>NC_000019.10:60000-10060000 GCF_000001405.40 Homo sapiens | reverse complement strand
GCAGTGAGCCAAGATCGTGCCACTGCACTCCAGCCTGAGCAACAGAGCCAGACTCCGTCCCAAAAAAAAAAGTTTCTATTTTTTATTTTTTATTTTTTTATTTTTTTTTAATAGAGACAGAGTCTTGGTCTATTGCCCAGGCTGGAGTGCAGTGGGATGATCACAGCTCACTGCAGCCTTGGCTTTCTGGACTCAAGTGATCCTCCTGCCTCAGCCTCCCTACTAGCTGGGACTACAGGTGCGCACCACCACACCCAGCTAATTGCAAACTTTTTTTATAGATGGGGTCTCACTATGTTGCCCAGATTGGTCTCGAGCTCCTGGCCTCAAGAAATCCTCCTGTCTCAGACTCCCAAGTAGCTGGGATTACAGGCATGAGCCATCACACCTAGCAGGTATGTCTTTCCATCTTTCATCTCAGCCCTCCAACCTGTACTCCCCTCCCCTTGCCATCTCTCCCACCCACCTTGTGTGTTATCATCTCAGTGCTTGTCTCATTTTGGAATTATTATTATTATTTTGAGATAGAGCCTCCCTCTGTCACCCAGGGTGGAGTGCAGTGGTGTGATCTTGGCTCACTGCAACCTCTGCCTCCTGGCTTCAAGCGATTCTCCTGCCTCAGCCTCCCAAGTAGCTGGGATTACAGGCACCCACCACCACGCCCAGCTAATTTTTACATTTTTAATAGAGACGAGGTTTCACCATGTTGGCCAGGCTTGTTTCGAGCTCCTGACCAAGGGTGATCCACCTGCCTCGGCTTCCCAAAGTACTGGGATTACAGGCGTGAGCCGCTGCTCCAAGCCTCAGTTTGGAATTATATAGTGACCTTCTGATTGTCTCTTCCAAGGACGGTGGGACCCTTGAGGGCAGGGAACTTACCAGTGTTGCTCACCTTGGTCTCACAGGGTCTGAGCTCAGGAGGTGATACACAGTGGATGCTCAGGAAACACTAAGTGATGAATAACACATTGCTGGATTTGAGATCACCCCCTCCCCACTCCATGACTGAGGTTGATTAAGAAGCATCCCACACCCACTAGGGCTGGCAAAGCTGTCCAGGCAGTCGTTGGCTTGGGAGCTGTTGGCAAGGGCCAGTGCATAGGAGGCTATGGCTACGGCAAAGGTTGTCTGAATGTCGGGAAGTTTTCTCTCCAGGAAGCCACGGGCTCTCTCGATGCTGGCCATCAAATTCTAGAGGGCCAGAGGGAGGGGCCAGAGGGAGATGATCAGAGGAAAGAAGTCTGGGAGTTAGAGGGACCCAGAGGGATGTGAGGGTGGGGGAGCTTTCCAGATGCTGGGGCTAGAGGACCTTACAGATCCTGCCCTCCTCTCTGGGGTCCTACCTTCTGTCTGCACAACTCCTTTCCCTCATTCAGGGCTATTAGGACAAGAGCTGTGAGGGATACATCCTCCTCGGAGCCTTGGTAGCCATCCTGTGGATGCAGAGTTCCATCTGTGATTCCCTCAGCGTCTTGGAGATGCCTTCCTCAGCCTCTCCTGTCTGACCCTGAGAAGTTTCCAGGTACCCAGCTCTGGGCTGGATGATGGTGGAGGTGGGATGAAGACAGAGAGGAGAGGTTTGCCTCCCTGGGGTCTGCCCTACTAACAAAAGATATCGGCCAGGCGCAGTGGCTCATGCCTATAATCCCAGCACTTTGGGAGGCCGTGGCAGGAGGATCACCAGAGGTCAGGAGTTTGAGACCAGCCTGGCCAACATGGTGAAACCCTGTCCCTACAAAAATACAAAAATTAGCTGGGCATGATGTGGGTGCCTGTAAGCCCAGTTACTGGGGAGGCTGAGGCAGGAGAATCGCTTGAACCCGGGAAGCAGAAGTTGCAGTGAGCTGAGATCACACCGTTGCATTCCAGCCTGGACGACAGAGCGAGACTGTCTCAAAAACAACAAAACAAAACAAATAAACAAACAAAAAGCTATCAACACAAGAAGCTGAGCTCTGTAGACCATCTCAGAGCATTCTAGCAGCAGCCCCATTTTACTGATGAGAAAACAGAGGTCAGAGTGGCAAAGTCTTCCCATTGCTAGAAAATGGCCAACTCAGGGTCCAAACACCACTTTAGTACCCTGGCTTCCACCCTCTTCCCCTCTCTGGACTTGAATAGTGACCCCAAAATTCATGTTCACCTGGGACCTCAAGATGTGATCTTATTTGGAAATTGGGTCTTTGAGGATGTAATTAAAATTAAGAAAAGGTCATACTGGATTAGGGTGGACCCTAAGTCTAATAACTGGTGTCCTTATAAGGTCATGTCGGCTGGGCGTGGTGGCTCACGTCTGTAATCCCAGCACTTTGGGAGGCTGAGGCGGGTGGATCATGAGGTCAGGACATCGAGACCATCCTGGCTAACAGGATGAAGCCCCATCTCTACTAAAAATACAAAAAATTAGCTGGGCGTGGTGGCACAAGCCTGTAGTTCCAGCTACTCGGGAGGCTGAGGCAGAAGAATCGCTTGAACTTGGGAGGCGGAGGTTGCAGTGAGCTGAGATTGCATCACTGCACTCTAGCCTGGGCGACAGAGCAAGACTCTGTTTCAAAAAAAAAAAAAAAAAATCCGGGTGCTGTGGTTCACACCTGTAATCCCAGCACTTTGGGAGGCCAAGGGGCGGGGTTCCGGGGGGGTGGGGGGATGGATCACGAGGTCAGGAGTTCGAGACCAGCCTGGCCAATATGGTGAAACCCTGTCTCTACTAAAAATACAAAAAGTAGCTGGACATGGTGGCACTTGCCTGTAGTCCCAGTTACTCAGGAGGCTGAGGCAGAAGAATCGCTCAAACCCAGGAGGCGGAGGTTGCAGTGAGCTGAGATCGTGCTACTGTACTGCAGCCTGGGCGACAGAGCAAGACTCCGTCTCAAAAAAAAAGAAGATCATGTCAGTGCTAGGGGTGATGGCTCATGCCTGTAATCCCAGCACTTTGGGAGGCCAAGATGGGCAGATCACCTGAGGTCAGGAGTTCAAGACCAGCCTGGTCAACATGGTGAAACCCCATCTCTATTAAAACTACAAAAATTAGCCGGGCATGGTGGTGTGTGCCTGTAGTCCCAACTACTTGGGGAGCTGAGGCAGGAGAATCACTTGAACCCGGGAGGCAGAGGTTGCAGTGAGCCGAGATTGCGCCATTGCACTCCAGCCTGGGCAACAGAGCAAGACTCCATCTCAAAAAAAAAAAAAAAAAATTAGCCAGGAATGGTGGTGTGCATCTGTAGTCCCAGCCACTGAGGAGGCTAAGGCAGGGAGATCTCTTGAGCTCAGAAGTTTGAGGCTGTAATGAGCCATGATTAAGCTACTGCATTCCAGCCTGGGCGACAGAGCAAGATCCTGTCCCTAAAAATAATAACAATAGGCTGAACCCAGGAGGCAGAGGTTGCAGTGAGCCGAGATCATGCTACTGCACTCCAGCCGTGGCTCATGTCTGTAATCCCAGAACTTTGGGAGGCCGAGGTGGGCAGATCACTTGAGGCCAGGAGTTTGAGACCAGCCTGGACAACATGGTGAAACCCCAGCTACTAAAACAAAAATGTAAAAATTAGCTGGATGTGGTGGCAAATGCCTGTAATCTCAGCTACTCGGGTGGCTGAGGCATAAGAATCGCTTGAACCCAGGAGATGGAGGTTGCAGTAGTTGAGATCATGCCACTTCATTCCAGTCTGGGTGACAGAGTGGAACTCTGTCTCAAAATTAATAATAATAATAATTTGGCCTGGTGCATGCAGAGAGGGCAGCAAAAGCGCTTTTTGGAGGAGAGTTGGAGGAGCCCGTGAGTGGTTAAGTGTGAATAGTGAGAAGGGAGGGGTGAGGTGAGGCCTAGGAGGTGATACAGACAAAGATAGCTGTGAGCCACAGCAGGTGTTTGAACAGGGGAGAGACCTGCCAGGCTGCATTTGAAAGACATTTCTGGACGCTGGTGTGAGGGGACTCTTGGTGGGGATGGGTATGCAAGCTGGGGAGGACTCAGTTCCTGAGGGAGGAGGGCCAGGGCGAGCCACTGCTTGATGTGGGGATGAAGAAGAGATGGGTTCCCAGATATGCCCAGCCTCACCCACATTCTAACAGAGTATGAGGTGGTTCAGACCGGGGGGGATGTGATCCTTGGCGCTGAGCCTCAGCTCTTTCCTGTTCTCATTCTGCCCGAGAACAGATTGGGAGCCTGAAATCCCCCTCTTAGTGCACAGAGTCCCTCGGATTTGTTTGAATGGCCCAGGCAGGGAGGGCTGTGATCACCTGCATGGATGTCATGACCACAGGGCCCTTCTCCAGGAAGTGCCCATCCTCTGCCTGCCTGTCGATGATGATCCAGTTGGCCATGTCACAGAGAGAGGACAGGCTAAGCACTTGGGTCGTCATCATAGAGTAGGCCAGGGCAAAGACGCGGAACACATAGCTTGTGAGCCTGTCAGGAGAGGGCAAAAGTGACACCTGCGAACCGCAGTCAAGGGGGCTCTGGGATAGGGGAGTCTACACCATGGTCCACACCATTCCAGGTGGACCCCTGTCATTCGCCGCTGCCCAGGTCTGCCAGTGTAGAATGCCCCAGGGCCGTGCGCTGGACACCCCAAGACCCCATGACTCTACAGCGTGGGTGCTCCTGGGTCATCAGACCCCAGGCTGGACCCTTGGGCTTCCAGGGTGGCAGTGGCAGGAGAGATAGGGTCATCCTCACCAAGTGCTTCCTGGGTTCCCCTTGGAGGTGTGGTAGGTGCCGTCTGAACTCCGGTGGGTCAGCATCTGAGTGTAGCCTGGGGAAACAGAGCAGGGCTTTGAGGGACAGTCAGTGTTATCAGGAATAACCTGGCGGGCAGGGACTAGAGGTGACACGGGGGTGTCACACATACAGGTAATCTAGAAGGGGAGACCTGTTGTCCAGGTGTACTTTGGAGGGGTGTTTAGGGCCCAGATGTAAGTGAGGAGCAGGGCTCAGGAATGACTTTGAGGGACCCAGGATGCAGTTGTCTCTGGGTGTAACCCAGGAAACCTTCACCTCAGGGTCTCTGGAGCAGGGCATGCTACCCTTGGAGTTGCTGCTGGAAGAAATCATAGAAGGTGTTGTTGTCCACATGCAACCTGGGAGATGGGGCAACTTGAGGGGTGCTACGTGGGAGTTTTCTTTTATTTTTTTTTGAGACGGAGTCTTGCTCTATCGCCCAGGCTGGAGTGCAGTAGTGTGATCTCGGCTCACTGCAACCTCCGCCTCCCGGGTTCAAGCAATTTTCCAGCTTCAGCCTCCTGAGTAGCTGGGATTACAGGCATGCGTCACCACACCTGGCTAATTTTTGTATTTTTAGTAGAGACTGGGTTTCACCATGTTGGCCAGGGTGGTCTCTAACTCCTGACCTCAGGTGATCCACCTGCCTCGGTCTCCGAAAGTGCTGGGATTACAGGTGTGAGCCACCATGCCCGGCCCTCTTTTTATTTATTTTTATTTTTTTGAGACTGGGTCTCACTCTGTCACCCAGGCTGGAGTGCAGTGGTACAATCATAGCTCACTGAAGCCTCGCCCTTCCCTGGTCAAGCTATCCTCCCACCTCAGCCTCCCAAGTAGCTGGGACTACAGGCATGTGCCACCACACCAGGCTAATTTTTTTAGAGATGAAGTCTCACTATGTTGCCCGGGCTAGTCTCAAACTCTGGGGCTCAAGCAATCCTCCCATTCAGGCTCCTGAGTAGCTGAGACTGCAGGCGTGAACCACCATATCTAGCCAATTTTTAAATTTTTTGTACAGATGGGGGTCTCACTATGTTGCCCAGGCTGATCTCAAACTCCTGGGCTCAAGTGATCCTCCTGCCCTGGCCTCCCAAAGTGCTGGTATTACAGGCGTGAGCCACCACACCCAGCCTTTCAGGTGTATTCTGAGCCTCGCTACTCGGGTATTACTTGAAGTTCCCCTGGAGGTTTACTGTTTGCTTGGAGCATTGGGGTGACAGTATCTGGACATTACCTGTGGGATTACTGCTTGAGAAAACCTGGAGGGAAAGTTGGAGTCTGAGGGTAACCTGGGACCAATTAACTCAGAGGTCTATGGGTGTTACTAGGGGTGTTCATCTCTGGTTGCTCCCTAGGGTGTGTGGTTGTAACCTGGGGAAGTATCAGCATACAGGTGCAACCAAGAGCCCACTGCCTGGGGTTATTCTGGGGTTTGCTGCTTGGGTGTTCCCTAGGGTTCCCTGGGAGTGGCACTGAGGGGGTGTAACCTGGGGCAGGGCCTGAGTATAACATCCTCTCGCAGGATGGCTTTTTGGGAGAAATCAGGGTGTCTGTCATAAGACTGAAGCCTGGAGGTCTGGCGCGGTGGCTCACACCTGTAATCCCAGCACTTAGGGAGGCCAAGGCAGGTGGATCACCTGAGGTCAGGAGTTCTAGAGCAGCTTGGCCAACATGGCAAAACCCCATCTGTACTAAAAATCCAAAAATTAGCTGAGTGTGGTGGCGGGCACCTGTAATCCCAGCTACGCAGGAGGCTGAGGCAGGAGAATCACTTGAACTCAGGAGGCGGAGGTTGCAGTGAGCCGAAACTGTGCCACTACACTCCAGCTTGGGTGACAGAGTGAGAGTCCGTCTCAAAATAAATAAATAAATAAAAGTAAAAATACAAAAATTAGCCAGACATGGTGGCGGGCACCTGTAATCCCAGTTACTCGGGAGGCTGAGGCCGCAGAATGGCTTGAACCTGGGAGGCGGAGGTTGCGGTGAGCCAAGATCACACCAGTGCACTTCAGCCTGGGTGACAGAATGAAACTCCATTGCAAAAAAAAAAAAAAAAAAAAAAAGATTAAAGCCTGGGAAAGTGGTCAGGTGAAGAATTCCCATGGGTGTGTCACAGCTGGGGGATGACGTTGGGGAATTGGTATCAGGTTGTAGTCTGGGGAAGGAGTCATAGTTTGGGTGTTAATGCCTGAGGCGGGGGCTGGGGGGTCCCATGAAGATTTCCCCAATCCTGGGGGTGCCCCAGCCACCCTCCGGGAGATCCCCAGGCACCCTCTTGGAGGCCCCAGGAGGGTCCCCGCTCTCACCGCTGACAATATTCTTCATCACCTGGTCCCTGTGCTCCACCCCGACCTTGCCCCACTGGCCGGTGGTATCCAAATAGCGGGACAGGATGATGACGGGCGTCAGGGAGCTCAGCGTCTGCTCAGGGCAGCCCGTGGGGACCCGCAGCAGCTGCTGAATCTCACTGGGTGTCAGGCTGCCCACAATTGTCTCACCAAGGATGTCACCTGTCAGGTGGGTGAGTTGGGTCACCCTGGGAGTGGCCTATGCTTAAGCCACAGTGGTTTACTGATCGCCCCACACGGCTCCTCCTGCTCTGGTGCCTCACGGACCTTAGAGAACCCAGCGTCAGCCCTCCCCATGTCCCTGTGTCCCCCAGCACCTTGAACACTGATAAACACTTCCGCCTCCGTGTCGGGTACCATGTTCAAGAACTCCTGTCTTGGCACCAGTTTTGTCTGGGTCTGACCTGAATAACCACAACCTTCTGTGACAAGTGGGCTCTGGGGCTGGGGAAGTCAGGGTGCACAGAGCCCGGGGCTGGGGCTCAGAATCCCTATCTGAGCATATCCCCTCATGCCAACTGCTTCCTCCTCCCTAGCACAGCCCCAGGATCTCACAGGCCCCCTGCAGATCTCACAAACCTTGGGGTTCCAGGACGATGCTATAGGACGTTTGCTGGATCTGAACCCCTGCCTGAGGGATGAGATGAGGATATAAGTCAAAAGCAAAAACAGCAATCACAGTCAGAATGACAATCGCAGTGATGGTGAGAGGAGGCATTGCTTGGCTGTGATAAGCACAGACTCTGGAGCCCAAATACCTGGGTTCGAATCCCAGCTCTTCTGCTTCCTAGCTGTGTGTCCTTGGGAAAATTAGTTACCCTCTCTCTGCCTCAGTTTTCTCATATATCAAAGGGGGATAAGAATAGTCCCTCACTCATAGGGTTGTTTGGAGGGCTGAATTAGTTATTATTATTATTTTTTGAGATAGGGTCTCACTCTGTCACTCAGGCTGGAGGCAGTAGCACGATCTCAGCTCATTGCAGCCTCCACCTCCCAGGTTCAAGGGATTCTCATGCCTCAGCCTCCTGAGTAGCTGGAATTATAGGTGCACACCATCAAGACAGGCTAATTTTTGTATTTTTAGTAGAAATAGGGTTTTGCCATGTTGGCCAGGCTTGGACTCCTGGCCTCAAGTGATTCACCTGCTTCAGCCTCCCAAAGTGCTGAGATTATAGGCATGAGCCACCATGCCTGGCCTAGTTAATTTTTTTTCCAGAGAAAAAAAAACTTCAGGTTGCCCAGGCTGGACTCGAATTTCTAGGCTCAAATGATCCTCCCACCTCAGCCTCCCAAATAGCTGGGAATACCGGGGGGGGGGGGGGGGGGCGGGGTGCCACCACACCTGACTGAGTTAATATTTTTTTTTTTTTTGAGACCGAGTCTCGCTCTGTTGCCCAGGCTGGACTGCAGTGGCACTATCTCGGCTCACTGCAAGCTCCACCTCCCAGGTTCATGCCATTCTCCTGCCTCAGCCTCCTGAGTAGCTGGGACTACAGGCACCCGCCACCACGCTCAGCTAATTTTTTGTATTTTTAGTAGAGACGGGGTTTCAACATGTTAGCCAGGATGGTCTCGATCTCTTGACCTCATGATCCGCCCGCCTTGGCCTCCCAAAGTGCTGGGATTACAGGTGTGAGCCACCGCACCTGGCCCGAGTTAATATTCTTAAGCATTTATATCTTAAGTGTTAAACATGTGTTTGTTAAGCAAATAAAGTTTTTTGTTTGTTTTTTAGAGAGAGGGTCTTGCTCTGTTGCCCAGGCTGGAGTGCAGTGGCGTGATCTCAGCTTCAGGCTCAATCTCATGGGCTCAAGCAATCCTCCCTCAGCTTCCTGAGTAACTGCAACTACAGGTGCACAACACCATGTCAGGCTAATTTTTAATTTTTTTCTAGAGAGGTCTTGCTATATTGCCCAGGCTGATCTCAAACTCGTGGGCTCAAGCAATCTTCCTGCCTTGGCCTCCCAAAGTGCTGGGATTATAGGCATGAGCCACCAAGCCCAGTCTAATAAAATGTTTTTGATAGGCCATACACTGGTTCTGGGTCATTTTCCCAGCTCTATGTTTATTCAGGGATATGATGATTATCCTCATCCTGCAAGCAAGGAAATGGAGGCTCAGAACAGAGAAGTTAAGTAAGTTGCCCAAGGTCACACAGCAGAGACAAGATTAGAACCCAGGCCTGACTCCAAAACTCTCAAGTGGGGGCTTGTGACCTGACCCCCTCACATCAGTCCACTGACTAAACTTTTTTCTTCTTTTTTTCTTTTCTTTTCTTTCTTTCTTTTTTTTTTTTTTTTGAGACCGAGTCTCGCTCTGTTGCCCAGGCTAGAGTGCAGTGGTGCAATCTTGGCTCACTGCATCCTCCACCTCCCAGGTTTAAGCGATTCTCCTGCCTCAGCCTCCCGAGTAGCTGGGACTCCAGGTGTGCACCACCATGCCCAGCTAATTTTTGTATTTTTAGCAGAGTTGGAGTTTCACCATGTTGGCCAGGCTGGTCTCGAACTCCTACCCTCAGGTGATCCACCCACCTTGGTCTCCCAAACTGCTGAGATTACGGGCTTGAGCCACCATGCCCAGCCAACTGACTGAACTTTCAAATCTGTTCTTTCTCACCTCACTCCCATCTAGGAGCCTTGCTTATCGATCCTGGGCCCACCTGCCCAGCCTGGACCTGGTGGAAGCCCCGCTGTCTGCACCAGCAGCTAGTGAGTTGGGAGTGCCCATTACCCGGACCAAGAGTGTCTTCTTCACATGGTCCTGGACCCCGTAGCCCACAGCCTTGACCTCCACGTCCACTTTGCCTGTCTCCAGAGGGAGAAGCACAAAGTGTACTATCTTGGAGGAGGTGGGGGGCACGACCACTACCTGGTGGGATGGTGCTCCTGGCTTTGACGCACTGCACAGTGTCTCCTTGTGGGGGAACTCCACTCGGACCTAGGGCAGGATGGGCAAAGGGATGGGGTATCTATGTATGGTGTGGTCCAGGACCCTAGGGTCACAGTCCCCTCCCCACCCTGAGATGCCTGCGTAGGTGACAGCAAAGCCTAGTGATGAGGACCACAGACCCAGCCTGAGTCAGAGCCCCATCTGCCATTTATGTGCTGTGTGACTCCAGGCAAGCCCTTTAACCTCTCTGTGCCTCAATTTCCTCATCTGTAAACCAAGAACAATAATAGTACCCATCTGATGGGGTTGTTGTGAGGTTTAACTTCCCTTCCTTCCTTCCTTCCTTCCTCTCTCCCTCCCTCCCTCCTTCCTTCTTCTTTCTTTCTTTCTTTCTCTCTCTCTTTCTCTTTCTTTCTTTCTTTCTTTTTCTCTCTCTCTCTCTCTCTCTCCCCCCCTTCTTTCTCTTCTTTCTTTCTTCCTCTGTCTTTCTCTCTTTCTTTCTTTCTTTTTTTTTTTGATGGAGTTTCGCACTGTCGCCCAGGCTGGAGTGCAGTGGTGGGATCTCAGCTCACTGCAAGCTCCACCTCCTGGGTTCATGCCATTCTCCTGCCTCAGCCTCCCGGATAGCTGGGACTACAGGAGCCCGCCACCATGCCCGGCTAATTTTTTTTTTTTTTTTTTGAGATGGAGTCTCGCACTCTCGCCCAGGCTGGAGTGCAGTGGCGCAATCTCGGCTCACTGCAAGTTCTGCCTCCCGGGTTCACACCATTCTCCTGCCCTCAGCCTCCTGAGTAGCTGGGACTACAGGCGCCCGCCACCACGCCCGGCTAATTTTTTGTATTTTTTAGTAGAGGCGGGGTTTCACCGTGTTAGCCAGGATGGTCTTGATCTCCTGACCTTGTGATCCGCTCACCTCGGCCTCCCAAAGTGCTGGGATTACAGGCGTGAGCCATCGCGCCCAGCCAAATTTTTTATTTTTATTAGAGATGGAGTTTCACCGTGTTAGCCAGGATGGTCTCGATCTCCTGACCTCATGATCTGCCCGCCTCAGCCTCCCAAAGTGCTGGGATTACAGGCATGAACCACCATGCCCGGCCCCCTTTTCTCCTTTTCCGTCCTTCCTTCCTTCCTTCCTTCCTTCCTTCCTTCCTTTCTTTCTTTCATTCATTCTTTCTTTCTTCTTCCTTCTTTCTTTCTTTTTCTTTCTTTTTCTTTCTCTTTCTCTTTCTTCTTTCTTTTTCTTTCTTCTTTCTCTTTCTTTCTTTCTCTCTTTCTCCCTCCCTCCCTCTCTCTCTTTCTTTCTTTCCTTCTTTCTTTCTTTCCTCCTCCTCCTCCTTCTTCCTCTTCTTCTTCCTCTTCCTCTTCCTCCTCCTCCTCCTCCTCCTCCTCCTCCTCTTCTTCTTCTTCTTCTTCTTCTTCTTCTTCTTCTTCTTCTTCTTCTTCTTTTCTCTCTCTCTCTCTCTCTCTCTCTCTCTCTCCCTTTCTCTCTTTCTTTCTTGGTCTCACTCTGTCACCCAGGCTGGAGTGCAGTGGTCCAAATACAACTCAGTGCAGCCTCAAACTGCTGGGTTCAATCGATCCTCCTGCTTTAGCTTCCTGAGCAGCTGGCACCACAGGTGCATGCCATCAAGCCTGGCTAATTTTTTTAAGATCATTTTTTGTAGAGACAAGGTCTCACTTTGTCACCCAGGCTGGAGTGCAGTGGTGCAATCACAGCTTACTGCAGCGTTGACCTACTGGGCTCAAGAGATCCTCCCACCTCAGCCTCTCAAGTAGCTGAAACTGCAGGTGTGCAGCACTATGCCTGGCTAAATAAGAGAATACCTTAGATTTTCCAAAAGAGCCACCACTTCACTGACCGATAGGAATAAAAATACACTGAATTTCCTTTTCTAAAACACACTAACAGGCTGGACACGGTGGCTCACACCTGTAATCCTAACACTTTGGGAGGCTGAGGAGGGTGGATTACTTGAGCTTAGGAGTTTGAGACCAGCCTGGGCAACATGGCAAAATCCTGTCTCTAACCAAAATACTAAAAATTAGCCAGGCATGGTGGCCCACACCTGTGATCCCAGCTACTGGGGAAGCTGAGGCACGAGAATTGCTTGCACCTGTGAGGTGAGATTGCAGCAAGCCGAGATCACGTCACTGCACTCCAGCCTGGGTGACAAGGCAAGATTCTGTTTCCAAAAATAAAATAAAATATGCTGGGTGCGGTGGCTCACGCCTGTAATCCCAGCACTTTGGGAGGCTGAGGCGGGTGGATCACTTGAGGTTAGGAGTTTGAGACCAGCCTGGCCAACATGGTGAAACCCCATCTCTACTAAAAATACAAAACTTAGCCAGGCATGGTGGCAGGGCGCCTGTAGTCCCAGCTACTCAGGAAGCTGAGGTAGGAGAATCGCTTGAACCCAGGAGGCAGAGGTTGCAGTGAGCCGAAATCGTGCCACTGCACTCCAGCCTGGGTGACAGAGCAAACTCTGTCTCAAAAAATAAATAAAATGAAATAAAGCCATTAAAAAATAAAATGAAATACACACTAGCAGAGGTTTTGGCAGGAAGTTGAGGGCTTGGGGCTTCACCTTGGCCTGGCGATCCCTGAAATTGTACAACATGGCTTGGATCTGGACCTGCTCATTCCTGATCACGGAGGAGGGCAACTTAAGGTCCACAAAGAACGATTTCATAACTGTCAGCTCAAAGGGGTCCGAGACACAGAGACCTACAGCCAGGAGAGCACATTGGGTTTAAGCAGAGGCTCCGTTGGGGGAGGGGCTGGGTAAGGTCACCATACCCCCATTCCCTTGGCACTGGGCTTGCTGCGGCTCACCTTGTCCAGCCTTGAGGCTGACCACCACAAACTGCCACGTGGTGATGGAATCTGGCACCTTCACAGAGATGGGGTAATGGGAGATGCTGTTGTGAGTGAGAAAACATCACTGAGTTTGTGCTGGATAGAGCTTCTGGATTTGGGGTCACCATGCAGGGGTTATGGTCACTATTGAGGATCATCAGATCACCTCATTAGTGACAGCCTCACTAGAGGGTCATCCTTTTAGGGAATCCATTAAGATGTTTTCCCAATTATGGGACTGTCCTGAGGCTCGATGTCACTGCTGGGGTCATTGTCCCTGACCAGCATCCACTGATGATTGCAAGGACCTGGGACCAGATTCTGGTATGGAGGCTGATGTCTTACCCCGATTTACTCTTTGGCAGAGTGAACTTCCTCCAGAGCCAACTCTCGGGGAACAAGGTCCGCACAGGCATGTCATCCAAGAAGAGGTCATCGAAGTCCTCTTCTTCATCCGCTGGAGGGAGCAGGTGTGAGGTGGAGTCTCCTTCATGTTTCTTCCATGTTCCATCAGACTCCTTGTGGAGTCCTCCTTTCCAACCCTCCATGGCCCATATCACCCCTTAACCTGTCCCATGTCACTCTATATCCCTCCATGAAGCCCCCCACCCTGCATCTCCTGCCATAGCCCCCTCACTTGTCCACAGATGCAATTGATCCTCTCGAGCCTCCCGAGTCAGGGTCTCAGACAGATGGCAGCAGTCCAGGAAAGCAGCCACACAGGCTGGACCATGGCGGACATGCCAGGTCCTCTCCTCACAAGACAGCCCCACTGGGCTCTCCCGGAGCCCAGCCTCACAGCACTTTTGCTCCAGCTCTGTCTTAAACTTGTTCACTGTGGGCCAGAGTCAGAGGGAAAGAGGAGGGTTGGGCAGGACCTAAGAAGCTGGGACCCATTCACCTTGATGCTATGCACACCTTGCCACTATTTAGCAATTACTCTGTGGTAGATTCTATGCCTAGTGCCTTATCTGTGCCCTTTCTGAAGCCTCATATTGAACTCACATGGTGAGATTCTGACAAGGAAGCTGAGCCACAGAGACGTGAATTCATTTGCTTAGAGTCAAGGCTCCCAAGTGGCAGAGGTGGAACCAGAATCCATACTGCATTTTTTTTTTTTTGAGATGGAGTCTCATGCTGTCACCCAGGCTGGAGTGCAGTGGCGCAATCTTGGCTCACTGCAACCTCTGCCTCTCAGGTTCAAGCGATTCTCATGCCTCAGCCTCCCATGTAGCTGGGATTACAGGTTCCCACCACCACAGCCAGCTAATGTTTGTATTTTTAGTAGAGACAAGGTTTCACCATGTTGGCCAGGCTGGTCTTGAACTCCTGACCTCAAATGATCCACCTGCCTTGGCCTCCCAAAGTGCTGGGTTTACAGGCATGAGCCACCATGCCAGCCTCAGAATCCATGCTTCTAACACCTGGTGCTGCCTCCCATCTTCCTCTGACTCCAGGCTCAAAGCCTTTTCTTCTGGTCCACATTCTAGCCTTCAGGATGGCAGTTTAGTCAGATATTGTCCAATGACACTCAAGACCTATCTCTCCTTTTGTCTACATTCCATCCTGAACCACAGAGGCTAGACATCTGAAAACTACATTTCCCAGACTCCCTTGCTGCTAGGGTTCTGAATGGGATTAGATGCAGCCACTGAGATGCTTTTATGAGAGATCTGGGAGATAGAAGAGAAGCAGAAACCATTTTTCCTGCAGCAGTGGTAGCTGATGGGTGGGCTCTAGTCTATGTGTGTTTTTGTAATGGGCATGATTTCGTGTTTGATTATCAACCTACCAGCCCTTTGAGAGATATTGGCAGCAGTTTCCTGATATTTCATGGATTGCAAGACTGAAGTGGGTGATCTTGAGTCCCAGCAAGCAGCCTTCCAACTTCCACCCCAAAAGCCCATCTAATGATTTTGTAAGCACCAAACTCCCCCTATTAGATCCCTCCCTGCTGGAAATACATTGAGTGGTTTTGGTGTCCTGTTCTAAGCCCTGATGGATACCTTAAGTTGGGGAGATGGAGGGAGACATACAGCTTTAACACTGACCTGCATTCCTTTTTGTCTCCAGCCTCTTCAGGGAGCGGCGATGGCGGCTGGGAGGAGGGTCCTGGGGGCAGGGCTAGTCTGGGGGTCAGAGGGAATGATGATAGAACAACCGCCAAGATCATTATCAATATCCTTGATGATGTTTATTGGGTGTTTGCTGTATGTCCAGCACTTTATATGCATCACTTCATTTCATCTGACAGCCTCCTATATTCAAGACTTGTCACTTAAAAGCTGGGCGATTTTCAATAAGTCACTTAACCTCTCTGGGTGTTAATTTCCCCAGTGACGTAAAATGGGCATAATCATAGTTCTATCAATGAGATAATGCATATACAAATACTTAGCACTGGACCTGGCATGTAATAAATAAGAACTATTATTAATATTACAATTTATAGCTGAGAGAATACACTCTTAGTTGTCTCCAAATCCATTATCATCCCTCATCTGTGACAAGTAAGCCTCCATATTGTATAGATCACACAGAATAAAGACTACATTTCCCAGCCTCTCTTGCACTTAGGTGGGGCCATGTGACTATATTCTGGCCAATGAGATGTGGAAGAAGTGTCCTCCCCTTTCCACTTCCCTTCATCTTGCTGCCTGGCATGGATGGACTCCTAGAAGGAGTCCGAGTCCCAGGATGACCTCTGTAGTGTTACTGAATGAGAAATAAACTACCTGTTTGACCTACTGTTATTTGTATATTTGATACACATGGCTAACCCTGTCTTAACCAACACACTGTGAGTTACTTCTATTATTATCTCTATTTTATGGACAAAGAAATCAAGACTCAGAGAGAAATGTGACTGGCCCATGGTAAGTGACAGGATGTGGATTACAGCCCATATCTGTTTGACACTAAAACCAAGTAGGCAGCACTGCACCCATTTCTGCCCTCCTCTTGCCCCAACCCCCAAAGCCTGTGCCTGAGCTTGCCAGGCTATCCATTCCTGTGCTGATTTTCAGGTCCAATCCAGCATCCTTGAACACAGCAAATCTGTCTTTCCCACTTCCTCCTGTGCAGCCAATGTCATGTTCCTCCACCACATTCCAGACCTAGAGGTCAAGACAGGAACCTGGATTTGGGACCTGTATGACTCCTCCATGAAAGGAGAAATGGTGTACTGGAATTGCAGGCTCAAATCATAATTCTCATACTATCTCCCATTTTTTGAGCTCTTATCACCTTTCAGTCATTAGACTTTGCACCATCTCCTTGAATCCTTACATTGATGTTGTCCTCTTTATGGCTGAAGAAGCTGAGGCTCCAGCTAGAATATCCTGGCAACATCTTGGCCCAAAGCCCACATGCTCTTACCTTCTTCTGAGTGAGCTTGTGTTTGCTGTTCAAGACATAGACAGCCTTGTCCACAGCCACCAGCCCCACTGTGGCTTCTGCATCACCTGTCACCTTCAGTTCGACTTGGCTGTTGGGCTCCAAAGACTGGAAGAATCTATCATTCTTCAAGCCAACTTTCAGCTGAGCCAAGAAAAAGAGAGATGTCAGAAAAAGGGAATCATAGACCACACAACTACACTTTCAGGCTTACGTTCCCTACTGCTCTGGTGGAGCATCTGGGAACTCCACTAGGCTAATCCCAACTCCGTATATTTATTTACTTGCATCACCGCCACACCTTGTGTTGAGCTCTTAAGGCCACATATTCTCCTTCTCTTCCCTGGCTTCTAGTTTGGGAATGCCTAAACTTGTACAGCCCCTTTCTGGGGCTTTATGATGGTGATGCACAACTACAAGGAGTTTGGCTTACCATCCCTATGCATCTGTCATTCACATCAATCCATATGGAATCAGCCACCAACTCAGGGTCTTGGCTTGCTCCTCTGGGAAGTAAATAAAAGGCCAGAATGCGGAAGGAGGGCAGCATCGCTGAAGTCACATCAATAATGGCTGATGTGTAGACACTCCCCTGGCTTTTTGACTGATGTTTGGCACTCACGGTCTGGCCCTTACTCAGGACCTTGAAGACAAGGGAGGTCAAGGATGAGAAGGGAGGGCCAGTCTTTCTCTGAATCTGTCCCATCCCACAATGGAGGCTCATAGTCTCTTTTCTTCAGCCTCTAGATCTGAGCCCACTCAAGATTGTTGCCACCTTCACATCTTTTTTCATAGTTTCTCCAACTCAGCAAGCCAAGGTTTTTCCAAGGAAAGAATTCCTTGACTCAGACCCTGGTCCTAGCTCCTCACCAGGATGGTGAAGTGAGTAATCTTGTCCTTGGTTTTAGGGTCCTGATGCCTTGTGTTGAGGCTCAGCTGGATGCTGCTGCCAACCTCTGTGCCCAATGTCTTTACTTCGATGTGTAGGAAGTTTCCTGACCCATCCTGAGTCAAGTAAGGCCAAGCTGTCATCTTGGCTGAAGCCTGCTCCTCTGGCTGAAGAGATTCCTCAGTTTTCACCTAGGGAGGATGATGGGCAAGTAAACCCCAACCCTTCCAACTCACACAGCTCTAATCCCACCCTCCTTGCCTTGTCAAGTTGGTACCTCGATGGGGAGCTTGTCCAGATTTGCATCTGTGTTGATGGTCAGAGTGGCCAACCCCTCAGCTGAGGTGTACACTTTTTGGTCTTGGGAGTGGACAAGGACTCTGGAAGCTGGGGACCCATCAGGATTTGAGATGAAGACCTGAGGTGGAATCTGGGGTAAGGTGAAGGAAAAGCCTGCAGTGGCCTGGTGTGAGAGGTGAGACTGGAATATGATCTGAATAGGACTGCTTTGTACAACTTTATACATGGTGCACTAAACAACACCGGGGGCACCATTCATATTGGAGTTTTTATGAATGGCACCTCCTAGAGCTTTGCAGTGTACAACCACATGTGGTTATCCTGGGTGTTGCAGAGCTGATGGTGAGTGGGAAGACTGAGAGTGGAGAGGGAAGGAGGACACATGAGAGCCTATAGGAGACTTGGAGTAGGATTGGTGCCAAAGGATATCCCTGACTTTCCTAATGCCCATCCAAATTAATATATGTGAAAAGGCCATGCTTTGATGTGCAAATGCAGCCTCTAGATAAACTTTCAAACACCAACTTCCAGCCTGATTGTGGCCTCTAAGTCCCCACAGAGAAATTCTGGAGCCATCACTGTGCTTTAGGGTTAAGGTTTGGGGGGACTCTGGGATTAGTCTGGGGAACATGATAGACTCAACCTTCAGATGAGTTGGATGCAGGTGAGTCCAGTGTGGGTTTTTGTCTCTTTGTGGGAAGTCTGCTTTGGGGAGGGGGCCCTGAGTCCCTGGGTGTAGTGAGTCCAGACTCTGACCCGAAAGTGGAAGGGCATTCCTGGCTTGAAATACTGGGGTGTCCTGGTGAACTTGATGTTGTATGGGCTCTGGATGATCTTCACCCCTGAGGTCTCAGCTTGCACCATCTCACCCCCTGTAGAGACAGTGAGAACACAGAGTTTGTGAGGGAGTTCAATTTCTTAAGTGAGTGGCAGGACTAGTATGAGAGCCCCATCTTGGTGAAGGCAGAGAACGACAATAACACTATTTCAGCTCCTTCCACCCATTTCTCTAATGAGGAAACTGAGGCTGGGAGGTGGCCCAAGGTCACATGGGTGGAGTGTCTGCATTGGGCAAGAACACCATGTCCTGACCTCAGTCAGGGGCCGGGGTGAGGGTGGCACCTGAGGAGAACATGGTGACATTGACAAAGATTGAGCCTCCAATGAAGTCCTCTCCTGGGCCTTGGAATGCGGCCATGAGCGTGTCCTTCTGGAGGGAGACGTGGCCCAGGCCTTCAGAGATCTGTTCTTAGGGTAAGATAGAGGAGAGGATATGGTTTTTTGGGGAGCGTTAGAGAGTGGAGTGGATTGGAGGTTGGGGAGGAGCTGGGATTCAGTCACCTCCACCCTCTGCAGGGAGCTTTGGATAGGGATCCGGCAGGAGTCCAATTTCACCCCAAAGATGACCAAAGCATGTCCGTCCACTGGCTTGTTAAATATATACGTGGGGGATGGAGGACAATTCCACTGTCTCTGAAGCACCCACATACCTCATGCTGCTTCAGAGATGGCTGTGCAAAATTGGGAGGGGCAGAGGTGGCCCTTGGAAACTTAGATGGTTTCATTGATGACCCACACAACTCTGGGAGGTGACGAATATATCCCATAAAGCCTTGATGGGTTGCAGATGTGGTCTAGGCAATCTCTCAAGATGGTGGAGGTGGACTTCAAACTATATAAAGCCACAAAGAAGTCTGGGCAACCTATGAAGTGGCCTGTGCAGCCTCACCAGGGAAACTAGGTGGCCTGTGTAGCATGTTAGAGCTGCAGGAATGATTCATATAATGTCCAGAAGTGGCAGACATAGCCCATACAATCTCAGGTGGACAGCATTGCCTGCACAACCTCATAGCAATGCAGATGGTCTGTAAAACACAAGGCAGCAAATGTGTCATTTACCATCACATAGAGCTGCAGAGATGGTCTGGACAATCTCATGATGGCAAACATAACCTGTACTACCTCATAGACTTTCAGAGATGGTCTAAACTGTGAAGTGGCAGATGAGATGAGATGCAGTACAACACCACTGGGTAGACAAGGTGGCCTGTACAACTTCATAGACTTGAAGAAATGGTTTATACAACCTCACAGGTGGCAGACATGGTCTGTACAACCTCACAGGACAACATAGGTAGCCCAGAATATCTCATGGGTGGGAGAAGAGTATGTCTACCACCCTAAATGCTACAGAAGTGGCTTGCTTCTCTCTTTCTCTTTTTTGAGATGGGGTCTCACTCTGTCACCCAGGCTGCAGTGCAGTGGCACAATCTTGGCTCACTGCAACCTCTACCTCCTGGGTTCAAGCGATCCTCCCACCTCAGCCTTCCTAGTAACTGGGACAACAGGCATGTGCCACCACTCCTGGCTATTTTTTTTTTTTTTTGAGACAGAGTCTCACTCTGTCACCCAGGCTAGAGTGCAGTGACACAATCTCGGCTCACTGCAACCTCCGCCTCCTGGGTTCAAGCGATTCTCCCACCTCAGTAGTCCCTGAGTACCTGGGACTACAGGCATGCACCAACATGCCTGGCTATTTTTGTCTTTTTAGTAGAGACAGGGTTTTGCCATGTTGGCCAGGCTGGTCTTGAACTCCTGACCTCAGGCGATCCACCCACCTCAACCTCCCAAAGTGCTGGGATTACAGGTGTGAGCCACCATGCCCAGCCAGCTTGGCTAATTTTTTTTTTTTTTTTGGTAGAGAAGGGGTTTTGCCATGTTGTCCAGGCTGGTCTAGAACTCCTGGCCTCAAGTGATCCTCCTGCCTTGGTCTCCCAAAGCACTGGGATTACAGATGTGAGCCATAGCACCTGGTGCTTGTTTCTCTGTACTCAATCTTTGTGTCCCTGGTCTTCTGGCAGAGCTGGGAGGAAGGGGGCTCACCGAGCCTGGATGTCAACGCCCAGAGCCTCATCCTTGAGGTAAAAGAAAGTCTTATTTGGGACCAGCTGGACCTCAAAAGATGGGAGGACTGGGAGAAAAAAAAAAGCCATGGTCACCCTCAGTATTCTACCTGCTCCCTCGTCCCCTCCCAGTCCTGCTCCTTCCTTGGTGGCTCTGTCAAGCCCGAAGGGCTGCAACACCAGCACCCAACACTTAGCATCCAGCTCAGGCCCTGGGTTACAGCAGAGGTTCCCCTTGAGACCTCCTTTCTATTCCAAGTCCTGTCCCTGGCGTATTCATCTTGCTCACCCCACCCACACCTTTCTCACCATATTCCTTCACATCAAAGGCAGCCTCGAACTTCTGCTTGGGTGTACTTTGGTAGCTGGCTTCGATGGTCCAGGTCCCCAAACTGAGGCACAGAAAGTTAAGAGAGATGGAGACAGAGAATGACAGCCTCCTTTGCCACCCCTCGGGCTCCCAGACCTGACAAGGGCACCTGACAAGCTCTGGGAGGTGAAAGGAGCTGAAAAAGAAGCCATCCTTGGCCATCAGACTCTGGCTAATCACGGTGATTCCCTTTGGGTTCTGTGGGGATAGGGGGTGGGGCTGGTGACTGCCCTCTGGGAGGGCCCTGGTGGCTCATGCCCCCAGGACTTCAGCACACCATGTAACCCCAGTGTCCAGGATCCACCACCACCCCCCACCCCTCATCGGGAAAGACCACCTTGATGTCCAGAGTGAATGTCCTGGTCACAGGGTCCATCTTGTGGTTCACAGTGAACACCCGGTAGTGAACTAGGGGAGAAGGAGGACTCTGAGTATTGGGTAGAGGAAGGGAAAGAGAGAGAGAGAGTTTGCATCTTGGGCAGTGGCGGGGTGGGGGGCACTTATGCATAGAGAGAGATCTTGGGAGGTGGAGAAGATTTTAGGGGATGGGAGTATCTCAGACATTGGGAGAGACGGGATGAGAGCCAGTGATTGCCCCGAGCCAAGTGCCTCGGGGCTGTACCCAAGTACTCAGGGGTGTAGATGGTCTTCTCCGTCTGGATAAAGATGTAGCCAGCATGAAGAGCCACCAGCACCATCTTCTCCATGAATGAGGAGCCCGAGGTGGGTGCCCAAGTTGCCCGGATGATGACATATTGCTGCCCTGGTTTTGGGAGGTACATCAGGCTCTCGGGAACCTGAGAGAGATATATATCCATACTCCTCAGGCTCTGCTGGGGTCTCCCTGGCTGGGGGTAAAGCCCTGGGACAGATCCTGGGAGGAGCAATTGACTGAGGGTCTTCTGACTCTGCCTTTGGGAGCTAGGTTGCCATGTGCAGTTGTGTAGGTTGCTCACTGCACAAGAGCACCCAGCCAAAGGAAGGACGAAATCAAGTCCATGCTCATCTTCCCAAGCTACCAACAGAAGGCACCTTTTATAGTTCTCAGAGAGGCATCAAATGGGCTAGTGGAGGCTTCCTGGAGCCCAGGCTTAGGGACTTTTGGCTTCTAAATGCACAGGATATTAGAGGAGTGGTAAGTACTTTGGGCCCTTTATCTACTCTCTGGACAGAAAGTCTGCCCCTTTCTACCTTTATTGCTGACCTGTAGCCTCCCTTTGGGGTCACACATTCCAGCCTGTCACCCACCGTCACAGGTGCCTGGTCCATAAAGTTGTTTCCTGGTGAGAGAATGAGCTGGCTCCTTGCCAACACTGTCTTCCTCATGGGGAAGTCCCACACTGTGAGGTTCACCTTGAGGGTCCTTGTGAGGGGCTGTCTGGAGTCTGAGTGGGCCTGAATGTGAATGCTCTCCGGACTGCCAACCCTCAGAACTCGGGGGGTCACCAGGATGTACCTGCCAGTAGACTAACACAAGGGCATTAAGGGACTTGAGTAGGGAAAATGACACCGAACACGAGTCATAAGCTGGAATCACGCAGACATCAGATGTGCAGGAAGCCGGCTGAGCCCCCTCCATTCCCCAGACTCACAGAGGCTCAGCGTGGATGAGGGGGCTTCCCAAAAGAAGCAGAATCCACCCTAGGGGCCAGGGCATTTCCATGGTGGGTGGGAGGGTGACAGGAGGCCACAGGCTGCAGATGTCTGTCCTCTTGTCTGTCCTCTTGTCTGCCCTGGCCCTGGCCTGTTTGCCTTGACTTGTAGTGGCTGAGTTAATATCTAAACAGGTGTGGGGCAAGAATCCCTATAAATCCAATGGGGCGGAGTTGGGGGTGTTTCTTACTTCCCAGCCAAGCCTCCAAGATATGCTTGAGAAGTGCCCCATCCGCTTCCTTGGGGGCCAGAGTGGTAGGAGAACTGCCTGTCCCATGAGCCATGAGGGTCTTATCCACGCCCCTCTCCCCTTTTTTTCTGAGACAGAGTCTGGCTCTGTCACCCAGGCTGGAGTGCAATGGCACAATGTCAGCTCACTGTAACCTCTGTCTCCCACGTTCAAGTAATTCTCATGCCTCAGTCTCCCAAGTAGCGGGGATTACACGCATGGGCCAGCAAGCTCATTTTGTACTTAGTACAAAAATACTAATTTTTGTATTTTTAATAGAGACAGGGTTTCACCACGTTGGCCAGGCTGGTCTCGAACTCCTGACCTCAAGTGATCCACCCGCCTCAACCTCCCAAAGTGCTGGGATTACGGGCATGAGCCACTGTGCCTGGCCATGAAGGTCATATCCTAAAGCCTTCCCCTCCGCCAGCAAGGAGCTTTGCACACCCAGGACACTGAACTCAGGGCTTGCTTGGGATTGGCTGGCAGGAGGAGAGCAAACATCTTTCTACCCTAGCCTGGATGGATTTTCCCTACTTTTGCCTTTGTGAAATTGGCAAAACAGGGCAGCTGCACAAACAGGGGAGGTGCTGGCATTTTTTCCCTATTTCCCAATTCCGGGAGTGAGCAGCATGTGGCATTTGACCATCTGACTCCAGGATCCACCATAACGAAACCTCCTGAGAAATCCATAGGTCAAAGTCCTCTTCTTGGGCTTCAAATCCTTGCGCTATATGGATTTCGTCATCCTTGCAGGAGACAGTTATGCTTAGTAAATTGTGACCATTGTCTATTGTTTCCTAAGTCATGCCAGAGTCTCTGGGTTCCTTTTCCAGAAGGCAAATTATACATATTAAACCAGGGAAGGAAACACATCATGCTTGAAGCATTCCTGGAAAAAGGCTTTCTCTGTCCTCAAATAATTCTCAATGTTTAGCAGGCTTATTAAAGAGAATGTTGAGACGGCTTTGTGGTGTCTGCCTCTAAGAAGCAGTTGGGCTTGATGATGAGTCTGTTTGAATCTGCACCCTACAGTGATGTCAATTCAGCCAGCTTGGGAAATTTTGCCTATTGAAGGGTCCCTGATCCCCCCATCAAATGATAATATAATTTTCTTTTTCTTTAAAGATGGATCTCACTCTGTTGCCCAGGCTGTAGTGCAGTGGTGCGATCTTGGTTCACTGCAACCTTTGCCTCTCAGGTTCAAGCCATCTCCCGCCACAGCCTCCTGAGTATCTGGGATTACAGGCGTGCACCACCACATCCGGCTAATTTTTTGTATTTTTAGTAGAGACGCAGTTTCACCATGTTGGCCAGGCTGGTCTCAAACGCCTGACCTCATGATCCGCCCACTTCTGCCTCCCAAAGTACTGGGATTACAGGCATGAGCCACTGCATCCAGCAGATAATATACATTTATCCGGCAAAGATTCATCAAGCATTTACTTTGACCCTGGCCCCTACTTAGCATACTGGGGACACAGCAGTGAACATGACAGACAAAATCCCTTCCTGTGTGGTGTGGACATTTACTGCAAACTTACTTACGAAGGGCATTTTCTACTGAAATCTCATAGTCTCCCATGAATTGGGGCTTAATGTGTGCCCATTTCCTAGATCCTGCCTTTGTAGAGAGCTGAAACCAAGGATGTTAGAAGCAAAGGGAGGAGTAGGATCTAGTTATTTATTCCTTGGGCATTTGTCAAGCACCTACTAGGTGCCAGACACTGTTCAATGTGCTCTATGTCCCCTGATAGAAGTCTTGCAGCTGGGCCAGGAGTGGTAGCTCATGCCTGTAATCCTGGCACTGTAGGAAGCTGAGGCGGGAGGATTGTTTGAGGCCAGAAGTTCGAGACCAGCCCAGGCAACATAGTGAGACTCTGCCCCTACAAAACGAACGAACAAACAAACAAAAAACCAGGTGTGGTAGTGCACACCTGTAGTCCCAGCTACTCAGGATGCTGAGGTGGGAGGATTGCTTGAGCCCAGGAGGTCAAGGCTGCAGTGAGCTGTGATTATACCACTGCACTCCAGCCTGGGTAACCCTACCTCAAAAGAAGAAGAAGAAAAGAAGAAGTCATCTTGCAGCTATGCTGAAGTAATTCTCACCCATTGCAAAGATGAGGAGATTGAGGCCCCAAGAGGCTAAACAATTTGCCCCATGTCAGGCAGCTGAGGAGCAGTGAGTCTTCAGCTAATGCTTTTAAGTTGATGTTTTAGAGAGCAAAGACTCAATAGAATCAAATTAAAGCCTGGCTCAGGGAAGCAAATTATAGTTAATTTGGAAGGTTCTAGAACATTAGTGTCTATTTACTGTCCCAGGGTCTCAGGAATCTCCACTGGTTCTGTTTTTTTTTTTTTTTCCCCCAGAGTCTCACTCTGTTGCCTAGGCTAGAGTGCAGTGGCACAATCTTGGGTTCAAGTGATTCTCCTGTCTTAGCCCCCCAAGTAGCTGAGGTTACAGGTGCAGGCCATCACAACCGGCTAATTTTTATATTTTTAGTAGAGACGAGGTTTCACCATGTTGGCCAGGCTGGTCTCAAACTCCTGACCTCACGTAATCCGCCCACCTTGGCCTCCCAAAGTGCCAGGATTACAGGTCTGAGCCATCGTGCCTGGCCTCCACTGGTTCTGTTTAGCTCTGCCTGGGCTGGGGGTGAGTGTTCCCCTTCACCAGGTGTTCACATCCTCCCTCTCTTGGGGGCAGGGATTGCAGGAGTCTGGGACAGGCAACTGCCCAAAGGCAAAGGGCATCAGGGCCTGTCTCCGCAGTCCTTCCCTTCTTTTCCTCCAGTCTGAGCCCTGTCTCCCAGTACCAGTGTCTCCATCTACACAGTGGGAATTGCCAGGTAGAACCATCTGAGCCATTTTTAAAATTTTTATTTTTATTTTTTGTTTTTAGAGACAGTCTCCCTCTGTCATCCAGGCTAGAGTGCAGTGGCACAATCATAGCTCACTGCAGCCTTGACTTCCTAGACTCAAGTGATCCTCCCACCTCAGCCTCTCAAGTAGCTAGGACTACAGGCAGGCACCACCATGCCCAGCTAATTTTTTTGTATTTTTGGTAAAGACGGGGGTCTCCCTATGTTACCCAGTCTGGTCTTGAACTCCTGGGCTCAAGTGATCCTCCAGCCTTGGCCTCCCAAAGCCCTGGGATTACAGGTGTGAGCCACCATGCCCAGCCTGGAGTGTATATTTTTACTGTAGCCACATTCACCTGGACTGTCTGTTTAAATTCTCTTAGCAATCTAATGAATGAAGGATCATCACTGGTCCATTTTACAGATGAAAAAACTCTCCAGACTCGGGTTGACACCTGGAATTCCAGCGCTTAGGGAGGCAGAGCCGGGAGGATCGCTTGAGACCAGGAAATCGAGACCAGCCTGGGCAACATAGCCAACCCTATCTCTACAAAAGTTTTTTTTAAAATTAGCTGGGTATAGTGGTGTGTGTGACTGTAATCCCAACCGTAAGGTCCTCTGAACGGACTACGCCAAGGTCAAGCCATTGTGACCCCTGTGAGCCACATGTACAGCCTCCTGGGGTCACAAAGGCTGGAGCAACAGGAGAACCACCAAAGAAACAGCTAGTTCCTGCCTTAACTTATTAACCGACCTTGGAACATTCCACCACTGTGATATGTTCCTGCCCTACCCTAACTAATCAATTGACGTTGTGACCTCCCCCCACCTTGTGGCTATAAACCTTGTGACATTCTTCCCCTGCCCGAAAAAACTGCCCCTAACTGTAACTTTCCACTACCCTACCCCAAACCTATAAAACCAGTTCCACTCCAATCACCCTTCACTGACTCTTTTTTCGGACTCAGCCCGCTTGCATCCGAGTGAATAAACAGTCTTGTTGCTCACACTTAGCCTGTTCAGGGTGCCTCTTCAATTAGACGCGCGCAGAACATTTGGTGCTGAAAGCCCGGGATAGAGGATCTCCTCCGGGACACCTACCCCCATTCCCCTGCACTCTTCCTTGAAGAGACTCCCTTCCACCTTGGGACTTCAGACCCACCCCTGCAAAATGACCCCACTCCTGCCTACAGATCGATTAAGCTGCCTCAGTCTCTCTTCGTCTCTCTCTCTCTTTTTCTTTCAGACAAGGAACCTCCTTTTATCTGTGTTTCTGAAATCCAGCGTTGGTCACAGCCGTACAACCCAGGACTTCCATTCGGGATGCCCACCGAAGATCCCTGTGGTTGCTCTATTCTTTGTCTCTTTCTTTCCCATCCAATCTTCCCTCTTCTATCATGGGCAACCTCCCGCCCTCCATCCCTCCTTCTTCCCCTCTGACTTTTGTCCTCAAAAATCTCAAACCTCTTCAGCTTTCACCCAATCTAAAGCCTAAACGTTTATTTATTTTTTTCTGTAACATGCCTGGCCCCAGTGTAAATTAGACAACAGCCCTCAGTGGCCAGAAAACGGCACTTTCAATTTCTCTATTTTGCGGGACTTAGACAACTTCTGTCACAAAATGGTCTAATGGTCTGAGGTACCCTATGTCCAGGCATTTTTTTACACTATGATCTCTCCCTACCGTCTGCTCCCAATGTGACCTGTCCCAAGTTTTCCTTATCTCCCTTCCGTCTACCCCTCCTTTTTCCATTGGCAATGCCGATTCCTCTGTGTCTGTTAATCCCTCTGATATTTCTCCCCCTCACCCACCCGAACTCGTTCTAATTCCCCCTCAGAACCTGATCCCTCTTCTACCCACAGCCCACCCCCTTATGCCCCTCCCATCACCACCCCTCCTCACACCTTATCTGGCTTACAATTTGGCCCCGTGGCCGGTCCCCCTGCCCCTGCCCAGCAATTTCCCCTTCGAGAGGTGGCAGGAGCCGAAGGAATAGTCCAGGTTCATGTCCCTTTCTCCCTGTCAGAACTCTCCCAAAATAGTCAACGCCTAAGCTCTTTCCCGTCTGACCCCACGAACTATATACAAGAATTCCGATACTTAACCCAGTGCTATAATCTTAACTGGAATGACTTAAACGTCATCCTCACCTCTACGTTCACTCCTGAGGAGCGAGAGCGAGTTTGGACCCTAGCTCAGTCTTATGCTGATGACCACTGGTGCCTTGAGCCTGGCCTCCAAAAAGGTGCCAGGGAAGTACCCCGTGAAGACCCCCAGTGGACCTACCACGCAGGGGTCCAAGGC
This sequence comes from Homo sapiens, assembly GCF_000001405.40. Classification (NCBI taxonomy): domain Eukaryota; kingdom Metazoa; phylum Chordata; class Mammalia; order Primates; family Hominidae; genus Homo; species Homo sapiens. Next base: position 10,032,280 of record NC_000019.10, on the reverse strand, counting down.
ATAGCCAGGCGGGACTATATGATCTCTTGCCTAGCTCAAGGGCTTCAGAAGGCTGCATATAAAGTCATCAGTTATGACAAACTAAAAGAGACCACTCAGAACAAATATGAAAATCCAGCTTAGTTTATGGCCCATCTAGCTGCCACCCTCAGGCGATATACAGCACTAGACCCTGAAGGGCCAGAAGTCCGCCTTATTCTTTTTTTTTCTTTTCTTTTCTTTTTTGAGAAGGAGTCTCGCTCTGTCGCCCAGGCTGGAGTGCAGTGGCCTGATCTCCGCTCACTGCAAGCTCCGCCTCCCGGGTTCACGCCATTCTCCTGCCTCAGCCTCCCCAGTAGCTGGGACTACAGGCGCCCGCCACCACGCCTGGCTAATTTTTTGTATTTTTGGTAAAGACGGGGTTTCACCGTGTTAGCCAAGATGGTCTCGATCTCCTGACCTCGTGATCCGCCCGCCTCGGCATCTCAAAGTGCTGGGATTACAGGCGTGAGCCACCGCGCCCGGCAGCCGCCTTATTCTTAACATGCATTTTATCACGCAGTCAGTTCCTGACATTAGAAAGAAATTTCAAAAATTAGAGTCTGGCCCTCAAATCCCACAACAGGATTTAATCAACCTCGCTTTCAAGGTGTTCAATAACAGGGAAGAGGCTGCCTGGCAGCGGCGTATTTCAGAACTGCAGAGGCTTGCCTCTGCCCTAAGACAAACCCCAGCTGCACCGCCTACGTGTAAGAACCTCAAGACGTCCAAATCCCCGCTCCAGGACCTTGCTTCAAGGGTTGAAAACCTGGCCATGGGCCAAGGAATGCCCGCAGCCCGGCATTCCTTCCAAGCCATGCCCGGTCTGTGCGGGCCCTCACTGGAAGTCGGACTGTCGGACTCTTATCGCCACTGCCGGAGCTCCTGGAGCTCAAACCCGAAACTCCCTGACCAACTCCTTCGCAGATCTCCTCGGCTTGGCGGCTGAAGACTGACGCTGCCCGAACGTCTCGGAGGCCCCCTGGACCATCATGGACACCGAGTTTTGGGCAACTCTTACGGTGGAGGGTAAGTCCGTCCCTTTGATTGATATGGGGGCTACCCACTCCACATTACCTTCTTCTCAAGAGCCTGCTTCTCTTGCCCCCATAACTGTTGTGGGTATTGACGGCCAAGTTTCTAAACCCCTTAAAAGTCCCCAACTCTGGTGTCAAATCGGGCAACACTCTTTCAGGCATTCCTTCCTGGTTATCCCCACCTGCCCAGTCCCCTTATCAGGCCAAGGTATTTTAACTAAATTATCTGCCTCCCTGACTATTCCTGGACTACAGCCACATCTCATAGCTACCCTTTTATCCAATTCCAACCCTCCCTGGCAACCTCCCCTTTCATCTCCCCACCTCAACCTTAAAGTGTAGGATACTTCCGCTCCTTCCCTTGCAACTGTCCATTCACCCCTTATCATCCCATTAAAACCTAACCACCCTTATCCTGCTCAATGCCAATACCCCATCCCACAACAGGCATTAAGGGGCCTAAAGCCTGTTATTACCTGTCTACTACAGCATGGCCTCTTAGTTCCTACCAACTCCGCTTACAACTCTCCCACCCTACCTGTTCAAAAGCCAGATAAATCCTACAGACTAGTCCAAGACCTTCGCCTTATTAATCAGATTGTCCTCCCCTCCATCCTGTTCCTTCCTTGGCCAAAAATTGTTGGCTATGCATTTCCCTCTCTTCCTCCTACTACACAGCTGTCCCTGCCCTACCAGCTGACTGGGCAACCTCCCCCATCTCCCTACACCTCCGAACCTCTTTCAGTGACCCCCCACCTTTGCCCTCCCGAACAACTTCTTTACTTTCTAGACAAATTCAGTAAAAATTCCCCTGACATGTTTTAACAACAAGCTGCCACTCTCCTCTGTACCTACCTAAAAAAAGCTGTCTGCCTATATCAATGCCACACCCCCTGTTCTTGGACCCCTCACTACACAGAAACTATCCCCATTGCTGCCCCCTTATACGTCTCCCAGCAATTACCTACTGGAATTCCCTTAGGGAGCCTCCCATCTTCCTTATGTTCCTTTACCCTTCCATGAAAACAGAACCTCTCCCTCTACACAACTACCCTATCAAACCCCACTACAACCTTTAACAGCTGCTGCCCTTGCTGGATCCCTAGGGGTCTGGGTGCAGGACCCCACTTCCAAAACACACTCTCACCATTTTACTCTGCACTTCCAGTTTTGCATGCCTCAAGGACTCTTTTTTCTCTGTGGCTTTTCCACCTACATGTGCCTCCCTGCCAATCAGACAGGAACCCGTACTCTAGTTTTCCTTACTTCCAAAATCAAGTTTGCAAATGGTAGCGAATAGCTGCCCGTTCCTCTCTTAACCTCAGCACGACAAAAAAAAGTCATTCCATTAATTCCGTTTGTAGGACTAGAAGTCTCTGCCGCTTCAATCGGGACAGGAGTAGCAGGCCTTACAACATCACTACCTTTCTCAGTCTCTCCAATGACTTCTCTGCTAGCCTTATCGATATAACTCAAACACTCTCTGCCCTCCAAGCCCAGGTCGATTCCTTGGGTGCAGTTGTCCTCCACAATCGCCGAGGCCTCAATCTGCTTACTGTTGGAAAAGGAGGACTCTGCCTATTCTTAAATGAAGAATGCTGCTTTTACTTAAATCAATCTGGCCTCGTATATGATAACATCAAAAAATTTAAAGACAAAGCTCAAAAACTTGCAAATCAGGCAAATAATTATTCTGGACCTACCTTGCCATTCTCTAGCCTAGCTTCAAGGCTCCTTCCACTAACAGGCCCTTTCATCCTTCTCCTCCTCTTGATCGGACCTTGTCTTTTCAGGCTAATCTCTCAGTTTATACAAAATTGCATCTAAGCTATTACTAATCAATCAATACGGCAAATACTCCTCCTAAAACCTCACAATATCACCCCCTACACCAAGATCTTTCTTCAGTTTAATCTCTCCAACTTTAGGTTCCCATGCTGCCCCTAACCCCGCTTGAAGCAGTCCTGAGAAACATTACCCATCATCCCAAAACATCATCCATCACCCCTCCATACCATCCCGAAAATTTTCACCCCAACATCCCAACATTACACTACTCTTTCTCGTTTTATTTCTTTCTCATTTTATTTTTCATTATTAAACATAAAAAGACAGGAATGTAAGGTCCTCTGAACAGGCTACACCATGGTCCAGCCATTGTGATCCCTGTGAGCCACACGTACAGGCCCCCTGGAGTCACGAAGCCTGGAGCAACAGGAGAACCACTAAAGAAGAAACAGCTAGTTCCTGCCTTAATTTATTAACCAACCTTGTGACATTCCACCATTGTGATCTGCTCCTGCCCTGCCCTAACTAATCAATCAACCTTGTGATATCGTGCCTTGTGACCTCCCACCTCGTGACTATGCACCTTGTGACATTCTTCCCCTGCCCGAAGAAACTGCCCTTAACTGTAACTTTCCACTACCTACCCCAAACCTATAAAACCAGTTCCACTCCAACCACCCTTTGCTGATTCCCTTTTTGGACTTAGCCGAAAAGTGAGTAAACAGCCTTGTTGCTCACACTTAGCCTGTTCAGGGTGTCTCTTCAATTAGACGCATGCATAACACCAACTACTCAGGGGGTTGAGGTGGGAGGATCGCTTGAGCACAGGAGTCAAGGCTACAGTGAACAGTAATCCTGCCACTGCACTCTGGCCTGGGCGACCGAGTGAGATTGTGTCCCAAAAATTAAAAAAGAAAGAAAGAAAGAAAAAGAAAAAACGAAGGCAACCAGGGTGGTGGCTTACTCTTGTAATCCCAGCATTTTGGGAGGCCAAAGCAGGAGGATTGCTTGAGCCCAGGAGTTTGAGACCAGCCTGGGCAACACAGTGAGACCCCATCTCTATAACAGAAAAAGAAAGAAAGAAAGAAAGAAAGAAAGAGAAAGAAGAGAGAGAAAGAAGAGAAAAAGAAAAAGAAAAGAAGAGAAAGAACAAACGAATGAAAAGAAAGAGAAAGAAGGAAAGAAAGAAAGAAAAAGAAAGAAGAAAGAGAAAGAAAGAAAAAGGAGAAAAGAAAGAAAGAAAGAAAGAAAGAAAGAAAGAAAGAAAGAAAGAAAGAAAAAGTGGCACTAAAAAGGTAAAGGATCCTGTCCCAAATTGCACAGCTAAGAAACTGTGGTACAGGGAGGTTGAGTGTCTTGCTCAGGGTCACACAGCAAGTTTAGTGATGGAAGCTGAGTTCGTGAACCCGGATAAGAAAAGGGAGCCCAAGAAAGGTAGGGGGTAGACCTAGCTCCACCCAGGTCCACCTGAGCTGCAGACAGTGGCCTAGAACAGACCGGCTGCTGGTGCGCAAGTCCACGTGGCCTCTCGTACTTGGACACCAGAGGGCGCAAGCGAGCCTCCGGCCAGGCGGGCAGCTGCGCTCGGCCCCTCCCTCAGGAATGCCAGTGCTCGAGGGAGGGAACCTTGGCCGCCCGCCCGGAGCAGCTGCGCCTGCCGCTCAGATTCCGCCCGCCTTCCCCTCCCTGGGATCGGGAGTTTGCACCGAGAAGGCGCGGGCGGGAGGGGTGGACTTGCAGGGATGTGTCCTTGCAGAGATGCAGCCTCTGGTTTTACTCCCTCCTCCAGGGCTTTGAGCTCAGAGCTTCCCAGGGAAGGCCGGGCAGGACCCAGGAGACCAAGGAATAAGGCTACCATCAACATAACTATTAAGGGCTCTAATTTATTAGACCCCGACTACATTCCAGCCCTTAATATAACTTTCTCCCTGGCAAGTTCCATTTCACAGATGAAGAAACTGAGGGTCAGAGAAGTACCCTGTCTTGTCCAGGTAGGAGGTGTCAGGAGCTTCTCAGGGTGGACTGTACTGCCAGGATGTGCCAGCTTGGTTAACTCCTTGAGTCATTTTTTGGTTTCCACGGTGCTGGTGATGTGGGTAGAGCAAATAGACAACAGTCCCCTGCCCATGGAGCTGACATTTTAGTGGGTGGAGACAAGCAAGAAACAGTGGTATATGCCTGCCGGGCGTGGTGGCTCATGTCTGTAATCCCAGCACTTTGAGAGGCCGAGGTGGGAGGATCACTTGAGCCCAGGAATTCAAAAGCAGCCTGCTCAATAAAGCAAGACCCCCGTTTCTATGATTATTTGTTTTTAGAATGAAAGAAAGAGAAGGAAGGAAGGGAGGAAGGGAGGGAGGGAGGAAGGAAAGAAGGAAGGAAGGAAAAAAAAAAGAGAGAGAACCATGTCAGATCATGGGAAATAAAACACGTAAGAAAATAAAGGGACAGTGTGCTATCTTGAGGTGAGCCTGGAGGACCTCTTGGAGGAGGTGGTATTTGAGCGCATGAAGGAAATGAGGAAGGGAACCTTGTGGATATTTGGGAAAAGCATTCTATGTAGAGGGAACAGCAAGTGCAAAGGTATTGAGGTTGGAGAGTTTAAGAAACAGCAAGTAGGCCAGGCGTGGTGGCTCACACCAGTAATACCAGCACTTTAGGAGGCCAAGGCTGAAGGATCACTTGAATCCAGGAGTTTGAGGTTGCAGTGAACTATGATCATGCCACTGCACACCAGCCTGGGTGACAGAGAGAGACCCTGTCTCTAAAAAGAGATAAAGACAGACAGACAGACAGACGAAACGGCACAGCAAAGAAGTCAGTGTTGCTGGAATGAGTAGGTGATGGGGAAAAAGTGGGAGATAATTTGAGACAAATATTCATTGGTCAGATGATGCAGTTTTGATCTGAGTCTAAATAAGAGGGGAAGCATGCCGGACATCATGGCTCACACCTGTAATCCCAGCACTTTGAGAGGCCAAGGTGGAAGGATTGCTTGAGACCAGGAGTTCAAGACCAGCCTGGGCAACATAGTGAGACCCCCCTCTACAAAAAATGTTTAAAAAGTTAGCTAGGCATGGTGGCACGCACCTGTGGTCCCAGCTACTCAGGAGGCTGAGGTGGGAGGATCTCTTGAGCCTAGCAGGTTGAGGCTGAGTGATTGCACCACTGTACTTCGATCTGAATGACAGAGCAAGACCCTGTCTCAAAAAAAAAAAAGTCTAAATAAGAGGAGAAACCACTGCAGAGGTTTGAAAAGAGCATTGACATTGTCTTTGTGTGTGTGTGTGTGTGTATGTGTGTGTGTGTGTGTGTTTTGTGAGACGGAGTCTCACTCTGTCACCCAGGCTGGAGTGCAGTGGTGCAATGTCGGCTTGCTGCATTGGCGTGGTCTCGGCTCACTGCAAGCTCCGCCTCCCGGGTTCATGCCATTCTCCTGCCTCAGCCTCCCGAGTAGCTGGGACTACAGGCGCCCACCACCATGCCTGGCTAATTTTTTGTACTTTTAGTAGACATGGGGTTTCACCATGTTAACCAGGATGGTCTCGATCTCCTGACATCGTGATCCGCCCGCCTCGGCCTCCCAAAGTGCTGGGATTACAGGCGTGAGCCACCGCATCCGGCCTGTCTTTGTGTTTTAACAGAATCAGTCTGTGTATGTCTTTTCTTATTTTATTTATTTATTTATTTATTTGAGACAGGGACTGTCTCTCTCAGCAGGCTGGAGTGCAGTGGTGCGATCATATCTTACTGCAGCCTCTAATTCCTGGATGCAAGAGATCCTCTTGCTTCAACCTCCTGAGTAGCTGAGACTACAAGGACATGACACCACACCAGGCTAATTTTTTAAAATTTTTTGTAGAGATGGGGTTTTGCTATGCTGCCCAGGCTGGTCTCAAAATCCTGGACTCAAGTGATTCTCTTGCCTCCACCTCCCAGTGTTGGGATTACATGCGTGAGCCACTGTGCTATCAGTATGTTCTTTGTTTCTGTGTCTTGAAATTTAAAAGTAAAATAATAATAATGGCCCGGTATGGTGGCTCACGCCTGTAATCCCAGGACTTTGGGAGGCCGAGGCAGGTGGATCACCTGATGTCGGGAGTTTGAGACCAGCCTGACCAACATGGAGAAACCCCATCTCTACTGAAAATACAAAAATTAGCCGGGTGTGGTGGCACATGCCTGTAATCCCAGCTACTTGGGAGGCTGAGGCAGGGGAATCACTTGAACTCGGGAGGAGGAGGTTGTGCTGAGCCGAGATCGCACCGTTGCACTCCAGCCTGGGCAGCAAGAATGAAACTTCATCTCAAATAATAGTAATAATAACAATTCCACAACATAAAAATAAGGCCAAACACCCTTAACAGATAAGTTAAAAAAGAAAAAAAAAAGCAAACTGGGAATGGAAGTGTCTGCACTTCGTATCAGATTCCTTAATTTCCTCAATATATAAAGTTTCTAGAAATGAATAATAAAAACATCAACAATCCAACAGAAAATAAATTGGGCAAAGGTGTGATCAGAATGCCCACTAAAAATGAAACACAAAAGGTTCTTTAACATTTGAAAAGATATTCAGCTTCTCTCATAATAAGAGAAGTACAATTTAAAACCACACCAAGATACCAATTTTTATCCATTAGATTTGCATAAATTCAGAAGACAGATAATATGGTGTGTGCCAAAGGTATTGCCAAGCAAGGAGGCTACCATATGGACATTGGTCCTCCAGGATGGACAAGAATTTGATAATGTTCAGAAAAATTACAAATGCTTAGATACTTTGGCCAAATAATCTCATGACAGAAACTCTTGCACATGTGTGAGATGATATGAGGTTTGTCATTGCTGCCATTTATGTAATAGCAAACATTTGGAGAGAATCCAGAGATCTATTAGTAGAGAAAAGAGTTGCATAAATTATTGTTTATCTCCACAATGGAATAAACTCCAGATCTGCAAGGAATGAGGATGTCTGCTTGGGCCGATATGGAAAACCCTGCGACCAGGCACAGTGGCTCATGCCTGTAATCCCAGCACTTTGGGAGGCCAAGGAGGGCGAATCAGTCAGGAGTTTGAGACCAGCCTGGCTAACACGGTGAAACCCTGTCTCTACTAAAAATACAAAAATTAGCCAGGCGTGGTGGCACACGCCTGTAGTCCCAGCTACTCAGGAGGCTGAGGTGGGAGAATCACTTGAACCCGGGAGGCAGAGGTTGCGGTGAGCCGAGATTGCGCCACTGCACTCCAGCCTGGGGGAGAGAGTGAGACCCTGTCTCAAAAAAGAAAAAAAAGAAAATCCTCCAAGGTATACATGATCCAAGGAAACAACTAAAGTTCACATTTATTTGTATAGTATGCTGCTTTTAGTGAAAAAGTTTTTTAAAAAGTATATATTCAGTTTTTTTGTTTGTTTGGTTTTTGTTTTGAGACAGAGTCTCACTCTGTCACCCAGGCTGGAGTGCAGAGGTGCAATCTCAGCTGACCACAACCTCTGCCTCCTGGGTTCAGGCAATTATCATGCCTCAGCCTCTGGAGTAGCTGGGATTACAGGCGCGCACCACAATGCCTAGCTAATTTTTGTATTTTTAGTAGAGATGGGGTTTTTCCATGTTGGCCAGGATGGTCTCAAACTCCTGACTTCAGGTGATCCACCTGCCTTGGCCTCCCAAAGTGCTGGAATTACAGATGTGAGCCACTGTGCCTGGTCTATATTAAGTTTTTTTTTAAACTAAAACACTCTATGTCTGTTTTCAAAGTTGTGGTAAAATATGTGCACTACAAAATTTACCATTTTTGGCTGGGCGCAGTGGCTTATGCCTGTAATCCCAGCACTTTGGGGGGCCAAGGCGGGAGGGTCATCTGAGGTCAAGAGTTTGAGATCAGCCTGGCCAACATGGAAAAAACCCATCTCCACTAAAAATACAAAAATTAGCTAGGCGTGGTGGTGGGCGCCTGTAATCCCAGCTACTCAGGAGGGTGACGCAGGAGAATTGCTAGAACCCAGGAGGCAGAGGTTGCAGTGAGCTGAGATTGTGCCACTGCACTCTAGCCTGGGTGACAGCGAGACTCTGTCTCAAAAAAAAAAAAAAATTACCATTTTAACCATTTATAACTGTACAGATCAGTGGCCTTAGGTTCATTCACACTGTTGTGCAACCATCACCGCTATCCATCTCCAGAACTTTCTCATCTTCCCAAACTGAAACTCTGTCCCCATGAAACACTAATTCCCCATTCTGTCCTCCCTCAGCCCCTGGCGCCCACTGAGTGACTTTCTATCTCTATGAATTTGACTACCTTAGGCATCTCAGATAAGTGGAATTTTCTATCTGGTTTATTTCACTCAGTATGGTATTCTCAGTATTTACCCACGTATCAGAATTTCCTTCCTCTTTAAGAATATACAAAAGTTGGCCGGGCGCGGTGGCTCACGCCTGTAATCCCAGCACTTTGCGAGGCCGAGGTGGACAGATCACAAGGTCAGGAGATCAAGACCATGCTGGCTAACATGGTGAAACTCCATCTCTACTAAAAATACAAAAAATTAGCCGGGTGTGGTGGCGGGCGCCTGTAGTTCCAGCTACCTGGGAGGCTGAGGCAGGAAAATGGCATGAACCCGGGAGGCAGAGCTTGCAGTGAGCCGAGATCGCGCCACTGTACTCCAGCCTGGGCGACAGAGCGAGACTCCATCTCAAAGAAAAAAAAAAAGAATATACAAAAGTCTGTTTATCCATTCATGAGTTTTTGTTTTTGTATTTTTTTGAGACAAAGTCTCATTCTGTTGCCCAGGCTGGAGTGCAGTGGCGCCGTCTTGGCCTCATTGCAAACTCCACCTCCTGGGTTCAAGTGATTCTCATGCCTCAGCTTCCTGAGTAGCTGGGATTACAGGCGCCTGCCACCACGCACAGCTAATTTTTGTATTTTTAGTAGACAGAGTGTTTCTCTATGTTGGCCAGACTGATCTCAAACTCCTGGACTCAAGTGATCCACTTGCCTCGGCCTCCCAAGTGCTGGGATTACAGGCATGAGGCACCATGTCTGGCTTGCTTGCTTGCTTTCTCTCTCTCTCTCTTTGGAGCCAGTAGTTCAACTGGCTTTTTAAGTTTTTATTTAATTTTAAGAAATTGAGCTTTATTAAATAGTAAATGTAACTACAACTTGTGGTTATAAATATATATTTAATGGAAAAAATATACATACATTGCTGGTGTGTGCTCAAATACATTTTGCTGATGGAGTGTGTGACCAGGAATGACCCCTTGGTCCACAGAGCTCTGGTGTATGCATGGAGGTGGGGGGTGGGCTATGAATCATTCCTGTGTTCTCAGGCCCAGGATCATGAAGTCACGAGGTTGAATGTAGCAGAGTCTGTCTCTTCCTTCAAGGCTCATAACAATGCCGCTTCCTCCAGGAAGCCTCCCTTGCTTTCCCAGAGACAGCTGTGGCTTCCTGCTCTGGGCTTCCCAGGCCAAGTTCCCAGGGTCCCTCTCTGTGCTCCAGCTGTGACCACAGAGGAGTCTATGCCTGAAAATAAAGGCCCTTCTGGGATTCTAGCCATGTCTAGGCACAGAGGAGGGGAGGGGGAGTTTGCAGAATGAATAAATGAAGAGTCTGTTCATCCTTTGAATTAGATGTGGAATGAAGAGGTCTGGTTGTTCAGGGATGGGGATCGTGAAGCTCTGTTCTGCTCATCTTGGCCGCACCCGCGTTGGGAGGCAGCCGCAGGACAGACATTGAAGGCCAAGGTTGAGGAGGCGTGGACAGCGGAAGAGGAGGCGGTGGGTCGTTCGCACATACAGGCTGCCAGAGGAATCCACGGTTTTGAGCGTGGTCAGCGGCGAGTAGCGGATGTTGGTCTGTCGGCGCAGGGGTGGTCGAGTCGAGCTGATGACGTTGACAATGGCCTGCAGAATGGAGGCCCTGAGCGCTGGGACCCAGGGAGGGCCTCACCCCGCAACATACCTGAGCCACGTCTTGGGGCTCTGGGCCCTTCACTCACCTGAACCACGTCCTGTGGGTTCTGTCCCACGGAGCAAAACAGCTTCCTGGAGGCTGGGAGATAGAGGTCCCGGAAGTAGTGCAGGGTCTCAGGGTCAGTGCCTGGGAACTCAGCCATAGAAACCTGCGCCAGAAGCTTCCCCTCAAACTCGGTGACCACGGGGCCTGGCTCCACCAGGGAGATGCTGGCGACCAGGCATGGGTAGTGTAAGTCTGATGCCCCAACCACTCCCTGACCTATTTTGTCCATTTTTTTTTTTTTTTAAGATACAGGGTCTCACTCTGTTGCCCAGGCTGGAGTGCAGTGGCATGATCATAGCTGTCTGCAGCCTCCAACTCCTGGGTTCAAACAATCCTCCGCCTCAGCCTCCTGAGTAGCTGGGACTGCAGGTACACACACCACCACCCTTGGCTAATTTTTAAATTTTGGGCTGAGATGGGGGTCTCGCTATGTTGCCCAGGCTGGTCTCAAATGCCTGACCTCAAGCGATCCTCCCATTTCAGCCTCTCAAAACGCTGGACTTACAGGTGTGAGCCACTGCACTCAGCTTCATTGTCTTCATCTCTCCTCTCCCCCTTTCGATGCCACCTCCCCATCACTGGCTCCAAGCCCCCTCTGCCCACGTGCCCGCCTCACAAGATGTTGAACTGCAGCAGCTGGATAGCGAGGCTTTCGAAGAATCCCTCCAGGGCGAACTTGGAAGCTGCATAGACATCGTTGAAGATGACACCTGTGAGGGTCAGAGGGAGGAGAGCTCTTTGAGGGTCTGGGAGGTGGGCTTTGTGGGTTCCAGGGTGATGGGGTCTTTGGGAGACAGAGCAAAGAGGATGTGGGAACCAGAGAAAGCAGATACATGGTGCCAAGATGATGGGTGTATGGCATTGTGTGATGGGGTCATATGGGGTCAGAAAGAGGTTGTTCTCGGGTGCCGGGTGCCACCTCCTCCCAGCTCCACCTGGTCCCAGGAAACTCCCCTATTTCCCTCCATTCTCTAAACCTTTGGGGCCGCTTGGGGATCCCCTTCATTTTTCTCTTCATTAGGGCCCTTGTCTCTCTTCCTCCCTCCCTTCCTTCCTTCCTCCCTCCCTCCCTCCCTCCTTCCTTCCTTCTCTCTCTCTCTCTTTTTCTTTTTCTTTTTTGATAAGGTGTTGCTCTGTTCTGCAGTCTGGGGTGCAGTGGTGCAATCATGGCTCACTGCAGCCTTGAACTCCTGAGCTTAAGCGATCCTCCCACTTCAGCTTCCTGAGTAACTGGGACTACAGGCACACACTAGGATGCTTGGCTGATTTTTTTATTTAATTTAATTTTTTTTTGGCGGGGGGGAGACGGAGTCTCACTCTGTCGTTCAGGCTGGAGTGCAGCCTCTGCCTCCTGAGATCAAGTGAATCTCCTGCCTCAGCCTCCTGAGTAGCTGGGACTACAGGTGCACACCACCACACCCAGCTAATTTTTGTATTTTTACTAGAGACGGAGTTTCACCATGTTGGCCATTCTGGTCTCCAACTCCTGACCTCAAGTGATCCATCAGCCTCAGCCTCCCAAAGTGCTGGGATTACAGGCATGAACCACCACATCTGGCCAAAGTTTTGTTGTTGTTTTTTGTTTGTTTGTTTGTTTACTTATTTATTTATTTTTTTTAGACAGAGTCTTGCTCTTGTTGCCCAGGCTGGAGTGCAATGGCGCAATCTCAGCTCATTGCAACCTCTGCCTCCTGGGCTCAAGCAATTCTCCTGCTTCAGCACCCCGAGTAGCTGGGACTACAGGTGTGTGCCACCACACACGGCTAATTTTTTTGTATTTTTAGTAGAGATGGGATTTCATAATGTTGGCCAGGCTGGTCTTGAACTCCTGATCTTGGGTAATCCACCTGCCTCGGCCTCCCAAAGTGTTGGGATTACAGGCATGAGTCACCGTGCCTGGCCCAATTCTAAAAAAATTTTTAGTAGTGATGAGGACTCCCTGTGTTGACCAGGCTGGTCTCAAACTCCTGAGCTCAAACAGCCCTCCTGCCTAGGCCACGCAAAGTGCTGGGATTATAGACGTGAGTCACCATGTCTGGCCACTTTTTCCTTCTGAACTTCAGAATCCTTCTGAACACAATTCTCCAGGCTAATTTATTTTATTTTATTATTATTTTTTTTGAGACAGAGTTTCACTTTGTTGCCTAGGCTGGAGTGCAGTGGCACGATCTTGGCTCACTGCAACCTACACCTCCCAGGTTCAAGGAATTCTCGTGCCTCAGCCTCCTGAGTAGCTGGGATTACAGGCACATGCCACCATGCCTGGCTGATTGTTTTGTATTTTAGTAGGAACGGGCTTTCACCATGTTGCCCAGGCTGGTCTCAAACTCCTGAGCTCAGGCAATCCACCCGTCTCAGCCTCCCAAAGTGCTAAGATTACAGGCATGAATCACCGTGCCCAGGGTCCATGCTAATTTAGAATATGATCTAAAACCCATTCGCCATCCTCCCAGTCTGGGGAGGATCAGACACTGGTGGGATTTCCAGGGTTGGGTCCCCACAGCTCACCCTGCAGGCCCATGACACTGCTGATCACCACGATGTGGCCCTGCCGCCTCCTCTTCATGCCTGGAAGCACAGCTTTGACGAGACGGACAGCTCCGAAAAAGTTGGTGTCAAAGACATTCTGCATGGCAGCAAGGCTGAGCCCCTCCAGGGGCCCCACCAGGCCCATTCCAGCATTATTCACTAAGAGAAGAGGTACTAAGGGTTACCTTAAAGTCCCTCACTCTTCTAGCATTACTTCTAGACACTCCCTGAAGCACCTCACCCCGTACTCCAAGTCCAAGGCCAGTCCAGGGTATCTTGGGTGGACAAATATGAAACCTTGGTAACCTTTAAACACAGTTTAGCATTTGTCATAGGGGATCCTCAGCCCTGAGTGGGAGGAAGGGCTGCTGGGAATAGTGCCCCCCTTAATCCATGAGCAATTCAATTCTGACCCCAAATTACATCAAGACAGCGACACCCACCTTCCTGCGAAGGTTAGGGACCTTATGACTTATTTCTGTATCATGCTGTCTTCCCCAAGTGACTCATCCAAGTAATTTTCCCAACCACATATGGCTTTCTCCATATATGAGAATTTCTATTCCATAAAATCTGCCCCACCTCCAGGCCTCAGATTGTTACTAGTGTCTCTAATATTTTTGTTTTTTAAAAAAATTGATTTTTGAGCTGGGCATGGTGGCTCATGCCTGTAATCTCAGCACTTCGGGAGGCCAAGGTGAGTGGATCACCTGAGGTCAGGCTTCGAGACCAGCCTGATGAACATGGAGAAACCCCGTCTCTACTAAAAATACAAAATTAGCCAAGTGTGGTGGCGCCTGCCTGTAATCCCAGCTACTTGGGAGGCTGAGGCAGGAGAATCACTTGAACCCAGGAGGTGGAGGTTGCAGTGAGCTGAGATTGCGCCATTGCACTCTAGCCTAGGCAACAAGAGTGAAATTCCATCTCAAAAAAAATTGATTTTTGGCCAGGTGTGGTGGTGCATGCCTGTAATTCCAGCACTCTGGGAGGTCGAGGTGGGCGGATCACTTGAGGTCAGGAGTTTGAGACCAGCCTGACCAACACGGTGAAACCTCGTCTCTAAGAAAAATACAAAAATTAGCTGGGCATGGTGGCAGGCACCTGTAATCCCAGCTACTCAGGAGGCGAGGCAGGAGAATTGCTTGAACCTGGGAGGTGGAGGTTGCAGTGAGCCGAGATCACGCCACTGCACTCCAGCCTGGGCGCAGAGCAAGACTCCGTCTCAAAAAAAAAATTATTTTTGAGACAAGGTCTTACTCTGTCTCCCCAGACTGGCTCTGTCATAACTCACTGCAGCCTCAAACTCCTGGGCTCAAGGGATCCTCCCACCTTGGCCTCCCGAGTAGCTGGGATTAGGCATGCACCACTATGACTGGCTAATTTTTAATTTTTTTGTAGAGTCAGAGTCTCACTATTTTGCTGAGGCTGGTCAATCCTCCTGTCTCGGCCTCCCAAAGTGCTAGGATTACAGGTATGAGCCACTGCACCCAGCCCTTAATAAATCAATTGGTAGGACCAACTGGTCTACCCCTCTTGGCCAACTGGTCTACCCCTTCTGCCCAGGTTCAGAGATTGCTGAAGAAGCCAGAGAGCTGGTGCTCAGACCTTGCCATATTGAGGGTCTATACTCAGACCAGGATGGGGCTTAGTGAATCAGGGGCTGTGAAGTCTCACCCAGCACGTCCACTTCTCCCTGGATACAGCTGAGACACTGGGCCACCGACTCATCACTGCACACGTCCAGCTGGGCCACGGTGAGGGTCTGCCCCAGAGCCTCCCCAGCAGCTGCCTCCAGTGTCTCCTTCTTCCCCAGGTCCCTCATGGTGGCCACGACTGCGGGGCAGAGAGTAAAGCAGGGACAGGCACTGAGCTCCTTTCCCCTTGGTGTGGGCGCCACGTGTCTGTGATCTTGCGTTACAAGTCACAGAGAGATGGAAACTCACAAGTTTACACACCTACATTTATCACTCAGCCAACAAGTGCACACTTGTGTACACGCATCTCCACGTACCTATATCCATCCTTCCAACCATGAGTTCAACAGACATTTATTGAGCATCTACTATACACTATGCCCTATTCTAGGTGCTGAGGCTATGGCATGAAATAAGATAAAGTCACCAGGTGTGGTGGCTCAAGCCTGTAATCCCAGCACGTTGGGAAGCTGAGGTGGGAGGATTGCTTGACCCCAGGAGTTTGAGACCAGCCTGGGAAGTATAGCGAGATCCCATCTCTACAAAAAAATTATATTTTACAAATTTGCCAGGTGTGGTGGGTGGCCCCCACCTGTAGTCCTGGCTACTTGGGAGGCTGTGGTGGGAGGATTGCTTGAGCCCAGGAGGTTGAGGCTGCAGTGAGCCGAGATGGAGCCACTGCACTACCGTCTGGGTGAGAGAGTGAGACCCTGTCTCAAAAAATAAAAAATAAGGCCGGGCGGCCTGGCGCGGTGGCTCACGCCTGTAATCCCAGCACTTTGGGAGGCCGAGGTGGGCAGATCACGAGGTCAGGAGATCGAGACCATCCTGGCTAACATGGTGAAACCCCGTCTCTACTAAAAATACAAAAAAAAAAAAAAATTAGCCTGGCGTGGTGGCAGGCGCCTGTAGTCCCAGCTACTTGGGAGGCTGAGGCAGGAGAATGGCGTGAACCCGGGAGGCGGAGCTTGCAGTGAGCCGAGATAGCGCCACTGCACTCCAGCCTGGCAACAGAGCGAGACTGTCTCAAAATAAATAAATAAATAAATAAATAAATAAATAAATAAATAAGATAAAGTTTCTGCCTTCATGGAATTTATAGCCTAGTAGGTAAGACAATAAAATATATAAACATAAAACAGATTGCCATGAAAAAAATGCATACACAACTATAGCCAACATATGTGCATATATGAACACTGAAGTGAATAGCCATATATATATATATATTTTTTTTTTGAGACGAAGTTTCACTCTTGTTTGTTGCCCAGTCTGGAGTACAGGGGTGCAATCTCGGCTCACTGCAACCTCCACCTCCTGGGTTCAAGCAATTCCCCTGCCTCAGCCTCCCGAGTAGCTGGGATTACAGGGGTACAGGTGCCTGCCACCACACCTGGCTAATCTTTTGTATTTTTAGTAGAGACGGGGTTTCACCATATTGGTCAGCCTGGTCTCGAACCTCAGGTGATCTGCCCACCTCATCCTCCCAAAGTGCTGGGATTACAGGCGTGAGGAGCCAGAGAGCCACAGCACCTGGCCAAGCTTTTATGCCCTTTTTTTTTTTTTTGAGACGGAGTCTCGCTCTTGGTGCCCAGGCTGGAATACAGTGGTGAAATCTCAGCTCACTGCAACCTCTGTCTCCCGGTTCAAGCAATTCTCCTGCCTTAGCCTCTCAAGTAGCTGGGATTATAGGCACTGCCACCATGCCTGGCTAATTTTTGTATATTTATTTATTTATTTATTGAGACAGAGTCATGCTCTGTCGCTTAGGCTGGAGTGCAGTGGCATGATCTCGACTCACTGCAAGCTCCACCCCACAGGTTCACGCCATTCTTCTGCCTCAGCCTCCCGAATAGCTGGGACTACAGGCATCCACCACCACGCCTGGCTAATTTTTTGTATTTTTAGTAGAGACGGGGTTTCACCATGTTGGCCAGGCTGGTCTCAAACTCCTGATCTCAGGTGATCTGTCCACCTAGGCCTCCCAAAGTGCTGAGATTACAGGCATGAGCCACTGTGCCCAGCCTCAAGCTTATGTTCTTAAGCAGGACCTCAGCATATGTACTATGTCTGCACATGCACCAGCATACGTGTTTGATATCCCCCAATGTGTGCACCCATAATCACCCATGAACACTCCTGGGGGCATTTGCCTCTTGTCTTCGGGTCAGTGTGATTTGTGGGTAGCAGGCACGTGAATGGGGTCACTTGCATCTACATGTGATATAGTGGGAAACATGGGTGCAAGGGATGGGCTGCCTGAGTTCAAATCCCAGCTCTGCTACTTTGCAGCTGGGAGACCTTGAGCAAAGACCTTTCACAGTCTGCACCTTAGTTTCCTCATTTCTAAAATAGGGCAGGCCAGGCACGGTGGCTCATGCCTGTAATCCCAGCACTTTGGGAGGCCCAGGCAGGCAGATCACCTGAGACCAGGAGTTCGAGACCGGTCTGGCCAACATGGTGAAACCTTGTCTATTAAAAATACAAAAACTTAGCCGGGTGTGGTGGTGCATGCCTTAATCCCAGAAACTCGGGAGGTCAAGGCATGAAAATCACTTGAACGTGGGAAGTGGAGGCTGCAGTGAGCCAAGATGCACCACTGCACTCAGCCTGGGTGACAGAGCAAGACTCTGACTCAAAATAAATAAATAATAAAATAATAATAAAATGGGGTGAATGATTGTGCCTGCCTCACGGGTGTGATGTGAGGATTAAATGACTTCCTGGATTCAGGGCACTTAGAATGCAGCTTGGTGCATTGTAAAAGCTCCATAAACATTAGCCTCCAGCAGTTTCATACACCCATCTGCCCGCCCATAGGGACACACGTTATTCCCTGCACACTGGCATTCAGGCTGTCATGCTCAAAGCTGTGTGCGTCTCTAAAACAGAGGGCAGAGGGCTGGGAGAAGCAGCCCTGCCAACTGGGGCAATGCCCTCACCCCCAGTCGCCTCTTTGTAAGTAACAACCCTTTGCCCACTTTGACTCCAGCATGCTCCCTCTGGGTCAGGGGTTCTCCTGGTTGGTTAGGATGCAGGTCCCAGGGATTTATTCTAGAGGTGCAGAAGGGCAAGTTCTTAGAACTAGAAGGCCATCCCTTCAACCCCCAAGGTCAGGAGCACTTAAGAAGCTTATCTCAGTAAAAGCAATAATCTGGGGAGACGTGGAAGAGTGAGCATCAGGGTAGTGATTATTCCAATCTAGGAAATGCCCTAGTGAAACCCTTCTAAAAATAACCCCCACCCACCCCCTGCCACTCTCAGCATGCTTTATTTTGTGTCTCAGCACTTATTCCCACCAGATAGAGCAACAATTTCTTTTTATCTGTTTATCACCCATTCTCCCTCTCCTCCCCACATGACACCCGTCCTGAGGGCTGAGATTTTTGTCTATTTCATCTCCAGTTGTGTTGCCAGCATTCAGAGCACCCAGAAGATGCTCAAGAAATATTTCTAGGATGAGGGGATGATTCCTGGAGGGAATCCTGGGTCTCCCCAAGCCCACAAGTGCAGCTGGGAGGGATGGGTAGGGGAGACAGTGCTGGGGAAGCCGTTTCCACCCGGCTGCCTCCTAGTGCCACCCTGCACTTCTTACCCTGGTAGCGCTTCTTGGGGTCATGGGCCAGTTGCACTGCAAGTTCCAGACCAATTCCTGATGAGCAGCCGGAGATCAACACAGTCCGGGGTGCAGCGGCCATGTTGATCCCCTCCCTGGACTCGTGACCTCCGCCGGGCAGCACCTGACTCTGACCATTCATCCTGGGCTCATCTGCTCCCTCCTAACCCCCTCCCACAGATCCCCTGCAGGGCAAAGCCTCTGCCCTCCCCCGGAGACCCTCAATTCTGGACTGACCCTGAACAGGCAGTAAGAGAGAATCTCTTAAATCCTCTCTGCACCTCATTTTCTTCATCTGCCAAACATTTCTTCTCCGCACCTACTATAGACATCACTGGTTTTTGTTTGTTTGTTTTTAAGAGACAGCATCTTGCTCTGTCACTCAGGCTGGAGTGCAGTGGCACCATCATAGCTCACCACAGCCTCAAGCGATCCTCCTATCTCAGCCTCCAGAGTAGCTGGGGCTACCGGCGCACACTACCATGCCCAGCTAATTTTTAAATTTCTTTTTCTTTTAGACATGGGATCTTGCTATGTTGCCCAGATTGGTCTCGAACTCTTGGCCTCAAGTGATCCTCCTGCCTTGGCCATTTGTAACTGTTTTCTTAATTTATAATTTTTATTATGACTGTAAATTATTATTATTATTTTGAGACAGAGTCTTGCTCTTGTCACCCAGGCTGGAGTGCAGTGGTGCAATTTCGGCTCACTACAACCTCAGCTTTCCAGGGTAAAATGATTCTCCTGCCTCAGCCTCCTGAGTAGCTGGGATTACAGGCGTGTGCCACCACACCCAGCTAATTTTTGTATTTTTAGTAGAGATGAGGTTTCGCCATGTTGGCCAGGCTGGTCTTGAACTCCTGACCTCAAGTGGTCCAGCCGCCTCAGCCTCCCAAAGTGTTGGGATTACAAGCATGAGCCACTGAGCCTGGCCGAGTATAAATTATTTAGGGCTGGGGAGAGTTTCTGTGAAAGTTGGGGGGAATTAGTGTCTGTATTCTGGGTGAAGAATCTCTGATTGAAGGGAGAGAGTGAGAGAAGGAGACAGAGAATGTGGATCCAGAAGTGTTTCATAGAGGGAAGGGGTGTAGAACTGTCAGAAGATGTAGTTAGACTATAGGAAGAACTTCCAGCAAGGCAGGGCAGGGCAGGAATTTTGTGAGAGTCTTTTAGTTGGAGAAGTCTCAGCCTCAGATGTCCCTGGGGTGGGAGGAGGCACAGCTTACAGAGATACCCTCTCCTCCTCCCACCCTGGGGGGCCCCCATCTCCCCCTCAGGCTTGATGGGGCCCCAACCCCTCCTCTTCAGGGACACAGAGACTCTTTGTCTGGGGAGTCAGAGGCTGGGAGGGAGGCACTGCTTGCGTCTCCCTCTTCCCCTGGGGCGGAGGTGGGGGAAGCAGGGTTCGGGGAGCAGTTCAGGGCTCAGAATACGCCTCTTGGTTCCTCCCCTCCCTGGGGAAACACCCTCACATCCTGCGTGTCTGCGCTTGTCCAATTGCATAAAAGCTCTATTTGACCTCATGGGGGCCTCTTCATGCTGGAGGTGGGGGTCCCAGCACGGTGAGGGGGGCCTCTGCCTCATCCCAAGAATGGCAAGAATCCACCCCTTCCTCCCCAGTGGCTGTGCGTTGCTTTGCGACAGGGACAGATTCCCACCACCTCCCACCAACGCGCCGGCCTTTTTTTTTGAGACAGACAGAGTCTTGCTCTGTTGTCCAGGCTGGATCGCAGTGGCACAACCTCAGCTCACTGCAACCTCCACCTCCCGTGTTCAAGTGATCCTCCCACCTCAGCCTCCCAAGTAGCTGGGACTACAGGCGCCAGTCACAATGCCTGGCTAATTTTTGTATTTTTAGTAGAGATGGGGTTTCGCCATGTTGGCCAGCTGATCTCTAACTCCTGGACTCAAGCGATCTGCCCGCCCCAGCCTCTCAAAATGCTGGGATTACAGGCATGAGCCACCGCACCCAGCTCAGACTCCCTCATTTGGTGGGGATTTGGGATTGAGGCCGGGGCATCCACTGGAGACCTGAGTTGGGGCGGGGGGAGATGAGGGTTAGGGATGGAGATGAGACCCTTTATTTGAGGAATCAAGAATTTGGGGAAAGTGAAAACTGTGTTTTGGGATCTGTGGTGAGAATTTGGGACCAGGACACGTGACTTAGGGATTTGAGTGGACAGATGAAGGTTTGGAGTAAGGCTGGGGACCCCATTTTGGGATCTGGGGTGAGATTTGAGGTGGGATGAGGACCCGTTAGGGACTTGAAGGAAAGGCTTTGGGGCTGAGGCTGGTACCTCCTATTGTGCAGCTGAGGGACTGAGGATAAAGCAGGTAGGTGAGTGAGAGTTCGGGGTGAGGTTGGGACCCCAGTTGGGGGCCTGAGTGAGGCAGAAAGGACTTGGTGCCAGGGGCGGTGGCTCATGCCTGTAACTCCAGCGCTTTGGGAGGGCAAGGCCGGAGGATCGCTTGAGACCAGAAGTTCAAGACCGGCCTGGGCAGCATAGCAAGATCCCGGTCTCTACAAAATATACATATTTTAAAATTAGCTGGGTGTGGCAGTGTGTGCCTGTGGTACCTGCTTCTCAGGAGGCTGAGGCAGGTGGATGGCTTGAACGCAGGAGTTGGAGGCTGCAGTGAGCTATGATTGCACCACTGCACTCCAGCTTGGGTGACAGATCAAGACCCTGTCTCCAAAATAAAATGTAAAAATAATAGAAAATAAAAAAGATTTGGTATAAAGCTGCACCTCCTCCTAATTCTAGGGCCTGGATGGAGGCTGAAGTCTTGAATGAGGTTAAGGTCTCCTTTGAGGGGATCTGCTAGGCGGAAAAGGTTTGGGGTAAGACTGGAACCCTCGAACTCTAGGGCTGGGTGGGAGTGACCCTTCTCCTCCACAGTGGGGTGGGGCAGGAACAACCCAGCTCCTGGCGCTGGGCTCCACCCCAGCCAGCCAATCAGCCCTCAGCACAAAGTTTCCCAACTTCCCAGTCCAGCTGTCAGCGCTCCCCCTCCAAAAAGCCCCGCCTGGCCAGGCGCTGGAGCGCAGGGCGAGGCCAGGGCGGGGTCTCGGGCAGTTTCCCGCGGACCCTGAGAGGAGCGGCCGCCGCGAGTGACTGCACCGAGCCCGAGAAGTCGCCGCGCCCCGCAGCCGCCCCGACTGGTTCCCCGCCTTGCCCGTGGGCCCCGCCGGGATGGGGAACCGCCGGGACCTGGGCCAGCCGCGGGCCGGTCTCTGCCTGCTCCTGGCCGCGCTGCAGCTTCTGCCGGGGACGCAGGCCGGTGAGCCGGGAGGGAAGAGATGGGACCCAGGGTCCACGACTCAGAGAGGCTCTAAAAGAGCGAGGGGTGGAGGGGGGTGGAGGGGCGTGGAGGGGAAGGGCGTGGGCGCCGCGTGCGGCCCCGGTGTGATGTGGGCGCATGAGTATCTGACTCTGGGTGATTTGTGGGTGTGACAGCTCGGGGTGGGGGTGGGGATGTGTGAGTGCGTTTTCTGGCGAGCGCGTGGGAATGCATGCAATGTGCAGGTGTGTGCATGTGTGTATGTGTGTGTAGCATGTGTGTGCATTTGGAGTGAAGTTGCGTATGTGCTTGCGTGTGGAGGTTGATGGTGATAGTGTGACTGTGAGTGACAGGGCAGTGCTGGGACGGTGTGTATTGCGACAGGTGAGTATGCACTTGTGCTCTTGTCTATGTGCTGATTTTCGAGGGTAACCGTGTGAGTGGTTATGCGTGTGATTGTGTGTCTCTGAGTGCCGCTATGAGGGGTGTAGTTATGATTTTTGGGTGCAAATAATTGCCCATGAGGATGAAGGTGGGTGGGGACAAGTATTGGGGGGTGCTCTTCGGGAACCCACAGTTTCCTTTGCGTCTCTTTAAATGGCTTCACCTCATTCTCCCTTTTCCTCCTCTGCCCCAAATTGGCGAGCGCCCATCTCCTCCCCTCCCTCCCTGTTGCCCCCTCCCCCACCCCGCGGTCCCCAGAGCCGCGATCAGCACCATGGACAGGGCTTCGGGGAGGGCCGCGGTGAGGGGCGAGACGGGGCGGGGCGCAGGGCGGGGCAGGAGTGGAAGTTGCTCCCCCCCTCCCCACCCCAGCTGCTGGAGCCTTGGGTGTTTTTCCCGAGGAATTTCTCAGGAGCCCCCAAGGGGTCCCGGGGGCCGCCGGATGGGTGAGTCAGCGCTGACGCACGCCCAGCTGCGCGCATCTGGCTGGGCGCCCTGTCCCGCCCCTCAGGGTTCAGAGTGGGGGGCGCTTCGGGAGTCAGGGGATGGCGTAGCTTCTCAAGTGTTGGAGATGGGGCTTCCCTGATCTGAGAGACCCTAGACTAGGTCCTCCTGGAAATCCCTTTCTAAGGTGAGCTCAGTCTCCCAACACACACACACACACACACACACACACACACACACACACACACCACAGCACACTTCTTACTTTGGAGTCCAGGAAGGTGCCTGTCCATATGGTTAATCCCTGATTGGACTATGCCGCATTCCCACGCTCACACATCCACATGGTCATGGAATCTTAGGCATCCACTCTGAATATAAGTCCCCTGGGACTCCAGGAATGTGAAACACCGTGTCCAGGCAACCCCCTTCAGCCACCCGCCAAATGGTCCCAGCTTTTATGACCCTCCCACGTGCTCAAATTCTCACACATGCTGCCCCTGACATCCGAACAAACACTGTCAACATTCACAACCCATCACCCACTCACCCACTGGGTCACACTCTCACACAGAACGGCACTCCCCCATCAGAAGTCCGAGGTGTTAAAGTCACAGACACACCTGCAAGCTCACGGCAAGCGTTGCATGGCCACACGTCAAGCAAGTGTATCTAATCCCTCCATTAGAAGCCAAATATTTGCACACATTGACACCTGGAGAAACGACATATGCCCAGCTATTCTCTGCCTGTCTCACTCAGACTCACCCACGCTTGTACAATCTCATGCACATACACGTATTTGCACACACATCGCACACCTGGGGGGTTCCCAGCCATGCCCTGACTCAGTCCCCGCCTCTGTCCCTCCACATCCCAGACCCCACCCAACATCCCCGTGGGGGCCCTGACCAGCACAGGGGAGAGTGGCAGGGGGCAGGCTGGGCCCCTGACAGACCCCCCCACCCCTTGTCCCCTGTAGGCAGGACTCAATGCAGCTTGTGTGCCTTTTTGTCATAATGCCAGCTGTGAAAAGAAAGGGCAGTCAGTTTCTGAAAGGTCATTCCAGAGGGGACACAAGTTTCAAGCAGGAGAGCTTTGAGTTGGATGCCGGGAAGGACTTTCTTAATGTAAATGAGTGGTAGTTGAGGGAAGACCCTCTTTCCTCTGCAGAGAGGTTAGGGTGCGGGTCAGGGGAGAGCCTCCAGGCTGGGTGAGGTCGTCGGTCTCAATCCTGCCCTGGGCCCCAGGCTGAGATGGGGCAGCTGGGATGATTGTTCCGTGGGGAAGTGACTCTTGTGGTCAGCAGAGCCTGGGAGCCCAGATCTCAGCCCCAGGGGACTGCAACCCAGATTTCTCTTAATGACAGCCTAGCCACAAAACAGGCAATTAGAGATGGGGGCTGGGGTGATGGGTTGGGGAAGGCGGGTGGAGAGAGAGAGAGATTGAGAAGAGAGAGAGAGAATGAGAGAAAGAGAGAGAGAGAGAGAAAGAGACTTGGACACAGATGGAGGCCTGGAAAGACCCGGCACAGAAAGTGGGACAGAGAGAGGGCGGGCAGGGATGGGGAGAGAAGGAGATTGGAGGCAAGAGGAAACAGAGGCTGAAACAGGCCTCCGAGGAGTCTGGAAAATGAGGGTTCTGACCTAGGAAGAGTGGGAATGGGGGTCCTTCATCCAAGCCCGTGCCTCCCCAACGTCTTAGCCCCCCCGCCCCAGCTCCCCGTGGTGAGATCAGCAGAGCCGCCCCCAGGGGTGAGGTCATGGCAGATTCTGGAGAATCCAGCTCCCGCCAAGAGGCTGGGGCAGGGGGTCAGTGGGACAGTTTGCTGAGGGTTGGGGGATGGGGGAATCAGACAGGGGCTCGGGGCCCAGGGGAAGCCCCCACCCGCCCCTGCCCAAGCCATGTGGTTCCACTTAGCACTGGCTGGGCTGCCTGCTGGGGTGGGGCTGGTAGCATGGCCTAGATTAGGAACTGTTGGGCCAGACAAGTCCTTTCCTTAGCTGGGATGAAAGAGGGAGAGGGTCAGACAGGGGAGGTCTGGAGGTTATCGGAGACAGCTGGTCAGAAGGAGGAAGTCAGAGAGATGAAATGAGGAGGTCATGGGTCAGATGGAGGAGATCAGGATAGGCAGTGGGAGAAGGTCAGGGGGTAGTCAGAGGGAGGAGGTCAGAGGGAGTTGATCAGAAGGGAATGTCAGAGGGAGGAGGTCAGAGGGGAATGTCAGAGGGAGGAGGTCAGAGGGGAAAGTCAGAGGAGAGATCAGAGGGGAGGCTCAGAGGGAGGAGGTCATAGGGGAGAGTCAGAGGGAGGAGGTTAGAGGGGAAAGTCAGAAGGAAGAGGTCAAAGGGGAAAGTCAGAGGGAGGAGGTCAGAGGGGAAAGTCAGGAGAGGAGATCAGAGGAGACATTCAGAGGGAGGAGGTCAGAGGGCAAAGTCTGAGAGAGGAAGTTCATAGAGGAGGGTCAGAGGGAAGAGGTTAGAGGTGAAAGTCAGAGGGAAGAGGTCAAAGGGGAAATTCAGAAGGAGGAGTTTGGGATCAGACAGAAAAAGGAGATCAGAGGGAATAGGCTGGGGTCAGGCAGAAGAAGATCAGAAGGTCAGAGGGGGTAACCAGAAAAAGAAGTTAGTGGGCATGGTCAGAGGCAGATGGTCAGAGGGAGGAGATCCAAAATGGCTGTAGTCAAAAGGAAGAGGTTGTGGGTGATGGTGGTCAAAGGAGGAGGTTAGAGAGAGGGAGGAGGTGGGGGAAGAAAACACACTGGAAGCCCCTCCTCTCCACGTGGGTTTCCCCTGGCAAGGGGGCTCCAGGCCTGGGATATAGCCCTAGGGAGCCTGCGCGGGAGAGCAGGGAGAGGGGGACCGTTCCACTCTGGGGCTTAGGCCAGGAAGTTTTGATTCATCCCAGAACTAGGTCAACTTTTTTTCTCACCAAAAACCAAGGGGAAAAAAAAAAACAGAGTCAACAAGCTGCTGAGGTCGGAACATCTGTGGGGTGGTGAGGAGGCGGGGGGTGCTGGGGGCCCAGGCCGGCTCCTTCTTCCTGAGCCACAAACATGGTGGGAGGGAGGGAGAGGCTGAGCCCCCTAAAAAAACCCTGAGCCTCTATCCTGGAGTCCTGGGCTTATTCTAGCTGTTCCCCACCTCTGCCTGACACCCCCGGCTTCTCTCTGCTGCAGATCCTGTGGATGTCCTGAAGGCCCTGGGTGTGCAGGGAGGCCAGGCTGGGGTCCCCGAGGGGCCTGGCTTCTGTCCCCAGAGGACTCCAGAGGGTGACCGGGCATTCAGAATTGGCCAGGCCAGCACGCTCGGCATCCCCACGTGGGAACTCTTTCCAGGTGAGTTGGAGTAGGAGGCCTGGGTACCTCCCCGGAGGGAGGCACTGCTGGGCCCTCTGAGCTGCCTTGTTCCCTCTGCCCACCCAGAAGGCCACTTTCCTGAGAACTTCTCCTTGCTGATCACCTTGCGGGGACAGCCAGCCAATCAGTCTGTCCTGCTGTCCATTTATGATGAAAGGGGTGCCCGGCAGTTGGGCCTGGCACTGGGGCCAGCGCTGGGTCTCCTAGGTGACCCCTTCCGCCCCCTCCCCCAGCAGGTCAACCTCACAGATGGCAGGTGAGCATGGGGAGAGTGGGCGGGGGTCCGTGGATAAGGGGTGGGGTGAGAAGCACCCGCACTGAGGCCGTCCCCTTGCAGGTGGCACCGTGTGGCCGTCAGCATAGATGGTGAGATGGTGACCCTGGTAGCTGACTGTGAAGCTCAGCCCCCTGTTTTGGGCCATGGCCCCCGCTTCATCAGCATAGCTGGACTCACTGTGCTGGGGACCCAGGACCTTGGGGAAAAGACTTTCGAGGTAGGAGTTCAGTGATGGGGGAAACTGAGGCAGAGGGTGGGATGTTTTGTCTACAGCCTGAATCTGGAGAGGATATTAAAGAAGGAAGATGTCAAGCTTCAATCTATCCCCAGGAAGCTAAGGGAAGCGAGTTCATGCTTTCGTGCACCGTTGCAGCCTGTGATTGTGAGATTGCAGAGCCACAAGACAATAATTTTTTTTTTTTTTTGAGATGGAGCCTTGCTCTGTCACCCAGGCTGGAGTGCAGTGGCTTGATCTCAGCTCACTGCAACCTCCACCTCATGGGTTCAAGCGATTCTCAGCCTCCCAAGTAGCTGAGATTACAGGTGTGTGCCACCACGCCCAGCTAATTTTTGAATTTTTAGTAGAGACAAGGTTTTGACACGTTGGCCAAGCTGGTCCTGAACTCCTGGCCTCAAGTGATCCACCCGCCTTGGCCTCCCAAAGTGCTGGGATTACAGGTATGAGCCACCGCGCCTGGCCAAGACCATAAATTGTGACGATGCCTACTTGGCTTGTTGTGGGAAGATCCAGTTGTGCCAGTGCATGCTTGTGTGTGCCGTTGCAGTGCATGACTGTGAGATTGCAGAGCCACAAGACCATAAATTGTGACAGCGCCTACTTGGCTTGTTGTGGAAAGATCTGGTGGTGTCGTGTGTCTGAGACTGTGACCTGAGATGGTGCTGGTTGCTGTGATAGTGTGTGATTGTGTGGGGGCGGTTATGACTTTGGGAGCCAGCAGGCAGCTGTGTTGTGTGGTTGTGTGATATGTGTTCTGGGTGTGGAGACCTTTGTTAGCTGTGTGTGACCGTGATGTGTGTCACCTCTGGGAGGCCAGGGACCTGATCTATCTCATGTTCCTCCTTATCCCCAGTACCAGCTCTTCCCACAACAAGCCAAGTAGGCATCGTCACAATTTATGGTCTTGGCCGGGCGCGGTGGCTCATACCTGTAATCCCAGCACTTTGGGAGGCCAAGGCGGGTGGATCACTTGAGGCCAGGAGTTCGGGACCAGCCTGGCCAACATGGCAAAACCTTGTCTTTACTAAAAATTCAAAAATTAACTGGGCGTGGTGGCACACGCCTGTAATCTCAGCTACTTGGGAGGCTGAGAATCACTTGAACCGGTGAAGGAACTGATGCACCTCTAGTGGGGCAGATGTGTGGGATGTGGCTTGTGGTTGGGATCGGGTGTGCCCCTGATAGGATCTTTCCTTCTCTTAGTTACAGGGGGTAGAGAGATCACTAGGGCTGTGATGGGGTCATCTCTTCCTTATACTTAGCATGCTCTGGGTGGGGGAGCATTGCACCCTGGTGCCAGGAGGTGGGCAGGACTGCTGGGGGTTAGGGGGTCAGAGTAAGCCTATGGCTGTATGGCTGCCCTCCTTGACTCCTACACCCCCAACCCCCAGGGAGACATTCAGGAGCTGCTGATAAGCCCAGATCCTCAGGCTGCCTTCCAGGCTTGTGAGCGGTACCTCCCCGACTGTGACAACCTGGCACCGGCAGCCACAGTGGTGAGTGAGGGACTCCATGACTCCTAATCTCAGGACACAGGCTGGGTCCTTCCTGGCTCCAGATCCCTAGAAAGAGTGAATTCTCATCCCCCAGACATGGGGTTAAGTGACCCGTGACCTCCAACACATCCCAGGCATGAATGACTTTGACCTCAAGTCATATTCCTGAGCCACCCTTGACCCCAGGTTACATGAATAACGTTGACTCCAGGTCACAGGGCTGAGTGAGGACCCACGGGCCATGAGCCAGCCTCACCCCAGGTGACCTGAATGATGGGGTCTCTGCTGGTGGGATGCTCTAGACCTGACTGGAACCCTTCTCCCAGGCTCCCCAGGGTGAACCAGAAACCCCTCGTCCTCGGCGGAAGGGGAAGGGAAAAGGGAGGAAGAAAGGGCGAGGTCGCAAGGGGAAGGGCAGGAAAAAGAACAAGGAAATTTGGACCTCAAGTCCACCTCCTGACTCCGCAGAGAACCAGGTAAGGGCCCTGAGACCTCTCACTTCCGGTTTTGACCACCTGACTTCCGGTCTTGACTGTCTGACTTCTGGTCTTGGTGCTTGACTTCTAGTCTCCCATCTCTACTAATCTCTGGTCCCTCATCTATGATCTTTTTCTCTGGTCTCGGATCCATGAGCTCTGACTTCTCTCAGCTGACTGATGACTGTCAGGGTGACTGATAACAGGGTGGGGGTGGGTCCCATCTTATGATCTCTCCCATCTCTGACCCCCTCAATCTCCAGTCCTGGGGCACTAGAGGGAGGGGACAGACCCAGATAAGTTCCTGATTTTAAGGGAGTTCTTGATGAGGGCTACTGTTTAAGGGGGGATCATTGGCTGGGTTGAATGACGTGTTCATTAGTTAGTGTGTCATTGTTTGGGGTTCCCTGCTTGGGGTCACTGGGGACAGTTATTCATTGGGAGAGTCATTAATTGGGGGCATTATTTGGCTTCCCTGATAGGGATTGCTGGATAGTGGGGAATCATTGAGGGAGATATTAATTGAGGTCAGTGTTTGGGCTGCACCTAGCTGGGGATCACAGTGGAAGGTCATGGATAGAAACCATTATTGGTGTTACTGATGTCCCTAGTTTGGGGTCAATGACTGGGGGGTTGTTGGTGGGTGGTCACTGACTGGAAGTCATAGTGGGGTCACTCATTGGGGCCACAAGTTGGAAGAGTGATTTTCAGGGGGTCGCAGATGGGGTAATTGGTTTGGGAGTCCCTGAGGGAATTATTAGTTAGGAAGTCATTGATGGGTGGAATTACTATTTGGGGGTCATTGGTTAGGACGCTTTTGTTGCGCTCATTTATGGGTATTCACTGTTGGAGCATCACTGGTTAGAGGAATAATTGATTAGGGGTCACCGATGGGGGTTATTAGTTGGAGAGTCACTAGTTAGTGCTAATAGCCAAGAGATGTCACTGGTTGAGGTCACTGGTTAGGAAAATCACTGAATGGAGCAGTAACAGGTTGAGGCCATTGATGGGAGTGGGAGGGGTTGTTTGTGGGTCTCTGGTTCTAGAATCACTGGGGTCTGTTGATGTAGGTCATTCTTGGTGGGTCACTGGGTTGGGGGGTCCTTGGTGGGGGTCATTGCTTGGGGTCTTTGGCTGGTGGGGGAGTCACTGGTTGCACTACATCTCAGTTCCAGATCTTCTTGGCCAAGAATACAAACACCAGGAGTAGTGGGCCCCTCTTCAGCCCCTTCCTCAGCCTTGTCCCCTCACCTGGGACCCCACCACCCTCTTCCCACACCCCCCCAACCCCCACCTTGACCCAGTTCCTCTGCAGCTGTCCAGGCCAGAAGGAGCCGCCACTCCCTCTCTGACTGTGGCCTGCTGGCCGCTGAACTCTGCCTTGGGAGAGGACATGTGGGCTAGGCTTCCGGGAGCCTGGCCCTGAATGTTGGACCTTGACCTTGACCACTGGGCTTCAGGGCCAGCCTGACTCAGCACCTCCTCCATCCACGGTGGCTCCCTCTGCTGGCAGCCCTGGTCCAGCTGGCACACTTTTGTCTCCATTGGCCTCTGGTGCTCTTTGGGGAGCCTCCTCTGTCCCTGTCCCCGGACTGGGAGCTCCTGGGGACAGTGGGAGGGTGCCTCCCTTTTGTCTTGATTGCCCTCACCCGAGACCCAAGGCTCCCTCCATCCCTGCTCCAGACCTCCACTGACATCCCCAAGACAGAGACTCCAGCTCCAAATCTGCCTCCGACCCCCACGCCTTTGGTCGTCACCTCCACTGTGACTACTGGACTCAATGCCACGATCCTAGAGGTTGGATGGGGATGGAAGAGGGGAGACCCCAAGGGTTACGGGGGTGGCAGAAAATAAGGAGGTCAGGGAAAACTTTGGTCTTTCCTAACGTTCTCAGAGGAGCTTGGACCCTGACAGTGGAACCGAGCTGGGGACCCTGGAGACCAAGGCAGCCAGGGAGGATGAAGAAGGAGATGATTCCACCATGGGCCCTGACTTCCGGGCAGCAGAATATCCATCTCGGACTCAGTTCCAGATCTTTCCTGTGAGTTTCTAGGTGGCTGGGGTTAGGTGCAAGAGAGTGGGATTCCTATTAAAATTTTTTTAAAATTTATTTATTTAGGCAGGGCGCAGTGGCTCCCGCCTGTAATCCGAACACTTTGGGAGACCTAGGTGGGCAGATCATTTGAGGTCAGGAGATTGAGACTAGCCTGACCAACGTGGTGAAATCCCATGTCTACTAAAAATACAAAAAATTAGCTGGGAGCGGTGGCGCGCGCCTGTGATCCCAGCCACTGGGAAGGCTGAGGCAGGAGAATTGCTTGAACCCGGGAGGCAGAGGCTGCAATGAGCCAAGATCGTGCCACTGCACTCCAGCCTGGGCAACAAAGTGAGACTCCATCTTGAAAAAAAAAACCGAACAATTTAAAAAAATTATTTAATTTAATTTTTTCTTTTTTTAAAAAAACTTTTATCTTAAGTTCAGGGGTACAAGTGCAGGCTTGTTACATAGGTAAGCTTGTGTCATGGGGTTTTGTTGTACAGATTATTTATTTCATTACTCAGGTATTAAGCCTAGTACCCATTAGTTATTTTTCCTGATCCTCTCCCTCCTCCCACCCTCCACCCTCCGATAGGTCCCAGTGTCTGTTGTTCCCCTCTATGTGTCCATGTGTTCTCATTTAGCTCCCACTTATAAGTGAGAACATGTGGTATATGGTCTTCTGTTCCTGTGTTATTTTATTTACTTACTTTTCTCACATCTTGAGGTCTTAGAAGGGATTTCTACCTGGAGCCACGAAAGGCCAGTCTCTCTTTTGACTTCTGCACCTGCTTGTGTCAGGCACTGTGCTAATAGTTGACTCTGTGACTAGAGAGAGGCGCTTGGCTTTTACTCCAAGCACCAGGAGATGCCACTTGAGCACTTGTGAAGGAACATGATCTGACTTGGAGCTTTAAAAGCTCCCCCTGGGCCGGGGGCAGTGGCTCACGGCTGTAATCCCAATGCTTTGGGCGGCTGAGGCGGGAGGATCGCTTGAGGCCAGGAGTTTGAGGCCAGCCTGGGCAACAGTGAGACCCATCTCTTAAAAAAAAAAAAAAAAAAAAAAAAAAAAAAGAGCTCTCTGGCTGCTGAATGGCACATGGACAGTAGGGGGAGCCAGAGGGGCAGCAGGGAAGCCCGCAATCTGCAGTCGGGACGTGACCTGGAGGAAGATGGGAGGGACGCAGAGAAGTGGACCACTTTGGGACATGCTCCATTTTGGTCTTGGAGAAAGATGGATACGCATTCGATGTAACCGAACCCAAGCTCGGTGGCTTGATGTTTGAAAGGAAAACAAGAGAGACGAGAATTGGTGGAAGGAAAAGCAGGTTTATTCCAAGAGACAGCAAACCAAGAAGATGGTGGACTGTTGTTCCGAAGCACCATCTTAAGTCAGTACAAATTTTAGGCTTTTTTTTTATGTTAAGGGCAGGGAGAAGAGAAGAGGGTAGAGATCAAGAGGTAACTGAGGCCAGGTATGGTGGCTCACACCTATAATCTCAGCAATTTGGTAGGTTGAGGCGGGAAGATCACCTGAGCCCAAGAGTTTGGGACAAGCCTGGGTAACATAGCGAGACCCTATCTTTACAAAATATACAAAAAATTAATCGAACGTGGTGGTTCGTGCCTCTGGTCCCAGCTGAAGCAGGAGGATCGCTTGAGCCC
Source organism: Homo sapiens (assembly GCF_000001405.40). Classification (NCBI taxonomy): domain Eukaryota; kingdom Metazoa; phylum Chordata; class Mammalia; order Primates; family Hominidae; genus Homo; species Homo sapiens. Next base: position 9,999,861 of record NC_000019.10, on the reverse strand, counting down.
AGGAGGTGGAGGCTTCAGGAAGCCATGATCACACCACTGCACTGCAGCCCGGGTGGCAGAGCAAGACCTTTCTCTAGAGAAAAGAAAAGAGGCTTGGGCCAGGCGCGGTGGCTCACGCCTGTAATCCCAGCACTTTGGGAGGCCGAGGAGGGCTGATCACGAGGTCAGGAGATTGAGACCATCCTGGCTAACATGGTGAAACGCTGTCTGTACTAAAAAATACAAAAAAATTAGCTGGGCGTGGTGGCGGGCGCCTGTAGTCCCAGCTTCTCGGGAGGCTGAGGCAGAATGGCGTGAACCCGGGAGGCGGAGCTTGCAGCAAGCCGAGACCACGCCACTGCACTTCAGCCTGGGCGCGAGAGGGAGACTCTGTCTCAAAAAAAAAAAAAAAAGAAAAAAGAAAAAAAGAAAAGAAAAAAGGCCAGGTGCAGTGGCTCCCAGTTTGAGTTCAGCCTGGGCAACATAGCAAGACCCTGTCTCTACAAAAAAATAAAATAAAAAATAGCTGGGCATGGTGCTGTGTGCACCTGTGGTCCCAGCTACTCAGGAGGCTGAGGAGGGAGGATCACCTGAGTCTGAGGAGATCGAGGTTGCAGTGAGCCATGATTGTACCCCTGCATTCTAGCCTGGGCAATAGAGTGACCCTGTGTCAAAAAAAAAATGCCAAGCAAAGCAAGCAAGCAAGAGAAGGAAGGAAGGAAGGAAGGAAGGAAGGAAGGAAGGAAAAAAGAGAGAGAAAAAAGGAAAAGCCTGCCTGGGCAATAGAGTGACTCTGAAAAAAAAGAAAAAAGAAAGAAGAAAGAAAAAGAGAAAGAAAGAGAAAGAAAAAGAAAGAGAAAGAAAGAAAGAAAGAAAAGAAAGAAAGGAAGGAAGGAAGGAGCCAAGCATGGTGGCTCACGCCTGTAATCCCAGCACTTTGGGAGGATGAGGCGGGTGGATCACCTAAGTCAGGAGTTCGAGACCAGCCTAACCAACATGGTGAAACCTGGTCTCTACTAAAAATACAAAAATTAGCCAGGCGTGTTGGCGGGCACCTGTAGTCCCAGCTACTGGGGAGGCTGAGGCAGGAGAATCGCTAGAACCCAGGAGGTAGAAGGTGCAGTGAGCTGAGATCACACCACTGCACTCCAGCCTGGGGGACAGAGCAAGACTCCATTTAAAAAAAAAAAAAGAAGAAAGAAAAAGAAGAAGGAAAGAAAGAAAGGGAGAAAGGAAAAGCCTAGGTGTTCCACAGGGGAGGCGCATAGACACATAGTTGTAACTAACTTGCCCTTGCTACCTTGTTACCTGGAGTGCTTGTTGTGTGCCAAGCATTGTTTTAATTCATTCATCTTTGCATGATATATACACAGGCGTCATTCATCCACTGACTTTACAGGTTGACCGGTTACCTGTAAGTGGCCATAGGGGTTGACTAAGTTTCCCAACTTAGTTAGATCACTCAGTTAGTAAGAGGCAGATGCAGGATCAGTATTGGGCAGCAGTCTCTGGATTTCACGCTCTTCATTCACCTTGGCATGGCATTGCCCGGTGGATGCGGGGGGCTGAGCTTCTCAGTGCATATTGGTTACAGTAGAGGAGAAGGGGCTCTGAGGGTGGACTCCGTGTGTGTGTGTGTGTGTGTGTGTGCAAGTGTGTGTGATCAGATAACTGAAGGGCTTATGTCCAAGTTCACATCTCTTTTCTCTCCATCTCCCCTGACCCCACCCCAGGGTGCTGGAGAGAAAGGAGCAAAAGGAGAGCCCGCAGTGATTGAAAAGGTGAGGGGTCTGGATTGTGAGGGGGTTGAGAGGCTTCATGATGACAGCGGTCACCGACACTCACTTCTCCCTTCAGGGGCAGCAGTTTGAGGGACCTCCAGGAGCCCCAGGACCCCAAGTAAGTCATGGCTGTGTTTCCTTCTTCCAGTCTTTCCCTTCCAGCTGAGGGGTGTTTAATCCCCTGGAGTGAGGAGTTGGGGTGTAATGTTGCCTGGCCAAGTGGAGGGTAGTGGACATTTGAGGCTTAAAGGGTGAGTCAAAATAGGGAGGATGAACAATATAGAGACTGGGCAACATAGCAAGACCCCATCTCTTTAAAAATAGCCATATATTTTTTTAAAAAATAGTGGCACCCAACTGTAGTCCCAACTACTTGGGAGGCCAAGGTGGGAGGATTGCTTGAGCCTAGGAGTTGGAGGCTGCAGTGAGCTATGATCACGCCACTGCACTCCAGCATGGGTGACAGAGTGAGACCGTCTCTAAAAAAAGAAGAGGGGTCCGAGAGTAGCGTTGGGGGTGAGTGGGGGTCAGTATTGCATTAGGGGAGTTGGAGTGGCTCTGTAGTGGGGTAGGGAGGTCAGCCTGAGGTTAGAGTCAGTGGTAGGTTGAAAGTCAGCCTAGCTCAAACTTTGCACTTCCTGTGACTCCTGTTTCTCTGTCCCCAACAGGGGGTGGTTGGCCCCTCAGGCCCTCCCGGCCCCCCAGGATTCCCTGGCGACCCTGGTCCACCGGTAAGAGACTCCCACTGGGGTGTACACTTCTCAGAGGAGTGAGGTTTGGGGCTGGGAGCGTGACAGTCTGAACATAGATATGAGGGTGTGGCACTCGGGAACACCATCCCGGGGCTGGCACTGACCTCTTCTGTTCTCTGTCTCCCATCTGTGAACTATTTCTCTGGTTCACCTTGTGTTGCTGGGGCCTACTCTTTGCTTTTCTTCTTTTGCCTGTCTCTGTTTCTGAGTGTCTTTTATCTCTGTCTTTCTCCTGTTGTGACTCTGTCTCTGTCTCTCTTCTGTCTCTCTCTGTTGGTCTCTGTCCCTCTCCCTCCGTCCATCTCTCTATGTTCGCCTCTCTCTCTATTTCTCCATCTCTGTCTGTCTTTCACTGGCTTTTCTGTCTCTGTCTATCTCTCTCTGTCTCTCTGTTTCTGTCTCTGTATGTCTCTCCATCTGCCCCCATCCTTCTCCATCCCTCTCTCCCCTTCTCTTTGTCTCTGTTCCATCTCTGTCTTTTCCTTTCCACTTCTCTCTACTTCTCTCTCTTTCCTTGCCATGATCCCTCTTTGATTCTGTGTCTCTCTCCATCTCTCCCTCTCTCTCTCTTTCTGACTCATCCTTCTGTGCCTCCCCTGTCCTCGCTCTCTCTCTCCCTCTCTCCCTGTCTCCACCTCTCTTCCCCCATCCCTCTCTCAGGGCCCTGCTGGCCTCCCAGGAATCCCCGGCATTGATGGGATCCGAGGCCCACCGGGCACTGTGATCATGATGCCGGTAAGAAGGAGATGGAGTGGCCCAGCCTTGGGGAGTGGAGTCCTGATCCAGGAGGGGGCCTCTCCTGGGGGCTTCCCTCACCACTAAATTCCTCCCAGTTCCAGTTTGCAGGCGGCTCCTTTAAAGGCCCCCCAGTCTCATTCCAGCAGGCCCAGGCTCAGGCAGTTCTGCAGCAGACTCAGGTGAGTGGGAGGTGTGGACATAGTGGGAGGAACCCCAGAGAGTGATAGAGCCTCGGCGTAAGGAGGGGCTGGGCAGGAGAAGGGGGTTATTTTTCTCCTGAAGATGCCTCTGTGGGGAATGTTGGGGGTCTTGTGGGAGGCCCCAAGCTCTGACTCCTCTGTCTTTCCAGCTCTCTATGAAAGGCCCCCCTGGTCCAGTGGGGCTCACTGGGCGCCCAGGCCCTGTGGTGAGTAAGGCGACTGCGTGGAGGGGGCGGTGCATGCATTAGTGAAGAATCATCTACCCACACTCCTCCATCTCTCCTCCCCCAAGGGTCTCCCCGGGCATCCAGGTCTGAAAGGAGAGGAGGGAGCAGAAGGGCCACAGGTGAGACTTGTGGAGATAGGGCAGGATAGGATGGGAATAGCCTTCCCCCAGGACCACAAGATACAGTGCTGGATGGGGAAAGTGCCAAAGGGGCTGGGGATACCCTTGCAATTGATGACTTTCCTAGAGAATGGTGGCTCACATCTGGAATCCCAGAACTTTGGGAGGCCGAGGTGGGAGGATTGCTTGAGGCCAGGAGTTCAAGACCAGTCTGGGCAACATAGGGAGGCCCTGTCTATACAATAAATAAATATGTCCTTCCAAGCTGGGTACAGTGGCACACACTTGTCTCAGCTACTTGGGAGGCTGAGGAGGGAGTATTGCTTGAGCCCAGGTGTCTGGCCTGGGCAATACAGCAAGACCCCATCTCTAATTTTTTTTAATACAATAGAATAAGTCCCTCTTTCTTCTTATTTTCCTTTCCTTCCTCCTTTTTGCTTTCTTCTAGGGTCCCCGAGGCCTGCAGGGACCTCATGGACCCCCTGGCCGAGTGGGCAAGATGGTGAGTGACAGCTAGGTCCCCAGACCACCCCTTATCCATCCCTCAACACCCAACATGAGCCTTGGCTTTGTGACCTTGGGGTCTGCTGGTGTCGTTAGTGGGAAAAGAGTGCTGAAGGCAGGGAATGGCAGCTCCACTGAGTGTGTGTCAAAGGAATCCGGCCAGGCCGTAGAGTCAGGAAGGACTTGCCTGCAGGAGTGATGCTTGCCCTGAGATCTGAAATAGAACCAGATGAACAGATGGGGAAGTGGAAGAAACAGCACGGCAAAAAAGAGGCCTGTCACATGGAAGGAAATGACAAACAAGTCAACTTCAGATAGAGTCATGCACCACATAATGATGCTTATAAGATGATTGGCTGCGCGCAGTGGCTCATGCCTATAATACCAGCACTTAGGGAGGCCGAGGCAGGTGGATCATTTGAGGTCAGGAGTTTGAGATCAACCTGGCCAACATGGGGAAACCCCGTCTCTACTAAAAATACAAAAATTAGCCGGGCATGGCAGCGTGCGCCTGTAATCCCAGCTACTCGGGAGGCTGAGGCATGAGAATGGCTTGAATCCAGGAAGCAGAGGTTGCAGTGAGCCAGTGCACACCAGCTTGGGTGGCAGAGTGAGATTGTGTCTCAAAAAATAATAATAATAATAATAAATAAATAAGATGCTGGTCCCATGAGATTATAATACTGTATTTTTACTGTACCATTTCTATGTTTGGATGTGTTTAGACATACAAATACTTACTATAGTGTTACAATTGCCTGTGATATTCAGTACAGTCGCACATTGTTCAGGTTTGTAGTCTGAGAGCACTAGGTTATACCGCATAGCCTGGGTGTTTGGTAGGTTGTACCATCCAGAGTTGTGTAAGTGCATTCTATCTTGTTCACACAATGACAAAATTGCCCACTGATGCATTTCTCAGAATGTATCCCTGTTGTTCAGTGACATGTGACCATATATATATATATATATATATATATATATATATATATATATATATATGTAAAACATATATGTAACTCCAGCCTGGGCAACAGAGCAAGACGCCATCTCAAAAAAATAAAATAAAATAAAATCAGCCATGGCATAGCAACTGGTATCTCTAATCCCAGCACTTTGGGAGGCTGAGGTGAAAGGATGGCTTGAGCCCAGGAGTTTGAGACCAGCTTGTGCAACATGGCAAAACCCGGTCTCTACACAAAATACAAATAAAAAATTAGCCAGGTGTGGTGGTGTGCACTTGTAGTCCCAGCTACTTGGGAGGCTGAGGTGGGAGGATTGCTTGAGCCAGGAATTCGAAGCTGCATTGAGCCATGATCATGCCACTGCACTCCAGCCTGGGCAAGAGAGCAAGACCTCAGCTCTAAAATACATAAATAAATTAAAAAAAATAATATCTTAGCCTTGGCATGGTGGCTCATGCCTGTAATCCCAGCAGTTTGGGAGGCTGAGGTGGGTGGATCGCTTGCATTCAGGAGTTTGAGACTAGCCTGAGCAACAGGGTGAAACCCCCACCATCTCTACCAAAAATATAAAAAATTAGCCAGGCCTGGTGGCATGCACCTGTGGTCCCAGCTACTCAGGAGGCTGAGGTTGCAGTGAGCTGAGAACGTGCCACTGCACTCCAACCTGAGTGACAGAAGGAGACCCTGTCAAAAAAAAAATCTTGATGTTGATGATGAAGTTGGGTTCCTAATTTGGTGGAGGGGTACAGGGAAGGCTCATCCTTGACTCTTGGGCTTACTTTCTCCATAGGGCCGCCCTGGAGCAGATGGAGCTCGGGGCCTCCCAGGGGACACTGGACCTAAGGTAGGTGATGGGGGCTGAGATAAGACTTGGTGGGAGCTGTCAGGCTTATGGGGTCAAGGCTCACTGGTGTCTCTGGACAGGGTGATCGTGGCTTCGATGGCCTCCCTGGGCTGCCTGGTGAGAAGGGCCAAAGGGTGAGTGTGTGAGGTCCCTCCCCCAAGTCTAAGCCCTCCTCCCAATATTCAAGCCCCCCCAACTTCTCCCTCAGTATCAGAGTCATGATCCCTGTGTCCCTCCTCACACCCCATCTGCCTTCCCAGGGGGCTGGTCTCTCCGCCCACACCCTTCCACTCTGAACTCCCCTCTGTTCCCTCTCCAGGGTGACTTTGGCCATGTGGGGCAACCCGGTCCCCCAGGAGAGGATGGTGAGAGGGTAAGTTTGGAAGAGAGTTAGGGCCTGGTTTGGAAAGTAAGTTTGGAAGCCTGAGTGAGAATCAGAGAGGAAGATCTGGAGGTCTCAGTGGCCAGCTTGAGAGCTAGGGACAAATTGTGGGGTGAGGAGGTGAGACTTGCAGGTCTAGGATTGGAGTCAGGGGCCTGAATGGAATCCCATGAACTTAGTCTGCAGGTTCCCAGGGATCCTGGTCTAATTCCGAGACCCCCTGGAAGGGGCTGCCCAGATGAGGGGAGGTGGCTCTCCGAGGGTTGTACCTTCCTGTTCCCAAGTAATGACGCTTTTCCACAGGGAGCAGAGGGACCTCCAGGGCCCACTGGCCAGGCTGGGGAGCCGGTGAGTATCAGGGATCCCTGGGCCCCTTGCTTGGTGCAGGGGAGGGAGTCAGGACTCCCAGGGCCCCAGGACTCATAGGACCCCTAGAGCTCACATGGCCACACAGAGGTGATGTGGAAATAATTCGCCTGCTCCCTTGCAGGGTCCACGAGGACTGCTTGGCCCCAGAGGCTCTCCTGGCCCCACGGGTCGCCCGGTGAGTGTCACTGGCTCTCTGCATCCCTGTCTGTCTTTTTGTTTGTTTTGAGATTAGGGTCTCGCTCTGTCGCCCAGGCTGGAGTGCGGTGGCGAGATCTCAGCTCTCTGCAACCTCCGGCTCCTGGGTTCAGGTGATTCTCATGCTTCAGCCTCCTGAGTAGCTGGGACTACAGGGACCCACCAGCACACCTGGCTAATTTTTGTATTTTTAGTAGAGACAGGGTTTCACCATGTTAGTTAGGTTGGTCTCGAACTCCTGGCCTCAAGTGGTCCTCCCAAAGTGCTGGGATTACAGGCCTGAGCCACTGTTCCTGGCCCCTGTCTGTCTTTTTTTTCTCGCTTTTCTGCCTTCTGCATGTCCATATCTGTTGCTGGCTTCTCTGCCTGCTCACATTTCTTTCTTTCTTTTTTTTTTTAGACAGAGTTTTGCTCTTGTTGCCCAGGCTGGAGTGCAATGGCACGATCTCTGCTCACTGCAAACTCCGCCTTCCACGTTCAAGCTATTCTCCTGCCTCAGCCTCCTGAGTAGCTGAGATTACATGCCTGGCTAATTTTTGTGTTTTTAGTAAAGACGGGGTTTCACAATGTTGGCCAGGCTGGTCTTAAACTCCCGACCTCAGGTGATCCACCTGCCTCAGCCTCCCAAAATGCTGGGATTACAAGCATGAGCCACAGTGCCCGGCCCTGCTCACCTTTCCACCTGCATCTCTCGGTGTCTCAGACTCAGGCTCCCAGCTTGTTGCTCTGTCTTGGTCTCACATCCTCTTTTCCCCTAGGGTGTGACTGGAATTGATGGTGCTCCTGGTGCCAAAGGCAATGTGGTATGTGCCCTGTGCCCTTTGACCTCTGACCCTTCTGACACTCTGACCCCGATTGTCCACATCCCTATTCCCTTCCATGACTGACCCCCCCCAAGTCAATTTCACTAACGCCCCAACACCATGACCCCTCTTAGCTTCACTGAAACCCCACTTTCTCCCCAGGGTCCTCCAGGAGAACCAGGCCCTCCGGGACAGCAGGGAAACCATGGGTCCCAGGTTTGAACTGTCTTTCCCAATAATGGGGCATGGGAGTGGTCAGTTAAGACCTTAGACCGTGACCAGGCTTCCCAACCTCCACACTCACCGCTTCTTTCTTATGCCTTCTCTCATCTTCTTTTTCTGTCTCCAGGGACTCCCCGGTCCCCAGGGACTCATTGGCACTCCTGGGGAGAAGGTGAGTGACAGCTCCACCTACCGCGACCTCCTCAAGTCTTCTTCCTTCAACTCTGTTGCCAGGAAAATCTTCCCACCAAGACCCCTCTGTTAGCTCTGGATAGTGATAGACTGCAACATTCCCTAAGCCAGCCCGGAGATACAAAGTGTCCTTGTTGGGGAAGGATTGGTTGCAAGAAACAGAAACCCACCAAGGCTAGCTCACATAAGGGATATTGTCAGGATACAGAGAGCCCACAGAAGCCTGTCACAGAAGATATTACCAAGAGGCACAGGCCCTGTGGGTCTCATCTTTGTTCCCTGGCACATCTGCTTCCGCCTTCCCTGGCAGACACACTTCTTTCTGCACATATCTTTTTTTGGGGGGTGTGGACAGGGTCTCACTCTGTCGCCCAGGCTGGAGTGCAGTGGCTCAATAATGCCTCACTGCAGCCTTGACTTCCCCAGGCGAGGTGGTTCTCCCACCTCATCCACCCGAGTAGCTGGGACTATCAGCGCATGCCACTGTGCCTGGCTAATTTTTCTTTTCTTTTCTTATTTTCTTTTTTTGTAGAGATGGGGTCTGCCTGTGTTGCCCAGGCTGGTCTTGAACTCCTGGGCTCATGCAGTTCATCTGCCTTGGCCCCCCAAAATGCTGGGATTACAGGCGAGAGCCATCATGCCCGGCTGGGCATTTTTAAAGAAAGGGGTGTGGCTGTGAAGCTTCTATTTCAACATGTCTCTTGCACTGTTTTAATTTAATTTTATTGGTCAGGTGCGGTGGTTCACACCTGTAATCCTAGCACTTTGGGAGGCTGAGATGGGGGGATCACGAGGTCAGGAGATCGAGACCATCCTGGCTAACATGGTGAAACCCTGTCTCTACTAAAAATACCAAAAAATTAGCCGGGCGTGGTGGCGCGCGCCTGTAGTCCCAGCTACTCGGGAGGCTGAGTCAGGAGAATGGCATGAACCTGGGAGGCGGAGCTTGCAGTGAGCCGAGATCTTGCCACTGCACTCCAGCCTGGGCGACAGAGCGAGACTCCACCTCAAAAAAAAAATTAATTTTATTTATTATCTTTGTGGGTACATAGTAGGTATATACTTATGGAGTACATGAGATGTTTTGATACAGGCATGCGCATAAGAATCATGTCATGTAGTATCCATCCCCTCAAGTATTTATTCTTTGTGTTACAAACAATCCAGTTATACTATTTTAGTTTTTTTTTTTTTTTTGACAGAATTTCACTCTTGTTGTCCAGGCTGGAGTGCAATGGCATGATCTCAGCTCACTGCAACCTCCACCTCCCGGGTTCAAGTGATTCTGCCACCTCAGCCTCCCAGGTAGCTGGGATTACAGGTGCCCACCACTACGCCCAGCTAATTTTTGTATTTTCAGTAGAAACGGGGTTTCACTATGTTGGCCAGGCTGGTCTTGAACTCCTGACCTCAGGTGATCCACCCTCCTCGGCCTTCTAAAGTGCTGGGATTACAGGTATGAGCCACCACGCCCGGCCTCTTTTAGTTATTTTTAAATGTACAAGTAAATTATCACACAGAAGTGTGTCTGCCAGGGAAGGCGGGCACAGTGGCTCACGCCTGTAATCTCAGCACTTTGGGAGGCCGAGGTGGGTGGATCACTTGAGGTCAGGAGTTTGAGACCAGCCTGGCCAGCATAGTGAAACTCCATCTCTAATAAAATTACAAAAATTAGCCGGGTGCTGTAGTCCCAGCTACTGGAGAAGCTGAGGCAGGAGAATCACTTGAACCTGGGAAGAGGTTGCAGTGAGCTGAGATCATGCTACTGCACTCCAACCTGGGCGACATATAATTGACTATAGTTACCCTGTTGTGCTATCAATCTTGTACTGTTTTTATGTTCTTCCTTGCAACCTTCCCAGAGGCAGTGGATTTCTGAGGATCAGAGAGGGAAATGGGCTTGCCTGGGGTCACACAGCAAGTTTGGGCAGAGCTGGGATAGATTTCCTGGCCAGTGAGGTCTGCTTATTTCTTAACCTTGAGGCGGCTGCATGTCTGCGTAGATCCTAGTGGTGCTCCAGGGCTCTGAGCACCTCTGTCTCTCCCCTGCTGTTCATCTTCTTTCAGGGTCCCCCTGGAAACCCAGGAATTCCAGGCCTCCCAGGATCCGATGGCCCTCTGGTGAGAACCATGAGCTGGGAAAAGGAGGAAGGAGAAAGGGGAGCCTTGGGAATTGGAATGGCAAGTTTTGGTCTCTGACAACTGAGAATGTTTCTTCCCCAGGGTCACCCAGGACATGAGGGCCCCACGGGAGAGAAAGGGGCTCAGGTGAGTGACCAGGAGGTTAGGCTGGGTTGGGGACGAGGGTCGGGAGGCAGGGCCTGCAGTCAGGGGCCACAGAGGAGAGAGATGAGGGCTCTTAGAATGTGGAAGGGACTGTCTAGAATGGCACTGACCTTATTTTCCTCCCAGGGTCCACCAGGGTCGGCAGGCCCTCCGGGCTATCCTGGACCTCGGGGAGTGAAGGTAGGTGATACGCTTGCAGGTATGAGTGATTTACCAGCTTTGGGTTCAGGCATGCGATGCAGCTCCATCAGAAACTTCTGGATGTGTGGAGAGGGGAATCAGTTGGCCAGGCCAAATGTAGTGGGACTGGGGTTTGGAGCTGCACAGCCAAGGACAGCCTTACAGTGTGGTTGTCACCTTGTTGTTAGAACAGCTAAGCCCATTAGAGGCCAAACACATTTCTTTCTTTTCTCTTTTCCTTTTTCCTTTTCTTTTCTTTACTTTCTTTTTTTTTTTTTTTTTTTTTTTTTGAGACAGAGTCTCGCTTTGTCGCCCAGGCTGGAGTGCAGTGGAGCGATCTCCACTCACTGCAACCTCTGCCTCCTCCCGGATTCAAGCGATTCTACTGCCTCAGCTTCCTGAGTAGCTGGGACTGCAGGCATGCACCACCACTCCTGGGTAATTTTTGTATTTTTATTAGAGACAGGGTTTCACCATGTTGGCCAGGCTGGTCTCGAACTCCTGACCTCAGGTGATCCACCCTCCTTGGCTTCCCAAAGTGCTGGGATTACAGGCATGAGCCACTGTGCCTGGCCCGAGGGTTGTGTTCTAACCCAAGCTCAGAATCACATAAGCACAGTATGCTGGGTTAAGCCAAGAGCTGCAACCTGGCTAAATAGAGGTGCAGGGGCATTAGAGTTCATATCCATATGGAAGCTGAGTCCAGTGACATTGTAGCCAAATACAGATGTAATTTACCTGAACATGTGTGCATTAGACAAGCTTAGACACACTATAATCAAGGAATTGGCTATACTGTAGCAGGCACAGAGTCTGGCAAGCATCACCCTCAGAGTTACATTGTAGCCAAGCATAATTACATTTTTAATCTTTTTTTGTTTTTGTTTTTGAGACCTGGTTCTGCTCTTGTTGCCCAGGCTAGAGTGCAATGATGCCACCTGGGCTCACCGCAACCTCTGCCTCCCAGGTTCAAGCGATTCTCCCGCCTCAGCCTCTCGAGTAGTGGTATTACAGGCATGTGCCACCACGTCTGGCTAATTTTTGTATTTTTAATAGAGACAGGATTTCTCCATGTTGGTCAGGCTGGTCTTGAACGCCTGACCTCAGGTGATCCGGCCGCCTCGGCCTCTCAAAGTGCTGGGATTACAGGCATGAGCCACCACACCCGGCCCTAAATGTTTTATTTTTTAGAGACAGGGTCTTCTCTGTTGCCCAGGCTGGAATATAGCAGCATAATGATGGCTCACTGCAGCCTTGAACTCCCGTGCTCAAGTAATCCCCTCACTTTAGCCTCCTGAATAGCTAGGACTATAGGCGTATCCCACCAGGCTTGGCAGTTTTTTCATTTGATTATTATTATTATTATTCTTGAGACAGGGTCTCACTCTGTTACCCACGCTGGAGTGCAGTACCACCATCACAGTTCACTCACTGCAGCCTAGAGCTCCCAGGCTCAATCAATCCTCCCACCTCACCCTCCCAGGTAGCTGGGACTATAGGTGCACGTCACCACATCCGGCTACCTTTTTTCTTTTTTTTTTGTACTTTTTGTATAGATGAGGTTTTCCTGTGTTGCCCAGGCTGGTCTGGAACTCCTGGGCTCAAGCAATCCTCCAGCCTCTGCCTCCCAAAATGTTGGGATTACAGGTGTAAGCCACCATGCCCAGCCTTTAGAAACATTAACTGACCCCTATGTTGTAGTTGAGTCTAGTTACATTGTAGCCAACCCCTATGTTGTAGTTGAGTCTAGTTACATTGTAGCCAAAGCTAGAGAACAACTTGTAGCCAAGCTCAGTTACATTGTGATCAAGTGAATTTGTCTGTAGCTGGAGACTAACCACATGGGCTGTATTGTATCCAAGCGCAATTTCATTGTAGCCCGCTGAGCTCAGAGATGTTGTAGCCAAGTGCAGTTTTCAGAGTTTGGTGTGAGCAGCATCCAGACTTGAACTAAGCGCTCTCTCCATAGCCAAGCACAGAGGTCATCTTGTTGCCAAGCACAGAGTCGCCTTGTAGCTGGCACAATGGGGAACATTCCTTTGCCTTTAAAATGAGGTCCGGGCCTGGAATGTTCATCCTCTTTCTCCTGCCAGAAGGAACTGTGGACAAAGCGTCTCCAGGAGATGGGAATCGCTTACTTGGAAATTTGGCCTTCCCTGCACACCCCCGCACAGATGACCTTGAGAGGCCTCCAGTGGGGAGGGAGGGGCCTCTGGGGAAAGATCATTTCTTCTGAAGCTGCCCCTCCCAGCTTCTGCCTAGCCTCCTCTTGGGACTATCCTGGCTGCTTTAGAGCAGGGGACTGAGTCTGGGTCACTTCTTAAGCAGGGAAGAGGCTTGAGAGCTTTTTTTTTTTATTTTCCAGGGCACTTCAGGCAACCGGGGCCTCCAGGGGGAGAAAGGCGAGAAGGTGAGGAGAGAAGGAACTCATCAGAGGAGAGGGAGTCCCAATCATGGGGTCCTGGTTGTGTCCCTTCCCCGAGGCCCTCACTTCTGGCCTCTGTCTCTCCCACCCAGGGAGAGGACGGCTTCCCAGGCTTCAAGGGCGATGTGGGGCTCAAAGGTGATCAGGTAAGACCAGCTCCAGATGAGGGGTGGTGTGGGTCTGGGGGCTCGGGGAAGATAGGGAGGGGATGAGCTGGGGCTAGACAGAGCAGGAAGGACAAAAGATGGATATTAAATACTCTCCTTTTTCTTCCAGGGGAAACCCGGAGCTCCAGGTCCCCGGGGAGAGGATGGTCCTGAGGGGCCGAAGGGGCAGGCGGGGCAGGCTGGCGAGGAGGGGCCCCCAGGCTCAGCTGGGGAGAAGGTAAATGACTCTCCACCCTCTAGCCTCCCACAGTCAAGGTGTCCCCAATCTTTTCCCTCTGCCCTTTGCCCTTTTATTATACCTTCGACCTCAGGAGGTTGCTACCAACCTTGTCATCTTTAATTCCTCAGCTCAGCATTACAGAGCAATTTAATGCATGCAACTTATGTGTTCATATCCATAACCACCACATGCAATAGGCATTTTCATCCCATTTTACAGACAAGGAAAACTGAGACTTGGAATGGCTGAATGACCTGCCCAAGGACATGCCCCTAGCAGGCAGGAGCAAGGACTTGAACCTCGTTTCCCCAACTCCCATCCCATTAGCCCATTCACCATGCCCCAGCCAGCCTGACCTTTCCGCCTCTGACCTCCAGGTTGCAATTTCTGACCTTTGTCCCATAACCTTTCTGCAGGGCAAGCTTGGGGTGCCAGGCCTCCCAGGTTATCCAGGACGCCCTGGACCTAAGGTAGGAAGCTGGGGGTGGGGGGTGGAGATGGATATGGGCAGGATTCAGAGACTAACATCTGGGGGTCCAGGCTGTGGTCTTGGGGGATGAGCTGCCCACCCCAAGGGTCACTGAGAGAATGTAAAATGTGGGCTTTGGCCAGGCATAGTGGCTCTTGGCTATAATCCCAGCACCCTGAGAGGCTGAGGTGAGAGGATTGCTTGAGCCCAGGAGTTCGAGACCAGACTGGGCAACGTGGCAAAACGTGGTCCCTATGAAAACATACAAAAATTAGCCAGATGTGGCTGGGCGCAGTGGCTCATGGCTGTAATCCCAACACTTTGGGCGGCAGACGCAGGCGGATCACTTGAGGTCAGGAGTTAGAGACCAGCCTGGCCAACATGGAGAAACCCCATCTCTACTAAAAATACAAAATTAGCTGGGTGTGGTGGTGCATACCTGTGATCCTAGCCACTCGGGAGGCTGAGGCAGGAGAATCGCTTGAACCCAGGAGGCAGAGGTTGTGGTGAGCTGAGATTGCACCATTGCACTCCAGCCTGGGCAACAAGAACGAAACTCCATCTAAAAAAAAAAAAAAAATTAGCCAGATGTGGCCGGGGGCAGTGGCTCACACCTGTAATCCCAACGCTTTGGGAGGCAGAGGCAGGCGGATCACTTGAGGTCAGGAGTTTGAGACCAGCCTGGCCAACATGGTAAAACCCTGTCACTACCAAAAATACAAAAAAATTAGCTGGGCATAGTAGCATGCACCTGTAATCCCAGCTACCCAAGAGGCTGAGACAGGAGAATTGTTTGACCCCAGGAGGCAGAGGTTGCAGTGAGCCAAGATCTCACCACTGAACTCCAGCCTGGTGACAAAGCAAGATTCCATCTCAAAAAAAAAAAAAAAAAAAAAAAAATTAGCCAGATGTGGTCCCAGCTACTTGGGAGGCTGAGATGGGAGGATCACCTGAGCCCAAGGAGATTGAGCCTGCAGTGAGCTATGATCGAGCCACTGCACCCCAGCGTGGGTGACAGAGGGGGACTCTGTCTCAAAAATTTTTTTAAAAAGTGAGCTTTGACATCAGACAGACTTGGGGTCAAATGCCCTCTTACCCGCTATGTGATCTTGGGAAAGTTTCTTGAGCCTGTTTTCTCTGCGGTGAAACAGACATCCCAGTAATTTCCACCTCATCAATTTGATTATAATAATGTTGATAATGCTGATGATGACAATGATTATAAAACTGTAGGATCCTTTTATTTGGTGTGATTAAGTTTCATTCACCAACAAAGTCAGTTAAAGGGGAGAATCATAGAATCATAAAATACACATCTTACATATCTTGAATTAATTATAACTTATAGTCAAATGTACTTATGCAAAAACGTACTTATATGAAAACATAACATTTGTTTGCCAATGTTTTGATGGGTGAGGACACTGATGAGATTCATTTTTCTGCCTAAACTATTCCCATATTATATCACTGATGAGTTCTGTTTCTCTAGAGTAGAGCAGGAACCTAAAGACATTTGGGGCTGGGCGCAGTGGCTCATGGCTGTAATCCCAGCACTTTGGGAGGCCGAGGCGAGTGGATCACCTGAGGTCGAGAGTTCACCACCAGCCTGGCCAACATGGCAGAACCCCATCTCTACTAAAAATACAAGAATTAGCTGGGTGCAGTGGCGGGTGCCTGTAATCCCAGGTACATGGAGGCTGAGGCAGGAGAATTGCTTGAGCCCGGGAAGCAGAGGATGCAGTGAGCTGAGATCGTGCCACTTACTCCACCCTGGGCAACAGAGTGAGACTCTGTCTCAAAAGAAAAAAAAAATAGACATTTGGGAAGATAATTGAGTGCAGAATCCTCCTAGAGTTTCACATTTTTGTGCTGTTGAGCTGATAGTTATCTTGCCTACGTTGGATTTGACAGTGGTTTTTTTTTTTTATTTTTTCAGTGATTTCCCTTTACATTGACTCCTTTTCCTTTAACTTAGATTTTTTTTTCTTTTTAACGATTGAGAAAAAAACTTTGAAGCTTAGTTTTGATGGACAACTTTATTCTCCTTCCTTCCTTCCTCCTTTCTTCCTTCCTTCCTTTCTTCCCTCCCTCCCTCACTGCGTCCCCCTCTTTTTTCTTTTCTTTTCCTTCTTTTTTCTCTTTCTTTCCTTCTTTCTTTCTTCTTTTTTCTTTCTTTCTTTCTGTCTGTCTTTCTTTCTCTCTCTCTCTTCTTTCTTTCTTTCTCTCTCTCTCTCTTTCTCTTTCTTTCTTTCTTTCTTTCTTTCTTTCTTTCTTTCTTTCTTTCTTTCTTTCTTTCTTTCTTTCTTTCTTCTTTCTTTTTGCTTGCTTGCTTGCTTTCCTTTCAGACAGGGTGTCACTCTGTCATTCAGGCTGGAGTGCAATAGTGCGATCATAGCTTATTACAGCCCCCAATTCTTGGACTCAAGCAGTCCTCCTGCCTCAGCCTCCTGAGTAGCTGGGAACAACAGGTGCGCACCACCTGATGAATTTTTAAATTTTTTACAGAGACAGGGTCTCGCTATGCTGCCCAGGCTGATCTCAAACTCCCAGCTTCAAGTGATTCTCCTACCTTGGCCTCCCAAAGTGCTGGGATTACAAGCATAAGCCACTGTACCTGACATAGACTAAGATTTTAGAAAGTCCTTGTGTGCATGTGTTCAGGATCCTTGAAGAGTGTTGGGGCCAGGTTGGTGGCTCACACCTGTAATCTCAGCACTTTCAGAGGCTGAGGTAGGAGAATCACTAGAGGCCGGGAGTTCAAGACCAGCCTGGGCAACATAGTGAGACCCCATATCTACTAAAAATTTATTTCAAAAATTAGCTGGACATGGTGGCGTGAACCTGTAGTCCCAGCTATTCAGGAGGTTGAGGTAGGAGGATCACTTGAGCCCAAAAGGTTGAAGCTGCAGTGAGCTATGATTGCACCACTGCACTCCAGCCTGGGTGACAAAGTGAGACTCTGTCTCTTAAAAATAAAACAAACAAAAAAAGAGTATAGAGACCATGGAACCCCCAGATGGGAAGGGAGAGTAGAGGGAGCCTGAAATGGGCTTTGAGGCGGGATGCCACCACAGACTGTGTAACTTGGGCAACTGTCTTTTCTGATCTGAACTCAGTCTGCACAGTGAGGTGTGGGAGAGGATATCAGAGCCTGTGATGTCTTCCCCCAGGTGGAGGAAGGGTTCCTCCAGCATGGACTGGAGTCAGTTAACAAATATTAAAAAGCACTCACCGTGTGCCAGGCAGTGGGGAATAAGACCAATGAGCTATGTCACAGTGGGGGAAAACAGGCATTGAATAAATAAGTCAATAAGGGTCATTTCAACGCAAGTGTTCTTGGGAAAACAAAATAGCATAATGTGACAGACAGAGGGTGACTTGGGCAATGTGGAAGCCAGGATGGTGGTAGAAAGGCATTCTAAGGAGGTGACATCTGAATGAGATCTAAATGGTCAGGAGTGGCTGACTTTGTGGAGGCCTAGGAGACAAGCATTTCAGCCAAAGACAGCAGCCAGTGCAAAGGGCTGCAGTGAAATGAGAAGGGAGGAGAGGAGGGGAGAGGAGAGAAGAGGGCTGCCTTGTAGGAGGCTGGGGCTGTAGAGACCAAGGAAGCTTCTGGAATCAGTGACCTGGAAATGCCTCAAAGGATGGTATGAGGGGCCAATTCCACCCACCACTCACTCCTCACCCTCATGTCTTCTTTCTAATTCTCTCCACTCAGGGATCTATTGGATTTCCCGGTCCCCTGGGACCCATAGGAGAGAAAGGGAAGTCGGTGAGTCATGACCGGGGGTAAGGGAGAGGGGAGAACTTGTCTGAGGGGAACAGCATGTGTGGTTGTGTCTGATGATGGGTGGACCCTGGGTGTTTGTGTCTATGCCTGGAACATTTGTGTGCACACATGCTATTATATGCAATGCATGACACATGTAGGTGATTACACATGGTATTATCATGAATATGACTGTAAGCACATGTATATGTGTTTCATGTATCTTTCAATATCGATGAGACAGGGTTTGAATGCCGCAGCCTGCAGGCCTGTGCCTGGGTGAACAAGGGCATGAATCTGCGTGCACTTTGCATGATGGTGGGCATAAATGTGTGCAAGAAGCTTGTACATATGCGTGAAAGGACATGTGTATACACATGTGTGTGTTTCTGTGCACACTGAGTGATGGGTATACATGCATGTATTGTATTTGTGTTGCTATGTGTGTATTGTAACAGTGTTAATGAACATTGTATGTACGTACATGAGTGTATGTATACTGCTGTGCTTACCAAGACAAAGTCCTCAGCTGAATCCAGGCCTTCATGTGTTTACAGTGGGTATACATGTGTGCAAGAGATGTATTGCATGATGAGTTCTGTGTCATCTTCAGGCTGTGGATTGCCAAATGCATGCCATGATTACATGCAATCATGTATGCATACTGCACAGCTGTGATCAATATATGTCTTGTGGGCAAACATGCTTGCACGTTTGTACTCTGTAGATGCAATCATAGTTGTAATTGTGTGTTTGAGATCTTTGTGTGGTTTTGAGTATAAGTTGTATTTGTGTGTATGTGTATGACTGAAAAGCTTGTGAATAAATATGTGGCAGACAGCTTTCTGGGTCTGTGACTGGGTGTCTTTTTGTGTTTGCGTCATACCTTTGCACCCTAACTCTCTTCTGCTTTCTCTCTTACAATTCATTTTCAGGGAAAGACAGGGCAGCCAGGCCTGGAAGGAGAGCGGGGACCACCAGTAAGAAAATAGACAGTGCCCCCTACCCTGCTGGGACTTGGGGACAGGGCTGGGAAGGAAAGGTAGTGGAGAGGTCATCTGTGGGCAGGGAAAGGGTTTGGGTTATATCAATGTCCCTGGTCGGGCAGGAGAGGGAGTCACAAGGGGAGGGGACCTGGAAGACTTGGTCTCATCTCCCAGGCTCCCCCACCCCCTCATATCTGATCTTTGCCTTTTTTTTTTGTTCAGGGTTCCCGTGGAGAGAGGGGGCAACCGGGTGCCACAGGGCAACCAGGCCCCAAGGTATGGGATGGGTGGGCAATCAAGGCCCCCCATGCCCCAGGCTCAGCCAGTCCCTCCAAATTCTTCCCAGTTGAGTTTGTTCTGGGGCCTGAGTCTCATTCACTCTGTCCTAGGGCGATGTGGGCCAGGATGGAGCCCCTGGGATCCCTGGAGAAAAGGTGAGTGTGTGTGTGTGTGTGTGTGTGTGAATGTGTGTGTGTGTGAGAGAGAGAGATTCTGAGTGGAGGACAAACCCAAGAGATGAAGAGACATTATAATGCAGTGGTAAGAGCACAGCTTAATTGGGTGTGGTGGTGCACGCCTGTAGTCCCACCTATGCTGGAAGCTGAGATGAGAGAATTGCTTGAGCCCAGGAGTTGGAAGCTGAAGTGAGCTAATCACACCACTGCACTCCAGCTTGGGTGACAGAGCAAGACTCCATCTTTAAGAAAAGAAAAAAAGAAGGAGCACAGCCTGTGAAGTCAGAGAGCCATGAGTTCAAGTCCTGGCTCTGCCACTCACCTACTGTGTGACCTTGGGCAAGTCACTTAACCACTCTGTGCCTTAGTTTTCTCCTCTGTAAAATGGGAGTAACCTCAGTCTCCAACCCAAAGGGCTACAGTGGTGAATAAAATGACTGACTTGTGGAGAATGCCCTGCCCATGCCTGGCATGCAGTAAGCACTCAATATGTGCTCGATCCTGTTGTCATTATGTGGGGCTCAGGGAGTGGGCAGGGAGGCAGGGGGGATGAGATCATGATTTCTGTTTCCATTTCAGGGCCTCCCTGGTCTGCAAGGCCCTCCAGGATTCCCTGGGCCAAAGGGCCCCCCTGTGAGTGAGGTCACCCTCATTGGGGGTTGGGTGGGTGGAGGATGTGGGAAGGGAGGAAGCCCTGTATCTGTGCCCCAACTTTTTCCCACCTCATCCCCCAGGGTCACCAAGGTAAAGATGGGCGACCAGGGCACCCTGGACAGAGAGGAGAACTGGTGAGTAACCCCTCAACCTTTGATTCCTGATCCTTTTTTTTTTTTTTCTTTTTGAGACAGAGTCTCACTCTGTCACCTGGGCTAGAGTGCAGTGGGGCAATCTCGGCTCACTGCAACCTTTGCCTCCCAGGTTCAAGCAATTCTCCTGCCTCAGCCTCCCGAGTGGCACTACAGGCGCGTGCCACCACGCCCGGCTAATTTTTGTATTTTTAGTAGAGACGGGGCTTCATCATGTTGACCAGGCTGCTCTCAAACTCCTGGCTTCAAGTGACCCACCTGCCTCTGCCTCCCAAAGTGCTGGGATTACAGGCGTGAGCCACCGGACCGGCCAGATTCCTGATCCTATCAGGCCTTCCCTGTCTCCTGCTCCTCCATCCCTTCCCCATGTAACACCGCCCCCACATTTAATTTTTCTCTCTAGGGCTTCCAAGGTCAGACAGGCCCGCCTGGACCAGCTGGTGTCTTAGGCCCTCAGGTCAGAGTGGACTCCATAAACCTCCCTTGTTTTGTACCAGTTGGGGGATATTTAGGGGAAAGCTGGACTCCTGAGCGACTCCCCTAGGCCACCCCCACTCAACAGGAGCCTTCTTCCTCACCAGGGAAAGACAGGAGAAGTGGGACCTCTAGGTGAAAGGGGGCCTCCAGGCCCCCCTGGACCTCCTGGTGAACAAGGTCTTCCTGGCCTGGAAGGCAGAGAGGGGGCCAAGGTGAGACACTGTCCACTGGAGATCTTGGTTGAACATCCAAGATCAACCAAGGACTCAGAATCAGTCTCATGGGGGAGGGGGCCCTGAGTCACAGATTGGAGGGAGACATCCCCTCCCTGGAGCTTGACTTCCCTCCTTTGCACTCCTGTAGGGGGAACTGGGACCACCAGGACCCCTTGGGAAAGAAGGGCCAGCTGGACTCAGGGGCTTTCCCGGCCCCAAAGGGGGCCCTGGGGACCCGGTGAGTATCTTTGGAGACCCTCCTGCATGTCCCTTAGAGAAGGAAAGGATGGGGGGGTCAGGGGAGGGATGGGGAATAGCATTTGGGGTGCGGGAAATGATGAAAGCAAAAAAAATGGTGGAGGGAACTGGGGAAGGCAGACCCCTCAAAGCTCAGTGTCCAGTCCCAGGAGAGAGGTGGGGACTGTGAGCTCCCCACAGAGGAAGACAGGACCTGGGGACACCTTTGGGAGTCTCTTAACTGTGAATTATCTCCTCCTTCAGGGACCTACTGGCTTAAAGGGTGATAAGGGCCCCCCAGGGCCCGTGGGGGCCAATGTAAGTATAACCCCATGTGCTGGGTGGGGGCAGGGTGGAGGGGACTCAAGGTGTCTTGGAAGCTTGACATTGTCATGATAAAACCCATGATGGAGGCTGAGGCAGGCAGATCACTTGAGGTCAGGAGTTCAAGATCAGCCTGGCCAACATGGTGGAACCCCGTCTCTACTAAAAATACAAAAATTAGCCAGGCATGGAGGCAGATGCCTGTAATCCCAGCTACTCTAGAGGCTGAGGCAGGAGAATCGCTTGAACCTGGGAGGTGGAGGTTGCAATGAGCCAAGGTCAGTTCTGTTGCTCACTGGCTGGGCCGTTGTATTCCTTGGCAAGCCTCAGTTTCCTTGTCTGTAAAATAGCCATGATGGGAAGCCTTATCTCATGTATGATCACAAACCTCATTGAGATCATTTATCCAGTAAATACTTACCTGTGCATTGGCCATCAACATATAAAAACCCCTTTTCTTGGGCCAGGTGTAGTTGCTCATGCCTATAATCCCAGCTCTTTGGGAGGCTGAGGCTGGAGAATCGCTTGAGCCCAGGAGTTTGAGACCAGCCTGGGCAACATAGCCAGGTCCTGTCTCTACAAATATATATATATATATATATATATATATATATATATATGTATAGGCTGCCAGGAGGACTATGGCTTTTGTTCTAAGTGAGATGGGAGCCATGGAGTGTTCTTGAGCAGGAGAAGAATATGCCCTGCCCCTCAGGTGCTCACAGGCACCCTCTGGCTGCTGCAGGAGGGGAACAGGTTAGATACAATCCTGGTAACCTCAGAACTCAGTGCCTGGTGGCTTAAAAACCCTCCATAAAGGACAGCTACTACTGGTATTATACCTGATTCATCACCCCTGTTCTCAGGGCTCCCCTGGTGAGCGCGGTCCTTTGGGCCCAGCAGGAGGCATTGGACTTCCTGGCCAAAGTGGCAGCGAAGGCCCCGTTGGCCCTGCAGGCAAGAAGGGGTCCCGGGTAAGTGACTTGCCCATCCCATTCCTAGGGCCTCCTCAGGGTCTGGCCCTGCCACATCCCAGGACATGGCTCCTGCAGGACATTCCTGCCCTGACATCCCCCTTTCCATTCCCCACAACAGGGAGAACGTGGCCCCCCTGGCCCCACTGGCAAAGATGGGATCCCAGGGCCCCTGGGGCCTCTGGGACCCCCTGGAGCTGCTGGGCCTTCTGGCGAGGAAGGGGACAAGGTGAGGGGTTCACAGAGAGGAAGGGTCCAGGGGAGGATGGGGGTGAATGGAAGCTGGGTCCTTCATCCCATTTCCTCTGCAGGGGGATGTGGGTGCCCCCGGACACAAGGGGAGTAAAGGCGATAAAGGAGACGCGGTGAGTGAAGGTCCCCAGTGGGGCAGGGTGGGGTGGGTAGCGGAAGAAAGAGGAGGCCAGGGATGTAGAGATCATTCTCCATGGGGTAGGAGAGGCCATGGAGTTTTCTGCCTTCTCGGGTACCATCTTGACAATTACATGCAACAGAAGGTACTTGAGCTGCCTGGAGCGATGGGTCCACAGAACCCAACTGCAGACAGGATAGGGACAGCTGGGGCTCCCAAAGAACTGGAAAGGCACTGGGGTGCGGGTAACCTTCTCCATTGTTAGTGACACATCCTTCCCTCTGCCTGTGACTCTGCGTGGCAGGCACTGAAGCATCTGATACCCAACTTCCCCCCACCCCGAATGTCAGCTCCAGTGGCTTGCATCATTGAGCCAGCTTCGTCCCTGGGTCTTGGTGGAACTTGTGGCCAGGGCTGGGCTTAGGACAGACGTCTGTCTGATCCCATCTGTTGGTGGCTGAGAAGACAGGATTTGGGGGGATGTAGCTGTTGCTGCCTGGTAGGGGAAGTTGTTCTCATAAAGGGGGTGTGGGAGGCAGTGATTGATAGCTCCAGTGCCCTCTCTAATCTTAAACCTGAGGGAATTTTTGATTCTGTTTCCTGTTCTCCCAGGGCCCACCTGGACAACCAGGGATACGGGGTCCTGCAGGACACCCAGGTCCCCCGGTGAGTGCCCCCATCTTTTCAGTCCTTCTCTGGGTCCTTGAAGGGAGGGATAGTGGGAGCAAACGACAGTGGAAGCACACTGACTTAATCCAAACCTCAAACCCAACCCTGATCTTCCCTCAGTACTGACACCCAATGTGAACTCAATCCAAGAATCGGAGTCAATCCCAACCCAACCATGTTGTCCCCTCAATACCGACACTCAATATGAACTCACCCTCAGAATCTGATTCAATCCCAACCCAACCATGTCTTCCCCTCAGTACAAACACCCAGTATGAACCCAATCCCAAATTCGGAGTCAACCCCAACCCAATCATGTCTTCTTCTCAATACCAACATCCAATGTGAACTCAACCCCAGAATTTGGCCCAATCTCAACCCAACTATGTCTTCCCCTCAATGCCAACACCCAATGTGAACTCAACCCCAGAATTTGGCTCAATCCCAGTCGAACCATGTCTTCCCCTCAATGCTGACACCCAATGTGAACTCAACCCCAGAATCTGATTCAATCCCAACCCAACCATGTCTTCCCCTCAATACCGACACCCAATATGAACTCACCCCCAGAATCTGATTCAATCCCGACCCAACCGTGTCTTCCCCTCAATGCCAACACCCAATGGGAACTCAACCCCAGAATCTGGCCCAATCCCAACCCAACCATGTATTTCCCTCAATACCGACACCCAATATGAACTCAACCCTAGAATTTGTCTCAATCCCAATCCAACCATGTCTTCCCCTCAATGCTGACACCCAATGTGAACTCAACCCCAGAATCTGATTCAATCCCAACCCAACCATGTGTTCCCCCTCAATACCAGCACCCAATGTGAACTCAACTCCAGAATCCTGCCCAGTCCCAACCCAACCATGTCTTTCCCTCAATACCAAAATCCAATATGAACTCACCCCCAGAATTTGGCTCAATCTCAACTCCAACCATGTCTTCCCCTCAATGCCAACATCCAATATGGACTCAACCCCAGAATCTGGTTCAATCTCAACCTCATGCTCAACTTTGATCTGCCCCTCTATATCGATGTCCAATATACACTCAACCTTAAAATCAGACTAAATTCCAACCTAAACCCAGCTCTGAACCCCCACTTCAGCCCCAGTCTCAACTCTACTCATGACCTTAACCTCAGTTCTACTCAAACCTTATCTCCAGCCAGGTGCGGTGGCTCATGCCTGTAATCCTAGTACTTTGGGAGGCCAAGGCGGGTGGATCACCTGAGGTCAGGAGTTCAATATCAGCCTGGCCAAAATGGTGAAACCCCATCTCTACTAAAAATACAAAAAAAAAATTTGCTGGGCATGGTGGCGGGCCCCTGTAATCCCAGCTACTTGGGAGGCTGTGCCAGGAGAATTGCTTGAACCCAGGAGGCAGAGGTTGCAGTGAGCCAAGATAGCACCACTGCACTCCAGCCTGTGCGATAGAGGGAGACTCCGTCTCAAAAGAGGGAAAAGAAAAAAAAAAAAAAAAAGCCAGGCACAGTGGCACACACTTGTAATCCCAGCTATTCAGGAGACTGAAGCAGGAGAATTGCTTGAACCAGGGAGGCAGAGGTTGCAGTGAGCAGAGATTGCGCCACTGCACTCCAGCCTGGGTGACAGAGTGAGACTCCTTCTCAAAACAAAACAAAAAACAAAAACAAACAAACAAAAACAAACAAACAAACAAAAGCCTTATCTTCAAATCTCTTAACCAAGCCCTGACCCAGACCTGTCCTTTTTTGTTTATTACCATACAATAGGAACATACGGCCCTATCCTTAACCCCAACTCTGACCCAACTCTTCCAATGCTGACCCCAGACCTGAACTCAAACTTTGAATATGACCCTGGGCCCAACCTCAAACCCAACCCTAAATTCCATCTCAACCCCAGTTGAACCCTGCCCAAGAACTGAACCTCAACTGCAAATCCGACTCACTGTTTAACACTTTGACTCAACCCTTGACTTCATTCCCAAGCCCTGTTCCTTAACCTAGACCCCAACTCCAACTCAACACTGACCCTCTCTAAACTTAATCTGAACCCTGACTCCAACCCTTAACCTCAGTCTTGACCCTTGAGCCTCACTCTGCCCTAATCACTGACCCAGACCTTAAATGTGCCCCTGTTTGTGTTCTTCCAGGGAGCAGACGGGGCTCAGGGGCGCCGGGGACCCCCAGGCCTCTTTGGGCAGAAAGGAGATGACGGAGTCAGAGGCTTTGTGGGGGTGATTGGCCCTCCTGGACTGCAGGTGGGTGTCTGGGTTTGGGGGTGGCACTTCTGATTCTCCCTACCTGGTGCCCCAATCTTGCTTCTTTGTTCCACAGGGGCTGCCAGGCCCTCCGGGAGAGAAAGGGGAGGTCGGAGACGTCGGGTCCATGGTATGCACTCCCAGAGGAAGGTGGGAGGGGGAGGATGGTGGGGTTATAGGTTGGCGGCAGGCATTAGATTCATTTGAGGGACATTGTCATTTTAAGGGCCCTGAGGGTCACCAGCATTGACAGTGGTATCTGTGGTCAATGTGGCCTTTTGGGGAGAGGGGCCTGGGGTCACTGGGTACTAATTCTGACCTTCCACAGGGTCCCCATGGAGCTCCAGGTCCTCGGGGTCCCCAAGGCCCCACTGGATCAGAGGTGAGAACTCTTGGGGGGCCAGGAAGGCTCAGAGATGGGGACAACCATTTCCTAAGAAGAGGATGTTGGGATTCCACAGTCCCACTCTTACCCCTTGCTGTCTCTCCAGGGCACTCCAGGGCTGCCTGGAGGAGTTGGTCAGCCAGGCGCCGTGGGTGAGAAGGTGAGTGAGGGAAGGCAGGGGCTGCACGGGGGGAAGAGATAAATCTAGTCCTATTGGGCAGGGACATTCTGGGGAGCCCCTCCCTGTCTGCTAGGATGGGACCTCTCCCCACTCTCACTTTGCCTCCTGCAGGGTGAGCGAGGGGACGCTGGAGACCCAGGGCCTCCAGGAGCCCCAGGCATCCCGGTGAGTGACTGTGTGATGTGGTCCCTGCACCCAACTCAGGGAACCCCTGACCCCTGGGCATCTTGGGCCACTTTGACCTCTGGACAGTGCAAGATCATCCACTCACCCCTGTCCTGTGGCCGTCCCTGATTACCTTGAGGAAGGACACCTGGAAGTTCTCAGATAGGGCTGCTATGTACAGTTCTGCAGGTTGCACACTACACAAGACTACATGACCCAGGGGATAGGTGAGGGCTCAAATCTGAGTCATGAGTCCTGACCTGAGGATGAGTTGCCCAGATGGGGCCCCTCTTCTAATTCACTCAAGGGCAGCACATGGGCTAGGCCAACCTTGCACATGACCAATGGGCACCTAGACCATCCAGACCTTTCACTGTCTTAAGTCCTAGCTCCTTCTGACCTTTGACCCTTGGACAACCTAGGCTACTCTGAACCCTGACCCCAGAAAAGTCCCAGACCACCCCAATGCCTGAATCCAAGTATGCTAATCCTTGATCCCTGGAGAGTCCAGGCCACTCTGACCTCTGACCTCTTTCTGTAAAGGGGCCCAAGGGAGACATTGGTGAAAAGGGGGACTCAGGCCCATCTGGAGCTGCTGGACCCCCAGGCAAGAAAGGTCCCCCTGGAGAGGATGGAGCCAAAGGGAGCGTGGTGAGTCCTGGGGGGAAGTGGGGGCAGACATGGGAGGGGGCACTTGAATGTACTTGAAGCTCTCCCAAACTTTTTTTTTTTTTTGAGATGGAGTCTTGCTCTGTCACCAGGCTGGAGTGCAGTGGCACGATCTCAGCTCACTGCAACCTCCGTCTTCCGGGTTCAAGCGATTCTTCTGCCTCAGCCTCCCAAGTAGCCAGGACTACAGGCACGCGCCACCACACCCAGCTAATTTTTGTATTTTTAGTAGAGATGGGTGTTCACTATGTTGGCCAGGATGGTCTCGATCTCCTGACCTCGTGATCAGCATGCCTCAGCCTCCCAAAGTGCTGGGATTACAGGCATGAGCCACCGCGCTCGGCCAAAACTCTCCCAGACTTCTAGCCAGGGATTGCATCCTCTAATTTACTGATCTCATGAGTAACCCCCAGAACACGGATGAATGAATGAATGGGTGGATGGATGGATTAATGAATGAGTGGATGAATGTATGAATGAGTGAATTAATGAATGGACAAGTGAATAACTCAGTGGATGGATGAATACGTGAATGAATAAATGGATGAATAAATGAGTGAATGGATGAACGAGTGAGTGAATGGATGAACGAGTGAATGAATGGATGAACGAGGGAATGAATGGGTGAATGAGTGAATTAATGGAAAAATGAATAAATCAGTGGATATATGAATATGTGAATGAATAAATGTGCACGAATAAATGAGTGAATGAATGGATGAATGAGTAAATTAATGGATGAATAAGTAAATTAATGGATGCATGAATATGAATGAATGGATGAATGAATGAGTGGCCGAATGGACAAATGAGTGAGTGAATGAGTGAATGGATGCATGAATGAATGGACAGAGGCGCAAGTGAACAAAATGACTGAAGAGATGAGTGAATAAACGAATGGATGGATGGATGAGTGAATTAGTGAGTAAATGTGTGAATGAAACATAAACGTGCAGTGGTTATACATCATTGAATGGCAAGAAAGTTGATTTCATGGCAGATCATTCTAACACTTGAATTAGTGAGTAAATGTGTGAATGAAACATAAACGTGCAGTGGTTATACATCATTGAATGGCAAGAAAGTTGATTTCACGGCAGATCATTCTAACACTGTTGCAAAGATTAAGGTTGAATTGGGTCAGATTTGGGGTGGATGTGGGATTTGGCTTTGAGGTGAAGGTTGAGGCCCTTCTGTCACCACAGTAGAGGTTGGGGCGGGTGGAGGTCAGGAAGGGGCTTTAGCATCTGTGGGACCTCGACTTGAATGGCATTGTTTGGCGTGTCCCTTCTCTGAGTGTATGAATGAATGGATGGATGGATGAATGAATGAATGAATGAGTGAATGAATGAATAGACGAATCAATGAATGAATAGACAAATGAATGGCCAGTTTTCTCTGTGAGTCCCGAGCTGAGAGGCTGTGAGGACGCTGCAGTGAGACCATGCGTGCGGCATTCTTAGCTCAGCGTCTGCACCCATGAAACACGAGAATGTTCGCTCTACCAAGCCAGGGATTTTATGTTTTGTTCACTAATGTGTCCCCAGAAACCAAACTGTTCCTGGATACAGTTGATCTGTTCCATAAATGCATGATTGCTCCACAATTCAGAGATGTGATTATTAATCATTCTGTGTTCCAGGGCCCCACGGGGCTGCCCGGAGATCTAGGGCCCCCAGGAGACCCTGGAGTTTCAGTGAGTGTGACCCCCTCCCCAATCCTGGCATATTTCCTAATTCTGTCCCCATCTCCCTACCCCCACAGACCTGGGCACTGACAGTGGAACCAAAAACGTTCTTTTGCCTCCCAGCCCCATCCCAAATTCTCACGTACCCTCATCACCCCTCCCAACTCTGTCTTCCCCCCATGCAGGGCATAGATGGTTCCCCAGGGGAGAAGGGAGACCCTGGTGATGTTGGGGGACCGGTGAGTGGGAAAACAGAGGGTGTGGTGCTGAGGCGGGGGTTGGGGAGCTAATGAGTGAGTGAATTGGGGGGGCAGGGGAGTGGGCTAGTGGGGTACCCAAGGCCCCTGCAGATGCTCCCGCTTCACCTCTCTGGGGACCCCCAGGAATGTGAGCAGCTTGAGGGAGTAGGTGGGAGGTGGGAGTACCCGGTGCTGGGGTGAGGCTTGGGGAAGGGTGTCCTCTGGTCCAAGGCGTCCTAAAACAGTCAGGCTCAAACAATGTTAGCTGAGACCACAGCTGGTGTCCTTGTCTCCTCCAGGGTCCGCCTGGAGCTTCTGGGGAGCCCGGCGCCCCCGGGCCCCCCGGCAAGAGGGTAAGTGATAAGCCACCTCCTGGGTCCTCAGCTTATCTACAGCCCCCACTCACCTTACAGACCTCACTCATCCCACAGCCCTCAACTCACCCCACAGACCCCACACACCCACAGACCCCACTCACTCCACAGCCCCCACTCACCCCACAGACCCCACACACCCACAGACCCCACTCACCCACAGACCCCACTCACCTTACAGCCCCCACTCACCCCACAGACCCCACTCACCCCACAGCCCCCGCTTACCCCACAGACCCCACTCAGCCACAGAACACACTCACCCACAGACCCCACTCACCCACAGATTCCACTCACCCCACAGACCTCAGTCAACCACAGACCCCACTCATCCACACACCCCACCTCACCCCAAAGACCCCACTCACCCCACAGCCCCCACTCACCCACAGCCCCCACTCACCCACAGACCCCACTCACCCACAGACCCCACTCACCCCACAGACCCCACTCACCCACAGCCTCCACTCACCCACAGCCTCCACTCACCCACAGCCTCCACTCAGCCACAGCCCCCACTCACCCACAGCCCCCACTCACCCAGACCTCATTCACCCCACAGACCCCACTCACCTTACAGACCCCACTCATCCATAACCCCCCAGTCACCCAGACCCCACTCACCCCTCTGACCCTCAGTCAGCCCCTAGACCCCCCTCACTGTCTTTCCCTTCCAAGGGTCCTTCAGGCCACATGGGTCGAGAAGGCAGAGAAGGGGAGAAAGGTGCCAAGGTGAGTCCCCCTGGCAAGGGGAAGGGTCCCTGCACTACTCTAGGCCAACAGTGGGGCCATCAGGAGAGGGTGGACCTATGACCACTCTGTGCACCTACTCCCTCCCGATCCCAGATGCTTCTTGGCAGGGGTCAGGAGGCAGGAACCCTCTGACTCTGGCCCCTCCCTTGCCTGTGTCCATTTCAGGGGGAGCCAGGTCCTGATGGGCCCCCAGGGAGGACGGGTCCAATGGGGGCTAGAGGGCCCCCTGGACGTGTGGGGCCTGAGGGTCTTCGAGGGATCCCTGGCCCTGTGGTGAGTGGAGCGGGGCAGGGGTGGGACAGGGTGGATCCAGCTCCTCTCTGTCTGCTCCCAGCTTGTGATCCCATCACCGTTTGGAGGGGCTGCCCCTGGTGCATGGTCGGGGGGGGGTCCACACTGTGTTCTGACAGGGTGCAGCCCACCCCATGTTCTGTTCCATTCTCAGGGTGAACCAGGCCTCCTGGGAGCCCCTGGACAGATGGGCCCTCCTGGCCCCCTGGTAAGAGACTTGTTCATCCTTGAGGTTCTGGCTCTGAGGACCACTCTGGGCACCTAGTGACCACCTAGTGAGCATTGGTGCAGGCTAGCCCTCACTGACCATCCATCTGAGTGTCCATACTGCCTGTCTCTACTAACCATCTGCTCTGACCTTCCACCCTGATGGTCTACACTGCCCATCTCTATAACCCTCTGCTCTAACACTCCACCTTGATGATCTACACTGCCCATCTCTATAACCCCCTGCTCTGACCTTCCACCTTGATGGTCTACACTGCCCATCTCTATAACCCTCTGCTCTAATACTCCACCTTGATGGTCTACACTGACCACACTGACCCTTCATCTTGATGCCTGCACTGACTCTCCATCTTAATGGTCTACACTGATCACCCACGCTGACCTTGGCCACTGACCACTCACGTTGTCCATCCTCCAGTCAACCCCTCATTAGCTCTCATCATCCCACCTTGGTGGCCTACTCTGACCATCCCTTGACCTCATCCCTGGTAATTCCCATTTGAAATCTGCATAATTTCCCATTTGACCATCCCCTAACCACCCACACAGACCTCGAGTTCACATTTGAGAATCCCTAACTGACCCTTGCTCTTCTCCCAGGGGCCCTCTGGCCTCCCAGGGCTGAAGGGAGACACTGGCCCCAAGGGGGAAAAGGTAAGGACATCATTCCATTATTCTCTTCCCCATCTCCTCCCCTCTTTCCCTCCCTCCCTGGCTGGGGGGCTGGGAGATTGGTGCATCCTCTGCTCCCAAACTCATCACCCTAAGGCTCTAGGAGAAAAACCTCCCTGAATCCTCCCACGTCCTCCCCTGTCTGTGCCTCTTTTGTCCTTCAGGGCCACATTGGATTGATCGGTCTCATTGGCCCCCCGGGAGAAGCTGGTGAGAAAGGAGATCAGGGGTTGCCAGGCGTGCAGGGACCCCCTGGTCCCAAGGGAGACCCTGTGAGTGTCCTGACCTGAGCGGGAAGAATGCATTTGAAGGAGGGGGTCGGTTGAGAGACTGTGGGTGTGGGGTCTGGGAAACGTGGGTCTGGATTAATGAGGGTGTGTGTGGGGAAAATAGGGGGATGTATCTGGGAACTGGCAAGTTGGAGGCTGCGTCTGGGGTTTGGGGTCTCTCTGTGGGGGAACTGGAGGCTTGTCTAGGGTTCGGGGTCTTCCTTTGGTAGGATTGAAGGCTTGTCTGGGGGATGTGTCAGGGCAATAGGGTGTACCCCACCAATACTGACCCGATGTCCTTTTCCTAGGGTCCCCCTGGTCCCATTGGCTCTCTGGGCCACCCTGGGCCCCCAGGTGTGGCGGTGAGTATGCAGGGAATCTTTTGTGGGATGAGGTCACTGTGGTGGTCCAGGCCAGGACCTCAGCTCTCCCTGTCTGTACCCTACAGGGCCCTCTAGGACAGAAAGGCTCAAAAGGGTCTCCGGTGAGTACACCCTGCTTCCGTGGGCTTACACATCCCAGCTCCCCACCCCCTTCACTGCACCAGAACCCTCCACGTCTCTGCCTTCATTTATTTATTTATTCATGCAATCGTGCGTTCGACAAATATTTATTCAACACCTACGGTTGTATTTCATCAGATCCAAAATGCCATCAATTATAAGATGTACCATTATTTTACAAACTGCTAGGAAAGAAAACAGTTCTGCCAAGTAAACTATGACTTGCCAAAGATGTTAAGAAGCTGATTTCAGAGACATTAAAACATGAAAAGAAAATTTGTGTCTGATGCCTAATGCTGAAAACTGCATGTCTCTTCCCCAAGGCTGTATGTGTGTGTGTGAGTGTGTGAGTGAGTGTGTATGTGAGTGTGTGAGACTGTGTGTGTGTGAGTGTGTGTGTGAGTGTGTGTGTGTGTTTGTGTGTATGTTGGTGGGAAGGGTCTCCATAGACAGGGTTCATTCTCCAAGTGACTTCTCCCTACAGGGGTCCATGGGCCCCCGTGGAGACACTGGACCTGCAGGCCCACCAGGCCCCCCGGTGAGTTCCCCGGGGGGCGGGGGAATGGACACCAAAACCTGGGGGGAGAGCAAGGACTATGTCTGGGTGTCCCCAGAGGGTCCTTCCGTGCGCAGCACTGGGCCAGGCACACACTAGGTGTTCAGAGGATGTAGGTGAAGAGGGTAGTTCCCTGTAAAACCCCAAGGAAGGTCTGGCCTGGGAGGGGGGACTTGGGGGGACACCCATGGGGGCTCTGACCTGGGTCTTGTCTCTTGGACCCCATCTCTCCCTCCCTGTCTCTGTCCATCTCCCTTATCTGTCTCTGTCTATACTGGCGCCACTATTTCATCTTCTGTCTCTCTCCCTGCTCTCTCTCCCTGTCTCTGCTATTCTTGCGCTTTCTCTTTTGTCCTCTTACAACTTGGCTTCTCCCCATCTCTGAATCTGTCTCTCTCTTTCCTGTGTGTCTCTCCCTGTCTGCTTATCTCTCCTTTCTCTATCTCTGCCCCTTGTTTATCTCTCTCCCTCCTCTTTCTCATTTGTGTCTGTCTGCCTCTTCATCTCTGCCTGTCTCTCTTTCTCCCTCTCTCTCCCTCCCCCATCTCCCCTCTCTTCTCCGTCCCCATCCCCTACGCCCAGGGTGCCCCTGCCGAGCTGCATGGGCTGCGCAGGCGCCGGCGCTTCGTCCCAGTCCCGCTTCCAGTCGTGGAGGGCGGCCTGGAGGAGGTGCTGGCCTCGCTCACATCGCTGAGCTTGGAGCTGGAGCAGCTGCGGCGTCCTCCCGGCACTGCGGAGCGCCCGGGCCTCGTGTGCCACGAGCTGCACCGCAACCACCCGCACCTGCCTGATGGTGAGGTCCGGTCCCCCCGCCACTTGGATGGGCGGAGTGGGGGTGTGGGGGGGGTTGGGGTCCGTCGGGTCCCATCCGGACTCACCCACCCTGCCTGGCTCTGCGGCAGGGGAATACTGGATTGACCCCAACCAGGGCTGCGCGCGGGACTCGTTCAGGGTTTTTTGCAACTTCACGGCGGGAGGAGAGACCTGCCTCTATCCCGACAAGAAGTTTGAGATCGTGAGTAACCCAAACCTCTCATCGCCTCCCCCAGGAAGTGCTGTCCCCTGCTCCCCACACCCACAACCACCTTGTCTGGGACGTTATCCTTCCTTCAACCGGCATTTATTGAGCACTTACTGTATGCCAAGTCCTGCCTCAAGAGCTGGGACTACAGCAGAGGATCAAAAAGAAAAAAAATCAGGCCAGCCTGGTGGCACATGCCTATAATCTCAGCATTTTGGGAGGCTGAGGCGGGAGGATCGCTTGAGGTCAGGAGTTCGAGACCAGCCTGAGCAACATAGCAAAACCCCATTTCTACAAGAATTAAAAAACTGGCGGGCATGGTGGTGCGAGCCTGTAGTCCCAGCTACTCTGGAGACTGAGGCGGGAGGATCCTTTGAGCCCTAGAGGCAGAGGTTAGTGTGAGCCGAGATTGTGCCACTGCACTCCAGCCTGGGAGACAGAGCAAGTCTCCTTCTCAGAAAAAAGAAAGGAAAGAAAACAAACTATCTCTGCTTTTATGGAACTCATACCTTCCATGGGAAGACAGACAAGGAAAACTCCAAAAGAAATCAATAGGCTGGATGTGGTAGCTCACGCCTGTAATCCCAGCACTTTGGGAGGCCAAGCGGGGGCAGATCACCTGAGGTCAGGAGTTCGAGACAAGGCTGACCAACATGGTGAAACCCCGTCTCTACTAAAAATAAAAAAATCAGCTGAGCGTGATGGCGGGCGCCTGTAATCCCAGCTACTCGGGGGCTGAAGCAGCAGAATCACTTGAACTTGGGAGACGGAGGTTGCAATGAGCCAAGATTGCACCATGGCACTCCAGCCTGGGTGACAGAGTGAGACTCCGCCTAGAAAAAAAAAAAAGAAGGCCGGGCGCGGTGGCTCACTCCTGTAATCCCAGCACTTTGGGAGGCCGAGGCGGGTGGATCACAAGGTCAGGAGATCGAGACCATCCTAGCTAACATGGTGAAACCCTGTCTCTACTAAAAAAATGCAAAAAATTAGCCAGGCATGGTGGCAGGCGCCTGTAGTCCCAGCTACTCGGGAGGCTGAGGCAGGAGGATGGCGTGAACCCAGAAGGCGGAGCTTGCAGTGAGCCGAGATCGTGTCACTGAACTTCAGCCTGGGCGACAGAGCGAGACTCCATCTCAAAAAAAAAAAAAAAAGAAAAAGAAAAGAAAAAAAGAAAGTATCTACTTCATAGAGTGGCTGTGCAATTCAGATACTGATGCAAAAACAAATATCAGTGAACTGTTTTGTTTTTGTGTGTGTGTGAGACAGAGTCTGTCTCTGTCTCCCAGCCTGGAATGCAGTGGCGTGATCTCAGCTCACTGCAACCTCTGCCTCCCAGGTTCAAGTGTTTCTCCTGCCTCAGCCTCCCCAGGAGCTGTAATTACAGGCATGCGCCACCATGCCCAGCTGATTTTTTTTTTTTTTTTTTTTTTTTTTTTTTTTTTTTTTTTTTTTTAGTAGAGATGGGGTTTCACTACGTTGGTTAGGCTGGTCTTGACCTCAGGTGATCTGCCCACCTTGGCCTCCCAAAGTGCTGGGATTACAGGCATGAGCCACCGCACCTGGCCTGCAGGGAACATTTACTAAACCCTGACTACATGTAGTGCTGGGCTAATACCTCTATCTGCAGGTAAAGCACTTAGCAAGAACCTGGCCGGTATAAGTGTGAAATAATATTTATTGTTATTGTTATTTTTGTCTGTTTTTCAGACAGGGTCTCACTCTGTCACCCAGGCTAGAGCACAGTGGTGGGATCACAGCTCACTGCAGCCTTAACCTCCTGGGTTCAATGATCCTCCTGTCTCAGCCTCTTGAGTAGCTGTGCATCACACAGGTGTGCATCACCATGCCTGG
Organism: Homo sapiens; assembly: GCF_000001405.40. Lineage (NCBI taxonomy): Eukaryota > Metazoa > Chordata > Mammalia > Primates > Hominidae > Homo > Homo sapiens. The sequence goes on along the minus strand of NC_000019.10, from coordinate 9,964,456 downwards.
CTAATTTTTTAAATTTCTTATAGAGATGAGGGTCTCACTATGTTGCCCAGGCTGGTCTTGAACTCCTGGCCTCAAGAGATCCTCCTGCATTGGCCTCCCAAGGTATTGTGATTATAGGCATAAACCACCACACCCGGTCTATTCTAATTTTTATAGACAGGGTCTTTCTCTATCACCCAGGCTGGAGTGCAGTGGCATCATCATAGCTCACTGTAACCTAAAGCACTGGGATTAAGCAGTGGGAGAAAGCCACTGTGCCCAGCCCCATATTGTTTTGTTCTTTTGAGACATAGTCTCACTCTGTTGCCCAGGCTGGAGTGCAGTGGCGTGATCTTGGTTCACTGCAACTTCCACCTCCCCAGTTCAAGCAATTCTCCTGCCTTAGCCTCCCGAGTAGCTGAGATTACAGGTGCCTGTCACCACACCTGGCTCATTTTGTATTGTATTTTTAGCAGAGACGGGGTTTCACCATGTTGGCCAGGCTGGTCTCAAACTCATGGCCTCGAGTGATCCACCCATCTCGGCCTCCCAAAGTGCTGAGATTACAGGTTTGAGCCACCGCGCCTGGCCCCATGTTGTTATTTTTAACTGGTTTATTTTCTCCTGGTTTAGTGGGAGCTCAGATGCCCAGTGGATGGGAATTTAGACAAGCTTGGACTTCCCACTGGGCCCGGAGTGCAAGACTTGATCCCTAAACAATTACTAACATCTGAGGACCTCCTCTTCACTCACCTGCTTAGCCTAAAGGGAGAGGCTGAGGCTGGGCACAGTGGCTCATACCTGTAATCCCAGCACTTTGGGAGGCTGAGGCTGAGGTGGGAGGATCGCTTGAGCCCAGGAGTTCAAGACCAGCCTGGGCAACATAGAAAGACCCCCTCCACCCGCCCCCCCCCCCAAAAAAAACAGGCATGGTGGCACACTCCTATTATCCCAGCTACTTAGGAGGCTGAGGTCAGAGGATTGCTTGAACTTTGGAAGTCGAGGCTGCAGTGAGCCAGTGATCACACCACTGCACTCCAAGACCCTGTGACAGAACAAGACTCTGTCTCAAAAAATAAAAATTTAAAAAAGCTGGGCATGGGGGTACATGCCTGTAGTTCTAGCTACTTGGGAGGCTGCAGTGGGAGGATTGCTTGAGCCCAGGAGTTTGAGGCTGCAGTGAACTATGATTATGTCACTGCACTTCAGCCTGGGTGACAGAGTGAGATCCTGTCTCAAAAATTAATTAATTAATTAATTAAAATAAAATGGTGCCATTGGAGACCCAGAGCTCAATCCCACTGGGGAGCCCTGGGAGACTGTGTAGCACAGGCACCTGAGAGTTATCCCCCTTGGAGGTGAGGGAGCTGGGGTATTTATCCACCAACTCCCATTAGTCATTGGGTGAGGGCTGCCTCAGGGGCATGAACCTCCTTCCCCCATTGTGCACTGGCAGAGCTCGTCCATCCCAGAAGCCAGAGAACATCCTGACATAGTCACAACAGCCTACTGTGTGAGGAGGGAAATGCAGATGAGATCTAGATGGCACCAAGGGCGTCAGCTACAGTGACCCTCCCTTTTCTCTTCCAGGTGAAATTGGCCTCCTGGTCCAAGGAAAAGCCTGGAGGCTGGTATAGCACATTCCGTCGAGGGAAGAAGGTGAGTCACCGAGGCCGAGATGGGGAGTGACATGAAAATTGATGGGAACCAGCAGGGGGGTTTGAGGGGTGGGTTCTGAGAGGTGAGATGAAGAGGATAGGCTTTCCTCTACCTTCCTAGGGATCGCAAGCTGGAGGTGGGGTGGCAGCAGCATCAGATGTGTAACAGGCAGTCAATTGCCATACAGAATGATGGTGCCAGGATAGGGGAAGCACAGGGCATGGTGGAAATTTAGAGGCAGTGTTGGAAAGACCAGAAGGCTTCCTAGTAGAGATCACAGCTCATCTGAAGCCTAAAGAATGCACTGTGTTAGCAAGCTAGGAAGGACAAGGACAAGTGTTCCAGGGAGAGGGAAAGGCATATGCAAAGGCTCAGTCAAGACAGGGTCTGGTGAATTTGAAGAAGAAAAAGCCACATGGCTGGGTACAGTGGCCTGTAATTCCAGCACTTTGGGAGGCCAAGGTAGGCGGATCACCTGAGGTCAGGAGTTCAAGACCAGCCTGGCCAACATTGTAAAACCCCATCTCTGCTAAAAATACAAAAAATTAGCCAGACATGGTGATGTGTGCCTGTAATCCCAGCTACTCAGGAGGCTGAGGCAGGAAAATCACTTGAGCCCTGGAGGAAGAGGTTGCAGTGAGCCAAAACCGTGCCACTGCACTCCAGCCTGGGCAACAGAGCGAGATTCCGTCTCAAAAAAAAAAAAAGCATTATTAAGATATTTTGTATTTTTTTCAGATTAGCTCTTCAAAATCTGATGGAGATTTTACATTTATAGTACATCACAATTTGAATGCTAAATTTTATTGGGAATATTTGCTCTATATTTAGATTTCATAAAACCATTGAACAACAGTTCAAAAAGTAGATTCAGACTCAAGTTGTTCCAAGCATAAGCTTTCTGATAACTGGATTGAAGCTCAGTCATTAGTTGTGAATTTTTTTAAGTAAAAGAATTCAGGGCCAGGCACAGTGGCTCACGCCTGTAATCCCAGCACTTTGGGAGGCCAAGGTGGGCGGATCACGAGGTCAGGAGATCGAGACCATCCTGGCTAACATGGTGAAACCCCGTCTCTACTAAAAATACAAAAAATTAGCCGGGCGTGGTGGCAGGCGCCCGTAGTCCCAGTTACTTGGGAGGCTGAGGCAGGAGAAAGGCGTGAACCCGGGAGGCGGAGCTTGCAGTGAGCTGAGACCATGCCACTGCACTCCAGCCTGGGCGACAGAGCAAGACTCCGTCTCAAAAAAAAAAAAAAAAATTAAATGAAGTTAAAAAAAAAAAAAGTCCCAGCCAGGCATGGTGGTGTGCACCTATAGTCCCAGCTACTTGGGAGGCTGAGATGGGAGGATGACTTGAGCTCAGGAGATGGAGGCTGGAATGAGCCAGGATTGTGCCAGTGCACCCCAACTTGCGCGAAAGAGCAAGATCCCAACCCTTACCCCCCAAAAAAGGAAAAAAAATTAAATAAAGTAAAAAAAAATCCCTCCTTCAAATCAGCCACATTTCAAGTGCTCAAAAGCCACGTGGCTATTAGACATGTGGCTGCCATATTGGACAGGGCAGAAATCTGGTATCAGGGACAGTGAGCTCTGTAGATCCAGCGACTCACAAGAGTGGAGGCAGAGTTGTGTCTTCTGGGTGGGGATGAGTGTGTTAAAACCCTGGATTGGTGGATGAAGCAATCAGAATTTGGGAGGTCAGATGGAGTGGGCATGGAGGCCTACTGGATGGAGAGGTGGACAGAGTGGATGTTCAGGTGACTCTTGGGATTCTGCCAGGGATCTCTAGGTGGCTGGTGGGACCTCCTCAGAGATGGTGACATGGGGGGGGTGGCTTGTCTGCCAGTGGATGGAGATTCCAGGGGGTGGCTTCTGCAGAAAGAGGCTCATGGAGCCCCTCATCCTCTGCCTTGCCCTCCTCTCACCAGTTCTCCTACGTGGACGCCGACGGGTCCCCAGTGAATGTCGTGCAGCTGAACTTCCTGAAACTGCTGAGTGCCACAGCTCGCCAGAACTTCACCTACTCCTGCCAGAATGCAGCTGCCTGGCTGGACGAAGCCACGGGTGACTACAGCCACTCCGCCCGCTTCCTTGGCACCAATGGAGAGGAGCTGTCTTTCAACCAGACGACAGCAGCCACTGTCAGCGTCCCCCAGGATGGCTGCCGGGTAAGAGGGTGGGGCAGTGGCCAGCTAGAGAGGGGAGGCAAGATGTCGGCCACCTTCCCGGTAACTCACCGTCTCTGTCTTCTCTGGGGACAGCTCCGGAAAGGACAGACGAAGACCCTTTTCGAATTCAGCTCTTCTCGAGCGGGATTTCTGCCCCTGTGGGATGTGGCGGCCACTGACTTTGGCCAGACGAACCAAAAGTTTGGGTTTGAACTGGGCCCCGTCTGCTTCAGCAGCTGAGAGTGTCCGGGGTGGGAGGGACCATGAGGGAGCCCCAGAATGGGGTGCATTTGGTGCTGAGGCTTTGAAGCCACCGTATTTTTCGTTACCTGTGACTATGGAGCCAATGGGATGTGACTTCGCTCATCACGGACAGTCATTCCTTCTCCTTTCCAGGGTGCTGGGGGCTGGGGTTCCCTGGCCCAAGGGTCCAGCCTCCTCTCACCCCATTCCAGGTGGCATACTGCAGTCTGGCTCTTTCTCCCCTCCCTCCCCACCCAAGCCTCACCTCCCCACCCCTTGAACCCCCATGCAATGAGCTTCTAACTCAGAGCTGATGAACAAAAGCCCCCCCACCCCCAATGCCTGCCTCCTCACTCCTCCGTCGCTGCCCTTCACACCTTTTGGTGCTACCCCTCCCCAGAGTTAAGCACTGGATGTCTCCTGATCCCAGGCTGGGACCCCTACCCCCACCCCCTTTGATCCTTTCTACTTCCACGGTGAAAGGACTGAGGTCGGACTACAGAGGGAAGAGGGACTTCCCTTGACTGGGTTGTGTTTCTTTTCCTGCCTCAGCCCAGCTCTGCAAATCCCCTCCCCCTGCCCCCCACCTCCCCAGGCTCACCTTGCCATGCCAGGTGGTTTGGGGACCAAGATGTTGGGGGGGTGAATCAGGATCCTAATGGTGCTGCCCTATTTATACCTGGGTCTGTATTAAAAGGGAAAGTCCCCCCTGTTGTAGATTTCATCTGCTTCCTCCTTAGGGAAGGCTGGGATATGATGAGAGATTCCAGCCCAAGCCTGGCCCCCCACCGCCAGGCCATAGGGCATAATTTGCATCTCAAATCTGAGAATAAACTGATGAACTGTGTTTCTGTCTCTGTGTATTTCTTTTTTAAATTTTTTTGTTTGTTTGTTTGTTTTATTTATTTATCCTTGAGACGCAGTCTTGCTCTGTCGCCCAGGCTGGAGTGCAGTGGTGCAAGCTTGGCTCACTGCAACCTCCGCCTCCCGGGTTCAAACAATTCTCCTGCCTCAGCCTCCCTAGAAGCTGGGGTTGCAGATATGCACCACCACACCCGGCTAATTTTTATAATTTTAGTAGAGATGGGATTTCACCTTGTTGGCCAGGCTGGTCTTGAACTCCTGACTTCAGGTGATCCGCCCGCCTTGATCTCCCAAAGTGCTGGGATTACAGATGTGAGCCACCACGCTCAGCCCTTGTTTGCTCGTTTTTAGAGACTGGGTCTCACTCTGTCGCCCAGTCTGGAGTGCAAGGGCATGATCATGGCTCACTGCAGCCTCCAACTCTGGGACTCGAGTGATCCTCCTTCTTCAGCCTCCTGAGTACCTGGGACCACAGGCATGCACCATCACACCCAGCTGGGTTGTTTTGTGTGTGTGTGTGTGTGTGTGTGTTTGTGTACAGATGGTGTCTTTCTTTGTTGCCCAGGCTTGTCTCAAACTACTAGCCTCAAGCAATCCTCCCACCTCAGCCTCCTGAGCTGCTGAGATTACAGGTACGAGCCACCTCACCCAGCTCTTGATCTCTTTCATCTGATGTGGCCCATATCTGTCTTGGGATCTGGCTCTTGTCTCATCTGAGGTACCTGTCACCACCTGTATTAATTAGGTATGTCTTTTGGGAATGCAATTATAATGAGACTCACTGGAGATTATAGGCCTATTTATTCACCCAGGCTCCTAGAGGAAAAGTTGAAAATTGTCAGCTTGGGCTGGGAGGCCCAAGTCAGCTTAAACCAGAAGTTTGGCCTCTTTACAAAAAAATTTTTTTTAATTAGCTAGGCATGGAGGAGCATGCCTGTGGTTTCAGCTACTCAGGAGGCTGAGGTGGGAGAATGACTTGAGCCTGGGAGGCGGAGGTTGCAGTAAGCTGAGATTGCACCACTGTGCTCCAGCCTGGGTGACACCACAGCAAGAACTTGTCTCAAAAAAAAAAAAAAATTTGGTTTGGGATGATTTGAATTAGGAGTAAGATGTTGGTTTGAGGTATATTTTTAACTGATTTATTGAGATAGAATTCATTTACCCATTACCATATAATTCATTACCATTCATTACCATATAATTCACCCATTTAAGCTGTGTAATTAAAAGAAATCCTATACCCATTAGTGGTCACTCATGTCTTTCCAACCTCCCAGCTGTAGGCAACCACGAATCTGCTTTCTGTCTCTAAGGATTTGCCTATTCTGGACAGAAATATCCATTTCATATAAATGGAATCACGCTAGGTGAGGTGGCTCACTCCTGCAACCCCAGCATTTTGGGAGGCCAAGGCAGGAGGATCGCTTGAGGCCAGGAGTTCCAGACCAGCCTAGGCAACATAGCAAGACCCCATCTCTACAAAAATGAAAATAAAAACATTAGCCAGGTACAGTGGTGCATATCTGTAGTCCCAGCTACCCAAGAGGCTGAGGCGGGAGAATCACTGGAGGCCAGGAGTTGGAGGCTGCAGTGAGCTGTGATCTCACCACTGCACTCCAGCCTGGGAAACAGAGTGAGACCTTGTCTCTAAAAAAAAAAAAAAAAAAGGAATAAATACAAATAAATGATATAATGATATATGGCCCTTTGTATCTGGCATTTTCAGCAAAACGGTTTCCAGGAGTTTTTTGTTTTGTGGGCAGAGTCTCGCTCTGTCACCCAGGCTGGAGTGCAGTAGCACAATCTCGGCTCACTGCAACCTCCCCCTCCAGGGTTCAAGCAATTCTCCTTTCTCAGCCTCGCGAGTAGCTGGGACTACAGGCACGCACCACCATCCCTGGCTAATTTTTGTATTTTTAGTAGAAACGGAGTTTCACCATGTCGGCCAGGCTGGTCTCGAACCCCTGGCCTCAAGTGATTCACCCACCTCGATCTCCCAAAGTGCTGAGATTACAGACATTAACCACAGTGCCTGGCTGGTTTCCAGGTTTATTTGCAGCATGCATCAGTACTTCATTCCTTTTTATTGCCAAGTAATATTCAGTCATCTCCCACCTTCAGCTAATTCATTCATCGTTGATGGGCACTGTTGGATTGAGTTTAGTTAGGAGTGATGGAGAAATGGTGTGAGTTGAGTTGGGTCAGATGGGATTGGGTGGGTAGAAACTTCAGGTTGGGGTGAGTTTTCTCCCTCAAACCCAAGGCTCTCACCCTACTACTCCTGCCACCAGCCCCTTAAGGCCACCTGAATACTTGTCCTCATTCATTGAATCAACGTTGCTAAGAGTCCTGACTCCATGAAGACTGTTGGTGCCCAGAGGTTGATGATTCGTTCATTCATGTTTTTTTAGAAGCATTTTTTTTTCTTGCTGTTGCCCAGGCTGGAGTGCAGTGGTGCAATCATAGCTCACTGCAGTCTCCAACTCCTGGACTCAAGTGATCCTCCCACCTCAGCCTCTCAAGTAGCTGGGACTATATTCATGTGCCACCACGCCCAGCTAATTTTTAAACTTTTTTTTTTTTTTTGACAGAGTCTTGCTCTGTCGCCAGGCTGGAGTGCAGTGGCGTGATCTCGGCTCGTTGCAACCTCTGCCTCCTGGTTCCAAGCAACTACCCTGCCTCAGCCTCCCTAGTAGCTGGGACTATAGGTGTGCGCCATCATGCCTGGCTAATTTTTTTTTTTGTATTTTACTAGAGACGGGGTTTCACCATGTTGTCCAGGATGGTCTTGATCTCCTGACTTCATGATCCACACATCTTGGCCTCCTAAATGCTGGGATTACAGGCATGAGCCACCGCGCCCAGCCAATTTTTAAACTTTTTTAAAGAGACAGGGTCTGGGGGGAGGGGGGAGGGATAGCATTAGGAGATATACCTAATGTAAATGAGTTAATGGGTGCAGCACACCAACATGGCACATGTATACCTATGTAACAAACCTGCACGTTGTGCACATGTACCCTAGAACTTAAAGTATAATTAAAAAAAAAAAAACAGAGAGACAGGGTCTCGGCTGGGCACAGTGGCTCACACCTGTAATCCCAGCACTTTGGGAGGCCAAGGCGGGTGGATCATGAGGTCAGGAGTTTGAGACCAGCCTGGCCAATATGGTGAAACCCCGTCTCTACTAAAAATACAAAAATTAGCTGGGCATGGTGGCATGTGCCTGTAGTCCCAGCTGCTGTGGAGGCTGAGCTATGAGAATTGCTTGAACCAGGGAGGTGGAGGTTGCAGTGAGCCGAGATTGTGCCACTGCACTCCAACCTGGGTGACAGAGCGAGACTCTGTCTCAAAAAAAAAAAAAAAAGACAAGGTCTCACTGTGTTGCCCAGGCTGGTCTCAAGCTCCTGGGCTCAAGGGATCATTCAGCCTCAGCTTCCCAAAGTGCTGGGATTACAGGCGTGAGACACCATGCCCAGCCTCAACTAACACTATTAATCTTAATCATAGTTGCCATTTATTACTCATATGCCAGACACTGTTCATCAAATGTTTTACCTCGATTAATTTAATTATCCCACATAACAACCTTTGAGGGATGTTCTATTATTATCTCTGTGGTGCAGATAAAGAAACTGAGGAACAGAGAGAGGTGGAATAATTTATCCAAAGTCTAGAACTAGAAAGTGATGAAGACCATCGGCCAGACGCGGTGGCTCACGCCTGTAATCCCAGCACTTTGGGAGGCCAAGGTGGGTGGATCATGAGGTCAGGAGATCGAGACCATCCTGGCTAACCCAGTGAAACCCCGTCTCTACTAAAAATATGAAAAATTAGCAGGGCGTGGTGGCGGGCGCCTGTAGTCCCAGCTACTCGGGAGGCTGAGACAGGAGAATGGCGTGAACCCGGGAGGTGGAGCTTGCAGTGAGCTGAGATTGCACCACTGCACTGCAGCCTGGGCGACAGAGCGAGACTCCGTCAAAAAAAAAAAAAAAAAGAAGAAAGTGATGAAGATCATCAACAGATTTTGCTAAACAGAGCTGGGCATGGTGACATGCACCTGTAGCTCAAGCTATTTAGGAGCCTAAGGTGGGAGATCTGGAGTGAGTTTGAGCCCAGGACTTCAAGTCAACATGGGCAACATACCAAGATCCCATCTCTTAAAAACGAAAAACAAAAAACACAAACATTTTGCTAAACAAAAAGCCATTCTCTCTCTTAAGGGAATTTTGGCTGTTGCCGTTTTTCAAAATTACACCCCTGGGCTCAGCACTTTACATGTATTCTCTTTCTTAATTATCACAGTCCACTTTAATATCTCCCTTTCTTTTTATTTATATTTATTTTATTTTAATTATTATTATTTATTTATTTATTTATTTTTGAGAAGGAGTTTCGCTCTGTCACCCAGGCTTGAGAGCAATGGCGTGAGCTCAGCTCACTGCAAATTCTGCCTCCTGAGATCAAGCGATTCTCCTGCCTCAGGCTCCCGTGTACCTGGGATTATGGGCGTGTGCCACCATGCCCAACTAATTTTTGTATTTTTAGTAGAGACGGGGGTTTCACCATGTTGGTCAGGCAGGTCTCGAACTCCTGACCTCAGGTGATCCACTTGCCTCAGCCTCCCAAAGTGCTGGGATTACAGGTGTGAGCCACCGTGCTCGGCCTATTTCTTTTATTTTATTTTATTTATTGTATTTCTTTATTTTTTGAGACAGAGTCTTGCTCTGTTGACCAGGCTGGAGTACAGTAGCATGATCTCAGCTCACTGCAGCCTTTGCCTCCTGGGTTCAAGCAATTCTCCTGTCTCAGCCTCCTGAGCAACTGGGACTACAGGCACGTGCCATCACACCCAGCTAATTTTTGCATCTTTAGTAGAGACAGGGCTTTCACTATGTTGACCAGGCTGGTCTTGAACTCCTGACCCCAGCCTTTTATTTTTTTGAAACAGGATCTTGCTCTGTTGCCCAGGCTGGAGTGCAGTCACACGATCATAGCTCACTGCAGCCTCCAACACCTGGGCTCAACCAACCCTCTTGCCTCCACCTCCTGAGTAGCTGGGACTACAGGTGCGCTTCACCATGCTCAGCTAATTTTCAAATTTTTTTTGTAGAGAAAGGGTCTTGCTATGTTGCCCAGGCTGGTCTCAAACTCCTGTCCTCAGGCGATCCTCCCGCCTTGGCCTCCCAAAGTGTTGAGATTATAGGCATGAGCCACAGGGCGCTTGCCCCCATGCCCCCATGTCTGTTTGCTTGCATTTTACAGGAAGGAAACAGGTTCAGAGAGGGGAGGCGTCTGCCCACAGTACACAGCCAGGCGTTTGAATGCAGGTCGGCCTGTCTCGGTTTTGCAACTCCATTCCCATCCCAGTGCAGGCGTTTTGGAAAGGAGGGACGATTTATAGAGTTTAATGAGGACTCTTTAATGAGCCCAAAGCTCGTTAATGAATGAGAAACCCAACCCCATAAATGAAACGTTAATTGACAAAGGTGTGAGAAGGGAATTCTGGGCCTTGCTAAGCTCCTTGTGTTTATTCAACATTAGTGCCAGCACCCAGGCGGCTGCCCGGAAAACCCCCAGCTGATTTACATATTTAGCAGCCATAATTAATCACACTGCTAGTGCTCCCTGAGCAATTACTGACACCCAGTGTTCCAGCCAGGGGTGGAGTGGGGTGGCCAGAGTGGGGGCCGCCTGTGGCTTTATACAGAGATGGCTGTGGTCAGGCGCGGGGCGGATATGGTAGGGGAGTTTATTTGTTTAGGAGTTGGGGTCTTGCTCTGTCACCAGGCTGGAGTGCAGTGGTGTGATCATGGCTCACTGTAGCTTCCACCTCCCCTGCTCAAGTGATCCTCCTGCCTCAGCCTCCAGAGTAGCTGGGACCACAGGTGCATCCCACCTCTCCTCACTAATGGTTTTTAATTTATTTTTTTAGAGACAGGGTCCTGTGCTGTCACCCAAGCTGAAGTTCAGTGGCTTGATCATAGCTCACTGCAGCCTCAAATTCCTGGCTTTAAGCAATCCTCCTGCCTCAGCCTCCCTCATAGCTGGGACTACAGGTGCGCACCACCATGCCCGGCTATTTCTTTTGTTGTTGTTGTTGTTTTTGAGATGGTCTCGTTCTGTTGCCCGGGCTGGAGTAGAGCCTCAACATCCCAGTCTCAAGAGATCCTCACATCTCAGCCTCCTGAGTAGCTGGGACCACAGGCTCGTGCCACCACACCCACCTAATTTTTAAATCTTTTGTAGAGACAAGGGCTCACTATGTTGCCCAGGCTGGTCTGGAACTCCTGAGCTCAAGCGGTTCTCCTGCCTCAGCCTCTCAAAGTGCTGGGATGACAGGTGTTAGCCAGGGTGCCGGGCCTAGCAGGGAATTTTACACACGCATACCCATAACTTCGTTTTGTTTTGTTTGAGATGAAGTCTTGCCCTGTTGCCCAGGCTGGAATGCAGTGGCAGTGGCACAATCTTGGCTCACTGCAACCTCCGCCTCCCAGGTTCAAGCAATTCCTCTGACTCAGCCTCCTGAGTAGCTGGGACTACAGGTGTGTGCCACCATTCCTAGCTTTTTTTTTTTTTTTTTTAAATTTTTATTAGAGACGGGGTTTGGCAATGTTGGCGAGGCTAGTCTCAAACTCCTGACCTCAGGCGATCCGCCTGCCTTGACCTCTCAAAGTGCTGGGATTACAGGCATGAGCCACCGTGCCCGGCCACAACTTTGATGGGGACACTCACACACAATTATATATCAGAACCAAGGACCCTCAAAGTCAGGCTTTTCTCTTGTCACCCCTGCCACGGCTGCAGGTCATGTTCCAAACTCCCGTACACACACCCACATCCTCAGCCAGGTTCAGACACACTGGCACCAATAGCAGGGCACACACACAGTCACACACTCCCAGCTGTGAAAGGAAAATTGCAACTTGGGGCTCCAAACTCAACTGTGGCAAAAGGGAAAAGTGAAGCTTGGGAACTGAGTCAGGCGAAAACTGCTTTCCTTTTGTTCCGAAGGAGATAGCTGTAATTTCACTTGCTTACTCTGTCTTACGTAAAATGTAGATTTACTGAGCTGGAGCCGATTGCATAATCTACCCCTCTCTTTTCACATGTAAAATGCAGATTCACTAAGCGGTAATCAAAGCCTCACATGAATGAAACCACTTGCCTCATTGCCTACTCTCTCCCCTATTTTTCCCTTCCTCCTTCCCCTCCTTTTTGCTTTTTCCCCTTAAATTTGTTTTAATTTTTTTCTCTTCTTTGAGATGGAGTCTTGCTTTGTCACCCAGGCTGGAGTGCAATGATGTGATCTCGGTTCATTGCAACCTCTGCCTCTCGAGTTCAAGCGATTCTCATACCTGAGCCTCCCAAGTAGCTGGGATTACAGGCACATGCTGCCACATTCGGCTAATTTTTTGTATTTTTAGTAGAGATGGGGTTTCACCATGTTGGCCAGGCTGGTCTTGAACTCCTGGCCTCAAGTGATCTGCCCGCCTTGACCTCCCAAAGTGTGGGATTACAGGTATGAGCCATTGTGCCCACTCTAATTTTTTTTCTTAAAAGAATTTCTTTTTGGAGATAGGGTCTCGTTGTGTTGCCCAGGCTGAAGTGCAATGGTGCCATCACAGCTCACTGCAGCCTCGAACTCCCGGGCTCAAGTGATCCTCCCACTTCGGCCTCCTAGAGCACTGGGATTGCAGGCATGAACCACTACACCCAGTCCCCTTTAAATAGTGAAGTCCTAAAAACTCTCTTTGGACAAAGCACAGGCGGCAGATCCTACTGTAACTTGTGTTTCTTTTTCCCAGGAGTGTCCTTAACCTTGGCAAAATCAACCTCTAAATTGATTGAGATCTGCCTCTGTTACTTATTGGTTTATTTATTTATTTATTTATTTATTTATTTATTTATTGAGACAGAGTCTCGCTCTGTCGCCCAGGCTGGAGTGCAGCGGTGCCATCTCGACTCACTGCAAGCTCCGCCTCCCGTGTTCACGCCATTTTCCTGCCTCAGCCTCCTGAGTAGCTGGGACTACAGGTGCTCGCCACCGCGCCCTGCCAATTTTTTGTATTTTTAGTAGAGACAGAGTTTCACTGTGTTAGCCAGGACGGTCTCTATCTCCTGACCTCGGATCCGCCCTCCTCGGCCTTGCAAAGTGCTGGGATTACAGGCGTGAGCCACCGCACCCGGCCTACTTATTGGTTTACAACACACACCCAGAGCTCCCTTCACACACACACATTGGTGTTCAGAAATCCATTTGCAGAGACAGAGCCACACCTGGAGAGAGAGACTGTCATTGTCATACACAAAACTACTGCATCATGAGACCTGGCTGGCACATGTTAGACCTGGAAAACTGCAGCCTCACATGAAGACATGCCATTGACACATGAAGCTACATACAAGAGCCTGGTTAAACTGGCTTGTAGGCCAGTCATGGTGGTTCATGCCTGTAATCCCAGCACTTTGGGAGGCTGAGGCCGGCAGATCACCTGAGGTCAGGAGTTCAAGACCAGCCTGGTGGACATGCTGAAACCCCATCTCTACTAAAAATACAAAAATTAGTGAGGCATGGTGGTGCACACCTGTAATCCCAGCTACTCGGGAGGCTGAGGCAGGAGAATCGTTTGAACCCGGGAGGTGGAGGTTGCAGTGAGCCGAGGTCGCACCACTACACTCCAGCCTGGGCAACAGAGCGAGACTCCATCTCAAAAACGACAACAACGACAACAAAAACCCCAAAAAACTGGCTTGTAGACATATCAGAGGCCCCATCCCAGCACATATAACATTCAACAAATATTTGTTCAGCACCTACTATGCTCCAGGCACTAGAGTGCAATGGCGTAGGCTCTGGGGAGACAGCCATGAAACAAACAAAGATCCTTGCCCTGCTGGAGTTAACACTTTAGGATGGTTGACAGGCAGTAAGCAAATATATACATATATATATACACACACACACATACACACACACACATATACACACACACACACACACATATATGTATATATACACACACATATATGTGTGTATATATATGTATATATATAATATCAAGTGGTGCTATGAAGAAAAGCTAGGGGAGTCCAGGGGTGGTGGCTCAAGTTTGTAATCCTAGCGCTTTGGGAGGCCAAGGTGGGAGGATCGCTTGAGGCCAGGAGTTCAAGATTAGCCCTGGCAACATAGTGAGACCCTGTTTCTACAAAAACTTAAAACTTTAGCCAGGTGTAATGGCATGTGCCTGTAGTCCCAGCTTCTAGGGCGGCTGAGGCAACAGTATCACTTGAGCCCAGGAGGTCAAGGCTGCAGTGAGCCATGACTGGGCCACTGCGTTCCAGCCTGGATGATAGAATGAGACCCTGTCTAAAAAAAAAAAAAAAAAAATAGAGATTAGTGAATTTTATTGTGTATAATATATGCCTCAATGAAAACAAAATTTTAACAAGAAATGTACCAGGCAGAGCAATCCCACTTCTGGGTATATAGCAAAAGAATTGAGAGCGAAAGCTCAAAGACATATTTGTACACCCATGTGCATAGCAGCACTATTTATAATAACCAGCCAGGCATGGTGGCTCACGCCTGTAATCCCAGCACTTTGGGAAGTCAAGGAGGCCAGATCATCTGAGGTCAGGAGTTCGAGACCAGCTTGGCCAACATGGTGAAACCCCGTCTCTACTAAAAATACAAAAATTAGTTGGGCATGGTGGTGTGCACCTGCAATCCCAGCTACTCAGGAGGCTGAGGCAGGAGAATCGCTTGAACCCAGGAGGCGGAGGCTGCAGTGAGCTGAGATCATGCCAATGCACTCCACGCTGGGTGACAGAGTGAGACTCCGTCTCAAAAAAAAGTTAATTAATTAATACATAAATAGAAAATAATAGAGAGAACTCTTATCATGAACTCTCACCTACTCACACACCCACCTGAGAAATAACGCTTTGCACATAATTGATGCCCCTTGTATACATTTATCCGACTGCATCTCTTTCTTTCCCTCACCAACTGTATCCAAATGTGTATGTAAAATATGCATAACATAGGGCTGGGCGCGGTGGCTCATGCCCAACACGTTGGGAGGCCGAGGTGGACAGATCATGAGGTCAAGAGATTGAGACCATCCTGGCCAACACGGTGAAACCCCGTCTCTACTAAAAAAACAAAAATTAGGTGGGTGTGGTGGTGTGCACCTGTAGTCCCAGCTACTCAGGAGGCTGAGGCAGAAGAATTGCTTGAACCCGGGAGGCGGAGGTTGTAGTGAGCTGAGATGGTGCCACTACACTCCAGCCTGGTGACAAAGGCAGACAACGTCTCAAATAAATAAATAAATAAATAAATAAAAATATATATATATATGTATATAACATAACGTTTTCCATTGTAACTAGTTTCAAGTGTATAGTCCAGTGGCTTGAGTACGATCGCATTACTGTGCAACCATCATCACCACTCATCTCCAGAATGTTCTCATCTTCCCAGACTGAACTACTGTCCCCATGAAACACTCTTTCCCCATTATCCCACCCCTCTGAGTGTGGGAATGGCTGTTCCCAGAATGCTTTTCCAAATGTACTGCATATGGACTGCTGTATCCATGGATGACACACATGATTTGGCAGATTTTTAAATGATCTCTAACTGGTTCAAGGTTGAACATGTTCTTTTGCAACTTGCTTTGTTAGCTCAACTGGAGGTTTTGCCTGTCCTTGTAGATACAAGTATCTCTCTCTCTCTCTCTCTCTCTCTCTCTCTCTCTCTCCCTCTCTCTCTGAGACAGGGTATTGTTCTCTTGCCCATGCTAAAGTGCAGTGGTAACGTGTGACCTTACCTCTGCATAGTTACTCATTCTATGCATGAACTCTTAGGTTTTTCCCATTTTGTTTCTGTTTAAACATTCTGGCATGCGTCTTTTTTTTTTTTTTTTTTTTTTTAGACAGAGTCTCGCTCTTTCACCCAGGCTGGAGTGCAGTGGCGCTATCTCGGCTGACTGCAAGCTCCGCCTCCCGGGTTCACGCCATTCTCTTGCCTCAGCCTCCTGAGTAGCTGGGACTACAGGCGCCCGCCACCATGCCCAGCTAATTTTTTCTATTTTTAGTAGAGATGGGGTTTCACCGTGTTAGCCAGGATGGTATCGATCTCCTGACCTCGTGATCCACCCACCTTGGCCTCCCAAAGTGCTGGGATTACAGGCAAGAGCCACTGTGCCTGGCCATGTGTCTTTTTTTTTTTTTTTTGGGACAGATTGTCCGTCTGTCACCCAGGCTGGAATGCAGTGGCCTGATCTCGGCTCACTGCAACCTCCGCCTTGCGGGTTCAAGCGATTCTCCTGCCTCAGCCTCCTGAGTAGCTAGGACTACAGGTGCGCACCACCACGCCCTGCTAATTTTTGTATTTTTAGTAGAGACGGGGGTTTCACCATGTTGGCCAGGCTGGTCTCAAACTCCTGACCTTGTGATCCACCCACCTTGGCCTCCCAAAGTGCTGGGGTTACAGGCATGGGCCACTGCACCCGGCCCAGCCATGTGTCTTTTTTTTTTTTAAGAGACAGGGTCTTGCTCTTGCCCAGGCTGGGGTGCAGCGGTGCAATGATAGCTCACTGCAGCCTTCAACTCCTGGGCTCAAGTGATTCTCCCACCTCATCCTCCCAAATAGAAGGCGCAAATCACCATGACCAGGTAGTTTTATTATTATTATTATTATTATTATTATTATTATTATTATTATTTTATAGAGAGGAGGTCTTGCCCTGTTGCCCAGGCTGGTCTGGAACTCTTGGGCTCAACCCATCCTCCCGCCTTGGCCTCCCAAAGTGCTGGGATTGCAGGCATGAGCCACTGCACCCGGCCACAGCGTGTGTCTTTTGTGCACATAGATAAGTGTCTCTAGGGTGTATAGATTGCTAAGAATAGAAATTCTGGGTTATGGGGGAGGCACATGTTCAGCTGTCCTGGGTGTGGACTTCGTGCTGGTCACTCAGACTTCACCCTGTCCCTTTCCTCTCACCATTCTTCTGAGGCTTCCCTGTTAACCCTAAGATAAAGCCCAAGTCCTCTGACCTAGAATCTTGGGCTTCCCCTGTCACTGTCCCTCACCAGGTGACCTAACTCTCTGAACCTTGCAGCCCCAGGGTCTTCTTGCTGCCCACCGAGCCCTGCTAGCTCCTCTGCATCCTTCAGGTTTCATCTCCAGCATCCGCCCCTCATGGCAAACAACCCAGGCTACGTCAGGGCCTCCCATACACGCCCAGAGAACCTTGCCCACATGTGCACACAGCACGCTCTTGACTCTAAGTTATTTGAGGATGGGGCTGGCTTTTTCTTTCCCTTTTTTTTTCTTTTTTTTTTTGAGACAGAGCCTCACTCTGCTCCCCAGGCTGGAGTGCAGTAGCGTGATCTCGGCCCACCAACCTCCGCCTCCTGGATTCAAGTGATTCTCCTGCCTCAGTCTCCCCAGTAGCTGGGACTACAGGCACACACCACCACGCTTGACTAATTTTTGGTATTTTTAGTAAAGACAGGGTTTCATCATATTGGTCAGGCTGGTCTCAAATTCCTGGCCTCAAGTGATCCATCTGCCTTGGCCTCCCAAAGTGCTGGGATTACTTGCAAGAGCCACCGCGCCTGGCCAGAGCTGGCTGTTTCAGAGCCACAAATCCAGTGCAGCCTGGTCCAGGTGTCAGTTCTTGATCTCTGCTTGTAGCTTAAATGGAGGGGTCCTGGCCTCTACTACAAGGTGGGGAGAGGAGGCTGCACAGAGACAAGGGCTTGAATCCTAGCTCCTCTACCTCCTTGCTGTGTGACCTCAGGCAAGTTGCTTCACCTTTCTGAATGTCACTTTCCTCCCCTACGAAACCCTCCAAGGAGGATTGCCTGAGGCCAGGATGTCGAGGCTGCAGTGAGCCATGATTGCACCACTGTACTCCAGCCTGGGCGACAGAGCAAGACCCTGTCTCAAAAAAAAAAAAAAAAGAAAAAAGTCCAGGCCGGGTGGCTCATGCCTGTAATCCCAACCCTTTGGGAGACCAAGGCGAGTTGATCACTTGAGCCCAGGAGTTCAAGACCAGAACAGCCTGGGCAACATGGTGAAACCCCATCTCTATAAAAAATACAATTAGCTGGGCATGGTGGCGGTGTGCACCTGTAGTACCAGCTACCTGGGAGGCTGAGGTAGGAGGATCACCTGAGCCTGGGGAGGTCGAGGCTACAATGAGCTGTGATTGTGCTACCACACTCCAGCCTGGGTGACAGAGTGAGGCCCTGTCTCAAAAAAAGAAAGAAAGGGGCCCAGCTTGGTGGCTCATGCCTGTAATTCCAGCACTTTGGGAGGCCGAGGCAGGCGTATCACCTGAGGTCAGGAGTTGAAGACCAGCCTGACCAACATGGTGAAACCCTGTCTCTACTAAAAATACAAAAATTAGCCAGGCATGTGGCAGGAGCCTGTAATCCCAGCTACTCGGGTAGCTGAGGCAGGAGAATCGCTTGAACCTGGGAGGTGGAGGTTCCAGTGAGCTGAGATCGCGCCATTGCACTG
Source organism: Homo sapiens (assembly GCF_000001405.40). NCBI lineage: Eukaryota > Metazoa > Chordata > Mammalia > Primates > Hominidae > Homo > Homo sapiens. The sequence goes on along the minus strand of NC_000019.10, from coordinate 9,946,006 downwards.
CAGCCTGGGCAACAAGAGCGAAACTCTGTCTCAGAAAAAAAAAAAAAAGAAAGAAAGAAAGAAGAAAAAATAAAAAGAAATCTTCTCCAGGACTATCGCAGGGGTTGAAATGAGCCCCCTGCTGGGCCTGGCTTGGGGCAGACCACTCTGCCTTAGAACGGCTGTGGTTCTGAGCCAAGTTCCGGCCGCATGGCCTTAGATCAGGGCCCTGCTCCTTCCTGCTTTGGTAAGGCTGGGAAGCGTTCCTGGGTCTCCTTGTCCCGCCAGCTCATGCCTCAATTCCCAGGCCCCTAATAGGAACCACATGCGCTGGATGCCTGCCCTCCTCCCCCTTCCCTCCTCCTCCCCCAGAGAGGCCTCCTGAGTCATCCTCTCCACCTCACTCCCTCCTTGCAGCCTCATTCCCACGCTGCCCTGGCCTGGCGTCCTCGTGTCAGAGGGCTGTGTCGTGGGTCCCCGCGGGTCTGTTTGTGTGTGAACTCTGCCTCTACTGTGCCTTTGTGGGCGTGACTCCGTGTCTGAGTTATGGATCAGACACTGTGAGCGTGCTCTGTACAAATTCCATGCTTCTGTTTGCGTGTCTGTGCAAGAGTGTGTTGGCATGTGAACTGTCTGCCTGTTTTATGTGATTGTATTGTGAGTGTTTGAGTAAACGGATGTATAAATATGTCTATGCTGGAGACCTGTGTGTGAGCTGTGTGTCTGAATTGTGGGTTTTGTGGAGTTGTGTGTGTGTCTATTTTCTTTCTCTCTCTCTCTTTCCTTCCTTCCTTCCTTCCTTCCTTCCCTCCCTCCCTCCCTTCCTTCCTTCCTTCTTTCCTTCCTCCCTTCCTTCCTCTTTTTCTGCTGCTTTCTTTCCTTCCTTCCTTCCTTCTTGCTTTCTTCTTTCTTTCTTTCTTTCTTTCTTTCTTTCTTTCTTTCTTTCTTTCTTTCTTTCTCTCTCTCTCTCTCTCTCTTTCTTTCTTTCCCTCTCTCTTTCTCTCTTTCGTCTTATTCTGTCACCCAGGCTGGAGTGCAGTGATCTCAGCTTACTGCAACCTCCATCTCTCGGTTTCAAGCAATTCTCCTGCCTCAGCCTCCCGAGTAGCTGGGATTACAGGCATGCGCCACCATGCCAGGCTAATTTTTGTATTTTTAGTAGAGACGGGGTTTCATCATGTTGGCCCGGCTAGTCTCAAACTTCTGACCTCAAGTAATCCACCCACCGTGGCCTCCCAAAGTGCTGGGATTGCAGTTGTGAACCACAGTGCCTGGCCCCTTTCTTTCTTTCTTTTTTGAGACAAGGTCTCACTCTGTTGCCCAGGCTGGAGTCCAGTGGTGCAATCAGCTCACTGAAGCCTCAATCTCTCAGGCTCAAGCAATTCTCCTGCTTCAGCTTCCAGAGTAGGTGAGACTACAGGCACAAGGCACCATGCTCAGATAATTTTTTATTTTTAGTAGAGATGGGCTCTCATTAATTAAAAGAATTACCTGGGTGAGGTTGGGCATAGTGGCTCATGCCTGTAATCCCAGCACTTTGGGAGGCCAAGGTGGGTGGATCACGAGGTCAGGAGATCGAGACCATCCTGGCTAACATGGTGAAACCCTGTCTCTACTAAAAATACAAAAAAATTAGCTGGGCGTGGTGGCAGGTGCCGGTAGTCCCAGCTACTCGGGAGGCTGAGGCAGGAGAATGGTGTGAACCCAGGAGGCAGAGCTTGCAGTGAACCGAGATCGCGCCACTGCACTCCAGCCTGGGCGACTGAGCAAGACTCCATCTCCCCCCCAAAAAAAAAAAGAATTACCTGGGCGAGACCCCAACTACTTCCTTTTTTTTTTTCTTTTTTTGAAAAAAAGAAAAGAGACAAGGTCTTACTCTGTCACCCAGGCTGGAGTACAGTGGCACCATCACAGGTCACTGCAGCCTAGAACTCCTGGGCTCAAGTGATCCTCCCACCTTGGTCTCCTAAAGTGCTGGGAATACAGGTGCCAGCCACTGCACCCGGTCAATAGGTTGGCTTTGAGTCAGATGGAACTGAGTCTGAATCCTGTGTCTGCCCTTTATAGCTGGGTGACCTCGGGCAAATTACTTAACCTCTCTGAGCCTCAAAGTTTTCATTTATTTATTTATTAGAGACAGGGTCTCGCTCTGTCACCCAGGCTGGAGGGCAGTGGTGCAATTGCAGCTCACTGCAGCCTCGACCTCCTGGGCTCAAACGATCTTCCCTCCTCAGCCTTCCAAGTAGCTAGTACTACAGGCGCAAGCCACCATGCCTAGCTACTTTTTGTATTTGTTGTAGAGATGGGGTTTTGCCATGTTGCCAGGCTGGTCTCAAACTCCTGGGCTCAAGTGATCTGCAGTCCTCTGCCTCCCAAAGTGCTGGGATTATAGGTATGAGCTGCTGCACCTGGCCTGCATTTTTAAATGGGGGATAACAGTGCCTACCCTACAGGGTTGTTGTAAGAACTCAAGGAATTAATGTATGGAGAGGATGTATCCCAGTGGTGGGTGCTTCACTGGAGCTCAGTGAGTCAGGAAGGTTCCTGTTAAAGAGATGTTTCCAGCATGGTCCAGGAGGGAGTACTGAGTAGGTAGGTCATGAATAGCTTGGAGTATTGGGGCTTCGTGAATTATGAGGTTCTCTTCAGACAGATAAAGGGAATGAATCTTCCAAGCACATATCAATCACGGTTTAGTTGCAGGAAATGAGAACCAAAACCAGGGAACTTGGTGCTTACAGAACCAAGGCTGGAGAATAGGGATCTAGGGAAAGCCGATAGAATGACTTGCTACAAAACACCACCTCCCGGCTGGGAGCAATGGCTCACCCCTGTAATCCTATCCCTTTGGGAGGCCAAGGAAGGCACATCACTTGAGGTCAGGAGTTCAAGACCAGCCTGGCCAACATAGTGAAACCCTGTCTCTACTAAAAATACAAAAAACTAGCTGGGCGTGATGGCATGTGCCTGTAATCCCAGTTACTCTGGAGGCTGAAGCAGGAGAATTGCTTGAATCCAGGAGGTGGAGGTTGCAGTGAGCTGAGATTGTACCACTGCACTCCAGCCTGGGCAACAGAGCGAGGCTCCATCTCAAAACAAAAACAAAAACAAAACAAAAACCATCACCTCCCAACTCACCCAAGCAGGAGCTTCTGCCTCTATTATTAGCAGGGAGGTGGAGAATTATCCCCTAGAGTGGGGATTTTTGACTTTAAGACTACATCACCATAATTAATGAACAAAATATGGGATATCCACACAATGGAATATTATTGAACCATAAAAAGGAACAGCATGGCTGGGCGTGGTGACTCACGCCTGTAATCCTAGCACTTTGGGAGGCCAATGCGGGTGGATCCCTTGAGCCCAGGAGTTTGAGACAAGCCTAGGCAAATGGAGAGACTCCATCTCTACAGAAAATACAGAAAATTAGCAAGGTGTGGTGGCATGCAACTGCAGTCCCATTTACTGGGATGGACTGAGGTGGAAGGATTGCTTGAGTCTGGGAGGTGGAGGTTGCAGTGAGCCAAGATCCCATCACTTCACTCCAGCCTGGGTGACACAGCGAGACTCTATCTCAAAAACAACAACAACAACAACAGCAACAGGAACAACAAAACAATGAAAACACCAGGAAAGTTGCAATTCAGAGATACGGAGGCAGTCATCATTGTTACTGCAATGGACTCTCAACAAAAACGGGTTGTTCTCACAATTGGAAACAGGAACATTCCTGCAGGAAAATCCAGTGTCTCCCAATTGTGCTTAGCAGCTGCCTCTACCAGCATAACAGGAAGATTAATTCCACCTTCTTCCACCACCCACTTCTCATGCTTCTAATGGATGAAACCTAATTGGCCTACAGAAGTTTAGCTGCAAGGGAGTCTGGAAGTATTTTCGCTTTGCAGGCTCTATAATAAGGAATGCATACTAGGGGGTTGAAATGATGCCAAGAACCACCCCCTGCCCAAAACCATATATTTTGGTTTTGCTTGTACAGTGTCCTTTCTCTCTTTTAGTGGTCAACATTCTATATCCTTCTCTACCTCCCACTTCCTATCCAATGTAGGTTGAATAAGGCTAACTGCACTCTCTGGCTCCGTGGGGGTGATCTATGAGCCAGACCTAGCCAAGCCAAATAATGAATTCCTCTGAATACATAATTGGTTCAGGATGGGCACACAACTTGGGATGCATAATGAGACATTATTTTGCAAGCTCTCTTTTTGCTGATGCTGCTGAGCTTGGAAGAGAGAAGCTTCTGGAAACCATCTTTGTCATCTCTTGGCTAAAAGTGAATCCTTCCCAAAAGACAGCATGGAATGAGAAATGAGAGATGAGAAATGAGAGATGAGGAATGGAGAGAGACAGAATCCTGATGATATAACAGAAACCCTGGATCCAGCCATGACTGAATTCCACTACCCTCATTTTTGTTTAAGTTATATGAGCCAATAGATTTTTTTTCTTAATCCAGTTCAAGTTGAGTTTCTGCTAAATTCTACCAAAGGACCTCTAAATAATATATTCAGGGATTAGCAAGAGCAAAGGTATGTGTTGGCAGGCATTCACTTCATGATCATTTTCTCTATGAAGTGGGTGGTGCAGGGTGTGAGGAAACAGATGTGGGCTGTGAGAGGGTGACAGGAACCCATGGCTGTCCAAGTTCCTGTCTAATTGGCTGTCCAAGTGCCAATTAGAAAAACCCAATGGCCAGATGGCAAGATCCAACGCCCTGCCTCCCTGCTTCCTGTCATGGAGAATGACCTGTGCCCAGTGCCAGACCCTGAGTCCCCAGTTCATCCATTTTGCCACAATAGATCCTTGAGAAGCGGATCCTGATGTCTCTTCAATGATGGCCCACAATTCTGACCACTGCACCATAGACAGTGCACTCTTCTTAACATTAACCACAGTGCTGACCTTGAAGCTGATATCAGTGCAACTAGGATGCTGAGTGTGACTTTGACCTTAGTATGACTCAATCATAATTTTGACCATAGCTTGGCCAGGTCATTATCCACAGCAAGCTCAGGACAAGGACCATAGCACTAGGACAGAGCACAGCATAACCAGGAAACTGACTGTAGTACTAATCACCACACTGACCACAACACAACCAAGAATGACCAGGAGTGACCACAATTCTGACCACAATGCTGACCCTGGCAGAACCAGGATGTTGACGGCAGCACAGATCCCGGTTCAACAGGACACAAACCACAATGCCATCAGGACACCCAGAGGGCCACTAACCATACCAGTCAACGACCAACGGCATCGAATGCATTGACTAAGGTCCAGTCAGAAAAACAGCCCATCCCAGCAAATTCAATAGAAAGAATTTAATATGGGGACTTTAATTAGCCACACACTGAGGTATTAGGTAGGTAGGTTTGTTTGTTTGTTTGCTTTTGTGGGGTTTTTTGAGACAGGGTCTCACTCTGTTGCCCAGGCTGGAGTGCAGTGGAGTAATCATAGCTCACTGCAGTCTCGACCTTCTCAGGCTCAGATGATCGTCCCACCTCAGCCTCCTGAGTAGCTGAGACTACAGGTGTGCACCACCATGCCTGGCTCATTTTTGTATTTTTGGTAGAGATGCAGCATCTCTACAGAGATGTTGGCCAGGCTGGTCTTGAACTCCTTGGCTCAAACAATCCACCTGCCTCAGCCTCCCAAAGTGTTGGGATTAGAAGTGTTAGCCATGGCACTCAGCCGATAGGTAGGTTTTGTTTTTGTTTTTTTCTTTTTTGAGACAGAGTTTCACTATTGTTGCCCAGGCTGGAGTGCAATGGCATGATCTCAGCTCACTGCAATCTCTACCTCCTGGGTTCAAGCGATTCTTCTGCCTCAGCCTCCTCAGTAGCTGGCATTACAGACACCTGCTACCATGCCTGGCTAATTTTTTGTATTTTTAGTAGAGACAGCATTTTGCCTTGTTGGGCAGGCTGGTCTCAAACACCTGACCTCAGGTGATCCACCCACTTCAGCCTCCCAAAGTGCTGGGATTACAGGTATGAGCCACCGCACCTGGCCCTATTAGGTTGGTTTTAAGCGCAAACTGGAGCAGGTGAATCAACTCTAGTTGCTAGCTATCATCTTTGCAAGGACTGAAACAACAAAGGGAGGTGGTAGTTACCTGAATCCAGGAGCTGCAGTTACCTGGCCAGTCACCTGCCCCCACCCCCCACCATGGTGGGGAATACCTAATGGGACTGAGACCACAGAGGAGGCACAGCAGCCATGGCTAGAGACACTCAAAGTGGAGGGGGGGAAATTCTCTGGCTTCTCCTTTCTTGGCACCCTCCAATCTGCCTGTAGACCTCCCATTGGCTGAGCCTAACCAGATGCAAAGAAGCCTGGGAAATGTAGTGTGTAGAGAACCTGAGAAAGATAATTTGCAGGAGCCATTGCCCTGATACAGAGGGGAGCAGGGGGAAAGTGGGGAATAGATCTAAGTGCATATCGACCAAATTCCAACCATATAACACAGGCTGTAGCTTAGTTGTAACTGTGATCGTCTTAGTGACCAGAGCCCAAGGAGGACACTGTTCATGGTCCTGAAATGCAGCATTCATGAGTCAAGAGTGCTGACTCTTGACCGTGAGACCCACTCTTGGTCAAGAGCTTGTGGGTCCTACCAACCAATGTCCTCCTTTTATGCAATGCCAACTGCAGGCTTGGCCTGAAGGGCCCACAAAGGACTGTCTCCCATTTGGGAAAAGGAGATAGAAGAATAGGATGGGTGCGGTGGCTCATGCCTGTAATCCCAGCACTTTGGGAGGCTGAGGCAGGTGGATCACCTGAGGTCAAGAGTTCATGACCAGCCTGGCCAATATGGTGAAACCCCATCTCTACTAAAAATATGAAAAATTAGACAGGCCTGGTGGCAGGCACCTGCAATCCCAGCTACTTGGAAGGCCGAGGCGGGAGAATTCCTTGAACCCGGAAGGCAGAGGTTGTAAGCCGAGATCAAGCCACTGCACTCCAGCCTGGGTGTGACAGTGTGAGACTCCATCTCAAAAAAAAAAAAAAAAAAAAGAGATAGAAGAATAAACAGGATGTCTTCGCAGGCTCAGACTCTATTTTGTGTCCACATCCCATGATGAGTGTCCTCAACCCAGTGCATGGTTGGTTATTGCAAGGCGTGCTGGGGAGTGAGTGCTAGCTAGGTGCTCTCTTTGCTTAGAGTCACAGATGTCTCCCAATAACTGCAAAAAACAGGTCTTCTAAGAGGGGGAAAGCTTTTTCCCTAAGGTCACATGGCCAAGAAGTGGCAGCACCAGGGTTGAACCCAGATCTGTGGGTCACCAAGCTCTTTCTCATTGACCTGACAAAACCATCATCGACATGTTTTATCCCCAGTAGGGTTGAGACAGGAATGATCCAGGGTGGTCACAGGCAGCCGTTTCACATGACTAGAGGCTATGGGCTGATAAGATCCTGAAAACCAGGGTGTGGACCAAGCTGGCTAAGACCTACTGGACCCAACATGGCGTTACATTCTACCTAGGTTTCACCTAGGATCTCATTATGTACTCATTAAAATACTAAAATTACCCACCCACCAGCGCCCTTGACAATTCCAGGGACACCCAAATTTGGTGTAAAAGTGGGTGGCACCACAGTCCACCTTTTTCCAGTTTTCATGAATATTCCATCCCTTGGTTAAAGAGATACACAGTGGCCTGTTGTGGTGGCTCACGCCTGTAATCTCAGCACTTTGGGAGGCCAAGGCGGGTGGATCACGAGGTCAGGAGTTTGAGACCAGGCTGGCCAATATGGTGAAACCCTGTCTCTACTAAAAACACAAAAAATTAGCCGGCTGTGATGGCGCACACCTGTAATCCCAGCTACTCAGGAGGCTGAGGCAGGAGAATTGCTTGAACCTGGGAGGCAGAGGTTGCAGTGAGCCGAGATCACACCACTGCACTCCAGCCTGGGTGACAGAGCGAGACTTTGTCTCAAAAAAAAAAAAAAAAAAAAAAAAAAAGAGACACATAAAGGTAGCAGTCCCAAACCACCTTGCCCATCTCTCTCTCTTAAGTACGCCCACTCCCTTTTCTCAAGTGTGGACTTTTCCCTTAACAAAAAAATCTCCGAACTTTTCATGATTTTCTGATTCCTCCTTGAATTCATTCTTGCGATGGTGTTAAGAGCCTGGACACCAGCTGGGGTCGAGGCCCCACCAGCGTCTGGGGAGACCCCTCCTAGCCCAACAGTATCAGGGTCACAAAAATGCCAGGCTTCCTGGCCTCGCATATTTTATGCCCGATTTCTTTCCAATCTGACTTATTTGCCCGCCCCCCTCCTCCACCTCTGCCTACATATATCCGAATCCCTAGAGGGGCTGTGGGGAGGAAAGACGACTAGGGACACTTTTTTTTTTTTTTTTTTTTTGAGACAAGGTTTGCTCCTGTTGCCCAGGCTGGAGTGCAATGGCACGATCTCTGCTCACTGCAACCTCTGCCTCCCGGGTTCAAGCGATTCTCCTGTCTCAGCCTCCCGAGTAGCTGGGATTCCAGGCATGCACCACCACGCCCGGCTAATTTTTGTATGTTTTAGTAGAGGTGGGGTTTTGCCATGTTGGCCAGGCTGGTCTTGAACTCCTGACCTCAGATGATCCACCCTCCTCAGCCTCCCAAATTGCTGGAATTACAGGCGTGAGCCACCGCGCCCGGCCTAGGGAGACTTTTGGAGGAGTGAGAGGCAGAGAAAGGCTGGAAAGCCTCCCGAAAGTGAGGCTAGACAAGGACGCCCTTCATATGCAAATGGCTTCGCGTGGAGGCGGTGTTAATATTTTGATTCTCTCGGGGGATGTGGTCTTTCATCTTGGGCTATTGAAACAGGGAGCGAAGAGAAACTCTTCCAGGTGTGGCGGAGGCGGGGAGGCTTCCAGCGGGAGGACTGGTGGGGAAATGGGGCGCCCGGGGAGAGTGAAAACGAGACGCCCCTTTTTGAGGCCAAGCCCACCCACGTGGCCATTTCCATTGGCCTCTTGCCTGATTCTCGGTCTCCTGTCCCCCCAACCTCAATTTTTTCCTCTTATTCCCCGTCTCCATCTATGCCTCACCCCTCTTGTCCTGGCATTGACCCCTCCTCCAACTTCCAATTTCAGATTCTGCCTCAGTTTCCCTGTTGACTCTTGAGTTTTTAGGGAGGGGGCGTTCATCATTTCCCCTCTCTGCTACCAGGCCTTCCTCCTATTCCTCTCCCCCAACCATTCGTCCCCGTCCCACCTGCAACGTGGGAAATGCCCCCGGAGGGTGAAATTTACAAACACGTGACGGGCACCCCTCCCCCACCTCCGCGACCCGCTCCCGGAATGGCCTGGGGGTTGGGGGGCGCTGCCAAGTCCTGTCCTCAGGTCCCCTCGCCGGCGCTGGCTCCCCCACTTCCCCGCCCCCACCCCCCCACCCGACCCTGCTCGAGCTGCTCCCGAAGAGGAGCTGGGGGCGGGGCGGGGGGCGGAGCCCGCAACAAAGACTCGGAGCGAGCGAGGGGGCGGGGGTGGGGCGGAATCCCGGCCGCCGGCGAGGCGGGGGAGGCGGCGGCGCAGGGTCGCCCCGGCCGGGCGGGCGGGGTCGCGCCTGGTGGCGGTCCCCGCGCCGAGGCGCCGCTAGGGCGGGCGGGGGTCGGGACGCCGGGCTAGGGGCGCGTCATGTGGCCGCTCACGGTCCCGCCGCCGCTGCTGCTGCTGCTGTGCTCAGGCCTGGCCGGACAGGTAGGGGCCCGGCGGGCAGGTGCGGGCGCGGGTGGCTCCGGGAGAGGAGGGGGGCGCGGAGGGTTCCCGGAGAAACGGGGTTGGGAGGCTCCACAAGCCCCCCCAGCTGCAGGGCGGCGAGGGGCGGGGGTCGCAGCGGGGGAGGGGCCGGGACGTGCACTCTCTGGCTTGGGAGAGGACGAGGGGGGCTTCAAATCCAGCCTCAAGCTGGGCTGGTTTGGGGGGTGGCGTCTTTGGGGTTCTCAACCCCTCCATGGCCCCGAGCCCCCACCCCGCCATCTCGCTGGAGCTGAATGGGGTTGGGAGGGAAACTTCAGGGGGCATTGGAGGGGGGCGGTTGCTTACCCTTGACTTCCTCTTCGGGGCCGAGATGCCCAGTTTCTGAAGCCCTCCACTCCTCGCCTGCAGCCCCCAGTGTGGGGCAGGGGACGGGACTCACGTGAGAGTGACTGACGGGGACGCGTGTGAAATGCTGTGGGGGTGCAGGGTAAACGTGTGTGTCTTTGTGTCGTGGTTGGGTGTGACCGGGGGGAGTTTGTGTGTGTGGCGGTTGGGGGGCTTGTCCAACTAGTGCCCGAGTTGGGGTGTGATCAGTACGTGAGACAGAGTCTGTGTGTGACCGTGTCCTCATTACTGGCTCCAGATGACTGGGTGTTGTACAATACGTGTGTGGCCAGGTGTGTGGCCGTGTGAGAGCCTTGGAGTGAGCGTGTGCTATTCTGTACCTTTGGGTAAATCACTCTAAAAGGGTGTGTGTGTGTGCAAGCGCTGTGTGTGCAAACGTGTCCATCCATGCACGTGTGTGTGTGTATCTTGGTGCCTTGCTCACAACCGCACACGCCATTCATACCCTTACAGAAGCGGGTCTCCCTCCCCATGGCACCTTTCTCTTGGGCAGGCTCAGGGAGGCTTGCAAAATGTGGGGCGTCCACGCTCTCTTTTGCTATTGGAAAGCCCCTCTCCTCCTCCATCTTGGGAGTGAGAGCACCCCCAAGTTCTCAGATCTGTAGGAGTTCACAGGGAAGCTGGGATCAAAAATAATAAAATAGTCATTATGATAACAGTGATCATTCATTACGTGCTAATTTGAGAGGTGCTGTTTCAATCACACAGCACAGACTAAGGCATTTAACCCCCTCTGCCTCCTCCCTACTAGAGCATGGTATTGTTACCTCATTTTATGGATGGGGAAACTGAGGCGCAGAAAAGTTAAATCACTTGCTCAAGCTCGAGAGTGACAGAGGTGGGACTGAACCGAGGCAGTCCGGCTCCTGAGCCCACACGATTACCCTCTTGTTAAATAATCCGCTCCATGGGTGTGGACAGCGTCCGTGAAGACATTGCTAGGTGGGCTTTTAGGTAGATAGGCAGGGGAGAAACAATTTGGGCACCTTCCCCTTATCAAGAAAAGAATCAGACCCTTGTGCTCACCCCGAGGGGGGTGTTGGGAGGAATGGAGGTTAGACTCCAGATAGAAGGATTTCCAGGCCACGAGGAGAGATTGTGGGGTCCCCTCCCTCGCTCCTCCATTTCCCCACGCATCTCAGCACCCACGCGCTGGGTGGGATAGGGAGTGTGCCCAGCCCCAGGCATGAGGACACACACAATAGGTACTCAATGGATGTGTGAGCCTGAGAGAAGCCAAGAGACACACCTGGGAGACGAGAGACCAAAAGAGGCACACACTTGAGAAACCAGTGGAAAAAAAATGAGCCAGGAATCAAGTTGAATTATCCTTGACCTAGCAGAGGAGACAGAGAACCACCCCCTGTGGCTTCTCCTCCACTCCCTGCTAGGGGGGCACTAGATTTTCTGGCTTCTCACCAAGATTGGCTAGGATGCCAGAGTTTGCTGCCAGAATTGCAATTGGAGGGTGACTCCTACAGCCCCCAGGGCTGGGAGGGAGTTGCTTTGGGGGCGGGACTAACGAGGTCAGTGGAGGCGGGGCTAAAGGACAACGGGGGCGTGGCCAAATGAGGTAATCCGTTAGGGCGGGGCTGGTGGAATCCTGCCGCGGGCTGCAGTGCCTCCAGGCGGCCACCGCGGGAACTACATGGTTGTGAAACAGTCTCGGCGCCCCATACACCCCCTTGGCGTTGGCCCACCAAGCCTGGCACCCCAGGGAAGGGAGGGGTCTGCAGAGAGGATGCTCTACCCACTCTTCGCTCCCTCCATCACTTTCCAAAGACTTCTTCCCTGTCCCTGATGGGCCCAGGGGTCCTTCCTAGAAATCATTGGTTAATCCATTCAATGAACAGATATGATTATGCACTGGGGATACAGCCACCAACTGAGTCATCAAATCCCTGCTCTCCTGGAGTTGACCTAGCAGAGGAGACAGAAAAGAGCCGAATAACCATGTAATACGGTGTCGGCAACTAAATATACATATAATACAATGCAAGTAGCATGAAGAATAACAGATAAAGTATAGAAGATTAGACTGGAGCCGGGTGCTGTGGCTCACGCCTGTAATCCCAGCATTTTGGGAAGTTGAGGCAAGTGGATCGCCTGAGGTCAGGAGTTCGAGACCAGCCTGGCCAACATAGTGAAACCCTGTCTCTACTAAAAATACAAAAAATTAGCTGGGTGTGGTGGCAGGCGCCTGTAATCCCAGCTACTAGGGAGGCTGAGGCAGGAGAATTGCTTGAACCTGGGAGGCAGAGGTTGCGGTGAGCTGCGATCGCCATTGCACTCCAGCCTGGACAACAAGAGTGAAACTCTGTCTCAAAAAAAAAAAAAAAAAAAAAAGATTAGAGTGATAGCAGTCGGGCATGGAGGCTCACGCCTGTAATCCCAGCACTTTGGGAGGCCAGGGTGAGTGGATCACTTGAGGTCAGGAGTTTGAGACCAGCCCGGCCAACATGGTGAAACCCCGTCTCTACTAAAAATGCAAAAAATTAGCCAGGTGTGGTGTTGCACACCTGTAGTCCCAGCTATTCAGGAGGCTGAGGCAGGCGAATTGCTTGAACCTGGGAGGCAGAGGTTCCAGTGAGCCAAGGTCATGCCACTGCACTCCAGCCTAGGCAACAGAACAAGACTGTCTCAAAGCAAAAAAACAGAAAAAGATTACAAGGTGGGGGCTATTTGAGCCAGTGTGGTCAGGGAAGGTGTCTCTAAGGAAGTAGTGTTTCAGGTGACATCTGAAGGAGGTGAGAGAGGGAGCCTTGTGGGTGTCTGGGGGAAGAGCATTGAAGGTGGGAGGAACAGAAGGTGCAAAGGCCCTGGGGTAAGAACAAGCTTGGTGAGTTTCAGAAGCAGTGTGGACGCTGGTGTGGCTGGAGAGGTCGCGGGGAGATGAGGCCGGGGAAGCCAGACCACTTAGGAACTTGTAAGCTGTGGGCAGAAGTTTGGATTTGACCCAGAGAGCAGGAGAACAGGAAAGCAGGGCCTGTCAGAGGCATTGTCCATTCATCCAGGATCTATCCAAGATGTTCTGGGTTCTGGCCTGGGAGTGACTACCAGAGAGCTTGACAGTTCTGAGCCCCACTATTTTCCTTGTGGAAAAGATGCCTTCCTGATCCCTGCGAAGGCCTCCCTAAGATCTAGCTACATCGTTGGCACTATCTGGGTTTGGGACCAACTCTTTCCTGGGGCTTTCAGAGGATGGGGAGAAGGAATAATTCAGTTTAGATCACGTGCCTCAGGGACTTCACACTTGCTGTTCCCTCTGCCTGTGACACTGTTCCCCCTGGTAGCTATTTATCTCTGATTTCTGCTTAAATGTCACCTCCTCCAAGAGGCTCACCCTGAACAGCTAAGTGAAATAGCCCCCTGCTGCCACTCTCTGAGTGCTTACTCCGTGTTCTTTTTCTTTCTCTCTCTTTCTTTCTTTTTTTTTTTTTTTTTGAGACTGAGTCTCACTCTGTTGCCTGGGCTGGAGTGCAGTGGCGCAATCTCGGCTCACTGCAAGCTTTGCCTCACCGGTTCAAGTGATTCTCGTGCCTCAGCCTCCCGAGTAGCTGGGACTACAGGCACGTGCCACCTGATGCCCAGCTAGTTTTTGTTGTATTTTTAGTAGAGACAGGGTTTCACCATGTTGGCCAGGCTGGTCTTGAACTCCTGACCTCAGGTGATCTGCCGCCCAAAGTGCTGGGATTATAGGCATGAGCCACCACGCCCGGCCATATTTTTCTTTATAGCCCTCGTTTCCACATTTCTATGATTCTTCTATTCATTCATTCTCTGTTTCCCCACTAGAGCGGCAGTTTATCAGGGTTCAGCTAGCTTTGTTGTTTCTCCAGTGTCTAGAGCAGAGCCTGACACACAGTAGGTGCTCAAGAAATATCTGCTGAATGGATGAATGGATGGATGGATGGACCCCCTCACACACACAGAGTGTCTTTCTTTCTCAAACCACAGGATTCTTTTATCAAGAGAGTGTCAGGGGAACACTCGCTCCTGGATGGAAGGCACCAAGAAAATCCATTCTTCAGGCCAGGTGTGATGGCTGATACCTATGATCCCAGCATTTTGGGAGACCAAAGCCAGAGGGTCTCTTGAGGCCAGGAATTTGAGACCAGCCTGGGCAATACAGCAAGATCCCATCTCTACAATAACTTTTTCTTTTTATTTCTTTTTTTTTTTTTATTTTTGAGATGGAGTCTTGTTCTGTCACCCATGCTGGAGTACAGTACAGTATTGTGATGATCTCAGCTCACTGCAACCTCTGCCTCCCGGGCTCAAGAGATTCTAGTGCCTCAGCCTCCCGAGTAGCTGGGACTACAGGGGCGTGCCACCACACCCAGCTAATTTTTGTATTTTTAGTAGAGATGGGGTTTCACCATTTTGGCCAGGCTGGTCTCGAACTCCTGACATCTTGATTTGTCTGCCTCGGCCTCCTAAACTGCTGGGATTACAGGCGTGAGCCACCGTGCCCGGCCTCTGCAGTAACTTTAAAAAAAATTGGCCAGGCTTGTAGTTCTACTCAGGAGGCTGAGGTGTGAAGATCACTTGAGCCCAGGAGTTTGAGGCTGCAGTGAGCTATCATTGCACTACTGCACTCCAGCTTGGGCGACAGACTGAGACCCTGTCTCCACAAAAAAGAAAGAAAGAAAACCCATCTTCTTTACCTGTGCCTGACATTCCACCGATAGGGCACTGTTGTTTAGGGGTAAGACGATGTTCTCCTGGGGCTCCTTTAGAGCATGTAAATGTCCCAGTGGAGGGAAGTAAAAGGAAATTTAAAGACTCCGAGTTAGTGTAGGAAAGAGCCCCTTGGGGCTGGATTTAAGATTATGGAGCTTGAGCGACATCTAGTGGTCGAGTGAGGTTTGTGCAGGGACTGTGTGCGTCTGTGTGACTGGTGGGTGAATGTGTGTGGTTGTGCACCTGTGCGTGGGCGCGTGCGTATGTGGGATGGGGGTGCCCAGGTCAGGGTAAAACAGGTGAGATACTCGCCGCGGGTGCAAACATTTTAAAAAGTTGATGATGATGATGATGATGATATTTGAAACAGAGTCTTGCTGTGTCGTCCACACTGGAGTGCAGTGGTGCGATTTCGGCTCACTGCAATCTCTGCCTCCCGGGTTCAAGCGATTCTCCTGCTCAGCCTCTCGAGTAGCTGGGATTATAGGCGCACAGCACCACAGCCGGCTAAATTTTTTTTTTTTTGTATTTTTAATAGAGACAGGGTTTCACCACGTTGCCCACTCTGGTCTCGAACTCCAGACCTCAGATGATCTGCCCGCCTTGGCCTCCCAAAGTGCTGGGATTACAGGCGTGAGCCACGGTGCCGGGCCTATTTCTAAGACGGGGTCTTGTTCTGTCACCCATGCTGGAGTGCAGTGGTGCAGTCATAGCTCACTGAAGCCTCCAACTCCTGGGCTCAAGTGATTCTTCTGCCTCAGCCTCCTGAGTAGCTAGGGTGACAGGTACATGGTACAGAGTTCAGCTATAGTACAAAATTTAAGGGTATGCCCCCCAAAAAAATAAAAACCAGTAACCAAGATAAATAATATTTTAATGGAACATTTTAAGAAAAATCTAAATTGATGCAAGAAAAATCTATAATGAATAAAAACAAATTTTTAAATAAATATGGGCTCCCCCTCTGCACTTGCATAACTTGCCTCACTCTAACTTTGGCCCCATAGGCATGTGTCTGTGGTGTCATGCGTGTATGTGTATGTTTGGTGACTGTGTGCATGTTCAGGGACCATGAGCACAGGGACATGCTTGTATCATCATCACACCAGTGACTGTATCCATGTAGGCCAACCATATGGTATGTGTGGATTTCTTTCTTTCTTTCTTTTTTTTTTTGAGATGGAGTTTCGCTCTTGTTGCCCAGGCTGGAGGTCAGTGGCGCGATCTCGGCTCACCGCAACCTCTGCCTCCTGGGTTCAAGTGATTCTCCTGCCTCAACCTCCCGAGTAGCTGGGATTACGGGCATGCACCACCACATCCAGCTAATTTTGTATTTTTAGTAGAGACGAGGGTTCTCCATGTTGGTCAGGTTGGTCTCGAACTCCTGACCTCAGGTGATCTGCCTGCCTCAGCCTCCCAAAATGCTGGGATTACAGGCGTGAGCCACCACGCCTGGCCTGGTATGTGTGGGTTTCTGATGAGCCCAGTGGCTGGTGTGGGCAATGACTTTGTAGCCCCAGGATTCAGTGTTAGTGCCTGAGAGACAGTAATGTGCTGTTTTCATTTGTTCCTACATGCATGTATTCATTTATTTTATTTTATTTTATTTTATTTTATTTTGAGACGGGGTCTCACTCTGTCGCCCAGGCTGGCGTGAAGTGGTGCAATCTCGGCTCACTGCAACCTCCACCTCCCGAGTTCAAGCTCTTCTCCCGCCTCAGCCTCCCAAGTAGCTGGGACTACAGGCACACACCACCACACCCACCTAATGTTTACATTTTTAGTAGAGACAGGGTTTCTCTATATTGTTGTTCAGGCTGGTCTCAAACTCCTGACCTCAGGTGATCCACCCGCCTCAGCCTCCCAAAGTGCTGGGATTACAGGTGTGAGCCACCGCGCCCGGCCCATGTATTCATTTAGAGAGCATTCATTGAGAGCCTTCTGTATCTCAAGCGTTGTACTATGCAACAAGCACTGGGTGGTAGTTTGTGCTTTCAAGGGGTGGAGTAGATTTAACTTCTGGAGGAGTTGAGTCTGGCTGTGTTGGGAAAAAACTTGTCATGACAGGAACATTTTATTCCCATATCTAGGGAACTCTTGTCTGAGAACATTGACATGTCCTCCCTGCCAAGGTGGAAGCCCATTCTATCTCTTTTTTTCTTTTTGAGATGGGGTCTTGCCATGGTGCCCAGGCAGGCCTCGAACTCCTGGGCTTAAGCAATTCTCCTGCCTCAGCCTCCCAAGTAGTTGGGATTACAGGTGCACACCACCTCAGTGTGTCTTGCAACTTCATCCATCCAGAGTGCAGCCACAAACCAAGAAGTCACCAGGAAAGAGCAGAGAGTAGGGAGAGTAGATTCCATGAAGACTGTATACAAAAGCTTATTCTCTTTCTCTCTTTTTTTTTTTTTTAGACAGAGTCTCACTCTGTCGCCCAGTCTGGAGTGCAGTGGCACGATCTCATCTCACTGCAACCTCTGCCTCCTGGGTTCAAGCAATTCTCATGCCTCAGCCACCCAAGTAGCTGGGACTACAGGCGTGCACCACCATGCCTGGCTAGTTTTTGTATTTTTAATAGAGACGGGGTTTTGCCATGTTGCCCAGGCTGGTCTTGAACTCCTGGCCTCAAGTGATCCACCCACCTTGGCCTCCCTCAGTGCTGGGATTACAGGCATGAGCCACTGCATCCAGCCTGGAAAAGGTTGTTCTTGTTGCTCCTGGGGACCCAGTAGACTCTCGGTCCCAGTTTACTCTTACTTTACACATAGTTCCAACAATCCTGGGCAGCTAGTAACTAGCCTTGCTTAATAGATGAGAAGACAGGTGTCATTGCACAAGAAGAAAGAAACAAAAAGGCAAAGCCAGTTCAGCCATCAAATGAAATGGCAAATAGCTTCTCACTTTTTAGGCTCTAAGAGAGTCCTGGTGAATCCCAGGAAGAATACATGATGAGCACATGGTGAGCCGGGTTCTTTTTAAATTTTATTTTGTTTTTTTTTTTTTAAGACGCAGGGTCTTGCTCTGTTGACCAGGCTAGAGTGGAGTGGTGTGACCACAGCCCACTGTAGCCTCAACCTCCTTGGCCCAAGTGATCCTCCTACCTTAGCCTCTCAAATAGTTAGGACTACAGGTGTGTACCACTACATCCAGCTAATTTTTCTCTTTCTTTTTCTTTTTTTTGGTAGAGATGGGGGTCTCACTATGTTGCCCAGGCTGGTCTTGAACTCTTGGCCTTAAGTGATCCTCTTGCCTCAGCCTCCCAAGGTGCTGGGATTACAGGCATGAGCCACAGGGCCCAGCTAATTTTTGTATTTTTAGTAGAGACAGGGTTTCACAATATTGTTCAGGCTGGTCTCGAACTCCTGACCTCAAGTGATCCGCCTCAGCCTCCCAAGGTGCTGGGATTACAGGCATGAGTCACTGCACCCGGCCCACATTGTTTCTGTTCCTAATTTCTCTAGTAATTTCTATGAGAAAGACACTGATAGAGGCACTCACTCACTCAGGAGGGACGTGACACAGTCCGCTCTGAATGGCTGTCAGTTGCCAAATTTGGGAGACAGATGCAGCCGACACATGGTACAAAGTGCCAGATGTCAAGAGTCAAGTGGGCTTCCTGGGGGAGGTGGCATTTGAGATGGGCCTTGAAGGATGAGCGAGTGAAGACTGGAGGGTGGACACAGAAGAAAGTCATTGGTCATGCTGACAAGACCTGGTGGGTTTACCCTTATTTTACATGATTCTAACCATGTTTAAAAGAGGGGAAGTTTCTGGAAATGGGAACTAGGGTAAGTGTGTGGTTGATGCCTATGGTGGGTGCAGATAGGAGAAGGGAAGTGAGCTTGAAAAGGTTGTGATCTGACTGTAAAGGCTTCGAAAGCTGGGTTAAGGATTTTAGAATTTATTTATTCATTTATTTATTTATATTTTTTTCGAGACAGAGCCTCGCTCTGTCGCCCAGGCTGGAGTGCAGTGGTGCGATCTCAGCTCACTGCAACCCTCCCCTCCCAGGTTCAAGCAATTCTCCTACCTCAGCCTCCCAAGGAACTGGGTTAACAGGCGCGTGCTACCACGCCTGGCTAATTTTTGTATTTTTAGTAGAGACAGGATTTCACCATGTTGGCCAGGCTGGTCTCAAACTCCTGACCTCGTGATCTGCCTGCCTCGGCCTCCTAAAGTGCTGGGATTACAGGCGTCAGCCACCGTGCTGGACCTTATTTATTTATTTTTAGAGATAGAGTCTTGCTCTGTTGCCCAGGCTGGAGTGCAGTGACGCGATCACAGCTCACTGCAGCCTCAAACTCCTGTGCTCAGGCAATCCTCCCACCTCAGCCACCTGAGTCACTGGGACCACAGGCGTGTGCCACCATGCCCACATAATTTTTTTTGTTTATTTTTTGTAGTGACAGGGTCTCACTATATTGTCCAGGCCGGTCTTGAACTCCTGGGCTCATAAGATCTTCCTGCCTCAGCCTCCCAAACTGCTGGGATTACAGGCGTGAGCCACTGCACTTGGCCTAGAATTTAGTGAGCTGGTAATAGTGACTCATAGAAGAGGTTGTGCATGTTTAAATGGAAGACTTTAAAAATTTTTAATTGTGGTAAAATACACATAATATAAAATTTATCACTTTAGTCATTTATTTATTTATTTATTTATTTTTGAGATGGAGTCTCGCTCTCTGTCCCAGGCTGGAGTGCAGTGGCGCGATCTCAGCTCACTGCAAGCTCCGCCTCCCAGATTCAAGCGATTCTCCCATCTCAGCCTCCGGAATAGCTGGGACTACAGGCGGCCGCCACCACGCCCGGCTAATTTTTTGTATTTTTAGTAGAGATGGGGTTTCACCATGTTAGCCAGGATGGTCTCGATCTCCCGACCTCGTGATCCGCCCGCCTCAGCCTTCCAAAGTGCTGGAATTACAGGCGTGAGCCACCATGCCTGGCCTAGAATTTCCATCCTTTTAAAGGCTGAATCATATTCCATGTATGGATATACCACATTTTGTTTATCCATTCATTCATCAATAAATAGACACTGGGTTGTTTTCAGCTTTTTTTTAAAAAAAAGTCTTAATGTTACAGAGGAGGTCTCTCTCCATCACTCAGGCTGGAGTGCAGTGGCACCATCACAGCTCGCTGCAACCTCTATCTCCTGGGCTCCAGGGATCCTTCCACCTCAGCCTCCCAAGTAGCTGGGACTACAGGTGCATGCCACCACGGCTGGCTAATTCTTAAATTTTTTCTGTAGAGATGGGGTCTTGTCATCTTGCTCAAGCTGGTCTTCAACTCCTGGCCTGAAGCAATCCTCTCACCTCAGCCTTCCAAAGTGCTAGGATTACAGGTGTGAGCCACCGCGCCCGGCCTGGTTGTTTTCACCTTTGGGCTTTTTTGAATAATACTGCTATGATCACGGGTGTACCAATATCTTTTTGAGACACTGAGTTCAATTCTTTTGTGTACGTATTCAGAAGTGGCATTGCTGGGCCAGGCGCGGTGGCTCACACCTGTAATCCCAGCAATTGGGAGGCTGAGGTGGGTGGATTGCTTGAGCCCAGGAGTTTGAGACCAACCTCAGCAACATGGTGAAACCGTGTCTCTACAACAAATACAAAAATTAGCTGTGCCTGTGGTCCCAGCTACTTGGGAGGCTGAGGTGGGAGGATTACTTGAGCCCAGGAGGTCAAGGCTGCAGTGCGCCATGATTGTACCATTGCCTGGGTGACAGGGTAAGATCCTGTCTCAAAAAAGAAAAAGTATTGCTGGGTCATATGGTAACTATGTTTTAAGTTTTTGAAGAACTACGATAATGTTTTCTACGGCGACTGCGCTATTTTACATTCCCACAAAGGGTTCCTATTTTTCCACATCCTCACCAACACTTGCTATTTTTGTCAAAAGCCTCTGACCACAACGTTTTTGTCAACTGAATAATATATAACTTTTTTTGTTTTGTTTTGTTTAGACAGGGTCTCACTCTGTCCCCCAGGCTAGAGTGCGGTGGTGTGATCTAGGCTCACTGCAGCCTCCGCCTTCCGGACTCAAGCCATTCTCCCACCTCAGCCTCCCAACACGCTGAGTAGCTGGGACTATGCACCGCCAGGCCTGGCTAATTTTTTGTAGAGCTAGGATTTCACCATGTTGCCCAGGCTGGTCTCCAACTCCTGGGCTCAAACGATCTGCCTGCCTCAGCCTCCCAAAGTGCTGGGATTACAGGCATGAGCCACGGCGCCCAGCCATAACTTTGTTTTATGTGTGTTTCTGTTTTAGAATATCATATATATATATCAATCATATCTATATATATACACGCATATATATATATATATCACATATATATTTATTTTTTGATTCATTAACATTGAACTCCCGGCCAATAGCACTAGATCTGATGCCTGAATGAAGCTTCTGTAACACGTCTTTTCTCCGTGACACACGTCACGGCCTTCTTGACTTAGAAACACTAGACTACACTTCAGCACGGTGCGTGGGGGCCACTGAAGATAGCAGAGTCACCAACAAACAGCACAAAAATATGAAAAGCTTGGCACTAAATGGACCATAAAAAAGACACTTGCATGTAGTATCAGAGCTGGAGGAAGAAAGCAGAGTGTCTCCTTATTAGACCTCAACAGGGTTGGGTGACTGAGTATGTTGTCAGGCCGGGAGCAATGGCTCACGCCCATAATCCCAGTGCTTTGGGTGGCCAAGGCGGAAGGATGGCTTCAGCCCAGGAGTTCGAGACCAGCCTGGGCGACAGAGCGAGACCTCCATTTCAAAAACAATTTTTTTTTTTTTTTTTTTTTTTTTTTGGAGACAGAGTCTCGCTCTGTCGCCCAGGCTGGAGTGCAGTGGTGTGATCTTGGCTCACTGCAAGCTCCGCCTCCCGGGTTCACGCCATTCTCCTACCTCAGCTTCCCGAATAGCTGGGACTACAGGCGCCCGCCACCACGCCCAGGTAATTTTTTTGTATTTTTGTAGAGACGGGGTTTCACCGTGTTAGGATGGTCTCGATCTCCTGACCTCGTGATCTGCCTGCCTTGGCCTCCCAAAGTGCTGGGATTACAGGTGTGAGCCACTGCGCCCGGGCTTTTTTTTTTTTTTTTTTTTTTTTTGTAGAGACGAGGTTATTGCTCTGTTGCCCAGGCTGAAATGCAGTGGTACGACCTCGGCTCACTGCAACCTCCACCTCGTGGGTTCAAGTGATTCTTGAGCCTCAGCCTCCCGAGTAGCTGGGATTACAGGCACACACCACCAAGCCCGGCTAATTTTTGTATTTTTAGTAGAGATGGGGTTTCGACATGTTGGCCAGGTTGGTCTCGAACTCCTGACCTCAGGTAATCCACCTGCCTTAGCCTCCCAAAGTGCTGGGATTACAGGCGTGAGGCACCACGCCCAGCTCTACAAAAAAAATTTGTTTAATTAGCTAAGTGTGGTGCTGCATGCCTGAAGTCCCAGCTACTTGGGAGGATCGCTTGAGCCCAGGAGGTAAAGGCAATCCCACCACTGCACTCTTTTCTTTTCTTTTTTCTTTCTTTTCTTTTCTTTTTTCTTTCTTTTCTTTTCCTTTCCTTTCCTTTTCTTTCCTTCTCTCTCTCTCTCTTTCCTTCTTTCCTTTCTTTCCTTCTTTCTTTCTTTCTTTTCTTTCTTTTTTTTTTTTTCCTGAGACAGTCTCACTTTGTTGCCTAGGCTGGAGTGCAGTGGCGATGATCTTGTCTCACTACAACCTCTGCCTCCCAGGTTCAAGCAATTCTTGTGCATCAGCTTCCCAAGCATCTGGGATTACAGGTGTGCACCCACCATACCTGGCTAATTTTTGTATTTTTAGTAGAGACAGGATTTCACCATGTTGGCCAGGCTGGTATTGAACTCCTGACCTCAAGTGATCTGCCCACCTTGGCATCCCAAAGTGCTGGGATTACAGGCATGAGCCACCGTGCCCAGCTACTCCACCCTGTTTCTAAGCAAGAAAAAAAAAATTATCACTGTGCATGTCCACAAATGACCACAAATGCCCCAGCGAGTATTGATCTTAGAGTATAAACAAATTGCAACAAGTAGGCAAATTTGCCAATCTGGAATTTTCGAATCATGAAGCTCAACTGTATATATGTAGGAGTGGAATTGCTGGGTCATAGGGAGAAACTGCTGTACAGTCTTCCAAAGTTTCAGAGACTCTTCCAAAAAGTCAACAACTCTTCCACCAGTAGTGTATGAAGTGTTCCAGTTGCTCCATATCCTCCCCAACACTTGGTGTTGTCTTTCTTTTTCTTTTCTTTTCTTTTTTTCTTTCTTTTTTTTTTTTTTTGAGACAGGGTCTCACTCTGTCACCCAGGCTGGAGTGCTGTGGCACGATCTGTGCTCACTGCAACCTCAACCTCCCAGGCTCAAGCGATCCTCCCACCTCAGCCTCTCAAGTAGCTAGAACCACAGGCATGCAGCACCACTCCTGGCGAATTTTTTTGTAGAGACGGGGTTTTGCCCTGTTGCCTAGGCTAATCTGGAACTCCTGAGCTCAAGCAATCCACCCACCTTGGCCTCCCAAAGTACTGGGATTACAGGTATGAGCCACTGTGCCTGGCCTTTTTTTAGTTTTAGACATTCTGATGGGTGCCAAATAGTATTGCATTGTGGGTTTATTTATAAATTTATTTTTGTTTTTTTGAGTCAGGGTCTGGTTATGCTGCCTAGGCTGGTCTCCAACTCCTGGGCTCAAGTGATCCTCCCACCTTAGCTTCCTAAAGTGCTGGGAACATTGTGGGTTTCATTTACATTTCCTGATGATGAGTGATGTGCCTGATGATGAATTAAGTGCCTTTGCATATGTTTATTGACAACTTGGATATCCACTTTTGTGAAATGTCTAAGTCTTTTGCCCACTTCTCTGTTCAGATGTCTGGTTTTTTCTTACTGATTTGTAGGAATGTGTGTGTGTGTGTGTGTGTATCTAGATTTTACATAGATACATATTCATATTTTACATAACTATAAAATCAGGATATGAGATTTTTATTGGACATAATGACTGCAAATATCTTCTCTGTAGCTTTTCTTTTCATTCTCTTAGTGGTGTCTTTTAATCAATAGAATTCCTTAATTTCATTTCATTTCTTTTTTTTTTTTTTGAGACAGGGTCTCACTCTGTTGCCCAGGCCGGAGTGCAGTGGTGCAATTACGGCTCACTGCAGCCTCGATCTCCCGGGCTCAAGCGATCTTCCCACCTTAGCCTGCCGAGTTGCTGGAGCTATAGGTGCACACCACCACACCCAGCTAATTTTTGTAGTTTTTTTAGAGATGGTGTTTCACCGTGTTGCCCAGGCTGGTCTCAAATTCCTGGGTTCAAACCATCCTCCCGCCCCGGCCTCCCAAAGTGCTGGGATGACAGGCGTGAGCCACTGCACTCAGCCAGGATTTCTTAATTTTAATGTAGTTCAGGCTGGGTGTGGTGGCTCATGCCTGTAATCCTAGCATTTTGGGAGGCCGAGGTGGGCGGATTACGAGGTCAGGAGATCAAGACCGTCCTGGCTAATATGGTGAAACCCCGTCTCTACTAAAAATACAAAATAGCCAGGTGTGGTGGCGGGCGCCTGTAGTCCCAGCTACTTGGGAGGCCGAGGCAGGAGAATGGCATGAGCCCGGGAGGCAGAGCTTGCAGCAAGCCAAGATCATGCCACTGCACTCCAGCCTCGGTGACAGAGTGAGACTCCGTCTCAAAAAAAAAAAAAAATTTAATGTAGTTCAAATAATTTTTTCTTTCATGGCTAGTGCTTATTAGTGTCCTATTTTAAAAACCTTTGCCTAGCTGGGTGCAGTGGCTCATGCCTGTCTTCCCAGTGTTTTGAAAAGCTGAGGCAAGGGGATCGCTTGAGCCCAGGAGTTTGAGACCAGCCTGGGCAACATGGCAAGACCCTGTTTCTACCAAAAATAAAAAAAAATTAGCCAAGCATGGTGGCATGTGACTGTAGTCCCAGCTACTCGGAAGGTTGAGGCAGAAGGATCGCTTGAGCCAGGGAGGTTGAGGCTACAGTGAAGTATGATCATGTGACTGCACTCCAGCCTGGGTGACGGTAGGCAAAACCCTGTCTCAAAACAACAACAACAAAATCCCAAAACAAACAAAAGAAAATTATAATTCTGTCTGTTGCATATAGGTATTCTGAGGGTTAAATGAGTTGTTACATGTACTTTGCTGCAAATGGTGTCTGGAACATGATAGTACTAAATAAATCTCAGCAATTATTGATATTTTTCCAACAGTTACGAGTTTTTTACCACCCAGAAATTTCAAGGGAAATAAACTTTTTTTTTTTTCAAGATGGAGTCTCACTCTGTTGCCCAGGCTGGAGTACAGTGGTGTGATCTCTGCTCACAGCAACCTCTGCCTCCCAGGTTCAAATAACTTTCCTGCCTCAGCCTCCCAAGTAGCTGGGATTGCAGGTCTGTGCCACCACACCTGGCTACTTTTTTTTTTTTTTTTGTATGTTTAGTAGACACAGAGTTTTGCCATGTTGGCCAGGGTGGTCTCGAACTCCTGGCCTCAAGTGATCTGCCTACCTCAGCCTTCCAAAGTGCTGGGATTACAGGCATGAGCCACCGCGCCTAGCCCCAGAAGAAACATTTTTTTTCAGTGGCTTACCAGCACGATGTTCACAGTGATGATGATGGGGAAGAGGGGACACTTTCTTGAGATATTTCTGCATCAGGATTAGCTGGCTCTGGTGCTGGTTTGAATAGAAGAGGAGTGATGGAGAAGGAGGGGTAAAAAGTAAATAATCTCTCATTTCTGACCGTGGGTACATCATTGCCAGGACCAGGGTGATGCAAGCAAGGAATCTTGGGCTCAAAATTTAAGGAGACACCTATTCTTGTGTTAGTACAGTGCAGGGCACCTCAAAGAGGGAGCTTGCAAGTAAAGTTTAAAAATGCCTCCCCCTTTTGTACAGGCAGGGTCTTGCTCTGTTGCCCAGGCTGGAGTGCAGAGGTGCCATCATAGCTCACTGCAGCCTCAAACACTTGGGCTTAAGCGATCCTCCCACCTCAGTCTCCCAAGTAGCTGGTACTACAGGGACATGCCACCATGCCCAGCTACTTAAAAAAATTTTTTTGGTGGGGAGGGGCCAGGTGTGGTGGCTTACAGCTGTAATCCTAGCACTTTGGGAGGCCAAGGTGGGCAGACCACCTGAGGTCAGGAGTTCGAGACCAGCCGGCCAACATGGTGAAACCCTACCTCTACTAAAAAAAAAAAAAAATACAAAAATTAGCTGAGCATGGTGGCTTGCCCCTGTAATCCCAGCTACTCAGGAGGCTGAGGCACGAGAATCACTTGAACCCTGGAGGCACAGATTGCAGTGAGCCGAGCTCTCACCACTGCACTCCAACCTGGGTGACAGAGCAAGACTCTGTCTCAAAAAAAAAAAAAAAAAAAAAAATGGCAGTGGTCCAGGTGTGGTGGCTTATGCCTGTAATCCCAGCACTTTGGGAGGCCGAGGCAGGAGGATCACCTGAGGTCAGGAGTTTGAGACCAGCCTGGCCAATGTGGCAAAATGCTATCTCTACTAAAAATACAAAAACTAGCCAGGTGTGGTGGCGTGCACCTGTAATCCCAGCTACTCAGGAGGCTGAGGTAAGGGAATCACTTGAACCCAGAGGGGAAGGTTGCAGTGAGCCAAGATCAGGCCACTGCACTCCAGCCTGAGTGACAGAGCGAGACTCTGTCTCAAATAAATAAATGAATAGGAAGAAATGAGGTCTCGGCCGGGCAAGGTGTCTCATGCCTGTAAATCCCAGCACTTTGGGAGGCCGAGGCAGGTGGATTACGAGGTCAGGAGATCGAGACCATCCTGGCTAACACAGTGAAACCCCATCTCCACTAAAAATATAAAAAATTCTCCGGGCGTGGTGGTAGGCGCCTGTAGCCCCAGCTACTCCGGAGGCTGAGGCAGGAGAATGGCATGAGCCTGGGAAGCGGAACTTGCAGTGAGCCGAGATCATCCCATTGCACTCCAGCCTGGGTGACAGAGCGAGACTCCATCTCAAAAAAAAGAGAGAGAAATGAGGTCTCACTGCGTTGCCCAGGCTGGTCTCAAACTCCTGGCTTCAAGCAATTCTCCCGCTTCAGCTTCCCAAGGTGCTGGGATTACAGGCGTGAGCCACCGTGCCTGGTGGATCTTCCCTTTTCAGCAGTTTTATGGAGGTATAATTTACAGAGCATAAAATTCACCTGTGTAAGCGTGCAATTGAGTGACTTTTCGTAAATTTACAGAGTTGTGCAGCCATCACCCCGATCCAATTTTAGGACATTTTCATCACCTCCAAAACAGCCCCCGTGCCCATTTGCATTCCATCTCCACTCCCACCCCCACTTGCAGGCAATCTCTCGTCTACTTTCTGTCTGTATTGATTTGCTGTCCCTGGACATTATGTATAAATAGAATCATAAACTATGTGGTCTTTTGCGTCTGGCTCCTTTTACTTAGCAAAATGTTTTTGAGGATCATCCACATTGTAGCATATATCAGGAGCAAATTCCTTTTTATGGTGGAATGGCATTCCATTGTATGGATGTACCGCAATTTGTTTATTCACTCACCAGTTGATGGGTCTTTGGATTGTTTCATTCATTATGACCAATGCTGCTATGAATATTCATGTTTAGGTCTTTTCATAGACATATGCTTTGGTTTCTCTTGGGTAGATGGAATTGCTGGGTCTTTAAAAAGAGTTTTAGGGTCTGGCGTGGTGGCTTATGCCTACAATCCCAGCATTTTGGGAGGCTGAGGCAGGTGGATTGCCTGAGCCCAAGAGTTTGAGACCAGCCCGGGCAACATAGTGAGACCCCATCTCTACAGAAAACTTAAAAAATTAGCTGGGCACGGTGGTGTGCCTCTGTAGTCTCACCTATTCAGGAGGCTGAGGTAGGAGGATCACATGAGCCCAGGAGTTTGAGGTTGCAGTGAGCTATGATTGCACCACTGCACTCCAGCCTGGGCAACAGAGTGCCCAGCCCCTCGCCTTAAAAAAAAAGATAAAAGAACTAAAGTGGCCAGGCATGGTGGCTCATGCCTGTAATCCCAGCACTTTGGGAGGCCGAGGTGGGTGGATCTCTAGAGGTCAGGAGTTCAAAACCAGCCTGGTCAACATGGTGAAACCCCATCTCTACTAAAAATACAAAAATTACCCAGGCATGGTGGCATGCACCTGTAAACCCAGCTACTTGGGAGGCTGAGGCACGAGAATTACTCGAACCCAGGAGATGGAGGTTGCAGTGAGCAGAGATTTCACCACTGCACTCCAACCTGGGCAACAGAGCGAGACTCCATCTCAAAACAAAACAAAACAAAAAACAACTAAAGTAGGGTAAGTGGCACAGAGTGGTGGGGTGTTCAGATTGTAGATGAGGTGGCCAGGGAAGGTCCTTTGGATAAGATCACCATATCACTGAGGGTCTTGTTAGGGAAACAAACTACGTGTTTCAGAGAGGGGAAATTTAATACAGGGAATTGGTTAAGTGGGAGAAGAAAGAGTTGAGAAGCCACATGGGATGATGAGGAAATCTGGCATAAGCTACAGCAGAAAGCTACTGGAGGGACATGGCAAAGAGAGGATGTGATAAGGAAGGGACCCTTGGGGAGGAACTGGCACTATGGAGGAGGTGT
This sequence comes from Homo sapiens, assembly GCF_000001405.40. Lineage (NCBI taxonomy): Eukaryota > Metazoa > Chordata > Mammalia > Primates > Hominidae > Homo > Homo sapiens. The sequence goes on along the minus strand of NC_000019.10, from coordinate 9,917,563 downwards.
AGCCACTGTCAGAAAACACCCTCCACCCCAAGCAGACACAGGAGAGAAACACCCTGGCTTCTGCCTTCCTCTCCAATCTCCGATCTCCCTCCAGTGGCTCCCATTGGATAAACCGACCAGGAAGCCAGTATGCAATGGAATCTGGGAAATGTAGTTTTCTGGGGGAAGGGCAGGGCATGGCTCTGACCCACACAATGACAGAGCAGAGATATAAATTAAATAAAGGACCGGGAATGGTGGCTCGCATCTGTAGTCCCAGCTACTTGGGAGGCTGAGGCAGGAGAATAGCTTGAGCCTAGGAGTTAGAGGCTGCAATGAGCTATGATTGAACCACTGCACTCCAGCCTGGGTGACAGAGCAAGACTCTGTCTCTAAAAAATACATTAATTAAGTAAAGGAACAAGCCATGGGGGGCATCCTTGATGTATTTTGTGTAGAAGGAACAGGAAGTTCAAAGGTCCTGAGGTTGCAGTGTCCCAGATGGAGCCAAAACCTTGAGAGTGGGTGTGATGGTCCAGGCAGAATGAGAGCGGCAGGGAACCCAGGACAAAGCCCTGAAAGATACAGAGTTTTAGGGAGTAGCAGGAGACAGCGACGGCACAGCCAGAGAGGTGGGTGCAGAACTAGGAAGTGATACCGTGTCTCTGAAGTCAAGGGAAAAAGGAGTTTCAAGAAGGTGATGGTGAGTGGGGACTGACTGACTGTGAGAATGATCTAATGAGGACTGGCATGAGGGTGTGGACCTGGCAAATTGGCACCTTTGGTGAGAAGAGTTTTGGAAACGTTGGGGAGGTGGGAGGCAAGGAGTTAAATGCAAGCAAGTGCAAACTCGAGCACAGACCACTCCTTGGAGAAGCCTGGATGCGCTGAACTAAGGCAGTTTCCCACAGCACCCATGGCCAGAGAGTGAGAAAGTTTGTTTGGGTCCCAAATTGTCTAAGCCAGGAGGCCTGGAGCCCAGTTGGTCTTAGGGTCTGAAATCAGACAGTCCTGGTTTCAAAACCTGGGCCCCCACTTCCCTGCTGGGTTCCCCTGATCTGGGTCCCTCTCCTCTCTGAGCTCAGTTTCCTCACCTGGAAATAGGGGTGTCACTGTACTGTTTATGGATGTTGCAGCAGTTGTTAACATTGCATCTGCAAAGTGTTCAGCACTCATCAGTGAAAGCTTTAGAACAAGCTGGCAAGAACTCATCTTTTTTTTCTTTTAGACAGGGTCTCACTCGTCTGTCGCCCAGGCTGGAGTGCAGTGGCTCGATCTTGGCTCACTGCAACCTCTGCCTCCTGGGTTCAAGCAATTCTCCCACCTCAACCTCCCAAGTAGCTGGGATTACAGGCGTGCACCACCATACCCGGCTAACTTTTGTATTTTTAGTAGAGACAGGGTTTTACCATGTTGGCCAGGCTGGTCTCGAACTCCTGGCCTCAAGTGATCCACCCTCCTCGGCCTCCCAAAGTGCTGGGATTATAGGCATGAGCCACTGTGCCCGGCCTCAAATAATAACAACAATGGTAGCTACTATTTGAAAAACTTACCATGTCCCAGACACTTGTAAAGTATTTTACAAACATCATCATTCCTTATTCTCCCCCTGGCTCACTCCAACTACACTGGCCTCCTTCCTGGTCCTCAAACACTCCTGCCCCAGGGCCTTTGCACTTGCTGTTCCTGTTGCGTGGAACTCTCTTCCCCTAGATATCCAGATGGTTCCCTTCCTCACTTCAGGTCTCTGCTTAAACGTCCCTTTCTCGCCAGGCGCGGTGGTTCACGCCTCTAATTCCAGCACTTTGGGAGGCCGAGGTGGGCAGATCACGAAGTCAGGAGATTGAGACCATCCTGGCTAACACGGTGAAACCCCGTCTCTACTAAAAAATACAAAAAATTAGCCGGGCGTGGTGGTGGGTGCCTGTAGTCCCAGCTACTCGGGAGGCTAAGGCAGGAGAATGGCCTGAACCCGGGAGGCAGAGCTTGCAGTGAGCCGAGATCACGCCACTGCACTCCAGCCTGGGCGACAGAGCAAGACTCCGTCTCAAATAAATAAATAAATAAATAAATAAATAAATAAATAAAAAAGTCCCTTTCTCCAATCACTCTGTTTAAAGTTTACTTCCCCTTCCTCCTAATATCTTATGTACTTTACTTTTTTCCCGTATTTCTTGACTGTCTCACCCCATAGAATATTCATCTTCACATCCAACCCGGAGGCTCATTCTTGGAATGCCAACACTTTGGGAGGCCAAGGTGGGAGGATCGATTGAGGCCAGGGGTTCGAGACCAGCCTGGGCAACATAGCGAGATGCCCATCTCTACCAAAAAAAAAAAAAAAAGAGAGAGAAAAGAAAAAGAATATTCAATTTCACACAGGCAGGCATTTTTGTCTGTTGTTCACAGTGCCTGGGACATAGTAGATGCTCAGTAAATTACCTGATTCTCAGGATGACCAAGCCCTTTACACGTGTTAGGTCTCCACCACCCACTTTGCAGATGGGGAAACTGAGGCAGAGAGGAACAGTCATCCCTACAGGTCACACTTGCATCTTGGTGTTGTCCAGCTCAGAAAAAAAGACGGTTCGAGACCCCTAGCCCCCCTCCCCGCTCATGCTTGGCGCTCCTCCCCAGCCAGAGCCCTCAGCCCCAGGCCGCCGCCTGGAAAGGCCTGAGTCATCGCCGCCTCCAGACGGCGGCGGCCGCGGGCTGAGGGCGACGGCGGCGGCGGAGCGAGGTGATGCGGGGACGCCAGGAGGGGGCGTGAGTGCAGGCAAAACAGAGGAAATTAAAACTAGCCCGGCGCTCCTCTCCGCGGCCCAGCGGCTGCCGCCGCCGGCTGATGCGTGGGCGGACGGGTGGGCGGCGAGGGCACTGCGCTTCCCGCTCCCCCGAGGGAGCGGGCCGGGAGCGGGGTCCCCGGGGCCGCGAGGAAGGTCCGAAGCGTGAGTGCCCCGCCCCCACCCAAAGTTAAAGTTGCAAGTAGACACCTGCCCGGGACTCGCCTCCTAAAAGCCGCGTGCCAGGTCTCCGTGGTCCCTGGGTAGGAAACTGCCCTTGGTAGTCGTGGGAACTCCTCCCGTGGCCGAAGTGACCCCAGGACCGCACCTGCACCCAAACAATTTCGTCTGCTGGCCCTGGATCACGCCACCCTGGGGGCACGAAATGACCGAAGGATCCTTAGAGTGGTCTCAGTGCCCGGGAAGGAAGCCCCTTCCCCCAGCTAAAGGAGACCCTTGGTGACCCGATTCATGGGAGCGCACGAGCGTGTCGCCCCCCCACGCCCCCCAATGCCCGCTGTCCGAGGTTTTAGGTAGCCAGGGTGGGTGTCCCAACAGTGGGTGGGTGGGGATTTGCGACTCCGGCCCCCTGCCGTCTTTGGGTGGCCGGGGTGGGCCGAGGGCGCCTTTACGCGCGGGGTCCCGCGGCTCAGGCTCGAAGAGGGTCTGCGTGCGGGAGGCGGTCCGGGAACACCGCCTAGGGGGAGGGGGGCCGGGAATACCGTTGGGGGGCGGGGCTGGGGAATGCCACCGCGGTGGTGGTGGGGCGCTTGGGGAATGCCACCAGGGGGAGGTCCCCCACCCCATGGAGAGGTCCTCGGCGGGGGGCGGGCGAGGGCGTGGGGTGGGGGGTGGGGGCAGTCTGGGCGCCCCCCGCCCCCCGCCGGGCTCCGGGCCGGAGGCGTGACGTCACGGCGGCTGGAAGTGCCCGGCGCGGAGGCGCGGGAGGGGGCGGGGGCCCGAGCCGGCGCTTTATAAGAGGAGCCCGCCAGGCGCGCCGAGCCGCAGCCCGCGTCCCCGAGCCCCCCCTCACCCCGTCCCGGACCCCCTGCCCCGCAGCTCGCGCTCGTGCCCCCTCCCCCACGCCCCCCCGGGGCGCCTGGGTGTCGAGGGACCGAGCGCCCCGCGGCGGGCCAGAGAAGGGACGCGCGGCGGGCGGCCGCGGGGCATGAGGCGGAGGCGCGATGTCGGTGCCGCTGCTCAAGATCGGGGCCGTGCTGAGCACCATGGCCATGGTCACCAACTGGATGTCGCAGACGCTGCCCTCGCTCGTGGGGCTCAACGGCACCGTGTCCCGTGCGGGCGCCTCTGAGAAAATCGTGAGTGGCCGCCGCGCGGGGGGCGCTCCCGGGGGGCGTGGTACCCGCGCCACAGCCGCTGCCGCCGCCGCAGCCCCCGGGGCCCCCACCTGTCCCCCTCTACCCCTGTGCTTCCCACGACCCTGCCCGGCACGCCTGGGTAGGGGACGCCCTCTCGGGGTTCCAGGGTCGGACGTGGAGGCAGAAGGAGCCCCGGGACCCCTAGCCACCTCCGCGCCATTTAGGATGGTTCTTGCTGTTATTATTGATTATTATGATTATTAGTGAGCAATGTCTGAGCGCGAATAGCGTACCAGGCTCGCTCCGGCCCCAGGGCGGAGGCGACAAGGGCTGCAGAATTGAGCTGAGTCCGGGCTGAGTGGGGTGCAGCGGGAGGAGGGTGAGACTCGGGGGTTTAGAAGGACCCTGTCTCTGAAAGAGGGGAGGATCGAGGGGTTTCCGAGTGTCTCCACCTTCAAGGTCTCTGCCTGGTTGCGTCTCGGCGTCTCTGAGTAGTTCTGTCTGAGTCTCTATTCATTTCCCCTGCTTTGCGTCTCTGGGTCTCTTTCTATTAATATTTCTATCTTTCCTTGTCTCTGTCTCTGTGGCGCTGAGAATTTGTATCTCTTTTTTTCTCTCTTTTTCTCTCCCCTGCACCCCTTCCGCCATTCTTGCCTCGCCATGTGCTGAATATTTATCCCCATAACTCACCCTCCCTGGGAGGTAGACGGGGCGCAGACTGGGGCCGGAGCTGACACTGCCTCCAGAAGCTCCAGGATGGCGCCTTCCCATCCCATCCCCCTTTGAGGCTTTATCCTCCAGCTTCCCCACTACAGAGCTTCCCTGGATCAGGGAAGAAGGAGAGAACTCAGTGGGGTTCTCCCCGTGGTGTCCTGAGGAGAGAGGGGAGGGGTTTCCTTCACTGCAAACTTCCCTGGGCCTCCTCCAGATATGCCTTTCCCCCCACTCCTCAACCTCTGGTAGCCCCACCCCTGTTCCATCTGTTTGGGGGGCTCCTCCCAAATCATCCCCCAAACCCAGGCTGCGATGCCTGGGGCTCCCTTTCTTTAGCCCCAACTTCACCAACCCTCCCTTGCTTAGCCCCAAATGGTCATCCCGCAGCTTCTTTCTCCTTGATGGGAGCAAAGAAGAATTTGCTCCCTAGGGTCGAAGGCAAGGGTGTGTGGTGGTGGTGGGGACACCTGAGAAGGCTTTGTCCAGCCCCTGGTGGGGGTGGTATTGGGCTTGACACAGGTGAGAGCTTTCAGGCTAGATTCTTAGACTTGGCAGCCAATGTGTGAGACGGTGTGTTTCTGTGTGTCTGTCACATTAAGTGTTTATTATTTGGGTATGTCCTGGTGTGTCTATATGTGTGTGTTTCGGTGTGTATATGGGGGAATGGGAGTGGAGAAAGTTTATGTGCACTGCCGGCATGGGGTCCGATGTGCCTTCCTGTGTGTGAGGGTGCATCCCAGAATGAGTGTGGGTGTGTCCCTGAGTGACTGTGCTTGGGTGTGGACGTATCAGCATGTGTATCTGCAATTGCCTGTCCCTGACTATGGGTTTGCCTGTGTTACAAGATTGCATGTGTGCATATGAGTTTGTTATACACAAGTATGATACAGGCTTCTTGCCGTTGCCATCTGAGAAGGGAGAGAGATGGTATCTCATTGAAATCAGAAGCCAAATTTCCCTCTACCACCATTGAAAGCAAGTGAGTCTGTGTACATGTGTTCTATGCAGGTGTGTGTAAATGTGTGCATATGGTGTGTCTGCAGAATGTATAAATAAGTATATAAGAGCATGTCTATGAGTTATGATTTTGTGTGTGCATATGTATCTGTGCAAACGTGTGTGCAAGTATCTTTGTGTGCATATGTGTGGACAGGTATGTCTTTGTAAGTGTGTGCATATAACTGCAAGTGTGTATTTATGAAAGTGTGTGTGTGTGCCTGCCTTGTGTGCATGTGGGTAGGATGCCCTGTGTGCTGTGTGTTTTCTGTAAGTGTGTATGTGTGTGTGCCCAAACAGACCTGATCTCCACTCTGGCCCATTCGTAGCTAACAGCATCTTCATCCAATGCTTCCATGAATTCACCTGCTGAAAGCCAATGGCCCTCCCATCCCTGACACCACCCCATCCCTCAGTCTCATTATACTTTGTCAAAAGGGATCTGAGAAGTGAGATGTTAAGGTACTCAGGGTGAGGGCTGGGAGGGGACTGTGACATGAGGGTGTCCATTTTGGGAGTCTGAAAGACCTATGTTGGAATCTAGATTTTGTCCCCAACTTGCTCTATGACTCTGGCCAGTGCCTTTGTCACTCTGAGCTATTGTTTTCTCATCTATAAAATGGGAATGATGTCTTACCTCACAGAATTGTTGTGGGTAACAGAGATCTGCTGTTCAAATTCCCATCCTTCCACGCTTCCATATATCTCTTCATCCATCCATCCATCCTTCCCTCCATCTATTATTTCATCTATCCATCTGTTTTTACGCCCATCCTTCCATCTGTCTTGCTATCCATATCTCCATTCATTCATTCATCCAACCACCTGTTATTCCATCAGTCTGTCCATCTATCCATCAATTATTTCATCTACCCATCCATTTTCTCTCCATCCATTCACTCATACACCCACCCACTATTCCATCTGTCCATCCATCTGTACATCCATCCTTTCACACATCCATCTCTTTATCCTTCCACCCATCTCTTTTCATCTATCCATGATGCATCATTTGTCTCTCTGTTCTTTCATGGATCCATTCTTCTATCCATCCATCTCTATCCATGCATTCACCAATTCCTCCATGCATGCATTATCCATTATCCAACTCTCTTTTTCTATCCTCTGTGCATCCATCCTTCCACCATCCATCTGCCTCTCCATCCATTCATCTATCCTTCCATCCATTGTATTTATTCCACAAAACTATTTTTTTAAGAGGTGGAGTCTCACCATGTTGCCCAAGCTGGTCTTGAACTCCTGGGCTCAAGGGATCCTCCCTCCTCGGCCTCCCAAAATGCTGGGATTACAGGCATGAGCCACCAGTGCCTGGCCTATTCCACAAGACTATCAAGTGCCTCTTCTATGTCAAGAATTTTTATGTTTGAAAACCCCCAGCTCAGTGCCTAAGATAGCAGATGCTCAGTTAGTGATAAGATTTTTGAGTCAAACATATCTGGGTTTGAATTCTGGCCCTGTAATTTACTAGCTGTGTGACTTTGGGGGAAATTATTTAATTTCTCTAAGCCCCAACTTCCTTATTGTTATTATTATTAATATTATTATTTTTAGAGAAAGAGTCTCACTCTGTCACCCAGGCTGGAGTGTAGTGATGCCATCATAGCTCACTAACATCTGGAACTCCTAGGCTCAAGTCATTCTCCTGTCTTAGCCTCCTAAGAAGCTGGGATTCGATTTCCTTATTAGTCAGGGGGAATTTAGAGTCTTTATGAGATGGTAAGATCCTTGAAGACATCTGTGTTTTGCTCACTACTGAACCCTAAGGTGTGGCGCACATAGGCCTACAATAAATATTTGTCCAATGACTGAATCCACAATCACACCTTCATAAGGATTTGTGGATTCCTCCTTCAAACAAAAACAAATAAATAACGGGCACATAGTAGTGTTTAGTAAGGAGGGGTTGTTTTATTTACCCCTCTAGCCAAGCCTGGAATAAACATTTCTCAAGTGTCTAAATCCATTTCACCTTCCTCAGGACTGGGGAGAACAAATGGAAAGTGACCAGGCACACAGTAGGTGTTCGGTTAGGAGGAGATGTCGGAAGGTTTAGCACCCCAACGTCGGGGAGGCTGAGGGGTTCAGGAAACAAAGCAGTATGGATTCCCAAAGTCAGGAGGCGGAAGGTTGGATGCTGGTGTTTGGCTTTAAAAAGGAACTCAGTGGTGTGGGGCGGTGAGCGTAGAGCCTTGGGGGTCCTGCTTCTCTCTGGCTTCCTCCTCCTGAATTGCAGAAGCAGCTTAGCATTCCTGTGGTTATAGACCATCTCTGGGAAGACGTGGGGAGGAAGCTGCCGCTACTACCTTTGGCCAACTCCCAGCCATAAACCATCCCTGTGGGACAGGAGCCTTCAGCGGAATGGCTTCTCACCTGGGGATCATAAATCCAGGACCAGACTAAGAGCTGTCAGCTGTATTGCCAGCCACGGACATCATTTCGAGGCCTGAAGTAAAATACCTGAATCTTGTATGTTATACCCTTGACCGTCGCCTCTGCCTGGGGGGCTGGAGAGAGGGAAGGGGAGATGGAGGAGGGGTGTGCTATTTGAGGGGGACCTTTTGCTTTATGGGACGAATAAGGAGGAGCTGAGCAGTTCTCAGCAAAAGGCTCTTAGAGTGGCACTGTGGCTCATGCCTATAATTCTCAAGCTTTGGAAGGCAGGGGTGGGAAGATTGCTTGAGGCCAAGAGTTCAAGACCAGCCTGGGCGACATAGCAAGATCCTGTCTCTACAAAAAATTAAAATAGGCTGACCACAGTGGGCTCACATGTGTAATCTCAGCACTTTGAGGGGTCAAGGTGGGAAGATTGCTTGAGGCCAGGAGTTCGAGACCAGCCTGGACAACATAGCAAAACCCCAAAAGAAAATACATTTTTAGCCAGGCACGGTGGCTCACACCTGTAATCCCAGCACTTTGGGAGGCCAAGGCAGGTGGATCACCTGAGGTCAGGAGTTCAAGACCAGCCTGGCCAACATGGTGAAACCCGGTGGCTCACACCTGTAATCCCAGTGCTTTGGGAGGCTGATGCGGGCAGATCACGAGGTCAGGAGATCGAGACCATCCTGGCTAACATGGTGAAACCCCGTCTCTACTAAAAATACAATAATTAGCTGGGCACGGTGGCGGGTGCCTGCAGTCCCAGCTACTCGGGAAGCTGAGGCAGGAGAATGGCGTGAACCCAGGAGGTGGAGCTCGCAGTGAGCCGAGATTGCATCACTGCACTTCCAGCCTGGGTGACAGAGCAAGACTCTGTCTCAAAAAAAAAAAAAAAAAAAAAAAAAAAAAAATTAGCCAGGTGTGATGGCAGGCACCTGTAATCCCAGCTACTTAGGAGGCTGAGGCAGGAGAACCCAGGAGGCAGAGGTTGCAGTGAGCCGAGATCGCGCCATTGCACTCCAGCCTGGGTGACAAGAGCAAAACTCCATCTCAAAAAAAAGAAAAAGAGGAAAAATAAAAAGAATTAGCTGGGCATGGTGGTGCACACCTGTAGTCCCAGCTACTCAGGAGGCTAAAGCATGAGGATTGCTTGAGCCCAGGAGTTGGAGGCTACAGTGAGCTATGATCGCACCACGCCTGGCATGTTGGAGGAACAGGGAGGAGGCCCATGTCTGGAGCATAGTGAGCGAGCGGAAGAGGGAGAGGAGGTGAGGGAAGGAAGGTGATGGGAGCCATATCATGTCGTGGGGAGGGGGATCTTTCAGGGACTTTAGATTTTTAAAATTTTTAAATTTTATTTTATTTTTTTTTGAGATCAAGTCTCACCCTGTTGCCCAAGCTGGAGTGCAGTGGCACGATCTTTGCTTACTGCAACCTCTGCCTCCCGGATTCAAGCGATTCTCCTGCCTCAGCCTCCCAAGTAGCTAGGATTACAGGCATGCACCACCAGGCCTGGCTAATTTTTTGTATTTTCAGTAGAGATGGGGTTTTGCTATGTTGGCCAGGCTGGTCTCCAACTCCCGACCTCAAGTGATCCACTCACCTCGGCCTCCCAAAGTGTTGGGATTACAGGCATAAGCCACCATGCCCGGCCTATATCTGTCTCTTTATCTCATTCATGTCTGTCTCTCCATGTCTCTCTGTGTCTGTCTGTCTCTACCTCTGGGATTCTATCTCCATCTCACCATAGGACCCTGACGGGGACCCTGGGAAACAGACTAGAATTCTTGGACGGCAGAGGCTTCTAGGGCCAGGACCTGTGTTGGATGTTAGGAAGGATTTGGTGACAGAGGGCAGGATGACCAAGACCACCTCTCTTATTTATTTATTTGTTTGTTTGTTTATTCATTTATTTTGAGATAGAATCTCGCTCTCACCCAGGCTGGAGTGCAGTGGCACCGTCTTGGCCCACTGCGATCTCCCTCAATCACCTCCCGGGTTCAAGCGATTCTCCTGCCTCGGCCTCCCAAGTAGCTGGGACTACAGGTGTGCGCCACCCTGCCTAGCTAATTTTTGTATTTTTAGTAGAGATGGGGTTTCAGCATGTTAGCCAGGCTGGTCTCAAATCCTGACCTCAAGTGATCCACCCGCCTCAGCTACCCAAAGTGCTGGGATTACAGGCGTGAACCACCACGCCCGGCCCCAGACCACCTCTCTTGAGGGCCCCAAAGAGAGGCATTGGCAGTGTCTGGACCCCCTGGGTATGCTGGTGATGGGGCCAAGTGTTGACTGGAGATGGAGGTGGGCTCCCAAGCTCCGGGTGACCCCTTGCCCCCTCTGCCCCCGAGCACCATTCCCCCTCCCCGGCTGCCACTCAGGAGGGCGTCCCTCTAGGACCCAGCCACCAGGCCCAGTACTGGCTCCAAGATGGAACAGCTGTCTGGGCTGCAGCTGCAGAAGCTCATTTTGAACAAGGGAGATGATTGCAAGAGTGATTGGGGGAGGGAGAGGGAAGGGGAGGGTAGCTAGGGCCAAAAGGAATCAGGCCTGATTGTTACTGCTGCCTGCCGCTGCAGAGAGTGGATTGCCCAGGAGATGGGGAAGGCCAAGCCAGGCGGGAAAAGGCAGAGGGGAGGTTTGTCTGCCCAGCCGCACGTCCATCTGTCCCCACTCTGGTCCTCCCAGTTGCAAAGTTTCTCTGCCTGCGTCTCTCTCTTCCTGCATTTCAGAGTCCGTATCTCTGACTCTGCAGTTCGGTTTGTATTTGAGTTTCCGCATCTCCCCTTGCCTAATCTCTCTGCCCCTCCGCCTGGATCTCTGAATCTCTGAGCCTTCCCGCTTGTCCCTCAGTGCTGCTGTCGTGATCAGAAACACAGCTAAGGTTTGAGCAGCTCTTGGGCGCGCTCTTTCTTGTCTTGTCATTTCTGCGATACTCAGGGGCCAGAGACACATAGAGGCAACAAATTCCCAGGAAACGGATGGAATGGTGTCCTTCGATAAAGGGATATTTGCAAAGATATCTCAATGAGGACTAATTAATTAAGCGAGCCACTTCCCCTGCCCTCTCCCCCACCCTGTGTGCCCGCAGCCTCCTGGGAGGGAACCAGCCAATGAGTGGATGGCAGAGCCTGGTGCTCAGACAGTGTCTCGATGTTTAATTTATAACAGCCTTCTCCCCGCCGCCCCATCAATCCATCTGGAAGGGCAAGGTGGCCATGGGCGTGTAGACTGTGGCAGAGGTTGGAGACCTACCTGGTCCCCGTGAAAGCATGCTTGGGTGTGTGTGTGCCCCTGTGTGTCAGAGCGTGTCATAGCATGTTTGAGCGTGTCTTCATGGCAAGCACGCCCCATCGTGTAAGGGGAATCTGATGGCCATCAGTTGTGTCTGAACCCAAGGGACGTGTTGGAGTGAATGAGAGCGTGTCTTGTGTGCGGAATGTCTGAGCGTGGCAAAGCCATGCCTGACTGTTGAGGTGCGATGGGGCTTGTGGAGCACATATGAGGATATGGCACATGTTGGGGCTGCTCAGGGTATAGCGCCTGTGCCAGGCTGCCAAGGCCTGTACTTGCAGGTAAAGCTTTTCTTCTCAAGGGCATGGCAAGGTAGGTTTTTGGCAGGGGCTCCTGGTAAGAACAGCAGAGACAGGACAAGGATCCACAGCTTCCAAGAGGAGCCAATCTGAATCTTTCCGGCCCCTTCAGCACTAGTGGCTCAAGAAGGTTGAGTTCCAACTTTTTTTTTTTTTTTTTTGAGATGGAGTCTCATTCTGTCGCCCATGCTGGAGTGCAGTGGCGCAACCTCCACCTCCCGGGTTCCAGTGATTCTCCTGCCTCAGCCTCCTGAGTAACTGGAACTACAGGCACCTGCCACCATGCCTGGATAATTTTTTTTGTATTTTATTTTATTTTATTTTATTTTGAGATGGAGTCTCGCTCTGTTGCCCAGGCTGGAATGCAGTGGCGCAATCTCGGCTCACTGCAAGCTCCGCCTTCCGGGTTCAAGCCATTCTCCTGCCTCAGCCTCCCGAGTAGCTGGGACCACAGGCGCCCACCACTACGCCCGGCTAATTTTTTGTATTTTTCGTAGAGACGGGGTTTCACCGTGTTAGCCATGATGGTCTCAATCTCCTGACCTCATGATCTGCCCGCCTCGGCCTCCCAAAGTGCTGGGATTACAGGTGTGAGCCACCGCACCCGGTCTTTTTTTTGTATTTTTAGTAGAGACAGGGTTTCAACATATTGGCCAAGCTGGTCTTGAACTCCTGAGCTCAGGCAGTCCACCCGCCTTGGCCTCCCAAAGTGCTGGGATTACAGCCATGAGCTACTGTGCCTGGCCTCAACTTTTTTTTTTCCTCCCAAGACAGGGTCTCACTCTGTCACCCAGACTGTAGTGCAATGGCATGATCATAGCTCACTGCAGCCTCGACGTCCTGTGTTCAAGTGATCCTCCTGCCTGAGCCTCCCAAATAGCTGGGACTACAGGTGTGCACCACCACACCTGGCTAATTTTTAAATTTTGCATAGAGATGGAGCTCACTATGTGGCCCAGGCTGGTCTCAAACTCCTGTCCTCAAGTGATCCTCCCACCTTGGCCTCCCGGAGTGTTGGGATTACAGGCATGAGCCACCATGCCTGGCCAGAATTCCAACTCTTGATATAATAGTTGCTTTTCTGTCCTCTGGCTTCCCACCCCCAGTGTGTGGCTTCAGAGTCCCCAGTTTTCCTCATCTCTCTAGTCCTACCAGGCCCCTCAGAGTCACTTCTCAACCCCACTTCTGCTTGCCCCTTCACACTACACACAGGGGAGCTACCAGTGCTGAGGGAAAGTGTTGCCTGTTAAGTTTAGCTTTCTAGTTATGAAGCCCTCAGTATAATACTCAGACTGGGCTGGGCATGGTGGCTTACGCCTATAATCCCAACACTTTGGGAGGCAGACGTGGGTGGATCACCTGAGGTCAGAGGTTCGAGACTAGCCTGGCCAACATGGTGAAACCCTGTCTCTACTAAAAATACAAAAATTAGCTGGGCGTGGTGGTACATGCCTATAATCCCAGCTACGTGGGAGGCTGAGGCAGGAGAATCGCTTGAACCTGGGAGGCGGAGGTTGCATAGAGCCGAGATCCTGCCCCTGCACTCCAGCCTGGGCGACAGAGTGAGACTCCATCTCAAAACACACACACACACACACACACACACACACACACACACACACACACACACACAAACAATACTCAGCCTGGGATTGGAGGCCTTAAGGGCAAGACTAACAGGGTGGTTCAGACAGGTCTGATGATGCAACCCTCAGTGTAATGCCCAACCAGGTAATGCAGCCTTCAGTATAATGACAAGTCTGGTGATGCAGCCCTCAGTGTAGTGCCCATGATAGTGATGTGGCCTTCAGTATAATGACAAATCTGGTGATGCAGCTCCCAGTGTAGTGCCCATCAGAGTAATGCAACCTTCAGTAGAATAACAAGTAGATGTAGCCTTTAGTGTGATGCCAGGATAGTATTGAGGCCAAAAATGTATCTTAAATATGACTTTGGTTCTGCAGATAGATGCTGGCTGGGGCACTTGGTGCAGTGAGAAGGAAAGGAAATTTGTTTATTCTTGGGAGTAAATAGCCAGACATTCTCTGGCTATTCCAGGAGTCCAGGGTTTCCTACCTTGCTGGCCAAGGCTGGCTCCATTAGCCCTCGTAAGTGCCATGTGACCTCAGCAGGACATCAGGCTTATTAGTAGAGCAGAAGTTCTGCAGGAATATTTCAGGTTTCACCGCAATGCTAATGAGTTCGTTGGGGAGACCTAAGATGGCAGCTGACAGATATATACAGATGCCAGTTCCTCCTGAAAGGAGCGTAGGAATGTTTGTGGATACAGGCGGCTGAACAAATGGGTGTGGAGAGTTAATCATGGAAGGGCACAGTTGTTACTTGAATGGATGCAAGTGTGTGGCTTCTGTGTGATTAACATGTTAGTGAATAACATGTTTTTGGCTCCTGGTGAGCATACATGTGGGTACCTGGCTGTTCAGGAGAGCACACAGAGGGCCATGGGTGTTCACAGGGAGGCGTTCACCTGTGTGATGGGCTCTCATGCTGGCACATGTGGCAGAGCTATTTGTGAGTATGGGTATGTGCACTTCTGTCCATGGCTGCAGAATTATCCAGGATAAAAGCAATGGCCAGGTGCAGTGGCTTATACCTATTATCTCAGCGCTTTGAGAGGCCAAAGTGGGAGGATCACTTGAACCCAGGAGTTCAAGACCAACCTGGGCAACATTGTGAGATCCTGTCTCTACAACAAAATATGTAAAAATCAGCCAGGCATGGTGGTGCATGCCTGTAATCCCAGCTATTCAGGAAATCGAGGCTGTCTGTACAAAAAGTACAAAAATTAGCTGGGCGTGGTGGTACCCGCCCGTGGTCCCAGCTACTTGGGAGGCCAAGGCAGGAGGATCACTTGAGCTCAGGAGTTCAAGACCAGTCTGGGCAACATAGGGAGATCCTGTCTCTACAGCAAAAAGTATAAAAAATTAGCCAGGCATGGTGGTGCATGCCTTTAATCCCAGCTACTCAGGAAGTCGAGGCTCCAGTGAGCTATGATCGCACCAGCACTCCAGCCTAGGTGACACAGTGAGACCTTGTCTCTAAAAAGAAACCAGAAAAGGCTGGGTGATCCTCCCACCTGGTCTTGAACTCCTGGGCTCTCACCTGTAATCCCAGCACTTTGGGAGGCCAAGGCAGGTGGATCACTTGAGTGGAGTTCAAGACCAGCCTGGCCAACATGGTGAAAACCCATCTCTACTAAATACAAAATATAAAAATTAGCCAGGCACAGTGGTGGGTTCCTGTAATCCTAGCTACTCGGGAAGCTGAGGCAGGAGAATCGCTTGAACCCAGAAGGCAGAGGTTGCAGTGAGCCGAGATCACGCCATTGCACTCCAGCCTGGGCGACTGAGTGAGACTCCATCTCAAAAAAAAAAAAAAAAAAGATGAAGGCAAGTAAACACAGATATATCCAGTGTCCTCAATATCAATATAGAGTCGGCTGGGCGCAGTGGCTCACGCCTGTAATCCCAGCATTTTGGGAGGCTGAGGTGGGCGAATCACGAGGTCAGGAGATCGAGACCCTCCTGGTTAACACGGTGAAACCCCGCCTCTACTAAAAATACAAAAAATTAGCCAGGCTTGGTGGCGGGTGCCTGTAGTCCCAGCTACTCGGGAGGCTGAGGCAGGAGAGTGGAGTGAACCTAGGAGGCAGAGCTTGCAGTGAGCCGAGATCACGCCACTGCACTCCAGCCTGGGTGACAAAGCGAGACTCCATCTCGAAATATATATATATATATAGTCAGTATATAAAGTGATTACGCAGGTTGACTTGTGGGCTCACGAATTGTACACAGAATCTATGGAAATAGAATGTTTGTGAACATGTGTGAACAAAAGGAATGTTTATTGCCATTGGCAACAGCACACAGACATACATATCCTCTAATGCACAATGGCGTTTCCCTGGATTTCCACTGATGTGCACATATGTGCATAGCTAGTTACAGGCATGTCCAGATACTCCACATGTGCCCTAAACGTGGGAATTCACAGGTGCCTGTGGATAAACAACACAGGCGTCCACATCTGGTTGCAGAATCCCTGTGCACTCCAATGCCTACATGCTGCTCTTTTGGAACACAAATAACCAAATCTCCAGAAATTCTCTGAACTCCTGGCAAAGCGAGATCTCAAAGCCAACAAAGGTGGCCTCAAAAGTGCCCTCAGGCTCTTTTCAAAGGAGTACAGAGGGAAGTTCAGAGTCAGGTGGGTGTCTGAGTTCTCGGCCATCCTGGATAGTGAGCCAGGAATACAGAGCCCTGAGCACAGCCCTGCTCACCACACCAACCTTTCTTTCATTATGTTTTTTGTTTGTTTGTTTGTTTGTTTGTTTGTTTTTGAGACAGAGTCTCACTCTGTCGCCCAGGCTGGAGTGCAGTGACGCGATCTCAGCTCACTGCAACCTCTGCCTTCCAGGCTCAAGCAAGTCTAATTCCTCAGCCTCCCAAGTAGTTGGAATTACAGGCACAGGCCACTGTATCCAGCTTCCTTCCTTCCCTCCCTCCCTCCCTTTCTTTCTTCTTTCCTTCCTTTTTTTTTTTTCTCCTTTCTTTCTTTCCGTCCTCTTTCCTTCTTTCCTTCTTTCTTTTCCTTCCTTCCTTTCTTTCTTTTTCTTTCCTTCTTTCTTTCCTTCCTTTTTCTTTCTTTCCTTCCTTCCTTTTTCCTTCCTTCCTTCCTCACTCTCTTTCTTTCCCTCCCTTCCCTCCCTCCCTCCCTTCCCTCCCTCCCCGCTTCCTTCCCTCCCTTCCTCCTTCCCTCCCTCCCCCCTCCCTCCCTTCCTTCCTTCCTTCCTTCCTTCCTTCCTTCCTTCCTTCCTTCCCCTTCCCTCCCCTTCCCTTTCCCTTTCCCTCCCCTTCCCTCCCCTCTCCTCTCTTGAAACAAGGTCTTGCTCTGTCACTCAGGCTGGAGTGCAGTGCTGCAATCATAGCTCACTGCAGCCTCAACCTCCTGGGCTCAAGTCATCCTCCCAACTCAGCCTGCTGAGTAGTTGGGACTACAGGCATGCATCACCATGCTCAGCTAATCTTTAATTTTTTTGTAGAGACAGGGTTTTACAATGTTGTCCGAGCGGGTCTCAAACTCCTAGGTTCAAGCGACCCTCCTGCCTCAGCCACCCGAAGCGCTTCACCAGCCTTTTTTAGCTGGGATTTCTCTCCCCACCCCCATCACGTTTCACACCTTTCCCCCATCAGAGCTAAGTATGGGGGGCAATGCAAAGAAAGGTGCCCGGCACAAGGAAGGGTGCAGTGCGTGGTAGAGACCGTGGTTTTTATTGAGTCGAATCATGATTACTATCATGAATATTCTCCACCAGTGTGGTGCAGAGAGATCCCGGCCCTTTTCTGTCTCATTTTCCAGCCTTTTCTCACACCTCCTGCGTGTGCTTGTGTCCACCGTGGTGTGCCTCCATCATCCACTGATGCAGCTCCGTCAGTTTCTCTCCTTCCCTGCTCCAGCTGGAGAAGGTCCATCTTTTCAAGTCATCCCTCTCCTCCCCTTCCCAGGTTTCCTCTCTCGGCAGTTAGCTCTTCCCTGACACCTCTCTTCATTTTCATTTGCCTCCTGTTGGCCATGGGGTGGGTGGGAGTCAGAGAGTCTGTTTGGAATTGAAAGCCTCCTAACCGGCCCAGGGAAGTAGGAGCTTTATGTAAGGAATGCAGGGGATCTCACAAAACCCAATAGCTGGGGCTCCAGGGACCTAGAAAGCCATGATTCGCTCATTTGTCAATTCGGTCAACAGATATTTATTATGCACCTACTATGTGCCAGGGGGACACGTGAGACAAGGCACTTGCTCTTGTGGAACTGACATTGTGGTGGGAGGAGATCAATAACAAACAAATAAACAAGAAATTATCATCTGGCCATAAGCGCAGTACAGAGGGCTAAACAGTATCCGGCGGGGGTGGGGCGGGTGTGGTGGCTCACATATATATGTAATCCCAGCACTTTGGGAGGCTGAGGTGGGAGGATTGCTTGGTCCCAGGAGTTCAAGACCAGACTGGGCAACATAGTGAAACCCTATCTCTAAAAAAAAATACAGAAATTGGCCAGGCATGGTGGCGTGCACCTGTAGTCCCAGCTACTTGGGAGGCTGAAATGGGAGGATCACTGGGGCCCAGAGGTCGAGGCTGCAGTGAGCCATGGTTACACCACTGTACTCCAGTCTGGGTGACAGAGCAAGACTCTGTCTCAAAAAAGAAAAGAGAAGAACAAAACAAGTAGATGGGAGAGAGTATGAGTGGGTGAGCCCCATTATGTTGGGTCACTGGGGTAAGCTCTTTGGGGAGCTGATTGAGAAGGAGCCAGGGAGACGGGCATCATGAGAGAGGGAGCTGCATGTGCAGAGGCCCTGAGGTTGAAACAAGCATAGTGCACTCTGGAAAGAGAAGGCTGGAGAGGGAGAGAGAATGGAGTTGTAGAGGTTGGCAGGGAACACTGCATTCGAGGCTTCTGGCCACAGTGAACTGTTGGCTTTTATTCTTTTTTTTTTTTTAATTGAGATGGAATCTCATTCTGTTGCCCAGGCTGGAGTGCAGTGGTGCAAACTTGGCTCGCTGCAGCCTCCACCTCCCGGGTTCAAGTGATTCTCCTGCCTCAGCCTCCCAAGTAGCTGGGATTACAGGTGGCTGCCACCACGCCTGTCTAATTTTTGTATTTTTAGTAGAGATGGGGTTTTGCCATGTTGGCTGGGCTGGTCTCGAACTCCTGACCTCAAGTGATCCACCTACCTCGGCCTCCCAAAGTTGTTGGCTTTTATTCCAAACGCAGTGAGAAGCTGCTGGACGATTTGCCGTGGGGTGGAGGGACTTGATCTGATTCACATTATTTAAAGATCTCTCTAGCTGCTGGGTTGGGTAATGGATTCCCGGAAGTGAGAGTAGAATCAGAAGGACCGAGCAAGCCCGGTGTTATCTGAACCAGAACAGTGGTAGCTGGAATGGTGAGCAGTGGGCAGACTGGTACATCTCAGAAGCAGAGCCGTCAGCACTTGCTGATGGATCAGATGTGATGAATTGGGGGAAGAGAGGAACACAGAAATGGCGTGGTGGCTGGAGAGACTTATAAGGCCCAGGGAGAATTTCTTAAAGATAAGGAGGGGGCCAAGCACAGTGGCTCATGCCTGTAATTCCAGAACTTTGGGAGGTTGAGGCAGGAGGATCGCATGAGCCCAGGAATTTGAGACCACCCTGGGCAACATAGCAAGACCCAGTCTCCACACACAAAAAAATTTTTTTTTTTTTTGAGACGGAGTCTCATTGTTGCTCAGGCTGGAGTGCAATGGCACAATCTCTGTTCACTGCAACCTCCACCTCCCGGGTTCAAGCAATTCTCCTGCCTCAGCCTCCTAAGTAGCTGGGATTACAGGCGCCCGCCACCACACCCAGCTAATATTTGCATTTTTAGTAGAGAAGAGGTTTCATCATGTTGGCCAGGCTGGTCTCGAACTCCTGACCTCAGGTGATCTGCCTGCCTTGGCCTCCCAAAGTACTGAGATTACAGGCATGAGCCAACACTCCCAGCACAAAAAATTTTTTTAAAAAAATTAGCTGGGGCCAGGCGCTATGGCTCATGCCTGTAATCCCAGCACTTTGGGAGGCCGAGGTGGGTGTATCACCTGAGGTCAGGAGTTCGAGACCACCCTGACCAACATGGTGAAATCCCGTGTCTGTCTCAAAAAAAAAAAAAAAAATTAGCTGGGCACAGTAGCATGCATCTATAGTCCCAGCTACTTGGAAGGCTGAGGTGTGGGAGGATTGCTTGAGCCCAGGAGGTCGAGGTTGCAGTGAGCTATGATCACGCCACTGTGCTCCAGCCTGGGTGACAGAGCGAGACCCTGTCTAAAAGTAAAAATAAAATAAAAGACAAGGAGAATCAAGGCAGAACAGACATCAGACAGGTCACTCTGCATGTTAATAGCCAGGAAGTAACAATGATCCGAACCCCCTTCCATGCTCCATGGGAAGAAAGCCAGTGTGTCCCCCAAGATTTTTGTGACTCTGTGGAGGAGCCTGAATTGTCTTGGTCACTGTGCTTCTGACTTCTTGCTTCTGCTGAATTATTATTCCCCACCTGGCATCTCATGCCCTTGGGTTTTTGCTCTGACCTTTACTGAGACCGGGAGGGAGCTCAGCCCCTGAGGTCATGGAGAGCCTCAAATGCCAGGCCAAGTCACTCAGACTAGATCCTGAAAACAGCGGAGCCATTTATCCATTCGTGTATTTATTTATTCAACAAGTATTTTGTTTTTATTTTATTTTATTTTTGAGACAGAGTCTCATTCTGTCGTCCAGGCTGGAGTGCAGTGGCGCGATCCCAGCTCACGGCAGCCTCAACCTCCCTAGGCTCAGGCAATCCTCCCACCTCAGCCTCCTGAGTAGCTGGGACTACAGGCTCACACCACCATGCCTTCTAATTTTTTTTTTTTTTTTTTTTTGAGACGAAGTCTCACTCTGTTGCCCAGGCTAGAGTGTAGTGGTGGGATCTTGGCTCACTGCAACCTCCACCTCTGGGTTCAAGTGATTCTCCTGCCTCAGCCTCCCAAGTAGCTGGGATTACAGGCATGCACCACCATGCCTGCCTAATTTTTGTATTTTTAGTAGAGATGGGGTTTCACCATTTTGGCCAGGCTGGTCTTGAACTCCTGACCTCAGGTGATCTGCCCACCTTGGCCTCCCAAAGTGCTGGGATTACAGGTGTGAGCCACCACATCTGGCCCACATCCTCTAATTTTTTGTAGAGACAGGGTCTCGCTATGTTGCCCGGGCTGGTCTTGAACTCCTGGGCTCAAGCGATCCACCCGTCTCAGCCTTTCAAACTGCTAGGATTATAGGTGTGAGCCACTGCACCCTCAACAAGTGTTTTTGAGGACTTCTTATATGCTTTTAAGGGAGAAATTATATTCAACCAAACAGACATGGATGTGTGGCGCTTTCTGCAAAACAGGGAGGTAGGTGATGATTATGTAGTTGCAAATAAATATAATTGGCAGCTGTGATTAACAGCTTTGAGGGAAAGATTCTTGGTGCTCTAGTAGCTTCTAATAAGGAGATTTGATGTAATTTGGAAGTCAGAGGAAGCAAGAGCTGAGATCTGATGCAGAGAGGAAAGGATGCTCTGCGCAGAGGGAATTGCTTATGCAAAGGCCCTGGGGTAAGAGGAAGGATGGAAAATATGATGGACTAAAGAAGGCCTTGCAAGGCCAGGTGAGGTGGTGGCTCACACCTATAATCCCAGCACTTTCGGAGGCCGGGGTGGGAGGATGGCTTGAGCCAGGAGTTCCAGGCTGCAGTAAGCTACACTTGTGCCACTGCACTCCAGCCTGGGTAACAGAGCAAGACTCTGTCTCTAAAAAAAATTAAAATAGGCTGGGCGCTGTGGCTCACGCCTGTAATCCCAGCACTTTGGGAGGCTGAGGCGGGCGGATCACAAGGTGAGGAGATTGAGACCATCCTGGCTAACACAGTGAAACCCTGTCTCTACTAAAAATACAAAAATTAGTCGGGCGTGGTGGCGGGCGCCTGTAGTCCCAGCTACTCGGGAGGCTGAGGCAGGAGAATGGCATGAACCCGGGACGCGGAGCTTGCAGTGAGCCAAGATCGCGCCACTGCACTCCATCCAGCCTGGGCAACAGAGCAAGACTCCGTCTCAAAAAAAAAAAAAAAAAAAAAAATTAAAATAAAGTAAAGAAGGCCTGGGAACGAGGAGACCAGATGAAAGCAGAGAAGTAAGTAAAGTGCAGAGCCACAGGCTCTTGTGGCGACATTAAGGAGTTTTATCTCTATCCTAAGAATAAAAGGAATCCACCAATATGGTTTTGGCCGGGAGGATAATATGATCACACGTGCGTTGTAAAGTTTCCCAGCTTTCAGAGGCCAAGGCGGGTGAATCACTTGAGGTCAGGAGTTTGAGACCAGCCTGGCCAACATGGTGAAACCCTGTCTCTACTAAAAATACAAAAATTAGCCAGGTGTGGTGGCGTGGGCCTGTAATCCCAGCTACTCAGTAGGCTGGGGCAGGAGAATCACTTGAACCCTGGAGGTGGAGGTTGCAGTGAGCTGAGATGGCACCACTGCACTCCAGCCTGGACGACAGAGCGAGACTCGGTCTAAAAATATAAATAAATAATAAAAATAAATAAAGTTTCCCAGAAGCTCCCATGTGTAGAGTTACTAGCAAGAAAAAAGGTAGATTGAGGTAGACCGAATAGACTTTATTTTTATTTAAATGTTTTGTCATATTTTACATTTATTTATTTATTTATTTATTTGAGACAGGGTCTCACTCTGTCACCCAGGCTGGAGTGTAGTGGTGTGATCACGGCTCACTGAAGCCTTGACTTCTCAGGCTCAAGTGATCCCCCACCTCAGCTTCCCGAGTAGCTGGGACTACAGGCGTGTGCCACCACACCCCGCTAATTAAAAAAAAATTTTTTTTTTGGTACAGTTAGGGTCCTAGTATGTTGCCCAGGCTGGTCTCAAACTCCTAGGATCAAGCAGTCCTCCCACCTCGGCCTCCCAAAGTGCTGGGATAACAGGCATAAGCCACTGCACACAGCCTAGACTTGCTGAATTGTGAAAGTGGCTTGGACCATTGCATGGTGATAGAGATGAAGAATGATGCATGAATTCTAAAGCTATCTAGGAGTTAACATCAGTAGGATTTGGTGAGGGAGTAAAATGAGGGTGAGGATAATGCCCGGGTGTCTGACCCACTGGCCCGGGGGTGGGGAGGATGGAGATGGTGACATAAGGAATGTTGGATAAGAACTAGGTTAGGGAGGGAAGGCTGTGCACTTCAGTTTGAGCATGTTGGGCTTGAGATGCCTTAGAGATATCTGGGGCAGGGGGAGCGGTCAAGGAGTCAGATGATGAATATATGCATTGGAGCTCTGAGGACATATATACAGGCAGGTGTTGATGGACGCTTTGGTAAGGGTCAGACTCCTTAGAGAAAGATAAAGAGAAAATGCAAGGCTAAGTCTAGAGCTGTGGTTCTCAACCGAGGAGTGGGAAGTTATTTTATTTATGTATTTTTTTAATTTTTTATTCTTTTGAGACGGAGTTTTGCTCTTGTTGCCCAGGCTGGAGTGCAATGGTGCAATCTCGGCTCACTGCAACCTCTGCCTCCTGGGTTCAAGCCATTCTCGTGGCTCAGCCTCCCGAGTAGCTGGGATTACAAGCAGGCACCACCACACCTGGCTAATTTTGTATTTTTAGTAGAGACGGGGTTTCTCCGTGTTGGTCAGGGTGGTCTCGAACTCCTGACTTCAGGTGATCTGCCCGCCTCAGCCTCCCAAAGTGCTGGGATTACAGGCGTGAGCCACTGCACCTGGCTTTATTTTATTTATTTATTATTATTATTATTATTATTATTATTATTATTATTGAGAGAGAGTCTCACTCTGTTGCCCAGGCTGGAGTGCAGTGACACCATCCCGGTTTCACTGCAGCCGTGACTTACCTGGGCTCAGGTGACAGCAGGTTTTGACCCTTCCTGTTTAGCACATGTTACCATGATCTCTGCTCACTGCAACCTCCCCTTCCCGGGTTCAAGTGGTTCTCCTGCCTCAGCCTCCTGAGTAGCTGGGATTACAGGCGTGCGCCACCACGGCCGGCTAATTTTTGTATTTTTAGTAGATATGGGGTTTCACCATGTTGGCCAGGCTGGTCTCGAACTCCTGGCCTCAAGTGATCCATCCGCCTTGGCCTCCCAAAGTTGCTGGGATTACAGGAGTGAGCCACCATGCCCGACCAAGAAAACCCTCTTGAATGCTCTCTCCTGAACTCCTGACCTGAGGTTTGGTGTCTGAGGCTGGGGAGAGCTCAGATAGAGGGATGTTCAACTCTAGTATCTATGAGGTGAGACTCAGGATGGTTCTTGTAACGTCTTGAAACCTCTTGAAGATTTATGCTGTGTGTAATAGCTCATCAAGAAACCCTGGTAATAATCCTTGAAATAGACCTGCGAACTCTGCTTTAATGAATTTTACATGATGGCGTTGGAGAAATGAAATCCCCTTACCCTCATTAATCCTGAGACACAGCAATCATTTGCAGTAGACGTTCACCCAAGAGGCCCCAAACACTTTAAGAGAAGTGCTCCACACGTGAGAAGGTGCCCAGGAAGGGGAAATTTCTGCCATGAAATCCTCACCTGATTGTGAACGTTCTACTAGGGCAGGGTGTACCCAGGTACTGAGATAGACCAGGCTCAGCTCAGGTTCCAAGACGGGGGGTTCACTCAAGTCCTGGAACAGAACACAGATACATCCCCAAGGTGTTAAGATGCTCCATGATTGGCCGGGTGCGGTGGCTCACGCCTGTAATCCCAGCACTTTGGGAGGTGGAGGCGGGTGGATCACCTGAGGTTGGGAGTTCGAGACCACCCTGGCTAACATGGTGAAACCCAGTCTCTACTAAAAATACAAAAATTAGCTGGGCATGGTGGTAGGCGCCTGTAATCCCAGCTACTTGGGAGGCTGAGGCGGGAGAATCACTTGAACCTGGGAGGTGGAGGCTGCAGTGAGCTGAAATTGTGCCATTGCACTCCAGCCTGGGCAACAGAGCGAGACTCTGTCTCAAAAAAAAAAAGAAAAAGAAAAAAAATAAAAGATGCCTTGTGGTTTGACTCTATGACAGACTAGAGTCAAGCCCAAGCCTTGGACAGACAAAGGCTTAACTGGGAGAGACCAAAGAGAAACCTGGTTCTAAGAGATGAAGAGGGCCAGGACCAAATCCGAGTCCTGGGTAGATCAGGGCTACGCTGTGGACTTGAGATAGACAAGGCCAAACCCAAGTACTGAGATAGACCAGAGTTTAACTTGAATCCTGAGATGGACCAGGGCTGAACCCACATCCTGAGACAGATCAGACCAGAACCTTGTGAGGAGAGAACCAGAAAATGGGCTTATCTTAGAGAAGTTGTGGGAGAACAGGTTTGCTCTCCCTACTTGTTGAGCCGCGTCACCCAAACTGTCGAGTGCCTCTGGGATGAATGGCCATTGCAGATGACTTGGAATGTCCCAGGACTCATGAGGGGATGAGAATTTTATTTTTATTTGATTTGATTTGACACAGAGTCTTGCTCTGTCACCCAGGCTGGAGTGCAGTGGCGTCATCTGCCTCCTGGGCTCAAGTGATTCTCCCACCTCAGCCTCCTGAGTAGCTGGAACTACAGGCACCCGCCACCAAGCCTAGCTAATTTTCGTATTTTTAGTAGAGACAGGGTTTTGCCATGTTGGCCAGGCTGGTCTCGAACTCCTGGCCTCAAGTGATCCACCCACCTTGGCCTCCCAAAGTGCTGGGATTACAGGCGTGAGGCACCGCACACAGCCAGAATTTTATTTCCCAATGCCAGGTCATCCTAGGATCCAAGGTTGAGCCAGGTCAGGCCCATGAGCCAACAGCACTAGGGATGCCCAGGGTGGCTGTCCCTCCCTGTGGTGTTGGCTGTATGTACTCTGATACAGACTTGAGTGATGCCCCCACTCCATATAGGCTGTCACACCCAGGGTATCACATATCCACACAGCAGCAGATACACACATGCACACACACAGTCACACCAACCCATGCACGTGCCTCAGATACACAGCAACACGTGGCACAGACATGCACATTGACACCCCAAACCCTGGCACACACACGTACAGACCACATCACAGTCTTACAAACACAGCCAACTGGCACACTCAGACATAGCCCTCCTCACTATGCCAGTTTCACATCTGCAATAGTGCCCGACTCCAGGGTCATGGTGTTCTCGGAGAACAGTGTCCCTGGAGTTTTCTCACTTATCTATCATCTGACACCATCCTGTTTTATACATTCATATGCATAGTTTTATACACTTGCTGATGCTCACACACATAAACCTATATATAGCTACCTGCTCATGTGTGTTCTTGATCATGTAGACACAGACGTGCCACACCTCAGTCTCACACACTCACTGGCTCTGTGCCAGTCAGCATAGGCTAGGTTTTGCTGTATAACAAAACAGCCCCCAAGTCTCAGAGGGTTAGTACAACCAAATGAGCTTTTGCTCATGATACATGAGGGTTGGCAGGGTCTCTGCCTAGTCTGGCCACTCAGGGACCCCAGTGATGGAGGCTTCATACCAACATGCACTTTTTTTTTTTTTTTTGAGATGGAGTCTTGCTCTGTTGCCAGGCTGGAGTGCAGTGGTGCCATCTCAGCTCACCTCTGCCTCCCGGTTCAAGCAATTCTCCTGCCTCAGCCTCCCAAGTAGCTGGGACTACAGGCACGTGCCAGCACACCTGGCTAATTTTTATATTTTTAGTAGAGACAGGATTTCACCATGTTGGCCAGGCTGGTCTCGAACTCCTGACCTCAAGTGATTCACCTACCTCGGCCTCCCAAAGTGCTGGGATTACAGATGTGAGCCACTGTGCCTGGCCCCAGCATGCACTTTTTTTTTTTTTTTTTCCGAGATGGAGTCTCGCTCTGTTGCCCAGGCTGTAGTGCAGTGGCACGATCTCGGCTCACTGCAACCTCTGCCTCCAGGTTCAAGTGATTCTCCTGCCTCAGCCTCCTAAGTAGCTGGGATTACAGGCACCCACCACCAGGCCTGGCTAATTTTTGTATTTTTAGTAGAGACTGGGTTTCACCATGTTGACCAGGCTGGTCTTGAACTCCTGACCTCAGGTGATCTGCGTGCCTCAGCCTACCAAAGTGCTGGGATTACAAGTGTGAGCCACTGCACCCAGCCCAACATGCCCTTCTGCGGTTGCTGAGGGAAGACTGTGGCACTGCACACTGGCTTGCCTCTTTTTTTCTTCGTTGTTTCAGAGACAGGGTTTTGCTCTGTGCCCAGGCTGGAGTGCAGTGGTGTGATCACAGCTCACTGCAGCCTCCAACTCCTGGGCTTAAACAATCCTCCTGCCTCAGCCTCCTGAGTAGCTGGGAATATAAGTGTGCACCTCCATGCCCGATAAATTTTTAAAATATTTTGTAGAATAGGGGTCTTGCTATGTTGCCCAGGCTGTTCTCAAACTCCTGGCCTCAAGCAGTTCTCCTGCCTTGGCCTCCCAAAGTGCTGGGATTACAGGTGTGAGCCACCACACCTGGTCCACACCGGCTCTTAAAGTATTCACCTGGAAGTCACTGCCGTTTAAAAGGCATTGGCTAAAGGAAGTCACGTGGCCACACTGGGGAAGTCCTACAGCCCCATCATGTGCCTAAGAGAAAAGAACTAGAAAATGTGTCAACAGTTCTGTTGACTACTGCAGTCTCTTACATGTTCCAACAGTTACTCACTCCTGTAGACACGTCCACATGCACGCACTTTATTCCTTCTCACGGGCACCCATTCTCATGACCTGTTTCCTTCCTTGAGGCAGGGCAGGAGGCCACAGTGCCCGCCCCCTCCCCCCAGAGTCTTCCCTTAGCTTCAGATACATCAGGGGGATCTCCCTGTCTCTGTTGAGCTGGGGGTCCCAGGGGTAATGAGTTTCTGAGCTGCAGCTAGAGCTGGAGCTGAGAAAACAGTGCAGACACCTTCTCTGCCCCCGGAGTGGGTGGTATTTTTCCACAGACACTGGGGAAGAAGAATAATAGGTGCTGGTAGATGTCTCCACCAGCCCAGCGCCTTCCCCGTCTTGCCAGCTGCAGCTTGGAAGAGGGGAGCCCAGAGGGAAGAGAAGGCAAAACCAGAGAGACCCCTGTCCTCCCGACCCGTGTGAGCTCCCAGCGCCACTGGGGACCCTTCGTTGTCCCCTCTCCTCCCGGCTCCTCCTTCTGACTACTCAAATATTCCAAGGCAGGAAACTCATGAATATTTATAGGGGCCTGGCAGTGAGGCAGATATAAAAAAAAAAAAATTGGAATTTATGAACCAGGATTCGTCTATAAATAACAGGCCTGTGGCTGGTGGGGTTCTTCCCTCACCCACAACATTGCTTCAACTGCAGCTCCAGCCCCATCCAAAGCTCACAGAGCCTCCCCTTCACACACATACACACAGCTTCACTGTGGATGCACAATTTCCCATCCGCCAGTGCATTGGCGCACACACACGCATTCATACCCAGCCGAACACACAGACACGTGTTCACACCTGCCTGGGTCTGGCCCACTGCCTCCCTTCCACTCACAGACACCCCGATGCAAAGTGAGCCTGAATGCATCCTCCTCTGTCCACATTCGGGCTGATGCAGCCACTCACACTGCATCTGCACAAAACACACAGTTGGGCTGGGTGTGGTGGCTTATGTCTGTAATCCCAATACTTTGAGAGGCTGAGGCAGGAGGATTGCTTGAGCCCAGGAGTTTGAGACCAGCCTGGGCAACATAGTGAGACCCTATCTCTACAAAAGAAGACAAACATTTACTAGGCATGGTGGCATGCACCTGTAGTCCCAGCTACTTGGGAGGCTGAGGTGGGAGGATTGCTTGAGCCTGGGAGATTGACACTGTGTGTGCTGTGATCGCGCCACTGCACTCCAGCCTGGGCAACAGAGCAAGAGCCTATCTCAAAAACAAAAAACAAAATACAAAAAACACACAGTTGCACACATACACACCATGGAGAGACACATGGCCACAGCTCACTCCCTAACCCATGACCCAAGCACACCCCCTCCCCTCTCCAGGCCTCAGTTTCCTCACCCACATAAGGGGCACACCGAGAGTTCCTACCTCATATGGTTGTTGTGCAGAATTGTTTTTTTTTTTTTGAGACGGAGTCTCGCTCTGTCACCCAGGCTAGAGTGCAGTGGCGCAATCTTGGCTCACTGCAACCTCTGCCTCCCGGCTTCAAGCCATTCTCCTGCCTCAGCCTCCCAAGTAGCTGGGACTACAGGCACCCGCCACCATGCCCGGCTAATTTTTTACATTTTTAGTAGAGACGGGGTTTCACCGTGTTAGCCAGGATGGTCTCGATCTCCTGACCTTGTGATCCGCCCGCCTCGGCCTCCCAAAGTGCTGGGATTACAGGCGTGAGCCACCGTGCCCGGCAGAATTTTAAAAATAACAAATGGATACCAGGTGCCTGTTGTGTGCAAGATGATCTATTTTAAGTGCTGGCAACACAGCAGTGAACAAAAACAGGTAAAAACTCCTGCCTGACGTTCTGGAGGGGAAGAAAGATAATTTGCAAAATTAATGCATAAATGATGTGGCGGAAGCAGATGGAGTAGGGAAGTGGATGGGGGGTGCTGGGGCACTTGTAGTTCTGGCCAGGGGAGATCAGGGAAGGTTTGTTTTTTGTTTTTTTTTTTTGAGGTAAGGTCTCACTGTCGCCCAGACTGGAGTGTAGTCGCATGATCTCAGCTCACCGCAACCTCCGCCCCCCAGGCTCAAGCGATTCTCCTGCCTCAGCCTCCCGAGTAGCTGGGATTACAGGCACGCACCACCACACCCGGCTAATTTTTGTATTTTTAGTAGAGACGGGGGTTTCACCATGTTAGCCAGGCTGGTCTCGAACTCCCGACCTCAAATGATCCACCCACCTCAGCCTCCCAAAGTGCTGGGATTACAGACATGAGCCACTGCGCCAGGCCAGCAGGGAGGGTCTTTTGAGACAATGACATTTCAGTAAGGGTCTGAAGGAGGTGGAAGGACATTTCAGGCAGAGGGGATAGCCAGTGCAAAGAGGTGATATAGAAGAAATATGTTTGGGGTTTTGCAGGAACAGTGTGGCTGGAACAGAGTGAGTGAGAGGGAGAGTGGAAGGAAGTGAGGGCAGGGAGGTGATGGGACAGATTGTGAAGGAGTTACGTGCCTTGGGGAGAACTCTACTTTGAGACAAGGAGAGATCATGGCTCACCACAGCCTCGACCTCCCAGGCTCAAGCGATCCTCCCACTTCAGCCTCCTGTGTAGAAGGGACTACAGACACATGCCACCACTTCCGGCTTATTTTTTAATTTTTTGTAGAGATGGGGTCTCACTATGTTGCCTAGGCTGGTCTCAAACTCCTGGGCTCAAGTGATCCTCTGGCCTCAAAATACTGGGATTACAGGTGTAATCACGCTTGGCTGAGGATTTGGGCTTTTAACTCAGGGGAGATGGGAGCCATGGAGGGTTCTCAGCACGGGAGAGACTCAGTGTGATTCATGTGTTCACAGGTGCTCTCTGGCTGCTGTGGGGGAAGCAGACTGTGGGGGCAAGTAGGGGGAACTGGGAGACCATGGAAGGGATGAACTCTGCTGGTTCAGGTGAGCAATGCCAGGGGCTTGACCATGGAGATGGCCATCAAGAGGGTAGAGCAATGGGTAGATTCTAAAGGTAAGGCTGATGCATTGGTATAAGAGAAAGAGAGGGTGGGCGGTGCGGTGGTTCATGCCTGTAATCCCAACACTTTGGGAGGCCGAGGCAAGTGGATCACTTGAGGTTAGGAGTTTGAGACCAGCCTGGCCAACATGGAGAAACCTCATCTCTACTAAAAATACAAAAATTAGCTGGGGGTGGTGGTGTGTGCCTGTAATCCCAGCTACTCGGGAGGCTGAGGCAGGAGAATCGCTTTAACCCGGGAGGTGGAGGTTGCTGTAAGCCAAGATCACACCACTGCACTCCAGCCTGGGCAACAAGAGCGAGACTCCATCTAAAAAAAAAATGAAAGAAAAAGAAAAATTGGGTGGATTCTGTTTGCAAGTGAATGTACTTAAACGATTTATTCTTGAATGCCAGAGATGTTTATTGAACACCTGCTGCGTGCCAGGCACTGTTCTGTTTTGAGGACACAGCAATGAACAAAGTGATAAAAATTCCTGCCCTTTGGGGAGTGTACATATGAGAGCGACAG
Source organism: Homo sapiens (assembly GCF_000001405.40). Taxonomy (NCBI): domain Eukaryota; kingdom Metazoa; phylum Chordata; class Mammalia; order Primates; family Hominidae; genus Homo; species Homo sapiens. The sequence goes on along the minus strand of NC_000019.10, from coordinate 9,886,997 downwards.
ACAAGAAATAATATGAGGCCAGGCACGGTGGCTCACACCTGTAATCCCAACACTGGGAGGCCGAGGCAGGCAGATCACCTGAGGTCAGGAGTTTGAGACCAGCCTGGCCAACATGGTGAAACCTTGTCTCCACTAAAAATACAAAATTAGCCAGGCGTGGTGGCACATGCCTGTAATCCCAGCTACTTGGGAGGCTGAGGCAGGAGAGTCGCTTGGACCCAGGAGGCAGAGGTTGCAGTGAGCTGAGATTTAAAAAAAAGAAAGAAAGAAAAAGAAACGAGATGAATGTAAGGTGCGGAAAAATGCATCAGGGATGGTCCTGGAGCATGACAGGGGCTGCACATGTGGACGAGGCAGACTGGGCAGAATCGAGGATGCATTTCGAAGTGAGGGCTGCTTTCGGGGTTGTGCAGGATGGATTGCCTATTTAGGTGGAAATGACAGAACTCGGTGCCAGGGTGTGAATGTGAACCTGAAGGGACACTGACATAAATACCCTCTTAGGGCCCAGTGCGGTAATACCAACATGTTGGGAGGCCAAGGTGGGCAGATCACCTGAGGTCAGGAGTTCGAGACCAGCCTGGCCAACATGGTGAAACCCCATTTCTACTAAAAATACAAAAAATTAGCTGGGCATGGTGGTGTGTGCCTGTAATCCCAGCTACTCGGGAGGATGGGGCAGGAGAATCACTTGAACCTGGAAGGCAGAGGTTGCAGTGAGCCAAGATCACTCCATTGTACTCCAGCCTGGGCAACAAGAGCGAAACTCTGTCTCAAAAAACAAAAACAAAAACAAAAACCCTCTTAGGTTGAATGTTCATCATTTCCCCCATCTTAGGTTGGGTTCCTGAGAAGCAGAACTAGAGACGTAAGTTTCCAGCACTTTTTTTTTTTCTTTTTTGAGACAGGGTCTTGCTCCGTTGCCCAGGCTGGAGTGCAGGGGTGCAATCATGGCTCACTGCAGCCTCAACCTTCTGGGCTCTAGCAATCCTCCCACCTCAGCCTCCCATGTAGCTGGGACTACAGGTGTGCGCCACCACACCTGGTTAATTTTTTAATCTTTTGTAGAGACAGGGTCTTGCTGTGTTGCCTAGCCTGGTCTTAAACTCCTGGGCTCAATGATCCTCCTGCCTCGGCCTCCCAAAGTACTGGGATTACAGGCATGAGCCACCGTGCCTGACTGTGGAGCACATAATTGAAAGTCAGGGCAGGGGTGAGGGGAGCAGGACCTGGAAGAGAATAGATTGAGCAAAGATGAGATCCTAGGTAAAGTCCCGGTTTGGCTTGCTCCACAAGGGTGGGGGGACACTGTGGAGTTATCTCACCATGAGAAGAGGAGTGGGCTTTTTACCCCTGCATCAGTCATTAGCTGCCCCTGGGAGTAGGTGACACCTCCCAAGCATCTCCAAGGTGTGGTGGCTCCCAAAAGCCATGGGCAGGTCCAGAGAAGATCACAGCTGCTAGCAATGAGCCGCCGTGCTCAGCAGCTGCAGGGTGGGTACATCTAGGCAGTCAGCAGCTCTGGGCAGAGCCCCAGGAGCATCTCCCACACTCCCCCAGCCCTAACGAGGGGGGTCATAGGAGCACCAGGCATTTGTGCCAATCACAGCGTGGATGTCTGACACCAGACCATGTTCTCAGCTCTCTTGGGATGAAAACCAGGCCAACTTGGCACTGGGGCTCCTCTGACACAGCTGAGATTTTTTCCGGATTCATTAACTGCCGGAGACTCAGCCCTCTGCCTCCCAGTCTGGGAATTGCAGTCTGGGAATGGGTCAGAATCACTCACTCAACAGTAAGGCACTACTATCACTCCCATTTTGCAGGTGGGGAAAGTGAGGCACAGAGAGGTTAAGTCACTTTCCCATGGTCACACAGCTAGAAAGAGAAGCCGGGTTTTGAAGTTCAAGTTGTCGGCCTCCAGGGTCCATGTGCTTCACAGCTACACTCAACTACCTTTGACTCCATGACCGCTTCAAAACCCAGAGCCCCTGTATCCACCCTGTGATGGGAGAGGAAGGAGGAAGAGAGCAGACAGAGGGTGTTGGGGAGTCGGGGAGGAAGGGGTCACATGGAAAACTTGGAGTGTACAGGAAGCATTCATTCATTCATTCATATCTTGATGCCTGTCCATTGTCTCCAGCATCTGCTGGTGTTGGGACCATAGCATGGAAGAAGACAGACTCAGCCCTGCCCTTTTGGAGCTCACATCCTAATGGGGCATGCAGACACCCACCATGCAAGGAAAAGAATAAAATATAAGAACTTTGTGGAGGGAAGGGGCAGGGAGCTGTGGAGATGTGCACAGGAAGGAACACAGACCTATCTTAGATGATGGAGAAGGCTTCCTGGAGGTGGTGGTGTTTGCTGTGAGCTCTGAAGAATGCCTAGAACTGGCGAGTCCTAGCTGTAGAAACACCAGCATCTCTACAGTCCCATAGACCTGGGGCTGGAGTGCACTGGCACAATCTCGGCTCAGTGCAACCTCCACCTCCCAGGTTCAAGCGATTCTCCTGCATCAGCCTCCCGAGTAGCTGGGACTACAGGCACCTGCCACCACACCCGGCTAATTTTATATATTTTTGGTAGAGATGGGATTTCACCATGTTGGCCAGGCTGGTTTCGAACTCCTGACCTTGTGATCCGCCTGCCTCAGCCTCCCAAAGTGCTGGGATTACAGTCCTGAGCCACTGTGCCTGGGCTTTTTTTTTTTTTTTTTTTAATTTTTGAGACAGGGTCTCACTCTGTCACCCAGGCTGGAGTGCAGTGGCATGATCACAGCTCATTGCAGCCTCAACCTCCCTGGGCTCAGGTGATCCTCCTCTTTCAGCCTCCCAAGTAGCTGGGACTACAGGTGCGCACCACCATGCCTGGCTAATCTATGTATTTTTGTTAGAGACGGAGGTCTCACTATGTTACCCAGGCTGGTCTTGAACTCCTGGGCTCAAGCCATCCTTTCACCCCGGCCTCCCAAAGTGCTGGGATTATAGGTGTGAGTCACCATGCCCAGCTAAGACTACTGTGATTTTAAGCTCTGTGTGCGCAGGCATTCGTTCAACCTCCGTGACTGCCCTAAGAGGGGGATGCTGCTGTTCACCTCGTTTTACAGATGGGGAAACTGGCGCACCATGAGGCTTAAGTCACTTGTCTGAGGTCATGGCTAGGAGGTGGTGCGATGAGGTCCCCCGTGCACACATCGTGCATGCAAAATGCCTGGCACACGGGCAATGCTTGACTAAACTGGTGAAGATGTTATCACTTGCTGGATGCTGCTCTTTGGTGCATGCCATGGCTAGAGGTGATACTGAAGTGCGTGCTCAGCCGGGGATGGATACAGGCGCTGGCGGGTACAATGCAGGCTGATTGAAGGCCCTCTGAGTCCTGCCACCTGGCAGAGCAGTCTTCAGCCTCCTCTGGCTCCACTCCCAGCCCTGGAGAAGCTGGGGGGCCACGGGCCTCTCTCCGGCAGCTTTGACTGGGAGCAGCTGCTCAGTGCTTAGCCAGGATTGATTTCCCTTTAAGCAGCCCATTCTCGCTAACAAAGGTCTCCGGTGACCCAGGTGGCCGCCACTACCCCCTCCCCTCCAAGCAGAGGACGTGCCTGCCTCTAGGCTGGAGCTGTTTTCTGCCTCTGAGATTGATTCATCTGAAAGTCTTGGGCTTACCCAGAGGGATGGGCTGAGTCAGCCTGGATATGCTTACCTGGAATTTGTTGGATTTTTGCCTGTGTTTTGCCCTGGCCAGTTCACCTTTCATGATCTCCTTGGCCACATCCTTTTTTTTTTTTTGAGATGGAGTCTCGCTCTTGTCACCCAGGCTGGAGTTCAGTGGTGCGATCTCGGCTCACTGTAACCTCCACCCCCGGATTCAAGTGATTCTCCTGCCTCAGCCTCCCAAGTAGCTGGGACTACAGGCACTTGTCACCACTCCTGGCTAATTTTTTTTGTATTTTTTTTTTTTTAGTAGAGATGGGGTTTCACCATGCTGGCCAGGCTGGTCTCGACCTCCTAACCTCATGTAATCCACCCACCTTGGCCTCCCAAAGTGGGGGGATTACAGGTGTGAGCCACTGCGCCTGGCTTTTTTTTTTATTTTTTTTAATAGATAGGGTCTTGCTCTGTTCCCCAGGCTGGAATGCAGTGGCACAATCATAGCTCACTCCTGAGCTCAAACAATCCTCCCACCTCAGCCTCCTGAGGTGCTGAGGCTATAGGCATGCACCACCATGCCCAGCTTATTTTTTAATTTTTTGTAGACACAGCGTCTCACTACGTTGCCCAGGCTGGTCTCAAACTCCTGAGGCCAAGTGATCCACCCACCTCGGCCTCCCAAAGTGCTGGGATTACGAGTGTGAGCCACCGCCCAGCCCCTGACCACATTCCTACCCCACTCACACACAGCTATGGGCTGAATTGTGTGTTTCCACCCCCCAAAAATTCATGTATTTAATTCTTTTTTTTGAGACGGAGTCTCACTCTGTCGCCCAGGCTGGAGTGCAGTGGTGCGGTCTTGGCTCACTGCAAGCTGCAGCTCCCGGGTTCACGCCATTCTCCTGCCTCAGCCTCCCGAGTAGCTGGGACTACAGGCGCCCGCCACCTTGCCTGGCTAATTTTTTGTATTTTTAGTAGAGACGGGGTTTCACTGTGTTAGCCAGGATGGTCTCGATCTCCTGACCTCACGATCCACCCACCTCGGCCTCCCTAAGAGCTGGGATTACAGGCATGAGCCACCGCGCCTGGCCTTTTTTTTTTCTTTTTTGAGACAGGGTCTCACTCTGTTGCCCAGGCTGGAGTGCAGTGGCGTTATCACAGCTCACTGCAGCCTTGACCTCCCTGGGCTGAGGTGATCCTCCCTCCTCAGCCTCCCGAGTAGCTGAGATTAGTGGTGCGAGCCACCACACCTGGCTAATTTTTGTATTTTTTGTAGAGATGAGGTTTTGCCGTGTTGCCCAGGCTAGTCTCAAGTAATTGCCTGGGCTCAAGCCATCCACCCGCCTCGGCCTCCTCCCACGGTGTTGGGATTATAGGCGTGAGCCACCACGCCCAGCCCATATGTTTAATTCTTAACACCCAGTACCTCACAATGAATGTGACTGTATTTGGAGGTGGGGTTTTTTTAAGAGGTGATTAAATTAAAATGAGGCCTTTGGAATGGGCCCTAATCCAACATGACTCATGTCTGTATAAGAAAAGGAGATTAGGTCCGGGTGCAGTAGCTCACACCTGTCGTCCCAGCACTTTGGGAGGCTGAGGTGGGAGGATCACTTGACAGCAGGAGTTCAAGACCAGCCTAGGCCACACAGCAAGACCCCCCAACTGTAAAAAAAAAAAAATTAAAAATTAGTGGGACATGGTGGCATGCACATGTAGTCCCAGCTACTCGGGAGGCTGAGCTGAGAGGATCCCTTGAGTCCAAGAGGTTGAGGCTGTAGTGAGGCTTGAAGGAACCAACCCTGCTGACACCTCGACTTCTGACTTCCGGCCTCCAGAACTGTGAGACAATGCATTTTTGTTGCTTATGCTGCCCAGCCTGGGATACTCAGTCAAGGCAGCCTGAGCAAACTCACATGCACGCCCTTGGAAGTTTCCTACCCTTGAGTCCATCTTAGAGTCCATCTCTCAGTAGCCCTGCCCGGTCAGGCTACTGTATAGGGCATCACTGTATAGGGCAGGGTCCCAGGAAAAAGCATAGTTCCTTCAAAAGGGATTCCAGAGGACAATTCTCTGGAATGAAATGACTGTTTTCAGAGATGTGGGCAAGGTTAATAGAAGGAGCAAAGGGATGTTGAAAATCCCTGGGGTTGCCGGGCACAGTGGCTCATGCCTGTAATCCCAGCACTTTGGGAGGCCGAGGCAGGCAGATCACTTGAGGTCAGGAGTTTGAGGCCAGCTGGCCAACATGGCAAAACCCCGTCTCTACTAAAAATACAAAAATTTGCCGGGTGTGGTAGTAGGTGCCTGTAAATTCAGCTGCTTGGGAGGCTGAGGCAGGAGAATTGCTTGAACCTGGGAGGCAGAGGCTGCAGTGAGCCTACATTGCGTCACTGCACTCCAGCCTGGGTGACAGAGCAAGACTCTGTCTCAGAAAATCCTTGGGTCTGCAGCTGAGAGGAGCTATTGCTACCCCCAGGCCACAGAGAGAGCGCCAAAGCTGCAGAAATGTGTGTTTGTTTACTAGGTCTGCTGTCATGAAGTGCTTTGGGCTGGGTGGCTTAAACAACAGAAATTTAATTTCTCACAATCCTAGAGGCTTGAAGTCTGAAATCAAAGCATTAGTTTCTTTTGAGGCCTCTCTCATTGGCTTGCAGGTGGCCACCTTCTTACTGTATCTTCACGTGGTCTTTTCCTATGTGTGTGTCTTCATCTCCTCTTTTATTTATTTGTATTATTTATTTATTTTTAGAGATGGGGTCTCGCTCTCTTGCTCAGGTTGGAGTGCAGTGGTGTGATCACAGCTCACTGCAACCTCAAACACCTGGTCACAAGTGATCCTCCCACCTTAGCCTCCTAAAGTGCTGGGATTACAGGTGTGCCCCATCACACCTGGCCCCAACTCCTCATTAAACAACTTTCAGGTTCCTCTGTTTGCCATGCGTCTTCCTACTAGAGCAGAAGCTTTATGAGGTTGGGGATGTCTGCGCGTCTCCTGGACAGTAGTGACCCCAGTACCTAGAACAGTGCCTGGCACATAGTGGGTGCTCAGTAAATATTTCTGGGATGAACGGATGCTCTGCCCTCCCTGCCTTTGCCCATGCTGACTCTCGCTCCTACATCCGTAAACTTAGCTATTGCATCTTCCAGAAGGCCATTGCTACACCCTCAAAACCAGGCTCTGGGCCAGGCACAGTGGCTCGCATCTGTAATCCTGGCACTTTGGGAGGCCGAGGTGGGAGGATCACTTGAGCTCAACAGTTTAAGACCAGACCGGGCCCAGTGGCTTATGCCTGTAACCCCAGCACTTTAGGAGGCTGAGGTGGGCAGATCACCTGAGGTCAGGAGTTCGAGACCAGCCTGGCCAACATGATGAAACCTTGTCTCTACTAAAAATACAAAAATTAGCCAGGCATGGTGGTGTGCACCTGTAGTCCCAGCTACTCAGGAGGCTGAGCCAGGAGACTCACTTGAACCCAGGAGACGGAGGTTGCAGTGAGCCGAGATCTTGCCTCTGCACTCTAGCCTGGGTGACAGAGTGAGACTCCACCTCAAAAGACAAAAAAGAGTTCAAGACCAGCCTGGGCAACATAGCCCAGGCTCTTAAAAATTTAAATATAATTTTTAAAAATTAAAAAACTTAGCCAGGCGTGGTGGCGCACACCTGGAGTCCCAGTGTATTAGTTCGTTCTCATACTGCTATAAAGAAATACCTGACACTGGGTAATTTATAAATAAAAGAGGTTTAATTGGCTCACAGTTCCACAGGCTGTACAGGAACCATAGCTGGGGAGGCCTCAGGAAACTGACATTCATGGCAGGGGGTGAAAGGGAAGCAGGCGGGTTTTACACGGCCAGAGCAGGAGCAAGAGAGAGACTGGGGGAGGTGCTACACACGTTTAAACAACGAGAGCTTGGCTGGGTACGGTGGCTCACGCCTGTAATCCCAGCACTTTGGGAGGCCGAGGGGGGCAGATCACCTGAGATTGGGAGTTGGTGACCACCCTGACCAACATGGAGAAACCCCGTCTCTACTAAAAATACAAAATTAGCCAGGCGTGGTGGCGCATGCCTGCAATCCCAACTACTTGAGAGGCTGAGGCAGGAGAATCGCTTGAACCCGGGAGGCGGAGGTTGCAACGAGCTGAGATTGCGCCATTGTACCTGGGTAACAAGAGTGAAACTGTCTCAAAATAAATAAACAAACAAACAGCGAGATCTCATAAGAACTCACTCCTTATCAGGAGAACAGCAAGGGGAAACCTAGCCCCATGATCCAGTCACCTCCCACTGGGCCCCTATTCCAGCATTGGGGATTACAATTTGACATGAGATTTGAACGGGACACAAATCCAGACCCTATCACTCAGCCACTCAGGAGGCCGAGGTGGGAGGATCGCTTGAGTCCAGGAGGTTGAGGCTGCAGTGAGCCATGACTGCGCCACTGTGCTCCAGCCTGGGCTACCGAGTCTCAAACAAGCAAACAAAAAATTCAGGCTCTGGAGCCCAGAGATAGAGCCCAGGTCTTCCAGTGTTCTGTGCTTCCCTGCATCGTGGCACTTATCACACCCTGTTATAATTGCCTCTTCCTTTTTCTTTCTTCCTTGCTTATCTGTGAATGTGGGGAAGCTGTGGAGGGTGCTGTCCTATCTGGAAAACAGCCACTGGTATTTCCTGAGCACTCTCTCTGAACCAGGGCTTGAAGCACTTCCGTTGTATTAGCTCGCTGGAGCCTCAAAATGCCGACAGGGTCATCTCATCACCTACTGCCAGTTTCCCTGTTTGAGAAATGAAACTGATGCCAGGTGCTCATGTCTGTAATCCCAGCTACTAGGGAGGCTGAGACAGGAGAACTGCTTGAACCTGGGATGTGGAGGCTGCAGTGAGCTGAGATTGTGCCATTGCACTCCAGCCCGGGTGACAAGAGTGAAACTCCATCTCAAAAAAAAAAAAAAAAAAAAAAAAAGAGAGAAATGAAACTGAGGCTCAGAGAGAGTCACTTGTCCAGGGTAACACAGAGCCAAGATTGAAGCTCAGATGGTCCAGCCCACCTTTCTGTGTTCCCAGTCAGCACCGATTTGCTTATTTTTATTCCATAGGCAATTCTGTCACACTCCCTTGAATATCACGTTGCGTATGTGTCCCGGCCTGTTTGCTGTTACTATAACAGACTACCACAGATTGGGTAATTTATAAAGGGCTGGGTGTGGTGGCTCACGCCTGTAATCCGAGCACCTAGGCAGCCAAGGTGGAAGGGTTGCTTGAGCCCAGGAGTTCAAGACCCACCTGGGCAATGTGGCCAGACCCCATGACTACACAGATTTTTTAAATTAGCCAGATGTGGTGGCACGTGTGTAGTCCCAGCTACTCAGGAGGCTAAGGCAGGGGGATCGACTGAGCCTGGAATGTTGAGACTGTGATGAGTCAGGATCGCATCATTGCACTCCAGCCTGGGCAACAGAACCAGACCTCATCTGTAAAATAATCAATTAATTAATCTTTCTTAAAAAAAAAAATTTATTTTTCCAGTTCTGGAGACTGGGAAGTCCAAGGGCATAGCACCAGCCTCTGGCAAAGGTTATCCCATGGCCAAAGGGCTGAAGGCAAAAGTGACACAGAGAGAGGAAATTGGACCAAAATCATTCTTGTTGTCAATAGCCCACTGCCATGATAACTAACCCACTTCCCTGATAATGGCATTAATTCACCTAACCTCATCTTTAAAGGTGCTACCTCTCAACACTGTTACTTTTTTTATTTTTATTTTATTGTATTTATTTATTTATTTATTTATTTATTTATTTATTTATTTTTGAGACAGAGTTTCTCTCTTGTTGCCCAGGCTGGAGTGCAATGGCACAATCTTGGCTCACCGCAACCTCCGCCTCCCGAGTTCCAGCCATTCTCCTGCCTCGGCCTACAGAGTAGCTGGGATTACAGGCATGTGCCACCACGCCTGGCTAATTTTGTATTTTTAGTAGAGACGGGGTTTCTCCATGTTGGTCAGGCTGGTCTTGAACTCCTGACCTCAGGTGATCTGCCCGCCTCAGCCTCCCAAAGTGCTGGGATTACAGGTGTGAGCCACCGCACCTGGCCATATTTTTTTTTTTTTTTTTTTGAGATGGAGTCTCACTCTGTCGCCAAGGCTGGAGTGCAGTGGCACCATCTCGGCTCATCGCAACCTTCACCTACCTGGTTCAAGCGATTCTCATCCCTCAGCCTCCCGAGTAGCTGGGATTACAGGCGCCCGCCATCATGCCCAGCTAAATTTTGTATTTTTACTAGAGGCAGGATTTCACCATGTTGGCCAGGCTGGTCTCGAACTCCTGGCCTTAAGTGATCTGCCCCCCTTGACCTCCCAAAGTGTTGGGATTACAGGTGTGAGCCACCGCACCCAGCCTCTGAAGTAGCTATTCTTCTGTTTCTTTACTTCTCTAATAAACTTGCTTTCACTTTAAATAAATAAATAAATAAAATGGATTACGTTTCCAACACATGAATTTTGCGGGGACACATTCAAACCATAACATTACGTTAAGCCATTCTGATATATTAACAACCACCTCATGACATCAGTACTATTCTTAGCTATATACTCTAACTGGGGGAACGGAGGCACAGGATGGTTAAGTCAGTAGCCCAAGGTCACACGGCAGACCTGAGGCTCGAACCTAGGAGACCCTTAATGACCACGTCCTCCCACCTCCACTGGGGGAATTGAATGCATTTGAGACTCATTTCTTTGAAACCCTGGAATGTGTGTTGGAGGTGTAGCCAAGGGATAAAGGGTTTGGACCCAGAGTGGACTTGCCACCCGCAGGGGCGCATGGGGACCTAGCAGGAAAGAGCCCTTGGAGGTGGGTTTTCAGGAGTCCTGGTACCTGGCTGTCTGTTATTGGCAGGTTGATCAATGTCACCTCCTGGCTGTGCTGTCCAGCCTTCGAGGCCTCCCTCCAGCCGCTGCCTGGGGGACTCGCAGCAAACACTTCCATTTTGTATAGGGGTGTCCCTGGCTATCGGTGTGAAATGCCTCAGCCAGCCATGGAAGTTAAATGTCCCCCATGGCGACCTTTTCCACACGCGGACGGATTGATTTCAGAAATCCATCCCCGGCCAAAGCGCCCAGCCCCAGCCCCTACCACGGGCGCTGATGGCTGCAAATTTATATCCAGGCCAGAAATTGAATTCCTGTAAGTTGAAGGAACTATCTGAAAAGCTCACCCAGGCTCATTTTTACGTCTGAAAAACTTCAGGCAAGAGATTAAATTGGGGCCAGTGTCTCCCAGCAGTAGGGACCTCGGTGGCGGGGAGATGACCTCGCTGAAGACAGCTTCTTTAGATTCTCTGCCTTCAGCTTGGCCTCCTGGGGCTGAGAAATAAAAAGCAGTGAGACCTGCAGGCCTGCATGGCTAAAGGGATTCCCACTTCTGACCAGCTAATGTTAGAAAAGGGACATGCTCTGTGTACCCAAGGCAGGCTTTTGGTCCCCGTGGTAGCTATTGAGCTATTCAGAGGGACAGGAAATAAAACTGCTAATTCAGGCCAGGTGCAGTGGCTCATACCTGTAATCCCAGCACCTTGGGGAGGCCGAGGTGGGAGGATTGCTTGAGCTCAGGAGTTTGAGACAGGGCGATACCCTGTCTCTGTGAGAAAAAACAAACAAAAAACAAAAGAAAAACAACAACAACAAACAACCAGATGTGCTGGTAAGTGCCTGTGGTCCCAGCTACCCGGGAGGCTGAGGTGGGAGGATCACCTGAGCCAGGGAAGTCGAAGCTGCAGTGAGTCGTGATCGTGCCACTGCACTCCAGCCTGTCTCAAAAAAAAAAAAAAGCTGCTAATTCATCTTCATCCCCGGCCAGGCCCCTGCACCAGCTCCTAAGGCCACCTCAGTCCCAGCAAATTGGCGAGGTTCTAATTAAGCTTCCTTGGGCTGTGGCAGAGAGGACATCAGAGTCTGTGGATCATTCCAGAACCCTCGCTCTTCCCTGCCCCCTGCCAGAGGCATGAAGGCTGGGGAAGGAGAAGCAGATAAATCAAGTGACAGCTCCGTGAAGGAAGAAACCCCATCTTGCTAGAAAGATCTCTCTCGCCTGCCTTGAAAAAATGAGACTGATGCAAATGCGGCTGCTTCTCTTTGGTACAAAAGCCCTTAAATATTAAAGAAATGAATCCTTGATGTCTACAAAGAAAGGATCAAAAACAAATCTTTCTGAAAGGAGAAAAGCTTTTATTTCGCCGTGAACTCTTCTAGATCTAGCCTCTGGCAGGGATGCCTGCGGAACAGGGAGCACAGGAAGATAAAGCTCTCAGTGATGGCCATTCAATATTTGTTCATTTAGGAAGCGTCTGAAGCAGCTACTGCATTGGGTTACAGGCTGGGGAAACGTCCAGCAAAGTGAGGCCACAGTTCCTGCCCTCAAAAGCCATTAGGGGACGGGTGCAGTGTCTCATGCCTGTAATCCCAGCACTTTGTGAGGCCGAGGCAGGAGGATTACTTGAGCTCAGGAGTTCAAGACCAGTCTGGGCAACACAGCAAGACCTTGTCTCTAAAAAATAAAATAAAAGACTGGGTGCGGTGGCTCATGCCTGTAATCCCAGCACTTTGGGAGGCCAGGGTGGGTGGATCACTTGAGGTCAGCAATTTGAGACCAGCCTGGCCAACATGGTGAAACCCCATCTCTACTAAAAATAGAAAAGTTAGCCAGGCATGGTGGTGCACACCTGTAGTCCCAGCTACTTGGGAGGCTGAGGCAGGAGAATCGCTTGAACCCAGGAGGTAGAGGTTGCAGTGAGCCGAGATGGCTCCACTGCACCCCAGCCTGGGCGACAGAGGGAGACTCTATCTCAAAAATAAATAAATAAAATAAAAGCCGGTGGTGGCTGGGCATGATGGCTTATGTCTGTAATGCCACCACTTTGGGAGGCTTAGGTGGGAGGGTCACTTAAGGTCAGGAGTTTGAGTCTAGCCTGGGCAACATAGTGAGACCCCCATCTCTCTTAAAAAAAAAAAAAAAAAGGCCAGTGGGGCATTCTCCAAAACTCCCTGGCCAGTAATCCTCAAAACTGTCAAGGTCAGAAAAAACAAGACAGAAACGTCATAGACCAGATAAGTCTAAAGACATGTGATAACCACTGAGTGTAACGTGGGATCCTGCATTAGATTCTGGAACAGAAAAAGCACTCAAGTGGGAAAACTGGGGAATTTGAATAAAGTCTAGAGTTTAGTTAATAGTAATGGATGCACGGATGTTGATTTCTTAGTTGTGACAAGTGTATCATGGTTATGTAAGATGTAATAACAGGGAAGTCAGGATGAGAGGTACACAGGAGCTCTCTGTATTATTGTTGTAACTTTTCTGTAAACCTAAAATAATTCCAAAAGTAAAAGTTGATTAGGTAGGCATGGTGGCCCACACCTGTAATTTCAGCGCTTTGGGAGACCAAGATGGGAAGATCGCTTGAGGTCAGGAGTTCGAGACTAGCTTGGGAAACATAGTGAGATCCTGTCTCTACAAAAAAAAAAAAAAAAAAAAAAAAAAAAAAAAAAATTAGCTGGGCATGATAGTGTACATCGGTAGTCCCAGCTACTTGGGAGGCTAAGGTGGGAGGATTGCTCGAGTCTGGGAGGTTGAGGCTGCAGTGAGCCATGATCACACCAATGTGGGACACGGCCTGGGGGACAGAGCAAGACCCTATCTCAAAACAAAAATAAAAATAAAAAAAGTATCAGGGTGTGGTGGCACACACCTGTGGTCTCAGCTACTCCGGAGGCTGAAGCAAGAGAACTGCTTGAGCCTAGGAGGCTGAAGATGCAGTGAGCTATGATCATGCCCCTGCACTCCAGCCTGGACAACTGCTTGAGACCCTGTCTCTTAAAAAACCAAAAATGTTGGCCAGGTGTGATGGCTCACGCCTGTAAACACAATACTCTGGGAGGCTGAGGCAGGTGGATCCCTTCAACCCAGGAGTTCAAGACCAGCCTGGGCAACATGGTGAAACCCCGTCTCTACAAAAAATACAAAAATTAGCCTGGCGTGGTGGTGTGCACCTGTAGTCCCAGCTACTCAGGGAGCTGAAATGAGAGGATGGCTTGAGCCTGGGAGGTGGAGGTTGCAGTGAGCAGTGATCGCGCCGTGATTACACCACTGCACTCCAGCCTGCGCGGCAGAGTGAGACCCTGAAGGAAGTGACTCTTGTCCTCCCAGCATAGTGGCTGAGAGTCTGATAGGCTGGCATCCAAATCCCAGCTCTGTGAATTTGGGTAACTTGACTTTTCTCTGTATCTCAGTTTTCCCATCTGTAGAATGGAGCTAGTGTTAGTACCTACCATGAGATGGGGCTCTAAGGATTGAATTTTGGTAATATTTGTAAAGCAACTAAGAAGAGCGAGCTCTACAAGTGTTAAGTAAAATATGAAATTCAGAATGGGAGTAGAGCTTGGGGAGGGATGGATGGACAGATGAATGAATGGATGGATGGATAGATGGATGGATGTATATAAATGGATGGTTGGATGAATGAATACGAGTGAATGGATGAATGAATGAATGGGTAAACAGATAAATGGATGAGCAGATGAATGAATGGATGGATAGATGGATAGATGGTTGGTTTTATGAATGAATGGATAGATGGATGAATGGGTGGAAAGGTGAATGAATGGATGGATGAATGAATATGTGGATTCACAATCACTTTCTATCCTGACCCCTCCCCGACCCACAAGGCTCTTCCAGGCAAAACCCCAGTTCTCAGGCTGAGGGAGGCCCCAGGCGGTTCCCAGGCTTCCAGCATGGCGCGGGTGAACTAATATTTTTTTTTTTTTCTTTTGAGACAGGGTCTCGCTCTGTCACCCAGGTTGGAGTGCAGTGGCGTGATCTCGGCTCACTGCAACCTCTGCCTCCCAGGCTCAGGCGATCCTCCCACCTCAGCCTTCTGAGTAGCTGGGACCACAGGCTCGTGCCACCATGCCTGGCTAAATTATTTTGTATTTTTGGTAGAGACAGGGTCTTACCATATTGCCCAGGCTGGTCCCGAACTCCTAAGCTCAAGCCATCTGCCTGCCTTGGCCTCCCGAAGTGCTGGGAATGCAAGCATGAGCCACAGCGCCTGGCTGATATCTTCTTTAAGGCCTGTCAAGCTTATCACTCAGGGGATATTTGCCCAATACCTCAAGGTTTGACAAGAGCAGGCTGCTATTATCTCAAGCTTTCCAAAGGGACGTGGCCCCCTGTCACGGCTCAGACATAGCAGACAGGCACATTCTCCATCATTCATCACGGCCCTCCTGCCATTCTCGCAGTCAGAGAGAAGCCACAGCCTCTGCCTAGCCTACTGGGCACCTGTCTGCAGCCTAATCTCAGGTGATCCTTCCCTAGGAC
Source organism: Homo sapiens (assembly GCF_000001405.40). Lineage (NCBI taxonomy): Eukaryota > Metazoa > Chordata > Mammalia > Primates > Hominidae > Homo > Homo sapiens. The sequence goes on along the minus strand of NC_000019.10, from coordinate 9,871,963 downwards.
GAACAACAGAAGCAAGCTCCGTGGCAGAAAGGAGAAATTCACGGTAGACCTGTGAAGGTGTTTGCTCTCTGTCCCACTGGTTCATCAGCATCCTCATTCAACAAACATACCTTGTGCCAGGTTCTGAGGATCACGGATGAATTGTTTGCACAGCAAACAAAACTCCCCGCTCCCCTGTGGTTTCCTTTCCCAGGGTAGAGGCAGGCCTGGAGCCAGCATTCCCACCCGTGAGGCCCTCCTAATGGCGACTGTGATCAGGGCTTGGAGGAGGACAGGAGAGGTGCCGCAAGCCAGTGTAGACTGTGTAACCAGATGGCCTGTGTTCGAATTCCAGCTACATCACTTACAGGCAGTGATGCTTTGGCAAAGAGCTTTTTTTTTTTTTTTTTTGAGAGCAGAGTCATGCTATGTGGCCCAGGCTGGAGTGCAATGGCGGGATCTCAGCTCACTGCAACCTTCGCCTCCAGGGTTCAAGCGAGTCTCCTGCCTCAGCCTCCTGAGTAGCTGGGATCATAGTAGCACACCAGCACACCTGGCTAATTTTTTTGTATTTTTAGTAGAGACGGAGTTTCACCATGTTGCTCGGGCTGGATTCGAACTCCTGACCTTGTGATCCGCCTGCCTTGGCCTCCCGAAGTGCTGGGGTTACAGGTGTGAGCCACAGCACCCGGAATTTTATATAATTTTTTTTTTTAGACAGGATCTCGCTTTGTTGCCCAGGCTAGAGTGCAGTGGCACCATCTCAGCTCACTGCAACCTCTGCCTCCTAGGTTCAAGTGATTCTCTTGCCTCAGCCTCCTGAGTAGTGGGGATTACAGGCTCTCGCCACCATGCCCAGCTAATTTTTTGTATTTTTAGTAGAGATGGGGTTTCACCATGTTGGCCAGGCTGGTCTCGAACTCCTGACCTAGAGTGATCTGCCTGACATGACCTCCCAAAGTGCTGGGATTACAGGCATAAGCCACTGGGCCCGGTCTGGTCTTAAACTCTTGAGCTCACCTCGGCCTCCCAAAGTGCCAGGATTACAGATGCGAGCCACTGTAAACCACAGACATGCACCACCACACCCGGCTATTTATTTATTTATTTTGAGACAAAGTTTTGCTCTTGTTGCCCAGGCTGGAGTGCAATGGTGCAATCTCAGCTCACTGCGATCTTGGCTTACAGCAACCTCCACCTCCCGGGTGACTTGAGAGGAGGGTAACGCGTGGCAGGGACCACCAAGACTGCTTTTGGAAGAGACCTGAACGCTTGAGCCCCGGGGATGGGGAAGAGTTAGCCTGGCCCTAAGAAGGGGAGAGTGCGGGGATTGGCAGCAGGCCCGGCCCGTGCAAAGGCCTGGAGATGAGAATAAGCATCCTGTGACCTGGGAAGGGAAAGACAATTAGAGAGGATGGGCCAGAGAGAACACAGCAGTGTGCGCCTACATCCTGGTTCAGTGCCTGTAAGGATGGAGAAGGACCTTGGCTCCCCTGCTGCCAGGTTATAGCAAGGAGATATTCTGGAAAAGGAAGCCAGCTGGGCCGCGTGGGGACTAGGATGGAGCAAGTGTCCCCTCTCATCCCTCACTCTCCTCTCTCCCTCGTTGGACTTTCTTTGCCTCATGATCCCACAGCCTCAACCCCAACTCCATGAGACTTTGCCAGATCCTTTTTATTGTGTCAAGACTCACACCGTTTGACCTCAGGAAGTTACCAAATTGGCCTTTTGAGTGTTATGAAGATAATAATAGCAGGGCAGCGTGTGATGACTCAGGCCAGTAATCCCAGTACTTTGGGAGGCTGAGATGGGAGGATCCCTTGAGGCCAGGAATCCGAGGCTGCAGTGAACCGTGAGCGTGCTGCTGCACCAGCCTGGGCAACATAGTGAGACTCCACCTCTACAAAAAAAAAATTTTTTTTTAATTAACCAGGTGCAGTGGTGCATGCCTGTAATCCTAGCACTTTGGGAGGCTGAGGCTGGAGGATTGCTTGAGGCCAGGAGTTCAAGAGCAGTCTGGGCAGCACAGTAAGATCCTGTCTCTACAAAAATATTTTAAAAAATTAACCAGGTGCAGTGGTGCATGCCTGTAATCCCAGCATTTTGGGAGTCTGAGGCTGGAGGAACTGTCTGAGGCCACGAGTTCAAACACAGCTTGGGCAATTATAGCAAGACTCCCATCTCTACAAAAAATAAAAAATTAGCTGGGCATAGTGGCACATGCCTGTAGTCCCAGATGCTCAGGAAGCTGATGGCCAGAGGATCGCTTGAGGTCAGGAGTTCGAGGCTGAAGTGAGCCATGATTGTGCCACTGCACTCCAGCCTGGACGATAGAGTGACACCCTGTCTCTTAAAAAATAAAAATAATAGTATTAGCAGACACTTGTGTAGCTCTTACTACATGCTGATGACTGTTCTAATTGCTCTTATATATATTATGAACTCATTTGATCCTCCTAGCAACCCAGAGAAGTAGGTAGTCATCATGTCCATTGTACAAATGAAAAAACTAAGAAAGACACAGAGAGGTTAAGCCACTTGCTGAGGTCACACAGCAAGCGAATGGTGAAGCCAGAACTTAAACCCAGGCAGCCTGACTCCAGGACCCTGCTCTTACCAGTTGGCCCTACTCTACCATCCCAGGAGGAATAAGAAACATCTAGAGGAAACTAGTCACTTCTATCGTAAGGATATTGCCCGGAGAGATGCTGGTGACATCACGTGGAATCCTTTTTGGGAGGACTGTGGGAGAAATCCCTGCCAAAAATAATTGAGCTTTCTCCTGAGCATCTGGTGTACTTTTGTTTCAGGACACTGAGAACCGCATAAATGACCAGCTTTCCCTTTCTGAGTTGGCTGCTAAGGAGCTTGGAGCCAAACTTATGGCCCGGCCATATGCTGATTGTTCAGGTTTTTAAGGGATGAGTTTTTCTTAGCCTCGTTTCTGGCTCTGTTTTATGTCCCTGCTTTTGTTTTTCTTCTTTTTCTCCCTTGCCAAAAAAAAAAAAAAAAATTTAAGGGACTTTTAAAAATCTTTTTTTTTTCTTTTGAGATAGGGTCTCACTTTGTCACGCAGGCTGGAGTGTAGTGGCGCCTTCATAGCTCACTGCAGCCATGAACTCCTGGGCTCAAGTGATCCTCCTACTTCAGCTTCCTGAGTAGCTGGCACTGCAGGCATGTGCCACCATGCTAATTTTTAAATTTTTTGTAGAGATGAGGTTTTACTATGTTGCCCAGGCTGGTCTCAAACTCCTGGGCTCAAGTGATTCTCCTGCCTTGGCTTCCCAAAGTGTTGGGATTACAAGCGTGAGCCACTGCACCCGGCCCTAAAAATCTTTATAAGAACAATACACGTTCATTGTAGAAAACTTGGAAAATAAGATAAATTTAAAGATGGTGATTAAAATCTCCATTAATCTCTAATTTTTAATGACTGCATAGTATCTCATTCTGTAGATGCATCTTAAATTTGTAAATTGGCTGGACACAGTGCCTCACGCCTGTAATCCCAATACTTTGGGAGGCTGAGGTGGGAGAACTGCTTGAGCCCAGGAATTTGAGACCAGGCTGGGCAACATAGCTAGTCCCTGTTTCTACAAAAAATCTTTTTAAAAATTAGCCTGGGCCAGGCGTGGTGGCTCACACCTGTAATCCCAACACTTTGGGAGGGTAAGGCGGGCAGATCACCTGAGGTCAGGAGTTCAAGACCAGCCTGGCCAACATGGTGAAACCTCGTCTCTACAAAAATACAAAAATTAGCCGGGCATAATGGCAGGTGCCTGTAATCCCAGCTACTCCAGAGACTGAGGCAGGAGAATCACTTGAACCCTCGAGGTGGAGATTGCAGTGAGCCAAGATCACGCCATTGCACTCCAGCCTGGGCAACAGAGGGAGACTCCATCTCAAAAAAAAAAATTAGCCTGGTTTAGTGGCTCACACCTGTAGTCCCACCTACTCAGGAGACAGAGGTGGGAGGATCGCTTGAGCCTTTGGACATCAAGGCTGCAGTGAGCTATGATCATGCCACTGTACTCCAGCCTGGGTGGCAGAGCAAGACCCTGTCTCCAAAAAAAAAAAATTTTTTTTCTAGCATGTGTAATAGCTTTTGATCAAATTAATTTCTAATTGTCCAATTTTAAACAATGCTTAATGAACCTCCCTTGCAACAATCAGATGCTGTCCACAAAGTTTCCATGGGCTGAATTCTTAGCTTTGGATTGGCCGAATAAAATGCAAATTGCAGAAACTGTAATGGCTTGGCTGTGGACTGGCAGGCTGTCCTCCAAAAATATCTAATCCCCGCTCTCATATTTAATTGGCGCTATCTTATGGTATTTTACATATCCTTGTAAACCACTTAGAGTCCTCTCTGGAACAAGGCAGGGCACAAATAAATATGTAAGCCCCAAGGTGCCTTGGCTTCCTGATTAAATTATCCAGCCTCAAACACAATAATAGCTTCATTTTATTAAGAGGCAGGCGCTTGCTCTCTTCCTGTTGGCTACTTCCTGATAGCCAATGCTTCTCCTGTCCCCAGGACCCTGTAGCAATGCCTCCGTCCCCAGGGAAACACCAGGAATTGTTTTTTTTTGTTGTTGTTATTGTTGTTTTTTTGAGACGGGGTCTCGCTCTATTGCCCAGGCTGGAGTGCAATGGCACGATCTCGGCTCACTGCAACCTCTGCCTCCTGGGTTCAAGCAATTCTTCTGCCTCAGCCTCCTGAGTAGCTGGGCTTACAGGTGCCTGCCACCACGTCTGGCTAATTTTTGTATTTTTAGTAGAGATGGGGTTTCACCATGTTGGCCAGACTGGTCTGGAACTCCTGACCTCAGGTGATCCGCCCACCTTCACCTCCCAAAGTGCTGGGATTACAGGCGTGAGCCACCATGCCTGGCCACCAGGAATTGTTTTTGAACCAAGATATAGGTGGTGGAGTAGTAGGAGATGATGATCCCTGGCCCGACAGCAAGAACAGCTTTCCCTGCCTGTGTCCTACTCAGTTAATCCTGGACCTGTTTTAGAGGCTGGTGTTTAATTAGGGCAGCCTCAGCAAAAGTGTTTGTAAGATTTCAGCCAGAAAAGACATTTGAGGAACAGATACTTGAGTGCATAGCTTCACTCCCTTAAAGCCCATTAGCAGGAATATTAAACCCTGAACCAAGAGCTCAGCAAAGAGAGAGTGGGTTGGCAGGGCCGTCGTGATAGCTCACGCCTATAATTCCAGCACTTTGGGAGGCCAAGGCGGGTGGATCACTTTAGCCCAGGAGTTCAAGATCGGCCTAGGAAATGTAGTGAGATCCCCGTCTCTACCAAAAAAAATAGCCAGTCGTGATGGTGCATGCCTGTAGTCCCAGCTGCTCGGGAGGCTGAGGTGGGAGGATTGCTTGAGTCAGGGAAGTTGAGGCTGCAGTGAGCCTAGATCATGCCACTGCACTCCAGCCTAGGCAACAGAGCAAGACCCTGTCTCAAAAAAAAAAAAAAAAAAAAGTGGGTTGGCTTCTTTAGTACATCTGCCACATCCGAGGTGAGACAGGCTGCTAGACCACAGACTTCTATGCTGGAGAACGCCTGTGTTCTTGCACCTGCTGTTGTAAGCATTTCCCCTAGAGTAGGACACTCTCTGTTCCTCTCTAGTCTTCTGACTGCCAAGAACTCTTGACTTTGTTTCCAAGCTAGACCCAGTCTGGGAGAGCTAGCACATGGTACATTCCAGAACATTCCAGCGGTTCCTAGGGACATGCATTAACTGCATATCTGAACTTAAACCCAATGGGCAAAACTCAGGACCTCTGCCTGCTGCGATCTGGCAGCCAAAACCCAGGCATTTAATTACACTGCTGCAGAGAACACTCCGGTGAGATGCGTCCAACGCAGACAATTATTTTAGGAAAACCATGGAGGCCTTCTCTCTGCACCACTTAAATCTTGCTTCTCTTTTACAATTCAATATTTCCTCTGTCGAGAGAAAATGGCTTATTTGCTTCAACGGACACGCTAGGCAATGTAGGAAGATGTTAATTACGTTGAACCGGCGGCTTTGTCTCTGCACAAAAGATATTCCTTGGGGGTTTCTATCCAAATTGCTTGGGGACTAGAGCCAGGGGAGGAGGGGCAGGGATGCTTGGGCTCCTGTTTGATGTTTTTCTTTGTTTTTTTTTTTTTTTTTTAAGAATGAGATTTATCAAGAAGGGAGGGCCGGGCACGGTGGCTCATGCCTGTAATCCCAGCATTTTGGGAGGCCAAGGCGGGTGGATCATTTGAGGTCAGGAGTTCAAGACCAGCCTGGCCAACATGGCGAAACCCTGTCTCTACTAAAAATACAAAAATTAGCCAGGCGTGGTGGTGCATGCCTGTAATCCCAGCTACTTGGGAGGCTGAGGCAGGAGAATTGCTTGAACCTGGGAGGCAGAGGCTGCAGTGAGCCGAGATCCCGCCATTGCACTCCAGCCTGGGCGACAGAGCAAGACTCCCTCTCAAAAAAAAAAAAAAAAAAAAAAAAGAAAAAACAGAGAGGTAACAGTGACTCATGCCTTGTAATCCCAGTGCTTTGGGAGGCTGAGGCAGGAGGATCGCTTGAGCCCAGGAGTTTGAGACCATACTGGACAATATAGCAAGACTCCCATCTCTACAAAAAAATTTAAAAATTAGTAGGTGCGATGGTGAGACTAAAGGCCTTTAGTCTCAGCTACTCGGGAGGCTGAAGTGGGAGGAATCACTATTTAAGCCCAGGAGGTTGAGGCTGCCAAAAGCCCTGATAGTACCACTGCACACCAGCCTGGGTGACCAAGTGAGACTCCATCTCCAAAAAAAAAAAAAGAGGAGAAGAAGAAGAAGGGAGGTGGGAGAGTAGTTCTGGATCCTCCCAGAACCAAAGGGGCAGGCTTTCTTGGGGTATTCCTCTTGTACTGGGCCATCCTTGTTGTCTTAGGTCAGGCTCTTTCAGGGAGGATTTAAGTGCAGGTATCCACCTAAGATACCCCAGGAAGAACCAGTGGGGGAGCAGTGAAGTGAGAGAGGAGGTGAAGGAAACCCGTGCCGGGAGACTTAATGAGTACGCCAGGCGCAGTGGCTCACACCTGTAATACCAGCACTTTGAGAGGCCGAGGCAGGTGGATCGCTTGAGCCCAGGAGTTCAAGACCAGCCTGGGCAGCAAAGCAAGACTATCTCTACAAAAGGAAAAAAAAAAAAAAAAAAAAGCTGGGTGTGTTGGTACCTGCCTGTAGGCCCAGCTACTCAGGAGGCAGATGTGGGAGGGGATGGCTTAAACCCAGGAGTTCGAGGCTGCAGTAAGCTAGGATTGCACCACTGCACTCCAGTGGTGGGTGACAGCAAGACCCAGACCTGAGCGACAGCAAGACCCCATCTTAAAAAAATAAATAAATGTGCCAGGCGCAATGGCTCTCGCCTGCAATCCCAGCACTTCGGGAGGCCAAGGTGGACGGATCACTTGAGGCCAGGAGTTCGAGACCAGCCTGACCAACATAGTGAAACCCTATCTCTACTAAAAATACAAAAATTAGCCAGGCATGGAGGTGGGTGATTGTAATCCTAGCTACTCGGGAGGCTGAGGCATGAAAATCGCTTGAACCCAGGAGGTGGAGGTTGCAGTGAGCCAAGATCGCACCACTGCCCTCCAGCCTGGGAGACACAGCGAGAGTCTGTCTCAAAAATGAAAAATAATAAAATAAACGAATAAATAAAAGAGAAGTAATGAGCAGGTTGCTGCTGTGGACAACTGAGGTGTAAATCTAATGGGTTGCCCTGGAAGATTTCATGAACATACACCTTCGAGTTCTTTCCCACTGGAGAGGCAAGAGGGGTGGTATTAATCACGAATGCCTGTAGGTCATCTCTGAGGATTGCTGGGTGTATTTTCTGCTGGCCCCATGCAAGGGCAGGGTGGGATATGACCACCAGAGAAAGCTCTTGGCTGTGGCCAATCCTGGGCACACCTGCAGTGAATGTTAGCTCCACCCAGCTCCTACCTGAGTACAAGGAAGGCGGAGAAAGTGAGTTACTGTGCTCCGCTGCCAGGGCTGAGGATGTGCAACTTACAAAGAGGGGGTTCCCCCCATTTAGGAAGGGTGTACAAAGGCTCGAAGAATGACTGACTGTAATAGTTTCAGCTGGCGTTTATGAATGGTTTGTTTTCCTTATAGATTAGTGGGGGAGTCAAGCTCATCTGTATAATTTGTACAATTATATCATTTGCTCATATTCCAATAAGCCTTAAAAAAAAAAAGACTCGATTGAGTGGGAGAGAAAAAGGTGGGCTAATAGTTGGAGTCCCCGGGATCGCTCATAATTCACAGCTTGGTTTATCTGTGCTGCAGCTCACGGCACCGATTCTGCTGGGAGATCTAGTAATGGCTGTGCAAATGATCAATGATTGTGGTGCTTTGTTTCTCTGTAAAACACTGGGGTTTTTTTAATCAGAATTTCTTCCATGCCTGTCAGAATGCATCCTGGAATAGGACCAGAATCTTCCATTTACCGCCTCTATGGCCACCACCCATCATCACCTGTCTGGATCTGTGCAGTCACCCCTGCCCTGGCCTCCCTCCCTCGTTCCCTAGAGCAGCCAGAGGTCACTGTGAACACCCAAGTAAGGTCACGTCTCGCCTCTGCACAGAACCCTCCATGGCTCCCACCTTCCTCAGGGCAGAACCCAGAGCCCTCACTGCTTCCCACAAGGCCTTGCCCCATCACCTCCCTTCTCTCATCTGCCTCCACTTACCCCTTACTCAATCTGCTCCAGCCACATGGGCCTCCTCCTTGTTTCACAAACACACCAGGCATGGTCCTGCCTCAGCCTTTCTACTTGCTGTTCTCTCTGCCTGGAACCCCTTCCCCAGACATCCAAATGGCTCCTCCCTCACTTCCTTCAGGTCTTGAACAAAGACTTCAGGTTTTGAACAAACGACGCCTACGTGTGCAAGCCCAAGCCAGTCACCCCACAACCCTCACGTCCCCCCACATCCTTTTTTTTTTTTTTGAGACAGAGTTTCACTCTTTTGCCCAGGCTGGAGTAAAGTGGTGTGATCTCGGCTCACTGCAACCTCGGCTCGCTGCCCCCACCCCGCCAGGTTCAAGCGATTCTCCTGCCTCAGGCTCCCAAGTAGCTGGGATTATAGGCGCACATCACCATGCCCGGCTAATTTTTGTATTTTTAGTAGAGACGGGGTTTTACCATGTTGGCTAAGCTGGTCTGGAACTCCTGACCTCAGGTGATCCACCTGCCTCCACTTCCCAAAGTGCTAGGATTACAGGTGTGAGCCACCGCGTCTGGCCTGTTTTTTTTAAGAGATGGGGTCTCACTCTGTCACCCAGGCTGGAGTGCAGTGGCACAGCCATAGCTCATTGCAGCCTCAACTTCCTGTACCCAAGCAATCCTCCTGCCTCAGCCTTGTGAGTAGCTGGGACCACAGGTGCATGCCACTACATCCAGCTAATTTTTTTTTTTTTTTAATTTTTAGTATAGATGAGGTCTTGTTATGTTGCCCAGGGTGGCCTTAAACTCCTGACCTTCAGTGATCCGCCCCCTTCAGCCTCTTGAAATTCTGGGATTACAGGCGTGAGCCACCATTCCTGGGTCCCTCCAGACATTGATCAGGATTTGTAATGATAGAAATGTCCCCTGCCTTCTCCTTTTCTTCTGTCTCACTCGTCCCTCAAGTTCATCTCAAGAGCCCATTCTCTTGGATACCTCCTCAGAGACCCTCAGCCTGAGGGAAGACCCCCTGTTACTCCCTGCACTACTTCTTCAAAGCACTCACTGCAGCATGTGGTTCTAGAAGTATCACTGGCATTAAGTGGTTGATGTCCGTCTCTCCTAGTAGCTCCATGGACAACCACCAGATGTTTTCTTCATTCCTTCTCTTCCTTGATCCTATCCCAGACCCTATGCCTGGGACAGAAGAGACTCTCATGGATATCTTCTTTTTTTTTTTTTTTTTTTTTCTTTGAGACGGAGTCTTGCTCTGTCGCCCAGGCTGGAGCGCAGTGGCGCAGTCTCAGCTCACTGCAACCTCCGCCTCCCAAGTTCAAGCCATTCTCCTGCCTCAGCCTCCCATGTAGCTGAGATTACAGGTGCCCGCCACCATACTTGGCTAATTTTTGTATTTTTAGTAGAGATGGGGCTTTGCCATGTTGGCCAGGCTGTTCTCAAAACTCCTGACCTCAGGTGATCCACCTGCCTCAGGGGTGTCTTCTAATCAGTTTGGAAGTTTATGATTTGTGTCTAGAGTTCCCTGGTACTTATTTGCATTTCTAAGCCTCTGATAAGTCCTGCAGTAACAAAACTTGTTTCACCCAGTGACACACATTTATTTGACCACAGAGCATCCTTTTCCCAGCACACCTGGTAAGATTACCAGTGTTGGAAGGAGTATGGCTTGGGAAACAAAGCCATAATTGGTCACTGGATTATCTGAGCATTTTGTCTGCCATCACTTTGCCTGGGTGGCTCCAGGTGAGGTGGGGGCACAGCAGGGTTGCACTTAACATTTGGTGGCCCTGATGGCCGGGCACGGTGGCTCACGCCTGTAATGCCAGCACTTTGGGAGGCTGAGACGGGTGGATCACCTGAGGTGAGATCCTTTTTTTTTTGTGAGACAGGGTCTCACTCTGTTACCCAGGCTGGAGTGGAGGCCAGGTGTTGGAGACAGGCGGAGGTTGCAGTGAGCCCAGATCGCGCCACTGCTCTCCAGCCTGGGTGACAGGGCAAGACTGTGTCTCAAAAACAAACAACAACAAAAAACAAACCAAAAAAAAAAAAAAACATTAAGTGGCCCTGAGATAGCTCCAGAGCCGATATGTCACTGTGGGCTGGGGAAGCAGAGAGGAGGTCCAGGTTTGGGGGTTATTTGAGTGGATCTCTGTTCTAATGGCAGTCACAGAGACAGTGTTGTGTGCGTGCAAATCTGTGTGAGAGAATGAATTCTGGTCTTGGAGAAGATTTGAGTCCTCCAATTCCTTGCCGTGTTCCTTAAGCCCTCCGCACCTCAGTCTTGCCATCCGTGAAATGAGGCTCCTTAAGGAGGGCCTGAGATCACACACAACAGGCACTGGCATATGCCCGGAGCCCAGCAAAGGGCATCTGTGGTTTCCTTGGGCCCCCTTCCTGTCCCAGTGAGGGCGAGGCGAGACCCTCACTGGGATTCCGGTCTCTGACCCCCACCTCTTTGCAGACTCTCTTCCAGAACCCAGAAGAGGGCTGGCAGCTGTACACCTCAGCCCAGGCCCCTGACGGGAAATGCATCTGCACGGCCGTGATCCCAGCGCAGAGTACCTGCTCTCGAGATGGCAGGAGTCGGGAGCTGCGGCAACTGATGGAGAAGGTGAGAACCTTCCAGGTACCCTGGGGGCAGCTGGGAAAATCTCCCAGTTCTCACCCCGCCCTCCAGCCCCATCCAGGTCAGCCAGTGGCCATATCCAGCTATGCAAATTATTCAGAGCTGGCTGATAATCCAGCTCCTCTCCAGGCAGGTCCTTTTTTTTTTTTTTTCCTTTTAACACAGGGTCTCACTCTGTTACCCAGGCTGGAATGCAGTGACATGATCAGCTCACTGCAGCCTCAAACTCCTAGGTTCAAGCAATCCCCACTCCTCAGCCTCTGAGTAGCTGGGACTACAGACATGCACCACCATGCCCTAATTTTTATATTTTTTGTGGAGACGGGGTCTCCCTATGTTGCCCAGGCTGGTCTCAATCTCCTGGGCTCAAGTGATCCTCCTGCCTCAGCCTCCCAAAGTGTTGGGATTACAGGTGTGAGCCACCATGCCCAGATGGATACTTTATCCAATATCTGTTCAATGTATTTTTTTTTTTTTTCTCCTTGAGACAGTCTCACTCTGTCGCCCAGGCTGGAGTGCAGGTGCAGTGGCGCGATCTCAGCTCACCGCAACCTCCACCTCCCAGGTTCAAGCAATTCTCCTGCCTCAGCCTCCCGAGTAGCTGGGATTACAGGCGTGTGCCACCACGCCCAGCTAATTTTTTTATTTTTAGCAGAGATGGGGTTTCACCATATTAGTCATGCTGGTCTTGAACTCCTGACTGCAGGTGATTTGCCTGTCTTGGCCTCCCAAAGTGCGGGGATTACAGGCGTGAGCCACTGCGCCCTGCCTGTTCAATGCTTTTTTGGGAGAGAAGCCAAGCACTTACTGGGATTGGGGTGGGGGGAAGGAAGGAAGACTGGAGGGGCAGCATCTGAGTCTCCTGTGTGTGAGCTCTGGTCCACCAGGCATGTCCCACCCAGCTTTGCAGTTCACCAGACTCACCTACTAAGAAGGAGTTCTGTGCCCCTTGGGGAGGGTCTAACCCTCCACCTCAAGAGGCTCCTATAAAAGTTTCCTTCTACCTCTGATCATGGTCAAGAGAAAATAGTCCCCTGGGCCGGGCGTGGTAGCTCACGCCTGTAATCCCAGCACTTTGGGAGGCTGAGGCATGTGTATCACTTGAGGTCAGGAGTTTGAGATCAGCCTCTACCAAAAATACAAAAATTAGCCGGGCGTGGTGGTGTGTGCCTGTAGTCCCACCTACTCGGGAGGCTGAGGCAGGAGAACTGCTTGAACCCGGGAGGTGGAGGTTGCAGTGAGCTGAGATGGCACCACTGCACTCCAGCCTGGGCAAGACAGAGCAAGACTCCATCTCAAATAAATAAATAAATAAATAAATAAAACTTACAAATTGTTGATTTCTGGAATTTCCCACTTAATATTTTTGGACTGTGGTTGGCCTCAGGTAGCTGAAACGTGAAACTGTGGAGAAGGGAAGAGTATGTAAAAATGTTTTGTGGCGTTCAGGGTGGGTATTAGGCTGCTGAGTTTCTGGGAGTTTCCAAGTGTCATGTGAATAATTGTACAGGAAAGTCTGTATTTCAACAAGCATCCAGTGGTAACTCTGACTGAGTTTACCTTAGCCAGGCAGAGTCCACTTTAGTCAGGTGAAGCTGGTGGGAATCTACCTTAGCCAGGTGAGAGTCTACCTTAGCCAGGTAAAGGTCTACCTTAGCCAGGTGAGGGTCTACCTTAGCCAGGTGAGGGTCTACCTTAGCCAGGTGTTCATCTTAGCCAAGTGAGAGTCTACCTTAACAAGGTGGGAGTCTACCTTAGCCAGGTGTTCACCTTAGCCAGCTGGAGTCTACCTTAGCCAGGTGAGAGTCTACTTAAGCCAGAGATGGAGTTCACCTTAACAAGGTGGCTACCTTAGCCAGATGTTCACCTTAGTCAGATGGGAGTCTACCTTAGCCAGGGGGAGTTCAACTTATCTAGGTGGAGTTCACCGTAGCCAGGTGGAGGTGGGAGCTGGGTGCTCTCAGGTTGGGTCAGGAGAGGCCAGGGCAAGGGAAGTTTATTTTACTCATTCAGCCAAAAAATACTTATTGGGCCTCTACTCCAGGCCAGTGCTGGGCACTGGAGGTTAAGCTGTGGACAAGCTAGACGCAGCCTCTGCCTCTGAGGGTCCCACCTGAAGGAGGCAGATGGATAAGAATGTTCTACATAGTCACAGCTGGGAAGGAAATGACCAGGCAAGAGGAGAGTGAGTGAGCGGCTACCGGACAGGGTGGTCAGGGAAGGATGCTTTGAGTGGGGGACGCTGGAGCTGAACCCTGAAGGATGAGAAGGAGCCAGCCATGGGAACTTGGGGGAACAGCACTCCAGGTAGAGAGACCAGCAAGTGCAAAGACCCTGCAGAAGGAAGGAGCTTAGAGTCTGTGAGAACAAAGAGAGAGGAAGTGGGTTGGGCGGGGGGGGTGGGCAGGACCAGCCAGCACAGGATCTGTGGAGGAGGAAGGTGATCTAATCTCTGTTTTGAAAGTTCCTTCTGTCTGCTGTGTAGAGAATTGACTACAGGGGATGAAGGTGGAACTGGGAGACTAGGGAGGAGGTGAGAGGTGGTGGTAGGTGGACCAGATGGGAGCCAGTGGGTAGTAGGGAGGGAGCGATGGATGGATGGATTGGGCACGCAATTGGGAGGCTGCTGGTAAGCTCAGGGGAGGAGAAGGTGGCCTCGTCGGTGTGGTGTTTGTACAGCCTCTGTTCCTGCCAGCTCTTGTCTGTGGCATCTCTGGGTTGGGATTTGGGGAAGGAGGTCTGGTCCCTTCAGTTGTCCCCATTCCTAGGTCCAGAACGTCTCCCAGTCCATGGAGGTCCTTGAGTTGCGGACGTATCGCGACCTCCAGTATGTACGCGGCATGGAGACCCTCATGCGGAGCCTGGATGCGCGGCTCCGGGCAGCTGATGGGTCCCTCTCGGCCAAGAGCTTCCAGGTGGGTCCTCCTGTGTCCAGACCAGAGGTCAAACAAATGACTGGGATTTGGTATCCATTAGTTCCTACAATGGAGTCATGTCTGGGAAGAATCTAGGGTCCAATATGAGCCACATGTCAAGGGCCAGGTGTGCATCAAAGACAAAGGGTGAAGTTATGAGTCAGAGGTTGGAGTCATGTCTGGGTCAAAGGCCAGGGGTCAGGCTTGGCCATGGTTCCATCTTGATGCACAGGAGCTGAAGGACAGGATGACGGAACTGTTGCCCCTGAGCTCGGTCCTGGAGCAGTACAAGGCAGACACGCGGACCATTGTACGCTTGCGGGAGGAGGTGAGGAATCTCTCCGGCAGTCTGGCGGCCATTCAGGAGGAGATGGGTGCCTACGGGTATGAGGACCTGCAGCAACGGGTGATGGCCCTGGAGGCCCGGCTCCACGCCTGCGCCCAGAAGCTGGGTATGCCTTGGCCCTTGACCCTGACCCCTGATCTCTGACTGCCACACCCAACTCCAGTATCACCTGTTTGTGCCTAGAAGCTGGACACAGTTTTGACCTCTAACTTTTAAACCTCAACCCTTGACCTTCCTACCTAAGGCTACACTTGAGTCCAGAAGCTGGAAATGGCCCTGACCCTTGGCCTCTAACCCCTCACTCACAACTGAACAACATATTGGGACCAGATTTTTGAGTCTTCCCTCATCCCTGGTCCCAGCTTTCCCAACTTGATCACAGCACTTCATCTTTGCCTGGCCTCTCTTGGGCTGTTCATTTCCCCATCCTCATTCCCCCTGTTCCTGCCTCCCAGGCTGTGGGAAGCTGACCGGGGTCAGTAACCCCATCACCGTTCGGGCCATGGGGTCCCGCTTCGGCTCCTGGATGACTGACACGATGGCCCCCAGTGCGGATAGCCGGGTGAGTGACTGCGCCCACCCCTGGGGTCAGGGCCTGGGAGGGACAGAGCCTTTGACTGCCCATAGGTGCCTAGGGAGTCCACACTGGTGACTGTCTTGTAGCCCAAAGTGTCCTGGATCCCCCAGGGCCATTGGACCTCCCTGTCCAGTAACCCCCAAGTGACCAAGGGCTTTGCAGCCTTGTGAATCCCACTCTGTTGACCTCCAGTGTCTGTATAGTGGCTAATGGTTACTGAGTTCTACTGACCAGTTCTCAGGGACTACTGACGTCCAAGTAACTACCCAATGACCAATGCCCTCCCAAGGACAAGAGACCTCTTCCACCAAGCACTGCTCAGTGACCTTCGGACTTCTAGTAGCTTCCATGGTCATGACTGCCCATCACTTAGACACACAAGAACCATCCATGAGGCTGGGCATGGTGGCTCATGCCTGTAATCCCAGCACTTTGGGAGGCTGAGGTGGGCGGATCACCTGAGGTCGGGAGTTCGAGACCAGCCTGACCAACATGGAGAAACCCTGTCTCTACTAAAAATACAAAATTAGCCGGACATGGTGGTGCATGCCTGTAATCCCAGCTACTCGGGAGGCTGAGGCAGGAGAATCACTTGAACCCTGGAGGCAGAGGTTGCAGTGAGCCAAGATCGCACCATTGCACTGCAGCCTGGGCAACACGAGTGAAACTCTGTCTCAAAACAAAACAAAACAAAAACAACAACAAATGCTAGTTAACATGATGACAACAATGATGTTGATGACACGCCTGGTCACCTCATGGTGACAGGGGTTAGTTAACCATGGCAGTGAATTCAAGTGATGTCTTATCATTCAATGGCTGTCCAGTGACCACTAACCACCCAATATTCAATGACCAGGGAATTCCTGGGCCCAGTGACTCCCCAGGGGCTGCAGTTCCCTGGGTCCTTTGGGATGGAGCATTGTCCACTTAGGGTCTGTTTTAAGATCAATAGTGGCCAGGTGCAGTGGCTCACGCCTGTAATCCCAGCACTTTAGGAGGCCGAGGCAGGCAGATCACTTGAGCTCAGGAGTTTGAGACTAGCCTGGGCAACATTGCGAGACCTTGTCTCTACTAAAGATACAATAAATAAGCTGGGCGTGGTGACTTGTGCCTGTAGTCCCTGCTATTCCGGGGGGCTGAGGTGAGAGGATTGCTTGAGCCTGGGAGGTCGAGGCTGCAGTGAGCCGTGATTGTGCCACTGCCCGCCAGCCTGGGAAAAACAGTGAGACTTTGTTTCAAAAGAAAAAAAAAGGCCAGGCGTGGTGGCTCATGCCTGTAATCCCAGCACTTTGGGAGGCTGAGACAGTGGATCACAAGGTCGGGAGTTTGAGACCAGCCTGACCAACATGGTGAAACCCCATCTCTACTAAAAATACAAAAATTAGCCGGGTGTGGTGGGATGCGCCTGTAATCCCAGCTACTCAGGAGGCTGAGGCAGGAGAATCACTTGAACCTGGGAGGCGGAGGTTGCAGTGAGCTGAGATCACGCCACTGTACTCCAGCCTGGGCAACAGAGAGGGACTCCATCTCAAAAAAAAAAAAAAAAATTACTTAAAAAAAAAAAAGACCAATAGCACTCACTGGGATTTGGGTCCTACTGGGGCCATGCAGTTCCCCAAGAAACTGCAGCCCCTGGGGACTCACTGGGCCCAGGAATTCCCTGGTCATTGGATATTGGGTGGTTAGTGGTCACTGGACAGCCATTGAGTGATAAGACGTCACTTGAATTCACTGCCCATGGTTAATGCTGTCACCAGGAGATGATCATGGTCACACTAGGGCCATAATTGGTAATGAATGGTCAACAGAGTTCCCATGACTAATGACCACTTAGTGACTGTTGAACTCTAATGGCTGTAGCTGGTGCTGGGACCCTTGGGTCGTTGGTGGTGGTTCCCCCCAGTGACCAGCGGCTGCTACCATAGGTCTGGTACATGGATGGCTATTACAAAGGCCGCCGGGTCCTGGAGTTCCGTACCCTGGGAGACTTCATCAAAGGCCAGAACTTTATCCAGCACCTGCTGCCCCAGCCGTGGGCGGGCACGGGCCACGTGGTGTACAACGGCTCCCTGTTCTATAACAAGTACCAGAGCAACGTGGTGGTCAAATACCACTTCCGCTCGCGCTCTGTGCTGGTGCAGAGGAGCCTCCCGGGCGCCGGTTACAACAACACCTTCCCCTACTCCTGGGGCGGCTTCTCCGACATGGACTTCATGGTGGACGAGAGCGGGCTCTGGGCTGTGTACACCACCAACCAGAACGCGGGCAACATCGTGGTCAGCCGGCTGGACCCGCACACCCTCGAGGTCATGCGGTCCTGGGACACCGGCTACCCCAAGCGCAGCGCTGGCGAGGCCTTCATGATCTGCGGTGTGCTCTACGTGACCAACTCCCACCTGGCTGGGGCCAAGGTCTACTTCGCCTATTTTACCAACACGTCCAGTTACGAGTACACGGACGTGCCCTTCCACAACCAGTATTCCCACATCTCGATGCTGGATTACAACCCCCGGGAGCGCGCCCTCTATACCTGGAACAACGGCCACCAGGTGCTCTACAATGTCACCCTGTTTCACGTCATCAGCACCTCTGGGGACCCCTGAGCCAATGCTGTGGCTCGGGCTGCTGCCTGGGGGGCCTCTGGGGGCTGGGGGCCCTTTTCATTCTGCCTGTGTCCCTCAAGGGTGATCTCTCTGTCTCTGTCACGCCCTTTCTCCCCGCCTTTTTGCTGGGCTTTTGTTCTCTGCCTATGTATTTCTGTCTATTTTTTCAATTTCCCCTCTTCTCCTTTATTGATCTCTGCTTTTAATACACCACTTCTTTCTTTCTGCCTTTTTATGGATGTCTTTTTCTTTTTATGGCTCTGGTTCTCCAGTTCTTTCCGTCTCTGCCTCTCTCTGTCTCTCTCTCTCTGTCCTTCCACCCCTCCCTCCTTGCTTCCCACCCATTCCTCATCCCTCACTCCCACCCCCACCCCCACCCCCAGGAGTTGAGTGCATGGATCTGTTTCTTTTTTTATTTACACTTTTTCTTTCCGGTTTGCCGGAATAAACAGGACCTTTGACATTTGACGCTTCGGTGACTGTGTGTGTCCAATGGCGACAGAGGTGGAGGTGGCCCCGAAGTCCAAGCCTGGAGACCCATCTCCAGTGAGGATCCCCTTATTCCATGACTCAAGCTTAAGCGAACTGGGGGGAAGGGGTTCCCCAGGGCCAGCCCTTTGGGGAGATGGGTGAGGAGACCCAATCCAAAGTTGTTTTGATCGAAAGCAATTCGTTTAAAAGCAGTTTGATCAAAACAACCGAGAATTCTAGCACAGCAATGAAAACTGGCCTCAAATGAGTATTCTCCCGTCACTGGATTGCCACTCTGCAATCACTGTTGATGCATTACTAAGAGGTCTGGAATTTTTTTTTTCTTTTTTTTTTTTTTGAGACAGTCTTGCTCTGTCACCCACGCTGGAGTGCAGTGGCATGATCTCAGCTCACTGCAACCTCCACCTCCCAGGTTCACACGATTCGCGTGCCTGAGCCTTCCGAGTAGCTGGGATTACAGGCACGCACCACCATGCCAGGCTAATTTTTGTGTTTTTAGTAGAGATGGGGGTTTTGCCATGTTGTCCAGGGTGGTCTTGAACTCCTGGGCTCAAGTGATCCGCTCCCCTCGGCCTTCCAAACTGCTGGGATTACAGGCGTGAGCCACTGAGCCCGGCCAGTCTGGCAATTTTTTAATGGGTTTTTAACAATCGAGCTGGCTTTTAAGAAGCTGAGTATGAAAGAGTAGGGCCCAGCTGAATTTTTCCATTTTCTTTTTTCTCTTGTTGCTTTGTAATTTCAAAAATCGTTTTTAGACAAGTCACATTTGTGCCGAGTAAACTAATCCCAAAAAAGCTAGAAACAGCCTTTTAAAGGGGCACTCAGGTGCCTTCAATTGAACACACTCATACCTCACACCTGGAGCCTGTTTGCCTGCAGGAGGGATTGGGCAGGGACAGCCCTTGATGGGGGACCAGAATTCTTGGAGGGGAAGGAGAGGAAAAGACAAGAAGTTTTGGAGGCAGGAAAGAAGAGTATGAGGGAGACAGGAAGGGACTGAACTAGGAGTAGGCTGGATGCAGCAGCTCATGCCTGTAATCTCAGCACTTTGGGAGACTGAGGGGGAAGGACTGCTTGAGCCCAGGAGTTCAAGACCAGCCTGGGCAACATAGCAAGACCTCGTCTCTAAAAAAATTTTACAAAATTAGCCAGGCATGGTGGCGTGCGCCTATAGTCCCAGCTACTCGGGAGGCTGAGGTGGGAGGATCTCTTGAACCCAAGAGTTCGAGGCTGCCATGAACCATGAGTGCCACTGCATTGCAGCCTGGGCCACAGAGTGAGACCTTGTCTCAATCTAAAAAATAAAAAAGGAGACGCTAAGTCCTCAGCAGCCTTAGAGATCTGGCTAAAGGCAGGGGAAGGGAAGTCACAGAAGGGGAAGAACCAGATGAGGGCTTTATACGAGCCAGGCCTGTCTGAAGGCCTGCATGAGGCAGACCTAAGGGGTGCAGCCAGGCTAGTTGGAAGGGGTACAAGAAAGGTGAGGAGCGTCACCCTTGGGGCTGAGGGACCAAGAATGAAGGTAGGGGGTGCTGCCCAGGTGATCCTGCCCCATGTTGACCCCAGTGGTTGGTCCCTATTGAATCCAGAGCAGAAACAATCATTTAAAGAGCCCTATTGGCCCAGACCGCCACCCTGCTGAGGCCACAAAGGGGGCACTCCCACTCCTCCTGGGGGAGGCTCTCCTCATCTCTAATTAATGGTTACCCTGATTAAATCATCTCCGCTCCGTGCTGGCATCTCCGGGAACTCGGATACCGGGGCCATATTGGGAACGAAACCAACGAATAATAAATGGGACTGCCTAATGTACTCATTTAAAACCAATTTTTAGAGAAATCCTCAAGAAAAGCAATTAATTTCCATTTAAGCGAATATGTTTGACATCGGAAAAAGGATTAATTCCCGGATTAGCATGTGGAGAGGCACTTTACCCTGTACCTGCTGAAGAAATGAAAAGCAGCACAAAGCCAGGACACCTAGAACATCTGTATCCCCCCCAACTCACATTTATTTGGAGGCAGAGAGTCTCCACAGTGAGGGGACGAGGTAGTTTATCGGCCTTAGATACTGGATTCTCCTAAAGTAAGGTGGAGAATTGAGGCTGCTGAGGTCCACAATCTGTGTCCACACTATGCTGAGTGCTGGGGAGCCACATCCTCACACCGAGATTAGGGCTGGGTGTGGGTGTGTCCATCACATCTGTATCAGGTCCTCAGAGAGATCACACACACACACACACACACACACACACACACACACACGCTCAGAGCTCCTTTTGAGTTTGTGGCTTTTGTTACAAACAAGGATGGGCAGGCAGACTAACATTTCCCAGGCCAGGATCAATCTGTGTGCGTCTTCGGCTATCCACTGCTAACTCACTGACTTCCCCTCTCATCATGGACGTGGGCACAGCGAAGCCAACTCCTGTCCTGGGGCAGTAATACCGTTTACCCCAAGGTGACCTGCTCCAGCTCTGCCCAGCGGCCACAGAAGCCAGGGGCACGTAGAGACTGACCCCCTGGGGCGGGTCTGGCCTGGGAGGTGCCTGTAAGTGGCACTAGGGAAGACTACACTGTCACCATCCTAAAGGCCTGGGATTTATGCCCTGGTTCTAGACAGGAGGGGGTGAGGGGGTGGGTGGGAGGTGAGGGAATGCGCAGCTGCTTAATAATGAATCACCGGCCCCGAAGTGGGCTCTGGAGGCATGTTTACCTAACAGCGACATTCTCATTTGGGTTTTGGCCACTGCACAGACAGACAAGGGAAGGGGGTACCTGGAGGGGCAGGTGGTCACACTCAGAACCGGAGGACTCTCAGAACCGGAGGACTCCCAAAATGCACAGGACAGAGAGACGACCAGTCACATGGCCCCACACATTCTTGGGCAAACGCAGACACACATACACACGGGTGGGGGCAGCGGCTCCCACACAGAACGATGCACAGCCTTCCCTGGGCCCTGCTGCTGATGGTCAGGACACAAAGCCCATTCTTCACCCTGGAGTGGAACTCAGCAAACCCTCTGGGCCCCAGCCACTAATTTCCGATCCTTCCAGACCCAGGGCCTCTACTGTTCCAGGAGGGGTGCAGTCACTTCCCCAACCCCACATCCAACTGTTGGTGTGAATGGTGGCATGGCTGCCTCACTCCCAACCCCCCTCCACCAGGCGATGGGAGAACATTCTGCCTGGCGGTGTATCCATGCAGCCGGCTCTCCCCAGCCCTCTGGAGCTGAGAGGAAACCCATTAAACCTTCCTAATGACAAATGCTCCGGCAGGCAGGCAGCAGGCGAATGAGCGATTGCTCCCGAAGCCAGCCAGATGGGAGCGGGCACAGGTGATTGTTTATGAGGCTTGGCCTTTATTAGAAACTCAGCGCTTGGGGGAGGGGAGGTCCCCTGGGGCCGGGCTTTAGTTGCTCAGGTCCCTAAGCTCTGCCAGCCAGGCACCCCCGCAATCTGGGCTGGTCCCCATCAAGTGGAGGGGGAACAGGGCATGCAGGAATAACCACTTCTCCATCAGACCCACAGCCCCCCGACTGAACAGGGGATGGGGGTCAGGCATGCCACATCCACAGCCCCCACACTGGCGGGGGACCCCATCTCCCCGCCACCCACCCCAGGATTCCCTCTGCTCCACCTTCAGGCACTAAAAGCCATGTCTGCTCCCATCCCCCTCCCTGCAGGAGCCCCCTCCAGTCCGGGAGGGCCCTGTTGTCATGGTAACTGCAGCTGCAATGGGTGCTGGGCCAGGTGCCGGGTTGGACCCACGAACCTTCTGGAAGCCCCTGAGATGGCAGGGAAGCAGATCTCAGGGTGCTGGGCAGCTGGACAGTGCCCATGTCCCCAAGAGCCAGCTGCTGTGACTCCCCCTGGCCCAGGGCAAGGGGAAGCCTCGGGGGAGAACTTGCAGCTGGGACCCTTAGGATGGGGGGGCTATGATCCCCTCCCCACGACATCTTCCCCACTATGCTTCCCTGAGGAGAAATGAGACACAGGAGAGCAGAGCAGTGGTTCTGGGTTTAATTGGGGGTGAAAGGGTGCTGCACAGTTGCTCAGAGGGCCCATGGCTGGGCCGCATGAGTGTTCACCTTTGCGACTGAACAGAGGAGCGTGGCCTAACTAGAAACAATTCGGCCCTCGAGTCTGCCTCCAGCACCTGGGGGGACACGGGGCGGCTCTGCTGACCAGGCCTTCTCTTTGGAACACCCCTCCCACCACACTGCCCTGGGTCTGGGAGCCTCCCACCCCTGCTGAAGTCAATTCCTTAAGGGAGAATCTGGCGGTCGCAGCCCCAACTGGGGATGGACAGGGAGTGGGGACCCCAGGGCCCCCAATCTGGAAGGGCCCCCTCCCAGCCATTGTGGGAACAATAAATACTGTGTGACGGTGGCAGGGAGTGGGGGGTTCGGCCACTGGCTGGCGGGCAAGGGGGAGCTGGCCGGCCTAGCCGCCCTGCCCTGCCCCGAGGCCAGGCCTGGGCTCCCCACCCTCACTCAGTGCGGAGGATGATGTGGATGCCGGAATCCGTGAACACGGGCCCGCTCATCTCCCCCGTCCGCAGCGCAAACGAGGCGTCTTCAAATGGCTTCTGCATCTGACCTGGGAGCCAGGAGGGGCGGTGGGGGTGTCAGGGCTGGGCTGGCAGAGGCCAGGATGAGGCAGGGCGGGTGGCAGCCGCGACAGATGGGGCTCCTGCCTGCGCTGAGCCTCACACTCGTCCACACTCATCCGTCACCATGTTTATTGCCAGTGCTGAGCGGCGGCCCAGCTGGGGGTGGCAGGGCCATTAAGGAGGCCCTGGGAAGCCCGAGGACAGCATGAAGGATAGCAGGCAGGGCTACGGCCGCCGCCGTGCATTTAGGGGCCACTTCGGTAGTGAACTCGTCTCCCTGGGCCTGGTTCCCAGCCCTGCCATGTCATCTGTCCCACCAGCCTCCTCGGAGGAGGTGGGCAGCTGCTGGCCCCATGCTGCCGCCCCACCCCACTAAGACACCTGCACACCACACCCTGCAACCCATCCTGGCCTCTCCCTGATGTTTTTCTGTAGACCCCGAGGACTGAAGAGGAGGAAGAGGAGGAGGCCTAGTCCCCTCTGTCCCTGATTTCCACTGTCCTGGCCAGACAGGCCTAAACTCAGGGCCACCTCCTCTCACCCCTGGTTTCCCCACCTTTGAGAGGGATTCTGGGGGACAGGCCCTGGGACTCTCAGGGCCCTCAACCTTAAACCACAAAAAGGAAGAGGCAGAGGACAGGATGTACCCACCTTGGTGGGCCTGGGATGAGGACATCTGTGCACAGACACACAAGAGACCATGCCCCCCAGGGTAGAGATGATGCCAGGAAGAAAGTGCTGCAGCCCCCCTCCCTGTGTGGCCCTGGCCCTGCCCAGCAGAGCAGCCTCTGAAGCCTGAGGAAGGGGCTGTGCTGCCACCTGCTGGACCCCGAAGGCCGGTGTGGCACCTGGGAGCCCAATGCCCAGACCCTCCTGGCCTCTACCCCTCAGGGTGGTAAGGGTCCCCCAACCTGGTGAGGCCCATTCCTTGCGCACCTCTGCTGAAGGCACCCAGGTCTCCCCTGGCCTTGGCTGAGCTGCAGTCGCTGAACTGTGAGGCCAGAGACTCAAAGTCCTCCTCTCCCGACTTGATCTTCTGGATGTAGCCTGTGGACATGGAACGGAATGGGAGTGCCAGGTCAGGGGTTGGGGGGGGCCTGACCAGACAGGATGGAGGACTCCAGAGCTGGCCAGCGGGGGAGGCAGCACTTCAGTTGGAAAGCCTCCCCTCACAGGCGCACATGCTCCCCACAACCCCTCTCCTCACACATACCTGCATGCGCAGTCACACCTGTCCTCACCCACACCCAAGAAGAGGTGCCTTTCACGAGCATGAGCACTTAATGCACCCCGCCAGTCATCCATGAGCCCTGCCACCCTGCAGGTCTCACATCCCTGCTCCCGCTGTCACTCTCACCAGCACACACACATGCACACACACACACACACGTGAGGGAAAATCTACATACAAGCTGGATGGGCCAGAGGAGAGCAGCAGGCAGGGAGAGGCTGACCCAGGCAGGGGGCTGGCCCCCCGGGCCCCCTGGGCAGAGGTGGGAGAGCTGTCCAGAGAAAGCCCAGCACTGCCACGGCAGCCTGTGGCCCCAGCTGTCCCATCTGGGAAGAACAGCCTGGCACTGGGATGGGCCTCCAAGGCACCCTGGTGGGCTCTGCAAGGGACACTCGTGGGCTGTAGCCCCAGGGTCCCAGAGGCAGGCAACATAGCTCTTCTCCCGGCTCCCCACCTACAGTCTGCATGCTGGCAGAACTCAGGGTGGCCCCACCCTGTGTGGCCCAAACTAGCCCATCGGCTCTGACTCTCCAGGAGGCGGAGGAGGCCAGGGCTGGTGGAGTTAGGAGGAACAGGGCTGCCAGCAGAGGGGGCAAGACGGCAGCAGAGTAGCATCTGAGTGACTCACGTTTCGGAAGCCAAGTGGGGAGGGCTGCGTGTGTGTGCACGTGGTGTGTGTGGTGTGACTGTGTGTGAGCAAGTGTGTGTATGCAGTCTTGTGCACGTGCCAGGTCAGGAGGAATGGCTACCGCCTTCCTGACTCCAGGCCACCCCCAGGAAGGTGCCCATGGGCCAAAGCCTGCCCTACCCCAATCCTCTTGCTCTGACACAAACGGGCGTCCCTTCCAGTGTCCTCCCTAGGCCAGTGGTGCGACAGCCCCAGCAAGCCAGGGCAGCCCTCTGGGTGAACTGCACCCGCCCCGTGTACCCTAAGGCCTGGCAGCCACTCTCCAGGGACACCAGTTCTTCTCTCCAACGTGAAGGTCACCCTGACACACTCAGTAGGGGGTTTCTTAATGTCACCCTGACACTTCTACCCTTGCTCCTTCTGACCTAAATGATGCCATGACACACCTGCCGGCCAACTTGCCCAGGACATACATAGCTGATACACTGGCCTGGAGCCTGTTGGAGACCCACGGGAACACTGCTGGGTGACCTAGCCAGTGCTGGGAGGCCTGGACACCCAACCGTGGCACCTGCTGAACACACTGGACTGATCCAAGTGTCCCCAGGGCCCCTCGGCCTCACGCTCTAACCTGCTTGGGACTGCAGTGGAAATGGTACCACCGTGAGAGCACAGCCATAGCTCCCTGTTTGGCTGCACGTCATGGCAGCCACCAGTGTCCTGGTATCTGAGCTGGATGTCACCACGACCTGCTGCCCTGACATCCCTGTGCCCCTCCGCCTGACAGTCTTGTGCCAGTGGCTGTGACATGCAGCATAGTGCCCGGCACCGAGCAGGACCCTGACCAACGTCCCTTGCTGTCATCATTCTTCCCCTCCATGGGGACTGCATCCCAGGGATGACGCAGCCTCTACTGCTCTGCTCTCCCTATCCTTGGCCCTGCCGGCCCACGTGTCCTGGTCTGACAGGGACATCGATGCCATACAGGGCCCCAGCTTCTGTTGGGATGGCACATTACAGAGGCTTCTGCCCGTGATGCCCTGGTTTGATCAGAATGCCCCGCTTCCAGGGCTGCCACGGGGTCCTCCTCTGTGCCAGACACATCCACCAGTGACTCCGACTTAAACCAGATGTTGCTAGGACCCCCTCCCACCCCTCCTCTCCCTGAACTTCTAGGTATCTCCTTGGCCTTAGGCACAGAGCACTGGAGTCCCCTGTCCCCCCTTCTGTCTGGACCACTAAGCCAGCCAGGGGATCGCACGGTGCCCCCAGAGGTACCCACCTACTTCGGGGAAGCAGGACTGCCTGCAGGCACTGAGCGTCTGAGGAGCCAGGCCCAGGCCCTGAACAAGCATCACCTTGCCACAGCCCCCAGCGGCCAGGGCTGGGGACACAGCCACAGGGATCCCTGAAATTGGACAGCCCGCCCAAGTTGTCCTCTCTCACACACATAGTGTGCAAGCCATACCACTTAAAAACAAATAAAAGCCACACTTTGGCACACCAATAGCTCATATCACCCAGATCTGCCTCTGACCTGCCAGCTCTCTTGGAAAATTTTCTGCTATGATGGGAGCCTGCAATGACTGTTTTTGTTTTCCTTTTGCAGAGATGGGGTCGCACTTTATTGTTCAGGCTGGCCTCAAACCCCTGGGCTGCAGCAATCCTCTTGCCTCAGCCTCGCAAGTAGCTGGAATGATTTTTTTTTTTAAAACGCTTTCTCTTGAACCTGGGAGGTAGAAAGGTACAGTGAGCTGAGATCGTTGCCACTGCACTCCAGCGTGGGCAACAAGAGCGAAACTCCATTTCAAACAAACAAACAAACAAACAAACAAACAAAAAAACGCTTTCTCTTGAAACTGGGAGGTAGAAGGTACAGTGAGCTGAGATCGTTGCCACTGCACTCCAGCGTGGGCAACAAGAGCGAAACTCCATTTCAAACAAACAAACAAACAAACAAACAAACAAACAAAAACGCTTTCTTCCTGAGTTCCTGCTCTGTGAGGCTGACCTTGAGGGGTTTGGTCCTGTGTGTCTTGTTAGCTCAGCCTGTACCTGACCCCGCGACAATGACATCCTCCGACTCCCACCTCGCAGACCTTGGTTTAAGCCTCTTGTCCTGCCTGAAACTCATCAGCTATCCTCTGGTCTCCCCAAGAAGCCTCCCCTAATCCCCCACTGTGTTAGGTGCCTCCCCCTGGGTGCTGCATTTACTACCGTCCCATTGGTGTGTTGCTTGCCCGCCTCACAGTGCAGGAATGGAGGCTGCTGGGTTGGCCTTCTTCATTGCTGCACCCTCAGAACCCAGCACTGTGCACAAAACAGGTGTTCACGAATGTTCAAGAAGTTAATGAATAAATGAGACAGAAATAGGCCATGGGGAAGGAGGGAGACAGGGATCTACCACGGGGCTCGAAGCAGAAATGCTGGAATCTCATGCCCTATCTGCCTGAAACTCAGGCTGCGACCCTAAGGCCAGACTTCCTGGGCCTCCTCCAAGACAATGTGTCAGCCTTGCCCGACGGCGCCAAAACCTGTGAAATTTGATGGGGACTGTCGGGTGCTGGAGCCCCATCCTGATTCGATGTGGCTCCAGCTTAGAACCACACAGACACAGGGTGGCCTCTCCAGGAGCTCCCAGTCTGGAGCAGGGGCCTCCACCTGCTTCAAGGTGTTCAGGACCCCCTGAAATAGTATGCAAAACAGAATGGCACCTATCTGTGCTGGCAGACCCCAGCCAGCCTGCTCACAGTGTATCCCCAAGGTCCAGGAGGACATGTTATGGGTGCTGACTCCAGACTCCATCAGGTCCAGATCCTACCTCTGCTGCTCCTGAACAATGAGAGTCTGGCAGGTGACTTTACCTCTTGGAGCCTCACTCAACTGGCCTGTAAAATGGGGTAACCGCTGCTCCCACGTTGGAGCCTGTTCCAAGGAGTGAATCAGTGACCGCTTAAGCAGTGGCTGTTGCAGAGCAGGCCCCTGACAGATCCAAGCTGCCCATCCGTTATGGACTCAATGTTTGTGTCACCCCAAATTCATGTGTTAAAGCCCTAACCTCCAGTGTGGCTGCATCTGGAGATGGGGACTTTGGGGAAGTAACTAGGGTTAAATGAGGTCATAAGGGTGGGGCCCTGATCCAACAGGATTAGCGCCCCTTTTTTTTTTGAGGCAGAATCTGGCTCTGTCACCCAGGCTGGAGTGCAGTGGTACAATCTCGGCTCACTGTGACCTCTGCCTCCCAGGTTCCAGCGATCCTCCTGCCTCAGCCTCCTGAGTAGCTGGGATCACAGGTGTGCGCCACTACATCTGGCTTTTTTTTTAGTATTTTTAGTAGAGATGGAGTTTTACCATGTTGGCCAGGCTGGTCTTGAATTCCTGACCTCAGGTGATCCACCCACCTCAGTCTCCCAAAGTGCTGGGATTACAGGCATGAGCCACTGCGCCTGGCCAGGATTAGTGTCCTTATAAGAGACACCAGAGAGCTCGTGCTCCTTCACTCCGTGCACATGCGCCTGGGGAATGCCATGTGAGTGCACAGTGAGAGGGCAGCCGTCTACAAGCCAGGAAGTGGGTTCTCGCCAGGAACAGAATCTGAGGGAACCTGGATTGTGGACTTCTGGCCTCCAGAACTGTGGAAAGTGATGACTGTTGTTTAAGCCACACTGTCTGTGATATTTTGTTACAACAGTCCAAGCTAATGCACATCAGTGACCTAGGTGGGAGTGAGGGAACAAATGGGGTAGTCCTTGACCCCAAAAATGTTTCAAGACGTGCTGTCTCCTCTGCCTTGCCAGATCATTACGCTGCTTCCA
Source organism: Homo sapiens (assembly GCF_000001405.40). NCBI lineage: Eukaryota > Metazoa > Chordata > Mammalia > Primates > Hominidae > Homo > Homo sapiens. Next base: position 9,843,402 of record NC_000019.10, on the reverse strand, counting down.
GCATACTTCCCCCAGGCTGCCCAGGCACCAGAGGGGAAGGGGCCTGGTCGGGGAAAGAGGTGACAGGGTCAGATCTGAGAAGACCAAGATCCAGAAGGAGGGGCTAGAGGCTGGCCCAAGGCCAGCAGGCTGGAAGGGCGCCAGTGACCTTGAGGACCCCAGGACAAAGGGGCTGACCTGGATGCTGGGATGGGTATGTGAGTAGGACAGCTGCTCATAGTCTCAGCCTTGCTGGGACCCTCCAGGCCCTGGGCATGTGAGGGGTGGCTGTCAACAGATCTGGGTGGAGAGCGGGCAGGGAGGGCTTCTCCATGGCCCATCCTCCTTAGACAAGGACACTGGCAATGACTCCCTTGGATCTCTGACAGCCTCTGGCTGTGGCCCAGCAGCTGCAGAGGAGCCAATGCTGGGAAAAGGAGCCTCAGCAGAAAATGTGGAGGTCCCGGCTCTCTCTGCAGGCAGCCTGTCCCTTCGGGGCAAGGGCGGAGCACCAGATCTAAATGGGCACTGATGAGATTTAGCCCGGCTGCCAGCTGGGGAGTGAGCTGCCCAAATCATGGTCTCCTGATCACCCGGCATGAACCCTCGAGGGGAGAACATCCACTTCATGGAAGAGAAAATGAGGCCCAGGTGCCCAATGCCTGCGCCGACACTGCACATGATGATCTGTTACCGAGTGTACCTCGGCCGGGGCCACCTCACTGCATCCTCCTATCGACCTCTGAGGAGATCTGCCCCAGCACCGTCTCAGGCAGGAGGATACCAGGAGAGGGAGGTCGTGTGCCAAGGTCATCATCTGTGTGCTGAGCCCACCAGGCCTCCTGTGGTCCTATCCGGAACTCTTTCTACGGGCTGTGGGGTGGCAGCAGGGGCTGCCCGTGAGCAGAGGCCTTGACTTGACCTCAGCTCCCCCATCGTCCACACCCCAATGACTGGGGCTGAGGCTCCACCGTGCAGAGCACGCCAGCCACTGAGCCCATAGCTCCTGGATCCTCATAGCCACCCTCTCCCCATTCTACAGATGAGGCAACTGAGGCTCAGGAAATGAAGACCACACAGCTGGCACTGAAATCCAGCCCTGTACGAGCCCAGGGTGGGCCACGCTGTTCTGCCCTGACCCTCCCCCAGACATCCCACCCTTGCCCACCTAATCCATCACCCAGTCCTCTCTATCCTGCCTCCTGAATCTCTCTCGGGTCTGCTCCCTCTCACTTCTTCTTCCACTTCCAGCCCCCAAGTTCAAGTCACACCGCCTCTTGCTCCAATTCCTCCCACAGCTTCCACCAGGTGGGCAGGCAAGGCTCCTGCTGACATTCCAGAATCTGCAGGTACCTACGGTGACGCCTCAGGGCCTGGCTACTTACCAGGTGCACCTGTCCAACCCAGAGATGGGCGAGACACCCTCGCCCACCACACCCAGACCCATGCCCTCCTCACTATCCCCACCGACCTCAGCCTTCTGCCAGCTCTCATCAGGATTGCTTGGAGCAGCTCTGTCCTGCGCCTGGCTGCTCTGCTGACCCCCAGGAGCCCACTTCATGCCGCTCCATCCCCAAATGCCTGCACCCTCCTGCTCACTCTTATAGGGTCCGGAAGCCTCAGAACAGAGACCACTAGAGCTGGGAGGACCTGAAGGGTCATCTTGCAATTCTCTCCTGGCTTCTCCCTCCACTTCTTCTTCTTGCTCTGGGGCAACCAGAACCCCTGAAGGTTCTGGGCCTTCCACTTCCCTGGCCCTTGACATTCTAGCTTCACAGATCTCTGCTGAAAGCAGAGCACTGTGGGTTCCTCTCCTGGTCCCACATGGCCACATATGTCCTGCTGCCTCCAGGAAAGAACCAAACCTCCTCACCTGACAAGGACCCTCCTCAACCTGGCTGGGACCTGCCCGTGAAGGGTCTCATCACCCCCTAGCTCCCTGCAAAGCCTTCCCCAGAGTTCTGGCTACATCCTAGTCCTAGGCCTTTACTTCTGCCCCGTCCTGTGCCAGGAATCCTTCTTGCTTCCTACTGGCTCATGAAACAAGGCTGTGAGGGCTGACTCTGGGCCAGGCTTTGTGTGGCAGGATGGGAATACAGGGGAAAGAGAGAGATCCAGTCCCTGCCCTCAGAGGTCAGGAGGCTGGCTCTTCAATCAGCCTTCAAGATTCTGTGCAAGAACTCGGCTTCTCTCTGCCATGCTTACATATAAGACTAACGGGTGGCACTTACTGTCCTAGATGCCATGTTGGGGGTGTGCATATGTAATAACATCCTACAGGCCAACTGGACCAAGTGATGAGAGAGTAAAACAACAGCCAATACTGACCGAGTGTACACTCTGTGCTGGGCCCTGTGCTACCACAACCAACAACAGCAATGACAGTGACCACTAACAATGACAGAACATTTACCGATGCCAGGAGCTGTTACTCCCGCTTTACTGTATTAGCCAGGAGTCCTCACAACTACCCTGTGAAGTGGGTCTTATTATTCTAATACTAATTTTATAAATGAAAAAGACTGACAGCTGGGGGCGGTGGTTCATGCTTGTCATCCCAACACTTCGGGAGGCTGAGGTGGAAGGATCACTTGAGGCCAGGAGTTTGAGACCATCCTAGGCAACATGGTGAAGTCCTGTCTCTACTAAAAATACAAAAATCAGCCAGGTGTGGTGTTATGAGCCTGCAGTCCCAGCTACTTGGGAGGCTGAGGTGGGAGGATCACCTGATCCCAAGGAGGTTGAGGCTGCAGTGAGCTATGAACACTGCACTCCAGCCTGGGTGACAGAGCAAGACCCTGTCTCAAAAGAAGAAGGAGAAAAAGATTGAAGCCCAGAGATGTTAAGTAACTTGCTCAAGAGCACATAGCCAGGACGTGGCAGAGCTGCATAGCAACCCAGGCTGTCTGGGCATGGTTGAGAGATGGGTTGTTTGGAGTAGGGACAGCCCAGGTTTGGGGACTCTGAGAAAGGCATCAGACACAACTTACTGCAAGAATGGAAAAGTGTTTTTTTTTGTTTTTGTTTTTGTTTTTTTGAGACGGAGTCTCGCTCTGTTGCCGAGGCTGGAGTGCAGTGGCACGATCTCAGCTCACTGCAAGCTCCACCTCCCGGGTTCATGCCATTCTCCTGCCTATCTCCCGAGTAGCTGGGACTACAGGTGCCCGCCACCATGCCAGACTAATTTTTTTGGATTTTCAGTAAAGACAGGGTTTCACCGTGTTAGCCAGGATGGTCTCGATCTCCTGACTTCGTGATCCACCCACCTTGGCCTCCCAAAGTGCTGGAATTACAGACGTGAGCCACCGCGCCCGGCCAAGAATGTAAATGTTTTATATTCCCGCTGTCAAAGATGGCAGCCACCAGCTAAAGTATGACCAGTGCAATTGAGAAACCAATTTTTGATATTATCTTATTTATTTTTGAGACAGGGTCTTGCTCTGTCACCCAGGCTGGAGTGCGGTAGTGTGATCTCGGCTCATTACAACCTCTGCCTCCTGGGCTCAAAGGATCCTCCCACCTCAGTCTTCTAAGTAGCTGACACTACAGGCGTGCACCACCATGTCCAGCTAATTTTTTTATTTTTTTAGAGACGGGGTTTTGCTATGTTGCCCAAGCTGGTCTCAAACTCCTGGGCTCAAGTGATCCTCCCGCACAGGGTGGGAGTGGCAGCCAAACTGGACAGCTTTAGACAGGGCTCTGCAAATGATGGCCTGCAGGCCAAATCCTCCCAGATTTTGTAAATAGTAAAGTTTTCTTGGCACACAGCCATGACCATGTGCTTGCTTACATATTAGTTATGAGTGCTATCCAGTTACAAAGCAGAGCTGATAGAGACTGCATGGCCCACAAAACCTAAAATATTTACCATCTGGCCTTTAAAGTTTGCCACCTTGGTGCCAGACTGCAGAGGAAACACAGAACAGAGCAGGGAATAGCTTCCTCCCTTAGGTCAGAATTAACTCACTATCTACTGGCACTCACTACCTCTTTTTTTTTTTTTTTTTTGAGATGGTGCCTCACTTTGCTGCCCAGGCTGGAGTGGAGTGGTGCGATCTCGGCTCACTGCAACCTCTGCCTCCCTGCCTCAGCCTCCCGAGTAGCTGGGATTACAGGCATGCGTCAACACATCTGGCTAATCTTTGTATTTTTAGTAGAGATGGAGTTTCACCATACTGCCCAGGCTAATCTTGAACTCCTGACCTCAGGTGATCTGCCCTCCAAGGCCTCCCAAAGTGCTGGGATTACAGGCGTGAGCCACCGCACCCTGCATGCACTCACTACCTTCCTGACTGCTCTCTCTGGATCCACCTATGTTTATGACTCAGGCCCCTAGTGGATGATATTACTATTGACAACACTTCCCACAGACTGAGGGCCTACTGTGCAAAATCCATTGCCTTATTCCCTTGAACCTTCACAATGGTCCTTAGAGGATGCCCATTTTACAGAGAAAGCTGAGTCTAGGGGAGGTGACACGAGTCCCCTCCCAAAGGTCACAGAGTTCACAGAGGCACAGCTACTACCTGAACCCATGTCTGCCAGCCCCCAGGCTGGGTCCTCTGCCCCTACCTGGCTCACCCTCAAATGCCAGATGGAAAAGAAAGAGAATGGCTGCTGTGAAGGTCAGGGTCAGGTCATGCACTGGCGTTTTTGTGTTGGCCAACACCACGCCTGGCAGCTGAGCAAGCTGGGGTGAAGGGTCTGATGTGACTTCTACAAAGGCTCACCTGGGAGAAGACCCCCTCCCAAGCCCCTGCCCTCGCCCTGCTCACCGTTGATCAGCTCCAGGGCCTCCTCCTTGGTCCGGGTGATCTTCTCCTGCCGCCAGGACGAGGGCCGCCGTGACTGGCTGTGCTTCACCAGCAGGTGCGAGCAGCGGACCCTGGCAGGCTCCCCCTGCCCGTTTTTGCCACCACTGCTGCTGTTGCCGCTGGGCCGCTCCCACTGGCTGGCGTTAGTGATGTGGTTGAAGTAGTACACTCGGCCTGGAGGGGAGGGCAGGCAGGAATTCAGCTAGGGTTGTGCTCCCAGGACACCCCTGGGCCCACAGCCAGAAGCCAGGGTGAGGGCCTGGCTTGCAGGGGGCGCCTTCATTCAACAAATCCATGGTGTATCCACCATGTGCCACAGGCTCTCCAGACGTGGGCCAATGTGGCAGGATACAGTCCCTGCCCTTAGAGAGCTAACATTCTAGGTGAGAGCAGACAGGTGCTAAACAAGCAAATGAAACACAGGATAGTATCAATCCCTGATAACTTCAAGGAGGAAAATAACCCAGAGTGATGGAACAGAGGAAGCTGGGGGACAGGGAGTGACTCAAACCATGCACTCAGCAGCCAGGCCACCTGGATTCAAATCTGAATCTGGGTTCAAATGTGATATATCTTCCCTGGGCCTTGGTGTTCTCACCTGCAAAATGGAGATAACAGTTCCTACCTTAGGGTCATTGAAAGGACTAAATAATAATTTTTAAACATTTTTAAAAGGGCTAAGCACGGTGGCTCTCACCTGTAATCCCAGCACTTTGGGAGGCCAAGGTGGGGTGGATCACCTGAGGTCAGGAGTTCAAGACCAGCCTGGCCAACACAGTGAAACCCCATCTCTACTAAAAATATAAAAAATTAGCCCGGCATGGTGGCAGGCACCTGTAATCCCAGCTACTGGGGAGGCTGAAGCAGGAGAATCGCTTGAACCCGGGAGATGGAGGTTGCAGTGAGCTGAGATTGTGCCACTGCACTCCAGCCTGGGCAACAAGAGCAAAACTCCGTCACAAACAAACAAACAAACCAACATTAGCCGGGCGTTGTGGTGTATGTCTGTAATCCCAGCTACTCGGGAGGCTGAGGCAGGAGAATTGCTTGAATCTGGAAGGTGGAGGCTACAGTGAGCCAAGATCATGCCACTGCACTCCAGCCTGAGCGATAGAGTGAGACTCTTGTCTCAAAACAAAAACAAAAACAACAGGCTGGCTGGGCGCAGTGGCTCAGGCCTGTAATCCCAGCACTTTGGGAGGCTGAGGCAGGTGGATCACCTGAGGTTAGGAGCTCGAGACCAGCCTGGCCAACATGGTGAAACCTCGTCTCTACTAAAAATACAAAAATTAGCCAGACGTGGTGGCAGGCACCTGTAATCCCAGCTACTCGGGAGGCTGAGGCAGGAGAATCACTTGAACCCGGGAGGCAGAGGTTGCAGTGCGCCAAGATCATGCCACTGCACTCCAGCCTGGGTGACAGAGTGAGATTCTGTCTCAAAACAAACAAACAAACAATAAAAAATAAAAAATAAAAAATTAGCCATGGGTGGGTGGTACACGCCTGTGGTCTCAGCTACTTGAAAGGCTGAGGTGGGAGGATTGCTTAAGCCTGGGAGGCAGAGGCTGCACTGCAGCCTGAGCCACACAGTGAGACCATCTCCAAAAATAATAATAAGAAAGCACTAAATAAGCTCACACATCTACAAAATGCCTAGGACAGAAACTGGCACACATTAAGAGTGGGATAGCCTTTATTATCTCTATTGTATAGATGGCAAAACGGAGACCTCACCTTTTGCATCTCTGGGAATGGCAGCAGTGGGTAACGCTTCCTGAGTGTTTACTCTGTTCCAGGCACACACAGGGGAAGGCAGGAACTGTACTCAGGTACTTCACACCCGAAAGCTCTGCTCTTAGCTACTACACCGTGCATGGTGTTGCAGAGCTAGGAACCAGCATTACTGGTGGCCCGATGTTACCCAGGGAGTGAGGGGTATGAAGGAGTGAAGACTGTGAACAAGAAACTGGAAGTAAAGACCCTACTGGGTGCCACTCCAAAGGCTGACAGTTCGCCTGGGTGACATGGAGTGTCACCCATAAAGGAAGCCATCAGGGTTGAACTGAGCAGAAACAGCAGAAATGGGCCCAGAGCTGGGCAGAGCATCCGGTTTATGCTGGAGGTCCCAGCCACAGGCCAGGGCTAGAGCAGGGTGGGCGAGAGCGCGGGTTCCAGGTGCAAATGCAGCTGAGCTACTGACTCACTCTAAAACCTTGGCAATGGGCTCTAATCTCCCTGCACCTCAGTTTTCTCATCTGAAAAATGGGGAATAGAGAATAAGGAGATCAAACCTCATGGGGTTAATGAGGAGAGTCCATGTATCCAAACAGTTCACCAGAACCTGGCACTCAACCAAGGAGAATTATTATTGCAAATGCGATTGCTATGGGCTCTAGAGGCAGCAGAGTGACTCGGGACCTGCCCACAGATGCTGGGCCTGCTCCTCAGGAGTTTGCAGTGACACGGGGAGGGGGATTTGTAGGCAAACTGCCTAGGTCCTAATCCAACCCCCGGCCCCTGAAATGAATGATCTTGGACGAGTTCCTTCAGTTTTCTGACCTCAGTTTCCTTGCTGGTAAGGTGGAAGTAATAACTACCTGGCTCCCAGAGTTGCGGCAATTCAGAGAGAACTTAAAGCGCTTGACACAGAGAAAAACATGCCCTGTTACTGGCAATATTATCATTGTGGCTAACCCTTAAATCGGGCCTAAGCACAGGGGCCATCGTCTGGCAGAATGTCACGGGCGATGTCGCAGACTCAGCATTAGGTGTACACAGTAGGGGTGTTAGCAGGGGTAGGTTGTGGACCCGAGGCCGGGCAACACCCTACGCCCTTTGCAGGGTACTGGGGTGTCTCCCTCCCAGGGGTGCCCCCGGGCCCAGCAAGGTGCAGAGACGTCCCCCGGGGTGTCAGGTGCATTAGGCCGAGAGGTATCAGCCGGGCCGGCAGGGCCAGGGCCATCGCCCCGGACTCCCCGGACCCTCACCCGCCCAGCCCCCTGCCTCAGCTTCCTCAGGCTTCCCGGCGGCTCCTGAGGCTCGCAGTCCCCACAACAGGGCGGGCCGGGGCCGTTACCCCGGGGACGACGCGGAAGAGCCAGGACCCCATGGGAGGGAGGCAGCGCTGCCGCCGCGCCCAAGGGGCGAGCTCGAGCCCTGCTTACGCGGGCCCGCGCAGTCCCGCCCCAGCCCCGACCCCCGCGGCACCTGAGCTGCGGCTCATGCGCTTCTCCCAGCCGGGCGGCAGCTTCTCCTCGTCCGCCATCTTCCCTCCTGCCGCAGCGCCTGCTCCGCCTCAGCTGCGCCGCCTGTCGCCCGCGCCCGCCCGCCGCCGCTGCCTATTGGCTAGACGCGCTCTGCAACGGGGCCTGGCGGCGACGCCCATTGGGCTCCCTAACGGTCCGGATTGGCTTTCTGGCCTTCTATTGGGTAGAAGAAAGGCTGGGCGGACCCTCCCACGTTATCCCTGCGCCCCGCCCCCGGCCAGCCTCAGCCTGGCCCCGCCCACTCGCTCTCCTCGGCTCCTGAGTGGTCCGAAGCGACGCGGGCCCGCCCTTCTCAACGCCCTTTAGCGAGCGCCAAAAAACTCCCGACCCCTTCTTGGCGCGCGTCGCCGCAGAGCCCACCCAGGCGGGATAGAGCTTATGGATTGGCTAATGCCGCAGCAACTCCCGCCTGCCTGAGCTGTTCCCGGAGGTCCGCAAGCCCCCAGCCCTCCCATGCGGAAGAGTCTGGCTGGTGCAGAGGTAACGGCGGTCCAGGAGGTACTTGGGCGGGGCGGTGCTGCCTCTGCTGTTGCCATAGCAATGCAGTTGCCTTGGAGATGAGCACCTAAGTACCCGATGCTTAAATTTGGCTCCTCCATCCTCCCTCTTCCCACCTGTTTCCCACAGATGTCCAAAGCTAACCCAGCCTCTTTTATTTTTTGCAGGGCTCAACTTTTCCCTAGGCTCTGGACCCAAAGGCCTTCCACGTCCTTTGGAACCTGCTTACTTCCTTTATTCCCTCGCAGTCTGGCTCCTTCCTCCATCCTGGGTGACCAGTGGGTGCCGACATTGACATTCATATAAGAACACGGAGGAGGTGCAGGTGGGAGGAGATGGGCTCAGTTTTAGCCAACTTAAAATAGAGTCTGCAGAGCCCGTGGGACACAGGGGAGGTATTTGGGGACCCAGAGTTGGGGAACTGTGGGTAGATATGGGAGTTGAAGACACTGACAGCAAAGGGTGCAACTACAGTTCACCTAGCATAGAACCCTATGTGACCGTTAAAAAGAATGAGGCTCAGTGAAGTGAACTCATAGGGAAACCTGCCCACAACAAATTAGACGCAGGATGCAGTAGAAGGCTAAGAGAAGTCTGGAGCCAGACTTGGGTTTAAAGCCTGGGACTGACACTTGCTATGCGACCTTGAACTGATTACTTAACGTTACTCTGTACTTCGGTTTCCCAATCTGCAAAGCGGGGATAAGCAATTACATCCTTCTGTTTGATGTGAACATTAAATAAATTAATCCACATAAAGCACTCAAGCCAGGCTCGGTGGCTCACACCTGTAATCCCAGCACTTTGGAAGGCCGAGGTGGGTGGATAACCTGAAGTCAGGAGTTCGAGACCAGCCTGGCCAACATGGTGAAACCCTGTCTTTACTAAAAATACAAAAATTAGCCAGGCGTGATAGTGGGCACCTTTAATTCCAGCTACTCGGGTGGTTGAGACAGGAGAATTACTTGAACCTGGAAGGCGGAGGTTGCAGTGAGCCGAGATCGCACCACTGCACTCCAGCGTAGGTGACAGAGCGAGACTCCATCTCAAAAAACAAAAAAAGTTTAAGTTTTAATAGAACATTTTTTACAAGTATTAGCATAATATTAAAAAGATACTTTTTATAAAGATAATTTTAGACATGGGCAGTTACAAAAACAGTAGGGTTTTCATGTACCCTTCACCCAAACTTCCCTAATATTAGCGTCTTAAATAAACAATAGAACAGAATTCTCAACCAGTAGCGATTTTGTTTCCCAAGGGACATTTGGCAACATCTTGATACATTTTTGGTTGTTACAACACCTTCAGACATTTTGGAACAGGAGATACTACTGGCTACTGGCATTTAGTATTAGATGCCAAGGATGCTGCTAACATCCTTCAAGGCACAGCCCCCACCAAAAGAATTATCCAATCCAAGGGCTGAGTGTGGTGGCTCACACCTGTAATCCAGGGCTTTGGGAGCCCAAGGCAGGAGGATCGCTTGAGCCCAGAGTTGGGGACCAGCCTGGGCAACATGGCAAGACCCTATCTCTACAAAAATAATTCACTGGGTGTGGTGGCACGTGCCTGTAATCCCAGCTACTTGGGAGGCTGAGGTGGGAGGATCTCTTGAGTCTAGGAGTTAAGAGGCTGCAATTAGCCATAATCTTGCCACAGCACTCTAGCCTGGGTGACAGAGGGAGACTCTGTCTCAAAAAATAAATAAATAAATAAAAATAAAAGGCTGGGTGCGGTGGCTCACGCCTGTAATCCCACCACTTTGGGAGGCCAAGGTGGGTGGATCAAGAGGTCAGGAGTTCAAGACCAGCCTGGCCAAGATGGTGAAAACCCATCTCTACTAAAAATACGAAAATTAGGTGTGGTGGCGGGCGCATGTAATCCCAGCTACTCGGGAGGCTGAGGCGGAGAATTGCTTGAACCCCTGGAGTGGAGCTTTCAGTGAGCCAAGATCGTGCCACTGCACTCCAGCCTGTCTCAAAAAAAAAAAAAAAAAAAAAAAATCCAACCCAAAAAAGTCAACAATGCCAAAGCTTAGAAACCCTGCTATAATATAATTATCAACACTAAGAAACCAATATCAATATAATACTATTAACTAAACCACAAATTCCCCCCAATCCTGTTTTCCCACTAGTGTTTTTATGTTCCAGGATGGGTGCTCACTGTTCCTGGAGTGTCACTGTTTCTGGTCCCTCTAAGTGGATAGAGCAAGGAAATATACATATGTATACACACATCTATATGTATCAATATATCTGTTAAACGAAAACCATGAATTCAGACTGATGCCTCCAAATCCAGTCCTACAAGGTTCATTTTAAGCATTCCCATCTCCTGTTTTATTTGTAACTTCCTTCTCCACAGTGAGACACCCAGCTCTCATTATCTACAAGTTTACTTATTTGTTCAACCCTGTTTGTGTGTATTACATGGGCCCATGTGCCCACACCCACACACACAAAAGTAGTTTCAAAATTGCTAAATCATGGCTGGCCCAACGGCTCACACCTATAATCCCAGCACCTTGGGAGGCTGAGGCGGGCGGATCACTTGAGCTCAGGTGTTTGAGACCAGCCTGGCCAACATGGTGAAACCTTGTCTCTGCTGGAAATACAAAAAATTAGCCAGGTGTGGTGGCTCGTGCCTGTAGTCCCAGCTACTTGGGAGGCTGAGGCAGGAGAATCGCTTGAACCCGGGAGGCAGAGGTTGCAGTGAGCCGAGATTGCACCATTGCACTCTAGCCTGGGCAAAAAGAGCAAAACTCCATCTCAAAAAATAATAATAAAAAATAATAATTAAAAAAAAGCACAGAAAAGCAAACTATGGAATGTCATATAAATATTACGGGACATATAATTATCCCCGTATGATAAAAACTCTAGGTTATTCCAGAAAGTTTCTAGAGTCACTCAAATGTATTAATGCCCACCACTGGTGGGAGGAGTGGTATAAGAAATAAGAAATTCAGGGCCGGGCGCAGTGGCTGACACCTGTAATCCCAGCAATTTGGGAAGCTGAGGTGAACGGATCATGAAGTCAGGAAATCAAGACCATCATGGGTAACATGGTGAAACCCTGTCTCTACTAAAAAAAATTAGCTGGGTGTGGTGGCATGCACCTGTAATTCCAGCTACTCAGGAGGCTGAGGCAAAAAAATCACATGAACCCAGGAGGCGGGGTTTACAGTGAGCTGAGATCATGCCATTGCACTCCAGCCTGGGCAACAAGTGTGAAACTCCATCTCAAAAAAAAAATTTTTTTAATTTAAAAAATAAAACAGGACAGGAGCAAGGTTGACACAAAGAACTGTGGCCAGGGGAACAGAGGGACAGTTGGTCTCCTGTCTACTCACACCTAGAGGAAGAATACAGCAAATAACATTATGTGCCAGGCATCCTGCTATTCTAATTGCGTGGTCTCATTGAGATGTGGGTGCCACTGTAGTGCTCATTTTTAGAGGATGAAACTGAGGGTCGCAGAGGCTGAAATCCCACTGCTAAGGATCAATCAAAATTCAAATCTAGTCGGTCTGACTCTTGAGGCTGGGATCATGTAGCCACACTTATAGTGCCACACTGCCTCACTGTCTACTATCACGTTTTGTCTTGAAAAGAAGTGCTAGGGCCAGGCATGATGGCTTGTGCCTATAATCTCAGTACTTTGGGAGGCCAAGGCTGGAGGATCACCTGAGGTCAGGAGTTCAAGACTATTTTGGGCAACATAGGGGAGACCCTGTCTGTACAAAAAATTTCAAAATGCCAGACGCGGTGGCTCACGCCTGTAATCCCAGCACTTTGGGAGGCCGAGGAGGGTGGACCACTTGAGGTCAGCAGTTTGAGACCAGCCTGGCCAACATGGTGAAACCCCATCTCTACTAAAAATACAAAAATTAACTGGTGTCATGGGGCACGCCTGTAGTCCCAGTCTCCTGCCTCAGGTGAGGCAGGAGAATTGCTTGAACCCAGGAGGCAGAGGTTGCAGTGAGCTGAGATCGTGCCACTGCACTCCAGCCTGGGTGACAGAGCGAGACTCTGTCTCAAATAAAATAAATAATAATAATAATTTTAAAATTAGCTGGCGTGGTGGTACACACTGCCCAGCTACTTGGGAGGCTGATGCAGGAGGACTGTGTTGAGTCCAGTTCAGGGCTGCAGTGGGCTATGAACATACCACTGCATTCCAGCCTGGGTGACAGAGCAAGATCCTGTCTCAAAAAAAGAAAAAAAAAAAATGCCAGGAACTGTGGATGTTTAAACATGCTTTAAACTCATTTATACCTCCTCACAATATGCCGATTGAAAGCAGACATGAAGTAAACGCAATTATTTCCAGTGGATAAGGAAGTAAAGGCTTACAGAGGTTAAAAAATTTTGCCTAGTGTCACTCAGCTGCTTGGTGGCAGAGCTGACATTCCACACATGGTCTGTGTGATTTCAGAATCTGAATTCCTAACAATTACATCTACTGTCATTAGCCGGAGGTTCTTTGGTTTATTAGGGTGACAATAATCCCAGAGTCTCTTGACCTTCAGACACCCACAGCAAACCCCAGAGCTCTCTCTGGGCTCCCACACAGACTCCCAGCCTGCTGGTCTACTCTGCCCTCATGGATCCAGTTGATCAGAGCTCTTATTTTAGCAGCTGCATGCTGATGGTGCAGTGATGACCAAACAGCGACTGATCCACCCATCACTAGACAGCTGTCATACAGAGACAACAACAAAGCAACATCTAAGTCTTTATTAAGGTGAGTTTTTACAAACAAGCATCTATCCCAGTGTGGGGGATGAGGATGGGAGAGGAAAGCGGGGCAGGAAGATGAGGATTCTCATCTATTGATAATAAAGCTCCAGGTTCATCCCATCGTGGATTTCATCTGAAGGAAAGGTGTTAAGGAATCCTGACTCTGACTTCCGTCCCCACCCCTCTCATCCATTCACAGCCGGGTCAGGTGGCCTGAGGTCTCAGCCCAGGGCTAAGGAAGCCCATTTTGGACCAGGCCATTTTTATTTGGAGAGAACCAAAACTTTACAAAAGAATTTCTGGCTGGGTGCAGTGGCTCACACCTGTAATCCCAGCACTTTGAGAGGACGAAGCAGGTGGCTCACTTGACGTCAGGAGTTTGAGACCAGCCTGGCCAACACGATGAAACCCTGTCTCTACTAAAAATACAAAAAGTTAGCTGGGTGTGGTGGTGGGCACCTGTAATCCCAGCTACTTGGAAGGCTGAGACAGGAAAATCGCTTAAACCTGGGAGGTAGAGGCTGCAGTGAGCCAAGATTGTACCACTGCACTCCAGCCTGGGCAACAAGAGCAAAACTCCATCTCAAAAAAAAAAAAAAAAGTTTCTGTTCCTTCTAGGCCAGGCACAGTGGCTCACGGCTATAATCCCAGCACTTTGGGAGGCCGAGGCGGGAGGATCACTTGAGGCCAGGAGTTTGAGACTAGCCTGGCATACATGGTGGAACCTCATCTCTACTAAAAATACAAAAACTAGCAGGGAGTGGTGGCACACACCTGTAATCCCAGCTACTTGGGAAGCTGAGGCAGAATTGCTTGAACCCGGGAGGTGGAGGTTGCAGTGGGTCAAGATCGTGCCACTGCACTCCAGCCTGGGCGACAGAGCCAGACTGTCTCAAAAAAATAAATAAATAAAATAAAAATTGTAAAAAGTTTCTGCTCCTTTTGCACAATAGATATGCCTGAGTCTCACCCCACCCTGACCTACTGTCCAGCACTCAGGTGGAGGTCAGTAATAAATATTTTGAACTTGAAGTCAAACTATTTCACCAACCACTCTCCTCCCCAACCAAATAATTACCTAGCTCCCATTTTCTAAGTGCTCACCATGTGCCACGTATTAAGTTAAACACTTAATATGCATAAGCTCATGCAGACTTTAGTTTTGAACAGATAACCGAGGCTGGGTATGTAGATGCTTCCTCAAAAAGTCACACAAAGGATACAGTCCCCCAGAGACACGTGGTCCTTAAAAATCGTGTACCTAAGAAAAAGAGACATTTCAGAGATAAGGCTAAGGAGGCTCTTCAGTCTGTAGGCCAAATGAGGTAGCCAAGCCTAAGCAAAGGGCTGCCTGCAGCGCTCCCCCAACCAAAACCTTCCGGCCTAGTCCAGTCCACCCAGTGGCTCTACCGCTGCACTCACCACTTCTTCAGGACAATCTTGTTCCAACGGGTACCAGTTTGGGCTGCAATCAGCTTCTTAAGGTCCCCGATGGTATCATCCGTGCTGGGCGCAGAGCAGTTAAGGCAAATGGAAGCGGTAGAACGAGGAAGAGGACATTCTAGGGCAGAATACCATCTGCCAGGACCCCATCCGCCCCCTCTCCCGGGTTTAACTAAAACCATCCGACAACACAGATTGAGTTGCCTGCCTCACGCCAAGCACCCCTGCGGGTACCACTGCCTCTCGGCTGCCAGTGGATACTTGCATTTAACGCGGACCTTCTTCCCCAGACGGTCGTTGCAAACAACCTCGATCATCCTAGCTGGAGCTACACAAAGCGGGGGGTGGGTGGGAGGCAGCAAAGTCAGAGCTTCAGGCGTCTCCCAGGCCCAGAAGCCCCAGCCTACAAGTCTCCCAGTCCCAGGCCCTAAAATTCCAGGTTACTGAGCCTTCCGTTCTGCCCCCAACCCCCCGGACTCGAATACTCCCAGGCCCCAAGTCCCCTGTCCCAGGGCCGCGAACCCCGGGGAGCCGCGCCTCCGCCCCTTCTCGCCGCCTGAAAGCCCTGCCACAAAACTCCCTGGCCTCACCTCCCACCGACCCCAGACCCTGGGTGGCTGGGTCGCGACAGCTTTCTCCGACTCCGAGCCTCTCCGCTTGACCCCCTCACCTCGAATCGCCTCGAACCTGCCGACGCCACCAGCTCCTCACCCGAGCGCTGAACCCCGGTCGCAGTTAACGCTAGGAACCGGAAGCGGAAGTTAAAGTTCGAGGCCGGAAGCCCTGCCCCTAGCCAGGGGGTGTGGTCAACACTGGGACAAGTTCTTCCGGGTCTGCAGTCTGTGGTGTGTTTGCTGTTCCCAGGTACGGTTTCGGTGTCCCAAGGCTTGACAGGTGTCGCGCCTGTGGTAGGCGCGCCGGGTAGAGAGGGGGGCCTCGGCGGGTTTGTGGCCAGGGAAGGGGCGTGGAGCGAGAGTCAGAGGTCAGGCGCCGGCGCCCAGCTCGTTTGAAGTCATTGTTTGTTGCAGGGAGACTCGGTCACATGGTGGGGACGCCAGAGGGTCCCGGGAGTAGGGGTAAGCTCCTGATCCTGAGCCCGAAGCCTCTTGCAGCGGCAACTAGGAGCAAGGGCGGAGGGTGGGGGTGGGGGACGAGTTCTGCAGTCATCCCTTCTGACCCCCTGGGTTCATTCAGGGCTGGGCTTGGTGAGCATTTGGCTCACCTCTTCCCTCTGGCCATCGCGTTCCCCCGGGATACGGACTCCAGTCAGTAGGCGAAGCTTGATCCTAGAGTAGACTCTACGCTGCCCAACAGCTGCTGTTACCGCATGGTGCCGGACAGTTCCAGGCTCTTGGTGTCCTGAAGAAAGATTTGGACCAGACACACAGAGATGGCAAAGCTGCAAGTTTATTAAGCACAGTATTCCACTCTCGGAGTGGGGAGAGCGGACTGACCTCTGCGAGATAAGATCAGCCCCAGCTTGGTATAGTTTGGGTCTTTTTTTTTTTTTTTTTCTGAGACGTAGTCTCGCTCTGTTGCACAGGCTGGAGTGCAATGGCGCGGTGCCGGCTCACCGCAACCTCCGCCTTCCGGGTTCAAGCGATTCTCCTGCCTCAGCCTCCCGAGTAAGTAGCTGGGATTACAGGCGCCCGCCACCACGCCCGGCTAATTTTTGTACTTTTAGTAGAGATGGGGTTTCACCTTATTGGCCAGGCTTTTTTTCTCTTCCCAAGGCTGCCTAATATCTAGCCAGTGTCTACCTTTTTGAATGATAGGTGTGTTGCTTACTTTGGCCCCTGTGTGCTTGAGAGCCGCCTCCATTCATGATATGCCGTCCATATGCATGAGCGCTAATGAGCTGGTTATCCTTATCATGTTAAGGATACTTTTTGTCTTTAATGCGCGTGCTTATGCCTAAAGAGCTGCTCCTTACTGGTTTGGTCCTGATTTCCCCGGCCGTGGGATTTTTACTGTTTTTTTTTTAATTTTATTTATTTATTTATTTATTTATTTATGGAGTCTCGCTCTGTCGCCCAGGCTGGAGTGCAGTGGCGTGATCTGGGCTCACGGCAAGCTCCGCCTCCCGGGTTCACGCCGTTGTCCTGCCTCAGCCGCCTCCCGAGTAACAGGGACTACAGGCGCCCCCCACCACCCTCGGCTAATTTTTTTGTATTTTTAGTAGAGACGGGGTTTCACTGTGTTAGCCAGGATGGTCTCGATCTCCTGACCTCGTGATCCGCCTGCCTCAGCCTCCCAAAGTGTTGGGTGTGAGCCACTGTGCCCGGCCTTTACTCAGTTTTTAATCTTCCTTTTGTTTTGTCTCCTCAGCTTCTGCCATTTATCTTGCTTCTTGCTGGGTGAGCAAGAAGGGGCGGGTGCCCTTTCACCTTGCTTCTGCTCTCTGCTTTTACGTATTTTACCCTTTATCCAACTTTTAATTCCCTTTGCTATTCTTCTGCCTCATTTTCCCTATTCTCCTTTCTCACTGCCAGTCACCAACCTTAAATGCCTGCGAGGTAACTGGAAACATTGCACATTTGCACAATCTCCTGCAGCTGTATCTTTGGGGAGCACTTTGTACCAGATTCCAGGTTTGTGAGGGCTGGTGGGACAAGGACCGTCCTTCCTCAATTCAGTCAAACAATTTGTAAACCAAAAAGTATCTGAGACAGGTCTCAATAAATTGACAGGTTTATGTAGACAAGGTTAAGGACAAGCCTGGGAGAAAAGGAACACAAAACCCCAGGAACAATCTGTGATCCGTGCTTTTTTCCAAATATGATTTTGAGGGCTTCATTATTTAAAGGGAAAAGTGGGCTGGAGGGGAAAGAGGGAGAGTATGGTCACATTATTTAATCTACATGAAGAATACTCCATTATGTATTCATTTGGTGCTCAGTAAATTGGCACTTTCCATAACATAAAGTAAGCTACCTGTGGAGATATCTGGCCTTTAAAAAAAAATTTTTTTTGAGGCTAGGCACAGTGGCTCACACCTGTAATCCCAGCGCTTTGGGAGGCTGAGGTGGGCAGATCACAAGGTCAGGAGTTCGAGACCAGCCTGGCCAACATGGTGAAACCCCGTCTCTATTAAAAAAAAAAAAAAAAAATTAGCCAGGTGTGGTGGCAGGCACCTGTAATCCCAGCTACCTGGAGGCTGAGGCAGGAGAATCGCTTGAACACGGGAGGCGGAGGTTGCAGTGAGCTGAGATCGCGCCACTGCACTCCATCCCTCCATCCTGGGCAACACAGAGTGAGGCTATCTCAATTTTTTTTTTTTTTTTTTTTGAGGCAGAGTCTCGCTCTGTTGCCCAGGCTGGAGTGCAGTGGAACAAACTCAGCTCACCACAACCTCCCGTGTTCAAGCGATTCTCCTGCCTCAGCCTCCTTAGTAGCTGGGATTACAGGCACATGCCATCACGCCCAGCTAATTTTTGTATTTTTAGTAGAGACAGGATTTCACCATGTTGTCCAGGCTGGTCTCGAACTGCTGACCTCAAGTGATCTGCCCACCTCGACCTCCCAAAGTGCTGGGATTACAGGCGTGAGGCACCGCAACCGGCCTATTTGCTTTTGAATGGCAGGATCCAGAGACTAAAACCCCCTTTTACTATCGTTGAACTATACTGCTACAGTGGTTTAAGAATTCTCCAAGGCCAGGTGCAGTGGCTCAAACCTGTAATCCCAGCAGTTTGGGAGGCCAAAGTGGGCAGATCACCTAAGGCCAGGAGTTCAAGACCTGCCTGACCAACATGGAGAAACCCCATCTCTTTAATTTTGTAAAAATACAAAATTAGCCTGGCATGGTGGCGCATGCCTGTAATCCCAGCCACTTGGGAGGCTGAGGCAGGAGAATCGCATGAACCAGGGAGGCGGAGGTTGCGGTGAGTCGAGATGGTGCCATTGCACTCCAGCCTGGGCAACAAGAGAGAAACTCCCAGGATTACAGGCATGCACCACCATGCCTAGCTAATTTTGTATTTTTGGTAGAGACGGGGTTTCTCCATGTTGGTCAGGCTGGTCTTGATCTCCCGACCTCAGGTGATCCGCCTGCCTCGGCCTCCCAAAGTGCTGGGATTACAAGTGTAAGCAACCACACCCAACCTCTCTTCTGTTTTTCTGTGCTAAGGTCTCATAATGTTTATCCCGTGTACTTTGCTTAAAAATTCCAGAAACTGGCCTTGAAAATCTAAATATAGGCCAGGTGTGGTGGCTCACACCTGTAATCCTGGCACTTTGGGAGGCCAAGGCAGGCGGATTGTGTGAGTTCAGGAGTTGGAGACCAGCCTGGGCAACACGCTGAAACCCCGTCTCTACTAAAATACAAAAAATTAGCCGGGCGTGGTGGCCTGCGCCTGTAGTCTCAGCTACTTGGGAGGCTGAGGCAGGAGAATTCTTCTCTTGAACCCAGGGGGGCAGAGGCTGCAGTGAGCCGAGGTCACGCCACTACACTCCAGCCTGGGAGACATAGTGAGACTCCGTCTCCAAAAGAAACCAAACAAAAAAAAGAAAATCTAAATATAAAACCAAGGTTGTGGAACGTCCCATCCCAGGGAAAGAATCCACAATCCTGTTTTGGTCAAGCTGACACCTGCCAGACCAGCAGGTGGCCCATTACTCAAAATAGTAATGGAAACCAGACATGCTGACTTGTGCATCTGAACTCCATGTCCTGACCCCCTAGCTGCAGCTGTGCCTCGGTAGAACACCCCTTTTCGTTCCTGTCTTGATGATTGTTGGAGCACTCTGTAAGTTTCCCTAATAAATGCTTTGGACTGATTGCTCTGGTAATTGGTGTTTTCTTGAAATCCCCACTGGCCCCATCTTGGGATGATTTAGGGCATTCCTTTGTGGGAATTCCCCTGCCTCTGCTTTTGGGGAGACTCTAGCCGGGATGAAACAGATTGGAAGGTCAAAAGTGAGCTGAGGGGGCTGAGGTGCCTAAGGAAGTTTAGAAGCAGCACATCTTTGCATTCTCTTAGAAATCCTGGGTCACAGCCAGGCACGGTGGCTCACACCTATAATCCCAACACTTTGGGAGGCCAAGGTGGGTGGATCACTTGAGGTCAGGAGTTCGAGACCAGCCTGGCCAATTGGGGAAACCCCATCTCTACTAAAAATACAAAAATGTGGCAGGCGTCTGTAATCCTAGCTACGCAGGAGGCTGAGGCAGGAGAATCGCTTGAACCCAGGAGGCAGAGGTCACAGTGAGCTGAGATATGCCACTGCACTCCAGCCTGGGCAACAGAGTGAGACTGTTTGAAAACAAAGAAATGCAGGGTCACACAAGCATTGACTGTAGTTACCACTTCATGGTAGGATTACTGAGAGTCTCATTCTCCCTTCTTTTTTTTTTTTAATTTTTTAATTTTTTAATTTTTTTTTGAGACAGTGTCTTGCTCTGTCACCCAGGCTGGAGTGCAGTGGCACAATTATAGCTCACTGCAGCCTCCAATTCCTGGACTCAAGGGGACTCACCTCCTGGGACTTCAGGCGTGCACCACCACGCCTGGCTGATTTTTTTAATTTTTGGAGAGACAGTCTCACTATGTTGCCCTGGCTGGTCTCAAACTCCTGGCCTCAAGTGATCCTCCCAAAGTGCTGGAATTACAGGCATGAGCGACCACACCCGGCCTCATTTTCCCTCTTCGTGGTGTTTTTCCAGATTTCTGACACAGAACATATGTTACTTTTGTAATCACCGGGGGTGGAAAAGGAAATGTTTGCTTTTTCAAAATGTTCTAATTTCTCAGTGCTTGATTCAAAGATCTGCCAAGCACAGGGTCTTGGTGCTGAGCTGTGGGGCGAGGAGTTGGGAAAGGGATGGGAAGTGCTGCTGAGAGAAGAGGAAAATGGGGCCGGGTGCCATTACATCACACCTGTAATCCCAACACTGGGAGACCAAGGTGGTAGATCACCTGAAGTCAGGAGTTCAAGACCAGCCTGGGCAACATGGCAAAACCCTGTCTCTACTAAAAATACAAAAATTAACCAGGTGTGGTGGCACATACCTGTAGTTTCAGCTACCTGGGAGGCTGAGGCAGGAGAATCACTTGAACTCAGGAGGCAAAGGTTGCAGTGAGCCGAGATCACACCACTACACTCCAGCCTGGGGGACAGAGTCGGACTCTCTCAAAAAAAAAAAAAAGGCTGGGCACAGTGGCTCACACCTGTAATCCCACCACTTTGGGAGGCCGAGGTGGGCGGATCAGCTATCACCTGAGGTCAGGAGTTCGAAACCAGTCTGACCAACATGGTGAAACCCCATCTCTACTAAAAATACAAAATTAGCTGGGCATGGTGGCGCATGCCTTAAATCCCAGCAACTCGGGAGGCTGAGGCAGGAGAATGGCTTGAACCCGGGAGGTGGAGGTTGCAGTGAGCCGAGATCGTGCCACTGCACTCCAGCCTGGGCAACAAGAGCGAAACTCTGTCTCAAAATAATAAAGAAAAGAAAGTAAATTTTAAAAAATAAAGTGGATCCTGGTACAAGGTTTACGAGGTATGTAAGAATGCCTCCATTATTTTAACTGAACTCTTAAGTTCTGAGAAAACCCAGGCAGGGTCTTAAGGACTTTGTTTTACCTTCTAGCCCTTGCTCGAAGGCCCCAGTTTTTCCAGGTCTTTAATATTTAACTTACGTATTCATCAGAGCTACCACAAGGTGTTGGTGAAGGCTCACTGCTGTGGTTGCACATGGAGACCTAGCCTGCTGTAGGAAGATCTGCTGTTCTCACAGCCGCTTTTCCTTGGGGGAGGTGGATACTTCCCAGGAGGTAGAGTTTTGGGTCAAGACCCAAGGAGCAAGCTGGGGAGGCTTCTTCTCCCCCCTTGCTTCTTGGGTTCCTGGCCCAGAGGAAGGAGCTTGTATGTGGGTTTCTTTTGCTCTCACCTGACTACTTCCCTCTCTCCAGCCCTGTATGCTGGTGGTGCAGGAACCCCCTGTAACTGAGTAGGGATGGCAGGGAAGGGACACCTGGGTTCTGCCAAACTTAGAGGCACTCCCCTTCCCCTGCCAGAGTTCACAAGAAGGGAAATAATCTTAGGGGTGGAGGGAGGGGCATAGGAGTTTCCTCCCCCCATTACCTGAGCACCTCAGCAGGGCCGGGGTGCACAAGTCCCACCTGCCACCCCAGAATTCAGTCTGATATAGGAGGGCAACAAGCCAAGAAGACACACGTAATGCAGCCATAAAAAAAATGCAATCAGCTGGGCGTGGTGGCTCACGCCTGTAATCCTAGTACTTTGGGAGGCTGAGGCAGGAAGAACTTGAGCCCAGGAGTTCAAGACCAGCCTGAGCAACATGGCAAAACCCCGGCTCTAGAAAAAAATACAAAAATTAGCCGGGCGCAGTGGCTCACACCTGTAATCCCAGCATTCTGGGAAGCTGAGGCAGGTGGATCACCTGAGGTCAGAAGTTTGAGACCAGCCTGGCCAATATAGTGAAACCTGATCTCTACTAAAAACATAAAAATTAGCCGGACATGGTGGCGGGCGCCTGTAGTCCCAGCTACTCGGGAGGCTGAGGCAGGAGAATCACTTGAACCTGGGAGGCGGAGGTTGCAGTGAGCCGAGATTGTGCCACTGCACTCCAGCCTGGGTGATGCAGCAAGACTTCATCTCAAAAAACAAAACAAAAATTAGCCGGGCGTGTTGGCATGTGCCTACAGTCCCAGCTACTCGGGAGACTGAGGTGGAAGGATCGGATCACTTGAGCCCCAGAGGTTAAGGCTGCAGTGAGCTATAATTTCGCCACTGCACTCCAGACTGGGTGACAGAGAGAGACCCTGTCCCAAATTTAAAAAAAAAAAAAGATAATGAAATCATGTCCTTTGCAGTAACATGATTTTTTTTTTTTTTTGAGATGGAGTCTCGCACCCGTCGCACAGGCTGGAGTGCAGTGGCGCGATCTGGGCTCACTGCAACCTCCACAATCTCTTTCATATTCTTTTTTTTTTTTTTTGAGACGGAGTTTCGCTCTGTCACTCAGGCTGGAGTGTGGTGGCGCGATCTCAGGTCACTGCAATCTCCGCCTCCTGGCTTCAGGAGGCGTGCGTGTGTGTGTGTGTGTGTATATATATATATATATATATATACACACACACACACACACACACACACACACATTTTTTTTTTTGGACAGGAAGTAGAATTTATTGGTGAGTATTAATAGGGGGGGCAGCACATTGGAAGCCCTCATGAGTGCAGGGCCAGCCACTTGTCCAGAGGGCCACGATTGGGGATGTACTTGACCCCACAGCCATCTGGGATGAGCCGCTTCTCAGCCACCATGTCTTCAAATTCATCAGCATTGAACTTGGTGAAGCCCCACTTCTTTGAGATGTAGATCTTCTGGCGGCCAGGAAACTTGAACTTGGCCCTGCGCAAGGCCTCAATCGCATGCTCCTTGTTCTGCAGCTTGGTGCGGATGGACATGATAACTTGGCCAATGTCAACCCTGGCCACAGTGCCCTGGGGCTTTCCAAAGGCACCTCACATGCCTGTTTGGAGCCTACATTGTGGTAGTGCAAGGTTAGAAACATGAACATCCATCGGAAAGGCCTGTCTCCAAGGTCCCTTAGAGCAACCCATACAACCAACAGGCTGCGTACACTACCAAGGAAGCTGCTGTGTGCAGCCATTGCACACACACATTTTTATAGTTTCTTGGTGGACTTGCCAATTCAGAAAATATCTGTAGTATCAATGAAAGTGAAAAATTCAACAGGTCCTTTGGCCACGATATTCCAGTAATACAAATTTATCCTTGTGCATAGACATCAAGAAGCATCATTAAGTAAAAAAATAGAGTTCTCTGACTCTCTACCAAGCCATTCGCTCGGGGCCAGACCCACAGGCCTCGCCCCGCCTCAACCACGCCTTCATGGCGTAGTCTTCTCCCTGTCTCCGTCCCCCGCTCCCCACCTTCCGAGCGTCTCCATCGCTCCCCAGCCACGCCCTTGGCGCCTGGTCCTGCTGCAGCCTGGTTTCCGTCCAGACCACGACCTCTCGGCTAGGTCCTCGTCGTCAACCCCGCCCCCAAGGTCTCGCCCCGCCCCAGCCCCGCCTTCCAGCGGTTGTCCGAGCCTCTACCCGCCCTAGCCACGCCTCCAAGGCGTGGTTCTCGTCTGCAGCCCCACCTAGGCCTCGCCCCGCTCCAGCCGCGCCTTCCGGGCTTGATCCTCGCCCCACCCCAGCCACGCCTTCTGGACTTGGTCCTCGTCTCTAGCCCCGCCCCCTAGCCGCGCCCCAGCCCCGCCTTCTGGACTTGGTTCCGT
Organism: Homo sapiens; assembly: GCF_000001405.40. Taxonomy (NCBI): domain Eukaryota; kingdom Metazoa; phylum Chordata; class Mammalia; order Primates; family Hominidae; genus Homo; species Homo sapiens. Next base: position 9,819,376 of record NC_000019.10, on the reverse strand, counting down.
TCTCTGGCTCCGCCCCTGAGCCTCGCCCAACTCCAGCGACGCCTTCCGGGCTTGGGCCTCGCCTCTAGCCCCGTCCCCGGGTCTCGCCCCTCCCCAGCCACGCCTTCCGGACTTGGTCCCCGTCTCTAGCCCCGCCTCCGATCCTCGCCCCACCCCAGCCACGCCTTCCGGACTTGGTCCTGGTCTCTAGCCCCGCCTCCGATCCTCACCCCACCCCGGCCACGCCTTCCGGACTTGGTCCTCGTCTCTAGCCCCGCCTCCGAGCTTCGCCTCACTCCAGCCCCGCCTTCTGGACTTGGTCTTAGTTCCCAGTCGCGGCCAAATCACGCCTCAGCCACCTCCCGCAAGCCTCTCACTGCCTCAGCCACGCTTTCCAGGCTGGTTTCTGGTCCCCATCCGCGGCTGGTCCGGCCCTGGGACCGAATCACTTCCCAGCGAGAGGAAGGTCAAATTTCTCGACCGGCTACGGGAAGGTCGCGGCCGCCGCCCTGTCAGCCGCCTCGGCGCCCCCAGGACCCCTCGGGTCTCTTTAACCGGAAGCGGAAGTGCGTGTCGGCGGGATCATGGCGACTTTGGTCGAACTGCCGGACTCGGTCCTGCTCGAGATCTTCTCTTACCTCCCGGTACGGGACCGGATCCGCATCTCCAGGTGCGGCCCCGCCTCCGGGGGGAAGGGCAGGGCGGAGGGCGCAGCTGGCACCTGGAGATGCGATGTGGCCCGGGGCTGGGGTCGTTCTAACCGCGCGTCCCCTCCCCCAGGGTCTGTCACCGCTGGAAGAGGCTGGTGGACGACCGGTGGCTGTGGCGACATGTCGACCTGACGCTCTACACGGTACGCGCAGCTGGCCGGGCGGGCCTGGGCCGCGGTCGCGGTGCCCGGACCCCGAAGACCACCTCTCCCACCCTGGGACTGTGTGTCGGGGCCCGGGCTGGGGATTTAGAGCCAGGCGATCCGGGGCCTATCTCGGCATCATCGCTTACCAGCTCCTCTTCGACCTCAGGGCCTCAATTTCCTCATCCCTGCAATGGGGATAAAGGACAGTACCTGCCTCACGGGGCTATTATGGGACTTCACTGAGATCACGCAGGGAAAGGGCTTAGAACAGTCTGGCACATATTTATCATTCGATAAATGCTAATTTATGACTATGTTATCAAGTTTTTGTTTTGTTTTTGAGACAGAGTCTCGCTCTGCTGCTCAGGCTGGAGTGCAGTGGTGCGATTGCAGCCTCGACCTCCCAAGCTCAAGCGATCCTCTCGCATCAGCCTCCTGAGTAGCTGGAACCACGGGCGCTCGCCACTACACCTGCTAATTTTTTATTTTTTGTAGAGACGGAGTCTCACTATGCTGCCCAGGCTGGTCTCGAACTCCTGGGCTCAAGTGATTCTCCCGACTTAGCCTCCCAAAGTGTTCAGATTACAGGCATGAGCCACAGCAACTGGCTCAAAACATTTATAGATATATTTGTTGCCCTTTTTGAAACTGTCTTCATAGATAATTGCTATTATAAAGTGAATTTGCACCCTTCCTTTTACGTTACTTCATATGTGTGTGTCCAAAAACAATTATAGTGTTAGTAATGTATTTCTGAACTTCGGGTAATGCTGTTCTACTATTTAGATAGTGTTCTACTTTTAAACAATTTTACTGTATATATCCATCTGTAACTCCCTTTAATACAGTTGCTTTTGAAGTTCTTTTTTTAAGGACAGAGTCTTGCTATGTTGCCCAGGATGGTCTCGAACTCCTGGACTGAAGCTGTCCCCCAACCTCAGTCTCCCAAAGTGCTGGGATTACAGGTGTGAGCCACAGTGTCTGGCCTGATAATATGAAACTTTTTCTCAGTTGTTGAAACTTAGTTGTTGGTTTTGCGAGGAAAAGTTGATTCGTCCATTGGTTTTGTGTGCATTTAAAATTTTACCAACTTTAACTGCTACCCTTGTGAGTTACCATTCGGTGGCCACTATTTCTAGTCAATTTCTGCTGACCCACACGGGTCTAAATTTGGCAAGGAAGATTTGATTCCTCTGTCAAAAGTAGCCCATAACATTTATGCTCTGCAGTTTATCTTTTTCTAATTTATTTTTTTGAGATGGATCTCACTCTGTCACCCAGGCAGTGGCAAAATCATAACATACTGCAACCTCCATCTCCTGGGCTCAAGCCATCTTCCTGCCTCAGCCGCCTGAGAAGATTCATTAAAACATGTTTCTTTCTCTCTTGGTTCATGATATGGTTTGGCTGTGTCCCCACCCAAATCTCAACTTGAATTCTATCTCCCAGAATTCCCACGTGTTGTGGGAGGGACCCGGGGAAAGTAATTGAATCATGGGGCCAGTCTTTCCCATGCTATTCTTGTGATAGTGAATAAGTCTCACAAGATCTGATGGGTTTATCAGGGGTTTCCTTTTTTGCTTCTTTCTCATTTTCTTTTGCCATCAACATGTTAAGAAGCGCCTTTCACCTCCCGCCATGATTTTGAGGCCTCCCCAGCCATGTGGAACTTAAGTTCAATTAAACCTCTTTTTCTTCCCAGTCTCAGGTATGTCTTTAGCAGCAGTGTGAAAACAGACTAATACTGTAAATTGGTAGCGGTAAGTGGGGCGTTGCTGAAAAGATACCCAAAAATGTAGAAGCATCTTTGGAACTGGGTAACAGTCAGAGGTTGGAACAGTATGGGGGGCTCAAAAGAAGACAGGAAAATGTGGGAAAGTTTGGAACTTCCTAGAGACTTGTTGAGTGACTTTGCCCAAAATGCTGATAGTGGTATGATCAATAAGGTCCAGGCTGAGGTGGTCTCAGATGGAGATGAGAAACTTGTTGGGAACTGGAGTAAAGGTGACTCTTGTTATGTTTTAGCAGAGAGACTGATGGCATTTTGCCCCTGCCCTAGAGATTTGTGGAACTTTGAACTTGAGAAAGATGTTTTAGGGTATCTAGTGGAAGAAATTTCTAAGTGGCAAAGCATTCAAGAGGTGACTTGGGTACTGTTAAAGGTATTCAGTTTTATAGGGGAAGCAGAGCAGAAAAGTTTGGAAAATTTGTAGCCTGACTATGTGATAGAAAAGAAAAACCCATTTTCTAGGGAGAAATTCAAGCCAGATGCAGAAATTTGCATAAGTAGCAAGGAACCTAATTAGGACCATGGGGAAAATGTCTCCAGGCCATGTCAGAGACCTTCACGGCAGCCCCTCCCATCTCAGGCCTGGAAGCCCAGGAGGAAAAAGTGGTTTCCTGGGGGCCCAGGGTCCCTGTGCTATGTTCACCCTGGGACTTGGTGTCCTGTGCCCTAGCTGCTCCAGCTGTAGCTGAAAGGGGCCAACGTATAACTCGGGCTGTGGCTTCAGAGGGTGGAAGCCCCAAGTCTTGGCAGCTTCCACATGGTCTTGAGCCTGCTGGTGCACAGAAGCCAAGAACTGAGGTTCAGGGCCAGGCACAGTGGCTCACGCCTATAATCCCAGCACTTTGGGAGGCCAAGGCAGGCGGATCACTTGAGGTCAGGAGTTCAAGACCAGCCTGGCCAACATGGTGAAACCCCATCTCTACTAAAAATACAACAAATGCGTGGTGGCGCATGCTTGTAATCCCAGCTACTCGGGAGGCTGAGGCAGGAGAATCGCTTGAACCCGGGAGGCAAAGGTTGCAGTGACTCAAGATCGTGCCATTGCATTCCAGCCTGGGTGACAAGAGCGAAACTCCATCTCAAAAAAAAAAAAAAAGAATTGAAGTTTAGGAACCTCTGCCTAGATTTCAGAAGATGTGTGGAAATGCCTGGATGTCCAGGCAAAAGTTTGCTACAGGGGTGGGGCCCTCATGGAGAACCTCTGCTAGGGCAGTGTGGAAGGGAAATGTGGGGTCAGAGCCCCCACACAGAGTCCCTATTGGGTCACTGCCTAGTGGAGCTGTGAGAAGAGGGCCACTGTTCTCCAGACTCCAGAATGGTAGATCCACCCACAGCTTGCACCATGCACCTGGAAAAGCTTCAGACACTCAACACCAGCCTGTGAAAGCAGCTGGGAGGGAGGCTGTACCCTGTAAAGCCACAAGGGGCGGAGCTGGCCAAGACCATGGGAACCCACCTCTTGCATCAGTGTGACCTGGTTGTGAGACCTGGAATCAAAGGAGATAATTTTGGAGCTTTAAAATTTGACTGCCCCACTGGATTTCAGACTTGCATGGGCCCTGTAACCCCTTTGTTTTGGCCAATTTCTCCCATTTGGAATGGCTGCATTTACCCAATACCTGTACTCACATTGTATCTAGGAAGTAACTAGCTAGCTTTTGATTTTATAGGCTCATAGGTGGAAGGGACTTGCCTTGTCTCAGATGAGACTTTGGACTGTGGACTTTTGGGTTAATGCTGAAATGAGTTAAGACTTTGGAAGACTGTTGGGAAGCCATGATTGGTTGTGAAATGTGAAGACATGAGACTTGGAGGGGCCGGGGTGGAATGATATAGTTTGGCTGTGTCCCCACCCAAATCTCAACTTGAATTGTATTTCCCAGAATTCCCATGTGTTGTGAGAGGGACCCAGGGGAAATAATTGAATCTTGGGGGCTGGTCTTTCCCATGCTATTCTCGTGATAGTGAATAAATCTCAAGAGATCTGATGGGTTTATCAGGGGTTTCCATTTTTGCTTTGTTCTCGTTTTCTTAATTTTTTTTTTTTTTTTTTTTTTGAGATGGAGTCTTGCTCTGTTGCCAGGCTGGAGTGCAGTGGTATGATCTCAGCTCACTGCAACCTCTGCCTCCTGGGTTCAAGTGATTCCCCTGCCTCAGCCTCCTGAGAAGCTGGGACTACAGGCACGTGCCACCACACTGAGCTAATTTTTTGTATTTTTTAAATTAATTTATTTATTTTTCTTTGAGTCGGAGTCTTGTTCTGCCACCAGGCTGGAGTGCAGTGGTGCGATCTCAGTTCACTGGAACCTCTGCCTCCCGTGTTCAAGCGATTCTCCTACCTCAGCCTCCTTAGTAGCTGGGACTACAGGCATGCACCACCACACTCGGCTAATTTTTTTTTGTATTTTAGTAGAAACGGGGTTTTGTCATGTTGGCCAGGATGGTCTCAATCTCCTGACCTCGTGATCCGCCCGCATCGGCCTTCCAAAGTGCTGGGATTATGGGCATGAGCCACTGCGCCCGGGCTTCTTTCTCATTTTCTCTTGCTGCCGCCATGTAAGAAGTGCCTTTCACCTCCTGCCATGATTTTGAGGCCTCCCCAGCCATGTGGAACTGTAAGTCCAATTAAACCTCTTTTTCTTCCCAGTCTCAGGTATGTTTTTATCAGCAGCATGAAAATAGACTAATACAGTTTGTATTACATGGGTATATATATGCATGTATAAAAGGCAAATGTAAGCATGCTTTCTGAAGGATTGATGATAAGCTATTTTCTTCAGTGAATGGAAGAGTTTGATGTAGAAACACCTTTTTGGCCGGGTGCAGTGGCTCATGCCTGTAATCCCAGCACTTTGGGAGGCCGAGGTGGACAGATCACTTGAGGTCGGGTGTTTGAGACCAGCCTGACCTACATGGAGAAACCCTGTCTCTACTAAAAATACAAAATTAAGGCCAGGCGCGTGGCTCATGCCTGTAATCCCAGCACCTTGGGAGGCCAAGGTGGTTGGATCACGAGGTCAGGAGATTGAGACCATCCTGGCTAACATGGTGAAACCGCGTCTCTACTAAAAATACAAAAAAAACATAGCCGGGCATGGTGGCATACGCCTGTAGTACCAGCTACTTGGGAGGCTGAAGCAGGAGAATTGCTTGAACCTGGGAGGTGGAGATTGCAGTGAGCCGAGATTGCGCTACTGCACTCCAGCCTGGGCAACAGAGCGAGACTCTGTCTCAAAAAAAAAAAAAAAAATTAGCCGGGCATGGTGGCACATGCCTGTAATCCCAGCTACTCAGGAGGCTAAGGCACGAGAATCGCTTGAACCCAGGAGGCGGAGGTTGCGGTGACTGAGATCGTGCCATTGCACTCCAGCCTGGGCAACAAGCAAAACTCCGTCTCAAAAAAAAAGAAAAGAAAAGAAACACCTTTGTAAGCACACATAAAGAATATGTTATTAGACAATTTTCCTTTTTCCATTAGGCCCTATGATGCCAAGTAGAGAAATCCAGCAATAAAAGGCAGATGTAAGCATGCTAACTTTTTCTTTTTAAGATAAACTGTACTTAGAATGAAATGCCCAGTGCTATCAATTATATATATTTTTTATTTTCTACTAAGTCTAACTTCCCAGGGTTGATTTTTGCAGCTTCCACTCTACCAGGCTTTGATATATTTTTTTTTTTGACATGGAGTTTCGCTCTTGTTGCCCAGGCTGGTGCAACGGCACGATCTTGGCTCATCGCAGCCTCTGCTTCCCAGGTTCAAGTGATTCTCCTGCCTCAGCCTCCCAAGTAGCTGGGATTACAGGCGTGCACCACCACACCTGGCTAATTTTGTATTTTTAGTAGAGACGGGGTTTCTCCATGTTGGTCAGGCTGGTCTTGAACTCCTGACCTCAGGTGATCTGCCCGCCTTGGCCTCCCAAAGTGCTGGGATTACAGGTGTGAGCCACCGTGCCCAGCCTTTTCATTTGTTGTTTTTTTTTTTTTTTTTTTAACATAGACCTAATTTACTCTGGGTAGTTTTCGGCTTTTAAAATTTTATTCTGTGTTGCTTATTTCTACTGGAGGTGATCATTAAGAAAGGGGTAAAATATCAATGGGTTGCTCTGCTCTTTTTCTTAGTCCAGAAAAAACGGTAAAAATTTATTGCTAAAGATAGATTCTGTTAGTATCTTTTTTTCCCCTACCAGATTTATCTTTTTTTTTTTTTTTTTTTTTTTTTGAGACAGAGTCTCACTCTATCGCCCAGGCTGGAGTGCAGTGGTGCGATATCGACTCACTGCAACCTTTGTCTCCTGGGTTCAAGTGATTCTCTTGCCTCAGCCTCTTGAGTAGCTGGGATTACAGGTGCTTGCCACCACGCCCAGCTAATTTTTGTATTTTTAGTAGAAACATGGTTTCACCATGTTGGCCAGGCTGGTATTAAACTCCTGACCTCAAATGATCCATCCACCTCAGCCTCCCAAAGTGCTGGGATTACAGGCATGAGCCACTGTGCCCAGCCCCTACCAGATTTATTCTAAGTGGCCGAGTGCAGTGGCTCACGACTGTAGACCCAGCACTTTGAGGGGCTGAGATGGGAGGATTGCTTGAATCCAGGAGTTGGAGACCAGCCTGGGCAACATAGCAAGACCTCATCTCTACTAAAAATCACAAAAATTAGCTGGGCATGTGTCAGAAGTCCCAGCCACTTGGGAAGCTGAAGTGGGAGAATCACTTGAGCCTAGGAGGTCCAGGCTGCAGTGAGCCATTATCTCACCACTGCACTGTAGACTGGGTGACAGAGCAAGAACCTGTCTCAGAAAAAAAAAAAAAAAAAAAGATTTGTTCAAAGCCCTAGCAGGCAAGATGGTGCACTCAAACCATCTGGTTGAACCTGGGGAGGTTGAACCTGGGGAGGAGACTGGCTAGGCAAGGGCAGAAGCCCAGCAGGGCACCAGAATCCCCCACCCCGGGGTTGTGTGTCTCCAGCCCAGCAGGGGCCTTGGAAGCTCCATACCTCTCACTCTGTCACCCCAATCTCTGGCTCTTACAGATGCGACCTAAAGTCATGTGGCACCTCCTTCGAAGGTACATGGCATCCCGGCTCCATTCCCTGCGGATGGGTGGCTACCTGTTCTCTGGCTCCCAGGCCCCCCAGTTGTCCCCTGCTCTGTTGAGAGCCCTGGGCCAGAAGTGCCCCAACCTGAAGCGCCTCTGCCTGCACGTGGCCGACCTGAGCATGGTGCCCATCACCAGCCTGCCCAGCACCTTGAGGACCCTGGAGCTGCACAGCTGCGAGATCTCCATGGCCTGGCTCCACAAGCAGCAGGACCCCACCGTGCTGCCCCTGCTTGAATGCATCGTGCTGGACCGCGTCCCCGCCTTCCGTGACGAGCACCTGCAGGGCCTGACGCGCTTCCGGGCCTTGCGCTCGCTGGTGCTGGGTGGTACCTACCGTGTGACCGAGACAGGGCTGGATGCTGGCCTGCAGGAGCTCAGCTATCTGCAGAGGCTTGAGGTGCTGGGCTGCACCCTGTCTGCCGACAGCACCCTGCTGGCCATCAGCCGCCACCTCCGAGATGTGCGCAAGATCCGGCTGACCGTGAGGGGCCTCTCTGCCCCTGGCCTGGCTGTGCTGGAGGGAATGCCGGCCCTGGAGAGTCTGTGCCTGCAGGGTCCCCTCGTCACCCCAGAAATGCCCTCCCCCACTGAAATCCTCTCCTCCTGCCTCACTATGCCCAAGCTCAGAGTCCTTGAGCTGCAGGGGCTGGGGTGGGAGGGTCAGGAGGCGGAGAAGATCCTGTGTAAGGGGCTGCCCCACTGTATGGTCATCGTCAGGGCTTGCCCCAAAGAGTCTATGGACTGGTGGATGTAACTACTCCACCTGCCCTTGGGACCCATCCCAGTTTTCATCATTGAGCCCCAGACCCTCTGAGCAGCACCTTGAAGAGGGCAGATAATCAGACTTGAGGAAACTGAAAGCCCCAGGTTGAGAGAACAGAGGCCTAGGGACCTCCAGACCATTGGAATCACTGTTTGCCAGCTGTGTGGCCTTGGTCATATCATCAGCCTCTGGGAAGCCTAGTTCCCACATCTGGAAATAAGGATGATCATAGCTACCTCACGGTTACATTGCAAAGCCTTACTCTAAAAGCTCCCAGCCTCCAGAGGCTCTCAATGAAGAGTCACCTTCATGGTCGTCTTCAGGAACAGGACGGATGAAGAAGGGGTGGGGTTAAGACTCAGGGGCACCTGAGGGTCTGAGCCCCCTTATGAGTACCCAAGAAGGACTGTCTATGCATGCACACCCACAAGCCTATACACCATTTATATACCTACACGCACGCAAGAGACGCGGAGAGATAGGCGATGCAGACTCGCGATTCAATGATCGATATGCTCATAAAAGTGCTCAATTATATTTTCTGTATTTTGTATGCTGTATTTTCCAAGACGTATATTATTTTACTATTAAAGAAAAAAATCATTTTTTTTTCCCGAGAAGTATTCAGTTTATTCATTCAACCAATCTTTCTTGAGCTTCTGCTATTTTGCAGGCACTGTTCTAGGTTCTGGGAAACTGGGCCACCACAGTGAACAAAACTGACAAGACCCTGCCCTCGTAGATCTCATAGAGGAGAAGACAGGACAACAAACAGGTAAGCCAGTCCATGCTTTAGTTTTTTTGTGTGGGGACAGAGTCTCACTCTGTCACCCAGGCTGGAGTGCAGTGGTGCGATCTTGGCTCACTGCAACCTCCGTCTCCCGGGTTCAAGTGATTCTCCTGCCTCAGCCTCCCAAGTAGCTGGGATTACAGGCACCCGCCACCACGCCCAGCTAATTTTTGTATCTTTAGTAGAGATGGGGTTTCACCATGTTGGTCAGGCTGGTCTCAAACTCCTGACCTCGTGATCTGCTCACCTCGGCCTCCCAAAGTGCTGGAATTACAGGTGTGAGCCACTGCGCTCGGCCACCATGTTGTAATTTTGGAGACTCTGAGCCAGTACACCAGGGTCACGTGATGGAGGCATACTTGCATGGTTGAGTGAGCACGGTAGGCCTCTGTGCTGAGATCTGAGAGGTGAAGAGAAAGCAAAGATCAGAAGAGCTAGGGCAGAAGAGGAAAGGCCAGCACTGCTAAGATGAGAATGAACTTGGCATTTTCCAGAAACAGAAAGAAGGTTGTGTGGCAGAGTGAGCAGGGGTAAGAGCTGTCGAAGTTGAGGTCAGGGCCGGGCATGGTGGCTCACATGTGTAAACCCAGCACTTTGGGAGGCTGAGGTGGGTGGATCACTTGAGCCCAGGAGTTTAAGGCCAACCTGGGACATCTGAGGCAAGTGAATCACTTTGAGTTCAGGAGTTTGAGACCAGCTTGGGCAACATGGTGAAACCCTGTCTCTACAGAAAAAATTAGCCAGGTGTGGTGGTGTGCATCTACCCAGCTGGTATCCCAGCTATTCAGGAGGCTGAGGTGGGAGGATTGCTTAAGCCTGGGACTCGGAGGTTGCAGTGAACTGTGATCACCACTGCACTCCAGACTGGGTGACAGAGTGAGACCCTGTCTCAAAAAAAAAAAAAATAAAACAAAAGGAGATAATGGGGACAGGAGTGGGCAGGGCCTTGCAGGTGGCTCAGGCTTTAGGGGTTCAGTAAGTAACACCACCTTTTCCTGCCTTTCGAGTCTGAACCACTTGAAAGATGCAGGTGTCAGATTATAAGTGTGAGTGCCTACCCGTGAGATGAGCGTTGCTGTGTGTGGCTAAGCCCCGGCTCTGTGGGTTCACCACCTGCTCAGCAGGCCCAGGTGCCTCCTCTGGTGCTTAGAGCCAGGTTGGAGAAGAGAGCTGAGCTGGGTACACTTGGTTTCTTATTCCAAGCTTACCCATCAGAGAAGAGCCAGAGATGTTCCTCCCATGCTCTTCCCACTCAGAGTTGCAGTAGAAATTCCTTCTCTTTCTGTCTCTCTTTTTTTTTTTTTTTTGAAACGGAGTCTTGATCTGTTGCCCAGGCTGGAGTGGTGCAGTGGTGCAATCTTAGCTCACTGCAACCTCTGCCTCCCAGGATCAAATGATTCTCCTGCCTCAGCCTCCTAAGTAGCTGGGAATACAGGCGTGTGCCACCATGCCTGGCTAATTTTTGTATTTTTAGTAGAGTTGGAGTTTCACCATATTGGTCAGGCTGGTCTCAAACTCCTGACCTTGTGATCTGCCCACCTTGGCCTCCCAAAGTGCTGGGATTACAGGTGTGAGCCACTGCGCCCAACCTTTTTTTTTTTTTTTTTTTTTTTTTTAAATAGAGATGGGGCCAGGCACGGTGTGTCCCATGCCTGTAATCCCAGCACTTTGGGACACCAAGGCGGGAGGATCATCTGAGGTCAGGAGTTCGAGACCAGCCTGGCCAACATGGTGAAACCCCGTCTCTACTAAAAATACAAAGATTAGCTGGACTTGGTGGCACATGCCTATAATCCCAGCTACTCAGGAGGCTGAGGCAGGAGAATCGCTTGAACCCTGGAGTGGGAGGTTGCAGAGAGCCGAGATTGTACCACTGCACTCCAGTCTGGGCAACAGAGAGAGACTCTGTTTCAAAAATAAATATAGATAGATAGATAGGAGGTTGCAGAGAGCCGAGATTGTGCCACTGTACTCCAGCCTGGGCAACAGAGAGAGACTCTGTTTCAAAAATAAATATAGATAGATAGATAGACAGACAGGTAGACAGACAGAGACAGGAGTCTCCCTATGTTGCCAAGACTGGTCTCGAACTCCTGGGCTCAAGCCATCCTACTTCAGCCTCCCAAGTAGCTGGGACCACAGGAATGTGCCACCACACCTAGCTACTTTTTATTTTTTGTAGAGATGGGGGTCTCACTGTGTTGCCCAGGCTGGTCTCTAACTCCTGAGTGCAAATGATCCTCCTGCCTTGGCCTCCCAAAATACTGGGATTACAGGCATGAGCCACCTCACCTGAAATTCCTTCTCCATCTGGCCACATGAGGACTAGGCTATGAGTGTGCCCCTGATGTGGCCCTAGTCAAGGTCTGATTGTCCAATGCTGTGACCACCCCAGCAGCTCCAGCCCAGGACATCAGGGGGCTGGGTTGAACCAGGTAGAAACAGAGATTGGTGAAGTCTCAGAGCCTGTGGGAACAAGGAGGGAAATGAGGTTTGTTTTGCTTGCAGAGAGTGTCTGGAGAGCTGGGGTCAGTTTGGGAGAACATGAGGGTGACTCAACACCAGCCCTGTGCTGGACTCTGCAGGTGGTTCTGGAAGTGCATTGCCGATGCCCCAACCTGGAACAACTCTAGGGCAAAAAAGCTTCCTTTCTTTTTCCTCTCTGCCTTTCCAGTTGGAAGGGAGGGAGCAGCAGGCATTCGTTTTAGTTTTTTTGTTTGTTTTTTGGAGATGCTAGTCTCACTCTGTCACCTAAGCTGGAGTGCAATGGTGCGATCTCAGCTCACTGCAACCTCTGCCTCCAAGGTTTATGCTGCAGCCTGCCTCAGCCTCCTGAGTACCTGGGATTACAGGCACATGCCACCACACCCAGCCAATTTTTATATTTTTAGGAGATGGGGTTTCACCATGTTGGCCAGGCTGGTCTCAAACTCCTGGCCTTAAGTGATCCGCCTGCTTTAGCGTCCCAAAGTGCTGGGATTACAGGTGTGAGCCGCTGCAACTGGCCAGCAGGCATTAATTTTGAAGCAGGTAAGTGTTTACAGGCAGTGCTAGCAGGTGGGGGAAGAAGGCCCTGATCTGTAGCATTTGCAGATTACTATGGTGTAAACACTGTCTCACCACAGCTGGTTTCAAGCTACCAACAGTTTAACAACTGGCTCACAAAATAGTTGAAGATTCAGCATTTGGCTCTCCTGAGCTGTGGCATACCACTGGTTACAGGTGTCTTCTTCCTGGGCTTACCCTATGGAGAATTCATTCTGCCTTAGTGACCTCTAACATGGGCCTTGCCCCAAGGGGTGATGGGGTGATGGGACATCAGACAGAGCTTCTCCCCTTTTGGAACCTCCCCACCCCTAATCATTGCCTTCTCCCAGATAAGGGGCTGGGGGCTTCAGGACTGCCCTCCAATGAAGGCAAAGCATAATCACAATAGCTGACATTATTATTTTATTTTTATTTATTTATTTTGAGACATGGTCTTACTCCATCACCCAAGCTGGAGTGCAGTGGTGTGACTGTAGCTCACTGCAGCCTCGAACTCCTGGGTTCAAGCAATCTTCCCACCTCATCCTCCCCAGCAGCTGGGAATACAGGCATGCACCACCACACCTGGCTAATTTTTAAAAAGAATTATTATTATTATTATTTTGTAAAGACGTGGTCTCACTGTGTTGCCCAGGTTGGTCTCAAACTGCTTGGCTCAAGCGATCCTCCTGCCTCAGCCTCCCGAAGTGGTGAGATTACAGGCGTGAGCCACCACACCCAGCCTACTGAGTGCTTCTTATGTGGCAGGCACTGTGCTCAGTCCTTCATGCATGGACTCCTATAAGCAGCCCACTGAGGGAGGTAGAGATGAAGACACTGAGGCACAGAGAAGTTAAGTTGCCCAAAGCAACATAGCTGGTAAAGTAGAACCTGAGTAATTTTACTCCACAATCTTGCCCAGGATATAAAGCTGCCATGCTGCCATGCAATAGTATCTGAAGGGAGGCCCAGTAACTGGGCCCTATTAGGGGCTGTGAAGGCAATCATGACTCCATCTTGGATGCCAACTGCCATCTTGACTTCTGCTTAACCCAAGTCCTGAGAACAACTCCAACATTTCTAGATTTTTTTTTTTTTTTGAGACGGAGTTTTTGTTTTTGTAGCCCAGGTTGGAGTGCAATGGTGCAATCTTAGCTCACTGCAACCTCTGCCCCCAAGGTTCAAGAGATTCCTGCCACAGCCTTCTGAGTAGCTGGGATTACAGGTGCCCACCACCATACCCAGCTAATTTTTTGTATTTAATAGAAATGGGGTATCACCATGTTGGTCAGGCTGGTCTCAAACTCCTGACCTCAGGTGATCCACCCACCTTGGCCTCCCAAAGTGCTGGGATTACAGGCATGAGCCACTGTGCCCCACCTACTTTTTTTTTTTTTTTTTTGAGACAGAGTCTTATTCTGTCCCTCAGGCTGGAGTGCACTGGCCCAATCTCGACTCACTGTAACCTCCCTCACCTGGGTTGAAGCAATCCTCCCACCTCAGCCTCCCAAGTAATTGAGACTACAGGTGCACACTACCATGCCTGGTGGTTTTTTGTTTTTTTTTGTTTTTTGTTTTAAGACATAGGGTTTCGTCATGTTGCCCAGGCTGGTCTTGAACTCTTGGGCTCAAGCCATCCGCCCACCTTGGCCTCCCAAAGTGCCGGGATTACAGGCATGAGCCACTGCACCCAGCCAGGATTTCTACTTTATTTACTGTTCTTGTGTAAGAACATATACTCGCCATAGATCCTGCCCTTGGACCAAAGCAGCCTTGATGTTATTGTATAAATTACAGGCTATGACACATATCACATTCTTACCTGTCTGGAGGGTTAACTTGGCCTACACATTCTTTAGGAAAAAAAGAAAAAATTTTTTTTCGAGACAGGGTCTTGCTTTGTTGCCCAGGCCAGAGCGCATCATGGCTCATCTCAGCCTTGACCTCCAGGGCTGTAGTGTTCCTTACCCTCTCAGCCACACAAGTACCTGGGACTATAGGCACATGCCACCATGCCCAGCTAATTTTTCTTTTTTTGTAGAGATGGGGTCTCACCATATTGCCCAGGCTGGTCTCAAAGTTTTGGGCTCAAGCGATCTGCCTGCCACAGCCTCCCAAAGTGCTGGGATTACAGGTGTGAACTACTCACCATGCCCAGCCCCTACAGCTTCACTGAGGTATAATTAACATGTAATAAATTGCACATATGGCCGAGCGCGGTGGCTCACGCCTGTAATCCCAACACTGGGAGGCAGAGGCAGGCGGATCACCTGAGGTCGGGAGTTCGAGACCAGCCTGACCAACATGGAGAAACCCCGTCTCTACTAAAAATACAAAATTAGCCGGACGTGGTGGCACATGTCTGTAATCCCAGCTACTCGGGAGGCTGAGGCAGGAGAATCGCCTGCACCTGGGAGGCGGAGGTTGCGGTGAGCCGAGTTCACACCATTGCACTCCAGCCTGGGCAACAAGAGCGAAACTCCATCTCAAAAAAAAAAAAAAAAAAAAAGTTTAAATTTACCTATAGCGTGGAAGCTTCCTGCTTTGAGTTGTCCTGCTTTTCTGGACCAAGCCAATGTATTTATTAAATGTGTTTGATTGATGTCTCATGTCTCCCTAAAATATATAAAACCAAGCTGCACCCCAACCACTTTTGTCACATGTTCTCAGGACATCCTGAGGGCTGTGTCGTGGGCCATGGTCACTCATATTTGGCTCAGAATAAATCTCTTCAAATATTTTACAGAGTTTGACTCTTTGTCAACCATTGCCTTTGCAAAAATAATAATCAGGACAGTCGAGGTGGCTCACGCCTGTAATTCCAACATTTTGTGAGGCTGAATGAACTCCAGAATGGGCAGGTCATTTGAGCCTGGGGAGGTCGAGGCTGCAGTGAGCTGTGATTGCACCTCTGCACTCTAGCCTGGGTAACAGAGTGAGACCCTGTCTCAAAAAAATATATATCAGAAAATTATGACAGTGAAAGAGATCTGAGCCAATCCACCCCCCATCTTCCCTTTCCCTTAATATTTCCTGGGCTATTGGGCTGAGGTAACTTTAAGAAACATTTAGGCTATAGTTTAGGTGATAATAAGCTTTGCCTAAAACTCAATCGCTTTGGTAAAACTAATGGGGAGCCATCAGCAGGAGAGGAGCCTGATTCCTGCAAAGGCGCAGAAATGTATGTCAGCCACTATTCCAGAGGTTATGAGATATGCAACTTCCCCAATTACTCCTGCAAATAACACCACTATTGCAGAACCCCAGATTGGCCTTTGGAGATACCCTTTCAGGTTTTATTGCATGTCTGACACCTAACACTCCTCATGGACCCGTCAACCCTGCTCCTATGGCCCCACCCAAAATCGATTCAGCCTGTAGGAGGAAGGCTTCGACCCCCCTATGATTGCATCTGCCCCAACCAATCAGCAGCAAGCACCTGTTACTCTGCCATCCCCACCCGTTCCCCCAAACTGTCTTTGGAAAACCCCTAACCTAGGAGCTTTGAGATGATTTGAGTAGGAACTTCGACTCCCACGTGGCATGGCCAGCCTCATGTCCACTAAACTCTTCCTTTACTACAATGCCATTGTCTTTCTTTATGCAGTGGGCAGGAAGAACCCTCCGGCAATTACAGCTTGAGCCCAGGAATTCGATGCCAGCCTAAGCAATGTCGACGAAAAGCGTCAAACTCTGTAAAATATTTTAAGAGATTCATTCTGAGCCAAATATGAGTGACCATGGCCGGTGATACAGCCCTCAGGAGGCCAGGAGAACATGTGCCCAAGGTGACTGGGGTGCAGTTGGTTTTGTACATTTTAGGGAGACATGAGACTTCAATCAAATACATTTAAGAAATATATTGGCCGGGCGCGGTGGCTCACGCCTGTAATCCCAGCCCTTTGGTAGGCCGAGGTGGGCGGATCACATGAGGTCAGAGTTCGAGACCAGCCTAACCAAGATGGTGAAACCCCGTCTCTACTAAAAATACAAAATTAGCCGGGTGTGGTGGCACGCGCCAGTTATCCCAGCTACTCAGGAGGCTGAGGCAGGAGAATCGCTTGAACCAGGGAGGCGGAGGTTGCAGTGAGCGGAGATGGCACCACTGCACTCCAGCCTGGGTGACAGAGCGAGACACCGTCTCAAAAAAAAAAAAAAAAAAAAAGGAAAAGAAATACATTCATTTGTTCCAGAATGGCAGGACAGCTCAAACCGGGAGCTGGGGTGGGGTGGGAGTGGGGATTCCAGCTTATAGGGAGATTAAAACTTTTTTTCTTTTTTTGAGAGGAGGCTTGAGGTTGTGGAGACCCAAGTTCTTTTTTTTTTTTTTCTTTTTTCTTTTTTGAGATGGAGTCTCGCTCTTGTTGCCCAGCCTGGAGTGCAATGGCACCATCTCGGCTCACTGCAACCTCCACCTCCCGGGTTCAAGCGATTCTCCTGGCTCAGCCACCAGAATAGCTGGGATTACAGGCGCCCGCCACCATGCCCGGCTAATTTTTTTTTTTTTTTTTTTCGGAGACGCAGTCTCGCTCTGTCGCCCAGGCTGGAGTGCAGTGGCACGACCTCAGCTCACTGTAACCTGCGCCTACCGGGTTCCAGCAATTCTCCTGCCGCAGCCTCCTGAGTAGCTAGGATTACAGGTGTGTGCCACCACGACCGGCTAATTTTTGTATTTCTAGTAGAGACGGGGTTTCGTCATGTTGGCCAGGCGGGAGACCCAAGTTCTTATTTCCAGAGGAAGCCTCCAGGTACTAGACTTCAGAGAGAATAGGTTGTAAAATGTTTATCCGACAGACCTGGGGGCGTGGCTTCCAATGAAGACCAGCCCCAGAAGGCCGGGCTGGGAGACTGCGAAGTCGGAGGGGTTGAGGGGACTTCAGGCAGAGTGGGTGGAGCAAAGGAGAGGGCTCAGGCTTGGGGGCGGGACTTGGGTGGGTCCTCCATTCTGGTTGGCCAAGCCTCTATGTCCCAAATAAAAGTCTCTACCTTCCCGAGAACTTATTACAATAGAACACCAGATTTCCAGAGGTATCTGCCAGTCCACAGAGTGAATCACGTTTCCATTCATCCCGTTTCTTCTATAGGCCCTTGAAGAGAGTTTTAACATTTTCTTCTTAAATCGGTTGTATCTTTCGGTGAGGTTAACTCCTAGAGATTACATATAAATACATTTAGGTTTTTTGCTCTTTTTTCCAACCGATGGTTATTGAGGAGTTCTGAGAGATGAGAAATGTGCTGATTTAAATCACAAATGTAGGCCAGACGCAGTCGCTCACACCTGTAATCCTGGCACTTTGGGAGGTTGAGGCAGGGTCCTTTGAGCCCAGGAGTTCTAGACCAGCCTGGGCAACATGGGGAGACCCTGTCTCTATGAAACATTAAAATTAAAATTAAAAAAAGAAAAATAAATAGCCCGGGCGCGATGGCTCAAGCCTGTAATCCCAGCACTTTGGGAGGCCGAGGCGGGTGGATCACCTGAGGTCAGGAGCTCGAGACCAGCCTGAACAATATTGTGAAACCCGCTTATACTAAAAATACAAAAAATTAGTTGGGCGTGGTGGCGGGCGCCTGTAATCCCAACTACTTGGGAGGCTGAGGCACCAGAATAGCTTGAATCCGGGAGGCGGAGGTTGCAGTGAGCCGAGATGGTGCCATTGCACTCCAGCCTGGGCGACAAGAGCAAAACTCTGTCTCAAACGAAACAAAACAAACCAAAAACCCAATAAAATACAAAAATTAGCTGCGCGTGGTGGTGCACACCTGTAATCCCAGCTACTCGGGAGGCTGAGGCAGGAGAATCGCTTCAACCTGGGAGGCGGAGGTTGCAGTGAGCCGAGATGGCGCCACTGCACTCCAGCCTGGGTGACAGACTGAGACTCCTTCTCTATATAAAAAAAAAAAGAAATAGAAAAAAGAAAAATGAATAGGCCGGGCACGGTGGCTCACGCCTGTAATCCCAGCACTTTGGGAGGCCGAGGCGGACGGATCACTTGATGTCAAGGGTTCGAGACCAGCCTGGCTAACACGGTGAAACCTCGTTTCTACTAAAAATACAAAAAGTTATCCGGGCATAGTGGTGCGTGCTTGTAATCCCAGCTAGTCGGGAGGCTGTGGCAGGAGAATTGCTTGAACTCGGAAGGCGGAGTTTGCAGTGAATCAAGATCACACCACTGCACTCCAGCCTGGGTAACAGAGGGAGACTCCGTCTCTTAAAAAAAAAAAAAGGAAAATAAATAAATAAAGTAGATCACAGATATAAAATAGTGTCCAGATGAAACAATAGATGCCCAACATCCTGGAATGGGACATCAATTAAAATAATAAAAATAGAAAAGAACAAGAGATGCCCAGCAAATAGTTATTTTCACTTTCCCCCTAACGAAGGGTGAAGAGGTCTACAAATGTTCGCTGTTTCTCTTAATTCCTGTGTTTTGAGAATTAAGGATTTATAAGGCAAACCAAGTGATGCGCTGTTGTCTTCTGGAGACCTATGGTATTACATTTCATCTCAAGCAGGTGCTTTTTGAAACTTACCTTTAAACCTTCCTTCCCTATTGGAAAGTTATCACTTGAAAAAGCATTTTCATCATACCTGTAATCCCAGCACTTTGGGAGGCTGAGGTGGACGGATAACCTGAAGTCAGGAGTTCCAGACCAGCCTGGCAAACATGGTCAAACCTCGTCTCTACTAAAAGTACGAAAATTGGCTGGGCACAGTGGCTCACACCTATAATCCTAGCACTTTGGGAGGCTGAGGCAGGTGGATCACCTGAGGTCAGGAGTTCAAGACCAGCCTGGTCAACATGATAAAACCCCATCTTGGCCGGGTGCAGTGACTCACGCCTGTAATCCCAGCACTTTGGGAGGCCAAGGTGCTCGGATCACGAGGTCAGGAGATTGAGACCATCCTGGCTAACACAGTGAAATCCCGTCTGTACTAAAAATACAAAAAAATTACCTGGGCGTGGTGGCGGGCGCCTGTAGTCCCAGCTACTCAGGAAGCTGAGGCAGGAGAGTGGTGTGAACCTGGGAGGCGGAGCTTGCAGTGAGCCGAGATCGCGCCACTGCACTCCAGCCTGGGCGACAAAGTGAAACTCCATCTCAAAAAAAAAAAAAAAAAAAAAAAAAAGAAACCCCATCTCTACTAAAAATACAAAAAATTTGCCAGGTGTGTTGGTGGGCCCCTGTAATCCCAGCTACTTGGGAGGCTGAGGCAGGAGAATCGCCTGAACCCAGGAGGCAGAGGTTGCAGTGAGCCGAGATAGTGCCATTGCACTCCAGCCTGGGCAACAAGAGCAAAACTCAATCTCAAAAAAAAAAAAAGTACAAAAATTAGCTGGTGTGGTGGTGCTCGCCTGTAATCTCAGCTATTCCTGTGGCTGAGGCATAAGAATTGCTTGAACTCACGAGGGTTCAAGTTGCAGTGATCTGAGATCGTGCCACTGCACTCCAGTCTGGGCAACAGAGCAAGGGGCCAGCAAAAAAAAAAAAAAAAAAAAAAAAAAGCCTTTTCCAAGCTGGGATGGGGATGGAACAACAGTTTGACAGATGAGAAAACTGGGACTCAGAGTCATCTACACACAGTATTTCCACTTCATCTCCAGGAAATGACTGAAGGAATTTAGGGGATGTCTGTCAATTTCTGAGGAAAGACAGAACAGCAAGTGCAAGGGCCCTGAGGCAGGAAGGCAGGACAATGCTTCTGTAACAGCAGAAGCCCTGTGTCTGAAATGGTTTAAGTGAGTTGGGTAGGATGGAGACTAGCAGGAAGGAAGTCAATTATCAGTCAGATCATATGGGGCCATGAGAACAACTAAACATTTTGGGTTTTACTATGAGTGCAATGCAAAGTCATAGAAGGGTCTGAGCTACTGGAGCAATATTATCTGATATATATTTTAAGAATATCTGTCTGTCATTTGTACAACTCTTGGGAATCAAAGGTAGAATCAGGGAGCGTAATTGGAAAGTTAAGGCAATAATCCCGATGAGAAGAAAGTGGTTTGGAAAGTTGGTAGCAGGGGAGAACAGAGGGGTTGTGGCATGGTCTGAGGCTAAAGTGAAGGTAGATCCAAGAGCTATCTGCTGATGGATTTTCTTTCTTTTTTTTTCCTTTTTTTTAGAGACAGTCTCACTCTGTCACCCAGACTGGTGTGCAATGGCACAATCATAGCTCACCGCAGCATGGAACTCCTGGACTCAGGTGATTCTTCCACCTCAGCCTCCTCAGTAGCTGGGACTACAGGCGCCCACCACCACAGTCAGCTATTTTTTTTTCTTTTTGTAGAGATGGGATGTCACTATGTTGCCCAAGCTTGGCTCTAACTCCTGGCCTCAATCGATCCTCCTGCCGTGGGCTCCCAAAGTGTGGGATTATAGGCATGAGTTACCAAGCTTGTAACCGCCTAACTGCCTAGAGCTGATTTACCAATACAGGAAATTGCAATAAAGAAAGAGTTTCATTCATGCAGAGCCAGCTAGCCGTACAGGAGACCAAAATTTTACTATTATTCAGATCAGTCTCCCTGAAAACTCTGGGATCAGGGGGTTTGTTTGTTTGTTTTGAGACAGAGTTTCGCTCTTGTCACCCAAGCTAGAGTGTAATGGCGCCACCTCAGCTCACTGTAACCTCTTCCTCCTGGGTTTAAGAGATTCTCCTGCCTCAGCCTCCCGAGTAGCTGGGATTACAGGTGGCCGCCACCACGCCTGGCTAATTTTTCTATTTGTTTTTTTTAGTAGAGACGGGGTTTCACCATGTTGGCCAGGCTGGTCTTGAACTCCTGACCTCAGGTGATCCACCTGCCTTGGCCTCCCAATGTGCTGGGATTACAGGCGTGATCCACCGCACCTGGCCTGAGATCGTGGTTTTTAAGGATAATTTGAGATAATTTTAAGGATAATAGGGGGTCTGAAAGTGGGAAGTGCTGATTGGTTGAGTCTGAGATGAAATCACAGGGAGTGGAACCTGTCCTGTTGCTCTGAGTCAGTTCCTGGGTGGGAACCACAAGACCAGATGAGCCGGTTTATCCATCTAGGTGGCCTCAACTTGTGCACTGAAACACAGGGTCTGCAAAATATCTCAAGCACTGATTCTAGGTTTTACGATAGTGATTTTATCCCCAGGAGCAATTTGGGGAGGTCCAGAATATTGCACCCACCAGCTGCATGACTCCTAAACCATAATTCCTTATCTGTGGCTAATGTGTTAGTCCTGCAAAGGCAGTCTAGTCTCCAGGGAAAAGGAGGTTTGTTTTGGGAAAGCATTATTGTTGTTTTTGTTTCAAAGTTAAACTATAAACTAAGTTCATCCCAAACTTAGTTTGGCCTATGTCCAGGAATGAACAAGGACAGTGTGGAGGTTAGAAGCAAGATGCAGTTAGTTTGGTCAGATCTCTTTCCCTGTAATCAGTTTCTCAGTTATAATTTTTGCAAAGGTGGTTTCAAGCCCAGTACCCAGGGCTCGTAAGAAAGACATTCAGCTAGGCGCGGTGGCTCACGCCTGTAATCCCAGCACTTTGGGAGACCGAGGCGGGTGGATCACGAGGTGAGCAGATCGAGACCATCCTGGCTAACACAGTGAAACCCCGTCTCTACTAAAAACAAAACACAAAAGATTAGCTGGGCGTGGTGGCAGGTGCATGTAGTCCCAGCTACTCGGGAGGCTCAGGCAGGAGAATCGCTTGAACCTGGGAGGCGGAGGTTGCAGTGAGCCGATATCGCGCCACTGCACTCCAGCCTGGGTGACAGAGTGAGACTCCGTCTCAAAAAAAAAAAAAAAAAGACATTCAGGTCGTGCGCGGTGGCTCACCCCTGTAATCCCAGCACTTTGGGAGGCTGAGACGGGCAGATCACATGAGGTCAGGAGTTTGAGACCAGCCTGGCCAACATGGTGAAACTCCATCTCTACTAAAAATAAAAAATTAGCCAGGTGTGGTGGCATGCACCTGTAATCCCAGCTACTCGGGAGGCTGAGGAAGGAGAATCACTTGAACCCGGAGGTGGAGGTTGCAGTGAGCCGAGATCGCGCCACTGCACTCCAGCCTGGGCAACAGAGTGAGACTCAGCTTCAAAAAAAAAAAAAAAAAAAAGAAAGAAAAAAGAAAGACATTCAATTAAGCTTCTTCCTTTTCCCACAGACTCTAGAGTTTAACGTCTTCAGTGGGAATCAGCATGGACGTTCAGAACAGTCCCTCCTTAAACACAAAGACATTTCCTACCTCATACCTCATAATCACATGATAGAAGGGGTGAGAAAGTCTCCACGGCCAATCCCATACAGGGGTGTTCAAGAATACAGTTATGGGTTGTTAGTTTTTGTTTCTGGTTGGGCCTGCAAAGCCTCTTCCTCATCCCTCTTTTCCACTTATCACTAGAAACAGAAACTAAAAACCATGGCTTCAGGCTGCTACAAGTCTAAAACAAAACAAAACAAGACAACAACAACAAAATAAGGCGACTTGGACAAACTTGCTAGTAAATCCATTAACGAAGGCCCCGCCCTCATGATCTAATCACCTCCCTAAGGCCTCATATCCTAATTTCATCACTTCTGCGGTTAGGATTTAAGCATTTGGCTTTGCGGAGTGGTGGTGTGGAGGCAGGACACACACAACATACAACCTTCAGACCATAGTGAGGTAGGAGACTGGGTAGGACTTACTTTGTTTCCTGGTCCCAACAGGATAAAGTGAAGAAGCCACCGGGAACCAGCAGATGGCACCAAAAGCCATCTCTAGTTGCTCTCCTTGCTTGTTAGGGTAAGACACTCCTACCAGAGCCATGACAGTTGATAAGTACCATGGCAACAACATGAAAGTTACCATTCACTTCCACAACAATCACCTGGAAGTTATAGCCTCCTTTCTAGAAAGTTCTGCATGGCACACCCCTTAATTTGCATGTAATTAAAAGTGAGTATAACTATAGCTAGCCAACAGCACAAAATGCTGATTCTGGGCACACTGCATAGGTTTTAGCTGTACTCTGGAAAAAGCAACTCTGAGTGAATGAAAGATCCTTGTGTAGCACCACCAGTTGAATTCTTTCCTGGGTGAATCCCCAATGATGGCACTTACCTGCATCAGTAGCACACTTCTATTTCCTTAGGCACCTGCTTATAAGCTAAAACTGCCTGCTTGCCAAAAGGATATAAGAATTTTTATTTTTCATTTGGATAAAGGCAATTAGTTAACACAAATGGCCACCCCAATTACCAAACTTAGGATGAACTTCAACAACATTGTTAACACAGTCATTGTGTTGTGAATTCTTTTTTTTTTTTTTTTTTTTTTTTTTTTTGAGACAGAGTCTTGCTCTGTTGCCCAGGCTGGAGTGCACTGGCGAGATCTCGGCTCACTGCAACCTCCACCTCCTGGGTTCAAGCGATTCTCCTGCCTTAGTCTCCCAAGTAGCTGGGACTCAACACACCCAGCTAATTCTTTTGTATTTTTAATAGACACAGGGTTTCACCATGTAGCCAGGCTGGTCCTGACCTCCTGAATTCAGGTGATCCATCCACCTCAGCCTCCCAAAGTGCTGGGATTACAGGCATGAAAACCAGCACACCTGGCCCACCTGTGCACTGTTAGTGAGACTATAAAACGGTGCAGCAGCTATGAAAACCAGTATGGCAGTGGTTCAAAAAATTAAAATTGGTATTATCACATGGTCTAGCAATCCCACTTCTGGGTATATATCTAAAAGAATGGAAAACAGGCTCTCAAAAAGATATTTGACCACCCACGTTTATAGCAGCATTATTCATAATGGCCAAGAACACACCTCATTCATAAGGGTGTATTTTGGGGCTTTCTATTCTATTTATTGGTTTAATTTATTTACCACTACACCAATATTACTGTCTTTTTTTTTGCGACGGAGTCTCGCTCTGTCGCCCAGGCTGGAGTGCAGTGGCACGATCTCTGCTCACTGCAAGCTCCACCTCCCGGGTTCATGCCATTCTCCTGCCTCAGCCTCCTGAGTAGCTGGGACCACAGGTGCCTGCCACCACGCCCGGCTATTTTTTGTATTTTTAGTAGAGACGGGGTTTCACCGTGTCAGCCAGGATGGTCTCGATCTCCTGACCTGGTGAACCGCCCGCCTCGGCCTCCCAAAGTGTTGGGATTACAGGCGTAAGCCACCGTGCCCGACCCTGTCTTTCTATTTCTTAATGTCTGTAGGGTAAGTGCCAACAGTTCTTCAGGAGTATTTTGTACCTCCACATACATACATTTTATTATAAGTAGATCAGGTTCCTCATCAAACATGTTATTTTGACTGAAAACTTGTTAACTTTCTATATTAAGTAAGAAGAATTCAAGTCTTTATATTGAAACTTCTAATCCATCAACAAGGAAGGTCTATCCATTGATCTAGGTCATCTTTGATTTCTTTCAATAGTAGTTTACAAATTTCTCGGAAGAGATATTGCATACTTTTTTGTTGTATTTATTTCTACTTATTTTATTGCTGTTGTAATATTGCTGTTAAAAGAGACAAGTCGGCCGGGTGCGGTGCCTCACGCCTGTAATCCCAGCACTTTGGGATGCCGAGGCCAGCGGAATACCTGAGGTCAGGAGTTCCAGACCGGCCTTGCCAACGTGGCGAAGCCCCGTCTCTACTAAAAACATACAAAAATTAGCTGGGCGTGGTGGCATGCGCCTGTAATCCCAGCTACTCAGGGGCCTGAGGCAGGAGAATCGCTTGAACCAGGGAGGTGGAGGTTGCAGCAAGCCAAGATCAAGCCACTGCATTCCAGCCTGGGCGACAGAGCAAGACTCCGTCAAAAAAAAAAAAAAAAAAAAAAAAAGAGAGAGACAAGACAATTATCTTTGCATATTGAGTTTTTAGCCACTATTCTTGCTAACCCGCACATTATGTGTAACAATTTAGATTCTTTTGGATCTCCCACTTAGACAATTATGTTGTCTGTAAATAATGGCAGAAAAGAAATGTAGATAATGTTTCTTCCAATTTCTTTTTCAGACAGGGCCTTCCTCTGTCGCCCCAGCTGGAGTGCAATGTTGCCATCTCAGCTCACTACAACCTCTGCCTCCGGGCTCAAGTGATCCTCCTGTGTCAGTCTCCGAAGTAGCTGGGACTATAGACATGCATCACCATGCCTGGCTAATTTTTGTATTTTTTAAAATTGAGACAGGGTTTTGCCATCTTGCCCAGGCTGGTCTCAAACTCCTGAACTCAAAGCGATCTTCCTTCCAAAGTGTTAGGATCTCAGGCGTGAGCCGCGCGTGGCCGTAACTACAATGCTTGATAGAATTCGTGAGAGTGGGCATCGTTGCTGTACTCCTGAGCTTAGAACAGTTTTCAGTATTTCACTACAATGTTAGCTGTAGATTTTTTTACATGCTCTTTATCAGTTTGTTGAGAGATGTTGAGAATGGGCCCGGTGCGGTGGTTCATACCTGCAATCTCAGCTCTTTGGGACGCCAAAGAGGGAAGATCGCTTGAGCTCAGGAGTTCGCGACCAGCCTGGGCAATATAGTGTGACCTCCCATCTCCACGAAAAATTTAAAAATTAGCCTGCTGTGGTGTCACGAGCCTGTAGTTCCAGCTACTGTTGAATTTGAGGGAAGATCGCTTGAGCCCAGGGATTGGAGGTTTCCGTGAGCCGTGATCGAGCCACTGCACTCCAGCCTGTGCGACAGAGGAAGACCCTGACCTATAAAAACGCAAACAAAGTAGTGAAGAGAGATGTATCAGTTATCTACTGCCGTATAACAAACCACCAGGAAACAGCGCATCCTCGTACAAGCCGCATGAATGCAGAGGAAAGCGAGCAGAGGCATTTCGAGGTCCCGCCCAACAGACTCCCTCCATCGTGGTCCCGCCCCCACCCCAAGCCGCCGCCGGGTTCTGCCCCCACGGTGCCCAGTGAAGCCGGAGGGACGGGGTCCAACCGTTGTCGGCTGCGCGGAAACTGGGACTTCTCCCCAGGGTCGTGGAGGACGCGGCCGCCGACCCTCCCACCGCCTCACGCCTCGGAGACCGGGTCCAGAGCCCTCAGCCGCTTCCGAGCCCCGAGAGGGGAATCAGAAGTGCGCGTGATCAGAGCGGCACCCCCTTCCCAGGAACCGCAGCTGAACCAACGGTTTCCCCTGCACCAGCCTTTGCGACCAGGTGGGGCTTCAGGTGCGGCTTCGCCACGTGGAGGCAGGAAGACCCGGGCAGGGACTCGGTGAGGGGGAGACGGGGGTGGGGTCTTGGTGACCGAGAGACGGGGGCGGAGACTTGGTGAGGGGAGACGGAGGCGGGGACTCGGTGAGAGGATTGACGGGGGCGGGGACTCGGTGAGGGAGAGACAGGGGCGGGAATCGGTGAGGGGAGACGGAGGCGGGGAATCGGTGAGGGGAGAGACGGGGGCGGGGACTCGGTGACGGGGAGACGGGGGCGGGAATCGGTGAGGGGACGACGGGGGCGGGGACTCGGTGAGGGAAGAGAAGAGGGCGGGACTCGGTGAGGGGGAGACGGGGGCGGGGACTTGGTGAGCGGACGACGGGGGCGGGGACTCGGTGAGGGGAGAGAAGAGGGACTAGGTGAGGGGGAGACAGGGACTCGATGACAGACAGGGCAGGGTCTCGGTGAGGGGAACCGGGGGCCGGGGACTTCGTAAGGGAGAGACAGGGGTGGGGATTAGGTGATGGGGAGACTGGGACGAGAACTCGGTGAGGGAGAGACGGGGGGCGGGGACTCGGTGAGGGGCTGTCAGAGGCGGGACCTCAGTGAGGGGAGAGAAGAGGGCGGGATCTCAGTGAAGGGAGAGAAGAGGGCGGGGACTCGATGAGGGGGAGACGGGGCCGGGGACTCGATGACGGGAAGGGTAGGGGACTCGATGAAGGAGAGACGGTGGCGGGGACTCGATGAGGGAGAGGCGGGGGCGGGGTCTCGGTGAGGGGAGAGACAGGGATGGGAACTCGGTGAGGGGGAGGCGGGGGCGGGGACTCGGTGAGGGAGAGGCGGGGGTGGAGACTTGATGAAGGATAGACGGGGCGGGTACTCGATGAGGGGGAGTCGGGGGCGGGGTCTCCGTGAGGGGAGAGACGAGGGCGGGGTCTCAGTAAGGGAGAGGCAGGGATGGGGACTCAGTGAGGGGGAGGCGGGGGCGGGGACTCGGTGAGGGCGAGGCGGGGCGGAGACTCGATGACGGAGGACGGGGGCGGAGACTCGATGAGGGCGAGACGGGGGCGGGGTCTCAGTGGGGGAGAGACAGGGATGGGGACTCGGTGAGGGCGAGGCGGGGGCGGGGACTTGGTGAGGGCGAGATGGGGGAGCGGTCTCGGTGACGGGGAGACGGGGTAAGGTCTCTGTGAGCGTAGATGGGGCTGGTGTCTCAGTGAAGGCGCAATGGGGGCGGGGATTCAGTGAAGGCGGAGACCGAGGTGGAGTCTCCCTGAGTGTGGAGATGAAGGTAGAGACTCCGTGTAGGATAGGAGGACCGGGACTCAGTGATGCGGGAGTCTGTGGGCGGAGGATTACCCAGGTGCCCAGGCAAGAGACTGAAGGCACAAACTGTTTCAGTATAATAAAGAAAACAGTTAGAATAAGAATAGTTATAAATTAGATATAGAGATGATCATGGACATTATCAATCATTAGTATGAACATTATTAATCATTAGCTTTTAATATTACTCTTTGTTGTATTACTAACATAACCAAGGAATAACGGGCGGGTGTAGGATCAGGTGCTGAAGGGACATTGTGAGAAGTGACCAAGAAAGCAAGAGGTGAGCCCTCTGTCAGGCCCGCATAAGGGCCGCTTGAGGGCTCCTTGGTCAAGCGGTAATGCCAGTGCCTGGGAAGGCACCCGTTACTTAGCAGACCATGAAAGGGAGTCTCCCTTTCCTTGGAGGAGTCAGGGAACACTCTGCTCCACCAGCTTCTTGTGGGAGGTTGGATATTATCCAGGCCTGCCCGCAGCCATCCGGAGGCATAAACCCCTCCCTGTGGTGCTGTGCTTCAGTGGTCACTTTTCTTGTCCACTTTCATATTCCTCCGGTACTCCTGGTTCCTCTTTGAATTTCTTAGAAGATAGTGGTAGAAGAAATAGTGAAAGTCTTAAAGTCTTTTATCTTTCTGATAAGTGCGTAAAAGAAAACACTGGGCCGGGCGCAGTGGCTCATGCCTGTAATCCCAGCACTTTGGGAGGCCGAGGCGGGTGGATCACGAGGTCAGGACTTCAAGACCAGCCTGGCCAAGAAGGTGAAACCCCATCTCCACTAAAAATACAAAAAATTAGCTGGGTGCAGTGGCAGGCGCCTGTAATCCCAGCTACTTGGGAGGCTGAGGCAGGAGAATCGCTTGAACTCGGAGGGCGGAGGTTGCAGTGAGCTGAGATCGGGCCATTGCACTACAGCCTGGTGACAGAGTGAGACTCTGTCTCGGGGGAAAAAAAAAAAAAAAAAAAGAAAATGCTGATGTATGCTGTCTTCCCTCTCTTCTTCAGCTACCTATAAGGGAAGGGCCCCCTGTCCTATGATCACGTGACTTGCTTGACCTTATCAATCACTTGGATGACTCACCCTCCTTACCCTGCCCCCTTGTCTTATATACAATAAATATCAGTGCATCCGCCATTTGGGGCCACTACTGGTCTCTGCGTCTTGGTGGCAGTGGTCCTCAGGGCCCAGCTGTCTTCTCTTTATCTCTTTGTCTTGTGTCTTTATTTCTTATGATCTCTCATCTCCACACATGGGGAGAACACCCGCAAAGCCCTGTAGGGCTGGACTCTACCAGGAGATGGAGCCCGGGACTCAGTTGTGGGGAAAAGAAAGAGAGATCAGATTGTTACTATGTCTATGTAGAAAAGGAAGACATAAATTCCACTTTGATCTGTATTAAGAAACATTGTTTTGCTTTGAGATGCTGTGAGTCTTAACTTTAGCCCCAACCCTGTGCTCACAGAAACATGTGCTGTATTGAATCAAAGTTTAATGGACTTAGGGCTGTGCAGGATGCCTTGTTAACAGTATGTTTGCAGGCAGTATGCTTGGTAAAAGTCATCGCCATTCTCCATTCTCGATTAACCAGGGACACAATGCACTGCGGAAAGCCGCAGGGACCTCTGCCCAAGAAAGCTCTGAGATGGCCTGAGATATGGCCTCATGGGAAAGGAAAGACCTTACCATCCCCCAGCCTGACACCCCTAAAGGGTCTGTGCTGAGGAGGAGTAGTGAAAGAGGGAGGCCTCTTTGCAGTTGAGATAAGAGGAAGGCTTCTCTCTCCTGCTCCTTCCTGGGAATGGAATGTCTCCGTGTAAACTGACCATTCCCATTCGTTCAATTCTGAGATAGGAGAAAACTGCCCTGTGACTAGAGGCGGGATATGCTGGCAGCAATACTGCTCTGTTACTCTTTGCTACACTGAGATGTTTGTGTAAAGTGAAACTTAAATCAGGCCTACGTGCACATCCAGGCACAGTACCTTTCCTTGAACTTATTCGTGATACAGATTCCTTTGCTCACATGTTTCCCTGCTGACCTTCTCCCCACCTGTTGCCCTGCTACACTCCCCTCACTAAGATAGTAAAAATAATGATCAGTAAATACCGAGGAAACTCAGAGACAGCCAGCGGTGCAGGTCCCCTGGGCCCACTGTTCTTTCTCCATACTTTGTCTCTGTGTCTTATTTCTTTTCTCAGCCTCTCATCCCACCTGACGAGAAATACCCAGAGGTGTGGAGGGGGAGGCCCCCTTCACTCGGTGAGGGGACAGACAGAGGTTAGATCTCGGTGAGGGGTGGGCAGAGCAGAGTCATCGAGGGGACAGACGGAGGCAGGGTCTTGGTGATGGAGAGATGGGGGCGGGTTCTCAGAGAAGGATGAGCGCGGGTTCTCGATGAGGTGAGAGACGGGGGCGGGGTCTCAGTGAGGGAGAGATGAGGGCCAGATATTGTGAGGCTGCATATTGCAATGATGCATATTTCCCAGTCTCACTGACTTCTTATGTTTAGGTCAGTATATGAAAAAATCTACATGGGCCTGGACTTTATTTTTTTCTTTCCTTTTTTTTTTTTCAGACGGAGTCTTTTTTCTTATTCTTAAAAAAACAAAAATTCTTAGCTGGGTGCGGTGGCTCATGCCTGTAATACCAGCACTTTGGGAGGCCGAGGTGGGCGGATCACCTGAGGGTGGGAGTTCAAGACTAGCCTGGCCAACATGGAGAAACCCCGTCTCTACTGAAAATACAAAATTAGCCAAGTGTGGTGACACATGTCAGTAATCCCAGCTTCTCGGGCGGCTGAGGAAGGAAAATCGCTTGAACATGGGAGGCGGAGGTTGCAGTGAGCCAAGATCACACCATTGCTCTCCAGCCTGGGCAAGAAGAGTGAAACTCTGTCTCAAAAAAAAAAAAAAATCTTAAAAAAAAATCACCATTATCGAGCTGGATGCAGTGGCTCACTCCTGTAATCCCAGCACTTTGTGAGGCCGAGGCGGGCGGATCGCTTGAGCTCAGAAGTTCCAGACTAGCCTGGGCAACATGGTGAAACCCCGTCTCTACCAAAAATACAAAAATTAGCCGGGCATGGTGGTGTGCAACTGTAGTTCCAGCTACTTGGGGGGCTGAGGTGGGAGGATCCTCTGAGCCCAGGAAGTCGAAGCTGCATTGAGCCATGATCACGTCACTGCACTCCAGCTTGGGTGACAAAGCTAGATCTTGTGTCAAAAACAAAACAAAACAAAGCACCATTATGTCATCATTTTTTATCCAAAAACATAAATTTTGAAGGCCTGGCACAGTGACTCATACCTGTACTCCCAGCACTGGGAGGCTGCAGCAGGACGATAACTTGAGCCCAGGAGTTTGAGGCTGTAGTGAGTTGTGATCGCACCACTGCACTCCAGCCTGGGTGACAGAGTGAGACACTGTCTCAAAAAAACAAACAAAAAACAAACTGATGGTCAGGCGAGGTGGCTCACACCTGTAATCCCAGCGCTCTGGGAGGCTGAGGCCGACGGATCATGAGGTCAGGAGATGGAGAACATGCTGGCCAACATGGTAAAACCTGGTCTCTACTAAAAATACAAAAAATTATCTGGTCGTGGTGGCACGCGCCTGTAGTCCCAGCTATTTGGGAGGCTGAGGCAGGAGAATTGCTTGAACCTGGGAGTCGGTTGCAGTGAGCCGAGATCGCGCCACTGCACTCCAGCCTGGCGACAGAGCAAGACTCTGTCTCAAAAACAAAAAACAAAAAACAAAAACAAAAACAAAAACCTGATTTACTTCTTTTCCCAATTCATTTCAGACCAGAAGACCATGTAGCACCAAAAAGATAGCTGCAAAGCGGAATAAAGTTGGGGAAAACAATCTGCTGGCCGGAAGAGAGTAAGATGCAGGAGGATGATTGCCGGTTCTCCGCAGCACGAGTCAGGGAGGCCATGAGATGGAAGAGCCACCCCACAATGGGAAGAACCTGGAGACAAGGTTCTCCTTGTCTATGCCCAAGAGAAGCCACCCTTCAGGAGAGAGTTTCTGAGTTTCATGAACTTGGGGAACATTCTAAACCTATTCAAAATATGCTTACTCACAGAGAGGTCTCACAAGTAGGCACGTCGTCCATAAATGAGACTCGCATGTTGAATATTTACACAGAATTCAGTTTTTGTTTAGATGACTATCAGAATAAAATATCTGTGTATGAAAAGCCTTATGAATGTCATGACTATAATGGAACCTATGGCAAAGCATTCATCGTACTCAATTTGAAGGAATTCAGACAAGGCAGAAGCAGTCTAGGTGCTCTGAAAATGGCAGCAATTTTTTTTTTTTTTTTGCGACAGAGTCTCGCGTCTTGCTCTGTCACCCAGGCTGGGTTGCAGTGGCATGATCTCGGCTCCTGCAATCTTCTCCTCCCGGGTTCAGGCGATTCTCCCACATCAGCCTCCCAAGTAGCTGGGATTACAGGCATATACCACCACGCCCGGCTAATCTTTGCATTTTTAGTAGAGATGAGTTTTCACCATGTTGGCCATGCTGGTCTCAAACTCCTGACCACAACTGATCCGCCCACTTCGGCCTCCAAATGTGCTGGGATTATAGGCATGAGCCACCACACCCAACCTAAATGGCAGCAGCTTCTAATGTAGCAATGCACTTGCTTGCTTGTCAAGACAGACTTTCCATGGGGGAGAATCCCTATGAGTGCAATAAGAGTGACAAAGTCTTCAGTTGATTAGTTATCCCTTAATTGACAGGCATCGACTCAACGTGGTGAGAAGCCACATGTACATAATCCATGTGGAAAAACCAGGCCTGGAGCGGTGGCTCACGTCTGTAATCCCAACACTTTGAAGACTGATTACAAACTGGGAGGTTGAGGTAGGAGAATCCCTTGAGCCCAGGAGTTCAAGACCAACCTGGGCAATATAGTGCAACCGCTATCTCCACAAAAAATTAGCCTGCTGTGGTGTCACGAGCCTGTAGTCCCACCTACTAGAGGAATTGAGGCCGGAGGGTCACTTTAGCCCAGGGGTTGGAGGCTGCAGTGGTGAGGGTCTCGGTGAGGGGGACATGGGGGCGGGCACCCGGTGAGGGACAGACGGGGGCGGGAGCCATGATTGCGCCACTCACTCCAGCCTGGGCAACAGAGGGAGATCCTGACCTTAAAAAAACCCTCTTCACTATTATTTTTGGTATAAAATAAAAAATTATTTAAAAATTGTATTAGGAAATAAAAATATTAGTGAAAAGGGATGTATCAGTTATCTACTGCTGTATAACAAACCACCTGGAAACAGCGCATACTCGTACATGGCGGCATAAGCGCAGAGGAAAGCGAGCAGAGGCATTTCGAGGTCCAGCCCAACCGACTCCCTCCATCATGGTCCAGCCCCCCATACGTCCTCCCGCCGGGTTCCGCCCCCACGGTCCCCAGTGAAGCCGGAGGGCGGGGTCCAATCGCGTTTGGCTGCGCGGAAACTAAGACTTCTCCCCAGAGTTGCGGAGGACGCGGCCGCCGCCCCTCCCAACTCCTCAGGCCTCCGAGGCCGGGTCCAGAGCCCTCAGTTCCTTCTGAAACCCTGGAGCGGAATCAGAAGTGCGCGTGGCCACAGCGGCGCCTCCTGCCCTTTAGCCGCCGCTGGCCCAACGGTTTCCCCAGCAGTAGCCTCTGCGACCAGGTGCGGCTTCAGGTGCGGCTTAGCCACCCGGAGGGAGGCAGACGGGGGCGGGGTCTCGGTGAGGGAGAGATGGGAGCGGGGACTGGGTGAAGGGCGAGATGGGGGTGGGGTCTCGGTGAGGGTGAGACGGGGGCGGAGCCTCGGTGAGGGGGAGATGGGGGCAAGGTCTTGGTGAGGGAGAGATGGGGGCGGGGACTCGGTGAGAGGGAGATGGGGGCGGGGTCTGGGTGAGGGAGAGACGGGGGCGGAGTCTCGGTGAGGGGGAGATGGGGCGGGGTCTCGGTGAGGGAGAGATGGGGCGGGGTCTGGGTGAGGGAGAGACGCGGGCGGCGACTCGGCGAGGGAGAGATGGGGGCGGGGACTCGGTCTTGGTTGAGACAGGGGCGGGGACTCCGTGAGCGAGAGACGGGGGCGGGGAGTCGGTGAAGGGAGAGATGGGGGTGGGGTCTCCGTGAAAGAGAGTAGTGGTGAGGGGACAGACTGGGAGGCTGACGCAGGCGGATCACGAGGGCAATCGATTAAGACCATACTGGCCAACATGGTGAAACCCCATCTCTACTAAAAATACAAAAATTAGCTGGGCATGCTGGC
Organism: Homo sapiens; assembly: GCF_000001405.40. Taxonomy (NCBI): domain Eukaryota; kingdom Metazoa; phylum Chordata; class Mammalia; order Primates; family Hominidae; genus Homo; species Homo sapiens. Next base: position 9,785,346 of record NC_000019.10, on the reverse strand, counting down.
AGGCGCCTGTAGTCCCAGCTACTGGGGAGGCTGAGGCAGGAGAATCGCTTGAACCTGGGAGGCGGAAGTTGCAGTGAGCCGAGATCGGGCCACTCCAGCCTGGTGATAGAGCGAGACTCCGTCTCAAAAAAAAAAAAAAAAAAAAATCTCGGTGAAGGGGGAGACAGGGTGGGGTCTCAGTAGTGAGAGAACAGATGGGGCCGGGGTATTGTGAGGCTGCATCAATGATGCATATTTCCCAGTCTCACTGACTTCTTATGGTTAGGTCAGTATATGTGCGGGGGAAAAGAAAGAGAGATCAGACTGTTACTTGTGGGGAAAAGAGAGATCAGACTGTTACTGTGTCTATGTAGAAAAAGGAAGACACAAGAAACTCCATTTTGATCTGTACTTAGAAAAATTCTTCTGCTTTGAGATGCTGTTAATCTGTAACCTTAGCCCCAACCCTGTGCTTGCAAAAACATGTGCTGTGTTGACTCAAGGTTTAATGGATTTAGGGCTGTGCAGGATGTGCTTTGTTAAAAATGTGTTTGCAGGCAGTATGCTTGGTAAAAGGCATCGCCATGCTCCATTCTCGGTTACCCAGGGACACAGTGCACTGTGGAAGGCCGCAGGCACCTCTGCCCAAGAAAGCCCGGGTATTGTCCAAGGTTTCCCCCCACTGAGACAGCCTGAGATATGGCCTTGTGGGAAGGGAAAGACCTTACTGTCCCCCAGCCTGACACCCGTAAAGGGTCTGTGCTGAGGAGGATTAGTGAAAGAGGAAGGCCTCTTTGCAGTTGAGATAAGAGGAAAGCATCTGTCTCCTGCTCATCCCTGGGAATGGAATGTCTTGGTGTAAAACCCGATTGCACATTCTATTTACTGAGATAGGAGAAAACCGCCTTATGGCTGGAGGTGAGACATGCTGGCGGCAATACTGCACTGAGATGTTTGTGTAAAGTGAAACATAAATCTGGCCTACATGCACATCCAGGCACAGCACCGTTCCTTAAACTTATTTGTGACATAGCGTCCTTTGCTCACATTTTCCTGCTGACCCTCTCCCTACCATTACCCTATAGTCCTGCCACATCCCCCTTGCCCAGATAGTAGAGAAAGTGATCAATAAATACTGAGGGAACTCAGAGACCAGTGCCGGTGCAGATCCTCACTTGCTGAGCACCCGTCTCCTGGGCCCACTTTTCTTCCTCTATACTTTGTGTCTTATTTCCTTTTCTCAGTCTCTTGTCTCCACCTTGCGAGAAATACCAACAGGTGTGGAGGGGCAGGCCCCCTTCAATACGAAAAAAATCTACATGGGCCTGGACTTTTTTTCTTTAGGAAAAAAAATCACCATTATCTGGCCAGGCGCGATGGCTAGTGCCTGCAGTCCCAACACTTTGGGAGGCCGAAGCGGGCAGATCGCTTGAGCTCAGAAGTTCAAGACCAGTCTGGACAATATGGCAAAACCCGGTATCTACAAAAATAAAAATAAATAAAAATAAAAATTAGCCAAGCATAGTGGCACTGTGCCTGTAGTTCCAACTACTTGGGGGGCTGAGGTGGGAGGATCACCTGAGCTTGGGAGGTTGAGGTGGTGGTGAACAGTGATTGTGCCACTGTACTCCATCCAGGCGACAGAGTAAGACCCTGTCTGAAATTAAAAAAAAAAACAAAAACAAAACTGGCCGGACACGGTGACTCACACCTGTAATCCCAGCACTTGAGCTCAGGAGTTGGAGACCAGCCTGGTGAAATTATGTCTCATTATTATTTATACAAAATAAACTTTTAAAGAATATATATATATATATATATATTTTTTTTTTTTTTTTTTTAGTGATGAGACTCTCACTATGTTGCCCAGGCTGGAGGGCAGTGGCTATTCATAGTGGCAATCATAGCACACTGCAGCCTTGAACTCCTGGCCAACATGGCGAAACCCTGTCTCTACTAAAAATACAAAATTAGCTAGGCATGGTGATGCGGGTCTGTAATCCCAGCTACTAGGGAGGCTGAGGCAGGAGAATCGCTTGAACTTGGGAGTTGGAGGTTGCAGTGAGCTGAGATCGTGCTACTGCACTCCAGCCCAGGTGACAGAAAGCTAGACTCCATCTCAAAAAAAAAAAAAAAAAAAAAAAAAAAAGAATTATAGGGAGAAGTCCAGGTACTCAGGTCTGTATTTCAGCACTTTGGGAGGCCAAGGGGTGGCTCAAGTGATCAAGAGCAGCCTGGGCAAGATAGTAAAAACCCATCTTTACAAAAAAATTTAAAAATCAGCCAGGCATGGTGGCATACATCTATGGTCCCTGCTACTGGGGAGGTTGAGGTGGGAGGATTGCTTGAGCCTGGGAGGTCAAGGCTGCAGTGAGCCATGATCATGCTACTGCACTCCATCCTGGGTGACAGAGCAAGACCCTGTCTCTTAAAAAAAAAAAAGTTACAGGGAGATAGTGTTATGTATGGAGTGCTTGAAGAGGTAGAAGATCTAGAAAGAGCCACAGGTGTGCATTTTGAGAGAGTTAAAGGAAGTTGAGGAAAGCCATTTGTTCCTTTCAAATGCATATGGTGTCCTATTTAACCAAAATTATATCCCAGTAACATTTCTTTTCCATCTAGCTGTGTATTTATGGGTAACCTAATGTAACAGACACATATCAAAGTTTCAGTTAATTTCCTACTCATGTAACAATCTAAATTTAGTTGGCTTTCTTCCCCTGGTGGTGCAGAAACCCAGTATCTTTCAATGTTGAGACACCATGTACATCTAGGTGGAAAGGGAAAGTAAAAATAGAGAAAGCTGGCTGGGCATGGTGACTCATGCCTGCAATCCCAGTGCTTTGGGAGGCTGAGTCGGGAGGACTGCCTGAGACCAGGAGTTGGAGACAAGCCTGGGCAACCTAGCAAGACCCCATCTCTGGAACAAAAAATTAAAAATTAGGTGTGGTGGTGCACACCTGAAGTTCCAGCTACGTGGGAGGCTGAGGCTGGAGGATTGCTTGAGCCCAGAAGTTTGAGGCTGCAGTGAGCTGTGCAGCACCACTGCACTCTAGCCTGGGTGAGAGATTGAGACCCTGTCTAATAAAAAAGAGAAAGCACATTGCTCTTTGGCTAACACGACACATTTTTTTCCTTTAACATTTTGTGGTAAAAACTAGTCACAAGGGCTAGTGCCATTCCTGGTGGGGCAGCTATTTTTCAGCAATCACTCTGTATTCTGGAAGGGAAGAAAAATATTGAGGGAAAGTTCTTCTATCTCTGGATTCTGCTAACTTAAAAAAATTATTAGGCCGGGTGCGGTGGCTCACACATGTAATCCCAGCACTTTGGGAGGCTGAGGTGGGTGGATCATCTGGAGTCAGGAGTTCGAGACCAGCTTGGCCAACATGGTGAAACCCCATCTCTACTAAAAATACAAAATTAGCAGGGCATGGTGATGTGCACCTGTAATCCCAGCTACTTGGGAGGCTGAGACAGGAGAATCCCTTGAACCCGGAGGCGGAGGTTGTAGTGAGTCAAGATCGCACCATTGCACTCCAGCCTGGGCAACAAGAGCGACACTCCATCTCAAAAAAAAAAAAAAAAAATTGTTTGCCCTTGGGAAATTTCTCTATTTTCTTTTTCATTGATAGAGCAATTAAAAAATAAAGGGTTTTGTTTTTGTTTTTGTTTTTTCCACTTGCTTTGCTGTAAAGAAAAAAGTTTTTTTTTGTGGGATCTGGGATTTTATATCAAGACAGTCTTTCAGAAGACTGTTTGCCTAACTTCCACAAGCAGGTGTCTAGACTAAAATTAGTTTCTACTTTCCTGGAGTTCATCAGACAGCATGAAAGATAAACAGCGCAAGTGATAAAGCGTTATGACAAGACTTATAATAAAGGAATTTCAAAGGGGCTATGGGGTGCTGGGAGGGGAGGGATAAGAGTGCACCTAACAGTGGGTGGGACATGGTGGCCCATACCTGTAAATCCAGCACTTTGGGAGGCCAATGTGGGCAGATCACTTGAGGTCAGGAGTTCAAGACCAGCCTGGCCAACATGGTGAAACCCCATCTCTCCTAAAAATACAAAAATTACAGGGCGTGGTGGTGCATGCCTGTAATTCCAGCTACTCAGGAGGCTGGGGCAGGAGAATTCGCTTGGACCTGGGAGGCAGAGGTTGCAGTGAGCCAAGATCCGCCACTGGGCTACAGAGGGAGATTCCATCTCAAAACAAACAAACAAACAAAAAAACACCTAACAGGATATTTTCTCCAGAGGAGGCAAGGTTGACTTAAGTTCTGAAAGATGTGTAGGACTATATCAAGTGGACAAGAAGAGCATATGAATGCAGAAGCCAAGTCAGTAATTCTCAACCTAATCCTTATAGAATGTCCTGGAAACTTGAGAAATGTACTAAGGGCTGAGTCCTACCTCAGACCAATTAAAACAGCATTTATGGGGATGTGTCATGGGTATCAGTGTTTTTAAAAGTCCTCCAGTGAATCTAATGTGCAGCCACTGTTGAAAACTACTGCATAAGGGCCATGGTGAATTCATGAAAGTTAACTGATTTTGGTATGTCTGGAGTCTCTAACTGTGGAACATTAGAACTGGGAGTAAAACATCACTAGGTCAGGCTGAGTGCAGTGGCTCACACCTGTAATCCCAGCATTTTGGGAGGCTGAGGCAGGTGGATCACTTGAGGTCAGGAGTTCAAGACCAGCCTAGCCAACATGGTGAAACCCTACCTCTACTAAAATACAAAAATTAGCCGGGCATGATGGTGCACACCTGTAGTCCCAGCTACTCGGGAGACTGAGGCAGGAGAATCGCTTGAACCTGGGAGGCAGAGGTTGCAGTGAGCTGAGATCACACCACTGCACTCCATCCTGGGTGATAGAGCAAGGCTCCATCTTAAAAAAAAAAATCACTAGGTAATATCATGATGAAAATTTAAGACTGTTTAAGAAGATTTGAGTGGAGTCTTAAAACATTTCAGAGAACTAAGGGAAACTTGCTGGGTGTGGTGGCACATGCCTGTAGTCCTAGTTATTGGGGAGGCTGGGGCGGGAGGATCACTTGAGCCTGGGAGTTGTAAGCTGCAGTGTACATGATCATGCCTGTGAATGACCACTCCACTCCAGCCTGGGCTATATAGCAAGACCCTGTCTTTAAACAGAAAGAAAAAAAGAGTGGCCAGGTGCAGTGGCTCATGCCTATAATTCCAGCACTTAAGAGGCTGAGGTAGGGGGATTGCTTGAGCCCAGGAGTTTGAGACCAGGCTGGGCAATATAGTGAGACCTCATCTCTACAAAAAAAAAAACAAAAAAAAAAACAAAATTAGCTGGGCATGGTGGCATGCATTTGTAGTCCTAGCTACTTGAGAGGCTGAGGTGGGAGGATCTCTTGAGACCAGGAGGTCAAGGCTGCAGTGAGTGAAGATCACTGTACTACACTCCAGCCTGAGTGACAGGAGTGACAGCCTATCTAAAAAAAAAAAAAAGTCGTGATGGCCGGGCGTGGTGACTCATGCTTGTAATCCTAGCACTTTGGGAGTTGGAGGTGGGTGGATCACCTGAAGGTCAGGAGTTCGAGACCAGCCTGGCCAACATGGTGAAACCTCGTCTCTACTAACAATACAAAAAATTAGCTGGGTGTGGTGGTGGGCACCTGTAATCCCAGCTGCTTGGGAGGCTGAGGCAGGAGAATTCCTTGAACCTGGGAGGCAGAAGCTGCAGTGAGCTGAGATCACGCCATTACACTCTAGCCTGGGCAACAAGAGTGAAACTTGGCCTCAAAAAAAAAAAAAAAATTCTGGTGGGGTGCAGTGGCTCATGCCTGTAATCCCAGCACTTTGGGAAGCTGAGGCAGACAGATCACCTGAGGTCGGGAGTTTGAGACCAGCCTGACCAACATGGAGAAACCCTGTCTCTACTAAAAATATAAAATTAGCCAGGCGTGGTGGCGCATGCCTGTAATCCCAGCTACTTGGGAGGCTGAGGCAGGAGAATCGCTTGAACCCGGGAGGCGGAGGTTGCGGTAAGCCATGATCGTGTTATTACACTCCAGCCTGGGCAACAAGAGTGAAACTCAGTCTCAAAAATAAATAAATAAATAAATAAATTCCTTTTATTCTAACTTCTGGAAGTAACATTTCTTCCAAAGGAACCAACCTCTTTTCAAGGTGACACCCCGAAGCTACAGTTGGCTGAAATGTCAGAGTTAAATCGTCTCACATGAGCATTCTATTCAACTATTTACCCTCAGAGCTAGAAAGTGGATATTAATCTAACCCTCATTTTACAAATGAAAAATATTATGCACAGAGAGTTTAAGCCTAGATTCAATCTCAGGCAGTCTGATTCCAGAGGAATATTGTTTCAACATTGGGTTATAAAGTATCAGTTTTCTTATATACTAGCATAGTATTAAACTTTGAAGATAGGGCATGGTGGCTAACACCTGTAGTCCCAGCTACTGGGGAGGCTGAGTTGGGAGGATGGATTGAGCCCAGGAGTTGGAATCCAGCCTGGGCAACATAGCGAGACCTTGCGTCTTTTTTTTTTTTTTTTTTTTTTTTGAGACGAGTTTTCGCTCTTGTTGCCCAAGCTGCACTGCAATGGCATGATCTCAGCTCACTGCAACCTCTGCCTCCTGGGTTCAAGCAATTCTCCCGTCTCAGCCTCCTCAGTAGCTGGGATTACAGGCACATGCCACCTCACCTGGCTGTTTTGTATTTTTAGTAGAAACAGGGTTTCACCATGTTAGCCAGGCTGGTCTCAAACTCCTGACCTCAGGTGATCCATCCGCCTTGGCCTCCCAAAGTGCTGGGATTATAGGCCTGAGCCACAGTGCCCGGCCCCCTCATGGTTTCTTTTAGCTTGTTTTTCTGTCACCTGCATTTTCTGTAAATTGGGAGGTAGGTCTAGAGCAGTGATTTCCAATGGGGATGATTTTACTCCTGGGGGACAGTTAGCAATGTCTGGAGACATTTTTGGTTGTCACTACTGGGGATGCCTTTGACATCATCCATGGAGAGGTCTGGGATGCAACAGCTGAAATCTCCTTTGAATCCCTGTAGTGAATTTTTCATTTTAATTATTGTATTTTTTAGCTCCAGAATTTCTTCTTGGTTTCTTTTTAGGTTTTCTATCTCTTGATTGTTATTTATATTCTGTTCATACATCATTTTCTTGAGTTTTTCCATGTCTTCCTTTAGTTCTTTGAACATCTTTAAGGCAGTTGTTTTAAAGTCCTTGTCTAGTAGATATACCATTAGGTCTCTTCCAGGGAAAATTTATATTTATTTATTTTTTCTTTGAATGGGCCATACTTTCCTGTTTGTGTGCCTTGAGATTTTTGTTAAAAACTGGACATTTGAATCTGATAATACTGTAACTCTGGAAAGCTGATTCTCTCCTTTGTCCAGTGTTTGCTGGGTTTTTTCTGTATTGTTTTGGTTTGTACACCAGTGTTCATAGCACCGTTACTCACAATAGCTGCCAGTGTCAAACTCAAGTTTTAGTCTGGCTTTTTTTTTGTATTTTTTAGTAGAGATGGGGTTTTGCCATGTTAGCTAGCTTGGTCTCAGACTCCTGACCTCAGGTGATCCACCCACCTTGGCCTCCCAAAGTGCTAAAATGACAGGTATGAACCATCGCACCTGGCCCCAAACTCAAGTTTTTCCACATCCAATTGTTTAAATTTTTTTTTTTGGACAGAGTCTCACTTTGTTGCCAGGCTGGAATGCAGTGGCACGATCTGGGCTCACTGCAACCTCCGACTCCCTGGTTCAAGGGATTCTCCTGCCTCAGCCTCCCAAGTAGCTGGGATTACAGGCACATGCCACCACGCCCAGCTAATTTTTGTATTTTTAGTAGAGACGGGATTTCACCAGGTTGGCCAGGATGGTCTCGATCTCCTGACCTCGTGATCTGCCCACCTCGACCTCCAAAAGTGCTGGGATTACAGGCATGAGCCACCGCACCCGGCTCCAAACTCAAGTTTTTCCACACCCAATTGTTTTTAATTTTCTTTTGGTTTGTTTGTTTAAAGATAGGGTCTTGATTTGTTGCCCAGGCTGGAGTGCAGTGGCAGGATCACAGCTTATTGCAGCCTGAAACTCCTGGGTTCAAGCAATCCTCCTGCCTTGACCTCCCAAGTAGCTGGGATTACAGGTGCAAGCCACCATGCTTGGCCATCCAATTGTGTGTGTGTGTGTGTGTGTGTGTGTGCGTGTGTGTGTGTTTTCTTTCGTTCTTCTTCTTCTTTTTTTTAATGATCCTGAATCAATTGTTTTAAACATAGTCCAAACAAGCAGATTTTTTAGTCCTTTAGGGCCTGCCTGCTCTGCATACCCCGGTGAAATTGTGCCAACCATTTGATGACCACAGAGAAGATAAACCCTCCAGCTATAAAAAGGACCCCAATCCCTTGCTGCTCTTCAGAGCTTTCTGATTTAGAAACTTCCCACTAGGCTGCTAAGCAACTTCACCTAGCACATAAGCTCCCTCTCAACTCCCATTCTTTCCCTGGAGTTCTCTTGCTCTCCTCCCATTCTGAGTAGTGACCTCCAAGTCTGTAGCCTTTGGATATTCTCATGCTATGAGGGACTGCAGGGACCAGCCCCACAGGGTCGGTGGGCTTCTCCCTGTGTGTGGCGACAAGAGAGTGTAGAAATAAAGACACAAGACTAAGAGATAGAAGAAAAGACAGCTGGGCCTGGGGGACCGCTACCCCCAATGCACGGAGACCGGTAGTGGCCCCAAATGTCTGGCTGCGCTGTTATTTACTGGATACAAAGCAAAAGGGGCAGGGTAAAGAGTGTGAGTCATCTCCAATGATAGGTAAGGTCACGTGGGTCACGTGTCCACTGGACAGGGGGCCCTTCCCTGCCTGGCAGTTGAGGCAGAGAGGGAGAGGAGACAGAGAGAAAGACAGCTTATGCCATTATTTCTGCATATCAGAGACTTTTAGTACTTTCACTAATTTACTACTGCTATCTAGAAGGCAGAGCCAGGTGTACAGGATGGAACATGAAGGCGGACTAGGAGTGTGACCACTGAAGCACAGCATCACAGGGAGACGGTTGGGCCTCCAGATAACAGTGGGCAAGCCTGGCTGATGTCAGGCCCTCCACAAGAGGTGGAGGAGCAGAGTCTTCTATAAACCCCCCCGGGGAAAAGGAGACTCCCTTTCTCAGTCTGCTAAGTAGCGGGTGTTGTTCCTTGACAGTTTTCGCTACCGCTAGACCATGGTCCACCTGGCAATGGACGTCTTCCCAGACGCTGGCATTACCGCTAGACCAAGGAGCCCTTCTGGTGGCCCTGTCTGGGCATAACAGAAGGCTTGCACTCTTGTCTTCTGGTCACTCCTCACTATGTCCCCTCAGCTCCTATCTCTGTATAGCCTGATTTTTCCTAGGTTATGATTATAGAGCAAGGATTATTATAATATTGGAATAAAGAGTAATTGCCACAAACTAATGATTAATGATATTCATATATAATCATGTCTATGATCTATATCTGGTACAACTATTCTTGTTTTATGTTTTATTATACTGGAACAGCTCGTGTCCTCGGTCTCTTGCTTCAGCACCTGGGTGGCTTGCTGCCCACAAGGGACCCCACACACAAACCCATCAAAGCACTGCCCAAGTGAGCTACTGCTGCCTTGTGGTCACATATTTTACGTTAATCACCCAAAAATCATTCAAATACCCTACATATGCATATATTTTTGTTTTTCACATTTAGTTCCCTGATTCATTTGGAGTTTATTTTGTGAATGGTGTGAGTTATCCATGTAATTTTGTCTTTTTCCAGATGGCTAACCACTTAATCTTAGCACCTTTCATTGCAAACTGCATTTTTGCCCCAATTGATCTGAAATACCACCTTTCTGAACTGAATTCCCATATGTTCCTGGATCTATTTCTAGATATTCCATTTTATCCCATTTGTCTGTTTCCTGTTCCTGTTCCTATCCACAGTTTTAATTGTAGAGGCTTTATAGTATGTCTTAATATCTGTAGGGCATTGTCACTTTTGTTTTTCAGAGTTTTCTTGGGTATTATCAGACGTTTGTGCTCCCATGTGAACTTTAAAATTAATTTACAAAACTCCATTAAAAAGTTTGGTTTTTTATTGGGATTGTTATATATATATACACACACACACACACACACATATATATACACATATATATGTATATATATTTAAAACATCTTAGATTTTAATCCTTTCTTTACAGATTACCTACACCATTTTTCACTAAGAAAACTGTAGAAAGTTAGTAACTGCCACAAGTGAATGTCAGGCGGTGGCACGTGTCAATTTCCACAGAGTCCTGCTTTGCCGGGTGTCTGAATGCACTGCATGGGGCCTCTGCTTACACTTGCTGGAACCAATCGTGGCAGATTTTAGTCCACAGGTCACTTTCCCCATATTTCTTTGTAAACTCTTCAGCATTCTTACAGAATTTTTTACGGTCCTTAGAGTATTCTTCAGCTAGGTCAGCCCGAAGCGGGTGCTCGGGCTGGGGGTCATTCACCAGTGCTATGAGGGACTGGATTACTTGGTCGGTTTTGGTTGCTGGCTTCCAGTTTTCAGCACTAATTACTGACAGACAGACCTGCCCCTTTTCGTCGATATTTGGGTGATAGATCTTTGTTTTAAATGTGATCTTTGGTAGTTTGAATGGATACTCTGCTGGAAAGTTGATTTCGATTCTGAAGGTCACCTAATCATATGGAGAGTTGTCAGGAACAATAAGCCCTTGCTAAGTCAATAAATTAGCTTCATCAACCTGGATGTTACGGGAAGTTTTTCATCCCACATTTGCAGATTTCCTCAAGCTCTTAATCAGCCTCCTGCTGGCCGCCATCTTGGATTTGGTATTTTTTTTTTTTTTTTGAGACGGAGTCTTGCTCTGTTGCCCAGGCTGGAGTGCAGTGGCGCAATCTCAGTTCACTGCAAGCTCCACCTCCCGGGTTCACGCCATTCTCCTGCCTCAGCCTCCCGAGTAGCTGGGACTACAGGCACCTGCCACCACGCCTGGCTAATTTTTTGTATTTTTAGTAGAGACTGGGTTTCATCGTGTTAGCCAGGGTGGTCTCTATCTCCTGACCTCCTGATCCTCCTGCCTCAGCCTCCCAAAGTGCTGGGATTACAGGCATAAGACACTGCGCCCGGCCTGGGATTGTTATATTTTTGAGTTAACCTGTTAAGAATTGCTATCTATATGATGTTAAGTCATCTTATAGAAGAACAAGGAATTTTCCATTTGTTCAAGTCTATTTTGTGTCTTTCAAGAATGTTTGTTTTAAAGCTTCTTCATGTATGTTTTACACATTTTTTGATAAGTCTAAACCTAAGTATCTTTATGTTATTCTACATAAGTTTTATTACATCACCTTACTGGCTTTTGACTGGTAGATGAATGCCATTGGTTTTTAGATAGCAATTTCACATTCTGTTAACTTATTATTTTATTCTCTAGGGCTTTCCATATATAATATCACATCATCTGCAAAAAGAGATAGTTTCCTTCTTTTGCAATTCTATGCTTATTTACTTTTTCTTTTTCTTTTTCTTTTTTTGAGATGGAGTTTCGCTCTGTCGCCCAGGCTGAAGTGCAGTGGTGCAATCTCGGCTCACTGCAACCTCCACCTACCGGGTTCAAGTGATTCTCCTGCCTCAGCCTCCTGAGTAGTTGGGATTACAGGAGCATGCCACCATGTCTGGCTAATTTTTGTATTTTTAATAGAGACGGGATTTCACCATGTTGGCCAGGCTGGTCTCAAGCTCCTGACCTCAGGTGATCCTCCCACCTTGGCCTCCCAAATTGCTGGGATTACAGGTGTGAGCCACCGTGCCCAGCTGCAATTCTATGTTTCAAAATTAATTTTTCTTACTGAATTGTATTAGCTAATGCTTCCAGTACACACACACACAGACACACACACACACTCAGCTATAGGTACAGGCAATCATCTTAAGAAAGTATTCACTAATTTCTATTTTTCTGGAGTGCTGATATCAATAAGGGACATTGCACTGGGTGTGGTGTTGCACGCCTATAGCCCCAGCTACTCAGGAGGCTGAGGAAGGAGGATCCCTTGAGCCCAGGAGTTTGATCCAGCCTGCACAACATAGGAAGACCCTATCTCAAACAACAATAATAATAACAATAATAATAAATGAGTGTTGAATTTTTTCCAAAGGCTTCATCAGCATCTATGGAGAAAGTCACATGACTTGTTCTTGTAGATGTATTTTTATGGTGCATTATTTAATGGATTTTTTTTCTTTTCTTTTCTTTAGACAAGGTCTGGCTCTATCACCCAGGCTAGAGTGCAGGGGCATGGTCGGTTTTAGTTCACTGCAGCCTCCACTTCCTGGGTTCAAGCAATCCTCCCACTTCATCCTGAGTAGCTGAGATCACACACGACTAATTTTTGTCTTTTTTGTAGAGATGGGGTTTCAACATGTTGCCCAGGCTGGTCTGGAACTCATGAGCTTGGGCAATGCAACCTCCACCTCAGCCTCCCAAAGTGCTGATATTACAGGCATAAGGCACTGCACCTGGACTATTTAATGGATTTTCTAATAACTGCACTAATACTGCTGTTTTATGCTAAATTTCATGTGGGGATAGTTATTTTCTTAATGTGGTCTTGTATTTTATTTGCTAATAGCTAACAGCATATTTGAATCCATATTCATAATTGATATGGTTCTGCAATTTTTCATTTTTTGTACTCTACCACTTTTTTTTTTTTTCTGAGACGGAGTCTTGCTCTGTCACCACTGGAGTGCAACGGTATGATCTCAGCTCACTGCAACCTCTGCCTCCTGGGTTCAAGCGATTCTCCTGCCTCAGCCTCCTAAGTAGCTGTGATTACAGGTGCGTGCCACCACACCTGGCTGATTTTTGTATTTTTAGTAGAGACAGGGTTTCATCATGTTTGCCAGGCCAGTATCAAACTCCTGACCTCAGGTGACCCACTCACCTCGGCCTCCCAAAGTGCTGGGATTACAGGTGTGAGCCTCCATGCCCAGCCTCTACCACATTTTATATCAATGTTATACTTTCTTCATAAAAGGAATTAGGAAGTATTTCTTCATTTTCATTGTTCTTAAGTTATGGAGCACTGGGAATATTTGAACTTGGAAGGTTTGGTATAATTCTCCATTTAAAACATCTAAGCTCACATTTACAGTCTAATGATGGTTGACAAAGGTGTCAAAACAATTCAATGGGGAAAAATAGTATTTTAAATGAATGGGACATAGTCTTAAAAATGTCTGAAACAGGCTGGGCATGGTGGCTCACACCTGTATTCCCAGCAGTTTGGGAGGCTGAGGTGGGTGGATCACGAGGTCAAGAGACCGAGACCATCCTGACCAACACGGTGAAACCTCGTCTCTACTAAAAATACAAAAATTAGCTGGGCATGGTGGTGTGCACCTGTAGTCTCAGCTACTTGGGAGGCTGAGGCAGGAGAATCATTTGAACCCAGGAGGCGGAGGTTGCAGTGAGCCAAGATAGGCCACTGCACTCCAGCCTGGCAGCAGAGTGGAGACTCCATCTCAAAAAAGAAAAAAAAAAAGGACACTTGCACACACATGTTTACAGCCCACAATTTGCAACTGTAAAAATATGGAACCAGTCTCAATGCCCATCAACTAATAAGGGGATAACAAAAATGTGGTATATATACACCACAGAATACCACTCAGCTATAAAAAGCAAGAAAGTCATAGCATTCTGAGCAACCTGGATAGAGACTATTATTCTAAGTGAAGTAACTCAGGAATGGAAAACCATATATATGTTCTCACTTATAAGTGGGAACTAAGCTATGAGGATGCAAAGGCATAAGAATGATATAATGAACTTTGGGTGGGCGCAGTGGCTCACGCCTGTTATCCCAGCACTTTGGGAGGCCGAAGTGGGTGGATCACTTGAGGCCAGCAGTTCAAGACCAGCCTGGCCAACGTGGGAAAACCCCATCTCTACTAAAAATACAAAAATTAGCCAAGCATGGTGGCGCATGTCTGTAATCTCACTTACTCAGGAGGCTGAGGCAAGAGAACTGCTTGAACCTGGGAGGCGGAGGTTGCCAAGATCATGTCACTACACTCCAGCCTGGGCAACAGAATGAGACTCCATCTCAAAAAGAAAAAACAAAACAAAACAAAAAAGGATAGAAAGAAAGAATGCACTTTGGGGACTCTGGGGGAAGGGTGGGAGAAGGGTGAGGGATAAAAGTGGATAAAAAACTACACATTGGGTACATTGTACACTGCTCGGATGATGGGTGCACCAAAATCCCAGAAATCACCACTAAAGAACTTATCCATGTAACCCAAAACCACCTGTTTCCCAAAGGCTATTGAAATAAAAAATAAATAAATAAATAAACCTTTTTCCATTTTGGTTTACATTTATATTCTTTTTCTAGGTTTTATTTTTTGAGCTGGGGATTTATTTTTTATTTTTTATTTTTTTGAGACAGTTGTGCTCAGTTGCCCAGGCTGAAGTGCCGTGGCGCCATCTCAGCTCACTGCAACCTCCGCCTCCCAGGTTCAAGTGATTCTCCTGCCTCAGCCTCCCGAGAAGCTGGGATTACAGGTGCGCACCACCACGCCCTGCTGGTTTTTGTATTTTTTAGTAGAGACCGTGTTTCACCATGTTGGCCAGGCTGGTCTTAAACTCCTGTCCTCAGGTGATCCGCCTGCCTCGGCCTCCCAAAATGCTGGGATTACAGGTGTGAGCCACTGCACCCAGCTATTCTTATTTTTATTGACAAAAGTGTTTAGGAATATGAATGTTCCTTTGACCACTGCTTAAAATGCGTCTTGTATTATCCAAAAAAGCCAAAAAAAAAAAAAAAAGAGAAAACCCAATATCCAACAACTGATGTTATGATACAGCCATACAATGGAATCTTATTTAGTAAAAAAAAATTAAGTACTGATACATGCTAATTGGATGAACCTTGAAAACATTGAATGAAACAAGCCAAACACCACGTGTTTTATATTCTAATTCTACAGGCAATATCTACAGTAGGCAATCTATACAGACAGAAAGATTAGCTGTTGCTTTGGACTCTGGGGGTGGGGGTGGGGCTGGATGAGCAGATTGGGTGATCATGGCTAGGGTACTGGGTTTATTTTTGTGGTCATGAAAATGTTCTAAAATTGATTGTGATGATCGATGCACAAATATATGAATATACAAAAAGCCACGAAACTGTACACTTTAAACAGGTTAATTGTATGCTATGATAATTGTATCACAACAAAACTAAAGGCCTAAAGAAGGAACTGAATGTATCAGAGGCACAGAGCATTTTATGGATTAACAGGTTAATCTTTTTTTTTTTTTTTTTGAGACGGAGTCTCACTCTGTCGCCCAGGCTGGAGTACTGTGGCATCGTATCAGCTCACTGCAACCTCAGTCTCCTAGGTTCAAGCAATTCTCCTGCCTCAGCCTCTCGAGTAGCTGGGATTACAGGCGCCCACCACCACACCCGGCTATTTTTTAAAAAATATTTTTAGTAGAGATGGGGTTTCGGCATGTTGGCCAGGCTGGTCTCGAACTCCTGAACTCACGTGTTCCACCCGCCTCGGCTTCCCAAAGTGCTGGGATTACAGGCGTGAGCCACTGCCCCCAGCCCCATCAGGTTAATCTTTCAAACAGGGTGTCGCTGGTCTCGAACTCCTGGGCTCAAGCGATTCTCCCGCAGTAGCTAGGACTACAGCGGGATTATCTTTGTAAATATGTTTATATCCCTGCAGAGGGTTGAAGAAACAAGGAGAAAATCCTGCAGAAAAGAATTTCCCTAGGGTGGTGGCTCACGCCTATAATCCCAGCACTTTGGGAGGCCAAGGTGGAAGGATCACTGGAGCCCAGGAGTTCCAGATCAGCCTGGGTAACAAAGAGAGACCCTGTCTCTACAAAAAAATAAAAATAAAATAAAAATAAATTAGCCAGGCGTGGTGGCACACACCTGTGGTCCAAGCTGCTTGGGAGGCCGAGGGGGGAGGATCCTTTAGGCTCAGGAGTTCGAGACCAGCCTAGGGAACACAGTGAGACCCAAGTGTCTAGAAAAAGATAACTTAGCTGGGCGTGATGGGCCCAACTGTGGTCCAAGCTACTCCGGAGGCCGAGGCGGGAGGATAGCTTCAGCGCAGGAATTCCAGGCTGCAATGATCTATGACCGAGCCACTGCACTCCAGCCTAGGCGACAGACCGGAGCCTTATCTCAAAAAACTAAAAAGAGAAATTAAAAAAGAAAAGAAAAGCACTCGATGAGCATCCCGCTGTCTGCAATCGAAGCCTTAGGTGACGCCTCCACGCGTGCCCCGCCCGCTGCGCCAGTCCCCGCCTCCAACCCGGCCCTTGGCGCTGGGTTTCCTGGTCCGGCGTCGTTCCCAATATCGACAGATTGATCTGGATCCTGGTCCACCTGGGATGCGAGAAAACGGGACTTTTCTGTACGCGTGTCGAAGAGGTGGCCCCAGCTCTTCTCTCAGCTTCACATCATCCTCATTCCAAAGCTCTTGGGGCTCGGCCCCTACACTTAATGCCGTGCGCAACCGGAAGCGGAAGTGCCAGCCGGCGCGCAGCTATACGTATTCCCCGCTCTCCAGCAGCTTCCTAGCTGGGTTTTCACCTCAGCCAGCGCTCATGCTCAACCTAGGCAGGGCGGGGCAGGAGGGCCTAGCGGGAGGCGGAGCGAGGGTCGGAGGGTGACGCTCCGGACTTCTGCTAGGTCTGAGACGCGCCGGCCTCCCGCTGCTGCTCCGGAGAAGCGGCGCCTCCTCCCCGCCAGGACCCCGAGGCGGGGGGTTCCCGCCTTCTCTTCTGAGCGCCTCTTCCCGCTGCGCCCGCATCAGTCTGGGCCTGGCCCAGGGTCCCCGGTGGAGACGTGTTTTTTTCTCCAACCACCGTGCCCCTCTGTTTAAAAGCAGCCAGTCAACCTTTGTGTCCTTTCTCCAGAAGGAAAAGCATCTCAGCTGTTGTGGAAAAGGGCCCCAGCGTCCTCTTGTCACCGACAGGGCGATTGCAGTGCGTTCCGGTGAGCCCTGGACGGAGGAGATGATCTGGCTGTGGGAGGGCATCGCTTATTGAAGTTTGCGAAATTGCTCAGCAGTTAAATGCTTTGTCAAGTGTGCAGGAGTTGTAGGTTTATAGAAATAAAAGCAAATATTGCCACAGTTATAAAGCAAAGTAGCAATACTCCGCTGTGTTTTTGAGATCAAAAGCAGCTGAACTTCCTAGGTCAGTACCTCCCAAAGAGCTTCAAAACGGAGGGGCTTCCAGGAAGTAGGATGCCGCCTTCATTATACCAGTATCAGAAATTACAGTTGTATTAACTGTGAAAGAGACATGTTTTGATTCAGCGTTTTTCCTCTCGTATATATACATATTTTGAGACGGAGTTTCGCTCTTATTGCCCAGGCTGGAGTGCAATGGCGTGATATAGGCTCACTGTAAACTCTGTCTCCCGGTCCAAGCGATTCTCCTGCCTCAGCATGCTGAGTAACTGGGATTACAGGCATGTGCCACCACGCCCGGCTAATTTTGCATTTTTAGTAGAGACGGGGTTTCACCATGTTGGTTGGGCTGGTCTCGAACTCCTGACCTCGTGATCCACCCTCCTCGGACTCCCAAAGTGCTGGAATTACAGGTATAAGCCACCGCGCCTGGCCTTCCCCCTCATATATTTTTATTTATTTATTTACGTTTTAAAGACAGGGTCTTGGTTTGTTGCCCAGGCTATCTGTAGATTGAATATTCTAAACCAAAGAAAATGTGAAAGGCCAGAATATTGAACACCTATTATATATCCTTGTTGTAGACTGATCATTTGTTAATATTTTGCATGTTTTCTGTTTCTTTGCATCTCTTGTGTAGATCAATGTGTATTGGCCGGGTGCGGTAACTTAAACACCTGTAATCCTGGCACTTTGGGAGGCCGAGGTGGGCGGTTCACCTGAGGTTGGGAGTTCCAGACCAGCCCGACCAACATGGAGAAACCCTGTCTCTACTAAAAATACAAAATTAGCCAGGTGTGGTGGGGCATGCCTGTAATCTTAGCTACTCGGGAGGCTGAGGCAGGAGAATCGCTTGAACCCGGGAGGCAGAGGTTGTGGTGAGCTGAGATCGTGGCAATGCACTACAGCCTGGGCAACAAGAGCAAAACACCGTCTAAATAAATAAATAAATAAATAAAACTAGGCCGGGCACAGTGGCTCACCCCTGTAATCCCAGCACTTTGGGAAGCAGAAGCAGGAGGAGCCACTGAAGCTATGAGTTTGAGACAAGCTGGGACAACATAGTGAGACCCCATCTCTACAAAAAAAAAAATAAATAAATAAAAGCATAACTAAAGTCAGTGACAATATCAAGTCTTCTTTAAGATGTGCATGCATTGCTGAAGAGAACACTTTTTTTTTTTTTTTTTTGAGACAGAGTCTTGCTCTGTTGCCAGGCTGGAGTGCAGTGGCATGATCTCGGCTCACTGCAACCTCCACCTCCCGGGTTCAAGTGCTTCTCCTGCCTTGGCCTCCCGAGTAGCTGGAACTACAGGTGCATGCCACCATGCCCAGCTAATTTTTGTATTTTTAGTAGAGATGGGGTTTCACCATGTTGGCCAGGATGGGTTTCACCATGTTGGCCAGGATGGTCTCCATCTCTTGACCTTGTGATCCACTCACCTCGGCCTCCCAAAGTGCTGGGATTACAGGCGTGAGCCACCATGCCCAGCTACATTTTAAAACAGTGACAACTAAATATGGACTTGGTGATGCAACATGCATACGTGTGCCAGGCTAAATGTAAAAGTTATTTATCACATTATTTGAAATAGCCTAAATTAGGAACAACCCAAATGTGGATCCACAGAATGGGTGAATTGTGGCATATTTCTGTGGCTTTTTTTTTTTTTTTTTGTGACAGAGTCTTGCTCTGTCACCAGGCTGGAGTGCAGTGGCGCAATCTTGGCTCACTGTAATTTCTGTCTTCCTGGTTCAAGTGATTCTCTTGCCTTAGCCTCCCGAGTAGCTGGGATTACAGGTGTGAGCCACCCATTTTTCTTTGTATTTTTAGTAGAGATGGGGTTTCACCATGTTGACCAGGCTGATCTTGAACTGCTGACCTCAAGCGATCTGCCCACCTCGGCCTCCCAAAGTGCCGGGATTACAGGCGTGAGCCACCATGCCCAGCCTCTGTGGCATATTCTTCAGCAAAGATATGAACCAAATCACAGGTGGATGAACACAACAACTTGGGTGCACCTCACCAGCATAATGCTGACTGAAAGAAGCCAGACACAAAAGTATTCTTACTGTCTGATAGTTGCTAGGCAAAGTCAACTAGAGTATTTTTTCTTTTATTCTTTGTTTTCATATATGTGTATATATATATATGTATATTTATTTGTTTATTTATTTATTTAATAAAGAGACTTGGTCTCACTATATTGCCCAGGATGGTCTCTAACTCCTGGCCTCAAGCATCCTTCTACTTCAACCTCCCAAAGGGTTAGGATTACAGGCATGAGCCACCCCCTGGACAATTAGAGTATTAAGTGTCAGAATAGTATTACAATTGGGAGGCATGCCATGGAAAAGACTATGTCTGCAATGCAGGGTATGGAAATGCTTTATTTGTTTGTTTGTTTGTTTGTTTTGAGATGGAGTCTTGCTCTGTCACCCAGGCTGGAGTGCAGTGGTGCAATCTCGGCTCACTGCAAACTCTGCCACCTGGGTTCATGCTATTCTGTTTCCTCAGCCTCCCCAGCTGCTGGGACTACAGGCACACGCCGCCATGCCCAGCTAATTTTTTTGTAGCTTTAGTAGAGACGGGGTTTCACTGTGTTAGCCAGGATGGTCTCGATCTCCTAACCTCGTGATCCACCCGCCTCGGCCTCCCAAAGTGCTGGGATTACAGGTGTCAGCCACCGTGCCTGGCCTACTTTTTTGTTTTTTAAGATGGAGTCGCACTCTGTCAGCCAGGCTGGAGTGCAGTGGCATGGTGTCGGCTCACCGCAATCTCCACCTCCCAGGTTCAAGTGATTCCCCCACCTCGGCCTCCCGAGTAGCTAGGATTACAGGCATGCACCACCACACCTGGCTGGTTTTTTTGGATTTTTAGTAGAGACAGGGTTTCACCCTGTTGGCCAGGCTGGTCTCAAACTCCTGACCTCAAGTGATTCGCCTACCTTGGCCTCCCAAAGTGCTGGGATTACAGGCATGAGCCACCATGCCTAGCCTGAAATACTTTTTCTTTGATGTATCCAACTGACATGCCATTATTCTTTTCCAAAGGTCATTTTTTCCAGGACACTTTCTGTCTTCATGACAGGAACATCGAGAAGCCAAGGCTAGTGGCTGGGTTACTGATGGATTACTGATGGATTCTTCTCAGGCAAGTGGAAAGCAGACCTAACTTCAAAATGTTATGCTTGTAGCCATCATCGGTAGCCTTACCTTGTTATCGTGTATTCAAGCATCTTAAAGAAATGATGGTCCTGCTCAGGAAATAACTCCCCAGGTGAATTTCTCTAGGAACCAAGCCATCTCAGGTTGTACAGAGATTGCAATGGAAGTGTATTGCGGGATCTGGCCAGCAGCCCACAGTGCAACGGGGCTCTCTCTTTGTTCCCAGGCAGATTGGCAGGTTGAGAAATAATAGACACACACAAGATAGTGAAGGCTGGGTCCAGGGGGGTCACCGCCTTCTGGTCCCACAGTGCCAACAATGCACTGGATATACCAGCAGTTATTATTAAGCTTAGTGAGGGCGGGGGTAGGTTAGTGAGGGATTTAGGGTCATTTGATTATGAGGTGAGATGGTCACATGGGGATGAAGTAATTCTTTAACATAACATTTGTATGTAGAAGTACAGTACATTTGTATGTAGAAGTACAGTATACAGAGACAAGAATTTAAAATATAGTGTGTGTGTCAGTAATTTCTAACAGAGCCTTAAAACAGAAACACAATCTTTCCATAACCTATGATTAGCAAGATATTAATCAGCAGTAACAATTGCCACAAATGCTGGTTAGAAACAATCCATGGAAACAGGATGTGAAGCTAGACAACTGGTTAGACCAGAAGTTCTCAGAAGGGAGTATGCCTTAACTTTAAAGAGGCCTACAAGAGCCGTGACAAGATGAGGGCGTTTATCCATATGGACAGGCACCCCCCATGCATCTGTTTATAGGCTCTCCACAAGGGTCGCATTCCATTCCCAGAGCTATGAACATCTGCTTTTCTGGGATAGGAATCTTGGTGATGTGAAACCTCCCTGACTGCACGTCCATTCATAGGCTCTGTGCAGGGGGAAGCACATCACACGCTGTTGGCTCATTCTGGCAGTCCAACCTGGCATTGTCTTTACACAATCCTGCATGCAATTTTGTATTTACAGTAATCAGGAGCATTTCATCTTTTATTCTGTAGCAATAGTTTCAGTGGGTCTCCCTACAGAAATGATTATTTTATCTCAATGTTTACTAATTCTTTCTGATCCTCAATCATGCTTGTTGGCTCATTGTTTTGCTGAGTGTTATGACAGATTGTAAGAAAGGGATGGAGATGTCTAATCTGAAGGAATTTGTGTGTCACTGTGGAGATAATTCATTTGTTATTAGATTTTACATAGTGCTGCAACATATTCAGTGCAGACTGCACCTATAAATAGAGGAGGACTAAGGCCAGAAGAGCCCATTGTAAAGCTGTAGGAAGATCAGTTTAGTCATGTTTCAGTGATGCTGATAAGTCCATGGGATTGGATGCCATTGCAAGACAATATCTATATAGAGGAGAAGAGGCCTGAGGCCTGGGAGTACTGCAGGCTTCTAGTCTTCCTTAGTCCTTCATGCATTTTTCTCAGAACATCAAAGGAGATGGTACTTAGCTGAAGCTGGCATGTATTTAATGGTTTAGCACTTAGTGACCTTTGAGGATGTGGCTGTGGACTTTACCCAGGAGGAGTGGACTTTGTTGGATCAAGCCCAGAGAGATCTCTACAGAGATGTGATGTTGGAGAACTACAAGAATCTCATTATACTAGGTAAAACTGGCATCATTTCTTCACTGACCCCTTTAGGAAATCAATGTTTCTTAAATGTTTGCTGTCAAATGAGGGTACTGTAATAAGCAAGACAGGCATGGACCTTGGCCAGTGGACATTCCTTTTTTTTTTTTTTTGAGACACAGTCTGGCTCTATTGCCCAGGCTGGAGTGCAGTGGCATGGTCTCTGCTTACTGCAAAGCCCCCCCTCCTGGATTCAAGTGATTCTCCTGCCTCAGCCTCCCAGGTAGCTGGGATTACAGGTGTGCACCACCATGGCCATCTAATTTTTGTATTTTTAGTGGAGACAGGGTTTCACCATGTTGGCCAGGCTGGTCTCAAACTCTGACCTCAGGTGATCCACCTGCT
This sequence comes from Homo sapiens, assembly GCF_000001405.40. NCBI lineage: Eukaryota > Metazoa > Chordata > Mammalia > Primates > Hominidae > Homo > Homo sapiens. The sequence continues at coordinate 9,762,912 of NC_000019.10, read as the reverse complement.
TTGGCCTCCCAAAGTGCTAGGATTACAGGCGTGAGCCACCATGCATGGCCTGGGCATTACTTTATAGAACAAGCTTGTAAACTTTCTTAAAGCATTATGAGATTTATGCACAGACCAGTTTTTTTGTTTATTTGTTGTAGCTCATCAGCGATCGTTAGTGTTAGTGTATTTTATATGTGGTCCAAGGCCATTCTTCTTCTTCCAGTGTGGCCCACGGAAGCCAAAAGATTGGACACCCCTGGTGTAGAGGATTCCCCATGAAAATAAAGATTTAAGTAAATGAGTTTATTTAATGTATGGATTAAAAACTTTAAGACTTTAAATGTGTATGAAGTTGGACTTGGTTTTCCAGGCTCAAGCAATTCTTCTGCCTCAACCTTCTGAGTAGCTGGGACCACAGACCTGTGCCAGCATGCCCTGCTAATTTTTGTATTTTTAGTAGAGAGGAAGTTTCACCACGTTGGCCAGGCTGGTCTTGAACTCCTAACCTCAAGTGATCTCCCTGCCTTGGCTTCCCAAAGTGCTGAGGTATGAGGCATGAGCCATTATACCTGGGCAACATTTTTGTTATTTTAAAAATAGTTTTAGTGCATGTATTGGAAATGTTATATGATTAGTTTGCTATTTGTAAAGTTACACTTGACCATCTTTAGAATCCCCGAAGGCAAAAGTATTGGTTCCCCATTGAAGGACATGGTGTTATGTCTTGCATGGGCCTCTTCTTTTGTGCATTTTTCCCTCCAGCAGGGTCTGAATTATTCAAACGTAGTCTCATGTCTGGATTGGAACAAATGGAAGAGCTGAGGACAGGAGTGACAGGAGTTCTGCAGGGTGAGTTCATAAGCAGATGTGGTATTATGGCACTGCTGTGCCACCCTAGGAGACATGCAGTACATTGGAAATGTTACTTTGCGAACTTCTCAGGGTATACTCTTCTTCCTGAGAAGGCTGAGGCCATTTGGTTTCCTTAGATACTTTCAACTCCCCTCATCTTTAAATTTCCATTGATCTTCTCAACCTCTTTTCTGTTCTCAGAAAGGTTTGTCTGCCTTATTTGAAAATTCCATCTTATGCATGTAGGTCCTTTGCCAACACCTTCTTATATTGCTTTCTTGATTCTCCCATCTTTTTGCTTACTACCAGCCTCAGTTTTCTGCATATTATTAGTTGGATAATAAGTAATACAGGTTTTTTTTTTTTTTGAGATGGAGTCTTGCACTGTCGCCCTGGCTGGTGTGCAGTGACATGATCTTGGCTTGCTGCAACCTCCACCTCCTGGGTTCAAGCAATTCTCCTGCCTCAGCCTCCCAAGTAGCTAAGATTACAGGCACCTGACACCACGCCCAACTAATTTTTTGTATTTTTGTAGAGATGGGATTTCACTATGTTGGCCAGGCTGTTCTCGAACTCCTGACCTTGTGATTCACCTGCCTCAGCCTCCCAAAGTGCTGGCATTACAGGTGTAGTGATAGTTTTGACACCATATCTTTACCATTGCAAAACTTCTGACATAGCCAAACTCTTTATAGTCCATCTTTCCATTTGCTTCACTCTTTTTTTTTTTAATCATGTTTTATGCATGTTTGGAAAGATATACAAATGTGCCATATACTTTTTTTAGGTAAAATATACAAAAATTTACCATTTTAGTGTTGTGTAGCTATCAGCTCTTTTTAGTTTCAAGGCATTTCTTTGTTTGTTTGTTTGTTTGAGACAGAGTCTCTCTCTGTTGCCCAGGATAGAGTCCAGTGGAGCCATCTTGGCTCACTGCAACCTCCATCAGCTTCCTGGCTTCAAGTGATTCTCCTGCCTCAGCCTTCTGAGTAGTTGGGACTACAGGCGTGCGCCACCATGCCTGGTGAATTTTTGTGTTTTTTGATAGAGATGGAGTTTCACCATGTTGGCCAGGCTGGTCTCAAACTCCTGACCTCAAGTGACCCACCTGCCTCCGTCTCCCAAAGTGTTGGGATTACAGGCATGAGCCAGTGTGCTTGGTCTAGTTTCAAAGCATTACCATCACACCAAAAGGAAACCATATACCCATCAAGTAGTCAGTCCCCACTCACCCTACAGAGACTAATTTGCTTTCTCTCTCTACGGATTTACCCTTTCTGTATATCTTATATAAATGGAATCATACAATGTAACCTTTTCTCTCTAGCTTCTTTCACTTAGCTATATATATATGTATATATATATTTTTTTCTTTTTTGACACAGAGTCTCACTCTGTCACCCAGGCTGGAGTGCAATGGCATGATCTTGACTCACTGCAACCTCTGCCTCCTGGTTTCAAGTGATTCTCATGACTCAGCCACTTGAGTAGCTGGGATTACAGGTGTACACCACCATGTCTGGCCAATTTTTGTATTTTTAGTAGAGACAGCACTTCACCATGTTGGCCGGGCTGGTCTCGAACTCCTGAACTCAAGTGATCCACCTACCTTGACCTCCCAAAGTGCTGGGATTATAGGCATGAACCACCACACCCAGCCCAGCACAGTTGATTCTGATAGGTTTTCTGAACTTATTAGTCATATTGTGGTAGGAAAGAGCCCTGTAGTTCTTCACTCTGCCACATTTGATTATGCTATGTCTGTTCCTTAGGCATTTTTTTTTTTTGAGACGAAGTCTTGCTCTGTAGCCCAGGCTGGAGTGCAGTGGTGGATCTCACCTCACCGCAACCTCCACCCTCTGGGTTCAAGTGATTCTCCTGCCTCAGCCTCCTGAGTAGCTGGGATTACAGGCATGCACCACTGCACCTGGCTAATTTTTTGTATTTTTAGTAGAGACAGTGTTTCACCATGTTGGCCAGGCTGGTCTTGAACTCCTAACCTCAGGTAAGCCACCTATCTAGGCCTCCAAAAGTGCTAGGATTACAGGTGTGAGCCACCACGCCCAGCCCCATAGGCTTTTAAACGACTTTATTCCACAATTTTTCTCCCAAGCTGCATTTTTCACTTTATTTCAGAATTGGATTTGCAACTCAAAACCAAAGGCTCCCCACTGCTGCAAGATATTTCTGCAGAAAGATCACCAAATGGAGTACAATTGGTAAGATTTCCAAGGGATGAAATCTTCCACACTAGGACAAGAAGCACAATATTCATGAAAATTATATGAGGAAAATGGCATTTACCCAGAGAAAACAAAGTCTGAAGAGATTCTCTGAATATCATGAATATGGGAAGCACTCTAAACTTACTACAAACATATTTCTTCTCAGAGATCTCACAAATAAACATCCACAAACATACAACTCAGCTATTCAGTTTTTTGTGCATAATTTCTTTTACTTTATTATTATTTTTGAGACAAGGTCTTACTCTGTTGCTCAGGCTGGTGTGCAATGGTGCAGTCTTGGCTCACTGCAACCTCTGTTTCCTGGGCTCAAATGATCCTCCAGCCTCAGCCTCCTGAATAGCTGAGACTACAGGCATGAGCCACCATGCCTGGCTGATTATTTTTTTTTTTGTAGAGATGGGGTTTCACCATTTTGTCCAGGCTGGTCTCAAACTCCTGAGCTCAAAGCAATCCACCTGCCTTGGCCTCCCAAAGTGCTGGGATTACAGTCATGAGCCACTGTGCCCAGCCCATAATTTAGTCTAAATAATTCTCAGATGTATTGTGGCTAATGCCTGTAATCCCAGCACTTTGGGAGGCCAAAGCGGGCAGATCACTTGAGGCCAGGAGTTGGAGACTAGCCTGGTCAACATGGCAAAAATCTGTGTTTACTAAAAATACAAAAATTAGCTGGGCATAGTGGCACATGCCTGTAATCCTAGCTACTTGGGAGGCTGAGGCCTGAGAATCCCTTGAACTGGGAGGCAGAGATTGCTGTGAGTCAAGATCGTGCCACTGCACTTCAGCCTGGGTGACAGAGTGAGAATCTTTCTTAAATAAATAAATAAATAAATATCAGACAGATTGTCTAAGAAGCTCTGTGAATGCAGAGAATATAGGCAGGCTGGTGGCCTCATTGTCCTATTACTCAACTTAACTCAAAAATGGGGCTGGAACTCTGTACATATAATGGATATGTTAAAATGTTTAAATATATTTCCAATGCATATATGTTGTGATTGGGGAGAAATTCTGTTACCATACTGAATGTGAGAAATTCTTTATTCATCTTTTATATCTCAACAGGAGAGAAGCAATACTGCAGAGAAACTGTATGACTCTAACCATTCTGGAAAAGTCTTCAATGAACACCCATTTCTTATGACTCACATGATAACTCACATTGGAGAGAAAACTTCTGAGGATAATCAGAGTGGAAAAGCCTTAAGAAAGAACTTTCCTCATAGTTTTTACAAGAAAAGTCATGCTGAGGGGAAAATGCCTAAGTGTGTTAAACATGAAAAAGCCTTCAACCAGTTTCCAAATCTTACTAGGCAGAATAAAACTCACACACAAGAGAAATTGTGTGAATGCAAAGACTGTTGGAGAACTTTTCTTAATCAGTCATCCCTTAAGTTACATATAAGATCTCACAATGGAGACAAACACTATGTATGTAAGGAATGTGGGAAAGCCTTCAGTAATTCCTCACACCTTATAGGACATGGAAGAATTCACAGTGGAGAGAAGCCCTATGTCTGTAAAGAATGTGGTAAAGCTTTCACTCAATCCACAGGACTTAAATTACACATCAGAACTCACAGTGGAGAAAAACCATATAAATGTAAAGAGTGTGGGAAAGCCTTCACCCATTCTTCATACCTTACTGATCATACAAGAATCCACAGTGGAAAGAAGCCCTATGTATGTATGGAATGTGGAAAAGCCTTCACTAGATCCACAGGACTTATTTTACACATGCGAATTCACACTGGAGAAAAGCCATATGAATGTAAGGAGTGTGGAAAAGCTTTTATTCATTCCTCATACCTTACAAAACATGTAAGGATTCACAGTGGAGAGAAGCTGTATTTATGTAAGGCATGTGGGAAAGCTTTTACTCGTTCCTCAGGACTTGTTTTACACATGAGAACACATACTGGAGAAAAGCCCTATGAATGTAAAGAATGTGGGAAAGCCTTTAATAATTCCTCAATGCTTAGTCAACATGTAAGGATTCACACTGGAGAGAAGCCATATGAATGCAAAGAATGTGGGAAAGCTTTCACTCAATCCTCGGGCCTTAGTACCCATTTAAGAACTCACACTGGAGAAAAGGCCTGTGAATGTAAGGAATGCGGTAAAGCATTTGCTCGTTCCACAAATCTTAATATGCACATGCGAACGCACACAGGAGAAAAGCCTTATGCATGTAAAGAATGTGGGAAAGCCTTCAGGTATTCCACATACCTTAACGTTCACACACGAACTCACACTGGAGCAAAACCATATGAATGTAAGAAATGTGGGAAAAACTTCACTCAATCTTCAGCACTTGCTAAACATCTAAGAACTAAGGCATGTGAAAAAACCTGAAGTGTTCCTCAGATCTTAGTATTTACATCTAAACTCATCTGGAAAAAAATCATAGGAAGGTAAAGAATATGAACAACCTTCACTGAATTTCCATATCTTATATAATAGGAATGAATTTAACATGGACACAAGTCCCAGTGATATAAGGAATAGGCAAGAGTAGTAATTCTTCACATCTTATAAAGTGTAAGAACTCACCTTTGGGAGAAAAATCTGGTTCTAAGGCATGTGGTAAAGCCTTTGTTTCTTCCACTATTGTTTATTTTTCTTTTTTTTTTTTGAGACAGAGTCTCTCTCTCTCACCCAGGCTGGAGTACAGTGGCATGACCTTGGCCCACTGCAACCTCTGCCTCCTGGGTTCAAGGAATTCTCCCACCTCAGCCTCCCGAGTAGCTGGGACTACGGGCATGTGCCACCATGCCCAGCTAATTTTTTGTATTTTTAGTAGAGACAGGGTTTCACCATGTTAGCCAGGATGGTCTCGATCTCCCGATCTCATGATCTGCCCGCCTTGGCCTTCCAAAGTACTGGGATTACAGGCTTGAGCCACCACACCCAGCATATTGTTTATTTTTCATAACAAAAATTACTGTAAAAGCCAATTGAAGGTAAGAATGAGAGATAGCCTTAAAATACTTCACAAACCTTCATAGTACTTCATAATCAACACTGGAGAAAAACCCTCTGTATGTAAGGAATGTGATAAAACATTTACTTAGTGCTCAGGACTTAATATCTACATGAGAATTCACAGTGGTATAAAACCCTACAAATGTAAAGGCTACAAGATCTTCACTTATGCCTTTTAATAACTCAACATCAAAGAACTCACAGTGGGCAGATAGCCTATATATGTAAGAAATCTGGGACAGCCTTCAGAAATTTCTGACAGTTTCAGATATAAGAAACCTCATCAATTTAAGATGTGTTAAGAATTCTTCCAGTGTTACTAAGTCAGTCAACATGCGTTGGAGAGAAACTCTATGAAGGTAAGATGTGGGAAATCTTTACTTCTGTCTCATGTGTTAATATTTGGTAATCTCAAAGAGGCCAGAAACATTATGAATGTTAGAAATATGGGAATGTCTTTATATATATATATATATATATATATATATATATATATATACACACACACACACACACATATATATGCACACACACATACACACACGTATGTATTATTTCATCCTTTAATATAAATGATAATTCATACTGGAGAGAAATCTTGATAATACAGAATGAGGGAAATGTTGCATCCATTTTACAAGTCTTACTATACTTGTGAAAACCCACACTGCAAACAAGCTATATGAATGTGAAAATATGAGAATATGCTGGGCGTGGTGACTCATGCTTGTAATCCCAGCACTTTAGGAGGCCGAGGTGGGCAGATCATTTGAGGTCAGGAGTTTGAGACCAGCCTGCCAACATGGTTAAACCTCATCTCTACTAAAAATACAAAAATTAGCCAAGTATGGTGGCGGGTGCCTTTAATCCCAATTGCTTGGGAGGCTGAGGCAGGAGAATTGTGTGAACCCAGGAGACAGAGGTTGCAGTGAGCCAAGATTTTGCCACTACACTCCAGCCTGGGTGACAGAGCAAAACTCCATCTCAAAAAAAAAAAAAATCTGGTAATACTTTTTTTTTTTTTTTTTTTTTTTTTTTTTTTTTTGAGACGGAGTCTCGCTCTGTCGCCCAGGCTGGAGTGCAGTGGCGGGATCTCGGCTCACTGCAAGCTCCGCCTCCCGGGTTCACGCCATTCTCCTGCCTCAGCCTCCCAAGTAGCTGGGACTACAGGCGCCCGCCACTACGCCCGGCTAATTTTTTGTATTTTTAGTAGAGACGGGGTTTCACCGTTTTAGCCGGGATGGTCTCGATCTCCTGACCTTGTGATCCGCCCGCTTCGGCCTCCCAAAGTGCTGGGATTACAGGCGTGAGCCACCGCGCCCGGCCTGGTAATACTTTTAGCAGTACATATTCCTTAAGTGCCTCTGAAAATACTCACTGGAAGAATAAACTATGAATCTGAGGAGTTATGGGAAGCTTTCAGATACTACTGTTACTGTACACAAGATCATACTAGAGGAGAAATTGAAATAAATGACATGAAAATGAGATTGCCTTTCTATGTGTCTTACTGTCCATGACGACTTGTCATGGACAGTAAATTTTCTGTGGTTGAAAAGTTTAATTGCTTTTAAAATTCCCCCTAGTAGAATTTTTTCTATATTTTAGTAAGAACAGCATGTGGGAGGAGTGAGGACTGGACAGTGGACTGTACAGTGGATGTTAGGATGTTATATTTAATCCCCGTGGTCACCAGGCCATGCTTCTAATTCCAGCACTTTGGGAGGCTGAGGTGTGTGGATCACAAGGTCAAGAGATTGAAACCAGCCTGGCTAACATGGTGAAACCCCGTCTCTACTAAAAATACAAAAATTAGCTGGGTGTGGTGGTGCATGCCTGTAGTCCCAGCTACTTGAGAGGCTGAGGCAGGAGGATTGCTTGAACCTGGGAGGTGGAGGTTGCAGTGACTCGAAATCGCACCATTGGACTCCAGCCTGGGCAACAAGAGTGATACTCCATCTCAAAAAAAGAAAAAAAAATCCCCATGGTAACTACATATAAAATATCAATGGAATATACACAAAATGAGACGAAAAAAAGATGTCACTAAAAAAACAAATCAACAAAAAAGGCAGTAATGTAGGAAATGAGGGACCAAAAAGCTGTAAGACATACAGAAAAAGAGTAACAAAGTGGCAAAATGAGTCTTTTTTATTGGTAATTATATGAAGGGTAAATGGGATAACTTCTCCAATCTAATGGCATAATTTGGCAAAATGGATTAAAATACACAATCCAACTGTATGTTGCCCTTTGCTTTTTTTTTTTTTTTTTTTTTTTAAGACAGAGTCTCGCTCTGTCGCCCAGGCTGGAGTGCAATGGCAAGATCCCGGCTCACTGCAACCTTCACCTCCTGGCTTCCAGAAATTCTCTCTGCCTCAGCCTCCTGAGTAGATAGGATTACAGGCACCCACCACCATGCCCAGCTAATTTTTGTAGTATTAGTAGAGACAGGGTTTTGCCATGTTGACCAGGCTGTCTCAAACTCCTGACTTCAGGTGATCTGCTCACCTCAGCCTCCCAAAGTGCTAGGATTACAGGCATGAGCCATCACGCCTGGCCATCCTTCGCTTTAGATCTAAAGACAAAAAAGGTTGAAAGTTAAATAATGGAAAAAGATCATTCCATGTAAATAGTAACCTAAAGAGAATTTGCCTGGATATATTAATATCAGACAAAGTAAACTTGAAGTAAAAAACTGATAGAAGAGAGAGTGAATGAGAGTATATACTGATAGAAGGTAAAATTCATCAAGAAGATAAAAAAATTATATGTATCAAACATCAGAGCTTAAAATACATGAAGTAAATATTGGCAAAATTAAAGGGAAAAATAGACAATTCTGCATAACAATTGGAGACCTCATTATACCACTTTCAATTTAATAGGTAGAACAGCCACGATAATATCAAGAAGGAAACAGGACAAGTACTATATAACAGTTGGCACAACCCACCCCACAACAGAAGAGAACACATTTTTCTCAAGCATATGTGGAATAGTTTCCAGGAGAAACCATGTGTTAGGCCACAAAACAAATCTTAATGAAATGTAAAAGACTGAAACACAAAGTACCATTTCAAGTCACATAGAATGAAACAAGAAATGAAAAACAAGGAAAACTGGAAAATTCACAAATACATTTTATTGTAAGCAACACACTCCTGATCTATCAATGGGTGAAGCAAGAATTCACAAGGTAAATTAGAAAACATCTTGAGACAAATGAAAACAAAGACATGGCATACCAAAATTTATGAGATGTTGCTGTAGTCTAAATTTTGTCTCCTAGGCTGGGCACGGTGGCTCACACCTGTAATCCCAGCACTTTGGGAGGCCAAGGTGGGTGGATCACAAGGTCAGGAGATTGAGACCATCCTGGCTAAGGTGGTGAAACCCTGTCTCTACTTAAAAAAAAAAAAAAAATCAGCCCAGTGTGGTGCTGGGTGCCTGTAGTCCCAGTTATCCAGGAGGCTGAGGCAGGAGAATGGTGTGAACCTGGGAGGCAGAGCTTGCAGTGAGCCAAGATCACACCACTGCATTCCAGCCTGGGTGACAGAGTGAGACTCCATGTCAAAAATAAATAAATAAATAAATAAATAAATAAATAAATAAATAAATAAATTTTGTCTCCTCAACTTGCGTATGTTGACATCTTAACTCCCAAAGTGATTGTATTAGGAGCTGGGAATTTTGGGACATGATGAAGTCATGAGGGCTCTGCAGAATGGGATTACCCCCCTCATGGAAGACACCCCAAAGATATTTCATGCCACTTCTACTGTATTTGGTTACTTCAAGAAGATGGCTCTCTGTGAACCAGGAAAAGGGCCCTCATCTGACACTGAATCTGACTGTACCTTGAGCTTTGACCTAATCTCCAGAACTCGGAGAAATAAATTTATGTTGTTTATTAACCACCAGTCTATGGTATTTTGTTATAGCAGCCTGAATGGACAGATACAGTGAAAGTAGTGAAAAGAAGGCAACTCATAGCAGTAACTACTCAAATTCAAAAAGAAGAAAGATCTCAAAGACTAAGCCAAGGAATGTTTCACAGAATTCAGCCTAAAAAGAAAAGTGCTGGAAAGGATGTAAATTAAATAATGTATGAGATAAGCAAAAAGCTTCAATATCCAGCTACAAGGCATTCTAGAATGAGAGAATAGAAAAAAAAAAAAGGGAAATCACTGAAAGAAGCAATAAGAATTTTTTTTTTTTTTTTTTTTTGGGATGAAGTCTCACTTTGTTCCCCAGGCTGGAATGCAGTGGAACAATCTCCACTCACTGCAACCTCCACCTCCCAGGTTCAAGTGATTCTCCTGCTTCAGCCTCCCGAGTAGCTGGGATCACAGGCATGCACCACCAAGCTCAGCTAATTTTGTGTATTTTTTTTTTTTGTAGAGACGAAGTTTCATCATGTTGTCCAGGCTGGTGTCAAACTCCTGACTTCAGGTGATCCACCCACCTTGGCCTCCCAAAGTGCTGGGATTATGGACGTGAGCCACCACACCCGCCCTTGAAATACTGTTTCTAAAAGGTATATGGAAGAACAATAGGCAAGGATAATCAAGACCCAGCTGATAAAAAAGGTGGAAGAACTTGCCCTAATGAATATCAAGATTAAAACTATAGTAATTAAGATGCTGTTGCATTGTACACAGACAACTAGACTATTGGTACAAAATAGTCTGGAAATAGTCACGTGTATTAGTCTGTTCTTGAGTTGTTATAAAGAAATACCTGGCTGGTCATGGTGACTCATGCATGTAATCCCAGCACTTTGGGAGGTGATCCACCCACCTCGGCCTCCGAAGTGCTGGGATTACAGGCATGAGCCACTGCACCCCGCAAGATCTCATTTTACAGTAATGTTACATGCATCCATATAAGAGACCACCTGAGCAGGCTTAGTGTGAGCAACAAGGCTGTTTATTCACTAGGGTACAAGTGGGCTGAGTTTGAGAAAGGAGTCAGTGAAGATGGTGGGATTATCATTGGTCTTATAGGTTTGGGATAGGCGGTGGAGTTAGGAGCGACTTTTTTTGTGGGCAGGGGATGGATGTTATGAAGTACATTCTCAAGAGTGGGGAGGATGTTACAAAGTACATTCACAAGGGCGGGGAGGATGTCTTGTCCCAAAGGCAGGGAGGAATGTTACAAAGTGCATTCACAAGGGCGGGGAGGATGTTACAAAGTACATTCACAAGGGCGCGGAGGGTGTATTGTCACAAGGGATGGGAGGAATGTTACAAAGTACATTCAGAAGAGCAGGGAGGGTGTTGCAAATTACATTCACAAGGGTGGGGAGGAATGTTACAATGTACATTCACAGGACAAGGAATATCACAAAGTACATTATCACAAGGGCCGGGGATGTCACAATGGTTTGACCATGGTGCGGCCAGCTCAGAGGACCTTACATTCCTGTTTTTTTATGTTAATAAGAAATAAAAATAATAAATAAAATAAGAATAGTGAAAACTTGGGGTGAAATTTTGGGGCTGTATGGAGGAGTGATGGGTGACGTTTCTCAGGGCTGCTTTGAGCAGGATTAGCGGTGGTGTGGGAACCTAAAGTGGGAGAGATTAGACTGAAGTAAGATTTTGGGGTAAGGGGTGATATTGTGGGTTTGTTAAAAGCAGCATTTGTTGTATAGAGTGATTAGTGATAGCCTGGATGCAGTTTTGTAGGAATTGAGAGATTAATCAGAAGACACAAGCCCTCAATAAGAGAAGGAGGAAGACAGGTATTAGAGAACTAACGATTGGAAGAAGCCAGGATACCCAGTTAGAGAGTGGCCAGGTGGGTCCAGCATAATTAGTTGCCTGACTAGCGAGGTTTTGAGCTCTGTTTTTGAGTTTTTTGACGTCATCATATACCAGGCCAGACTGATTAAAGTTAAACAAACACTCTTCATTAAGAAATATGCAGAGTCCTCCTTTTTCAGCAGTGAGTAAATCGAGGCCTTGGCAGTTCTGGAGGACAACTGCAGCTAAAGTGTCAACCTGGGCTTGGAGGACAGATAAAGATTGTGATATATCTGTAATGCTAAACAGAGAAGTCATTAGAGAGGCTGCAGAATGGTGTGACAGAGGTTGAGATAGCTGCTATTCCAGTTCTAAGTGCAATAGTGAAGGCAGAAATTCCTAGACCCACAAGTAAAGGGATTAATGGGATGACTCTTTTTTGTCATGTTGGTGTCATGAGGGGGACAGGCAGTTGTTCGTTCCCATTTGCAAACTGGATTTTGGGGGTAAGGAAGACTAGAGTACATGTGCCCATCCAGTTGGCAGGTGTACGTGGAAGAACCACAGAAAAATAAGAGAGCTTGTGTCAGGCATAACTGGAAATGTAAAGTGAAAAGGTGAGAGGGTGTAGTGAAAGAGGGGTCCTGCACCCAAAATCCTAGAGATCCAGCAAAGGCAGCAGCCATTAGAGGTTGTAATGGGGATTGATGGTGCAACTGCGTAGAGGGAAGGTTCAGTTCTCATGGTGTATAAGAAAGCACATAGTATCTGTGAGTAGTCTTTCACTACTATTCATGGGGCTGGGTATAAGCAAGCAAGAGGAGGGGTCAGGAGGAGAGTCAAATGAGCAGGGCGAGGGTAGCCAAAGATGGAGTGAGATGCAGGGTAGGTGTCTTCCTAAGCATTAGTGACTGCCAATGTTTTTTAGTTTGTCAGTAATGATAGAGAGCTTATCAGTAATGTGAAGTTGGAATGCTCCCATCTGTTTGGTAGTGTGTGTGGCTTGGTTCTGGAGATAAAGAGTAAAGGAACATTTGGATGGTGGAAGGTTTCCTAAAGGGATTCCAGTAGGCTGTTTTTGGGAGAAGCATAAAGGAGCAGCAACAGGGATAGTTGTTTGTGTGGTTAGGGGTCCAAATATGGGGGGGAGTGGAATTGACATAAAGAGAAAGGTGCCGTAAGTAGATGCGGAGAAGTGTGGCCGCTTTTTAATGCGAAATCTCTGGGGAGTTCTCACCAAATCTGTCTAGAAAGTAAAGAAGTTCCTCAGGTGGGTAAAGACAAGGGCTATTAAAGAAGGTTCAGAGGTGTAGGGAGACAGGAGAGGTAGCTCAGTCAGCCTGTAGAGCGGGGACGGCTGCATAAGAGCAGGAAGAAAGGGAAATGCATAGCCAACAATTTTTTACTAGAGAAGGATTGGAGGCAGTGAGGAGAGAGTGGGTGAGGTTGATACTATGCTGGAGGTAACTAGGGAGAGGTAGAGAGTGACTGGAGAATAGGGGCAAGGATAAGAGTGAGTAGAAAAGTAAAAAAAAAAAAAAAAAAAAAGAAAGACTTATCAGGATAGGAGAATTGGAATGTATCTTGCCACTGAAGATATTATATCCACTGCAAGAGAGTTAAGGGTGGCTATTTGAAGTAAAACCAGGAGATATCAGTTATGGTGACTTGGAGGAAAAGTGTAAACTGGTAAACTGGCAGCGTAAACAAGGGCAGGGCATTTACGAGTAGTTGAGAATGATGAATAGGTGTATGACTAGACAGAAGATAATAGGGATGACAAGTCTTGGGGGCACAGTCCAAGTAGTGGGGATGACTTCATAAAGCCCTGTTGCAAAAAGTAGGGTAAGGACGAATAGACCTAATAGAATGAAGGGATGTGTTAGGTTTATAAGGGCTATTACTGTTCTTCAGAAATGCGAGTGAGTTTAAGGGAAGTAGGGGAGAGTGCTTGAGACTTCCAGGAGGAAGAAGAGAGATCAGGCTGGCTGGCTGACAGACACAGCTTTATTCTGGAATGGTGAACCCAATGGGGAGGGTCCTGCAGGTGGACGGGAGTTGGGGTACTATAGATGACTAAGCAGTCCATCGCGGTTGTAGAGTTTGAGGGATCAGATTCTTAACAACAACTGATCATCCAGCTAGGGTGTCTTCATATGGCTGGGAATCTGGAGTAGGCAAGAGAAGATTAGCAGGCTGGTGAATTTCCTGTCTAGCCTGCTGGAGGACTGGAAGATAGTCGCCTAGAGGGCTGGTGTCTGGCACAAGGTGGGGGCCCAGCAAGAAGGTATGTCCATATAGTCAAATAGACTATACCCTGTAGCTTCTCGAGGACAAGCTGTAATTCTAAGGAGGGCAAACGGTAAAAGTACTGTCCAGTCTTTTTTAAGTTGAAGGCTGAGCTTGGTGAGGTATGTTTTTAAAAGACCATTAGTTCTACCAAAACAGAGATATAGACCAATGGAACAAAATAGAGCCCTTGGAAATAATACCACACATCTACAACCATCTGATCTTTGACAAACCTGACAAAAACAAGAAATGGGGAAAGGATTCCCTATTTAATAAATGTTGCCAGTTAAACTGGCTAGCCATATGTAGAAAGCTGAAACTGGATCCCTTCCTTACACCTTATACAAAAATCAGTTCGAGATGGATTAAAGACTTAAATATTAGTCCTAAAACCATAAAAACCCTAGAAGAAAACCTAGGCAATACCATTCAGGACATAGGCATGGGCTAGGACTTCATGACTAAAACACTGAAAGCAATGGCAACAAAAGCCAAAATTGACAAATGCAATCTAATTAAACTAAAGAGCTTCTGCACAGCAAACGAAACTACCATCAGAGTGAACAGGCAACCTACAGAATGGGAGAAAATTTTTACAATCTACCCATCTGACAAAGGGCTAATATCCAGAATCTACAAAGAACTTAAACAAATTTACAAGAAAAAATCAAACAACCCCATCAAAAAGTGGGTGAAGGATATGAACAGACACTTCTCAAAAGGAGATATTTGTGCAGCCAACAGACACATGGAAAAATGCTTATCATCACTGGCTATCAGAGAAATGCAAATCAAAACCACAATGAGATACCATCTCACACCAGTTAGAATGGTGATCATTAAAAAGTCAGGAAACAACAGGTGCTGGAGGGGATGTGGAGAAATAGGACCGCTTTTACACTGTTGGTGGGAGTGTAAACTAGTTCAACCATTGTGGAAGACAGTGTGGCAATTCCTCAAGGATCTAGAACTAGAAATACCATTTGACCCAGCCATCCCATTACTGGGCATATACCCAAAGGATTATAAATCATGCTGCTATAAAGACACATGCACACGTATGTTTATTGCAGCACTATTCACAATAGCAAAGACTTGGAACCAACCCAAACGTCCATCAGTGATAGACTGGATTAAGAAAATGTGGCACATATGATCCATGGAATACTATGCAGCCATAAAAAAGGATGAGTTCTTCTCCTTTATAGGGACATGGATGAAGCTGGAAACCACCATTCTGAGCAAACTATCGCAAGGACAGAAAACCAAACAAGACATGTTCTCACTCATAGGTGGGAATTGAACAATGAGAACACATGGACACAGGGTGGGGAACATCACACACTGGGGCCTGCTGGGGGGAGGGGGGAGGGATAGCATTAGGAGACATACCTAATGTAAATGACGAGTTGACGGGTGCAGCAAACCAACATGGCACATGTATACATATGTAACAAACCTGCACGTTGTGCACATGTACCCTAGAACCTAATGTAACAATAATAATAATAATAATAATAATAATAATAATAATAATAAGACTGTTAGTTCTTTCTACCTTTCCCAAATATTGAGGACAGTAGGGGCATGAAGCTTCCACTGGATGCCAAGGGCCTGGGAGACTGCTTGAGTGATCTGACTAACGAAGGCTGGTCCGTTATTGGACTGTATAGAGGTGGCAAGGCCAAACCAAGGAATTATATCTGACAGGAGGGAAGAAATGACTGTGGTGGCCTTCTCAGACCTTGTGGGAAAGGCCTCTATCCATCCAGTGAATGTATCTACCCAGACCAAAAGGTATCTTAGTTTTTTGACTTGGGGCCTATGGGTAAAGTCAATCTGATAGTCTTGGGTCGGGGGCAAATCCTCGAGCTTTTTGTGTAGGAAAGGGAGGGGGCCTGAGATATCCCTGAGGGGTGGTAGAGTAGCAGATGGAACACCGAGAAGTAATTTCCTTGAGGATGGATTTCCATGATGGAAAAGAAATGAGAGGTTCTAAGAGATGGGCCATTGGCTTGTAACCCACATGGAAGAGGTTATGAAAGGGTGATAAGATAGAATGAGCCTGTCAAGCAGGAAGGAGGAATTTTCCTTGATCCAAGAACCATTTGCCTTGAGTAGGAAGGGATTGATAGGTAATAGTTTCAGTGGGAGAATAGGTGGAAGTGATAGATGAGAAGGAAAAAAAATGGCCATGAGGGACAGATGTGGGAATACTAGCTGCTGCTTTTGCTGCATTATCAGCATAAGCGTTGCCTCGAGCAATGGGATCTGGTAACCTCTGAGGCCCCTTGCAGTGAATGACTGGCTTCCTTGGGCAGTAGAGCAGCCTTAAGGAGGATTTTTATTAAGGAAGCATTGATGATGGAGGACCCTTGTGTAGTGAGAAAACCTCTTTCTGCCCATATAACTGCATGGTAATGTACGATGTGGAAGGCATACTTGGAATCAGTGTAGATATTGACACATAGTCCCTTTACAAGGGTGAGATCTTGGGTTAAAGCAATGAGTTCGGCTTGTTGAGAGGTAATGGAAGGGTGCAGGGCAGTAGCTTCAGTGACCGATGTGGAAGACACCACAACATATCCTGCCCTTGCCGGTGACTGACGATTTGGCCTTGAAGAACTACCATCAATAAACCACGTGTGGTCTGGATTAGGAACAGGAAAGAGGGAAATATGGGGAAATGTGGAGGATGCCATATGGATTGAGAGATACAGTCATGAGGTTCAGGTTTGGTGCTAGGTATAAGGTGAACAGCTGGGTTGAAGTCTGTGCCAGGAACAATGGTAACTGTGAGAGTTTCAATGAATAGTAAGTAGAGTTGGAGGAGTCTGGAGGCAGAAAGTATATGCGCCAAGTGTGAGGAGGAAAATAGATTTTGAAAGTTATGAGAGCTGTAGAGAGTAAGTGGGGCATGGTTTATGATCTTGAGGGCCTCTAGAAGTATTGAAACAGCAGCTGCCACCACACATAGACATGAGGGCCAGCCTAGAACTTTGAAGTTAAGTTGTTTGGATAGGAAGGCTACAGGTCGTGGGCCTGGTTCCTGTGTAAGAACTCCAACCACACAGCCTTGTATTTCAGCCGTATATAAGAAGGATTGGGACAAATTAGGGAGTGCTAATGTGGGACCTGTTTCTAGGACTGTCTTTAAGGAATGAAAAGAAGAGTGGGGAAAGAACTTAGGGTTTGTGGGGTCAGTCAGGTTTCCCTTTGTGAGTTTATATAGGGGTTTAGTTAGGATGGCAAAACCTGGTATCCAAAGGCAAAGGTATCCAACCATGCCTAGGAAGGACAGGAGTTGTTGCTTTGCAGAAGGGGTTGGGGTTTCGGAGATTAGCCAGACATGGTTATCAGGGAGACCACGTGTGTTTTGATGAAGGACTATGCCAAGATAGGTAACAGATGGGAAAGAAATTGGGCTTCAGATGGGGATACGTGATACTCCTTTGAGAATAGATGTTGAAGGAGCAGGAGGGTATCCTGTTGGGAAGATTCGTAAGAGGAGTTGCAGAGGAGAAGGTCATCCATATATTGAATAAGGTGAAAAACAGATGGACAGAAAGAAAGTAGATCATGAGAAAGAGCTTAACTAAAGTAATGGGGGTTATCTCTGAAGCCTTGCAGCAGTACAGTCCAGGTGAGTTGCTGAGATTGGTGGGTGTCACGGTCAGTCCATGTGAAAGTGAAAGGAGATTGGGATGAGGGGTGCAAAGGAATAGTGAAGAGGCATCTTTGAGGTCAAGGATGGAATAATAAGTTGTGGAGGGAGGTATTGAGTATAGGAGAGTACATGTGTTTGGCACTACAGGATGAATTTGGTTAATAAAACAAAGATCCTGAACCAACCTGTAAGATTTGTCCAGTTTCTGGACACGTATGATAGGGGAGTTGTAAGGAGAATTTGTAGGCTTTAAAAGGCCATGCTGTAACAGGTGAGTGATAACAGGCTTTAGTCCTCTTAAAGCCTATTGTGGGATGGGGTACTGGTGTTGAGTGAGGTAAGGGTGATTAGGTTTTAATGGGATGGTAAATGGTGCCTGATCAGTCGCCAAGGAGGGAGTAGAAGTATCCCACACTTGAGGATTAAGGTAGGAAGACACGAAAGGAGGATTCAAAAGAGGTCTTGAATGGGGCAAAAGGGCAGCAATGAGGTGTGACTGAGGTCCAGAAATAGTCAGGGAAGCAGATAATTTGATTAAAATGTCTCAGCCTAATAAGGGAACTGGGCAGGTGGGGATAACTAAAAAAGAGTGCATAAAAGAATGTTGTCCAAGTTGGCACAAGAGTTGGGGAGTTTTAAGGGGTCTGGAAGCCTGGCCATCAATAACCACAACAGTTACGGGGGCAAGGGAAACAGGCCCTTGAAAAGAAAGTAGTGTTGTGTGGGTAGCCCCCATATCAATTAAACGGGATGGACTTACCCTCCACTGTAAGAGTTACCCAAAGCTCAGCATCCATGATGGTCTTGGGGGCTTCCAAGGTGATTGGGCAGCATCAGTCTTCAGCCACTAAGTCGAGGAGATCTGGGAAGGAGTCTGCCAAGGAAAGTTGGGTTCGAGCTCCAGGAGCTTTAGGAATGGTGGCGATGTGAGTCGGACAGTCCAACTTCCAGTGGGGGCCCACAGAGAGAGGGCATGGCTTAGGAGGAAACCCGGGCTGCGGGCTTTCCGAGGCCCAGTGACCAGGCTTTTGGCATTTGAAGCAAGGTCCACCAGGAGGTTTTGAAGGAGCCCCTGGGAGCTGTGTCTTGGTTGTTCTGAAGGTTTTGTATGCTGGAGATGTTGTGGGTTGTCTTACAGTGGAGGCAAGTAGCTGTAACTCAGAGATACGTTGCTGTTTGGCCAGTTCTTCTCTGTTATTGAACACCTTGAAGGTGAGATTGATTAAATCCTGTTGTGGGGTTTGAGGGCCAGAATCCAAATTTGGAGATTTTTTCTAATGTCAGGAGCAGGTTGGGTGATAAAATGCATATTAAGGATAAGGTGGCCTTCTGGCCCCTCTTGGTCTAGTGCTGTAAAGTGTCTAAGGGTAGCTGCTAAGCGGGCAATGAACTGGGCTGGGTTTTCAACTTTACCTTGGGTAGTTACCTTTAGGTTGTCATAATTAACAGCGCTGTATGCTGCCTTTTTCAGCCCCTCGACTAGGCAGGAGACCATGTAATCTCGCCTAGCTATACCTGGGGAGTCTGTCTGGTATTGCCAATGGGGATACTCTCGGGCAACAGCCCTGGTGCCCTCTTGGAGGCCTGGCTCATGAAGCCAGTGGGTGTCTGTGTAGGACTGGGCTAGAAAATAAACTCTTTCTTGTTTGTCTGGGGAGGGGGTAAAGGTCAGGATGACATTTAAGTCACTCCAGGTTAAGTTGTAGGACTGAGTTAGATATTGGAATTCCTGTATATATTTAGTGGGGTCCTATGAGAAAGAGCCTAAATGCTGACTGATTTGGGAAAGGTCTAATAGAAAAAAAGGCACATGTACTGACTCTATGCCTTCAGCTCCGGCCACCTCTCTAAGAGAAAATTGTTGGGCAGGTGGGGGAGAGCTAGTCACAGAATGAAACTATAAGCCAGACTGGGTGTGAGGAGGGGAGGTAATAGAAGGGTTATAGGGTGGGAGAGCAGAGGCTGTGGAAGAATTGGGACCTGATTCACCCTGGCGAGGAGCAGCTGGGGGAGGAGAGAGGTCAGAGGGGTCACTGGAAAAGGAGGATTCAGAGGACTCTGAGCTTGGGGTGAAGACCGAAGAAGCAGACAGGAGAGAAAAGAAGGAAAATCTGGGATGAGTTGCATTGGTGGTAGAAACTAGGGAGGGAGCAAAATGTAAAAAATGCTTGGACGTAAGCCACCTCAGATCATTTGCCCAATTTTCGACAAAAATTACTGAGGTCTTGTAGGATAGACAAATTGAAAGTGCCATTCTCTGGCCACTTGGAACTATTGTCGAGCTTGTATTGGGGCCAAGCAATATTACAGAAGAAAATAAGACATTTAGCTTTTATGTCAGGTGTTAGTCAAAGGGGTTTTAGGTTTTTAAGAACACAGGCTAAGGGGGAAGAGGTAAGAATGGATGATGGAAGGTTGCGCATAGTGGAGAAGGTAAGTTTAAAGAGGAAGGTAGAGACACGGAGAAATGGAGGTGGGCAGCTACCAGTCTTCCAGTAGGCATCCCTGACTGAGTCCTAGGCTGTAATGTGGGTGAGCTGCCAAAGCAGCCATCCCTGCAATTGACCTGCCACCAAGGGAATGTTGGTGAATGATCAAGGCAGGCGTCCCCACGGTGATCAGACACCAAGGGAAGACTATCTTCCCAAGTCTGTGACCAATGTCAGAGTTTTTGAATGCACGGATAAAGTGTGTCTCCTTTTTGTCTCTACCAGGAAAGGAGAGAAACTGAAATTGAAAGAGAGATTGAAGGGAGGTGAGAGAGGTTAAGTAGCGAGTGAAAAAACTGCTGACCCAAGTGCCAAAAACCACTTATTTATTTGAAATTGGTGAGATGGTCCTTGGGCTGGTTGGTCTGATGCCCCGAGGTCATAGGTGGATCTCCTCATGCAGGGAGCTTGAGGACAGGGGACACATCTCCTGAAGGAGTTCCCTTGTCCTGGGTTTTTGGGACCAAATGTTATGTGCGACCATATAAGAGACTGCCTAAGCAGGCTTAGTGTGAGTAACAAGGCTGTTTATTCACTTGGCTGCAAGTGGGCTGAGTCTGAGAAAGGAGTCAGCGAAGGGTGGTGGGATTATCATTGCTTCTTATAGGTTTGGGATAGGCTGTGGAGTTAGGAGCAATTGTTTTGCAGGCAAGGGATGGTTGTTACAAAGTACATTCTTAAGGGCGGGGAGGATGTTACAAAGTACATTCACAAGGGTGGGAAGGATGTCACAAAGTACATTCACAAGGGCTGGGAGGGTGTATTGTCACACGGGTGGGGAGGAATTTTACAAAGTACATTCACAAGGTTGGGGAATATCACAAAGTACATTATCACAAGGGCGGGTGAATGTCATGCTGGCTTGACCATGGTGTGGCCAGCTCAGAGGACATTACAAGTAACACTAAAGGGGCAATAAGAATACCAGTTTTTCCTGTTCTGGTATCACTTGGCCTAGACTAAAAACCCAGCCCTAGTACAGCAAGAGGGAGAACTATACTCACTGTTAGTCCAATGAATGAGTCAGAACCAAATTGGCTAAGCTGTTCAAGATTGCAATTCATGTCATAAGTTCTGGAACAGGAAAGGGGCAACCCCAGCTTCATGCATATATATACCCAGTATTTGGCAAAACCCCTCATGGGAGTTTGAAGACTGGCCTCTGTTAGACCCTCGCTCTTGGTGGTGATGTGCCAAAACCCCACAGGGTTCCTTCAGTAGGAGGGGTGCCCCCTCCCCAGGAAGTCATATCCCATTCCAGGCAAACGTACTGCCAGGGTCTGGGATCTCTATGTTGGTGCCTTCACTGGCTTATGTAGTTCTTTGTCACCTGACCCTAATGAGGTCAATGGGGACACCAGAGAGAGGGAGGGAGGTGACTGCCTGTCCATGGGGCCAAAGGGAACCAAATGGAGTCCACTGCTTACAACAGGAGCCAGTGGGGACCAAGCAACCAGTATGTCAAGTAAACATCCAAAATAAGAGGAAAAAAGTTATTTTTTGAGATGGAGTTTCACTCTTGTTGCACAGGCTGGAGTGCTATGGTGCAATCTTGGCTCACTGCAACCTCCACCTCCCAATTCAAGCTATTCTAGTGCCTCAGCCTTCCGAGTAAGTGGGATTACAGGCATGTGCCACCATGCCTGGATAATTTTTATATATTTAGTAGAGAGGGGGTTTCACCATGTTGATTAGGCTGGTCTCAAGTTCCTGACCTCAAGTGCTCCACCAGCCTTGGCCTCCCAAAGTGCTGGGATTACAGGCATGAGCCACTGTGCCTGGCCAAAAAAAAAAAATTTTTTTTAGCCACTTAGAAATACAAGCCATTGTAAAGATTTTATGTAAAATAAAAAATTGGGGGGAAGAAAAGGACCAATTGTCTTGAGGCTACTGCCTATAGGCATCGGACCTTTACTGCTCCCTCATTTCCTCTTATCAACCAGAGATGGAATTTAAGAACTGTGGCTTTCTGGGAGATGGAGGTTGCAGTGAGCTGAGATTGTGCCACTGCATTCCAGCCTGGGTGACAGAACAAGGATCTGTCTCAAACCAACCAAAACAAACACAAAGAACTGTGGCTTTAGGCAACTCAAAGCCTAAAATGGGGAGGTTTGAGGGGAGAAAAAAAGACTTCTGGCTGCTCTAGGCAGCTGTAAATCCAAGGTGGTGGAAATGAGTAACTTGAAACTGTAAGTACTAAAGAAACATCAAGGCTAGTAAACAGAATTCTATCCCTAGATTAGTTACTGATTTAAAAACAAGGGTGAACTGTGGTGGCTTATGCCTATAATCCCAGAGATTTGGGAGGCCAAGGTGGGAAGATGAGCATCATAGTGAGACCCCATCTCTACAAAAAGAATAAATTAGCTGAGCATGGTAATGTGTGCCTGTAGTCCCAGCTACTTGGGAGGCTGAGGTGGGAGGTTCACTTGAGTCCAGGAGGTTGAGGCTGCAGGTAGCTGTCACTGGGCCACTTCACTCTAGCCTGGGAAACAGAGTGAGACCCTGTCTCTAGAAAATAAACAAAACAAATAATAAAAGTGATAAATGGCCCTTCGTGATGGACTAATTATTGACTTAATGTTGTGGTCCCATCCATCAGGGTCTCCATACTCAATTTCCAATATTATTTAGATTACTGATTCTATTCATTCAACAACAGATAAATAATTTGCTCTTGTAGATTGGTGTGATGGTTAATGCTGAGTGTCAACTTGATTGGATTTAAGGATACAAAGTATTGATCCCGGGTGTGTCTGTGAGGGTATTGCCAAAGGAGATTAATATTTGAGTCAATGGGCTGGGAAAGGCAGACCCACCCCTAATCTGGGGGGTCACAATCTAATCAGCTGCCAGAGATGCTAGAATATAAGCAGACATAAAAATGTGAAGAGAGAAACTGGCTTAGCCTCCCAGCCTACCTCTTTCTCCCATGCGGGATGCTTCCTGCCCTCGAACATCAGACTTCAAGTTCTTCAGTTTTGGAACTCAGACTGGCTCTCCTCGCTCCTCAGCCTGCAGACAGCCTATTGTGGGACCTTGTGATCCTGTGAGTTAATACTTAATAAACTCCCATATATATATATGGGAGTCACCTAGTCTGGAGTGCAGTGGCACTATCTCGGTTCACTGCAACCTCTGCCTCCCAGGTTAAAACGATTCTCCTGTCTCAGCCTTCTGAGTAGCTGGGATTACAGGCGCCTACCACCACGCCCAGCTAATGTTTATATTTTTAGTAGAGACAGAGTTTCACCATGTTGGCCAGGCTGGTCTTGAACTCCTGACCTCAGATGATCCACCCGCCTCGGCCTCCCAAAGTGCTGGGATTACAGGCGTGAGCCGCCACGCCCGGCTAATTTTCTTTTTTTAAAGGACAGGATCCAAGAAACAATTTGCTTGGCCGTACTTTTGGCAACTGTTTTGGCACTGGATGCCCTGGTCAAACATATGATCCCATCATCATGTTTATTATACACAACTGAGCCATTACCTAAATATTGTCCCCATAAGGTAAAAAAAAAGTCTGGAAATCTCTTGCCTGACTGATACCGAAAATATAAATCAAAACAACACATTGCCACGTATACTGAGGCCGCAATACCAGCCTCTGCAAGGCCACTCCACATTCCCTTTGGAGTAACAGGCATTACTGATAGTAACCAAGACACACATTTCACTTCTTAAAATACAGAACGCTAGGCTCTTGAAAAAGGCATTCAATAGACGTTTTGTGTCCCTAACAGGTTCCAAATAGACATTTTAACTGAGGGATGTAATGAAGTCCTCAAACAACTCCTTTTCAAATTGCAGTCCAACAAATAAACCCCTACATAAGTTTATATTTTGCCCCAAATCTTAACCAATCTTAACAAATTTTTAATTTTGCCCCCATCTCTCAGGGATTAGAATCCAGATTGAGTGTATATGCTTTCTTTGGACTCATTAAGCAGAGATTGTCCCACAGGCCAGCCAGCTGATCATCTGATAACGGGACCCATTTATTATTTTATTTTATTATTATGATCTTTTTTTGAGACAGAGCCTCTCTCTATTGCCCAGGCTAGAGTGCAGTGGTGTGATCTCGGCTCACTGCAACCTCTTCCTCCCAGGTTCAAGCTATTCTCCTTCCTCAGCCTCCTGAGTAGCTGGGATTACAGCCGCGTGCCAACACGCCTGGCTCACTTTTGTATTTTTTAAGTAAAGACGAGGTTTCACCATGTTGGTGAGGCTGGTATCGAACTCCTGACCTCATGATCTGCCCACCTTCGCCTCCCAAAGTGCTGGGATTACAGGTGTGAGCCACCGCGCCTGGCCACAGGACCCATTTAAACTTAATTTTGGCCGGGTGCGGTGGCTCACACCTGTAATCCCAGCACTTTGGGAGGCTGAGGCAGGAGGATTGCTTGAAGCCAGGAGTTCAAAACCAGCCCAAGCAACATAATGAGACCCATCTCTACAAAAAAATTGAAAAATGAGTTGGACATGGTGGCATTCGCCTCTAGCCCCAGCTACTCAGTAGCTTAGGGAGGATCCCTTGAACCCAGGGATTCAAGGGTGCAGTGAGCTATGATTGCACGACTGCACTCCAACCTGGGTAATACAGTGAGACCCTGTCTCGAAAAAACCCTCCAAACAAAAAGCAGCTAAATTTCCACCAAAAACAAAAACAAAAAAAACCCAAAAACAAAAACTGTCAGGCACAGTTGCACACCATTCTGTTTACTGTTGGTGTTATTACTACTAGTTTCTGTACTTTCACTGGTTTACACTCAGGAGGTCCCTATTAACTCAAATGGGTACTCACGTAAAATGATTCCTCAGGCTGGGCTTGATGGCTCATGCCTGTAATCCCTGCACTTTGGGAGGCCAAGGAAGGTGGATCACTTAAGGACAGGAGTTCAAGACCAGCCTGGCCAACATGGCAAAACCCTGCCTCTACTAAAAACACAAAAATTATCCTGGCATAGCAGTGTGTGCCTCTAATCCCAGCTACTTGGGAGGCTGAGGCATTGGAATAGCTTGAACCTGGAAGGCAGAGTTTGCAGTGAGCTGAGATCCCACCACTGAGCTCCAGCCTGGGCAATAGAGTGAGACTCCATCTCAAAACAACAACAACAACAACAAAGGATTCCCCAGTCCCACATCCCAGATGACATCATGATATCACTCTGGCCCCCAAATTTCACTGGCTGAGATGACATTGCCTCAGAAGACACTGCCCCAACGAAGAATTTTCCATCGGAGTTGAGTTTGACCCTTGTGCTAGAAACTATACACCTCTTACCCAAAAATCTCCACCCAGTGATGCTCATGGATGGCCTTTCCTAAGGTACAAAATGGATACAATATTTTTTGGTTTTCCTCCTGAGCTCTGCTTAACCCATGATACTGTTACACTCTTAACTCTCTCCTAATGTAGACCCCTACACTTCCATGCCTAAAGAAAAATCTGAGGCTCACACCGGTAATCGCAGCACTTTGTGAGGCTGAGGCAGGTGGATTTTCTGAGGTCAGGAGTTCAAGACCAGCCTGGCCAACCTGGTGAAACCCTGTCTCTACTAAAAATACAAAAATTAGCTGGGCGTGGTGGCAGGTGCCTGCAATCCCTGCTACTTGGGAGGCTGCGGCAAGAGAATCACTTGAACCCGGGAGTTGGAATTTGCAGTGAGCTGAGATCATGCCATTGTGCTCCAGTCTGGGCAACAAGAGTGAAACTCTGTCCCCCACCCCAAAAAAAAAATTAGCCGGGCAGGGTGGTGGGAGCCTGTAATCCCAGCTACTCTAGAGTCTGAGGCAGGAGAATTGCTTGAACCTGGGTGGCGGGGGTGGCAGTGATCCAAGTTTGTGCCACTGCACTCCAGCCTGGGTGACAGAGCGAGACTCCATCTCAAAAAAAAAAAAAAAAAGAAAGAAAGAAAGAGAAATCTGGTACAGGTGACTAAAATTAATGAAGATCTTGCTTTTTCCAGTGCTTTTTTATTTATTTATTTATTTTTATTTATTTTTTTGACATTGGCTTCTGGGCAGAAATTGACAAGTGAATCCTAAACTTCAAACAGAAATGGAAAAAACACCAAATAGCCAAAACAATTGTGAAAAAGAGGAACACAGTTGAAGGACTCCCATTTCTGGATTTCAAAACTTACTACAAAGTTGCAGTAATCAAAACAATGTGGCACTGGCTTAGGGACAGAGCTACAGATTAATGGTATAGAATTGAGAGTCCGGGGCCAGGGCGCGGTGGCTCATGCCTGTAATCCCACCACTTTGGGAGGCCCACACAGGCCGATTACTTGGGGCCAGGCCCCACCTTCCTCCCTGCCCTTCTACCATCCACAGGACTGGATCTGATCTCAACCTGGTGTTCTGGGCTTGGACCCACCTTCTGCTCCGCCCCCAATCATGGCTCCTCCCCCAGCGTAGTCCGGCCCACAGGCCTGATTCTAACCTCAAGCTCATCCTCTGGGCCTGGCCTCACCTTCCTCCTGGTCCTCTAGCGTGGGCCCGTGCCCCTGGCCCATAGCTCCCTCCACAGGCCTGACTAACTTCAACCTTGTTCTCTGAACCTGGGGACTCCAGCTTCCTCTGTGAGTCCACAGCAAGTCTCAGCTGCACCCACGCGGGAGGAAACTAGAATTTCTCGACGTAATGTCTTCCAGCAAGGCTGAAGCACGAGCAGCAGAGCCACTCCTGGCTGGAGGCTGTAAGCGGAAGTGACGCAAGCGAGGCGCCACCCTCTTTTCCGGTACTGGCTCCGCGAGCCTGAGCGAGGTTTACCCATGGTTGTCCTTGATTTCGGAGGGAGCAAGTGTACTGGTAGTGGAACGGGTGGTGAGAGTTGAAGTTTATCCGAAGCTGCCGAGGGGCCTTCTTAGAGATACTTGGCCTGCTGTGCTCGCGTCAGGTAGGTCTGCGAGGCCGCTCGGGCTGTCAGTCCTCGCGAAAGTCGGGGTCGATAATTGCCGCCCTCACCCATGGAGCTCCCTTCAAAAGCCTCCAAAAAGACCATTGTGAGTTTTTTCTATGAGGAAAAGAATTTCCTCCACTTGAGCCACGTTAACTTGTCCCCCAGCGTCGTCCTGCCTTACAGACCCTGCGATTCCCGCGCATTCCGGTGAGCACTGGGTGAGGGATGGTTCAAGGGGGCATCTTGTTATACGAACGAATGTTTCAACTGAGAATGTTCCTTTGTTTATGCGTCATAAACGTATTTTTGACGCCATACATTCTGTTATAAAGACACTTTAATAAGTATCTAGGGAGTGCATATTTCTCTACGGAAATATAAAATTATGTAGACCACAAACAGGTCTTTCTACTGAAGAAAAATAAGAATGCTAAGCTATTTTGATCTGAACTTCGTAGGCCTGGACCTCCCCACAGATTTTAAAAACAGGCGCTGGCCAGGTGCGGTGGCTCACGCCTGTAATCCCAGCACTTAGGGAGACCGAGGCAGGCAAATCACCTGAGGTCAGGAGTTTGAGACCAGCCTGGCCAACATGGCAAAACCTCGTCTCTACTAAAAGTACAAAAAAATTAGCTAGGCGTGGTGGCGCACGTCTGTAATCCCAATTACTTGGGAGGCTTAGGCAGGAGAATCACTTGAATCCAGGAGGAGGAAGTTAGTGAGCTGAGATCGTGCCACTGCACTCCAGCTGGGGTGACAGACCGAGACTCTGTCTCAAAAACAACAACAACAAAAAACCCAAGCAAACGAACAAACCAGGGGCCCACCCGGGGTACGGGGTCTCGTACCCGGGGTACAAGACCAATCTGGGCAACATAGCGAGACCCCGTCTTTACAAAAAAAAAAAAAAAAAATTAAAAATCAGCCAGAGATGGTGGTGTGTGCCAGCTACTCGGAAGGCTGAGGCGGGAGAATCACTTGAGACAGAGAGTTCCAGACTACAGTGAGCTATGATCACGCCATTGTTCTCCAGCCTGGGCTACAGAGCAAGACCTTGCCTCTTAAACAAAAAGACAAAAATGGGCACCCAGGAGGAAAGGATATAGATTTTGTTGCACTAGTATTAGGAATCAAATTTACCATTCGCCCTCTCCCTAGAAAACTAAAATACCTTTTATGGTGAAGTATTTGAGGGTAAGTTGAAAATTGCAGGAAATTGATACTTGACTTTCAGGTAGTTGGTAATGCATTTTCTAAAGATAAAGGATACTGGTCTACTAAAACCACAGTATTTGTATTTCAACCAAGAAAAATTTAAAAAAAGTCATTTAGGCTGGGCACAGTGGCTCACACCTGTAATCCCAGCACTTTGGAAGGCCGAGGCGGGTGGCTCACTTGAGGCCAGGAGTTCGAGACCAGCCTGGCCAACATGGCGAAACCCCATCTCTACTATAAATAAATAAATAAAGCCAGCACCGGTGATCCCACCAGCTGAGACGGGAGAATCACATGAACTCGGGAGGTGGAGGTTGCAGTGAGCCGAGATCGCGCCACTGCATTCCAGCCTGGGTGGCAGAAGGAGACTGTGTCTCAAAAAAAAAAAAAAAAAAAAAAAAAAGAACGACTCATCTAGTATCTACTTTGTAAAAACAAAATTCTCTACATGGTTCCAAAATAGGCCCTTGGGACCTAAGATCTATTTAAAGTTTATGGCCTTTAGTATCTTTGAACCTAGACCAGTTACTATGGTTTCTCTGTCAAATCAACTTTTTGAAGAGTCACATATTATTTCAGAAAGACACCCATTTTAATATTTCTGATTGTAGACTTATGGTGTGTTTAAATATTTCTTTTATTTTTTGTATTTCTTATAAAGTGATTAATGCTAATGGTTCATTAAGGCATAATGAAAAAAAAAAAATCCAACCAAGGGCTGCTCTTAGGGAACTTGTAAACTAGTGGAGGGGCAGACGTCTAACCAAGCAAATAAATGTTTCATTACAATTTTTTTTTTTAAATTGAGACAGAGTCTCCCTCTGTTGCCCAGGCTGGAGTGCAGTTGTGCCATCTCTGCTCACTGCAACCTCCGCCTCTCAGATTCAAGCAAGTCTCATGTCTCAGCCTCCCAAGTAGCTGAGATTACAGGCATGCGCCACCACGCCTGGCTAGAGATGGGGGTTTCATCCTGTTGGCCTGGCTGGTCTTGAACTCCTGACCTCAGGTGATCCACCTGCCTCAGCCTCCCAAAGTGCTGGGATTACAAGGGTGAGCCACTGCGCTTGACTTATTATTACAAATTGATGAGAGTTTTGGAAGTAGAGGACAGTATTGTTTTCTATGTGTATATATGGGAATAGATGAATGTAAGAAAAGTGAGTTCTATTTAAGGTGAGACCAAAAAGATGGTGTCTAAATAAGCCATATTGAAAGGAAAGGGAGTAGGAGTTAAGGAAAGCATCATATAAATTGGCTGATTACATATCTACGGAGAGAGGTGAGTACATCAAGGGTTTTTCTTAGGTTTGATAGAATTTTCTTTGGGGATTAAAATGAGGGATGAATCTAATCTACAACATTATAACTACAGAAAAAATGATGTCTAATCATCACTTTATTCTACTCATGAAAAACTAATTTTCTTAAGTAGGAAATTAATTGAAAGAATCAGAATCAGTGGCTGGCTGAGCACTTGAAAATAAGTTCTACATGAAAATTCACTTAATTACCAATCTTAGCAAATATGTGTTCATATATGGAGGGGCAAGGCTCTCCGTGGTATTCAGTTCAACTTTGGGTTCTTCCTACCCAAAGTAGGACTCCATTTCCCAGAAGAAATGTACAGAGTTACCAGTCCCGTGTGAGACTCCTATGTCACCGACACATCTACTCACTCCATGGGTAAATGAAATCAGAAGACTCTCTTGCTGACATGGGCTGCCAGAAAGCTCTGAAGGAAACATGAGGCTTAAAAATACCCACATTGGGCCGGGCACGGTGGCTCACGCCTGTAATCCCAGCACTTTGGGAGGCCGAGGAGGGTGAATCATGAGGTCAGGAGTTCAAGACCAGCCTGGCCACAATGGTGAAACCCCGTCTACTAAAAATACAAAGATTAGCTGGGCATGGTTGTGGGCGCCTGTAATCCCAGCTACTGGGGAGGCTGAGGCAGAGAATTGCTTGAACCCAGGAGGCGGAGGTTGCAGTGAGCTGAGATCGTGCCACTGCACTACAGCCTGGGCGACAGAGCAAGACTCTGTCTCAAAAAAAAAAAAAAAAAAAGAAATACATTACCATCTGTATTTGTCACTTAGGGGTCCCAGTGAGCTAGCTGGACACAGAGAAAAAAATGGTTTGTTCTGAAGATAAAGCTGATGAGGATGTGCGTATTCTGCTGGTTGTAGAGAGTATTAGAGAAAATTTCAAAAACTATTGGCAACATCTACTAAATTTGTACACGTACATGTGCTCTAACATAAGAGTAATGGCTCCAGTGTGCATCAAGATAACATTAAAGACATTTCACCAGCATTATTTGATGTAATCCTCAATTGGGAATTACTCAAATGAGATCAACAGAATGGGTAAATTGTGGCATAATTATACTACTGGAATGCTCTACAGCAAATGAAGTAATAAAGGTAGATACAGTGATATGGATCAACTTCACTAACATAATCTTAAGATCACGTGTTAGGCCAGGCACGGTGGCTCACGCCTGTAATCCCAACACTTTGGGAGGCTGGGGCGGGTGGATCATGAGGTCAGGAGTTTGAGACCAGCCTGACCAATGTGGTGAAACCCTGTCTCTACTAAAAATACAAAAAAAAAAAAAATTAGTCAGGCGTGGGGGCGTGCGCCTGTAATCCCAGCTACTCAGAAGGGCTGAGGCAGGAGAATCACTTCAACCCAGGAGACGGAGGTTGCAGTGAGCCGAGATCACGCCACTGCACTCCAGCCTAGGTGACAGAGCGAGACTCCGTCTCAAAAAAAAAAAAAAAAAAAAAAATCACCGGTCAGTTGTTTCTACCTAGTACCAGAGCCAAGGTGTTTCTCAAAAAGAGGGTAGTTTCCTGCAGAAGATGGCATGGATTTGCTCCACACTACTGTGCTGCGCGTCTCCTATTGGTGCTTGCCAGAGAATGCTATGGAGGCATTGAGTATGATTGGATCTACTAGATCATTTGGACGAAGTGCTTGAGAATGTTATAGAGCAGCCTGAACTTGATGCAGGGCGCTTTGCTTTGTTTTTTGTTTTGTTTTGTTTTTTGAGACGGAGTTTTGCTCTGTCGCCCAGGCTGGAGTGCAATGGCACAATCTCAGCTCACTGCACCCTCTGTCACCAGGGTTCAACCGATTCTCCTGCCTCAGCCTCCCAAGTAGCTGGGATTACAGGTGTGCACCACCATGCCCAGCTAATATTTGTATTTTTAGTAGAGATGGAGTTTCACCATGTTGGCCAGGCTGCTCTTGAACTCCCAACCTCAGGTGATCCACCCACCTCGGCTTCCCAAAGTGCTGGGATTAAAAATATGAGGCACCTCGCCTGGCTTGCAAAGCACTTTCCTTCTGTGACCCCACTGAATGTCTCATAGGTGACTTTGTAGACTGAATAAAACACATTCAAAAGTGGTGTATGTTTTAAAAGGAAACATTGTCATTTGCAACATCATGGATGGATGTGGAGGACAATATGTTAAGTGAAATAAGCCAGGTATGGGAAAACAAATACCAGATGATCTCCCTTGTATGTATAATTTAAAAAGTTGGATTCATAGAAGGAGAGACAGAATGGTAGTTACCAGGGGCTTAGGGGTATGGGTTGGGGAGATGTTGGTCAAAGTAAGGGAGGAGACCACCTCTCATATTGTCTTATGCCCAATTTCTGCCTCCAAAGAAAAAAAGAAGTAAAAACTAAAAGGCAGAAATGAAACCCACAGGCAGACATCCCGGCGTCAAACCCTGGGCCTAGTTGTTAAAGACAGACCCCTGAACTAATTGGTTATGCTATCTATAGATTACAGACATTGTATGGAAAAGGACTGTGAAAAACCATGTACTGTTCTGTTCCATTCTAATTACCGGTGCAGGTGCATGCAGCCACTAGTCATGTACCCCCTGCTTGATCAATCGATCGCAACCCTCTCACACTGACCCCCTTAGAGTTGTAAGCCCTTAAAAGGGACAGAAATTGCTCGCTCAGGGAGCTCTGTTTTTGGAGATGTGAGTCTGCCTATGCTCCCAGCTGAATAAAGCCCTTTCCTTCTACAATTCGGTGTCTGAGGGGTTCTTGTCTGTGGCTCATCCTGCTACACTTTCTTGATTCCCTGGCTGGGAAGCGAGGTGATTAATGGAAGGTTGAGGCAGCCCCTTAGGTGGCTTAGGCCTCCCCTGTGGAGCATCCCTCTGGGGGACTCTGGCCAGCTTGAGCGACTCGGATCCTGAGAGCATTCCCAGGTAGTCAGTTGCCCCGGTGGAACACCTCGCTGGAGCAGTGCGTGGCAGGCCCCCGTGGAGGATCAACACAGTGGCTGAACACCGGGAAGGAACTGGCACTTGGAGTCCGGACATCTGAAACTTGGTAAGACTGGTCTTTGGAACTTGCCCACTCCATTTGAGTGGAAGCGTGGCCTGATCACCCATGACATGCCTGTACTGGCACTTTGGTTTTTGTTTTTGACTTGACTGGGATTGCTTGATACTTTGGTTTTGGTTTTGACCTGGCTTGGATTCCCTGATACTCTGATTTTGTTCTGATTCTGGTTTGGCATAAACTATAAAAGTGTGTGTGTGTCCTCTTTACTCGTTCTTTATTTTGTGGTGTGCTTGTGGTTTGAGTGTGGTGTTTTGTCTCAAGGAAACATGGGTCAGGCACAAAGTAAGCCCACCCCACTAGGAATATGTTGAAAAATTTCAAAAAGGGATTTAAGGGAGACTATGGAGTTATTATGACAGCAGGAAAACTTAGAACTTTGTGTGAGATAGACTGGCCTGCATTAGAGGTGGATTGGCCATCGGAAGCCTGGACAGGTCCCTTGTCTCGAAGGTATGGCACAGGGTAACCCATAAGCCAGGCACCCAGATCATTTCCTGTATATAGATTCTTGGTTAAAGCTAGTTTTGGATCCCCCACAGTGGTTAAGATGACAGGCAGCAGCAGTACTAGTAGGAAAGGGACAGTTAAGGAAGGTTCTTGCTCCACACACCAAGGGAAATCAGCACCAAAAGTCCTGTCAGACCCAACACCAGAAGAATCATGGCAGGAATTGGTACCAGCAGTACCCCCTCCTTATCGAGAGGAAGGGGTCCCCACTCCTGAGCCCACAGCACCTATACCTCTGCCAGATAGCCACACTCCTAGACCACCCAGAGTGGACAAAAGAGGAAGTGAAGCTGTGGGAGAAACTCCTCCTTTGGCAGCTCGCTTACAGCCCAAGACTGGAATCCAAACACCCCTGAGAGAGCAGCGATATACTGGGGTAGATGAGGATGGAGACGTGGTGGAAAGGCATGCCTTTGTGTGTCAACCTTTCACCTCTGTTGACCTCCTCAATTGGAAAAATAATACTCCATCTTACACCAAAAAGCCTCAAGCTTTAATTGACTTGCTCCAAACTATTATGCAGACTCATAATCCTACTTGGGCTGATTGCCACCAGCTACTCATGTACCTCTTTAATACAGACGAACAGCGAAGGGTGCTCCAGGCAGCAACTAAGTGGCTAGAGGAGTACGTCCCAGCAGATTACCAAAACCCCCAGTAATATATAAGAATTCAGCTGCCAGGAACAGACCCCCAATGGGACCCAAACAAGGGACCAGACATGGTACTGTGAGGCATTAATAGAAGGTCTAAAGAAAGGGGCTCAAGAGGCTACAAATGTAAATATGGTCTCTGAGGTCATCCAAGGAAAAGAGGAGAGTCCAGCGCAATTCTATGAAAGACTGTGTGAGACTTACCTTATGTACACTCCTTTTGATCCAGATAGCCCTGAAAATCAGCGCATGATTAACATGGCCTTAGTTAGTCAAAGCGCAGAAGATACCAGGAGAAAATTGCAGAAACAGGCTGGGTTTGTGGGTATGAATACCTCACAGTTACTGGAAATAGTCAATCAAGTGTTTGTGAACAGAGATGCAACAAGCTGCAGAGAAAGCCGTAAGGAAGGTGAACGCCAGGCCAAGCGAAACACCAACTTACTGGCCATGGCCATTAGGGGAATTCCCCCAAAAGGAGAGGGAAAGGGGGGTTCCGGGAAGAATACCCAGTCTAATTGCCCATGCTTGCAACATAACCAATGAGCCTATTGTAAGGAAATAGGACATTGGAAAGATAAGTGTCCCTAACTGAAGGAAAAGCAAGGTGATTCGGAACAAAAGATCTCAGATAAAGATGAGGGAGCTTTGTTCAATCTGGCTGAAGGACCACCAGAGTGAAGGCAACCAGGCTCAAGCGCCCCCAAGGAGCCCACGGTCAGGATTACAATTGGGGGCAAGGACATTAAGTTTTTGGTCGATACTGGTGCTGAACATTCAGTAGTGACCACCCTGGTCACCCCCTTATCCAAGAAAACCACTGATATAATCAGAGCAACAGGAGTTTCCACTAAGCAGGCTTTCTGTCTACCACAGACATCCTCGGTGGGGGGACATGAAATAGTTCACCAGTTCTTGTACATGCCTGACTGTCCCTTGCCCTTGCTGGGAAGAGACTTGCTTAGCAAGCTGAGAGCCACCATCTCCTTTACAAAACAGAGCTCTTTACATCTAAAATTACCAGGAACAGGAGTTATCACAGCCCTTACAGTTCCTCAGGAAGAATAATGGAGACTTTTTCTAACAGAGCCAGGCCAAGAGATAAAACCAGCTCTAGCTAAACAATGGCCTCAAGTATAGGCAGAAGATAATCCTCTGGAACTGGCAGTCAACCAAACCCCCATACTCATAGAAGTTAAGCCTGGGGCCCAACCAGTTAGATAAAAGCAGTATCCGGTTCCCAGAGAAGCTCTTGAAGGAATCCAGGTTCATCTCATGTGCGTGAAAGCCTGTGGAGTTATAGTTCCTTGCCAGTCTCCACGGAGCACCACCCTGCTGCCTGTCCCTAAGCCAGGGACCAAGGACTACCGGCCAGCACAGGACTTGCGCTTGGTCAACCAAGCTACAGTGACTCTGCACCAACAGTTCCTAACCCTTACACATTGTTAGAGCTGCTGCCAGCTGAGGACAGCTGGTTTACCTGTCTGGACTTAAAAGACACCTTCTTTAGCATCAGACTAGCTCCTGAGAGCCAGAAGCTGTTTGCCTTTCAATGGGAAGATCTGGGGTCAGGTGTCACTACTCAGTACACATGGACCTGGCTTCCCCAAGGGTTCAAGAACTCCCCTACTATCTTCAGGGAGGCCCTGGCTCGAGACCTGCAAAAGCTTCCTGCTGAAGACCTAGGCTGCGTCTTGCTCCTGTACATGGACGACGTTCTGCTGGGACACTCCACAGCAGTTGGGTGCACAAAAGGGACGGATGCCCTGCTTTGGCACCTGGAAGACTGTGGATATAAGGTGTCCAAGAAGAAAGCTAAGACCTGCAGACAGCACGTACGCTACCTGGGATTCACTATTCGGAAAGGGGAGCACACCCTGGGGCAGAAAGAAAGCAGGTCATCTGCAACCTACCAGAACCTAAAACCAGAAGGCAAGTAAGGGAATTCCTAGGAGCTGTGGGGTTTTGTAGATTATGAATTCCAAACTTTGCAGTACTAGCCAAACCTTTGTACAGGGTTACAAAGGGGGGCGACCAGGTGTCTTTTGAACGGGGGCCTCTACAACAGCAAGCCTTTTGTAAGTTAAAGGAAAAACTTACGTCGGCTCCAGCCCTAGGACTACCAGATTTCACAAAGCCCTTTACTCTCTATGTGTCAGAAAGAGAAAAAATGGCAGTTGGGGTTTTAACCCAGTCTGTGGGGCCCTGGCCAAGGCCAGTGGCCTATCTCTCAAAACAACTAGATGGGGTTTCCAAAGGCTGGCCACCATGTCTAAGGGCCCTGGCAGCAACAGCCCTGTTAGCACAAGAAGCAGATAAACTAACCCTTGGGCAAAACCTGAATATAAATGTCCCCCATACTGTGGTAACCTTGATGAATACCAAAGGACATCATTGGCTAACAAATGCTAGATTAACCAAGTACCAAAGCTTGCTATGTGAAAATCCCCACATAACCACTGAAATCTGTAACACCCTAAGTCCCGCCACCCTGCTTCCAGTATCAGAGAGCCCAGTCAAGCGTAACTGTGTAGAGGTGTTGGACTCAGTTTATTCTAGCAGACCTGACCTTTGAGACCAGCCATGGGCATCAGTAGACTGGGATTTATACATGGATGGGAGCAGCTTCATCAACCCACAAGGAGAAAGATGTGCAGGATATGCGGTGGTAACTTTGGATGCTGTCATTGAAGCCAAACCGTTGCCACAGGGTGTTTCAGCCCAGAAGGCTGAGCTCATTCTTTAACTCGGGCTCTAGAACTCAGTGAAGGTAAGACTGTAAACATCTACACTGACTCTCGATATGCATTTCTAACCCTCCAAGTGCATGGAGTGTGGAGCATTATATAAGGAAAAGGGCCTGTTAAACTCTGGGGGAAAGGACATAAAATATCAACAAGATATTCTACAATTATTAGAGGCAGTGTGGAAACCTCAGAAGGTGGCAGTCATGCACTGCAGGGGACACCAGTGAGCTTCCACCTCAGTGGCCTTGGGAAACTCTCGAGCTGATTCAGAAACTCGAAAAGCAGCATCTACCCCTTACCGGGCATCGGTAGCAGCCCCCTTACTCCCTCAAACACCTGACCTGGTACTACCTATTCTAAGGAAGAAAAAGACTTCTTCCATGCAGAAGGGGGGCAAGTAATAAAAGGAGGATGGAACAGACTGCCAGATGGGAGGGTAGCTGTGCTGCAGTTAATGGGAGCCACAATCGTATTGGCCATGCACGAAACCACTCATCTAGGTCAAGAGTCACTTGAAAAATTGTTAGGCCGGTACTTCTACATCTCACACTTGCCAGCCCTTGCAAAGCAGTAGCACAATGGTGCATTACTTGCCGACAGCACAATGCGAGGCAAGGCCTCACTGTTCCACCCGGCATACAAGCTTATGTACGGCTCCTTTTGAGGATCTTCAGGTGGATTTCACAGAAATGCCGAAATGTGGAGGTAACAATTATTTGCTGGTTCTTGTGTGTACTTACTCTGGGTGGGTGGAGGCTTATCCAACATCAACTGAAAAGGTCTACGAGGTAACCTGTGTGCTTCTCTGAGATCTTATTCCTGGGTTTGGACTGCCCTTATGAATCAGCTCAGAACATGGCCTGGCGTTTGTGGCTGACTTGGTACAGATTAGCCGGGTGCATTAGCAGCACCTGTATTCCCAGCTACTTGGGAGACTGAGGCATGAGGATCACTTGAGCCTGGGAGGTGGAGGTTTCAGTTAGCCCAGATTGTGCCACTGCATTCCAGCCTGGAAGATGGAACAAGACTTTGTCTCAAAAAAAATTTAATCATTGAAAAGTAAAATAATAATTGTCATCAAAATAATGTTTCTGTGTTCAAATGGGTGAAATCTCTTAATATGTTGGAAAATGTTTTAAATCCTTTATCCCCTCATCAGCAGACAAGAAGCTACAGTGGATGGAAACTCTGTAAGAATTGTGAAGAGGTCTTCAGGGAGCTGTTTTTCCTTAAGACACACATGAGAGCTCAGAATGGAGGGAACACTTTTGAGGGTAATTGTTATGGAAAAGACACCCTTAGTGTGCACAAAGAAGCCTCTATTGGACAGGAACTTTCTAAATTTAATCCATGTGGAAAAGTCTTCACCCTAACTCCAGGCCTTGCTGAACATCTTGAAGTTCTCAATGCAAGACAACCGTACAAATGTAAGGAATGTGGAAAAGGCTTTAAGTGTTTTGCAAGCCTTGATAATCACATGGGAATTCACGCTGGTGAGAAACTCTGAATTTCAGGAATGTGGGAGAACCATCACACCCTCCTCACACCTAAAGCAGTGTGTAACAGCTCATACTGGAAAGAAATTCAAAAAGACTAAGAAATATGGGAAATCCTTCACTAATTTTTCTCAACTTTCTGCACATGTGAAAACTCATAAAGAGGAGAAGTCCTTTGATTGTAAAGAATGTGGAATTTCCGTTAGAAATTCCTCATATCTTAATGATCACATTCAAACTCCAACTGGAGTAAAAACCACACAAATATACAGACTGTGGGAAAGCCTTCACTAGATCAATTCAACTTACTGAACATGTAAGAACTCACACTGGGGTAAAACCCTATGAATGTAAGGAATGTGGGAAAGCCTTCACTCAGTACACGGGCCTTGCTATACACTTACGAAGTCACAGTGGAGAGAAACCCTATCAGTGTAACAAATGTGGAAAAGCCTTCACTAGATCCTCAGGCCTTACTCAACATACAATAATTCAGATGGGAGAGAAGCCTTATGAATGTGTTGAATGTGGAAAAACCTTCATTACTTCTTCCCATCGTACTTAACATTTGAAAACTCATAGTGGAGAAAAGCCCTTTGTATGCAAGATATGTGGGAAAGCATTTATATTTTCCTCATCCCTTAATATTCACCTGCAAACTCATACTGGAGAGAAACCCTTCATATGTAAAGAATATGGGAAAGCATTTATTGTTTCCTCACACCTAGGTAGACATAAAATCATGGCTGGGCACAGTGGCTCATGCCTGTAATCCCAGCACTTTGGGAGGCCAAGGTGGGTGGATCATGAGGTCAGGAGATCTGAGACCATCCTGGCTAACACGGTGAAACCCCATCTCTACTAAAAGTACAAAAAATTTGCCAGGCATGGTGGCATGCACCTGTAGTCCCAGCTACTCAGGACGCTGAGGCAGGAGAATCCCTTGAACCTTGGAGGCAGAGGTTGCAGTGAGCCGAGATCGATTGAGCCACTGCACTCCAGCCTGGACAACAGAGTGAGACTTCATTTCAAAAAAAAGAATTCACACTGGGGAGAAACCCTATGAATATAAGGGTATGAGTGTTACCATTTAGCTCATCGGTTGCCATCTTTAATTATTGGCAGTGACACCAGAAGATTATCAGATTTGTCCTAAATGCCTTGTGAGGGTTGTAATGGCTGATGGACTGGCCTTAGATGCCATCCCAAGAGTCTGAAATTAAACCTACAGCTTCTGAATACAACTTCATGGTTGCCTGAGTCTTGGTATCTGTGAAGAAGGGTCATGGATGGTGAGGTCAGTACTGCAGGCTGCCTCACCTTGCTGATTAGATTCCTAAGATCATAGCATTAACAAGTTCTGTGTGAGATAAATCATGCA
Source organism: Homo sapiens (assembly GCF_000001405.40). Lineage (NCBI taxonomy): Eukaryota > Metazoa > Chordata > Mammalia > Primates > Hominidae > Homo > Homo sapiens. Next base: position 9,723,362 of record NC_000019.10, on the reverse strand, counting down.
GATTGACCCCAGCCCCTGTTGGTTAGTGGCTGCCAGTGGCACATTCATGTCAAAATTTACCAGAAGCCAAGATAATGTAGGCCCCAGAGTTGGGTTGTTAAAAGATGCTCCTCCAAGAGTCTTCTCTGTTCCCAGGGATCCTGCAGATCATGGCAGGAATGAAACCATCTTTTACTGCCAGTGCACTTTCAAAGCTGATTATTTCTGTGACCGCTTCTTGTAAAATCTAAGAAGTGTGACAGCCTTGCCTGTTCTGTTCTGCCTTCTCTGTCCATTTTACATGGCACAATGTAAGTGGCAGTGTCTCTTCTAGTGTAATCCAGTCTCTCTCCTCATTTCTCTTAAGATGGCTGATATAGTCCATGAATCCCACTCATGATCTCTTTATGAGATGATTTTTCAGCCACACTTTGAGGATTCTCTTCAGTACAAGTTTTCTAATTTTTGTAGTATGAATAGGCTGAGAATTTTCCAAATCTCCAAGTTCTGGTTTCTTGTTCCTTAACAATTTATTCTGCAATTCAAGTCTCCTCTTTTGCATTTTCCTGTAAGCAGTCAGGAAGAATGAAGCTTCCTGTGTCCTTTAACACTTTAATTACAGATCTTAGTGATAAATACTCAATTTTATCTCTCTGAAGCTCTACCTTCCACAAAATGCTAGAATACAGTTCTGCCAAGTTCTTCACCACTTTATATCAAGGGTTGTCTTTTCTTTATTTTCCAATAGCATGTTCCTCATTCCCCAGTGACACCTCACCAGAATTACCCTTATCAACCTTATTTCCAGCTTGCACATCAGAACTTTTCGAGCTTCTACTCATTTGTCAGTTTCAAAGCTGCTTCACGTTTTTAGTTTTTTGTTTGTTTGTTTGTTTTTAATTGCAGTACCTCTACTTCTCAGTACAAAATCTGCCTTAGCTCAGGCCACCATAACAAAATACCACAGACCAAATGGCTTACAAATCCATTTAATTTTAAATAAGTGAGGTTAAAACCACAGAAATCTATTGTTGGAACAAATTTTTAGTGCCACAAAAGAAATAGCATTTGAATATAAGTTTTCTCAGCTAGGCAAATTTACTTGTATAGAAGAGTGTATCTTGTGGGTGGAGCAATGGCGAGAGCACATCACACAATGGAGAGCATTTTTAATGGAGAGGGTTTTTAATCCCTAACCCTGTTGGCCTTAGTTGCTGTTTCATTCCCCTATTGGTTGGGGTCGGCCGCACAGTCTAAGCTAAATGTAATTAGCTAATTAGAAGAGCGCAGGGAAGAACAGTTTCTGCGGGTAAAGCTGTTACAGCAGGGAGGGGGTGGTTTCCTGGCGGGCATGTCTGAGCACAGCAGGGCAGGAGGGGTTGATAGATTGGCAGGCAAGAATTATTTAGACCAGGGAATAAGACTTCAGGAGAGACAGTACAAGGAAGTGAAGACCTCATGGAGAAGAATACCTTGTTTGTAACAAAGTGAAACTCTTTGAAGAGGAACTGTTTGAACTACTTGTTTTTAACAATTTGACCCCTCTTGAATTTATACACTTCCTTCTTTAAATTTATTTAACGTGGCTTGAATTTGTCGAATTTTTAAAAAATTATTATCTAGAAGGAAAAGTTTGTCTGAATAGGGTAGGGGAGAATTGGGGAAGGTTTTAATGAGAGCTGTTTTTATAAGCCTCTAAATTAGCTTATGGATGCAAGGGATAATACAACACTTAACAAGAATGATCACATTTAGTATAATAGCAAGGGAAGTGAGGATTTAGGACGTAAGTCCTTTTAACTTGCTAAACCATTTTTCAATAAATTAGTGAAGGGATTATTTATTTTAGAAATTTTAGCTAGCTTATTGGACAAAGTAGTAATGCCTTGTAGTACTTTTGTTATGATTCATTGGTGGCAGTGCTATTAGGGATAAAAGTACAACATTTAGTTTTAATTATGACACAAATTCTACCTCTTTTTTTTTGCTAGTATTATATTTAATGCTATTTTATTTTCTTAAGTCATTTGACTGATGAGCCTTAATTGTTGACCTATTTTTTTAATAGCATCTTTGGTATAATTAAATTGTTGCTGGTTGTAATAGATGTAATTCATTTAACTTACATTTTTATTTATAGTCAACTATCAGAACAATATAGACTCAAATCCTGCAGCTATTTGGTTATGGGCCTTAAATTTATTTGGTACTCTTTGTGGAACTTCAATAGTATTTATATAAACATGAGGATTAAAGGACACACGAAGGGCATTTTTTGTTTTTGTGGTCTTTTGCCATTATCTTTCTTGGTTGATGAAATGAGAGGGGGAAAAGGATGGCCTTTTCACCTGGAAAAGGCCTAGAGCATAAGTGCCACCCTAATGGCTTGGCAGAGTACCCAGCAATAGTCCCTCGCAATACCACTACACATCTGCTTGGGGATGAACAAGGCAGACTGATTGGTAAGCTCTTGAAAAGGCTTGGTTTCACTGCACCCTGTTAAGTCTCCAAGGAATGCTAACTTTTCCCCCTGCAGTGAAAGGCACGAGGTGAAGTTAATATTAGGGACTGGAGGCCAGATGGCCCTCAGGGGCTGACCCTTAGGGCTCTTGACCTCAGGGAACAGCAGTGAAAGAGTTTCGCATGACTCATCGCCCCAGGCTGTGGGGTTTTGGAAGGGGGCTAGCATACAGCTACCATACTGTTTATGCCCAGCTGCCATACAGCTTATGCCCAGTCCATGAGAGGACCACCCAAGTGGAAAGGGGACAATTTGGGTCTCTGGCTTGCCTGTCACACAAGAGTAACAGTCGCTTTTGTTTAGCATGTGAACAGAATATTTAATCCATTCCAGCCAAGCATTTGTGTCTTGATATCCTGTTTAATTGCTATAGTTTGTTTTAAATTTTTAACCTCTGTAACAGGTACTTTGGTTTTATCATTGGGTATATAATGAGAAAAGATTTGATTAGCAGAGAACTTTGGAGAGGGAGAAGGGGGTGCAGGAGGTGGGGAAACAATGAAGTGCATTTTAAAGGATCCTAAAGCGTCCTTCCCTGATACTTCTGCTCTTATACTATAGACGTAGCTTAATGAAGGGGAAGAACTCTGGGGAGCAGAGATGGTAATCTGTACTGGATTATGATGGTTCAGCTGACAATTGGGAGGGGTAAGTGCTTTAGTAAAATAAATATAAGGTTTTAAGAAACTGCAAGTACTAGTTAGAGCAATCTATCCTTGTTCTTTAGTATTTTATAGAGCATTGGACCAACTTTGGCAGAGAAGCTCTGCCCTAGGAGGACAAGATTCCAGTTTATACTGGAATCTTTGTCAAGCTATTTTTAAACTAACTTATCCTAGTTAACAGATTTTTAGTCTGAGGAGAGCTAGGAAGGACAAAGATACTTTTCTGAAGTGGAGTGTTACCTCTGGCTTGGTAAATCTCCACAGAGCATCAAAAGGCAAGCATTAAAAGTAATAGTTTGGGGTGAACTTGACTTAGTTACATTAATCATGAGAGGACTAGTAATAGAAGGGGAAAAGAAAGAGTTGCAACATAAGAGGATTAAACCCGTTTTAGCTTTAGCTTGTTTGGAGTTGGCCCTGGAATAACTGTCCATGATTCTGGAGGGGGTGGTGCTTTTTTGACCCGGGTGTGATGGGTCCATCCTCTTTGCTGTTTCAACTGTGGTCTTGGTGGTTAGAAGCACTAGGAAGGGTCCTTCCCAAAGCCGGTTCGAGTTTTGCTTCCCTCTAGCTCTTAATGAAAACGTGATCTCCAGGTTGATGCAGGTGTGCTGGGAAATCCAGGGGTGGTGCCTGTGCTAAAAGGCCTTTAGTTCTGAGGGAAGAGAGAGTGGAAGGTAGACTAAGTATATAGTTTTTGCAAAACTGATTTTTTGTTTGTTTGTTTCGAATGTAGGAATGTCAGCAGTGGAGTGTAAATAAGGCAACCCATATACCATTTCATAAGGGGATAAGCCACCATCTTTCCGAGGGGCATTCCTGACTCTTAACAAGGCAATGGGGAGGCATTTAGTCTATGGTAACCGAATCTCTAAAACTAATTCGGTTAGATGAATTCTTAGAGTTTGTTTTTTTTATATTCTTCCTGATGAAGGTGGGTGCCGGGGGTATGGTATTTTTATGTTATGATTAGTACTTGGGCTAATTTTTTAACGGCATGTGCAGTGAAATAAGTCTTATTTTCTGAATCAATATTTTCTATTAATCTAAACTTGGGTATAATGTTTTCAATTAATGCTTTAACTACATTACTGGCTGTTGCACTTGAAAAGAGAATAGCCTCTACCTAGTGAGTAAGGTGATTTACATTACTAGTAGGTACTTTAGGCAACCAATTTGGGGCCATTTTGGTGTAATCAGTTTGGACACTTTAGAACGGCCTTAATCCTGGCTCCCTTCCTCCAAGGGGTGACTTTCTTAGAGTTTGCTTATTAGTGTATATATATACACACACACACACACACACACACACACACATATATGTATGTATGTATGTATGTATGTATGTATATATTAGGTAACTATCTGTAAGTTGTTTGCCAGAGTATACATTTTTACACATCCATAGACTCTGAGAGTTGCATCACATATAGCTTGGGACTTAGGCTGCTGAGTGGGGAGATGGTGGAGGCACGGCTGCCCAGGCTCAGGCTGCTGCGAGGTCTGCTCTCCTCTATCAAGGGTCAGCTATTGGGTCCAAATGACAGGGGCAAGAGGATGGTGTGGGTGCTGTGGCACCCAAGCAGTCTCCTGCCTCCTTTTTCTACTAGTTGCTGTCTCTCATAGTTCTCAATCTCTCTCCTCACCTGCTCACTCACTTTTTGTCTCTTTGTCTCCTGTCTTTTCCTCTTTTTTTATTTTTGCAATTTTTTTTTTTTGAGATGGAATTTCGCTCTTTCTGCCCAGGCTGGAGTGTAATGGTGTGATCTCAGCTTGCTGCAACCTCTGCCTCCTGGGTTCAAGCGATTCTCCTGCCTCTGCCTCCCAGGTAGCTGGGATTATAGGCGCTTGCCACCATGCCCAGATAATTTTTTGTATTTTTAGTAGAGACAGGGTTTCACCATGTTGGCCAGGATAGTCTCGATCTCTTGACCTCGTGATCCACCTGCCTCAGCCTCCCAAAGTGCTGGGATTACAGGTGTGAGCCACTGCTCCTGGCCTCCTCTCTCTTCTACACTATTTCTCTCCTTAGTCTCACTTTCTGTGTCCCTCTCTGATCTCTGTCTCGTTTAGTCTCTTTCTCACTCATTCTCTCCTTCTATCTCTGTCTCTAATTTTTTTGTTTCTCTCTACATTTTTTATTTTTAGACTCATAGGGTTTTTTTTTAAGTCTCTATCTCATTTGCAATCTCTCTTTTTTTCTCTCTCTCTGTCATCCCCTGTTTCTTCTCTGTTGGGAGCAGGCCCCTCAAAATGTGGCCATAAACTGGCCCTAAAACTGGCCATAAACAAAACCTCTGCAGCACTGTAACATGTTCATAATGGCCCTAATGCCCACGCTGGAAGGTTGTGGGTTTACCGGAATGAGGACAAGGAACACCTGGCCTGCTCAGGGCGGAAAATGGCTTAAAGGCATTCTTAAGCCACAAACAATAGCATGAGCGATCTGTGCCTTAAGGACATGCTTCTGCTGCAGTTAACTAGCCCAACCTATTCCTTTAATTCAGCCCATCTCTTCATTTCCCATAAGGGATACTTTTAGTTAATTTAACATGTATAGAGATAATGCTAATGACTGGTTTGCTGTTAATAAATACGTGGGTAAATCTCTGTTTGGGGCTCTCAGCTCTGAAGGCTGTGAGACCCCTGATTTCCCACTTCACACCTCTATATTTCTGTGTGTGTGTCTTTAATTCCTCTAGCACCACTGGGTTAGGGTCTCCCTGACTGGGCTGGTTTCGGCAAGTGGTGTCCATCGTGGGGGTTTGAATCCAGGTTGAAGTGTCACCAGAGCGATGGTTGGAATGGAAAACTAGCTGGAGGACACCCGAGCACTCTTAAAGCAATCCCCATGGTGAGTAAGAAGGGGAGCTTGGAAGCATCAGGGTAACAATGGGACAGGTGTGGGGTCTGGTTCGTTTCACCTTGGAGCTTTTTCACGCTGATGATGATGAGGAACTAGAGTATAACAAAGTAACAGAAGAGGTTACAGAGCAGGTTTATTTGCCAGCTAAAGCTAAAGCAGCAAAGGAGGGAGAGGTTCATCTCTACCCTTCTGCACCCCGTCATTATTATTTTGAAGAAAAAGACCCTCCAGATCTTTCTTTTCCGGAGGACACTGGGTGAAAAGTAGTTGCCCCAGTGACTGTTTGAGCTCAGGCAGGAATTCAGCAAGCTAGACGAGGGGTGATTTAGAGGCTTGGCAGTTCCCTGTTAGAATACACCCCCTAGATCAACAGGGAAATATTATAGCTACATTTGAGCCTTTTCCTTTTAAATTCAGGAAAGCACATTTAGTTGATTATATCAAGTCCTGTGATGGTATCGGAGGTAATCTGCATAAAGCTACTTTGTTGGCACAGGCAATGGCAGGACTGAGAGTGGATAAAGGAAATATTCCATTTCCTGGAGCTTGTTTTAACTGTGGGAAGCATGGTCATACTAAAAAAGAATGTAGAAAAAATCAGCGAGTCAGCCTGCCAGATAGGGGAAGAAAGAAAACTGCTGATCCTGAAATATGTCCAAAATATAAAAAAGGAAAACATTGGGCTAATCAGTGTCACCCTAAGTTTGATAAAGATGGGAACCCAATTTCAGGAAACACCATGAGGGGCCTGTCCTGGGCCCCATTCTAAAGTGGGGCATTTCCAACTCAGGCCGTTCCCTCACCCCTGTACAATATCTGTCCCCTGCCACAGCTGGTAGTGCTGCAGTAGATTTATGCTGCACAAAAGCTGTAAGCCTTCTGCCTGGGGAAGCCTTGCAAAAGGTCCCAACAGGAGTCTGTGGACCCTTGCGAGAAGGGACAATAGGATTACTTTTAGGAAGGCCTAGTTAAAGTTTAAAAGGCATACAAATACATACAGGAGTCATTGATTCAGATTACATTTGGGAAATTCAAATTGTTATATCTACTTCTGTTCCCTGGAAAGCAGAGCCAGGAGAGTGCATACCACAGCCCCTGATTGTGCCACATGTGGGAATGGGGAAAAGTGAAATTAAGTGAACAGGAGGATTTGGAAGCACAAATAAACAAGGCAAAGCAGCTTATTGGGTAAATCAAATTACTGATAAATGTCCTGCCTGTGAAATAACTATTCAGGGAAAGAAATTTAAAGGTTTGGTAGACACAGGAGATGACATTTCAATCATTTCTCTCCAGCACTGGCCATCCACGTGGCCAATTCAACCTGCTCAATTTAACATAGTTGGAGTTGGTAATGCCCCTGAAGTATATCAAAGTAGTTATATTTTGCATTGTGAAGGGCCCGATGGACAACCTGGGACTATTCAACCAATTATAACTTATGTACCTATAAATTTATGGGGAAGAGATTTATTACAACAATGGGGAGCACAAGTTCTAATTCCAGAACAATTATATAGCCCTCAAAATCAACATATGATGCATGAAATGGGGTATGTCCCTGGTATGGGACTAGAAAAAAATTTGCAAGGTTTGAAAAAACCACTTCAAGTGGAAAGACAAAGTTCCTGCCAAAGATTGGGATGTCATTTTTGATGGCGGCCATTGTTAAGCCTCCAGAACCTATACCTTTAAAATGGTTAACAGATAAGCCAATTCGGATAGAACAATGGCCGCTAAGTAAAGAGAAACTGGAGGCTTTAGAGAAATTAGTTACTGAACAATTAGAAAATGGGCACATAGCTCCAACATTTTCCCCTTGGAATGCTTCAGTTTTCTTAATTAAGAAAAAATTAGGTAAATGGAGAATGTTAACTGACTTAAGAACTATCAATTCAGTTATACAACCTGTGGGAGCATTACAGCCAGGATTGCCTTCTTCTGCTATAATTCCAAAAAATTGGACTTTAATAGTCATAGATATAAAAGAATGTTTCTTTACTGTCCCTTTAGCTGAGCAAGACTGTGAACGGTTTGCATTTACAATTCCAGCAGTAAACAACCTGTAGCCTGCTAAGCATTATCATTGGAAAGTGTTGCCACAGGGCATGTTAAACAGTCCAACAATTTGCCAGATGTACGTGGTGCAAGCAATTGAACCTACTTGTAAAAAATTTTTGGTGTTACATTATTCATTATATGGATGATATAGTTTGTGCTGTCCCCATTTGAGAAATATTACTCCAATGTTATGATCACTTGCAAAATTCGATTTCTTGCACTGGTTTAATTATAGCAACCGAGAAAATTCAGACTACTACTACTCCTTACTCCTACTTGGGGACCTTAGTAAATGACACTATCATTGTGCCACAGAAAGTAACCATATGTAGGGATCAATTAAAAACATTAAATGACTTTTGAAAATTACTAGGGGAAATTAATTGGATACGACCTGCTCTAGGCATTCCTACCTATGCCGTGAGTAATCTGTTTTCTATCCTTAGAGGAAATCCTAGTCTCACTAGCCCTTGGCATTTAACAAAGGAGGCTGAGGCAGTTACAACTGATTGAGAAACAAGTCCATAAAGCTCAAATAAATAGAATAGATCCAGAGAAGACTCTAGATTTGCTAATTTTTTCAACTCAGCATTCACCTACTGGTGTTATTTTCCAAGAACAGGACTTAGTAGAGTGGGTTTTTCTTCTACATACTAATTCATGGACTCTAACTCCTTATTTAGACCAAATTGCTATTATGATAGGGATTGGGAGAACTTGGATTGTTAAATTACATGGATATGATCCTGGAAAAGTTATTGTCCCTCTCACGAAGGCACAAATACAGCAAGCTTTTATAAATAGTCTTACTTGTCAAACCCATTTAGCTGACTTTGTGGGTATTCTTGATAATCATTTTCCTAAAACAAAGCTGTTTCAGTTTTTGAAATTAACTAATTGGATTCTCCCCAAAATAACTAAATTTAAACCAATTGAAGGTGCTGAGAATGTTATTACAGATGGGTCTAGTAATGGTAAAGCTTCTTATTTTGTCTCAAAAAGTAAAGTTTTCCAGACGCCCTATACTTCAGCTCAAAAAGCGGAGCTTCTAGCAGTAATTGAGGTATTGACTGCTTTTGATATGCCTATTAATGTGATTTCTGATTCTTCATAGTGGTTCATTGCAGACAGTTAATTGAAAATGCTCAGTTATTATTTCATACAGATGAACAACTGATGACTTTATTTACCCAGTTGCAAACAGCAGTTAGAAGTAGAATGCACCCTTTTTACATCAGTCACATTAGGGCTCATACACCTCTTCCAGGACCTTTGACTGAAGGGAATCAAAAGCCTGATTGCCTAGATGCTAATGCAGTATCTAATGTTAGACATTTTCACAATTTAACCCATGTTAATGCCTCTGGTCTCAAACGCAGATACAGAATTACCAGGAAAGAAGCTAAAAATATTATCCAGTGATGCCCAACTTGCCAAATGGTACATTCCTCATCTTTTACAGGAGGAGTTATTCCTTGAGGATTGGAACCTAACTCTTTTTGGCAAATGGATGTCACACATGTTCCTTCGTTTGGGAGACTAGCTTATATATGTGTATGTGTGGACACCTTTTCTCACTTTATATGGGCTACATGCTAATCAGGAGAGTGTTTGGCCTGTCTGAAACATCATCTTTTGCAGTGTTTTGTGGTGATGGGCATTCCAGCTTCTATTAAAACAGATAATGCCCCAGGATATACTAGCCAATCTCTAGCTACATTTTTCTCTATGTGGAGTATTAAACACATTACTGGTATCCCATACAATTCTCAAAGACAAGCCATAGTGGAAAGAATGAATCTCTCCCTAAAACAGCAGTTGCAAAAGCAGAAAAGGGGAGACGGAGAATATGGAACCACACAGATACAACTGAATCTAACATTATTAACATTAAATTTTTTGAACCTGCCCAAAGGCCAGATGTTATCAGCAGCTGAACAGCATCTACAGAAACCAGCTGCAAAGACAGAAACAGAACAACTGATTTGGTGGAGAGATCCAATAATAAAAAGATGGGAAATAGGTAAAATAATAACTTAGGGTAGAGGTTATGCTTGTGTTTCTCCAGGCCAAAATCAACAGCCAATTTGGATACCATCAAGACACCTGAAACCTTATCATGAGCCAGATGCCGAGGAAGAGACTCCGGGAGGATCCCAAGGACCCCCCAGTTGCAGCCATGTCAAGACTGATGCTGAGGAGGACCCCAACTGTCACGAGTAACACCCGTTGAACACAGCCACCCACCTGGGGACAGATCAAGAAGCTGTCACAGATGGTGGAAGAAAAACTGAGGAAAGTGGGACAACCAGTCACAATGAATAATTTAATGGTAGCTATCATAGTGGTTATCACCACTGCTGTGAGTATTCCTTCAATAAGAGCTGACACAGAGAACAATTATACTTATTGGGCATATTGATCAATCTTGGCTGGCAATAATGCCTGGATGCAATCACTCTATGACCCAGTTACACATGCTTTCTGATCTCAGTATTTACCATAATAAATCTGCTCCTATAATTGAGGCATACCACCCTCAAAAACCTATTTGTAAACAGGATTGGACCCAGTTAGAAAAAATGAATGTGCTTGTTTAGGAAAATTGCATTGCAGAACAGGTAGAGGTGCTACACAATGATTCCTATGGAATCTTTATTGATTGGTCCCCTAAGGGGATGTTTAGCTTGAATTGCACCTCTCAGTCTGCATGCCCCAGCCACACTATGTTCAGCTGGTCTGAACAAAATGGTCAGATGGTAGAAATGATAAGAAGTACAACAAGAGTTCCTATTATCTGGAACCATAGCAGTATAGTGGCACTTCAACCTCAAATGATATGGCTCATTGTAGGAGCTAAACATTAAGGATTTGTGGAAACTATTAATAGCTCTTAATAAGATCACAATTTTGGAAAGAATAAAAAAGTATCTAAAAGGACACTCTACAGACTTGTTTTTGGATATTGCAAAATTAAAAGAACAGATTTTAAAACATCCCAGGCACACCTGACCTTAATGCCAGGAACTGGGGTGCTTAAAGGAGCTGCAGACAAATTAGCAGCTAGTAACCCATTAAAATGGATAAAAACACTTGGAAGCTCTGTAATTTCAATGATGATTGTGCTTTTAATCCATGTTATTTATCTTTGTATAGTCTTCAGATGCAGATCCTGACTCCTATGAGAAGTAGCTCACCATGACAAAGCTCCTTTGCTTTTATCAATCTGCAAATCAAAGAAGGGGGACATGTTGGGAGCAGGCCTCCCAAAATCTGGCCATAAACTGGCTCCAAAACTGGCTATAAACAAAATCTCTGCAGCACAGTAACATGTTCATAATGGCCCCAATGCCCGCTCTGGAAGGTTGGGGGTTTACCGGAATGAGGGCAAGGAATACCTGACCCGCCCAGGGTGGAAAACTGCTTAAAGGCATTCTTAAGCCACAAACAATATCATGAGTGATCTGTGCCTTAAGGACATGCTTCTGCTGCAGTTAACTAGCCCAACCTATTCCTTTAATTTGGCCCATCCCTTCATTTCCCATAAGGGATACTTTTAGTTAATTTAACATCTATAGAAACAATGCTAATGACTGGTTTGCTGTTAATAAATACGTGGGTAAATCTCTGTTTGGGGCTCTCAGCTCTGAAGGCTGTGAGACCCCTGATTTCCCACTTCACACCTCTATATTTCTGTGTGTGTGTCTTCAATTCTTCTAGCGCTACTGGGTTAGGGTCTCCCTGACCGATCTGGTCTCAGCATTCTCTCCCTCACACTCAGTCTCTTCCTCTTTCTCACTTGGGACATTGTCTTTTAAAGTGACCTATTTTTTCACATTTGAAACAATTTTTCTGTCTTTTTTTTTTCTTCCTTTGAGTCTCCTGGCTTTACTCTTTCATACATTTTATATCACCTGGACAGTGGTGGTCTAGGTTCTTTATATGTCTGGCTCCCTTGGTACTTTGTTGTATGGTGGACAGCAAGATTTTTGCCTTTTGCTTTTGTTTTTCTTTTTCTCTTCTTACATATACTGTTTGGGATTTTTTTTTTTTTGAGACAGAGTTTCACTCGTTGCCTGGGCTGGAGTGCAGTGGTGTGATCTCAGCTCCTGCAACTTCTGCCTCCTGGGTTCAAGTGATTCTCCTGCCTCAGCCTCCCAAGTAGTTGGGATTACAAGCAAGTGCCACCATGCCTGGGTAATTTTGTAACTTTAGTAGAGATGGGGTTTCTCCATTTTGGTTAGGCTGGTCTTGAACTCCTGACCTCGGGTGATCTGCCTGCCTTGGCCTCCCAAAGTGCTGAGATTTCAGGCATGAGCCACTGCACTGGTGTTTTTTTGGGCTTTTTAAAGAAACTCTTCTATAGGTCTGTATTTCTGGTTCTCTATTTTTTGTAATATTTTGTTAATATCTGGCCAACGATTAGTAACAAAATGAAGCTTTAACATCCCTCATCTGAGGGGGTCTTCTATTCTAGATTTGCATATTTCTCCATTTGCTCTTTGAGTTTTTTTCAGAATTTTATAGGTCATTTATTTTTTTCTTGTTGTGTATTGAAAGCTTTTGTAATGTTTTGGATACAGGGTACAGATTCTCTAATTCTTTTAATTATCATTTCTCTAAGGTCTTTTCATTATTCTTCTAATATTTTAACATTAGGCCTAGGGGACTATCAGGGGAATATTATTGTTGCTAGCTTTATCCTTTTTCTTACCTTGTTTGGGGTATTTCCCATCTTGATGGTTTTAGGGTGAGGCTCAATCTCCCCTACTGGAGATTTCTTGCCTTTTGGGGTAAGTCTCAATTTCCCCTACTGGAAATTTCTTGCAATATGGGGTGAGGCTCAATTTCCCCTAATGGAAATTTTTTGCCTTCCTTGCTACTGGAGGTTCCTGTGAGGCTCAATCCCCCCTACTGGGAATTTTTTGCCTCTTCTTTCACTTCATCCTTCTCTAGCCATGTTAGGTCCCTCTTGGCATTGGTGGGTTGGTATAAACCCCCATCCTGGACTCCTTTACAGGTGGGTCACCCTAAGCCATATGAGGTGACCACAGAACTGCAGATCTAGACTTAACACTCATTTCACATGCAATTGTGCATCTTATTCATACACTATTAACTTCCAAGATACCCCTTCCAAGGAATACTTCACCACCCCCGCAGTTTTTCATGCCTTGGTGTGTCCTCACCAAGGAATATTTCACTGCCCCTGTGGCTTTTCTTAGCTTGGTCATGACCACCTAGGAAATACTTTGCCAGCTCCTGCAGCATTTCTTACCTTGGTCTGTGGACAGAGTTATCTGGTCACCACGGTATTTGTAGGTCTTTTCTTCCCATGTTGCTGAGAGTCCGGGTTTATTCATCACACTAGGGGGGTCTCCATTCCTTACCCCTGAGGCTACTGCAATGAGGCAGTGGGGCATGTGTCCTCACAGGAGAGGATGGAAAACCCTCTGGGAGGAGAATGGGGTCCTTGTACAGGCCACCAAATTGTTAGAAACATACTATTTGTGCTGCAAAAGAAATAGCAGTCGAACATAAATTTTCTCAGAAAGTCAAATTTACTTCTACAGAAGCATGTGTCTCGTGGATGGAGCAATGGCAAGAGCTCATCAGACAAAAGACAGCAGGGGTTTTTAATCCCTAATGCACTTGGCCTTAGTTGATGTGTCATTCCCCTATTGGTTGGGGTTGAACCACACAGTCTAAACTGAATGCAGTTAGCTAATTTGAAGAGTACAGGGAAGAACAGTTGTGGCAGGGAAGGCTGTTACAGCAGGGAGGGGGTGACTTCTTGGTGGGCATGCCTGAGCACAGCAGGATGGGAGGGGCTGATAGACTGGTGGGCAAGGTTAATTTAAGCAACAGGGAAATAAGACTTCAGGACAGACAGTACAAGGAAGTAAAGACCTCTTGCAGAGGAACACTTTGTAACAAAATGAAACCCTTTGAAGAGGAACTATCTAAACTACTTGTTTTTAACATTTATATTCGCATGTTTCTGGAGGCTGAAAATCTGAGATCAGAGTGCCAGCATGGCCCACTTCTGGTGAGAGCTCTCTTCCTGGCATGTAAATGCCTAATTCCTCATGTCTTCACATGATGGAGACCAAGAAACGGGTCGTGCTCTCACTCTCGCTCTCCCTCCCCACAGCCCCTTGTGTCCCTCGACCTCATTTAATGATACTCCCTAAAGATCCTATTTTGACATACACTCACATTGGGGTTTGGGGCTTCAACAAATGAATTTTGGGGTCATTGTTCAGTCCAAAGTACTTAATATGACTCTTTTCCCTTTCCACATAGGCAGTGAGATAATCTGTAAGTAATGACTTATTTTTCCCTTTCAGTCATTAGGTTATATAAATATATATTTTCTTGCTTTACTGAATGGATTTTAACCTCCAGCACAACACCAACTAAAAGTAGTAATGTCAGCATAGTTGTCTTTGCAGTTGTGGTGAGATATGTGCTCTATTTTATTGGCTTGGCTGTAGGTTTTTATTTTTTGAAGCTTCTATCTCCTACAGGAATATATATAATCCCAGCACTTTGGAAGGCCGAGATGGGCAAATCACAAGGTCAGGAGTTCAAGACCAGCCTGGCCAACATGGTGAAACCCCATCTCTACTAAAAATACAAAAAATTATCTGGGCTTAGTGGTGGCCACCTGTAATCCCAGCTACTTGGGAGGCTGAGGCAGGAGAATCGCTTGCACCCGAGAGGCGGAAGTTGCAGCGAGCTGAGATCATGCCACTGCACTCCAGCCCTGGTGATGTAGCAGGACAAGCCACAGACAAAACTCCGCAGACACGGAGCTAAAGAAGGAAGAGGTTTATTCAGCCGGGAGCATCGGCAGGACTCCTGTCTCAAGAGCCGAGCTCCCCGAGTGAGCAATTCCTGTCCCTTTTAAGGGCTCCCAACTCTAAGCGGGTCCATGTGAGAAGGTCGTGGTCGATTGAGCAAGCAGGGGGTACGTGACAGGGGCTGCATGCACCGGTGCTCAGAGTGAAACAGAACCGACCGGGAAGTTTTACAATGCCTTTCCATACAATGTCTGGAATCCATAGATAACATAACTGGTTAGGTCAAGGGTCGATCTTTAACTACCAGGCTTAGGCCTGGTTTAGGGTCTGGTTCCTAGGCACCAGGCTACCTGCCTTTAGTTTTGCTTTTCTTTCTTTTTCTGAGTATAAAACAACATAAAACAATATGAGAGGGTCTGTCTTCTCTCATTTCCCGGCTTTGAGACTCTCACTTTTTATTAGTGGGAATTCTCACTCTTATTTTTGCTACTTATGTCTTCCTGTGCAATAGATTGATAATGATTCATACAGTACACTTGTGCTAATACATAACATGAAGGGACATTGAGAGACTGGGCTATATGCTCGGCTAATTGCAAAAACAAATTTCTTGTTTTTCCTGGAATTTCTGGTACTGGCACATTCAGTTCATCATAGAAGGTTTGAAATACTGGCTCAGGAGAGGGTTTATAAACTTTTCCTCAAACCACGATATTTACTTGAAGATCCAGTCCAGCTCCATCAATTTCTAGGGTTACACATTCCCCTTTTTTCTAGCGAGGATTAAAGGGGTTTGTTATTACTAGTTCTAAGGGGTTATACGGACCACTGGTACAGGAATGGCCACTTTTCCCTTGGTGAAGGTGGACTGCATTTTTTCATTTTTTATCCAAGTAGCCTAAATGACACAAGACCAGTATCTACATTTATTTTTACACAGTCTTAATTTATGATAAACATACTTATTTTCTGTCATATAGCCTCTTTCTTAATTAAGAGAACCACATCCTATTTTTAACTTATTACTATTAATGACAGCACAGGCGTCGAATTTCAAGGTGACTCGTTCAGGCACCTCTTTTTTTTTTGTGGCTAACATTTTACTCGTATCGTTTATGAGCACCCACCAGTCCTCAGTTCTTACTCTTATTTTAAAAACTGTGGTCATGGGAGGCTCAGATGGGTCATAACACACATCAGGTTGGTCATTTCCTGGGCTACATACTTTGTATAGAATAACATTATACAAATAAGTTCTTTTTTAGAGTTTCAGTACACTTATAATAACCGTAAAATAATAGGAACGTAGCAACCTTTTGTCCTACTTTAGTGACTTGATGTATACACTGGGAACAGCCCTCAGTCTGAGGAAGGTCAGTTGAAATCTTTACTGTACAAGTCCAAAATTTAAGGAAAATGAGTCCCATGATGAGTTTTCTCATGCTTCAGCTGTGCGTGGACCAGTCAGCTTCCGGGTGTGACTGGAGCAACTCTTGTCGTCTTCTTCAGAGTCACTTTGAAAGGGTTGGTGAAGCTACTCCAGTCCACGTACAGCTCCCAGTCTACTGATGTTTAAGGATGGTCTTGGAGGTTGGGCCCACTAGAATAAACTGAGTCCAATACCTCTACACAGTTATGTTCAACTGGGCTCTCTGATACCAAGAGCAAGGTGGCAGGGTTTAGGGTGTTGTAAACTTCAATGGTTATGCGGGGATTTTCACAGAGCAAGCTTTGGTATCTAGTTAGACTAGCATTCGTTAGCTAATGATGTCCTTTGGTATTCGTTAAAGTCACCACAGCATGGGGGGATTTTATGTTTAGGTTTTGCCTAAGAGTTAGCTTATCTGCTTCTTGTGCTAACAGGGCCATTGCTGCCAGGGCCTTTAGACATGGGGGCCAGGCTTTGGAAACCCTGTCTAGTTGTTTTGAGAGATAGGCCACTGGCCTTGGCCAGGGCCCCACAGTCTGGGTTAAAACTCCAACTGCCTTTTTTTTTTTTTTTTTTTTTTTTTTTGACTCATACTGTGTAAAAACTTTTGTCAGGTCAGGTAGCCCCAGGGCTGGGGCCGACCTGAGTTTTTCTTTTAACTCATGAAAAGCTCGTTGCTGTTGGTTGTAATAGATGTAGTTTATTTAATCTAAATTTTTATTAACTGTCACCAACTAAAATATTGACTTAAATCCTCTAGATATTTGATTTCAAGCTTTAAATTGATCTGGTATTCCTTGCAGGCCTCCAATTGCATCTAAATAGATGTGATAGTTGAAAGACCCATAAGGGGCTTCTCTTAATTTAGGATGTCTTATTTTTCTCCCTCTAGTTGATGAAATGCCAGGTTGAAAGGGATAGCCAAATGGACTAAAGCACAAGTGCCGCTCTAGTTATTTGGCAGAGTGCCCAGTATAGGTCCACCACAATACCACCACACATCCGCTCAGGGATGAACAAGGGCTGATTGATTGATAATCTCTTGAAAATTCTTAAGCTCATCGCATCCCTTCAGGTCTCTAAGGAATGCTAAGTTTCCTCCCTGTCGTGAGAGACAGGAAGTGACCTTAGTGTTGGGAGACGGAAGCTGGATATCTCCTGGGGGCTAACCCACAGGGTACCAGACTTCGGAATATAGCAGAGAGAGCTTGGCATGACTTATTACTCCAGGCTGTAGAATCCTGGAAAACAGCTACCATGCAGCCTGGGCCTGGTTGACTGGAGGACCACCTTAGTGAAAGAGGGACAATCTGGGCCTCTGGCCTGCCATGTGCACAAGCATAACAATTGCTTTTGTTTAACATGCAGATGGAATATTTGATCCATTTTAACCAGGCATTTACATCTTGGTATCCTGTCTTAATTGCTAAAGTTTGTTTTAAGTCTTTAACTTCTATGATCCTCTAGTAAAATGATTGTATGGTTTTAGGAAATTACAAAAACCGGTTGGGGCAGTCATCCTTGCTCTTTAGTGGTCCACAGAACGTTGGACCAACTATGGCATGAAAGCTCTACATTGTGGGGGCAAGACTCTTGGTTGTCACTGGGGTCTTTATCGAAATCTCCCCAAATTAAATGGTCCTAGTTTACTAATGCCCAGTCTGAGGAGAGTCAGGAGGGACAGAAGTACTTTTCAGAAGTAGAGAGCTGTCTTTGACTTGGCAAGTCCCCACAGGGTATAACAAGGCAAGTATTAAATGCAATAGTTTGAGGTGAAATTGACTTGGTTATGTTAATAACTAGAT
Source organism: Homo sapiens (assembly GCF_000001405.40). NCBI lineage: Eukaryota > Metazoa > Chordata > Mammalia > Primates > Hominidae > Homo > Homo sapiens. The sequence continues at coordinate 9,705,230 of NC_000019.10, read as the reverse complement.
GGTCATCAATAGAGTGCGGAAAGAAGAAAGAGTAATAGAATAGATGAAAAACAGTTAAATTTTTCTTAGCTTTAGTTTGGTAGGGTTTTCTTCTGGGATTATGGCCCATGACTCTGGAGAGGGTGGCGCTTTCTTGACTCGGGTGTGATGAGTCCATCCTTTTTGGTGTACAAACAGCAGTCTTGGTGGTTAGCAGCACAAGGAAGGGTCCTTCACAGGCTGGCTCGAGGTTTTCTTCTTTCCACCTTTCAATGAGAACATGATCTTCAGCCTGGTGCTGGTTGACCGGAAATTCTAGGGGTGGTACATGTGCTAAAAGACTTTTAGTTTTGAGGGAAAGGGAAGTGGAAGATAAATCAAGTATATAATTTCTAAGAAATTGACCTTTTGTTTTAAATGTGGGGACCTTGGCAGTGGACTTTATAGTCCTTAGTGCCTTTTTACTGAGAAATTTCCTTTAGCACCTATTTTTATTGGTTTTTAGACCAAAGGAAGCTAAACACCATTTTATATTTAATAATGCTTCTTTTATTATTTTTATACCAGATAAGCTAAATTTTATCTTTATATTAGTGTGTTATTAATGTTAAACTTAATTTTAATAAAAACTTGTAGACATATTTATCTAATTTTTAATGTTTGACCATAAGGTAAGATTTTATAGACTCTTTTTAACCTTTTAAAATTTTTGCTAAAGAGCAGGTTGGTGCTTTAAGAAAAACCTGTTATGCTTTTATTTTAATATCCAGTATACAGAGAAACTGGATGATACCCCTTTAATTTTAGCTAATATATTTACCCACAGAATTTACACCCAATTAACGTTTCAAAACTTGCTTAAACCTTTAAAACAAAATATACATATTTTTAACCTTTTAATGTAGGTAAAAATCCACATTCTTATGCCTCCTTATAATCCTTTTACCAAAGATATACTTTACTTTCCTTATACACCTTGCACATAAACTGTCTCTTCAATAGTTTTACATTTAGGAGGACTAATTACTTTTAAATTATACAACATTTCTTGCATAAATTCTTTTTTAACACACTTTTTTTATAACTCTTTTTTTTGAAGATGATAACCATTCTCTTCCAAAGTGAACCTTTTTTTTTATGTCTGTGGACTAGACTGTCTAAGGCCACAAGAATAGAAGTTACTATAATACATGTTACGCTGTTAACTTTTAGCAAACTTTACTTTTGTTGAAAACCTTGTAAGTTTGGGATTTTAATTATCCTTTGCTATTAATAAGACCTTGTTTTGTCCAAATTAACTTAGAATTTGTATAGACGGCTTTTTTTTTCTTAACTACTTGTCTATCTCTTTCTCTCTTTTTTTCTGTCTTTGATTTTGTCTCTCTCTGACTTTCCTTTTGCCTCTGTCTCTTCCTCTCTCTCTCTGCCTCTCTCTTTCTTTCTCTCTCTCTCTCTCCTTGACTCCCTCTTTGTCTGTCTCTTCCTCTCTGTCTCTTTCTCTCTGTCTTTGCCTCTTTTCCTCTCTGTATCTTTCCTTTCTCTCTCTCTGCTAGTCTTTCCTTGCCTCTGATAGCCACCTATGCTGCTTTTCTCTCAACCATTCTGTGTTGGGGGAAGGGACTCTAAAACCAGCTGTAACCAAGTGTCTATGTACGGGAGCTGGTCTGTGTGTCCTGGCTTACAGGTTACCTTGTGCCATACCTTTGAAACAAGGGACCTGTCCAGGCTTCCTTCTAATGGTCAACCTACTTCTAATGCTGGCCGGTCTATCTTACACAAAGTTTTAAGTTTTCCTGGTGTCATAGTACTCCATAGTCTCCTTTAAATCTCCTTTTTTTTTTTTTTAATTTTTCAACATAGTTCCTAGTGAGGTGGGCTTACTTTTGCCTCACCCCTGTTTCCTCGAGACAAAACACCACGCTCACACCACATGCACACCACAAAACAAAGAACGGGTTAAAAGGGCACACACACACACCTTTGTAGTTTACACTAAACCAAAATCAAAACCAAAATCAGACTATCCAGAAATCCAAGCCAGGTCAAAACCAAAACCAAAGTATCAAGCAATCCAAGTCAAAAACAAAAACCAAAGTGCCAGTACAGGCACACCGTGGGTGATCAGGCCACGCTTCTACTCAAATGGAGTAGGCAAGTTCCCAAGACCAGTCCTGTCAAGCAATTCAAACCAAGTCAAAACCAAAACTAAAGTGCCAATAAAGGCACGCTATGGGTGATCAGGCCATGCTTCCACTCAAATGGAGTGGGCATGTTCCCAAGACTGGTCCTGTCAAGCAATTCAAACCAAGTCAAAACCAAAACCAAAACCAAAACCAAAGTGCTGATAAAGGCACACCGTGGGTGATCAGGCCACACTTCCACTAAAACGGAGTGGCAAGTTCCAAAGACTAGTCTTACCAAGTTTTAGATGTCAAGACTCTAGGTGCCCGTTCCTTCCAGGTGCTCAGCCACTGCATTGATCCTCCATGGGGGCCTGCCACACACTGCTCTGGCAAGGTGTCCCACCAGGGCAAATGCCTACCTGGGAGTACTCTCAGGATCTGCATTGCTCGGGCTGGTCGTGGTCCCCCTCAGGGATGTTCCACAGGGCAGGCTTAAGCCACCTAAGGAGCTGCCTCAACCATCCACCAATCACCTCACTTCCCAGTCAGGGAACCAAGAAATGTAGCAGGACAAGGCGCAGACAAAACTCCTCAGACACCGAGTTAAAGAAGGAAGAGGTTTATTCAACCGGGAGCATTGGCAGGACTCCTGTCTCAAGAGTCAAGCTCCCTGAGTGAGCAATTCCTGTGTCTTTTAAGGGCTCACAACTCTAAGGGGGTCCACGTGAGAGGGTCATGATTGATTGAGCAAGGAGCAGGTATGTGATAGGGGTTGTATGCACCTGTGGTCAGAGTGAAACAGAACAGACCGGGAAGTTTTACAATGCCTTTCCATACAATGTGTGGAATCTATAGATAACATAACCGGTTAGGTCAGGGGTGGATCTTTAATTACCAGGCTTAGGTCAGGCAGGCCCAGGCCTGGTTTCAGATCTGGTTCCTAGGTGCTGGGCTACCTGCCTTTAGTTTTGCTTTTCTTTCTTTTTCTGAGTATAAAACAATATAAAACAATATGAGAGGGTCTGTCTCTCTTCTCTAAGTGACAGAGTGAGACTCTGTCTCAAAAAAAAAAAAAAAGGAAAATGCAATGGAATCAGCAGGTTCTAAGAAATAAAGAATGAAGAAACAAAGGCCTACAGAAAGCCTGACTGAATGGAAGAGATAGACCATGCCATTCACTGGCATCTTTGTCAATGTGGAAGAATCATGGAAAGGCTCTAGGAACATGAGGAGAGGCAAACAAAAAAGTTTTATGTAGATACACACACACATATATATATTTTATTTTATTTTTTACAGGCATGAGCCACCACGCCCGGCTATATATATATACACATATATATACACGTATATATATGTGTATATATACATATATACGTGTATATATACACGTATATACGTGTATATATACGTATATATACACGTATATACGTGTATATATACGTACACGTATATACGTGTATATATACACGTATATATGTGTATATATACGTATATACGTATATATACACGTATGTGTATATATACGTATATACGTATATATACACGTATGTGTATATATGCGTATATACGTATATATACACGTATGTGTATATATGCGTATATACGTATATATACACATATATGTATATATATGTGTGTATATATATGTATATATATATTTTAATAGAGACGGGGTCGAGCCAGGTGCCGGCCTGGGCAACAAGAACGAAACTGCGCCCACTGGGGAAAAGCTTTGGAGGAGCATTCCCTGGGGTGTGTCCCATCCCCTATCCCAGCCTTTCCAGCCCATCTGTCCACCTGTAGCAGGGGCTAGGCCGGGTCCAACCTCTAAGCCACCTCCAAGTACGGGCCCCAACCCTCTACCCACAGTTCCATCCAGAGGCGTGGTTGTAACCTCACCTTTTCTCTGAACCTGTTTCTGCATCCCACTCTCTGAGCCAACCCAGGCCCTGTCTGCACCCACCCAGGAGGAAACTAGAATTTCTGTGTTCGACCCTGAAAAGTAGAGGTTCCTCTTCAAAGAGACTTTACTCTCCATCTAATTAGAAATAAATAGTAACTCTTCTTAGGAGCGAAATGCATTCAAAGACCTGTGCTAACATTCTTAAGTATCTGTGAGGTGTAATAAAGAAATCAATGTACTTTATGTTCTTAGCTCTCACAATTTAGCCTAAATATTTGCCCTGGCATGCTTATACTGGTCCAAGCAAGCATTAGGTCATAGCCTGTTCCTCTTCCTTATTTGAAGGTGTTTTTAGCTTTCTCAGCATTCCACAAGTTATTTCCTCCTTCCTTTGTTCTCCTCTGCCTTTGCTTCTTTTAAAAAGTTCTGACTTGGTAGCCAACCGGGTCAAATACAGAATGTGATGTTCCATTCCAGCCAATGGAAACCGGACGCTGCAGTAGGGTGGACACGTCAGGTTATAAATGACCCTGTTTCCTTTGTTTAGTGTACTCTAGTGGCAAAACTGCTGGCTAGTGTACCTGTTCTGCCAAAAGTAAAATGGGCTTACTGAGGAAATTAAATTTATGTTCAAGTGCTATTTCTTTATGCACCGGGGAACAAGCATTTCTAACAACCTGGTCCTACGTGGCTGAAACTGGATCCCAGAAGCCCCGTCCTTCCCGAAGCTCGTAGCGGAAGTGACATCAGCCCGCCGCCACTATCTTTTCCCGCGCTGGCTGCCCACGGTCAGTGCTGTTTCACCTTTATCTTGGTGGAGTCGACCCCGGCTGTGGTGAGTTCCGCCCCTGCTTGGGGGTCCTGGAGACAGGCGGGGGATGCCAAAGGAAGGATTGGGTGCGCTCGCCCAGGAGCCTCTCTGATCCTGCTCATTTCACTAGCTTCTCCAGGGGTTGTTGGTCCTCCCAGCGTGGCCAGTTCCCAGCTGCAGGTTCAGTCGGTCCACGTCAGGAGCCGCGTCAGGAAGTGTGTTTATCCCGCGTCCATGGGATGTTTTCTGGAGTGCTTTCATCCGCTGTGCTCCCCTCTTCAAAAGCTTCTAAAGCAACCTTGGTGAATTTTTTTCTTTCCGAAAGGAAAAGGATTTCTGCCATTCTGGTAAGGTTGGCTCTGGCCCCGCATCCTCCCGCGTCAGGAACCTGGCGATTCCGGAGTGTTCTTGGTGAGCACCGGTGTTAAATTGGTTTCAAGAGGGCTCTGACTTCCATATATTTGCTAAAAAATGTCTCATCTGAGAATCTGGCATTGCCTTGGTGTCCTTTGCTTATTTTTGACACATTACATTTGGATGGAAAAAACATAGTTGTTTAGGGTGTGTCTATTTCTGTATGTAAATAAGAACACGTGTAGACTGTAGGCCTTTCGTTTTTTTAAATTTTTATTTTCTTGGACGTTATTTGTTTTCTAGTTGTTACCAGCTACAAGCCTTTCTACTTAAGAAGGGCATGCCAGACACCCTGGCTCACATCTGTAATCCCAACACTTTGGGAGGCCAAGGCAGGTGGATCACCTGAGGTCAGGAGTTTGAGACCAGCCTCGCCAACATGGTGAAACAGGGTTTTGCCATAGAGATGGCGTTTTGCCATAGAGATGGCATTTTGCCATGTTTGCCAAGGCTGGTCTCGAGCTCCTGACCTCAGGTGATCTGCCTGCCTCAGCCTCCCAAAGTGCAGGGATTACAGGTGTGAGCCACCGCGCCTGGCCATCTTTTGAATATTTTAAATTCTGTTCTTCAGTCATCTTAGGTACATAGTGAAGTTAGCAATAACACACGTGGCTGGTGACTACTTAAGTGTTCTGTGCAGGTCTGGACTGCCTCCTGGTCATATTAGGGGGTAACAGCATCCACAGGAGATCAGGCTCTAAGGACAAATATCAGACTAATTATTAGGGTTATTTGAATGTAGGATTTTTTCAGTATTAAATAGAGGTAATGAGCCAGGCGCGGTGGCTCATGCTTATTATCCCAGCACTTTGGGAGGTCAAGGCAGGAGGATTGTTTGAGCCCAGGGGTTTGAGACCAGCCTGGGCAACCTGGTGAAACCTTGTCTCTACTAAAAATACAAAAAATTAGACCTAGTGGTGAAGGGGGCCAGCCCCTCCACACCCGTGGGTATTTCTCATCAGGTGGGACGAGAGACTGAGAAAAGAAATAACACACAGAGACAAAGTATAGAGAAAGAACAGTGGGCCCAGGGGATTGGTGCTCAGCATAAGGAGGACATGCACCGGCGCCAGACTCTGAGTTCCCTCAGTATTTATTGATTATTATTTTTACTATCTTAGCGAGGGAAGTGTAGCAGGGCAACAGGTGGGGAGAAGGTCAGCAGGGAAATATGTGAGCAAAGGAATCTGTATCATGAATAAGTTCAAGGAAAGGTACTGTGCCTGGATGTGCACATAGGCTAGATTTATGTTTCTCTTTACCCAGACATCCCAGTGTAGCAAAGAGTAACAGAGCAGTATTGCTGCCAGCATATCTCACCTCCAGCTGCAGGGTGGTTTTCTCCTATCAGAATAGAATGAATGGGAATGGTCAGCTTTACACCGAGACATTCCATTCCCAGGGATTGGCAGGAGACAGAAGCCTTCCTCTTAACTGCAAAGAGGCCTCCCTCTTTCACTACTCCTCAGCACAGACCCCTTTATTGGGGGACCTGCCCCGATAATCACGTAGGTTCTTTTCTATTTTCCTAAGCGTCGGCTGGCTTGAGAAATAAAGGGACAGAGTACAAAAGAGAGAAATTTTAAAGCTGGGTGTCCGGGGGAGACATCACATGTTGGTAGGATCCGTGATGCCCCACAAGCCACAAAAACCAGCAAGTTTTTATTAGGGATTTTCAAAAGGGGAGGGAGTGTGCGAATAGGTGTGGGTGACAGACATCAAGTACTTAACAGGGTAATAGAATATCACAAGGCAAGTGGAGGCAGGGCGAGATCACAGGACCGAGGTGAAATTAAAATTGCTAATGAAGTTTCGGGCACCACTGTCATTGATAACATCTTACCAGGAGACAGGTTTTGAGATCAACCGGTCTGACCAAAATTTATTAGGTGGGAATTTCCTCTTCCTAATAAGCCTGGGAGCGCTATGGGAGACTGGAGTTTATTTCACCTCTGCAATCTCGACCATAAGAGACAGGTACGCCCCCGGGGGGGCTTGGGCCAGTTCAGAGACCTACCCCTAGGTGTGCATTCTCTTTCTCAGGGATGTTCCATGCTGAGAAAAGGAATTCAGTGATATTTCTCCCATTTGCTTTTGAAAGAAGAGAAATAGGGCTCTGTTCTGCCTGGCTCACCAGCGGTCAGAGTTTAAGGTTATCTCTCTTATTCCCTGAACAATTGCTCTTATCCTGTTCTTTTTTCAGCGTGCCCACATTTCATATTGCTCAAACACATATGCTGTAGAATTTTTGTAGTTAACGCGATTATTACAGGGTCCTGGAATGATATACATCCTCCTCAACTGACAAGATTAAGAGACTAAAGTAAAGACAGGCATAGGAAATCACAAGGGTATTGATTGGGGAAGTGATAAGTGTCCATGAAATCTTTACAATTTATGTTTAGAGATTGCAGTAAAGACAGGCATAAGAAATTACAAAAGTATTAATTTGGGGAACTAATAAATGTCCATAAAATCTTCACAATCCACGTTCTTCTGTCATGGCTTCAGCCGGTCCCTCCGTTTGGGGTCCTTGACTTCCCGCAACACCCTTTACGGGTGTTGGGCTGGGAGATGGTAAGGTCTTTCCTTTCCCATGAGGCCATATCTCAGGCTGTTTCAGTGGGGGGAAACCTTGGACAATACTCAGGCTTTCATGGGCAGAGGTCCTTGCGGCTTTCCGCAGTGCATTTTGTCCCTGGTTAATCAAGAATGGAGAATGGTGATGACTTTTACCAAGCATACTGCCTGCAAACATATTGTTAACAAGGCACATCCTGCACAGCCCTAAATCAATTAAACTTTGATTCATTACAGCACATGTTTCTGTGAGCACAGGGTCAGGGCTAAAGTTACAGGTTAACAGCATCTCAAAGCAGAAACAATATTTCTTAGTACAGATCAAAATGGAGTTTCTTATGTCTTCCTTTTCTACATAGACACAGTAAAAATCTGGTCTCTATTTCTTTTCCCCACACAGTGGTGTGCACCTGTATTCCTAGCCACTTTGGGGGCTGAAGTGGGAGAATCACTTGAGGCCAGGAGTTTGAGACCAACCTGGCTGATATGGCGAAACACCATCTCTACTAAAAATACAAAAATTAGCCAGGCATGGTGCATACCTGTAATCCCAGCTACTCAGGAGGCTGAGGCCTGACAATCACTTGAACCTGGGAGGCAGAGGTTACAGAGTCGAGATCGTGCCACTGCACTCCAGCCTGGGTGGGAGAGTGAGACTCTGTCTCATAATAATAATAGTAATAATAATGATAATAATAATGATAATAAGGTGTGGTGATGCACACCTGTGGGCCCACCTATTCAGGAGACTGAGGTGGGAGGATCACTTGAGCCTGGGAGGTCTAGGCTACAGAGGGCTGTGTTAGTGCCATTGCACTTCAACCTGGGCAACAGAGTGAGACCCTGTCTGGATGGATGGATAGATAGATACATAAATACATAGATACATAGATACATAGATACATAGATACATAGATAGATAGACAGATAGAGGTAATGATAGCTATTGGGAAGGATGGTTATGATAATTAAGTGAGCATGTATATAGCTAGTAGAGCTACTTCTGACATACTAGGCCTCAGTAAATGTCAGTTGCTGTTATTAATACTATCATTACTGAGTGACGATACTGAGTGTACAGTTTTTGGTGGCCTTCACATTTGTCACCTGCAGCGAGAAAGCTCATGCATAATGTTCGATGACTGATGTTTGATGCTTGATACAAACAGGACTTCAAATAACCCTGTACAAAGAGGAATGGAGATTGCCTCTATTCACCTAGATTCATAAGTTGCCCTGAGGCAATCTTGGCATCAAGGAAGAGAGCATTGAGGCACAACTGACCATCAGCTTCAGAGAATGGCAGTCACTGATTTGTCCCATGGTAAGTCCTTGTTGATGCTCTTTTTCAGAGATTCTGATTTAGGTCGTCCTCCACAACATAAGAGTCCAGTGCGCTGGGCCTGAGCAGGCATGCCACTGTTTTTTTCTTTTGTTTTGTTCTGTTGTTTTTTCAAGATGGAGTTTCACTCTTGTTGCCCAGGCTAGAGTGCAATGGTGCAATCTCGGCTCACCGCAACCTCTGCCTCCTGGGTTCAAGCGATTCTCCTGCCTCAGCCTCCCGAGTCGCTGGGATTACAGGCTAATTTTGTATTTTTAGTAGAGACGGGTTTCTCAGTGTTTGTCAGGCTGAACTTGAACTCCCGACCACAAGTGATTTGCTTGCCTTGGCCTGCCAAAGTGTTGGGATTACAGGCATGAGCCACCACTGGTTCTTTTAGGAGGAATTGAAGTAAGATGTAGAATACTATTTTGTTTTGTTTTGTTTTGTTTTATTTATTTATTGTAGACAGAATCTTGCTCTCTCACCCAGGCTGGAGTGCAGTGGTGCAATCTCAGTTCACTGCAACCTCCACCTTTTGGGTTAAAGTGATTCTCTTGCCTCAGTCTCCCATGCAGATGGGACCACAAGCACATATCACCAGGCTTGGCTAATATTGTTTGTTTGTTAAATGGAGCCTCCCTCTGTTACCCAGGCTGTAGTGCAGTGGCACAATCTTGACTCACTGCAACCTCTGCTTCCCTGGTTCAAGCAATTCTTTACCTCAGTCTCCTGTATTTTTTTATTTATTTTTTATTTTTTTAGTAGAGACGAGGTTTTGCCATGTTGGTCAGGCTGGTCTTCAACACCTGACCTCAAGTGATTTGCCCACCTTGGCCTCCCAAAATATTGGGATTACAGGCATGAGCCTCTGTGCCCAGTCAGAATGCTGTTTTAGAATTCAGCCCTGGTTTGTGTGTCTTAGGAAATGCTACATAAGCTTCATGAGTGTTACTACTATGGGTAGATAGATAGTCACATTTTTCAGGGTGTAAGTTTCCTTGAAAAATGAAGCTATATCCCTTTACCCAACAGGCAGTTTGGCCCATGTCTGCTTATCTGAGTCTAGGTGACACAGGACTACTATGGCATTTCATGAAAGTGTTGTGTGTGTGTAGTTTTCTCGAGTGTGCAGGAGCATATGGGAATTTCAAGCTAGGATGGAATGACTTCTGGGCATGAGACTGTGGGCAGCTTTGGCTTCTCATGCCTTCTTACTTTTCCACTAGGGTTTTTTCCCAGGGAACCAATCTGCCCTTTTGAAGAAAAGACAAAGATAGGAACGATGGTGGAGGACTACCTGGCAAATTCTTATCAGGTAAAAAGAAAATGTGCCATTGTACAAAATGACATGCTTACATCCAATAGGTAGACATATTTCCTTCTAGACAGACTCATCTCCAGAGTTTTCTTAGAGCAAATGAAGCCTTACTCAAAGACTGAGTCCCCAGATGAATTTCCCCAGGGAATGAAGTTTCCTATACATAAAGTGTTAACTTGAAAATCAGTCCAGTAGCTCAGTAATTACTACTTAAGCTTGACCTTCATGGTGCCAACTGCATCTTTCTTACATTGCTGGGTGCAGTGACAGATGATAAAGCTGATGAAAGTGTCCTTTTATCAAATTATTCACTTATCAGCATTTATCAGGTATCTGCAGTGTGCTGAGGAGTGTGCGGCATAGACACCAATGGGACAGGAAGAGCTCCTAAACTGGTTGTGCTGAGATAAAGTGTAAGCAGTGTGCAGTGGCTCATGCCTGTAATTCCAGCTACTCAGGAGGCTGGGGTGGGAGGGGAACTTCAGCCCAGGAGATCGAAGGTGCAGTAAGCAGCGATTGTGCCTGTGTGACACAGTGGGACCCTGTCTTTATATAGAAATAAATAAACAGATTAGATAGATAGATAGATAGATAGATAGATAGATAGATAGATAGATAGATAGATAGATGATAGGTAAAAATTCATGCTTAGGAAGTACTGTTCTCATCAAAATAAAAATTTAAAATTTAAAAATAAAAGTATTTAAAAATTAAAAATAGATCAAACAAAAAAAGAATTAAAAAAATTTTTAAAGTGCTGTTCAAGGCATATGCCTCTAGTAGGTTCACCTTGATTGCTTAGACACAAGAGCTCCTGAGACATTAAACACTGGAGTAGATCTTGGGAGAGCTCAGAACCACATATAAGTGAGTATAAGTTTCCCCTTCCTCATTCTCCAGTGAACATTCATGGCAGTGTTCATTGGCTCAAACCGGCATGTGTGTGATGACTTAGGATTCAGTGACGTTTGATGATGTGGCTGTGGAGTTCACCCCAGAGGAGTGGGCTTTACTGGACACAACTGAGAAATGCCTCTACAGAGATGTGATGTTGGAGAACTATGTGAACCTGGCCTCTGTGGGTAAGAGTAACATCATTTTGCTTGGCATGGTGCCCTGCACCTGTAGTCCCAGATACTTGGGAGGCTGAGGTGGGAGAAGTGCTTGAGTGTGGGAGTTTGATATTAGCATGGACAGTATTGTGAGACCGCATCTCTAAAAAAAAAATCATAAAAATAAAGACTAGGCCGGGCTTGGTGGCTCACGCCTTTAATCCCAGCACTTTGGGATGCCAAGGTGGGCAGATCATGAGGTCAGGAAATCAAGACCAGACTGGCTAACACAGTGAAACCCCGTCTCTAATAAAAATGCAGAAAATTTGCTGGGTATATTGGCACATCCCTGTAGTCCCAGGCACTCGGGAGGCTGAGGCAGTAGAATCACTTGAACCCGGGAGGCAGAGGTTGCAGTGAGCCAAGACTGCATCACTGCACTCCAGCCTGGGTGACAGAGTGAGACTCCATCTCAAAAAAATAAAAAAAATATTTTTAAAGATCCACTTTACCTCAGAAGATTTAAGCTATTTTTCTCAGAATTTCAGATATCTCTGACTTTTATTTTCCATCTAGTCAAACATTCCTATGACCTAACAAAACTACCTGTTCTTTTTTTTGTTAACTTTATCATTTTGATACATGCTCTTTATCCCAATCTTTCCTACTTTCCTTTCCTGATAATCTTCTCTTCCTCTTCCCTATTGTTTCATTTTTCACAGAAGCAGTTTGTAATAAACTATCTAAACACATCAATTGTGTAATAAACCCCACGTCCTTATAGCCAAATTTTTGACATATCAAAATCCTCAAAGTTCTCTGGCCTATCTTTTATTACTGTGTTTAATTAGAAAACAAGTACAAATGACTCATCGTTTTAAACATTTCTTCTATAAATCCTTACATTTCTTTTTCTGCTTAACTTCAGAATGGGAAATACAACCTAGAACCAAATGGTCATCACTTCAGCTTGGTTTTTTGAGGAATCCAATATTCAATGGGATACAAATGGCAGGATGAGTGATATTTCTTAGTTTCCTCTCAGAAAAGATTGAGAATTCCATTCTAGGAAATCAGCACGGTCAGAACTATGGCTTACTTCTGTAATCCCAGCTACTAGGGAGGCTGAGGTAGGAGGATCATTTAAGTCCAGTAGTTTAAGACCAGCCTAGACAATATAGCAAGATCCCATCTCTGATTTTAAAAAGAGGCTGGATGTGGTGGCTCATGCCTGTAATCCCAACACTATGGGAGGTTGAGGTAGGTGGTCACTTGAGGTCAGGGGTTTAAAACTAGCCTGGCCAACATGGTGAAACTCCGTCTGTACTAAAAATACAAAATTAACCAAGTGTAGTGGTGGGCACCTGTCATACCAGTTACTTGGGAGGCTGTGGCAGGAAAATCACTTGAACCCAGAGGTGGAGGTTACTGAGCGAGCCAAGATTGCACCACTTCATTCCAGCCTGGGCGATGGAGTGAGACCTCATCTCACAAAAAAAAGAAAGAAAGAAAGAAGGAAAATAAACTGAGTCTGTAATCCCAGCACTTTGGGATGCCAAGGTGGGTGGATCACTTGAGGTTAGCACTTTGAGACTAGCCTCTATCTCTACTAAAAATACAAAATTAGCCAGGCATGGTGGTGGGCACCTGTAATCCCAGTTACTTGGGAGGCTGAGGCAGAATTGCTTAAACCTGGGAGGTGGAGTGTGCAATGAAAAAGAAACAGCACAAATGAGAGATACTTAAGAGAATTAGAGAAGTAGCCTGCACCATTGAGGGAGCAAAGTCTCTGGAGAGATAGTCTGAATGTGATGAATTTTGTGATGTTCCATACCTATATAACTTGTCACTGCAAAATACCGACAAGTACATATTCCCACATATGTAACTAGACATTGAGGATTGGAACAGTTTCATGAAAATCTACACTATTTTGCTGGGTACAATGGCTGATGCCTGTAATCCCAGCAGCTTGGGAAGCTGAGGCAGGAGAACCACTTGAGTCTAGGAGTTCAAGACCAGCCTGGGCAACAGGGAGACCCTGTCTCTACAAAAAATAAAAATTTAGCTGGGTGTGTTGCCATGCAACTGTAGTCGAAGCTCCTTGGGGCACTGAGGCAGGATGATGACTTGAGCCTGGGAGATTAAGGCCGCAGTGAGCTGTGATTCTGCCATGGTACCAGCCTGGGTGACAGAGTGAGACCCTGTCTCAAACCACCCCCAACAATTAAAAACAGTTGTTTTTTTTTTGAGTAATTAGAGCCAGTGGCATAAAATTCTAGCAAAAGATCCCATCATTCAATCTGGAAGAAATCAAGAGGGTAGGAAATGAAAAAAAAATTAAACATTAAAAAGTAAAATGATAATTGTCACCAAAATAATGTTTCTGTGTTCAGATGGGTGAAATCTCTTAATATGTCTGAAAACATTTTAAATCCTTTATCCCTTCATCAGCAGACAAGAAGCTACAGTGGATGGAAACTCTGAGAATTGTGGAGAGGTCTTCAGTGAATGGTTTTGCCTTAAAACACACATGAGAGCTCAGAATGGAGGGAACATCTTTGAGGGTAATTGTTATGGAAAAGACATCCTCAGTGTGCACAAGGAAGCCTCTATTGGACAGGAACTTTCCAAATTTAATCCATGTGGAAAAGTCTTCACCTTAACTCCAGATCTTGCTGCACATCTTGGAATTCTCAATGCAAGACAACCATACAAATGTAAGGAATGTAGAAAAGGCTTTAAGTATTTTGCAAGCCTTGATAATCACATGGGAATCCACATTGGAGAGAAATTCTGTGAATTTCAGGAATGTAGGAGAGCCATCACTCATTCCTCACACCTAAAGCAGTGTGTAACAGTTCATACTGGAAAGAAATCTAAAAAGACTAAGAAACATGGGAAATCCTTCACTAATTTTTCTCAACTTTCTGCACATGTGAAAATTCATAAAGGAGAGAAGTCCTTTGAATGTAAAGAATGTGGAAGATCCTTTAGAAATTCCTCATCCTTTAATGTTCACATTCAAATTCACACTGGAATAAAACCACACAAATATACGGAATGTGGGAAAGCCTTCACTAGGTCAACTCACCTTACTCAACATGTAAGAACTCACACTGGAATAAAACCCTATGAATGTAAGGAATGTGGCCAAGCCTTCACTCAGTACACGGGCCTTGCTATACACATACGAAATCACACTGGAGAGAAACACTATCAGTGTAAGGAATGTGGGAAAGCCTTCAATGGATCCTCAACCCTTACTCAACATAAAATAATTCACACAGGAGAGAAGCCTTATGGATGTGTTGAATGTGGGAAGACCTTCATTACTTCTTCCTATCGTAGTAAACATTTGAAAACTCACCATGAAGAAAGGCCCTTTGTATGCAAGATATGTGGGAAAGCATTTCTATATTCCTCACCCCTTAATGTTCACCTGCAAACTCATACCAGAGAGAAAGCCCTCATATGTAAAGAATGTGGGAAAGCTTTTGCTGTTTCCTCACACCTAAGTAGACATGAAAGAATTCACACTGGGGAGGAACCCTATGAATATAAGGGTATGAATGTTACCATTTAGCTCATTGGTTGCCATCTTTAATTAGTGGCAGTGACACTAAAGATATTCAGATTTGTCCTAAATGCCTTTTGGAGGTTGTAATGGCTCATGAATTGGCCTTGGGTGCCATCACAAGGGTCTGAAATTAAACCTACAGGTTCTGAATACAACATCATGGTTGCCTGAGTCTGGGCATCTGTGAAGAAGGGTAATGGATGGTGAGGTCAGTACTGCAGGCTACCTTACCTTGGTGATTAGGTTTCTAAGATCATAGCATTAAGAATTTCTGTATGAGATAAGTCATCTAGATTGGTCCCAGCCCCTGTTAGTAGCTGCCAGTGTGGCACATTCATGTCAAAATTTCCCAGAAGCCAAGATGATGTAGGCCCCAGAGGTGGGTTGTTAAAAGATGCTCCTCTAAGGGTCTCTTCTGTTCCCACGGATCCTGCAGAGCATGGCAGGTATGAAACCATCCTTAACTGCCAGTGCACTTTCACAGCTGATTATTTCTGTGTCCCCTTCTTGTAAAATCTATGATATGTGACAGCCTTACCTGTTCTGTCTTCTCTGTCCATTTTAGGTGGCACAACCTAAGTGGAAGTGTCTCTTCTAGTATAATCCAGTCTTTGTGCTCACGTCTGTTAAGATGGCTGATATAGTCCATGAATCCCACTCATGATCTCTTTGTCAAATGATTGTTCAGCCACACTTTCAGGATTCTCTTCAGTACAAGTTTTCTAATTTTTGCATTATGGATAGGCTGAGAATTTTCCAAATCTCCAGGTTCTGGTTCCTTTTTCTTTAACAATTTCTTCTGCAATTCAGGTCTCCTCTTTTGCATTTTACTATAAGCAGTCAGGAAGAATGAAGCTTCCTGTGTCCTTTAACACTTTAATTACAGATCTTAGTGATACATACCCAGTTTTATCTCTCTCAAGCTCTACCTTCCACAAAATGCTAGAATACAGTTTTGCTAAGTTCTTCACCACTTCATATAAAGGGTTGTCTTTTCTTCATTTCCCAATAGCATGTTCCTCATTCCCCAATGACACCTCACCAGAATCACCCTTACTATTATTTCCAGCTTGCAAATCAGAATTTTTCCAGCCTCTACTCATTTGTCAGTTTCAAAGCTGCTTCACATTTTTAGTTTTTTTATTTGTTTGTTTGTTTTTAATTCCAGTGCCTCACTTCTCAGTGCCAAAATCTGCCTTAATCAGCTCAGGCAACCATAACAGAATACCACAGAACAAATGGCTTACAAATTCATTTAATTTTAAATAAATGAGGTTAAAAACACAAAATTTTATTTTTTGAGATGGAGTTTGTGTTTTTAGTTAACCATGTATCTTGGAAATCACTTAATGTGAGTTCATAGAGATCTTCATTCATTTCTAGAGCTGCAGGATACTCCACTGGTTGATGTACCATATATTCAGATACTCTAATACTTGAGAGCATTTAGGCATTCAAATTGAAATTACAAACAGTGCTGCAATTAATACTGTTGAACTTATTTGAATTGTTAAAGGTTTACCTTTAAGGCAAATTCTTAGAAGTTTAGACTGAATCCTGGACTTAGTATAAAAAAAAATTCTTAAAAGTAGCATTGTGGCTGGGCACGGTGGCTCATGCCTGTAATCCCAATACTTTGGGAGGCCGAGGTGGGTAGATCACTTGAGGTCAGGGGTTCGAGAACAGCATGACCAACATGGTGAAACCCCGTCTCTACTAAAAATACAAAAAATTAGCAGGGTGTGGTGACACACCTGTAATCCCAGCTACTCAGGAGGCTGAGGCAGGAGAATCACTTGAACCCAGGAAGTGGAGGTTGGGATGAGCCAAGATCATGCCATTGCACTCCAGCCTGGGCAACAACAGTGAAACTCCATCTCAAAAAAAAAAAAAAAGTAGGATTGCAAGGCCAGGCACAGTTGCCCATGCCTGTAACCCCAGCACTTTGAGCTCCTTAGTTCGAGACCAGCCTGAGTAAAATGGTGAGCCCATCTCTAAAAAATATACAAAAATTAGCTGGGTGTGGTGGCTCATGCCTGTAGTCCCCAGCTACTCTGGAGGTTGAGGTGGGAGCATCGCGTGAACCTGGGAGGTGGAGGCTGCAGGTAGCCCAGATTGCACCACTGCACATTCCAGCCTGGGGGACACAGCAAAACTCTCTCAAAAAAAAAAAAAAAAAAAAAGGGAAAAGAAAAAGTCCGTGCACGGTGGCTCACACTTGTAATCACAACACTTTGGGAGGGCAAGGGGGTGGATTGCCTGAGCTCAGAAGTTTGAGACCAGGCTGGGCAACATGGCCAAACCCTGTCTTTACTAAAAATTAAAAAAAATTAGCCAAGTGTGGTGGTGTATTCCTGTAGTCCCAGTTACTAGGGAGATAGGCACAAGAATCACTTGAACCCAGGAAATGGAGGTTGCAGTGAGTTGAGATCGTGCCACTGCACTCCAGCCTGGGCAACAGAGGGATACTCTGCCTCAAAATTAAAAAAAAAAAAAAAAGAAAACGGTTTCCAGATTGCACAGGTAGTGTTTTTGGGTATTGCCAATTCCTTCTCTGTAGTATCCAGCCTCCAAATTGTCCCCCAATAATCTCTGCTTCTCAATACTCATACCTTTGTGTAGTCCTCTCACATTGTAGCAGGCTTCGTCTCTGTGACTAGCAGAATGTGGCAAAAATCATGTTAAGTCACTGCTGAAGTTTGGGTTACAAAAGACCACACACATATGGAATCTCACTGGAGTCCACACAGTGAAAGCAATCTTGAAAAAGAAGTTTGTTGGGTAGGGCAAGGTGGCTCAAGCCTGTAATCCCAGCACTCTGGGAAGCTAAGGCAGGCAGATCATTTGACGTCAGAAGTTCGAGACCAGCCTGGCCAATATGGTGAAACCCTGTCTCTACTAAAAACACAAAAATTAGCCAGTGGTGAGCTGAGATCATGCTATTGCCCTCCAGTCTGGGCAACAGAGCGAGACTTAGTCTCAAAAAAAAAAAAAAAAAAAAAAAAGGATTGTTGGAAAATTCAGACTTTGTGATGTCAAAAGTTACTAGCCTGTAATACCAACAATTCAGGAGGCTGAGTCAGGAAAACTGCTTGAGCCCGGGAGTTTGAGACCAGCTTGGGGAACTTAAGGAGACTTCATCTCTACAAAAAATAAAAATAAAAAATAGCTTGGCATGGTGGTGCATGCCTGTAGTCCCAGCTACTCAGGAGCTGAGATAGGAGGGATCTCTTGAGCCCAGGAAGTCGACCCTGCAGTGAGCTGTGATCACACCATTGCACTCCAGCCTGGACAACAGAGCAAGAACCTGTCTCAAGAAAAAAAGCAGAAAAAATGGTACTACAAAGCTATAGTAATCAAAACAATGTGGTATAGGCATAACTAGACATGGAGACCATTGTTATAGCATAAAGAGACCAGAAATAAACCTTCACAGATATAATCAAATGGCTTTTGACCATGGTGCCAAGAACCTTCAATGGAGAAAAGGCAGTCTTTTTTCTTTTTTTCTTGCTGGGCTGCATTTCCAGGAGGTTAGGCATTCTTAGTCGCAGGAAGAGATAGGAGGTCGGCATAAGATACAGGTCATAAAGAGCTTGCTGATAAAACAAGATGCGGTAAAGAACCCAGCCAAATCCCACCAAATCCAAGATGGTGACAAAAGTGACCTCTGGTCATCCTCACTGCTCATTATAGGTTAATTATAATGCAGTAGCATGCTAAAAAGTCACTTCCGCCAGCTCCATGACTTTTTACAAATGTCATGGCCATGTTTGGAAGTTTACCTATATAGTCTAAAAAGGGAGGGATGTAGGCCGGGCGCGGTGACTCACGCCTGTAATCCCAGCACTGTGGGAGGCCAAGGCAGATGGATCACAAGGTCAGGAGATCGAGACCATCCAGGCTAACACGGTGAAACCCCGTCTCCACTAAAAATACAAAAAATTAGCTGGGTGTGGTGGCCGGCACCTGTAGTTCCAGCTACTCACGAGGCTGAGGCAGGAGAATGGCGTGAATCCAGGAGGCGGAGCTTGCAGTGAGCAGAGATCGCGCCACTGCACTCCAGCCTGGGCGACAGAGCGAGACTCCGTCTCAAAAAAAAAAAAAAAAAGAGGGATGCTAGGTTCCAGAAAATCTCTGCCCCTTTCCTGAAAAACTTATTGACAACCCACCCCTTATTTAGCATATAATCAATAAATAACCATAAGTATACTCAATAGAGCAGTGCATACCACTGCTCTGCCTATGGAGTAGCCATTCTTTTGTTTCTTTACTTCTCTAATAAACTTGCTTTCACTTTATGAACTCCCCAAATTCTTTCTTGTGTAAGATCCAAGAACCCTCTCTTGGGGTCTGGATCCAGACGCCTTTCCATTAACAATACCATCATGATCCAGGAATCCCACTACTGTGTATATTTCCATAGGAAATGACGTGAATATCTTGAAGAGATATCTGCATTCCCACGTTCATTGCAGCCTTCTTCATAATAGACAAGTATGGAAACAACCTAAATGTTCCTGGACATTTAGAAATGAAGAAAATGTGATTATATATGTGAATATTATTTAGCCTTAAAAAGAGAAGGAAATCTTGTATAATCTCACATATATGTGGGCTGTAACATAGCCACATAGTCCTTGACTCACAGAAGCAAAGAGGAGAATGCTGGCTGGGCGCGGTGGCTCACGCCTGTAATCCCAGCACTTTGGGAGGCTGAGGTAGGTGGATCACGAGGTCAGGAGTTCGAGACCAGCCTGGCCAACATGGTAAAGCTCCATCTCTTCTAAAAATACAAAAATTAGCCGGGCGTGGTCGTGGGCGCCTGTAATCCCAGGTACTCAGGAGGCTGAGGCACAAGAATCCTTTGAAGCCAGGAGGCGGAGGCTGCAGTGAGCCAAGATCCTGCCACTGCACTCCAGCCTGGGCACAGAGTGATACTCCATCTGAAGAAAAAAAAAAGTGGAGAATTTTGGTTGCCAGGGACTGGGAGAATGGGGAGAGACTGGAGAGACATTAGTCAAAGGGTATAAACTTTCAATTACAAGATGAAGAAATTCAGGAATTTAATGTACAGCATGGAGATTTTAGTTAACAATACTGTATTGTCCAGCTGGGTGTGGTGGCTCACGCCTGTAATCCCAGCACTTTGGGAAGCAGAGGTGGGGGGATCAAGAGGTCAAGAGATCAAGACCTTCCTGGCCAACATGGTGAAACCCCGTCTCTACTAAAAATACAAAAAATTAGCCCAGCATGGTGGTGTGCACCTGTAATCACAGCTACTTGGGAGGCTGAGGAAGGAGAATCGCTTGAATCTGGGAGGCAGAAGTTGCAGTAAACCAAGATCACACCACTGCACTCCAGCCTGGTGAGAGAGAAAGACTCCGACTCAAAAAAAATAAAAGAACAAAAAACAAAAAACTGTATTGTATACTTGGAGTTTACTAAGACAGCAGATTTTAAGTGTTCTCGACACAGTAAAAAAGGTGACTGTGAAGTGATGGATACATAAATTAGTATGGTAGTGGTAATCATTTCACAATGTTTATACTAAACATCACATTGCACACTTTAAGTATATACAGTTTTTCTTTGTCAATGAGGTATCAATAAAGCTTGTGGTGGGAGGTGGGGGAGAAGTGTTAGCAGAAAAACTGGATATAGACATGCATAAGAAGGGAGTTAGACCCTAACCTTATACCATATATAAAATGAACTTAAAATGGATCAAGGCCAGGCACGGTGGTTCACACCTGTAATCCCAGCACTTTGAGAGACTGAGGCAGGGGAATCACAAGGTCAGGAGTTTGAGACCAGCCTGGCCAATACGGTGAGACCCCGCCTCTACTAAAAATACAAAAATTAGCCGGGTGTGGTGGTGGGCACCTGTAATCTCAGCTACTTGGGAGGCTGAGGCAGAAGAATTGCTTGAACCGGGGAGGCAGAGGTTGCAGTGAGCTGGGATCACGCCATTGCACTCCAGCCTGGGCAACAAGAGCGAAACTCCGTCTCAAAAAAAAAAAAAAAAAAAGATGAAAAATCATTAACTCTTTCCTTGCCTAACACAGCCATGGCTCGTGGTCCCAAGAAGCATCTGAAGGGGATAGCAGCTCCAAAGTATTGAATGTTGGATAAATTGACTGGTGTGTTTCTCCTCATCCATCCACCAGTCCCCACAAGTTGAGAGAGTGTTTACCCCTCATCATTTTCCTAAGGAAGAGACTTAAGTATGCCCTGACAGGAGTTGAAGTAAAGATTTTCCCACAGCGGTTAAGATCGATGGCAAGGTCCGAACTGATATAACCTACCCTGCTGGATTAATGGATGTCATCAACACTGACAAGATGGGAGAGAATTCCCAACTGACCTGTGACACCAAGGGTCACTTTGCTGTACAACGTATTACACCTGAGGAGGCCAAGTACATGTTATGCAAACTGAGAAAAATCTTTGTGGGCACAAAAGGAATCCCTCATCTGGTGACTCTTGATACTCACGCCATCTGCTACCCTGATCCCCTTATCAAGGTGAATGATACCATTCAGATTGATTTAGAGACTGGCAAGATTACTGATTTCATCAAGATTGACACTGGAACCTGTGTATGGTGACTGGAAGTGCTAACCTGGGAAGAATTGGTGTGATCAACAGAGAGCGGCACCCTCGATCTTTCAAAGTGGTTTACGTGAAGGATGCCAAAGGCAACAGATTTGCCACTAGATTTTCCAACATTTTTGTTATTGGCAAGGGCAACAGACCATGGATTTCTCTTCCCCGAGGAAAGGGTATCCGCCTCACTATTGCAGAAGAGACAGACAAAAGACTGGTGGCCAAACAGAGTGGTGGATGAAATGGTCCCTGAGTGACATTTTAGATCTTTGTACATAATTAAAAATAATGTGGCATGGCCGGGCACAGTGGCTCACGCCTCTAATCCCAGCACTTTGGAAGGCCGAGGTGGGTGGATCACGAGGTCAGGTGTTCGAGATCAGCTTGACCAACATGGTGAAGCCCTGTCTTTACTAAAAAGAAATACAAAAAGTAGCCGGGCATGGTGGCATGCACCTGTAATCCCAGCTACTCAGGAAGCAATGGCAGGAGAATCACTTGAACCTGGGAGGTAGAGGTTGCAGTGAGCTGAGATCGCACCACTGCACTCCAGCCTGGGAGACAGCAAGCCTCCATCTTAATAATAATAATAATGTGGCATGATTTTTAAAAAATGGATCAAAAACCTAAGTGTAGTGTAAGAGCTAGAGCTGAAAACCTATTAGAAGAAAACATAGGTGAGAAAGCTTCATGATATTGGAATTGGAAATGACTTCTTAGTTATGTCATCAACCACACAGGCAACACAAGAAAAATTATGAGTTGAACCTAATCAATAATACAAATTTTTTGCATCAAAGCATAATAACAAGAGAATGAAAAGACAATCTACAAATGGGAGAAAATATTTTCAAGTCCTGTATCCGACTGGGGACAAATATCTGGAGTTTATTTTTAAAATTTCTAGAACCCGAGAGTAACAACAACAAAACCCAATTCAAATACAGAAAAAGGACTTGAATAATATCACCAAAGAAGATACACAGATGGCCAATAAACACAGGAAAAGATGCTCATGAAAAGATGCTTAACATCACTAAACATCATGAAAATGAAAATCAAAACCATGCTGGATGTGATGGCTCACACCTGTAATCCCAGCACTTTGGGAGGCTCAGGGTGAGGGATTTCTTGAGACTAAGAGTTCAAGACCAGCCTGGGCATATTGTGAGATTTCATTTTTACAAAAAAGATTTTTTAATTCAGCCAGGCATGGTGGTGGCATGCACTTGTAATCCCTGCTACTCGAGAGGCTAAGGTGGGATGATTACCTGAGCTCAGTAGGTTGAGGACTGCAGTAATCCATGATCATGTCACTGCATTCCAGCCTAGACAACAGAGTGAGACCCTATCTCAAACAAACAAACAAGATTAAACAGAATTACCATATGATCCAGACATTCCACTTTGGCATATATATCCAAAAGTGTTGAGAGCAGGTGCTCAAAGAAATATTTGTACACCAATGTTTATCTCACTAGTATTCACAATAGCCAATCCCTGCCAAACTGCAATTTTAACACACTTGATTGTTTGAAACATAGCATGAACAAGCCTATTTTTAGCCATCTCGAGTGTGCCTTCTTTGTATTCTCTGAAATTATGTGCAATATCTGATAGCCATAGATAAGATAACTCCAGAGGCTATGAAAATCCCATCCCCCTGCTGTCCTGCAGAACCTTTTTTTTTTTTTTTCTTTTGAGATGGAGTCTCACTCTGTTGTCCAGACTGGAGTGCAGTGGCAAGATCTCGGCTCACTGCAACTTCCACCTCCCGGCTTCGAGTGTTTCTCCTGCCTCAGCCTCCTGAGTAGCTGGGATTACAGGTGCACGCCACCACGCCCGGCTAATTTTTGTATTTTTAGTAGAGATGGGGTTTCACCATGTTGGTCAGGCTGGTCTTGAACACCTGTCCTCGTGATCCGCCCCACTGGCCTCCCAAAGTGCTGGGATTATAGGCATGAGCCTTCTTGCCCGGCCCTTCAGAGCTTTTTAACTGGAAGATATGCTGTCAGTTTGGTGAGTATCATCATTTAGTTATTTATAAGCCCCCTCTTTGATTCCCTTTCTCCTCTGGGAGTCTCTCTTCCTTTCCACGCTTTCTGAGAAGTGACCCACAGGTAGAAGCCTGTGGATACTCTCTTGCTGTTTCCTACCTCCGCAACTGCTAACCTGTGAAAGCACATCCCAAATGAAGCTTGTATGCTATTGCCGCCTTGTAGTTACATCTTTTTCCTTACTCAGCCAAGAAATCACTTGAACACCTTACATGCGTGTATGGTTTTATTTTTCACACTTAGATTACTAGTCCATTTGGAGTATATTGTATATGATATGAAGTATAGATTTAATTTCATCTTTTCTCTGATAGCTAACCAACTGTCTTAGACTTTCCATTACAAATGGCATTTTTTCCCTATCGATCTGAAACACCACTTTTTTTTTTTTTTTGACATGGAGTTTTGCTTTTATTGCCCAAGCTAGAGTGCATTGGCACGATCTCGGCTCACTGCAACCTCTGCTTCCTGGGTTGAAGCGATTCTCCTGCCTCAGCCTCCCGAGTAGCTGGGATTACAGGCACCTGCCACCACACCTGGCTATTTTTTTTTTTTAATTGATCATTCTTGGGTGTTTCTCGCAGAGGGGGATTTGGCAGGGTCATAGGACAATAGTAGAGGGAAGGTCAGCAGATAAACAAGTGAACAAAGGTCTCTGGTTTTCCTAGGCAGAGGACCCTGCGGCCTTCCGCAGTGTTTGTGTCCCTGGGTACTTGAGATTAGGGAGTGGTGATGACTCTTAACGAGCATGCTGCCTTCAAGCATCTGTTTAACAAAGCATATCTTGCACCGCCCTTAATCCATTTAACCCTGAGTGGACATAGCACATGTTTCAGAGAGCACAGGGTTGGGGGTAAGGTCACAGATCAACAGGATCCCAAGGCAGAAGAATTTTTCTTAGTACAGAACAAAATGAAAAGTCTCACATGTCTACTTCTTTCTACACAGGCACGGCAACCATCCGATTTCTCAATCTTTTCCCCACCTTTCCCCCCTTTCTATTCCACAAAACCGCCATTGTCATCATGGCCCGTTCTCAATGAGCTGTTGGGTACACCTCCCAGACGGGGTGGTGGCCGGGCAGAGGGGCTCCTCACTTCCCAGAAGGGGCGGCCGGGCAGAGGCTCCCCTCACCTCCCGGATGGGGCGGCTGGCCGGGTGGGGGGCTGACCCCCCCACCTCCCTCCCGGACGGGGCGGCTGGCCGGGCGGGGGGCGCTGACACCCCCACCTCCCTCCCGGACGGGGTGGCTGCCGGGTGGAGATGCTCCTCACTTCCCAGACGGGGTGGCTGCCGGGCGGAGGGTTTCCTCACTTCTCAGACGGGGCGGCTGCCGGGCGGAGGGGCTCCTCACTTCTCAGACGGGGCGGTTGCCAGGCAGAGGGTCTCCTCACTTCTCAGATGGGGCGGCCGGGCAGAAACGCTCCTCACCTCCCAGACGGGGTCGCGGCTGGGCAGAGGCGCTCCTCACATTCCAGATGGGGCGGCGGGGCAGAGGCGCTCCCCACATCTCAGACGATGGGCGGCCGGGCAGAGATGCTCCTCACTTCCTAGATGGGATGGCGGCCAGGAAGAGGCGCTCCTCACTTCCTAGATGGGATGGCGGCCGGGCAGAGATGCTCCTCACTTTCCAGACTGGGCAGCCAGGCAGAGGGGCTCCTCACATCCCAGATGATGGGCGGCCAGGCAAAGACGCTCCTCACTTCCCAGACGGGGTGGCGGCCGGGCAGAGGCTGCACTCTCGGCACTTTGGGAGGCCAAGGCAGGCTGCTGGGAGGTGGAGGTTGTAGCGAGCTGAGATCACGCCACTGCACTCCAGCCTGGGCACCATTGAGCACTGAGTGAACGAGGCTCCGTCTGCAATCCCGGCACCTCGGGAGGCCGAGGCTGGCGGATCACTCACGGTTAGGAGCTGGAGACCAGCCTGGCCAACACAGCGAAACCCCGTCTCCACCAAAAAAATATGAAAACCAGTCAGGCGTGGCGGCGCGCGCCTGCAATCACAGGCACTCGGCAGGCTGAGGCAGGAGAATCAGGCAGGGAGGTTGCAGTGAGCCGAGATAGCAGCAGTACAGTCCAGCTTCGGCTCGGCATCAGAGGGAGACCATGGAAAGAGCGGGAGAGGGAGACCGTGGGGAGAGGGAGAGGGAGAGGGAGGACACCCAGCTATTTTTGTATTTTTAGTAGAGATGGGGGTTTCTCCATGTTGGTTAGGCTGGTCTTGAACTCCCGACCTCAGGTGATTCACCCACCTCGGCCTCTCAAAGTACTGGGATTACAGGCGTGAGCCACCAGCCGAGCCTATTTTTTGTATTTTTAGTAGAGACGGAGTTTCACCATGTTGGCCAGGCTGGTTTCCAACTCCTGAACTCAAGTGATCCTCCTGCCTTGACCTACCAAAGTGCTAGGATTACAGGCATGAGCCACCACGCCCAGCAAAATACCACATTTATGAACCAAATTTCTACATGTTCTTGGGTCTATTTATAGATATTTTATTAGTCTGTTTCTGCTTCATGCACTAGTACCACATAGTTTTAATTATAGAGGCTTTATAGAATGTTTTCTTATTTTTATTTTAAAATAATTCTTTGTCTTGCGTGAAAATTGTCAATAGTATGTTTTAATATCTGCTGCTCATCATTGCTTTTGTTTTTGTTTTCCTTTTTTTTTTTTTGACACAGTCTCCCTCTGTCCCAGGCTGGGGTGCAATGGTGCGATCTCAGCTCACTGCAACCTCCGCCTCCCGTGTTCAAGCAATTCTCCTGCCTCAGCCTCCCAAGTAGTTGGGACTACAAGCACGTGCCACCATGCCCAGCTAATTTTTGCATTTTTAGTAGAGACACGGTTTCACCATGTTGGCCAGGATGGTCTTGATCTCCTGACCTTGTGATCTGCCTGTCTCAGCCTCCCAAAGTGCTGGGATAACAGGCATGAGCCACAGTGCCCGGCCTTGTTTTTGTTTTCTTGCTTATTATCAGATTTTCTTTTTCCATATAAACTTTTAGCATCAATGTACCTAACTCCAGAAAAAATTTTGGTGTTTTTATTGGGATTATGTTACATTTCTGAATAAACTTGGGGAGAATGTCTGGTATTACTGCTATTTTACAACATAGGAAATGCGGTCCTGGCCCATGTGGTAAGATCAGAAAAATAACAATAGAAATACATATTTTTGGTCAGGCTTAGTGGCTCACACCTGTAATCCCAGCACGTTGGAAGGCCAAAGTGGGTGGATCATGAGGTCAGGAGTTCAAGACCAGCCAAGCCAATATGGTGAAACGTCTCTACTAAAAATACAAAAATTAGCTGGACATGGTGGCGCAGGCCTGTAGTCCCAGGTACTTGGGAGGCTGAGACAGAAGAATCGCTTGAACCAGGGAGCAGAGGTTGCAGTGAGCCAAGATTGTGCCAATGCACTCCAGCCTGGGCAACAGAGCGAGACTCCATCGCAAAAAATAAAAGAAAAAAGGAATTTTTTAAAAATTTTATTGTTTTTTAAGGAGACAGGGTCTTGCTGTGTTGCCCAGGCTTGTCTCCAACTCCTGGCCTCAAACGATCCTCCCATATTGGCCTCTCAAAGTGTGCTGAGATTACAGGCATGAGGCAACGTGCCCAGCCAGAAATACATACTTGGTGAAGAAAAAAAAAATCAAGATTTATAGAAAGTATTATTATATTGAAAATGTGGCTGTGCGTGGTTGCTCATGCCTATTGTAGGGAAAAGAAAGAGATCAGACTGTTACTTTGTCTATGTAGAAAAGGAAGACATAAGAAACTCCATTTTGATCTGTACCCTAAACAATTGTTTTGCCTTGAGACGCTGTTAATCTGTAACTTTAGCCCCAACCTTGTGCTCACAAAACGTGTTGTATGGAATCAAGGTTTAAGGGATCTAGGGCTGTGCAGGATGTGCCTTCTTAACAATATGTTTACAGGCAGTATGCTGGATGAAAGTCATCACCATTCTCCATTCTCAATTAACCAGGGGCACGATGCACTGCAGAAAGCAGCAGGGACCTCTGCCCAGGAAAGCTGGGTATTGTCCAAAGTTTCTCCCCACTGAGACAGCCTGAGATATGGCCTCATGGGATGGGAAAGACCTGACCGTCCCCCAGCCTGACACCCATGAAGGGTCTGTGCTGAGGAGCATTAGTAAAAGAGGAAGGCCTCTGTCTCCTGAATGCCCCTGGGAACGGAATGTCTTGGTATAAATCCCGAATGTACATTGTTCTCTTCTGAGACAGGAGAACACTGCCCTGTGGCTGGAGGTGAGACATGCTGGTGGCAATGCTGCTCTGCTATTCTTTACTACACTGAGATGTTTGGGTGGAGAGAAGCATAAATCTGGCCTACGTGCACATCCAGGCATAGTACCTTCCCTTGAACTTATCTGTGACACAGATTCTTTGCTCATATGTTTTCTTGCTGACCTTCTCCCCACTATCACCCTGTTCTCCTGCTGCATTCCCCTTGCTGAGATAGTGAAAATAGTAATCAATAAATACTGAAGGAACTCAGAGACTGGTGCCAGTGTGGGTCCTCTGGACGCTGAGCGCCGGTCCCCTGGGCCCACTGTTCTTTCTCTATACTTTGTCTCTGTGTCTTATTTCTTTTCTCAGTCTCTCATCCCACCTGATGAGAAATACCCACAGGTGTGGAGGGGCTGGCCCCCTTCACCTATAATCCCAGCATTCTGCAAGGCTGAGATGGGCAAATCACGAGGTCAGGAGTTTGAGACCAGCCTGGCCAACATGGTGAAATGCCCTCTGTACTGAAAATAGAAAAAATAGCTGGGCATAGTGGCAGCCACCTGTAATCCCAGCTACTCAGGAGGCTGAAGCAGGAGAATCACTTGCACCCAGGAGACGGAGGTTGCAGTGAGCTGAGATTGCACCACTGCACTCCAGCCCGGGCAACAGAGTGAGACTCCAGTCTCAAAAAAAAAAAAAAAAAAAAAAAAAAGTAAAAAGAAAACGCAATGGAAACAGCAGGTTCTATAAAATAAAGAATGAAAAAATAGGCTGGGCGCGGTGGCTCACGCCTGTAATCCCAGCACTTTGGGAGGCCGAGGCGGGTGGATCATGAGGTCAGGAGATGGGGATCATCTTGGCTAACACCGTGAAACCCCGTCTCTACTAAGAATACAAAAAAATTAGCTGGTTGTGGTCGCGGGCGCCTGTAGTCCCAGCTACTTAGGAGGCTAGGCAGGAGAATGGTGTGAACCCAGGAGGCGGAGCTTGCAGTGAGCCGAGATTGCACCACTGCACTCCAGCCTGGGGGACAGAGAGAGACTCCGTCTCAAAAAAAAAAAAAAAAGAAAAAGAAAAAGAAAAAATAAAGGCCTACAGAAAGAATGACTGAATGGAAGAGACAGACCATGCCATCTATCACTGGCAGGTTTAATATGGAAGAATCATGGAAAGGCTCCAGGAACATGAGGAGCGGCATACAAAAAAGCTTGACACACACACACACACACACACACACACACACACACACACATATATATATATTTTTTCTTTTTGAGATGAAGTCACGCTCTTGTCCCCCAGATTGGAGTGCAGTGGCGCAACCTCGGCTCACCGCAACCTCCGCCTCCCGGGTTCAAGCGATTCTCCTGCCTCAGCCTCCTGAGTAGCTGGGATTACAAGCGCCTGCCACCACACCCAGCTATTTTTTTGTATTTTTAGTAGAGACGGGGTTTCAGCATGTTGGCCAGGCTGGTGTCAAACTCCCGACCTCAGGTGATCCGCCCGCCTTGGCTTCCCAAAGTGCAGGGATTACAGGCGTGAACCACTGGCGCTTGGCCTTATATATATATTTTAATAGAGACAGGGTCGAGCCGGGCACAGGCCTGGGCAACAAGAGTGAAACTCTGTCTCAAAAAAAAAAAAAAAAAAAAAAAGAAAAGAAAAAAAAAGACACACGGTCTTGCTATTTCACTCAGGCTGGTCTGGAACTCTTGGACTCAAGCTATCCACCTGCCTTAGCCTCCCAAAGTGCTGGAATTACAGGCGTGAGCCACTGAGCCCGCCCAGGATAAGCTTTGGAGGAGCATCCTCTGGGGTGCGTCCCATCCCCCATCCCCGCCTTTCCAACCCGTCTGGGCACCTGAAACGCGGGCTAGGCCGGGTCCCACCTCTAAACCGCCCCCAAATATGGGCCCCACCCCTCGCCCACGGTTCCGTCCAGAGGTCCGGTTCTAAACTCATCTTTTTCTCTGAACCCGTTTCTGCATCCCGCTCCCTGAGCCAACCCCAGGCACTGTCCGGCACCCACCCAGGAGGAAACTAGAATTTCTTTGTCCTACGTGCCTGAAACTCAAGCCCTGGAGCCCCACCCGGCCGGAGGCTCGGAGCGGAAGTGACGTCAGTGTGCCACCGCCATCTTTACCGGCTGTGGCTCAGCATGGTCAGTGCCGTTTAACCTTTATTGTGGTGGAGTCCACCCCGCTGTGGTGAGTTCTACCTGCTTGGGGGTCCGGGACATACCAGCGGGGCGGCAAAGGAAGGATTGGGCGTGGTCGCCCAGGAGCCTCTCAGATCCGCCTAGTTTCACTCGCTTTTCTAGGGGCTGTCAGTCCTCCTGGTGCGGCCTCTGGCCAGTTCCGAGAGGCCGCACAGTCCGTCTGGCTGCGTCGGGAAGTGTGTTTGTTCCGCCTCCGCCGGGTGTTTTCTTGAGTACTTTCATCCGCTGTGCTCCTCTCTTGAAAAGCTTGGAAAGCAACCTTTGGGAGTTTTTTTCTTTCCGAAAGGAAAAGGATTTCTGCCCTTCTGGTGAGGTTGGCTCTGGCCCCGCATTCTCCCGCGTCTGGAACCTATCTCTTCCGGCATGTTCCTGGTGAGCAACGGCGGAAAAATGGTTTCAAGAGGGCTGTGACTTCCATTTATTTGCTAAAAAATGTCTCATCTGAGAATCTGGCGTTGTCTTGATGTCCTTTACTTTTTTTTTTTTTTTGATTTGGAGTCTTACTCTGTCGCCCACGCTGGAGTGCAGTGGCACGATGTTGGCTCACTGCAACTTTCACCTCCCGGGTTCAAGTGATTGTTAGATATGAGTTTTAAATTTCTTTTTAAAAAATCAATATGTCAGTATGTTTAATTCTTTGCCTTCTACTTTTAAACTTCTCCGTAAAGCAACCTTTTTCGATCACCTGCTCCACCCTGACTCATTCTGATTACCTGCTCCACCCAGACTTATTTCGATTACTTACTCCACCCTGACTCATTTTCCACCCTGACTCATTCCAATTTCCTGCTCTGTTATAACCATTTTCCCCAACAAACCACTCACCCTGTCACTCTCTTTAAATTAGCCAATTGGAATTAGTTTAGCCTGTGGGGTCTAACCCTAGCCATCGGGGAAGGACAAAGCGGCAGGGGCCACTTTCCTCAAGAATAAGAACCCCTTCCCCTCCCTTGTCCTGGTGTGTGCTCACCATTGCTCCATCTGTGAGGGCACACCCTTCTGTAGAAGTAAATTGCCTTGCTGAGAAAAGAAAATGTTATATTTGAGTGCTTTTTTTTTGTGGCATGAAAACTTTATAACATGATTCACCTGCCTCAGCCTCCCGAGTAGCTGGGATTCCAGGCGTGCACCACCACACCTGGCTAATTTTTTATATTTTTGGTAGAGATGGGGTTTCACCATGTTGGCCAGGCTGGTCTCGAACTCCTGACCTCAAGTGATCCACCCGCCACTTATTTTTGACACATTACATTCAGATGGAAAAAACATAGTTGTTTAGGGTGTGCCCGTTTTTGTATGTAAATATGAACGCGTGTAGACTAAGCCTTTAGTTTTTAATTTTTATTTTCTTGCAGGTTATTTTTTTTCTAATTGTTACCAGCTGCAAGCCTTTCTACTTAAAGCCAGGCCAGATGCACTGGCTCACACCTGTAATCACAGCACTTTGGGAGGCAGAGGCAGGCGGATCACCTGAGGTCAGGAGATCCAGACTAGCCTAGCCAACATGGTAAAACCCTGTCTCTACTAAAAATACAAAAATTAGCCGGGCTTGGTGGTGGGCCCCTGTAATCCCAGCTGTTGGAGATAAAAAAATAAAACGCTGGGTGCTGCAAAGTGAAACCAGCACTCAGGCAAAAGTTTTCTCAGCAACGCAATTTATTTCTATAGAAGGGTGAGTCTCGTGGATGGAGTGATGGCGAGAGTACACCAGATAAGGGAGGGGAAGGGGTTTTTATTTCTAACGCTGGGTCCCTACTTCTGTGTCTCTCCCCCGTGGGTTAGGGTCAGACCGCAGAATCTAAACTGACCCTATTGGCTATCTGTGAATATTTTCCCCAAATAAGGAAGGGTAGGGGGATGTGTGAGTCATGATGGTGGGATGTGCAGTTTCAAAGAGTGGAATAGCTGCAGAATGAGTAGCCAAGGGAACAGATGTGAGTTATTGATTAGAGCTGATGGGAAGGTTGTTTACAGTAACTAGAGGCAAGGAGGCATGGAGAACAGGAAAGTTGAGTTTGAGAACAAAGAACAAGGAAGTTTACAGGCTGAACTTTTGAAGAGAAATTCAGAGAAATATATTGTATCTTACACAGCTACTCCGGAGGCTGAGGCAAGAGAATCACTTTAACCCGGGAGGCGGAGGTTGCATTGAGCCGAGATCCCGCCACTGCCCTCCAGCCTGGGTGACAAGAGCGAAACTGTCTAAAAAAAAAAAAAAAAAAAAAAGAAAGGCAATAATACTCAACTATTCTCTTCATCTGAAGTTCTTAGGTCTGTACTTCCCCACAGTGCTTCAAAACAGAGGCCTCCAGGAACCAGGAAGAAAGAATGGAGGCTTTATTACACTGACACTAGAATTATTTACTATTATAATCAGAATAGTATTCTAGTATCAGTGTAATAAAATATCTAGTATCTGTATAATTTATTAAGAGCATGTTTGGACTAAGTGTAGTTTTTACATTTTTTTCTGAAAAATTTGATCCTAAGGAAAACTTGAACATCTAACACACCCAGTCTAGTAGATTTACTTAATTTTTTAGCATTTTATTTCTTTCTCCTCATGTAAATCTTACAGTGAACAATTTGAGTGTAAATTGAGCATAAATTGTACATGTGATGCTTGACCTTTAAATACTTTGTAATGCACCTCCTAAAAATAGGCATTGTCATACTAAAACCACAATACTAGTATTTCACTTAAATTAAAAATAATAATGTCATCTAATGTCTACTTTCCGTAATAACTAAAATTCTCCTCATTGATTCAACGTATGCTCTTGGGTGTTTTTGGATCTAAGATCCATTCAAGATTTTTGCATTGCAATTGTCAGTGTCTTCAGTGTCTTTTTGCCTATAACAGTTATTACTGTCCATTATATTGACTTTCAGAGAGTCACACTCATTCTCTTAGAAAGTCATACAATCAGATATTTCTGATTGGATTCTCATGGTGTGTGTAAATATTCCTTTATTTCATGCGATTTCCTACAAACTTGGAATTGGGTCCAGAGGAGAGGCTGACAACAGTTGTTTGATAATGGGTGACAGTATGTACTTCATGCTTTGGGGACCAGAAAGTCTCAAATTACTCAGTTCAGCCTTAGTTACTTCATGTCCCATGACTAGTTGTTCATTCTCTGTCATGTGCTAGTGGCAAACCACAACCTGTTTCTCAAGAGAAAAACAGTTAATCTGCACAAGAGGGCATGGATTGACTCTGCAATACCAGAGGGCTGTACTCTACATCTTCTGTTGGTGCATGCCGGAGGCTTCCAATAAATAACATGCCATTTAACATGGACACGTTGAGTATCACTGGGTCTGCTGGATCAGGTGGACCAAGTGCTTAGGAAGCTTGCATTGCAGCCTGAAATTGCTCTTGTCTACAGTTGAAACTAGAATCCTTACAGGTAACTGT
The DNA here is from genome assembly GCF_000001405.40 of Homo sapiens. Taxonomy (NCBI): domain Eukaryota; kingdom Metazoa; phylum Chordata; class Mammalia; order Primates; family Hominidae; genus Homo; species Homo sapiens. The sequence goes on along the minus strand of NC_000019.10, from coordinate 9,671,582 downwards.
GTGGGGCGTTAAAGTACATGCAAATGTATGTGTTGCCTCCAAAATTCAAGAGGTCTATGGATGGTAGTTTTTGAGAAACCTCCATGCTGGGTTTTTTTTCTTTTTTTGAGACAAAGTCTTGCTGGATCACCCAGGCTGGAGAGCAATGGCATAATCATGGCTCATTGCTCCTTGTTAATGGTAGGTGGTATTAGGTGCAGTAACTTGGAGTGACATCTTGGAGGGATGTCTTTACATGATCCAGACAAGGGAATATCTTTACCCACAGACATGGTGGCCCCAGAATCTCCCACTCCCTATTTTACAATCCAGAAAAATTTTTTTGATTCATAATAGATGAACATATTTTCAGAGTACATGTGATAATTTGATACATTCACATAATCAGGGTAAGTAGCATACCTGTCACCTTAAATATTTATCTTTTCTATATTGTAGGAACATCGTTATTCTCTTAGCTGTGTTGAAATGTATGATAGATGCGTATTAAGTGTAGTCACCCTACTGATCTATTGAATACCAGTTCTTATTTCTTCTAACTGTATATTTTACCGATGAATCAACCTCTTTTTTTTTTTTTTTTGGGAGATGGAGTCTCACCGTCACCCAGGCTAGAATGCAGTGGCATGATCTTGGCTCACTGCAACCTCTGCCTCCTCCCGGATTCAAGTGATTCTCCTGCCTCAGCCTCCCGAGTAGCTAGGATTAAGGGGTGCACCACCACACCCGGCTAATTTTTGTAGTTTTAGTAGAGACGGGGTTTTACCATATTGGACAGGTTGGTCTCGAACTCCTGATCTCACATAATCAGGGTGATCTGCCCGCCTTGGCCTCCTAAAGTGCTGGGATTACAGGCATGAGCCACCTCACTCAGCCTAATCAACCTCTCTTTATCTCCGTCTCCTTCCTACCCTTCTGGCCTCTAGTAACCATCAATCTGTACTCTATGCTCATGAGATCCACTTTTTAGCTCCCACATGTGAGAATATGGGGTATTTGTCTGCTGTGCTTGGCTTATTTCACTTCCATGATGACCTCCAGTTCTATCCAGTTGCTGCAAATGACAGAATTCCATTCTCTTTATGGCTGAATAATAATCTGCTGTCTATATATACCATATTTTCTTTATTCATTCTTTCATTGTTAGACACTTAGGTTGATTCCATATTTTGGCTATTATGAGTAGTGCTGCGGTAAACAAGGGAATGTATATATATCTTTTCAAATATATTGATTTCCTTTCTTTTGGATATATACCCAATGGGATTCCAGATCATATGGTAGTTCTATTTTTAATTTTTTGAGAAACCCCCATACTGTTTTTTTTGTTTTGTTTTGTTTTTTTTGAGATAGTCTTGCTGTGTCACCCAGGCTAGAGTGCCATGGCATAATCATGGCTCACTGCAGCCTTGACTTCCTGGGCTCAGGTGATCCTCCCACCTCAGCTTCCTGAGTAGCCAGGACTACAGGCCTCCACTAATACACCTGGCTAAGTTTTTTTGTTTGTTTCTTTGATTTTTTGAGACAGAGTCTCACTCTGTCACTCAGGCTGGGGTGCAGTGGCACGATCTTGGTTCACTGCAACGTCCGCCTCCTGGGTTCAAGCAATTCTCTTACCTCAGCCTCTGGAGTAGCTGGGACTACAGGTGCACGCCACCATGCCCAGCTAATTTTTGTATTTTCAGTAGAGACAGAGTTTCACCATGTTGACCAGGCTGGTCTCAAACTCCTGACCTCAAATGATCTGCCTGCCTTGGCCTCCTAAAGAGCTGGGATTACAGGCATGAGCTACTGTCCCTGACTGGTTGTGTGTGTGTGTGTGTGTGTGTGTGTGTGTGTGTGTGTGTGCGCGCGCGCGCGCGCGCTCGCGCGCGTGCATGCAGACAGGTCTTGCCAGTTTCAGACAGGTTTTGTGCGTGCATGTGTGTACAGACAGGTGTTGCTGTGTTGCCTAGCCTGGTCTGGAACTCCTGGGCTCAAGTGATCTCCCACCGCAGCCTCAAGTTTTGGGATTAAAGGCCTGAGCCACCACACCTGAATATTGTTCTCTACAGTGGCTGTACTAATTTATATTCCCACCAACTGCATACAAGGATTATCTTTTCACCATATCCTCATCAGCATTTGTTATTCCCTGTCTTTTTTATAAAAGCCACTCTAAATGAGGTGAGATGATATCTCATTGTGGTTATGTGTGATTTGTATTTCTCTGATGATTAGTGATGTTGAGCATTTTTTTGTATGCCTGTTGGCCATTTGTATGTCTTTTTTTTGAGAAACATCTATTCTGACCTTTTGCTGATTTTTTTATCGGATTTTTTTTGTTATCAAGTTTGAGTTCCTTATATATTCTGATTATTAATCCCAGGTGGATAGTTTGTAAATATTTTCTCCCATACTGTAGATTGTTTCTTCACTTTGTTGATTGTTTCTTTTGCTGTGGAGAAGCTTTTTAGCTTGATGTAATCTCATATGTTTGTTTTTGCTCTTGTTGCCTGTGCTTTTGAGATCTTCCCAAGAAATCTTTACCCAGACCAATGCCCTGGATTGTTTCCCAAGGGTCTTCCTCTACTAGTTTTATAGTTTCAGGTGTTAGATGTAAGTCTTTAATCTGTTTTGACTTTTTTTTTTTATGCTGAGAGATGGCATCTAGTTTTATTCTGCATATGGTTATCCAGTTTTCCCAGCAGCATTTATTGAAAAGACTGTTATTTTCCCATTGTATGCTTTTGGTGCCTTTGTTGAAAATGAGCTGTCTGTACATGTGTAGATTTGTATTTAGGTTCTTTGTTCTCTTCCATTGATCTATGTGTTTGTTTGTTTTTTTTATGTCAGTACCATGCTGATTTGGTTATGATAGCTTTGTAGTATATTTTGAAGTAAGGCAGTGTGATGATTCCAGCTTTGTTCTTTTTGTTCAGTATTTCTTTGGCTGTTTGAAGTCTTTTATTGTTGCATATAAATTTTAGGATTTTTTTTCTATTTTTGCGATGAATGTCATTGCTATTTTGATAACGGTTGCTCTTAATTGTAAATTGCTTTGGGTAGTATTGTCATTTTAACAATATTCTTCTAATCCATGAGCATGGAATGTCTTTCCATTTTTTTTCTGTATTCTCTACAGTTTGTTTCATCAGTGTTTTATAGTTTTCCTTGTATAGCTCCTTCACATTTTTGGTTACTTTTTATTTTCTCTTTTTTTCAGAGGTGGGGTCTCACTTTGTTGCCCAGGCTGGAGTACAGTGGTGCAGTTGTAGCTCATGCAGCAGCCTTGAACTCCTGGGCTCAAGGAATCCTCCTGCCTCAGTCTCTTTTGAGTAGCTGGGACTACAGGTGTGTGCCATCATGCCTGGCTAATTTCTTTTTTTTAATTGAGACTGAGCCGTGCCATGTTGCCCAGGCTGGTCTTGAACTGTTGGGCTTAAGCAATCCTTCCACCTCAGCCTCCCAAAATTCTGGGATTACAATTGTGAGTCATCATGCCTGGTGCTGGCATTTTATAGTCTTTGCAGCTATTGTAAATGTGATTACTTCCTTGATTTCTTTTTCAGATTGTTCACCGTTGGCGTATATAAATGCAACTGATTTTTGTATGTTGATTTTGTGTCCTGAACATTTACTGAATTCATTTATCAGTTCTAACAGGTTTTTGGTAGAGTCTTTAGGTTTTTCTAAATATGATTATGTCAGCTGAGCATGGTGGCTCATGCCTGTAATCCCAGCACTTTAGGAGGCCAAAGCAAGAGGATCACTTGAAATCAGGAGTTCAAGGTCAGCCTGGGTAATATATTGAGGACCCCTCTGCCCCCAGTCTCTAAAAAAAAAAAAAGTTAGCATTGTCACACATGCCTGTGGTTCTAGCTACTCGGGAGGCTGAGGCAGGAGTATCACTTGAGCCCAGGAGACCAAGGCTGCAGTGAGCTATGATCACCACTGCATTCTAGCCTGAGCAACAGAGGGAGACCCTGTTTCTAAGGAGAAAAAGGTCATGTCATTGGCAAACATGGCTAATTTGACTTCTTTTTTAGTTGAGATGCCCTTTATTTGTTTCTCTTGCCTAATTGCTCTGGCCAGAACTTATAGTATTATGTTGAATAGAAGTGGTAAAAGTGGACATCCTTGTTCTGTTCAAGATCTCAGAGGAAAGACTTTCAATTTTTCCCTGTTCAGTATGATGTTGGACGTGGGTGTGTCATATATGGCCTTTATTATTTTGAGGTATATTCGTTCTATACACAGTTTGTTGGGGACTTTTGTCAAAAAGGGATATTGAATTTTATCAAATGGTGTTTCAGCATCTGTGGAAATCTCATACGGTTTTTATTCTTGGTTCTGTTAATTTGGTACGTCACATTTATTGATTTGCATATGTTGAACCATCCTTGTATTTCTACGATGAATTTCACTTGATTGTGATGAATGATTTTCTTAATGTGTTGAATTTGGTTTGCTAATATTTTGGTGAGAATTTTTGCAGGTATGTTCATCAGTGATATTGGCGTGTAGTTTTGTTGTTGTTGTTGTGCTCTTGTCTGGTTTTTGATATGAGAATAATGCTCACCTTGTAGACTAAGTTTGGAAATATTCTCTCCTCTTCAATTTTGTTTGAGGAGTTCAAGTAGTATTGGTATTAGTTCTTTAAGTTTTTGGTAGGATTCAGCAGTGAAGTTATCAGGTCCTGGGCTTTTCTTTGATGGGATTCATTTTGTTATCACTTTGATCTTGTTATTGTTGTGTTGAGGTTTTCTATTTCTTCATGGTTCAGTCTTGGTAGGTTGTATGCACCCAAGAATTTGTCTATTTCTTCCAGGCTTTTCAGTTTGTTGGGATATAGTTTTTCATAATAGTTTCTAATGATTGGTTGTATTTCTGTGGTTTCTGTTCTGTTTTCTTTTTCATTTTTTATTTTATTTGGGTCATTTTTTTCCCTTAGTCTAGCCGAAGGTTAATTTTGTTTATCTTTTCAAGTAATCAACTTTATGTTTTATTGATCTTCTGTATTGTTTTTTATTTTCAATTTTATTTTGGCTCTGGTCTTTATTCTTTTGTTCTACTAATTTTGAATCTGGTTTGTTTTTGCTTTTCTAGTATTTTAAGGGGTATCATTAGGTTTATTTTAAATTTTTCTACTTTTTTGATGTATGTGTTTACTGCTGTAAAATTCTCCCTTAGTACTGCTTTTATCCCATAGATTTTGGTTTGTCAACATACCAAAACCAAAACAAAGTTCCATTGTGTAATTTTTTTTTTTTTTTTTTTGAGACGGAGGTTTGTTCTTGTTGCCCAGGCTGGAGTGCAATAGTGCGATCTCGGCTCACCACAACCTCTGCTTCCCGGATTCAAGCGATTCTCCTGCTTCAGCCTCCCGAGTAGTGGGATTACAGGCATGCACCACCATGTCTAGCTAATTTTGTATTTTTAGTAGAGACAGTGTTTCTCTATGTTGGTCAGGCTGGTCTTGAACTCCTGACCTCAGAAGATCCACCCACCTCGGCCTCCCAAAGTGTTGGGATTACAGGCATGAGCCATAGCAACCAGCCTCTTAAATTCTTTTGATTTTTTTTTTTTTTTTTAAAGACTAGGTCTCTCTCTGTCACCTAGCCTGGAGTGCAGTGGTGTGATTATGGCTTACTGCATCCTCTACCTCCCATGCTGAAGCAATCCTCCCACCTCAGTCTCCTAAGTAGGTGAGGTGCACGCCATCACACCTGGCTACTTTTTGTACTTTTTAGTAGAGATGGGTTTTCATCATGTTTCCCAGGCAGGTCTTGAACTCCTGAGCTCAAGCCATCCACCTGTGTCGGCCTCCCAAAATGATTTCCTTTCTTTAAAATTTCCCTAGGTCACCGCCTCCTTTTCAGCACTAGATGGAATCTTAAACCCATGTTTGCCTCTGCTCTAGCAAACAGTCAAGAATACTGCCCATCCAGAATTGGGGAGTCCTAAAGGGCATATTCCAGCAATGTGGGAAGGCTGGCTGTGTGTTCTGCCCAGGGGACCTGTGTAGCATACCCCTACAGTATGCTGCTCCCAGGGCTGGGGATGGTAGTCCTGCCTCCCCTCTTTGTCCCTGGATGTCCTCAGGGTATTTCTCCCTTCAGGCTCTTGTGATGCTTCCTGTGGGTTGAGACAGGGAGGGACTGATCTTTTACCAGGGAACCCAGGATGGTGGAGAAGGTGGTTGTCCACCTTGAGCTCAGTTTTTTCCAGTGTAGAAACTGAATTGGTAGAAATTTTCCACATTCTTGGTGCTGGATTAAGGAGAAGGGTGTTGTGGATATGGAAATTTGATTCTCTTACCATCTCCTTGGAGTTTTTTTCACTTCGTTGTAGCCACAGAAACTGCTTTTTTTTTTTTTTTTTAGACAGAGTCTTGCTCTGTCCCCAGGCTGGAGTGCAGTGGCACGATCTTGGCTCACTGCAACCTCCGCCTCCCAGGTTCAAGCAATTCTCCAACCTCAGTATCCTGAGTAGCTGGGACTTCAGGCGTGTGCCACCATGCCCAGCTAATGTTTGTATTTTCAGTAGAGACAGGGTTTCACCATGTTGGCCAGGCTGGTCTCAAACTCCTGACCTCAGGTGAGCCACCTGCCTTGGCCTCCCAAAGTGCTGGCATTACAGGCATGAGCCACTACACCTGGCCTAGAGCTGTTTTTTAAAGCACATGTGTGCATATATAGAAATGTGTTATATAAACGGTGGTATTTGAGATATTTTCTTTTCTTTTCTTTTCTTTTTGAGACAGAGTCTCACTCTGTCGCCCAGGCTGTACCTCATGATCCACCCGCCTTGGCCTCCCAGAGTGCTGGGATTACAGGCATGAGCCACCATGCCCAGCTGGTCTCGAACTTCTGCCCTCAGGTGATCCACCTGCATCAGCCTCCCAAAGTGCTGGGATTATAGGTGTGAGCTACTGCATCCAGCCCTGAGAAACTTTTCAAAAACGGCAGAAACCCAAAAGTCCTCAGATCACATATATGATTACATCCATAAGCCAAACCGTGCAAGAAATGTACAAGATAATGTTGGAACACATGCCCTGTGTGAAAACAATCAGTGACTGTTAGGGTCTTGTCAAAAGGAAAGGAGCCATCTTGAAGACAGTCCACTGGCCAGTGGTGGAACAACTTAACCATAACATAATAGTTTTTGTAAGTACTGATAACAAATCCAACCCAAAATGTGCAGCCCCTCCTTGGGGAAAATTAAACTTTAAGGAACGTTAAAACAAGTGAACTATAATTCCAGCACTTTTGGAGGCTGGGGCGGGTGGACCACTCGTGGTCAGGAGTTCCAGACCATCCAGACCAACGTGGAGAAACACAGTCTCTACTAAAAACACAAAAATTAGCCAGGTGTGGTGATGTATGCCTGTAATCGCAGCTACTTGGGAGGCTGAGGCAGGAGAATAGCTTAAACCAAAGAGGCGGAGGTTGCAGTGAGCCTAGATTGTGCCATTGCACTCCTGGCTGGACAACAAGAGTGAAACTCTGTCTTAAAAAACAAAACAAAACAAAACAAATTCACAGACCAGGTGTGGTGGCTCACACCTGTAATCTCAGCACTTTGGGAGGCCAAGGCAGGCAGATCACCTGAGGTCAGGAGTTCAAGACCAGCCTGGCTGTCATTGTGAAACCCCATCTCTACTAAAAATACAAAAAAAAAATAGCTGGGAATGGTGGCATGCACCTGTAATCCCAGCTATTTGGGAGGCTGTGGCAGGAGAATCACTTGAACTAGGGAGTCCCAGCTACTCTGGAGTCCTGTAGTCCCAGCTACTTGAGAGGCTGAGGCAGGAAAATCGCTTGAACCTGGGAGGCGGCGGCTGCAGTGAGCCGAGATCGCGCCACTGCACTCCAGCCTGGGCGACAGAATGAGACTCTGTCTCAGAAAAAAAAAGAAAAAGAAAAAAAAGAACAATAGCTACAGTGGTGGCAATCGTGCTACTGCAGTCTAGCCTGGGCGATAAGAGCAAGACTCCGTCTCAAAAAACAAAAACAAAACAAAAAAAAACCCATCTACACAGTCAACCAGTGTGATGATTTTTGGAATGTCAGGACCCTTGAAGACTATATTTTGGAAGTGAACAGGAAGGAAAATTTATGCAGTCTGGAGGCAATGGTGTGGAGTGATTCTGGCTGTTTCTTTTCTTTTTCCTTTTTTTTTTTTTTTTGAGATGGAGTCTCGCTCTGTCACCCAGGCTGGAGTGCAGTGGCGCAATCTCACTTACTGCAAGCTCCACCTCCTGGGTTCATGCCATTCTCCTGCCTCAGCCTCCTGAGTATCTGGGACTACAGGCGCCTGCCACCATGCCTGGCAATTTTTTTTTTTTTTGTATTTTTAGTAGAGACGAGGTTTCACTGCATTAGCCGGATGGTCTCGATCTCCTGACCTCGTGACCCACCCGCCTCGGCCTCCCAAAGTGCTGGGATTACAGGTGTGAGCCACTGCACCCATCCAGTTCTGGCTGTTTTTTCAAATTGGCATAGAGATAAGGCCATTATCTACATTAGTTGTGTACCAAGTGGCAACTGTTGTGTTCATTCTTTTCAGTAAAGAACAACATTTAGAACAATAGCTGGCCAGGCGCAGTGGCTCACATCTGTAATCCCAGCACCTTGGGAGGCTGAGGTGGGCACCTCCCGGGTTCGAGTGATTCTCCTGCCTTAGCCTCCTGAGTAGGTTGGACTACAGCATCCATGAGTGGCTAAGGTTTGTATTTTTAGTAGAGATGAGGTTTCACCATATGGGCTAGGCTGATCTTGAACTCCTGACCTCAAGTTCACGCCATTGTCCTGCCTCAGCCTCCCAAGTAGCTGGGACTACAGCCGCCCAACACCACAACTGGCTAATTTTTTGTATTTTAGTAGAGACGGGGTTTCATTGTGTTAGCCAGGATGGTCTCGATCTCCTGACCTTGTGGTCTGCCTACCTTGGTACTCCCAAAGTGCTGGGATTACAGGCGTGAGCCACTGTGCCTGGCCTGTTGTCTATATTTTCTTTCTCTCTTTTTTTTTTTTTGAGATGGAGTCTCGCTCTGTCACCCAGTCTGGAGTGCAGTGGCATGATCTCGGCTCACTGCAACCTCTGCCTCCCGGGATCAAGCAATTCTCCTGCCTCAGCCTTCTGAGTAGTCGTGTGCCACCACGCCCAGCTAATTTTTGTATTTTTAGTAGAGACAGGGTTTTGCCATGATGGCCAGGCTGGTCTTGAACTCCTGACCTCAGGTGATCTGCCTGCCTCAGCCTCCCAAAGTACTGAGATTACAAGTGTGAGCCACCGCGCCTGGCCATCTTTTGAATATTTTAAATTCTGTTTTTCATCATCTTAGGTACACAATGAAGTTATCAATAACACACGTGGCTAGTGACTACTGAGTTGTTCTGTGCAAGTCTGGGCTGTCTTCTGGTCATACTGGGGGGTAACAGCATATACAGGGGATCAGGCTCTAGGGTCAAATATCAGACCAATTACTAGGATTATTTGAATGTAGGTTTTTTTCAGTATTAATAGAGGTAATAGGCCAGGCATGGTGGCTCATGCTTATTATCCCAGCACTTTGGGAGGCCAAGGTGGGAGGATTGTTTGAGCCCAGGAGTTTGAGACCAGCCTGGGCAACCTGGTGAAACCTTGTTTCTACTAAAAATGCAAAAAATTAGATCCAGTGGTGTGCACCTGTAGTCCCAGCCACTTTGGGGGCTGAAGTGGGAGAATCACTTGTTTGAGACCAGCCTGGCCAATATGATGAAACCCCTTCCTTACACATTTCTTTTTTGTTGTTGTTGTTTGAGATGGAGTCTCGCACTGTCACCTGGGCTGGAGTGCGATGGCACAGTCTCAGCTCACTGCAACCTCCACCTCCCGGGGTCAAGCGATTCTCCTTCCTCAGCATCCTGAGTAGCTGGGATTCCAGGTGCCCACCACCACACCCAGCTAATTTTTTCTATTTTTAGTAGAGACAGGGTTTCACTATGTTGGCCAGGCTGGTCTGGAACTCCTGACCTCGTGATCCACCTGCCTTGGCCTCCCAAAGTGTTGGGATTACAGGCATGAGCCACCGTGCCTGACCAACCCCATCCTTACTAAAAATATAAAAATTAGCCAGGCATGGTGGTGCATACCTGTAATCCCAGCTACTCGGGAGGCTGAGGCCTGATAATCACTTGAACCTGGGAGGCAGAGGTTGCAGTGAGTCAAGATCACGCCACTGCATTTCAGCCTGGGCAACAGAGTGAGACTCTGTCTCAAAATAATAATAATAATATAATAATAAGGCTTGACGATGCACACCTGTGGTCCCAGCTATTCAGGAAGCTGAGGTGGGAGGATCACTTGAGCCCGGGAAATGTAGGCTACAGAGAGCTGTTGTTGTGTCATTGTACTTAAACCTGGGCAACAGAATGAGACCCTGTCTCAATAAATAGATAGATGGATAGATACATAGATACATATAGGTAATGATAGCTGTTGGGAAGGATGGTTATGATAATTAAGTGAGCATGTATATATAAAGCTACTAGAGCTACTTCTGACATACTAGTCCTCAATAAATGTCAGTTGCTGTTATTAATACTATCATTACTGAGTGACGATACTGAGTATACAGTTTTTGGTGGCCTTCACATCTGTCACCTGCAGAGAGAAAGCTCATGCATAATGTTCAATGACTGATGTTTGATGCTTGTTGTTTGGTGATTGGTATGAACAGGGCCTCAGATAACCCTGTACAAAGGGGAATGGAGATTGCCTGTATCCACCTAGATTCATAAGCTGCCCTGAGGCGATCTTGGCATCAAGAAAGACAGCATTGAGGCACATCTCACCATCAGCTTCAGAGGATGTCAGCCTTTGATATGTCCCATGGTAAGTCCTTGTTGATGCTCTTTTTCAGAGATTCTGCTTTAGGTCGCCCTCCACAACATAAGAGTCCAGTGAGCTGGGCCTGAACAGGCATGCTGCTTTTTTTTTTTTTCTTTTAGATGGAGTTTTGCTCTTGTTGCCCAGGCTGAAGTGCAATGGCATGATCTTAGCTCACCGCAACCTCCACCTCCTGGGTTCAAACAATTCTCCTGCCTCACCCACCCGAGTCACTGGGACCACAGGCTAATTTTGTATTTTTAGTGGAGACGGGTTTCTCCATGTTGGTCAGGCCGGTCTTGAACTCCCGACCTCAGGTGATTTGCCTGCCTCGGCCTCCCAAAGTGTTGGAATTACAGGCATGAGCCACCGTGCCTGGCTGCTGCTAGTTCTTTAAGGAGGAATTCAAGTAAGACGCAGAATGCTCTTTTATTTTATTCATATTTTTATTTATTTATTTTTTGAGACCGAATCTTGCTCTGTCACCCAGGCTGGAGTGCAGTGGTGTAACCTTGGCTCACTGAAACCTCCGCCTGCTGGGTTCAAGCAATTCTCTTGCCTTAGCTTCTTAAGTAGCTGGGATCACAAGCATGCATCACCAGGTTCAGCTAATTTTTTTTTTTTTTTTTTTTTTTTTGAGATGGAGTCTCACTCTGTCACCCAGGCTGAAGTGCAGTTGCATGATCTTGACTCATTGCAACCTCCACTTCCCAGGTTCAAGCAGTTCTCTGCCTCAGCCTCCTGTAGTTTTTTTTTTTTTTTTTTTTTTTTTTTTTTTTTTTTTTTTTTTTTTTTTAGTAGAGACGGGGTTTTGCCATGTTGGCCAGGCTGGTCTTGAATGCCTGACCTCGAGTGATTTGCCCACCTTGGCCTCCCAAAATGTTGGGATTACAGGCATGAGCCTCTGTGCCCAGTCAGAATGCTGTTTTAGAATTCAGCCCTGGTTTGTGTGCCTTTGGAAATGCTACATAAGCTTCATGAGTGTTACTACTATGGGCAGATAGTCACATTTTTCAGGGTGTAAGTTTCCTTGAAAAATGAAACTGTTACCCTTTACACAACAGGCAGCTCAGCCCATATCTGCTTTTCTGGGTCTAGGTGATACAGGACTACTACGGCATTTCATGGAAGTGTTGTGTGTGTGTAGTTTTTTCGAGTGTGCAGGAGCATATGGGAATTTCAAGCTAGGATGGAATGACTTCTGGGCATAAGAATGTGGGCAGCTCTGGCTTCTCATGCCTTCTTACTTTTCCACTAGGGTTTTTTCCCAGGGAACCAATCTGTCCTTTTGAAGAAAAGACAAAGATAGGAACGATGGTAGAGGACCACCGGTCAAATTCTTACCAGGTAAACAGAAAATGTACCGTTGTACAAAATGACATACTTACATCCAATAGGTAGACACATTTCCTTCTAGACAGACTCATCTCCAGAGTTTTCTTAGAGCAAATGAAGCCTTACTCAAGGACTGAATCCCCAGGTGAATTTCCCCAGGGAATGAAGTCTCCTATACATAAAGTGTTAACTTGAAGATCATTCCAGTAGCTCGGTAATTACTACTTAAGCTTGACCTTCATGGTGCCAACTGCATCTTTCTTACATTGCTGGGTGCGGTGACAGATGATAAAGCAGATGAAAGTGTCCTTTTATCAAATAATTAATTCACTCATCAGCATTTATCAGGTATCTGCAGTGTGCTGAGGAGTGTGCTGCCCAGAGACCAATGGGACAGGAAGAGCTCCTAGCCTGTTTGTGCTGAGATAATGTAAGCAGTGTGCAGTGGCTCATGCCTGTAATTCCAGCTACTCAGGAGGCTGGGGTGGGAGGAGCACTTCAGCCCAGGAGATTGAAGCTGCAGTAAGCAGCGATTGTGCCTGGGTGGCACAGTGGGACCCTGTCTTTATATATAAATAAATAAAAAGATTGGATAGATAGATAGATAGATGCTAGATAGATAAAAATTAATGTTTAGGAAGTACTGTTCTAATCAAAAATTAAAATTAAAAAAAATTAAAAAATTAAAAATAAATAGATCAGACAAAAAAGATTTAAAAATTTTTTTAAAAAGTACTGTTCAGATGGGCATGGTGTCTCACACCTATAATCCCAGCACCTTGGGAGGCTGAGGTGGGCCGATCACATGAGGTCAGAAGTTTGAGACCTTCCTGGCCAACATGGTGAAACCCCTTTTCTACTAAAAATACAAAAATTATCCAGGCGTGATGTTGCATGCCTGTAATCCCATCTACTTGGGAGGCTGAGGCATGAGAATCACTTGAACTTAGGAGGTGGAGGTTGCAGTGAGCCGAGATCGTGCCATTGCACTCCAGCCTGGGCAAAAAGAGCAAAACTCTGTCACAAAAAAAAAGAAAGAAAGAAAGAAAAAAAGTGCTGTTTAAGGCATATGCCTGTAGGAGGTCAACCTTGATTGTTTAGACACAAGAGCTCCTGAGACATTAAACCCTGGAGTAGATCATGGGAGACTTGAGAACCACGTATAAGTGAGTATAAGGTTCCCCTTTCCTCATTCTCCAGTGAATATTGGTGGAAGTGTTCATTGGCTCAAACCAGCATGTGTTTGATGACTTAGGATTCAGTGACGTTTGATGATGTGGCTGTGGAGTTCACCCCAGAGGAGTGGGCTTTACTGGACACAACTCAGAAATACCTCTACAGAGATGTGATGCTGGAGAACTACATGAACCTGGCCTCTGTGGGTAAGAGTAACATCACTTTGCTTGGCATGGTGGCCTGCACCTGTAGTCCCAGATACTTGGGAGGCTGAGGTGGGAGAATCGCTGGAGCCTGGGAGTTTGATACTAGCATGGGCAACATTGTGAAACCTCATCTCTAAAAAAAAATCCTAAGAATAAAGACTAGGCCGGTCCCGGAGGTTCACGCCTGTAATCCCAGCACTTTGGAAGGCTGAGGCAGGCAGATCACAAGGTCAGGAAATCAAGACCAGCCTGGCTAACATGGTGAAACCCTGTCTCTACTAAAAATGCAAAAAAATTAGCCAGGCATGGTGGCACATGCCTGTAGTCCCAGTTACTCGGGAGGCTGAGGCAGTAGAATCGCTTGAACCCAGGAGGCAGGGGTTGCAGTGAGCCGAGATTGTGCCACTGCACTCCAGCCTGGTGACAGAGTGGGACTTTGACTCAAAAAAAAAAAAAAGATTTTTAAAGATCCACTTTGCCTGAGAAGATTTAAGCTGTTTTTCTCAGAATTTCAGATATCTCTGACTTTTACTTTCCATCTAGTCAAACAAAACTACCAGTTCTGTTTTTTTTGTTTGTTTGTTTTGCTTTTGGTTTTTTTTGGTTTTTTTTTTTTTGAGGGAGTCTCACTCTGTCACCCAGGCTGGGGTGCAGTGGCAGGATCTCTGCTCACTGCAAGCTCTGCCTCCCGGGTTCTTGCCATTCTCCTGCCTCAGCTTCCCGAAGCTGTTCTGTTTTTTTGTTAAGTTTATCATTTTGATATATGCTCTTTATCCTGATCTTTCCTGCTTTCCTTTCCTGATAATTTTCTCTTCCTGTTCCCCATCAGTTGTAATTTTCACAGAAGCAGTTTGTTATAAACTATCTAAACACATCAGTTGTGTAATAAACCCCACATCCTTATAGCCAAATTTTTGACATACCAAAATCCTCAAGGTTCTCTTGTTTTCTTTTTTCTTTTTTTTTTTTGAGATGGAGTCTCGTTCTGTCACCCAGGCTGGAGTGCAGTGGTGTGATTTCAGCTCACTGCAACCACCGCCTCTGGGGTTCAAGTGATTCCCCTGCCTCAGCCTCCTGAGTAGCTGGGACTACAGGCACATGCCAACGCGCCCGGCTAATATATATATATATATATATTTTTGTATTTTACTAGAGAGAGGGTTTCACCATTTTGGTCAGGATGGTCTTGATCTCCTGACCTCGTGATCCACCCACCTCAGCCTCCCAAAGTCCTGGGATTACGGGCCTGAGTCACCGTGCCTGGCCTGTGGCTTTTATTTTCATACTGTGTTTAATTTGAAAACAAGGACAAATGACTAATTTTAAACTAACACATTTCTTCTCTAAACCCTTAGATTTCTTTTTCTGCTTAACTTCAGAATGGGAAATACAACCTAGAACCAAACGGTCATCACTTCAGCAGGGTTTTTTGAAGAATCAAATATTCACTGGGATACAAATGGTAAGATTCATGAGGGATACTTATTTTTTTCTTCTGTTTTTTGAGACGGAGTCTTGCTCTGCCAGGCTGAAGTGCAGTGGCACCATCTCAGCTCACCGCAACCTCCAACTCCCAGGTTCAAGCGATTCTCTTGCCTCAGCCTCCCGAGTAGCTAGGACTACAGGCACCCACCACCATGCCCAGCTAATTTATTGTATTTATAGTAGAGACAGGGTTTCACTATGTTAGCCAGGATGGTCTTGATCTCCTGACCTCGTGATCCATCTGCCTCGACCTCCCAAAGTGCTGGGATTACAGGCGTGAGCCACTGTGTCAGGCCATGAGGGATATTTCTTAATTTCCTCTCTCAGAAAAGATTGAGAATTCCATTCTAAAAAATCAGCCCAGTTAGTGGTGTGGTTTACATCTGTAATCCCAGCTACTTAGGAGGCTGAGGTGGGATCATCATTTGAGCCCAGGAGTTCAAGACCAGCCTAGGCAGTATAGCAATATACCATCTCTGATTTTAAAAAGAGGCTGGATGTGGTGGCTCATGCCTGTAATCCCAACACTTTAGGAGGCAAAGATAGGTGGATCACTTGAGGTCAGGAGTTTGAGACAGGCCTGGCCAACATGGTGAAAACTCTGTCTCTACTAAAAATACAAAATTAGCTGTGTGTGGTGGTGGGCACCCGTTATCCTAGTTACTCGGGCGGCTGAGGCAGGACAATTGCTTACCCAGAGGCCGAGGTTGCTGAGTGAGCCAGCACTGCACCACTGCATTCCAGCTTAGATGACCAAGTGAGACTCCATCTAAAAAAAAAAAAAAAAAAAAAAAAAAAAAAAAAAAGAAAGAAAAGAAAGTGAATCCTGTAATCCCAGCACTTTGGGATGTGGAGGTGTGTGGATCACTTGAGGTTAGCACTTTGAGACCAGCCTGACCAACATGGTGAAACTCTGTCTCTACTAAAAATACAAAATTAGCCAGGTGTGGTGGGCACCTGTAATCCCAGTTACATGGGAGGCTGAGGCAGAATTGCTTAAACACGGGAGGTGGAGTTGGCATGAAAAAGAAACAGCACAAATGAGAGATACTTGAGAGAGAAGTAGCCTGCACCCTTGAGGGAGCAGGGTCTCTGGAGAGATAGTCTGAATGTGATGAATTTTCTGATGTTCCATACCTGTATAACTTGTCACTGAAAAATACCGACAAGTACATATTCCCACATATGTAACTAGACATTGAGGATTTAAAGTTTCATGAAAATCTGCACAATTTGGCTGGGTGCAATGGCTGACACCTGCAATCCCAGCACTTTGGGAAGCTGAGGCAGGAGAATTGCTTGAGTCTAGGAGATCAAGACCAGCCTGGGCAACAGGGAGACTCTGTCTCTACAAAAAAATAAAAAATTAGCCGGGCACGTTGGCATGCACCTGTAATCCAGGCTCCTCAGGAGACTGAGGCAGGATGATGGCTTGAGCCTGGGAGTTTAAGGCTGCAGTGAGCTGTGATTGTGCCATGGTACCCAGCCTGGGTGACAGAGTGAGACCCTGTCTCAAACCACCCCCAACAATCAAAAAAAGACAGTTTTTTTTTGAACAATTAGAGCCAGTGGCATAGAATTCTGGCAAGAGATCAAGAGGGTAGGAAATGAAACCATGGAAGAAATATTGTAAAAATTATGGTTATCAAAGTAGGCTGACTTGGTAGCTCATGGCTGTAATCCCAGCAGTTTGGGAGGCTGAGACGGGGGTTTCTTGTAGAGTTTGAGACCAGCCTAGGCTACATACCAAGACCCTGTCTCTATAAAAATAAATTGAGGCCGGGCGCAGTGCCTCATGCCTGTAATTCCAGCACTTTCGGAGGCCTAGGCAGGCGGATGAGAAGGTCAAGAGTTTGAGAACACCCTGGCTAACATGATGAAGTCCCATCTGTAGGAAAAATACAAAAATTAGCTGGGTCTGGTTGCACATGCTAGTTGGCAGGCTGAGGCAGAAGAACCGCTTGAACCCAGGAGGCGGAGGTTGCAGTGAGCCGAAATCGTGACACTGCACTCCAGCCAAAGTGAGACTCCATCTCAAAAATAAATAAAATAAAATAAATAAATAAATCAAAAAATTGGATGATGCATGCCTCTAGTCCTAGCTACACAGCTTTTAGCTAGGGTGATCACTTGAACCCAGCCAGGCGTTTGAGGTTACAGTGAGCCATGATCACTGCAGTGCACTATAGACCAGGCAATGGAGCAAAACCCCAGCTCTGAAAAAAGTAAAACATGTTGTGCATGGTGGGTCACGCCTGTAATCTTACCACTTTGGGAGGCCAAGACAGGCAGTTCACCTGAACTCAGGAGTTTGAGACCAGCCTGGGCAACTTGGCAAAACCCATGTCTACAAAAAAAGTAGAAAAACTCCCCAGTGCAGTAGTGCACACCTGTATTTCCAGCTACTCGGGAGGCTGAGGCAGGAGAATCACTTGAGCCTGGGAGGTGAAGGTTGCAGTTAGCAGAGATTGTGCCACTGCACTGTAGACTGGGAGATAGAACAAGACTCTGTCTCAAAAAAAAAAAAAAAATTAAACATTAAAAAGTAAAATAATTGTCATCAAAATAATGTTTCTGTGTTCAGATGGGTGAAATCTCTTAATATGTCTGAAAACATTTTAAATCCTTTATCCCCTCATCAGCAGACAAGAAGCTACAGTGGATGGAAACTCTGTGAGAATTGTGGAGAGGTCTTCAGTGAACAGTTTTGCCTTAAGACACACATGAGAGCTCAGAATGGAGGGAACACTTTTGAGGGTAATTGTTATGGAAAAGACAGCATCAGTGTGCACAAGGAAGCCTCTATTGGACAAGAACTTTCCAAATTTAATCCATGTGGAAAAGTCTTCACCTTAACTCCAGGCCTTGCTGTGCATCTTGAAATTCTCAATGGAAGACAACCCTACAAATGTAAGGAATGTGGAAAAGGCTTTAAGTATTTTGCAAGCCTTGATAATCACATGGGAATCCACATTGGAGAGAAACTCTGTGAATTTCAGGAATGTGAGAGAGCCATCACAACTTCCTCACACTTAAAGCAGTGTGTAGCAGTTCATACTGGAAAGAAATCCGAAAAGACTAAGAACTGTGGGAAATCCTTCACTAATTTTTCTCAACTTTCTGCACATGCAAAAACTCATAAAGGAGAGAAGTCCTTTGAATGTAAAGAATGTGGAAGATCCTTTAGAAATTCCTCATCCTTTAATGTTCACATTCAAATTCACACTGGAATAAAACCACACAAATGTACGGAATGTGGGAAAGCCTTCACTAGATCAACTCACCTTACTCAACATGTAAGAACTCACACTGGAATAAAACCCTATGAATGTAAGGAATGTGGCCAAGCCTTCACTCAGTACACGGGCCTTGCTATACACATACGAAATCACACTGGAGAGAAACCCTATCAGTGTAAGGAATGTGGGAAAGCCTTCAATAGATCTTCAACGCTTACTCAACATAGAAGAATTCACACAGGAGAGAAGCCTTATGAATGTGTTGAATGTGGGAAGACCTTCATTACTTCTTCCCATCGTAGTAAACATTTGAAAACTCACAGTGGAGAAAGGTAAATGCAAGATATGTGGGAAAGAATTTCTGTATTCCTCACCCCACCTGTGAACTCCTACCAGAGAGAAACCTTTTGTATGTAAAGAATTTGGGAAAGCATTTGCTCTTTCCTCATGCCTAAGTATGCATGAAAGAATTCACACTGGGGAGAAATACTATGAATGTAAGGATATGAGTGTTGTTACCATTTAGCCCATTGGTTGCCATCTTTAATTATTGGCAGTGCAAAGATCATCAGATTAGTCCTAAATGCCTTTTGGAGGTTGTAATGGCTCACAGATTGGCCTTAGATGCATCCCGAGGGTCTGAAATTAAACCTACAGGTTCTGAATACAACATCATGGTTACCTGAGTCTGGGCATCTGTGAAGAAGGGTCATGGATGGTGAGGTCAGTACTGCAGGCTGCCTCACCTTGGTGATTAGATTCCTAAGATCATAGCATTAACAAGTTCTGTACGAGATAAATCATGCAGATTGATCCCAGCCCCTGTTGGTTAGTGGCTGCCAGTGTGGCACATTCATGTCAAAATTTACCAGAAGCCAAGATGATGTAGGCCCCAGAGGTGGATTGTTAAAAAGATGCTCCTCCAAGGTTCTCTTCTGTTCCCATGGATCCTGCAGAGCATGTCAGGAGTGAAACCATCCATAACTGCCAGTGCCCTTTCACAGCTGATTATTTCTATGTCCCCTTCTTGTAAAATAAGAAGTGTGACAACCTTGACTGTTCTGTTCTGTCTTCTCTGTCCATTTTAGGTGGCACAATGTAAGTGGCAGTGTCTCTTATAGTATAATCCAGTCTCTCTTCTCACTTCTGTTAAGATGGCTGATATAGTCCATGAATCCCACTCATGATCTCTTTATCAAATGATTGTTCAGCCACACTTTGAGGATTCTCTTCAGTACAAGTTTTCTAATTTTTGCAGTATGGATAGGCTGAGAATTTTCCAAATCTCCAAGTTCTGGTTCCTTTTTCCTTAACAATTTCTTCTGCAATTCAGGTCTCCTTTTGCATTTTTGCCGAGACCAGC
The DNA here is from genome assembly GCF_000001405.40 of Homo sapiens. Taxonomy (NCBI): domain Eukaryota; kingdom Metazoa; phylum Chordata; class Mammalia; order Primates; family Hominidae; genus Homo; species Homo sapiens. The sequence goes on along the minus strand of NC_000019.10, from coordinate 9,651,921 downwards.
TGGGTCGTGGAGACCCTAACCCAGTGGCTCTAGAGGAATTAAGACAAAGACACAGAAATATAGTGCAGAGTGGGAATCGGGGCTCACAGCCTTCAGAGCTGAGCTTGAACAGAGTTTGACCCACATATTTATTGACAGTAAGCCTGTGATAAACATTATTCCTATAGATTGTAGATCAGCTATAAGTATTCCTTATGAGAAAGAAAGGGACAGGCTCTGGCTTGTTATCTGCAACAGGAATATGTCCTTAAGGCACAAATCACTCATGCTATTGTTTGTGGTTTAGGAATGCCTTGAGCAGTTTTCCAGTTTTCTGCCCTGGGTGGGCCAGGTGTTGCTTGCCCTCATTCTGGTAAACCAGCAGCCTCCAGCATGGGCGTCATAGCCATCACGAGCATGTCACAGTGCTGCAGAGATTTTGTTTATGGCCAGTTTCTCATTGCCTGTTTATGGCCAGATTTGGGGGGCCTGTTCCCAGCACATTTTCCTGTAAGCACTCAGGAATAATGAAGCTTCCTGTGTCCTTTAACACTTTAATTACAGATCTTAGTGATACATACCATTTTATCTGTCTCAAGCTCTACCTTCCGTAAAATGCTAGAATACAGTTCTGCCAAGTTCTTCACCACTTTATATCAAGGGTTGTCTTTTCTTCATTTCCCAATAGCATGTTCCTCATTCCCCAATGACACCTCACCAGAATAACCCTTACCAACCTTATTTCCAGCTTGCACATCAGAATTTTTCCAGCCTCTACTCATTTGTCAGTTTCAAAGCTGCTTCACATTTTTAGTTTTTTTGTTTGTTTTTAATTGCAGTACCTCACTTCTCAGTACCAATATCTGCCTTAGTCAGCTCAGACAACCATAAGAGAATACCGCAGACCAAATGGCTTAGAAATTAATTTAATTTTAAATCAATGAGGTTAAAAACACAGGATTTTTTTTTTTTTTTTTTTTTTTTTTTTGAGATGGAGTTTTGCTCTTGTTGCCCAGGCTGGAGTGCAATGGTATGATCTTGGCTCACCGCAACCTCCACCTCCTGAGTTCCAGTGATTCTCCTGCCTCACCCTCAGTAGCTGGGATTATTGGCATGCACCACAAACCTTAGCTAAGTTTGTATTTTTAGTAGAGACAGGGTTTCTCCATGTTGGTTAGGCTGATCTCCATGTTGGTCAGATCTGACCTTTGGTGATCCACCTGCCTTGGCCTCCCAAAGTGCTGGGATTACAGGCCTGAGCCACCGTATCTGGCCCAAAACACAAATTTATATTCTCACATATCTGGAGGCTGGAAGTCTGAGATCAGAGTGCCAGCATGGTCAACCTCTAGTGAGAGCTCTCTTCCTGGCATGTAAGTGCCCACTTCCTCATGTTTTCACACGATGGAGACCAACAAATAGGTCGGTCGGTCTCCCCCCTCCCCGCCCCCTTCTCTTTTCACATACAGTCACATTGAGGTTTGGAACTTCATATGAAATTTGGGGGGTCACTGTGTGTGTGTGTGTGTGTGTGTGTATGTGTATATATATATACATATATATACACATATGTATGTATACCTAACTCCTAAAGTGGAACAGTAAGAGTCATTATTTATAGATTATCTGATTCTCTATGTGGAAAGAGAAAAGAATCATATTAAGTACTTTGGACTGAACAATGACCCCCAAAATTCGTATGATGATGAAGCTCTCTCTAAATATTTTCTTGCTTTACTGGACTGATTTTAACCCGCTGCACAACACCAACTAAAAGTAGTAATACCAGCATACTTGTCTTTGCAGTTCTGGTGAGATATGCACTCTATTTTGTTGGTTTGGCTGTAGGCTTTTATTTCTTTTTTATTTTTTGAAGAGGTTATGTCCTGTCAGGGAACCAGCCCCGATATTCACATAGGTTCTTTTCTATTTTCCCTAAGTGTCAGCCAACTTGAGAAATAAAGGGACAGAGTACAAAAGAGAGAAATTTTAAAGCTGGGTGTCCGGGGCAGACATCACATGTCGGTAGGTTCCGTGATGCCCCACAAGCCGCAAAAACCAGCAAGTTTTTATTAGGGATTTTCAAAAGGGGAGGGAGTGTGCAAATAGGTGTGGGTCACAGACATCAAGTACTTTACAAGGTAATAGAATATCACAAGGCAAGTGGAGGCAGGGCGAGATCACAGGACCAAGGTGAAATTAAAATTGCTAATGAAGTTTTGGGCACCATTGTCATTGATAACATCTTATCAGGAGACGGTTTTGAGATCAACTGGTCTGACTAAAATTTATTAGGTGGGAATTTCCTCTTCCTAATAAGCCTGGGAGTGCTATGGGAGACTGGGGTCTATTTCACCCCTGCAGTCTCGACCATAAGAGATGGCTACACCCAGGGGGGCCAGTTCAGAGACCCACTCCCAGGTGTGCATTCTCTTTCTCAAGGATGTTCCTTGCTGAGAAAAAGAATTCAGTGATATTTCTCCCATTTGCTTGTGAAAGAAGAGAAATGTGGCTTTGTTCCACCTGGCTCACCGGCGGTCAGAATTTAAGGTTATCTCTCTTGTTTCCTAAACATTGCTGTTATCCTGTTCTTTTTTCAAGGTGCCCAGATTTCATATTGCTCAAACACACATGCTGTATAATTTGTGCAGTTAATGCAATTATTACAGGGTCCTGAGGTAATATACATCCTCCTCAGCTGACAGGATTGAGAGATTAAAGTAAAGACAGGCATAGGAAATCACAAGGGTATTGACTGGGGAAGTGATAAGTGTCCATGAAATCTTTACAATTTATGTTTAGAGATTGCAGTAAAGACAGGCATAAGAAATTATAAAAGTATTAATTTGGGGAACTAATAAATGTCCATGAAACCTTCACAATCCATGTTTTTCTGCCATGGCTTCAGCCAGTCCCCCCGTTTGGGGTCCCTGACTTCCTGCAACAATGTCCTGCAGGAAAAGTTTTTTCTTTATATCCAGTTTTTACATGATGAATTATTTCCCAATATTTCATAGTTTATGAGGCTGAATTCCTCTTGAATTTATTAAATGCTTCCTTCACATCCTCTGTGATGATCATGTTTATTTACTGATAAAACTCAATACCTAGAACTGCACCTAGCTCATGATGGTACCTAATAAATACTTCAATGAAATGATGTGGTGATGCATGCCTATAGTTTTAGCTACTTGGGAGGGTGGCCTGAGCCCAGGGGTTCTAGACCAGCTTAGGCAACATAGCAAGACCCCATCTCAAAAAAAAAAACAAAAACAAAACAAAAAAAAAACTTGAAGAAGTGAATGCATGGAAAGGCGCTTTTCTAAAACAAATGTGGTCAGGCTGGGTGTGGGGGCTTATGCCTGTAATCCCAGCAATTTGGGAGGTGGGGGTGGGCAGATCATTTGAGGTCAAGAGTTCGAGACCAGCCCAGCCAACATGGTGAAACCCCATCTCTACTAACAATACAAAAATTAGCTGGGTGTGGTGATGTGCACCTGTAATCCCAGCTACTTGGGAGGCTGAAGCAGGAGAATCACTTGAACCTGGGAGGTGGAGGTTGCATTGAGCCAAGATTGCACCACTGCACTCCATGCTGGGTGACAGGGTGCGACTCTGTCAAAAATAAATAAATTAAATTAAATAAATGTGGTATTTGTATTTATTGCTTTTCCAATGTTACATCAACCTTGTATTCCTGGATAAGCTCGACTGTGACATAATGGATCACTTAAAAATACTTCATGACCTTTACTAATATGTTATGGAGCTATGTTTGAATAACATTGTGATTTTTAAAAAATTGTCCCTTAATGATATTTGTATATAATGACTGTCATATACTGTAGTGGGGCATGTTCCTACTATTTCTAAATTCTTAATCTATAAGAGTCATCTAGGTTGGGAATAGTGGCTCAGGCCTGTAATCCCAGCACTTTTGGAGGCTGAGGCAAAAAGATCCCTTGAGCCAAGGAGTTCAAACCAGCCTGGGCAACATAGCGAAACCACATCTCTATTTAAAAATACTACAAGATATTTTCATTTTTTTGGTTTGTTTCTTTGTTTTTGAGTTGGTGTTTGTTTCTTTGTTTTTGAGTTAGTGTTTCACTCGTTGCCCAGGCTGGAGTGCAATGGTGTGATCTCAACTTACTGCAAATTCCACCTCCTGGGTTCCAGTGGTTCTCCTGCCTCAGCCTCCCGAGTAGCTGAGATTACAGACAGCCTCCACCTTGCCTGGCTGATTTTTGTATTTTTAGTAGAGACGGTTTCATCAAGTTGGCCAGGCTGGTCTCAAACTCCTGACCTCAGGTGATCTGCATGCCTCATACTCCCAAAGTACTGGGATTACAGGCACAAGCCACTGTGCCCGGCCAATACTGCAAAATATTTTAAAAAGTTAAAATTATCTCTTCTGGCTGGTCATAGTGGCTCACACTTTTAATCCCAGCACACTGGGAAGCTCAGTCAGAAGGATTCCTTGAGGCCAGGAGTTCAAGATCAGTCTGGGCAACACAGACCCCATATCTCCAAAAAAATAAAAATAAATAAATAAAACAGTTATCAGGCTGGGAGTGGTGGCTCATGCCTGTAATCCCACCACTTTGGGAGGCTGAGGCAGGCAGATCATGAGGTCAAGAGATCAAGACCATCCTGGCCAACATGTTGAAACCCCGTCTTTACTAAAAATACAAAAATTAGCTGGGCACGGTATTGTGCCCCTGTAATCCCAGCTACTCAGGAGGCTGAGGCAGGAGAATCTCTTGAACCCCTGAAGTGGAGGTTTCAATGAGCCTAGATCACACCACTGCACTCCAGCCTGACGACAGAGCGAGAATCCGTCTCAAAAAAAAAAAAAAAGACAACTAGGTTGGGCACGGTGCTTCACGGCTTTAATCACAGCACTTTGGGAGGTCAAGGCAGGGGGTCACCTGAGGTCAGGAGTTCGAGACCAGCCTGGCCAATGCGGTGAAACTTTTGTCTCTACTAAAAATTCAAAAAATAAAATTAGCCAGGTGAGTTGGCGGGCGCCTGTAATCCCAGCCGCTTGGGAGGCTGAGGCAGGAGAATTGCTTGAATCTGGGAGGCGAAGGTTGCAGTGAGTTGAGTTCTTGCCACTGCACTCCAGCCTGGGTGACAAGAGCAAAACTCCATCTCATAAAAAAAAAAAAAAAAAGACAACTAAGGCTTGCATAAGTATTTTGAGAATATTCTTCTAGGCATGTTTTTATTTCCAAATGTGTAGCAAAAATTTATACTTTTTATATTTTTCATTTTTGCTGGTTGTATAACTTCAGTCTCCTTTTGCATTCTGGAATAACTTATTAATTGTGCATTCTTTCCCTTTGCTTGTGTTAATCTTGGTAGAGAGTACCCAGGTTTATGAATTCTTTCAGATATTTCGCTTGAAAAATCTACACTATTTCTTGCATGTTTTCTGTTCCACTAATTCTGTTAGATATTTATATAGTTACATCAGCTTGATTTTCCTCTACTTCTTAGTCTTTCTGTATGCTTTTTAAAAAAATGTGTCTTTTTATACATACTTTAGCTGGAGTTTTAAAAAATCTGTATACCGCTGGGCATAGTGGCTGATGTCTGTAATCACAGCACTTTGGGAGGCCAAGGCAGGTGATCACCTGAGGTCGGGAGTTCGAGACCAGCCTGACCAACACTGAGAAACCCCATCTCTACTAAAAATACAAAATTAGCTGTGCCTAGTGGTGCATGCCTGTAATGCCAGCTACTTGGGAGGCTGAGGCAGGAGAATCATTTGAACCCGGGAGGCAGAGGTTGCAGTGAGCCGAGATCACGCCATTGCACTGCAGCCTGGGCAACAAGAGTGAAACTCTGTCACAAAAAAAAAAAAAAAAAGAAAAAATACTTGAATAATACCAATTAACAATCCTTTTATGTTGCACATTTAGTGCCTGACATTTAATTAGTAATAATTTGGATTAATTTCTAGCATCTAATTTTTTTTGTTTGTTTCATTGTGTTCCCCTCTTTGTACTGATGTGTATTGATCATACCTTTAATTTATTTTATTCTTGATGTTTGAAATTTGTATGTTACTTTTCGTTGTTACCATAAATAACAATTTTAAATATAAGTCTTCCTTAATACCTTTTCTTTCTAACTAAGTGCACTACACTGTTTGAATAAAGTGATTCCCATATACACTTACTACACTTGGAGAGAGACCCAGAAGGAAGTGCATTGTCACACAAGCTATTAGACAGATCTGGTGGCAGAAAGAATAGGCTCCTTGACAGAGGCCCAGTGACACCCTGTGGTAGATTACAGATGTCTTGAGATTACTCTCTGAAGGTGCAATCTCTCTCCTTTTTATGTGAGCCAGTCCTTGCTTTGACCAGTAGAAACCAGCACAACTTTGGTTTGCAAGTCCATCCTCAAGAGGCTTCTGCTAATTAAGTAGCTGCTGTTTTCAGCTAGTAATTTTTGTGGCTGTTTATTACACAGTAAAGGCCAACTGATACACATACCCCTTTGCCCACAAGCCAATAAACTGTGGTTCTTCAGGACCCACTGGGAAATCCTCCAGAACCAGGCCCACTCGTGTTAGCAGTAAAGAATTCTGGGCCAGGCACAGTGGCTCATGCCTTTAAACCCAGCACTTTGGGAGGCTGAGATGGTTGGATCACGAGGCCAAGAGATTGAGACCATTTTGGGCAACATGGTGAACCCCCATCTCTACTAAAAATACAAAAATTAGCTGGGTGTGGTGGCACTCACCTGTAGTCCCAGCTACTTGGGGGCTGAGATGGGAGAATCACTTCAACCTGGGAGGTGGAGGTTACAGTGAGCTGATATTGCGCCACGGCACTCCAGCCTGGTGACAGTGTGAGACTCTGTCTCAAAAAAAAAAAAAAAATTCTGTCAATGTTCACAGAGAGACTGGGCATCTCCCACTATGAGCTGCAATGAGAAAATCAAGATTTGAATTCGTATTCCTCTGCTTAGGGACTCAGGAGGCCGGAAGTCAGCAGGACTGAAGGCCCAAAGAAACAGTTGATGTTATGAGCTGCAAGCAAGTTGCCAGCTGATATGGTTTGGCTGTGTCCCCACCCAAATGTCATCTTGAATTGTAGCTCCCATAATCCCCATGGTGTCGAGGGAGAGACCAGGTGGGAGGTAATAGAATCATGGGGGGGGGTTTCCCCATGCTGTTCAAGTAATTCTCATGCCTCAGTCAGCCAAGTAGCTGGGATAATAGGCGTGTGCTGTTTTTGTCACAGTGAGTAAATCTCATGAGGTCTGTCAGTTTTATAAGCAGCTGTTCCCCTGGACAGGCTCTCTTGCCTTCTGCCATATAAGATGTGCCTTTGCTCCTCCTTCACCTTCTGTCATGATTTTGAGGCCTCCCCAGCCATGTGGAACTGTGAGTCCATTAAACCTCTTTTTCTTCATAACTTACCCAGTCTCGGCCAGGCACGGTGGCTCACACTGTAACAACAACAAGGAACACAGCACCTAAACTCACACTTTTTTATTTTGGTAGAGAAGGTATCTCACTCCATTGCCCAGGCTGTCCTCAAACTCCTGAGCTAGAGTAATCCTCTCTTCTGGGCCTCCCAAAGTGCTGGGATTACAAGCATGAGCCACCATGCCCAGCCAGACATCTTTACATGACATTTTCAAGGTCCAATTGGTCCTAATTCTCCATAAATCCTTTCAGAGTATTAACAATGAAGCAAATCTTGCTAAATCTTTTTATGATGCAGTACAAGATGTATATATGTATCGTTTTTATCACTGATAAAAACAGTACAGTCATTAAAAACTACAGAATTATATTGGTAATGAATATTGGTACAAATTCACTAAGTAAGCCAGGTACGGTGGCTCACATGCCTGTAATCCCAGCACTTTGGGAGGCTGAGGCAGGTGGATCACAAGGTCAGATTGAGATGATCCTGGCTAAAACGGTGAAACCTTGTATCTACTAAAACTAAAAAAATATAGCTGGGCGTGGTGGCATGTGCATGTATTCCTAGCTACTCGGGAGGCTGAGGCAGGAGGTTACAGTGAACCGAGATCACACCACTGCACTCCAGCCTGGGATACAGAGTAAGACTGTCTCAAAAAACAAACAAACAAAAAAATGCGCTAAGTATAATAGTAGCAACTGGGCAAAGTGGCTTATGCCTGGAGTCTCAACACTTTGAAAGGAGGCAAAAGGATTACTTGAGCTCAGGAGTTCGAGACCTGCCTGGACAGCATAGCAAGCCCCCCATCTACAAAAAACTTAAAAATTAAAAAATGCAGTGAGCCAAGATCATGCCACTGCATTCCAGCCTGGGCAACAGAGCAAGACTCCATTTAAAAAAAAAAAAAAAAGAAGGAAAAAAGGAAGCTAGGAAGGAACGGATTAGCAAATAAATTCCAACTGCTTGATAAGAAAATAGTAAACCCAGTGGCATTTACTGCAGGAATATAAGGTTGGCTCTGGCTCATTCGTATCTTTGTATTTGTGCATTCATCATTATGGATGATGCCTGGAATTTGCCCAGAGGGATGCTCAAGACCCTTTCAGACACATTTTTTTTTTCTAAACTTATTTATTTATGAATGACAGAGTCTCGCTCTGTCACCCAGGCTGGAGTGCAGTGGCGTGATCTCAGCTCACTGCAACCTCCAATTCCTGGGTTCAAGTGATTCTCCTGCCTCAGCCTCCCAAGTACCTGGGATTACAGGTGTGCACCACCACACCCAGCTAATTTTTGTATTTTCAGTAGAGGCGGGGTTTTGCCATGTTGGCCAGGATGGTCTTGAACTCCTGAGACCCCCCTGATTCAGCCTGATTCAACCTCCCAAAGTGCTGGGATTACAGGAATGAGCCACAGTGGCCGGTGGTGTTCTTTTTTTTTTTTTTTTTTTCCAGAGACAGTGTCTTGCCATGTCACCTAGGCTGGAGTGCAGTGGTGCAATCATAGCTCACTGCAGCCTCGACCTCCTGGGCTCAAGCAATCCTCTCACCTCAGCCTTCTGAGTAGCTGGGAATGCAGGCATGTACCACCAGGCCCGGCTAATTTTTTTATTTTTAAATTTTTTTTTTTTTGGTCGAGACTGTGTCTCACTATATTGCCCAGGCTGGTCTTGAAATCCTGTTCAAGTTATCCTTCTGCATCAGCCTCCCAAAATGCTAGGATGACAGGGTTGAGCCACTGTGCCTGGCCTCTATTTCTAATGTCTAGGCAGCAACTGTTGTTGTGTTGTTCCTGTTACATAGTCTTATTACCCATTTGATACAAAGTTCAGATTGATTGTTCCTGTTCGTATTCCATTTTGGGTTTTCCCTCTATCTTTGTTGATTTTTTAAAAAATTAAATATGTAAAAGAATAAAGGGCCAAGCAGAGTGGCTCACAGTTGTAATGCCAACAATGTGGGAGGCCAAGGAAGGATGATCGCTTGAGCTCAGGAGTTTGAGGGCAGCCTAGGCAACATAGAGAGATCTCTTCTCTACAAAATATATTTTTAAAAATTAGCTGGATGTGGTGGTGCACGTATGTAGTCCCTGGTACTCAGGCAAAGGACTGCTTGAGCCCAGGAAGTAAAGGCTGCAGTGAGCCATGATAATGCCACTATACTTCAGCCTGTGTGACAGAGTGAAACCCTGTTTTTTTTTTTTTTTTTAAAGAAAAAAAAGAATGTAATTTTAAACATCAGAACTGTAAGGTACTCTGAGCTGGCCATACCATGGTCAAGCCATTGTGACATCCCCCCGCCCTTGTGATAATGTACTTTGTGATATTCCCCTGCCCTTGTGAATGTACTTTATAAGATACATCCTCCCCCACCTAGTGAATGTACCCTGCCATTGGCCCTTGTGACAGTACACCTTTCCTCTCCTTGTAAATGTACTTTGTAACCTTCCTCCCCACCCTTGTGATGATACACCCTCCCCGCCCTTGTGAATGTACTTTGTAACATCCTCCCCGCCCTTGAGAATGTACTTTGTAACGTCCACCCCACTGCCTACAAAAAAAATTGCTCCTAACTCCACCGCTTATCCCAAACCTATGAGAACTAATGATAATCCCACCACCCTTTGCTGACTGTTTTGTTGGACAGCCCATCCACATCCGGATGTAATACACAGCCATTGTTGCTCGCACAAAGCCTGCTAGGTGCTCTCTTTACTCAGACGCATGTAACATTTTGTGCTGAAACCTGGGACATTAGAACTCCTCAGGAGACCCATCCCCTGTCATTACACTCCCTCCATGAGGAGATCCACCTATGACCTCGGGTCATCAGACCAGCCAGCCCAAGGATCGTCTCACTAATTTCAAATCGGTAAGCGGTTTTTTTGCACTTGGATAAGCGGTTTTTTTGCTCTCTACCTAACCTCTCTCACCTCCCTTCAATCTCTCTTCTTTCAGTTTCAGTTTCTCTCCCTTCCTAGTAGAGACAAAAAGCAGACACATTTTATCCGTGCATCCAAAGACTCCGATGTTGGTCATGGACTTGGGAAGACAGTCTTCCCTTGGCGTTTGATCACTGCGGAGATGCCTTCCTTGATCATTCACCCACATTCCCTTGATGGCAGGTCAATTGCAGGGATGCCTGCTTTGGCTGCTCACCCACATTAAAGCCCAGGACTCAGTCAGGGATGCCTACTGGAAGACTGGTAGCTGCCCACCTCCATTTCTCCATGTGTCTACCTTCCTCTTTAAACTTACCTTCTCCACTAAGGGCAACCTTCTGCATTCCATTCCTCTCTCTTCCCCCTTAGCCTGTGTTCTTAGAAACCTAACACCCCTTTGACTAACACCTGACCTAAAACCTGAACGTCTTGTTTTCTTCTGTAATACCACTTGGCCCCAATACAAACTTGACAGTTTTTCCAAGTGGCCAGAGAAAGGCACTTTTGATTTGTCTATCCTACAAGACCTAGATAATTTTTGTTGAAAATTGGGCAAATGGTCTGAGATGCCTGATGTCCAGGCATTTTTTACACTTTACTCCCTCCCTAGTTTCTGCTCCCAATGAGACTTGTCCCAGATTTTCCTTCTTTCTCTCCCGTCTGCTTCTTTGTTCTCCACCCCAAGCTCAGAGTCCTCTGAATCCTCCTTTTCCACTGACCCCTCTGACCTCTCTCCTCCTCCCCCAGCTGCTCCTCGCCAGGCTGAATTGGGTCCCAATTCTTCTGCAGCCTCTGCTACCCCACCCTATAACGCTTCTATTACCTCCCCTCCTCACACCCTGTCTGGCTTATAGTTTTGTTCTGTGACTAGCTCTCCCCCACATGCCCAAAAATTTCCTCTTAGGTGGCTGGAGCTGAAGGCATAGTGAGGGTACATGTGCCTTTTTCTCTATCAGACCTTTCCCAAATGAGCCAGCATTTAGACTCTTTCTCATAGGACCCCACTAAATATATACAGGAATTCCAATATCTAACTCAGTCCTACAACTTAACCTGGAGTGACTTAAATGTCATCCTGACCTTTACCCCCTTCCCAGACGAACGAGAAAGAGTTTATTTTCTAGCCCAGTCCTACAAAGACACCCACTGGCTTCATGAGCCAGACCTCCAAGAGGGCACCAGGGCAATTCCCTGAGAGGATCCCCATTGGCAATACCAGACGGAATCCCCAGGTATAGCTAGGCAAGATTACATGGTCTCCTGCATAGTTGAGGGGCTCAAAAAGGCAGCATACAGTGCTGTTAATTATGACAAGCTAAAGAAAACTACCCAATGTAAAGACGAAAACCCAGCCCAGTTTATGGCCCAATTAGCAGTTACCTTTAGATGCTTTACAGCCCTAGACCCATGGGGGACAGAAGGCCCCCTTATCATTAATATGCATTTTATCACCCAATCCACTCCTAACATTAGAAAAAGAACTCCAAAAATTGGATTCCAGCCCTCAAGCCCCACAACAGGATTTAATCAACCTCGCCTTCAAGGTGTTCAGTAACCAAGAAAAAGCTGCCAAGTGCCACCATATCTTGGGATTCTTTGTAAGCCGTGCCCTGTCTGTGAGGGCCCCCACTGGAAGTCAGACTCTCTGACTCACATGACCACCACTCCTAAAGCTCCTGGAGCTCAAATCCAACGTTCCTTAGCTGACTCCTTCCCAGATCTCCTTGGCTTAGCGGCTGAAGACTGATGCTGCCCAATCATCTCAGAAGCCCCCTGGACCATGATGGACACCAAGCTTTGGGTAACTCTTACAGTGGAGGTTAAGTCCATCCCCTGTTTAATTGATATGGGGGATACCCGCTCCACTTTACCTTCTTCTCAGGGGCCTGTTTCCCTTGCCCCTGTAACTGTTGTGGGTATTGATGGCTAGGCTTCTAGACCCCTTAAAACTCCCCAACTCTGGTGCCAACTTGGACAATATTCTTTTATGCACTCTTTTTTAGTTATCCCTACCTGCCCAGTTCCCTTATCAGGCTGAGACATTTTAACTAAATTATCTGCTTCCTTGACTATTCCTGGACTATAGCCACACCTCATTGCTGTCCTTATGCCTGATTCCAAGCCTCTTTTGCATCCTCGTCTCATGTCTCCCTACCTTAATCCACAGGTATGGGATACCACTATGCCCTCCTTGGTGACTGATCAGGCACCCCTTACCATCCCATTAAAACCTAATCACCCTTACCCCACTCAACACCAGTACTCCATCCCACAACAGGCTTTAAAAGGACTAAAGCCTGCTATCACTCTCCTGTTACAGCATGGCCTTTTAAAGCCTACAAATTCTTACAACTCCCCTATCCTACCTGTCCAGAAACCAGACAAATCTTACAGGTTGGTTCAGGATCTTTGCTTTATTAACCAAATTGTCTAACCTATCCATCCGTGGTGCCAAACCCATATACTCTCCTATCCTCAATACCTCCCTCAACAACTCATTATTCTGTCCTCAACCTCAAAGATGCTTTCTTCACTATTCCTTTGCACCCCTCATCCCGACCTCTTTTTGCTTTCACATGGACTGATCCTGTCACCCACCAATCTCAGCAACTTACCTGGACTGTACTGCCACAAGGCTTCAGAGACAACCCCCATTACTTTAGTCAAGCTCTTTCTCATGATTTACTTTCTTTCTGTCCATCTGTTTCTCACCTTATTCAATATGTGGACGACCTTCTCCTCTGCATCCCCTCTTATGAATCTTCCCAACAGGATACCCTCCTGCTCCTTCAACATCTATTCTCAAAGGGGAATCATGTATCCCCCTCTAAAGCCCAAATTTCTTCTCCATCCATTACCTATCTTGGCATAGTCTGTCATCAAAACACACGTGTTCTCCCTGCTAACTGGGTCCAGCTAATCTCTGAAACCCCAACCCCTTCTACAAAGCAACAACTCCTTTCCTTCCTAGGCATGGTTGGATACTTTTGCCTTTGGATACCAGGTTTTGCCATCCTAACTAAACCCCTACATAAACTCATAAAGGGAAACCTGACCAACCCCATAGAACCTAAGTTTTTCCCACCCTTCTTTTCATTCCTTAAAGACAGCCCTAGAAATAGTTCCCACATTAGCACTCCCTAACTCATCCCAATACTTCTCCTTATGTACGGCTGAAATACAAGGCTGTGTGGTTGGAGTTCTTACAGAGGAACCAGACCCACAGCCTGTAGCCTTCCTATCCAAGCAACTTAACTTCACAGTTCTAGGCTGGTCCTCATGTCTATGTGTGCTGGCAGCCACCACTTCAATACTTTCAGAGGCCCTCAAGATCACAAACCATGCCCCACTTACTCTACAGTTCTCATAATTTTCAAAATCTATTTTCCTCCTCACACTTGGTGCATATACTTTCTGCCCCCACACTCCTCCAACTGTACTCACTATTCATTGAAACTCCCACAATTACCATTGTTCCTGGCACAGACTTCAACTCGGCCTCTCACCTTATACCTAGCACCAAACCTGAACCTCATGACTGTATCTCTCTAATCCATATGGCATCCTCCACATTTCCCCATATTTCCCTCTTTCTTGTTGCTAATCCAGACCACACTTGGTTTATTGATGGTAGTTCAAGGCCAAATCGTCGGTCACCAACAAGGGCAGGCTATGCTGTATTGTCTTCCACATCGGTCACTGAAGCTACTGCCCTGCACCCTTCCATTACCTCTCAACAAGCCAAACTCATTGCTTTAACTGGGGCTCTCACCCTTGTAAAGGGACTATGTGTCAATATCTACACTGATTCCAAGTATGCCTTCCACATCCTACATCACCATGCTATTATATGGGCAGGAAAAGGTTTTCTCATGACACAAGGGTCCTCCATCATCAATGCTTCCTTAATAAAAATCCTCCTTAAGGCTGCTCTACTGCCCAAGGAAGCCAGAGTCATTCACTGCAAGGGGCCTCAGAGGTCACCAGATCCCACTGCTCAAGGCAAAGCTTATGCTGATAATGCAGCAAAAGAAGCAGCTAGTATTCCCACATCTGTCCCTCATGGCCATTTTTTTTCCTTCTCATCTATCACTTCCACCTATACTCCCACTAAAACTATGACCTATCAATCCCTTCCTACTCAAGGCAAATGGTTCTTGGATCAAGGAAAATTCCTCCTTCCTGCCTCACAGTCTCATTCTATCTTATCGTCCTTTCATAACCTCTTTCATGTTGGTTACAAGCCAATGGCCCATCTCTTAGAACCTCCCATTTCTTTTCCATCATGGAAATCCATTCTCAGGGAAATTACTTCTCGGTGTTCCATCTGTTACTCTACCACCCCTCAGGGATATCTTAGGCCCCCTCCCTTTCCTACACATCAAGCTCAATGATTTGCCCCCACCCAAGACTGGCAGATTGACTTTACTCATATGCCCTGAGTCAAAAAACTAACATACCTTTTTGTCTGGGTAGATACATTCACTGGATGCATAGAGGCCTTTCCCACAGGGTCTGAGAAGGCCACCATGGTCATTTCTTCCCTTCTGTCAGACATAATTCCTCGGTTTGGCCTTCCCACCTCTATAGAGTCCAATAACAGACTGGCCTTCATTAGTCAGATCACACAAGCCATCTCCCAGGCCCTCGGCATCCAGTGGAACCTCCATTCCCCTTACCATCCTCAATCTTTGGGAAAGGTAGAAAGAACTAATAGTCTGTTAAAAACACACCTCACCAAGCTCAGTCTCCAACTTAAAAAAGACTGGACAGTACTGTTACCATTTGCCCTCTTTAGAATTAGAGCCTATCCTCAAGAAGCTACAGGGTATAGTCCATTTGAAGTTTTATATGGACATACCTTCTTGTTAGGCCCCAACCTCTTGCCAGACACCAGCCCTCTAGGTGACTATCTTCCAGTCCTCCAGCAGGCTAGACAGGAAATTCGCCAGGCTGCTAATCTTCTCTTGCCTACTCCAGATTCCCAGCCATATGAAGACGCCCTAGCTGGACAATCAGTTCTTGTTAAGAATTTGACCCCTCAAACTCTACAACCTCAATGGACCAGACCCTACTTAGTCATCTATAGTACCCCACCTGCAGTCCACCTGCATTATTAACATAAAAAGGCAGGAATGTAAGGTCCTCTGAGCTGGCCGCATCATGATCAAGCCATCGTGACATCCCCCTGCCCTTGTGATAATGTACTTTGTGATATTCCCCCACCCTTCTGAATGTACTTTGTAGGATACATCCTCCCTGCCCTTGTGAATGTACCCCACCCTTGTGACAATACACCCTCCCCACCCTTGTCAATGTACTTTGTAACATCCTCCCCGCCCTTGAGAATGTACTTTGTAACATCCACCTCCTGCCTGCAAAAAAAATTGCTCCTAATTCCACTACCTATCCCAAACCTATAAGAACTAATGATAATCCCACCACCTTTTGCTGACTGTTTTGTCAGACTCAGCCCGTCCACACCCGGATGTAATACACAGCCATTGTTGCTCACTCAAAGACTGCTTGGTGGTCTCTTTACTTGGACATGCGTAATAAGAACTAACAGAATGTTATGCTCAGAGAGCTCAGAGAGGTTTCCCTTTCCCTATCCTCTACATCTTGTTTTTGTTTTTGTTTTGGGACAGAGTCTTGCTCTGTTGCCCAGGCTGGAGTGCAATGGCACAATCTCAGCTCACTGCAACCTTCACCTTCTGGGTTCAAGTGATTCTCCTGCCTCAGCCTCCTGAGTAGCTGGGACTACAGGCATGCACCACCGCACCTGGCTAATGTTTGAATTTTTAGTAGAGACAGGGTTTCACCATGTTGGCCAGGATGGTCTTGATCTCTTGATTTCATGATCCGCCCGCCTTAGCCTCTCAAAGTGCTGGGATTACAGGCATGAGCCACCACGCCCAGCCTCCATCTTGTTCTTACCCCACCATTCTGTTCTAGCTGTTCCCATCCATCCCCAATAGATTCTGAATCTTATTATTTTCAGAATAATCCTATCAGTGTTTCCCTATACTCAGAATAAACAGATAATTATGTATTTTCTTTTTCTTTTCTTTTTTTTTTTTTTTTTTTGAGATGGAGTCTCACTCTGTGGCCCAGGCTGGAGTGCAGTGGCATGATCTTGGCTCACTGCAACCTCTGCCACCCAGGTTTAAGCAATTATCCTGCCTCAGCCTCCCAAGTAGCTGGGATTACAGGCGCCTGCCACTGTGCCCAGCTAATTTTTGTATTTTTAGTAGAGACGGGGTTTCACCATCTTGGCCAGGCTGGTTTTGAACTCCTGACCTTGTGATCCACCTGCCTCAGCCTCCCAAAGTGCTGGGATTAGAGGGGTGAGCCACAGCACCTGGCCTTTATTTTCATTTTTTTATTTGTATTATTATTATTATTATTATTGTTTTTGAGACCGAGTCTCACTCTATCACCCAGGCTGGAGTGCAGTGCTGTGATCTCGGCTCACTGCAACCTCTGCTTCCTGGGTTTAAGCAATTCTTCTGCCTCAGCTTCCCAAGTAGCTGGGATTACAGGCACCCACAACCACGCCCGGCTAATTTTTTGTATATTTAGAAGAGACAGGATTTCACCATGTTGGCTAGGCTGGTCTCAAACTCCTGACCTCAAATAATCCAACCTCCTCAGACTCCCAAAGTGCTGGGATTACAGGCATGAGCTACCGTGCCTGGCAACAGTTTTTATTTTCACTTAACCATCTATCTTGGAAATCACTCCATGTTAGAAATAAGTTCTTGGTGCCACAGAGAGAGACCAGCACTCAAAAGAAAAATTTCTCAGCAAGGCAAGGTTTACTTCTGCAGAAGGTGGCTGCTTGCGCCTGTAGCAGTCTCAAGAGCACATTGGACAGGGAAAGGAAGGGGTTTTTAACCCTAATGCATCATAGCTTTTGCTTCTGTGTTTTTTCCTCATTGGCTGGTGGTTGAACCACACAATGTAAGCTGATCCCGATTGGCAGTTTCAAATAGAGTAGGGGTATGGATTACAGTGATAGTGAAGGGCAGTTTTGGTCGGCGGGAAAGACAGTTTCTGCGGGAAGGGCAGTTTACAGAACAAAGGTTACAGAACAAAGGACAACGAAGTTGGACCTTTGTAGAGCAACTCATTTTGTCTAATAATTTTCCCCTTTTGATTTTGTAGTCCTTCCTCTTCATATATTTCTAACAGGATCTGGCTTCACTGCTCTTCTTGGTTGCTTAGAAATAAACGTTTATCTGAATAGGGTGGGGGAGAGTTGTGGGAGGTCTTGGTAAGGGCTGTTTCTATGAGCTTTTGAACTAGTCCGCAGACACAGGGTATAATACAGCACCCTAAGAGAATGAGCACCCCTATTATGATCACAAGGGAGGTGAGAATAGAGGCCATTAGTCCTTTCCATCTACCAAACCATTTTTTCCATTACACCTGTAAAGGGATCATTCATTCCCGAATTTTCAGCTAGTTCATTTCCTAGAGTGGTGAGGCCTTATAGACCCTTAGTGATAGTTACATCAGGGGCTGTATTATTGGGGATACAGGTACAACATTGGACTTCCACTAATATCATGTCAAGAGCTATTCTATTTTCCCAGGCCATTTGGCTGGTGAAACCCAATTGTTCAGCTATTCCTTTAATGGCATCCCTGGTGTAACTGACAAATCGTTGTTGGTTATAGTATATGTAATTTATCCAGTCTACATTTTTATTTATAGTAGACCACAAGAAAAGGACAGACTTGAATCCAGCAGCTATTTGATTTCGAGCTTTGAATTCGTTTGGTACCCCTCAGGGGACCCCGATAGCATCTATGTAGATATCGGGGTCAAAGGACCCTTGAGGGGCTTTCCTTTTTTTCTGAGTTAGTTGGTTTTTGTTTGGCTGATGAAATGCCAGGGTGAAAGGGATAGACAACTGGATTAGAGCCCAAGTGCCACTCCAGTTGCTTGGCAGCATACCCACTAGAGGGCCTCCGCAATACTATCAAACATCTGCTCATGGATAGACAAGGGCAGTCTGATTGGTGAGCTCTTCAAAAGGCTTGGGTTCACTGCATCCTGTTAGATTCCCAAAGAATGCCAAGTTTTCTCCCTGTTGTGAGAGACATGAGGAAAAATTGGCATCAGACGCTGGGAGCTGGATGGCCCTTGGGGGCTGACACACAGGGCGGTCTTTCACTTCTGGGAAAAGCAGTAAGAGAGTGCCGCATGACTTATTACCCCAGGCTGTGGGATGCTGGAAAGAGCTACCATGCAGTCCATACCCGGTTGGTTAGACCATCCAAGCAGAAAAGGAACTATTTTTGTTTCTGGCCTACCTGTTGCACAAGCGTAACAGTCACTTTTGTTTAGAGTATGAACGGAATATTTAATCCATTCCAGCTAGGCATTTGCATCCTGATACCCGGTTTCAATGGCTAGGGTTTAAGTCTTTGACTTCCACTATGACCACTTTAGTTTTGTCATTAGGTAGTGGCAAAATAGTTGTTTGATTTGGAGGAGGGTTTGGAGAGGGGTTACCCCTAGGAGGTGGGGAAGGGTTGCTAAAGCGCATTTCAAAGGACCCTATGGGATCTGTCTCAGCCCACTTCGGTTCCTATGCCATAGAAAAGACCTAAAGTGGGCTCAAGATCGATGGAGGTAGGGGTAAGATAGAAATTTGCACTGGGTTGCATTGATGATGTTGGCAATTAGAGGGGGCATTTCCTTTGGTGAAACGAAGATATGGTTTTAAAGAGGCGCAGCTTCCTGGGGAGGTCCACCCTTGATGCTTAGTAGTCCATAGGACATTGTTCCAGGTGGAGCAGAACCTTTCCCAAAACGTAAGGGTTTCGGCTTCTACCAAGCAAGAGTTGCGTGAATGTAAGAGGTTAGAATCTACCCTGGAAGGACAGAGATATTTCTACAAGGAGGATAGCTGCTTCTGGTTTTGGAGGTCCCCAAAGTGTATGGCAAGACATGCGTCAAACGTGATTGTTTGAGGAGAGAGTGATCTGGTTACATTGATAATGAAGTGTCCTTGAGTAGTTAAGGGAAGAAGGGAAAGACAGATTAGACCCTTTTGAATACTAACTTGGAAGGCATTGGTCTTGGAGTGACAGCCCATGACTCTGTAAGGGTGGGGTCCTTTTTACCTGGAGTGCTGGGTCCATCCTTTTTCAGCCATTCAGATTGCTGTTTCATTCATCAAGAGTACCAGATGAGGTCCTCCTAAGCTGGTTCAAGCTTTCCCTCTTCCAACTCTTGATGAGAACGTGATCCCCAGGCTGGTATTGATGTACCGGGAACTCCAGGGGTGGTGTTTGTGCTAGGAAGCCTTTCATCCTGAGGGAAGAGAAAGTGGAAGACAGATCGAGTATATAATTTTTGAGGAACTGATCCTTTGTTTCAAATGAAACAAACTTTGTTTCAGTGAATGTCAGTAGTAGAGTGTAGATAAGGCAACCCATATAGGATTTCATAGGGAGATAGGCCAACATCTCTCTGAGGGGCAGTTCAGACACTTAATAAGGCAGTGAGAAGGCACTTAGTCCATAGTAACTGAGTTTCTAAAATTGATTTGGTTAGGTGGCTTTTTAGAGTCTGGTTCATCCTTTCTACTTTTCCTTATGAGGGTGGGTGCAAGGAGTATGATATTCCCATTTTATTCCTAGTACTTAGGCTAGTCCCTTAATGACATGTGCAGTGAAGTGGGTCCCATTGTCTGAATCAATGTTTTCTATCAGTCCAAACCTGGGTATAATATTTTCTACTAATGCCTTAATCACATTATTAGCAGTTGCACTTGAAAAGGGAATAGCCTCCACCCAGTGAGTAAGGTGGTCCACTATTACTAGCAAGTACTTTAGGTGGCCTATTGGGGGCATTTTGGTGTAGTCAATTTGGACACTTTGGAATGGTCTCAATCCTGGGCTTTTTCCCCCAAAAGGTGGTTTCCTTAGGGTTTTTTTAAATTAGTTTTCTTACATATTAGGCAACTATCTGTAACTTATTTTGCTAGGGTATAAACTCCTATACACCCATAAACTCTGAGAACTGCATCGCACACAGCTTGAGGTCCCCAATGAGTCCCTTGATGCAGTTGAGATAGGACTTCCCTCATTAGGGGTTTTGATAGCATTTCTCTTTGGTCTGGTAACATCCATTTCCCTTCTGAGTTTTCTTTAGCTCCTATTTTCCTTAATTTCTCTTTTTCAGTGGGAGAGAAGATGTGAATTGCAGTTGGGGAAGAAAGACAAGGGGTTAGGTGAAAAATGGGCATTTTGGGAGAAGAGGCAGCTTGTTTGGCTATTTGGTCTGCAAGTTTATTTCCTTGGCTTTTGAAAGAAATATTTCTCTGGTGTCCTGGGACACGCAGGATGGCTATCTCTTCTGGTAGCTGGAGATTTTCCAATACCTGAGTGATTAACTCCTTGTGGACAAGGTCCTGGCCTTTTATTCAGTCCAGATCTTTCCAAAAGTATGGACTACCCCGAAGGCATATTTGGAGTCAGTGTAAATAGTCCCTTTCCCAGTTATGGCTTGATTTAATGTGAACAATTCACATGTTTGGGTGGACCAGTTATTGGGCAGTCTTCCTGACTTTACCTCTGTGAGGGCTTCCCCATTGACTACCGAGTACCCATTGTGTCTTTTCTCTTCAAATACCTGGGAGGAGCCATCTATAAACAGGTGTTGCCCCGTTTTGAATGGGGTCTCGCTTAGATCAAGCCTGACTTTAGTTTGATAACAGATTAGATCCAGACATTTATGTTCAGGGTCCTGGGGATTGGATTTCCCATTAGGAAAGCGGCAGGGTTGAGTGTTTTTTCTGTGGTTAGGGTTAAATCATCTTTTTCTAGTAAGATAGCTTCATATTTTAAGATTCTTGAATCGGTAAGCCATCTGCCTGCTTTTTGGTTTAGGATGGTTCTAACCTGATGGGTTGTGTTTACAGTGAGGTTTCCCCCAAAGGTTATCTTCCTGCTTTCCTCTGTAAATAGGGCAGTTGCTGCAACAGATTAAATACACTCGGGCCACCTGTGGGTTAGTGGGTCAAGAATTTTTGACAGAAAGGCTATAGGCTGCCGGTGGCCCCCGTGTGTTTGGGTGAGCACCCCTAGAGCTATCCCTTTATTCACATTGACGAAGAGGTGGAATGGCTGTTCTAGGGAAGGTAGAACTAAGGCAGTTATGAGCAGGTGTTTTAATTCCTCTACTTGTTGGACCTCCCGTGGTGTCCAAAGAAGAGGATCAGGTCTCTCTTGAGTAAGTTTCAGGCATAGAGGCTTTGTTTTTAAAGCATAAAGTCAATCCATAAGCGACAATATCCAGTCAACCCCCAGAATTTCCTAAGCCCTTATTTTGTTTCAGGCAAAGGTACGGCTATGATTCCTTCAGTTCGTTTGGGGCCTAATCTCTGTTTGCCTTTGCTTATTAAGTATCCTAGGTATTTTATCTCAGGTTCCACAAACGAGTTTACTCCTTGAGACCAGCAATCCGCGTTCCCTCAGAAAATTTAGAAAGTTAATTGATACTGCTGTTACCCAGCCCTTGGTGCCTCCTGAAATTAGCAGGTCATCCACATATTGGAGCGGATATATGGATGAGGGGAGGGGAAAATTCTCTAGGACTTGTTCTAGAATTTGACCAAATAGATTTGGGGAGTCCACAAACTCTTGGGGCAGGACTGTCCATCAGTACTGTTGCTTCCAACTGGAGTGAGGGTCCTCCCATTTGAAAGCAAACATGTCCTGGCTGTCCTCTGCTAAGGGGCAAGCCCAAAAGGCATCTTTTAGGTCTATTACCATGAACCATTGGTGGTCATATGGGATTTTGCTGATAATGGTATAAGGGTTGGGGACCACAGGGTGAGTAGTCTGGACTATTTGGTTAATAGCCCAGATATCTTGCACTAGCCGTGATCCATGTGACTTTTTTACAGGCAACATTAGAGTGTTATAAGGAGGCATACAGGGTTCAAGGAGTCTGTCATGGATGAGACCTTTGATTATAGGTTTTAAACCCATTCTGCCTTCTAGGGGAATGGGGTGTTGTTTTCTTTTTACTATTTCCCCAGGAGGTTTTCGTTTTATATGAATTGGCGGAACTTGAATCTTCCTTGATTTCCCTCCTTTAACCACACATCAGGGTGGATTTGGCTTTCTTTAGGGGCGGTAAGCAAGTTTAAGGAAGTAAATAATTTTCCCTGATTAACATATAGACCTATCCCCAATTTAAACATTAAGTCCCTTCCTAACGAATTTGTCCCTGCATCAGGGATTAACATGAATTTAATGGCGGCTGATCTATTCTTGAATTTAACTTCTGTTTCCTCCAAAATTTTTGTTCTAAACCTTTCCCCCTTTACCACCGTGACGAACAGCTCCTCTGCAGAGCAGGCTACATTTGATGAAAGGTAGCAAACAGAGGAGCGAGCTACTCCTGAATCTATTAGGAAAGTGAAAATTTCTAGCTTGGGTCCCACCTGTAGATTTATCAAGGGCTATTGGTGGGATTTGAGATAAAAGAGACAGAGCCTCTGAACCCCCTATTCTTCTTCAAAAGTCATGAGTGGGAGGATTTCTCTCTCTTTCTCATTCGGGACATTCTGTCTTAAAGTGTCCCAGTTTCCCACATCTGAAACATTTATTTTCCCCCTTTTCCCTTCTTGCCGTTAGGTCCCCAGGTTTTATCCCTTTTCTTTCCTGTATGTGACTTTGCAGCTAGTGGCTTAGAACATTTATGGGACCTATTTCCTTGTGTCCCTTGTTGAAGGGTGGGCAGTGGAATTTTTGCTTTTTGTTTCTGCTTTCCTTGTCTTTTCTCATATATACCTTTTGGGCCTCCTTTAGAAGTTCTTCTATGGAGCTATCTTTCCAATTCTCTATTTTTTTGACAATTTTTTTGTAATTTCTGGCCAAATGTTGGTGACAAAGTGGAGTTTTAACAATCCTTGCCGAAGTGGATCTTCTTATTTCTAAGCCTGCGTATTTTCTAACTTGCTCTTAGAGTCTGTTTAAAAATTCCATGAGCTCTTCTTCCTTTCTTTGTTGTATGTTGAATGCTCGGGAAATATTTTGAGTTCAGGGTACTGGTTCCCGAATTCCTTTAATTATCATTTCCCCGAGATCCCTCATATTTTCTTGGTGAGCTGCATTGTGATTGTCCCATTGAGGGTCTTGGAACAGAAATTTTTGGTCCGCTGCAGAACGTTTTGGCCAGGAGGATGTTCACGTTCCCTGACTATCACAGTGGCCCTGTGGATCACAGTCCTTTCCTCCCCTGAGAAAAGAATATCTAAAATGGACATTAGTTCAGCCCAAGTATACAACTGTGGCCCTAAAAATTGATCAATTTGATCTGCTACCCAATAAGGGTCATCTAACAATGGTTTGAGTTCCCTTTTGAAGTTTCTGACTTCTGAGCTGGTTAAGAGGGCATTAATGCAACCAATGCCCCCTCCCCCCAGTGGGACTTCCCTTAAGGGGACAACCGTTGGGGCGGATTCCTTTGACAAACAAGGGAAAGGGAAGTTTTGAATGTCCTTTCTACATTGTTCTATCTCATGTTGGAGGTTTCCTGGGGGAGGGACATGTTCAAGGAGGTGACTAGGAAGAGCATGGGTTGTTGATTCCCTGGGGACAGGATTATATGGGGGAGGAACTGAGATATAGACATACATAAGAATGGAGTTGGACCCTAACCTTATACCATATATAAAAATTTACTTAAAATGGATGAAGGATGGGCGTGGTGGCTCATACCTGTAATCCCAGCACTTTGGGAGGCCAAGGCAGGTGGATCACAAGGTCAGGAGTTCGAGACCAGCATAGCCAATATGGTGAAACCCCATCTCTACTAAAAATACAAAAATTAGCTGGCCATGGTGGCAGGCGCCTGTAATCCCAGCTACCCAGGAGGCTGAGGCAGGAGAATCACTTGAACCTGGGAGGCAGAGTTTGCAGTGAGCTGAGATTGTGCCACTGCACTCCAGCCTGGGTGACAGAGCAAGACTCCATCTTAATAATAATAATAATAATAATGTGGCATGATTTTTTAAAAATGGATCAAAAACCTTAGTGTAGTGTAAGAGCTAGAGCTGGAAAACTATTAGAAGAAAACATAGGTGAGAAAGCTTCAACTGGAAATGACTTCTCAGTTATGACATCAACCACACAGGCAACACAAGAAAAATTATGAGTTGAACCTAATCAATGATACAAATTTTGTGCATCAAAGCATAATAACAAGAGAGTAAAAAGACAATCTACAAATGGGAGAAAATATTTGCAAGTCCTGTATCTGACTGGGGACAAATATCCAGAGTTTATTTTTAAAATTTCTAGAACCCAAGAGTAACAACAACAAAACTCATTTCAATACAGAAAAAGGACTTGAATAATATCACCAAAGAAGATATACAGATGGCCAATAAACACACGAAAAGATGCTCATGAAACGATGCTCAACATCACTAAACATCATGAAAATGAAAATCAAAACCATGCTGGATGTGATGGCTCACACCTGTAATCCCAGCACTTCGGGAGGCTGAGGCCAGGGGATTCCTTGAGATTAGGACTTCAGGACCAGCCTGGGCATATGGTGAAATATGGTCTTTACAAAAAAATTTTTTTTAATTCAGCCAAGGATGGTGGTGGCATGCACCTGTAATCTCTGCTACCTGGGAGGTTGAGGTGGGAGGATTACCTGAGCCCAGTAAGTTGAGGACTGCAGTGATCCATGATCACGTCACTGCATTCGAGCCTAGACAATAGAGTGAGACCCTGTCTCAAAAAAAAGAAAAAAAAAGAACGATTAAACAGAATTACCATGTGATCCAGATATTCCACTTTGGCATATCCAAAACTGTTCAGAGCAGGGACTCAGAGATATTTGTACACCAATGTTTGTCTCACTAGTATTCACAATAGCCTACCCCTGCCAAACTGCAATTTTAACACACTGGATTGTTTGAAACATAGCCTGAACAAGCCTATTTTTAGCCATTTCGAGTGCGCCTGCTTTGTATTCTCTGAAATTATATCCAATATCTGACAGCCATAGATAAGATAACTCCAGGGCTATGAAAACCCCATACCCCTGCGGTCCTTCAGAGCTTTTTTTTTTTTTTTTTTCTGATGCAGGGTCTTGCTCTGCCACCCAGGCTGGAGTACAGGGGCACAATCTCAGCTCACTGCAGCCTCCATCTCCTGGGTTCAAGCGATTCTCCTGCCTCAGCCTCCCAAGTAGCTGGGATTATAGGCACCTGGCACCATACCTGCTAATTTTTGTATTTTTAGTAGAGACGGAGTTTCACCATATTGGCCAGACTTATCCTTCAGAGCTTTTTAACTGGAAGATATGCTGCCAGTCTGGTGAATATCATCATTTAGTTATTTATAAGCCCCCTCTTTGATTCCCCTTCTCCTCTGAGAGTCTTTCTTCCTTTCCACCCTTTCTGAGCAGCGACCCACAGGTAGAAGCCTGTGGATATTCTCTTGCTGTTTGCTACCTCCCCCACTGCTAACCTGTCAAAGCACATCCCAAATGAAGCTTGTGTGCTACTGCCGCCTTGTGGTAACATCTTTTTCCTTACTCAGCCAAGAAATCACTTAAACACCCTAAATACGTGTGTGGTTTTATTTTTTACACTTAGATCCCTAGTCCACTTGGAGTTTATTCTTGTATATGCTGTGAAGTATGGATTTAATTTCATCTTTTCTCAGATGGCTAACCAGCTATCTTAGACCTTCCATTTGTTACAAATGGCATTTTTTGCCCCATTTATCTGAAATGCCACTTTTTTTTTTTAGACGGTGTTTCTCTCTTGTTGCCCTGGCTGGAATGCAATGGCACGATCTCCACTCACCCCAACCTCCGCCTCCTGGGTTCAAGCGGTTCTCCTGCCTCAGCTTCCTGAGTACCTGGGATTATAAGCATGTGCCACCATGCCCAGCTAATTTTGTATTTTTAGCAGAGACGGGGTTTCTTCATGTTGGTCAGGATGGTCTCTAACTCGTGACCTCAGGTGATCCACCCGCCTCTGCCTCCAAAAGTGCTGGAATTATAGGCATCAGCCAATGCACCCGGCTTTTTTTTTTTTTTTTTTTTTTTTTTTTGAGACAGAGTCTCGCTGTGTCGCCAGGCTGGAGTGAAATGGCGTGATCTCGGCTCACTGCAACCTCTGCCTCCCAGGTTTGAGCAATTCTCTTGCCTCAGCCACCCGAGTAGCTGGGCTTACAGGCGCCCACCACAACGCTTGGCTAATTTTTTTTTTTTTTTTTTTAGACGGAGTCTCGCTCTATCGCCAGGCTGGAGTGCAGGGGAGCGATCTTGGCTCACTGCAACCTCCGCCTCCTGGGTTCAAGCGATTCTCCTACTTCGGCCTCCTGAGTAGCTGGGATTACAGGCACCCGCCACCATGCCAGCTAATTTTTCTATTTTTAGTAGAGACGGGGTTTCACCAAGTTGGCCAGGATGGTCTCGATCTCGTGACGTCGTGATCTGCCTGCCTCAGCCTCCCAAAGTGCTGGGATTACAGGCATGAGCCAGCATGCTCGGCCATGCTTGGCTAAATTTTTTTTCTTTTTTGAGACAGAGTCTCACTCTGTTGCCCAGGCTGGAGTGCAGTGGTGCGATCTCAGCTTACTGCAACCTCCGCCTTCTGGGTTCAAGCAATTCTCCTGCCTCAGCCTCCTGAGTAGCTGAGATTACAGGCATGCATCACCACACCCAGCTAATTTTTGTATTTTTAGTAGAGATGGGATTTCACCATGTTGGTCAGACTAGTCTCGAACTCCTGACCTCATGATCCGGCTGCCTCGGCTTCCCAAAGTTCTGGGATTACAGGCATGAGCCACCGAACCCGGCTATGTTTTTGTATTTTTAATAGAGATGGGGTTTCACCATGTTGGGCAGGCTGGTTTTGAACTCCTGACCTCAAGTGATCCTCCTGCCTCAGTCTCCCAAATTGCTAGGATACAGGCATGAGCCACCGCATCTGGCAAAATACATTTATGAACCAAATTTCTACATGTTCATGGGTCTATTTTTTGATATTTTATTAGTTTCTGTTTCACGTGCTAGTACCACATAGTTTTAATTATAGAGGCTTTATAGTATGTTTTTTAAATTAATTAATTAATTAATTTTTTAGACAGAGTCTCACTCTGTCAGCCAGGCTGCAATTCAGTGGCACAATCTCGGCTCACTGCAACCTTCATCTCCCAGGCTCAAGCAACTCTCCTGCCTCAGCCTCCCAAGTAGCTGGGATTACAAGCATGTGCCACCACGCTTGCTAATTTTTGTACTTCTAGTAGAGACAGGGTTTCACCATGTTAGCCAGGCTGGTATCAAACCCCCGACTTCAGGTAATTTGCCTGCCTCGGCCTCCCAAATTGCTGGGATTACAGGCGTGAGCCACTGTGCCCGGACTTTATTTTTATTTTAAAATAATGTAATTCTTTGCCTTGCATGAAAACTGTCAATAGTATGTTTTAATATCTGCTGCTCATCATTGCTTTTGTTTTTGTTTTCTTGGTTATTATCAGATGTTTGTTCCTCCACATAAACTTCAGTATCAATGTACTTAACTCCAGAAAAAAACTTTTGGTATTTTTATTGGGAGTATGTTACATTTCTGAATAATCTTGGGGAGAATGTCTGGTATCAGTGCTATTTTACAACGTAGGAAATGTGTTCCTGGCCCATGTGGTAAGATCAGAAAAATAACAACAGAAATACATATTTTTGGCTGGGGCAGTGGCTCATGCCTGTAATCCCAGCTCTTTGGGAGGACCAGGTGGATGGATCACGAGGTCAGGACTTTGAGACCAGCTGGGTCAATATGATGAAACCATGTCTGTATTAAAAATGCAAAAATTAGTTGGGCGCAGTGGCACATGCCTGTAGTCCCAACTACTCAGGAGGCTGAGGCAGAAGAATGGCTTGAACCCAGGAGGCAGAGTTTGCAGTGAGTGAAGATCGCACCACTGCACTCCAGTCTGGGTGGCAGAGCGAAACTATGTCTCAAAAAAACAAAACAAAACAAAACATTTTTTAATTTAAATTTTTTTTATATATATATAGAGAGATGGGGTTTTGCTGTGTAGCCCAGGCTTGTCTTAAACTCCTGGCCTTAAACGATCCTACCATCTTGGCCTGGCAGATATTTTAGGCCAGGAGTTCGAGATCAGCCTGGCCAACCTGGTGAAATCGTTCTCTACTAAAAATACAAAAATTAGCTGGGCGTGGTGGCAGGCGCCTGTAATCCCAGCTACTCCAGAGGCTGAGGCAGGAGAATTGCTTGAACCTGGGAGGTGGAGGTTGCGGTGAGCTGAGATCACACCACTGCACTCCAGCCTGGTCTGATCCAGTGAGATCTGTCGCAAGCAAGCAAGCAAGCAAGAAAGAAAAAGAAAACCCAATGGAATCAGCAGGTTCTAAAAAATAAAGAATGAAGAAAAAAAGGCCTACAGAAACTCTGACTGAATGGAAGGGATAGACCATGCCATTCATTGGCAGCTTTATCAATATGGAAGAATCATGGAAAGGCTCTAGGAACATGAGGAGAGGCATACAAACAAGCTTTATATTTATATCTAAAAAGTAAAGCAGAGGTTCCTCTTCAAAGACGTTCCTTCACATTTAATTAGGAATAAATAGTAACTTCTCTTAGAAGCAAAATTTATTCAAAGACCTGTGCTAACATTCTCAAGTATCTGTGAGCCGTGATAAAGAAATCAATGTACTTTATATTCTTAGCTCCCACAGTTTAGTCTACATATTTGCCCTGGCATGCTTGTACTGGTCCAGGCAAGCATTAGGGCATAGCCTGTTCTTTTTCCTTATTTGAAGATGTTTTGACCCTTCTCAGCATTCCACAAGTTACTTCCTCCTTCCTTTGTTCTCCTCTACCCTTGCCTCTTTTAAAAAGTTATAAGTTGCTAGCCAGAACGTGAGGTCCCATTCCAGCCAGTGGAAACTGGACACAGCAGTAGGTTGGAAGCATCAGGTTATAAATGACCCTATCTCCTTTGTTTGGTGTACTCTCGTGGCAAAACTGCTGGTGAGTATACCGTTTCTGCAGGAAGTAAAAATGGCCTTGCTGAGTAAATTAAATTTATGTTCAAGTGCTAATTTCTTTATGGCACCAGGGAACAAGCATTTTGAACATGTATATTTATATATTTTTTATATATTTATATATTTATATGTATTTATACATATATGTTTATATATATATATATAGAGAGAGAGAGAGAGAGAGAGACAGGGTCTTGCTACTTTGCCCAGGCTGGTCTCAAACTCTTGGACTTGTAGAAAATGAAATAAATACAGGTTCCTCTTCAAAGGGACTTTCCTCCCAGTCTGATTGAAATAAATAGTAATCCCTCTTAGAAGCCAAATTTTCTCAAAGACCTGTGGTAATATTGTTAAATTCTGCCAGCCGTAATAAAGAAATCAATAGACTCTGTTTTTAGCTCCCACATTTTAGCCTAGATATTTGCCCTGGCATGCCTGAACTGGTCCAAGCAACTATTAGGTCATGGCCTATTCCTTTCCCTATTTAGAAGTGTTTTTGCCTCTCTCAACAGTCCACAAGTTACTTCCTCTCTTCCTTTGTTCTCCTCTGCCATTGCCTCTTTTGGGAAGTTCTAAGTTGCTAGCCAATCCAGTGAAGTACAGGAAGGTGAGGTCCCGTTCCAGCCAATGGAAGCTGGACACAGCAGAAGGATGGACACTTCAAGTTTAAAAAAACCCTGTCTCCTTTGTTAATGTGTGCTCTGGTGGCAAGACTGCCAGCCAGTGGCACCCATTCTGCAGAAAGTAAAACTAGCCTTGCTGAGATCCTTTGTCTCAGTGTTGATTTTGTGACACCAAGCGAGCACCCATTCCCAGCAGACTCAAGCTATTTACCTACCTTAGCCTCCCAAAGTGCAGGAATTACAGGCGTGAGCCACTGCGCTCGCCCGATAAAAGCTTTGGAGGAGCATCCCCCGGGGATGCGTCCCATCCCTCATCCCCGCCCTTCCAGCCCGACCGGCCACCTGAACCACCGGCTAGGCCGGGTCCCTCCTCTAAATCACCCCCCGAGTACGAGCCCCTCCCCTCGCCCACAGTTCCGTCTGGAGGCCCGGTTCTAACCTCACCTTTTTCTCTGGACCTAGTTCTGCATCCCCCTCCCTGAGCCAACCCCAGGCCCTTTCTGCACCCACCCGAGAGGAAACTAGAATTTCTGTGTTCTACCCGGTCCTACGTGGCTGAAACTGGAGCCCACGAGCCTCGCCCGGCCAGAGTGTTGAAGCGGAAGTGACGTCAGCGCACCACCGCCATCTTTTCCGGCGCTGGCTCCTCTCCGTCAGTGCGGTTTCGCCTTTATGGTGGTGGAGTCTGCCCAGGCTGTGGTGAGTTCCACCTCCTTGGCGGTCCCGGGGATAGCAGGGGGCGGCAAAGGAATGATTGCGCGCTGTCGCCTAGGAGCCTCTCAGATCCGCTTCACTTCACTCGCTTCTCCAGGGACTATCAGTCCTCCCTGTGCGTCCAGTTCGGAGAGGCTGCGCGCTCTCTCGGCTCACTGCAACCTCTGCAACCTCTGCCTCCAGGGTCAAGCAGTTCTCCTGCCTCAGCCTTCCGAGTACCTGGGATTACAGGCAAGTGCCACCACGCCCGGCTACTTTTTCTATCTTTAGTAGAGATGGTTTTGCCATGTTGGCCAGGCTGGTCTTGAACTCCTGACCTTAGGTGATCTGTCTGCCTCGGTCCCCCAAAGTGCTGGGATTATAGGTGTGAGCCACTGCACCCGGCCGACTTTTGAAAATTTTAGATTTTGTTCTTAAGTCATCTTAGGTACGTAATGAAGTTATCAATAACACACGTGGCTGGTGACTACTGAATTGTTCTGTGCAGGTCTGCACTGTCTTCTGGTCATATGGCGGGGGGGTAACACCATATACAGGAGATCAGGCTCTAGGGACAAGTATCAGACCGACTACTAGGGTTGTTTGAGTGTAGGTTTTTTTCAGTATTAAATAGAAGTAATGGGCCAGGCATCGTGGCTTATGCTTATTATCCCAGCACTTTGGGAGGCCAAGTCAGGAGGATTGTTTGAGCCCAGGAGTTTGAGACTAGCCTAGGCAATCTGGTGAAAACTTGTCTCTACTAAAACTACAAAAAATTAGCCGGACCCAGTGGTGTGCACCTGTAGTCCCAGCTAGTTGGGGGGCTGAAGTGGGAGAATCACTTAAGGCCAGGAGTTCAAGACCAGCCTGGCCAATATGGCGAAACTGCGTCTCTACTAAAAATGCAAAAATTAGCCAGGCATGGTAGTGCATACCTGAAATCCCAGCTACTCGGGAGGCTGAGGCCTGATAATCGCTTGCACCTGGGAGGCAGAGGTTGCAATGAGTTGAGATCATGCCACTGCATTCCAGCCTGGGCAACAGAGTGAGACTCTGTCTCAAAATAATAATAATAATAATGAGTGATGATACGCACCTATGGTCCCAGCTATTCAGGAGGCTGAAGTGGGAGGATCACTTGAGCCCGGGAAGTCTAGGCTACAGAGAGTTGTGTTAGTGCCATTGGATTTCAACCTGGGCAACAGAGTGAGACCCTGTCTCGATAGATAGATAGATAGATAGATAGGATAGATATAGATAGATAGATATAGATAGATATATAGATAGATAGATATAGATAGATAAATATAGATAGATATAGATAGATAGAGGTAATGATAGCTACTGGGAAGGATGGCTATGATAATTAACTGAGCATGTATATATAAAGCTACTAGAGCTACTTCTGACATATCAGTCCTCAGTAAATGTCAGTTACTGTTATTAATACTTTTGTTACTGAGTGACGGTACTGAGTGGGCAATTTTTGGTGGCCTTCACATCTGTCACCTGCAGAGACAAAGCTCAGGCATAATGTTTGATGACTGATGTTTCATGCTTGTTGTTTGATGATTGATATGAACAGGACCGCAAATAACCCTGTACAAAGAGGAATGGAGATTGCCTCTATCCACCTAGATTCATAAGCTGGCCTGAGGTGATCTTGGCATCAAGGAAGGGATGCACATCATCACACCATCAGCTTCAGAGAATGGCAGCCATTTATTTGTCCCGTGGTAAGTCTTTGTTGATGCTCTTTTTCAGAGATTCTGCTTTAGGTCACCCTCCACAACACAAGCGTCCAGTGAGCTGAGCCTGAGCAGGCATGCAGCTGGTTCTTTTAGGAGGAATTGAAGTGAACCACAGAACAGAATGCTGTTTTATTATTTATTTATTTATTTATTTATTTTTGAGACAGAATCTTGTTCCGTCACCCAGGCTGGAGTGCAGTGGTGCAATCTTAGCTCACTGCAACCTTCACCTCCCAGGTTCAAGTGATTCTCTTGCCTCAGCCTCCCAAGTATCTGGGACCACAAGCACATACTGCCAGACCTGGCTAATTTTTGTTTGTTTGTTTGTTTTTGTTTTTGAGACAGAATCTCACTCTGTCTCCCAGGCTGGAGTGCAGTGCCTGTGGTCTCGACTCACTGCAACTTCTGTCTCCTGGGTTCAAGTAATTCTCTGCCTCAGCCTCCCATAATTTTTCTATTTTTAGTAGAGATGGGGTTTCATAATGTTGGCCAGGCTGGTCTCAAATTCCTGACCTCAAGTGATTTGCCCGCCTTGGCCTCCCAAAGTATTGGGATTACAGGCATGAGCCACTGTGCCCAGCCAGAATGCTGTTTTAGAATTCAGCCCTGGTTTGTGTACCTTAGGAAATGCTACATAAGCTTCATGAGTGTTACTACTATGGGCAGATAGAGAGTCACTTTTTTTTTTTTTGAGACGGAGTCTTGCTCTGTCACCCAGGCTAGAGTGCAGTGGCACGATCTCGGCTCACTGCAAGCTCCGCCTCCTGGGTTCACACCATTCTCCTGCCTCAGCCTCCTGAGTAGCTGGGACTATAGATGCCCACCACCACATCTGGCTAATTTTTTGTATTTTTAGTAGAGATGGGGTTTCACCGTGTTAGCTAGGATGGTCTCGTTCTCCTGACCTCATGATCCACCCGCCTCGGCCTCCCAAAGTGCTGGGATTACAGGCATGAGGCACCGCACCTGGACGAGAGTCACATTTTTCAGGGTGTAAGTTTCCTTGAAAAATGAAACTATTACCCTTTACCCAACAGGCAGTTTGGCCCAAGTCTGCTTTTGTGTCTAGCTGACACAGGACTTACTATGGCATTTCATGGAAGTGTTGTGTGTGTAGTTTTCTCGAGTGTGTAGGAGCATATCGGAATTTCAAGCTAGGATGGAATGACTTCTAGGCATGAGAATGTGGGAAGGATGGGCAGCTCTGGCTTCTCATGCCTTCTTACTTTTCCACTAGGGTTTTTTTCCAGGGAACCAATCTGCCCTTTTGAAGAAAAGACAAAGGTAGAAAGGATGGTGGAGGACTACCTGGCAAGTGGTTATCAGGTAAGCAGAAAACGTACTGTTGTTAAAAATGATATGCTTTCATCCAATAGGTAGACAGATTTCTTTCTAGACAGACTCATCTTCAGAGTTTTCTTAGAGCAAATGAAGCCTTACTCAAGGACTGAGTCCCCAGATGAATTTCCCCAGGGAATGAAGTCTCCTATACATAAAATGTTAACTTGAAAATCAGTCCAGTAGCTCAGTAATTACTACTTAAGCTTGACCTTCATGGTGCCAACTGCATCTTTCTTACATTGCTGGGTGCGGTGACGGATGATAAAGCAGATGAAAGTGTCCTTTTATCAAATCATTCACTTATCAGCATTTATCAGGTATCTGCAGTGTGCTGAGGAGTGTGCTGCATAGACACCAATGGGACAGGAAGAGCTCCTAGCCTGGTTGTGCTGAGATCAAGCGTAAGCAGTGTGCAGTGGCTCATGCCTGTAATTCCAGCTACTCAGGAGACAGAGGTGAGAGGACCACTTCAGCCCAGGAGATCGAAGCTGTAGTAATCAGCAGTTGTGCCTGGGTGACACAGTTGGACCCTGTTTTTATATATAAATAAATAAACAGATTAGATAGATGATAGATAGAGGAAAATTCATCTTTAGGAAGTACTGTTCTAATCAAAATAAAAATAAAATTTAAAATTTAAAAATACAAATATTAAAAAATTAAAAATAGATCAGCAAAAAAAGATTTAAAAAAATTTTAAAAAGTGCTGTTTAAGGCATATGCCTGTAGGAGGTCAACCTTGAGTGTTTAGACACAAGAGCTCCTGAGACATTAAACCCTGGAGTAGATCATGGGAGACCTGACAACCACGTGTAAGTGAGTATAAGGTTCCCCTTCATCATTCTCCAGTGAATATTGGTGGAAGTGTTCATTGGCTCAAACCAGCATGTGTATGATGACATAGGATTCAGTGACGTTTGATGATGTGGCTGTGGACTTCACCCCAGAGGAGTGGGCTTTACTGGACACAACTGAGAAATACCTCTACAGAGATGTGATGCTGGAGAACTACATGAACCTGGCCTCTGTGGGTAAGAGTAACATCACTATGCTTGGCATGGTGGCCTGCACCTGTAGTCCCAGATACTTGGGAGGCTGAGGTGGGAGAATCGCTGGAGCCTGGGAGTTTGATACTAGCATGGGCAACATTGTGATACCTTGTCTCTTAAAAAAAAAATTCTAGGCCGGGCGCAGTGGCTCATGCCTGTAATCCCAGCACTTTGGGAGGCTGAGGTGGACGGATCACAAGGTCCAGAGATGGAGACCATCCTGCCTAACACTGTGAAACCCCGTCTCTACTAAAAAAATTCAAAAAAATTAGGTGGGCATAGTGGCAGGTACCTGTAGTCCCAGCTATTCGGGAGGCTGAGGCAGGAGAATTGCATGAACCCGGGAGGCGGATCTTGCAGTGAGCCAAGATCACACCACTGCACTCCAGCCTGGGTGACAGATTGAGACTCCATCTCAAAAAAAAAAATCCTAAAAATGAAGACTAGGCCGGTTGTGGTGGCTTACATCTATAATCCCAGCACTTTGGGAGGCCGAGGCGGGCAGATCACATGCGGTCAGGAATTTGAGACCAGCCTGGCCAAAATAGTGAATCCCCATCTCTACTAAAAATACAAAAATTAGCCAGACTTGTTGGCAGGCACCTGTAATCCCAGCTACTTGGGAGGCTGAGACAGGAGAATTGCTTGAACAAGGAGGCAGAAGTTGCAGTGAGCTGAGATTGCGCCACTGCACTCCTGCCGGGGCGACACAGTGATACTTCGTCTAAAAAAAAATACATTAAAAATAAAAATAAACACTAGCATCATTTCTTGTAGCCTGTTATAGGGCAGATGTATGTTACATGCTTGCTTGTCAATTCTGAAAACAGTGGGGAATAACAGAGACAGTCCCAAAGTAACAGTCCCTGCTGTAGTATGTTTTAATTTACTGTGGTAATCCTGGAAACTTCATCAACAGCATCAGCTTTGTGCTGTAAGAAATATACATCTTCCTTCCCCTATTCTTTGATGTAGTAAATTGGAAACTCCAGGGTTGGAGCCCAGTCATCTGTGTTTTCAGAATCACTGAAGGTGAATCTAATATACTATCATGTTTGAGATCCAGTGGCAGAGTTGTTTACCCATGACAGCAAGCATCTTTTTGTAGTACTTAACTTTATTTCTGCTTTTTTTTTTTGAGACAGAGTCTCACTCCATCACCCAGGCTAGAGTGTAATGGTGCCACCTCAGCTCACTGCAACTTCAGCTTCCCAAGTTGCTGGTATTAGGCACACCTGCTACCATGCCCAGTTAAATTTTTTTTTTTTTTTTTTTGTATTTTTAGTAGAGATGGGGTTTCGCCATGTTGGCCAGCCCGGTCTTGAACTCCTGACCTCGGGTGATCCACCCACCTCGGCCTCCCAGAGTGCTGGGATTATGGTGTAAGCCACTGCACCCAGCCTACTTACTTTATTTATTTATTATTTTTGTGACAGGGTCTTGCTCTGTCGCCCAGGCTGGAGTGCGGTGGTGCAATCTCTGTTTACTACAACCTCTGCCCTCCCAGGTTCAGGTGATTCTCCTGCCTCAGCCTCCTGAGTAGCTGGGATTACAGCCAAGTGTCACTGTGCCTAGCTAATTTTTGTATTTTTAGTAGAGAAGGAGTTTCACTATGTTGGCCAGGCTGGTCTTAAACTCCTGACCTCAAATGATCCACCCACCTCGACCTCCCAAAGTGTTAGGATTACAGGCATGAGCCACCACACCCAGCCTACTTTATTTCTTACTGAAATAAAAGTTTTAGTGCTTTACAGGTGTGTACATAAGTCTGAATTTGGGTTTAATGGGTCAGAGATAACCAATCTTTTTTGGGCACAGAAATGGAGATCTTAGCTTTTATATCCCTTTTGTAATAATTACATTGCTTGTATTAGAAATATATCTCCTGGCCAGGTGTGGTGGCTCATGCCTGTAATCCCAGCACTTTGGGAGGCTGAGGTGGGTGGATTGTCTGAGGCCAGGAGTTTGAGACCAGTGTGTCCTACACTGTGAAACCCCATCTCTACTAAAAATACAAAAAATTAGCCAGACGTGGTGGCACACGCCTTTAGTCCCAGCTAGTCAAGAGGCTGAGGCAGGAGAATCACTTCAACACAGAAGGCAGAGGTTGCATTGAGCCAACATTGTGCCACTGCGCTCCAGTGTGGGTGACAGAGTGACACTTCATCTCAAAAAAAAAAAAAAAAGATTTTTAAAGATGCACTTTGCCTCAGAAGATTTAAGCTATTTTTCTCAGAGTTTTGGATATCTTTGACTCTTATTTTCCATCTTGTCAAACATTCCTATGATCTAATAAAACTACCTGTTCTGTTTCTTTGTTAACTTTATCATTCTGATACATGCTGTTTATCTAGATCTTTCCTACTTTCCTTTCCCGAAAATCTACTCTTTCTGTTTTCCATCAGCTTTAATTTTCTTTTCTTTTCTGAAGTCTTGCTCTGTCACCCAGGCTGGAGTGCAATGGCATGATCTCAGCTCACTGCAACTTCTGCCTCCCAGGTTCAAGCAATACTGCCTCAGCCTCACAAGTAGCTGGGATTATAGGCATGCGCCACCATGCCTGGCTAATTTTGTATTTTTAGTAGAGATGGGGTTTCTCCATGTTGGTCAGGCTGGTCTCGAACTCCTGACCTCAAGTGATCCACCCGCCTCAGCCTCCCAAAGTGCTGGGATTACAGGTGTGAGCCACCACTCCCGGCATTTTTAATTTTTACAGAAGTAGTTTGTAATAAACTATCTAAACACATCAGTTATGTAATAAACCCCACATCATTATAGCCAAATTTTTGATGTACCAAAATCCTCAAGGTTCTCTGGCTTTTATTTTATTGCTGTGTTTAATTTGAAAACAAGTAAAAATGACTCATTTTAAATGAATATTTCTTCTCTAAATCCTTACGTTTCTTTTTCTGCTTAACTTTAGAATGGGAAATACAACCTAGAACCAAACGGTCATCACTTCAGCAGGGTTTTTTGAAGAATCAAATATTCAGTGGGATACAAATGGTAAGATTCATGAGGGATATTTCTTAATTTCCTCTCTTAGAAAAGATAGAGAATTCCATTCTAGAAAATCAGCTCAGTCAGAGGTGTGGCTTACATCTGTAATCCCAGCTATTTGGGAGGCTGAAGTGGGGGTCTCATTTGAGCCCAAGAGTTCAAGACCAGCCTAGGCAGTATAGTAAGATCCCATCTCTGATTTTAAAAAGAAGGTGAATGTGGTGACTCACACCTGTAATCCCAACATTTTGGGAGGCCGAGATGGGTGGATCACTTGAGGTCAGGAGTTTGAGACCAGGCTGGCCGACATGGTGAAACTCCATCTCTACTAAGAATACAAAATTAGCCGAGTGTGGTGGTGGGCACCTGTCATACCAGTTACTTGGGAGGCTGAGACAGGAGAATGGCATGAACACAGAGGCAGAGGTTGCAATGAGCTGAGATTGCACCACTGCATTCCAGCCTGGTTGACCGAGTGAGACTCTGTCTCAGAAATAAAGAAAAGAAACTGAGTCTGTAATCCCATCCCTTTGGGAGGCCTAGGCACGTGGATCACTTGAGATTAGCACTTCGAGACCAGCCTGGCCAATGTAATGAAACTCTTATCTCTACTAAAAATACAAAGTTAGCCAGGTGTGGTGGCAGGCACCTGTAATCCCAGATACATGGGAGGCTGAGGCAGAATTGCTTAAACCCAGGAGGTGGAGTTTGCAGTGAAAAAGAAACTGCACAAATGAGAGATACTTGAGAGAATTAGAGAAGAATTCTGCACCACTGAGGGAGCAGGATCTCTGGAGAGATAGTCTGAATGTGATGAATTTTATGATATTCCATATCTGTATAACTTGTCACCTCAAAATACCCACAAGTACACATTCCCACATAAGTAACTAGACATTGAGGATTTACACAGTTTCATGAAAATCTACACTATTTGACTGGGTGCAATGGCTGACACCTGTAATCCCAGCACTTTGGGAAGCTGAGGCAGGAGAATCACTTGAGCCTAGGAGTTCAAGACCAGCCTGGTCAACAGAGACCCTGTCTCTACAAGGAATAAAAAATTAGCAGGGCGTGTTGGCATGCACCTGTAATCCAAGCTCCTTGGGGGACTGAGGCAGGATGATGGCTTCAGCCTGGGAGATTAAGGCCACAGTGAGCTGTGATTATGCCATGGTACCCAGCCTGGGTGACAGAGTGAGACCTTGTCTCAAACCACCCTGCATAATAATAAAAAAACCCTACAGTTTTCTTTTTTTGAACAATTAGAGCCAGTGGCGTAGAATTCTGGCAAAAGGGCCCATCATTCAATCTGGAAGAAATCAAGAAGTCAGGGAATAAAAACAAGGAAGAAAAATTGTAAAAATTATAATTATCAAAGTAGGCTGACATGGTAGCTCATGGCTGTAATCCCAGCACTTTGGGAGGCTGAGGCAGTGGGGTTTTGTGAAGAGTTTGAGATCAGCCTAGGCTACATAGTAAGACTTTGTCTCTATAAAAATAAATTGAGGCTGGGTGTGGTGGCTCACGCCTGTAATCCCAGCAATTTGGGAGGTTGAGGCAGGCAGATCATGAGGTCAGCAGTTCAAGACCAGCCTGGCGAACATGGGGAAACCCCATCTCTACAAAAAATAACAAAATTAGCTGGATGTGGCTACACCTGCCTGTAATCCCAGCTATTCGCGAGGCTGATGCATGAGAATCACTTGAGCCTAGGAGGTGGAGGTTGCAGTGAGCCAAGATCTCGCCACTTGCACTCCAGCCAAAGTGAGACTACATCTCAAAAATAAATAAACTGAGGTGGGGCATGGTGGCTCACCCCTGTAATCTCAGCACTTTGGGAGGCCAAGGCAGGCAGATCATCTGAGGTCAGGGGTTCAAAACCAGCCTGGCCAACATGGTGAAACCCTGTCTCTACTAAAACTACAAAAATTAGCCAGGCATGGTGACCCATGCCTGTAATCCCAGCTACTCAGGAGGCTGAGGCAGGAGAATCACTTGAACCTGGGAGGCAGAGTTTGCAACGAGCCGAAATCATGCCATTGCACTCCAGCCTGGGCTACAGAGCAAGACTCTGTCTCTAAATAAATAAATAAACAAACAAACTGAAAGATTGGCCAGACATGAGGGTGCATTCAAATAGTTCTAGCTACACAGGAAGCTAAGGCAGGATGATCACTTGAACTCAGCCAGGAGTTTGAGGTTACAGAGAGCCATGATCACACCAGTGCACTATAGTCCAGGCAATGGAGCAAAACCCCAACTCTGAAAAAAGTGAAACATACTGGGTGTGGTGGGTCATGCCTGTAATATCACCACTTTGGGAGGCCGAGGCAGGCAGATCACCTGAGCTTAGGAGTTTGAGACCAGCCTGGGTAACTTGGCAAAACCTTGTTTCTACAAAACAGAAAAATTAGCCAGGTGCAGTGGTGCACACCTGTATTCCTAGCTACTCGGGAGGCTGAGGCAGGAGAATCAGTTGAGCCTGGGAGGTGGAGGTTGCCGTTAGCTGAGAGTGTGCCATGCACTCCAGACAGGGAGATAGAACAAGACTTTCTCTCAAAAAGAAAAAAAAATTAAATATTAAAAAGTAAAATCATAATTGTCATCAAAATGCTTCTGTGTTCAGATGGGTGAAATCTCTTAATATGTCTGAAAATGTTTTAAAACCTTTATCTCGTCATCAACAGACAAGAGGCTACAGTGGATGGAAACTCTGTGACTGTAAGAATTGTGGAGAGGTCTTCAGGGAACAGTTTTGCCTTAAGACACACATGAGAGTTCAGAATGGAGGGAATACTTCTGAGGGTAATTGTTATGGAAAAGACACCCTCAGTGTGCACAAGGAAGCCTCTACTGGACAGGAACTTTCCAAATTTAATCCATGTGGAAAAGTCTTTACTCTAACTCCAGGTCTTGCTGTACATCTTGAAGTTCTCAATGCAAGACAACCCTACAAATGTAAGGAATGTGGAAAAGGCTTTAAGTATTTTGCAAGCCTTGATAATCATATGGGAATCCACACTGATGAGAAACTCTGTGAATTTCAGGAATATGGGAGAGCTGTCACAGCTTCTTCACACCTAAAGCAGTGTGTAGCAGTTCATACAGGAAAGAAATCCAAAAAGACTAAGAAATGTGGGAAATCCTTCACTAATTTTTCTCAACTTTATGCACCTGTGAAAACTCATAAAGGAGAGAAGTCCTTTGAATGTAAAGAATGTGGAAGATCCTTTAGAAATTCCTCATGCCTTAATGATCACATTCAAATTCACACTGGAATAAAACCACACAAGTGTACTTACTGTGGGAAAGCCTTCACTAGATCAACTCAACTTACTGAACATGTAAGAACTCACACTGGAATAAAACCCTATGAATGTAAGGAATGTGGCCAAGCCTTTGCTCAGTACTCGGGCCTTTCTATACACATACGAAGTCACAGTGGAAAGAAACCCTATCAGTGTAAGGAATGTGGGAAAGCCTTCACTACATCCACAAGTCTTATTCAGCATACAAGAATTCACACAGGAGAGAAGCCTTATGAATGTGTTGAATGTGGGAAGACCTTCATTACTTCTTCCCGTCGTAGTAAACATTTGAAAACTCATAGTGGAGAAAAGCCCTTTGTATGCAAGATATGTGGGAAAGCATTTCTATATTCCTCACGCCTTAATGTTCACCTGCGAACTCATACCGGAGAGAAACCCTTCGTATGTAAAGAATGTGGGAAAGCATTTGCTGTTTCCTCACGCCTAAGTAGACATGAAAGAATTCACACTGGGGAGAAACCCTATGAATGCAAGGATATGAGTGTTACCATTTAGCCCATCGGTTGCCATCTTTAATTATTGGCAATGACACCAAAGATTATCAGATTTGTCCTAAATGCCTTTTGGAGGTTGTAATGACTCATGGATTGGCCTTAGATACCATCCTGAGGGTCTGAAATTAAACCTACAGGTTCTGAATACAACATCATGGTTGCCTGAGTCTGGGCATCTGTGAAGAAGGGTCATGGATGGTGAGGTCAGTACTGCAGGCTGCCTCACCTTGGTGATTAGATTCCTAAGATCATAGCATTAACAAGTTGTGTATGAGATAAATCATGCAGATTGACCCCAGCCCCTGTTGGTTAGTGGCTGCCAGTGTGGCACATTTATGTCAAAATTTACCAGAAGCCAAGATGATGTAGGACCCCAAAGGTGGGTTGTTAAGAGATGCTCCTCCAAGGGTCTCTTCTGATCCCACGGATCCTGCAGAGCGTGTCAGGAATGAAACCATCCATAACTGCCAGTGCCCTTTCACAGCTGATTATTTCTGTGTCCCCTTGTAAAATCTAAGAAGTGTGACAGCCTTGCCTGTTCTGCCTTGTATGTCTATTTTAGATGGCACAATGTAAGTGGCAATGTCTCTTCTAGTATAATCCAGTCTCTCTTCTCACTTCTGTCAAGGTGGCTGATATAGTCCATGAATCCCACTCATGATCTCTTTATCAGATGATCGTTCAGCCACACTTTGAGGATTCTCTTCAGTACAAGTTTTCTAATTTTTGCATTATGGATAGGCTGAGAATTTTCCAAATCTCCAAGTTCTGGTTCCTTTTTCCTTAACAATTTTTTCTGCAATTCAGGTCTCCTTTTGCATTTTTGCTGAGACCAGCTGGGTCATGGAGACCCTGACCCAGCAGCTCTAGAGGAATTAAGACAAAGACACAGAAATAGAGTGCAGAGTGGGAATCGGGGCTCACAGCCTTCAGAGCTGAGAGCCTTGAACAGAGTTTGACCCACATATTTATTGACAGTAAGCCTGTGATAAACATTATTTCTATAGATTATAGATTAGCTAAAAGTATTCCTTACAAGAAAGAAAGGGACAGGCTCTGGCTTGTTATCTGCAACAGGAACATGTCCTTAAGGCACAAATCACTCATGGTATTGTTTGTGGTTTAGGAATGCCTGAGCAGTTTTCCAGTTTTCCACCGTGGGTGGGCCAGGTGTTCCTTGCCCTCATTCGGGTAAAC
Source organism: Homo sapiens (assembly GCF_000001405.40). Lineage (NCBI taxonomy): Eukaryota > Metazoa > Chordata > Mammalia > Primates > Hominidae > Homo > Homo sapiens. The sequence goes on along the minus strand of NC_000019.10, from coordinate 9,609,003 downwards.
CAGCAACCTCCAGCATGGGTGTCATAGCCATCACGAGCATGTCACAGTGCCGCAGAGATTTTGTTTATGGGCAGTTTCTCATGGCCTGTTTATGTCCAAATTTGGGGGGCCTGTTCTGAGCACATTTTCCTGTAAGCACTCAGGAAGAATGAAGCTTCCTGTGTCCTTTAACACTTTAAGTACAGATCTTAGTGATACATAACCAGTTTTATCTCTCTCAAGCTCTACCTTCCGCAAAGTGCTAGAATACAGTTCTGCCAAGTTCTTCACTACTTCGTATCAAGGGTTGTATTTTCTTTATTTCCCAATAGCATGTTCCTCATTCCCCAATGACACCTCACCAGGATCACCCTTACCAACCTTACTTCCAGCTTGCACATCAGAATTTTTCCAGCCTCATTTGTCAGTTTCAAATCTGCTTCACATTTTTAGTTTTTTTGTTTGTTTGTTTTTAATCTGCCTTAATGAGCTCAGGCCACTATCACAAAATACCACAGACCAAATGGCTTACAAATTTGTTAATTTTAAATAAATGAGGTTAAAAACAAATTTATATTCTCACATTTCTCGAGGCTGGAAGTCTGAGATCAGAGTGCCAGCATGGTCAACTTCTGGCGAGAGCTCTCTTCCTGGTATGTAAATGCCCACTTCCTCATGTCTTCACAGGAAGGAAACCAACAAATAGGTCTCTCTCTCCTCTCTCCTTTCTCCTCTCTCCTCTCTCCTCTTTCTCTCTCTCTCCCCACCATCTCTCTCCTTCCCCTCCCTCCCCCTCCCTCCCCCTACCCATCTCTTGACATCATTTCACGATACTTCTAAAGAGCCTATTTTCAGGCCGGGCGCGGTGGCTCACACCTGTAATCCCAGCACTTTGGGAGGCCGAGGTGGGCGGATCACGAGGTCAGGAGATCGAGACTGTCCTAGTTAACACGGTGAAACCCTGTCTCTACTACAAATACAAAAAATTAGCCTGGCGTGGTGGCGGGTACCTGCAGTCCCAGCTACTCGGGAGGCTGAGGCAGGAGAATGGCATGAACCTGGGAGGCACAGGTTGCAGTGAGCCGAGATCGCAGCCACTGCATTCCAGCCTGGACAACAGAGCGAGACTCTGTCTCAAAAACAAAACTAAAAAACCCTATTTTCACATACAGTCACATTGGGATTTGGAGCTTCAACATATGAATTTTCAGGGTTATCATTCAGTCCAAAGTACTTAATATGATTCTTTTCCGTTTCCACATAGACAATCACATAATCTGTAAATAATGACTCTTACTTTTCCACTTTAGTCGTTAGGTTATACCTATATATATATTTTCTTGCTTTACTGGACTAATTTCAACCTCCAGCACACCACCAATGAATAGCAGTAATACCAGCATAATTGTCTGCAGTTCTGCTGAGATACGTGCTCTATTTTATTGGCTTGGCTGTAGGTTTTTATTTTATTTTTTGAAGAGGCTAATCTCTTACAGGAAAGGTTTCTTTTTATATCCAGTTTTTACATGATGAATGATTTCCCAGTATTTCATAATTCATGAGGCTGAATTCCTCTTGAATTTATTAAATGCTTCCTGTGCATCCTCTGTGATGATCATGTTTATTTACTGCTAGAACTCAAGTACCTAGAACTGTTCCTGGCCAATGATGGTATGTAATAAATACTTCAATGAAATGATGTGGTGATGCATGTCTATAGTTCTAGCTACTTGGGAGGATGGCCTGAACCCAGGGGTTCTAGACCAGCTTAGACAACATAGCAAGACCACATCTCAAAAAACAAAAAACAAAACGAATGAATGAATGCATGGAAGGACTCATCTCTAAAATAAATGTGGTCAGGTTGGGTGTGGTGGCTCATGCCTGTAATACCAGCACTTTGGGAGGCAGGGATGGGCAGATCACTTGAGGTCAGGAGTTCGAGACCAGCCTGGCCAACATGGTGAAGCCCCATCTCTACTAAAAATACAGAAATTAGCTGGGTGTGGTTGTGTGCACCTGGAATTCCAGCTACGCAGGAGGCTGAAGCAGGAGAATCGCTTGAACCTGGGAGGTGGAGGTTGCATTAAGTGTAGATTGTGCCACTGCACTCCAGCCTTGGTGACAGAGTGAGACTCCATCAGAAATAAAATAAAATAAATGTGTTTTTGTATTTATTACATTTCTAGTGTTACATCAACCTTGCATTCCTGGATAAGCCCAACTGAGACATAATGGATCATTTTAAAAGACTATTTGATTACCTTTACTAATATGTTATGGAGCTATGTTTGAATAACTGCAATTTTTTTTTCTTCTTGTCCCTGAATGATTTTTTTTTTTTTTTTGAGACAGAGTCTGGCTCTGTGTCCAGGCTGGAGTGCAGTGGCACGATCTAGGCTCACTGCAACCTCCACCTCCCCGGTTCAAGCGATTCTCCTGCCTCAGCCTCCAAGGAGCTGGGACTACAGGCATGCACCACCACGCCCAGCTAATTTTTGTATTTTTAGTAGAGATGGAGTTTCACCATTTTGGCCAGGATGGTTTTGATGTCTTGACCTCGTGATCCAACTGCCTTGGCCTCCCAAAGTGCTGGGATTACAGGTGTGTGCCACTGCACCCGGCCCTGAATGATATTTACATGTAAATTATGACTGTCATATACTGTATTGGGGAATGTTCCTACTTTTTCTAAATTCTTTATCCATCTATATGCTATAAGAATCTAGGCTGGGAATAGTGGCTCAGGCCTGTAATCCCAGCACTTTGGAAGGCTTAGGCAAAAAGATCAGTTGAGCCCAGGAGTTCAAGGCCACCTTGGACATCATAGTGAGACTACATCTCTACTGAAAAATACTACGTGCTGGGCATGGTGGCTCACACCTGTAATCCCAGCACTTTGGGAGGTTGGGGTGGGCAGATCAAGAGGTGAGGAGTTGGAGACCAGGCTGGCCAATATGGTGAAACCGCATCTCTACTAAAAATACAAAAATTAGCGAGGCATGGTGGCACAAGCCTGTAATACAGCTACTTGGGAGGCTGAGGAGGAAGAATTGCCTGAACCCAGGAGGCGGAGGTTGCAGTGAGTTGAGATCGTGCCATTGCACTCCAGCTCTGGGTGACAGAGCAAGATTCCATCTCGAAAAAAAATAGTACAAAATATTTTAAAAAATAATAAAAGTTGTCTATTCTGGCTGATCATGGTGGCTCACACACATATTCCCAGCACTTTGGGAGGCTGGGTCAGGAGGATTGCTTGAGGCCAGGAGTTCAAGATCAGCCTGGGCAACATAGTGAGATTCCATCTCTACAAAAAAATAAGAGTTATCAAGCCGGATGTGGTGGCTCACGCCTGTAATCCCAGCACTTTTGGAGGATAGGCGGGTGGATCCCCTGAGGTCAGGAGTTTGAGACCATCCTGGCCAACATGGTGAAACTCCATCTCTACTAAAAATACAAAAAATTAGCTGGGCGTGGTAGCTGGCGCCTGTGATCCCAGCTACTCCAGAGGCTGAGACAGGAAAATCACTTGAACCCAGGAGGTGGACGTTGCAGTAAGCCAAGGTCGTGCCCCTGCACTTCAGCCTGGGCAACAGAGGAATACTCCATCTCAAACAAAACAAAACAAAACAAAACAAAACAAAACAAAACAAAGGCCTGGCACAGTGGCTCATGCCTGTAATTCCACTTTGGGAGGCCGAGGTGGGCAGATCACGAGGTCAAGAGGTTGAGACCATCCTGGCCAACATAGTGAAACTCTGTCTCTACTAAAAAATACAAAAATTAGCTAGGCCTGTTGGCGTGCACCTGTAATCCCAGCTACTCAGGAGGCTGAGGCTGGAGAATCACTTAAACGTGGAAGGCGGATGTTGCAGTGAGCCGATATCGTGCCACTGCACTCCAGCCTGGGTGACAGAGCGAGACTCCATCTCAAAAAAAAAAAAAAAAAAAAAAAGTACCCAGTCTCTGTTATTTCTTCATAGCAATATGAAAATGGACTAATACGTCAGAAGTTAGAATTTCAAGACCTACCAGGCATTTATTTCAGTGATTCTCAAAAGCCATCTTCAACAGAACCCCTTCCTTTCTCAGATTTCTTCCATTGGCTCCTGAACCTGGTTGGATGGACTGACAGAAGAGTGTTCTTGAAGCCCCCAGAGTGACTCTCCCCACCTGAAAGTAGGGACTCAGCCCTATCCAGAGTTGCAGAGGGCCAGAGAATTGACTGCTGTCTGGCGAGGCTGCCGTCTATCCCCCACTGCATTCTCTAGTCCGTCAGAGCAGAGGGTTTCATCTGTCCTCCACTGAGGCTGCAGTTTTACCCCTGAGAACAGGTGAATGTTCCCCTTTGGGGGAGGATGTGTCTGAAAGGGTCTTGAGTATTGCTGTGGGCAAACTCCACACATCATCCATAATGGTGAATGCACTAATACAAAGATACAAATCAGCCAGAACCAACCTTACATTCCTGGAGTAAATGCCACTGGGTTTACTACTTTCTTACCATGGCGTTGGAATTTGTTTGCTAATTTCTTTCTTTCCCTCCCTCTCTCTCTCTTTCTTTCATCTTTTTTTGTTTTTTGTTTTTTGTTTTTTTGTTTTTTTGAGACGGAGTTTCACTCTTGTTGCCCAGGCTGCAGTGCAATGGCGTGATCTCGGCTCACCACAACCTCGGCCTCCCAGGTTCAAGCGATTCTCCTGCTTCAGCCTCCTTAGTAGCTGGGATTACAGGCATGTGTCACTACGCCCAGCTAATTTTGTATTTTTAGTAGAGACGGGGTTTCTCCATGTTGGTCAGCCTGGTCTCGAACTTCCGACCTCAGGTGATCTGCCCACCTCGGCCTCTGAAGTGCTGGGATTACAGGCGTGAGCCACCGCACCCGGCTCTTTCTTTCTTTCTTTTTCTTCCTTCCTTCCTTCCTTCCTTTCTTTCTTTCTTTCTTTCTTTCTTTCTTTCTTTCTTTCTTTCTTTTTCTTTCTTTCCTTCCTTCCTTCCTTCTTTCTTTCCTCCTTTCCTTCCTTTCCTTCTTTCCTTTCCTTTCCCTTCCCTTCCCCTTCCTTCCTTCCTTTCTTTCTTTCTTTCTTCCTTTCCTTTCTTTCTCCTTCCTTCCTTCCTTCTTTCTTTCTTTTTCACCCTTCCTTCCCTCCCTCCCTCTCCTTTTCTTTCTTTCTTGCTTTCTTTTCTTTTCTTTCTTTCCTTCTTTCTTTCCCCTTCCTTTCTTCCTTCTCTTTCTTTCTTTCTTTCTTTCTTTCTTTCTTTCTTTCTTTCTTTCTTTCTCTCTCTCTCTCTTTCTTTCTTTCTTTCTCTCTCTCTCTCCCCCTCTCTCCCTCCCTCCCTCCCTCCCTCCCTTCGTTCCTTCCTTTCTTTTCTTCCCCCCTCCCCTCCCCCCCCTCCCTTCCCCTCTCATCTTGCTTTATCACCTAGGCTAGGTGCAGTGTTGCAGACACAGCTCACTGTAGCCCTGACCTCCTGGGCTCAAGCAATCTTCCCACCTCAGCCTCCCAAGTAGCTGGGAGTACAGGGGTGCTCTACCACACCCAGCTAATTTTTAAATTTTTTGTAGAGATAGTCGCTTGCTATGTTGCCCAGGCTGCTCTCAAACTCCTGGGCTCAAGCAATCCTGCCTCTATTATACTTAGTGCATTTTTTTTGTTTGTTTTTTGGTGTTTTTTTGCTTGTTTGTTTTGTTTGTTTGTTTGTTTTTAGATGGAGTCTTGCTCTGTCGCCAGGCTGGAGTACAGTGGCGCGATCTCGGCTCACTGCAACTTCTGCATCCTGGGTTCAAACAATTCTCCTGCCTCAGCCTCCCGAGTAGCTGGGACTACAGTCACGCGACACTACACCCAGCTAATTTTTGTATTTTTAGTAGAGATGGGGTTTCACCACGTTGGCCAGGATAGTCTCAATCTCTTGACCTCATGATCAGCCCGCCTTGGCCTCCCAAAGTGCTGGGATTACAGGCGTGAGCCACTGTGCCCGGCCTACTTAGTACATTTGTAGCAATATTCATTACTGATATGATTCTGCAGTTTTTAATGATTGTACTATTTTTATCAGTGATAGAAACAAGATATACATATATCTTGTACTGGCATCATAAAAAGCTTTAGCAAAATTTGCTTCATTTTTAATACTCTGAAAGGATTTATGGAGAATTAGGACCAACTGGACCTTGAAAATTTCATGTAATGTAAAAATGTCTGGGCTGGGAATGGTGGCTCATGCTTGTAATCTGAGCACTTTGGGAGGCTGAGAAGAGAGGATCATTCTAGCTCAAGAGTTTGAGAATAGCCTGGGCAATGGAGTGAGATACCATCTCTACCAAAAAAAAAAAACAAAAAAACTCTTGAGTTTAGGTGCTGTATTCCTTCCATTGCAACTACTAAGTACACTGAGCCAGGGGTATTACTTGAGGCCAGGCATTCAAGGCAATAGTGTACAACTATTACATATCAATTTTTTTTTAGTTGATCTCACTCTGTCATCCAGGCTGGAGTGCAGTGGCATGATCTTGGCTCACTGGACCCTTCACCTCCCCAGTTCAAATGATTCTCCTGCCTCAGCCTCCTGAGTAGCTGGGATTACAGGCATGTGCCACCTCGCCCAGCTAATTTATTTTATTTTATTGTATTTATTTATTTAACTTTTTTTTTTTTTTGAGGCAGAATCTCACTCTATCGCCCATGCTGGAGTGCAATCATGCGATCTGGGCTCACTGCAACCTCCTTCTCCTGGATTCAAGTGATTCTCCTGCCTCAGCCTCCTGAGTAGCTCAGATTACAGGTGTGCACCACCAAGTCCAGCTAATATTTGTATTTTTAGTTGACACAGGGTTTCACCATGTTGGTCAGGCTGGTCTTGAACTCCTGACCTTGTGATCCCCCCACCTCGGCCTCCCAAACTGCTGGGAGTATTACAGGTGTGAACCACTGCACCTGGCCTTTGCCCAGCTAATTTTTGTATTTTTAGTTGAGTTGGGGTGTTGCCATGTTGACTAGGCTGGTCTCAAACTCCTTACTTCAGGTGATCTGCCTGCCTTGGCCTCCCAAAATGCTAGGATTACAGGCATGAGCTACTGAGCCCAGCTTTACATATCAATTCTAAAAAGAGTTATACTTCTAAGACTTTGGTTTTTTTTTTTCTTCCTTTTTTCTGGGGGACAGGGTCTCACCCTGTCACCCAGGCTGGAGTGCCGTGACACAATTGTGGCTCACTACAACCTTGACCTCGTGAGCTCGGGTGATACTCCCACCTCAGACTCCCCAGTAGTTGGGACTGCAGGCATGCACGACCACACCTGGGTAATTTTTGGTACTTTTTGTAGAGACAGAGTTTCAGCCTGTTGCCTAAGCAACATAGCAAGACCCTGTCTCCACAAAAATTTTTTAAAACCTGGCCAGGCATGTTGGTGCACACCTGTAGTCCCAGCTACTTGAGATGCTGAGGCAGAAGGATTGCTTGAGCCCAGGAGTTCAAGGCTATAATGAGCTATGATTGAATTACTGACTCCAGGCTGGGCAACAGAGCAAGACCCTGCATCAAAAAAAAAAAAAAAAAATGTGTTACTTGTCAATTTTATGTGCTTTTTATCACAGTAAAAAGAAATACAATAAAACAGAAGTTACTGCCCGGGCACAGTGGCTCATGCCTGTAATCCCAGCACTTTGGGAGTCCAAGGTGGGTGGATCACTTGGGGCCAGGAATTCGAGACCAGCCTGGCCAATATGGCAAAAACCCTGTCACTAGTAAAAGTACAAAAGTTAGCTGGGTGTGGTGGCATGTGCCTATAATCCCAGCTACTCGGCCGACTGAGGCATAAGAATTACTTGAACCTGGGAGGTGGAGGCTGCAGTGATCTGAGATTGTGCCACTGCACTCCAGCCTGGCCAATAGAGCAAGACTCTGTCTCAAAAAAATAAAATAAAATAAAAAATAAAAAAATTTTAAAAAACCCCAGAAGTTACTTGGGTCAGTTCTTGTTTATTTTTTTCTTTCCGTTTTGGTCTGTCTTGAGCCCCTACCTATATTAAGGATCCAATAGCAGAGTGACTAGCAATGCTGCCCTAACAAGAAATGAAGGGGAGCCAGATGTGGGTGTTTACAGGGAGCCTTTCTTTCAAGTGATACATTTTATTTTATTTATTTATTTGTTTATTTTTATTTTATTTATTTTTTTGAGTTGGAGTCTTGTTCTGTCTCCCATGTTGGAGTGCAGTGGCACGATCTCGGCTCACTGCAACCTCCTTCTCCGGGGTTCAAGCGATTCTCCTGCCTCGGCCTTCTGAGTAGCTGGGATTACAAGCACATGCCACAACGTCCGGCTAATTTTTGTATATTTAGTACAGATGAGATTTCACCATGTTGGTCAGGCTTGTCTCGATCTCCTGACCTTGTTGATCCACCCGCCTTAGCCTCCCAAAGTGCTGGGATTACAGGCGTGAGCCACCGCGCCCAGCAGCCTATTTTTTTTTTAATTTAATTTAATTTTTTTTTTTTTTTTTGAGACAGAGTGTCGCTCTGTTGCCCAGGCTGGAGTGCAGTGGCGCAATATCAGCTTACTGCAACCTCCGCCTCTCCGGTTTAAGCAATTCTGCCTCAGCCTCCCAAGTAGGTGGGACTATAGGCACATCCGCCACGCCTGGCTAATTTTTTTTTTTTTTGTATTTTAGTAGAGACGGGGTTTCACCATGTTGCTGAGGCTGGTCTTGAACTCCTGAGTTCAGGCAATCCGCCTGCCTCAGCCTCCCAAAGTGCTAGGATTACAGGCGTGAGCCACTGCACTCAGCATTATTTCCATTCTATTCTATTCTATTCTGTTCTATTCTATTCTATTCTTTTTTTTTTTTTTTTTTTTTTTTGAGATGGAGTCTCCCTCTATCGCCCAGGCTGGAGTGCAGTGGCGCAATTTCGGCTCACTGCAACCTCTGTCTCCCAGGTTCAAGCAATTCTCCAGCCTCAGCCTCCCAAGTAGCTGGGGTTATTTTTGTATTTTTAGTAGAGATGGGGTTTCACCATACTGGTCAGGCTGGTCTCGAACTCCTGACCTCAGGTGATCCACCCGCTTTGGCCTTCCAAAGTGCTGGGACTACAGGCGTGAGCCACCATGCCCGGCCCATTCCATTCCATTCCATTCCATTCCATTCCATTCCATTCATTCCATTCCATTCCATTGCATTCTTGAGATGGAGTCTTGCTGTGTTGCCCAGGCTGGAGTGCAATGACTTGATCTTGGCTGACTGCAACCTCTGCCTCCTGGATTCAAGCGATTCTCCTGCCTCAGCCTCCTGAGTAGCTGGGACTACAGGCATGAACCACGACACCCGGCTAATATTGTATTTTTATTAGAGATGGGGTTTCATCATGTTGGTCAGGCTGGTCTCAAACTCCTGACCTCAGGCGATCTGCCCGCCTCAGCCTCCCAAAGTGCTGGGATTTCAGGAGTGAGCCACCACGACTGGCCTAAGGGATACATTTTTTAAAGTTAATTAATTATTTATTGATTGATGAATGACAGAGTCTGCCTTTGTCATCCAGGCTGGATGGAGTGCAGTAGCGTGATCTCAGCTCACTGCAACCTGCCACTCCAGAGCTCAAGCGATTCTCCTGCTTCAGCCTCCCAAGTAGCTTGGATTACATGCCTCCACTACCATGCTGGGCTAATTTTTGTATTTTTAGTAGAGACGGGGTGTCGCCATGTTGGCTATGCTGGTCTGGAACTCCTTAGCTAAGTGATCTGCCTGCTTCAGCCTCCCAAAGTGCTGGGATTACAGTGTGAGTTGTCACGCAAAACCTGGTTGACAGGGGGTCCCTCACCTGGGAAACTTGTTTATACTGATAGATGACCTAGGCCGCTCTTTTTTTTTTTTTTTTTTTTTTTTTTAAGATGGAGTCTCCCTGTGTCTCCCAAGCTGGAGCGCAGTGGCCCGATCTTGGCTTACTTCAACCTCCGCCTCCTGGGTTCAAGCAGTTCTCCTGCCTCAGCCTCCCCGAGTAGCTGGGACTACAGGCATATGCCACCACACCCAGCTAATATTTTTGGTATTTTTAGTAGAGACGAGGTTTCACCATGTTGGCCAGGCTGGTCTCAAACTCTTGACCTCAGGTGATCCGCTCACCTTGGCCTCCCAAAGTGCTGGGATTACAGGCGTGAGTCACCGTGCCCAGCGACATAGCTGCTCTTGTCTGACCTGTGTTCAGTTTATGCCTGCCTGATCATCACTCTGACACTGGAAACCTGACCTTGTGTCCCCACCAGCTCCCTGGGGAAATCTCAACCAGGGGCGGCCCCTGGTTCTTCAGATGGTATGTGCAAATTCAAAACACCACCCCAATAGGACATAATTTCAAAGATTTATTGCTTACACGTCCTGGGAAGGGAGGGCAAAATGAGTTTTGAGGACAGTCTTCCATCCATGGGTCACGCAAGGCAGGGATGAGAGGCAGAGAAGGAGGGAGGTTGTGGCAGCTAGCTGTATACATAAGGGAATAGGGTGTGAGTCACTTTAAATTTAGGAGCAAATACATGGATAGTCAGTTTAAAGGAAGTAGGAGGAAAACACTATCTTGGGCAGGAAAGATGTCTCTAGATTCTTTCTAGATTTTTTTTTTTTTGAGACACAGTTTTGCTCTGTCACCCAGGCTAGAGTGCAGTGGTGTGATCTCGGCTCACTGCGAGCTCTGCCTCCCGGGTTCACTCCATTCTGCCTTGGCCTCCTGGGTAGCTGGGAGTACAGGTGCCCACAACCACGCCCGGCTAATTTTTTTGTGTGTGTTTTTAGTAGAGACGGCGATTCACTGTGTTAGCCAGGATGGTCTCAATCTCCTGACCTCGTGATCCACCCGCCTCGGCCTCCCAAAGTGCTGGGATTACAGGCGTGAGCCACCGCGCCTGGCCAATTCTTTCTGCATTCTTATCTCTAGCCACAGGCTTGAGCTGATTGGGTGTGGTGTTTATTTATTTACTTATTTTTTTGAGATGGAGTCTCTGCACCCAGGCTGGAGTGCAGTGTAGCGATCTTGGCTCACTGCAACCTCTGCCTCTTGGGTTCAAGCAATTCTCCTGTCTCAGCCTCCTGAGTATCTGGGACTACAGGCACGCACCAGCATGCCCAGCTAATTTTTGTATTTTTTAGTAGAGATGGGGTTTCACCATATTGGCCAGGCTGGTGTCGAACTCCTGACCTCGTAATCCACCCACCTCAGCCTCCCAAAGTGCTGGGATTAAAGGCCTGAGCCACTGTGCCTGGCCTCTTTGTTAATTTTTTAAAATATTAAATATGTAAAGGAATAAAGGGCCAAGCACAGTGGCTCATGTCTGTAATCCCAACAATGTAGGAGGCCAAGGCTGAGCATGGTGGCTCATGCCTGTAATCTGAGCACTTTGGGTGGCCTTGGCAGGTGGATCACAAGGTCAGGAGATCAAGAGCATCCTGGCCAACATGGTGAAACCCCGTCTCTACTAAAAATACGAAAATTCACTGGGCGTGGTGGCTGGCACCTGTAGTCCCAGCTACTTGGGGGGCTGAGGCATGAGAATCACTTGAACCCAGGAGGCAGAGGTTGCAGTGAGCTGAGATCAGTCCACTGCACTCCAGCCTGGCAACAGAGTGAGAGTCTGTCTCAAAAAAAAAAAAAAGAAATGTGGGAGGCCAAGGATAGAGAATCACTTTAGAGTTGTTGAGTGTGAATTCGAAGTTTCCCTTCAAAGAATTAATATGTCAGTATGCTCAATTCTTTGCCTTCTACTTTTAAACTTCCTCGTAAAGCAACCTTTTCCACCCTGACACATTCTACTCCTTGACTCATTACCTACTCCACCCTGACTCATTCTGCTCATTCAGATTACCTTCTCCACCCTGACTCATTCATTCCAATTCATTTCATAACCATTTTTCCTGCCAAACCACTCACCCCGTCCATCTCTTTAAATTAATCAGTTGGAATTAGTTTAGCCTGTGTGGTCTAACTCTACCCAATAGGGGAATGACACAGCAGTAGGGACCAGGTGCATCAGTAATAAGAACGCCTTTCCCTCCTTTGTGAAGGTGTGTGCCCACCATTGCTCCATCTGTGAGAGCACACCCTTCTATAGAAGTACCTTGCCTTGCTGAGAATTAAAAATAAAATTTTATATTTGAATGCGATTTCTTTTTCTTTTTTTTTTTTTTTTTGAGATGGAGTCTCACTCTGTTGTCCAGGCTGGGGTTCAGTGGTGTGATCTCTGCTCACTGCAAGCTCCACCTCCCAGGTTCACACCATTCTCCTGCCTCAGCCTCCTGAGTAGCTGAGACTACAGGTGCCCGCCACCACGCCCGGCTCATTTTTTGTATTTTTTAGTAGAGATGGGGTTTCACTGTGTTAGCCAGGATGGTCTCGATCTCCTGCCCTTGTGATCCACCCACCTAGGCCTCCCAAAGTGCTGGAATTACAGACATGAGCCACTGCATCTGGCCTCGAGTGCTATTTCTTTTGCAGCACTGAAACTTATTATATAACAATTTGGGGGCTCATCCAGGATTACATTCCCCTCTGGGGGTGGTCTCTGGTTCTCTCTCTTGAGGAGGCATGCACCCCACCCTTTGTGGTGGCCTCATAGGGGAGAAATCAGAACCCACCCATTGTGAGGAATAACCCTAGCTCTAAGCAATGCAGGAAAAAAACAACTGGCCAGCAACCTAGCTTAAAGGATCCTCACATACTGCAGTGATGACTCTGTGCACCTACCAAGGAAGGAGATGCCACAGGAGCCAGTAAAGTATTTCCTTGGTGGTCAGGAACAAGGTAAGAAAGCCACGGGGGTTGGGGGTGGGTGCAGTGAAGTACTCCTTGGTCAGGGTGGCTAAGTGGTTAAAAAGAGGTGAGACATCCCCATTGTTGGGGGGGATTGAACCTCACACAAACCTCCAATAGTAGAAAAGGCAAGAAATTTCCAGAGGGGAAATTGAGCCTTACCCCAAAAGGCAAAAAGTTTCCAGTGAAAATTAAGCCTCACCCTGAAAGGTGAGAAATTTCCAGTAAGGGAAACTGAACCTTGAACCTTACCCCAAAACCATCAAGATGGGAAATACCCCAAGCAAGACAGGGAGCAAGGGGGATAAAGATGGTAACAAAGATATTCCCCCAGATAGCCCCCTAGGTCTCATGCTGAAACACTGGAAGGATAATGAAAGGACTAAACATAGGAAAAAGCAACAAATAATAAAATATTGCTGTTTTATTTGGACTCAGGGACCCATCCTTAATTCCTCAATCTTCTGGCCAAAGTTTGAATCAACTGAGGATGTAATGTGTCAGCTTCCAATCTGATATGTTAATAATAAAAGTCCAGTGTCTCAAGAAGAACTACGCTATGCCCTTTGTTGGAGGCAAGGACCAGCCCTCCTTTTTCCCTTAAAAACAAATAGGGAAGAACCCAATCTGGCACCTCAAAATGAAAAGTCAGAGGAGCCAGATCTCATGCCTAAAGACTCCAGTGCATGGGATCCCCTAAACTATCTTCCTCCATTCAGTATCCCCAATCTTTCCCCTCAGACAGCCACTTCCACCTCAGATCCCATTCTAAACTCCCCCTCTACTCGTGTTATCCCTCCTCCTTATAACCCTGACTCTTGGGAATTACCATCCCACCAGCCTGTCCTCCCCCCAACCTAAATACCCCTCTCTAAAAGGACTCCAGCGTGAGGTAGAACAATGTAAAAAAGATACTCAGAATTTTCCGCTTCCCTCCATACCTAAGAGGTCAGCCCTGACCTTATTCCCTTTGAAAGAGGTACCACAAGGAGTGGGGGCCAATGGCTTTGTAATTGGCTTTGTAAATGCTCCCTTAACCAGTTCAGAAGTCCGGAATTTTAAAAAGGAGCTTAAACCACTACTAGATGACCTTTACAGAGTGGCAGACCAAATTGACCAATTCTTAGGACCTCAGTTACACTTGGGTCGAGTTAATGTCCATCTTGGCCGTCCTCTTTTCAGGGGAAAAAAGGAGTATGATTCCTAGGGCTGCTATGGTACTTAGGGAACGTGAGCACCCTCCCGGTAAAAACGTTCCTACCGCGGAACAGAAATTCCCCACCCAAGACCCCCGGTGGGACAATAACAACGCAGATCACCGGGAAAATATGCAGGACCTAAGGGAGATGATAATAAAAGGAAATCAGGAATCAGTACCCTGAACCCGCAATCTTTCTAAAGCGCTTGATATACAACAGGAAAAGGATGAAGGGACTGTGAGATTCCTAGACAGACTGAGGGAGCAAATGAGGCAATATGCAGGCCTTACTTTGGATGATCTCCTTGGGCAAGGAATGTTGAAACTCCAATTTGTCAGTAAAAGTTGCCTAGACATTTCAAAAAAGTTATAAAAAATAGACAATTGGGAAGACCGTCCTCTAAGTGAGCTTCTCAGGGAAGCTTAGAAAGTACATGTGAAACGGGATGAAGAAAAACAGAAACAAAAAACAAAACTTATGTTTTCCACCTTCCAACAGATGGCTCCAAACCCAGGTACTTCTAGACAGAGCTTCCAGGGACCTAGAAAGTATAAAGGGTCTGAACCCTGTTTTAAAGGCCCCCAGCCTCCATCTGGAGGACAAAGGTCCTCATCTACCAGGCCCCCTAAAGAGTATGGGGGGACAGGGTTAAAGAATCCCAGAACTAAGAGGGAGGAAGGACAAGATATGTGCTATAGATGTGGAAGAACAGGCCACTTCAAGAGAGAATGTCCTGAACTAAGGAGAAAGAAGCCCTTCCACTCATGACTTTCAAGGAATAGGGGGGTCAGGGGCCCTGTCTCTTTTATCTTGAGTCCCACCAGGAGCCCTTGATCAATTTGGATGTGGGACCTAAACATGAGCTTATCGCCTTTTTAGTCGATTCAGGGGCTGCTCGCTCCTGTTTGTTTCCCCCCATCTAATGTTGGCTCCTCCTCAGAGGAACTTTTAGTTTCCAGGGTAAAAGGGGAAGGATTTAGAGCAAAAATTTTACAAAGCACAGAAGTTAGACACCAGGATCGCTCAGCTTATATTCAGTTCTTGTTAATCCCTGAAGCAGGAACTAATTTCCTGGGGAGGGATTTAATGTTAAAGTTGGGCATAGGTCTACAAGTCAGCCCAAGAGAATTCTTCACCCCATTAAACCTACTCACCACTGCGGATGAAAAATATATTAATCCTAATGTCTGGTCCAAAGAAGGAGACTAAGGGAAACTCCAAGTCCCTCCAATCCACATCAGCTAAAAACCCCAGGAGAAGTAGTAAGAAGGAAACAATACCCTATTCCCCTAGAAGGCAGGATAAGGTTGAAACCTATAATCAAAGGCCTTATTAAGGACGGGCTTCTCCAGCCCTGTATGTCTCCTTAAAACACCCCAATACTGCCAGTCAAGAAATCAGATGGGTCATATCGGCTAGTACAGGACTGTAGAGCTATCAACCAAATAGTCCAGACTACCCACCCCGTTGTCCCCAATCCTTACACTATTCTTAACAAGATTTCATGTAATCATCAATGGTTTACTGTAATAGATTTGAAGAATGCTTTTTGGGCATGTCCCCTGGCTGAAGATAGCTGAGATCCCCAATCAGGGTGGAAACAACAATATCGATGGACAGTCTTGCCCCAAGGGTTCACAGACTCCCCTAATCTTTTTGGCCAAAGTTTAGAACAAGTACTAGAAAAAGTTGTCATCCCAGAACAAATATACCTTCTTCAGTACGTGGACAACATTCTTATATCTGGTGAAGATATAGAGAAGGTAACTGACTTCTCTACACATATTCTTAATCACCTGTAGTTTGAGGGGCTACGAGTCTCAACAAGAAAGCTTCAGTATGTAGATCCCGAAGTTAAGTATTTAGGCCACTTAATAAGTGCAGACAAGTGAAGAATAGGGCCTGAACGAATTGAGGGAATTGTGTCCCTACCCTTGCCTCAAACTAAACAAGAACTCAGGAAATGTTTAGGATTAGTTAGATACTGCCGCTTTTGGATTGACTCATATGCACTGCACAGTAAACTGTTATATCAAAAACTTGCTCAGGAGAAACCTAACTGTCTCCTGTGGACTTCTGAGGAAGTTGATCAAGTTGAGAAGCTGAAGGAAAGGCTCATAACTGCCCCTGTTTTAGCCTAACCCTCCCTGGAAAAGCCATTCCACCTTTTTGTTAATGTGGACAGTGGGATAACTTTAGGAGTGCTGACTCAAGAGCATGGAGGCTGCCGACAGCCTGTAGCCTTCCTACCAAAAGCCTCAGACCCAGTCACTTGTGGATGGCCTCAATGCATCCAGTCCATCGCAGCTACAGCAATAGTAGTCAAGGAAAGCAGAAAGTTAACCTTTGGAGGAAAATTGACAGTAAGCACGCCTCACCAAGTTAGAACTATCTTAAACCATAGAGCAGGGAGATGGCTTACTGACTCAAGAATCTTAAAGTATGAGGCCATTCTGTTAGAAAAAGATGATTTATGGCCGGGTATGGTGGCTTATGCCTGTAATCCCAGCACTTTGGGAGGCCGAGGCTGGTGGATCACAAGGTCAATAGATCAAGACCATCCTGGCCAACATGGTGAAACCCCATCTCTACTAAAAATACAAAAATTAGCTGGGCGTGGTGGCACACGCCTGTAGTCCCAGCTACTTGGCAGGCTGAAGCAGGAGGATCGCTTGAACCTGGGAGTTGGATGTTGCAGTGAGTTGAGATGGCACCACTGCACTCCAGCCTGGTGACAGAGTGAGACTCCGTCTCAAAAAAAGAAAAAAAAAAAAGGATGGTTTAACACTGACCACTGATAATTCACTCAACCCAGCAGGTTTCCTACAGGGAATCCAAATCTAAGGAGAGAACACACATGTTTAGATTTAATTGATTACCATAGAAAGGTTCGACCAGACCTAGGAGAAACCCCCTTCTGGACTGGAGGGCACTTATTCATAGATGGTTCCTCCTGGGTGATTGAGGGAAAAAGACACAATGGGTATTCAGTGATTGATGGAGAAACTCTCATAGAAATAGAGTCAGAAAAATTGCCCAACAGTTGGTCTGCTCAAATGTGTGAGCTGTTTGCACTCAGCCAAGCCTTAAAGTACTTACAGGACCAGGAGGGAACTATCTATACCGATTCTAAGTACACCTTTGAAGTGGCTCATACATTTGGAAAAATTTGGACTGAACGAGTTCTCATTAATAGTAAAGGTCAAGACCTTGTTCACAAGGAGCTGATCACCCAAGTATTGAATAATCTTCAGTTGCCGGAAAAAATAACTATTGTCCATGTTCCCGGACAACAGAAAAACCTCTTTTGAAAGTCGAGGAAATAACCTAGCAGATCAGGTAGCCAAGCAGGCTGCTGTGTCTTCTGAAATGCATATTTTTCACTTAACTCCCTACCTCCCTCCTCCTACCATAATCCCCATTTTCTCTTCCACCAAAAAAGAGAAACTAATAAACATAGACGCTAAAGAGAATTCAGAAGGAAAGTGGATGCTGTCAGACCAGAGAGAAATGTTGTCCAAACCCCTTATGAGGGAAGTCTTATCCTAACTACATCATGAGACCCACTGGGGGCCCCAGGCCATGTGTGATGCAGTTCTCAGAGTTTATAGTTATATAGGAATTTATACTCTGGCCAAACAGGTTACAGATAGTTGCTTAGTATGTAAGAAAACTAATAGACATACTATAAAAAGATTACCTCTCGGGGGAAGGAATCTGGGCTTAAGGCCATTCCAAAGTATCCAAGTTGATTACACAGAAATGCCTCCAATAGGTCGTCTAAAATATTTACTAGTGATAGTAGACTACCTCACTCACTTGGTTGAAGCTGTCCCCTTTTCAAATGCAACAGCCAATAATGTAGTTAAGGCCTTAATTGAAAATATAGTACCCAGGTTTGGACTAATAGAAAATATTGACTCAGACAATGGAACTCATTTCACCACACACATTATTAAAAAGCTATCCCAAACATTAGACATTAAATAGGAACACCATACTCCCTGGCACCCACCCTCATCAGGGAGAGTAGAAAGAATGAATCAGACTCTAAAGAACCACTTAACCAAATTAGTCTTAGAGACTCGATTGCCATGGACCAAGTGTCTTCCTATCGCCCTGCTGAGAATTCAAACTGCACCACGGAAAGACGTTGGTCTTTCTCCTTATGAGATGCTCTATGGATTACCTTATTTGCACTCCACTGCTGATATTCCTACCTTTGAAACAAAAGATCAATCCTTAAAAATTATATACTTTGTCTATCTTCTATTCTCTCTTCTCTTAAAACTAAAGGTCTATTAGCACAGGTGCCACCCTTAGAGTTCCCAGTGCATCATCAGCCTGGGGATCATGTCCTCATCAAGAGCTGGAAAGAGGAGAAGCCTGAGCCAGCCTGGGAATCTCATTACTTACTGCTCCTCACTACTGAAACCGCAGTCCGCACGGCAGAGAGAGGATGGACTCATCACACCAGAGTCAAGAACGCGCCACCACCTCCAGAGTGGTGGGCCATAGTCCCAGGGGAAAACCCTACCAAACTAAAGCTAAGAAGAATTTAACTGTCTTTCATCTATTCTATTACTCTTTCTTCTTTCCTCGCTCTGTTGCTGACCATCTAGTTATTAACATAACCAAGTCAATTTTGCCTCAAACTGTTGCATTTAATGCTTGCCTTGTTATACCCTGTGGGGATTTGTCAAGTCAAAGGCAGCTCACTACTTCAGAAAAGCACCTCTGTCCCTCCTGGCTCTCCTCAGACTGGGCATTAGTGAATTAGGACCATTTAATCTGGGAGATTTCCATAAAGATCCCAGTGGAAACCAGGAGTCTTGACCCCAACCCCCGATGTAGAGCTTTTATGCCGTAGTTGGTCCAACGTTCTGTGGACCACCAAAGAGCAAGGATGGACTGCCCTAACCAGTTTTTGGAATTTCCTAAAACCATACATTCATTTACTAAAGGGACAGCCCCCCCCAACTGTCAGCCAAACCAGTGCAACCCTATACAGGTTAGTATTTTGAGCCCCAAAGTTCTCCTTTTCTAAGCCAGTTCCTTTCTTTAAGCCGGTTTTATGGTATAGGGGCTGAGGTTTCAAGGACAGACCCTACTGGATTCTTTGAAATGCGTTTCTTTGATCTCCCGCTGCCTGCACCTGCCTCTTAGCCTTTTTCCAAAACCTCTCACAACGGAACCATTGTTCCTCCTCCATCTAAGGACAAGGCCATGATAGCGATGGTAGAAGTTAAAGACTTAAACTTTGGCAATTGAGACAGGATACCAAGATGTAAATACCTGGTTGGAATGGATCAAATATTCCATCCGCATGTTAAACAAAAGCAATTGTTATGCTAGTGCGCACAGCAGGCCAGAGGCCCAGATTGTCCCCTTTCCACTAGGGTGGTTCTCCAATAGACCGGGCATGGGCTGCATGGTAACTCTTTTCCAGGATTCTACAGCCTAGGGTAAAGAGTCATGCCGACTCTCTGTCTCTGCTATATCCTGAAGTTCAACAACATGCTGGTCAGCCCCCGAGGGCCATCCAGCTTCCATCTCCCAACATTAAGTTCACTTCGTGTCTCTCACAACAGAGAGGAAACTTAGTGTTCCTTGGAGACCTGAAGGGATGCAGTGAGCTTAAGAACTTTCAAGAGCTTACCAATCAGTCAGCCCTTGCTCATCCCTGAGCGGATGTGTGGTGGTATTGTGGTGGACCTTTACTGGACACTCTGCTGAATAACTGGAGTGGCACTTGTGCTTTAGTCCAATTGGCTATCCCTTTCACCCTGGCATTTCAGCAACCAGAGGGAGGAAAGATAAGACTTCGTAAAGCAAGACAAGCCCGTTATAGGTCTTTCAACTCTCACGGCTATTTAGATGCAATTGGAGTCCCACGGGGAATACCAGATCAATTTAAAGCCCAAAATCCAATAGCTGCAGGATTTAAGTCAATATTTTGGTAGGCGACAGTTAATAAAAATGTAGATTGGGTGGGCCGGGCGCGATGGCTCATGCCTGTAATCCCAGCACTTTGGGAGGCCGAGGCGGGCGGATCACAAGGTCAGGAGATTGAGACCATCCTGGGTAACGCGGTGAAACCCTGTCTCTACTAAAAATACAAAAAATTCACCGGGCATGGTGGCAGGTGCCTGTAGTCCCAACTACTCAGGAGGCTGAGGTAGGAGAATGGCATGAACCCAGGAGGCGGAGCTTGCAGTGAGCCAAGATCGCACCACTGCATTCCAGCCTGGGTGACAGAGTGAGACTCCATCTCAAAAAAAAAAAAATGTAGATTGGGTAAACTACATCTATTACAACCAACAGCGATTTATTAACTACACTAGAGATGCTGTTAAAGGAATAGCTGAGCAATTGGGGGCTACTAACCTGATGGCTTGGGAAAATAGGATAGCTTTAGACATGGTATTAGCAGAAAGAGGAGGAGTTTGCATCATTATTAAAACTCATTGTTGCAACTTCATCCCAAACAACACGGCCCCTAATGGAAGTATAAGAAAGGCATTGCAAGGCCTGACTCCTCTATCCAATGAGTTGGCCAGCAATTCAGGGGTAAATTACCCATTTACAGAATGGCTAGAAAAGTGGTTCGGTAAATGGAAAGGAATAATAGCCTCAATTCTCACCTCCCTTGTAGCCGTAATGGGTGTACTTATCCTTGTCAGGTGCCGTGTCATACCATGCATCTGTAGGTTGGTGCAGAGGCTCATAGAAATGGCACTTACTAAAACCTCCTTTAACTATCCTCCACCTTATCCAGAGAAGCTCCTTCTTTTGGAAAATCAAGCAGAACAACTAAGTCAAGACATGTTAAATAAGTTTGAAGAGAAAGCCATAAAAAAAATGCAAGAGGAGGAAGTTGTTGAAAATGAATTATAAATTTCTCTTCAAAGAATTAATATGTCAGTATGCTCAATTCTTTGCCTTCTACTTTTAAACTTAACTTCCTCATAAAGCACCCTTTTCCCAAACCGCTCACTCCATCACTCTCTTTAAATTAGTCAATCGGAATTAGTTTAGCCTGTGAGGTCCAACCCTAGCCAGTAGGGGAACGACAGAGCAGTAGGGACCACGTGTGTCAGGAATAAGAACCCCTTTCCCTCCCTTGTCCAGGTGTGTGCCCACCATTGCTCCATCTGTGAGAGTGCACCCTTCTATAGAAGTATCTTGCCTTGCTGAGAATTAAAAAGAAAATTTTATATTCAAGTGTTATTTCTTTTGTGGCACCAAAACTTTATATGTGACAGACTGGAAGTTCAAGAGCAGCCTGGGCAACATAGAGAGATCTCTTCTCTACCCAAAATATTTTTAAAAATTAGCTGGATGTGGTGGTGTACATATGTATTCCCTGGTACTTGGGCAGGAGGATTACTTGAGCTCACAAAGTAAAGGCTGCACTGAGCAATGATAACGCTACTACACTCCAGCCTGTGTGACAGAGTGAAACCCTGTCAAAAAGAAAAAAAAAAAGTAGAATGTGATTTTAAACATCAGAACTAAACAGAATGATATGCTCAGAGAGGTTTCCCTATCCCTATCCTCTCCATTTTGTTCTTATCCCACCATTCTGTTCAAGCCCTTCCCATCTATCCCCGATAGATTCTGAATCTTATTATTTTCAGGATAGTCCTATCAGTGTTTCCCTGTACTCAGAATGAACAGATAATTACATATTTTATTTTTATTTTTTTGAGACTGAGTCTCACTCTATCGCCCAGGCTGGAGTGCAATGGCGCGATCTTGGCTCAATACAACCGCCGCTTCCCGGGTATAAGCAATTCTCCTGCCTCATCCTCCCGAGTAGCTGGGATTACAGGCGCCCGCCACCATGCCCGGCTAATTTTTGTATTTTTAGTAGAGGCGGAGTTTCACCATGTTGGCCAGACTTGTCCTTCAGAACTTTTTAACTGGAAGATATGCTGCCAGGCTGCTGAGCATCGTCACTTAGTCATATAAGCCCCCTCTTTGATTCCCCTTCTCCTCTGGGAGTCTTTCTTCCTTTCCACCCTTTCTGAGCAGCGACCCACAGGTAGAAGCCTGTGGATATTCTCTTGCTGTTTGCTACCTCCCGCCACTCCTTACCTGTCAAAGCACATCCCAAATGAAGCTTGTGTGCTACTGCCGCCTTGTGGTCACGTCTTTTTCCTTACTCAGCCAAGAAATCACTTACACCCTGAATGCGTATATGGTTTTATTTTTCACATTTAGATCCCTAGTCCATTTAGAGTTTATTCTTGTATATGCTGTGAAGTATGGATTTAATTTCATCTTTTCTCTGATGGCTACCCAGCTGTCTTAGACTTTCCATTACAAATGGCTTTTTTTGCCTCATTGATCTGAAATACCTTTTTTTTTTTTTTTTGAGATGGATTTTCACTCTTGTTGCCCAGGCTGGAGTCCAGTGGCGCGATCTCGGCTCACTGCAACCTCTGCCTTCTGGGTTTCAGCGATTCTCCTGCCTCAGCCTCCCGAATAGCTGGGATTACAGAAAGCCCACCACCATGCTTGGCTAATTTTATTTTTGTATTTTTATTAGAGACAGGGTTTCACCATGTTGGACAGGCTGGTTTCGAACTCCTGACTTCAGGTGATCCTCCCGCCTCAGCCTCCCAAATTGCTAGGATTACAGGTATGAGCCACCGCGCCTGGCAAAATACCACATTTATGAACCAAATTCCTACATGTTCTTGGGTCTGTTTTTAGATATTTTATTAGTCTGTTTCTGCTTCATGTGCTAGTACCACATAGTTTTAATTATAGAGGCTTTATAGTATGTCTTATTTATTTTTATTTTAATATAATTTAATTATTTGCCTTGTGTGAAAACTGTTAATAGTATGTTTTAACATCTGCTGCTCATCATTGCTTTTGTTTTTGTTTTCTTGGTTATTATCAGATATTTATTCTTCCACATAAACTTTAGTATCAACGTACCTAACTCCAGAAAAAACTTTTAATATTTTTACTGGGATTATGTTACATTTCTGAATAAACCTGGGGAGAATGTCTGGTGTCAGTGCTATTTTACAATGTAGGAAATGTGGTCCTGGCCCATGTGGGAAGATCAGAAAAATAACAATAGAAATACATGTTTTTGGCCAGGCGTGGTGGCTCACATCTGTAATCCCAGCACTTTGGAAAGGTGAGGCAGGCGGATCATGAGGTCAGGAGTTCGAGACCAACTGGGCCAATATGGTGAAACCCTGTCTTTACTAAAAATACAAAAATTAGCCGGGCATGGCGGCGCCTGCCTGTAATCTCTGCTACTCAGGAGGCTGAGAGAGAAGAATCGCTTGAACCCGGGAGGCAGAGGTTGCAGTGAGCAAGATCGTGCCACTGCACTCCAGCCTGGGCAACAGAGCTAGACTCCATCTCAAAACAAAAACAAAAACATATTTAAAATTTTTTTTAAACAGAGACGGGGTCTTGCTGTATTGCCCAGGCTGGTCTCAAACTCCTGGCCTCAAACGATCCCTTGGCCTCCCAAATTGCTGGGATTATAGGCATAAGCCACCATACCCAGCCAGAAATACATACTTGATGAAGACAAAAAAAAATCAAGATTTACAGAAAATATTATTATATTGAAAACGTGGCCGGGTGCGGTGGCTCATGTCTATAATTCCAGCACTTTGGGAAGCTGAGGGAGACAGATCATTGGAGGTCAGGAGTTCGAGATCAGTCTGGCCATCATGGTGAAACTCTTCTCTACTAAAAGTACAAAAATTAGCTGGGCGTGGAGGCAGACATCTGTAATCCCAGCTACTCGGGAGGTTGAGGCAGGAGAATCACTTGAACCCGGGGGGCAGAGGTTACAGTGAGCCGAGGTCATGCCACTGCACTCCAGCCTGGGCAACAGAGTGAGATCTGTCTCAAAAAAAAATAAAAAATGAAAAAGAAAAACGAAAAAAGAAAACGCAATGGAACCAGCAGGTTCTAAAAAATAAAGAATGAAGAAATAAAGGCCTACAGAAAGCCTGACTGAATAGAAGAGATAGACCATGCCATTCACTGGCAGCTTTATCCATATGGAAGAATCATGGAAAGGCTCTAGGAACATGAGATGTATACAAACAAGCTTTATATATATGTATACACACATATATATTTTAATAAAGGATGTTGCTATTTTGCCCACGCTGGTCTTGAACTCTTGGACTCAAGCTATCCACCTGCCTTAGCCTCCCAAAGTGTTGGACTTACAGGCCTTAGCCACTGTGCCCACCTGGGAAAAGCTCTGCAGGAGCATCCCCTGGGGTGCGTCCCATCCCCCACGCCCGCCCTTCCAGCAGGTCCGGCCACCTGAACCGCCGGCTAGCCGGGTCCCACCTCTAAACCGCCCCCAAGTAAGGGCCTGTCCGCGCCCACCCGGGAAGAAACTACAATTTCTGTGTTTGACTGGGTCCTATGTGGCTGAAACTCGAACCCAGGAGCCCCGCCCGGCCCGAGGCTCGGAGCGGAAGTGACGTCAGCGCACAATCGCCATCTTTTCCGGCGCTGGCTCCGCATGGTCAGTGCCATTTCGCCTTTATCGTGGTGGAGTCCACCCTGGCTGTGGTGAGTTCCGCCTGCTTGGGGATCCCGGAGATAGCGGGGGGCGGCAAAGGAACGATTGGGTGCTGTCGCCCAGGAGCCTCTCCGATCCGCCTCGTTTCACTCTCTTCTCCAGGGGCTGTCGGTCCTCCTTGCGCGGCCAGTGGCTAGAGGCCGCAGGCTCAGTGGGTCCCAGTCAGGAGCCAGGTCGGGAAGTGTGTTTGTCCCGACTCCGCGCGTTTTCTGGAGTGGTTTCATCCGCTGTGCTCCCTTCTTCAAAAGCTTGGAAAGCAACCTTTGTGAGTTTCTTTCTTTCTGAAAGTAAAAGGATTTCTGCCGTTCCAGTCAGGTTGGCTCCGGCCCCGCATTTCCGCGCCTCAG
This sequence comes from Homo sapiens, assembly GCF_000001405.40. Taxonomy (NCBI): domain Eukaryota; kingdom Metazoa; phylum Chordata; class Mammalia; order Primates; family Hominidae; genus Homo; species Homo sapiens. The sequence goes on along the minus strand of NC_000019.10, from coordinate 9,584,103 downwards.
GAACCTGGCGTTTCCGGCATGTTCCTGGTGAACACCTGCAGAAAATTGGTTTCAAGAGGGCTCTGACTTCCATTTCTTTGCTTAAAAATGTCTCGTCTGAGAATCTGGCATTGATGTCCTATTCTTATTTTTGACACATTACTTTCTGATGGAAAAAAAATAGTCGTTTAGGGTGTGCCTATATCTGCATGTAAATATGAACACGTGTAGACTGTGAGCCTTTAGTTTCTTATTTTATTTTCTTGGACTTAATGTTTTTTGTTGTTACCAGCTACAAGCCTTTCTACAAAAGAAAGGCAGGCTGGGCGCGCTGGCTCACGCCTGTAGTCCCAGCCATTTGGGAGGTCGAGGCGGGCAGATCACCTGAGGTCAGGAGTTCGAGACCAGCCTGGCCAACATGGTGAAACCCTGTCTCTACTAAAAATACAAAAAATTAGCCAGGCGCGATGGCGGGCGCCTGTAGTCCCAGCTACTCGGGAGGCTGAGGCAGGAGAATGGCGTGAACCCGGGAGGCGGAGCTTGCAGTGAGCCGAGATCGCGCCACTGCACTCCAGCCTGGGCAAAAGAGGGAGACTCCGTCTCACACACACAAAAAAAAAAAAAAAAAAAAAAAAGCCAGGCTTGGTGGCAGTCCCCTGTAATCCTAGCTACTTGGGAGGCTGAGGCAGGAGGATTGCTTGAACCTGAGAGGCCGAGGTTGCAGTGAGCCGAGATCTGCCACTGCACTCCAGCCTGGGCGATGAGAGCGAAACTCCGTCTCAAAAAAGAAAGAAAGGCAATAATACACAGCTGTTGTCTTTATCTGAAGTTCCTAGGTCTGTACCCCCCCACAGAGCTTCAAAACGGGCCCACAGGAAGAAAGGATGGAGGCTTTTGTTTGTTTTTTTCAGACGGAGTCTTGCTCTGTCGCCCAGGCTGGAGTGCAGTGGCGCGATCTCAGCTCACTGCAACCTCCACCTCCTGGGTTCAAGTGATTCTCCTGCCTCAGCCTCCGAGTAGCAGGGACAACAGGCATGGGGACCATGCCCAGCTAATTTTTTTTTTTTGTATTTTTAGTGGAGACAGGGTTTCACCATGCTCGCCAGGCTGGTCTCGAACTCCTGACCTTGTAATCCGCCTGACGGCCTCCCAAAGAGCTGGGATTACAGGCGTGAGCCTCCGCTCCTGGCCAGGATGGAGGCTTTATAATCAGAATATTATTCTAGTATTAGTGTAATAAAGTAGTATCTATTGAATTTATTAACAGCATGTTTAGACTAAGTGTAGTTTTGACATTTTTTTCTGAAAAATTTGATCCTAGGGAAAACTTGAACATCTAACACACCCAGTCTAGTAGTTTTTTTTTTTTTTTTTTTGAGACAGAGTCTCGCTCTGCTACCCGGGTCGGGGTGCAGAGGTGCGATCTCGGCTCACTGCAACCTCTGCCTCCCAGGTTCAAGTAATTCTCCTGCCTCCCTAGCATTAGGTGCGTCCATGTGAAGAGACCACCAAACAGGCTTTGTATGAGCAATAAAGCTTTTAATCACCTGGGTGCAGGCAGACTGAGTTCAGAAAAGGAGTCAGCAAAGGGAGATAGGGGTCGGGCAGTTTTATAGGATTTGGGTAGATAGTGGAAAATTACAGTTAAAGGAGGTTGTTCTCTTGCGGGCAGGGGCGGGGATCACAAGGTGCTCAGTGGGGAGCTCCTGAGATTCATTGTCCAGGAGAAGGAATGTCACAAGGTCAATTGATCAGTTAGGTTGGGGCAGGAACAAATCACAATGGTGGAATGTCATCAGTTAAGGCAGGAACTAGCTATTTTCGCTTCTTCTTGTTGTTCTTCAGTTGCTTCAGGCCATCTGGATGTATACGTGCAGGTCACAGGGAGTCTGATGGCTTGGCTTCGGCTCAGAGGCCTGACACCTAGTAGCTGGGACACAGGCACATGCCGCCATGCCCAGCTAATTTTTTTTTGTATTTTAGTAGAGACAAGGTTTCACCATGTTGGCCAGGCTGGTCTCGAAATCCTGAGCTCAGGCAGTTCACCTGCTTCGGCCTCCCAAAATGCTGGGATTACAGGTGTGAGCCACTGTGCCTGAACACTTACTTTTTGAGCATTGTGCTTGTTTTCTTTCACCTCAGGTAAATACATTTTATGGTGAACAATTTGAGTGTAAATTGAGCATAATTGCACACGTGATACTTGACCTTTAAATACTTGGTAATGCATCGCCTAAAAAAATAGCACTGTCATTCTGAAACCACAATACTAGTATTTCACTTAAATAAAAAATAATAATGTCATCTAATGTCTGCTTTTTATAATAACTAAAATTCTCCGCATTGATTCAACGTATGCTCTTGGATGTTTTTGGGTTTAAGATCCATTCAAGATTTTTACATTGCAATTGTTAATGTTTTCAGTGTCTTTTTACCTAGAACAGTTATTATTGTATATTATATTGACTTTTGGAGAGTCACACTGTGGGATATGAGGATATGATGAGGTTTCTCTTCAAATAATCTCATCAATCTTTTATTCTCTAATTCATAGTACCCCCCCTTTTTCTCCTTTTTTCTCCTTTTTGCCTTTGTTAGATGCCCAGGCATGCCACAGTACAAAGCGTTATCAGTACCAGCTCACATACCTTTCCTTACTTAGAAAGAGGACTTTCTAGCTCACTACAGACATCCCTTCCCCTTCCTCTCCACTTTTCTTCTACGTGCCCACCCTATCTAAAAAAAATCAGGTGTTTCACCAACCGGGATTAGTTTAGATTGTACGACCTGACCCCGGCCAATAGGGAAAGGGTACAGGGGCAGGACTTGCATCAGGAGTAAAGGCTCTCATGCCCCTTTGTTCAGGTGTGCTCTCATGGCAACTGGTCAAGGAGGCACCCCTCTGCACAGAAGTAAAATTGCTTTGCTAAGAATCCTTTGTTCGAGTGTTCAATTTCCTTAGGATTTTGAGCGTTATTCCTAACACTCATTCTCTTAGAAAGTCATACAATCAGATATTTCTGATTGGATTCTCATGGTGTGTGTAAATATTCCTTTATTTCATGCGATTTCCTACAAACTCGGGGTTTTTGGCCTAAAGGAGAAGCTGACAACCTTTGTTTGATAAGGGCTGACAGTATGTACTTCGTGCTTTGGGGACCAGAAAGTCTCAAATTACTCAGATCTGCCTTAGTTACTTCATGTCCCATGATTAGTTGTTCATTCTCTATCGCATGGTAGTGGCAAACCACAACCTGTTTCTCAAAAGAGAAACAGTTAATCTGCACAAGAGGGCATGGATTGACTATGGAATACCAGAGGCCTCTACTCTACATCTTCTGTTGGTGTATGCCAGAGGCTTCCAATAAATAGGATGCCATTTAACATGGACACGTTGAGTATCATTGGGTCTGCTGGATCAGGTGGACCAAGTGCTTGGGAAGCCTGCAGTGCAGCCTGAAATTGCTCTTGTCTACAGTTGAAACTAGAATCCTTACAGGCAACTGTGTGGGGCGTTAAAGCACATACAAATGTATATGTTGCCTCCAAAATTCAAGAGGTTTACGGGTGGTAGCTCTATTGACAGTTCTATTTTTAGTTTTTTGAGAAACCCCCATACTGAGTTTTTTTTTTTTTCTTTTTTGAGTCTTGCTGGATCACCCAGGCTGGAGGGCAATGGCATAATCATGGCTCATTGCTCGTTTTTAGTGGTAGGTGGTATTAGGTGAAGTAACTTGGAGGGACATCTTGCAGGGAATGTCTTTTTGTAGGGAATGTCTTTACATGATCCAGACAAGGGAATATCTATCTTTTTTTTTTTCTTTTTTTCTTTTTGAGACTAGTTTTTCTCTGTCACCCAGGCTGGAGTGCAGTGGCACAAACTGGGCTTACTGCAAACTCTGCCTCCCGAGTTCACGCCATTCTCCTGCCTCAGCCTCCTGAGTAGCTGGGACTACAGGTGCCCGCCAACACGCCCGGCTAATTTTTTGTATTTTTAGTATTGACGAGGTTTCACCGTGTTAGCCAGGATGGTCTCAATCTCCTGACGTCGTGATCCGCCCGTCTCAGCCTCCCAAAGTGCTGGGATAACAGGTGTGAGCCACCCGCGCCTGGCTGACAAGGGAATATCTTTACCCACAGACATGGTGGCCCCAGAATCTCCCACCCTCTATTTGAAAATTCAAAAAAAGTTTTTTGATTCATAATAGACGTACATGTTTTCTGAGTACATGTGATAATTTGATGCATTTATATTATCAAATCAGGGTAAGTAGAATATCTGTCACCTTAAATATTTATCCTTTCTTTATTGCAGGAAAATCAAGTTATTCTCTTAGCTGTTTTGAAATGTACAATAGATGAGTGTTAAATGTAGTCACCCTACTGATCTATTGAACACTAGTTCTTATTTCTTCTAACTGTGTATTTTACCCATGAATCAACCTCTCTTTTTTTTCTAGAGACGGAGTCTCACTGTTGCCCAGGCTGGAATGCAGTGGCATGATCTCGGCTCACTGTAACCTCCACCTCCTGGGTTCAAGTGATTCTCCTGCCTGGGACTACAGGCGCACGCCACAATTCCCAGCTAATTTTTGTATTTTCAGTAGAGATGGAGTTTCGCCATGTTGGCCAGGCTGGTCTCGAACTCCTGACCTCAAGTGATTCACCTGCCTTGGGCTCCTAAAGAGCTGGGATTACAGGCATGAGCCACTGTGACTGACAGGTTTTATGTGTGCATATGTGTGCAGACAGGTCTTCCTGTGTTGTCCAGGCTGGCTCGAACTTCTGGGCTCAAGTGATCCTCCCACCACAGCCTCAAGTTTTGGGATTACAGGCATGAGCCACTACACCTGAGTATTGTTCTCTATAGTGGCTGTACTAATTTACATTCCCATCAACTGCATACAAGGATTATCTTTTCACCACATCCTCATCAGTATTTGTTATTCCCTGTCTATAAAAGCCACCCTATGAGGTGAGATGACATCTCATTGTGGTAATGTGTGATTTGTATTTCTTTGATGTTTAGCCATGTTGAGCATTTTTTCCGTATACCTGTTGGCCATTTGTATGTCGTTTTTTGAGAAACAAGTATTCTGACCTTTGGCCAATTTTTTGATCGGATTTTTTTTTTTTTTTTTTTTGCTATCAAGTTGAGTTCCTTATATATTTTGATTACTAATCTTTGTCAGGTGGATAGTTTGTAAATATTTTTTTCCCATACTCTAGATTGTCTCTTCAGTTTGTTGATTGTTTTGCTGTGGAGAAGTTTTTAGTTTGATGTAATCTCATATGTTTATTTTTGCTCCTGTTGCCTGTGCTGTTGAGGTCTTACCCAAGAAATCTTTACCCAGACCAATGTCCTGGATTGTTTCCCCAGTTTCTTCCTCTAGTAGCTTTATAGTTTCAGGTGTTAGATGTCTTTAATCTGTTTTGATTTTGTTTATGCTGAGAGATGGCATCTAGTTCATTCTGCATATCGTTATTCAGTTTTCCCAGCAGCACTTATTGAAGACTGCTATTTTCCCATTGTATGCTTTTGGTGCCTTTGTTGAAAATGAACTGTCTATAAATGTGTAGATTTATATTTAGGTTCTCTGTTCTCTTCCATAGATCTATGTGTTTGTTTTTATGTCAGTACCATGCTGATTTGGCTATGGTAGCTTTGTAGAATATTTTGATATCAGGCAGTTTGATGCTTCCAGCTTTTTCTTTCCTTCTTTTTTTTTTTGAGACTAAGTCTCGCTCTGTCTCCCAGGCTGGAGTGCAGTGGTGCGACCTCGGCTCACTGCAACCTCTGTCTCCCAGGTTCAAGGAATTCTCCTGCCTCAGCCTCCCTAGTAGCTGGGACTACAGGCACGCACCACCATGTCTGGCTAATTTTTTGAGGTGGAGTCTCGTTCTGTCACTCAGGCTGGAATGCAGTGGTGTGATCTGGGCTCACTGCAAGTTCCGGCTCACTGCAAGTTCCACCTCTTGGGTTCACACCATTCTCCTGCCTCAGCCTTCTGAGTAGCTGGGACTACAGGCACCCACCACTGGGACTACAGGCACCACGCCAGGCTAATTTTTTTTTTTTTTTGTATTTTTTTTTTTAGTAGAGATGGGATTTCACCATGTTAGCCGGGATGGTCTTGATCTCCTGACCTCGTGGTCTGCCCACCTTGGCCTCCCAGAGTGCTGGGATTACAGGCGTGAGCCACCACGCCCGGCCCACAGCTGGCTAATTTTTGTATTTTTAGTAGAGACGGGGTTTCATCATGTTGGCCAGGCTGGTCTTGAACTCCTGACCTAATGATCCACCTGCCTCGGCCTCCCAAAGTGCTGGGATTACAGGTGTGAGCCACTGCACCTGGCCACTCCAGCTTCGTTTTTTTTGGTCAGTATTTCTTTGGCTGTTTGAGGTCTTTTGTGATTGCATATACATTTTAGGATTTTTTTTCTCTTTTTGTGACGAATTTCACTGGTATTTTGAGAAGGGTTGCCCTGAATTGTAAATTGCTTTGGGTAGTATTGTCATTTTAACAATATTCTAATCCATGAGCATGGAATATCTTCCCATTTTTTTTCTGTATCCTCTACAGTTTGTTTCATCAGTGTTTTATAGTTTTCCTTGCATAGCTCCTTCACATTTTTGGTTACTTTTTTTTTTCTTTTTCTTTATTTTTCTTTTTTGAGACGGAGTCTTGCTCTGTTGCCCAGGCTGAAGTGCAATGGCTCAGTCTTGGCTCACGGCAACCTCCGCCTCCCGGGTTCAAGTGATTCTCCTGCCTCAGCCTCCTTAGTAGCAGGGACTACAGGCGCACATGCCTCCACTCCCAGCTAACTTTTGTGTTTTTTTTTAGTAGAGACAGGATTTCACCATATTGGCCAGGCTGGTCTCAAACTCCTAACTTAAGGTGATCCACCCGCCTCAGCCTCCCAAAGTGCTGGAATTACGGGCGTGAGCCACTGCACCCAGCCTGGCCTGTAGTTTTGTTGCTGTTGTGCTCTTCTCTGCTTTTGATATGAGAATAATGCTCACTTTGTAGACCAAGTTTGGAAATATTCTCTTCTCTTCAATTTTTTTTGAGGAATTCGAGTTGTATTGTTATTCTTTCAGTTTTTGGTAGGATTTAGCAGTGAAGCCATCAGTTTCTGGGCTTTTCTTTGATGGGATTCATTTTGTTACGGCTTCAATCTTGTTATTGGTGTGTTGAGGTTTTCTGTTTGTTCATGGTTCAATCATGGTAGGTTGTATGCGCCCAATAATTTGTCCATTTCTTCCAGGCTTATCAATTTGTTGGCATATAGTTTTTTGTAATAGTTTCTAATGATTGGTTGTATTTCTGTGGTTTCTGTTCTGTTTTCTTTTTTCATTTTTTATTTTATTTGGGTCCTTTTTTTCCCCTTAGTCTAGCCAAAGGTTGGTTGATTTTGTTTATCTTTTCAAGTAATCAACTTTATGTTTTATTAATATTCTGTATTGTTTTTTATTCTCAATTTTGTTTATTTTGGCTGTGGTCTTTATCCTTTTGATTTAATTGTGAGTCTGATTTGTTTTTGCTTTTCTAGTATCTTAAGGGTATCATTCGGTTATTTTAAATCTTTCTACTTTTTGTATGTACGTGTTTATTGCTGTAAAATACTCCCTTAGTACTGCTTTTATCCCATAGATTTTGGTATGTTGTAGTTTCACTTTAATTTGTTTCAAGAAATATTTTAATTTCCAAATTTCTGTGTGCTTTTGTACCATGGATTTTGATATGTCAACGTACCAAAACAATGTTCCGTTGTGTAATTTTTTTTTTTTTTGAAGGGACAGGGTCTCCTTGTGTTGCCCAGGGTGGTCTCAAAGTCCTGGGTGCAAGCAGTCTCCCCATGTTGGCCTCCCAAAGTGCCGGGATTATAGGCATGAGCCACCACTTTGAGCCTGTGAATCAAGGTTCCTCTTGTTAGTGATTTCTAGTTTTATTCCCTTGTGGTCAGAAAAGATGATATGATTTCTACATTTTTGAATTTGTTGTGACTTTTTTTTGTGGCCTAAGATATGGCCTGTTCTGGAGAATATTCCATATGCTGAGGAAAGGAATGTATCTTCTGTAGCAGTTGGATAAAATGTCCTGTGTTAGGCCTTTTTGGTTTAGTTTATTGCTTAACTTCTTCTGTGTTTCTTTGTTGATTTTCTAGCTGGATGATCTGTCCATTACCGAGAGTGGGGTGTTGAAATCCCCTACTATTATTACTGCACTGCAGTGTGTATCTCCCTTTAGATTTATTAATGTTTGCTTTATATACTTAGGTGCTCCAGTGTTGGGTGCATAAATATTGACAGTTGTTATATCCTCCTGCTGAATTGACCCCTTTATCATTATATAGTGACCTTCTTTTTTTTTTATTTTTGAGACAGAGTCTTGCTCTGTTGCCCAGGCTGGAGTGCAGTGGTGTGATCTCAGCTCACTGCAACCTCCATCTCCCAGGTTTAAGCAATTCTCCTGCCTCAGCCTCGTGAGTAGCTGGTATTACAGGCACACACCACCACACCCGGCTAATTTTTGTATTTTTAGTAGAGATGGAGTTTTGCCATGTTGGCCAGGCTGGTCTTGAACTTCTGACCTCGTGATCTGCCCATCTCAGCCTTCCCAGAGTGCTGGGATTACAGGTGTGAGCCACTACTCCCAGCTATAGAGACCTTCTTTATCTCTTTTTGTTTTTGTTTTTTTGAAATGAAATCTTGCTCTGTTGCCCAGGCTGGAGTACAGTGGCACAATATCGGCTAACTGCAACCTCCGCTTCCTGGGTTCAAGTGATTCTCCTGCCTCAGCCTCCAGTGTAGCTGGGACTACAGGCATGTGCCACCATACCAGGCTAATTTTTTTTTAATTTTTAGTAGAGACTGGGTTTCACCATGTTGACCACGCTGGTCTCTAACTCGTGATGTCAGGTGATCCGCCCACCTCAGCCTCCCAAAGTGTTGTGATTTCAGGCATGAGACATTGTGCTGACCTGAATACGGTATTCTTAGATATCAATTTTTTTCTTCCAGCACTTTGAAAATTTCATCCCATAGCTAAGCAAGGTGGCCCATGCCTGTAATTCCAGCACTTTGTGAGGCTGAGCCTGGTGGATTGCTTGAGCTCAGGACTTTGAGACCAGCCTGGGCAACTTGGTTGTAAAAAGTAAAGTAGACATTTTTCTTTAAAGACTTTTTTTTTTCCATCTAATGAGGAATAAATAACTTCTTTTTAGAAGCAAAACTTATTCAAAGACCTGTGTTAACATACTTAAATATCTGCTAGCTGTAATAAAGAAATCAATGTACTTTATGTTCTTAGCTCCCACAATTTAGCCTAAATATTTGCCCTGGCATGCTTATACTGGTCCAAGCAAGCATTAGGTCATAGCCTGTTCCTATTCCTTATTTGAAGATGTTTTTGCCTTTCTCAGCATTCCACAAGTTACTTCCTCCTTCCTTTCTTCTCCTCTGCCTTTACGCCTTTTAAAAAGTTCTAAGCCAATCAAAACAAGTACAAAATGTGAGGTTCCATTCCAGCCAGTGGAAACTGGACACAGCAGTAGGGTGGATGCGTCAGGTTATAAATGAACCTGTCTCCTTTGTTCGGTGTACTCTCATGGCAAATCTGCTGGGGAGTGTACCCTTTCTGCAGAAAGTGTAAAAATGGCCTTGCTAGGGCCGGGCGCGGTGGCTTGTGCCTGTAATCCTAGCACTTTGGGAGGCCAAGGCGGGCAGATCACGGGATCAGGAGATTGAGACCATCCTGACTAACACGATGAAAACCTGTCTCTACTAAAAAAACAAAAAATACAAAAAATGAGCCGGGCATGTTGGAATGTGCCTGTAATCCCAGGTACTAGGGAGGCTGAGGCAGGAGAATCGCTTGAACCTGGGAGGCGGAGGTTGCAGTGAGCCGAGATCGCGCCATTGCACTGCAGCCTGGGCGACAGAATGAGACTCTGTCTCAAAAAAATGTATAAATAAATTAAAATGGCCTTGCTAAAGAAATAAAATTTATGTTCAAGTGCTATTTCTTTACGGCACCGGGAAACAAGCATTTCAAACATGGTGAAGCCCCGTCTCTACAAAAAAAAAAAAAAAAGAAAGAAAGAAAAATTAGCCAGGCATTGTGGTGCACATTTGTAGTAACAGTTACTTGGGAGGCTGATGTGAGAGTATGGCTTGATCCTGGGAGATAAAGGCTGCATTGAGCCATGATTGTGCCACGGTACTCCAGCCTGGGCAACGGAGTGAGACCGTCTCACAAAAAAAGAAAGAAAATGTCATCCTACTCCCTTCTGGCCTGTGTGTGGTTTCCCTTGAGAAATCCTGTTGCCAGACCAGCTGGAGTCCTTCATGTTATTTGCTTCTTTTCTCTTAATGCTTTTAAGGTCCTGTCTTTGTCCTTGACCTTTGAGAGTCTGAAGATTGTATGCTTTGTAGTAGTCTCATTTGGATTGAATCTGTTTGGTGTCATCTTACCTTCCTGTACCTGGATATTTATATTTTTCTCAATTTTTGGAATCTTGTTATTTCCTTAATAAAGCTTTCAAAGCTTACCCCTTGCACTTGCTGCATTCCCTCTTGAACACCAGTGATTCCTAGGTTTGGTCTTTCAAGGTAATTTTCTGCATCTTGCCGACAATCTTAGTTCCTTTTCATTCTTCTCTTCTGGCTATATTTTCAAATAGCTTTTCTTCAAGCTCAGTGAATCTTTCCTCTGATCCATCTTGCTGTTGAGAGCCTCTACCGTGAACTTTTGAGTTGAGTATTTCTCAGTTGTAAGATTTCTCTTTTTTGTTGTTGTTAATATATTCTAAAGTTTTTTCTGATACATTTCTGAGTTGCTCTTCTGTGTTATTTTGGAGATCACTGAATTTCCTTAAAACTGTTATTTTGAATTCTTAGGGAGCTCACATATTGTCATTTCATTAGGTTCAGTCACTGATACTATTTTCGTCCATTTTAGGAGGTCGTGGTTCCCCATTTGCTGTTGTTTCTTGTGGATGTACATCTGTGTCTGTGCATTGAAGGATTAGTTATTTATTACAGTCTTTGTCTGGCTTGTGGTTTTTATTGGGTATGTTTTCTTTTTATCTTTTTTGTTGTTGTTTTGAGACAAGGTCTCTCTCTGTCACCCAGGTTGCAGTGCCGTGGTGTGACCATGGCTTACTGCAGCCTCTACCTCCCAGGCTGAAGCAATCCTCCCACCTCAGCCTCCTGAGTAGGTGAGGTGCACGCCACCACACCTGGCTACTTTTTGTACTTTTTAGTAGAGATGGGTTTTCATCTTGTTGCTGGTCTTGAACTCGAGCTTAAGCGATCTGCCTGTCTCAGCCTCCGAAAGTGATTTTCTTTCTTTAAAATTTCCCTAGGTCACTGCCTCGTTTTCAGCACTAGATGGAATCTTAAACCCACGTTTGCCTTTGCTATAGCAAACTATCAAGAATACTGCCCATTCAGAATGAGGGAGTCCTAAAGGGCATATTCCAGCACTGTGGGAAGGCTGGCTGTGTGTTCATGCCCAGGTGACCTGTGTAGCGTACCCCTACAGTATGGTGCTCCTGAACAGCCACTCTGACTTGGCTTCTCCTTTGGCCAAGTTATAAAACAGAGTTTCCAGGGCTGGGATGGTAGTCCTGCCTCCCATCTTTGTCCCTGGATGTCCTCAGGGATGTTTCTCCCTTCAGGCATTTGTAATGCTTCCTGTGGGTTGAGACAGGGAGGGACTGATCTTTTACCAGGGAACCCAGGATGATGGAGAAGGTGGTTGTCCACATTGATCTCAGTTTTTTCCAGTGTAGAAACTGTGAATTGGTAGAAATTTTCCACATTCTTGGAAACTTGATTCTCTTAACGTCTCCCTTGGAGTTTTTTCACTTCTTTGTAGCCCCAGAAACTGCCTAATTTTTATATTTTAGATCAGGGATATTGCTGGTGATAATTTTCACAATATGCATTTGGTTGTAGTTTTCTGTCAGGGGATTGAAACCAGCTTGCTTCTGTACTACCATTTTGGAACCGTAAATGCTGCATGCTTCTAATAAAGTTGTCTAAGGTATTTTCAGGCAGGGCACAATGATTCATGCCCGTAATCCTAACACTGGGAGGCTGACGTGGGAGGATTGCTTGAGACCAGGTGTTTGAGACTAGCCTGGGCAACGTAGTGAAACCTCATGTCTATAGTAAAAAGAAAAAGAAAAACAATTAGCCAGGCATGGTAGTATGTGCCTATAGTCCCACATACTCGGGAGGCTGAGGCAGGAGGATTGCTTGAGCCCGGGAGTTTGAAGTTTGAAGTTGTAGTGAGCTATGATCATGCCACTCTAATCCAGCCTGGGTGACAGAGTAAGACCCTGTCTCTAATTTTTAAAAATGTGTTTTCTACTTCCTATTCATTGGATATGATCAGTATAATGGTGTCAACATAGTGTACTAGTGTGGTGTTTCATGGAATGTCATTTTCTCTGGGGATTAAGTTACGACAGAGACCTCGAGAACTGACACATTCTAGGGGCAATGTTATGAAGATACATTGTTGGTCCTGCCAGGTGAAAGGTAACCAAGTCTTGTTTTTTTCAAATTGGTATGGAGAAAAGACATTAGCTATGTCAATGCCTGCATACCAAGTGACAGAAATTATGTTGATTTATCTAGTAAAGGCATTACATTTTGAAAAATGGCGGTAATTGGAGTGATCACCTAAGTTCATGATTTATGAATGATTTCAGTGTGGTAATTGAGTGACAGGTTATGATTCTCCACTGGGATAAATCCAGTTTTTGGCTACTATAGTTTAGACTTTTTACATAGATGGAGCAGTATTCAAGTACAGAGATTGGTACACTATGGCCCATGGGCCATATCTGTCTCTCCATGTGTTTTTTGTATATAAAGTTTAATCAGAACACAACCGTGTTCATTTGTTTACATTTTCTATGGTATTTTCCATGCTACAACAGCAGAGTTGAGTAGCTGCAACAGAGACCATGTGGCCCATAATGCCTAACATATATTTTGTGGCTCTTTAGAGTAGGCTTTGTTAACTGCTTATCTATTTCATTTCTAGGGACAGCACGATCAGTTAGCCACCACCACAGATCTCTGTAGGTCAGGGCATTCTGATTACTGGTACATTTCCACTGTCCTTGATAGTTGATTTTCTCACCTTGTGTTTGGTGATTAAATACTACCTTCTTGATTTCTGCTATTCTGGGTCCCCTTCATCTCGATTGAAAGCAGGGAACTCGGCTGGGTGCGGTGGCTCACGCCTGTAATCCCAGCACTTTGGGAGGCTGAGGCGGGCAGATCACCTGAGGCCAGGAGTTCTAGACCATCCTGGCCAATATGGTTAAACCCCGTCTGTACTAAAAATACCCCCCCCCCTCGCAAAAAATTAGCCAAGTGTGGTGGCAGGTGCCTGTAATCCCAGCTACTTGGGAGGCTCAGGCAGGAGAATCGCTTTAACCCAGGAGGCGGAGGTTGCAGTGAGCCTAGACTGCGTCATTGCACTCCATCCTGGGCAACAAGAGCAAAACTCCGTCTCAAAAACAAACAAACAAACAAAAAAACCCAGGGAACTCATCTCAGTGATGGTATTCTTTGCAGTCATACCTGTCCTATGAAGGAGAATACCAACAGAGCTTTTCAAGGATTACGACACTCCCGCCACTACTCTCTTAATAACCTTTGTGAAGAGAGTGTCTTCTGCTCTGTCAACAAAGGGCGGGGGAGTGGGCTATACAGATGACACATAGTAAATCCAGTGCAACACTCCTGTCTCTCTAGGATTCCCTCCTTCACATTATGCCAGGGAAGCTCTGGCATATGAGCCTCATTAATTATAACAATTTCAGCCCTGAGAACATAAGAAATAACTTTATTTCAGGGGTGTCCTAAAGAAGCTCTCTGATTCTTTTGTTTTTGGATGGAATCTTGCTCTGTTGCCCAGCCTGGAGTGCAGTGGCATGATCTCGGCTCACTGCAGCCTCTGCTTCCTGAGTAAAAGCGATTCTCCTGCCTCAGCCTCCTGAGTGGTTGGGACTACAGGCACGTGCCACCACGCCCTGCTAATTTTTGTATTGCTTGAACTAGGGTGGGCGGCGGCAGAGGTTGTAGTGAGCGAAGATTGTGCCACTACACTCCAGCCTGGGGGACAGAGCAAAAATCTCTCAAAAAGAAAAAAAAGAGAGAGAGAGAGAGATGTAATACTACCCATGATATAAGAAAAGCTACAAAAGACACAATATTCGAGCTTTTGACGATATCGTAAAAAAAAAAAAAAAAAAAAAGATCTCGGCCAGGCGTGGTGGCTCACACCTGCAATCCCAGCACTTTGGGAGGCTGAGGTGGGCGGATCACCTGAGGTCGGGAGTTCAAGACAAGCCTGGCCAATGTGGTGAAACCCTGTCTCTATAAAAATACAAAAAAATTAGCCAGACCTGATGGTGGGTGCCTGTAACCCCAGCTGCTCACGAGGCTGAGGCAGGAGAATCACTTGAACCTGGGAGGTGGAGGTTGCAGTGAGTTGAGACAGTGCCATTGCACTCCAGCCTGGGTGACAGAGTGAGACTCTGTCTCAAAAAAAAAAACAAAACCAGAAAACAAAATAATGATCTCTCTTTGCACTTGGATTATTTCCTATTTGAATACACGTTTTAATGGTTTTTATTTTATTTTTTTTAAGACAGGGTCTCACTTTGTCACCTAGGTTGGAGTACAGTGGTGCAATCATGACTCACTGCAGCCTCAACCTCCCCAGGCTCAGGTGATTCTCCCACCTCAGCCTCCCAAAGTTCTGGGATTACAGGCATGAGCCACTGCGCCCAGTCTTTAATGGTTTTTAAATGTGTATTTAAGTCTGAATAGTGGGTATTTGGTCAGAGATAACCAACTCCTCAGGGCACAAAAGGATGAGATATATGAAATTTGAGCTCTTTTAAAATAGTTTCACTACTCTCTTTAGGAATATAGTTGTTTTTTTCTTGGTTACGTTTGTCATTTCCTTCATAAGCCTCTTCCATTGATGTATCTTTCCCTCTGTACAGGACCTATTCAAACTCAGTCTGTCTCTTGACTGGAGGAGGAGAAGGAAAAGTTGAGCACATTGCCAACCGGAGTTCCCCAAGGTGAGTATGAAGAACACTCCTGGTCAATGAGAAGTTCAGTATGTTTGGAAGCATAATGAAGATATATTTAAAAGATGTACTTTGTCACAGAACATGGGGCCATTGGACTTGGAAGTTTTAGGGTATCTTCAACTTTCCATATTCCTCTCTTTTTCATCTAACCCAGACTTTCATGTGATTTTGCAAATGAGTGCTCTTTTATCTTTTTGTTTATGACTTTAATGTGTGCTCTTTATCCAGATCATTTCTATTTTCCTTCCCTAATACTATTTCTGTTCATTATCTCATTTAATTTCTATAGAATAAATTGTTTAAAAAATTACTAAATTGCTGGGCATGGTGGCTTATGCCTGTAATCCCAGCACTTTGGGAGGCTGAGGCGGGTGGATCTTTTGAGGTCAGGAGTTGAGACCAGCCTGGCCAACATGGAGAAACCCCGTCTCTACTAAAAATACAAAAATTAGCCGGGCCTGGTGGTGGGCACCTGTAATCCAAGCTACTCGGAGGCTGAGGCAGGAGAATCGCTTGAACCCAGGAGGTGGAGGTTGCAGTGAGCCGAGATCATGCCACTGCACTCCAGCACTCCAGTCTGGGTGACAGAGCGAGACTCTGTCTCAAAAAAAAAAAAAATTACTAAGTTTAGACCCCAAGTCCTTACGATTGCCAAATGTTCGTCATGGATAAACTGTTCAAATCTATGTCTGTTTAATTTTTTTGAGTGTGCTGAATATGACAAATAAAAATGAGCTTTATAATTCTGACTTATTTAACCTACTGTTTTGTTCTCAGACCCTATTTTTTTTTCTTTTTTTCTGTTTTACTTCAGAATGGCAAGTTAAAACCAAAGTGTCAGCACCTCAACAACATTTTTTTTTGGCTTAACAAAACATCAAACGGCATACAAATGGTAAGATTAAGATTTCTTATTTACCACACTCAAAAAAAGATTGGGATTCAATTATAAAAAATCAGCAAAAATGAGAGATATTTGAGAGAGGTAACATTTACTCAAGCAGGAGGAATGTCTCTAGAGCAAGGGTCCCCACTGGTACTGTTTCTGTTAGTGTTAGGAACTGGGCTGCACAGCAGGAGGTAAGTGGCAGATGAACGAAACTTCATCTGTGTGTATAGCCATTCCCCATCGCTTGTATTACTGCCTGTCATATACTCCACCTGTCAGTAGCAGCATTCGATTGTCATAGAAGCACAAACCTTACTGTGAACCACCCATGCGAGGGTTCTAGATTGTGTGCTCCTTATGAGACTGATGATCTGTCACTGTCTCCCATCACCTAGATGGGACTGTCTAGTTGCAGGAAAACAAGCTCAGGCCTCCTGCTGATCCTATTTTATGGTGAGTTGTATAATTATTTCATTATATATTACAATGTAATAATAATAGAAATAAAGTC
The DNA here is from genome assembly GCF_000001405.40 of Homo sapiens. Classification (NCBI taxonomy): domain Eukaryota; kingdom Metazoa; phylum Chordata; class Mammalia; order Primates; family Hominidae; genus Homo; species Homo sapiens. The sequence continues at coordinate 9,567,589 of NC_000019.10, read as the reverse complement.
ACAGTAAATGTAATGTTGTTGAATCATGCTGAAACCATCCCTATCCCACCCCTATTCCACCCCTGTTTGTGGAAAAATTGTCATCTACGAAATCAGTCTCTGGTAGCAAAAAGGTTGGGGACCTCTGCTCTAGAGGGATACTCTAAATGTAATGCATTTGGGGATACCTTAATCCTATCTTAAAACTTGGTGCTTCAGCATTCTCACAAGTACAAATTATCACATATGTAGCTAGATTATAAAAACAATTTCATGAAAATATACAGGAATTATTTCAAGGTTCTTAGAGCAAATGGCACAGGGTTCTTGCCAGTAGGTTTTCTTCATTCAACTTGTAAGAAATACATGGGGCAGCAACTGTATGCATGTAATGAAAATGGCAAAAATTATAATCATAATAAACTGTCTGATTTCAGATGGGTAAAATCTGTTGATAAATCTGAAAAATCCTTTAATCATCATTCATCCCTTTATTAACAGGCAGAAATCCACAATGGAGGGGAACTCTGTGACTTTATGGAAAATGGAGAAATCTTCAGTGAACACTCATGCCTTAATGCACACATGGGAACTGAAAATACAGGGGACACTTATGACTGTGATGAGTATGGAGAAAACTTTCCCATGTTACACAACAGTGCCCCTGCTGGAGAGACACTTTCTGTGTTGAATCAGTGCAGAAAAGCCTTCAGCCTGCCACCAAATGTTCACCAGAGAACGTGGATAGGAGACAAATCCTTTGAATACAGTGACTGTGAGGAAGCCTTTGTTGATCAGTCACATCTTCAGGCAAATAGGATAACTCACAATGGAGAAACACTCTATGAACAGAAGCAATGTGGGAGAGCTTTTACTTACTCCACAAGCCATGCTGTGTCTGTTAAAATGCATACTGTAGAAAAACCCTACGAATGTAAGGAATGTGGAAAATTCTTTAGATATTCTTCATATCTTAATAGTCACATGCGAACCCATACTGGGGAGAAACCCTATGAATGTAAGGAATGTGGGAAATGCTTCACTGTTTCTTCACACCTAGTTGAACATGTAAGAATTCATACTGGAGAGAAACCTTATCAATGTAAGGAATGTGGAAGAGCCTTCGCTGGGCGCTCAGGCCTTACTAAACATGTACGAATACACACTGGAGAGAAGCCCTATGAATGTAACGAATGTGGGAAAGCCTACAATAGGTTTTATCTACTAACTGAACATTTTAAAACTCACACAGAGGAGAAGCCCTTTGAATGTAAGGTATGTGGAAAATCCTTCAGAAGCTCTTCATGCCTTAAGAATCACTTTAGAATTCACACTGGAATAAAACCCTATAAATGTAAGGAGTGTGGGAAAGCATTCACTGTTTCCTCAAGCTTACATAATCATGTAAAAATCCATACTGGAGAGAAGCCCTATGAATGTAAGGACTGTGGGAAAGCCTTTGCTACATCTTCACAACTCATTGAACATATAAGAACTCACACTGGAGAGAAACCGTATATATGTAAGGAATGTGGGAAAACCTTCCGTGCTTCTTCACATCTACAGAAACATGTTAGAATTCACACTGGAGAGAAACCCTATATATGTAACGAATGTGGGAAAGCCTACAATAGATTTTATTTACTTACTAAACATTTAAAAACACACTGAAGAAAAACTCTGAATGTAAGGAATGTGGAAATCTTTTAGGAATTTCTCATACCATAATTACCACATTTGAATTCACACTGAAGAGAAATTTTATTGGTACAAAGAATGTGAGGAGGCCTTCAGTTATCCCCATTCACTTCGAAGACATGAAAGAACTCATACTCTATGTGTCCCCTATAAATTTTAGGAATGTTAGGGAGCCAATGGAATCTTTTTTTATTATTTTATTTTATTTTATTTTATTTTATTTTATTTTATTTTATTTTATTTGAGACAGAGTTTTGCTGTTGTCATCACACAGGCTGGAGTGCAATGGCATGATCCCAGCTCACTGCAACCTTTGTCTCCTGGGTTCAGGCGATTCTGCCTCAGCCTTCAAGTAGCTTGGATTACAGGTGCCGTCAACCACACCCAGCTAATTTTTGTATTTTTAGTAGAGATGGGGTTTCACCATGTTGGCCAGGCTGGTCTCGAGCTCCTGACCTCAGGTGATCCACCCGCCTTGGCCTCCCAAAGTGCTGGGATTATAGGAGTGAGCCACTGCTCCTGGCCTTTTTTTTTTTTTTTTTTTTTTTTTTTTTTTTTTGTAAGTCGTTGTTAATACACATTCTTTTCTCAAGGGATTGGATTGTGGTCACAATCCAACATTTGAGAACTCACCATGGGGCCATACAATGTAGAAAACACAGAAAGCCCTCATTATTTCCTTAGGCCTTTCTAAGTATATAAGATGTTGCAATGGAGAAGAGAAACCCTATTGATACAAGATACAGGCATGCCCTGTAGATATTGTGAGTTTTGTTCCAGACTACCACTATAAAGTGAATATCACAATAACATGAATCATACAAATGTTTTGGTTTCCCAGTGCATATAAGTTAGGTTTACATCATATGGTAGTCTCTTGTGTGCAGTTGTGTTATGTCTAAGTAAAGTACCTTAGTTTAAAATACTTTATTGCCAAAAAGTGCTAATGATCATGTGAGACTTTGGTGAGTTGTAATCTTTTTGCTTGTGGTAGGTCTTGCCTCAGTGTTGATGGCTGTTGATCAGGGTGGCTGTGGCAGTTTCTTAAAATAAGACAGCAGTGAAGATTGCTGCATTGATTGACTCTTCATTACATGAAAAACTTCTCTTTAGCATTCGACGCTGTTTGATAACATTTTACGCATAGTGGAACTTCTTTTAGAATTGGACTTAATCCTCTCAAACTTCGCCACTGCTTGATCAACTAAGTTGATGTAATATTCTAAGTCTGTTGTCTTTTCAACAATGTTCACAGCATCTTCAGGAGTAGATTTCATTTCAGGAAACCACTTTCTTTGCTTATCTATACAAAGCAGCCTCTCATCTGTTCAAGTTTTTTCACGAGATTGAAACAATTCTGTCACATCTTCAGGCTCCACTTCTAATTCTAGTTCTCTTTTTTCCATCACATCCACAGTTACTTTTTCCACTGAAGACTTGAACCCCTCAGAGTCACCTATGAAGGTTGGAATCAACTTCTTCCAAACTCTGGTTAATGTTGGTTTTTATTTTTTTAATTAAAAAAATTTTTTTTAGAGACAAGGTCTCGCTGTGTTGTTCATGCTGGAGTACAAGTGGGTATTCACCAGCACGATGAGAGCACACTGTAGCCTTGAACTCCTGGCCTCAAGTGATCCTCCTTCCTATGCCTCCTGAGTAGCCAAGACTCCAGGCACACACCACCACACCTGCCTTAATGTTGATATTTTGACCTCCTTCCATGAATCATAAATGTTGTTAATGGCATCTAGAATGGAGAATCCTTTCTGCAAGGTCTGCAACTTAATTTATCCAGATCCCTCAGAAGAAGCATTATTAGTGGCAGCTATAGCCTTATGAAATGTATTTCTTAAATAATAAGACTTGAAAGTCAGAATTATTCCAGAATCCATGGGCTGCGGTTAGCAGACATGAAAACGCCAATCTTGTTTATACCTCCATAAGAGCTCTTGGTTAGTAGGTTCATTATCAGTGGTAATATTTTGAAAGGAATCTCTGAACAGTATGTTTTACAGTGGGCTTAAAATATTCAGTAAACCATGCTGTAAATAGATGTAAATAGATACCACAGGAAGAGTAGATGTAGCATAATTCTTAACTGGCTCTTGGATTTTTGGAATGGTAATTGAATATTAGCATTCATTTAAAGTCACCAACTGCATTGACCTCTAACAAGAAAGCCAGCCCAGGCTGGGAAAAGTGGCTTACACCTGTAATTCCAGTGCTTTGGGAGGCTGAGGTTGGAGGATCACTTGAGGTCAAGAGTTCAAGACCAGCCAGCACAACAGAGCGTGACGCTGTCTCTACAAAGTAAAGAGTCAGCCCGTCCTTTGAATCTTTGAAGTCAGATATTAGCTTACCTAGAGCTGTGAAAGTCCTAAATGGCATCTCCTGAAGTAAGGCTGTTTTGTCTCTGTTAAAACTCTAGTAGAGCTACCTCTGCCATTTATCTAGATATTCTGGAAATGCTTGCTGCAGATTCCACATCAGCAATTGCTACTTCACTTTGTACTTTTATGTTATGGAAATGACTTGTTAAACCTCACGAACTGATCTTTGCCAGCTTCCAGCATTTCTTCTGCAGCTAACTCACCTCTCAGCCTTCATAGAATTAGAGTTAGGGCCTTGCTCTGGATTAGGTTTTGGCTTAAGGGAATGTTGTGGCTGGTCTGATCTTCTATCCAGACCACTAAAACTTATTCCGTGTTAGTGGTGAGGCTGTTTTCCTTTCTTATTATGTGTGTGTTCACTGGAGTAGCACTTTTAGTTTCCTTCAAGAACTTTACATTCACAACTTGGCTAACTGGCACAAGAGGCCTAGATTTTGGCCTATCCCAGTTTTTTTTTTTTTTTTTTTTTTGAGACATGGTCTCCCTTTTGCCCAGGCTGGAGTGTAGTACAGTTATAGCCCATTGCAGCCTCAAACTTACGGGTTCCAGTGATCTTCCTGTCTCCTGAGTAGCTAAAGACTGCAGGTGTGCACCACCATGGCCAGCTAATTTTTTTTTTTTTTTTTTTTTTTTTTTAAAGAGGCAGGACTTTACTGTTTACCCGGCTGATCTTGAACTTAAAACCTCAAGTGATGCTCCCCTATCTGCCTCCCAACACTCTGGGATTACAGGTGTGAGCCACTGCACCTGGCTCTTATCTTGGCTTTTGACATGACTTTCTCACTGAGGTTAATCATTTCCAGCTTTTGATCTAAAGTGAGAAATTTGCAACTCCTTCTTTCACTTGAACAGTTAGAGGCCATTGTGGGGTAATGAATTGGCCTAATTTCAATATTGTCCCTCAGGGAATTAGGAGGCCTGGGAAGAGGAGGAGAGAGGGGAGAGTGGCCAGTTGGTGGAGCAGTGAGAACATAGCATTTGTTAAGTTTGCTGTCTTCGAAGGTTGTGGTTTGTGGTACCCCAAAACAATTAAAATAGGAACATCAAAGATCACAGAGCAGCCGGGCACGGTGGCTCACACCTGTAATCCCAGCACCTTGAGAGGCTGAGGTGAGTGAATCATGAGGTCAGGAGTTCGAGACCAGCCTGGCCACCATGGTGAAACCCCGTCTCTACTAAAAATACAAAAAATTAGCCGGGCATGGTGGCAGGCACCTATAGTCCCAGCTATTCAGGAGGCTGAGGCAGGAGAATCACTTGAATCCAGGAGGTGGAGGTTAGAGTGAGCTGAGATCACACCACTGCACTCCAGCCCAGGTGACAGAGTGAGATTCCTTCTCAAAAAAAAAAAAAAAAAAAAATCACACAGCACCACAGTAAGTATAATAATAAGGAAAATGTTTGAAATATTGTCAGAATTGTCAGGATGTGAGAGACAAAGTAAGCACATGCTGTTGGAAAAAATGGTGTTATAGATTTATTCGACATGACATTGCCACAGGACTTCTACTTGTGAAAAATATCTGTAAAGTGAGATGAAGCAAAGTGAAGTAACATGAGGTATGTCTGTAGCTGTTGCTGTAGTGGTTTCCAAATGGTGGTTTTCTTTTCCTTTTTTTTTTTTTTCTTTTTGGTCTGCATTGGGGTCTTGCTCTGTTGCCTAGGGTGTGGAGTGCGGTGGCATGATCATGCCTCACTATAGCCTTGACCTCCTGGGCTCAAGCGATCCTCCCACCTGAGTCTCCTGAGTACCTGGGACCACAGGCACATGCTAACGCACCCACTTAATTTTTTTATTCGTAGAGCCGAGGTCTCACTATGTTGCCCAGACTGGTCTCAAGCTCTTGGGCTCAAGCAGTCCTCCTGCCTCAGCCTCCCAAAGTGCCAGGATTACAGGTGTGAGCCACCACACCCAGTCCAAAAAGTGATTTTCTAATTCCATAGTTTCTTCTACATTTCTTAACTGGAATTTTGTAAGGAAGAGTTATCCTTATTCATTTATTTACCCATTTACTTGTAGGAGCATGTATCATAAATTCTTAATCTATGGGGTGTAGTTAGCTACTGTAAATTTGATGCACATATTTTTCCAGATTCAATAAGTAGGATCCCCATCAAGCTATCTTCTGAATCTTTAAAAATGTATTCTCCTTATTTCATGGGTATATAATTATTTTCTGGGCAACAGTTTGTTCATGGTACATTTGTCTCCAGCCCTAGACTCAGAAAAATGTAATTTATTTTAATGGAGAATACTATTTAGAAGCTGCAGTCTCTGTGTAGGGAGGTGTTCCTAGGTAATAGTGCCCTGGCTTTTAGGTCTTCTCTATGGAGGATATGGCAAAGACATACAAAATTATATATACGTATCCACACATTAATAACTCTATTTCTATATTAAAAACATGACCACAAGCCAACACTTTTAATTCCACTGCAGCACTGCTGGGTTATTTCTTGCTTTCCAAATTCCCTTGTCTGTAGCTATCTTTCATCACTTGCAAAAATAGCACGTGCTCAATCCTAGATTAAAATATAAGCTACTCTCAGAATTGATAACTCATACCACTCTTTTTAAAAATCAACTAACCAGAATTCAGTTTTTATTCACAGTTCTTATCTTTAGCTCAGGGCGTAATATAAAAGCACTAGGTTTAAAACTTACTTGGTCAGCAGCAATCCACTTCTAGGTACATGTCCAAAGGAACTGAAGAAAGCATCTCAATGTGTGAATGCCTACCTGTGTTCATTGCAGCATTATTCAGAAGAGCCAAGAGGTGGAAGCAAAGTAAATGTCCATTGACAGATGAATTGGTAAACAAAATGCATTATATACATACAATGCAATATCATTTAGCCTTAAAAACAAAATTCTGCCATATGCTACAACATGGACGTTATGCTAAGTGAAATAAACCAGTTCCGAAAGGACAAATACACCCATTTCCACTTATATGGGGTATCTAACGTCAAACTCAGAAGAACAAAGTACTGCGGTATTTGCCACAAGCTGGTGGAGGAGAAAATGAGTTGTTCAATGGGTATTGAGTGTCAGCCACGCAAGATGGAAAAGCTTTTTGAGATTTGTTGTATAAAAATATGCCTATAGTTAACAATACTCTTCGGTACACACAAAGTATGTGAAAGGGTAAATTTTATGTGTTTTTATCACAATAAAAATTGTAATAAAAGAAGTTACTTGGGTCAATTTTGTGCTTTTTACCCCCCTCTTCATTGTTGAATTTTTATCCATTTGATACAAAGTTCATTTCAGTAATTCCTGTTAATTTTCCATTTTGTGTCACACCGTTATCCTTGTCGATTTTTTTTTAAATTAGATATGTAAAACAGGCCAGGCATGGTGGCTTATGCCTGTAATCCCAGTACTTTGGGAAGCCGAGGTGGGCGGATCACCTGAGACTGGGAGTTGGAGACCAGCCTGGCCAACATGGTGAAACCCTGTCTCTACCGTAAATACAAAAATTAGCCAGGCGGCTGGGTGCCGTGGCTCATGCCTGTTATCCCAGCACTTTGGGAGGCCGAGGCAGGCAGATCACAAGGTCAGGAGTTCAAGACCAGCCTGGCCAATATGGTGAAACCCCATCTCTACTAAAAATACAAAAATTAGCTGGGTATGGTGGCAGGCGCCTATAGTCCCAGCTACTCAGGAGGATGAGGCAGGAGAATCACTTGAACCCGGGAGGCGGAGGTTGCAGTGAGCCGAGATCGTGCCACTGCACTCCAGCATGGGTGACAGAGTGAGACTCTGTCTCAAAAAAAATAAATAAAAGGCTGGGTGTGGTGGCTCATGCCTAAGTGGGCAGATCATGAGGTCAGGAGTTCAAGATCAGCCTGGCCAACATAGGGAAACCCCGTGTCCACTAAAAATAGAAAAATTAGCCGGCCGTGGTGGTGGGTGCCTGTAGTTCCAGTTACTGGGGAGGCTGATGCAGGAGAATTGCTTGAACCCCAGAGGCAGAGGTTGCAGTGAGTCAAGATTGCACCACTGCACTCCAGCCTAAGTGACAGAGCGTGACTGTCTCAAAGAAAAAAATTAGGCGTCATGACACCCACCTGTAATACCAGCTACTTGGGAGGCTGAGGCAGAAGAATCGCTTGAACCTTGGGGGTGGAGGTTGCAGTGAGCTGAGATTGTGCCACTGTACTCCAGCCTGTTAGAGAGTGAGACTGTCCCAAAAAAATTAATATGTGAAACAATAGTATGTTTTATTTTATACTGGTTTATCTTTTTTTTTTTTTTTGAGTCAGGATCTTGCTGTGTCACCTAGACTGGAGAGCAGTGGCATGATTGTACCTCACTGCAGCCTTATGCTCCTGAGCTCAAGCACTCCTCCCACTTTAGTGTCTCAAGAGGCTGGGAGTACAGGCATGCACCACCAGGTGCAGGCAGTTTTTAAATTTTTTACCCTTATTTTTTTTTGAGACAGGGTGTTGCTCTGTCACCCAGGTTGGAGTGCAGTGGTGCAGTCATAGCTCCCTGCAGCCTCACACTTCTGAGATCAAGCAGTCCTTCTCCCTCAGCCTCCTGAGTAGGTAGGACTACCAGCGTGCACCACCAGGACTGGCTAATTTTAAATTTTTGTAGAGACAGGATGTGGCAATGTTGCCCAGGCTGGCCTCAAACTCCTGGTCTTAAGGGATCCTCCCATCCTGGCCTCCTAAAGTGCTGGTGTAACAGGCATTAGCCACAACGCCCACCTAATTGCATACTTTAAACATTAGAACTAAACATAAACGTTTTTCTTGCCTTATCCTTTCCAGTCTGTTCTAATCTCACTGTCCTTTACAACCTGTTCCTATCCCATCAGCTATAGGTAATGAACCTTTTTCTCTGAATAATCCTGTGTTTTCTTCTAGCAAAAATGAACATATATATATTTGTTATTGCCCATTTAAAAAAAGATTTCAGGCAGGTACGGTGGCTCACGCCTCTAATCCCAGCACTTTGGGAGGCTGAGGCGGGTAGATCACAAGGTCAGGAGATCGAGACCATCCTGGGTAACACGATGAAACCCCCTGTCTACTAAAACTACAAAAAATTTGCCAGGCGTGGTGGTGGGCGCCTGTAGTCCCAGCTACTCGGGAGGCTGAGGCAGGAGAATGGCATGAACCCGGGAGGCAGAGCTTGCAGTGAGCCGAGATGGCGCCACTGCACTCCAGCCTGGGCAACAGAGTGAGACTCCGTCTCCAAAAAAAAAAAGTTTCATACTATACTCTTGCAGTTTCTATTTTTGCCTAACAGTGTATCTTGATAACCACTCCATATAAATTCATAGATATATCTTCCTTTTTCACCTTCATTCTGTAGCTGCATAATACTCCTTTTGTGGATGTACCATGTAATATTCAGCTGCTCTACTACATGTCATCAATTAGAGAATTCAAATTTGCAATTACTAACAGGGATGCAGTTAGTATTCTTGAGCATGTGTATTTTTGTATATTTAGGCATTTACATTCAGGACAAATTCCTAGAATTAGGATTGCTGGATTAAATAGGTAGTATATTAGACATTGACAAATTCTCTGTGCTAGGCAGCCTCCAAATTGGCCTCCAGTTTCTGCTTCCTGGTATTTGAGGACTACCCTTGTGTAATCCTCTCATACTGTACTATGATTGATATGTGTAACCACCAGAATATGGCAGAAGTTCTGGTAAGCCAGTTCTGAAATTAGGTTATGAAAGCCCACACATAACTGGAGCCCCAGTATTAAAAACAATTTTAAAAAAGAGCAACTCATGCTTCCTGATGTCAAAAGTTACTATAAAACTACAGAAATCAGGCTGGGCATGGTGGCTCCTGCCTGTAATCCCAGCACTTTGGGAGGCCGAGGAGGGCAGATCAAAAAAAATGTGTTCATAAAAAAATGAACACAATTTTTTTTAAGTTCACATGACAATTCTTTTATAAATTAATTGGTTTTAAAGTTGTCGATAAAATTAGATATGTCTTCAAAATTGTCAGCATATATTTTTGTCTGGGTTTACTGGTCTGACAGTGTTGTGTCTGTCTCTATTAGATACTTTAAGTTCATGAAGCTAAACCCAATCTAAAACAATGATCTTTGTGCAATTCTTTTATAAGTGAGATTTACTTAATATTTTTGATTTAATAACAATAGCTATATCTTCTGAGTTATTGACAGAATAACCATGTATTTAGTGTAGGGTTTGAACTTTGGTAAACAATATTAACAGGATATAAAATTGGTTAATAAAAAATAATTTAAAACAATGACTAGCTGTGTCAAATCTTAATAAGTAATCTAGGTGTAATTAGAAATTAAAGGTAACTGTAAATGGAATAAATGTTTATAAATAAACTTTTCATGTAATTTAAAATCTTAAATAATATTAATTATCTGGGTCATATCCAAATAAGATATAAGGCAAACAAATTACTGAAAAAATATATATTCATTCTTGGCTTCTTAAAATTTCTTTCTTTTTTTTTTGAGACGGAGTTTCACTCATCACCCAGCTGGAGTGCAATGGTGTAATCTCAGCTAATTGCACCCTCTGCCTCCCAGGTTCAAGCAATTCTGCCTCAGCCTCCCGAGTAGCTGGGTTTACAGGTGCCCACAACCATGACAGGCTAATTTTTGTATTATTAGTAGAGATGGGGTTTCACCATGTTGGCCAGGCTGGTCTTGAATTGCTGACCTCAGGTGATTCACCTGCCTTCACCTCTCAAAGTGCTGGGATTACAGGCATGAGCCACCGTGCCCAGCTGGCTTCTTAAAATTTCTAAAAAGAGTAGATATATTTTGGTCTATTACTCCAAATACAAATTTAGGAAAAAGTAATTTTTGTGTGAGAATCTTATGTGGTAAATTTTTGTCCTAAGGTAAAATGATTGGTTGTACCAATATAAAAGGAGAAAACTGTAAGTCTAAGACTGAAGGTTTAAGAAAATGATTAAACGTCTAAACAATTTGAATAGGATTTATAAAAGATAAGCCTTACCGACAGTTTATTGTATGATTGTGTTGGCTAGGATTGAAAAGAAATTGTACATAGGATATTTTTTTCCTAAAAATTAAACAGTGGTGTTGGGTGCACTGATACAGGACCAGAATCTGGTCCTCTATATTGAAAACAAGAAGGTGTGTTTTTTTTTGACATATTTATCTGCACTTAATAAATTTGCAAGACGTTTTGTTTGTTCGTTCTAAAATCTGTTAGTAGCCATCTTCTAAACTCTAGTTTCTATTTCGGCCACATTTTTTCCTGAGATCGATTTAATTTCTGTAGTTTTCAGGTTTTAAATGCTGTCCTCATCATTTAAAACAGTAATTTTATTTATTGAGGTGGAATTTCATACAGTTAAAAAAATTTGTAGAGATGATGATGTGGTTTGGATATGTGTCCCCACCCAAATCTCATGTTCAGCTGTAATTCCCAATGTTACAGGTTGTTCCTGGTGGGAGGTGACTTGATCATGGCGGGGTGGATTTCTCATGAGTGATTTAGCACTACCTGCCTCGGTACTGTCCTCGTGATAGATAGTGAGTGAGTTCTTGTCACTCGATTTGGTCGTTTAAAGGTGAGTAGCACCTCCCCCTCTCTCCTGCTCCTGCTTCGGCCATGTGACATGCCTGGTCCTCTGCATTCTGCTATGATTGTAAGTTTCCTGAGGCCTCCCCAGAAGCCAAGCAGATGCCAGCAACATACATCCTGTCCAGCCTGCAGAACTGTGAGCCAATTAAACCTTTTTTCTTTATAAATTACCCACTGTTAGTTATTTCTTTATAACAATGCGAGAACAGACTAATAAAGATGGCATCTAGCTATGTTGCCCAGGCTGGTCTCAAACTCCTGGCCTTAAGTTACTCTCCTGCCTCATCCTTCCAAAGTGCTGAGATTACAGGAACGAGCCACCAAAACCAAAACCAGCCAATTTGTTGAGGTAGAGTTTTGTTTTTTCAGATTTCTCATTCATGTCTCAGAGGCTCAACTTTACTTGCATCTCAGTGTATGTCATTTGCAGGTCATACATCATTGCCTTCTTTTTTTCACATTGAGAAGGTCTGGGATGATGACTGTCTCCAACTTTTTTGTCTGCTCCTGTAAGTTTTTTCTTTGGTTCTAAATCGGCTATTATGGCCTGACACTGAAATATTTATCATGAAGGCCTAGAAAAGCAATGTATTTGCTCTGTATAACTTGATTCTGTACTCTCGGCTTTTCTTGATGTACCTAAATTTTTACACTCATAGCCTTGGACATATTCCTAACTAAATCCAAGCACACTTTTCATCACGTTCAACTTCCAGGTTATTTTTATTTTTATTTTATTTTTTGAGATGGATTCTTGCTCTGTCACCCAGGCTGGAGTTCAGTGGCGCAATCTCAGCTCTCTGCAACCTCTGTCTCCTGGGTTCAAGTGATTCTCTGCCTCAGCCTCCTTGGTAGCTGGGTCTACAGGTGTGTGCCACCACCCCTGGCTAATTTTTGTGTTTTTTAGTAGAGAAAGAGTTTCACCATGTTGGCCAGGCTGGTCTCGAACTCCTGACCCAAGTGATCCACCCGCCTCGGCTTCCCAAGTGCTGGGATTACAGGTGTGAGCCACCATGCCTGGCCAACTTCCAGGTTATCTAAATGCACTTTGCATAAGGAGAAATAATCACACTGTAGAAGGTTTTTCTTTACCTTTTTGGTAGCTGGTCTAAGAAAGGTTTTACAAGAAATTATCGAGATAATTTCCTGTATTGCCTTTATTAAGTTTTTTATCACTTAAAAAAAAAAACCTGGTTGGTTGGGCATGGTGTTTCATGCCTGAATCCCAGCACTTTGAGAGGCTGAGGTGGGAGGATCACTTGAGTTCAGGAGTTCGATACCAGCCTGGGCAACATGATGAAAGCCCATCTCTTAAAAAAAAAAAAAAAAAAAAAGACACACATACAAAAATTAGCTGGGTGTGGTAACGTGTGCCTGTAGTCTCAACTACTGGGGAGGCTGAGGTGGGAAGATCACTTAGGCCTGGGAGATCAATGCTGCAGTGAACTTTTGTGCTGCTGCACTCCAGCCTGGGCCACTGAGTGAGACGCTGTCCCCCATCTACCCCTGAAATAAATAAAAAGAATCAACAAAAAACTCTGGGCTTTAAAAGGATTCATTTTTTCCTAGTAACTCTATTTACTCCTACTAATGACTTTTGATTATCACTGTATTTACATGGATTACTAACAAGTGAGCTGTTATCCTGTTTCAATCAAATGTTTTGAGCCTTCTAACATCTTTGACAAACTTCCCCAAATGCAAATTCTTTTTATTTTATTTTATTTATTTTTTTTGAGACAGAGACTCGCTCTGTCTCCCAGGCTGGAGTGCAATGGCATAATCTTGGCTCATTGCAACTTCTACTTCCTGAGTTCAAGTGATTCTCCTGCCTCAGCCTCCCGAGTAGCTGGGATTACAGGTGTGCGCTAAGATGCCTGGCTAATTTTTGTATTATTAGTAGAGGTGGGGTTTCACCATGTTGGCCAGTTTGGTCTCGAACTCCCGACCTCAGTTGATCCTCCTGCCTCAGCCTCCCAAAGTGCTGAGATTACAGGTATGAGCCACCACGCCTGGGCTTCTTTTTTATTTTTTTGAGACGGAGTCATGCGCTGTTGCTGAGGCTGGAGTGCAATGTCATGATCTCAGCTCACAGCAACCTCCACCTCCCAGGTTCAAGCAATTCTCCTACCTCAGCCTCCTGAGTAGCTGGGATTACAGGCACCCACCACCATGCCCAGCTAATTTTTGTATTTTTTGTAGAGATGGGATTTAATCATGTTGGTCAGGCTGGTCTCGAACTCCTGACCTCAGTTGATCTACCTGCTTCAGCCTCCCAAAGTGCTGGGATTACAGGCATGAGCCACCACGCCTGGCCTGTTTTTATGACTTTTATTCAAAAGATTGTTCTTTACGCAAATGTTTTGTTTTTTTCAGAATTAAGAAACTGTTCTATCTTAACTTACCTCTAATATACCTCTGTTTGATAAAGTATATTTTTTGAGCCAGGCTCTCACTCCATCACCCAGGCTGGAGTGCAGTCATGCTGCTGTAGGACAAGCAAGCTTCAAATTGGGACTTAGCCAATGAGGGTTTTTGGCCTTGGCCAGGAAATAATTCAGGGTGAGCTGGTGGTAGAAGAAAGAAGCTTTATCGAAGAAGCAGTGTTTCAGCTCTGGTGGTGGTACAGCTTTGTGACTACTCCTATGGGAAACCTCATAGGCAGTGTGCTGAGAGTAGCAGCTCAGGGCAGTTTTGCGGTCATATTTATACCTACTTTTAATTACATGTAGATTAAGGGGCAGTTTATGCAGAAATTTGTAGGAAAATGGTGGTAACTTTGGTCATCGGGTCATTGCCATGGAAAGGGGTGGAAACTCCTGGGTGTTGCCATGGCAATGTTAAACTGACATGGCTCACTGGTAGGCGTGTCTTATGGAAAGCTGCTTCTGCCCCATCCCTGTTTTAGCTAGTCCTCAATTTTGTCCAGGTCTGAGCCCCACCTCTGGAGTCAAATTATTCCTCCTACCTCAGTGTGATCACTGCTCACTGCAGCTTCAGCCTGCTGGGCTCAGGCAGTCCTCCTACCTCAGCCTCCTGAGTAGCTAGAACTATAGACATGCACCACTGTGCCTGGCTAATGTTTAATGCCTGCCCCAGCTGCCTGGCTTCTCCCTGCTGTCCACGCCCCCTCCTATCTTGGAGCAAAGTCAGGCCAAGCCGGGTCACCATGAACAGCAGGATAGACATGAGAGAGTCCCAGGGGGAAAGGGGTAGGTCCCTGGTAAGGTTCCTCCTTCTGGCCAGGGACGGCCTGAAGGCTGGTGGCTGGGCTGCCAGTCCCATGAACTGGAATGGTAATTGGTGCCTTTTCCAGGCCCGCCCATGGCCACCCATGGGCCAATTGGCATGCACTTCCTGCCCTCTGAGGCTCACTAAATGTCCCTGGCTCAGCCAGAGCTGAGCAGACAGTGCCACTAGCAGAAGAGAGGAGCTAGTGTCTCTGCTGAGACCCTCAGAGACCTGCAGAGACCACCGAACAACTTGCCTGAGGAGAGGAGCTACCCTCCCAAGGGCCTCCTCTCTGCTGAGAGCTGGACACTCGACAAATGACCTGCCTGCCCACAGAGGGGAGCTACTCACTGTGGGTCTCCTCTGAGCTGTTGTTTTTTTTTTTCTTTTCTGGAGACAGAATTTCGCTCTTGTTGCCCAGGCTGGAGTGCAATGGCACAATCTCAGCTCACCGCAACCTCTGCCTCCTGGGTTCAAGTGATTCTCCTGCCTCAGCCTCCCAGGTAGCTGGGATGACAGGCATGTGCCACCATGCCTGGCCAATTTTGTATTTTTAGTAGAGAAGGGGTTTCTCTATGTTGGTCAGGCTGGTCTTGAACTCTCAACCTCAGGTGATCCGCACACCTCGGCCTCCCAAAGTGCTGGGATTACAGGTGTGAGCCACCGTACCCAGCTCCTCTGAGCTGCTCTAACACTAAATAAAGCTCCTCTTCTTCTTCTTCAACTTGGGTGAAGGTGCCACTGGCAACAGAGGATTTCCAGGGGAAGATAACTGACACCTCAAAGATCCCATAAGAGTAATCGTCAACAAACATTGGCTACCCTTATATTTTTACAACTAAATATTAAAATTTGATATAAAACCATTGGAATCAAAGGAATATAATAAGATTGGCATGAGTAAATCTATGAATGGCACAGAAGGATCTAGAAACTGATACAGGTATATATAAGAATTACTGTTTTAAAAAGGTGGATACAATTGTGTCCATAATAATTCAAAAGTTTAATGTCATAAAATTAGGAGTAACAAAGTTTTAAAAAATTTAAGAATACAACTATTATGTATCCATAATGATGAAAAAATTGTTTTTTGAGATGGAGTCTCTCTCTGTCACCCAGGCTGGAGTACAGTGGTGCAATATTGGCTTGCTGCAACCTCTGCTTCCCGGGTTCAAGCAATTCTCCTGCCTCACCCTCCCGAATAGCTGGGATTACAGGTGCGTGCAACCACGCCCAGCTAATTTTTGTATTTTTAGTAGAGACAGGGTTTCACCATGTTGGTCATGCTGGTCTTGAACTCCTGACCTTGTGATCTGCCCACCTCAGCCTCCCAAAGTGCTGGGATTACAAGCATGAGCTATTGCACCTGGCCCAATTAAAAAAAAAATTAATAAGGTAGAATTTCATATCAGCAGGTCAAATGTAGTGCCTTAGTCTGTTCCTGCACTGCTCTAATTTAGAAAGAAATTTGAAAAGAGGTTTAATTCCACAGGCTGCACAGGAAGCATGGCTGGGAGGCCTCAGGAAACTTTCAATCATGGTGGAAGGTGAGGAGGAAGCAGGCAGGACTTTACATGGTGGAGCAGGAGAGAGAGAGCAAAGGGGGAGGTGCTACACACTTTTAAACAACCAGTTCTCCTGAGAACCCTATCATGAGACAGGGCTAGGGGGATGGTGATAAACCATTAGAAACCACCCCCATGATCCAATCACCTCTTGCCAGGCCCCACTTCCAACATTGGGGATTACATTTGGGTGGGGACCCAGAGCCAAACCATATCAGGCAGTTTCTCTCAATAAGTGGTGCTACAAAAATTGGCCCTCTTTTTGGATGAGATAAAATTGGATCCACTACTCCACACCACATGCCCAAATACATTCCAATAAAAATATATATGTATATACACATATATGTGATCTGCGCACCTTGGCCTCTCAAAATGCTGGGATTACAGGTGTGAGCCCCTGCACCCTAACAAAACATATAAATTTTTAAAGTAATACATTTCAAATGAAAAGATTGAAATCTCTGTCATCTAGAGTTTGAAAAGACTTTTTAGGCCAGGTGCGGTGGCTCATGCCTGTAATCCCAGCACTTTGGGAGGCCAAGGTGGGCAGATCACTTGAGGTCAGGAGTGTTACACGTGTCCGTGTGAAAAGACCACCAACAGGCTTTGTGTGAGCAACAAGGCTGTTTATTCACTCGGGTGCAAGTGGGCTAAGTCTGAGAAAGGAGTCAGCAAAGGGAGATAGGGGTGGGGCAGTTTTATAGGATTTGGGTAGGTAGTGGAAAGTTACAGTTAAAGGTGGTTATCATTTGTGGGCAGGGGCGGGGGTCTCAAAGTGCTTGGTGGGGAGCTCCTGAGACTCATTGTCCAGGAGAAGAATGTCACAAGGTCAAGAGATCAGTTGGGGTGGGGTAGGAACAAATCACAATTGTGGAACCTCATCAGTTAAGGCAGGAACTGGCTGTTTCACTTCTTTTGTGGTTCTTCAGTTGCTCCAGGCCATCTGCATATATACGTGCAGGTCACACGGGTTATGATGGCTTAGCTTGGGCTTGGAGGCCTGACATTCCAGTCTTCTTATATTAATCAGAAAAACAAAATAGTGGTGAAGTGTTGGGGGGCAATGAAAATTTTGGGGGGAGCTATGGAGAGATAATGGGCAATGTTTCTCAAGGCTGCTTCAAGTGGGATGAGGGGCAACATGGGAACCTAGAGTGGGAGAGATTAAACTGAAGAAAGATTTTGAGAAAAGGGGTGATATTGTGGGGTTGTTAAAAGGAGTATTTGTTGTATAGAATGATTGGTGATGGCCTGGATGTGGTTTTGTATGAATTGAGAAACTAAACGGAAGACACAAGGTCTGAATAAGAGAAGGAGAAAAACAAGTATTAGAGGACTAAGAATTGGGAGGAGCCAGGACATCCTATTAGAAAGTGCCCAGGGAGGTCCAGCATAATTATGTGCCTGGTTGGTGAGTTTTTTGGGCTCTACCTTTGAGTTTTTTATGTAGTCTTAATTCAGGGCACACTGATTCAGGTAAAAACAACATTCTAATTTTAGAAATATGCAGAGTCCTCCTTTTTCAGCAGTGAGTAAGTCGAGGCCTCTTCCTGTCTTCTTATATTAATAAGAAAAACAAAACTGTAGTGAAGTGTTCGTGTCCTGAGGGGAACAGGATGCTGTTCAGTCCCATTTGCAAATCGATTTTTTGGAAGAAGGAAAACTAGTGTACATGTGCCTGTCCAATTAATAGGTAGACACATGTAGGTGGAGGAGTCACAGGGAAGAAGAGATCTTGTGTAAGGCAAAACTGGAAATGTAAAGTGAAAAGATGAGAGGGAGCGCCAAAAGAGGTGCACCCAGACTCCTAGGGATCCAGCTGTGTCTGGAATTGGTGGGTTCTTGGTCTCACTGACTTCAAGAATGAAGCTGCAGACCCTCAAGGTGAGTGTTACAGTTCTTAAAAGTGGTGTGTCTGGAGTTTGTTCCTTCTGATGTTCAGACGTGTTTGGAGTTTCTTCCTTCTGGTGGGTTCGTCATCTTGCTGGCTTTAGGAGTGAAGCTGCAGACCTCCGCAGTGAGTGTTACAGCTCTTAAGGCTGTGAGTCTGTAGTTGTTTGTTCCTTCTGATGTTCAGACGTGTTTGGAGTTTCTTCCTTCTGGTGGGTTCGTCATCTTGCTGGCTTTAGGAGTGAAGCTGCAGACCTCCGCAGTGAGTGTTACAGCTCTTAAGGCTGTGAGTCTGTAGTTGTTCATTCCTCCTGTCCAGAGTTGTTCATTCCTCCTGGTGGGTTTGTGGTCTCGCTGGCCTCAGGAGTGAAGCTGCAGACCTTCACAGTGAGTGTTACAGCTCATAAAGGCAGTGTGGACCCAAAGAGTGAGCAGCAGCAAGATTTATTGCAAAGAGTGAAAGAACAAAGCTTCCACAGTGTAGAAGAGGATGTGAGCGGGTTGCCGCTGCTGGCTCAGGTAGCCTGCTTTTATTCCCTTATCTGGCCCCACCCACATCCTGCTGATTGGTGCATTTTACAGAGAGCTGATTGGTCCTTTTTGACAGGGTACTGATTGGTGCGTTTACAATCCCTGAGCTAGACACAGAGTGCTGATTCGTGCATTTACAATCCTCTAGCTAGACATAAAAGTTCTCCAAGTCCTCACCAGATTAGCTAGATACAGAGTGCTGATTGGTGTGTTTACAAACCTTGAGCTAGACACAGGGTGTTGACTGGTGCATTTACAAACCTTGAGCTAGACACAGAGTGCTGGTTGGTGTATTTACAATCCTTTAGCTAGACATAAAGGTTCTCCAAGCCCCACCAGATTAGCTAGACACAGAGCACTGATTGGTGCGTTTACAAACCTTAAGCTAGACACAGAGTGCTGATTGGTGCATTTACGGTCTTCTAGCTAGACATAAAAGTTCTCCAAGTCCCCACCCGACACAGGAGCCCAGCTGGTTTGCCTAGTGGATCCTGCTGCAGGCGGAGCTGCCTGCCAGTCCCATGCCATGCCTGCACTCCACAGCCCTTGGGCAGTCAATGGGACTGGGCACCATGGAGCAGGGGGTGGCGCCCGTTGGGGAAGCTTGGGCCATGTGGGAGCCCACCACAGGGGGGCTCAGGCCTGGTGGGCTGCAGGTCCTGAGCCCTGCCCTGTGGGGAGGCGGCTGAGGCATGGCAAGAATTCGAGCATGGCATGGGTGGGCTGGCAGTGCTGGGGGACACGGCGCACTCTCCGCAGCTGCTGGCCCAGGTGCTAAGCCCCTCACTGCCCAGGGCTGGTGGTGCCAGCCGACTGCTCCAAGTGCAGGGCCCACCTGGAACTTGCGCTGGCCCGTGAGCGCCGAGCACAGCCCCGGTTCCCACCCATGCCTCTCCCTCCTCACCTCCCTGCAAGCAGAGGGAGCCGGCTCCAGCCTTGGCCAGCCCAGAGAGGGGCTCCCACAGTGCAGTGGTGGGTGGAAGTTCTCCTCAAGTGTGGCCAGGTGGACACCAAGGCTGAGGAGGTGCTGAGAGTGAGTGAGGGCCGCCAGCATGTTGTCACCTCTCACAGCAAGGGCAGCAGCCGTTAGAAGTTGTAATGGGGATTGATAGGGCAACTGGGTAGAGGGAGAGGTTCAGTATTCATGGTGTATTAGAAAACTCATAGTGTCTACAAGCAACCTTTCATTGCTATTCATGGGGTTGTGTATAAGTAAACAAGAAGGGGGGCTGGGAGGAGAGGCTGAAGAACAAGGGGAAGGTAGCCAAGGATGGAGTGAAGTGCAGGACAAATGTCTTCCTAAATAATAGTAACTGCTAATGTTTTTAAGTTTGCCAGTATTGATAGAGGGCTTATCTATAATGTGGAGCTAAAAAGCCCCATTGGTTTTGGTAATATGTGTAGTTGGGCTTTGGAGATGAAGAGTGAAGAAGCATAGAGAAGGTGAAATGTTACCTAGGGGAATTCCAGTCAGTCTTTGCCGAGAGATGCACAAAGGAGTGACAACAGGGATAGTAGTTTATGTTGTGAGGGGTTCAAATATGGGTGGAGTAGAATTAATATAAGGATAAAGGTTTTTTTTTTTTTTTGAGACAGAGTCTTGCTCTGTCACCCAGGCTGGAGTGCAGTGGCACGATCTCGGCTCACTGCAAGCTCTGCCTCCTGGGTTCACGTGATTCTCCTGCCTCAGCCTCCTGAGTACCTGGGACTACAGGTGCCTGCAACCATGCCCAGCTAATTTTTTGTATTTTTAGTAGAGACGAGTTTCACCGTGTTAGCCAGGATGGTTTCAATCAAGGATAAAGATTTTTTAAGTAGATGCGGAGAAGAGCATCAGCTTGCTGATATGAAATGTCTGAGGTTTTGCTAGACCTGTCTAGAAAGTAAAGAAGTTCTTCAGAAGGGTAAAGATGAGGGCTGTTAAAGGAGGTTCAGAGATGTAGGGAGACAGGAGATGTTGCCCAGTCGGTATGTAAGGTGGGGACAGCTGTGTAAGAGCAGGAAAAAAGGGAAATGCAAAGCCAGCAATTGTTCACTAAGGAGGGATTAGAAAGAGTGAGGAGGGAGTGAGCGAGATTGATAGTATGTTGGAGGTAATTAGGGAGGGGTAGAGGATGGCAGGAGAATGGGAATGAGGAAAAGTAAAGAAAAGGACTTCATCAGGGTGAAAGAATTGGAGTGTGCCTTGCCAGCAAAGGTCATCTATCCACTCCAAGGGGGAGTTAAGAGTGGTGGTTAGGGGCTAAGACCAGGAGATATCAGCTATGATGGTTTGGAGAAAAAGTGTAAACTGGCAGTGTAGACAAGGGCAGGACATTTATGGGTAGGTGAGAATGAAGAGTAGGAGTATGACTAGACAGAAGATAGCAGGGATGAAAAGTTTTGGGGTACAGTCCAAGTAGTGGGGGTGACTGTGTGAAGCCCTGTTGTAAAGATCAGGGTAAGGAAGAATAGACCTAACAAAATGAAAGGGTGTATTAGGCTCACAAGTGTCACTACTGTTCTTCAGAAATGCGGGTGAGTTTAAGGGAAGTAGGGGTGAGTACTTGCAACTTCCAGGAGGAAGAGGAGAGATCAGGCTGTCTGTCCGATGGGCACAGCTTTATCCTGGAATGGTGAACCCAATGGGCAGGGTCCTGCAGATGGATGGCCATTGGAGTACTATAGATGACTAAGTGGGGTCCAGTCCACCGAGTTTGTAGAGTTTGAGGGGTCAGATTCTTAAGAACTGATCGTCCAGCTAGGGTGTCCTCATATGGCTGGGAATCTGGAGTAGGCAAAAGAAGATTAGCAGCCTGGTAAATTTCCTGTCTAGCCTGCTGGAGGACTGGAAGGTAGTCCCCCAGAGGGCTGGTGTCTGGAATGAGGTTGGGGCCCAGCAAGAAGGTATGTCCATATAAAAGTTCAAATGGACTGTACCCTGTAGCATCCCGAGGACAGGCTCAAATTTTGAGGAGGGCAGGTGGTAAAAATACTGTCCAGTCCTTTTTAAGTTGAAGGCTGAGTTTGGTGAGGTGTGTTTTTAAAAGACCATTATTCCTTTCTACCTTTCCAGAAGACTGAGGGCGGTAGGGGGCATGAAGTTTCCATTGAATGCCCAAGGCCTGAGAGACTGCTTGAGTGACTTGACTAATGAAGGCCAGTCTGTTGTCAGACTGTATAGAGGTAGTAAGTCTAAATCGAGAAATTATGTCTGACAGAAGGGAGGAGATGACCACGTTGGCCTTCTCAGGCCTGAGAGAAAGGCCTCTACCCATCCAGTGAAAGTGGCTACCAGACCAAGAATATTTTAGTTTCCTGACTCAGGGCATGTGGATAAAGTCAATTTGCCAGTCCTGGGCATGGGTGAACCCCTGAGCTTGATGTGTAGGAAAGGGAGGGGGCCTGAGAAATCCCTGAGGAGTGGTAGAATAGCAAATGGAACACTGAGAAGTGATTTCCTTGAGGATAGATTTCCATGATGGAAAGGAAATGAGAGGGTCTAAGAGGTGGGCTAGTGGCTTGTAACCCACATGGAAGAGGTCACGAAAGGAAGATAGAATGAAATGAGGCTGTGAGGGTGGAAGGAGGAATTTTCCTTGATCCAAGAACCATTTGTCTTGTTTGGGAAGAGATTGATAGGTGGAAGTTTCAGTGGGAGAGTAGGTGGGAGTGACTGATGAGAAGGAGAAAAACTGGCCATGAGGGACAGAAGTTGGAAGGCTAGCTGCTTCTTTAACTCCCTTATCAGCATAATTGTTGCCTTGAGCAATGGGATCTGATGTCCTTTGATGGCCCTTGCAGTGAATGAAACAAGCTTCCTTGGAAGTACAGCAGCTTTAAGAAGAGTTTTTATTGAGGAGGCATTAATGATGGAAGACCCTTGTGTAGTAAGGAAACCTCTTTCTGCCCATATAACAGGATGGTGGTGAAGGATGTGGAAGGCATACTTGGAATCAGTATAGATATTGACACGTATTCCCTTTGCAAGAGTGAAGGCTCGAGTTAAGGCAATGAGTTCAGCTTGTTGAGAGGCAGTGGAAGGGGGAAGGGCCATAGCCTCAATGATAGATGTGGAAGACACTATAGCATAGCCTGCCTTTGCCAGTGATTGGTGATTGGGCCTGGAAGAACTACCATCAATAAACCAAGTGTGGTCTGGGTGGGGAACAGGAAACAGGGAAATATGGGGAAATGGGGAGAATGTCATATGGATTAGAGAGATACAATCATGGGGTTCAGATGTAGTATCAGGAATAAGATGAGAGGCCGGATTGAAGTCTGGGCCAGGAACAATGGTAATTGTGGGAAATTCAACGAATGGTGAGTACAGTTGAAGGAGCCAGGGGGCAGAAAGTATATGTGTCAAGTGTGAGGAACAAAATAGATATTGAAAGTTATGGGAACTGTAGAGAGTAAATGGAGCATAGCTTGTGGTTTTGAGGGCCTCTAAAAGTATTAAAGTGGTGGCAGCCACCACATGGAGACATGAGGGCAAGCCTAAAACAGTAAGGTCAAGTTGTTTGGACAGAAAGGCTACAGGGCGTGGTCCCAGCTCTTGTGTAAGAATTCCAACCACACAGTTCTGTACATTGGCTGTGTGTAATGAAAAGGGTTGGGATGAGTTAGGGAGAGCTAGTGTGGGAGCAGCTTCCAGGGCTGTTTTTAAGGAATGGAAAGAGGAGTGGGGAAAGGATTTAGGATCTATGGGGCCAGCTAGGTTTCCTTGTGAGTTTATATAATGGTTTAGTCAGGATGGCAAAACCAGGTATCCAAAGGTGAAAGTACCCAAGCATGCCTAGGAAGGAAAGGAGTTGTTGTTTTGTAGAAGGCATTGGGGTTTGGGAGATTAGCCAGACATGATCAGCAGGGAAAGCACGTGTGTTTTTATGAAGAATTATGCCGAGATAGGTAACGGATGAAGAAGAAATTTGGGATTTTGAGGGGGATACGCGATATCCCTTTGAGAATAGATGTTGGAGGAGCCGGAGGGTGTCCTGTTGGGAAGATTTGTAGGAGGGGCTATAAAGTAGGAGGTCATCAAAATATTGAATAAGGTGAGAAGCAGATGGATGGAAAGAAAGTAAATCATGAGAAAGTGCTTGACTGAAGTAACGGGGGCTGTCCCTGAAGCCTTGCAGCAGTACAGCCCAGGTAAGTTGCTGAGACTGACGGGTGTCAGGGTCAGTCCAAGTTAAAGTGAAGAGAGGCTGGGATTAAGGGTGTAAAGGAATAGTAAAGAAAGCATCTTTGAGATCCAGAACAGAATAATGGGTTGAGGAGGGAGGTATTGAGGATAGGAGAGTATATGGGTTTGGCACCATGGGGTGGATAGGCAAGACAATTTGGTTGATAAGGCAAAGATCCTGGACCAGCCTGTAAGACTTGTCCAGTTTTTGGACAGGTAGGATAGGAGAGTTGTAAGGAGAGTTTGTAGGCTTTAAAAGGTCATGCTGTAACAGGGAAGTGATAACAGGCTTTAGTCCCCTCAAATCCTGTTGTGGGATGGGATATTGGCATTGAGCAGGGTAAGGGTGATTAGGTTTTACCCCCAAGGGATGATAAGGGGTGCATGATCAGTTGCTAAGGAGGGAGTAGAGGTATCCCATACTTGTGGATTAAGGTAGTGAGACACAAGGGGAGGAGGCAAAGGAGGCTTTGAACTGGGGAAAAGGGTGGCAATGAGGTGTGGCTATAGCCCAGGAATAGTGAGGGAAGCAGAGAATTTAGTTAAAATGTCTTGACCTAATAAGGGAGCTGGGCAGGTGGGGATAACTAAAAAGAGTGCATAAAAGAAAGTTGTTCAAGTTGGCACCAGAGTTGGGGATTTTTAAGAGGTTTAGAAGCCTGGCCATCAATACCCACGGCAGTTATGAAGGCAAGGGAAACAGGCCCTTGAAAAGAAGGTAATGTGGAGTGGGTAGCCTCTGTATTGATTAAGAAGGGGACAGACTTGCCCTCCACTGTAAGAGTTACCCAAAGCATCTGTGATAGTCCAGGAGGCTCCCGAGGTGATCGGGCAGTGTCAGTCTTCAGCTGCTAAGCCGAGAAGATCTGGGAAGGAGTCAGTCAGACAGCCTTGGGCCAGAGTTCCAGTGGCTCTGGTAGTGGCTGCCAGGTGAGTTGGACAGTCCGATTTCAAGTGGGGTCCCACAGATGGGACATGGCTTAGGAGGAATCCTGGGCTGCGGGCATTCCTTGGCCCAGTGGCCAGATTTCCAGCACTTAAAGCAAGAACCTGAGGGAGGAGGTCCTGGAGGAACACCTGGCCTCTGTGGTTTAGGCATTTTGAAGTTCTTATGTGCTGGAGATGTGGCTGGGGTTTATCTCACAGCAGAGGCAAGTAATTGCAACTCAGAAATACAACGCCACTTGGCTGCCTCTTCTCTATTATTGTACACCTTCAAGGTGAGGTTAATTAAGTCCTGTTGTGGGGGTTGAGGGTCAGAATCTAATTTTTGGAGCTTTTTCTAGTCTTGGGAGCAGATTGGGTAATAAAATGCATATTGAGAATAAAATGCATATTGAGAATAAGATGGCCTTCTGGCCTCTCTGGTTCTAGGGTGGTAAACTGTCTAAGGGTTGTTGCCAAACAGGCCATGAACTGGGCCGGGTTTTTATACTTGATGAAAAAGAGCCTAAATGCTAACTGACTTGGGAGAGGTTGGATGAAGAAAAAGGAGCATTAACCTCGACTATGCCTTCAGCTCCAGCCACTTCTCTAAGAGGATATTGTTGGGCAGGTGGGGGAGGGCTAGTCATGGAATGAAACTGTAAGCTGGACCGGGTGTGAGAAGGGGAGGTGATAGAAAGATCACAGGGTAGGGAGCAGAGGCTGAGGAAGAATTAGTGAGAGGTGACAGCGTGCTGGCAGTCCTCACAGCCCTCGCTCACTCTTGGCGCCTCCTCTGCCTGAGCTTCCACTTTGGCGGCACTTGAGGAGCCCTTCAGCCCACTGCTGCACTGTGGGAGCCCCTTTCTGGGCTGGCCAAGGCTGGAGCCAGCTCCCTCAGCTTGCAGGGAGGTGTGGAGGGAGAGGCGCGAGCGGGAACTGGGGCTGTGCATGGTGCTTGCGGGCCAGCTGGAGTTCCAGGTGGGCGTGGGCTTGGCGGCTGCACTCGAAGCAGCTGGCCGGCCCTGCTGGCCCCAGGCAATGAGGGGCTTAGCACCCAGGCCAGCAGCTGCACAGGGTGTACTGGGTCCCCTAGCAGTGCCAGCCCACTGGTGCTGCGCTTGATTTCTCGCCAGGCCTTAGCTGCCTTCCCACAGGGCAGGGCTCAAGACTGGCAGCCCGCCATGCCTGAGCCTCCCACCCCCTCCATGGGCTCCTGTGCAGCTCGAGCCTCCCTGATGAGAGCTCCCCCCTGCTCCATGGTGCCCAGTCCCATCAACCACCCAAGGGCTGAGGAGTGCGGGCACATGGCGCGGGACTGGCAGGCAGCTCCACCTGCAGCCCCAGTGCGGGATCCACTGGGTGAAGCCAGCTGGGCTCCTGAGTCTGGTGGGGATGTGGAGAACCTTTATGTCTAGCTCAGGGATTGTGGAAACACCAATTGGCACTCTGTATCTAGCTCAAGGTTTGTAAACACACCAATCAGCACCCTGTCAAAACAGACCACTCGGCTCTACCAATCAGCAGGATGTGGGTAGGGCCAGATAAGAGAATAAAAGCAGGCTACTGAGCCAGCAGTGGCAACCCCCTTGGGTCCCCTTCCACGCTGTGGAAGCTTTGTTCTTTTGCTCTTTGCAATAAATCTTGCTACTGCTTACTCTTTGGGTCCATGCTGCCTTTAAGAGCTGTAACACTCACCGCAAAGGTCTGTAGCTTCACTCCTGAGCCAGCGAGACCACAAACCCACCAGAAGGAAGAAACTCTGAACACATCCGAACATCAGAAGGAACAAACTCCAGACACGCCGCCTTTAAGAACTGTAACACTCACCGCGAGGGTCCACGGCTTCATTCTTGAAGTCAGTGAGACCAAGAACCCACCAATTCTGGATACGTTAGGACCTGGCTCAGCTTGGCGAGGAGCAGCCTGAGGGGGAGGGGAGAGGTCAGATGGGTCCATAGAAAAGGAGGATTCAAAGGACAAGAAAGAAACAAGAAAGATTTGGGATGAGTCACATTGGGAGCAAAGACTAGGGACGGACCAATGTGTAAAGAATGCCTGGATGTCAGGCATCTCAGACCATTTGCCCATTTTATGACAAAAATTATCTAGATCTTGTAGGATGGAGAAATCAAAAGTGCCATTTTCTGGCCATTTAGAACCATTGTCAAGTTTGTACTGGGGCCAAGTGGTGTTGCAGAAGAAAATAAGGTATTTAGGTTTTAGGTCAGGTGTGAGTTGAATAGGTTTTAAGTTCTTGAGAACACAGGCTAAGGGAGAAGAACAGGGAATGGAGGGCAGAAGATTGCCCATAGTGAAGGAGGTAAGTTTAAAGAGAAAGGTAGAGACATGGAGAAGGCAGTGGAGTGGGGTGGGGGTGAGCAGCCCTGGGCTGTAATGTGGGTAAGCAGCCAAAGCAGGCAGCCCTGCAATTGACTTGCCACCAAGGGAATGTGGGTGAATGATCAAGGCAGGCATCCCCACAGTGATCAGACACCAATGGAATGTAGGTGAATAATCAGGCAGGTATCCCTACAGTGATTAGCCACCAAGGAAAGACTGTCTTCCTGAGTCCGTGACTGGAGCTGGAGTTTTGGGTCCACAGATAAAATGTGTCTCCTTTGTCTCTACTGGAGAGGAAAAAGAACTGGAATTGGAAGGACAGAGAGATGGAAGGGTAGTGAGAGAGGCTGGAGAAGAGAGTGAAGAGACTGCTTACCCAATTTGAAATTGGTGAGATGTTCCTTGGGCTAGTCTGAGGACCCGAGGTAGTAGGTGGAGCTCCTCACGGAGTGAGGGTGAGGACGGGGCCAGTCTCCCAAGGGAGTCCCCCTGTCCCAGGTTTCGGAACCAAATGTTACACACATCCATGTGAAGAGACCACCAATAGGCTTTGTGTTAGCAACAAGGCTGTTTATTCACTTGGGTGCAAGTGGGCTGAGTCCGAGAAAGGGGTCAGCAAAGGGAGATAGGGGTGGGGCAGTTTTATAGGATTTGGGTAGGTAGTGGAAAGTTAAAGGTGGTTATCTTTTGCTGGCAGGGCCGGGGGTCACAAGGTGCTCGGTGGGGAACTCCTGAGACTCGTCCAGAAGAAGAATGTCACAAGGTCAAGAGATCAGTTGGGGTGGGGCAGCAACAAATCACAATGGTGGAACGTCATCAGTTAAGGCAGGAACTGGCTGTTTCACTTCTTTTGTGGTTCTTCAGTTGCTCCAGGCCATCTGGATGTATACGTGCAGGTGACAGGGTTTATGATGATTTAACTTGGGCTCAGAGGCCTGACAAGTAGTTCAAGACCAGCCTGGCCAGCATGGCAAAACCCTGCCTCTACTAAAAATACAAAAATTAGCAGGGTGTGGCAGCATGCACCTGTAATTCCAGCTACTTGGGAGGATGAGGCAGGAGAATCGCTTGAACCTGGGAGGTGGAGGTTGCAGTGAGCTGAGATGGCTCCACTGAACTCCAGCCTTGGTGACAGAGTGAGATTTTGTCTCAAAAAAAAAGAAAAGATGTTTTAAAGCAAGGCAGAAAACCTAGAAATTATTTTTAAAAACAATTCTTTTAGCTGCATAGAAAATGTTTTTTACATCAAATGTTGAAATAGTAACAGAGCAAAAGACGTAGTTACCTATTTTCTACATGCATAACACATTGGCTCCTTCCCCTATGGCCGCCCTGCTGCGGCCTCGCCCACAGGCCTGGCTATAACTTCAACCTTTTCCTCTGGGCCTGGACCCACATTCCTCCCCGCCCCCTGCCCGTAGCCCTGCCCACAGGCTTGGCTCTAACCTCGACCTTGCCTTCTGGACCCATTTCTGCCTGCAGCCCCCACGCTGAGCCCACCCCAAGGTCCTCCGCAGCCAAGCAGATGGAAAGTAGAATTTTTCTGCCTCGAGGAGGTATTACACGGCAGAAACCCTAGTCCCGAAACCCCGCCTGGCCCGAGGCGGAGAGCGTAAATGACGTCAGCGGTGCGCCGTTCCTTTTGTGACGCCGGCTGTGAGCGCCTGAGAGTCTTTTTGCCTTTCAGAGTTAAGGCCTCACTGGCCTGGGTGAGTTCCGAGGAGATGAACTGGTTTTGGGGTGAAGGACGGGTTTGGCCCGGACGTTAGAGAGGCCTGGCCCGCTCTGCTCGTGTCTGCTGGGCCCGCTAGCGTCCGCTCGGACCGTCGCTCCTCGGGAGGAGTCGGGTTTATAGTTACGGTGTCCGCAGGGTGTTTTCATCTGTGCGCCCCTCTCCAAAGGCCTCCAAAGCAGCGTTTGTGAATTTTTTTCCGGCAGGAAAATAATTGCTGCCTTTTGCATCCGCGTTGGCTCCGTCCCCAGGATCTTCCCGGTTCAGGGACCTGGCGATTTCTGAGTGTTCCGGTGAGCACTGGGTGAAAGTTGGTTCTAGGGGGCCTTTTCTGTCTTCTCTTATGCAAACGAATGTTTCATCTGTAAGTTTGGTTTCGTCTTATTGTGTTGTGTTTTATTTTTGACCATTACTTTCATGGCGAAAGATAAAGATGCTTTTTAGGTTTATAGGGTGTGCGTATTTGTGTATGTGAATATAAACGTTTGTAGACCGCAAGTCTTTCTGCTAAAGAATACTAAGAATAATAATTCATTATCTTCGAATGGAGTTCCTAGGCCTGTACATCCCAAGAGAGCTTCTTAATCAGACCTCCAGAGGGAAAGGATGAAGGCTTTATTATTCTAGTATCACAATAATCAAATTTACAATGAACAGGATGGTTGGATTAAGGAGTTTGAAACCAGCCTGGCTAAGATGGTGAAACCCCGTCTCTACTAAAAATAGAAAAAAAATTAGCCGAGCGTGGTGGTGGGGTCTTGGAATCTCAGCTATTTGGGAGACTAAGGCAGGAGAATCACTTGAACCCAGGAGGCGGACGTTGCAGTGAGCTGAGATCGTGCCACTGCACTCCAGCCTGGGAGACAGAGTGAGCCTCCGTCTCAAAAGAAAAAAAAGAGAAACGAAGGATGTGTGCATTTTAAGCTACATTGATTGTATATCAATGAAAAAAAAAAAAAGCTGGCTGGGTACAGTGGCTCACACCTGTGATCCCAGCACTTTGAGAGGCTGAGGCAGGAAGATCTCTTGAGCCCAGGAGTTTAAGACCAGCCTGGGCAACATAGCAAGACTCCATCTCTCCAAAAAAAAAAAAAAAAAAAGAGTTAAATATTCTATACAGATGCCACCAAACTGAATATTTGTGGGCCTAGTCAGCCCTAGGACCCCTAGTTTGAGACCCCTGGGAGTAGGTGTGATCTATACCAGGAGTCCAGAACTGTGGTTTTTGTGACTTTAGGGTTTTAGTCTTATTGGTAGAAGGAGGCCTATAGAGTTTTTGTGAATTTGGTTCATGGATAATGAACTGCGGAACTTTCACTGTTTATCATCATTTGACTCCCATTCTGTAGGTGATTGTTTGAGCCACTGTTTCATGTTTGATTAATTAATGATTGTCATTATTATTATTATTATTTTTTTTTTGAGACAGAGTCTTGCTCTGTCACCTAGGCTGGAGTGCAGTGGTGTGATCTCAGCTCCCTGCAACTTCCATTTCCCAGGATCAAGCGATTCTCCTGCCTCAGCCTCCTGAGTAGCTGGGATTACAGCCGCACACCACGCCCGGCTAATTTTTGTATTTTTAGTAGAGATGGAGTTTCACCGTGTTGGTTAGGCCGGTCTTGAACTCCTGACCTCATGATCTTCTGGCCTCAGGCTCCCAAAGTGCTGGGATTACAGGCGTGAGCCACCCTGCCCAGCCAAATAAAACCAAACTTTGGTGGAAAAAAATTAACCAGATAAATACTATGAAAAGGTAGTTCTCTTTGAAGACCCATAAAACAGACCAGTGTTAGGCACAGAGTGGTTTGGCCTTGCCTCTCTGACAGTGTGAGCTGGGGATGCAGATTTGATTTGAGTGTTTCCAATCAAGGCCCAGTTGAGGCTACCCAATACTTAAAAGTGTATTGTGAGATTATTTTTTCTATGTGTGTGTGCAAAACTTGTACTTGCATTCAGGTTCTGGTTTACCACTTCATTTTTTTTTGTTTGTTTACTTATTTTTATTTTTGTTTCTTTAGAGATAGGGTCTTGCTATGTTGCCCAGGCTGGTCTCAAACTTCTAGGCTGAAGCAGTCCTCCCACCCTGGCCTCCCAAAATGCTGGGATTACAGGCATGAGCTACTGCCCCAGCCGGTGTATATGTTTGATGGCTGATGATTAAGTACTGCTTGTTGATTATTGATTAATACCAACAGGAATCCCAATAACCCTGTTTAAAGAGGAATGGAGATTGCCACTGTCCATTTAGATTAATGAGGTGTCCTGAAGTGATGGTGACATCAATGAAAGGAGGGTTCTGACACGTTCTCACCTCGCGGGATGGCAGCTGCTGATTTGTCCCATGGTAAGCTCTGTTGCTCTTTTTAGGATATCCTGTTCTAGGTTCCCTTTACACAATATAGGGTCTAGTGGTTTGGGCAGCTGGTCATGTTGCTGATTCATTTGGGAGGTGCTGAGGGGTGCCAGAACGTGCTGTCTTGTGAGTCAGGCTCTGCCTGTGAATTTTGGAAAGAGGTACTGCATAATCTCCTTCATGAATTCTAATCAGCATGATAGAGTCCCATGCTCTGGGTATATGTTTCCTTATGTGTGAAATGAGACTATTGTACTTTTCCTGATGGGCAGCACAGCTCATCATCACGTTTAGGACTGCTCTGGCATTGTATGGTAGTAGGTTGTATGTTTGCATTTTCTTTCTTTTCTTTTTTTTTTTTTTCTTATACAAAGTCTCGCTCTTTTGTCCAGGCTGGAGTGCAGTGGTGCATTCATAGCTCACTGCAGCCTCAAACTGTTGGGCTCAAGCAATCCTCCCACCTCTGCCTCCCAAGTACCTGGGACTGCAGGCACATGCCACCATGCCTGGCTGATTAAAAAAATTTTTTTGTAGAGATGGGGAGTTTATGTTCACTGTGTTGTCCAGGGTAGTCTCGAACTCCTAGGCTTAAGCAATCTTCTTGCCTCAGCTTCCCCAAGGAGATGGGACTACAGGTGTGTGTTACCACACCAGGCTCATTTTAAAATTTTTTTGTAGAGACGGGGTCTCACCGTGTTGCCCAGGCTGATCTCAAACTTCTCGCCTAAAGTAATCCTTCCACCTCAACCTCCCAGAGCACTAGGATTACAGATGTGAGCCACTGCAACTGGCCTTATGTGTGTTTTCCTGATTTTGCAGGAATATATGGGAATTTCATACTAGGAGGTAATGACCTCTAGGTAGGTGGATGTGGGGATTATGGTCAGCTCGGGGTTCTCTTGCCTTCATTTTCTTACAGGACATTATCTTTCTGGGGACCCAGTTTGCCTTCATGAAGAAAAGACACCAGCAGGAAGAATAGTGGCTGACTGCCTAACAGATTGTTATCAGGTAAAAAGCAGCTGTATTCTTATACATAGTGACATACTTGCATCCACCAGGTAGACACATTTCCCTCTAGGCAGAGTTGTCTCCAGACTTCTTTTTTTTTTTTTTTTTTTGAGAGGGAGTCTCGCTGTGTTGCCAGGCTGGAGTGCAGTGCTATGCTCTCGGCTCACTGCAAGCTCCGGTCTCCAGGCTTCTTAAAGCAAATAAAGTGTCACTCAAGGACTGAATCCCCATTTGAATTTCCCCAAGGGTTGGGGCCACCCATATAGGGAGGTGCTAACTTGGAAATCATCCCAGGCCGGGCATGGTGGCTTACACCCATAATCCCAGCACTTTAGGAGGCTGAGGCAGGCAGATTGCTTGAGTACAGGAGTTCAAGATCAGCCTGAGCAACATAGTGAGACCCCGTCTCTACAAAAAATTTAAAAATTAGCTGGGCAAAGTGGTACATGACTGGACTCCCAGCTACTTTGGAGGCTGAAGTGGGAGGATCACTTCAGCCCTGGAGGTTGAGGCTGCAGTGAGCTGTGATTGCACCACTGCACTCTAGCCTGGGCAACACAGCAAGACTCCGTCTCAAAAAAATTAAAAAAAAAAGTGTCCTTTAAGTTGTTTATCAGCATTGATCAGATGTCTGGAATGTGCTGAGCAATGCGCTCAAATAGATGGAAATAAGATGAGATCTTGGGCGGGCACAGTGGCTCATGCCTGTAATCCCAGCACTTTGGGAGGCTGAAGGGGGCGGATCATGAGGTCAGGAGTTCGAGACCAACCTAGCCAGTATGCTGAAACCCTATCTCTACTAAAAATACAAAAAATTAGCCGGGCATGGTGGCGTGTGCCTGTAATTTCAGCTACTCAGGAGGCTGAAGCAGGAGAGTTGCTTGAACCTGGGAGGTGGAGGTTGCAGTGAGCCAAGATTGCACCAGTGCACTCCAGCCTGGGCAACAGAGTAAGAGTCCATTTCAAAAAAAAAAGAGATCTCCTAGTCTGGTTGTGCTGAGATAAATTCATATTCAAGAAGTGCCATTAATGCACTATGAGTGGAGGAGATGACAGTGAGTATGTTTAGGGTGCGAGGAGTTTCTAGGACCCTTAAAACCTGGGGCTGGTCACTGCAGCCCTTGGAATCCTGCATAGGCATTGGGTCCCCCTTCCTCATCCTCCAGCGAACGCTGATGGGCTTGTTACTTGGCTCCAACCAGCATGTGTGTGATGCTTTAGGATTCAGTGACCTTTGACGATGTGGCTGTGGACTTCACCCAGGAGGAGTGGACTTTACTGGACTCAACTCAGAGAAGCCTCTACAGTGACGTGATGCTGGAGAACTACAAGAACCTGGCCACAGTAGGTAAGACTGGCCTCATCCCTTGCAGCCTTCTATGGAACTGATATGTTTTGTACTTACTGTTTTGCAGCATTGGCAATGTCAACTCTGAATGCAAAGAGAAATAACAGAGACATAGTCCCTGTCCTAAATAGATTTTAATCTACTGTGACCATTCTGAAAATGTGGTCCAAGATTAATAGCAACACCATCTGCCTGTTAGAAATGTACATTTTCCTTCTCCACCCAGAAACCTGGAGTTGAAGCCCAATAATCTGTGTTTGAACAAGTTCTCTGGATGACTCTGATGCACAATAATGTTTTAAAAAACACTGGGGTAGTTGTTTCCCCAGAAGAATGAAGATCTCTGTTATACTTCCTTATTCCTTATTTGTTGTTGTTCTTGTTTTGAGACAGTTTCACTCTGTCACGCAGGCTGGAGTGCACTGGCATGATCTCAGCTCACTGCAATCTCTGCCTCCTGGGTTCAAGCGATTCTTGGGCCTCAGCCTCCCGAATAGCTGGGATTACTGGCATGCGCCACCACACCCAGCTATTTTTTTTTTTTTTTTGTATTTTTAGAAGAGATGGGGTTTCACCATGTTGGCCAGGCTGGTCTCGAACTCCTGACCTCAAGTGATCCACCTGCCTCAGCCTCCCAAAGTGCTGGGATTACAGGCATGAGCCACCACACTCGGCCATTATTTTGTGTTTGAATAAAAGTCTCAGTGCTTTTTAAATGTGTACATAAGCCTGAATTTCGGTTTAGGGGACAGAAGTAACCAGACTGTTTGGGGCACAGTCAGAGTTGTTATTTGCATTTTTCGCCCTTTTGAAATAGCTTCACCACTTTCATTAGATCTGTAGTTCCTGAATCACAGAAAGGTTTGTAATCTTTTTTATGAGCCTCTTCCATTAATGTATTTCTCTGTGCTCAGGAGGTCAGATCATCAAACCCAGTCTAATCTCTTGGTTGGAACAAGAAGAGTCAAGGACAGTTCAGGGAGGAGTTCTCCAAGGTGAGTGTTCATGAAGAACAACTCTGGTTGATGAGAAGTTCAGTATGTTTGAAAGCATAATTAGGAAACTTTTTAACATGTACTTTCTCCCTGCACTCTAAACCCCAAGGTTTAGAGAAAGTTAGGAAATATTTAACTTCCCACACGCTTTTATTTACAGAGCAGTCCCCCCTTGTCTGTGATTTCACTTTTCACGGTTTCAGTTATCTGCATTCAACCATGGTCCAAAAATATTAAATGGGAAACTCGGCCAGGCATGGTGGCCCACACCTGTAATCCCCACACATTGGGAGGCCTAGGTGGGTGAATCATTGAGCCCAGGAGTTCAAGACCAGCCTGGGCAACATACCGAGAACCTTGTTTCTACAAAAAATACAAAAATTAGCCGAGGGTGGTGGGACGCACCTGCTGTCCCAGTAACTCAGGAGACTGAGCTGTGAGGATGGATTGAGACTAGGAGGTCAAGGCTGTGGTGAGATGTGATTGCACCACTGTACTCCAGCCTGGGTGATAGAGTGAGACCCTGGCCACTGACCCCCACCCCACAAAAAAAAAAAAAAAAAAAAGAAAAAAAGAAAAATTTCCAGAAATAAACAAAACATAAGTTTTAAATTTCTCACCATTCTCAGTAGTATGATGAACCCTTATGTCATCCTGCCTGGGGTGTGAATCATCCTTTTGTCCAATGTATCTACACTGTGTACACCACCTGTGAGTCACGTAGCGGTCATCTCAGTTACCAGATCGAAGAATCATAGTATGTACAGGGTTCAGAACTAGCCATGATTCAGGCATCCACCTGGGGTCTTAGAACATTTCTTTAAGTTAATTGTGGCTTTTGTTTGTTTGTTTTGTTTTTTGAGATGGAGTCTTGCTCTGTCGCCCAGGCTGGAGTGCAATGGTGCAATCTCAGCTCACTGCAAGCTCCACCTCCCGGGTTTATGCCGTTCTCCTGCCTCAGCCTCCCAAGTAGCTGGGACTACAGGTGCCTGCCACCATGCCTGGCTAATTTTTTTATATCTTTAGTAGAGACGGGGTTTCACCGTGTTAGCCAGGATAATCTCAATATCCTGACCTCGTGATCTGCCTGCCTCGGCCTCCCAAAGTGCTGGGATTAAAGGCATGAGCCACCGTGCCCGGCCAAGTTAATTGTTTAGATATACGCTCTTTTTTCAGAAATTTCCTACTTTCATTCCCTGATTCTCTCTATTCACTATCAGTTTTAATTTTCATAGCATCAATTTGTAATAAACGATCGAAAAGTTTTACCCCATGTCCTTGTCTTGGCCAATTTTTCCCCCTTTGGATCATTTACATCAAAACCAAATTTTTGATATAGCCCAAATCCCCAAATGTCTTTCTGCTTTTTCTTGCCATGTTTAATTTGAAACAAATAGAAATAAGCCATATTGTTTTGAACTCTTTGCATTTCTTTCTCCAAATCCTTTCATTTGTTCTTGTTGTGGTTCACTCTGTTTGTTGCCAAGGCTGGAGTGCAGTGGTGTGATCTGAGCTCCTTACAACCTCTGCCTCCTGGATTCAAGAGATTCTCCAGCCTGAGCCCCGTGAGTAGCTGGGATTGCAGGTGCTCACCACCACACCCAGCTAGCTTTTGAATTTTTAGTAGAGGTGGGGTTTTGCCATGTTGGCCAGGCTGGTCTCAAACTCCTGACCTCAAGTGATCCACCTGCCTTAGCCTCCCAAAGTGCTGGGATTACAGGCATGAGCCACTGTGCCTAGCTTGAGTCCTTTTATTTGTTTGTCTGTTTTATTTCAGGATGGGAAATGCGACTTGAAACCCAGTGGTCTATACTTCAGCAGGACTTTTTGAGGGGTCAGACATCCATTGGGATACAATTGGTAAGATTTGCATAGGATATTTTTTATTTTCCACCCTCAGAGAAAATCAGGAATTCTGTTATGGGAAGTCAGCAAAAATAAGAGATATTTGAGAGAAGTTGCATACACATGAGAGGGAGCAAAGAATTTAGGGATGCTCCAATTGTGAAACTTGTTTCTTTGGAGCTTTCACACATTCCCACAAGTGTAACTAGACGTTGAGTTTTGTTTTGGTGTTTTTTTGAAACGAGATACTGCTCTGTCACCCAGGCTGGAGTGCAGTGGTGCAATCATGGCTCAGTATAGTCTTGACCTCCTGGGCTCAGGCGATCCTCCCACCTCAGCCTCCCTTGGTAGCTGGGACTACAGGCATGCACCACCACACCCAGCTAATTCTTCAAAATTTTGTGGAGACAGGGTCTTACTGTGTTTCCCAGGCTAGTCTCAAACTCCTGTGCTCAAGTGATCCTCTGCCTCAGTTTACAAAAGTGCTGGGAGTACAGGCATGAGCCACCACATCTGGCTTAGACTATGAATTTTTTTTTTTTGGTCGAGACAAGGTCTTGCTGTGTCACCCAGGCTGGATTGCAGTGGCACAAACATGGCTCACTGAAGCCTTGACCCCTTGGCTCAAGTGATCCTCCCACCTCAGCCTCCTATGTGGTTGGGACTACAGGAACACACCACCATGCCCAGCTAATTTTTTGATATTTTTTATAGAGATGGAGTTTTGCCATGTTGCCCAGGCTGGTCTCTAATTCCTGGGTTCAAATGATCCACCCACCTTTGCCTCCCAAAATGCTGGGATTACAAATGTGAGCTACTGCACCCATCTAGACATTGAATTCTACAGAAATCTGTTATTATTATTATTATTATTATTTTGAGACGGAGTCTCGCTTTGTTGCCCAGGCTAGAGTGCAGTGGTGTGATCTTGGGTCACTGCAACCTCCGCCTCCCAGGTTCAAGCGATTCTTGTGTCTCAGCCTCCCAAGTAGCTGGGATTACAGGCATGTGCCACCAAGCCCAGCTAATTTTTGTATTTTTAGTAGAGACAGGGTTTCACCATGTTGGCCATGCTGGTCTTGAACTCCTGACCTCAGGTGATCTGCCCCCCATCGGACTCCCAAAGTGCTGGGATTACAGGCATGAGACACCATGCCTAGCCAAGATTAAAGTAGATGGCACAACATTCTAGAATAAGAGTTAAGTCATACCACTTAAAATAAATCTACAGGGAAGGACCTGAATGCATGTAATAAAAATGGCATCAATTATAATCACCATTATAATGTTTCTAGCTTCAGATGGGTATGTTCTGTTAATATGTTTGAGAAAAATCCTTAAATCATCATCATCCCTTCAACAGGAAGGAAAACACAATGGAAGGGAACTCTGTGACTGTGAGCAATGTGGAGAAGTCTTCAGTGAACACTCATGCCTTAAGACGCACGTGAGAACTCAAAGTACAGGGAACACTCATGACTGTAATCAGTATGGAAAAGATTTCCTTACCCTGTGTGAGAAAACCTCTACTGGTGAGAAACTTTCTGAGTTTAATCAGAGTGAAAAAATCTTCAGCCTGACACCAAATATTGTATACCAGAGAACTAGCACACAAGAAAAGTCATTTGAATGTAGTCACTGTGGAAAATCCTTCATTAATGAGTCATACCTTCAGGCACATATGAGAACTCACAATGGAGAAAAACTCTACGAATGGAGGAATTATGGGCCAGGTTTTATTGACTCTACAAGCCTTTCTGTGCTTATAGAAACCCTCAATGCAAAAAAGCCCTACAAATGTAAGGAATGTGGAAAAGGCTATAGATACCCAGCCTACCTCAGTATTCACATGCGAACCCACACTGGGGAGAAACCATATGAATGTAAGGAATGTGGGAAAGCCTTCAATTATTCCAACTCATTTCAGATACATGGAAGAACTCACACTGGAGAGAAACCCTATGTATGTAAGGAATGTGGGAAAGCCTTCACTCAGTACTCGGGCCTTAGTATGCATGTACGATCTCACAGTGGAGACAAGCCCTATGAATGTAAGGAATGTGGGAAATCCTTCCTTACATCCTCACGCCTTATTCAACATATAAGAACTCACACTGGAGAGAAGCCTTTTGTATGTGTTGAATGTGGGAAAGCCTTTGCAGTTTCCTCAAATCTTAGTGGACATTTGAGAACTCACACTGAAGAGAAGGCCTGTGAGTGTAAGATATGTGGGAAAGTATTTGGGTATCCCTCATGTCTTAATAATCACATGCGAACGCACAGTGCCCAGAAACCATACACCTGTAAGGAATGTGGGAAGGCTTTTAACTATTCCACCCACCTTAAAATTCACATGCGAATCCACACTGGAGAAAAACCCTATGAGTGTAAACAATGTGGAAAGGCCTTCAGTCATTCCAGTTCATTTCAAATACATGAAAGGACTCACACTGGAGAGAAACCCTATGAATGCAAGGAGTGTGGGAAAGCCTTCACGTGTTCCAGTTCCTTTAGAATTCATGAAAAAACTCACACAGAAGAGAAACCCTATAAATGTCAGCAATGCGGGAAAGCTTACAGTCATCCCCGTTCACTTCGAAGACATGAACAAATTCACTAGTGAGAAACTGTCCATGTAATAAATGTGGGAAAGCTCTCATTTGTTCCAGTTCACTTTAAAGACATGAATGAACTCACTCTGGAGAGAAGAAGCTGCATGAAAATTACTTAATTCCTGTAATCCCAGCATTTTGAGAGGCTGAGGTGGGTGGATCACTTGAGGTCAGGAGTTTGAGACCACCCTGGCCAACATGGTGAAACCTTGTCTCTACTGAAAATACAAAAAATTTAGCCAGGTGTGGTGGGCACCTGTAATCCCAGCTACTTGGGAGGCTGAGGCAAGTGAATCACTTGAACCCAGGAAGCAGAGGTTGCAGTGAGCAGAGATCATGCCACTGCACTCCAGCCTGGGCGATGGAGTGAGACTCCATCTCAAAAAAAAAAAAAAAAGAAAATTATTTGATTAAATTGAGTCTGTTAGAGTACATCCCTAATCCAATATGATTGGTGTCCCTATAAGAAGAGAAAGACACAACTGAGACAACAAATAGAAGATGATGTGAAGTCATCAGATGATGGCCATCTGCAAGCCAAAGACAGAGCACTGGGACAGATCCTTCTATCAAAGCCACCAACCCTGCTGGCACCTTCATCTTGGGCTTCCAGAACTTTGAACAAATAAAATTCTCTTGTTTGAGCCACCCAGTCTGTGGTATTTTGTTGTGGTGGCTCTAGCAAGTGAATACAGTAAGCAATAAGCAAAAACGTTTATAGATTGTCCAAAAGCCTTAATATTCACATGCAAAGCCACACTGGAGAGAAACTATATGAATGTAAGACGTGGGAGAGCCTTCATTGAGTCTTCAGTCCTTTCTACATACAGGAGAAATCACATAGGAGAGAAATTGTATGAATGTAAGGAGCATGAAAAAGCCTGTGAATGTTCACTATATTTTAATATTCACATGCAAGTTGTCTGGTCGTAGACCATGTGAAAATAGAGGAGAAAAAAGGAAAGAAAGTTTCTTTTACTGTGAACGCAAGGAATGTGACCCCATACACCATACTGGAACTTGGAGTGGACTGAAATCCCATTAGGATTGTGGAAAAGCTTACATTAATGTTTTCTACCTTCTAGAAGGTGTAAGAAGTCGAACTGGAGAGAAGCCTTTTACCTGTAATGCATGTAGGAAGCCTTACATTAATTCCACAGAATTTTTTTTACACATGTAAAATTACCTCAGAACCCTGGGAAGGTAAGGAATATGGTATAACCTTTAAATATTTCACATGCCATAATAAGTACATGAATTCTGATAATACTGTACCGTTTCTTGAGTAGTGTTAGTACCTTATACTATCAAAATAATCCTAAATCCTCCCTCTCAGACCTTCCATCATTACTATATTTCACTTTTATGCCTATAAACACACACAAATTAGCATATGTAATCTAATACATTGTAGCTATTTTTCAGAAGTTATCAGATCAATTAAGTATTAGAAAAATAAACATTTTTATTTTACCTTCACTTCTTCCTTCTATGCTCAAAGTTGGATGTAATTCTTATACTTGATCCTCAATACTTAAAGCATTTCCCCCCCTCTGGCTTCTATGAAAATTTTTTGTTATCTTTGATATTCTGTTATTTTTAAATGATATGCCTAGGTATAGGTTTTTGGTGCTCGTCCTTCTTGGTGTTTGCTTAGCCTCCTGGATTTGCGTTTTGGTGTCTGAGTTAATTTTGAGAAATTCTGTCATTGTTTCCCTTTTTTTTTCTTTCCATCTGGTATTTCCTTTATATGTAGGATACATCTTTTGTAGTTATCCCACAGTTCTTATATCTTGTTTTTTTATTCTTCTCTTTGCTTTTCAGGTGTGGATGTTTCTGCTGATATATTCTCAAGCTCTTTAGTTGGCTGTTTCTTGGCCAATAATAAGCCTACCAAAGACATTCTTCATTTCTGTTACACTGTCTTCAATTTCTAGCATTTCTTTGTGGTTCTTAGAATTTCCATCTCTGTGTTTACACTGCCTGTCTGTTCTTGGATGCTGTCTGCTTTATCCAGTAGAACCCATGGCATATCAATCATAATTGTTTTAAATTCCCAGTCTGATAATTTCAGCAATCCTGCTATATCTGGTTCTGGTTCTTACTCTTTCTCTTTAAACTAACTTTTGCCTTTTAGTATGCTTGTAATTTTTCCTTAGCTGGACATGGCATACTGGATAAGAGGAAATGCTGTAAGCAGGCCTCTAGTAATCATGATAAGCTGTGGGGAGAGGGGCAGCATTCTATTGTCCAGGGATTAGATGTCAGTCTTGCAGTGAGTCTGTGCTTCTGCACTGTGAACTTCAGTTTTTCCCACCCTTTAGTTGGGTCAGGATGTATAGAGTTGGCTGGAGTTGGATATTTCCCTTCCTCCAGGTCACTGAAGCTCTGACTAAAACTCCAGGTGTGGTGGCTTATGCCTGTAATACCAGCACTTTGGGAGGCCAAGGCAGGTGGATCACCTGAGGTTGGGAGTTCATGACCAGCCTGAATTGCTTGAATCCAGGAGGTGGAGGTCACAGTGAGCCGAGATTGTGATACTGCACTCCAGCCTGGGAAACAGTGAGACACTGTCTCAAAAAAATAAATAAATAAATAAAAGGCTAGGCGCAGTGGCTCAACCCTGTAATCCCAGCACTTTGGGAGGCAGAGGTGGGTGGATCATGAGGTCAGGAGATCGAGACCATCCTGGCCAACATGGTGAAACCCCGTCTCTACTAAAAATACAAAAAAATTAGCTGGGTGTGGTGGCGGGCACCTGTAGTCCCAGCTACTTGGGAGGCTGAGGCAGGAGAATGGTGTGAACCCAGGAGGTGGAGCTTGCAGTGAGCCGAGATCACGCCACTGCACTCCAGCCTGGGTGACAGAGTGAGACTCTGTCTCAAAACAACAACAACAACAACAACAACAAAAACCCATCATCAATGCTCAGCCTTTCTTAAACATGAACTCATGGTGGACAGAGCCCTATGAATGTAAGGAATATAGAGAAGCCATCACTAGTTACTCAAACCTTATTGAATGTGTGAAAATTTACTCTGGAGAGATGCCCTTTCAGCATAAGAAATGTTGAAAAGGATTTATATAATCCTTCCTTTTTATTTTTATTTTTATTTTTATTTTTATTTTTATTTTTTTTGAGACGGAGTCTCGCTCTGTCGCCCAGGCTGGAGTGCAGTGGTGCGATCTCGGCTCACTGCAAGCTCCGCCTCCCGGGTTCACGCCATTCTCCTGCCTCAGCCTCCCGAGTAGCTGGGACTACAGGCGCCCGCTACCACGCCCGGCTAATTTTTTGTATTTTTAGTAGAGACGGGGTTTCACTGTGTTAGCCAGGATGGTCTCGATCTCCTGACCTCGTGATCCGCCCGCCTCGGCCTCCCAAAGTGCTGGGATTACAGGCGTGAGCCACCGCGCCCAGCCAATCCTTCCTTTTTAATATCCACATACAAACTCACTGAAGAAAAACCCTGAAAATGTAAAGCAATGTTGAAAAACCTAGTTATTTAAATTCATTTCAAGTATATGAACTCACATGGTAAAGAAACCCTGTGAATATAAGTAGTATGATAAATTCTTGAATTTTTTTTTTTTTTTTTTTTTTTTTTTGAGGCAGAGTTTTGCTCTTGTTGCCCAGGCTGGAGTGCAATGGCTCAATCTTGGCTCACTACAACCTCTATCACCCAGGTTCAAGTGATTATTCTGCCTCAGCCTCCCAAGTAGCTGGGATTACAGGCATGTACCACCATGCCCAGCTAATTTTGTATTTTTAGTGAAGGCAGGGATTCTCCATGTTGATCAGGCTGGTCTCGAACTCCTGACCTCCAGTGATCTGCCTGGTTTGACCTCCCAAAGTGCTGAGATTACAGGCATGAGCCATCACGCCCAGCCAGTTCTTCAATTCTTACAGTCCCTTTCCATGTCATTAAAGAACTCACACTGGAGAGAAATCTTATCAATGTTAGAATTGTGGTAAAGCTCTCTGTTGTTCCCATTTACATGAAAGATGTGAACAGTCACATTGTAGAAAAATGCTGTGAGAGTTGGGAATCTGGAACCACTTCTTTATTATCTCAGGTCATAATGAACTTGTAAGAATTCACAGTGGCAGGAAACCCTATGTAAATGGAAAATATGGGAAAGGCTTCATTTAATCCATAGGACTGATACCACAAAACTCCCACTAGGAGAAAACCTATGTTTATACGGAATGTGGGAAAATCTTCACTTATTTCTCAAGCCTTAAAGTGTATGTCAGGATTCCCAGTGGAGAGAAGCCATATTGATGTAAGGAATGTGGGAAAGCCCTTGCCTGCCACTTAGTCCTTGATAAACATTTTAGAACACAAACTGGAGAGAAACTATGAATTCAAGGATTGTGGGAAAACCCTTTTATGTTCCACAAGCTTTAATATTCATATGCAATGTATGCTGGAGAATAACTTGATGACTATAATAAGTGGAATGGCCTAGGTCAGGGATCCCCAAACCCCTGGGCCATGGACTGGTACTGGTCTGTGGCCTGCTAGGATCCAGGGTGCACAGCAGGAGGTGAATGTAGGATGAGCAAACATTACTGCCTGAGCTCAACTTTCTGTCAGATCAGCAGTGGCATTAGATTCTCATAGGAGCATGAACTTTATTGTGAACTGCACATGCAAGGGATC
The DNA here is from genome assembly GCF_000001405.40 of Homo sapiens. Taxonomy (NCBI): domain Eukaryota; kingdom Metazoa; phylum Chordata; class Mammalia; order Primates; family Hominidae; genus Homo; species Homo sapiens. The sequence goes on along the minus strand of NC_000019.10, from coordinate 9,523,723 downwards.
TAGGTTGCACACTCCTTATGAGAATCTAATGCCTGATGATCTGAACTGGAACAGTTTAATCCCCAACTCCAGTCCGTGGGAAAAATGTCTTCCACGAAACTGGTCCCTGGTGCCAAAAAGTTAGGGGACCACTGATTTAGATTATGTCACATGTCCCATCCACTCATTAACATTAAGGCTTTCATCCCTGGGACCTCAAGATAATGGTGGTATTTAGAGATGTGGTTTTTTAAAGAGGTGATTTTAAAATGAGGCAGTTAGAATGGGGCCCTCATTCAATATGACTGGTTTCCTTATAAGAAGTGAAAGAGATACCAGGGTAGCAGGCACAGAATTTTATGTGAAGTGACCGGAAATGGTTACCTTCAAGGCAAAGAGAGATTCCTGGAGGAGATCCTTCTTTTAAGGCTCATTATAGAGGAAATCATCCTTATCTACACTTTGATCCTGGACTTCCAGCCTCAAAAATTATGAGCAAATAAATTTCTGTTGTTTAAGCCATTCAATGTGTGGGGTTCCTTTTTTTGGTCAACTCTATCAAAATAATACAGTAAAGAATGTGAGAAAACCTTTAGATATTCCATAGTCTTTAATATTCATGTTCAGAGTTACAATGGAAAGAAACCTTATGAATGTAAGGAATGAAATGTTTTCTGTCTGTGTAGTGTGTGTGTGTGTGTGTGTGTGTGTGTGTGTGTGTGTGTGAGACACAGTCTCCCTCTGTTGCCCAGGCTTGAGTACAATGGCATGATCTTGGCTCACTGCAACCTCTGCCTCCTGGGTTCAAGCATTTCTCCTCTCTCAGCCTCTGGAGTAGCTAGGATTACAGGCACGTACCACCATGCTCAGCTAATTTTTGTATTTTTAGTAGAGCTGGGGTTTCATCATGTTGGTCAGGGTGGTCTCGAACTCATGGTCTGAAGTGATCTGCCCACCTTGGCTTCCCAAAGTGCTGGGATTACAGGCATGAGCCACCACACCTGGCCTCTTTTCAATCTTTGGTCTGCTAAATGTAAGAAATCACACAGGAGACCATTTCAGTGAATCTAAGGCATGTGAAAAACCATTTTATTATCCCTTAGAGCATCCGAACTCATCTGGTGAAAGAACTTATAAAACTCACATGAGAAAAAAGAATACAAAGAAGAGGTTTCTTGTAGTATGAAATCAAAGAACGTGATCTTGCACAAAATGGAAGAGCTTAGAGTGGATTGAAGCCCCATCATAAGGAATGTGGGCCGGGCATAGTGGCTCACACCTGTAATCCCAGCACTCTGGAAGGCTGAAGCGGGCAGATCACTTGAGCCCAGGAGTTCGAGACCAGCCTGGGCAACATGGTGAAACCTCATCTCTACAAAAGTACAAAAATTAGCTGGTCATGGTAGTGTGCGTCTGTAGTCCCAGCTACTGAGGAGGCTGAGGTGGGAAGATCACTTGAGCCCAAGAGGTGGAGGTTGCAGTGAGCCGAGATTGTGCCAGTGCACTCCAGCCTGGGTAACAGAATGAGACCCTGTCTCAAGAAAAAGTTGACTGAAAAATAAGAGAAACAAAAGGAACGTGGCAGGGCTTTTAAAAACTTCATACCTTATAGAAGGTGTAGAAACTCAGTGGAGAGAAACCTGCTTGTAAATCAAGTGGAATCACCTTTGTTCATTCATAAGGCTTCTTTTGTGCATTGTAAATTGCTGTGAAGCCATGGGAAGGGGAAAAGTGGGATACAACCCTTAGATATTTCACACGCCATAATATCTGCCTGACGGAGCCACCAAGCATGTCCCTTCTTTAAAAGGTCAGGTAGGGGGCCTGGCATGGTGGCTCACACCTCTAATCCCAGCACTTTGGGAGGCCAAGGCGGGTGGATCACTGGAGGTCAGGAGCTCAAGTCCAGCCTGGTCAATATGGTGAAACCCCATCTCTACTAAAAATACAAAATTAGCCAGGTGTTGTGGTGCATGCCAGTAATCCCAGCTACTTGGGAGGCCAAGACAGGAATTGAAGACCAGCCTGGCCAACATGGCAAAACCCCATCTCTACTAAAAATAGAAAAATTAGCCAGGCATGATGGTGGGGATGTGTAATCCCAGCTACTCAGGACACTGAGGCAGGAAAGTTGTTTAAACCCAGGAGGTGGAGGTTGCAGTGAGCCAAGATTGCGCCACTGCACTCCAGCCTGGGCGACGAGCGAAGCTCCATCTCAAAAAAAAAAAAAAAAAAAAAGAAGAAGGTGAGGTAGGGGCTGGGCCTAGTGGCTCATGCCTGTAATCTCCGCACTTTGGGAGGCCAAGACAGGAGGATCACCTGAACCCAGGAGTTCACAACCAGCCTGGGGCAACATAGCAAGACTCTGCCTCTTAAAAAAAAAAAAAAGATCAGATAGGGACGTAGTACTAATCTCTTTCTGAAACTGAATGCTTGACATCTCCAAAGAATTCAGTGACCAGCAAGGGAATGTCCCAGTAAGCTTCGCTGGTCACATAGAAATGGAAACGGAATGAGTGCAGCAGCCTGACATTAGCAGCCTTGTGGCTTTACCTATTGGCAGCTACATCTTTTGGAAAAACTTTATCATAATTTTATCATGCATTTCTCCACCTGAAGCTAAGCTGCTGGCTCAAGGGGACCCTTATTTTCTGGCTGGGCCTCTTCAGTCATGATTGGAATAAGCTGAAAGCTGAATGTGTCCACTGGGTTTCTCCAGGCATCCAGCCTTGGAGTGCAATGGTGGGATCTTGGCTCACCGCAACCTCCACCTCCCAGGTTCAAGCGATTCTCCTGCCTCAGCCTCCTGAGTAGGATTACAGGCATGCGCCACCACGCCCGGCTAATTTTTTTGTATTTTTAGTAGAGGCGGGGTTTCTCCATGTTGGTCAGGCTGGTCTCGAACTCCCAACCTCAGGTGATCCACCCACCTCAGCCTCCCAAAGTGCTGGGATTACAGGCATGACCCACCCTGCCCAGCTCTGGAAGCCTTTCTGTATCACTCTTGTTGCAAATAAGATAATTCATTTTGGGGATACATTCAAATAAATGACATGAAGATGAAATTGTCTTTCTGTTTGTCCTATTCTCAGATAAGACGTGTGGCCCCTTAGTTTTCTGTGGTGGTTTTATGTGATTAAATTTGTTTTTGAAAGAGTTTCTGAATATATTACTTGTTCTGTTATGCACATTTTATAAATTAGCACTTTCTTCATGACTGCAGTTGTAAACACTTTCTCATTTGCATTATATGTTCATTTAACAGTGAGCGTGTGTTTAACTGCCAAGATAAGTTTTTTTGTTTTTGTTTTTTCTTTTTTTTTCCATAAAATCCAGATTCTGCAAAACTTGGGGATTTTTTGGTTTTGCTTTGAGATGGAGTCTCCCTCTGTCACTCAGGCTGGAGTCCAGGGGTGCAACCTCTGCTCACTGCAACCTCTGCCACCTCACCTGGCTGTCATGAGGGATTATTAATAGATGCTTTTAGATAGTCCTCTCTAGTGTCATTGATAATTGGTCATACCATGGGTCTACATGGAATTTCTTTTCTTTCCTTTTTTTTTTTTTAAGGTGTGCACTTTCATTCAACTGCTGTCAAGTCAGTGTACAGGTAAGCCCTGGCTGCCTCCATTCCTCCACCCACCCCTAGGGAGACCAACAGCCTTTATACATCTCAAGTTGGGGGACAAAAATGGGGGGACATGATGGCTGATCATTCAAAATTAAAAATACAAAGGCAAAGATTTAAAAAATTTTATATAATTTACACAAAAGCAATGCTATCACCACCCCATGTGAACTTGGGAGAGGACTGGGCATTCTCCTTAGAAATGGGGTGGCTTTTGGGAGGGCAAGGGACTTCCAGTAAGAATGCACCTCCCAGCCGGGCGAGGTGGCTCACGCCTGTAATGCCAGCACGGGAGGCTGAGGCAGGTGGATCATGAGGTCAGGAGTTCGAGACCATCCTTGCCAATATGGTTAAACCCCATCTCTACTAAAAATACAAAAATTAGCTGGGTGTGATGGTGCACCTGTAATCCCAGCTACTTGGGAGGCTGAGGCAGAAGAATCGCTTGAACCTGGGAGGCGGAGGTTGCACTGTGCCAATTTGCACCACTGCACTCCAGTCTGGGCGACTGAGTGAGACTCTGTCTCAAAAAAACAAAAAAGAGAATGCACCTCCCGATATTTGGAATGACTATTTAAAAAAAGAACAATGTATAATCAAAGTCCTCAGCCACATTGTAGAACGTTTGGGATTCTTCGCTCCAACTAACTGCTGTCACCTTCACCATTCCAGGTTTTAAATCTTAAGCCAAAAAAAAAAAAAAAAAAAACCAATCTTATTTTCTGCATAAATTAGGTTTTTGTCAAGAAAGGTTATAATGTAAGTCACCGTCCGCCTAGAAGTATTTGTGGTAGGGTGGACAATACTGAGGCCGGACTCCTCGTATTCCTGCTTGCTGATCCACATCTGCTGGAAGGGGGACAGCGAGACCAAGATGGAGCCACTGATCCATACAGAATATTTGTGCTCAGGAGGAGCAATGATGTTGATCTTCTTCATGCTGGGAGCCATGGTGGTGATCTCCTCCTCCATCCTGTCAGCAATACCAGCGTACATGGTGGTGTCACTGGACAGCACTGGGTTGGCATCCAGGTCTTTGCAGATGTCAATGTCACATTTCATGATGGAGTTGAGGGTAGTTTCATGGATGCCACAGGATTCCATGTCCAGGAAGGAAGGCTGGAAAAGTGCCATGGGACAGCGGGGACCGCTCGTTGCTGATGGTGATGACCTGGCTGTCAGGCAGCTGGAATCTCTTCTTCAGGGAGAAGCTGGAGGCCACGTGCAGGGACAGCAGAGCCTGGATGGCTATATACATGGATGGGGAGTTGAAGGTCTCAGACATGATCTGGGTCATCTTCTCATGGCTGGCCTTGGGGTTCAAGGGGGCCTCGGTCAGCAGCACCGGGTGCTCCTTGGGAGAAACATGCAGCTCATTGTAGAAGGTGTCGTGCCAGGCTGAGCACAGAGGCTCATGCCTGTAATCCCAGCACTTTGGGAGGCCGAGGTGGGTGGATCACTAGGTGAGGAGATCGAGACCATCCTGGCTAAGACAGTGAATCCCCATCTCTACTAAAAATACAAAAAATGAGTCGGGTGTGGTGGCGGGTGCCTGTAGTCCCAGCTACTCAGGAGGCTGAGGCAGGAGAATGGCATAAGCCCGGGAGGTGGAGCATGCAGTGAGCCGAGATTGCGCCACTGCCCTCCAGCCTGAGCAACAGAGCGAGACTCCGTCTCAAAAAAAAAAAAAAAAAAAAAAAGGTGTGGTGCCAGATCTTCTCAATGTCATCCCAGTTGGTGACAATGCTCTGCTCGATGGGGTATTTCAGGGTCAGGTTGCCTCTCTTGCTCTGGGCATCTTCACCCACGTAGGAGTCCTTCTGACCGATGCCCACCATAACGCCCTGGTGCTTCAGATGCCCCACGATGGAGGGGAAGATGGCCCGGGGGGCATTGTCGCCCACGAAGTTGACCTTGCACATGCCGGAGCCATTGTTAACTACAAGCACCTCAATATCATCATCCATGGTGAGCTGACAGCGGGCGTGTATAGGCGGCAGAGTGGCCAGGGCAAGGCTTTGTGCTCGCGGGATAGATGCAGTCTCAGCGGTCGCATTTCTTCTTTAAAAAAAAAATAAAAAAAAATAGAGATGATGGGGGGCCGGCCACAGTGGCTCACTCCTGTAATCCCAGCACTTTGGGAGGCGGAGGCAGGCAGATCACGAGGTCAGGAGATCGAGACCATCTTGCTAACACACTGAAACCCTGTCTTTACTAAAAAAATACAAAAAAATTAGCCAGGCGTTGTGGGGTGCCTGTAGTCCCAGCTACTCAGGAGGCTGAGGCAGGAGAATAGTGTGAAACTGGGAGGCAGAGCTAGCAGTGAGCCAATATCGCTCCACTGCACTCCAGCCTGAGCGACAGAGCGAGCCTCTGTCTCAAAAAAAAAAAAAAATAGAGATGGGGGTCTCACTATGTTGCACAGGCTGGTCGAGAACCACTGGCCTCAAGAGAGCCTCCTGCCTTGGCCTCCTAAAGTGCTGGGATTACAGGCATAAGCAACTGCACCTGGCCTTTATTTTATTTTATTTTATTTTAAGACTGAGGCTTGCTCTGTTGTCCAGGCTGGAGTGCAGTGGCGCGATCTCAGCTCACTGCAGCCTCTGCCTCCTGGGTTCAAGCAATTCTCCTGCCTCAGCCTCCCGAGTAGCTGGGACTACAGATGCCTACCACCACGCCTGGCTAATTTTTGTATTTTTAGCAGAGATGGTGTTTCACCATGTTGGTCAGGATGGTCTCGATCTCCTGATCTCGTGATCTGCCCACCTTGGCCTCCCAAAGTTCTGGAATTACAGGTGTGAGCCACTGCGCCTGGCCCTTTATTTTTATTTATATATATTTTTTGAGACAGAGTTTTAGTCTTGTTGTCGAGGCTGGAGTGTAATGGCATGATCTCAGCTCACTGCAACCTCTGCCTCCCAGGTTCAAGTGATTCTCCTGCCTCAGCTTCCTGAGTAGCTGGGATTACAGGCACGTGCCACCATGCCTGTCTAATTTTTTGTATTTTTAGTAGAGACGGGGTTTCACCATATTGGGGTGACAGGCATGTCTGGAACTCCTGAACTCAGGTGATCCACCTACTTCAGCCTCCCAAAGTGCTGGGATTACAGGCATGAACCATCGCGCTCAGCTTCCTTATTCTTTTATTTATTTATTTTTGAGGTGGAATCTTGCTCTGTCACCAGGCTGGAGTGCAGTGGTGCAATCTTGGCTTACTGCAACCTCCACCTCCTGGGTTCAAGCGATTCTCCTGACTCAGCCTCCTGAGTAGCTGGAACTACAGCTATTACTACAGGCGTGCATCACCACACCCAGCTAATTTTTAGTAGAGATGGGATTTCACCATGTTGGTCAGGATGGTCTTGATCTCTTGACCTCGTGATCCACCTGCCTCGTCCTCCCAAAGTGCTGGGATTATAGGCGTGAGCCACCACTCCTGGCCTCTTTATTCTTATTTATAAGAAAATTCTCTCTGACCTCGCAGGTCAAATAATAGCTAGTTGTCTTCTCAATATTCATTCTCCCCTACTCCCCTCCCTTTTTTTTTTTTTGAGATGGAGTCTCACTCTTGTTGCCTAGGGTGGAGTGCAATAGTGCAATCTCGGCTCACCACAACCTCCACCTCCCAGCTTTGAGCAATTCTACTGCCTCAGCCTCCCAAGTAGCTGGAATTACAGGCATGAGATACCATGCCAGGCTAATTTTTTATTTTTAGTAAAGATGGGGTTTCTCCATGTTGGTCAGGCTGGTCTCAAACTCCCAGCCTCAGGTGATCCAACCACCTCAGCCTCCCAAAGTGCTGGGATTACAGGCATGAGCCACCATGCCTGGCCACTGGATGAGTTTTTACAACATACTGGAAAAATCAGGTCAACTATATGCTAGTGAAGCCATTAAAGCTTCTATCTAGAAGGTGGTTCAGTGTCTGTGGGTAAAAGAGGAGAGAAGTTAGTCATGGGGCAGATAATAAGTGGCCTCAAGAACATGTCTGAATTCCTGTTTTGAGTCTCCTTCCCTAGTGCTACCAGCCCATCCATCATCCTCCTGCGATATCCATCCTGGTACATTCTTGAAGATGCTCATTGCCTGAGCCAGAATATATGAGTGATGTTTTAGAACTCCTTGACCTTCAAGTAAATGGCAGTAGACTTATTGTTGGAGGAGTGGGTATTACTGGACTTTGTTTGGGAAAACCTGTACAGAGACATGTTGCTGGAGAACTTTAGAAACTTAACCTTGATGGAGCAGGCTGGCCTTGTTCCTTCTTCTTTCGTAATGCAGCAAATAGTTGTTCTTAAGCATGTCTTGTGTTCCAAGATTTGCCATAATAATGGCAAGTTAGTGGTGAACACAAAATGGATGGTTCCTGTCCTTGTGAGGCAGTCTAGTGACTTCCCAGGAAAATAAAAATCTGTTCATTGCACGGATTTCATTTTCTCTGTTATGGTTTTCAAGGATTAGTTCTATATGGGGTAGTGAGTGAGGGTATTTGCTTTTGAGTCCTTGTGAAAATTTTCTACTCTTATTATTTTGCTGTTTCTAAAATTGGACTTGTCTATCTTCAGAACGCTTTAAATCCAAAGTGTTAGAATTCTTTTTATGCAAAGTTCTTGTCTCCTACTCATGACTCCCACATCCTGTGTCTTGTCCCATGAGCAGGGTATCAGCTCTGCAAATGTAGTATGATTAAGAAGGTGTAGCACAAAATGGTGAGGTCAGAGAAGAGAGGAATCCTTCAAGTCACCTGTACAGGTGAGCCCCAGGCAGAAAAGTGTCATTGTGTGGGATAACCTTGTCTAGTGAGAAGCCATTGGAGAAAGATAACAGACAAATAAAGGGGAAGAATTAAAATGTGAAGAAATAATGGGTAAAACTTTCCAAATTTGACGAAAGGCATGAATCTCTAAATCCAAGAAGCTCAGCAAACTCCAAGTAAGAGAAACTCAGAGAGGCCCACAGTGAGTCACATTATCATCAAAATGTCAAATAGCAAAGACAAAGAGTGCTGAAAGAAGTAATTCCTTACATAAAGGAATTCTCTATAGTGAAAAATTTGGGGAGCTGAAAGCCTGAGGGTTGTGACCAACTCAGCATTCCACTGGAGGCTATATGATCAAACAGCAAACTGTTTATCATAAATGCAGCATGTGGGCAAACTCACATCTGCGCCTGCCACCAGAAGTTATGCCTAGGGCAATCGCTCCCTGGTGCTGTGCTCCTTGAGGTTATCTACTGGAATATCTGGAGCCTACTGTTCAAAGAAAGCAGTCATGGAGACCTGCACTAAATCAAGCAACTGACTGACAATCACCCCCTCCTCCCTATTTCCTTTACTCAATAAATATGAAGGGCTCTAGAAGCTCAGGGCCCTTGTTCACTAGAAGCAAGGAGCCCCCAACCCCTTCTTTTAAAACAGATATTTTTGTTTTTGTCTTTATTTCTGTTTGTCCCCCTTTGTTCAGTCCACCAGGGTCTGTGGCAAAGTGGCATCATGAACAGGGACTTCAAGGACGTGAATGAAGAAGGTCTGCTGGAGCAGAGGAAGTGAAGCTAACAAGATGAACGAGGACCTAGGGACAAATCTGCCAGCAGGGAGTATAAGGTCAGTGCTCTAAAGAAGTGCTGGGAATGGGAAGTTCTGAATCAGGGTAACATGGGGCAGAATTTGTCTGTTGAAGAAAAACATTATGTGCAATTGCTTAAAGTTCTGTTGAAACAGCCTGGAGCTCAAGTTAATTCACAGACATTAACTAGGCTTCTGCAGGAGGTTATGACACATAACCCATTGTTTCTGCAGGCAGGCACTCTCAATGTAGAAAATTGGGACAAAGTAGAAGAGGGATTGAAATGGGCTCATCAAAATGTCTCAAAGTAGACCCTTCTGTTTTTTCTGCTTGGGTTTTGGTTCACATGGTCCTACTGCCATTGTCTTCTTATTCTGTCAGACAACAGGAGTCAGGTTCTGAGTCTCAAGAATTAAAAACATCATTTGTTTCTCTGACAGTGCCTATTGAAAATAATGAGCAGGAGAAAGGGGAGGAGAATTGGCTGTTTGCTAAGCAGGAAATAGGAGAGGAGAATTGACCTCTGCCACCCCATCCAGTAACAGAAGTAGAAACCCATGTACAAAAAATTTTGTGTGCTGCTGCTACGGCTGGGGAACCTTTAGGACCTTGCAGTTTTCCTATTACTGTAAGGCCTGATCCGAATGATCTGCAACATCTTTTACATGAGCACAGTCCTGTAGAGTTTAAATTACTAGAAGAATTAAAAGCTAGTGTGGTTAATAATGGGTTGCAAAGCCTGTTTACTATAAGGCTGTTAGTATCAGTGTTTGGAGCCATGCGCCTCCCACCCTTTGATATAAAACATTTGGCTCGCACTTGCTTATCTGTCAGTGCATATCTCGCATGGAGTTTAAATTGACAAGAAATGTGCACAGACCAGGCTGGGCAGAATCATGCCTCTGGTCAAGGAAACACTACAGAGAAAATGCTGACAGGCTGTGACCCCTTTTCAGATCTGGTACAACAATTAACACTCCCAGAGACCGCTTACCTCCAGTCTGCCTTAGCCGCTAAGCATGCTTGGAGCACAATTCCTGAAGAGGGAGTTCCAGTGCAGTCTTTTCTACTTGTCATGCAGGGATCATGGGAACCTTATGGACAATTTATCACGTGGCTGCAAGAGGCAGTGCAGCATCAGGTCCCTCAGGCCTCTGCTACAGAAATGCTTACCATAACTCTAGCCTATGAAAATGAAAATGCAGATTGCAAGCATGCAATGGCTGCTCTGAGATCCACAAAGAGCTTGGGGAATTACCTTAAAGCCTTTCAGGGTGTAGGAACTGAATCATCATTCTACAATGTTAGCTCAAGCAATGGCTAGTTTAGTAGTTGACAAATCTAAAGGGAGCCAAGGGTCAAACCCCAAAGTGGGAAAATGTTAAAATTGTGGAAAAACTGGAAGTTTTAAAAAGGAATGCCACCAGATCTCAGAAAAGAAAGGACTTTACAATGTGGTGTCCTTTCCAGCAGAAAAAATGCCAGGACTCTGTCCTCGCTGTGACAAAGGAAATCACTGGGCTAATCAATGCCACTCAAAATTTCATCAGAATGGCACCCCACCTGTTGGGAAACGATAAGGGGGCCTGGACCTGGGCCCCTCAAACAATGAGGGCATTCCCAGTTCAGACCACAACCCCACTTCAGGGGTGGGTCCCAGGACAAATATTGATTCCCTTTCCCCAGGAACACCAGGAAGTGCAGGATTAGATCTCTCCGCCAGAGAAAGAATTACACTAATTGGAGGAGACAAACCTACCAAAGTCCCCCCTGGCATTTGGGGACATATACCAGCAGGATACATGGGACTAATTTTAGGCAAAGCTGCCTTAACTTGCAAGGCATCAATGTAGTCCCCAGAGTAGCTGACTCTGATTATGAAGGAGAAATTAAAGTAGTTTTAATGTCACAAGATCTTTGGGTTTTTGAACCAGGTGCATATATAGTGCAATTATTGCCTATCCCCTGCAAATTACACCCTTCTCCATGAAAGGAGAAATGAGGAAATAAAGGATTTGAGAGCACAACTGCATGAGAAATCTATTTATCACAACCCATAGCCTCTAATAGACCCACCTGTGTAGTGCAAATTAAAGGAAAAAAATTTTATGAGCTTGTAGATACAGGAGCTGATGTGTCAGTAATATCTAGTAAGGATTGGCCTCCATCTTGGCCCCTCAGATGAACCTCCACATCCCTAGTGGGAATAGGAGCTGCTCAAAGCATTCAACAGAGTGCTGAGATTTTACCTTGTCTTGGTCCGGATGGACAATCATGTACTTTCCAGCCTTATGTTGCAAATATAGCTATCAATTTATGGGGTCGAGACTTACTTACAGCTTGGGATATGTGACCTACAAATGAACACGTTGATAACCCAGGATTTAAAATGTTGAAAGACATGGGATATCAGAATGGGAAAGGTTTAGAAAAATTCCTACAAGGAAACCCTAACCTGATATCAATAACTGGAAAGACAGAAAAAGATAGGGACATCAGGATTTATGATTGGAGTCATTAATATTTCTCCTCTCCCCACTGCTTTGTTGCTAGAATGGCTGACTGACAAACCTGTGTGGGTGGATCAATGGCCCCTATCACAGGAGAAACTAGCTCAACTCCATCAGCTAGTAAAAGAGCAATTAGATGCGTGACATATTGAAGAGTCAGTTAGCTTCTGGAATACACCAGTATTTGTAATTCCAAAGAAGTCAGGGAAATGGTGATTGCTACATGATTTGGGAGCTACTAATGCACAGATTAAACCAATGGGTGCATTACAGCAAGGTCTGCCATCCCTGCAGCCATCCCAAGGGACTGGCCTCTTGTAGTAACAGATCTTAAAGATTGTTTCTTTACTATACTATTACATGAGAAAGATAAGCCTTGATTCGCCTTCTCTGTGCCTTCTATTAATAAAAAAAGAACCTGTTTCTCATTATTAATGGAGAGTTTTACCTCAAGACGTGCTTAACAGTACCAAATTATGTCAGCATTTTGTGCAAAGAGCATTAAAAGAGCCTCAAAATATGTTTCCCACTGCATATATCATTCATTACATGGATGATATTCTTTTGGTTGCACCTACAGATCAAATATTGCATCAATTATTGAGAGAAGTAAAGCAAGCTCTTGTTAAATGGAAGCTCAAAATTGCTCCAGAGAAAGTGCAAACAACTTCCCCATACCATTACTTAGGAACTATTGTTATGGAGAGGAGTGTACGGCCTCAGAAAATGGTTCTCTGTAAAGACAGGTTACAGACTTTAAATGATTTTTGACAATTGTTAGGGGACATTAATTGGTTGCTACCAATTAAAACCACATAAAGGTGTTCTTAAACCACAAACAATAGAATGAAAAATCTGTGCATTAAGGACATGCTCCTGCTGCAGATAACTAGTGAGACCCATCCCTTTATTTCAGCCCATCCCTTTGTTTCCCATAAGGAATACTTTTAGTTAATCTATAATCTATAGAAACAATGCTTATCACTGGCTTGCTGTTAATAAATATGTGGGTAAATCTCTGTTCGAGGTTCTCAGCTCTGAAGGCTGTGAGATCCCTGATTTCCTGCTCCACACCTCTATATTTCTGTGTGTGTGCCTTTAATTCCTCTAGCACCGCTGGATTAGTGTCTCCCTGACCGAGCTGGTCTTGGCAAATGGACCTGCTTATACTAGTAATGCTTTTCAAAATTTCCTACAGCTTTGAGCTATTACTCACAAAACAGGAATTGCTTACAACCCTTGAGGACAAGGAATTATAGAGTAGGCACATCAAACATTACAATGCATGTTGAAAAAACAGAAAGAGGGAATAGCAGACCAGCTACTACCTCAAACAAAACTACACTTAGCCCTATTTACTTTAAATTTTTTGACTCCTGGTATTGGTGGTAAGACTCCAGCAGAAAGACATTGGCAAGTGTTAGAGAAAAAGAGGAAAGTTCTTCTGAAAGTGTTATGGAAATCCCTGGAAGGACAATGGAAAGGCCTGGTGGACTTATTGACATGGGGATGAGGGTATGCTTGTGTTTTTACAGGAGATGGACAAACCATTTGGGTGTCCTCAAGGTGCATGCAACCATGGAACAGGAGACTGGAGGGATCCATGGCGGCCAACCATGGGCCTGGTCCCTCCGGTATGGGCCATGAGCCAGCTGAGCCTGAGTGTGAAGATGGAGAAAAGGCTGACCGGAGTCACGAGGACATCAAACCCCATAACCTGAGGGCAACTCAAGAAAACCACGCAGGAAGCTGAGAAAATGCTGGAGCGTCAGGGCCAGGCAAAAACCCCTGAATCCATGTTCTTGGCCATGTTAGCCATAATGTCCTGTGTGGTATGTTTTCTCTCTGCAGAGGCAAAAACATATTGGGCATATGTTTCTAATCCCCTAGTAGTATGGCTTGTACTTTGGAGTGGCACTCCCCCTGAGATCTATCATGATCAGGGAGCATGGGCTCCAGGACCTCTAACTCCTCCTGACATAGAACAGTTAGACTCTCAGAACAATGTCATCAATTATATGGCCCCACTGGAAGGACTCCCCTGGTGTATCACTACAAAGATATTGCTCAACTGTAGTAGCTGTCTTACAATTCAAGCTCAAGCATGGTTGAGTCACCATGGAAAAGTCATGTGCTTATTAGGTCTTAGTTCTATTAATGTAACTGGTGTGCTAACCAACCATTCCCGGCCCAATCACCCCAATTGTGTTGACTATATGGAATGGATTCCCTTCAATAGTTCCTACCCCGCTCCATGGACCCAATGTCTTGGCCCACTGGCTAGAAAACAATCTATGTTAACTGAAGACATTGTGACTTGGGGACCTAAAGGTCAACTAGATGGTAAAGATAAAATCAGACATCATGGCACAAACTTCACTGTCATTGGTAGCAGACTTTCAATGCTTCTTCTTTACACCACACCAGGATCCAATCCCATTCTGCTGCCAGGGTTGCTTGGCATGGAACAGGCTTTATCCCGCCTCTTCTTCAGTGGCAATATCTAGGTAGGAAAGGTCCAATTCAAGAAACAATATGGAAAGCAGCAGTCCCATTTACAAATGGTACTATCTGGGTAGGGGTACTCTCTAATACTAGTACTGCTACTCGACACAGTTTTGATGTTACATTTGTAAAGAGTATCACCACTAAATTTACGGTTTGTGTTTTTAATCCTTATGTCTTTATGGCAGCTAAGAAGGACCAGCTCCAGGTAAACAATACCCAATTGACCTGTAAATCTTGTCAGTTATATCACTGCATTAATCATAGCACATTGCAAACACATCTCTACCTTGATAATTATGGGTCGCATCCCTGGGATATGGATTCCTGTTAATCTGTCAGAGCCTTGGGCCTCCACCCCTGCTTTGCACTTCATGAAACTTCTAACTCAGCTTACTCATTGTACCCGTAAAGTCTTAGGCATGATAATTTTTGCTATTATTTCCTTGGTCACACTAATAACTTCTGTAGTAATGTCCTCTGTAGCTTTGCATAGTTCTGTTCAAACAGCTCAGTACGTGGAGAACTAGACATGTACCACCAAGAAAATATGGCTACTTCAGAGTAAAATTAACACTGAGTTACAAACTGAAGTGGCAATGTTGAAATCCATGGTTCCATGGTTAGGGCAACAAGTACAAAGCTTACAATTGCAACAGCAATTGTGCTGTCATTTTAATCACACTCATATTTGTGTAACCAACTTAGAATATAACCAAAGTGAGTATCCATGGGACCTTGTGAAAGCCCATTTGCAGGGAGCTTTCACATCCAATATCGCCTTTGATATTGGTGAATTATGAAACAAAATTATTGGTTTAAATAAGCAAACTCAAGAGTTTCAGCCTTCTTTAGAAGCCTGGACCAAATTCCAGTGAGGTCTGGAGAGCCTCAATCCTTGGACCTATCTAAAGCGCCACATTAACATCTCATGTATAGTTCTGGGAATAATGCTGTTCTGTCTTTGTTTTCTGTTCATAGTCTATAAAATTGGATGGACTGCCAATCAGAAAATGAGAGCTGCCCAACCTGGCCTTACATTCATTCAATTAATGCAAAAACAGAAAGGGGGAGATATTGGGAGCTGAAAACCTGAGGGTCATGACCAACTCAGCATTCCATTGGAGGCTATATGATCAAACAGCAAACTGTTTATCATGAATGCAGGATGTGGGCAAACTCACATCTGTGCCTGCCACCAGAAGGTAGGCTGAGGGCAATCACTCCCTGGCACTGTGCACCTTGAGGTTATCTACTGGAATATCTGGAGCCTACTGTTCAAGGAAAGCAGACATGCAGGCCTGCACTAAATCATGCAACTGGCTCATGATCACCTGCTCCTCCCTATTTCCTTTACTCAATAAATACAAAGGGCTCTAGAAGCTCAGGGCCCTTGTTCACTAGAAGCAAGGAGCCCCCTGACCCCTTCTTTTAAAACAGATCTTTTTATCTTTGTCTTTATTCCTGTGTTCATCCTCCTTTGCTCAGTCCTCTGGGGTCTGTGGCAGAAGATAAAAAACACTATTACATGAGATTTTCCACCTTTTCATTGTCTATCCATTTATTCACATTTTCATTTATTCTCAGAGAAGGAACTGTTTTAATTCCTTTTAAACGTTTTTATTTAGTGTTCTTTGTAAAGTTTTCTGTACTTTTCTTTCTAGATTATATCCTTTTTTACTTTCTTTTCAAAATACTTTCTAAATAAAATACCTACCAATTCTAAATAAGATAACATGGAGCTATTTTCTTTGTAAAGCCAAACTCCTAACATTAGTTCTTTGGTCACTGGTTGCATCTTCTCTTCCATAGAAGATGTGAGCATGCAGAAGAAAGAATCCACAAATTTGAAGATAGAACCTTTGAAAAATATCAACTCTGAGGGGACTAAAGGAAAAAGAATGAAGACCAAACAGAACTTAAAGGACCTGTAGTACACCATGCATCAGACCAACATACACATTATGGAAGCTGAAGAAAGATAACAGAGAAATAAAGGGGAAGAAGTAAAATGTGAAGAAATATTAAGCAAAACTTTCCAAATTTGATGAAAGACATGAATCTTTAAATCCAAGAAGCTCAACAAACTCCAAGTAAGAGAAACTCAGTCGGGCGTGGTGGCAGGTGCCTGTATTCTCAGCTACTCGGGAGGTTGAGGCACAAGAATCCCTTGAACTTGGGAGGCAGAGGTTGCAGTAAGCTGGGATTGCACCATTGCACTCCAGCCTGGGCAACAAGAGCAAAACTTCATCTCAAAAAAAAAAAACATTAAAAAAAGAGAAACTCAGGCCTACAGTGAATCACATATCATCAAAATGTCAAATGGCAAAGACAAAGAGTGCTGAAAGAAGTGATTCTCAATACTATTAATAACAAATATGTCATCAGAAATCATGGGGGACATAGTCGGTGAGATGACATATTTAAGAGCTGAAAAAGAAACACTATCAACCAAGAATTCTGTGCTCACCAGAAATGTTCAAAAATGAGGGAGAATTTAAGACATTCCTAGAAAAACTAATGCCAAGGACAGTTACCACTACACTTGCCATACAAGAAATGCTGCTGGACGTGGTAGCTCATGCCTTTAATCCCAGCACTTTGGGAGGCTGAGGCAGGTGGATCACGAGGTCAGGAGTTTGAGACCAGCCTGGCCAACATAGTGAAACCCCGTCTCTACTAAAAATACAAAAACTAGCCAGGTACAGTGGTGCATGCCTGTACTGCCAGCTACTTGGGAGGCTGAGGCAGGAAAATTGCTTGAACCCGGGAGGCAGATGTTTTGGTGAGCCAAGATCGTGCCACTGCACTCCAGCCTGGGCAACAGAGTGAGACTCTGTCTCAAATAAATAAATAAATAAACAAATAAACATAAAAGAGATGCTAAAAGGAGTTCTTCAGGATGGAATAAAAGGATGCTAGACAGTAACTCAAGCTGTGTGGAGAAATAAAGATCTCTAGTAAAGGTAAGTATATTGGAAAATATAAAACCACATTTATGGTATTTTTGTATCTAATTCCAGTTTTTACTTTTTACTGAATTTTTTAAAAATCAATAAAAATTATAAGTGTATGTTTTAGGCATACAATATATAAAGATATATTTTGCAAAAAAAAAAAAAACAACAGAAGCGTGCAGTCGTATAGCAGAATTTTTGTATGCTATTGAAGTTAAGTAGGTACAAATTCAAATAATATAACTTTGGAATGGTAAATGTAATCCTTATGAGGGCTGTTAAAGTTTTGGCTGGGTGCAGTGGCTCACTCCTGTAATCCCAACACTTTGGGAGGCTGAGGCAGGCAGATCACCTGAAGTCAGGAGTTCGAGACCAGCGTGGCCAACATGGTGAAACCCTGTCTCTACTAAAAATACAAAAATCACCCAGGCGTGGTGGTGCGTACCTGTAATCCCAGTTACTTGGGAGGCTTAGGCAGGAGAATCACCTGAACCCAGGAGGTGGTGGTTGCAGTGAGCTGAGATCACACCACTGCACTCCAGCCTGGGCAACAGAGCAAGAAGACTCCATCTCAAAAAGAAAGAAAGAAAGAAAGAAAGAAAGTAAATATGAATGAAAGCCTGGTGTGGTGGCTAACACCTGTAATCTCAGCACATTGGGAGGGTGAGGTGGGCAGATCACATGAGGTCAGGAGTTAAAGATCAGCCTGGCCAACATGGTGAAACCCTGTCTCTACTAAAAATACAAAAATTAGCCAGGTATAGTGGCACAAGCCTGTAGTCCCAGCTACACAGGAGGCTGAGACATGAGAATCACTTGAACCTGGGAGGCAAGATTGTGCCACTGCACTCTAGCCTGGACGACACAGCAAGACTGTCTGAAAAACAAAACAAAACAAAACAAAATCAATGAAAATTAGAAGAGAGTTAAATGATTCACTCTAAAAATCAAGTAAACACAAAAAAATCAGCAGTGGAGGAAATAAGGAGCTAAAAGTATAAGACATTCAGAACACATATAGCAAAATGGCAGGAAGAAAATCCTTCTTTATTTTTACTTTAAATGTAAATGAATCAAACACTCCAAGAAAAAGTCATGCTGTTGAAGAATGGATGAAATAATAAAGACCATGATCAAATCGTATTCTGTCTACAAGAAATTCACTTTATATAAAAAGCAACAGATAGGCTGTTAGTGAAAGGATGGGAAGAAGATATTCCATGCAAATAGCAACCAAAAGATAATTGGATTGACTATAATGATATCAGACAAACGAACTTTAAGTAAAAGACTTTATAATATACAAAGGATGGCAATATATTGATAAAAGCTTCAATTCATCAAGAGATGTAATAAGCCATGCATGATGGTATATGCCTTTAATTCTAGCAACTTGGGATGCTGAGGCAGGAGGATTGCTTGAGCCTAGGAGTTTAAGTTCAGTGTAAGCAACATAATGAGACTCTGTCTTTTATTTATTTATTTATTTATTTTTTTGAGACAAAGGCTCACTATGTCGCCTGGCTGGAGTGCAGTGATGCAATCTTGGCTCACAGCAACCTCCACCTCCCAGGTTCAAGCGATTCCCCTGCTTCAGCCTCCTGAGTAGCTGGGACTACAGGTGTGTGCCACCACACCCAGCTGATTTTTGTACTTTTAGTAGAGATGGGCTTTCACTATGTTGGCCAGGATGGTCTCAATCTCTTGACCTTGTGATCCACCCTCCTTGGCCTCCCAGAGTGCTGGGATTACAGGAATGAGCCACTGTGCCCAGCCGAGACTCTGTCTCTTAAAAAAATTAAAAATTAGAAAAAGAAGATGTAGCAATCATAAACATGCATGCACCAAAAACAGACCCCAAAGTTATATGACAAAACTTAAGGGAGAAATAGATTGTTCTATAGCAATAATTGGAGAGTTATATATGACACTTTTAATAAAAGGACATCTACATAGAAGATCAGTAAGGACATAGCTTGAAAAATACGGTAAGCCAACTAAGCCTCAGAGACATGTAGAACAGTCCATCTGATATCATGAGAACACACATTCTTAAGTTCACATGGAACATCTTCAGGATATGTCAAATGTATATGCCACAGAATGAGTCTCAGGAAATTTATTTTTTTTAATTTTTATTTTTTTTGAGACAGAGTCTTGTTCTGTTGCCCAGGCTGGAGGGCAGGGGTGCAATTTCGGCTTACTGCAACCTCCATCTCCCAGGTTTAAGTGACTCTCCTGCCTCAGCCTCCCAAGTAGCTGGGATTACAGGCATATGCCACCACACCTGGCTAACTTTTGTATTTTTAGTAGAAGCAGAGTTTCACCATGTTGGCAAGGCTGGTCTCCAACTCCTGACCTCAAATGATCCATCCACTCTTGGCCTCCCAAAATGCTGGGATTACAGGTGTGAGCCACCGCACCCAGCAGAGTCTCAGTAAATTTAAAAGCACTGAATATATATAAAGTACCTGTCAGAACACAACAGAATTAAGCTAGAAATCTATAATGGCAGAAAAACATTAAAATACATAAATATGTGTGAATTAACACACACTTAAAAAACAGGAGATCAAGAACAAATTACAAGGCACCTGTTTTTACCACAAAATATAATAAGTACTTGAGGTGGTGGATATGTTAATTAGCTTCGTTTAATTATTCTGTATTATATTCATAAATTATAATATCACTTTATACTCCATTAATATGTACAATGAAAATTTGTCAATTAAAGCAATTAGGTTGGGCACAATGACTCATGCCTGTAATTCTAGCACGTTGGGAGGCTGATGCAGGAGGATCACTTGAGGCTGCGAGTTCATGACCAGTCAGGCAACATAGTGAACCCCTGTCTCTACAAAAAATTTTCTAAAAAATTAACTGGGTATGGTGGCATGTGCCTGTAGTCCCAGCTACTCTGGAGATTGAGGTGAGAGGATTGCTTGAGCCCAGTTGGTTGAGGCTGCAGTAAGCTGTGATTTTGCCACTCTACTCCAGCCTGCCCAAGAGAGCAAGATCCTTTCTCAAAACATATCAAAAAACAAAGTAATTTTAAAATGAGAGGCCCAGATAGCTGCCTTTCCTTTTGCACTATGTGAAGACACAGTGAGAAGACAATCGTATGAACCAGGAAGCAGGCCCTCCTGAGACATTGAATCTGCTTGTGCCTTGTTCTTGGACTTTCCAGCCTCTAGAGCTATAAGAAAAAAATTTCTGTTAGTCACAAACAACAACAACAACAAAAACAAATTACAAAAGAAAACATGTAGAGAAAAACAAAAATGGACAGGACAGACCTAAACTTATAGGATGCAATGAAGAGAGTGCTCAGTGGAAAATTATTATTATTATTATTTGAGACAAGGTCTGGCTCTGGTCCCCCAAGCTGCAGTGCTGTGGCATGATCACAGCTCACTGCAGCTTTGAATTCCTGGGCTCAAGCAATCTTCTCACCTTGGCCTCGCAAAGTGCTGGGAGTACAGGTGTGAGCCACATTACCTGGCCTCAGTAGGAAATTTATAGCTGTAAATACCTATAAATAATTTTATATCTTGAGGAACTACCAAAAAAGAGGAAAGTAAACTAATCTAACAGAAGAAAGGAAATAATAAAGAAGGGAAATACGTGAAATGGAGAATAGATAAGAATCTATTCAATGAGAATCAATGAAACTAAAAGTTACTCTTTGCAATGATCGATAACATTGAAAAACTTCACCTAGATTGACAAAAAAGGCAGAAGATGCAAATAATTAAAATTAGAAATGAAACTGGGGCACACTACAACAAACTATTCAGAAATAAAGATTATAAGAGGATACTATGAACAATTAATTGTACAACTAGTTAGATAACCTAAATGAAGTGGACACATTTCTAGAAACACAGAAATTAACTGGATTAAACAGTAATGAAAAATCTCAAGAGACCTATAACAAGAAAAGAGATTAAATCAGTATTTCAAAACTTTCCAACAATGAATTGTCAATTCACAAATGAATTGTACTAAACATTTAAAGAGTAATCAACACCAGTGTTTCTCAATATCCTCCAAAAAAGTAGAACAGGAGGCCGGGTGTTGTGGCTCATGCCTGTAATCCCAGCACTTTGGGAGGCTGAGCCAGGTGAATCACAAGGTAAAGAGATCAAGACCATCCTGGCCAACATGGTGAAACCCCATCTCTACTAAAAACACAAAAATTAGCTGGGCGTGGTGGTATGCACCTGTAGTCCCAGCTACTCGGGAGGCTGAAGCAGGAGAATTGCTTGAACCTGGGAGGTGGAAGTTGCAGTGAGCCGACATTGCGCCACTACACTCCAGCCTGGCAACAGAGCGAGACTCTGTCTCAAACCAAACCAAACCAAACCAAACCGAAACAAAACAAAACATGAGAGAACACTTTTTTTTTTCTTTTTTTCTTTTTTGAGATGAGATCTTGCTCTGTCACCCAGGCTGGAGTGCAGTGGCATGATTTCAGCTCACTGCAACCTGCGCCTCCCGAGTTCAAGCGATTCTCCTGCCTCAGCCTCCCCAGTAGCTGGGATTACAGGTGCATGCCACCATGCCCAGCCAATTTTTTGTATTTTTAGTAGAGCCTGGCTTTCACCATGTTGGCCAGGCAGGTCTCAAAGTCCTGACTTCAAGTGATCCGCCTGCCTTGGTCTCCCAAAGTGCTGGCATTACAGGCATGAGACACTGTGCCTGGCCAGAGAGAACACTTTCTAAATCCATGAGGCCATTCATTACATTGTTACTGAAGCCAGATAAAAAATATCTCTTGCTGGGAGTGGTGGCTCATGCCTGTAATCCTAGCACTTTGGGAGGCCCAGGGTGGTCAGATTGCTTGAGCTTAGGAGTTGGAGGCCAGCCTGGGTAACATGGCGAAACCTCATCTCTACAAAAAAAAATACAAAAATTAGCCAGGTGTGGTGGCTCATGCCTGTAATCCCAGCACTTTCGGAGGCTGAGATGGGCGGATCACCTGAAGTCAGGAGTTTGAGACCAGCCTGGCCAACATGGTGAAACCCTGTCTCTACTAAAAATAGAAAAAAATTAGCCAGGTGTGGTGATGCACACCTGTAGTCCCAGCTACTTGAGAGGCTGAGGCAGGAGAATCGCTTGAACCCGGGAGGCGGAGGTTGTGGTGAGCCGAGATCACACCACTGCAATCCAGCCTGGGCAACAAGAGCAACACTCCACACACACACACACACACACACACACACACACACACACACACACACACACACAAAGTAGCCAGGCATGGTGATGCGTCTGTGGTCCTAGCTTCTTGAGAGGCTGAGGTGGGAGGATGGCTTGAGCCTGTGGTGGTCAAGACTGCATTGAGCCAAGATTGTGCCACTGCACTCCAGCCTGGGCAATAGTGTGAGACTCCATCTCAAAAAAAAAAAAAAAAAAAAAGCTAAAGAGAAAGAAATTAGAGACTATCTTTCATGAATATAGATGCAAAAATCCTTAAAAAATATTAGCAAATCATATCCAACAGCACATTAAAAGCACTATACACCATGACTAGTGAGATTTATCTAGGAATGCAAGGTTGGTTCAACAAAAGGAAATTTAAAAAATGTAATTCTTCACATTAGTACAAAAGACAAAAAATCCCACAGAATCACCTCAACTAATGCAGGAAAGGCATTTGATGAAACCCAACACTTTTCCTTGATAAAAATTAAGAAAACTGGCCAGGCGTGGTGGCTCACACCTGTAATCCCAGCACTTTGGGTGGCCAAGGCAGGTGGATCATGAGGTCAGGAGTTGGAGACCAGCCTGGCCAAGCTGGTGAAACCCCGTCTCTACTAAAAATACAAAAAAATTAGCCAGGTGTTGTGGTGGGCACTTGGGAGTGCCCACCTACTTGGGAGGCTGAGGCAGAGAATTGCTTGAACCCGGGAGGTGGAGGTTGCAGTGAGCCAAGATCATGCCACTGCACTCCAGCCTGGGTGACAGAGCGAGATTGTCTCAAAAAAAAAATTAAGAAAACTAGAAACAGAAGGGAGTTTATTCAACGTGACAAAACGCACTTACGAAAACACAGCTAACGTGATATTCAATAGTGAATGCCTGAAAATTCTCCCTAAGACCAGGAAGGAGAGAAAGATGTCTGATTTTTCTATTGTTATTCAACATTCTACAGGAAATTCTTTTTTTTTTTTTTTTTTTGAGATGAAGTTTTGCTCTTGTCACCCAGGCTGGAGTGCAATGGAGCCATCTCCACTCACTGCAAACTCCGTAACCTCCGCCTCCCAGGTTCAAGTGATTCTCCTGCCTCAGCCTCCCGAGTAGCTGGGATTACAGGTGCCAACCACCACGCCTGGCTAATTTTTTGTATCTTTAGTAGAGACGGGGTTTCACCATGTTGGTCAGGCTGGTCTTGAACTCCTGACCTCAGGTGATCCACCCACCTCGGCCTCCCAAAATGTTGGGATTACAGGAGTGAGCCACCGTGCCCAGCCTCTACAGGAAATTCTAGCCAGAGCAATTACACAAGAAAATAAAATAAAAGGTTTCTCAATTAGAATAGAACAAATAAAAATATATTTATAGGTGATATTTGATATATAGAGAATTTTGAAGAATCTACAAGAAAACTAGCAGAGCTTGTAATAAATTCCGTAAAGTTGCACAGTACAACATCAAGAGATGAAAATTAGTTTTGTATCTATACACCAGCAATGAACAATCAGAAAAGGAAACTGAGAATGTGATCCCTTTTACAAATAAGTTACATGGGAATAACTTTACCCCAAGAGGTAAAATATTTGTAAACTGAAAATTTCAAAACATTACTGAAAGAGTTTAAAGAAGACCTAAATAGAGAGATATTGTATATTCACACATAGGAAGACTCAGTATTATAAAGATACCAATATAACCCGAAGATTCAACTAAATCTCTACCACAAGTCCAACAGTCCTTTCTTTTTCTGCACAGAATAAGTGAAGAATGCCTGGTATCAGTGTTATTTCATAAAGTAGTACAGGAGGCTTTGAATCATTTGATAAGATTTGAGAAATAGTAACAAATACATTGTTGAAGAAGAAAAAAAAATACAATAAGGCCAGGCATGGTGCATGATGGCTCACGCCTGTAATCCCACTTCGGGAGTGCAGGGCGGGCAGATCACTTGAGCCCAGGAGTTCCAGACCAGCCTGGGCAACATGGTTAGATCCTGTCTCTACAAAATAATAATAATGATGATAATAATAATAATACAAAAATTAGCCGGGTGCGGTGCGCCCGTGGTCCCAGCTACTCGGGAGGCTGAGGTGGAAGGATGGCTTGAGCCTGGAGAGGTGGAGACTGCAGTGAGCCGTGTTCCTACCACTGCATTCCAGCCTTGGCAACCGAGCCAGACCCTACCTCGAAGAAAAAAAGAAAAGAAAAGAAAAAAGAAAGAAAAGAAAAAAATTGCAATATTTACAGAAAGTATCGATAACTGAAAACGCAGAGGAATCAATGATTAGAGTTTAGCAAGGTCAGATAAATAAAAAGAAATAAGAGAAAATAAAGTTCTAAAGACGTGATCGAATGCAGGAAGCAGGCCATTTTGTGGATTGGCAGGTTATCAACTGGAGAGAATCCTGAAAGGGGTCCAGGAACGTGGGGAAAGTTTCTAATGAGCATCCTGAGGGGCGAGTCCATCGCCCGACGTTTCGCCTTCCTGGTCCATTCTGCCACCGAAGCCACCGGCTGGGTCTGGTCCCACCTCCAGCCCCGCCCCCGGGCATGGGCCCCGCCCACAGCCCTGATTTAACCCCCACCTTTCTCTGTGGGTCCATTTCTCTCTTGCCCACCCAGGCACTGAGCCGACCCCTTGATACCTCCGCACCCACGCGGAGGGAAACTAGAATCCTGAAGAGTTCCATCCTGTCCAACTGCCCACACAACGAGCCACGCCCCTTCCAATGCCCCAAACGGAAGTGACGTTGCGGCGCGCCAGTTCTCTCTTTTGGTCGCTGGCGCCTGTTTCCTCAGAGCCACTTTTTCCTTTGTGTTGTCTGGTCGTTCACTACTTTGGTGAGGCTCGTGTGGACTAGTGGGTTGGGCGGTGTTTCGGGGGGTGGCAGAGGTCACAATCGACCCAGGGTAATCGAGGAACCTCCTTACAGAGGCCTGGACCACTCCACAGGAGTCCGCAGGAGTCGCGGAGCCATCGGGTGAGGCCACGTCGAAGAGGCCATTGGGACCTTCGGTCCCCTAGAGGAGCCGGGTGGGAAGTGCAGTATGGGCGCGTCCGAGGGCTGTTTTCAGCCGTGTGTTCCCGTCTTCAAAAGTGTCCAAGCGTTCTGAGGCCTTAAAAAATAAGTCTCCAAGGCAACGTTTGTGAATTGTGTTTCAGAGGGAAAAGAATTTTGCCGTTCGCGTTCGATTGACTCCGTCCCCAAGATCCTGTAGCCCCACGGACCTGGCGACTCCACCGTGTTCGGGTGAGCATTGGGAAAAAGTTGGTTTAAGGGGGCAGCTGCTTCCTTTTTTATGCAAACGAGTGTTTCATGTGAGATTTTGGCATTTTGCCTTTGTGAAACCTGTATATTTTTTATTGACACATTACGTTCCGGTAGAAAGGTGCTTTCTTAGTTGTCTAGGGTGTGCGTATTTCTGCATGTGCATATAAACGTTTGTAGACCGCGAGTCTTTCTACTAAAGAAACCTAAGAATACTCAGCCATTCTTTTCATCTGAAGTTCCTAGCTCTGTACGTCTCCAAAGAGCTTCATAACCAGGCTTCCTGGAAGAAAGGATGGAGGGTTTACACACTAATACTAGAATAATCGAATTTACCATTAACAGGATGACTGTACTAAGTGTATTTTTCCCGCATTTTTTTTCGAAAAAACTTAAACCTATGGGTATGTTGACCATCCAGTACCACGAATAAATATCCATTGTAGCTGCACCTGTTTTTTAGCGTTTTGTGTATTCGCCGTCTCGTAAATAAATTTTATGGTGAACAGTTTGAGAGTCAATGGGAAATTCATTGCAGAGATGAAGCTCGACATTTTTTTTTTTTTTTTTTTTTTGAGAGGGGGTCTAGCTGTGTCGCCCAGGCTGGAGTGCAGTGGCGCGATCTCGCCTCACTGCAACCTCTGCCTCCCGGGTTCAAGCGATTCTCCTGCCTCAGCTTCCCAAGTGGCTGTAATTACAGGGGTGTGCCACCGTGCCCGGATAATTTTTTGTATTTTTGTAGAGATGGGGTTTCACCGTGATAGCCAGGATGGTAAGCTCGACATTTAAGTAGTGGGTAATGCCTGACTCAATGATAAGAGTGTTGTTTTACTAAAACCGTAATACTATTTGCATCAAGAAAATTAAAAATAATAATGTTATCTAATATTTACTATGTATAATAAATGAAAATTCTCCAAATTCTTCTAAAATATAACGGAATGTTTTTGGATCTGAGCTCTATTCAAGATTTTTTTTTTTTGAGAGTTTTTTTGAGGCAGGATGTTGCCTTGTTGCCCAGGCTGGAGTGCGGTGGCATGATATTGGCTCACTGCAACCACCGCTTACCACGCCCAACTTTGTGTTTCTGTGCCTGGTTTATTTCACTTAACGTACTGTCCTCCAGTTCTATCTACGTTGTTGAAAATGACAGGATTTCATTCTATTTTTTTTTTGAGACACAGTCTCGTTCTGTCGCCAGGGTGGAGTGCAGTGGTGTGATCTCGACTTACTGCAACCTCTGCCTCCCTGGTTCAAGCGATTCTCCTGCCTCAGCCTTTTGAGTAGCTGGGATTTCAGGCACGTGCCACCTCGCCCAGCTAATTTTTGTATTTGTAGTGGAGATGGGGTTTCACCATGTTGGCCAGGATGGTCTTGATCTCCTGACCTCGTGATCCGCCTGCCTCAGCCTCCCAAAATGCTGAGATTACAGGCGTGAGCCACTGCACCTGGCCAGGATCTTCTTTGTTGTCTTTTGTTTTTCTTGCCTTCCTCCCTGTCCCCCCCACCCCCACCTTTTTTTTTTCCAAGTTCAGCTTTTTATTGAACACATTTCAGAAGAGGTTTAGTCAAAAAGACCAAAGCCAGGCCTGGTGCGGTGTCTCACGCCTATAATCCCAGCACTTTGGGAGGCTGAGGCAGGTGGATCACGAGGTCAGTAGTTCTCTACCAACCTGGCCAAGATGGTGAATCCCTGTCTCTACTAAAAATACAAAATACAAAAATATATATATATTTGCGGGGTTTTTTTGTTTTTTGTTTTTTGTTTTTGAGATTCATTTTGTCGCCCAGGGTGGAGTGCAGTGTCACGATCCTAGCTCACTGCAGCCTTGAACTACTGGGCTCAAGTGATCCTCCCACCTCAATCTCAGAAAATGTTGGGATTACAAGCATGAGCCACCATCCCTTGCAGGACGCCCAGAATATCTTGTTCCCCGGCAACGTTCCTACTAATTATTTTAGCATCCATGAGTAAGCTGCAGTAAATGAACTTCTTTATATGTAGTTAACATTTTTATAAGTGTATTACTAGGTTAAACCTTTAATATTGGACTTTAGGTCAGAGGACAAATATACATTTAATTTTGCTGGATATTATAAATTCCCATCCATAGGTCTTGTACCATTTGGCAGTTTCTGAATGGATGTATTGTAAAGTGTAAAAATTATTCTGGAGAGAAATAAGGAACAGACTTTAGTTTGTTTTTTGTTTGTTTTTTCTGTTTGTTTGTTTTACTGTTGCTACATCTGAAAATAGATTTTAGTTTTAACTGAAAGCCACTTGTTTTCAAAAAGAAAGTCAGTGTCTTGTTCAGTTTCATCCTGAATAAGAATACTCAAATATATTTTCAGAAGTATAGTGTTCTTTCTTTCTTTTCTTTCTTTCCCCGCCCCCGACTTTTTGAGACAGATTCTTGCTCTGTTGCCCAGGCTGGAGTGCAGTGGTGCCATCTGAATACACTGCACCCTCCGCCTCCTGGGTTCAAGTGATTCTCATGCCTCAGCCTCCCAAGTAGATGGGATTACAGGCATGCACCACCACGCCTGGCTAATTTTGGTATTTTTTTGTAGAGATGCGGTATCATCATGTTGGCCAGGCTGGTCTTGAACACCTGGCATCAAGTGATTGGCCCACCTTGGCCTCCCAAAGTGCTGGGATTGCAGCCGTGAGCTACTACTGTGGCTGGCCAGAAGTGTAGTGTTTTGGTTTATATTTTATGTGTGAGACATTTTATATGAGTGTTGTTTAATTCTTGTGTTGTATATTCTATTTCTTTTTTAAAAATAAATATCCTATTTATTCAGTGTATCACTCCAGCCTGTGGCAGTAATTTTGAATCCAGTTCTATCAGTCATCAAATTCTATAGTCCATTTACAAATTTGATAAGCATGCTGTGTCTTGTTTAATTGCCTTAGCTGAAACCTACAGTAGAATTTTATTATTATTTATTTTTATTTATTTTTTTTTGGTGATAGAGTCTTGCTCTGTTGCTCTGGCTAGAGTGCGGTGGTGCAACCTCGGCTTGCTCCAACCTCTGCCTATAACAGAATGTATTTCCACACTCAGTCAATAGGCAAAATTCATTTCCTTGCAGTTATAGGACTTGTTGCTGGCTGTTGCTAGAGGCTGTGCTCAGCTCCTAGAATCTACCAGCAGGTTTTTTGTTTGTTTGTTTGTTTGTTTTGTTTGTTTGTTTTTTTTTGAGACGGAGTTTCACTCTTATTGCTGTCTGGAGTGCAGTGGTGTGACCTTGGCTCACCACAACCTCTGCCTCCCGGGTTCAAGTGATTCTTTTGCCTCAGCCTACTGAGTAGCTGGGATTACAGGCATTCGCCACCATGCCTGGCTAATTTTTTGTTTTGTTTTGTTTTGAGACGGAGTTTTGCTCTTGTCGCCCAGGGTGGAGTGCAGTGGCGTGATCTTGGCTCACTGCAACCTCTGCCTCCCAGGTTCAAGCAATTCTCCTGCCTCATCTTCCCGAGTAGCTGGGATTACAGGCACCTGCCACCATGCCTGGCTAATTTTTTGTATTTTTAGTAGTGACAGGGTTTCGCCATGTTGGGTAGGCTGGTCTCGAACTCCTCACATCAGGTGATCCACCCACGTTGGCCTCCCAAAGTGCTGGGATTACAGGGGTGAGCCCCTGCACCTGGCCTCCCTCCCATCTTTTAATGCAACATGATAAAGCTTAACATGTTCCATTAAAAGATAAATGCTTAAGGAATGCAGCCCTTTGTTCCTAGCAGATATGATCGTGAATTTGGAGCTGAGATGGATAACTTGGTAACTGGCATGTTCACAGTTTTGCCTAGTCAGCATCCACATGTGCCCATCTATACACACTTTGATTCTCTTATAATGGTTAAGTCTGCATTTCCACTTAACAAGATTGAAGGGAGAATTTCTCACCCCTAAGTGAGAATGTGCACAGCCCCTCATCACAGGCCATATTAATTTCTTTTTTTTTTTTTTTTTTTGAGATGGAGTCTCACTCTTTCGCCCAGGCTGGGAGTGGTGGTGTGATCTCAGCTCTCTGCAACCTCCGCCTCCCAGGTTCAAGTGATTCTCCTGCCTCAGCTTCCAAGTAGCTGGGATTACAGGTGCACACCACCACGCCCAGCTAATTTTTGTATTTTTAGTAGAGACAGTGTTTCACCATGTTGGCCAGGCTGGTCTGGAACTCCTGACCTCAGGTGATGTGCCCACCTCGGCCTTCCAAAGTGCTGGGATTACAGGTGTGAGCCACCATGCCTGAAGCCATGTTAATTTCTACTGAAATTTAGTCATATTCTCCTTGAATATTCTGTTACCTGAAGACTAAATTAAAAATTTAACCTCTAGTAACTTATATACAAAATAGAAATAGAAAAGAGACAGAAGTGAATGATTGGTTTATGTAAATACATGCTTAGAAACTAACATGTATACGTAACAATCAAAGAGAAAACCTGGGGCTGGGTGTGGTGGCTAACACCTGTAATCCCGGCACTTTGGGAGGCGGGTGGATCACTTGACGTCAGGAGTTTGAGACCAGCCTGGCCAACATGGTGAACCCCTGTCTCTACTGAAAATACAAAAATTAGTTGGGCGTGGCGGGCGCCTGTAATCCCAGCTACTTGGGAGGCTGAGGCAGGAGAATGGCTTGAATCTGGGAGGTGGAGGTTGCAGTGAGCTGAGATGGCACAACTGCACTCCTGCCTGGGCAACAGAGTGAGATTCCGTCTCAAAAAAGCAAAAACAGAAAACCTGCCAGACTACTGCAGTTGTTGTTTCTGTCATTGATCTTGAAGTTATAGTTGCTATCCATGGTTTTACTTTTTCGATGAACATTTTTTGTATTTTCCTTGCCCTCAGCCAGAATCAGCAGCTCTGGGCTCTGTACCTGATGGAGTGACTCAAACCTTCCTTCTGAAGGGATCTTGGTCCTCCATTTTCCTGCCTTTTTTCTACGGTAATTTTTTGTTAACCTTTCTAAGTGGTATGGAAGTGCTAGGAGGTTCTAGACATCATTCTTTTTGCCTCAGTTGTATAGTAGTACCCCAGTTTCCCTTTGGTAGTTGAGATTAATCCCTTCAGTTAATAGATTATACCCTCTCACCTCCTTATTTTTCTTTTTCTTCTTGGTTTAATGGATATGAAACTTATAAGGGCCAGATGTTAATCTCACTTTCCAGTGTATTGGGACCAAATAAATAGTTGCCCCTGGGGAAGCATTCCCCATTATGGACTCAGATCTCCAAATTACAGTGCTCTACATTGCTGGGATTGGAAGCAAAATTTTTGTCTTAGAGCTAATTCTGCCTTCACCCATCAATTCCTGGGCCTGTTTGTTCTGACTGTGGTGAGATAGTAGTATCTAGTGATCTCTGATTCAGAGCATACACTGTGTCTTGTGAAACAGAATCCCATTCTTTCAGAGGTTGTCTCCCAGTTGGCCCTGTATCTGAATTTTCAGTAAGCTATTTCACCTTTCATTTAGACTAGCTGCTTCTGAGTGATGGGGTGTGTGATGAGACCAGCTGATGAGAGGGACATGTTCCCACTGTTGCACTTCCTTTGCAGTGAAATGGGTTCCTTGATGAAAGATGGTATTGTGTGAATGCTGTGACTGCAGTGAAAGCATTTTGTGAGTGCATGGATTATGCATTGTATAGGCAAAAGCCTAGTGGATTTGCCTCTCCTCTGTACAAATCTGCCTCTATACAAATCCTATATGGATTTGCCTCTCTACTAGTTAGGCTTCTGGCAAATCCATATCCAGAACACGAGTCTATTCCAGTGAAGATGAATCTTAGTCACCTTCATGATAGGAGTGGTCCAATGTAATCATCTTGCCACCAGCTGGCTCCCCTGGTTACTCTAGAAATTAATGCCCTTGGTTCAAGACTAACCTGGGCAACATGGTGAAACCCCATCTCTATGAAAACAAAAAATCAACCCCCCTACGAAAACCACCCAGATTAGCCAGGCTTGATGATACATGCCTGTAGTCCTAGCTACTCAGGAGCATGAGGCAGAAAGATTGCTTGAGCCCAGGAGATTGAGGCTGCAGTGAGCTGTGATCATGCCACTGCACTCCAGCCTGGGTGACAGAGTGAGACCTGTCCCCCCCCCAAAAGAAAAGAAAAAAGAAATTAATGCCCTTATATATTCAGTTTTGGTTTTTGCTTTTAGCAGATTAGGCACCTAGCAGTAGCATTAGCTGCATTAGCTTTGGTAAATGGAAGTCCATACTGTTGAGCCATAGTAGCCTTTATCCCTGTTTTTTTTTTTTTTTTTTTTGAGACGGAGTCTCGCTCTGTCGCCCAGGCTGGAGTGCAGTGGCAGGATCTCGGCTCACTGCAACCTCTGCCTCCCAGGTCCAAGCGATTCTCCTGTCTCAGCCTCCTGAGTAGCTGGGACTACAGACGCGTGCCACCACACCCAGCTAATTTTTTGTATTTTTAGTAGAGATGGGGTTTCACCATGTTAGCCAGGATAGTCTCAATCTCCTGACCTCATGATCTGCCAGCCTCAGCCTCCCAAAGTGCTGGGATTACAGGTGTGAGCCACCATGCCTGGCCAAGAATCTTATAGGTCTGCCAAGTGTTGCACCTAATTTTGGGGAGCACTAACTAGGAATGACACCTTGGAGGGGATATCTTGATATGGTCTAGACA
Source organism: Homo sapiens (assembly GCF_000001405.40). NCBI lineage: Eukaryota > Metazoa > Chordata > Mammalia > Primates > Hominidae > Homo > Homo sapiens. The sequence continues at coordinate 9,491,448 of NC_000019.10, read as the reverse complement.
ACTGAACCCACAAATCTTTGTTGATTGGATGGGGCATGGTGGCTCAGGCCTGTAACTCTAACACTTTGGGAGGCCAAGGCAGGCAGATTGCTTGAGGCCAGGAGTTCGAGACCAGCCTGGCCAACATAGTGAGATCCCATCTATACCAAAAAAGATTAAAAGAAAAAAAATTACCTGGTGTAGTAATGTGCACCTGTCGTCCCAGATGCTTGGGAGGCTGAGGTGGGAGGATCACTTGAGCCTAGAAGGTGGAGGTTGTGGTGAGCCGTGATCACACCACTGCACTCCAGCCTGGGCAACAGAGCAAGACCCTGTCTCAAAAAAACAAAACAAAACCAACTTTGTTTATTTAGCTGGCTCTTGAATCTCCCATCCTCTACTTTGTAGCCTGTAAAGGTATCCAAACTATTTACTGTTTCCTGTTCATGGGATATCATGTACAAAATATTTTCAATGTGATGGAGTGTTGCAATGTTTTGTGTAATAGCAAAACCTCTGAAGACTATTTCGGTGGAAAACAGGAGAATTGATATAAGTTATGATAGTCCCCCGTAATTCTCCAAAGTCGATGTGACTTCTGCACAATCCTGAGTGGTGTGTTACCTAGGTCTGGTGATTGGGTGAGAGACTTTGAATCTCCCCTGTGGTGACTCTTATCAGGTTTTTGGCCATTAGACTTGAGACTTCTTGTTACATAGATCAAGCAATATTCCAAGACTTACATTGGCAAACTGTGGCTTATGGGACACACCTAATCTTCAACCTGTTTTTGTAAATTATAATTGGAACAGAACAACTATGTTCATTTGTTTATATATTTTCTGAGGCTTCTTTCATACTACAAGGACAGAGTTGAGTATTTGTAACAGAGACTGTGTGGCCCACAGAGTATAACATTTACTATATGTCACATTACAACAAGATTTATTAATCCCTGTTATAGTAGGGTTCTTATCTGTTTCATGCTAGTGACGAAATGTGATCAGTTTGCTAACACCAATAATCTCTGCAGGCCAAAGCATTCCAATTATTGGTACATTCAGTGTGCCCTTGACATTCGATGTGGCCTCATTGTCTTTGATAGTTAAGTGCTACCCACTTGGTTTTTGGCACTCAAGGTTCTCATCATCCCCATTGAAACAGGGAACTCATCTTAATGATTGTTATCTCCTGTAGTCTTAACAAATGTTTAAAGGAGAATAAACAGAACTTTTCAAGAATGGAAGTATTCCCTTCAGTTATCTATTTCTGAATGCCTTTGTGAAGAGGGTGTCTTCTGGGCCCTTAATGTAGGTTGAAGAAGGGAAGCTGTGCAGATCACATGTGATAAATTCAGTGCAACCTTCCTGTGTGTCTAGGATTCCCTCCTTTACATTAGCCAGGGAAGCTCTTACATATTAACTCTGTTAACTAGGTCATGAGTACAAGTTTCAATCATCCAACCAGTTTAGCTATTAGAATCATGCCATGGTCCATTAGCTAATATGTAAAATTCAAAATGTCTAGTAAGTACCTGTATTAGGCTATTCTCACATTGCTATAAAGAAATACAAGAGACTGGCCGGGTGCAGTGGCTCACACCTGTAATCCCAGCACTTTGGGAGGCTGAGGTGGGCGGATCATGAGGTCAGGAGATTGAGACCATCCTGGCTAACACAGTGAAACCCTGTCTCTACTGAAAATACAAAAAAATTAGCTGGGCGTGGTGGCAGCTGCCTGTAGTCCCAGCTACTCAGAAGGCTGAGGCAGGAGAATGGTGTGAACCTAGGAGGCGGAGCTTGCGGTGAGCCGAGGTCACGCCACTGCACTCCAGCCTGGGTGACATGTCTCAAAAAAAAAAAAATACATGAGACTGGGTAATTTATAAAGAAGTTCCCGGCCACCCAACTGTCTGGGAAGTGAAGAGCACCTCTGCCTGGCCACCGCCCTGTCTGACAAGTGATGAGCACCTCTGCCCGGCAGCCCCACTGTCTGGAAAGTGAGGAGCATCTCTGCTCAGCTGCCTACCGTCTGGGAAGTGAGGAGCGCCTCTGCTCAGCCACCACACCGTCTGGGAAGTGAGGAGCACCTCTGCCTGGCCACCACCCTGTCTGGGAAGTGAGGAGCGACTCTGTCTGGCCACTGCAGTGTCTAGGAAGTGAGGAGTGCCTCTAACCGGCCGCCGCACTGTCTGGGAAGCGAGGAGCGCCTCTGCCTGGCCGCCCCACTGTCTGGGAAGTGAGGAGCACCTCTGTCGAGCCACTGTGCAAACCTCCAAGTGTGAAGTGACAGCCTTGTGTGTGATCTTTCTGCCCTCTCCAAGTTTGCATTTTCAACATTAAAGTTTATTTTTTAATTAAAAGTTTTAAATTGCAGAATAAAAAAAGTTTAATTGGCTCACAGTTCTGCAGGCTGTACAGGAAGCATAGTGACTTCTGCCTCTGGGGAGGCCTCTGGAAGCTTCCAGTCATGGCAGAAGGTGAAGCAGGAGTAGGTACATCTTATATGGCAGGAGCCAGGAGCAAGGGAGAATGAGGGGGAGGTGCTGTACACTTTTAAATGACCAGATCATGAGGACAGTATCAAAGGAGATGGTGCTAAACCATTCATGAGAAATCTGCCCCCATGATCCAATCATCTCCCACCAGACCTCACCTCCAACACTGGGGACTACAGTTCCACATGAGATTTGGTGGGGACACAGATCCAAACCATATCAGTGCTCCATATCAATGAATTTGGGCCTATCTAATGTTAACATTTTAACCTTCTTGATCTAATACCCTTAGAATCCATCCCATACATGTTCCCTGGGTTTCTTGTGATATATTATCAGAGTTGGAATTTTTTTGTTGTGTGAGCTTTTTTCTCTTGCATTATGTTGTATATCTTTCTCCCTGGATTTTGGACTAGTTAGGACTCTAGTGATAAAAATAAGTGATAATGGTGTGGATCTTGAGGAGAATATATATTACCTTCCAAGGTATCTGGACCAAATGAGATTGTCACAAAAATTTCAAGCAGAAGGCTTTCTCCTCAGAAACCAAAGGGTAAGCTACGTCCCTGGTAAGGGAGGCTCAAAGTGTCTTAGGTTGTGTTAGTCTCTTTATTATTGCTATGACATAATACCTGAGTAATTTATAAAGAAAAGAGGTTTCTTTGGCTCAGGATTCTGCTGGTTGGAAAGTCTAAGAGCATGGCCCCAGCATCTGCTCTACTTCTGATGAGGCTCACGTGTTGCGGCAAAACATGGTAGAGAGGCAGAAGAGGAAGCAGGCTTGTGCAAAAGGGACCAAACACAAACAGCAGCCTTGCTTTATAACAGTTAGCTCCTGTGGGAACTAATTCAGTCCTGTGTGAGCTAAAATTCACTTCTGCCTGGTAGCATTAATCTATTTATGTGAGATCTACCCCCATGACCCAAACATCTCATTAGGCCCCTCCTTCCAGTGCTGTGATATTGAGGACCAAGCCTCAACAGGAGTTGTGATGGGGACAGACCACATCCAAATCATAGTGGGGTTTAAGATCATGTTTCTTATCTGGATCCAACCAGATGTCTTCGTTCCAGGTTCCATATTGTCATTCTTCCCTGAATACATTGTACATTTTAAAAAATTCATATTTTCTTGATGCCTCAGCATTCTAACAAACAGGCTGTGAGCTCCCTGCTCAAGTGACCAGATGTACAAGGATGATAAGGTACTTATGCTACAAGTTCTTCTGTTGGCCCTCCCCTGACCATGACCTAGTAACATTCAAATGCACCAATGAAATCTAATGCCTTTTGCTTTAGTACTATACCCCAAGCCCCAGTAAAGGCAGTTGCCCTCAAGGGAGGCTTCTCTCTTAGCTCCCTACATGCTTGTCAGAGCCTCCTGCTTTGGTCCTCCTCCAGCATGGACCCCTGCATGGCATGGCATGCCTCCCTTTCTAGGATCTATGAGTATAATAAATCTAATATCATGAGCCTCTCAAAGTGTAATTGCAAGAGTGTGTTGGAGGGATCCTGAAACATCCCACAAAAGTGACTTAGTGCCCCATTTACAACACAGTTGGTAAAAAGGGTGAAGATCACTTTGAACTGGGGTGGAAAGTCTCTTGTAAGTGCCCTTTGTCCTTTTGTGGCTTGCTGATTGGCCATATAAGTAAAATGCTTATTCCTTTAGAAATGCTTGTTCCTCTGTGCTGAGAAGAACTAGTACTCAGACAAAGAATTTTCTCAGCAAGGCAATTTTACTTTCTGCAGAAAGGGTGGTCCTCGCAGATGGAACAATGACGAGATGACACATGAACAAAGGAGGGAAGCAATTTTTATCCCTTATGGAGCTTGTCCCTGCTGCTGTGTCCTGTCTTCATTGGCTGGAGGTGGACCACACAATCTAAGCTAAACCTGACTGGCCAATAACTTAAAACTTTCCTAAATAGGTAAAGACAAGGGAAAACAAAGGAAAAGAGGAAGTTGCTTACGAAAAGACTTAGAGAAGTAATAACATTTCCAAATAAGGAAGGGGCATAAGCTGTGAGCTGGGACATGGCTGAGCATGTCTAGAATAAATATCTTGGTTAAAGTACAAGGACATAGAATGTACTCATTCCCTTATATCTAACAGCTACATAGGATAGGGCTTAACAAAGAGTTATTAGCACAAAGCAAGGAGGCTTGAAGGAAGTTAGTCTTTAAAAGAAACTATTATTTCTTTTTTTTTTCTTTTCTTCTTTTTTTTTTGAGACAGAGTCTCACTCTTGTTACCCAGGCTAGAGTGCAGTGGCATGATCTTGGCTCACTGCAACCTCCACCTCCTGGGTTCAAGTGATTCTCCTGCCTCAGTCTCCCAAGTGTCTGAGATTACAGGCACCTGCCACCACGCTTGGCTCATTTTTGTCTATTTGCTAGAGACAGGGTTTTGCCATGTTGGCCAGGCTGGTTTCAAACTCCTAACCTCAGGTGATCCACCTGCCTCAGCCTCCAAAAGTGCTGGGATTACAGGTGTAAGCCACCGTGCCCAGCCTAAAAGAAAATATTATTTCTAACACTTATGATTTATTCTTTAACAAGAAGGGAAACTTTGAAGAGGAACTTTTTTACTTTCCACCCTGTACCATTTGGGAAGGCTGCCTGTCTTGTTGGAGTTTATGTGTATTGCTGTGTCATGCTTTGTGTTGTCCCTTCCGAGTGTTGGCCAAGAGTCTTTGTCATAAAGTTTGGACCCTGTGCTAGTCCCCATAATGCACCCCAGGATACTGCTTACCAGCCATGATCCCAGGAAGAGGGGTAATTATCCTGTTCTTCTCCAGGATCTGGAGTCATGTGTTCATGTGAATTGGGCATTTCTTAATGCACATACAAGTGACTGTGATTTGAAGAAGGGACCCTGGCAATAGAATTGGGCTCCTCTTTTGTATATTTGCACCAGCTACACCTTGCTAGGTGCCTCCTATGTTGCGATGCTATTCTGGTTTGGTGCTGATGCTCCCTGCCCCTGCCAGCTCCATGGGTTATGGCAGATGCCTTTCATGGAGAATGGTAGCTCAATGTTTTTTAAAAAGATGAATGGAAGGAGTACTTGATCCCTCTTCCCCTAAGATACTTGAGCATGTTTCTCAACTTATTTGAGGTTACAAATCTTTTGGGGCTGGGCATGGTGGCTCATGCCTGTAATCCCAGTACTTTGGGAGATAGAAGCGGGAGGATCACTTGAGGCCAGGAGTTCAAGACCAGTGTGGCCAAACCCTGTCTCTACTAAAAATACAAAATTAGCTGGGTGTGGCAGTGCACGCCTGTCATCCCAGCTACTAGGGAGGCTGAGGCATGAGAATCAATTGAACCCAGGAGGTGGAGGTTGCAGTGAGCTGAGATCACACCATTGCACTCCAGCCTGGGTGACAGAGCGAGACTCTGTCTCAAAAAAAAAAAAAATCTTTTGGTTAATGTTCTTCAGCACTTTTTTTTTTTTTTTCTTGAGATGTAGTCTTGCTCTGTCGTCCAGGCTGGAGTGCAGTGGTGTGATCTCATCCTTTTTCTGCATCTGTTGACAAGATCATATGATTCTTATACTTAATTCTGTTAATGTGGTTCTAATCACATTGATTTGCATATGTTGAACCATCCGTGCATTCCAGGGATAAATCCTACTTGATCATTATGAATGATAATTTTAATGTGCTGTTGAATTCAGCTTGCTAGTATTTTGTTGAGGATTTTTGCATCTGTATACTTAGGGATATTGGCCTGTAAGTTTCTCTTTGTAGCATCCTTCTTCAGTTTTTTGGAATAATTTCAGAAGGATTGGTTTAGATATTCTTAGATGTCTTATATAATTCAGCCATGAAGCAGTCAAGTCCTAGGTGTGTGTTTGATGGGAGATTTTTAGTTAGTGATTTGGTCTCCTTCTTCATTATTGGTCTGTTCAGATTTTCTCCTTTTTAGTATTTAGTGTTTGGTAGGTTGTGTGTGTCTAGAAATTTGTACATCTCTGCTAGGTTATCCAGTTTGTTGGCATGTAATTTTTCCAAGTAGTCTTTTATGATCCTTTGTATTTCTGTAGTTAACAGTTCTAATGTTTCCTCTCTCATATCTGATTTTATTTGAGTGTTCTTTTTAATTTTTTCTTTTCTTTTTTTTTCTTTTTTTTATTTTTTAAAGGCTTAATTTTATTTATTTATTTACTTATTTACTTATTTTTTGAGATGGAGTCTTGCTCTGTCGCCCAGGCTGGAGTGCAGTGGTGCGATCTCAGCTCACTGCAGCCTCCGCCTCTGCGGTTCAAGCAATTCTCCTGCCTCAGCCTCCCAAGTAGCGCGCGCTGTGACGCCTGGCTAATTTTTTTTTTTTTTTTTTTGTATTTTCGGTAGAGACAGGGTTTCACCATGTTCGCCAGGATAGTCTCAAACTCCTGACCTCAAGTCATCTGCCTGCCTCAGCCTCCCAAAGTGCCGGAATTACAGGTGTGAGCCACCATACTCTGCCAGAAAACAATTATTAATGAGATATGTTATGCTTCTTTTATACTAAGCCTTTAAAATCTGGTGTGCACTTCACATTTAGAGCACACTTCAATTCAGACACAGGTCATTTCAAGTGCTCAGTAGCCACACATGTCTAGTGGCTGCCATATTGGGTAGTGCGGCTCTAGTGCAATGGCTTTCAGCAGTTCTTCTGTTTCTTTTTTTTTTTTTTAATTGATCATTCTTGGGTGTTTCTCACAGAGGGGGATTTGGCAGGATCATAGGACAATAGTGGAGGGAAGGTCAGCAGATAAGCAAGTGAACAAAGGTCTCTGGTTTTCCTAGGCAGAGGACCCTGGGGCCTTCCACAGTGTTTGTGTCTCTGGGTACTTGAGATTAGGGAGTGGTGATGACTCTTAACGAGCATGCTGCCTTCAAGCATCTGTTTAACAAAGCACATCTTGCACCACCCTTAATCCATTTAACCCTGAGTGGACACAGCACATGTTTCAGAGAGCACCGGGTTGGGGGTAAGGTCACAGATCAACAGCAACCCAAGGCAGAAGAATTTTTCTTACTACAGAACAAAATGGAGTCTCCTATGTCTACTTCTTTCTACACAGACACAGCAACAATCTGATTTCTCTATCTTTCCCCCACATTTCCCCCTTTTCTATTCGACAAAACCGCCATCGTCATCATGGCCCGTTCTCAATGAGCTGTTGGGTACACCTCCCAGATGGGGTGGCGGCCGGGCAGAGGGGCTCCTCACTTCCCAGAAGGGGCAGCCGGGCAGAGGCGCCCCCCACCTCCCAGACGGGGCGGCGGCCGGGCGGAGGCGCCCCCCACCTCCCTCCCTGACGGGGCGGCTGGCCGGCGGGGGGCTGGCCCCCACCTCCCTCCCAGACGGGGCGGCTGGCCGGGCGGGGGCTGACCCCCCACCCCCCTCCCGGACGGGGCGGCTGGCCGGGCGGGGGCTGACCCCCCACCCCCCTCCCGGACGGGGCGGCTGGCCGGGCGGGGGCTGACCCCCCACCTCCTGGACAGGGCAGCTGCCAGGCGGAGACGCTCCTCACTTCCCAGATGGGGTGGCTGCCAGGCGGAGGGGCTCCTCACTTCTCAGACGGGGCGGCTGCTGGGCGGAGGGGCTCCTCACTTCTCAGACGGGGCGGCTGGGCAGAGATGCTCCTCACCTCCCAGATGGGGTCGCGGCCGGGCAGAGGCGCTCCTCACATCCCAGACGGGGCGGCGGGGCAGAGGTGCTCCCCACATCTCAGATGGTGGGCAGCCGGGCAGAGACGCTCCTCTCTTCCTAGACGGGATGGCGGCCGGGAAGAGGCACTCCTCACTTCCCAGACTGGGCAGCCAGGCAGAGGGGCTCCTCACATCCCAGACGATGGGTGGCCAGGCAGAGACGCTCCTCACTTCCCAGACGGGGTGGCGGCCGGGCAGAGGCTGCAATCTCGGCACTTTGGGAGGCCAAGGCAGGCGGCTGGGAGGTGGAGGTTGTAGCGAGCCAAGATCACGCCACTGCACTCCAGCCTGAGCAACATTGAGCACTGAGTGAACGAGACTCCATCTGCAATCCCGGCACCTCGGGAGGCCGAGGCTGGCAGGTCACTCCTGGTTAGGAGCTGGAGACCAGCCCGGCCAACACAGCAAAACCCCGTCTCCACCAAAAAAATACGAAAACCAGTCAGGCATGGTGGCGCACGCCTGCAATTGCAGGCACTCGGCAGGCTGAGGCAGGAGAATCAGGCAGGGAGGTTGCAGTGAGCAGAGATGGTGGCAGTACAGTCCAGCTTCGGCTCGGCATCAGAGGGAGACCGTGGAAAGAGAGGGAGAGGGAGACCGTGGGGAGAGGGAGGGGGAGGGGGAGGGGGAGGTCTTTTCTTTTTGAGAAAGGGTCTTGCTCTTGCCTGTGCTGGAGTGCAGTGCTGCAGTCATGGCTCAATGCAGCCTTGACTTCCTGGTCTCAAGTGATCCTCCTGAGTAGCTAGGACTACAGGTTTGTGCTACCATGCCTGGCTTCCTTCCTTTCTTCCTTCCTTCCTTCCTTCCTTCCTTCTCCCCCTTCCCCCCTCCCTTCCTTATTTTTATTATACTTTAAGTTCTAAGGTACATGCGTACAATGTGCAGGTTTGTTACATATATATACATGTGCCATGTTGGTTTGCTGCACCCATTAACTCGCCATTTACATTAGGTATTTCTCCTAATGCTATCCCTCCCCCATACCCCCACCCCACAACAGGCCCTGGTGTGTGATATTCCCCACCCTGTGTCCAAGTGTTCTCATTGTTCAATTCTCACCTATGAGTGAGAACATGCTGTGTTTGGTTTTTTGTCCTTGTGAGAGTTTGCTGAGAATGATGGTTTCCAGCTTCATGCATGTCCCTACAAAGGACATGAACTCATCCTTTTTTATGGCTGCATAGTATTCCATTGTGTATATGTGCCACATTTTCTTAATCCAGTCTATCATTGATTGACATTTGGGTTGGTTCCAAGTGTTTGCTATTGTGAATAGTGCCGCAATAAACATACATGTGCATGTGTCTTTATAGTAGCATGATTTATTATCCTTTGGGTATATACCCAGTAATGGGATGGCTGGGCCAAATGGTATTTCTAGTTCTAGATCCTTGAGGAATTGCCACACTGTCTTCCACAATGGTTGAACTAGTTTACACTCCCACCAACAGTGTAGAAGCATTCCTATTTCTCCACATCCTCTCCAGCACCTGTTGTTTCCTGACTTTTTAATGATCGCCATTCTAACTGGTTTGAGATGGTATCTTATTGTGGTTTTGATTTGCATTTCTTTGATGACCAGTGATGATGAGCATTTTTTCATGTGTCTGTTGGCTGCATACATATCTTCTTTTGAAAAGTGTCTGTTCATGTCCTTTGCCCACTTTTTTATGGGGTGGTTTGATTTTTTTCTTGTAAATTTGTTTAAGTTCTTTGTAGATTCTGGATATTAGCCCTTTGTCAGATTTGTAGATTACAAAAATTTTCTCCCATTCTGTAGGTTGCCTGTTCACTCTGATGGCAGTTTCTTTTGCTGTGCAGAAGCTGTTTAGTTTAATTAGATCCCATTTGTCAATTTTGGCTTTTGTTGCCATTGCTTTTGGTGTTTTAGACATGAAGTCCTTGCCCATGCCTATGTCCTGAATGGCATTGCCTAGGTTTTCTTCTAGGGTTTTTATGGTTTTAGGTCTAACATTTAAGTCTTTAATCCATCTTGAATTAATTTTTGTATAAGGTATAGGGAAGGGATACAGTTTCAGCTTTCTACATATGGCTAGCCAGTTTTCCCAGCACCATTTATTAAATAGGGAATCCTTTTCCCATTTCTTGTTTTTGTCTGGTTTGTCAAAGATCACATGGTGTAGATGTGTGGTGTTATTTCTGAGGCCTTTTTTTTTTTTTTTTTCAGATAATCTCTGCCTGTATTGCCCAGGTGGAATGCAGTGGCATGATCTCAGCTCACTGCAGCCTCTCTCTCCTGGGCTCAAGCTATCCTCCTACCTCAGCCTCCTGAATAGCTGGGACTACAGGCGTGCACCACCACACCCAACTAATTTTTGTATTTTTTGTAGAGAGGGTTTTACTGTGTTGCCTAGGCTGGTCTCGAATTCCTGAGCTCAAGCAATCTTCCCACCTTGGCCTCCCAAAATGCTGAGATTACAGGTGTGAGCCACCATGCCCAGTCCCAGCTATTTTTGAAAGCATTTTTTTGTACAGATGAGGACCTTGCTATGTTGCTCAGGCTGGCCTTGAACTCCTGGGCTCAGTTGATCCTTTTAACTCAGCCTCCCAAAGTGCTGCAATTACAGTTGTGAACCACTGTGCCCGGCTTTTTTTTTTTCTCTTCACCCCTTGATCTATCTAAAGGTTTGTTCATCTTTTCAGAAAACTTTTAGTTTCCTTTATCTTTTGTGATTTTTTTTTAGTTTCATTTATTTCAGTTCTGGTCTTTATTATTTCCTTCCTTCTACTAACTTTCAGCTTAGTTCTTGTTGTTCTTCTAAGTCCTCAAGGTGCAGTGTTAGGGTGTTTACTTGTGATTTTCTTTTTTCATATAGGCATTTATTGCTATTAACTGCCCTCTTTAAATCCTTTGCTTGTTCAGGTGTGTGTTACTTCATTTCCACCTATTTGTGAATTTTCTAATTTTCTTCCTATTGTTGATTTCTATTTTCTTACAGCTGTAGTCAGAAAAGATGTTTGATATGATTTTAAGCTTCTTAAATTTGTTAAGACTTGCTTTGTTGTTGTTGTTGTTGTTTTGTGACCTAACATATGATCTATCTTGGATAATGTTCTGTGTGCACTTGAGAAGAATGTGTATTTTGCTGCTGTTGGATGGAATGTTCTGTGTATGTTGTTAGATTGTTTTGGTCTAAAGTGTAGTTCTAGTCTCATGTTTCTTTATTGATTTTCTGTCTGAATGATCTGTCCGTTGTTCAAAGTAGGGTATTAAAGTCTCCCATTATTTTATTGCAATCTATCTCTGTCTTCAGATCTATTATTAATTTGCTTTATATGTTTACGTGCTCTGTTGTTGTTGGCATATGTAGTCATCCTTTGGAATCTGTGGGGGATTTGTTTCAGGATAACCCCCCTTCCTATAACCCCTCCCCCACCTGTGGATACCAAAATTTAGGCATGTTCAAGTCTCTTATAAAATGATGTTGTATTTGTTTGAAAATCATGCACATCCTCTCATGTACTTTAAAATATCTTTAGATTACTGTAAAACTTAAAGTAAATGCTATGTAAATAGTTGTTTTGCTGTATTATTTGGGGAATAATGAGCAGGGAAAATATGTGCACATATATAATAAAGTTGGACCCATGCATTTTTTTTTTCTGGATATTTTCAATCCATGGCAGGTTGAATCTACCCTAATAAGTGGAGATGTGGTACTCATGAATTCAGATGGCCAATTGTATATTTATAATTATTCTATCTTATTGATTGGTAGATTCCTTTATTATCATATAACGACCTTTGTGTCCTGTTACGGTTTTTGACTTAAAGTTCACTTTGTCTGATATAAGTAATACTTAACTTAGCTGTCTTTTGGTTTCTATCTGTGTGGAGTGTTTTTTCCCCTGCCCTTTTGTTTTTAATTTATGTATGTCCTTAAGGATGAAGTGAGTCTCTTGTAAACAACATGATCATTTGTGTCTTTGTTTGTTTTTTTAATCCACTTGGCCATTCTGTCTTTGAATTGGAGAATTTAGTGTGTGTGCATTCAGAGTAATCATTGTAGGTAGGTACTTACTACTGCCATTTTGTTAATAGTTTTCTTTCTTTTTTTTTTTCCATTTTGGAAAAAAAAAATCCCAGGCTGGAGTATAGTGGCATGATCTTGGCTCACTGCAATCTTCATCTGCTGGGTTCAAGCGATTCTCCTGCCCATTCAAGTGATTCTCCTGCCTCAGCCTCCTGAATAGCTGGGATTACAGGTGCCCGTCACCATGCCTGGCTAATTTTTGTATTTTTAGTAGAGGCAAGGTTTCGCCATGTTGGCCATGGCTAGTCTTGAACTTCTGGCCTCAAGTGATCCACCTGCCTCCACCTCCCAAAGTGCAGGGATTAGTGGCATGAGGCACTGCACCTGGCTCGTTAAGTTTTGTGGGGTTTTTTTTTATATTCTTTGTTTCTTCCTTTGTCTATTTTTGTGATTAATAATTTTCTCTAGTGTACTTTTGATTCTTTACTTTTTATCTTTTGTGTGTTGGCTATACATTTTTGCTTTGTGGTTACCATAAGACTTATATGAAACATCTTATAGCAGGATATTTTAAGCCGATAACTGTGATCACATAAAATAACTATACTTTAACTCAACCTCTCCTCATTTTATTTTTCTGATATTGTAATTTACATATTTTTATATTGTATATCCCTTAATTATTTTAGCTCTTACTGTTCCTAATACTTTTATCTCTTAACCTTCATCGTAAGGATATAATTCATTTATAAACCACCATTACAGTGTTTGAGTATTCTGAATTAGCTACGTGCTTATTTTTACCTGAGTTTTGTGCTTTGTTTTCTTGTTACTAATTAGTGTCCTTTTTTTAAGCTTGAGAACTCCCTTTAGCATTTCTTATTAGGTCTGGTGTCGATGAACTACCTCTGCTTTTGTTTTTCTTTGAAAATCTTCATCTCTTTTTCATTCCTGAAGGACAGCTTTGCTGGGTATGGTATTCTTTGTGAGCAGTTTTTTTGTTTGTTTGTTTTTCCTGACAGCAGTTTATATATGTCATCCCATTCTCTCCTGGCCTGTAAGGTCTTTGGTGACAGGTCTGCTCATAACCTTATTGGAACTCGTTCATATGTGATTTGCATCTTTTTTCATGCTGCTTCCAAGATCTTCACTTTGCTTTTCATTTTTGACTGTTTGATTATATTATATCTTAGGGTAGCCTTGTTTGGATTGAATGTGATTGGAGATGTTTGCCCTTCCTGAGTATGGATATTTATATATTTTCCTCAGTGTGGAAATGTTGTTATTGTTTCTTTAAGTATGTGTTCTCTTTCTTTCTTGTCTTCTTGTACTCCTGTAACTCAAAAATTTGCTCTTTTGATGATGTCCCTTGAATCTTGTAATTTTTCTTCATTTTTGTTTTTTCTCCTTTGTGTATTTCTAAGTAGTCTGTTTTCAAGTTCAAAGATTTTTTTCTTTTCCTTCTCTACTGTTGATGATCTCAATTGCGTTTTTCATTTGATTTGTAAGAACCATAAAGGAAGGAAGGGATAAAAATACAAGCAGAAATTTTAGGAAAAAGAGAACTCATGAATAATAATAAAAGGTGATTTTCTGAGAAGACCCATCAAATAGTCAATATAAGGGGCAGAGTCTGATTTGCGATTGCTGCTCTGCATGTTTTTTGTCCTCTTGCAGGAGCAATGGGCAGAACTCTGAACGCTAACTTCAGTGTTCTACTTGGAACCCTGTTGAAGCAACCAGAGTTGGAAATGAGTTCTGACTTGTTTGTAAAGGATGACATTCTTGTTCTAATTCTTTATAGTCAAAAGTAGAATAGCACATTTTAAGTAAGCCAGGTATCAATTCCCAGAGTCCTTTATATGGCAGTCATTATGGGGGAGTAATAACAACCACAGAGGATTAGACTTAGGGACAAACTTGACTGCATTCAAGTCCTGGTTCACCGCTTCCTAAGTAGATGATATTAGAAGAGTCATTTGTGTTTTCTGAATTTAGATTTTTTTCAGCACTAAATAGGGATATTGTTCAGATAAGTGAGCATATATATATGTATATATGTATATGCACATATGTATGTGTATATATATGTAATGTCTAACATATAACAGTCCCTAGTAAATGGCAGTTGGTGTTATTAATACTCATTTTATACAGAACATATACTATTTCTAGTGGGTTTTACACATATCACCAGCAGTAAAGATTTAATATATGGTATTTGATGACTGATAAGTAACGCTTGTTGATTAATGATTGATGTCTACATGAGTCCAGATACTCTATATAAAGAGGAATAGATTGCCAGTTATCCACTTAGATTTATAAGCTACCCTGATATGTCCTTGGAATCACAAAAAACTGTGTCCAGACATATTTCACTGTCAGCCTCACAGGATTTGCCCTATGGTAAGTTTTTCCAAAAATCTGCTTTAGGTAACCATATTAGTCTGTTCTCACTGCTATGAAAAAATACATAAGACTGGATAATTATAAAGAAAAGAGGTTTAATTAACTCACAGTTCCACATGACTGGGGAGGCCTCAGGAAACTTAACATCAATGGCAGAAGGCACCTCTTCACAGGGTGGCATCAATGGCAGAAGACACCTCTTCACAGGGTGGCAGGAGAGAGATTGGGTGCAAGCCGGGGAAATGCCACATACTTATAAAACCATCAGATTGGCCGGGCGCGGTGGCTCACATCTGTAATCCCAGCACTTTGGGAGGCCAAGGCAGGTGGATCACAAGGTCAGGAGTTCGAGACCAGCCTGACCAACTGGTGGAACCCTGTCTCTACTAAAAATACAAAAGTTAGCCAGGTCTGGTGGCACGTGCCTGTAATCCCAGCTACTCAGGAGGCTGAGGCAAGAGAATTGCTTGAACCCGGGAGGCAGAGGTTGCAGTGAGCCAAGATCTCGCCATTGCACTCCAGCCTGGGTGACAGAGCAAGACTCTGTTTCAAAAACAAAAACAAACAAAAAAAAACCCACCATCAGATCTTGTGAGACTCACTCATTATCACGAAAACAGCATGGGGGAAGCTGCCCCCATGATCCAATCACCTCCATCTGGTTCTGCCCTTGACATGTGGGGATTATCACAATTCAAGATGAGATTTGGGTGGGGACACAGAGCCACACCATATCAGTACCCCATGCAGAATATATAGTCCAGGGCTCTAGGCCTTAGTATTCACACTAGTAGTTCCTTTCTGAGTTGTTGAAGTGTGCCAGAGAGGCCTGTTGTGTAAGTTAGCCCCCTTAAGTGTGTTCTTTGAGAAGAGGTGCTGCATAATCTCATTTGTGAGTTATATCACCATGGGCACAAAAAGACTTACATTCCTCAGGTCTTAAGTTTCTTTACCTGGCTAGGTGCAGTGGCTCATGCCTGTAATCCCAGCACTTTGGGAGGCCAAGTTGGGCGGATCATGAGGTCAGGAGATGGAGAACATCCTGGGTAACACGGTGAAACCCCATCTCTACTAAAACTACAAAAAATTAGCCGGGCGTGGTGGCAGGTGCCTGTAGTCCCAGCTACTTAGGAGGCTGAGGCAGGAGAATGGCGTGAACCCAGGAGGCAGAGCTTGCAGTGAGCCGAGATCGTGCCACTGCACTCCAGCCTGGGCAACAGAGTGAAACTCCATCTCCAAAAAAAAAAAAAAAAGTTTCTTTACCTGTGCAATGAGGATATTATACTTTTACTTACGACAGCTTGGCCCACAATTCCTTTTTCTTGCTCTAGGTTAGACAGAAGTGCAGTGGCATTTTATGGATGTAATGTATATTTATGTGAGTTTATATGAATTATAAGAGAATTTCGAACCAGGTTGGAATAACTTCCATGCATGCGAATGTTGGAACTGTGATTATGTCTGGGCTCTTATGCCTTCTTTCTTTTCCAGGTCTTTCTAGGAACCCAATCTGCCTTCATGAAGAAAAGACAGAGGCAGAAAGGAAGATGGCTTACTGCCTGACAAATTGTTATCAGGTATGCAGAAAATGTATACTTCCACAAAATGACATACTTGCATCACCAGGTAAACACATTTCCTTCTAGGCAGATGTGTCTCCAGAGCTTCTTTAAGTAAATAAAGACTCACTCAAGCACTGAGTCACTTGTTGAATTTCCCCAGGGAGTGGAGGTTCTCATACTGATAATCCTTGAAAAGCATTTCAGCATTTCAGTAATTGTTAATTAATTTTGTCCCTTATGGTGCCAGATATATATTTCTTATTTTGCTGAGTGGTCTGGCAGATGGAAAGGAAGATGAAAGCATCCTTTACTCAAAGGCTAATCCTGGCCAGGTGCAGTGGCTCACACTTGTAATCTCAGCACTTTGGGAGGCTGAGAAGTGAGTGGCATTATCGCTTGATCTTAGGAATTTGAGACCAGCCTGGGCAACATACTGAGACATTGTCTCCACAAAAAAAAAAAAAAAAAAAAAAAATGCCAGGCATGGTGGTGCATGGCTGTAGTCCTAGCTACTCAGGAGGCTGAGGCAGGACGATCACTTGAGCCCAGTAAGTCAAGGCTGCAGTGAGCCATGATCACACCACTGCAGTCCAGCCTACGTGACAGAGCAAGACCCTGCTTCCCAAAAAAAAAGGCTAATCATTCATCGCTGTTTATCAAGTATATGATGCAGTGTACTCTGGGATATCTTTTAGTAGAG
Organism: Homo sapiens; assembly: GCF_000001405.40. NCBI lineage: Eukaryota > Metazoa > Chordata > Mammalia > Primates > Hominidae > Homo > Homo sapiens. The sequence goes on along the minus strand of NC_000019.10, from coordinate 9,474,598 downwards.
GGAAATAAGTTGAGAAAGCACTCACAGTCTGCTTGTGATGAGAAGTTCATGATTGAGATGTGCCATTAAAGCCATACAACTGGAATTGTTAAGTAGTGAAAGAGCAAGGATAGAGAGAGGAATACCTGAGATTTACCTGGGATTATTAAGCTTTGGGTAGATAATGAGAGACCTCACAACTCTTTATAGGCATTGGGGTCTGTTAACTGATTCTTCAGTGAACACTGGTTAATCTGTTACTTGGCTCAAATCAACATGTATGTGATGGTTTAGTACTCCGTGACCTTTGAGGATACAGCTGTGGACTTCACCCAGGAGGAGTGGATTTTACTGGACCCAGTTCAGAGAAACTTATACAGAGATGTGATGCTGGAGAATTATGAGAACGTGGCCAAAGTAGGTAAGACTGCCATCATTTTATGCAGCCTCTTAGGGAAGAGATATACATTGTGTACTTGCTGTGTTCCAGAATTGGTTTGTTCAACACTGAATTCACCAGAGACGTTGTCCCTGCCATAATAGGTCTTAATTACTGTGGTCGTTTTCAAAGTGTGGTCCAGTTTCGACAGCATCACTGTTACTCCCTTAGAAATGTACAGTCTTAGTCTCTGCCTTTGACCTACTGAATCAGAAACTCTCCACTTGGATTGTCATCTGTGTGTTAACTATCCTTCCACATCAATTTGATGCACTATAATATTAAGAATCACTGGTGTAGTTGTATTCTCCAAGTATACAAGGGTCTCTTTGTTTCACTTTTTTTCTTTTTTTTCTTCATTCAGGAGTTTGACAACATACCTTATTTCTGTGACTAAAAGGTTATTGCTTTGTAAATGTGCACATAAGCATGAATTTGCATTTCAGAGGTCAGAGAGCCAATTTTGGGGTGCACAGAAATAAGAGATATTTTCAGTTTTAGTCCATTTGAAATAATTTCACTGCTTTCTCTAAGAACTATAGTTCTATAATGTAAAGTTTATCATCTCTTGCATGAGCCTCTTCCATTATTTTTTTTTTTTTGAGATGGAATTTTGCTCTTGTTGTCCAGGATGGAGTGCAGTGGCATGATCTCGGCTCACTGCAACCTCTGCCTCCTGGGTTCAAGCAATTCTTCTGTCTCAGCCCCCCAAGTAGCTGGGATTATAGGCACACGCCATCACACCCAGCTAATTTTTGTATTTTTAGTAGAGACGGGGGTTTCACCATCTTAGGCTGATCTTGAACTCCTGACTTCAGGTAATCCACCCACTTCAGCCTCCCAAAGTGCTGGGATTACAGGCATGAGCCACTGTGCCTGGCCTGAGCCTCTTCCATTAATGTATCATTTCTTCATGTAAAGGATTTCAGCTCTTTAAACCCAGTGTCATCTCTTGGTTGGAAGAAGAAGAGTTGAGAACCTTGCAGCAAGGAGTTCTCCAAGGTGAGTATTTGTGAAGAACAACCTTGGTCAGTGAGAAGTTCAGTATGTTTAGAAGCTGTGTTAGTCTGTTCTTGTGTTGCAAGAAAGAAATACCTGAGACTGGGTGATTTATTAAGAAAATAGGTTTATTTTGGCTCACGATTCTGCAGGCTCTACAGAAAGCATGGTTCTGACATCTGCTTCAGGTGAGAGCCTCAGAAACCTTACAATCATGGCAGAAGGCAAAGGAGGAGCAGACAAATTACATGATGAGAAAGGGAGTAAAAGAGAAGTTGGGGGTGGTGTCATAGTGTTTTAAACCAGCAGTCCCCAGCCTTTTTGGCATCAGGGACCAGTTTCATGGAAGACAATTTTTCCACAGACCAGGTCTCAGGGATATTGTTTCAGGATGATTCAGGTGCATTACATTTATTGTGCACTTTATTTCTACTATTATTACATTGTAATATATAAGGAAATAATTATACAACTCTACCATAACTCTACTGTAATGAAATAATTATACAATTCTACCATAATGTAGAATCAATGGGAACCCTGAGGTTGTTTTCCTGTAACCAGATGGTCCCATTTGGGGATCTGGGGGTGATGGGAGACAGTGACAGATCATCAGGCATTAGATTCTCAAAAGGAGCGCGCAAACTAAATCCTTCGCATGCACAGTTCATGATAGATTTTGCTCTTTTATGAGAATCAAGTGCTGCCGCTGATCTGACAAGAGGCGGAGCTCAGGAGGCAATTAGGATGGAGAGCAGCTATAAATACAAATGAAGCTTCACTTGCTCTCCTGCCACTCACCTCCTGTGCTGTGGCCTGGTTCTGGTCCATGGCTCCGGAGTTGGAGACTCCTGTTTTAAACTACCAGGTCTCACATGAATTCAGAACAAGAACTCACTTATTACTCCGAGTATGTCACTAAGCCATTCATGAAGGACCCACCCCCATGATCCAAACATCTCCCACCAGGCCCCACCTCCAGTATTTGGCGTTGCATTTCCATATGAGATTTGGAGGGAACTAACATCCAAACCATCAGAAACATAATGAGGGAACTTTTTTTTTTTTTTTTGAGACGGAGTCTCACTCTGTCCCCCAGGCTGGAGTGCAGTGGCACGATCTTGGCTCACCGCAACCTATGCCTCCCAGGTTCATGCCATTCTCCTGCCTCAGCCTCCCGAGTAGCTGGGACTACAGGTGCCTGCCAACATGCCCGGCTAATTTTTTGTATTTTTAGTAGAGATGGTGTTCCACCGTGTTAGCCAGGATGGTCTTCATCTCCTAACCTTGTGATCCGCCCACCTCAGCCTCCCAAAGTGCTGGGATTACAGGCGTAAGCCACCACACCCAGCCCTCTGAGGGAACTTTTTAAGATGCACCTTCTCTCACAAGGTTAAGGCCATTTATCTCAGAAGTTAGAAAATATTCAATTTTTGATACTCTTTAAATTTCCATCTACTCCAACTTTCTATGATCTTATGAAACTATATATTTTGTTTTTCAAGTTCTTTGCTTTGAAATATGGCTTTGGCCCAGATCTTTCCTACTTTTCTGATAACATTCTTTCTGTTTAACATTAGTTTTAAATCTAAATGAGTCAATTTGTAGCAAATTAGCTAAAATTTTGACCCTTTAATCTCATTATTGCCAATTTTTTGACACAGTCTAAATGTTCAATTTAGCTTTCTTTTTTCTTATGTTTATTTTAAAAACAAATATGAATGAGGCCTATAATTTTTAACTCTTTCATTTTACCTTTTTTTTTAAAAAAAAAAAAAACCTCAGTTTATGTTTTTGTTTCAGACTGGGCAATAAAACATCAAACCAGTGTTTCAGCACTGCAGCAGGAGTTTTGGAAAATACAAACTTCTAATGGGATACAAATGGTAATGTTAAGAAAGGGTATTTCTTATTTTTCACACTCAGAGAATATTGGGACTTCCAATATAGAAAATAAGCACAAAAGATAATTGAGAGGAATAGCATTCACTCAAGAGGGAGCAATGTCTCTGGAGAGATGCTCTGATAATGATGAATTTGGGGAGATCTAAACTTAGTGTGAAAGTTGTATCCTTCTAAAATTGGAGTAATGATATCAACAAAGACTCATTTTCTTGTAGGTACTCCTGTCTGTATTCTTCCTTAAAGCAAATATAGACCCTAGTTGAATTTTTCCCAGAAAGTCATACCTCTCATATTGGTGAGGAATTACCCTGGAAATTATCTCAGTATTTTTGTATTTATGAATTAGTGTTCATTTTCCTGGTGCCAACTGCATATTTATTTTTCTGGGTGCTAGGACAGATGGTAAGGGGTATGAAAGTGTTCTTTTCTTAAGGAATTTATCCATATCCTCATTTATCAAGTATTTGTTATGTGCTCAGGAGTGTTTTGCAGTAGAGAGGAATCAAATGAGATGAGCTCCCGGTCTAGTTGTGGTTGATAAGTTTCTGTGTAAGAGGTTCTGTTACAGCCATGTTATTGGAGGAAATTGACAGTGAGTGAATGTGGATAGAAGAGTTCCTAGGGCCACTGAACCTTGGGGTGTAGATAGTGGGAGCACTCAGTACCCTGTACAGGGATTGGGTCCCCCTTCCTCATTCTTCAGCCAACATTGGTGGAGATGTTGCTTGGCTCAAATCAGCATGTGTCTGATGGTTTAGGACCTGGTAACCTTTGACAGTGTGGCTGTGGAGTTCACCCAGGAAGAGTGGACTTTACTGGACCCAGCTCAGAGAAACCTGTACAGTGATGTGATGCTGGAGAACTACAAGAACCTGTCCTCAGTAGGTAAGTCTGGCATCATCCCTTGTAGCCTATTCTGGAACAAGATACAAATTATGTACTTACTGTATTCTAGGATTAGTGATGTCAAATCTGAATACAGTGGGATATATACACACTGAAAAAAAATTTTTTTTAATGAGTAAAATAGGAAATAACAGAGACAGTTCCTGTACTAATGGGTTTTAATCTTGTATGGTAGTTTGCGTCAGTAGCATCACCATCACTGTCTTAGATATGTGTACATTCTCAGACTCGATGTACTAAATCAAAAAGTCTGCTGTTGGGGCCCTGTATTCAGATGAGTAATTCACTCTAAAGTTCAGAACTACTGGAATGGGAGTTTTCCCAGGAGAATCAAGATCTCTCTTTGAGCTTCCATTAGTTTCTATTTTAATAAAGGTTTTAGTGGTTTTTAGAATTTGTATTTAACATTTGCCATTTAGAAAGAAAAAGTGCAGCTCACTGCTAGTGCTTGTTTCTTGGGGCAAACAGGAAATGAGTTAAGCTTGAATGTGAATTTCAGAGGTCAGAGATAACCAGTGTCTTCAGAGAACAGAAAGATGGGATATATGCAATTTAAGTGCTTTTCACTGCTTTAATTAGAAACGTAGTCCCTGTTTCATGGAAAAGTTTGCCATTTCTTGCATGAGCCTCTTCCATTGGTGTATCTTTCCCTGTGTACAGGTTACCAGCTCTTCAAACCCAGTCTGATCTCTTGGCTGGAGGAAGAGGAAGAGTTGAGCACACTGCCAAGAGTTCTCCAAGGTGAGTGTTTGTGAAGAACAACCCTGGTCCATGAGAAGTTCTCAGTACGTTTGGAAGCACAATGAAGTTTTATAAGATGCCCTTTGAATCAGAAGGCTGTCCACTGGACTTGGATGTTTTGGGATATCTTAACTTTTCATCCTCCATTGCTTTGCATCTATCCAGACTTCCCTATTACCTAACAAATGACCTTCTTTATGTTTATGGATTTATTGTATGCTTTTGTTCCAATTTTTCCGACTTTTCCTTCCCTGGTAGTATTGCTTCTGTTAACCATCATGTTTAATTTTCATAGAATAAGTTGTTTTAAAAATTACTAAAACTTGACCCCATATGATTGCCAAATTTTAGACATATATAAATTGTTCAAATCTATCTGCTTTTTATTTAACCTACCATTTCATGTGTAAACTCTCATGTATATTTTTCTCTTTTATTTCAGAATGGAAAATGTGCCTGAAAACCAAAGGGCCAGCCCTTTGGCAAGATAATTTTTGTTTAAAAACATTAAATGGGATACAGTTGGTAAGATTAACAAAAGAACTTTCTTATTTTTCACATTCAGAGAAGACTGGTATTGCATTATAGAAATCAGCAGAAATGGCCAGGCACGGTGGCTCATGCCTCTAATCCCAGCACTTTGGGAGGCTGAGGCAGGCGGATCATGAGGTCAGGAGTTCGAGACCAGCCTGGCCAATATGGTGAAACCCCATCTCTACTAAAAATACAAAAATTAGCTGGGCATAGTGGTGTGTACCTGTAGTCCCAGCTACTTGTGAGGCTGAGGCAGAAGAATTGTTTGAACCCAGGAGGTGGAGGTTGCAGTGAGCTGAGATCGTGCCACTGCACACTACAGCCTGGGCAACAGAGCGTAACCCCATCTCAAAAAAAAAAAAAAAAAAAAGAAATCAGCAGAAATGATAGATATTTGAGAGAAGTGGCATTCACCCAATTCACCCAAGGGGAGAAATATCTGGAGAGAGATCCCATACCTTGTGTGAAGCTTGGTACTTAAGACTTCCCATGAATGTTCATTCCAACATGTATAACTAGACATTTGAGTTTTTAAAATAACTTCATGAAAAGCTACAGGAATCTTGCCAAGATTAGAGCAGATGACATAGGATTCTTACAGTAGGGTTCCATTATTCAAGTTGAAGGAAATCCAAAAGGTAGAAACTATATGCATGTTATAAAAGTGGCAAAAATAATAATTATCATGTTTCTTAGAAGAGTGGTATCTATTAATAAGTCTGCTAAAATGCTTCCTTTATTGTTCATTCCTGTGTTAACAGGCAAGAAACCAAAATGGAGAGGAACTCTATGACTGTAAGCAATGTGAAGATGTCTTCTGTAAACATCCATGCCTTAAGACCAACATGAGTACTCAAAATAGAGGCAACACGTCTGAATGTATTCAGTATGCAAAAGACCTCCTTTCTCTATACAATAAAACCTCTACCATAAGGAAAGTTTCTGTGTTCAGTAAGCATGGAAAATCTTTCCGCCTGATTTTAAATGTTCAGGTCCAGAGAAAGTGTACACAAGATAAATCCTTTGAAGGCACTGACTATGGGAAAGCCTTCATTTATCAGTCATACCTTGAAGCACACAGGAAAACTCAGAGTGGAGAAAAACTCAATGAATGGAAGCAATGTGGGGAAGCATTTACTCACTCCACAAGCCATGCTGTAAATGTTGAAACACACATTATTAAAAACCCCTATGAATGTAAGGAATGTGGAAAAGATTTTAGATACCCTACCCACCTTAATAATCACATGCAAACCCACATTGGGATAAAACCTTATAAATGTAAGCACTGTGGCAAAACCTTCACTGTGCCGTCAGGCTTTCTTGAACATGTACGAACTCACACTGGAGAGAAGCCCTATGGGTGTAAGGAATGTGGTAAAGCCTTTGGTACATCTGCAGGCCTTATTGAACATATAAGATGTCACGCCAGAGAGAAAACCTTTAAATGTGACCACTGTGGGAAAGCCTTTATTTCTTACCCATCTCTTTTTGGACATTTGAGAGTTCATAATGGAGAGAAGCCATATGAGCATAAGGAATATGGGAAGGCCTTTGGTACATCCTCAGGTGTTATTGAAGATAGAAGAAGTAACACAGGACAGAAACGCTTTGATTGTGACCAGTGTGGGAAAGTCTTTGTTTCTTTCTCATCTCTTTTTGCTCATTTGAGAACTCACACTGGTGAGAAGCCCTTTAAGTGTTACAAATGTGGGAAACCATTTACCTCTTCTGCCTGTCTTCGTATTCACATGCGAACTCACACAGAAGAGAGACTCTATCAATGTAAGAAATGTGGTAAAGCTTTCACTAAGTGCTCATATCTTACCAAACATTTACGAACACACGCTGGAGAGAAACCCTATGAATGTATGAAATGTGGGAAAGCCTTCACTGAGCGCTCATACCTTACTAAACATTTACGAAGACACAGTGGAGAGAAGCCATATGAATGTAAGAAATGTGGAAAAGCCTTCACAGAACGCTCAGATCTTACTAAACATTTACGAAGACACACTGGAGATAAGCCCTATGAATATAAGGACTGTGGGAAAGCCTTTGTTGTCTCCTCCAGTCTAGTTGATCATTTAAGAACTCACACTGGATATAAACCCTATAAATGTAATGCATGTGAAAAAGCTTACAGTAGGTCTTGTGTACTAACTCAACACTTAAAAACTCATGCAGCAGAGAAGACCTCTGAATGTAACGCATGTGGAAATTCCTTTCGAAATTCCATGTGCTTTCATGATCGCTTAAAAACTCTCACCAAAATAAAACCCTATAAATGTAAGGACTGTGGGAAAGCCTTCACTTGTCATTCAGATCTTACTAATCATGTGCGAATTCACACTGGAGAGAAGCCCTATAAATGTAAGGAATGTGGGAAGGCCTTCCGTACATCCTCAGGACGTATTCAACATTTAAGAACTCATATGGGAGAGAAACCCTTTGAATGTGACCAGTGTGGGAAAGCCTTTGCTTCTTTCTCAGCTCGTATTGCACATTTGAAAACACACTAGAGAGAAGCCCTGTGGATGTGAAGAATGTGGAAAAACCTTTGCTGTTTCCTCAAGCCTAACTGAACATGTAAAAATTCACAGGAGAAAGTAACACTATCAATGTAAGGAATGTGAGAAAGCCTGAACAGTTGAATCTTTCTAGATATGTACAAACTCACACTGTAGAGAAACCCTGTAAATGTAAGGGATGTAGGAAAACACTAGTTCTTCTCTCTCTCTTTTTTTTTTTTTGATGAGTCTCACTCTGTCACCTAGGCTGGAGTGCAGTGGCATGATCTTGGCTCACTGCAACCTCTGCCTCCCAAGTTCAAGCAATTCTCCTGCTTTAGTCTCCTGAGTAGCTGGGATTACAGGCATGCACCACCACACCTGGCTAATTTTTTATATTTTTGGTAGAGACAGAATTTCACCATGTTGGCCAAGCTAGTCTCAAACTCCTGACCTCATGTGATCATGTGCTTCCACCTCCCAAAATGCTGGGATTACAGGTGTGTGCCACTGCACCTGGCATTCTTCTCATCTTACTGAACGTGTAGAAACACCATGGAGAGAAACCATGTTTTTTTGTTTGTTTGTTTTTGAGATGAAGTCCCACTCTGTAGCCCAGGCTGGAGTGCAGTAGCATGATCTCGGCTCACTGCAACCTCCGCCTCCTGGGTTCAAGCGATTCTCCTGCCTCAGCCTCCCGAGTAGCTGGGATTATAGGCACACACCACTGCACCTGGCTGATTTTTTGTATTTTTAGTAGAGACGGGGTTTCAACATTTTGGCCAAGCTGGTCTTGAAGTCCTGACCTCAGGTAATCTGCCCGCCTTGGCCTCCCAAAGTGGTAGAATTACAGGTGTGAGCCATCGCGCCTGGCCAAGAAACCCATTTTATGTAAGGAATGAGGAAAATCCTTTTGGAAGTCCATATGCCTTAATAGTCACATTGTAATTCACACTGGTGAGAAAACAATGTAAGCACTGTGTCAAAGTGCTCATTTGTCCCTGTTCACTTCAAAGATAGGAAAGAACTTACACTCTGATGATGCTCCATAAAGTTAAAGGCATGTGGGAGAACCGTTGGAATCTGCTGACAATACACTGTGTAAGAGTTCATCCTGAAGCTGTACAATGTTAGAAACATAGAGAGCTGGCCAGGCGCAGTGGCTCATGCCTATAATCTCAGCACTTTGGAAGGCTGAGGCAGGTGGATCACGAGGTCAAGAGATCGAGACTATCCAGGCCATCCAGGCCAACATGGTGAAACCCTGTCTCTACTAAAAATACAAAAATTAGCTGGGCATGGTGGTACACCCCTGTAATCCCAGCTACTCAAGAGCCTGAGGCAGGAGAGTCGCTTCAACCAGGGAGGCAGAGGTTACAGTTAGCCAAGATCATGCCACTGCACTCCAGCCTGGCGACTGAGCGAGACTCCATCTCAAAAAAAAAAAAAAAAAAAATCAATAGCTTTCACTGTTTCCTTGGGTTCTTGGAATGGAGATAAACCCTTTTTATGTAAGATGTTTGATGTAAGATATGTTCAGAAGTTTTATTCTTGCCAAATACTTTGGTGTTTACCTGTAATTTTATAGTGGAGAAAAACTTCATGAAGGTAATAAATGTTGGAAAGTAATTTTTTATATTCTTCGTCCTTTAGTGAATATGAGGGGCATTCACACTTATGAGAAACTGGGCATGTATGGAATATCAGGATTGCTTCTCTGAAACCTGTCAAAGCCTGGCTTTCTGGGTGGTTCTATAGAACTATTTTGGAAGTTTCTTACACCCCGCTGCTCATTCCTGGCATGGTATGTCTTTCTCCTATAGCAACACCACTCTAGTTGCTATACATCCTCTGGGTTACAACTGACCTAAAGTGGGCCTTCAGGATTCAGACAATCCTGTTTTAACAGTGTAGATTCTCTTTTTGGTTTGTCATATTTTTAGACATGGTCCACCTGTAGTGGCTCACACTGGCCAAGGTAAAAGTTATAATACAGCTTTAAAATGTAAAAATACTCTTGTTCCTCTTTTCAAACCTGATCTTTTCAGATAAATGGTCAGGGTTGAAGAAGGGTCTGAGTGGAGAAAGGGTGCACTAACAGATAGTAACTTAAGATACCGTGATTTCATGGCCGTGGAGGGACACCCATAACCCTTCACCTGGAGAGGTGGGAACTCTTGTACTATCAGGCAGTGCAGAGAGGTGGTGGGAACCACGAATGTTGTCTTTGATGCCACTGTTTGGCAAAGCAGTCATATATGCCTGACTCAGTTAACTGCTATGATTGGCAGTATGACCTATTTCTGGGGTTTCATTTTGCCCATGTGCTATGAAAACAGAAAAACTCCTGTGAACATGGATGATCATGATATTCTGCTGTGCTTGACACCATCACTAGCACTTCCTGAACATGGCCCTGGAATACACACACACGCACAAGCTGCATAACCAGGTTCCAGTCTGAGTGGTACAAATTTAAATATTTCTGTTATATCATGTACAGCAATTAAGGCTGTTGTTTCTTGGTGATTCTTTCTGTGGTTCTTAATCCAGCCAGTGTAATGGTAATCCAAAGCTTCAGGTAAGTTTACCAATCCTGAATCAGCTGGGTGTAATAGCTTATGCCTGTAATCCCAGCACTTCGGGAGGCCAAGTCAGGCGGATCACTTGGGCTCAGGAGTTCAAGACCAGCCCGGGCAACATGGCAAAACCCTATCTCTACAAAAAATGTAAAGATTAGCCTGGTGTGATGGCACGTGCCTGTAGTCCAACCTACTCAGGAGGCTGAGATAGGTGTCTCACTGACCCCAGGGAGGTCATGGCTGCAGTGAGCTCAGATCGTGCCATTGGACTCCAACCTGGGTGACAGAGGCCTTGTCTCAAAAACAAAACAAAACCAAAAAAACTGAATTGAGGTCCATGCATTTTCATGTTACATGTTTTCTTATGGAGAGGAAAGGGTTTCAGAGTGGTTCTCTTGTGGTATGAGTGTGATTATTTTAACCCATCTTTGTTGCGTTTAACTGTTACCAGTGACACAAAAGACGCAGATTAGTCTTAATTGCCTTGTGTGACTTCTGTCACCTCACAGACTGTCCTTAGATGCCATCCTGATTGTCTCAAATAAAACCTATAGGTTATTCCTGAAACTTTTTCACAGTTGTTGGAGTATGAGCACTTGTGGGTCACAGGTGAGGTCAATACTGTAGGTTGGCCTCATCCTGGTGCTTGGACTAATAGTGATGTATCACTAAGAAATGATACCCTAGTCTCACAGCCTAGAAATTGCCTAGCTTCAGAAGCTGATTTCCTTTTTTATTTTTTTTAGAAGCTGATTTCTGATTGTTTATATAAAATCACTTGATCTTTGTATACTGAATTTTACTAGAAGCCTTGTTCAACATTCTTTAACATCCTAGTTTTATGTATTTTGGGTTTTCCACATTTCATATTATCTGTAACTGACTTAACTTGTAACCTTCAGTCATTTATGTCTTGTCTAGGCAGAAAATACTAGAATAATAACTAGAAGTAGTAAAACAAGCATACTTTTATTTCTAATCCTAATGGCAGATGTTTTCCATCATTACTAATCACTGTATTGGTTGCTGTAGATTTTTAAAAGGTCAAGGTTTTTTTCTACTTTTCATTGCTTAGGGAATCTTTCCCATGAATGGCTTAAGAATTTATTGAATGCTTTTCCCTGATTCCTCTTTGATGATCTTGCCTTACTCAGAAAATTCAGGTACCTAGGACTGACTGTACTTGCCCTTGATAGATACCTAATATTTAAATGTGTAAGTAAATAAAAGTTTTTTTAAAATGTGGAAAGATAACTGATTGACATTCCAATGTTATATTATCTTTGTAATTCCAGAAAAATGCAGTTTGAGTATAATGGATTAACTTTTTTTTTTGCTAGAATATTTTATATACCTATAGTGTAAAGATTTTTTAAAAATATTATTAACATTGGCATGTAATATTTGCCAAGACCAGGTCGGTCATGGAGACCACAATCCAGCAGCACTAGAGGAATAAAGACATAGACAGAAATAGAGTGCAAAGTGGGATCAGGGGGCTAACAGCCTTCAGAGCTGAGAGCCTCGAACAGAGTTTGACCCACCTATTTATTGACAGCCTGTGATAAACATCGTTTCTGTAGTTTGTAGATTAACTGAAAGTATTCTTTAAGGAGAACAAAGGGACAGGCTCTGGCTTGTTATCTGCAGCAGGAGCATGTCATTAAGGCACAGATTGCTTATGCCATTGTTTGTGGTTTAGGAACACCTTGAGCAGTTTTCCGCCCTGGGTGGGCCAGGTGTTCCTTGCCCTCATTCTGGTGAACCAGCAACCTCCAGTGTGTGCATCATAACCATCACGAGCATGTCACAGTGCTGCAGAGATCTTGTTTATGACTTTTCTTATGGCTTGTTTATGGCCAGGCTTGGGGCCTATTCCCAGCATGTCCCCCTTTTTGTTTTACCAGGGCAATAAAAGCAAAGGCGGCTTTATCACAGTGAGCTACTTCTTGCAGGAGTCAGGATCCGCATCTGCAGACTACACAAAGACAAACAACACAGATTAATAGCACAACCATCATAGAAATCACAGAGCCTCCAAGTGTTTTTATGCATTTCATAGGATTTATGGCTGCCAATCCATCTGCAACTCCTTCAAGCACTCCAGTTCCTGGCATTAAGGTCAGGTGTGCCTGGGATGCTTGAAATATTTGTTCTCTTAATTTTGCAACATCCGAAGACAAGTTTGTAGAGTGTCCTTCCAGATACTTTTTTTTATTCTTTCCCATTCATGGTCTAATTCATTATAAGGGTGAGGAGTGATACAAAAGTCAGAAGTATTCCAGTCGCATTTCAGCTGCATTCCATATTCCAAACTAGCTACTTGATCTCCCACCCACATTACAGTTGGTTGGAGATCATTGATTTGATTAACTATCTTTTGGTCTATTTTAGTTTGAGAGTTCCACAGCAGAGTAGAATTCTTTTGCCATTATTTACAAAATCTGCTGTCTGCACTGATGAATGTAGTGCCACTCCAGCTACTGCAGCAGTAGCTGTGACAGCAATCAGTCCCATAATAATCAAGATTAAAGTAGCAATGAAACACTGAGAACTTCTTAGAATTTTCTGAAGAATTTAGTAATAATATGTACAGAGGGAGAGGGTTCCCAAGGATGGGAAAGCTTCGCCGGTAACCAACTCCTTCTTGAGCTCTCACTGCTAGTATAGAATGATTAGTATTAAACAAGGAAGAGTTCACACAAGAGGACAATCTACCTTCCTGGCAAGTTACATGATAATTAGGGGTGTCAAACTTTAGATCGCCCATTACCAACAAAAGGAGGGTGAACACAACTTTGTATCCAAATTGTATTATTTTCAACAAGTTCTAAAATGTAATTAGGATTATATTGTGATGGCATAGTATATTTTCCTTCCCAAATCTTGATCTTATCAAAAGCTATTAATAGTTTCCACAAATCCTTATGTTTAGCTCCTACAGCGGGCCATATCATTTGAGGTTGAGGTGCCACTATACCGTCATGTTTCCAGATAATAGGAACTCTTGCGGTACTTCTTATCATTTTTACCATCTGATCGTTTTATTCAGACCAGCTGAACATAGTGTGGCCATCACATGCAGACAGAGGTGCAATTCATGCTAAACATCCCCTTAGGGGACCAATCAATAATGATTCCATAGGAATCATGCAGCACCTCTGCCTGTCCTGCAATGCAATCTTCCCAAATGAGTACATTCATTTTTTCTGACCGGGTCCAATCCTGTTTACAAATAGGTTTTTGAGGGCGGTATGCCTCAATTAGAGGAGCAGATTCATTATGGTAAATACTGACACCAGAAAGCATGTGTAACTGCCATAGAGTGATTACGTCCAGGCATTATTGCCAGCCAAGATTGATACTGAGGGGGTGGGCAACTAGTGGCCTTTCCCAAACAGATGGGCGGATGCTTAAATCCTAAAGAAATACTCATAACAGTTCCTTCCCTGTGTGGGTGAGATGGGCCTCTATCATCTGTAGGACCAGGCATCCAAGAGCTATTATTAGTGTATACCTCCACTGGGGGGTCCAGCCAAGTTACAGGCCATAGAAGTGGTGGAAAAGGTAAATATGCCCAATGAGTATAATTGCTCTTTTTGTCAGTCCTTGCTGAAGGAATACTCATGGCAATGGTGATCACCGCTGTCATAAAATTACTCACTGTGACTGCTTGTCCTGCTTTCCTCAGGTTTTCTTCCACCATCTGTGACAGCTTCTTGATCTGTCCCCAGGTAGGTGGCTGCTTTCGATGAGTGTTGCTCGTGACAGTTGGGGGTCATCCTCAGCATCAACTTGGACAATGCTGCCACCAGTGGGTGTTTGGGATCCTCCCAAAACCTCTTCCTCGTTATCTGGCTCATAGTAGGGCTTTAGATATCTCGATGGCACCCAAATTGGCTGTTGATTCTGTCCTGGAGAAACACAAGCATAACCTCTGCCCCATGTTATTATTTTACCTGTTTCACAACCTTTTGTTATCGGGTCTTTCCACCAAACCCGTTGTTCCACTTTCTGTGTCGGTAGAAGGGCTGAGGCAGGGCCTGCTTGTCTGACATAATGTAAAAGAGTCTTGGAACATGTCCTGGGTCCCGGGTCTAAAACCCCTTGTGGCCTATGGAACACCAAGCTCTGTGCCTAAGGATGGAAGGCTGCCCCGCTGCACTACAGTCTAAGCCCAGGGCATAAAACCCCTTGTGGCTCATAAATTGATTGTATCTTGAGTTAGAAGAACCTATTCTCCATTATCTCAAGTAGCAGAGCATATGCTAAACCATCACAGCTACCTTTCTACCCCCACATCCTCACCTGTCTACCCCCATGTCCACACGTCCTCACCACCTGCTTCTTTGATCACCAATAAATAGTGTGGGCTCCCAGAGCTCAGGGACTTCGCAGCCTCCATACTAGTGTTGGCCCCCTGGACCCACCCTATGAACTCTTAACTTGTCTCATTCCTTTGACTCTGCCATACTTCGTAGCCCCCATGGCCTAGTGTTCAGTCTGATCACCCCAACATAGTAGGGCTTTAGATGTCTCAATGGCACCCAAATTGGCTGTTGATTCAGTCCTTTAGAAACACAAGCATAACCTCTGCCCCATGTTATTATTTTACCTGTTTCCCAATCTTTTGTTATTGGGTCCTTTCCACCAAACCCATTGTTCCACTTCTGCCTTTGCAGCTGTCTTCTGTAAATGTTTTTCAGCTGCTGATAACAATCGGCCTTTAGGCAGGCTCAAAAAATTTAAAGTTAATAATGCTAGATTTAGTTGCATGTGTGGAGTCCTATAGTCACTGTCTCCCCCTTTCTGTTTTTGCAACTGCTGTTTTAGGGAGAGATTCATTCTTTCCACTATAGCTTGTCCTTGAGAATTATATGGGATACCAGTAATGTCTTCAATATTCCATATAGAGAAAAATGTAGCTAGAGCTTGGCTAGTATAGCTTGGGGCATTATCTGTTTTAATAGAAGCTGGAATGCCCATCACCACAAAACACTGCAAAAGGTGATGTTTAACACAGGCAGAAGACTCTCCTGATTGGCATGTAGCCCAGACAAAGTGAGAAAAGGTGTCTACACATACATGTACATAAGCTAGTCTCCCAAACGAGGGAACATGTGTGACATCCATTTGCCAAAGAGAATTAGGTTCCAATCCTCAAGGAATCATTTGGCAAGTTGGGCATCGCTGGTTAATAGCTTTAGCTTCTTTCCAGGTAATGCTGTATCTGTGTCTGAGACCAGAGACATTAACGTGTGTTAAATTGTGGAATTGTCTAGCATTAGATATTGCAGTAGCAACTAGGTGATCAGCCATTTGATTCCCTACAGTCAAAGGTCCTGGAAGAGGTGTATGAGCCCTAATGTGAGTGATGTAAAAAGGGTGCATTCTACTCCTAACTGCTGTTTGCAATTGGGTAAATAAAGTCATCAGTTGCTCTTATGTGTGGAATTGTAGCTGAGCATTTTCAACTAACTGTGTAGAACCACATATGAAGAATCAGAAATCATATTAATAGGCATATTAAAAGCAGTCAATGCCTCAATTACAGCCTCAAGCTCCGCTTTTTGAGCTGAAGTATAGGGCGTCTGAAAAACTTTACCTTTCAATCCAGAATAAGAGGCTTTACCATTACTAGACCCATCTGCGAAGACATTCTCAGTACCTTCAATTGGTTTGATTTAGTCATTTTAGGGAGAATCCAATTAGTTAATTTCAAAAAATTGAAACAGTTTCATGTTAGGAAAATGGTTATTGAGAATACCCACAAAGTCAGCTAAATGGGTTTAACAAGTAAGACTATTTATAAAAGCTTGCTGTATTTGTGTCTTTGTGAGAGGGATAATAATTTTTCCAGGATCATATCCGTGTAATTTAACAATCCGAGTTCTCCCATTTCCTATCATAGTAGCAATTCGATCCAAATAAGGAGTCAAAGTCCGTGAATTAGTATATGGAAGGAAAAGCTACGCCACAAGATCTCGCTCTTGAACAATAACACCAGTAGGTGAATGCTGAGTTGGAAAAATGAGCAAATCTAGAGTATTCTCTAGATCTATTCTATTTATTTGGGCCTTATGGACTTGCTTTTCAATTAGCTGCAGCTCTGCCTCAGCTTCTTTTGTTAATTGCCAAGGGCTTGTGACACTAGGATCTCCTCTAAAGATAGAAAACAGAGTACTCATGGCATAAGTCAGAATGCCTAGAGCAGGCGGTATCCAATTAATATACCCTAGTAAATTTTGAAAGTCTGATTCAATGTTTTCTATTGATCCTACATATGGCTACTTTCTGTGGCATTATTGTGGTGACATTTACTAAGGCCCCCAAGTAGACGTAAGGAGTAGTAGTCTGAATTGCGTCAGGAGCTATAATTAAACTGGCATGAGAAATTGAATTCTCCAAGTGACCGTAACATTGGAGTAATATTTCCGGAGTGGGGGAAGCACAAAGAATATCATCCATATGATGAATAATGTAACACTGTGAAAATCTTTTATGAGTAGGTTCAATTGCTTGCCCTACATAAGTCTGGCAAATTGTTGGACTGTTTAACATGCCTTGTGCAACACTTTCCAATTAAAACGCTTAGCAGCCTGCAAGTTGTTTACCACAGGAATCGTAATTGCAAACTGTTCACAGTCCTGCTGAGCTAAGGGGATAGTAAAGAAACAAGTCTTTTAAATCTATGGCTATTAAAGGCCAATTTTTTGGAATCATAGCAGGAGAAGGCAGTCCTGGCTGTAATGCCCCAATAGGTTATATAGCTGAATTAATAGCCCTTAAGTCAGTTAACATTCTCCATTTACCTGGTTTTGTCTTAATTACGAAAACTGGGGAATTCCAAGGGGAGAGAGTTTGAGCTATATGTTCCTTTTGAAGCTGTTCTTTGACTAGTTCATTTAAAGCCTCCAGTTTCTCTTTACTCAGCGGCCACTGTTCTATCCATATTGGCCTGTCTGTCAGCCATTTTAACAGGATAGGCTCTGCAGGCTTACCATCAAAAATGGTATCCTAAGTCTTGGCGGGAACTTTGTCTTTCCGCTTGAAGAGATTCCTTCAAACCTTGCAAATTTTTTCCTAGTTCCATACCATGGACATACCCCATTT
Organism: Homo sapiens; assembly: GCF_000001405.40. NCBI lineage: Eukaryota > Metazoa > Chordata > Mammalia > Primates > Hominidae > Homo > Homo sapiens. The sequence goes on along the minus strand of NC_000019.10, from coordinate 9,456,890 downwards.
CATGCATCATATGTTGACTTTGAGGGCTGTATAATTGCTCAGGAATTAGAACTTGTGCTCCCCATTGTTGTAATAAATGTATGGGGGGAGAGCCCCCATAAATTTATAGGTATAGAAGTTATAATTGGTTGAATAGTCCCAGGTTGTCCATCGGGCCCTTTACAATGCAAAGTATAACTACTTTGATATACTTCAGGGGCTTTATCAACTCCAACTATGTTAAATTGAGCAGGCTGAATTGGCCATGCAGACGGCCAGTGATGTAGAGATATGATTGAAATGTCCACTCCTGTATCTACCAAACCTTTAAATTTCTTTCGCTGAATAGTTTTTTCACAGGTAGGATGGTTATCAGTAATTTGATTTACCCAGTAGGTGGCTCTCCCTTGTTTATTTGTACTGCCAAATCCCCTTGTTCTTTTAGTTTCACTTTTTCCTAGTCCCACATACGGTAAAATCAGAAGCTGCCCTATACGCTCTCCCGGTTCTGCCTTTTAAGGAACAGAGGTAGATATAACGATTTGAATTTCCCCGTTACAATCCAAATCAATTACTCCTGTATGAACCTGCACTCCTTTTAAATTTAAACTAGATCTTCCCAGAAGTAGTCCTACCATTCCTGCTGGCAGAGGTCCGCAGACTCCTGTTGGTACCTTCTGCAGTGGCTTTCCAGGCAGGAGACTCACAGCCCTGGTGCAACACAGATCTACTGAGGCACTACCAGCTGTGGCGGGGGACAAGCATTATACAGGGGTGAGGGAGTGGTCTGAGCCAGGAATGCCCTGGTTTGGAATGTGGCTCAGGATTGGCCCCTCATGGCGTTTCTCGAAATCGGGTTTCCGTCTTTATCAAATTTAGAATGACACTGATTGGCCCAGTGCTTTCCTTTTTTACACTTCAGGTATAGACCTGGTTCAGCAGTTTTCTTTTTTCCATCAATGGGTAGTTGGACCCTCTGATTTTTTCTACATTCTCTCTCGTATGCCCATGTTTCCTGCAGTTGAAACAAGCTTCAGGAAATGGAGCATTTCCTTTACCCACTCTCAGTCCTCCCATGGCTTGCATTAACAGAGTAGCTTTATGCAGATTACCTCCAATACTGTCACAGGCCTTGATATAATCAACTAAATGTGCTTTCCCTCTAACAGGTCACAGAGCAGCCTGGCACTTGGGATTAGCATTGTCAAAAGCTAATAACTGCAACACTATATCCTGAGCAGTTGAATCTGCAATCACCTTTTTAAGAGACTCCTGTAACCAAGCTATAAAATCTGCATAGGGTTCTTTTGGCCCCTGCTTAACAGCACTAAAATAAGGGTATTGTTCTCCACCTGAAGAGATTTTTTTCCCAAGCTCTAATGCACACTCCTCTAAGCTGATCTATAACATCATCCTGCATGACCACTTGTGCGTCTAATGCAGCCCAGCCACCAACTCTCAAAAGTTGGTCGGTAGTTACATTAATTGGAGGTTGAATTTGTGCACTGCAGGCAGCTTGAATAGAAGCTTCATCTGGCCACCAGGTCTTAAACTGTAAAAACTGAGCAGGAGCCAGACAGGCTCGAGTAAGAGTGTCCCATCAATGGGAATCATCTGACTGGAGGTAGCAACATTTTTTGACAGACCCATCACGAAAGGAGAACGTGGTCCATACTGATTGATAGCCTGTTTAAACTCATTCAGTAATTTAAAGGGAAAAGCCTCAAATGTAGCCATAACATTCCCCTGTTGATCTGGGGGGTGTATCCTAACAGGGAACTTCCAAGCCTCTAAATTACCCTCTCTTCTAGCTTGCTGAATTCCTGCCTGAATAGAACTGAGGGCGGTCACTCGGGGCTCTGCTCGAACAGTTGCTGGGGAGACTACTTTTTGCTCAGTGTCCTCCAGAAAAGAAAGATCCAGAGGGTCAGGCCATTCCCTATCTTCAAGGTATTGAGGAGGTGCTGAGGGGCAGGGACAAGCTTCCCCTTCTTGGGTCTCTTTAAGTGGTTGACGGATCTGTTCTTTTATCTCTTCTGCAACATTATCACACTCCCTCTCTTCTTTGTCTCCTTCCTCCTCATCATCAGTGTGAAAAGCTTCCAAGGTGGAATGAATCAGAGCCCACACTGACCAGACAGTTATAGGAATATCCTCAGCACCATCCTTATACGCCTTTTTCAGTGCGCTGCCTACCTCCTCCCAGACCTCTACATCCATATTTCCTCAGTCGGAAACCAGGGGCAATATTTCTCTACCATACTAAAAAGCTGCATAAGTCAGCTAGTGCTAACTTTCACTCCTCCTTTTCTGAGGAGCTGCCGAGGCAGACTCAAATAAGCCTTGTGCCTGCTTGACCCTTGTCCCATTGTTACCCTGATGCTTCCGAGCTCCCCTTCTTACTTACCATGGGGATTGCTTAAGAGTACTCAGGTGTGCTCCAGCGTAGTTCCATGTTCTCCAACCATCGCTCTGGCGACCCTTCGACCCGGGTTCGAGCCCCATGTTTGGGCGCCACTTGCTGAGACCAGCTTGGTCATGGAGACCTCAACCCAGCGGTGCTAGAGGAATAAAGACACAGACACAAAAAGAGAGTGCAATGTGGGATCAGAAGTGCAATGAGACCTTCAGAGCTGACGGTCTCAAACAGAGTTTGACCCAACTATTTATTGACAGTAAACTCATGATAAACATCGTTTCTGCAGTTTATAGATTAACTGAATGTATTATTTATGGAGAACCAAGGGACAGGCTCTTGCTTGTTATCTGCAGCAGGAACATGTCCTTAAGGCACAGATTGCTCATGCCATTGTTTGTGGTTTAGGAATGCCTTGAGAAGTTTTCCGCCCTGGGTGGGCTAGGTGTTCCTTGAGCTTATTCTGGTGAACCAGCAACCTCCAGTGTGTGCATCATAGCCATCACGAGCATGTCACAGTGCTGCAGAGATCTTGTTTATGGCCAGTTTCTCATGGCCTGTTTATGTCCAGGCTTGGGGCCTGTTCCAAGCAATATTCTTTTCTTAGTCTATCATTGCCTGTTTTTTTGTATGAAGGTTGGAGTATTTTCTCCTTTCCTTAACTCATACAGTACTTTCTTATTACAAGTATTATCAGTCACAATTCACTGGCAGAATCAGCTGAATCTGGATTATTTGTTGCCATTGTTATGGGATTTTATTTTCATGTTTTGGAATGAATTCAAAGCATGGACTCAATTATTTTTATATTTTGTAGGCACTAGTAAGGTTTCCAATTTCATCTTTTTAAAGTTTTTATTTATTATTTTCCAATTTCATCTTAAGTCTGTTTTGGCAAGAGTTGTTTTTATAGGTAGTTTTGTATTTTAAAATTTATACTCAATGTTTATATTTTCTGATATTTTAAGTATTTGTGCCTTTTGCTGTTGCATACCTTTTGCATACCCCTTTTCATTCCTGATATCATTTCCTTGTGCCTTTTCTCCTTTATGAAAAACATTAATGTTGCTAGAATTTACTTAGTTTTGTTAATTCCTTTCAAAATAAATGGATTTGATTAGTATATTTTTGGTTTGATTTCTGTAGAAAAGTTGTGTTGACATAACAAATTATCACAGGATGGCTTAAGCAACAGAAATTAATTTTCTCAGTGCTATGGAGGCTGTAAATGTCTTCAGGGTGCCAACATGGTTGGTTTTTGGTGAGGGCATCTTCTTGGCTTGTAGAGTGCTGCTTTCTCATTATCTCTCATTCTGCTGGCTCACCTTTGGCTGACAGATACAGCAAACACTCTTGTGTCTCTTCTTTATAAGGTACTAATACTATCATGAGAGCCCCATCATCATGATCTCATCCAACCCTAATTACCTCTAGAAGCCCCCATATTCAAATATAAACACCTTAGGAGTTGGGATTCGAAGATATGAACATTGTGCGGGGAAGAGTGTATACACAGTTCAGTCTATAGTGTTCTATTTTGTTAGTTTCTATTTTTAATTTTTGCTTCCATTGTAGTACATTATTTTTTCTCACCTTTAGGTTCAGGGCATACATGTGCATGTTTGTAACATGGGTAAATTGTGTATTGCTGGGGTTTGTGATATGAATGATCCATCACCCAAGTGGTAAGCATAGTATCCTGTAGGTAGTTTTTCAACTCTCTCCTCTTCCCCCAGCCTCCCACCTACCCGCCCAGTAGTCTCCAGTGTCTATTGTTCCCATCGTTGTATCCATGATTACTCGCTTAGCTCTCACAAATGAGAACATGTAGTATTTAGGTTTCTGTTCCTGTGTTAATCTGTTTAGGATGATCACCTCCAACTTCAACCATGTTGCTGCAGTGGATATGATCTTGTTCTTTTTTATGGCTGCGTAGTATTCCATGGTGTATATGTACTACGTTTTCTTTATCCATTCCACTGTTGATTGGCATTTAGGTTGATTCCATGTCTTTGCCATTGTGAATATTGCTGTGATGAATATATGAGTGTATGTGTCTATTTGATAGAAAAATCTATTTTCTTTTGGGTATATACCCGGTAATGGCATTGCTGGTTAGAGTGGTAGCTTTGTTATAAGTTCTTTTGAGAAGTCTCCACACTCCTTTCCACAGTACATTCCAACCAACAGTGTATACAAATGTTCCCTTTTCTCTGCATCCTGGCCAACATGTTTTTTGACTTTTAAATAGTAGCCATTATGACTGGTTTGAGATGGTATCTCATTGTGGTTTTGATTTGCATTTCTCTAATGATTAGTAATGAGCATTTTTTCCTATGTTTATTGGCTGCATGTATGTCTTCTTTTGAGAACTGCCTGTTTATGTTCTTTTGCCCTGCCCCCCACTTTTTTTTTTGGCTTACATGGAGTCTCACTGTGTCACCCAGGCTGGAGCGCAGTGGCACAATCTCAGCTCACTGCAACCTCCGCCTCTTGGATTCAAGCGATTCTCCTGCCTCAGCCTCATGAGTAGCTGGGATTACAGATGTTCGCCACCATGCCCAGCTAATTTTTGTATTTTTGGTAGAGATGGGGGTTTCACCATGCTGGCCAGGCTGGTCTCGAACTCCTGAACTCAAGTTATCCTCCTTACTTGACCTCCCAAAGTGCTGGGGTTACAGGTGTGAGACACTGCGCCAAACCATTTGCCCATTTTTTAATGGGATTTGTTTTTTGCTTGTTGAATTAAGTTTCTTATAGATTCTGGATATTAGACCTTTGTCAGATGCATAATTTGAAAATATTTTCTTTTGTAGGTTGTCTAACTCTCTTGATAGTTTCTTTTGCTGTACAGAAGCTATTTAGTTAAATTAGGTCCTACTTATCAATTTTTGTTTTTATTGCAGTTGCTTTTGGGGACTTATTCACAGATTCTTTGCTAAGGCTGATACCCAGAATGGTATTTCCTAAGTTTTCTTCAAGGATTGTTACAGTTTTAGGTTTTACATTTAAGTCTTTAATCCATCCTGAATTTTTGTATATGGTGAAAGGTAGGGATCCAGTTTTATTCTTCTGCATATGGCTAGCCAGTTATTCCCAGTACCATTTATTGAGTTGGGAATTCTTTCTCTATTGCTTGTTATTGTCTACTTTGTAGATCAGATGGTTGTAGGTATGTGGCTTCTTTTATTTTTTAACCTTGATCCATTGGTGTATGTGTCTGTTTTTGTAACAGTACCATGCTATTTTGGTTACTGTAGGCTTGTAGTGTAGTTTGGAATCAGGTAGGGTGACGTCTCTGGTTTTGTTCTTTTTGCATAGGATTGCTTTGGCTATTTGGGCTCTTTTTCAGTTCTGTATAAATTTTAGAATAGTTTTTTTTTCTAATTCTTTGAAAAATGACATTGAGAGTTTGATAGGAATAGTGTTGAATCTGCAGATTGCTTTAGGCACTATGGCCATTTTAATGATACTGATTCTTCCTGTCCATGACCATGGGGTGTTTTTCCATTGTTTTTCAGCAGTGTTGTTTTGTAGTTCTTCTTGCAGAAACTTTAACCTCCTTGGTTAGATGTATTCCTAGGTATTTTATTTTGTGGTTATTGTAAATGAGATTGCATCTTGATTTGGCTCTCAGCTTGAACACTATTGGTGTACAGAAATGGTGATTTGGTGTGGTGGCTCATGCCTGTAATCCCAGCACTTTGGGAGGCTGAGGCAGACTGGTCACTTGGAGGCAGGGGTTCAAGACCAGCCTGGGCAACATGGTGAAACCCTGTCTCTACTAAAAATATAAAAATTATCTGGATATGGTGCTGCATGCCTGTAATCCCAGATACTCGGGAGGCTGATGTGCAGAGGTTGCAGTGAGCCGAGATCGTGCCACTGCACTCCAGCCTGGGCAACAGCGAGACTGTATCTTTAAAAATAAATAAACAAACAAATAAATGCTGATTTTTATACATTGATTTTGTATCCAGAACTGAATTGAGTTTTCTAAATTCTGAAGTTGTTTATCAGCTCCAGGGGCCTTTTGTCAGAGTCTTATAGAGTTTTCTATGTACAGACTCATATCATCAGTGAAGACAAATAGTCCTATTTGCGTGCCTTTTATTTCTTTGATTGTTCTGGCTGGGACTCCTAGTACTATGTTGAATAGCAGTGGTTAGAGTGCGCATCCTTTTCTTTTTTCAGTTTTTTTTTTTGAGACAAAGTCTTGCCCTATCACCCAGGCTGGAGTGCAATAGCGCGATCTCGGCTCACTGCAACCTCCGCCTCCCGGGTTCAAATGATTCTCCTGCCTCAGCCTTCCGAGTAGTTGAGATTACAGGCGCCTGCCACTGCGTCCAGCTAATTTTTGTATTTTTAATAGAGACAGGGTTTCGCCATCTTGGCCAGGCTAGTCTTGAACTCCTGACCTCATGATCCAGCTGCCTCAGTGTCCCAAAGTGCTGGGATTACGGGCACAAGCCATCGTGCCTGGCCTTTTTTCAGTTGTTTTTTTTTTTTTTTTTTTTTTTTGAGACAGAGTTTTGCTCTTGTTGTCCAAGCTGGAGTGCAGTGCAATGGCGCAATCTTGGCTCACTGCAACCTCCGCCTCCTGGGTTCAAGTGATTCTCCTGCCTCAGCCTCCCAAGTAACTGGGATTACAGGCACAGACTGGCACACCTGGCTAATTTTTGGACTTTGAGCAGAAACGAGGTTTCACCATGTTAGCCAGGATGGTCTCGAACTCCTCACCTCAGGTGATCCACCCACCTTGACTTTCCAAAGTGCTGGGATTACAGGCATGAGCCACTGTGCCCAGCCTTTTCAGTTCTTAAGTGGGGTGCTTCCAGCTTTTGCCCATTTAGTATGATGTTGGCTGCAGCTATGTCATAGATGGCTCTATTATTTTGAGGTATGTTCCTTTTTTGTTTTTTTCACTTCATATGGTGCTGACTTTCTAAGTTTTTGCTGTAGGTGTTTTAGCACTCTAAACATTTCTCTTAACCCTGCTTTAGCTGCATCCCAGAGATTTTGGTATCTTGTTTTTTTGCCTTCATTAATTTCAAAGAATTTTTAAATTTCCACCTTAATTTAGCTGTTTACCCAAAAGTCATTCAGAAGCAAGTTGTTCAATTTCCATGTAATTGTGTGATTTTGACAGATCTTGGTATTGATCTTTATTTTTATTTCTATTTCACTGTGGTCTGAGAGTATGGTTGGTATGATTTTCAAATTTTGAATGAATTTATTGAGACTTGCTTTATGGCTGAGAATGTGGTCTTTGAGTGTTCTGTGTGCAGACGAGAAGAATATGTATTTTGTGGTTGATGGGTAGAATGTTCTGTGGATATCTATTAAGTCCAATTGGTGAAGTTTCAAATTGAAGTCCAGAATTTGTTAGTTTTCTGCCTCAGTGATCTAACACTGCCAGTGGGGTGTTGAAGTCTGCCACTATTCTTGTTTGGCTGTCTGTTTGTAGGTCTAGAAGTACTTGTTTTATGAATGCGAATGCTCCAATGTTGAAGGTTAAGTCATCTTGTTGGATTGAACCCTTTATCATTATATAGTGCTCTTTGTCCTTTTTTCCTGTTGTTGGTTTAAAGTCTATTTTATCCAACAAAAGAATAATGATCCGTGCTCTTTTTTGTTTTGCATTTGCATGATAGCTCTTTCTCCCACTTTTTGAGTCCATGGGTGTCTCATATGTGTGAGATAGGTCTCAGAAGGATAGTACTTGTCGTTTTTATCCAGATTGCCACTCTGTCCCTTTTAAATGGGGTGGTAAGACCATTTACATTCAAGGCTAATATTGATATGTGAGGATCTGATCCTATTATGAAGCTGTTAGGTGGTTGTTTTATAGTTTCTATTTTGTTTTTGCTTCAAAAGGTCTGTGGGCTGCGTACTTAGGTTTGGTTGTTTTGTGGTAGCAGGTATCATTCTTTCGTCTTCATGTTTAGAACTCCGTTAAGGGGCCAAGTGAGGTGGCTCATGCTTGTAATCTCAGCACTTTGGGAGGCTGAGGAGGGTGGACACCTCAGGTCAGGAGTTCAAGACCAGCCTGACCAACATGGAGAAACCCTGTCTCCACTAAAAAAAAAAAAAAAAAAAAGCCAGGCATGGTGGTGCATGCCTGTAATCCCAGCTACTCCGGAGGCTGAGGCAGGAGAATCACTTGAACCCAGGAGGCAGAGGTTACCATGAGCCAAGATCGTGTCATTGCACTCCAGCCTGGGCAACAAGAGTGAAATGTCTGAAAAACAAACAAACAAACCCCCCGCCACACGCACACACAAAAACTCCATTAAGGATTTATTGTAAGGCTGGTCTACTGGTAATGAAATCCCTTAGTGATTGCTTGTCTCTAGAAATGTTTATTCTACTCTTATGAAGCTTAGTTTGGTCAGGTTTGAAATTCTTGGTTTGAGTTTCCTCTTCAAGAATGATGAAAATAGGCCCCCAGTCTTTTCTGGCTTGTAGGGTTTCTCCTGAGGAGTCTGCTATTAGCCTGATGACGAGATTCCCTTTGTACCTGATGTGCCATTTCCTCTAGCTGCCTTTAAGCTTTTTTCTCTAGCGTTGACCTTAGGCTGGTGACTGTATGTCTTCGTGGTGTTCATTTTATGTAGTATCTGGCAGGTGTTGTCTGGATTTCTTACATATGGATGGCTACCTCTCTAGCACAATTAGGGAAATTTTCTTAAATTATTCTCTCAAGTATGGTTTCCAGGTTGCTTACTTTTTCTCTTTCTCTCCCTGGAATGCCAGTTATTTGTAAATTTGATCACTTTACATCATCCCATATTTCTTGGGGACTTTGTTCCTTACATTTTTTTCTTTGTGTTTGTCTGACTGGGTTAGTTGAAAGACCAGTCTTCAAGCTCTGAAATTCTTCTGCTTGGTGTAGTCTGTTGATGAAGCTTTCAATTTTATTTTAAAATTCCTTAAGTGAGGTTTTCAGTTCCTGTAGCTTTGATTAATTACTTCTTAAGATGTTTATTTCTTATTTTGTTGATTGCTTTATGTTTGTGTTGATTTTCAATCTTGTCTTGGATCTAGCTGAGCTTCCCTGTAGGCCAAGCTTTGAATTCTCCACCTGTCATCTCTGTGCCTCCATTTTGGAAAGGGACCATTGCTGTAGAGTGAGAGTGACCCTTTGGTGGTGTCACAACATTCAGCTTTTTCATGGTGGCAGAATTCTTACAGTTTCCTTCTCATCTGGAGAGGGTTGGGGCTAAAATATAGAAGAATGTGCTTCTAATCTGTGTCAGATTGTTGGTAGAATTAATTTTGTTATGGCTGTAGAATTCCTTACAGCTTATTTTGTCAATGCCAGCAACAGAGAGTATGTCTATTTTTTTTTTTTTTTTTTTTGTGACGGAGTCTCGCTCTGTTGCCCTGGCTGGAATGCAGTGGCGTGATCTTGGCCCACTGCAACCTCCGCCTCCCAGGTTCAAGCGATTCTCCTGCCTCAGCCTCTCGAGTAGCTGGGACTATAGGCACGCGCCACCATGCCCAGCTAATTTTTGTATTTTTATCTAGAGATGGGGTTTCACCATATTGGCCAGGCTGGTCTCGAACTCCTGACCTTGTGATCTGCCCACCTCGGCCTCCCAAAGTGCAAGTGTGAGCCATGGCATCCAGCTGTCTGCTATTTTTTAGTCACTGATATCCAAATCCCCTTTGAAGGGACTCATCTAATTTTGTCAGGTGAATATCTCTAGATATCTCTATACTATAAGTAAATCAAGTTCTCCTAGGAATATTCTAGGAGATTATTCGCTTTGTGTAATGTGTAATCGACTGAATAGGGACTTGAATTGTATCTGGAAAATTCCTTCATTGTTGCCACATAATGTAATACAGTTGACTGACATTGCATCACTTTTGCTATATTTTCTTGATTAGGAGGAAACTGTTTATCCTACCAACACTCAACAGGAGGGGATTATACCAAGGCATACCAGAGTGCAGGACTCATAAGCACCATCTCAGAATTCTGCCTACTATACAGGTAAACCCCCTAACGTGGATGAATCTCACAAACATGATGTTGTGAAAGAAACCAGAAGTAACAAGAGAATGCATCCTATATTTTATGTGTGTGTGTGTGTGTGTGTGTGTGTGTGTGTGTGTGTGTGTATGACTTGGCAAAATTGGTTCTGGTTTAGGGAAAGGTGGAGTAAATGCAGTTATCCTGTCTGTCCCACTGAATGTCCCACCTGGACAGAATGCATCAGCTATTTGAAGAATCTGAAAAGTAAATAGCAGCAGGGAGATGGAAAAAAAAATCAGCGTTCAAAGTACCACCAAGCAGGCAGTAAGTTTACTAGTTTTACCCCTTCTGGTTTCATCTGGTCTGTACTCAGTGTGGCTGAAAAACCAGAGGCACACATCATGACCAACATGGAGAGTTCCAGAAGAAGCCCTCTGGTTCTGGTAATATCAACAAGGGGGTGGGAGGGGTGGTTTCTAATGCTCAGTGAGAAAGAGAGGGAGATTAATACCTCAGTTTGTTTTCTCCATTTACTTGGTTCCAGCCTCCAAGCAATCCTGTGGTGGCAATGAGACATACCATAGACTTTGAGAGCTGGAATGTGAGATAGATGACCTTCTGTGTAGTCTAGCCTCCAGGTAGAGACACAAAGCATACAACAAAATCTTTGAAAATAAAGCTCTCATTGAAACCACAACTCAGAGCGTTGACTAAAACTTGCAAGCTGAACCCAACTGGGTAATTGTCCAGATTAAAAAAAAAAATCAGCTGAGTGCAGTGGCTCATGCCTTTAATCCCTGCACTTTGGGAGGCCGAGGCGAGTGGACCACGAGGTCAAGAGATCGAGACCATCCTGGCCAACATGGTCAAACCCCGTCTCTACTAAAAATACAAAAATCAGCTGGGCGTGGCAGTACATGCCTGTAATCCCAGCTACTAAGGAGGCTGAGGCAGGAGAATCGGTTGAATCGGGAGGCGGAGGTTGCAGTGAGCCACGATCACACCACTGCACTCCAGCCTGGCGACAGAGCTAGACTCCATCCAAAAAAAAAAAAAAAAAATCTACGTTCTCCATAGGACTTAAAGGCCCAGAGTGTTATAATATTCAAAGTGCCCTGAATATAAACCCAAACTATTCAGCATACTAGCAGCAGAGCCTCACAGGGCTGTGTAACAGTACAAAAGGCTAACATTCATGATATTAGAGTCCTAAAAGAAGAAGAAGATGTGTGATGCAGTAAGTTTTTGAAAAGGTAATGATGAAAAACTTCTCAAATTTGATGAAAGACACAAATATTCAGATTCAAGAAATTTAATGAACCCAAAACATAACCCCAAAGAAATATAAGCCAAAACATATAATAATTAAAGTTGTGAAAGCTAAAGATAAGTAGAACATCTTGAAATTAGCCTGGGAAGTAATAACATGTTACTTATAAGAGAACATTTCGTGGCTCATGCCTATAAATCCCAACAATACTTTGGGAGGGTAAGGCAGGCAGATCACTTGAGCCCAGGAGTTCGAGACCCGTCTAGGCAACATGGAAAAATCCCACCCCTACAAAAAAATTAGCTGGGTGTGGTTGCATGTGCCTGTAGTACTTTGAGACCCTGTCTCAAAGTAAATAAATAAAAGAACAGTTCAGTTGACTGTGGATTTCTTTTTCCTTCCCTCCCTTCTTTCCCCTCCTTTCCTTTCCTCCTTTCCCTCTCTCTTCTCTTCTTTCTTTTTTCCTTCCTTCCTTTCTCCCTTCCTTCTCCTTCCTTTTTTTTTTTCTTTTCTCTTTCCTTTCTTCCCTTCCTTCTTCTCTTTCTTTTTCTTTCCTCGTTCTTTTCTCTTTGTTTCTTTCTTTCTTCTCCCCCCCTTCTCTCTTTCTTTCTTTCTGAGATGGAGTCTCACACTCCAGGCTGCAGTGCAATAGCACAATCTCGGTTCACTGCAACCTCCACCTCCCGGATTCAAGCGATTCTCCTGCCTCAGCCCCCCGAGTAGCTGGGATTCAGGTGCCTGCCACCGCACCCATATAATTTTTTGTATTTTTAGTAAAGACAGGGTTTCACTATGTTCGCCAGGCTGGTCTCGAACTCCTGGCCTCATAATCAATCCGCCTTGGCCTGGGATTATAGGCATGAGCCACCACTCCTGGCCGACTGTGGATTTCTTATAGAAACTATAAAGGCCTGGGCATGGTTACTCATGCCCTGTAATGCCAGCACTTTGGGAGGCCAAGGTGGATCACTTGAGCCCTGGAGTTCAAGGCTGCAGTGAGCTATGATTACATCACTGTCATCCAGCCTGGGTGACAGCAAGACCCTGTCTCAAAACAACAAGCAAAAAAACCCACCAATGGCTCACATCTGTAATCCCAGCACTTTTGGAGGCTGAGGTGGGCAGATCACTTGAAGTCAGGAATTCAAGACCAGCCTGGCCAATATGGCAAAACCCTGTCTCTACTAAAAATACAAAAATGAGCTGGGCGTGGTGGCACACATCTATAATACTAGCTACTGGGGAGGCTGGGCACAAGAATCACTTGAACCTGGGAGGTGGAGGTTACAGTGAGCCGAGATCACGCCACTGCACTCCAGCCTGGGTGACAGAGTGAGCCTCTGTCTCAAAAAACAAAAAACAAAAAAACAAAAAAACACACCACCATAAAGGCAAAGAGCAAATTAAATGACATTTTTTAAGGGCTGAGAGAAAAGGAACACCTTAAAGTTTCTTTGGATGGCTATGTGAAATACTTTCTTAGACTTCTGCCCTCTTAGTTTGTTTGTTACCTGCGTGCAGCCAGCTGCTCAAGCTCCCAGGTCACACCATCTGCACGCACAGGAACTGTGTGTGTGTGCGCGTTTCTCTGTGTGTGTGCATGGTGATTCTGCGCGTTTCTCTGTGTGTGTGCATGGTGATTCAAAATGTGGAATGGCTTCCATGTATTCATGTAGTGGAACTGTGCGTAGGCCTGGATTCACATGCCTCTTTCATATCCTTGTGGTCTCCTTAAGGGACTTTTTTTTTTTTTTTTTTTTTTTTGAGACGGAGTCTTGTTCTGTCTCCCAGGCTGGAGTTCAGTGGCGCAATCTCGGCTCACTGCAAGCTCTGCCTCCCGGGTTCACACCATTCTCCTGCCTCAGCCTTCCGAGTAGCTGGGACTACAGGCACCCACCAACACGCCCGACTAAGTTTTTTTTTGTATTTTTAGTAGAGATGGGGTTTCACCGTCTTAGCCAGGATGGTCTCGATCTCCTGACCTTGTGATCTGCCTGCCTCAGCCTCCCAAAGTGCTGGGATTACAGGCATGAGCCACTGCGCCTGGCCTCCTTAAGGGACTTATATCTCCTTTTTTTTTTTTTTTTTGAGAGTCTCGCCCTGTTGCCCAGGCTGGAGTGCAGTGGCACAGTCTCAGCTCACTGCAGCCTCCACCTCCTGGGTTCACGCGATTCTCCTGCCTCAGCTTCCCAAGTAGCTGGGATTACAGGCGTGTGCCACCACACCCGGCTAATTTTTTGTATTTTTAGTAGAGACGGGGTTTCACCGTGTTAGCCAGGATGGTCTCGATCTCCTGACCTCGTGATCCACCTGCCTTGGCCTCCCAAAGTGATGGGATTACAGGCGTGAGCCACACATGTGGCTGAGACTTTTCTCTTAATGAAGAGAAAACAAGAGAAAAGGATAGGGGTTGAAATACTGAAACATTAATTTTAGGTAAGGGGAGTTGGTCCTCCAAATATATACTAATTTCAGCCAGGTGGGCATGAAAATAAATATCTCAGGCCAGGTATGGTGGCTTATGTCTATAATCCCAGCACATTGGGAGGCTGAGGCAAGCGGATCACTTTGAGTTCAGGAGTTAGAGACCAGCCTGGGCAACATGGTGAAACCCTGTCTCCACTAAAAATACAAAAATTAGCCCTGCATGGTGATGCACGCCTGTAATTCCAGTTACTTGGGAGGCTGAGGCACAGTAATCACTTGAACCCAGGAGGCGGAGGTTGCATTGAGCTGAAATTGTGCCACTCCAGCTTTGGTGATGGAGTAGACTCTGTCTCAAAAAAAAAAAAAAAAAAAGAAAAGAAAAGAAATATCTCAGAGCATTTCACAGAGGTCAACACATTTGAAAAGGTGAGGAAACTTTTAAAGCTGTACTGGTTATAGAGCAAAGTGAAGTACAGAATAGAGTCAGACTGCTAGAGTACACGTCTTGGCTCTGCCTCTTGCTGGCTACGTAATTTTGTAGAAGTTAAATGGCCTCTCTTGCCTCAGTCTGATCTTCCTTTTTTTTTTTTTTGAGACAGAGTCTGGCTCTTTTGCCCAGGCTGGGGTGCAGTGGCTGATCTTGGCTCACTGCAAGCTCCGCCTCCCGGGTTCGCGCCATTCTCCTGCCTCAGCCTCCTGAGTAGCTGGGACTACGGCGCCCGCCACCGTGCCCGGCTAATTTTTTGTATTTTTAGTAGAGACGGGGTTTCACCGTGTTAGCCAGGATGGTCTCGATCTCCTGACCTCGTGATCTGTCTGCCTCGGCCTCCCAAAGTGCTGGGATTACAGGCGTGAGCCACCACGCCTGGCCATCTCAGTCTGATCTTCTGTAAACTGTGGATGAATTTTATAATAAGCTGCCTGATTTGGTACTGTAAGAATCAAATAAGTGAATGCATCTACTCAAATATGATAAGACAAGATTTAGTGGTACTTAGTAAGATTAAATTAGTCCTAGGTAATGATATTTTAAAGAAAACTCATCTGTATGCAAATCTTCTAAATAAAATTTCTAGCAAAACTAATCCAGTTATGAGAAAAAATAGTGCCCTATGAACAGTTTTACTTTAGGATTGCAAGAATGGCTTATTATCAGGAATGTTTTCAACACAACTAATTACTATACTACATTTGAGAGAGAGGAAAGTATTGTGAGGGAAGATGAAAAATTCCATATCCATTTGGAATTTAAAAAGTAAGTGAGCAAGGAAAGGAAAATGAATCCAGAATGGAATGGAGAAGTTTATCTACTGATGTGATTTTTTATGTAGGAAATCCTAAGGAATCCACTAAACTATTAAAACTGATAAACAAGTTCAACAAGGTTACAGGTAACAAGATCAACATAGAAAACTCAGTTGTATTTATGTATACTATCACGGCACAAGCCAAAAATGAAATTAAGAAAACAATTCTGGCTGGGCGTGGTGGCTCATGCCTGTAATCCCAGCACTTTGGGAGGCCTGAGGTCAGGAGCTCGAGACCAGCCTGGCCAACATGGTGAAACCCCGTCTCTACTAAAAATACAAAAAAAAAAATTAGCTGGGTGTGGTGGCGCGTGCCGGTAGTCCCAGCTACTCAGGAGGCTGAGGCAGAAGAATCGCTTGAACCCAGGAGGTGGAGGTTGCAGTGAGCTGAGATGGCACCACTGCACTCCAGCCTGGGCAATAAGAGCGAAACTTCATCTCCAAAAAAAAAAAAAAAAAAGAAAAGAAAAGAAAAGAAAAGAAAACAATTCCATTTATTATAGTATTAAAATAATAAACTACTTGGGAATAAATCTGATAAAAGATGTGCGAGACTTCCATACTGAATACCACAAAATGTTGATAAAGATGAAAAGTAATGGAAAGTCACCCCATGTTGATGGATTAGAATACTTATTATTTTTGAGAGGGAGTCTTACTCTGTTGCCCAAGCTGGAATGCACTGGTGCAATCTCGGCTTACTGTAACCTCTGCCTCTGGGTTCAAGCAGTTCTCCTGCCTCAGTCTCCCGAGTAGCTGGGATTACAGGCATGTGCCACCATGCCCAACTAATTTTTGTATTTTTAGTAGATATGGGGTTTCACCATGTTGGCTAGGCTGGTCTCGAACTCCTGACCTCAAGTGATCTGCCCATCTCGGCTTCTCAAAGTGCTGGGATTGTAGTCATGAACCACCACACCTGACCAAGAATACTGAACATTATTTTTAAGATGGCAGTACTCTCCAAGTTGGTCTATAGATTAAACATAATCCCTATCAAAATTCCAGATGGTGACAGAGTCTTTGCTTTACTCAACTATAGTCAAGCTCCTTAAACTTTTCTTAGGCCCATGTGTACACTTTTGTATATTGAGTTTTAGCAAGAACCCTGCTAAGTCAGTACAATAAGAACCTACCACCCTCAGTATCAGATCACCCTTATAGCTGATCAGGTTCCCGATTCTCTACTATCTACCAATTACAGGCCAAAGTGATCAGACATCATGTTAGGTCAGTTTATCCACCATCCTCCATACCCCTGATATTCCTCTTGGCAATTTTCCACTCACTGACCTTTACTCTTTAACTTGACTATAAATTCCCATTTGCTCATGCTATAATTATTCAGAGTTAGCCTACTCTGTCACCTCCACTGCAAAATCCTACTGCAGTGGTCCCTATACCTAACGTGATGGTACTGAATAAAGTCTGCCTTACTATGCTTTAACAAGTTCCACTGATGTTATTTTTTTTTTTAATTTAGCACTGGCTTCATAGCAGAAATTGACAGGCTCATCATAAACTTTATATAGAAATGGAAAGAACACCAAATAGCCAAACAGTCTTGAAAAAGAGGAACACAGTTGAAGGAGTCACACTTTTGGATTTCATAAAGTGCTACAAAATTGTAGTAATCAAAACAATGTGGCACTGGCTTAAGGATAAACATACAAATTAATGGAATAGAATTGAGAGTCCAGAAGTAAGCCCTCACATATATGGTCAACAGATCTACAAGGCTGCCAGGGTAATTCAATGAAGAATGAAAAGAATGTTTTCAACAAATGGTTCTGGGAGAAATTGATACCATACTGCAAAAGAATGCATTTGGGCTTTTACTTTATACCACATACAAAAGTTAACAGATACCACATTGGGGATTAAGCTAAAAAAATTAAAATATTTAAAAACCCCACAAAAGTTAGCTGACAATGGATCAAAGACCTAAACATACATGTAAGACCTACAATAATTCCCAGAAGTATAGGCAGAAAAGTTTCATGATACTGGATTTAGTACTGTTTTCTTAGGTGCAGTATCAAAAACATTGCAAACAAAAAATTATCAACATTAAACTTGTACTTCAGAGGACACTCATCAATATTATATAGTTTAGTATTCTAAAATATTCCATCAAGAAAGAGAAGGAAAACCTATTGAGAGAAAATATTTGTAAATCATATATATGATAAGGACCTCTCTTCAGAATATATAAAGAACTCTTGCAACTCAATGGAATTTTTTTTTTTAAGATAGAGAGTTTCGCTCTTGTTGCCCAGGCTGGATTGCAATGGCACCATCTCAGCTCACCGCAAGCTCCGCCTCCTGGGTTCAAGCGATTCTCCTGCCTTGGCCTCCTGAATAGTTGAAATTACAGGCATGTGCCACCATGCCTGGCTACTTTTTTGTATTTTTAGTAGAGACAGGGTTTCTCCATGTTGGTCAGGGTGGTCTTGAACTCCCAACCTGAGGTGATCTGCCTGCCTTGGCCTCCCAAAGTGCTGGGATTACAGGCGTGAGCCACTGCACCCGGACCTTTTTTTTTTTTTTTTTCGAAACAGAGTCTCACTTTATCACCCAGGCTGGAGTGCGGTGGCATAATCTTGGCTGACTGCAACCTCTTCCTCCCGGGTTCAAGCGATTCTCCTGCCTCAGCCTCCCGAGTAGCTGGGATTACAGGTGTGTGCTATCACGCCTGGCTGATTTTTTATCTTTTACGATGTTGGCCAGGCTGGTCTTGAACTCCTGGCCTCAAGTGATCTGTCTGTCTCAGCCTCCCAAATTGCTGGGATTACAAGCCACCGTGCCCAGCCAGAAAACAAATTTTAAAAGGGGCAAAGGAATTGAACAGAAATTTCTCCAAAGAAGCATACAAATGGCTAACAAAGCACATTAAATGATGCTGAACATCACTAGTGTTAGGGAAATACAAGTCAAAATCATGAGGTATCACCTCACACCACTAACACAGTTAACATGAAAAACACTAAAGTGTTAGCAGGGACGTAGAGAAGTTGGAGCCCTCATACATTTCTGGTGGGAATGTAAAACAGTACAGCCCCTTTCAAAAACAGTGTGGCAGTTCTTCAAATTCTTAGATAGTTACTGTATGGCTCAGCAATTCCATTCCCAGATATATACTCTAGAGAAATAAAAACCAGCTGAGCGTGGTGGCTTATGCCTTTGTGGAGGCCGAGGCGGGCAGGTTGCTTGAGCTTAGGAGTTTGAGACCAGCCTGGGCAAAACCCTGTCTCTACAAAAAAATACAAAAATTAGCTGGGTGTGGTGGCTTATGCCTGTGGTCCTAGTTGCTCAGGAGGCTGAGGTGGGAGGATCGCTTGAGCCTAGGAGGTAGAGGCTGCAGTGAGCTGTGATTTCTCAAAAAATAAAAGCCAGTATGCACAAAAAGATATATGTGAATTTTCATAGCAGCATTAATCACAACACCCCCAAAGTGGAAACAAACCATATGTCCATCAACTGAAGACAAATCATATATGGTATATACATAGAATGGAATATCATTCAGCAATAAAATAGAATGATCTAGGCTATAATACAGATGAACCTTGAAAAACGGGCTAAGTGAAAAAAGTTATTCACAAAAGATTGTATGATTTTTAGGCCGGGCATGGTGGCTCACGCCTATAATCCCAGCACTTTTGGAGGCCGAGGCAGGACTACTTAAGCCCAGGAGTTCGAGATCAGCCTTGCAACATAGTGAGACCCTGTCTATACAAAAATAAAAATAAATTGTATGAGTATATCCATATGAAATGTCTACAAAAGAAAAATCTGTAGTGATAAAGTAGGTTTGTGGTTCCCTGGAGCTTAAAGAGGAGGTAAATGGGTTTTCCCATTCAAAGATTTCTTTTAGTGTGATTAAAATGTTCCAAAATTATGTTTGAACAACACTGCGAATGTACTAAAAAATATTGAATTATATAGCTTTAAGTGGGTGAACTGTGTTGGTTATATGTGAATTGTATCTCAATACAGCTGGTCTAAAAACCAAAAGGGAAAAATCACAATAATAGCCACATCATTGGGAGCGTAAAAATTTAATGTCTATTAAGCATTTAGGGTAGTAAGATTTAAAAAACAGCTACCGCCAGGTGCGGTGGCTCACACCAGCACTTTCAGAGGCTGAGGTGGGCAGATCACCTGAGGTTAGGAGTTTGAGACCACCCTGGCCAACATGGCGAAACCCCATCTCTACTAAAAAAAAAAAAAAAAAAAAATACAAAAATTAGCTGAGCGTGGTGGCGCGTGCCTATAATCCCAGCTACTCAGGAGACTGAGAAAGGAGAATCCCTAGAACTCAGGAGGTGGAGGTTGCAGTGAGCCGAGATCGTACCACTGTATTCCAGCCTGGGTGACAGAGCAAGACTGTCTCAAAAACAAACAAACAAAAAAGCTACCATTATTATTATTATTACCACGGAATATTATTAGTTGATACAAAACCACTGGAATGAAAAGATTATGATCTTGATATTGGCATAAGTAAATGTATTACTGGCATAGAGTCTAGAATCAGATACAGGTATACATAGGAATTTATAGTTTAATAAACATGGAATTTGAAATCAGTAAATCAAGGACAGTTTATCAATATGTGGTACTACAATAATTGGCCGTGTTTCTGGAGGAAAGAGATATTGTATCCACTATCCCACACCACATACTGAAACACATTCCATGAGTATGAAAGATTTCAATGTTTTTAAAGTAATATGCTGCAGAAGAAAATTAGGAAATCTATATGTAATCTAGAGTTTATGAAGACTTCTTAATGCAAGAGAGGAAACTTAAAAAAGAAAATCTTTTTGAGTTGAAAAATTAACTGCAAAATAGTTACCAGTTCAGTAGATTCACAAAATATTTGATAATGTACATGAACAGTTCTTCATGTTAGTAAAACAGTGTTCAAAATAACTTTATTAACTCCATAAAGGCCACCCACTACAAAGCACAGCAAAAACGATTTCTGGAGAAACTAGAATCACTCCTGCAGAAGTGAATGCCTGATATCAGTGCTATTTTACAACGCGGTATTTTACAACGAGGCCCTGGAACTCACTGTAAGATCTCAGAAAACAATATATTAGTCAAAGAAAAAAAAATCAACATTTACAAAAAGTATCAGCATATTGAATACACAAAGGAATCAACTATTAGAATTTAGCATGGCGTCCAGATAAATGAAATAAGGGGAAATATTGGCCTCAAGTTGAATTGGGCCCGGCGCCGTGGTGCACGCCTGTAATCCCAGCCTTTTGGGAGGCTGAGGCGGGATGATTGTTGGAGCCCAGGAGTTTGAGATCAGCCTGGGTAACATACCTCAACTCTGGGGGAAAAAAAATTAGCCGGGCATGGTGGCCTGCGCCTGTAGACCCAGCTACTCGGGAGGCTGAGGCGGGATGATGGCGTGAGCCCATGAGTTTCGCCCCACAGCACGCCAGCCTGGACTACACAGTGAGACCCTGTCTCAAACAAAAACAAAATAAAAAACTAAAACTAGATTGAATGAATGGAGGAGATAGGCCATATCATGGACTGGCAGGATTATCAAAGGAAGCATCATTTTGAGGGTGCTAGGAACGTGGGAGGAGGTGAGAATAAAAGCTTTTTGTGAGCATTGTGCACATCCTGTGGGGGAGCCCCCACCTCTAACTTTGCCAACACCACCGACCCCACCCTAGGTTAGCCCCGTCCGCAGGGCTGGTTCTAACCTCAGCCTTGTGCTCTGGGCCCCTTTTGGCCTCCATCCCTCAAGGTGAGCAGACTCCAAGGCCTCCAAGGCGTCTCCGTAGCCACTGGGGAGTAAACCAGAATCTCTCTGCCTGAGGTTGTTCAGCTCGGCTGAGGTTGCAGTTCCCGAGCGCTCCTCCAGGTTTGAGGCTGGAGGCGGAAGTGACGTCACGGAGCGCTGCTGTGTTTTCCGGCGCTTTCTCCGCGCCGCCAAACCCGTTTTCTTCCTGGTGGCGTTTGGGCTTAATACAGCTTTGGCGAGGTCGGATGACGGGTGGGAGCCAGCGGTGGAAGGGGTGGCGAAAGTACCGGTTTGCCCCAGGCCGCCGAGGGGCCTCCTTAGAGAGACCTTGCCTGCTCCGCTCGCGTCCGCCGGGGCCGCGCGGGTCCTCCTGGCGCCGCCAGGTTCAAAAAGCCACTCGAGTTGTCACTGCGACGGCCCTGGGCCAGGAGCCGTTTCGGGATCTGTCGTAAGGGCGCTTCCTCACGATTTTTGCAAACACGGTGATTGCCGCTTCAAACTCTTCCAAAGCAATTCTTTGTGACTTTTTTTTTTCCAGAAACAACGAGTTTTCGTCGTTCGAATCAGGTTGACTGGTCCTTCATCCCCCCAATCTCCCGTACCTGGCGAGTCCAGCTCGTCGCGGTGAGTACTGGGGTGAAAGTTGGTTTCGGGGGCTTCTTCCTCCTGTTTTATCTGAGAATTTGTTTTTCTCTTTGCGCATCCTGTATTTACTTTTGACACTCTACATTCAGGTAGAAACATAAAGCTATTTTTTAGGTATCTGGGGTGTGGTTATTTCTCTATGTGAATATAAACGTTTGTAGACCAGAAGTCTTTCTACTGAAGAAAAGCAAGAATACTCAGCTATTCTTTTTATCTGAACTTCCTAGGCCTGTACCTCCCCACAGAGCTTCAAAACGGGCTTTTAGGAAGAAGGAATGGAGGCTTTGAAGTAAGTTGAACATTGCAGGCGTGACACTTAAGGTTTAAATGCTTGGTAATACGTGTCCTGTGGATAAAGACATGTCCTTTTAAAACCATAATACTATTACCCCAGAAAATTTAAAATGTTGTTAATATGTACCCTGTGTAAAAAGGTACAGTTCTCCACTTTGTTCCAATATATGGTTTTGATTGTTTTGGGATCTATTACGTATCCAAGTTTCATGTCTTTTAGTCTCTTTAAAACTAGCAGACACTGTTTATCCGTTATATTGTCTTTTTGCGCAGTCACTCGTTCTTTCAGAAAGTTATACATTTTGGTAGTTCTGATTGTATTCTGTGCCGTGTTTAAATGTATCCTTCATTTATTGGTGTATCCTGTAAATGGATGAGTGTCTGAATGGTTAATTAAGGCATAGTAAAAAAATTCAGCCTAGGGCTGTTCTTAGGGAGGTTGTAAACTAGTGGAGGAGGCTGTCATGTAACCAAGCAAATAAGTGTATTACAAATTGATGAAGGTCTGTAAGTAAAGTAGAGGACAGAATTATTTTCTCTATTTTTCTTTGGAATAGGCAATGCTAAGAAAAGAGTGATATGCAAGCTGAGACCAAAAATATGGTATGATTTAGCCATACTGAAGGGGAAGGAAATAAGAGCTGGGCAAAGCATTCTGTGAATTGGCTGACTCCACTTCTATGGTGAGAGAGAGGAGTGCATCAAAGATTACTCCCAGGTTTGACAGAGTCAGTATTCTTTCTTTGGTTGGGGAAACAATGTGGTGGGATAATTTAATCTTAAATGTATGACAGGAAATAGTAAGTGATATCTTTTGGGAGACAGAGTTTCGCTGTTGCCAGGCTCCAGTGCAGTGGCAGGATCTCGGCTCACTGAAACACTGTAACCTCCACCTCTTGGGTTTTCAAGCCATCCTCCTGCCTCAGCCACCCTAGTAGCTGGGATTACAAGTGTGCGCCACCATGCCTGGCTAATTTTTGTATTTTTGTATTTTTTTTTTTTTTAGTAGAGATGGTTTCAGCATGTTGGCCAGTCTGGTCTCAGACTCCTGACCTCAAGTGATCCACCCACCTCGGCCTCCCAAAATGCTGGGATTACAGGTATAAGCCACTGTGCCTGGCCAAAGTAAGTGATATCTGACAAATGATGTAAATCAAGGGAAAATAGGAGAAGCATGAATGTGTTTTAATTACATGAATAAGAAATTAATTCAAGGGATTAATGAGAATCAGTGCTTGATCACTGAAAAATAAGCTCTCCATGAAAATTCACTGATGTTAATTATTAGTCTTAGGAAATATGTATATTCATAAACAGACAAAACTTCTCTCGTTGTTTTTTTCAATTCACTTTTGGGTTCCTTCTCCTACCTAAATTAGTCCTTCGTTTCCCTGAAGGAATGTCCAGAGTAAGCACTCTGCGTGACTCCTTATAGACACTCATACACCTAGGGGGTTGGCTTGATACAATCCATGTAAGTAAATGACCAGAAAACTCACCTGCCAATGTGGGCTGCCAAAAAGCTGTGAAGGGGCCACATGGCCTGGAAATACAACAGATCTTAGAATAATGTCTGTTAATTATAACATCGATGACGGAAAAAAAATCAAATTCCAGTAGGGCCACTCTGTAGATTCTGCACGTTCTTCCCATGTCTGCATGGGTTTTCTCTGGGTACTCTGGTTTCTTCCCACATGCCAAAGATGCACATGTTAGCTTAATTGGTGTGTCTAAATTGTCCCACTATGTGTGTGTGTGCCCTGAGCTGTTAGGATGGGCTCTGGCCATTTTCATTCTGGAACTGGAATAGGTGGATTGGAGAATGAATGAATGAATACAAACTATTGTAAAATAAAAATTCCTAAAACATTTGATAATGATACAACTGTACAACAGTAAATGGTACCACTTAGCAAGCTGGCCCCATTTGTTATTGTTTTTGAGCTTCTTGGTGGTAGGAGGTGGTCCTTAGAGTTTTTGCTTTGGAAGCATTTATTTGTTTTAACCCACCACTGTTAACTGCCATCACATACCAATTCATCAAAAATTGGATAAATAGCCTATTTTTATTAGTCTTTCTTAAATGTATATATATTTCACATTTATTTCAATATTTAATATTAGAAGTGTTTGGGGTCTTTATTTAGAAGTTTAGTGATGTTTTTGTGACCAGAAATATGCTGTAGGAGCTTAACTCGCTTATATTAATTAGCATGTGAAAAAATTCGCTTTGTTGTATGTCATTTCGCTTAAAGTCTCAGTTTCCAAGAACCTGCTGATGACTTTAAGTGAAGACTTAAATTCTATACATTTTCTCTGTTTGGCACTTAGGGGTTCCAGTGAACTAGCCGCATGTAGTGAAATCATTGATGGGGATTCTGATATAAAGTTGCTGAGGATGTGCATATACTGCTTTTTGGAGAGTGTATTGGCAAACCAATTTCAAAAACTGTTGGCAGTACATACTAGGTTTATACACATACATGCCCTACAGCAACAGTAATGTATACACTATGTGTATCAAGATAAAAGTAAGCCAGGTGCAGTGGCTCACGCCTGTAATCCCAACACTTTGGGAGGCCAAGGTGGGTGGATCACTTCAGGTCAGGAGTTGAAGGCCAGCCTGGCCAACATGGTGAAACCCTGACTCTATTAAAAAAAATACAAAAATTAGCCGGGCATGGTGGTGGGTGCCTGTAATCCCAGCCACTTGAGAGACTGAGGCAGGAGAATCACTTGAACCAGGGAGGTGAAGGCTGCAGTGAGCTGAGATTGCGCTACTGCACTCCATCCTGGGCAACCAGAGTGAGACCCTGTCTAAAAACAAAACAAAACAAAACCCAACTGACTTGAGACCTCAATTACATCTGCATTCTCTTCATTTTTGCTTATTCTTCTGTTAGAAACTGGTCAAAGGTCGTGCGTGCGCTCAACAGGAGGGTGTTATCCAGGGGTATGAATGCCAGCAGGTGGGGATCTCTGGGGTCATATTACAGTATTTGGCCACAGTGTGGCTGTAGCCCACTGGATGGTGAAGTTTGCTGGGTTACTCAGGCGGGAGTTAGTCATAGTCCTTAGGGAAGATTGAAGCAGTGTTTCAAGGCAAAGGCCAGCTGCAATGGGTGGATCAGCCTGTAGGGGGAGTCAGGACACCACTGTAGCTATGAGGCTTGGACTGGTTCGTGTCTGCCCTGGAAGTGCTGTGACAAACACACCTCTGGGGCACACTCACACTGATGGTGATGGGCAGCTATGCACAGGAAATTTGGATGCCACTTTGTTTGCAAGGCCTGGGACTTCAGTGTTCACGTTCGGAGGCCTTTGGGAACAAACCTTTGGGGTACAGGTCATGCAGCAGCATGCATCCTGGCATGCGCATTGTCTGTGTCATGAGGGACACAAGCCATCAAGCCAGTCGGCACATGTGCAGAGGGTGCCTCTGCTAGTGGGAGTCCTTTGAGCATGTGGCGTCCATATTAGGAGGGCCACAGGGTGGTGGTGACTGGGCCAGGGTTTTGTGGTATCCTAAGGACTGTGTTATGGGCATATGGCGTGGACAGAGCACCCTCCAATGCCCTCACACCCACACTGCTGACCACCGTGTCGCAATTGTATCCAGCAGGCAACGCTCCCTTTTGCAGTGTCCATCCCATGTCCCCTTTTAGTATGTTCCTCTAATTAGGTCCTGAGGCTTCTGTCTCTGGAGAGTGGCTGTAAATTCTAGCTCTGTCCCGACCAAGAGGAGAGGTGTTCTGGTGTGTTGGGTGGGTTAGGTACAGAAAAGGCAACACAACAAAACACATCAAGTAGCAGAAGCATTTTATTCCTTACAGATCCGCGAGAAGAGGGTTGCCCTTGAGGTCCTGACAGCAACTCAGGAGACAGCCGGGTGCTAACCAGTGGGTGGGGAATGAGACAGAGAGGACCTGTGGGACTGTGCCTTTGTTACGGTCCATGGGCCTTATCCCTCAGGCTTTCCCAGCGTGGTTGTGGATTAGGTAGACCTGAGCAGTGGGGAGAACTGATTTACATGACTGATGTTGGCCAGTAGGTTTCATTATGGTCAGCAGCTGTGGGGTGTGTTGGGTTTGGGGTCAGTGAGGTGAGGAACAAGTAGGCTATGTCACAAACAGCACACAGGGAGGGGAAAGTTTTAAGTAAGCCAAAGGTGATGGGGTCTGACTGGGTTCCAAATAACTTATGTCAGGCCTAAAAATAGATGTAGGGCAGTTATGTTGGAGGGTATGAGCTGATGATTTAGTAAAGCATATGTAAAGGTTAGTGGTATTGTGTGTAACCAAGGGGCAAGAGTGGTGTGGTTGGATAGGCAAGGCTGGAGGTCAAGATAGAAAGTGAGAAGGGTAGTAGTGTTGCGGGACGATCAACGATGGGAGAGACTGAACAGAGTGAGTTCAGGAAAGGTCTTTAAAAGGTGATCACCTGGCTCAGGAGGACTGGCATCCAGGAAAGTCTGAGCCCTGGACAAAGAAAGCAGCCACCTTTAAAGCACTCTGGCCGGGAGCTACTGATACAGGAAGCGTACTTACAGAAGCGAGAACGAAGGCAGTTGATCAGTCTTTTACATTTATCTATACTACATGTTCCACATCCCTGGGAAACCATGTTTCTGTATTAACCTTGTAACTTTGCAGCTGCGCTAGGGAGGTGAAGCAGGAACTCACTGAGCCTCAAGGAGTGTGAAACTAGCAAGTACAGATAAGGCTGGCTGAGCACAGAAGGAAAAACAGGCAGTTAGTATTCTCTCTTAGGCTACTGGGTGGGGGGGTGGGGTAGGAGGAGGGGCTACGCTACACTTAGCTTTTGCAGGAAAAAGTAAAAATTTTTGCTCGTCTTTGATTGTACTTGTAAAATTCATGAATTCCTTCTTCATTAGAAGGCATCATGGAGTAGGTGGTCCCCTCCCTGGGGTTAAGGAGTTTACCGACATGAGGCAGGTGCCTCTTGGGGAAAACAGTAATCTCCATTAATTTTAGTAACTCCTACCAGATTTTCCTTCAGGCTTGGGTATGTGGGTGTGCACATTTGAGCAGAATGCAAGTACGCTACCAGGATCAGGGGCTAAGCAGACAGTTCAGAAAGAAAAAAATGTTCTGTGTCCATTTGTGTTTTAGGAGAGGCAGTCCACGGATGTCACTGTGTGGAGGTTTTAGTGTAATGGTGGAGTCATCTCCACCATCAGAGTCTTGGGTCAGGGCTGTGTTGCTGGAGGCAATGTTGTTTCCAGCGGTGATATTTTGGGCTAGGACAAGGTCGTCTAGGATGTCACTGGGGTATAAAGTGGATACCCATTGAAGTAGATGTGGCCCTCTAGGTTGTAAACCAACAAAGCATCTAGTAAGACGAACCGTTAACAGAATGATATGTAGCTGTACCTGACAACATGTTTTTGTTTCTGTCTTTTGGTGGAAGTTTAGGTTCAGGTGGGTCCCCTATCAGATGAGCAGCTGCCGGGCCTCTGGGACAATCTAATGTTAGTAAGTCCCAGGCGACTGTGCACCCTCGATTTGGCCTTCAGTGTTTGTGGGATGGGGGCAAGATTGAAAATAAGTTAAGCCCTAGAGCATGATAGAGAATTTCAGGAGTTTGTTTTTTGGACTGGAATTTGAAAAGTAGTTATTTGAGGACATTTTTCTGTCTTTCAGTGAAACCAGTTATCTGAGACCTATTAGGGAAATGAAAGTTCTATTGAATATATTTTTCGAGGCGCTAGCATTATGTATTTTAAGAAATGAAACATGGGTTGGGCACAGTGGCTCGCCCCTGTAATCCCAGGAGTTTGGGAGGCCGAAGTGGGAGGATTGCTTGAGCCCAGGAGTTTGAGACCAGCCTGGGCAACATAGCGAGACCCTGCCTCTTAAAAAAAAAATTAAATTGACAAAAAAGAAGTGAAATATATATGTAGGTTACTAATAATGTCTGTAACTCTGAAGGGAATAAGTAGTGTCCTGGCAAGGCCTCGTATTGTGCCTTTAGTGTTTGGAGAGGTATGGGATTTTGCTTTATATTTTGGGTATCTGTCAGACAAGAGATTCCCAGGGTTTTTTTTTTTTTTTTTCCCACCCTGGAAGGGACAGTTTTTAGGTAATGACCCAATAGTTTATTGTAACCATGAAGAAGGTGGGTCGGTTTGTTGACCTGGGCATCCAGCGCTAAGACAGCTGCCTGAAGTTTGGCCAGGCACGTTGTTTCTTGGGTCCTGTCCTTTATTAGGGACATCCTGGCTAAGGGATGGAAGGCAGCAGCATTCCACTGAGCCCCATCACTTATAATGGTCAGCAGTGGCCTTTGCACAGTCTATGAACTCCCATTAGTGTTCACTTAGTTAATCCCAGGGGCTTTCCAGGTAGTCAGGGGACCTGTGGGAGGGAGGAGTGACCACCTTCAGCACGCTGGCATCAGGCAAGGGACTGAGAACAGGGGAAGCCACTGCCTTCTGCGGGTGGATTAGACCCAAGGGCCTGAGATTGGCTTCATCGTGGCCTAAGGAGGCCTCAGTGGCCAGGCAGAGCTTATGGGGGGTTGTTTCCCTGACCTAGAGCACAGTGGGCAGCTGCATAGGAGGATCACAGGCTCAGGTCTGTGAGATCCTCTGTTTCCAGGAGAGCCCAGTAGATGGCCAGTCACTTGTTTTACTGGTGAATAACAGGAAGTCAGGAGGGGCAGTCTCTCCTAGACGGCCTGGGGCAGCTAATGACCATCGTAAGTGGTCTAGAGACTCCAGCAGGCATTTAAAAAGTTGCCAGTCTCTAGCATGAAGGGAGTCCTTTTAGGAAGTTGATTTTTCCCCCCGTTTTCTTTTTTTTTTCTTCGAGGCATTAATAGGAGTGCTTGTTGATTTTAATTTAAATTATAATTTGTAAATCAGGCATATGTTGCCACCAGAACCCAAAAATTACTAAAAGATACTGGAATTACTTCCCCTTAATGACATGTCAAGAGTTTCCTTGGGGAAGGCTGTTATCGGTGCGGTGCATACCTGTGTTCCTGGAGAAGGTGGATGTTGTTAAGATCTCGTTTGCAAAGATCGTATGTGATGACAGATCTGTTGGGTAGCCTGGAAAAGGTGTGTTGTGTCCCATTGGAGGGAGAGGCAAGCTGCAGCTGAGAGGCTGTTGAAATAGGCACTGAACAGGGCATGTTGTCCAGGCCGGGTGTGGTGGCTCACACCTGTAATCCCAGCACTTTGGGAGGCCGAGGTGGGCAGATCACTTGAGGTCAGGAGTTCAAGACCAGCCTGGCTAACATGCTGAAACCCTGTCTCTACTTAAAATATATATATATATATTAGCTGGGCA
The DNA here is from genome assembly GCF_000001405.40 of Homo sapiens. Lineage (NCBI taxonomy): Eukaryota > Metazoa > Chordata > Mammalia > Primates > Hominidae > Homo > Homo sapiens. The sequence goes on along the minus strand of NC_000019.10, from coordinate 9,427,476 downwards.
TGGTGACGCACACCTGTAATCCCAGCTACTCGGGAGGCTGAGGCAATAGAATCCCTTGAACCCTGGGTGGCGGAGGTTGCAGTGAACCGAGATTGTGCCACTGCATTCTAGCCTGGGTGACAGAGCAAGACTCAATCTCAGAAAAAAAAACAAACAAACATGTTGGTCAAATTTATAATTAAAAGCACAATAGTTATTGGTTGTTTATTGAATAAAATCAGGAGTTTTAATAATATTGGGTGTGGGCACCTTGATGGATGGGACCACAGTATGAAGGCTGTAGTAATCCAGCATGAGGTGCCCTTTATTTTCTTTTTCAGATTCAAGAGCAGGCACAATTGGGCTGTCAAATAGAGAAGCAGTAGGGATAATCACCCCTTCATTAATTAGGTTTTATAGAAGTTTTCATCCTTGAGGCCCTGTTGTAACTTACATTGGGCCATGTGAAATATTTCAACTAATTATCCATGGGGTCCCATTTTATCAAGCCAATTTGTAAGTGTCAAAGTCTCACTTTAATTTTAATTTGTTATTTATTATGTTAGCATATTTATACCTAATATGGAATATTTTAGGGCCATGGGTACTATGACAATGGGAGATTTAAGCAAGGCTACAGTTAAAGCGAGGCGTACCTATTTTTTTTCTCCTGTATTTAGTTACCCTTTTAAGATTTTAGGGAGCACAATGTTTGAATTTAGTGGGATCCCCAGGTATAAGTGTAATTTGAGCCCCAGATTGAGTAGGCCTATGCAGTTTTGTTAATTGGTACATTTTACCAAATGTTAGTTAAAGTCTAGTTACCTTTTATTTTTTTCCCCATGTCTCATGGTCTGTGTTTAAATCATTAAGTAATCTAGGGCCAGCGGGATTATGTTTGTTAGACCTGGCATTTGTTTAGTACTTAAAGTTCAAAAAGTTCCTCTTTTTTTTTTTCTTGAACTTGTAACCTCCTAAATCTCGAGGCTTTTTTTCCTTTTTTTTTGGTCTTAGACTTTTAACTGCCTGAAGGGTTCTTAATTTCTGTCTCTGGTTGATAAGAGGAAAAGAAGGAGGGGTAAGGCGCCCAGTGCTTCTAGGCAACAGAGGACTGGGAACTCCAGACCTCAAGACAATCAGTTTCTTTCCCTCTATTTTTTTCTTCTAAGTAAAATCTTCAGAATGGCTTGTATCTCCAGGTGGCTAAAATATTTTTTCCTTTGTTTACCTGACAAGCTCCCGGTGGTCCCGAGTGGCCCCGGGTCCTCTGGCCTCCATTTGTGCTTCCCATCTGACCCCTTTGTAGGCAGCCGCCTTTCTCTCTAGGGTGCCCAGTTGACCTCGTCAGGGTGGGGGCGTAGAGCAACAGATGCAATGGAAGGCAGTGTCCTGGGGATAGCAGACCCCAACAGCAACCTTGCCAGCGAGGTGCCGTCATCTCCCCAGTGAAGGGGTTGCTACTGTTGTCAGAGTGGGAAGTCTGGTGGCCTCGTCTGTACTGCTTATCCATACAGTGGGCAGTCAGAATGCCGGTCTTCCTCTTGCACTCCGCTAACCCTTTGATTGGCCCAGCGCCTGCCTTACCCCTTCTGCCTCTCAGTAGCAAGCCCGTTATGCCAGAGTGAGGCCTTGGGAATACAGTTGGCTTCCTCCAGCCCAGCAGTTCCTATTTGGGGAAGTGACAGCAGTCTTGGATAGTGACTGTCGTGCCCCTCTTGCCCTCTTAAGGCTAGCAGTTGGTGAGTCCTAGGGAGCGCTTGGACTATGGAGGACCCACCCAATTTAGGGATGGGAGTATTGGCAGTGCTTCACAGAGACAACAGGCAGCAATGCACAGCAGCAGAGAGGTACCCCAGCAGGCTGTGGAGCCCTCCCATATGGCATCAGCCATGTGAGTGGGCCAGGTAGTAAACAGGCCAAGAGCAATCTGAAGGCCTGGTCTTGTGTCCCTCAGGTTGTGACCACACACCCTGTTCACCACACTGAATATATTTTCCTCTGTTTTGGTCTAGGGGGTCTCTCTCTCTCTGGAGAGTGGCTGCAAATTCTAGCCCTACCCAGACCGGGAGGAGAGTTACATTCCAGTGTGTTGGGCGGGCAAGATGTAGAGGAGGCAGCACAACAAAACACATGAAATGTCAGAAGCATCCTCCTACTCACAGATCCCCAGGATGGGAGGCTGCTCTCGGGGGCTGATGGAAGTCCAGAGACAGCCGGGTGTTCAACCTGTGGGATAGGAATGAGAGAGGACCTGTTGGGCCTTGCGTTATTAAGGTGCATGGACGTTATCCCTCAGGACTTCCTTTGGGGGTTGTGGATTGGTTGCGCAAAGGAAAGTTCTTATTTATATGACTCTGGTGTTGGCCACTAAGTTTCACTGTAGTCAGCAGCTGTGAGATGTGTTGGATTTGGGGCCAGTGAGGTGAGGAACAAGCAGGCTGTATAACAAACAGCTACACAGGCAGGGGAAGTTTTAACTAAGACAAAGACGATGGGGGTATTGGAGCTGAGATAAATAAACAGCTAACTGGCATATTTCACTTTTGGTTCTTTACCATCCATATGCACTCTCCTACACACATAGGAATTTCTTTGGAATAATTAAACAAGTCTATATTCCTACCTAAGAAGATATGAGGGAAGAAGTCCTCACCCACCCCCAAAGGAGCAGATGCGCAGTTCAAACAGTCCTTTGTATTCCCATGGCACGCCATGTCAATTACTCCTCAAATTTAGTCCCATTCTAACTATTCTGTTTCTTAAAGACAAAATTATAAATGTAACCTCTAATAATGTGTATATAAAATAAAAGTGGGAAAAAGATAGAAGTAAATGGTTCATTTAAATAAATAAACACATGGATATAAACACACATACGTATAACAAGCAGAGAGAAAACATGCAAAACTACATTTCTTGTTTCTGTCACTGCTCTTGAGGTTGTAGTTGATGTCCATGGTTTACTTCTTCAGTGACTAATTCCATATTTTCCCTGCCCTCCACTTGAACCTCAGCTGCTCCGGGTTTTGTACCAGGGAGGAGCAATACAAATCTTCGTTCGCCCAGAGTCCGAATCCTCTGTTGTCCTGCTTTCGTTCAGTTGTGGTTTTCCATTAACCTTTTCTATGGAGTATAGAAGTACTCGGAGGTTCTACACCTCATCACTTCATCCTCCTTGCCTCAATTGTCTAGTAGTGCCACAGTTTCCCTTTGATAATTGGGATTAACCACTCCAGCCAGTAGATTAACTTTTTTCTTTTTTTTTTTTTTTTTTTTTGCCTCTTGGTTTAGTGGTATATGAAGCCCAAAAGGGCCAAGTGGCAGTCTCCTGTTCCAATGCATTAGAACCATAGCTGTGCCCCCTGGGGGGGGCATTTTCCTCTAGGGTCTAAGAAGATCTCCAGACCAGCAGTGCTCTGAGTTGCTGGGAATAAAAGCAAACTTCTGTCAGTGGAGTTAATTCCACCTTCACCCATCAATTCTATTTTTTTGTTTTGTTTTGAGATGGAGTCTTGCTCTGTCGCCCAGGCTGGAGTGCAGTGGCACAATCTCGGCTCACTGCAACCTCCACCTCCCGGGTTCAAGCCATTCTCCTGCCTCAGCTTTCCAAGTAGCTAGGATTACAGGCATGTGTCACCACGCCCAGCTAATTTTTCGTGTTTTTAGTAGAGACGGGGTTTCACCATGTTGGCCGGGCTGGTCACGAACTCCTGACCTGAAACGATCCACCTGCCTCGGCCTCCCAAAGTGCTGGGATTCCAGGCATGAGCCACCGCGCCTGGCCTACTCATCAATTCTTGGACCCATGTATTCTGACTCTGGGGAGACAGTACCATGGAAGGCTTTATGACTCAAAGCGTACACCTTGACCTGTGAGTCAGAATTCCTTTCTAAGGGTTGTCCCCCATTTGGCCCTATAACTGAGTTTTCAGTATGCGATTCCACTTTTCATGTAGATCCACTGCTTCTGAGTGATGGGGTGTGTGATGGAACCAGTTGATTTCAAGGACATGCTTCCATTGTTGCACTTCCTCTGCAGTGAAATGCTTTGCTTGTTTAGAAACTCTGTTGTGTGGAGGCCATGACTACTGATAAAGCATGTTGTGATTCCGTGGGTGGTGGTGCCAGCAGAAGCCTAACTAGTCGAAAGGCAGATCCACACCGGAACGTGAGTCTGTTCTGGTGGGGATGAGTCTTTGACAATTTCCTGATAGAAGAGGGCCCATTACAGCATGGCTGGCTGGTCTCCTCTAAGGAATGGTGCTGTATTGGATGCTCAGTGTTGATTTCTGCTTTCAGGAGATTAGGCCCAGCAGTAATGTTAGCTGGGTCAGACTTGGTAAGGGGAAGTCCTTATTGCTGAGCCCACACATAGCCTTTATCCCTGCTGTCATGAACATTTTTTAATGGGCCCATTGAGCAAGCACTGAGGTGCAGCTAGGTAAAGTAACAGGTATCTTTAGAGCACGTGATTTTGTCTGCTCTATTTCTAGTGGATCACGGCAGGCATTCACGTGGGACACAATCTTTCCTTTCAGAGACGTCCATCCATATACCTTTTCCTAGGTTTCCTTGTTACCACTCTGGTTCATTCCACATTTTTGACCATCCAGCCAAGCCATCGGCAACTTTTGATGAATCTGTGTATGTGTATGCATGCATCTTGTCAACTCTTACTCCAGACCCAGAAGCAGGCCAATACACTGCCTGAAGTTCTGCCACTCGGAAGATTTTCCTTTAGTACTGCCCCCTTCAGGGTCAGCCTTTAGCGGGGCTGTAGTGCTTCTGCTCTGCACTTTTAGCGGGTACTAGAGCTAGTCATTGGACTCGGGGAAAGCAGGAAGCAGCCCTCTGGAATGCAGGCAACCCTGGCTATTGTGCTCATGAGCAGAGGAAGTTGGGGTGCCAGTAAGGATACAAGACTGAGAGCACTAAATATCCACATTAAGTGGCCAGGGGAAACCAGTCTTTGGTATGCAGACAGGCCATGGGTGGTGGCTAAGTGCATAGAAAGAGACAGTATTCCTGTCACCCTTGCATTCTTTGAGTAGTTCAATGCATTTCCTCAGAACTCAGATGCATATTGTGTTATGAATTGTGATGGGGCTGTAGTCTGGGTGTACTTTAACAGTGTTGAGAAGGATCTCAGTTGTCTGTCCAGCCATCACTGGGTGCCTTTAGGCTCCATGCCAGGTCAAGGGGAACATTGGCACCCAAAGATACCTAAGGCTGCCCATGAGATACAGAGACTCCACAAAGAAAAGCAAGTTGCAGTGTCACCCAGCATCATCCAAGAACATTCCTAGAGACTCGCAGAGTTCCTTATGATAAAAAAAAGGTTTTGTTGTGGCCAGGTGCAGTGGCTCACGCCTGTAATCCAGCACTTTGGGAGGCCGAGGCGGGCAGATCACAAAGTCAGGAGATCGAGACCATCCTGGCTGACAGGGTGAAACCCCGTGTCTACTAAAAATACAAAAAAATTAGCCGGGTGTGGTGGCGGGTGCCTATAGTCCCAGCTACTCGGGAGGCTGAGGCAGGAGAATGGCGTGAACCTGGAGGCGGAGCTTGCAGTGAGCCGAGATCGCGCCACTGCACTCCAGCCTGGGTGACAGAGCGAGCCTCCGTCTCAAAAGAAAAAAAAAAAGAAAGGTTTTGTTGCTCCAAAAATAGGAAAGTTCAATGTGTGTATCTATCTACCCAGTAATGTTGTTACAAGATGTATAAAGGAGTATACATTACAGATACACAAGAAGAAATAGACAAGTCCACAGTTGCAGTGGGAGATTTTAGAATTTTTATCTCATGTTATTTAAATAGTAGAGAAAAATGAAGATAGGATGTACATTTGCGAGAGATGAGCACACTGCCTAATTTACCTGTCCAGTGTTGTGTCTGCTAAATGAAGGAAATCACAGGGTGCTTATCTGGAGTTGAGAGTGAAAAGATAGACTGGAAGGGGCAAGAAGGTTTTCATGGGGAGACGAACATGTTTTATATCTTGTTTAGGCTTTTGATTATGCAAGTGTATGCGATTGTCAAAATTCATCCACTGAATACCTAAGATCTGTACTTTTAATTGTACATTAATTACATTTCAAGTTTAAAATAACATAATTGGTTTAGATTTCACCAAATTAAACACATTTGTGGCCCTCTTCAGCCTAAGGATCCCCAGTTTGAAACCCATGGTAGTGGGTACAATCTACACCAGGAGTCTAGACATGGGGTTTCTGTAACCCAGTGTGACCTCAGAGTTTCAGCCTTCTCATTCATAGAATAAAGGCTGTAGCGTCCTTGTGGGGGTGTATCTGGTTCATGGATAATGAACTGTTCAGTTTTCAGTGATTTTCATCGTTCAGATTCCATTCTGTCAATCAGCATTTGCACTGTTGTTCTGTGTTTGATTTATTAAAGATTGTGATTAATTTTTATTAAATTTTATTTTAATTGTATAAATTTTATTAAATTAAAATACATTCTGTTGTTGGGTCATACTCGGTTTATATGGAGTGGGTGTTCAATAACACATGTGGGTAGTGACCATGGTGTTGTACTGTGCAGGTTTAGACTAACGCTGGTCATGTGGGAAAGTAAGAGCAGCCACAGATTGGGTGTCAGGGACAAAATTGCCTGTGTTCAAGTCCTGGTTCACAACTTCCAAACTGGATGATTCTGGACCAAATCCAAGTGTTGTCTGATTGTAGGTTTTCTTTTTTTTCTTTTTCTTTTTTTTTTTTTCCTTTTGAGAGAGAGTTTCACTCTGTTGCCAGGCTGGAGTGCCGTGGTGTGATCTCGGCTCACTGCAACCTCTGTCTCTCAGGTTCAAGCGATTCTCCTGCCTCAGCCTCCTCAGTAGCTGGGATTTATAGGCATGCACTACCATGCCCAGCTAATTTTTGTGTTTTCAGTAGAGATGGGGTTTCACCACATTGCCCAGGCTGGTCTTGAACTCCTGACCTCAACTGACACACCTGCCTTGGTTTCCCAAAGTGCTGGGATTACAGGCGTGAGCCACCGCCCCCGGCCTGATTTTTTCTTTATCAAATAGGGGTCATTGGTATCTACTGTAAAGGGTGGTTATGATAATTAAGCGAGTATATAAAGCTGCTAGTGTGACTTCTGACACACACTGTTCCTCAGTAGTGGAAGTTGGTCTTCCTACTATTTGTAGTGTACACCGTTTTCAGTGTCTTTTCCTCTATATGCTCTGCAGAGAGAGTGCTAATGATGTCTGATGACTGATAAGTAATGCTTGTTGATTAATGATTTATACAAACAGGATACCGTTAACCCTGGATAAAGAGAATGGAGGTTACCTCTGTCCGTGTAGATTCCTAAGCTGTCCTGGAGTGATCCTTGGAGTAAAGGAAAGGTGCTTTGAAGCACATTCAGCCATCAGCCCTGTGGGATGGCAGCCACTGATTTGTCCTATGGTAAGTCCTGTTTCTGTTCATTTTCAGATACCCTGCTTTAGGTGTCCCCCCCCACACAGTATGGAGTCCAGTGGCCTGTGCCTGATCATTCACGCTGCAGCTTCATTTCTGAGGTGCTGATGTGGGCTAGGGAATGCTTTGTTCCTTTTTTTTTTTTTTTTTTTGAGACAGAGTCTTGCTCTGTTGCTCAGGCTGGAGTGCAGTGGCATGATCTCAGCTCATTGCCACCTCTGCCCCCCAGGTTCAAGCGATTTTCCTGCCTCAGCCTCCCGAGTAGCTGGGATTACAGGCGTGTGCCACCACACCTGGCTAATTTTTTGTAATTTTAGTAGAGATGGAGTTTCACCATGTTGGCCAGGATGGTCTCGAACTCCTAACCTCAAGTGATCTGCCTGCCTCGACCTCCCAAAGTGCTAGGATTACAGGTGTGAGCCATCACGCCCAGCCAGAATACTTCATCAGCCCCCTGCTGTGTGTGCTTTGGGAAGAGGTGCTGTGTCTTTCCAGGGAAGAGAAGTTTTCCTTATCTGTAAAATAAGACTGTTACCCTTTTCCCAGTGGGCAGCATGGCTGACTATCCTTTTTTTTGCCTTTACGTGAGGCAGTAGTGCCCTGGAATTGATAGCGGTGGTGTGTATGTGTGTGTTTTCTTGAGTGTGCGGGAGTATATAGGAATCTCACAGTAGGATGGAATGACTTTGGGGTACGTGAATGTGGGAATTATCGTCAGCCCTGGGTTCTCATGCCTTCTTTCTTTTCCATGAGGTCTTTACAGGGACCCAGTCTGCCTTCAAGAAAAGACAGAAGTAGAAAGGGTGGTGGCTGACTGTCTGACAAATTGTTATCAGGTATGCAGGAAGTATATCCTTCTCCAAAATATCATACTTGCATCACCAGGTAGACACATTTCCTTCTACACAGAATTATCTTCAGAGCTTCTTAAAGCAAATAAAGCCTCCTTCAAGGACTGAGTCCCTAGTCGAATTCCCGGAAGGAGTGGAGCCTGTCATATTGGTGAGGGTTTGCCTTGAATGTCATCCCAGTATTTCAATATTGATTAATTAGTCTTCCCTCATGGTCCCAACTGCATAGTTTTTATTTTGTTGAGTGTTCTGACACATGGTAAGGGACATGAAAGTATCCTTTGAGATAATCTTTCCATTCATCAGTGTTTATCTAGCATCTGCTCAAGAGTGTGCTGCAGTGGAGGGAAATCAGATGACCTCCCAGTCTGGTTGTGTTACATACAATCATGTGTAAGAAGTGCCATTCAAGCCGTGTCACTGGAGGGGACTGACAGTGAGTGAGTGTGGATAGAGAGGACCTCCTGGGGTGGGCAATGTGAGCCCTCAGACTCTGTAGGTATTGCATTTTGCAGTGAACACTGGTAGACATGTTTTGTGGCTCAAGCCAGCATGTGTGTGATGGTTTAGGATTCAGTGACTTTTGATGATCTGGCTGTGGACTTCACCCCAGAAGAATGGACTTTACTGGACCCAACTCAGAGAAACCTCTACAGAGATGTGATGCTGGAGAACTACAAGAATTTGGCCACAGTAGGTAAGACTGGCCTCATCCCTTGTAGCCTACTATGGAACAGATTATGTTATGTACTTACTGTATTGCACATCAGAGATAGCAACTCTGAACACAATGGGAAATAACAGACATAGTCCCTGCCCTAATAGGGTTTCATCTACTTGGTGATTCTCAAAATGTGGTGTCAGATGAAGAGCATCACCAGCACTGTTGGAGATGTATGTTCTCAGTCTCCACCTTTGACATACTCAGTGAGAAACTGCAACAGGGCCCCTGTCATCTGTGTTTTAACAAGCTCTCATGAATCTGATGTGCTATAATGTTGAAGAATGAGATGTATAGTTGTTTCCCATGAGAATGAAGATCTCTTTGTTTCACTTAACTTCCTATTTGGATAAAAGTCTTAGTGCTTTGTAAGTGTGTACATCAGCCTGGATTTGGGCTTCAGGGATCAGAGATCACCAATCTTTTGGGGGCACAGACAGACGATATTTGCATTTTTAGCCCTTTTAAAATAATTTCACTGCTTCCATTGGAACTATATCTCCTGAGTTGTGGAAAGATTTATCATCTCTTGCATGAGCCTCTTCTGGTAATGTATCTTTCTTTGTGCACAGGATATCAGCTCTTCAAACCCAGTCTGATCTCTTGGCTGGAACAAGAAGAGTCTAGGACAGTGCAGAGAGGTGATTTCCAAGGTGAGTGTTCACAAAGGACCGCCCTGGTCAATAAGTTCAGTATGTTTATAAGTATAATGAGGAAACTTTTTTTTTTTTTTGAGATGGAGTCTCACTCTGTCACCCAGGCTGGAGTGCCGTGGCACAGTCTCAGCTCACTGCAACCTCCGCCTCGCAGGTGCAAGCGATTCTCCTGCCTCAGCCTTCTGATCTCCTGCCTCAGCCCCCTGAGTAGCTGGGATTACAGGCTCACGCCACCATGCCTGGCTAATTTTTGTATTTTTAGTAGAGGCGGGGTTTGACCGTGTTGGTCAGTGTGGTCTCAAACTCCTGATCTCATGATCTGCCCACCTCGGCCTCCCAAAGTGCTGGGATTACAGGCGTGAGCCACCACGCTTAGCCATAATGAGGAAACTTTTTAAGATGTGCTTCATCTCACAGTGTTGAGGCCATTATTTTTTTTATTTTTATTTTTTTCTGAGACACAGTTTCACTGTCACCCAGGCTGTAGTGCAGTGGTGCGATCTCGGCTTACTGCAACTTCAGCCTCCCGGGTTCAGGTAATTCTCCTGAGTACTCGTCCTCCCGAGTAGCCGGGACTACAGGTGTGTGCCACGCCTGGTTAATTTTTTGTATTATTAGTGGAGAGAGGGTTTCACCACATTGGCCACGCTGGTCCCAAACTCCTGACTTCAAGTGATCCACCTGCCTTGGCCTCCCAAAGTGCTGGGATTACAGGCATGAGCCACCATGCCCAGGTAGGCCATTTCTTTCTCAGAAGTTAAGAAATCTTCAACTTCTCATACTTTTACGCTTTGTCTACTCATTCTTTTCTGTGATAGGACCCGTTGGTTTCTTCTTTAAAAGTTCCTGTTTTGGGCCAGGTGTGGTGGCTCACGCCTATAATCTCAGCACTTTGGGAGGCTGAGGCGGGCAGATCACATGAGGTCATGAGTTTGAGACCAGCCTGGCCAACATGGTGAAACCCCATCGCTACAAAAATACAACTATTAGCTGGGCGTGGTGGCGCACTCCTGTAGTCCCAGCTACTAGGGAGGCTGAGGCAGGAGAATCGCTTGAACCCAGGGGCCGAAGGTTGCAATGAGCCAAGATCGTGCCGCTGAACTCCAGCTGGGGTGAGAGAGCAAGACTCTGTCTCAAAAAAAAAAAAAAAAAAAAAAAAAAGGCCTGGCACGGTGGCTCACGTCTGTAATCCCAGAACTTTGGGAGGCCGAGGTGGGAGGATCACCTGATGTCAGGAGTTCGAGACCAGCATGGCCAACATGCTGAAACCCTGTCTCTACTAAAAATGCAAAAATTAGCTGGGCTTGGTGGTAGGTGCCTGTAATCCCAGCTACTCGGGAGGCTGAGGCAGGAGAATCGCTTGAACTTGGGAGGCGGAAGTTGCAGTGAGCCGAGATTGTTCTATTGCACTCCAGCCTGAGTGACAAGAGTGAAAGTCTTTCTCAAAAAAAAAAAAAAACAAAAAACAAAAACAAGCTCCTTGTTTTGATGTGTGCTTTTTGTTCTATTCCTCAACTTTCCTTCCATGGTAATATTCTTTGTGTTCACCATCAGTTTATAATTTTCATAGAATCAGTTTGTAGTAAACTATGTAAAATTTTGACGCTATATCCTTATTATTGCCAAATTTTTGATATACAATCTTCAAATCTGTCTTTGTGTTTGTTTTTTGTTACCGTGTTTAATTTGAAAACAAATACAGGGGCCGGGTGTGGTGGCTAATGCCTGTAATCCCAGCACTTTGAGGGGCTGAGGCGTGTGGATCACGAGGTCAGGAGTTTGAGACTAGCTTGGCCAACATGGTGAAATCTCGTCTCTACTAAAAATACAAAAATTAGCTGGGCGTTGTGGCATGTGCCTGTAGTCCCAGCTACTCAGGAGGCTGAGGCAGGAGAATCACTTGAACCTGAGAGGCAGAGGTTGCAGTGAGCTGAGACCACGCCATTGCACTCCAGCCTGGGCAACAGAGTGAGACACCGTCTCAAGAAAAAAAGAAAACAAGTACAAATGATCCCTCTCATTTTCAGCTCCATCTGTCTACCCTGTATGTCTCCAAACCCTTACATTTCTTTTTCTCTTCAGCTTCAGAATGGAAAGTGCAACTTAAAACCAAAGAGTTAGCCCTTCAGCAGGATGTTTTGGGGGAGCCAACCTCCAGTGGGATTCAAATGGTAAGATTAACAAGGATACGTCTTAGTTTTCACATTTAGAGATGATTGGGGATTCCATTATAGAAAATCAGAATAAAGCTGGGAATGGTGGCTCACACCTGTAATCCCAGCACTTTGGGAGGCTGAAGTGGGAGGATCACTTGAGGCCAGGAGTTCTAGACCAGCCTGGTCAACGTAGCAAGATCTTGGCGCTAAAAACTAAATTTAATTACATTAAAAGAAAAAGAAAATTAGCAGAATGAGAGCTCTTTGAGATAAGTAGCATTCCCAAAAGGGATAATGACTCTGGAGAGAGACTCAGAATACGATGACCTGGGGATGCTTGAAATCTAGCTTGACACTTATTGTTGTTTTTTTCTTAGACAGAGTCTTGGTCTGTCACCCAGGCTGGAATGCAGTGGCATGATCTTGGCTCACTGCAACCTCCACCTCCTGGGTTCAAGCGATTCTTGTGCCTCACCCTGCTGAGTAGCTGGGAGTACAGGCACGTGCCACCATGCCCGGCTAGTTTTTGTACTTTTAGTAGAGACAGGGTTTCACCATGTTGGCCAGACTGGTCTTGAACTCTTGACCTGAGGTGATCTGCCCACGTTGGCCTCCCAAAGCACTGGGATTACAGGCGTGAGCCACTGCGCCCAGCCAACACTTAGGTGTTTTAGAGTTCCCCTCAAGTACACATTTGTAACTAGATAGTGAGTTTTTAAGACAATTTCATAAAACTCTACAGACATTTGAGATTAGAGTAGATGGCACAGCCTGGCAGGAGTTTTTTGTCATTCCGCTGGAAAGAAATCAAAAGGGCATTACTTATATGTGTGTAATGAAAATGGTAAACATGATAATAATCATCACAGTGTTCCTCTCTTCAGATGAGTGGAATCTGTTAATCAATCTGAACCGTCCTTTAATCATCATTCATTCCTTTATCAACAGATAGGAAGCCACAACGGAGGGGAGGTCAGTGATGTTAAGCAATGTGGAGATGTCTCCAGTGAACACTCATGCCTTAAGACACATGTGAGAACTCAAAATAGTGAGAACACATTTGAGTGTTATCTGTATGGAGTAGACTTCCTTACTCTGCACAAGAAAACCTCTACTGGAGAGCAACGTTCTGTATTTAGTCAGTGTGGAAAAGCCTTCAGCCTGAACCCAGATGTTGTTTGCCAGAGAACGTGCACAGGAGAGAAAGCTTTTGATTGCAGTGACTCTGGGAAATCCTTCATTAATCATTCACACCTTCAGGGACATTTAAGAACTCACAATGGAGAAAGTCTCCATGAATGGAAGGAATGTGGGAGAGGCTTTATTCACTCCACAGACCTTGCTGTGCGTATACAAACTCACAGGTCAGAAAAACCCTACAAATGTAAGGAATGTGGAAAAGGATTTAGATATTCTGCATACCTTAATATTCACATGGGAACCCACACTGGAGACAATCCCTATGAGTGTAAGGAGTGTGGGAAAGCCTTCACCAGGTCTTGTCAACTTACTCAGCACAGAAAAACTCACACTGGAGAGAAACCTTATAAATGTAAGGATTGTGGGAGAGCCTTCACTGTTTCCTCTTGCTTAAGTCAACATATGAAAATCCATGTGGGTGAGAAGCCTTATGAATGCAAGGAATGTGGGATAGCCTTCACTAGATCTTCTCAACTTACTGAACATTTAAAAACTCACACTGCAAAGGATCCCTTTGAATGTAAGATATGTGGAAAATCCTTTAGAAATTCCTCATGCCTCAGTGATCACTTTCGAATTCACACTGGAATAAAACCCTATAAATGTAAGGATTGTGGGAAAGCCTTCACTCAGAACTCAGACCTTACTAAGCATGCACGAACTCACAGTGGAGAGAGGCCCTATGAATGTAAGGAATGTGGAAAGGCCTTTGCCAGATCCTCTCGCCTTAGTGAACATACAAGAACTCACACTGGAGAGAAGCCTTTTGAATGTGTCAAATGTGGGAAAGCCTTTGCTATTTCTTCAAATCTTAGTGGACATTTGAGAATTCACACTGGAGAGAAGCCCTTTGAGTGCCTGGAATGTGGTAAAGCATTTACGCATTCCTCCAGTCTTAATAATCACATGCGGACCCACAGCGCCAAAAAACCATTCACGTGTATGGAATGTGGCAAAGCTTTTAAGTTTCCCACGTGTGTTAACCTTCACATGCGGATCCACACTGGAGAAAAACCCTACAAATGTAAACAGTGTGGGAAATCCTTCAGTTACTCCAATTCGTTTCAGTTACATGAACGAACTCACACTGGAGAGAAACCCTATGAATGTAAGGAGTGCGGGAAAGCCTTCAGTTCTTCCAGTTCCTTTCGAAATCATGAAAGAAGGCATGCGGATGAGAGACTGTCAGCATAAGGAATGTGGGAAAACCTAAAGGTGTCCCTGTTCTCTCTGAAGACATGAAAACTCACTGGGGAGAAACCCTATGAATGTAAAAATGTGGAAGCAACTTTGTATCTCAGGTCTTAATGAACACATATGAATTCACAGTGGAGAAGACCCTGCATCAGGGAATGTGGAAATGACTTTGCTGAATTCTCAAGCCTTACCAAACACATCAGAAATCTCACTGGAGAGAAACTGTATGAATGTAGAGAATCTGGGAATACCTTTCTGAATCCCACAAACCTTAATGTGTGTATGTGAACTCACATTGGAGAGAAACCCTGCAATTTAAATGGTATGGTCTGGATGATGCCCCACTCCATATTTGTAAGCCCTAAGTCCTAGTTCCTTACACTATAACTGTATTTGGACATAGGGTTTTCAAACAGGTGAGTAACTTCAAATGAGGTTGTTGGGTTCGATCCCTAATCTGACATCACTGGTGTCCCTATAAGGGAAACTGAAGGAAGGATACACATGGAGAAGACTGTGTGGATCCACCAGAAGATGGCCATCTACAAGCCAAGGACAGAGACCTGGAACAGATGCTTTCATTATGGCCTCCAGAGGAAACCAACCCTGTCTCCACCTTGATATTGCACTTCCAGGCTCCAGAACTGTGAGGCAATAAATTTCTCTTGGTTAAATCATTCAGTCTGTTATTTTGTACAGCAACCCTAGGAAACTAATACTGTGAGGAACTTGGGAAAAGCTTTAGATCAAGCTTGTCCAACCCGCAGGCCAGGATGGCTTTGAATGCAGACCAACACAAATTTTTAAGCTTTCTTCAAACATAATAAAATTTTTTTGTGATTATTTTTTCCGTTCATTAGCTATCATTAGTGTTAGTGTAAACACAAAAGCAATCACAGGAGAGACGTTCTATGAATGTAGGACATGTGAAGAAGTCTGTAAGTGCTCATCAGATCTTAATACTCACTTCCAACTCTTGTGGTGATAGGCCCTGTGAAAATCAAAGACCATCAAGAAGAGAAAGTTTCTTTTACTATGAAAGTCATAAATGTGACTTCACCCAACATTTAGTGACTTAGAGTGGACTGAGGCTCCATTATTAGTAATGTGGAGAGATTTCATTAAATGTTTATACCTTACATGAGAAATAAAAATTCACAGTGTAGAGAACACTTCTGCTGTAAGGCACGTGGGAAAGCTTTTACTAATTCCACGAGGCTCATTTTACATATCTAAAATTAGACTGCAAGTGAGCCAAGACCCCTACACTCCATCCTGGGTGACAAAGCAAGACTCTGTCTCAAAAAAAATAAAATAAAATTAGACTGCAAATGTCCTGGGAATGTAGGGGAATGTATGGCAACCTTTAAATATCTCACATGCCATAATGTTAACATGAAATCTCACATTGGAGGAAGAACCTGTGTATCCCAGGGATATGGTGTCACCTTATTTCATTGCTCAAGCCTTAATATCTTTGTGAGAATTCACACTGGGGTAAAACCCTGTGATTATAAAAAGGATGCAGGAAGTACTTCATTTGCTTCTCATATCTTACTGTATCACAGTTCATAGCCATGTGAATGTAAGAAATATGGGAAAGCTGTCAGAATCTCTTCACAACCCAGCAGGAAGTAACTTGCAATGAGACCACACAGTCTGTGAAACATGGAAAGCCCTTTGCTGTTATCTCAGGGATTGCTTAAGTAAGGTTTTGCAGTAGAGAGAAATCCTATTAGTGTAAGAGGTTTTGGAGAGTGGTAGTTCAGCTAAATAATGTTGACTTCTCAGATTGGAAAACTCTGACCAATTGAAAATGTTTTATTACTCTTTTAAAATATCCGTGTTCACCTGGTGCAGTGGCTCAGAGCTGTAATCTCAGCACTTTGAGAGGCTGAGGTGAGTGGATTGCTTGAGCTCAGGAGTTCAAGACCAGCCTGGGTAACCTGGTGAAACCCCGCCTCTACAAAAAAGACAAAACTTAGCTGGGCATGGTGGCTTATGCCTATAGTCCCTGCTACCCAGGAGGCTGAGGCAGGAGAATCATTTTAGCCCAGAAGGAGGTTGCAGTGAGCTGAGATTGTGCCACTGCACTCTAGCCTGGGTGACAGAGTCAGACGCTGTCTCAAAACAAAAAATCCATGTTTCAGAGCAGTTTTAGGTTCACAGCAAAATAGTGTGGAAGGTTCAAAGACATCCTATATTCCTGCGGCCACTACATATGCATAGCTTCCACCATCATCAACATACTCCACCAGAGTAATACATTTGTTAGAATTCATGAACCTGCATTGCCACTTCATTATCACCCAAAGTCCACAGATCATCGGTCCTCCCACTATTCCTCCCTCCCTCTCCCCAGCCCGACAACCACTCATCTTTTTACTGTCTCCATAGTTTCGCCTTTTTCAGAATGTCATAGAGTTGGAATTGTGCAGTACGTAACTTTTCAGATTGGCCCAAAGTGATAACTTCACATCCTTCTTTTCCAGTTCAAATGTTGCCTTTTTCAAAACCACTCATGGCCTGCCCCGCCCTCATCCTGTGCCCATAAAAACCGCAGGCTCCACTAACAGAGTAGAAGAGGGTGGGGGCTTTAGTTCTGTCTCTAGAGCAAAGCCCACAGTTATTGGTTAATGAATGCGTTAAGGCACCCACACCTTCCACCAATGTTGAGCTGTGTTCACCCCATGGTGACTTTTGGGGCAGTGGATTGCAGGGTGGGTCTGGAGTGCCATGTGACTGCTCTGCAGGACTTGGAGACTGGTGAAATTTCTGCACAGGTGGCTTCTGGAGCTCCTGGACAAGGCGCACCTTTCCTCAAGAGCGTGACTCCTTGATGCTTGGAATCTGGGTGAGGACAGGATGAGGACATTTAAAAATACTGTTTAGTGTTAGGTTTTTAACTCATTGTTTAATTCTCTGACACAGCAGCTGAGCTTTTTTTTTTTTTTTTTTTTTTTTTTTTCTTGAGATGGAATTTTGCTCTTGTTGCCCAGGCTGGAGTGCAGTGGAGAGATCTTGGCTCACTGCAACCTCTGCCTCCCGTGTTCAAGTGATTCTCCTGCCTCAGACGCCTCAGTAGCTGGGATTACAGGCACGTGCCACCACGCCCAGCTAATTTTTGTATTTTTAGTAGAGATGGGGTTTTGCCATGTTGGCCAGACTGGTCTTGAACTCCTGACCTCAGATGATCTGCCCCTCTTGGCCTCCCAAAGTGCTGGGATTACAAGCATGAGCCACTGCACCCGGCACTGAGCAATTTTTTAAACCAATATATTCTTTGGTGCAGCATCTAATTTAATACTTATTTTAAAACCTAATCCTTTAAAAATCTTTTATTTGCCAGTTGATAGAGAATGTCTGTTTTAAACACACGTTTCTAATGTATAAATCTAATGTTAGCAATACAATTCCAAACCCTTTACTTATCAGTGGGTATTTTATTTAGCAGAGACTGTATAAAATGCACTGCTAGCCAAACTGCTTTTGAATTTCTTTTGCCCCAGATCTCTGGTTTTTGGAGGCTTCATTAAATAAAACTAATAATCCTCTATTCACTTTTTAAGAATTGTGGTAAAGTATATTACATAAAGTTTACATTTTAACCATTTTAAGTGTCCACTTCGCTGGCATTAAGTATACTCACATTGTTGGGCAACTGTCACCATCATCCCACTAAAAAATGTTTATCTTCCCAAACTGAACCCAGTAAACACTAACTCCCTACTGCTCCCTTCCCAATCTCTGGCAAACACCATTCAATTCTCTGTTGGAAACAAGTGCTCGACATAGCCAAAAGAAACCCCCTAGAAAATTTCTCCGCAGGGCACCTTTACTTCTGCAGAAGGGTGCTGCTTGTGCCCGTTACGATCGCAAGAGCACGATGAACAAAGAAGGGAAGGAGTTTTTAATTTAATGCAGTTCCTGTTTCTGTGTCGTCCCCCAATTGGCTGGGATTGGACTGCACAATCTAAGCTGATCCCGATTGGCTAAGACTTAAACTTTTCCAAATAGGGTAAATGTGCGATTTGTGGAAACAGAAGAGAAGAAAGGGGGTAGGATTGATGTACAACTTTTATAACTTATGATCAGAAAGTTGAGTCTTTGAAGAGGAACTTAGTTGTTCCAACATGTGTCTGTGTTAACCCCACTACTGTAGGTACCTCATAAAAGTGAAGTCCCAGTATTTGACTTTTTGTGACTAGTTTATTTCATTTAGCGTAACATGTTCAAGGTTCATGTTCATGTTCATGATCAAGGAACATGTTCAAGGAACATGTTCATGTTCATGTTCAAATTCTGCACATCTCAGAATTTCCTTTTTTAAGGCTGGATAATCTATTGTATGGCTATACCACAGTTTGATTTGCTTTCACCTTTTCAATATTGTGAATAAAGCTGCCATGAACATGGGTGTACAAATAGCTCTTCCAGTACCTGCTTTCAACTTTTTGATTAATATACCCAGAAGTGGAATTGCTGGATCATACGTTGGTATCATTTTTTAGTATTAATGTTTATTTTCCAACTCGGTCTTGAGGTTTCTCTCTTGAGAAAGGCCAAAAGCCAATATAGCCACACTCTTTTTTTTAATTTTTTTATTTTAAGAGTCTTGCTCTGTCATCCAGGCTGGAGTGCAGTGGCACAATCTCAGCTCACTGCAACCTCTGCCTCCTGGGTTCAAGTGATTCTCATGCCTCAGCCTCCCGAGCAGCTGGGATTACAGGCATCTCCCACCATGCCCAGCTAATTTTTATATTTTTTGTAGAGACGGGGTTTCACCATGTTGGCCACACTGGTCTTGAACTCCTGACCTCAGGTGATCCACTCACCTTGGCCTCCCAGAGTGCTGGGATTACAGGCCTGAGCCAACATGTCCGGCCCGAGATAGCCACTCTCTAGGAGAGCTGGTGGAGGATGTTAAGTTCAAGTGTGTCAAGTGAGACACAATGAGAAAGTGAAACCAAAATCAATGAAAGGAAAAAGTTTATTATAGATTCCAGAGAAGTTAGGGGTGCTGAATAATGGCCCACAGGAAGTCCAGAGACAGTATGGTGCTCAACCTGTGGGTAGGTTACTGGAGAGATGAAGAGACAGAGAGGGCCTGTGGGACTGTGCCTTTTAAGGACCATGGGTTTGTCCTTCAGTCTTTCTTCACGTGACTGTCGATTGGCTAGGGAAAAAAATGAAGGGGGGAATTTATTTACATGACTGTGGTGTTGGTCATTAGCTTTTATAGGAGTCAGCAGCTGTGAGATGAGGAACACGTGGGTTATATCAGGAAACAACCGCACAGGGAGAGGAAGTTTGTCAGACCTAAAAGCGTAGCAGCTTTATATTAAACAAATTATGACCTATGGCAATTCTACATTTATTCCCTATCACTTTTTTATGTTTTTAGGAGACAGGGGTCTGCCCAGGCTGGTCTCTAACTCCTGGGCTCAAGCAATCCTCCCATCTGGGTCTCCCAAAGTGCTGGGATTGCAGACGTGAATAAAACACCCGCCCCAAATCACTTTTAAATCCTACCACGTCTTGGCAGGTGTTTTATTCACACGGATATTTAGAAAATGCCAAAAAGGGTTTGTGTGTGTGTATGTGTGTGATATAAAGGTTCTGGTTTGGTTGTCAAAAATATAGGAAGAACTACAGTACACAGGGCTTTAAATTCCAAAGTTTTTCTTTGCTTGTAGACTGATATTTATCATAGTCCCTGGAGGAGGGTGTAAGGCCTCCAGCGACCCAGGATCCAGTTTCAGAGACTTCTTCATTAGGTTAGTGAATGTGGCCAAGTTACACCGCCCGTCCATGCCTCTGTTTTCCATCCATAAAGAGGGCAACATAAAAACGCTCTTGAAGGAGAAGAAGGGGAACCCCTCCCACGGCTCCAGGAGACCCCTGTGCAGATTTCACCTGGGGTCTGCATGGCCTGAAGGGTGGCTCTCCCACAGGCAATCCCGCCTCCAGGGCATCGCCCCGCCCCATTGTCTCCGTCTTGGTATCGCCCCGCCCCTTCTGCCTTTCCCGGGGGACGCTGGGATCTCTCTACTAGCTTTGGAAAGTCGCGGCTGTAGCGCCCTTCTAACGTCACCACGCGGCTCTCGTGGCTCCTGTTTCTCAGCCCATTCCAGGTCACCTCCCCCCCCTCCCCCGTTGCCCTCATGCCTGGAAACGGAAGTGCGCTCCCGGAAACGGAAGTGAATGCCGTACTCCGCGTGCAGGCCCGCCTCCTTCCACATCAACCAGTCTAAGGTTGCTCCCACCAGACTAGGAGGACTGGAGAGTAGGGTTGGGGTCAAAGGGTAGCCTCCTGCAGGTCGCCTCCTCCTGTGGCTTTCCCGGACGTCGCGCTGGGACTTCCTGCCGACACCGCACTTCTTCCCAGACTCCCACCTGCGCCGCTGGGGGCTTGGGTCCAGGTAAAAGGCGGGTCGGGAGTGCGGGCAGCGAGCTTCGGTGGGGCCTTTTCGTCCGCGGTCTCCCCTTTCCCAAGCCTCTTCATCAGCCTTTGCAGACTTTCTGCAGAAGGAAGAAAATCTCTTGCTGGAGTCGTGGTTGTTTTGTCCCCAGCAGCTTCACCGACCAGGGGATTCCAGCCAGTTTGGGTGAACACTGGGTGAATTTGTTCTTTTGGGGGATGTTCTTTATATTTGGTAAATTATGTACAGGTGGAGAAATTAGAAACTCATTGTTAGGGAGTACGGGCATCTGACACAATTAAATGCATGGGTGAATGAATGCATGTAAATGCAAATTTTACTGTCACGGAAAATCAGCTCGGTATTCAGCTCAGAACCCTGTAAATCTCTAAGCTTCAAAATACAAGCATCTCCAGAGAAAAAAAGAGAACATGCAGGCTTGTTTTTGTATCACAAATGGGAATTGAGTTGACCATAAACAGCAAGAGCCTTTTCCAAGTGGATTTTCCTTACCTTGTTAATTTGGAAATTTTCAAACTGAAGAAAATGTCAAAGTCTGGTACAACAAACCACCATTGCCCTAGATTCACTAAGTAATTAATCTCTTGTCATTTCCTTTTTTTGAGACAGTCTCACTCTATTGCCCAGGCTGGAGTGCAACAGCACGATCTCCGCTCATTGCAACCTCCACCTCCCAGGTTCAAGTGATTCTCTTGCCACAGCCTCCCAAGTAGCTGGGATGACAGGCGCAGACCACCACACCCAGCTAATTTTTGTATTTTTAGTAGAGACGGGGTTTCACCATGTTGGCCAGGCTTAACTCCTGACCTCGTGATCTGCCCTCCTGGGCCTCCCAAAGTGCTGGGATTACAAGCACGAGCCACCGCGCCTTGCACATACGAAGGTTTATAAGCTAAAAGTAAGTTGACGGTGAGGTAGGAGGCGGGACTAGACTCTGGAGTCTAGTGGGCTTGGACACCCCACCAAATTGAAGACTAGCTAAAACAGGTCTGTGCCACATGAATATTTTTTTTTGGTGTCTCCACTATTGAGTAGGTTCTCAGGTGGTCAGGGCCTCTGAGGTCTCCCTTTGGGCAATGCTGCTTACCCCCTTCCTTTCCTCCCTTCCACAGTTACCATTTGTTTAGCTCCTCTCTGCCCAGCCCTCTGGAATTTAGGTTCAACATCCAACTGTCCATTTTTAGCTCCTAATCCACTTTTATAACACCCTGCTATTTATATTTACACCTTTCTGGAAGGTGGGAATTTAAAAGGGAAAATTAACTAGACATTTGCTAAACTTAGGCTGAAACCCCCTGTAGCGATCCTTAGTCGACCTGGGGACAACAGCAAGCATCCCAGAGGACTTGGCACTGGAGTGTCTTTTACGCTATTGGAGCAAGTTCAAATTCGTCTTAAGAAGAGACTCATTTTTTGTTGCAGCACTGTTTGGGTTCAATACAGATTAGAAAACTAACAGATTTGGCCTACATATGGTTCTATACATTATAATGATATTTACAATTAGACTTATTTTGTAAAAAGGAAAATGGGAAGACGTCCCTTATGTACAGGCTTTTATGGCTCTTTACAGGCTCATGTTAATTCCAGGGACCAGAATGCCATGCCTAAGGGATCCCCTCCTAGCTGCTCCCTTTAGAAGGCTTACGTTTTCCCCAGGGTCTCTTCAGTCCCCCAATTCTGAGGGGCTTCCTACCAGTTTTTCAATGAAGGAACCCACCCCAAGGTCATCACTCACGCCTCCCCCTTATGCAAACTAGCCCCTATCCCTCCCACTTCCCAAGAGAGTAAGCCCAACCAGTATCACCAGGAGTGGGGCCCCATATCGGCCCCTAAAGTGAAACCTGTGTGCATTGTGGGTGGTAGCTAGTGGAAGTAAGGGAACATGTGCCATTTTCTGTGTCTAATTTGGCTTTATGCAAGGAAAAAATTGGACAGTTTTTAGAGAATCAAGAAAAGTTTATAGAGAAGTTTGTTAAGTTAACCATGTTGTTTCATTTAACTTGTTATGACTCACAAATATTGTCATCCGCTTGTTGTGTTGTGGGGAAAAGAAGTGGAGAAAAAAGGTGTGGTATATACCTATATAAATCCTATTAATCCTATTTCTCTGGAAAACCCTCACTAATACAGGATTGGTTTTTGTTGTTGTTGTTGTTTGTTTGGTTTTTTTTTTTTAAAGAGATGGGGTTTTGCCATGTTGCTCAGGCTGGTCTCGAACTCCTGGACTCAAGTGACCCACCCACCTTGGCTTCTCAAAGTGCTGGGAGTACAGACATGAACCACCATGCTCGACCTTGTTGAAACTTTTTGCATCTGTATTTGTGAGCCATGGTGTTGGCCTGTAGTTCTCTGTTGTTTTAATGTCTTTCGTTTTGGTATTAGGGTGATGCTGGCCTCACAGAATGTTAGAAAGTATTCCCTCTGCTTTTTCTGGAAGAGATTGTAGAAAACTGGCATACTTTCTTACTTTCTTCCTTAAATGTTTGGTAGAATTCACTAGTGAACACATCTGGACTTGGTGCTTTTTGTTTTGGAATGTTATTATTCTTTTTCTTTATAGATACAGATCTATTTAGATTGTCTGTTTCTTCTTGTGTGAGTTTTGGCAGTGATATGGTTTGGCTGTGTCCCCACCCAAATCTCATCTTGAATTCCCACATGTTGTGGGAGGCACCCGGTGGGAGGTAATTGAATCATGGGGCAAGTCTTCCCCATCCTGTTATTGTGATAGTCAATAAGTCTCACTAGTTTTGACTGTCTTAAAAACGGGAATTTTTCTGCACAAGCTCTCTCTTTGCCTGCCAACATCCACGTAAGATGTGACTTGCTCCTCCCTGGCTTCCACCATGATTGTGAGGCCGCCCCAGCCACGTGGAACTGTGAGTCCAATTAAACCTTTTTCTTTTGTGAATTGCCCACTTTCGGGTATGTCTTTATAAGCAGCATGAAAACAGACTAATACAGGCATATTGTTTCTTTCACATCACTGATGTATTTCATCTAGGCTTTCAAATTTGTGGATGTAGAATTGTTCATGAAATTGCTTTATTATCCATTTCGTATTTGTTATTTTTATTTTTTATTATACTTTAAGTTTTAGGGTAGATGTGCACAACGTGCATGTTAGTTACATATGTATACATGTGCCATGTTGGTATGCTGCACCCATTAACTCGTCATTTAACATTAGGTATATCTCCTAATGCTATTCCTCCCCCTCACCCCACCCCACAACAGGCCCCGGTGTGTGATGTTCCCCTTCCTGTGTCCATGTGTTATCACTGTTCAATTCCCACCTATGAGTGAGAACATGTGGTGTTTGGTTTTTTGTCCTTGGGATAGTTTGCTGAGAATGATGGTTTCCAGCTTCATCCATGTCCCAACAAAGGACATGAACTCATCATTTTTTATGGCTGCATAGTATTCCATGGTATATATGTGCCATATTTTCTTAATCCAGTCTATCATTGATGGACGTTTGGGTTGGTTCCAAGTCTTTGCTATTGTGAATAGTGCTGCAATAAACGTACATGTGCATGTGTCTTTATAGCAGCATGATTTATAATCCTCTGGGTATATACCCAGTAATGGGATTGCTGGGTCAAATGGTATTTCTTGTTCTAGATCCCTGAGGAATCACCACACTGACTTCCACAATGGTTGAACTAGTTTACAGTTCCACCAACAGTGTAAAAGCGTTCCTATTTCTCCACATCCTCTCCAGCACCTGTTGTTTCCTGACTTTTTAATGATTGCCATTCTAACTGGTGTGAGATGGTATCTCACTGTGGTTTTGATTTGCATTTCTCTGATGGCCAATGATGATGAGCATTTTTTCATGTGTCTTTTGGCTGCATAAATGTCTTCTTTTGAGAAGTGTCTATTCATGTCCTTCGCTCACTTTTTGATGGGGTGGTTTTTTTCTTGTAAATTTGTTTGAGTTCATTGTAGATTCTGGATATTAGCCCTTTGTCAGATGAGTAGGTTGCAAACATTTTCTCCCATTCTGTAGGTTGCCTGTTCACTCTGATGGTAGTTTCTTTGGCTGTGCAGAAGCTCTTTAGTTTAATTAGATCCCATTTGTCAATTTTGGCTTTTGTTGCCATTGCTTTTGGTGTTTTAGACATGAAGTCCTTGCCCATGCCTATGTCCTGAATGGTAATGCCTAGGTTTTCTTCTAGGGTTTTTATGGTTTTAGGTCTAAGATTTAAGTCTTTAAGAGATCCAGTTTCAGCTTTCTACATATGGCTAGCCAGTTTTCCCAGCACCATTTATTAAATAGGGAATCCTTTCCCCATTGCTTGTTTTTGTCAGGTTTGTCAAAGATCAAATGGTTGTAGATATGTGGCATAATTTCTGAGGGCTCTGTTCTGTTCCATTGGTCTATATCTGTGTTTTGGTACCAGTACCATGCTGTTTTGGTTACTGTAGCCTTGTAGTATAGTTTGAAGTCAGGTAGCATGATGCCTCCAGCTTTGTTCTTTTGGCTTAGGATTGACTTGGCAATGTGGGCTCTTTTTTGGTTCCATATGAACTTTAAAGTAGTTTTTTCCAATTCTGTGAAGAAAGTCATTGGTAGCTTGATGGGGATGGCATTGAGTCTATAAATTACCTTGGGCAGTATGGCCATTTTCCCGATATTGATTCTTCCTACCCATGAGCATGGAATGTTCTTCCATTTGGTTGTATCCTCTTTTATTTCATTGAGCAGTGGTTTGTAGTTCTCCTTGAAGAGGTCCTTCATGTCCCTTGTAAGTTGGATTCTTAGGTATTTTATTGTCTTTGAAGCAATTGTTAATGGGAGTTCACTCATGATTTGGCTCTCTGTTTGTCTGTTATTGGTGTATAAGAATGCTTGTGATTTTTGCACATGATTTTGTATCCTGAGACTTTGCTGAAGTTGCCTATCAGCTTAAGGAGATTTTGGGCTGAGACGATGGGGTTTTCTAGATAAACAATCATGTCATCTGCAAACAGGGACAATTTGACTTCCTCTTTTACTAACTGAATACCCTTTATTTCCTTCTCCTGCCTGATTGCCCTGGCCAGAACTTCCAACACTATATTGAATAGGAGTGGTGAGAGAGGGCATCCCTGTTTTGTGCCAGTTTTCAAAGGGAATGCTTCCAGTTTTTGCCCATTCAGTATGATATTGGCTGTGGGTTTGTCATAGATAGCTCTTATTATTTTGAGATACTCTCATCAATACCTAATTTATTGAGAGTTTTTAGCATGAAGGGTTGTTGAATTTTGTCAAAGGCCTTTTCTGCATCTATTGAGATAATCATATGGTTTTTGTCGTTGGTTCTGTTTATATGCTGGATTACGTTTATTGATTTGCGTATGTTGAACCAGCCTTGCATCCCAGGGATGAAGCCCACTTGATCATGGTGGATAAGCTTTTTGATGTGCTGCTGGATTCGGTTTGCCAGTATTTTATTGAGGATTTTTGCATTGATGTTCATCAGGGATATTGGTCCAAAATTCTCTTTTTTTTATTGTGTCTCTGCCAGGCTTTGGTATCAGGATGATGCTGGCCTTATAAAATGAGTTAGGGAGGATTCCCTCTTTTTCTATTGATTGGAATAGTTTCAGAAGGAATGGTACCAGCTCCTCCTTGTACCTCTGGTAGAATTCGGCTGTGAATCCATCTGGTCCTGGACTTTTTTGGTTGGTAAGCTATTAGTTATTGCCTCAATTTCAGAGCGTGTTATTGGTCTATTCAGGGATTCAACTTCTTCCTGGTTTAGTCTTGGGAGGGTGTATGTGTCAAGGAATTTATCCATTTCTTCTAGGTTTTCTAGTTTATTTGCGTAGAGGTGTTTATTCTCTGATGGTTGTTTGTATTTCTGTGGTATCAGTGGTGATATCCCCTTTATCATTTTTTATTGCATCTATTTGATTCTTCTCTCTTTTCTTCTTTATTAGTCTTGCTAGTGGTCTATCAATTTTGTTGATCTTTTCAAAAAACCAGCTCCTGTATTCATTGATTTTTTGAAGGGTTTTTTGTGTCTCTATTTCCTTCAGTTCTGCTCTGATCTTAGTTATTTCTTGCCTTCTGCTAGCTTTTGAATGTGTTTGCTCTTGCTTTTCTATTTGTTTTAATTGTGATGTTAGGGTGTCAATTTTAGATCTTTCCTGCTTTCTCTTGTGGTCATTTAGTGCTATAAATTTCCCTCTATACACTGCTTTGAATGTGTCCCAGATTCTGGTATGTTGTGTCTTTGTTCTCATTGGTTTCAAAAAACATTTTTATTTCTGCCTTCATTTCGTTATGTACCCAGTAGTCATTCAGGAGCAGGTTGTTCAGTTTCCATGTAGTTGAGCGGTTTTGAGTGAGTTTCTTAATCGTGAGTTCTAGTTTGATTGCACTGTGGTCTGAGAGACAGTTTGTTATAATTTCTGTTCTTTTACATTTGCTGAGGAGTGCCTTACTTCCAACTATGTGGTCAATTTTGGAATAAGTGTGGTGTGGTGCTGAGAAGAATGTATATTCTGTTGATTTGGGGTGAAGAGTTCTGTAGATGTCTATTAGGTCCACTTGGTACAGAGCTGAGTTCAACTCCTGGATATCCTTGTTAACTTTCTGTCTTGTTGATCTGTCTAATGTTGACAGTGGGGTGTTAAAGTCTCCCATTATTATTGTGTGGGAGTCTAAGTCTCTTTCTAGGTGTCCAAGGACTTGCTTTATGAATCTGGGTGCTCCTGTATTGGGTGCATATATATTTAGGATAGTTAGCTCTTCTTGTTGAATTGATCCCTTTACCATTATGTAATGGCCTTCTTTGTCTCTTTTGATCTTTGTTGGTTTAAAGTCTGTTTTATCAGAGACTAGGATTGCAACCCCTGCCTTTTTTTGTTTTCCATTTGCTTGGCAGATCTTCCTCCATCCCTTTATTTTGAGTCTATGTGTGACTCTGCACGTGAGATGGGTTTCCTGAATACAGCACACTGATGGGTCTTGACTCTTTATC
Source organism: Homo sapiens (assembly GCF_000001405.40). Taxonomy (NCBI): domain Eukaryota; kingdom Metazoa; phylum Chordata; class Mammalia; order Primates; family Hominidae; genus Homo; species Homo sapiens. Next base: position 9,399,851 of record NC_000019.10, on the reverse strand, counting down.
CAATTTGCCAGTCTGTGTCTTTTAATTGGAGCATTTAGCCCATTTACATTTAAGGTTAATATTGTTATGTGTGAATTTGATCCTGTCATTATGTTAGTTGGTTATTTTGCTCATTAGTTGATGCAGTTTCTTCCTAGTCTTGATGGTCTTTACAATTTGGCATGTTTTTGCAGTGGCTGGTACCGGTTGTTCCTTTCCATGTTTAGTCCTTCCTTCAGGAGCTCTTGTAGGGCAGGCCAGGTGGTGACAAAATCTCTCAGCATTTGCTTGTCTGTATTTTATTTCTCCTTCACTTATGAAGCTTAGTTTGGCTGGATATGAAATTCTGGTTGAAAATTCTTTTCTTTAAGAGTGTTGAATATTGGCCCCCACTGTCTTCTGGCTTGTAGAGTTTCTGCTGAGAGATCAGCTGTTAGTCTGATGGGCTTCCCTTTGTGGGTAGCCCGACCTTTCTCTCTGGGTGCCCTTAACATTTTTTCCTTCATTTCAACTTTGGTGAATCTGACAATTATGTGTCTTGGAGTTGCTCTTCTTGAGGAGTATCTTTGTGGCTTTCTCTGTATTTCCTGAATTTGAATGTTGGCCTGCCTTGCTAGATTGGGGAAGTTCTCCTGGATAATATCCTGCAGAGTGTTTTCCAACTTGGTTCCATTCTCCCTGTCACTTTCAGGTACACCAATCAGATGTAGATTTGGTCTTTTCATATAGTCCTATATTTCTTGGAGGCTTTGTTTCTTTTCATTCTTTTTTCTCTAAACTTCTCTTCTTGTTTCATTTCATTCATTTGATCTTCCATCACTGATACCCTTTCTTCCAGTTGATCGAATCGGCTACTGAGGCTTGTGCATTTGTCATGTAGTTGTTGTGCCTTGGTTTTCAGCTCCATCAGGTCCTTTAAGGACTTCTCTGCATTGGCTATTCTAGTTAGCCATTCTAATTTTTTTTCACGGTTTTTAACTTCTTTGCCATGGGTTCAAACTTCCTCCTTTAGCTTGGAGTAGTTTGATCATCTGAAGCCTTCTTCTGTCAACTCGTCAAAGTCATTTTCCGTCCAGCTTTGTTCCATTGCTGATGCGGAGCTGCGTTCCTTTGGAGGAGCAGAGGCGCTCTGATTTTTAGAGTTTCCAGTTTTTCTGCTCTGTTTTTTCCCCATCTTTGTGGTTTTATCTACCTTTGGTCTTTGATGATGGTGATGTACTGATAGGGTTTTGGTGTGGATGTCCTGTTTGTTAGTTTTCCTTCTAACAGTCAGGACCCTCAGCTGCAGGTCTGTTGGAGTTTGCTGGAGGTCCACTCCAAACCTGTTTGCCTGGGTATCAGCAGCAAAGGCTGCAGAACAGTGGATATTGGTGAACAGCAAATGTTCCTCTGGAAGTTTTGTCTCAGAGGAGTACCCAGCCATGTGAGGTGTCAGTCTCCCCCTACTGGGGGATGCCTCCCAGTTAGGCTACTCAGGGGTCAGGGACCCACTTGAGGAGGCAGTCTGTTCATTCTCAGATCTCCAGCTGCATGCTGAGAGAACCACTGCTCTCTTCAAAGCTGCAGACAGGGACATTTAAGTCTGCAGAGGATTCTGCTGCCTTTTGTTTGGCTGTGCCCTGCCCGCAGAGGTGGAGTCTACAGAGGCAGGCATGCATCCTTGAGCTGCGGTGGGCTCCACCCAGTTCAAGCTTTCCAGCCACTTTGTTTACCTGCTCAAGCCTCAGCAATGGCGGGCGCCCCTCCCCCAGCCTCACTGCCACTTTGCCGTTTGATCTCAGACTGTTGTGCTAGCAATGAGCAAGGCTCTATGGGCGTAGGACCCTCCGAGCCAGGCGTGGGATGTAATCTCCTGGTGTGCCGTTTGCTAAGACCATTTGAAAAGTGCAGTATTAGGGTGGGAGTGACCCGATTTTCCAGGTGCTGTCTCTCACCCCTTTCTTTGACTAGGAAAGGGAATTCCCTGACCCCTTGCGCTTCCCAGGTGAGGTGATGCCTCGCCCTGCTTCAGCTCACGCTCGGTGCGCTGCACCCACTTTCTGACACTCCCCAGTGAGATGAACCCGGTACCTAAGTTGGAAATGCAGAAATCACCCGTCTTCTGCATCACTCATGCTGGGAGCTGTAGACTGGAGCTGTTCCTATTTGGACATCTTGGCTCCGCCCCCCATTTCATATTTATGAGATCTGTAGTGATGTCCCTTCTTAATTTCTGCTATTAGTAATTTGTGTCTTCTCTGTTGTTTCTTTGTTAGCCTGATGAGAGGTTTATTTTATTCATCCTTTCAAAGAACCAGCTTTTGGTATTGTTGATTTTACTCTATTTTCTGTTTTCAATTTCACTGACTTTTGCTTGAGGTTTTTTGTTTGAGACAGTGTCTTGCTTTGTTGTCCAGGCAGGAGTGCAGTGGCATGATCATGGCTCACTGCAGCCTCAAACTCCTGGACTCAAGGGATGCTTCCACCTCAGTCACCCAAATAGAGGGGAGTACAGGCATGTGCCACCATGCCTGGCTTTTAAAATTTTTGTAGAAATGGAGTCTAGCTGTGTTGCCCAGGCTGGTCTCAAAACTCCTGGCCCTCAAGTGATCCTCCCACACTGGCCTCCAAAAGTGCTGAGATTACAGGCATAAGCCACCATGTCTGGCCTTGAATTTTTATTATTTCTTTTCTTCTGCTTACTTTGGATTTAATTTGCTTTTTTTTTTTTTTTTTAGTTTCCTAAGGTGGAAGCTTAGATGATTGGCACAGATCTTTTTTCTTTTCTAACCATTCAGTGTTATAAATTTCCCCCGAAGAACTGCTTTTGTTGCACCCCACAAATCTTGTTAAGTTGTATCTGTTGTCAGTGCAAATTTTTTAAACTTTTTTTGAGATTTCTTGTTTGACCTATTTATTTAGAAGTGTGCTGTTTGATCTTCAAGTATTTTGAGATTTTTTTAGCTGTCTTTGATTAGTTTCCAGTTTAATTCTGTTGTGATCTGAGAGCATACATTGTATGATTTCAGTTCTTTCATATTTGTTAAGAGGTGTTTCATGACCCGCAGTGTGGCCTGTCTTGATGAATATTCTATGTGAGCTTGAGAAGAATGTATAATCTGCTGGTTTTGGATGAAGTAATCTATATATGTTAATTATATCCAGTTGATTGATAATGCTGTTGAGTTTTACTACATTCTTACTGATTTTCTCCCTGCTGGATCTGTCCATTTGTGATAGAGGGGTATTTATTTTTAATTAATTTATTTTTTCATTTTTTTTTTTTTTTTTGAGATGGAGTCTTGCACTGTCACCTGGGCTGGAGTGCCATGGCGTGATCTCAGTTCACTGCACCCTTTGCCTCCTGGGTTCAAGCGATTCTCCTGCCTCGGCCTCCCAAGTAGCTGGGACTATAGGTGTGCACCACCACACTTGGCTAATTTTTACATATTTAGTAGAGACGAGGTTTCACCATATTGACCAGGCTGGTGTCAAACTCCTGACCTCGTGATCTAACCGCCTCGGCCTCCCAAAGTGTGCCACTGTGCCTGGCGATAAAGGGGTATTTAAATCTCCAGCTATAATAGTGGTTTTATCTATTTCTCCATGCAGTTCTACTAGCTTTTACCTCATTTTGATGCTCTGTCATGTGTACACACATTAAGGATTGTTATGACTTCTTGGAATATTGGTCTCTTTAAGTTATGCCCCTCTTTATCCCAGATAACTTTCCTTGATATGACGTGTGCTCTGGTCCAGGCACAGGGTCTCACATCTGTAATGCAGAACTTTGGGATGCTGAGGTGGAGGATCGCTTGAGGCTAGGAGTTTGACACCAGCCTGGGCAATGTAGCAAGACCCCACATCTGTAATTTAAAAAAGTTGAAGTCTGCTCTGTCTGAAATTAATATAGCTACTCCTGCTTTCTTTTGATTGTCATTAGCATGGTATATCTTTCTTCATTCATCTTTTAATCTATATGTGTCTGTTTAATTAAAGTGGGTTTCTTATAGACAATGAATAGCATTCCTTATAGCCCTCGTCATCTAACCTATTGACCACTGGCATATTACACACCTACACCCCATCACCAATCCTCAACCCCCATCACTGACCTTAACTAATGCACTTTCCATCCCTGGTAAATATTCTATGGGCGCCACAGTACTTACCTCTAAATTCCCAATGAGCAATCCCACGGACCTTCCATCAATGACTCCACAGTTCCCCAGTATGACTGACCATCTGAATCTCCACCAAGCCCCCTTGGGATCACATCGCTGACCCCCACATAGCCACACCATTGATTTCAGACTGCACATCCCTGACCCCGCTTCATATATATCACCGACCCCACAGAGCTGCAACATAGCACCAGAGATTCCTCCATTGATCTCTGTATAATCCCTATTACTGCTCCTAAGGAATCTCTATCACTAACCCCACAGTGTACATGTTACTGACCCCAGAGACTCCTAATCACTGTCCCTACAGACCTTCATCACTAACCTCACAAATCCTCACTGTATTGATGTGTTTTCATGCTGCTAATAAAGACATACCTGAGACTGGGTAATATACAAAGGAAAGAGGTTTAATTGACTCACAGTTCCACATGGCTGAGGAGGCCTTACAATCATGGCAGAAGGCGACTGAGGAGCAATGTCCTGGCAGTAGGCAAGAGATCTTGTGGAGGGGGACTTCCCTTTATAAGTCCATCATATCTTGACTTACTCACTACCGCAAGAACAGTATGGGGGAAACTGCCTGTAATTCAGTTATCTCCACCTGGCCCCACCCTTGACATGTGGGGATTATTACCATTCAAGGTGAGATTTGGGTGGGGACACAGCCAAACCATATCACTCACTAACCCCACTGACCCCTGTGGTCTCACAGTAGAGATGAATAGACCTCATCACTGATCATAAAGACCCACAACACAAACCACCAAAGACTCCCCATTATTTCTTTTCTTTTTGTTTTTAGACAGAGTCTTGCTCTGTCACCCAGGCTGGAGTGCAGTGGTGCGTGATCTCGGCTCACTGCAACCTCCGCTTCCTGGGTTCAAGCGATTCTCTTGCCTCAGCCTCCTGAGCAGCTGGGATTACAGGCACACACCACCACACCCGGCTAATTTTTGTATTTTTGTAGAGACAGGGTTTCACCATGTTGGCCAGGCTGGTCTCGAACTCCTGACCTCAAGTAATCCTCCCTCCTCAGCCTCCCAAAGTGCTAGGAGTACAGGTGTGAGCCACAGCGCCTGGCCACTCCCCATTATTTCTAATAGTGGTGTAAGCTGTTATCTCTTGGTTAAGATAGTGTCTGGCAAGTTTCTCCACTGTGCATTAATTTTTTTAATTTAATTTTTTGTTTTTCTTTAGACTGAAAAGTTGCAAAACTGCATTAATTAAAAGTAGGTTATACTTAAATGCTTTTAGGGGGCAATGTGTTAAGACTATGTAAATATCTTTTTCCTCTTAGAAACTCATCCACCAGTAATGATTCTTGTCTGGATTAATTATTATTATAATAGTTGCCAATTTTTTTTTTTTTTTTTTTTTTTGAGACAGAGTTTCGCTCTTGTTGCCCAGGCTGGAGTGCAATGGCATGATCTCGGCTCACTGCAACCTCCCCGGCTCCTGGGTTCAAGCGATTCTTCTGCCTCAGCTGGGATTACAGGCATGAGCCATTATGCCTGGCTAATTTTTAATTTTTTTAGTAGAGATGGGGTTTCTCCATGTTGGTCAGGCTGGTCTCCAACTCCCGACCTCAGGTGACCTGCCCACCTCAGCCTCCTGAAGTGTTAGGATTACAGACGTGAGCCACCACACCCGGCAATTTTTTTTTCTTTCCAACTGTCTGTGCCTTCCAGATTTCCCGTTTGTCGTACTGCTCTAGGTTAGAGATTTTTTTCCTCCCTATTTCTTTCTTCATTTATTTGTAGCAGTGTGAATTCATGGGTTCCCATATACTCATTACTTATTTTGCTCTAGTTGTCCCAGCTTTGGCCAGTGGAAGGCCCCTTGGCTGCCTCCTGTATCCCCTTGACATGACCCGTCATTCCATGAGAACTTTCCAGTCTTAAGATGTTCTAGGCTCATCTCATATTTTTCCTTCTCCAGCCCTGGAGTCAGCCTTTTCTCCAAAGAGCTCTAGTTCCTTTAAGAGGATAATGGTATTTAGAAACCAATTCTGGGCACTAAGTATTATCATTGCTACCTTGGATTCATTGCTTTCAGGGCCTCTCAGCAAACAGGAGTAGAGAATAAGTGTTTTTCTACCTAAACACATTTGTGGATATAAGTATACACATTTGAGTCCTATATTATATGTTAACAGGACTTTACACTAATATTTTCAATTAATCAGGACAGGTATTATTCTCACCTTCCCCTTTCCTGTTTGTAACTCTTTTCTCAGTGAGAAGGCTAGCTTCCATTATCCTCATTGGCTTTTAAACCCTCATTTGCATCTGTGTTACCCAAAAGCTTGGCTGTGGACATGCTGGCCCCTGCAGTCCCCCACACCTCAGGGGTACCTTCCAAAAGGACACTCTGCTGAAAAGGAAGAGAAAGGGGGAAGGAGGAAAGGCCAAAGATTGGTTTTGTTGTGAAACCTTTCCACATTCATTGTAGAAACACTGGTAAAATACCTGAGAGCAAAGAGGATATTAAATTGGATACATTTCAATCTCCAGAAAACTTTTCTTCTTAAAAAAGTTTTTTTTTATATACAAATGGAGTATTACTACGTTACTGAGGCTGGTCTCGAACTCCTGGGCTCAAGCAATCCTCTTGCCTTGGCCTTTTAAAGTGCTGGGACTGCAGGTGTGAGCCAGCATGCCTGGCCTCCGGAAAACTTTTCAGATGAAATAACTAAATTTAAAGCAATGGATCTAATTGTTAACATAATGTATAATGGCCAAAAAGTCTGAAACTTCAGGGTAGTAGTGTATTCATTATACTTTTTTTAGATTAACAGTTGGACCCCCTGATGCTAATTTGGAGGTGCTTCACCTATAAAGATAGGTCATGGTTGAAAAAAAACCAAATTGAACATATACTTTGAAAATGTATGCGTGTGTGTATGTATATATATATTTACTTTTTAGACAGAGTCTGTTTCCCAGACTGGAGTGCAGTAGTGCAACTTGGCTCACTTCAACCTCCGCCTCCTGGGTTCAAGCGATTCTCATGCCTCAGCATCCTGAGTAGCTGGGACTACAGGTGCATACCACCATGCCCAGCTAATTTTTGTATTTTTAGTAGAGACGGGATTTCATCATGTTGGCCAGGCAGGCCTCGAACTCTTGACCTCAAGTGATCCGCCTGCCTCAGCCTCCCAAAATGTTGGGATTACAGACGTGAGCCACTGCGCCCTGCCAGAAAAAGTAATTAACATATATTTATAGAAACTATAGTTCCTGACTTTTCATACACTTTTTTTTTTTTTTAAGAGAGTCTTACTCTCATTCAGGCTGGAGTGCAGCGGCATGATCAGGCTCAGTATAGCCTTGAACTCCTGGGCTCAAGCCATCCTCCCACCTCAGCCTCTCGAATAACTGGGACTACAGGCACACACCACCATGCTGGCCAATGTTTAAATTTTTGTAGAGACAGGGTCTCCCTATGTTGCCTAGGCCAGTCTTGAACCCCTGGGCTCCAGTCATCCTCCTGCCTCGGCCTCCCAAAGTGCTGGGATTATGGGTGTGAGGCACTGTACCTGACCAATCTGTTTGTGAGATAGCTTTGTGGTTTTCTTTTTCTGCCATATTATCTGGTACATAGCATGGTTATGCCAGCCTCATAAGGGTAGTTGGGGGAAGATTTCCTCTTGTATTTCCTAGTATTTTTTGGTAAGGGGAGATCAGGTTTAGGTTTATTTTTTCACATGACCTAAATGTGTGGTTCATGAATTAAATAACAAATACTCTTGTAACCACGACCCCGTTCAAGATGTAGAACTTTGCCTCAAATACCATGTCCCAGTCACAACTGCCTCTTTCTTCCCTCAGAGTAACCACTCTCATGACTTTTATAGTAATCATTTATTACCTTTCACCCAAATGTGGAACCCCAAACATTATTTAATTTTTGCTCATTTTTGGATGTCATTTTTTAGTCTTCCCCGTTTTATTTTTTGAAGCACCTGGATTAAGATCTAGAGTTATGTGTAGTGTGGATTTTGCTAATTGCATTCTCATAGGGTTGTCAGCGTATTTCTTTTTATATCATAGTTGGATCTAGAGATAAGATTCAGTTTCATTTTTGGGGAGGTGGTGGCACATGTGATCTTTGATCAGAAGGTACATAATGTCCAATGGTGTCTCTTTTGTGAGTGTTAGTAGTCATTGGTGCTCAGTGTCTAGACCCAATTTTTTTTTTTTTTTTTTTTTTTGAGGCAGAGTCTTGATCTGTCACCCAGGCTGGAGTGCAGTGGCACGATCTTGGCTCACCGTAACCTCCACCTCCTGGGTTCAAGTGGTTCTCCTGCCTCAGCCTCCTGAGTAGCTGGGGTTACAGGTGTGTGCCACTGTGCCCGGCTAATTTTTGTATTTTTTTTTTTTTTTTTTAGTAGAGACGGTGTTTTGCCATGTTGGCTAGGCTGGTCTTGAATTCCTGGCCTCAGGTGATCCACCTGCCTTGGCCTCCCAAAGTGCTGGGATTACAGGCATAAGCCACTGCGCCTGGCTGAGGTTTTTTTTTGAGACATGGTTTCATTCTGTTACCCAGGCTGTAGTGGAGGGACACCATCATACCTCACTGCAGCCTTGACTTCTGGGTTCAAGCAATACTTTAACCTCAGCCTCCTGAGTAGCTGGGGCCACAGGGCATGTACCACCATGCCCAGCAAATCTTTTCATTTTTTGTAGAGATAAGGCTTTGCTTTGTTGCCCAGGCTGGTCTCAAACTCCTGGGTTGAAGTGATCCCCTCATCTCAGCCTCCCAATGTGTTGGGATTACAGGTGTGAGCCACCATGCCTGGCCTAGATCCATTAATTTTTAATAAACTGCTGAATTTCTTAGCTGGAATATGTTCCAGTTACCATTGGGTTAACTGGTGGTAGAGTTCATGGAATTCTGGAAAATTGGTACCAAGAAGTAGGGTGTTACTGACAACGAGAAATACCTGAACATGTGGAAGCAGCTTTGAAACTGGGTATAATGGGGCAGAAGGTAGAATAATTTGGAGGAGCAGACTAGAAAAAGCCTAGATTCTGATGAAGGCTTAGAAAACAAAGCTAGGTAAAGATTTGGAACGCCTTAGAGATTTGTTAAGTGGCTGTGTCTAGAATTTTGATAGAAATATGGACAGTAAAGGCCATTCTGATGTGGTTTCAGCTGGAATTGAGAAAGAAGGCATTGGAAACTGCAGTAAAGGCTGTCCTTGTTATAAACTGGCAAAAAACTTGGCTGAACTCGATCCATGCCTGAGGGCTTTGTGGAAGGCCTAATTTGAGAGTGATGAACTAGGGTATGTGGCAGTAGAAATTTCTAAGCAACACATAGGAGTTGCATGGTTACTTTTGGCTATTTGTGCCAAGATTCAGAAGCAAAAGAACAACTTAAAAGACAGAATTTATGTTAAAAGGGAAGCACCATGGAAAAATCTGGGAAACTCTTAGCCTGGCCACATAGAGTGAAAAAGTGTGTTCAGGTGGGGAAACTAAGGTCGTACCCTAGTGATCCTTTGCTGAAGAGATTAGCACAGAAGGGAGCCGGGTGCTTTTACTCAAAACAATGGAAGAAAGACCCTGAAGGCATTCTGGAGATTTTCAAGGTTGCCCCTCACATTACAGGCCTAGAGGCCTACGAGGGCACAGTGGCTTCAGGGGACAGACCAGTCATTCTCCATAGTTTGCTGCTGAGTTGCCTTGGAACTCTGCTCCCTGCACCTCTGCACAGTGCTCTGTGGCTGCCCAGCTATAGCTTAAGTGACCCAGGTGCAGCTCATGCCCTTCAGAAGGTACAGGTCATAAACTTTGGTGGCATCCATGTGCAGCTAATTCTGCAGACTTGCAGAATGGAGGTTTGGCAGCTTCCACCCAGATTCCAAAGGATGTCATCAAAAGCCTGGAGGCCCAAGCATAGACGTGTTGTAAGGATAGAGCAACTGCAGAGAGTCCCGACCAGAGCCATGGTCACATGCAGAAATGTGACGTTGGGGCTGCTACAGAATCCCCACCAGGGCAATACCTAGTGGAGCTATGGGAGTAAGAATGCCATCAGGACCCCAAAACTGCAGAGTAACCAGCAGCATGCAACGCCCACCTAGGAAGTCTTCAGGCACAAGTCCTCAAACTGTATAAGCCACTATTTGGGATGCACCCAGCAAAACCAGAGGGGCTGGGCTGCCTGAGGCCTTGGGGGGTCAAACTGTGACCTCAGTTTTTCCAGGAGGCAGCACGTGGAGTCAAAAGAGATGATTCTCCAGCTTGCAGATTTATGGTCTGCCCTGCTGGGCTTCAGACTTGATTGGGGCCTGTTACTTCTTTTTCCTCATTCTCCCCTTTTGGAATGTGAATGTCTGTCTTATGCCTGTACCACTACTGTCTCTCGAGAGTAGGTAACTTGTTTTGATTTCACAGGCTCACAGATGATACTCTGGACTTTGAACTTTTGAGTTGGTGATGGAATAACTTGAGACATTTAGGCTATAGAGAAGGAATGAATGTACTCATATGTGAGAGGAGCAAGAGTTTTTGAGGGCCGGGGCGGAATGCTATAGTTTGAATATTTGTCCCCTCCAAAAACTCATGTTGAAATTTAATCTCCCATGTGGCAGTATTCAGAAGTGGGGCCTTTAAGAGACGACTGGTCTTGAGGGCTCTGCCCTCTTGAATGGATTAATTCATTAATAGATTGAGGGATTAATGGGTTAATAGATTAATAGGTTATGTGAGTGGGACTGGTGGCTTTTTTTGTTTTGTTTTGTTATAAAAGAGTCAGGGTCTTGTGCTTGGTCACCCAGGCTGGAGTGCAGTGGCACAATCATGGCTCACTGTAGCCTCAACCTCCTGGCCTCAAGCAGTCCTCTCACCTCAGCCTCCGAAGTAGCTAGGACTACAAGTGCACACCACCACGCCCAGCTTATTTTTAAAAACATTTTTTTGTAGAGACAGTCTTGCTTTGTTTCCCAAACTGCTCTCAAACCTTTGAGGCCTCAAGGAGTATTCCTACTTTGGCCTCCCAAAGTGCTGGTATTACAGGCATGAGCTCCTGTACCCTGCAGGACTTGTGGCTTTAGAAAAAGATGAGGAGATCCAGGTGCAGTGCCTCACACTTAATAATCTCAGTGCTTTGGAAGCCCAAGACAGGATCACTGGAGCCCTAGGTGAGATCACTTCAGTCCAGGAGTTTGAGACCAGCCTGTGCAACTCAGTGAGACCCCATCTTTACAAAAAATACAAAACTTTGCCATGTGTGGTGGCATGTGTCTGTAGTCCCAGCTATTCGGCAGGCTGAGGCGGGAGGATTGCTTGAACCTGGGAGGTTGAAGCTGAAGGGAGCCACAATCGTGCCACTGCACTCCAGCCTGGGTGGCAGAATGAAACCCTGTCTGGGGGTAATAAAAAAGAACAAAGCTGGAGGCATCACTCTATCTGACTTCAAACTATACTACAAGGCTGCAGTAAGCAAAACAGCATGGTACTGGTGTAAAAGCAGACATACAGACCCTGGAACTTATTACAGAGTTCACACTAAGTTATTGTTGCTTTAATCAATCAATAGTCTTTAAATTAAAAAAATAGTATTTTATATTTGTCCACCTGTTTGCCCTTCCATACTCTTTAATTTCATCCCATCAATCTGCATGCACCTCAGCCTGGGATTATTTCTCTTCAGTATGAAACACTTCCTGTAGTATTTCCCATAGCACAAGTTTGACAATTTATTTTGTCAGCTTTTGTCTCAAAATGGAATTTTGTATTTTTGAAGATTTTTTTTGCAAAGCATACAATTAGGTTTTTCTCTTTCAGCACTTTAAAGATACAATTACATTTTTCTTCTCCCTGTTATGTCACTGAGAAGTCAGCCACATTTTTTAAAATCCTGAACGTACTTTCTCTTTCTTAAGATTTTTTTTTTTTTAACAGATTGATGGTGAACTGTGTGTGGTTTTCTTTGCATTTATCCTGCTTAGGTTTGCTGAGCTTGACTCTGCTGGTTTGATGTTTTTAATCAGTTTTAGAAAACACTCATTGTTTTCCCGTGTCCGTAAGTTAGGCACATTTCTGTTAACCTATCTTTGAGTTCACTGATTGCCCTCTCCCCCACCTTTATTTGCTGTGTTTAGTTTGCTTTTAGGCCCACTTACAGAATTTTTTTTTAATTTCAGAAATTATAATTTTTACCTCTAGATTGTCTGTTTCTACTTTAGAGATTCCACTTAGATACTGCAATTTTATGTACTTTCTTTTTTTTTTTTTTTTGAAACAGTCTTGCTCTGCCACCCAACCCTGGAGTGCAATGGCGCAATCTTGGCTCACTGCAACCTCTGCTTCCCAAGTTGAAGTGATTCTCCTACCTCAGCCTCCCGAGTAGCTGGGATTACAGGCATGTGCCACCACACCTGGCTGATCTTTCTTTTAGTAGAGATGGGGTTTCACCATGTTGTCCAGGCTGGTCTCGAACTCCTGACTTCGTGATCCACCCACCTTGGCCTCCCAAAGTGCTGGGATTACAGGTATGAGCCACCACGCCTGGCCTGCAATTCTATATATATTTTCATCCATTTGAAATTTTTTGTTTTAACGTATCTGTCATAAGTTATAGGGGCAATTCTGAAACTGCCCCTATAAACTTTATAAAATTAATCAGGAAAGAAGAGAGAGGGATAAATGAAAAACCAAGCTTATAGCACATTCAACATTAATGAAGTTTAATCTCTGACCTACTTCTTCATAGTTCACTGGTGCCTATTGTCCTAGAATCATGTAGACCCTGTGTATTAGTCTGTTCTCATGCTGCTAATAAGGACATACTACCTGAGACTAGGTAACTAATAAAGGAAAGAGGTTTAATGAACTCACAGACCCTCATGGCTGGAGAGGCCTCACAATCATGGCCCAAGACGAAGAGCAAAGGGATATCTTACATGGTGACAAGCAAGACAGCGTGTGCAGGGGAACTGCCCTTTTATAAAATCATACGTTCGTGAGACTTATTCACTACCATGAGAACAGCACAGAAAAACCCACCCCCGTGATTCAGTTACCTCCCACTGGGTCCTTCCCATGACAGGTGGGGATTCTTACAATTCAAGGTGAGATTTGGGTAGGAACACAGGCAAACCATATCACCCTGTTACAAGATTAACTACTCTATTGATAACTTGACCATTATAAAACATTAAGTTTTTCCTTTGAGATACTCTTTCACACTTTTTACATGCTGATATACCTACCATTTCAGGTGGTCTGAAGGACCCCATTGACTCAGCTGGTCTGAGGGGCACCACGAGCTGACTTACCAAAGAATCTAGTTTCCACATCCTGATGACTTTATCCTGCTTGCTCTGACCATCAACAACCCTAATTCTCCAGTCCTTCACCCTCCCTGATCCCCTTTAAAACTCCAGCCTGGAACTTCTTGGGGATATAGATGTCTCCTCCTATCTCCTTACTTGGCGCCCTGTGGTAATTAAACTCTCTGCTTAATCCGTGTCTGTGTAATTGGTCTGCTACTACACAGCAGACATATGAACCTGTTGGTTCTATAACAATTCTAAAGTCCTTGTCTGCTAATTCCAACTTCTCATATCATCTATGGGTCTATTTTTGTTGGACCTTTTTCTCCTGATGATTGGTAACATTGACCTGCTGCTCTGCACATCATGTGATGTTTTAAGTTGGATGTGGATATTATGCTTAAAAGAACAGCAGAAATTGAAAAATATTTTCATCTGGAAGTCACTCCATTTCCTCTGCCAAGCAGTTTAGGTGAGAATCTCCTCAACTTTGATCCAATCAGAGGTTGGGATGTAAAAATTAGTTTTGGTTCACTTCGGGTTTCAAACATCTTGAGTAAGATCTTTCCTATGACTATTTCAGACCACTCCCTCTAACAGGACTGTGGAATCTAAGCACTACAATAGGGATATCCATTTTTTCCTGGTTAGTGCCCAGCACCAGCTGTTGCTACACACTCAGCAAATCATTATAGGGATACGCAGCACTGGTAAAGAGAGTCTATTTTATATTATAGTGTCACACTAGCCTTGTGACCATTAATGCCCCCTGGTCTCTCCATATTCCAGTAAAGTTCCTCTGCCTGTGGCAGGCCTGGCTCTCCGCCAATCTGCTCCTAGACCAGGAAAATGCCTTCAGGGAAGAAACCAGCCACTGATTTCTGCTCTTCTAGGAGGAGCTCATCCTCTGGCATTTAATTCTTTCACTCCTTTTTTTGTCCACAGATTTCCAGGGTCTTTGAAGATGTTAGTTCACTGTTTATTCATGTGGGTTCCTGTAAATGTCTGCAGCCAATCTGGAAGTGGAGCTGTATTTGGAACTTTTTGAATCTAAATCAGTTTGGGAGAAGTGAGTCTTTTCAGAATTTGACCTTTCAATGAATGTCTCAAATTTGTTTACGTCATCTTTAATGTTTTCAATACTGTCTTCAAAACAATTTGGTAAGTTTAAAATTTATTCTTCCACAATTTTGGTAAGTTTAAAATTTATTCTTCCATATGTTATACCATTGTTGCTCTTATAAATGGTATTGACTTTTAAATTTTATTATTTCTATTCCTGAGTATAAGTTGCAAGTTTATCTTTATTAAGATAGTAAACATTTTCATTAATTTAAATATAGATCCTTTGAAATTTTCCATTTAGGTAATCATATTATAAATAATGACAGATTTACTTCTACCTTTCTGGTCCTTAGGTTTTTAAATATCTTTTCCTAGCCTGCCTCACTTAAGATTCCAGTAAAATACTAAGTAGTGGATACCATTGTCATCTTCCTGATTTTAAACTCATTTTCTATTTTCCACCATTCATTTATTGTTTACTTTTGCATTTTTTTATACAATGTTTATCATATTTTCAAAGATTTTTCTCAGTAATACCTCTTTATGGCTTTTTCTTTATCTACTGAGATTATCCTATTTTTTCAATAATGCATTAAATGCTTTGAACACTGCCTCATTCATTCTAGGTGCCTAGTAATTATTAGTATGAGTGAATGAGTAATAAGCCTATTTTAAAAGTGAATTGTATTTATTGATTTTTCTAATGTAAAACCAACTTTGCATTTCTGGATAAATTTAAATGCGATATGATGGTTTCTTTTTAAAAAATACCCAGTTCCGGCCAGGCATGGTGGCTCACACCTGTAATCCCAGCACTCTGGGAGGCTGAGGTGGGCAGATCACGAGGTCAAGAGATCCAGACCATCCTGGACAACATGGTGAAACCCCATCTCTAACTAGCTGGGTGTGGTGGCCCTTGCCTGTAGTCCCAGCTACTCCGGAGGCTGAGGCAGGAGAATCACTTGAACCCAGGAGGCGAAGGTTTGCAATGAGCTGAGATTGCGCCACTGCACTCCAGCCTGGCAACAGAGCGAGACTGCATCTCAAAAAAAAAAACGAAAAAAAAAAAAAACCCAGTTTCCTTCTATTTCATAAATTATTTTTGAAGGTTTTCAGGCTTCATTCTGTCCTTGTCTGAGTTTGTTATCCTGCCCTCATATACTGCCAGAATGTTTTTGTTTTTTGTTTTTTTGAAATGGAGTTTCGCTCTTGTTGCCCAGGCTGGAGTGCAACGGTCCAATCTCGGCTCACTGCAACCTCTGCCTCCCGGGTTCAAGCGATTCTCCTGCCTCAGCCTCCCAAGTAGGTGGGGTTACAGGCATGTACCACCATGCCCAGCTAATTTTGTATTTTTGGTAGAGATGGGGTTTCTCCATGTTGGCCAGGCTGGTCTCGAACTCCCAACCTCAGGTGATCCGCCCGCCTTGGCCTCCCAAAGTGCTGGAATTACAGGCGTGAGCCACCGCGTCTGGCCGAGAACGTGTTATTTTTCTAAATTCTCCAAGTGTTGTCATATTGCGTCAATATGGTGCCTCCAGAAACCAAAAAAACCGACCAAGCATTGTGCTGTTTGTGATTAGTAGTACAAATTGCAGCAATTCTCCTTTCACCTTAGAGGGAATATCTTGACAAGCGCCAGACAACTGAACCCCTAGAAACTTCAGGTGGTTAGCCTGAATGTTTGGGTGTATTCCCCAACAAACATTCACGTCTGTCTTACGAAAGAACTCATAAAGGCATCAATAGAGAGGACAAGTTGTGGGATGTAAAGATGACCATACCTGCTGGATGTTATTGCAAGCAACAGTATAACTGATGTAACGCTGAGAAAAAGTAAGTTGCTCCTGGTTGTCCTTACAGGTTGAGAAAATGGTATTTCTAGGTCAGTAGCTCACATTTGTAGTAAATTAATGAACATTAGTTATTAGGGGAAAAGTATGGGCACTAATAGCACAATTTGCCAGAAACATAAAATGAGTAAACTTAAATGTACCCAATTACAGTGCCCCCCAAAAAAGGAGAGTTTTTTTTTTTTTTTTTTCCCTGAGACACGGTCTTGCTGTGGCCCGGGCAGGAATGCAGTGGCATGACCTCGGCTCACTGCTACCTCTGCCTCCTGGGCTCAGGTGATCCTCTCACCTCAGCCTACTGAGTAGCTGGGACTTACAGGTACACAATACCATACCTGGCTAACTTTTTTTTGTTTTGTTTTTTGTAGAGATGGAGTTTCGGCTCATTGGCTGGGCTTGGTCTTGAACTGGTAAGCTCAAGTGATCTGCCCGCCTTGGGCTCCCAGACATGCACCACTGCACCTGGCCTAGAGAGAGAGATTTTTAAAGAAAACAATTTGGCTGGGGGCGGTGACTCACACTTGTAATCCTAGCACTCTGGGAGGCCAACACAGGCAGATCACTTGAGATCAGGAGTTCAAAACCAGCCTGGCCAACATGGCGAAACCCCACCTCTACTAAAAATACAAAAAAGTAGCTAGGCGTGGTGGCATTTGCCTGTAATCCCAGCTACTTGGGAGGATGAGACACGAGAATCACTTGAACTCAGAAGGCGGAGGTTGCACTGAGCTGAGATCACACCACTGCACTCCAG
The DNA here is from genome assembly GCF_000001405.40 of Homo sapiens. Lineage (NCBI taxonomy): Eukaryota > Metazoa > Chordata > Mammalia > Primates > Hominidae > Homo > Homo sapiens. Next base: position 9,382,751 of record NC_000019.10, on the reverse strand, counting down.
CCTGGGCAACACAGCAAGACCTAATTATTCCTTTTTTGGTAGAGATGGGGTCTCACTGTGTTGCCTCAGCTGATTTCAAGCTCCTAGACTTAAGTGATCCTTCTGCCTCAGAAAACACAATTTTTCAACCATACTTGAACGATTCCTAAAACTTGACCATTTATTAGATGTAACAGTTGGGACTGAAATCAGCTGAAAGAGGAACTTCCCACAAGAGTGGTTTAAACCACATGGCAGTTAATTTTTCTCATGTAACATGAAATCCAGAGATAAGCAGCACAGGATTAGTGCAACCAGATAATATTGTATCTCCCCTGTTGTTTCATTTAGTATCCTTTCTCTGTCCTCCTCTTGGTGTATATATTTTCTAGGAAATAAGGGACAAGACAAAGGGCAAATAGTTAAGAAAAAAACACCAGATGAGATATTCCCATTTCCATGAGCTTCCTTAGCAGCTGTATCCAGTGACTTCTGCCTACTTTGCATGGGCTAGGGATGTGAACATATTTGGCCGCTCACAGCTGTAAGGGAAGCTGGGTGAAAACTGTCCACATTGCCAGCTTGAACTAAATGGTAAATTTTATTACTTTAAGAAAGAAGGGAGGAATGGATATTGAGACAGCAACTAGTTCTGTCTGCCACAGTACATCAGTCAGTGTCCAGCAATTATGTTCAAATCTATGTCACACAGAATCTACATATTGAAGACCATGTGTTCTGTTCACAATGCAATTAAACTGAAAAGATAACTAAAATATTCATAGGATCTACAGTTGTGACACATATAAGAATGAAATACTCACTGATAAAAACAATCATAGCTATAACATTTATAAGGTTTGTCCCAGTATAACAGGCATCCAGAGTTGGGCCAGAAGGCTGTTTCCAGGTGACCATAACAGGGCTTCTCTCCAATATATGTTCTAAAGTGAGAAAGGAGGCATGAGGGGCAACAAACACTTCCCTGAGTCATTTCATTCATGGAGTTTCTGGCCATTGTGGATTCGCTTGTGCATTATAAGGTTAGTGCTTGTGCTAAAGGCTTTTTCACACTGAATACATTTATAAGGCTTCTCTCCAGTGTGAGTTCTCACGTGTACCCTCAGGCAAGAGGAATTCCTAAAGGCCTTCCCACATTCTTTACACTCATAGGTTTTCTCACCAGTGTGAGTTCTCTTGTGCACAATAAGGTAAGAGCCTGTGCTGAAGGACTTTCCACACTGGTTACACTCATAAGGCTTCTCTCCAGTGTGAGAGCGTGTGTGTTTCTTAAGGGATGACTGATCGATGAAGGCTTTTCCACAGTCACTGCATTCATAGGGTTTCTCTCCAGTGTGGGTTCTCACATGTTTCTGAAGGGATGAAGGAACAGTGAAAGCCTTCCCACATTCCTTACAGTCATAGGGTTTCTCTCCAGTGTGAGTTCTTTTGTGCACATTCAGATGAGAGCTCTGGCTAAAGGATTTTCCACAGTGATCACACTCATAAGGCTTCTCTCCAGTATGAGATCTCATGTGTTTCTTAAGGGAAGACTGAAAAATGAAGGCTTTCCCACAGTCACTGCATTCATAGGGCATCTCTCCAGAGTGAGTTCTGACACAGTTCTGAAGGGACAAAGGGTCAGTGAAAGTTTTCTCATGTTCATTACATTCCAAACCCTCCTCCACACTACCAGTTTTTGTGTGGACACTAAGGGGAGATATTTTGCCATAGTCACTGCATTCATCACCTTTCTCTCCAGTAGGTATTTGCTCACGTACTGAGCAGGAAGAGTGTAGGCTGAAGGACATATCACATTGCTCATACTCCTGAAACTTCTGTCCTGTGGGAGTTCTTAAGTGTTTCCTGAGGGATGACTCTTGATTGAAAGCTTTTCTACAATCAGTAAATTCAAGAGTTTTCTCTCCAATGTGAATGCTCACATGACTCCTAAGAGTTGAGGGATGGTTGAAGACTTTGCTATACTTTATATATTTATAGCATTTCTCTCCCTTGCAATATCTTGTACAAATAAAGCGAGTGTTCTTTCTGAATTTCCCACAATGGTTACACTCCAGGGAGTGCTCACCAGGTTGATTTTCTGCCTGTTGAAAAGGGAGTAAGTGGTGACTAGAGGCTTTTTCACTTTCACCTTATTCACAGGAATTCTCTTCCATGAGGATTCTGCCATATATAGGAAGCACATGATCATGACTGACATGTGTACCATTTTCAGTAGGTGCGTATGACTTTTGCCCTATTAGCTTTTTCGAGTTGAATAAGCTCACTCCTCTGTCCAAGGCTCTATTCCTTCCCAGCAAAGGGCTTCTTTAATACAGTTTTTCTAATACTGAGTGAAGAATGAATGAATTATGTACTAAATACTTAACTCTAAAATCATATTTACATAGATGTTTACTTGTGGTTATTCTCTGTGAGCCAGCAAGTGTTAACCTAGGTTTACAGATTTCTCCAATTTCATGAAAATCAAACTCCAAACTCTCCCGAGACAGCTTTCTGGTGAAAGCCTGGTGCCTGAATTCTTACCCCTGCTTTGGGTGCTGATGTTTTAACTCATTCAGATTCCCAGACTTCTACTACAAAGACCAGGAATACTTCCTAGTAAGTCTTACCGTGTTTATGCCATTGGATGTTTTTCCCCCAGGAATGTTCTGCATAGCAATTGTATCTTTTGGTTTAAGTTGAGTTTCCCAGTCTGAAATAGCACAGGAATTTTTATAATTATTGGGAGAAAAGGTTGGGATCAAAGAAAAAGGGAGGGAGACCCTATGGATTTGTTTTCAAATAATATCTTCTAAGTAGAGAAATGTAAGAAAGAAGACACAACCAGTGATTCACCAGTGATAGGAACAAGCAGTAGAAATGGGAGGTATTTTAGTTAGAAAGGATTGTGGAGGTTGGGAAATAAGACAGTATTATCTGGCAAAAAGCATTCATGGAGACATTACATTTAAAGAGGAATTAAAACTTCTTTCTCGGAGACCAAATGAACGTATGAACGATTGAATAGATGGTGAAACAGGAAGGAAGCTCATGTCATGGCCTCAGATTTCTTTTCCTTCACTGAGTGACATTCCCAAATGTACTAACCCTCACTGGCCAAGGCTGCACCCTGTTCTGCCCAAGGCTCACCTGCACAGTCACCTTGTAAAATTCCTCTTTCATCTGTCTTCAGCTGTTCTTGATCCACCTTGGAGATCAGACTGTGTCTGCAGAGCTGATACCCTGCTCACGCAGAAAGCAAGGATGTGGGAGAAATGTGTGAGAATTAAATATTCCACAAAACTGATTGCCATACTTTGGCTTTAACTAAAGGATTATTAAAATAGTCAAGTGCAGCTTTAGGAACAACAAAACAATCAGAGCCGAGCTCTTTCTTTCACAAGAACCAAAAAGCATGGTCCACGCCCTATATGGAAGTGACCCTTGAAACCTATACACAAGATGAGACACAGATTGCAAATTACCTTAAGCTATTAGTGATAGAGAAAATGAAATCAGTGCATTTTCATGGGAAGCCACTGGACTGCCCCCTCAAGGGCAGGGACCATTCATTTTGGGGTTAACCACTGTATTGCTATTCTTTCCACAGATTCTGGAACATAATATGTGCTTAAGAACTATTTGCTACATAAACAAATGAAGAAATGAGGCCAGCCTTACCTACTGAGGCCAGGTTCCTAAAGTTCTCCAGCATCACATCTTTGTATAGATTTTTTTGAGCAGGGTCCAGCAATGCCCACTCCTCCTGGGAAAAGTCCACTGCCACTTCCTGGAAGGTTACTGAGTTCTAAAACATCACATACATATTCTGGCTCAGCCAATGACCATTTTTGACAATGTACCAGGAGAATGGTGGGTGAGGCTGACAGGACTGGAGAGGAGACTCAGGGCACTGGAAGCTCAGACATGCATCAGAGGCCTTCTCTTAATTTGCCTTAAAGCTGAGTTCTCAGAACTCTCTTTAAATCCTACTCCCTGGGCCATCTCATTCAGGGTCATGGTCAAAACAGCTTTTCTAAAATATGGTTGGCTTGATCTTTGCACAGTTAGGTTGTGAGGACTCTTTTCGTCTTATTCAGATCCAGTATAGACAGGGCATACTGTAGGAATGCAAGAAATACTTGAGAAATGATAAATAATTTTCCTAGTAAAAGTCTTTCTTTACAGCACTCACTACAGTATGGAATTCATACTCAAAAATATGGAAGAATATCTGGAGAAAGTTAACAAATGTGGGAACAGAAGCCTTTCCCAGGGATTCCCTCTTCCACATGAAGCAGCCTGGGAGCTGCGGAAGATGAAGCCAGCTCAGATTGGGCTGTGAAGCTTCAGGTCAGGGGCAAGAGATGTGTTCTTTTCAGGAATGGCAGTGTGCTTTTGGAAATAGAGAAATTTCTTGTGTACCTGTGACCAGGTTGTCAGCCACCCTGCAGCCATTCTTCCTCCTGTAGGTTTCCTTCCTGGCTGGGCAGAGTCCTAAGCAGGCAGAGCTAGAGGAGAACACAGAAGCCATTAGAGTCTAGGCCTGCTAGATGTTCAACACTAGCAGGCTGGGAAGCTTCTTCTTACTAAAGGGTAACAACATACACATAGAGTGTAGTTACAATTTGCCTCCTTATCCAAGAACACAGTATATCCTCAAATTAGAAATATAGTATGCATTTTTCATTTTTTCTTGGACTTTTTTCTAGCCTGAACCACTAAAAAGGCTTATGACTGCTAACAGCTCAGGAGGAATGAGCCTCTAAAGTGCAAAACTGTCTCTGAATATCATTTACCCGTGACAGAAACCAGGACTCACTGGAGAAATAGCTGAGTCTAGTATAGACTAAGAAATCTTCAAGATGAGTTTGGAATATCTTATATCACACCCTCACGTTCCTCATTGTTAGAATGGGACCAATTTCATAGGGTTGGGCTGAGTTAATATCCCGAAATTACTTAGAACAATAAGGAGTAACTCATAAGGACCATAAAGGTGAGCATATTTGCATTTCATAATAAAAGGGTGACATTCCAGAACAACATTTAGTACACTTAGCTGTATATGTATCAAAATCTAGTGCTGCAAATCTTATAGCAGAGCTAGGACTCTGTCTTCTTAACTCAGTAGCCTACCTTCCAGGCCCTTTTTGCCTGCCCGATTTTACTTTTTAAACTTTTTTGTTGTAAACGAAGACACATACGCATTAATCTAGGCCTAAATAGGGTTAGGATCTTGAGTATCACTGTCTGACACCTTCTACCGTGTCCCACTTAAGGTATTCAGGGGCAATAACATGCACGGAGCTGACATCTCCTATGGTGACAATGACTTCTAGAATGTCTTCTGAAGCATCTGCTTGAGGCTTGTTTTTGAGTTAACTTTTCTTTTTTAGTAAGTAGAAGGAATACATTCTAAAATAACAATAAATAGTATAAAAATATATAAACCAGTAATGTGGTCACTTATTACTATTCATTATTATGTACTGTATATAATCTACTGTACATAACCATATTTACTACTGTTACATGACTGGCAGTGCAGCAGGTTTAAATGACAGACATGTGAGTAATGTGCTTTACAATGTTACACTGGCTATGTCATTAGGTGATTGGAATTTTTTAGCACTATTAAAATGTTATGAGAGCACTGTCACATATGTGGACCATCACTGACCAAAATGTCTTTACACAGTGCATGACTGTACTGCCAACCAAGAATGTTTTACCTGCCAAAAATGGCCTTCAGAAATGAAGGAGAGATAAAAACTTCCTTGGACAAACAAAAGATGAGGGGCTTCATCAGTAATGGAGCTGATTTATAGGAAATAGTAAATTCTTCAGCTTAAAAGAAAGGACACTTAGTAACATGAAACCATATGAAATTATAAAACCCACTGGGGTAAAGGTAATTATATACTCAATCCAGATTACCCTAATACTGTAACAGTGGTATCTAAATAACTTATCTCTAGTGTAAAAGATTAAAAGATAAAAATATTAAAAAGTTATAATAATTTGTTAATATACAATATAGAAAGATGTAAATTGTGACATCAAAAACATAAAATGTGGGAAATGGAAGAGTATAAATTGTTTGTATGCAATCAAAGCTAAGCTGTTAACAGCTTAAAACAGACTATTAAAACTACAGGATGTTTTAAGCTTCATAGTAGCCACAAAGCAAGAACCTATATTATGGAGAAAAGAGAAAGAAATCAAAGCGTATCACTACAGAAAGTCATCAAATCACAAAGGAAGACAAGGGAGGAAGAAAGCAACAAAACATCTGTACAACAGCCACAGAAGAATGAACAAAAAGGCAACAGTAAGTACTTACCCATCAATAATTACTTTAAATATAAATGTACTCAGGAGGCTGAGGCAGGAGGATCACTTGAGAGCAGGAGTTTGAGACCAGCCTAGGCAACACAGCAAGACCGCATCTCTACAGAAAACAATTTAAAAAAATTATTTGGGTGTGGTGGCATCTGCCAGTAGTCCCAGCTACTTGGTGGGCTAGGGTGGGAGGATTGCTTGAATCTGAGAGTAGTGGGAGTATGATCATGCCACTGCACTCCAGCCTGGGTGACAGAGACCCTATCTCCTTAAACAAAAAAGTAAATGGATTAAGTTCTCTAGTCAAAACACATAGTGGCTGACTGGATTAAAAAAGAAAGACCTAAGGTATATGCTGCCTACAAGAAGCTCACTATAGCTTTAAGAATGCATGTAGCCCGAAAGTAAAAAGATGGGAAAAGACATTCCACGTAAATGGAAACCAAAGAGAGCAAGGGTGAGTAGGAAAGATCTTATACCAGCTTAATGTTACACCTCAAGTTACTAGAAAAAGCAGCAGCTAAGCCCAAAGTCAGTAGAAGGAAAAAGAAACTAAGCCCAAAGTCAGTACAAGGAAGGAAATAATAATAAAGATCGCAGCAGAAATAAATGAGAGACTAGGAAGACAATAGAAAAGATCGATGAAACTGAATGTTGGTTGTATGAAAAGATAAACCAACAAAAACCTTTAGCCAGACTACTTAAGATTAAAATAGACAAGACTGAAGTAAAACTAGAAATGAAAGAGAAGGCATTACAACTGATAACCACAGAAATATAAAGGATCATGAGACCATAATGAAAAATTATATGCCAAAAAATTGGATAACCTAGAAGAAATGAATAAATTCCTAGAAATATATAACCTGCTAAGACTGAATCATAAATAGAAAACCTGACAAGATCAATAATGAGTAAGGAGATTAAATCAGTGAGGAAAAATCTTCCATCAAAGAAAAGCCCAGGACTTGGTGGCTTCACCGTTGAATTCTACCAAACATTTAAAGAATCCTTCTCAAACTCTTCCAAAAAAATGGAAAAGGAGCCCAACCAAACTCCTCATTAAACTCATTTTATGAGGTCAGCATTACACTGATACCAAAGCCAGACAAACACTGTAAGAGCAAAAAACTACAAGCCAATATCCCTACTGAAAATAGATGCAAAACTCCTCAATAAAATACTAGCAAACCAAATTCAACAGTACCTTAAAAGGACCATACACCATGATCAAGTGAGATTTATCCCAGAAATTCAAGGATAGTTCAAGATACGCAAAATCAATGTGATACATCACATCAACAGAATGAAGGATAAAAACTATATCATCATTAGAATAGATGAAGAAAAAGCACTTGGTAAAATTCAGCATTCTTCTGTGATAAAAACCCTCAACGAATTAGTTACAGAAGGAAAGTACTTCAACACCAGTAAAGGCCATAGGTGACAAAACCACAGCTTACAGCCAATTATAAAAAATTGAAAGCTTTTCCTCTAAGATTGGGAACAAGGCAAAGATGCCCATCCTCACCACTTCTATTCAACATACAACTGAAGTTCTAGCCAGAACAATTACGCAAGAAAACAAAAGGCGTCTACGTTGGAAAAGAAGTAAAATTATGTTTGTAGATGACATGATATTGTATCTAGAAAACCCTAAAGACACCATGAAAAAATGTTAAAACTAACATGTAAATTCAGTAATGCAGGGTAAAAAAAAATCAACATACAAAAATTAAATGTATTTCTAACAAACTATCTAAAAAAAACTATGAAAATAATTTCACTTATAATAATATCAAAAAGAGTAAAATACTGACAATAAATTTAACCAAGGAGATGATCTCAACACTGAAAATTCTAAAACACTGGTGAAAGTAGAAGACACAAACAAATGGGAAGCCACCCAGTGTTCATGGATTGGAAGAATCAATATTGTCAAATGTCACACTATGAAAGGTGATCTACAAATTAATGCAATTCCTATGAAATTCCAATGATATTTTTTACAGAAATAGAAAAAACAATCCTAAAATTCATATGGAAACACAAAAACTCCAAATAGCTAAAGCAATCTTGAACAATACTGGAGGCATCACACTTCCTTATTTCAAATATATTACAAAGGTACTGTAATGAAAATAGTATGGTACTGGCATAAAAACGGAGACAAATGTAACAGAATAGGAAGCCCAGAAATAAACCCTGGCATGTATGGTCAACTAATCTTGGACAAAGATGCCAAGAATAAGCAATGGGGAGAGGACAGTCTCTTCGGCAAATGGTGTAAGGAAAACTAGATATCCACATGTGAAAAAGTGAAATTAGATCCTTAAACTACAAACAAAAATCAACTCAAAATGGATTAAAGACTTAAATGTAAGACCTGAGATCATAAAACTTCTAGAACAGGGGAAAAGCTCTTTGATATTAATTTTGACAAATTTTTTTTTTAAAGAGTTGACACCAAAAGCACAGGCAAGAAAGGCAAAAATAAGTGAAACTACATCAAACTAAAAAGTTTCTGCACAGCAAAGGAAATAATGAACAAAATGAAAAAGCAACCTTATGGAATGGGAGAAAGAATCTGCACAATATTTAAAATATTTACGAAATACATACAGTTCGATAGAAAAAAATGGAATAAAAAATGGGTAAAGGATCTAAATAGACAGTTTTCCAAAGAAGAAATAAAAATGGCCAGTAGGTATATGAAAAAGTGCCCAACATCACATTATTAGGGACGTACCAATCAAAACCATAGTTGGCTGCTACCTCACACTTGTTATAATAGATATTATCAAAAAGTCAAAGGATAACAAGTGTTGGATGTGGAGAAAGGGAACCCTTATACATCGTTGTTAGAAGTGAAAATTGGTACAGCCATTATGGAAAGCAGTAGTGGAGGTGCCTCAAAATATTAAAAATAGAACTACCATATGATCTAGCAATCCTGCTACTGGGTATATAACCAAAGGAAGTGAAATCAATATCTTAAAGAGGTATCTGTGACCTCATATTCATTGCAGCATTATTTATAATAGCTGCTATATGGAAACAACGTGTTTGTCGATTGCTGAATGCGTAAAGAAAATGTCATATATATACACACAGTGGGTTATTCAGTCTTAAAAAAGAAGGAAACCTGGAGAACATCATGCTAAGTAAAATAAGGCGGACATAGACAAATACCGCATGACCTCACTTACATGGAATCTAGAAAAGTCAAACTCCTAGAAGCATTAGAAAGGTGATTACCAAGGGGCAAGGGAAATGGGGAGATGTTGGTCAATGGGTATGTATTTGCTGTTATAAGATGGCTGAGTTTTGGAGACCTGATGTATGGCTTGGTGACTATAGTTAATGATGTACTGTATATTTGAAATTTTCCAAGAGAGTGCATCTTACAAAAGTAAGTGAGGGGATGGATATGTTAATTAGCTTGACTGTGATGATCATTTCAGAATGGACAGGTAGATCAAAACATTATGTTGTACACCTTAAACATATATAATTTTTATTATTTGTCAATTATACCTCAAGAAAGCTGGAAAACCATGCTTCAGAAAAACAAAACTGGCAGGGTGTGGTGGCTCACGCCTGTCATCTCAGCACTTTGGGAGGCCAAGGTGGGTGGATTGCTTGAGGTCAGGAGGTTCAAGACCAGCCTGAACAACATGGTGAAACCCTTTCTCTATTAAAAATACAAAAATTAGCCAGGTGTGGTGGCAGGTGCCTGTAATCCCAGCTACTCGGGAGGGGAGGCAGGAGAATTGCTTGAACCTGGGAGGCAGAAGTTGCAGTGAGCTGAGGTCATGCCACTGCACCTCAGCCTGGGAGACAGAGCAAGACTCCATCTCAAAAAAAAAAAAAAAAAAAAAAAAGGAAAAGAAAGCTCAATGATGAAAGGAAGCAAGGGAGAGAACAGATGTAATAAGAATGGCAAAATGGTGACAATCATTGAAGCTGGGTGGTAGGTACATAGTGGCTTTATAGCACTCTATTCCTAGGTATGACTGAAAATCCACAGTGAACAGTTTTTTAAAAAGAAAGTAAAATTTCCATATGAAAGCGTGAAGCAAGGAACTGTACCCATCAGGTATAATAAAAAGCAAATCTCTCTTGAGGATCTGTATACACAAGTGCTCTCTTTTAGATTTCAGTCCAAATTCATTTCTGTAGTTCAAACAACCTCAAGGGAATAATTTCACTTAAAGAGGGTCCTAAGTGGCATTGTCCCCAAGCAACTAGTGCAAGCAAATCGACCTATCTCTGGAAAATCAACTTTAAGTCAGGTCTTGAGAAAAAATCTTATATACAAAGTTCTAAGTAAATTGAGGAAGGCACAGTTTAAGAAATTGTGAAACACAAATACACAATGTACCATGTGTAAGACATAGCTAACACACAGGTGTCAGGTGGTAAAAAGCATAACACTTTGGATATTACCCTTTTAGATATATTTTAAAATATATAAAAGCTTAATAAAAATTTGAATGGATATAGATTAAGATACTATAAAATGGTTAGTTTAAAAAACAATTTTTAGAAATGAAAAATAAACTCACTGAAATGAGAAATTCAGTGCCAGTATTAACTACCAGATCAGAACTTTGATCGCACTATTAGATGAAAACCTAGCAATTTTCTTGAATTAGTGAAAGACACTAACCTTTGGGTACTAGAAGTATCATAAGCCCCCAAGCTGAATACATAAAAAGAAATCCACATCTAATTTCATTATAGATTTTTCTTCCTTGGTATTTGATTTTTTCCCATAATTTCCAAAGCAGCCAGGGGAAAAACACAGGTCACCTATAAAAGGAAAAACAGACTGATAGCTGACATCTCAACAGCAACAATGGACGTCAGAAGAAAGCAGGACAATGTCTTCAGTATGCTGAGAAAAAAATAACTTATCAACCTAAAACGCTAGACAAACTATCTAACTACTCTTTATAAGAAATACAAAGATAACCAGGTTAAGCAATGAAAACAAACCAGTCAGCAAAATCCATATATGATGTGGGACATTTTAAGAACAAATAACTTTATTTCTTCAATAAATCAGTGGATTAAAAAAATGAAAAGGGAGGAGGAAGAGAACAGACACAATAGAAACTTAAGGGGTCTAAAATAAAAAAAAAATGTTGGGACCCTGTTAAGATTCTCATTTGAACAAACCAAATGTAAAAAGATATTCTGTAGCCAATCAGGGAACGTCAGACTTTGTTAGGTGGGATAATGGAGTAGTGGTGATGAACCAACTAGAGATGCACAGTTAGTAATATACTGATGAAATGACAGGATGTCTGGAATTTGCTTTAAAAACAAATCTGGGGGGAAAACCCAGCATTATTCAATATTTATTTGCAGTATCTAATACAGTAACCACTAATCATGTACGGATAGCTACTGAATACTTGAAATGAGCATTTAAACTTCAATAGCCACATGAGGCTAGTGGCTACTGTATTGGACAGCTCAGCGCTAGATGATGCAAGATGTGCAAAATATTGGTAACTGTCAAAGCTGGGTGTTAAGGACATGAGAATTCATTATACAGTCAGCCCTCTGTATCTGTTGGCTACTCGACCACAGATCAAAAATATGTGGAAAAAAGATGAATGCTTGTGTCTGTACTGAACATGTAGACCTTCCCCCTTGTCATTATTCCTTAAACAATACAGCATAACTATTTATGGCCCGGCACAGTGGCTCACACCAGTAATCCCAGCACTTTGGAAAGCTGGGGCAGGAGGATGCCTTGAAGCCAGGAGTTTGAGACTAGCCTGGGCAATAAAGCAGCACCCTGTCTCTACAAAAATATGTATCTATTTTAAATTATCCAGGCGTGGTGGCGCATGCCTGTGGTCCCAGCTACTAGGGAGGCTGAGGTGGGAGGATTACTTGAGTCCAGGAGTTTCAGGCTGCAGTGAGCTATGATCACACCACTGTACTCCAGCCTGAGCAACAGAATGAGACCCCATCTCTTAAAAAAAAAACAAAAAAAAAACAAACCAACCACTTACATAACACTTATTGTACTAGGTACTGTAAGTAATCTAGTGATGACTTAAAGTAAATGGGAGGGAAAAAATAGCATCTATGGGAGGATGTGTGTAGGTTCTATGCAAATACAATGCTATTTTATATAAGGAATTTGTGACTGTGGAATTTGGAAGCCATGTGGGGGTCCTGGAACCAGTCCCCCATGGATATGAGAGACAACTGTACTATTCTACTTTTGTGGAGAATTAAAAATTTTCATGATTAAAAGCTTAAGAAAAATAAATGGAGAGTCAAATAAAGGCATTTTAAAATAAAGACCTGAGACAACTTACCCATCCAAAAAGACCATCACAGAAGTAACTTAAAAGTACTTCAGGAGATAGGAACTGGAAGACCCAAAATGTTAAGTAGAATGAACAAAGGTAAAATGGATAAAATTAAGCAAACCTTTATTATATAAAATGGTAATAATACCAAATTCGTGACATGGAAAAATAAGCTCAATCCTAATACTAAATAATATATAAATTGGGAAGGAGGTGATTGAGTAGTATGTTCCTTGTATTCTTCCACTGGGGACTCACAATATTGATTAGGTTTAGACTGTAAGTATGCATGATAAAATAGCTAGGGTAACAATTCAAAGGATGGACATAGTGAGTTTAACTCACAGTCTAGAAGAGAAAATGGAATTAGGTTAAAAAAAAATCTCAATTCCAAAGGTAAGAAAAATAAGGGAAATGAAACAAAAAAAATAGGTCAAATGAAAAGCACAATGTAAAATGTAAGATGGTAAAAAATGTCTGACTGTATCAATAACAGTAAGTGTACAGATGGGCTAAATTCTGCAGTTTAAAAACAGACTGTCCTGGTAGATTAAGATAAACTAGCTCTATGTTATTTCATTAGATGCACTAAAATCCACAACAACACATAAAAATTGAGTCTCAAAAATAAGAAAGATATACCAGGTGAATATTAACCAAAATAAAGTTTGTTTGCTAAATTAATTTCATAGATTTTGAGACAAAAGGCACTATTAGAGGTAATGACATGAGGATGTAAAGTACCAATTAGGAAGATATAAAATTCTAGTCTCATAAAACTTATAAAGCAGAAGCTAGCACAATTAAAGGATAAATAACACAAATCATCACTATAAGACTTTCAAACACTGCTCAGCAATAGAAAGATCATATGAAAAAAAGGATATGAAGATTTGAACAACACAATGAGTATGCTTAATCTAGCACACTGAGGGACACTACTGAATGTATGGAGTATACATAGATTCTTGAAGCACACATGAAGTGTTTATAAAAACTGACCATACTGTATGGTGAATATACTGTAAAGCCAGTCTTAAACCTTCCAAATTTGGTATATAAAACATCTCATGGGCCCCTTAAATATATATACCTACTATGTGCCCACAAAAATTAAAACTTAGAAAAAGATTTGGTATACAAACATGTTCTCTGACATGTCTTAATTACAATGTAACTAAGTTGTAAGTTAATAACGAGATTACATTGAACTATATGAAATGGGTGTTTTGGTAGTTTTAAAATATGGTTGAATATTAGTGGTTTCATATTTTTCAAGCAAACAGAAAAAAGTAACACATTTGGAATTCAGAAAACATCACACTTCCAAATAACTTATGCTTTTATAAAAGAATTGAATTAGAAAATACATAATACTATGGTTATTGATTAGTTCTAAGTACCACAACTTGTAGAATGTAGCTAAACTGGTCCTTAGGAAAAAAATAAGCTTTATATGTTTATATTAGAAAAGAAGTGAACTTAAAAATTAACTTAAGCAGCTGGAACGGGAAGAGCAGAAAATACGATGATGAACTAGAAAACAACAGTATCACTCAAGCTACAAACTGGTTCTTTGAAAACTACTAGGAAAAAAATCGGGCAAAATTCTTCAAAGACAAAAGGAGAAAAACACAACTACAAATGTTGCAGAGATTAACAAGACATGAATAACTTTAATCAAATTCAAAACTTTCAGGAAATAAATTGATTCCTACAGAAATACAACTTACCAAAACTGTGTAGAAATTACAATAAAAAGAACTAGCTGGTGATGGTTGAGTAACACTGTGAATGCAATGAATGCCACTGACTTGTACATTTAAAAATGATTAAAATGGCAAATTTGGCTTTAGGTATTTTACCACAATTTAAAAAATATAAAAGAAGAATCTAGACTGATCCCGTCAGCAAGGTGCTAGGTCTTCCCAGCTTAACTCACTGCCCAGATATTCTTTTAAAACAGAAAACAAAACTAGATTATTTAGGTTTTCACCAAAAAACACCATGCTCAAAGGCTTTATCAGTCAGTTATGCCACTCAAAGAAGAAAGAATTCCAGTCTGGATGAAAATATTCCAGAGATTAGGCATATTTATGAAGACTGGTTACTTAAACTACACTTCAATGTAATTTGTCACTAATGTTTGCATTATTTCAGGTATAGATAACTTATCCACTCTATAGGCAAGAGCTGGGTATCTGGAAGGTTTTATTTAATATAGCCTTTATGCAAACCCCAGAATTGTGTATGGTTCAAAATGTCATGTTTGCCTTTGGTTATTCTATTAACAGCAGTTTACAATATTACAAGGGAAAAAAATATGGTCACTTTTAAACTAATTTCACAAAACAGTTTAACTTATCAAAGGGATTACCGTGATTAAGAGTATAAAAGGAAGAATATTCTTTGAGATTGGCATACTGATATCAAACATGACAAGGCCACTTTAAGTAAACAAAATTATAGGCAAATTTCAACATAGATTCAGATATTCTAAGGAAAATAAGTCCAAACAAAAAATGTCAATAAATAGGAAATATAGTACAACAGAATTAAGTTAGGTTTACCAGAGGAATGCAAGAGATGCTTGCTATTAGAAAATCAATATAATTTGCTTCATTAATAGAGCAAAAGAAAAATTGTATGATCAACTCAAAGTGATAAAAACCAGTATCACATAATGATTTCAAAAATAAATTTTTTCAACCTGAAAACTTTCGGGCTGAATTTAATTCAGCCAGCTTATTTATTTTTATTTTTATTTTTTTTTTGAGACACTCTTGGTCTGTTTCCCAGGCTGGAGTGCAGTGGTGCGATCTCTGCTCACTGCAACCTCGCCAGGTTCAGGTGATTCTCCTGCCTCAGCCTCCCAAGTAGCTGGGACTACAGACGCGTGCCACCACACCCAGCTATGTTTTTGTATTTTTAGTAGAGACGGGGTTTCACCGTGTTAGCCAGGATGGTCTTGATCTGCTGACCTCATGATCCGCCCGCCTGGGCCTCCCAAAGTGCTGGGATTACAGGCGTGAGCCACCACGCCCAGCCTCAGCTGACTTTTGAAAACACAATTCAAAGATGGGCAAATGATCTGAATGTACATTTTTCTAAAGATAAAAAGGTCAACTGCACATGAAAAGATGCTGAACATCATTAGACACCAGGGAAATGCAAATCAAAACCACATTAAGATACCACTTCACACATTAAGGTGAGTGTAATTAAAAAGACAAGTGTGGATGAGGATGTGGAGAAATTCTCTTGTTTTTTTGTGGAGGGGAGTGAAGTGGGAAGTGGTGCTGCCACGTTGGCAAACAGCCTAGCATTTTACCAGAAGATTAAACATAAAAGTTCGTCTCATGAACAAGGCATTCCACTCCTAGGTATATACCCAAGAGAAATATTCACAGCAGCATTATTCATATTAGCCAAAAAGGAGAAACAACCCAAATGTCTATCTACCGATGAACGGATAAATGAAAATGTGGTATATCCATACAATGGACTATCATTTGACAATAGAAAATGAAGGCCAGGCATGGTGACTCATGCCTGTAATCCTCAGCACTTAGGGAGGCTGTAGTGGGTGGATCACATTAACCCAGGAGTTCAGACCAGCCTGGTAACACAGTGAGATCTCATCTCTACCAAAAATTTAAAAAAATAGCCAGGCTTGGTGGCCCACACCTGTGGTCCTACCTACTCGGGAGGCTAAGGTGGAAGGCCGAGCTAGGGAGGTCGAGGGCACCACGGCACTCCAGCCTGGGTGACAGAGAAAGACCTTGTCTCATTAAAAAAAGGAATGAGGCTAGGCACGGTGGCTCACGCCTGTAGTCCCAGCACTTTGGGAAGCCAAGGTGGGCGCATCACGAGGTCAGGAGATCCAGACCACTCTGGCCAACATGGTGAAAGAACGTCTCTACTAAAAATACAAAAATTAGCCGGGTGTGGTGGAGCATGCCTGTAATCCTAGCTACTTGGGAGGCTGAGGCAGGAGAATCACTTGAACCCGGGAGGCAGAGGTTGCAGTGAGCCGAGATTGCGCCACTGCACTCTAGCCTGGCGACAGAGGTAGATTTGGTGCTGTGACTCAGATCTGGGGACCTCCCTTGGGAGATCAATCCCCTATCCTCCTGCTCTTTGCTCTGTGAGAAAGATCCACCTATGACCTCAGGTCCTCAGACCGACCAGCCAAGGAACATCAATCCAATTTTAAATCAGGTAAGTGGCCTCTTTTTACTCTCTTCTCCAACCTCTCTTACTATCCCTCAACCTCTTTCTCATTTCAATCTTGGCGCCACACTTCAATCTCTCCCTTCTCTCAATTTCAGTTCCTTTCCTTTTCTCGTAGACAGGAGACGTGTTTTATCCATGGACCCAAAACTCCGGCGCCGGTCATGGACTCGGGAAGACAGTCTTCCCTTGGTGTTTAATCATGCGGGGACGCCTGCCTGATTATTCACCCACATTTCAGAGGTGTCTGACCACGTGGGGATGCCTGCCTTGGTCCTTCACCCTTAGCGGCAAGTACTGCTTTTCTGGGGGCAAGAACCCCCTGACCCCCTTCTCTCCATGTGTCTACCCTTCTCCGCTTTTCTGGGGGTCAAGAACCCCTGAACCCTTCTCTCCATATCTCTAGCCCTTCTCCACTTTTCTGGGGTGCAAGAACCCCCCGGTCCCTTCTCTCTGTGTCTCTACCCCTTCTCTGCTTTTCTGGAGGACAAGAAGCCCCCACCCCTTCTCTCCATGTCTCTACTCTCTCTTTTTTCTGGGCTTGCCTCCTTCACTATGGGCAAGCTTCTGCCCTCCATTCCCCCTTCTCCCTTAGCCTGTGTTCTTAAAGACCTAAAACCTTCCTCCTTATATCAACTCTACTCCCCCCATATTTAGACCTCTCACAACACAAACTACTATTCCTGTGGCAGCTCCTTTATGTATCTCTCAGCAAAGACCCACTGGAATTCCCCTAGGTAAACTTTCACCTTCTCGATGTTCCTTTACTCTTCATCTCCAAAGCCCAACTACACACATCACTGAAACAATTGGAGCCTTCCAGCTCCATATTACAGACAAGCCCTCTATCAGTAGTGGCAAACTTAAAAACATTAGCAGTAATTATTGCTTAGGAAGACACTTACCCTGTATTTCACTCCATCCTTGGCTACCTTCCCCTTGCTCGTCAGACTCTTCTCCCAGGCCCTCTTCTTGCTTACTTATACCCAGCCCTGAAAATAACAGTGAAAGGTTGCTTGTAGATACTCGACGTTTTCTCATACACCATGAAAATCGAACCTCCCCCTCGACGCAATTACCTCATCAGTCCCCATTACAACCTCTGACGACTGCCGCCCTAGCTGGATCCCTAGGATTCTAAGTACAAGACACCCCTTTCAGCACTCCTCATCTTTTTACTTTGCATCTCCAGTTTTGCCTCGCACAAGGTCTCTTTTTCCTCTGTGGATCCTCTACCTACATGTGTCTACCTGCTAATTGGACAGGCACATGCACACTAGTTTTCCTTACTCTCAAAATGCAATTTGCAAATAGGACTGAAGAGCTCCCTGTTCCCCTCATGACACCGACACGACAAAAAGAGTTATTCCACTAATTCCCTTGTCAGTTTAAGACTTTCTGCCTCCACTATTGCTCTCGGTACTGGAATAGCAGGCATTTCAACCTCTGTCAGGACCTTCCATAGTCTCTCTAATGAATTCTCTGCTAGCATCACAGTCATATCACAAACTTCATCAGTCCTCCAGGCCCAAGTTGACTCTAGCTGCAGTTGTCCTCCAAAACCGCCGAGGCCTTGACTTACTGCTGGAAAAGGAGAACATCTGTATATTCTTAAATGAAGAGTGTTGTTTTTACCTAAATCAATCTGACCTGGTGTATGACAACATAAAAAAACTCAAGAATAGAGCCCAAAAACTTGCCAACCATGGGGGAGTAACTGCTGATGAGTATGGGATTCTCTTTTGGGGCAATGAAAATGTTCTAGAGTTAGATTGTAGTCATGGTTGCACAACTCAATATACTAAAAACCACTGATTTATACACTTTAAATGAGATGAAATATATGATTTTATGTCAATAAAGCTGTTACAGAAGGGAATGTCTTTAATCTATCAAAAACACATAGCAAACATGTAAGTAGTGACAAGCTGAAAGCTTTCTTTCTGAGACCTGGAAGGCAGCAAGGATTGCTCCTTCTAATGTTTCGGAGGTCGTAGGCAGGGCAGTAAATTTGTAGGGCAGGAGTGGGTCGTAATAGGATTATAAAGGGAGAATAAAGTTCTTATTCATAAACGATATGTCAATATGTAAACATCCAAAAGAAACTACAGGTAAACTGAAAACTAAGGTCTGCTGCTTGCTGCATACAAAACACACCCTGAGGGCTCAAAAAAGCACAAGTCCCATAGAGGGGGATCTGGTCATACCTAGGAATTACACATTCATTTATGCTTTGACCCAACAACTTGACTTTCAAAAATAAACCTTGAAGACCTAAGTCCACAAATACGAAAAAACATGCACAAGCCCACTCAGATAGGAACTCAAATGTGTATCAGGCACTAGGGTGCATCCACATAACAGAGGGGAAAAAAAGGGACGATCTCCACAAACCAATAACGCGCATCCCAAGATATGCCTTCTAACAACGGAAAGTGAGGTCCAAGAGAGCATTTTCTTGAGAAAAAATAGTCTCCTACTGGGGACGACGTTTAAAGAGAAGGGTACAGAAAGTGGAGAAAAGGCCCCGCCGACGCACTCTGACCACATGAACCCACTTGCCTCCTCCCGGGAACCAATGCCCGGAATGGCAGCCCCAAGCCCAGCAGTGCCGGGAGGAACCAAAGCCGGCGGCCTCTGAGAAGAAACGCCGCGATAGCCGGAGGCTGGGGCGGGAAGCTGCAGGCAAGGTCTGGAGCAGCCGGGGCTGCGCACTGTGCCCTTGACCCCTTCCCTCCCGATTCCGCCGGCCTCACTAGTGGGGCGCACCTGGACCTGGCCTGCTGGGACAGCAACCCTTTCTCAGCTGCAGGCGACAGCTATGGGAGATGGCGAGGCGACGGACGCCCACTTCCGCTTCCGGCCAGCAGCTGAAAGGGGTGGGCTGCCCAGCTCGCACATTTGGCGGATTCGCCCTGAGGACTTGGGAACGGGGCATCGCAGGTGCTCCTGCTCCCTTAGGGCGAAGGCTGGGACTGTCTTTATTCATTGCATTAGAGTAAAATAAGAGGCACAAGCCAATTAACTTGCTTGGGTCTCAAAGCTAAGTAAAAGAGTCCACAGAACTAGAATCCGTACTGTCTTCCCCAAGGGAAAAAGCAAATGTCCCCAGAGGAAAATTGGACTCTGCAGCCGCAGAGGGAAAGGGGTCCAATTGCTCCCTCCCCTCTTCCTGACCAAAGGAAGACCCCCGAGGTCAGAGATGTTTTGGTCCGGACTCCAGTTTAAACAATTAAGTCCAGGTATTTAAAAAAAAACGGAGGGTCTCTGTGAGCACTTGAAATTATCCGCCAACAAAGGAGATCCTGTTTGGCCCAACAGGGTTTGACTCACATCTATATGATTGGAACCTTGGAATTAAAACTGAAAAGCTCAGTCCGGTGGTAGAAAAAAAGATGATTTTTAAATGGCTTTGGAGTTATTCACTGTTCAGACATCCCAAATCCAGGCTTTAAAAAAATCTCAATAGCCGCTCTTTGTCCCTTTTCCAGACACTCCCATGAATAAGATTCCTACTAGACAGAAGGATTTAAGAATGGTTAAGATAATCATTACTTTAAAAATTATTGTTTTGAGATTGAGCTTTGCTTGTCATCCAGACTGTAGTGCAGTGGCGCACTGTGGGCTCAGTGCAACCTCCGCCTCCCAGGTTCAAGCAATTCTCCTGCCTCAGCCTACCAAGTAGCTGGGATTACAGGCGGCTGCCACCATGCCCGGCTAATTTTTGTATTTTTAGTAGAGACGGGGTTTCACCATGTTGGCCAGGCTGGTCTTGAACTCCTGACCTCAAGTGATCCACCCGTCTAGGCCTCCCAAAGTGCTGGGATTACCGGCGTGAGTGCCCGGCCAGAGAATCATTGTTAATGTTATTCACTAGAGCCATTCAGAACTAAGAATCCTGGTTAAAGGAAATCTCAACCCCTCCTGGCAGTCTGTGCCTCTCACAGAGACCAGCTCCATAAAATAACTGCCTATAAACAGAAGATCCTTAAAGCACTAGGGATTAATTACTAACATTAGATTTAGACATTAGGGCCATTGTGTTTAAAACAAAAATTTCAATCTACATCCAAAAAGGGAAAGATTTTAAGAAGTTAGGTTCTTTTCTTTAGCACATGATTACAGCCTAAAAAGGAACTACTAGGGGAAGTGTGAGGATATTTACACACTTTCATTGACCAAGGACTCTTGGCTTTGTTCTGGGGACAAAGTGTGATGGTCGGAGGCAGAAGTAAAATGACTGTTAGCCCTCCTGAGCTCCATGGCAAACACACAGCCTTTGTTAATGCTGGTCTTGGCCTCCACCTGTATTCATGCACGAGGTAGAACCTCTCTTTTTTCTAGAGAAAACGCCAAGGCTGCATGCATGCAGATGCAAGGGCAGGCTGCTTGTTCACTGGAATACAGCTACTTCACTGATTACACTGATTCCATTTTTAAATTATTTTTTTTTTTTTCTGGAGAGGGAGGTTGGATAGAGGAGAAGGAAGTTTCAGGGAGTCAAAGGCCCAGAAACTCAGTGGAATGACTCTTCTCACCACCTGTTCTGTTCCCTGCTGCTGACAATTCCCACTGAGCCCTTCAAGTGTCTCCCACACACAGGACAAGTACTGCTGCTCCTACCTCCTCTCCCATGGACGCAAACATTGGTGGGAGCAATCATTTTATTTTTATGGCAAAGAGAAGCCCTGAGGGGACCCACATGGATGTCTTCAAGGTGACAGGCAGAGCCTGAGGCTCTGAAAAAGGCTGGCCTAAAACTACTGCACTAGATGTGCATTTCCCGCTTGGACGAATCTCATTTGAGAATTAATGACATAGCCTTTGCCTACGTGGGGCCCTGTTGGCTCTGACTGCAGTCAGGTTTGGGGTAGGCAGTGTAGAAACCCCCAAGATACCCTCACAGGCATCTGTAACACTCATGTTAGGGGTTTATTTATACTAAACCACAGTAGGTTCATGCAAATCTAAAAACACTTTATGACGTGTTTGTGTCTAAAATCCTTAATCTCTTAAAGCAATTAAAAAAAAAAAAAGCAGACCCCAAATTGAAAACAGGCTTTCCAATTTCAATGGGTAGTATTTTCTTCCGAGTCCTGTATTATCATTGGCCAGATTTTCAGAATTATTTTTTTAAAAGACTACTTTAGGAATTTTGTTAAAGGATACTGTCACCATTTATGCATCAAAAACTGGCAAAATTGTGCCACCTATGGATCCAGAGCAGAGACATGTTTGAATACAAATTCCCAATGAAACTAAACCTGGGGGTTTTCAGGGCTCAAAATCAAAACCTATAGCCTTGTTAAATGCTCATATATACTTTTTTTTTTTTTCTGAGACGGAGTCACCCTCTGTTGCCCAGGCTGGAATGCAGTGGCGCAATCTCAGCTCACTGCAACCTCCGCCTCCCGGGTTCAACCTGTTCTCATGTCTCAGCCTCCCCAGTAGCTGGGATTATAGGTGCCTGCCACCATGCCTGGCTAATTTTTGTATTTTTAGTAGAGATGGGCTTTTGCCACATTGGTCAGGTTGGCCTCGAACTCCTGACCTCAGGTGATCCACCCGTCTTGGCCTCCCAAAGTGTTGGGATTACAGGTGTGAGCCACCGTGTCCAGCCTCACATATGCTATTAACTTTTCATTCCTTTGTCAACTGCAAGAATCGTAGTATTTGACAAGTTGGGTTTTTCTTGTCAAATATTACCATTCTTGCAGTTGACAAAGGAATGAAAGTTTTTTTTTTTTTCAGTAGCTTGGCAAAACAATCCTCTTATTTCCGATGACAACAATACTCTCATTTTCTTCTAATTCCTGAAAATCAACATGTAACATACTTCATTTTATTGTGCTTTGCAGATAACGTGTGGGGTTTTATTTTTATTACAAATTGAAGGTTATTACAAATTGAAGGTTTGTGGCCACTGATGAAGTCTACTAGCACCATTTTTCCAATAACACATACTCACTTTGTTTCTCTGTCAGAATTTTTAAGCAAAGTATTTTACAATTAAGGTGCATCCTTTGTTTTTTAGACATAATGCTACTGCACACAATAGACTATAATTTTTTTTTTTTTTTTAAGATGCAGTATTGCTCTGTTGCCTAGGCTGGAGTGCCATGGCACAATCTCAACTCACTGCAGCCTCCACCTCCTGCGTTCAAGTGATTCTCCTGCCTCAGCCTCCCAAGTAGCTGGGATTGTAGGTGTGCTCCACCACACCTGGCTAATTTTTACATTTTTAGTAGAGAATGGGGTTTCACCATGTTGGACAGGCTGGTCTTGAACTCTTGACCTCAGGTGATCCACCACCCACCTCGGCCTCCCAAAGTGCTGGGATTATAGGCATGAACCACCACGCTCAGCATTTTTTTTTTTTTTTTTTTTTTTTTTTGAGACAGGGTATTACTCTGTCACCCAGGCTGGAATGCAGTGGCACAATCATAGCTTATTGCAGCCTTGAACTCCTGGGCTCAAGCAATCCACCTGCCTCAGCCTCCTGAATAGCTAGAACTACAGCTACTCCACCACACCTGACTGATGTAAAACATTTTTTTTGTAGAGATGGGGTCTTGCTATAGTTGCCCAGGCTGGTCTCAAACTCCTAGACTCAAGTGATCCTCCTACCTCAGCTTCTCAAAGCACTGGGATTACAGGTGACAGCCACCTCACCCAGCCAACGTAACTTTTATATGCACTAGGAAACCAAAAAATTTGTATGACTCACTTTACTATGATGGTCTGTGGAAGCGAACTCACATATCTCCGAGGTATGACTGTACATAACTGTGAAAACCTGAAATTAAATAAACTGTATTGTCTACAGATGCCAAAACAGTGGCAAAAAAATAAATAGCCCTTACTTATATTTTACCCTGAGTGTGGTTCTGAATTTGAAGAATGGTTACTCAGAGGCAAAGAGATTGGGGAAAAAAAGATCAGTCTAAATCTTGATATTATTTCTCCTAGACTTAACCGGTCTCCAGGGTCCGCAATAGGGGAGACTTTGGGTTCATCATGGGATCTCTAAAGTAAGTGGCTTAATGATAATATTGCGAGCTTTATTACTATCATGCTTATACTCTGAAATACTTGATTCTAACAGGATATGGACATACATATCCAATTAGACAGATGTAGCTTGCTGAGTAACTTCCAAAACAAGAGAGAGGAAAGAAATAGGAGATTGAAAAATATATATATATTTGGGCATGGTGATTTGTGCCTGTAGTCCCAGCTCCTGGGAGGCCGAGGTGGGAGGATCACTTGAACCCAGGAGGTGGAGGCTGCAGTAAGCTATGATCATACTACTGCACTCCAGCCTGGGTGACAGAGCAAGACCCTGTACCAAAGGAAAACAAAAAAGATATTTTGAACTGTGAGTTCTCTGCCCAGAGGCACACAATAATTCTGAATATTTGGCCAACAATATATAACCCAGAAGAATGCAAATTGGCTGCTGTTAATTTTGGATGAGGTCAAAGTCTGGAATCAGTAACTAGGGTTCCTCTGTTAACTCTAAAGACTGGACAGACTCAAGTGAAACAAGGTGCGCTGGAATCCATCAGAGATGGTGGTGGATATTTCATAGTACACAGACCACATAAGACATTAACAATGGTACTCCCTCAGGGAGTTGTAATGAAGTGAGTTGACCCCGGGAAAGCTTTTCGGGCATTTTATGGCATCCGTTAAGGGCAAAATAACTGTGAGGTCATCAGACCTTGTGACAGTTATGACTATTAGAAAGTTTCCACTGGCATTTAGCAACAAAATCATTTGCCTTATTAATGACATCATTTAACCAACGGAGAATGAGACTCAGGAAAGGCTAAGGGAAGGGCTCCAGACACACAGCTCAACAGTAACAGCTGCAGGGCCCACATTCCAGCAGCTGGGCTCCAGAGTCTAAGCCCTCAACACCTAGGCTCTATGTGAGCAAACAGTACCTCTAGAGCCTTCGCAACTCTGAAGCCTGTTGGGACCCTGGAATCTTCCCAGTCAGCCATCTAGTACACTGAAGAAACTAATAATCAAAAAGAAGAAGAAAAAAGGGATATGAGTTCGGTTCTGATTATTATTGTTGTGTAAAAAAACCACTTCAAACTTAAGTGATACAGAATAGCAGTTCTCAGGGTTGGTAAACTGCTGAGGGACCCAAAACACTTTCAGGCGGTCTGTGAGATTAAAACTATTGTTATGGCTGGGCGCGGTGGCTCACGCCTGTAATCCCAGCACTTTGGGAGGCCGAGACGGGCGGATCACGAGGTCAGGAGATGGAGACCATCCTGGCTAACACAGTGAAACGCCGTCTCTACTAAAAATACAAAAAATTATCTGGGCGTGGTGGCGGGTGCCTGTAGTCCCAGCTACTCAGGAGGCTGAGGCAGGAGAATGGCGTGAACACAGGAGGCGGAGCTTGCAGTTAGCCGAGATCACGCCCTGGGTGACAGAGCGACACTCTGTCTCAAAAAAACAAAAAAACAAAAAAAAAAAACTATTGTTATAATAGCACAAATACATTCTTGACCTTTTCACCATATCCACATTTATACTGATGACACATTATAAAAGTGGCCAAAAGCGCTGGTGCCTCAGCAGAAATTAAGGCAGTGGGCTGGGCACGGTGGCTCATGCCTGTAATCCCAGCACTTTGGAAGGCCAAGGTGGGTGGATCACCTGAGGTAAGGAGTTAGAGACCAGCCTGGTAATAAACATGGTGAAACCCGTCTCTACTAAAAGTACAAAATTAGCCGGGCATTGTGGCATGCGCCTGTAATCTCAGCTACTTAGGATGCTGGGGCAGGAGAATCGCTTGAACCCGGGAGGCGGAGGTTACAGTGAGCCGAATCACACCATTGCACTCCAGCCTGTGGCTAAAAAGAGCAAAACAGCATCGCAAAAAAAAAAAAAAAAAAAAAAAATTAAGGCAGTGGCACTGAACTGCGCAGTCACTGAATGCCTCACTGCCCCACACTCAGGCTAAATAAAAATGTCCTTGAAGGAACAGCAAAAGTTGGAAAGCTTAGATCTGTCACCTTAGAAGCGTCTCAACGCATAAAAACTTTTCTGATAGGATCAATGGTCATGTTCATGAAGGTTTATTTTAGACACTGTACTTTAAAATGGGTAAACATTTGAAAGATCTGCATAATGAAGTAAATGACTATTTCCTTTCATTTTAGAAATGAGGGTCTCACTATGTTGCCCAGGCTGCTTTCGAACTCTTGGACTCAAGGATTCTCCTACTTTGGCCTCCCGAAGTGCTGAGATTACAGGCAAGAGCCACTGTGCCAGCCCTATTTTCTAAGTCAGGTATTAAGGTATAAAATCATGCATTGATAAAATAGCCAATCAAAGTGCAAGATATGGGCTGGACGCCATGGCTCATGCCTGTAATCCCAGAACTTTGGGAAGCCAAAGCGGGTAGATTGAGGTCAGGAGTTCAAGAGCAGCCTGGCCAACATGGTGAAACCGTTTCTACTAAAAATACAAAAATTCACCAGGTGTGGTGGTGGGTGCCTGTAATCCCAGCTACTCAGGAGGCTGAGGCTGGAGAATTGCTTGAACCCAGGAGGCGGAGGCTGCAGTGAGTGGAGATCGCACCATTGCACCCCAGCCTGGGCAACAAGAGCAAAATTCCATCTCAAAAAAAAAAAAAAAAAAAAAGGCCGGGCGCAGTGCCTCACGCCTGTAATCCCAACACTTTCGGAGGCCGAGGCAGGTGGATCACGAGGTCAGGAGATTGAGACCATCTTGGCTAACACAGTGAAACCCCGTCTCTATTAAAAATACAAAAAATTAGCCGGGCGCGGTGGCGGGAGCCTGTAGCCCCAGCTACTCGGGAGACTGAGGCAGGAGAATGGTGTGAACCTGGGAGGCAGAGCTTGCAGTGAGCCGAGATTGCGCCACTGCATTCCAGCCTGGGCGACAGAGCGAGACTCTGTCTCAAAAATAAATAAATAAATAAATAAAAGGAAAAGAAAAAAATAGTGCAAGACAAACAAATGAATTTTAATGTAACAGAATAGAAACAATTCCTTAACAGGATTTCATTCCATATTGCAACTAATCTTTCAGAAACTACCATTTCTTGAGTTTTGGTGTAATATCAAAGAAAATCCAAAATTACCTGAAAATGCTTCTCTCTTTTCCAACTACGTATCTCAGCAAAGCCAAACTTTCTAATCAAAGCAACTAATGGCAAAAAATGTAGAAACAAGTATGAGAATTCAGCTGTCATCTATTAAGCTCTTAAGACATTAAAGAGATTTGCAAAAGCATGCAATATGTCGCTCTTTCCACATTATTTTGTTGCCATTGTGGAAAAGTTATTTTTAAAAAGCATGTTATGTATATTACTAAAATATTTTTAAAATTTGCCCCAATTCCTTTTGTTTTGAGATGAAGTCCTGCTCTGTCACCCAGGCTGGAGGCTGGAGCACAGTGGCATGATCTCAGCTCACTTCAACCTCTGCCCCCTGGGTTCAATCAGTTCTCTTGCCTCAGACTCCTGAGTAGCTGGAATTACAGGCACACACCACCATGCTGGCTAGTTTTTTTGTATTTTTAGTAGAGACAGGGTTTCACCATGTTGGCCAGGCTGGTCTCAAACTCCTGACTTCAGTTGAGCCGCCGGCCTCAGCCTCCCAAAGTGCTGGGATTACAGGCAAGAGCCACCATGCTTGGCCTGCCTTAATTTCTAAAATGTTAAATATTCACAGATAGAATGCCCATTGGCAAAAGCTTTTTGGGGTGCTCAATTTTTGGAGTATAAAAGAGTCTCAAGATAAAAAAGGTTGAGAACTGCTGGTACAGAACCACTACTACTCTATTATGTTAACAGATCATGGGGCAGGAATTTGGACAGGATACAGGAGGAATGAATGGCTTTTCTCTGCCTCACAATGTCCAGGGCCTAGCTGGGAAGTCTTACACAGCTGATGCTGAATCCAAAGGCTGGGGGCTGGAATCATCTGGATTCTATTATCACTCTTGTATCTGATGTTTTCCCTGAAATGGCTAAAAAACAGACAGCAGCTGGTGGCTGTTGATGGCAGCATCTACATGTAACCCCTCCCTGTTACAGCATAGCTGCTAGTTCCCAAGAGGAAGCACTCTGAGAGGAGGAAGCATCTCAAGAGGGAATGTTCCAGCCAGAAGGGAACCGCATGGCCCTTCGTGGCCTTGCTTTGGAAATCTCATGGAATCATTTATGTTGTACTCCTTTGGGAAATGCAGTCAAAGGTCAGTGCAGATACAAGGGGGAGGTAAAAGTATCAAAGAATTTTAGGGCCGTGTTTTAAAACCATCGGAGTCTGCATGTGGCTACAAATTATTAATATTTATACTTCCCATGTACAAGAAACTCTCACCACTTCCTAAGGCCACACCAAAGTCTCATGCCCGTGGTAGTAGACTCTGGTTTTATGTCCAGGATCTGGTCATCCAAATAAGGTGCAATCCAGAAAAGACGGCCAAGAGCAGTGGCTCACGTCTGTAATCCCAGCACTCTGGGAGGCTGAGGTGGCAGGATCCCTTGAGTCCAGCAGTTCAAGACCAGCCTGGTCAACAGAGAGAGACCCTCTCTCTACAAAAAAATACAAAAATTAGTCAGGCGTGGTGGCACATGCCTCTGGTCCCAGCTACTCAAGAGGCTGAGGCAGGAGGATCACCTGGGCCCAGGAGGTCAAGGCTGCAGTGAGCTATGATTGTGCCACTGCACTCCAACCCTGGCAAGAACAGCAAAAAAGACCCCTCTTACCCCCCACAAACACATGCCGGGTGTGGTGGCATGTGCCTGTAGTCTCAGCTACTCAGTAGGCTGAGGCAGGAGGATCACTTGAGCCCAGGAATTCAAGGATGCAGTGAGCTATGACTGCATCACTGAACTTCAGCCTGGGTGATGGAATGAGACCCTGTCTCAAAAAATGTTTTGAAAAGTGGCTGGGCACAGTGGCTCATACCTGTAATCCCAGCACTTTGGGAGGCCAAGACAGGAAGACAGCTTGAGCCCAGGAGTTTGAGACCAGCCTGGGAAAAATGATGAAACCCTGTCTCTACCAAAAAAAAAAAAAAAAAAACAAATAGCTGGGCATGGTGGCATGTGCCTATAGTCCCAGCTACTCAGAAGGCTGAGGCAGAGGATCGCTTGAGCCTGGCAGGCAGAGATTGCAGTGAGCCAAGATCACTGTGCCACTGCACTCTAGCCTGGGTGCCAGAGTGAGACTCTGTCTCAAAATATAAATAAATAAAAATAAAAATTTAAAAATAACAATAAAACATAAATAAAAATCATAAAAAAGTCCTTGGGTTTGGTTTCTTGAATATACTCCTGCTCCTCTAGATTTGAACATTTGTAAGCTAAAGAGACAAGTTATCTGTTCCCCACAAAACCAATACAGAGTTTGAGACAGGAATGGGATAGTTAAAATAGACATTCCTATTAAAAAGGCATGGGTGGGGAGAAATGGGATTCCACAGCAGCCCCTGACCCACAGCAATTCTTAAATTCAGGCAGGAACATGTTATCTGTTTCTCAAGCACCAGTGCAGCTCCACAGGAGTGAGTCTTCTGAAGTTCTGTACTCTGAATCATACTTGCTTTCCCATAAAAAGTAAACATTTTCAACTGAGTAGTTTTATAGGCCTATTTCATCTGTTTGCTATCTGCAGTTTGGGGGTTCAAAGGTCTCTTTACATTTTGTACTACTTCTTTCCATTTTGTTTGGACAAAGTTGACCTTGCTTTTGCCAACTTTTTTTTTTTTTTTTGCAATAAAAAACCTTTTCCCATTTATCTCCATTAATTTTATTGGATTTGTGTCATTAGACAAAAGTCATGGCTAAAATCTCTTAGGCCCTTCTCTATCTTGGACCACTGTCTGTGAGAATGCAGGGGAACAATGCCCAGAAGGGATGCTGAGATACTCTTTTGGTTAATGAAAACGCACCTTATTTGAACTTCTACATACGATATCTATTCATAAGACTCTATCAAACACCAAACTAAAGGTCTCTGAGGTCTTAAGAAATGGTTCTATGATAAAAGGTTTTCATAATAAAATCTCTCAGTGAACTACTGTAGTCCCAGCTAGATGGGAGGCTGAGGTGGGAAGATCACTTGAGCCCAAAGTTAGAAGCTGCAGTGAGTTATGATTGCATCACTGGACTCCAGCCTGGGCAACAGAGTGAGACCCTGTTTCAAAAAAAAAAAAGAAAAGAAAAGAAAAAAATTAAAATGCATAAATAAATGCTGAAAAAATAAAAAATGAAATAAAATCTCTCAGTGAACAAGCAGTGGAAGGGAACTTCGTCAACCTAATAAAGCTGTCTTCAAAGAAACCCACAGCTAACATCATACTTAATGGTAGAAGACGGAACGCTTTCTGCCTAAGGTTGGGAATAAGACAAGGATGTGTGTTCTCACCACTCTCATTCAACACTACTGGAGGCCCTAGCCAGTACATTAAGAAAATATAAAGAAATAAAAGGGACAGATATCAGAGAGAAAGCAAAACTGCCTTTATAATACAGAGCATAAGATTTGTTTATGTAGAATATTCCAAAAAGTTACAGGAATAGATAACTATAAAAAGTTTGCAGGATTCAAGGTCAAATATAAATTATATATAAATATAAATAATTTTATATACTAGCACTAAAAAATTGAAAATTTAAAACTAGCATTTATAATACCATCAATGAAATGGTGCAATACAGAAAACCACAAAACACTGTTGAAAGAAATAAGACCTAAATTAATGGGGAGATTGTCTTAGTCCGTTTGGGCTGCTAGAACAAAATACCATAGACTAGATGGCTTATAAACAACAGATATGTATTGCTCACAGTTCTGGAGAATGGGAAGTCCAAGATTGAAGTGTTGGCAGATTTGGCATCTGATGAGGTCCCACTTCTTGGTTCACAGATGGTGACTTCTTGCTGTGTCCTCACAAGGCAGAAGAGATGAGCAAGCTCTCTGGAATCTCTTTTATAAAGGCACCAATCTAATTCATTAGTGCTCTGCCCTCATTAGCCTAATCATCTCCAAAAGGCCTCGCCTGCCAATATCATTGGACTGGGGATTAGGATTTCAACCATATAAATTTTGCGGGTATGCAAACATTCAGACCACGGCAGAGATATACTGTGTCTATGGTTCAGAACAGCCAGTATTAAGACGCCAATTCTCTAATTCATCTTTAGATTAAACCAAATCTCAGTTAAAAAAAAAAAAATCCCGGCAGGCTTTTTATGGAAACCAGTAAGTTTACACTAAAATTTATGTGAAAAGGCCGGGTGTGGTGGCTCACACCTGTAATCCCAGCACTCTGGGAGGCCAAGGTGGGTGGATCATGAGGTCAGGAGATCGAGACCATCCTGGCTAACATGGTAAAACCCCATCTCCATTAAAAATACAAAAAAAAAGAAATACAAAAAGCCGGGCGTGGTGGCAGGCGCCTGTAGTCCCAGCTACTCAGGAGGCTGAGGCAGGAGAATGGCGTAAACCCGGGAGGCAGAGCTTGCAGTGAGCTGAGATTGCACCACTGCACTCCAGCCTGGGTGACAGAGCGAGACTCCGTCTCAAAAAAAAAAAAAAAAAAAAAAAAAAATTTACGTGAAAAAACAAAAAACACGGACCATCCCAAATGATTCTGAAAATTAAGGTCAATGTTGGAACTCTCGCACCACTTGCTTTCAAGATTTACTAGACAGCTACCATAATCAAAAATGTATAGTATCCGCAGGCCAGATGCGGTGGCTCGCGCCTGTAATCCCAGCACTTTGGGAGGCTGAGGTGGGTGGATCACTTGAGGCCAAGAGGTTGAAACCAACCTGGCCAACATGGTGAAACCCTGTCTCTACTACAAACACAAGTTAGCCAGCTGTGGTGGCACGCACCTATAGTCTCAGCTACTTGGGAGGCTCAGGCACAAGTCCCAGCTACTCGGGAGGCTGAGGCACAAGAATTGCTTGAACCTGGGAGGTGGAAGCTGCCGTGAGCTGAGATGGTACCACTGCACTCCAGTCTGGGTGATACAGTGAGACTCTGTCTCAAAAAAAAAAAGTGTAGTATTAGCAAAAGGACAGACACATAGATTAGCTGAAACGGAATAGATCCCAGAAATAGATTTAAACATAAGTCATCAATTTCATTTTCAAAAAAGGTACAAATAATCCAATAGAGAAAAGACTGTTTTCAACCAACTGTCGTGCAAAAAAAAATTAAAACATTCGTATCCCTTCTACCACCTCCAAAAGTAACCTTAACCCGTGCATTGCAAAAAGGATCACAGAAGGGCTCGCACTTCCCAATTTCAAAAATTACTCTAAAGCTACAGTAATCAGGACAGTGTGGTTACAAACAGGTTAGACATGTACAATGGAGGTGAACTGAGAGTCTAGAAATAAATCTTAATGCTGGGCACAGTGGCTCACATCTGTAATCCCAGCACTTTGGGAGACAGAGGCAGGAGGATTGCTTGAGCCCAGGAGTTCAAGACCAGTCTGGGCAACAAAATGAAACCCTGTCTCTACAAGAAATACAAAAATTAGCCAGGCGTGGTGGTGTATACCTGTAGTCCCAGCTACTTGGGAAGCTCAAGGAGGAGGATCACTTGAGCCTGGGAGGTCAAGGCTGCAGTGAGCCAAGATCACACCACAGCACTCCAACCTGGGTTAACAGAGCAGGACCCAGTCTCAAAACAAATAAATAAGCCTTTACATTTATGGTTAACTGATTTTTGACAAGAGTGCCAAGACAATTCAATGGGATAAACAGTCTTTTCAACACATATGCTAGGGTAACTGGGTGTTACATGCAGAAGAATGAAGCTGGATACACTGTTCACAGCATGCACAAATATTAGTTCAAAATGGATCATAGAACTAACTTTAAGAGCTAGAACTATAAAAATCCTAGAAGAAAATATAAAAGACTTCACGACCTTGGGTTAGGCAATGGTTTCTCAGATTTGACACCAAAAGCATAAGAAAAAAATAAACTTAAAACTTTTACACTCGAAAGGATATCATCAAGAAAGTGAAAGGACAACACAAAGAATGAAAGAAAATACTTGTAAACGATTTATTTGATATGGTATTTGTACCTAGAATTTATAGGGCTCTTGAAACCCAATAATGAAAAGAACTCAATTTAAAAATGGCAAAGGATCTAAATAGACATTCTCCCAAAGAAGACAGATACATAGTCAACAAACTGATGAAAAGATGATCAATATCTTTAGTTTTCAGGCGAGCTAAGCCCAGAAAAAAAAAATAATAAAAATCTTTAGCCACCAGGGAAATAAAAATAAAAAACTACAAATACTGTTTCCCACCCAATAGGTGTTATCAAAAAAAAGATTAAAAAGATAGTTACTAAATGGTAAAAGATTCAATGATTTACTCCCAAGACCAGAAACAAGACAAGAATGTCTAGTCTCTCAATTTCTATTTAACAATACACTGCAGGTTCTGGTTAATGTAACAAGAAAAATACAAAACGCATACAGATTGGAAAGGAAGAAGTAAAAAATTTTATATGCAGACAACAGAATTGTCCTAGTAGAAAATATGATAGAACCTACTAAAAAGCTGCCAGAAGCTGGGTGCGGTGGCTCACGTCTATAATCCCACCACTTTGGGAGGCCGAGGCAGGTGGATCGCTTGAACCTAGGAGTTCTAGACCAGCCTGGGCAACATGGCGAAACCCTGGCTCTACTAAAAATACAGAAAAATTTAGCTGGGTGTGGTGGTGCACGCGTGTAGTCCCAGTTACTCCAGAAGGTGAGGCACAAGAATCGCTTGACCCCGAGAGGCGGAGGTTGCAGTGAGCCAAGCTCATGCCACTGCACTCTAGCCTGGGATACAGAGTGAAACTTGTCTTAAAAAAAAAAAGCCCATGCGCGTTCCTCAGGTCTTGCAGGCAGCAGGCGTGGGTGAACGCTTGGCACTTGGTGGAGACAGAGAGGCCGGCGGGATATCAGCAGCGCAGCCGGGGTACCGGAGGTGGTCTCGGGCGAGGCGCTCCGGGTCTGAAGGGCTCCAGCCAAACGGAGCTCGCAGCCAAACAGTGCTGGTGGCTCCTGAGCTGAGTGAGGCCTAGGCTTGGAGGCTGTGCTCGGAGTAACGCAAAAGAGAATGAAAGACGTAGATAATCTCGAAAGTATAAAAGACTGGGTTTGTGAAACAGGACCTGACAATCAAGGTCTTGGTGATAATCAATAAACAAATTGTGAATAGTTTGTTGATAGCCTTTTTGAGGAAGCTCAGAAGGTTGGTTCCAAATGCTTGTCTCCCACTTAACAAAAGAAACAGGTAGACGTAAACATAAAATTATGGAAAAATGGATTCACCGTCAACAATTATTTCAGAAGTTATTCAAATGGTGCAAGTCAGCAGTTTCTGAACTCCATCAAAAAGGGGGAATTACCTTCAGAATTACAGGGAATTTTTGATAAAGAGGTGGGTGTTAAAGTTGAAGACAAGAAAAATGAAACATATATGTCTACGAAGCCTGTCTTCCAGCTCTTTTCAGGACAGGGTCACCAAGTAGGAAGGGTAAGCCATATCAAAGACTTCATTGAAAACTACCAAGGATCTCAAAAGAAGTCCTCCCCTGTCCCTGGCAACAGTTTGTCCTATCCTCAGATTGTTAGATGAGACACTCACACTGGAAGAAGCAGATTTACAGAGTTTTGTTGTCAGAGACTCCAAAAAACTGCTGCACCATTGATTTTTGATAGACTAAGTGGAAAATCTGCAGAGAAATGATGGTTGTAAGCAGACATGCAAACCAAATTGGGGACTGGGTAAGTCAGATTCACTGGACTTTTGGTTCGGGTACTATTGAACTCTCTCCTGATGAAATGTTTAGATAAGTGCAAGTTAGAAAAGTAGCATATGACTGGAAACTATATTCTGTGCACTTTTTCCAAAAGGCTACTCAGAGAAATATATTTATTTCAAATACTAATTATCAAGATATATTAAATAGCTGTATTATTTAGAATCTTAATATAGTATAAATTGGCAAATATGTTCACAATATTATTTGTTCAAATACCATTCCCAAACAGGGATTTATTTAAATGTTAGCTGTCTCAGAGTTATTAAATGGCTAATACATTGAAAAATTATACATGGCAGGTTTAAAAGCATCAATGTAATTATTTTACAACTTAGATGCAAAGCTGGAGAGAGCTGTTTTTACCACAGCTATGCCTATACCTCAAAGTGTCCTTAGTTATCACTCTGTAATGGCAACATATATTTGAATATTAATTTGGTAGCTGGGCGTGATGGCTCATGCCTGTAATCCCAACACTCTGGGAGGCCGAGGTGGGTGGATCACCTGAGGTCAGGAATTCAAGACCAGCCTGGCCAACATGGCGAAACCTCGTCTCTACTAAAAATACAAAAATTAGCTGGGGGTGGAGGCGGGTGCCTGTAATCCCAGCTACTCGGGAGGCTGAGGCAGGAGAATCACTTAAACCTGGGAGGTGGAAGTTGCAGTGAGCCAAGATGGCACCACTGCACTCCAGCCTGGGCAGCAAGAGCAAAACTCCATCTCAAGAAAACAAAAAACAAATATGAATCTGGCGATGATATCAAAGATCTATTTTCATTTAAGAATAAAATTGTGGCCAGGTTCAGTGGCTCACGCCTGTAATCCCAACACTTTGGGAGGCCAAGATGGGAGGATCGCTTGAAGCCAGGAGTTCAAGACTGGTCAACATAGTGAGACCCCAATCTCTATTTTAATTTAAAAAATAAAAAAATAAAATTATGTAGCTTATTATAATGTTAATATATTCTAAGTATAATGTTAATATAAATCTTCCAGAACAAATTAACAAGGGTGCAGCATACAAGATGAATATATGTAAAAAAACTGTGTTCCTCTATAGTAGTAGTGAACTAGCAGAGAAATTGAAATTTTTAAAATACCATTTGCAATAGTGTCAGAGAAAAAATGCCTAGGAAGACCCAAACACCGAAAAACACAAATACTACTGAGAAAAAAATTATAAATCCTAAATAAGTGGAGAGATATATTATGTTCATGGGTTGAAATGCTCAATATTGTGAAGACATCAATTATTCTGCAGATTCAACACAATGATAATCAAAATCTTAGTGAATTACTTTGGGGGTGTGGGGTGGTGCTGGTAGAAATTGACAACCTGATTCTAAACTTTATATGGAAATACGAAAGTCCTGTAACAGCTGTAAGTCAACAAGGTACAGCCACATCAAGACCAAATGTGGCTCACAGCCTATAACTGTATAGGTTGAATGGAATGTGAGAACTATTTTTATATTTTAAAAGGTCTGTAATAGAAAAAATAATATGCAACAGAAACTATATATAGCATGTAAAGCTTAAAATCTCTACAATCTGGTCTTTTATAAAAAACTTTGCCAACCTCTGACCTAAAATAGTAAAGACAACTCTGAAAAGAAAAAGCTGGAAGACTAAACTCTATCGGACTTCAAAAGTTATGAAGTTGTCAAGAGAGGGTAGTCTTGGAATAAAAGATAAGTAGCTATATGGAACAGAACAGTTGAGAAGCAGACACACGTATAAAGACAACCAATATTTCAAGAAAGAAGCAAAGGCAATTAAGTGGAGAAAGGATAGTCTTTTCAATAAATGATGCTAGAACAATGAGATACAAAGAAAAAAAAAACCCCAAATTTTGATCCAATCTTTGTGCCATATAAAGATTTTAACTCAAAGTGCACCATGTACTTGTACCACAAGTACAACATATTAAATATATTGTAATACAGATACTCCTCAACTTATGACAGGGCTATGTCCTGACAAACCTATTGTAAGTTGAAACTATCATAAGTTGACAATTTGTAACCCCATCATAAATTGAGAAACATATTGAATGCATAATATGTTTGCACCATTGTAAATTAAAAACAATACTAAGTCAAACTCCATAAATTGGGAAGTGTATTTATGTTACCTCTGTTAAAATGAAATGTTTTATTATATATTTAAATGTACATTATATTAAATATAAAGTATTAATATCAAATACACTAATAGGTTTAATATTAAATATATTACAAATTTTAAACTCTCAAAATTCAATAAATATTGCAAAACCACATGATCGTGCCACGCACTTCAGCCTGGGAGACAGAGTAAAACCCTGTCTCTATATAAAAAAAAATAAAAATAAATAAAAAATAAAGCCAATATAAACAGGCAAAAGATTTGAACAGACTCTTCCCCAAAGGCTTAAAGAAGGCCAGTAAGCACGTGAAACCATGTAAGACATCATTAGTCACTAGGGAAATGCAAATTAAAACCATGAGATACTACTACACACCTATTAAAATGGTCAAAATAAAAAAGACTGACCATACCAATAATTGGCAAGGATGCAGAAGAATTGCAACTCTTATATACTGCTCATGGAAATGTCAAATGGCATAACTACTTGAGAAAGGTTTAGCAGTCTCTTAAAAACTTAAACGTACACTAACATATGATCTGATCATTCCACTCTTAACTATTTAAAGAAACAGAAGCACATGTTTAAAGAATAATCTGCATATGGGTATTCAAGGCAGTTTTAATTGCAATAGCCAAAAGGTAGAAATAACACATGGATAAATAGCTTGTGGTATGCCTTGCAATGGAATACTATTCAGCAGTGAAATGGACCCTACAACATAAATGGATCTGAAAAAATTATCCTGAAAGATGCCAGACTATATGATTCCATTTATATAAAAACTGTACATAATATAAAGTCGTCTATTCTAAGAGAAAGCAAATCAGTGGATCAGGAGAGTGACAGGCAGGGAAGGGTGAGGAGAAGAAGAAATTATAAAAGGGCATGAGGAAACCATCTGGTTTGATAGGTATGTTCATTATCTTGATGGTGTGTATGTACACATATGTGTATGTGTCCAAACTTAAAGTGTATGCTAAAAACATGTGCAGTTTATTACATGGCAATTATATCTCAAACTTACTGAAAGAACCTGCCTCAATAATTCAAACCAAAGATTCTCAGCAACAGTGAAAAAAGATCATTAAATGTACACTTCACCAAAGACTCATAAGCATATGAAAGTGATGTTCAATATCATTAGTCTTTAAAGACATATAGAAAGGCAAACTTAAATAATTTATTTGGTTTTCTTTGCTGGCGTCAATTTTCTTTTTTTTTTGAGACAGGGTCTCATCCTGTTGCCCAGGCTAGAGTGTAGTGGCACGATCAGGGCTCACTGCAACCTCTGCCTCCCTGACCAGGCTCAAGCAATCCTCTTGCCCCAGCCTCCTAAATAGCTGGGACTATAGGCACAAACCAGTACACCCAGTTAATCTTATTTATTCTTTGTCAAGATGAGGTTTCACTATATTGCCCAGGCTGGTCTTGAACTCCTGGGCTCAAGTGATCCTTCTGCCTTGGCCTCCCAAATTGCTGGAATTAAGGTGTGAGCCAGCATGCCTGGCCAGTACCAATTTTCTTGTGTGCAATAAGTGAAAATTTGTACCCCTAAATGTTCCTCAATTCCCTATAACTAAGTTTTTCATTAAAAAACCCTCTGAGGATATTTTAATTTTTTTTTCTTTTTTTGAGATGGTCTTACCATATCATCCAGGCTGGAGTGCAGTGGCGTGATCTGAGCTCACTGCAGCTTCCGCCTCCCGGGTTCAAGCAATTCTGCCTCAACCTCTCGAGTAGCTGGGATTACAGGCACGTACCACCATGCCTGGCTAATTTTTGTATTTTTAGTAGAGATGGGGTTTCACCACGTTGGCCAGGCTGGTCTCGAACTCCTGACCTCAAATGATCCACTCGCTTCGGCCTTTCAAAGTGCTGGGATTACAGGAATGAGCCACTGCACCCAGCCTAAAATTGTTTTAAAGACTAGGGAAGTGTAGTAGTGACAAATGGGGGAAAGAGTGGAACTCCTCAATAATAAAGAGTTCCATCTGTAACCGTGAACAATTGAGATAACTCAGGATCTTCAGACCAGCTAGATATTTTTATTAATGATATATAACCTCTTTAAAACATGTATATTTACCAAAAGCATTCTGATATGGCATTCCTCTAGTGTGACTTTTTGCATGTAAATTAATACAGCCTTTTTGACCTTCCATACAGTCAGGTTCCTCTTCAGTGTGGATGTTTCCTAACGACCAAGTTCAAGGGCTTTCCAACATCTCTTTCACTCATGGGACTTCTCAATGTGTGCTTTGACATGTTCCCAAAGTGGAAGCTAAAAACAAAGAAGAATCTCCACACATTTTACATTCATAAGATTTTTCACACTTGTGAGATCACAGCTGAATATTAAGGTATAAGGCAGAGTGAAAGGTTTCAACACATTCCTTACAGCCAGAGGACGTGCATTTATATCCAATGTGCTCACAAGCTCAGTAAGGCCC
This sequence comes from Homo sapiens, assembly GCF_000001405.40. Taxonomy (NCBI): domain Eukaryota; kingdom Metazoa; phylum Chordata; class Mammalia; order Primates; family Hominidae; genus Homo; species Homo sapiens. The sequence goes on along the minus strand of NC_000019.10, from coordinate 9,343,420 downwards.
GAGGAAAATAATGAAAGCTTTTCCACCTTCCTCACATTCATAGCATTTCTCTCCAGCATGAGTTCAAACAGACTCAGTAAGATGTAAGCATCGACAGGTTTCCTACGTTCAGTTTGTTTCCTAGGATGCACAGACACATGAATAGTAAGGCCTATGGAAGGAGCCAAGATTTTCCCACATTCCTTACATTCATATGTCTTCTCTTCTATTGGAATTGTTAAGATCTGAGACACCAAGGAAGGCTTCCCACATTCCTTATGACTGTGTACATTGCCACTATGAATGAGTACATGTTCAGTAAGTGTGAGGAAGTAGTGGCTTTACCACATTCTTTCCAAGTATCAGCCCCAATTCACACACATTCAGTAAGGCATGAGGAATTACTAAAGGTTTGCCCACATTCCTTATATGGTTTCTCCACACTATGACTTCTTAGATGTCGAATAAGATATGTGGACCGAGTAAAGGCTTTCCCACATTCCTGACATTCAAAGGGCCGTTCACCAGTGTGAGTTCTCATGTGTACTGTAAGGCCTGATGAGATACTGAAGGCTTGCCCACACTTTTGACATTTATATGGCCTCTCCCCTGTATGTATTCTTTTATGTTGACTAAGGTGCGAGGAGTATCTAAAGGCTTTCCCACATTCCTCACATTCAAAAGGCCTTTCTGCACTGTGACTTCTCAAATGTCGAATAAGAAATGAGGATCGAATGAAGGCTTTCCCACACTGTTGACAGTCATAGGGTTTTACACCAGGATGAGTCTGCATGTGACTTTTAAAGGAAGAGGAATTAATAAAGGCTTTTCCACATTCCTTACATTGATAAGGCTTCTCACCAGTGTGAGTTCTCATATGTACAGTAAGATGTGAAGAGTTAGCAAAAGCTTTCCCACATTCCTTACATTCATAAGGCTTTTCTCCAGTGTGAGTTCGCCTGTGTTTTATAAGACCTGATGAATCAGTGAAGGCTTTCCCACATTTGTTGCACTCATACGGTTTTTCTCCAGTGTGAACCCTTATGTGAATGTTGAGTTTTGAGAAACAAGTAAATTCTTTGCCACATTCATTACAAACATAGTGTTTTCCTCTAGTTCTAAGTCTTATATGTTTAGCAAGATCTGGGGAAAAAGCAAAGGCTTTGCCAAATTTCTTATGTTCTATAGGTAACACTCTACTATGAGTTCTTAAATGTTGAGTAAGATATGACGACTCAGTGAAGGGTTTCCCACATGCTTTACATTCATAGAATTTTTCTCCATCTTGAGTTTGCATGTGTACAAAAAGGGCTGTAGAATGAGAAAAGGTTTCGACATACTCCTTATGAGTATATGGTCTCTCTCCACCATAAATTCTTACACATTCTCTGAGGTGTGAGGAGGAAGGTAAGCCTTTTTCACAGTCACTGCATTTATATGGTTTCTCTTGAGTGTGAGTTTTCTTGCAAACAAGATGTAGATTTTGGCTAGTTTTCTTGCAAACAAGATGTAGATGTTGGCTGAAGGCTGTTTCACATTGATTACAGTTAGGAAGTTCCTCTCCGATATCAGTTTTCTTGTGTAAAGTAAAGATAGAGGGTTTTCTGAAGGCTTTTTCACATTGATTACACTCACAGGTTTTCTTTCTAAAGTAAGTTCTCCTGTGAGTCTTAAGGCATGAGTGTTCACTCAAGGCTTTTTCACATTGGTTAAAGTCAAACAGTTCCTCTCCAAAATGGTTTCTCTCCTGTTGGTGAAAATTAATGATGGTTCATAGAAGTTTTCCAAATTTATTTCATTGAGATTCTCCCTTTTACTCTGAATTCTGTTACACATGGAAAATAAGTTAGTATAATTGAAACTGTTTGTTCCTGCCATTTTCATTGCAAGGCATGGTTCAGACCTGAGTGTTTTCAAGTGGAACAAAGTGACTGCAGGAAGTTCTGTTATATTCTTTACTTTCAGAGGGCTTCTAAATAGAGCTTAGCTGATAACGGCCCAAGAGTGAATTATTTATCAAAAACATCTGAGATACATATGGGAATGTTGAAGGAAATATGTAAACAAATATATTCTGAGGGATGTTTAGAGTGTTTGTCAAACTCATGATCCATAGTCTCTCCAAGAGACAGATTATTTTTGGGTGAAAAACACTAGTCTCAAATGTCTCAAGGTTATTGTGCTGCTTTTCCATTTTAAGGAATTTCCAATCTTCCTCTAACATGGAAGACAATAAATTATACCTTCTGAATCTTACCATTTCCACCACACTGGATGTTTTCCCCTGCAAAAAATTCTGCTGAGGTGCTGACCATTTGGTATTAATATGACTCTCCCAATCTGAAATAAGATGAAAAAAATTTTAAGTTCTTAGAGAAATAATGATTTTAAAAAGGGTGTTAAAAATGCAAGACTAGTATGTACTGTAGTTTCAAACACTGGCTTGAAATATAGTTTGTTTTTTTAAAGAACGGGAAACATAAATTGAGAAATTTGGATGTAGTAAGAGTCTAGCAACAGTAAGGTACTGAGGTCAAGTTGGTAGGTGATTCACTAAGAAACGGTTCTCTAGGCTGGGTGTGGTGGCTCACACCTGTAATCCCAGCACTTTGGGAGGCCAAGACAGGTGGATCACAAGGTCAGGAGATTGAGTCCTGGCCAATATGGTGAAACCCCATCTTTACTAAAATACAAAAAAAAAAAAAAAATTAGCCAGGCAAGGTGGCATGCACCTGTAGTCCCAGCTACTCAGGAGGCTGAGGCAGGGGAATCACTTGAACCCGGAAGGCAGAGGTTGCAGTGAGCTGAGATCGCGCCACTGCATTTCAGCCTGGCGATAGAGCAAGACTCTTTTTTTTTTTTTTTTTTTTTTTTAGAGACAGAGAGAGAAAAAAAAGAAATGGTTCTCTAAACATTGAGACTTTATAGTGAACAAAAAAGAGGTACAGCCAGGGAAACAAAGTTGAAAGGAAATGGATACAGAGCTAAATGCAAATCATAAATTTAAAGGAGAAGTGAGACAGATCTTAATGTCAGAGCAAAAGAAAGTTTCCAAGATGGATAAAGTGAAAGAGAAGTTAAGGTACCCAAGGAACCTTGGAAACCAATTGGCCTTGATATTCTCCCCAAAAAAGTACACTTTCAAAACCTTCCTACTTAATATTTATAAACAGACTGCACCTCTCATAGATCAGGGCTGTTTCTCACAAATAATCACATCTGTCTTTTCTCTCATCTTGGAGAATTTTCTGCGCTGTCTTTAACTCTTCTTGTTTCACCTGAAAAGTCAAACTATGTTTGCATAGCTAGTACCCTGGTCTCAGGGAAAGATGAATGATGTTAGAATGTGCAAGGGATGGCTGGGCACAGTGGCTCATGCCGTAATCCGAGCACTTTGGGAGGCCGAGGTGGGCGGATCACAAGGTCAAGAGATCGAGACCATCCTGGCTAACACAGTGAAACCCTGTTCCTACTAAAAATACAAAAAAAAAAAAAAAAAAAAAAAAATAGCCAGGCGTGGTGGTGGGCGCCTGTAGTCCCAGCTACTCGGGAGGCTGAGGCAGGAGACTGGTGTGAACCCGGGAGGCGGAGCTTGCAGTGAGCCAAGATCACGCCACTGCACTCCAGCCTGGGTGACAGAGCAAGACTCTGTCTCAAAAAAAAAAAAAAAAAAAGTAAAGAATGTGCAAGGGATAACAAATGCTTCCATGTTAAGAGCTAAGATTTTGCTGTCTGGGCATTCTGAACCCTCTCAGATATAACTTAAATTACAACACAATGTTCATGACAAAAACTTTCAAGTGAACCTAAACTTCAAATACTCTTTTCTCATTCACTGTTCACCAAAAGGACTAGCAATCCTTCCCATGAAACCCAGGCTTAAGCTCATACACATATTCAAGAAGCTCTAAGTCTTTTATCCATGGAGAAAATAAAGCTAGAACAATGAACAGATCTTCAATTTCATCAGAAAAATCACAAGGCAGTAAGGTCTATGAGATGGAAACAATGTTTCGCCTGTTTACCAATGCAGCCCATTAACAAGCAGAGTCTAGAACATAGTTACTTAAGACACATTTGTTCCAGAAAAAAACTAAATGAAAAGAATGGTACCAGCCTTACCTACTGCAACTAGATTCTTATAGTTCTCCAGCATCACATCTCTGTATAAGTTTCTCTGAGTTTGATCCAGCAAAGTCCACTCCTCCTGGGTGAAGTCCACAGCCACATCCTCAAAGGTCACTGAGTCCTAAACCATCACACACATGCTGGCGTCAGGCAAGTACGTTCTCCACTATGTTGACTGGAGAATGAGGGACCTTGTCTTGGCATGCCTTGACAAGACTCTTTGGTCTCCTATCACTTGATGGTCCTCACTTTCTTCTCCCCTGTCTGTACATATTCACCGGTGATCTCATCTAGTCATATGGCTTGAAGAGCACCTCTTTCACCTAACTGAATATATCTCAGCACAACTAGATTGTGACTTCTTCTTATTGTTCTCTACTGACAGGTTTTAGCACAACCCTGAATACATTATAGACACTCAAATAAATGCTCCAGTGACAGCACAAATTCCGAGAAGCACATGTGCATTCTCTCCCTATCACAGCAAAATGAAAGCATATCAGCATGGATGACAGTCAGACTGAATTAGTAAACAGTGGGATAGTACAATCATTTCCCTGTGAAACCTGTCAACCATGTGAGAGGCCCTGTGGTCCGAAGAAGTTTGATGAGAGATGTGGTCCCTAAGCAGACCCTCTTTGCTTGCAGGGGCCCTGTTCCACTAGGAGAAAACACATCTACATGGTAGGAAGAAGCATATGCTTCTACAGAAAAAGCAATTTCCTACTTACCTGAGAGTAATTTGTCAACCACCCAGCCACCATCCTTTCCTCTTCAAATTTTGACTCATGAAGACAGAAAACATCTTGAGAAAGATGATCTTAAGAAGAAGAAATAAAATCTGAGAATCCAGGCTGCTGATAGCTTCCATACTCACAAGGCAAGAAGCCACCTCATACTAATGCTAAGTGGACACACACACGTTATAATAAAATGCCTGAGCAGCCTGTCTCACCTGAAGCCAGAAAATATGCTTCAGGCTTTGATGACCAGGAGAGAGAGAGTTTAACAATCCCATTTTATAAGGAATACAAAGTCCAGAGAAGTTAACATTTTCCTTATTTGCCAAAAAAGAAACTGATCATGTGATTAAGCAGAACTTCTTCCACAAAAGCCTGCATACTTACTCCTCCTTCCCAAATCCCAGGATTTAGACCACAGAATATTCGTATCTACTTTAGCCTCTTCTAGGTATCTCAAAAGCAGGGCCACTTAGACCCTAAACCCTAATCACAAGACAAGCTGTTCACAGACTGGTTAAAGCAGCGTCTTGAAGGACCATCAATACGGACTTACCACAAAGGGAAAGACCAATGGCCAGCATCCTGTGAGTCTAACAGTGAAATGTGCCTGAATATCTTGTTCCCAAAGTCTCTTCGAGACACTGTCTGAACTTATGGGTAAGTCAATCTCAATTCCTCTTGATTAAGTAGTAGTGGGAGTCTTGCCTCATACCGTCAATCTTTCAGCAACAGGCATTACTCATCTGTCATCAAGCGCCATTCATTAGCCATCTCTCTGCAGAAGATGAAGTTGTTCATGTGAGTGCCACTAGAGTATTATGCCACGTGGACATAAATAATAACAAATCCCGTTTACCTAGTACCCATGTGCCAGAAACAGTGGTAGGATAAGTTCATATAATTATCAAAGCAGTTTTTGTTACTATCATATTAGTTGAGGAAACCTAAGCTCAGACACTAATTAACCCAACATCACCAATTAGAAAGTGTGAGCCAGGATATGAATACAGGTTACTCTGACTCACAAACCTAAACTCCTGAGGTTCTTCTTATTCTCCAACGTGACCATGAGATCGTCATGAAATGATGTACGGAAAGGTTAACTCAACAGGCCTGGGTTGCCCAAACCCTGCACTCTCTTGAGAAAGATCTGTCTTCAGGACTGACACTTGGCTCAGTTTGTGAGAGATGACCTTTTAGCTTATGGAATATCTTCCCTGGTAAGTGTATATTTTTCTATGGTTGAGCTATTGAGCCAAACTATACTAGTGTGACCAGATTGTGTATGCTAACAATATGATTTATGCTGAAGGCCTGTTTTTGTATGCCTGAGGCTTCTGGCAATAATGCATGAGTTTGAACTGTTGAGGGGCTGGGCATAAGTGTATGAAGTCATTCAGGTGCTGTATGCCTACGGGACTAACCCTCAGTAAAAATCCTGGACACCAAAGCTCAGGTGAGCTTCCCTAGTTGGCAACAGTTTGCAGGAATACTACACACTTTTACTAGGAGAATTAAGCACTGTCCATGTGACTACATGGGAGAGAAGCCTGGTTTCTTCTAGACTTCATTCATCTTTTCCCTTTGCAGATTCTAATCTGTACCCTTTTATTATAATAAACCATAACTGTAGGTTTAATAGCTTCTGAGTCCTGTGAGTGCTTCCATCACTGAGCGTGAGGGTGGTGGTCTTGAGGACCCCCAACACAAATGGCTTATTGAATTTAGACATCTTTAGCTCCTCCAGCTGTAAAAATCATGTAGGCCAGGTGGCTTCCCTTCAAGTCCTCATCTCTGGCTTACGCTTTCATTCACTCTGCAAACATTTATGAAGGACCTTATCTTTGTGAGGTAATGTACTAGACACTTAGGATAGAGCAGTCAACTATACAAAAAATGTCCTAGACCTTAAGTATCTCACATTCTAAAGGGCTAAGCAGATAATAAACACATAAGTTTTTTTTTGTTTTTTTTTTGAGATGGAGTCTCGCTCTGTCGCCCAGGCTGGAGTGCAGTGGCGCGATCTTGGCTCACTGCAAGCAAGGTCTGCCTCCCAGGTTCACTCCATTCTCCTGCCTCAGCCTCCCGAGTAGCTGGGATTACAGGCATGCACCACCAACCCCAGCTAATTTTGTATTTTTGGTAGAGACAGGGTTTCCCTATGTTGGTCAGGCTGGTCTCGAACTCCCAACCTCAGGTGATCCGCCTGCCTCAGCCTCCCAAAGTGCTAGGATTATAAGCATGAGCCACTGTGTCCAGCCATAAATATGTATTATGTCAATTGGTGACAAGTACTATGGAAAAAAATAGATGAATGGATAAGTAATATCATCCTCCACCTCCCCTACCACACACACACATATAAATGTATATTTACAGACTCAGAACTGGTTCTGGCAAGAAAATATAAGAAAATAACCATAAGACACTTGAAAACTGACATCTGGCTTCCCTAAAAAAGTTGACACTCAACTTTTTATCCAAAGCAATAGAGTAATAATAATGGTTCACTAAAGAAACTCAGAATACTGCTAAGGCTAAGCCAATTAAGTAATTTCTTTACTTTGCTTTCACATTCAGTCTACAAAAGCCAACTGTGCATGCTGCTACAGCAGAGCCCCCTGAACCCTTCTGGTTTTGGAGTGCTGCCTGATTCACGAATCCTTTAATGCTTAACTATTACGTTTATCTGAAGTTTTTCTTTTAATATTCATAGGTCCTAGCAGAGGGTAGAAAATATTTGGGGTGTGACTCATGCCTGTAATCCCAGCACTCTGGGAGGCCAAAGCAGGCAGATCACTTGAGCTCACAAGTTTGAGACCAGCCTGGGCAACATGGTAAAACCCCGTCTCTACAAAAACCACAAAAATTAGCCAGGTGTGGTGGTACGTGTCTGTAGTGCCAGCTACGTGGGAAGGTGGCTTGAGCCTGGGAGGCAAAGGTTGCAGTGAGCTGAGATCACGCCACTGCATGCCAGTCTGGGCGATAGAGCCAGACCTTGTCTCAACAAAAAAAGAAGAAAAAAGAAAATGTATGGGGTGGATGAAATGCTGAATCACACATTGTGCAAAAGTTTGTCTATTTTATATTTTTCTGGGGGTATGGGGGAGACAGGGCTGCACTCTTCCCAAGGCTGGAGTGCAATAGTAGGATCAAGCTCACAGCAGCCTTGAACTCCTGGGCTCAAGCAATCTTCCTACCCCAGCTTTCTGAGTAGCTAGGACTTCAGGCAAAAGCCACCACCACACCCGGCCAATTAAAAATTTTTTTGGCAGAGATTGGTGGTGGGGCTGGAATGGAGAAGGGGTTCCTCGCAATGTTGGAAAGGCTGATCTTGAACTCCTGGGCTCAAGCGATCCTCCCGCCTTGACCTCCCAACGTGCTGGATTACCGGTGTGAGCCACCATGACCAGCTAATTTTTTTTTTTTTTTTTTGAGACAGAGTCTCGCTCTGTCACCCAGGCTGGAGTGCAGTGGCATGATCTCGGCTCACTGCAAGCTCCGCCTCCCGCGTTCACGCCATTCTCTTGCCTCAGCCTCCCGAGTAGCTGGGACTACAGGCGCCCACCACCATGCCTGGCTAATTTGTTTTGTATTTTTAGTAGAGAAGGGGTTTCACCATGCTAGCCAGGATGGTTTCGACCTCCTGACCTCGTGATCCGCCGGCCTCAGCCTCCCAAAGTGCTAGGATTACAGGCATGAGCCACCCCGCCTGGCCATGACCAGCCAATTTTATACTTCTAAAAAACCTATCTCTTGGGTTTACTCATCAGTTTTACTTTTTTTCCCATTAAATGTTGCTTTTAGTGTTATGTTTTCTTTATACTCATTTTGCTAATCTCTTTCAAACACCTGGAAATGACATCTGAATTTTTTAAACATTTAATTGAAATATATATTCACAAAAGAGTAGAATTACAAAGGTATAATGCATCATTAATTTCTACACCTTGATGCACACATGACACATCTAAATCATTGCCCCTCTTCGCAAATGGAAACTATTCTCACTTCTAACGGTATAGGTTAATTTTGTCTGTTTTTAAACTTTATAAATGAAATCATCTATTCATTTATGTCTAGCTTTTTTGATTCAACATTATGTTTATGAGTCATCCATACTGTTACACATATAGTTCTTTTCCTTTTACCGAAAAGCACTCCATAATACAGGTTGAATATCTCTAATCTGAAAATCTGAAATCCAAAATGCTCCAAAAAACCTTTTTGAGCACAGATATGACACTCAAAGGAAATGCTCACTGAAACATTTTAAATTTCTGAAGTATAATGCAAATATTCCAAAATCTGAAGAAATCTGAAATCCAAATGACTTCTGGTCCCAAGTATTTCTGACACTTAACCAGTATAGCATGGTTTATTCATGTATTCTTGTAGACAGACATTTGAGTTGCTTAATTCTGGGCTATTTCAAATAATGATGTTATATGGTCGCATTTAAGGGTATATCCTTACATTCAAATTTGGAACACAATGCCAAACTGTTTTTCAAAACATATTTCTACTTTACACACTAAAAGTATACACAAACTCTAGTTTCTCTAAATTCTCTTCAACATCTCGTAACTCTTTTTGGATTTAGCCATTCTGATATATGTGTAGTGGCAGATTTAATTTCCATTTGCCTGATTATTGATGAGGATAAAAACTTCAATTTTTCATGTTTATTATCCATAGTACAGTCAGTTTTGCGAAGAGCCTGCTCAAGCCTCTTAATTTTTCTATTGGATTGTTTGAATTTTTGGAATTAACGTGTAAGAGTTCTTAATGTATTTTGGATATTAGCCTTTTTTTTTTTGTCAGTTACATACGTAGGAATTATCTCCTCTTATTCTCAGGCTTGTTTCTGGGTGGGGGTGGGGGACAGGGCCCTGTTCTGTTGCCCAGGATGAGGTGCAGTAGGCACAATCTTGGCTCACTGCAGCCCTGACCTCCTGGGCTCAAGCAATCCTCCTGCCTCAGCATCCCAAGTAGCTAGGAGAAGAAGCATGTGCCACCATGTCCAGCTAATTCTTTAGTTTTCTGTAGAGATGGGGTCTTGCTATGTTGCTCAGGTGGGACGCAAGTGATTCTCCTGCCTTGGCCTCCCCAAGTGCTGGGATTACAGGTGTGAGCCACTACGCCTAGCTTCCTTTGGAATTATTTTTAACTTCATTAAAAGAAAAAACACTAGGGAATTTGGCAGGATATAGTTAAATTATATATGTATTTACCCTTTGACTTAGAAGTCCCATTTCTAAAAATCCTCCTGGATGCATAACTCTACAAATATCTATTTTTAAAATTTTCTGGCTGGGCATGGCGGCTCATGCCTGTAATCCTAGCACTTTGGCATGCTGAGGTAGGTAGATTGCTTGAGCCCAGCCTAGGCAACACACGGTGAAACCCTGTCTCTACCAAAAAATACAAATCTTCACCAGGTATGGTAGCACTCACCTATACTCCAAGCTATTCAGAAGACTGAGGTGGGAGCAACACCTGAGCCTAGGGAGGTCAATGCTGCAGTGAACCGTGATCTCACCACTGTACTCCTGCCTGGGCAACAGAGTAAGACCTTGTCTCAAAAATCCAACAAAACAAAAACCAAGATACATTTTCTCATACATTCATATTAGAATGTAGAACTTCCAAGGGTTGATCCTTCTCTCTTAAAACACAAGCCACATAACTACAAAATCATACCTTTTAAAAATACCTCAGAGAGCCAAGAATGCAGATACACCTAAATAATAAGCTTTGCTAAGAAAGAAGATACCCATGATTTTTCTCAATCTTGGATGAGTGATGAGAGAAAGAATCTGCCACACATGAAGGTATAAAGAAATCATAATTAAATCTTACCAAAATTTGACAGCAGAGTGTGGACTGATTGACCACATTAGAATTCTGAGACATCTCAGTTACAGAATTCACAGTGATGAATCCATCCACAGACTTTCACCAAGCCTTCACCTAATATTAGACCATAGTATATCAAAGGCTGGGATAAGGCAGGATCACTGAGGTGCATGTAGCCTCCCTGATGACCGAGGCAACCATCCCCCCAAGGCAAGTGGCAGGGCAAAGGGGTGAAGATAAATCCATTTAAGGTACTCTGGGCCCTCAGCTATCACAGGCTGGTTGCAGAGCAGAGAGTTAACACAAACCCTCAATAAAATTTTAGCAAAATGAATACAGTGATATATATATATATACACACACACATACATATGTATACCTCTATATATGAAAAGATAATACATCAAGTTAGAACATATCCCAGAAATGCCAGATTGATATTCAAATGTAAATTAATTTAATGCAACATATTAGCAGGCCAGAAAATCAGATGATCTCATGAGATGCAGAAAAGGAATTTGACAAAATTCATTAACCATGATTGTTTTTAATGAAGTTCAATAAGCCCAAGAAAAATTTTCAGCCTAATAAAGGGCATCTACAAAAACGCCAAAGCTAACATTATACTTTAAGGTAACAAAAACGACTGCTTTTTAACTGTATTACAAATGAATAACAAAACCATATTGAAAGATAAAAATAACTCATCTAAGTGATTTTGGAAAACAGTATTTTGAACATATAATCTAAGCCTAAATATAAAAGAATGACACAAAAATAACTCAGTTAATAAATCTGTTTTCCACAGGGGTCTGAATTAGCAATTCAGAACTACTTTATTTGTATTTTAAGATTCAATAAGTAATATATCATAAAAAATGTCAGTAAAATGGCAGAGTAGGAAGCCCTACCTCTCTGTTCACTCATGGAAACACATAGTAACAATACTGGAACCAAAATACCTTGAAGAGAAATCCATAATCAAGCTAATAATTGCAAGCAACCCTAGAGGAGCACAAACTGAGAACAGTTGCATTTATACCAGTAAGAACAATTTTCAACTTACCCTCATCAGCCCTTCTGCAAAACCAGCTCAGCTCAGTTGTGCTGACTTTATATCTTTTTGATAAATTGGTCTCTTTATTATTATATAATGCCCTTTGTCTCTTGTCACAATTTTTGTCTTAAAGTCTATTTTGTGTGATGTAAGAATAGGGGCTCCTGCTGTCCTTTGGTTATCATTTGCATGGAGTATCTTTTTCTAACCCTTGACAATTTAGTCTGTGCCCCTTAAAATTAAAATGAAGTTAAAAATAATTCCAAAGGAAGCTAGGCGTAGTGGCTCACACCTGTAATCCCAGCACTTGGGGAGGCCAAGGCAAGAGAATCACTTGCATCCCACCTGAGCAACATAGCAAGACCCCATCTCTACAGAAAACTAAAGAATTAGCTGGACATGGTGGCACATTATTTCTTCATGGGAAGAAGTGAGATTGGCTACTTGACCTCCTGACCTCTCAGAGGGTTCTCCAAGGGGCCAGTAGCCATCTTGCCTCATACTAAGGTGCTGATCATCTGAGAAAGAAATGAGGCAGACATCCTCTTACATCTGCTCTGTATGACTGAGAAAAATCACAAACAGAGGCTTTTCTGTGGAGAGAGAGAGAAGAGAAGGTGTGCTTGTCATCAACCTTATGGTATACTTCTGTAGGGGTCAGTCCTGATCTTGTCTCATATGGAGCACTGCTAATGGATGAACGTCTTTCCCAGTCAAGACTAAGCCATAAAGACTGAGAGAAATACCTACTACTTCAGTGCACAGACAGCAAAGCAAACCTACAAATAGCATGAAGAATCAAGAAGAAACTATGACACAAAGAAAACAAATATTCAGTAGCCAACCCAAAAGAAATGGAGACCTGTGAATAACCTGAGAAGGAAGTCATAACAATCATCTTAAAGATCAGTGAGTTAAATGACAGCAGAGATACATAACTATAGGTCAGGAAAATAATACATGAATGAAGTGAGAAATTCAACCCAGAGATTGAAATGATAAAGAACAAAAGAGAAATACTGGAGTTGAAGAGTACAATAATTGAACTAAAATATTAACTAGAGGGGTCCAAGAGCAGACATCATCAAACAGAAGAATCAACAAAATAAAAAATAGATTATAGTCAGTCAGAGGAACAAAAAGAAAAAACAATGAAAAAGAGTGAAGAAAGCCTAAAGAACCTGTGGAACTCTGCCAAGTGAACAGAAACATTAAAGAAGTTACAGAGGGAGCAGAGAGAGAAATGAGTAGAAAGCCTATATAAAGAATAGCTATAAATTTTCCACATCTAGGGAGACAGAGGCACCCATATTCATGAATCTCAAAGCCCCCAACAAGGTTCAACTGAAAGAGATCTAAACTAATACACATTATAGTGAACTTGTCAAAAGTCAAAGACAGAGAATTTTGAAAGCAGCAAGAGAAAAATGACTTACTACATACAAAGGAATCTCCATAATACTACCCTTTGATTTCTCAGCAGAAACCTTGCAAACCAGGAGAATGGAATATTCAAAAAGTCATCAATCACAAAGGAAGACTGCAAGAGAAGACAGGAATAAAAACTACAAAACAGCCAGAAAACAATGAAGTAAATGGTAATAACAAGTCATCATCTATCAACAATTACTTTAAATGGATTAAATTCCCCAATGAAAAGACACAGAATGGCTGAATATGGTTAAAACAAACAGGTGGGGCACGGTGGCTCACACCTGTAATCCCAGCACTTTGGGAGGCCGAAACAGGGAGATGCCAAGGTTAGGAGTTCGAGACCAGCCTTGCCAATATGGTGAAACCCCGTTTCTACTAAAAATACAAAAATTAGCCAGGCATGGTGGCACATGCCTGTAGTTCCAGCTACTCAGGAGGCTGAGACAGAAGAATTGCTTGAACCCGGGAGGTGGAGGTTGCAGTAGGCCAAGATCACGCCACTGCATTCTAGCCTGGGCAACAGAGTGAGACTCTGTCTCAAAACAAACTAAACAAGATCCAACTATCTCCTGGCTACAAGAGACTCGTTTTAATTTTAAGGGGCACAGACTAAATGTCAAGGGTTAGAAAAAGATATTCCATGCAAATGATAACCAAAGGACAGCAGGAGCCCCTATTCTTACATCACACAAAATAGACTTTAAGACAAAAATTGTGACAAGAGACAAAGATCATTATATAATAAATGGACCAATTTATCAAAAGGATATAGAAGTTTTAAGTACATATACACCAATATATTTAGGGAGCTCATCATACATAAAGCAAATATTAATGGATCTGAAAGAAGAAAAAGCAATATGATAACAGTAGGGGACTTCAACACTCCACTTTCAACAATGACTGGATCACCCAGACAAAATAGTAATAAGAAAATAGTGACCTTGAAAAACAAAGACTAACTACAAAAATCAATCATATTGTATATAAATATAAAAGAAATTAAAAACTATGGCACCACATATGCTCAAGGTCATTCCATTTATGAAACAGGAATAATAAACTATGATTTTTAAACAGCTGTATTGGGTAAGCACAAGAATAATAAAGAAAAGTTTAAAACTTCAAACCCCCAGCCCAAAAAACAAAAAAACACAGCTGCACAGTCACCACAAAAAGAACAAAGCAGTTCTAATGACTTTTTTGAGTTGTTGCTTTTTTACACACTGTGAAACTTTGTTCTCTAAAATCAGTTATTAGAAATTTGCTGTTTGAAATTCTATCAGTAAGAAATATCAGAAAGACTGAAATATCCCACTTTCACCTGGAGGGCTTATGTAATATTTTGACACCAAGAAGAAGTATCCATTTACAACCCAGGTGCTGAGTTTCAAAGAAAAGACTTCTGACACAACATTCCACATCTACTCAAATTTACTGTTTTCCAAGGAAATGCGACACCGTGTTGTTTGCACCCAGATACGGATGATGACCCCTTTATACAGCCCTACTTTGCGCTGAGACTATCAAAATGCTGATGCATTTAGGCCAGGCGCAGTGGCTCATGCCTGTAATCCCAGCACTTTAGGAGGCTGAGGCAGGTGGATCACCTGAGGTCAGGAGTTGAGACCACCTGAGGTCAGGAGTTGAGACCAGCCTAGCCAACATGATGAAAGCTCGTCTCTACTAAAATACAGAAATTAGTGAGGTGTGGTGGCAGGAGCCTGTAATCCCAGCTACTCAGGAGGCTGAAGCAGGAGAATCACTTGAACCCGGGAGGTGGAGGTTGCAGTGAGCCGAGATTGCGCCACTGCACTACAGCCTGGACAAGAGCAAAAACTCCGTCTCAAAAAAAAAAAAAAAAAAAAAAAAGACAAACAAGCCTAATAGTATGTCAAATTCATAACATAACCACACAGAGAAAAAAACTGAGTTCAAGCAAATGTTTGAACTTTATATCCTTAGTAAGGACAAAAAGAAATATAAAGAAACTCAATACTAAATAAAGTAATGGTAGTAATACTAGTCATCTGGTAATGTTGCTACAACAAATAATATATCAGTGTCATTAGGAGTCAAGGTCTTTATTATAAGAGATAAGAGATACAAACATAAGGAAAAACAAAAAACCTCTTAAGTTTGTAATAGGAATATGAGTATAAATGTATGATGTAAGAAAATACATATTCTAGATGTCCACTGTAAGGCCATAGATGTCCACTGTGGGCCTATCACACAGACCTTAGTGTCTAAAAGGAACATGACTTTTTGGAGCAATCATTGATTCCAGGTCTGTAAGAGGAAAATACAAAGTGAACTGGGGTCTGATTTTGCACTCAGATTAGTAGAGTTGTGTCACAAGACACAGAGCCAAATTTAAAAATTACCATTGGTCAAAATTGGGACAGTTTGAGCATCAATACGAATGACAGGAATTGATTATAATACAGTGAATGAAAAGAAAAAAAAATTAGAATAAGTTGTGACATTCCAAAAAAGAAAAAAAGTATAGAGGGCAGTGAAAGTGGTGAAAGAAAGCTCCTCTTCACCTAAGACTGTCAGCTAAAGAATGGAGAAAGAACAACAGAACTAGGAAAAAAAACTGTTAACCTCTCAATGTAAAAACAGGTTCAGGAGAAGATGACTGAGTGATGTTAAAAGCCACTGGGTGAGGCCAGGCGCGGTAGCTCATGCCTGTAATTCCAGCACTTTGGGAGGCCGAGGCGGGAGGATCACCTGAGGTCAAGAGTTCGAGACCAGCCTGACCAACATGGGTGAAACCCCTTCTCTACTAAAATTACAAAAATTAGCCAGGCGTGGTGACCCACATCTCTAATCCCAGCTACCCAGAAGGCTGAGACAGGAGAATCACTTGAACCGGGGAGGCGGAGGTTGCAGTGAGCCAAGATCACGCCACTGTACTCCAGCCTGGGCGGCAGAGTGAGACTCCGTCAAAACAAAAACAAAAACAAAAAAAAACAAAACAAAACAAAACCAAAAAAACCACTGGGTGAAAGGCTGTTGGGGAACAGAATATTCCCCTGTAGCCAAAGTATCACTTATAGATTACTATAAGAAAAACATGACTATACAGAGATGAGTACCTTGACCAAATGCGTAGTATCACTAACAAACTTGTAGTATGTGACTACTGATAGGATATAATATGAAGCCCAGTACATTACCTAGAAAATGGAAGCCTTGGATCTGGCCAGTCTAACTCAACAGCCACTAGCCCCATGTGGCTAGTGCAACTGAGGAAATGAATTCTTAATTTTATTTACTTTTAATTCAACTTTAAAAATAAAATTGTTATTGAAAAACTTTTAAGTATGTTTGGAACAACCTGGGTTTGTTAATCTACTTTTTCAATAGTTAATTTTATAAACTCTAAATACAGATCAAGAATTTCCAATGAAAATTAGCTGTAAGTGTAAAATACGTGCAGGATTCCAAAGACTTAGTACAAAAGAAGTGTGAAATGTCTCAGTTTTAAACTGACTACATTAGTCACTAATTTCAAAAACTTATATTGATAACTGGATATGCTGCATTTTTAATATATTAAAAATGATATCACACATACATTTAACATTTTCTAATTTGGCTACTAAAATTTTTAAAAATTACATCTGTGCCTTGCATTATATTTGTATTAGACAGTACCACTGTAACCCCAACATCCACTTTACAAGAAATACAGGACATAGGTAAATCAAATAAAATCACAGGAAAACATCATTGCATGAGAACGGCAGCATTTTACAAGATAATGCTCCTGAAATCTTCAAAGGCCAAAATTTTATTTTTAAAAATTCAGGTGAATGGCGGGGCATGGTGGTTCACGCAGTACTTTGGGAGGCCAAGGCCGGCAGATCACGAGGTCAGGAGTTCGAGACCAGCCTGGCCAACACGGTGAAACCCTGTCTCTACTAAAAATACAATTAGCCGGGCGTGGTGGCACACGCCTGTAATTCCAGCTACTTGGGAGGCTGAGTCAGGAGAATCGCTTGAACGCAGGAGGCAGAGGTTGCAGTGAGCTGAGATCACACCACTGCACTCCAGCCTGGGACAGACAGACTCCGTCTCAAAAAAAAAAAAAAAAAAAAAAAAAATCAGGTGAATAGTCTAGTTAAAAAACAGATTTAACAGATCTAAAAACATGCAAACAACCTGGCAACTATAATGGTGACTATGGTGACTTTTGGACAGCTGGGGAAATCTGATTTGATTTGGGGGTGGGGATGGACAATGAAGTCTTGTTTTAAGCTTGTCTTCACTTTCAGGAGGTATTTGAGATACACGCTTAAAAGGGGAAAGTTCATTCACTTCCAATTTAAATGGCTCATGATAAAGTACATATACAAAAAAATGAAACAAATCTTAACAACTAGTGAATGTAGTTAAGGGTTAAAGACTTTTTTTTTTTTTTTTGGAGACGGAGTCTCGCACTGTTGCCCAGGCTGGAATGCAAGGGTGCAATCTTGGCTCACTGCAACCTCTGCCTCCCAGGTTCAAGCGATTCTCCTGCCTCAGGCTCCTGAGTAGCTGGGATTACAGGTGCCCACGCCCGGCTAATTTTTTGTATTTTGAGTAAAGACGGGGTTTCACTATGTTGGCCAGGCTGGTCTCAAACTCCTGACCTCGTGATCCGCCAGCCTCAGCCTCCCAACATGCTGGGATTACAGGCGTGAGCCACCACACCTGGACTAAAGACATTTGTTTTACTCGAGCTACAGATGTTCTCTAGATCAGTATTTGTTTTTTTTTCTTCTTTTTGAAACAGGGTCTCACTCTGTTGCCTAAGCTGGAATGCAGTGACACAATAATGGCTCACAGCAGCCTCGACCTCCCATGCTCAAGTGATCCTCGCATCTCGGCCTCCAAAGTGGATGGGACCACAGACACCACCATGCCCAGCTAATTTTTTATTTTTAGTAGAGACAGAGGCTTGCCCTATTTTTTCCAGGTTGGCATCAAATTCCTGGGCTCAAGCGATCCTCCAGCCTCAGCCTCCCAAAACGCTGGGATTACAGGTGTGAGCCACCTTGCCCCGCCCTCAGTAAGACTTTCAAATGAGTAACTGGTAGAAAACCCACCTGTCAAAAGTTATCTTCGCATTCATTATCAATTCAATCCCTCCTGCTAGTAAATCAGCCCGCACCGTGTTCCTGGGGATGCCCTCGTTTTGAACCTCTGGGGGAATCTACAGGGCGCTAGAGTGAGATCTAGGTGATGGCCTGGAACCACAGTTGAGTAGTCCTGTGTTTTTCCTTGGTGGTAAATTTTACAGTTATGTGCATTCATCCACTCATGCATTCGATGGTATCAGATCCATGTGCTCTCGAACAACCACCTGAAAAGGTTTCTTTCCACCTCGACACAACTTAAACTTCAAGACCCGACACCCACAGCCAGAACAAGTGCATGAAGTGCTCACCGGGACACGACAGAATTGTCAGGTTGCTGAGGCCAGGAGGACACCAAGCGAAGGTCACCGTGAACAGGAAGGCAGAGATGCTGTTCCTTATAGAGAAAAGGCACAACGCTGGATGTGGAGACTTTTTTTTTTTTTTCCATTAGAGATGGTTGGGGGGGGGGGTCTCCCTATGTTGCCCTGCCTGGTCTTGAACTCCTGGCCTCAAGTAATCCTCCTACCCAATCCGCCCAAAGCGCTGGGAATGACAGGCGTGAGCCGCCGCGCCGGGCCCTATGAGGCTTCTGCAGAGGGGAGCAGGGAAAATGGAAAGGCCGTGCCCCCCGCCTCCTCCCGGGCCGAGGCCCCAGCGCAGCCGCCTCGACCCCTGAGGACAGACCTGACTGTGGCTCTCAGAGGAGGGGCCGCGACTTGGGAGAGCCCACAAGATGCTCGAAATGCCCGAAAGTGCACGGGACAGGCTCCATTTCACTGGGCACCTCCCCTTTCCACCCTTCTACTCTCGCGTGGCTGCACCGGGACACCACCGAACGCCGCCCAGAAACAAAAACTTACCTCAGACGCCAACGGGAACGCGCTGTTAAGATGGCGGCCGTTATGCGCATGCGCCCACGCAGACACGCCGCGCACGCGCAAAGGCTAGGACCACCTAGGGGGCGGGGCCTCGGGTTCCCGGGCCCATCAGCTGCTGCGGCTTTTTCCAACCCAGAGCTGAGAGGAAATGCTGTTTACCTCCCCGAAGAGCGCAAGTGTCACCGGTAGGGGGTCTTGACTGCAAGCTGTCCAGGTTACTGGCGTTTTGAACAAAGAATTAGACAAAACGCCCAGCAAAGCAAAGAAAGAATGAAGCAACAAAAGAACAAGAGCTGGGATTTGTTGAAAACGAAAGCATACTCCACAGTGTGGGAACTGGCCAAGCGGCAGCTCAAGGGCTCCGAAACAGAACCTTCATGAGTCCCAATACCTCCTAGAATTTTCCCATTGGCCACTTCATGCTCACCTCCTGTAAATGAAGCGGTAGCCCGCGTTCAGTCTGATTGGTTGCAGAAAGCAGCCAACCAGAGTCTGAAGTTACAAAGGTCACACTCCTGTGCAAACATCTGATTGGTTGCAAAAAGCAACCAATCAAAGGCTAGGGTGAAGTTACGACGTTACAAAGTTACACTTCTATGCAAATGAAGACTCAACCGGCCATCAGTCTGATTTGTTGCAGACAGCCAATTTCCTATCTGCCAGCAGAAAAGGTCAAAGGGAGTAGCCTCTGGTCCTTTTGTTATTTAGGCGAGGAAAGTGAGGGTTTTCCTTTCAATTTAGTTCTAGGAAGTCGGCCTGAAACAGCCTTAAGTTCCCTGCCTCCCGACTCTATTCAGCCTCACAAGGGCTTGATTTTTGGTCATCTCACACTCAGAGACTAGAATGCTCCTATTGGAATTTGTTCAAAAATTAGCACATAGAGGCTGGGCCTGATGGCTCACGCCAGTGATCCCAGCACTTTGGGAGGCTGAGGCAGGCAGACCACTTGAGCTCAGGAGTTCGAGACCAGCCTGGGCAATATGGCAAAACCCTATTCCTATAAAAAAGACAAAAAACACAAAAATTAGGACGTAGTTAAGAGCATAGATAAGATTCATGCGGACTTCCTAAAAGTGAAAACACCAAGATCTGGGGTCGGGGAATCTAAGGCCAATTCGTGATAATTTCCTAAAGTTAAATCAAAGGAAAAACACCTGGGGCTGGGGGCAGGGCACCTAAGGCCAATTAACACAAACTTCCTGAAGCTAAACCAAAAGGAAAAACCCCATCTCCCCAAGATCAAAGACTACTCTCTCTACAGTAAAAAGTAAAGTAGAGGTTCCTCTTCAAAGACTTTCCTGCCCATCTAATTAGGAATAAATAGTAACTTCTGTTAGAAGCAAAATTTATTCAAAGACCTGTACTAATGTGTCCGGAATTGGTGGGTTCTTGGTCTCACCGACTCCAAGAATGAAGCCGGGGACCCTCGTGGTGAGTGTTACAGATCTTAAGGTGGCACGTCTGGAGTTTGTTCCTTCTGATGTTCGGATGTGCTCGGAGTTTCTTCCTTCTGGTGGGTTCGTGGTCTTGCTGGCTCAGGAGTGAAGCTGCAGACCTTCGCGGTGAGTGTTAGAGCTCTTAAAGCGGCGCGTCTGGAGTTGTTCATTTCTCCCGGTGGGCTCGTGGTCTCGCTGGCTTCAGGAGTGAAGCTGCAGACCTTCGCGGTGAGTGTTACAGCTCATAAAAGCAGTGTGGACCCAAAGAGTGAGCAGTAGCAAGAGTTATTGCAAAGAGTGAAACAACAAAGCTTCCACGGCGTGGAAGGGGATCAAAGCGGGTTACCACTGCTGGCTGGGGCAGCCTGCTTTTATTCTCTTATGTGGCCCCACCCACATCCTGCTGACTGGTAGAGTCAAGTGGTCTGTTTTGACAGGGCGCTGATTGGTGCCTTTACAATCCCTGAGCTAGACACAAAGGTTCTCCACATCCCCACTAGATTAGCTAGCTACAGAGTGTCGACACAAAGGTTCTCCAAGTCCCCACCAGAGTAGCTAGATACAGAGTGTTGATTGGTGCATTCACAAACCCTGAGCTAGACACAGGGTGCTGATTGGTGTGTTTACAAACCTTGAGCTAGATACAGAGTGCCAATTGGTGTATTTACAATACTTTAGCTAGACATAAAGGTTCTCCAAGTTCCCACTAGACTCAGGAGCCCAGCTGGCTTCACCCAGTGGATCTTGCACTGGGGCTGCAGGTGGAGCTGCCTGCCAGTCCCGCGCCATGCGCCCGCACTCCTCAGCCCTTGGGTGGTCGACGGGATTGGGTGCCGTGGAGCAGGGGGCGGCACTTGTCGGGGAGGCTCCGGCTGCACAGGAGCCCACGGAGGAGGAGGCGGGGGAGGAGGGGGTAGGAGGGGGAAGGAGCGGGGGGTAGGGCAGGGGGAGAGGAGGGTGGGGGTGGGGAGGGGGGTGGGGAGGAGGGTGGGGGGGAGGAGGGCGGGGGGAGGAGGGGAGGAGGAGTGGGGGAGGAGGGTGGCAGGGGGGAGGAGGGCGGGGGGGAGAGGAGGGCGGGGGGGAGGAGGGCGTGGTGGCGGGGAAGGCTCAGGCATGGCAGGCTGCGGG
The DNA here is from genome assembly GCF_000001405.40 of Homo sapiens. Taxonomy (NCBI): domain Eukaryota; kingdom Metazoa; phylum Chordata; class Mammalia; order Primates; family Hominidae; genus Homo; species Homo sapiens. Next base: position 9,321,646 of record NC_000019.10, on the reverse strand, counting down.
TCCCGAGCCCTGCCCCACGGGAAGGCAGCTAAGGCCTCGCAAGAAATCGAGCTCAGCGCCAGTGGGCTGGCCCTGCTGGGGCACCCAGCACACCCTCCGCAGCCATTGGCCCGGGTGCTAAGACCCTCATTGCCCGGGGCAGGGACGGCTGGCTGCTCCGAGTGCAGGCCTGCCAAGCCCACGCCCACCCGGAACTCCAGCTGGCCCGCAAGCACCGTGCGCAGCCTGGTTCCCGCTAGTGCCTCTCCCTCCACACCTCCGTGAAGCTGGGGGAGCCGGATCCAGCCTTGGCCAGCCCAGAAAGGGGCTCCCACAGTGCAGCGGTGGGCTAAAGGGCTCCTTAAGTGCCGCCAAAGTGGGAGCCCAGGCAGAGGAGGCGCCGAGAGCGAGCGAGGGCTGTGAGGACTGCCAGCACACTGTCACCTCTCACTAACATTCTTAAATATCTGCTAGCTGTAATAAAGAAATCAGTGTACTTTATGTTCTTAGCTCCCACAATTTAGCCTAAATATTTGCCCTGGCATGCTTATACTGGTCCAAGCAAGCATTAGGTCATAGTCTGTTCCTCTTCCTTATCTGAAGGTGTTTTTACCTTTCTCAGCATCCCACAAGTTACTTCCTCCATCCTTTGTTCTCCTCTGCCTTTGCCTCTTTTAAAAAGTCCTAAGTTGCTAGCCAATCAGGACAAATACAGAATGGAAGGTCCTGTTCTAGCCAATGGAAACTGATAAGCCTCCTCTAATCTCCCCCACCCAGAAAGAAACAAGCAAAGAAATCTCCAAGGTACCACAGCCCCCACCCCCCCCCCGCCGGCTATCGGTTTTGTCCCCTTCAAGCTGTAGGGAGAGGGGAATTTGGCCCAACCCGGGTACATGTCCCCTTCTCCCTCTCTGATTTAAAGCAGATCAAGGTAGACCTGGGGAAGTTTTCAGATGATCCTTATAGGTATATAGATGTCCTACAGGGTCTAGGGCAAACCTTCAACCTCACTTGGAGAGATGTCATGCTATTGTTAGATCAAACACTGGCCTTTAATGAAAAGAATGCGGCTTTAGCTGCAGCCTGAGAGTTTGGAGATACCTGGTATCTTAGTCAAGTAAATGATAGAATGACAGCTGAAGAAAGGGACAAATTCCCTATGGGTCAGCAAGCCATCCCCAGTATGGATCCCCACTGGGACCTCGACTCAGATCATGGGGACTGGAGTTGCAAACATCTGTTGACCTGTGTTCTAGAAGGACTATGGAGAATTAGAAAAAAGCCCATGAATCATTCAATGAAGTCCACCATAACTCAGGGAAAGGAAGAAAATCCTACCACCTTCCTTGAGTGACTATGGGAGACCTTAAGAAAATATACTCTCCTGTCACCTGACTCTCTCGAGGGTCAATTGATCCTCAAAGATAAGTTTATTACCAAATCAGCCGCAGATATCAGGAGAAAGCTCCAAAAGCTAGCCCTGGCCCTGAACAAAATTTGGAGGCATTATTAAACCTGGCAACCTTGGTGTTCTATAATAGGGACCAAGAGGAACAGGCCAAAAAGGAAAAGCGAGATAAGAGAAAGGCCGCAGACTTAGTCATGGCCCTCAGACAAACAAACCTTGGTGGTTCAGAGAGGACAGAAAATGGAGCAGGCCAATCACCCAGTAGGGCTTGTTATCAGTGTGGTTTGCAAGGACACTTTTTTTTTTATTATACTTTAAGTTTTAGGGTACATGTGCACAACGTGAAGGTTTGTTACATATGTATACATGTGCAATGTTGGTGTGCTGCACCCATTAACTCATCATTTAACATTAGGTGTATCTCCTAATGCTATCCCTCCCCCTCCCCCCACCACACAACAGGCCCCCGTGTGTGATGTTCCCCTTCCTGTGTCCATGTGTTCTCATTGTTCAATTCCCACCTATGAGTGAGAACACGCGGTGTTTGGTTTTTTTTTCTGCAGGGACACTTTAAAAAAGATTGTCCAATGAGAAACAAGCCGCCCCCTCACCCATGTCCACTATGCCAAGGCAATCACTGGCAGGCACACTGCCCCAGAGGACAAAGCTTCTCTAGGCCAGAAGCCCCCAACCAGATGATCCAACAACAGGACTGAGGGTGCCCGGGGCAAGTGCCAGCTCATGTCATCACCCTCACTGAGCCTCGGGTAAGTTTAACCATTGAGGGCCAGGAAATTGACTTCTTCCTGGACACTGGCACAGCTTTCTCAGTGTTAAGCTCCTGCCCTGGATGGCTGTCCTCAAGGTCTGTTACCATCCGAGGAATCTTGGGACAGCCTGTAACCAGGTATTTCTCCCACCTCCTCATTTGTAATTGGGAGACTGCTCTTTTCACATGCCTTTCTTGTTATGCCTGAAAGTTCTACACCCTTATTAGGGAGAGATATATTAGCCAAAGCTGGAGCTATTATTTACATGAATATGGGGAACAAGTTACCCATTTGTTGTCCCCTACTTGAAGAGGGAACAACCCTGAAGTCTGGGCATTGGAAGGACAATTTGGAAGGGCAAAAAATGCCCACCCAGTTCAAATCAGGCTAAAAGACCCCACTACCTTTCCTTATCAAAGGCAATATCCCTTAAGACCTGAAGCTCATAAAGGATTACAGGATATTGTTAGACATTTAAAAGTTCAAGGCTTAGTAAGAAAATGCAGCAGTCCCTGCAACACCCCAATTCTGGGAGTACAAAAACCAAATGGTCAGTGGAGACTAGTGCAAGGTCTTAGACTCATCAATGAGGCAGTAATTCCTCTATATCCAGCTGTACCCAACCCATTTACCATGCTGTCTTAAATACCAGAGGAAGCAGAATTGTTCACTGTTCTGGACCTCAAGGATGCCACCTTCTGCATTCTCCTGCACTCTGACTCCCAGTTTCTCTTTGCCTTTGAGGATCCCACAGACCACACTTCCCAACCCATGTGGATGGTCTTGCCTCAAGAGTTTAGGGATAGTCCTCATCTCTTTGGTCAGGCATTGGCCCAAGATCTAGGCCACTTCTCAAGTCCAGGCACTCTGGTCCCTCAGTATGTGGATGATTTACTTTTGGCTACCAGTTCGGAAGCCTCATGCCAGCAGGCTACTCTACATCTCTTGAACTTTCTAGCTAATCAAGGGTACAAGGCATCTAAATTGAAGGCCCAGCTCTGCCTACAGCATGTCAGATATCTAGGCCTAATCTTAGCCAGAGGAACCAGGGCCCTCAGCAAAGAACAAATACAGCCTATATTGGCTTTTCCTCACCCAAAGACATTAAAGCAGTTGTGGGTGTTCCTTGGGATCATCGGCATTTGCCAACTATGGATCCCCAGATATAGCGAGTTGGCCAGGCCACTCTATACTCTAATCAAGGACACCCAGAGGGCAAATACTTATCTAGTAGAATGGGAACCAGAGGCAGAAACAGCCTTCAAAACCTTAAAGCAGGCCCTAGTACAAGCTCCAGTCTTAAGCCTTCTCACAGGACAAAACTTCTCTTTATACGTCACAAAACTTCTCTTTATACATTGGGAATAGCTCTTGGAGTCCTTACTCAGACTCGTGGAACAACCCCACAACCAGTGGCATACCTAAGTAAGGAAATACCTAAGTAGTAGCAAAAGGCTGGCCTCACTGTTTATGGGTAGTTATGGCGGTGGTCATCTTAGTATCAGAGGCTATCAAAATAATACAAGGAAAGGATCTCACCCTCTGGACTACTCATGATGTAAATGGCATACTGGGTGCCAAAGGAAATTTATAGCTATCAGACAACCATCTGCTTAGATACCAGGCACTACTCCTTGAGGGGCTGGTGCTTCAAATACACACATGTGCTGCCCTCAACCCTGTTACTTTTCTCCCAGAGGATGGGGAACCAATCAAGCATGACTGCCAACAAATTGTAGCCCAGCCTTATGCTGCCCAAGAGGATCTCTTAGAAGTCCCCTTAGCTAATCCTGACCTTAACCTATATACCGATGGAAGTTCATTTGTGGAGAATGGGATATGAAAGGCAGGTTATGCCATAGTTAGTGATGTAACAGTACTTGAAAGTAAGCCTCTTCCCCCAGGGACCAGCGCCCAGTTAGCAGAACTAGTGGCGCTTACCTGAGCCTTAGAACTGGGAAAGGAAAAAAGAATAAACATGTACACAGATAGCAAGTATGCTTATCTAATCTTACATGGCCATGCTGCAATATGGAATGAAAGGGAGTTCCTAACTTCTGGGGGTACCCCCATTAAATACCACAAGAAAATCATGGAGTTATCGCACGCCGTGCAAAAACCCAAGGAGGTGGCAGTCTTACACTGCCGAAGCCATCAAAAAGGTGAAGGAGAAAAGGCAGAAGGAAACTGTCAGGCAGACGCTGAGGCTAAAATTGCTGCCAGGCAGAACCTCCCATTAGAAATACCCTTGTTATGGAACAAGGTTCCATATTGTTATTATTACCCATAATAAGGACCCTTGTTATGGAACAACCCTCTCCAGGAGATTAAGCCCCAGTATTCTCCGACAGAAACAGAATGAGGACTTTCACGGGGGCATAGTTTTCTCCCCTTGGTGTGGTTAATGACAGAAGAGGGAAAGGTACTCATACCCGAAGCCAGCCAGTGGAAAATACTTAAGACCCTCCACCAAACTTTTCATATGGGTATTGAGAGCACTCATCAAATAGCTAAATCCCTATTTACAGGGTCAAATCTCCTCTGAACCATCCAACAAGTAGTCAGAGCCTGTGAGGTGTGCCAAAGGAATAATCCCTTGGTTCATTGTAAGGCCCCTCTTGGGGAACAAAGAATAGGGCACTATCCTGGAGAGGACTGGCAATTAGACTTCACCCATATGCCTAAGTCAAGTGGATTTCAATACTTGTTGGTCTGTGTTGATGCTTTTACAAATTGGATAGAAGCCTTCCCCTGCAAGACAGAGAAGGTTCAGGAAGTGGTTAAAGACCTAATTCATTAAATAATTCCTAGATTTGGGCTTCCCCAAAGCTTACAAAGCGACAACAGTCTGGCTTTTAAAGCCACGGTAACTCAGGGAATTTCCAGGGCACTAGGGATAAAATATCACCTTCACTGCACCTGGAGGCCACAATCCTCAGGGAAGGTCTAGAGGGCAAATGAAACACTCAAGAGGCACCTAAGGAAACTAACACAAGAAACTCATTTCCCATGGCCTACTCTGTTGCCCATGGCCTTGTTGAGAATCCGAAATTCTCCTCACAAAATGGGGCTCAGTCCATATGAAATGCTGTATGGATGACCTTTTCTCACTAATGACCTTCTACTTTATCAGGAAATGGCCAGTTTGGTCAAAGATATAACTTCTTTGGCAAAATATCAATAAAATCTTAAAAACCTACCCGAAGGATGTCACGAAGACAAGGGAACAGAGTTGTTCCAACCAGGAGATCTAGTGTTGGTCAAGTCCCTCCCCTCTACCTCCCCATCTATGGATTCCTTGTGGGAAGGAACATACTCCGTAATCCTCTCTACCCCCACTACAGTTAAGGTGGCAGAAGTGGAATCTTGGATTCACCACACCCGAGTTAAACTTTGGACACCCGTTATGAAGGAAAATACCCTTTCCAACTTGTAAATATGCAATCATTAGCCAACTTCCCCATCTCCGATAGGACCAAAAATACCCTAACAGGACGTACAATCCAGCTTTTACGCTCTTACATTTCCAACTTCATCTATTACATGAGCAATGAAAAACCCATACATGGCCCTGTAACCGCGAATACCATCTTAACTTTCCAAGCCCCTTTATGCATCCAATGGAACCTGTTATCAGGCCTGCCCCTGGGACACCTGCTATCCCATCAGTGTAATTATACCCTACAACTTCAAGCCCCAACTGATCATAGTAACTTCCGAGTCACCCAAACAGCTCCATTCAGATGGCTTGTCTGCTTCTCAGGGCCCCCTAAAATCATCACCTCCTCCCTGCTTAAACAGTTTGTAATGGCAAACATCCTCCCTGCATGACCATTCACCCCTGGAACCCCTGCAGCAGCGCCCCCACCACTAATGAATGCCTTCTCATCCCCTCTTTCAATCACTCTCTTGAATGGTTCCTAGTAGATACAAAATGGTTTTTTCTCTAATGGGAAAATAGAACACAGGGAGCCACTCAGTTTGCTCCCAATACCCCTTTCCAGCTGCTCACTGGAGCTACCTTGACAAGTACTCCAGGAGTATGGGAAAATGAAAAGAACAAACTCACACGCCTTTTTAACATACACAACCATTTCTGTCTACCCAGCCAAGGCATATTCTTCCCATGTGGAACTTCAACCTATATCTGCCTCCCCACCAACTGGAGACGCACCTGCACCTTAGTCTTCCTAAGTCCCAACATTGACATTGCCCCAGGAAATCAGACCCTATCAGTGCCCCTCAAAGCTCAAGTTTGTCAGTGCAGGGCCATACAACTAATACTCCAACTTATAGGGTTAGGAATGGCCACTGCTACAGGAACTGGAATAGCCAGTTTATCTACTTCATTATCCTATTACCACACACTCTCAAAAGATTTTTCAAACAGTTTGCAAGAAATAAAATCTATCGTTACTCTACAATCCCAAATAGACTCTTTAGTGGCAGTGACTGTCCAAAACCGCTGAGGCCTAGACCTCCTCACTGCTGAGAAAGGAGGACTGTACATTCTTAAGGGAAGAGTGTTGCTTTTACACTAACCAGTAAGGGATAGTATGAGATGCCGCTTATCGTTTACAGGAAAAGGCTTCTGAAATCAGACAACGCCTTTCAAACTCTTATACCAACCTCTGGAGTTGGGCAACATGGCTTCTCCCCTTTCTCAGTCTCAGGACAGCCATCTTGCTATTACTTGCCTTTGGGTCCTGTATTTTTAACAACCTTGTCAAATTTGTTTCCTCCAGGATCGAGGCCATCAAGCTACAGAGGGTCTTACAAATGGAACCCCAAATGAGCTCAACTCAGAACTTCTACTGAGGACCCCTGGACTGACCCACTGGCCCTTTCACTGGCCTAGAGAGTTCCCCTCTGGAGGACACTACAACTGCAGGGCCCCTTCTTCACCCCTATCCGGCAGGAAGTAGCCCAGAGCGGTCATCACCCAGTTCCCAACAGCTGTTGGGTGACCTGTTTAGAGGGATAATTGAGAGGTGAGGCCAGCTGGACTTCCTGAGTTGAGTGGGGACTTGGGGAACTTTCCTGTCTTACAAGCGGATTGTAAAATGCACCAATCAGCACTCTGTAAAACGCACCAATCAGCAGGATTCTAAAAGTAGCCAATCACAGGGAGGATTGAAAAAAGGGCACTCTGATAGGACAGAAACGGAACATGGGAGGGGTCGATAAGGGAATAAAAGCTGGCCACCCCCCCCCAGCCAGCAAGGCAACCCGCTAGGGTCACCTTCCACGCTGTGGAAGCTTTGTCCTTTCGCTCTTCACAATAAACGTTGCTCACTCTTTGGGTCCATGCCATCTTTAAGAGCTGTAACACTCACTGCAAAGGTCCGCAGCTTCATTCTTGAAGTCAGCAAGACCACAAACCCACCAGCAGGAACCAACTCTGGACACATTATCTCCTTTACAGCTTGGGTCCAGAGAGCTGCCTTAGACTCTCCAGTGAATCTATTCAAACAGCTGCCTCTGTTATCTTGACTCATCTCAGATTTCGTCCACCTGAGACACGTGCTGGTACTAGGAATGTAAGACTGTCTGTATTATTTTGGCTTGCTCCAGGTTAGGGAGAAGCCCGTGTGAAGCTTCAACTGACCATGTGTTTCATTTCTAGCTTTGATGTCTGGGCACTGATTTCCCTAGATTTAACTATTTGCTCAATGTTAAGGCAGTTTTGTGGAAATTTGTCTGTGTAACAGAAGTGCTGTGCAGGTCTGTCTGTGTGACTGTCATGCAGGCCTGTCTGTGTGATTGTCAGGGAGAATTGACCTGCCACAAATTGGGAGGAAAAGCAGTCTGGATACCATGAACCAATTCTTGGTGTTGCTAGGACCTGGTCTGTCAGTAAAGGAAAACCAAGGCAAAACATGCTTTGACCACTGTCCTAGTTATAGATTTATTACTTATGCTACAAATTTGTCCTTTTTTTCTGCTTTGTGATAATGGAGATGGGCCTTATAAATATTTCTCTTTTACCCATTACCAGTGTAGGGTGCTGGAAGACAAGGAAGGAGGAAGAAGCTTCCTTTCCAAGTTTCAGTGTTGAGGTAGAATAGGGTCTAGAGGAAGGGAACCTAAGGCCAATCACGCTGACTTTCTAGAACTAGATCAAAAGGAAACCCCACTTTCCATGCCCAAGTAACAAAAGGACCAGAGGCTATTGCCTTTGCAATCCCTCACCTTTTTTGCATGGCAGATGAAAAATTGAAATTACTTCTGATTGGCCGGGCATGGTGGCTCACACCTGTAATCCCAGCACTTTGGGAGGTCAAGGCAGGTGGATCACCTGAGGTCAGGAGTTCGAGACCAGCCTGACCAACATGGAGAAACTCCATCTCTACTAAAAATACAGAATTAGCCGGGTGTTGTGGCACATGCCTGTAATCCCAGCTACTCGGGAGGCTGAGGCAGGAGGATTGTTTGAACCCAGGAGGTGAAGGTTGCAATGAGCTGAGATTGCACCACTGCACTCCGGCCTGGGCGACAGAGCGAGACTGAGTCAAAAACAAACAAACAATAAAAAAACCTACTGTTATGCGTACTGTAGGAAGCAGCCCTACTGGGTCTGTGGGTTTTTCTCTTCGTGTGTGGAGACAAGAGATCATAGAAATAAAGACACAAGACAAAGAGATAGACAAAAAGACAGCTGGGTCCGGGGAACCACTACCACCAAGGTGCAGAGACCAGTAGCGGCCCCGAATGCCTGGCTGCACTGTTATTTATTGGATACAAGACAAGGAGGGAGGGTAAGGAGTGTGAGCCATCTCCAATGATAGGTAAGGTCACGCGAGTCACGTGTCCACCAGACAGGGGGCCCTTCCCTGTTTGGCAGCTGAGGTGGAGAGAGAGAGAGGACAGCTTACGCCATTATTTCTTCTATGCATTTCAAAGACTTTAGTACTTTCACTAATTCCGCTACTGCTGATTAGAAGGCAGAACCAGGTGTACAGGGTGGAACATGAAAGTGGACCAGGAGTGTGACCACTGAAGCACGGCATCACAGGGAGACGTTTAGGCCTCTGGATGGCTGCGGGCGGGCCTGACTGATGTCAGGCTTTCCGCAAGAGGTAGTGAGCAGAGTCTTCTCTAACTCCCCCGGGGAAAGGGAGACTCCCTTTCCCTGTCTGCTAAGCAATGGGTGCCTTCCCCAGGCACTGACGCTACTGCTAGACCAAGGTCCGCTAGGTAACGGGCTCCTTCCCAGGGGCTGGCATTACCGCTAGACCAGGGAGCCCTCTGGTGGCTCTGTCCAGGCATAACAGAGGGCTCACCCTTGTCTTCTGGTCACTTCTCACCATGTCCCTTCAGCTCCTATCTCTGTATGGCCTGGTTTTTCCTAGGTTATGATTGTAGAACAAAGATTATTATAATATTGGAATAAAGAGTAATGCTACAAATGATTAATGATATATACAATCATATCTATAATCTATTTCTAGTATAACTACTCTTATTCTATATATTTTCTTTATTATACTGGAACAGCTTGTGCCCTCGGTCTCTTGCCTTGGCACCTGGGTGGCTTGCCACCCACGCGTACAAAGAAGGCAGAAAGGAAATACAGAAAATTCAAACACTGCTGGGATTCTGAATGTTGTTTGTCTTTTCCTTATACTTTTCCTTTAAAATAAAAAACTACAATGAGAACATAATGCTTCATAATAGAAAAAGATTTACACTTAAAAAACATAGATGATGAAAGGGAGCTGGCTAGGGCACCAGGGACAGGCATTGGGAAGGTGACCTCAAGCCGCAGTGAAGAAGTAATGAACAACCTAGGGACCAATACAGAAAGGCCACCTGTGGTTCACTTATATAACACATCTCTACCTCATATTATACCAAAATACATTCCCTGAGCAGTAAAGAATTATACGTTTTAAAAAGCAGTACAATTTGGAAGTAAATTAGGAAGTATTTTTATATTTTAGAGTTTGGGGAGACATTTAAAAGCAAACTAGGAAACTCAGAAACCATTTTACTAAAAGTATAGATTCATTGGGGATATATAAAATTGAATATATATATTTTTGAGATGGAGTCTTTCTATTGTCGCCCAGGCTGGAGTGCAATGGCGCGATCTCAGCTCACTGCAACCTCTGCCTCCCAGGTTCAAGCGATTCTCCTTGCCTCAGCCTCCTGAGTAGCTGGGATTACAGGCACCCGCCACCATGCCCAGCTAATTTTTTGTATTTTTAGTAGAGATGGGGTTTCACCATGGTAGCCAGGCTGGTCTTGAACACCTGACCTCAGGTAATCCACCGGCCTCGGCCTCCCAAAGTGCTGGGATTACAGGCATGAGCCACTGCGCCTTGCCTAAAATTAAATATTTTATATGGATATCATATTATAAACTAAGAGGAGCAAAATTATGTTATCAACTCAATTGTTGCATAAACATTTGATAGTGTTCATAAAAAATTATTGATAAAATATCTTTATAAACCTGGTTTAAAAAGATTAACTTGATAAGAGGTGCAACCTGTTGTAAACAGCTTACTGAGGAACTTTGGTAATCATTACCGACCAAGACAAGAATGCTTAATTTCTTTCCGACTTATAGTTGAGGAAGCCCTAAACAAACAATAAGAAAAAGAAATGACTCTGGGTGTGGTGGCTTACACCTGTACCCCTAGCACTCTGGGAGGCTGAGGTGAGAGGATAGCTTGAGCTCAGGAGTTTGAGACCAGCTTCAGCAACATAGTGCGATCCCATCTCTACAAAAAAATAAAGAAAATAGCTGGGTGGGGTGGTACGCGACTGTATTCTCAGCTACTTGGGGGGCTGAGATGGGACCATCACTTGAGCTGGGGAAGTCAAGGCTGCAGTGAGCCATGGTCGCGCCACTGCACTCCAGTCTAGGCGATAGAATGAGACATTGCCTCACATAAAGAAATGAGTTATACACATTAAAACAATGAAAATATGCAGAGAAAATATTTATATTTGATGGTTCAAATAATAAACTGACAGCTATCAGAATTCAGCAAGTTTCCAGGAAAAAGGTTCTATTTAAATAATTATCAATGGCTTCCCTCTACAGGAGAAGTTATCAATACAACAATGAAAGGGAAAACTAAAAGGCCCAAAAGGACTGAGTGAGTGTCAAGGAGAGTCTGTTTCCTATTAGAGCTGCAAATATATGTGTCCTGTGTACAGGACTGTAGCAACGTGGAGGATAGGTAGAAACCCGATCGATGAGCATCCTGTATCCGTGGTAGCTGAGAACCTGGATGGGAAGCCCTAGCCTTAGCCCCATCCCTAGGCCTTGTCACTTAAGCCCCGCCCAGCCCTCGTCTCCGCCCCCTAGGAATTTCTACCAAGCCCCGCTCCCAATCTGGTTCCACCTTTAGCCCCGCCCCTTGGAGTATTTAAAAGGCCACGCCCCTAGGTCTAGCCCCAGTTCCGCCCCTCAGGCCGAGTCATGCAAGTCCAGTTCAGGGTTCTGTTTCTTCTCTGTTTACTCCAAATCATGAAGAAACTAGGATTTCTCATCCACTTGCGGCTGGAACCAGCCTTGGCGCTCCTTTGCATCCCGCTCCTACCTGCTCCACCCCCTTCACCTCAAGTCCCGCTTCCCAGGCCCCGCCCCATACGCCATTTGCAGCGCCGAAAGAGGAATCAGAAGTGTGCTTCTGCGCATGCGCGAGTCGACAGCCTTGTCACCCTACGCCTCCGCCCGCGTCTGAGGAACATTTTTGCCTCCGCCCGCTTCCTGTCCTGCCCTGCCCCGCCCCGCCCTGCCTGCCCCGGGTCGGGTCCGCGGGAGACCGAGGGCTGGGTTTGGGAATCGGCGGTCTAAGGGCTGCCTCCCCGCCACTCCTTGTCCGGACCCCGCGCCCGGGGCCTCCCGCCGCCGCGGCGCCTCCTCAGAGAGCCCGGGTCAGCTGCCCCTGTGGCCGCGGCTGGTCCCAAACTCACTGAATCGGGAACTCTGGTCTGGGTACAGAAATCGGGGTGATTCTGATGCAGGCGAGAGTTGGAGAACCAATGTCGTAGTTCATCAGCCTCCGAAAGCATCCTTTGCTCTCTTTCCAGAAAGGAAGAGCATCTCTGCCATTCGTGTCTCAAGGACAAGCGCTTCAGCCTCGTTCTCTGTGAGCTGATCTGTGGATCGCGGCGTGTCGGGTGAGCACGGGGTGACATTTGCCTCGGCTCGGTCCCCTCCTGTCCCCTCTTTATGCATTAGGTAGTGTTTGGGCCAAGCGCGGTGGTTCACGCCTGTAATCCCAGCACTTTGGGCGGCCGAGGCGGGCGGATCGCTTGAGCCCAGGAGTTTGAGGCCAGCCTGGGCAACATAGCAAGATCCCGTCTCTACCAAAAAAAAAAAAAAAAAAAAAAGTAAAATAAAAGGTGCTCTCCTGTGTTCCCAGCTACTCGGGAGGCAGAGGTTGCAGTGAGCTGAGATCGCATCACTGCACTCCAGCCTGGGCAACAGAGCGAGACACTGTCTCAAAAAAACAAAAAGATAGTATTTGGTCTCTGGATATTATATTCTGCCTGTGGACATCAGTTTGATACATTATATTCAAGTGAAAGTGAACTGATGCATTTTGTCATTAATGATGCATTTGAATCATTTGTCTATAGATTGGTTAAATTTCACACAGAAAATTTGGTCATCTGTCAGTTTCAATCTTTTCCCTTTTTATTCCTTGCAGTTTCCATTTCTTTTCATTTCTTTACTGCACTTGCCAGGACCTCCAGTACAATGTCCGACAGAATAGCATGTAATTTACATCCTGTCTTGTTTCTGATTCCAGAGGGAATTATTCTATCATTTCACCATTAAATAGGATGTTTGCTGTAGGTGTTTGTAGGTTTTTTTCCTTTCTTTATTCCTATTTCTTTTTAGAAAATAGGAGTCTCGCTCTGTTGCCCGGGCAGGTCTCGAACTCATGGGCTCTCCGCCTCCCAAAGTGCTGGAATTACAGGCATGAGCCACTGCACCCGGCCTGACCGTGTTTTAAACCGCTGATTTTTTTTTCTTTAATTACTGGGTGTAATCAGGTTTTAGATCACTGCTTGAAAGTTGTACTACTTTCTAGAAATTCATTAATTACCTGTGCATCTTCATATTTATTCCTTAAATTTTTTCTATATTCTCCTTATGATATCTGTAATTATGATTAATTCTTGTTCATTTTTTTTTTGTTGTTGTTGTTTATGCCCTGTTGCTCTTAAAATTGCTGAGTCTGTTGCTGGCTGCAGTGGCGCATATCTGTAGTCCCAGCTGGTGGGAAGCTAAGGCAGATGGATCGCTTGAGCCTAGGAAATGAGATCAACCTGGGAACATAAAGAGTCTGTCTTAAACAATAAATTAAATTAAAAAATTTTTTTAAAAAGCTGAGTTTGTCAGTTTCATTAGTTTTTCTTTTTGCAAAGGATGCTTTTTTAGCTTTTCTGATTTTGTTTACTATGTTTTAAAAAAGATTATTTTCTATTTTCTTTCTAAACTTTTATGCTGGTCTTTATTCAACTTTATATATCAATAGTCTAGCCTATTAATACCGATTTTTTTTTTTTTTTTTGAGACAGAGTCTCGCTGTGTCTCCCAGGCTGGAGTGCAGTGGCGTGATCTTGGCTCACTGCAACCTCTGCCTCCTGGGTTCAAACAATTCTCTGCCTCAGCCTCCCAAGTAGTGGCGATTACAGGCACCTGCCACCATGCCCAGCTAATTTTTTTGTATTTTTAGTAGAGGTGGGTTTCACCATCTTGGCCAGGCTGGTCTTGAACTCCTGACCTTGTGATCCACCCACCTTGGCCTCCCAAAGTGCTGGGATTACAGGTGTGAGCCACCGTGCCTGGCCAGTACTGATTTTTTTTCCTCTAGGAGTTGATAATGCTTATAAATATATAATAGATATACTAAACCCTCTGAAATTCCAGCATGATCTGAAATAGTTATTTTAATTTTCTGCTTCTACCCTGCCACATTACCTGTCCTGACTTGCTAAAGATAAATATGTTACGTGTCTCCTTATCCCTATAATGTGCTACATTTTTTATATAGCATGTATCTCTACCTGATGTATTTTGTTTAATGTCTTACCCAAAATATTATAACATTCATTTGCTTCAGGATTTTTCTTTTTTATTTTTCTATGCCTTATTCCTTGTGACTTCATGTAGTAGGGTCAGGATAAATGTCACCTAAATAAACATGAAACGAAGGAGGTAAGGGCTATAAGGGAAGCATCGTTGCCCAAGACATAGGCCTTAGGAAAAGGAGCTCAAAGATAACATATTTGATTATTTATTTATTTTATTTATTTTGAGACAGAGTCTGGCTCTGTTGCCCAGGCTGGAGTGCAGTGGTGTGATTTCGGCTTACTGCAACCTCTGCCTCCTGAGTTCACACAATTCTCCTGCCTCAGCCTCCTGAGTAGCTGGGACTACAGCTGTGCGCCACCATGCCCGGCTGATTTTTGTAGTTTTAGTAGAGACAGGGTTTCGCCATTTTGGCCAGGCTGGTCTTGAACTCCTGACCTCATGTGATTCCCCCGACCTTGGTCTCCCAAAGTGCTGGGATTACAAGCATGAGCTACCACGCACAGCATATTTGATTAGAATGCTTCATTTGTCCACTCTCTGTAGTGCCCAATAGGGTTCTAGGCTAAATCCTGGTAAAACTAGGGAATAAGGGGCTTAAAAACAATTAAAATTTAAGGTATGTGTTCAAAAATGTACTCACTGGGTGTTTGGGTTTTGAAGACAAATAGGCCTGCATTCATACCCTGCCTCAGCAGCTGTCTAATTGGGTAATATTGAAGATGTGGTTAATTGACTCATTCTAAGATAATTCTAAACTGGTTGTAATAATATTTGATTTGCAGAGCTTCTGTGAGAAATATTCTAAAATGTGGCCATTTCTTTGCAAAGTCATTCTCACATCAGGGTTGTCCAGATGGCATATATTGTTACTAATACAGCAAAGAATGTTACAGTTTTTTATTGGCTTTTTAAAATGCTACTTGTTCCACTGCAGTGGAAGTAACTGTTAACATGTCGTTGTTTGAAATTTGTGAAACAGCACTGCAGATACCACATCAGGGCTGACACAGGTCAAGTGTTTTTTTTTTTTTGAGATGGAGTCTCGCTCTGTCTCCCAGGCTGGAGTACAGTGGCGCAATCTCGGCTTGCTGCAACCTCCGCCTCCCGGGTTCAAGCGATTCTCCTGCCTCAGCCTCCTGAGTAGCTGGGATTACAGGCTTGCGCCACCACGCCTGGCTAATTTTTGTATTTTTAGTAAAGGAGGGGTTTCACCATATTGGTTAGGCTGGTTTGGAACTCCTGACCTCGTGATCCATCCACCTCGGCCTCCCAAAGTGCTGGGATTACAGGCGTGAGCCACCATGCTTGGCCAAGTATTCTTATTCTGCTACTACTGTACTGTGCAGGCAGATTTAGCATGTGTATCACAGCATAGCGGCCTTCTCTGCCTCCAGCATATGGAATTCAATAGGCTGATGCTTGGCCAGGCGCGGTGGCTCACGCCTGTAATCCCAGCACTTTGGGAGGCCGAGGCAGGCGGATCATGAAGTCAGGAGATTGACACCATCCTGGCTAACACGGTGAAACACCGTCCCTACTAAAAACACAGAAAAATTAGCCAGGCATGGTGGTGTGCACCTGTAATCCCAGCTACTGGGGAGGCTGAGGCAGGAGAATGGCATGAACCCGGGAGGTGGAGGTTGCAGTGAGCTGAGATCACACCACTGCACTCCAGCCTGGGTGACAGAGCAAGACTCCATCTCAAAAAAAAAAAATAGGCTGATGCTCTTTCTCAGGTTTTGGGGAACCCTGCAGCTCATGGGGGCAGGGGCAGTGGTCTAGGGCTGAGCAGCAAAGCCTGTTAGCCAGCCAAGGGGTGCAGAAGTAAGAAATATCGGGAGTGGAACTCCCAGAAGCCTGGCATATAAATCAGTGCTTTCTTGAATTTGAGATGGGGAGTGTTTATTCATGTTTTGGAAGATACTCCCTGATACATTTTATACTTTTTGTTATCATGGGCAGATTGACAGCCAGACTTTTCTAGTCTTCAGTTAACTTACAAAATAGCACTCTTAACCTCTTCTTTATGATCAACAAGGACCAGAGCACTGTTTTGTATCTCTAGGGGGACGTAAGGTTGTTCCACTTTCCCACAAGAGCAGGGTATATTTACTTGGGTGTCTTGGGTGTGTGCATGTGTGTGTGTGTGTGTGTGTATGTGTTTTGAGGGGAGTTGTTACTTATAATTGATGGGCTGCAACATCCAGGCTCATGAGTGTGGGAATTTTGGGGAGGTCTGGATTCTCATGTCACCTTTTTTAATTCTAACTTCTCAATATCCTGCTTTTCTTCATGAAGGCGACATGGAGGAAGAAAGAAAAACTGCTGAGTTACAGAAAAATAGAATACAGGTAAGTAAAAGGTGATAATTGTCCAAAAGAATATTTCCATTGTACCAGGTCTCCCTCAGTGTTTTAGGGCACAAGCCAGCAATCTCTTTCTGTATTGGACCACATAGTATTTTAGGCACTGAAGGCTATAGTTTTTTTTTTTTTTTTTTTGAGACAGAGTCTTGCTCTGTCGCCAGGCTGGAGTGCAGTGGCACCATCTTGGCTCACTGTAGCCTTCGACTCCCTGGTTCAACCGATTCTCCTGCCTCAGCCTCCCGAGTGGCTGGGACTACAGGCATGCACCACCACTCTCGGCTAACTTTGTATTTTTAATAGAGATGGGGTTTCACCATGTTGGCCAGGATGGTCTCAATCTCCTGACCTCGTGATCTGTCCGCCTTGGCCTCCCAAAGTGCTGGGATTACAGGCATGAGCCACCGTGCCCGGCCGGCCGTAGTGTTTCTATTGCAATTCAGCTCTGCCATTTTGGTGCAAAAGCAGCCATAGACAGTACATAAACACATTTTATTGTGTTCCAATAAAACTGTATTTATGCATTCAAGTGGCAGCTTGGATATAGTCCATGTGCCATAGTTTGCTGACCACTGGCCTAGAATACAAGAAAGTATGACCAGCTGTGGGCCTGGCTTCAAAATTGTGCTTATGCAGTCTCCTGGGCCTCTCAGTTTTGTGAGGGGGAAAAAAATGAAAGGCTGCTTTTCTCTCGGTGTATTTTTATTCATTAAAATCCCATCTAGATTTGACCCTGTGTTTAATGTTGTAGTGATTGCTATGGTGGGAATAAAGTAACAGGTGAAGTTATTTCTGTAATAAGGAATCGATGATGTCAATGTGGAAATTATTTCATTTCCAGAGCATTTTTCTCATTTCTTCAATATGTTCTGGACTTTTCTAGGCCATCATAAGACTGGCATTGGTCACCATCTATGATATTGTGAAATACATATTTGGGGCTGGGCACGGTGGCTCACGCCTGCAATCCCAGCACTTTGGGAGGCCAAGGTGGGCAGACTGCCTGAGGTCAGGAGTTCGAGACCAGTCTGGCCAACATGGTGAAACGCTGTCTCTACTAAAAATACAAAAAAAAGTAGCTGGGCATGGTAGCACGTGCCTGTAATCCCAGCTACTCGGGAGGCTGAGGCAGGGGAATTGCTTGAACCAGGGAGGTGGAGGTTGCAATGAGCCGAGATCGCGCCACTGCACTCCAGCCTGGGCGACAGAGCGAGACCCCATCTCAAAAAAAAAAAAAAGAAAACAATTTGGTTTTCATCCTATTTCCTAGGACAGAGTTCCTAAAAACCCTTGTAATCTCTAGAGCAATAAGAGCGTCTTTTGTGTGCTCATGAGATGGTTGGTGTCTGGAAGCCCCTAGAGAGACTCAGAATGGGGGCTGGTTCAGAAAGACCCAGGCAAGATCAGAGGATTGGGACTTAAATCAGCCATGCCTGTGATGGAGCCTCCTTAAAAACCCAAAGGACTGGCTTGAGGAGCTCGTGGATAGCTGGACGTGTGGTGGTTCCCGGAGGGTGGCATGCCAGGAGAGGGCATGGAATCTCTGCACCCCTTCCCAGCATACCTTGGCCTGTCCATCTCTTCATCTGGCTATTTTATCTGTGTACTTCGTAATGACCTTGGTGATAAACCAGTAAACATGTTTCCCTGAGTTCTGTGAGTTGTTCCAGCAAATTAATCAAACTCAAGGAGAGGGTAGTAGGAGCCCTGATTTTAGCCAGTCAGAAGTATAATTGACAGCCTTTTAACTTGGGATTGGCATCTGAAGTGGGAGGCAGTTTAGTGGGACCTCCTGTGGAATCTCCAACCTGTGGAATCTCCAGGTAGATAGTATCAGAAGCAAGTTGTAGGATACCCAGCTGGTGTCCACTGGGGAATTGCTTGGTGTTTGTGGAAAATATCCCCCACACATCTGGTGTCAGAAGTGTTCTGTACAGTATTGAGTGACTATGTAAGAGGGTAGGAAAAACACTTTGTTTTTTCCTAGCTCATTGGCATCAGATTGTGGGGAGATAAATTTAATGTTTTTTTGTTTTTGTTTTTGTTTTTTTTTGTCCAGGCTAGAGTGCAGTGGCATGGTCGTGCTCACTGCAGCCTCAACCTTGTGGCTCAAGCAATCCTCCCACCCACCTCAGCCTCCGGAGTAGCTGCCACCATAGGCACATGCCACCACGCCCAGCTATTTTTTAAAAAAATTTTAGTAGAGACTGATTCTCACTATGTTCTGTTGCCTAGGCTGGTCTTGAACTCCTGGGCTCAAGTAGTCCTCCTGCTTTGGCTCCCCAAAGTGCTGGGATTATAGGCTTGACCCAATTTGCCTGGCAATTTAGTGTTTTAGAAGTATTAAATCTATAAGCCAGGATTTGATCAGTGATGAATTATGTGTGGATAGAAAGAGAGAGAGATTTGTTGACTGAGCCCTAGAGTAGATGCTGGGATCTTCTGAACTTCCTATGAATTGACTCTCATTTCCTCGATGTTGTGAGCCTCATCTGTCCTCTTGTACACATTGGAGGAATTGTACCTTTCTGAACAGAATTTGTGGTATGTTTTAGGACTCAGTAGTCTTTGAGGATGTGGCTGTGGACTTTACCCAGGAGGAATGGGCTTTGCTGGATCTTGCTCAGAGAAACCTCTACAGAGATGTGATGCTGGAAAACTTCCAGAACCTGGCCTCACTAGGTAAGAATGGCAAGATTCTTTCATGTAGTTGTTTAGAAAGTTATTTTATCTCACTAAATTGACTTTATTCTAGGATTTGGGCTGAGGAATGGGAAGACATTGGTAAGTAAGACAGATATGGTCACTGACCCCAAGGAACTTACAGTCTAGTGGCTTTGCTATGAAAATAAACACCTGGGCCGGGCGCAGTGCTCATGCCTGTAATCCCAGCATTTTGGGAGGCTAAGGCGGGTGGATCACCTGAGGTCAGGAGTTCGATACCAGCCTGACCAACATGGAGAAACCCCGTCTCTACTAAAAACACAAAATTAGCCAGGCGTGGTGGTGCATGCTTGTAATCCCAGCTACTTGGGAGGCTGAGGCAGGAGAATGGCTTGAACCCAGGAGGTGGAGGTTACGGTGAGCCAAGATCGCTCCATTGCACTCCAGCCTGGGCAACAAGAGTGAAACTCCATCTCAAAAAAAAAAAAAAGAAAAAAGAAAATAAACATCTGTATATTGAACTGATGCTTTTTTTCGTGGTTGAAAGCCTTGAGGTTTATTAAGTATCGAAAGTGTGGGTATAAACCTCAGCAATCACTATAGGACACAGGGAGGAGGTTTGTAGTTTGAACATTTTGAGGATTTTACTGCTATCTGTGTCCTTTACCCAAAGACTACCAGAACACACTTATAGTTAAACAAGTTGGGTTTATTTTGCAGTGCAGCAAGCAAGAATACATGCCTCTTACATGTCCTAGTAAGATGGTGTTAGAAAAGACCTATTACAGGATTTGTGCTTCAGTTGAGTGATTTGGGGATGGGTCTATGGAAGCAGGCTGTATTAGTTTCCTAGACCTTCTGTAGCAGAGTATCACACACTGGTGGCTAAAAACAACGGAAATTTTTTCCTTCACAGCATTTCTGGAGGCTGGGTATCTGAAATCAAGGGATCAGCAGGGCCATGTTCTCTCTGAAGGCTCTGGGGGAAAGACTCCCTTTTCTCTTCCTGGCTTCTGGTGATTGCTGGCAATCATTGGCATTCCTTGACTTACAGATGCATCATTCCATTCTCTGCCTTCTCCTTCTTGCCTGTGTGTCTAAGTCTCTGTCTCCTTATAAGGACACCAGTCATTGGATTTAGGGCCCATCCTAATCCAGTATAACCTTGTCTTGATTATATCTGTAAAGACCCTATTTCTAAATAAGGTAACATTTTGAGGTTCTGGGTGGACTTCTCTCTCTCTCTCTCTCTCTCTCTTTTTTTTTTGTAGGCTTTATTATTATTTTTAGAGCAATTTTAGGTTCACAGCTGAATTGAGTGGAAGGTACAGAGATTTCCCGTATAACCTCTGGCTCCCACATGCATAGCCTCCTCTAATAACAACATCCCCCACCAGAGTGGTAAATTTGTTATAACTGATGAAGCTACATTGACACGTCATCATTGCCCAGAGTCCATCATTTACATTAGGGTTCACTCTTGGTATTGTACATTCTATGAGTTTGGAAGAATATATAATGACATGTATCCACCATTATAATATCATACAGAATAGTTTCACTGCTGTAAAAATCCTGTGTGCTCTATCAATTCATCCCTCCTTCCCTCCCTCTTAAATCTTGGCAACTACTGATCTTTCTGTCTCCATAATGATGTTGCCTTCTGCAAAATGTCATATAGTTGGAATCATGCAGTATGTAGCCTTTTCAGATTGGCTTCTTTCACTTAGCAATATACATTTAAGATTCCTCCATGTCTTTTCATAGCTTGAGAGCTCATTTCTTTGTACCTCTGACTAATATTCTATTGTCTGGATGTACCACGGTTTATCCATTCACCTACTGAAGGACTTCTTGGTTGCTTACACGTTTTGGCAGTTACAAATAAAGCTACTATGAACATTGGTGTGCAGGTTTTTATGTGGACTTAAGTTTTCAACTCCTTTGGGTAAAAGGAGTGCAATTCAGTTGCTGGATTTTATGGTAAGAGGATGTTTAATTTTATAAGAAACTGCCAGCCGGGCGCGGTGGCTCATGCCTGTAATCCTAGTACTTTGGGAGGCCGAGGCGGGTGGATCACGAGGTCAGGAGATCGAGACCATCCTGGCTAACAGGGTGAAACTCCATCTGTACTAAAAATACAAAAAATTAGCCGGGTGTGTTGGCGGGCACCTGTAGTCCCAGCTACTCGGGAGGCTGAGGCAGGAGAATGGTGTGAACCTGGGAGGCAGAGCTTGCAGTGAGCTGAGATCACACCACTGCACTCCAGCCTGGGCGACAGAGCGAGCATTCCAGCCAGCAATGAATGAGAGTTCCTGTTGCTCCTCATCCTCACCAGCATTTGTTGTTGTGAATGTTCAGGATTTTGGCCATTCTAACAGGTGTGTAGTGGTGCCTTGTTTTAATTTGCATTTCCCTGATGACTTATGATGTTGAGCATCTTTTCATATGCTTATTTGCCATCTGTATATGTTCTTTGGTGAGGTGTCTGTAAAGGTCTTTGGCTCATTTTTTTGTCTTTTTTTTTTTTAAACATTGTTGAGTTTTAAGAGTTCTTTGAATATTTTGTTTGTTTTTTTCTGTATGATATCTGCTACAGTCTTTGTATATTTTTGATAACAGTTCCTTCTCAGATATGTTTTTTGCAAATATTTTCTCCCAGGCTGTGGCTTATCTTTCCATTCTGTTGACATTGTCTTTCAGAGGGCAGAAATTTTTAATGTTAATGAAGCTCAATTATTGATTCTTTGTTTTATGGATCATGCTTTAGCATTATTATCTAAAATATCATTGCCAGGGTGTGGGGGGCACGCGCTGGTAGTCCCAGTTACTTGGGAGGTGGAGGCTGGAGGATCACTTGAGTCCAGGAGTTTGAGGCTGCAGTGAGCTATGATCACACCACTACTACAGCCTGGGTGATAAAGTGAGACCCTGTCTCTTAAAAAAAAAATTAAAAATGTCAGGCCAGGCATGGTGGCTGACGCCTGTAATCCCAGCACTTTGGGAGGCCGAGGCGGGTGAATCACGAGGTCAGGAGATCGAGACCATCCTGGCTAACACGGTGTAACCCCGTCTCTACTAAAAATACAAAAAATTAGCCAGGTGTGGTGGCAGGCACCTGTGGTCCCAGCTACTCAGGAGGCTGAGGCAGGAGAATGGCGTGAACCCAGGAGGCAGAGCTTGCAGTGAGCTGAGATTGTGGCACTGCACTCCCGCCTGGGCGACAGAGCGAGACTCCGTCTCAAAAAAAAGAAAAAAAATTTAAAATGTCATTGCCAAACAGAAGGTCATTTAGATTTTTCTCCTGTTATCTTCTAGGAGTTTTCTAGCTTTGCATTTTACAGTAAGGTCTGTGACCCATTTTGCGTTAACTTTTGTGAAGGGTCTAAGGCCTGTGTCTAGATTTATTTTTTTGCTTGTGGATGTCCAGTTGTTCCAGTACCAATTGTGGGAAAGACTTAGCTTTTCTCCATTGTATTGCCTTTGCTATTTTGTCAAGGTCAGCTGACTGTATTGGTGTGGCTCTGTTTCTGAACCCACTGTGCTTTTCTGTTGATCCATTTGAACATAAATTTTGAGGGGACGTTGTTCAGCCTAGTGACACAGGCAGTCATTTTAGATTGGTTGCTGACAGAAAGTGGATAGTATTGCTGGTTGCTGACAGTATTATTCAATAATACTCTATTATTGAGTATGTTGTGGGTGGCATAAAGTCTTTAGACAAAATTATGAGGTAACCTTGTTTTGTTTCATTTTATCATGATTTCAGAGTAACTTTATCCAAGATTAGTATTTTGTGAGATTATTTATATTCTATAGGAGAACAAAATGTCCCAGTTGTGACTGTCTGACCAGCTTGTAATGATATTGAGGTTTAGGTGTGAACATTAGATCAGTTCTGTATGTCAGAAGCTGCTTCCTCCTGCCACCTCTCCTTTTTTTTTTTTTTTGAGATAGAGTCTCGCTCTGTCGCCCGGGCGGGAGTGCAGTGGCACGATCTCAGCTCACTGCAACCTCCGCCTCCCGGGTTCAAGCAATTCTCCTGCCTCAGACTCCTGACTAGCTTGGATTACAGGTGTGCTCCACCACACCCTGCTAATTTTTGTATTTTTAGTAGAGACAGGGTTTCATCATGTTGGCCAGGCTAGTCTCGAACCCCTGACCTCGTGATCTGCCTGCCTCAGTCTCCCAAAGTGCTGGGATTACAGGCGTGAGTCACCGCACCCAACCTGCCACCTCTCCTTTTTTTAAAAAAAAAAATAAATAAATTTGACATTTTGTTGCAGTTAAACTCACAGTTGTCCATTTTTGGAATATCAGAAGACTAAAGTTTTGTTTCTGTTTCATGGAAATGTTAGTGATTCTTCATTATTTTCCCTCGTGATATGCCTTTCTGCTTGTGCAGGGTATCCGCTACACACACCCCATCTGATCTCCCAGTGGGAACAAGAGGAGGACCTGCAGACAGTGAAGAGAGAACTTATCCAGGGCATCTTTATGGGAGAGCACCGGGAAGGCAAGAACCCTTGGGAGAAACTGTTTTGGTTGGGGGAAAAAATAAACTTAAAGTAAAAAACAAAAACAAACTTTGTTTTATATGAGGAAGCTCATCTTCCACAGATAGCTCAGATGACTATTTTGACTTTTTATCAGTCCTCTCGCATTTTCCTTGTTCTTGGCAAAGACCTTCCACGTTTCCTCTTTGTAAGTTGGCATTTGGTCATGTGCATTTTATCCAATTTCTGTTTTGTTCTCCTAATACTATATTAGTTATGTTAGTTTCAATCTTCATAAAATTATTTCTTAGTTAATTGCTTACCATTTTGACCCTTGTGCCTATTAATACCAAAGTCCTGAAATAGTCACTCTGCTAAAAGTCCTTGGCTCATGGAAGCTTTCACTTTTTTTCGTTTCAGGTTTTGAGACTCAACTTAAAACTAATGAATCAGTTGCTTCACAAGATATTTGTGGAGAAAAAATATCCAATGAACAGAAAATAGTAAGATTCAAAAGGAATGATTCCTGGTTCTCCAGTTTACATGAAAACCAGGAGTCCTGTGGTATTGATTATCAGAACAAAAGCCATGAGAGACATTTGAGGTGAGTGCCATTCGTGAGAAAGAGAAAGTGCCTCAGGAGAGAATCTTAAAATTAAAGTCATGAAATTTAAGAAATATGTATATATAAATAAGCCTAGATCAAAGATTGTGGTTTGAGAAAGAATTTTCATGAGTTAATTTTTTCCACAAATGAGACCGGGATTTTGAATGTTTGACACATACTTCAGTTGTAAACAATTATCAGAAAAATCCCGTGAGTCAATAACTCAGTGACAGTATTGGCTGTCGTAGAGCCCTCTGTGAAAACTTTCAGCTTAAACTTGACAGAAGGGCAGAAAACATATACATTCACTGAAATTGGTAGAAATTTATTACTAATAATGTGTCTTTTATTTTTAAAAGAAATCATATGGTAGAGAACATCTATGAATGTTATGAAGAAAATCAAGATGGACAGACTTTCAGCCAAGTTCCAAATCTTGATTCACTCAAGAGAAATACTGAAGTAAAATCCTGTGAATGCCATGAGTGTGGAAAGGCCTTCGTGGATCATTCATCCCTTAAGAGTCACATCAGGTCTCATACTGGAAGCAAACCCTATCAGTGCAAGGAATGTGGGAAGGCCTTCCATTTTCTTGCTTGTTTCAAGAAGCATATGAAAACCCCCACTGAAGAGAAGCCCTATGAATGTAAGGAATGTACCAAAGCCTTCAGCTGTTCCTCATTCTTTAGGGCACATATGAAGATTCACATCGGAAAGACAAACTATGAATGTAAAGAATGTGGGAAAGGTTTTAGTTGTTCCTCATCGCTCACAGAACACAAAAGAATTCACAGTGGAGATAAGCCTTATGAATGTAAGGAATGTGGGAAGGCCTTCAGTTGTTCCTCCTCACTCTCCAAACACAAAAGAATTCACAGTGGAGATAAGCCATATGAATGTAAGGAATGTGGGAAGGCCTTTAGCTCTTCCTCTCACCTTATAATACATATAAGAATTCACACTGGAGAGAAGCCTTATGAATGTAAAGAGTGTGGGAAGGCCTTCAGCGAGTCCTCAAAACTCACTGTACATGGGAGGACACATACTGGAGAGAAACCCTATAAATGTAAGGAATGTGGGAAAGCCTACAATTGTCCCTCCTCCTTAAGTATCCATATGAGAAAACACACTGGAGAAAAACCGTATGAATGTCTGGAATGTGGAAAGGCCTTCTACCTTCCCACTTCCCTTAATACACATGTGAAAAATCAAAGTCGAGAGAAACCCTATGAATGTAAGGAATGTGGGAAGGCCTTTAGTTGTCCCTCGTCCTTTAGAGCACATGTGAGAGATCACACTGGAAAGATACAGTATGAATGTAAGGAGTGTGGGAAGACCTTTAGTCGTTCCTCATCCCTCACCGAACACCTAAGAACTCACAGCGGAGAGAAGCCGTATGAATGTAAAGAATGTGGGAAAGCCTTTATTAGTTCCTCCCACCTTACAGTACATATCAGAACTCACACTGGAGAGAAACCCTATGAATGTAAGAAATGTGGGAAAGCCTTTATTTATCCCTCAGCCCTTAGGATCCACATGAGAACGCACACTGGGGAAAAACCCTATGAATGTAAGGAATGTGGGAAAGCATTTCGTCATTCTTCATACCTTACTGTACATGCAAGAATGCACACTGGAGAGAAACCCTTTGAATGTCTGGAATGTGGAAAAGCTTTCAGTTGTCCCTCATCCTTTCGAAGGCATGTGAGAAGCCACACTGGAGAGAAACCCTATGAATGTAAGGAATGTGGGAAAGCCTTTGTTTGTCCTGCCTACTTTCGAAGGCATGTGAAAACTCACACTAGAGAAAACATATAAATGTAAGGAATATGGGAATGTCTGCAAAGCTTCAGATCCTAGGCAACATGTGAGATCTCATACTGTGGAGACACCCTATGAATGTAAGAAAGTAGGAAATTGTTGCTCATCGTTTTGAAGATTTGAGGACACTTTAGAGAAACCCTGTGTATGTAAGTCATGTGCTAAAGCCTTTATGAACATTGCTTATTATGTATAAGAAAATCTCTACTAGAAATGAAGATCAGTGCCTCATCCTTAAAGTAGAATGCTGGCTCGTTGATTACCAGTGTTTTCTGATAGGAACATTGAAGGTGATAAATTTACCTTTTCAGCTCTAGCCACATACTTTTTAGTATGAGGTGCTTTAATTTTGGTTCTGATGTAAATATGATTTCCATTACAAAATCTTTTGGATCATGGAGGACACGAAATATTTTTTCTGTATAGGCAGCAGTGGTCTTTTTTAAAAAAGTGGTTTCTAATTAATGTTCATTGTTCTTTAAATGGGTAGTCGTTATAATATTGACAAACCAATATAATATTGACAAACCAAAAACCAAATATTGATTTTTGTTGATGTTTTGTTTTTAGTCTACATGGCAGATAATGGAACTTGCCCACTCAATATTTTTCTTCCTATTCTTTTTTGCTAAGAGACGTTAGAGTTTCTGAGATGATAAATTTTTACTATTAAAAGCTTTTATTGTCTAGTGAGTAATTTCAGCAGAAATTAATTTAATATACTATTTTTATATTTTATTCTTTGTCCTTGCTCGTGGCTGGGAATTGGATCCAGTGTTTTGAGTGTAAAAATTGTGTTACATTAACTACATTTCCCAGAATCACTTTTTTCTCCAGTTCTAGGTTAGACTTGTCTAAAATAAGAGTTTGTACGAGATTTGGAAGGCATAAGGGAAGAAAAAGCTGTTATGCTATGTTTAGTGGGGCCATCAGACAGAGAGACAGATGTATAAAGGCCTGGTGACCTCTAGTTTTCAGCTCATTTTTCTGACTGTTGGACTCATTGATCAATATTTGCTCAAAACTGAATGTTATAGCTGGACGTGATGGTGCATACCTGTGGTCCCAGCTACTCAGGGAGCTGAGGCTGGAGGATCACTTGAGCCCAGGAGTTTGAGGCTGCAGTGAACTATGATCATGCCACTGCACTCCAGCCTGAGTGATAGAGTGAGACCCTTTCTCAAAAACAAAACAAAACGAAATAAAAAACCAAACATTAAATGCTTGCTTGACCTCAGTGTCTTCCAAGGCAGCATCTCTAAAGCTATCACCAGATACAGCTTCTTGGATTTTCTAGCAAGCTCTGGCATTGCCATTTTGCTTATGTTGCAGTCTTTCTTACACAGTCCAATCGCATCATGTCATGCTATTCATGGGGAAAAATACGTTCGCAAGTCTCAAAAGCAAGAGCTGTGGAGAGTGAGGGAAGTTACCCTTGGTAATTGAGGTAAGCATCCACAGGGTATCATCCTGTTTTAATGGAGGAAGATTTATACTTGACACCTTTAAACAGGAAAGATTTTACTGCTTTTTTTTTTTTTTTAAATGTAAGAAGATGAATTGCTTCAGGTACCTTTAGCTACAGTATTATATTTTCCCTTTAAAAGTATAATCTACTACTGTGATATTTCCCTCCTATTATATTTTCTCTTTAAAAGTATAACTCTACTATTTCCCCATAATCACTTTTTATTTTATTATACATATACTAACATGCATGAAGTGTGCTAATCTTCAATGTACAGCTTAATGACATTTCATGTATGTACATGTCCTGGTAAACAGAACATTTCCAAGACTTTAGGAAGTTCCTTCATCCTCTTTCTCAGTGATAATTACTCCACAGGGCAACCACAATTTTGACTCTTACTATAATTGACTTGGTGTGCTTGTTCTTGATTTTCATCCAAATGTTAAAATACAATATATACAGTTATGTGTTTTGACTTCTTTTGCTCAACATAATGTGTGGTTTGACTTTTAATTGTTCTTTTGATAGATGTATGGGCTTATTTATCTTGGTATGTGCTATATGCTCAGGAATGAATTTACTGAATCATAGGGTAGACTTTAAATTTAGTTTTGGTAGGTATTGCAGTTTTCAAAAAATATCGATTCCACGAATAATCCCCAAAACAATGCATGAAAGTTCCAGTTGTTTCACACACCTGTCCAGCTCTTTCTGATTATAGTCATCCAGCAGACAGTGTGCATTTACCTGATGTGTAATGATTTCGAGTACTTTTCGATGTGCTTATTGGCTATTTGGATTTTTTTTTTTTTTGAGGGCACCTGTTGAAACATTTCATCCATTTATGATTTCTTTTCTTTTTTTTTTTTTTTGAGACGGACTCTTGTGCCCAGGTTGGAGTGCAGTGGCGTGATCTTGCTCACTGCAATCTCCGCTTCCTGGGTTCAAGTGATTCTCCTGTCTCAGCCTCCTGAGTAGCTGGGATTACAGGCGTGTGCCACCACACCTGGCTAATTTTTGTATTTTTTAGTAGAGACGGGGTTTCACCATGTTGGCCAGGTTGGTCTTGAACTCCTGACCTCAGGTGATCTGCCCACCTCGGCCTCCCAAAGTGCTGGGATTATAGGCGTGAGCCACTGCACCCAGACTTATGGTTCCTTTTTAAAAAAAAAAAAAAATTGAAAGGTTTCCTTCTGGTTACTTGTCCTTTATTGTATGTATGTATATCTATATCTAGGTACACATGCATAGATATGTATAAACCATGTATCATATATTACATATATACATAAAATATGTATATTATATATACATACATTACAGATAACATTTCCCAATCTCTGTCTTGTCTTTTCACTCTTTAAAGGGAATTTGTTGGTTTAAATAATTTATTACTAAAAAGTCCTTGGGTATAACGAGCTTCAGACATGGCTAAATCCTGGGGCTAAAAAAATGTTATCTAGTTGAATTCTGTCTCCCTGTCTTGGCTGTGCATCCTCCTGCATTAGTGTTTCTTCCAAGCAGGTTGTCTCTTCATAGATGGCCCCAGAAACTCTGGCTACTTTCTTCCCAACTTAAAGTCTCAGGGAGAAAAGAGTGATTGTCTTTTTGAGTGGTTCCAATATGATGATCAGAATTGAATCTCGTTGGCTCTGATTGGCTCACTTGCCCACTGTACTCTAGTCACTGGCCTGGGGAATGTAATACTCTCATTTGTTTAGGGTTAGTGCCTGTTCTTATCCAGAAACTGGATTAGAGTCTGCACTGACTGAATCATAGAGTCCTGGCAGTTTTGGGGCATATGCAGAGGGGAGGAGGAAGGAGTGGGCAGGTAGGATCTAAAAGCAGTGGTAATGTTAGCTGTTATGCTGGTCTTAGCAGCAAGTGGGAACTGTGAAGTCTGGGAACTCAGCCAGGGTTAGGTAGTTCCTAGATAGCATTTTAGAAAGGTCAGGTGTCATCCATTAACATGTGTTTAGATTGCTAAAGATTGCTGCTTGGCCAGGCACAGTGGCTCATGCCTATAATCCCAGCACTTTGGGAGGCCGAGGTGGGCGGATCACCTGAGGTCAGGAGTTTAAGACCAGCCTGGCCAACATGGTGAAACCCTGTCTGTACTAAAAAAATTAGCCAGGCGTGGTGGCCTGTGCCTATAATCTCAGCTACTCAGGAGGCTGGGGCAGGAGAATCACTTGAACCCAGGAGGTGGAGTTGCAGGTAGCCAAGATTGTGCCAGTGCACTCCAGCCTGGGCAACAGAATGAGACTCCGTGTCAAAAAAAAAAAAAAAAAAAGATTGCTGCTTAATCTTTAATGAGCATAAAGATCAACTTGAGATCTGACACCTGTTTAAGAATTATTTGCCTGGACCAAGATAATGAATCTACTCTCCTATGTTTCCTTCTAGATTCTTTATTGTTTTTTTATGTAGGTCTGTGATCTACTTTGAATAATTTTTTGTAGCGTGTGAGGTAGGATCAAGGTGTGTGTATATAGATTTATCAAAGAGACCATGGTTTCCTCTTTGCTGAGGTGATCTCTGCCTCTTGGTTCATTTGTCTTTTCTTGCATCAATACCATACTATCTTAATTTATGTTGCTTTGTAATATTTTTGGAAATCTGGTAGTGAAAGCCTTCCAACTTTTTTATTCTTTAAGATTGTCTTGCCTTCTCTGTTCCCCATGTTTCCTAAATTAATTTTGGAATCTCAGGATTAATTTTCACAAATGAATTTTTGGTACTATGCCTGTAATTGCATTGGTTTTATAAAATAACCTGAGGATAATTGACATCTTTACAATATCGAGTTTTCCAGTTGATGAATATGGTATAATTGTCCATTTACCTAGGTTGTCTTTAACTTTTCTCAAGAGTGTTTTATAGTTTTCATTGTAGAAATCTTGATTTGTTTAATTTATTTCTAGTATATTTTGCTTTGTATTTTTAATTTGTTTTTCAATGTTTTTGGCTAGCACGTAGAATTGCAATATCTTTTTGTATATTGACTTTATAGCTGGTGACATTTATAAATTCAATTATTTATTCCAATACTTTGTGGATTTTGGATTTTCTATATATATATAATCCTGTTAATACCAATAAAAGAAAGTCTTACCTAACGTCTAAACTTTATTTTTTGCTTATTTTTCTTGCCTTATTTCTTTAGAATAATGAACAGAAATGAATGTGAATATCTTTGCCTTGTTTCTGAACTTAGGGAAATGTGTTTAATATTTCACCATTAAGTATGATACTACCTAGAAGTTTTTTATAAATAACCTTTATCAAATTAAGGGAATTCTGTTTTATTCTTGGATTGTCAAGATTGTTTTGTAAAAATCATGAATGGACATTAGATTTTATCTAGTGCCTTCTCTAGATAAAGAGAGTCTTTATCAGAGTCTTTAAGAAATCCTTGTCAATCCTGAGAGGTCTGGAAAAAAAAATTCTTAAATCTGTTAATAAGGTGAATTATATATTCCTTGATTTTCATATGGTAAAACAACATCTATTACTGGAATAAACCACACTTGGATATGGTTTATTAGCCTTTTCATTTTTGCTAGATTCAATGTTACTTTTAAAAAAGTATTTCTGTGTCTATGTTCATGAGAAGGTTGTCCTGTGATTTCTTTTATCATAATATACTTGTCTGTTTTGTATTAGGTTTATATTGTCTTATAAAAGTTGAAAACTATTCTGAAAGGTGCTATAAAATCGCAGCTCACTGCAGCCTCGACCTCCTGGACTCAAGTGACCCACTTGCCTCAGCCTCCTGAATAGCTGTGACTACAGGCACACACCACCATACCCAGCTATTTTTTTTTTTTTTTGTAGAGACGGGGTTTCACCATGTTGCCCAGGCTCGTCTTGAGATCCTAGGCTCAAGTGATCTGCCCACCTTGGCCTCTCAAAATACTAGGTTTACAGATGTAAGCCACCATGCCTGTTTGTGACCTTTCTTTCAATAGATCCTTTTTTTCTTTCTCCTTCAGAAGGTGGTTTCATCCCATGGTCCAAGTACTTTGACTTTCACTGCCACATTCTAGAAAATTAATGCCCCCATTTCCTCACTCCTTGTATATTCATGCCCTTTGCTATGTGACTTGTTTTGGGCAATGGAACGTTAAGCAGTAAAATATGAGCAGAGGCTTTAAACATGCTTGTGTAGTTTGGTTTGCTAACTTTAGCACTTCTGGCACTGCTACAGACACAAGAGTAGCTAAATGGCTCAGTGGAGCCCAATGCAGATCAACTCCCAGATTTGTGAGCTAAATAACATGCTTGATGTTTTGCCTCTGGGATTTTTGTGATCATTTGTTAGGCAGCACATTGGAGCAATAGCTAACTGATACACACATTGGCTAACAACTCCCAAATTCAAATCATGGCTCAGACTCCTCCTCTGAGCTCCAAACATATATTTGCATGGCTGATAATCATCTTCAAAATAACATGCCCCAAATAGAACTTTTCTTTAGCAAGCTACCCTTATCATACCTGTTCCACCCTTATAAATGACACTGTACTTCCAACTCAAATTTATGACTAGTCCTGGATTGCTTCCTTTCCTTTATGGTGACAGACACCTCATAGTGACTCAAACATTTGTAAAATGAATGAGTACAGATATCTAAGTGTTCTGCTACCAGGATAT
This sequence comes from Homo sapiens, assembly GCF_000001405.40. Lineage (NCBI taxonomy): Eukaryota > Metazoa > Chordata > Mammalia > Primates > Hominidae > Homo > Homo sapiens. The sequence continues at coordinate 9,289,343 of NC_000019.10, read as the reverse complement.
GTGGGACACAGTATTCTGGTCAGTTCTGTCTTCAAATTCACTATCCACACTAAGTCTTTTGAAATGCGATAAGACTTAACCCAGCACCCCACTCTAAGAGGCCCAAAGTACCCAGAGAAGCTTCTCAATTAGTTGTGTTTCTGTTATCTTCCTCAATCATAAAATTTTTGGCTAATATGTAAAAATCTGAAAGGTGTTAAAAAATAAGGAATAAGAACCAGTCTATGTTTAGCCTTGGGCAGATGGATTATCAACATTGGCTGTAAATTAAAGCCACTCAGTATCACCAGAAATGCATATAGGAAGTGATACTAGCATGGCTGGGGTGGAAGCAGGGACTATATCCTTTCTGTGGGATCAGAAACACTTCTTCCACTATCCTAAGTTCTTATTTTATTTTTATTTTATTTAATTAATTATTTTTTTGAGATGGAGTCTCACTCTGTCTCCAGGCTGGAGTGCAGTGGCGCGAGCTCGGCTCACTGCAACCTCCACCTCCCAGGTTCAAGGGATTCTCCTGTCTCAGCCTCCCGAGTAGCTGGGATTACAGGCGCATGCCACCACACCCAGCTAATTTTTGTATTTTTAGTAGAGACAGGGTTTCACCATGTTGGCCAGGATGGTCTCGATCTCCTAACCTTGTGATCCACCCGTCTCGGCCTCCCAAAGAGTTATTATTATTACTATTATTATTATTATTTTTGAGACAGAGTCTTGCTCCGTCACCCAGGCTGGAGTGCAGTGGCATGATCTCAGCTCACTACAACCTCTGCCTCCTGGGTTCAAGTGACTCTCCTGCTTCAGCCTCCTGAGTAGCTGGGATTACAGGTGCACACCACACCTGGCTAACTTTTGTATACTTTCTTTAGTAGAAACGTGGCTGGTAACACAAGGTGATATTCACACAAGTGCATAAAATGGTCAGGAGGTAGAGAAAAGACTTTTCTGGGACTCCTTGACATGGGAGCCTCATGTACTCTGGTTCCAAGACTGGTAATGGAGTCCTAACAGGGGCTATAGTTAGATTGCGAGGATATGGAAATACAATTGTTGATGGGATTATGGTGAATATTTGAAAATTAGTGTTTATTATTATTTTGAGACAGGGTCTCACTCTGTCGCCCAGGCTGGAATGCAGTGGTGTGATTATAGCTCACTGCAGCCTGGAACTTCTGGGCTTAAGTGATCCACCCAAGTGGCTAGGACTACAGGCACACACCACCATAACTGACTAATTTTTTACTTTTTTTTTTTTTTGTAGAGATGGGGTCTTGCTATGTTGTCCAGGCTGGAAGACCTGGATTCAAGTGATCCTTCCGCCTCAGCCTCCCAAAGTGCTGGGATCATAGGCATGATATGAGCCACCACGGCTGAGGAATTTTCAAATGTACAATACATTATTATTAACTATAGTCACCATACAGTACAATCAATGTCCAGAAATTTTCTTCCTGTCTAACTGAAATTTTGCACCCTTTGACCAACATCTTCCCATTTCTCCACCCCATCCTCCAGCCCGTGGTATCAACCATTCTACTCTCTGCTGCCGAGAGTTTGACTTTTTTGATTCCACATATCAGTGAGATCATGCAGTATTTATTATCATTTTTATTTCAATAGGTTTTTGGGGAACAAGTGGTGTTTGGTTACATGAATAAGTTCTTTAGCGGTGATTTCTGAGATTTTGGTGTACCCATCACCCGAGCAGTGTACACTGTTAACCAATGTGTAGTCTTTTATCCCTCACCCCTCCCACCCTTTCCCCCAAGTCCCCAGAGTCCCATGTATCATTCTTATGTCTTCATGTAGTCATAGCTTAGCTCCTGATCACACAGTGTTTATCTTTCTGTTCCTGTCTAGTATGTGAGGTGATGGGTATGTTAATTAGCTTTATTTCATCATTCCATAATGTATACATATAACAAAACACATAGTACCCCTTAAATATATACAATTATTATTTGTTGATTAAAAATTTTAAAAAGAGGACCTAAGGTGGAGGCATCACATTTCATGATTTCATTGCTATATTACAAAACTACTGAATCAAAACAGTATGTTAGTGCCATAATAGCAGACACATAGACCAATGGAACACAATAGAGAGCCTAGAAATAACTCCATGTATGTGCAGTCAACTATTTTTCAACAAAGACACTAAGAATACCCAATGGGGAAAGGATAGTCTTTTCAGTAAATGGTGGCGTGAAAACTGGATATCCGTATGCAAAACAGAAAAAAAAGAAGAAATTTGACTCTTATATACAAAAATCAATTGAAAATGCACGAAAAACTTAAATGTAAGACATGAAGCCATAAACCTTCTCAAAAAATATATATAGGGAAAAAGCTCTTTGACATTGGCCTCAGTAATGATTGTTTGCATTTGATCCCAAAAGCAACATGGAGCTGGGCATGATAGCTCACGTTTGTAATCCCAGCACTTTGGGAGGCCAAGGCGGGAGGATTGCATGAGGCCAGGAGTTTGAGACCAACCTGGGCAACATAGTAAGACCCACATTGCTATTAAAAGTAAATAAATAAATAAAAGCAATATGGTTGAACCTTGAAAACATTATGCTAAGTGAAATAAACCAGACGCAAAATGACAAATATTGTATGATTCCACTTATATGAGGAAACATGAACAGGGAATTCATAGACACAGAAGGAGCAATAGAGGTTGCCAGGGCCTGGAAGCAGAGGAGAATGGGAGGTATTATTTCATGCGTATAGGGTTTCCATTCAGAAATGATGAAAAAGAATGGAAGATGGATAGTAGTAATGGTGCACACCATTGTGAATGTACCTAGTGCCACTGAGTCTCCTTTTTTTTTTTTTTTTTGAGATGGAGTCTCACTCTGTCGCCCAGGCTGGAGTGCAGTGTCGTGATCTCGGCTCACTACAACCTCCGCCTCCCGGGTTTAAGCGATTCTCCTGCCTCACCCTCCCTAGTAGCTGGGATTATAGGTGCACACCACCAGGCCTGGCTAATTTTTGTATACTTTTTTTTTAGTAGAAACGTGATTTCACCATGTTGGTTAGGCTGGTCTCAAACTCCCAACCTCAGGTGACCTACCCACCTCAGCCTCCCAAAGTGCTGGGATTACAGGCATGAGCCATCGTGCCCGGCAATGTGCTGCTGAGTCTTACACTTAAAATGGTCAATTTTGTTATACATATTTTACCACAATAAAAATATTAATAAAGGCCAGGTGTGGTAGCTCATGCCTGTAATTCCAGCACTTTGGGAGGCTGAGACAGAAGAATTACGTGAGGCCACAAATTCTAGACAGTCTGGGCAACATAGTGATGCCCTGTCTCTACAAAAAAATAAAAAAAATTAGTGGGGCATGGGGGCGCAGCCTGTACTCCCAGCTACTTGGAAGGCTGAGGTGAGAGGATAATTTAAGCTCGGGAATTTGAGGCTGCAGTTAGCTGAGATTGCGCCACTGCACTCCAGCCTTAACAAGAGTGAGACCTTGTCTCAAAAAGAAAAAAAAATTAATAAAAACTTTATTATTTATTTATTTTAGATTAATAAAAACTTTAATAAATAAAACTGTTGTAATTTTTTTTTTTCTGAGACAGAGTCTCACTCTGTCCCTCAGGCAGAGAGCAATGGTGCGATCTCAGCTCATTGCAACCTCCGCCTCCCAGGTTCAAGCAATTCTGTTTCCTCAACTTCCTGAGTAGCTAGGATTACAGGCGTGTGCCACCACGCCTGGCTAATTTTTGTATTTTTAGTAGAGACGGGGTTTCACCATGTTGGCCAGGCTGGTCTCAAACTCCTGACCTCATGATTCACCCGCCTCGGCCTCCCAAACTGCTGGGATTACAGGCGTGAGCCTCCGTGCCCGGCCAACTGTTAAAATTTTTTTTAAAAAGTAGATTCTTAGGTCCTCCCTTGGAGATATTGACACGGTAAGTCTGGGATAGAGTGGGAAGCTATTACCCTGGGATCCCCCAGGGTAGCATGGTGAAACCCTGTCTCTAAAAAAAAAAAAAAAAAAAAAAAAAGAAAAGTAAAAACTAGCTGGGCATGTTGGTGCACTCCTGTAGTCCCAGCTACTCAGGAGGCTGTTGTGGGAGGATTGCTTGACCCCAGGAAGTTAAAGCTGCAGTGAGCTGTGATCACACCACTGCACTCCACCGTGGTGACACAGCAAGACCCTGTCTCAAAAACAAAAACAAAAAACTATAGTATTTTTTTTTTAAAGTAGACTCTTAGGTCTTCCTTTGGAGATCTTGGCAAGGTAAGTCTGGGATAGGGTAGGAAGCTATCTGTTCACAAGATCCCCTCTTTATACCTTTGATAAATCTCAATTTGTGAAGCACTGCCCCAGGACACTGGTTCCCAAAAAGATTGTCCTGGGGACCATCACATCTAGAATGTGTCCCAAATGCAAATTATGACTCAAATTTAGACCTACTGGGACAGAAACTTGAAAGTGGGTTCTAGCAATCTGTGTTTAAACAAGTCCTTGAGGTCATCTGGTGCGGGCTCCCTTTTGAGAACCACTACCTTTTTGTGAATCCTGGGACCCTTTGCTACCCAACTATCTGCCTAATTAGGAAACCTCAAGTCAGAAAATGCTGCCCAGGTGTGGTGGCTCACGACTGTAATTCCAGCACTTTGGGAGGCCAAGATGGGCAGATCACTTGAAGGCAGGAGTTCAAGATCAGACTGCCAGCACGGTGAAACCCCATCTCTACTAAAAATACAAAAGTTAGCCGGGCATGGTGGCACGCGCCTGTAATCCTAGCCACTTGGGAGGCTGAGGCAGGGGAATCGCTTAACCTGGGAGGTAGACATTGCAATGAGCCAAGATTTCGCCACTGTACTTCAGGCTGGGTGACAGAGCGAGATTCTGTCTCAAAAAAAAAAAAATTGCTGACAGTTGTCACCAAAGGTGATTCAAAGTAGACTAGAGTGATTCTTCCCAAAGGAGAGGTACAGGAGACGGGAGTCACAGCTGGCCCCATTGATAGTCTCCCAAGAATAAGGAATTGGCCGTTCAGAGACCTCTTCCTGTGTAGTCCCTGCCCATGAGGAACCAAACTGATCAGGGAATGAATACGCCATTGACCAATTTGTCTAACAAGCTTCAGAGGGGATAGACCACCCCAGGGCCCAACATGCAATTCATCTACTTACAGTCACCCAGGCCCCCAGGCGCAAGGTCCAAGACACTCATGCGTTCTCCAGGAGAAATCATCCAGGCCGCGTACCACCTGCCGGGCTCTGTCTCCCTGCTCTTTTGGGGGGCAGAGCTTCTGTCTTCATCGCCTACTTCCACGAGACAACAAGATTCAGGGGAGGTTGAGAGGTGACAGCGTGCTGGCAGTCCTCACAGCCCTCGCTCACTCTCCGCGACTCCTCTGCCTGGGCTCCCACTTTGGCGGCACTTGAGGAGCCCTTCAGCCCACCGCTGCACTGTGGGAGCCCCTTTCTGGGCAGGCCAAGGCCGGAGCCGGCTCCCTCAGCTTGCAGGGAGGTGTGGAGGGAAAGGCGCGAGCGGCAACCGGGGCTGCGCGCGGCGCTTGCGGGCCCGGCTGGAGTTCCGGGTGGGCGTGGCCTTGGCGGGCCCCGCACTCCGAGCAGCCGGCCTGCCCTGCCCGGCCCGGGCAATGAGGGGCTTAGCAACCGGGCCAGCGGCTGTGGAGGGTGTACTGGGTCCCCCAGCAGTGCCAGCCCGCCGGCGCTGCGCTCGATTTCTCACCGGGCCTTAGCTGCCTTCCCACGGGGCAGGGCTTGGGACCTGCAGCCCGCCATGCCTGAGCCTCCCACCCCCTCCATGGGCTCCTGTGCGGCCCGCGCCTCCCCGACGAGCGCCACCCTCTGCTCCGCGGCTCCCAGTCCCATCGACCACCCAAGGGCTGAGGAGTGCGGGCGCACGGCACCGGGACTGGCAGGCAGCTCCACCTGCAGCCCCAGTGCGGGATCCACTGGGTGAAGCCAGCTGGGCTCCTGAGTCTGGTGGAGATATGGAGAACCCCTATGTCTAGCTCAGGGATTGTAAATACACCAATCAGCACCCTGTGTCTAGCTCAGGGTCTGTGAATGCACCAATGGACACTCTGTATCTAGCTACTCTGGTGGGGCCTTGGAGAACCTTCATGTCTAGCTCAGGGATTGTAAATACACCAATCGGCACTCTGTATCTAGCTCAAGGTTTGTAAACACACCAATCAGCACCCTATGTCTAGCTCAGGGTTTGTGAATGCACCAATTGACACTCTGTATCTGGCTACTCTGGTGGGGCCTTGGAGAACCTTTGTGTGGACACTCTGTATCTAGTTAATTTAGTGGGGACGTGGACAACCTTTGTGTCTAGCTTAGGGGTTGTAAAGGCACCAATCAGCACCCTGTCAAAACAGACCACTGGCTCTACCAATCAGCAGGATGTGGGTGGGGCCAGATACCAGAATAAAAGCAGGTTGCCCCAGCCAGCAGTGGCACCTCGCTCGGATCCCCTTCCAAGCTATGGAAGCTTTGTTCTTTTGCTCTTTGCAATAAATCTTACTACTGCTTACTCTTTGGGTCCACGCTGCTTTTATGAGCTGTAACACTCACCGCGAAGGTCTGCAGCTTCACTCCTGAAGCCAGCGAGACCACGAGCCTACTGGGAGGAACGAACAACTCCAAACGCGCTGCTTTAAGAGCTGTAACACTCACAGTGAAGGTCTGCAGCTTCACTCCTGAGCCAGCGAGACCATGGACCCACCAGAAGGAAGAAACTCCGAACACATCCGAACATCAGAAGGAACAAACTCCAGACGCGCCACTTAAGAGCTGTAACACTCACCGCGAGGGTCTGCGGCTTCATTCTTGAAGTCAGTGAGACCAAGAACCCACCAATTCTGGACACAAGGTGGCTCCTGTGGTGGGTCCACATTGTCAAACCTTCATAGCTCAGTAAGTGTTGAGGGAAATAGGGAAAAGAGATGATTGAGGGGAAAGGCATTGACTTGTTAATCATAGGGCAGGAGAAACCCTGTGATGTCCACGGAGAAGGGGCTGTTGAGGCTGATTTCTTGGAAGGGAGAATGGCTAGACTACTTGCTTAAATAGCCATTGTATAGCGAGCTTTAACTTTGCCTGTATATTACTTGGGTAGATGACTGATGGAGGTTATAGGAAGGGCTACTCTTTGTTGGCCTGGGGCACTGTTTGATATCTTAGCGCTGCCCTGGATCACTCTGTGTGGTCTTGGAGTGACCAATCTGCATTGTACAAATGGATGCTCCAAGGTACATGATAGGAATTGCAATTCTCCCTGGGGCCTGGAGGGAAAGATGGATTTAGGGCAGGCAAAACTAAGGACAAGGAAACAGGGTTGGGGATTCCTCATATCATTGGAATTGAGGGGAACAACTCAGGAATATTTTTGCAGAAGAAAAACAAAGGCCAGGAGAGGTAAAGGAATGAGGTCAATGTCTTGCTAACAATCTCAGCTTAAGGACGAGACTTGACTTCAAGTGAAATGAAGGGAATTATGGAAAAGAATCCTGCAGGTTTCAGTAGGAGCTGTAGGTGCCTTGCAGTGAAGTCCTGGTCACTTCTAGTTCTTTTCACCTACTACCTGACCCAAGAACTTCAGAGGCCCTCAGCCTAGATCAAGCCTCTCTGAATTCTTCTCTGTGACCCTCACTTGCTTGGAAACATCTCCTGCCTCTCCAGAAAGACTTATCCTTCCCCATCCTTCTTTACCCTTATCCATGATTCTAAGTAGACACCTTCAAGAGACAAGCGTCTGTGTTCCCTGGAATGGAAGGCCATGGTGTATAACAACTAGGGTACGATGGGTGAGTGAGGGAAAGTGAAGGGCTCAGGCAAGCCCAACATCCAGTCTCCTCTTGACATCGTATCCTCTGGGGAACACGAGGGAAGCATTGAAACCTGCAGGATTCTTTTCCATAATTCCCTTCATTTCACTTGAAGGTCAAGTCTCATCCTTAAGCTGAGATTGTTAGCAAGACATTGACCTCATTCCTTTACCTCTCCTGGCCTTTGTATTTCTTCTGCAAAAATATTCCTGAGTTGTTCCCCTCAATTCCAATGATATGAAGAATCCCCAACCCTGTTCCCTTATCCTTAGTTTTGCCTGCCCTAAATCCATCTTTCCCTCCAGGCCCCAGGGAGAATTGCAATTCCTATCATGTTACTCCTTTGATTGCCGTTCCTTCACAGCCCCATCCTTTATGGATTATACTTTTCAAAGTTCTTAGACATGTCATCCCTGCCCACCTCTCCAACATCATCCTCATCGTTTCTATCTAACACTTTGTACTTAAGCAGCAGCAAAGGGCTAAGAGAACTCTGTCCCATGCTGCTTCTTGCTTCTAGGCTTATTCCCTTGCTTATATCTCTGCCAGAAATGCCCCTGTGCAACCATTCACCTGGGTAACTCCTTGCCCAGGTATTCCTTCCTCCAGGACTCCTTCCCTGAATGCATTACTCCAGGCTGGATTGAGGGTTCCTCTCTGTACTCCACTCTGTACATCGTTTTATTTTAGCACTTAATTCACTGTGTTACAATGATCTGTTTCTGAATCCATCTTCTGGAAGGTGGAACCATAAGAAAAAAAAGACCACATCATTAATCTTTGTATCCCCAACAGCTAACACTTAGCCTGGCCCAAAGAAGACCCTCTTGCAGAATGGCTGTTAGCACTTTTTCAGTGACTGACAACCTAGTTGTCAACCTAGTTCAATTCTTCTGTACTTCCCAGCACGGCTCAACAAAAATTATGCACCAGGCCACGTGCTGTGGCTCATGCCTGTAATCCCAGCACTTTGGGAGGCCGAGGTGGGCAGATCACCTGAGGTTGGGAGTTGAAGACCAGCCTGGCCAACATGGTAAAACTAACTAGTTTTTGTAAAAAACTAGCTAGTTAGTTTTGTATTTTTACAAAAACTAGCTGGGCATGGTGGTGCACACCTGTAATCCCAGCTACTCAGGAGGCTGAGGCAGGAGAATTGTTTGAACCCGGGAGGCAGAGGTTATAGTGAGCCGAGATTGCGCCACTGAACTCTCCAGCCTGGGTGACAGCTCAAGACTCTGTCTCAAAAGAAAAGAAAACAAACAAAAACCCAACAACAACAAAAAAAATTGTGCACCAACACTAGACACTAGAAACAGATTAGGACATATTTATTATGTGGATGGAAAAAGAGAATCATATAAGTGTCAAATGACTGTATCTTTCTGGTCTCTAATTTTGAAACCCTGGTTCTAAGGTAGAAAGTTTTTAATGTGCGGTCAGCTTCTTAAGATGAATGTTATTACTGGTAATGTCATGACCTATTTGAATCAGAATTTGGCTGCCACCATAATTCCAAGTGGGACTTAAGGCAACAAGTAACCCTTCCTTCCTTCCTTCCTTCCTTCCTTCCTTCCTTCCTTCCTTCCTTCCTTTCTTCCTTTCCTTCCTTCCTTCTTTCCTTCCTTCCCTTCCTTCCTCCTTCCCTCCCTCCCTTCCTCTTTCCTTCCTTGAAAACCTAAATCCACTCATCTTGCAATATTTTGTCTAGCTATTATCTCTGCTTTCATATTTTCTCACTGCTCAGACATAGTTGTCTGACCTTCTTCAGTCTCAGTTGTGTCTTAGACAAGGAAGATGACCCTGACCTTTTCTTAAGTTCACTGAACCTTATATGTGTTAGAGCAGGTGCAGACCATTTTATCTCTAAGGTCTAAAGTTGCTCTTGGTAGATTTGATGATTCTAAAGCAGAGAAAAAGGGAATGGGTAAGCCTCTGAGAGGCCAATGAACAGGGGTTAGTCAACGTTATGAAATGTTGCCTATAACAAATGACAGAATGTAGGATTCCTAAGTTTTGCTATTTTAAAGCTTTTGTATCCAATTATTCACCTCAAGAAATAAAAAAGCAGAGAGATTTTGGAGCCTGTTCAGCATCTATTTCATGTTTCTTCCCTTCCTTAACTGTCTAGCTGATGTGTCAGCAACATGGACTTGGGAAATCAAACAAGAGTTTCAGAATTTTTACTCCTGGGATTTTCCCAAGACCTAGAGGATCAACAGTTGCTCTTTGCACTGTTTCTGTCCATGTACCTGGTCACCGTTCTGGGGAACCTGCTCATCATCCTGGCCATCAGCTCTGACTCCCACCTCCACACCCCCAGGTACTTCTTCCTCTCCAATCTGTCCCTGGCTGACATCGGTTTCACCTCCACCGCAGTCCCCAAGATGCTGGTGAACATCCAGGTGCAGAGCAATGCCATCAGCTATGCAGACTGCATCGCCCAGATGTATGTTTTTCATGGTTTTTGGAGGCATGGACACATTTCTCCTCACCGTGATGGCCTATGACCGGTATGTGGCCATCTGTCACCCCCTGTACTACTGTGTCACCAGGAACCCCTGCCTCTGTGGCCTGCTGGTTCTTGTGTCCTGGTTCCTCAGCTTGTCATACTCCCTGATCCAGAGTCTGTTGGTGCTGCGGGTGTCCTTCTGCACCAGTTGAGTCATTCAGCACTTTTACTGTGAGCTTGCTCAGGTCCTCAGGCTTACCTGCTCAGACACACATGTCAATTACATCCTGCTCTACGTGGTGGCCGGCCTTCTGGACTTTGTGCCCTTCTCAGGGATCCTTTTCTCCTACACCCAAATTGTCTCCTACATCCTGAGAATCTCATCCACAGATGGGAAACACAAAGCCTTTTCTACCTGTGGATCTCATCTGTTTGTGGTTTCTTTATTCTATGGGACAGGCCTTGGTGTGTATCTTAGTTCCAATGCATCGTCCTCTTCCTGGTGGGGCATGGTGGCCTCGGTCATGTACACTGTGGTCACCCCCATGCTGAACCCCTTCATCTATTGCTTGCGGAACAGGGACATCAAGAGGACCCTAGAAACACTGCTTGGGAGAATGCTGTATGCTCAATGACGGGGACATTGGTCCTGGGCTTCTGAGTTGGCAGAGGTAGCAGCAGTGAGCTAAAGAAATTCTGGACCAGCCTGGGCAACATAGCAAGACCCTGTCTCTACAAAAAAAATATAAAATTTAGCCAGGCATGGTGGTGTACCTGTGGTCCCAGCTACTCAGGAGGCTGAGGTGGGAGGATCCCTTGAGTCCAGGAGGCTGAGGCTTCAGTGAGTCGAGATCATGCCACTGCACTCTAGCCTGGGCAATAGAGCCAGACCCTGTCTCAAAAACAACAGCAACTAAAGAAATTCTGCCTGTAGGCCAGGCGCAGTGGCTCACACCTGTAATCCCAGTGCTTTGGGAGGCTGAGACAGGAAGATCACTTGAGACCAGAAGTTCAAGACCAGTTTGGGCAACAAAGATAGTAAAATGTCTCAAAAAAAAAATTCTGCCTCTTAATCTCATGGAATTTGTTTCTCTGTTTCTCTGCCTTTGGTCAACATTACCTTGTGAGTACTGTGAGTACTTTGTATGAGTCTTATACAAAGAGACTTCTCTGTTATCCTTCAGTTCTACCCTTTCATCTCCTCTTACATTTTCCACGATTGCACCTCAGCTTGGTGTTTGTAGATTTGTTTGTGTTGATTCCTGAGGGTTAATACAACAAGTTTAAGTACTTAACTCAGACATTGTTGGATAAAAGTTATGAAATAGTTCATTTTACCATTAACCATTGCTAGCTAGCTCTTATCAAGTTCATTCATTTGACAATCTTTTCTTAAACCTTTCTCAATAATCCTTTGACAGTATTTATTGGACCTTATAGTGTGCCAGGCTGTTCTAGGTGCCTGGGATACAGAAGTGAAAATAAATTCTTGCCCCATAGAGTTAAATCTGCAATCTTAGAATGTTATCAGATCATGTTGTATGTTCAAACTTAAAATAGATTGATGGGTAAATAATTTATTTCCTTATTAGTGAGGTTGAACATTTCTCCATATGTTTGTTTAGTACATTTCTAAAATAAGCTTTGATAGCCTCTAAAATAAAGAAAATAGGGAGACCCTTTCTTTACAAAAAAAAAAAAAAAAAATAGGCCAGGCGTGGTGGCTCACACCTGTAATCCCAGCAATTTGGGAGGTCGAGGTGGGTGGATCACCTGAGGTCAAGAGTCTCAAAAAAAAAAAAAAAAAAGCCAGCTATTGTAGTGTTCACCTATAGTCCCAGCCACTTGGGAGGCTGAGGCAGGAAGATCACTTGAGCCCAAGAGTTTGAGCATGTAGTAAGCCGTGATGGTGCCACTGCACTCTAGCCTCAGAGACAGAAAGAGACCCTGCTTAAAAAAAAAAAAAAAGGCCGGGTACGGTGGTTCACACCTGTAATCACAGCAATTTGGGAGGCCAAGGTGGGTGGATCACCTGAGGTCAGGAGTTTGAGACCAGCCTGACTAACATGGCGAAACCCCATCTCTACTAAAAATACAAAATTAGCTGGGTGTGGTGGCCCGCACCTGTAATCTCAGCTACTCAGGAGGCTGAGGCAGGAGAATGGCTTGAACCTGGGAGGCAGAGGTTGTGGTGAGGCGAGATAGCGCCACTGCACGCCAGCCTGGGCAACAAGAACAAAACTCCATCTCAAAAAAAAAAAAGAAAGAAAAAAGAAAATGTATCACCAGAAACAGACAAACCATCTGCCCAGAATTTTAGGTCTGATCGTGCTGTATTTTGTCTAGTTGCCTAATTTTGCAGGTGAATTCACAGAGGCCCAAAACAGGAGTTTAGACAGTAACAGCACCTGGCTGAATGTAGAAACATCTTCAAATATGGTGCCAGCAGCGAGCACTAGCTTATGATTCAGGAGAGTGAGAACTGAATCACAGAGTTGCCAGAATCTAGGTATATAGTGCTGAGCAGCTTCAGATGCTGCAAATCCATTAGGACTACTGGATCTCTTCCTAAATGTTCATTTTAATATCTCCTCCACCATAAAACAAGTACCTTGGTGTAAGGTGAGATTATGGAGGGATATTCCAACAAGAAATTGGATAATATGTCTTTGGATGATGCTGTTTGCCAAGGCACTGCGGGCAGGAAAGGCAAACGTAAGTACATAAATAAATATTCATCTCAGTAAAGATGAATTGCTGCCTACCCTGGGGTGCAAAGTGTCTGATGTAATCAACTTGCCACCATGTGGTCCTCGAGGAATATGACTATTTAGAGGCCATATACTGACATCCAAAGATGAGCCCAGCAACTCTTCAATTTCAATGCTCTAAATCTGAAAACAGGCTTGAGTATGAAAACTGGTAGAAGACAAGTTCAATTTGCTATTACACCATGTGGTCCTTAAGAAAGTCATGTCATTTTACAATAGAAAAACACTTAAACTATAAGTATGTATTATGAAACAAGGCACAAAAATGAAGTTTTTAAATAAAACCCAAATATGATGTTTAATGTCCTTTTTTTTTTTTTTTTTTTTTTGACGGAGTCTTACTCTGTTGCCAGGCTGGAGTGCAGTGGCGCGATCTTGGCTCACTGCAACTTCTGCCTCCTGGGTTCAAGCTATTTCCCTGCCTCAGCCTCCTGAGTAGCTGGGACTACAGGCGCCCACCACCACGCCCAGCTAATTTTTGTATTTTTAGTACAGACGAGGTTTCACCATGTTGGCCAGGATGGTCTCCATCTTTTGCCATCATGATCTGCCCGCCTCGGCCTCCCAAAGTGCTGGGATTACAGGCATAAACCACCGCGTCTGGCCTAATGTACATATTTAAAGATTAAATGTGCAGTGATCATTAAAAAACAAGAAAACTAGTAGAAGAATCATGATTTTCAATGGTGGTGGCTGACATCTGACTTCTGCTGACTTGATCATGATATTTTTGGATATGTAGGTCAAACAATACACTCGATGTCTGCTCACCTACAATCTGTTGCCATCACCACAAATCTCTGTGGGTCATGGACCCTGTTTACCATTTTAGACTTGCTGCCTGATAGCCTACCTTGCCTCTCACTTTTAGTGTTGTCATTTGAGCTTGGAACTCAAGATACTAGTAAAAAAAAATATACAACCTCTGTTTTAGGCTGGGCGCGGTGGCTTACGCCTATAATCCCAGCACTTTGGGAGGCTGAGGTAGGCAGATCACTGGAAGTCAGGAGTTCAAAACTAGGCTGGTCAATATGGTGAAACCCCATCTCTACTAAAAATACAAAAGTTAGCTAGGTGTGGTAGCGTGCACCTGTAGTTCCAGCTACTCAGGAGGCTGAGGCAGGAGAATCACTTGAACCTGGGAGGCGGTGGTTGCAGTGAATACCTTGGTGTAAGGAGAGATTATGCAGGGATGTCCCAAGAAGCAATCGGATATGTGTCTTTGGATGATGCTGCAAATCATCATCCAATGCAGTGAGATTGCGCCACTGCACCCCAGCCTGGACGACAGAGTGAGACTTCATCTCAAAACAACAACAACGACAATGACAACAACAAGAACACCTCTGTTTTACTATGACAGTTAACGGTGCTATGTTTAAATATTCAAGAGTTGGAACAACAGTTTTGAAAATTCTGATTTTCAATGGACTAAGATGGCTTTAACGTTTTCCTCAGCTTTACAAAACGAGCTAGGTTTCTTCCTGACTACAGAGCCCTGACCTTTTTTTAGAGCATTTACTTTAAAAAACTTGTGATTGCAAATTATTTATCTGCTCCCTTGAAAGGGAGATAAATCATTTTTAAGTCTCATGCCTTTTTTTTTTTTATGAGACTGTCTGTCACTCTGTCACCTAGGCTGGAGTGCAGTGGCGTGATCATAGCTCATTGCAGCCTCGAACTCCTAGGCTCAAGTGATCCTCTTGCCTCAGACTCCCAAGCAGCTGGGATTACAGGCATACAGGCCACCATGCCTGGCTAATTTTTTTTTCCTGGTAGAGATGGGGTCTTGCTACGTTGCCCAGGCTGGTCTTGAATTCCTTGGCTCAAATGATCATCCCACTTTGGCCTCCCAAAGTGCTGGGATTACAGGTGTGAGCCATCACGCCCTGCCACATCCCAGTTGTATAACCCAGGAATCTCTTTCTCAAGGACCTGGTTGCCATCCCTTTGAAATGTAATTATTAATAAAAACAACATCCCTATCTTTCAGCTTCTTTGGGAGGGTAGGAGCCTTCTGTAAGTGACAATTAGTGAACACACATGGCCAAATCACACTGGACAACCTCCTCCCTAACGTCTTCCTGGGCTTTTCCATTAGCTCACTCCAGCATTTGAAAATCCTCTCATTTTTGTTTCAGTGGAGTTGAGTTCAATCTCTTTTCCCTAATGCAATAGTCTTTTTTTTTTTTTTTTTTTTTTGAGACGGAGCATCCCTCTGTCGCCGAGCTAGAGTGCAGTGGTGCAATCTTGACTCACTGCAACCTCTGCCTCATGGGTTCAAGTGATTCTCCTGCCTCAGCCTCCTGAGTAGCTGGGACTACAGGCATCCGCCACCATGCCCAGCTAATTTTTGTATTTTTAGTAGAGACAGGGTTTCACCATGTTGGCCAGAATGGTCTCAATCTCTTGACCTTGTGATCCATCTGCCTCGGCCTCCCAAAGTGCTGGCATTACAGGCGTGAGCCACATTGCCTGGCCTCCCTAAGGCAATAGTCTTGACCCTTATTGCAATTGTCTTGAATAAAGTCTTCTTTGCCAGCTTGACCCCATGTGATGTAATTTTTCTTTGACACGATCAATGACTTTCCACACTTCATAGCAAATTTCTACCAACTGATATATGGTTTTGGCGATGGAATTACCCAATGTCTTGCTAGTTTAAATCAATAACATGACACTCTGCAAAGGACTTTGGACTGCAAAGAGATCAAAGCTCACTGTCTTGATGACTTGCATATGTTTAATTTGGAAGAGAATAGCTGAGTCTGATTGCTACAAAGACTTTCCTTTATAGTACTCAAAACGTGTGAGATCACAGAGAAGGTAATGATATTGAAAGAGGAATCAGGCCCGGAGCAGTGGCTCACACCTGTAATCCCAGTACTTTGGGAGGCCGAGGTGGGCAGATCACGAGGTCAAGAAATTGAGATCATGCTGGCCAATATGTTGAAACCCTATCTCTACTAAAAATACAAAAAAAATTACCTGGGTGTGGTGGTGGACGCCTGTAATCCCAGCTACTTGGGGGGCTGAGGCAGGAGAATCACTTGAACTTGGGAGGTGGAGGTTGCAGTGAGCCGAGATGGCGCCGCTGCACTACAAGCCTGGTGACAAAGCAAGACTCTGTCTCAAAAGCAAAACAAAACAAAACAAAACAAAACGCAAAAATACAAATAAAAAAGAAAGAGGAATCAAGACTAACTTGATAGTAGAGCCCACTACACACCTAGTTTCTACGCTATGACCTACTGCTCCTAGGCTACAAACCCACACAGCATGTCACTGTGCTGAATACTGTAGGCAATAGTAGTGCAATGGTATTTGTGTATCTAGACATAGAAAAGGTACAGTTAAAATATAGTTTAAAGGTACAGTCTAAAAGACAAAAGAAGTTCCACCTGTTTAGGGTACTTACCATGAATGGAGCTTGCAGGACTGGAAGTTGATCTGGGTGAGTCGTTGAGTAGGGGGTGAATGTGAAGGCCTAGGACATTACTGTACATCATTATAAGACTTTAGAAACACTGTACACTTAGGCTACACTAAATTTGTAAAAAATATTTTTCTGTTTTCAAGAATCAATTAACCTTGCTTACTGTAACATTTTCACTTTTTAAAAAAGGCTTTTGACTGTTTTGTAATAACACTTAGCTTAAAACACAGATTGTACAGCTGTTACAAAAGTTATTTTCTTTCTATCCTTATTCTATAACTTTTTTCTATTAAGATTTTTTTTTTTTAGTTAAAATTTTTTTCTGTTAAAAACTATGACACATAGCCAGGAGCTGTGATTCACGCCTGTAATCCCAGTACTTTTGGAGAGCCAGGAAGAGATTCACTTGTGGCCAGGAGTTTGAGACCTGCCTGGTCCACATAGCGAGACACAGTCCCTACAAAAAAAAAAGCACCAAAAAATAAAGACACGAACACACATTAGCCCAGGCATACACAGGGTCAGGAGCATGAATATAA
The DNA here is from genome assembly GCF_000001405.40 of Homo sapiens. Classification (NCBI taxonomy): domain Eukaryota; kingdom Metazoa; phylum Chordata; class Mammalia; order Primates; family Hominidae; genus Homo; species Homo sapiens. The sequence goes on along the minus strand of NC_000019.10, from coordinate 9,272,318 downwards.
CATCTCCCACCTCCACATCTTGTCCCACTGGAAGGTCTCAATGCCACTCATGGAGCTGTCATCTATCACAACAATGCCTTCTTCCAAAATACCTCCTGAAGGACCTGCCTGAGGCTGTTTCCAGTTAATTTTTTAAAATATAAAAATAGAAGGACGACATGAATGATAGACTGGATTAAGAAAACGTGGCACATATACACCATGAAATACTATGCAGCCATAAAAAAGGATGAGTTCATGTCCTTTGTAGGAACATGAATGAAGCTGGAAACCATCATTCTGAGCAAACTATTGCAAGGACAGGAAACCAAACACTGCATGTTCTCACTCACAGGTGGAAATTGAACAATGAGAACACTTGGACACAGGATGGGGAACAGCACACACTGGGGCCTGTCATGGGATGGGGGGAGCGGGGAGGAATAGCATTAGGAGATATACCTAATGTAAATGATTAGTTAATGGGTGCAGCACACCAACATGGCACATGTATATATATGTAACAAACTTGCACATTTTGCACATGTACCCTAAAGCTTAAAAGTATAATAAAAAATAAATTAAAAAATAATAAAAAATAGAAGGACAACACTCTAAAATAATGATTAAAAGTATAGTATAGTAAATACATAAATCACTAACATGGTCATTTATGATGACTGTCAAGCATTACATACTACCTAGAATTATATGTGCTACAGTATTATGTAACTGGCAGTGCAGTAGGTTCGTTTACACAAGCATCATCACAAACGTGGGGAATACATTGTGTTATTGTTATGGGATCTTTAGGGTTTCACTTTTCTGTCTGGAAAGCTCTGTGGCCAGTGGTGCCTTTGCCTGAATTCTTGTCTTGCATCCAGGAAGAATGAGGTACGCAGGCAACTGGAGGGTGAACAAGATGAAGAGGAGCTTTATTGAGTGTTACAACAGCTTAGAGGAGACCCACAGTGGGTAACTGCTCTCTGTAGGCAGGTCTTCTGGTGAAGTGTTCAGCTCTCAGCTGAGATGGGGCCCTGGAGAGGGTGGCTCCTCCCTGCTAACAGGTCGTCTGGTCATCTCTCCATCCTCTGCCCTGCTCTGGCTGAGCCCGGGGCTTTTATGGACCTCAGAGGGGAGGAAGCACATGCTGATCGCTCCACGGGCAGCCATGGGTGGGCCAGAGGAGGCACTACAAGTCCCCACTCCATCCGTGAGACTGGCATCATGGTGTCTAGCCTTCAGGCCTTCCATGGCCTGAAGGTAGGGTCTTACTGGGGACCTGCCCCCTTTTATCCAGAACTCTGTATCCCACTGCCATTTATGGCCCCAGAGCTGGTCCCAACCCCTCTCCGAGACTGGAGGAGGCACCAGAAGGGAAAGAGGCCAGGCTGTGGGAGCAGACACTGCCAAGCCTGCAGTGATTGGAGGGTCCTTCCCAGGCCCCCGAGGGTGGAGGCTGCAGATATGCCTGGGTCCTGTGCCTGGGAGGGCAGTGGCAGCTACACCCTGGGAGCTCCTGCCATGCCAACTCGGGAGGGTTGGGGCTCCCACTTGTCCCTGGCTCCTTCCTGCTCCGTGGAGTGGGAGCCCCAGGTCTGCAGCTGTGGGTCAGTCGGCTACAGCTGCACCCGGGAGAGCAGATCCTGTCTGCTCCTGCCCGCCTCCAAGAGCACAGGGAGGCTCGGAACCACAGCCAGATGGGGCAGCTGTAGCCCCACCCAGGAGAGCACAGGCTCCTGCCTGCTCTGTGGAGCCGGAGGCCTGGGTCTGCATCCATGGATTGGGCGGCTGCAACAGCACCTGGGGAGCTCCAGCTCCAGCTCATAAGGGGTGGGCGGGGCTCCCTCTGGCTCCATGGAGTTTGCAGCCCCAGCTGCCCCTTCTCTGCTGCAGCTGGCCTGATGGCAGCAGCCACTGCTATCATTATGATGCCACAATGGCTAAGACATCACTAGGCTATAGGGATTTTTCAGCTCCCTTAAAATCTTACGGAACCACCACTGTGTATGTAGTCTGGTCATTGAAACATCCTTATGCGGTGCATTACTGAAATCTTGAAACTTGAAATACCCATAATATCTTGGGCAATGTCAGGGAAATGCACTAATGGGAAGGGCAGTCCCCAAGCTGTAAACACAAAGAAAAACAATGATGACACATTGTGGACCGGCAAGATGATCCCTTGATAACTGAGTGGAAATCGGAAGCTGCAGGGGAGATTTGTTGTTCTCAGGCATAGAGTGGCTGCTGGTTGGCCTGATGTCAATGGCAGGACTCTACAGGGGTAAGAGAATCCAGGGAGGCTTCTGTGCACTGCTTGGTCAGGTGGGTACTCAATGTAGAAGAAGTTCTGCCCAAGTGCCAGTTTTTCCTTCCAGACATTTTTTTTTTTTTGGAATTTTTTGGTTGTGATCATAGTGGTGTGATGAATTGGGAATTATGCTGGATATCTGCAGAGTGTTGCTGTGCTTAGAGTACAAAACCCTGATAGAAGATGAAGCCTGCGGGTGGCTCCTAAGACCCTTCCAAGGGTCCCTCCCTCCTAGTTTTCATGCCCGAGTGTCATCTCCTCTTCTTGAGTGTGGGCTGGACTCCATGAGTAGCTTCTGATGACAAGAATATGGGGATCTCTGTGTTCCGATTGAAGGTTGAAACAACAGTAGCTTTTTTTTTTTTTAACTGCCACTCTGTGGCCCTGTTGCTTGATGTTTTAAAATAAAAAAAAACCTATTATTTATTTTTGCATAATGAAGTATTGAACAATCCATTGCTTGATATTAATGGGAGTTAACTGCTCCATCAAGAGGACTAGAATAGACATTTCTCTAAAGAAGATAAACAAATAGACAATGAGCATACAGAATGGCCGGGTGCAGTGGCTCACGCCTGTAATGCCAGCACTTCGGGAAGCCAAGCTGGGTGGATTGCTTGCAGTCAGGAGTTTCTGTTCTGAAAGAGAAATATATTGATGCATGACGGTGGTGGTTGCACAACACTGTGGATGTACTTAATGCCAGCAAACTGTACAGTGAAAAGTGGTTAAAATGGTATTGGTTACCATTTTGAAGAGGATAAATGGTAAAATGTTACTTACCATTTTGTATAAACCTATATTTATAATTTTTATATTGAATGTGGTACATTTTGCCAGGATAAAAATATGAAAACTTAAAAAAGATGCATCCTTGAAAAAGAAAAAGAAATGAAAGAAGTGAACGATGAACACAAGCTTTCTCCTCATTAGAGGAAGAGCCCAAAAGTTCCTGGGGACGTTCATTTTTTCTGCTTTATCTTGCATTAATGAGGAAGTCCTTAAAGACTGGGGAACTTGGGCCAGTTTGGCTAATGAGGAGCTCTGTGCCTTGAGCCCCCAAGGCCATAGGACAGTAAATACTCAGCCTGTGCCTCCAGCCCTGCAGTGTGAGCTTCCAGTCCAGTGGGCTCCACACCTGTCGTCTGCATCAGGAGGCTCATGTCTGACCCTGTCTTCCTGCCAGTCCTGAGGACGGAGCCTGAGCCTCCATCGTGCACCACACAGGGAGGACGGCGGACCTGCTCTCCGTGGTCATGGCCCAGCAGAGGGGAAGCGCAGCTCAGTGAGTGCTGAGGGATGGTCGGGAGCCTTGTTTCCTCATCCTCAGGACAAACAGGACAGTGGGGTGGCAGATGGGAGGAAACCCACGTGCAAAATGTCAGCTCAGACGACCGTGGAGTTTATGTTCTGGGTTGTGATTGGTCTCAGAAATCTCATTCAAAGTTTAACTTTTCTTCCACACTGGTTCAACTTCCCAAAGACATCTCACTCGTAATAGCGTGTTCCCTAAGCATGCCAAAAGGATTATGAAGGTGATGATGAGGATGAGGAGGAAGACGATGGTCACCAGGCTATCATGAACTTTTACTGAGGACTTCTTGATGTTCTATGAAGCCTGTTCTCTTTCATCTGCTTAGTCTTCCCTGAATTATACCTGCCGCATTATTCTTAATTATAGAATAGGAAAGGAGCCGTCTAAGTCCAGACACATGGCATTGGGCCAGGCCTCTCTCTGAGTCCAACCTGCCCTCTCAAATCCCTGTCAGTCCTGGCAGATGCCCTTGCTCACTGTGCCCTTCCCTTGGGGGGTTCCTGGTAGACCACAGCTAGACTAGAGGGTGCTACATTCATAGTATCACGTATAGAAAGGGCAGCTGAGATCACATCAAAGATCCCAGAAAGAACTGGCACAGGATCATTCAGGGTGCATCTCTCCCTTTCCCCCGTTCCTGGCTTTCCTTGCAGCTCTCCACCTCCTCAAAGGAGACATAAAATCAGGGTCTTGGCTCCATTTCTATTCAGGAAGCTGGAACTCGTTTCTAAATGCACCCCAGAAGTGCCTGTAGTTAAGACCTCCCACCTCTGCTTAAGACTTTCTGAGAGCTGAACAATAATGAAGAAGGGTAGTGCCTGGGCCTCAGAGACGGACCATTTAGTTTTGAATCTGCCCATTTCCCTGAACTCTGTGACACGGGGTGAGATCTCTGTGTCTCTGAGACTCAGCACTATCATCTGAGCTGATTTCTAGTTGACCCAACTACAGTGAGTGATGATTCAACAGATCATGGGTGTTCTCTGCTGATCTCTATGTGATGGATACATAAAACCAAAGTGAATTTTGATATTCTTATTACTATTTTAAGCTTAATCTTCATACAATTGAACTGAAATGTCCTCTGGCCTGAAGTTACAGTTCCCTACATCCCTGACAGGACATTTGACATTTGCACCTATCTAAGTAAGTGCTGAGTATTATGAGAGGAATGTTTGCATCTCTTTCGTTTCTGATCCCCCAGAGCCTATATCTTGCCAGTCCCAAAGGAGGCATCAAAAATAAAGTTCCCCGTTAAATACTGGATAGGCCCTTCCTTGGATCACAAAAAATTGGCTGTGATTAGTGTGACCTCAACACAGTTGGTGGTTTCTTGTCTGTCCCCTCATCCCTTTAGGAATGTCTAATAAAATGAGATACAAGATAACACCTGTTTATGTCTATGTCACAGACACAGGGACCTTAGAATTCCATTTAATAGCATCTGCAATGTTCAAGTACCTAAATACCATCGCAGAGATTTTTGTAGCTATATCAGAATGAAGAAAGGCACAAAGAGAAGAGGGCAGGTAGACCTGATTCTCGTGCTTAGACACAATTTTGAGTTTCGCATCATTCCAGGCTAAAATAAAATAAAGAGAAAATGTTATTAAACTTCATTATTATTTAGTGATGACACATGCATTACACATTATCGATAGCTGTGTGGTTGCTGAAGGCCTATGATTATGTGCAACAAAGCTTTCTTATCAAAACCCAAAGAAAACATGAGCCAAGGACAAGAGCTATATATTAAATAAATTTGGAAACATAGCTCCTATATTTGAGTGTGCATTTACTTGTGTGAAGAAATGATGTCAGAAAACCTAAGAATGATAAAAAATATGAAAAGTAATTGGCATGTAAAAAGGTCTTCTGATTATGAACTAGCAGGTCTGTTTTAGTTTCTAGATAATGTGCTCCTAGCTCTTGTATAGTGTTTATAAATATTCTACATCCAAGGAGTTTGTAGCACAGTGTCAGAATAAAATGAATTATATTTCACTGCTTCTTAATTTCTTTTAATTAAATTGGGCTTTTTTTTTCTTAGAAAAGTACATTTCTTATTTTTTTTTTCTGAAAAGACTAGGCCATGTTTTATTGCAATCATGGATTTGTTATATATTACGTCCTTGATCTTTTAACATTCTTCAGTGGATTTTCTCTGAAGTAGGTATATACAGAAAGAGTTGAATAGCAAAAAAGTAAATCATGTAATAATTCTGAGATTTTTGGGTTTCTCACAATGGAGAAATATTGCTGAGGGTGTATGGTCTTCAAGTGTGAAAATGTTACTTGTGAATTGCTTGTATCCAAAATATGCACACAGCAGTAAGTGCTGATTTATGTCTTTTATTTTTTCAACCCTCTTTTCTTCTCAAGGTGTCCAAGTTACACAGACTCGCAGAATCTCACAGGTGTCTTAGAATTTCTCTTCCTGGGACTCTCAGAGGATCCAGAACTGCAGCCCGTCCTCGTTGGGCTGTTCCTGTCCATGTACCTGATCACGGTGCTGGGGAACCTGCTCATCATCCTGGCCGTCAGCTGTGACTCCCACCTCCACACCCCCATGTACTTCTTCCTCTCCAACTTGTCCTTGGCTGACATCGGACTCACCTCTGCCACCATCCCTAAGATGATTGTTGATATGCAATCTCACAGCAGAATCATCTCCTATGAGGGCTGCCTGATGCAGATGTCTTTATCTATTTTGTGTGTATGAATGACATGGTCCTGACTGTGATGGCCTATGACCAGTTTGTGGCCATTTGTCACCCCCTACGCTACCCAGTCATCATGAATCCCCATCTCTGTGTCTTCTTAGTTTTGGTGTCTTTTATTCTTAGCCTGTTGAACTCCCAGCTGCACAATCAGATTGTGTTACAATTCACCTGCTTCAAGAATGTGGAAATCTTTAATTTTTTCTGTGAGCCATCTCAACTTCTCAACCTTGCCTGTTCTGACAGTGTCATCAATAACATATTCATGTATTTAGATAGTGTTATATTTGGTTTTCTTCCCATCTCAGGGATCCTTTTGTCTTACTATAAAATTGTCTCCTCCATTCTAAGAATTCCATCATCAGATGGGAAGTATAAAGCCTTCTCCACATGTGGCTCTCACCTGGCAGTTGTTTGCTTATTTTATGGAACAGGACTTGGAGCCTACCTCAGTTCAGCTGCGTCCTCTTTCCCCAGGAAGGGTGCGGTCACCTCAGTGATGTACACTGTGGTCATCCCTATGCTGAACCCCTTCATCTACAGCCTGAGAAACAGGGACATTAAAAGTGCCCTGTGGAGGCTGCACAGCAGAACAGTCTAATCTCATTATCTGTTCCATCCTTTCTGTAGTGGGGGCTGAAATATATTGCAAAATCAAACATGTCTATTTGCAAATTCTGTCTCTTTGGTCACATTATTTTTGTTGCTTGTTTGCTTTCGTTTCTCTCCATGTTTCATGTATGAATATTGCTTCCTTTTTTGGGTCTTTAGTTGGAACGGGTGAGTATTCTGGTATCATTTGTTCATCATAAACATCACAAGCGGATCCCATATACCTCAACAGCGTCCTTGTGTCTAGGAGTGTCTGAGCAATGACACTGGTGTCCTGGTGATATCACAACTCACAGCTCCTTTCTGAGCCTCAGATTTCTCTGCAGCAAAGTAAGTGCAATAGCCTTTTTTTCCCCCAAGGCCATGCAATGATTGCATATCTTTTTATTATTATTATTTTATTTTATTTTTATTTTTTTTGAGATGGAGTCTTCCTCTGTCACCCAGGCTGGAGTGCAGTGGCATGATCTCGACTCACTGCAACCTCTGCCTCCCGGGTTCAAGCAACTCTCTGCCTCAGCCTCCCGAGTAGCTGGGATTACACCACCACTCCTAGTTAATTTTTTTGTATTTTTAATAGAGATGGGGTTTCACCATCCTGGCCAGGCTGGTATTGAACTCCTGACCTCATGATCCACCCGCCTTGGCCTCCCAAAGTGCTGGGATTACAGGCGTGAGGCACTGTGCCCAGCCGATTGTATATCTTGTGTCATGAACCAGTCAGAGTAGTTTCCCATCAAATGGTAGCTTCTAGTATCACATTTAAAGAATTTAATTTTATGTGCATATTTCCAGAATATATTAGTAATGATGTTATAAGCTGCATGGCTCAGGGTATGATATAAACCATATTTCTATCGAATGATTAATATTTTATCTGTAGAGCGATAATTGCTTAACTGAGAGGCTGTTTGAGGGGATATAGTCAAATGTACTGGCAAGAACAGTATTACAAGCTAGGTGCAGTGGCTCACGCCTGTAATCCCAGTACTTTAGAAGGCCAAGGTGGGTGGATCACTTGAGGCCAAGAGTTGGAGACCAGCCTGGCCATGTCGCTACTAAAAACACAAAAATTAGCTGGGCATGGGGGTACACGCCTGTAGTCCCAGCTACTCAGGAGGCTGAGGCAGGAGAATCGCTTGAACCTGGGAGGCGGAGGTTGCAGTGAGCCGGGATCGTGCCACTGCACTCCAGCCTGGGCAACAGAGAGAGACTCTATCTCAATAAAATAAATAAAAATAAATAAAAAATTAGCTGGGTGTGGTGGCACATTCCTGTAGTCCTAGCTATTCTAGAGGGTGAAGTTTGGAGGATTGCTTGAGCCCAGGAGTTCGAGGTGACACTGAGCTGTGATTGTACCATTGCACTCCAGCCTGGGTGACAGAGGAAGATTCTGTCTCAAAAAATAAGTATATTCTTTTTTCCAATGTGCTGTCATTCTATGTGTCTCAAATCATAGACTTCTTTCCCTATTTACCTCTATACACCTGCCATCTGGTCTCCCTCAAAAACACTGTCATTTATTTACACACCACAGGTCAATAACATCCTTTCATCCATATCCAATTTCATCTGGTGTATATGAAAGTGTTCTTTATGTCCACTAAAGACAAATCTCATTTCTTTTTTTTTTTTTTTCGGAGTCTCACTCTGTCGCCCAGGCTGGAGTGCAGTGGTGCGATCTCGACTTACTGCAACCTCCGCCTCCGGGGTTCAAGGGATTCTCCTGCCTCAGCCTCTCAAATAGTTGGGACTTCAGTCGACCACAATCATGCCTGGCTAATTTTTTTTTTTTTGTATATTTAGTAGAGACGGGGTTTTACTACGTTGGCCAGGCTGATCTCGAACTCCTGATCGCAGACGATCCGCCTGCCTTGGCCTCCCAAAGTGCTGGGACTACAGGCATGAGCCATCGCGCCAGGCCATAAATCTCATTTCTTTAGAGTAGATATTTCTCAGCCAGGGAGCTCCATTGATAAAATGCAGAAGATGGCAACAGACCACTCTTCACGTGCATCTCACGTGATCTATTAGAAAAAACCCAGGCAGCCAGAAAACACCTTTTATTAGAGTGCTCAAGAGCTGGGAACACACAATGATACTATAGAAGCTATATTCTGGACCGGGTGCAGTGACTCATGACTGTAATGCCAGCATTTTGGGAGGCCTAGTTGGGTGAATCACCCGAGTTAAGGAGATTGAGACCAGCCTGGCCAAGATGGTGAAACCCCATCTCTACTAAAAATACAAAAATTAGCCGGGCGTTGTGGCACATACCTGTAGTTTCAGCTATGTGGGAGGCTGAGGCAGGAGAATGGCTTGAACCCCATAGGCAGAGGTTACAGTGAGCTGAGATCATGCCTCTGCACTCCAGCCTGGGTGACAGAGTGAGACTTCATCTTAAAAAGTAAATAAATAAAAGAAACTTATATTCTGAAGCTACTTCAGCCTTTCAAGTGAGCAGAAATCAAAACCCCTGGACATTGCCTAAATTCAGCTACAGAAGGGGGCTACATTGCACTGCATGTCCAGGAGCAGTATGGTGGGGTCCACAGAAGGACCCAGCACAGAGGAAGTTCTCCGTCTCCACTGAATCATGTTGAGATATTGTGGTGTGTTGGATCCTATGCTAGAAAACAGAGGAAACTGAGGGCCGGGCGCGGTGGCTCACGCCTGTATTCCCAGCACTTTGGGAGGCCAAGGTGGGCGGATCACGAGGTCAGGAGTTCAAGATCAGCCTGTCCAACATGTGAAACCCCATTTCTACTAAAATACAAAAATTAGCTGGGCGTGGTGGTGCACACCTGTAATTCCAGTTACTGGGGAAGCTGAGGCAGGAGAATGGCTTGAACCCAGGAGGCAGAGGTTGCAGTGAGCCGATTGTGCCACTGCACTTCAGCCTGGGTGACAGAGCAAGACTCCATCTCACAAAAAGAAAAAAAGAAAGAAAAAGAAAACAGAGGAAACAGACCTGGTTCTTGATGTCCTTGGAGCCCAAAGTCCTGGCAGAAAATGGGGCCTGTGTGATGAGCAGCATCTGAGATGTTCCCAAGGACATCCCACCTCCTGGTTTTCATACCCTTGGGCAATCTGCTCCTATTTAGTGTGAGATGCACCTGGTGACTGATTCCCAACTACGAGAGTGTGGAAGAAGTGATGTGATGTCACTCTGAGAATAGAACGAAGGACCTCAGCTTTTATTTTGCTGCCCCATCTTGCTTTGCATTGATGGAAGCCAAATGCCATGTGGTCAGCTGCTTTATGCAGAGACCCTTAATGCAAGAAATTGAGGGAATTTTCTGTCTAATGTTTCAGAGCAACCGAATCCTGGTAACAACCTTGTGAGTGAGGTTGGAAGTTGATCCTCTACCTTCCAGCCTTCAGATGACTGCCACCCTGGTCAACACGTTAATTGCCACCTTCTGAGAATGTCTTGTATTTCAGTGATGTATCAGTTATCAAATAACTAAAGTTCAATAAGTAAGGAATATACCATTGTATATTCATTTGGACAAAATACTTAGACCCGGAGAGTCACTGAAACAAGCATCAAACATAAGTCTCTGGCACATTAAAGGCCAATCCAATGCAAGGGCTAATAGAAGTGAATTAAGACATTCTCTGTAACTCCAATATTAAATGGAAACCGGGAAATAGCCAGATTCCTCTCCAACCTGTCCTTGGCTGGCATCGGTTTCCCCTCCACCATAGTCTCCAAGATGATTGTGGACATCCAGTCTCACAGCAGAGTCATCTCCTATGCGGGCTGCCTGACTCAGGTATCTCTTTTTGCCGTTTTTGGATGCATGGAAGACATGCTTCTGAGTGTGATGGCTTATGACCGGTTTGTGGACATCTGTCACCCTCTGGATTATCCAGTCATCATGAACCCATGTTTCTGTGGCTTCCTAGTTTTGTTGTCTTTTTTTCTCAGTCTTTTAGACTCCCAGCTGCACAATTGGATTGCCTTACAAATTACCTGCTTCAAGGATGTGGAAATTCCCAATTTCTTCTGTGACCCTTCTCAACTCCCCCACCCTTGCCTGTTGTGACACCTTCACCAATGACATAGTCATGTATTTCCTTGCTGCCATATTTGGTTTTCTTCCCATTTCGGGGACCTTTTCTCTTACTATAAAATTGTTTCCTCCATTCTGAGGGTTTCATCATCAGGTGGGAAGTATAAAGCCTTCTCCACCTGTGGCTCTCACCTGTCAGTTGTTTGCTTATTTTATGGAACAGGCTTTGGAGGGGACCTCAGTTCAGACATGTCCTCTTATCCCAGAAAAGGTGCAGTGGCCTCAGTGATGTACACGGTGGTTACTCCCATGCTGAACCCCTTCATCTACAGCCTAACAGGGAAATTAAAAGTGCCCTGCGGCAGCTGCACTGCAGAATAGTCTAATCTCATTTTCTTATTATCTGTTCCATTCCTTCCGTAGTGTGAGTTAGAAAAGGCAGCAAGGGGCCGGGCGCAGTGGCTCACACCTGTAATCCCAGCACTTTGGGAGGCCGAAGTGGGCGGATCACGAGGTCAGGATGATCGAGACCATCCTGGCTAACACGGTGAAACCCTGTCTCTACTAAAAATACAAAAAAATTAGCCGGGTATGTTGGTGGGCGCCTGTAACCCCAGCTACTCGGGAGGCTGAGGCAGGAGAATGGCGTGAATCCGGGAGGCGGAGCTTGCAGTAAGCCAAAATCGCGCCACTGCACTCCAGCCTGTGCGATAGAGCAAGACTCCATCTCAAAAAAAAAAAAAAGAAAAGAAAAGAAAAGGCAGCAAGGTCAAATACGAATAATATAAAAGGATGTACACCTGTGTCCGGAATTGGTGGGTTCTTGGTCTCACTGACTTCAAGAATGAAGCCGCGGACCCTCGCGGTGAGTGTTACAGCTCTTAAGGCAGCGCGTCTGGAGTTGTTCGTTCCTCCCGGTGGGCTCTGGTCTCCCTGGCTTCAGGAGTGAAGCTGCAGACCTTCGCGGTGAGTGTTACAGCTCATAAAAGCAGTGTGTACCCAAAGAGCGAAAGAACAAAACTCCCACAGTTTGGAAGAGGACCGGAAAGGGTTGCTACTGCTGGCTCGGGCAGCCTGCTTTTATTCTCTCATCTGGCCCCACCCACATCTTGCTGATTGGTAGAGCCGAGTGGTCTGTTTTGACAGGGCACTGATTGGTGCCTTTACAATCCCTGAGCTAGACACAAAGTTTCTCCACGTCCCCACCAGATTAGCTAGATACAGAGTGTCAACACAAAGGTTCTCCAAGGCCCCACCAGAGTAGTCAGATATAGAGTGTCCGTTGGTGTATTCGAAAACCCTGAGCTAGACACAGTGTGCTGACTGGTGTATTTACGATCCCTGAGCTAGACATAGAGGTTCTCCACGTCCCCACCAGACTCAGGAGCCCAGCTGGCTTCACCCAGTGGATCCTGCACCGGGGCTGCAGGTGGAGCTGCCTGCCAGTCCTGCGCTGTGCGCCCGCACTCCTCAGCCCTTGGGTGGTCGATGGGACTGGGCGCCGTGGAGCAGGGGACAGCGCTCATTGGGGAGGCTCCGGCCGCACAGGAGCCCATGGAGTGGGTGGGAGGCTCAGGCATGGCGGGCTGCAGGTCCCGAGCCCTGCCCCGCGGGAAGGCAGCTAAGGCCCGGTGAGAAATCGAGCGCAGCGCCGGCGGGCTGGCACTGCTGGGGGACCCAGTACACCCTCCACAGCCGCTGGCCCGGGTGCTAAGCCCCTCATTGCCCAGGGCCGGCAGGCCGGCCTGCTGCTCCGAGTGCGGGGCCCGCCAAGGCCACGCCCACCCGGAACTCCAGCGGGCCCGCAAGCGCCGCGCGCAGCCCCGGTTCCCGCTCGCGCCTTTCCCTCCACACTTCCCACCAAGCTGAGGGAGCCGGCTCCCGCCTTGGCCAGCCCAGAAAGGGGCTCCCACAGTGCAGCGGTGGGCTGAAGGGCTCCTCAAGTGCCGCCAAAGTGGAAGCCCAGGCAGAGGAGTCGCTGAGAGCGAGCGAGGGCTGTGAGGACTGCCAGCACGCTGTAACCTCTCACACCCACTGTGATATTAGGGGTAATATCTCCCTAGGATATAAAAAATAATACCACAGAGTGTACGCACATGGGGTACACCCACTGCGATATTAGAAGCAATATCTCCAAAAATATTATGAAAAATATCACAGGATGTACACCCTCTGTGATATTAGAATGAATATTTACCCTGGATATTATGAGTAATATCAAGGGTGTACACACATGGGGTACACCCGCTATAATATTAGGAGTTATATCTGCCTAGGATATTACGAATGATATCAAAGGGTGTACATGCCCTGTGACTTTAAAAGTAACATCTTCCTAGAATATTATGAATAATATCACAGGGTGTATACCCACTGTGACCTTAGGAGTAACATCCTCCTAGGATATTACGAATAATGTCGCTGGGTGTACACCCTCTGTGATATTAGGAGTAATATCTCCCTAGGATATAAGGAATAATATCACAGAATGAACACATATGGTGTGTACCCACTGTGATATTAGAAGCAGTATCTCCCTACAATATTTTGAGAAATATCACAGGGTCCACACTCTCTGTGATATTAGATGTAATGTTTACTCTTGATATTATGAATAATATCACAGGGTGGACACACATGGGGTACACTCACTGTGATATCAGGAGTAATATCTTTCTAGGACATACGGAATAATATCAGAGAGTGTACACACATGGTGTATCCTCACAGTGATATTAGAAGCAATATCTCCCTAAAATATTATGAAAAATATCACAGGGTGTACACCCTCATTGATATTAGAAAAAATATGTACCCTGGATATTATGAATAATATCAAGGGTGTAGACACATGGTGTATGTACACCCGCTGTGATATTTAAAGTAATATCACCCTAGAATATTATGAATAATTTCAAAGGGTTACACTTCCTGTAACATTAAGAGTAACGTTTTTCTAGGATATTATGAGTAATATCACAAGGTGTACACCCTTTGTGACATTAAAAGTAACATCCCACTAGGATATTGGAAATAATAACACAAGGGGTATACACACATGGTGTACACCCCCTGTGGCATAAAGATTAACATCTTCCTAGGATATTACGAATAATATTACAGAAGGTGTAGACACATGGTGCACATTCCATGTGACATTAGGAACAATATCCCCCTAGGATATTAAAAATAATATCACAGTGGTTGTACACACATGATGTACTCACCCTGTGACAGTAGAAGTAACACCCCCCTAGGATATTACAAATAATATCACAGGAGGTGGATACACATGGTTTACACATTCTGTAAAATTAGGAGTAACATCCCCCTAAGATATTATGAATAATATCACAGGGTGTGTACACACATGGTGTTTACCCCCTGTGACATCAGGTGTAACATCCTTCTAGGATATTATGAATAATATCATAGGGGGTGTACACACATGGTGAACACCCCCTGTAATATTATGAGTAACATCCCTGTAGAATATTACAGAAGGTTTACAGACATGGTGTACACCCCCTGTGACATTAGGATTAACATCTTCCTAGGATATTACAAATAATATCACAGGGTGTACACACTCTGTGACATTCGGAGTAACATCCCCGTAGGATATTATGAATAATATTAAAGAGTGTACACCCACTATGACATTAGGAGTAACATACGCCTAGAATATTACAAATAATATCACAGGGCAAGCACAACCTGTGACATTAGGAGTAACATCCCCCTAGGATATTACAACTAATATCACAGGGTGTACATGCATTGTGACATTAGTAGTAACATTCCAATAGGATATTACAAATAATATCACAGGGCGTACACCCCCTGTGACATTAGGAGTAACATCCCCCTAGTATAAAAAGAATAATATCACAGAGTGTACAACCACTGTGATATTAATAGTAACACACTCCAAGGATATTATGAATAATATCGTGTGCAGCCACTGTGACATTTATATTCCTAAAATATAAGGAATATTATAATAGAGTGTACACACATTGTGTATACCCACTGTGATATTAGAAGCAATATGTTCCTAAAATATTATGAACAGTATCACAGAGTGTACACTCTCTGTTATATTACAAGTAATATTTACCCTGGAGATTATGAATAATATCACAGGGTATACACACATGGGGTACACCCACTGTGATATTAGGAATTATATCTCCCTAAGATATTACAAACAATTCAGAGGGTGTACCATGTACATACTTCTACTGTGATGTTGGAAGTAATATCTTCCTAGGAGATTACAAATAATACCAAGGAATTTACACCACCTGTGACATTAGGAGTAACATCCTTTTAAGATATTACAAATAATATCACAAGATGTACAGCCAGTGACATTTTGTACACCCTTTGTGTACATTAAAATTAATATCCCACTAGAATATTATGAGTAATATCACAGGTGGTTTACACACATGGTGTACACATTTTATGTCATTAGGGGTAACATCCCTATAGGATATTATGAATAATATCACAGAAGGTGTACGCAGATGCTGTACACTCCATGTGATATTAGAAGCAACATCCCCCTAGGATATTAGGAATAATATCACAGGACTTGTACATAAATGGGATACTTCCTTTGTGACATTAGGAGTAACATCCCCCTAGGCTATTATGAATAATATCACAGGGTGTGTACACATGGTGTGCACACCCTGTGAAATTAAAAGAAGCATCCCTCTAAGATATTATGTGTAATATCACAGGGTGTGTACACATATGGTGTACACACCCTGTGATGTTAGAAGTAACATCCTTCTAGAATAGTGATGGTGAATATCACATTTAATATTAGAAGTAACATCCCCATAGAATATTATGAATAATATCACAGGGAGTGTGCACACATGGTATACAGTCCCTGCGACATGGTGTACACATGGTGTACACTCCCTGTGATATTGTGTACACATGGTGTACACACCCTGTGACATTGTGTACACCGCCTGTGACAATGTACACACCCTGTGACAATTTACACCCCCTGTGACATTGTGTACACCCCCTGTGACATTAGGAGTACATTCCCTATGACATTAGGAGTACATTGCCTATGACATTAGGAGTACACCCCCTGTGACATTCTGTACACCCCAAGTGACATTAGAAGTAACATTAGGAGTACACATGGTGTACATCCCCTGTGACATTGCGTACACCCCCTAAGTGATATTAGGAGTAACATTTTCCTGGGATATTATGAGTAATATCACGGGGCGTACACCCACTGTGACAACAGGAGCAATGTCGCCCTAGGATATTATGAATAATATCATAGAGTGTATACCCCCTGTGACATGAGGAGTAACATTTTTCTAGGATATTACAAATAATATTACAAGGTATACACCCCCTGTGACATTAGCAGTAACATCCCCCTAGGATATTACAGATAATATCATAGGGTGAACATGCATTGTGACATTAGTAGTAACATCCCTTTAGGATATTGTGAATAATATTACAGTGTGTACACCCCTGTGACATTAGGAGCTGTTGACCAGGCTGGTCTCGAACTCCTGACCTCAAGTGGTCTGCCTGCCTCAGCCTCCCAAAGTGCTGGGATTACAGGCGTGAGCCACCATGCCCGGCCATTTTATTTTATTTTAGATTCAGAAAGTACATGTGCAGTTTTGTTGTGTTACAAGAAAAGCCTTAGACAAATTAAATTTAATAGAGGGGTTTTTTTGTTTTATTTTTTATTCTTTTTTTGAGACAGAGTCTGGTTTCGTCCCCCAGGCTGGAGTGCAGTGGTGTCTGTCATCTCGGCTCACTGCAAACTCCACCTCCTGAGTTCAAGCGATTCCCCTGCCTCAGCCTCCTGAGTAGCTGGGATTACAGGTGCCCACCACCACATCCGGCTAATTTTTTTTTTTTTGTATTTTTAGTAGAGACGGGGATTCACCATGTTGGCCAGGCTGGTCTTGAACTCCTGACCTCAAGTGATCCACCCGCCTTGGCCTCCCAAAGCGCTGGGATTACAGGCATGAGCCCCCACGCCGGGTCAAATTTAATAGAGTTTAATTGAGCAAATACCGATTCGCAAATCGGGTAACCCCCAACCAGAATAGGTTCAGAGAGGCTCCAGTACAGCCATTTAGGGGAAGAAAATTTATGGACAGAAAAAGAAAAGTGACGTACAAAAGAATGGAAGTGAAGTACACAAACAGCTGGATGGGTTACCTCTCGGCGTTCGACGAATTTGAATACGGTTTGAAAGGCTGGCCAGCTTTGATGGCTCAAAAACAGGTAATTGGCTCAGGCATAGGGTACAATCTGTTTAAACATCCAGGTAGGTTACAGTTCATATGCATGGAGAAACTTTCAGGCTGAACTTAAAATACGTAAGGAGGGCAGGGCGCGGTGGCTCACGCCTGTAATCCCAGCACTTTGGGAGGTCAAGGTGGGCGGATCGCGAGGTTAGGAGATCGAGACCATCCTGGCTAACACGGTGAAACCCCGTCTCTACTAAAAATACAAAAAATTAGCCGGGCGTGGTGGCAGGCGCCTGTAGTCCCAGCTACTCGGGAGGCTGAGGCAGGAGAATGGTGTGAACCGGAGAGGCGGAGCTTGCAGTGGGCGGAGATCGGGCCACTGTCCTCCAGCCTGGGCGACAGAGCGAGACTCCGTCTCAAAAAAAAAAAAAAAAAAAACGTAAGGAGACAACTTTAGGCTGAATTTAAGTTACATGGGTATATTGCGTGACTGCATGAAGTTTTTTTTGTTTTGTTTTGTTTTGTTTGAGACGGAGTCTAGCTCTGTCGCTCAGGCTGGAGTGCAGTGGCACGATCTCGGCTCACTGCAACCTCAGCCTCCCGGGTCTAAGTGATTCTCCTGCCTCAGCCTCCCGAGTAGCTGGGATTACAGGCAAGCACCACCACGTGTAGCTAATTTTTGTATTTTTAGTAGAGATTGGGTTTCACCATGTTGACCAGGATGGTCTCAATCTCTTGACCTCATGATCACCGCGCCCAGCCATGAAGTTCTTTATGCCAAAAAAAAAAACTCTATTTCTATACACTAAAACAGTTATAATTTAATTTTCAAAAGTTCCATTTAAAATAGCCATCAATTTTTTATTGATATGTAATAATTGCATATATTTATAGAGTACACGTGGTATTTTGATATAAGCATGCAATGTGTAATTATGGATATTTAGAATATCCATCACTCCAAACATTTATAATTTCTTTTTCTTGGAAATATTTCAAATCTCTTCTGGCTATTTTGAAATATGTAAGAAATGGGCAAGGTGGCTCACACCTGTAATCTCAGCACTTCGGGAGGCCAAGGCGGATGGGTCACTTGAGGTCAGGAGTTTGAGACCAGCCTGGCCAACAGGGTGAAACGTCCTCTCTACTAAAAATACAAAAATTAGCTGGGCGTGGAGGCTGGCGCCTGTAATCCCAGCTACTCAGGAGGCTGAGGCAGGAGAATCGGTTGAACCCAGGAGGTGGAGGTTGCAGTGAGCTGAGATCATGCCCCTGCATTCCAGCCTGGGTGACTAAGCAAAACTCAAAAAAAAAAGAAATATATAATAAATTATTTTTAACTATACTTACCCTACTGTGCTACCAAATATTAGAACTTATTCCTTCTATCTCATTGTATGTTTGTGTCCATTAACCAAACTCTCTTCATCCCCCACACCCACTCACACACCCTTCTCAGCCTCTGGTAACCACCACTCTTCTCTCTAATGCCATGGGACTCACATGCTAGCTCTTACACATGAGTGAGAATATGCAATACTTATTGTTCTGTGCCTGGCTTATTTCACTTTCCATTTACGCTGCTGCAAATGACAGGATGTGACGCATTTTATGGTTGAATTATATTCCATTGTGTGTATATATATATATCACATTTTGTTTATAAAAACTAAAACTATAGCAAATTTCAAAAATTAGTCTCTGAATGTGAAGCTACAGTGATACTGTTACCATGTTATTCTTTTCTATTTCCCTTTCTATGTATGCACAAGAGTGAAAGAGGAGAAAAAACTGTATGTGTATAAATATATGCTGAATAAATGTACAATAAAAATTATAGTGGTAAAAAAACAACATAATGTTAATTTCTTTCTTTCTTTTTCTTTTCCTTTTTTCCTTTTTTTTTTTTTTTTTTTGAGATGGAGTCTCCCTCTGTAGCCCAGGCTGTGGTGCAATGGCACTATCTCAGCCCACTGCAACCTCTGCCTCCTGGATTCAAGTGATTCTCCTGCCTCAGCCTCCCGAGGAGCTGGGATTATAGGCACGCACCACCATGCCTGGCTAATTTTTGTATTTTTAGTAAAGATGGGGTTTCACTATGTTGTCCAGGCTGGACTCCAACTCCTGACCTCAGGCGATCTGCCCACCTCAGCCTCCCAAAGTATTGGGATTACAGGTGTGAGCCACCGCGCCCGGCCATAATGTAAATTTCTACAGTGCTGAACAATAATGCGTTTTAAGAAGATATTTGAATGAATCACGTTGCCTGGTGCTACATTCTTTTGTAACTTACCCATTGTAGCTCCGTCCCTTTAGAAACATCATCACCTGAACTATTTCTGGTGCTTTTAAAATTCCTCAACCCACACAGGTCCAAGTAAATTTTGGTAATGACACCCAGGCCTCAGTATTTGTGAGGTCCCCAGGTGATTTCAATAAAACCAAATGTGAGGACCATTGATAGACATCATCATACGTAAGCTGCCTAAAGTGATTTCCTAGATGCGATTTGGACAGAAATTACACAGGAACTGTAGAAAGGGAGGTAAATACGAAGTACGATAAGTCCTCACTTAACATCCTCCACAGAAAATTAGAAACCACAATTCAAGCAAAACGATGAACCATGAAACCAATTTATTCATTTCTCACCAAAATTAAAACTAAACAACATTGAACAAAATGAACTTATTTCAGGACCTGCTGCGCTTTTTTTTTAAAGTTGCAGTTTCCAAAAACCTCTTGACAAAGTTAAGTGAGGATTTCAAGTCTATCAGAAAAGATTGTGATTGCACCTGGATATCAAGGTCATTGCACAGATACTAAAGGAGGCTGTCTAGGTATATTGGAATCATTCATGATGTGTATGATGAACAAAGGATACCAGAATACTCACCCATTGCAATTAAAGACAAAACAAAGCAAGCAATATTCACATACGAAACCCAGAGAGGAATGAAAGCCATCAAGCAACCAAAATAATGTGACCAAGGAGGCAGAATTTGCAGGCCTAGGTGTTAAATTTTGCTGCCATTTCTATCCCATATAACAAAAAGGATGGAGATGATGAGATTTGATGATTCTGCCATGCAGCCTGCACAGGGCACTTTGAATGTCCTTGTTCCTCAGGCTGTAGATGAAGGGGTTCAGCATGGGGGTGACCACAGTGTACATCACTGAAGCCACCATACTCTTCCTGGGGGATGGTAACACAGCTGAACTGAGGTACCCTACAAGCCCTGTTCCATAAAATAAGCAAACAACTGCCAGGTGAGAGCCACAGGTGGAGAAGGCTTTATACTTCCCATCTGATGTTGGAACTCTCAGAATGGGGGAAACAATTTTATAGTAAGAGAAAAGGATCCCTGAGATAGGGAGACAGCCAAATATGGCACCCATGAAATATATGACCATTTCATTGATGAAGGTGTCGGAACACCTAAGGTGGAGGAGTTGAGAAGGGTCACAGAAGAAATTAGAAATGTCCACATCCTTGAAGCAGGTGAGCTGTAACATAATCAAATTGTGCAACTGGGAGTCCAAAAGACTAATAAAAAAAGACAACAAGATTAAGAAGCCACAGAGGCGTGGGTTCATGATGATTCGGTAGTGCAGGGGGTGACAGATGGCCACAAACCGGTCATAGGCCATCACACTCAGGAGCATGTCATCCATACATGCAAAAAGGACAAAAAAAGACATCTGAGTCAGGCAGCCTTCATAGGAGATGACTCTGCTGTGAGTTTGCATGTCCACAATCATCTTGGGGACCGTGGTGGAGGTGAAACCGATGTCAGCCAAGGACAGGTTGGAGAGGAAGAAGTACATGGGGGTGTGGAGGTGGGAGTCAGAGCTGACAGCCAGGATGATGAGCAGGTTCCCCAGCACCGTGACCAGGTACATGGACAGGAACAGCCCAGCGAGGACCGGCTGCAGTTCTGGATCCTCTGAGAGTCCCAGGAGGAGGAATTCTGAGACACCTGTGAGATTCTGTGGCTCTGTGTAGCTCGGACACCTTTTGAGGAAAAAAAAAAAGAGAATTGGAAAATAGGACATAAGTAAACCAGCATCTAGCACTGTGTCTATATTTTGGATACAAGCAATTAAGAAATTAAGTTTTCACATAGGATTATACACCCTCAGCAATAGTTCTCAGTTGTGACAAACCCAATTTCCTTAGAGTTACTTCATAATTGATTTTGTGTTATTCACCTCTTTCTGTATACACTTAACTTAGAGACAGTCTATTGAAGAATGTTAGGAGAGCAAAAACATTAGAGATTTTAGAAATCCATGATCACGGTAAAATATAGCCTAATTTATCAGGAAAAAATATACAACAAAAATATTCTTGCCCCTTTAAGAAAAAGATTAAATCCATTGAAAGGATACTAAGAAGGAGTCAGCTATGTCTTGTTTTATTCTAATACAATTCTACAAATTCCATTGATTGAGGATATTTATCAACACTCAATGAGATCTAGGATCATGTTGTCTCAAAACTCAATGAAAGTTCATAGTTCATAGCCAGAAAACATCTTTACATACCAGTTATATTCTACGGTTTCCATCATTCTTACGTTTTCTGACTTTCATTCTTCATGGAAGTAAGTACTCACTCAAATATGTGGGCTTTCTTTTAAAATTCACTTAATTATAATTCCTGTCCTTGCCTTAGGTGGACTTGGAGTTTTGATAAGAAAGTAGCCCAGGGTGGTGGCTCACACCTGGAATCCTAGCACTTTGGGAGGCCAAGGCAGGAGGATTGCTTGAGGATGTGAGTTTAAGACCGGCCTGGAAAACACAGCAAAACCCCATCTTTACAAAAAACTAAAAAATTAGACAGGCATGGTGGCGCCGCCCTGTAGTCCCAGCTACTCAGGAGGCTGAGTCAGGAGAATCGCTTGAGCCCTGGAGTTCGAGGCTGCACTGAACCATGATCATACCACCGCACTCTAGGCAGAGTGGCAGAGTGAGACCTTGACTATTAAATCAATAAGTAATTAAAAGGAAGGTTTAGTTAAATGCACATAATTACCAGGACATCACTGATAGCAAAGATGTTGATAGTGTGCAACGTACCTGTGGATGACAGAACATTAATATAATGTTAAAATGCTTTTAATTTTTTTTTTTAAGACCTGAGTCTCGAAGTTTTGAGCCTGTCACCAGGCTGGAATGCAGTGGCATGATCTCAGCTCACTGCAGCCTCCGCCTCCTGGGTTCAAGCGATTCTTATGCCTCAGCTTCCCGAGTAGCTGGGACTACAGGCGCACGCCCCACCATGCACAGCTGATTTTTGTATTTTTAGTAGAGATGGAGTTTCACCATGTTGGCCAGGCTGGTCTCAAACTTCTGACCTCAAGTAATCTGCCCACCTCTGCCTTTCAAAGTGCTGGGATTACAGGTGTGAGCCACTGTGCCTGGCCAAGGTAATGTTAAAATACTTTGGCATTACTTTCGTTGTGGCTGGAATCATGTGAAACTCTAAAATGTATCTTGATCTAAACAATAAGGTTTACCTGCCCCCACTTCCTTCTGCATCCTTTTCTCTTTTTTTATGCCTGTAAAAATCTCTGCCATGGTCTTTAAGTAATTGAATGTTGTAGATGCTATTATTATGTGTCCATAATATAGACACAAAAAAGTGCTATTTTACCTTCTGCCTAGTTTGTGACACATTCCTGGAAGGAATGAAAGTACAGATAGGAAAGCAGTGAGTGTGTTGAAGTCACACTGATCACAGCCAGTTTTGTGAACTAAGGAAGGGTCTATTCAATATGTAACAGAGATTCTAATTTTTGGTGTCTCCTCTGTACCAAGCAAGATACAGGCTCTGGGAAATCAGAGTTGAAAGAAACTCAAATATTCCTCTCACAATCCTCAGTACTTACTTATATAAGGGCAAAAATTAAATGTCCTGTCAGAGACATTGGGAACCATAGCTAGGTTCCTGGATATTTCAGTTCAATGGTATGGAGATTAACCTTGGAATATTAATAGAAAACATGTAGAATACACTTCACTTTATGCATCCATCACATAGGGATCACACAGGAGCACACACGGTCTGTTTAATCATTGCTCACTGCAGTGGGATCTACCAGAAATCAACTCAGATGATAGTGTTGAGCCTCAGAGACACAGACATCTCACCCCTTGTCACACAGATCAGGGGCATGGGCAGGATTTGGAATTAAATGGTTGGTCTTTGAGTCTCTGGCACTAAACTTCTTCATTGTTTCCCAGCTCTCAGAAAGTTTTAAGCAATGGCCAGAGGTCTTAAGCACAGGTGCATCTGAAGCGCATTTTGAAACTATTTCCGGTTTCCTGAATAGAAATGGATTCCAAGACCCTGATTTTATTTCTCCTTTGAGGAAGTAGAGAGCTGCAAGGAAAGCCAGAAACAGGGGCAAGGGAGAGATGCGCCCTGAGTGATCCTGTGCCAGTTCTTTCTGGGATCTTTGATGTGATCTCAGCTGCCCTTTCTATACTTGACACAGTGAACGTGGCACCCACTGGTCTAGCTGTGGTCTACCAGGAAGCCCCAAAGGGAAGGGTACAGTTAGCAGGGGCACCTGCTGGGTGTGACACGGATTCGAGGGGGGGAAGGTTGGATGCAGAGAGAGGCCTGGCCAAATGCTATGTGTCTGGACTTAGACTGCCTGGTGCAAATGTGGCTTCACCTCTTTCTACCTCATGATCTGGTACGAGCTATATAAAAATGCATTGCTCCTTTCCTCCTCTGTACAATAATAATAATAATGTGTGCAGCTATAACTCAGGAAAAATTATGAAGATGAAATGAAACAAGCTATACAAAACACAGAGCTGAGATCCATGCATTTAGGAAGCCCTCAGTAAGAATTCATGATGTCATGGTGACTGGCATCTTCCTCCTCATCCTCAACATCACCTTTATAAACTTTTTGTTGTGTTTAGGGCACAGTTTAGAGGGACCCACTTTTTGCTATCCTGGGTGAGATGTCTATGGGAAGTTCAATCAGCATGGGAGGAATGTAAAATTTCATCAGAGTCAAAAGTTAACCCAGGGAATAGGAAAATATATTTGCAAATCATCTATATGCTAAGAGGCTAACAAAGAAACTACACCAAGAACTCCTACAACTCAACAACAAAACAAATACCCCATTAAAAGTGGGCAGAGGACTTCAATAATCATTTCTCTAAAGAACATATACAAACAGCCAATGAGCATACAAAGTGATATTCAACATCACTCATTGGCAGGGACATGCAAATAAAAAACACAATGAGATACCACCCAATAGGATGGCTATTAAGAGCAAATGAACAAAACAACCTGTCAAGTTTTGGTGAAACCATAGAGAAGTAGGAATGCTTGTAAGGGAGTATGGAAATGTAAAATAGTGCAGCAATATGAAATGAAAGACCACACACACAACCCTGAACATAAACCCTGAAAATAAACCCCGAACATAAACTCCACAGTCGTCTGAGCTGACATTTTGCACATTGGTGTCCTCCCATCTGCCACCCCACTGTCCTGTTTGTGCTGAGGATGAGGAAACAAGGCTCCCAACCGTCCCTCAGCACTCACTGAGCTGCGCTTCCCCTCTGCTGGGCCATGACCATGGAGAGTAGGTCCGCTGTCCTCCCTGTGTGGTGCACGATGGAGGCTCAGGCTCCGTCCTCAGGACTGGCAGGAAGACAGGGTCAGACATGAGCCTCCTGATGCAGACGACAGGTGTGGAGCCCACTGGACTGGAAGCTCACACTGCAGGGCTGGAGGCATAGGCTGAGTATTTACTATTCTAGGGCCTTGGGGGCTCAAGGCACAGAGCTCCTCATTAGCCAAACTGGTCCATGTTCCCCAGTCTCTAAGGACTGCCCCATATTAACAGAGGAAGAAGAAGAGGAAATGAATGTCCACAGAAGCTTTTGGGCTCTTCCTCCACTCAGGAGGAATCCTGAGTGTACTATTCACTTCTTTCATTTATTTTTTATTAAGATCTGTCTACTTTTTATTTTCCTTTTTATTATATAAAAGATATTGCATATAAATGTTAAAATTATACATATAAATGGTTTTATATAAAATGGTAAATACAACATTTTATCATTTTCATCATTTTAAAGTATATAGCTCAGTGGCATGAAGTAGATTCACAATGTTGTACAACCATCCTCACCATCCATCTCCAGAACTTTTCTATCCTACAAAACAAAAACTCAGCAACCATTAAACAAAATCCTTTCCTTCAACTCGCTAACCACTAGCAACCACCATTCTGATTACTGTTTCTACAAATCTAACTGCACAAAATACTTGACATAAATAGAATCAGTCTGTATTTGCCCTTTGGTGATTGGTTTCTTTCACTGAGCATAATGTTGTCTAGATTCATCCCTGTTGTATCATGTGTCAGAAGTGCCTTCCTGTTTAAAGCTGAAAAATATTCCATTGTATGGATGGATCTCATTGTGTTTCTCCAGTCATCTGTTGGTGGACGCTTGTGTCGCTTCCATATATTTAGCTATTGTGAATAACGCTGCTATAAACATGGTGTTCTGTGCAGGAAACGCACAAGGGGAGAAGAAAACACACACACACACACACACACACACACACACACACACACACACACACAATACCTTTAAGGGTAAATAAGCTTTATCCCACGTAAATGGCAATGTAGATATAATAAGCAAATGATATAATAAGCAAATTACTATAATAAGCAAATTGAGGCCCGGCGCGGTGGCTCATGCCTGTAATCCCAGCACTTTGGGAGGCCAAGGCAGGCAGATCACGAGGTCAGGAGATCGAGACCATCCTGGCTAACACGGTGAAACCCTGTCTCTACTAAAAATACAAAAATTAGAAGGGTGTGGTGGCCCGTGCCTGTAATCCCAGCTACTTGGGAGACTGAAGCGGAAGAATCGCTTGAACCTGGGAGGCGGAGGTTGCAGTGAGCTGAGATCGCGCCACTGCACTCCAGCCTGGGAGACAGAGCAAGACTCCATAAAAAAAAAAAAAAAAAAAAAAAAAAAAAAGCACATTGATATAATAAGCAAATTGCAACGGGAAGTCGCCGAAGCGAAAAAAAAATATATATATACACACTCACCAGACTATGAAGGATTCACCAGCAACAGTCTGGGCTCCAGAGTCAGCCACCAGTCCGTGCACAGACAAGGAGAGGTCTCCTGAAGCTTTGGCGCAGTCTGGGACCCTAACTCTTTTTGTAATGAGTTGTTTGGCATGAGGCCCAGTCACGAGGGCCCTTCACGACTGGGCCCAAGGAACGCAAAAAGGTCAACTCGTTTTCGTGATTGTCTATTGTTTTTCAATAACTAATGTATAGGAATAGATTGAAATAGAGATTTCTCCGAAACAGCGCTGGATGAACGCCTCAAGGGGCTCACACGACCCATTCGAGGACTTGCTGACCATTGTTTGTGTCCATGTTCAATTGAGTTCGAATTTAATATTTAACTTTTCCTCCACACATGGTTATACAAATATCTGTTCAAATCCCTGTTTTCGATCCTTTTAAGTATGCACCCAGAAGTGAACTTGCAGCATCCTATGGTAGTTCTATTTTTCATTTTATGAGGAACCATCATATGGATTTTCATACTGCTGCACCATTTTACATTTCCATAGCCCTGTGTAAGCATTCCTCCTTCCCTACAGTTTCACCAAAACTCGACAGGTTTTTTTGCTTGTTTGTTCTTAATAGCCATCCTATTGGGTGGTATCTCATTGTGATTTTTATTTGCATGCCCCTATTGATGAGTGATGCTGGGTATCATTTTGTATGCTCATTGGCCATTTGCATATGTTCTTTAGAGAAATGTCTATTCAAGTCCTCTGCCCAATTTTTTTTTTTCTTTATTGAGACGGAGTCTTGCTCTGTCACCCAGGCTGGAATGCAGTGGCATGATCTTGGCTCACTGCAAACTTCACCACCCGGGTTCAAGCGATTCTCGTGACTCAGCCTCCTGAGTAGCTGGGACTATAGGTGCAGGCCACCCGCCCGCTAATTTTTTTTGTATTTTTTTGTATTTTTACTAGAAACGGAGTTTCACCATGTTGGCCAGGCTGGTCTTGAACTCCTGACCTCAGGTGATCTGCCCGCCTTGGCCTCCCAGAGTGCTGGGATTATAGGTGTAAGCCACCACACCTGGCCTTCTGCCCATTTTTAATGGGCATTTGTTTGGTTGCTGAGTTGTAGGAGTTCTTAATATTGTTTGGTTGTTAGCCTCTAAGCATATATATATGATTTACAGATATATTTTCCTATTCCCTGGGTTAACTTTTGACTCTGATGATAGTATATCCTTTGAGTTACAAAGGTTTTTTAATTTTGATGTAGTCCAAGTTATCTATATATTGTTGTCTGTGCTTTTGGTGACATATTCAAGAAATCACTAAGAAATCCAGTGTCATGAAGGTATTGATCAAATCATTACCAAATCCAATGTCATGAAGGTATTGATCAATGTTTTCTTTAAGAATTTTATAGGTTTGGAATTTAGGTTTAGGCCTTTGATCCATTTTGTGTTAACTTTTGCATATGGTGTAAGGTAAGAACCCACCTTCATTCTTCTGCATTTTGAAATCAAGTTTTTCCTACACCGTTTGTTGAAAAGGCTGTCTTTTTCCCAATGAATGTTCTTGGCACCCATGTGGAAAATCATGTGACCATATAAGTGAGAGTTTCTTTCTGGGCTCTCTTTACTCTTCCATTTTTCTGTATATGTGTCTTTATGTATTATAGTACCACACTGTTTTAATTCCTGGATCTTTGTAGTTTATTTGGAAACCAGGAAATGTGAGACCTTCAACTTTTCTTTTTAATGGATTTATACATTTTTTCAATTTACCTTAGAATTGTACATTGAGTTGGATAATAGTAACAAAACCTGCTAGGCTTTGGAGAGTGGATTCCCAAGGTTTTTCAAATACACTGTCTCATTGGAGCCTTAGTACTCCTGATCAAATAAAGACAGACAGATTTTTTATTTTGCCAGTGAGAATCACAGTCTGGAGAGGCTGTTGAATCCCAACACAGTGGTCACTGATGGGTCTGATACTGGAATTGGGTCTGTGTCCACCAGGCTGTGGGGCCTTTTCCAGAAACCAGGCTCCTGCACAGGGACTGGGGCTGAAGGAGGGACTCTCCCGGGAGGAGGCAGCCTGGTGAGAAGGATGCCAGCAGAAGTCTCAGGCCTCTAAGGCCTCCCCTCCTTCCCTGGTCTCTGCAGCTGAAGTTGCATCAGGAAGCTGTATCTTCTAACTGCTTGAGGCAACTTCTCAGATAAACCCTCTGAGGTGAATCCATAAACTTTTACAACTTGCACTTTCAAAGGATGATGCAAGGAGCAACAATTGCACCAGCTTGAGCCATTTGAGGGTGGTGTGGAATTGGAAACTGTGTCAAAGGCAATGGAACCCTGCCTCTAGCATCAGAAAGCTAAGCCTGTATTCAAAATAGATGCCTGCCAGGTGCAGTGGTTCACACCTACAATCCCAGTGCTTCAGGAAGCCAAGGTGGCCAATCCTGGTTTGAGGCCAGGATTTCAAGACAAGCCTGAGTCACATAGAGAGACCCCCTAACTGGGTGTGATGATGCATGCCTGTAGTCCCAGCTACTTGGGAGACTGAGGAGGATCACTTGAGCCCAGGAGTTCAAGATTTCAGTGAGCCACTGTACTCCAGCCTGCACAATACTGTGAGACACTGGCTCAAAAAAAAAAAAAAAAATGCCAGAGCAACATAAAATTGTAAGCATTCATTACCTTTCTGCCACCATGCATTGGGGAAAGTGGATCCCTCAGCTGATGCTGACCATTGGCAGACAGGATGGTGTGTGTGGAGATGGCGGGAGGGTCTTAGGGATGTGGGATGAACCCTGACACCATCTACTACCCCATCCTTCACTGCAGACCCAGTTCTACCAGTTCTCATCAAAAGGGTGAACTGCATCCCAAACACAGTCCACATTCTGTGGCTTCCATTCCTGAAGACATCTCCAGAAAGTCTCAGAAGAAAATTAAACTATATGAGAGAACAAATCTTTTCTATCGTATAATTATTACATGTTCTACAATCTGGGGTTAGATCATAAAACTGCAATTATGGGAAATAAAGGTCAAATAAAGAAGGAAAGAAAGAAAGACAAGAAGGAAGGAGGGAATGAGAGAAGAAAGAGGAGGGAATGAGGGAAGAAAGAGGAGGGAATGAGGGAAGAAAGAAGAGGAAAGGAAGAAAGTAAAAAAGGAGGGAGGGAGGGAAGAAAAGGAATAATCACAAAGAAGGAAGCAACGTCTCAGTTATTCTAGGCAGTTCATTACTATGAATCATCAGAACAAACAAGCTTACAAATCTACATTCCTAATTTGATGTGAAAAATCACATCACTGTTCTTATGAAATAAAGGATAGCAAAGTTGGAGTGTGGTCTCAACGTCAAGTTGCCAGGTTATAGTTCACCTCTATCTGCTTCTTCCTTTGTGGAACAAGGTGAATGAGAAAAGACATGTCAAAGAAATGTTTTCAGGGCCAACTGTGGTGGCTCATGCCTATAATCCCAGCACTTTGGGAGGCCGAGGCAGGTGGATCACTTGAGGTCAGGAGTTTGAGATCAGCCTGGCCAACATGGCAAAACCCCATCTCTACTAAAAATACAAAAAAAATTAGCCAGGTGTGGTGGTGCACACTTATAATTCCAGCTACTTGGGAGGCTGAGACACAAGAATTGCTTGAACCCGGGAGGTGGTTGCCGTGGGCTGAGATAGCGCCATGGCACTCCAGCCTGGGTGACAGAGTGAAACTGTGTCTCAAAACAAAACAAAACAAAAACAAAAAGAAAGAAATGTTTTCAGGATTAAATAAAGCCATACATGTAAAGCAACAAGCACAATCCTAAAAGGGAAACACGTTGCCTTGACTATTGTATGATTTTCATCCAATTTCTTCCAGAGGAAACAAGAACACAACCAAGTTTAGGTGAAGGGTGCTAACATGCAAATGGGTAATTTTTGAGGAAAGCATGTCATCATATCAGCACTCGATATGATAAGTGTTTCAAACAACACGTGAGAACTCTCAAGAGTGGCTCTAAGAAAATGGACCAAAGATGGAACTTTAAAGACTGTATATAAAACGGAAAAGTTAGAAGGAAATTACCAAGGGAGTTACTGAGAGAACCTAAAGTAAAAACATGTAGCAAAAGCCAAATCACAAGTGTTTTGGGAAGAGTAAAAATGAAGCATGTGATTTTCAGGAGAAAAAGAGCCAGGATATTTATTTCTTGTTTTCTTTTAGTTTTGTAGTTGTTGTTTTTGAGACAAAGTCTCACTCTGTCGCCCAGGCTGGAATGCAATGGCGCAATCTCAGCTCACTGCAACCTCTACCTCCCAGATTCAAGCAATTCTCCTGCCTCAGTCTCCCAAGTAGCTGAGATTACAGGCACCCACCACCACACCCAGCTAATTTTGCATTTTTAGCAGAGATGGGGTTTCACCACATTGGCCAGGCTGGTCTTGAACTCGTGACCTCAAGTGATCCACCCACCTCAGCCCCCAAAGTGCTGGGATTACAAGCATGAGCCACCAAGCCTGGTCGAGCCGGGATATTTAAATTCACATTTGCCTAATGGACCTACAACATCCACTTAGTTCTGAGACCTTGATCTGTCATGGACAAGAGGCTGGTCTGCTGAGGAACTGAATGTTCATGAGCAGGGCTCTGTCAAACATAATCTTGCCTTTGTGACCTTTTTATAAACCCAATGATCTCTCTGACAACCACCACTTAGACAGATTGAACCCTAGGCTAACACATTCTGCTGCCAAGTGGATGTTATTAATAAGGTGTTTCACAGCACAACAAACTAAACCCTTCCAAGAACAAACTCGATGCAAAGGAAAGTAGATTGAACCCTACTTTCTGCCATGTACAAAAATCAAATCAAATAAAAAACAGATCAACAGGCCTGGCGCAATGGCTCATGCCTGTAATCCCAGCATTTGGGTGGCCGAGGCGGGTGGATCACTTGAGGTCAGGAGTTCAAGACCGGCCTGACTAACATGTGAAACCCCATCTCCATCAAAAATACAAAAATTAGCCAGGCGTGGTGGCGGGCACCTGTAATCCCAGCTACCTGGGAGGCTGAGGCAGGAGAATCACTTGAACCCGGGAGGCAGAGGTTGCAGAGAGCCGAGATCACACCTCTGCACTCCAGCCTGGGTGACAGAGAGAGACTGTGTCTCAAAATAAATAAATAAATAAAAAGTCAATAGCTTAAATATAATGTAGCTAAAATCATAAAACTCTTAGAAAAAAACATACAGGAATATCTTGATTACACTTTATTTGGAAGCAGATTGTTAGATACAACAGTGAAAGCATGAGTAACAAAACAAAAAAATAGATATATTGAACTTCATCAAATTTTAAAACTTTTCTCTATCAAAATGTTCTGTTAAGAAAATGGAGCATGGTACCAATAGAAACACAGATACAAAGGACAATGGAACAGAAGAGGTGGTGCAGAAATGAATCAATGAATTTATGGCAAATCATTTTTTGACAAAGATGCCGAGAACACACAGTGGGGAAAGGACAGTCTCTTCCATAAATGGTGCTGGGAAAACTGGAAAACCACATGCAGAGGAATGAAATTAGCTCCTCATCTCAGGTCTCAGTAAACCTGAAAATGCAAAACCACTAAAAGAAAACATAGGAATAATCCTCCATGAAATTACACTGGGCAATGATTTTTTGGATAAGAACCCAAAACACAAGCAACAAAGGCAAAAACAGAAAAATGAGATTGCATCAGGCTAAAAAGTTCCCACACAGCAAAAGAAACAATCTATAGAGTGAAGAGACATCCTATGGAATGGGAGAATACAATTGCAAAATTAAAGAGGGGGCCTGGTGTGGTGGCTCAGGCCTGTAAACCCAGCACTTTGGAGAGGCCAAGGCAGGAGGATCACTTGAGCCCAGGAGTTTGAGACCAGACTGGGCCACCTAGGGAGACCCCATCTCGACTAAATTTTAAAAAAGAAAAAACGACCTATTCAAGAGGGAATATTCAGGCCAGGCACAGTGGCTCATGCCTGTAATCCCAGCACTTTGGGAGGCCAAGGCGGGTGTATCACTTGAGGTCAGTTCGAGACCAGCCTGACCAATATGGTGAAACCCCATCTCTATTAAAAATACAAAAATTTGCCGGGCACTGTGGCATGTGCCTGTAATCCCAGCTACTCAGGAGGCTGAGACAGGAGAATTGCTTGAAGCTGGGAGGCGGAGGTTGCAGTGAGCCCAGATTGCACCACTGCACTCCAGCCTGGGCAACAGAGCGAGACTCCAACTCAAAAAAAAAAAAAAAAAAAGAAAAAGAAAAAGAAAGAATATTAAGACTGTATGAAATGCAACTCAATTGTGAGAAAACAACCTGATTGGAAAATAGACAAAGGATCTGAATAGACATTACTAGAAAGAAGGCATGCAAATTAACAGGTATATGAAAAAACACTCAGCTTCACAAATCTTCAGGAATGCAAATTCAAACCTCAATGACATATCACCTTGTACGTGTTAGAATGCTGTTATCAAGAAGTTGAACTGTTGGCCATGTGCGGTGGCTCAGCCTGTAATCCCAGCACTTTGGGAGGCCAAGGTGGATGGATCACGGGGTCAGGAGATCAAGACCATCCTGGCTAACACGGTGAAGCCCCGTCTCTACTAAAAAATACAAAAAATATTTGCCAGGCATGGTGGCGGGTGCCTGTAGTCCCAGCTACTCGGGAGGCTGAGGAAGGAGAATGGTGTGAACCAAGGAGGGGGAGCTTGCAGTGAGCCAAGATTGCATCACTGCACTCCAGCCTGGGCAACAGAGCAAGACTCCATCTCAAAAAAAAAAAAAGTTGAATTGTAAAAATGTTGGGTATGTGGAGAAAAGGGACATTGCATACTGTTGGTTGGAATATAAATTAGTGCTGCATTATGGAAAACAGTATGAAGGTTCCTTCTAAAATTGAAAATAGAACTACCTTAGGATCCAGCAATCCCACTACTGAGTTTATATGAAAGCAGTATGTTGAGAGATATCTGCATTTCTGTTTTCATGGCAGCATTCATCACCATAGCCAAGAAATGGAATCAACCTAAGGACTCATCATCAGAAATATAAAGAAATGTATTCTATCTGCACAATGGAATACTATTTAGCCTTTACAAAGAAGGAAAAACCTGTCACTTACTACCACATGGATGAACCTGCAGGACTTTCTGGTAAGTGAAATAAACCACGCACGGCTTGACAAATACTGCATGAACTCACATGCAGGTAGATGAAAACAAGTCAAACTCATAAAAACAGAGTAAATTGAGGTTACCAGAGGCTGTGAAGTGAGGGGATTGGGTAGATCATAGTCAAAAGACACAAAGTTTCAGTGAGACAGGGGAAGTGATTTTAAGAGATCTATTTACACTTTATGATGAATATAGTTAATAACAAATTGTATACTTCAAAAAACGGAAAGATAACATACAAATGGGTGGGGAATATTTGGCAAGCATATATCTGATAAGGGTCGAGTATTCTGAATATATGAGGAATTCTTACAGGTGAGAAACAAAAGTACAAACTGCACAATTACAAAGTGAGCAAAGATGTGAAAAGACATTGATTCATAGCAGATATACAAACTGCCAACAAGCATGTGGAAAGATGCTCAATGAATCATTAGGAAAATGGAAATCAAGAGCACAATGAGACACCACTTCATTGTTTTTTTGTTTATTTTTGTTTTTTTGAGACAGAGTCTTGCTCTGTCACCCAGGCTGTCACTTGCTCTGTCACAGTGATGCAATCTTGGCTCACTGCAACCTCTGCCTCCCAGCTTCAAGCATTCTCGTGCCTCTGCCTCCCAAGTAGCTGGGATTACAGGCGTATGCCACCATGCCTGGTTAATTTTTGTTTTATTAGAGATGGGATTTCGCCATGTTGGCCAGGCTGGTTTCAAACTCCTGGCCTCAAGTGATCCACCCACCTCAGCCTCCCAAAGTGCTGGGATTACAGGCATGAACCACCACACCTGGCTGGCTACAGTTGTTTTTTTAAAAAAGTATTGGCAAGGATGTGGAGATACTAGAACTTTATACATTGCTGGAAATGTTCAATGTGCCAGCTTCTATAAAACTCAGTTTGTCACTTGCTCAAAAAGTTAAACATATAATTACCATAGGACCCAGAAGTCCCACTGCTAGTTATCTTCCCCAACTGATGGAAACTAAGAACCAAACAAACAAATTTACATGCATGTTCATGGCAGCACTATTTACAGTAGCCCAAAGATGGAAATCACCCCTTGTCCATCAATGGATGAGTGAATAAACACTTTGCAGTCTGCACATCTAGTGGAATATTGCTCCACCATAAAAAGGAACGAAGGAAATTAACATTAACAAATAAAACAATCTAGGCCGGGCGCGGTGGCTCATGCCTGTAATCCCAGCACTTTGGGAGGCTGAGGCGGATGGATCACAAGGTCAGGAGATCGAGACCATCCTGGCTAACGTGGTGAAACCCCGTCTCTACTAAAAAAAAAATACAAAAAATTACCCAGGCGTGGTGGGGGGCGCCTGTAGTCCCAGCTACTCAGGAGGCTGAGGCAAGAGAATGGCATGAACCCGGGAGGCGGAGCTTGCAGTGAGCCGAGATCGTGCCACTGCACTCCAGCCTGGGGGACAGAGCGAGACTCCGTCTCAAAAATAAATAAATAAATAAATAAATAAATTTTAAAAAAACCTAGAGGAACAAGGAAAGGAAGGAGGGAGAGACTAAGATAAAGAAGGGAGAAAGGAGGAAGGATAGAAGGGAAAAGAGAAGTAAGAAGGACAAAAGCAAGAATCACAAGGAATGAAGCAACAGCTCAGGGTACTCCGAAGCACTAATCTCTATGAATTTTATGAATGAACCAGCCTGTGAATCTAGATCCCAGCTTTCAACTTGAAAAGCTCCTGAGTATTTTTATGAAATTCGGGTCAGCAAAGTTAGTAGTGGGGCTGCAGTGTCACACTGCCTGATATAGCCGACCTCAACTCAATCTCTTCCTCTGAGAAATAGAGTGAATGAGAGAAAATAACTCAAAGAAAGGTTTTTAGGATGAAATAGTTTATAGATGTAAACTAGTAAGCAGAGTTTTGATATGGTAAGTACTTTGCTTTGAATATTTTATGAATTTCATTTTATTTCTTCCAGGGATAACGAGCAAAATCAAATTAAGATGAAACAGTAACATTCAAATGGATCATTTTCGAGGACGCGTGTCAGCATTTGACATGAAGAGTTTTATAATGTCAAGTTAGAAATCTCAGGAATGGCACTAAAAAAATGGATCAAAGATGGAACTTTAAGGACTATGTGCAGAGAAGAAAACTTTAAAAGGAATTACTGAGAGAGCTCTTCAGCAGAAATATATTAGGTGGGTGCAAAAGTCATTGCAGTTTTGGCCATTACTTTTGATGGCAAAACTGCAATGACTTTTGCACCAACCTAATACAAAAACCTTTTTTTTCTTTTTTTTCAGACAGAGTCTCGCTCTGTCACCCAGACTGGAGTGCAGTGGTGCTACCTCGGCTCACTGAAACCTCCGCCTCCTGGGTTCAAGCGATTCTCCTGCCTCAGCCTCCAAAGCAGCTGGGACTACAGGCGTGTGCCACCACGCCCAGCTAATTTTTGTGTTTTTGGTAGAGACAGGGTTTCACCTGTTGGCCAGGATGGTCTCGATCTCTTGACCTCATGATCTGCCCGCCTCTGCCTCCCAAAGTGCTGCGATTACAGGTGTAAGCCACCGTGCCCGGCCATACAAAAACATTTTAAGCAAAGTCGTAGGTGCTTTGAAAATAGGAAACTGCAACATATATTTTAGGGGAGAGCAAGATCTAGGATATGCGCATTCACATTTGCTTAAGGGACCCATAGCATCCTCTTAGTTCTGAGGTTGTGTACCGTAAGAGACAAGAGGCTGCCCTGCTAAGGAGTCTCCCCAGGGCCCCCTTCACATCCTTGTTCCTCAGGCTGTAGATGAAGGGGTTCAGCATGGGGGTGACCATGGCGTACATCACTGAGGCCATGGAGCTGCTCTGGGAAGAATGGGTCACAGCAGAACTGAGATAGACCCCAAGTCCTGTTCCATAGAACAAGGAGACCACACAGAGGTGAGATCCACAGGTGGAAAAGGCTTTGTACTTGCCCTCGGTGGAGGACATTCTCATTAAGGAGGAGACAATCTGAGAGTAGGAGAAGAGGATCCCAGCTACAGGAAACACACCCAGCAGTGCCATGGCCACATACAAGACAATGTTAATGAGGAGAGCATCAGAGCGGGCCACCTTGAGGACCTGAGCCAGTTCACAGAAGAAATGCGGAATCTCAGTGCCTGTGGAGAAGGTCAGCCTCTTCATCAGTAGAATATGAACCAGGGAGAACCAGAAAATGATGAACCAAGATGCCAGAACCAGGAGGCCACAGAGATGGGGGTTTATGATGACCATGTACTGCAGTGGGTGGCAGATGGCCACAAACCGGTCATAGGCTATCACAGCCAGTAGGAAAGTATCCATTCCAGCAAACATCATTTAAAAATACACCTGAGTGAGGCACCCCATGTAGGAGATGTCTTTGCTCCGTGCCTGGATGTTCACTAGCATCTTGGGGACTGTGGTGCAGATGAAACAGGTGTCCACAAAGGACAAGTTGGAGAGGAAGAATTACATGGGGCTGTGGAGGTGGGAGTCAGAGCTGACGGCCAGGATGATGAGTAGGTTCCCCAGCACCATGACCAGGTACATGGACAGGAACAGCCCAAAGAGGACGGGCTGCAGTTCAGGATCATCTGAGAGTCCTAAGAGGAGGAATTCTGATAATTCTGTAAGGTTTTCTGCTTCCATGTAGCTGTTGTGTCTACTGGGGAAGGAGGAAAAAGCAACATTCAATCACTCTTCAATATCACCCTTGGATGCAACTTCTATGGAGTCCTTCCAAAGATCCTGATTCACTCAGCCATTTGGTAGCCTAATTCCATTTGAAACGTGCGGAGTTTCTCAAACTACCTTTAATTTAGCAGTAATCTTTCTCCTTTACCATATACTCCTGAGTTTTAATTATTTGATTCAAACCTATGGACAGTAATTTCTTCTTTGATAGGATCCTTCCACATAACTGCAGACTCGCCATGTCTTTTGATACATCTCCATAGTTCCTTCATGCTAATAGGTGTATAATCATGATTAAGATACGCATTTTCAACTCAGGCAATCTTTTTTTCTGTGACCTGACACAGGTGATGTGACAGTTAATTCTCAGTTCCTTAGTTTTCATGGATACCTCATGTTTTACTCATTTATGGGGGACATGTGATATTTTCTTACATGCATAGAATACATAATAATCACATCAGGGTATCTGAGGTGTCTACCACCTTCAGTATTTATCCTTTCTATGTGTTGGGAACAATTCACGTCCTCTTTTCTAGTTACTTTGAAATATGCAATACAATGTTGTTAACTATAGTAATGCTACTTTGCTCTTGATCAAAAGAACATATACCTTTTATCTAAGTGTACGTTTATTTTTTTCTTTCTAAAAATATGATTGTCAGTATCACTTTGTGAGGTTTTAAAAGTGGCTTTGTGTACAATAAGAGTCTCAGTAAATGATAGCTGTCGATATTATTAAACTCCTTCTTCTTATAAGATAGTTATTTTGGATATATCACTCTTCCAAGGTACAATACATAGGTGTAATTTAGGAAATGGAATCTTGAGGGAGATTTTCTGGAATAGAATTTTGGTCCACCAACTTACTATTGTGTGACCTTAAGAAAGACATGTGGCCAGGCACAGTGGCTCACGCCTGTAATCCCACCACCTTGGGAGGCCGAGGTGAGCGGATCACGAGGTCAGGAGTTCGAGACCAGCCTGGCCAACATGGTGAAACCCCGTCTCTACTAAATATACAAAAAATTGCCAGGCGTGGTGGTGCGCACCTGTAGTCCCAGCTACTTGGGAGGCTGAGGCAGGAGAATTGCTTGAACCTGGGAGGCGGAGGTTGCAGGGAGCTGATATCGTGCCACTGCACTCCAGCCTGGGTGACAGAGTGAGACTCTATATCAAAAAAAAAAAAAAGAAAGACATGTAAACCCTCTTAGCTGCAGATAATTCACCTCTAAATAAGAGTAGTAAATATTTTCTGCATGGACGGATTGAAGAGTGAAATTAAATGAGATGATCCATGTTGTTTTTCTGCTCTGGTTTCTGTGGCATACAACGGCCATATCATAAATGTGAGCTTCCGTTCTTAACATCACAATAATCTGCCTTGCATGAGTGTCATTTCTTAATATCCATCTCAAACTGTGCTGACCATCAAGGATGGAATTCTGGTGAAGATGAATAGAACTGTTACCTCTTTGACTGCCATACAACACTTCTAATTAATGAAGATTCCTGTGACTCCTTCCTTCAGAATGCCTGCCAGGTGATTCTTCCAAGAAGAGAAAAAAGCATGTGGACTACATATATAAGAGGAGGAAACAAAAGCACACAGCCATTAAAATAAAACACAAGTCACGTGTGAGTCTGTTCTCGTGTGTACGTGCTTTCCAGTGGGGTTGCAGTGTACTAAGGTCAGTAGAGTCGATCATCAACATATATAATTCATGGATTTGGTTCAAAATATTCAAAACTTACATAAATCATGTCATCCTAGAAAAAGAAAAGGCAAATTTAAGATTTGAAAATAAATGATTACATTTACCATGGTAGAAAAACGGCAGTGATACTGATGCCTAGAGATATTTAACTAATCAAAGACCAGAAAAACATCATAGAAGACGAATTTAGTCTAGGAAGTTGGGTTCTGAAATAGGAATCTTGGAGCTAAGAGAAGAAGATTGGGTCATGATTCAAAAGGGGAAGCAAGGAAAGAATAGACAGCGTAGGCTGGGAGGATGAAATGCCTGGTTGCACGTGACTCAGAGAGCTTAGTAATTGGGACTTGAGAGACCAGTGAGATGGAGAGTGGAGAGTGAGGGTTAGGGGGGTCAGAGCGTGAGCCCCACAAGAGACCATCCTGTGCTCTTTCTACATGAGTGCATCTCATGTAGGTAATTTTACGTTTATTTGTGGATCTGAGGTTGTGTTTTCTTTCATCATTTTTCTTTCCAGAGGTGTACATGGTACCCGTCACTTAGTGGAAGCAGTGTCATTCGTTTGGGGTAATACCTGAGGTTCGCTGCCTCACGCCAAGGAAATCAAGGACACAGACAAACAAGGATTGGGTTTAACAGCGGAGGTTTCATAGATGAGAGAAAGAGAAAAGCTCTCTCCGAGGCGCTGCCGAGTGGGTCTTCCAGTTCCATTGTGAAATGCATGGGATTTTATAGATAAGCTTGAGGAGGTGGTGTCTGATTTACACAGGGCACAAAGGACTGGTTGGACCAGGTGTGCCGTTTACAAAGTGCACGAAGAATCTTTTTTTTTTTTTTTTTTTTTTGCGACGGAGTTTCGCTCTTGCTGCCCAGGCTGCAGTGCAGTGGCGCGATCTTGGCTCACTGCAACCTCCGCCTCCCAGGTTCAAGTGATTCTCCTGCCTCAGCCTCCTGAATAGCTGGGACTACAGGCGCACACCACCACGCCTGGCTAATTTTTGTATTTTTAGTAGACACGGGGTTTCACCATGTTGGCCAGGATGGTCTCTATCTCCTGACCTCGTGATCCGTCCACCTCGGCCTCCCAAAGTGCTGGGATTACAGGCGTGAGCCACCGAGCCCGGCCATATAGCCTGCTTTTTAATGCACACAAGGTTGACAAAAGGAAGATGGAGCCTCCATGTTGAACACGCCTGGCCCCCAGGTAGCCTTTTCCCATTGGCACAGCTGCCAGCATTCACCCGTGCAAGCTTGCAGCCCGCTTTTCTATGTCTGCAGCTTGATTTTTTCAGGCTGCTCTTTGTTAAAAAAGAAATGATTTTGGGGGATGCTTTTTGTTAAAATGGAAACCCTTGCCAAGGACTCTCTTACCCTCACTAGCTGCCTAAGTAATTTCTTTTTAGCTCCTGTATCATTAGTAGGTGTTCAAGAAACACGATTTTGGATGTGTAATAAAGATTGAGATCAAAACTGACATCCATAACACAAAACAGAAATTTTTATTCATTTCATGCCTGAATATAGACACTAAATTGAACAGTAAAGTTAAATAAAATACGTTTCTGTTTATTTTAAAAGAATCATACACCGTGAACATGTAAGACTCCTATTAATAGCAAACAGGCTTAATATTAGGATGTTTGTTTACATAGTTCATCACAATAATAGGTCAATAAAAAAAAAACCTTAACCACAAACACAATGCAAAATAATATATTTCAGAAAATCAAACAGCAGCCAGTGCAGAGACTCTCAGGACATGAGGAAACCAAGGACAATTTTTGTTGTTGTTGCTTTTGTTTTTGAGACAGAGTCTTGCTCTATTGCCTAGGCTGGAGCGCAGTGGCGCAATCTCGGCTCACTGCAACCTCCACCTCGCAGGTTCAAGCGATTCTCCTGCCGCAGCCTCCCAAGTAGCTGGGACTACAGGCATGCGCCACCATGCCCAGCTAATTTTTGTATTTTTAGTAGAGATGGGGTTTCACCATGTCGGCCAGGATGGTCTCAATCTCGTGACCTCATGATCCACCCGCCTTGGCCTCCCAAAGTGCTGGGATTACAGGCATGAGCCACCATGCCCGGCCACCAAGGACAATTTAACCTAGTAAAGGAAACCACAGCCAACAGCATAGTCCATATTAAAACACTATAGCATTTCTCAGGCCGGGAGTGGTGGCTGACACCTGTAATAATCCCAGCACTTTGGGAGGCTGAGGTGGGCAGATCACTTGAGGTCAGGAGTTTGAGACAAGCCTGGCCAAGATGGTGAAACCCCATTTCTAATAAAAATACTAAAAATACAAAAATTAGCTGGTCATGGTGGTGCAAGCCTGTAATCCCAGTTACCTGGGAGGCTGAGACAAGAGAATCACTTGAAGGCGGAGGCGGAGGTTGCTGTGAGGCGAGATCATGTCATTGTACTCTAGCCTGGGCCACAGAGCAAGACTCCATCTCAATCAATCAATCAATAAATAAACACTACAGCATTCCTCTTAAATTCATGAATAGGCCAAGGCAGTCTACTCAGCATCAATCGTCTGAGAGTCTCCTGAACATTTAAAGACATTGGTAAAAATGAAATAAAGGAAATTGGCCCGAGTTTCAAATGTCAAAAATAATATTATTTTTTACATGGCACTGTGGACACTGAAGTGAAAAAATAGTAATGACAACAACAATGATATAGAATTCTTTAGTAATATTTGAAGTCAGATCTGCCAGCAACATAGTAAAATTATAAAAGAAAATCCAATCATATTAGAAACAAAATAGACAATACCTTGCGTAGGACAGATCTTCAGTGAGTCATTCAGGAAGAGGTGATTGGATTCAGGAAACCTACCAGGAACCTACAGTTTATGGCAGAGAGTGGAGAGGATTTGGAGATCATCAGAAAATCATACATTCAAGTATGGACATTCCTAACTGTTCCCGGAAAGAGGCTTCAGCTTCCAGAAGGAAAGAAAAGGAACAGAACAAGGGCTACAAAAGACTGGTATTGGTGAAAACTAAAGTACCTTTAAAATACAGGAACTTCAAGGCTGGGCGCGGTGGCTCACACCTGTAATCTCAGCACTTTGGGAGGCCAAAGCAGGGGGATCACCTGAGGTTAGGAGTTCGAGACCAGCCTGAGCAACATGGAGAAACCCCGTCTCTACTAAAAACACAAAAATTAGCCAGGCGTAGTGGCGCCTGCCTGTAATCCCAGCTACTCAGGAGGCTGAGGCAGGAGAATCGCTTGAACCCAAGAGGCGGAGGTTGTGCTGAGCCGAGATCGTGCCATTGCACTCCAGCTTGGGTAATAAGAGCAAAATTCTGTCTCAAAAAAAAAAAAAAATACAGGAACTTCAGCTTCATAGACTAAATAAATATGGGACTGTCTAGGCTTATTACTCTAAAGGTACAGCCCAGTACCCACTCTCTCTCCTCTTACCCCAGCAGCCCTTGTTGGGTCACACTGACTCTGATTGTCACTGATGCTTTCTCTTCTCCATGGTGTGTCCCTGTTAAACCCAATTGTGTTTTTTCCAAGGCTGGGATCAGAGAATTACACTTGAGGGGTGGCAGGGCCCAGTTCGAAGTTTCCATTGCCTCAAGGGTTGAACTCTCAGAGAGCCTCATTAAATAAATTGTTCTATTGTTTTTCCACCCTCCAAATAATTCAGCTCCCTTAGGATACAAAGAAGATAGCAGAATGGAAAATGTTCAGGCAATTTTGCAGCGGTAGTGGGAGATGAATTTATTTTCTCCAAGGAGAAACTCTTTCTTTAGTTGGATTTAAAAGTCACAAGGTATTCCCTAAGGAAAGTTTAATTTCTTTTTTTCTTTTCTTTCTTTCTTTTTTTTTTTGAGACAGAATCTTGCTCTGTCGCCCAGGCTGGAGTGCAGTGGTGTGATCTTGGCTCACTGCAACCTCTGCCTCCCAGGTTCAAGTGATTCTCCTGCCTCAGTCTCCTGAGTAGCTGGGATTACAGGCACCTGCCACCACGCCCGGCTAATTTTTGTAGTTTTTTTTTAGTAGAGATGGGGTTTCACCATATTGGCCAGGCTGGTCTCGAACTCCTGACCTCCGGTGATCCACCCGCCTCAGCCTCCCAAAGTGCTGGAATTACAGGCATGAGCCACCATCCCTGGCAGGAAAGTTTAATTTCTATAAGGAACCAAAACTCAGCAATCTTCTCTCTGGAATGTGCCTCCCTTGAAGAAACTTTGGAGATTTTATGGATCCCTTGGTGTCCACAAGGTTATAGAGGCAAAGGGATCTTTTTTTTAAATTTACTTTCCTTATGTTTTAACCACTTTATTGAAGTATGATTAAAATGTAAAAGCTGTAGACATTTAATGTATACACATGATGAGTTTTGAAACAGGCATACATCCTTGAAACCATCACCACCATTACGGCGAGGGACATACCCATCACCTCTTAAAGTTTCAACTGGCTTTAATATTTTAATGTGTGATAACCACACATAACATAACGTCTGCCTTTAAGCACATTTTTCTAAATAATACATTATTGATATCTACAAGCACTGTATTGTATAGGACATATCCACAACTTATTAATCTTGCATCACTAGAACCCTTTGTGGTTTAACCAGCATCTCCCCATTTTCTCCCCTTTTCAGTCCCTGGCATTCACCATCTACTCCAAAGTAGTCCTTCCTGAAGGAAAGCAAATTGGTGAGTAGGTTTTGTCCTGGTGAAAGAACCAACAAAATGAGGACTGAACAATAGTTTTTGACATTTTCTGGTGACATGGAAGCCTTTGTTGATTTTAGGAAGGGCTTCATTTATTACCTCTAAATAGAAGGGTAGGACAGTAATAGCCCATATGGAGTAGGTGAAGAGTGTGTCTAGAGGAAATATAGGTGGCAAATGTACACCAACTATGAAGTTTTTAGGGAAGCGGAGAGAAGAGAGAAAGTGTAGCCTAACGGGGGCATGGAGTATGGGAGAGTATTTTGAAAAATGTTTTTAACTGGACAATAGGGGAATGTGTTTAATTTCAAAGAGAATGAAAATAATTAATGTAGGTATTTGAATACACAGATACTGACTACAAAATTGGCAGGATGTAATATACACCATAAGACAAAGAAAAATCATAATGTGCTACATCCCCAATATATAAAATCCATGGGTCCAAAACTCAAGGGTGGACAGTGAGAATGGCTATTATTAAAAAGTCAAAAAATAACAGATGCTGGTGAGGTTGTGGAGAAAAAGGAATGCTTATACACTGTCGGTGGAGGTATAAATTAGTTCATTCGTTATGGAAGACAGTGTGATGATTCCTCACAGACCTAAAGACAGAAATACCATTCTGGCCGGGCGCTGTGGCTCACGCCTGTAATCCCAGCACTTTGGGAGGCCGAGGCGGGCGGATCACGAGGTCAGGAGATCGAGACCATCCCGGCTAAAACGGTGAAACCCCGTCTCTACTAAAAATACAAAAAATTAGCCGGGCGTAGTGGCGGGCGCCTGTAGTCCCAGCTACTTGGGAGGCTGAGGCAGGAGAATGGCATGAACCCGGGAGGCGGAGCTTGCAGTGAGCCGAGATCCCGCCACTGCACTCCAGCCTGGGCGACAGAGCGAGACTCCGTCTCAAAAAAAAAAAAAAAAAAAAAAGAAATACCATTCTACCCAGCAATCCCATTACTGGGTATATACCCAGAGGAATATATATCATTAGTATATAAAGACACATGGATGTATATGTTCACTGCAGCAATATTTACAATAGCAAAGGTATAGAACCAACCTAAATGTCCATCAGTGATAGACTGGATAAAGAAAATGTGGTACATATACACCATGGAATACTATGCAGCCATAAAAAAGAATGATATCAGGCAGGCATGGCGGCTCAAGTCTGTAATCCCAGCACTTTGGGAGCCCAAGGCGTGTGGAT
Source organism: Homo sapiens (assembly GCF_000001405.40). Lineage (NCBI taxonomy): Eukaryota > Metazoa > Chordata > Mammalia > Primates > Hominidae > Homo > Homo sapiens. The sequence continues at coordinate 9,227,466 of NC_000019.10, read as the reverse complement.
CACGAGGTCAAGAAATTGAGACCAGCCTGGCCAACGTGGCGAAACCCCGTCTCTACTAAAAATACAAAAATTAGCTGAGCTTGGTGGCTCATGCCTGTAGTCCCAGTTCCTCCGGAGGCTGAGGCAGGAGAATAGCTTGAACCCAGGAGGCAGAGGTTGCAGTGAGCCGAGATCGTGCCACTGCACTCCCACCTGGTGACAGAGCAGGACTCTGGAAAAAAAAAAAAAAGAGAAAGAATGAGATCAATGTCCTTTGTAGGGACATGGATGGAGCTGGAGGCCATTATCCTTAGCAAAGTAATGCAGGAACAGAAAAGCAAATACCGCATGTTCTCACTTATAGGTGAAAGCTAAATGATGGGAACACATGGACACAGAGAGGGGAACTACACACACTGAGGCCTTTCAGAGGATGGAGGGTGGGAGGAGTAAGAGGATCAGGAAAAATAACTAATGGGTACTAGGCTTAATAGCCAGGTGATCAAATAATCTGTACAACAAACCCCTATGACCCAGTTTACCTATGTGACAAACCTGCACTTGTACCCCTGAGCTTAAGATAAAGTTAAAAAAAATCAAGGGTGGAAAGTAGAAGGGTCCCTGCCTGATGTTCCTCTCAGGGAGCCACTTGGGGACTTTGTGCTTCTGTTCTCAAGTCTGACTTCTGCAGATTTAGAGGTCTTGGCTTCTAAAGGCTGTAAAAGTAAGTAGAGGTTCCTCTTCAAAGACTTTCCTCCTTGTCTAATTGGGAATAAATAGTAACTTCCCTTAGAAGCAAAATTTATTCAAAGACCTGTGCTAACATTCTTAAATATCTGCTAGCCGTAATAAAGAAATCAATGTACTTTATGTTTTTAGCTCTCACAATTTAGCCTAAATATTTGCCCTGGCATGCTTATACTGGTCCAAGCAAGCATTAGGTCATAGCCTGTTCCTCTTCCTTATTTGAAGGTGTTTTTACCTTTCTCAACATTCCACAAGTTACTTTCTCCTTCCTTTGTTCTCCTCTGCCTTTGCCTCTTTTAAAAAGTTCTAAGTTGCTAGCCAATCAGGACAAACACGGAATGTGCGGTCCCGTTCCAGCCAGTGGAAACCGGACCCAGCAGTAGGGTGGACACATCAGGTTATAAATGACCTTGTCTCCTTTGTTCAGTATACTCTCGTGGCAAAACTGCTGGCGAGTGTACCCTTTCTGCAGAAAGTATAAAAATGGCCTGGCTGAGGAAATTAAATTTATATTCAAGTGCTATTTCTTTATGGTACCAGGGAACAAGCATTTCAAACAAGGCTTAGCCCTTCTAGAGAAAGGGCAGAAGTCTCTAAGAACTTCAAGCCATGCTGCTGCCTAGCACTTCAGGGCTCTCATGCCAAGGAGAGGAGCTCCCACCTGGCAGGAGTAATTGACCCAGGTCATCAATGTCATTGTGGACACAGGAAGGAGCATGCACAGGTGCCTTGCTGTGTTCTAGCCGTGATGGGAGCAGCCCAGGAGCAAGCTTGGCACAAACATAGTAATGAATACAGATGGCTCTGGGTCAGTTATGCTCCTACAGCAAGAGAGATGAGTGTTTCCACCATGAATAAAGCAGCCTCCTTCAGCTGAGAGCAACTCTCTAAGGGGATTGAGGCTGCAGGCTGCCATATGGCTACACTCCTTATGCCCTGAAGAACAGGACCTTCATTCTGAAATGGATAAGTAAGGAATGCAACGCAGCATCCATGACCATCCACTCCTTCAGCCATTTGGATAAACTTTTTGTGTACATTCAAGGAGTGGCATTCCCCATGGTTTCCTTTGTGTCGTTTTAGGGAAGAGAGGCCAATAGGATGAAATACTTACAAAAGGAGGGTCAGTGGTTCAAACAGCAGCCTCTGCTGCTGCCTGTCATCTCAAGGTCCCACTGATATAGGTAGTGTCCCCCTCCCTTGTCACCATCCTCAATTCCCCTCTCCTTTTTGTTGTTTTTTTATTCCTTCCTTCCTTCTTTCCTTCCTTCCTTCCCTCCCTCCCTCCCTCTCTTTTCTTTCTTCCTTCGCTTCCTTCCCTTCCTTCCCCTCCTTCCCTTCCTTCCCCTCCTTCCTTCCTTCCTTCTTTCCTTCTTGAGTTTCGCTCTTGTTGCCCAGGCTGGAGAACAGTGGTGTGATCTTGGCTCACTGCAACCTCTGCCTCCCAGGTTCAAGCAGTTCTCTTGCCTCAGCCTCCCGAGTAGCTGGGATTACAGGCATGTGCCATCACATCTGGCTAATTTTTTTTAGTAGAGATGGGGTTTCCCCATGTTGGTCAGGCTGGTCTTGAACTCCTGACCTCAGGTGATCTGCCCACCTCAGTCTCCCAATGTGCTGGGATTACAGACATGGGCCACCGCACCCGACCTCCCCTCTCCTTGTATAACACTTCTGTTGTTGGGTGATTCAGGTGGTGGGGTGACCTTGACCTTCATCCCTAAGCATTCCAAGTCCTGGTTGTCATTTCTTTTTCAGGTCATGTCTGTTGCATTTGACCATTGATTGTGAAAATTGAGAGAAAGTCTACTGATAAGTGTTTAAATGGATCACCCACATACCAACATAATCTCCTCTTCTCACATCATACACCCCTATGCTTGGGCCATATTATCTGCTAGATCTATGGTGTTGAAGGTCATTGGTGAACAAAATTCAGAGTGCATCTATGGAATCTCTCTCTCTTTTTTTTTTTTGTTTTGACCAAGTCTCACTCCATTGCCCAGGCTGAAGTGCAGTGGCACGATTCTGGCTCACTGCAACCTCCACCTCCCCAGTTCAAGTGATTCTCCTGCCTCAGCCTCCCAAGTAGCTAGGATTACAGGCTTGCACCACCATGCTCAGTTAATTTTTTGTATTTTTTATTTTTTAGTAGAGACAGGGTTTCACCTTGTTGGCCATGCTGGTCTTGAACTCCTGGGCTCAAGTGATCCACTGGCCTCAGCCTCCCAAAGTGCTGGGATTACAGGTGTGAGCCACCATGCCTGGCCATATGGAATCTCTTAGTGGGAAAATCATGATCAGGTTTTAAGGATTCTAGAATGAGGCTATGCCATCCACTGGAAATATTTATATGTCTTTGAGAAATAGTTCCTGGTTTGTTACCAAGTCCTGTAGATATGGGATGCTTGATGACGGGGTACCAATGACCACATATATGAAATTTCCCACTATAACCTGATTCTATGGGCCCTACTAAGTCGTAACATTAGACAGGCCCAGCCCCAATCCATGGTGGAAATGGCACATCTGAGAATGAACCCAAACAGGACCAGAGGCATGAGAAAGCTGCACGTGTAGAAAGCCGAGACCCCGGCTGGGTGCAGTGGCTCACACCTGTAATCCCAGCACTTTGGGAGGCTGAGGCAGGTGGATCACGAGGTCAGGAGATCGAGACCATCCTGGCTAACATGGTGAAACCCTGTCTCTATTAAAAATACAAAAAATTAGCTGGGTGTGGTGGCACACACCTGTTATCCCAGCTAATCGGGAGGCGGAGGCACGATAATTGCTTGAACCCAGGAGGCAGAGGTTGCAGTGAGCCGAGATTGTGCCACTGCACTCCAGTCTATGCCACAGAGCAAGATTCAGTCTGAAAAAAAAAGCCAAGACTCCAGCAGATCCCAATGGCATTCACCATTATCGCACCAACACCACGCCTTTAGCTTGTACCTAGGGTCCATTGGGGAGCAGGAGATGTCCTGTACTATTAAAAAAAAAAAAAAAAAAGAAGAGAAAAATGCCTGAGTTTGCTTTATAGACAGATTGGCTTGGTATGTGAGTACAATAAAAAATGAGCCATGGCTTCATTATAGCCAAGTTCAGGGACACCCTGAAAAAGGGGTGTATAGAAAAAATCTCTGCAAAGGGTGGAACTGCAAGCGGCACATCTGGTCATCCACGTTGTCTGGAAGAAAAAGTCATTTGAGGTGGTGGGACCACCTGGTCATGGGCTTTGAAAGAAAATGATGAAACAGTGTAGACAGGTATGTAGATGGACATAGAGGACTGGATATGATAAATGAAAATATTTGTGTTGTATGTCACATAGGAGGCAGATAGGCATTCATTTTGCCACATAACATTTTCCAGCCTTTATCATTGGCCACCTGATGGTATGATGGCCTGATAAACAGAGTGGCCACAAGGGCTGATCCTCCCATTTGCAAAGATCCATTGAGCTGGTGCTGCTTCGGAATGTCCGAATGGTCAGCAAGAGACAATAGCAGAACACCCAGAGGGCCTTCTTTCTTGAGGAGACCAGCCAGCCAGGGGAGCAGGTTGACCACATGGGGCTCCTTCTATCTTGAAAAGACCAGCAGTTTATCCTCACAAGGATGGTGCAAATTATGCAAATTAAACAACAAGAAACATCAAACTCACAGAATGAAGAACAAAAGCCATATGACCATTTCTATAGATGCAGAAAAAAACATTTGACAAAAATTAACATCCTTTAATGATAAAGACTCAATGAGTTAGATATAGAAGGAATATACCTCAACATAGTAAAAACCACACACAAGAAACCCACAGCTAACATCACACTCAATGGGGAACAATTGAAAACATTTTATCTAGGGTCCAGAACAAGAAAGGAATGCCTGTTCTCACCACTTCTACTCAATATAGTAGTGGAAGTTCTAGCTAAATCAATTAGGTTAGAGAAAAAAAATAAAAGACATCCAAACTGGAAAGTAAGAAGTTAAGTTTTCCCTGTTTGCAGATGACATGACCTTATGTATAGAAAACTCTGAAGACTGCCAAAAACTGTTAGAACTAACAAAAAAGACTCAGTAAAGTTGGAGGATACATAATCGACATATAAAAATCAATAGTGTTTCTATATACTAACAGCAAACTACTCAAAAAAGAAATCAACAAAATAATCCTATTTATAATTGGTACCCCCAAAAATAGAATGCTTAGGAATAAATTTAACTGAGGAGGTGAAAAATTTGTACACCCAGAACTATAAAACATTGTTGAAAGAAATTAAAGAAGATACAAATAAATGGAAAGATATCCCATGTTCATGAACTGGAAGAATTGCTATATTAAAATGTCCATACTATCCAAAGCAATCTACAGATTTAATGCAAACCCTGTCAAAATTGTAAAAACATTTTTCACAGAAATAATTTTTGTGGAATCACTAAAGACACCAAATAGCTAAAGCAATGTGAGCCAAAATAACAAAGCTGGAGGCATCACACTACCTGATTTAAAACTATTTGACAAAGCTGTAATATCCAAAACAGCATGGTGCTGGCATAAAACTAGATACATAGACCAACTGAACAAAATATCAACCACAGAAATAAATCCATGTATTTATAGCCAACTGATTTTCAACAAAGGTGCCAAAGACTCACAAGGGGGAAAGGACAGTCTCTTTAATAAATGGTGTTGGGAAAACTGGATATCCAGGCAGAGAAGAATGAAATTAGGTATTTACTTCACACTATATACGAAAATCCATTCAAAATGGATTAAAGTCTTAAATGTAAAACCTAAAATAGAAAAGCTAGAAAATAACAAAAGAGGAAAACCTCATGATAGTGGTCTGAGCAGTGATTTTTTTGGATATGACCTCTGAAGCACAGACAACAAAAGCAATAGACAAATGGAATTACATTAAACTAAAAATCTCCACACAGCAAAGGAAACAGTAGAGTGAAGAGACAAACTACAGAATGGAGGAAAATATTTGCAAACTAGACATGTGATATGGGGCTAATATCCAAAATACGTAAGAAGCTCAAACAACTCAGTAGGAAGAAAACGACCCAATTTTAAAATGGGCAAAAGACAGCCTGGCGCGGTGGCTCACGCCTGTAATCCCAGCACTTTGAGAGGCAGAGGAGAGCGGATCACGGGGTCAGGAGATCGAGACCACCCTGGCTAACACGGTGATAACCCCGTCTCTACTAAAAATACAAAAAAGTAGCCGGGCGTCGTGGCAGGCGCCTGTAATCCCAGCTACTCGGGAGGCTGAGGCAGGAGAATGGCGTAAACCCGGGAGGCGGAGCTTGCAGCGAGCGGAGATCGCGCCACTGCATTCCAGCCTGGGTGACAGAGCGAGACTCCGTCTCAAAAAAAAAAAAAAAAAAAAAAAAAAAAGGGCAAAAGACCTGAAAGACATTTGTCAAAAGAAGACACACAGATGGACAACATACATTTTTTTTTTCTTGAGACGAGTCTCGCTCTGTCACCCAGGCTGGAGTGCAGTGGCGCGATCTCGGCTCACTGCAAGCTCCCCCTCCCGGGTTGAAGTCATTCTCCTGCCTCAGCCTCCCAAGTAGCTGGGACTACAGGCGCCCGCCACCACGCCCGGCTAATTTTTTGTATTTTTAGTAGGGACGGGGTTTCACCTTTAGCCAGGATGGTCTCGATCGCCTGACCCTGTGATCCGCCCGTCTAGGCCTCCCAAAGTGCTGGGATTACAGGCGTGAGCCACTGCGCCCGGCCCAACATACATTTTTAAAAGGTTTAACTTCACTAATCATCAGGGAAATGCAAATGAAAACCACAATGAGATATCACCTCACTTCATCTCAAATGGCTATTACTAAAAAGACAAAAGATAGTAAGTGCTGGCCAGGATATGAAGAAATGGAAACCCTTCTACACTGTTGGTAGGAATGTAAATTAGTACAACCATTATGGAAAAGAGTATGGAGGTTCCTCAAAAACTTAAAAATAGAACTACCATATGATCCAGCAGTCCACTACTGGGTATATATCAATAAGAAACGAAGTCAGTGTGTGGAAGGGATATCGCACTCCCATGTTTATTGGAGCATTATTCACAGTAGCCAAGACACAGAATCAACCTAGTTGTCTGCAAATAAATGAATGGATAAAGAAAATGTAGTATATATACACAATGGAATATGATTCATCCATAAAACACAAGGAAATCCTGTCATTTGCAACATGGATGAACTCAGAGAACATTGTGTTAAGTGAAATAAGGGAGGCACAGAAAGACAAATATCACATGATCTCACTCATATGTGGAATCTAACGAAGGTGATCTCAGAGAAATAGAATCCAGATTTCAAAGAAGTAGAATGTTGGTTACCAGACCCAGAGTGGTTTGGGGTTGAGGAGTAGTGTTGGTGTTGTGGAGATGTTAGTAAAAGAATACAAAATTACAGCTATATAAGAGAAGTAAGTTCAAGAGATCTATTGTACAGCAGGATGACTTTAGTTAATGATGATATATATGATATTCTTTGAAAATGCTAAGAGAGTGGATATTAAGTGTTCTCACCAGGATAACGACTCTGTGAGATAATGCGTATGTTAATTAGATACATTGAATGTCCACAATGTATATATATTTCCAAATATCAAGTTGTACATGATACATACATATAATTCTATAATTTAAAAAAATATATAAAAATAATTTGAAAAAATATTTAAAAAGAAAAGACATTTTTGTTTCCATGAATTTTCAACACCGAGGGATCCATAAAATCTCCAAAGACTCTTCAAGGGAGTCACATCGCTTGGAGATGATTCCTGAGTTTAGTTCCTTGCAGAAATTAATCTTTCCTTAGGGCAAAACTTGTGACTTTCAAATTAAACCGAAGAAAGAATTTCTTCTTGGGGGAAATAAATCCATCATGCCCTACCACTGCCTATTTCATCACAAAATTAACTGAAAAATTTCCATTCTATCATCTTCTTACTACTCAAAGGGAGCCAAACTCTTTGGAGAGTGGGAAGAAAATAGAACAATTTATTTAATAAGGTGCTCTGAGAATTCAACTCTTGAGACACTGGAAACTTAAAATGTGCCCCTGTTTAAACAACCTCACCTGTAATTCTCTGCTCCCAGCCTTTGGAAAAAACCCAGTACGGCTTCCTAGGAACAGATCGTGTAGAAGAGAAAACTTCAGTGATAACCATCAGAGTTAGTGTGACCCAGTGAGGGCTGGTGGGGTAAGAAGGAAAAGAGGAGAGAGAATAAGTACTAGCCTTCACAGTAATGAGCCTGGAAAGTCCCATACTTATTGAGTCTATGAAGGTGAAGTCCCTGTACTTTGATGGTACTTTAGTTTTCACAGAAACCAGTGTCTCCCACCTTCTGTTCTCACTCCTTGGAATCCAGGGCCCGTCTTTAATAAGTTATTTTCCGAACAGTCTCTAACTCTCCTGCACTCTTTCCTATAAACTTTAGTCTCCTGTTGAATTTCGTACATCCAGTTACTTATTCATTAACTACTCACGGAAGATCTACTATGCTCAAGGTATTGTCTATGTGTTCCTAATGTGATTGGATTTTTCTATTATATTCTATATTTTTCCTGGCAGATTATTGGTTACCAGACCCAGAGTGGTCTGGGGATTGGGGGTAGGGTTGATGTGGTGGAGATGGTGACTTATTTACAGCACTTACTAGCTGTTATGTTTTTGCTATTTCAACTTAGTATCCATGATATCATATAGAAATAATACAATTATTTCTGACATTCAACATGCAGTCCAATTTTTTTTCTCATATTAAAAATCCCTTGGCTGAACGTAGTGGCTCACATCTATAATCCCAGCACTTTGGGAGGCCGAGGCGGGCAGATCACTTGAGGCCAGGACCCTGAGACCAGCCTGGCTAACATGGCAAAACCCTGTCTCTACTAAACAATAACAAAAAAAGAAAGCCTGACACCTTAGCTTACACCTGCAATCCCAGTTACTCGGGAGACTGAGATGGGATAATTGCTTGAACCCAGGAGGCAGAGGTTGCAGTAAGCTGAGACTGCACCCCGCACTCCAGCCCAGGTGACAAAGTGACACCATGTCCCCCCCAAAAAAAAATCCATTTGCATGTTCACCAAAATATCAAAAGATTGAAATTGTAGTAGACGGCCTTTGGTGTATCCAGGAATTTAAACCCCTTACTGTTTTAACATAGCATATCTTGTTGCCTGTGGTATTAAAACAACCATTGTTTATCGGGTTAAGCAATTGTCCTTGGTTTCTTCCTTTATTGAGAGGATCTGCCCTGGTTGATAATCTTTTTCAAATGCATTTTTTCTATTGTGATTTTGTTTATGATTTCTCTTTACTGACCTGTTTTTGTGATGAATTATGCAGACATTCTTACATTAAACCTGCTTCCATTGTTAGAGCTGGTATTACTACTTCATTTATCATTATTTTAAAAGAGATATGAATATGTTATTTACTGTATTATTAAATTTATGTCTATATTCAAACATGTCTTAAACTTGAAGATTTCTATTTTGTGTTATAGTTGATGCTTTGGTCCCAGTCTTTATAGAACATTTCAATTTGTACTTGCTCAGAATCAGTAATGTGCTGGGCACCACGTAAATCCTTGTTAAATGATGAGACAAAACAATCGCAACCACTGTCTAAAACTAAATATAAGTTGACCAATGTGAAAGGGACAAGGAGGAAGAATATAGGATGTTCTATTTCTAGTCATCAAATACATATCCCGCTTTCATTCCCTGCTCCCCATCTCACTGGCATCTCAAATCCCTTCCTTTACAAGCTCAATGACCCATGGGACAATCTCGAATTCTCTTCTGTCAGCCTAGAAGATTTACCCTTTCCTTTCCTTACTTCCCCTAATTAACAATGATCCGGCCAGGTGCAGTAGCTCATGTCTGTAATCCCAGCATTTTGGGAGGCCGAGGTGGGCAGATCACTTGAGGTCAGTAGTTCGAGACCAGCCTGGCTAACAAGGTGAAACCCTGTCTCTACTAAAAATAAAAAAATTAGCTGAGCGTAGTGGCACACACCTGTAATCCCAGCTACTCAGGAGGCTGAGACAGGAGAATCGCTTGAACCTGGGAGGCAGAGGTTGCAGTGAACAGAGATAGCACCACTATACTCCAGCCTGGGCAACAGATCGAGATTCCATCTCCAAACAAACAAACAAACAAACCAATGATCCATTCTTCCTCTCTCAGCCCAAATTTTCCTATCTCAGAGAAGCCTCTTCTATCCACTTTCCAGGACTAAAGTTGGTCTTCAGTGATTATTTTTCCATCTTTAATTAATCAACATTCTCTAGGCATAAATAGTAACAACCTTTTTTCCATCATGAAAAATGCAAATTTTTTTTCAAACCTCAAAGTTGCCCTTTAGTTTTTTAGGATGATTTGATTTATAGAAATTTTTAAATTTTTATATCAAACTTATCAGTCACATTTCTTGGCAATTCATTGCCCTGATATTAGTCCAACATTCCCACTCAACTGCATGTGTACACAAGCACACATTCTCTCAGGCCTTGTCTTTGATTCTAATGGCGGTGTCCCTTTCTTTTCTCATCTTGTGTATGTAGTCCACAGGCTTTTGTTACTTCTTGGAGGAATACACTGGGCAGACATTCTCTGAAGCAGGGAAGCATAGGGATCTTCATGAGTTGAGAGTCCTGTGTGGTGGTCACAAGACGTAACAGACCTGTTGTATTCACAGTGATCAGAATTCCATCCTTGATGGCTGCCCCATGTAAGGGGGATATTGATATTGATAAATGATAGCCATGAAAGACAGATTTATTGTAATGTTAAAAACAAAAGTTCAGGCTGGGCACAGTGGCTCATGCCTGTAATCTCAGCACATTGGGAGGCCAAGGTGGGTGGATCACTTGAGCCCAGGAGTTCAAAACCAACCTGGCCAACATGGTGAAACCCCATCTCTACTAAAAATAGAAAAATTAGCTGGGCATGGTGGTGCATGCCTGTGGTCCCAGCTACTTGGGAGGCTGAGGCACAAGAATCACTTGAACCCAGGAGGCAGAGGTTGCAGTGAGCCAACATTGCACCACTGCACTCCAGCCTGGTCAACAGAGTGAGACTCTGTCTCAAAAAAAAAAGCAAAAGAACAAAAGTTCATATGTGTGAAATATCCATTGTATGACACAGAAATCATAGTAGACAAATGACATGGATAATCTCATTTAATTTCACTCTTCAATATTCCCACATAGGGAGTATTTACTACTCCTACTATGGAGGTGAGGTAGCTGCAGCTAAGACAGTTCAAATAACTTTCTCTATGGTATACAGTAGTAAGTTGGTGGATTCACATAGTTTGGCTGTGTCCCTACACAGTGAACCAGAGGCAGGTCACAGAAGAAATGTGGAATTTCAGTGCCTATAGAGAAGGTCAACCTCTTCATCAGAAGAACATGAACCAGGGAGACCCAGAAAATGATAAATCAAGATGCCAGAACAAGGAGGCCACAGAGGCAGGAGTTCATGATGACTGTGGGGTGCAGGGGGTGGCAGATCTCATCTTGAATTCCCATGTGTAATGGGAGGGACCCAGTGGGAGGAAATTGAATCATGGAGACAGGTCTTTCCCATGCTGTTCTTGAGATAGTGAGTAAGTCTCATGAGATCTTATGGTTCTATAAGGGGGAGTTTCCTTGCACAAGCTTTCTCTCTTTGCCTGCCACCATCCATGTAAGATGTGACTTGCTCCTCCTTGCCTTCCACCGTGATTATAAGGCTTCCCCAGCCACGTGGAACTGTAAGTCCATTAAACATCTTTCTGTTGTAAATTGCCCAGTCTCAGGTATGTCTTTATCAGCAGAGTGAAAACAGACTAATGCATGGATCAGAATTTTATTCTAAAAAGTCTGATTTCAGAAAATATTTTCCAAATCACAGCTCTATGCTATACCTTGGAAGAGTTATATATCTAAGTAATTATCATAAAAGGAAAAGATTAATAAGATTAATAGTAATAGTAGCAGTAATGATAGCTATCATTTGTTGATATTCCTACCGTGCATATGGCATTTTTAAACCTCAATAAGAAAGTAATATCAATAATTTAATTTTAAGGAAGGAAGAAAGCCCTGAGAGTTAACTGTCACATCACTTCCAAGCACTGGGTCACAGAATAAAGGTTGTTTGGGTTGAAAATCCACAACTTAATAACTATTGTACATCTATTAGAATGAAGGAAGCATGGGGATTATCGAGGAAAAGACATGACATACCTTTAATTATTTTGGAAGATTCACACCAAAGAAGAAATTGATTTAAGTTCATAGATACAAATGGGGGAATTAAAACTGGTGAGTAAATGAAAAAAAGAGGTTTTTTTTTTTTTTTTTTTTTTTTGAGACGGAGTCTCACTTTGTCACCAGGCTGGAGTGCAGTGCCATGATCTTGGCTCACTGCAACCTCCGCCTCCTGGGTTCAAGCGATTCTCCTGCCTCAGCCTCCTTAGTAACTGGGATTACAGGTGCACTCCACAACGCCCAGCTGATTTTTGTATTTTTAGTAGAGACAGGGTTTCACCATATTGGCCAGGATGGTCTCAATCTCTTGACCTCGTGATCTGCCCACCTTGTCCTCCCAAAGTGCTGGGATTACAGGCGTGAGCCACCATGCCCGGCCAAAGAGAGAGATTTCTAAAAATTAAAGAATGGCTGGATAACTCTACACAAATAGAATAAAAATAGATACCACTTCCTGAGAGATTCATTGTCTTTGTAAGGACTCCAGGAAGGGTGACAAATGTCCATCAAAAGGTGATATTGTAAAGTGATGACAAGCTGAGCTGCCACTTGCTGTTCATTAAACGTTGCTTTTTCCTCCTTCCCCAGCAGACACAACAGCTACATGGAAGCAGAAAACCTTACAGAATTATCAAAATTTCTCCTCCTGGGACTCTCAGATGATCCTGAACTGCAGCCCGTCCTCTTTGGGCTGTTCCTGTCCATGTACCTGGTCACGGTGCTGGGGAACCTGCTCATCATTCTGGCCGTCAGCTCTGACTCCCACCTCCACACCCCCATGTACTTCTTCCTCTCCAACCTGTCCTTTGTTGACATCTGTTTCATCTCCACCACAGTCCCCAAGATGCTAGTGAGCATCCAGGCACGGAGCAAAGACATCTCCTACATGGGGTGCCTCACTCAGGTGTATTTTTTAATGATGTTTGCTGGAATGGATACTTTCCTACTGGCCGTGATGGCCTATGACCGGTTTGTGGCCATCTGCCACCCACTGCACTACACGGTCATCATGAACCCCTGCCTCTGTGGCCTCCTGGTTCTGGCATCTTGGTTCATCATTTTCTGGTTCTCCCTGGTTCATATTCTACTGATGAAGAGGTTGACCTTCTCCACAGGCACTGAGATTCCGCATTTCTTCTGTGAACCGGCTCAGGTCCTCAAGGTGGCCTGCTCTAACACCCTCCTCAATAACATTGTCTTGTATGTGGCCACGGCACTGCTGGGTGTGTTTCCTGTAGCTGGGATCCTCTTCTCCTACTCTCAGATTGTCTCCTCCTTAATGGGAATGTCCTCCACCAAGGGCAAGTACAAAGCCTTTTCCACCTGTGGATCTCACCTCTGTGTGGTCTCCTTGTTCTATGGAACAGGACTTGGGGTCTATCTGAGTTCTGCTGTGACCCATTCTTCCCAGAGCAGCTCCACCGCCTCAGTGATGTACGCCATGGTCACCCCCATGCTGAACCCCTTCATCTACAGCCTGAGGAACAAGGATGTGAAGGGGGCCCTGGAAAGACTCCTCAGCAGGGCCGACTCTTGTCCATGACAAATCAGGGCCTCAGAACTAAGAGGACACACTGCGTACCCCTAAGGCAAATGTTGTGGGTTTAAATATCCGGCTCTTTTTCTCTTTTAAAAAATGTGCTTGATGTGGGATTTTTGGTTGTTGTTATTGGGTTGTTTGTTGTTGTTATTGTTATTGTTTTTGAGACAGAGTCTGGCTCTGTCGCCCAGGCTAGAGTGCAGTGGTGCAATCTTGGCTCACTGCAACCTCTACCTCCCAGGTTGAAGCGGTTCTCCTGCCTCAGCCTCTCAAGTAGCTGAGATTACAGGTGTGTGCCACCACAGCCAGCTAATTTTTGTATTTTTAGTAGAGACAGGGTTCCACCATACTGTTCAGGCTGGTCTGGAACTCCTGACCTCATGATCTGCCTGCCTCAGCCTCCCAAAGTGCTAGGATTACAAGCGTGAGCCACCGTGCCTGGCCAATGTGTTTCTTTCTTTTCTTTTTTTTTTTAATCAAAAACAACTATGATTTTGCTTTTGTTTTTGTGTTAGTTTCTCCTAAAAACTCCCTCTGTAAGCCCTTTTTGACTTTTCTTCCCTAGATGTTTCCCATAAAGTTCCATCTTTGATCAGTTTTCTTACCACTCTTTCTGAGACTTCTAATTTGATGTGTATGGCACTCCCAATATCAAGTGCTGACCTGGTTTCCTCAAAAATTATCCTGTTGAATGTTGATGTTCCTCACCTTAGTATAGTTTTTTCTTGTCCTCTGGATAGGAAATAAAATGAAAACCATAGATTAGTCGTATAAAATGTTTACAATATCAGGACAGTGCTTGTTGCTTTACATGTCTGATGTTATTCAATCCTGAAAACATTTCGTGAGAAATTTTGTCTCATTCACTGCATTTCTCAAAGGAGGAGACTGAGATGGAGGTAGAGTATATCCTAACAATCTGACACTTTGCCCACACTTCTAACTTTGCCATCCTACTTTCCATAAAAACAGTGATATAAAATTTTCGGGGCACAGTGGCTCACACCTGTCTTCCCAGCTACTTGGAGGGCTGAGGCAGGAGAATCACTGGAGCCTAGGAGTTTGAGGCTGTAGTGAGCTGTGATCGTGGCACTGCAATCCAGCCTGGGTGACAGAGCAAGACCCTGTCTCAAACCAAAAACAAACACAAAAGCAAAGAATGATAATGTGATTTTCAACTTCAAATTATGACTCTATATTTGAAAGCTGGTTGGGTCAAATGGTTCCTAGTAATATACTGGCCAGAATGAGTCTGACATGCTATCCCTTTGAAATACAAGCCCTATAAGCCCACAGAAATCAGAGCCGTGGAATCTGGGAGCACAAACCCCTTAGGTGTCTCACTACAGGTGATGTTAGGCAGGGCCAATCTTGTTCCAACTCTTGATTTCCGGGCCATTGTATTCTATATCATAAAGATATTATCATTTTGATGGTATCAAAAGATATTATCATTTTTCACTGATTTGGAATGCATACTAATCCTAATTTGCATCCTGCAAATTTGGTAGCCAGTATTTTCTGTTTATTCAAATACCTGCAATAAATATTTGTCTTTGAAATAAAACTCAGGTGGCAGAGGTTGCAGTGAGCTGAGATTGTGCCACTGCACTCCAGCCTGGGCGACAGAGCAAGACTCTGTCTAAAACATAAAACAAAATAAATAAATAAAACAAAATAACTTAGAAAGTATAATTGCATTGTTTGTAACTCTAAAGATAAATAGTTGAGGGATGAATACCTCATTCTCCACGATGTGGTTATTTCACATTGCATTCCTGTATCAAAACGTTTCATCTACCCCATAAATATATACAGCTACTATCTACGCACAAAAATTAAAAATGTTTTAAAACATTTTTAAAGAAAAATAAAAGTAGAAGAGGAGAAAAGTGAATGACCATTGAAGGAACAGGGCTTCCTCTTCTCATTAAAACCTCTTCTGTCCTCTGAGTTCCCACCACCAAGTTTCAGAGACAGTGACAAACCACATCAGATTTTTTTTTAATTTTAAAATGAAATGGGAGTCATATCTGCAAATCCATTGAATGAACCATGTAAATAAAGAAGAAGCAGGCCTTCCATGAGAAGAATATGTTGCACCTTTTTTTTTTTTTTTTTTTTTTTGAGATGGAGTCTTGCTCTGTCGCCCAGGCTAGAGCACAGTGGCGCTGGGATTACAGGCGCACGCCACCATGCCCGGCTAATCTTTTGTATTTTTAGTAGAGATGGGGTTTCACCATGCTGGCCAGGCTGGTCTCAAACTCCTGACCTCGTGATCCACCCGCCTCGGCCTCCCAAAGTGCTGGGATTACAGGCATGACCCACCACACCCAGCCACTACTTTCATTCTTGAAGTTCAGATTTATGTTTCTAAGGAGGACTTTCTATTTTACTTTCTATACTCCTTGCCTGTAATTTGAGATTTTATGCATTGGTAATTTATGTTTTTGCTAAGTTGGATAAGACCCTAATTCTTTCTGTCTGATTGATCTATGTTGGCATGTTAGAAACTGCTGATCTTTGCAGCCTAACTTGGTAACTTTATATATTGCTTAAGCATTTCCCCATATCTAACAAGACTGCAATCAGATGTCAGCCAGGGTTGCAGTCATCTCGTGGACTGACTGGAGAGGATCTGCTGTGAAGCTCACTCACATGGCTGTTTGTAGGGTTTAGGTTCTTGCAGGACAATGGCCTAAGGCCCCTCAGTTTGTTGCCACAAGGGACTCTCATGGGGCAGCTCACATATGCCAGCTGAGTTCTGTCAGTGCAGGGAAGCAAGGGACAGAGCAACAGAGGCCAGGCCTATCCTTCTACCAGGACATGGGTCTCTAAGCACCCAAGACCATGGAGATTTCCCTCTGCCTTCCGGTAGAGTTCCTCACCATTCAAGACATTGTACTGTCAGAAAAATTCCATGCTGTAGAACTGGCACATGGACATGTCGCCCTTTCCTCTGCACTGGATATTTCTACAGACTTAACAATGTTCTCCTGGACCTTCAGACAAAATAAGCCACCCTGGTTCTCCTTCGCCACAAGCTCTCAGCCCAACATCACAATAAGCTGCTGCAATTCTGCACCTAAATTCAGCAAGTGTTCCCAGCAGCTTCTGATTGTTGCTCATCAAGAAAGAGCTCATCTCACTTCAGGCGGAGAACTCCCTAGTGTAGACTCTGTGTTGTGTGTGTTGTGTGTGTGTGTGTGTGTGTGAGATCACCTAGTAAATTCTTTAATGAAATGTACTTTCTTTTGGCCTGTCTTTATTCAAGTAGATAAAATAGGTTGTATGGAAGTTATGGAGTTTTTGTTTTGTTTTGTTTTGAGATGTCTTGCTCTGTTGCCCAAGCTGCAGTGAAGCGGCTCAGTCATAGCTCACTGCAGCCTTGAATTCCTGGCCTCAAGTAATCCTCCTGCGCCACCATGTCCAGGTAATTTATTTTATTTTATTTTTTTGTAGAGATGGAGTCTTGCTATGTTGCCCAGGCTGGTCTTGAACTTCTGGTCTCAAGTGACCCTCCTGCTTCAGCCTCCCAAAGTGGTGAGATTGTAGGTACAGACCACCATGCCCAGCCAGATATTATGGTTCTTTATAAACTTTCACATTCCACCCATGGCTCAGAGGTGAGGTACTCAACAATATTTGTCAATGACTGATATAATAAATGTAAATATATATTCCAACAAGTTGAATGTGGAAGAAAGGATGCTATTTATCAGTGTATCAATAAATACTGAGGTAAATATGAGGGCACAAATGATAAAATGACAGGAATGTAGAGGTAGATTGGATCGGAAGATGCTGGGAGTTGGGAGCTTTTAAAATGTTTGGGTAGTAGCAAAAATAGTGTTCTAATCAGTACATTTGATATGTCTCCTCAAACAGACTCTTAGTTGTTATCACATCTCTACAGATGAACTTGTTCAATAGAAATATGTTTTGTTTTACCTGGGTGTGGTGGCTCACGCCTGTAATCCCAGCACTTTGGGAGACTGAGGCAGGCGGATCACAAGGTCAAGAGTTCGAGATTAGCCTGACCAATATGATGAAACCCTGTCTCTAATAAAAATGCAAAAATTAGCTGGGCATGGTGGCACACACCTGCAGTCCCAGCTACCCAAGAGGCTGAGGCAGGAGAATTGCTTGAACCCGGGAGGCAGAGGTTGCAGTGAGATGAGATTGTGCCACTGCACTCCAGCCTGGGCAACAGAGCGAGACTCTGTCTTTAAAAAAAAAAAAAAAAAGAAATGTTTTGTTTTATACTCAAGGTCACAGTTTGTAATATCCAGTTACTTGTATATTCTGAGAATACCCATTTAAAATTAACTTCTTTTAAATTTTTTAAAAATGTAGTGACAGGGTCTCACTATGTAGCCAAGTCTGGTCTCAAACACCTGCCTTAAACTTTCCTGCCAAATCAGCCTCCCAAAGTGCTGGGATTACAGGTATGAGCCACCATGCCAGGCCCTAAAATTAACTTCCTCAATGTAATAATAGGGGCTATCATTTCAAGGGAAACTAACATTTGACTGGTTAATGGCACCATGATATAAAATCATTGCATGGCCTTGGAAGAAAAGACTACTGCAATTAATTTGCTGCTGAGGAACATGGGGTTCAGAAAGGACCTCTGAGTTATCAAAAGTCCCACGTTTAAGAGCCCAATATATGAGTGATGAAGGGTCCATAAATCCCACATTTTTTCTACCATCTGTATATTCTATCCCGATTGAAGTTTGTCACATCGCTTTTGGTTGGCTACTGTGAACCATCCAAACAATCCAAACATTTCCCATCACAAGGTATTAATCCATCATAGCACTCTTCTAAATATTAAAATAAAAGTGCCAACAACAAAGCATTACCAGTGGGGAGAGTCCACCATGTGACATCAAAAAGCAGCATTAGGCCAGGCACAGTGCCTCACGCCTGTAGTCCTAGCACTTTGGGAGGCCGAGGTGGGTGGCTCACTTGAGGTCAGGAGTTCGAGACCAGCCTGGACAACATGGCAAAACCCCATCTCTACTAAAAATACAAAAATTAGCTGAGCATGGTGGTGTGTGCCTGTAGTCCCAGCTACTTGGGAGGCTGAGGCAGGAGAATCACTTGAGCCCAGGAGGCGGAGGTTGCAGTGAACCAAGATCATGCCATTGCATTCCAGCCTGGGCAACAGAGCAAGACTCTGTCTCAAAAAAAAAAAAAAAAAAAGGCAGCATTAATGTCCCACTTATCAAATTCTTTGACTATCATTTATGTGAAATAAAGGAGAGTTCATGTTTGCTGGTGACATGGACTTTTGGTAGCTCAGTGTAAAGTAAAAGAAGAAAACCCTGAAATTATTTATGATGAAACTGGTGATTTAACAATCCCTAGACATCACTAGAGTCACACAGCAACCGGAAATAGGGCACTGCCACTTAAACTTCAGTTGGACTCTCTTCACAAAGACATATGTTTTAAAAGCAGCTTTATTTCATCAGCACATTTTTAAAATATTCCCCTTGCAGACAACTCCAACATACTTTTGTTCCTCAGTCAAGGTTAGGTCAGGAATAGAAACCAGGGCTGGGCACGCGGCTCATGCCTGTAATCCCAGCACTTTGGGAGGCCGAGGCAGGTGGATCACCTGAGGTCGGAAGTTCCAGACGAGCCTGGCCAACATGGCAAAACCCCGTCTCCACTAAAATTACAAAAATTAGCTAGGCGTGGTGGGCGGTCCTTGTAATCCTAGCTACGCGGGAGGCTGAGTCAGGAGAATTGCTTGAACCTGGGAGGTGGAGGTTGCAGTGAGTCGGGATCATGCCACCGCACTCCAGCCTGGGTGACAGAGGGAGACTCCATCTCAAAAAAAAAAAAAAATAGAAACTAATCTAGTTATTTTGAATAACTAATCTACTTATTATGAAGAGAATTGAACAGAGGGAGTTGGCTTGATTGTTACTGCAGGACAAAGGCTAAAGGACACAATGTGGTAACAGAGACAGTAACTGAAGGCAGCAGCCTCTAAACACTGAGGCAGGCATAGGGGTATACTAGAAGGTGGTCGCAAAGTATACCGAATTTCAGTGTAGTAAAATTCAGTGTTCATGAAAGTCTGTAACAAGAACACCAGATGGAAAACAGAGCAATAACTTCAAGAGCCCCAACCTAGCATGAAAGAGCTGAGTAGAGAAAGGCGGGAAGGGAACAGAAAGACAATGGCTTAGAAACCAGAATAATGAGAACAATACAAATCTTCTCTCCTAGCTACTTTGAAATATGCAATCAATTACCACTAACTAGAATTCCCCTACTGTATTAGGAAACGCTGGAACTTATTTCTTCTATCTAACTGCATTTTTGTACCCTGTAAACATCTTTTCATGCTCCACTCCTTCCTTCCCTTACCAGCCTCTAGTAATTACCATTCTACCTTGTACCTTCACAAGATTCACTGTTTTAGCTCATAGGTATGAGTGGGAACATGCCATATTTGTCTTTTCATGCCTGGCTTATTTCACTTAAATCCATGTTGCTGCAAATGACTCACTTTCATTTCTTAAAGGCTGAATAGTATAACTTTGTGTACCTACCCCACACTTCATAAAAAAAGAAAGAAAACTAAACAAATTTTTAAAAATCAGTTATAGCATGTGAAGTTTTAGGGATGTTGTTACCATGTTATCCTTTTCTATTTTCCCTTTCAGTACGCACAAGAGTGAAATCCGAAGAAAATCTATACGTATATAAATCAACATTTTCAACAAATTCCAAGTGCTTACTAAAAATTCCCAGCATAATGACAATCTGTATATTGCTGAAGGATAATGAATTTGAAGAAGACAGTTGAAGAAAATTACATTGTCTAGTGCTGCAATCAGCTCTTTAGTAGCTTACCCATTTGAGCTTGATCCCTTGAAGAACTTCATCGTCTGAACTATCACTGGTGCTTTTAAAACCTCTCAGACCCACACAGGTTCAAGTAAATCAAAATCTCTGGGTAAGAGAGCCCAGCCATCATCATTTGTAAGCTCCCCAGGTGAGGTCAATAAAAGCCAAGGTTGAGGGCTCGTGAACAAGTTCGTCACACATAGCCTGCTTAAAGTGATTTTACAGATGTAATATGTAAATAATTTCCACACGAACTGTGAAAATTAACTTAAATTTGAAATACAGTAAGTCCTCAATTAACACCCTCAATATGTTTTTGGAAACTGTGATTTAAGTGAAATGATTTATAATGAAACCGTGTGTTTTTCCTTATCAACAATATAACTAATGGACTTTGAACAAAACAATTTTACTTGAGGACCTGCTGTATATCATTTCCTTAAGGTTGCAGTTTCCAAGATGCTATTGACTTTAAGCAAGGACTTCTTATATATAAAAACAGGGTTGTGATTTCACCTAGATACCAGGGTCATTGCTCGGAAACTAAAGGAGGCTGTCCAGGTATACTGGATTCAGCCACGAATTTTTGCAATAAACAAAGAATTCCAGAATACCTTCACATTCCAATTAAAGACAAAACAATGGAAACAATATTCACATGTAGGGACCAGCCCTACAGGGTCTGTGGGTCTTTCTCCCCGTGTGTGGAGACAAGAGATTGTAGAAATAAAGACACAAGACAAAGAGAAGAAAAGACAGCTGGGCCCGGGGGGACCACCACCACCAAGGCGCGGAGACCGGTAGTGGCCCAAATGCCTGGCTGCACTGTTATTTTTCGGATACAAGACAAGGGGGCAGGGTAAGGAGTGTGAGCCATCTCCAATGATAGGTAAGGTCACACAAGTCACGTGTCCACTGGACAGGGGGCCCTTCCCTGTTTGGCAGCCGAGGCGGAGAGAGAGAGGACAGCTTACACCATTATTTCTGCATTTCGGAGACTTTTAGTACTTTCACTAATTCTGCTACTGCTGTCTAGAAGGCAGAGCCAGTTGTACAGGGTGGAACATAAAAGTGAAACAGGAGCGTGACCGCTGAAGCACAGCATCACAGGGAAACAGGCCTCCGCATAACTGCAGGCAGGCCTGACTGATGTCAGACCCTCCACAAGAGGTGGAGGAGTAGAGTCTTCTCTAAACTCCCCCGGGAAAAGAGAGACTCCTTTTCCCGGTCAGCTGAGTAAGGAGTGCTTTTTCTAGGCACTGACCCTACTGCTAGACCAAGATCCGCAAGGTAACGGGGCTCCTTCCCAGGCACTGGCGTTACCGCTAGACCATGGAGCCCTCTAGTGGCCCTGTCCGGGCATAACAGAGGGCTCACACTTGTCTTCTGGTCAGTTCTCACCATGTCCCTTTAGCTCCTATCTCTGTATGGCCTGGTTTTTCCTAGGTTATGATTGTAGAGTGAAGATTAATATTGGACTAAAGAGTAATTGCTACAAACTAATGATTAATGATGTTCATATATAATCATATCTATGATCTATATCTAGTATAACTATTCTTATTTTATATATTTTCTTTATTATGCTGGAACAGCTCGTGCCCTCGGTCTCTTGCCTCGGCCCCTGGTGGCTTGCCGCCCACATTCACATATGAAACATGGAGAGGAATTGAACCTATCAAGCAATAAATATAATGTAACCAAGGGGGAAGGATTTAAAGGTCTTGATATTTTGTATCAAAGCTCTGCCTTTTCCAACCAATACTACAAAAAAGATGCAACAGATAAGGAGATTACATTATTCTGCCGTGCAGCCTCTGCAGGGCACTTTGAATGTCCCTGTTTCTCAGGCTGTAGATGAAGGGGTTCAGCATGGGGGTGACCACCATGTACATTACTGAGGCCACTGCACCCTTCCTGGAGGAAAGGGACACAGCTGAACTGAGGTACCCTCCAAGGGCTGTTCCATAAAGTAAGCAAACAACTGACAGGTGAGAGCTGCAGGTGGAGAAGGCTTTATACTTCCCACCTGAAGAGAGAACTCTCAGAATGGAGGAAACAATTTTATAGTAAGAGAAAAGGATCCCTAAGAGAGGGAGAAAACCAAATATGGCACCAATAAAATATACAACCATGTTATTAATGGAGGTGTCAGAACAGGCCAGCTTGAGAAGTTAAGAAGGGTCACAGAAAAAAATTAGAGATTTCCACATCGTTGAAGCAGGTAAGTTGTAACACAATCAAATTGTGCAGCTGAGAGTCCAAAAGGCTAAGAAAAAAAGACACCAAAACTAAGAAGCCACAGAGTCGTGGGCTCATGATGACTTGGTAGTGCAGGGGGTGACAGATGGCCACGAACCGGTCATAGGCCATCACAATCAGGAGCAGACTTTCCATACATGCGAAAAAGATCAAAAAAGACATCTGAGTCAGGCAGCCCACGTAAGAGATGAGTCTACTATGAGCCTGGATGTCCACAATCATCTTGGGGACAGTAGTAGAGGCAAAACCGATGTCAGCCAAGGACAGGTTGGAGAGGAAGAAGTACATGGGGCTGTGGAGATGGGAGTCAGAGCTGACGGCCAGAATGATGAGCAGGTTCCCCAGCACCATGACCAGGTACATGGACAGGAACAGCCCAAAGAGGACGGGCTGCAGTTCTGGATCATCTGGGAGTCCCAGGAGCAGGAATTCTAAGACACCTGTGAGATTCTCTGGCTCTGTGTATCTTGGACACAATTGAGAAAAAGAGAATTGGAAAAAAGGAAAGGACAAAATCAGCACCCAGCACTGTGTCTATATTTTGGATACAAGCAATTTACAATTAATGTTTTCACATTTGAGGATCATATACCCTCAGCCATATTTCTCAGTTTTGAAAACCCTAATTTTCTTTTTTTTTATTTTAGACTCACAGAATACATATGCAGGCTTGTTACATGAGTAAATAATGTGTCGGTAAAGGTTTGGTGCAGCAATGATCCCAACACCAAGGTAGTGGGCTTAGTACTGGATAGATAGACTTCCACCCCATAAACCCCCACCCTCCCCCATCAAGCAGTCCCCACTGTTTTTCCCATCTTTGTGTCCGTAAAACCCAATTTGCTACAAGTCCTTTTGTAATTGATTGGTGTGTTAGTCACCTGATTCTGTAGACACTTACCTTAGAGACCCTTGACTGAACAAAGTGAGAAGAGCAAGAACATTTGAGAAAATTCATGATCACATTAAAATACAGCGTACTCTTTTCAGTAAAAATATAAAATAAGAAATATTGGCTAGGCGCAGTGGCTCATGCCTGTCATCCCAGCACTTTGGGAAGCCAAGGCGGGAGGATCACTTAAGCTGAGGAGTTTGAGACCAGCCTGGACAACATGGCAAAACCCCGTCTCTACTAAAAATACAAAAATTAGCTGGCGTGGTGGCATGTGCCTATGGTCTCAACTACTTGGGAGGCTGAGGTGGGAGGATCACTTGAGCCCAGAGGTGGAGGTTACAGTGAGCCAAGTTCACACCATTGCACTCCAGTCTGGATGACAGAGTGAGACCTTGTCTTACACACACACACAAAAAGTAAAGAAATATCTTTCCCCATTTAAGAAAAGAAATCTTTGTAATTAAAAGAAACCAAAGACATTCAAATATGCCTTATTTCATTCTAATTCAATGCTACAAATTCCTTTGATTTACAATATTTAGAAATATTCTGTAAGACCTAGGACCACGTTATTTCAAAGATAAATTAAAGTTGACAGTTCATAAGCAGACATTTTCACATTCCAGTTCTGTTCTAGTGTTTTCATTGTCTTCATGGTTTCTGACTTCACTTTCCTGTGGAAGCAAAGTCTCCCTCAAATATGTGGGTTTTCTTTTGAAATTCATTTAATATTCAACTCCTGTCCTTGCTTAGGTGGACTCAGAGTTTTGATAAATAAGGTTTAGTTAAATGCGCATAATCAAAGCCATCAGTGACTACAAGTTGTCTGTAGTGCGCAAGGCACCTGTGGATGTTTGAGCATTAATAAAAGTGTTTTTTTTCTTGAGATAGAGTCTTGCTCTGTCGCCCAGGCTAGAGTGCAGTGGCGTAATCTTGGTTCACTGCAACCTCCGCCTCCTAGACTCAAGAGATTCTCTTGCCTCAGCCTCCTGAGTAGTTGGGATTACAGGCGGGTGCCACCATGCCCGGCTAATTTTTTGTGTTTTTAGTAGAGACGGGGTTTCATGTTGGTCAGGCTGATCTCGAACTCCTGACCTCATGATCTGCCCGCCTCGGCCTCCCAAAATTCTGGGATTACAGGCGTGAGTAATGCAATTTTAAGAACACTTTTGCATTACTTTATGTGAGGCTAGAAAGATGTGAAAGTCTAAAATGTGTTTCTGTCTAAGCAATAATGTTTACCTTCCCCTCTTCTTTCTGTCTCTTTCTCTCTTTTTTTCTCAGTATTTCCAGAGATTTTTGGCTTTAAATATTTATTTTATTCTGTGTATATAATTTTTTTGTGAAATGTTCCAAGAAATCAAGGGAATGTACATAATATGTATGTACTTAAAAAAAAAAAAGAACAATAATGAAATACCCAAGTACCTATCCCACAGTTTAACAAATGCAATAAAACCAATCTTTGGGCCGGGCGTGGTGGCTCATGCCTGTAATCGAAGGACTTTAGGAGGCTGAGGCTCAGGATCACTTGAGGTCAGGAGTTTGAGTCCAGCCTGACAAACACGGTGAAACTTCGTCTCTAATACAAAAACTAGCCAGGCGCAGTAGGGCCTGCCTGTAATGCCAGCTACCCGGGAGGCTGAGGCAAGAGAATCACTTGAACCTGGGAGGCGGAGGCTGCAGTGAGCCAAGATCGTGCCACTCCAGCCTGGGTGACACAGCGAGACTCCATCTCAAAAAACAAAACAAAACAAAAAACAATCTTTGGGCCAGGCTCGATGGCTCATGCCTGTAATCCCAGCATTTTGGGAGGCCGAGGTGGGCTGATCACTTGAGGTCAGGAGTTCGAGACCAGCCTGGCTAACATGGTGAAACCCCGCCTCTACTAAAAATACAAAGATTAGCCGGGCGTGGTGGCACACACCTGTAATCTCACCTACTTGGGAGGGTAAGGTATGAGAATCATTTGAACTCAGGAGGCAGAGGTTGGAGTGAGCCAAGATTGCACCACTGCACTCCAGCCTGGGTGACAGAGCAAGACTCACTTTCAAAAAACAAACAAACAAAAACAAAACAAAACAAACAAACAAGAAAAAAAAAGCACAATCTTCGAAGCCGTGCATCCTTCTATGGTTCCAGGCACCCCAGCCCTACGGCACAGGTAACCTCCAATGTGAAATTTGAGTTAATCTCTTCTTTCTTTATACTCTACTCATATATATATATATCCCTAAGTAATGAATCATTTAATTTTGCTTTCTTAAATTTTATGTCAACGAAAGTATAGAGCAGGTATTACTCTGTAACTTGCTTTTTCATTCAGTATTTCTGTAGAGTTATATCCACATTTACACACATAATTATACATCATTTTCTTTTTAAAAAATATTATGGGTACATAGCAGGTGTATATATTTATGAATGACATGAGATATTTTGACACAGGCATACAAGGTACAATAATCGCATCAGGGTAAATGGGGTATCCATCACCTCATGCATTTATCCTTTCCTTGTGCCAAACAATCCAATTACTCTTAGCTATTTTAAAATGTACAATAAATTATTGTTGATTACAGTCACCTAATACTAGATCTCATTCATTGTCTCTAACTATACTTTTGTGTTGCTTAACCATCCTGCACTTTTCCCCTCACCCCCACTCCCCTTCCCAGCCTCTGGTAATCATCCTTCTACTCTCTATCTCCATGATTTCCATTGTTTTAATTTTTAGATCCCACAAATAAGTGAGAACGCGTGAAGCTTATCTTTCTGTGCCTGGCTTATTTCATTTAAATTGATGGCCCCCAGTTCCATCCAAGTTGTTGCAAATGACAGGATCTCTTCCTTTTTTATGGCTGCATAATGCTCTATTGTGCACATGTACACAATTTCTTTGTCCATTCATATGTTGAATGGATGGTGAATGCTTAGCTGCTTCCAAATCATGGCTATTGTGACTAGTGCTGTAATAAACATGGGAGTGCAGATATCTCTTCAATATATGGATTCCCTTATGGGGGGGTATATACTTAGCAATGGAATTGCTGTATCTTTTGTTTGTTTGTTTGTTTTGAGATGGAATCTCGCTCTGTCGCCTAGGCTAGAGTGCAGTGGCGCGACCTTGGCTCACTGCAACCTCCGCCTCCCAGGTCAAGCGATTCTCCTTCCTCAGCCTTCCGAGTAGCTGGGACTACCGGCGCCCGCCACCACGCTCGGCTAATTTTTTGTATTTTTAGTAGAGACAGGGTTTCACCATGTTAGCCAGGATGGTCTCGATCTCCTGACCTCGTGATCCACCCGCCTTGGCCTCCTAAAGTGCTGAGAATACAGGCATGAGCCACCGCACCTGGCCCGGAATTGCTGCATCTTATGGTAGCTCTATTTGTAGTATTTTGAGGAAACTCCAACTCGTTCTCCATAATGGATGGACTAACTTGCATTCCCACCAACAGTGTGCAATTGTTCCCCTTTCTCCACATCCTTGTGAGCATTTGCTATTGCCTGACTTTTTGATAAAAGCCATTCTAAATGGGGTGAGATGATATCTCCTTGTAGTTTCGATTTGCATTTCTCTCTCTCTCTTTTTTTTTTTTTGAGATGGAGTCTTGCTCTGTCACCCAGGCTGGAGTGCAGAGGCACGATCTCAGTTCACTGCAACCTCTGTCTCCCAGGTTCAAGTGATTCTCCTGCCTCAGCCTCCTGAGTAGCTGGGATTACAGGTGCCCACCACCATGCCCAGCTAATTTTTGTATTTTCAGTAGAGATGGGGTTTCACCATGTTGGCCAGGCTGGTCTCAAACTCCTGACCTCAAGTGATCCACCCGCCTCAGCCTCCCAAAGTGCTGGGATTACAGGCATGAGCCAATGCGCCTGACCTGCATTTCTCTTAAAAGAGATTTTTATTTCTGATGCCTCCTCTGTGTCAAGCAGGTTAGAGACTCTGGAGAATTAGAGATGAAAGAGACTCAGTTGTTTCTGTCACAATAATCAGTACTTAATTATATAAGGACAAAAATAAAATGTCCTGTGGGAAGTACAGAAACAGTAACTTCAGGTCACAGGATATTTCAGTTGAGTGATATAAAGATTAATCTTAAAATATTAATAACAATTTCTAGAATACACGTTGCCTTTACTTTATGCATCCATCACAAATAGATCCCACAGGGAGCCCCCATGATCTGCTTAATCAATACTGAATGTATCTGTGTCAACTAGAAATCAACTCAGGTGGCAATGTTGAGTCTCAGAAACACTAACATCTTGCCCCCTGCCACACAGATAAGTGGAATAACAGGATTTTAAAAAAATTATAGGTTGATGCAAAAGTAATTGAGGTTTTTGCCATTACTGTTGTCACCAACCTAATAAATGATCAGTCTCTGAGTCTCAGGCATGAACCTTTTTTATGTTTCCCAGCTATCAGAAAGTTGTAAGCAGAGGTAAGAGGTCTTAACCACAGGCACATCGGAGGTGCATTTTCAAACTGTTTCCAGATTCCTGAGTAGGAATGAGGCCAAAACTCTGATTTTATTTCTCCTTTCAGGAGGTGGAGAGCTGCAAGGAAAGCCAGGAACAGGGGCAAGGGAGAGATGCACCCTGAAGGATCCTGTGCCAGTTCTTTCTGGGATCTTTGATGTGATCTCAGCTGCCCTTTCTATACTTGATACAGTGAACGTAGCACCCACTGGTCTAGCTGTGGTCTACCAGGAACCCACTGGTAAGCAGTGAGCACACCAGGGGTCCAGAGTGACAGGGATTCGAGAGGGCAGGTTGGATGCAGGAAGAGGCCTAGCCAAATGCCATGTGCAAGGATTTAGATGGCCTGATTCAAACATGGCTTTACTCCTCTCTACTTCATGAAATACTACAAGTTACATAAAAATGCACAGCTCCTTTCCTCGTGCAAAATAATAATAATGTGTGCACTTATGGATTGCAGAAGGCTATGCAGATAAAATGAAACAAACCACATAGAACACAGAACTGGGCGCCTGGCATTCAGGAAGCCCTCAGGAAAAGTTCATGATGTCATAGTGACTGTCCTCTTCCTCCTCATCCTCATCATCAGCTTCATAATCCTTTTACAGTGTTCATGGAATAGCTTAGAGAGACCTATTTTTTCCTAGCTTCAGTGAGATGTCTATAGCAAGTAGAACCAGTGGAGGGAGAAAGTAAAACTTTGAGTGAGATTTCAGAGTCCCCACCACAATCAAGAACATAAACTCCACAGTTGTCTGAGCTGATATTTTGCACATTGATGTCCTCCTATCTGCCACTCCACTGTCCTGTTTGTCCTGAGGATGAGGAAAGAAGGCTCCCGACCATCCCTCAGCACTCACTGAGCTGCGCTTCCCCTCTGCTGGGCCATGATCATGGAGAGCAGGTCCGCTGTCCTCCCTGCGTGGTGCACGATGGAGGCTCAGGCTCCGTCCTCAGGACTGGCAGGAAGACAGGGTCAGACATGAGCCTCCTGATGCAGACGACAGGTGTGGAGCCCACTGGACTGGAAGCTCACACTGCAGGGCTGGAGGCACAGGCTGAGTATTCACTATGCTATGGCCTTGGGGGCTCAAGGCACAGAGCTCCTCATTAGCCAAATTGGCCCAAGTTCCCCAATCTCTAAGGACTTCCTCATAATAATTCAGGAAGAAGAAGAGAAAAATGAGTGTCCATAGAAGCTTTTGGGCTCTTCCTCTAATCAGGAGAAAGCTTGTGTGTATTATTCACTTTTTTCTTTTCTTTGTAAAGATCCAAATGCTTCAATTTTCATCTTTTATTGTGGTAAAATATACCATGTGTAAATATTAAAAAGTATAAATATATATTATTTTATATAGAAGGGTCAATATAAACAATTTCCACTATTTTTAAGTTTACAGTTTAATGACATTAAGTACATTTGTATTGTTTAGCAACCATCACCACCATCATCTCCAGAACATTTTTATCTTTCAAAATGGAAACTGTGCCCATTCAACAAACTCTCCATTCCTCTCTCTCGCCCACTCCTTGGGGCCACCATTCTGTTTTCCAACTCTATGAGTTTAACTACTCTAGATATTTGATATCAGTGGAATCATACTGTGTTTATCTTTTTTTGAGACAGAGTCTCATTCTGTCACTCAGGCTGGAGTGCAGTGGCGTGATCTTGGCTCATTGCAACCTCTGCCTCCCAAGTTCAAGCAATTCTCCTGTCTCATTCTCCCAAGTAGCTGGGATTACAGGCATGTGCCACCATATCTGGCTAATTTTTGTATTTTTAGTAGAGACGAGCTTTCGCCATGTTCGCCGGGCTGGTCTCAAACCCTTGACCTCAAGTGATCCGCCTGCCTCAGCCTCCCAAAGTGCTGGGATTACTGGTGTGAGCCACTGAGCCCAGTTGTGTTTATCCTTCTGTGATTTATTTACTTCAGTGATGATAATGTCTTCAAGGTATGTACTTTTGTATAAAAACCAAAGAGTTGGCTGGGCGCAGTGGCTCAGGCCTGTAATCCCAGCACTTTGGAAGTCTGAGGTGGGCAGATCATGAGGTCAGGAGTTCGACACCAGCCTGGCCAATATGGTGAAACCCTGTCTCTACTAAAAATACACAAATTAGCCAGGCGTGGTGGTGCGCACCTGTAGTCCCAGCTACTCAGGAGGCTGAGGCAGGAGAATCTCTTGAACCTGGGAGGCGGAGGTTGCAGTGAGCCAAGATTGCACCAGTGCACTCCAACATAGGCGACAGAGTGAGACTCTATCTTAAAAAAAAAAAAAAAAAAGAGTTATGTTTGTGCAGTAGAATGAATCATTTTCTTTCATCTTTTCCTAATTTCCCCTCACATGAAGAGTCCACTTAATGGAAACAGGAGGATACTATTTTCTGAGTTTTTTTTTAATGTGCAACTGAAGAATGTCTACCATCACTTTTTAATGTATTAACCTTCATTATTTGCAGAATCTTTCAAAACCTTTCTTTTCTTATGTGATTTTTTTTTTATACTTTAAATTCTAGGGTACATGTACACAACGTTCAGGTTTGTTACATATGTATACACGTGCCATGTTGGTGTGCTGCACCCGTTAACTCATCATTTACATTAGGTACATCTCCTAATGCTATCCCTTCCCCTCCCCCCACCCCACAACAGGCCCCGGTGTGTGATTTTCCCCTTCCTGTGTCCAAGTGTTCTCATTGTTCAATTCCCACCTATGAGTGAGAACATGCGGTGTTTGGTTTTTTGTTCTTGCGATAGTTTGCTGAGAATGATGGTTTCCAGCTTCATCCATGTCCCTACAAAGGACATGAACTCATCCTTTTTTATGGCTGCATAGTACCATGCTGTATATGTGCCACATTTTCTTAATCCAGTCTATCATTGATGGACATTTGGGTTGGTTCCAAGTCTTATGTGATTCTTTATCTGTAAATACTGTTTAAGAAATCTAGATCCCATTCAACGGTTCTGATCAAACACTAACAAACCATACGTTTTGTTTCCAAGGAGTTCTCTGTATAAGAGGAATAGGGCTTCAGTGAGGAAAGAAAATATGGTTTGAACAGATATCAAATTGCCTTCACTCTCATAAGTCAGTGTACAATTACTTCATTGTTATATGAAGGAGAGCTGTCCTCACTGTGCAAGGTTGTGAGTATATAGATAATGATATTCATTCTCTGCCCTTGTGTAAATATAAAAAAGAGACAGTCCGTCAGCCATCCAGGATAATGAACAACAGGAGTTCAAATAATTTACTTGAAATGCATTGATCTAAGTGTAGATGATGACAATGATATCTACATTTACTAATTTCTTATCAGGTAAATACATTATCTGTTTAATCCTAGAGTTCCTCAAGCTGAACATCATTAAAAATGATGAATTAGAGGATGTGGAGCTAATAAATATGTTCTGGTCCAGTCAGCAAATGACTTAGATGAGCTAATGTTGAAAATCAAACTTCAACCCTTAAAACCCATATGTTGGGCCAGGCGCAGTGGCTCACGCCTGTAATCCCAGCACTTTGGGAGGCCGAGGTGGGCAGATCACAAGGTCAGGAGATCGAGACCATCCTGGCTAACATGGTGAAACCCTGTCTCTACTAAAAATGCAAAAAATTAGCCAGGTGCGGTGGTGGGCGCCTGTAGTCCCAGCTACTCGGGAGGCTGAGGCAAGAGAATGGCGTGAACCTGGGAGGCGGAGCTTGCAGTGAGCCAAGATCGTGCCACTGCACTCCAGCCTGGGCGACAAAGCGAGACTCCGTCTCAAAAATAAAACAAAAAATAAAACACATGTTCAACAATACACTAATCAATAATACATTGATTATGACAGTTTGGCCTTATTGTTCCATTACTACCTATTAAATAGTTATCTAATTAGAGATATATTTCATTATATCTCCCCAGCCAGCCTCTCAGATAGACCATTATCACAGTATTAGGTGAACTAGTGTAATAGAAATATGTTTTGTATTGCATACAAGGTTACACAGTTTGCAATAACAGTTTGCTTATGAATTCTGCAATAACAATTTGCTTATGAATTCTGGAAATTTTCATAAAATTGACTTCTTTTATGTAATAATATATACTAATAATA
This sequence comes from Homo sapiens, assembly GCF_000001405.40. NCBI lineage: Eukaryota > Metazoa > Chordata > Mammalia > Primates > Hominidae > Homo > Homo sapiens. The sequence goes on along the minus strand of NC_000019.10, from coordinate 9,195,280 downwards.
TATACTAAAAATATTTGATGGAAAACTACCTTTACTGGTTCATGATACCATTATATATGATCATTGCATGATCTTGGAAGGAAAAAAAATGATTGTACTTAATTTGCTACTGAGGAATCTGAGGTTCAGAAAAGAGCTGTGAGCTGCCAAAGGTCCCAAATTCAAGAGCCAATATATGGCTGATGAAGTAGCTACAAATCTGACATTTTTTTCCATTATCTGTAATTTCCGTCCAAATCAAAGATTGTCATAGTAATCTTAGATGGCTATTCTGAAGCATCCAAACTTCTGCCATGTAAGGTATTAGTTCATCATAGCTCTCTTCTAAATCTTGACATAAAGAGCAAAGGACAGAGCATCACCTATGGGGAGCGTCTACAATGTGATTTCAACAGGCAATATTAATGTACCACTTATCATGTTCGTTGACTATTGGGTGACAAATGAAGAGCTCACTTTTATTGGTGACATATACATTTAATATCTTAGGATAAAGTTATAGAAGAACATGATTAAATTATTTATGATGAAATTGGTGGTTCAATAATCCTCAGACATCAGTAGAGCCACATAGCAACTGGAAGTAGAAAACCAGCATTTAAACCTCAGTTAGATGCCCTTCACAAAGACATGTGTTTTATAACCAGCTTTATTTCTTGAGCACATTTAAAAATATTCCAATTGTAGAGAACTACAACATACCTTTGTTCCCAAATCAAAGTTCAGGAATAGAAGTCAATCTAGTTATTTTAATGAAGAGAATTGAATATAGGGAGTTGGTTCAATTGTTACTGCAGGACAAAGGCAAAAGGAAACAATGTAGTAACAGAAACAGTAACTGAAGGTAGCCTCTAAACTCTGAGGCTTCGGGGAGTGAAGGTGTTAGTGAAGTACACTGAACTTTCAGTGTGATGAGCCTTAGTGACCAGGAGTGGAATTACATAAGAAAACTACATGGGCTGGGTACGGTGGCTCACGCCTGCAATCCCAACACTTTGGGAGGCCATGGTGGGTGGTTGGCTTGAGGTCAGGAGTTTGAGATCAGCCTGGCCAACATGGTTAAACCCCATTTCTACAAAAATACAAAAATTAGCTGGGCATGGTAGCCTGTGCCTGTTATCCCAGCTACTTGGGAGGCCGAGGCAGGAGAATTGCTTAAACTCGGGTGACAGAGGTTGCAGTGAGCTGAGATCATGCCACTGCACTCCAGCCTGGGCAACAGAGTGGGACTCCGTCTCAAAAACAAACAAACAACAACAAAAACAAAAAACCCACATGGGAAATAGAACAGGGTTTCGAGAGTCCCAACCTGGCAAAAGATGAGTACAGAAGAATGACATCAGAACAGAAATACTATAGGTTAAAGACCAACATAATAAGAACCACACAAATCGTATCTCCTTGCTATTTTGAAATATTCCACATTATTGTTAACTAAAATTTCTCTACTGTACTATTAAATACTCGAATTTAATTCTTCTGCATGGACCTTTGGACCCATATACCAACTTCTCTTCAACCCCCTCCCCATTTTTACCATGCTCTGGTAGCCAATATTCTACTGTCTGCCTTCATGAGATTAACTTTTCAGCTCCTACGTATGAATGAGAACATGCATTTTTGTGCCTTCCCTATTTCACTTAACGTAATGACCTACAGTCCCATCAAAGTTGTTGCAAATGACAAGATGCCATTTGTTTTACAGCTGAATCATATCTCATTGTATATGCATACACCACATTTTCTTTATTAGAAAGTAAAAATAACACGTATTTTTAAAGAACCAGTCTCTGAATGGGAAGTCTAGGGATATTGTTACCATGTTATTATTTCCTATTTCTCTTTTTATGTATGCACAAGAAGGAAATATGATAAAAATCTATATACATGTAAAACTACAGTTGCAGTAGATAAAATAAAAATTCTAAGGGGTGAAAATAACCCAGCATAATGACAGTCGGTTCAGTGTTGAAGGCAATGCATTTGAAGAAATCACATTGCCTGGTGGTACAAAAAACTCCTTTGTAACTTACATTGAGTTTAATCCCTTTGGGAACTTTACCATCTGAACTCTCTCTGATGTTTGTAATATCCTCATACCCACACAAGTCTAAGTAAATCAGAATCTCTGGTAATGAGACCCAGGCATCAGCACTTGTAAGCTCTCTGGGCAATTTCAATCTAACTCAAACTTGAGGACCAGTGACATGGATCCTCACATATAATCTGCCTAAATAGATTTTATAGATGCAAAGTGTAAATAAATTACAAATGAACAGTGAAAAGCAATATAAATGTGAAGTACAGTAAATTCTCATTTAAGGTCTTCAATAGATTTTTGGAAACTGCAACAATAAGAAAAATGATGTATAATGAAACCAGATTCTTTTTCTCAACAACTTTATAGCTAAACAATGTTAAAGGAAATGACATTATTTGAGGACCTCCTATAATTCATTTTCTTAAAGTCACAGTTTCCAAGAACCTATCAACATTATGTGAGGACTTAACTGTATACAAGAAGAGAGATGTGGCCAGGTGCGGTGGCTCACGCCTGTAATCCCAGCACTTTGGGAGGCTGAGGCAGGTGGATCACAAGGTCAGGAGTTTGAGACCAGCCTAGCCAACATGGTGAAACCCCGTCTCTACTAAAACTGCAAAAATTAGCCAAGCATGGTGGTGGGTGCCTGTAGTCCCAGCTACTCAGGAGGCTGAGGCAGGAGAATTGCTTGAACCCGGGAGGCAGAGGTTGTAGTGAACTGAGATCACACCACTGCACTCCAGCCTGGGCAAAAGAGCGAGAATCCATCTCAAAAAAGAAGAAGAAAAAGAAGAAGAAGAAGAACAAGGAGAAGGAGAAGGAGAAGAAGAGAAGAAAGAAGAAAGAAGTAGAATGTAATTTCACCTGGATACCAGGGTCATTGCCCAGAAACTAAAAGAGTCCGTCTAGGTATATTGAATTCAATCATGATGTTTATTAAGAACAAAGGATATCAGAATACTCAGCAATTCCAACTAGAGACATAACGAAGGAAGCGATATTCTTTGCAGGTCTAGATATTTGACCTTGCTGCCTTTTCCAACCCATGCTAAAGAATGGAACCGATAATAAGATCATGAGATTAGACTATTCTGCCATGCAGCTGCTGCAGGGCACTTTTAATGTCCCTTTTTCTCAGGCTGTAGATGAACGGGTTCAGCATGGGGGCGACCACTGTGTACATCACTGAAGCCACTGCACCCTTTCTGGGATAAGAGGACATGTCTGAACTGAGGTACCCTCCAAGGGCTGTTCCATAAAATAAGCAAACAACTGACAGGTGAGAGCCACAGGTGGAGAAGGCTTTATACTTCCCACCTGATGATGAAACCTTCAGAATGGAGGAAACAATTTTATAGTAAGAGAAAAGATCCCCGAGATGGGAAGAAAACCAAGTATGGCAGCAAGGAAATACATGACTATGTTGTTGGTGAAGGTGTCACAACAGGCAAGGTGGGGGAGTTGAGAAGGGTCACAGAAGAAACTGGGAATTTCCACATCCTTGAAGCAGGTAATTTGTAAGGCAATCCAATTGTGCAGCTGGAAGTCTAAAAGACTGAGAAAAAAAAGACAACAAAACCAGGAAGCCACAGAAACATGGGTTCATGATGACTGGATAATCCAGAGGGTGACAGATGGCCACAAACCGGTCATAAGCCATCACACTCAGAAGCATGTCTTCCATGCATCCAAAAACAGCAAAAAGAGATATCTGAGTCAGGCAGCCCGCATAGGAGATGACTCTGCTGTGAGACTGGATGTCCACAATCATCTTGGGGACAGTGGTGGAGGGGAAACCGATGTCAGCCAAGGACAGGTTGGAGAGGAAAAAGTACGTGGGGGTGTGGAGGTGGGAGTCAGAGCTGACGGCCAGGATGATGAGAAGGTTCCCCAGCACCATGACCAGGCACATGGACAGGAACAGCCCAAAGAGGATGGGCTGCAGTTCTTAATCTGTACACACCCTGTGTGTACATGCTGGGATATTATTCATAATATCTCTTCAATATTACTGCAAATAATATCTCTTTGATATTACTGCAAATAATATCTCTTTGATATTACTGCAAATATCAGAATGGGTGTACACCCTGTGATATAATTAATAATATCTCTTAGAAATTACTGCTAATATCACAGTGGGTGTACACCTAGGATATGATTCATAATATCTCTTTGATAATACTGCTAATATCACAATGGGTATACACCATGTGATATGATTCAAAATATCTCTTCGATTTTACTGCTAATATCACAGTGGGTGTACACCGTGTGATATGATTCATAACATCTCTTCGATATTACTGCTAATATAACACTGGTTGTACACCCTGTTATATGATTCATAATATCTCTTCAATATTAATGTTAATATCACAGTGGATGTACACCCTGTGACATGACTCATAATATCTCTTCGCTATTACTGCTAACAACACAGTAAGTGTACACATTGTGTGTACACTCTGTGATATGATTAGTAATATTTCTTAGATGCGGTGGCTCACGCCTGTAATCCCAGTGATGTTAGATGGAACATCCTCCTGTTTCCTGGATATTACAACTACCTAAGGCAAATGTGAATTTAAATATTCTGGCTCTTTTTTTCTCTCTCTAAAAGACATGCCTCTGTTTCCCATTCCTAAAGCACCTATAAAATTGCTTTATATGTTTTTGTATATTTCTATTCAACAACTCCTTCAGTGATTAATTACTTTTATAGTTTTCTTCTCTGTACATGGTCATCAAATCTCTGTCTTTGATCAGTTTACTTTCAGCTGTTCTTGAGATTTCTAAAGCATCATTTAAATCATTTTCATGTCATGCACTGACATGGCTTCCTCAAAAATTATCCATTTGAATGTCGTGGTTCTTTACTTTGTTGTGTTCTTGTTATCTCTGTGATAGTGACAGGAGACAGCCAAATACCCAGGCAGATGGGGTGGGTCCCCGGTAAAACCCCACCTTCAAGCCAAAAACAGTCTATAGGCTGAAAGACTGGACTACTCGTCCTGGATGAAACCTGCGACCCAGAGTGAAAACTTCTGTTCTTGTTTACTTGCCCTTTCCCAACAGATTTTTTTTTTTTTGAAAAATGCCTTTTAGCCAATCGAATGTTGCCTTTTTGAATAATACCTATGGTCTGTCCCTCCCCCATTCTGAGCCCATAACAGCCCCAGACTCAGCCATATTGATAAAGGAGATAGAAAGAAATTATTTAGGCAGAGAGTGAGGGTAAAAGAGTCCTTGGAGGAATTTCCCTAACAAAAAGCAACCCCCAAATCATTTCTTTTCTGACAAAGAGAAGCCTGAAAAATCAAGCTGCAGACATAGATAAGCAACTGCAAGCTTGCATGGGTGAATCCTAGCAGCTGCGCCAATAGGAAAGGGCTACTTGAAAGCCAGACACGTTCAGCATAGAGTCTCCATCTTTCCTTTTCTTTGTCAGCCCATGTGCAGTAAAGACACAGGCAACATGGCGCCGGCCAGATAGAGAATCCATCTGCATAATAAAAGATTAGGGTGGGGTGTTAAGTGTTAACAGCTCAGTGGGCCCTTTGCCTTTTTGCATGAAGTGGCTGCCCTCCACCAGCGAGGGCAAAGGGCCAGTATGACAGGCTTTTGTAACCGCACTTGTGGCTCCTGAGCACTTTTCCAGCATCTAGGAAAAATAAGGTTGCATGAACGAATTGAAGGATGTTAAATGCAGGAGGGATCTTATGTCTGATCAAAGTGGCTCTCAGGTAAGGGAAGCTGGAAAAGGGATGGGGCAGGCAGGTAATGAAGTCCAGTCGTCTCCTGCCAAATTCTTCTCTGAAGTTATACCATCGAGCTGTCCTTCTGAGGTCAAAGCTGCTTCTCTCTAATGTCCAGCCATAGTTTCATCTACTGGCTGAGTCTGGGGTTTTTATAGGCATAGCATGGGGTTGGGCAGGGTCAGGGGTGGTTTAGGAAAAGGTGATATCCAAGCGAGAAAACAGGGATATAAGTTCTCACTTTGGGCTGCAGTTTCAGGCTTTTTGGCTTGAGGGTGGGGTTTTGCCTGGGAACTGCCCTTTTCTGCCTAGAATTTCTCCACCCTCTGTCCCTATCACCCTCAAGGCCCCACGCTTCCTGGGGTAATAGGGCCTGGTTATTTCTACACAATGTGAGAATTCTCCAAAGAGCAGCCCTAGCTTTAGAGCTCCCCATAGAGTTGGCAGAAACTTTCTCAGATCTGCATAAACATCTCTTATGGACTAAATTGCACCCCCCAAAATTAATATAGTGAAGTCCTCACCCCCAATATGATGACTGTCTTTAGATACAGGGTCCTCAGGGAGGTAATTAAAGTTTACTGAAATCATAAGGGTCAGGCCCTGATCTAATAGGACTGATATTCTTAGAAGAAGAAGAGACACCAGAGAGATATAACCAGCTATATTTAAATACGTATTTTAATCATACTTCATCCAGTAGGAAAACAAATAAACACTGTTGATCTGTTCATGATCGAACACACAAACAACAAAAACCCACATGCAAACACATAGAAATAAAGTCAGTGAACAATCAATAGCTTAAGAACTCTGTGCCACCACTTGAGATAACAAAGCTATAGCAAATGCTTCAAACCCAAGTTCAGAACTCACTAATGGAGAATTAAGAACGATGATCAAGGACACAATTTTTGAATAGCACATAGGACAGAAGTGCCATCAAGGAAATTACTTGGAGATTAATTGTTAACTTACACCCCCATGTTTATCACGGCACTATTCACATTAGCAAAGATATGGAATCAACCTACGTGTCCATCAATGGAGGACTGGACTTTTTTTAAAGTGGTATCTTAAAGAACTAGAAGGCCAGGCACAGTGGCTCACACCTGTAATCCCAGCACTTTGGGAGGCCGAGGTGGGCGTATCACCTGAGGTCAGGAGTTCAAGACCAGCCTGGCCAACATGGTGAAACCCTGTCTCTACTAAAAATAGAAGAATTAGCTGGGTGGGGTGGCAGGTGCCTGTAGTCCCAGCTACTCAGGAGGTTGAGGCAGGAGAATCGCTTGAACCTGGGAGGTGGAGGTTGCAGTGAGATGAGATCGCGCCACTGCACTCCAGCCTGGGCAACAGAGTGAGACTCTGTCTTAAAAAAAAAACAAAAAAAAGAACTAAAAGTAGAACTACCTTTCAGTCCAGCAGTTCCACTACTGGGTATCTACCCAAAGGAAACAAAGTCATTATGTGAAAAAGACACATACACCTGCATGTTTATAGCAACATAATTAGCAATTACAAAGGCATGGAACCAACCTAAGTGCCCATCAACCAATGAGTGATAAAGATTGTGGTATATGTACAGCATGGAATACTACTTATCCATAAAAAGGAACCAAATAATGTCTTTTGTAGCAACTTGGATGGAACTGGAGGTCATTACTCTAGGTGAAGTAACTCAGGAATGAAAAACCTGGACTTGTTTGTATGTTCAACCAACATACATAAGATCCATATGAACATATCGTATGTTCTCAGTTATAAGTGGGAGCTAAGCTATGAGGACACAAAGGGATATGAACAATATAATGAACTTTGGTGACTTGAAGGGAGAAAGGTTGGGAGGGGGGTGAGGAATAAGAGACTACTACCACTTGGGTGACGGGTACACTAAAAACTCAGAAGTCACCACTAAAGAACTCATCCGTGTAATGAAAAACCACATGTACCCCAAAAACTACTGACATAAAAATAAATTTTTTTAAAAAAAGAAAACATGGTATGTATCTACATATGTCTATATCTATATAGATATCGAGGATATATACAATGGAGTACTACTCAGCCATAAAAAAGGATGAAATCATGTCTTTTGCAGCAACATCGATGGGACTGGAAGCCATTCTCTTAAGTAAGGTAGTAAAGAAACAAAGTCAAATGCTGCATGATCTCACTTATAATTGGGAGCTAAACAATGTATACGCATGGGCATTATAACAGAATAATGGACACTGGAGACTGCAAAAGGTGAGAGGGGAGTGAGAGTTTAAAAACTGCCTTGGCCGGGCGTGGTGGCTCACACCTGTAATCCCAGCACTTTGAGAGGCCAAGGCAGGTGGATCACAAGGTCAGGAGTTCGAGACCAGCCTGGCCAAGATGGTGAAACCCCGTCTCTACTAAAAGGCATGGGTGGCACACACCTGTAATCTCAGCTACTCAGGAGGCTGAGACAGAAGAATCACTTGAACCCGGGAGGCGGAGGTTGCAGTGAGCCGAGATCACTCCACTGCACTCCAGCCTGGGAGACAGAGTGAGACTCCGTCTCAAAAAAGAAAAAAAAGTGCCTTATGTTCACTATTCAGGTAATTGGTACGCCAAAAGCTCAGACTTCACCCTTATGCAAATGCATGTTAAGAAATCTGCATTTGTACTCTCAAAGTATAAAAAAATGTTTTTAATTTTAAAGAGTAAGAATTTCAAAATAAAACATTTTTGCCATTGGTGCTCACAAAACTTCTTAGTCCTGGGGCCAAGGGATCCATCACAAACAAGAGGCTGCCCTGCTGAGGAGACTCCCCAGGGCTCCCTTCACATCCTTGTTCCTCAGGCTGTAGATGAAGGGGTTCAACATGGGGGTGACCACAGTGTACATCACCGAGGCCACGGAGATTTTCTGGGAAGAGTGAGTCACCGCAGAAGTGAAGTGGACCCCAATGCCTGTCCCATAAAATAAAGAAACGACGGAGAGGTGAGACCCACAGGTGGAAAGTGCTTTTTGTTTTCCCCCAGATGAGGACATCTTCCTTATGGATGAAGCAATTCGTGAATAAGAGAAAATGATCCCAAGGAGGGGAAAAACGCCCAGCACACCCGTCATAAAGTATATCAACGTGCTGTTCAGGAAGGTATCAGAGCAGGCCAGCTGGAGGATGTACGTCAGTTCGCAGAAAAAATGTGGAATTTCAAAATCTTTACAGAAGATTAGATGCATCATCAGAGAAATATGGAGGAGGGATGTCATGACACCAATGAGCCAGGTGACAAAAACCAGGAGGCCACAGAGGTGGGGGTTCATGATGATCATATAGTGCAGAGGGTGGCAGACAGCCACAAACCGGTCATAGGCCATCACGGTCAGGAGTAGCGTGTCCAGAATAGGAAAAAACATGGAGAAATAGACCTGTGTGAGGCAGTCCATGTAGGAGATGGCTTTGTTCTCGGTCTGGATGTTCACCAGCATCTTGGGGACGATGCAAGTGCTGAAACAGATGTCAACCCAGGACAGGTTGGAGAGGAAGAAGTACATGGGGGTGTGGAGGTGGGAGTCAGAGCTGATGGCCAGGATGATGAGCAGGTTTCCCAGCACCGTCACCAGGTACATGGACAGGAACAGCCCAAATATGAACGGCTGTAGTTCTGGATCCTCAGAGAGTCCGAGAAGGATAAACTCTAAAAATCCTGTTTGGTTTCCTGCTTCCATGTAGCTGATGTATCTACAAAAGAAGAGGTCATTAGCCAGGCATGGTGGTGGACACCTGTAGTCCCAGCTACTCGGGAGGCTGAGATGGAAGGATCACTTGAGCCCAGGAATTTGCAACTGCAGGGAGCTATGTTTACACCACTGCACTCCAGCCTGGGCAATAGAGGGAGAACTGTCTCAAAAAATAAAAATAAAAAATAAAATAAAAATAAAACTATGTATATATGTATTTATTTTAAAATATACATATTTATTTAAAATTATATTTATTTATTTATTTAAAAGGAAGCGGTAAGAGAAACATCAGTTAACATCCAACGGGCATCCTTCATGTAATAGAAATGTTGTCCATACTATTTACTTGTGATTTATGGACTCATTTTGTCTAATCTTTCATACGTAAATGGAATTCTAAAAAATGAAGTCTCTCATCTCAACCACCCATATATTTAATTATTTAAAAATTAATTATATTCTGTATATTCAACGTATACTATATATGTTATGAGATACATATAGATAGTAAAATGGTTACTGTAGTGAAACAAATGAACATATCCATCGTCTTACATAGTTACCCATTTTCTTTATAGCAAGAACAGCTACAGTCTACTGATGTAGCATAAATCCGGAATACTACATACTGTTATTGACTATAATTTTCATGGGTACACTGGATCTCTAGACTCGTTTATCCTATATATCTGCTACTTTATATCCATTATCCTACATCTTCTTCATTTTCTCCCCCAGCCGCACCCCTCCTCTGGTAACCACTGTTTTATTCTCTATATTTGACTTTAAAAAAAATATTCCACATAGAAGTGAAAAAATGCAATATTTTTCTTTCTGCATCTGACTTATTCTACTTAACATAATGGCCTCCAGATTCATCCATGTTGTGGCAAATGGCAGGATCTATTCCTATTTTATCAATCAGTGGAATAATATTGATTGTAAAAATTGTGTAAAAATATATATACACACACATACACATACATATATATACACACACATACATATATATACACACAATGGAATATATATACACAAATATATACACACACACAAATGTACATATACATATATATCACATTTTCTTTAGCCATTTCTCCATCAGCAGACACTTAGGTTGTTTCCATATCTTGACTTTTGCAAGTAATGCTGCAATGAACATGAGCATGCAGATATCTTTACGAGTGGCAATTTCATTTTCTTTGGATACATATCCAGGGGAGGGATTGCTGGATCATATTTAATTTCTTTTTATTTTAAATTTCTTTTATTTTAAATTTCTTCTTTTTGATTTTATTATTTTTATTTTTTGAGAAAGAGTCTCAAAATTTTAATTTCTTTTTCCTTTTTATTTTTTGAGACAGATTCTCTGTCGCCCAGGCTGGAGTGCAGTGGCGTGATCTCAGCTCACTGCAACCTCCACCTCCCAAGTTTAAGCGATTCTTGTGCCTCAGCCTCTTGAGTAGCTGGGATTACAGGTATGTGCCACCACGCCTAGCTAATTTTTGTATTTTTTGTATTTTTTCTTTTTTTTAGTAGAGACAGGGTTTCACCTTGTTGACCAGGCTGGTCTTGAACTCCTGGCCTCAAGTGATCCACCCGCCTTGGCCTCCCAAAGTGCTGGGGATTACAGGCGTAAGCCACCACACCCGGCCTCTATTTAATTCCTTTAGGAACCCTCACACTATTTCCCATAATGTCTGCTCCAATCTACATTACCACCGACAGGGCACAAGGGGTTCCCTTTTCTTCTCACCCTTGCCAACTCTTGTCTTTTTTTTTTTTTTTTTTTTTTTTTTTTTTTTTTTTTTGAGACGGAGTCTTGCTGTCGCCCAGGCTGGAGTGCAGTGGCGCAATCTCGGCTCACTGCAGGCTCCGCCCCCTGGGGTTCACGCCATTCTCCTGCCTCAGCCTCCCGAGTAGCTGGGACTACAGGCGCCCGCCACCTCGCCCGGCTAATTTTTTGTACTTTTAGTAGAGACGGGGTTTCACCGTGTTAGCCAGGATGGTCTCGATCTCCTGACCTCGTGATCCGCCCGCCTCGGCCTCCCAAAGTGCTGGGATTACAGGCGTGAGCCACCGCGCCCGGCCAACTCTTGTCTTTTTAATAATAGTGAATAGTTAGTTAATAGTTAGCTAATAATAGAGCCAATTGTTAGCTAACCGCTAGTAATGGTTAATAATTCTAAGGTCAGGCATGGTGGCTCACGCCTGTAATACCAGCACTTTGGGAGGCTGAGATGAAAAGATTGCTTGAGGCCAGGAGTTCAAGACCAGCCCGAACAACACAGTAAGACTTGCTCTCTACAAAAAAATAAACCAAATTAGCTGGGCATGGTGGCATGTGCCTGTAGTCCCAGCCACTCAGGAGGCTGAGGCGGGAGGATCGCTTTGAGCCACAGTGTTCGAGGATGCAGTGAGCTGAGATTGTGACACTGAACTTGAGCCTAGGTGACAGGGCGAGACCATGTCTTAAAATAAAAAATTACACGGATCTCCCACCAGTCACAGAAAGCGGCTCTGACCCAGCTGAAGTAATTCTTTCCACTGCCCCGGAACCCACCCACGGGAGCAGGCAGCTGGGTTGGCGGGGCGGGGTGGGGCGGCCTTGGAATAGGGGCTGTGGCAGTACACACGGACCCTGCTGCGCTGGCTGTGGGCCTGACGAGAAACTACTAAAGTTCCTGGGGAAGCAAAGTAGAATTTCGTAAGAACAAAATGGATGGTGAGAAGAAAACCTACGGTGGCTGTGAAGGCCCTGATGCCGTGTATGTCAAATTGATATTATCTGATGGCCATGAATTTATTGTCAAAAAAGAACGTGCATTAACATCGGGCACGATAAAAGCCATGTTGAGTGGCCCAGGTCAATTTGCTGAGAACGAAGCCGATGAGGTCCATTTTAGAGAGATCCCTTCACATGTGCTATCAAAAGTATATGCATGTGGCCGGGCGCGGTGGCTCACGCCTGTAATCCCAGCACTTTGGGAGGCCGAGGAGGGCGGATCACCAGGTCAGGAGATCGAGACCATCCTGGCTAACACAGTGAAGCCCCGTCTCTACTAACAATACAAAAAAAATTAGCCAGGCGTGGTGGCGGGCGCCTATAGTCCCAGCTACTCGTGAGGCTGAGGCAGGAGAATGGCGTGAACCCGGGAGGCGGAGCTGGCAGTGAGCCGAGATCTCGCGACACTGCACTCCAGCCTGGGCGAGAGAGCGAGACTCCGTCTCAAAAATAATAATAATAATGATAATAAATAAATAAATAAATAAATAAAGTATGCATGTATTTTATGTACAAGGTTCGCTACGCTAACAGCTCCACCGAGATTCCCGAATTCCCAGTTGCGCCTGAAATTGCACTAGAACTGCTGATGGCTGCGAACTTCCTAGATTGTTAAATACAATAAATTATAATAAACTGTTAACTCATTTCAGTATTTAATACCTGTAGTTCAGTTAGTATTTTTTTCATATATAGCATGTTGCCTATATGCAGCTGAACTGTATAAAGTTCATTGCAAAGCAGATTATCTTCTGGTTTTGCATAGCAATCAAAGTTGAAATTTGTTTGCTACCTCAACAAATTAAGGACATTTTCACAAACTGATAAATAAACAAAAATGCCAATTCATAGGTAAAAGAATAATAATAATAAACAATTCTAACAGGCGTGAGGAAATATCTCATAGTTAACCACCCATATTAAATATCCATTTTATAACGTCCCAAACAAAATAGAATTCTAGAAAATGGACTCTCTAATCCCAACCATCTATCTTAACACTGATTTTATAGCACCCCTATTACATGGTCAAGGAGATTCTTAATGGGACATAATAAACATGTGCTTTCTGATAGGATTCACTGGAAACAGCGAAACATCATTTCTGTGGGATTCCTGCCAAAGACGCAGAACTTTAAAGAGTAGGGAACATCACACAAACTGAGCTTGAGGGGCACAATATCTCACTTGTGCTCTTCAAAAATGTCAGTGCCATAAAATACAAAGAAATGCCAGGCATGGAGGCTTACACTTGGGATCCCAGCACTTTGTGAGGCTGTGAGAGTATCGTTTGAGTTTAGCAGTTTGAGGCCAGCCTAGGAAACATAGTGAAACCCCTTCTCTACAAAAAATACAAAAATTAGCTGGGCATGGTGGCACATGCCTGTTGTCCCAGCTACTTGGGAGGCTGAGGCAGGAGAATTGCCTGAGCCCAGGAGGTTGAGGCTGTAGTGAGCTATGATTGCACCACTGCAACCCAGCCAGCCTTGGTGACAGAGCAAGACCCCATCTCAAAAAAAAAAAAAAAAAAAAAAAAGTCTAGGAAATGTTCCAGATTAAAGGAGGCAAAAAAGACATATCAATCAAATGTAATGGATGACTTGAGTCTTTCTTTTGCTATAGATGACATTATTGGGATAATTAAAATATAAATGAGAAGAAATAAAAAAATAAAATATAAATGAGCTCTGTAAATTTTATAGTATTATATTAATGCTATATACTAATTACTATATTACTAATATAGTATATAGCAAATAGTGTATTATATATCTATAATACTATATATAATATGGTATTAATGCCAATTTCCTGATTGTGATCATTGCACTGTAGTTATGTGAAACAATTTTTTTTTTGACAGGGTCTGGGTCTGTTGCCCAGGCTGAAGTGCAGTAGCATGATCATAGCTCACTGCAACCTCCACTTCCTGGGCTTAAGCGATCCTCCCACCTCAGCCTCCTGAGTAGCTATGACTACAGATGCTCGCCACCACACCCGGCTAATTTTTGTATTTTTAATAGAGATAGGGTTTCACTATGTTGGCCAGGCTAGTCTCAAACTCATGACCTCAGGTGATCCACCCGCCTCAGCCTCCTAAAGTGCTGGGATTACAGGCGTGAACCACTGTGCCCAGCCAGCATTATTTTTTACTTAAATATTTAGACAAATACACCATGAAGCCCGACGAACCTGAAGTTTCTTTGTGGCAAGTCCAGATCACATTCTAGAAAATTTTACTTTATCCAGATATTCCCCAAGGCTTTGTACTCATCATGGAAAGCTGAATGAAGGTAAAAAAAAAAAAAAATCACATATAAGACAAACAAGAAATCTGCAAATTAATCTCATGTTGACAACAGATGCAAAAGCCTGAAAGGGGAGTGAAATGAAGTTATCTTTTGGATAAAATAACACACTCCATTACTAATGAATATTTATCCTAAGAGTGTAAAAAATTTAATATCGGCAAGTCAGATAACAAAGTATATGCGTGAATAGAGCAAGGCAGAAAAAGAAACCATGGTTTTAACATAAGCTAAAATTCATTTAATAAAATGTAACAGCCTGGCTGGGTGCTGTGACTCCTGCCTGTAATCCCAGCACTTTGAGAGGCTAAGGCAGGAGAAATTCTTGAGGCCAGGAGTTTGAGACCAGCCTAGACAACAAAATGAGACACTTGCCTCTACAAAAATAGATTTTTAAAAAATTAGCTACTTGGGAGGCCAAGGCAGGAGGTTTGCTTGAGCCCAGAAAGACCCTGTCTCAAAAAAAAAAAAAGTCAACTTAAACACAATTAATTACAACTAATCAGTGTCATCAGCTTTCTTATGTATCTGCAAACAGCCATGAGAAAAAATAAGAGGAAAAAAAGTCCATTCACAATTGCAATGATAATATATGTAACATCTGGTGCAGAGTGAACATTTAATACATACTTGTTTTGTTTTGCTTTGCTTTGTTGATTTTTTTTTTTTTAGACGGAGTTTTGTTCTTGTTGCCCAGGCTGAAGTGCAATGGTGCAATCTCAGCTCACTGCAACCTCTGCCTCCCAGGTTCAAGAAATTCCCCTGCCTCAGCCTCCCAAATGGCTGGGACTACAGGCACACACCACCATGCCCGGCTAATTTTGTATTTTTAGTAGAGACAGGGTTTCACCATGTTGGCCAGGATGGTCTCGATCTCTTGACCTTGTGATCCACCCGCCTCGGCCTCCTAAAGTTCTGGGATTATAGGCATGAGCCACTGCACCCGGCCGAGAACTATTATATTATACTAGAGAAGAAAAAGGAAGGTGTTAGCAGGTAGACTGAAAGGAATCCACTCAAGGAAGTGCCAGTTCCTACTGACATTGAGAAAGTCACTAGTTTCCAGAATGAAAGGCCATCAGAGGTGGAGGTGACAGAAACAGTTGCAATAGAATCTTTTTTTTTTTTTGAGACAGCGTCTCACTCACTCTGTCACCCAGGCTGGAGTGCAGTGGCGTGATCTTGGCTCATGGCAACCTCTGTCTCCCGGGTTCAAGCCATTCTCCTGACTCAGGCTCCCGAGTAGCTGGGATTACAGGCATCCGCCACCATGCCCAGCTAATTTTTGTATTTTTAGATGAGATGGGGTTTCACCAAGTTGGCCAGGCTTGTCTTAGACTCCTGGCCTCAAGCGATCCGCCTGCCTCAGCCTCCCAAAAGTTGCAATGCCTTAAGACATCTATAACCAGGTAAGGGAATCCTAGAGACATTTTAAAAATCATGAGACATTATCAACCCTGTTACCTCCATCTCTGTTCCTCCCCACACTACTTTTTAAATCCTTTTCACACACGGTACTAACAAGGATAGTGTGAGTCACTCAACTGACATTGCTTGAAAAAAAAAAATGCTGGTATGACGTCTTCCTCCCCTGACTGTTGAATGCTGAAGACAGAATCTAGCAGGGAAAGGCGGGGAGATGGAACTTGTCATGAAGTCATCCTAACTCTCCTCTCTAAGATGCATGAGTGTGGCGTCAGGAAACTGTCCAGGTGAGGTGTTTTAGGGAAGTATTTATGGTTTCTCAAGCCCCAGGGAGCTGATGTCTCATCCTTCCTCATTAAATCCACTGTTCCAGTGATGTTCTACTCTCCAACCCATTCGGCTCCCTTGGGATCAAGAGCAAATGGCAGAAAGGTATGATGTGTTCTAATTCTGTTTCCAAGAAGGCAGCTCTGAAGCCAGGTGACTCTCTCTGCACCTCCCACCCTCTTGGGGCCTCTTTATTCTTGGAAGAGCTTTCATCACTATTGGTTTGGCTTTGAGATAAAGAGGTTTTCCCCTCTGGAATGTGTCGCAGAAGCTACAAAGACCCATCTCTCTGTAATCCCAGTGCCTAAGGGTCTCAAGGTAACACAGAAGAAAATAGAGATGCAACTATTTCCGTGAATCCCCTGTGATCGCGTTGGCTGCAGGGCGTTAAACAGGCTGTGGACATGTCGTAAGTCCTGTTTCAAGAGAGGGAGAGTCAACCATTGCGAGATACAGCAAGATTTCTCTTCAAACAGCCTGCTCAGCTTCTTATTCTCTAATTCCAAGTACCCCCCCCACACACTTTCTTCTCCTTTTCTTCTTTCTGATTTTGCTGCATGCCCAGATATGCCATAGCCCCAGCTCACATTTCTTTCCTTATTTAAGAATAGACTAGCTGTCTATTCCTCTGTAGAAGACCCCTTCCTCCTCTCCTCTGTCTCCCATCACACACCCACCTTATCTAAGACAGTTTAAATGTGTAACCAATCAAGTCTAGTTTAGATTGTGCTGTCCGACCCCAGCCAATGGGGAAAGGACACACAAAGTCAAGAGTCGCATTAAGAATAAAAGTTGCTACTCTCCTTTGTTCAGGGTGCTCTTGTAGCAGCCAACCCTACGAGAAGCACCCTTCTGCGCAGAAGTAAATTTGCTTTGCTGAGAAATCCTTTGTTTGAGTGCTCATTTTTCTTTATGACTCCAAGATTTATTTCTAACAACCATGTAAAACGATGCTATAAGGCTAAGCAAAATAAAGGCTGAAGAATATCCATCACATTTAATGGCATGGAAAACATTAGAAACAGCGATCTGGGTAGAGTGATGGGGAAAATTTCATTGATGGCAAGTTTGGGAGGAACTGAACAATAAGAAAAAAGTTTTTTTCAATTTTTAAAATGATGGTAAAATATACATAACATACAGTTCACCATCTTAACCATTTTAAGTGTACTATTCAGTGGCATTAAGTATATTCACAGCAGCCATCACTATCCTCCATATTCAGAATCTTCTCATCTCCCCAAGCTGAAACTCTGTCCCGTAACACTCATCCCTCATTCACCCTCCCCAGCCCCTAATGAACCACCATACCACTTTCTGTCTCTATAATTCTGACTGTGGTACCTACTTCATAGACGGAAGTATACACTGTTTGTCTTTTTGTGACTGACTTATTTCATTTAAGTGAAATATTGCCAAGGTTCATGTATGCTGTATATGTGTCCGAATGTTCTTTCTCTCTCTCTCTCCTCTCTCTTTTTTTTTCTTTCTTCTTTTTTGTCAGGGTCTTACTCTGTCACCTAGGCTGGAGTGCAGTGGCACAATCATAGCTCATTACAATCCCAAAGACCTGAGATCAAGCAATCCTCCCACATCAGTCTCCCAATTAGCTAATTTGTTTTTTATTTTTTGTTGTTTTTCTATTTATTATTATTATTATTTTTATATTATTATTTTGAGACAAAGCCTCACTCTTGTCGCCCAGGCTGGAATGCAACTTCCACCTCCGAGGTTCAAGCGATTCTCCTGCCTCAGCCTCCCGAGTAGCTGGGATTACACGTGTGCGCCACCATGTCCGGCTAATTTTTGTATTTTTAGTAGAGATGGGGTTTCACCATGTTGGCCGGGCTGGTCTCATATTCCTGGCCTTGAGTGATCCTCCCGCCTCAGCCTCCCAAAGTGTTGGGATTATAGGCATGAGGCACCATGCTCAGGAGAATGTTCTTTGTTAAAGCCACAAAATATTTCATTATATTATATGTATATACACACATTTTGTTTATCCATTCATCTGTCAATGACTGACAGATCTTTTAAAATTAAAATTAAATGTACAAAAATCTGTGTGGTTTGCAGGAATAAATTTCGAGTACTTCAAATATACAACAAAATGTGCTTGGCCGGGTACGGTGGCTCATGCCTGTAATCCCAGCACTTTGGGAGGCCAAGGTAGGTGGATCACCTGAGGTCAGGAGTTCGAGACCAGCCTGGCCAACATGGTGAAACCCTGTCTCTGCTAAAAATACAAAAAAAAAAAAAAAAAAAAATTAGCTGTGCGTGGTTGTGGGCGCCTGTAATCCCAGCTACTTGGGAAGCTAAGGCGAGAGAATTGCTTGAACCCAAGAGGTGGAGGTTGCAGTGAGCCGAGATTGCACCATTGCACTCCAGCCTGAGTAACAAAAGCGAACCCCGTCTAAAAAAAAAAGGGGTAAATATTTTTTCTGAAATATAATTTTTAATATAAAATTATTAACACATTATTTCATTTTTTTTCATTTGTTTGTTTTGGTGCAGTCTCACTCTGTCACCCAGGCTGGAGTGAGCGGCGCAATCTCAGCTCACTGTAACCTCTGCCTCTCGGGTTCAAGTGATTCTCCCACCTCAGCCTCCTGAGGCGTAGTAGCTGTGATTACAGGCATATGTGCCACCACACCCAGATAATTTTTGTATTTTTAGTAGAGATGGGGTTTCACCGTATTGGCCAGGCTAGTCTCAAACTCCTGGCCTCAAATGATCCACCCACCTTGGCCTCCCAAAGTGCTGGGATTACAGGCATGAGCCATGACGCCTGGCCATTTAGGGGTAATCTTTTTAACTGAACAGAAGCAATTGAAGTAATTTGCAACTCGACTGGACAAAAATCATTTGCAATTGATTAATTCCCTGTGGGTTGGCAATAACTTCACAGAGTCCAGGTCTCAAGCAAACAAACGAACATTGCCTTGAGAAGGAAAGAACTAGCTAGGCCTGTCAGACAATGCTTCAGCATGATACTGAACAGTAATGCGGTCATCCTTTTGCCTTATTTAAAAGGTTTAGGTAATTTGCTTCTTAATACAAAGGATGGATTAGAAGACAGGAGGGTGATGGAACAAGAGATGGAGTTGGAGCAAAAAACAGGAGTCAGATCATGGAGGACACTGGAGTTTAGGTTTCCTTCTGGAGGGAAGTAAGAGCACCGGGTGTTAAAAAAAAAATGTGTACAATGATGTTCCCCTGCAGAATGGGCAGGAAGGGTGCCAGGCTACCTACAGCCCAGATGACAGATCATGTGGACTTGAATCAAAGCAGCATTGGTGGACGTTCTAAAAAAATAAAGTCTATTAAAATGGCATCTAATTCTTGCTATATATATATATATATGTATATATATAATAATAAATATATATAAAAATAAAATATATATAATAAAAATATATAAAAATATATATATTTTTGAGATGGAGTCTCACTCTGTCATCCAGGCTGGTGTGCAGTGGCACAATCTCGGCTCACTGCAACATCTGCCTCCTGGGTTCAAGCGATTCTCCTGCCTCAGCCTCCTAAGTAGCTGGGATTATAGGCGCACGCCAGCATACTGGACTAATTTTTATATTTTTAGTAGAGACAAGTTTTCACCATGTTGGCCAGGCTGGTATTGAACTCCTGACCTCAGGTGATCCTCCCCCCTTGGCCTCCCAAAATGCTGGGATTACAGGTGTGAGCCACTGCACCCAGCCCTCATTCTCTTTTCTATCAGTTATTTATTTAGGAATTTTTAAAAAATTTTTTAATTAAAAAAAAATTTTCTAGTTTTCTAGTTTCCTAAGCACTTTTTTTTTTTACATAATTTGCCTTTTCTGACTTGACTTGTGATATGTCTGTATGATGAACTAAATTCTCATATGGATGTTGGTGAAAAGAATCAAAGTCTGTAAAATATTTGAAGAGATTTATTCTGAGCTAAATATGAGTGACCAATGGCCCATAACATAACCCCAGGAGACCCTGAGAACATGTGCCCCCAAAGTGGTCAGGCTACAGCTTGGTCTTACACATTTTAGGGAAACATCAGTCAATACGTATAAGATGTACATTGGTTCGGCCAGGCGCGGTGGCTCACGCCTGTAATCCCAGCACTTTGGGAGGCTGAGGCGGGTGGATCATGAGGTCAGGAAATCGAGACCATCCTGGCTAACACGGTGAAACCCCGTCTCTACCAGAAAAAAATACAAAAAATTAGCCGGGCATGGTGACGGGCACCTGTAGTCCCAGCTACTCAGGAGGCTGAGGCAGGAGAAGGGCATGAACCCAGAAGGCGGAGCTTGCAGGGAGCCAAGATGTGCCACTGCACTCCAGTCTGGGCAATAGAGCGAGACTCCGTCTCAAAAAAAAAAAAAAAAAGATGTACATTGGTTCAGTCCAGAAAGGTGGGACAACTGGAAGTGGGGCTTCCAGGTCATATGCAGATTCAAAGTTTTTCCAATAGGCAGTTGGTTGAGTTTTTCTATCAGACCTGGAATCAGGCCGGGCACGGTGGCTCATGCATGTAATCCCGGCACTTTGGGAGGCCGAGATGGGAGGATTGCTTGAGCTCAGGAGTTCGATACCAGCCAGGGTAGCATGGCGAAACCCCATCTCTACAAATAATACAAAAACTAGCCAGGCATGGTGGCATGTGTCTTGTAGTCCCAGCTACTCAGGAAGCTGAAGCAGGAGAATCACTTGAGCCTGAGAGGTTGAGGCTGCAGTGAGCCATGATCGTGCCACTGCACTCCAGCCTGGGCAACAGGGTGAGACTCTGTCTCAAGAAAAAAAAAAAAGTTTCCAGGGAAAGTATTATGATAAGACAGAGAGAAGGGAATTGATCAGGTTGTATACTTTAAATATGTGAATTTCGGCCGGGCACGGTGGCTCACGTCTGTAATCCCAGCACTTTGGGAGGCCGAGGCAGGCGGATCATGAGGTCAGGAGATCGAGACCATCCTGGCTAACATGGTGAAACCCCGTCTCTACTAAAAAAAATACAAAAAAAATTAGCCGGGTGTGGTGGTGGGCGCCTGTAGTCCCAGCTACTCGGGAGGCTGAGGCAGGAGAATGGCGTGAACCCAGGAGGTGGAGCTTGCAGTGAGCCGAGATCGCGCTACTGCACTCCAGCCTGGGTGACAGAGCGAGACTCTGTCTCAAAAAAAAAAAAAATAAAAAATAAATAAATAAATAAATATGTGAATTTCCCACATGTTCATCACTTCTCAATAAAGATGTTCCCCTTACTTAGACTCTTGCAATAATATACTGGCCTTGTGGCCAACTGCAGAAAAGAATGGCCACTGTGTCTTTTCTTCCCTATATCCAAGCCCCTTTTGTGTAACTGAGTGCCCTTCCACCTTGGGCTCACCCATGATTGCACTGGCTGATGGGGCATAGGCATTCCCAATACAAGCTCTGCTGGAACACTCCAGCAATGTGTGAACAGGCCTTACCTGGACGACTGGAGGAATGAGACCTTGAACGAAGAACAATAAACCCCACCCCACCTAGACAGTGACTGCAGAAGCCAGTCAAGAGAACTCTCAGGCTAAGCACAGCCCAAATTGTCAACAAACAAACCCTAAATAAAAGGTGGTGGGGTGTTGTTGTTTGAGAGACGGGGGTTCACCATGTTGCCCAGGCTGGTCTTGAACTCCTGGACTCAAGTAATCCTCCTGCCTGGCCCCCAAACTGCTGGGATTATGAGACACTGAGCCCGGCCTGGTGGTTGCTTTAAACCACCATGTTTTGGGTGGCTATGAAACAAAAGCTCATAGAAACAGGACCCTTCATTCCATTCCGCAACTGGGAACCAGTTACCTTGCTCAACTGCAAACTTCATTGAATATCAATTTGTTTCCATCGATTTCCAACTAACATTTACATTGAAACTAGTAGACTAACATATAGATATATGTGTGTGAGCCAGGCACAGTGGCTCATGACTGTAATCCCAGCACTTTGGTAGGCTGAGGCAGGAGGATTGCTTGAGCCCAGGAGTTTGAGACTAGCCTGGGCAACATAACAAGACTGTGTCTCTACAAAAATAAAAAAAATAGAATTAGTCAGGCATGGTAGTGTGTGCCTATAGTCCAGGTACTTAAGAGGCTGAGGTTGGCAGATGGCTTAAACCCAGGAGGTTGAGGCTGCAGAAAGCTATGGTCATGCCACTGCACTCCAATCTGGGTGACAGAATGAGACCGAGTCTTTAAAAAAAGAGAGAGAATAAAGGAAATGTGTGTGTTCTCCAATCTGTCCCATATTACCTTTCAAGTCTGCCTCTTACTCCAAAGATTGTCTTTTATCTACAGAATGTAATATACTGTCATTTTTTCAGTGCCTTTGCACTCAGGATTAGCATGCTTATTTGATTCTGCTCCTGAACTCTTAATGAGCCTTCTACAAGGCAGGCCTCGGTGGCTCATGCCTGTAATCCTAGCACTTTGGGAGGCCGAGGTGGGCAGATTGCCTGAGCTCAGGAGTTTGAGACTGGCCTGAGAACACGGTAAAACCTGTCTCTACTAAAATACAAAAAATTAGCCAGGCATGGCAGCGTGTGCCTGTAGTCCCTGCTACTCGGGAGGCTGAGGCAGGAGAACCGCTTGAACCCGGGAGGCGGAAGTTGCAGTGAGCTGAGATCGCGCCACTGCACTCCAGCCTGGGCAACAGAGCGAGACTCCATCTCCAAATAATCATAATCACAATCATAATCATCCTTCTACACTGAGCTTGCATCATCTCTTCTACTTAGATTTTCTTGATGGCCCCCAGTTCAACATCTTCCTCATCTGGGGCCTCCCAAATGGATTCACCTGCCATACTAGGTGTCTTATTTACTGTTAATATCGCTCTTCTCCTAGACCTTTACTTTCTTAAGGGCAGTACTTTGTCTTATTGATCTTTCTTCCCAAAACCTAATTAAAAGTGTAAGGCACTTAGCTAATATTCATTGGGTATATACAATAGGTTCCCTAGCAGGGAAGAATTCCTGAGTGGATTGGATGTTACCCAAAGGTTACACAAGACAGAGATTTTCCCTGCTGGAGAGGGTCCAAGAACTGAAAACAAGACTCAGACAAGCAGACTGTGTTCCTGTAATTAGAAGTTCCCTCCAGAGACTGTGTGACACTTTCTTTCTGAGAACTGGCAGGGAAGTGCAATGAGAGGCAACTGTCATGGGCCACTGAGGTTATCCATGGAATTCATTATCGGGATGGAGAAATTGGGCACAAAGGGACCAGTTATGCTGGTTCCCAAGGCTCATTTAAAAAATGGCCGATTTTACTCAATGCTGAGAGAAAGTACTCTCTTCCCCTTGGGCCCGGCCTCTAGGGTACACATTCTTTTTCTCAATCCTGGCAATAGCCAGTGAGTAATTGCTATTTCTTCACTAGTGAGCCTAGGAAAACTTTTGACCAAGGCTTGCTGAACGTTCAGCATTTTCACTTGGGGATGTAAACTGCCCCGACTACACACTCAAAGTCCTGCGTGGAAGCACTGCCAGGGGAAAGGAAGGGATTTCAGGAAGCCAAGTGGAACACCACAAGCCCCTTTGTCATGTGCTCTGAGCCCAGCAGATCCACTGGTTGATGCAGGCATGAAAGGGGTCAAGAGGTGAAACAAGAGCTGAATGTCAGAGTAAGCACTTGACACTAGTCCCAGTTTCCAGCTGGTAAGTTGACTCTTTGACATGTCTCTTTCTCTGCAGAAAGTAAATGACTGGCCTCCAGTGTTGTTGGGAAGACTGGTCAATCTATGAAAAAAGTGCTCCAATCCGCCATCTTCTTGGTTGAGGTAGAGAAAAATTATCACCAATGTTAGGTCAAAATAACTGTCAAGGGCCCAGCATGGTGGCTCACGCCTGTAATCCCAGCACTTTGGGAGGCCGAGGCAGGCGGATCACCTGAGGTTGGGAGTTCGAGACCAGCCTGACCAACATGGAGAGACCCCCCGTCTCTACTAAAAATACAAAATTAGCCGGGCATGGTGGCACATGCCTGTAATCCCAGCTACTCAGGAAGGCTGAGGCAGGAGAATCACTTGAACCTGGGAGGCAGAGGTTATGGTGAGCCAAGATCGCGCCAGTGCACTCCAGCCTGGGCAACAAGGGCGAAACTCCATCTTAAAAAAAAAAAAAAAAACTGTCAAGTCCCAAGGCTGGTGTAATCCCAGCACTTTGGGAGGCCGAGGTGGGCAGATCACTTGAGGCCAGGAGTTCAAGACCAACCTGGCCAACATGGCAAAATTCTGTCTAGTAAAAATACAAAAATTTGTCAGGCATGGTGGTGGGTACCTGTAACCTCAGCTACTCCTGAGGCTAAGGCAGAAGAATTGCTTGAGCCTGGGAGGCAGAGGTAACACTGAACCGAGATCGTACCATTGCACTCCAGCCTGGGTGACAGAGCAAGACTCTGTCTCAAAATAATAATAACAATAAATAATAATAATAATCAGCTTTTATTCTGAACTCAAGAAAGTAGCATTGGGCTACAGACAAATCAAGGAACTCATGTTGCTTAAATGTAAGCGTTTTCTTGGGCAAAAGATTAAGACCTTGGAGGCCAAACCAGATAGAAATGAATGGACTGGAAGAAAATGCAGATCAAACAGTCCTTGAAAACAGAAATAACCGTCGAGTTTTGACAAGTGTTCTTCAAATCTTGCAACCTGAAAACCAAATACAGTGAGAGAAGCAGGGTCTCATGGAGCAAGCTGGAATTGCTCTTGTCATGACAGAAAGAAATGCTTTGATGATTCCTCAGTAAGCATTCCCAGCCCTGTTCTGTTTTAGGAGAAACTGAAATGTACAGGAAAGCTGCCTCTTGAGGATTTCTGTGATGATTTTGTTTCCTAAAAAGGTAAAGTGGCCAAAAATGAGTGTACGCCCCTGTCTCTACTAAAATACAAAAAAATTAGCAGGGCGTGGTGGCAGGTGCCTGTAGTCCCAGCTATCTGGGAGGCTGAGACAGGCGAACCGCTTGAACCCGGGAGGCAGAGGTTGCAGTGAGCCGAGATCGCCGCCACTGCAGTCCAGCCTGGCGACAGAGCGAGACTCCATCTCAAAAAAAAAAGAGTATACGCTGTACACTGCACAGGTTGAACGGGTCAATCCCATCTGTCTGTTCCCCTCCTCAACTTTACTCTTCCTCACAGCATTTATTCTTCTCCGCATTTACTTTTCTTCCTAGTGTTTATTTATTCGCTTGTACTCTGGCTCCAAAGTTTAACGTCAAGATTACTATGAATGGGACCAGTTTTGTGTACTGCTGCCTTGCCAAAGCCTATAAATACCTGGACAAGAAAGTCATTAGTTAATTCCCAGTATTTATGAGAATGTAGTATGACATTGCTAGCATTTTAATGTAGCTGATAAAAGTCATTTCGTAAGTGATGGAGGTAAAATGAGTTATCCATTCTGACAAGATCTCTAAGTACAACATACCCTGCCACCAAACTGATGGCAACTCTTAGACCTTCTCAAGAGACACAAATACCCTCATACTCACACCTCCAAAGGGACCAGGGATCTCTGGTCTAAAAAAACCCAAATCCAAGCTGAGACACACACTTAACAGTCCCCCAAGGGCTTTTACAAAGAAGAAACTTAGCACAATACATAATATATATATATATATATATATATATAATTTTTTTTTGTTTTGTTTTTGTTTTTTTTTGAGACACAGTCTCGCTGTGTCACCAAGGCTGGAGTGCAGTGGCAAAATCTCGGCTCACTGCAACCTCCGCCTCCCTGGTTCACGTGATTCTCCTGCCTCAGCCTCCCAGGTAGCTGGGAATACAGATATGCACCACCATGCCCAGCTAATTTTTTTGTACTTTTAGTAGAGACGGGATTTCACCATGTTGTCCAGGCTGGTCTCCAACTCCTGACCTCATGTGATCCCCCAGCCTCAGCCTCCCAAACTGCTGGGATTACAAGCATGAGCCAATGTATCTGACTGATACGTAAATATTTTGCAAGTAACCTGCCTGACTGCAAACCCTTGGCCTCTCTACTCCAAACTCCAAACTCCAAACCCAGGTTTCCCAGGACACACATATTAGGAATGCATGGATGTGTTCACTCAGGTAAGGAACGATGCCCGCAATGGCCAATGTGTGCAGAATAACAATGTAAGGCCAGGCGCAGTGGCTCACGCCTGTAATCCCAGCATTTTGGGAGGCCAAAATGGGAGAGGATCACTTGCGGTCAGGAGTTCGAGATCAGTCTGGCCAACATGGTGAAGCCTTGTCTCTACTAAAAATGCAAAAAATTACCTGGGTGTGGTGGTGTGTGCCTGTAATCCCAGCTACTTTGGAGGGTGAGGCAAGAGAATCCCTTGAACCTGGGAAGTGGAGGTTGCAGTGAGCTGAGATCATGCCATTGCACTTGGCCTGGGCGACAGAGTCAGGCCCTGACTTAGAAAAAGAAAAAAAAAAAAAAAAAAAAAAAAAAAAGAGGGAAATGGAGAAATTGGAGAAAAGAGAGAGACAGAATTTTAAAAATCTAGAGAAAGAAATATAAAGAGAGAGAGAGAGATGGAAAGGGAAGAAAGTAAAACCACTTAGCTAAGGAAGCTCAAAAATGAAAATGTGGAAATGGGAGAGGGTAGAAGGCTGTTGGAGAGGGAGTCTGAGGCCCTCAGATGAACCAAGTATGTAAGGAAGAAAATTAAGGAATAAATCTGTCCCGAATGTCAAAGTCAGAGTCCACCACTCGTAGGCTCCCACCCTGGAAACACACTAGGTCCTTCCGTTGTGCTGAATGGCAGAAAGACGGCTGAGCAGACCATGTGAGAGCACAAACACTATCTCCAGCAACACAGGAGTCCAGGGTCTTCACAGCCATGAGGTCCCCGCCGGGCCTCCAGGCTTAATCTCAATCTTGCCATTTTCCTTCCTGGTAACTAAAAACAATGGCCAAAGCTCCATCATGGAGCTTGGATTCCTGTGCAATTGGGTTCTGCTTGCAACAGAAGGTGGTTTGAAAACAACCTTTTAATGGCATCAGACCCACTTGTCATCACTGCATGGCTGCTGATGGGTACCTGAGACACCTTCTTTGTAGGATTTCCTTGTTCCTTGGCAGGGTTTCTAATGAAATAACAGGAGGTGGAGGGGAGGGCATGTGTGGGGGGTGTCAGTTACTACATGTTTGTTTTTTTTTTTGACCGAGTCTCACTCTTTCGCTCAGGCTGGAGTGCAGTGGTGTGATCTCGGCTCACTGCAACCTCTGCCTCCCGGGTTCGAGCAATTGTCCTGCCTCAGCTTCCCAGTAGCCGGGACTACAGGCACGCGCCACCACGCCCGGCTAACTTTTGTATTTTTAGTAGAAATGAGGTTTCACTATGTTGGTCAGGCTGATCTCGAACTCTTGGCCTCGTGATCCTCCCTCCTTGGCCTCCCAAAGTGCTGGGATTACAGACATGAGCCACTGCACCCGTCCCAGTTACTGCATCTTGAAGAAATCAGGCTTGGGGATGGGAGCAGGAAAACACATCACCCTTTTCAGTTATTACACAAAGCTGTGCACAGCAAGGCTTATTACCACTACACCTACCTCTCCCTTCATTCCTCCCTGGGTGGCCAGGGCAGGCCAGGAGGCATTGTGTTATTGGCTTAGGGGACCACCACATTCAGAGCAAATTCAAGCTACAACAGGGAGAAGCACCTGTTTTCCTAAGGACCTCAGACATCTGGATTTTAAGGAGTCACTAAATGGATTCCACAGATGAAGAGGACAGAAGAGTTAGTGAACTTTAAGATATATCAGTAGAAGTCATACAAACTGGAAAACAAACACATTAGAAAAATGAAACAGGAACTTCAGAGTCCTGTGGCGCAGCTGGAGTCCCAAAAGGAGAAAATGAGGAAGAAAACAACTTCGGAAAATTCCTGAGAATTGAAAGCAGGAACTCACACAGACACTTGCATCCAATGTCCATATTGTAGGGGCAACAAGATTTCACCTTCATCATCTTAGGATCCTTGCTGGGCCTGATAATTACACCGACATACGATTAGGTTAACAAGATTAAAGCATACACATGTATTTGTTTAATGAAAGTTTTATGTGGCATGGGGTTCCTCATAAGGAAACAAGCCAGAAAAGCAGTTAAGAGCCAAACACTTATAAACTGAATTGGACAGACAAGTAAACTGCGCTAATGGGATAAAACCAAGGGTGTGGGCTAGGGTGGTTAATCAGGTAGAGAAGTGGCTCAGAAGCCGTAGTGTAATGAGGTTGGTTTGGATAGATCTCCTTTGCCTCAACTTTGCATCCTTCATGCTAAGAATGCTGTCTTCAGGCTGGGCGCAGTGGCTCACACCTGTAATCCCAACACTTTGGGAGGCTGAGGCGGGCATATCACCTGAGGTCAGGAGTTCAAGACCAGCCTGACCAACATGGTAAAACTCCGTTTCTACTAAAAATACAAAAATTAGCCGGGCATGGTGGCAGGCTACTCGGCGAGTACCCAGCTACTTTGGAGGCTGAGGCAGGATAATTGCTTGAATCCAGGAGGCAGAGGTTGCAGTGAGCCCAGATCGCGCCACTGCACTCCAGCCTGGGCAACAGAGCAAGACTGCATCTCAAGAAAAAAGAAAAAAAAATCATCAATATCAGTATGATTCACAATAGCCAAGAGGTAGAAACAGCCCAAATGTTCATCAATAGATGAATGAATAAAACGTGACACATACATGCAACAGAATTTATTAAGCCATAAAAGGGAATGAAATTCTGATACATGCTACAACATGGATAAGCCTTGAAAACATTACTTTTAATGAAATAAGGCAGACGCACACAAAACAACGTATTTTATTATTCTACTTCTGACAAAATTCATGGACACTACCTACAAGTTACCAGGGGCTGAAGATAGAAGTGTTGAGGAGTGATTGCTTAATGGGTACATAATTTTTTGGAATGAAGAGAAAGATCTGAAAATGGATAGTGGTGGTAGCCAATATTGTCAATGTACTTAATGCCACCGAACAGTACACCTAAAAAATGATTAAAATGGGGCTGTGCGCGGTGGCTCACACATGTAATCCTAGCACTTTGGGAGGCCGAGGCAGGTGGATCATGAGGTCAAGAGATCAAGACCATCCTGGCCAACATGGTGAAACTCCATTTCTACTAAAAATACAAATATTAGCTGGGCATGGTGGTGCGCACCTATAGTCCCAGCTACTCAGGAGGCTGAGGCAGGAGAATTGCTTGAACCCAGGATGTGGAGGTTGCAGTGAGCCAAGATTGCACCACTGGACTCCAGCTTGGGCAACAGAACGAGACTCTGCCTCAAAAAACAAAAACAAACAAACAAAAAAACCCAGTGAATTTCATGTTATGTTTATTTTACCACAATTAAAAAATTATGAAGAAATAATGGCCAAATACTTCCTTGTGAAAGACAGTGACTCACGTATCTAAGAATCTGAAGGATCCCCAAGCAGAGTAAATGCACAGGAAACTGCACCAAGACACAGAGTCAAACTGTTGAAAACCCAAGATAATTATCTGAAGAGGAGCCAGTGACAAGCAACACATTACTTACATTACTTACAGGGGAATAATGTTAAGAATAACGCTAACTTTTAGTCAGCAACAATGGAGGCCAGAAGACAAAGAAATGACCCCTTTAAAGCATATCCAGACCAGGCGCGGTGGCTCACACCTGTAATCCCAGCACCTTGGGAGGCTGAGGCAGGCAGATCACCTGAGGTCAGGAGTTCAAGACCAGCCTGGCTAACGTGATGGAACCTCAACTTTACTAAAAATACAAAAATTTGCCAGGCATGGTGGTGCAAACCTATAATCCCAGCTACTCAGGTGGCTAAGGCACAAGATCGTTTGAACCTGGGAGGTGGAGGTTGTAGTGAGCTGAGATCATGCCACTGCACTCCAGCCTGGGCGACACTCTGTCTCAAAAAATAAATTAAAATAAAATAAAATAACATATTCAGCCAAAGTATCTCCAAAAACTAAGGTGAGGAGACTTCCAGGTAACTAAAAACAATGGCCAGTGAGTGGTAAGCAACCTCCCCAAATCCCCTTTCAAATGCTGTGAAGTAACTCCACACCTATGAATCTTCTACACAAAACTATACCTTCAACACTGCCTTTAAGACATAGAGAATGCCAAAATTGCAACATAACTATGAGTAAAATGAGAAAAAGCATTAAATCTTAGCACCACGGTCCCACACATGCCCACCCCAAGGCTCTGTTAGGTAAACTGCAAGAAAGAGGGATAGCTGGTGGGGGGGCCTGAGACAGAGCTGGAGCAAGACCCTCAGAATCATCTACCCTTAATTTGAAAATGCAAAAAAACAAAACAGAATCAAAACCCTGGCCAATCATAGGAGAACTGCAGGAAACAGACTTAAAACTATGTGTCATTTATAGGCCGGAGCAACTGTGTCTCACACTGCTAATAAAGACATACCTGAGACTGCCTAATTCATAAAGAGGTTTAATGGACTCATAGTTCCACATGGCTGGGGAGGCCTCACAATCATGGTGGAAGGTGAATGAGGAGTGCTGTCTGAATAGCCCACCCCTTAATTTGCATGTAATTAAAACTGGGTATAAATACTGCTAGCCAACAGCCTATATGCTGCTACCCTGGGTATACTGCCTATGAGTCAGCCCTGCTCCACAAGGGGCAGCCACTCTGCTGTGCCCTGCTGCTTCAATAAACCCAATTTCTTTTACTGCTGGCTGCCTCTTGAATTCTTTCCTGAGCAAAGCCAAGAACCCTCCTGGGCTAACCCCCAGTTTGGGGGCTCATCTGCCCTACATCATCAGCAGAAAAATAGAGACTCAAAGAATCAGAAGGAAAGATCAGAAATCAAAGCCACCATAAAGAAACGGAAGAATGCCTTTGATAGGCTAATCAGTCATCTGAACATGGCCGGGCGCGGTGGCTCACGCCTGTAATCCCAGCACTTTGGGAGGCCAAGGTGGGCGGATCATGAGGTCAGGCCATCAAGACCATCCTGTCTCACACGGTGAAACCCCATCTCTACTAAAAATACAAAAAAATATTAGCCGGGTGTGGTGGCGGGCACCTGTAGTCCCAGCTACTCAGGAGGCTGAGGCAGGAGAATGGCATGAACTTGGGAGGCAGAGCTTGCAGTGAGCCGAGATCGCGCCATTGCACTCCAGCCTGGGTGACAGAGCAAGACTCTGTCTCAAAAAACAAACAAACAAAAAAAAAAAAACAAAAAAAAACCACACAACTGACCAATGACCAGGTGTATGGGCTCCAGGCAGCATCCAGCTGGGTGTAGAAACCCCCTCCCACCAATAAACAAATGAAATAGAAAAACAAGCTGGGTGTGGTGGCACATGCCTGTATTCTCAGCTACTTGGGAGACTGAGGCAGGAAGATTGTTTGAGCCCAGGAGTTCGAATCTAGCCTAGGCAACATAGGGAGACCCCCATCTTAAAATAAATAAATTTAAAAGAAAAACAATGAAATATCCATAGCAGCTTAAACCAATAATCAGTTTTATTTTTTCTCATGTGATAGAAGTCTGGAAGTCCAGGGCTGCTGCAGACACTCAAAGAGGCCACAGGGGAGGCCAGGGTCGCTGTGAGCTTTCTGCAGTCACTTCCTTAGACTGTGGTTTTCATATGCACGGTCGTTAAGGTGGATCTTCCAATACTAGGTACTGGATCTCTTTGCAAGGTGAAAAGTAAAGCAAAGAACAAAACATACAGGGAGGAATTCATGTTTAAGAACGATCCCCATTCAAGAGCTTTCTCAGAAGCCCATGTGGTGACATCTGCTGATCTGTCAGTGGCCAGGGCTGTGAGACATGGATGGTACCAGCTGCAAGAAAACCTGTAAGAGATTTTTTAAAATTTAGATTAGCACACCTTACTAATCTGACAGAACCTGGATTCTCTTGATATTGGAAGAAGATGAGAGTGGATACCGGGGAAGTCACTAGAAGTATCTGTCACTCTTGGCTGGACAGCAGGCTGCAAACATATTACCACTTGATGGAGGCATCATGCTCTGGTCGCAATCCGTGTGCATCAGGTACCAGTAACAAAGTGGTACTGAGAAATATCCTCATGTCACATAGATCTCAATATGCCATTGGTCAAGGAGGTTGTCCAGAAGGAAATTAGGACGTTATCAAGGATGAAGCTATAGTAAAAATACTATAAACAAACCTTTCTTGATGAGGCTTAAGGGTTATTTAGAGGAGTATAACCTTAAAAATAAAGATGAAAAATTTATGAACGGGGCTCTGTTTTCATGATGAGAGAGTACGTGCAGTCCCGTATTCACCGGAAAATCTCGTTGGGGCTTCTCTCGGGGGGTCTGTTTCCGTGATGAAAGAGTAAGTGCAATCCCGTATTCACCGGAAAATCTCGCTGGGGCTTCTCTCCGTGAGAATATTCACATGCTCAAGTGAGGGGACCATGGCTGGAATCATTTCCACATAGGAATTATCAGCACTAATTGTATTTTAAAAGTTTTGTAAAAGAAATTTCTCCTAGCGTAAGTGCTCACAAGATTCATAAAAATGGAGGAATTGCTGCAGGCAGTAATTGAGGAATGACTGCATGATTATTTTCAACCTCAGCAACAGTGACGTTTGGGGGCACTAACTCTTCGTTGTGGGGGGCTCCTGTGTGCTGGAGCCGACTTAGCAGCATCTCTGA
Source organism: Homo sapiens (assembly GCF_000001405.40). Lineage (NCBI taxonomy): Eukaryota > Metazoa > Chordata > Mammalia > Primates > Hominidae > Homo > Homo sapiens. Next base: position 9,162,221 of record NC_000019.10, on the reverse strand, counting down.
TGTCTTCTTATTACAAGTCAGGAGTATCTTCCCCCCATTCTAACTACCAAAAATGTCTCTAGACATTGCCAAATGACGCCTAGACAGCCAAATCGTCGCCCGACTGAGAACCCGTGCTGTAGACCAAGGGTCGGCCAAGTTTTTCTGGAAAGGGGCAGATGACAGGAAGTATTTCAGACTTCATTGGCCACAAATTTTCTCCATCAAACATTCTTCTTCCTTAAAGATGGAACCACTATTGTTAGCTGGCAAGCCATACAAAGACAAGCAGCTGGCCGTGGTTTGCGGCCCATTCATGACCTTCCACGTTCCTTACTTCACTGATTTCTCTCTTTAGTGTGATTTCCGTCATGAGGAATCAAGTGAGACTAGGAAGGGTTTCCCCAGCCACTGTGTTTACAGAGATGCTCCCTAGTGTGCTCATTATTACTCATGGGCCCAGAAGGCTAGAAGTGGTCTGAAGTCATTTTGACATTAAATGCCACGGCTTGGATTTTGACATTAAATGCCAAGCTGCCATTAAGTCCTCCTGTGTTTGTTAAGAGCTGAATGTACCCTGAAGGCTTCTCCATGCTACAGACGTACATTTTCACCCCCGGCGTGAGTTCTCACAAACCTCCTATGGGATGAGAACGCCTCGTCTTCCCAGTTTTTACAGGAACTGGACTTCTCCCAAGTTCCGTGGATTCTTTTGCACCCAGTAAGGTGCGAGCTCACAGAGGCTTCCTCTTACACCCACGAGGTCTGTTTCCGGTCTGAATCATCCTGTGTCTCTAAAGCAGGCGCGCTCACTGGAGCCTTTTCCACACGGATGACACAAAGAGCTTCTCTCCCCGGTGAGTTTTCACGTGGCTCCTGAGGGATGAGTGGTCGCTGAAGGCTTTCCCGCAGACAAGGCATTCGTAGGGCTTCTCCCCGGTGTGGATCCGCCTGTGCACATTCAGGTTGGAGCCTATGCTGAAGGCCTTCCCACAGTGATCGCATTCGTACGGTTTCTCCCCCGTGTGGCTTCGCATGTGCGTCTTCAGCGTTGACTGGTTCCTGAAGGCCTTGCCACACTGCCTACACTCAACTCGTTTCTTTACAAGGTGAACGCTCATGTGCCTCCGCCGGGATAAATAGTCACCGAAGACTTTCCCGCAGGCGGCGCATTCGTAGCGTCTCTCTTGCGTGTGTATCTTCCTGTGTGCGGTGAGGTTTGAACTCGCGCTGAAAGCTTTCCCGCAGAGATCGCACCCGTATGGTTTCTCTCCAGTGTGAGAGTTCATGTGAGTCTTAAGGATGGACTGGTTTCGGAAGGTCTTCCCGCACTGCCGACATTCCACGGGTTTCTTGACGATGTGAATCCTCATGTGTTTCCTCCGGGACACGAGATCGCCAAAGGATTTCCCGCATTCTTTACATTCGTAGGTCTTCTCCACCATGTGGTTCTTCTTGTGCAAATTAAAGTTGGACTTCCAGCGGAAGGCTTTGCCGCACTGCGTGCACGCGTAGGGCTTCTCCCCCGTGTGATTCCTCACGTGCTCTTTGAGGTGGGAGGGGTGCTGGAAAGCTTTCCCACAGTCGTGACACTCGTAGGGCCTCTCTCCGGTGTGCGTTCTCTTGTGTGCGATGAGGTGGCAGCTCCGGCCGTAAGCCTTCCCGCACTGATCACACTTGTAAGGCCTCTCGCCAGTGTGAACTCGCATGTGGATTTTCAGGGCCGAGAGGGTCCGGAATGCATTTCCACACTGACTGCAGTCAAAGGGCTTCTCTTTGAGGTGAGTTCTTGCGTGGCTCCTAAGGGCTGAAGGGTCGTTGAAGGCTTTCCCGCAGTCGCTGCACTCGTAAGGCTTCTCCCCGGTGTGGATTCTCCTGTGCCGTGTGAGGGACGCGCTCGTGGTGAAGGCTTTTTGGCACTGATGACATTCATGCATTTTTCTCCCGTCGTACATGCTCATGTGCTGAGTGAGGTGCGGCCTGCCCTTGAACGCTACCCCATAGTCGCGGCGGTGATAGGGCCTCTTGCCAGCGTGCCTTCCCATTGGCTGAGTGAGATGAGGGTCCATGCCAAAGACTTCGAACAAGTGAGCGTATTCAGTGGACTTCTCTCCAAGACCGGCTCTTTCCTGTTGGTTAAGACGTAAGTGCTGACAAAGGCAATTCTCATATTCATTGCAACCCTAAGCGTCATCCCCACATACACTGCTATGAACAGATAGAAGCACATTACTATGACTAGAGCTGTAACCATCTGCCGTGCAAACGTGCTGTCCCTGCCCCATTTGAGCTCCATCAAGGACAATAGGTGAATGCCAGGCCACAAGGCTCCACATGTGTTACTTTTTCAAAGCTTTTTGCATATAGCATTTCTTCACTGCTTAAAACTGAATTGAGGCTGGGCAAGGTGGCTCACGCCTGTCATCCCAGCACTCTGGAAGGCCAAGGCGGGTGGACCACCTGAGGTCAGGAGTTCGAGACCAGCCTGGCTAACATGGTGAAACGCTGTCTCTACTAAAAATACAAAAATTAGCTGGGCATGGTGGTGCACACCTGTAATCCCAGCTACTCGGGAGGGTGGGACAGGAGAATCACTTGAGCCTGAAAGGTGGAGGCTGCAGTGAGCTGAGATCGTGCCATTGCACTCCAGCCTGGGTGACAAGAGCAAGACTGTGCCTCAAAAAAAAAAACAAAAAACAAAAACAACAACAAAAACAAACAAACAAAAACCACTGAATTGAGGCTGGGCATGGTGGCTCAAGCCTATAATCCCAGCACTTTGGGAGACCGAGGCTGATGGATCTCCAGGAGTTCAAGACCAGCCTGGGCAACATGGTGAAATCCTGTCTCTGCAAAAAATAGAAAAATCAGCCAAGTGTGGTGGCACACGCCTATAGTCCCAGCTGCTCAGGAGGCTGAGGTGGGAGGATGGCTTGAGCCTGGGAGGCAGAGGTTGCAGTGAGCCAAGATGTTGCCCACTGCACTGGGCAACAAGAGCAAGACTGTCTGCCCCCCAAAAAATAAACACCACCAAAACTAAATTGATAAGTAAGTGTACAGCATAAATATAAAATAAAACAAAAACTGCATTGAGCCCCAACACTCAATATCTGAGACACAGCTATAAAAATCTTCACTCAGAGACACTCTAGGTAAAGTAGCTTGAGGTTAGCTTTAGGGTTGTCTCCATCTTGGTAATACCCAGTGTCTCTGAAACACAGTCTCCTCTGAGGGAAGCTGCTTGCCCTGGTGTTGAACTGCTTTTCTAACCTAGGCTGCCCCAGTCTCCTCAGACGTGGAAGGAAGATCCAGAATTATCCCACGGAAATCTTACCATCGTCACACCACTGGGCGTTTCCTTCCCAAAAATATCTTCCATAAGAAGTGACCACTTGGTTTTAGATGGAGTCTCCCAATCTGAAACAAATTGGAAAAGTATTAATTGTTGGAAAAGGAAAATGGTGGGATGATGGTGACAATGACAGGTGGATTTCTTGGCAGATCCTAAGGCTATGTAAGGAAAAGTGGTGCAAAAGCAATTGTTAAAAAATCTGGTCATGTGAGATATTTGGCAATGCCAGGGGTAGAAATTTAAGTCAATTCAGGCCTGGTGCAGTGGCTCACGCCTGTAATCCCAGCACTCTGGGAGGCCGAGGTGGGTGGATCACCTGAGGTCAGGTGTTCGAGACCAGCCTGGACAACATGGTGAAACCCATGTCTACTAATAATACTAAAATTAGGTAGGCATGGCGGCATCATGCCTGTAGTCCCAGCTACTTGGGAGGCAGAGGTTGCAGTGAGCCGAGATCATGCCACTGCACTCCAGCCTGGCAACAGAGTGAGACTCCGTCAAAAAAAAAAAAAAAAAAAAAAAAAAAAGAAAAAAGAAATTTAAGGCAATTCAGATGATGTTGATAATGACAGAAAGCGGATGATCAGAAACATCAAATATGAAAGAATGGGACAAAGAGCCCAATAATGGGAATGTGAAAGTCAAAGATGAAGGAGTGTGTGGACCAAAAGATTTGTCAGAGAATGGATGGGCAAAAAGAGGGAAGGAGCATCTCTCAATTTCCCTGGGTGACACTCCCTAACCTACCTCCCTCCACCCCAGTCACTGAATAGAGGTAGAGTCACAGCACCGCTCTTTGCCTGGGGCTCGCTCACCTGCACAAGCGCCCTGGTGAGCGCCCCTCTCCTCTGTCCTCGGCTCCTCCTCCTGCTCCAAGTGTGAGATGAGGCTGGGTTTGCCGACCTGATACCCTACACTCACGGGAAAGACACAGGTTGAGGGAGGGCCATGCAGAGGACAACCCCTTCCAGTAGCCTGGGCTCAACACTTGGGTCTTCAGTGTTCTGAGGGTGGACAAGTCTGACTTAGGAGCAGCAAAATGGTGGTGCCAAAATTTCTAAGGAACACAGTAAAAGTTTTTGACTGATAGAAAACAAAACCACAGGCAAAGCATGGTGGCTCGTGCCTGTAGCCAGGAGTTCAAGATCAGTCTGGGCAACATAGTGAGAACCCTTCATCACCAAAAATAAAAAAAAAAAAAAAAAAAAAGAAATAGGAAATAAGATCACAAGTACCCACACACTGACCCTCCAAAAGAATGGGGATTTCGTATTTCAGAAGCCCATGCCAAGCTCAGACACACACCGGAGAACCACCATGGTCCCTGCAATAGATGGGCCTCGATACCCAGGAGAGGCCCCATTAAGCATGGGTGCTGGGGCTGCTTGTTCACAGCTGCGTTCTGAACCGCTGCATAGTTCCTGGGTCACAGAACATACTCAAACAAAAACATCTAATTCATGGATGAATAAGTGGAGAAATGGCACTGGCCTTACCCAGTGAAGTGAGGTTGCTGTAGTTCTCCAGCATTACATCTTTGTACAGTTTTCTCTGAGAAGAATCCAGCAAGGGCCACTCCTTCTCGGTAAAGTCCACAGCGACATCTTGGAAAGTCACCGATTCCTGGAACGCCACACAAACTTGGGGTCAGCGAGGAACCAGCCTAACGATGTTCATGGTAAGATGGCTGAGGTTGAAGACCGGGCATGAGAGACCCAACACAGGATTTCCAGATGGCCTGCTACGGGGCTCAACATTTCCTCCAGGCATCAGTCCTCAGACATCCTCTCTCCCCATTGAGGCCATCTTGTCCTGTGCCGTCACTTCAGATGCAACCCTGACAAGGGACTAATCTCCCTCCAGTTCTAGCCCACTCCGAGAGCTTTGCCCTTTATTTCCCCCCGTCTCTGGGGCTGAGCAAGGGCCTGAGATTTTGCAAGCATGAGGGAAACAGATGCTACATAAATCACTTCCCCTAACTTCCCCAACACCAGGACAGCCCCAATATTCCTTGGCTCTCTCTTGGGCCCTGTTCTGGCATCCACTGGCTGAGATGAAGCTCTGCAAGAATTCCAGCATGCACTGGTGGGGTCTTCCAGGAAGTGCCTCTCCTGCTCTAGGGACCCAGAGATCTTAGTGCACCTGGGAACCAACACTGGGTGTGTGAGGCTCCAGACCACTGCACACGAACAGGTCCAAATTCTGGGGACAGGAATGGTCTTTTGAAGAAACAGGAAATTCTGAGTCCTGGAGACAGGTGGAATCCTGGGTGGACGTGGCTGGAGGAGAAAACAGGGTTCATGAGAATCAGAGCCTGCCCTGTCTCATAATACAACACTTGTAAACCAGGAAACTGCTCCACACTGATTCTGAGTGTTCACATCCTCAATCCTCTCTCTCTCTTCCTCCCCCCACCTCTCTTGCACACATCAGTTTCATAACAAGTCAGAGCAGCCCTGTTCCACCAAAAACATAAAGAGGGTGGTGGGCTACATACTCATAAGAAGTGACATAGTTCCAACCTAGGAGTGAAGAAATGCAAGTTCTGAGAGCTAGAGTTGTGACCTTGCTGAAAGTGATCAAAATAATAAATGAGATAACTCAGGGTTACCCATTACCTGCACCCTCTTCATGCATGAATGATAAGGACACTGGCCTGCTCCCAGACCCACCAAGACCCTCAGCAGACACAGTCACTGGGGTGGCTGCTGGGGCTCTGTTCCCACCCCTTTTCCACTTGCCCATCCTCTCCCAGCAGCCCTCTATGGTGTACGTATCTTTCACCCCATCAAGTGGCAGGGGCCACTTGCACTCACTTTCTCAGGGCACGCACTGACCCAAGAACTTACCAAATGTGGGGGACAGAGCTGCCATCCTCAGAGAATGGCAGTCAGTTTGCCTGAGCAGGGCACCAGGACAACCAGAAAGCTACTCTCTTGCTCTCACGTGACTCTCCAAGCTGGCATCTGTAGCAAATGAAAGAACATCGGGAGTAGTGAAAGGCTATCTGTCTCTCCTGCTCACCAAAGAAAACTCTGAGTTTTGTTTTTTGGCATTTCCTCTTTTGAGCAGCAAGATCTGCCTGATCCTGGACTTTTATCTTACTTAGGTAAACTCTCTCAGCAATGTGGTGATGTGGTGGGGGGACAGCCCCTGATCTGCTATAAGTGGGTTCAGAATTACTCTTCCTAAGTGATTTTCCACCAAGTACAACTCTGTTAAACCCCCTCACTCATTAAACACTCTGGTCCTAGACTTCTGCTCTTCCTTCACCTTCGAGGCCTGCGATCATTTAGGATGGCTCTATCCATGAAGATGGTCCACCCAGGATCAACCATGAGTTCCAAACTCCAATGCCCTTTGCACCCACACTCCACACCAACATATACACCCTTGGGCCATGGCCTGGACTGCATCATCACTAGAATCAGCCTCACCTCACAGGCAATGATTTGGAAATCTGCTCTCTGGGCAAAGTCTCCTGTGCAACCTTCTCACATCAACTCTCACTTTAGAGATTCGCGGCCACCTATGCTTCTGCCACCTCCTCCACTCACTGAATTTGAATTTAAACATCTTTTGAGATGAATCAGAAACTTAAAAATTCATAGAGAACAGCTGCAGTGAGCTACCATCATGCACTCCAGCCTGGGCAATAGAGTAAGATTCTGTCTCTAAAAACAAAAAAAGAAAAAGAAAAAAGGAAAATGAACAGTGAACCACGGATTGGGAAAAAAATATCTGCAATGCATACACCTGAAAAAGAATTCGTATTCAGATTAAAGAACTCCTAGATAGGAGTGCAAAAGGCTTATTGGAAAAAATAAAAAGAACTCCTTCAAAACAGAAAGAAAGAAAGAAAATCAACCCAACAAAAAGGGTAAAAGACTTTAATTAATAAACAGACATTTCACAAAACCAGTAAGAATCACATCGAATGGTGTTGAATATCATAGTCATTAGAGAAATGCAAATTAAAACTAGAACAGCCAAAATAAAAAAGACTACCAATACTAAATGCTGCTGAGTTTGGGGCACACTGGCACCTCTCATATCCTGATGGTAGGAGTGTGAAATAGTTCAACTACTTTGGAAAACACTTTGGCAGTTTTTAACAAGCACACTGACTATCTGATCCAACAATTCTGCTCCTAGATATTTATATAAGAGAAACTGTAAACAATTTATATCCACAAAGACTCGTACAAAAATGTCTGTAGTAGTCTGATTCCTAATAGCCAAATACTGTAAACAATCTAAACATCTATCAACCAGAGAATGGATATACAAATTGCAATGTTTACAGAATGGAATACTACTCAGCAATAAAAAGAAACTATGCAGACACACTACATGGAGAAATCCCTACGATGCTGGCCAAAAGAAACTGGACACACAAGAAACGCTCTGATTCCAACAATATAATGTCCATGAATAGGCAAAACGTAATTAAGTTGATAGAATTGAAAAAAAAAAGGGGGTTTCTTCAATGGAGGATAAGACAGGGATAGACTGAAAGAAGCAAAGGGAACTTTCTAGGATGATAGAAACTTACCTATTTTCAGATGTACAGTGTACACAATTGTCAAAAATTCAAACTGATCACCTAAGTAAGACCTATGCATTTTCTTGAACATATATTAAACCCTGCTTAAAAGAAAGAAAAAAAATGAGGCTTTCTTACCTTCTTGCTTCTAGTTATTTAAACAGTCTTCTCACAACTGATCTATGACCTCCTCCTTTCCTTCTATGACAAAGAGATGTCTGCCCTCCCTTCTCAAGGCAATCCTTTCAAATCTGCTCCAGGCCCATCCCCGTCTCTGGACCCTCGCACTACCTGGCTCTCCTTTACTTTCAGCCTCATTTCTCGCCCTGCTAGACAATTTCCTATGCATGGACACATGCTCAGGTCTATCCCATCTTGAAACCAATGCCTGCCCTGGCTCCCCTTAGTGCCCCCTTCCGAGCAAAAACTTAGGAGCAGTCTACATTCACCATCTCCCAATTCAGTACACCCAGCATCCACTACCATCATCCCCATCCTCACAGAAAATACAATTTACTCCCGTGTCAGTGAATCCAGTAAATGCACTTCAGTCTTAGAGTCTCACGAAAATGTGGTGTCTATTTTCTTTGAGAATCATTCTCTATTCTCGGCTCCTCTACAACTGTCTCCTGGTTCTTTCCCTGCTTCTCTGGATCATCTGGACCATCCAGAGGTCCTCTTTCACCACTAAAGGCTGATTCTGCTCAAGAGCCATTCTTTACCCATTCCTTCGCATGCCTCATGCTTTGCCCAGGTAATCACATCCACTCATTTAACCTGAATCCCCATCTCTAACACTTAGGTTCCAGTAGGAACTCGAGATCTTATTCCCTTTGCCTAGGAAAAGCCACCAGTAAGACATCTCATACAAAAACCAGTTCCAGCCAGGTGCAGTGGCTCCCACCTGTAATCCCAGCACTTTGGGAGACCAAGGTGGGTGGATCACCTGAGGTCGAGAGTTCGAGACCAGCCTGACCAACATGGAGAAACCCCGTCTCTACTAAAAATACAAAGAATTAGCTGGGCATGGTGGTGCATGCCTGTAATCCCAGCTACTCGGGAGGCTGAGGCAGGAGAATCGCTTGAACCCGGGAGGCGGAGGTTGAGGTAAGCTGAGATCGTGCCATCACACTCTAGCCTGGGTGAGAGAGCGAGACTCAGTCTCAAACAAACAAACAAACAAACAAACAAACAAAAACAACTACCTTGACACACTAAACCTAGGGAAAGCAAAAGTGAAGAAATAAAGATTAAAGCAGAGACAAATGAAATAGAGAATAGGAGAATTAATGAAAACAAAAGTTGGTTCTTTCAAAAAGATCAACAAAGGTGACAAAACTACAGCTAGAATTACTAACAAAAAAAGATGCAAGTAACTAAAATCATCAGTGGAAGTGGGACATTACTACCGACCTTACGGAAATTCAAAGGGCTGTAAGAGAATGCCATGAACAATTATGCACCAACACATTAGATCATCTACACTAGCAGTCCCCACCCAATTTGGCATCAGAGACTGGTGTCATGGAAGACAATTTTTCCATGGATGGTGAGGTGAGGGGGGATGGTTTTGGGATGACTTGAGTGCATTACATTTATTGTGCACTTTATTTCTATTATTATTACATTGTAATATATGGTAAAATAATTATACAACTCACCATAATATAGAATTAGTGGAAGCCCTGAGAGTGTTTTCCTGAAACTAGATGGTCCCATCTGGAGGTGATGGGAGACACTGACAGATCATCAGGCATTAGATTTTCATAAGGAGTGTGCAATCTAGATCCCTTGCATGTGCAGTGCACAATAGGGTCTGCGCCCCTATGAGAATCTAATGCTGCTGATGATCTGACAGGAGGTGGAGTTCAGGGGTAATGTGAGTGATGGGGAGCCGCTGTAAATACAGATGAAGCTTCACTCACTTGCCCTCCGCTCACCTCCTGCGGCAGGGCCTTGTTCCTAAAAGGCCAGGGACCGGTACCTGTCTGTGGCCCAGGGCTTGGGGATCAATGCTCTAGATGTATCAAATTCCTTGAAACATACCCAAACAGGCTCTAGAAGAAAAAGAAAATTGAGAGACCTATAACAAGAGACTGAGGCAGTCATCAAAAGCCATTAAATAAAAAGTCCAGGACCAGCTGGGCACGGTGGCTCACGCCTGTAATCCCAGCATTTTGGGAGGCCGAGGCGGGTGGATCAGGAGGTCAGGAGATCGAGACCATCCTGGCTAACACGGTAAAACCCCATCTCTACTAAAAATACAAAAAATTAGCCAGGCGTGGTGATGAGTGCCTGTAGTCCCAGCTACTCGGGAGGCTGAGGCAGGAGAATGGTGTGAACCTGGGAGGCGGAGCTTGCAGTGAGCCGAGATTGCGCCACTGCACTCCAGCCTGGGCGACAGAGCAAGACTCCGTCTCAAAAAAAAAAAAAAAAAGTCCAGGACCAAGGGGCTTCACTGGTGAACCCTACCAAACATTTAGAATTAACATCAAGGACATTATCAAGAAAGTGAATGAGACACAGAATGGTGGAAAATATTTGCAAATCATGTATGTGATAGGGATTTAATATCATTATAAACTCAACAACAAAGACAACCCAGTAAAAAAGTGGGCAGGAGACTTGAACAGAACAGACATTTCTCCAAATTTACAGAAATGAACTGTAAACACATGAAAAGATGATTAACAACATCAGTCATTAAGGAAATAACATCAAAACCACAATACATTGGTGAGGTATGGTGGCCCACACCTCGGGAGGGGATTTAATTTGCTTTGTATGAACATGCCTCCTCTCTCTGGCTTCCACCGCGACTCTCATGACAGCACTGATGTAAGAACCGTGACGCTGCTACTTTAACATCTGACTCAGATCAATAATCAATATTACCACTTTTAAACATTACCAGGGTTATAACAATCTTTTTCAACATCAATTAGTATTTCTGCTATTGGAATTGTTTTAGATATTCAGAAACATTTCAAAACAATAATATAGGAAGTGTGTTTTAACGTATAAACTCTGCCTTGGGGATTCATTATTCAACACCAAATTTGATCTTGGGCCAACTCAAAGATGCATGACGCTTTCATTCTTTTTACAAAGCCCTTTTCTAGTCATTGTGCCTTTGGGTTCTGACATTAAGTCACTGCTGAGGAAGGGGAGAGAGGGTGACAGAGGCTCAGTTCCTGAGGCACAGTATCTCCATCCTCACCTACCATTCATTCATTCATGCTCAACTAACAAGCTTCTGCAGGTCCCATTCCACCTTTCCCCACCAACATTAATGCCAATTCTACAAATAACGACATGTGTAGTGTTTACAAGGTATGAGACATTCTCCTGAGTCTTTCCAGGGCCACTCCTATTTAATCCTCACAACCTCCCGGAATTATTCTCAAGTACCCAGAGAATAAGGCACCAAGGGTCCGAGACACTTGGTCAAGGTCATAGGTGGAAGTTGTGAGCCCAGCTGACGTGACTGCGGAGCCACATCTTGTTGCCTCTCAAAGTGACCTATGTCACCTGTACTGTCCCCTATGTGGGAACTCCTTGACACTACATCTTGACCCTTCCTTTGCCTGACCTCCTGACACATCATCTTGCTCACTATGAATCTATCTCCCTCTTCCTGGGAATGCCACTGCTCTTGCAGCCATAGCCCACTCATCCCAGTCTGTGCTCACATCTCTGGTTGCTCTTTTGAAGACTCTGGCTTGAGATCCCTCCTCTGCCCAGCCCCTAAAGGTCAGGGTTCCCCTGGGCCCCTCTCCCCCATCTCCCACAGGTCCACATTGTGAAACACCCCCACCATTTGGAGGTGCTGACACCCAGGTTCTGATTGCACTTCTGTGAAGGTCTCCCTGTCCCTGAGGCCTCAGTAGACTCCCCTTTAATGCAAGCCCACAGTTCTGCTCATTCCCCTCCCAAGAGTCAGTTCATCAAAACTCAGTTTTCTCATCTGGAAACTGAAGACTTTAACACTGGGTTATGTATGGAACTCTATAGGCTCAGTAAACAAACATTCACTCTAAAATGCCATTATCATTAAAATAAAATGACCACTGACGATTTCACAATTACTTAACAGAATTGTTCATTTATAGTGGGTGCCACTCTCCGCTCCCTGGCACCTGCCCCACCCAGAATGACTCAGAGTGAGTGGCAGCCAGGTGGCTACTTAGTATCCCTACTGCAACAGCCAACAGGATCCCACATTAAACACCTACAACTGTGCTGCCACCAGCCTCCCCACGTTGATGGCAGCTCCAGCCTCCCAGGGGCTCAAGTCAAAAGCCTTGCTCGTCATCACCTTCAACTCTCCTCTTTCTTTTCCATAAACCACACCTGCATCACCAGCAAATCCTGCCAGCCTTAACTTTAAAACTTAATACAAAAATCTGGTTGCTTCTCACCACCTACACTGCTACTGCCTTGGCATAAGGCATCGCTTCTCTTCTAGAACATTCCAACTGCTTCCTAACTGGTCTCCCAGCTGCTGTCCCTGACTTCCCTTAGCTTCCATGACAGCCGTAACTTTATGGGTAAAATGAAGATCACACCGCTCCTCTGTTCAAGATCCTCTGATGGTGTCCCATCTCACTCAGACCAAGGGCCCAGGTCCCTGCCGCCTCACCCACAACTCGCTCTGCCACTGGTCCCTCACCCAAGCCACAGAAGCCTCACTGCTGTGCATCAGGCCCCGCCAGCCATGCTCCCACCTCAGGGTCTGTGCACCTGCTGCTCCTCTGCTTGAAATGTTTCCCCCACATTCTCAGTGTGCCTGGCCCCCTCTCATCCTTCAGATCTTTATTCAACTTTACCTGTCCTGATCTGGCATTCACTGGCCACTCTTTTCTTTTCTTTTGAGATGGAGTCTCGCTCTGTCACCCAGGCTGGAGTGCAGTAGTGTGATCTCAGCTCACTGCAACCTGCGCCTCCCGGGTTCAAGTGATTCTCCCGCCTCAGGCTCCCAAGTAGCTGGGACTATAGGTGTGCCACTGTGTCCGGCTAATTTTTGTACTTTTAGTAGAGACAGGGTTTCACCATGTTGGCCAGGCTGGTCCTGAGCTCCTGACCTCAGCTGATCCACCCGCCTTGGCCACTTTTTAAAATGCAAACCCCTGCTTCTTTCAATCCCAATTCTCCACTCCTTTTCTTTTTCCCTAAAGCACTAATTTCCAAGTAATGTTCTGTGTAAGATTAGGCTCTATTTTTTACTGCAAAAACAGACAAACCCAAATCTCAATGACTCAATAAAATGGAAAGTTTACGCCTTGCTCATGTCACTTGTTCAACCCAGGCTGATGTCAAAAGTTTTCCTGTTGTTCAAGGATGCCACTTGTCTCTGAACCAACTGATACCCTTGGCCATGTTGGTCATAGATGATGAGCAGGAAGCTGGACAACTATGCATTCTGTCGTCTATATTTTGACCCTGAAGCACTTGCAGCCCATTGGCCAGAACTAGTCACATGCCCCTGCCAGCTCCAAGGATCCTGGGAAATGTAGGACAGGACACAGAACACCGGGTAAGCATTATTATCTCTCTGCTGTCTCCTCCATGCACACTATGTAGTTTACTTGTTTTGATTTCCTGTATGCCCAACTAGAAAATACATTCCAGGTGAGTAGAGACTTTTTACTTTGATGATATTTCATTCACCATTCCAGTGCCTGATATAAATAAGACAATAAGTAGGGAATGAAAGAATGAATGGATGATGAGCAAGCTGATCTACATTTGCCTTCATACTGAGACAGCCACCCAGACCTTGGGAGACCATAAAGGAGGGGCCTATGGAATGTAGGGGGTCTGGGATCTCCTCAGAAGGTCCTGTGAAATTAAACAGTAATCCAGGTACTAGGACACAGCCCTATGGCTTAGCCCAACACCCTGGGGCCAACATCCACCACCACCCTCCATGAAGGACAAAGTGTCCAGAGGGCTGGAGCTTAGAGAGCGCACCCACATCAATTCAGTCTGTGGAACCTTGTCGATGTTTTGCAACGATGCAAACCAGAGCTCAGAGTGGAGCTTCTGGCCAAGTTCTCACCTGAGTGATTCTATCACTTTCAGGGGTTGTCAGTGCTGGGTGATGGTGTATTAGTCCATTCTCGCACTGCTATAAAGAAATACCTGAGACTGGGTAATTTATAAGAAAAGAGGTTTAATTGGCTCACAGTTCTGTAGGCTCTACAGGAAGCACAGTGCTATCTGCTTCTGGGGAGGCCTCAGGAAGCTTCCAATCATAGCAGAAGGCAAAAGGGAAGCAGGCAAAGCATATGGTGAAGCAGGAGCAAGACAGCAGGGTTGGGAGGAGGTGCCACACACGTGTAAATGACCGGATCTCAGGAGAACTCACCCGCCATCACGAGGACAGTGCCAAGGGGGATGGTGCTAAGCCATTCATGAGAAATCTGCCCCCCTGATCCAATCGCCCCCCACCAGGCCCCACCTCCAATATTGGGAATTACATTTCCATATGAGATTTGGAGGGGGGGAGGGGGCGGATACACATCCAAACTGTATCAGAGAGTCTCAAAGAACTGGTGGCCATGAATACAAATAAAGCAGGAAGATTTCAGCATCTAAGCGACCCCAGCAGGATGTGGAGCAGGGTGTCTAGAACAGCTGTAGGATCTATGAACTCAGAGACGTTCTGCCCCGTTTCTACATGATACATGAAACAAAACCAGGATCAGCCGGGCGTGGTGGCTCACGCCTGTAATCCCAGCACTTTGGGAGGCTGAGGCAGGCGGATCATGAGGTCAGGAGATTGAGACCATCCTGTGAATGGTGAAACCCCATCTCTACTAAAAATACAAAAAATTAGCCGGGCGCGGTGGCGGGCGCCTGTAGTCCCAGCTACTCAGGAGGCTGAGGCAGGAGAATGGTGTGAAACCCAGGAGGCAGAGCTTGCAGTGAGCTGAGACTGTGCCACTGCACTCCAGCCTGGGCGACAGAGCGAGACTCCATCTCAAAAAAAAAAAAAAAAAAAAAAAAAAACCAGTGTCATTGGAATGCTGTCACCATGGATGAGTTAGAACGGACAGGTTAATTTTTCAGAGCTGTTGGGGTTGCTTAATTTCTCTTTTAATTTTCTTTACAGCATGGTGAAAGCAGTTCTATTTTTCTATTTCTACACATCTTACTCTATTCTCATTGGGATCTGTTTTTCTCCTCACCAGGGCCAGGACTGGGATGAGGCAACCAAGGCTGCTAGACAAGAGTGTGGTATTTAAGGAAGCACTTCTGGTGTCAGACAAGCACAAGGTTGGCTCAGAGCGAGTGGCTCCCTGGCTCTGCACTCACAAACCTCACCCTTGCTCCAGCCCTGCTCCTCAGTTTTAGAAGATCTGCCTCCTCCATCAAGTTTGTGGTCCAAAACAAATGTTGCCCAAAACTGTTCCATTATGAGCTTTCTCAGGACCATAATTCTCCCAATATTTGATTTTATCCCCATATTCAACTTAATCACAGTATCCCAGGATATTCAGAATTTGCAGATGTAAATACTGTAGAGAGAATAATTATTTTGTTACTTTTACTGACTGGTATTTCTGCCCTTGCTAGAACCATTTCTACCACTGTTATTCACGTAAATATAGGCCCAGCATGGTGGCTCATGCCTGTAATCTCAGCACTTTGGGAGGCTGAGGCGGGCAGATCATTTGAAGTCAGGAGTTCAAGACTGGCCTGGCCAACATGGTGAAACCCCGTTTCTACTAAAAATACAAAAAAATTAGCCAGGCATGGTGGCACATGCCTGTAGTCCCAGTTACTTGGGAGGCTGAGGTGGGAAGATTGCTTGAACCTGAGAGGCGGAGGTTGCAGTAAGCCAAGATCATGCCACTGCACTTCCAGCCTGGGTGACAGAAATGAGACACTGCCTCAAAAAAAAAAAAAAGAAAAAAAGTATATAAATAATATATACAATATATATATAGCGAGAGACAGAGAAGGCAACAAAGGTTGTGAGAACATCATATGCCATTTTCTTGGTCCAGAAATGCATTACATTAGTAAATCAATATACCCTCCTTTCAACCAGCTAGATGAGATGTCCCAGGGGGTGGGGAGCAGGGTAGGAATTCTGTTTCCAACAAGCAACCTAGGTGCCCCAATTAAACCTTCCATGCATAACTATTTCAAATGCAACACAAAGTACAGACAGATGATAGGTTTCAAATTCATGTGCTGGCAAGAAATTAACATTCAGAAAATTAAAAATTTATGATTTCTAAAGGGCAATTACAATTGCTAAAAAAAAAGCAAAATGGAAACCCACAACAAAAGCCCTAAGTAAATAGCTTTTAGATTATACACAGCCAATAATAATAATAATAATAATAATTTGTTTCTTAAATATAGTCTGCTGCATAAGCGTCCCCTGGAACACTTTAAGTAACTCTGACACCCAGATCATATCTCAGTTCAATTCTCTTTGGGGTGGGCTGATGAATCAGTATTTTAATAAACTCTACATGAAATTTTTATGAAGGCTGAAGTTTCAAAGCCAGTTGTAGCAATAAATGCAAGGGAAGCACAGAAAAAGAGTTGAGGAACATAAATACAGCTAAGAACCACGTGGGGGCAGAAGATAAGGAATTGAACCATTTCTAACTGGAGTTACTGATGAGAGACAGAGAAGGAGCCTAGGCAATCACTGCAAAATATAGTGGCTGTAGATTTTTCATTTTGAAGGAAAATATAAACAGATTGAAGAGAGATAAAATCTTAAGCACAATGAACCAGATAATACCAACGGTAAAAAGAATATCTGAACAGCAGCCAGAGGAGAAAAAGACAGGTTACCTTTTAAGCAATAGTTCTCAAACTTTAAGTTACATGGGAGTCACCTGGAGGTCTTGTTAAAACACACCGTAAATATCTCTCCATTAAGAAACAAAGTAAGCCTGGGCATGGTGGCCCACACCTGTAATCCCAGCATGCTGGGAGGCCAAGGCAGGTGGATCACTTGCACGCAGGAGTTCGAGACCAGCCTGGGCAACATACCAAGACCCTGTCTCAAAACAAAACAAAACGAAAAACTCACATTTCTAGGCTCCTAAAACCGCTGCCTGGCCAACATGGTGAAACCTTGTCTTTACTAAAAATACAAAAATTAGCTGGGTGTCATGGCCCATGCCTGTAATCCCAGCGACTCAGTAGGCTGAGGCAGGAGAATTGCTGGAACCCAGGAGGCAGAAGTTGCAGTGAGACGAGATTACGCCATTGCACTCCAGCCTGGGCAACAAGAGTGAGACTCTGTCTCAGAAAACAAACAAACAAACATTAGACTGACAGCTGACTTCTCATCATTAACAGTGGAAGCCAGAAGATAATGGAACATCTTCATAGTTCTGAAATATAAAATTCTATTACCACCAAAAATGTCCACTGAGAAAGAGAGAAAGAGGTGTTTTCTGAGCACCAAAAAACAAAGTTCCTGTGGGCTTGCAACCCACAGAAAAGAGACATCATCAAAGACATACCTCAGGGAGAAAGAAGTAATTAAAGAACCAAAGCAAACAGTGGAAGAATTACACCAAAAAGTGTAAGAACCAAGTAAAGTGCTCAAAGTGATAAACATGTGAGTATAATGAAACAAGAAATGATGGTATGCAATAGCAATAATAATTTCTTCTGAGGTTTAAAAAAAGAACTCAATATGTGCAACTATGATATATCAATAAAGAAAGAATGAAAATGCATAAGAAAACCATGTAAATCAGGAGAGTAACATATGCAAATCTAGATTTAGTGAATGAGCATGGGTAAGAATTATTTAGAACAACCACTGAAATAATAGAGTAAATAAATTCAAAATGTACAGAAAATAAAAAAGGAGAATGACAAAAATACACAAAAGAAGCTAGAGAAAAAACAGAAGACAAATGTAACATTCAAATATATTAATACAGAAGATGCTAACAGAATAAATGCTTTAACTAAAATACTAATATTCACAGAATAGATTAATCCAATTATATGCTACGTACAAGAGATATCTAAAATATAAGAATACAATAAGAGCCGGGCGCGGTGGCTCATGCCTGTAATCCCAATGCTTTGGGAGGCCAAGGCAGGTGGATCACCTGAGGTTGGGAGTTCGAGACCAGCCTGACCAATATGATGAAACCCCATCTCTACTGAAAATAAAAAAATTAGCTGGGTGTGGTGCCATGCGCCTGTACTTCCAGCTACTTGGGAGGCTGAGACAGGAGAATCACTTGATTCCAGGAGGTGGAGGTTGCAGTGAGCCAAGATCGCGCCATTGCACTCCAGCCTGGGCAAAAAGAGTGAAACTCCGTCTCAAAAAAAAGAAAGAAAGAAAGAAAGAAAGAAAGAAAAAAGAGTACAATAAGAATGGAAATAAAAGGATATATAAGGCAAGTAAAAAAAAAAAAAAAGAAAGCTGGTTTGAATGTTAGTATCAGACAGAATAGATTAAGGCAAAAAGGCTCATAGAGAAAAATGAAGTATTACATAATAAAAAGTTATAAATCCAAAAAGAGGTGTGTGTGTGTGCCTGTGTGTATAAAACACAGCCTCAAAAAAAAGGAAAACACAAAAATTAAAAAAAAAAAAGGGGGGACAGAATTCTAAGGAGAAATGGATGAAGCCACCACCAGAGCTCTCACAAATCCAGTTTAAGCAGGCAGTTCAATAACTATGTGCAGATTGAACATGATGAGACAGCACTCATGGGGCCATGTTTGTCTCAGAAAATGCTTGACCACAGAGCAATGCAGTTGGCAAACAATGACCAAAAGATAACCAGAAAAAAAGTCACAGAAATGAAAATTAAAAGAAAAAAATTCTAAATCTGCATGCCAAAGAAGCCATGATATTTGATATTTATAATTAAAATACAATAAAGTATGATACTGCAATTCTTTGGGATGTGACAGGCATTCAACATAAGAAACTGGAAAGAAACATCCCAAAAAGGAAGAAAATGATAACAATCAGAAAGTTATAAAATAGAAAACATATATATCATAAAGTGGTTCAATCAAGCCAGAAGTTCTTTAAGAAGAAAACTGACAACATTCTGATGGAATTTATTTTTGTAAAAAGCAACATATAATTATTATAAATAAAAAAGTGGATAACATTACAAATGCAGCAAGCATTAAAAATTTGAGTATGTTATGAACAACCCTGACTATACGATTTAAACCTCAGATGGAATAAATAAATTCCTAAAGAAATTTTACTCATCATAACAACACAGAAAACCTGAATGCCCCACAAACCTTAAAAGAACAGAAACAATAGCTTTAAAACTTTCCACAAAGAAAACTCCAGACCCAAATGGTTTTTCCAGGTACCACTCCCGTTCTAAGGAACAAAATATTCTATTCTTATGCAAAACATTCCAGAGTTTAGAAAACAGAACACTTCTCATCCCATTTTATGAGGCTGGCATAAATCTGAAACAGAAAAGGAACATTTCACTCAAGCATAGATCCAAAAACACCAAACAAAGTATTAGCAAACCGAAGCCAAAAGTAACAAATAGTAACATGTCCTTTCCAAATTATTTACCAATACAAATTCAATGTAACAAGAGAAAATCAATTGGTTTAATTTGCCACACTACAGGATAGAAAAAAAATTATATTATTCACTCATTAATTTGTTACACAGCAGTACTGAGTGCCATAATTTAAGGTACTAGAAATGTATCAATAAACAGATACAAAACTATCAATATAGATTTTGTATCAAACAGATACAAAATGTATCAATAAACAGATACATAATGGCAAAAAAAAAAAAAAAATCACTTGTTAAAAGCCTGCAGCAATTCACAAGAAAAACTCAAGTAGGAAAAGAGGGGAGCTTCCTTGACCTAATAAAAACTATTCGACAGAAAAGCCTTCGGCAGACACAAATGACAATTCCCTTTAAGATCAGAAAACAAACAGGCTTGCCTAGAGTGTGCCATCCAAACTCCAGTCAATGACAAGGGAAGTCCCCACCCAGTCCAGCACAAAAAACAAACAAACAAACAAACAAACAAAAAAGACAATTTATCGTCTGTATAAAATAAATATTTGTATTTTCCTTTTGAATTGTACACATTTTCCTTGTCTACGAAGAACATCCAACAAACTACACAAAAGTTAGACTTTTCTGAGCACCAAAAAACAAAGTTCCCAAGAATAAATATAACAAAAACAACCTAAATCCTTTTTGCAGGTACTTATAAAACTTTACTGAGCCGGACATCGTGGCTCTCTCCTGCAATCCCAGCACTTTGGGAGGCCAAGGCCGGTGGATCACCTGAGGTCAGGAGATCGAGACCAGCCTGGCCAACATGTTGAAACCCCATCTCCACTAAAAATACAAAATTTAGCTGGGTGTGGTGGTGGGTGCCTGTATTCCCAGCTACTCGGGAGGCTGAGGCAGGAGAACCGCTTGAACCAGGGAGACAGAGGTTGCAGTGAGCCGAGATTGTCATTGCACTCCAGTCTGGGCTACAAGGGTGAGACTCCATCTCAAAAAGGAAAAAACAACAACAACAACAAAAAACACTTTATTGAAAGGCATTAAAGAAGATGTAAATAAATGATGTAAATCAATTAACTGCAACTCAATGGCATAAAAACGACAATATTCCCAAAGTTCAAATATAGATTCACCACAACTTGAAAACAAAAGTCCAGTATGTGGAATTTGGTGAACTGACTAGAATTTAAGCCATGACATTCCTGAAAAAGAATGGCTAGGTGTAAGTACTTCATCTACAAGATATTTAGAAATCTCTAAATTACAAAGGTGTGCTTGAATCAATACAGAAAAAGATTGTTTCCAAAAATACTGAAGCGCCTGAGTTCATTCACAAATAATTACCAAAATTTAGGAAATATATTTTCTGGAAAAGATGTATACGCAGTCAAATCCACGGAGACAGTATTGGTGGGAGAGGAGGATGCAGTTTAGAAGAGGCACACAGCTTTCTGAGATTTAATAATCTCTTTCTTGGCCTGGTTTGTAAATTCGCTTTACTGTTGTCCTTTTAAGTGTGTGTAAGTCTGCGTGTGTGTGTAATCATACTTTTTTTGCATGTATGTCCTATTTTCCAGTGTTAAAATATGTGCATAGGAAAGGACACACCACAAAATAAGACGGTAAAATTCAATGGAAAATATTAATAATCACGATAAGTATAACTGGACTAACTCAAGTTAATTAACAAAATGTTGAACTGAATAGTAAATATACATATAGGCTATTTACAAGAGTCCACTAAAATTAAAATAAATAAAAAAGTGCAACCAGAAGGTCTTAAATTAAAAATATAAAAGGTACTCAAGGTAAGTGCTAATAAGAACACCAATGTGCTGACATTCACGAGATAAAATTGACTACAGCGCAGAAAGAAGGTGATTTCTCCTCGCGATGTCCAAATCCTGACGCCCCCCAATCTCCTGAACTGCCCCCAAACTCTTGAATTCACTTCAGCCGGGCTTTTCCGCCCCCACCAGAGACTTAGGGCTTTTCAGGATCAGGTGACCAATGCTTCTCTCATCACTAGCTGCAATGGTCCAATTTTATCCTTCGCGTCCCCAGCTTTTCATATCGCTGATCGCGAGATCTAAACGCACCCCTCGTCTGGATGCCTAGCTCTTTAGCCCCCGACCCTCGTACCCTCTTAGTCCTCACCGCCAGATAGGCCTCCCGTGACCCCTGGAACTGAGGGGGAGAAGGGTTAAGGAAAGCAGGGCTTACACGACTGGGAATAGGATCGGGGGAGCGGAGGTGACGGAAGCCGCCGCCGATGCGAAGAGAAGTTCATACGGGAGGTCCAGTCTGGCGTGGGGACACGAGGGGTCCCCAACAGGCCGAAAGAATTCGCCGCTGACCCCTCCTTGGCCCATGTGTCTCGGGGCAATCGACTCCAGAGAGTAATGGCTTCCGCTTCACTGCCGCCTTCCAATTCTCGCGGGACTTCATTGGCGGCGTCTAATACGGAAGCGGGGCGGAGAGGATGCTGGGAATTGTAGTTTTGAAGTTTGGATTGGCATGGCGGCCGTGCCCCGGTGGAATCTGACGGTCCAGCATATTTCTCCAATTTCTACTCAAGACTCAAATTTTCAACCACAACCCACAGCATTTTGTAGCCATCGTAGTGGTAAAGGTTGAATCAGGCAAGAATTGTCATCTACATGACACAACTGGGGGACATTTGCATGACGAGCAGAATATTTGAATTGCCTTAAATGCCTCTCTATAAACTGCTCGTATGTTGGAATGGAGAAAAAGTAATAGAAATTGTACAGCGAAGAAATTGGACAACATCTGGACCAGGTGATCAAATCAATATCACCAGTGAGGGTCAGATGGAGACCACGTGCCTCTGAATGACACCTTGGGAAGGGCGTAAAATCACCATCACCTGTGTGGTGTTCATCCTGCATATCTGCTATTTTGTATTTTTTGACCCACATCTTCCCATTTTCTTCCCCAACTGCCTCATTCTTTATTTCTGTGTATTTGAGCTGTCTCTCTTGATTAAAAAAAGTTCCTCATGTAAGTGACGTCATGCAATATTTTTCTTTTTGTGTCTGGCTTATTTCACTTAGCGTAATGTCCTCCAGGTCCACCCATCTTGTGATAAATGTCAGGACCTCCTTCTATTTCAAGGTTGAATAATATTCCGTTATATATATTATATGTTTTATACAATGGAATATATATTATATCATATTTATTATAATTATGTATTATGTGTATTATTACCGTATATTATATAATATATGCTAAAATAATATATGTATGTATGTTATATATATTATGGAATATATATTATATATAATATATATTATTTTAGCAGGAGGAGTCTGCATATACAAAATTCCAGAATCAGGCTGGGTACAGTGGCTCACACCTGTAATCTCAACACTTTAGGAAACCAAGGCTTCCCATGTAACCAGTAGGGGCAGAATTATATAGGCAGGAGAGACAGATGGTTAGTATTATCCAGGGCAGGTATTATAAAAGACAGAGAGAAGGAAATTTGAGGTTTTGGAAAATATATTATTGAGGGGATGGACCATGGTGCGTATATATATATATACACACACATATAAAATGTATGTATGGAATATATATGGATATAAGATATTCATATATAATATATAATCTATATTACATAACGTAATATATATTTCATAATACATAATATATACACCATAATATATAGCATATATACATATAATAATACATATAATATATAATATGTATTTCATATAGTATATTATATACATATATTACATATAATATATTACATGATATATAACATAATGGGAATATCTATTATGTAATAGGTATATATTTATATACAACATATTATATTAATATTTAATATAATATGAAATATATATCAATATTATATGATATTAATGTTGACATCATATATAAATACAAAAGAGATAGAATATTATTCAGACTACATAGCTGCTATTTTGTATTTCGTATTCATGTGAGCATCAATGGACATTCAGGTTGTTTCCGTAACTTGGATATTGTAAATAATGCTACAATGAAAATGAAAGTGCAGACATCGTTATGAGGTGATTATTTCATCTCTTTTAGGCATATATTCAAAAGAGGAATTGCTGGGTCATATAGTAGTTCTGTTGTAGATTTCTTTAAGAGCCTGAATACTGTTTTCCACAAAGGTTGTACCAGTCTGCATTCCCACCAACAATGTACTAGGGTTCACTTTGCTTGATGCCCTCGCCAACATTCATCTCTCATCTTTTTTTTCCTTTTTTTTTTTCTTTTTGCAATGGAGTTTCGTTCTTGTTTCCCAGGCTGGGGGGCAATGGTGAGATCTCAGCTACCGCAACCTCCGCCTCCCGGGATCAAGCGATTCTCCTGCCTCGGCCTCCCGAGTAGCTGGGCTTACAGGCATGCACCACCACGCCCAACTAATTTTGTCTTTTTAGTAGAGACGGGCTTTCTCCATGTTGGTCAGGCTGGTCTCGAACTCCCGACCTCAGGTGATCCGCCCGCCACGGCTTCCCAAAGTGCTGGGATTACCGGCTTGAACCACCGCGCCCGGCCTCTCCTATCTTTTTGATGATAGTTCTCCTTAAGGATGTGAGGTGATATCTCACAGTGGTTTTAATTTGCATTTCCCTGATGATTAGTGATGTAGAGCACCTTCTCATATACCTGCTGGCCTTTTTTATGCCTTCTTTGGAAAAACGTCTGTTCAGACCCTTTGCCCATTTTAAAATCAGGTTATTTGTTTTTCTGCTATTGATTTATAAGAGTTCTTTATAAATTTTGGATATTAACCCCTTATCAGATATGTGGTTTGCAAATATTTTTTCCCAGTCCGTGGATCGCCGATTCATTCTGTTGATTGTTTCCTTTGCTATGTAGAAGCTTTTTAATTTGATGTAGTCCCATTTGTCTACTAATTTTTGCTTTTGTAGTCTGATCTTTTGGTGTAATATCAAAAAAATATATATATATATATTTGGTCTTTTATCCATTTTGAGTTGATTTTTGTGTATGGCGTAAGATAAGGGTCAAATTTCCTTCTTTTGCATGTGGAAATCTAGTTTTCCTGGCAGCATTTACGGAAGAGGCTATCCTTTTCCCATTTTGTCCTCTTGGTGCCCTTATTGAAAATTAGTTCATCATATATGTTTGGATTTATTCCCAGGCTCTCTGTTCTGTTCCTTTAGTTTCTATTTTTATGCCAGTATCATGCCTTTTTTTTTTTTTTTTTTCTTGAGACAAGTCTTGCTCTGTCACCCAGGCTGCAGTGCACGGCTCACTGCAGCCTCGATCTCCCGGGCTCAAGTGATCCTCCTGCCTCAGCCCCCCAAGTATCTGGGACTACAGGTGCATGCCACAGCGCCTGTCTAATTTTTGTATTTTTCATAGAGACAGGGTTTCCCTATGTTTGCCCAGGCTGGTCTTGAACTCCTGGGCTCAAACAATCCACCTGCCTCATCCTCCCAAAATGCTGGGATTGCAAGCGTGAGCCACCACGCTGGGTCCCTTTTTTTTTGAGACTTAGTTTCACTTTTGTCGCCCAGGCTGGAGTGCAATGGTGCGATCTCGGCTCACTGCAACCTCCGCCTCCCGGCTTCAAACAATTCTCCTGCCTCAGCCTCCCGAGTAGCTGGGATTACAGGTATGAAGCCTGTAATTAGCCATCATGGCTGGCTAATTTTGTATTTTTAGTAGAGACAGGATTTCACCATGTTGGTCAGGCTGGTCTCGAACTCCTGACCTCAAGTGATCCACCCGCCTTGGCCTCCCAAAGTGTTGGGATTACAGGCGTGAGCCACGGCGCCAGGCACGTTTTTTTTTCTTTTTTTATTATTATACTTTAAGTTTTAGGGTACATGTGCACATTGTGCAGGTTAGTTACATACGTATACATGTGCCATGCTGGTGTGCTGCACCCACTAACTTGTCATCTAGCATTAGATATATCTCCCAATGCTATCCCTCCCCCCTCCCCCCACCCTACAACAGTCCCCAGAGTGTGATGTCCTTCCTGTGTCCATGTGATCTCATTGTTCAATTCCCACCTATGAGTGAGGCACGTTTTGATTCTTAACAAGGACAATTGTGCCACCTGTGGAGACGCCTTTGGTTTTACCACTACCCGGGATACTACTGACATCTAGTGGTTAGAGTATAGAATGCCCTACTCCCTCTAACAGAAATACCAGGTCCTGAATGTCAGTCGTGCCAATGATGAGAAACCCTTGCATAGAAAAGTAGGAGATGGCCGAGCGCGGTGGCTCACGCCTGTAATCCCAGCACTTTGGCCGGGGCGGGTGGACCATGAGGTCAGGAGTTCGAGATCAGCCTGGCCAACATGGTGAAACCCCGTCTCTACTAAAAATACAAAAATTAGCCGGGCGTGGTGGTGCGTGCCTGTAGTCCCAGCTACTCAGGAGGCTGAGGCCGGAGAATCTCTTGGACCCAAGAGGTAGAGGTTGCAGTGAGCGGAGATCGTGCCACTGCACTCCAGCCTGGGTGACAGAGACTCTGTATCAAAGAAAAAAAAAAAAAAAAGCAGGAGATACTGGCTGTAGATAAGAAGGCAGACATCTCATTGCTTGCAGAGTGAAAGAAGAAAGAACTGGTGATGTTGTTACTGGACTACTTTCGCACTAGTGTCAAGAAGGTGAGAAATCTCTCGAATCTAGGATAAGAGAAAAAATAAAGAAGGTGAGAAATCTTTCTCATGGTCGTTACTATTTCTCTCTGCAGTAAGTTGTAAAATCATTTGTTATTAAACAGGGAAGTTGTGGCCGGGCGCAGTGGCTCATGCCTGTAATCCCAGCACTTTGGGAGGCCAAGGCGGGCGGATCACGAGATCAGGAAATCAAGACCATCCTGGCCAACATGGTGAAACCTCGTCTGTACTAAAAAAATACAAAAATTAGCTGAGCGTGGTGGCGCGTGCCTGTAATCCCAGCTACTCGGGAGGCTGAGGCAGGAGAATAGCTTGAACCAGGGAGTTGGAGGTTGCAGTGAGCCGAGATGGTGCCACTGAACGCTAGCCTGGGAACAGAGCAAGACTCTGTCTCAAAAAAAAAAAAAAAAAAAAAAAAAAAAGAGGGAAGTTGAGATGGTGTGAATTCAAAATCCTGCAGAAATCATGAAAAGATCTTTGCCCACTGGAAATTTCCTGAAGTGTCGAAGGCCCCTTTAGAGTAGGTGATCTCAAATTTTTTAGCGCTTCCCATATCACCGCGTGGCGGCAGAATTATGTAGGCAGGAGAGACAGATGGTTAGCGTTTTCCAGGGCAGGTATTATGATAGGACAGAGAGTAGGGAATTTGAGGTTTTGGAAAATATATGATTGAATCTCAGTTACCTAGTTAAAGAAATGAGGTTGGCCAGGCGCGGTGGCTCACGGCTGTAATCCCATAACATTGGGAGGCCAAGGTGGGTGGATCACCTGAGGTTGGGAGTTCAAGACCAGCCTGACCAACAAGGAGAAACCCCGTCTCTACTAAAAATACAAAATACCTGGGCATGGTGGCACATGCCTGTAATCGCAGCTACTCAGGAGGCTGAAGCAGGAGAATGGCTTGAACCTGGAAGCAGAGGTTGCAGTGAGCCGAGATCTTGCCATTGCACTCCAGCCTGGGCAACAAGAGCAAAACTCCATTTCAAAATAAATAAATAGAATACAAAAATTAGCTGGGCATGGTGGCGGGCACCTGTAATACCAGCTACTCAGGGAGGCTGAGGCAGGAGAATTGCTTGAACCCGGGAGGTGAGGGTTGCAGTGAGCTGAGATCACGCCATTGCACTCCAGCCAGGGCTACAGAGCAAGATTCCATCTCAAAATAAATAAAAATAAATAAATAGCAACATGGTTGAAGAATAGATGGCTTGGAGGCCTCTATGCATTAGGAGAGGAGATGCAGTAAGGCCGAAAGGGTGAAGAAGTTGGGGCCGGGTGCAGTGGCTCATGCCTGTAATCCCAGCATTTAGGGAGGCAGACAGATCACTTGAGGTCAGGAGTTCAAGTTCAGCCTGGCTAACATGGTGAAACCCCGTCTCTACTAAAACATAAAAATTAGCCAGGCATGGTGGCACACACCTGTAATCCCAGCTACTCAGGGAGGCTGAGGCAGGAGAACTGCTTGAACCCAGGAGGTAGATGTTGCAGTGAGCTGAGATTGCACTACTGCACTCCAGCCTGGGTGAAGGAGCAAAACTCTGTCTCAAAAATAAAAGAAAATAAATTATCCTGAATCATGGCATAGCTGGGTGTTTAAAGAACAGGAGTCAGGTGCCAATGACTTGAATGCATTAGGTCTCTGTGTTGATGCCAATTCAGATGAGAAGCCAGAGATGTGTCAGGGCAGCATGGGAGTTTTGATAAATGGTGAGCAATGCAGTTCAATAATGTGGATATACATTAGGGATAGAGCAGGTAAAAAAAGTTCACCATATTGCTTTGAGGTTGTACATGCCACACAAAATCAAGACCCAAGATCAAAAACACCTTGAATCCAGAAGGAGAAGATACTGGATGGGTCATGATGGAACTGCCTTTGGTGCAACAGAGAAACAGAAAACTTGTGAATTCTCTTGTTCATATGTCTTGATTTTAGGCTGGGCATGGTGGCGAAACGGTGGCTATCCCAGCTACTTAGGATCCTGAGGTGGAAAGATCAAGTGTTTGAGACCAGCCTGGGCAACATAGTGAGTTCCCATTTTTGCACACACACAAAAATAGCTGGATGTGGTGGTGCATATCTGTAGTCCCAGTCAATTGGGCGGCTGAGGCAGGAGGATTCCTTGAGTCCAGGAATTCAAGGCTGCAGTGAGCTATGATGGCATCGCTGTACTCTTGCCTGGACGACAGAGCAAGACCCTGTCTCTAAAAAAAAAATAGAAAAGAAAAAAGAAAAGCTTAAGGGGAAAGCAGAGAACATTTACTATGAGTTTCCTCATATAGCTTCAGCTTTCCCTATCTTTCACTTTTTACCTATCATTTCCTACTTAGGATCTTAAAGACCTGTCTTCTTTCTGACACCCAGGCTTGAGTGTGGTGGCACGATCTCTGTTCACTGTAACCTCCACCTCCCAGGTTCAAGTGATTCTCCTGCCTCAGCCCCCCAAGTAGCTGGGATTACAGGCACCCACCACCACACCTGGCTAATTTTTGTATTTTTAGTAGAGACGGGGTTTCACCATGTTGGCCAGGCTGGTCTCAAACTCCTGACCTCAAATGATCTGCCTCTTCGGCCTCCCAAAGTGCTGGGATTACAGGCGTGAGCCACCACGCTTGGCCTTTTTTTTGAAAGAACTGTCTTCTTAAAGACCTGTTCTCCTTAATATTTACGTTGGAAGCCATTGTCTAATTCTTTCTCATTTTTCATACATAATAGCTTTTGCCTGTCAATGTAATTTCCAATCGTAATAGAATCATTCCTTAGTAAACTACATAAAATATCAAACGATGGAAGTATCATTCCTTTGATTATGAATGCAGACATTTTTCCCCTTGTCTTCCCAAGTTTAGGGTCAATATTTAAAGAGAAACCCACACAGGCCCCATTTTTTGTCACCATCACTGCACCATTTCATACCCTATCAACTTTAGGTTTTGTTCTTCATTTGTTTCAGACTGGGTTTGGGCTTTATCTGCATTTTGTCAACATTATGTCACCATTTCTTTTCCAAAAACTTACTGTACTAGGCCATTATTGTGTTGGTATAAAGAAATACCTGATGCCAGGTGCGGTGGCTCGTGCCTATAGTTCCAGCACTTTGGGAGGCCGAGGTGTGTGGATCACTTGAAGTCAGGAGTTTGAGACCAGCATGGCCAACATGGTGAAACCTCGTCTCTACTGAAAATATAAAAATTTGCCAGGTGTCGTGTGTGCCTGTAATCCTAGCTACTCTACTCAGGAGGCTGAGGCAGGAGAATCGCTTGAACCTGGGAGGCGGAGGTTGCAGTGAGCTGAGATCACGCCACTGCACTCCAGCCAGGGCGCAGAGTGAGACTTGGTTTGAAAAAAAAAAAAAAAAAAAAAAGCAATTTCTGACTCAGAGAAAGCTGGGATTCTGTCTAAGGAGGATTCCACCAGCTCCCTAGGGGTCCGATCCTAGGATCCAAGAATGAGATACCCTCGGGATAAGAGGAAATGTGGTTGGAAGAGAATGACATACAGCTTGTCCCTTGGGGTCAGAAAGTCAACCATCCAGGAATTCCCCCTTTGTGCTCACGTCTGACCTGTGCTCATTAAGGATTTGAGCTGCCTTAGGGGAAGAAATGACAGTACTGTACACATCTAGCTAATGAGCAGCTTTGAAAATTGAGCTCCTAGGGGCCACAGAGACTGCAAATAATCTACCGGTGACCACTCCACTCAACAGCCCCGCTCATGTTAGGAAACATCACACCTGAGTCTTGCTCCAGAGATGATCCCTCTTGCCCAAGAGTGGGTTGCCTTACTTGGTTCATCTGCCCTTCTTGGGGATAGATCTTCCATTTCATCTTACAATTCTCCAAGAAAAAAAATGGAGAATTCCTTACTGATGCCTTCAAGGTAATCTGAAATGCTCCCAATAAATGCTGTGAGAAACTGAACAAGTTTTTTATTTTATTTTTTCTCCCATCTTATCTGGAGGACAACCATAAAGTAAGAGACAATTCAGCAGAATTGTTATAAGTGAGATTCCAAACTAATCGGTGACCCTTTTCATGATATATTTACTTCCCCTGTTTTCTTACAATTTATAATCAGATTTCATTATTTTCAGCTCTCATTCTGTCTTCTAAATCCTAGGGACTCCTTCCCTACCTAAGTATGAATTAGTCCCTTCAAAAAGGAATCTGGCCAAGTGCGGTGGCTCACGCATGTAGTCCCAGCACTTTGGGAACCAAGGCGGATCAATCACCTGAGGTCAGGAGTTCAAGACCAGCCTGGCCAACATGGTGAAACCCCATCTCTACTAAAAATACAAAAATTTAGCCGGGCATGGTGGCATGCACCTGTAATCCCAGCTACTCAGGAGGCTGAGGCAGGAGAATCGCTTGAACCCGGGAGGCAGAGGTTGCAGTGAGCTGAGATGGCACCACTGCATTCCAGCCTGGTGACAGAGCAAGACTCTGTCTCATAAAACAAACAAATAAACAAAAGGAATCTACAGTTCTCTGGTTTTCCACATTCTTTTTTTTATTTTTTGAGAAGGAGTCTCGCTCTGTCACCAGGCTGGAGTGCAGTGGCTCCATCTCAGTTCACTGCAACCTCCGCCTCCTGGGTTCCAGCGATTCTCCTGCCTCAGCCTTTTGAGTAGCTGGGATTACAGGCGCCCACCACCATGCCTGGCTAACTTTTGTATTTTTAGTAGAGATGGGGTTTCACCAAGTTGGCCAGGATGGTCTTGATCTCTTGACCTCGTGATCCGCCCACTTTGGCCTCCCAAAGTGCTGGAATTACAGACATGAGCCACCATGCCTGGCCCCATGGTTTTCCTCATTCTTTTGACTGCAGATGGGGCTTTGATGAGATGTGTCTGGCTTTTCAATCTTCACCATGTCTGTTGCCAGATTTCACCCTTAAATAACTTGACTCTTGTCCCCATCTCTTGACAGTGAGAAACTCCAGAAGAGGAAGTTGAGACCCACTCACTTACATTTCCAGTCTTTCGGTTTCTCTTTTAAAACCCCAAAACAGGCCAGATGTGGTGGTTCATGCCTGTAATCCTAGCACTTTGGGCTTACAGGCATGGGCAACATAGCAACATAGCCTGGGCAACATAGCAAGAGCTCATCTCTGCAAAAAAAAAAAATTTTTTTTAATTTTAAAAATAGATTTAAAATACTAAATATAATAATAATAACAATAAAGTATAACACTTAAACATGAAGTCCTCTTGATTTGTTTTTATTCCTCTCCTTCCCTTCCTGGGGACCACCACTCTCTGAAATTGGTGGGCATTCACTATGCTTAGTTTAACACTATTATTACATGTAATAATAGTGCCATAATTTGTGTATCTATCCCCATACTGATGTTTGTTTAGCTTCTTTCTTTCTTACTTTATTTTGAGACAGGATCTCACTCTGTCACCCAGACTGGAGTACAGTGGCTCAATCACGGCTCACAACAACCTCGACCTCCTGAGCTCAGGTGATCCTCCTACCTCAGCCTCCTGAGTAGCTAGGACTATAGGTGCATGCCACCATGCCTGACTAGTTTTTGTATTTTTTGTAGAGATGGGGTTTCACCATGTTGCCCAGGCTGGTCTCTAACTCCTGGGCTGAAGTGATCTGCCTGCCTCTACCTCCCAAAATGCTAGGATTACAGGCGCGAGCCACTGCGCCTGGCTTTTTCTTTTTTCTTTTTCTTTTCTCTGAGACAGCATCTTGCTCTGTCACCCAGGCTAGATAGAGTACAGACACACAACCCAGGCTGGTCTCAAACTCCTGGGCTCAAGTGATCCTCCCACCTCGGCCTTCCAAAGTGCTGGGATTACAGGCTTGAGCCACTGTGTCAAGCCCAGTTCTTTCTTTTCTGTACCTTATTACACTAGGAGAACCCTCAGTGGGATTTTGAGCACATGCCTTCTTTGCTCAGCCCTAAGACATTCTTCTTCTTTTTTTTTTTTTTTTTTTTTTTGAGATGGAGTCTCACTCTATCACCCAAGCTGGAGTGAAGTGGCGTGATCTCAGCTCACTGCAACCTGCACCTCCCAGGTTCAAGCAATCCTCTTGCCTTAGTCTCCAAGTAGCTGGGATTACAGGCATGCATCACCACACCTGGCTAATTTTTAAATTTTTTTAGTAGAGACGGGGTTTCACCATGTCAGCCAGGCTGGTCTCAAACTCCTGACCTCAGGTCATCTGCCCGCCTCGGCCTCCCAAAGTGCTGGGATTACAGGTGTGAGCCACCGCACCCGGCCTGACATTATTCTTGGGATATCTTCCCTGCTTCTTCCTTTTGCACCCCATCTCACCCCCATGTCCCTGAGGCATCAAGCATTGTCCACAGCTAGAAACAAAAATGATAGGAAAGGTCATTGCAGGCCAGGCGTGGTGGCTCACGCCTGTAATCCCAGAACTTTGGGAGGCCAAGGTGGGCAGATCACCTGGGGTCAGGAGTTTGAGACCAGCCTGGTCAACATGGTGAAATCACGTCTCTACCAAAAATACAAAAAGTAGCTGGGCATGGTGGTGCACACCTATAATCCCAGCTACTCAGGAGGCTGAGGCAGGAGAATCGCTTGAACCCGGGAGGCAGAGGTTGCAGTGAGCCAAGATCGTGCCACTGCACTCCAGCCTGAGCCACAGAGCGAGACTCCATCTCAAAATAAATAAATAAAAGGTTATTGCAGGACCCCTGAGCACTGTGCTAGGATACACCTATCCTAACATCTATTCATTTTTCATCCCTGCAACACCCCATGCACATTTTTATACCAGTTCCCATCGGAGAAGTGAGAAACTTGAGTCTGCTCAGAGAGGTTCAGGGACCTTCTCATGTCACGGATCCATGTCACAATTGAGGCATACATGACGGAACTGACAACTGTCTGAGTCCAAGTTTTATGCACCAATGGTTGAAGCTTTTATAATCATTTGTCTTTCTCCAGTAAAAGCCAGCTCCCGGTTGGGGGCCTGAATTTTGTTTTTGTTTGTGTATTTGGTTTTTTGTTTGTTTGTTTGAGACAGAGTTTCGCTCTGTCGCCCAGGCTGGAGTGCAGTGGCAGGATCTCGGATCACTGCAAGCTCCACCTCCCGGGTTCACGCCATTCTCCTGCCTCAGCCTCCTGAGTAGCTGGGGCTACAGGCACCCACCACCACGTCCGGCTAATTTTTTGTATTTTTAGTAGAGACGGGGTTTCACCATGTTAGCCAGGATGGTTTTGATCTCCTGACCTCGTGAACCGCCTGCCTCAGCCTTCCAAAGTTCTGGGATTACAGGCTTGAGCCGCCGCGCCCAGCTTGTTTGTGTATTTGTTTTAAGAGGCAGAGTCTTGCTCTGTTGCCCAGGCTGGCATGCAGTGACCCTATGAAAGCTCACTGCAGCTTCCAACTCCTGGGTTCAAGTGATCCTCCCAACTCAGCCTCCCAAGTTGCTGGGACTACAGACACGTACCACCGTGCCTGGCTAATTTTTAATTTAATTTAATTTTTAAAAAATGTTTACTATAGATGGGTCTTGCTACTTTGTTCAGGCTGGTCTCAAACTCCTGGCCTCAAGCGACCCTTCTGCCTCAGCCTCCCAAAGTGCTGGGATTATAGGTGTGAGCCGCTGTGTCTGGCCAGGAACTCAATTTGTGAAGCAAAGGGCTGAGATGGGCTCACTGCACCATTCAACTGTTCACATGCTGTGATTCTATAATATGTTTGCCCCAACTCCTGAGTCATCATTACAGAATTTCCTTAACTTATGGGTTTATGAGAACAGCAGGCTGATGTTTTGACATTGCCGGCATACATCAATTCTTTACTTCCTGCTTTGGGGGCCCCAGAATCAATTTCTCAAGAATCTGGATAAGCCAGAAGGAACAGGAAAGGTTTGGCGCTGACTCACACAGGACTCCTCCAGGAATCAGTGCCAAGGCTCAGGGGTTGCCTGAACCAGGGGCTGCACCAGTAATAATAGGAAGAGTGGGTGCAGTGGCTCAAGCCTGTAATCCCAGCACTTTAGGAGGCTGAGGCGGGTGGATCACTTCAAGTCAGGAGTTCAAGACCAGCCTGGCCAACATGGTGAAACCCTATCTCTGTTAAAAGTATAAAAATCAGCCAGGTGTGTTGGCACACACCTGTAGTTCCAGCTACTTGGGAGGCTGAGGCAGGAGGATCACTCAAACCCTGGAGGAAGAGGTTGCAGTGAGCTGAGATCCCACCACTGCACTCCAGCCTGGGTAGCAGAGCGAGACTCCATCTCAAAAAAAAAAAGAAAAGAAAAAAATAATGGAAAGAGGGTCTGATGCATGGCTTACTGTTAAAATTTTCTTTATTAACATTATCTGTGATACAAATGAAAGACAGATGAAGGCAAATAAAAATAGTGGGAGGGGCTTATGCTGCTAGATAAAGAGGGCTTAATTTTTATTTTCACAAACTGTAATGAGAAAGGGAAATTGGTGGGTGAGAAAGACACTGATAGGGTACCTAGGAAGGAAGTAAAGAACAGGCTGGGCATGGGGGTTCATGCCTGTCATCCCAGCTATTTGGGAGGCTGAGAGAGGAGGATTGCTTGAGCCCAGGGGGATGAGGCTACAGTGAGCTATGATCATGCCACTGCACTCCAGCATGGATGACAGAGAGAGAGAGACCCTGCAAAGAAGAAAGAAGGAAAGAAAGAAGGAGGGAAGGAAGGGAGGAAGGAAGGAAGGAAGGAAAGAAAGAGAGAGAGAGAGAGAAAGGAAGGAAGGAAGGAAAAGAGAGAGAAAGAAAGAGAGGGGGGAAGGAGGGAAGGAAGGAAGGAGAAAAAGAGGAGGGAGAGAGGGAGGGAAGGAGGGAGGGAGAGAGAGAAAGAAAGAGAAAGAAAGGAAAGGAAGAAAGAAAGAAAAAGGAGAAAGAAAGAAAGAAGGAAAGAGAAAAGAAAGAAAGAGAAAGAGAAAAAGAAAGAGGAGGGAGAGAGGGAGGGAGGGAAAGAAAAAGAAAGTAAGAAGAAAGAAAGAAAGAGAAAGAAAGAAAGACGGAGGGAGAGAGA
The DNA here is from genome assembly GCF_000001405.40 of Homo sapiens. Lineage (NCBI taxonomy): Eukaryota > Metazoa > Chordata > Mammalia > Primates > Hominidae > Homo > Homo sapiens. The sequence continues at coordinate 9,127,144 of NC_000019.10, read as the reverse complement.
GAAAGAAAGAAAGAGAGAGAAAGAGAAAGAGAGAGAGGGAGAGAGAGAAAGAAAGAAAGAAAGAAAGAAAGAAAAAGAAAGGAAGGAAGGAAGGAAGAAAGAAAGAAAGAAGGAAGGAAGGAAGGAAAAAAGGTCTATAACTTATAACTGGTTTGGTTTTGATAATATTGACAAGATCAAGACTCATCAACAACATGAAAGCAGGAAACTTCTCAGACACTCCAGAATTCTTTCTCTTGGGATTGTCAGGGGATCCGGAGCTGCAGCCCATCCTCTTCATGCTGTTCCTGTCCATGTACCTGGCCACAATGCTGGGGAACCTGCTCATCATCCTGGCCGTCAACTCTGACTCCCACCTCCACACCCCCATGTACTTCCTCCTCTCTATCCTGTCCTTGGTCGACATCTGTTTCACCTCCACCACGATGCCCAAGATGCTGGTGAACATCCAGGCACAGGCTCAATCCATCAATTACACAGGCTGCCTCACCCAAATCTGCTTTGTCCTGGTTTTTGTTGGATTGGAAAATGGAATTCTGGTCATGATGGCCTATGATCGATTTGTGGCCATCTGTCACCCACTGAGGTACAATGTCATCATGAACCCCAAACTCTGTGGGCTGCTGCTTCTGCTGTCCTTCATCGTTAGTGTCCTGGATGCTCTGCTGCACACGTTGATGGTGCTACAGCTGACCTTCTGCATAGACCTGGAAATTCCCCACTTTTTCTGTGAACTAGCTCATATTCTCAAGCTCGCCTGTTCTGATGTCCTCATCAATAACATCCTGGTGTATTTGGTGACCAGCCTGTTAGGTGTTGTTCCTCTCTCTGGGATCATTTTCTCTTACACACGAATTGTCTCCTCTGTCATGAAAATTCCATCAGCTGGTGGAAAGTATAAAGCTTTTTCCATCTGCGGGTCACATTTAATCGTTGTTTCCTTGTTTTATGGAACAGGGTTTGGGGTGTACCTTAGTTCTGGGGCTACCCACTCCTCCAGGAAGGGTGCAATAGCATCAGTGATGTATACCGTGGTCACCCCCATGCTGAACCCACTCATTTACAGCCTGAGAAACAAGGACATGTTGAAGGCTTTGAGGAAACTAATATCTAGGATACCATCTTTCCATTGATGTCTCAGCTTCTTGGGCTTACACTGCTGGGATATGTCAGGGAGAAAGAAGTAATGAGAAGTCTTGAAAGCCTGACTAATGTCTTTGGGGTTTTCTGTTTTTGTTTTTGTTTTTGTTTGTTTGTTTGTTTTTTGAGATGGAGTCTCGCTCTGTTGACCAGACTGGAGTGTAGTGACGCAATCTTGGCTCACTGCAACCTCCGCCTCCTGGGTTCAAGCGATTCTCCTGCTTCAGCCTCCGGAGTAGCTGGGATTACAGGCACGTGCCACCAAGCCCAGCTAATTTTTCTATTTTTAATAGAGACGGGGTTTCACCACATTGGCCAGGATGGTCTCGAACTCCTGACCTCAGGTGATCTGCCCGTCTCAGCCTCCCAAAGTGCTGGGATTACAGGCATGAGCCACTGTGCCCCACCTGACCAATGTCTTTGAATACATGAGACCAGAGATCAGATGGTTCAGGGTGATAGTTTTGGAATCGGACCACGTGGACTTGAGTTCTTTTTGGATTGATTGACTGACTAATTGATTTTTGAGACAGTCTCTCACTTTGTTGCCCAGGCTGGAGTGCAGTGGTGTGATCACAGCTCACTGCTGCCTCGAATTCCTGGGCTAAAGCGATCCTCTGGACTCAGCCTGACGAGTAGCTGAGACTGCAGGTGCATGCCACCACACCTGGCTTTTTTTAAATTTTTGTATCAATGCATAAGAGATGTACATTGTTTCAGGATGCATGTGATAGTGTAATACATTTGTATAATCTGCAAGGATTTGTTACTTTAGATATCCATCACCTTAAATATTTGTCTTATCTTTATGCTCCAACCATTCCAATTGTTCTCTTCTAGGTATTTTGAAATATACAATGGATTATTTTGAACTATAGTCACCCTACTGGTCTATCCAATACTAAGTCTTTTTTTAAAAAAAATTAAATTTAATTAAAAATTTAAAAACTTATTTATTTATTTATTTATTTATTTATTTATTGAGACAGAGTCTTGCTCTGTCGCCCAGTCTAGAGTGCAGTGGCTCAATTTCGGCTTACTGCAACCTCCACCTCTGGGGCTCAAGCGATTCTCCTGCCTCAGCCTCCTGAATAGCTGGGATTACAGGCGCCTGCTACTGTGCCTGGCTCATTTTTGTATTTTTAGTAGAGACAGAGTTTCACCATGTTGGCCAGGCGGGCCTTGAACTCCTGACCTCAGGTAATCTGCCCGCCTCAGCCTCCCAAAGTGCTGGGATTACAGGCATGAGCCACCATGCCCAGCTAGCTAATTTATTTTTAATTTAAAAATTAAGTAATTTATTTACAATTTAAAAATCAAGTAATTAATTTTTAATTTTAATATTAAATGATTAATTTCTTTTTTAGAGAGAGCCTTGCTCTGTTGCCGAGGTTGAACTACAGTGGTGTGATTATAACTCACTGCAGCCTCAAACTCCTGGCCTCAAACAATCCTTCTGCCTCAGCCTTCCAAAGTGCTGGGATTAAGCAGTGTGAGCCACTGTGCCCAGGTCGCCTATACTTTAAATCATTTCTAGATTACTTATATTACCTAGCATAATGTTAATCCTATGTAAATAGTTGTATTACTTAATATTGTATTTTTGTAATATTCTTATTTAATATTTTTAAAATTTTCTTTAATATTTTTAATATTTTTGATCCACAGTTGGTTGAGTCCATGAATGTGGTACTGGCAGATATGGAAGGCTGACTGTACTTGGTATATATATTGTTAAAATTGTCAGAATCAAAATGGAGTCACTTATTAAAAAAAAAAAAGGCTGGGTGTAGCGGCTATCAAAAAAGTCTGCACTTTGATAGGCTGAAGTGGGCGGATCACAAGGTCAGGAGTTCGAGACCAGCCTGGCCAACATGGTGAAACCCCATCTCTATGAAAAATACAAAAATTAGCCAGACGTTGTGGCGCATATCTGTAATCCCAGCTACTCAGGAGGCTGAGGCATGAGAATCGCTTGAACCTGGGAGGCGGAGGTTGCAGTGAGCCAAGATCGCACCACTGCATTCCAGCCTGGGCGACAGAGCAAGACTCCATCTCATGAAAAACAAACAAACAAACAAAAATGAAAAAAACAAAAACATCCTGACAAGTAAAGCTAGGGAAGGCCATGAAGAGATTTATTTCACTTGCATGCCTAATAACAAAAACTATCACAAGACTACAAAAACTATCACGAGACGACAAAAACTATCACGAGACGACAAAAACCACAACCTTGCACAAAAGGCTGTTGCAACCTTACACAAAAAATATTTCTGCAAGTACATCTGCCCAGCAACTGCCTGTCCAGCTTCAGACTGGCATCACCCTTGTTATTAGTTATTACTGTGAAGGATAATTATTTCAAAACAATTATGTAACCTTCCTCATTTTTCCATTAAAAAACTTTGTCTTCCTTTACCTCCTTGAATGCATACATAGTTTATGATGGCACGCGTATCGCTATTGCAATGCTTTCTTTGGCAATAAACATCATTTTCTTTTAGATAGCCTCTTTCTGTTATTTAGGTTGACTATCTATAGTTATATTGATTTATGTTTGTGCTGTTGAATTTCAAAGGAATTGAAATCAATATGCTGAAGAGATATCTGCACTCTCATGTTCATTGCAGTATTAGTCACAATAGCCAGGAAATGTAATCAACCTGAATGTCCATCAACATATAAGTGGATAAAGAAAATGTGGTATGGCAGGCACGGTGGCTCACGCCTGTAATCCCAGCACTTTGGGAGCCTGAGGTAGGTAGATTACTTGAGGTCAGGAGTTCAAGACTAGCCTGGCCAACATGGTGAAACCGTGTCTCCACTAAAAATACAAAAATTAGCCAGGCATGATGACGTATGCCTGTAATCCCAGCTACTCAGGAGGCTGAGGCAGGAGAATCACTTGAACCCAGGAGGCGGAGGTTGCAGTGAGCCGAGATCGCACCACTGCACTCTAGCCTGGGCAACAGAGTGAGACTTTGTCTGGAAAAGAAAAAGAAAATGTGGTATATGATAGAGTACTATGCACCCTTTAAAAAGAAGGAAATTCTGTCATTCGCCACAACATGGAGGAACCTGGAGAACATTATGCTAAGTGAAATAAGCCAGGTACAGAAAGACAAATACTGCATGATCTCAACCATGTGTAGAATCCAAAAGAGCTGATCTCATAAAATCAGAATAAAATAATGGCTACTGCAGTCAGGCACGGTGGCTGATGCCTGTAATCCCAGCACTTTGGGAGGCCGAGGCGGGTGGATCACGAGGTTAGGAGTTCAAGACCAGCCTGCCCAACATGGTGAAACACTGTCTCTACTAAAAATACAAAAATTATCCGGGTGTGGTGACGCTTGCTTGTAGTCCCAGCTACTCAGGAGGCTGAGGCAGGAGAATCACTTGAACCTGGGAGGCGGAGGTTGCAGTGAGCCGAGATCATGCCACTGCACTCCAGCTTGGGTGACAGAGGGAGACTCCGACTCAAAAAAAAAAAAAAAAAAACAATAAAAATAAATAAATAAAAATAACTTTCTGGTCTATTTTGCAACTTGCATATTTGGTGATATTCTTCTCTCTGGGGTCATGTTTTCTTATTCTCAAATAGCCTTGTCTGTTTTGAGAATGCCGTCAGCAAGTAATAAAGCTTTTTTCAGCTGTGAGTCTCACCTCCCATTTGTTTCCCGATTCTACAGGGCGGGTTGGGGGGTGTACATTAGCTCTGCCGTTTCTGACTCTTCAAGGAGGGCTGCGGTGGCTTCAGTGATGTACACAGTGGTCACACCTATTATGAACCCCTTTATCTACAGCCTGAGGAACAGAGATATGAAGAGAGCCTCGGGGAAACTCATTGGTAGGATAACTTCTCTTCCTGATTATGTTGTCCACTTTGGACTTGGGATTCAAAGTGGGTCAAAGACACAGAAATACTGGTGAGCCAGAATGCCTGACTGATCTATCACTGAGTTTTCTAAAATGATTAGATAACATAGTGGGTAAGTACATTTTAACTTGGGGTTGAAACATCACTTGTTCTTTGTGTGTAGCTCTGTGATTGTACGAAAACGAGTTCCACGGCCGGGCGCGGTGGCTCACGTCTGTAATCCCAGCACTTTGGGAGGCCGAGGCGGGAGGATCACGAGGTCAGGAGATCGAGACCATCCTGGCTAACACGGTGAAACCCCGTCTCGAATAAGAATACAAAAAATTAGCCGGGCGTGGTGGCGGGCACCCGTAGTCCCAGCTACTTGGGAGGCTGAAGCGGGTGAATGGCGTGAACCCAGGAGGCGGAGCTTGCAGTGACCTGAGATGCCGCACTGCACTCCAGCCTGGGCGACAGAGCGAGACTCCGTCTCAAAATAAATAAATAAATAAATAAAAATTAAAAATAAATAATAAAAAAAAATTAGTTCCATTCTCCAAGCTCAGTTTTTCTCTTTTTCTTTTTCTTTTTCTTTCTTTCTTTTTTTTTTTTTTTTGAGACAGAGTCTGTTCTGTCACCCAGGCTGGAGTGCAGTGGTGCAGTCTCGGCTCACTGTAGCCTCCGCCTCCTAGGTTCAAGCAATTCTCATGCTTCAGTCTCCGGAGTAACAAGGATTACAGGCAAGCATCACCACGCCCAGCTAATTTTTTTCTATTTTTAGTAGAGACGGGGTTTCGCCATGTTGGCCAGGGTGATCTCGAACTCCTGGGATCAAGAGATTCTCCCGCCTCGGCCTCCCAACGTGCTGGGATTACAGGCCTGAGTCACCAGGCCGACCACCACCACATTTCTTATCAACCCTGGGACAACACATTCTACCCTTAACGCTACTTCATTTCCTGCTCACTTTCCACAGAGTCAGCAAACTTTCCCCAAGGTGGTATCTGAACACTTGCCTCATGACTTTTCCCTTTCTGAGTCTCTGAACATTTCAATTTTTTCTTTATTTTGGTTTTAGAGACACAATCTTGCTGTGTTGCCCAGGCTGGAGAACCAGAAATAGAAATAAAACTAATTTTTGTGACTTTCAATGTGATAAAGCAATAAGATGAGAAAACTTTTATTAATTTCTGGTTCAAAGACATATTTTAGTGTGACATAATCATAAATATTCATGTAATAGTAGTGCCAGTAACAACCAAGAAAAAAACAGAGAAAATTTATCAAAAAATAGCTACAACCAAAGGCTCACATCCAAGAAGCAACTGAAGTAGCTTACACACCTCCAGAAAAAGATTTTACTCTCTTTTAAAATGATTTCTAGAAATAACTGTTTTTTAAAAATCCTGAATAGCCAAGATAACCCTATGCAAAAGGAACAAAGCTGGAGGCATCACACTATCTGACTCCAAACTACACTACAGGGCTACAGTAATCAAAACAGCATGGTTCTTGTACAAGAACAGACAAATAGACCAATGGAACGGAATAGAGAACCCAGAAATAAGACCGCACACCTTCAACTATCTGATCTTTGACAAACCTGACAAAAACAAGCAATGGGAAAAGGATTCCCTACTCAATCAATGGTGCTGGGATAACTGGCTAGCCATATGCAGAAGATTGAAACTGTACCCCTTCCTTAAATTATATACAAAAATTAACTTAAGACAGATTAAAGACTTAAATGTAAAACCCAAAACTATAAATACCCCAGAAGACAACCTAGGTAATACCATTTAGAACATAGGCACGAGCAAAGATTTCATGATGAAGACACCAAAAGCAACTGCAACAAAAGCAAAAATTGGCAAATGGGATCTAATTAAACTAGAGAGCTTCTAAACAGCGAAAGAAACTATCATCACAGTGAACAAACAACCTACAGAATGGGAGAAAATTTTTGCAATCTATCCATCTGATGAAGGTCTAATATCCAGCATCTTTAAGGAACTTAAACCAATTTACAAGAAAAAAAAACCATTTAAAAAGTGAGCAAAGAACATGAACAGACATTTTTCAAAAGAAGACATATAGGCGGCCAACAATCATATAAAAAAAAGCTCAATATCACTGATCATTAGGGAAATGCAAATCAAAACCACAGTGAGATATCATCTCACATCAATCAGAATGGCTATTACTAAAAAGCCAAAAAATAACAGATGCTGGCAAGGCTGTGGAGAAAAAGGAACACTTATACACTGTCAGTGGGAGTGTAAATTAGTTCAACCATTGTGGAAGGCAGTGTGGGAATTCCTCAGAGACCTAAAGACAGAATACCATTAGACCCAGCAATCCCATTACTGGGTATGTACCCAAAGGAATATGAATCATTGTACTATAAAGACACAAGCACACATTATGTTCATTGCAGCACTATTCACAATAGCAAAGACATGGAATCAATCTAAATGCCCATCACTGATAGAATGGATAAAGAAAATGTGGTACATACACACCATAGAATACTATGCAGCCATAAAAAAGAATGAGATCATGTTCTTTGCAGGAAAATGGATGGAGCTGGATGCCATTATCCTTAGCAAACTAGTGTAGGAACAGAAAACCAAAGACCACGTGTTCTCACTTATAAGTGGGAGCTAAATGATGAGAACATATGGACACATAGAGGGGAAAAACATACACTGTGGCCTATTGAAGGGTGAAGGGCTGGAGGAGGCAGGGATCAGGAAAAATAACTAATGGGTACCAGGCTCAATACCTGGGTAATGAAATAATTGGTACAACAAACTCCCATGACACAAGTTTGCCTATGTACAAACTTGCATATGTGCCCCTGAATTAAAATAAAAATTAAAAAAATAAAATAGACTGGGCATGGTGGCTCATGCCTATAATCCCAACACTTTGGGAGGCAGAGGTGGGTGGATCCCCTGAGGTCAGGAGTTCCAGACCAGCCTAACAAACATGGTGAAATCCCATCTCTACTAAAAATACAAAAATTAGCTGGGAGTGGTGGCAGGCGCCTGTAATCCCAGCTACTTGGGAGGCTGAGGCAGGAGAATCGCTTGAACCCAGGAGGCAGAGGTTGCAGTGAGCCGAGATTGCGCCACTGCACTCCAGGCTGGGTGAAAGAGCAAGACTCCATCTCAAAAAAAAAAAAAAAGAAAGAAAAAAAGAAAAGTGGATGATGTACACTTGGCCTCTAGGGTCAGGACAGCAGCCATCCTGAATTTCTCCCTTGTTCTGCAAGGATTTAAGCACCCTGGGATTACAGTGCCAACACAAATTCCTTGGCTAATGAGGAGCTTTGGCAATTGAGCCGCTAGGGAGGCAGAGACTACAATGTACCAGTGACCACCGCATTCATGAGCCACTGTGCCCAGCCAGAAGCTTTTATTTCTTATAAGAGAAAGAAACTCTGACTATAATTTACATGAATAAGAAACAGAGTTATTTTTTATGACAAGAACTTCAGGGGTAAGAAATGCATGGGAGCAGTAGTGTGGGGATTCATGCAAGCCTCGGGAAGATGGCTCCATGTCTGTGCTGATTTTCCTCTTGCAAACAGATGTCTGCAGAAATGTAGGCATCATATTCAGACATGGTGCTCAGAGAAAACCGACGGTCTTTCTGTAGGTCTGCTGTGAAGAGAGTCTATTTGTAATAGAAATTTTCTTTTTAAATTTTATTTTTATTTACTTGTTTATTAGAGACAGGGTCTCACTCTGTCACTCAGGCTGGAGTGCAGTGCCACGATCATGGCTCACTGCAGCCTTGAACTCCTGGGCCTCAGCGACCCTGAGTAGCTGGAACTACAAATGAGTGAGTGCCACCACACCTGGAGATATACATATATATATAATCCTCTATATGTATAATTATATGTATATTACACAAATATATTCTAATTGTATAATTTTAGGATTAGCTGTAGTCTCAGTGCTCCCGTGCAAAACTGTTTACTGTGTCTTCACTAGGAAGATTACTCTGTAGAGAAATACTTTCATTTGAGAAGGAGATGTCGAGTGTAAGACAAGACAGGAGAAAATGGAAGTTGGCAAGATTTTGGGGCATAATTTTTTTCTATAAGCACACACACACACACACACACACACACACGCAGGATCATCAGTCAGAATTATCTCTCTAAGTGTGAGGAGCAAACAATGGAGGTGTCAAAAGAGAATCAAAGGAGTGGGTGGAGAGTCTTCTGTTGCAGCTGTCTTTGGAGCTTGAGGAGCTGGCTTTATTTTCACCAAAATATCTGGGAAGCCAGGCATGGTGGCTCGTGGCTGTAGTCCCAGCTACTTGGGAGGCTGAAGCGTGAGGATTGCTTGAGGCCAGGAGTTTGAGACCAGCCTGGGCAACATGGCAAGATCCTGTCTCTAAAAAACCCCCAAAACAAAACAAAAAGCTCTTACATATCTGGAACGCAGCTCCTATTCTAGCACTCATAGAGTCTCCTAGGACTGAGATTCCTCTGTTGGTGTCCACAGAACAGACACAGAGAGGAACCACCCGAGACCTTTCCTCATAGAGAAGGTTCTTGGCCTTGCCCGAGAACTACTGGTGTTAAATCTCTGAGAAATGTGTGAGGTATGAGAATTTTTAATAAGCACTTGGAGAGATGCTGATAACCTCTGAAGCCTGACACTCCTAACTTTAATATTAGGAGAACATGAGAAAACATATTTAGGGTTAGAATATGAAGGGTCTTTCTTTAATCATACTTGTTACATTATCATATACAAAGTAATGCATAAAATCTATCTATCTGTAGGTAGTGTAGAGCACAGTGGCTCACGCCTGTAATCCCAGCACTTTGGGAGGCGGAGGTGGGCAGATCACAAGGTCAGGATATGGAGACCATCCTGGCTAACGCAGTGATACCCGTCTCTACTAAAAATACAAAAAATTAGCCGGCCGTGGTGGCGGGCGTCTGTAGTCCCAGCTACTCAGGAGGCTGAGGCAGGAGAATGGCGTGAACCTGGGAGGCGGAGCTTGCTGTGAGCCGAGATCGTGCCACTGCACTCCAACCTGGGCGACAGAACGAGACACTGTCTCAGGAAAAAAAAAAAAATCTATCTGTAATTCTGAGAGAATAGTAACATGATAAAACCGCATATACCTATCTGGCATTAAAAATAAGTTAATGTCATCACCATAGAACCTACCTGTAGGATTTTCTACTCAAATCACCTTGTTTTCTTCCAGCAACAAATACACTATCCTGAATTCTGTAGTTACCATTTTCTTTGAAAACAGGATGACTGTTATAAAATTCTCTGTAATTTACTTGCAGTCTTGTGGGGGAGAGGAGGTGAGCAGCTTGCTAAACTTCACCTTATCTTCACTTTCCTGTGGTGTTTTTTTTTTTTTTAATGGAGTTTTGCTCCGTTGCCCAGGCTGGAGTATAATGGCATGATCTCAGCTCACTGCAACCTCCGCCCCCTGGGTTCAAGCGATTCTCCTTTCCTGGTTCTTGACACAGCTTTGTATTATTTCTGTTGGCTGGCGTGAAGTCTCTGGGGGTCCAGACAGAGTCTTCCAGCCGTTTTCCTGGTATGTACTTTGTTTTATTTTATTTATTTTTTGTTTTTTCATTACCAAATATTTTTAATAATCAGAACAGCAGAGTGGTGGCACATGCCTGTAATCCCAGCTACTCAGGAGGCTGAGGAAGGAGAATCGCTTGAACCTGGGAGGCGGAGGTTGCAGTGAACCAAGTTTGTGCCACTGCACTCCAGCCTGGGCAACAAGAGCGAAACTCCATCTCAAAAAAAAAAAGATGAGGCTGGGCGTGGTGGCTCACGCCTGTAAACCCAGCATTTTGGGAAGCCAAGTTGGGCAGATCACTTGAGGCCAGGCATTTGAGAGCAGCCTGGCCAACATGGCAAAACCCCGTCTCTACTAAAAATACAAAAATTAGCCAGGTGTTGTGGCAAGCATCTTTAATCCCAGCTACTTGGGAGGCTCAGGCAGGAGAATTGCTTGAAACCAGGAGGCAGAGGTTGCAGTGAGCCAGGATCAAGCCACTGCACTCCAGCCTGGCCACAGAGCAAGACTCTGTCTCAAAAATAAATAAATAAATTTAAAAAATAAATAAATAAAAATAAAAAATGATGACCCCTTAACCATTTCCAGAATTAACAATTATTGATGCTGTGCTGTATTAGCTTCAAGTTTTGTAAAAGCAGTAAAGTAATATCAATACAAAAGGCAACACTTATTTATTTTCTTCCCTTAGAATCTACCCCTTTTCAAGATGGTGTTTGCCTCTGTTGACGTTGCTCCCGCAGTCTAGAAAACACATTTGATTGTCTAATTATCCCATTTTTTGATCATCAAAAACATGGGACCCAGAAACCAAACAGCTGTTTCAGAATTTCTTCTCATGAAAGTGACAGAGGACCCAGAACTGAAGTTAATCCCTTTCAGCCTGTTCCTGTCCATGTACCTGGTCACCATCCTGGGGAACCTGCTCATTCTCCTGGCTGTCATCTCTGACTCCCACCTCCACACCCCCATGTACTTCCTTCTCTTTAATCTCTCCTTTACTGACATCTGTTTAACCACAACCACAGTCCCAAAGATCCTAGTGAACATCCAAGCTCAGAATCAGAGTATCACTTACACAGGCTGCCTCACCCAGATCTGTCTTGTCTTGGTTTTTGCTGGCTTGGAAAGTTGCTTTCTTGCAGTCATGGCCTACGACCGCTATGTGGCCATTTGCCACCCACTGAGGTACACAGTCCTCATGAATGTCCATTTCTGGGGCTTGCTGATTCTTCTCTCCATGTTCATGAGCACTATGGATGCCCTGGTTCAGAGTCTGATGGTATTGCAGCTGTCCTTCTGCAAAAACGTTGAAATCCCTTTGTTCTTCTGTGAAGTCGTTCAGGTCATCAAGCTCGCCTGTTCTGACACCCTCATCAACAACATCCTCATATATTTTGCAAGTAGTGTATTTGGTGCAATTCCTCTCTCTGGAATAATTTTCTCTTATTCTCAAATAGTCACCTCTGTTCTGAGAATGCCATCAGCAAGAGGAAAGTATAAAGCGTTTTCCACCTGTGGCTGTCACCTCTCTGTTTTTTCCTTGTTCTATGGGACAGCTTTTGGGGTGTACATTAGTTCTGCTGTTGCTGAGTCTTCCCGAATTACTGCTGTGGCTTCAGTGATGTACACTGTGGTCCCTCAAATGATGAACCCCTTCATCTACAGCCTGAGAAATAAGGAGATGAAGAAAGCTTTGAGGAAACTTATTGGTAGGCTGTTTCCTTTTTAGCGATCTTTGTCCTCTGCTTTGAATTGGAGCTTCTAAAATAAATCATCATAACAGGATTCCTTGGTAAGCCAGAGTGCCTGACTCTTGCATCGAGATTTACTTTTTTTTTTTTTTTTCGAGGCAGAATCTCGCTCTGTCGCCCAGGCTGGAGTACAGTGGCACGATCTCGGCTCACTGCAAACTCCGCCTCCCGGGTTCATGCAATTCTCCTGCCTCGGCCTCCCGAGTAGCTGGGATTACAGGCACACACCACCACACCTGGATTTTTTTTGTATTTTTAGTAGAGATGGGGTTTCACCAGGTTGGCCAGGGTGGTCTCGAACTCCTGACTTCAGGTAATCCACCCACCTCGGCCTCCCAAAGTGCTGGGATTACAGGCATGAGCCACTATGCCTGACCTACTTTCTTTTTTGTGATCTTTGTGCTCTGCTTTGAACTGAAGCTTCTAAAAGGAATCAACATGACAGGATTCCTTGGTAAGCCAGAGTGCCTGACTCTTGCATCATGAAGATTTTCTTTTTCTTTCTTTCTTTTTTTTTTTTTTTGTGACAGAGTCTCGCTCTGTCACCCAGGCTGGAGTGCAGTGGCACGATCTCCGCTCACTGCAACCTCCGCCTCCTGGGTTCACGCCATTCCCCTGCCTCAGCCTCCTGAGTAGCTGGGACTACAGGCGCCCGCCACCATGCCAGGCTAATTTTTTGTATTTTTTTAGTAGAGATGGGGTTTCACCGTGTTGGCCAGGATGGTCTCAATCTCCTGACCTAGTGATCTGCCCACCTTGGCCTCCCAAAGTGCTGGGATTACAGGCGTGAGTCACCGCGCCCGACCTTTCAAGATTTTCTTAAAGTGACTAGTCTGCATCATGGATGTGTGTGTGTGTTTTTTGTTGTTGTTGTTGAAATCTTGCCTCTTTTGGAGCTCTGTCATGTGTCAAAAATGAATTCTATTCTCAAAGCTCAGTTTCTTTGCATGCGGTGTTTAAAAAGTTAACCTGTGGCAAGTGTTACAGTGATTTGGTTGGTAAATATTCTCAGAGGAAGAAAAGCAGGAGGCGTCTCACAGGTCAGGGCAAGAATCCAAAGAAGGCTGTGTTCGCAACACAGAATTGATACTGCCTGATTGAATATTTAGGGCCATATGAAATGCATGCCAGAGTGAAACCTATTGTGCAAAATGGGAGCTGATTGTTGATACCAGAATTCTGTAATTTTAGAGCCCGGTCACTGCTAAACTGTCTGTGCAGGTCAACATCAACGTCTACTTACTACCCTCAGTTTTATCATCAATAAAATTGCTATCATTAGATTATTTCAGTGGTGAGATTTTCTTTCTTTCTTTCTTTCTTTTTTTTTTTTTTTTTTTGAGAGACAGAGTCTCGCTCTTGTCACCCAGGCTGGAGTGCAGCGGTGCAATCTTAGCTCACTGCAAACTCCACCTCCCAGATTCAAGCTATTCTCCTGCCTCAGCCTCCTCAGTAGCTGGGACTACAGACAGCTGCCACCACACCTGGCTAATCTTTGTATTTTTAGTAGAGATGGGGTTTTGCCGTATTAGCGAGGCTAGTCTCAAACTCCTGACCTTTGGATCCGCCCACCTCAGCCTCCCAAAAGTGCTAGGATTACAGGTGTGAGCCACTGTGCCCGGCCTAGTGGTGAGATATTCTATCTTGATCAGTGAAGAAGTCGGCTTTAGTGAAAGAAATGTTGATTATAATATACTCAAATAATAAAGAGAGCTACATTTCTTTGCAAATATATCAGAGGTAGGGAATGTAGAGAATAATTCACTTACTCCTTCTTCTTTTGGCTTTCTTTTTTTTTTAGACAGCCTGGCTCTGTCACCCAGGCTGAAGTGCAGTGGCACAATCTCAGCTCACTGCAACCTCTGCCTCCTGGGTTCAAGTGATTCTCCTGCCTCAGCCTCCCAAGTAGCTGGGATTACAGGTGCACACCACCACACCTGGCTAAGTTTTGCATTTTCAGTAGAGATGGGGTTTCACCGTGTTGGCCAGGGTGCTCTTGAACTCCGGACCTCAAGTGATTTGCCCACCTCAGCCTCCTAAAGTGCTGGGATTACAGGCGTGAGCCACCGTGCCCGGCTGTGGCTTTCTTTTAGGGCTGGTTCCCCTCATGGACCCAGATGGCTGTAGCAAATACAGACGTAATACCCAGACATGATGCCCAGAGACAGAAATCTGACTCTTCTTCCCAGATCTATTGATAAATGGGATTGCATAGAGTAATCCAAAAGATATCACCTTTAATCTCACCACAGAGAGATAGATCATATATTTTTTCTTAATCTAATTCCTGGTGAGGGGGAAATGATTAGTATGAGAGCCTTAGACTGACCATATAAAGTATAATTCCTATTGGGAAGTCCACTCTGGTGTTTTTTGGTGGTTTTTTTGGTTGTTTGTTTTTTTGTTTGTTTTTGAGATGGAGCCTGTCACCTGGGCAGGAGTGCAAAGGTGCAATCTAGGCTCACTGCAACTTCCGCCTCCCTGGTTCAAGAGATTCTCCTGCTTCAGCCTCCTGAGTAGCTGGGATTACAGGCATGCGCCACCATGCCCAGCTAATTTTTGTTCTTTTTTTTTTTTTTAGTAGAGATGGGGTTTCCCCAAGTTGGCCAAGCTGGTCTCGAACTCCTGGCCACAGGTGATCTGCCCACCTCTGCTTCCCAAAGTGCTGGGATTACAGGCGTGAGCCACCACACCCGGCTGGGAACTCCACTCTGATAAGCACTACAAACACTTAATTCAATGCCCAGCACCTCCTAAGTATTCAGTATAATAATGTGGAATCATTGTGTTCCATAACCAGTCTATAATCATAAATCCTATAATGCTATTGTTCTCACATATTTTTCCCTCTTGTTTTAGAAATTAGAATTGTTCCCCTTGTTGCATTTATCATCCACTTATTAAACCTGAATTGTAGAATAAAATAAATAATTATTAGGTAGGAAGGACAAAGGTTGATCATCTTTTTTTGACATCTTACTTGGTTTAGAACAGTCCCATTGATTTATTTGTAAGAATGTTATCTAAGTTCTCGCTTTCCCCCTCAGTCATCTTCCCTTGCTATGATTCTAACCCATCTCCTTTGGAGACCAAAAGAAAAATCTTACTTGGCTGGGCACGGTGACTCACGCCTGTAATCCCAGCACTTTGAGAGGCCAAGGCAGGGGGATCACCTGAGGTCAGGAGATCGAGATCAGCCTGGCCAACATGGTGAAACCCCATCTCTACTAAAAATTTAAAAATTAGCTGGGCATGGTAGCGGGCACCTTGTGGTCCCAGCTGCTCGGGAAGCTGAGGTTGTGGTGAGCCAAGATAGTGCCACTGCACTCCAACCTGGCAACAGAGCGAGACTCCGTCTCAAAAAATAAATTAAAAAAAAAAAAAGACAAGAAAGAAAGAAAGAGAGAGAGAAAGAAAGAAAAGGAAAGAAAGAAAGGAAGAAAGAAAGAAGGAAAGAAAGAAGGAAAGAAAGGAAGAAAGAAAGAAAGAAAGAAAGAAAGAAAGAAAGAAAGAAAGAAAAAGAATCATCATTGAATAAAAGTAATTCTATCATTGCCGTGTTAGAGGACTCACTGCTGCCTTGGGGCTGTCATGAAAACCTTTCGAATGTTTCTTTACAAGGACAGTTCTACCATGGAGAAGTACTTTAGTTAGAGAAGAAGATATTGAGTGTGAAATAAGACAGGAGAAAAGAAAAGTTAGCAAGGTAGTGACATCGCTTATTTCATAACCACAAAAAAGCAGGAAGAGTATATGTATATATATGTCCTCCTTTGACTGATTTAATGGTTTTGACTTTATTCTGTCTTCTGATATTAGTGCAGCCTCCGCAGCTGTCATCTGCATACTATTTGCATGAAATACATCTGTCTATCCATACTCTTACTGTTACCCTGTTTTGTCTCGAGTCTAAAACAAGTCTCTTCTAAATATAGTTGAATCAATTTTTAGTATTTATGCTGACAAATACTGCCTTTTGTTTGGATAGTTTAATCCTTTATCTTTTTTTTTTTTTTTTTAGTCTCATTCTATCACCCAGGCTGGAGTGCAGTGGTGTGATCTCAGCTCACTGCAACCTCGGCCTCCAGGGTTCAAGCAATTCTCCTGCCTCAGCTTCCCGAGTAGCTGGGATTACAGGTGCATGCCACCACGCCTGGCTAATTTTTGTATTTTTAGTAGAGACGGGGTTTCATCATGTTAGCCAGATTGGTCTCGATCTCCTGACCTTATGATTCACCCACTTCAATCTCCCAAAGTGCTGGGATTGCAGGTGTGAGCAACCGCACCCGGCCAATCCTTTTATTTTTTAACATGATTGCTGATTAGGAGAGACTTAATTCTGCCATTGCTGTGTTCTATGTGTTTTATACGTTTCAGTTTTCTGTTTCCTCGATTACTGCCTTGTTCTGTGTCCAGTTGATTTTTCTGTCGTGAATCCTAGTTTCAGTCATTTGGAGACATTCTCCATGGTGGGATTAGTGGATCACATCGTAATTCCATTTTTAGTTTTCTGAGGAACCTCTATACTGTTTTCCATAATGGCTCTTCTTTGTGGTTCTTGTTCTATAAAGCACTGGGAGAGACCAGAGACCAGATCTCCCTGCTTCCAGTCACTGACCTTTGTTATAGATTAACTGCCTCCTTTACTGTCCTGTACCTAACTCAGACCAGATGGTACACAGGACCCCACGACTGTTATGTCATCATTGTAAAATGTTAAATACACCTTCCCTAAAAGAAAAAACCACCCAGACTAATCAGTTGCATTAAAATGCAACACAATGCAATTGTTACTGTTTAGAAGAATAATACCAAATATTGTAACTATGCATTAAGCCTTAAAGATGTTGAAATTCTGTTAAACTGGGCTTCATGCAGTAGTTCACACCTGTAATCCCAGGGCTTTAGGAGGCAGAGGCAGGTGGATCACTTGAGGTCAGGAGTTTGAGACCAGCCTGACCAACATGGCAAAACCCCATCTCTACTAAAAATACAAAAATTAGCCGGACGTGGTGGCAGGTGCCTGTAATCCCAGCTACTCAGGAGGCTGAGGCACGAGAATCACTTGAACCTGGAAGGCGGAGGCTGCAGTGAGCTGAGATCACACCACTGCACTCCAGCCCTGGGCAACAGAGCAAGACTGTGTCTCAAAAAAAAAAAAAAAAAAAATAGAAAAAAGAAATTCTGTTAAACTTCCCTGAATTTTGCCTACATAAACAATCTCAAACTTTTGCACCTTGAAACACTCACTTCCCTTCTTTGGAAGCTGTGCTTCCCTGGTGACTTGTCTCAGACATCGTGCTTGAATAAACTGTCTTTAGACTAGATTCTGGCTGGGTGTGGTGGCTCTTGTAATACCAGCACTTTGAGAGGCCGAGGTGGGAAAATCGCTTGAGCCCAGGAGTTCAAAGCCAGCTTGGGCAACATAGAGAGACCCCCATCTCTCTGAAAAAAAAAATAAAAAATTACTCAGACGTGTTGGTGCACATCTGTAGTCCCAGCTACATGGGAGGCTGAAGTGGGAGGATCGCTTGGGCTCAAGAAGTTGAGGCTGCAGTGAGCTATGATTGCACCACTGCACTCCAGCCGGGGCAACAGAGCCAGATCCTGTCTCTAAAAATAATAAAACAAACTAGATTCTGACCCTTTTGATTATTTTAGATTGACAGATCAACTGGGGGAACACAGATTATTATTACTGGCATAATGGACATAACATCTTGAAATCTCAGGTTGAATACTGTTGCTTGCCAGATACTACCTGTGTGGTCAGAGATTGAAGAACCTTAAAAGACAGGTAACGAAGCAAGGAAAATTGGGGCAGCTTACACATTTTTTTTTTTTAAGATGGAGTCTTGCTCTGTCGCCCAGGCTGGAGTGTAGTGGCACAATCTGAGCTCACTGCAACCTCTGCCTTCTGGGTTCAAGCGATTCTCCTGTCTCAGCCTCCTGAATAGCTGGGATTACAGGTGTGCGCCACCTCGGCTGGCTAATTTTTGTATTTTTAGTAGAGACGGAGTTTCACCATGTTGGTCATTGTGGTCTTGAACTCTTGACCTCGTGATCCGCCTGCCTCAGCCTCCCAAAGTGCTGGGATTACAGGCGTGAGCCACTGTGCCCAGCTAGTTTACATGTAAGACCCAAACTTGCAGATGGCTTACAGGTTAAGGGTTTTTTGTTTTTGTTTTTGTTTTTTTTTTTGAGATGGAGTCTTGCTCTGTCACCCAGGCTGGAGTGTAGGGACACGATCTCAGCTCACTGCAACCTCCACCTCCTGGGTTCAAGCGATTCTCCTGCCTCAGCCTCCCGAGTAGCTGGGACTACAGGTGCCTGTCACCACGCCTGGCTAATTTTTGTATTTTTAGTACAGACAAGGTTTCACCATATTGGCCAGGCTGGTCTCAAACTCCTGACCTCAGGTTATCCACCCACCTCAGCCTCCCAAAGTGCTGGGATTACATGCATAAGCCACCACGCCCAGCATCAAATCTCATCTCTACTAAAAATACAAAAATTAGCCAGGTGTGGTGGCACTCGCCTGTAATCCCAGCTACTCTGGAGGCTGAGGCACAAGAATCACTTGAACCCAGAGGCAGAGGTTGCAGTGAGCTGAGATGGCGCCACTGCATTCCGGCCTGGGTGATAGAGTGAGACTGTCTCAAAAAAAAAAAAAAAAAAAAAAAAAAAAGAATAAGAAAGAAAGAAAGAAGAAAAAAGAAAACCTTCATGTTGGTTATACCTGTCTTCTGGCACAGCTGCTGGCATTCACCTACGCAGGCTTTCAGCTTGCTTACCTATGCTTGCAGCTTGATTTTTCAGGCTACTTTTTGCCTGAAAAGAAATGATTTGGGGGCTGCTTTTTATTAAAAAGAAAAACCTTACCCAGGACTTCTGTACCCTCACTAACTGCCTAAATAATTTCTTTTTAATTCATATGCTATTATTAGGTTAATTTATAGCTACTTGTGGCAACAGCAAGCAGTTTTATGAGATGAATGCATAGTTCAAAGGAGGGGAGGAGGGGTGTGGTTTCTGTCTCATTTTAATGTCTTTCCGGGTCTGACAATGAAGAGAACTCACATTCTTCAGATCAAAA
The DNA here is from genome assembly GCF_000001405.40 of Homo sapiens. Taxonomy (NCBI): domain Eukaryota; kingdom Metazoa; phylum Chordata; class Mammalia; order Primates; family Hominidae; genus Homo; species Homo sapiens. Next base: position 9,107,709 of record NC_000019.10, on the reverse strand, counting down.
TCCTTTTTTTTACTAGACGAATGGTATGTGTTCTGGGAGCAAGATTCGTGAAGTGGAGGTGAGCAGAAACAATGGAGAGATATGGATGGTGTACACGTGGCCTCAGGGGACAGGGACTCAGCCATCCCGAATTCCTCACTCCTCTAGTCTTGGTCTTTAAGGATGTGCACTCCTGGGATCAGAACGATGGTAAAATAGCCAGTGTAATGAGGAGCGTTGGATATTGAGGTCCCAGGGATATAGACAGTGCAACAAGTCAGGCTGTAAGCACCTCACTGAACATCTCTTACCCAGCTCGGAAGCTGCATCAGAACCTCCTTCCAGACATGATATTTTTGACCAGGACTCGAGTCTGTCTGCACTTCCTGAGGATAGATCATCCTCTGCAATATCCATGTGAGTTGTTGAGCATCATTTTTGTTGAAGCCAATCAGTTAACCCAAAGTCCTTTAGTTAATTAATGCTTTGGAAATGAGGGCAGGTGGTTTTGTTTTTTGGGGTTTTTTTAGAGACAAGGTCTCACTCTGTTGCCTGGAAGGAGTGTGGTGACTCGATCATAGCTCACTGCAGTCTTGAATTCCTGGATCAACCAATCCTTCAGCCTCAGCCTACTGAGTAACTGGGACTACAGGTGCATGCCATTACACTTTGCAAATTTTTAAATTTTTTTTGTAGACACAGGTTCTCACTACGTTGCCCAGGCTGGTCTTACACTCCTGGCCTCTTGTACTCCCGCCTCAGCCTCCCAAAGGACCCGGATTATAGATGTGAGCCACAGTGCCTGGCTATATAAAGCTTTTAAAATGCAACACAATGCCATTGTTATTATTTGGAAGAATAATATCAAATATAATGAAAGGTATAGAAGAATAATATAGATCAAGTGTGTGTACTGGTTCCCCTAGGGAAGGGAAAAAAAATCAAAAACATGAAGCGGTGGTTTTGAAATATGCACTTTTTTTTTTTTTTTTTTGAGATGGAATCTTGCTCTGTCACCCAGGCTGGAGTGCAGTGGCATGATCTCGGCTCACTGCAACCTCCGCCTCCCAGGTTCAAGCGATTCTCCTGTAGAGACGGAGTTTCACCATATTGGTCAGCTGGTCTTGAACTCCTGACCTCAGATGATCCACCTGCCTCAGCCTCCCAAAATGCTGGGATTACAGGCATGAGCCACCATGCCCAGCCTCAAATACACACTTTATTGCAATAAAAATATTTTTTACTTTTTGCAATAAAAATATCTAATCAAGGATGGTGAATTGTGTGAATTTTTTTTTTTTTTTTTGAGACACAGTCTCCCTCTGTCACCCAGGCTGGAGTGCAGTGGCACGATCTCGGCTTACTGCAACCTCTGCCTCTCAGGTGCAAGCGATTCTCCTGCCTCAGCCTCCCAAGTAGCTGGGGTTACAGGCGTGCACCACACCACCACACCCAGCTAATTTTTTTGTATTTGTAGTAAAGACGGGGTTTCGCCATATTGGCCAGGCTGATCTCAAACTCTTGATCTCAGGTGATCCACCTGCCTCAGCCTCCCAAAGTGCTGGGATTATAGGCTTGAGCCACCACGCCTGGCCTTGTGTGAATCTTATATCGTTGACTGATGGGTAGCCAGCCCTTCATTATTCTCCGTACTTTCTGAATAATTCACACATGAATAATCTATAATAAAAATGAATATATCTGTGCAGGTTCAAAAACGTTTAGAATTTTTCTCACACTGTACACTGTTTATCATACAAAAATTTTCTTCCTTTCTTCCTTTCTTTCTCCTTTTCTTTTTCTCTCTCTTTCTCTTCCCTTCTCTCTTTTTTTTGTGAATCATACATCAGTTGTTAAAAAACAAGCTAAACTTTTTTTTTTTTTAAGACAGAGTGTCACTCTGTCACCCAGGCTGGAGTGCAATGGCACAATCTTGGCACACTGCAACCTCCATTTCCTGGGTTCAAGAGATTCTCCTGCCTCAGCCTCCCAAGTAGCTGGGATTGCAGGTGCATGCCACCATGCCTGGCTAATATTTGTAATTTTAATAGACATGGGGTTTCACCATGTTGGCTAGGCTGGTCTCGAACTCCTGACCTCATGATCCGCCTGCCTTAGCCTCCCAAAGTGCTGGGATTACAGGCGTGAACCACCACGCACAGCCTGTTGAGGGTTTTTAACATAAAGCAATGTTGAATTTTATTAAAAGCCTTTTTTGCATCTATTGAGATAATAATGTGGTTTTTGGGTTTAGTTCTTTTTATGTGATGAATCACATTTATTGATTTCTGTATGTTGAACCAATCTTGCATCAGAGGGATTAAAGTCTATTTGATAGTGGTGGATAAGTTTTTTGATGTGGATAATCATGTTTTATACCTTGTTTTATTCTCAGCACGTAGAAGAAGAAATGAAATTGAGTTAGTGTCTTATAATAATTTGTTTCAATAAAGAAAATGGAGAGGCCAGGCGCAGTGGCTCACACCTGTAATCCCAGCACTTTGGGAGGCCGAGGCAGGTGGATCACAAGGTCAGGAGTTCCAGACCAGTCTGGCTAAGATAGTGAAACCCGTCTCTACTAAAAATACAAAAATTAGCCGGGTGCGGTGGCTGGCGCCTGTAATCCCAGCTACTTTGGAGGACGAGGCAGGAAAATAGCTTGAACCCGGGAGGCGGAGGTTGCAGGGAGCCGAGATCGCGCCACTGTATTCTAACCTGGGTGACAGAGCAAGACTCCATCTCGAAAAAAAGAAAAAGAAAAAGAAAAAAAGAAAAGAAAATGGAGGGAACAGGAGGAGAGAGAAAAGAAATGTAGGAAGAAAGTAAGCAAGGGGAAGGATTTGAATATTCACTTGGGTTCACAGTGCACACTAGAGAATTTAAAAATTTGTTTGTTTGTTTTTTGAGATGGAGTCTCGCTCTGTTGCCCAGGCTGGAGTGCAGTGGCGCGATCTCGGCTCACTGCAAGCTCTGCCTCCTGGGTTCACGCCATTCTCCTGCCTCAGCCTCCCGAGTAGCTGGGACCACAGGCGCCCACCACCACGCCCCGATAATTTTTTGTATTTTTAGTAGACATGGGGTTTCACCGTGTTAGCCAGGATGGTCTCGATTGCCTGACCCCGTGATCTGCCCGCCTCGGCCTCCCAAAGTGCTGGGATTACAAGCATGAGCCACCACGCCCCACCAAGAATTTTAAAATTTTTTAAATGTCAAGTTTTATCATTTTTAAAAGTTTAAGAATGACACAAACTGACAAAATGTTAGCAATGTTGCAGTATGTTTCTATATTCATTTGTTTTGGGTAACATTGAAAATTGGATGATTGTCTTAGAAAATCACATGTGAAAGATGACAAATAGGTAATATTTAGCATGCTAACTCTGACTTTCTGTCTATCTCTAGCGCTGTTTGGAGCTCTATGCTGATAAGAATCCCAAAGGTACATGTGGTCTTAGCAGGAAAGAGCACTAGACTAGACTAGAAGTGTCTGCCATGGGTAAGGGAACAGCAGAAAGAATAAAGATAAAAGATTTCCACATTCTTTGGCCGAGCGTGATGGCTCACACCTGTAATCCCAGGACTTCGGGAGCCTGAGGCAGGCGGATCACTTGAAGTCAGGAGTTCGAGACCAGCCTGACCTACATGGTGAGACCCTGTCTCTACTAAACATACGAAAAAAAAAATTTTTTTTTAATTAGCCAAATATGGTGCTGTGCACCTGTAACCCTAGCTACTTGAGAGGCTGAGGAAGGAGACTCACTTGAACCTGGGAGGTGGAGCTTGCAGTGAGCTAAGATCACACCACTGCACTCCAGCCTGGGCGACAGAGTGAGACCCTATCTCCCGAAAAAAAAAAAAAAAAAACATTTCCACATTTTTTGATTAAGAAAACTCCACTCCTGGGCCAGGCATGGTGGCTCAAGCCTGTAATCCCAGCACTTTGGGAGGCTGAGGCAGGTGGATCACTTGAGGTCAGGAGTTCGAGATCAGCCTGACCAACATGGTGAGACCCCCACCCCCGCCGTCTCTACTAAAAACACACACACACACACACAAAATTAGCCAGGAATGGTGGTGTGCACCTGTAACCACAGCTACTTGGGAGGCTGAGGCCAGAGAATCACTTGAACATGGAGGTGGAGCTTGCAATAAGCTAAGATTACACCACTGCATTCCAGCCTGGTGGACAGAGTGAGACCCTGTCTCAAAAAAAAAAAAAAAAAAAAAAAGATTTCCACATTTTTTGATTAAGAAAACTCCATTCCTAAGTAAATGTTTTGAACTGTTTCTCAAAATTCAGCATCTATCAAAAACATCTACAAGGCTTGTGAAAGAATAAACTGTCGGTTCTCATCCCCAGAGTTTATCAGCAAGAAGTCTGGGGAGGGGAGCAAGATTTTGCGTTTCTGTCATGTTCTCGAGTGATGCCGATGCAGCTGCTGCTTACAGATTTTATTATCTTTTCCATCAGATTCATCATCAACAGCATGGAAGCGAGAAACCAAACAGCTATTTCAAAATTCCTTCTCCTGGGACTGATAGAGGATCCGGAACTGCAGCCCGTCCTTTTCAGCCTGTTCCTGTCCATGTACTTGGTCACCATCCTGGGGAACCTGCTCATCCTCTTGGCTGTCATCTCTGACTCTCACCTCCACACCCCCATGTACTTCTTCCTCTCCAATCTCTCCTTTTTGGACATTTGTTTAAGCACAACCACGATCCCAAAGATGCTGGTGAACATCCAAGCTCAGAATCGGAGCATCACGTACTCAGGCTGCCTCACCCAGATCTGCTTTGTCTTGTTTTTTGCTGGCTTGGAAAATTGTCTCCTTGCAGCAATGGCCTATGACCGCTATGTGGCCATTTGTCACCCCCTTAGATACACAGTCATCATGAACCCCCGCCTCTGTGGCCTGCTGATTCTTCTCTCTCTGTTGACTAGTGTTGTGAATGCCCTTCTTCTCAGCCTGATGGTGTTGAGGCTGTCCTTCTGCACAGACCTGGAAATCCCGCTCTTCTTCTGTGAACTGGCTCAGGTCATCCAACTCACCTGTTCAGACACCCTCATCAATAACATCCTGATATATTTTGCAGCTTGCATATTTGGTGGTGTTCCTCTGTCTGGAATCATTTTGTCTTACACTCAGATCACCTCCTGTGTTTTGAGAATGCCATCAGCAAGTGGAAAGCACAAAGCAGTTTCCACCTGTGGGTCTCACCTCTCCATTGTTCTCTTGTTCTATGGGGCAGGTTTGGGGGTGTACATTAGTTCTGTGGTTACTGACTCACCTAGGAAGACTGCAGTGGCTTCAGTGATGTATTCTGTGTTCCCTCAAATGGTGAACCCCTTTATCTATAGTCTGAGGAATAAGGACATGAAAGGAACCTTGAGGAAGTTCATAGGGAGGATACCTTCTCTTCTGTGGTGTGCCATTTGCTTTGGATTCAGGTTTCTAGAGTAAGTCAAAGTGACAGGATTCCTGGTGAGCTAGAATGCCTGACTCTTTGTTTTGTTTTGTTTTTTTCTCTGAGATGGAGTCTTTCTCTGTCTCCCAGGCTGGAGTGCAATGGCACGACCTCGGCTCACTGCAACTTCCGCCTCCGGGTTCAAGCCATCCTCCTGCCTCAGCCTCCTGAGTAGTGGGGATTACAGGCGCCTGCCACCATGCCTGGCTAATTTTTGTATTTTTAGTAGAGATAGAGTTTCACCATGTTGGCCAGGCTGGTCTCAAACTCCTGACGTCAGGTGATCCACCCGCCTCGGCCTCCCAAAGTGCTGGGATTACAGGCGTGAGACAATGCGCCCAGCCTGCCTGACTCTTTCATCACCAAGTTCTTCTAAAATGTCTAGATGACATAAAAGCCAACTACATTTCCACTCCGGCTTGAAATCTGACTTTGCTTTTTATGTCTGGATCTGTGATGATGGACATGTGATTTTAATTCTCTAGACTCAATTTCTTTGCTCAGGCCATAGACTCAGAGGCTGAGCCCAAGTTATTTATTTATTTATTTAGAGACAGAGTCTCGCTCTGTCGGCCAGGCTGGAGTGCAGTGGTGTGATCTCGGCTCACTGTAATCTCTGCCTCCCAGGTTCAAGCGATTCTCCCGCCTCAGCCTACTGAGTAGCTGGGACTACAGGTGCACGACACCACACCCGGCTAATTTTTGTACTTTTAGTAGAGGTGAGGTTTCATCATGCTGGCCAGGGTGGTCTCGATCTCCTGACCTTGTGATCCATTCGCCTCGGCCTCCCAAAGTTCTGGGATTACTGGGATTAGAGGCGTGAGCCACCGCTCCTGGCTAAGTGATTTTTTTTTAATGGATTAGTCTCAGAAGAAGAAAAGTTGTGGAAGGTAGATAGTTCAGGAGGATAGGTCAGGAAAATGTATTTTTGGTTTTTTGTTTAGTTTAGGTTTTTTGTTTTTTGTTTTGCTGAGACGGAGTCTTGCTCTGTCCACCAGGCTGGAGTGCAATGGCGCAATCTCGGCTAACTGCAACCTCCGCCTTCTGGGTTCAAGCGATTCTCCTACCTCAGGCTCCCAAGTAGCTGGGCAGTTTTGTTTTTTGTTTCTTTTTTTCCATAGACAGGGTCTTGCTTTGTCACCTAGGCTGGAATGCAATGACATGATCATAGCTCCCTGCAGCCCCAAACTCCAGGACTCCAGGGCTCAAACTCCAGGGACCCTCCTACCTCAGCCTCCTAGGAAGCTAGGACTCCAGGCATGCACCACCACGTCCAGTGTGGGGTGTGGTGTAGAGATGGACTCTGGCTATGTTGCCCAGGTTGGTCTCAAAACCTAGGTTCAAGTGATCCTCCTGCCATGGCCTCCCAAAGATCTGAGATTAGTGGTGAAGTCACTGTGCGCTGCCAGGAAAAGGATTTAAGCGAGGTTGTTGTTATATCTGGAGACAAGCTTCCACCTTATTGCGTATTTAGGGTCTTGTCAATTGCACCCCAGTGTAGACCTACAGTGGGTCAAGGGAGCTAAGTTTTCATACCCAATTTAGTAACTACTGGGACCAGTCACTGGTAAACTATATTCTCCCTAGACAACATTAGCATCTATTATACTCAGTTTTATCATCAAAAAATTAGCATGATTAGATTATCTTAGTGATTTGAGATTATTGTGAGATATTTGAACTTCATAAGTGAGGATACCTTAGGTTCCAGTTTAAAGAATAGGAGCCCTGGGCTGGGCACAGTGGCTCACACCTGTAATCCCAGCACTTTGGGAGGCCAAGGTGGGTGGATCACTTGAGGTCAGGAGTTCAAAACTGGCCTGGCCCACGTGGTGAAACCCCATCTCTACTAAAAATACAAAAGTTAGCCATGTGTGGTAGCTGGAGCCTGTAATCCCAGCTACTCGGGAGGCTGAGGCAGGAGAATTGCTTGAGCCCGCGAGGCGGAGGTTGCAGTGAGCCGAGATTGCACCACTGCACTCCAGCCTGGGAGACAGAGCAAGACTCAAAAAATAAATAAATAAATAAATAAATAAATAGCACCCCTAACTCTAATATGCTCAAACAGTAAAGACAGTTCTCTTTCATTACAAGGACCTCAGAATTAAGGAATGTGCACGAATAGGAGAGGGCTTCATTCAGTCCTTCACGAGGTTCCCTCCCCCCAGCACTGGTTTTCCTCTGACTGCAACAGGTAGTTGCAGTCAATGCAAGAGACATATCTAGACCTGATTCCCAGAGACAGAAAATGGAGAACCCTTCCCTGGGTCCATTGATAATAGATAACTTTCATGGAGTCAACCAGAAGACATTTCTGTCATGAGTTGGCTCATGGCCCTCAGAAGACTATATCCACATTTTAATCCTCTCGCTTGTGAATCTGAGCTTTTATTTATTTATTTATTTATTTATTTATTTATTTATTTATCTATCTATCTGAGCTGGAGTCTTGCCCTGTCGCCCAGGCTGGAGTGCAGTGGCGTGATCTCGGCTCACTGCAACCTCCGCTTCCCGGGTTCAAGAGATCCTCCTTCCTCTGCCTCCTGAGTAGCTGGGATTACAGGTGCCTGCCACCACAGCCTGCTAATTTTTATATTTTTAGTAGAGATGGGTTTTTGCCATGTTGGCCAGGCTGGTCTTGAACTTCTGGACTCAAGTGATACAATTGCCTCAGCCTCCCAAAATGCTGGGATTACAGACGTGAGCCACCGCACCTGGCCTTAAATCATATGACAAAAGGGTGAATGTGACTTATTTGGGAAAAGGGTCTTTGCAGAGAAGCAGCTTACCCTGGATTACCTGGGCAGGCTCTAAATGTAACCACATGTTTTCTTATAAGATAGGCAGAGGTGGAGGCCAGGCGCAGTGGTTCATCCTTGTAATTCCAACACGTTGGGAGGCTGAGGCAAGAGAATTGCTTGAGGCCAGGAGTTTGAACCCAGCTGGGCAACAAAATCAGACCCTGTTACAAAAAATTTTAAAAATTAGCTTGGCACAGTGGTGTGTACCTGTAGTCCCAATTACTTGAGAGGCTGAAATGGGAGGATCGCTTGAGCCCAGGAGTTGGAGACTGCAGTGAGCTATGATTGCACCATTGCACTCCAGCCTGGGCAACAGAGTGAGATTCAGTCTCAAACAAAAAAAAAAAAAAAAGAAAAAAAAAGACAGAAGTGGAGGAAACACAAAGAAAAGGAAGAAGTAATGTAACCATGGAGACAGGAATTTTATTGATGCTGTATTTGATTAGTGATTTTTTTATTAATTAGTATTTGATTGACAGTCTTGTACATTTTTGCCCTACAAATCTGTCCTTTTAATATGCATGTTGTTTATAGCCCTAGACAATTTATTAATCAAATTTTATTCTTTTTGACATTGTAAAAGTTGAAACTTCATGAACGAATTTTGTGCCCTGATTGTTGTTTCCTTTTTTATTTTTTTTTGAGAAGGGTCTTACTCTCACCCAGGCTGGGAGGCTGAGGCAGAAGAATCGTTTGAACCCGGGAGACGGAGGTTTGCAATGAGCTAAGATCATACCACTGCACTCCAGCCTGGGCAACACAGCAAGACTCCATCTAAAAAAAAAAAAGTTGTCATGCTTTTCATCATCTGGTGGCATTCTCAGAATGAAAGAGACAATTTGAATGCAAGAGAAAGTAATACCACATATTCTTATGCAGGAATGTAAAATTTTTAAAAATACACACATCCTTATGAATTAATTTTATTTTTAAGCTGAAATGTAGTATTAATCTTTCTGATATTGTTTGCTAAAGTGAGGACACCTTTAAAGGTATGTAGAGAAAGAGGTGTTGAATCCAGTACAGAAGGAAGATGAGGCCGGGCGCTGTGGCTCATGCCTGAAATCCCAGCACTTTGGGAGGCTGAGGCAGGCGGATCACCTGAGGTCAGGAGCTCAAGACCAGCCTGGCCAACATGGTGAAACCCTGTCTCTATTAAAAATACAAAAATTAGCCGGGCATGGTGGCACATACCTGTAGTCCCAGCTACTCCGGAGGCTGAGGCAGGAGAATCGCTTGAACCTGGGAAGCGGAGGTTGCAGTGAGCTGAGATCTTGCCACTGCACTCCAGCCTGGCGACAGAGCAAGACTTTGTCTCAAAATAAATAAATAAATAAATAAATAAAATAAACAAGGATGAGAGTTTCCTACTAGGCAATTTATGTGTGTGTGTGTTTTTTTTTTGTTGTTGTTTTTTTGTTTTGTTTTTTTTTAGCAGGATCTCACTCTGTTGCCCAGGCTAGAGTGCAGTGGTGTGATCATGGCTCACTGCAGCCTCAACCACCCCAGGCTCAGGTGACGCATCCTCTCACCTCAGCCTCTGGAGTAGCTGAGACTACAGGTTCACACCACCACATCTGGCTAATTTTTGTATTTTTTGTAGAGAGGGGGTTTCACTATGTTGCACAGGGTAGTCTCAAACTCCTGAGCTCGTGCAGTCCACTCGCCTCAGCTTCCAAAGTGCCAGGATTACAGGCATGAGCCACTGCACCGGCCTTTTCTCCCTGTGGATCTCACCTCTCAGAAACCCATTTCTAGAGTGTCATCATTCCACTAACATGCCAGCTACTTCGGACTTTAAGCTGTGAAATATACAAAAGAGAAATTCATAATGAATGATCCGGAAAACCTGATTAAGGTCTTCAAATACAAGAGAAGATCATCATGGTTAAGGGTGAGAATTTGGAATCAGACCAACTGGCTTTGAATCCCACCTGTGCTTTGTAAATAACCGTATAATTGTTGACACTTTATTTCACTGTTCCAAGCTCTATTTGCTCCCCTATAAAGTTAGCATTATCGGCCAGGCGCAGTGGCTCACACCTGCAATCCCAGCACTTTGGGAGGCCGAGGCGGGTGGATCACCTGAGGTCAGGAGTGCGAGACCAGCCTGGGCAACATGGTGAAATGCTGTCTGTACTAAAAATACAAAAAAGTAGCTGGGCGTGGTGGCACACACCTGTAATCCCAGCTACTCGGGAGGCTGAGGCAGGAGAATCACTTGAACCGGGGAGGTGGAGGTTGCAATGAGCCAAGATGGCGCCATTGCACTCCAGCCTGGGTGACACAGTGAAACTCCTTCTCAAAAAAAAATTTTTTTAAGTTAGCATTATCATATTTATTTACGTATTTAGGAAGACTTCTATATCAGTGTTTGTGTTGCTACAAGGAATACCTGAGTCTGGGTTATTTATTTATTTATTTATTTTGAGACAGAGTGTCGCTCTTGTCGCCCAGGCAGGAGTGCAGTGGTGCAGTCTCAGCTCACTGCAACCTCTGCCCCCTGGGTTCAAGTGATTCTCCTGCCTCAGCCTCTCCAGAAGCTGGGATTACAGGAGTGCGCCACCACGCCCAGCTAATTTTTGTATTTTTGGTAGAGACAGGGTTTCACCATGTTGGCCAGACTGCTTTTGAGCTCCTGACCTCAGGTGATCTGCCTGCCTCAGCCTCCCAAAGTGCTGGGATTATAGGCGTGAGCCACTGAGCCCAGCCTAGAGTCTGGGTAATTTATAAAGAAAAGAGGTTTATTTGTCTCACAGTTCTGCAGACTGTACAAGAAGGGTGGTGCCATCATCTACTTCTGGTGCAGACCTCAGGAAGCTTCCAATCACGGTGGAAGGGCAAGGGGAGCTGGCAAGTCAAATGGTGAGAGAGGAAGAGAGAGAGGGGAGGAGTGCCAGGGTCTTTGTGAAGTAGTAGAGCAAGAACTTCCTCATTACTATGGGGAGGGCACTAAATTCTTCATGATGAATCTGCCCCCATAATCAAACACCTCTGCCTAGGCCTCACCTCCGACACTGGGGATCACATTTCAACATAAGATCTGGAGGAGAGAAACATCCACATTATATCAACTTGAGACACTTCAACTTATTTATTTATTTATTTATTTATTTTGAGACAGTCTCGCTCCATCCCTTAGGCTGAAGTGCAGGTTGCAGTGGTGCCATCTCGGCCCACTGCAACCTCCGCCTCCCAGGTTCAAGTGATTCTCCTGCCTCAGCCTCCCGAGTAGCTGGGATTACAGGCACGCCCCACCACACCTGACTAATTTTTATATTTTTAGTAGAGATGGGGTTTTGCCATGTTGGCCAGGCTGGTCTTGAACTCCTGACCTCAGGTGATCTGCCTGCCTTGGCCTCCCAAAGTGCTGGGATTACAGGTGTAAGCCACAGCACCCGGGACACTTCTGCTTTATTAGTGACTCATATAAAGACAAGGGGTAAAAACAATGATTGGGCCAGGCGTGGTGGCTGATGTCTGTAATCCCAACATTTTGGGAGGCCAAGGCAGGTGGATCACCTGAGGTCAGGAGTTCAAGACCAGCCTGGCCAACATGGTGAAATCCCGTCTCTACTAAAAATACAAAAAAACTAGCTGGGTGTGGTGGTGCGCTCCTGTAGTCCCAGCTACTGGGGAGGCTGAGGCGGAGAATTGCATGAACCCAGGAGGTGGAGGTTGCAGTGAGCTGAGATAGTGCCACTACACTCCAGCCTGGGCAACAGAGTGAGACTCTGTCTCAAAAAAAAAAAAAAAAAATTTTGGCCAGGTGTGGTGGCTCACACCTGTAATCCCAGCATTTTGAGAGGCTGAGATGGGAGGATGGCTTGAGCTCAGGAGTTTGAGAGCAGCCTGGACAACATAGTGAGACCCCATCTCTACCAAAAAAATATATACAAATAAAAATAAATTAGCCGGGCATGGTGCTGCATGCCTCTGGTCCCAACTACTTGGGAGGCTGAGGTGGGAGGACTGCTTGAGCCCAGGAGGTCAAGACTGCAGTGAGCTATAATCATGCCGCTGCACTCCAGCCTGGGCAACAGAGCCCCAGAATGATTATCTTTCCTAACGGAGTTTGGAGACAGAGTCGGTCCAGCCACAGAACCACATGGCGGCATTTCACTCCTTCACGTGTTGACATCTTCCTAAGACTCCTCCCCTCACAGTCACTGTGTTATTCGGCCAGGGCTGGTTATAACAAAACACCGCAGACTGCGTGGCTAAATAAGTGAAGTGGATTGTCTCATGGTTCTGAGGGTCAGAAGCCCAAGATCGACGTGCCGTTGGGATTGGTTTTTGGTGAAGTCTTTCTTCCGTGGCAGATAGACCCCCTTTCGCTGTGTCCTCAAATGGCCTTTCCAGCCAGGCTTGGTGGCTCACGCCTGTAATCCCAGCACTTTGGGAGGCCAAGGTGGGTGGATCATTTGAGGTCAGGAGGTCGAGAACAGCCTGGCCCACATGGTAAAACCCTGTCTCCACCAAAAATACAAAAATTAGCCGGGTATGGTGATGGGTGCCTGTAGTTCCAGCTAGTCTGGAGGGTGAGGCAGGAGGATCACTTGAACCCAGAGGCGGAGGTTGCAGTGAGCAGAGATCATGCCATTGCACTCCAGCCTGGGTGACAGAATGAGACTCTGTCTCAAAAACAAAAAAGAAAACAAAAAGAAAAACAGTTACCAGACCATCCTGAGACTTCCCGTGAAACTTCTGCGGCTGGGTAGTATGGCAAAACCCTGTCTGTACAAAAGATACAAAAATTAGCTGAGCATGGTGGTATGTGCCTATGGTCCTAGCTACTCGGAAGGCTGAGGTGGGAGGATTGCTTCAGCCAGGGAGGTCAAGGCTGCAATGAGCCGTGATCATGCCACTGCACTCCAGCCTGGGCAACAGAACGAGACTCTGTCTCAAAAAACAAAAACAAACAAAAAATTCAAAGTGAGGCTCGGCGTGGTAGCTCACACCTGTAATCCTAGGATGTTAGGAGGCTGAGGGGGAAGTACTGCTTGAGCCCAGGAGTTCCAGACCAGCCTGGCCAAATTAGTGAGACCCTGTCTCTAGTAAAACAATGCACACAGAGAGAGAAGTTTGAAGCTGCAGTGATCTATGATCACGCCACTGCACTCCAGCACGGGCAACATAGTGAGACCCCATCTCTAAATAATAATAATAATAATAAAATTCAAAGTGCCTACTCTTCAACTCATGCAATTCCAGATGTTAGCCCAAGACTCCCAGATGTATATATTCTACCCCCCAGAAGTTCCTGAGTCCTGGTGGTCAGGAAGATGAGGTGATCTTTCTGTTGACCAGCTTCCTGAGAGCCCCTTTCAGGTCTCTGTTCCTCAAGCTGTAGATGAAGGGATTCAGCATGGGGGTGACTGCTGTGTACATCACCGCAGAAGCTTTCTCCTTCACAGTGGTGAGGACCGAGGAGGGACACAGATAGACGCCAATGGTGGTCCCATAGAAGAGAGCAACCACAGACAGGTGGGAGCTGCAGGTGGAGAAGGCTTTCTTCCTGCCGCCTGCAGAGGGGACCTTCATGATGGCCACAAGGATGCGAGCATAGGAGGCCAGGATGCAGACAAAGGGCGTGGCTATCACCATCCCTGCCACAATGAGGATGAAGATCCTATTCACAGAGGTGTCCGTGCACGAAAGTCGGAGGATGGGAGTGAGGTCGCAGAAGTAGTGAGGCACCTCATGGCTGCCGCAGAAAACGAGACGGGCCATCAGGAGGATGTGAGTGAGTGAGATGAAGCAGGAAAACGCCCAGAGGGCGCCGACCAGCAGGCGACAGAGGCGTAGGCTCATGATCTTGGCGTAGTGCAATGGGTGGCAGATGGCCACGAACCGGTCATAAGCCATCATGGCGATTATGACGCTGTCCACGATGCCAAAGAAATGGAAGAAGTACATCTGGATCAGGCAGCAGGGATAAGAGATGGCCTTGCTCCCGGTTTGAAGGCTCACCAGCATCTTAGGGATGGTGTTGGTGGCCAGACAGAAATCAACCAGGGACAGGTTGGCCAGGAAGAAGTACATGGGGGTGTGGAGGTGGGAGTCTATGCTGATGGCCAGGATGATGAGCAGGTTCCCCACGACCATGACCAGGTACATGCAGAAGAACAGGGAAAAGAGAAGCGTCTCCTGCTCTGGCTTTTCTGAGAGTCCCAGGAGGATGAATTGAGATGCACTGGTTTGGTTTCTTGGTTCCATGGGTGTGATTCCTCTGGAAGTATGGAAAGGGGAGGTTATAGGAATGACAGGGAGATGGTTTTGGAAAGTTAGATGCGATCACATCCCAGTTCTCATTTGGGCTAATTATGAGACCAGATGTGTATATATATATATGTGTGTGTGTGTGTGTGTGTGTGTGTGTGTATATATAGAATATATATGTGTGTGTGTATATATATATATATAGAGAGAGAGAGAGAGAGAATATATGTAAATATATTCCACACATGTACGGTGTTGTAACTTTAGAGACCCTGTCTCTAAAATAGAAATATTATATATATTATTACATATTATGTATATATACATATATATATATTTTTGAGACAGAGTCTTGCTTTGTCACCCAGGTTGGAGTACAGTCGTGCAATCTCTGCTCACTGCAACCTCTGCCTCCTGGGTTCAAGTGATTCTCCTGCCTCAGCCTCATGAGTAGCTGGGACTACAGGTGCCCACCACCACGTCCGGCTAATTTTTTGTACTTTTAGTAGAAATGGGGTTTCACCATATTGGCCAGGCTGGTCTCGAACTCCTGACCTCGTGATCCGCCCACCTCGGCCTCCCAAAGTGCTGGGATTACAGGCGTGAGCCACCACGCCAGGCTAAAGATATTATTTTTTAGAGACAGGGTCTTGCTGTGTCACCCAGGAGGGAGTGCAGTGGTGCAATCATAGTTCATTGCAACCTTGAACTCCTGGGCTCAAGCCAGCCTCCTGCCACAGCCTCTCTAGTAGCGGGGTCTACAGGCACACACCATAAGTAAGCCTGGCTTATTTATCTTTTCTTGTGTGTGGTGGAGACAGGATCTTGCTATGTTGTCCAGGCTGGTCTTGAATTCCTGAGCTTGAGTGATCCTCCCATCTAGGCCTTCCAAAGTGCTACAATTGCAGGTGTGAGCTACCGCACTTGGCCTGACAACAGCTTATATATAGGTTGCACTTTAAACCATGGATGAAGTATTTATAGCAACTCTTCTTCTTTTTTGATTAATTAAAAAATGTTAGGGCCAGGCACGATGGGTCCCATCTGTAATCACAGCACTTTGGGAGGGCGAGGTGGGCAGAGAGCTTGAATGCAGGTGTTCAAGAGCAGCCTGAGCAACATGGCAAAACCCCTTCTCTACCAAAAAAAAAAAAAAAAAAAAAAAAAAAGCCAGGCATGATGGTGGACACCTATAGTTCCAAGTACTCGGGAGGCTGAGGTGGGAAGATTGCTTGACCCTTGGAGCAGAGGTTGCAGTGAGCCAAGATCACACCACGGTACTCCAGCCTGGTGACAGAGCAAGACTACATCTCAATAACAACAACAATAATAATAGGGTTATACAAAGCATTCTTTCCCTCTTTTCTTTCTTCCTGACATGGCAAACTCAACATATAAAAAAATAAAGTCTATTTTCTCCCGGAGCCACTATGTCCATGAATGGAATCACCATCCTTCCAGATACCTGTGTTTGAAATTTTCAGTCTTCCTCCTTTCTACCTCCACCGTCAAAGGCAATCCATCAATGAGTGTTACATCCTCTACAAGTCGAACTTCCTTCCTTTGTTTTTTTTTTTCCTTTTGAGACGGGGTCTTGCTCTGTTGCCTAGGCTGGAGTGCAGTGGCACGATCTTGGCTCACTGTAATCTCTGCTTCCCAGGCTCAAGCAATTCTCCTGCCTCACCCTCCCAAGTAGCTGGGATTACAGGAGCACGCCACCATGCCCAGCTCACTTTTGTATTTTTAGTAGAAATGGGGTTTAACCCAGCTGAGTATCTGGACACTAAAATAAAATAGCAACGTGCTCCTTAGTTCACATCCAACAGCTTTATTCTTAGCATGTGTGGCAATTCTTGATTAATTGGAATTAAAATAAACAATAGCACCTGTGGTGCAAATACTATTTAAAAAAAAAAAAAGAAATGGGGTTTAACCTTGTTGGCCAGGCTGGTCTCGAACGCCTGACATCAGGTGATCCGCCCACACTTGGCCTCCCAAAGTGCCGGGATTATGGGTGTAAACCATTGCTCCCAGCCTGAACTTTCCATTTTTTATTTTATCTATTTGTTTTTTTTGAGACAGAGTCTCGCTCTGTCACTCGGGCTGGAGTGCGGTGGCACGATCTCGGCTCACTGCAAGCTCCGCCTCCCAGGTTCACGCCATTCTCCTGCCTCAGACTCCCGAGTAGCTGGGACTACAGGCGCCCACCACCACGCCTGGCTAATTTTTTGTACTTTTTAGTAGAGACGGGGTTTCACCATGTTAGCCAGGATGGTCTTGATCTCCTGACCTCGTGATCTGCCCGCCTTGGCCTCTCAAAGTGCTGGGATTACAGGCATGAGCCACCGCGCCCGTCCTGAACTTTTTATTTTTATAGTCATTTCCAGTCATCTCCTCTTTCCAGACACCCTAAATGAAAGGCTCTTATTACTTCTGAGTTGCCAAGTTCACTAATCTTAAGCTAGCCTCATGCATCCAATTATCTTCCTTTGAAACAATCCTGAAGTCGGCCGGGCGCGGTGGCTCATGCCTGTCATCCTAGCACTTTGGGAGGCCGAGGCAGGCGGATCACCTGAGGTCGGGAGTTCAAGTCTAGCCTGACCAACATGGAGAAAACCCGTCTCTACTAAAAATACAAAATTAGCCGGGCATGGTGGCGCATGCCTGTAAACCCAGCTACTCAGGAGGCTGAGGCAGAGGTTGCAGTGAGCCCCGATTGCGCCACTGCACTCCTGCCTGGGCAGCAAGAGCGAAACTCCATCTCAAAAAAAAGAAACAATCCTGAAGTCACTAAATTAATCTTCCTGCATTACAGTTCTGATCATGTTACTTTTATATTTTTATTTTTTATTTTTGTGATTTCTAATGAACACCTTGCAGATGTCACTTTTATTCACTCACGCATTCGTTCATTCATTTTGTAAAAAATTATTGGTAATTGCAATATATAGTGACAGGATCTGGCCTGAGTTGTGGGGACAAATATATGAAAATACACAGACCCTGTCCTCAAGACATTTGAAATCAGGAATTGTTTGTCTTTGTTCATTTTTGTGACCAGCATCTTGTCTGGGATACAGAAGACATAAACATAATTGTTCCATATACGCATGAATCAGTGATGGTTATCCTGTATTGCCAGGCACTGATCGAAGGTCTCTGCTAATTTGCTACTCACGACAACAGAATAATGTTAGTGCTATTTCATGCAGGAAGAAATGGAAGCACAGAAGATTAATACAATCAAATGGGGTTTAACTGAGAGCAGGTGGCTGGATTAGCCCAAGCATTCTAAATCTAGAGCATGTACTCTTAATCTCTGTAATTCATGAAGCACGCATGGATTCATGAATTCACAGTTTAGTGAGGGAGATGAACTCCAGGCAGCATTTATCAGATTATGAGGAGCTTGGATTAATAGAGAATCACACCCCACACACAGCACCCCTGAGGATTGTAAGAGCACTCCGAAAACTGTTGAGGCAGCCAGGGATTTTTGGAAAATGTGTTGGCTTTAGGCAGGGCACAGTGGCTCACACCTGTAATCCCAGCACTTTGGGAGGCTGAGACAGGCGGATTGCCTGAGGTCAGGAGTTCGAGACCAGCCTGGCCGACATGGTGAAACCCCGTCTCTACTAAAAATACAAAAAATTATCCGGGCGTAGTGGTGGGCCCCTGTAATCCTGGCTACTTGGGAGGCTGAGGCAGGAGAATCGCTTGAACCCAGGAGGCGGAGGTTGCAGTGAGCTGAGATTGTGCCATTGCACTCCAGCCGGGGTGACAAGAGCGAAACTCTGTCTCAAAAAAAAAAAAAAAAAAATGTGGTAGAAATACACAATGGAAAACTATTCAGCCATAAAAATGAAGGAGATCTTGTCATTTACAGCAACATGGAAAGAATTGGAGCATATTATAAATGAAATAAGCCAGGAACAGAAAGTTAAACACTGCATGTTCTCACTCACATGTGAAAGCTAAAAGAAAAAAAATGATTTCATAGAAGTAAAAAGAACAGAGGATACTAGAGTCTGGGAAGGGTAGAGGGAGGGGGCAGATAGGAAGAGATTTGTTACAGCATACAGAACTACAGGCAAATTGGAAGAATAAGTTCTAGTGTTCTATATCCCTGTAGGATGAATACAGTTAACAATAATATGCTATATAGCTAAACAGCTAGAAGGAGGATATTGAGTGTTCCCAACACAGAGAAATGATAAATGTTTGTGATAATAGATGTGCTAATTACCCAGATCTGATCACTATACATTACATATATGGAAACATTACTATGTACCTCATAAATATATACAATTAAAACATTTTAAAAGGAGTCAGAGTATTTTTTTTTTTTTTGAGACAGAGTTTCGCTCTTGTTGCTCAGGCAGGAGTGCAATGGTGCAATCTCAGCTCACTGCAACCTCTGCCTCCCGGATATAAATGGTTCTCTGGCCTCAGCCTCCCGAGTAGCTGGGATTACAGGCACCCACCACCACACCTGGCTAATTTTTTTGTATGTTTACTAGAGATGGGGTTTCACCATGCTGGCCAGGCTGGTCTTGAACTCCTGACCACAGGTGATCCGCCCGCCTCGGCCTTCCAAAGTGCTGGGATTACAGGTGTGAGCCACCGTGCCTGGCCGAGTCAGAGTATTTTTCCATCTCAAGGAAGCCAGTGAATGCTCTGTGATTAAACTACTAATGGAATCAAGGAACTGATCTCAGACATCCTCCTGCCCTGACACCTAAGCTTTCACTGAATTACTCTGTCACTCCTCATTCTTCCACAGCTCTTGGGAAAAATTTAAGTATCAGGAACCCGAAGATTCATCCCTTAAGCTTCTTGATGAGCCTCTCTCCAAGGAAGCACCAGTCCTATCCTATCTGGACCTCTGCACTCTGTGTCTAAGATCTCTCAGCCTGGAATACTTGGGAATCTCCAAGGGCTTCCAAGACCCAACATGGGGAATAACACAAACTTCTGCCTACAGAAGTACTGAGGAGGAAGCCATCTGTTCCTTCAGGCACTCAAGTGGGCTTGGAAAAGAAAGTCCAGGCTGGGCGCAGTGGCTCATGCTTGTAATACCAGAACTTTGGGAGGCTGAGGCGGGTGGATCACCTGAGGTCAAGAGTTGGAGACCAGCGTGGCCATTATGGTGAAACCCCAGCTCCACTAAAAATACAAAAATTAGCTGGGTGTGGTGGCGGGCATCTGTAATTCCAGCTACTTGGGAGGCTGAGGCAGGAGAATCTCTTGAACCTGAGAGATGGAGGTTGCAGTGAGCCAAGATCATGCCACTGCACTGCAGCCTGGGTGACAGAGTAAGACTCCATTTCAAAAAAAAAGTCTAGTTACGAAGAAAAACAGTGCTACAAATAATCATGGTTTTTAGGTAAAGGACTGGTAGCATCACAACTAAACCAGGCTGAGCTAGTTTGGTAAGAAGAGCCATTGGATTCTGGGCTGACAAGTGGGTGCTGATTGACCAGACAGAATCTTCCAGTGTCGGCCGAGCACAGTGAATTCCAGTACTTTCGGAGGCTGAGGCGGGTGATCACCTGAGGTCAGGTGTTCGAGATCAGCCTGACCAACATGGTGAAACCTTGTCTCTACTAAAAATACAAAATTCACAAGGCATGGTGGTGTATGCCTGTAATCCCAGCTACTCGGGAGGCTGAGGTAGGAGAATTGCTCGAACCTGGGAGTCAGAGGTTGCAGTGAGCCAAGATCGTGCCATTGCACTCCAGCCTGGGCAACAAGAGCAAAACTCCATCTCGGTGGGGGAAAAATGTTCAAAAAATCAGCTGGGTGTGGTGGCACATGCCTGTAGTTCCAGCTACTCTAGAGGCTGAGGCAGGAGGATTGCTTAAGCCCAGGAGGTAGAAGCTGCAGTGAGCTGTGATTGTGCCACTGCACTCCAGCCTGAATAACAGAGCAAGGTTCTGTCTCTAAAATAAATAAATCAGTAAATCAATAAATAATAAAAAAGAATCTTCCAGTGTATCTGAGATCATTGAGCTTGGCTTCATTAATTTTACCAACATTCGTTCAGTCTCTCTCTCTCTCTCTCTCTCTCAGCTCACTCACTGGGCTATCTTTCCTCTTCTTGACACCATCACCCAGGCATGAGTTAAACTGGCTCAGTGTCCTCCCAGCAGGTACTAGATGATGAAGTTAGATGTTTGGGCCAGCAGATGCTACATAGAAATACTGGGAAGTTGTCCTCCTGGTCCAAAGAAGAAAAGCTAGGGTGGGGGATAAGTTGTAGGAACCGAGGGAATATTTACAATTTCTGGGCCAATAAGAAGTCAATTCCCCAAGCTCCTTGTTACACAAATTGTCCAATTTCATCTCTAGTCCCTGAATAGTTCTGTTTCCTATGGGGGCTGGGACGTGGCAGTAAGAAGCATTTTATGTCTTCATGAGGCAACTTAGGGGTAAGTTGCATGATTCCTAACTTTCTCTGCACCCTCTCTTCCAGGAACAAACTCTCCCTGTCTTCTAAACTCAGTCTTTCCAATGCCCAGGGCTTCTTATATCAGAAGGTTCCATTCTTATTGGAAGCCAATGTTCCTCATCACTTAAAGAATTAAGAAATGGCCGGGTGTGATGGCTCACGCCTGTAATCCCAGCACTTTGGGAGGCTGAGGCGGGTGGATCATGAGGTCAAGAGATTGAGACAATCCTGGCCAACATGGTGAAACACTGTCTCTACTAAAAATACAAAAATTAGTTGGCATGGTGGTGCACACCTGTAGTCCCAGCTACTCAGGAGGCTGAGGCAGAAGAATCGCTTGAACCCAGGAGGCAGAGGTTGTGGTGAGCCGAGATTGCACCATTGTACTCCAGCCTGGGCAACAAGAGCGAAACTCCATCTCAAAAAAAAAAAAAAAAAAAAAAAGAAAAGAACTAAGAAACACTCCAAACATTTTCCCACGTCCACCCAGTGATCTGTCACCAAGACCCAGGGCTGCCTGCTTTCATCACTCAACCTCAACAGAACAACTCTCTATAAAGGGATCATGGCTTTCATTCAGTTCTGCAAAAGGAGAAACTAGAGCCTACCCTAATGGATGTACATGGAGAGAGTGGTTGGCTGACTAAGTCTGCAGCCAGATTCTCACTGAGTATTGGGACCATGGTGGCATTACTGGGAATTTTCAGGAATTTGGTTTTATAAGGTCATGCCCAGATTATTGGGTTGTGTCTACTCAGTAAACACTCATGAAACTGATGGATACATGAAGGCTCAGTTTTTCAAAGCCTTTAGCTATGTAAAGAGCAAAATACTAGGTTGAGCCATATGCAATTGTCAATATTCTACCATTTTTGATCAACAAAACTGGCATTTTTTTTTTTGGTATGCCTCAGCTTCATATAATGAAATCCTGTGTGCCCAATCACTCAGCTTCCACACCTACCAAGTCAAGCCTCTGTTGAATCTGTGTCCTACCTACTTTGACCTCTCTCTTCCCAGAGATAATTTCAGAGCAAATTCCATATGTATAATGATTTTGGTATGTCTTCAAAAAACAAAAAGCTCTTTTTGAAAGCATAACCACAATACCATTATTATTATTATTATTTTGAGATGGAGTCTCGCTCTGTGATCCAGGCTGGAGTAGAGTGGTGCAATCTTGGCTCACCGCAACCTCCGCCTCCCGGGTTCAAGCGATTCTCCTGCCTCAGCCTCCTGAGTAGGGAGGCTCCCAAGTTGTATTTTTAGTAGAGACAGGATTTCACCATGTTGGCCAGGCTAGTCTTGGACTCCTGACCTCAAGCGATCCACCCACCTCAGCCTCCCAAAGTGCTGGGATTACCGATGTGAGCCACTGCGCCTAGCAATTATTTTGATTCAAAATATTAATAATAATTATATAACATTTTCAAATACCCAATTATTATTCAAATTACCCAAATTGCCTCATATATTTTTAGTTTTTTACATCAGAATTCATATAATGTCCATAGATTGCAGTTGGTTGATTACTGTTTTAAGTCCTTTTAATCTATAGGTTTTTCTGTTTTCCTTTCTTATTTTTGAACAGGGTGTCATTCTGTCACCCAGGGTAGAGTGCAGTGGTCTGGTCATAACCCACTGCAGCCTCCAATTCCTGGGCTTACATAATCCTCCCTCTTCAGCCTCCTGAGTAACTGGGACTACAGGTGTGTGCCATCAATCCTGGCTAATTTTTAAAAAATTTTTAATGTTTTATAGAGATGGGGTCTCGCTAGGTTTCCTAGGCTGGTCTCAAACTCTTGGCCCCAAGGGATTCTTCTGCCTCAGCCTCCTAAATTTTTAGAAATTTGGTTTTATGAGGCAATGCCCAGATTATGGGGTAATGTGCTCACTCAATAAACACTCATGAAATAAAAACCTTTCATGATAAAAATTCTGAAGTGCTGGAATTACAGGTGTCAGCCACCACACCCAGCCAAAAGCTCTTGTTTCTCTTTTACCTATTACTTCTTTAATGCTTTTCCTTTATTTACGTAGATCTGAGTTTCTGACCTCTATTATATTCTTCTCTATAAATTACTTCTTTTAACATTTTTTTTTCTTTGAGACGGAGTTTCACTCTTGTCGCCCAGGCTGGAGTGCAATGGCACGATCTTGGCTCACTGCAACCTCTGCCTCCTGGGTTCAAGCAATTCACGTGCCTCAGCCTCCTAGGTAGCTAGGATTACCTGTGTATGCCACCACGCGCAGCTAATGTTTTTGTATTTTTAGTAGAGACAGGATTTCACTATGTTGGAGAGTCTGGTCTTGAACTCCTGGCCTCTAGTGATTCGCCCATCTACCATAGTGCTGGGTTTACAGGCATGAGCCACCACACACAGTCCTGAAGCAGCTTTTCAGGTTAACTTTAGAATGCCTTTGGCCAAGAGGAGGGGTCCCTTCAGATGGATGGGGGTGGTTATTTTTGGCTTACAAGCACTTGCTGGGTTTGTTTGGAGAGTCAACAGTTGACAGTAGCATCAATATTAATGGTTATATTACTTTTTTATTTTTTTGAGATGGAGTTTCACTCTTGTTGCCCAGGCTGGAGTGCAATGGCATGATCTCAGCTCAGTGCAACCTCTGCCTCCTGGGTTCAAGTAATCCTCCTGTCTCTGCCTCCCAAGTAGCTGAAATTACAGGCGCCTGCCACCACGCCCAGCTAATTTTTGTATTTTCAGTAGAGACAGGGTTTTGCCATGTTGGCCAGGCTGGTCTCAAACTCCTGACCTCAAATGATCCGCCCGCCTTGGCCTCCCAAAGTGCTGGGATTACAGCCGTGAGCCACCACGTCCAACCTAAAATTTTTTAATTAATAAAAAAAGAAGAAGATGAGTTGCTGTAAACATTTCATCCATGGTTCAAGGTGCAACCTATATATAAGCTGTTGTCAGGCCAAGTGTGGTGGCTCACACCTGCAATCGCAGAGCTTCGGAAGTCCTAGATGGGAGGATCGCTTGAGCCCAGGAGTTCAAGGCCAGCCTGGACAAGATAGCAAAACCCTCTCTCCACCCCCAAAAAAGAAGATAAATAGGCCAGGCATGGTGATGTGTGACTGTAGACCCTGCTACTAGAGAGGCTGTGGCAGGAGGATGGCTTGAGTCCAGGAGTTCAAGGTTGCAATGAGCTATGATTGCACCACTGCACTCCATCCTGGGTGACAGAGCAAGATCTTGTCTCTGAAAAATAATATATATATTATAGCATATATAATATTTATATTTTAGAGACAGGGTCTCTAAAGTTAAAGGTTAAAATTAAAGGTTAGAGTTCATCTAACCTTCCAAAACCATCTCCCTGGCATTCCTATAACCTCCCCTTTCCATACTTCCAGAGGAATCACACCCATGGAACCAGGAAACCAAACCAGTGCATCTCAATTCATCCTCCTGGGACTGTCAGAAAAGCCGGAGCAGGAAACACTTCTCTTTTCTCTGTTCCTCTGCATGTACCTGGTACAGTCCTGGGGAACCTGCTCATCATCCTGGCCATCAGCATAGACTCCCACTTCCACACCCCCATGTACTTCTTCCTGGCCAACCTGTCCCTGATTGATTTCTGTCTGGCCACCAACACCATCCCCAAGATGCTGGTGAGCCTTCAAACCGGAAGCAAGGCCATCTCTTATCCCTGATAATGCAAACATTCCTGGGCTCTCTATGGGGAAGCTGTGGCCCTGTGCCTGACCCCAAGGCACTGGGAGAGAAAGCCTTTCCTGACCCCAAGGTGTTACAGGAAAGGGGTCCAATCCAAATCCCAAGAGAGGGCTCTTGGATCTCAGGCAAGTCCACAAAGTGAAAACAAGTTTTTAGGAAAGCAAAGGAATAAAAGAATGACTACTCCATAGACAGAGAAGCCCCGAGGGCTGCTGGTTGCCCATTTTCATGGTTATTTCTTGATGATATGCTAAACAAGGGGAGGATTATTCATGCCTCACCTTTTTAGAGCATCTGGGGTAACTTCCTGATGTCGCCATGGCATCTGTAAACTGTCATGGTGTTACTGGTAGAAGGTGTTCAGGTTCTTGGATTCCCAAACAAAGAATTGGACAAAACACACCAACAAAGCAAAAGCAAAAGCAGCCATGAGCCACAGTGCCCGGCCTCAAGCTGACATGATATTAAGCAGAATGGCTTTGAATAATCAAACCTCTGATTTATTTGTGTTACTTTTCTTCCAAGAGAATTAAATTTTAATTTCTCAGGTGAACAAACAGACCTCCAGATGTGGCCCTGCTGTAGATTTCTATAAGTAAGTACACAGGTTGGAAAGACGAAGAAAATCTGCTTTCTGGTGACTATTCTGGTGAATGAAACACAGAATTTGACCGGGGATGGTGGCTCATGCCTGCAATCCCAGAACTTTGGGAGGCCAAGGCAGGTGGATCATTTGAGATCGGGAGTTAGAGACCAGACTGGCCAACATGGTAAAACCGCATCTCTACTAAAATACAAAAATTAACTGGGTGTGGTGGTGGGCATCTGTAATCCCAGTTACTTCGGAGGCTGAGGCAAGAGAATCACTTGAACCCGGGAGTCGAAGATTGCAGTGAGCTGAGATGGTGCCACCACACTCCAGCTTGGGTGACAGAGCAGGACTCTGGCAAAAAAAAAAAAAAAAAGAATGGCCAGGTGGCACGGTGGCTCACACCTGTAATCCCAGCACTTTGGGAGGCAGAGGCAGGCGGATCACCTGAGATCAGGAGTTTCAGACCAGCCTGGCCAAGGTGGTGAAACCCGGTCTCTACTAAAAATACAAAAATTTGCCAGGCGAGGTGGTGCGCACCTATAATCCCACTTACTTGGGAGGCTGAGGCAGGAGAATCACTTGAACCCGGGAGGCGGGGGTTGCAGGGAGCCAAGATCCCACCACTGCACTCCAGCCTGGGCTACAGAGAGAGACTCCATTTCAAAAACAAAGACAAAAACAGAATTTAAGATAATTGGAAGTTGGGAGGATTGCTTGAGACCAAGTTCAAGGCTGTAGTGTGCAATGATTGTGCTTGTGAATAAACACTGTGCTCCAGCCTGGGCAACATAGCAAGACCCTTGTCTCAAAAAAAAAAAATTAAACTAAAAAAATAAAGTAAGCCTGGGCGCAATGGCTCATGCCTGTAATCCCAGCACTTTGGGAGGCTGAGGCGGCTGGATCACGAGGTCAGGAGTTCAAGAGCAGCCTGGCCAAGATGGTGAAACCTCGTCTCTACTAAAAATACAAAAAAATCAGCCAGACATGGTGGTGCACACCTGTAGTCCCAGCTACTCGGGAGGCTGAGGCAGGAGAATCGCTTGAACCTAGGAGGCAGAGGTTGCGGTGAGCCAAGATCACGTCACTACACTCCAGCCTGGGCAACAGAGCGAGACTCCATCTCAAAAAATAAAATACATAAAAAATAAAATAGGCCAGGTGCAGTGGCTCACGCCTGTAATCCCAGCAGTTTGGGAGGCCGAGGCAGGTGGATCACCTGAGGTTGGGAGTTCGAGACCAGCCATGACCAACATGGGGAAACCCCGTCTCTACTAAAAATACAAAATTAGCAGGGCATGGTGGTGCATGCTTATAGTCCCAGCTACTCGGGAGGCTGAGGCAGGAAAACTGCTTGAACCCGGGAGGTGGAGGTTGTGATGAGCCAAGATCATGCCATCGCGCTCCAGCCTGGGCAACAAGAACAAAACTCCATCTCAAAAATAAAAAAATAAATAAATAAACAAATAAATATAAAATAAGATGAGAGTTTGCCATGGAGAGTCCATGATTCTGGTCAGGGCCTTTTTGGAGTAACCAGAAACCATGGGAAAGCGAAACTACAGCTCTCTCTTCTTGCAAGTTCCCTAAACTCTCTTGCCATAGGCACGCAGGTGATTACAGTGCTAATTGACAGAAGGCTGGAATTGCCAGAGACTTGGGAAGTTATTACAACCTGGGGGCTGCTAGAAATTTGGGAAAATCCCTCCCTCTGTATCCAGCTTGAGCTGAAGCATTTATTTAGACCCCTCCCTCCCCTGTGAAATGAGAAATGCCTCAGGCACCAATAAATCTCTTAAGATTCTGTCAGCCAAACAAAAACATCTCCAACTTGCTCTGTGTTAAGAAATAAAGGTTTCCTAAAGTGCTGGCTCTACAGGCATGAGCCACCATGCCCAGCAGAGGTGGGTAGATTGCTTGAGCCCAGGAGGTTAAGACCAGCCTGGGCAACATAGTGAGATCCCATCTCTACCAAAAAAGAAAAAAAAAGTAGCCAGGCCTGGTGGTGTACACCTGTAGTCTCAACTACCTGGGAGGCTGAGGAAAGAGGATCAGCAGAGGCCGGGAGGTCCAGGCTACAATGAGCCATAATTGCACCACTGTACTCCAGCCTGGGTGACAGAGCAAGATGCTGTCTAAAATAATAATAATAATAATAAACTTAAGGCCGGGTGTGGTGGCTCACATCTGTAATCCCAGCACTTTGGGAGGCCGAGGCGGGCAGATTACCTGAGGTCAGCAGTTTGGGACCAGCCTGGCCAACATGGCAAAACTCCATCTCTACTAAAAATACAGAAATTCACCAGGCGTGGTGGCGGGCACCTGTAATCCCAGCTACTCGGCAGGTTGAGGCAGGCGAATCGCTTGAACCCAGGAGGTGGAGGTTGCAATGAGCCAAGATCACACCATTGCACTCCAGCCTGGGCGGCAGAGAGAGACTCCATCTCAAAAAACAACAAAAACCTAGACTTGGGTTACTGCAGTTCCCAATGGAGACACACGAGGGCAGAAGAAACACGCAGCGAGGACGTCTCAGGTGCTCCAGTCCCTCGGGCACTTTTCACAGACAGCATCTCCCGCCTAGCACAGACATTTTGCTTAATCCTGGTCCCTTTCCCCACCTGACCTCAGTGCCTTTTGCCACTGGGGAGCCAGAAGCCTATAGCCCAGGGGCTTCCCAAGTTAAGGCACACTGGGAAAGGGTTGAAAGTGGCCTTACGTTTTCCAAATTTCCCACCCCAGCCCCTGGGCTCGGTGAATATCTTCCCACCTAACCCAGGACTGGGGCCATCTGGTTTCTGTTGTCCACAGAGAGATACTGAAGTTATGCAAGAAAAAGAGAGAGAGAAGACCGGACCTGGTGGTTCACGCCTGTAATCCCAGCACTTTGGGAGTCTGAGGCAGGTGGATCACCTGAAGTCAGGCGTTCAAGACCAGCCTGGCCAACATGACGAAACCCCGTCTCTACTAAAAATACAAAAATTAGTCCAGGCGTGGTGGCTCAAACCTGTAATCCCAGCACTTTGGGAGGCCGAGGCGGGCAGTTCAAGAGGTCAGGAGTTCGAGACCAGCCTGACCAACATGGTGAAACCCTGTCCCTACTAAAAATACAAAAATTAGCTGGACATGGTGGTGCACGCCTGTAATCCCAGCTACTCGGCAGGCTGAGGCAGGAGAATCACTTGAACCTGGGAGGTGGAGGTTGCAGTGAGCCGAGATTGCGCCACTACACTCCAGCCTGGGCGACAGAGCGAGACTCCATCTCAAAAAAAAAAAAAAAAAAAAAAAATTAGCCAGGTATGGTGGTGTGTGACTGTAATGCCAGCTATTTGGGAGGCTGAGGCAGGAGAATTGCTTGAACCCGGGAGGTGGAGATTGTAGTGAGCCGAGATCACACCATTGCACTCCAGCCTGGGCAACAAGAGCAAAACTCCGTCTCAAAAAATAAATAAATAAATAAATAAAAAGAAAAGAAAAATGAAAGAGAGAGACAGAGGGAGCGCTACAGAGAGAGACAGAGACAGAGAGATACTGCAGTTATGCAAGAAAAAGAGAGAGGGAGGGAAAGAGAGACAGAGAGATACTGTGACAGGCCAGGTCTCACTAACACAGGCCTCTCTAACAACTGTTTCAGCACTGACTGCGTGGTTAAGTTAAATATTTAAAGATGATAGCGCCAGTGCCCTTAGACAAAGGCTGGAACGTAACAAAAGCACACCAAGAGTTTTGCCCAGGCCTTTCCTGGGCCTTGAAGCATGACAAGATAATGAAGGAATTCTTAATGGACCTGTTTAGGATTAAACAAGTTTTATTGGGAGTCTGAAGAAACTCTCTAGACTCTAAAATTTAGCAGGAGACAAGATAAGGGTAACTATCCCTGGCACCTGGACCCATCTAGATTAAGTAAATTTACTGAGGCTCAGAGGAAGGTCTTCAGGACTCAGACCTTAGTTACAGATTAGGAGAAGTTAATTGGCCTGGTGCAGTGGCTCACGCCTGTAATCCCAGCAGTTTGGGAGGCCAAGGCAGGCAGATCACTTAAGGCCAGGAGTTCAAGACCAGCTTGGCCAACATGGCGAAACCCCATCTCTACTAAAAATACAAAAATTAACCAGGCATGATGGTGCACGCCTGTAATCCCAGCTACTTGGGAGGCTGAGGCAGGGGAATCGCTTGAACCTGAGAGGTGGGGGTTGCAGTGAGCCGAGATTGTGCCACTGCACTCCAGACTGGGTGACAGAGCAAGACTTCATCTCCAAAAATAAATAAATAAATAAATAAATAAATAAATAAAAATTAAACTACAAGCCAGGCACAGTGGCTCGCACCTGTAATCCCAGCACTTTGGTAGGCCGAGGTGGGGGGATCACCTGAGGTCAGGAGTTTGATACCAGCCTGGCCAACATGGTGAAACCCTGTCTCTACTAAAAATACAATAGCTGGGCATGGTGGTGCACGCCTAGATAATCCCAGCTACTCGGGAGGTTGAGGCAGAAGAATCGCTTGAACCTGGGAGGCAGAGGTTGCGGTGAGCCGAGATAGCGCCACTGCACTCCAACCTGGGTGACAGAGTGAGACTCTGTCTCGAAAATAAATAAAACTACAGCAGCCACAAGCACTGACAGAGTCAAGTATCAGGCACCCACAGGACAAGGTGGGACACAGTGTCTACTCATCTGCAGAGTGGGGACCAGGGCAGGATTGGGAGAAGAGAGCCAGGGTAAGGGGGAAGAAACAATATTGACAGAATAATTCTGAAAGATTCTCCCCGCGGCCTGAAAACTTGGGAGGATAAACTTGGGGGGATGAATAACTCCTCCCTTCTCAGGCCCAGTCCCAAGGTGCAAGGCTACTTGCCCCAGCAGCATGCGCCAGCAAGATAGCAGAAGCAGGAAGAGAGATGGCCGGAAGACATGTACCCTGGCCGGAAGACACGTACCCTGGCCGGAAGACATCTACCCTGGCCGGAAGACATCTACCCTGGCCGGAAGACACCTACCCTGGCCGGAAGACATCTACCCTGGCCGGAAGACATCTACCCTGGCCGGAAGACAGCTACCTTGGCCGGAAGACACCTGCCCTGGCCGGAAGACACGTACCCTGGCTGGAAGACATCTACCCTGGCCGGAAGACACATGCCCCTGAAGATCAAGAGACGGGCCATCCGGGTACCATGTAGCAGTTACGTCAGACTGGGACACTTGCTGTTTACGGGAGACTATAAAACCCCTGCCCCGTCCTCACTTGGGGCTGACGCCATTTTAGGCCTCAGCCGTCTGCACCCAGGTGCACATTAAAACAGCGTGTTGCTCCACACCAGCTCATGTTGTTTGTTGGCTTGCTCTCGGGGTTCGAAACGACACAAGAGCCTTACAAATTCCATGCTTGGCTCACTCGGCATTTCCTTAACAGATGTTCATTCAGTGCCTGCATGCTTGACAAGCCCCAGGTCTGAGAATACAACGGATCAGTGAATGAACCAACATGCAAAAATCCCTGACATTCTAGTGTTAAGAGTCTACAGGTAGAATAAATAAGTAAATTTAAAAAGATGTTAGATCCCTTTTCTTTTTGAGACAGGGTCTTGCTGTGTTGACCAGGCTGGAGTGCAGGGGCACAATCATAGTAAGGGAGGACACCACCCCTCATATTATGCCCAATTTCTGCCTCCAAAGAAAGAAGAAGTAAAAACTAAATGGCAGAAATCAAATCCATAGGCAGACAGCCCGGCACCGCACCCTGGGCCTGGTTAAAGATCGACCCCTGACCTAACCGGTTATGTTATCTATATATTCCAGATACCTCAAGGAAAAGGTAATTATTTGATTCAAGACCTTCAAAACGAGGCCAGGTGTGGTGGCTCACGACTGTCATCTCAGCATTTTGGGAGGCCAATGCAGTAGGATCACTTGAGGTCAGGAGTTCGAGACCAGCCTGGGCAACACAGCAAGAACCTGTCTCTTTTGAGTTTTTTTGTTTGTTTGTTTGTTTTGTTTTTGAGATGGAGTTTTGTTCTTGTCGCCCAGGCTGGAGTGCAATGGCATAATTTCGGCTCACTGCAACCTCCACCTCCTGGGTTCAAGTGATTCTCCTGCGTCAGTCTCCTGAGTAGCTGAGACTACAAGCGTGCACCACTACGCCTGGCTAATTTTTTTGTATTTTTAATATAGACGGGGTTTCACCATTTTGGCCAGGCTGGTCTGGAACTCCGGACCTCAGGTGATCCACCCACCTCGGCCTCCTAAAGTACAGAGATTACAGGCATGAGCCACCGCACCCGGCCAAGACCCTGTCTCTGAAAATAATTTTTAAAAATTAGCCGGGTGCCTACAGTCCCAGCTACTCAGGAGGCCAAGGTTGGAGGATCGATTGGGCCCAGGAGTTGGAGGCTACAGTAAACTATGATCGCATCACTGCCCTTCACCTAGGGGCAGAGTGAGACCTTGTCTCAAAGAAGAAAGACCTTCGAAAATGAAACAGGGAACCAGAAGGAGGGCAAGGTGGCAGCCAGGGCAAAATCCCTATGATGAGGGCATGCGGCTATGTGCAAGGAATTGCTCTGAGAATAAAGATGGGGACATTCTAGCCGAGCTAAAGAATGATCCATTTACTTATCATTGTAAGAAAATTGGAGCCGTTCCCAGAGATGACTAAGACCTAGGCCTGCAAAGTGTGAA
The DNA here is from genome assembly GCF_000001405.40 of Homo sapiens. NCBI lineage: Eukaryota > Metazoa > Chordata > Mammalia > Primates > Hominidae > Homo > Homo sapiens. The sequence goes on along the minus strand of NC_000019.10, from coordinate 9,075,823 downwards.
GCCTGCAGGGAGGTGGGGGAAGGAGGCGAAGAACAAAGAACGCAAGGGGGGCCGAGTGAGTCATGGGCAGTGGGAACGGCGGTGCGGTGCATGGCTGGGTGCAGATAATTACCCTCGGGTAGCAGCCAGGCCCAGGTGGGGTGGGTGTCAGCAGGAGATGGACAGAGACCTCCCTCCGCTTCAGAAAGTAAAACCGGTGTTGCCCCAGCCTGGAACTCCCCCAGGAGAGTTGGAATCCTGCCCATCCCCTCCCCTCTTCCTCCAGTCTTTTCTTCCAGCTCAGGCCTGAGCTTTAAAAATCTTGCTTCCCAGCCACGGCCAAGACACGTCCCTGCCTCCCCCAGCAGAATGCAGATTTCAGGTGTCATTCATGAACTATTTAAGGGTTTCTGGAATGTTAGATTTGCCTGCTAGTCTGGGAGTCTTGGAGGGGGAGACCAGCTGTCACACGTCCTGCCCATGGCCGTGATTGGAGCACCCGGCAAGCTTAGGAGACAATGTTCACATGGACAGACTTTCTCTCTGAATGCCTTTGTCAGAGATGTTTAAACCAGAGTGACTCCATCTTGTGTAGGGGCTGGGTAAAATAAGGCCAAGACCTGCTGGGCTGTGTTCCCAGACAATTAAGGCATTCTAAGTCACAGGATGAGATAGGAGGTCAGCACAAGATGCAGGTCATAAAGACCTTGCTGATAAAACAGGTTGCAAAAAGAAGCCAGTCAAAACCCACCAAAACCAAGATGGCCCCAATAGTGACCTCTGGTTGTCCTCACTGCTACACTCCCATCAGTGTCACTGAGTCAGGAAAACAAGGTCTGGAGGCCAAGAATATAAGGTCGATTCACACTTCACCTATGGCAGGAAGGGCGGAAGCCAAGTCAATGACTGTAACCTTACTTCATCCTCTCCATTTACATAGGGCGTACCCCAAGTAAAGGGTATTTAAACTCCGAAAAATTCTGTAATGGGGACTTTGAGCCCCTATGCTCCAGCCCACTCCCACACTGTGGAGTGTGCTTTCATTCTCAATAAATCCCTGCCTCTGGCTGGGGCGCGGTGGCTCACACCTGTAATCCCAGCACTTTGGGAGGCCGAGGCAGCCGGATCACCTGAGGTCGGGAGTTCACCTGAGGTTGGGAGTTCGAGACCAGCCTAACCAACATGGAGAAACCCCGACTCTACTAAAAAAAAATACAAAATTAGCCGGGCATGGGGGTGCATGCCTATAATCTCAGCTGCTCGGAAGGCTGAGGCACGAGAATCACTTGAACCCGGGAGGCGGAGGTTGCGGTGAGCCAAGATTGCACCATTGCACTCCAGCCTGGATGACAGAGGAAGACTCCGTCTCAAAAAAAAAAAAAAAAAAAAAAAATCCCTGCTTCTGCCTTCCTTGCTTTTGCTTTGTTGGTGTGTTTTGTCCAATTCTTTGTTTGGGATGCCAAGAACCTGGACACCTTCTACCAGTAACACCATGACAGTTTACAGATGCCATGGCGACACCAGGAAGTTACCCCAGATGCTCTAAAAAGGTGAGGCATGAATAATCCTCCCCTTCTTTAGCATATTATCAAGAAATAACCATAAAAATGGGCAACCAGCAGCCCTTGGGGCTGCTCTGTCTATGGAGTAGCCATTCTTTTATTCCTTTACTTTCCTAAAAACTTGCTTTCACTTTACAGACTTGCCTGAGATCCAAGAGCCCTCTCTTGGGGTTTGGATTGGGACCCCTTTCCTATGACACCTTGCGGCCCGGAAAGACTTTCTCTCCCAGTGCCCTGGGGTCAGGCACAGGGCCGCAGCTTTCCCATAGAGAGCCCAGGAATATTTGCATTACCAGGAGAGAGTCAGGTTTCAGCGAGAATCTGAGGAAAATCCTCCAGAGAGTATCTAAAACGAGGTGAGGAAAGGGGAAAAGGCATTTTCCTTTAGGACGAACCTGAATTCCTTAGGATACAGCTGGTGAACAATAACATCTGTAACTCCCTCCTAGGTTTTTCAAAGGGAAGGAAGGAAGGTAGAAGGCCCTCTTGAGAAATGTCTTTTTTTTTTTAAGGGACCAGGTCTCCCTCTGTTGCCCAGGTTGAAGTACAGTGGCGCTATCATAGCTGACTGCAGCCTTGAACTCCTGGGTTCAAGCAAATCCTCCCACCTCAGCCTCCCAAGTAGCTAAGACTACAGGCAAGTGATTCTCCTGCCTCAGCCTCTCAAGGATTGCAAGCACCAGCCAAAAAGCCCAGCTAATTTTTGTATTTTTTGTAGAGATGGGGTTTCACCATATTGGCCAGGCTGGTCTCGAACTCCTGACTTCAGGTGATCCACCCTCCTTGGCCTCCTAAAGTGCTGGGATTTTCCCTTAACAAGCATCTATGGGTCGGGCGCGGTGGCTCACACCTGTAATCCCAGCACTTTGGGAGGCTGAGATGGGAGGATCACTTGAGCCCAGGACTTCAAGTTCATCCTGGGGAACATATATAGTGAGATTCGGTGTCTACAGAAAACTTTTTTTTTTTTTTTTTTTTAGACAGAGTCTCACTTTGTCGTCCAGGCTGGAGTGCAGTGGCACAATCTTGGCTCATTGCAATCTCTGTCTCCCAGGTTCAAGAGATTTTCCTGTCTCAGCCTCCCAAGTAGCTGGGATTACAGGCGCGCGCCACCACCCCCAGCTAATTTTGTATTTTTGGTAGAGACGGAGTTTCACCATGTCGGCCAGGCTGGTCTCAAACTCCTGACCTCAGGTGATCCGCCCGCCTCGGCCTCCCAAAGTGCTGGGATTACAGGCATTTGCCACTGCACCCGGCTTCTACAAAAAAATTTAAAAATTAGTCAAACGTGATGGCACATACCTATATAGTCCCAGCTACTTGGGAGGCTGAGGTGGGAGGATGGCTTGAACCCAGGAGGTAGAGGCTGCAGTGAGCCACTGCACCCCAGCCTGGGCGACAGAATGAGATCCCATCTCAAACATATAACCATAAACTTTGGATGTTAAGCATTTGCTGGAAAAAAAGAAAAAAGATAAATTAAAACAAAAAAATCCCCCATAAACTAAATGCCATGATATTTAAATACAAATCAAGTAATTCTGATGAAAGTTATGGCCAAGACATTTTACATTCTTTTTTTCAAAATCAGTCTTCAAAATCTCATCTCATGTGTATTTTACATGCACCACACATCTCTTCTGGTTTTTGTTTTGTTTTGTTTTGTTTTTGAGACAGAGTCTCTCTCTGTTGCCCAGGCTGGGGTGCAGTGGCACAATCTCAGCTCACTGCAACCTCTGCCTCCCGGGTTCAAGCGATTCTCCTGCCTCAGCCTCCCAAGTAGGTGGGATTACACACATGCGACACCATGCCCAGCTAATTTTTGTATTTATAGTAGAGATGAGGTTTTGCCATGTTGGTCAGGCTGGTCTCCAACTCCTAACCTCAGGTGATCCACCCACCTTGGCCTCCCAAAGTGCTGGGATTACGGGCGTGAGCCACCGTGCCCGGCCATAATAATACTTTTTTTTTCATTAAAAAAAAAAAAACTAAAAACAAGAAGGCTGGGCACGGTGGCTCATGCCTGTAATCCCAGCACTTTGGGAAGCTGAGGTGGGCAAATCACGAGGTCAGGAGTTCGAGACCATCCTGACCAATATGGAGAAACCCCATCTGTATTAAAAATACAAAAATTAGCCAGGCGTGGTGGCACGCGCTTGTAATCCCAGCTACTCGGGAGGCTGAGGCAGGAGAATCACTTGAACCTGGGAGACGGAGCTTGCAGTGAGCTGAGATTGCGCCACTGCACTCTGGCCTGGGCGACAGAGCGAGACTCTGTCTCAAAATAAATAAATAAGAAAAAAGAAAGAAAAATGAGGCTCAGAGAGGTTAGGTGACTTCCCCAAGGTCACACAGCAGGATGGAAACCCACACCTTCCTGTCCCTTGTCCACTCCCCTAGGCTTTGTGCCTCACTGGCTTCAGGGAGAGCAGCCATGTCATAAAACAGGTTCTGCCATGGGCCCTCAGCCTGGTTGTCCATGACACCAGCACTGACTGGAGGCCTGGTTCTCTGAGCCCCAGTTTGCTTTCGTGCAAAATGACTTTGCAATAGGCTGTGCCTTCCCTCGGGTATGGTGAGAAATTAAATTGTTAAATAAATTCCCAGGAATAAGGACAGGAAGTGTAGAGTTTCTTTCTTTTCCTTCTTTTTTTTTTTTTTTTTTTTTTTTTTTTTTTCTGAGATGGGGTTTCACTCTTGTTGCCCAGGCTGGAGTGCAATGGTGCGATCTTGACTGGTCTGGTCTGATGGTCTGGGTGGTGTCAGCTGATCCATCGAGTGCAGGGTCTGCAAACTATCTCAAGCACTGATTTTAGGTTTTACAATAGTGATGCTACCTCTGGGAGCAATCTGGGGACGTTCAGACTCTTGGACCCAGAGGCTGCATGACTCCTAAACTGTAATTTCTAATCTTGTAGCTAATTTGTTAGTCCTGCAAAGGCAGACTGGTTCCCAGGCAAGAAGTGGGTCTTTTAGGGAAAGGGCTGTTATCAGTTTTGTTTCAGAGTCAAACCATCAGCTGAATTCCTTCCCAAAGTTAGTTTGGCCTAAGCCCAGGAATGAACAAGGACAGCTTAAAGGTTAGAAGCATTTTAGAACTTTAAAGAGGGCCGGGTGTGGTGGCTCACGCCTGTAATCCCAGCACTTTGGGAGGCCAAGGAGGGCTGGTCACCTGAGGTCGGGAGTTCAAGACCAGTCTGACCAACATGGTGAAACCCCGTCTCTACTAAAAATACAAAAATTATCTGGGCGTCGTGGTGCACGCCTGTAATCCCAGCTACTCCGGAGGCTGAGGCAGGAGAATCGCTTGAATCTGGGAGGTGGAGTTTGAGGTGAGCCGAGACTGTGCCATTGCAGTCTAACCTGGGTGACAAGAGCGAAACTGTCTCAAAAAAAAAAAAAAAAAAAATTAGGCCGGGCGTGGTGGTTGAAGCCTGTAATCCTAGCACTTTGGGAGGCTGAGGCGGGTGGATCACCTGAGGTCAGAAGTTCAAGACCAGCCTGGCCAACATGGTAAAACCCCGTCTCTACTAAAAATACAAAAATTAGGTGGGCACAGTGGGGGGTGCCTGTAATCCCAGCTACTAGGGAGGCTGAGGCAGGAGAATCGCTTGAACCTGGGAGGTGGAGGTTGCAGTGAGCCGAGATCGTGCCACTGCACTCCAGCCTGGGCGACAGAGTAAGACCTTGTCTCCAAAAAAAAAAAAAAAGGAGGTTTCAAACTCTGGCACCAGGCTCCAGAAACTGTACGCTTAATCACTGGGCTTATTTGGTGGGGGGGCGGCTATGATGTAGGTAGTACATGCATTAGAATTTGTGGCGACCACCCAAACCCGGGGTATCCATTTCCCTTTGGCCTGACCCTGGGGTCCCAGCTTATGGAACACAGAGCAGGTGTTTACTTCAGCAGGAGCTGAGCAGTCCCAACACCCCTCCTCCTCCTCCATTCTGAGCACCTCTCCTCCACCCTCCAGGACCTTTTCCGTGATCACTGGGGGAAGACAATGGAATGGCAGCTTAGGGACAAAGGGAGAGCTCAGTTACTAATGCCACTTCTGGGCAGGGTTCCTGCATTCCTTAGGGGGGAAGGGAGCAACCGCTGCTGGATTCCCCGTGGGTTCAAGGAGCTGGAGGACCCAGGAGCCTAAATCTCTGCTCAGATCCTCTGAGCTCTGAGTCTGGTTTTCCCAAAAAACTAGATGGTTTTCCTTAAAAAAAAAAAAAGTTACCAGACACAAGTCAGCCGTGCCCCCGGGAGCTGCCTTTGAAAAGAGGAACCTGGCCAGGAGCAGTGCCTCACATCTGTAATCCCAGCACTTTGAGAGGCCAAGGTGGGCAGACCACGAGGTCAGGAGTTCAAGACCAGCCTGCCCAACATGGTGAAACCCCGTCTCTACTAACAATACAAAAATTAGCCAGGCTTGGTGGTGTGCGGCTATAGTCCCAGCTACTCAGGTGGCTGAGGCAGGAGAATCGCTTGAACCCAGGAGACAGAGGTTGCGGTGAGCCGAGATCGCACCACTGCACTCTAGCCTGGGTGACACAGCGAGACTCCGTCTCAAAAAAAAAAAAAAAGAAAAAAGAAAAGAGGAGCCTGGTGGCCAAGGTGCTGTCTCAAGCTTTGTAATCCCAGCATTCTGGGAGGCTGAGGCAGAAGGATGGCTTGAGCCCAGGAATTCAAGATCCAGCCTGGAGCCGAACTCACACCTGTAATCCCAATACTCTGGGAGGCTAAGGCAGGCAGATCACCTGAACTCAGGAGTTTGAGACCAGCCTGGCCAACATGGTGAAACCTTGTCTCTATTAGAAATACAAAAAAAAAAATTAGCCAGGTGTGGTGGCGAGCACCTGTAGTCCCAGCTACTTGGGAGGCTAGGCATGAAAATTACTTGAACCCGGGAGGCGGAGGTTGCAGTGAGCCAAGATCACACCACTATACTCAAACCTGGGTGTCAGAGCAAGGCTCGGTCCTCACCCCCCACCCACCCACCCCCACATAAAAAAAAACAAAAACCCTGGGCAACATATCCAGACCCAGTCTCTACAAAACAAAAAAGTATAAATCAGCTGGGCACGGTGGTACATGCCTGTAGTCCCAGTTACTCAGGAGACTGAGGCAGGTGGATTGCTTGGGCCCAAGAGTTTGAGGCTGCAGAGAGCTATGATTGCACCACTGCACTCCAGCCTGAGGAACAGAGTGAGACCCTGTCTCAAAAAAAAAAAAAAAAAAAAAAAATGGAAAAGAAAAGAAAAAGAAAGAGGAACCTGGTGGACAATTGTTTATTTTTAAATTTTCTTTATTTAAAAAGTTTAATGACAAATAATAATTGTATCTATTTATGGGGTACAATCTGATATTTTGATATTTGTATGTATATCTTGTGGAATTATTTAAGAAGCTAATTAACATAGCCATCAACTCACCTACTTATCGTGTGTGTGTGTGTGTGTGTGTGTGTGTGTGTGTGTGTGTGTGGTAAGAGCATTTAAAATAAACTTTTTTTTTTCTTAATAGCGACGTCGCTATGTAAAATAAACTCTTTTTAGCAATTTTCAAATATGTGGGCCGGGCATGGTGGCTCATACCTGTAATCCCAGCACTTTGGGAGGCCGAGGCAGGTGGATCACCTGAGGTCAGGAGTTCAAGACCAGCCTGACCAACATGGTGAAACCCCCGTCTCTACTAAAAATCCAAAAATTAGCTGGGTGTAGTGGCGTGTACCTGTAATCCCAGCTACTCAGCAGGCTGAGGCGGGAGAATCGCTTGAACCTGCGAGGCGGAGGTTTCAGTGAACTGTGATCGGGCCACTGCACTTCAGCCTGGGTGACAGAGCGAGACTCTGTCTCAAAAAAAAAAAAAAGAAATATGTAATACATTATTTTGACCTATAGTTACAATAGATCACTAGAACTTATTCCTGCTAACTAAAACATGTGTCCTTTGACCAACTAACTCTCTTCAGTCTTCCCACTTCCCCAGCCCTGGTAACCATCATTCTACTCTCTAATTCCATGAGTTTAACCTTTTTATTTTACTTATTTATTTTTGAGATGTAGTCTTGCTCTCTCACCAGGCTGGAGTGCAGTGGCGTGATCATGGCTCACTGCAACCTCTGTCTCCCAGTTCAAGCAATTCTCATGCCTCAGCCTCCCAAGTAACTGGGATCACAGGTACGATAACACACCCAGCTAATTTTTTTTTTTTGTAATTTTCATAGAGACGGGGTTTCGCCATGTTGGCCAGGCTGGTCTCAAACTCCCGACCTCAAGTGATCCTCCCGCCTTGGCCTCGCGAAGTGCTGGGATTACAGGCGTGAGCCACCTCGCCCGACCAATTTGATCTTTTCAGATACCACAGTTAAGCGAAATCGCACAGTATTTGTCTCACTGTGCCTGGCTTATTTCACTTCGCACAATGTCCCCCAGGTTCGTCCGTGTGGTCAAAAATGACAGTATTTCCTTCTTCTTTAAGGCTGTATAGTATTCATCGTGTGTGTGTGTGTGTGTGTGTGTGTGTGTGTGTGTGTGTATATATATACACACATTTTCTTTATCCATTTATCCATTGATAGAGACCCCAAATAGCCAAAGCCATCTCAAGCAAAATGAACAAAGCTGGAGACATCACACTCTCTGATTCCACATTATATGGCAAAGCTGGTGGGCAAATTTTAACTGGAAGGTTTTGAATACCTCCTCTGGGTGGTCCTCCTTGATTTCTCTCCACTCAAAGCCAACTCTATTTTCATTTTTTTTTTTTTTTTGAGACGGACTCACTCTGTCTCCCAGGCTGGAATGCAGTGGCACGATCTCGGCTCACTGCAACCTCCACCTCCCTGATGCAGGCAATTCTCTGCCACAGCCTCCCAAGTAGCTGGGATTACAGGTGCCCACTACCACGCCCAGCTAATTTTTTGTATTTTTAGTACAGACAGGGTTTCACCATGTTGGTCAGGCTGGTCTTGAACTCCTGACCTCATGATCCACCTGACCCAGCCTCCCAAAGTGCTGGGATTACAAGTGTGAGCCACCATGCCCAGCCCACTTATTCTTTAATTCACATATTTATTCATTTAGCAAGCATATTCTAAGTTGATAGGTGCTGGAGATAAGCAATAAGACTTAGATGACCAAGTGCAGTGGCTCATGCCTATAATCCCAGCACATTGGGAAGTAGAGTCGGGAGGATTGCTTGAGCTCAGGAGTTCGAGACCAGACTGGGCAACATGGTGAAACCCTGTCTCTACTAAAAATACAAAAATTAGCCAGATGTGGTGGTGCACACCTGTAACCCAGCTACTCGGGAGACTGAGGTGGGAGGATCACTTGAGCCTGGGAGGTGGAGGTTGCAGTGAGCTATCGCACCAGTGCACTCCAGCCTGGCGACAGAGCAAGACTCCATCTAAAAAAAAAAAAAATTACCCAGGTGTAGTGGCGTGCACCTGTAATCCCAGCTACTTGGGAGGCTGAGGCAGAAGAATCGCTTGAATCCTCCTGAGTAGCTGGGATTACAGGTGCCCACCACCACACCCAGCTGATTTTTGTATTTTTAGTAGAGATGGGGTTTCTCCATGTTGGTCAGGTTGGTCTCGAACTCCCGACCTCAGGTGATCCACCCTCCTCGGCCTCCCAAAGTGCTGGGATTACAGGCATGAGCCACTGCGCCCAGCCTGAAAACTGTTGCTGAATGCAGTCACATCGGAAGTAAAGGCTTCAACTTGTGAATTTGAGGGGGATACAATTCAGAGCGTCACAGAGAGAGAACATGAGGCTGCTGTGGAATAGCAGAGACTACCGCTTGCAGCAGGACCAGAGGCGTGATTTGCAGGGTCCAGTGCAAAGTGAAAATGGGAGCCTCTTTGCTCAAAAATTATTACAAATTATAAGATATTTAATGTTTTATTTGCCAATCATCCTTCAATAAAGCTGGGGAGGGAGGAATGTAAGTATAGGCTGGGCGCTGTGGCTCACGCCTGTAATCTCAGCACTTTGTGAGGCCAAGGCTGGCGGATCACTTGAGATAGGGAGTTCGAGACCAGCCTGACCAACATGGTGAAACCCTGTCTCTACTAAAAAATACAAAAATTAGCTGGGCATGGTGGTGTGTGCCTGTAGTCCTAGCTACTCGGGAGGCTGAGGTACAAGAATCGCTTGAACCGGGAGGCGGAGTTTGCTGTGAGACAAGATGGCACCACTGCATTCCAGCCTGGGCAACACAATAGGACTTCCTTTCAAAAAAAAAAAAAAAAGTAATGGGTAAATTGCAAAAGTGATTGTGGCCCATGAAAGTCGCAGTGCAGCTCTGGGTCTGGGGAACATTCTAGGGAGACTTTTCCTGACACCCGCAGCTGAGCCTGGCAGCTGAAACTCCCGCTCCCCTCAATGCCCATGGAGCCCTGTCTTCCTGGGAGCCCAGACAGGCAGAACCAAGGGCCCAGGGAGCCAATCAGGGCCTGGGAATAGGCGAGGGGATCCTTCCCAGCCCCGCCCAGCCTCGCAGGGATTAGGCTGACTGGGCACATTTGATACCCGCCAGATCTTAGGCACCTGGCCGCCTGGAGCTGCTGGACATGTCTCTGGGCTTGGCTGGGGGGCTGGAACGAGGGCAAAGAGCAGCCCCCAAGTCTTCCTGAAGCCGTGAATGGCTGGCCTGTGGCAGGGTGCCCCTGGAGGCCGGCGGTGGGCCCTGGTGTTACTAATGCTGAGATACCTGCTGCCCACAGGTAAGGGGATCTCTTGCTCCTTCTGGTCCTCTGGGGAGGAGGGAAATGAGTCCACAATGTCCCAGCCCATCCTCAAATGGCCTTGCATGTCAACCCCACTCCTTCCTTCCTTTTTTTGACAGGATCTTGCTCTGTTGCCCAGGCTGGAGTATGGTGGCATGATCACGGCTCACAGCAGCCTAGACCTCCAAACTCAAGTGCTTCTCCCAATTCAGCCTCCCAAGTAGCTGGGACCACAGATGTGTGCCACCTAGCTCAGCTAATTGTTTTTAAATATTTTGCAGAGACGAGGTCTCCCTGTGTTGGCCAGGTTGGTCTAGAACTCCCAGGCACAAGTGATCCTCCCGCCTTGGCCTCCCAAAGTGCTGGGATTACAGGCATGAGCCACTGCACCCAGCTTCCACTTTGTCCCCCTTTCCAGCTTGAGTCCCTACCCAATTGTCACCTCTTCTGTGTTCCCAACCACCCTCTTCCTTTCCTTCTCCCCCTTTACTTTCTTTTTCTTTTTTTTTTTGAGACAGAGTTTTGGTCTTGTCGCCCAGGCTGGAGTGCAATGGCGCGATCTCAGCAATTCTCCTGCCTCAGCCTCCGGAGTAGCTGGGATTACGGGCGCTAATGTTTTTGTATTTTCAGTAGAGATGGGGCCTGCGGACTTGGTCTTTCTGAGCCTCACTTTTCCCCATCTGCAAAAAGGGCATCATGATAATGATAATAGCATCTTGCTTGAGGGGCCTGTTGGGGCGATGCAGCTCTTGCCTGGCACAGAGGAAGTTTCAATGAGCAAGTGACCTTTGCTTTTATGAAGTGGGACGGTCACAGATGGCTTGAGGGACACAGAAGGGATCCTCTCTGTGTGGCACCCAAGAGAAACCTTATTTTTCATGCAAGCCTGGGGTGGGGGACATGTAGGATTCACAATCCCACGGGGAGCTTAGAGATATTGGCTGATGGTCTGATGGCCCCGTTTTATGGAGGAGCAAACTGAGGTTCAAAGGGTTCAGGATTTTCCCAAGGTCCTGTAGCAGGAGACGTGGGGCCAGTTCCCAATCTCTTCTCTCTTTCTCTCTCTCTCTTTTTTTTTTTTAATAATTCTTATTTTATTTTATTTATTTTATTTATTTTTTTTCGAGACGGAGTTTTGCTCTTGTTGCCCAGGCGGGAGTGCAATGGTGCCATCTCGGCTCACTGTAACCTCCGCCTTCCTGATTCAAGCAATTCTCCTGCCTCAGCTTCCCTAGTAGCTGGGATTACAGGCGTGTGCCACCACGCCCAGCTAATTTTGTATTTTTAGTAGAGATGGGTTTTCACTATGTTGGTCAGGCTGGTTTCAAACTCCTGATCTCAGGTGATCCGCCTGCCTCAGCCTGCCAAAGTGTTGGGATTACAGGCGTAAGCCACCACACCTGGCCAAGAATTTTTTTTTTTTTTTTTTTTGGTGGTGGTGGTTGTTTTTGAGACAGAGTGGAGTGCAGTGGCTCGAACTCGGCTCACTGCAAGCTCTGCCTCCCGGGTTCACGCCATTCTCCTGCCTCAGCCTCCCAAGTAGCTGGGACTACAGGCGCCCGCCGTCATGCCCGGCTAATTTGTTTTTGTATTTTTTAGTAGAGACGGGGTTTCACCATGTTAGCCAGGATGGTCTTGATCTCCTGATCTCATGATCTGCCCACCTCAGCCTCCCAAAATGCTGGGATTACAGGCATGAGCCACTGCGCCCAGCCCAAGAATTTTTATAAAAATAGAGAAAGGAGGCTGGGCGCGGTGGCTCATGCCTGTAATCCCAGCACTTTGGAAGGCTGAGGTGGGCGGATCACCTGAGGTCAGGAGTTCGAGACCAGCCTGGCCAACATGGTGAAACCCCGTCTCTAAAAATACAAAAATTAGCTGGGTGTGGTGGCAGGCGCCTGTAATCCCAGCTACTCAGGAAGCAGAGGCAAGAGAATCGCTTGAACCCAGGAGGCGGAGGTTGCATTGAGCCGAGATCATGCCATCGCACCCCAGCCTGGGGGACAGGAGCAAGACTTCGTCTCCAAAAAAATAAAAAATAAAAATAAATAAAAGTAGAGAAAAAGGGTCTCCCTATGTTGCCCAAGCTGGTCCTGAACTCCTGGACTCAAGCAATCCTCCTGCTTCATCTTCCCAAAGTGCTGGGATTACAGGCATGAGCCATCGCACCCGACCCCAGTCTCTCTTCTTTAACTGGCTCATGTTTCTCCTACCTCTCCTGGGAGGATCATGTAGTCAGTGAATGGGCATTTGTACATTGAGCCCCTGCTATGTGCCCCTGCAGGCTTTGAGGACTTACAGGACACTGGAGAAAAAGTAGACAAGACACTCAGAGGGAGCGATGAGGGATTTGGAGGTTGCATTAGTTTTCTGAGGCTGATATAACCAAGTACCATAGACTGGAGGCCTCAACAACAGAAATGTATCATCTCTCCGTTCTGCAGGCCGGAAGTTGGAGATGAAGGTGTCTGCAGGTTACCATGGTGGTTACCAGAGGCTGGGAAGGGTGTTGAGGAAGATGGATGAGGAGAGGTGGTAAAAAGATACATAATTACAGTTAGATGGGAGGAAAAAATTCAAGACATCTATTGTATAGCAGGGTGACGATAGTTAATGACAGTTTATTGTAGTCTTGAAAAATGCAGGCCGGGCTAGGTGGCTTATGCCTGTAATCCCGGCACTTTGGGAGGCCGAGATGGGCAGATCACCTGAGGTCAGGAGTTCGAGACCAGCCTGGCCAACATGGTGAAACCTCATCTGTATTAAAAATACAAAAAAAAAAATTAGCCAGGTGTGGTGGCTCACGCCTATAGTCCCAGCTACTTGGGTTGCTGAGGCACAATAATCGCTTGAACCTGGGAGGTGGAGGTTGCAATGAGCCAAGATCACGCCACTGCACTCCAGCCTGGGCAACAGAGTGAGACTTGATCTCAAAAAAGAGAAGGGAGAGAGAGAGAGAGAGAGAGGGAGAGGAAAGAAAGGAAGAAAAGAAAAGAAAAATGCAAAGAGAGGCCAGGCGCAGTGGCTCTTGCCTGTAATCCCAGTACTTTGGGATGCCGAGGTGGGAGAATTGCTTGAGCCCAGGAGTTCAGGACGAGCCTGGGCAACATTGTGAGACCCCCATCTCTGCAAAAAAATTTTTTTTTAATTAGCCAGGCCTGCAGTCCCAACATTTTGGGAGGCCAAGATGGGAGGATCACTTGAGCTCAGTAGTTTGAGAACAGCCTGGGCAATACAGCAAAACCTTCTCTACTAAAAATAAAATAAAAATTAGCCAGGCATGATGTTACGTGCCTGTAGTCCCAGCTACTCAGGAGGCTGAGGTCGGAGGATCATTTGGGTCCAGGAGGTTGAGGCTACAGTGAGGTATGATTGTTCGGCTGCACTCCAGCTTGGGCAACAGATTGAGACTCTGTCTCAAAGCAAAAAAAAAAAAAAAAAAAAAAAGGACAGAAAGAAAGTAAAGGCAGACAGCCAGGCACGGTGACTCACGCCTGTAATTCCACACTTTGGGAGGCCAAGGCAGGCGGATCACTTTAGCTCAAGAGTTCAAGACTAGCCTGGCCAACATGGCGAAACCCTGTCTCTACAAAAAATACAAAAATTAGCCAGGTGTGGTGGTGCACCCTTGTAGTCCCAGCTACTCAGGAGGCTGCGGTGGGAGGGTGACTTGAGCCCAGGAAGCAGAGGTTGCAGTGAGCTGAGATCATGCCACTGCACTCCAGCCTGGGTGACAGAGCCAGATCCTGTCTCTAAAAAATTTAAAAAACTAAAAAGGAATTAGCCCAGTGCCTGCCACATGGCCAACAGGATATGTTAGCTTTTATTGTAAAGGTAGGCCTCATTTCATTGTTACTAAGATAGGAGCTTGGCATGGTGCTGGCCCAGTGAGTCTCAGCTATCCTAAAAGCAAGGTGGTTATTACTATTAACTAAAATTGTTTGATCTGGGCTAGGATCTGTATTAAGCTCTTTGTCACCATTAGTCCTAGCAATGACTCTCCAAAATAGATGCTGTCAGACGTAACCCTAATTTACTAGAGAGGAAACAGGCAGAATTTGAGTGGCCTATCCAGGACCACACAGGATTTGAACCCAGGACTAATGATAGAGCCCACTGTGTTTCTCTAAAATTATAGCAACAGGCCAGGCGCCGTGGCTCACACCTGTAATCCCAGCGCTTTGGGAGGCCGAGGCGGGCAGATCAACTCAGGTTGGGAGTTCGAGACCAGCCTGGCCAACATGGCGAAACCCTATCTCTACTAAAAATACAAAAAAATTAGCTGGGTGTGGTGGTCAGTGCCTGTAATCCGAGCTCCTCGGGAGGCTGAAGCACGAGAATCACTTGAATCCACGAGGCAGAGGTTGGAGTGAGCGGAGATTTCCATCACTGCACTCCAGCTTGGGGCAACAGAGTGAGACTGTGTCTCTAAGTAAATAAATAAGAGCAACCAACTAGGGCCTCTCTGGCTTCCTGAAATTCAGGCTGGCTGGGCAGATTTAAAAAATGTAGGACGTGCTGATGTTGTGGAAATACAACTAAATGCAAGAATCTTCTCTCAACTCAGGAAACCTCTCCACAAAAGTAGAAGGGAAAGGAAAAAAATACCCCTTAATGTTATCACTGAATAAGCATTCATCCAGAGTGTGGTGCACGTCGTAGATAAGGCCTAGGACATTGCAAAGGCAGAAAGAAATCTTGCCCTTTTTCATTTATTTTATTTATTTATTTTTTTGAGACAGAGTCTCGCTCTGTCGCCCAAACTGGAGTGCAGTTCAGTGATCTCAGCTCACTGTAAGGTCCGCCTCCTGGGCTCAAGCGATTCTCCTGCCTCAGCCTCTTGAGTAGCTAGGATTACAGGCAAGAGACACCATACCCAGCTAATGTTTTGTTTTGTTTTTGAGAGAGTCTTGCTCAGTCGCCCAGGCTGGAGTGCAGTGGCACAATCTCGGCTCACTGCAAGTTCTGCCTCCCGGGTTCATGCCATTCTCAGGCCTCAGCCTCCCGAGTAGCTGGGACTACAGGCGCCCACCACCACGCCCGGCTAATTTTTTTGTATTTTTAGTAGAGATGGGGTTTCACCGTGTTAGCCAGGATGGTCTCGATCTCCTGACCTTGTGATCCACCCATCTCAGCCTCCCAAAGTGCTGGGATTACAGGCATGCGCCACTGCACCCGGCCTTGTTTTGTTTTTGAGACGGAGTCTCGCTTTGTCGCCCAGGCTGGATTGTAGTGGTGTGAACTTGGCTCACTGCAACCTTCCCCTCCCCGGTTCAAATGATCCTTCCACCTCAGCCTCCGGAGTAGCTGGGATTACAGGCGCCCGCCACCATGTCTGGCTAATTTTTTTTGGGATTACAGGCGCCCGCCACCATGTCTGGCTAATTTTTTTATTTTTAGTAGAGACGGGGTTTTGCCATGTTGGCCAGGCTGATCTCAAACTCCTGAACTCAAGCGATCCACCCACCTTGGCCTTCCAATATGCTGGGATTACAGGCATTTGAGCCACCATGCCCAGCCCTCATTTTTGTATTTTTAGTAGAAATGGGGTCTTACCATGGCTGGTCTCAGACTCCTAGCCTCAAGTGATCCGCCTGCCTCATCCTCCCTAAGTGCTGGGATTACAGATATGAGCCACCGTGTCCAGCCTGCCTCTCACCCTCTTTCTTTTTCTTTTTTTTTTTTTGAGACAGAGTCTTGCTCTGTCGCCCAGGCTGGAGTGCAGTGACGCAATCTCGGCTCACTGCAACCTCCGCCTCCCAGGTTCACACCATTCTCCTGCCTCAGCCTCCCGAGTAGCTGGGACTACAGGCGCCCACCATCTCACCCGGCTAATTTTTTGTATATTTAGTAGAGACGGGGTTTCAACGTGTTGCCAGGATGGTCTCGAGCTCCTGACCTTGTGATCTGCCCACCTCGGCCTCCCAAAGTGCTGGGATTACAGACATGAGCCATCGTGTCCAGCCTACATCTCACCCTTTTTCTATAGCCAAGCAGATAAACCTGTCACCTTCATGCCTCATGATAAATAATCATTAGTTCTCCAGTAACAGAACTTGACAGCACCGTTTATCAAACGCATAGTTCATCCTGGAGCCACCTAGTCATTGTGACGACGGTGTGAGCTAATTGGCTTTATCCAGGGGAAAAACACATCTTTCATCATGACAGGAGGGAGTTTTGCAATTTGGAGCAAGGCATCCACTGAAGTTATATTTTGACCCTTCCCCGAAACCAGAATACAGGAAGAATTAAGCCTCTTGTTTCTCGTTTTTCTTTGTCTTTACACAGACTAGTCCAGGATATAAAGTCAAAGGGGAGGTGCTTAAATATACAGCAGAGGGGAAAGAGTTGGGGTAATCTGCCTTGTTGTTGTCATTCAGGGGCAGCAAAGACATCATAGAATTAGATCTTGCAGGACAGGGGTGATAAACATCCTAGAGGGAGGACAGCTGGGACGTGACGCTTTTACCAACCCCACCCCTGGAGTGCTTGTAAAATGGCCACCCCATCCCTGCTGTGCTCCTAGAATCCTGTCCTACTGGGGATAAAACCCAAACCAGCCTAGGCAACATAGCAAGACCATGCCCCTACAAACAATACAAATATTAACGGCTGGGCACGGTGGCTCATGCCTGTAATCCCAGCACTTTGGGAGGCCGAGGCGGGCGGATCACCTGAGGTCAGGAGTTCGAGACCAGCCTGGCCAACATGGTGAAACCCCGTCTCTACTAAAAATACAAAAAATTAGCCAGGCATGGTGGCAGGCGCCTGTAATCCCAGCTACTCGGGAAGCGGAGGCAAGAGAATCGCTTGAACCCGGGAGGCGGAGGTTGCAGTGAGCCGAGATCACGCCATTGCACTCCAGCATGGACAACAAGAGCAAAACTCCATCTCCAAAAAAAAAAAAAATTAAAGCCTGGCACGGTGGTTCACACCTGTAATCCCAGCACTTTGGGAGGCTGAGGCGGGTGGACCACCTGAGGTCGAGAGTTCAAGACCAGCCTGACCAACAAGGAGAAACCCCGTCTCTACTAAAAATACAAAATTAGCTGGGCATGGTGGCACATGCCTGTAATCCCAGCTACTCAGGAGGCTGAGGCAGGAGAATCGCTTGAACCTGAGAGACGGAGGTTGCAGTGAGCCGAGATCGCATCGTTGCACTCCAGCCTGGGCAACAAGAGCAAAACTCTGTCTCAAAAAAAAAAAAAAAATTAGCCAGGCGTGATGGCACATGCCTGTAATCCCAGCTACTTGAGAGGCTGAGGCGGGAGGATGGCTTGACCCGGGAGGTGAAGATAGGCAGTGAGCTGAAACTGCACCACTGCACTCCAGCCCGGGAAACAGAGCCAGAACCTATCTCAAAAAAGAAACAACGAAACCCAAACTCCCCCTGTGGCCTGAAATCATCATATCCTGCTCTGTTGCCTCTTGTCTCTTCCTTCCTGCTACTCTGACCTCTGCTGCTTCCAAATCTTTTTAAGTGGTTTGGACCACAGGGCCTTTGCACTTGCTTTTTACTCTGTCTGGGTGTTCTCTCTGCAGCTCTTCTGAAGGTTGGTTCCTTCTCATCCTTCCAGGGATGACCAGGAAAATAATACTGGAAATAACCTGATGTAGAATCTTTAGAGCATTTAAATATCTGAATTACCTTGTTTGTGTAGTTATCATGTGTGCCGCACCAGACTGTATGTTTTTCATGAGAGTGGCAAGCTGCAAGGTGGTGAAGAGCACCCATCATTGTGGGTTCAAATCCCAGCTCAGCCATACGACTTGGGGGCCTCTCTGAACCTCTGTATCCTCCTCTATAAAATGGGAGATGTAGAAGGGTTTTTATTTATTTATTTATTTATTTATTTATTTATTTATTTATTTATTTCTGAGGCAGGGTCTTGCTGTGTCACCCAGGCTGGAATGCAGTGGCAAGGTGATCTCAGCTCACTGAAGCCTCAACCTCCTGGGTTCAAGCAATGCTCTCACCTCAGCCACCCAAGTAGCTGGAACCATAGAGGTGCATCACTATGCCTGACTAATTTTTTGATTTTTTTTTTCTTGCAGAGATAGGGTCTTGCTACATTGCTCAGCCTGGCCTCAAACTCTTGGGTTCAAGCGATTCTCCTGCCTCAGCCTCTCAAAGTGTTGGGGTTACAGGCGTGAGCCACCACATCAGGTTTGAAATGTTTCTAGAAGGACTAAATAAACAACTCCTAGAATACGTAGTGGGTACAGAATAGGGGCTATGTGTCTCCCAAAGTACTGGGATTACAGGCATGGGATACCATGTCTGGCCAGCAAACACTTAAATAGTCCCTATTCTGCGCCCACTACGTATTCTAGAAGTAGCAGCAGATAGAAGAGAGAGATGGAGCTGGGCATAGTGGCTCATGCCTGTAATCCCACCACTTTGGGAAGCCGAGGCAGGAGGATCACTTGAGGCCAGGAGTTCGAGACCAGCCGGGAAAACACAGTGAAATCATGTCTCTATCAAAAAATACAAAAATTAGCCAGGCATGATGGTGCACGCCTGTAATCCCAGCCAAAGTCCCAGCACTTTGAGAGCCTGAGGCGAGAGAATCGCTTGAGCCCAGGAGCTCGAGGCCAGCCTGGGCAATGCAGCAAGACCCTACCTCTACAAGAAAAAAAAATCAAAACTAGCCCTGGCAACATAGCTAGACCCCATCTCTACAAAAATTAAAGAACTAGCTAGGCATAGTGGCACACACCTGTGGTCTCAGCTACTCAGGAGGCTGAGGCAGAAAGATAGCTTCAGCCTGGGAGGTTGCGGCTGCAGTGAGCCGTGATCTGCCACTGCACTCCAGCCTGGGCAACAGTGTAAGACTCTGTCTTGCAATAAATAAATAAATAAATTGCTGTTTTTATTGTTATAGTAGTAATAGTAATAATAGGGCCGGGCGCGATGGCTCACACCTGTAATCACAGCACTTTGGGAGGCTGAGGCAGGTGGATCACGAGGTCAGGAGTTCGAGACCAGCCTGGCCAACATGGTGAAACCCCATCTGTACTAAAAATACAAAAATTAGTTGGGCATGGTGGGGCACGCCTGTAATCCCAGCTACTCGGGAGGCCGAGGCAGAAGAATTGCTTGAACCCGGGAGGTGGAGGTTGCAGTGAGCCGACATCACGCCATTGCACTCCGGTCTGGGTGACAGAGAGAGACTCCGTCTCAAAATAAATAAATAAATAAATAAATAAATAAATAATACCATAATCCTTAGCTTTTAGCACAGAATTCAGCCTCTATTAGATCACTAGATATTTATTGCATGGACAGACAGATAGATGGATGGCAAATTTTTGAGCAAAGAAAGGTAGTGTAAAGCCGCTTCCAAGCTTTGGGCATGACTTAGATCAAAACCAGAGAGGCTGGGCCAGGTGCAGGAGCTCATGCCTGTAATCCCAGCATTTTGGGAGACCGAGGTGGGCGGACCACCTGAGGTCAGTAGTTCGAGACCAGCCTGGCCATCATGGTGAAACGCCATCGCTACTTTAAAAAATAAATAAATAAAAATAAAAAAATAGCCTGGCATCATGGCGCGTGCCCGTAATCCCAGCTACCTGGGAGGCTGAGGCAGAAGAATCACTTGAGTCTGGGAGGCAGAGGTCGCAGTGAGCTGAGATCGGGCCACTACACTCCAGCCTGGGTGACAGAGCAAGCCTCCATCTCAAAAAAAAAAAAGAAAAAGAGAAAGAAAAAGAAAATCAGAGAGGCTGGCTGGGGATGGGGAAGCCGGGAGGGAGCTGTTCTGCCCACTTCGTCTCAGTTTATACTTCCAGCCTCCACATCTCCCGACTTCAGAACTCAAAAGTCAGATAAAACCGAGAAATGCTATTAGTAAACACAGTTGTGTTTGTCTGTGAGGAGTTACAATGTTGAAAATTGAGTTTAATTTTAAACCATCCTGGGTGACTTAGCTCTCAGCGCTGCCCCCTGGGGAGGGTGCAGTCCTTGGCTCAAAGCCAGAGAATTACCATAGTAAAGCCTGTATTTGTCCCAACTGACAGTTTTGATCCCCTTCCTTGTTTTTTTTTTTTTTTTTTGCTTGTTTGTTTGTTTGAGACTCACTCTGTCACCCAGGCTGGAGGGCAATGGCACGATCTCGGCTCACTGCCACCTAACTCTCGGGTTCAAGCAATTCTTCTGTTTCAGCCTCCTGAGTAGCTCGGACTACAGCCTCCCACCACCACACCTGGCTAATTTTTGTATTTTTAGTATAGATGGGGTTTCACCATATTGGTCTGGTTGATCTCCAACTCCTGACTTCAGATGATCCGCCCGCCTCGGCCTCCCAAAGTGCTGGGATTACAGGCGTGAGCCACCGCGCCAGGCCTCCCCTCCAATTTTTGAAGGAGGAAAAAAAAAGAAACGTTCCCTGCCAGGCATGCTCCCACCCTCATCCCCCAGCCCTCCACACTGTTTTATTGTTTGCCCCTAGGGCTGCCTCTGTGGTTTCGCAGGAGGAAAAGGACCCGAGGCGTCCTCTGCACGCTGAGCCTAGTGACAGATCCTGTTTGGTTAGGATTAAGGAGGGTGAGGACTGCTGAGCTCAAGTCTCAGCAAGGCCTGCCAGGAAGGCATTTATACACTGCAGGCCTGGGGCGCCTCAGGGTTCCAGGGTTAGTGGAGGTGGAAACAGAGAAGCTTGAGAGTAAATAGAGGGAGTTTGTAATCCCTCTCCCACTTCCCCGCCCTGGTTTCATCCCTCTCCCACCTCCCCGCCCTGGTTTCATCCCTCTCCCACCTCCCCGTCCTGGTTTCATCCCCCTCCCTCTCCCGCCCTGGTTGGGTGGAAGGGATGAGAAGCGGCAGACAGAAGAGAGAGAAGGAACTGGGGGCAGTGGCTCACACCTGTAATCCCAGCACTTTGGGAGGCGGAGGCGGGAGGATCACTTGCACCCAGGAGTTCGATACCAGCTTGGAAAACAGTGAAACCCCATCTCCATCAAAAAAAAGAACAAAACAAAAATTATCCAGGTGCGTGCCTATAATCGCAGCTACTTGAGAAGCTGAGGCAGAAGAATTGCTTGAACTCGGGAGGCAGCCGTTGCAGTGAGCCAAGGTCATGCCATTAGCCTCCAGACTGGGCAACAGAGTGAGACTCCAACTCAACAACCACCACCACAACAACAAAAAAGGAGACAGATGGAGAGAGAATCAGATGAGGGAAGAGTGAGGAGAAAGGGGAGAGAGACAAAGGAAGTGAGGAGGAGAAAGAAGGAAGAGGGAGGGGACTGTGAAGGGAAAGTAAATTTCGGGGTCCCCAGATTGTGTCCGGAATTGGTTCCTTCCGGTGGGTTCTTGGTCTTGCTGACTTCAAGAATGAAACCGCAGACCGTTGCAGTGAGTGTTACAGTTCTTAAAGATGGTGTGTCCCGAGTTCGTTCCTTCAGATGTTCAGATGTGTCCGGAGTTTCTTCCTTCCAGTGGGTTCCTGGTCTGGCTGACTTCAGGAGTGAAGCTGTAGACCTTCACAGTGAGTGTTAACAGCTCATAAAAGTAGTGTGGGCTCAAAGAGTGAGCAGCAGGAAGATTTATTATGAAGAACAAAAGAACAAAACTTCCACAATGTGGAAGGGGACATGAGCAGGTTGGCACTGCTGGTTCAGATGGCCAGCTTTTATTACCTTATTTGGCCCCAACCACTTCCTGCTGATTGGTCCATTTTACAGATCGCTGATTGGTCCATTTTACAGAGGGCTGATTGGTCCGTTTTTACAGAGCGCGGATAGGTATGTTTTTACAGAGGGCTGATTGGTGCGTTTACAAACCTTTAGCTAGACACAGAGCGCTGATTGGTGTGTTTTTACAGAGTCCTGATTGGTGCATTTACAAACCTTTAGCTAGACACAGAATGCTGATTGGTGCGTTTACAATCCTTTAGCTAAATAGAAAAGTTCTCCAAGTCCCCACCTGACCCAGAAGCCCAGCGGGCTTCACCTCTCAAAATCATTAAGCTAGAGCGAAAAGTCAAGCTGGGAACTGCTCAGGGCCAACCTGCCTCTCATTCTATTCAGAGTCCCTCCTGTGCTCACTTAGATACATTCATATCTGATTGGCTCCTTTGGAGAGGCTCATCAGAAACTCAAAAGAAGGCAACCTTTTGTCTCTTTATCTACCTATGACCTGGTTTTTGTTTTGAGATGGGATCTCATTGTGTCACCCGGGCTGGAGTGCAATGGCACAAATACAGCTCACTGCAGCCTCCACCTCCTAGGCTCAAGCGATCTTCCCATCTCAGCCTCCCGAGTAGCTGGAACTACAGGTGCACATCACCATGCTTGGCTAATACAAATTAAAAAAAAAAAATTAAGTTCCTCACCCATAGTACATAGCATTATGGCTACAACTGTGGTAGCCCCAGTAGCTGCATTGCAAGAGCTCACTAGCTGTGCATGGCTAGTGAATGATGTAAAACACACCCAAGGCTTAGGAAATGTCCAACGGTCCATTAAACAGTGACACTCTCTAGCGAGACTTCCAGGAGCTGCTTAGCCAATTAGTAGCTCCACGACGACCTTAGGCAGATTATTGTACTTCTCCTTACCTCTCTCAGGTTCCTCATCTGTGAAATGAGCTTAATAATAGTACTATCAAAATGTTGTTGTGAGGGCCTGGTGCAGTAGATAATGCCTGTAATCCCAGCACTTTGGGAGGCCAAGGCAGGTAGATCACTTGAGGTCAGGAGTTCGAGACCAGCCTGGCCAATATGGTGAAACCCCATCGCTACTAAAAATGCAAAAACGAGCTGGGCACGGTGCCAGGTGCCTGTAATCTCAGCACGTTGGGAGGTCGAGGCGGGCAGATCACTTGAGATCAGGAGTTTGAGACCAGCCTGGCCAACATGGTGAAACCCTGTCTCTACTTAAAACACAAAAACTAGCTGGGCATGGTAGTGCACTCCTGTAGTCCCAGCTACTCAGGGGGCTGAGGTAGGAGAATCGCTTGAACTCAGGAGTTAGTGGTTGCAGTGAACCAAGATCGCACCACTGTACTCCAGCCTGGGTGACAGAGTGAGACCCCGTTTGAAAAAAAAAAAAGTTGTTGTGAGAATTCTATGATTTAATATATTAAGAGTTTTTGGAAAGATGCCTGACATGGTAAATCCTTACTATCATTATACTAAGTTGTTAATATTTATATCATGTTATTAATATTATTATGTATTGTAAGTATATATGTGTGTGTGTATATATATATATAAATATATATATATATTTTTTTTTGAGACAGAGTCTCACTTTGTCGCCAAAGCTGGAGTGCAGTGGCACAATCTCGGCTCACTGCAACCTCCACCTACTGGGTTCAAGTAATTCTCTGCCTCAGCCTCCTGGGTAGCTGGGATTACAGGCACCTGCCACCATGTCCGGCTAATTTTTGTATTTTTAGTACAGATGGGGTTTCACCATCTTGGCCAGACGGGTCTTGAACTCCTAACCTCGTGATCCACCCACCTTGGCCTCCCAAGGTGCTGTGATTACAGGCGTAAGCCACCTCGCCCGACTTATTTATTTATTTATTTATTTCTGAGACAGCATCTCACTCTATTGCCCAGGCTGGATTACAGTGGTGCTATCTCTGCTCACTGCAACCTCTGCTTCCTGAGTTCAACTGATTCTCCTGCCTCAGCCTCCCGAGTAGTTGGCGCCTGCCACAACGCCCGGCTAATTTTTGTATTTTTAGTAGAGACAGGGGTTTCAACATGTTGTCCAGGCTGGCCTCGAACTCCTGACCTCAGGTGATCTGCTCACCTCGGCCTCCCAAGTGCTGGGATTACAGGCGTGAGCCACTGCACCTGGCTAAATGTCCCATTAGCTTTAATCCTCATTCAGTACAATTATGTGCTGTATAACAACATTTCAGTCAATGACAGACTGCATATATGACAGTGGTCCCAAGAGATTGTAATACTGTATTTTTACTGTCCTTTCTCTATGTTTAAATACATGTAGATACACAAACGCTTATCATTGGCCTGGTGCAGTGGCTCATATCCATAATCCCAGGACTTTGGGAGGCCAAGGTGAGAGGATCACTTGAGCCCAGGACTTCAAGACTAGCCTGGGCAACATAGTGAGACCCATCTCTAGTTGTAAATATATTTTAAGTTAAAATATAAATTTTAAGGCTGGGCGCAGTGGCTCACACCTATAATCCTAGCAATTTGGGAGGCTGAGGCGGGTGGATCACCTGAGATCAGGAGTTCGAGACCAGCCTGGCCAACGTGGTGAAACGCCATCTCTACTAAAAGTACAAAATTAGCCGGGTGAGGTGCCAGGTGCCTGTAATCCCAGCTACTGGGGAGACTGAGGCAGGAGAATCACTTGAACCTGGGGGCAGCAGTTGCAGTGAGCTGAGATTGTGCCACTTCACTGCAGCCTGGGCGAAAGAGCAAAACTCCATCTGGAAAAAAAAAATATATATATTTATATATATATATATATATATATATATATATATATATATATATATATATATGTAAAATCTAGAGGTCATACCCTACAGCCTGGGTGTGTAGTTGCTATACCATGTAGGTTTGTATAAGTACACTCTATGGTATTTGCACAATGACAAAATTGCCTAGTGATGCATTTCTCAGGATATATCCCCGTTGCTGAGTGAGGCATGACTTGTACCTAGAAGGTACACATTTTTTCAGTCCATGCTATATCTGGGCAAACTGAAGTTCAGAGAGGTTTTGTCAGTCCCCAAAGGTCAATAGCATTGAAGAGGTGAAACTGGGAGGTGATCTGGGCTTGTGAGATTCCAATGCCCACGCCTGTCCACTGGATCATGAGCTCTCTTGAGGCAGAAGCCTGTGCAAGGGTCCTGGGGTAGACATCACAGGGTGTGTCTGGCATGTGATGCATTGGTCAGTTTTGCTGGAATGCAGGGTATGTGGAAGGGAGGGGTGTGGTGGAGACAGATGAGAAATAAAGTCAGAAATAAAGTAGAAGCTAGTCAGACATTGAGCAGCAACCTGTGGATTTGCAGCTCCATTTAAGGAACTACAGAGTGCTCTAAAAAGCATCTAATCTGAGACAGCCTGCCCCTTAGCTCCTGCTGGTGAAAACAGCAGTTCACATCTAGGGAGCAAGAACGATTGTGCTGGCCAGGTGCACTGGCTTACTTCTGTAATCCTAGCCCTTTGGGAGGCCGAGGTGGGCGGATCACTTGAGGTCAGGAGTTGGAGACCAGCCCGGGAAACATGGCAAAACCCTGTCTCTACTAAAAAAACAAAAATTAGCCGGGCGTGGTGGTGGGTGTCTGTAATCCCAGCTACTTGGGAGGCTGAGGCAGGAGAAACACTTGAACCCGGGAGGCAGAGGTGGCAGAGAGCCGAGATCGTACCACTGCACTCCAGCCTGGGGGGTAAAGCGAGACTCCGTAACAAACAAACAAACAAACAAACAAACAAACAAACAGATTGTGCCGAGACCCATGCCTGTGGTCCATCTCACAGAGTCCTTACAAGAACCTTTTTCTTTTTTTTTTGAGACAGAGTCTAGCTCTTTCACCCAAGCTGGAGTGCAGTGGCACGATCTCAGCTCCCTGCAACCTCCACCTCCCGGGTTCAAGGAATTCTCCTGCCTCAGCTTCCCAAGTAGCTGGGATTACAGGCACGCACCACCACGCCTGGCTATTTTTTGCATTTTTTTAGTAGAGATGGGGTTTTGCCATGTTGGCCAGGCTGGTCTCTGACTCCTGACCTCAGATGATCCGATCCACCTGCTTTGGCCTCTCAAAGTGTTGGGATTTCAGGCGTGAGCCACCACGCCAGGCCAATAACTCTTTTGTTTTTATTTTTGAGACAGAGTCTCTCTCTTAGCCAGGCTGGAGTGTAGTGGCACGATCTTGGCTCACTGCAACCTCCTCCTCCTGGGTTCCAGCGATTCTCGTGCCTTAACCTCCCAAGGAGCTGAGACTATGGGCACGCACCACCATGCCCAGCTAATTTTTTTTTTTTTTGAGATGGAATCTCACTCTGTCACCCAGGCTGGAGGGCAGTGGCGTGATCTCGGCTCACTGCAAACTCCACCTCCCGGGTTCAAGCAATTCTCCTGCCTCAGCCTCCCGAGTAGCTGGGATTACAGGCGCCCGCCAACACGTCCAACTAATTTTTGTATTTTTAGTAGAGATGGGATTTCACCGTGTTGGCCAGGCTGGTCCCAAACACCTGATCTTGTGATCTGCCTGCCTTGGCCTCCCAAAGTGCTGGGATTACAGGCGTGAGCCACTGTGCCCTGCCACCTGGCTAATTTTTTTTTTTTTTTTGAGATGGAGTTTCGCTCTTGTTGCCCAGCCTGGAGTGCAATGGCGCGATCTCGGCTCACTGCAACCTCCACCTCCCGGGTTCAAGTGATTCTCCTGTCTCAGTCTCCCAAGTAGCTGGGATTACAGGCGAGTGCCACCACGCCCGGCTAATTTTTGTATTTATAGTAGAATCAGGGTTTCATCATTTTGGTCAGGCTGGTCTCGAATTCATGACCTCAGGTGACCTGCCCACCTTGGCCTCCCAAAGTGCTGGGATTATAAGCATGAGCCACTGTGCCCGGCACTAATTTTTATACTTTTAGTAGAAATTGGGGTCTCACCATGTTGCCCAGGTGGGTCTCAAACTCCTGGCCTCAAGCAATCCTCCCATCTCAGCCTCCCAAAGTGCTGGGATTATAGGTGTGAGCCACCTTGCCTGACCCAGTTGTGTTTGTTTCTTTTTTCTTTTTGAGACAGAGTCTCACTCTGTCCTCCAGGCTGGAGTGCAGTGGTGTGATCTCAGCTCATACAACCTCTGCATCCTGGGTTCAAACGACTCTCTTGCCTCAGCCTCCCTAGTAGCTGGGATTACAAGCACATACCACCATGCCTGGCTAATTTTTCTTTTTTTTTTGAGACGAAGTCTTGTTCTGTCACCAGGCTGGAGTGCAAGTGGTGTGATCTCGGCTCACTGCAACCTCCGCCTCCTGGGTTCAAGCCATTCTCCTGCCTCAGCCTCCCACGTAGCTGGGACTACAGGCGCGCCACCACACCCAGCTAATTTTTGTATTTTTAGGAGAGACAGGGTTTCACCATGTTGGCCAGGATTGTCTCCATCTCTTGAGCTCGTGACCTCGTGATCTACCTGCCTCGGCCCCAAAAAGTGCTGGGATTACAGGCACGAGCCACCAAGCCTGGCCTAATTTTTTGTATTTTTAGTAGAGATAGGGTTTCACCGTGTTGGCCAGGCTGGTCTCAAACTCCTCACCTCAAGTTATCTGCCCGCCTTGGCCTCTGAAAGTCTTGGGATTACAGGTGTTGAGCCATTGTGCCTGGCCACAGACCTGGCTTTTATACTTTTCTTTTTCTTTTTTTTTGAGACGGAGTTTCACTCTGTTGCCCAGGCTGGAGTGCAGTGGCATGATCTCGGCTCACTGCAACCTCTGCCTCCTGGGTTCAAGTGATTCTCCTGCCCCAGCCTCCCGAGTAGCTGGGATTACAGGTGCACACCACCACACCTGGCTAATTTTTTTTTTGGTAGAGATAGGGTTTCACCATGTTGGCCAGGCTGGTCTCGAACTCCTGACCTTAAGTGATCAGCCCACCTCGGCCTCCCAAAGTGCTGGATTACAGGCATGAGCCATCGCATCTGGACTGACTTTTATATTTTTTATAAGAAGTCCGTGATCTTTTCCTCCTTACAAAAATTCAATAACCATTCATTCAATCGTTCATTCAATAAATATTTATTGATGATCTATAATATGGTAAGGAGAGACTAAGAGGTTAATATAAGAGGAAATACAACTATGGTTAGTAATAATCACATTAAGCATTGTTATTATTGGTCGTATTTAGATAAGAATTGATTACAACAGCTCGTTCCACCGTTAATTTGATATTTACACTATGACATCACAAATGGAGAGCTTTACATGAATAATCCCATTTAATCCTCTTAACAGATCTGTGAGATCAGATCGTCTTTTTTTCTTTTTAATAATTTTTGTTGTTTGCTACATGACATTGTGGGATACATGCAGATGGTGCAATGGTTACTACAATGAAGCAGTCATGTATCACTTTCTATTTGTATATGTTTTGTAGTTGAGGAAACTGAGGCTTGGAGAGATTAAGCAACTTGCTCAAGGAAATATAGCTGTGGGTGATAGAGGTGGGGCTTGGGGGTTTGATCCAGGGGTGGGGTGGTCCACACCCTTCATCCACCAGTAGCTTGAGGGTGGTTTTTCAACGGAAGGAGACAGGAGTGAGGAGAACATCTGGGAGTGGCTAAGGTGGAGAGAAAAATCTGAGATGAGAGAGAGAGGGCCAGGCGCAGTGGCTCTCACCTGTAACCCTAGCACTTTTGGAGGCAGAGGTGGGAAGAGTACTTGAGTCCAGGAGTCCAGGAGCTCAAGACCAGCCTGGGCAACATGGGAAAACCCCATTTCTACTAAAAATACAAAACATTAGCTAGGCATGGTTGTACGTGCCTATAGTCTTAGCTACTTGGGAGGCTGAGCTGGGAGGATCCCTTGAGCCCAGAAGTTCAAGAGCAGCCTGGGCAACATGGCAAAACAAGGAAGAAAGAAAGAGAGAAAGAGAGAGAAAAAGAGGGAGGGAGGGAGGCAGGGAGGAAGGAAGGAAGGAAGGAGAAAGAGAAAAAGAAAGAGAAGGAAGGACGGAAAAGAAGGAAGGAAGCAGAAAGGGAGAAAGAAAGAGAAGGAAGGAAGATGAAAGAAAGAGAAAGAAAGAAGGAAGGGAGGGAGGAAGGAAGGAATGAAGGAAGGAAGGGCCAGGCGTGGTGGCTCATGCCTGCAATCCCAGCACTTTGGGAGGCCGAGGAGGATGAATCACCTGAGGTCAGGAGTTTGAGACCAGCCTGACCAACATGGTGAAACCCCGTCTCTACTAAAAATACAACAAATTAGCCGGGCATGGTGGCGGGCACCTGCAATCCCAGCTACTCAGGAGGCTGAGGCACGAGAATCGCTTGAACCCAGGAGGCGGAGGTTGCAGTGAGCCAAGATCGCGCCGTTGCACTCCAGCCTAGGTGACAGAGCGAGACTATGTATCAAAAAAAAAAAAAGAAAAAGAAAAAAAAAAAACAGGAAGGAAGGAAAGAAGGAAGGAAGGAGAGAAAGAAAAAAGGAGAAAAAGCTTTGAGCAGAAGCTCTTTTCCATCATGTTTTCATCCCACAAACATTACTGAGCACCTACAATGTCAAGAGAGGTAGTGGGTGTCAGGGTTCAGGGGTGAGGTAGCACAGTCTTTGAAGAGGTGACATCTGAGCAGAGGACTTAATGAAGTGAGGATGGAACTATTTAGGTATTTGGGTAGGTGGAAGGATGTTCCAGGAAATGCAAGGGACTTGAGGCAGGAGTGAGTTTGAGAAACAGCAAGTAAACCAGAGCAGCTGAAACAGAGTGAACGAGGTGGGAGAGAAGGAATCTGGGGAGGGACATAAGGGCAGGGACAAACCAATAGGTCCTTGGAGGGAATTTAGTTTTGACTCTGACATATATGCAGAACCATGGAAAGACATTAAGCTCTGGTCTATCATTTTCTTTTTCTTTTTTTTTGGACAGGGTCTTGCTCTGTGCCCCAGGCTGCAGTGCAGTGGCTGATCACAGCTCACTGCAACCTCAACCTCCTGGGCTCAAGTGATCCTCCTGCCTCAGTTTCCCAAGTACCTGGGACTACAGGTGTGCACTACCATACCTGGCTCATTTTTTATTTTATTTTATTTTTGAGATGGAGTCTTGCTCTGTTGCCCAGGCTAGAGTTCAATGGCATGATCTCAGCTCACTGCAACCTCCACCTCTTGGGTTTAAGTGATTTTCCTGCCTCAGCCTCCTGAGTAGCTGGGATTACAGGCACCCGTCATCATGCCCAGCTAATTTTTGTATTTTTGTAGAGACAAAGTTTCACCATGGTGGCCAGGCTGGTCTTGAACTCCTGAACTCAGGTGATCTGCCTGCCTCTGCTTCCCATAGTGCTAGGATTATAGGCATGAGCCACTGCGCCTGGCCTATTTTAATTTTTTTTTTTTTTGTAGAGACAGGGTCTCGCTATGTTGCCTAAGTTTATCTTGAACTCCTGGGCCTAAGCAGTCCTCTTGCCATGGCCTCCCAAAGTGCTGGGATTACAGGCATGAGCCACCACGCCCAGCCCATGCTTTGACTCTTATTTTTCACAGCCTCCTTCTGGCTGCTGTACAAAGAGCAGACTGTTAGGGCACAAGGTGGAAAGAAATCAGAGAGGCTATCAGGAGGCAATAATCCAGGAGGAAGACGTGGATACATTTTAAAGACCTTGAAGGATTAGCTGATTCGTGAAACACTGGGAGAGGAGGTGGGTGCAGGGGATTCCGGAGATTCAGGTGGTTGAGAATGGAAGTCTTTGGTGTTCCGGTGGATCTCTGGAAGCCACAGCATTCAAGGGGTGGGTACGAATATAACTGAGGGATCTGCCAGGGAGACTTGCAGACAGAGAGCAAAACAGTTTTTGAATTTGCCAGGGGCTCCGTTAGAAAGGCAAAAAGGCATGGTGGCTCACACATGTAATCCCAGCACTTTGGGAGGCCAAGGTGGGTGGATCACGTGAGGTCAGGAGTTTGAGACCAGCCTGGCCAACATGGTGAAACCCCGTCTCTACTAAAAATACAAAATTAGCCGGGCGTGGTGGTGCGTGCCTGTGATTCCAGCTACTTGGGAGGCTGAAGCAGGAGAATCACTTGCATCTGGGAGGTGGAGGTTGCAGTGAGCTGAGATCGCATCACTGCACTTCAGCCTGGGCAACAAGAGCGAAACTCTGTCTCAAAAACAAACAAACAAAAAGACAATATATTGGCCAACTCTCTGGGCCTCTGTTTTAATGTTAATGCTAGTCAGTTGTGCTTAAACTCCAAAGGGAGGGGTACAATGAGGGATGTCCAAATCCTCTCCTTATCATGGGCTGAACTAGTTTTTCAGGTTCCTTTGGGATCCTCTTGGCCAAAAGAGGGGTCTATGAAGTCGGTTAGGGGGCTTAGAATTTTATTTTTGGTTTATAAGATGAGCTTTCTGGAATTAGAATTTTCAGAAGGGTCTGGAAGAGAGGAAACAGTGAGTGTTACTTTCTCTCGGTCACTTCCGTAGAGGAAGGAAGAAGGGGATTTTCCTCTGGAGTTGTAGGAAATGTCCTGTATCTGGGTCAGGTGGTCCAAGAGGCCTGTAAGAAAAAGTTCTGGGCCGGGCGTGGTGGCTCACGTCTGTATTCCCAACACTTTGGGAGGCCAAGGCGGGCAGATCACTTGAGGTCAGGAGTTCCAGACCAGCCTGGCCAACATGGTGAAACCCTGTCTCTACTAAAATACAAAAATTAGCCAGGCGTGGTGGTGCTCGCCTGTAATCCCAGCTACCTGGGAGGCTGAGGCAGGTGAATCTCTTGAACCCGGGAGGCAGACGTTGCAGTGAGCCGAGATTGCGCCACTGCACTCCAGCCTGGGCGACAGAGTGAGACTCTGTCTCAAAAAAAAAAGGAAGGGAAAAAAAAAGCTCAGTTTCGGAGGTCAAGGTGGGCCAATCACTTGAGGTCAGGAGTTCGAGACCAGCCTGGCCAACATGGTAAAACTCTGTCTCTACTAAAAATACAAAAATTAGCCAGGCGTGCTGGTGTGCATCTGTAATCCCAGCTGTTCTGGAGGCTGAGATAGGAGAATTGCTTGAACCTGGGAGGCGGAGGTTGCAGTGAGCAGAGATGACACCACCGCACTCCAGCTTGGGTGACAGAGCAAGACTCCATCTCAAGAAAAAAAGAAAAAGAAAAAGCTCTGAGGTGGGGTGAGTCATAGGTAAAGAACTGGGAAATCTTGGGTCACCAGAATGAGTGGAAGAGGGGAGGAGGGAAAAAAGAAGAATGACCACAGCTACCCTTTACGGAATCTGATTACGGTTGGGCCATTCACAGAGAGATTTCAGGGAGAGATTAACTCATTTAAGGCCCTCTACAGCTCAGCAGTGTGGGAGCACATTCACCCCCATTTTCCAGATGAGTACACTAAGTCAGAGAGCAGAAGAAATGTACTCAAGTTAACAGCCTGTTGGTGGCTCAACAAAACAGACACAGACAGCAGGCATGGTGGCTCTGCCTGTAATCCCCACACTTTTTTTTTTTTTTTTTTTTTTGAGATGGAGTCTCACTGTCGCCCAGGCTGGAGTGCAGTGGTGCGATCTCAGCTCACTGCAACCTCTGCCTCCCAGGTTCAAGTGATTCTCCTGCCTCAGCTTCCAGAATAGCTGGGATTACAGGCACCTGCCACCACGCCCAGCTAATTTTTGTATTTTTAGTAGAGACGGGGTTTCACCAGGTTGGCCAGGCTAGTCTGGAACTCCTGACCTCAGGTGATCCACCGGCCGTGGCCTCCCAAAGTGCTGGGATTACAGGCATGCACCACCATGCCCAGTTAATTTTATATTTTTAGTAGAGATGGGGTTTCTCCATGTTGGTCAGGCTCTTCTTGAACTCCCGACCTCAGGCGATCTGCCTACCTTGGCATCCCAAAGTGTTGGGATTACAGGCGTGAGCCACTGCGCCTGTCCCAGTTATCTATTGTTATAGAAGAAACGACCCCAAAATGCAGAGGCTTGAATTAATAACGCAGTACATGTCCGTAGTTTCAGCTATTTGGGTAGCTGAGATAGGAGGATCGCTTGAGCCCAAGAGTTTGAGTCCAGCCTGGGCAACATAGCGAGACCCCATCTCTTAAAAAAAAGAAAAACACCAAACACCAAACACCCTCTAGCAAACAATGATTTGAATGACTGGATTTCTCACTGGAAACCATGGACTCTAGAACACAATGGAACAATGTTTCTAAAATGCTGAGAGAACATGACGATTCACTAAGAATTCTATACCAGTGAAAATATCTAGGAGGAACAATAGTAAAATAAATAGGTAAAAGAAAATGAAAAGAAGTCATCATCAACAGAATTGCTCTAAAAGAAACAGTAAAGAGAGTTATTGAGGCTGAAGGGAAATGATATCAAAGAGAAGCCCGGAACTTCAAAAAGAAAGAAGAGTGAGTGAAGGCAAATTTATTGGTCTTTAGATCAAGAGAAGTCGTACTCAAGGTGTTTAAGGTATAATACCTGAGGACCATCGTCCACACCTGTACCTAATTTATTTATTGATCGATTGAGATGAAGTCTCCCTCTGTCACCCAGGCTGGAGTGTAGTGCTGGGATCTTGGCTCACTGCAACCTCCGCCTCCCAGGTTCCCAGGTAATCCTCCTGCCTCAGCCTCCAGAGTAGCTGGGACTACAGGTGCACGCCACCAAGCCTGGCTAATGTTTGTATCTTTTGTAGGGGTGGGGTTTCGCCATGTTGCCCAAGCTTGTCTCCAACTCAAGCAATCTGCCCGCCTCGGTTTCCCAAAGTGCTGGGATTACAGGAGTGAGCCACCGTGCCCAGCTCCTGGCACTAATTTACATCATAAAAGACATGACTGCTTCCATATTGTCACCAGGATACTCAAGCAGCTCTATAGAGAGGCCTACATGGCAATGAACTGAGGTTTTCTGCCCACAACCAGCACTAATTTGCCAAGCAAATGAATGAGCCACCTTGGAACTGGATCCTCCAGCCCACATCAAGCCTTCAGATGACTGCAGCCCCAGAGGACATTTGACTTCAACCTCTTGAAAGCCACTAAGCACCCATCTAAGCTGCCCTTCAACTCCTGGCTCACACGAATTATGTGAGAAAATAAATGTTTCTTGTTTTTTGTTTTGTTTTTATTTTTGAGACGGAGTCTTGCTCTGTTGCCCAGGCTGGAGTGCATGGCACTAACTCGGCTCACTGCAACCTCCGCCTCCCGGGTTCAAGCGATTCTCCTGCCTTAGCCTCCTGAGTAGCTGGGACTACAGGTGTGTGCCACCATGCCTGCCTAAGTTTTTTATTTTTAATAGAGGTGGGGTTTCATCATGTTGGCTAGGCTGGTCTCAAACTCCTGACCTCAGGTGATCCACCCACCTTGACCTCCCTAAGTGCTGGGATTTCAGGTGTGAGCCACCGCGCCCGGTCATGTTTCCTTAAAGCTTTTATCCTATAAAGGGGTGACTTGCAATGTGGAGGGTAGATTTAATCATTGCAAGGGAGGTTTGGAGGTCTGTTTCTAGTCATGTATTCCCTTGATGCCATCCTCAGACCTGTAATCCCAGCACTTTGGGAGGCCAAGGAGAGTGGATTGCTTGAACCCAGGAGTTCAAGACCAGCCTGGGCAACATGGGGAGACCCCGTCTCTACAAAAATAGAAAAATTAGCTGGGTGTGGTGTTACGCAACTGTAGTCCCAGCTACTCGAGAGGCTGTCACTCAAGCTAGAGTGCGGTGGTGTGATCTCAGCTCACTGCAGCCTGGACCTCCTGACCTCAAGCGATCCTCCTGCCTCAGCCTCTTGAGTAGCTGGGACTACAGGCACGCGACACCACCCCCAGATAATTTTTGTATTTTTGTATAGACAAGGTCTCCATATGTTGCCTGGGCTGGTCTCGAACCCCTGTGCTCAAGCGATCCACCCGCCTCGACCTCTCAAAGTGCAGGGTTACAGGCATGACGACAGCATGATTTTCTTTCTCCTTTTCTTTTTCTTTTTTCTTTCTTTCTTTCTTTTTTTTTTTTTTGAGACAGTTTCACTCTTGTTGCCCAGGCTGGAATGCGGTGGCACAATCTCAGCTCACTGCAACCTCTGCCATCCAGGTTCAAGCGATTCTCCTTCCTCAGCCTCCTGAGTAGCTGGGATTACAGGCACCTGCCACCGCACCCAGCTAATTTTTTTGTAGTTTTTAGTAGAGACGGGGTTTCACCTTGTTGGCCAGGCTGGTCTTGAACTCCTGACCTCGTGATCCACCTGCCTCAGCCTCCCAAAATGCTGGGATTACAGGCGTGAGCCACCGCACCCAGCCTTTATGGCATGATTTGCAAGGGAATATGTGACCAGAAACAGAACTACGAAGCTCCCTTGCAATTATTAAATTAAAAGAAAAGGAAAGAAAAGAAAATGATGCTGTTGTAGGGCCAAATAACTGGTTGTATGTTTGTAAGCAGGTGGGTCTCAGAGGGTCGGGGGGTTGTGTGAAGATGCTGTTGAAGTATATCTCTGAGGCTGCACGTCCCTGAGGGAGCATACCAGCGGTGGGTAAGGGCTTGGGAATGGCTGCATCTGGGCGTGTAGGATAGGTTTAGGGTGAGTCTGACCATGAGTAACTCTGACTGTGGGTCGGTGTGGCGTTAGTGACAGGGGCGTGTGGCTCCAGATAGAAGTGTTCTAAAAAAAGACAAAGAAAAGAGCTCACCTTCCTCTTCTATCTTCTCCCTGGGAGGCCAGCCCCTAAAGTCCTAGGAAGGGGCCAGGTCTTGAATCCCAGTGACCCTGATCCGTTGAGGGCGCTTCTGCTGGAAATAGGTGTTTCTGGAAGCCGGGTGGTGACCCTGGTTCTGTCCCTCGGGCCACACTCACAGAGAGTGAGTTTCGTTTATTTGAAACGCAACCATCCAGAAATACAATTGTTTTTTGTTCCACACCTTACTTTTTCTTCCACCTGACACTCACAAATAGTTTCCTTTTGCTTGTGTGATGTGAATGAAGAAGATTGACATCAGCCCTGGTTGAGAATCTGCAGGGGAG
The DNA here is from genome assembly GCF_000001405.40 of Homo sapiens. Taxonomy (NCBI): domain Eukaryota; kingdom Metazoa; phylum Chordata; class Mammalia; order Primates; family Hominidae; genus Homo; species Homo sapiens. The sequence goes on along the minus strand of NC_000019.10, from coordinate 9,039,895 downwards.
AGGCAGACAAGTCCAAACATGTTGCTCAACTCCTGTCCAGGGTGGACAATCGAGGTGAAAGGGCTTCCTTGGGGAGCAGGTATCTGATCCTCAGTTACCCCTTCCCACAATAATGGATGAAGCATATGGAGGCAACAGCATTCAGCAGTGTAGCCTAGTGGCTAGGTCCTCTGACTTTGAAACCACGTGGTCTGGGTTTAAGTCTCAGCTGTGCTACTAATCAGCTGTGTTACACTGGGAGCTTAGCCTCTCTGTGTCTTCAATCTTATTCTTTGTAAAATGTGGATACTTACAAGATAGCAGTACCCAGTGTGGAAATATGTGAGCCAGGTGTGTAATTTTGAATTTTGTATTTATTTATTATTTTTTAAGATGGAGTCTCGCTCTGTCGCCCAGGTTGGAGTGCATTGAGTTAGGGTTTCGTTGGTTTCTTTTGTGTTCGTTTTGTTATTGTTGTTGTTTTAGTTTTGAGACAAAGTCTTGCTCTATCGCCTATGCTGGAGTGCGGTGGCATGATCTGGGCTCACTGCAGCCTCCGCTTCCTGGGTTCAAGCAATTCTCCTGCCTCAGCCTCCCGAGTAGCTGGGATTACAGGCGCTCACCACCATGCCTGGCTAATTTTTATATTTTTAGTAGAGACGGGGTTTCACTATGTTGGCCATGCTGGTCTCCAACTCCTGACCTCAAACGGTCTGCTCGCCTTGGCCTCCCAAAGTGCTGGGATTACAGGCGTGAGCCACTGTGCCCGGCACTTTTTCATTTTTTACATTGACAAAGCATTGTATATATTTATGATATACAAGATGATGTTTTGAAATTTGTATACATTGTGGACTGAGTAAATTGAGCTAATTAACATACATATTACTGGCTGGGCACGGTGGCTTACGCCTGTAATCCCAGCACTTTGGGAAGCCAAGACGGATAGATCACAAGGTCGGGAGATTGAGACCAGCTTGGCCAACATGATGAAACCTTGTCTCTACTAAAAATACAAAAATTAGCCGGGCATGGTGGCGGGTGCCTATAATCCCAGCTACTCAGGAGGCTGAGGCAGGAGAATCGTTTGAACCCAGGAGACGGAGGTTGCAGTGAGCCGAGATCGTGCCACTGCACTCCAGCCTGGGCAACAGGGTGAGACTCCATCTCAAAAACAAAACAAAACAAAACAAAACATATATATTACTTCCCATACTTTTTTTTGAGAACCCCCAAAATCTACTCTCTTAGCAATTTCCAAGTACAGTCAGCTCTCTGTCCTGTGTCTCTATTTGCTTTTGGGCAAATGGAAAGAGGATAGAGAGCCTTTCTGCACCCACTTTTTTTTTTCTCTTGAGAAAGAGTCTCACTCTAGCCTGGAGTGCCATGGTGCAGTCTTGGCTCACTACAACTCCCACCTCCCGGGTTTAAGGAATTCTTGTGCCTCAACCTCCCGAGTAGCTGGGATTATAGGAGCCTACCACCATGCCTGGCTAATTTTTATATTATTAGTAGAGACGGGGTTTCACCATGTTGGCCAGGCTGGTCTCGAACTCCTGACCTCAAGTGATCCACCCTCTTGGCTTCCCAAAGTGCTGGGATTACAGGCATGAGCCACTGCGTCCAGCCCATGCCCACTTCTTAATTGCCTTCAGTTCAACAGTCCTTATGCTAAAGGGGCATATTTTGGGGTGGCGTAGTCTGGTTCCCCACATCTGTTTGTTTGCAGAGCTCTAAGGTTATTGGGGGGTAGGGGCTCCAGTTAGTGATTACCGTAAATGACAGCAGGTGTTATATGAAGGAAATATAGTATTTGGGGCTGAGGATGAGGGAAGAAGATGGAGTAATCTCTAGGAGTTTGGGGCAAATAAGTGGATGTTGGAATCATTCAGCAAGAGAGGAAAAGCGGCACCTAGAGCAGTGATCGGCTCTGTCACACCCATATTAGGCTTGGAGTCGGTCAGCTATCTCCACAGGGTAGCTGAGTATTTGATTCTGGAGCGGGGCTGGAGTTATAGGTTTGGATGTTACAAGTGCGTGGGAGGTTATTGAAACCATGCAGTGGCCAGGGAGGATGCTTGGTGAGCATGATCTAAAAGGGCTGAGATGCCTGTAATCACTGACTAATTTGTGTATTTTTAGTAGAGATGGGGTTTCACCATGTTGGCCAGGCTGGTCTCAAACTCCTGACCTCAAATGATCCACCTGCCTTGGCCTCCCAAAATGCTGGAATTACAGGTGAGTCACCGCGCCTGGCCAACCTGTGTAATTTTTTATGCTAGGTCTGATAAAGAGGTGGATAGTCATAGAGAAGTAGGATTGGGTTAAACAAAAAAAAAAAAAAAAAGAAAGGATCTTCTGCCAGTAAACTGGGGGAACTTAGCCAGGCCTGTTTGTTCAGATTCTTCTCTGTGTCCTGTGTCTTCAGAGATAAGATGTTCCTCTCCTCCCGGGATAGGGAGGGCTGCTCTCACATGAGAGTCTTACAACTTGCTTTAGGAGAGAAGAGAAAAATGTGAGAATAACCTTCATGCCTTGGACATTTTTTTCAAGTGCCAAGGTGCTTGTTTATTTCTAAGAACCTATGATGTGCCTGGCCCTGAGCTGGCTTCCAGGACACAATTATTTTCTAATAACCACATTTCAGAGGCTTATGGGGGAACTTGCCTCTTTCATTCATCCGATATTTAATAAAGATGACTATCTTTCATTCATCTATCCATCTTCTATTCATCTATTCACCCACTCATTCCTGCATCCACCCACCCACCCATTCATCCATTCACCGATCCATTCATTCATCCACTCATCCATGCATTCATCCACTCATCCATCTATCCATTCATGCACTCACCCACCAACCCCTTCTTCCATCCATGCAGCCATCTTTCATTAATCCATCCATCTTCTATTCATCCATCTATTCACCCATTCATTCCTCCACCCATCCACCCACCCACCCATCCATCCACTCATCAATCCATCTATCTGCTCATACATCCATCTATCGTCTGTCCACTCATCCACCCATCCATTCATTCATCCAGCAAATAGTCACTAAATGCTCAGTTTGCCCAAATACATCCACTTGAACTCTCTGCGAGGTCTGTGAAGTGAAGCAGAATGGTCACCTGGGGTCTTGTTAGACATGAAGAATCTCCGCAGGATCTTCCGTATCAGAAACTGCATTTTAACAAATGATTCCTATGTGAATCAAACCTTGAGGGATACTGCTATAAACTTTACCAATATTGACAAGAGTTGTCAAAAAGATTGGGAGGAAGCATGGTCAATGCTGGCATACACTGGTGACTCCATAAATAGTAGGACTGCTATTTTCAATTTTTATTATTGTAGCTTCCAGAATTGGACAGATTAGCACTAGACTAGCTCTTTTTTTTGTTTGGGATGGAGTTTTGCTCTTGTCACCCAGGCTGGAATGCAATGGCACGATCTCAGCTCACTGCAACTTCCTTCTCCCGAGTTCAAGTCATTCTCTTGCCTCAACCTCCTGAGTAGCTGAGATTACAGGTACCCACTACCATGCCCAGCTAATTTTTGTATTTTTAGTAGAAGGGGGGTTTCACCATGTTGGCCAGGCTGGTCTCGAGCTCCTGACCTCAGGTGATCCACCCGCCTCGGCCTCCCAAAGTGCTGGGATTACAGGGGTGAGCCACCGCGCCCGGCCTAGACTAGCTCTTTGTTTGCAAGGTTTGTTTGCAATTTGGGGTCTTATTCAGGGAGCACTTATAGAGGATTGCCTCTTCTGAAGTATACTTATGGCTCTGAGTTTTCTAAATCACTGAAGAGGTAACACTGATCCTGTCTCCTCTCTCTCCTCTCCCCAGGAGGAATTACTCATCTGGACACCAGAGCCCTGCTAAGCCTGGTTGCAGCCACAGAAATCCTGGGTGGTCACCATGTACCCACATCTCAGCCTTCTGCAGAAGACCTGTGCCCTGATATGCCCATCTCCTGTGGGAGAACCCTGGGGACACGCTCACTGTCCAGAGTCAGGAACATGAATGATGCTTCTGTGGACACCAAGAGGCAGCCAAACAAGAGAAAGCTGATCAGAAGGGCAGCATTCAGCCCAGTTCCTTCAAGGTCACCTGCGAGGCCAGAGGGTCCTATGACTTCCTGGAGGCTGGACGCCAGAGGCCAGGGATGGGACCCTGGAGGCCCCAGGATCCCAGTGTATCCCGTGCCCACTGAGCAGTCACATCCTGCACACTCAGGGCTGAGGCACCAGCCACATTCCCACACCAGGACCGGAGACAGTAAGTCCTTGCCTTTTTAATCTTCTAACTAGACATTGGCCCTGCCAGTGTTTAAATGTCTTTGATTCTTTATTGGTCTAGTAGACGTTGAAACTGTGCCTGATGCCAGAGGATGGGCAAATTGGTTGCAGCTTCACGCAGTTTAGAGTCAACTAGTGAAGACAAGTTTGAAACAAAGTATCACAATAAAACAGGATGATGTGGAGGATGGGGGAAGTATGTAGCATTCAGGCAGGTAGGGTGAACCTAGGGGAGGGAATCAGGAGTTTCTCTGCTAGTGAAATTTAAGCTGCAGTGAGGAGTTACCCAGCAAAGATGGCGTCCACATGATGTAAGGGTTTAGTAGATGTTTCTTCTCCCTCCTTCCAACCTCTTTTTGTTTTTTTGGTTTTTTTTGAGACAGAGTCTTGCTCTGTTGCTAGGCTGGAGTGCAGTGGCAGGATCTCAGTTCACTGCAACCCCTGCCTTCCAGGTTCAAGCGATTCTCCTGTCTCAGCCTCCTGAGTAGCTGGGACTACAGGCATGCACCATCATGCCCAGCTAATGATTGTATTTTTAGTAGAGACGGGGTTTCACCATATTGGCCAGGATGGTCTTGATCTCTTGACCTCATGATCTTCCTGCATCGGCCTCCGAAAGTGCTGGGATTACAGGCGTGAGCCACTGCACCCGGCCCCAACCTCCTCTTTCTTTCTTCCTCCTTTTCTTCTCCTCCTGCTTCCCTCTCCTTTTCTCCCTGACCCTCCGCCTCCTTTCTTCCCCTCGTTCTTTTCTCTTCTTCCCCTTTCTCCTCCCCCTTCTTCTCCTCCTTCAATTATTTTATTTATTTATTTACTTATTTATTTTTCGAGACCAGATCTTGCTCTGTCTTGCTCCACCCAGGCTGGAGCACAGTGGCATGATCTGGGCTCACTGCAACCTCCGCCTCCCAGGTTCCAGCGATTCTCCAGCCTCAGCCTCCCAAGTAGCTAAGATTACAGGCACCTGCCAACACGCCCGGCTAATTTTTGTATTTTTAGTAAAGATGAAGTTTCACCATATTGGCCAGGAAGGTCTCGAACTCCTGACCTTAGGTGATCTGCCCACCTCAGCCTCCCAAAGTGCTGGGATTACAGGCGTGAGCTGCCACACCTGGCCCTCCTTCAATTATTTTTAAAATGAATTACTATTTGTTTCTTGAGTCCTTCCAGTCATGGACAAAGCCTGTAGTTCTTTTTTGTCCAGATCTCAAGCTAAGGATGGTTTTTACTGGCCGGGTGCAGTGGCTCACGCCTGTAATCCCAGCACTTTGGGAGGCTGAGGCAGGTGGATCACTTGAGGTCAGGAGTTTGAGACCAGCCTGGCCAACATAGTGAAACCCCATCTCTACTAAAATACAAAAAATTAGCTGGGCTTGGTGGCGGGCGCTTGTAATCCCAGCTACTCAGGAGGCTGAGACAGGAGAATCACTCGAACCTGCGAGGCAGAGATTGCAGTGAGCTGAGATCACGCCACTGCACTCCAGCCTGGGTGACAGAGTGAGACTCTGTCTTAGAAAAAAAAAAATAGGATGGTTTTTACATGTTTGAAGGATTGGGGAAATCAACAACAACAAAAGAGGAAGACAGAGCAGGGTTCTCATGGCCTGTGAAAACTAAGATACTCACTCTGGGCCCTTACTGAAAGTTTGCCAAGACCTGGAATATATTATTTTTTATTTTATTTTATTTATTTATTTTTTGAGACAGAGTCTCTCTGTGTTGCCCAGGCTGGAGTGCAGTGGCGCCATCTCGGCTCACTGCAACCTCCGCCTCCCAGGTTCAAGTGATTCTCCTGCCTCAGCTTCCCAAGTAGCTGGGATGACAGGTGTGTACCATCACACTTGGCCAGGAATATATTATTAACGTGATTTTCATTTGTTTCTTTTTATGTGTGTGTGTGGGGAGGGGCTGCTAGAAAGTTTTAAAACACATATATGGCTTGCGTTGCATTTCCACCATAAGAGCTGCTTTAGAGCGTTTCCAGGGTCTGTCCCAGAGCAAGGCACATGTAAGGTAGGGAGGGACAGGGAGGCCAGTGGTTATTCTTGTACATCTCTGACTTCAGAGTTCTGGATTTGAACCCTTGGTTGTGAACACATTGCTGAACCCATTGGTTCTCAGCAGCTCATCTGTTCAATGTGGCTCTAAGAGCATTTAATGATATAGCACATTGGCCAGGTATGGTGGCTCACACCTGTAATCCCAGTGCTTTGGGAGGCCAAGGCAGATTGCCTGAGCCCAGGAGTTCAAGACCACCCTGGGCAAAATGGTAAAACCCCATCTCTACAAAAAAATTAGCCAGGCTTGGTGGAGGGTTCCTGTAGTTCCAGCTACTTGGGAGGATGGGTTGAGCCTGGGAGGCAGAGGTTGCAGTGAGCCAAGATCGCGTCACTACACTCCACTCCAGCCTGGGTGACAGAGCAAGACCCTGTTTCAAAAAAAAAAAAAAAAGAGGCCGGGCGCGGTGGCTCATGCCTATAATCCCAGCACTTTGGGAGGCCGAAGTGGGCGGATCACCTGAGGTCAGGAGTTCGAGACCAGCCTGACCAACACGGAGAAACTCCATCTCTACTAAAAATGCAAAAATTAGCAGGGCGTGGTGGCACACGCCTGTAATCCTAGCTACTCAGGAGGCTGAGGCAGGAGAATCGCTTGACCCCAGGAGGCAGAGGTTGCAGTGAGCCAAGATCATACCATTGTACTCCAGCCTGGGCAACAAGAGCGAAACTCCATCTAAAAAAAGGAGACAGAGAGATAGCACAAAGCAAACACTTAACACAATGCCTGGCTCACTGAAAGCATCAGGTAGAGGATGCCTCTTTTAAGTCATTTGCTGAAGACCCTCTAAGTCACTACCTCCTAGAGCCAAATGTGCTCTTTACATATTTCAGGAGAGCTCAGTGCACCTCAGCCTTCTGGGCTTTCCCAGTCTGGCCTCACGGGAACGCTTCCTTGCTGTCCTTCTCAGCTGCTTCTGTGAACACTTGAGATTAGCAGCTGGTCATGATGTTACCTGAGCTGGCTAACACCACAGGTGTGCCCAGGAGACCATGAAGAGCAGTAGGGCGAGGCTGTCATGAGGCCAACTGTGCAATGAGAAGGGGTCCTCCCAGCAGCTGGGAAGTGCCATACAGCTTCTGCTGGGGAGCTGGAGGAAGTACGAGTCAGCTCCCACCTGGCCAGCCAGTAAGAGCAGGGCAAGGTGTTGGCACTGGACATTTGGGAGTGTACGTGCCACCAGCTCCTGTCATCTGCTTTGTTTCCGAACTCAAAGAGTGAAGCAGACCTGTCTTGTGGACACTAACTTCCTTCATTCATTCCTTCGCTTGTTTGGCAAATATTTATTGAGCACCTGCTGGGTGGTAACACCTGTGTCAAACACCATGGGATGTACAGTAAACAATGTGGTCAGGGCTTCTGCCCTTGCCAAGGCAGAAAATCAAGAAGATAAAGGTTGTAAAAAAGTCTATGCAGCTGCAGGTCGTGGCATGTGCCTGTAGTCTTAGCTACTTTGGAAGCTGAGGTGGGAGAATCACTTGAGCTCAGAAGTTAGAGGCTGTAGTTTGTGATGATTGCTTGTGGATAGCCACTGCACTCCAGCCTGGGCAACATAGCAAGACCCCATCTCTTTTTTTTTTTTTTTTTGAGACAGAGTTTCACTCTTGTTGCCTAGGCTGGAGTACAATGGTGAGATCTTGGCTCACCGCAACCTCTGCCTTCCGGGTTGAAGCGTTTCTCCTGCCTCAGCCTCCCAAGTAGCTGGGATTACAGGCATGCATGACCATGCCTGGCTAATTTTGTATTTTTAGTAGAAATGGAGTTTCTCCATGTTGGTCAGGCTGGTCCCGAACGCCCAACCTCAGGTGATCTGCTCCCCTTGGCCTCCCAAAGTGCTAGGATTACAGGTGGAGGTTGCAGTGAGCCAAGATCATGCCATTGCACTCCAGCCTGGGCAAGGAGAGTGAAACTCTGTCTCAATAAGTAAATACATAAATAAATCTAGAGAGGGTATGTAATTTTGTTACATGCATAAATTGTATAGTGGTGAAGTCAGGGCTTTTGGGGTATCCATCACCCCAATAAGGTACATCATAGCCATTAAGTAATTTCTCATCACCCTACCACATCTGCTCTGTCATTCCACTCTCTACATCCACATGAACACATTTTTTAGCACCCATGTATGAGTAAGAACATGCAATATTTGACTGTGTGTCTGACCTGTTTCACTTAAGATAATGACCTCCAGTTCCATCCCTGTTGCAGCAAAAGACATGATTTCACGGCTCAAAGATTTTTTTTTATGGCTGTGTGGTATTGCGCTGTGTATATGTACCACATTTTCTTTAGCCAGTCCTCTGTGGATGGACATTTAGGCTGATTTCTTATCTTTGCTATTGCGAGTAGTGCTGTGATAAACCTACAAGTGCAGGTATCTGTTTGTTTGTTTGTTTGTTTGTCTGTTTTGAGACAGAGTCTTGCTCTATTACCCAGGCTGGAGTGCATGGCGTGATCTCAGCTCACTGCAACCTCCATCTCCCGGGTTCAAGCAATTCTTGTGCCTCTGTCTTCTGAGTAGCTGGGATTACAGGCACCTGCCACCACGCCTGGCTAATTTTTGTATTTTATATTAGAGATGGGATTTCACCATGTTGGCCAGGCTAGTCTCAAACTCCTGACCTCAAATGATCTGTCCACCTTGGCCTCTCAAAGTGCTGGGATTACATGCTTAGCCACCATGCCCAGCCAGGAGTCTTTTTGATATATTGATTTCTTTTTTTTTTTTTTTTTTGAGTATATGCCCAGTAGTAGGATTGCTGGATCAAATGATAGTTCTATTGTTTAGTTATTTGAGAATTTTTTTTTTTTTTTGAGACAGAATCTTACTCTGTCGCCCAGGCTTGAGTGCAGTGGCGCGATCTCGGCTCACTGCAAGCTCCGCCTCCCAGGTTCACGCCATTCTCCTGCCTCAGCCTCCCGAGTAGCTGGGACTACAGGTGCCCACCACCATGCCTGGCTAATTTTTTGTATTCTTAGTAGAGACAGGGTTTCACTGTATTAGCCAGGATGGTCTCAATCTCCTGACCTCATGATCTGCCCGCCTCGGCTTCCCAAAGTGCTGGGATTACAGGCGTGAGCCACCGCGCCCGGCCTATTTGAGAAATGTTCATACTGTTTTCCATAGAGGTCGAACTAATTTACACTCTGACCAGCAGTGTACAAGCGTTCCCTTTTCTCAGCATTTTCATCAACATCTGTTATTAAATATTTTTTTGTCTTTTTTTTTTTTTTGAGACGGAGTCTCTCTGTCACCCCGGCTGGAGTGCAGTGGTGCGATCTCGGCTCACTGCAAGGTCCGCCTCCCGGGTTCACGCCATTCTCCTGCCTCAGCTTCCGGAGTAGCTGGGACTACAGGCGCCTGCCACCACGCCCAGCTAATTTTTTGTATTTTTAGTAGAGGTGGGGTTTCACCGTGTTAGCCAGGATGGTCTTGATCTCCTGACCTCGTGATCCGCCCGCCTCAGCCTCCCAAAGTGCTGGGATTACAGGCGTGAGCCACTGTGCCCGGCGTATCTTTTAAATAATAGTCAATAGGAACACACTTTAATGATCTACTGCATGGGATGATGGCCATAGTTAGCAATCATGTATATTTAAATATTGCTAACAAAGCCTTTTTTTTTTTGAGACAGGGTCTCACTCTGTCCCCCAAGCTGGTGTGCAGTGGTGTGATCATAGCTCACTGCTACCTCTCCCTCCCTGGTTCAGGTGATCCTCCTGCCTCAGCCTCCTGAGTAGCTGGGACTACAGGTGCATGCCACCAGACCTGGCTAATTTTTGTATTTTTTTTTTTTTTGAGTTTGAGTTTCATTCTTATTGCCCAGGCTGGAGTGCAATGGCGCAATCTCGGTCACCGCAACCTTTGCCTCCTGGGTTCAAGCGATTCTCCTGCCTCAGCCTCCTGAGTAGCTGGAATTAACAGGTATGCACCACCACACCTGGCTAATTTTGTATTTTTAGTAGAGACAGGGTTTCTCCATGTTGGTCAGGCTGTTCTTGAACTCCCGACCTCAGGTGATCCACCCGCCTTGGCCTCCCAAAGTGCTGGGATTACAGGTGTGAGCTACCATGCTGGGCTAATTTTTGTATTTTTTGTAGAGTTGGGGTTTTACTGTGTTTCCCTAGCTTGTCTCAAACTCCTGGGCTCAAGCTATCCACCCACCTCAGCCCCACAAAGCGCTAGGATTACAGGCATGAGCCACCTCGTCCAGCCTAATAGAGCCTATTTTAAACATTCTCGTCTCCCCAAAAAGTGCTAAGTAGGTGATGTGATAGATATGTTAATTAGCTTGATTTATGGCTGGGCACGATGGCTTACGCCTGTAATCTCAGCACTTTGGGAGGCCAAGGTGGGCGGATCATCTGGGGTCAGGAGTTTGAGACCAGACAGGCCAACATGGCAAAATCCCGTCTCTACCAAAAGTACAAAAAAATTAGCCAGGCATGGTAGCGCATGCCTGTAATCCCAGCTACTCAGGAGGCTAAAGGAGGAGAATCTCTTGAACCCGGGAGGTGGAGGTTGCAGTGAGCCGAGATCGTGGCACTGCACTCCAGCCTGGGTGACAGAGCGGAGCTCCTTCTCAAACAAAAACAAAAACAAAAATTAGCTTGATTTAATCTGTCTACAATGTGTTCACGGATCAAAATATCACATTGTACTCTGTAAATATATACAATATGTGTCAGTTAACCTTTTTTTTTAAGTAGATTAGAAATGTTTTAATTAAATTGTCAACATCTTAGGGAATTTTTGTTAACTCTGAAGATTTCACATGACTAGCTAGATATTTGGTTATTGCAGTGTCTGCAGCACTGGGGAGAGTGTGTCCACCGGGGTCATTTTTTGGGGCTCAGATTTTCCTGAAATGCCCTCATCCAGGGTCCAGCTCAGCTCCATCCTCACCTTCTTCCTCTACCCACTCAGAACATCTTGGTTTCCCCTCTCCTTGAAATAGTTTGTGGATTTTTGCCAGGCGCACTGGCTCATGCCTGTAATCCCAGCACTTTGGGAGGCCTAGGCAGGCAGATCACCTGAGGTCAGGCGTTCGAGACCAGCCTGGCCAACATGGTGAAACTCCGTCTCTACTAAAAATACAAAAATTAGCCGGGTGTGGTGGTGTGCGCCTGTAGTCCCAGCTATTCAGGAGGCTGAGGCAGGAGAATCGCTTGAACCTGGGAGGCGGAGGTTGCAGTGAGCCAAGATCGCACCACTGCACTTCAGCCTAGGTGACAGAGCGAGACTCTGCCTCAAAAAAAAAAAAAAAAAAAAAAGCTTGAGGGTTTTTTCCGAAGTAACAGCTCTCTTCTAGATATTAGTTAAGAAGTCCAGGTGGAGTGTGGTGGCTCACACCCATAATCCCAGCACTTCAGGAGGGCGAGGCAGGAGGATTTGCTTCAGCCCAGGAGTTGGAGACCAGCCTAGCCAACATGGCAAAACTCCATCTCTTCAAAAAATACAAAAATTAGCCAGGCATGGTGGGGTGCACCTGTAGTCCCAGCTACTCATGAGGCTGAGGTGGGAGGATGGCTTAAGCCTGGGAGGTCGAGGTTGCATAGAGCTATGATAACACCACTGCACTCCAGCCTGGGTGACAGAGGGAGACCCTGTCTCAAAAAACAAAAACAAAAGGAATGCCCAGTGGCAGGTTCACTTACTATTATGAAATCCAAACAGAAAAGTCCAACTTCTTTGATTCTGCAGAGGTCAATAAGAGCCTCTTTGAAGTGACTTCACATAAGCAACAAAAATTCATTTGGAGTTCGGGCGCAGTGGTGCACGCCTGTAATCCTACACTTTGGGAGGCCGAGGTGGGAGGATTGCTTGAGGCCAAGAGTTCAAGACCAGCCTGGCCAACACAGCAAGACCTCACCTCTATAAAAGAAAAAACAATTGAAAAAAAAAAGAAGGCCGGGCGCGGTGACTCACGCCTGTAATCGCAGCACTTTGAGAGGCTGAGGTGGGTGGATCATGAGGTAAGGAGTTCGAGACCAGCCTGGCCAACGTGGTGAAACCCCATCTCTACTAAAAATACAAAAATTAGCCAGGTGTGTTGGCACACACCTGTAATCCCAGCTACTCAGGAGGCTGAGGCAAGAGAATCACTTGAACCTAGGAGGCGGAGGTTGCAGTGAGCCGAGATTGCGCCCGTGCGTTCTAGCCCGGGTGACAGTGCGAGACTCCATCTCAAAATAATAATAATAATAAGTAAAAATAAAAAAAATTTATTTGGAAAAGTGAAGGCCTCCATCCTCCACAAAAACAGGGAAGTCAATGAAGTGGACATGAGTCAGTTGGTGTGTGGCATTTGTATCAGCTATCATCGTGTAACAAATTACTCCAAAATGAATGGGCTCAAAACAACATTTATTATCTACAGTTCCAGTGGGCCTGGACTCTGGGCTGGGTTTTCTGCCTCAAGGTCTCTCCTAGGCTGGTATCCAGATGTCATCCAAGGCTGTCCTCACTGTAAGGATCAGCTAGGGGAGGACTGACATCTAAGCTCCCTGTTGGCAGGATTTAGTCCCAGTGGCTATTAGATTAAGGCCCTCAGTGTCAGCCGGGTGTGATGGCTCAGGCCTGTAATCCCAGCACTTTGGGAGGCGAGGCGGGTGGATCACCTGAGGTTGGGAGTTTGAGACCAGCCTGACCAACATGGAGAAACCCCACCTCTACTAGAAATACAAAATTACTGAGCGTGGTGGTGCATGCCTGTAATCCCAGCTACTCGGGAGGCTGAGGCAGGAGAATGGCTTGAACCCAGGACGGGGAGGTTGCAGTGAGCTGAGATCAAGCCATTGCACTCCAGTCTGGGCAACAAGAGCAAAACTCCGTCTCAAAAACAAACAAACATACAAACAAAAAGAAAAAATTAGCCGGATGTGGTGGCACGTGCCTGTGGTCTCAGCTGTTCGGGAGCTGGGGCAGAAGAATCACTTGAACCTGGGAGGTGGAGGTTGCAGTGAGCGGAGATCGCACCACTGCACTCCAGCCTGGGCGACAGAGCGAGACTCTGTCTCAAACAAAACAAAACAAAACAAAACAAAACCAAACAAAACCCTCAGTGTCATTGCCACGCGGCTTTCTCCCAGGAGGCCACTTGTTTTTTCAAAGCATGCAAGCCAAGAAGGAGCTAGATGGAGTGCAGTGAGATGGAAATCGCAGTCTTTTGTAACCTAATCACAAAAGTGACACACCATTGCTTTTGCCGGTTTCTGTTCCTTAGAACGGAGTCATTAGGTTCAGCCCACACTGGAGGCAAGGCATATTAGGCCATTCTCGCATTGCTGTAAAGAAATACCTGAGACTGGGTAATTTATTTCTTTATTTCTTATTTTTATGTATTTATTTTTTTTGAGACGGAGTTTCGCTCTTGTTGCCCAGGCTGGAGTGCAATGGCATGATCTCAGCTCACTGCAACCTCCGCCTCCCGGGGCTCAAGCGATTTTCCTGCCTCAGACTCCAGAGTAGCTGGGATTACAGGCATGCACCACCATGCCTGGCTAATTTTGTATTTTTAGTAGAGACAGGCTTTCTCCATGTTGGTCAGGCTGGTCTCAAACTCCTGACCTCAAGTGATCTGCCCGCCTCAGCCTCCCAAAGTGTTGGGATTACAGGCGTGAGCCACCAGGCCCGGCCTATTTTTTTAATTTTGTGAGACAGAGTCTTGCTCTGTTGCCCAGGCAGGAGTGCAGTGGCGAGACCTCAGCTCACTGCAAGCTTCACCTCCTGGGCTCAAGTGATTCTCCTGCCTCAGCCTTCTGAGTAGCTGGGATTACAGGCACGCGCCACCACGCCTGGCTAATTTTTGTATTTTTAGTAGAGACGGAGTTTCACCGTGTTGGCCAGGCTGGTCTCAAACTCCTGAGCTCAAGTGATGTCCTCTCCTTGGCCTCCCAAAGTGCTGAGATTACAGGCATGAGCCACTCCACCTGGCCAACACTACCCATCTTTTAGGCATCCAACCTCAGGTTGCATGGAGCCCCAGATTAGAGTCAACTCCCTCCTTGTGGGTCCAACCCACTGTTGTCACCTAAGGGGCATGGACCTATTTCTTATTCATCACCCACCTCGGCAATGTCACTCTGAGCCCCCTGGGGGCAGGGGCTGTAACCCTCAGTCACTGTCACGTCCTCATACCTGACACTTTCCCTGGTACCTGTCAGCCCCTGGCAAAAATCTGACAGTGTGAACTGAGTCATTGCCCCCTCTTCTCCCGCCCCACTACCAGCTCCTTTACTGCTATTTACAGCGTGTTTTAATTTCCTAGGGCTGCAGTGACAAAGTACCACAGACTAGGTGACTTCAACAACAGAAATTTAGTGTCTCACTGTTCTGGAAGCCAGAAGTCCGGGATCAAGGTGTGGACAGGGTTGGTTCCTTCTGGGGCTGTGGAGGGAAGGATCTGTCCTATGTCTCTCTCCCAGCGTCTGGTTGTTTGCTAACTTTATTTTTTTTTTGAGACAGAATCTCACTCTGTTGCCCAGCTGGAGTGCAGTGGAGCGATCTTGGCTCACTGCAACCTCTGCCTCCCAGGTTCAATGATTCTCCTGCCTCAGCCTCCTCAGTAGGTGGAATTGCAGGTGCCCACCACGATGCCCAGCTAATTTTTGTATTTTTAGTAGAGATGGGGTATTGCCATGTCAGCCAGGCTGGCCTCCTGGCCTCGAGCCATCCTCCCACCTCGGCCTCCCAAAATGCTGAGATTACAGGTGTGATCCACCACGCCCGGCCTTATTTGCTGACAATCTTCAAGTTTCCTTGGCTTGTGGATACCTCACTCCAATCTTTGCCGTCATCTTCATATGGGCTTATCTCTGTGTATGTCTGTCTTGGTGCCCAAATTTCCTCCCCAACCTTTTTTTTTTTTTGAGATGGAGTCTCACTCTGTCACCCAGGCTGGAGTGCAATGGCATGGTCTTGGCTCACTGCAACCTCCGCCTCCCGGGTTCAAGCGATTCTCCTGCCTCAGCCCCCTCCCCAAGTAGCTGGGACTATAGGCACGTACCACCACGCCTGGCTAATTTTTGTATTTTTAGTAGATATGGGGTTTCACCATGTTGGCCAGGCTGGTCTCTAACTCCTGACCTCGTGATCCACCCACCTCGGCCTCCTAAAGTGCTGGGATTACAGGCGGGAGCCACCACACCCGGCCTCAAATTTCCCCTTTTTAAGGGGACACCAGTCCTATTGGATTAGAGCCCACCCTGGTAGCCTCGTTTCCAATATTTCTAAATAAGGTCACATTCTGAGAGGTACTGGGCATTAGGACATCAACGTCTATTTTTCAGGGGGACACAATTCAAACCATGGGGCTTCTGGCTTCAGAGTCACCCATACTTGAGACCATAATTATCTTTGCCTCTACCCTTTACATAATTCAGTAAATATGGAGAGATGGACTTAATAAGTATAATAGGGGATTGAGCTGAGGGCTGGAGACCCCACAGCAAGTCCTGGCGGGCATCTTAATCCTGCTTTTAAGATTTACAATCAGGAAAGAGCAGGTGTGCTTTTTAAAAAGAAAAATTATTTTTGGACAAGATCTTGCCCCGTCACCCGGGCTGAAGTGAGGCATGGTAATGGCTCACTGCAGCCTTGAACTCTTAGGCTCAAACAATCTTCCCACCTCAGCCTCATGAGTAGCTGATAGTACAGGTGTGCACCAACATGCTTGGCTAATTTTTTTTTTTTCTTTGAGACAGAGTCTCACTCTGTCGCCCAGGCTGGAATGCAGTGGCATGATCTTGGCTCACTGCAACTTCCACCTCCTGGGTTCAAGTGATTCTCCTGCCTCAGCCTCCCGAGAAGCTGGGTTTACAGGTGCATACCACCACACTCAGCTAATTTTTGTATTTTTAGTAGAGACAGGGTTTTGCCATGTTGGCCAGGCTGGTCTCGAACTCCTGACCTTGTGATCCATCCACCTTGGCCTCCCAAAGTGCTGAAATTACAGGTGTGAGCCACCGCACCCGGCCGCCCGGCTAATTTTTTAACTTTCTGTAGAGATGGGGGTCTTGCTATGTTGCCCAGGCTGGTCTCAAACTTCTGGGTTCTACTGATCCTCCCACCTCGGCTCTCCAAAGTGCTGGGATTACAGGCATGAGCCACCGTGCCAGCCCAGATGTGCCTTTGAAACCTCTGTTTTTCAGGTTCCATTGCCTGGGGAGGATAAAAGCAAACAGATTTAGTAATTGCAAATAATTGCAAGAAAATATTTCCTTGGCCCTGCCCCACTCCTGCTTTTCTGAAGTCTCTCAAAGTCTCCCCCAGGGTGACTGCAGGTGTCTCGCACCCTCTCACAGATAAACATGCTTGATGCCACTTCACCAGCTTTGCTGGAAGGGCACCGGGAGTCCTCATTTCAGCCTCACAGCAATGCTGCAAAGTAGGTGCTGTCATTACCCATTTCAAATGCACAAAACACTGAAGTCACTGCCCAAGACGGCACACCTGGGAACTGGTGGAGTTGTCATTTTTTTTTCTTTCTTTTCTTTTTTTTTTTTGAGACGGAGTCTCCTCTGTCGCCCAGGCTGGAGTGCAGTGTGCGATCTCGGCTCACTGCAAGCTCCACCTCCCGAGTTCAAGCAATTCTCCTGCCTCAGCCTCCTGAGTAGCTGGGATTACAGGCACCCGCCACCACAACCAGCTAAGTTTTGTATTTTTAGTAGAGACGGTGTTTCACCATGTTGGCCAGGCTGGTCTCAAACTCCTGACTTTGTGATCCACTGGCCTTGGCCTCCCAAAGTGCTGGGATTACAGGTGTGAGCCACTGCGCCCGGCCTATCATTCCCATCTTTATGTCTGTGTGTACTCAGTGTTTAGCTCCTTAGAGGTGAAAACACGTGGTATTTGGTCTTCTGTTTTGCATTAATTCACTTAGAATAATGGTCTTTGATTTAAACCCAGTGTGTCTGGTTCCCTAGCTTGTGCTTAAAACCCCACCTCAATAAATCATTAGCCCAGGTTGATGGGACAGAAAGCAGGTCAGAAGAAGGAAGGGCATAGCCATGTGAGAAGTGAAGCCCTTTGGGGATTTGAACTCAGGTGAATCTGACTTCAAAGCCATGTATACTCTTATTTTCCCCCTTTTGAAGGTGAAATTAGAATTTGTATGCAGTAACATGCAAAAATGCAAGGGATTTCCCCCAAAATCTTATCATAAAAAATTCAAACATAGAAATAATTTTGCAGGCCAGGTGCAGTGGCTCATGCCTGTAATCCCAGCACTTTGGGTGGGGGTCAAGGTGGGAGGATCACTTGAGCCCAGGAGGTCAAGGATGCAGTGAACTATGATTGTGTCACTGCACTCAGAGCCCGGGTGACAGAGTGAGACCCTGTCTCACAAAAGAAGAAAGAAGAAGGAGGAGGACGAGGAAGGAAGGAAGAAGGAAGAAGAGGAAGAGGTTTCAGAAAGAGAAAGAGAGAAAGAAAGAAAGAAAAAGAAAGAGAGAGACAGAAAGAAAGAAAGAAGAAAGAAAGAGAAAGAAAGAAGAAAGAAAAGAAGGAAGAGGAGAAGGAGAAGAAGAAGGAGAAGAAGGAGAAGGAGGAGGAGGAAGAGGCGGCGGCGGTGAAGCAGGAGGAGAGTAGTTCCAGATTAGGCTGGGCAATGGAGCGAGACCTTATTTCTACAAAAAAGTAAAAAATTAGCTGGGCGTGGTAGTGCATGCTTGTAGTCCCAGCTACTTAGGAGGCTGAGATGGGAGGATTGCTTGAGCCCAGGAGGTCAAGGGTGCAGTGAACTATGATTGTGCCACTGCACGCCACAGACTGGGCAACATAGCAAGACCTTGTCTCTAAAAGTAAATAAATAAATAAATATAAAAGTAAACAAAAAGTTCTTCACGCAGAGCATTAACTAGAGGTCAGTATTCACGTATAGAATTTTATCTTTTGAGGTCAAGTTTATACTCAATTAAATGCACAGACCTCAAGTGTACGTTGGCTAAGTTTGGACAAATGCAAACATCTGTCTAACCCAAATCCCTACTAAGATATAGAACATCAGCATCACCACAGAAAGATATAGAATACTATCCTCCTCTATTTTTCCCTTTATATGGAGGTATAATTTATACTCACGAAAATCCACACATCTTAAGTGCTCAATAAACTGTTCTGAGAGCCATAGCTTTTAGCCACCGGACTATACTTGAAGTCATGTCTCTTCTTGATAACCGGACTTTTCTTTAGTCTAGACTCTTTTGGCCGGGCACAGCGGCTCATGCTTGTAATCCCAGCACTTTGGGAGGCCGAAGAGGGCAGACCACCTGAGGTCAGGAGTTTGAGACCAGCCTGGCCAACATGGTGAAACCCTGTCTCTACTAAACACACAAAAAATTACCTGGGCATGGTGGCGGGTGCCTGTAATCCCAGCTACTCAGGAGGCTGAGGCAGGAGAATTGCTTGAACCCGGGAGGCGGAGGTTGCAGTGAGCCGAGATCATGCCACTGCACTGTAGCTTGGAGGGCAGAGTGAGACCCTGTCTCAAAAAAAAAAAAAAAAAAAGACTCTTTGGTATTGACATCAATCAGTGGTTCTCAATTAGGAGAGATTTTGCCCCCAGGGGACAGTTGGCAATATCTGGAGACATTCTGGTTGTCATACCTGGGAAGTGGAGTGAGGCTGAGGCAGGAGAATAGCTTGAACCCAGGAGCTGGAGGTTGCAGTGAGCTGCAATCGCACCACTGCACTCCAGCCTGGGTGACGGAGCGAGACTCCATCTCAAAACAAAAATGAAAACAAAACAAAGGGGTACAGAAAATACAAGGCATCTGCTTTGTTCATCTCTCTTTTTTTGTTTGTTTTGTTTTAAGAGATGGGGTCTCGCCCTGTCACCCAGGCTGGAGTGCAGTGGTGTGATCATAGCTCACTGCAGCTTCCAACTCCTGGGCACAAGCGATCCTCCTTTCTCAGCCTCTCAAGTAGCTGGGACTACAGGTAACACTGTGCCTGTCTAAATTTTTTATTTTTTTATTTTGTAGAGACAGGATCTCACTATGTTGCCCAGGCTGGTCTTGAACTCCTGGGCTCAAATAATTCTCCTGTCTCAGCCTCCCAAATAGCTAGGACTTCAGGCTGGTGCCACCACACCTGGCTAAGTTTTTTATTTGTTTAGAGATGGGGTCTCACGATGCTACCCAGTCTGGTCTTGAACTCCTGGCCTCAAAGAGATCCTCTAGCATCAGCCTCCTGAATCTTGTTCTCCTCTCTCTCTCTCTCCTTTTCTCTTTTTTTCCTTTGAGACAAGGTCTTGCTCTGTTGCCCAGGCTGGCGTGCAGTGGTGCGATCTCGGATCACTGCAACCTTCATTTCCTGGACTCAAGCAATCCTCCCACCTCAGCCTTCCGAGTAGCTGGGACTACAGGCACACACCACAAAACCTGGCTAATTTTTTTTTCGTTGTTTCCTTTAATTAACATCTAAATAGATTACACATCTTCTATAATTATAATATGGAAATGTATACGAGCAAAATATACAAATTTTTTGGTAAATGCCTAGGGAAGAATGGTGTCAGTCAAGTTCATCCAAGGTCTTAAGCAGCAGCATCTATGCAGCCAGGGTGTGCTGAGCGTTTGGGGACAGAGGTAAATATCCGCAATCCATGCATCACTTTGATTTCTTCTTGTAGTGACTGATTCACTATTTGGTGCTGCTGAATAGTTCTCTCCTCCTTAACTTCTTCTGATTCAATTTTAATTTCATACATGACCCCACAACCTCTTGAAATGTCAGTGACTTTGATAGCTGTAGCTCGAGGAAACTTTTCTTTTTTCTTTTTTTCCTTTTTTTTTTTTTTTTTGACGTTGTCTCACTCTGTCACCCAGGCTGGAGTGCAGTGGCACCATCTCGGCTCACTGCAACCTCTGCCTCCCAAGCTCAAGCGATTCTGTCTCACCCTCCCGAGTAGCTGGGATTACAGGTGCCCGCCACCATGCCTGGCTAATTTTTGTATTTTTAGTAAAGACGGGGTTTCACCATGTTGGCCAGGCTGGTCTTGAACTCCTGACCTCGTGATTCACCCGACTTCGCCTCCCAAAGTGCTGGAATTACAGGCGTGAGCCACCGCGCCCGGTGAGGAAACTTGTTTTGAGAATTTGGGTCATTCTGAGCTCCCCCTCAGTCTGGGAGGCAAACATCCAATGGACACAGTGAAGAGGATGCCCACGGATCGCGGAGCAGAGGTGCTGCGGCGGCCGGGCTCCATGCTGCTATGCCCGGCCCACCTAATTAAAAAAAAAATTTTTTTTTGTAGAAACGGGGTCTCACTATGTTGCCCACGCTGGTCTTGAACTCCTCCCAGGCTCAAGCAATCCTCCAGTCTCAACCTCCCAAAGGGTTGGGATTACAAGCATGAGCCGCCACACCCGGCCTTGTTCTTCTCTTCTCTTTTTTTTTTTTTTGAGATCCTTGCTCTGTCACCCAGTCTGGAGTGCAGTGGGCCGATCTCGGCTCACTGCAACCTCTGCCTTCCAGGTTCAAGTGATTCTCCTGCCTCAGCCTCCCAAGTAGCTGGGATTACAGGCATGCGCCACCACGCCCGGCTAATTTTTTGTGTCTTTAGTAGAGACGGGGTTTCACCATGCTGGCCAGGCTGGTCTCGATCTGCTGACCTCAGGTGATCTGCTCCCCTTGGCCGTCCAAAGTGTTGGGATTACAGGCGTGAGCCACTGCGCCCGGCCTTGTTCCTTCTCTTTATCCCCAGCGCTTGGTCCCTGGTGAATGGTCAATATATGAATAAATCATTCAACAAACTTTTTTTTTTTTGTCTGTGTGACACACCTATCATAGTCAGGTACCCTCTTCATATTCACACACTAGAGAGAGTTATAAGAGATGAAAACACAGATACGCGATCCTGTGGTCAAACGATTTTACAAGGAAGTTACAAGGTGCTTTGGGAACAGGGCGGGGAGCTCTGCTTTCTGTCTGGGGAGGGAGGTAGGGGAGGCCTGGAGAGAATTAGGGGACACAGAATCAGGTAAAGGGAAGGAGGGTAATTCCGGCACAGGGAACGGCCGAGGCAAAGGCTTCGGGGTGAGAAGCGAAGTCATACGTTAGTCCAATGCAGGCCGGGTCCCGGCTCAAGGTGGGCCTTCAACGCCAGGCTGCAGCGTTTGGACTTGGTCCCGAGGGCGGTGAGAAGGCACTGAAGAATTCGGACCGGGGCGGGGCATGGCCGGTGTTGCATTTTTGAAAGGTCACTCTGTTGGCTGGGCGGGCGGAGGGGAACTGGAGGAGGGTGGAGCTGGTGGTAGAAGATGAATATGAGTAAAGAAGCTATTTCGGGAAGGCAGGCAGAGAGAGAGGATGAGGGCATGAACAGAGGTGAGGCAGTGGGCCGAGTCATTACTTAGAAGGGGTCGAGCACTGTGGCTCACGCCTGTAATCCCAGCACTCTGGGAGGCTGAGTCGGGTGGATCACTTAAGGTCAGGAGTTCAAGACCAGCCTGGCCAACGTGGTGAAACCCCATCTCTACTAAACACACACACACACACACACACACACACACACACACACACACTAGCCAGGCATAGTGGCGCACGCTTGTAATCCCAGCTACTCAGGAGGTTGAGACAGGAGAATCACTTAAACCTGGGAGGCAGAGGTTGCAGTGAGCCGAGATTGGCCCACTGCACTCCAGCCTGGGTGACAGAGCAAGACTTCGTCTCAAAAAAAAAAAAAAAACAACTTTTTGTTGCAATGTAACAGACACAAGTAAAGTGTGCACAAAATGCCTGAATCTTAAGTGCGTGTCAATGAATTTTTACATATGTGTAACCATTGCACACCACGATGTAAAATGTTCCCTTCCTCTATTATTTTTTTTAATTTTAATTTTATTTTTTGAAACGGAGTCTCATACTAGCACCCAGGCTGGAGTACAGCGAGGCAGTCATGGCTTACTTCAGCCTCAACCTCCTGGGCTCAAGCAGTCCTCATGTCTCAGCCTCCAGGGTAGCTGGCACGACAGATGTGCACCACCACTCCTGGCTAATTTTTTTTTTTATTATTTTTAGTGGGGCCATCTCACTATGTTGCCCAGGCTGGTCTCGAACTCCTGAGCTCAAGTGATCCTCTTGCCTCAGCCTCCCAAAGTCCTGGGATTACAGACATAAGCCACCTGCGGCCCATTTTTTCTAGAACAGGATTTCTCAGCCTTGGCGCTTTTGACATTAGAAGCTGGGTAATACTTTGTTGTAAGGGGCTGTCCTGTGTGTTGTAGGATGTTTAGCAGCATCTCTGGCCTCCACCTATTAGACACCAGTAGCACCCCTTCTCTCTCAGTTAAAACAACATCTTTAGACGTTGCCAAATGGCAGCTGGGAGGCACAATTGCCCTCACTTGAAAACCACTGCTGGCCGGGTGCGGTGGCTTACGCCTGTAATCCCAGGACTTTGGGAGGCCGAGGCGGGCAGATCACGAGGTCAGGACATCAAGACCATCCTGGCTAACACGGTGAAACCCTGTCTCTACTAAAAATACAAAAAATTAGCCAGGTGTGGTGGCAGGCGCCAGTAGTCCCAGCTACTGGGGAGGCTGAGGCAGGAGAATCACTTGAACCCGGGAGGCAGAGCTTGCAGTGAGCTGCGATCACGCCACTGCCTCCAGCCTGAGCGACAGAGTGAGACTCCGTCGCAAAAAAAAAAAAGAAAAGAAAACCACTGCTGTAGAAAGCTCCTTCAAACCCCTTTTCCAGACAGACAGTGCCCCCATCCTCAGAACACCCTTTTTTTTTTTTTTTTTTTTTTTTGAGGTGGAGTCTTGCACTGTTTCCCAGGCTGGAGTGCAATGGTGCAATCTTGGCTCACTGCAGCCTCCGCCTCCCGGGTTCGAGCAATTCTCCTGCCTCAGCCTCCTGAGTAGCTGGGATTACAGGTGCACGCCATCATGCCCAGCTAATTTTTTTTTTTTTTGTATTTTTAGTAGGGATGGGGTTTCACTATGTTGGCCAGGCTGGTGTCGAACTCCTGACCTCGTGATCTGCCCGCCTTAGCCTTCCAAAGTGCTGGGATTACAGGCATGAGACATCACGCTCCACCTCAGAACACTCTTTTGGCTTCTTTCCCCTCAATTCCTCTTGCCTGTCCTTGAACACATTGCAAATGGAAACATACAGGGCCCAGCTGTGCAATCTTGTGTGAGTTATGTAATTTCTTTGTGCCTCAGTTTCCACCACTGTAAAATGGGTCAATGAAACGCACCACTTCACAGAGAAACCTCGAGAATGAAGAGCCATTCACTTCTGGGAAGGGCGTGGCTCAGAGAAAATATTGAACTCACGTCATTTGTGGATGCTGTGATTTAATGTCAGTGTCCTTTCTTCTGGTTTCGCGGATGGATGCCTGGGAAACACTAAGTTCTCGGTAAACACTTTTAGGGTCATGTTCATTTCTTCTACTGTGGGGATTTGAACCTAGACTACCTCCAGCTCCCCTGTCATTCCCTTGTGATTTTTTTTTTTTTTTTTTTAGAGAGATGGGGTCTCACTATATTGCCCAGACTGGTCTCGAACTCCTTGCCTCAAGCAATCCTCCCATCTCGGCCTCCCAAAGTGCTGGGATTACAGGCATGAGCCACCATGCCTGGCTTTTTTTTTTTTTTTTTTTTTTTTTGAGACAAGGTCTCACTCTGTCACCCAGGCTGGATGGAGTGCAGAGGTGTGATCTTGGCTCACTGCAGTCTCCACCTCCCAGGCTCAGGCCATCCTGCCACCTCAGGCTCCTGAGTAGCTGAGACTACAGGTGAGCACCACCATGCCTGGCTAATTTTTGTATTTTATTTTTTGTAGATATGGAGTCTCATTATGTTGCCCAGGCTGGTCTCAAACTCTTGGGCTCAAGCAATCCTCTAGGCTCGGCTTCCCAAGGTGCTGGGATTACAGGCATAAGCCACCATGCCCAGTGTCCCCTGTGACTTCTAAGCCTGACAATCCAGGCTGGTCTGTTCTCCTACGTGGAAACCCCCATCTTATTAAGAAATGCCAACAGCTTTTCTGAGTTTCCTCTAGTTCCACCTTTTCCATGATGTTTGCCCTGGGAGACTCTCCCGTGCCATTGAAATCCACTCCCTGGCCGGGTGCGGTGGCTCACGCCTGTAATCCCAACACTTTGGGAGGCTGAGGCAGGTGGATCACTTGAGGACGGGAGTTCGAGACCAGCCTGGCCAACATGGGGAAACCCCGTCTCTACCAAAAATACAAAAGTGAGCCGGACATGGTGGCAGGTGCCTGTAACCCCAGCTACTCGGGAGGCTGAGGCAGGAGAATCGCTTGAACCCAGGAGGCAGAGGTTGCAGTGAGCCGAGATGACACCACTGCACTCCAGCCTGGGTGACAGAGCAAGGCTCCGTCTCAAAAAAAGAAAAAAAAAAAAGCTCAGACAAACAAACCCCACTGCACCTTGCTGTTTAGTGATAACTGTGGGTTTCTCCTCCTGCTCTCTGACCCTGCCTCCTCTGTCTCCGCCACTTATCTCTCTCCCTTTTCTCTACTCAGCAGCGTCCCTCAGCCCTCTGTCTCACTCGGCCAGCACCACCCAGCCCTGACGTCTCTTCTTTGCCCCTAGCGATGTTATCACATAAGCAAAGCTGGCTCAGGCCGGGTCAGTCTGGGGATAGCAGGAGACAGAGGTTGCCTTGCTTCGTCTTTGATTCTGCTGTGGTCCTCTCCATTTTCCCACAAGGGGCAGGCAGACCTTTGAGAAGAGAGCACCCAGAAATCTGTACACTTCTCCCCCAGTTCCTTTTTTAAAAAACTTTTAGGTTCAAGGGTACATGGGAAGGTTTGTTACAAAGGTGAACTCATGTCACGGGGGTGTGTTGTACAAATTATTTCATCATCCAAGTTTTTTTTTAATTTTTAAAAAAATTTTTTTGAGACAGAGTTTTGCTCTTGTTGCCCAGGCTGGAGTGCAATGGTGTGATCTCGGCTCACTGCAACCTCCGTCTCCCGGGTTCAAGCGATTCTCCTGCGTCAGTCTCCCGAGTTCTGCGACTACAGGAATGCGCCACCATGCCTGGCTAATTTTAGTAGTTTTAGTAGAGATGGGGTTTCACCATGTTGGCCAGGCTGGTATCGAACTCCTGACTTCAGGTGATCCACCTGCCTTGGCCTCCCAAAGTACTGGGATTACAGGCATGAGCCACCGCACCCGGCCAATAGGTAATTTTTCAACCCTCACTCTTCCTCCTACCCTCCCTTTTTTTGGAGTTCCCAGTGCCTATTATTTCCATCTTTGTGTCCATGTATACTCATTGTTTAGCTCCCACTTTTAAGTGAGAACACATGGTATTTTACATCCTGTTTCTGAGTTATTTCACTTAGGATAATGACCTCCATCTCCACCATGTTGCTGCAAAGGACATGATTTCATTCTTTTTTATGGGTGTATAGTATTCCATGGCGTATACTTACCACATTTACTTTATTCATTCATCCACTGATGGACACTTATTCCACAACTTTGCTTTTGTGTATAGTACTGCAATAAACATACAGGTGCAAGTGTATTTTAGATAAGACAATTTCTTTTCCTTTGGGCAGATTTTTTTCCCTTTGAGCAGTAGTGGGATTGCTGGGTTGAATGGTAGTTCTATGTTTCATTCTTTGGGAAATCTTCATACTGTTTTCCATAGGGGCTGAACTAATTTACATTACCACCAACAGTCAGAGGCTATTTTATTTTATTTTTTTTGAGAGAGAGTCTTACTCTGTTGCCCAGGCTGGATCTCGCTCACTGCAACCTCCCCCTCCTAGGTTCAAGTGATTCTTCTGCCTCAGCCTCCTGAGTAGCTGGGATTACAGGCGTGCACCACCATGCCTGGCTAATTTTTTTGCATTTTTAGTAGAGATGAGGTTTCACCCTGATGGCCAGGCTGGTCTCGAGCTCCTGGCCTCAAGCAATCCACTTGCCTTGGCCTCCCAAAGTGCTGTGATTATAGGCGTGAGCCATTGCACCCGGCCTAATTTTTTAAAACATACTTTAAAAACATTTATTTATTTATTTATTTATAATTTCCACTTTTATTTTAGATTCAGGAGGTACAAATTATGTTCAGGTTTGTTACATGGGTATATTCTATGACGCTGAGGTTTGGGGTACGAATGCACCTGTCTCCCAGATACTATGCATAGTACTCAATAGGTGGGTTTTCAGCCCTAGCCCCGCCTCCTGCCTCCCACCTGTAGTACCCTCCAGTGTCTCTTGTTCCCATCTTCACATCCATACATATCCGTTGTTTACCTCACACTTATAAGTGAGAACGTGATTTTCTGTCCCTGGGTTATTCATTTAGGATAACAGGGCCAGGCACAGTGGCTCATGCTGGTAATCCCAGCACTTTGGGAGGCCGAGGTGGGTGGATCACTTGAGGTCAGGAGTTCAAGACCAGCCTGGCCAACATGGTGAAAGCCTGTCTCTACTAAAAAAAAAAATACAAAATTAGCCAGGCATGGTGATGCATGCCTGTAATCCTAGCTACTTGGGAGGCTGAGGCAGGAGAATCGCTTGAACCCGGGAGGTGGAGGTTGCAGTGAGCCGAGATCATGCCATTGCACTTTAGCCTGGGTGACAGAGCGAGACTCCATCCCCAAAAAACAAAACAAAATGAAACAAAAACCAAAACAAACAAAACAAAACAAAACAAAAACCAGGAGCTCTAATGACCTATCTGGAATCTAAACCCATTTTCCCAGATGCACTCCTTATAAGAATGGGCGACCCCTGGACCTAAGGCATGATGTACTATGGTGCTTAGGGATACTTGCTGCTGTGTGCTAGAGAAAGAGGATTTGCACTGCTTACTCGGGAAGAGCACTGGTTGTGGACTCCAGAGTCCTGGGGCCTGTTTCCAGTTCTGTCGCTGATCTTGCAGATTCTGGTGCTCTGTGTTTTTTTTTTTTTTTTTTGAAATGGAGTTTTGCTATTGTCTCCCAGGCTGGAGTGCAATGGCACGATCTCCGCTCACTGCAACCTCCACCTCCTGGGTTCAAGCAATTCTCCTGCCTCAGCCTCCCAAGTAGCTGGGATCGCAGGCGTGCACCACCATGCCCAGCTAATTTTGTATTTTTAGTGGAGACGGGGTTTCATCATGTTGACCAGGCTGGTCTCGAACTCCTGACCTCAGGTAATCCACCCGCCTCTGCCTCACAAAGTGCTGGGATTACAGGTGATACTCTTTTTAGGGGCCCAGTTTTCCCATCTCTGAGGTAGGCGAAATTGAATACAGTGATTGCCCAGAAAACTCACTGGCTTGCCTTCTGTTTCTCTGCGATGATTTTTCTTAAGTGAGGGACGGGTACCTTGAGAGAGAACTAGGGTGGGAGTTTGGACAAAACTTAGGCTCAACTTTCCCCTTCCAGCTTTCCTTTCTGTTGCTTCCAGCCACTGTCTCCTCCTTGGGAAACTCCCTTCCCTTCCCTTCTCTCCATCTCCCCTGGTCTGGAGGACTCCAGCCTATCTTTCCATCTTGATGCACGTGCCACCTCCTCCAGGAAGACTTCCCTGATTCCCTGCCCCCTCCCAGTCTGGGTTTGGCATCTCCCACCTACCTCTCATTTCCAGCTTGATCACCTGTACTTGTTCATTTATCTGTTTTGGCCAGATTGCCTGCCCAGGGTGTTTCCTGGGGCTCAAGGTATGTCTATGCTGAGAGGAAGGGCTACAGAGCAAGGAGAGAAGAGAAACGGTTAATAGGAAATTGAACAGAGCATAAGCCCCCAGGGGTTGCTGACAGACTTCCCTGGGCCATGAGCCCAGCCACAGGGCCATGGAGTTTGGCTCCAGGTACAAGACCCAGGAGAAGTGGTTGGCCCTGTGGGGGTGTCTGGCACGCTGAGGTCCAAATCCACTGCCTGCCTCCTTCACACTGGGCACCTGCAGGTGTCTCCTTATCTTGAAGATGGGTGATGACAGGCCGGGCACGGTGGCTCATGCCTGTAATCCCAGAGCTTTGGGAGGCCGAGGTGGGTGGATCTTAAGGTTAGGAGTTCGAAACCAGACTGGCCAACATGGCAAAAACCCATCTCTACTAAAAACACAAAAATTAGCTGGGCGTGGTGGCGCACACCTATAATCCCAGCTACTCGGGAGACTGAGGCAGGAGAATCTCTTGAACCCGGGAGGTGGCGGTTGCAGTGAGCCGAGATCACGTCATTGCACTCCAGCCTGGGTGACAGAGCGAGACTCTATCTCAAAAAAAAAAAAAAAAAAAGATGGGTGATATGGGTGATGATAAACCCACTTCCTCTGACTGTTAGAGGCTAGAGGGGTGGGGGGTCTCTTGAGTGCCTGGACAAAGGGGGACAGCAGGGGGGTGTCTTGAGGGGCATGGTACTTAAAAAACATCACCCTGCAATCTGTGCTGGGCCGATTTGAGGGGGAAGAGCCTACTTCTGAAATGACTATTGTCATCACCCAGGCCTGGGGTGAGAAGAAGCTGGTGGAGATTGCAGGGCTGGTGAGGAGGAGGAAGAACCCCCAATCCCCTCCCTGTACCCCACACCAGCCCCTTCCTTGCCTCTCTGCTGCTGTCAAGGGCAGCTGAAGAGCTTGACCGGGGAGTGAGGGACTGCAGCCCCGAGGTGGTTTTGTAGGACTCAGAGCGCGGCAGGAGTATAGCGGGTGTGGCTCTGTGGGGCTTTGGAAGGGTACGAGAAGGCCGGCCCTCAGCTCCCCTGGCAGCCAGGGAGTTCCTATGTGGGAATGCAGCCTCGCGTACACTCCTGAACATTCCAAAACCCTCCAGAGGCAGCTGTGCCTCCCCCAAGGAGGGTCCACCCAGCTCCAGTCTGGCGGTGCCAGTCCCTGCGCAGGAGGGGGTCAGGTAGAACCTGGGGACTTTGGAGAACGGGACAGGTCTATGCCTGGGTCCCTGTTTTCCTTCAAGCCCAGAGGGACCCCCAGTTTGGCAACAGACTCTGGAGTCAGGCTCTGTCCGCGGTGGGGGCTCCCTCGGGCCGCTGCTCTCGGAAGGTATCAGCCTGCAGGTGTCAGTCACTGAGTGCACTGAATCATGCCAGCTGACCTTTGCCAGGAAGGCACCCACTGCTTCCCTCTAGGGCAAGCCCTGCCCCTCTTGAGAAGCTCAGCAAGGTGTGTCCTCACCACCCTCCCTGCAGCCGGGGCCAGACTGGGCTGGGTTCAGTCTCAGGGACTCTCTCGGGGGGTGAGGAGCACAGCCTGGGCAGGCAGTAGGATGGGCCGGGAGGGCCCTGCACACCCAGGGCACCGACGCAGGCCCCTGCTAGCGCTGGCCGTGAGCCTCCTCCTCACCTGCTGGCCAGGTAAGTGGGACTGGGCTGGGGCTCACTGAGGAGCTGGACGGATTCATATAGGAGAGAGGCTGGTATGACAGGTGATTTGTGCTTCCTAAGCCCCAGCAGGGACAGCCAGGAGGTCTTTTGCTTTTGCTTTTGCTTTTCTGTAAATGCCTCCTCCAGCCCGACCCAATGAATCTGCATTTACCAGACTGACGTGGGCGAGTTCACAAAACCGCTGTATTGTGAATTGAGTATCTGCCGAGATGAGTGTGGAAACACCCAAGGATTCCTTCCATCACCGACTCACTCACACACTCACTCCCTGAGGGGGTTTTAGCGGCACCTCCAGTCCCAGTATCTGTGCCCAGCTCTCAGGGACAGAAATGAGCAAGTCGCCGCCGCAGGGTTCCAGGAGCTCCGATCTGGTGGGCGAGAGAGACTGGGGCGTCCAGTCAGTCGGGGTACAGGGCTGAGCAGGAACTTTGCTAAGAGGCATTGATGGGGTAAGGGTGGTGGCGGTGGGGGCAGGGGTCTTAAACTGCAGGGTGGCATCTGAATTGCACAGGGTTGGAATTTTACAGGCACACTTAGGAGCAAAAGAGAAGGGCGTTCCCGGCAGCGGGGACGGAGTAGGCATGGACTAGGAGGCAGGGAGCCATCAGGCGTATCTGGGTCCTTTCCTGTGAGCTGCATGTATCTGGGCTGCGTGATGGGGAGATACCGAGGGAAGGACTGGAAGCAGAAACGCAGCGTGGGAGGGCTGTGGGAGGCATGTTCCTGGGTCCAAAGGGGTCTTTCAAGAACTGTTGGTCATTTTAGGAGATTAGCCTGGACATTACTGCCCAGAGAAAAGACCCTGGGCTCAGGGAAGGGCTGGCATCCAGCTTGGTGTTTCTGTGTGTTGTTGCGGGCTTAAGGGAGCCAGCCTCTCTTCCCTACAGGGAAGTTTCAAGATTGTTCATACCTGAACCCAGGACTGCCCAAACCCACCCAGAACTTATTTTACTCCGGTTGCCTCCGAGGGCAGGAAGTTGGGGCTTTTTCACCAAACAGCCCTCGTGTGCAAGATGAACTGAGGCTTGCAGAAGAGGAGATCTATAATGAGCTGGGTGCTCAGATGTCTGTTCATTTACTCAGAGGAGGAGGAAGGACTGTTTCTCACAGCTTGGCCTGGAAACGGAGGCCACGAGGGGCCTCAAGGGGTTGGGGTTGGGGGAGGCCCATCCACCTCCTCCATCCGGGGAGGGGGGGTGCCCTGGATGCAGACAGACTGTGATTCACCTGCCCCCATGCCCTTCCCTACTCGGGCCCCGGATCTAGCCTGAGAAGCAGGTGAGGAAGGCACCCCAGTCCCCCAGCCCTGAGTCACCGAGGCCGGGCAGTCGGGGACGGAGGGAGAGCTTTGTGGTTGGACACCATTGTGAGGCCTCCACACAATGGCCTGAATGGTGGGCGGGTTTGTATAGGACAACCCCACCACCTCCAGTGGGGCGTGTCCCCCTGACCTGTACTCAAAGCAGGTCACCACCAACAGAGGCTGTTTACTGCATTTGTCCCCAAGGTTCACTCAGGGTCTGATGCCGGGGGCTGTTTGCATTGGGCAGACCCTGCTCCTGTTTCAGGGAGGACTGGGCTTTGGGCTGACACCCCTCCCCATCCCCATCACCCCTCTGGCCACATCAGTCCCTTCCCAAGGGATTCCCCTGGAGTCAGTCCAGACACCATGCGGGATTTTTGACATAAAACACTGGAGAAGACTCTCTTAATCCCTGGCCGTAAATCTGAGCCCACTGCTGGCAAGCTGTGAGTCCTTGAGCCAGACATCTAACCTCTCTGAATTTCCATCTCCCCAAAGAGCAATTTTTAGAAGAATTCCAGAGCTGGAGAAATCCATCTCCCAGTTGCCTCTCCCTCCACCCTGTGGCTGAGAAACTCCAAGAGCCCAAAGGACCTCTGTGACCATCATTTTATTTTATTTATTTATTTGAGACAGAGTCCCACTCTGTCGCCCAGTCTGGAGTACAGTGGCGCAATCTTGGCTCACTGCAACCTCTGCCTCCCCAGTTCAAGCAATTCTCCTGTCTCAGCCTCCTGAGTTGCAGAGATTACAGGTGCCTGCCACCATGCCCAGCTAATTTTTTTTTTCTATTTTTAGTAGAGATGGGGGTTTCACCATGTTGGTCAGGCTGGTTTTGAACTCCTGACCTCAGGTGATCCACCCGCCTCAGCCTCTCAAAGTACTGGGATTACAGGCGTGAGGCACTGCGCCCGGCCCACCATCATTTTATAGGATCCACCTTCTATGTAATATGTTCCTGCACTTTACATGTGTTGTCTCCGTTGAACCTGCCTGACGGGTGAACACAGGGGCACCGTTATCCCCCATTTTGCAGAAGAGAAAACAGGCTCAGAGAGCTTAAGCCTTTTGTTTAAAGTCACACGGCCAGGATTCCAACTCCAGTTTCTGGATGATTCCTAAATGCTGGTTTTTATCCTTTGCCTGGGAAGAGACTGAAGGTTGAGGATTTCTCCTCTCCTGGCAGTTTCTGGGTACGTGAGTCCCCCCACACCGCCGAGGAAATGAGTTCTGTACTGCCCGTCCCAGGAGAAGGGCTGTGAAGACACAGAACATAGGCAGATCTCATTGTGCGCTGCTGAGCCCCTTCCTGGGTCCCTGAACAGTGGTCATTGTCCCAGCCCAGGCCTGGCCAGGGGGATATGAAGTTAAGGGAGTTGGATTATGAAGGGAAGGGGGCATTGGTGGGAGTGGGTGTGTGTAGTGGGCATGGGTGGAACTGTGAGGTGGGTTCCTGGTCTAACCTGCCCTTGCCAGAGTTACAGTTTATCTTTCACCACTTTTGGTTCACCAAAAAGCAGAAAGGTTTGCTTACTGTTTCCTCCAATCCTGGAGAGAGAGTTACCTTTCTTCCCAGTTGCTGGGTAGCAAAGGAAGACAATGGGTCCAAGAGGGGCAGGCCTGGCTGGGTGTACTCTCTCTCTCTCTCTCTCTCTCTCTCTCTCTCTCTCTCTCTCTCTCTCTCTCTGTGTGTGTGTGTGTGTGTATGTGTGTGTGTGTTGTGAGACGGTGTCTTACTCTGTCGCCCAGGCTGAAGTGTAGTGGCGTGATCTCGGCTCACTGCAGCCTCCGCCTCCCGGGTTCAAGTGATTCTGCTGCCTCAGCCTCCCTAGTAGCTGGGATTACAGGCGTGTGCCACCACACCCAGGTAATTTTTGTGTTTTTAGTAAAGATGGGGTTTCAACATGTTGGCCAGGCTGGTCTTGAACTCCTGGCCTCAAGTGATCGGCCTGCCTCAGCCTCCCAAAATGCTGGGAGTACAGGCCTGAGCCATGGTGCCCGGCCGGCCTGGGCATTCTTTATGCTCAGTGGATTCGTCTGGTCACTTGGTTCTCCCAGGGTGGATTGAGCAAGTGAAGGAGACTCTTCCTACCTCTCTGGAGCCTCAAGGGCCAGAAGGCCAGACATAGCAGATTATCCAAGCATGCACTCATGCTGATTGTAGATTCAGTGGTCCAGATGACCATCCCCGTTTTATAGATGAGAGAACAGAAGCTCAAAGAGGAAGGGCTGGGTGCGGTGGCTCACGCCTGTAATCCCAGCACTTTGGGAGGCCGAGGTAGGTGGATCACCTGAGGTCAGGAGTTCGAGACCAGCCTGGCCTACAGGGTGAAACCCTGTCTCTACCAAAAAATACAAAAATTAGTCAGGCATGGTGACACACGCCTGTAGCCTCAGCTACTCGGGAGGCTGAGGCACGAGAATCGCTTGAACCCTGGAGGCAGAGGCTGCTGTGAGCTGAGATCGCACCACTGCACTCCAGCCTGGGCAACAGAGTGAGACCTTGTCTCAGGAAAAAAAAAAAAAAAAAAAAAGCTCAAAGAGAAGACCCCCAGGTAGCCAGGGTAGAACTGAACCCATTCTCTTGATCTTCCTGCCATTATCCAGGCCCGACTTCTAATCCAGGTACCAGCCTCTTCTTCTCCACCTTGGAGGTGCTCCCAAAAGCTCCTCACTCCTGCAGCTCAGAGCTGTGCCCAGGGACCTAAACTGATCACAGTCCCAGAGCCGCAGGGACAAATGCCAGGTCAGGAGGACACAGATCGCAGTAGGATGACCAGTAGGATATCCCAGTTTGCTTGAGCCTGAGGCAGTTCCTTCGATGAGGGACTTTAGTAAAACTAAGAAAGCCCTGGGTAGACCAGGACATGAGGGTCACTCTTCCATCCCAGATGCTCTCCTATACGGATTTCCTTCCTGACACTTCCTCTCTTCAGCCTGTTCCAGTACCTGGCACATAGTAAGTGTACAAGACATATTTGTTACATGAATGAATGAATGAATTAACAAGGTAATAGACTACTTCCCCCCCACCCCCCACTGTATTGAGTTATACTCGAAAAATAAATATTGCATGTATTTATATAAAAGTAGAACTACCATATGATCCAGCAATCCCACCATATACATATACAACATGTACAATACACTGCTTTGATATATGTACATCTTGTGAAATGATTACCACAATCAAGCTAATTAACATACCCATCATCACCTCACATGATTACCTTTTTTTATGTTGTGAGAACATTTAAGATAAACTCTTTTTAGCATGTTTCTTTCTTTCTTTCTTTTTTCTTTGAGATGGAGCAACTCTTGTTGCCCAGGCTGGAGTGCAGTGGTGCAATCTCGGCTCACTGCAACCTCTGCCTCCTGGGTTCAAGCAATTATCCTGCCTCAGCCTCCTGAGTAGCTGGGATTACAGGCTAATTTTGTATTTTTAGTAGAGACGGGGTTTCCCCATGTTGGTCAGGCTGGTCTTGAACTCCTGACTTCAGGTGATCTGCTTGCCTTGGCCTCCCAAAGTACTGGGATTACAGTCGTGAGCCACTGCTCCCAGCCTTCTTTTACCATATTTCAAGTATATAATACAGTGTTACTACCTATAGTCACCATGCTGTACATTAGGTCTCCAGAACTTGTTCATCCTGCATAACTAAAACTTTATACCTGCCTGCTGCTGGGAGTTGCTTGGAGGTTGGCAGCTTGGGGCTGAAGGCTCGCAGATGGAGCGGTCATGTCCCACAAACAAATTTACTATTCCGACAAATACGACAACGAGGAGTTTGAGTCTCAGTTAGTGCCGGCGCAGGGGCAATAGTGAGATTGTGAGAACATTTAAGACCAACTCTTTTAGCATTTTTTCTTTCTTTCCTTTTTTTTTTTTTTTGAGATGGATTTTCACTCTTGTTGCCCAGGCTGGAGTGCAATGGCATGATCTTGGCTAACTGCAACCTCCGCCTCCCGGGTTCAAGCGATTTCCCTGCCTCAGCCTTCCAAGTAGCTGGGGTTACAGGCGTGCACCACCATGCCTGGCTAATTTTGTATTTTTAGTAGAGATAGGGTTTCACTGTGTTGGTCAGGCTGGTCTCGAACTCCTGACCTCAGGTGATCTGCCTGCCTCAGCCTCCCAGAGTGCTGGGATTACAGGCATGAGGCACCGCACCTGTCCACGAGGTTGACTTTTTTAGATTCCACACGTGAGTGAGATCATGCAGTAATTGTCTTTTTGTGACTGGCTTATTTCACTTCGCATAATGTCCTCCAATTCATCCATGATGTCATATATGGCAGAATGTCTTTCTTTTTAAAGACCGAATAATATTCCACTGTAGATAAACCACAATTTTTTTGTCTGTTCATCCATTGGTGGACACTTAAATTGTTTCCATATCTTGGCTACTCTGAATAATGCTACAATGAACGTGGGGGGTGCAGATGTCTCTTGGAGATACTGATTTGATTTTGTTTGGATTGTGAACTCAAAGTATTTGAGATAGGTCTCCATCCATTTAGAAAGTTTATTTTGCCAAGGTTGAGAACACGCCTGTGACAGCCTTAGGAGGTCCTGATGACATTTGCCGAAGGTGGTCAGGGTGCAGCTTGTTTTTATACACTTTAGGGAGACATGAGACATCAATCAAGATGTGTAAGATACAATGGCTTGGTCTGGAAAGGCAGGGCAACTTGAAGTGGCAGCGGCGTGGGCGGGGGGGTGGGGAGGGGGCCGGTTTCCAGGTTATAGGTAGGTAAGAGACAAATGGTTGCATACTTTTCAGTCTTTTTTTTTTTTTTTTTTTTTTTTTTTGAGATTAAGTCTCGCTCTGTCGCCCAGGTTGGAGTGCAGTGGTGCGATCTCGGCTCACTGCAAGCTCCGCCTCCAGGGCTCATGCCATTCTCCTGCCTCAGCCTCCTGAGTAGCTGGGACTACAGGCACCCGCCACCACGCCTGGCTAATTTTTTGTATTTTTACTAGAGACGGGGTTTCACCGTGTTAGCCAGGATGGTCTCGATCTCCTGATCTTGTGATCCGCGCACCTCAGCCTCCCAAAGTGCTGGGATTACAGGCGTGAGCCACTGCACCCGGCTACTTTTGAGTCTTTGATTAGCCTTTCACTGAATACACAGTTTACACGTGAGAGGGAGGTAGAGGAATAGTCACTTAAACCTTAGTCTGGGTCCATAAATCTGCATTTTTACATGAACAATAGGGCAGAGGAAGCAATCAGATATGCATTTCTCTCAGGCGAGCGGAGGGATGACTTTCTGTCCCGCATCTGTAAAGATAAGCTGTCCATTTACATTGCCAAGGTGAAATTCAACAGAACTGTTTTAGGGTAAATATCTTGAGTCCCACAAAGAATTTCCTTGTGGGCAAATTTTGAGGGAGGTATGTTGCTTTTTAAATCTTGGTAGCTATTGGCCGGGTGCGGTGGCTCACGCCTGTAATCCCAGCACTTTGGGAGGCCAAGGCAGGCAGATCACGAGGTCAGGAGTTCGAGACCAGCCTGACCAGCATGCTGAAACCCCATCTCTACTAAAAACAAAAAAAATTAGCCAGGCGTGGTGGTGCGCGCCTGTAATCCCAGCTACTCAGGAGGCTGAGGCAGGAGAATCACTTGAACCTGGGAGGTGGAGGTTGCAGTGAGCCGAGACTGAGCCACTGCACTCCAGCCTGGGCGACAGAGGGAGACCCCGTCTAAAACAAACAAACAAACAAACAAACAAACAATTTGGTAGCTATCTTATTTGGGAATGAAATGGGAGGCTGGTTTGCCTGATGTAGTTCTCAACCTGACTTTTCCCTTTGGCTTTGTGATTTTGGGGTCTCGAGATTTATTTTCCTTTCACAGTATATGTTCCAAGAAGTGGGATTGCTGGATCATATGGTAGTTCTACTTTTATTTATTTATTTATTTTAGAGACAAGATCTTGCTCTGTCACCCAGGCTGGAGTGCAGTGGCACAATCATAGCTCACTGCAGCCTCCAATTCCTGGGCTCAAGCCATCCTCCTGCCTCAGCCTGTCAAGTCACTGGGACTACAGGCATCAATCACCATGCTCAGCTCACAGGTTTTTTTTTTTTGTTTCTTTTTTTGTTTTTTGTGACGGAGTCTTCCTCTGTTGCCCAGACTGCAGTGCAGTGGAGTGATCTCAGCTCACTGCAACCTCCACCTCCCGGGTTCAAGTGATTCTCCTGCCTCAGCCTCCTGAGTAGCGGGGATTACAGGCACCTGCCACCATGCCTGGCTAATTTTTCTACTTTTAGTAGAGACGGGGAGTTTCACCATGTTGGCCAGGCTGGTCTCAATCTCCTGACCTCAAGTGATCCGCCCGCCTCGGCCTCCCAAAGTGCTGGGATTACAGGTGTAAGCCACCGTGCCCGGCTCATAGTTCTATTTTTAATTTTTTGAGGAACCACAGGAAGTGAGTAGGGTCTCTGCCTCAATCCACACCGGATGGAGTTTTCATTCTCTTCTTTCATGCCTGGCTTCTAGAGATGTCGTCACTCTTCCCAGGAGAGGAGACATCCCCTCCTTTCTCAACCTGGAAAAGAAGGACTCTTTATTATTCTTTTTTTGTGGAGGGGAGGTCCCTTGATGTGAGATTTTGCACACTGATATCAAGGAAGGGTCCTCTTTGCAGTTTTACTCTATCAAGAAGGGCCCTTTACCTCTTTAGTCAATACTTTTGAAGAGATTCATTCATTCAATTTGTTCAATGAGTATTTATTGAGCACCTACTGTGTGCAGGCACTGTTCTAGGCAATGAGGGGATGGCTGTGAGCAAATCAAAAGATCCCTGCTGAGCTGACACTTTCAGCAAAGGGGGATGACCTTAAACCAAAACCAGAGTAAGTACGTGATGCATTGTTAAGAAGGGAATAAGGGGGCCGGGTGCAGTGGCTCACACCTGTAATCCCAGCACTTTGGGAGGCTGAGGCGGGTGAATCCCCTGAGGTTGGGAGTTTGAGACCAGCCTGACCAACATGGAGAAACCCCATCTCTACTAAAAATACAAAATCAGCAGGGTGTGGTGGCGCATGCCTGTAATCCCAGCTGCTCGGGAGGCTGAGGCAGGAGAATCGCTTGAACATGGGAGATGGAGGTTTCAGTGAGCCAAGATTGAGCCATTGCACTCCAGAAAAGAAGGGAATAAGGAGAAAAGAAACAGGATGGAGACTCGGGGGTGCTGGAGTGTGTTGTGGGGGCACATTGCTCTTTCCAATAAAGTGGGTTCAAGGAAAGGCCCTCACTGAGAAGCTAAGACTTGAGGGGTGGGGTTCTTGTTACAGATTCACGACTAGCTCATCTCAGGTTGACCTTGTTGCAATGCCTGGGGAGGTGTATGCTGCTATTTCTGCTTTAACTGTAGGGAAACTGGGGCTCAGTGAAGCGAGTTGGGGCAGAACCAGGATGAAACCCAGAACTCTAGGACTTGAGTTCCTGCCCAGTGAGTATGCGTGTGGATAAGTGTGTGATTATGTGTCTGTGTGTGCCTTGTGTGTGTCTGCATGAGCATGTGTGTGTTAGAGTGAATGTGCATAAGTGTGTGCACGTGTCCATGTGTGAGTGTGCAACTTAGTGCTTGCGTGCATACTTGTGTGTGCATCCACCTATGTGTCTACAAGTGTGTGCGATGAGTGTCTGAGTGTGCACAGGTGTGACTGAGCGTGTGTGCATAAGCATGTGTGAATATGTGTGCGAGTGTGAATATGTGTGTGCATGTGTGTATGCATGTGTGCATAGGTGTGTGGGTGTGCATGAATGAGGGTGTGCTTGTTTTTCAGCATGTGTGTCCATGTGTGGGTGTGTTTGAATGCTTACATGTGAGTGTGTAGCTGTGTGTGTGTGCATATGTATTTTGCATACATATGTATGTGCATTTGTGTGTGTATTAGCGTGTGCATGAGTGACTGAGTCTGCACATGTGTGAGACTGTGTGAGTATGTACATAAGTTTAAGTGTGTGCATGAGTGTTTGTATTCGTGCATGTGTGTCCGTGTGTAAGAGTGTGTGTGCATGCATGCAAATGAGTTTTTGTGTGTGCATAAGTGTGAGAGAGTGTGCATGAGTGTTTGTGTGTGTGCATGTGTGGGTAAATATGTTTTCCCTCCTCTTCCTCTGGGGCAGCAGGGGTCCTCCTTTGCCGCTCGTGGCAAAATATCCTGCTTTCCTCAGTTGGGGAGGAGAGCCCTTAGCTTGTTCTTTCTAGGGTAAGTAGCAAGACAAAGGAGCAGTTGGTGCCAACATCCCCCCAAGGACCTCCAGCAGTCCCTGTGGGGACAGGCCAGGCCAGTGGGGCTGAATGGGGCCAGGGGACTCAGCCCATTGTCCAAAGTGGCTCAGCCCTTCCTGGGTGGGAGAGAGGAGGTGGGCCGGGGCCATCCTGGGCTGGAGGGCCCCACCCTGTCCCTCTCCTCATCTCTGCCTGGGATGAGAGGTCCAGGGGGCTGCCCTGGCTGGTCTGGCCACATACCTGAGTGGAGCTGGGCCTCCCACCTGTCAAGGAAACAAACACTGCGGTGCAGGGAGGCAGCCTGCCTGATTGTCCCCACCCTCCCTGGACCTTTCATCCCACCCTGAACAATCCCATCTGCTTCATTTAACCCTTTGTCAGACCTGTTTTGGTGCACTTGTCCTAGCACTTGCAGCTCTGCCAACCCTGTCCCCAACACACAGTGAATCTGAGCCGGGCTTCTCATCCTTATCCTGGCTCTGATCCACCCCCTCTCAGTGACTCTGAACCCACATTGCCCCCTTCCCCTAATAATAAAAAGAATTACACTCTGGGGTAAGTGCTATTCTAGAGCAAGTCATGATAATGATAATAGCTAACAGGGAACACTAACATGTACCAGGCACTCTTTTAAGCTCTTTACAGATATGAATTCATTAAATCCTCATAACAACTTGGAGGACAATAGGAGGTACGTCCTATTATCATTTCCATTTTGCAGAAAAGGAAACCAAGGCGCAGTTAGTTATGCAACCTGTCCAAGGGCACATAGCTGCTATGTGGTAGGGCTGGGCTTTGACCCTGGGCAGACTGGGTCTGTAAGACCCTAGTGATTCTGACCCAGCTCCCCTGTGATCTGAGACATCCTCTTTCTCAGTGACTCCCAGTATTGAGAGAACGAGGCAAAGAGATGAGGTAGGGAGGAAGGCAGGTGCTGCCTATCAGACGATGAGCTGATGCAGGAGCTAACATTAATTATTAGCTATTAGCTAAAAAGTCTAATAGTCTTTTTAGACTGGGATCCATGGTAAGAAATACATTGCACATTGTGTACCAGTGTGCAATGTATTGTGTACCAGTGTACCAGTACCATCCTACCATTGTGACCAGTTTTGCTTATAGATGCATGATGAAAATACTTTTTTCTTTTTTCTTTTCTTTTTTTTTTTTTTTGAGAAGATGTTTCACTCTTGTTGCCCAGGCTGGAGCGCAATGGCGCGATCTCGGCTCACTGTAACCTCTGCCTCCTGGGTTCAAGCAATTCTCCTGCCTCAGCCTCCCGAGTAGCTGGGATTACCGGTGCCCACCACCATGCCTGGCTAATTTTTTGTATTTTTAGTAGAAATGGGGTTTCACCATGTTGGCCAGGCTGGTCTTAAACTCCTGACCTCAGGTAATCCACCCACCTCAGCGTCCCAAACTGTTGGGATTACAGGCGTGAGCCACCGTGCCCAGCCCCTGATGCCTTTTAATTCTATTATATTCTCTTATTTATTTATTTATTTTGGATGCTGCTCTCAACCCACTGAACAGGTTCGTTATCTGCCTGTCTCCATGGCAACAACCCTGTATGCTACAACCTGGACCAATCCCACTGAAGCGAGGTTTCTCAATCCCAGCACAAATGTCAATGGATTTGGGTCTCATAATCCTTTGGGGAGGTAGGGTGGGCTGTCCCATATATTGGTCAAGTGCTAAACAGTATCCCAGGTTCCCTACAACGGGATGGCAGCAGCACTCCCACCAACCAAAAATGTCTTCAGACATTGCCAAATGCAGCCTGTTGCAGTACCTGGCACATAGTAGTTGTGCAATAAATATGTGTTGCATGAATGAAGGGGGCAAATAGAGTCACGGAGGGCCATGAAAGGAGGGTTCTCATGCTGGTATGCCTGATAACAACTATCACAAAAGATTCCAAAAGCCACAACCTTGCACAAAGGCCACCTCAACCTTACGCAAAAAATACTCCTGCAGGCCGGGCACGGTGGCTCACACCTGTAATCCCAGCAGTGTGGGAGGCTGAGGCAGGAGGATCCCTTGAACCCAAGACGCTGTCTGTCTTTTTTTTTTTCCTTGAGATGGAGTCTTGCTCTGTTGCCCAGTCTGGAACTGGAGTGCAATGGCGTGATCTCCGCTCACAGCAACCTCCGCCTCCTGGGTTCACCGCCATTCTCCTGCCTCAGCCTCCCGAGTAGCTGGGATTACAGACACGCACCACCACACCCGGCTAATTTTTTGTATTTTTAGTAGAGATGGGGTTTCCCCATGTTGGCCAGGCTGGTCTTGAACTCCTGATCTCGTGATCCATCCGCCTCAGCCTCCCAAAGTGCTGGGATTACAGGCCTGAGCCACCGCACCCAGCCTGCTCTCTCTCTCTTTTTTTTTTTTTTGAAATGGAGTCTTGCTCTGTCACCCAGGCTGGAGTACAGTGGCATGATCTCAGCTCACTGTAACCTCCACCTCCCGGGTTCAAGTGGTTCTCCTGCCTCAGCCTCCTGAATAGCTGGGACTACAGGCTCCCGCCACCATGCCTGGCTAATTTTTGTGTTTTCAGTAGAGACAGTGTTTCACCATATTGGCCAGGCTGGTCTCAAACTCTGACCTTGTGATCTGCCCGCCTCAGCCTCCCAAAGTGCTGGGATTAAGGCATGAGCCACCGTGCCCAGCCTTCCAAGACGCTGTCTCTACAGAAAAGGTGTTATCCTTGTTATCGATCTTTGTAGCCAAGGACAAATATTTCAAAACTATTATGCAATTCTCCTCAATTTTTCCTCTAAAAAGCTTTGTCTTCCTGAATAGGCACGTATATTACAGTGGCATGCATATTCCCACTGCAATGTTCTATTCCCAAATGAACATATTTTCCTTTAGAGAGTCTGTCTCTGTTTGCTATTTAGGTTGACAGGGGTTTGGCTAGTTAGTCTAAGAAACTGGGATTGCTCTATCTTATCATAAATTCCTCTCCTCCCTGGAGCCCTAGGAAGCTGGCTTCTTCCATCTCAGAAGTTTGTAGGGAGTGAAATAATCTATCAGGAGTATGTGGATAATTTAGTGCCATTCAGTAGGACCGTGTGTGTGTGTGTTTGTGTGTATTTTCTTGGTGAGGGCTGTAGGTATGAAAATACACATCCAATAAAAGTTTCCCCAAAATTTCAGTCATTCACATTTTTACATCCCATGGTCTTTTTCCTTTTTTGTTTTTTTTTTTCTCTCTTCTACATATGGGTAGCCCAGTTATCTCAGCACCACTTATTGAATAGGGAGTCCTTTCCCCATTGCTTGTTTTTGTCAGTTTTGTTGAAGATCAGATGGTTGTAGGTATGTGGCATTATTTCTGGGCTCTCTATTGTGTTCTATTGGTCTATATGTCTATTTTTGTACCAGTACCATGCTGTTTTGGTTACTATAGCCTTGTAGTATAGTTTGAAGTCATAGCCTCTGATCTTGAGGACTTTATTTGCTTATTTATTCATCCATTTTTGAGATGGAGCCTGGCTCTCTCACCCAGGCTGGAGTGCAGTGGCATGATCTCGGCTCACTGCAACCTCTGCCTCCCAGGTTCAAGTGATTCTTCTGCCTCAGCCTCCCAAGTAGCTGGGATTACCCAGCTAATTTTTGTATTTTTATGGAGATGGGGTTTCACGTTGGCCAGGCTGGTCTGGAACTTCTGACCTCACGTGATCCACCCACCTTAGCCTCCCAAAATGCTGGGATTACAGGCATCAGCCACGGTGCCTGGCCAATCTTGAGGACTTTATAGCCTCTTCTTTGTCCTTGTAACATCATCTCCTTAGTCTTTGAGCACTTCCTTGCTTTCTGGCAGAATTATCTCTTAATAATGCTAACCTGGTCACAACCCTCACCCGTTGCTTCAAATCCTCCGTGACTTTCCATTGCACTTCCAAGAAAATCTAAACTTCATACATCACTGGTTTACAACCCTTCCTCCTCTTTCTCCTCATTAGATCTGACCTCTGCTTACCCAGCTGGTTTCGCCTTACACTCCAGCCAGAAAGCACTCCAGTGCTTTCTCAATGCACTCTGGCCACCCTGGCCTTCTTGAAATTTCTCGAGTGGGTCAGGTTTATTCCAGCCTCTGGGCTTTTGCATATATAGTTCCCTCCATCACAAGCACATTTCCCCTGTGATAAGTACCTTCTCATCTCTCAGGGCCCTCCTTAAATATTACCTCCTATGAGAAGTCTTCCCTGATGACTCTATGGAAAATTATGCTTCTCTCCCATTGGTAGAGTGACTTCAAAATTCCCTTCACTCTCTGCAAGGACATTAATTATTTATCTGTTGGATGAATCGTTGTCTGCTTTCTCCACTAGGATGTAAACTTTTTTTTTTATACTTTAAGTTCTGGGGTACATGTGCAGAACGTGCAGGTTAACAAACATACGTATACATGTGCCATGGTGGTTTGCTGCACCCATCAACCCATCATCTACATTAGGTATTTCTCCTAATGTTATACCTCCCCTATAGCCCCCCAACCCCCAACAGGCCCCAGTGTGTGATGTTCCCCTACCTGTGTCCATGTGTTCTCATTGTTCAACTCCCACTTATGAGTGAGAACATGCAGTATTTGGTTTTCTGTTCTGGACATAAACTTTTTGAGGGAGTAAAGACTTGTCTTGTTCCTCACTCTGTGCCCCAAACTTGGAATTGTTGCCAAAACACCAGGGGTCCAGGCTAGGTCCTGCTGCTCACCACACAGAAAGTCAATCACTGAGACAACGATTATTACCAAGGAAGAAGACTTTAATCTCCTTGGCTGCAGTGAGAAAATGGGAGCTCAGTCTTAAATCCATCTCCCTGACCAACTAAAATTACAGGTTTATATAGCAGGGAAGAAATGTGACTACGTGTAGTAAAACAGGAAATCAAGAGGGGTCAGGAAGCAATCATGAGGAATGAGGGGTCTGACATCTCATTGTCTGGATATGATGATCTGCTGAGTTTCTTTTCTTTGATACTTTTTGAGAGGACTGGGGGTCCTTTAATGAGGAAGGAACTCAGATAAAACAAATGTAAGTTTCCCACAGAATGGGAGAAAATATTTGTAAACTATGCACCTGACAAAAGTCTAATATCCAGCATCTATAGAGAACTTAAGTAAATTTACAAGAGAAAAACAAACAACACCATTAAAAAGTGGGCAAAGGCCGGGCACGGTGGCTCACAACTGCAATCCCAGCACTTTGGGAGGCCAAGGCGGGCAGATCACTATGTCAGGAGTTCGAGACCAGCCTGACCAACATGGTGAAACCCTGTCTCTACTAAAAATACAAAAATTAGCCGGGCACGGTGGTGCACGCCTGTAATCCCAGCTACTCAGGAGGCTGAGGCAGGAGAATCACTTGAACCTGGGAGGCGGAGGTTGCTGTGAGGCGCGATCACTACTGCACTCCAGCCTGGTCGACAGAGTGAGACACTGTATCAAAAAAAAAAAACCAAAAAACAAAAAAAACAGACACTTTTTGAAAGAAGAGATACATGTAGCCAAGAAGCATATGAAAAAAATGCTCACTATCACTGATCATTAAAGAAATGCAAATCAAAACCACAATGAGATAGCATCTCACCATAGTCAGAATGGCTATTATTAAAAAGTCAAAAAATAACAGATGCTGGCAAG
The DNA here is from genome assembly GCF_000001405.40 of Homo sapiens. Classification (NCBI taxonomy): domain Eukaryota; kingdom Metazoa; phylum Chordata; class Mammalia; order Primates; family Hominidae; genus Homo; species Homo sapiens. Next base: position 8,995,047 of record NC_000019.10, on the reverse strand, counting down.
GTTGTGGAGAAAATTGAACATTTATACACTGTTGGTGGGAGTGTAAATTAGTTCAACTATTGTGGAAAGCAGTGTGGCAATTCCTCAAAGAGCTAAAAGTAGAACTACCATTTGACCCAGCAATCTCATTATTGGGTATATACCCAGAGAAATATAAATCATTCTACCATAAAGACATATACACGTGAATGTTCATTGCAGCACTATTCCCAATAGCAAAGACAATGGAATCAACCTAAACGCCCATCAATGACAGATTGGATAAAGCAAATGTGATACATATACACCATGGAATACTATGCAGCCATAAAAAAGAACAAGATCATTGCTTTTGCGGGAACATGGATGGGGCTGGAGGCCATTATCCTTAGCAAACTAACCCAGGAACAGAAAACCAAATATTGCATGTTCTCACTTAGAAGTGGGAGCTAAATGATGATAACTCATGAACACAAAGAAGGGAATAAAAAACACTGGGGTCTACTTCATGGTAAGCGTTAGGAGGAGAGAGAGGAGCAGAAAAAATAACTATTGGGTACTAGGCTTCATACCTGGGTGATAAAATCATTTGTACAACAAACCCCGTGACATGAGATTACCTATATAACAAACCTTCACACGTAGCCCCAAACCTAAAATAGTTAAACAATAACAAATGTCAGTTTCAAGTATTTAAATAGGTATATAAATACTGTCTATGAGACTATCGGGTTGGTTTCAGAATCAGCTGTCGTATAAAAGGTGCTCAAGACATATTTGCTGGTTGGATGAATGAGTGACTGAGGGTCTGGAATAAATATTAAATAAATGAAATGGTAAATGAACGAGTCACTATGCAGAGATTCCTATGGAAAGAAGAGCAAGTCCAGAAGAAATTTTTTTTTTATGTTTTTCGTTCTACTTCCTGCTGGGATAACCAACTTGGTTCTTCCTCCACAGGGCTGCCTTTCGACGCAGTGGTCTTTGCCCAAACCACAGACCAAGGAACACTTGGAGCCACCAGGCAGTTGACCCACGACCCTTCCTCCCCGGCGTCACTCATCAGCTCCGTGGGTAGGTAATAATAAAATAAATAATAATAATAATAATAATTAAATAATAATAAATAATAAAAACCAGTAACAGGCTGGGCGGTGGCTCACGCCTGTAATCCCAGCACTTTGGGAGGCTGAGGCAGGCGGATCACGAGGTCAAGAGATCAAGACCATTCTGGCTAACACAGTGAAACCCCATCTCTACTCAAAATACAAAAATTAGCCAGGCGTAGTGGCGCACACCTGTAGTCCCAGCTGCTTGGGAGGCTGAGGCAGGAGAATTGCTTGAACCCAGGAGGCAGAGGTTGCAGTGAGCCGAGATCACGCCATTGCACTCCAGCTTGGCGACAGTGCAAGACTCCGTCTCAAAACAAACAAACAAAAAACAAAAATAAAAAAACAAAATGACAACAAAAAACCGCCCCACCGCCCCAAAAAAAAACAGTAACAGGAGTTTATTAAGTCCTAATTCCTTCACCCTGCATGGTGGATCACATCACTGCATCATCTCAACAGCCCTCTGCTGTTATCCCCGTTGGGCATATGAGGAGACAAGGCTCAGAGAGGTTAAGTGACTTGCCCCAGATCACACAGTGAGTAATTGGGACTTGAGTCCCACTGAGTCCACTTCTTTCATTTTCCTCCCACTGTGCATTTTGTTTCCTGCTCTGGGAAGATTGCAATTGGCTTGATTTTAGGAAGGAAAGAAAATGAGTCTTCAAGAGATGATTTGGGCTGGGCACAGTGGCTCACACCTTGTAATCCCAGCACTTTGGTAGGCCAAGGCGGGTGGATCACTTGAGGTCAGGAGTTCAAGAACAGCCTGGCCAACATGGTGAAACCCCATGTTCTCTACTAAAAATACAAAAACTAGCCAGATGTAGTGGTGCCAGCCTGTAATCCCAGCTACTCAGGAGGCTGAGGCAGGAGAATCGTTTGAACCCAGGAGGTGGAGGTTGCAGTGAGCCAAGATCGCATCACTGCACTCCAGCTTGGGTGACAGAGTGAGACTCCGTCTCCCCACCACCCCAAAAAAAGAGAAAGGTGATTTGAATCTGAGGACTGTGTAAGTAAACTCTGTGTCTTCTGCCTTACTCACAAATATTGGCAGGCTGGCATGGCGGTGAGTGCCTGTAGTCCCAGCTACTCAGGAGGCTGAGTCAGGAGGATTGGTTGAGCCCAGAAGTTGGAGAGTGCAGTGAACTATGATTGCACCATTGCATTACAGCCTGGTTGACAGAGAAAGACCCTGTCTCAAAAACAAAAAACAAAAAACAGGCCAAGCACAGTGGCTCACACCTGTAATCCCAGCACTTTGGGAAGCTGAGGGATGAGGATCACTTGATCCCAGGAATTTGAAATTAGTCTGGGTACCATGGTGAAATCCCATCTCCATAAAAAAATATATATATATACACACACACACACACACACATATATATATACACACACACATATATATATATATATTAGGTGGGTATGGTGGCATGCACCTATACTTCCAGCTACTAGGGAGGCTGAGGCGGACAGATTGCTTGAGCCTAGAAGTTGGAGGCTGTAGTGAGCCATGATTGAACCACTGCACTGCAGCCTGGGCAGCAGAGCAAAACTGTCTCAAAAGAGGGGAAAAAAAAAATGAACAAACACTGGCTTCCTCAGGAGCAGGCAGGAGAGACAGCCCGGTCCTCATCCTCCCCCTGACCCTCTCATCTACCCGCTCACCTTCTCTCTCCATATCCACAGTGTCCTAGAGGCAGATGGCGTTGATGGGGCTGCTGTGAGTGTGGCCACCAACCCTGTCACATAAACAGGCAGGTTTCCCATTGCTGGGAGATGATTCCCCAGGTGTCTCCTTGGAGGGAACCAGCCCAGGCAGGCAGAAGGGGTTCAAGGCAGGAGCCCTGCTGAGGTTCTTCCTGCTGCCTCCTGCTCCTTGCCTCTGGGTGTTAGGTCCTCCCTTTCCTAGGAGTCTAGTTCTGTTCCCTTTATTTGTTGAGACAGAATCTTGCTCTGTCGCCCAGGCTGCAGTGCAGTGGTGCGATCTCGACTCTCTTGCAACTTCCGCCTCCCGGGCTCAAGCGATTCTCCTGCCTCAGCCTCTTGAGCAGCTGGGATTACAGGCGTGCACTACCGCACTAGGTTAATTTTTGTATTTTTAGTAGCGACAGGGTTTCACCATGTTGTCCAGGGTGGTCTTGAACTTCTGACTCTGCCTGCCTTGGCCTCCCAAAGTGCTGGGATTACAGGCGTGAACCGCTGCGCCCGACCTTGTATTGGGATGATGACTTTATAAGCAGCACAACAGAGCAGTTAACAGAGGAGACACTGATATTGGACAGCTTGGGTTCAAATCCCACCTCTGCTACTTTCTGGACAAATAAGGAAACCTCTCTGAACCTCCAGTGTCTTGGGAATAAACGCCCTATGTGACCGAGTAACTGTAAAATCTGAATTAAATTACATGCTGCCTCCAAACAGTGGTTATCAACTGAATGTGATTTTTGTCTCCCAGGAGACATTTGTCATATCTGGAGACATTTTTGGTTGTCAGAAATAGGAGGGTGGGTGCCAGTGACACAAAGCAAAGCCCCTCTTCCTAACCCTGGTGAAAGCTGGAATTGTTTTAATGTGCATCCTATGAGGATGCAACTTACATTAATTAGTTAAGTGTGACTGCTGAAGGAGGGAGAGATTATTCACCATGTGAGCACTGTAAGCTTCACATCCGTTTAGGTGGCTGCTACAAAAACAAACAAAACAACACAGGAAAACATAAAAATATTATAACAAATGAGGCTGAGGATGTGCAGAAATTAGAACACTTGTGCACCGCGGGTGGGAGTCTAAATGGTGCCCCAACTGTGGAAAAGAGTATGATGCTTCCTAAAAAAAAAATTAGAAATAGAATTACCAGATAATCCAGCAACACCACTTCTGGGTATATATTGAAAAGAATTGAAAGCAGAACAGAGACTCAAGCAGGTATTTATACACCGGTGCTCATAGCAGCATTATTTACAATGCCCCAAATGTAGAAACCATCCAAATGTCCTTTGGCAGATTAATGGATTAAAAAAATATATTCCATCCCCACAATGGAATTTTTTTTTCTTTCTTTTTTTTTTTTTTTGAGATGGAGTCTCACTCTGTCGCCCAGGCTGGAGTACAATGGCGTGATCTCAGTTCACTGCAACCTCCGCCTCCTGGCTTCAAGCAATCCTCCCATCTTAGCCTCCTGAGTAGCTGGGATTATAGGGCACCACCACGCCCAGCTAGTTTTTGCATATATATATATAACATATATATGTATTTTTTTCTTTTTTGAGACAGAGTCTCGCTCTGTTGCCCAGGCTAGGGTGCAATGGCGAGATCTTGGCTCACTGCAATCTCCACCTCCTGGGTTCAAGCAATTCTCCTGTCTCAGCCTTCTGAGTAGCTGGGGTTACAGGTGCCTGCCACCATGCTCGGCTTATTTTTGTATTTTTATAGAGACAGAGTTTCACCATGTTGGCCAGGCTGGTCTTGAACTCCTGACCTCAGGTGATCCGCCGGCATTGGCCTCCCAAAATGCTGGGATTACAGGCGTGAGCCACCGTGCCCAGCCTAATTTTTGTATTTTTAGGAGAGACGGGCTTTCACCATGTTGGCCAGGCTGGTATCGAACTGCTGACCTCAAGTGATCCGCCTGCCTTGGCTTCCCAAAGTGCTGGGATTACAGGCGTGAGCCACCACTCCTGGCCCCCACAATGGAATATTATTCAGCCTTAAAAAGGAAGGACATTGTGACACATGCTACAATGTGGGTGAACGTTGAGGACAGTGTGCTAAGTGAAATAAGGCAGTCACAAAAGGACACATTCTGTATGATCCCACTTATGTGAGGTTCCTAGAGTCATCACATTCATAAAGACAGAAAGCAGAATAATGGGTGCTGGGGGCTGGGGAGGGGCAATGGGGAGCATAGTCCTTCCTATCTCCCATTCAGTTCCTCGAACTAGAGAACAACAATCCTGACTCCATACACACACAGCCCACCTACCCACAGGAACTGGGGCAGAGACATCTACCACTGTGGTGCTGATTGACAGAAGTGCCCCATTCTCTGCCTCTCCAGGGGTTCAGCTGCCCTTTTCTTTTCTTTTCGTTTCTTTTCTTTTCTTTTTTTTTTTTGGAGACTGACTGAGTCTCGCTCTGTCGCCCAGGCTGGAGTGCAGTGGCGCAGTCTTGGCTCACTGCAAGCTCTGCCTCCAGAGTTCACGCCATTCTCCTGCCTCAGCCTCCTGAGCAGCTGGGACTACAGGCGCCCGCCACCGCGCCCAGCTAATTTTTTGTATTTGTAGTGAAGACGGGGTTTCACCGTGGTCTCGATCTCCTGACCTCGTGATCCGCCCGCCTCGGCCTCCCAAAGTGCTGGGATTATAGGCTTGAGCCACCGCGCCCAGCCTCAGCTGCCCTTTCAAGCTCTACTTGTTCCTAGTCAATGCTAAGGTTACAAATTGACTAACTGTCTTCGTAAGTATTGCTTTTCAGACTCCCTGGAAAATCATCTAGGGCTACATGCCCTTGGGAATGGCTTTCCAAATTTATTTTTTAATTTTTATTTATTTATTTTTTTGAGACGGAGTTTCACTCTTGTTGCCCAGGCTGGAGTGCAATGGCTTGATCTCGGCTCACCGCAAACTCCACCTCCCGGGTTCAAGCGATTCTCCTGCCTCAGCCTCCAGAGTAGCTGGGATTACAGGCATGTGCCACCACATCCGGCTAATTTTGTATTTTTAGTAGAGATGGGGTTTCTCCATGTTGGTCAGGCTGGTCTTGAACTCCTGACCTCAGGTGATCCACCCACCTCGGCCCCCCAAAGTGCTGGGATTACAGGTGTGGGCCACCACGCCCGGCCATAAATTTCAAGACCCGCCCCCCCCGCCAACTAAGTATTACTACTAGTCTTGTTCAGCAATGCGTCATGCCTTCACCCTTTTCCCCTCCTGCACGAGATGTCCCTATGACACAGCTTGCCATCTAAATTCTAGGAAACATCGGGTACTGTAGCATTTTCAAAGATAGAAAAGATTTAGCTGAGGTCTGGCGTGGTGGCTGACACCCGTAATCCCAACACTTTGGGAAGCTGAGGAGGGAGGATTGCTTGAGCCCAGGAGTTGGAGATCACTTTAGGCAACATGACAAGACTGCATCTCTACAATTAAAAAAAGAAAAAATTAGCCAGGCATGGTGGTGCATGCCTGTAGTCCCAGCTACTCAGGAGGCCGAGGCGGGAGGATTGCTTGAGCCCAAGAGATCGGGGCTGCAGTGAGCTACGATCACACCTCTGCCCTCCAGCCTGGGTGACAGAGCAAGACCCTGTTTCAAAAATAGAAGATTCAGCTAAGAACTAAGAATGTGTGAGGACCCAAGGTAAGAAAGCACCCGAACTACTTGACATGGACAAGGCTATGACTAGGTAGTGAAATATCACTGTCTGTAGAACCTTTGGAATGCCTCTAAACAAACAGGAAACATCCTTTTCTATTTCCAAATAGGTCAAGTATTAGGTAACCAAAGTAACCAAATAGACCCGAGATTCTTTTAGCTACGTAAATAATAACTAAATCTGATACATACAAGAAGATAAACTAAAAGGATTGGCCAGCAGGGGGCACTTGTGTCTTCCTCGCGGGGTGTAGCATCTACAAAAACTACTGGTTAAATTCTAATTCTGGGCCAAGCGCAGTGGCCCAGGCCTGTAATCCCAGCACTTTGGGAGGCCGAAGCGGGCGGATCACCTGAGGTCAGGAATTCGAGACCAGCCTGGCTAACGTGGCGAAACCCCGTCTCTATTAAAAATACAAAAATTAGGCTGGGCGCAGTGGCTCACGCCTGTAATCCCAGCACTTTGGGAGGCTGAGGCGGGCGGATCACGAGGTCAGGAGATCGAGACCACCCTGGCTAACACGGTGAAACCCTGTCTCTACTAAAAATACCAAAAAAAAAAAAAAAAAAAAAAAAAAAATAGCCGGGCGTGGTGGCAGGCACCTGTAGTCCCAGCTACTTGGGAGGCTGAGGCAGGAGAATGGCGTGAAGCCGGGAGGTGGAGCTTGCAGTGAGCCGAGATCCCGCCACTGCATTCCAGCCTAGGCGACAGAGTGAGAGTCCATCTCAAACAAAACAAAACAAAACAAAACAAAACAAAACAAAACAAAACAAAACAATTAGCCAGGTATGGTTGTGCGTGCCTGTAATCCCAGCTACTTGGGAGGCTGAGGCAAGAGAATTACTTGAACCCAGGAGGCGGAGGTTGCAGTGAGCCGAGATCATGCCACTGCACTCCTGCCTGGGCGACAGAAAAGGACTCCATGTCAAAATAAATAAATAAATAAATAAATAAAATAAAATAATAAATCCTAACTCTGGCTGTGTGTGGTGTGTGGTGGCTAGTGCCTGTAATCCCAGTGCTTTGGGAGGCTGAGGCAGAAGGATCACTTGAGGCCAGGAGTTTGAGACCAGTCTGGACAACATAGTGAAACTTCAACTCTACTAAAAATTAAAAAAAAATTCTCTGGGCATAGTGGCACCCACCTGTAGTCCCAGCTACTTGAGAGGCTGAGGCAGAAGGATTACTTGAGCCCAGGAGTTCGAGGCTACAGTGAGCTAAGATCGTACCACTGCACTCCAGTCTGGGCAACAGAGCAAGACCCCATCTCTAAAGCAACATATTAACTTTATATCATGGTGTTTAAATATTGTTAACTTTACTTTAAAAACATTGTTAACTCTCTAAAGAAAATACTGTTAACTCGGCCAGGTGCAATGGCTCATGCTTGTAATCCAAGGAGGCCGAGGCAGCAGATCACCTGAGGTCAGGAGTTTGAGACCAGCCTGGCCAGCATGGTGAAACCCCGTCTTTACTAAAAATACGAAAATTAGCCAGGCATAGTGGCACATGCCTGTAGTTCCAGCTACTCGGGAGGCTGAGGCAGGAGAATTGCTTGAACCCAAAAGGCAGAGGTTGCAGTGAGCTGAGATCACACCACTGCACTTCAGCCTGAGCAACAGAGCAAGACTCCGTCTCAAAAAAAAAAAAAAAATATATATATATATTGTTAACTCTCTAAAGAAAATCCTAACTCTGCCACTTCCTGGTTCTGGGACCTGAGGCTTGTCATTTCACCTCCTTAGACTTCAGTTTCTTCAGCTGTAAAATGGGAAGGATAGCACTTGTCTCCCCAGGTTGTGGTGAGGACCAAGGCACTCCACATAACACCTGCATGTAGCATCTTCTCTGCTAATGTTTTGACCCAGTAGACAAGAGAGCGATGCAACAGGGAAAGATCAGAGCACATTCTGTACTCAAAGGAACATCCCAAAGGTGTGACATCAGTGACAGCCTGGCTGCCCAAAGCACCAGAAAGCCTGTCGTCACCAGAGGAACCAATGAGCCCAGCATTGCCCAACAAATAGCATCACTGAGGCGACCTTTGCAAGGTAGATGTCAACAGCAATCATCACCATGGGGACAACAGCCACCTCCACTGCCCTCCAGGCCACGTCTACCCAGAGCAGAATTTGCAAAATCCACAACAGCCACACCACATAGTGGATCCAGATGATTCACAACAGCAGCCTCCTAAAGTCATGAATACAGCCATGAGTATGGATTCTCCCAGCTGAGACCACAGCTACTCCTGGCTCAGTGATTCAGTCATTGAGGACAGTCTCCTGTGCCATTCCTGAGTCAATGCAATGTAGACGGTGTAGCTACTTCCACCCATGCTGATGCTCTACTTGCAAAACAATCTGTGAAGATGGTAGAAGGACTCCCATTGTATCATGTTCTCATGTCTTACTTGGGTCAAAGCCATTATTTAACCTGGAATGCCTCACCTACTGTCATCCCCAATTCCCCAATTCCTTTTTGGTCTACAAATCATGCTTTCTTTCTTTCTTTCTTTTTTTTTTTTTGAGGCCGAGTCTCGCTCTGTCGCCCAGGCTGGAGTGCAGTGGCATGACCTCGGCTCACTGCAACCTCCGCCTTCTGGGTTCAAGCAATTATCCTACCTCAGCCTCCCAAGTAGCTGGGATTACAGGAACGTGCCACCACTCCTGGCTAATTTTTGGTTCAAGTGGTCCTCCAACATCAGCCTCGCGAGTAGCTGGAACTACAGGCAAGCACCACCACGCCTGGTTAATTTTCTAAATTGTTTTGTAAAGATGGGGTCTTTCTATATTGCCCAGGCTGGATTTGAACCCCTGGCCTCAAGTGATCCTACTGCTCAGCATCCCAAAGTGCTGGGATTACAGGTGTGAACCATCATGCCCTGTTCTGAGCTTCCTTACTTAGGTGCTCTTTCCATCCTTTTCTCCTCACAGGAACTCACGAGCCTGGGGAGAATTCGTCATCCCCACATGGAACCTCAGTATGGCCAACAGGCAGCCCTCTGGTAGAAAAATCAACAATCAGTCCTGCAGGTATGCTCCAATCTCATCTCCTCCACATTGTTATGGTCTCCCGGAGCTTTGTTAATCTCTTTGAAGACGAACATTTTTGATCTTTTCCATAGGGGAAGTGCAAGGGACGCCTGTGTTGGAGTTTGCTCCCCAGCTACAGGGCTCCCTAACTTTTTATTTAACCTCCAGCTTTATGACCATGTACAAGTATGCAATTCTAATCTTTATCTTGTTTTGAGATTCTAATCCAGAGTAGTTGGGGGACAGGAAGCCCAGCCTATAACCCCTGATTTTTTTTTTTTTTTTTGAGACAGAGTCTCATTCTGTCACCCAGGCTGGAGTGCAGTGGCACAATCTCAGCTGACTGCAACCCCTGCCTCCCGAGTTTAAGCAATTTTGGTGTCTCAGCCTCCTGAGTAGCTGGGATTACAGGCGCCTGCCACCACCCCCGGCTAATTTTTGTATTTTTTGGTAGAGACGGAGTTTCACCATGTTGGTCAGGCTGGTCTTGAACTCCTGACCTCAAGTAATCTGCTCTCCTCAGGACTCTCTTGGAAGGATTTTTTTTTTTTTTTTTTTTTTTAGATGGAATTCTGCTCTTTGTCTCCCAGGCTGGAGTGCAATGGTGCGATCTTGGCTCACTGTAACCTCCGCCTCCCAGGTTCAAGTGATTCTCCTGTCTCAGCCTCCGGAGTAGCTGGAATTACAGCCACCCGCCACCACGCCCAGCTAGTTTTTGTATTTTTAGTAGAGACGGGGTTTAACCATGTTGGCCAGGCTGGTCTTGAACTCCTGACCTCAGGTGATCCGCCCGCTTTGGCCTCCCAAAGTGCTGGGATTACAGGCGTGAGCCACTGCGCCCAGCAGGAACTCTTAGTTCAGAAGAAGAGTGAGCTAATAATGTATATGTCTTATAGCACTTTTTTGCATCTAAGTTGTTTTATTTGGGATCAGAAGACTTTTATTTTCTTTTTTAAAATTTAGCTTTTATTTTAAGTTTAGGGGTACATGTGCAGGCTTGTTATATAGGTAAACTTTTGCCATTGGGGTTGGTTTTACAGATTATTTCATCACCCAGGTATTAAGCCTAGTATCCATTAGTTATTTTTCCTGATCTTCTCCCTCCTCCCACCCTCCACCCTCCAATAGGCCCTTAATTAAACTAAAGAGCTTCCGCACAGTAAAGGAAACTATCAACAGAGTAAACAGACAATCTACAGAATGGGAGAAAAGCTTTACAAACTTTGCATCTGACAAAGGTCTAATATCCAGCATCTAAAAGAAACGTGCCGGGTGTGGTGGCTCACACCTGTAATCCCAGCACTTTGGCGGATCACCTGAGGTTGGGAGTTCGAGACCAGCCTGCCCAACATGGAGAAAGCCAATCTCTACTAAAAATACAAAAATTAGCCGGGCATGGTGGCACATGCCTGTAATTCCAGCTACTCCAGGGGCTGAGGCAGAAGAATCGCTTGAACCCGGAAGGTGGAGGTTGCAGTGAGCCGAGATTGCACCACTGCACTCCAGCCTGGGTGACAGAGTGAGACTCCATCTCAAAAAAAATAAAAAATAAAAAATAAACGAATTTATAATTTAAAAAACCAGCAAAAAACAAAACAAACAAACAAAAGAAACATTACACAGTGGGCAAAGGACGTGGTTCTTCAATCATTTTGACCTGGATAAAATTGGTAGCTCCTGAGTAGAAAAGAAGATTGGGAAAGCATGAGGAATGAATTATAGTTTCACTTACCCCACCGGCCTAGGGAAAAACTCAATTCCTAGGAGACGCAGCTTAGAACCAAGGTGGGCCTCATCTTGAGAGAAATCCATGAGCCATGCCTATCTTAGTCTGTATTGCATTGCTTATAGCAGAACAGCTGAAACTGGGTAATTTACAAAGAAAAATAATGTATCTATTACAGATATGGAGGCTGGAAAGTTGAAATCCAGAGGGGCACACCTGGTGAGAGCCCTGTTGCTGGTGGGGACTCTGTGGCATCCAGAGGTAGACAGGGCATCACACGTCAAGACAGCTGAGTGCGCTAATGTGATAGCACAGGTCTCACTTCCTATTTTAAAGCTTTTCTTTTCTTTTTTTGTTTGAGATGGAGTCTCAATCTGTCACCCAGGATGGAGTGCAGTGCTGCGATCTTGGCTCACTGCAACCTCCACCTCCTGGGTTCAAGTGATTTTCCTCTCTTAGCCTCCTGAGTAGCTGGGACCACAGGTGCGCACCACTATGTCTGGCTAATTTTTGTATTTTTTTGTAGAGACATGGTTTCACCATGTTGGCCAGGCTGGTCTCGAATTCCTGACTTCAAGTAATCCACCCACCTCAGCCTCCCAAAGTGCTGGGATTACAAGCATGAGCCACCATGCATGGCCTAAAGCTTCTTTTAAAGCCACCAAGTCCCTTCCCATGTTAGCCCACTAATCCATGGGTTAGTCATGAATGGATTAATCTATTCATACGGACAGAGCCCTCATCACCCAATCACCTCTTAAAGGCCCCACCTCTCAATACTGCCACACTGGGGATTAAGTTTCAACAGAGTTTTGGAGGGGACATTCAAATCATAGTAATGCCCAAAGTGAAAAATCTTCCCTGCACTTTTCCCTCAACAAAAACAGCCAGAGATAGTGAGCTGCCAGGAAATTCTTTTTTTTTTCCTCTTCTGTCCTAAATCAGCATCGCTAGACCTTTACATGATTCAACCTCATCTTCTTCACCCTCTGGGTCATGAAATTTTATTTATTTATTTATTATTTTCTTGGGACAGACTCTGGCTCTGTCGCCCAGGCTGAAGTGCAGTGGTGTGATCTTGGCTCACTGCAACCTCCGCCTCCCGGGTTCAAGCGATTCTCCTGCCTCAGCCTCCTGAGTAGCTGGGATTACAGGTGGGCGCCACCACACCCAGCTAATTTTTTGTATTTTTAGTAGAGATGGGGTTTCACCATATTAGCCAGGATGGTCTCCATCTCTTGACCTCGTGATCTGCCCACCTCAGCCTCCCAAAATGCTGGGATTACAGGCATGAGACACCACGCCCAGCAGGCCAGGGTCATGAGATTTTAATCAAGAGCAACTTCCACTGATTCCTGAGAGTGCATCTGTGGGCCCCTGCTCTGATCTGAACAGAAGTGCCGTGTCTTCTCTGACCTCCACTTCTCAATTCAAGAGCCTTAGTATCTGCCAGTATCACACACTGAGCATTAGCTCCATCTCATGGGGGTGTAGGTAGGGGCTCTATCTGCATCTTTCTTTCTTTTTTTCTTTCTTTCCCTTCCTCCCTTCCTCACTCCCTCGGTCCTCTCTTTCTTTCCTTTTCTTTCTTCCTTCCTCCCTTCCTCCCTCCCTCCCTCTCTCTTTCTCTCTTTCTTTCTTTCCTTCTTTCTTTCTTTCTCTCTTCCTTCCCTCCCTCCCTCCTTCCTTCCTTTCTCTTTCTTTCTCTTTCTTTCTTTTTTTCCTTCCTTCCTTCCTTCTTTCTCTTTCTCTCCCTCCCTTCCTTCCTTCCTTCCTTCCTTCCTTCCTTTCTTTCTTTCTTTCTTTCTTTCTTTCTTTCTTTCTTTCTTTCTTTCTTTCTTCCTTCCTTCCTTCCTTCCTTCCTTCCTTCCTTCCTTCCTTTCTTTTCTTTCTTTCTCTTTCTTTTTGAGACAGAGCTCTTATTACCCATGCTGGAGTGCAGTGGTGTGACCTTGGCTTACTGCAACATCTGCCTCCTAGGGTCAAGTGATTCTCCTGCCTCAGCCTCCTAAGTAGCTGGGATTACAGACACATGCCACCACACCCAATATTTATTTTTATTAAAATTTTTTTTAAAATTATTTTTAAAAAATTAAAAATAATTTTGTATTTTTAGTAGAGACGGGGTTTCTCCATGTTGGTCAGGCTGATCTCAAACTCCCAACCTCAGGTGATCCTCCCACCTCACCTCCCAAAGTGCTGGGATTACAGGCATGAGCCACCGTGCCCAGCCTGGTTCCTGGTTTCTAAGACATCACACACACACACACACACACACACACACACTCACACACTCAGAGAGAGAGAGAGAGAGAGGATCATTAAGACATGATACACTAAGAAATTCTATTCTGCAGACACTGAGAATCCGTTAAAAAGTTTGAAGGGAAGAATTGAGATCATCAGGTGTTTATTTGAGGAAATTGTCTGTGGTTGAACTATCCTTTCCTTTCTCTCCCTGAGATTTGGTCTTCTCAATTAGAAGCGTTGCACAATTCCCCCAACCTCCATACATACGGCAGCTCTTCTAGACACAGGTTTTCCCAGGTCAAATGCGGGGACCCCAGCCATATCTCCCACCCTGAGAAATTTTGGAGTTTCAGGGAGCTCAGAAGCTCTGCAGAGGCCACCCTCTCTGAGGGGATTCTTCTTAGACCTCCATCCAGAGGCAAATGTTGACCTGTCCATGCTGAAACCCTCAGGCCTTCCTGGGTCATCTTCTCCCACCCGCTCCTTGATGACAGGGAGCAGGAGCACTAAAGCCACACCAGAAATGGATTCAGGACTGACAGGAGCCACCTTGTCACCTAAGACATCTACAGGTGCAATCGTGGTGACAGAACATACTCTGCCCTTTACTTCCCCAGATAAGACCTTGGCCAGTCCTACATCTTCGGTTGTGGGAAGAACCACCCAGTCTTTGGGGGTGATGTCCTCTGCTCTCCCTGAGTCAACCTCTAGAGGAATGACACACTCCGAGCAAAGAACCAGCCCATCGCTGAGTCCCCAGGTCAATGGAACTCCCTCTAGGAACTACCCTGCTACAAGCATGGTTTCAGGATTGAGTTCCCCAAGGACCAGGACCAGTTCCACAGAAGGAAATTTTACCAAAGAAGCATCTACATACACACTCACTGTAGAGACCACAAGTGGCCCAGTCACTGAGAAGTACACAGTCCCCACTGAGACCTCAACAACTGAAGGTGACAGCACAGAGACCCCCTGGGACACAAGATATATTCCTGTAAAAATCACATCTCCAATGAAAACATTTGCAGATTCAACTGCATCCAAGGAAAATGCCCCAGTGTCTATGACTCCAGCTGAGACCACAGTTACTGACTCACATACTCCAGGAAGGACAAACCCATCATTTGGGACACTTTATTCTTCCTTCCTTGACCTATCACCTAAAGGGACCCCAAATTCCAGAGGTGAAACAAGCCTGGAACTGATTCTATCAACCACTGGATATCCCTTCTCCTCTCCTGAACCTGGCTCTGCAGGACACAGCAGAATAAGTACCAGTGCGCCTTTGTCATCATCTGCTTCAGTTCTCGATAATAAAATATCAGAGACCAGCATATTCTCAGGCCAGAGTCTCACCTCCCCTCTGTCTCCTGGGGTGCCCGAGGCCAGAGCCAGCACAATGCCCAACTCAGCTATCCCTTTTTCCATGACACTAAGCAATGCAGAAACAAGTGCCGAAAGGGTCAGAAGCACAATTTCCTCTCTGGGGACTCCATCAATATCCACAAAGCAGACAGCAGAGACTATCCTTACCTTCCATGCCTTCGCTGAGACCATGGATATACCCAGCACCCACATAGCCAAGACTTTGGCTTCAGAATGGTTGGGAAGTCCAGGTACCCTTGGTGGCACCAGCACTTCAGCGCTGACAACCACATCTCCATCTACCACTTTAGTCTCAGAGGAGACCAACACCCATCACTCCACGAGTGGAAAGGAAACAGAAGGAACTTTGAATACATCTATGACTCCACTTGAGACCTCTGCTCCTGGAGAAGAGTCCGAAATGACTGCCACCTTGGTCCCCACTCTAGGTTTTACAACTCTTGACAGCAAGATCAGAAGTCCATCTCAGGTCTCTTCATCCCACCCAACAAGAGAGCTCAGAACCACAGGCAGCACCTCTGGGAGGCAGAGTTCCAGCACAGCTGCCCACGGGAGCTCTGACATCCTGAGGGCAACCACTTCCAGCACCTCAAAAGCATCATCATGGACCAGTGAAAGCACAGCTCAGCAATTTAGTGAACCCCAGCACACACAGTGGGTGGAGACAAGTCCTAGCATGAAAACAGAGAGACCCCCAGCATCAACCAGTGTGGCAGCCCCTATCACCACTTCTGTTCCCTCAGTGGTCTCTGGCTTCACCACCCTGAAGACCAGCTCCACAAAAGGGATTTGGCTTGAAGAAACATCTGCAGACACACTCATCGGAGAATCCACAGCTGGCCCAACCACCCATCAGTTTGCTGTTCCCACTGGGATTTCAATGACAGGAGGCAGCAGCACCAGGGGAAGCCAGGGCACAACCCACCTACTCACCAGAGCCACAGCATCATCTGAGACATCCGCAGATTTGACTCTGGCCACGAACGGTGTCCCAGTCTCCGTGTCTCCAGCAGTGAGCAAGACGGCTGCTGGCTCAAGTCCTCCAGGAGGGACAAAGCCATCATATACAATGGTTTCTTCTGTCATCCCTGAGACATCATCTCTACAGTCCTCAGCTTTCAGGGAAGGAACCAGCCTGGGACTGACTCCATTAAACACTAGACATCCCTTCTCTTCCCCTGAACCAGACTCTGCAGGACACACCAAGATAAGCACCAGCATTCCTCTGTTGTCATCTGCTTCAGTTCTTGAGGATAAAGTGTCAGCGACCAGCACATTCTCACACCACAAAGCCACCTCATCTATTACCACAGGGACTCCTGAAATCTCAACAAAGACAAAGCCCAGCTCAGCCGTTCTTTCCTCCATGACCCTAAGCAATGCAGCAACAAGTCCTGAAAGAGTCAGAAATGCAACTTCCCCTCTGACTCATCCATCTCCATCAGGGGAAGAGACAGCAGGGAGTGTCCTCACTCTCAGCACCTCTGCTGAGACTACAGACTCACCTAACATCCACCCAACTGGGACACTGACTTCAGAATCGTCAGAGAGTCCTAGCACTCTCAGCCTCCCAAGTGTCTCTGGAGTCAAAACCACATTTTCTTCATCTACTCCTTCCACTCATCTATTTACTAGTGGAGAAGAAACAGAGGAAACTTCGAATCCATCTGTGTCTCAACCTGAGACTTCTGTTTCCAGAGTAAGGACCACCTTGGCCAGCACCTCTGTCCCTACCCCAGTATTCCCCACCATGGACACCTGGCCTACACGTTCAGCTCAGTTCTCTTCATCCCACCTAGTGAGTGAGCTCAGAGCTACGAGCAGTACCTCAGTTACAAACTCAACTGGTTCAGCTCTTCCTAAAATATCTCACCTCACTGGGACGGCAACAATGTCACAGACCAATAGAGACACGTTTAATGACTCTGCTGCACCCCAAAGCACAACTTGGCCAGAGACTAGTCCCAGATTCAAGACAGGGTTACCTTCAGCAACAACCACTGTTTCAACCTCTGCCACTTCTCTCTCTGCTACTGTAATGGTCTCTAAATTCACTTCTCCAGCAACTAGTTCCATGGAAGCAACTTCTATCAGGGAACCATCAACAACCATCCTCACAACAGAGACCACGAATGGCCCAGGCTCTATGGCTGTGGCTTCTACCAACATCCCAATTGGAAAGGGCTACATTACTGAAGGAAGATTGGACACAAGCCATCTGCCCATTGGAACCACAGCTTCCTCTGAGACATCTATGGATTTTACCATGGCCAAAGAAAGTGTCTCAATGTCAGTATCTCCATCTCAGTCCATGGATGCTGCTGGCTCAAGCACTCCAGGAAGGACAAGCCAATTCGTTGACACATTTTCTGATGATGTCTATCATTTAACATCCAGAGAAATTACAATACCTAGAGATGGAACAAGCTCAGCTCTGACTCCACAAATGACTGCAACTCACCCTCCATCTCCTGATCCTGGCTCTGCTAGAAGCACCTGGCTTGGCATCTTGTCCTCATCTCCTTCTTCTCCTACTCCCAAAGTCACAATGAGCTCCACATTTTCAACTCAGAGAGTCACCACAAGCATGATAATGGACACAGTTGAAACTAGTCGGTGGAACATGCCCAACTTACCTTCCACGACTTCCTTGACACCAAGTAATATTCCAACAAGTGGTGCCATAGGAAAAAGCACCCTGGTTCCCTTGGACACTCCATCTCCAGCCACATCATTGGAGGCATCAGAAGGGGGACTTCCAACCCTCAGCACCTACCCTGAATCAACAAACACACCCAGCATCCACCTCGGAGCACACGCTAGTTCAGAAAGTCCAAGCACCATCAAACTTACCATGGCTTCAGTAGTAAAACCTGGCTCTTACACACCTCTCACCTTCCCCTCAATAGAGACCCACATTCATGTATCAACAGCCAGAATGGCTTACTCTTCTGGGTCTTCACCTGAGATGACAGCTCCTGGAGAGACTAACACTGGTAGTACCTGGGACCCCACCACCTACATCACCACTACGGATCCTAAGGATACAAGTTCAGCTCAGGTCTCTACACCCCACTCAGTGAGGACACTCAGAACCACAGAAAACCATCCAAAGACAGAGTCCGCCACCCCAGCTGCTTACTCTGGAAGTCCTAAAATCTCAAGTTCACCCAATCTCACCAGTCCGGCCACAAAAGCATGGACCATCACAGACACAACTGAACACTCCACTCAATTACATTACACAAAATTGGCAGAAAAATCATCTGGATTTGAGACACAGTCAGCTCCAGGACCTGTCTCTGTAGTAATCCCTACCTCCCCTACCATTGGAAGCAGCACATTGGAACTAACTTCTGATGTCCCAGGGGAACCCCTGGTCCTTGCTCCCAGTGAGCAGACCACAATCACTCTCCCCATGGCAACATGGCTGAGTACCAGTTTGACAGAGGAAATGGCTTCAACAGACCTTGATATTTCAAGTCCAAGTTCACCCATGAGTACATTTGCTATTTTTCCACCTATGTCCACACCTTCTCATGAACTTTCAAAGTCAGAGGCAGATACCAGTGCCATTAGAAATACAGATTCAACAACGTTGGATCAGCACCTAGGAATCAGGAGTTTGGGCAGAACTGGGGACTTAACAACTGTTCCTATCACCCCACTGACAACCACGTGGACCAGTGTGATTGAACACTCAACACAAGCACAGGACACCCTTTCTGCAACGATGAGTCCTACTCACGTGACACAGTCACTCAAAGATCAAACATCTATACCAGCCTCAGCATCCCCTTCCCATCTTACTGAAGTCTACCCTGAGCTCGGGACACAAGGGAGAAGCTCCTCTGAGGCAACCACTTTTTGGAAACCATCTACAGACACACTGTCCAGAGAGATTGAGACTGGCCCAACAAACATTCAATCCACTCCACCCATGGACAACACAACAACAGGGAGCAGTAGTAGTGGAGTCACCCTGGGCATAGCCCACCTTCCCATAGGAACATCCTCCCCAGCTGAGACATCCACAAACATGGCACTGGAAAGAAGAAGTTCTACAGCCACTGTCTCTATGGCTGGGACAATGGGACTCCTTGTTACTAGTGCTCCAGGAAGAAGCATCAGCCAGTCATTAGGAAGAGTTTCCTCTGTCCTTTCTGAGTCAACTACTGAAGGAGTCACAGATTCTAGTAAGGGAAGCAGCCCAAGGCTGAACACACAGGGAAATACAGCTCTCTCCTCCTCTCTTGAACCCAGCTATGCTGAAGGAAGCCAGATGAGCACAAGCATCCCTCTAACCTCATCTCCTACAACTCCTGATGTGGAATTCATAGGGGGCAGCACATTTTGGACCAAGGAGGTCACCACAGTTATGACCTCAGACATCTCCAAGTCTTCAGCAAGGACAGAGTCCAGCTCAGCTACCCTTATGTCCACAGCTTTGGGAAGCACTGAAAATACAGGAAAAGAAAAACTCAGAACTGCCTCTATGGATCTTCCATCTCCAACTCCATCAATGGAGGTGACACCATGGATTTCTCTCACTCTCAGTAATGCCCCCAATACCACAGATTCACTTGACCTCAGCCATGGGGTGCACACCAGCTCTGCAGGGACTTTGGCCACTGACAGGTCATTGAATACTGGTGTCACTAGAGCCTCCAGATTGGAAAACGGCTCTGATACCTCTTCTAAGTCCCTGTCTATGGGAAACAGCACTCACACTTCCATGACTTACACAGAGAAGAGTGAAGTGTCTTCTTCAATCCATCCCCGACCTGAGACCTCAGCTCCTGGAGCAGAGACCACTTTGACTTCCACTCCTGGAAACAGGGCCATAAGCTTAACATTGCCTTTTTCATCCATTCCAGTGGAAGAAGTCATTTCTACAGGCATAACCTCAGGACCAGACATCAACTCAGCACCCATGACACATTCTCCCATCACCCCACCAACAATTGTATGGACCAGTACAGGCACAATTGAACAGTCCACTCAACCACTACATGCAGTTTCTTCAGAAAAAGTTTCTGTGCAGACACAGTCAACTCCATATGTCAACTCTGTGGCAGTGTCTGCTTCCCCTACCCATGAGAATTCAGTCTCTTCTGGAAGCAGCACATCCTCTCCATATTCCTCAGCCTCACTTGAATCCTTGGATTCCACAATCAGTAGGAGGAATGCAATCACTTCCTGGCTATGGGACCTCACTACATCTCTCCCCACTACAACTTGGCCAAGTACTAGTTTATCTGAGGCACTGTCCTCAGGCCATTCTGGGGTTTCAAACCCAAGTTCAACTACGACTGAATTTCCACTCTTTTCAGCTGCATCCACATCTGCTGCTAAGCAAAGAAATCCAGAAACAGAGACCCATGGTCCCCAGAATACAGCCGCGAGTACTTTGAACACTGATGCATCCTCGGTCACAGGTCTTTCTGAGACTCCTGTGGGGGCAAGTATCAGCTCTGAAGTCCCTCTTCCAATGGCCATAACTTCTAGATCAGATGTTTCTGGCCTTACATCTGAGAGTACTGCTAACCCGAGTTTAGGCACAGCCTCTTCAGCAGGGACCAAATTAACTAGGACAATATCCCTGCCCACTTCAGAGTCTTTGGTTTCCTTTAGAATGAACAAGGATCCATGGACAGTGTCAATCCCTTTGGGGTCCCATCCAACTACTAATACAGAAACAAGCATCCCAGTAAACAGCGCAGGTCCACCTGGCTTGTCCACAGTAGCATCAGATGTAATTGACACACCTTCAGATGGGGCTGAGAGTATTCCCACTGTCTCCTTTTCCCCCTCCCCTGATACTGAAGTGACAACTATCTCACATTTCCCAGAAAAGACAACTCATTCATTTAGAACCATTTCATCTCTCACTCATGAGTTGACTTCAAGAGTGACACCTATTCCTGGGGATTGGATGAGTTCAGCTATGTCTACAAAGCCCACAGGAGCCAGTCCCTCCATTACACTGGGAGAGAGAAGGACAATCACCTCTGCTGCTCCAACCACTTCCCCCATAGTTCTCACTGCTAGTTTCACAGAGACCAGCACAGTTTCACTGGATAATGAAACTACAGTAAAAACCTCAGATATCCTTGACGCACGGAAAACAAATGAGCTCCCCTCAGATAGCAGTTCTTCTTCTGATCTGATCAACACCTCCATAGCTTCTTCAACTATGGATGTCACTAAAACAGCCTCCATCAGTCCCACTAGCATCTCAGGAATGACAGCAAGTTCCTCCCCATCTCTCTTCTCTTCAGATAGACCCCAGGTTCCCACATCTACAACAGAGACAAATACAGCCACCTCTCCATCTGTTTCCAGTAACACCTATTCTCTTGATGGGGGCTCCAATGTGGGTGGCACTCCATCCACTTTACCACCCTTTACAATCACCCACCCTGTCGAGACAAGCTCGGCCCTATTAGCCTGGTCTAGACCAGTAAGAACTTTCAGCACCATGGTCAGCACTGACACTGCCTCCGGAGAAAATCCTACCTCTAGCAATTCTGTGGTGACTTCTGTTCCAGCACCAGGTACATGGACCAGTGTAGGCAGTACTACTGACTTACCTGCCATGGGCTTTCTCAAGACAAGTCCTGCAGGAGAGGCACACTCACTTCTAGCATCAACTATTGAACCAGCCACTGCCTTCACTCCCCATCTCTCAGCAGCAGTGGTCACTGGATCCAGTGCTACATCAGAAGCCAGTCTTCTCACTACGAGTGAAAGCAAAGCCATTCATTCTTCACCACAGACCCCAACTACACCCACCTCTGGAGCAAACTGGGAAACTTCAGCTACTCCTGAGAGCCTTTTGGTAGTCACTGAGACTTCAGACACAACACTTACCTCAAAGATTTTGGTCACAGATACCATCTTGTTTTCAACTGTGTCCACGCCACCTTCTAAATTTCCAAGTACGGGGACTCTGTCTGGAGCTTCCTTCCCTACTTTACTCCCGGACACTCCAGCCATCCCTCTCACTGCCACTGAGCCAACAAGTTCATTAGCTACATCCTTTGATTCCACCCCACTGGTGACTATAGCTTCGGATAGTCTTGGCACAGTCCCAGAGACTACCCTGACCATGTCAGAGACCTCAAATGGTGATGCACTGGTTCTTAAGACAGTAAGTAACCCAGATAGGAGCATCCCTGGAATCACTATCCAAGGAGTAACAGAAAGTCCACTCCATCCTTCTTCCACTTCCCCCTCTAAGATTGTTGCTCCACGGAATACAACCTATGAAGGTTCGATCACAGTGGCACTTTCTACTTTGCCTGCGGGAACTACTGGTTCCCTTGTATTCAGTCAGAGTTCTGAAAACTCAGAGACAACGGCTTTGGTAGACTCATCAGCTGGGCTTGAGAGGGCATCTGTGATGCCACTAACCACAGGAAGCCAGGGTATGGCTAGCTCTGGAGGAATCAGAAGTGGGTCCACTCACTCAACTGGAACCAAAACATTTTCTTCTCTCCCTCTGACCATGAACCCAGGTGAGGTTACAGCCATGTCTGAAATCACCACGAACAGACTGACAGCTACTCAATCAACAGCACCCAAAGGGATACCTGTGAAGCCCACCAGTGCTGAGTCAGGCCTCCTAACACCTGTCTCTGCCTCCTCAAGCCCATCAAAGGCCTTTGCCTCACTGACTACAGCTCCCCCAACTTGGGGGATCCCACAGTCTACCTTGACATTTGAGTTTTCTGAGGTCCCAAGTTTGGATACTAAGTCCGCTTCTTTACCAACTCCTGGACAGTCCCTGAACACCATTCCAGACTCAGATGCAAGCACAGCATCTTCCTCACTGTCCAAGTCTCCAGAAAAAAACCCAAGGGCAAGGATGATGACTTCCACAAAGGCCATAAGTGCAAGCTCATTTCAATCAACAGGTTTTACTGAAACCCCTGAGGGATCTGCCTCCCCTTCTATGGCAGGGCATGAACCCAGAGTCCCCACTTCAGGAACAGGGGACCCTAGATATGCCTCAGAGAGCATGTCTTATCCAGACCCAAGCAAGGCATCATCAGCTATGACATCGACCTCTCTTGCATCAAAACTCACAACTCTCTTCAGCACAGGTCAAGCAGCAAGGTCTGGTTCTAGTTCCTCTCCCATAAGCCTATCCACTGAGAAAGAAACAAGCTTCCTTTCCCCCACTGCATCCACCTCCAGAAAGACTTCACTATTTCTTGGGCCTTCCATGGCAAGGCAGCCCAACATATTGGTGCATCTTCAGACTTCAGCTCTGACACTTTCTCCAACATCCACTCTAAATATGTCCCAGGAGGAGCCTCCTGAGTTAACCTCAAGCCAGACCATTGCAGAAGAAGAGGGAACAACAGCTGAAACACAGACGTTAACCTTCACACCATCTGAGACCCCAACATCCTTGTTACCTGTCTCTTCTCCCACAGAACCCACAGCCAGAAGAAAGAGTTCTCCAGAAACATGGGCAAGCTCTATTTCAGTTCCTGCCAAGACCTCCTTGGTTGAAAGTAAGAATGCCCTGCTCCTTCCCCAAGTGTGCTGGGGATGAATCTGGAAATAAACTACATCTTTTTTATTTTTTAAACTTTTATATTTGAAAATATAAATATTTTAGGTTCAGGGAACATGTGCAGGTTTGTTATATAGGTAAATTGCATGTCATGGGGGCTTGGGGTACAGATTACATCATCAGCCAGGTAATAAGCCTAGTACCTGATCAGTAGATTTTTTTTAATCCTCTCCCTCCTCCCAGCCTCCACCCTCAATTCACATGTCTCCATGTGTACTCAAGGTTTAATTCCCACTTATGAGTGAGAACATGCGGTATTTGTAAACTACATCTTTATTTTTGCTAACCTCGAACTGAAATTTAGCATTTGTTTTATTGATGAATAGAGGTAACAAAACAAACCACATTAATCCTAGCAGTGCCTGTGCCTTTGCCAACAACAGAAATTCCGGACACTTTCATATCCTATGACAATTGTTGCAAGCACTTTTAAAAATCATGTACGACTTTATTCATAATTATAGTGGTTATTAGGCTTTTCAATAGATCTTATTTAATGAGTTAGTAAAATAAGTGCCTGTATTATTGTATTACATTTGTTTATTAAGATCTTGATAACAACATTTCAATATAATCATTTCCTTTGTTTTTTAAATTTTAGATTCAGGGGTATATGTGCAGGTTTGTTACGTGGATATACTGCATAATGATGAGGTTTGGCTTCTAGTGAACCCATCAGCCAAATAGTGAATGTTGTGCCCAATAAGTAGTTTTTCAATCCTCACTTCACTCCCAGCCTCCTCTATTTTGGAGTCCCAGTGTCTATTATTTCTATCTTTATGTCCACATGTACCCATTGGTTAGCTCCCACTTATAAGTGAGAATGTGCAGTATTTAATTTTCTGTTTTTGAGTTATTTTGCTTAGGTTGATGGCCTTCAGCTCCAGCCACGTTGCTTTAAAGAACATGATTTCATTCTTTTTTATGGCTGCATAGTACTCCGAGGTGTATGTGTACCAGATTTTCTTTATCCACAATGATTTCCTTTGTAATCTAATATTTTATATTGTTATTTTATGTTTTATTCTATATTTTTATTTTAATTTATAAAGGAATTCATATGGTTCACAAGCCTGTCAAAGGGACCTATAATAAAAAGAGGTTAAGAATCCATGCTCTAAACAGAATATTACTCCATTTTATTTCATTTATTTTTAAAGAGACAGTCTCACTCTGTCATCCAGGCTGGAGTACAGTGGAGTGATCATAGCTCATTGCAACCCTGAACTCTTGGGCACAAGCAATTCTCCTGCTTCATCCTCCAGAGGAGCTGGGACTACAGGTGCACATCACCATGCCCAGCTAGTTTTAAAAATTATTTTGTAGAGATGGTGTCTCACTATCCTACCCAGGCTGGTCTCAAACTCCTGGGCTCAGGCAATCCTCCCACTTTGACCTCCCAAAGTGTTGAGATTACAGGGGCAAGCCACTGTGCCTGGCCACTTGTCACATTTTAATTTGTGATTACTTATAAAATGAACCCCTTCCCATCTGAGATCTGTCAGTCTTTCTGGTGACGGTGCCTGGTGTCTGCTTTCTACCATGTCCTGTTAGACTAGTGTTTGATGGGAGGTCACCTGGGCAGCTGTCCAGCTCACTCACTGGGCTCTAGAGCCTCTGAGTTGAAGCAAAATAGAAAGATCAGTCAATGTAAAGAAAGCTCAAAAACTGACATTCTGAAGTAATGGATAGCTAAACCTTCCTATTGCCCTTTTCTTTCAGCAACTGATGGAACGCTAGTGACCACCATAAAGATGTCAAGCCAGGCAGCACAAGGAAATTCCACGTGGCCTGCCCCAGCAGAGGAGACGGGGAGCAGTCCAGCAGGTAAATATAGACCTTGTTTCCATTTCTGCTCTGCTAATGCCACCCAAGCCTTTCTTTTCTTTTCTTTTCTTTTCTTTTCTTTTCTTTTCTTTTCTTTTCTTTTCTTTCTCTCCCTTTCTTTCTTTCTTTCTTTCTTTCTTTCTTTCTTTCTTTCTTTCTTTCTTTCTCTTTCTTTCTTTCTTTCTTTCTTTCTTTCTTTCTCTTTCTTTCTTCTTTCTCTCTCTCTCTTTCTTTCTTTCTCTTGTTCTTTTTAAATTTTTTATTTTTTTACTTAATTTTTTTCACCCAAGCCTTAAGGCCAATTTGGACCAGATAGTGAGACCCCACCTCTATAAAAAAATTTTTTTTAAAAAAAATAAGTTGGGCATCGTGCAGGCCTGTAGTCCCTGCTACTCGAGAGGCCAAGGTGGGAGGACAGCTTGCTGCTGACTAAAAGTGCTGCTTATTGATTCTGGGAAGAAAAAATATACAAGGCTTCAGTTTCATTATTTTATAAGTAAATGCTAGCAACTTTTCCTTTCTTTCTCTCTTTCTCTCTTCCTCTCTTTCTCTCCTCTCCTTCTCTTCTCTCTCTCTCTCTCTCTCTTTCTCTCTCCTCTCCTTCTCTTCTCTTCTTTCTCTCTCTCTCTCTTTCATTTATTTTTGAGACATGGTCTCATTCTGTCACCCAGGCTGGAGTACAGTGGTGTATATTTACTGCAGTACTCACTGTACTCACTGCAGCCTCAAATTCCTGGGCTCAAGCTATCCTCTCACCTCAGCCTCCTGAGTAGCTGGGCAGCAGTCCAGCTCACTCACTGGGCTCTAGAGCCTCTGTGCTATGCCCAGCTTATTGTTGTTGTTTTTTTAAATTTTTTTTTTTGTACAGATGGGGTCTCACTATGTGGCCCAAGGTGGTCTTAAACTCCTGGCTCCAAGAGATCCTCCCACCTCAGCCTCCCAAAGTGCAGGGATTACAGGTGTGAGCCACTGTGCCCAGCCTAGACCGCATTTTTTTTTTGAAACAGGGTCTCCCTCTGTTGCCCAGGCTGGAGTGCAATGGCGTGTTCATGGTTCACTGCAGCCTCAGCCTCCTCAGTCTCAAGCAATCCTCCAACTTCAGCCTCCCCCAACAGCTAGAACTGCAGGTGATCATCACCAATTAGCCTGGTTAATTGTGTGTGTATTTCTTAAATTTTTTGTAGAGATAGTTCTCACTATATTGCTTGGGCTGGTCTCAAACTCCTGGACTCAAGTGATTCACCTACCTCGGCCTCCCTAAGCACTGGGATTACAGGCTTGAGCCACCACACCCAGCAAGGACTAGGTTTTAAAATAGGTTCCTAGGCTGGGTGTGGTGGCTTACGCCCGTAATCCCAGCACTTTGGGAGGCTAAGGTGGGCGGATCACGAGGTCAGGAGTTTGAGACCAGCCTGGCCAACATAGTGAAACCCTGTCTCTACTAAAAATACAAAAAATTAGCTGGGCATAGTGGCACACACCTGTAATCCCAGCTACTTGGGAGGCTGAGGAAGGAGAATCACTTGAACCTGGGAGGCGGAGGTTGCAGTGAGCCGAGATCACGCCATTGCTCTCCAGCCTGGGTGACAGAGCAAGACTCCATCTAAAAAAAAAAAAAGTTCCTTTGACTTCTTGACACTCTTCTCTGAGGATATTGATCATTTTTCCCCAATAGATGTTACTAATTGAACACTTCTGTTGCTTCAACTTACTAATTTACATGATCAATAGCCAATTAATTCAGCAGGAGAGAATGCTACAGAGTCGATTCTTTCTGTACTTTCTTCTGCTCCAGAGTGAAGGATCTTTCTAAATCAGAGACCATCACTGTGTTCACAGGGAGGGCCTAGGTGAACCTGAGATGGCAAATGTTGCGTTTGTTACTACGGAAGAAGGGATTATGGGCTGAAGTCCTTGGCAGTGCCAAATTGCTTAGAAAAATGTGAAATATGGTCCCTAGGAGTGCTCTTGGGATGTCACATTTTTCTCACTCCTTTGACAGGTAGATGTTATTTTCCTGAAGGACAGGGAAAGGATTCAGAGGGAGGAATGAATTTGAAAGAAAATGAAGGTGACGAGAAAGAATGAGCTCATCTCCCTTATCCTCTTTCTTCTCAAATCCTTAAGTAGCTTTGCAGTGAACTAAGATTTGGGGGAACCTAGAGGAGGCTGAAAGTTGGAAGCTGAAATTGGTTTGGCAAGGGCAAGCTCCAAAGACAAAAGTGGAAATAGTTTGGGGGTAGCCTCTTGCATGGGTGAAGTCCTGGTTCATCACATCCTCCCTTATGCAAAGAGCCCTTTTATATGGGGCATGGGGAAAAACTGAGCTAAAGGTGATAATTTCTCCTGAGCAAGCCAGATGGTCAAAGCTCTAACTTCACCATCTCCCTTGGAATGTTTAATGTGTTCCCTGGTGTCCAGAGGCTTAAAGTGTGAGAATTAAAAGCTCAACATTTTCTTTCCCAGAGAAGGAGGAAATAGTTTTAATTGAAATCCCGGGAGGAAATGAATGATAGTGTCAAACCAAAAAACTTCATCTTCTGTACCATTTGCATATACTCCACTGACTTACTTTCTAATCACAGGCACATCCCCAGGAAGCCCAGAAATGTCTACCACTCTCAAAATCATGAGCTCCAAGGAACCCAGCATCAGCCCAGAGATCAGGTCCACTGTGAGAAATTCTCCTTGGAAGACTCCAGAAACAACTGTTCCCATGGAGACCACAGTGGAACCAGTCACCCTTCAGTCCACAGCCCTAGGAAGTGGCAGCACCAGCATCTCTCACCTGCCCACAGGAACCACATCACCAACCAAGTCACCAACAGAAAATATGTTGGCTACAGAAAGGGTCTCCCTCTCCCCATCCCCACCTGAGGCTTGGACCAACCTTTATTCTGGAACTCCAGGAGGGACCAGGCAGTCACTGGCCACAATGTCCTCTGTCTCCCTAGAGTCACCAACTGCTAGAAGCATCACAGGGACTGGTCAGCAAAGCAGTCCAGAACTGGTTTCAAAGACAACTGGAATGGAATTCTCTATGTGGCATGGCTCTACTGGAGGGACCACAGGGGACACACATGTCTCTCTGAGCACATCTTCCAATATCCTTGAAGACCCTGTAACCAGCCCAAACTCTGTGAGCTCATTGACAGATAAATCCAAACATAAAACCGAGACATGGGTAAGCACCACAGCCATTCCCTCCACTGTCCTGAATAATAAGATAATGGCAGCTGAACAACAGACAAGTCGATCTGTGGATGAGGCTTATTCATCAACTAGTTCTTGGTCAGATCAGACATCTGGGAGTGACATCACCCTTGGTGCATCTCCTGATGTCACAAACACATTATACATCACCTCCACAGCACAAACCACCTCACTAGTGTCTCTGCCCTCTGGAGACCAAGGCATTACAAGCCTCACCAATCCCTCAGGAGGAAAAACAAGCTCTGCGTCATCTGTCACATCTCCTTCAATAGGGCTTGAGACTCTGAGGGCCAATGTAAGTGCAGTGAAAAGTGACATTGCCCCTACTGCTGGGCATCTATCTCAGACTTCATCTCCTGCGGAAGTGAGCATCCTGGACGTAACCACAGCTCCTACTCCAGGTATCTCCACCACCATCACCACCATGGGAACCAACTCAATCTCAACTACCACACCCAACCCAGAAGTGGGTATGAGTACCATGGACAGCACCCCGGCCACAGAGAGGCGCACAACTTCTACAGAACACCCTTCCACCTGGTCTTCCACAGCTGCATCAGATTCCTGGACTGTCACAGACATGACTTCAAACTTGAAAGTTGCAAGATCTCCTGGAACAATTTCCACAATGCATACAACTTCATTCTTAGCCTCAAGCACTGAATTAGACTCCATGTCTACTCCCCATGGCCGTATAACTGTCATTGGAACCAGCCTGGTCACTCCATCCTCTGATGCTTCAGCTGTAAAGACAGAGACCAGTACAAGTGAAAGAACATTGAGTCCTTCAGACACAACTGCATCTACTCCCATCTCAACTTTTTCTCGTGTCCAGAGGATGAGCATCTCAGTTCCTGACATTTTAAGTACAAGTTGGACTCCCAGTAGTACAGAAGCAGAAGATGTGCCTGTTTCAATGGTTTCTACAGATCATGCTAGTACAAAGACTGACCCAAATACGCCCCTGTCCACTTTTCTGTTTGATTCTCTGTCCACTCTTGACTGGGACACTGGGAGATCTCTGTCATCAGCCACAGCCACTACCTCAGCTCCTCAGGGGGCCACAACTCCCCAGGAACTCACTTTGGAAACCATGATCAGCCCAGCTACCTCACAGTTGCCCTTCTCTATAGGGCACATTACAAGTGCAGTCACACCAGCTGCAATGGCAAGGAGCTCTGGAGTTACTTTTTCAAGACCAGATCCCACAAGCAAAAAGGCAGAGCAGACTTCCACTCAGCTTCCCACCACCACTTCTGCACATCCAGGGCAGGTGCCCAGATCAGCAGCAACAACTCTGGATGTGATCCCACACACAGCAAAAACTCCAGATGCAACTTTTCAGAGACAAGGGCAGACAGCTCTTACAACAGAGGCAAGAGCTACATCTGACTCCTGGAATGAGAAAGAAAAATCAACCCCAAGTGCACCTTGGATCACTGAGATGATGAATTCTGTCTCAGAAGATACCATCAAGGAGGTTACCAGCTCCTCCAGTGTATTAAGGACCCTGAATACGCTGGACATAAACTTGGAATCTGGGACGACTTCATCCCCAAGTTGGAAAAGCAGCCCATATGAGAGAATTGCCCCTTCTGAGTCCACCACAGACAAAGAGGCAATTCACCCTTCTACAAACACAGTAGAGACCACAGGCTGGGTCACAAGTTCCGAACATGCTTCTCATTCCACTATCCCAGCCCACTCAGCGTCATCCAAACTCACATCTCCAGTGGTTACAACCTCCACCAGGGAACAAGCAATAGTTTCTATGTCAACAACCACATGGCCAGAGTCTACAAGGGCTAGAACAGAGCCTAATTCCTTCTTGACTATTGAACTGAGGGACGTCAGCCCTTACATGGACACCAGCTCAACCACACAAACAAGTATTATCTCTTCCCCAGGTTCCACTGCGATCACCAAGGGGCCTAGAACAGAAATTACCTCCTCTAAGAGAATATCCAGCTCATTCCTTGCCCAGTCTATGAGGTCGTCAGACAGCCCCTCAGAAGCCATCACCAGGCTGTCTAACTTTCCTGCCATGACAGAATCTGGAGGAATGATCCTTGCTATGCAAACAAGTCCACCTGGCGCTACATCACTAAGTGCACCTACTTTGGATACATCAGCCACAGCCTCCTGGACAGGGACTCCACTGGCTACGACTCAGAGATTTACATACTCAGAGAAGACCACTCTCTTTAGCAAAGGTCCTGAGGATACATCACAGCCAAGCCCTCCCTCTGTGGAAGAAACCAGCTCTTCCTCTTCCCTGGTACCTATCCATGCTACAACCTCGCCTTCCAATATTTTGTTGACATCACAAGGGCACAGTCCCTCCTCTACTCCACCTGTGACCTCAGTTTTCTTGTCTGAGACCTCTGGCCTGGGGAAGACCACAGACATGTCGAGGATAAGCTTGGAACCTGGCACAAGTTTACCTCCCAATTTGAGCAGTACAGCAGGTGAGGCGTTATCCACTTATGAAGCCTCCAGAGATACAAAGGCAATTCATCATTCTGCAGACACAGCAGTGACGAATATGGAGGCAACCAGTTCTGAATATTCTCCTATCCCAGGCCATACAAAGCCATCCAAAGCCACATCTCCATTGGTTACCTCCCACATCATGGGGGACATCACTTCTTCCACATCAGTATTTGGCTCCTCCGAGACCACAGAGATTGAGACAGTGTCCTCTGTGAACCAGGGACTTCAGGAGAGAAGCACATCCCAGGTGGCCAGCTCTGCTACAGAGACAAGCACTGTCATTACCCATGTGTCTAGTGGTGATGCTACTACTCATGTC
Source organism: Homo sapiens (assembly GCF_000001405.40). Lineage (NCBI taxonomy): Eukaryota > Metazoa > Chordata > Mammalia > Primates > Hominidae > Homo > Homo sapiens. Next base: position 8,963,749 of record NC_000019.10, on the reverse strand, counting down.
ACCAAGACACAAGCCACTTTCTCTAGCGGAACATCCATCTCAAGCCCTCATCAGTTTATAACTTCTACCAACACATTTACAGATGTGAGCACCAACCCCTCCACCTCTCTGATAATGACAGAATCTTCAGGAGTGACCATCACCACCCAAACAGGTCCTACTGGAGCTGCAACACAGGGTCCATATCTCTTGGACACATCAACCATGCCTTACTTGACAGAGACTCCATTAGCTGTGACTCCAGATTTTATGCAATCAGAGAAGACCACTCTCATAAGCAAAGGTCCCAAGGATGTGTCCTGGACAAGCCCTCCCTCTGTGGCAGAAACCAGCTATCCCTCTTCCCTGACACCTTTCTTGGTCACAACCATACCTCCTGCCACTTCCACGTTACAAGGGCAACATACATCCTCTCCTGTTTCTGCGACTTCAGTTCTTACCTCTGGACTGGTGAAGACCACAGATATGTTGAACACAAGCATGGAACCTGTGACCAATTCACCTCAAAATTTGAACAATCCATCAAATGAGATACTGGCCACTTTGGCAGCCACCACAGATATAGAGACTATTCATCCTTCCATAAACAAAGCAGTGACCAATATGGGGACTGCCAGTTCAGCACATGTACTGCATTCCACTCTCCCAGTCAGCTCAGAACCATCTACAGCCACATCTCCAATGGTTCCTGCCTCCAGCATGGGGGACGCTCTTGCTTCTATATCAATACCTGGTTCTGAGACCACAGACATTGAGGGAGAGCCAACATCCTCCCTGACTGCTGGACGAAAAGAGAACAGCACCCTCCAGGAGATGAACTCAACTACAGAGTCAAACATCATCCTCTCCAATGTGTCTGTGGGGGCTATTACTGAAGCCACAAAAATGGAAGTCCCCTCTTTTGATGCAACATTCATACCAACTCCTGCTCAGTCAACAAAGTTCCCAGATATTTTCTCAGTAGCCAGCAGTAGACTTTCAAACTCTCCTCCCATGACAATATCTACCCACATGACCACCACCCAGACAGGGTCTTCTGGAGCTACATCAAAGATTCCACTTGCCTTAGACACATCAACCTTGGAAACCTCAGCAGGGACTCCATCAGTGGTGACTGAGGGGTTTGCCCACTCAAAAATAACCACTGCAATGAACAATGATGTCAAGGACGTGTCACAGACAAACCCTCCCTTTCAGGATGAAGCCAGCTCTCCCTCTTCTCAAGCACCTGTCCTTGTCACAACCTTACCTTCTTCTGTTGCTTTCACACCGCAATGGCACAGTACCTCCTCTCCTGTTTCTATGTCCTCAGTTCTTACTTCTTCACTGGTAAAGACCGCAGGCAAGGTGGATACAAGCTTAGAAACAGTGACCAGTTCACCTCAAAGTATGAGCAACACTTTGGATGACATATCGGTCACTTCAGCAGCCACCACAGATATAGAGACAACGCATCCTTCCATAAACACAGTAGTTACCAATGTGGGGACCACCGGTTCAGCATTTGAATCACATTCTACTGTCTCAGCTTACCCAGAGCCATCTAAAGTCACATCTCCAAATGTTACCACCTCCACCATGGAAGACACCACAATTTCCAGATCAATACCTAAATCCTCTAAGACTACAAGAACTGAGACTGAGACAACTTCCTCCCTGACTCCTAAACTGAGGGAGACCAGCATCTCCCAGGAGATCACCTCGTCCACAGAGACAAGCACTGTTCCTTACAAAGAGCTCACTGGTGCCACTACCGAGGTATCCAGGACAGATGTCACTTCCTCTAGCAGTACATCCTTCCCTGGCCCTGATCAGTCCACAGTGTCACTAGACATCTCCACAGAAACCAACACCAGGCTGTCTACCTCCCCAATAATGACAGAATCTGCAGAAATAACCATCACCACCCAAACAGGTCCTCATGGGGCTACATCACAGGATACTTTTACCATGGACCCATCAAATACAACCCCCCAGGCAGGGATCCACTCAGCTATGACTCATGGATTTTCACAATTGGATGTGACCACTCTTATGAGCAGAATTCCACAGGATGTATCATGGACAAGTCCTCCCTCTGTGGATAAAACCAGCTCCCCCTCTTCCTTTCTGTCCTCACCTGCAATGACCACACCTTCCCTGATTTCTTCTACCTTACCAGAGGATAAGCTCTCCTCTCCTATGACTTCACTTCTCACCTCTGGCCTAGTGAAGATTACAGACATATTACGTACACGCTTGGAACCTGTGACCAGCTCACTTCCAAATTTCAGCAGCACCTCAGATAAGATACTGGCCACTTCTAAAGACAGTAAAGACACAAAGGAAATTTTTCCTTCTATAAACACAGAAGAGACCAATGTGAAAGCCAACAACTCTGGACATGAATCCCATTCCCCTGCACTGGCTGACTCAGAGACACCCAAAGCCACAACTCAAATGGTTATCACCACCACTGTGGGAGATCCAGCTCCTTCCACATCAATGCCAGTGCATGGTTCCTCTGAGACTACAAACATTAAGAGAGAGCCAACATATTTCTTGACTCCTAGACTGAGAGAGACCAGTACCTCTCAGGAGTCCAGCTTTCCCACGGACACAAGTTTTCTACTTTCCAAAGTCCCCACTGGTACTATTACTGAGGTCTCCAGTACAGGGGTCAACTCTTCTAGCAAAATTTCCACCCCAGACCATGATAAGTCCACAGTGCCACCTGACACCTTCACAGGAGAGATCCCCAGGGTCTTCACCTCCTCTATTAAGACAAAATCTGCAGAAATGACGATCACCACCCAAGCAAGTCCTCCTGAGTCTGCATCGCACAGTACCCTTCCCTTGGACACATCAACCACACTTTCCCAGGGAGGGACTCATTCAACTGTGACTCAGGGATTCCCATACTCAGAGGTGACCACTCTCATGGGCATGGGTCCTGGGAATGTGTCATGGATGACAACTCCCCCTGTGGAAGAAACCAGCTCTGTGTCTTCCCTGATGTCTTCACCTGCCATGACATCCCCTTCTCCTGTTTCCTCCACATCACCACAGAGCATCCCCTCCTCTCCTCTTCCTGTGACTGCACTTCCTACTTCTGTTCTGGTGACAACCACAGATGTGTTGGGCACAACAAGCCCAGAGTCTGTAACCAGTTCACCTCCAAATTTGAGCAGCATCACTCATGAGAGACCGGCCACTTACAAAGACACTGCACACACAGAAGCCGCCATGCATCATTCCACAAACACCGCAGTGACCAATGTAGGGACTTCCGGGTCTGGACATAAATCACAATCCTCTGTCCTAGCTGACTCAGAGACATCGAAAGCCACACCTCTGATGAGTACCACCTCCACCCTGGGGGACACAAGTGTTTCCACATCAACTCCTAATATCTCTCAGACTAACCAAATTCAAACAGAGCCAACAGCATCCCTGAGCCCTAGACTGAGGGAGAGCAGCACGTCTGAGAAGACCAGCTCAACAACAGAGACAAATACTGCCTTTTCTTATGTGCCCACAGGTGCTATTACTCAGGCCTCCAGAACAGAAATCTCCTCTAGCAGAACATCCATCTCAGACCTTGATCGGCCCACAATAGCACCCGACATCTCCACAGGAATGATCACCAGGCTCTTCACCTCCCCCATCATGACAAAATCTGCAGAAATGACCGTCACCACTCAAACAACTACTCCTGGGGCTACATCACAGGGTATCCTTCCCTGGGACACATCAACCACACTTTTCCAGGGAGGGACTCATTCAACCGTGTCTCAGGGATTCCCACACTCAGAGATAACCACTCTTCGGAGCAGAACCCCTGGAGATGTGTCATGGATGACAACTCCCCCTGTGGAAGAAACCAGCTCTGGGTTTTCCCTGATGTCACCTTCCATGACATCCCCTTCTCCTGTTTCCTCCACATCACCAGAGAGCATCCCCTCCTCTCCTCTCCCTGTGACTGCACTTCTTACTTCTGTTCTGGTGACAACCACAAATGTATTGGGCACAACAAGCCCAGAGCCCGTAACGAGTTCACCTCCAAATTTAAGCAGCCCCACACAGGAGAGACTGACCACTTACAAAGACACTGCGCACACAGAAGCCATGCATGCTTCCATGCATACAAACACTGCAGTGGCCAACGTGGGGACCTCCATTTCTGGACATGAATCACAATCTTCTGTCCCAGCTGATTCACACACATCCAAAGCCACATCTCCAATGGGTATCACCTTCGCCATGGGGGATACAAGTGTTTCTACATCAACTCCTGCCTTCTTTGAGACTAGAATTCAGACTGAATCAACATCCTCTTTGATTCCTGGATTAAGGGACACCAGGACGTCTGAGGAGATCAACACTGTGACAGAGACCAGCACTGTCCTTTCAGAAGTGCCCACTACTACTACTACTGAGGTCTCCAGGACAGAAGTTATCACTTCCAGCAGAACAACCATCTCAGGGCCTGATCATTCCAAAATGTCACCCTACATCTCCACAGAAACCATCACCAGGCTCTCCACTTTTCCTTTTGTAACAGGATCCACAGAAATGGCCATCACCAACCAAACAGGTCCTATAGGGACTATCTCACAGGCTACCCTTACCCTGGACACATCAAGCACAGCTTCCTGGGAAGGGACTCACTCACCTGTGACTCAGAGATTTCCACACTCAGAGGAGACCACTACTATGAGCAGAAGTACTAAGGGCGTGTCATGGCAAAGCCCTCCCTCTGTGGAAGAAACCAGTTCTCCTTCTTCCCCAGTGCCTTTACCTGCAATAACCTCACATTCATCTCTTTATTCCGCAGTATCAGGAAGTAGCCCCACTTCTGCTCTCCCTGTGACTTCCCTTCTCACCTCTGGCAGGAGGAAGACCATAGACATGTTGGACACACACTCAGAACTTGTGACCAGCTCCTTACCAAGTGCAAGTAGCTTCTCAGGTGAGATACTCACTTCTGAAGCCTCCACAAATACAGAGACAATTCACTTTTCAGAGAACACAGCAGAAACCAATATGGGGACCACCAATTCTATGCATAAACTACATTCCTCTGTCTCAATCCACTCCCAGCCATCCGGACACACACCTCCAAAGGTTACTGGATCTATGATGGAGGACGCTATTGTTTCCACATCAACACCTGGTTCTCCTGAGACTAAAAATGTTGACAGAGACTCAACATCCCCTCTGACTCCTGAACTGAAAGAGGACAGCACCGCCCTGGTGATGAACTCAACTACAGAGTCAAACACTGTTTTCTCCAGTGTGTCCCTGGATGCTGCTACTGAGGTCTCCAGGGCAGAAGTCACCTACTATGATCCTACATTCATGCCAGCTTCTGCTCAGTCAACAAAGTCCCCAGACATTTCACCTGAAGCCAGCAGCAGTCATTCTAACTCTCCTCCCTTGACAATATCTACACACAAGACCATCGCCACACAAACAGGTCCTTCTGGGGTGACATCTCTTGGCCAACTGACCCTGGACACATCAACCATAGCCACCTCAGCAGGAACTCCATCAGCCAGAACTCAGGATTTTGTAGATTCAGAAACAACCAGTGTCATGAACAATGATCTCAATGATGTGTTGAAGACAAGCCCTTTCTCTGCAGAAGAAGCCAACTCTCTCTCTTCTCAGGCACCTCTCCTTGTGACAACCTCACCTTCTCCTGTAACTTCCACATTGCAAGAGCACAGTACCTCCTCTCTTGTTTCTGTGACCTCAGTACCCACCCCTACACTGGCGAAGATCACAGACATGGACACAAACTTAGAACCTGTGACTCGTTCACCTCAAAATTTAAGGAACACCTTGGCCACTTCAGAAGCCACCACAGATACACACACAATGCATCCTTCTATAAACACAGCAGTGGCCAATGTGGGGACCACCAGTTCACCAAATGAATTCTATTTTACTGTCTCACCTGACTCAGACCCATATAAAGCCACATCCGCAGTAGTTATCACTTCCACCTCGGGGGACTCAATAGTTTCCACATCAATGCCTAGATCCTCTGCGATGAAAAAGATTGAGTCTGAGACAACTTTCTCCCTGATATTTAGACTGAGGGAGACTAGCACCTCCCAGAAAATTGGCTCATCCTCAGACACAAGCACGGTCTTTGACAAAGCATTCACTGCTGCTACTACTGAGGTCTCCAGAACAGAACTCACCTCCTCTAGCAGAACATCCATCCAAGGCACTGAAAAGCCCACAATGTCACCGGACACCTCCACAAGATCTGTCACCATGCTTTCTACTTTTGCTGGCCTGACAAAATCCGAAGAAAGGACCATTGCCACCCAAACAGGTCCTCATAGGGCGACATCACAGGGTACCCTTACCTGGGACACATCAATCACAACCTCACAGGCAGGGACCCACTCAGCTATGACTCATGGATTTTCACAATTAGATTTGTCCACTCTTACGAGTAGAGTTCCTGAGTACATATCAGGGACAAGCCCACCCTCTGTGGAAAAAACCAGCTCTTCCTCTTCCCTTCTGTCTTTACCAGCAATAACCTCACCGTCCCCTGTACCTACTACATTACCAGAAAGTAGGCCGTCTTCTCCTGTTCATCTGACTTCACTCCCCACCTCTGGCCTAGTGAAGACCACAGATATGCTGGCATCTGTGGCCAGTTTACCTCCAAACTTGGGCAGCACCTCACATAAGATACCGACTACTTCAGAAGACATTAAAGATACAGAGAAAATGTATCCTTCCACAAACATAGCAGTAACCAATGTGGGGACCACCACTTCTGAAAAGGAATCTTATTCGTCTGTCCCAGCCTACTCAGAACCACCCAAAGTCACCTCTCCAATGGTTACCTCTTTCAACATAAGGGACACCATTGTTTCCACATCCATGCCTGGCTCCTCTGAGATTACAAGGATTGAGATGGAGTCAACATTCTCCCTGGCTCATGGGCTGAAGGGAACCAGCACCTCCCAGGACCCCATCGTATCCACAGAGAAAAGTGCTGTCCTTCACAAGTTGACCACTGGTGCTACTGAGACCTCTAGGACAGAAGTTGCCTCTTCTAGAAGAACATCCATTCCAGGCCCTGATCATTCCACAGAGTCACCAGACATCTCCACTGAAGTGATCCCCAGCCTGCCTATCTCCCTTGGCATTACAGAATCTTCAAATATGACCATCATCACTCGAACAGGTCCTCCTCTTGGCTCTACATCACAGGGCACATTTACCTTGGACACACCAACTACATCCTCCAGGGCAGGAACACACTCGATGGCGACTCAGGAATTTCCACACTCAGAAATGACCACTGTCATGAACAAGGACCCTGAGATTCTATCATGGACAATCCCTCCTTCTATAGAGAAAACCAGCTTCTCCTCTTCCCTGATGCCTTCACCAGCCATGACTTCACCTCCTGTTTCCTCAACATTACCAAAGACCATTCACACCACTCCTTCTCCTATGACCTCACTGCTCACCCCTAGCCTAGTGATGACCACAGACACATTGGGCACAAGCCCAGAACCTACAACCAGTTCACCTCCAAATTTGAGCAGTACCTCACATGAGATACTGACAACAGATGAAGACACCACAGCTATAGAAGCCATGCATCCTTCCACAAGCACAGCAGCGACTAATGTGGAAACCACCAGTTCTGGACATGGGTCACAATCCTCTGTCCTAGCTGACTCAGAAAAAACCAAGGCCACAGCTCCAATGGATACCACCTCCACCATGGGGCATACAACTGTTTCCACATCAATGTCTGTTTCCTCTGAGACTACAAAAATTAAGAGAGAGTCAACATATTCCTTGACTCCTGGACTGAGAGAGACCAGCATTTCCCAAAATGCCAGCTTTTCCACTGACACAAGTATTGTTCTTTCAGAAGTCCCCACTGGTACTACTGCTGAGGTCTCCAGGACAGAAGTCACCTCCTCTGGTAGAACATCCATCCCTGGCCCTTCTCAGTCCACAGTTTTGCCAGAAATATCCACAAGAACAATGACAAGGCTCTTTGCCTCGCCCACCATGACAGAATCAGCAGAAATGACCATCCCCACTCAAACAGGTCCTTCTGGGTCTACCTCACAGGATACCCTTACCTTGGACACATCCACCACAAAGTCCCAGGCAAAGACTCATTCAACTTTGACTCAGAGATTTCCACACTCAGAGATGACCACTCTCATGAGCAGAGGTCCTGGAGATATGTCATGGCAAAGCTCTCCCTCTCTGGAAAATCCCAGCTCTCTCCCTTCCCTGCTGTCTTTACCTGCCACAACCTCACCTCCTCCCATTTCCTCCACATTACCAGTGACTATCTCCTCCTCTCCTCTTCCTGTGACTTCACTTCTCACCTCTAGCCCGGTAACGACCACAGACATGTTACACACAAGCCCAGAACTTGTAACCAGTTCACCTCCAAAGCTGAGCCACACTTCAGATGAGAGACTGACCACTGGCAAGGACACCACAAATACAGAAGCTGTGCATCCTTCCACAAACACAGCAGCGTCCAATGTGGAGATTCCCAGCTCTGGACATGAATCCCCTTCCTCTGCCTTAGCTGACTCAGAGACATCCAAAGCCACATCACCAATGTTTATTACCTCCACCCAGGAGGATACAACTGTTGCCATATCAACCCCTCACTTCTTGGAGACTAGCAGAATTCAGAAAGAGTCAATTTCCTCCCTGAGCCCTAAATTGAGGGAGACAGGCAGTTCTGTGGAGACAAGCTCAGCCATAGAGACAAGTGCTGTCCTTTCTGAAGTGTCCATTGGTGCTACTACTGAGATCTCCAGGACAGAAGTCACCTCCTCTAGCAGAACATCCATCTCTGGTTCTGCTGAGTCCACAATGTTGCCAGAAATATCCACCACAAGAAAAATCATTAAGTTCCCTACTTCCCCCATCCTGGCAGAATCATCAGAAATGACCATCAAGACCCAAACAAGTCCTCCTGGGTCTACATCAGAGAGTACCTTTACATTAGACACATCAACCACTCCCTCCTTGGTAATAACCCATTCGACTATGACTCAGAGATTGCCACACTCAGAGATAACCACTCTTGTGAGTAGAGGTGCTGGGGATGTGCCACGGCCCAGCTCTCTCCCTGTGGAAGAAACAAGCCCTCCATCTTCCCAGCTGTCTTTATCTGCCATGATCTCACCTTCTCCTGTTTCTTCCACATTACCAGCAAGTAGCCACTCCTCTTCTGCTTCTGTGACTTCACTTCTCACACCAGGCCAAGTGAAGACTACTGAGGTGTTGGACGCAAGTGCAGAACCTGAAACCAGTTCACCTCCAAGTTTGAGCAGCACCTCAGTTGAAATACTGGCCACCTCTGAAGTCACCACAGATACGGAGAAAATTCATCCTTTCTCAAACACGGCAGTAACCAAAGTTGGAACTTCCAGTTCTGGACATGAATCCCCTTCCTCTGTCCTACCTGACTCAGAGACAACCAAAGCCACATCGGCAATGGGTACCATCTCCATTATGGGGGATACAAGTGTTTCTACATTAACTCCTGCCTTATCTAACACTAGGAAAATTCAGTCAGAGCCAGCTTCCTCACTGACCACCAGATTGAGGGAGACCAGCACCTCTGAAGAGACCAGCTTAGCCACAGAAGCAAACACTGTTCTTTCTAAAGTGTCCACTGGTGCTACTACTGAGGTCTCCAGGACAGAAGCCATCTCCTTTAGCAGAACATCCATGTCAGGCCCTGAGCAGTCCACAATGTCACAAGACATCTCCATAGGAACCATCCCCAGGATTTCTGCCTCCTCTGTCCTGACAGAATCTGCAAAAATGACCATCACAACCCAAACAGGTCCTTCGGAGTCTACACTAGAAAGTACCCTTAATTTGAACACAGCAACCACACCCTCTTGGGTGGAAACCCACTCTATAGTAATTCAGGGATTTCCACACCCAGAGATGACCACTTCCATGGGCAGAGGTCCTGGAGGTGTGTCATGGCCTAGCCCTCCCTTTGTGAAAGAAACCAGCCCTCCATCCTCCCCGCTGTCTTTACCTGCCGTGACCTCACCTCATCCTGTTTCCACCACATTCCTAGCACATATCCCCCCCTCTCCCCTTCCTGTGACTTCACTTCTCACCTCTGGCCCGGCGACAACCACAGATATCTTGGGTACAAGCACAGAACCTGGAACCAGTTCATCTTCAAGTTTGAGCACCACCTCCCATGAGAGACTGACCACTTACAAAGACACTGCACATACAGAAGCCGTGCATCCTTCCACAAACACAGGAGGGACCAATGTGGCAACCACCAGCTCTGGATATAAATCACAGTCCTCTGTCCTAGCTGACTCATCTCCAATGTGTACCACCTCCACCATGGGGGATACAAGTGTTCTCACATCAACTCCTGCCTTCCTTGAGACTAGGAGGATTCAGACAGAGCTAGCTTCCTCCCTGACCCCTGGATTGAGGGAGTCCAGCGGCTCTGAAGGGACCAGCTCAGGCACCAAGATGAGCACTGTCCTCTCTAAAGTGCCCACTGGTGCTACTACTGAGATCTCCAAGGAAGACGTCACCTCCATCCCAGGTCCCGCTCAATCCACAATATCACCAGACATCTCCACAAGAACCGTCAGCTGGTTCTCTACATCCCCTGTCATGACAGAATCAGCAGAAATAACCATGAACACCCATACAAGTCCTTTAGGGGCCACAACACAAGGCACCAGTACTTTGGACACGTCAAGCACAACCTCTTTGACAATGACACACTCAACTATATCTCAAGGATTTTCACACTCACAGATGAGCACTCTTATGAGGAGGGGTCCTGAGGATGTATCATGGATGAGCCCTCCCCTTCTGGAAAAAACTAGACCTTCCTTTTCTCTGATGTCTTCACCAGCCACAACTTCACCTTCTCCTGTTTCCTCCACATTACCAGAGAGCATCTCTTCCTCTCCTCTTCCTGTGACTTCACTCCTCACGTCTGGCTTGGCAAAAACTACAGATATGTTGCACAAAAGCTCAGAACCTGTAACCAACTCACCTGCAAATTTGAGCAGCACCTCAGTTGAAATACTGGCCACCTCTGAAGTCACCACAGATACAGAGAAAACTCATCCTTCTTCAAACAGAACAGTGACCGATGTGGGGACCTCCAGTTCTGGACATGAATCCACTTCCTTTGTCCTAGCTGACTCACAGACATCCAAAGTCACATCTCCAATGGTTATTACCTCCACCATGGAGGATACGAGTGTCTCCACATCAACTCCTGGCTTTTTTGAGACTAGCAGAATTCAGACAGAACCAACATCCTCCCTGACCCTTGGACTGAGAAAGACCAGCAGCTCTGAGGGGACCAGCTTAGCCACAGAGATGAGCACTGTCCTTTCTGGAGTGCCCACTGGTGCCACTGCTGAAGTCTCCAGGACAGAAGTCACCTCCTCTAGCAGAACATCCATCTCAGGCTTTGCTCAGCTCACAGTGTCACCAGAGACTTCCACAGAAACCATCACCAGACTCCCTACCTCCAGCATAATGACAGAATCAGCAGAAATGATGATCAAGACACAAACAGATCCTCCTGGGTCTACACCAGAGAGTACTCATACTGTGGACATATCAACAACACCCAACTGGGTAGAAACCCACTCGACTGTGACTCAGAGATTTTCACACTCAGAGATGACCACTCTTGTGAGCAGAAGCCCTGGTGATATGTTATGGCCTAGTCAATCCTCTGTGGAAGAAACCAGCTCTGCCTCTTCCCTGCTGTCTCTGCCTGCCACGACCTCACCTTCTCCTGTTTCCTCTACATTAGTAGAGGATTTCCCTTCCGCTTCTCTTCCTGTGACTTCTCTTCTCAACCCTGGCCTGGTGATAACCACAGACAGGATGGGCATAAGCAGAGAACCTGGAACCAGTTCCACTTCAAATTTGAGCAGCACCTCCCATGAGAGACTGACCACTTTGGAAGACACTGTAGATACAGAAGACATGCAGCCTTCCACACACACAGCAGTGACCAACGTGAGGACCTCCATTTCTGGACATGAATCACAATCTTCTGTCCTATCTGACTCAGAGACACCCAAAGCCACATCTCCAATGGGTACCACCTACACCATGGGGGAAACGAGTGTTTCCATATCCACTTCTGACTTCTTTGAGACCAGCAGAATTCAGATAGAACCAACATCCTCCCTGACTTCTGGATTGAGGGAGACCAGCAGCTCTGAGAGGATCAGCTCAGCCACAGAGGGAAGCACTGTCCTTTCTGAAGTGCCCAGTGGTGCTACCACTGAGGTCTCCAGGACAGAAGTGATATCCTCTAGGGGAACATCCATGTCAGGGCCTGATCAGTTCACCATATCACCAGACATCTCTACTGAAGCGATCACCAGGCTTTCTACTTCCCCCATTATGACAGAATCAGCAGAAAGTGCCATCACTATTGAGACAGGTTCTCCTGGGGCTACATCAGAGGGTACCCTCACCTTGGACACCTCAACAACAACCTTTTGGTCAGGGACCCACTCAACTGCATCTCCAGGATTTTCACACTCAGAGATGACCACTCTTATGAGTAGAACTCCTGGAGATGTGCCATGGCCGAGCCTTCCCTCTGTGGAAGAAGCCAGCTCTGTCTCTTCCTCACTGTCTTCACCTGCCATGACCTCAACTTCTTTTTTCTCCACATTACCAGAGAGCATCTCCTCCTCTCCTCATCCTGTGACTGCACTTCTCACCCTTGGCCCAGTGAAGACCACAGACATGTTGCGCACAAGCTCAGAACCTGAAACCAGTTCACCTCCAAATTTGAGCAGCACCTCAGCTGAAATATTAGCCACGTCTGAAGTCACCAAAGATAGAGAGAAAATTCATCCCTCCTCAAACACACCTGTAGTCAATGTAGGGACTGTGATTTATAAACATCTATCCCCTTCCTCTGTTTTGGCTGACTTAGTGACAACAAAACCCACATCTCCAATGGCTACCACCTCCACTCTGGGGAATACAAGTGTTTCCACATCAACTCCTGCCTTCCCAGAAACTATGATGACACAGCCAACTTCCTCCCTGACTTCTGGATTAAGGGAGATCAGTACCTCTCAAGAGACCAGCTCAGCAACAGAGAGAAGTGCTTCTCTTTCTGGAATGCCCACTGGTGCTACTACTAAGGTCTCCAGAACAGAAGCCCTCTCCTTAGGCAGAACATCCACCCCAGGTCCTGCTCAATCCACAATATCACCAGAAATCTCCACGGAAACCATCACTAGAATTTCTACTCCCCTCACCACGACAGGATCAGCAGAAATGACCATCACCCCCAAAACAGGTCATTCTGGGGCATCCTCACAAGGTACCTTTACCTTGGACACATCAAGCAGAGCCTCCTGGCCAGGAACTCACTCAGCTGCAACTCACAGATCTCCACACTCAGGGATGACCACTCCTATGAGCAGAGGTCCTGAGGATGTGTCATGGCCAAGCCGCCCATCAGTGGAAAAAACTAGCCCTCCATCTTCCCTGGTGTCTTTATCTGCAGTAACCTCACCTTCGCCACTTTATTCCACACCATCTGAGAGTAGCCACTCATCTCCTCTCCGGGTGACTTCTCTTTTCACCCCTGTCATGATGAAGACCACAGACATGTTGGACACAAGCTTGGAACCTGTGACCACTTCACCTCCCAGTATGAATATCACCTCAGATGAGAGTCTGGCCACTTCTAAAGCCACCATGGAGACAGAGGCAATTCAGCTTTCAGAAAACACAGCTGTGACTCAGATGGGCACCATCAGCGCTAGACAAGAATTCTATTCCTCTTATCCAGGCCTCCCAGAGCCATCCAAAGTGACATCTCCAGTGGTCACCTCTTCCACCATAAAAGACATTGTTTCTACAACCATACCTGCTTCCTCTGAGATAACAAGAATTGAGATGGAGTCAACATCCACCCTGACCCCCACACCAAGGGAGACCAGCACCTCCCAGGAGATCCACTCAGCCACAAAGCCAAGCACTGTTCCTTACAAGGCACTCACTAGTGCCACGATTGAGGACTCCATGACACAAGTCATGTCCTCTAGCAGAGGACCTAGCCCTGATCAGTCCACAATGTCACAAGACATATCCACTGAAGTGATCACCAGGCTCTCTACCTCCCCCATCAAGACAGAATCTACAGAAATGACCATTACCACCCAAACAGGTTCTCCTGGGGCTACATCAAGGGGTACCCTTACCTTGGACACTTCAACAACTTTTATGTCAGGGACCCACTCAACTGCATCTCAAGGATTTTCACACTCACAGATGACCGCTCTTATGAGTAGAACTCCTGGAGATGTGCCATGGCTAAGCCATCCCTCTGTGGAAGAAGCCAGCTCTGCCTCTTTCTCACTGTCTTCACCTGTCATGACCTCATCTTCTCCCGTTTCTTCCACATTACCAGACAGCATCCACTCTTCTTCGCTTCCTGTGACATCACTTCTCACCTCAGGGCTGGTGAAGACCACAGAGCTGTTGGGCACAAGCTCAGAACCTGAAACCAGTTCACCCCCAAATTTGAGCAGCACCTCAGCTGAAATACTGGCCATCACTGAAGTCACTACAGATACAGAGAAACTGGAGATGACCAATGTGGTAACCTCAGGTTATACACATGAATCTCCTTCCTCTGTCCTAGCTGACTCAGTGACAACAAAGGCCACATCTTCAATGGGTATCACCTACCCCACAGGAGATACAAATGTTCTCACATCAACCCCTGCCTTCTCTGACACCAGTAGGATTCAAACAAAGTCAAAGCTCTCACTGACTCCTGGGTTGATGGAGACCAGCATCTCTGAAGAGACCAGCTCTGCCACAGAAAAAAGCACTGTCCTTTCTAGTGTGCCCACTGGTGCTACTACTGAGGTCTCCAGGACAGAAGCCATCTCTTCTAGCAGAACATCCATCCCAGGCCCTGCTCAATCCACAATGTCATCAGACACCTCCATGGAAACCATCACTAGAATTTCTACCCCCCTCACAAGGAAAGAATCAACAGACATGGCCATCACCCCCAAAACAGGTCCTTCTGGGGCTACCTCGCAGGGTACCTTTACCTTGGACTCATCAAGCACAGCCTCCTGGCCAGGAACTCACTCAGCTACAACTCAGAGATTTCCACAGTCAGTGGTGACAACTCCTATGAGCAGAGGTCCTGAGGATGTGTCATGGCCAAGCCCGCTGTCTGTGGAAAAAAACAGCCCTCCATCTTCCCTGGTATCTTCATCTTCAGTAACCTCACCTTCGCCACTTTATTCCACACCATCTGGGAGTAGCCACTCCTCTCCTGTCCCTGTCACTTCTCTTTTCACCTCTATCATGATGAAGGCCACAGACATGTTGGATGCAAGTTTGGAACCTGAGACCACTTCAGCTCCCAATATGAATATCACCTCAGATGAGAGTCTGGCCGCTTCTAAAGCCACCACGGAGACAGAGGCAATTCACGTTTTTGAAAATACAGCAGCGTCCCATGTGGAAACCACCAGTGCTACAGAGGAACTCTATTCCTCTTCCCCAGGCTTCTCAGAGCCAACAAAAGTGATATCTCCAGTGGTCACCTCTTCCTCTATAAGAGACAACATGGTTTCCACAACAATGCCTGGCTCCTCTGGCATTACAAGGATTGAGATAGAGTCAATGTCATCTCTGACCCCTGGACTGAGGGAGACCAGAACCTCCCAGGACATCACCTCATCCACAGAGACAAGCACTGTCCTTTACAAGATGCCCTCTGGTGCCACTCCTGAGGTCTCCAGGACAGAAGTTATGCCCTCTAGCAGAACATCCATTCCTGGCCCTGCTCAGTCCACAATGTCACTAGACATCTCCGATGAAGTTGTCACCAGGCTGTCTACCTCTCCCATCATGACAGAATCTGCAGAAATAACCATCACCACCCAAACAGGTTATTCTCTGGCTACATCCCAGGTTACCCTTCCCTTGGGCACCTCAATGACCTTTTTGTCAGGGACCCACTCAACTATGTCTCAAGGACTTTCACACTCAGAGATGACCAATCTTATGAGCAGGGGTCCTGAAAGTCTGTCATGGACGAGCCCTCGCTTTGTGGAAACAACTAGATCTTCCTCTTCTCTGACATCATTACCTCTCACGACCTCACTTTCTCCTGTGTCCTCCACATTACTAGACAGTAGCCCCTCCTCTCCTCTTCCTGTGACTTCACTTATCCTCCCAGGCCTGGTGAAGACTACAGAAGTGTTGGATACAAGCTCAGAGCCTAAAACCAGTTCATCTCCAAATTTGAGCAGCACCTCAGTTGAAATACCGGCCACCTCTGAAATCATGACAGATACAGAGAAAATTCATCCTTCCTCAAACACAGCGGTGGCCAAAGTGAGGACCTCCAGTTCTGTTCATGAATCTCATTCCTCTGTCCTAGCTGACTCAGAAACAACCATAACCATACCTTCAATGGGTATCACCTCCGCTGTGGACGATACCACTGTTTTCACATCAAATCCTGCCTTCTCTGAGACTAGGAGGATTCCGACAGAGCCAACATTCTCATTGACTCCTGGATTCAGGGAGACTAGCACCTCTGAAGAGACCACCTCAATCACAGAAACAAGTGCAGTCCTTTATGGAGTGCCCACTAGTGCTACTACTGAAGTCTCCATGACAGAAATCATGTCCTCTAATAGAATACACATCCCTGACTCTGATCAGTCCACGATGTCTCCAGACATCATCACTGAAGTGATCACCAGGCTCTCTTCCTCATCCATGATGTCAGAATCAACACAAATGACCATCACCACCCAAAAAAGTTCTCCTGGGGCTACAGCACAGAGTACTCTTACCTTGGCCACAACAACAGCCCCCTTGGCAAGGACCCACTCAACTGTTCCTCCTAGATTTTTACACTCAGAGATGACAACTCTTATGAGTAGGAGTCCTGAAAATCCATCATGGAAGAGCTCTCTCTTTGTGGAAAAAACTAGCTCTTCATCTTCTCTGTTGTCCTTACCTGTCACGACCTCACCTTCTGTTTCTTCCACATTACCGCAGAGTATCCCTTCCTCCTCTTTTTCTGTGACTTCACTCCTCACCCCAGGCATGGTGAAGACTACAGACACAAGCACAGAACCTGGAACCAGTTTATCTCCAAATCTGAGTGGCACCTCAGTTGAAATACTGGCTGCCTCTGAAGTCACCACAGATACAGAGAAAATTCATCCTTCTTCAAGCATGGCAGTGACCAATGTGGGAACCACCAGTTCTGGACATGAACTATATTCCTCTGTTTCAATCCACTCGGAGCCATCCAAGGCTACATACCCAGTGGGTACTCCCTCTTCCATGGCTGAAACCTCTATTTCCACATCAATGCCTGCTAATTTTGAGACCACAGGATTTGAGGCTGAGCCATTTTCTCATTTGACTTCTGGATTTAGGAAGACAAACATGTCCCTGGACACCAGCTCAGTCACACCAACAAATACACCTTCTTCTCCTGGGTCCACTCACCTTTTACAGAGTTCCAAGACTGATTTCACCTCTTCTGCAAAAACATCATCCCCAGACTGGCCTCCAGCCTCACAGTATACTGAAATTCCAGTGGACATAATCACCCCCTTTAATGCTTCTCCATCTATTACGGAGTCCACTGGGATAACCTCCTTCCCAGAATCCAGGTTTACTATGTCTGTAACAGAAAGTACTCATCATCTGAGTACAGATTTGCTGCCTTCAGCTGAGACTATTTCCACTGGCACAGTGATGCCTTCTCTATCAGAGGCCATGACTTCATTTGCCACCACTGGAGTTCCACGAGCCATCTCAGGTTCAGGTAGTCCATTCTCTAGGACAGAGTCAGGCCCTGGGGATGCTACTCTGTCCACCATTGCAGAGAGCCTGCCTTCATCCACTCCTGTGCCATTCTCCTCTTCAACCTTCACTACCACTGATTCTTCAACCATCCCAGCCCTCCATGAGATAACTTCCTCTTCAGCTACCCCATATAGAGTGGACACCAGTCTTGGGACAGAGAGCAGCACTACTGAAGGACGCTTGGTTATGGTCAGTACTTTGGACACTTCAAGCCAACCAGGCAGGACATCTTCATCACCCATTTTGGATACCAGAATGACAGAGAGCGTTGAGCTGGGAACAGTGACAAGTGCTTATCAAGTTCCTTCACTCTCAACACGGTTGACAAGTAAGGACCCACAGCCCCTACAATCCCATTATTGGGGGCTCATAGGAAATGACCCCTTCCTAAGAAGCAAAAAAAGAGTTAACTAGTTTATTCCTGTACCAGAAATTCTCTTAGCAAACATGTGTTTATCTAATTTCACTCCTAGGCACTGGGTTAAGGAATTGGAGAAACAAAAATAAGCAAATAATTGAATCATTACAGTATCGTGATAGGTGCTCTAATATTACTACTAGTAATGATGATGATGACAATAAGAATGACAACAGAAAATATTTATAACAGTACTTACTCTGTTTCAAGTGCAGTTTTATTAAGCTATTTGATCCTCAATTGTAACACTAATTGAAGTAGAGATTATTAGAAGCCTATTTTGGAGATGAAGACATTTAGGCACAGGGAGATTAAGTAACTTTCTTAAGTCCATATAGCTAGAAAGCAATAGAACTAGGATAAGAACTCAAATTGTGTGTCACTAGGAACTCATGCTCCTAACTGCTGGGCTAAACAGGAGTGGTCAGAGAGGTAACAGAAAAGGCAAGAAGTTCTGGCATCACAGAAGCCACAGGAGGGGAGGGTTTTAGGAAGGAGAAATGGTAAGTTCTGTTAAATACCACAGAATTGCCAAGTTGAAATGAGGTGAGAAGTGCTTTGGCAACATGGGGGTTCTCAGGGATTCTAATGAAGGGAGCATCAGTGAGGTATAGGGCATTAGAAGAACAGCTAAAATACTACGTAGACGTAAGGGAGGGTTTCTCCCTTTGAGTTGAGCAAGAGACAAAAGGGATAAGTGAAAGGAAAAAGTGAATTAATGAAAATAGAGGGAACAAAGTACCTAAGAAGGTAGAAGACACCCAGAGCCTAGAAGGAGGAAACACTACTTCCAAGAGGTCAGTAGATAAAGGAAGGAACTTCTTGGGGATTCCATTCCTCTGAAAGGGTTGAGCTTGGCACCAACTTTTGTTCTGGACACAAATCCAAAGAGGCCCTCCAACGACTCGAGTTTCTGCCTCACTGGACAATATCTCCAGGAGAATGATTTGCTCCCTCTCCTTCTTCACATTATTTTGTAATTCACACTAAATTTAGACACATTGGTGGCTATTGACCCATATGTTACTATGTGACTCAGTAGTTGAGTCACGGGTGTTCAGTAAGCAAGTGATGAATGGCATGGCGAGAAGGGAGAAGTGTAGTTGGATGGATAAAAGGAAGAATGGAGAGAAGAGTGAATGGAAGGAAGCAAAGATGAAGCGGAGGAAGGATAGATGCACAGAAGGAAGGATGAAAAGAAAGAAAGATGATGGAAGACAGGATTGAAGGGGATATAGATTGAAGGAAAGAAAGGTAGAAGGATGAAATGAAGTAAAGATTGAAGAAAAGATGGATGGAAAGAAGAAAGGAGGGTGCACAAAAAATCTCACACTTCACCACATATGATTCATCCATATAAGAAAAAACCACTTGTACCCTCAAAGCTATTGAAATACAAACTTTTAAATTAAAATTTTAAAAAGCAAGAGAAAGGAAAGAAGGGAGGAAAGACAAAAGGAAGAATGGGTGATAGAAGGAAAGAATAAAAGGAAGAAAAAATGGAAGAATAGATGATCAGATCTAGGGATGAATGAAAGGAAGGATGGACAAATCTATAGGTAGGTGGATGGATCTATGGACAGGTGTGGCCACTTATGGCACATAGTCCCAGCTCCAGTTCATACTGATGGACTTGAGGAGTGTTTGTGGCCAATGAAGTGGATCCATTTAGACAGTGCTCTTCTTCTGAATGAGATGAGTTACCCCAGTTTTTCTCCCCACCTTCATCTTCAGGAACTGATGGCATTATGGAACACATCACAAAAATACCCAATGAAGCAGCACACAGAGGTACCATAAGACCAGTCAAAGGCCCTCAGACATCCACTTCGCCTGCCAGTCCTAAAGGTAGGTTTAACTTTGCTTACCTCCCAGTAATGCCACTCGTGACCATATTTCCTCCTCCAGAGAGACAAAATGTTTGTATTCTTTAGAGAGAGAATTGTGTGTGGTTGTCATAGGTTTCCCTGTCTGAACTGAGTCTTTATCTAATGGTTACCAGGCAGATGTTACCACTTCTCTTTCTCCTCATGGCATGCTGAGTGAGTTTTGTCCAACATCAAATATTCACAAATTTGTCCATATTAACCAAATTTTAAAAATGCTCATTAAAAACTTACTATGAGCTGGGCGCAGTGGCTCATGCCTGTAATCCCAATACTTTGGGAGGCTGAGGTGGGTGGATCACCTGAGGTCAAAAATTCGAGACCAGTCTGACCAAAATGGTGAAACTCCATCTCTACTGAAAATATAAAAATTAGCCGGGCATGGTGGCACACACCTGTAATCACAGCTACTCAGGAGGCTGAGGCAAGAGAGTCACTTGAACCCAGGAGGTAGAGGCTGCAGTGAGCTGAGATTGTGCCAATGCACTCCAGCCTGGGTGGCAGAGCAAGACTCCAGCTCAAAAATAAATAAATAAATTATATATATATATATATATTTTATTTAAATAAAATATACTATATATATATGTATATATATATGTATGTATATATATATATGTATGTATATATATATATATATATATATATATATATATAGAGAGAGAGAGAGAGAGAGAGAGAGAGAGAGACAGAGTATGTCTGAAAATGCATCCCAATAGTTCTAGCAAATGTAGGAAAAGGAAGTATAAATTAACAGCCTTTATGTATGCCCTGGTTGAAAAACAGACATAACTCTCTTGTAAGAGAAACTTCACAAAAATATCTAGGATTATATCTCCCATGATGAAAAATTTGGAACTGTACATTTTTTTTAACTGTCACTTAAATAAAGAAGATGGGTGAGCTCCTGGGTTATTTTTGTTTGTCATCACTGGAGAGCTAAATCACAATATGTAAGTACAATGGGGGGAATAAAAACACGATATAAATGTAAGATGGTTTATGACATCACTGTTATATGTTTTCTTTGTCACAATATTTAGTAATTCCTCCTTCTGTTTTGAATAAAGTCTGAAACAAAATTTTCACTTTAAAAGGCAGTAATATGAAATACATAAATAAATAAAAATCTGGGTTTCTCAACTTTGACACTATTGTCATTTGGGGCAGATACTTCTCTGCGATGGGGGCTGTGCTGTGCGTTGTAGGATGTTTACCAGCCTCTCTGGCCTCTGTTCTAGATGCCATACCTTCTGCCCACACACAGTTGTGACAACCAAAAATATCTCCAGACATTGTTAAGTGTCCCCTGGAAGCAAAACTGCCCCTGGTTGAGAACCACTGAACTGGAGAATGCATCCTAAGATCCATCTTACTAGATGGGCGTTTTCACCTCACTTCATTCTCTTTCCATTCTGGTCCCCACAAGATCCAGAAGTTCCTTTAGTGAATTAATATAATGCAATGGTTAATAATATGGGTTTAGGATTTAGATACGATGATGTTCAAGTTTTTGCCCTGTCAATAGCTGTGTGTGACCTTGGTAAATTGTGGTCTCTGGATTTCTCTTTCTCTCCTGTAAAATGACAAGAATTATACAATGTGCATTTTATTTTATTTTATCTCACTTTATTTATTTATTTATTTGAGGTGGAGTCTTGCTCTGTCACCCAAGCTGGAGTGCAGAGGTGCAATCTCGGCTCCCTGCAACCTCCATCCCCTGAGTTTGAGTCATTCTCCTGCCTCAGCCTCCCGAGTAGCTGGGATTACAGATGCACGCCACTAAGCCTGGCTAATTTTTGTATTTTTAGTAGAGATGGGGTTTGACCATGTTGACCAGGCTGGTCTAGAACTCCTGACCTCAGGTGATCCGCCCACCTCGTCCTCCCAAAATGCTGGGATTACAGGCATGAGCCACCGCGCCTGGCCAGAATGTGCCATTTAATGTTCTTGTGAGGTTTAAAAAGACAGTGCATGTCAAGTGCTTTGCAATTGCTCCTCCTCCTCCTTCCCATCAACATAATCACCATCATGGTCACCATTATTGTTAGATACACATGAAGCACTTGAGAGTGCATTCTCAGACATATTGTTTTTAGAGGATATCCAGCAACACAGGGACACTGCTCCATAATCAGAGTCAAAATCCCTTTCATTTTACCCCCTTTCTCTACCAAGCTCCAGTAGGCTTTGTGGGCTTTATAGAGAAGCCTCCAGTTAGTTCTTCCTCTTCCCTAGGAACCATTTTCTAAAGCCTGGTCAGCAGCTGCTGTCTCATCAATGCTACTGGAATCTTGTTCAAAGGTATTCCAGTCACCTTGGTCAGCTCTGGTAGTGTCTAGTGTGGTTGGTGGAGAATTCTATTTAGCAAATGTTTATTTTGTAGTAGAATTATTAGTAGTGACAGTAGTAATGGTAAGTAGTAGTGGTAGTAACAATAGCAGCAATAGCACTAGTAAGTAGTAGTAACTGTAGCAATAACCATAGCAATAAGCAGTAATACTAGTAGTAATAGTAGTGATAATGGCAGTAATGGTATGTAGAGTTGTGTTGGTAGTAACAGTAGTAGCAGTAGGTAGTAGCAGTGGTAGTAGTGACAGTAGAAATCATAAGTAATAGTGCTAGCAACAATAGTATTAATAGTAGTAACCATAGTAATAACATAGTAATAACCATAGCAATAGGCAGTAATATTAGTAGTAACAGTAGTAATAACAGCAGTAATGACAGAGCACTACCATTACTGCTGTTACTCTACTGTAGGTAGAGTAGTAATATTAAGTGGTAGTGATAGTAATAATAGTAATAGCAACAGCAGTAGTAATAGTAAGTAGCAGTAACCATAGTAATAACCATAGTGATAGGTAGTAATAGTTGTGGTAACAGTAGTAATAACTGCAGTAATGGTAGGTAGAGTGGTGGTAGTAGTAACAGTAGTAGTAGCAGTGGTAGCAGTAACAGTAGCAATAGTAATAGTGGTAGTAACAGTAGTAGCAGTACTAGTAGTAGTAATCATAGTAATAACCATTGCAATAGGTAGTAGTAACAGTAGCAATAACAGCAGTAATGGTAGGTGGAGAAGTGATAGTAATAACAGTAGCAATAGCAGGTCATAGTCGTGGTAATAGTAGTAATGTCTTATCGTGACCCAGGAGGCACTGTGCTTGGCGCCTTTTTACCAACACTTTGAGATGGCCATTGTACTTATCCCCACTTTATAGACGGGAAAATGGAGGTCCAGCAATATTTTTTAACTTAAAGAGCCACCCATCTCTTTAGAGAAAGAGCCAGAATCCCAGGCAGGGCTATCTTATTCCAGAGCCCAAGCTCTCAAACACATGATACACAATACTTAATCTCTCTCAAGTCAGAGGAGATCCACTTAAGTATACATCCATCCACATATTCATTCATTCAATCATTCAACAAATATTAGTTGAGCACTTACCGTATGCCAAACAGTCAAACGTGAATAGCTGTTACAAATGAGACTGTGAAGGATGGTACAACGCAGATTCAGACAGTGTGATAAGGAAATATTGAGAAGCAAAGATGAGTTCTGGAGTGAATTTGTAAAGGTGGATGTGGGCTTGGATTTCAATAATGGCAGAACTTAAGGAATCTGATGAGAAGTGGGCACTTCAGGCAGAGAGAAGAGCTTGAACAAGGCTCAGAGGCTGACAGTGCAGGAAACACATGGGAAGAGGGAATAGAGTAGCGGTCAAGAATTCACAGAGGAGTTATAGGTGAAGATGCAACCAAGTTACAGACCAAGGTAAGATAGGGGAATACCAATCACAATCTCTTTTCCCATTCCAGAAGCATCCCAGACACATCCTAGTAACCGAGAGACATTTCTCTCCCTTTCCTCCTGTGGAGAATAAATAAGCTATTGCAAGTCCAGTAAGTGTAATCATTTTGTTCAAATTGTGTGCCCATTCCCCAATTTACAGGACTACACACAGGAGGGACAAAAAGAATGGAGACCACCACCACAGCTCTGAAGACCACCACCACAGCTCTGAAGACCACTTCCAGAGCCACCTTGACCACCAGTGTCTATACTCCCACTTTGGGAACACTGACTCCCCTCAATGCATCAATGCAAATGGCCAGCACAATCCCCACAGAAATGATGATCACAACCCCATATGTTTTCCCTGATGTTCCAGAAACGACATCCTCATTGGCTACCAGCCTGGGAGCAGAAACCAGCACAGCTCTTCCCAGGACAACCCCATCTGTTTTCAATAGAGAATCAGAGACCACAGCCTCACTGGTCTCTCGTTCTGGGGCAGAGAGAAGTCCGGTTATTCAAACTCTAGATGTTTCTTCTAGTGAGCCAGATACAACAGCTTCATGGGTTATCCATCCTGCAGAGACCATCCCAACTGTTTCCAAGACAACCCCCAATTTTTTCCACAGTGAATTAGACACTGTATCTTCCACAGCCACCAGTCATGGGGCAGACGTCAGCTCAGCCATTCCAACAAATATCTCACCTAGTGAACTAGATGCACTGACCCCACTGGTCACTATTTCGGGGACAGATACTAGTACAACATTCCCAACACTGACTAAGTCCCCACATGAAACAGAGACAAGAACCACATGGCTCACTCATCCTGCAGAGACCAGCTCAACTATTCCCAGAACAATCCCCAATTTTTCTCATCATGAATCAGATGCCACACCTTCAATAGCCACCAGTCCTGGGGCAGAAACCAGTTCAGCTATTCCAATTATGACTGTCTCACCTGGTGCAGAAGATCTGGTGACCTCACAGGTCACTAGTTCTGGGACAGACAGAAATATGACTATTCCAACTTTGACTCTTTCTCCTGGTGAACCAAAGACGATAGCCTCATTAGTCACCCATCCTGAAGCACAGACAAGTTCGGCCATTCCAACTTCAACTATCTCGCCTGCTGTATCACGGTTGGTGACCTCAATGGTCACCAGTTTGGCGGCAAAGACAAGTACAACTAATCGAGCTCTGACAAACTCCCCTGGTGAACCAGCTACAACAGTTTCATTGGTCACGCATCCTGCACAGACCAGCCCAACAGTTCCCTGGACAACTTCCATTTTTTTCCATAGTAAATCAGACACCACACCTTCAATGACCACCAGTCATGGGGCAGAATCCAGTTCAGCTGTTCCAACTCCAACTGTTTCAACTGAGGTACCAGGAGTAGTGACCCCTTTGGTCACCAGTTCTAGGGCAGTGATCAGTACAACTATTCCAATTCTGACTCTTTCTCCTGGTGAACCAGAGACCACACCTTCAATGGCCACCAGTCATGGGGAAGAAGCCAGTTCTGCTATTCCAACTCCAACTGTTTCACCTGGGGTACCAGGAGTGGTGACCTCTCTGGTCACTAGTTCTAGGGCAGTGACTAGTACAACTATTCCAATTCTGACTTTTTCTCTTGGTGAACCAGAGACCACACCTTCAATGGCCACCAGTCATGGGACAGAAGCTGGCTCAGCTGTTCCAACTGTTTTACCTGAGGTACCAGGAATGGTGACCTCTCTGGTTGCTAGTTCTAGGGCAGTAACCAGTACAACTCTTCCAACTCTGACTCTTTCTCCTGGTGAACCAGAGACCACACCTTCAATGGCCACCAGTCATGGGGCAGAAGCCAGCTCAACTGTTCCAACTGTTTCACCTGAGGTACCAGGAGTGGTGACCTCTCTGGTCACTAGTTCTAGTGGAGTAAACAGTACAAGTATTCCAACTCTGATTCTTTCTCCTGGTGAACTAGAAACCACACCTTCAATGGCCACCAGTCATGGGGCAGAAGCCAGCTCAGCTGTTCCAACTCCAACTGTTTCACCTGGGGTATCAGGAGTGGTGACCCCTCTGGTCACTAGTTCCAGGGCAGTGACCAGTACAACTATTCCAATTCTAACTCTTTCTTCTAGTGAGCCAGAGACCACACCTTCAATGGCCACCAGTCATGGGGTAGAAGCCAGCTCAGCTGTTCTAACTGTTTCACCTGAGGTACCAGGAATGGTGACCTCTCTGGTCACTAGTTCTAGAGCAGTAACCAGTACAACTATTCCAACTCTGACTATTTCTTCTGATGAACCAGAGACCACAACTTCATTGGTCACCCATTCTGAGGCAAAGATGATTTCAGCCATTCCAACTTTAGCTGTCTCCCCTACTGTACAAGGGCTGGTGACTTCACTGGTCACTAGTTCTGGGTCAGAGACCAGTGCGTTTTCAAATCTAACTGTTGCCTCAAGTCAACCAGAGACCATAGACTCATGGGTCGCTCATCCTGGGACAGAAGCAAGTTCTGTTGTTCCAACTTTGACTGTCTCCACTGGTGAGCCGTTTACAAATATCTCATTGGTCACCCATCCTGCAGAGAGTAGCTCAACTCTTCCCAGGACAACCTCAAGGTTTTCCCACAGTGAATTAGACACTATGCCTTCTACAGTCACCAGTCCTGAGGCAGAATCCAGCTCAGCCATTTCAACAACTATTTCACCTGGTATACCAGGTGTGCTGACATCACTGGTCACTAGCTCTGGGAGAGACATCAGTGCAACTTTTCCAACAGTGCCTGAGTCCCCACATGAATCAGAGGCAACAGCCTCATGGGTTACTCATCCTGCAGTCACCAGCACAACAGTTCCCAGGACAACCCCTAATTATTCTCATAGTGAACCAGACACCACACCATCAATAGCCACCAGTCCTGGGGCAGAAGCCACTTCAGATTTTCCAACAATAACTGTCTCACCTGATGTACCAGATATGGTAACCTCACAGGTCACTAGTTCTGGGACAGACACCAGTATAACTATTCCAACTCTGACTCTTTCTTCTGGTGAGCCAGAGACCACAACCTCATTTATCACCTATTCTGAGACACACACAAGTTCAGCCATTCCAACTCTCCCTGTCTCCCCTGGTGCATCAAAGATGCTGACCTCACTGGTCATCAGTTCTGGGACAGACAGCACTACAACTTTCCCAACACTGACGGAGACCCCATATGAACCAGAGACAACAGCCATACAGCTCATTCATCCTGCAGAGACCAACACAATGGTTCCCAGGACAACTCCCAAGTTTTCCCATAGTAAGTCAGACACCACACTCCCAGTAGCCATCACCAGTCCTGGGCCAGAAGCCAGTTCAGCTGTTTCAACGACAACTATCTCACCTGATATGTCAGATCTGGTGACCTCACTGGTCCCTAGTTCTGGGACAGACACCAGTACAACCTTCCCAACATTGAGTGAGACCCCATATGAACCAGAGACTACAGCCACGTGGCTCACTCATCCTGCAGAAACCAGCACAACGGTTTCTGGGACAATTCCCAACTTTTCCCATAGGGGATCAGACACTGCACCCTCAATGGTCACCAGTCCTGGAGTAGACACGAGGTCAGGTGTTCCAACTACAACCATCCCACCCAGTATACCAGGGGTAGTGACCTCACAGGTCACTAGTTCTGCAACAGACACTAGTACAGCTATTCCAACTTTGACTCCTTCTCCTGGTGAACCAGAGACCACAGCCTCATCAGCTACCCATCCTGGGACACAGACTGGCTTCACTGTTCCAATTCGGACTGTTCCCTCTAGTGAGCCAGATACAATGGCTTCCTGGGTCACTCATCCTCCACAGACCAGCACACCTGTTTCCAGAACAACCTCCAGTTTTTCCCATAGTAGTCCAGATGCCACACCTGTAATGGCCACCAGTCCTAGGACAGAAGCCAGTTCAGCTGTACTGACAACAATCTCACCTGGTGCACCAGAGATGGTGACTTCACAGATCACTAGTTCTGGGGCAGCAACCAGTACAACTGTTCCAACTTTGACTCATTCTCCTGGTATGCCAGAGACCACAGCCTTATTGAGCACCCATCCCAGAACAGAGACAAGTAAAACATTTCCTGCTTCAACTGTGTTTCCTCAAGTATCAGAGACCACAGCCTCACTCACCATTAGACCTGGTGCAGAGACTAGCACAGCTCTCCCAACTCAGACAACATCCTCTCTCTTCACCCTACTTGTAACTGGAACCAGCAGAGTTGATCTAAGTCCAACTGCTTCACCTGGTGTTTCTGCAAAAACAGCCCCACTTTCCACCCATCCAGGGACAGAAACCAGCACAATGATTCCAACTTCAACTCTTTCCCTTGGTTTACTAGAGACTACAGGCTTACTGGCCACCAGCTCTTCAGCAGAGACCAGCACGAGTACTCTAACTCTGACTGTTTCCCCTGCTGTCTCTGGGCTTTCCAGTGCCTCTATAACAACTGATAAGCCCCAAACTGTGACCTCCTGGAACACAGAAACCTCACCATCTGTAACTTCAGTTGGACCCCCAGAATTTTCCAGGACTGTCACAGGCACCACTATGACCTTGATACCATCAGAGATGCCAACACCACCTAAAACCAGTCATGGAGAAGGAGTGAGTCCAACCACTATCTTGAGAACTACAATGGTTGAAGCCACTAATTTAGCTACCACAGGTTCCAGTCCCACTGTGGCCAAGACAACAACCACCTTCAATACACTGGCTGGAAGCCTCTTTACTCCTCTGACCACACCTGGGATGTCCACCTTGGCCTCTGAGAGTGTGACCTCAAGAACAAGTAAGAATAACTTTTTTATTGTGGTAAAATATAAATACTATAAAAATTGCCATTCTAAACATTTTAATTGTACAACTCAGCAGTACTAATACATTCACATTGTTGTGCAACCCTCACCACTATCTGTTTTCAAAACTTTTTTTATCACCCCAAACAGGACTGAAGGAATAATTTCCCATTCCCCATTCTCCCTAGTGCAGTGGTGCAATCTCGGCTCACCACAACCTCTGAACCTCTGTCTCCTGGGTTCAAGCAATTCTCCTGCATCAGCCTCCTGAGTAGTTGGGACTACAGGTGCACGCCACCGTGCCTGGCTAATTTTTGTATTTTTAGTACAGACAGGGTTTTACCATGTTGGTCAGGCTGGTCTCAAACTCCTGACCTCAGGTGGTCCACACGCCTTGGCCTCCCAAAGTGCTGGGATTACAAGTGTGAGACACTGTGCCCGGCCATATCTGTTAGATCTTACTAATCCTGTCAAGAGGATTCAGTGTCCTTTTTTTTTTTTCTTTCTTTTTTTTGATAGAGTCTCCCTCTGGCACCCAGGCTGGAGTGCAGTGGTACGGTCTTGGCTCACTGCAGCCTCCACCTCCCAGACTGAAGCGATTCTCCTGCCTCAGCCTCCCGAATAGCTGGGACTACAGGCGCGTGCCACCACGCCCAGCTAATTTTTGCATTTTTAGTAGAGATGGGATTTCACTATGTTGGCCAGGCTGGTCTCAAACTCCTGATCTCAAGTGATCCGCCCAAGGGCCTCCCAAAGTACTGGGATTACAGGTAGGAGCCACCTCACCTGGCCCTATTTTCGGAATGGATTTTTTTTTAATGTTTAAAATGTCACCTAAGATTATTGTGAAGATCAAATAAGATAAAATCCTAATAACCCAAGTAAACCACAGGGCTCCACTTGGACCAGTCTCAGAAGTTTCAAGAAAATCAGTCAGACCATCAAATGTAAAATAAGTCTAAATTTTCTTTGCACTATTCACAGAGTGCCAAAGAGGATCTAATTCATGTTTCAGAACATACCCTACTTACTAAAATCCCCTTTTCCTCATTTCTTCTCATTCTGCAACTTTATCATCTCCTGCGGACCCCCTAGCCTCTCCCCTCCCCATAGTCAGTCTCTCTCTCTCTCTTTCCCTCCCCTCTTATTATCTCAATTTCACACGAAAGAATTCCAGAAACTATACTGCCAAAAGTCTTTCCTGTCTTTGAAAAGTTGGGAAAGAGGAGAAACTCAGACAGCAATGACAAAATTATACGTAATGGATGAAGGAAACACAAATAAGGCTGGAAACAGAAAATTTTGTCCCCATCATTTATTTAATGAAGGTGGCAGTATTCCAGCCACATAGTGAACCCCCACAATAAGAAGGGGCCTCTGGCGATTGATTATTGTCATTGTTGTTAATGATAATGAGGGTGAGGATATCATGAGCATCAGTGTAGGAGGCAGTTAACTAATAAGACCAAGCTGTTGGCTGGGCGTGCTGGTTCACACCTGCAGTCCCAGCACTTTGGGAGGCCAAAGTGGGTGGATCACTTGAGGTCAGGAGTTCAAGACTAGCCTGGCCAACATGGTGAAACCTGGTCTCTACCAAAAATACAAAAATTAGTCAGGTGTGGTGGCGTGTGCCTGTAATGACAACTACTTGGGAGGCTGAGGCAGGAGAATCACTTGAACCTGGGAGGCGGAGGCTGCAGTGAGATGAGCTTGAACCACTGCACTCCAGCCCGGGCAACAGAGAGAGACTCTTGTCTCAAAAAACAAAACAAACAAACAAAAACTAAACCAAACAAAAAAAGACTAGCTGTTATTCATTTATTTATTTATTTATTTAGAGACGGAGTCTCGCTCTGTCACCCAGGCTGGAGTGCAGCGGCACAATCTTGGCTCACTGCAACCTCTGCCTCCCAGGTTCATGTGATTCTCCCGCCTCAGCCTCCCCAGCTGTTGTTATTCATGAATGAACCTCAGAGAAAGCACACAGGAGGGTTGGTGCACCTGTGTTTTGAGTTCTACCCCTCCTTCCTCTCTTAACTTCCTCCTGTCTTCTCACTCTGATTCGTTCTTCCTTCCTCTCCCTCTCTCTCTGCAGGTTATAACCATCGGTCCTGGATCTCCACCACCAGCAGTGAGTAAACATGGCCCTGAAGTCCCTATGCCCTGGGAATTCTTCCTCCCTAAGCCTGCCTTCCAGGAGGAAAGTATCCCCCATTCCCTAGGTTCTCATCCCCACAGAAACTCCAGAATAGCAAAAGTCTCAGGCTGAGCCAAGGCACAGATGCCAGTGCTCACCAAGAGTCCTATTCTCCCCTCGCTAAATGATAGGACCCAACAAACCCGATTCACGCTGCGTTTTCTTTCAGCTCCGATGACCTCCATGTTCTCTCCAAGGCCTCTCGTATCTGTGAGCCCCACCCCCAGCGCTACAGGTAGGAATCTGGCTTCCAGCTCCCATGAAACGTCGGCTGCCATTCAGTGGCTGATTAATTGCTGTGTGGTCTGAGTCCTGATGCCCACCAAGTCTCAGCGTGTTCCCCTCTGTCCAATCTCATCCAACAATTTAAGCTAATGCTTGTTTAATGATGTCCTCACTATACCACCTTGGACACTTTCTTTTTGCCTGGATTTAAAGCTTCCATTTCTTTCCTTCCTTCCTTCTTTTCTTCCTTCCTTCCTTCCTTCCTTCCTTCCTTCCTTCCTTCCTTCCTTCCTTCCTTCCTTCCTCCTTCCTTCCTTCCTTTCTTCCTTTCTTCCTGTCTTTTTCTTTCTTTCCTTCTTTTGGCAGAGTCTCACTCTGTCGCCCAGGCTGGAGTGCAATGGTGCAATCTCGGTTCACTGCAACCTCTGCCTCCCAGGTTCAAGCGATTCTCATGCCACATGCCACTATGCCTGGCTAATTTTTGTTTTTTTGTTTTTTGGGGGGTTTTTTGAGACAGAGTCTCAGTCTGTTGCCCAAGCTGGAGTGCAGTGGCATGATCTCGGGTCACTGCAACCTCCTTCTCCCAGGTTCAAGCGATTTTCCTGCCTCAGCCTCCTGAGTAGCTGGAACTACAGGCACGCACCATCACACCGGCTAATTTTTTGTGTTTTTAGTAGAGACGACGGTTTTGCAATGTGGGCCAGGCTTGTCTCGAACTCCTGACCTCAAGTGATCCTCCAGCCTCGGCCTCTCAAAGTGCTGGGATTACAAGTGTGAGCCACTGCACCAGGCCAAAAACTTGTATTTCAATAGTCATTGAGGCTGGGTGCAGTGGCTCACGCCTGTAATCCCAGCACTTTGGGAGGCTGAGGCCAGTGGATCATGAGGTCAGGAGATCAAGACCACCCTGGCTAACACAGTGAAACCCCATCTCTACTAAAAATACACAAAAAAATTAGCCGGGCATGGTGGCAGATGCCTGTAGTCCCAGCTACTCAGGAGGCTGAGGCAGGAGAATGGCGTGAACCTGGGAGGCAGAGCTTGCAGTGAGCGGAGATCGCACCGCTGCACTCCAGCCTGGGCAACAGAGAGCGACTCTGTCTCAAAAAAAAAAATATATATATATATATATATATATTCATTGAGACCGACTCTGACTTAAAAGCAGTAATGAATGGTGTAGGTTTTGGTAAATTACAGGTCTTGCTTTAAGTCCTGGTCCTCTCTTTTGCTCACTGTGTGGCCCCGGAAGAGCCATGTAACCTCTCCAGGCTTCAGTGTCCATTTTTAGAACGGAGTAAGTGAATAAGCTGTGTCCAATCATCTCTGGCCATATCAGCTTCATTTTTTTTTTCCTCCAGGGTCCAAACATCCCTCCACCCTCAGAGTCTTTGCACCTGGTGTTCTTGTCCTTCAAATCTCAGCTTGGATCACCCTTTATAAAGTAGCATTTCCCCCGTATACGCATCTTGCACACAGCCAATCTCTATTCTACCTCTATGCTCACTTCCTTCCTGGCAATTATTACTACAGCTGGGCCCTTGAACAGCATGAGGGTTCAGGGTGCTGACCCCTATGCATTCAAAAATCCACATATAACTTTTTTTTTTTTGAGATGGAGTTTCACACTTGTTGCCCAGGCTGGAGTGCAGTGGCGCCATCTTGGCTCACTGCAAACTCTGCCTCCTGGGTTCAAGTGATTCTCCTGCCTCAGCCTCCTGAGTAGCTGGGATTACAGGCATGTGCCACCATGCCCAGCTAATTTTGTATTTTT
The DNA here is from genome assembly GCF_000001405.40 of Homo sapiens. Lineage (NCBI taxonomy): Eukaryota > Metazoa > Chordata > Mammalia > Primates > Hominidae > Homo > Homo sapiens. The sequence continues at coordinate 8,930,684 of NC_000019.10, read as the reverse complement.
AGTAGAGATGAGGTTTCTCCATGTTCGCCAGGCTGCTCTTGAACTCCTGACTTCAGGTGATCCGCCTGCCTTGGCCTCCCAAAGTGCTGGGATTACAGGCATGAGCCATGATGCCCGGCCATTTGCTAATGGCATCTAGTAAGTAGAGGCCAGAGATGTTGCAAAACATCCAACAATGCACAAAGCAGCCTCCTATCAAAACACATTATCCAGACCAAAATGTCAATAGGGCTGAGGTTGAGCATCTGCTGTACACAGATTCCAAGTTCTGGTACAAATCTCGTAGTTCTCTGAGGGCTCATCTTTCAATGCCTAGCACATCAAAGGAGGCCAATTTCCTCTTCCCTTTCACCTCCTGGTATGAAATGTTTCCTCCTCCACCTTGATCCTGTAAGAGCCCAGCTGGAGTTTGCAGACGACGGGGAAAGAAATGGGTGAGGGAGGGTCCTATGGTTGAGTCTCCGCAGTGGGCCCTGGGTGCCCAGTTCACCCTCCTCCCCTTCATTTTCTCCATCATGACAACTCAAGGCAAATTCTCAGTTTCCATGGGCCAGTGGAATCCACTGACTTCATGAAATAACCCCACCCTGAGCAAATACCCCTCAAATAATAACTGTTTACACAACATCAGTGGCAACAATGACCCAAGCAGCAATGCCACCACCAGAATAGCAACCATAACAGCAGCTCATTTTCATCAAAAGGAAACTGTAGGGCCAGGCACAGTGGCTCACACCTATATTCCCAGCATTTTGGGAGGCTGAGGCAGGCAGATCACCTGAGGTCAGGAGTTCAAGACCAGCCCAGCCAACATGGTGAAACCCCATCTCTACTAAAAATACAAAAACTAGCCAGGCTTGGTGGCATGTGCCTGTAATCCTAGCTACTCGGGAGGCTGAGGCAGGAGAATTGCTTGAACCTGGGAGGCAGAGGTTGCAGTGAGCTGAGATTGTGCCACTGCACTCCAGCCTGGGCGACAGAGCAAGACTCCGTCTGAAAAAAAAAAAAAAAGGAATTGTGCCAGGAATTGTGATGAGAACTTTATATGCATTATCTCCTATTAATATTACCCAAACCTCCGTGAGTTACTATACTCATTTCTACAGAGAGCATTTATGCATCCAGGGAGGAAGTAATTAGCCCAGAATTACTCAGTTATGACACAGGACAGTATGAAAACTCCAACCGAAGATTGGAGACTCATGAAAACTCCAGGCTCCTAACTACAAGACATCACTGTGGATCGTCCAAATAGAGCAAGCCCCAATCTCAGGACAGGAATGAGGCATGAATGGCCTCTATGCTAATGATCTAACCTAATGCTGAATTTGTTACTTCCCTTCTGAATCCACTTGGAGATTTCCTTTATATCTGACTTGAAATAGAGGATATATACTCCTCTATCCTTGACATAGGAGATAATACACAGAAAGTATTTCATTGTAGTATCAAGTACACATCCTGTTCTGTGTCCATAGGATTATGACTAATTTAGGGCATGGCTTAACAGTGTGGTACTATTGAATGACAGACAGATGTCTGTTTTGTTGGATGCAGGACAAGCCATGTAACCTCCCCAGACTTTAGTGTCCCCTCTGTGGAATGGAATAAAAATACTACGTGGGATTGTTCTGATAATCAAATGAGATAATTCAGGAACAACCCAGATAAATAACAGGGCTGCCCTGGGTTCTGTCTTTCCTTGTATCTCTCACAGAGCCTCAAAGGAGATGCAATCCATGACCTAGAGAAACACTCAGGACAAATTCTCTTTTCCCCAGTTCCTTTCTTGCTCCAATGGCAACACCACCCCTCTCATCCTGAAGTCTCTTGTTTTTACCACCACACCTATTTTGCCAAATTTTCTCCAATATTCCAAACCATATGAAACCTTTCTTTCTTTCTTTTCTTTCCTTCCTTTCCTTCTTTCTTTCTTTTTTCTCTTCTTTTCTTTTCTTTTTGAGACATGGTCTCACTCTGTTGCACAGGCTGGAGTGCAATGGCACGATCTTTGCTCACTGCAACCTCCGCCTCCCAGGTTCAAGAGATTCTCTTGCCTCAGCCTCCTGAGTAGCTGGGATTACAGGCGCCCACCGCCACGCCACGCTAATTTTTGTGTTCTTAGTGGAGACGGGGTTTCGCCATGTTGGCCAGGCTGGTCTTGAACTCCTGACCTCAAGTGATTTGCCCATCTCGGTCTCCCAAAGTGCTAGGATTACAGGCGTGAGCCACCAAGCCCGGCCCCATATGAACCGTTTCTATCCCTCATTTCTCTGTACTTTTACCTAAAAACACCACTCCCTTCACCCATCACATTTTTGTCAATTCTACATCACACACACACACACACACACACACACACACACAGAGAAAGTAAGTTGGAAAAAAATTATACTATCATGAAATTTTGTGAAAGGAGGTAAGCTGAGAGAGTAAGAATCAAACTAAATTATCTTTATGGGTAGAAAGCACACTCATCCATACATGTGTCTTTCCACCCTTGTAATGTATTTATTATTATTGTTTGTATATACTAGATTCCCAATAAATAGGGACAGCTATTATGGTATTTTTATTTCAGGAATAATAATAGTGATGATTTCCACCATTATTGTCAAAGGACAAAGCACAAAATATGTACCAAATAAAATATAGCCATTATCCTTTATTCACAAAAGATCTTGGCCCCACCTCTTCTCAATGAAATGTCCATGACTTGTTCAACTTTGGCCACTCTGGGCTGAGAGATGGAGGTTCCCTTGCGAGCTGAAGTCACACATCGAAGGTGGAAGCCCCTCCCCTCCCTCTGGCTGGCTGAGGGATAGCCCAGATGGGCTCATCATGAAAGTTTCCCATTATTTCCATTTCTGGATCTACCATCTTCCCCTCCCCTACCTCTCACCCATCATAATTGTCCTTCTTTACTCTTTCCTCCCTATCTGCAGGTTATAACCGTCGGTACTGGACCCCTGCCACCAGCAGTGAGTATTCAAACCTGTGATATTCCAATGCCCTTGGGACCCTTCCTCCCCAAGGTGCATTCCTCAGAAGAGAAACTGATCATTCTCCCTCCCTACGTGCCCAGCCACAGCCTCAGAGCAGCCCCTAACCCGTCAAGGTCTTGGTGTGAGTCAAGATAGAAGTCCAAATTCCAATGAGCAGTTCCTGTCCCATATTCCTTTAGGAAGACACCCAATCATTTCTCCATGTTCTTTTTTTCTCAGCTCCAGTGACTTCTACATTCTCCCCAGGGATTTCCACATCCTCCATCCCCAGCTCCACAGGTAGGAAGCTCCTCTCTGGCATCTATGAAATTTAACACTGCATGGTCTGTTCCCTGCTGACCACCCAGACTCAGCCTGTTCCACTCGCCCTCTCACTCTCTCTCTCTCTCTTTTTTTTTTTTTTTTTTTTTTTTTTTTACGGAGTCTTGCTCTGTCACCCAGGCTGGAGTGGAATGGTGTGATCTCGGCTCACTGCAACCTTCGCCTCCCAGGTTCACGTGATTCTCCTGCCTCAGCCTCCGGAGTAGCTGGGATTACAGGTGCACACCACCATGCCTGGCTAATTTTTTGTATTTTTAGTAGAGACGGGGTTTCACCATGTTGGCCAGGCTGGTCTTGAACTCCTGACCTCAAGTGATCTACCCACCTTGGCCTCCCAAAGTGCTGGGATTATAGGCATGAGCCACCACGCCAGGCCCACTCTCTAAATTTTGACCACCCTGCCTTGAGTGGTCTTCTAGCACCCTAACCTCTGTCTAACCTCGAGAGCTTTGCACTAGCGATTCCTGGGGACCAGCTATGGTTGGTATCTTCTCAACTTTCTAATTTTTTTAAAATTATTATTATTATTATTATTATTTTAAATGGAGTCTCGCTCTGTCACCCAGGCTGGAGTGCAGTGGCACCATCTCGGCTCATTGCAACCTCTACCTCCCGGGTTCATGCAATTTTCCTGCCTCAGCCAGAAATTTTCTCAGTGGTCGAGATTGTGCCACTGCACTCCAGCCTGGGCAATGGAGCTAGGCTCCATCTCAAAAAAAAAAAAAAAAAGACGGAGGTCGGGCATTCCTAACCCTTAACCCTGCCTTGTGATTCTGGAGTTATGAGATAGAACCTGGTGTCCCGTAATTAAAATTCCGCCTTCAGGCCTTATGTTTTGTGAGTCACAACACTGCAAACTTTTTACATGCTGTAGACAGGATGTTCACTCTCCACTTCCTCACTGCTCTGCTCTAATCAATTCAACCATTTATGTGACATGCCTAACCCCTCTGGGCTTGTACGTATGTAACATGTATTACAAAGCAAGTCATTCCATGATCAATGCTGTCACTTTTTCTAGGTGCTTTCAAAATTTGTTCTTCATCATTGATTTTCAGTAGTTTGATTACGATGTGTCTGGGCATGGTTTTCTTTGAGTTTATCCTGCTTAAAGTGTTCTCAGCTTCTTGAGTCTCAAAGTGTTTATTTTCTGCTCTGATTCTTTCTCCCCTTCGGACCTCCAATGAAATGATGTTGCCCGAAGAGACCCTGAGGTTCTGTTCATTTTGTTATTTATCAATCTTTTTTCCTCTCCGAATTTCAGGTTTAATAATTTTTTTTTTTTTTTTGAGACGGAGTCTCGCTCTGTCGCCCAGGCTGGAGTGCAGTGGCGCGATCTCGGCTCACCGCAAGCTCCGCCCCCTGGGTTCACGCCATTCTCCTGCCTCAGCCTCCGGAGTAGCTGGGATTACAGGCACCCGCCACCATGCCCGGCTAATTTTTTGTATTTTTTAGTAGAGACGGGGTTTCACCGTATTAGCCAGGATGGTCTCAATCTCCTGACCTCGTGATCCGCCCGCCTCAGCCTCCTAAAGAGCTGGGATTACAGGCGTGAGCCACTGCGCCCGGCCCAGGTTTAATAATTTTTATAGAATATTTTCACAATCACCAAGCCTTTTCTCTACCAGCTCCATTCTGCCCATCCATTGAATTCTTTTTATCTCAGTTACTTTATGTTTCAGTTCGAAAGTTTCTACTTGGTTAGATAGATAGATGTTATATCATATATTATATGTTATATAAAAATATATTTATGGTTATACATATAACATATATGTTATATATAGTTATTTATATAGCCATAACTATATATAGCCATATATATAGTTATATATAACCATATATATAGTTACCATATAGTAACCACATATATAAAACATATATATATAGTGTCTCTCTATATATAGTTATATATATAGTTTCTATATCTGTAACTATATATAGTTATATATGTATGTTTCTCTGTATATAAATATATATATTTCTATATATATAGTTATACACATTATATATATAACTGGGAGATGTTGGTAAAGGATGGCGTGAGGAAACCTGGAGCAGTCATGGTAATCCTCGCTCTGCTCCGAACTCCTCAAGAGCAGGAGAAGGGTCCTCCTCATTCTCCAGCCATGTTGACTTTGAGCAATTTACTCATCCTCTCAGTACCTCAGTTTCCTCACCTGCCAATTGAGGATAATAATATTTCATAAATTGTTTGCAAATGTTATATGCAACTCTACGTAAGAACACCTAGCACAGGGGCTACCAGGGAATTTGGTTTAACAAATATTTATCAGGCACCTATTCTGGGCTGGGCAGGGGGGATAAGATGTTGACTAAGTCAAATGCAGTCCCTCCCCTCACCAAGTTTACAGTGTATTGGGCAAGACTGAAATGGAACAAGCAATTACAATTGACAATAAAAGACAACCAAGTTATTGAGCACTTACTATATGGCATGCCATATGCTATGTATTTTTTTTATTTTTAACTTTTCATTTTGAAATAAATAATAAATATAAAGTAAATAATAATATAAATAAATAATAAATAACTTTTCATTTTGAAATAAATAATAAATAAATTCAGGAGATGTTGCGAAAATAGTGTAGCATTCCCCTGTATCCTTCACCCAGTTTCTCCCCAATGGCTACATCTTACATAACTCTAATACAATATCAAAAGCAGGAAACTGACATTGTTAAAATCCATTTTACTGGTTTTACACGCGTGTGTGCATATGTGAGCTTGTGTATGTGCGTGTGTGTGCAGGCATGTGTGTGCATGCACGCCTGTGTGTGCATATGTGCATGTGTGCATGCGTGTGTGCATGTGTGCATGTGTGTGTGCATGCGTGCGTGCGTGCGTGCATCTGTGTGCATGTATGCACATGTGTGTGTGTCTGTGCACGTGTGTGCATGCATGTGTGTGTGCGTGTGTGTTGGTAGCCCTATGCAATTTTTATCACATGGGCATAGCCCTATAATCACCACCACCATCAAGATTCAGAACTGTTCCATTCCCCCAAAGATTCCCCTCATGCTAGCCTTCGTAATCATGCCCACTGAGCCCAACACTATTGCATAGAATAGCTATTCTACTCTCCATCTCCATCTCTGTCTCTACAATTTTCTTTTGAAGATGTTATATAAATGGAAATGTACAACATGTCACCTTTGAAATTGGCTTCTTTTCCACTCAGTGTAATGCCCTGGAGATGTGCTCTTTTTAACAGTCATGTAACCTTCCTAATTTCCCTCCAAAATATCATTATGCCCCTCGCCGCCTTTTTTTTTTTTTTTTTTTTTTGAGACAGAGTCTCGCTCTGTTGCCCAGGCTGGAGTGCAGTGGTATAATCTCAGCTCACTGCAGCCTCCGTCTCCCGGGTTCAAGGGATTCCCCTGCCTCAGCCTCCCAAGTAGCCAGGATTACAAGTGCATGCCACCACGCCTGGCTAATTTTTGTATTTTTAGTCGAGACGGGGTTTCATTGTGTTGGCCAGGCTGGTCTCGAATTCCTGACCTCAAGTGATCTGCCCGCCTTGGCCTCCCAAAGTGCTGGGATTACAGGTGTGAGCCACCGCGCCCGACCCATATTGCCCATTGTATTACAGCGGAAGAAACTGAGGTATGGACAGGTAACATGTCCATGGTCACTTGGCTGGTGAGGGGCAGAGAGGAGATTTGAAACCAAATCTGACTCACTAGTGTGGCCGTAACCATGGTAACTATGTCTCTCTACCATGTGGTCTCCTCTTTATTAAAGGAAGGGCAAGTTCTGGGAGTTTTGGGAGTTTTGGGCTTGAGTGGGGAAGGGTAGCCAAGTAAAGCAGGTGAGAGAAGGTCTGCTTTAAGGACTGCTGTTTGATTTTTATTGTTGTTGTTCAGTGTTCAATGGGATTGAGTTGACTCTTTTTTCCCTTCTTGTTCCCCAAAGCATGAGACTGTTCCGGTCCTTTTCCCTTTTAACTTCTCAGCTAGAGTTTGTTAGGGCGGGTATGGGCACCTGGCAGAGTCTGAGACCTCAGCTTCCAGTAGGCACACGTTCTGACCCAATACACCTACCCTGGTCCCCTAACCTGCTTCTGGTCCCCTAACCTGCTTCTGGGCCCAGGTAATGCATTTTAGGAACATCCCACTTTTCTCCTTACCTGGCTTTCCATTATCCGTCCAAACTAAAGCACCCACCTGTCTGCTTCAGACTCTTGCTTCAAGCACTCCGTCTGGGTCCTCAGAAATTGACTTACAGTCAGTTCAGATCTGACTCAGGCGTGGCCTTCTTTTCTCCTTCCTTGCAGCAGCCACAGTCCCATTCATGGTGCCATTCACCCTCAACTTCACCATCACCAACCTGCAGTACGAGGAGGACATGCGGCACCCTGGTTCCAGGAAGTTCAACGCCACAGAGAGAGAACTGCAGGGTCTGGTGAGAGCCCCGCCCACCGTACTCCTCCCTCGCCCACTTAGACAAACCAGCCCACCTCACACTGCCTCGCCCACTGATGCCAGCCACGCCCACCTCATCCAACCCCAGACACCTTTCCCTGCCCCACCCACTGATTTTAGCCAAGCCCACCTCACCCCACCCAGCCTACTGATGCCAGCCACGCCCACCTTTCCCTGCCCCGCCCACTGATTTCAGCCACGCCCACCTCACCCTGGTCCACCCCTCCAATGCCCCACTCTTCCTGGCTTCCCGCAGCTGTTGTTTCTCACCTCCCCTCTCCTTCCTTGCAGCTCAAACCCTTGTTCAGGAATAGCAGTCTGGAATACCTCTATTCAGGCTGCAGACTAGCCTCACTCAGGTGAGACGCTCCTTAAGAAAAACACAGCCCAACAGGTGAATATGACCCTAGTCTCTGGGCTCCCTGACTCTGTTCATACTTGGAACAACTATTGCCCATGGATACTAAGCATCACCACCAGCAGCAGCAGATAACTATTCCTAAGACCCAAGGCACTGCATTATGTACTTTATATTTAATGCCTCATCAGTGCTTGCAACAGCCTCATGAAGCAGGAGCAGAAGGGGAAACTGAGGCCCAGATTAAGTGGCTTGTGCCAGGACACACAAAGCAACTGCAGCACTTCAGGTTCTATATCCAAACTCCTATCCCTTAGGTGGCACTTCCTCCTCTGCCCCCATTATGAACTTGCAGCATGTGGAAAACCCCAATCTGACTTCCCTCTAAGGGAACTTGCCCAGAGAATCTAAGAGGGGAGGAAAGGAAGGCGTTCAGCCCTTACAGGCAGGAGGTCAGCTCCTGAGTGGCTCAGATGCAGCCACAGAGGGCCTGGCCGGTCTGAGGGTGACTGAGAGGCACCGAGGGCACTGTCCCTGAGTGCTGGAAAGGGCAGGTCTTTTAGGGTAGACAGCGGTTGATATCATTTCCTGCCTGGCATTCTCACCTTCCACACCTCTCTCACAGAATCTCCAAGTGTGGCTCTCCCAAGAGAGAGTGTCAGTCATCTACCTCCAGCTTCCTTTCCTTCCCAGGGGGAAGAGGGGACAGGGGGGCCCTAGTGGCTAAGAGCATTGGTGAACTCAGGCAGACCTCAGTTCTGAACCAACCCAGCTCTGCCATTTACTATCTGTGACTCTGAGCAAGTGCCTGAAGCCTTCTGTGCCCTATTTCCTGACATATTATATATATAAAATACATATATTATATATAGACATATTTTATATACATATTGAGGCATATTTTATAAACATGTTTATAGACACATTTTTATATGCATATGTTATATACGTATATAACATATGTTATATATAATGTATATATTATACATATTGTTATATTGTATACATGTTATATATGTTATAGCATATATAGTACAAGTTATATATAACACATACATTATGTTACATATAATGTATATGTTATATATGATATATTATATATAATTATATATTATATAAAACTGTTATATATAATTATATATAATATATAGTTGTTATATATAATTATATAATTGTTATATATTATATACAACATATAACATACATTATATATTGTTATATATAATATAATATATACATATATAACATATGTATAACTTTTATGTTATACATAATGTATATAACATATATGTGTATGTGTGATGTACATAACATATCTGACATTAACATATAACATATGATATAACAATATTATATGTTATAACATAATATATGTTATAATATAACAATATTATATGTTATAACTTATACTGTCATATGTAACATATACATAATATTTTATAAATCAGTTTAATATACATTATGTTACATATAATGTATGTTATATATGATATATTATATATAATTATATTATACATAATTGTTATATATAATGCATACATTGTATTTGTTACGTATTATATGCAACATATAACATATACATTATGTATTGTTATATATAATGTAATATATACATACATAACATATGTATAACTTATATGTTATATATAATGTATATAACATATATGTGTATGTGATGTATATAACATATCTGACATTAACATATAACATATGTTATAATATGACATATTATATATATTACATATAACGTATATCATGTATAATATAATGTGTATATATAATATATTAAAGTATATAAGTATAAATACATGTAATATTTAAATATATATTATATATAGTATACATGTGGATACATACAACTTCTACATATACCTAGTATATATTCTATATATAAACAGTCCATGAATTACAATGATTCAACTTATGATTTTTCAAACTTTGTGATAATGCCATAGCAATATGCATTCAGTAGAAAGCATACCTTCAACACCCATGCAACCATTCTGTCATTCACTTTCAGTACAATATTCAATAAATTATATGAGATATTCAACAGTTTATTATAAAATAGGCTTTGTGTTAGGTGATTTTGCCCACATGTAGGCTAATGTAAGGGTTCAGAGCATGTTTAAGGTAGGATAGGCTAACCTATCATGTTCTGTAGGTTAGGTATAGTCGATTTTTATTTTTATTTTTATTTTTGAGACAGAGTCTTGCTCTGTCACCCAGACTGGAATGCACTGGTGCGATCATAGCTCACTGCAGCCTTGAACTCCTGGGCTCAAGTGATCCTCCTACCTCAGCCTCCTGAGTAGCTGGGACTACAGGTGTGTGCCACCACACCTGGCTATTTTTTTTTTAATTTTTTTTTTTTTGTGGAGAGGAGGGTCTTGCCATGTTGCCCAGGTGGCCTTGAACTCCTGGGCTCAAGGAATCCTCCCACCTTGGCCTCCCAAAATCCTGGGATTACAGGTGTGAGCCATCACGCCCGGCTACAGGGCATTTTTGACTTATGACATTTTCAGTTCACAATGGATTTGTCAGGGCTGGGCATGATGGCTCACACCTGTCATCCCAGCACTTTGGGAGGCTGAGGCAGGTGGATCACTTGAGGCCAGGAGTTTGAGACCAGGCTGTCCAAATGGCAAAATCTTGTCTCTACTAAAAATACAAAAATTAGCCAGGCGTGGTGTGACAACTGTAGTTCCAGCTACTCGGGAGACTGAAGCGTGAGAATCACTTGAACTTAGGAGATGGAAGTTACAGTGAGTCAAGATCACACCACCGCACTCCAGCCTGGATGACAGAGCAAGACTCTTGTCTCCAAAAAACAAAAAACAGGCTGGGTGCATGGCTCATGCCTGTAATCCCAGCAGTTTGGGAAGCTGAGGCAGGTTTATCACCTGAGGTCAGTAGTTCACGATCAGCTTGGCAAACATGGAGAAAACCCATCTCTACTAAAAATACAAAAATTAGCTGGATGTGGTGGTGGGTACCTGTAGTCCCAGCTACTCGGGAGGCTGAGGCAGGAGAATGGATTGAACCTGGGAGGCAGAGGTTGCAGTGAGCCAAGATCACACCATTGAACTCCAGCCTGGGCAACAGAGTGAGACTCCATCTCCAAAAACAAAAGAAAGCAAAAACAAAAAAATAAAATAAAAAACCTGTGTTTATCAGGACATAATACCATCATGAGTCAAGAAGCATCTAAATGTACATGGTAGTTATATAAAAATAGTTATATAGTTATATACAATAGTTATATATAAACCAGTTTAATATATGTTAAGTAGAGGTATATGGTAGTTATATAAAAAATAGTTATATAATAGTTATAGAGTTATATAATTATATAAAATAGTTATATATAAACCAGTTTAATATATGTTAGGTAGAGGTATAATAATATATATTGTATATACTATATAATATAGTAATGTATAAAATGCAAAACGATATCATATATTTCTATATTAAGTTTATATTTACAGATCTACATTTTATATATTTTATGTTATATACAATTGTGTTATACATAATATAATTAGTATAGTACTGACTTGGGGAATTGAGCAGTACCAACCCATAGGGATGTTTGAGGATGAAAATATGTGATTATGAATACAAAATGCTGGGCCTGCTGCATAGGAAGTATTTAATAAATGGTAGTTGTTACTATAAAGTCGTTCCTACTATAGAGCTACTCACAACCCTGGGACATAGGGAAAGAGCCCGTTTCCCTCTAATCACTCAATAGTGGGTGGCTAGGTAGGTGAGTCCACATCCTGTGGCCGGGAACAGGTGCTGAGACATGAAGACCTTCTGACTGCATGTTGGACCAGCCACAGTTTCAGACGGACCAGCCAAAAAGGGCATTTTCCCCAAGCCATTTAGCTCCCTTGAGTCTCATAACAAATCTCCTAGCCCTGCTGGTCCATAGGATCTAGAGAGGATGACTTGAACCTTCTGATCCCACCATTTGAAAACGCCATGCCATGGGCACCAGTAGGAGGGCCACTGCTACGTGCACCAGTACAAGGGCCACTGCCATGGATTACAGATTAACCCTAAGTATAGCTGTCGCACACCTAGTACTTCAGGAGGCTTATTCGGGGCCATGCAGATCCCTGGCATTATTATCCTAGGATCCTACACCAAGCAAAGCAGGAGCTGCCCCTCCTCATAAACCCATAAGCCCTCCTCTTGAGCAAAGCAGCTGGGAAGGCCAGAAGTTATTCAAGCTCCCCTCTGCCCCGGTTCCAAAGACAGACAGCTCAAGCCTACATGCAGCAAACCCTATAAAAGTGTCACCTCTTGGCATTTCTGCCATGGTAATGCTTTCTGCTTCCACTAATAATCCTAGTAATTTGTTTATGGTGGGCATCTCTCTGATGAGAACCACATTCTTTTTTTTTTTTTTTTTTTTTTTTGAGATAGAGTCTCACTCTGTTGCCCAGACTGGAGTGCAGTGGCGCGATCTCGGCTCACTGTAACCTTTGGCTCCTAGGTTCAAGCAATTCTCCTGCCTCAGCCTCCCAAGTAGCTGGGACTGCAGGCACGTACCACCATGCCCAGCTAATTTTTGTATTTTTAGTTGAGACGGGGTTTCACCATGTTAGCCAGGATGGTCTCAATCTCTTGACCTCATGATCCACCTGCCTTGGCCTCCCAAAGTGTTGGGATTACAGGCATGAGCCACCATGCCTAGCCTGAGAGCCACATTCTTGTTAACCACAATTTTCTCAGAGTCTGCATTAGGGGTTGACAAAGAGTGGAAAGGAAGGACAAAAGGATGGAGAGGTGGATGGACTAAGCATATGTAGGTTCTTACCCAGGCCAGAGAAGGATAGCTCAGCCACGGCAGTGGATGCCATCTGCACACATCGCCCTGACCCTGAAGACCTCGGACTGGACAGAGAGCGACTGTACTGGGAGCTGAGCAATCTGACAAATGGCATCCAGGAGCTGGGCCCCTACACCCTGGACCGGAACAGTCTCTATGTCAATGGTGAGCAGCTGTGATGTGGTTGGAGGCTCTTCCTCCTTGCTGAGCAGCCTGTAATCACTGGCTTGAGGTCACACTCACTGTCAGGCAATTGAAAATTTGGTCCTGTGCTCTACATGGGATGACTAATTTCCGGACTTCATGGTATCTTTTTTTTTTTTTTTTTTTTTTTGAGATGGAGTCTCGCTCTGTCACCAGGCTGAGGTGCAGTGGCATGATCTCAGCTCACTGCAACCTCCGCCTCCCGGATTCAAGCAATTCTCCTGCCTCAGCCTCCTGAGTAGCTGGGACTACAGGTGCATGCCACCACACCCAGCTAATTTTTGTATTTTTAGTAGAGACAGGGTTTCACCATGTTGGTCAGGATGGTCTCAATCTCTTGACCTTCTACTCCACCTTGCCTTGGCCTCCCAAAGTACTGGGATTACAGGCTTGAGCCACCACACCTGGCCAGGACTTCATGGTTTCTTCATCATCATGGAATGAATTCCATCAGGGCATTCTTCCCTGATGTGAGGGCACTGATAGGAAATCTTTAATGGTCCCTGCTGCATGAAACTGCTTCCATTGCACCAGGGTAGCCCTGACCCCTATTTGGTCCCCCACATCTCCTTGTAACTTACCCACACTCCTCCCTCCTTCTCTGTGCAGGTTTCACCCATCGAAGCTCTATGCCCACCACCAGCAGTGAGTATTCAACTCATGTCCACATGCCCATGATCCTACACCAAGCAAAGCAGGAGCTGCCCCTCCTCATAAACCCATAAGTCCTCCTCTTGAGCAAAGTAGCTGGGAAGGCAGAAGTTATTCAAGCTCCCCTCTGCCCCAGTTTCAAAGACAGACTCAGCTCAAGCCCACATGCAGCAAACCCTATAAAAGTCTCACCTCTTGGCATTTCTGCCATGGTAATGCTTTCTGCTCTCACTAATGAGGACTTCTCCTCAGCTCCTGGGACCTCCACAGTGGATGTGGGAACCTCAGGGACTCCATCCTCCAGCCCCAGCCCCACGAGTAAGTACCAGTCAATGGCATCTCTATTAGAGCATGCTATCTCTGTCATTTTTACTCAGATGAAGATGGAAAATCATAGCAAATCTACTGATAGTGAGTGGACCAACGAAATTTGTTGGCCACCTAGTGTGTACCAGATCCTAGAGATACAGGAGGGAAAACAAAACCAATACAAAATTTCTGCTCTCAGTGAGCTTGTATTCTTGTCATGATGATGATGTTGGTGGTGGTGCTGTTGATGACGATGATGATGATGATGATGATGATGATGCTGGTGATACTGTTGATGGTGATAGTGATGTTGATGACAATGATGATGATGATGATGTTGAAGAAAATGATGCTGGTGATGGTGGTGGGGGTTATTATGGTAATAATGATATGTTGAGTGTGACGATGATGGTGGTGGTGTTGATGATGATGATGATTATTATGCTAGTGACATTGATGATGGTAATGGTGATATCAACGACAGTGACAATGATGGTGATGAGGATGATGTCGGTGATGGTGGTGGGGTTATGATGGTAATGATATGTTGAATGTGATGATGGTGATGATGATATTTGTGGTTCATGATGGGGATTGTCATGGTGGTGCTGGTGGTACTTGTGATGACAATAATGATAATAATGATGACAATGATAGTGATGATGGTGATGGTGATAATAAAGATAACAGATATCACCTTACAATATTGAGCACTAAATATGTACCAAGAGCTATGCTCAGTATCTAACTACTATTATATAATCTACTTTAGAAAATGAATTGTATCATAGATAAGAAAGGCGTGGAAAATATTTATTATGTCACTCAATTTAATTGCTGCATATGGTTATTACAAAGTGCTATTCTCTCTACTTTGAACATAATGTTTATTTCACACTCCCACTATAGCTGCTGGCCCTCTCCTGATGCCGTTCACCCTCAACTTCACCATCACCAACCTGCAGTACGAGGAGGACATGCGTCGCACTGGCTCCAGGAAGTTCAACACCATGGAGAGTGTCCTGCAGGGTCTGGTTAGTGTCCTGCCCTCCACACTCTGCCCTGCTCATGATACCCAGTCCCTCTTACATCATCCATGCCAGGGCAATGGAAGAATATCAAACCCAACTCACTTTTGCCCCAAGAGATGCAAGCCTCAGCCAGGAGCGGTGGCTCACGCCTGTAATACCAGCATTTGGGAGGCCAAGGCGGGTGGATCACCTGAGGTCAGGAGTTTGTGACCAGCCTGGCCAACATAGTGAAACCTCATCCCTACTAAAATACAAAAATTAGCCAAGCATGGTGGTGCATGCCTGTAATCCCAGCTACTTGGGAGGGTGAGGCAAGAGAATCACTTGAATCAAGGAGGCAGAGGTTGCAGTGAGTCAAGATCATGCCACTTTACTCCAGCCTAGGCAAAAAAGCGAAACTCCATCTCACAAAAAAAAGAAAAAAAGAGAGAGATGCAAGCCTCCCCCACCAAGGCCAGCCCTGCCCACCTCACTTCTGCCTGGCTCTTACATAAAACTTAGCCCTCCTACTCACTGCCCTCTCCCTCCTCCACAGCTCAAGCCCTTGTTCAAGAACACCAGTGTTGGCCCTCTGTACTCTGGCTGCAGATTGACCTTGCTCAGGTGAGAACTTAGAATTTCCAGCCTGGCTGCCCCACTTGTACTCACTCCAAAAGACTTTGCACTGCTTCCTTGCTGCACTTCCTAGGGATATCCTCACCAAAGGTGGAATTCAGGAGTCACAGGCTTCAGGATCAGTGTGTTTCCTGACAGTAACACCCCTACACTCCACCTCAACAGAGAGAATCTGCATGGCCCATCATCAGGATTGAGCCTCTCCCTTTATCATCCCTCTGAATTCCCTCCATTCCCTGTGCCTCCCTTTCCTTTACATGTTAAATTCTGTCCCCAGGATTTCTTTCAGGACAATCATGCCTTATCCACGTGATTTCATCCTCATTTCGAGCTCTTCACTGGGCTCAAGTCCGGCTCCCCGTCCCGTCCATGAAAGTGTCAGTTTCATCTTGTCACTGTATCCGTGACTCCACTCACAGTCCTCAGCAAGCCAATAGTCCATGCACTAAGAGTCGATGTGGCTTCTCACCTCTTTCCCAGGTTTCTCATTTCTCTGGTCCTTGCTGTCCTTCCCTCAGCAATCGCAAGACCCTTCCTAGATAAACTTTTCATTGTGATTTTTCCCACTGACCCTCCCCAGGCCCGAGAAAGATGGGGCAGCCACTGGAGTGGATGCCATCTGCACCCACCGCCTTGACCCCAAAAGCCCTGGACTCAACAGGGAGCAGCTGTACTGGGAGCTAAGCAAACTGACCAATGACATTGAAGAGCTGGGCCCCTACACCCTGGACAGGAACAGTCTCTATGTCAATGGTGAGTGGCTGTGATGTGGTTGAAATCTCTTCCCCCTTGCTGGGCAGCCTCTAATCTCTAACTAGAGATCACACTCCCTGCCTGGCCTTTGAAAATTCTGTCATGTGCTCTACATGGGATGACTAAGGTCTGGACTTCATGGTTTCCTTACCATCATGGACTGTGTTCCCTCAGGGCATTCTTTCCTGATGTGAGGATGCTGATAGAAAATCTTCAATTGTCCCTGTACCATGAAACTCGGTTCATTGCACCAGGGTAGCATTGACCTCCATTTGGTCCCCCACCTCTCCTTGTCTCTTACCCACTCTCCTCCCTCCTTCTCTATGCAGGTTTCACCCATCAGAGCTCTGTGTCCACCACCAGCAGTGAGTATTCAACTCATATCCACATGCCTCGGTTCCTACACCAAGAGGAGCAGGAGCTGGCCCCTCCTCATAAACCCATTAAGTCCTCTTCATAAGCAAAGGATTTAGGAGGGCAGAAGTTATTTAAGTGTCCCTCTGCCCAGCTCAAGAGACCGACCCAGCTCAAGCTACACATGCAACAAACCCCATAAATAGTCTCCCCTCTTGCCATTTCTGCCAAGAGAGTGCTTTATGCTTTCACTGATGAGAACTTTTCCTCAGCTCCTGGGACCTCCACAGTGGATCTCAGAACCTCAGGGACTCCATCCTCCCTCTCCAGCCCCACAAGTAAGTATCAGTCAATGACATCTCTATGAGAGCATACCTGATTAGTGTAAACATCTCTGTCATTTTCACTCAAATAAAGATGGAAAATCATAGTAAATCTAGTGATACTGAGTGGACAAATTTGTTTGTTTGTTTTTTCTCATCCTTTTCACTTTTTTTATTATACTTTAAGTTTTAGGGTACATGTGCACAATGTGCAGTTTAGTTACACATGTATACATGTGCCATGCTGGTGTGCTGCACCCATTTGCTCGTCATTTAGCATTAAGTATATGTCCTAATGCTATCCCTCCCCCCTCCCCCCACCCTGCAACAGTCCCCAGAGTGTGATGTTCCCCTTCCTGTGTCCACATGTTCTCATTGTTCAATTCCCACCTATGAGTGAGAACATGCGGTATTTGGTTTTTTGTCCTTGCGATAGTTTACTGAGAATGATGATTTCCAATTTCATCCATGTCCCTACAGAGACATGAACTCATCATTTTTTATGGCTGCATAGTATTCCATGGTGTGTATGTGCCACATTTTCTTAATCCAGTCTATCATTGTTGGACATTTGGGTTGGTTCCAAGTCTTTGCTATTGTGAATAGTGCCACAATAAACATACGTGTGCATGTGTCTTTATAGCGGCATGATTTATAATCCTTTGGGTATATACCCAGTAATGGGATGGCTGGGTCAAATGGTATTTCTAGTTCTAGATCCCTGAGGAATCGCCACACTGACTTCCACAATGGTTGAACTAGTTTACAGTCCCACCAACAGTGTAAAAGTGTTCCTATTTCTCCACATCCTCTCCAGCACCTGTTGTTTCCTGACTTTTTAATGATTGCCATTCTAACTGGTGTGAGATGGTATCTCATTGTGGTTTTGATTTGCATTTCTCTGATAGCCAGTGATGGTGAGCATTTTTTCATGTGTTTTTTGGCTGCATAAATGTCTTCTTTTGAGAAGTGTCTGTTCATGTCCTTCTCCCACTTTTTGTTGGGGTTGTTTGCTTTTTCCTTGTAAATGTGTTTGAGTTCATTGTAGATTCTGGATATTAGCCCTTTGTCAGATGAGTAGGTTGTGAAAATTTTCTCCCATTTTATAGGTTGCCTGTTCACTCCAATGGTAGTTTCTTTTGCTGTGCAGAAGCTCTTTAGTTTAATTAGATCCCATTTGTCAATTTTGGCTTTTGTTGCCATTGTTTTTGGTGTTTTAGACATGAAGTCCTTGCTCATGCCTATGTCCTAAATGGTAATGCCTAGGTTTTCTTCTAGGGTTTTTATGGTTTTAGGTCTAACGTTTAAGTCTTTAATCCATCTTGAATTAATTTTTGTATAAGGTGTAAGGAAGGGATCCAGTTTCAGCTTTCTACATATGGCTAGCCAGTTTTCCCAGCACCATTTATTAAATAGGGAATCCTTTCCCCATTGCTCAGATTTGTCAAAGATCAGATAGTTGTAGATATGTGGCGTTATTTCTGAGGGCTCTGTTCTGTTCCATTGATCTATATCTCTGTTTTGGTACCAGTACCATGCTGTTTTGGTTGCTGTAGCCTTGTAGTATAGTTTGAAGTCAGGTAGCATGATGCCTCCAGCTTTGTTCTTTTGGCTTAGGATTGACTTGGCGATGCGGGCTCTTTTTTGGTTCCATGTGAACTTTAAAGTAGTTTTTTCCAATTTTGTGAAGAAAGTCATCGGTATCTTGATGGGGATGGCATTGAATCTATAAATTACCCTGGGCAGTATGGCCATTTTCCCGATATTGATTCTTCCTACCCATGAGCATGGAATGTTTTTCCATTTGTTTGTATCCTCTTTTATTTCATTGAGCAGTGGTTTGTAGTTCTCCTTGAAGAGGTCCTTCACGTCCCTTGTAAGTTGCATTCCTAGGTATTTTATTCTCTTTGAAGCAATTATGAATGGGAGTTCACTTATGATTTGGCTCTGTGTTTGTCTATTATTGGTGTATAAGAATGCTTGTGACAAATTTGTTTTGGCCACCTACTGTGTACCAGACCCCAGGAATACAGTAAGAAAAAGAAAATCAATTTAAAAAAAATCTGTGCCCTCAGTGAGCTTGTATTCTTGTGATGATGATGATGGTGGTGGTAGTTACAATGGTAATGATGATGTGTTGAGTGGGATGATGATGATGGTGGTGGTGACATTGTTTATGATGATGATGATGATGATGGTCATACTGTTGATGATGGCAGTAGTGATGTTGATGATGATGGTGATGGTGATGAGGATGATGCTGGTGATGTTAGAGGAGGTTATGATGGTAATTATGATGTATTGAGTGTGATGATAATAGTGATAGTGTTGCTGTTTATAATGATGATAGTGGTGATCTTGATGATGGTGGTGGTGATGATGACAATGATGATGGTGATGAGGATGATGCAGGTGATGGTGGTGGAGGTTGTGATGGTAATGATGTCGTATTGAGTGTGATGGTGATGATGATGGTGGTAGTGTTGCTGTTTATAATGATCATGATAATGATAGTGTTGATGTTGATGTTGATGGTGGTGGTGATGTCGATGACAATGATGATGATGGTGATAAGGATGATTCAAGTGATGGTGGTGGGGTTATGATGGTAATGATGATGTGTTGAGAGTGATGATGTTTGTGGTGGTCATGATGGGGATTATCATGGTGGTGATGATGATAATAATGATGGTGACGTGACAATGATGGTGATGGTGATGATGATGATAATAAAGTTAACAGAAAATGTCAGACAGTATTGAGCAATAAATATTCACCAACAGCTATGCTCAGCATCTACTATTATATAATATACTTTTACAAAAATAAATTATATTATTATAGGCAAGGGAGGCATGGAAAATATTTTGTCACTCAATTTAAATTCTGCATATATTGAAAGATAAGTCTATTGCAAACTCCTATTTTCTCTGCTTTGAACATAGTGTTTATTTCCCATTCCAGTTATGGCTGCTGGCCCTCTCCTGGTACCATTCACCCTCAACTTCACCATCACCAACCTGCAGTATGGGGAGGACATGGGTCACCCTGGCTCCAGGAAGTTCAACACCACAGAGAGGGTCCTGCAGGGTCTGGTGAGAGCCCCACCCACTTTACTCCTGCCCCATCCCAGATACATCATCTATGCCAGGGCTATGGAAGAAGATTGTATCCATCTCACCCTTGCCCACAAAAGATGCAAGCCCTGCTCACTGAGGCCAGCCATGCCCACTGGTGCCTGCTCCACCCACCTGACTTCTGCCCCACACACATGCACCTTAGCCCTCCTACTCACTTTCCTCTCGCTCCTCCACAGCTTGGTCCCATATTCAAGAACACCAGTGTTGGCCCTCTGTACTCTGGCTGCAGACTGACCTCTCTCAGGTGAGACCTTAGAAGATCCAGCCTGGCTGCCCCAGTTGTTCCCACTCCAGTAGATTTTGCTCTGCTTCCTTGCTGCACCTCCTAGGGATATCCTCACCCAAAGGGGAATTCAGGAGTCACTGGCTTCTGGACCAATGTGTTTCCTGATAGTAACACTCCCACACCTCACCTCAACAGGGAGAATCTGCATGGTCCATCATCAGGATTGAGCCTCTATCCTGATCATCCCTCGGAATTCCCTGCCCCTCCCTTTCATTTAGGTGTTAAATTCTGTCCCCAGAATTTCTCTCAAGACAATCATGCCTCATCCAAGTGCTTTCATCCCTGTTTCTAGCTCTTCACTGGTCTCAAGTCTGGGCTCTCCTGTCCCCATGCTATGAGAATGCAGGTTTCACCTTGCACTTTTATAAGCATGGTTGTATCTGTGACTCTGTGCACAGTCCCAAGCAAGCCAGTAGTCCATGCACTCAGAGAATCTAAGTGTAGCTTCTCACCTCTTTCCCAGGTTTCTCATTTCCTCTGGTTCTTTACTGTCTTTCCATCAGCAGTCTCAGGACACAACCTAAGTAATCTTTTCATAG
This sequence comes from Homo sapiens, assembly GCF_000001405.40. Lineage (NCBI taxonomy): Eukaryota > Metazoa > Chordata > Mammalia > Primates > Hominidae > Homo > Homo sapiens. Next base: position 8,909,507 of record NC_000019.10, on the reverse strand, counting down.
TCATTCTCCCCACCTACCTTCCCCAGGTCTGAGAAGGATGGAGCAGCCACTGGAGTGGATGCCATCTGCATCCATCATCTTGACCCCAAAAGCCCTGGACTCAACAGAGAGCGGCTGTACTGGGAGCTGAGCCAACTGACCAATGGCATCAAAGAGCTGGGCCCCTACACCCTGGACAGGAACAGTCTCTATGTCAATGGTGAGCAGCTGTGATGTGGTTGGAGTCTTTTCCTTCTAGAGTCTGGAAAGAATCTAATCTGTGGCTTGAAGTCACACTCCCTGCCTGGCCATTGAATATTCTGTCATGTGGTGTAGATGGGATGACAAAGTTCTGGACTTCACAGTTTCTTCATTGTCGTGAACTGTGTTCCCTCAGGGCACTCTTCCCTGTTGTGAGGATACTGATAGGAATTCTTTAATGGCCCCAGTCCCATGAAACTCATTGTCCCATGAAACTCATTTAATTGCATTGGGATTGCCATGACCCTTATTGTGTCCCTCATATCTCCTTAACGCTTACCAAGTCTCCTCCCTCCTTCTCTATGCAGGTTTCACCCATCGGACCTCTGTGCCCACCAGCAGCAGTGAGTATTCAACTCATGTCCACATGCCCCTGATCCTACATTAAGTGGAGCAGGAGCTGGCCCCTCCTCTTAAACCCATAAGTCCTCCTCTTGAGCAAAGGAGCTGGGAAGGCAGAAGTTATTGAAGCTCCCTTCCACCCTAGCTCCAAAGACAGGCCCAGCTCATGCCCATATGCAGCAGACCTCATAATAGTCTACCTTCTTGCCATTTCTGCCATGAGATTATTTTCTGCTTTCACTGATGAGCACTTTTTCTCAGCTCCTGGGACCTCCACAGTGGACCTTGGAACCTCAGGGACTCCATTCTCCCTCCCAAGCCCCGCAAGTAAGTACTAGTCAATGGCATCTCCCTTAGATTATGCCTGATGAGTGTGAACATCTGTGCCATTTTCACTCAAATGAAAATAGAAAATCATAGTAAATCTAGTGATACTGAGTGAACCAAAAAAATTTATTGGCCACTTACAGTGTACCAGACCTTAGAGATACAAGGAAAAGAAAACTAATAAAAGCACCTCTGCCCTCAGTGAGCTTGTGTTCATGTGATGATGGTGGTGGTGGTTATGATAGTAATAATGACATGTTGAGTGTGATGATGATTGATGATGATGGTGATGCTGTTGATGATGATGGTGGTGATGTTACTGGCAATGATGATGATGGACATAAGGATGTTGTCAGTGATGGCTGTGAAGGTTATGATGGTAATGATGGTGTGTGGAGTGTGATGATGATGATGATGTTGCTGTTTATGATGGTGAAAGTGATAGCAACAATCATGATGGCCAGTCATCATAAATATAACAGATAACATCAGACAATATTGAGCACTGAATATGCATGATTAGCTATGCTCAGCATCTAACTACTATTATATAACATACTTTCATAAAAATAAATTGTATTATTATAGGCAAGGGAGACATGGTAAATATTTTGTTTCTCAATTTAAATTTTGCACATGTTTAAAGATAAGTCTATTCTAAACCCCTATTTCTTGACTTTGAACATAGTGTTTATTTTCAATTCCCACTACAGCTGCTGGCCCTCTCCTGGTGCTGTTCACCCTCAACTTCACCATCACCAACCTGAAGTATGAGGAGGACATGCATCGCCCTGGCTCCAGGAAGTTCAACACCACTGAGAGGGTCCTGCAGACTCTGGTTAGTGCCCTTCCCTCCTCACTCTGCCCAGCCCCAGATATCCAGTCCCTTCTACATCATCCATGCCAGGGTGATGAAAGAAGATAGCAACAACTTCCCCCCTTCCCCCCAAGAGATGCAAGCCCCACCCACAGAGACCAGTCCTGCTTATTGGTGCCTGCTCCACCCACCTCACATCTGCCCCGACACACACACACCTTAGCCCCACTACTCACCTCCCTCTCCCTCCTCTACAGCTTGGTCCTATGTTCAAGAACACCAGTGTTGGCCTTCTGTACTCTGGCTGCAGACTGACCTTGCTCAGGTGAGACTTTAGAAGAGCCAGCCTGGGTGCCCAACTTGTTCCCACTCTAAAAGACTTTGCACTGCTTCCTTGCTGCACTTCCTAGGTATATCTTCACCAAAAGGGGAATTCAGGAGTCATTGGCTTGAGAACCAGTTGTTTCCTGATAGTAACACCCCCATGCCCCAACTCAACATGCAAAATCTTCATGGTTCATCATCAGGATTGAGACACTACCCTGATTACCCATCTGAATTCCCTCCTTTCCCTGCCCCTCCCTTTCATTTAGGTGTTAAATTCTGTCCCCAGGATTTCTCTCAAGATAACCATGCCTCATCCACATACATGCATCCGCCTTTCAAGCTCATCACTAGTCTGAAGTCTGGGTTCTCCTGTTCCCATGCCATGAGAATGCAGGTTTCACCTTGCACTTTTATAAAAATTATTATATCCATGACTCTGCTTGCAGTCCCAACCAAGATAGTGGTCTATGTACTCAGATAATCTAAGTGCAGATTCTCACCTCTTTCCCAGATTTCTCATTTCCTCTGGTTCCTTGATATGTTTCCCTCAGCAATCTCAAGACAAGTCCTAGGCAATCTTTTCATTGTCATTCCCCCTCCTACCTTCCTCAGGTCCGAGAAGGATGGAGCAGCCACTGGAGTGGATGCCATCTGCACCCACCGTCTTGACCCCAAAAGCCCTGGAGTGGACAGGGAGCAGCTATACTGGGAGCTGAGCCAGCTGACCAATGGCATCAAAGAGCTGGGCCCCTACACCCTGGACAGGAACAGTCTCTATGTCAATGGTGAGCAGCTGTGATATGGTAGGGGTCTCTTCCTCCTGGCTGTGCAACCTCTAATCTCTGGCTTGGGGGCACACTCCCTGCCTGGCCATTGAAAATTCTGTCACGTGCTCTACATGGGATGACTAAGTTCTGGACTTCATGGTTTCTTTGTTATCATGAGAGGCATTCCCTCTGGGCACTCTTCCCTGTTGTGAGGATGCTGATAGGAAATCTTTAATGACCCCTGTCCCATGAAACTCATTTAATTGCACCAGGGTAGTCCTGAACTCTATCGCGTCCCCCACATCTCCTTAACCCTTACCCAGTCTCCTCCCTCCTTCTCTATGCAGGTTTCACCCATTGGATCCCTGTGCCCACCAGCAGCAGTGAGTATTCAACTCATGTCCAGATGCCCCTGATCCTACATCAAGTGGAGCAAGAGCTGGCCCCTCCTCTTTAACCCATAAGTCCTCCTCTTGAGCAAATGAGCTGGGAAGGCAGAAGTTACTCAAGCTCCCCTCTGCCCCAGCTCCAAAGACAGACCCAGCTCAAGCCCACATGCAGCAGACCTCATAATAGTCTATCTTCTTGCCATTTCTGCCATGAGAGTGCTTTCTGCTTTCACTGATGAGGACTTTTTTCAGCTCCTGGGACCTCCACAGTGGACCTTGGGTCAGGGACTCCATCCTCCCTCCCCAGCCCCACAAGTAAGTACCAGCCAATGGTATCTGTATTAGATCATGCCTGATGAATGCAAACATCTGTGCCATTTTCAGTCAAATGAAAATGGAAAATCATAATAAATCTAGTGATACTGAGTGAACCAAAAAAAATGTATTGGCCACCTACAGTGTACCAGACCCTAGGGATATAGCAAGGAAAATAGAACCAATAAAAACATCTCTGCCCTCAGTGAGCTTGTGTTCATGTGATGATATGATGGTGGTGGTGGTGGTAATAGTAATAATGACATATTCAGTTTGATGATAATTTATGATTATGGTGTTGCTGTTGATGATGGTGGTGGTGATGTTACTGACAATGATGATGACGGACATGAGGATGTTGTCAGTGATGGTTGTGAAGGTTATGATGGTAATGATGTGTTGAGTGTGATGATGATGATGATGGTGGTGGTGCTGTTGATGATGGTGACCATGGTACTGATGGTGTTGATGATGGTAGTGGTGACGTTGATGACAATAACAATAATGGTGATGAGGATGATGCCAGTGATGGTCATGTGGTTATTATGATAATGATGATGTGTTGAGTGTGGTGATGATTATGTTTGTGGTGATCATGATGGGGATTATCATGGTGATGATGATAATAATGATGGTGATGGTGACAATGATAGCAACAATGATTATGGCCATAATAAAGATAACAGATAACATCAGACAATATTGAGCACTGAATATGCACAACTAGCTATGCTCAGCATCTAACTACTATTATATAATATATTTTTATAAAAATAAATTGTATTATTATAGGCAAGGGAGACATAAATATTTTTCTCTCAATTTAAATTTTGTATATGTTTAAAGATAAGTCTATTCCAAACCCCTATTTTCTCTACTTTGAACATAGTGTTTATTTTCAATTCCCACTACAGCTGCTGGCCCTCTCCTGGTGCCGTTCACCCTCAACTTCACCATCACCAACCTGAAGTACGAGGAGGACATGCATTGCCCTGGCTCCAGGAAGTTCAACACCACAGAGAGAGTCCTGCAGAGTCTGGTTAGTGCCCTTCCCTCCTCACTCTGCCAGCCCCAGATATCCAGTCCCTTCTACATCATAGATGCCAAGGTGATGAAAGAAGATAGCACCAACCTCACCCCTGCCCCTGAGAGATGGAAGTCCCGCCCACAGAGACCAGCCCTGCTCATTGGTGCCTACTCCTCCCACCTCACATCTGCCCCTAACACACACACTCCTTAGCCCTCCTACTCACCTCTCTCTCCCTCCTCCACAGCTTGGTCCCATGTTCAAGAACACCAGTGTTGGCCCTCTGTACTCTGGCTGCAGACTGACCTTGCTCAGGTGAGACTTTAGAAGAGCCAGCTTGGCTGCCACAATTGTTCTCACTTTAAAAGACTTTGCACTGTCTCCTTGCTGCACTTCCTAGGGATATCATCACCAAAAAGGGAATTCAGGAGTCACTGGCTTGAGAACCAGTTGTTTCCTGATAGTAACACCACCATTCCCCACCTCAACAGGCAGAATTTTCGTGATCCATCATCAGGATTGAGGCACTACCCTGATCACTCCTCTGTATTCCCTCCTTTGCCTGCCCCTCCCTTTCATTTAGTGTTAAATTCTGTCCCCAGGACTGCTCTTAAGACAATCATACCTCATCCACATACATCCATCCCCCTTTCAAGCTCTTCACTAGTCTGAAGTCTGGGTTCTCCTGTCCCCATGCCATGAGAATGCAGGTTTCACCTTGCACTTTTATAAAAATTATTATATCCATGACTCTGCTTGCAGTCCCAACCAAGATAGTGGTCTATGTACTCAGATAATCTAAGTGCAGATTCTCACCTCTTTCCCAGATTTCTCATTTCCTCTGGTTCCTTGATATGTTTCCCTCAGCAATCTCAAGACAAGTCCTAGGCAATCTTTTCATTGTCATTCCCCCTCCTACCTTCCTCAGGTCCGAGAAGGATGGAGCAGCCACTGGAGTGGATGCCATCTGCACCCACCGTCTTGACCCCAAAAGCCCTGGAGTGGACAGGGAGCAGCTATACTGGGAGCTGAGCCAGCTGACCAATGGCATCAAAGAGCTGGGTCCCTACACCCTGGACAGAAACAGTCTCTATGTCAATGGTGAGGAGCTGCAATATGGTAGGAATCTCTTCCTCCTTGCTGGGCAGCCTCTAATCTCTGGCTTGGGGGCACACTCCCTGCCTGGCCATTGAAAATTTTGTCATGTGCTCTACATGGGGTGACTAAGTTCTGGACTTCATGGTTTCTTCATCATCATGAACTGCATTCCCTTGGGGCACTCTTCCCTTTTGGGAGAATGCTGATAGGAAATCTTAATGGCCCCATCCCATGAAACTCATTTAATTGCACCAGGGTAGCCCTGAACCCTATTGCATCTCCCACATCTCCTTAACCCTTACCCAGTCTCCTCCCTCCTTCTCTACGCAGGTTTCACCCATCAGACCTCTGCGCCCAACACCAGCAGTGAGTATTCAACTCATGTCCACATGCCCCTGATCCTATATTAAGTGGAGCAGGAGCTGGCCCCTCCTCTTAAGCCCATAAGAACTCCTCTTGAGCAAAGGAGCTAGGAAGGCAGAAGTTACTCAAGCTCCCCTCTGCCCCTACTCCAAAGACAGTCCTAGCTCAAGCCCACATGCAGCAGACCTTATAATAGTCTACCCTCTTTCCATTTCTGCCATGAGAGTGCTTTCTGCTTTCACTGATGAGGACTCTTTTCAGCTCCTGGGACCTCCACAGTGGACCTTGGGACCTCAGGGACTCCATCCTCCCTCCCCAGCCCTACATGTAAGTACCAGTCAATGACATGTCTATTAGATCATGCCTGATGAATATGAACATCTGTGCCGTTTTCACTCAAATGAAGATGGAAAATCATAGTAAATCTAGTGATACTGAGTGAACCAAAAAAATGTATTGGCCACCTACATTGTACCAGACCCTAGGGATACAGCAAGGAAAATAAAACCAATAAAAACATCTCTGCCCTCAGTGAGCTTGTGTTCATGTGACGATGATAGTGATGGTGGTTATGATAGTAATAATGACATGTTGAGTGGGATGCTGTTGATGATGGTGATGCTGTTGATGATGGTGATGCTGTTGATGATGGTGATGCTGTTGATGATGGCGGTGGTGATATTACTGATGATGATGGTGATGGACTTGAGGATATTGTCCGTGATGGTCGTGAAGATTATGATGATAATGATGATGTGTTAAGTGTGATGATGATGATGACTGTGGTGATGCTGTTTAGGATGCTGACCGTGGTACCGATGATATTGATGTTGGTCGTGGTTATGTTGATGACAATGACAATGATGGTGATGAGGATAATGCCAGTGATGGTGTGGGGTTATGATGATGATGATGTGTTGAATGTGGTGATGATAATGTTCGTGGTGGTCGTGATGGGCATTACTATGGCAGTGATGGTCATAATAATGATGGTGATGGTGACAATGATAGCAAGGATGATGATGGCAATAAAGATAGTACATAACATCAGACAATATTGAGCTCTGAATATGCACCACGAGGAGTGCTCAGCATCTAAATACTATTATATAATATATTTTTGTAAAAATAAATTGTATTGTTTTAGGCAAGGGAAGCATGGTAAATATTTTGTCACTCAATTTAAATTCTGCATATGTTTAAAGATAAGTCTATTGCAAACTCCTATTTTCTCTACTTTGGACATAGTGTTTGTTTCCCACCTCCACTACAGCTGCTGGCCCTCTCCTGGTGCCATTCACCCTCAACTTCACCATCACCAACCTGCAGTACGAGGAGGACATGCATCACCCAGGCTCCAGGAAGTTCAACACCACGGAGCGGGTCCTGCAGGGTCTGGTTAGTGCTCCACCCTCCTCACTCCGCCCCACCCCAGAGAGTCAGTACCTCCTACATCATCCATGCCAGGTGATGGAACAAGATCATACCCACCTCACCCTTGCCCCAAGAGATGCAAGCCATGCCCATTGAAACCAGCCCCACTCACTGATGCCTGTTCTGCCCACCTGACTTCTGCCCTACACACCCACACACGCAACTTAGCCCTCCTACTCATCTCCTTCTCCCTCCTCCACAGCTTGGTCCCATGTTCAAGAACACCAGTGTCGGCCTTCTGTACTCTGGCTGCAGACTGACCTTGCTCAGGTGAGACCTTAGAAGATCAAGCTTGGCTGCCCCACTTGTTCTCACTCCAATCGACTTTGCACTGCTTCCTTGCTGCACTTCCTAGGGATATCCTCACCAAAGGTGGAATTCAGGAGTCACTGGCTTCATGACCAATGTGTTTTCTGATAGTAACACCCCCAAACCCCACCTCAACAGGGAGAATCTGAATGGCCCATCATCAGGATTGAGCCTCTACCCTGATCATCCCTCTGAATTCCCTCCTGTCCCTGCACCTCCCTTTCCTTTAGGTCTTAAATTCTGTCCCCAGGATTTCTCTCAAGATGATCGTGCCTCATCCACAGGCTTTCATGCCCATTTCCAGCTCTTCATTGGTCTCACGTCTGGTGTCTCTGTCCCCATGCCATGAGAATGCAGGTTTTAACTTGCACTTTTTTATTTTATTTTATTTTATTTTATTTTATTTTATTTTATTTTATTTTATTTTATTTTATTTTATTTTATTATTTCATTGTTGAAACATAGTCTTACTGCACACCAGGCTGGTCTCAGCTCAGTGCAACCTCCGCCTTCCATGTTCAAGTGATTCTCCTGCCTCAGCCTCCCAAGTAGCTGGGATTACAGGCACCCACCACTATACTCAGCAAATTTTTGTATTTTTTGTAGAGACTGGGTTTCACCATGTTGACCAGGCTAGTCTTGAACTCCTGACCTCAAGTGATCTGCCCGCCTTGGCCTCCCAAAGTGCTGGGATTACAGACATGAGGCACTGTGCCAAGCCACTTTGCACTTTCATAAAAATTCTTGTATTCATTACCCTGCTTGCAGTTCAAAGCAAGCCAGTAGTCGGTGCATTCAGAGAATCTAAGTGTGATTTCTCACCTCTTTCCCAGACTTCTCATTTCCTCTGGTTCCTTGCAGTCCTTCCCTCAGCAATCTCAAAACCCTTCCTAGTTAATCTTTTGATTGCATTCCTCCCACCTTCCTTCCCCAGGCCTGAGAAGAATGGGGCAGCCACTGGAATGGATGCCATCTGCAGCCACCGTCTTGACCCCAAAAGCCCTGGACTCAACAGAGAGCAGCTGTACTGGGAGCTGAGCCAGCTGACCCATGGCATCAAAGAGCTGGGCCCCTACACCCTGGACAGGAACAGTCTCTATGTCAATGGTGAACAGATGTGATGTGGTTGGAGTCTCTTCCTCCCTGCTGAGCAGACTCTAATCTCTGGCTTGGGGGCATACTCTCTGCCTGGCCATTGAAAATTCTGTTATGTGCTCTACATGGGATGACTAAGTTCTGGACTTCATGGTTTCTTCGTCATCGTGAACTGCATTCCCTCAGGGCATTCTTCTCTGTTGTGAGGATGCCGATAGGAAACTTTTAATGGTCCCTGTCCCATGGCACCAGGATAGCCATGACCCCTATTGCATCCCCCACATCTCCTTAATCCTTACACAATTTTCTCCCTCCTTCTCTATGCAGGTTTCACCCATCGGAGCTCTGTGGCCCCCACCAGCAGTGAGTATTCAACTCAAGTCCACATGCCCCTGATCCTACACCAAGCACAGCAGAAGCTGCCCCTCCTCATAAACCCATAAGTCCTCCTCATGAGCAAAGGAGCTGGGAAGGCTGAAGTTATTGAAGCTCCCTTCCACCCCAGCTCCAAAGACAGGCCCAGCTCATGCCCACATGCAGCAGACCTCATAATAGTCCCCTGTTTGGCCATTTCTGCCATGAGAGTGCTTCTGCTTTCACTGATGAGGACTTTTCCTCAGCTCCTGGGACCTCCACAGTGGACCTTGGGACCTCAGGGACTCCATCCTCCCTCCCCAGCCCCACAAGTAAGTACCAGTCAATGACATCTCTATTACAGCATGCCTGATGAGTGTGAACATCTCTGCCATTTTCACTCAAATAAAGATGTAAAATTATAGTAAATCTGGTAATAGTGAGTGAACCAAAAATATTTGTTGGCCACCTACTGTGTACCAGACCCAAGGGATACAGCAAGGAAAACAAAACCAATAAAAATGTCTCTGCCCTCAGTGAGCTTTTTTATTCATGTGATGATGATAGTGGTGGTGGTGCTAGTTGTTGATGATGATGATGATCATGATCATGGTAATGATCATGATGGTAATGCTGTTGATGATGGTGGTGGTGCTGTTGATGATGATGATGATGATGATGATAGTGATGCTGTTGATGATAATGGTGTTGATGTTGCCGACCATGATGATGATGGATATGAAGATGATGTCAGTGACGGTTATGATGTTAGTGATGATGATGGTGGTGGTGGTGGTGCTATTTATGATGATGATGATGAAACTGGTGATGTTGATGACAATAACTGGTGATGGTGGTGAGGATGATGCCAGAGATGGTCATGGGGTTATGATGATAATAGTGATGTGTTGAGTGTGGTGATGATGATGCTTGTGGTGGTCATGGTGGGGATTATTATGATGGTGGTGATAATAAAGATTGTGATTGTGACAATGATAGCAATGATGATGATGGCAATAATAAAGATAACAGGTAACATCAGAGAATATTGAGCACTGAATATGAACCAAGAGCTATGCTCAGCATCTAACTACTATTTTATATAATATCCTTTAAAAAATAAATTCTGTCATTGAAGGCAAGGGATGCATGGTAAATATTTATTTTGTCAGTCAATTAAATACTGCCTATATTTAAAGATAACTATATTGCAAACTCCTATTTTCTCTCCTTTGAACATAGTGTTTATTTCCCCCTCCCACTACAGCAGCTGTTCCTCTCCTGGTGCCGTTCACCCTCAACTTTACCATCACCAATCTGCAGTATGGGGAGGACATGCGTCACCCTGGCTCCAGGAAGTTCAACACCACAGAGAGGGTCCTGCAGGGTCTGGTTAGTGCCCTGCCCTCCTCACTCTGCCCTGACCAAGATACTCAGTCCCTCCTACAACATCCAAGCCAGGGTAATGGGAGAAGAATGTACCCACTTCGTCCTTGCCCCCAGAGATGCAAGACTCACCCACTGAGGCCAGCCACGCCCACTGAAGCTAGCCTCACCCACTAGGCCCTGCCTCACTCACCTTATTTCTGCACCCACACACAGGGACCTTAGCCCTCCTACTCATCTCTCTGTCCCTTTTCCACAGCTTGGTCCCTTGTTCAAGAACTCCAGTGTCGGCCCTCTGTACTCTGGCTGCAGACTGATCTCTCTCAGGTGAGGCTAGAATAGCCAGCCTAGCTGTCCCAATTATTCTCACTCCAAAAGGCTTTGCACTGCTTCCTTGCTGCACTTCCTAGAGATATCCTCACCAAAGGTGGGTTTCAGCAGTCACTGGCTTCAGGACCAGTGTGTCTCCTGATAGTAACACCCCCACACTCCACCTCAACAGAGAGAATCTGCATTGTCCATCATCAGAATTGAGCCCCTACCCTGGTCATCACTCTGAATTCCCTCCTTTCCCTGCCCCTCCCTTTCATTTAGGTGTTAAATTCTGTCCCCAGGATTTCTCTCAAGACAATCATGCCTCAGCCACGTGCTTTCATCCTCATTTCCAGCTCTTCACTGGCCTCAAGTCTGGGCTCTCCTGTCCCCATGCCATGAGAATGCAGAATTCACTTTGCACTTTTTTTTTTTTTTGAGACAGAGTTTCACTCTTGTTGCCCAGGCTGGAGTGCAATCGCACAATCTCGGCTCACTGCAACCTCTGCCTCCCAGGTTCAAGCGATTCTCCTGCCTCAGCCTCCCGAGTAGCCGGGATTACAGGCATGGGCCACCACACCCGGCTAATTTTGTATTTTTAGTAGAGACAGGGTTTCTCCATGTTGGTCAGGCTGGTCTTGAACTCCTGACCTCAGGTGATCCACCTGCCTCGGCCTCCCAAAGTGCTGGGATTACAGGCGTGAGACACCATACCCAGCCTCACCTTGCACTTTTATCAAAACTGTTGTATTCATGACTCTGCTCACAGTCTCTAACAAGCCAGTAGTCTGCGCACTCAGAGAATCTAAGTGTGGCTTCTCACCTCTTTCCCAGGTTTCTCATATCCTCTGGTTCCTTGCCGTCCTTCTCTCAGCAATCTCAAGACCCATCCTAGGTAATCTTTTCATTGTCATTCTCCCCACCTACCTTCCCCAGGTCTGAGAAGGATGGGGCAGCCACTGGAGTGGATGCCATCTGCACCCACCACCTTAACCCTCAAAGCCCTGGACTGGACAGGGAGCAGCTGTACTGGCAGCTGAGCCAGATGACCAATGGCATCAAAGAGCTGGGCCCCTACACCCTGGACCGGAACAGTCTCTACGTCAATGGTGAGTGGCTGTGATGTGGTTGAAGTCTCTTCCTCCTTGCTGAGCAGCAGCTAATCTCTAACTAGAGGTCACACTTCCTGCCTGGCAATTGAAAATTCTGTCACTTGTTTTACATGGGATGACTAAGTTCTGGACTTCATAGTTTCTTTATCACCGTAGATTGTGTTCCCTCAGGGCATTCTTTGCTGATATGAGGATGCTGATAGGAAATCTTCAAATGCCCCGTACCATGAAATTCATTCCTTTGCACCAGGGTAGCCTTGACCCCTATTTGGTTGCCAATGTCTCCTTAACCCTTACGCACTCTCCTGCCTCCTTCCCTATGCAGGTTTCACCCATCGGAGCTCTGGGCTCACCACCAGCAGTGAGTATTCAACTCATGTCCACATGCCCCTGATTCTACACCAAGCGGAACAGGAGCTACTCCTCCTCATAAACCCATAGGTCCTCTTCTTCAGCAAAGGAGATAAGAGGGCAGCAGTTACTCAAGCTCTGCTCTGCCCCAGCTCCAAAGACTGACCCATCTCTAGCCACACAGGCAGCGGACCCCATAGTCTCCCCTCTTGCCATTTCTGTCATGAGAGTGCTTCCTGCTTTCACTGATGAGGACTTTTTCTCAGCTCCTTGGACTTCCACAGTTGACCTTGGAACCTCAGGGACTCCATCCCCCGTCCCCAGCCCCACAAGTAAGTACCAGTCAATGGCATCTCTGTTAGAGCATGCCTGATGTAAACGTCTGTGCCATTTTCATTCAAATAAAGATAGAAAATCATAATAAGTCTAGTGATAGTGAGTGAACCAAAAAAATTAATTGGCCACCTACAGTGTACCAGACCCTAGGGATACAGCAAGGAAAATAAAACCAGTAAAAACATCTCTGCCCTCAGTGAGCTTCTGTTTATGTGATGATGATGATGATGATGGTGGTGGTGATGATGACAATAATACTACTGATGGTGGCAATCATGGTGATATTGACAGTGATGATGGTGATGATGATAATGGTGATGGAGGTGATGATTGGGATGATGATGGTTGTGGTGTTAATGGTGATAATGATGATGGTGGTGGTGGTGTTGGGGTTGGTGCTGATGGTGGTGATGATAATAATACTCATGGAGACAATCATGGTGATGTTGAAAATGAAGGTGGTGTTAACAACGGCACTAGATAGTATCTGGCACTATGGAACACTGAATATGCACCAAGACCTATGCTCAGCCTCTAACTACTATTTAATGTGCTCTCTCAAGAACAGCTATCATAATAGTCAAAGGAGGCATGAAAACATTATGTTTTATCACTCACTTTAAATCCTGTTGCATATGTTTAGAAATAAGTCTATTGCAAACTCTTAAATTTTCTCTACTTTTGAACATAGTGTTTATTTCCCACCTTCACTATAGCCACCGGCCCTCTCCTGGTGCCATTCACACTCAACTTCACCATCACTAACCTACAGTATGAGGAGAACATGGGTCACCCTGGCTCCAGGAAGTTCAACATCACGGAGAGTGTTCTGCAGGGTCTGGTAAGAGCCCCACCTATCTCACTCTGCCCTATCCACCTTACCTAGTCCCACCTATGTCACCTATATGGCCATGGAAGATCTCACCCACCTCCCCTCACCCCAAGAGATAAAAGCCCCATACAACCTACTGATGTCAGCTCCACCAACTACAGCCAGCCCCACCCACCTCACTTCTGCCGTGCCTCTACTTCTTCAGCCCTGCCACTCACCTCCCTCTCCCTCCCCAACAGCTCAAGCCCTTGTTCAAGAGCACCAGTGTTGGCCCTCTGTATTCTGGCTGCAGACTGACCTTGCTCAGGTGAGACCTTAGAATTTCCAGTGTGGCTGCCCCGATTATTCCTAGTCTCAATGAGTTTGGACTTCTTTTTTCCTGTCCTCTTTGTGATTATTCTTATCAAAGATGGAATCCAGGAAACTGGCTCCAGGACTAACCTGTCTCCTGGTATTAGCAGTGCCCCCGCCCCCACTTCCAAACTGACTGAGAGATTCCAGAGTCCATCAACAGGACTGGACTTCTGCCCTGGCCATTCCTCAGAATTCCCTGTTTTCCCCCCACCTCCCTTGACTTTAGGTGTTAAACTCTGTAACCAGGATTTCTCTCAAGACAAACATGCCTCAACCACTTGTTTTCATCCCCAATTCCAGCTCTTCAGCTATCTCAAGTCTGAGCTCTCCTGTTTCCATGCTTTAAGAATGCAGGATCCACCCTGCCATTTTGGGAAAACTGTTATATCCACAACTATGCTCACAGTCCCAAGCAGTCCAGTACACTCAGGGAATCTAAGTATTGCTTCCCACCTCTGTATTAGACTTTTTACTTCCTCTGTCCTTCTTGTCCTACACTCTGCCATCTCAAGACCTCTCCTTAGGCAATTCATTTATTGCCATTCCCCTCACCACCTCTCCCCAGGCCTGAGAAGGATGGAGTAGCCACCAGAGTGGACGCCATCTGCACCCACCGCCCTGACCCCAAAATCCCTGGGCTAGACAGACAGCAGCTATACTGGGAGCTGAGCCAGCTGACCCACAGCATCACTGAGCTGGGACCCTACACCCTGGATAGGGACAGTCTCTATGTCAATGGTAAGCAGCTCTGATGTGATTAGAGTCTCTTTCTCCTGCCTGGGCAGCCTCTACTCTCTTACTTGAGGTCACATGCCCTGCTTGGACACTGAAGGCTAGGACACGTCTGTATGTGGTGATTGATGTCAGAATTTCATGATTTCTTCTTTATCTTGAACTGATTTCATCCTTAGTAGCTTCTTCCCTGATACTCAGATTCTGACAGAGAATCTCCAAAGGCCCCTGTTCCATGAAACTCCTTTCATTCCACCAGGGTAGCCCTGACTTTTTTTTGACCCCCTACCTCCCCCTTGACTCTTATCCACACTCCTCCCTCCCTCTCTATGCAGGTTTCACCCAGCGGAGCTCTGTGCCCACCACCAGCAGTGAGTATTCTACTGATGTTCCCATGGCCCCAATCTTACAACAAACTTAGCAGGAGCTGACCCCTATTCATAAGCCCTTATGTCCTTTCCATAAGGGAAGGAACATAGAGGACACAAATTATTCCCCTTCCCCACTGCCCCAGCTAATCAGAATCCCAGCTGAAGCCCCACAGGCAAAAATCCCCATGAATAGTCCCTCCTGCTGGCATTACTTCCATGAGAGCACTTGCTCCTTTCACTGTTGAGGGCTTCTCCTCAGCTCCTGGGACTTTCACAGTACAGCCGGAAACCTCTGAGACTCCATCATCCCTCCCTGGCCCCACAGGTAAATACCAGTCAATGGTATTTGGAGCATGGTTGATGAGTGTAAACATCTCTGTTTATACTCTGTTAGAGCATGGTTGATGAGTGTAAACATCTCTGTCATTATTCACTCAACTAAAGATGGAAATTCATAGTAAATGTAGTAACCATAGGTCAACCAACCCAGTTCATTGAGCACTGCCTCTGTATCAGGACCTGGATATACATCAGGGAACAAAAAAAGAAAAAACACTGCCCTCAGTGAGCTTATATTATTGTGATGATGATGATGATGGGGGTGGCGGTGATGATGATTGCAGTGGTGGTGGTGGTGGTGGTGATGGTAAGGATAATGATGATTATGCTGGTGGTAATCATGGGAAGAATGATGGTGGTGGTGGGGATTACAATTGACAATAATTATGGGGATTTTGACAATAATGATAATAATAATGATGATGATGACGGTTGTGTTGATTGTGGTGATGATGTTGGAGTGGTGATGATAACAATGGTGACAATGATGGTAAAGATGATGATGGTTGTTTGGATGATGACAGTAATGTTGCTGGTTATGATGCTAATGATGATGTGATTATGGTGATGATGATGATGTTTGTGGTGGTGTTGATGTGGATTGTGACATTCGTGATGGTGAGGATGACAATAGTGATGGCGATAGTGATTATGATGACAATGATCGTGATGATGATTATTCAGATAATGACAGTGATGATGATTATGATGGTAATGATGATATGACTATGGTGATAATGATGTTTGTGGTAGTATTGATGGGGATTATCGTTGTGGTGATGGTCTTGGTGCTGATGCTGACAATAATGGTGATGATGATGATGATGATGATGATAATGGTGATGACAAAGGTAACAGGTAATATCTGATATTTTTCAGCACTGAATATGCACCAAAAGCTGGGCTCAGAATCTAACAAATATTATGTAATATGCTTTTTAAAAAAATAATTTCTATCAAGAAGGGCATGGAAACCTTTAATTTTGTCATTCATTTTAAATTCTGTTGCATATGATTAAAAATAAACTTATTGCAAACTCTTCAAGTCTATTGCAAAAGTCGAGAAACTTGAGGAGTTTGCAATAGACTTATTTTTAACTATATGCAACAGATTAAAAATACAAACAAACACAATAGTGTTTGTTTCCACACCTTTTACTACAGCCACTGGCCCTGTCCTGCTGCCATTCACCCTCAATTTTACCATCACTAACCTGCAGTA
Source organism: Homo sapiens (assembly GCF_000001405.40). Classification (NCBI taxonomy): domain Eukaryota; kingdom Metazoa; phylum Chordata; class Mammalia; order Primates; family Hominidae; genus Homo; species Homo sapiens. The sequence continues at coordinate 8,892,956 of NC_000019.10, read as the reverse complement.
TGAGGAGGACATGCGTCGCCCTGGCTCCAGGAAGTTCAACACCACGGAGAGGGTCCTTCAGGGTCTGGTGAGACCCCTGTCCAACTTACTCTGCCCCTCCCACGTTACCTGGTCCCAACAACATCACCCATGCCAGGGCCATGGAAGAAAATCTCATCCATCTCCCCTAGAGACACAAGCCCTGCCCACTGGTGCCAGCTGCACTCGCCACACTTGTGCCCCACCACTATATCCCCAGCCCTCCTAGTCACCTCCCTCTCCCTCTTCCACAGCTTATGCCCTTGTTCAAGAACACCAGTGTCAGCTCTCTGTACTCTGGTTGCAGACTGACCTTGCTCAGGTGAGACTTTAGAAGAGCTAGCCTAGCTGCCCCAATTGTTCCTAGTCGCAAAGAGTTTGGATTGTTTTTTTTTTTCCTGCCATCCCTGTGAATGTCCTCACAACAGATGGAATTCGGGAAGCATTGGCTTCAAAACTAATCTGTCTCCTGATACCATCAGCACCACCCCAATCAACTGCGAGATTCTGCAGAGTCCATGAGGAGAATTGTGCTTCTACCTTGGTCATCCCTCTGAATTCCCTCCTTTCCACCCACCTCCCTTTCCTCCAGTTGTTAAATTCTGTCCCCAGGATTTCTCACAAGACAAGCATGCCTCATCCACTTGCTTTCATCCCCAATTCCAGCTCTTCATCTGTCTCATGTCTGAGTACTCTTGTCTCCATGCCATGAGAATGCAGGCTTTACTTTGCAATTTTATAAAAAGTTCTTGCATCTATGACTCTGTTCACAGTCCTGGGCTGGCTGGCAGCCGGGACACTCAGAGAATCTAAATGTGACTTATTACCTCTTTCCCAGGCTTCTCATTTCCTCTGGCCCCTTCCTGTCTGGCCCCAGGAAATCTCAGAACTCCTCCTGAGGCAATTTTTAAATTGTTATTTGCTTCATCTGCCCTCCCTAGGCCTGAGAAGGATGGGGCAGCCACCAGAGTGGATGCTGTCTGCACCCATCGTCCTGACCCCAAAAGCCCTGGACTGGACAGAGAGCGGCTGTACTGGAAGCTGAGCCAGCTGACCCACGGCATCACTGAGCTGGGCCCCTACACCCTGGACAGGCACAGTCTCTATGTCAATGGTGAGCAACTTTGATGTGGTTGGAGTCTCTTCCTCCTTGCTGGACAGCCTCTATTCTCTGGCCTGAGGTCACACTTCCCGTCTGGCTATTGAAGGCTCAACCATGTTGTCTGTATGTGGTGGCTAAGGTCAAAACTTCGTGGTTTCTTCTTCATCTCAAACTGAATTTACCCTCAGGATCTGCTTTCTAAATCTGAGGGTGCTGATAGAGAATCTTCAATGGCCCGTGTTCTGGGAAATTCCTTCTGTTGCACCAGGGTACCCCACCACTCCCTTAACACTTACCCACTCTCGTCCCTCCATCTCAATGCAGGTTTCACCCATCAGAGCTCTATGACGACCACCAGAAGTGAGTATTAACTGATGTTCCAGTGCTCCTGATCCTACATCATAAAGGGCAGGAGCTTACCTCTCCTTCTATGCCCCTATATCCTCTTCATGAGGGAAGGAAGAGAGAGCACAAGTTATTCCCCTTTCCCTCTGGCCCAGCTCCAGATGGAGATACTGCCCCACATGCAGCAAGGGCCATAAATACTCCTACCTGCTGGTGTTTCTGCCATGAGAGGGTTTGCTGCTTTCACTAATACAGCAAACCTTCTCCTCAGCTCCTGATACCTCCACAATGCACCTGGCAACCTCGAGAACTCCAGCCTCCCTGTCTGGACCCATGAGTGAGTACTATTCAGTGTCATCTCTATTACAGCATGCCTGAGGAGTGTCAACATCTCTGCCATTTTCTTTTCTTTCTTTTTTTTCTTTTTTGAGACATAGTCTTGCTCTGTCACCCAGGCTAGAATGCAATGGCGTGATCTCAGCCCACTGCAACCTCTGCCTCCTAGGTTCAAGCGATTCTCCTGCCTCCACCTCCTGAGTAGCTGGGATTACAGGTGCATGCCACCATGCCCAGCTAATTTTTATATTTTTAGTAGAGGTGGAGCTTCACCATATTGGTCAAACTGATCTCGAACTCCTGACCTCGTGATCTGTCTGCCTTGGCCCCCCAAAGTGCTGGGATTACAGGCGTGAGCCACCGCACCTGGCCTACAACTCCACCATTTTCACTCAAATAAAAATGAAAAGTCCTAGTGAATCTAGTGATGACAAGTCAACCGACAAATTTTGTTGAGCGTCTGGCTTCTTCGGGGCCCTAGGGATAAGGCAGGGAACACAAAAGAAATAAAAATCTCTATCCTCAGGAAGGTTATATTGTTGTGATGATGATGATAATGATAGGGATGATGGACATGATGACAACAATGATGGTGTTGCTGATGATGGTGATGATGATGATGATGGTGGTAGTGGTTTTGATGGTGATGATGATGATAGTGGTGGTGATGATTATGGGAAGGATGATAGTGGTGGTGGTGATGTGATGGTTCTGATGGCAATTGACAATGTGATCATGATGTTGACAATGAGGATAATGATGGTGGTGATGATGATAATGATGTTGGTGGTGATGGTGGTTATGATAGTAAGAATGATATGATAATGGTGTTAGTGACCATGTGCTAGTGGTGATTATATGGATGATGATGGTTGTGGTGCTGGTGGTGTAATGATGATGATGGGTGGGGATCATAGGGATTATGATGGTCATGGTTTTGGTGCTGATGCTGGTGGTGATGACAATAATGATAGCGATGGTCACAGTGTTGCTGATGTTGATGATGATCGTGGTGTTGGCAAAGGTAGTAGATAATGTCTAGTAGTATGGAATACTGAATATGCACCAAGAGCTGTGCTTAGCATCTAACTACTATTATTTAGTATGCTCTATGAGAACTATGTACCATTACAGTGAAGGGAGGCGTGAAAACCTTTTATTTTGTCACTTTAAATCATGTTGCATATGTTTAGAAACAATTCTATCACAAATTCTTAAGTGTTAGTCTACTTTTGAACACTGTTTATTTCCCATCTTCACTATAGCCGCCAGCCCTCTCCTGGTGCTATTCACAATTAACTTCACCATCACTAACCTGCGGTATGAGGAGAACATGCATCACCCTGGCTCTAGAAAGTTTAACACCACGGAGAGAGTCCTTCAGGGTCTGGTAAGAGCCCCACATACCTCATTCTACCCCACTCACCATGTTTAGTCCTGCCCACCTCACCTATTGCAGAGCATGGAAGATCTCATCTACCTCATCTTGCCCCCAGATATGCATACCCCAACCACTGATGCCAGCCCCACCAACTGTTGCCAGCCCTGCCCACCTCCCTTCTACCACACCCCTATGACTTCAGTCCTCCCACTCACCTCCCTCTCCCTCCTCCACAGCTCAGGCCTGTGTTCAAGAACACCAGTGTTGGCCCTCTGTACTCTGGCTGCAGACTGACCTTGCTCAGGTGAGAACTGAGAACAGCCAGTCTGACTGATCTGAGCAGTTTGACCTGCTTCCCTTCTGCACTCCCTGGAGATGTCCGCAGCCAGGTGGAATCCAGGAGGCAGTGGCTCTAAGACCAATGTGCTTCCTGTTCCCACCACCTCCCACCTCAACTGAGAGATGCAGAGCCCATCAGCAGGACTGAGCTTCTACCTTGGTCATCCCTCTGAATTCCCTCCTTTCCCCTACCTGCCTTTCCACAAGTGGTTCAATTCTGTTCCCAGGATTTCTCCCAAGAAAAACATGCCTCGTCCACTTGCTTTCATCCCCAAACCTAGCTCTTCACCTGTCTCAAGTATGAGTTCTCCTTACCCCATGCTACAAGAATGCAGTTTCCACTTTGCAATTTTATAAAAATCCTTGCATCCATGATTCTGCTCATAGTTGCTAAGAGTCAGTGCACTCAGAGAATGGAAGTATGGCTTCTCACTTCTCTACCAGGCTTCTCATTTCCTCTGGCCCCCTCCTGTCCTGCCCTGTGGGATCTCAGAACCCCTCCCTAGGCAATCCGTGTATTGTCTTTCCCCAATCTTGCCCTCCCCAGGCCCAAGAAGGATGGGGCAGCCACCAAAGTGGATGCCATCTGCACCTACCGCCCTGATCCCAAAAGCCCTGGACTGGACAGAGAGCAGCTATACTGGGAGCTGAGCCAGCTGACCCACAGCATCACTGAGCTGGGCCCCTACACCCTGGACAGGGACAGTCTCTATGTCAATGGTGAGTAGTTGTGATGTGGTTGGAGTCTCTTCCTCCTTGCTGGGCAGCCTCTACTCTCTGCCTTGAGGTCACGCTCCCTGCCTGGCTATTGAATGCTCATCCATGTTGTCTGTATGTGATGGCTGAGGTTGGAACTTCATGGTTTCTATTTCATCTTGGACTGAGTTCATCCTCAGGATCTGCTTTCTGGATCTGAGGGTGCTGATAGAGAATCTTCAATGGTTCGTGTTCTGGGAAATTCCTTCCATTGCACCAGGGTACCCTGACCCCTATATAGTTCCCCACCACTCCCTTAACCCTTACCCACCCTCTTCCCTCCCTCTCTATGCAGGTTTCACACAGCGGAGCTCTGTGCCCACCACTAGCAGTGAGTATCCACTGATTTCCAGTGCTCCTGATCCTACATCATGCAGGGCAAGAACTGACCCCTCCTCACATGCCCCTATGTCCTCTATGAGCAAAGGAGCTGGGACAGCACAAGTTACTCCCTTTCCCTTCTGGCCCAAGTCTCTTCAGAGAGAGACCCAGCTCAAGCCCCACATGCAGCAAGGTCCATAAATACTCCTACCTGCTGGCATTTCTGCCATGAGAGGGTTCAACACTTTCACTAATGAGGCCTTCTCCTCAGTTCCTGGGACCCCCACAGTGGACCTGGGAACATCTGGGACTCCAGTTTCTAAACCTGGTCCCTCGGGTAAGTACAAATCAATCGCATCTCTGTTAGAGCATGCCTGATGACTGTCAACATCTCTGCCATTTTCACTTAAATAAAGATAAAAAATCCTAGTGAATCTACGGATGAGGAGTCATCCAGCAAACTTAATTGAGTGCCTAGTTTCTGCAGGGCTCTAGGGATAAGGAAGGGGACACAAAACAGTTAAAAATATCTGCTGCAAGAAAGCTTATTTTATTGTGAGGGTGATGGGAGTTGGTGGTGGTGAAGTTACTGGAGATGATGACAATAAGAATGGTGATGCTAGTGATGATGATGGTGATAAGGATGATAATTATGAAGATGGTGGTGGTGATGATGATGATGGTGGTGGCAGGGGTTATGATGGTGATGCTGTGATGATGATTACAATGGTGGTGGTGATTATGGGAAGGATGATAGTGGTGTTGGTGATGGTGGTAGTCTTGGTAGTGATTGACAATAGTAATGACGATGTTGACAATGAGAATAATGATGATGATGGTAGTGGTGGTGGTTATGATGGTAATCATGTGATGATGATCAGGACAGTTGTGGGGGTGATTATGGGAAGAATGATGGTGGTAAGGATGGTGGCGGTTGTGGTAGTGATTGACAATAGTGATTGTGATGGTTACAATGAAGATAATGATGATTATAATGATGATGGTTGTGATGGTGGTTGTGGTGATGAGAATAATGATGATACGACAATGGTGTTGGTAATCATGGTGCTGGTGATCATGATGCAAATGATGATGATTGTGGTGGTGGTGATGATGATGATGATGGTAGTGGGGATGCTACCACACTGTTGGTCATGATTTTGGTGCTGATGTGGGTGGTGCTGATGCTGGTGGTGATGACAATAATAGTGAGGGTCACAGTGTTGGTGACATTGATGATGACAATGGTAATAATAAAGGTAACAGATAATATTTAGTATTATAGAACTCTGAATATGCACCAAGAGGTATGCTAACTACTACTATTATTTAGTAGGCTTTGTTAGAAACTTCTGTTGTTATAGTCAAGGGACGCATGGAAACTTTTTATATTATTCTCTCTTTAAATCCTGTTGCATATGTTTAGAAGTAGGCCTTTTGGAAATATATAAAGTTCTCCACTTTTGAACATGTTGTTTCTTTCCCACCTCCACGACAGCTGCCAGCCCTCTCCTGGTGCTATTCACTCTCAACTTCACCATCACCAACCTGCGGTATGAGGAGAACATGCAGCACCCTGGCTCCAGGAAGTTCAACACCACGGAGAGGGTCCTTCAGGGCCTGGTAAGAGCCCCGCCCATCTCACTCTGCCCAGTTCACCTTGTCTAGTTCCACCTGTCTCACTCATGACAGGGCATGGAAGAAGATCTCACCCACCTCCTCTCACACCCAGAGCCGTGAGCCCCCATCCACTGATGCCAGGCCCGCCTACTGGTGCCAGCCCCAATGACTAGTCCCCTGACGCTACCCCCTCAGCCATCCTACTCACCTCCCTCTCCCTCTCCCACAGCTCAGGTCCCTGTTCAAGAGCACCAGTGTTGGCCCTCTGTACTCTGGCTGCAGACTGACTTTGCTCAGGTGAGACCTTAGAATTGCCAACCTGTCTGCCCCAATTGTTCCCAGTCTCCATGAGTGTGGACTTCTTTTTTCTTGCCCTCTCTGTGGTTATTCTGATCAAAGATGGAACTCAAGGAACAGTGGCTCCAAGACTAACCTGTCTCCCAATATTACCACTGCCCCCTGCCATCACACCCAAATTGACTGAGAGTTTCCACAGGGTCCATCAGCAGGATTGGACTTCCACCCTGGCCATCCCTCTGAATTCCCTCTTTTCTCCCCACCTCCCTTGCCCTTAGGTGTTAAATTCTCTAACTAAGATTTCTCTCAAGACAAATGTGCCTCATTCACTTGTTTAATTCCCAATTCCAGCTTGTCACCTGTCTCAAGTCTAGGCTGTCCTGTCCCCATGCCATGAGAATGCAAGAACCACACTGAAATGTTAGAAAAATTCTTTTATCCACAAGTATGCTCACCGTCCCAAGCTGGACAGTAGTCAGTGCACTCAGAGAATCTAAGTGTGGCTTCTCATCTGTGTACCAGGCTTCTCATTTCCTGTGGCCCCTTCTTGTCCTTCCCTCAGCAATCTTGGGACTCCTCCCTAGACAAAACTTTATTATTATTCCCCTCACCTGCCCTCTCCAGGCCTGAAAAGGATGGGACAGCCACTGGAGTGGATGCCATCTGCACCCACCACCCTGACCCCAAAAGCCCTAGGCTGGACAGAGAGCAGCTGTATTGGGAGCTGAGCCAGCTGACCCACAATATCACTGAGCTGGGCCCCTATGCCCTGGACAACGACAGCCTCTTTGTCAATGGTGAGCAATTGTGATGTGGTTGGAGTTTCTTCTTCCTTGCTGAGCAGGCCTCTACTCTCTGTCTTGAGGTCACTCTCCCTGCCTGGCCACTGGTCTTGGCCATGTTGTCTGTATTTGATGATTGATATGAACTTCACCGTTTCTTCTTCATCTTGTACTGGAGACCTTCATCCTCAGGACCTTCTTCCCTGATCTGAGTGTACTTGTATAGAATCCTCAAAGCCCATGTTCCCTGAAACTCCTTCAATTGCACCATGGTAGCACTGACCCCTTTTGGTCCCCCACCTTTCCCTTAACCCTTTCCCACTCTCCTCCCTCCCTCTCTATGCAGGTTTCACTCATCGGAGCTCTGTGTCCACCACCAGCAGTGAGTATTCTACTAATGTTCCAGTAACCCCAGTCCTACTCCAAGCAGGACAGGAGCTGACCCCCTTCTCCTATGCCCCTATATCTTCTTCATGAGGGAAAGATCTGAGAGGGCACAAGTGATTCCCTTTCCCTCTGGCCCAGCTCCAGAGAGACACTAATCTCAAGCCCCACATGCAGAAATATTCCTATCTGCTGGCATTTCTGCCATGAAAGAGCTTATGCTGCTTTAACCAATGCGGGCTTCTCCTCAGCTCCTGGGACCCCCACAGTGTATCTGGGAGCATCTAAGACTCCAGCCTCGATATTTGGCCCTTCAGGTAAGTACCAGTCAATGGCACCTCTATTAGAGTATGCATGATGAGTGTCAACATCTCTGTCCTTTTCACTCAAATAAGATTAAAAATCATAGCAAATTTACTGATGATGAGTCACCCAACAAACTTCTTTGAGTACCCACTCTCTGCCAGGCCCTAGAGATAAGGCAGGGAACACAAAAGAGGTAAAAATCTCTGCCCTCAGAGAGCTTCTTTTATTTTGAGGATGATGTGGGATAGTGGTGATGATGATGTTGCTGGAGATGATTACAATAATGATGGTGATGCTTATGACCATGATGTGATGATGATGGTGATTATGAAGATGATGATGATGATATTGATGATGGTAGTGGTTTTGACAGTAATGATGATGTGATGATGATGATGATAGTGGTGGTGGTGATTATGGGAAGGATGACAGTGGTGGTGGTGATGGTGGTGGTTGTGGTGGTGATTGACAATGTGGTGGTGATATTGACAATGAGGATGATGATGATAGTGGTGGTGGTTATGATGGTTAAGGATGATGTGATGATGGTGTTGGTGATCACGGTACTAGTGGTGGTGATGTGGACCGTCATGGTTGTGGTTGTGGTGGTGATGGTGGTGATCATGATGATAATGAGGATGATGGTGGTGATTGTCATGATGGTAAGGATGAAACAGTGATGGTGTTGGTGACCATGTTCCTGGTGGTGATGGTGCAGGTGATGATGTGGATGATGATGGTGATGGTGGTGGAGATGATAGGGATTATGAAGATCATGGTTTTTGTCCTGATGGTGGTGGTGATGACAATAATGAAAATGATGGTCACAGTGTTGGTGATGATGATGGTGGTGATAACAAAGGTAATAGATAGTGTCTAGTATTATGGAACACAGAACATCACCAAAGGTTATGCTCAGCATCTAACTATTATTATTTAGCATGCTCTATGAAAAACTTTGATCGTTATAGTCAAGGGAGGCATGAAAACCTTCTATTTTATCACTCTCTTTAAATCTGGTTGCATATGTTTAGAAATAAATCTATTACAAACTCTTAAATGTTCTCTACTTTTGAACATAGTGTTTATTTCCCACCTCCACTACAGCTGCCAGCCATCTCCTGATACTATTCACCCTCAACTTCACCATCACTAACCTGCGGTATGAGGAGAACATGTGGCCTGGCTCCAGGAAGTTCAACACTACAGAGAGGGTCCTTCAGGGCCTGGTGAGAGCCCTGCCCACCTCACTCTGCCCTGCCCACCTTGTCTTGTTCCACCTACGTCACCCATTCCAAGGCATGGAAGAAGATCTCACCCACCTCCCCTCACCTGAGAGATAGCCCCGCCCCCTGATTACAGCCCCTTCCACCTTACATCTTCCTCACTTCTATGTCCTCAGCCATCTTACTCACCTCCCTCTTCCTCCTCCACAGCTAAGGCCCTTGTTCAAGAACACCAGTGTTGGCCCTCTGTACTCTGGCTGCAGGCTGACCTTGCTCAGGTGAGAACTGAGAATAACCAGTCTGGCTACCCCAAGTGTTCCCAGGCCCAAGGAGTTTCATCAGCTTTCTTCCTTCCCTCCCTATGGAAGTCCTCAGCACAAGTGGAATTCAGGCGTTGGTGGCTCCAGGATGAACATATCTGCTGATCCTACCACCTCCCCCATCAATCGAGAGAATTTGCAGGGCCCATCAGCCAGATCAGGCTTCTACTTTGGTCATCCTTCTGAATTTCTTACTTCTCCCTACCTCCCTCTCCTTCAGGTGTTAAATTCTCTTCCAAGGTTTCTCTCAAGATAAACATCCCCCATCCACTTGCTTTCATCCCCAATTCCAGCTCTTAATATTTCTCAAGTCTGGGCTCTCCTGTCCCCATACCATGAGAATGCAATTTTATAAAATTCTTGTATTCCTGACTCTACTCACATTCCCAGGCTGCCTGGAAGTTGGTGCATTCAGAGAATCTTAGTATGGCTTCTCACCTGTCTACCAGGATTCTCATTTCCTCTGTCCCCTTCCTGTCCTGCCCCCAGGAATCTCAGGATGCCTCCCCATAGGCAATCTATTTAATGTCATCCCCCTTATCTGCCCTCCCTAGGCCAGAGAAAGATGGGGAAGCCACCGGAGTGGATGCCATCTGCACCCACCGCCCTGACCCCACAGGCCCTGGGCTGGACAGAGAGCAGCTGTATTTGGAGCTGAGCCAGCTGACCCACAGCATCACTGAGCTGGGCCCCTACACACTGGACAGGGACAGTCTCTATGTCAATGGTGAGCGGCTGTGATGTGGTTGGAGATTCTTCCTCTTTGCTGGACAGCTTCTTACTCTCTGACTTGAGGTCACACTCCCTGACTGGCCATTGACGTCTTGGCTATGTTGTCTGTATGTGATGACTGATGTCTGAACTTCATAGTTTCTTCATCTTGGACTGAGTTCATCCTCAGTACCTTCTTCCCTGATCTGAGGGTACTGATAGAGAATCTTCAAAGGCCCCTGTTCCTTGAAACTTCTTCCATTCCACTAGGGTATCTGTGACCCCTATTTGATTCCCCACCTCTCCCTTAACCCTTACCCACTCTCCTCCCTCCTTCTCTGTGCAGGTTTCACCCATCGGAGCTCTGTACCCACCACCAGCAGTGAGTATTCAACCGATGCTCCAGTAGCCCCAATTATACACCAAGCAGGGCAGGAGCTGTCCTGTCTTCCTATGCCCCTATGTCCTCTTCATAAAGGAAGGGGCTGGGAGGGCACAAGTTATTCCCTTTCCCTTCTGGCCAGCTCCAGAGAGAGACCCAGCTCAGGCCCGATATGCAGCAAGGCCTGTAAATAGTTTTATTTGCTGACCTTTCTGCCATGAGAGGCTTGGATGCTTCCCCTGAAGAGGGTTTCTCTGTAGCTCTTGGGACTACCACAGTGGACCTGGGAAACTCTGGGGATCCACCCCTTCTACTGGTCCCTTGAATAAGTACCAGCCAATGGCACCTCTGTTAGAGCATGGCTGATGAGTGTAAACATCTCTTCCATTATTCAGTCAAATAAAGATGGAAATTCTTTATAAATCTAGTGATGATGAGCCAACCAACAAACTTTATTGAGCATTGTGACAAGCCCTGGGGCTCTGCCAAATCCTGGGGATATGGCATGGATCATGAAACAATTAATAATCTCTCCTCTCAGAGAGCTATTTTTATGATGATACTGATGGTGGCAATGATGATGATGTTGATGGTGATTATGACCATGATGACAATGGTGATGGTGGTGGTGATGATGGTAATGATGATGATGGTGATGTTGGTAATGATGGTGGTGATTATGACAATAATGATGGTGATGGTGACAGGGATGGTGATGATTATGATGGTGGTGGTGATAACAAAGTTAATGGATAATATATGAACTTATTGGCTACTGAATATGCACCAAAGTGCTATGCTCAGTGTTTAACTAGTACTATTTAATATGATTTCTAAAAAAAATCTTGAATTATTATAGGCAGAAGAATCATGGGAACCTTTTATTTTGTCACTCACTTTAAGTCCTATTGCATATTTTTTAAGTCAATTGCAAACACAGTTTCTCTGCTTTGAACATTGTGTTTATATCCAGTCACCCCAATAGTGCATAAACCTGCTGATTGGAGCAACTGTGTCTTACTCCCTTGTGCTTCCCTAGTATCTGCTTCAGGACCTTGTACATGGTAGATCGACAGATTTAGATCTACAGGAAAATATGGATTTTCCCAGGGAAGGAAGGAATGAAGTATGCTTTCTTATAATGTATGGAAACTTTCCTCTTCTGCCTTGGTTCAACTTTAGTGTCTGCCAGAGTTTACACTGGAAAACTATATGGCATCTGCTCCACTCCCTCATCCATGACAGACATCATTAATTGATTGCAGCATTCATGGCAGACATCACCAATTGATAATAGCATTCATTTTCTCTCAGTTCAAAACAGCTTCAGAATGGTTACCAAAAAAAAAAAATTCAGTCGCTACCAATTCAATTGGAGCTGACTCAGGATTATGGGACAGAATTCAAGAGAGTTAGGTTCCTTGATGATGTGTAGTTGGCTCTTTGGTTTTCCTAGAAGGCTCAGCTCAGGCTCAGCTTGGTCATTGCTGATATCCTTTCTTCCACTTGGTCGATTTGGCTGTTGATACTTATGTATGCTTCACGAAGTTTTTGTGCTGTGTTTTTCAGCTCCATCGGTTGGTTTATGTTCCTCTCTAAACTGGTTATTCTAGTTAGCAATTCCTTTAACCTTTCATCAAGGTGCTTAGCTTTGCATTGCATTAGAACATGCTCCTTTAGCTCATCGTACTTTTTTATTGCCCATCTTCTGAAGCCTACTTCTGTCAATTCATCCATCTGATCCTCCATCCAGTTCTGCACCCTTAATGGAGAGATGTTGCGGTCATTTGGAGGAAAAGAGGCACTCTGGCCTTTTGGGTTTTCAGCATTTTTTTGTTGATTATTTCCCATCTTCAGGAGTTTTAGTTTCAGGCTTTGAGGCTGCTGATCCTTGGATGGGGTTTTTATGGGGGTCTTTTGGTTGTTGTTGTTGATGATGATGATGTTATTGTCACTTTCTGCTTGTTTTTCTTTCAATAGTCAGGTCCCTCTTCTGTAGGGCTGCTGCAGTTTGCTAGGGGTTCACTTCAGGCCCTATTCATCTGATTCGCTCCCATGTCTGGAGGTGTCACTCAAGGAGGCTTGGAGAGCAGCGAACATAGGTGCCTGCTTCTTCTGGGACCTCTGACCTCGAGGGACACCAACCTGATGCCAGTAGGATCGCTCCTGTGTAGGGTGTCTGACAACTATTGTTGGAGGGTTTCGCCCAGTTGACTGGCATGGAGAGCAGGACCCATTTAATGAAGCACTTTGTCCCCTGGTGGAGAGGGGGTTCTTCACTGGGGGGAAACCACATGTCTGGGCTGCTTGGATTCCTCAGAACTACCAGAGGAGAGGCTAAGTCTGCTGGTCCACAGAGACTACAGCCATCCCTCCCACTAGGGGCCCAAGCCCAGGGAGTCCAAATTCTGTCTCTGAGCCTCTGGCTGGAGTCTTTGGAGATCCTGCAAGGAAGCTCTGCCCACTGAGGAAGGATGGGTCAGGGTTAGCCCTGAAGAGGCACTCTGGCTGCAGACTGCCACAGCCGGTGTGTTGGGCTGTGGGGACAAGTCTTGGGACCAAGCCGTCCAGCCTACCCGGCTCTAGCAGGGGAAAAGTACAGCCTGGAGCTATTGAAAGGGGTGCCGCCCTTCCCCCGCCCAGGGAGCTTAGCGTGTTAGGCAGTTGTGAGTCCAGTGCTGGCTGTCGCCCCTTCCCCAAGGAACAAAAAAGACTTAGCAGGCAGCCGCAGCCAGTGCTGGTCGCCCCTCCCCCGGGGAGTTCCGTAGGCTTAGGCAGATTCCAGCTGTAAGAATCTGCGTGTTCTGGGGTTGGGACACTAGGTCCCAGTGGCATGGGTTCGCGAGTGAGATCTTCCAATCTGTGAGTTGCACAGTTCCGTGGAAAAAGCACAGTTTCCCCCTCTTGGGTAGCCCGCTCACTCACCACCTCCCTTGGCTGGAAGGAGGGGGTTCCCCTTCCCCGTGTGTCTCTCAGGTGGGCCACCACACCACACTGCTCTTCCTTCTCTCTGTGGGTCACTGCCAGCCTTCTAGTCAATTTTGATGAGGGAACCTGGACATTTTGGTTGCCAGGAAGGATCACACACTTATTACAGTTTTTTTCAATGTGAGCCTCTGAGCGCTGCTGCTTATAGTCGACCATCTTGGCCCCCAGAGTCACACATCTGTTATTTTTTGATGTTTTGATTGTGGCAATTCTTGCAGAAGTAAGGTGGTATCACCTTATGGTTTTGATTTCCCTGGTCATTAGTGATGTTGAACATTTTTTTCATATGTTCATTAGCCATTTGTATATATTCTTTCAACAACTGTCTATTTATGTCCTTAGCCCACTTTTTGATGGGATTGTTTTTTTCTTGCCAATTTGTTTGAGTTCGTTGTAGATTCTAGATATTAGTCCTTTGTTGGATATATAGATTGTGAAGATTTTCTCCCACTCTGTGGGTTGTCTGTTTACTCTACTGACTGTGAAGGAAAAGTCAATTTCTTATACGAATTTGTCTCACTCCTACTTCCAAATGAGATCCTGGGGTTTTTTTTTTCTGTTAATCCTTCACAATACTTCTCCCACTTTTTTGAACTCATTTGTTTATATTCTGTTGTCTGCTTCTCTTTTATAGGAATGTGACTTCTTATGGGCTTTCTCTATTATACCACATATGGGTTTTTGTTTTGTTTTGTTTTGTTTTGTTTTGTTTTTGTCCTCGGATCCATTCTCCAACCTCCTCCAGCCTTCCCGTGCTCTGTGGGATAGACGTCTGACTCATGAAAACTACATTTCCCAGGCTCCCATGCTAACTAGCTTCCTGTTAGGTTCAGCCAATAGGAGGCATTGGTGGGACAATGGTGGGCGGGGCTATGGAAGGGCCAGAGTATTTCTGTACCCCGCCCCCCTGCTCCCCTTCCAATGTTCCTGGAGCGGTGTAGGACCAATACTGTATATATGGAAGGAAGGCAAGGTGGATAGATGGAAGGAAGAAGTGACAGATGGAAAGAAGAAGTGATAAATGGAAGGAGGAAGGGAGAGAGGATGGATGAGTGGATTGAAGAAAGAAAAAAATGGATGAAAGAAAAAAGGAGGAGGAAAGATGGATAAGTAGATGGAAGGAAGAAAAGAGAGGTGTAAGAAAGGAAAGATTGATGATGGATGGATGAATGGATCAGTGGGTGAGTGGGTGAAGGGATGAATGGATGGATGGACAGATGGATGAACAGATGGGTGGGTGGATAGATGGATGGATGGATAAATGGGTAGGTGGATGGATGGATGGATGGACAGATGGGTGGGTAGGTGGATGGATGGATAGATGGATGGATAAGTGAATGGATGGATGGATGGATGGATGGATAAATGGATGGATGGGTGAAAGGAAGGAAAGAAGTGAGAGAAGGAAGAGGAAGGATAGACAGATGTTAGAAGGTACAATGAAAGGAAGGAAGCCAGCAAGAAAGAAAGGATGCATTAATAGAATGAAAGATGGAAGGGAAGAAGAAAGGATGGAAAGAGAGAAGGAAGAATGAACAGAAGGAAGTTCAAGAGTGGTGAAAAGAAGAAAGGCAGGGAGAGAAGGAGAAGTAAACTTTTCTTCTAGAGATTTGTCTTAAACCTTAGCTTGGCTGGACACTGTGGTTCACGCCTGTAATCCCAGCACTTTGGGAGGCCGAGGCGGGTGGATCATGAGGTCAGGAGATCAAGACCATCCTGGCTAACACGGTGAAACCCTGTCTCTACTAAAAATACAAAAAAAATTTAGTCAGGTGTGGTGGTGCATGCCTGTGGTCCCAGCTACTCAGGAGGCTGAGGCAGGAGAATGGCATAAAACCTGGGAGGCAGAGCTTGCAGTGAGCCAAGATCACACCACTGCACTCTAGCCTGGGCGACAAAGTGAGACTCTGTCTCAAACAAAAACAAAACAAAAAAACAAAAACAAAAAACAAAACCAAACCAAAACAAAAAAAAAAACCTTAACTCATACTTTCATAAAGTTCCACACACAGGGAGTGATTAGAAAGCATTTGCTGATATATTTTATATAATAAACATGTACACCATATTGACCTGTGTGCCCAGCAGTGCTTACATGATTTACAATGATTAACTTGTTTAAGCTTCATAACAACGGTTGAGGCAGGAAACATCATTGTGAACCATTGTCATCTCATTTTACAGATGAGTAAACTGAAGTGCTGAGAGGTTGGTTATGGCTGCAAAGATTGTTGGCCATGTTAACCAATGCATAGAAGATTAGCATACCTGGTTGTGAGTGCAGGAGAGAGAGAGAAATGGGAGAAAGGCAGAGAAGGATCGATGGGGAGAGAGGAAGAGAGAGAGAGAGAATAAATTTTTTAAAAATGTCTAGAGTCATGACTTCCGCATCAGTGTGGTAATATGCAGCCTTTACCCTGGGAAAGATCAGAACCATTGGTACTTTTTACAGAATCTTCCCTTCCTGCATTTGGGTAGAAGGACCCCATCTGGACATCCCAAATCATTAAGCACACCCTTACTGGCTGCTGGAGTTGTCTCCATTAAAAGTCACCGTTGGGTTTATTAAGAGGCGGACACAGGGTCCTTAGAACACACTGCCCCCACCCTGTCCCACACCACCCCCCACCCACCCATCATCCTCCCCAAGAGCTTCATCTCTCTCTCTCTTCCCCCTGCCCTAGCCGGGGTGGTCAGCGAGGAGCCATTCACACTGAACTTCACCATCAACAACCTGCGCTACATGGCGGACATGGGCCAACCCGGCTCCCTCAAGTTCAACATCACAGACAACGTCATGCAGCACCTGGTGAGAGGCCTGCCTCCCGCTGCAGCCCTGCCATGCCCATCCTAGGGCTGTTGCCTGCCTGCCTCTGACCAACCCAAGCTCCCTTCTCCCTCTGCAGCTCAGTCCTTTGTTCCAGAGGAGCAGCCTGGGTGCACGGTACACAGGCTGCAGGGTCATCGCACTAAGGTGAGAAACTCCCCCACCCACAGCGCACCACCAAGAACTTAGAGTTCTGACTGGGAGGTCCCTCTTGGGTTGGGGTGGGCTACATATTTTTTTAAATCTTTTTATCTTTCCTTTTTTTTTTTTTGAGATGAAGTTTCGCTCTCGTTGCCCAGGCTAGAGTGCAATGGCACGATCTTGGCTCACTGCAACCTCTGCCTCCCGGGTTCAAGTGATTATCCTGCCTCAGCCTCCCCAGTAGCTGGGATTACAGGCAGGCACCACCATGCCTGGCTAATTGTTTTGTATTTTTAGTAGAGATGGGGTGTCTCCATGTTGATCAGGCTGGTCTTGAACTCCTGACTTCAGGTGATCCACCCTCCTCAGCCTCCCAAAGTGCTGGGATTACAGGCGTGAGCCACCATATCTGGCCCCATTCTTTTTTTTTAAATGAATTTAAGGAGTGCAAATGCAGTTTTTGTTACATGCATATATTCCATAGTGAAGTCTGCAGACAGTAGACTTCCAGACAGTAGCTTCTGGTGTATCACCCGAATAGTGTACATTGTACTTATTAAGTGAGGTTCCCCACCCTTCTCCCACTCTCCCACCTTTCTGAGTATCCAGTGTCTATTATTCCACACTCCAGGTCCATGCTCTCACGTATAAGTGAGAACGTATGGTATTCCACCATGAGCTAATGGACATGGAGTCCATTGGCTCCCACTTATAAGTGAGAGCATGCGGTATTTGACTATTTCTGAGTTTCACTTAAGATAATGGACTCCCATTCCATCCATGTTGCTGCAAAATACATGATTTCACTCTTTTTATGGCTGAATAGTATTTCGTGGTATATATATATACCACATTTTCTTTATCCAGTCTTCTACTGATGGACACTTAGGTTGGGTCCATACCTTTGCTGTGAATAGTGCTGCAATAAACATACACGTGCAGGTGTCTTTTTTATATAATGATTTCTTTTTTTCTTTCTTTTTTTTTGATATAACGATTTCTTTTATTGGGTAGATCCCCAATAGTGGGATTGCTGGGTCAAATGGTAGTTCTACATTTTTGTTCTTTGAGAAATCCTCATACCATTTTCCATAGATTGTACTAATTTGGATTCCCACCAACAGTGTATAAGAGTTCCCTTTTCTTTTATTCTTGCCAGCATCTGGTTGTTTGTTGTTTGTTTGGTTGGTTGGTTGGTTTTTGTCTTTTTAGTAATAGTTATTCTGACTGGTATTAATAACTTTTTTATTTATTCATGACAGTTTGATTTTTGACATATAAAAATTGCTTGCATTTAAAGTGTACAACTTGATATTTTGGTATACATTGTTAAATCATGGCCACATTTCAGCTAATTAATATATCTATTATCTCTACATAGTTATCATGTTTGTACCCTTTGACCAGCATCACCCCATTTGCTCCTCCTCCCAGCCCCTGGCAACCACCATCCTACTCTCTGCTTCTATGAGTCTGACAATTTTAGATTCCACCTATAAGTTAGATTATGCGGTATTTGTCTTTCTGTGCCTGGCTTATTTCACTTAGCCTAATGTCCTCCAGCTCCATCTATGTTATCCCAAGTGGCAGGATTTTCATCTTTCTTATATATTTCATTGTATATGTGTATGCCACATTTTCTTTACCCATTCATCCATTGAAGGTCATTTAGCTTGTTTCCATATCTTGGCTATTTTGAATAGTGCTGCAATGAACATAGGAGTGCAGATATCTCTTTAAGATACTGGTTTCATTTCTTTCTTTCTTCTCTTTTTTTTTTTTCTGAGACAGAGTCTGACTCTGTCGCTCAAGCTGGAGTACAGTGGTGCAATCTTGGCTCACTGCAAACTCTGCCTCCTGAGTTCAAGCGATTCTCGTGCCTCAACCTCCCAGGGAGTTTTGCTCTTGCTGCCCAGGCTGAAGTGCAGTGGTGCAATCTTCACTCACCACAACCTGTGCCTCCCGGGTTCAAGCGATTCTCGTGCCTCAGCCTCCCAGGTAGCAAGGATTACAGGCGCCCAACACCACACCAGGCTAAATTTTTTTGCATTTTTAGTAGAGACGGGGTTTTGCCATGTTGGCCAGGCTGGTCTCAAATTCCTGGCCTCAAGTGATCCACCTGCCTCAGCCTCCTGAAGTGCTGGGATTTTACAGGCATGAACCACCACACATGGCCTCATTTCTTTTAGATATATATGGGTTGAGCTATTCTCAGAGGGTCCTTTTCTGCATCTATTTAAGATCACATTTTTTTTATATTGTGGCAAAAATACATGTAACATAAAATCTGCCATTTTAACCATTTTTAAATGTACAATTCAGTGACATTGATTATATTCACAATGTCATACAGCCATCACCACTATTTATTTCTAATACTTTTCCATTGGGTAGATCCCCAACAGTGGGATTGCTGGGTCAAATGGTAGTTCTGATTTTTTTTTTTTGTTTTTTGAGAAATCTCCATACTGTTTTTCATTTGAGGTTGTACTAATTTACATTCCCACCAACAGTGTATAAGAGTTTCCTAGGCCGGGCATGGTGGCTTATGCCTGTAATCCCAGCACTTTGCGAGGCCCAGGTGGGTGGATCATGAGGTCAGGAGATCGAGACCACCCTGGCTAACATGGTGAAACCCCGTCTCTACTAAAAATGCAAAAAATTAGCCGGGCGTGGTGGCGGGTGCCTGTAGTCCCAGCTACTGGAGAGGCTGAGGCAGGAGAATGGCATGAACCCTGAAGGCGGGGCTTGCAGTGAGCTGAGATCGCACCACTGCACACTTCAACCTAGGCGACAGAGCGAGACTCCATCTCAAAAAAAAAAAAAAAAAAAAAGGTTTCCTTTCAGTGCATCCTTGCCAACTTGAGTTTTCTGGGTTGGTTTGCACTCTCATGGTATTTACTAGATACTTCTCCATTTATATTTTTACTCAACCCATGCCCATAACACCACTCCTCTACCATTCCCACCAACCATGTATAAGAGTTCCTTTTCTTGCATCCTTGCCAACTTGACTTCTTTGGGTCAGTTTGCACTCTCTTGGTATTTACTATTTACTTCTCCATTTATATTTTTAGTCAACTGATGCCCATGGCACCGCTCCTCTGAGGCAGGTGCTGGGTACTAGAGTGATAAGACAGATGCTGTCCCTGCCCTCACCCAGTGGAGAAGAACAGATGCTAAACAGGAACATAAATATCTAAGTAAAATGGCTTCAAATGGAGTAAAGTGATATGAAACATAAATAAATAGCAAGTGATGGGTAGAGCAACTTTACCCAGGATGAATCTTGGGCTGTGTCCCAAATGGCCATGAAAACTGTTCCAGGCAGGGAGAACAGCATGAGAAAAGGTCTTGAGGTGCAAATGAGCTTGGCATGTTCTATGAACAGCAAAGAGGCCAGTGTGGCTGGAGCAGAGAGAGAGCAAGAAGAAAAGAGAGAAAGGATGAGACTCAAGACATCAGCAAGTTTGAAGGGCCTTGGAGGACTTGGATTTTTTTTTTTAAGACAGCTTTGTTCTTGTTGCCCAGGCATGATCTCGGCTCACCACAACCTCCGCCTCCTGGGTTCAAACGATTCCTCTGCCTCAGCCTCCCGAGTAGCTGGGGTTACAGGCATGTGCCACCACACCTGGCTAATTTTGTATTTTTAGTAGAAATGGGGCTTCTCCATGTTGGTCAGGCTGGTCTCGAACTCCCGACCTCAGGTGATCCGACCGCCTCGGCCTCCCAAAGTGCTGGGATTATAGGTGTGAGCCACTGCACCTGGCTTGGATTTTTTTTTTCTATATTGTGGTAACATACACATCACATTAAATTGATCATTTTAGCTATATTTCCCGTTCAGTGGCATCAAGCACATTCACATTATTGTGCAACCATCACCACTATCATCCATCTCCAGAACTTTCTCATCTTCCCAAACTGAAACTCCATCCCCATGAAACACTCATTCCTCATCCCCCTCCTCAAGCCTCTGGCACCCACCATTCTACTTTCTGTCTCTGTGAATCTGATGATTCTGAGGACCTCCTATGAATGGAGGAATCATATGGTATATGTCCTGGTTTATACTGTATGGCTGGCTTATTTCACCAAGCATAATGTCCTCAAAGTTCATCCATGTTGTAGCATGTGTCAGAATTCCCTTCCTTTTCCACTTGTATGTAAATGCTGTATTGTGTTTCTCCATTCATTAGGACTTTGATTTTTGCAGGGAGTTGTCAAGGGGTGCTGGGTTCTGGGGCTTCAATATAATAAGAGTAAGCTAAACTGGTTCATTTCCTCCTTCGTGGAGACCATGTTCTGGTAGGAACAGGAACAAATAATTTATGATTACATAGAGGGTGACCAGGGCAGTGACAGGGGAAGAGTGGAGGATTGTGGGACCCAGAGGAGGCTCCTGACCTTGCCTAGGAAGATAGGAGGAGGAAGAGGAGGAGGAAGAGGAGGAGGAAGAGGAGGAGGAGGAGGAGGAGGGAGTCCTCTAAGCTGAGACCTGGAGGATGACCAGGAAGTTATCCAGGTAAGGAGAAATGGGGAGAAGCTTCCAGACAAAAGTAACAGCAATTGCAAAGATCCTGAGATGATAGATAAGGTCAGGTGGAGAAAGTGCAAACTGTCAATGAGACCAAAATATGGACTGTGAGTTGTGCAGTGACCACAAGTGGAGAGGTGCTAGGTGGCCTTCATCCCCCAAAGCTGCACCTCTCCCTCCTCAGGTCTGTGAAGAACGGTGCTGAGACACGGGTGGACCTCCTCTGCACCTACCTGCAGCCCCTCAGCGGCCCAGGTCTGCCTATCAAGCAGGTGTTCCATGAGCTGAGCCAGCAGACCCATGGCATCACCCGGCTGGGCCCCTACTCTCTGGACAAAGACAGCCTCTACCTTAACGGTGAGCAGCTATCAGCCCCATCTCCCTGCCCCACCCCCCAGCCCCCACTGCAGTCCAGGAGGGTGTCTGTTTGCCGGTTCTCTAGGGAAAGACTTGGGGTTCAAGTCTTGGCATTACCACTGGCCCTCCCATAACCACAATGCAAGGTTGGACTTTGATTAATCCCATTTTACAGATGAAGAAACTGAGGCTTAGACAGGCTAAGCAATTTACCTTGACAGTGGTGGAACCAGGATATGAACTCCACTTGTCAGCATTCGGTGCTATGATCCACTCCACATGTTTAACTCACAGAAGAGTCTTCCTGGTGGGGGCACTTGGGGGACAAAAAACACATTTCCGGCTGTGAGCAGTGGCTCACACCTGTAATCCCAGCACTTTGGGAGGCCAAGGCGGGCGGATCACAAGGTCAAGAGATTGAGACCACCCTGGACAACATAGTGAAACCCTGTCTCTACTAAAAATACAAAAATTAGCTGGGTGTGGTGGCGCACGCCTGTAGTCCCACCTACTCGGGAGGCTGAGGCAGGAGAATCGCTTGAACCCAGAAGGCAGAGGTTGCAGTGAGCCAAAATTGTGCCATTGCACTCCAGCCTGGTGACAGAGCAAGACTCTGTCTCAAAACAAAACAAAACAATTTCCCCTCCCTGCTTTCTTCTCACCATTGACGAGGGATGGGCTTCTCTCCTACCTGAGGCCCCCTATACCAGGAAGATCTATGGGATCTAATCTTCAGGCACACTGGGCCTCAGCATTGGTCTAGAACTCAGGATAAGATAGCATTTAAGAAGGCATCCCCTAAATGGGGTTCTGAGAGGCAAAGCATGACCGTGGAGAATTGACAAAATAGCTCGCCTTTCATCCCCTCCACCGCCAACCCAAGAACAGTGCTTATCATCATGACCCCATGAGGTGGGCACCCCATATCACTTATATGAGGTACCTTTAGGTAGGTACCGGGATGTGGAGAGACATCCTGGGCTTTCATTACTCTTATTTTAGCAAAGAGGGAAACTGAGGCACAGAGAAGGGAAGGGACTTGCCCATGCCCACAGCGAGTTTTTGGCTAGTCTGGGTCTTGATGTTCTTTATTATTATTATTACTATCCTCCTCATGATCATCGTTGTATGTATACAGTTATGGGGTACAAGTGCAATTTTGTTACATGCATAGATGGCACAGTAGTGAAGTCAGAGCTTTCAGAGTATCCACCACTCCAATAACATACATTGTATCCATTTAGTCCTTTCTCATCATCCACCTTGCTCCTACCCCCTCACCCTTCCAAGCCCCCTTTATCTATCATTCCCCTCTCTGAGTTCTTGTCTACACATTGTTTAGCTCCCACTTATGATTGAGAACATGTGATATTTGTCTGTCTGTGTCTGACTTGTTTCACTTAAGGTAACTTCAGTTTCATCCATGTTGCTGCAAAAGACATGGATTCATTCTTTTTTTCTAACTTTTAAGTTCAGACATACACGTGCAGATTTTCTATATGGTTAAACTCATGTCACAGGGGTTTGTTGTACAGATTATTTCATCACCACCCAAGTATTAAGCCTAGTACCCATTAGTTATTTTTTCTGATCCTCTCCCTCCTCCCACCCTCCACCCGCCACCCGCCACCCTCCAACCTCAGGCAGGCCCCAGTGTGTGTTGTTCCCCTCTATGTGTCCATGTGTTCTCATCATTTAGCTCCCACTTATAAGTGAGAAGAGGCAGTATTTGGTTTTCTGTTCCTGCATTAGTTTGGTAAGGATAATGACCTCCAGCTCCAACCATGTTCCTGCAACGGACATGATCTCATTCTTTTTTATAGCTGCATAGTATTCCATGGTGTATATGTTCCTCATTTTCTTTATCCAGTCTATCCTTGATGGGCATTTAAGTAGATTCCATGTCTTTGCTATTGTGAATAGTGCTTCAGTGAACAGGTGTCTTTATGATAGAAAAATTTATATGCCTTTGGGCATATATGCAGTGATGAGATTGCTGGGTCAGACGGTAGTTCTGTTTTTAGCTCTTTGAGGAATCATCCTGCTGCTTTCTACAGTGGATGAACTAATTTACACTCCCACCAACAGTGTATAAACACTCCTTTTTATCTGCAACCTCAGCAGCATGGTTTTATTTCTCTTTATGGCTGAATAGTGTTCCATTGTGCATATATACCACACTTTCTTTATGGATTCATCTGCTGATGGACATATAGGTTGATTCCACATCTCTGCTATTGTGAATAGTGCTGTGATAAACACACAGGTGCGGGTTGGGTCTTGATGATCTCAGTTAACATCCAGTCCCTTCAACTTGGCTATTGCAGGGAGCTGTTCCCCCTTGTAAACTGCACAGCTTATGTGCTTCATTTTGTTCCTTCATTTAGATTTACCAAGCAGCTACTATTAACCAGGCCACAATGTGCCTCGCCCCAGGAACAGAGATAGGTTACATGTGCATCCTGTCCTAATGTAATCTCCAGGGGGGCGGAGACTGTTTTGTTCTACCCTATATTCCCCAAATGTAAAGGGAGCCTTGCACATACTAAGCCCTTAATAAACATTCATTGGGTGGAGGAATAGATTGGAGGAGGCCTGGAAGGGGAGGCGGGGGTTATGGATGGATAGGAGGATAGACTTGTGAACACAAAGGTAGTGAGAGCCTCTCATTGGAGGCATGCTGGAGACGTGAGTAGGGAAGGGTCAGTGCTAATTGAAATATCAGGAAATTCTTTCTAGTGGTGAACACATTTAAGTCAAATATTAGATGATACATAAATGTATCCATAATCTCTAGATACACAAAGGGAAAGGCATCCAGGCAGGGGCCCCATATGGACAAAGGCATGGAGTATCTGGGACGGTTCCACCACCTCCTCTTACGTGTGACTTCTTTGTTTCAAGGTTACAATGAACCTGGTCCAGATGAGCCTCCTACAAGTACGTGTCTTTGAATCTAGTGCCCATTTCAATCTCCATGGGTCTTGGTTCAAGCTTTTCTCCTCATTCATGAAGGAAGGTTGCCCCAAATTCGGGCTGGTCCCCTGAGGTGGTGAGGGGCATTGTCTCAGTGGGAGGAAGAATGCTGAGTCCTTGGCCTGTTTTTAGACCTGCAGCCATAGTCTTGGCTTTGTGAATTTTCCATGTCCCTCTGGGTTGGAGGAAGAAGTTTGAACAAGCATTCCCTACAGGGATAGAGGTTGAGGTCAGATGATGACCTTGTTAGTCTGTACCTCCTGATAAGAAAATCTCCTCCAAGTGCCCCAGCAGAGGCTTCATGGTCAAGCTGCAGACTCTGCTGGCTACTGGTTTTGGCTAAATTTGCCCATTGCCTCATCCAGTGATCCACTCGTCTATCTTTCCAGCCATCCATTTTTCTATCCTTCCAGTCATCTCTCAGACACCACCTGTCCTTCCATCCATCCATCCGTCCATCCATTTACCCATCCATCCATCCACCCCATTTTCCTGACCATTTACCTCCTCGTCCTTCCTTCCATCTGTCCTTTTATCCATCTATTCATCCATCACCCATCCTCCTGCCCATTCACCTGCTTGTCCCTCCTTTCTTCTGTCCTTCTATACATCCATCCATCCATCCATCCATCCATCCACCCATCCACTCATCCACCACCCACCCATCCTTCTGCCCACTCACTCGCTAGCCCCTCCTTCCTTCTGTCCTTCCATCCATCCATCCACCCATCTTCCTGCCCATTCACCTGCTTGTCCTTCCTTCTATCTGTCTTTTATCCATCTCTCCATCCATCCACCATCCATCCATCCATCCTTCTCCCTATTCACTGGTTTGTCTTTCCTTCTGTCCTTCCAACCATCCACCCATCTCTCCATTCATTCTCCTCTTCATTCACCTGTTTCCTTATTTCTGTCTTTCCATCCATCCATCTATCCAGCCAGCCATCTCTCCCCCCATTCTCCTCCCCATTCACTCAATTGTCCTTCCTTCCATCTGTCCTTTTATCCATCCATCCACCCATCCATCCATCCATCTATCCTTCTCCCCATTCACCTGTTTGTCCTTCTTTCTGTCCTTCCAACCATCCATCCATCCATCATCCATCCATCTATCCTTTTCCCCATTCACCTGTTTGTCCTTCCTTCTGTCCTTCCAACCATCCCTCCATCTCTCCATCCATCCTCCTGCCTATTCATCTGCTTGTCTTTCCTTCCTTCTGTCCTTCCATCCATTCATCCATCTGCCCATCCACCCACTCATCCTCTTGCCCATTCACCTGCTTGTCCTTCCTTCCACCTGTCCTTTTATCCATCCATCCATCCATCCATCTTGCTCACTCCTCCACTCACACAATCACTCCTTCCCTCAGTCTCATTTATGGCCCACCTGTGAATGGTTGTCCTGGCTTGGACCACTGATGAAGCCCAGGGGAGCTTCTCCCACTAGGTGGTGGGCTTTTGTCCTCTCTGATGGACTGTTCCTTCCACAGCTCCCAAGCCAGCCACCACATTCCTGCCTCCTCTGTCAGAAGCCACAACAGGTATTTGGGGCCATTTTTCCTCCTCGAAGATTAGAATAGCATTTCAATCAGACACCTGCCCTCGTGGAGTCCCAGATTTTATGAAATAAATAGACCATCATAATGTCAGATGTTTTGGGGTGAGATACCTGGCATAGTTGGGAAGGAGGAGGGCTTTCTGGAGAAAGTTTCACCTGAACTGAGTCTTTAAGGATGACTAAGAGTGATTCAGGCAAATAGGGCATGAATAGTATAACTGAAAGAGGGGAATCTGTGAGCAAAGCCTCAGTGGCCAGAAACAGCATAGAGTATAGGGAGAAGTGAGAGAAATTTGGTTTGCATGAAACATAAAGCTTAACCCAGAGTGGATGGATAAGTGAGACTGAAAGGTCAGCAGGAGCCAGATTGGGAAGGGCCTTGAATGCCAAGTCAAGAAATTTGAACTTAACACTGAAGGCCATAGGGAGCTGTGGATGGTACTAGAGCAGGGGCAGCCATAGTGAGATTGTCATTTCAGAAAGATTCTTCTTGTGTTCAGTATAGAGAATGTCCTTTAGACAGGGCATCCAGTGAGTCTGCCAGGTGCTAATCAGGGTGAGAGAAAATAAGACCTGAACTGGGATAGGGGAGGAGAGAGAGGATATATGTGATGAATATTCAGTAAAGAGAATTGGTGTTACTTGGAGGGGAGAAGACACATAGCTTCTGACTTGGATGGCCACACTAGTTAATAATGAGCGCAGTCTGATCTAGTCTCAGACCAGCCCTCAGTTGCAGACGTCTCTCCTCCCCTCCTGCAGCCATGGGGTACCACCTGAAGACCCTCACACTCAACTTCACCATCTCCAATCTCCAGTATTCACCAGATATGGGCAAGGGCTCAGCTACATTCAACTCCACCGAGGGGGTCCTTCAGCACCTGGTGAGACCCTGGTCCCAGCAGCTCCTGGTGGGATAAATCCTACCCCCAACCTCTGTTCCTCGGCTTACCCTCTTCCTCCTTCCTCTCAAGCTCAGACCCTTGTTCCAGAAGAGCAGCATGGGCCCCTTCTACTTGGGTTGCCAACTGATCTCCCTCAGGTGAGACCACTTCCTGGCCATTTGCCAGTAACAACCACCCCTTTTGTGACCACCCCTTCCTCAGCTTTCCCCTGCTCCTCCCTCCACTGCTCTTTACCTGCAGAGGTCTCGGGACCTCTCTAGAGTCCTCAAATGCCTCTCTCCCCAGGCCTGAGAAGGATGGGGCAGCCACTGGTGTGGACACCACCTGCACCTACCACCCTGACCCTGTGGGCCCCGGGCTGGACATACAGCAGCTTTACTGGGAGCTGAGTCAGCTGACCCATGGTGTCACCCAACTGGGCTTCTATGTCCTGGACAGGGATAGCCTCTTCATCAATGGTGAGTGTCAGGCTGAACTTGGATTTACAGTGACTTTTGGGGAGTTGGTTTCTTTGTTTTTGAGATGGAGTCTCACTCTATCACCCAGGCTGGAGTGCAATGGTGCAATCTTGGCTCTGCAACAGTGATTCTCCTGCCTCAGCCTCCCAAGTAGCTGGGATTTACAGGTGCATGCCACCACGCTCAGCTAATTTTTGTATTTTTAGTAGAGATGGGGTTTCACCATGTTGCCCAGGCTGGTCTCGAACTCCTGACCTCAGGTGATCCACCTGCCTTGGCCTCCCAAAGTGCCAGGATTACAGGCATGAGCCACCATGCCCGGCCCACCATGACTATTATTTGTCCCTGTTGTATGCCCTTTCCTCTCTAAAAAAAATAGCCCAAGGCCTGGCTGGGGGACACCCTTCCCCAAACCACCAAGGGGAGGGTCTTTCCCATTATTTTGAGTAAATAGCATGAAATTCTTTGACCAAATTAATGTCATAAATTGTTTGTCTCTTTCTCCTTCACTTTTGTTTCCAACTTGGTTGCGGTATAACTATCAAATACAATTGTATGTATTTAAGATGTATAATGCAGTGATTTAATATATGTGTAGCTTATGAAATGATTACCATGATCAAATTAGTTAACACTGCTTTCATGTCACATAGTTACCGTGTGTCTGTGTGCGTCTGTGTGAGTTAGAGAGAAAGAGAACATTTAAGGTCTACCCTCATAGAAAATTTCAGGTTTACAATACAGTATTATTAACTATAATCATCAAGCTTTATACTCGATCCCCAGAACTTATTCATCTTGTAACTAAAAGTTTGTATTTTGTGACCAACATCTCCCCATTTTCTCTATCACCACCCCCATGCCCCCAGCCCCTGATAACCATCATGCTACTCTCTGCTTCTGTAAGTTTGACTTCTGATCCCACATATAAGTGAGATCATGCAGTATTTGTTTCTCTCTATCTGGTATATTTCACTTAGCATAATGAACCCCCCCCAGGTACATCCATAATGAATTTCAATTCAAAACCCAAGTGGCTGAGTCGTGGCATCCTTTGGGACAGGATAGCAGGTCCCTTCTATATAAGGATCCTCTGTGTCAGTGGTTATTACCAGGGGACAATTCTGCACTTCTGCCCCACCCCACCCCCCAACTGGGAGACTCTAGGCAATATCCGAAATCATTTTTGGGTATCACAACTCAGGGAGGGAAGGAGGGTGCAACTGGCACCTAGTGGGTCGGTAGCCCATTTTCCAGTGCACAGGAGACAACCACCCCAGGGAATGATCCAGCCCCAAATGCCAATAATTTCAAGGGTGAGAAATCCTGTTGTACATGGTCTCAAAGTTCTTAGGTGGGCACAAGGCTGACATTTATCACACTTTACTGTAATTACTTGTTAAATTATCTGATTCCCCCTTACCCTGTGAACTCAACAAAATTACGGTCTATTATGAGTGCCACTGTACCCTCGGTTCGCAGTACATCAGCACATCATAGTATGGAAAGAATCATTGAATGAGTGAGCAAATTAAAGATTTGTGTCTCTGCTGTAACTCACATTCATTAATTCATTCATTCAGCAAACATATATGGGTGGCTGTTCTGCCCCAAGCCTTGTACTGGGTCTGGAGATAGAAGACACATTTTTCTGTCTCTGAAAAACTCATACTCAAGTTAACAACAAATTACGGGCACAACAAAGACCCCACTGCTGTTATTAACAGGGTACTATGGGAGCTGAGAGGAGGAGTAAATTAAGGAGGGCTTCCTGGAGGAGGGTGTTATATACCCGGCCCTGTGCCGGGACACAATAATGAATAAGACAGACTTGGGCCTCTGCTGTCCTGGAGCTCCCTCTCACTGGGCTCTTGAAGCGTGAGCAGGAGTTTTGCAGGAAATGAAAAGGATGCATTCCTAGAAGTGGGAACTGCATAGCACATGCAGGAAAGCTCAGCTCAGAAGAATCTGTGTAATATTCCATTTTTCCCTCTCTTTGGGGCAACTTTCTGTCTAAGAGCTCCTGCAATGCCCAGCGTGTGGACCTGAAATTGATTCTGACAGTAGGCAGGGGACTGCTGGGCAACTTTGGCTCTGCATTTTGTGATCAACATTTCCCCACCATATGTTGCCTTTTCTTCTTCTCTGTGGCTCCAGGCTATGCACCCCAGAATTTATCAATCCGGGGCGAGTACCAGATAAATTTCCACATTGTCAACTGGAACCTCAGTAATCCAGACCCCACATCCTCAGAGTACATCACCCTGCTGAGGGACATCCAGGACAAGGTGGGGCATCTCTCACCCCTCCCGTCTTCTCTGTCCTGTGTGCTTCTCTCCCTCTTCTACCTGATTTCTCTGTTAAGTGATCACTTTAAATGCTTCACTTCACTATGTATTCTGGGTTCTCTCTCAGTTTCCAAAAGTACTCTCTTGACTACCATTCCCATTTCACAGATGGGCAAACTGAGGCTCAGAAAGGGGCGTGGTGTGCCTAGGGTCATACAGTGCTTTAGGAACAGAGTTAGGATTTGAACTCTGGTCCCCTTTGCTCCAAGTCCTGTGTTTTTTTCCACTGGCATCAGCGGCCCCTCCACCCCCAAGAGGCCTCCATCTCACCCACTCTCCCTACCCATCTTTCTAGGTCACCACACTCTACAAAGGCAGTCAACTACATGACACATTCCGCTTCTGCCTGGTCACCAACTTGACGTAAGTTCTGAAGGTCATAAGCAGTGACCAAGCTTGTGGCTGTGTCTCTGAGCACCCTTGAGCTAGACGTCCCCAGTGGGGTACCCATTCTCCCCTACATCCCTGTCTAGCTAATCCTACCATCTCCTCCCATAAATCCTCAAGGTAGGGAGTGAGGATTAACCTCATGGGGCCACCAACTCCCAGCATACACCTTCTTTTTTTTCTGGACACTTGGGAAAATATAACTTTTTGATGTAGAACTCAAAATATTAGCCCAATAATAATATTTAACATCAACCAGCCTCCTCTCATTTAATTCTCACAACAGAATCTATGAGTTGAGTGCAAAAATCATCCCTATTGTGCAGATGGGAAAACTGAGGGTCAGAAAAGTGAACTTCCCAAGAACTGTCAAAGTTGGGATTTGAACCCAGGTCTCTGATGACTGGATGAAGGAATGAAGATACCTATACTTGGGAAGAGGAGGGTCACAGGACACAGGGCTGACTTTGTATATTTCTAAACTTCAAAGATTTTTGTATTTCAGCTGGGAATATGGAGAAGGTTAATTGGAACAAAAAAATGCAAAGAATGAATAAGACCTAGTATTTGCTAGCACAACAGGGTGACTGTAGTCAAAAATAACTTCACTGTACATTTTAAAATATAACTAAAGGTGTATGCTTGGATTGTTTGCAACACAAAGGATATATGCTTGAGGGGATGGATACCCCATTTACCCTGATGATTATTATGCATTACATGCTTGTATCAAAACATCTCATATACCCCATAAATATAAAAACACCTACTATGTACCCCAAAAAATTAAAAACAAATAAAATCAAAAGTAGGCTGGGCACAGTGGCTCATGCCTGTAATCCCAGCACTTTGGGAGGCCAGGGCAGGTGGATCTCTTGAGCCCAGAAGTTCAAGACCAGCGAGGGCAACATAGGGAGTCCTAGTCTCTACAAAAAATACAAAAATTAGCCAGGCATGGTGGCACACACCTGTAGTCCCAGCCACTCAGGAAGCTGAGGTGGGAGGATCGCCTGAGCCTAGGAGGCTGTACTCCAGCCTGGGTGACAGAGCGAGACTCTATCTCAAAAAATAAAATAAAATAATAAAAAGTAGAAATCAAGAGGGAAAATGTGGGAGAAATTGGGATAATTTTAACAATACCTTCCACCAGAGTGATGATGAAGAATGCATAAGTCACTTCTTAGTGGTCTTGATCTATAAAAAGTGTTCAATAAATATCGATTATTGTTACTGTTATTGCTTCTAGACGTAATTCCTGGAAGCATTTTTTTTTTTTTTTTTTTTGAGATGGAGTCATGCTCTGTTGCTCAGGCTGGAGTGCAGTGGTATGATCTCGGCTCACTACAACTGCCTCCTGGGTTCAAGCAATTCTCCTGCCTCAGCCCCCCATGTAGCAGGGACTACAGGCATGCGCCACCACACCCGGTGAAGTTTTGTATTTTTATTAGAGACAGGGTTTTGCCATGTTGGTCAGGCTGGTCTCGAACTCCTGACCTCAGGCAATTTGCCTGCCTCGGCCTCCCAAAGTGCTGAGATTACAGGCTTGGGCCACTGCATCCAGCCGAAGGCCTCCCATTTTGATCAGAACCCTTCTCTAGACTGAGGGTGGGTGCCTCTAGATCTTTTGCTCTTTAAAGACAGCAACCGATGACCCTGCTGATGCTGAGTACTGGCTGAATTCCTGTGGTCTCTGTCCCTAGGATGGACTCCGTGTTGGTCACTGTCAAGGCATTGTTCTCCTCCAATTTGGACCCCAGCCTGGTGGAGCAAGTCTTTCTAGATAAGACCCTGAATGCCTCATTCCATTGGCTGGGCTCCACCTACCAGTTGGTGGACATCCATGTGACAGGTACAAGGTGGGGTGGCTGGTTTCCTAACTGGAAGAGGTGGGGTTATGAGGAAAGATGGGGCTTCTCGGTACCAGTGGAATTGGTGGAGGCTCTAGAGAGGGAAAGGGAGGCTTTCTGGAGACCCATGTAGGTGACCTCTGGCAGTAGATCATCCAACGAGGCAGGAACAGAACACCAGCCATTGCATCTAAGAGAATAGCTATTTTTACATGTAAAAAGAATTGTGTTGAATGAATGAATCAATAGATCATTTATTTTGAATCAATTTATTGATTCATTCATTTAATTAATGAATAATAAATGATTCAGTACATAATTGATTAATTGATGTAATTGAGAATTGATTTAATTGATTAATTGATCAATTAAAATGATCAATTAAATGAATGAATCAGTAAATGAATAATTCATTCATTCAATAAACAATGGAAGTAGGCCGGGCATGGTGGCTCACGCCTGTAATACCAGTACTTTGGGAGGCCCAGGCAGGCAGATCACGAGGTCAGGAGATTGAGACCATCCTGGCTAACACGGTGAAACCCTGTCTCTACTAAAAATACAAAAAAAATTAGCCAGGCATGGTGGTGGCCACCTGTAGTCGCAGCTACTCGGGAGGCTGAGGCAGGAGAATGGCGTGAACCCGGGAGGCAGAGCTTGCAGTGAGCCGAGATCGCGCCACTGCACTCCAGCCTGGGCGACAGATGGAGACTCTGTCTCAAAAATAAATAAATAAATAAAAATAAAAAATAAATAAACAATGGAAGTAAACACGTACTGATAACACAGTGTGATCATTGCTATGATAAGGGAATTTCAGGGGCCTGTGGGAGCCCCAAGGAGGAACACACAACCTTGTCTTGGAAAGTTTTATGTAGGAAGGGGTGAAGAAGCTGAGATCTGACAGAGAATGGGACCTAGCCAGGGGTAATAGATGGAGAATTGTGCTCCATGCATCTATAACCTAGAAGATAGAAAGAATATGGCATCTGGCCGGGTGCGGTGGCTCACGCCTGTAGTCCCAGCACTTTCAGAGGCTGAGATGGGTGGATCACCTGAGGTCAGGAGTTCAAGACCAGCCTGACCAATATGATGAAACCCCATCTCTGCTAAAAATACAAAAATTAGCCAGGCATGGTGGTGCGTGCCTGTAATCCCAGCCACTTGGGAGGCTGAGAGAGGAGAACTGCTTGAACTCGGGAGGCGGAGGTTGCAGTGAGCCGAGATTGTGCCATTGCACTCAAGCCTGGGCAAAAAGAGCAAAACTGCATTTCAAAAAAAAAAAAAGTGGCATTTTGGGGCAAGTTTAAGAAGATTGGTGTAGCTGGAGCATCCACTTTGATACTGGAGAGGTGACAGTTGAAGCCAAAGATGTGGGCAGAGACTTTGTTGGGCACTGGAATGGCTTGGGGAGGAACATGACACACTCATGAGTTCTGCTTTAGAAAGAAAATGAAATGAATTCTGCTCATCCTCTGGGTGCTGTGTGCAGAATGGAGGGTGGGGGGAGAGAAGAGCAAAGGCAAGAAGACCCTTTAGGAACAATGATCATTAGTTAGAAGACTCTGGGTTTCTCAGCACCTGCAATTGCTGACTACACCCCCAGAGAAACCCAGTCTCTTTTCCCCCATGTTGTAGAGAATTCTTACAATGCTTGGTAGAAAGAGAATTGAACAGGTAGATGGGTGGATGGATACAAGCTGGACAGATGGATGGAGGAAGATCCTCCATCCAATATAGAGCTGTTACCTAAAACCCTCCATCCCACCTTTAAAATCCTAGCTCAGCCAGGCGCGGTGGCTCACACCTGTAATCCCAGCACTTTGGGAGGCCAAGGCGGGTGGATCACCTGAGGTCGGGGGTTCGAGACCAGTCTGACCAACATGGAGAAACCCTGTCTCTATTAAAAATACAAAAAAAAAAAAAAGTTAGCCAGGCAGGGTGGCGCATGCCTGTAATCCCGCTACTCGGGAGGCTGAGGCAGGAGAATGGCTTGCACCCAGGAGGTGGAGGTTGTGGTGAGCCAAGATCACGCCATTACACTCCAGCCTGGGCAAAGAGAGTGAAACTGTCTCAAAAAACAAAACAAATGACCCCCCTGCCAAAAAAAAAAAAAAAAAAAAAGAAAAGAAAAAAAGAAAAGCCTAGCTCAGCTCACACTGTCAGGAATAAGTAAGCTAGCTGGAATCATCTCTTTCTTAAAACCCTGCCTTGATAGTGGATTTTTACATACTTTTTTTTTAATTCTAGAAATGGAGTCATCAGTTTATCAACCAACAAGCAGCTCCAGCACCCAGCACTTCTACCTGAATTTCACCATCACCAACCTACCATATTCCCAGGACAAAGCCCAGCCAGGCACCACCAATTACCAGAGGAACAAAAGGAATATTGAGGATGCGGTGAGAAGGGGGTGGTATGTCCACTCTGTTGCCATGCAGAAACTGACTTATGCATACTGGGTAGCCACAGGGTGACTTTTTATAACAATCCACAAAGACAGGTTCTTATTCCCATTTAATACACAAGCACAGAGAGGTTCAGTAGCTGACCCAAGGTCACACAGCTAAGTCATACCCTAGAAGAGCATGTCCTTTGATATACATACCTGGGCAAGTGGTTGTCATGACAAGAAGCAAAATAGACGGAGAAGTGTGCTCAGTGGCTGAAAATTCTCTGATGCTACTGGGGCCAGGATTCTGACCTAAGAAACATCGCCCTGTCTTTCAGCTCAACCAACTCTTCCGAAACAGCAGCATCAAGAGTTATTTTTCTGACTGTCAAGTTTCAACATTCAGGTAAGTTCTAACTCAGGACCTAATGACTCTAGGAACTTCTGCTGTCCTTTAAATAGAAGTGTCCCCAAGCCATAGCTTTGATGGAAGAGAGCCCTAGAAATAGAGAGCTGTTAACTAAAAACTAGCTTTTTCCTAAAGCTGGAGCCCAACTGGCTTCAACACTCAAGAGAGCTGGTGTAAATCTCAGCAGACATAAAGGTACCTGGTGCTGAGGCCATGGAGTCTAGAGTGTAGAATCTACTACATTAAGACATCAGCTACTGAAATCAGGACCCATGGAAGACGGGGGAAGGAGGGGACTAAAACCAGATTACTTAGAATCTAGCAGCCTAACTGTGCTTTTCAATGAGAGGTATCATTTCCAATGGTGGGGGGTACCAATGATTTTTTTTTTTTGACAACTGCCTTGAGAACAGGCTTTCCTCACTAAACAAATTCTGAATCAGAACAAATAAAGATAAGCCCTGAGAATAGGGCTTTTTCAAGGAGCTGCCAAACAGATCAAATAGTGACTATGTTCTGCAGATTGATGTCTGGAGAACTCTACAGCTATTTTGACTGCTAGGCAGCTGGTTTTCACAGATATCATGATTCTGAGGCTGCCAGTTTTCAAAGTTACCGAGGATCTTGCTGGATGCAGTGGCTTGCGACTGTAATCCCAGCCCTTTGGGAGGCCAAGGTGGGTAGATCGCTTGAGCTCAGGAGTTTGAGACCAGCCTGGGCAATATGGTGAAAACCCATCTCTACAAAAAATACAAAAATCAGCTGAGCATAGTGGCATGTGCTGTAGTCCCAGTTACTTAGGAGGCTGAGGTGGGAGGATGGCTTGAGCCCAGGAGGCAGAGGTTGCAGTGAGCTGACATTGTGCCATGCACTCTAGCCTGGGCAACAGAGCCAAAGCCTGTCTCAAAAAAAAAAAAACAAATAATAATAATAATAAAATACTGAGGATCTTGAAAGAGCACTGTGGAAATAATGCAAGTTAAAATGCCACAAAGCTTGCTCTTTTTACTGAGATTTAACACTTTCCTTAACTAAACACCCCTCGAATTTTTGCAAGCCTTTGGTTCACTTCTAGACTTCTGGAAAAATTGATTTGGACTATTTTGGCCAATGTTCTCATTGATTTTATGGGTATTCAGAAGTTGTTACCCCAACATTCCAGAAATGTTCTCCCTGTGGCTATTACTTTATTTATTTATTTATTTATTTATTTATTTATTTATTTGAGACGGAGTCTCCCTCTGTTGCCCAGGCTGGAGTGCAGTGGCGCAATCTCAGCTCACTGCAACCTCCGCTTCCCAGGTTCAAGCGATTCTCCTGCCTCAGCCTCCCAAGTAGCTGGGATTATGGATGTGCACCACCACACCGGCTAATTTTTGTGTTTTTAGTAGAGATGGGGTTTCACTGTGTTGGCCAGGCTGGTCTCGAACTCCTGATCTCAAGTGATCCACCCGCCTTGGCCTCCCAAAGTGCTGGGATAACAGGCATGAGCCACTGTGCCTGACCTCCCTGTGGCTATTTTTAAATGAATTAAGTGGAATAAAATTAGAAATTCAGTTCTTCTCCCACGCTAGCTGCATTTTAAGCATTTAATAACAACATGAAGCTACTAATGGCTGCATTGTGTAGTGCAGATGTAGAATTTTTTTTTTGTTTTTTGTTTTGTTTTTGAGATGGAGTCTCGCTCTGTCACCAGGCTAGAGTGCAGTGGCGTGATCTCGTCTCACTGCAATCTCTACTCCCCGATTCAAGTGATTCTCCTGCCTCAGCCTCCCAAGTAGCTGGGATTACAGGCACGTGCCACCACACCCAGCTAATATTTGTATGGATGGTCTCAATCTCCTGACCTCGTGATTTGTATGGATGGTCTCGATCTGACCTCATGATCCGCCTGCCTGGGCCTCCCAAAGTGCTGGGATTACAGGCGTGAGCCACTGTGCCCGGCCGACATAGAATGTTTACATCATTGCAGAAAGTTTCTGCAGGAAGAGCCTAGAAGGAGAAAGCCTAGAATCATGATAAAATTGCAGATATCTTTGCTTATCCCTGTCCCCTTCCAGGTCTGTCCCCAACAGGCACCACACCGGGGTGGACTCCCTGTGTAACTTCTCGCCACTGGCTCGGAGAGTAGACAGAGTTGCCATCTATGAGGAATTTCTGCGGATGACCCGGAATGGTACCCAGCTGCAGAACTTCACCCTGGACAGGAGCAGTGTCCTTGTGGATGGTAAAGCTCCCTGGGTCATTGGGACTGAGGTGGAAGCTCCCACTTCCTCACCTGGGTCCTTCCCTGGGAATCTGAAGGCTTGGGGTTGATTCGTCATCGAGCTTTCTCAGACTGGGAGAAAGTGGCTTAGTTCTCCTAAGCTTTACCCATCATTGAAGGAAAGAAAAGGACGCCCGAGGGATATGGGAGGCATTTGCCCTCTTCTGGCCAGCTCTGTGACCTCAGGCTAGTCACATCTCCTTTCTGGACTTCTTATCTCTCTGTACTTAGCAAGCCACTTGGTTTTTGGTTCCCATCTTGCCTGCCCTAGATGGTATTGCTCCTCCACCCCCAGGCAGCTGCAGTGTTAAACAATTACCCTGATTAGTTATTGTTGTTGTGTTGTTTGTTTGTTTTTGAGACAGGGTCTCACTCTGTCACCTAGGCTGGAGTGCAGTGACATGATCTCAGCTCACTGCAACCTCAACCCCTGGACTCAAGCAATCCACCCACTTCAGCCTCCCAAGTAACTGGGACTACAGCCATGCGCCACCACACCCGGATAATTTTTGTATTTTTTCTAGAGATGGGGTTTTGCAACATTGCCCAGGCTGGTCTTGAACTCCTGAGCTCAAGCATGCCACCTGCTTCAGCCTCCCAAAGTGCTGGGATTACAGGCAGGCAGGCACCACTGCAGCTGGTTCTGGTTTTTTGTGTTTGTTTTTTTCTTTTAGAGGCAGGGTCTCGCTCTGTTAACCAGAATGGAGTACAGTGGTGCAATCATAGCTCACTGCAGTCTTGAACTCCTGGGCTCAAGCGATCCTCCCACCTCAGCCTCCTGAGTACCTGGAACTACAGGCACGTGTCACCACGCCTTGCTAATTTCTAAATTTTTTGTAGAGACAGGGTCTCACTATGTTGCCCAGACTGGTCTCTAATTCCTGGCCACAAGTGATCCTCCTGCCTCAGCAGGTCAATGAGGGCTTCCAGTTTCAAGTTGTATGTGATTCATCCTCAACAAATGTGGTAGGATGGACCTATTTTCCAACTCCAGAGATGGCTTCAAGGTGGCTCAACTTTGCATATCCAATTTTACCCATTCAAAGAATAGTTATATACATTGTACCATGTATCAGGAATATAACAGAGAGTAACTGTTTGCTCTTTCACCACTATATTCCAAGAACCCCATATTCTGCCTGGCACATAATAAACACTCAAGTCATATTTGCAGAAGGAATAACTAGATTTCATACAAGGTTCTTTTCAAGTCAAATGCGAATAACGTTTTAGACGGGACCTTCCAATGCCTGTGTGCACTGTCCTTGATTCCGAATTATTGTTGTGCAAGAGAGCACTGTTGATCCTTCAGAATCAACAAGCCTTTCACATGCCTGTCACAGGTTTTTCTTTTTCTTGTTTTACCAATTTTGTTTGTTGTTTGTTTGTTGTTATTGTTTTGTTTTGTTTTTGTTTTTTATTTGTTTTTATTTTTTCTTTTTTTTTGAGACAGAGTCTCGCTCTGTCACCCAGGCTGGAGTGCAGTGGCACGATCTCCGCCCACTGCAAGCTCCGCCTCCTGGGTTCATGCCATTTTCCTGCCTCAGCCTCCTGAGTAGCTGGGACTACAGGCGCCTGCCACCATGTCTGGCTAATTTTTTTTGTATTTTTAGTAGAAACAGGGTTTCACCATGTTGACCAGGATGGTCTCGATCTCCTGACCTCGTGATCTGCCCACCTGGGCCTCCCAAAGTGCTGGGATTACAGGCGTGAGCCACCACACCCAGCCCCAATTTTTTTTTTAATTAAAATTGTTGTCAGCTCACAAGCTTTCTAAAAACAGGCCATGGACCCAGCATCGCTGTAGTTTGCCAAACCTTGCCTTGAATCAGTACCATCCAATAGAACTTTCTGCAGTGATAGAAAATGTTTCTATCTGTGCTATTCAGCACAAAGCCATGTGTGATTACTAAGCTTGAAGTGTGGTTAATGTAACTGAGATACCGAAGTTTTAATTTTATTTAATTTTAATTTAAAAAGCCACTTGTGGCTGCTCCATATTGCACACTACTTTTTAAAATTATTATTTGTATATATTTAAGGGGCACAAGTACAATTTTGTTGCATGGATTTATAGCCCAGTGGGGAAGTCTGGGCTTTTAGGGTATCTATTACCTGAATAATGTACATTGTACCCATTGAGTAATTTCTCATCATCCACTCTCCTCCACTCCCCAACCCTTCCAAGTTTCCACTGTCTATTATTCCACTCTCTATGTCCATGCCTATGCATTATTTAGCATTGACATGTCTATGCATTATTTAGTCAAATACATGTGCTATTTGACTTCCTGTATCTGAGTTGTTTGACTTAAGATAATGACCTTCACTTGCATCCATGTTGCTGCAAAAGACATGATTTCATTCTTTTTTATGCCTGGGTGGTATTGCATTGTGTGTGTGTGTGTGTGTGTGTGTGTAGAGAGAGAGAGAGATCACATTTTCTTTATACAGTCCTCCATTGATGGGCACTT
The DNA here is from genome assembly GCF_000001405.40 of Homo sapiens. Taxonomy (NCBI): domain Eukaryota; kingdom Metazoa; phylum Chordata; class Mammalia; order Primates; family Hominidae; genus Homo; species Homo sapiens. The sequence goes on along the minus strand of NC_000019.10, from coordinate 8,853,460 downwards.
AGGTTGATTCCATATCTTTGCTATTGTGAATAGTTTTGTGATAAACACACAGGTTCAGGTGTCTTTTTGACAAAATTATTTATTTTCCTTTGTGTAGATACCCAGTCGTGGGATTCCTGGATCAAATGGTAGTTTCATTTTTAGTTATTTGAGAAATCTCCACGTTTTTCATAGAGATTATACTAAATTACATTCCCACCAACAGTGTGTAACGGTTCACTTTTCTTGCATCCTTTTTAACATCTGTTATTTTTTGTCTTTTTAGTAACAGCCATTCTGACTGGCGTAAGGTGGTATCTCATCATGGTTTTAATCTGTATTTCTCTGATTATTAGTAATGTCGAGCATTTTTTCATATGCTTGTTAGCCATTGGTATGTCTTCTACATCTTTAAGAAGCTGGCTATGGGCTGGGCGCAGTGGCTCACACCTGTAATCCCAGCACTTTGGGAGGCCGAGGCAGGCGGATCACGAGGTCAGGAGTTAAAAACCAGCCTGGCCAACATGGTAAAACCCTGCCTCTACTAAAAATACAAAAAATTACCCAGGCATGGTGGTGCGCCTGTAATCCCAGCTACTCAGGAAGCTGAGGCAGGAGAATCACTTGAACCCAGGAGGCGGAGGTTGCAGTGAGACGAGATCACATCATTGCACTCCAGCCTGGGTGACAGAGTGAGACTCTATCTTGAGAAAAAAAAAAAGTTGGCTATAACAGGGTTGTAGAAGTAGAGGAACCAGTAACCCTTCTCGCCATGCCTGATGATGGCTTTACATCCCTGTCTTCATGGAGTTTATGCTGTCGTGAGGAATAACAAGAACAGGCAGTTGTCAATTATAAATTATTTGATGTGAACCTATTCATACATGGGTGTGGTCATCAGGGAAGGCTTCCTGGAGGAAATGACATTGAAGGTGAATTCTAAAAGATGACGATAAAACCACCAAGTGAAGGAGAGCTTAAATGTGTTTTTAGGCAGAAGAAAAACCTTTTGGGTGAAAATTTTAAAACTTAGAGAGGTCCCATCAGTTTCCAACTGCGATGATCCATTCTCTCCACCACTGCCCTTGGGCCCAGCCCAATTTAGGTCCACCATGCCCAGAGGCATGAATTTAACTTATGACACTCTTGTGGTGGAATAATGGCTTTGGGCTTATGTAGCCATGTGTCATTTTTTTAGAGATACAAATTGAAATATTTGGGGTGAGATGTCATGGTGTCTACTGGCCTCTAAAACTTCAGTGAAAACATTTACTTTCACTGAAATGTCAATAAATCATAAATTGGATGTATATGTTTTAGTTGGAGGAAATATAAACCACTAAATCTAGGTGATGCATATTTATTATACTCTTCTCTCTGCTTTTTTGTACGCTTGTAAAATTGTATTTAAAAGAATAAGACACACTTGGCCGGGCGCGGTGGCTCACGCCTGTAATCCCAGCACTTTGGGAGACCGAGGTGGGTGGATCATGAGGTCAGGAGTTCAAGACCAGCCTGGCCAACATGGTAAAACTCCATCACTACATACAAAAATTAGCCAGGCATTTTGGCGGGCACCTGTAATCTCAGCTACTTGGGAGGCTGAAGCAGGAGAATTGCTTGAACCCGGGAAGCAGAGGTTGCAGTGAGCCAAGATCACGCCACTGCACTCTAGCCTGGGCAACAGAGCAAGACTCCATCTCCAGAAAAAAAAAAAAAAAAAGACACACTCACATGCACCCTCCATTTCTTTCATTTCTAGGGTATTCTCCCAACAGAAATGAGCCCTTAACTGGGAATTCTGGTAAGTCTCAAAGAAGCCCCAGCCCAGGGTAGGGAGGGGGTAGCCTGATGGTGCTTTGCCTTGTCCAAGAGCACCAGGCACACAGAGTCTTGGATGAGGATCAAAATTGCCAACCCATGGCAAAGACTATTGAGGCATAGTAAAGGGATAGCAGGGATCCTGGCTTTCTGGGGGCCCAGTTTTTGGGGGCATCAGAGGCATGAGGTGTTGAGCCACTAAGCTCTCTTCCCCAGGGCTGTGCCCATCCTCAGGCCACATAGGGTCCAAGAAGGAGCCCTGGGACGTGGCAGGAGGTGGCTCACCCCAGCCCTTGTCTCCCCAGACCTTCCCTTCTGGGCTGTCATCCTCATCGGCTTGGCAGGACTCCTGGGAGTCATCACATGCCTGATCTGCGGTGTCCTGGTGAGCAAGGAAGGGTTGCTTGTCTTCTTAACAATTGGGTTGTAAGAGTTCTTAATATATTATAAAACCATACTATACTATACACAAGTCCTTTGCTGGATATATGTTTTGCAAATATTTTCTCCCAGTTCACGGAGTGGCTTTCCTATTTTCTTTTTATAATTTTATTTTTAATTAATTGACAAATAATGAATGCATATATTTAGGGGATACAATGTGATGCTTTGGTATATGTACAATTATGGAATGACTCAATCAAGCTAATTAATATGTCCCTCACCTCTCATACTTATTATTTCTTTGTGGTGTGAACATTGGCAACCTATACTCTTAGCAATTTTGAAATCTACATTATTATTAACTATAGTTACTATGTTATGCAGATCTCAAAAACTTCACAACCTATATGCTGATTACAAGATATTGAGAGAAAAAGTGATTGCAAAGAGTGTAAATAAAATAATGTAAGAGGGAAAAATGTAACAAAATTAGTCGTTAGGGAAATGTACACGGAAGTCACAATGAGAGGCCACTTTTCACAAGAATGGATAAAATTGAAAAGATTGACTATAACAAGTGTTGGTGAAAATGTGACAGAACTGGAACTCTCATAAAGTGAAAGTGGAAAATAGCTTGGCCATTTCTTTGAAAATTACACACACCTACCGTAAGACCCTACCATCCCACTACTAGTAATTTATCTAAGAGAAATAAAAACATATGTCTATATGAAGACTTGTACACAAGTAAATGTTCATAACAGCTTTGTTTGTAATAGCCAAACTCTGAAAACAACCCTAATGTCCATTAACAAATATATCCTGACAATGGAATATTATTCAGCAACAAAAAGGAATTATTAATACATTAATAAATTATACAGCAACATGTATAAATTGCAAAATAGTTATGCCTAGTGAAAGAATCCAGATGAAGAAAAGAGTACATGCCATATGATTCCCTTAATAGACAAATTCTAGAAAATACAAACTAATCTGTAAGGACAGGAATCAGATCAGCGGTTGCCTGGGAATGAAAATGTGTTTGCAGTGGCAGGGAAAAAGGAATTGTAAAAGAGCAGGAAGAAAGTTTTTTTGTTGTTTTTTTTTTGTTTTTTCTTGAGACAGAGTCTTAGTCTATCGCCCAAGCTGGAGTGCAATGGCACGATCTCAGCTCATTGCAACCTCTGCCTCTCGGGTTCAAGCGTTTTTCCTGCCCCAGCCTCCCAAGTAGCTGGGATTACACATGCGCACCACCACACTCAGCTAATTTTTGTATTTTTAGTAGAGACGGGGTTTTACCATGTTGGCCAGGCTGGTCTCGAACTCCTGACCTCAGGTGATCCACCCGCCTTGGCCTCCCAAAGTGCTGGGATTACAGGAGTGAGCCACCATGCCTGGCCAGGACGAAAGTTTTGGGGATGATGGATGGATGTTCCTTATGTTGATTGTGGTGACGATTCAATAAGTTATGATCAGAACTTATCAAAACATTCACTTTAAATGTGTGCAGTTTATTTTATGTCAGTTATGCCTCAGTTAAGCTGGACAGATGTAGAGGAGGAAGGGAGGGAGAGAGGGGGCTGAGATCAGGACCAAAAGCCAGAGAGAAAGAGACTGAGAATGAGATGAGAGAGAAATGGTATTTAGACAGAAGACAGGCGATAGATGATTGATAGTTGACAGATGATTGGTGGATAGCTGATAGGTAGATGATAAATAGATTATTTTGATAGATAATTGGTAGATAATAAATTGATAGGTAACAGATAGTTGATAGATATTGATAAGTAGATGATAAATACATGATTGATGGATGACAGGTGATTGATAGATGATTGATGGATTATAAATAGGAGATGATTGAGAGGTGAGAGATAATTGATGGTTATTGATTGGTAGATAATTGATTGACAGGTTGATAAATATTGATAGCTAGATGATAGATAAATAGATCATTGGTAGATATGTGATATATTGATAAAGAAATTCAGAGGCAAAAGGAGAGAGAAATGAAGGGGATATCGGAGGGGGAAAAATTTTTTTAAACCGAGAGTGAAACAAGGAGACAGAAGAAAAGAAAGTGGTGAAAAGAGGAAAAGAACTGAGGGAGAAATTAAATGAAACAATGAAGGGAGACAGAGGAAGCATAAGGCCTCTGGCTTTGGCCATATTCTCACCCCTGTGGTCTCCTCTCCCTGGACGGCTGACCAGTCCATTCTCACGCCTCCTCCTCACCCTCATAGGTGACCACCCGCCGGCGGAAGAAGGAAGGAGAATACAACGTCCAGCAACAGTGCCCAGGCTACTACCAGTCACACCTAGACCTGGAGGATCTGCAATGACTGGAACTTGCCGGTGCCTGGGGTGCCTTTCCCCCAGCCAGGGTCCAAAGAAGCTTGGCTGGGGCAGAAATAAACCATATTGGTCGGACACAGTCTCTGAGCCTTCCTTGACGTGACCCCTGACTGGTTCATGTTGGACTAAGAGAACAGTCTTCCACCTTCGTGAAGTCCCAAAGGCAACTCTCAGTTGTGTGTTGTGGTTTCGCACCATGTCATCCCTTGGGAACACCAGAATTGGTGAAAATGATTGTATTAGGCTGTTCTTGCACTGTGATAAAGAAATACCTGGCCGGGCGCAGTGGCTCACACCTATAATCCCAGCACTTTGGGAGGCCCAGGCGGGTGGATCACTTGAGGTCAGGAGTTCAAGACCGGAGCCTGGCCAACTTGGTGAAACCCTGTCTCTACTAAAAATACAATAATTAGCCAGGCATGGTGGTCCACGCCTGTAATGCCAGCTACTTGGGAGGCTGAGACAGGAGAATCACTTGAACCCAGGAAGCAGAGGTTGCAGTGAGCCAAGATCACGCCACTGCACTCCAGCCTGAGTGACAGAGCGAGACTCTGTCTCAAAAAAAGAACAAGAGAAAAAAAAAAAATACCTGGCCAGGCTCGGTGGCTCACGCCTGTAATCCTAGCACTATGGGAGGCCTAGGCAGGCAGGTTGCTTGAGTCCAAGAGCTCGAGACCAGCCTGGGAAACATGGCAAAATGCTGTCTCTACAAAGATTTTTAAAAATAGCCAGGCATGGTGGTGCGTGCCTGTAGTCCCAGCTACCCAGGAGGCAGAGGTGGGAGTATCACCTGAGCCTGGGAGGTTGAGGCTGCAGTGAACTGTGATTGTACCACTGCACTCCACCCTGAATGACAGAGTGAGATCCTGTCTCAAAAAAAAAAAAAAAAAAAAAAAAAAAAAAAACAAAGAAAAAAGAAATACCTGAGACTGGGTAATTTTTAAAGAAAAGAGGTTTAATTGGCTCACAGTTCTGCAGGCTGTACAGGAAGCATGATGTCAGCATCTGATCAGCTTCTGGAGAGGTCTCAGGAAGCTTCCAATCATGGTGAAGGCCAAGGGAGGGCCAGCATGTCACAAGAGAGGGCCAGCATGTCACATGGCCAGAGCAGGAGCAAGGGAGAGTTGGGGGGAGCAAAGGTGCCACACACTTAACCAGATCTCACAAGTACAGACTCCCTGTTGCAAAGGCAGCATCAAACCATGAAGGATCTGCCCCTATGACCCAAGCACCGCCTACCAGGCTCCACCTCCAACACTGGGGATTACAATTCAACATCAGATTTGGTGGGGACACATATCCAAACTACATTACTGATGATATGGACAGGAGACAGGGAAATACTGGGTAGAAGAGGGAGGTTCCCCAGCAAAGGCCCCACCCTCAAGCCTGGAGACCTGTGGCCCTAAATGGGAACAGACAATCCTGTTTTCATGCCCCAAAGTCACCTTTTGGCCCACCATGCTCCCCTATCCTATACCCATATAAACCTCAAACCCCAGGCTCCACAAGCAGAAGAATGGCAGAACGACACAGCAGAGAGAAGAGAAGGAGCATCTGAATGCCGAAAGGAGTTCAACTGGGGACAGTCAGAGAGGAGACTAGCCACTGGACAGCCAAACTCCAGGGGAAGATCATCTTCCCACTCCATCCCCCTTCTAGCTCCCCATCCATCCCACTGAGAACCACCTCCCCCATTCAACAAAACCCTGGCATTCATCCTTCAAGTCTATGTGTGACCTGATTCTTCCTGGATGCTGGACAAGGACTTGGGTACCAAGAGGGCACTGAGCTGGTTAACACTTGAGCCATCCACAGACAGCAAGGCTAAGGAGCACACTGTAACACACAGCCACTTGGGCTTTGGGAGTTGCAGTCTCCCACCTGTGGATGCTGCCATGGGGCCAGAGCCCAGGGACACTGGCCCCGGCTCCTGCACCTGCCTGTCTGTGTGCTCCCCGTCCCATAAGGGGTTTGAGTGCACCCAGCAGCCAAACAGATGAGCCACACCCCTGTCACATGTCCTGCAAGGGAGCTCAGGGAATCCTCCTGTTTCACTGATACAGAAATTGCCATCATGGAGGCTGGGCACGGTGGCTCACACCTGTAATCCCAGCACTTTGGGAGACCAAGACAGGTGGATCACCTGAAGTCAGGAGTTCAAGAACAGCCTGACCAACATAATGAAACCCAACTCCACTAAAAATACAAAAAAATTAGCTGGGTTTAGTGGTGGGTGCCTGTAATCCCAGCTACTCGGGAGGCTGAGGCAGGAGAATCACTTGAATCTGAGAGGTGGAGGTTGCAGTGAGCTAAGATCGCGCCATTGCACTCCAGCCTGGGCGACAGAGCAAGACTCCATCTCAAAAAAAGAAAAAAGAAATTGCCATGGTGGAAAATCAACATTCCACTTCAGTGTAAGGTCTCCCACCTTTGTCACTCAGTACACACCCACCCTTGACTCCTATACCAGCCATCACACCCATCCTGTTCCTTTATATTCCCACATCCCTGCCCCCAAGAAACCCTGGCAGTTGCAAGTTTCTCTTCCACTATTTCATTCTCTGAAACTCAAATGCACCAGAATTTCCAGATTAGTGTTCCCTGGGTGGCATATTATCCATCTCACGGGTCCTCTACAATGGGAAGTAGACCAAGAAGACATAAACGGGTCAGAAATGGTTCTATGGGCCAGGCACAGTAGCTCAAACCTGTAATCCCAGCATGTTGGGAGACCACGGTAGGAGGATCGCTTGAGGCCAGGAGTTAGAGACCAGCCTTGGCAACATAATGAGACCCCCATCTCTACTAAAAGAAAAAAATAGCTGGATGTGGTGGCACACACCTATAGTCCCAGCTACTAGGGAGGCGGAGGCAGGAAGATCCCTTGAGCCCAGGAGGTTGAGGCTGCAGTATGATTGCACCACTGCACTCCAAGTCTGGGCAACACAGTGAGACCCCATCTCTAAAAAAAAAAAATAGAGTGCAATATCTATATTATTTATAGCTTCCCTAAAAATTTGTTATTTTAAAATTTCATCTTTTCTGCTCTGTGCTTCCACGTGGTAATCATGTGTGTCCTAGAATGTGGGGATTTTTTTGGTTTTGTTTTCTTTTGTGTTTTGAGATGGAGTCTCACTCTGTTGCCCAGGCTGGAGTGCAATGGCACGATCTCAGCTCACTGCAACCACCGCCTCCCAGGTTCAAGCGATTCTCCTGCCTCAGCCTCCTGAGTAGCTGAGATTACAGGTGGGTGCCACCATACCCAGCTAATTTTTGTATTTTTAGTAGAGACAGGGTTTCGCCATGTTGGCCAGACTGGTCTTGAATGCCTGACCTCAGGTGACCTACCCACGTTAGCCTCCCAAAGTGCTGGGATTACAGGTGTGAGCCACTGCGTGCAGCCTTAGAATGTGTTTTAATGTTTTGTTTGCTTGAAAAAAAATACCAATAGCCTACATCCAGTCTATATGACTTTTTTTAGATTCCACACAGAAGTGAGGTCAATGCATCATTTTCTATCTGTGTCTGACTTAATTCACTTATCTTAAAGTCAGTAGGCAGTACTCAAGATTATAAAATTATTCAGTGCTTTGTCCTCATCATCACAGGATAAAGCCTACCCAATCAGAATTGATTATTATTTTTGTGAAATATCCCAGTGGATTCCAAAATAATATTTAAGGAAAGAGTTTTTTATATCTACGTTCTCAAATAAGCTATCTAACTCTAGTTATTTTTCTGTTCTTGATTGCCCATTAATTCAGAGTTGCATTTAATGAACTACCAGACTTTCCCTGATTCTCTAAGTCTATATGTGTTTGAAATTTGAATCAGGAAAGTCGACACAATTTGAGGGATAATAATATCAAGAAAAACTTTTCAGGCCGAGCGTGGTGGCTCACGCCTGTAATCCCAGCACTTTGGGAGGCTGAGGTGGGCCAATCACTAGAGGTCAAGAGTTCGAGACCAACCTGACCAACATGATGAAATCTCATCTCTACTAAAAATACAAAAATTAGCTGGGTGTGGTGGTGGGCACCTGTAATCCCAGCCACTTGGGAGGCTGAGGCATGAGAATCGCTTGAACCCAGGAGGCAGAGGTTGCAGTGAGCCAAGATCGCACCACTGTACTCCAGCCTGGGAGACAGAGTAAGACCCCTGTCTCAAAAAAAGAAAAGAGAGAGAGACTTTTCAGTGTTAAGAATCTAACGATGCACCATCGTTCTGCTTGTTGGGAATACGAGTTAAAGTCTATTTGTCTACTTGCCTGATCAAGCTTATTGAATTATTCCAGTCCTCTTTATCATTAATTTGCTTTTGTTTGATGGATTTACCAGTTTCTGAGATTGATGTGTTAAAAATGATAGAATACTGGCCAGGCATGGTGGCCCACACCTGTAACCCCAGCATTTTGGGAGGCTGAGGTGGGAGGTTTGCTTAAGTCTAGGAGTTTGAAACCAGCCTGGGCAACAGAGTGAGACCTTGTCTCTGCAAAAAATAGAAAAAATTAGCCAGATGTAATGGCATGTGCCTGTAGTCCCAGCTACTCAGGAGGCTGAGGCAGGAGGATCACCTGAGTCCAAGAGTTCAAGACTGCAGTGAGGTTTTGTTTGTTTGTTTGGGTTTTTTGGTTTGTTTGTTTTGGGGTTTTTTGTTTGTTTTGTTTTTTGGTTTTTGTTGTTGTTGTTGTTGTTTTGTGAGATGGAGTCTTGCTCTGTTGCCCAGGGTGGAGTGCAGTGGGGTGATCTCGGCTCACTGCAACCTCTGCCTCCTGGGTTCAAGCGATTCCCCTGCCTCAGCCTCCCGAATAGCTGGGACTACAGGTATACATCACCACACCCAGCTAAGTTTTGTATTTTTTGTAGAGACAGGTTTCACCATGTTGGCCAGGTTGGTCTTGAACTCCTGATCTCAAGCAATCCACCCACCTCGGCCTCCCAAAGTGCTGGGATTACAGGCATGAGGCACCGCACCTGGCCTGCAGTGAGTCATGATGGCACCACCGCACTCCAGCCTGGACTACATACATACATACATAGTAAATAAAAATGAGAGTATAACATGAAAAAGAAAAAATCTCCTTTCCCTGCCCACCTGAAACCCAATCTCTCACCTCAAAAAGAAATTATTGTCTTTATTCCCTTGTGTCACACAAAGGAGTGTAATTTTTTGTTTTGTTTTGTTTTGTTTTTGAAACAGAGTCTCAATCTGTCACCCAGGCTGGAGTGGAGTGGTGCAATCTCGGCTCACTGCAGCCTCTGCCTCTGGGTTCAAGCGATTCTCCTGCCTCAGCCTCCCGAGTAGCTGGCATTATAGGTGCCTGCCACCATGCCCAGCTAATTTTTGTATTTTTAATATAGATGGGGTTTCACCATGTTGGCCAGGCTGGTCTTGAACTCCTGGCCACAAGTGATCACCCGCCTCAGCCTCCCAAAGTGCTAGGATTACAGGCATGAGCCACCGCACCCTGTTCTGAGCTTACTTACTTAGGTGCTCTTAGGTGCTCACCCAGCCTAATTTTTTTTTTTTTAAGTATTGGCATATTTTAAAGTTTCAAGAGCTTAAAGCAAAAAAACCTCATTGGGGACACTGCAAAGAGATGTTAATAAAGGATTACACTTTATTTCATCTGCACTATCTTCCCTTTTTTTCTTAGCGTTTTTCAGGACGGCCTTCTTGGTCTCTCACTTTCTCTGCCTCATTAGCGAGTCCATCCGCAATCAGTGCTATTGCGAGTCTCTCTCTGACTGTCTTCACTTTCCCTTCCTGTTTCCTGATATCTTCCTCAGTAACCAGAAATTGTTTGCAGAGGAGCTGCGAGATACCCACTCCCTCTGCAGGAATTATCTCCACCGCATCTGAAGAGCAGGCAAGGTGGGGCATGGGGCAGGAGTGCTCCAGACCACTGGCAAGATCCTCCAGCAGAGATCCACCTGTGTAACTAGGGACAAGTTTTTGCAAGGTATTGGCAAGATCCAAAGTGCTTGAAAGTTCTCCTGCACTGCTGTAAGCCTGGAGTCCCTGCAGTCTCCTCTGCCAGCAGACCTGCTGAGGCTTCTCCAAGCTCTCCTCCCATTGATGGTATCTGACCTCATTGCCAGGATGGGGTGTAATTCTCGTTACTGGCCTCTTGAATGTGTAACTGGACATTCTCAAAGGGATTGAGGTGCTCAAGCCAGGCTTTGATTTGCATTGGTTTACACAGTCACGTTGCTTCCTCTGTGAACTCTTGGCCATCACACTTCTTTTCCTCTTACACTATTAAAATAAATCATGAAATGGGGTCAAATTGATCAATGAAGCCTGCCTTCTCAGGACAAGGATCTCAGCTGTTCTGGACTTTCATCCTTCCTCTCTCCCTCTGGGGATAGGTCTGACCTGCTTCCTGGGACATCATCAGGCAGATTTGAGTCAAGCACAGAAAGTTCAAGGTCAAAATCTCCTTCATCATCCTGCAAACCCCCTCCTTGTTTGAGTACTATTTTATTCTCTTTCTGCCCTTGTCACTCTTAAATGCTCAAGTCCTGATACTCCCTCTCATGACAAATATGACAGTCTTTTTCTAAATCTCAAATCTTGCCTTTTTTTTTTTTTTTTGTCCCACTCCGTCACTCAGGCTGGAGTGCAGTGGTGCAATCACAGCTCACTGCAGCCTTTACCTCCCCAGGCTCAAGTGATCCACCCACCTGAACCTCCCGCGTAGCTGGGACTACAGGCGTGCATCACCATGCCTGGCTGTTTGTGGTTTTTGTAGAGACGAGGTTTCACCATATTGTCCAGGCTGGTCTGGAACTCCTGAACTCAAGTGATCCACCCCCCCTCGACCTCCCAAAGTGCTGGGATTACAGGCATGGGCGACCGTGCCCAGCCCAAATCCTGCCATTCTTATGCATTACTTGACTATTCATCTGTTTAACACATTGACCTCTTGGTTTGCACAGTTCCTGCAGCTTGTAAGTCAATAATGAAATTATCAACTGCTCTGCTCTTTGAGCCTTAATCCCACACCCCAGACATTTTCAGCAACCCAAACAGCCATGCTCAAAAATAAATAATTCTGACCCAGCACAGTGGCTTACATCTGTAATCCCAGCACTTTGGGAGGCCAAGGCAGGCGAATCGCTTGAGGTCAGGAGTTCAAGACCAGCCTGGCCAACATGGCGAAACCCCATCTCTACAAAAAATACAAAAATTAGCTAGGCATGGTGGCGGGCACCTGTAATCCCAGCTACTCGGGAGGCTGAGGCAGGAGAATAGCTTGAACCCGGGAGCTGGAGGTGGCAGTGAGCCGAGATCGCACCACTGCACTCCAGTCTGGGCAACAGAGCGAGACTGTCTCAAAACAAATAAATAAATAAATCGGAAAACTTATTCACCCACTATAAATTTCTGATTTCCAGGTTTTTTAATTCAAATGCCCATACCATAGATACCTGTTCTTGATGAACATACCTTGAGGAGCAAGTATCTGTGATTTGGGTATTTGAATTACTCCGGACCTCCGTATCTTCACCTTCCTCTCTCTCCTCTGATTCCTAGCACTCTTGGATTCTGTGGTCTGCGACCTCAATATTTCCCTTAGAGGCCGGGCACGGTGGCTCCACGCCTGTAATCTCAGCACTTTGGGAGGCCGAGGTGGGTGGATCACTTGAGGCCAGGAGTTCAAGACCAGGCTGGCCAACATGGTGAAACCCCATCTCTACCAAAAAAAAAAAAAAAGAATTAGCTGGGTGTGGTGGCGCACACCTGTAGTCCCAGCTACTCGGAAGGCTGAGGTGGGAGAATCACTTGAACCCAGGAGGTGGAGGTTGCAGTGAGCAGAGATCACATCATTGCACTCCAGCCTGAGCAACAGAATGAGACCCTGTCTAAAAAAAAAAAAAAAAATTCATTTAGATTAATCCAAAATTCCTTACCACTTATCACACCTGCCTTGTAAAACTTCAAACTTGGAAGGTCCCTGTTCTCTGTGACGCCATGGCTACCACCGTCATATGATCACTGCTGAAAAAAGAATCACGTGACATGACGTCTTAGTGCCACTATAAATACAAAATATTCTCCATCAACTGGGAAGAATCCATCATGCGTAGAAACTTTATTTTCTGTGTATGCACTGTCATGTTTACTCCTTGATTTTCCCCAAAACCTGTTGCAAAATTTTCTCCAGCTTTCTTTTTTCCTCATAGATATTTAATTCTCCTTAACTTACCTGATGGTTCCCAAAGACGTTAGTTGCCAAATCTGCAAATATCCCTGATAAGCATTGAATGTTTCCAAATTTCCTTTAATTGTATTTAAAGAGATTTCCTGCCAGGCATGGTGGCTCACACATCTAATCCCAGCACTTTGGTAGGCTGAGGCGGGAGGGCCACTTGAACACAGGAGTTTGAGACCAGTCAGGGCAACGTAGGGGGACCCCCATCTCTACTAAAAATTAAAAAGTTAGCTGGGGGTGATGATACATGTCTGAGGTCCCAGCTGAGTGAGGGAGGCCGAGTGAAGAGGATAGCTTGAGCCCAGGAGGTCGAGGTTGCAGTGAGCGGCAATCAGGCCACTGTACTCTAGCCTTGGCAACAGAGCAAGACCTTGTCTCATAAATACATAAATATGTTTCCTTTATCCACCAAGAGTGATCTGAGCCTCATTCCTTCTTCCTTTTTGTTAATTTTATGCTTCCAATATTGCAATGTAACCTTTGTATCATCTGTTTTTGTTTTTTTTTTTTTTTTGAGACGGAGTCCCGCTCTATAGCCCAGACTGGAGTACAGTGGGATGATCTGGGCTCACTGCAACCTCCACTGCCCGGGTTCAAGCAATTATCTTGCCTCAGCCTCCCAAGTAGCTGGGATTACAGGCACATACCTCTATGTCCAGCTAATTTTTTGGTATTTTTAGTAGCGATGGGGTTTCGCCATGTTGGCCAGAGTGGCCTCGAACTCCTGACCTCATGATCTGCCCGCCTCAACCTCCCAAAGTGCTGGGATTACAGATGCCCCCATATCTTTAACTTCTGTTTTTCTACTGAATCCCTTCTTCGGCATTTAAACATGTTCAAGTTTCTCCGAGCTACACAGACACTCCTCTCCTAAACTTCCTGGGACCCCCTCCTTCACCACTACTGCCTATCCCTTCCCCTTAGCTATGAACCACTGAGAAAAGATCATCTACATCTATGTCTCCTATCTCCTCACCTCCAGCAACTCCTCAGGCCACCCCAAACTTCTGTTTTCCTTCACCGTTCTCAGCTGCTTCTGTTGCTAAGGCCACAATGACCCCTTTGTTGTTAGATCCCAAAGGAATTCTCATTATTCATCTGACATGACTCTTGAAGTGGAAAGCTTTGAAGTATGCTTGGAACAACCTGGACATGTGAATCTTACTTTACAGCTGTGAACCCTAGAAAATCTAAATATGGCCAGGCACGGTGGCTCACACCTGTAATCCCAGCACTTTGGGAGGCCGAGGCGGGCAGATCATGAGGTCAGGAGATTGAGACCATCCTAGCTAACACAGTGAAACCCCATCTCTACTAAAAATACAAAATATTAGCCATAATATTAATACAGGTGGGTGTGGTGGCACACACCTGTATCCCAGCTACTCAGGAGGCTGAGGCAGGAGAATGGCGTGAACCTGGGAGGCGGAGCTTGCAGTGAGCCGAGATGGCGCCACTGCACTCCAGCCTGGGCGACAGTGCGAGACTCTGTCTCAAAAAAAAAAAAAAAAAGAAAAGAAAAGAAAAAAAAGAAAATCTAAATACGGGGCAAGTACATCTGATAACATTCAACTCGCAAATTGAGATGTGCCATCAGTGGAAAGTACGAACTGGATTTCTGGAACTCATTACAAAAAACAAAAATCATTTAAAAGGTCTCATGTGGAGTCCTAATAAGATAAGTAACCAACAACAAGGAAAGGGCCCCTGGTTGGGGGAGAACAATTGTTCTGAGAGATGGCTAACTGCAAACAACCCACTGGCATGACATTCTGTTCCAAAAGACCTCGGTCTGCACATAGTCCCAGGAACACGACCTTATCTGCACACCTCACGTGCACATAGCCGCCTCCAGCACGACCCTATAAAATCCCCTCCAACCTCTGCCTCTTTGCAAATGGCCCCTTCTCTTCTGTGCTGCCTGTTGCATCCTTGCAACCTATCTTCATATCTTCTCTAATAAATCTGTCTTTCTTTACCTACGACTGTCTTGGGAAATTATTTTACCACCAACAATGCCAGCCCCAGCCAGTCGCACCTAAAACGTCTCAATAATTTTTACATTGATTGCATGCACACATGAGAATATGTTGGCCATCGCAGGTTAAAATAGACTTTTAGAATTCATTGTGTGTGGCATGCCATCTGTGGCTGAGGTGCTATATTGGTGCTTATCTAGGAGTTATCACCAGACAGCCTGTGTTCTGTGCATGCTTGGTTGTTTGCAGAGTTGCATAGCCTTCAAAACATTTACTATCTCAATATATCCATGTCCTCGGGAGAGGGTTAGGCAATATGCAGTTTGTTTCCATGGGACATCTCCATCCTTAGCAATTCCTTTGGGGATTATTTGACATCTGTCATTTCCACAGGTGGCCTTGCCCTGGAGGAAGGTGATAGTGGGGCTGCTGATCTTTTTTTTTTTTTTTTTTTTTTTTTTTTTTTGAGATGGAGTCTTGCTCTGTCGTCCAGGCTGGAGTGCAGTGCAGTGATGCGATCTCGGCTCACTGCAACCTCTGCCTCCTGGGTTCAAGCGATTCTCCTGCCTCAGCCTCCTGAGTAGCTGGGACTACAGGTGTGCACCACCACGCCCAGCTTATTTTTTGTATTTTTAGTAGAGACGGGGTTTCACCATGTTATCCAGGATGGTCTCAATCTCTTGATGTCATGATCCGCCCGCCTCGGCCTCCCAAAGTGCTGGGATTACAGGCGTGAGCCACCGTGCCTGGCCAGGGCTGCTGATCTTCTGGGTAGAATTTCAGCCTTGCTGTCTCCTGTGTATAAGGAACTCTGCCTGCTCCATCTTGGTCCCTTCCAGTTGTTTCACTTCAAGTTTCTTTACCTCCTTCTCTTCCTTACTAACCAAAATATGGAATGAAATATTTAGTAGCAATTATTTTATGCGTCATCTGGTTAGGTGGAAGCTACTAGTTGTTTTTACTCTAGCAGAATTAAGGTAGCCGGAAGTGACTATCAGAGTATAAAGTATCCTCAGATCTCAGGTACTCTGTGGGAAAGCAAGAACTTGTCTTGTCCATGAGGCCAGTGTGAAGGGTGAGGGTCTTTATCCCTGTCACAAGGCTTGAGGCAAAACTTTGCACTCTGCCTTCTGCCCTCCAGCCAGAGAAGTTTCTAGCCACCCCCATTCGAGGCAGAAAGGGTCCAGGCATTAAGTGGTTGTCGAGCCCTGGAATTTTATATTCCTAGACTTTGTGGGTTACAACATGGATACACACTGCCGACTTCATTCTGCAGCCAGCTTCTCACATCTAACAATATATCCCGATTGTAATTTAATATAACTAAATGTACATTGACATTGTTGTTTTAAGGCCCATGAATGTCATTTCATACGGCTACACCAGTACTTATTTTGCCATTGTTACTAATCTTCTGTCATATTAAATAGGAGGTAGATGATCAATCCTTTTTAACAAGGTTCAAACATTTCTCTGATTTAGATCACTGTAAAATTGCTGGGTTGATAAATATGCACATTCGTACAGCTTTGGGTATATGTTACCAAGTACCTGCTGAGAAACTGGTACTTATCAATGCTGCTAGCAGAGGGCGAGGTCATTCATTTCTTCATGTCTTGACAAACTGGCCATTTAAAATGTTTTGCATTACTTGAGAGGCACAAACATAATGCCATTATTTTAATTTATGCCTCTTTGCTAATTAGAGTATTGGGCAGTTGTATGTATTTGTAAAGGAGTGTGTGGTTCATAGCCTTTGTCTTTGATGATGTTTTTACTGGCTTGTTCATCTTTTGCTTATTTATCCAAAATATTCTTTATGTAATAATGATATGAGCCCACATGTCATAGATTTTTACAATTATTTATCCCCAGTTTGTTTTGCCATTTAATAATGTGATGGTGTGGAAAATTAAGATACACTTAAGCTGGATACGATGGGGTCATGCCTAAAATCCCAGCACTTTGGGCAGCCAAGGCAAAGGGATTGCTTGCGCTCAGGAGTTCGAGACTAGCCTCTGTGGTGTGGCGAGTCCCTGTCTCTATAAAAAATACAAAAACTAGCTGGGCGTGGTGGTGCACGCCTGCAGTCCCAGCTACTCGGGAAGCTGAGGAGGGAGAATGACTTGAGCCCAGGAGGTCGAGGCTGCAATGAGCCATGTTTGCACCACTGCACTCCAGCCTGGGTGACAAAGCAAGATCCTGTCTCCAAAAAAAAAGAAAAAAGAAGAAAGAAGGAGGAGGAGAGGGGGGGAGGAGGAGGAAAAGGAAGAGAAGAAGGAGGAGGAGGAAAGAAGAAAGAAGAAGGAGGAGGACAAGGAGGAGGAGGAAGGGGAGGAGTAAGGAAGAAGGAAGAAAGGAGGAGGAGGAAGAGGAAGAAGAGAAGAACTCACATTTTTGTAGTATTTTACTTTTTCCACTTTTCTTCTATTATTTTGAGGAAGAAGCACTCATATTTATGTAGTATTTTATTTTTCCACTTTTATTCTCTTATTATGCCTAACTGAAGAATTTATGTGTATAATTCTACATTTTTTAAATAAAAACTTTATTGAGCTACCATAATATTCAACCTTTTAAAGTGTACAGTTTTTACACTTTTGTGTAAAATGGTTTTTAGTACATTCACACAGTTGCGCAATCGTCACCACTATCTAATCTTATTTTCATCTAAAATGAAATCCATACCATTACCCACTTCCCCTCATTTCCCTTTTCCCCAACATTTGCCACTAATCTATTGTCTCTTTGGATTTTCTTATTCTGGAAATTTTATTTAAATTGAATTATACAAAATGTGGGTTTTTTATGAGTGGCTTCTTTTACTTACCGTAATGTTTTCAAGGTTCATCCATGGAATATGTATTCTGTTTAATGGATGAATAATAATCCGTTGTGTGGATATACCACATTTTATTTATCCATTCATCAGTTGACTGATATTTGGGACATACAAAATTTTGGGCTATTATGTATAATGCTGCTATGAACATTCATGTACAAGCTGTCATGTGAACACATGTTTTCATTTCTCTTGGGCATATACTGGAAATAAAATTGCTGGGTCACGTGGCAACTCTATGACTTTTTGAGGAACTGCCAAACTATTTTGCAAAGTGGGTGCACCATTTTACAATCCTGACAGCAATGTATAAGAATTCCAATTTCTCCTTGTCTTTGCCAATCTTTGTTATTGGCTATCTTTTTAATTTTAATTATCCCAATGGGTGTGAAGTAGTATTTTATTGAAGTTTTGATATTAACTTCCCTAATGATTAATGGGGCCGAGCATCTTTTCATGTATATATTTGCCATTTGTGTATCTTCTTTGTAGAAATGACGATTCGAACTCTTTGTTCATTTTTCAGGCTGGGTGCAGTGGCTCACACCTGTAATCCCAGCACTTAGGGAGGCCAAGGTGGGCAGATCACTTGAGGTCAGGAGTTCAAGACCAGCCTGGCCAACATGGCAAAACCCTCTCTCTGCTAAAAATACAAAAATTAGCCAGGCGTGGTGGTGAACGCCTGTGGTCCCAGCTACTTGGGAGGCTGAGGCAGGAGAATCGCTTGAATCCAGGAGGCAGAGGATGCAGTGAGCCAAAATGGTGCCACAGCACTCCAGCCTAGGTGACAGAAGGAGACTCCACCTCAAAAAGAAAAAAAAAAAAAAACTCTTTGTTCACTTTTAATTGGGTATCTTTTTATTGCTGAGTCGCAAGCCTTTATATATTTTGAATACAAGTCATGTATCAGATAAATCATTTGTAAATGTCTTCACCCAGTCCATGTTTGTCTTTTTTCTTGATGGTGTCCTTTGAAGCATCAATGTTTTTTAATGTTAAGTCCAATTTATATATTTTTTCTTTCGCCACCTGTTTTTGATGTCATATCTAAGAAACAATTGCCTAACCCAAGATCACAAAGTTTGACACCTATGTTTTCTTCCAAGAAGTTTATAGTTTTAGCTCTTACCTTTAGGTCTATGATCTATTTTGAGCTCACTTTTGTACATGGTGTGAAGTAGAGGTCCAATTTCATTCTCTGTTTTTTGTTTGTTTCTTGGTTGGTTGGTTTTTTTTTTGTTTTTTTTTGGTTTTGGTTTGTTTTTTTTTTTTGATGGAGTCTCGCTCTGTTCTCAGGCTGGAGTGCAGTGGGGTGATCTCGGCTCACTGCAATCTCCACCTCCTGGGTTCAAACGATTCTTCTGCCTCAGTCTCCCGAGTAGCTGGGACTATAGGCGCCCGCCACCACGCCCAGCTAATTTTGGTATTTTTAGTAGAGACGGGGTTTCACCATGTTAGCCAGGATGGTCTCGATATCTTGACCTCGTGATCTGCCTGCCTCAGCCTCCCAAAGTGCTGGGGTTACAGGCGTGAGCCACCACGCCCAGCCCAATTTCATTCTTTTGTATATTGGCATCTAGTTGTCCCAGCACAATTTGTTGAAGAGAACAGTCTTTCCACAGTGAACTTTCCTAGTATATTGAATTTTGAACTTGTTCATTTTTGCTTAAACTTCCTTCAGCCACCTGAAAATGGATATTTTTGGGAAGCAGAGATCTAACTATTTTTTTCTGAAAGGACGGGTGCATGAAACAATATCATTCATTGAAAGTATTTCTTCCTGGCTGATTTTAAATGTTACCACTCTCTTACATAAAATTTTTTCCCTTTGCACTTACCAGTATCTTTTTTTGTTTATGGTTTTTGGTTTTTGTTTTGTTTTGTTTTTTGAGATGGAGTCTTGCTCGTCACCCGGGCTGGAGTGCACCGGCTGCAATCTCGGCTCACTTCAACCTCCACCTCCCGAGTTCAAGCTATTCTCCTGCCTCAGCCTCCCAAGTACCTGGGATTACAAGGCATCCGCCACCACGCCCGGCTAATTTTGTATTTTTAGTAGAGACGGGGTTTCACCATGTTGGCAGGCTGGTCTCGAACTCCTGACCTCAGGTGATCTGCCTGCCTCGGCCTCCCAAAGTGTTGGGATTACAAGCGTAAGCCACCAGGTCCAACCAGCACTTAGTGGTATCTAACGCACCAACCCACCATGTATTCTATTTATCACATTCACTGTCCATTTCTCCTGCCCAACTCACAACTAAAATGCACGTTCTCTGAGGGCAAGGACGTTTACCTATTTTGTTCAGTCTATATCCATGGTGTATAAAACAGAGACTTGTTGGGGGGGAGGTAATAGCATTTATTCCATGAATATGACTACGGCATACACACATACACACACATACATGTCCACACTATATCTGGAAAGATAGAGGAGAAAATTATTTTTGCCTCTGAGCAAAAGAACTGAAAGACCGTGGTGGGAGAATATTTGACTGACTTTGTACCATTCTTAAGTTTTCCTATATGTGTATCTATGACCCAGTCCTCTCCTGCTCCCCTAAACTCTTAGTGTTAAATCACTATGTTCTGCCTTGGGAAAGCAAGTTATAGACAAATGTGCATACATAATCTGATCCTATTGGGTTGTATGAACATGGGGCAGTAACTGTATCAACAATCTAGGGATCCAAGGAAGGCCCTACCCCTGAATCTGATCTCCCACAATCCTGGCTCCTGGGCCTATCCCAACCCACCCACATCATACACCCTTTTATTCATACCCAGATCCCTGCCCCTGGAACTGGTCTCCACCCACTGCCCCCTCCCCAGGCCTGGTGCAGCCCACAGTCCCGCCCCCAGAACTGGTCTCCGCCCACAGTCAGCCCCGCCCCCAGGCTTGCTGCCACCCCATAGCTCCGCCCCTAGAACTGCTCTCTGCCAATCACCACTGCCCTCCAAGACCGGTACACCCACAGCCTAGTCCCCGCCCTCCGCCCGGCCCGGAGCTTATCTCCGCCCACAGCCAGCCCCAACCTCCAGGGCTGTCACAACCACAGCCTGGTTCCCGCTCAGCCCCGCCCCGGAAATGGAGGTCTCCACCCCTGTAACTGGTCTCTGCTCAGTCATCCCCGCTCTAGAAGCCTTATACCATCCGCCCCGAGAACTGGGCCCCACCCACAGCCCCGACCCTGGAACTGGTCTCTGCCCAATCAGCCTCGCCCTCCAGGCCTGGTACGGCCTCAGCCGGTTCCCCGCCTTCAGCCCCGCCCCGGAACTGATCTCCGCCCACAACCAGCCCCGCCCCCAGGCCTCGTGCGGCTCACAGCCTGGCCCCGCCCCCAGGGCCAACCTTACCCCCGCTACTGCCCCAGGCCAGGGCCCAACTTTGTGCCCACTAAGCAAACTAGAACACCTCTGCCCAAGGCTGGGGTTCGCGGCCGCCGCTCCCGCCCGCCGCGCCTGTCGCCTAAGCGCCGAACCCCCAACACGCTCGACTCTGCGAGGCTGCCCGCGCGAGCCGGAAGGGGACGTGCAGCGCACCTCTCCCCAGACCGGAAGCGGAAGCGCGGGGCGGTACCGTGGGAGGGGCCGCGCGTGGGGCAGCGGGGAGCGAGTCCCTCCGTCCCCGCGAGTCGGCGCTTTTGGCCCCGCGGGAGGGGCCGGGCTCGGTGAGCGACTGGCGGGGGCTCGGGTCCGAGTCCAGGGGGCGACGTGGGCCGCGGACACCGCCAGCCACGGGCCCTGCGTCCCTCCAGGGAGCCGTGTTTCGGTTCATGAGGCCTCGGGCTGTGAGCTTAGGTCAGCACGAAGCTGCTGCTTGCTCCTGGGTCGGGGCCCCGCGCCGCTGTTGCCTCCTCAGGGAACCCCAGTCGCCCTCACCCGGGGCGATTCCGCACCCCAGGGGACTTTTGGCTGTAGCTGGAGACGACTGTGGTTTTCACAAATTGTGGGGAGGGGAGGCTGCTACTGTCACCTAGAGGGTGGAGGCCGGGGAAGAGGGACGCTGCTTGCTCTTAAAGATCCTACGTTGTACAGGACAGTCCCCCACAACAAAGAATTATCAGTAGTGCCAGGTTGGGAAACCCTGCTCTAGGGCCTTAAAAAAAAAATCTCTGCAGTTCTGAATAAACTACATAAATTGTTAAAAATTCAGTTTAGTCACTTAATAGGGCCTCTAAGTGACAAGATATTTTTAAAGCCTGTGGAGTCACCATAGAATCTCTCTCCAGCGTAGTAAGTTGAGCAAGTCAAATGCACACAGCGTTAAGCTGCTTTCTCCCCTCTTACGGAGCAGATGGCCAGATGGGAATCAGGTAAAGCCAGTCATGGCCCACAGGCTGGGCCCTTATTACACATTTAATCATTGAGTACCCAAAAAAAGTGAATGGGATGGTGTTTCCGGCAGCCGTATCCAACAACTGTACAACCTATACAAAGCCTCGAAAGAAATCTTTGTGTCTTTTTTTTTTTTTCAGATGAGAAAAGCATCATTCAAGCTCAGATTCGTGTTGAAGCCTGCCACAAGGTCCACCTGTTGTTGTGGGTTTTTGGGTGACCAGGTGAGTACAGTGTGGAACCTACAACAAGGTTTCAGCAGGCTCTGCTGTGTAGAAGAACTCCTCGTGGGCTTTTCCTGTGCTGGGGTTGTAACCACATTGAAGTCACTAAGAGTGAAGGTATCTTAAGGAAAGTTCAAGGTAAAAAGACAGAGGTGTTTATGGTTACATGTGTGTAAATAAGTAAATACAGTTACATGCAAATAAGTATCCACAAAACAAACATACAAATAACGTAAAGATGTGTAACTGTAGCTAAAGACAGATTTTCTGGTATGCCGTAATGCTAAAAGTTTCTGAATTTTATATAAGTATAGAAAATATTTACATGTATATGTAGTGTTACAAGTCTTCCCACTAACAACTAGCAGGACTACTTAGCAACATTTTTCAGGCCTGTTTGATTTGACTTTTTTTTTTTTTCTTGAGACCAAGTCTCACTCTGTTGGCCAGGTTGGAGTGCAGTGGCGCGATCTTGGCTCATGTCAACCTCCACCTCCCAGACTCAAGCAAATCTCCTGCCTCAGTTTCCTGAGTAGCTGGGACTACAGGCAAGTGCCACCACGCCCAGCTAATTTTGTTTGTATTTTTAGTAGAGACAGGTTTTTGCCATGTTGGCCAGGCTGGTCTTTAACTCCTGACCTCAAGTGGTCCGCCCACCTCAGCCTCCCAAAGTGCTGGGATTACAGGCAAGAGCCACCGCACCCAGCTGTTGATTTGATTTCTAAAGGCATATTGGCCCTCCACCAAACTTCAAAATATAAGGGCATTTGTAAAAAGGATGATTTATTAGTAACAAATTTAAAATTAAATTGACCGGCGACCAGATGTGTTTTGAGTAATGGGATTTTTTTTTTCCTAATGAGATTTGAAAACATTTGGAAGAATATTAAGCAACAACTTATAGATTGAAGGGTAGGGAACTGGTTTCCAAAAAGATTGTCCTCTGCACCTTGCCTCCTGTATTAGTCCTTTTTCACACTGCTATAAAGAACTACCTGAGAGTTTTCACACTGCTATAAATAACTCCCTGAGACTGAGTGACTTACAAAGGAAAGAAGTTTAATTGACTCAGTTCTGCATGGCGGGGGAGGCCTCAGGAAACTTACGATCATGGCAGAAAGCAAAGGGAAAGCAAGGCACGTCTTACATGGCAGCAGGAGAGAGAGAGAAGACATAAACGCCAAACTTCTAAACCATCAGATCTTGTGGGAACTTACTATCAGGAGAACAGCAAGGGGGAAGTCCGCCCCCATGATTCAGTCACCTCCTACCAGGACCCTCCTCTGACACATAGGGATTATTACAACTCGAGATGAGATTTGGGTGGGGGGACACAGAGCCAACGATATCACCTCCTAATAGGAATTAACTTTGTTTCTTAAAACTTCTCTGAAATAACAGTATGGTGATTCATATTGCAGAGAATCATGTTAAGTAATCTAGTATTAAATTGTGGGGTTTCTACTAATTGTGTGTGTGTTCACCTTTTCCATTCTAGCTTTCCTACAGCATTCTTGAAGGAATGTTTACTTATCATGCAATAGATATTATTTGAGTGCACAGTTAATGGTGACCAACCATCCTCATTTTTTCAGGACCAAGGGGTTTGCTAGGGCACAGGGCATCCAGTGTTCAAACCGGGACAATCCTTGGCAAACCAGGTCGCCTCCATGAGTCAGGTCCTAGGTCAGATGCACAGGGACCCTGGAGGACCTGAAATGGCCCCTGTCCTACATAAAGTTTACCTTCTAACAGGGAAGATAAATTTTAAACCATGAATGACAGGAGTGATGTGGGAGCTTGGCACTAGTGAACTTGATCAGAGGGAACAGGGAAGCTTTCTTGGGAAGGATATTTAGCTTGAGAGCTTAAGTTGTTACAGAACCAAACTGGGGTCTGCTCACCTGGTGGTGCAGTGAAACCAGATGTCTATATTGAGGGTTGCTACGATAGATAGAAAGGCTTTTATTGCACAGCACTAAGCAAGGAGGACCAGACATTAAATGTTCAAATCCTGGCCTCCCCAGTGGCTTTTAGGCAAGGAATTTTTTTTTTTTTGAGATGGAGTCTCACTCTGTTACCCAGGCTGGAGTACTGTGTTGCAATCTCAGCTCACTGCAACCCCCGGCCTCCCGGGTTCAAGCAGTTCTGCCGCAGCCTCCTGAGTAGCTGGGATTACAGGCGCCTACCACCATGCCCGGTTAATTTTTGTATTTTCAGTAGAGACGGGGTTTCACCATGTTGGCCCGGCTGGTCTTAATCTCCTGACTTCGTGATCCACCCGCCTCAGCCTCCCAAAGTGCTGAGATGATACAGGCATGAGCCACCACACCCGGCCTTTTTTTTTTTTTTAATGAGACAGAATCTCACTTGGTCACCCAGGCTGGAGTGCAATGGCACGATCTCAGCTCACTGCAACGTCTGCCTCCCAGGTTCAAGTGATTTTCCTGCCTCAGCCTCCCCAGTCCCTAGGATTACAGGCACATACCACCACACCTGGCAAATTTTTTGTATTTTGAGTAGAGACAGAGTTTCACCATGTTAGCCAGGTTGGCCTCAAACTCCTGACCTCAGGTGATCCGCCTGCCTAGGCCTCCCAAAGTGCTGGGATTACAGACATGAGCCACCGTGCCCGGCTAGGCAAGGATTTCTGAAGGCAATGGTAAGTTACAGAAAAGCAGAAGCTACAGGCAAAATCATAAAGCAATACATGGAGGTTACACACTGGTTTAGACTTAAAAGGGCAAGGATGTCTTGAAGCAGGAGCTTGTCATAGGTAGATTCAAAGATTTTTCTGATTTGTAATTGGTTAAAGAAAAGAAGCTTTGTTTAAAAATTTAGAGTCAGTAGGAAAATGTTAACTGGCTGGGAGAAGTGACTTTCTCCAAGCCCCTCAAGAAGAAACTTAGCACAAAGAACGCTGAAGCTCAGCCTTCATGTCCCGCTTATCTGGGGTCTCTGAGCCAGCAGCTCCATTTGGTGGGGTCCTCAGTGGGAGTCCCAGCCTCTGAAAGGCAACTCAGGGACGCATGTTAAGATGTTATCTTTAGTTTCCATGGGGAAAGCGAACATCTCTGGAGCCTTAACTTCTTTGGCTGTTGTTTTAGGTTACTATTACCTTCCTGTTTAACAAGTTCCATATTTACTTTTGGGGCTAGCTGGATGCTCGGAATTTCCCTTAAAGGAACTTCAGGATTTTCCTTTATTTTCCCACTTGGGGTTCACAGGCCCCTGAAAAAGGGAATTGCTGCTCCATCTCCAAGTTGGGGTCAGATGTAGCTAGTCATAGGGCTCGACTAGAGTGAGGGGACAGGGTTATGTCCAAGAGAGCACTGCCGTCGAAGAAGCTGTGTAAGGAAAGGCCCTGCAGCAGGAGAGAGGCTGCCACGCTCCCTGCACTGGGAACACAGGGATGGCTGAAGCCGAGACAAGAACAGGGAAAGAAGCTGGGCGCAGTGGCTCACACCTGTAATCCCAGCACTTTAGGAGACCAAGGTGGGCTGATCACCTGATGTCAGAAGTTCAAGACCAGCCTGGCCAACATGGTGAAACCCCGTCTCTACTAAAAATACGAAAATTAGCTGGGTGTGGTGGTGCACACCTGTAGTCCCAGCTGCTCGGGAGGCTGAGACAAGAGAATTGCTTGAACCTGGGAGGCTGAGGTTGCAGTGAGCAGAGATTGCACCACTGCATTCAGCCTGGGTGTAAGAGTGAGACTCCTCAAAAAAAAAAAAAAAAAAAAAAAAGAATAGGGAAAGAAGTGTGACCAAGACCAAGATCAAGAGGGAGGCAGAACCATACTAGGCCTCACTTCAGACTCTGTTCTCAGGCCAGTGGGAAGACACTAAAGAGTTGTGGGCCAGAGGGTGATGCAATTTGCATGTAGTGTAAGCATGCAGATAACAAGGACTTCAGGATTCAGAAGGAAGACATTTAAGAGGCAAAAGAGGGGGTGTTTGGAGGTAGTTTAGGAATCAGATGATTGCTCCCAAAAAAAATAAAATTTATTTTCTCAGCCATACTAGTCACATTTCAAGTATTAGAGCAGAATTATAGAACATTTCCATCATCACCAGAAGTTGTGTTGGGCAGCTGACATAGAGTGGCCCATCTGCTGTGACCATCCTCCAGCACTGTATCCAGGGCAGGGCAGGTGTCACAGGATCTGTAAACTGAAGAGACCCCTCCTGTCCTAGTGGGAAATTTCTGCTTCCAGACAGCCTTGAATAGGGACTTGGGGCCTGAAAATGTCCCAGGTACCTTCTCTACTTGTTTTTTTCTTGGAGGCCCAGTGAGCTGGCTGGAGGCCAACCCCCCCTCACTCCCCAGCTCAGTGACTGGAACTACTGTGTGCCTACCTGCACATTAGGTCTGTTACGGGGAAAAAGGAGATACTTCCCCCTGTAGAGGGTAGGGAAGTTCTGCAGCAGTTGCCTGGGTCTGCTGAACTCACCCAAAGGGAAGGTGTGATGTGAAAGGCATGTTAGTTTCCTATTGATGCTATAACAAACTACCACAAATTCAGGGACTTAAAACAACACACATTTATCCTCTTGCCTTGCTGGAGGTCAGAAATCCTCAATAAGCTGGAAGGCCTGCATTCCCTCTAGAGCAGGAGTCCCCAGCCCCTGGGCCACGGACCAGTGCTTATAAACAGGGCTGCACAGCAAGATGTGAGTGGCAGGTGAGCGAAGCTTCATCTGTATTTACAGCCACTCCTCATTGCTCGCATTACCACCTGAGCTCCACCTCCTGGCCGATCAGTGGCAGCATTCGATTCTCATAGGAGCCCAAACCCTATTGTGAACTTTGCATGTGAGGGATCTGGATTGCACACTCCTTAGGAGAATCTAATTCCTGATGATCTGTTGCTGTCTCCCATCACCCCCAGATGGGACCATCTAGTTGCAGGAAAACAAGCTCAGGGCTCCCACTGACTCTATATTATGGTGAGTCGTATAATTATTTCATTATATATTACTGTGTAATATAATAGAAATAAAGTGCAGAATAAATGTAATGTGCTTATAAAACATCATCCTGAAACCATTCCCTGCCCAGCCCCACTGCCGCCCCGTGCTCCATGGAAAAATTGTCTTCCACGAAACCAGTCCCTGGTACCAGAAAGGTTGGGGACCACTGCTCTAGAGGCTCTAGGGGAGAACCCATTTCCTGCGTTTTTCATCTTGTAGAGGCCACCAGCCTTCCCTGACTGTGGCTTGTTCCTCCATCATCAACACCAGCAGGGCAGCATCTTCCAGTCTCTCTGTATGTTATCTCCTCCCTGCTACACACACGCTCCCTTCTTCTCTCATCTCATCCCATCCTTCTTTGAACTGACCCTCCTGTTTCCCTTTTATAAGGACCCCTGTAATCACAGTGGGCCCACCCAGCATCATCCCCCATGTCAGGATCCTTGCCTTCCTCACAGCTGCAGAATCCCTTTTGCCATGTAAGGGAGTAGATCCAGAGGTTCTGGGGATTAGAACACAGACCCCTTTCTTGGGAGAGCAGGAAGTTAATCATCTGTCTACCACAGAGGCCCAAGAGCCAAAGACTCCCTCCAACTTGATTTTTTGACGGAACCCGAACTCACCCTGAATGTCCAGTGCCCCCATCCCTGCCCATTCACACCCTTCACTCCTTTTATCTTTTGGGTTCATGTCATGGAGGTCACACATGGAAACCTCCAGAAGCTGGCTTTATGGAGTTACGTTTTATTCTATAAATCTGGAGAAAGGAGGCTTTCTCGTCTTATAAAAAGGACACATGACATTGCTTTGTACCTTGATTTTTTTTTCACTTAAATTTATTGGAGATAATCTCTCTGAATACCTAGAAATCTTTTCAGGGGTTCTTTGTTTTGGTTTTGGTTTGGGGTTTTTTTTTCCTGGCTACATGTTTCTTTGTTATTTATTAAGTTGCTGCAAAAGTAATTGCAGGTTTTGCCATCGAAAGTAATGGCAAAAACCGCAATCACTTTTGCACCAACCTTAAAGCTATCACATAGTTTATTCACCCAATCCCCTACTGATGGTCACTTGTGGTGTTTTCAATCCTCTGCGATTATATGAAGTGCCACAGCGAATCATCTTACACGTGTCTTTCAGTATTTGTGTACCTTTGAGATAGATTTCTAGAAGTGGGTTCTAGGAAAGAACAAATGTTTTTTGCAGGTTTGCTTGACATCAGCACGTTTCCTTCCCTAGGGGTTACCCCCAGCAGTGTGTGAGAATGAAGAGTGTGGGCCACTGTGTCTCTGTTGACCTGCCAGATAGGAAATAGCGCCAGAGTTGCTGCAATCCACGTCTCCCTGGTGAGTAAGGTCATTGTCGATTCCATCAAGGGTATTGTCCTTGGGATGATAGTAGGGAAGCCAGATTGCACCGTGTGAGGACTCAGGAAAGGGGACAGAGTGAAGAGCTGTGGCTGGGATGGGGGATACAGACGGGGCAGTAACCGGAAAGAAAGCTGTACCCCAAGGATGGGCTCATCGCACTACAGAAGATGCCACATCAGGCTTGAGGGGCATGAGGAAGGGTCTAGCAGCACGGGAGAGCTAGAAGGGAAAGGGCGGAGGAGAGAGCTTCGAGCACAGACAGCTCCTCAAAAGCAGGAGGGTGGACCCCAGGCCAGAACTGCCCAGCAAGCCCTGCGGAGAAGGCAGGCAGCTCCTTGTCTGCGATGGGAGGAGGCAGAAGGGTGGGGCACAGGTTGCAGTGCTGGCAGCAACACAGGAAAGTAGATTCCTCCTCATGATCTTTACCCTGAGAAGCAGGATCGGGATTGTCTGCTGAAAATGAGATGATTTGTCATCTCTTGCTGCCTAACAAATGATCTCAAACCTTAGTCACTTGAAACAATGACCATGTATCGTCTCTCACTGTTTTTGTGTTTCAGGAATTCAGGAGCAGCTTGGCTGGAAGGCTCTGGCTGGAAACTTGCAGAAGGCTGTCAGCTGGGTCTGCATCATCTGAAGGCTCAACGGGTACCGGGGGCCACTCCATGGCCTGCGAGTCAGAGCTGGCCGTCGGTGGGAGGCCTCAGTTCCTCTCCACATAGGCCTCTCCACAGGGCCACTTGAGCGTCTTCCCACCATGGCAACTGGTGTCCTCTAGAGCAACATCCAGGAGACCAAGGCGGAAGCAGCTGTAGTGCCTTCCAAGACCTGGTCCTGAAAGTCACCCCTGCACCCACCCCCGCTGTCTCCTCAGCCATATTCTGCTGGTCACACAGGTCAGCTCTAATTCCGTGTGTGCGTCGGGCCTACACAGGGTGTGAGCACCGGGAGGCTGGGATCGTCAAGGGCTCGTTAGGAAGCAGTTACCACAGAGGGGACAGGGGAGGAGGTGTGAAGTTTAAAGAGAGGAGAGGAGGTTTGACGAGTGGGAAGCCATGCTGACCTGTGGGATCGCCCTGCAGGCTGAGGGTTCTCTACACGTTGGTGACCGTGTTATTCCAGAGTGGCAACGTCACAGCCTTTGCACAGGGTGGTCTGCCCGAATGTCCCCTGGAGCAGGTGGATGATTGAAGTCACGCCTGGCTGGAGTTCTGCTGGGCTGGCATGACAGTGGGGGGTAGGGAGGAGGAAATCAGCTGAAATGAGGGACAGTGACATCCAAGCTGGGTGAGGATGAAATCAAGAGAGGGGGTGGCTGAGGCAGGAGAGGGGGTGACCAAGGCAGAGCATAGGTAGGAGAGGGGCTGACTGAGGCAGGAGGGGGGTGACTGAGGCCGAGCACAGGCAGGAGCAGGGTGACCAAGGGCAGGAGTTGGGGTAACAGGCAGAACATGGGCAGGAGAGGGGGTAACTGAGGCAGAGCACAGGCAGGAGGGGGGTGACCAAGGCAGGAGGGGGGTGACCGAGGCAGGAGGGGGGTGACCGAGGCAGGAGGGGGGCTGACTGAGGCAGGATGGGGGTGACCGAGGCAGGAGAGGGGTTGACTGAGGCAGGAGGGGGGTGACCGAGGCAGGAGGAGGTGACTGAGGCCTGCGTGTGGTCGGAGGACATGCGGTGAGAGAAAAAAGGAGTGAACGCCGTGGAAGTTGAGGAGGGAGGTTGGGTTCAGAGAGAGGGGAGTTTCTGAACGTTGTTCTGGGTGGTGGGACAGTGCCCGGTGATGACCAAGGCTGAGGGGACCTGTGGAAACATGTGGCTGATGAGAGAAGGAACAAAGGGCCCTGGAGCTGAGGAACTCCTGAGACTCTGGGGGTCTCTGACATCCTCCAGGAGCTGGGACTGGAGGTGGGAGGAGTTATGGAGGCGCCGGAGTCCCCGGGGAAGGAGGGAGTAGCCGGGAATGCGTTTGTGGTGCGCTTGGATGGGAAGAACATGCCGTGAGACTGCGTGAAGCCGAGGTTCTCAAAGCGGGTGGGTCAGGGAGGTACTGGTCGTTGTGTTGGGGACAGAGGAAGGCAAGTTTTCCATCAGGTGGCCCTGAATTCATTGCCTGCTCAGCAAAATAAAGGCCCAGTGTGGAAGCCGGAACTTGCATTTGAAGAAGGATGGGAAGGATGGGTTGAGGAGGGCCCATCCCCAGCAGCCCGAGAGGGAGGAGGCCACGGAGACTTGGAGCATTCCCGTTTCTTCCAGAGCGCTGCGGGATAAAGGAGGAGCGTCCTGCTTCCCGGCTGCCCTGTTGCTGTCGGAGTCACAGGATGGCGGCTGTCATCCTGCCCTCGACTGCTGGTGAGTCGTGGGGTCCTGACATTTCTCAGAGTCCAGCCTTGAAAGGTTCTGACCCACAGCATGGGACACGAGCGGGGTTGGGCAGAGCAGGTGAGGCAGGAGTGGAGCCCCAGGGGCCCAGAGGTCCTCCGTGTCTGATCGGGCAGCTCTCGGGATTTGGGACTTAGGCATTTGGGTGTCTGTGGATGTCACCTGTGTGGTGAATGTGCTGGAGCTTTTGAATTCTCCCTTTAGTTCTTTCTGTGAATCTGATAAAAACACAGTGACGCCCTTGGAACTTGTTTCCTCATCTGTGAAGTGGGAATAATCCCTTCCCCAAGTGCAGTCAGACCTTGAGCCCTATTGTCTTTGGTTGGTGAGACAGGGCTGTGTTTGGGTATCTTAGGAGAGCTGTGGGTAGGTGTTTGCATGGAGCGTAGGTGGGCACTGTGTGGTGCCTCATCCGTGTGGGTGTGGGAGGTGGGTGTGGTCAATCAGGGGCAGATCTGTGGGTGTCAGACAAGCCTGAATCCATGGGACTCATTTCTCCTCCTCCAGCTCCGTCTTCCCTGTTCCCAGCCTCTCAGCAAAAAGGACACACACAGGGCGGAGAGCTGGTTAATGAGCTCCTGACAAGCTGGCTACGGGTGAGTCAGATGTTCCTTTTCCCAAATCATTATTCCTTTGGCCAGAAGGTTGGACTTGATACCTTCCAGCAGCCTGGAGCCTCATGGCCAAACCAGGTCCTCAGGCATCCCAGGATTTCCAGGCATCAGATGGAGGGTGAGGGCTGCCCAGAAAATGTCAGTGTGTGTCAACATTTACTGCAGGTTCAGAGCTCCCTCCAGGGTCCCTGAGTACATCATGTGCTCCTGAGAGTTTTAAGGGAAAGCCAAGTAAAGACGTGATGATGTTCTAAACCCAAGCAATTAATAAACGCCACGGAAATCAGTCATTCACTTACCAAGTATTTCTCTGCTTTCTGCCATGTCACGGGCCCATGATCCCCTGGAGATTGAGGGAAATAAGATCACAGGAGCTCCCAGTCTGAGTGAGAAAAGGCAGCTGCTCTGTGGTACTGTGCACTGGACCTGGGAATGGCCTAAGGAGACAAGCATTGAGGGCTGAGCTCAGAAGCCAGGGAGAAGAGCTCAGAACCCCAGGAGAGGAGCTCAGAACCCTGGGAGAGGAGCTCAGAACCCTGGGAGGTGAGCTCAGAACCACCCCCCCCAACATCTCGTGCTCAGGTTTCCCCAGCCCTGGCTCTGTTCTCCTGGCCCCTCTTCCTGTGCACGTTGGTGGGGGTGGTCCTTGGCTAAGCCGTGATGTTTGCAATGCTTTAGGGCTTGGTAACCTTCGAGGATGTGGCCGTGGAGTTCACCCAGGAGGAGTGGGCGTTGCTGGACCCTGCCCAAAGGACACTGTACAGGGATGTGATGCTGGAGAACTGCAGGAACCTGGCCTCACTAGGTAAGCCTAATGTCATTCCTGCATTTATTTAATGACTCCAGTGGCAACACTTGCCTGCTTTGCTTACTTTTTTTATTGTGGTAAAATCCATACAACATAAAATTCACCATTTTTAACCATTCTAAGATATCCAGTCCAGTGGTTTTTCATACATTCATGGTATTGTGCAACCATCAACACTATCTAATATCACCATATTTTCATCACCCTGAAGGAAACCCCGTCCCTATGAAGCAGCCAATACCCGTTACTTTCCCTACCCACTGCTGCTGGTAACCACTCATCTGGTGTCTGTCTTTAGGAATTTACCTATCCAGAACATATCATATAAATGTAATTACAAAATACATTACCTTTTGTGTCTGACTTTTCATGTAGCACAGTGTTTTAAAAACTTAGCTATGGGCCAGGTGTGGTGGCTCACACCTGTAATCCCAGCACTTTGGGAGGCCGAGGCGGGCGGATCACGAGGGCAGGAGTTCGAGACCAGCCTGACCAACATGGTGAAACCCCATCTCCACTAAAAATACAAATTAGCCGGACGTGGTGGCACACACCTATCCCCAGCTAGTCAGGAGGCTGAGGCAGGAGAATCGCTTGAACCAGGAGGCAGAGGTTGCAGTGAGCTGAGATTGTGCCATTGCACTGCAGCCTGGGCAACAGAGCACAACTGTGTCTCAAAAAAAACAAAACAAAAAAACTTAGCTATGTTGTATGTTGTACCAGCGCTTCATTCCTTATGACTGAATGATATTCCATTGTATGGACATACCACATTTTGCCAATCCATTTTTCTATTGAGAAACATTTGAGTTGTTTCCACTCTTTGACTATCAAGAATAATGCTATAATACTATGAATTTTTGTGTACGAGCTTTTGTTTAAATGCCCACTTTCCATTTTCTTGGGCATATACTAGGAGTGGAAGGCTAGGTCTGTGTTTAGCTTCTTGAGGAACTGCCAGACTTTTCCACAGCAGCTGCACCATTGCACGTTCCCGCCAATGCAGGAGGGTTCCAGCTTCTCTGCATCTTCCCAGCACTTGCCTTTTTGATTATACTCATACCAGTAGGTATGAAGTGCTATCTCGTTCTTGTTTTGATTTGCATTTTTCTAATGACAAATGACATGGAGCATCTTTTCATGTACTTGTTGAGTATTTTTCTTTGGAAAAATGTCTATTCAAGTCCTTTGCCCATTTTTGTTATTGTTGTTATTTGTTTGTTTGCTTGTTTTGACACAGTCTCCCTCTGTCGCCCAGGCTGGAGTGCAGTGGCGCAGCACGATCTCGGCTCACTGCAACCTCTGCCTTCCGGGTTCAAGTGATTCTCATACCTCAGCCTCTCAAGTAGCTGGAATTACAGGCATGTGCCACCATGCCTGGCTAAATTGTTTTGTATTTTTTATAGAGACAGGGTTTCGCTGTGTTGGCCAGGCTGGTCTCAAACTCCTGGCCTCAAATGATCCGCCTGCCTTGGCCTCCCAAAGTGCTGGCATTACAAGTGTGAGCCACCGCTCCCAGTCCTCTGCCCATGTTTTACTTGGGTTGTTTATTTTTGTTGTCGGATTTTAAAAGTTCATTTTATATTCTGGGTACCAAATCCTTATTCAAAATATAATACATAAATGATTTCTCTATTCTTTGGGTGTCTTTTCATTTTCTTGATAGTGTCCTTTGATGCACAAAAGTTTTAATTGTGACCAGGCAGAGTGGCTCACGCCTGTAATCCCAGCACTTTGGGAGGCTGAGATGGATGGATCACTTAAGGTCAGGAGTTCAAGACCAGCCTGGCCAACTTAGTGAAGCCCCATCTCTACTAAAAATGCAAAAATTAGCCAGGCGTGGTGGCAGGTGCCTGTAATCCCACCTACTCGGGAGGCTGAGGCAAGAGAATCACTTGAACCTGGGAGGCAGAGGTTGTAGTGAGCCGAGATCCACTATATTCCAGCCTAGGCGACAGAACGAGACTCCGTCTCAGAAGACAAAAAAAATTTTAATTGTGATGAAGTCTGTTGTATCTAGTTTTTCTTTTTTGCTTGTGCTCTTGGTGTGATACCTAAGAAACCATTGCTCAAGTCAAGGTCATGAAGATCTACCCCTATGTTTTCTTCCAAGAATTTTCTAGTGTTAACAATTCCACTCAGCTGTGTGATAGATTTTGAGTGAATTTTGCTTATGGTGTGGAGAAAGGGTCAACTTCATTCTTTTGCATGTGTGTATATCCAGTTGTCTCACCACCTTTATTCTTTCCCCATCAAATGACCTTGGTACCCTTATTGAAAATTATGTGGCCATACACACTGGAGTTTATTTACATACTCTCAATTCTGTTCCATTGGTCTGTATATCTCGAACTCCTGACCTCAAGTGATCCGCCTACCTGGGCCTCCCAAAGTGCAGGGATTACAGGCATGAGCCACTGCTCCTGGCTCCATTGGTCTATGTATCTGTCCTTGGGTCAGTACCACAATGCCTTGATTATTGTTACATTGTAGTAAGTTTTGATAACAGTAAGTGTAAATCTTTCTACTTTATTCTTCTTTTTCACTTCTTGTCTGTTCAAGATCCCTCGCAATGCCATGAATTTTCAGATCAGTTTGTGTATTTCTGAAAGGAAAAAAAACTCAGAATTTTGATAGTGATTGTTTTATCTCTGTAGATAATTTTGGGTAGTATTGTCACCTTAACAATATTAAGGCTTCCAATACATAACTTTATTATTTTTTTTGAGACAGAGTCTCACTCTGTCACCAGGCTGGAGTGCAGTGGTGCGATCTCGGCTCACTGCAACCTCCGCCTCCCAGGCTCAAGTGATTCTCCTGCGTCAGCCTCCCGAGTAGCTCGGACTACAGGTGCGCACCACCACGCCCAGCTAATTTTTGTATTTTTAGTAGAGATAGGGTTCCACCATGTTGGCCGGGATGGTCTCAATCTCTTGACCTCGTGATCCACCCACCTCGACCTCCCAAAGTGCTGGGATTTCAGGCGTGAGCCACTGCGCCTGGCCCTGTTACTCATTTTTAATTTCATTCCATTGTGGTTAAGGAAGATACTTTGTATGAGTTCATTGTTTTTTAATTTAGTCAGACTTTTTTTATAGCCTAACATATAATCTATCCTGGAGAATGTTCCATGTGCATTTGAGATGAATATGGATTCTCTTGTTGGGTGGTGTGTTCTTTATATATTTGTTAGGTCTAGTTAGTTTATTGTTTAATCCTTCTGTTTCCTTTTTGATCTTCTAATATGTTGTTTTATCCATTATTGAAAGTGGAGTATTGAAGTCTCAAACGATTATTATAGAACACTCTATATCTTCCTTCAATTATGCCAGTTTTTACTTCATACATTTTGGAGTTCTTATTAGGCACATATATGTTTATAATCGTTACATTTTCTCCATAAATTGATGCTTTATACAACTATAATGTCTTTCTCTGTTTTATAACAATTTTTATTGTATGAAATATCTTTTTCCATTCTTTCACTATTGGCCATATTTGTGTCTTTGAATATAAAGCAAGTGTCTTATAGACAGTATGTACACATGCTCCGCAACTTTGATGGGGCTATGTCCCAATAAAGCCATTGTAAGTTAAAAATACCATAAGTCAAAAATGCAAAACAATGAAAAAAAAAAAAGTCAAAAATGCATTTAATTCACCTAACCCACTGAACATCATAAGTTAGCCTAGCCTAAACATGCTCAGAACACTTACATTAGCCTACAGTTGGGCAGTGGGCTAACATAGCAGTGTATTTTAAATAAAGTATTGAATATCTCAACAATTATAAATTATATATTTAATATGGTACTGAAAGTGAAAAATAGAATGGTTGTAGGGTACTTGAAGTGTGCTTTCTACTGAATGCGTATGATCTTTGTACCATCATAAAGTTAAAAAATCATACCATGGTAAGCTGGGGACCATCTGTAATTGGGTTATTTTTTAAATCCATTCTGCCAAAATCCACCTTGTAATGATGTAATTACTGATAAGGAAGGAGCTACTTCTGCCTATTTACTATTTGCTCTATAACTATTTACTTTTTTCTACGTGTCATATCATTTTTGTTCCTAAGTTCTTTCATTGTTGTTTTGTGTTAGATATTTTCTAGTGGACCATTTTGATTCCCTTCTCATTTCTTTTTAATCTTTTTAGTTATTTTCTTAGTGGTTGCCCTGAGAATTTTAATAAGCATTTTAATTTATAACAATCTAGTTTAATAGCAACTTAGTTTCAATAGTATATAAAAACTTTGTTTCACTGTAGCTGTTCTGTTTAGTAATTTTGTCACAAATTGCATCTGTATGCATTGTGTGCCCATTAATGTAGATGTGTAATCATTTATGCTTTTGTCTTTAAATTATGTAGTAATAAAAGAGAAGTTATAAACCAAAAACACATTGTCAGTGACTTTTATATTCACCTCTGTATTTACCTTTACCTGTGTTCTTCACTTCCTTCTGTGGATTCAAGTTACTCTCCATTATCTTTTCATTTTGTCCTGAAGTCACCCTTGATCATTTTTTGTAGGGTAGATGTAATAGTGACAAACACTCAGTCTTTGTTTATGGGAAGGTCTTCATTTCTTTATTTTTGAAGGGGAGTTTTGCCAGATATAGAATTCTTGGTTGCCATTTTTTCTCAGCTCTTTGAATGTACCACTCCAGCGCTTGGTGGTTTCCATGGTTTCTATTGAGAAATTGACTGTAATCTTACCGAGGATCCTGTTTACGTCATAAGTCATCTCCGTCTTGCTGTTTTTAGGATGCTGCCTTTGTCTTTCAACAGTTTGATTAATATGTGTTTGATGCCGGCTGCAATGGTTCACGCCTATAATCCCAACACTTTGGGAGGCTGAGGCAGAAGGACCCCTTGAGGTCAGGAGTATGAGACCAGCCTGGGCAACTTGGACCCTGTCTCTACAAAAAATTAAAAAATTAGTCAGACGTGCTGGTGCACACCTATGGTCCCAGCTTCTTGGAAGGCTGAGGTGGAAGGATTGCTTGACCCCAGGAGATTAAGGCTGCAGTGAGCCATGATCACACCACTGCACTCCAGCGTGGGTGACAGAATAAAACCCTGGCTCAAAAAATGTGTGTGTGTGTGTGTGTGTGTTTCAGTATGAATCTCTATTTTTTCAAATTTATTCTACTTGAGTTTGTTGAGCTTCTTGGATTTGTACATTTGTGCCTTTCATCAAATTTTGGGAAGTTTTTAGCCATTATTTCTTCAACCTTCTCACCCTTTTCTCTCTTTACATCTCTCTGGTTCTCCACATCCTATATATGTTGGTAGGTTCGATGGTATCCCAAAGGTCTCAGGCTCTGTTCATCTTTTTTAAAACTCACATTCTCTCTCTCTCTCTCTCTCTCTTTATCTTTGAGACAGGTTCTCACTCACTCTGTCACCTAGGCCGGAGTGCAGCAGAGTGATTGTGGCTTACTGCAGCCTTGACCTCCTGGGCTCAAGTGATCCTCCCACCTCAGCCTCCCAAATAGGGAGGCATGGCTAGAGACGTGCATCACCATGCCCAGCTAATTTTTTTAATTTTTTGTAGAGTCAGGATCTCACCATGTTTCCCAGGCTGGTCTTGAACTCCTGGTTGCAAGCAGTCCTCCTGCCTCAGCCTCCCAAAATGCTGGGATTATACATGAGCCATTGCACCTGGCATCTCTCTTTTTTCTGCTCCTCAGACTGGATAATATCGATTGTCCTATCTTCATGGTCACCAATTTTGTCTTCTGCCTGCTCAGATATGTTCTGAATGTTTCATTTCAGCTATTGTACTTTTCAACTCAAATTTTTTTATTTGCCTTCCTAAAGTTTCTGTCTCTTAATGTTTTCCATTTTTTGTATTTTTTTGATATGCCATAGTTGTACCTATTTTGCTGTTTTTCATTTGATGAAAATTTGTATTCATGGTTTCCTTTAGTTCTTTATACATATTTCTTTTACATCTTTTAGCAGATTTTAAATAGTTGACTTATTTTACTTGTCTAGTTAAGTCCAGTGTTTGAACTTCTGAAGGGACAATTTCTACCAGCTTCATTTTTCTTGTAATGGGCCCAACGTTTGTTTCCTTGCCTCCCTCATAATTATTTTGTTGAAACTAGGGTATTTGGAATATTATAATATAGCAATTTGGGAATCAGACTTTTCCCCATCTCCAGAGTTTGTTTTACTTGTTGTAGTTGGTATTGTATCTATAGAACATACAACAGTTCTAAAGTTAGTTGTGAAATAGAACTATTGTGTGTTCTAAAGTTGTAGAATATCATATATTGTAAACTCCTGTTAGAATATACAATAGTTCTATTTCAGAACTAACTTTGTAATGTCTGTATTTGTCATGTGTGGCCACCGAAGTCTCTTTTCTGATAGCGTAATGGTCATATAGTGATTTGAAGGCCTGGAACAAAAAAGGAAAAAACTTCTAGTCTCTTTACGTGGGCTCTGTGTGTACATAGGGACATGCCTTTAATACTTAGGTAGGCATTTAACTGTGCCTTGACCTTCATTTCTGGCTTGTGCAGAGCCTGAAGGTCACCAAAAGATGAGGGTTTTGTGCCTTCTCAGGTATTTTCTGGGCATGCTCCCAGCCCTGAGTATGTGCTTGGAATTACAGGTTCTTAAGAATATGAGGAAGATTTTCAAAGTCCTACTCCCCAAACATCTTTTTCCCCATTTTTCCTTTCAGGCTTTTCGGTTAGTCTTTTGTTTGCTTCTACTGTTTTCTCTTGCCTCAAGCAGTACTGACTAATACATTTACCTTTACATCTGTCGATCACGTGTGTTCCAGGTAACCAGCTCAGTCCTGAAAGAATTTGGAGTTAGATAAATAAAGACAACCCTTTGAGCCAGTCCTTCAGGGAACCACCAGACAGGTCAGGAAGAGCAACCACAGAGTAAGGTCTGTTCTGCTCCCTGCAAGTACTAGGAATGCAGGCTGTTGTCTTCAAGGTTGTAGAAAAAGCAGGGGAAAGAGGTCCATTTAAAGTATCATAAAGCTCTCTTACCCAGATTCAGCTGGGTTTTCTGAGAAGGCATTCTCCTGATTGCTGTGGACTTTTGATACATTTCAAGAATTCCGATAAAGTTGATTCGGACCGCTTTTGCCAGTTTACTCACTGTTTTTGTGGAGGGATGAACGTTTGGAATTCCGTCCTCCACCACTGTCACTGTCATCACTTCTTTCAAGTTTTCTTGAGCACCTCTGTGTTCCTAGGTCTGTGCAGTGACTTGGGAGTACAGTGATGAATGGGACCATATGGTCCCACCCTCATGGGCAGT
The DNA here is from genome assembly GCF_000001405.40 of Homo sapiens. NCBI lineage: Eukaryota > Metazoa > Chordata > Mammalia > Primates > Hominidae > Homo > Homo sapiens. The sequence goes on along the minus strand of NC_000019.10, from coordinate 8,813,880 downwards.
CTCTAATTCCTGCCTTATGAACTGAAGATCTATTTCTTGTCCTGACTTTATATTCTTCATGGTTAAAAGTTTTGGGGCCTCTGAAGTGTGCATTTGAACTCAGGCATGGCCTTCTGGGGCTGTTTATGCCCTATCACCCTGAATATCTAGTTGAATATGCTTGTTGCATTTTTGTTCAGTGAGAGTTACCATATGCACTAGAATTAAGGTATAATTGGCAGGGCGTGGTGGCTCATGCCTGTAATCCCAGCACTTTGGGAGGCCAAGGTGGGTGGATCACGAGGCCAGGAGATCAAGAGATCAAGACCTGCCTGGCCAATATGGTGAAACCCCGTCTCTACTAAAAATACAAAAATTAGCCGGGCGTGGTTGTGTGCACCTGTAGTCCCAACTACTTGGGAGGCTGAGGCAGGAGAATCGCTTGAACCTGGAAGGCAGAGGTTGCAGTGAGCCGAGATCATGCCACTGCACTTCAACCCGGGCGACAGAGCAAGACTCCATCTCAAAATAAATAAAAAAAAGAAAAGAATTAAGGCATAATTTATTTCACTGCTCCTAAAGTCACACTTTTCCATCTTCATAAATGTTGGCTTTCTTTCATGGACTTGGTTGTCCCCAGCACTGTTACCTATATCATGTGTATTGTTTCCATAAATAGGGTGTCGTGTTAATAAACCCAGTCTGATATCCCAGTTGGAACAAGACAAGAAGGTGGTGACAGAGGAAAGAGGAATTCTACCAAGCACCTGTCCAGGTGAGCACCAGGTGGATATGAGCCCTTGTGAGGAATAGCTCTGGCCAGTGACTTGGGGGTTGGGAGTATTACATTAGTTCATGTCAATCAGGGAACTTTGTAAAATACCCTGTTCCTGACAAACATGCACGAGAACATTTGGTGTGAGCTTCCTCATGTCCTTTCTTTTCTCTCTAACTCCCTTGTCATCATCTCATACTTCACTTTGGGCTCAGGGAAGAAACAAAGATGCAACTCTTTTGAAAATTTCAGTCAAGTTCCTTTCCACTTTGCATTCCTGATCACTCCTCTTGTCAATCTGTGATCAATCTCAATTTGTCTAGAATCCTTTTTTAAAATTAATACCTAAAATTTTCATAACCAAATCCTCTTTGTTGCAAACATCCTCAAAAACCCTGATCCCTCAGAATCTGCCTTTACTCATGTGTACACTTTTCCATTTCTTTTCTCCATCAACCTAAATTTCTTTTCAATTTGTTTCAGATTTGGAGACTCTACTTAAAGCCAAATGGTTAACTCCTAAGAAGAATGTTTTCAGAAAAGAACAGTCTAAAGGTGTAAAAACGGTAAGACTAACATGGGTGATTTCTGGTTTTCTACAGTAGGAGAATGCCTTAAGTTTAGAAAGGGCACAAAATAACCAGGAGAGGCATTAAAGGAAAGTGTCATTTATAATTGAGAATGCTGTGTTCCTGGAGAGACACTGTGAAAATTATAAATATTTAGAGAAGTGTGAGTTAGCTCCAAACTTATTTCTTCACGGAGAGTTCCCACAAGTAAATATTTCCTATCTGTGGCTCAGATATTGACTGTTGGAACAAAACTTCATCCACACGTTATCAGAAAATGTTTTGTGCATCTGATAAGGACTTGTGGCAAAGCATCTATGTTTTTTAACTTTCTTAGAGCTAAAACTGGGCAGAAATCACATACAACCACTGAAAGTAGCCAAAATATCAATTATAATAATGTAACAGAATTCCTGGGAGAGAAGATTCCTAGGAGAACATTAAGTATTTCAAATATTATAAATTATAGTTATCATTCATCTCTTAATCCACAGGAAAGAAGTCATCGTGGAGTGAAACTCAATGAATGTAATCAGTGTTTTAAAGTCTTCAGCACGAAATCTAACCTAACTCAGCACAAGAGAATTCATACTGGAGAAAAACCCTATGACTGTAGTCAATGTGGGAAGTCCTTCAGTAGCAGATCTTACCTTACTATTCATAAGAGAATCCATAATGGGGAGAAACCCTATGAATGCAATCACTGTGGGAAAGCATTTAGTGATCCCTCATCCCTTAGACTGCATTTGAGAATTCACACTGGAGAAAAACCCTATGAATGTAACCAGTGTTTTCACGTTTTCCGCACCAGTTGTAACCTCAAAAGCCACAAGAGGATTCACACGGGGGAGAATCACCATGAATGTAATCAGTGTGGAAAAGCTTTCAGCACAAGGTCCTCTCTCACTGGGCACAATAGCATTCATACAGGGGAGAAACCTTATGAATGTCACGATTGTGGGAAAACCTTCAGGAAGAGCTCCTATCTGACACAGCACGTAAGAACTCATACTGGAGAAAAACCCTATGAATGTAACGAGTGTGGGAAATCCTTCAGCAGTAGCTTTTCTCTTACTGTGCACAAGAGAATACATACCGGAGAGAAACCCTACGAGTGCAGTGACTGTGGAAAAGCCTTTAATAATCTCTCAGCTGTGAAGAAACACTTAAGAACTCACACTGGAGAAAAACCCTATGAATGTAATCATTGTGGGAAATCCTTCACAAGTAACTCCTATCTTTCTGTGCACAAGAGAATACATAATAGATGGATATGAATTACTGCAGGAACTTCTGGAGGAAAGCACTCATTGATCTTTCATCCCTAAGATAGTTTGAGAGAGCTCACACTGGATATATAAGTTATTTGTTGCAGCATAACAAATGATCCCCGCAAATTTTGTGGCTTCAAACACGAAATGTTTATTCTCTAACAATTTCTACAGATCAGGAATTCAAGAACAGCTTATCTCTGTAGTTACACTGCAGGATCTCTCATGCCTTTACTTACAATCAAGATGTCAGCCAAAGCTATAGTCATCTAACATCTTTACTGATGAACAGTCCACTTCCAAGATGACTTATTCACATGCCTGGAAAGTTGATGTTGGTTGTTGTCAGGGGACCTTCAGTCATTACCATGTAGGCCTCTTTACAAGGCCCAGCTCCTTGACAATTTGGCAATAAGTTCTCGCCAAGGTTAGTGATCCAAGAGAGGACCAATACAGAGGCCAAAATGGCTTTTATGACCTATCCTCAGGAGGACTGCTAAGCTTTCACTTATTTCCTATTGTGTTGGTCTCACAACACACCAATCCTGATACAATGTGAGAGACTGCAGAAGGTATGAATACCAGGAAACAGATAACTCAGAAGCATCTGGGAAATTTGCCATGGAATTAATGAAGAAAAGCCCTCAGCACATCATCCTTCTACTCTAATCAATATGAAATAGCATTCAGTAACTCCTATTAATTCACTCTGAAGAGAAACCTTTTGAGGACAATCTGTATGGTAAAGCTCTCAGCTCGAATTCTCACCTTCATGGGCCCAGAAGATTATGTACTGAGAGAATCCTGAAGAATGGAACAGCTGTAGAAAGCCTTCAGTGCTATCAGCAGGGATTCATGTGACAGCTCACACTAAGGGAGAAAACCTGTGAAGGTCTCAGAAGGCTTCAGTGACAGTCATCCCTTAAGACGCACTGGAAATCACACAATGGAACAACACTCAGAAATGCGGAATACCCTACAGCAAAAGTGTTCACATTACTGAGCAAACTATAGTGTGGTATTCTGCAGTGACTATGGGAAAGCCTTGAATGTTCTATCGGTTTTTAAGGGACTTGAGAATTAATTCTGGAGAGAATGCCCCATTGAACATCATCAATATTGGAGAGCTTTCTGTTTTTCTACATTTGTTAGGAAACTTGTGAGCATTCACACTACAGAGAAACTTGAAATATAAAGAAGAAGAGAAAGCCTTCAGTGATGCCTCTGTGTTAGGGAAAATATGGAACTTCTCCCTGGATGCAAAACCTATGAGTATATTAATATTGGAAAATTTTTCAGTGATTCTTCTCTTTCTTGTATATGAGAGAACTTATATGGAGAAACCCCTAGGAATGTAATCAGTGTTAGGATGCCTCAGCCTGAACTCTTCACTGAGTGGCCACAATTTTCACTGGGAACAAAAAGTATAATCACTGTTTTGAGTGTGGGATATCCTTTATCAGTGTCTCATCTGTAGATTGGACTGCTGGCTCATTAATTTTTTTAGTCTTTTTTTCTTTTAATATAAACATTTGTGTATAGCTGTTCCCTAAAATAAACATTAACATATTTCATAATTTTAATGCAATGTATTTATTATAATTAATTTGCTTGTTAAAGACATCCACACATTGCATATTCAAAAAGTTATTTCCAAATACCTTCTGAGTGATTCAGTTTATCATAATGGAAATTAGTATTTATAAACACATTTTTCTAATGTAGTGGTATTTTTGGCAGAGTACATGAGCTTTATGATACTGATTATTTTCTCTCTATCTTGGTATGCCAAATACTGTTGGTTTCTTTCCCAGTGTCCGTTCTCTTCAGTTTATTCGTTTAAAGAAACAAACATGTTGTTCAAGTTGTCTGTGAACAATATCGAAAGTTCTCAATCTTATAGTTTTTCCTGAAGCCCAGGCGGGTTTTTTCGCACTCCCCTGGCAATGAGAAGTAAGTCGAAGTCACTGTGTGGAACATCTCCTGGCTTGTTCTCCTCACATATTTTCCATTCACCTCACCCATTCTGTCTCTTGGAAAGTGGCCTCAAGGTCTAGAGTTTGAAGAGCTTCTTTTTGACCACAATGACAGAAACCAAAGTGCAGCCAAAAATCACAATGCTTTGGGCTCTCCAGGAGCCTCCGATTGGCTGCATCTGCTCTGGACTCCTTATTCTTATACTTCTTATGTGACTAAAAGAAACCCCTAGGCTGGGTGTGGTGGCTCACGCCTTTAATCCCAGCACTTTTGAGAGGCTGAGGTGGGTGGATCATGAGGTCAACAGATTGAGACCATCCTGGCCAACGTGGTGAAACCCTATCTCTACTAAAAGTATAAAGATTAGCTGGGTGTGGTGGTGCACACCTGTATTCCCAGCTACTCGGGAAACTGAGACAGGAGAATTGCCTGAACCTGGGAGGTAGAGGTTGCAGTGAGCCAAGATGGCGCCAGTGCACTCCAGCCTGGCAACAGAGCGAGACTCCATCTCAAAATAAACAAATAAATATTTTTAAAAAAAGAAACCCCTAACTGATTGAAGCCAACATGATCTGTTGTTTGTTTTTGAGGTGGTGTTCTGTTAACTTCCAGCAGGATGCAGAATCTAACTGGTAAACCTATAAATTGGTCAAGTTTTACCCATGTTGTTTCTTTGAAAACAATGTATATTCTCTAATATTTGGATATAGGGTATATGAACATTAATGCAACTTAATTGTATTTCCAAGTACAGTACGTATGTTCAGATTTCTTTTTCTAACCTTATTTAGTGATAGAGGTGTGGTAAACTCTTCCATTATGTTTATGTATTAACACTGTAATTTTGTCATTTTTATATATTTTGACATTATGTAACTAGATGCATACAGGATTAGGTATTCTGTATTCCTTTTTATGTGGAGATGATATTTTTACATAGCAAAGTATTGTAATGCATTAATAATAAATGGTCAAACATTTATTTATTTATTTATTTATTTTAGATGGAGTTTCACTCTTGTCATCAAGGGTGGAGTGCAATGGTGCGATCTCGGCTCACTGCAACCTTGGCCTCCCAGGTTCCAGCAATTCTCCTGCCTCAGCCTCCTGAGTAGCTGGGATTACAGGCACCTGCCACCACGCCCAGGTAATTTTTTTATATTTTTAGTAGAGATGGGGTTTCACCATGTTGGCCAGGCTAGTCTCGAACTCCTGATGGTCAGACATTTATATTGCACTTCCCATAGATCAGGCCCCCTTCTAAATGACATATAAGTATTAACTCAGTATGCATTATAAACTTAAGTATGTAATGTTATTATCCCCAGTTTACAGATGAGAAAACTGGTATGATACACTTAAGTTACTTGCCTGCATTCACTGACTGGTAAATGGTAGAGCCAAGATCTGAACCCAGACAGTCCATGCACTTAACCACTACCCTATTAACGGAGTATGTTCTGTGTGCCAGGCAAAGTTTTGCCATTGAAATACTTCACCTAATGGAGGAGGAACAGATTATAGAAAAATCAAGAAAATATGGTATTATAGAGTTATAGGAAAAAAAAGCATTTTAGGAGAGTTAAGGGGGGTTGGGAATAATAATTTTATATAACTAGGAAAAGAAAGCCTCTTGGTAAGGAGCATTTGAGCGGAGATCTCAACAAGTTGGGACAGTGAGTCATATGAATTTGTCTTGCAAGAGTAGTGTTGGCATGCAAAGGCCCACAACAAGGAGGCCAATACAGCTGGAGTGGAACAAAGGGGTGATGAGGGAGCAGTAAAAGATGATGTGGTCAGAGACATGGTAGATCCTGATCTTGTTGGGTTTTCTGAGACATTGTTAGGACTTTTCCTTATTTCAGTGAGTTGGCACATCAGTCAGGGTCCCAGCAGGAACTCAGGTTGACACCCACAGACTAGGACAATTCAAGTAGAGTTTTCATAAAGGGTCTACTCAGTCCTGTGGACAGGATCCAGGGAAACCACAAAAAGTTGTAAAGCACCCAGCAGCTTAGCAGGGCAGAGCTCTAACACCTCACAGCCTGAAGGGACGAAGGGAGGGAGCAACTGAATCTGGAGACGAGAGGAGAGGGCTGCATTCCAGGAGCTGAGAGAGGTCAGTCAGCGATAGCATCCAGCCCCAGGTCCTCCTGCAGGAAATAGCCAGGGTCAGACCTCACTCTCCTTCATCCATTGAGACAGGAAAATATCCCCATTTATGAATATATAAATCAATAGCAGATCCAGAGACAATTTGGGTATTGGAGTTAGCAGACAAAGACTTTAAAATAACCAAGAATAATATGTTAAGGGAAATGGAGGAAACATGGACAAACCATAGAAAATGAGAGACAAACTGCAAATCTACCAAACAACCAAAGAAGAAGGACACATTGCTTTCAAAGCAGCATCAGTAAGACTAATGATGACTTTTCAAAAGAAACTATGGAAGCAAGAAGACAATGAATGACATCTGACATATAAAGGGTTAAATGGGTTGGAGGAGGGGGAAATTGTCAATCAAAAGTTCTGTAACCTAAGAAAATATTCTTCAAAACTGAAGGCAACAATGTTTTCCAATGGGAGGGAATATTTTTTTTTTTTTTTTTGAGATGGAGTCTCACTCTGTCGCCATGCTGGAGTGCAGTGGCATGATCTCGGCTCACTGCAACCTCCTCCTCCTGGGTTCAAGTGATTCTCCTGCCTCAGCCTCCTGAGTAGCTGGGACTACAGGTGTGTGCTACCACGCCCAGCTAATTTTTGTATTTTTAGTGGAGACAGGGTTTCACCATGTTGGCCAGGATGGTCTCGATCCTTTGACCTCACATGATTTGCCCACCTCGGTCTCCCAAAGTGCTGGGATTACAGGCGTGAGCCACCACGCCCGGCCTGGGAGGGATTTTTTTAAGCTGAGAGAATTAACAGCATAACCGTATTTTCAGAAACACTGAAGAGATTTCTTCAGGCTTCAGGAAAATGATTCCATAGAGACATACATAATTCCAGGAATTAAGATCAACAGGAAACATAAGATGCAAGTAAATATAAATCAGTACTGACTGTATAAAACAACCCTGTATAGTTTTACAACTTTTATGTATATCTAAACTTTCCAAAATAAAATGCTTTTAAAAACACATTGCATTGATCTCCCCAAACTAGAGGTGGTGGAAAGCACTGCAGGAGATTTCTCCCCCAACACACACAAACACACAAGACTAGTGATTATGGAAGGCCCAACAAGTGGTGCGTATAGTCTGCATCCAACAATAGAGATGATAGAAGTCCTAGTAAGGGGTCATCAGGCCCCTCCAAAACTAGAGGCAACAAGACCTCAGTTAGCAGGTGTCATCCCCAAACACAAAAGATACTGAGAAAGCAAGACATCCATCCTCCCAAAACTAGAACTGATGGAAATTTCAATAAGCACCTCCAGTTATGTCTGATACTTGAAATGACAGCAATCCCACAAGTGACTTCCTCAGCTGCCCCTCAGCACTAAAGAATGAGGATCCCAAGCCCAGTGACCTACCTCATCTATACCAATAATAAGGAAGACCCAGAAAGTGACTCTAGTAACCCCCTCAACACTAGATAAAATAGGTTAAAAGAGACCCTTCCAAACCCACTGGACAGAGATAAGTGGACCCCCACAGAATAACAACCCATCTTCTTCCCAAACTAAGACAATGGGACCTCCATCCAGGTACACTTCCCTGACTCCCCAATATTTAAAAAATGGGAGTCAAAGGTAGTGATCCTCCAGGCCCTAAAAAACAGGAGCTCGTACCTCCAGCCTCTTAGTTACACCCCTCAACACAATGAGGATTCCATCAGATGAGAACTTCAAGTGACCCCCCTATATTCCTCTAACATTAGATGAAGGAAACCCAAAAAGGCAATTTCCAATCCCCTACATACTAAAGAAAGCTCCAAATTCCACAACACTCTCACTCAACACAAACCCTAGCTTGCCTCCCTTGTCTCCCCAAGAGCAGACACAAATATCCCCAGCAAGGATACCACAGCCTTCCCCCAATACAATCATGAGAATCTCAACAGGCAACCCGCCAGGTTCTACCTCTCATTCGATTATTACAAAATAAGAGTTGACAGAAGCATCAGGAAGCAACACTCTCAACATAAATGAGGAGAGCCCACAGTGTGAGTCCCTCAAGTCTTCCCTAACATAAGATGACTGCCCCTTCAGTGAGCCCTCTTTATTCCAAACACAAGAAACCAGCTGAGCCCTAGTAGGCAACTCTTCAGCTTGCTCTTGCAATGCAGATGTCTGTCCCCACCTGATAGCAGATACGTAGAGCCCCATCAAACCAAGTGTCTCCTTTCCCAGGGAATGTTAGAACATGGAAGACAACAGTAGTCCCAACATGCCAGCATATGCCCCCAAGCTCCCATAATACAGGAGGTGACAGGAGCCCAGGAAGCAAACCTTCCCCCAACATTTTCTGCACCCAGCAGACCGCTCTTATAGGCTGCATTCCCAGCTGACCCTCAGAGCATCAACTGCTCAGAAAGGCCCTGAGAGGAAAAGGAAGGGTGAAGCTGGGGGTGAGGCTGAGAAGAACAGAGAGGGGAGAAAGGGGAAAGGAAACCTTGCAACTTATCCCAAACACAGCCATAAAAATGCCAGAGGCCCCAGACAGCTACAATGAAACCAGGCTCTACAGCAGAAAAAAAAGATAACAGGGGGTGGGGATTTCTGGGCTGATGAGGTGGTCTGGAGGAAAGGTGGATGTGTTCGCTAGCCTTCAAGATGCTCACCAAGGATCCTTGCCACCTGAGATTCCTGTCCTGTGTAGCACCCCACACACACCCCAATATTTAATCAGATGACCCATATAATCAATACAGTGCTGCTGCTGAAGTGACCATGTGTGGCATCTCAGGCCAGGTCATAAGACACACTGAAGCTTCCTCGGTTTCTTCAATTGCTCCCTCCCTGGAGAAAGCCATCCACCATGCCATGAGGACACTCAAGCAGCGCCGTGGCAAAGGACCAACTTTCCAGCACCACATTGCTAGGCAGAAGATGAGCCACCTTGGAAAGAGATCTTCCAGCCCCAAATTTTGAACTCTAATTAATGATATGTATGTTAAAAATGTTTAGGGGAGAAATCTATTGCTGTCTGCAAACTACTTCAAAATGCAAAAAAAAAATAAAAATAAAGATGGGTTGATGAATGATACAGAGATCAATGTGGTCAGGCAAGTATAATAAAGTATCACTGATGGAATCTAGATGGTAGATTATATTAGTTTGGTAGGGCTACTATAAAATACCACAGACTTGCTGGTGAAAAGTAGAAATTTGGGCCAGGCCCAGTGGCTCACACCTGTAATCCAGCACTTTGGGAGGCCGAGGGTGGTGGATCATTTGAGGTCAGGAGTTCTAGACCAGCGTGGCCAACATAGCAAAACCCCGTCTTTACTAAAAATACAAAAATCGTGTGGGCATGGTGGTGCATGCCTGTAGTCCCACCTACTTGGGAGTCTGAGGCAAGAGAATCACTTGAACCTGGGAGGCAGAAGTTGCGGTAAGCCAAGATCGCACCATTGCACTCCAGCCTGGGCAACAGAGTGAGACTCCATTTCAAAGAAAATAAATAAATAAAAAGTAGAAATTTATTTTCCCACAGTCCTGGAGGCTGGAAGTCCAAGATCAAGGGGCTGGCAAGGTTGGTTTCTCCTGAGGTCTCTGCATGGCTTGCAGATGGCTACCCCCTTGCTGCCCCTTCTGTCTGTGCACCACAATGCTTCTTGGTCTATTATGTCCTAATTTCCTTATAAAAACACCAGCCAAACTGGATTAGGGCACACCCTAAAAGCCTCATTTTAACTTACTTAATTGCCTCTTTAAAAGCCTGATCTTGGCCGGGTACGGTGGTTCATGCCTGTAATCCCAGCACTTTGGGAGGCCAACGTGGGCGGATCATGAGGTCAAGAGATTGAGACCATCCTGGCCAACATGGTGAAACCCTGTCTGTACTAAAAATACAAAAATTACCTGGGGATGGTGGCACGTTCCTGTAGTCACAGCTACTCAGAGGCTAAGGCAGGAGATCGCTTGAACCTGGGAGGCGGAGGTTGCAGTGAGCTAAGATCGCACCACTGCACTCCAGCCTGGTGACAGAGTGAGACTCCATCTCAAAAAAAAAAAAAAAAAAAAAAAAAAAAAAAAAAAAGCCTGATCTTACACATAGAGTCCCATTCTGAGGTACTGGGGTTAGGGCTCCAGCATATTAATTTGGGGGGTGAGGGGATGGGGACAATTCAGTCTATAAGTGGATGCTCACTTGTAAAATTATTTCAAATTATCTCCCTGTTTGAAAATATTTAATAATAGGATGGGAACTGTAGCTCACACCTTAAGGCCAGTGCTTTGGGAGGCCAAGGCAGGAGGATCACTTGAGATCAGGAGTTCAAGACAAGCCTGGGCAACATAGTAAGACCCCATCTCTACCAAAAAAAAATTAGCTGGGCATGGTGGCATGTGCCTGTAGTTTCAGCTACTCAAAAAGCTGAGGCAGGAGATTGCTTGAGCCCAGGAAGTCAAGGCTGCATTGAGCTGTGATTTGTTCTGTGGAGCAAGATCCTGTCTCAAAAAAAAAAAAAAAAAAAAAAAAGACAGGTAACTGATCTGAAGGTGAAGCTTGGACCAGCAAAAAATGGACCAGAACAACCCAAATGCCCATCAATTTATAAATGAGTGTTTTTAATGTGATATATTCATACATTGTGTATTATTCAGCCACAGAGGTGGGAAGGATGTGTCTACATGAATGAAAACCTTGTGCTAAGGGAAAGACGCTACTCACAAAAGACCAACTATATGTAATTCCATTTCTATGAAATGTCAAAAATAGATAAATCTATACAGATGGAAAGTAGATTAGTGGTTGCTTAGGGGGAGTTGGACAGGGAAAATACAGGGATATGGTTCAAGTTCTATTCAGTTCCTTTTCGTAATTTCTATCTCTTTATTGATACTCTTGATGTTCTCTATATGTTGAGTGTAAGAGTTGAAGAAAGAAACAGGAAAAGCAGCTCAACAGTCAAAGACAGGTTTATTTTGGGAATAAACCTGAGAGGGGCTTCTGGCCAATTTAGGTCAGGAGTATTCTCTCTTACAGACTAAAACTATTTAAGAGTTTAGGGGCTGGGCACGGTGGCTCATGCCTGTAATCCCAGCACTTTGGGAGGCCGAGGCAGGTGAATCACGAGGTCAGGAGTTCGAGACTAGCCTGACCAACATGGTGAAACCCTGTCTCTACTAAAAATAGAAAAATTAGGAGGGAGGAGCCAAGATGGCCAAATAGGAACAGCTCCAGTCTACAGCTCCCAGAGTGAGCGACACAGAAGATGGGTGATTTCTGCATTTCCATCTGAGGTACTGGGTGCATCTCACTAGGGAGTGCCAGACAGTGGGCGCAGGACAGTGGGTGCAGTGCGCCGTGTGCGAGCTGAAGCAGGGCAAGGCATTGCCTCACTCGGGAAGTGCAAGGGGTCAGGGAGTTCCCTTTCCTGGTCAAGGAAAGGGTGACAGACAGCACCTGGAAAATTGGGTCACTCCCACCCAAATACTGCGCTTTTCCGATGGGCTTAGGAAACGGCACACCAGGAGATTGTATCCCGCACCTGGCTCGGAGGGTCCTATGCCCATGGAGTCTTGCTGATTGCTAGCACAGCAGTCTGAGATTAAACTGCAAGGCAGCAGCGAGGCTGGGGGAAGGGTGCCCGCATTGCTCAGGCTCACTTAGGTAAACAAAGCAGCCAGGAAGCTCGAACTGGGTGGAGCCCACCACAGCTCAAGTAGGCCTGCCTGCCTCTGTAGGCTCCACCTCTGGGGGCAGGGCACAGACAAACAAAAAGACAGCAGTAACCTCTGCAGACTTAAATGTCCCTGTCTGACAGCTCTGAAGGAGCAGTGGTTCTCCCAGCATGCAGCTGGAGATCTGAGAACAGGCAGACTGCCTCCTCAAGTGGGTCCCTGACCCCTGACCCCTGAGCAGCCTAACTGGGAGGCACCCCCCAGTAGGGGCAGACTGACACCTCACACGGCCGGGTACTTATCTGAGACAAAACTTCCAGAGGAACGATCAGACAGCAGCATTCGTGGTTCATGAAAATCCGCGGTTCTGCAGACACGGCTGCTGATACCCAGGCAAACAGGGTCTGGAGTGGACCTCGAGCAAACTCCAACAGACCTGCAGCTGAGGGTCCTGTCTGTTAGAAGGAAAACTAACAAACAGAAAGGACATCCACACCAAAAACCCATCTGCACATCACCATCATCAAAGACCAAAAGTAGATAAAACCACAAAGATGGGGAAAAAACAGAGCAGAAAAACTGAAACTCTAAAAAGCAGAGCGCCTCTCCTCCAAAGGAATGCAGTTCGTCACCAGCAACGGAACAAAGCTGGACGGAGAATGACTTTGACGAGTTGAGAGAAGAAGTCTTCAGACGATCAAACTACTCCGAGCTACAGGAGGAAATTCAAACCAAAGGCAAAGAAGTTGAAAACTTTGAAAAAAATTTAGACGAATGTATAACTAGAATAACCAATACAGAGAAGTGCTTAAAGGAGCTGATGGAGTTGAAAGCCAAGGCTCAAGAACTACGTGAAGAATGCAGAAGCCTCAGGAGCCGATGCAATCAACTGGAAGAAAGGGTAGCAGTGATGGAAGATGAAATGAATGAAATGAAGTGAGAAGGGAAGTTTAGAGAAAAAAGAATAAAAAGAAATGAACAAAGCCTCCAAGAAATATGGGACTATGTGAAAAGACCAAATCTGCATCTGATCAGTGTACCTGAAAGTGACAGGGAGAATGGAACCAAGTTGGAAAACACTCTGCAGGATATTATCCAGGAGAACTTCCCCAATCTAGCAAGGCAGGCCAACATTCAGATTCAGGAAATGCAGAGAATGCCACAAAGATATTCCTCAAGAAGAGCAACTCCAAGACACATAATTGTCAGATTGACCAAAGTTGAAATGAAGGAAAAAATGTTAAGGGCAGCCAGAGAGAAAGGTCGGGTTACTCACAAAGGGAAGCCCATCAGACTAACAGCGGATCTCTCAGCAGAAACTCTACAAGCCAGAAGAGAGTGGGGGCCAATATTCAACATTCTTAAAGAAAAGAATTTTCAACCCAGAATTTCATATCCAGCCAAACTAAACTTCATAAGTGAAGGAGAAATAAAATACTTTACAAGCAAGCAAATGCTGAGAGATTTTGTCACCACCAGGCCTGCCCTAAAAAAGTCCCTGAAGGAAGCACTAAACGTGGAAAGGAACAACTGGAACCAGCCCCTGCAAAATCATGCCAAAATGTAAAGACCATCAAGACTAGGAAGAAACTGCATCAACTAACGAGCAAAATAACCAGCTAACATCATAATGACAGGATCAAATTCACATATAACAATATTAACTTTAAATGTAAATGGACTAAATGCTCCAATTAAAAGACACAGACTGGCAAATTGGATAAAGAGTCAAGACCCATCAGTGTGCTGTATTCAGGAAACCCATCTCACGTGCAGAGACACACATAGGCTCAAAATAAAAGGATGGAGGAAGATCTACCAAGCAAATGGAAAACAAAAAAAGGCAGGGGTTGTAATCCTAGTCTCTGATAAAACAGACTTTAAACCAACAAAGATCGAAAGAGACAAAGAAGGCCATTACATAATGGTAAAGGGATCAATTCAACAAGAAGAGCTAACTATCCTAAATATATATGCCCCCAATACAGGAGCACCCAGATTCATAAAGCAAGTCCTGAGTGACCTACAAAAAGACTTAGACTCCCACACAATAATAATGGGAGACTTTAACACCCCACTGTCAACATTAGACAGATCAATGAGACAGAAAGTTAACAAGGATACCCAGGAATTGAACTCAGCTCTACACCAAGCAGACCTAATAGACATCTACAGAACTCTCCACCCCAAATCAACAGAATGTACATTTTTTTCAGCACCACACAACACCTATTCCAAAATTGACCACATAGTTGGAAGTAAAGCTCTCCTCAGCAAATGTAAAAGAACAGAAATTATAACAAACTGTCTCTCAGACCACAGTGCAATCAAACTAGAACTCAGGATTAAGAAACCCACTCAAAACTGCTCAACTACATGGAAACTGAACAACCTGCTCCTGAATGACTACTGGGTACATAATGAAATGAAGGCAGAAATAAAGATGTTCTTTGAAACCAATGAGAACAAAGACACAATATACCAGAATCTCTGGGACACATTCAAAGCAGTGTGTAGAGGGAAATTTATAGCACTAAATGCCCACAAGAGAAAGCAGGAAAGATCCAAAATGGACACCCTAACATCACAATTAAAAGAACTAGAAAAGCAAGAGCAAACACATTCAAAAGCTAGCAGAAGGCAAGAAATAACTAAAATCAGATCAGAACTGAAGGAAATAGAGACCAAAAAAACCCTTCAAAAAATTAGTGAATCCAGGAGCTGGTTTTTTGAAAGGATCAACAAAATTGATAGACCACTAGCAAGACTAATAAAGAAAAAAAGAGAGAAGAATCAAATAGACACAATAAAAAATGATAAAGGGGATATCACCACCGATCCCACAGAAATACAAACTACCATGAGAGAATACTACAAACACCTCTATGCAAATAAACTAGAAAATCTAGAAGAAATGGATAAATTCCTCGACACATACACTCTCCCAAGACTAAACCAGGAAGAAGTTGAATCTCTGAATAGACCAATAACAGGAGCTGAAACTGTGGCAATAATCAATAGCTTACCAACCAAAAAGATTCCAGGACCAGATGGATTCACAGCCGAATTCTACCAGAGGTACAAGGAGGAACTGGTACCATTCCTTCTGAAACTATTCCAATCAATAGAAAAAGAGGGAATCCTCCCTAACTCGTTTTATGAGGCCAGCATCATCCTGATACCAAAGCCGGGCAGAGACACAACCAAAAAAGAGAATTTTAGACCAATATCCTTGATGAACATTGATGCGAAAATCCTCAATAAAATACTGGCAAACCGAATCCAGCAGCACATCAAAAAGCTTATCCACCATGATCAAGTGGGCTTCATCCCTGGGATGCAAGGCTGGTTCAATATACACAAATCAATAAATGTAATCCAGCATATAAACAGAACCAAAGACAAAAACCACATGATTATCTCAATAGATGCAGAAAAGGCCTTTGACAAAATTCAACAACCCTTCATGCTAAAAACTCTCAATAAATTAGGTATTGATGGGACATATCTCAAAATACTAAGAGCTATCTATGACAAACCCACAGCCAATATCATACTGAATGGGCAAAAACTGGAAACATTCCCTTTGAAAACTGGCACAAGACAGGGATGCCCTCTCTCACCACTCCTATTCAACATAGTGTTGGAAGTTCTGGCCAGGGCAATTAGGCAGGAGAAGGAAATAAAGGGTATTCAGTTAGGAAAACAGGAAGTCAAATTGTCCCTGTTTGCAGACGACATGATTGTATATCTAGAAAACCCCATTGTCTCAGCCCAAAATCTCCTTAAGCTGATAAGCAACTTCAGCAAAGTCTCAGGATACAAAATCAATGTACAAAAATCACAAGCATTCTTATACACCAATAACAGACAAACACAGAGCCAAATCATAAGTGAACTCCCATTCATAATTGCTTCAAAGAGAATAAAATACCTAGGAATGCAACTTACAAGGGACGTGAAGGACCTCTTCAAGGAGAACTACAAACCACTGCTCAATGAAATAAAAGAGGATACAAACAAATGGAAGAACATTCCATGCTCATGGGTAGGAAGAATCAATATCGTGAAAATGGCCATACTGCCCAGGGTAATTTATAGATTCAATGCCATCCCCATCAAGATACTGATGACTTTCTTCACAAAATTGGAAAAAACTACTTTAAAGTTCACATGGAACCAAAAAAGAGCCCACATCGCCAAGTCAATCCTAAGCCAAAAGAACAAAGCTGGAGGCATCATGCTACCTGACTTCAAACTATACTACAAGGCTACAGCAACCAAAACAGCATGGTACTGGTACCAAAACAGAGATATAGATCAATGGAACAGAACAGAGCCCTCAGAAATAACACCACATATCTACAACTATCTGATCTTTGACAAATCTGAGAAAAACAAGCAATGGGGAAAGGATTCCCTGTTTAATAAATGGTGCTGGGAAAACTGGCTAGCCATATGTAGAAAGCTGAAACTGGATCCCTTCCTTACACCTTATACAAAAATTAATTCAAGATGGATTAAAGACTTAAACGTTAGACCTAAAACCATAAAAACCCTAGAAGAAAACCTAGGCATTACCATTTAGGACATAGGCATGAGCAAGGACTTCATGTCTAAAACACCAAAAGCAATGGCAACAAAAGCCAAAATTGACAAATGGGATCTAATTAAACTAAAGAGCTTCTGCACAGCAAAAGAAACTACCATTGGAGTGAACAGGCAACCTATAAAATGGGAGAAAATTTTCACAACCTACTCATCTGACAAAGGGCTAATATCCAGAATCTACAATGAACTCAAACACATTTACAAGGAAAAAGCAAACAACCCCAACAAAAAGTGGGAGAAGGACATGAACAGACACTTCTCAAAAGAAGACATTTATGCAGCCAAAAAACACATGAAAAAATGCTCACCATCACTGGCTATCAGAGAAATGCAAATCAAAACCACAATGAGATACCATCTCACACTAGTTAGAATGGCAATCATTAAAAAGTCAGGAAACAACAGGTGCTGGAGAGGATGTGGAGAAATAGGAACACTTTCACACTGTTGGTGGGACTGTAAACTAGTTCAACCATTGTGGAAGTCAGTGTGGCAGTTCCTCAGGGATCTAGAACTAGAAATACCATTTGACCCAGCCATCCCATTACTGAGTATATACCCAAAGGACTATAAATCATGCTGCTATAAAGACACATGCACACGTATGTTTATTGGGGCACTATTCACAATAGCAAAGACTTGGAACCAACCCAAATGTCCAACAATGATAGACTGGATTAAGAAAATGTGGCACATATACACCATGGAATACTATGCAGCCATAAAAAATGATGAGTTCATGTCCTTTGTAGGGACATGGATGAAATTGGAAATCATCATTCTCAGTAAACTATCACAAGGACAAAAAACCAAACACCGCATGTTCTCACTCATAGATGGGAATTGAACAATGAGAACACATGGACACAGGAAGGGGAATATCACACTCTGGGGACTGTTGCGGGATGGGGGGAGTGGGGAGGGATAGCATTAGGAGATATACCTAATGCTAAATGACGAGTTAATGGGTGCAGCACACCAGCATGGCACATGTACACATATGTAACTAACCTGCACATTGTGCACATGTACCCTAAAACTTAAAGTATAATAATAAAAAAATTTATTTGAAAAAATAATAATAATTAAATAAATAAATAAAAATAAACATAGAAAAATTAGCCAGGCATGGTGGCACGTGCCTGTAATCCCATCTACTCAGGAGGCTGAGGCAGGAGAATCGCTTGAACCTGGGAAGCGGAGGTTGCAGTGATGCGAGATCACGCCACTGCACTCCAGCCTGGGCAGCAGAGCAAGATTCCATCTCAAAAAGAAAAGTTTAGTGAGGGAGAGCTTATCACAGGTTCAGAATGTTTTCTGAGTGGAGGAGAGTTTATCTCAGCATTGGAATGTTTCTGGTCAAAGGTGTCATTTATGGTTTATGGTCAAGCTGAGATTAGCCATTAGACTCATGTTTTAGGGGCTGGATTTAGGCGATTTTTAATCAAAGGGAACTTAAAATAGTGGTGTTTGTCCAAGATGGCAATGCACCTGCTCTGTCATTGAGACATCTTTGTCAAGGGTTTTCTTTCAAGCTTGTCTGACCTGCCTTATTTTGGTGATGGTGTTCTCTTTCGTTTTTGGCTTTTAGCAGCCTGAATCCATGGTTTCTAGTTTCTGTCTCTAGTGATAAGCAGAAAAGAGGGATGAGGATGGGGCTTTACTGGCCCAACCAGAAACAGAAACAAAAACACATGACTATGTTCTCTCCCTTGGACATGCCTGCTTAGCTCTTTGAACATATTTAAGATAGTTGTGTTAAAGTATTTGTAGGGGGATTCTCCCCCTTCCCCAGGTTTTGTTGTTGTGGCTTGCTTTGGGCTCCCCTTTTCCATTTGTTCAGTGACTTTTCCAACTATTTTTAGAAAGACTATATTCCTTGTTGTGTGTGGTCAGTAAAATCCCTTTTTCCATTATCTCAAATAGAACATAGATCTCTTTTTGGTTTTTTGTTTTTGTTTTTGTTTTTTGAGACAGAGTCTCACTCTTGTCACTCAGGCCACAGTGCAGTGGCATGATCTCGGTTCACTGCAACCTCCACCTCCCAGGTTCAAGTGATTCACCTGCCTCAGCTTCCCAAGTAGCTGGGATTACAGGTGTGTGCCACCACACCCGGCTAATTTTTGTATTTTTAGTAGAGATGAGGTTTCACTATGCTGGTCAGGCTGGTCTCGAACTCCTGGTGGCCTCAAGTGATCTGCCTGCCTTGACCTCCCAAAGTGCTGGGATTACAGGTGTGAGCTGCCATGCCTGGCTAGTAATGTAACAATTAGTTTTAAAGTTAACTCTAGCATGACTTTCCAGGCAAGGATAGTGTCTACTGAAGGATTGAAAGACACAAACTACCAGCATCTGCCTGGGGCTAGGGGATATTGGGTTAGGCAAGAAGCAGACAGACCCAAAAGCCTCACAAAGGAGACAGCTGAGAAGGAAGTTTGTTGAAAATAATGAGGACTTGGAAGGGTCACCACATATCCCAGGGAAGGGACTGTAGTGTGCGGGACACTAGAAAGTAACACACTGGATCCAAGCTCAGAAAAACCTGAGATGGTTGGGCACGGTGGCTCATACCTGTAATCCCAGCTACTCGGGAGGCTGAGGCAGGAGAATCGCTTGAACCCAGGAGGCGCAGGTTGCAGTGAGCCGAGATCGCGCCACTGCACTCCAGCCTGGGCAACTAGAGTGAAACTCCGTCTCAAAAAAAAAAAAAAAAACAGTAAATCGATGGAGGAACATTTGTTTTTAGAACCATTTCTCTCCTGAAAACCTAATGTGTGATAAAGATAGAATTTCAAAACAGTTTAACAATGACGATTTAATTAGAGGCCTGTGAACAATAGATTATACATGCGTAAGAGAATTTTGCTCGACTAACTTTTGAATTAGGAAAACTCCTCAATATATTAGAAATATTAATATATCATCAAGCTAATATTTAAACATTATAAAGCTAACAAAACTCTGAGGAAGCAAGAAGAAAACAGAAACTAAATCATGTGCAACTTAGATATTTGATCAAAATATGCACATTTAGCGTGTCTATCAGGTGATAAGTAAAATATAGAAATTGATTCAAAATACAAAAGGAGCTCAAACATCTCAATAGCACACAACCTTTTTTTTTTTTTTTCTGAGACAGAGTCTATTGCCCAGTCTGGAGTGCAGTGGAACAATCTCAGCTCACCCCAACCTCCACCTCTCAGGTTCAAGCAATTCTCCGGCCTCAGCCTCCTGAGGAGCTGGCAGTACAGGTGCCTGCCACCACGCCTGACTAATCTGTGTATTTTTAGTAGATACAGGATTTCACCATATTAGCCAGCCTGGTCTCGAACGCCCGACCCCAGGTAATCCTCCCACCTCATCCCCCCAAAGTGCTGGCATTACAGGCGTGAGACACAGTGCTTGACCCAATAGGACAAAATCTAATAATTTGATTTTGAAAATGGGCAAAAGACAGGAATAGATTATTTTTTTATTTTTTTATTTTTAGACAGAGTCTCACTCTGTCACCCAGACTGGAGAGCAATGGCACGATCTCAGCTCACTGCAACCTCCGCCTCCCAGGTACAAGCGATTCTCCTGCCTCAGCCTCCCAAGTAGATGGGATTACAGGCATCCGCCACCACGCCCAGCTAGTTTTTGTACTTTTAGTAGACACAGGGTTTCATCACGTTGGCCAGGCTGGTCTCAAACTCCTGACCTCAGAAGATCCGCCCACCTTGGCTTCCCAAAGTGCTGGGATTACAGGCATGAGACACCACGCCTGGCCTCTGAATAGACGTTTTTCAAAAGAAGATATACAAATGGTAAACAGGCTTATGAAAAGGTGCTCAACATCATTGATCATCAGAGAAATGCAAGTCAAAACTATGAGGAGATATCACCTTACCCCAGTTAGCTTACATCCAAAAGACAGACAATAATACATGCTGGTAAGGATGTGGAGAAAAGAGAACGCTTGTACTGTGTTGCTTAGTTCAACCACTATGCAGAGCAGTAAGGGCCACAAAGTGAGACCTTGTCTCTAAAAAAAATTACAAAAACAGGCCTGGCGCAGTGGCTCACACCTGTAATTCCAGCACTTTGGGAGGCCCAGGCAGACAGATCGTCTGAGCTCAGGAGTTCAAAACGAGCCTGGGCAACTTGGCGAAACCGCGTCTCTACTAAAAATACAAAAATTAGCTGGGTGTGGTGGAGCACGCCTGTAATCCCAGTTACTTGGGTGGCTGAGGCACGAGAATCGCTTGAGGCTGGGACGTGGAGGTGGCAGAGAGTCAAGATTTTACCACTGCACTCCAGCCTGGGTGCCAGAGTGAGACTGTGTCAAAAAAAAATGGTGAATAGAAGAATAATTGAATAACTGCCTCAGACATTTATACAGTTCTCAACTCATTCTGGGCACACGGAAGACCGTGTTGGACTCATCTCCTTGATTTTAAAAACAGTCATTCTAAAATCAAGGAGACTAGATGTATCACTTCTAGGCCAAATCGTGAAAGAAAACGTGTAAGAGTTTCATGTGCTCTTCATCTCTGTGATCACAATTGAAGAAGGCATGAGTTTGAGATGCTGCATCACCAAGATCGTGGTGATTCCATTATCATTACCCTTGTAACTTGTGAGCATCCTTACTGCCAGCAATCATTATTAGATATCAAATGTGAGATAGGAGTTCATATTTACGGTATGAATATCTTGGTCTGGGAGTGGTGGCTCATGCCTGTAATCCCAGTGCTTTGGGAGGCAGAGGCAGGAGGCTCACTTGAGCCCAAGAGCCCAAGAGTTCGAGACCAGCCAGGACAATTTAGCGAGACCCCATCTCAACAAAAAATTTAAAAATCAGCCAAGTGTGGTGGTAGGTGCCTGTAGTCTCAGCTATTTGGGAGGCTGAAGTGGGAGGATCCCTTGAGCCTGGGATGTCAAGGCTACAGAGAGCCAAGATCGTGCCACTGAACTTCAGCCTGGGCAACAGAGCAAGACTGTCTCAAAAATAAAATGTTTTATTCTTTAGGCTTAAATTCTAACCCTCAAACCTCCAATGTGAAGGTATTAGGAGCTGGGGCCTTTTGGAGATGATGACGTTATGAAGGTGGAGCCCTCATAGATGGGATTAGTGCCCTTCTGAAAGTGACAGAAGAGAGCTCGCCGGCACCTTCCATGTGAGGAGACAGGGAGGATATGACAGTCTCCAACCTGGAAGAGGGTCCTCACCAGACCCCGATCATGCTGGCACCCTCATCTTGGACTTCCAGCCTCCAGAACTGGGATAAACAAATGTCTGTTCTTAAAAAAAAAAAAAGCGTGGAAAGCAGTGTTAATGTTCCCAATCACTTTGAGTACATTCTTTCTTTAACTATGTCTTAATGCATAGTTGTGTTGTATGGCCTAGTTTGTAATGTTAGAATATGCATGTTAGTGAATTAATAAATACAGCAATAAAGAATACTGTTCAGGTTGGGAATGGTGGCTCACGCCTGTAATCCCAGCACAATGGAAGGCCAAGGCTGGTCAATCACCTGTAGTCGGGAGTTGGAGATCAGCCTGACCAACATGGAGAAATCCCGACTCTACTAAAAATACAAATCAGTCTGCCATAGTGGCACATGCCTTTAATCCCACTGCTCGGGAGGCTGAGGCAGGAGAATCACTTGAACCTGGGAGGCAGAGGTTGTGGTGAGCCGAGATCGCGCCATTGCACTCCAGCCTGGGCAACAAACGCTAAACTGAATCTCAAAAAATTAAAAAAAAAAAAAAAAAGAATGCTGTTTGTTGACCATTTGATCAGCTAGACTTGGTGCTTCCTGGTGAGCCAGGAGAGCGCTGCCCCACCCCCAACCCATTCCAGTAGACATGGCATAAGAGTGATTCTCACTCTCTGCTATAGCCTCTTTATCCATTGGCTGAAATGATTTTTTTAAAGTGTCTTATAAATGTTTCCATAGTAAAAAAAGAATTGAATTTTATAGTGACTCTTTTGGGGATCATTACCCATAATTTGTTTGAACTCCTAAAAAATGGAAGTATGCCGAGCACAGTGGCTCATGCTTGTAATCCCAGCACTTTGGGAGGCTGAGGCGGGCGGATCACCTGATGTCAGGAGTTCAAGACCAGCCTGACCAATGTGGGAAAACCCCAACTCTACTAAAAATATAAAAATTAGCCAACCATGGTGGTGTGCACCTGTAGTCCCAGCTACTTGGGAGGCTGAGACAAGACAATTGCTTGAACCCAGGAGGCAGAAGTTGCAGTGAGCTGAGATGGTGCCACTGCACTCCAGCCTCGAAGACAGAGGGAGATTTTGTCTCAAAAAAAAAAAAAAAAAGGAAGTAAAGGGAAATAAATAAGGAATCTTTGACTGGATATCTGGATTGCCTATGAAAGCGTGTGTGTGTGTGTGTGTGTGTGTGTGTGTGTGTGTGTGTGTGTGTGTGTGTAGCCAGGAAGAAGTGTCTGTTCCTGGGGTGCAGACCCTTCTTTGTCTGGAGAAAGTTCATTGCTGGTAACTCATTGTGGGTTTTGTGAACATTTTCTCTCTCTCTTTCTTTCTTTCTTTCCTTCTTTCTTTCTCTTTCTTTCTTTCTTTCTTTCCTTCGGACATTTTCTCCTCCCTTCCTCCCTCCCTCCCTTTCTTCTTTCCCTCCCTCCCTCCCTCCCCTCAGGAGAATGGCGTGAACCGAGGAGGCAGAGCTTGCAGGGCGCCAATGTCACTCCACTGCACTCCAGCCTGGGCAACAGTGCAAGACTCCGCCTCAAAAAAAAAAAAGGAGAAAAAAAAGAAAATCTCCATTTCTGGCCACGCACAGTAGCTCACACCTGTAATCCCAGCACTTTAGGAGGCTGAAGCGGGTGGATCGCTTGAGCCCGGGAGTTGGAGACCAGCCCGGGCAGCATGAGGAAACCCCATCTCTAGAACAAATGCAAAAATTACACAGGTGTGGGATCTCCCCACTCCAGAGGCTGAGGTGGGAGGATGGCTTCAGTGCAGGAGGCACAGGTTGCAGTGATCTGAGATCGTGCCATTGCACTCCAGCCTGAGTGACAGAGTGAGACCCGGTCTACAAATAATCCTAATAAAAAGTAAAGTAAAATAAAATAAAACTCCATTTCTGCCGCAAACTGTTTTATTTCTACTGGATACAAGGCACAGATGGTAGAGCCCAGAGTAAGTGGACAGAGATGAGCTTTCTCAAGGCAAAAGAGGATCCCCCACTCCACAGATGACAGCACACACACACACACACACACTCACACAATCAAAAAACACACGTACGAATCCATTTATACCCCCACCATAGGTCATCTTCAGATTTCCCCCAGCGTTTCCCAAATGCATGAGTTTCCACTTCTAAAGAGTCTCTTGTGAATAGACCCCCAGAGGTGGTCTGTTTGGACAATTATGGAGGAATCACAATTAGAAACTCTCTCACAACATCTTATATATTTCCCTTTAATTCCTTTTTTTATTTTTTTAAGATGGAATCTCCCTCTGTCATACAGTCTGGAGTGAAATGGCACCATCTCAGCTCACTGCAACTTTTGCCTCTTGGGTTCAAGCAATTTTCCTGTCTCAGCCTCCCAAGTAGCTGGGAATACAGGTACACACCACCATCGTCGGCTAATTTTTGTATTTTTAGTAGAGTTAGGATTTCTCCCACATTGGTCAGGCTGGTCGTGAACTCCTGACATCAGGTCATCCGCCCACCCAAAGCGCTGGGATTACAGGCATAAGCCACTGTGCTTGGCATACTTCCATGTTTTAGGAGTTCAAACAAATTATGGGTAACAATCCCCAAAAGCGTCACTATAAAATTCAATTCGTTTTTTAATGTGGAAACATTTATAAGACATATAAAAAAATCATTTCAACCAATGGATGAAGAGGCTATAGCAGAAAGTGAGAATCACTCTTCTGCCATGTCTACTGGAATGAATGGGGGCTGCAGCAGGGCTCTCCTGGCCCACAAGGAAGCACCAAGACTAGCTGAACAAATGGTCAACAAACACCATTACATTTTTTTTTTCTTTATTCAGATAGAGTTTAGCTTTTGTTGCCTAGGATAGACTGCACGCACACGATCTCAGCTCACCACAACCTCTACCTCCTAGGTTCAAGTGATTCCCCTGCCTCAGCCTCCGAAGTAGCTGGGATTAAAGACACGTGCCACTATGACAGGCAGATTGGTATTTTTAGTAGAGTCGGGATTTCTCCATGTTGGTCAGGATGATCTCCAACCCCCGACTTCAGATGATTGACACGACTTGCCCACCCATTGTGCTGGGATTACAGGCGAGAGCCACCATTGCCAACGAGAACAGTATTCTTCACTGCTGTATTTATTAATTCACTGATATGCATATACTAATATTACAAACTAGGCCATCCAAGACAACTATGCATTAAGACATAGTTAAGGAAAGAATGTACTCAAAGTGATTGGGAACATTAACATTGCTTTCCACACTTTTTTTTTCTTTAAGAATACACATTTGTTGATCAGAGTTCTGGAGGCCGGAAGTCGAAGATGAGGGTGCCAGCATGATCGGGGTCTGGTGAGGACCCTCTTCCAGGTTGGAGACTGTCATATCCTCCCTGTCTCCCCACATGGAAGGTGCTGGCGAGCTCTCTTCGGTCACTTTCAGAGGGGCACTAATCCCATTTACGAGGGTTCCACTTTCATAATCTCATTATCTCCCAAGGGCCCCACCTCCTAATACCGCCACATTGGAGGTTTGAGTGTTAGAATTTAAGCCTAAAGGAAAAAGTATTTTATTTTTGAGAGAGAGTCTTGCTCTGTTGCCCAGACTGAAGTTCAGTGGCACGATCTCGGCTCCCTGTAGCCTTGACATCCCGGGCGCAAGCGATCCTAACACTTCAGCCTCCTAAGTAGCTGAGATTACAGGCACCTACCAGCACACTTGGCTGATTTTTACATTTTTGTAGAGACGAGGGTCTGGCTATGCTGTCCCGGCTTGTCTCGAACTCCTGGGCTCAAGCGAGCCTCCTGCCTCTGCCTCCCAAAGCACTGGGATGACAGGCATGAGCCACCACTCCCAGAACAAGATATTCATACAGCAAATATGAACTCCTATATCAGATTCCATATCTAATAATGATTGCTGGCAGTAAGGATGCTCACAAGTTACAAGGGTAATGACAATGGAATCACCACGATCTTGGTGATGCAGCGTCTCAAACTCATGCCTTCTTCAATTGTGATCACAGAGATGAAGAGCACATGAAACTCTTACACATTCTCTTTCAAGATTTCGCCTAGAAGTGATACATCTAGAATCCTTGATTTTAGAATGACTGTTTTTAAAATCGAGGAGATGAGTACAACACGGTCTTCTGTGTCCCCAGAGTGAGATGAGAAATGTATAAGTGACTCAGGCAGTTATTCAATTATTCTTCTATTCACCAATTTTTCTTTTACACACAGGAAGGAAGGACGGAAGGAAGAGGGGAAGGGGAAAGGAAGAAGGCAGGAAGGAAGGAAAGAGGGAAGGGAGGGAGGAAGGATGGAAAGAGGGAGGGAGGGAGTGAGGAGGGGGGGATGGAGTGGGGTTAGGATCGAGGGAGGGAGAAAGCAAAAAATGTCAGAAAGAACGAAAGAAAGAGAGAAAATATCTCCAAAACCCACAATGAGTCAACAGCAATGGACATTCTCAAGAGAAAGAAGGGTCTCCACCCCAGGAACAGCCACTTCATCCTGGCTTCACACGCACACACACACACACACACACACACACACACACGCTTTCACAGGCACATCCACAAATCCAATCAAAGGTTCCTTCCTGTCATCCTGAAATTCTCAGTAGCGTTTGTCAAATGTCCTAAGATTGATCTTCTGAAGCACCTTCTTACTTGGGTAGGAAGTAGGAAGCCAACATATTTAGGAAACATGGCAGGAATTCAAGCAGAGACTCTCAGGGAAGCTTGTGAATTTCCTTCTGCTTCTGCTCCTTTGACACTTCATTTCGTGTACATAACATTCCCCAGGATAGCCACCGTGAAAGTTAACATATTTTTATTGCATGAAAATATAAAAGGCACACATGAAAAACTATTTCAGCGATGGATGAATTGGGTATTACAGAAAGTGTCTATCATTATTAGGCAAGACCTAGAGGATGGGAGGGGACAGGAAACAGGTTGACTCTTGATGGGATTAGGCAGGTTCTGTTGATCGGTCATCTATGGATTGAGTTACGCCCCAATCCTCCATGAGGGCCCCTCCCGTTGTCATACCAGGAACAGCCAATCACATCAGTTCCTGCTGACAAATCCCCTGGCTCCACCCCCTGCTGACAGTGTACAAGATTCCCCCAAGAGCTCAGTTGTCAGAGCCTCATCCACCTGCCGCTGGCCACAGCCCCGTCGCTACACAACCCAAGCCTTCGGGAGCAGCTTTGGGGCTGACACCACTCTCTCAAAGGAACTAAAGGATTCGGGAGCCAAGAAGAAATCTTTGCAGGAGACAGACAAACACTGGCAGTGGCTGACTTGGAGAACCCTGGAAATTTTCACCATGAAAGGTTCCCGGCGCCCAAGAAGCCCCAGTGATTCCTGCACCGAATCCAAGAGCGACCACGCAGGAGAGAGCGGGTGAGCTTTGCTATGTGCTGGGGACGCCTGCGGGGTGACCTGCCTGTGGGATGTGTGGGTGTGTGTTGGAGAGAGGGGAAGGGAAAAGGGTGCATGAACCTGCCATGAGATTGGATGTTTTGAATTTGGGGCCAGAGGGAAGTGAGGTGCCCGTAAGTCATCACAGGGTGCTGGGAAGGCTTCTACATCGCAACCACACACATATCTCAGGGCAGCCCCACTTTCAATCCACCCAACCAGCTCCACAGGGAATGGGTTCTGTGTTCTGCAAGAAGGGAGATTGTAGGACATGATGTGAGAGTTTCAAGATCTACTAGGAAAAATAAAACAGTTTCCTCCTTTTTTCATTTTTAATTTTTCTATTTGTCTTATTTACTGATTTATTTTACTGAGACAGCGTCTCACTCCGATGGTCCACACTGGAGTGCAGTGGCGTGATTTTAGCTGACTGCGGGCTCCACCTCTGAGTCGCAGGTGATCCTCCCACCTGAGCCTCCTGAGTAGGTGAGACCACAGGCATGCACCACCATGACCCACTAATGTTTAGTATTTTTAGTGGAGACTAGCTTTCACCATGTTGCCCAGGCTGCTCTCAAACTCCTGGACTCAAGCAATCCTCCGACCTTGGCCTCCCAAAGTGCTGGGATTACAGGCGCATGCCGTCATGCCCGACAAATTCCTTCCTCTTCTCCTGCTGTGATTCGAATCCTAAGACCCCATTCCTTTGTTACCTGTGTAGACAGAGGTGCCACCTCTCCGGGATCTCAACATCTTTCTCCAGCTCCTCACACCCAAGGAGAGTTTTCCAACTCTCATCTGCATGAGCTCCTGAAAGGGTAAACTGCTCCCTGTGGGCACCGACCCTCCTTCCCTGCCTTTTCTTCACCCAGGGAAGCTCAGGTAGATGGGGTGAGAACAAGAACAGCTGGGAGTTAGGACAGATTGGGAGCAGGTCTCACAGGAAGTGGATGACGAGTCTGTGGCCTTGAATGAAAGGCAGGGAAGTGGAGTGAATTTGTGGGGATTCAGGGAATTGGACGTTAGGGAACTGCCCGAAATCTGACTGTGTCTCTCTCTCTGTCCTACAGCTCCAGCGGCACGCCATCAAATGCCCCAAAACGCCAGAAAGTGGAGGAGCTGGGTCCTCATCCAGGTGAGGCATCTTCTCTTTTTCATCCTGAGTCCCCTGCTACCAAGCCAGTGTCCCGTCACGTCATGAGGCGAGCAGCTGTGCTGTCCAGAGTGTCGGGAGCTTCCTCCTGCAGCTCCGTGGCTGGGTGTCCTGTACCTGGCTTCTTCTGTATTTGGTCTTTCTCACGGTGGCACCTTGAACCCTCAAGGGCATCCTGCATGACAAGGGCTTTCACCTGCACACTCTGCTCTCTCCACAGGTGCAGAACCAGCTCCGGTACAGCCAGCTCCCCACCACCCTGCACAACTGCCCCTGGAGCTGCCCCAGGTAAGGTCACACCACCTAGGTGGGCGTGGGTGAGACAGGTCTGCCTGAGCTCCAGGCCCTAGGGGACTTGCAGGAAATCACCGTCCCAAGGGGCGTCAATACAGGTGCCAATTCTGGGTGTCCCTGCGGGGTTTCATTTATGCCTGGGGAAGTTACTGGCAGCTCCCCGCCTTGCTCTCTCCCTGTTTGAGCCACCCTCAGAGGACAATGACTGACCCACGGCTTTTCTCCCCCAGGGCCCACAGCTTCCCCAGAGGAAGATGATCATCGCGGTCTTGGAACCAGGAATGGTCCTGCACCTGCGCCTGGGGCAGGAGTTCCTGGGGCTGGACCCACAGGGAGCCCTGCGACTCAGCCTCCTCAATGTGCAGCTCCTGGTGGTCCCTGAGCAACTCTTGATGTCCCTGAAGGATCTCTTGTACCCTGCCCATGCCCGCTGGCTCCTGCTCACTAGTACAGAGACTGTCTGGGAGATTGACATTGAAAATGGATCTGTGAGAGCCCAGAGAGCAGAGAATGTGTGTGTGGCGCCTTCAGTAAAAGAGGGTGAGGCTCCGCAAGGCTTCCTGACCCTGATGGGACCCCCAGCAAACCTTGTGCATGGAGTCAGCCCTTCTTCCTGGCGTGTCCTCTACCTCAAACCTGACTACAGAGCGGCCGTCCCCCAGGGCTCATCCCAAATGCCCAAGCCTAGTCCCTGGAGACAGGCTCTGCCTGAAGAATTCCACTTGGATCTCCACGGCCTGGAGCCCCTGCCCACCTCTGCTCTCAGACCTCTACCTCCATCACCCAGTCCGGAGCCCAGAATTTGCCACAAGTTTCTATGGAGGCCAACGTGCAAGGCCCGAAGACGTCTCTTCTAAGGCTCATGGGCCATGGACCCTCAGGCACCAGACGGGAATCAGAGACGCTCTATTCAGAATGAAGCACACCTGCTTTTTCATGGTGTCTCCCTGCACACATGTCTCGGCATCTCGGAGGAGAGAGATGCTGCGCATGCTGGAGAGGTGGAGAAATGCTCCGTCCTCTCACCTGAACCTTTGCTCTGCCTCAGATGCTCTTGATTTGTATCAAAGAGCAACCTTGAGATTGGGGCACAAAATATTTGCAAATCTCATATACGTGCAAGGACTGCTCATACTCAGAATACACAGAGTTGTCAAAACTCCAATGGGACAAACAAATGATTCTGTTCAAAACCCAGCCAGAGACTTGAGCAGACATTTCCTCAAAGGGGATGTAAAGAACCACTTCAAAAAGCGTTCACTGTCCCTCCCCTGGGGAAATGCACGTCAAATACACCTTCAACAACAACCAAGAAGCTCTCCCAGAAGCCACCGTGACAATCACTCACCATCCCAAGGGCTGCGGAGCATGTGGAGAAGCTGGAACACTCTGACAGTGCTGCTTGGAATCCAACTGGGACAACCCCCAGGGAGAAAGAGTTTCATTGATTCATAATCAATGCAATAGGCACTTAGCATTGGAACCATCTTTCCCACCCTGAGATAGTTGTTCTAAAGGAATTAGAACTCACGTGGACAAGGCTGAGGGCAGAGGCTTCTAGCACCTGTCCTCACAATCGCCAAAAGATGGAGGGGCCTTCAATGTCGTTCCACAGTGTCTAGAGAGAGGAACTGTGACCCATTCTTTCAATGGGATGCAGTTCAGCAATGAATAGGCTGGGATTGTTGTTGGTAAATTCAGTTCTAAGAATGAGTAGTGAAGAACTTGTCGAAACACTTGAAGGTATGTTTGGACTCTTACGCTATGTGAGACTTCTCCTGAGATTGTAACTCTCATGAAATTGACATGCACATCAAGCATGTGTGATCGACGTTCAGTTTCCAACTGACGTTTGCTGTAAAACACATACTAGATTTTGCATCTGAGAATGAAGGATTGTAGCATGTATCTTAGTCATCATTGTGACATCAATTGTATTGGTGTTGATTATATCTGTATTCCTTGGGTTAAATAAAAATGTTAAAATGAGTTTCGTCTATTTGCGTTTCTTTTCTTTAATGTGTTTGCTCAAAAATCTCCATTTCTGGGCCGTGCATGGTGGCTCATGCCTGTAATCCGAGCACTTCGGGAGGCTCAGGCGGGTGCATCACGAGGGCAGGAGATCGAGACCGTCCTGGCTAACACGGTGAAAGCCCGTCCCTACAAAAAAAAAAAAAAAAATGCAAAAACCTTAGCTGGGCGTGGTGTCGGGCGCCTGTAGTCCCAGCTCTTTGGGAGGCTGAGGCAGGAGAATGGCATGACCCCAGGAGGCAGAGCTTGCAGTGAGCCGAGGTCACTCCACTGCACTCCAGCCTGGGCCACGGTGCGAGGTTCCGTCTCATCAAAAGAAGAACAAAAATCTCCATTTCTGGCCGGGCACAGTAGCTCCCACCTGTAATCCCAGCACTTTGGGAGGCTGAGGCGGGTGGATCACTTGAGCCCGGGCGTTGGAAACCAGCCCGGGCAGCATGAGGAAACCCCATCTCTAGAAAAAATGCAAAAATTACACAGGTGTGGGATCTCCCCACTCCAGAGGCTGAGGTGGGAGGATGGCTTCAGTGCAGGAGGCACAGGTTGCAGTGATCTGAGATCGTGCCGTTGCACTCCCGCCTGAGTGACAGAGTGAGACCCGGTCTACAAATAATCCTAATAAAAAGTAAAGTAAAATAAAATAAAACTCCATTTCTGCCGCAAACTGTTTTATTTCTACTGGATACAAGGCACAGATGGTAGAGCCCAGAGTAAGTGGACAGAGATGAGCTTTCTCAAGGCAAAAGAGGATCCCCCACTCCACAGATGACAGCACACACACAAACACACAGTCACACTCTCACACAATCACAAGACACATTTAAGTATCCATTTACACCCCCACCACAGGTCATCTTCAGATTTCCCTGAGTGATTCTCAAATGCATGAGTCTGCACTTCTAACGAGTCTTTTACGAATAGATCCCCAGAGGTGGTCTGTTTGGACAATTAAGGGGGAATCACGATTAGCAACTCTCTCCTAACACCTTGTATATTTGTATATTTCCCTTTACTTCCTTTTCTTTCTTTTCTATTTGGTTATTTATTTATTATTTGAGACGAAATATCCACTGTGCTCGGCATACTTCCCTTTTCTAGGAGTACAAACAAATTATGGAATGATGGGTAACAATCCCCGAAAGAGTCCCTATAAAAGTCAATTCAATTTTTTTTGCTATGGAAGCATTAATAAGACACATTAAAAAAGAATCATTTCAGCCAATGGATAAGGAGGCTATAGCAGAAAGTGAGAATCACTCTTATGCCATGACTACTGGAATGGGTAGGAATGGGGCAGGGCTCTCCTCGCCCACCAGGAAGCACCAAGACTGGCCACTCAAATGGTCAACAAACAGCCTTCTTTTTTTTTTTTTTAATTTTTTGCTATAGAATTTAGCTTTTGTTGCCCAGGCTGGAGTGCAATGGCGCGATCTCGGCTCACCGCAACCTCTGCCTTCTAGGTTCAAGTGATTCTCCTGCCTCAGCCTCCCGAGTAGCTGGGATTAAAGGCATGTGCCTCTATGACAGGCTGATTTGTATTTTTAGTAGAGTCGGGATTTCTCCATGTTGGTCAGGGTGATCTCCACCTCCCGACTACAGGTGATTGACCCGCCTCGGCATGCCATTGTGCTGGGATTACAGGCGTGAGACACCATTCCCAACCACAACTCTATTCTTTACTGCTGTATTTATTAATTCACTAACATGCATATTCTAACATTACAAACTAGGCCATCCAACACAACTATGCATTAAGACATAGTTAAGGAAAGAATGTACTCAAAGTGATTGGGAACATTAACATTGCTTTCCACACTTTTTTTTTCTTTAAGAACACACATTTGTTGATCAGAGTTCTGGAGGCCGGAAGTCCACGATGAGAGTGCCAGCATGATCGGGGTCTGGTGAGGACCCTCTTCCAGGTTGGAGACTGTCATATCCTCCCTGTCTCCCCACATGGAAGGTGCTGGCGAGCTCTCTTCCGTCACTTTCAGAAGGGCACTAATCCCATTTACGAGGGTTCCACTTTCATAATCTCATCATCTCCCAAGGGCCCCACCTCCTAATACCTCCGCTTTGGAGGTTTGAGTGTTAGAATTTAAGCCTAAAGGAAAAAGCATTTTATTTTTGAGAGAGAGTCTTGCTCTGTTGCCCAGGCTGAAGTTCAGTGGCAAGATCTCGACTCCCTGTAGCCATTACATCCCGGGCGAAAGCGATCCTAACACTTCAGCCTCCTAAGGAGCTGAGACTACAGGCACCTACCAGCACACTTGGCTGATTTTTACATTTTTGTAGAGACGAGGGTCTCGCCATGCTCTTCCGGCTTGTCTCGAACTCCTGGGTTCAAGCGAGCCTCCTGCCTCTGCCTCCCAAAGCACTGGGATTACAGGCATGAGCCAACACTCCCACACCAAGATATTCATACAGTAAATATGAACTCCTATATCAGATTCCATATCTAATAATGATTGCTGGCGGTAAGGATGCTCACAAGTTACAAGGGTAATGATAATGGAATCACCACGATCTTGGCGATGCAGCATCTCAACCTCCTGCCTTCTTCAATTGTGATCATAGAGATAAAGAGCACATGAAACTCTTACACATTTTCTTTCAAGATTTCGCCTAGAAGTGATACATCTAGAATCCTTGATTTTAGAATGACTGTTTTTAAAATCGAGGAGATGAGTATAACACGGTCTTCTGTGTCCCCAGAGTGAGATGAGAAATGTATAAGTGACTCAGGCAGTTATTCAATTATTCTTCTATTCACCAATTTTTCTTTTACACACAGGAAGGAAGGACGGAAGGAAGAGGGGAAGGGGAAGGGAAGAAGGCAGGAAGGAAGGAAAGAGGGAAGGGAGGGAGGAAGGATGGAAAGAGGGAGGGAGGGAGTGAGGGGGGGAAAGAGGGGGGTTAGGATCGAGGGAGGGAGAAAGCAAAAAATGTCTGAAAGAACGAAAGAAAGAGAGAAAATATCTCCAAAACCCACAATGAGTCAACAGCAATGAACATTCTCAAGAGAAAGAAGGGTCTCCACCCCAGGAACAGCCACTTCATCCTGGCTTCACACACACACAAACACACACACACACACACACACACGCTTTCACAGGCACATCCACAAATCCAATCAAAGGTTCCTTCGTGTCATCCTGAAATTCTCAGCAGCGTTTGTCAAATGCCCTAAGATTGATCTTCTGAAGCACCTTCTTACTTGGGTAGGAAGAAAGAAGCCAACATGTTTAGGAAACATGGCAGGAATTCAAGCAGAGACGCTCAGAGAAGCTTGTGAATTTCCTTCTGCTTCTGCTCCTTTGACACTTCATTTCATGTACATAGCATTCCCCAGGATAGCCACCGTGAAAATTAACATATTTTTATTGCATGAAAATATAAAAGGCACACATGAAAAACTATTTCAGCGATGGATGAATTGGGTATGACAGAAAGTGTCTATCATTATTAGGCAAGAGCTAGAGGATGGGAGGGGACAGGAAACAGGTTGGCTCTTGATGGGATTAGGCAGGTTCTGTTGATCGGTCATCTATGGATTGAGTTACGCCCCAATCCTCCATGAGGGCCCCTCCCGTTGTCATACCAGGAACAGCCAATCACATCAGTTCCTGCTGACAAATCCCCTGGCTCCACCCCCTGCTGACAGTGTACAAGATTCCCCCAAGAGCTCAGTTGTCAGAGCCTCATCCACCTGCCGCTGGCCACAGCCCCGTCGCTACACAACCCAAGCCTTCGGGAGCAG
The DNA here is from genome assembly GCF_000001405.40 of Homo sapiens. Classification (NCBI taxonomy): domain Eukaryota; kingdom Metazoa; phylum Chordata; class Mammalia; order Primates; family Hominidae; genus Homo; species Homo sapiens. The sequence goes on along the minus strand of NC_000019.10, from coordinate 8,779,041 downwards.
CTTTGGGGCTGACACCACTCTCTCAAAGGAACTAAAGGATTCGGGAGCCAAGAAGAAATCTTTGCAGGAGACAGACAAACACTGGCAGTGGCTGACTTGGAGCAGCAAACCTTGTGCATGGAGTCAGCCCTTCTTCCTGGCGTGTCCTCTACCTCAAACCTGACTACAGAGCGGCCGTCCCCCAGGGCTCATCCCAAATGCCCAAGCCTAGTCCCTGGAGACAGGCTCTGCCTGAAGAATTCCACTTGGATCTCCACGGCCTGGAGCCCCTGCCCACCTCTGCCCTCAGACCTCTACCTCCATCACCCAGTCCGGAGCCCAGAATTTGCCACAAGTTTCTATGGAGGCCAACGTGCAAGGCCCGAAGACGTCTCTTCTAAGGCTCATGGGCCATGCACCCTCAGGCACCAGACGGGAATCAGAGACGCTCTATTCAGAATGAAGCACACCTGCTTTTTCATGGTGTCTCCCTGCACACATGTCTCGGCATCTCGGAGGAGAGAGATGCTGCGCATGCTGGAGAGGTGGAGAAATGCTCCGTCCTCTCACCTGAACCTTTGCTCTGCCTCAGATGTTCTTGATTTGTATCAAAGAGCAACCTTGAGATTGGGGCACAAAATATTTGCAAATCTCATATACGTGCAAGGACTGCTCATACTCAGAATACACAGAGTTGTCAAAACTCCAATGGGACAAACAAATGATTCTGTTCAAAACCCAGCCAGAGACTTGAGCAGACATTTCCTCAAAGGGGATGTAAAGAACCACTTCAAAAAGCGTTCACTGTCCCTCCCCTGGGGAAATGCACGTCAAATACACCTTCAACAACAACCAAGAAGCTCTCCCAGAAGCCACCGTGACAATCACTCACCATCCCAAGGGCTGCGGAGCATGTGGAGAAGCTGGAACACTCTGACAGTGCTGCTTGGAATCCAACTGGGACAACCCCCAGGGAGAAAGAGTTTCATTGATTCATAATCAATGCAATAGGCACTTAGCATTGGAACCATCTTTCCCACCCTGAGATAGTTGTTCTAAAGGAATTAGAACTCACGTGGACAAGGCTGAGGGCAGAGGCTTCTAGCACCTGTCCTCACAATCGCCAAAAGATGGAGGGGCCTTCAATGTCGTTCCACAGTGTCTAGAGAGAGGAACTGTGACCCATTCTTTCAATGGGATGCAGTTCAGCAATGAATAGGCTGGGATTGTTGTTGGTAAATTCAGTTCTAAGAATGAGTAGTGAAGAACTTGTCGAAACACTTGAAGGTATGTTTGGACTCTTACGCTATGTGAGACTTCTCCTGAGATTGTAACTCTCATGAAATTGACATGCACATCAAGCATGTGTGATCGACGTTCAGTTTCCAACTGACGTTTGCTGTAAAACACATACTAGATTTTGCATCTGAGAATGAAGGATTGTAGCAGGTATCTTAGTCATCATTGTGACATCAATTGTATTGGTGTTGATTATATCTGTATTCCTTGGGTTAAATAAAAATGTTAAAATGAGTTTCGTCTATTTGCGTTTCTTTTCTTTAATGTGTTTGCTCAAAAATCTCCATTTCTGGGCCGTGCATGGTGGCTCATGCCTGTAATCCGAGCACTTCGGGAGGCTCAGGCGGGTGCATCACGAGGGCAGGAGATCGAGACCGTCCTGGCTAACACGGTGAAAGCCCGTCCCTACAAAAAAAAAAAAAAATGCAAAAACCTTAGCTGGGCGTGGTGTCGGGCGCCTGTAGTCCCAGCTCTTTGGGAGGCTGAGGCAGGAGAATGGCATGACCCCAGGAGGCAGAGCTTGCAGTGAGCCGAGGTCACTCCACTGCACTCCAGCCTGGGCCACGGTGCGAGGTTCCGTCTCATCAAAAGAAGAACAAAAATCTCCATCTCTGGCCGGGCACAGTAGCTCCCACCTGTAATCCCAGCACTTTGGGAGGCTGAGGCGGGTGGATCACTTGAGCCCAGGCGTTGGAAACCAGCCCGGGCAGCATGAGGAAACCCCATCTCTAGAAAAAATGCAAAAATTACACAGGTGTGGGATCTCCCCACTCCAGAGGCTGAGGTGGGAGGATGGCTTCAGTGCAGGAGGCACAGGTTGCAGTGATCTGAGATCGTGCCATTGCACTCCAGCCTGAGTGACAGAGTGAGACCCGGTCTACAAATAATCCTAATAAAAAGTAAAGTGAAATAAAATAAAACTCCATTTCTGCCGCAAACTGTTTTATTTCTACTGGATACAAGGCACAGATGGTAGAGCCCAGAGTAAGTGGACAGAGATGAGCTTTCTCAAGGCAAAAGAGGATCCCCCACTCCACAGATGACAGCACACACACAAACACACAGTCACACTCTCACACAATCACAAGACACATTTAAGTATCCATTTACACCCCCACCACAGGTCATCTTCAGATTTCCCTGAGTGATTCTCAAATGCATGAGTCTGCACTTCTAACGAGTCTTTTACGAATAGATCCCCAGAGGTGGTCTGTTTGGACAATTAAGGGGGAATCACGATTAGCAACTCTCTCCTAACACCTTGTATATTTGTATATTTCCCTTTACTTCCTTTTCTTTCTTTTCTATTTGGTTATTTATTTATTATTTGAGACGAAATATCCACTGTGCTCGGCATACTTCCCTTTTCTAGGAGTACAAACAAATTATGGAATGATGGGTAACAATCCCCGAAAGAGTCCCTATAAAAGTCAATTCAATATTTTTTGCTATGGAAGCATTAATAAGACACATTAAAAAAGAATCATTTCAGCCAATGGATAAGGAGGCTATAGCAGAAAGTGAGAATCACTCTTATGCCATGACTACTGGAATGGGTAGGAATGGGGCAGGGCTCTCCTCGCCCACCAGGAAGCACCAAGACTGGCCACTCAAATGGTCAACAAACAGCCTTCTTTTTTTTTTTTTTAATTTTTTGATATAGAATTTAGCTTTTGTTGCCCAGGCTGGAGTGCAATGGCGCGATCTCGGCTCACCGCAACCTCTGCCTCCTAGGTTCAAGTGATTCTCCTGCCTCAGCCTCCCGAGTAGCTGGGATTAAAGGCATGTGCCTCTATGACAGGCTGATTTGTATTTTTAGTAGAGTCGGGTTTCTCCATGTTGGTCAGGGTGATCTCCACCTCCCGACTACAGGTGATTGACCCGCCTCGGCATGCCATTGTGCTGGGATTACAGGCGTGAGACTCCATTCCCAACCACAACTCTATTCTTTACTGCTGTATTTATTAATTCACTAACATGCATATTCTAACATTACAAACTAGGCCATCCAACACAACTATGCATTAAGACATAGTTAAGGAAAGAATGTACTCAAAGTGATTGGGAACATTAACATTGCTTTCCACACTTTTTTTTTCTTTAAGAACACACATTTGTTGATCAGAGTTCTGGAGGCCGGAAGTCCACGATGAGAGTGCCAGCATGATCGGGGTCTGGTGAGGACCCTCTTCCAGGTTGGAGACTGTCATATCCTCCCTGTCTCCCCACATGGAAGGTGCTGGCGAGCTCTCTTCCGTCACTTTCAGAAGGGCACTAATCCCATTTACGAGGGTTCCACTTTCATAATCTCATCATCTCCCAAGGGCCCCACCTCCTAATACCTCCGCTTTGGAGGTTTGAGTGTTAGAATTTAAGCCTAAAGGAAAAAGCATTTTATTTTTGAGAGAGAGTCTTGCTCTGTTGCCCAGGCTGAAGTTCAGTGGCAAGATCTCGACTCCCTGTAGCCATTACATCCCGGGCGAAAGCGATCCTAACACTTCAGCCTCCTAAGGAGCTGAGACTACAGGCACCTACCAGCACACTTGGCTGATTTTTACATTTTTGTAGAGACGAGGGTCTCGCCATGCTCTTCCGGCTTGTCTCGAACTCCTGGGTTCAAGCGAGCCTCCTGCCTCTGCCTCCCAAAGCACTGGGATTACAGGCATGAGCCAACACTCCCACACCAAGATATTCATACAGTAAATATGAACTCCTATATCAGATTCCATATCTAATAATGATTGCTGGCAGTAAGGATGCTCACAAGTTACAAGGGTAATGATAATGGAATCACCACGATCTTGGCGATGCAGCATCTCAACCTCCTGCCTTCTTCAATTGTGATCATAGAGATGAAGAGCACATGAAACTCTTACACATTCTCTTTCAAGATTTCGCCTAGAAGTGATACATCTAGAATCCTTGATTTTAGAATGACTGTTTTTAAAATCGAGGAGATGAGTACAACACGGTCTTCTGTGTCCCCAGAGTGAGATGAGAAATGTATAAGTGACTCAGGCAGTTATTCAATTATTCTTCTATTCACCAATTTTTCTTTTACACACAGGAAGGAAGGACAGAAGGAAGAGGGGAAGGGGAAGGGAAGAAGGCAGGAAGGAAGGAAAGAGGGAAGGGAGGGAGGAAGGATGGAAACAAGGAGGGAGGGAGTGAGGGGGGGGATGGAGGGGGGTTAGGATCCAGGGAGGGAGAAAGCAAAAAATGTCTGAAAGAACGAAAGAAAGAGAGAAAATATCTCCAAAACCCACAATGAGTCAACAGCAATGAACATTCTCAAGAGAAAGAAGGGTCTCCACCCCAGGAACAGCCACTTCATCCTGGCTTCACACACACACACACACACACACACACACACACACACACGCTTTCACAGGCACATCCACAAATCCAATCAAAGGTTCCTTCGTGTCATCCTGAAATTCTCAGCAGGGTTTGTCAAATGCCATAAGATTGATCTTCTGAAGCACCTTCTTACTTGGGTAGGAAGAAAGAAGCCAACATATTTAGGAAACATGGCAGGAATTGAAGCAGAGACGCTCAGAGAAGCTTGTGAATTTCCTTCTGCTTCTGCTCCTTTGACACTTCATTTCATGTACATAGCATTCCCCAGGATGGCCACCGTGAAAATTAACATATTTTTATTGCATGAAAATATAAAAGGCACACATGAAAAACTATTTCAGCGATGGATGAATTGGGTATGACAGAAAGTGTCTATCATTATTAGGCAAGACCTAGAGGATGGGAGGGGACAGGAAACAGGTTGGCTCTTGATGGGATTAGGCAGGTTCTGTTGATCGGTCATCTATGGATTGAGTTACGCCCCAATCCTCCATGAGGGCCCCTCCCGTTGTCATACCAGGAACAGCCAATCACATCAGTTCCTGCTGACAAATCCCCTGGCTCCACCCCCTGCTGACAGTGTACAAGATTCCCCCAAGAGCTCAGTTGTCGGAGCCTCGTCCACCTGCCGCTGGCCACAGCCCCGTCGCTACACAACCCAAGCCTTCGGGAGCAGCTTTGGGGCTGACACCACTCTCTCAAAGGAACTAAAGGATTCGGGAGCCAAGAAGAAATCTTTGCAGGAGACAGACAAACACTGGCAGTGGCTGACTTGGAGAACCCTGGAAATTTTCACCATGAAAGGTTCCCGGCGCCCAAGAAGCCCCAGTGATTCCTGCACCGAATCCAAGAGCGACCACGCAGGAGAGAGCGGGTGAGCTTTGCTATGTGCTGGGGACGCCTGCGGGGTGACCTGCCTGTGGGATGTGTGGGTGTGTGTTGGAGAGAGGGGAAGGGAAAAGGGTGCATGAACCTGCCATGAGATTGGATGTTTTGAATTTGGGGCCAGAGGGAAGTGAGGTGCCCGTAAGTCATCACAGGGTGCTGGGAAGGCTTCTACATCGCAACCACACACATATCTCAGGGCAGCCCCACTTTCAATCCACCCAACCAGCTCCACAGGGAATGGGTTCTGTGTTCTGCAAGAAGGGAGATTGTAGGACATGATGTGAGAGTTTCAAGATCTACTAGGAAAAATAAAACAGTTTCCTCCTTTTTTCATTTTTAATTTTTCTATTTGTCTTATTTACTGATTTATTTTACTGAGACAGCGTCTCACTCCGATGGTCCACACTGGAGTGCAGTGGCGTGATTTTAGCTGACTGCGGGCTCCACCTCTGAGTCGCAGGTGATCCTCCCACCTGAGCCTCCTGAGTAGGTGAGACCACAGGCATGCACCACCATGACCCACTAATGTTTAGTATTTTTAGTGGAGACTAGCTTTCACCATGTTGCCCAGGCTGCTCTCAAACTCCTGGACTCAAGCAATCCTCCGACCTTGGCCTCCCAAAGTGCTGGGATTACAGGCGCATGCCGTCATGCCCGACAAATTCCTTCCTCTTCTCCTGCTGTGATTCGAATCCTAAGACCCCATTCCTTTGTTACCTGTGTAGACAGAGGTGCCACCTCTCCGGGATCTCAACATCTTTCTCCAGCTCCTCACACCCAAGGAGAGTTTTCCAACTCTCATCTGCATGAGCTCCTGAAAGGGTCAACTGCTCCCTGTGGGCACCGACCCTCCTTCCCTGCCTTTTCTTCACCCAGGGAAGCTCAGGTAGATGGGGTGAGAACAAGAACAGCTGGGAGTTAGGACAGATTGGGAGCAGGTCTCACAGGAAGTGGATGACGAGTCTGTGGCCTTGAATGAAAGGCAGGGAAGTGGAGTGAATTTGTGGGGATTCAGGGAATTGGACGTTAGGGAACTGCCCGAAATCTGACTGTGTCTCTCTGTCCTACAGCTCCAGCGGCACGCCATCAAATGCCCCAAAACGCCAGAAAGTGGAGGAGCTGGGTCCTCATCCAGGTGAGGCATCTTCTCTTTTTCATCCTGAGTCCCCTGCTACCAAGCCAGTGTCCCGTCACGTCATGAGGCGAGCAGCTGTGCTGTCCAGAGTGTCGGGAGCTTCCTCCTGCAGCTCCGTGGCTGGGTGTCCTGTACCTGGCTTCTTCTGTATTTGGTCTTTCTCACGGTGGCACCTTGAACCCTCAAGGGCATCCTGCATGACAAGGGCTTTCACCTGCACACTCTGCTCTCTCCACAGGTGCAGAACCAGCTCCGGTACAGCCAGCTCCCCACCACCCTGCACAGCTGCCCCTGGAGCTGCCCCAGGTAAGGTCACACCACCTAGGTGGGCGTGGGTGAGACAGGTCTGCCTGAGCTCCAGGCCCTAGGGGACTTGCAGGAAATCACCGTCCCAAGGGGCGTCAATACAGGTGCCAATTCTGGGTGTCCCTGCGGGGTTTCATTTATGCCTGGGGAAGTTACTGGCAGCTCCCCGCCTTGCTCTCTCCCTGTTTGAGCCACCCTCAGAGGACAATGACTGACCCACGGCTTTTCTCCCCCAGGGCCCACAGCTTCCCCAGAGGAAGATGATCATCGCGGTCTTGGAACCAGGAATGGTCCTGCACCTGCGCCTGGGGCAGGAGTTCCTGGGGCTGGACCCACAGGGAGCCCTGCGACTCAGCCTCCTCAATGTGCAGCTCCTGGTGGTCCCTGAGCAACTCTTGATGTCCCTGAAGGATCTCTTGTACCCTGCCCATGCCCGCTGGCTCCTGCTCACTAGTACAGAGACTGTCTGGGAGATTGACATTGAAAATGGATCTGTGAGAGCCCAGAGAGCAGAGAATGTGTGTGTGGCGCCTTCAGTAGAAGAGGGTGAGGCTCCCCAAGGCTTCCTGCCCCTGATGGGACCCCCAGCAAACCTTGTGCATGGAGTCAGCCCTTCTTCCTGGCGTGTCCTCTACCTCAAACCTGACTACAGAGCGGCCGTCCCCCAGGGCTCATCCCAAATGCCCAAGCCTAGTCCCTGGAGACAGGCTCTGCCTGAAGAATTCCACTTGGATCTCCACGGCCTGGAGCCCCTGCCCACCTCTGCCCTCAGACCTCTACCTCCATCACCCAGTCCGGAGCCCAGAATTTGCCACAAGTTTCTATGGAGGCCAACGTGCAAGGCCCGAAGACGTCTCTTCTAAGGCTCATGGGCCATGCACCCTCAGGCACCAGACGGGAATCAGAGACGCTCTATTCAGAATGAAGCACACCTGCTTTTTCATGGTGTCTCCCTGCACACATGTCTCGGCATCTCGGAGGAGAGAGATGCTGCGCATGCTGGAGAGGTGGAGAAATGCTCCGTCCTCTCACCTGAACCTTTGCTCTGCCTCAGATGCTCTTGATTTGTATCAAAGAGCAACCTTGAGATTGGGGCACAAAATATTTGCAAATCTCATATACGTGCAAGGACTGCTCATACTCAGAATACACAGAGTTGTCAAAACTCCAATGGGACAAACAAATGATTCTGTTCAAAACCCAGCCAGAGACTTGAGCAGACATTTCCTCAAAGGGGATGTAAAGAACCACTTCAAAAAGCGTTCACTGTCCCTCCCCTGGGGAAATGCACGTCAAATACACCTTCAACAACAACCAAGAAGCTCTCCCAGAAGCCACCGTGACAATCACTCACCATCCCAAGGGCTGCGGAGCATGTGGAGAAGCTGGAACACTCTGACAGTGCTGCTTGGAATCCAACTGGGACAACCCCCAGGGAGAAAGAGTTTCATTGATTCATAATCAATGCAATAGGCACTTAGCATTGGAACCATCTTTCCCACCCTGAGATAGTTGTTCTAAAGGAATTAGAACTCACGTGGACAAGGCTGAGGGCAGAGGCTTCTAGCACCTGTCCTCACAATCGCCAAAAGATGGAAGGGCCTTCAATGTCGTTCCACAGTGTCTAGAGAGAGGAACTGTGACCCATTCTTTCAATGGGATGCAGTTCAGCAATGAATAGGCTGGGATTGTTGTTGGTAAATTCAGTTCTAAGAATGAGTAGTGAAGAACTTGTCGAAACACTTGAAGGTATGTTTGGACTCTTACGCTATGTGAGACTTCTCCTGAGATTGTAACTCTCATGAAATTGACATGCACATCAAGCATGTGTGATCGACGTTCAGTTTCCAACTGACGTTTGCTGTAAAACACATACTAGATTTTGCATCTGAGAATGAAGGATTGTAGCATGTATCTTAGTCATCACTGTGACATCAATTGTATTGGTGTTGATTATATCTGTATTCCTTGGGTTAAATAAAAATGTTAAAATGAGTTTCGTCTATTTGCGTTTCTTTTCTTTAATGTGTTTGCTCAAAAATCTCCATTTCTGGGCCGTGCATGGTGGCTCATGCCTGTAATCCGAGCACTTCGGGAGGCTCAGGCGGGTGCATCACGAGGGCAGGAGATCGAGACCGTCCTGGCTAACACGGTGAAAGCCCGTCCCTACAAAAAAAAAAAAAATAAATGCAAAAACCTTAGCTGGGCGTGGTGTCGGGCGCCTGTAGTCCCAGCTCTTTGGGAGGCTGAGGCAGGAGAATGGCATGACCTCAGGAGGCAGAGCTTGCAGTGAGCCGAGGTCACTCCACTGCACTCCAGCCTGGGCCACGGTGCGAGGTTCCGTCTCATCAAAAGAAGAACAAAAATCTCCATTTCTGGCCGGGCACAGTAGCTCCCACCTGTAATCCCAGCACTTTGGGAGGCTGAGGCGGGTGGATCACTTGAGCCCGGGCGTTGGAAACCAGCCCGGGCAGCATGAGGAAACCCCATCTCTAGAAAAAATGCAAAAATTACACAGGTGTGGGATCTCCCCACTCCAGAGGCTGAGGTGGGAGGATGGCTTCAGTGCAGGAGGCACAGGTTGCAGTGATCTGAGATCGTGCCGTTGCACTCCAGCCTGAGTGACAGAGTGAGACCCGGTCTACAAATAATCCTAATAAAAAGTAAAGTAAAATAAAATAAAACTCCATTTCTGCCGCAAACTGTTTTATTTCTACTGGATACAAGGCACAGATGGTAGAGCCCAGAGTAAGTGGACAGAGATGAGCTTTCTCAAGGCAAAAGAGGATCCCCCACTCCACAGATGACAGCACACACACAAACACACAGTCACACTCTCACACAATCACAAGACACATTTAAGTATCCATTTACACCCCCACCACAGGTCATCTTCAGATTTCCCTGAGTGATTCTCAAATGCATGAGTCTGCACTTCTAACGAGTCTTTTACGAATAGATCCCCAGAGGTGGTCTGTTTGGACAATTAAGGGGGAATCACGATTAGCAACTCTCTCCTAACACCTTGTATATTTGTATATTTCCCTTTACTTCCTTTTCTTTCTTTTCTATTTGGTTATTTATTTGTTATTTGAGACGAAATATCCACTGTGCTCGGCATACTTCCCTTTTCTAGGAGTACAAACAAATTATAGAATGATGGGTAACAATACCCGAAAGAGTCCCTATAAAAGTCAATTCAATTTTTTTTGCTATGGAAGCATTTATAAGACACATTAAAAAACAATCATTTCAGCCAATGGATAAGGAGGCTATAGCAGAAAGTGAGAATCACTCTTATGCCATGACTACTGGAATGGGTAGGAATGGGGCAGGGCTCTCCTCGCCCACCAGGAAGCACCAAGACTGGCCACTCAAATGGTCAACAAACAGCCTTCTTTTTTTTTTTTTTAATTTTTTGATATAGAATTTAGCTTTTGTTGCCCAGGCTGGAGTGCAATGGCGCGATCTCGGCTCACCGCAACCTCTGCCTCCTAGGTTCAAGTGATTCTCCTGCCTCAGCCTCCCGAGTAGCTGGGATTAAAGGCATGTGCCTCTATGACAGGCTGATTTGTATTTTTAGTAGAGTCGGGTTTCTCCATGTTGGTCAGGGTGATCTCCACCTCCCGACTACAGGTGATTGACCCGCCTCGGCATGCCATTGTGCTGGGATTACAGGCGTGGAAGAGGGGAAGGGGAAGGGAAGAAGGCAGGAAGGAAGGAAAGAGGGAAGGGAGGGAGGAAGGATGGAAAGAGGGAGGGAGGGAGTGAGGGGGGGATGGAGGGGGGTTAGGATCGAGGGAGGGAGAAAGCAAAAAATGTCTGAAAGAACGAAAGAAAGAGAGAAAATATCTCCAAAACCCACAATGAGTCAACAGCAATGAACATTCTCAAGAGAAAGAAGGGTCTCCACCCCAGGAACAGCCACTTCATCCTGGCTTCACACACACACACACACACACACACACACACACACACACACACACGCTTTCACAGGCACATCCACAAATCCAATCAAAGGTTCCTTCGTGTCATCCTGAAATTCTCAGCGGCGTTTGTCAAATGCCCTAAGATTGAACTTCTGAAGCACCTTCTTACTTGGGTAGGAAGAAAGAAGCCAACATGTTTAGGAAACATGGCAGGAATTGAAGCAGAGACGCTCAGAGAAGCTTGTGAATTTCCTTCTGCTTCTGCTCCTTTGACACTTCATTTCATGTACATAGCATTCCCCAGGATAGCCACCGTGAAAATTAACATATTTTTATTGCATGAAAATATAAAAGGCACACATGAAAAACTATTTCAGCGATGGATGAATTGGGTATGACAGAAAGTGTCTATCATTATTAGGCAAGACCTAGAGGATGGGAGGGGACAGGAAACAGGTTGGCTCTTGATGGGATTAGGCAGGTTCTGTTGATCGGTCATCTATGGATTGAGTTACGCCCCAATCCTCCATGAGGGCCCCTCCCGTTGTCATACCAGGAACAGCCAATCACATCAGTTCCTGCTGACAAATCCCCTGGCTCCACCCCCTGCTGACAGTGTACAAGATTCCCCCAAGAGCTCAGTTGTCAGAGCCTCATCCACCTGCCGCTGGCCACAGCCCCGTCGCTACACATCCCAAGCCTTCGGGAGCAGCTTTGGGGCTGACACCACTCTCTCAAAGGAACTAAAGGATTCGGGAGCCAAGAAGAAATCTTTGCAGGAGACAGACAAACACTGGCAGTGGCTGACTTGGAGAACCCTGGAAATTTTCACCATGAAAGGTTCCCGGCGCCCAAGAAGCCCCAGTGATTCCTGCACCGAATCCAAGAGCGACCACGCAGGAGAGAGCGGGTGAGCTTTGCTATGTGCTGGGGACGCCTGCGGGGTGACCTGCCTGTGGGATGTGTGGGTGTGTGTTGGAGAGAGGGGAAGGGAAAAGGGTGCATGAACCTGCCATGAGATTGGATGTTTTGAATTTGGGGCCAGAGGGAAGTGAGGTGCCCGTAAGTCATCACAGGGTGCTGGGAAGGCTTCTACATCGCAACCACACACATATCTCAGGGCAGCCCCACTTTCAATCCACCCAACCAGCTCCACAGGGAATGGGTTCTGTGTTCTGCAAGAAGGGAGATTGTAGGACATGATGTGAGAGTTTCAAGATCTACTAGGAAAAATAAAACAGTTTCCTCCTTTTTTCATTTTTAATTTTTCTATTTGTCTTATTTACTGATTTATTTTATTGAGACAGCGTCTCACTCCGATGGTCCACACTGGAGTGCAGTGGCGTGATTTTAGCTGACTGCGGGCTCCACCTCTGAGTCGCAGGTGATCCTCCCACCTGAGCCTCCTGAGTAGGTGAGACCACAGGCATGCACCACCATGACCCACTAATGTTTAGTATTTTTAGTGGAGACTAGCTTTCACCATGTTGCCCAGGCTGCTCTCAAACTCCTGGACTCAAGCAATCCTCCGACCTTGGCCTCCCAAAGTGCTGGGATTACAGGCGCATGCCGTCATGCCCGACAAATTCCTTCCTCTTCTCCTGCTGTGATTCGAATCCTAAGACCCCATTCCTTTGTTACCTGTGTAGACAGAGGTGCCACCTCTCCGGGATCTCAACATCTTTCTCCAGCTCCTCACACCCAAGGAGAGTTTTCCAACTCTCATCTGCATGAGCTCCTGAAAGGGTAAACTGCTCCCTGTGGGCACCGACCCTCCTTCCCTGCCTTTTCTTCACCCAGGGAAGCTCAGGTAGATGGGGTGAGAACAAGAACAGCTGGGAGTTAGGACAGATTGGGAGCAGGTCTCACAGGAAGTGGATGACGAGTCTGTGGCCTTGAATGAAAGGCAGGGAAGTGGAGTGAATTTGTGGGGATTCAGGGAATTGGACGTTAGGGAACTGCCCGAAATCTGACTGTGTCTCTCTCTCTGTCCTACAGCTCCAGCGGCACGCCATCAAATGCCCCAAAACGCCAGAAAGTGGAGGAGCTGGGTCCTCATCCAGGTGAGGCATCTTCTCTTTTTCATCCTGAGTCCCCTGCTACCAAGCCAGTGTCCCGTCACGTCATGAGGCGAGCAGCTGTGCTGTCCAGAGTGTCGGGAGCTTCCTCCTGCAGCTCCGTGGCTGGGTGTCCTGTACCTGGCTTCTTCTGTATTTGGTCTTTCTCACGGTGGCACCTTGAACCCTCAAGGGCATCCTGCATGACAAGGGCTTTCACCTGCACACTCTGCTCTCTCCACAGGTGCAGAACCAGCTCCGGTACAGCCAGCTCCCCACCACCCTGCACAGCTGCCCCTGGAGCTGCCCCAGGTAAGGTCACACCACCTAGGTGGGCGTGGGTGAGACAGGTCTGCCTGAGCTCCAGGCCCTAGGGGACTTGCAGGAAATCACCGTCCCAAGGGGCGTCAATACAGGTGCCAATTCTGGGTGTCCCTGCGGGGTTTCATTTATGCCTGGGGAAGTTACTGGCAGCTCCCCGCCTTGCTCTCTCCCTGTTTGAGCCACCCTCAGAGGACAATGACTGACCCACGGCTTTTCTCCCCCAGGGCCCACAGCTTCCCCAGAGGAAGATGATCATCGCGGTCTTGGAACCAGGAATGGTCCTGCACCTGCGCCTGGGGCAGGAGTTCCTGGGGCTGGACCCACAGGGAGCCCTGCGACTCAGCCTCCTCAATGTGCAGCTCCTGGTGGTCCCTGAGCAACTCTTGATGTCCCTGAAGGATCTCTTGTACCCTGCCCATGCCCGCTGGCTCCTGCTCACTAGTACAGAGACTGTCTGGGAGATTGACATTGAAAATGGATCTGTGAGAGCCCAGAGAGCAGAGAATGTGTGTGTGGCGCCTTCAGTAGAAGAGGGTGAGGCTCCCCAAGGCTTCCTGCCCCTGATGGGACCCCCAGCAAACCTTGTGCATGGAGTCAGCCCTTCTTCCTGGCGTGTCCTCTACCTCAAACCTGACTACAGAGCGGCCGTCCCCCAGGGCTCATCCCAAATGCCCAAGCCTAGTCCCTGGAGACAGGCTCTGCCTGAAGAATTCCACTTGGATCTCCATGGCCTGGAGCCCCTGCCCACCTCTGCCCTCAGACCTCTACCTCCATCACCCAGTCCGGAGCCCAGAATTTGCCACAAGTTTCTATGGAGGCCAACGTGCAAGGCCCGAAGACGTCTCTTCTAAGGCTCATGGGCCATGCACCCTCAGGCACCAGACGGGAATCAGAGACGCTCTATTCAGAATGAAGCACACCTGCTTTTTCATGGTGTCTCCCTGCACACATGTCTCGGCATCTCGGAGGAGAGAGATGCTGCGCATGCTGGAGAGGTGGAGAAATGCTCCGTCCTCTCACCTGAACCTTTGCTCTGCCTCAGATGCTCTTGATTTGTATCAAAGAGCAACCTTGAGATTGGGGCACAAAATATTTGCAAATCTCATATACGTGCAAGGACTGCTCATGCTCAGAATACACAGAGTTGTCAAAACTCCAATGGAACAAACAAATGATTCTGTTCAAAACCCAGCCAGAGACTTGAGCAGACATTTCCTCAAAGGGGATGTAAAGAACCACTTCAAAAAGCGTTCACTGTCCCTCCCCTGGGGAAATGCACGTCAAATACACCTTCAACAACAACCAAGAAGCTCTCCCAGAAGCCACCGAGACAATCACTCACCATCCCAAGGGCTGCGGAGCATGTGGAGAAGCTGGAACACTCTGACAGTGCTGCTTGGAATCCAACTGGGACAACCCCCAGGGAGAAAGAGTTTCATTGATTCATAATCAATGCAATAGGCACTTAGCATTGGAACCATCTTTCCCACCCTGAGATAGTTGTTCTAAAGGAATTAGAACTCACGTGGACAAGGCTGAGGGCAGAGGCTTCTAGCACCTGTCCTCACAATCGCCAAAAGATGGAGGGGCCTTCAATGTCGTTCCACAGTGTCTAGAGAGAGGAACTGTGACCCATTCTTTCAATGGGATGCAGTTCAGCAATGAATAGGCTGGGATTGTTGTTGGTAAATTCAGTTCTAAGAATGAGTAGTGAAGAACTTGTCGAAACACTTGAAGGTATGTTTGGACTCTTACGCTATGTGAGACTTCTCCTGAGATTGTAACTCTCATGAAATTGACATGCACATCAAGCATGTGTGATCGACGTTCAGTTTCCAACTGACGTTTGCTGTAAAACACATACTAGATTTTGCATCTGAGAATGAAGGATTGTAGCATGTATCTTAGTCATCACTGTGACATCAATTGTATTGGTGTTGATTATATCTGTATTCCTTGGGTTAAATAAAAATGTTAAAATGAGTTTCGTCTATTTGCGTTTCTTTTCTTTAATGTGTTTGCTCAAAAATCTCCATTTCTGGGCCGTGCATGGTGGCTCATGCCTGTAATCCGAGCACTTCGGGAGGCTCAGGCGGGTGCATCACGAGGGCAGGAGATCGAGACCGTCCTGGCTAACACGGTGAAAGCCCGTCCCTACAAAAAAAATAAAAAAATAAATGCAAAAACCTTAGCTGGGCGTGGTGTCGGGCGCCTGTAGTCCCAGCTCTTTGGGAGGCTGAGGCAGGAGAATGGCATGACCCCAGGAGGCAGAGCTTGCAGTGAGCCGAGGTCACTCCACTGCACTCCAGCCTGGGCCACGGTGCGAGGTTCCGTCTCATCAAAAGAAGAACAAAAATCTCCATTTCTGGCCGGGCACAGTAGCTCCCACCTGTAATCCCAGCACTTTGGGAGGCTGAGGCGGGTGGATCACTTGAGCCCGGGCGTTGGAAACCAGCCCGGGCAGCATGAGGAAACCCCATCTCTAGAAAAAATGCAAAAATTACACAGGTGTGGGATCTCCCCACTCCAGAGGCTGAGGTGGGAGGATGGCTTCAGTGCAGGAGGCACAGGTTGCAGTGATCTGAGATCGTGCCGTTGCACTCCCGCCTGAGTGACAGAGTGAGACCCGGTCTACAAATAATCCTAATAAAAAGTAAAGTAAAATAAAATAAAACTCCATTTCTGCCGCAAACTGTTTTATTTCTACTGGATACAAGGCACAGATGGTAGAGCCCAGAGTAAGTGGACAGAGATGAGCTTTCTCAAGGCAAAAGAGGATCCCCCACTCCACAGATGACAGCACACACACAAACACACAGTCACACTCTCACACAATCACAAGACACATTTAAGTATCCATTTACACCCCCACCACAGGTCATCTTCAGATTTCCCTGAGTGATTCTCAAATGCATGAGTCTGCACTTCTAACGAGTCTTTTACGAATAGATCCCCAGAGGTGGTCTGTTTGGACAATTAAGGGGGAATCACGATTAGCAACTCTCTCCTAACACCTTGTATATTTGTATATTTCCCTTTACTTCCTTTTCTTTCTTTTCTATTTGGTTATTTATTTATTATTTGAGACGAAATATCCACTGTGCTCGGCATACTTCCCTTTTCTAGGAGTACAAACAAATTATGGAATGATGGGTAACAATCCCCGAAAGAGTCCCTATAAAAGTCAATTCAATTTTTTTTGCTATGGAAGCATTTATAAGACACATTAAAAAAGAATCATTTCAGCCAATGGATAAGGAGGCTATAGCAGAAAGCGAGAATCACTCTTATGCCATGACTACTGGAATGGGTAGGAATGGGGTAGGGCTCTCCTCGCCCACCAGGAAGCACCAAGACTGGCCACTCAAATGGTCAACAAACAGCCTTCTTTTTTTTTTTTTTTTAATTTTTTGATATAGAATTTAGCTTTTGTTGCCCAGGCTGGAGTGCAATGGCGCGATCTCGGCTCACCGCAACCTCTGCCTCCTAGGTTCAAGTGATTCTCCTGCCTCAGCCTCCCGAGTAGCTGGGATTAAAGGCATGTGCCTCTATGACAGGCTGATTTGTATTTTTAGTAGAGTCGGGATTTCTCCATGTTGGTCAGGGTGATCTCCACCTCCCGACTACAGGTGATTGACCCGCCTCGGCATGCCATTGTGCTGGGATTACAGGCGTGAGACACCATTCCCAACCACAACTCTATTCTTTACTGCTGTATTTATTAATTCACTAACATGCATATTCTAACATTACAAACTAGGCCATCCAACACAACTATGCATTAAGACATAGTTAAGGAAAGAATGTACTCAAAGTGATTGGGAACATTAACATTGCTTTCCACACTTTTTTTTTCTTTAAGAACACACATTTGTTGATCAGAGTTCTGGAGGCCGGAAGTCCACGATGAGAGTGCCAGCATGATCGGGGTCTGGTGAGGACCCTCTTCCAGGTTGGAGACTGTCATATCCTCCCTGTCTCCCCACATGGAAGGTGCTGGCGAGCTCTCTTCCGTCACTTTCAGAAGGGCACTAATCCCATTTACGAGGGTTCCACTTTCATAATCTCATCATCTCCCAAGGGCCCCACCTCCTAATACCTCCGCTTTGGAGGTTTGAGTGTTAGAATTTAAGCCTAAAGGAAAAAGCATTTTATTTTTGAGAGAGAGTCTTGCTCTGTTGCCCAGGCTGAAGTTCAGTGGCAAGATCTCGACTCCCTGTAGCCATTACATCCCGGGCGAAAGCGATCCTAACACTTCAGCCTCCTAAGGAGCTGAGACTACAGGCACCTACCAGCACACTTGGCTGATTTTTACATTTTTGTAGAGACGAGGGTCTCGCCATGCTCTTCCGGCTTGTCTCGAACTCCTGGGTTCAAGCGAGCCTCCTGCCTCTGCCTCCCAAAGCACTGGGATTACAGGCATGAGCCAACACTCCCACACCAAGATATTCATACAGTAAATATGAACTCCTATATCAGATTCCATATCTAATAATGATTGCTGGCAGTAAGGATGCTCACAAGTTACAAGGGTAATGATAATGGAATCACCACGATCTTGGCGATGCAGCATCTCAACCTCCTGCCTTCTTCAATTGTGATCATAGAGATGAAGAGCACATGAAACTCTTACACATTTTCTTTCAAGATTTCGCCTAGAAGTGATACATCTAGAATCCTTGATTTTAGAATGACTGTTTTTAAAATCGAGGAGATGAGTACAACACGGTCTTCTGTGTCCCCAGAGTGAGATGAGAAATGTATAAGTGACTCAGGCAGTTATTCAATTATTCTTCTATTCACCAATTTTTCTTTTACACACAGGAAGGAAGGACAGAAGGAAGAGGGGAAGGGGAATGGAAGAAGGCAGGAAGGAAGGAAAGAGGGAAGGGAGGGAGGAAGGATGGAAAGCGGGAGGGAGGGAGTGAGGGGGGGGATGGAGGGTGGTTAGGATCGAGGGAGGGAGAAAGCAAAAAATGTCTGAAAGAACGAAAGAAAGAGAGAAAATATCTCCAAAACCCACAATGAGTCAACAGCAATGAACATTCTCAAGAGAAAGAAGGGTCTCCACCCCAGGAACAGCCACTTCATCCTGGCTTCACACACACACACACACACACACACACACACACACACGCTTTCACAGGCACATCCACAAATCCAATCAAAGGTTCCTTCGTGTCATCCTGAAATTCTCAGCAGCGTTTGTCAAATGCCCTAAGATTGATCTTCTGAAGCACCTTCTTACTTGGGTAGGAAGAAAGAAGCCAACATGTTTAGGAAACATGGCAGGAATTCAAGCAGAGACGCTCAGAGAAGCTTGTGAATTTCCTTCTGCTTCTGCTCCTTTGACACTTCATTTCATGTACATAGCATTCCCCAGGATAGCCCCCGTGAAAATTAACATATTTTTTTTGCATGAAAATATAAAAGGCACACATGAAAAACTATTTCAGCGATGGATGAATTGGGTATGACAGAAAGTGTCTATCATTATTAGGCAAGACCTAGAGGATGGGAGGGGACAGGAAACAGGTTGGCTCTTGATGGGGTTAGGCAGGTTCTGTTGATCGGTCATCTATCGATTGAGTTACGCCCCAATCCTCCATGAGGGCCCCTCCCGTTGTCATACCAGGAACAGCCAATCACATCAGTTCCTGCTGACAAATCCCCTGGCTCCACCCCCTGCTGACAGTGTACAAGATTCCCCCAAGAGCTCAGTTGTCAGAGCCTCATCCACCTGCCGCTGGCCACAGCCCCGTCGCTACACAACCCAAGCCTTCGGGAGCAGCTTTGGGGCTGACACCACTCTCTCAAAGGAACTAAAGGATTCGGGAGCCAAGAAGAAATCTTTGCAGGAGACAGACAAACACTGGCAGTGGCTGACTTGGAGAACCCTGGAAATTTTCACCATGAAAGGTTCCCGGCGCCCAAGAAGCCCCAGTGATTCCTGCACCGAATCCAAGAGCGACCACGCAGGAGAGAGCGGGTGAGCTTTGCTATGTGCTGGGGACGCCTGCGGGGTGACCTGCCTGTGGGATGTGTGGGTGTGTGTTGGAGAGAGGGGAAGGGAAAAGGGTGCATGAACCTGCCATGAGATTGGATGTTTTGAATTTGGGGCCAGAGGGAAGTGAGGTGCCCGTAAGTCATCACAGGGTGCTGGGAAGGCTTCTACATCGCAACCACACACATATCTCAGGGCAGCCCCACTTTCAATCCACCCAACCAGCTCCACAGGGAATGGGTTCTGTGTTCTGCAAGAAGGGAGATTGTAGGACATGATGTGAGAGTTTCAAGATCTACTAGGAAAAATAAAACAGTTTCCTCCTTTTTTCATTTTTAATTTTTCTATTTGTCTTATTTACTGATTTATTTTATTGAGACAGCGTCTCACTCCGATGGTCCACACTGGAGTGCAGTGGCGTGATTTTAGCTGACTGCGGGCTCCACCTCTGAGTCGCAGGTGATCCTCCCACCTGAGCCTCCTGAGTAGGTGAGACCACAGGCATGCACCACCATGACCCACTAATGTTTAGTATTTTTAGTGGAGACTAGCTTTCACCATGTTGCCCAGGCTGCTCTCAAACTCCTGGACTCAAGCAATCCTCCGACCTTGGCCTCCCAAAGTGCTGGGATTACAGGCGCATGCCGTCATGCCCGACAAATTCCTTCCTCTTCTCCTGCTGTGATTCGAATCCTAAGACCCCATTCCTTTGTTACCTGTGTAGACAGAGGTGCCACCTCTCCGGGATCTCAACATCTTTCTCCAGCTCCTCACACCCAAGGAGAGTTTTCCAACTCTCATCTGCATGAGCTCCTGAAAGGGTAAACTGCTCCCTGTGGGCACCGACCCTCCTTCCCTGCCTTTTCTTCACCCAGGGAAGCTCAGGTAGATGGGGTGAGAACAAGAACAGCTGGGAGTTAGGACAGATTGGGAGCAGGTCTCACAGGAAGTGGATGACGAGTCTGTGGCCTTGAATGAAAGGCAGGGAAGTGGAGTGAATTTGTGGGGATTCAGGGAATTGGACGTTAGGGAACTGCCCGAAATCTGACTGTGTCTCTCTGTCCTACAGCTCCAGCGGCACGCCATCAAATGCCCCAAAACGCCAGAAAGTGGAGGAGCTGGGTCCTCATCCAGGTGAGGCATCTTCTCTTTTTCATCCTGAGTCCCCTGCTACCAAGCCAGTGTCCCGTCACGTCATGAGGCGAGCAGCTGTGCTGTCCAGAGTGTCGGGAGCTTCCTCCTGCAGCTCCGTGGCTGGGTGTCCTGTACCTGGCTTCTTCTGTATTTGGTCTTTCTCACGGTGGCACCTTGAACCCTCAAGGGCATCCTGCATGACAAGGGCTTTCACCTGCACACTCTGCTCTCTCCACAGGTGCAGAACCAGCTCCGGTACAGCCAGCTCCCCACCACCCTGCACAGCTGCCCCTGGAGCTGCCCCAGGTAAGGTCACACCACCTAGGTGGGCGTGGGTGAGACAGGTCTGCCTGAGCTCCAGGCCCTAGGGGACTTGCAGGAAATCACCGTCCCAAGGGGCGTCAATACAGGTGCCAATTCTGGGTGTCCCTGCGGGGTTTCATTTATGCCTGGGGAAGTTACTGGCAGCTCCCCGCCTTGCTCTCTCCCTGTTTGAGCCACCCTCAGAGGACAATGACTGACCCACGGCTTTTCTCCCCCAGGGCCCACAGCTTCCCCAGAGGAAGATGATCATCGCGGTCTTGGAACCAGGAATGGTCCTGCACCTGCGCCTGGGGCAGGAGTTCCTGGGGCTGGACCCACAGGGAGCCCTGCGACTCAGCCTCCTCAATGTGCAGCTCCTGGTGGTCCCTGAGCAACTCTTGATGTCCCTGAAGGATCTCTTGTACCCTGCCCATGCCCGCTGGCTCCTGCTCACTAGTACAGAGACTGTCTGGGAGATTGACATTGAAAATGGATCTGTGAGAGCCCAGAGAGCAGAGAATGTGTGTGTGGCGCCTTCAGTAGAAGAGGGTGAGGCTCCCCAAGGCTTCCTGCCCCTGATGGGACCCCCAGCAAACCTTGTGCATGGAGTCAGCCCTTCTTCCTGGCGTGTCCTCTACCTCAAACCTGACTACAGAGCGGCCGTCCCCCAGGGCTCATCCCAAATGCCCAAGCCTAGTCCCTGGAGACAGGCTCTGCCTGAAGAATTCCACTTGGATCTCCATGGCCTGGAGCCCCTGCCCACCTCTGCCCTCAGACCTCTACCTCCATCACCCAGTCCGGAGCCCAGAATTTGCCACAAGTTTCTATGGAGGCCAACGTGCAAGGCCCGAAGACGTCTCTTCTAAGGCTCATGGGCCATGCACCCTCAGGCACCAGACGGGAATCAGAGACGCTCTATTCAGAATGAAGCACACCTGCTTTTTCATGGTGTCTCCCTGCACACATGTCTCGGCATCTCGGAGGAGAGAGATGCTGCGCATGCTGGAGAGGTGGAGAAATGCTCCGTCCTCTCACCTGAACCTTTGCTCTGCCTCAGATGCTCTTGATTTGTATCAAAGAGCAACCTTGAGATTGGGGCACAAAATATTTGCAAATCTCATATACGTGCAAGGACTGCTCATGCTCAGAATACACAGAGTTGTCAAAACTCCAATGGAACAAACAAATGATTCTGTTCAAAACCCAGCCAGAGACTTGAGCAGACATTTCCTCAAAGGGGATGTAAAGAACCACTTCAAAAAGCGTTCACTGTCCCTCCCCTGGGGAAATGCACGTCAAATACACCTTCAACAACAACCAAGAAGCTCTCCCAGAAGCCACCGAGACAATCACTCACCATCCCAAGGGCTGCGGAGCATGTGGAGAAGCTGGAACACTCTGACAGTGCTGCTTGGAATCCAACTGGGACAACCCCCAGGGAGAAAGAGTTTCATTGATTCATAATCAATGCAATAGGCACTTAGCATTGGAACCATCTTTCCCACCCTGAGATAGTTGTTCTAAAGGAATTAGAATTCACGTGGACAAGGCTGAGGGCAGAGGCTTCTAGCACCTGTCCTCACAATCGCCAAAAGATGGAGGGGCCTTCAATGTCGTTCCACAGTGTCTAGAGAGAGGAACTGTGACCCATTCTTTCAATGGGATGCAGTTCAGCAATGAATAGGCTGGGATTGTTGTTGGTAAATTCAGTTCTAAGAATGAGTAGTGAAGAACTTGTCGAAACACTTGAAGGTATGTTTGGACTCTTACGCTATGTGAGACTTCTCCTGAGATTGTAACTCTCATGAAATTGACATGCACATCAAGCATGTGTGATCGACGTTCAGTTTCCAACTGACGTTTGCTGTAAAACACATACTAGATTTTGCATCTGAGAATGAAGGATTGTAGCATGTATCTTAGTCATCACTGTGACATCAATTGTATTGGTGTTGATTATATCTGTATTCCTTGGGTTAAATAAAAATGTTAAAATGAGTTTCGTCTATTTGCGTTTCTTTTCTTTAATGTGTTTGCTCAAAAATCTCCATTTCTGGGCCGTGCATGGTGGCTCATGCCTGTAATCCGAGCACTTCGGGAGGCTCAGGCGGGTGCATCACGAGGGCAGGAGATCGAGACCGTCCTGGCTAACACGGTGAAAGCCCGTCCCTACAAAAAAAATAAAAAAATAAATGCAAAAACCTTAGCTGGGCGTGGTGTCGGGCGCCTGTAGTCCCAGCTCTTTGGGAGGCTGAGGCAGGAGAATGGCATGACCCCAGGAGGCAGAGCTTGCAGTGAGCCGAGGTCACTCCACTGCACTCCAGCCTGGGCCACGGTGCGAGGTTCCGTCTCATCAAAAGAAGAACAAAAATCTCCATTTCTGGCCGGGCACAGTAGCTCCCACCTGTAATCCCAGCACTTTGGGAGGCTGAGGCGGGTGGATCACTTGAGCCCGGGCGTTGGAAACCAGCCCGGGCAGCATGAGGAAACCCCATCTCTAGAAAAAATGCAAAAATTACACAGGTGTGGGATCTCCCCACTCCAGAGGCTGAGGTGGGAGGATGGCTTCAGTGCAGGAGGCACAGGTTGCAGTGATCTGAGATCGTGCCGTTGCACTCCCGCCTGAGTGACAGAGTGAGACCCGGTCTACAAATAATCCTAATAAAAAGTAAAGTAAAATAAAATAAAACTCCATTTCTGCCGCAAACTGTTTTATTTCTACTGGATACAAGGCACAGATGGTAGAGCCCAGAGTAAGTGGACAGAGATGAGCTTTCTCAAGGCAAAAGAGGATCCCCCACTCCACAGATGACAGCACACACACAAACACACAGTCACACTCTCACACAATCACAAGACACATTTAAGTATCCATTTACACCCCCACCACAGGTCATCTTCAGATTTCCCTGAGTGATTCTCAAATGCATGAGTCTGCACTTCTAACGAGTCTTTTACGAATAGATCCCCAGAGGTGGTCTGTTTGGACAATTAAGGGGGAATCACGATTAGCAACTCTCTCCTAACACCTTGTATATTTGTATATTTCCCTTTACTTCCTTTTCTTTCTTTTCTATTTGGTTATTTATTTATTATTTGAGACGAAATATCCACTGTGCTCGGCATACTTCCCTTTTCTAGGAGTACAAACAAATTATGGAATGATGGGTAACAATCCCCGAAAGAGTCCCTATAAAAGTCAATTCAATTTTTTTTGCTATGGAAGCATTTATAAGACACATTAAAAAAGAATCATTTCAGCCAATGGATAAGGAGGCTATAGCAGAAAGCGAGAATCACTCTTATGCCATGACTACTGGAATGGGTAGGAATGGGGTAGGGCTCTCCTCGCCCACCAGGAAGCACCAAGACTGGCCACTCAAATGGTCAACAAACAGCCTTCTTTTTTTTTTTTTTTTAATTTTTTGATATAGAATTTAGCTTTTGTTGCCCAGGCTGGAGTGCAATGGCGCGATCTCGGCTCACCGCAACCTCTGCCTCCTAGGTTCAAGTGATTCTCCTGCCTCAGCCTCCCGAGTAGCTGGGATTAAAGGCATGTGCCTCTATGACAGGCTGATTTGTATTTTTAGTAGAGTCGGGATTTCTCCATGTTGGTCAGGGTGATCTCCACCTCCCGACTACAGGTGATTGACCCGCCTCGGCATGCCATTGTGCTGGGATTACAGGCGTGAGACACCATTCCCAACCACAACTCTATTCTTTACTGCTGTATTTATTAATTCACTAACATGCATATTCTAACATTACAAACTAGGCCATCCAACACAACTATGCATTAAGACATAGTTAAGGAAAGAATGTACTCAAAGTGATTGGGAACATTAACATTGCTTTCCACACTTTTTTTTTCTTTAAGAACACACATTTGTTGATCAGAGTTCTGGAGGCCGGAAGTCCACGATGAGAGTGCCAGCATGATCGGGGTCTGGTGAGGACCCTCTTCCAGGTTGGAGACTGTCATATCCTCCCTGTCTCCCCACATGGAAGGTGCTGGCGAGCTCTCTTCCGTCACTTTCAGAAGGGCACTAATCCCATTTACGAGGGTTCCACTTTCATAATCTCATCATCTCCCAAGGGCCCCACCTCCTAATACCTCCGCTTTGGAGGTTTGAGTGTTAGAATTTAAGCCTAAAGGAAAAAGCATTTTATTTTTGAGAGAGAGTCTTGCTCTGTTGCCCAGGCTGAAGTTCAGTGGCAAGATCTCGACTCCCTGTAGCCATTACATCCCGGGCGAAAGCGATCCTAACACTTCAGCCTCCTAAGGAGCTGAGACTACAGGCACCTACCAGCACACTTGGCTGATTTTTACATTTTTGTAGAGACGAGGGTCTCGCCATGCTCTTCCGGCTTGTCTCGAACTCCTGGGTTCAAGCGAGCCTCCTGCCTCTGCCTCCCAAAGCACTGGGATTACAGGCATGAGCCAACACTCCCACACCAAGATATTCATACAGTAAATATGAACTCCTATATCAGATTCCATATCTAATAATGATTGCTGGCAGTAAGGATGCTCACAAGTTACAAGGGTAATGATAATGGAATCACCACGATCTTGGCGATGCAGCATCTCAACCTCCTGCCTTCTTCAATTGTGATCATAGAGATGAAGAGCACATGAAACTCTTACACATTTTCTTTCAAGATTTCGCCTAGAAGTGATACATCTAGAATCCTTGATTTTAGAATGACTGTTTTTAAAATCGAGGAGATGAGTACAACACGGTCTTCTGTGTCCCCAGAGTGAGATGAGAAATGTATAAGTGACTCAGGCAGTTATTCAATTATTCTTCTATTCACCAATTTTTCTTTTACACACAGGAAGGAAGGACAGAAGGAAGAGGGGAAGGGGAATGGAAGAAGGCAGGAAGGAAGGAAAGAGGGAAGGGAGGGAGGAAGGATGGAAAGCGGGAGGGAGGGAGTGAGGGGGGGGATGGAGGGTGGTTAGGATCGAGGGAGGGAGAAAGCAAAAAATGTCTGAAAGAACGAAAGAAAGAGAGAAAATATCTCCAAAACCCACAATGAGTCAACAGCAATGAACATTCTCAAGAGAAAGAAGGGTCTCCACCCCAGGAACAGCCACTTCATCCTGGCTTCACACACACACACACACACACACACACACACACACACGCTTTCACAGGCACATCCACAAATCCAATCAAAGGTTCCTTCGTGTCATCCTGAAATTCTCAGCAGCGTTTGTCAAATGCCCTAAGATTGATCTTCTGAAGCACCTTCTTACTTGGGTAGGAAGAAAGAAGCCAACATGTTTAGGAAACATGGCAGGAATTCAAGCAGAGACGCTCAGAGAAGCTTGTGAATTTCCTTCTGCTTCTGCTCCTTTGACACTTCATTTCATGTACATAGCATTCCCCAGGATAGCCCCCGTGAAAATTAACATATTTTTTTTGCATGAAAATATAAAAGGCACACATGAAAAACTATTTCAGCGATGGATGAATTGGGTATGACAGAAAGTGTCTATCATTATTAGGCAAGACCTAGAGGATGGGAGGGGACAGGAAACAGGTTGGCTCTTGATGGGGTTAGGCAGGTTCTGTTGATCGGTCATCTATCGATTGAGTTACGCCCCAATCCTCCATGAGGGCCCCTCCCGTTGTCATACCAGGAACAGCCAATCACATCAGTTCCTGCTGACAAATCCCCTGGCTCCACCCCCTGCTGACAGTGTACAAGATTCCCCCAAGAGCTCAGTTGTCAGAGCCTCATCCACCTGCCGCTGGCCACAGCCCCGTCGCTACACAACCCAAGCCTTCGGGAGCAGCTTTGGGGCTGACACCACTCTCTCAAAGGAACTAAAGGATTCGGGAGCCAAGAAGAAATCTTTGCAGGAGACAGACAAACACTGGCAGTGGCTGACTTGGAGAACCCTGGAAATTTTCACCATGAAAGGTTCCCGGCGCCCAAGAAGCCCCAGTGATTCCTGCACCGAATCCAAGAGCGACCACGCAGGAGAGAGCGGGTGAGCTTTGCTATGTGCTGGGGACGCCTGCGGGGTGACCTGCCTGTGGGATGTGTGGGTGTGTGTTGGAGAGAGGGGAAGGGAAAAGGGTGCATGAACCTGCCATGAGATTGGATGTTTTGAATTTGGGGCCAGAGGGAAGTGAGGTGCCCGTAAGTCATCACAGGGTGCTGGGAAGGCTTCTACATCGCAACCACACACATATCTCAGGGCAGCCCCACTTTCAATCCACCCAACCAGCTCCACAGGGAATGGGTTCTGTGTTCTGCAAGAAGGGAGATTGTAGGACATGATGTGAGAGTTTCAAGATCTACTAGGAAAAATAAAACAGTTTCCTCCTTTTTTCATTTTTAATTTTTCTATTTGTCTTATTTACTGATTTATTTTATTGAGACAGCGTCTCACTCCGATGGTCCACACTGGAGTGCAGTGGCGTGATTTTAGCTGACTGCGGGCTCCACCTCTGAGTCGCAGGTGATCCTCCCACCTGAGCCTCCTGAGTAGGTGAGACCACAGGCATGCACCACCATGACCCACTAATGTTTAGTATTTTTAGTGGAGACTAGCTTTCACCATGTTGCCCAGGCTGCTCTCAAACTCCTGGACTCAAGCAATCCTCTGACCTTGGCCTCCCAAAGTGCTGGGATTACAGGCGCATGCCGTCATGCCCGACAAATTCCTTCCTCTTCTCCTGCTGTGATTCGAATCCTAAGACCCCATTCCTTTGTTACCTGTGTAGACAGAGGTGCCACCTCTCCGGGATCTCAACATCTTTCTCCAGCTCCTCACACCCAAGGAGAGTTTTCCAACTCTCATCTGCGTGAGCTCCTGAAAGGGTAAACTGCTCCCTGTGGGCACCGACCCTCCTTCCCTGCCTTTTCTTCACCCAGGGAAGCTCAGGTAGATGGGGTGAGAACAAGAACAGCTGGGAGTTAGGACAGATTGGGAGCAGGTCTCACAGGAAGTGGATGACGAGTCTGTGGCCTTGAATGAAAGGCAGGGAAGTGGAGTGAATTTGTGGGGATTCAGGGAATTGGACGTTAGGGAACTGCCCGAAATCTGACTGTGTCTCTCTGTCCTACAGCTCCAGCGGCACGCCATCAAATGCCCCAAAACGCCAGAAAGTGGAGGAGCTGGGTCCTCATCCAGGTGAGGCATCTTCTCTTTTTCATCCTGAGTCCCCTGCTACCAAGCCAGTGTCCCGTCACGTCATGAGGCGAGCAGCTGTGCTGTCCAGAGTGTCGGGAGCTTCCTCCTGCAGCTCCGTGGCTGGGTGTCCTGTACCTGGCTTCTTCTGTATTTGGTCTTTCTCACGGTGGCACCTTGAACCCTCAAGGGCATCCTGCATGACAAGGGCTTTCACCTGCACACTCTGCTCTCTCCACAGGTGCAGAACCAGCTCCGGTACAGCCAGCTCCCCACCACCCTGCACAGCTGCCCCTGGAGCTGCCCCAGGTAAGGTCACACCACCTAGGTGGGCGTGGGTGAGACAGGTCTGCCTGAGCTCCAGGCCCTAGGGGACTTGCAGGAAATCACCGTCCCAAGGGGCGTCAATACAGGTGCCAATTCTGGGTGTCCCTGCGGGGTTTCATTTATGCCTGGGGAAGTTACTGGCAGCTCCCCGCCTTGCTCTCTCCCTGTTTGAGCCACCCTCAGAGGACAATGACTGACCCACGGCTTTTCTCCCCCAGGGCCCACAGCTTCCCCAGAGGAAGATGATCATCGCGGTCTTGGAACCAGGAATGGTCCTGCACCTGCGCCTGGGGCAGGAGTTCCTGGGGCTGGACCCACAGGGAGCCCTGCGACTCAGCCTCCTCAATGTGCAGCTCCTGGTGGTCCCTGAGCAACTCTTGATGTCCCTGAAGGATCTCTTGTACCCTGCCCATGCCCGCTGGCTCCTGCTCACTAGTACAGAGACTGTCTGGGAGATTGACATTGAAAATGGATCTGTGAGAGCCCAGAGAGCAGAGAATGTGTGTGTGGCGCCTTCAGTAGAAGAGGGTGAGGCTCCCCAAGGCTTCCTGCCCCTGATGGGACCCCCAGCAAACCTTGTGCATGGAGTCAGCCCTTCTTCCTGGCGTGTCCTCTACCTCAAACCTGACTACAGAGCGGCCGTCCCCCAGGGCTCATCCCAAATGCCCAAGCCTAGTCCCTGGAGACAGGCTCTGCCTGAAGAATTCCACTTGGATCTCCATGGCCTGGAGCCCCTGCCCACCTCTGCCCTCAGACCTCTACCTCCATCACCCAGTCCGGAGCCCAGAATTTGCCACAAGTTTCTATGGAGGCCAACGTGCAAGGCCCGAAGACGTCTCTTCTAAGGCTCATGGGCCATGCACCCTCAGGCACCAGACGGGAATCAGAGACGCTCTATTCAGAATGAAGCACACCTGCTTTTTCATGGTGTCTCCCTGCACACATGTCTCGGCATCTCGGAGGAGAGAGATGCTGCGCATGCTGGAGAGGTGGAGAAATGCTCCGTCCTCTCACCTGAACCTTTGCTCTGCCTCAGATGCTCTTGATTTGTATCAAAGAGCAACCTTGAGATTGGGGCACAAAATATTTGCAAATCTCATATACGTGCAAGGACTGCTCATGCTCAGAATACACAGAGTTGTCAAAACTCCAATGGAACAAACAAATGATTCTGTTCAAAACCCAGCCAGAGACTTGAGCAGACATTTCCTCAAAGGGGATGTAAAGAACCACTTCAAAAAGCGTTCACTGTCCCTCCCCTGGGGAAATGCACGTCAAATACACCTTCAACAACAACCAAGAAGCTCTCCCAGAAGCCACCGTGACAATCACTCACCATCCCAAGGGCTGCGGAGCATGTGGAGAAGCTGGAACACTCTGACAGTGCTGCTTGGAATCCAACTGGGACAACCCCCAGGGAGAAAGAGTTTCATTGATTCATAATCAATGCAATAGGCACTTAGCATTGGAACCATCTTTCCCACCCTGAGATAGTTGTTCTAAAGGAATTAGAACTCACGTGGACAAGGCTGAGGGCAGAGGCTTCTAGCACCTGTCCTCACAATCGCCAAAAGATGGAGGGGCCTTCAATGTCGTTCCACAGTGTCTAGAGAGAGGAACTGTGACCCATTCTTTCAATGGGATGCAGTTCAGCAATGAATAGGCTGGGATTGTTGTTGGTAAATTCAGTTCTAAGAATGAGTAGTGAAGAACTTGTCGAAACACTTGAAGGTATGTTTGGACTCTTACGCTATGTGAGACTTCTCCTGAGATTGTAACTCTCATGAAATTGACATGCACATCAAGCATGTGTGATCGACGTTCAGTTTCCAACTGACGTTTGCTGTAAAACACATACTAGATTTTGCATCTGAGAAT
This sequence comes from Homo sapiens, assembly GCF_000001405.40. Lineage (NCBI taxonomy): Eukaryota > Metazoa > Chordata > Mammalia > Primates > Hominidae > Homo > Homo sapiens. The sequence goes on along the minus strand of NC_000019.10, from coordinate 8,748,968 downwards.
GAAGGATTGTAGCATGTATCTTAGTCATCACTGTGACATCAATTGTATTGGTGTTGATTATATCTGTATTCCTTGGGTTAAATAAAAATGTTAAAATGAGTTTCGTCTATTTGCGTTTCTTTTCTTTAATGTGTTTGCTCAAAAATCTCCATTTCTGGGCCGTGCATGGTGGCTCATGCCTGTAATCCGAGCACTTCGGGAGGCTCAGGCGGGTGCATCACGAGGGCAGGAGATCGAGACCGTCCTGGCTAACACGGTGAAAGCCCGTCCCTACAAAAAAAAAAAAAAAAAATGCAAAAACCTTAGCTGGGCGTGGTGTCGGGCGCCTGTAGTCCCAGCTCTTTGGGAGGCTGAGGCAGGAGAATGGCATGACCCCAGGAGGCAGAGCTTGCAGTGAGCCGAGGTCACTCCACTGCACTCCAGCCTGGGCCACGGTGCGAGGTTCCGTCTCATCAAAAGAAGAACAAAAATCTCCATTTCTGGCCGGGCACAGTAGCTCCCACCTGTAATCCCAGCACTTTGGGAGGCTGAGGCGGGTGGATCACTTGAGCCCGGGCGTTGGAAACCAGCCCGGGCAGCATGAGGAAACCCCATCTCTAGAAAAAATGCAAAAATTACACAGGTGTGGGATCTCCCCACTCCAGAGGCTGAGGTGGGAGGATGGCTTCAGTGCAGGAGGCACAGGTTGCAGTGATCTGAGATCGTGCCGTTGCACTCCCGCCTGAGTGACAGAGTGAGACCCGGTCTACAAATAATCCTAATAAAAAGTAAAGTAAAATAAAATAAAACTCCATTTCTGCCGCAAACTGTTTTATTTCTACTGGATACAAGGCACAGATGGTAGAGCCCAGAGTAAGTGGACAGAGATGAGCTTTCTCAAGGCAAAAGAGGATCCCCCACTCCACAGATGACAGCACACACACAAACACACAGTCACACTCTCACACAATCACAAGACACATTTAAGTATCCATTTACACCCCCACCACAGGTCATCTTCAGATTTCCCTGAGTGATTCTCAAATGCATGAGTCTGCACTTCTAACGAGTCTTTTACGAATAGATCCCCAGAGGTGGTCTGTTTGGACAATTAAGGGGGAATCACGATTAGCAACTCTCTCCTAACACCTTGTATATTTGTATATTTCCCTTTACTTCCTTTTCTTTCTTTTCTATTTGGTTATTTATTTATTATTTGAGACGAAATATCCACTGTGCTCGGCATACTTCCCTTTTCTAGGAGTACAAACAAATTATGGAATGATGGGTAACAATCCCCGAAAGAGTCCCTATAAAAGTCAATTCAAATTTTTTTGCTATGGAAGCATTTATAAGACACATTAAAAAACAATCATTTCAGCCAATGGATAAGGAGGCTATAGCAGAAAGCGAGAATCACTCTTATGCCATGACTACTGGAATGGGTAGGAATGGGGTAGGGCTCTCCTCGCCCACCAGGAAGCACCAGGACTGGCCACTCAAATGGTCAACAAACAGCCTTCTTTTTTTTTTTTTAATTTTTTGATATAGAATTTAGCTTTTGTTGCCCAGGCTGGAGTGCAATGGCGCGATCTCGGCTCACCGCAACCTCTGCCTCCTAGGTTCAAGTGATTCTCCTGCCTCAGCCTCCCGAGTAGCTGGGATTAAAGGCATGTGCCTCTATGACAGGCTGATTTGTATTTTTAGTAGAGTCGGGAATTCTCCATGTTGGTCAGGGTGATCTCCACCTCCCGACTACAGGTGATTGACCCGCCTCGGCATGCCATTGTGCTGGGATTACAGGCGTGAGACACCATTCCCAACCACAACTCTATTCTTTACTGCTGTATTTATTAATTCACTAACATGCATATTCTAACATTACAAACTAGGCCATCCAACACAACTATGCATTAAGACATAGTTAAGGAAAGAATGTACTCAAAGTGATTGGGAACATTAACATTGCTTTCCACACTTTTCTTTTCTTTAAGAACACACATTTGTTGATCAGAGTTCTGGAGGCCGGAAGTCCACGATGAGAGTGCCAGCATGATCGGGGTCTGGTGAGGACCCTCTTCCAGGTTGGAGACTGTCATATCCTCCCTGTCTCCCCACATGGAAGGTGCTGGCGAGCTCTCTTCCGTCACTTTCAGAAGGGCACTAATCCCATTTACGAGGGTTCCACTTTCATAATCTCATCATCTCCCAAGGGCCCCACCTCCTAATACCTCCGCTTTGGAGGTTTGAGTGTTAGAATTTAAGCCTAAAGGAAAAAGCATTTTATTTTTGAGAGAGAGTCTTGCTCTGTTGCCCAGGCTGAAGTTCAGTGGCAAGATCTCGACTCCCTGTAGCCATTACATCCCGGGCGAAAGCGATCCTAACACTTCAGCCTCCTAAGGAGCTGAGACTACAGGCACCTACCAGCACACTTGGCTGATTTTTACATTTTTGTAGAGACGAGGGTCTCGCCATGCTCTTCCGGCTTGTCTCGAACTCCTGGGTTCAAGCGAGCCTCCTGCCTCGGCCTCCCGCCTCTGCCTCCCAAAGCACTGGGATTACAGGCATGAGCCAACACTCCCACACCAAGATATTCATACAGTAAATATGAACTCCTATATCAGATTCCATATCTAATAATGATTGCTGGCAGTAAGGATGCTCACAAGTTACAAGGGTAATGATAATGGAATCACCACGATCTTGGCGATGCAGCATCTCAACCTCCTGCCTTCTTCAATTGTGATCATAGAGATGAAGAGCACATGAAACTCTTACACATTTTCTTTCAAGATTTCGCCTAGAAGTGATACATCTAGAATCCTTGATTTTAGAATGACTGTTTTTAAAATCGAGGAGATGAGTACAACACGGTCTTCTGTGTCCCCAGAGTGAGATGAGAAATGTATAAGTGACTCAGGCAGTTATTCAATTATTCTTCTATTCACCAATTTTTCTTTTACACACAGGAAGGAAGGACAGAAGGAAGAGGGGAAGGGGAATGGAAGAAGGCAGGAAGGAAGGAAAGAGGGAAGGGAGGGAGGAAGGATGGAAAGCGGGAGGGAGGGAGTGAGGGGGGGGATGGAGGGTGGTTAGGATCGAGGGAGGGAGAAAGCAAAAAATGTCTGAAAGAACGAAAGAAAGAGAGAAAATATCTCCAAAACCCACAATGAGTCAACAGCAATGAACATTCTCAAGAGAAAGAAGGGTCTCCACCCCAGGAACAGCCACTTCATCCTGGCTTCACACACACACACACACACACACACACACACACACACACACGCTTTCACAGGCACATCCACAAATCCAATCAAAGGTTCCTTCGTGTCATCCTGAAATTCTCAGCAGCGTTTGTCAAATGCCCTAAGATTGATCTTCTGAAGCACCTTCTTACTTGGGTAGGAAGAAAGAAGCCAACATGTTTAGGAAACATGGCAGGAATTCAAGCAGAGACGCTCAGAGAAGCTTGTGAATTTCCTTCTGCTTCTGCTCCTTTGACACTTCATTTCATGTACATAGCATTCCCCAGGATAGCCCCCGTGAAAATTAACATATTTTTTTTGCATGAAAATATAAAAGGCACACATGAAAAACTATTTCAGCGATGGATGAATTGGGTATGACAGAAAGTGTCTATCATTATTAGGCAAGACCTAGAGGATGGGAGGGGACAGGAAACAGGTTGGCTCTTGATGGGGTTAGGCAGGTTCTGTTGATCGGTCATCTATCGATTGAGTTACGCCCCAATCCTCCATGAGGGCCCCTCCCGTTGTCATACCAGGAACAGCCAATCACATCAGTTCCTGCTGACAAATCCCCTGGCTCCACCCCCTGCTGACAGTGTACAAGATTCCCCCAAGAGCTCAGTTGTCAGAGCCTCATCCACCTGCCGCTGGCCACAGCCCCGTCGCTACACAACCCAAGCCTTCGGGAGCAGCTTTGGGGCTGACACCACTCTCTCAAAGGAACTAAAGGATTCGGGAGCCAAGAAGAAATCTTTGCAGGAGACAGACAAACACTGGCAGTGGCTGACTTGGAGAACCCTGGAAATTTTCACCATGAAAGGTTCCCGGCGCCCAAGAAGCCCCAGTGATTCCTGCACCGAATCCAAGAGCGACCACGCAGGAGAGAGCGGGTGAGCTTTGCTATGTGCTGGGGACGCCTGCGGGGTGACCTGCCTGTGGGATGTGTGGGTGTGTGTTGGAGAGAGGGGAAGGGAAAAGGGTGCATGAACCTGCCATGAGATTGGATGTTTTGAATTTGGGGCCAGAGGGAAGTGAGGTGCCCGTAAGTCATCACAGGGTGCTGGGAAGGCTTCTACATCGCAACCACACACATATCTCAGGGCAGCCCCACTTTCAATCCACCCAACCAGCTCCACAGGGAATGGGTTCTGTGTTCTGCAAGAAGGGAGATTGTAGGACATGATGTGAGAGTTTCAAGATCTACTAGGAAAAATAAAACAGTTTCCTCCTTTTTTCATTTTTAATTTTTCTATTTGTCTTATTTACTGATTTATTTTATTGAGACAGCGTCTCACTCCGATGGTCCACACTGGAGTGCAGTGGCGTGATTTTAGCTGACTGCGGGCTCCACCTCTGAGTCGCAGGTGATCCTCCCACCTGAGCCTCCTGAGTAGGTGAGACCACAGGCATGCACCACCATGACCCACTAATGTTTAGTATTTTTAGTGGAGACTAGCTTTCACCATGTTGCCCAGGCTGCTCTCAAACTCCTGGACTCAAGCAATCCTCCGACCTTGGCCTCCCAAAGTGCTGGGATTACAGGCGCATGCCGTCATGCCCGACAAATTCCTTCCTCTTCTCCTGCTGTGATTCGAATCCTAAGACCCCATTCCTTTGTTACCTGTGTAGACAGAGGTGCCACCTCTCCGGGATCTCAACATCTTTCTCCAGCTCCTCACACCCAAGGAGAGTTTTCCAACTCTCATCTGCATGAGCTCCTGAAAGGGTAAACTGCTCCCTGTGGGCACCGACCCTCCTTCCCTGCCTTTTCTTCACCCAGGGAAGCTCAGGTAGATGGGGTGAGAACAAGAACAGCTGGGAGTTAGGACAGATTGGGAGCAGGTCTCACAGGAAGTGGATGACGAGTCTGTGGCCTTGAATGAAAGGCAGGGAAGTGGAGTGAATTTGTGGGGATTCAGGGAATTGGACGTTAGGGAACTGCCCGAAATCTGACTGTGTCTCTCTGTCCTACAGCTCCAGCGGCACGCCATCAAATGCCCCAAAACGCCAGAAAGTGGAGGAGCTGGGTCCTCATCCAGGTGAGGCATCTTCTCTTTTTCATCCTGAGTCCCCTGCTACCAAGCCAGTGTCCCGTCACGTCATGAGGCGAGCAGCTGTGCTGTCCAGAGTGTCGGGAGCTTCCTCCTGCAGCTCCGTGGCTGGGTGTCCTGTACCTGGCTTCTTCTGTATTTGGTCTTTCTCACGGAGGCACCTTGAACCCTCAAGGGCATCCTGCATGACAAGGGCTTTCACCTGCACACTCTGCTCTCTCCACAGGTGCAGAACCAGCTCCGGTACAGCCAGCTCCCCACCACCCTGCACAGCTGCCCCTGGAGCTGCCCCAGGTAAGGTCACACCACCTAGGTGGGCGTGGGTGAGACAGGTCTGCCTGAGCTCCAGGCCCTAGGGGACTTGCAGGAAATCACCGTCCCAAGGGGCGTCAATACAGGTGCCAATTCTGGGTGTCCCTGCGGGGTTTCATTTATGCCTGGGGAAGTTACTGGCAGCTCCCCGCCTTGCTCTCTCCCTGTTTGAGCCACCCTCAGAGGACAATGACTGACCCACGGCTTTTCTCCCCCAGGGCCCACAGCTTCCCCAGAGGAAGATGATCATCGCGGTCTTGGAACCAGGAATGGTCCTGCACCTGCGCCTGGGGCAGGAGTTCCTGGGGCTGGACCCACAGGGAGCCCTGCGACTCAGCCTCCTCAATGTGCAGCTCCTGGTGGTCCCTGAGCAACTCTTGATGTCCCTGAAGGATCTCTTGTACCCTGCCCATGCCCGCTGGCTCCTGCTCACTAGTACAGAGACTGTCTGGGAGATTGACATTGAAAATGGATCTGTGAGAGCCCAGAGAGCAGAGAATGTGTGTGTGGCGCCTTCAGTAGAAGAGGGTGAGGCTCCCCAAGGCTTCCTGCCCCTGATGGGACCCCCAGCAAACCTTGTGCATGGAGTCAGCCCTTCTTCCTGGCGTGTCCTCTACCTCAAACCTGACTACAGAGCGGCCGTCCCCCAGGGCTCATCCCAAATGCCCAAGCCTAGTCCCTGGAGACAGGCTCTGCCTGAAGAATTCCACTTGGATCTCCATGGCCTGGAGCCCCTGCCCACCTCTGCCCTCAGACCTCTACCTCCATCACCCAGTCCGGAGCCCAGAATTTGCCACAAGTTTCTATGGAGGCCAACGTGCAAGGCCCGAAGACGTCTCTTCTAAGGCTCATGGGCCATGCACCCTCAGGCACCAGACGGGAATCAGAGACGCTCTATTCAGAATGAAGCACACCTGCTTTTTCATGGTGTCTCCCTGCACACATGTCTCGGCATCTCGGAGGAGAGAGATGCTGCGCATGCTGGAGAGGTGGAGAAATGCTCCGTCCTCTCACCTGAACCTTTGCTCTGCCTCAGATGCTCTTGATTTGTATCAAAGAGCAACCTTGAGATTGGGGCACAAAATATTTGCAAATCTCATATACGTGCAAGGACTGCTCATACTCAGAATACACAGAGTTGTCAAAACTCCAATGGGACAAACAAATGATTCTGTTCAAAACCCAGCCAGAGACTTGAGCAGACATTTCCTCAAAGGGGATGTAAAGAACCACTTCAAAAAGCGTTCACTGTCCCTCCCCTGGGGAAATGCACGTCAAATACACCTTCAACAACAACCAAGAAGCTCTCCCAGAAGCCACCGTGACAATCACTCACCATCCCAAGGGCTGCGGAGCATGTGGAGAAGCTGGAACACTCTGACAGTGCTGCTTGGAATCCAACTGGGACAACCCCCAGGGAGAAAGAGTTTCATTGATTCATAATCAATGCAATAGGCACTTAGCATTGGAACCATCTTTCCCACCCTGAGATAGTTGTTCTAAAGGAATTAGAACTCACGTGGACAAGGCTGAGGGCAGAGGCTTCTAGCACCTGTCCTCACAATCGCCAAAAGATGGAAGGGCCTTCAATGTCGTTCCACAGTGTCTAGAGAGAGGAACTGTGACCCATTCTTTCAATGGGATGCAGTTCAGCAATGAATAGGCTGGGATTGTTGTTGGTAAATTCAGTTCTAAGAATGAGTAGTGAAGAACTTGTCAAAACACTTGAAGGTATGTTTGGACTCTTACGCTATGTGAGACTTCTCCTGAGATTGTAACTCTCATGAAATTGACATGCACATCAAGCATGTGTGATCGACGTTCAGTTTCCAACTGACGTTTGCTGTAAAACACATACTAGATTTTGCATCTGAGAATGAAGGATTGTAGCATGTATCTTAGTCATCATTGTGACATCAATTGTATTGGTGTTGATTATATCTGTATTCCTTGGGTTAAATAAAAATGTTAAAATGAGTTTCGTCTATTTGCGTTTCTTTTCTTTAATGTGTTTGCTCAAAAATCTCCATTTCTGGGCCGTGCATGGTGGCTCATGCCTGTAATCCGAGCACTTCGGGAGGCTCAGGCGGGTGCATCACGAGGGCAGGAGATCGAGACCGTCCTGGCTAACACGGTGAAAGCCCGTCCCTACAAAAAAAAAAAATAATAAATGCAAAAACCTTAGCTGGGCGTGGTGTCGGGCGCCTGTAGTCCCAGCTCTTTGGGAGGCTGAGGCAGGAGAATGGCATGACCCCAGGAGGCAGAGCTTGCAGTGAGCCGAGGTCACTCCACTGCACTCCAGCCTGGGCCACGGTGCGAGGTTCCGTCTCATCAAAAGAAGAACAAAAATCTCCATCTCTGGCCGGGCACAGTAGCTCCCACCTGTAATCCCAGCACTTTGGGAGGCTGAGGCGGGTGGATCACTTGAGCCCAGGCGTTGGAAACCAGCCCGGGCAGCATGAGGAAACCCCATCTCTAGAAAAAATGCAAAAATTACACAGGTGTGGGATCTCCCCACTCCAGAGGCTGAGGTGGGAGGATGGCTTCAGTGCAGGAGGCACAGGTTGCAGTGATCTGAGATCGTGCCATTGCACTCCAGCCTGAGCGACAGAGTGAGACCCGGTCTACAAATAATCCTAATAAAAAAGTAAAATAAAATAAAACTCCATTTCTGCCGCAAACTGTTTTATTTCTACTGGATACAAGGCACAGATGGTAGAGCCCAGAGTAAGTGGACAGAGATGAGCTTTCTCAAGGCAAAAGAGGATCCCCCACTCCACAGATGACAGCACACACACACACACACACAGTCACACAGTCACACTCTCACATAATCACAAGACACATTTAAGAATCCATTTATACCCCCACCACAGGTCATCTTCAGATTTCCCTGAGTGATTCTTAAATGCATGAGTCTGCCCTTCTTTTTTTTATTTTTTTATTTTTATTTTTATTGATCATTCTTGGGTGTTTCTCGCAGAGGGGGATTTGGCAGGGTCATAGGACAATAGTGGAGGTAAGGTCAGCAGATACACAAGTGAACAAAGGTCTCTAGTTTTCCTAGGCAGAGGACCCTGCAGCCTTCCGCAGTGTTTGTTTCCCTGGGTACTTGAGATTAGGGAGTGGTGATGACTCTTAAGGAGCATGTTGCCTTCAAGCATCTGTTTAACAAAGCACATCTTGCACCGCCCTTAATCCATTTAACCCTGAGTGGACACAGCACATGTTTCAGAGAGCACAGGGTTGGGGGTAAGGTCATAGATCAACAGGATCCCAAGGCAGAATAATTTTTCTTAGTACAGAACAAAATGAAAAGTCTCCCAAGTCTACTTCTTTCTACACAGACACAGCAACCATCCGGTTTCTCAATCTTTTCCCCACCTTTCCCCCTTTTCTATTCCACAAAACCGCCATTGTCATCATGGCCCGTTCTCAATGAGCTGTTGGGTACACCTCCCAGACGGGGCGGCTGGCCGGGTAGAGGCGCCCCTCACCTCCCGGATGGGGTGGCTGGCCGGGCGGGGGCTGACCCCCCCACCTCCCTCCCGGACGGGACGGCTGGCCGGGCGGTGGGCTGACCCCCCACCTCCCTCCCTGACGGGGCGGCTGGCCGGGCGTGGGGCTGACCCCCCCACCTCCCTCCTGGACGGGGCGGCTGGCCGGGCAGAGGGGCTCCTCACTTCCCAGTAGGGGCGGCCGGGCAGAGGCGCCCCTCACCTCCCGGACGGGGCGGCTGGCCGGGCGGGGGGCTGACCCCCCCACCTCCCTCCCGGATGGGGCGGCTGGCCGGGCGGGGGGCTGACGCCCCCACCTCCCTCCCGGACGGGGCGGCTGCCAGGCGGAGATGCTCCTCACTTCCCAGACGGGGTGGCTGCCGGGTGGAGGGGCTCCTCCCTTCTCAGACGGGGCGGCTGCCAGGCAGAGGGGCTCCTCACTTCTCAGACAGGGCAGCCGGGCAGAGGCGCTCCTCACATCCCAGACGGGGCGGCGGGGCAGAGGCGCTCCCCACATCTCAGACGATGGGCGGCCTGGCAGAGACGCTCCTCACTTCCTAGATGGGATGGCGGCCGGGCAGAGACGCTCCTCACTTTCCAGACTGGACGGCCGGGCAGAGGGGCTCCTCACATCCCAGACGATGGGCGGCCAGGCAGAGACGCTCCTCACTTTCCAGACGGGGTGGCGGCCAGGCAGAGGCTGCAATCTCGGCACTTTGGGAGGCCAAGGCTGGCAGCTGGGAGGTGGAGGTTGTAGCAAGCTGAGATCACACCACTGCACTCCAGCCTGGGCGCCATTGAGCACTGAGTGAACAAGACTCCGTCTGCAATCCGGGCACCTCGGGAGGCGAGGCTGGCGGATCACTCGCGGTTAGGAGCTGGAGACCAGCCCGGCCAACACAGCAAAACCCCATTTCCACCAAAAAAATACGAAAACCAGTCAGGCGTGGCAGCGCGCTCCTGCAGTCCCAGGCACTCCGCAGGCTGAGGCAGGAGAATCAGGCAGGGAGGTTGCAGTGAGCCGAGATGGCAGCAGTACAGTCCAGCTTCGGCTCGGCATCAGAGGGAGACCATGGAAAGAGAGGGAGAGGGAGACTGTGGGGAGACGGGAGAGGGAGAGGGAGAGGGAGAGAGCGAGTCTGCACTTCTAACGAGTCTTTTAGGAATAGATCCCCAGAGGTGGTCTCTTTGGACAATTAAGAGGGAATCACAATTAGCAACTCTCTCATAACACCTTGTATATTTGTATATTTCCCTTTACTTCCTTTTCTTTCTTTTCTATTTATTTATTTATTTATTTATTTATTTATTTATTTATTTATTTTTGAGACGAAATCTCCATTGTGCTCGGCATACTTCCCTTTTTTAGGAGTTCAAACAAATTACGGAATTATGGGTAACAATCCCCGAAAGAGTCACTATAAAAGTCAATTCATTTTTTTTGCTATGGAAGCATTTATAAGACACGTTAAAAAACAATCTTTTCAGCCAATGGATAAGGAGGCTATAGGAGAAAGTGAGAATCACTCTTATGCCATGTCTACTTGAATGGGTAGGAATGGGGCAGGGCTCTCCTCACCCACCAGGAAGCACCAAGACTAGCCATTCAAATGGTCAACAAACAGCATTTCTTTTTTTTTTTTTTTTTCTTTTTTGAGATAGAGTTTGGCTTTTGTTGCCCAGGCTGGAGTGCAATGGTGTGATCTTGGCTCACCACAACCTCTGCCTCCTAGGTTCAAGTGATTCTCCTGCCTCAGCCTCCCCAGTAGCTGGGATTAAAGGCATGCGACACTGTGACAGGCTGATTTGTATTTTTAGTAGAGTCGGATTTCTCTTGATCAGGCAGATCTCGAACTCTCGACTTCAGGTTATCTGCCTACCTTGGCCTTCCAATGTGCTGGGATTACAGGCGTGAGCCACCATTCCCAACCCGAAGAGCATTCTTTACTGCTGTATTTGTTAATTCACTAACATGCATATTCTAACATTACAAAGTAGGCCATCCAACACAACTATGCATTAAGACATAGTTAAGGAAAGAATGTACCAAAAGTGATTGGGAACATTAACATTGCTTTCCACAGTTTTTTTTTTTTAAGAACAGACATTTGTTTATCACTGTTCTGGAGGCTGGAATTCCAAGATGAGGGTGCCAGCATGATCAGGGTCTGGTGAGGACCCTCTTCCAGGTTGGAGACTGTCATATCTTCCCTGTCTCCTCACATGGAAGGTGTTGGCGAGCTCTCTTCTGCCACTTTCAGAAGGGCACTAATCCCATTTACGAGGGTTCCACTTTCACAACCTCATCATCTCCCAAGGGCCCCACCTCCTAATACCTTCACATTGGAGGTTTGAGGGTTAGAATTTAAGCCTAAAGGAAAAAGCGTTTTGTATTTGAGAGAGAGTCTTGCTCTGTTGCCCAGGCTGAAGTTCAGTGGCATGATCTCGGCTCTCTGCAGCCTTGACATCCCAGGCTCAAGGGATCCTCCCACATCAGCCTCCCAAATTGCTGGGACTGCAGGCACCTACCACCACACTTGGCTGATTTTTACATTTTTTGTAGAGATGGGGTCTCCCTGTGTTGTCCTGGGTGGTCTCAAACTCTTGGGCTCAAGTGAGCCTCCTTCCTCTGCCTCCCAAAGCACTGGGATTACAGGCATGAGCCACCACTCCCAGACCAAGATATTCATACAGTAAATATGAACTCCTATCTCAAATTTGATATCTAATAATGATTGCTGGCAGTAAGGATGCTCACAAGTTACAAGGGTAATGATAATGGAATCACCACGATCTTGGTGATGCAGCATCTCAAACTCATGCCTTCTTCAATTCTGATCACAGAGATGAAGAGCACATGAAACTCTTACACATTTTCCTTCATGATTTGGCCTAGAAGTGATACATCTAGTCTCCTTGATTTTAGAATACTGTTTTTAAAATCAAGGAGATGAGGCCAACATGATCTTCCGTGTGCCCAGAATGAGATGAGAACTGTATAAATGTCTGAGGCAGTTATTCAATTATTCTTCTATTCACCATTTTTTTTTGACACAGTCTCACTCTGGCGCACAGGCTGGAGTGCAGTGGTAAAATCTTGACTCTCTGCAACCTCTGCATCCCAGCCTCAAGCGATTCTCGTGCCTCAGCCACCCAAGTAACTGGGATTACAGGCGTGCTCCACCACACCCAGCTAATTTTTGTATTTTTATTAGAGAATCGGATTCGCCAAGTTGCCCAGGCTCATTTTGAACTCCTGAGCTCAGGCGATCTGCCTGCCTAGGCCTCCCAAAGTGCTGGAATTACAGGTGTGAGCCACTATACCAGGCCTGTTTTTGTAATTTTTTTTAAGAGAGAGGGTCTCACTGTGTGGCCCTTGCTGCTCTCCATAGTGATTGAATTAACCAACACTGTACAAGCGTTCCTTTTTCTCCACATCCTTACCAGCATGTATTATTGTCTGTCTTTTGGATGTAAGCTAACTGGGGTAAGATGATATCTCCTCACAGTTTTGACTTGCATTTCTCTGATGATCAGTGATGTTGAGTACCTTCTCATAAGCCTGTTTGCCATTTGTATATCTTCTTTTGAAAAACGTCTATTCAGAGGCCGGGCGCGGTGGCTCATGCCTGTAATCCCAGCACTTTGGGAGGCCAAGGTGGGTGGATCACCTGAGATCAGAAGTTTGAGACCAGCCTGGCCAACATGATGAAACCCTTTGTCTACTAAAAGTACAAAAATTAGCTGGGCGTGGTGGCTGGTGCCTGTAATCCCAGCTACTTGGGAAGCTGAGGCAGGAGAATCGCTTGAACCTGGGAGGCGGAGGTTGCAGTGAGCTGAGATCGTGCCATTGCACTCCAGTCTGGGTGACAGAGTGAGACTCTGTCTTGAAAAAAAAAATCTATTCATGTCTTTTGCCCATTTTCAAAATCAAATTATTAATTATTAGATTTTTGTCCTATTGGGCCAAGGACGGTGTCTCACACCTGTAATGCCAGCACTTTGAGGGGCTGAGGTGGGAAGATTACCTGAGGTCAGGCATTTGAAACCAGCCTGGCCAATATGGTGAAATCCTATCTCTACTAAAAATACACAAATTAGCCGGGCATGGTAGCAGGTGCCTGTAGGGCCAGCTACTCGGGAGGCTGACGCAGGAGAATTGCTTGAACCTGGGAGGTGGAGGTTGGGGTGAGCCGAGATTGTTCCACTGCACTCCAGACTGGGCAACAGACTCTGTCTCAGGAAAAAAAAAAAAAAAAAAAGATTGTGTTCTATTGAGTTTTTTGAGCTCCTTCTGTATTTTAAATTAATTTCTATATTTTACTTATCACCTGATAGACCCTGTAAATGTGCATATTTTGATCAAATATCTAAGTTGCCCATGATTTAGTTTGTTTTCTTCTTGCTTCCTCAGAGTTTTGTTAGCTTTATAATGTTTAAATATTAGCTTGATGATATATTAATATTTCTAACATATTGAGGAGTTTTCCTAAATTCAAAAGTTAGTCGAGCAAAATTCTTTTACACATGTGTAATCTATTGTCCACAGGACTCTTATTAAATCATCATTGTCGAGATGTTTTGAAATTCTATCTTTATCACACACTAGGTTTTCAGGACAGAAATGGTTCTAAAAACAAATGTTCCTCCATCGATTTACTGCTTTGTGTTATTGCTTTTGCTCTAAGTTTTCTTTTCCTAATATCAAACTTGAGAATAATTTTTGGTATTGAGGTGGAATTGACATAATAAAACACTAATTATTTTAAAGTGAACAAATCAGCAGCATCTGGTACATTCATGAAGTGATGCCCCAGCTGTCCCCTCTCTCTAGTTCCAAGTCATTTTTGCCACCCAAAATCAGACTCTTACCCATTAAGTAATCAACCCCAATTCCCCTCTGCACCCACCTCTAAGATCATGTAGCCATCAATCTGCTTTCTTTCTTTTTTTTTTTTTTAAGACAGAGTCTGGCTCTGTCACCCAGGCTGGAGTGCAATGGCGCAATCTCGACTCACTTTAACCTCCACCTCCCGGTTCAGTTGATTCTCTTGAGATTCCTGAGTAGCTGGGAGTACAGGCATGCACCACCACGCCCGGCTAATTTTTGTATTTTTTTATTTTTAGGAGAGACAAGGTTTCACCATGTTGGCCAGGCTGGTCTCAAACCCCTGACCTCAGGTGATCCGCCCACCTCAGCCTCCCAAAGTGCTGGGATTACAGGCATGAGCCACTACGACCGGCCATCATCAATCTGCTTTCTCTTTCTATTGATTTAACTATTCTAGATACTTTATATAAATGAATTTATACCACATGCTATCTACTGTGTCAGGCTTCTTTCATTTATTATAATATTTTCAAGGTTTATATACATGGTAGCAGATATCTTTTTTGCTTTTCTTTTCTTTTTTTTTTTTTTTTTTTTTTTTTTTTTTGCAAGACAGGGTCTCACTCTATCACCCAGGCTGGAATGCAGTGGTGTGATCTTGGCTCACTGCAACCTCTGCTTCCAGGCTCAAGTGATTCTCCTGCCTTAGTCTCCCAAGCAGCTAAGACTACAGGTGCGTGCCACCACAGCCTGGACTTTTTTTTTTTTTTTTTACTTTTTGTAGAGATGGAGTTTCACTATGTTGAGCAGGCTGGTTTCAAGCTCCTGGCCTCAAGTAATCCTCTTACTTTGGCCTCCCAAAGTGCTGGGATTACAGGTGCAAGCTACCACAGCCAGTCTTTCATTCCTTTTTATGACCAAGTAACATTCCATTATATTGATTCTGTTTATGCATTCCTCCATTAGTGGACGTTTGGGTTTTTTCCACCTTTGGCTGTAGAGGTAGGCCGCTGTGAGCATGCATGAGCAAGAATTTGTTTAAGCACACTTCTTTTGGGTATACACCAAGGAGCGGAATGGTTGGGTTGTGTGGTGATTCCATGTTTATAACTTTTTTTATTTTAAGACAGGGTCTCACTCTGTCGCCCAGGCTGGAGTGCAGTGGTGCCATCTTGGCTCACTACAACCTCCGCCTCCTGGGCTCAAGCAATTCTTCTGCCTCAGCCTCCTGAGTAGCTGGGATTACAGGTGCCCGCTACCACACCCAGCTAACTTTTGTATTTTTAGCAGAGATGGGGTTTCGCCATGTTGGCCAGGCTGGTCTCGAACTCTTGACCTCAAGTGATATGCCCATCTCGGCCTCCCAAAGTGCTGGGACTATAGTCATGAGCCACCACACCACCACAGGTAGACGGGGTGAGAACAAGAACAGCTGGGAGTTAGGACAGATTGGGAGCAGGTCTCACAGGAAGTAGATAACAAGTCTGTGACCTTGAATGAAAGGTGAGGAGATGGAGTGAATTTGTGGGGCTTCAGGGTGAGGATTTGTGGTGGCTCACACCTGTAATCCCAGCACTCTGGGAGGCCCAGGTGGGCGGATCACATGAGGTCAGGAGTTCGAGACCATCCTGGCCAACATGGTGTAACTCCGTCTCTACTAAAAATACACAAATTAGCCAGGGGTGGTGGCAGGCACCTGTAATCCCAGCTACTCAGGAGGCTGAGGTAGAAGAATTGCTTGAACCTGGGAGGTGGAGGTGGAGGTGAGCCGAGATCGAGCCACTGCACTCCAGCCTGGGCAACAGAATGAGACTCTGTCTCAAAAAAAAAAAAAAAAAAAAAAAAAAAAGATTTTGTCCTACTGAGTTACTGGAGCTCCTTGTATATTTTTAATTAATTTGTATATTTTACTTATCACCCAGTAGACACTGTAAATATACATATTTTAATAAAATATCTAAGTTACACCTGATTTATTTTCTGTTTTCTTCTCAGGGCCAGCTTTGGTGCTGACACTTCTTCAGAGTTTTGTTAGCTTTATAATGTTTAAATATTAGCTTTATAATATATTGATATTTCTGGCCAGATGTGGTGGCTCACACCTGTAATCCCAGGACTTTGGGAGGCCAAGAAGGGCAGATTACTTGAAGTCAGGAGTTTGAGGCCAGCCTGGTCAACATGGTGAAACCCCATCCATACTAAAAATACAAAAATTAGTTAGGCATGGTGGCGCACGCTTGTAATCCCAGCTACTTGAGAGGTTGAGGTGGGAAGATTGCTTGAACCCGGGAGGTGGAAGTTGCAGTGAGCCGAGACTGTACCACTGCACTCCAGCCTAGATGACAGAATGAGACTCCATCTCAAAAAAAATGGGGGGGGGGGTACATTGTTACAGAAATAATATACTGTCTGAGCACAATGGCTCACATCTGTAATCCCAGCACTTTGGGAGGCCGAGATGGGAGGATTGCTTGAGTCCAGGAATTCAATACGAGCCTGGGCAACATCATGAGACCCCATCTCTACAAAAAATGAACAAAATTAGCTGGGCGTGGTGGCACATGCCTGTAGTCCCAGATACTCAAGAGGCTGAGGCAGGAGGACCCCTTGAGCCTAGGAGTTCTAGTCTGCGGTGAGCTATGACCATGTCACAGCATTCCAGCCTGGGCGACAGAGTGAGACCCCGTTACAAAAAGAAAAAAAAGAGAGAGAAAAAAAATATGCTGAATGTGATTGGGATGATTACCATTGCTTTCCACAAGTCCATGAGGGAAAACATGAACCCAGCTAGTCATCAGCAGGGAGGAACTCGGCGTGAGCAGGGAGGAACTGGGCAGACACTTAGCCTTGGACATAAGCACTTAGCAGCTGAATTTTACACTTCAAAGTGGCTCATTTTATGTTACGTGTATTCTACCTCAATTTAAAAGGCAGACATTTTCTCAAAAAGTTGCACCTTGGGCAATGGCTGGATATTTGGCCAGTTGCACAAATTGGCAATTGAATGCCAAATGCATACTTTGGGAAGGTGGGTGGGATCGAGGACCGCTGGAATCTCACCAGCAGTTTCTATGTAGTCAGCACATTTGCCTGAGTCCAGCTCTGCTAAGCACTTTGACCAAAGCCATCCACACCTCCGGATTCCTCAGACTGTAGATAAGGGGGTTGAGTGTAGGGGTGACAAGGCTATAGAAGAGGGAAACCACGTTATCCTGCTGTGGACTGTGGTAGGCGCAAGGCACCATGTACATGAACACGGCGGCACCATAAAAGAGCCCCACTACCGTGATGTGCGAGGAGCAGGTGGTGACAGCCTTGTGTCTGGCCTCCTCTGAGCGCATGCTTAGAACAGCCTGCAACACGTGGCCGTAGGAGGTGGCGATGAGGGAAAGAGGGAGCATTAGGATCAGCACCCCTGAGGTGGACAGCGCCATCTCGTAGGCACAGGTATCTGCACAGGAGAGCTTCAGTAGGGCTGGCACCTCACAGAAGAAGTGATCCACAATACGGGAGGCACAGTAGGGAAAATGCAGGGTGATGGAGGTCTGGATGGAGGCGTTGAGCACACCTACCACCCAGGAGGAGCCCATCATCAGCAGACATACCTGGCGTCTCATAAGTACAGGATACTGCAGGGGCTGGCACACAGCAACATAACGGTCATAAGACATGAGGACCAACAGGACGCCCTCAGCCACACCCATCAGTGTGAGGAAGAATATTTGAGCTGCACCACCTCCATAGGAGGTGGCACCTTCTCCCCGCAGAAAGTCTGATGCCATCTTGGGGATGGTGACCATGGGACAGCCAATGTCAAACAGGGAGAGCTGGCTGAGCAGGAAGTACATGGGTGTGTGGAGCCGGGAGTCCACACGGATCAAGAAGAGAAGAACGGTGTTGCCCAGAAGGCCTATGACAAACATGACAGCCACCAGGGAGAAGAGGAGCTGGCGTGATCCTGAGTGACTGAAGAGGCCCACCAGAATGAAGTCTGAGGCCACCGACTGATTCACATCCCCCATGTTTTACACAATGCACTTTAGCTGCAGGAAGAACAGCTGAACTATGGCAAGAAGCCTGCATGGGGTGGCAAATAATTTTCATCTCACATGCCAATCATCATTGATTGGTAGTGGCTTCCTGGGATGGTGTCTTGAGAAGAGTAATGAGGCTGCAGCTAGAATCAGTAGGCTGGAGGGAGAAAACTTAATCAGTTAGTGTCTATCCAAGGCATGGGATGGGAAAGAAGCAGCTGGCATCTCTGAATGAGACGCTTGGCCACACTCCAATGAAGAGCTACCCACTGCTCCCTATAGTGAAAAATTTGAGGTTCGGCTGGACGTGGTGCCTCACGCCTGTAATCCCAGCACTTTGGGAGGCCGAGACAGGTGGATCACGAGGTCAGGAGTTCGAGACCAGCCTGACCAATATGGTGAAACCTCGTCTCTACTAAAAGTACAAAAATCAGCTGGGTGTGGTGGCACTCGCCTGTAATCCCAGCTACTTAGGAGGCTGACACAGGAGAATTGCTTGAACCCGGGTGGTGGAGGTTGCAGTGAGCCGAGATCATGCCACTGCACTCCAGCCTGGGCAACAGAGCGAGACTCCATCTCAAAAAAAAAAATGCGGTTCAAGTTAAAGACAGCCACATAGATGGTGGAATGCTTCAATACCCCTCATCCCAGGGGTCCTTAACCAAAGCTGAGGTCAGATACCAAAAGGGCTGGGAGGTGAAACGGGATGATGAAACTGAAGCAACAAGCTAAGTAAGAAAACAGAGAGAAGGGCTTGCTTGGGTCTAAATGCGTGGATGAGAATCTGAAGCAAAGAGAAATCTGTGATGAGCCAGCACTGGAATCAAATTGAGGGAATGCCCAAGGAAAATAAATCATTCTACCAAATGAGCATGTTTATCACAGCACTATTCACAATAACAAAGAAATTGAATCAACCGGGGTGCCTATCAGTGGTGGACTGGATTTTTTTAAATGTAGTATATAGACACCATGGATTGCTATGCAGCCATAAAAAAGAATACAATTGGCTGGGCACAGTGGCTCATGCCTGTAATCCTAGCACCTTAAGAAGCCAAGACAGGAGGATCACTTCAGCCCAGGAGTTCAAGACCAGCCTGGGTGACATGACAAGACCCCATCTTGGAGCCCGGGGATGGTGGCTCATGGCTATAATCCCAGCACTTTGAGAGGCCGAGGCGGGTGGATCACCTGAGGTCAGGAGTTCGAGACCAGCCTGACCAACATGGAGAAACCCCATCTCTACTAAAAATACAAAATTAGCTGAGCGTGGTGGCATATGCCTGTAATCCCATCTATTCGGGAGGCTGAGGCAGAAGAATCGCTTGAACCCAGGAGGCGGAGGTTGCAGTGAGCCGAGATCGCACCATTGCACTCTGGCCTGGGCAACAAGAGCAAAACTCCGTCAAAAAAAAAAAAACCATCTCTACAAAAAATTTAAAGTTCGACTTGGTGGTGACTGCCTGTAGTCTCAGCTACTGGGGAGGCTACGGCAGGAGGATCACTTGAGCCTGGGAGGTCGAGGCTGCAGTGAGCTATGATCACATCACTGCACTCCAGCCTGGGCCACCGAGCAAGACCTTGTCTTAGAAAAAAAAAAAAAAACCTGTTCATTGCAGTGACATGGACGCAACTGGAGCCCATTATCCTAAGTGAATTAAGGCAGAAACAAAACCAAATACCACATGTTCTCACTTATCAGTGGAAGCTAATCACTGGGTACGCAGGAATATAAATAGGGGAACAGCAGACACTGGGGACTTCAGAGGGAAGCAAGGGTTAAAAAACTACCTATTGGGCCCTTTTCACAAGATGGCGCCGAAAGCAAATAAGGAAGCTCCTGCCCCTCCTAAAGCCGAAGCCAAAGTGAAGGCTTTAAAGGCCAAGAAGGCAGTGTTGAAAGGTGTCCACAGCCACTAAAAAAAAGATCCCACATGTCACCCACCTTCCAGCAGCCCAAGACACTGTGACTCCGGAGGCAGCCCAAATATCCTCGAAAGAGCACCCCCAGGAGAAACAAGCTTGGCCACTCTGCAATCATCACGTTGCCGCTGACCACTGAGTCCACCATCAAGAAGATAGAAGACAATGACACACTTTCGTTCATTGTGGACATTGAAGCCAACAAGCACCAGATCAAACAGCATGTGAAGTAGCTCTATGACATGGATGTGGCCAAGGTCAACACCCTGATTCAGCCTGATGAAGAGAAGAAGGCATATGTTCGACTGGCTCCTGATTATGATGCTTTGGATGTTGCCAACAAAATTGGGATCATCTAAACTGAGTCCAGCTGGCTAATTCTAAATATATGTATATCTTTTCACCATAAAAAAAAAACTACCTATTGGGTACTATGTTCGCAATTTGGGTGACAGTTTCAATTGAAACCCAAATCAGCATCATGCAATATATCCATGTAACACACCTTGCATATGTACCCCCAAACGTATTTAACAGAAGAAAAACATT
Source organism: Homo sapiens (assembly GCF_000001405.40). Classification (NCBI taxonomy): domain Eukaryota; kingdom Metazoa; phylum Chordata; class Mammalia; order Primates; family Hominidae; genus Homo; species Homo sapiens. The sequence goes on along the minus strand of NC_000019.10, from coordinate 8,728,544 downwards.
TAGGGTATAAATCTAAAGAAAGGAAACCATAGAGGCACAATGACAGCAGGAGGGGGTTGAATGGCCTGGGGAGGGGCAGTTGCTGCTGAGCTCAGCTATTACTGGTGGCTTCACTGCATTGGATGGGAGAGCAGCGGCCTGTGGGTAGTCTGACTCAATTTCAAGGACTACTATGAGACACTAGCTCTAGAAGATTTTATGTCCCTAAGTATTGCCTGAGTGAATGAGGTGAACAAGAAGGATGGCCAAGAACCAGGAAGAGCTGCACACTTAAATCAGGAATACTTCCTCTCTTCGGCAACCTCCAAGCTCCCAGACAAAGCCAGATTATTCTGAAAGACCATGCAGTGCCCACAACTCCAGCAATGGAAAATGCAGGACCTGGTGAATGTTCTTTCCCAACTGTGGATGGTTAAGAAGCATGCTAAAAAGGAAAAGAAAAAGCAAAGAGGACAGGAGTGGTTCTCTCAGAGAAATGGTCTGAGCTAGCACTTTTGCTTTACGCCAGTATTTATCCACTTTGGGCTATATGACCAGGGCTGTTTTATTATTCGTATGTTTTATAAAATAAGATTCTATTTCTCATTCCTGCTCAAGGTGAGTGGAAGATAGCATCCTCATCCCTGCTCAACCCAATTGAGGTGTTTTCTTTTTGTTTGGTTTGGTTTTGTTTTGGTTGAGACAGAGTCTTGCTCTGTGACCCAGGCGGGAGTACAGTGGCGTGATCCTGGCTCACTGCAACTTCCGCCTCCCCGGTTCAAGCAATTCTCCTGCCTCAGCCTCCCAAGTAGCTTGGATTACAGGCACATGCCATCACAATCAGCTAATTTTTGTATTTTTAGTAGAGACAGGGTTTCACCATGTTGGCCAGGCTGGTCTCAAACTCCTGACCTCAAGTGATCAGCTCGCCTTGGCCTCCCAAAGTGCTGGGATTACAGGCGTGAGCCACTGTGCCCGTCCTCAACTGAGTTGTTTTTTTTTATTATTATTATTATACTTTAAGTTTTAGGGTACATGTGCACAACGTGCAGGTTTGTTACATATGTATACATGCGCCATGTTGGTGTGCTGCACCCATTAACTCGTCTGAGTTTTTATTGAATTGTTTTCTAAGGAGTCAGAGTGAGTTATGAATAAAACACATCTTCAGGGCAAAACAAATAGAGCTGATTCCCAGCATGCCAGACAGCCAGGAAGAGTTTTCAACAGAGGTGACCAGGGGCTGAGGAAGAGTGTCTCTCAGACAACACAAAAAGCTGCCCAAAGTGGCTGCTTCATGGCATTACTAAGAGTGCAATGGAGGCCGGCTGCACTGACTCACGTCTGTAATCCCAGCACTTTGGGAGGCTGCAGTGGGAAGATCGCTTGCACCCAGGAGTTTGAGACCAGCCTGGGCAACATAGGGTGCCTCCATCTCTACAAAAAAATTACAAAAGTTAGCTGGGCGGGGTGATACAAGCCTGTCATCCCAGGTACTTGGGAGACTGAGGCAAGAGGATTGCTTGAGCCCAGCAGGCTGAGGCTGCATGATCACCCCATTGTACTTCAGCCTGGGAGACTGAGCGAGACCCTGTTTCAAAAGGAAAATGGAATTTTAAGAAAAAGATAAATAAATAAAAGAGTGCATGGGGTTAAATTTAAAAAAAAAGAAAAAAGCAGCAAGACTGATCATTTAAGAGCAAGTAGATTCTACTGAAGGCCTCCCTGGAGCTCTTTGTCATGAGGCTGCCTGTGGAATTATTCCTCACTCAGATGATGGCCTGCAAGGCTGTCTTTAGTTATACGCCATCCTGATTTTTCTCATTCCATCCAAGCTCCTCTCTACCATTCATCCATGCATTCAACAAAATGTGTCATGCCCTAGAATGGGCATAAAACATTCAGAGGTGAATCATCCAGGCAAGATCCCCGGTTCTCTGGACTCCACCATCTCCATCAGGAGACCAATGACCAACAAGAAGATAAATGCACAAGACCTTTGTGATAGGGGGAAGTGCAGGGGTGAAGTGGTCAGGATGCCCTGTAGGTAATAGCTAAGGACACTACAAGACGTGGTCAGGGAAGCCTCTTGAGACAGGTGAGAGCTGCCTGGTATGGTTTGGACCTGTGTCCCCACCCACATCTCATGTTGAATTGTAATCCTTAATGTTGGAGGTGGGGCCTGCTGGGAGGTGATTGGATCATGGAGGTGGCTTCTCATGAATGGTTTAGTACCATCCCCCTTGGTCATGATAGTGAGTGAGTTCTTGCGAGATCTGGTCATTAAAAGTGTGTAGCACCAGCCAGGCATGATGGCTCACAACTGTAGTCCCAGCACTTTGGGAGGCCAAGGCGGGCCGATCACGAGGTCAGGAGTTTGCAACCAGCCTGGTCAACACGGTGAAACCCTGTCTCTACTAAAAATACAAAAAATTAGCCAGGTGTGGTGGCAGGTGACTGTAATCCCAGCTACTCGGGAGGCTGAGGCAGGAGAATCACTTGAACCCAGGAGGCGGAGGCTGCAGTGAGCCGAGACCGTGCCACTGCATTCCAGCCTGGGCACAGAGTGAGACTCCGTCTCCTCCACCCACCAAAAAAAAGTGTGTAGCACCTCCCTCTGCCTCTACTCCTGCCATGTAAGACATCTGCTTCTCCCTCATCTTCCACCATGATTGTAAGTTCCCTGAGACCTCCCCAGAAGCAGAAGTCATTATACGTCCTGTACAGCCTACAGAACCATCGCCAGTGAAACATATTTTCTTTATAAATTACCCAATCATCTCAGATAGTTCTTTAAAGCAATGCAAGAATAGACTAATACACTGACCTTGCTATCTGATGACCTTCATGAGGGGAAGAGTAGAATTGCCTGCTTTATACTACTGGAAGGTGGATGTTAATGAGGGCAGCTGTGTGGTTCAACCTAGCAAAGAACTTTCTAACAGTGAAATCTAACCAAAAATGGAATGGAGTGCCTCATTGGTAGCATTTTTCCAGAGTCAATCAAAGATGTATGGGAGTTTGGCTGGGCGTAGTGGCTCACGCCTGTAATCCCAATGCTTTGGGAGGCTGAGGCGGGCAGATCATTTGAGGATGGGAGTTCAAGACCAGCCCAGCCAACAAGGTGAAACCCTGTCTCTACAAAAAATACAAAAATTAGCCAGGTGTGGTGGCGGGCACCTGTAATCCCAGCTACTCAGAAGGCTGAGGCAGGAGAATTGCTTAAACCCAGGAGGCAGAGGTTGCAGTGAGCCGAGATCATTCCACTGTATTCCGGCCTGGACAACAGAGCGAGACTCCAACACAAAAAAAATTAAAAGAAAAACAAAGATGTATGGGAGTTAGACAATTTAGCCCTGCAGTTATAGAATTTAGAGTTAGAGTTTGACAGGGAACATGAGCATTGTTGAACTCATTTCAGCATAGTCTGATGAGCAATTTAATAAAAATACATGCATGATGATTTTTGGTACCCAGGAGATGAAACTCTGCCTGGGATGGGATCTGGGAAGCCTTCACAGAGAAGGAGGCATTGGAGCTGAGTTTTGAAGGTCAGGTAGGAATTTTCCAGAGAGCTAGAAGAGGGAAGGTTGTTCCAGACAGAAATAATACAGTATCTGGACTCTATGGACTGGTGGTTAAGAAAATGCACCCAGGAGTAAGACATAAAATAGGCTTGCAGGCAGAAGCCCAGGCAATAGTTTTCACACCCACTCCTCCAGCTGTGTTTTGGAAGCAAGGAGAGCTTTCTGAGAGCTGGGCAGCTCCTCTAAGCCTATCACCTCCTACCCAAGGACACACTTTTTGTACCCCATTCTCAGTAATGAAGAGAAGTCTGTCGGTGGATAATTGAAGGTGGTCGAGCATCTGTCTTTCATCAACCCCTGAGCCCCGAAAATGGAAAAAATGAAAGAATGAAATGCAAATCTAAGTTTTTGGGAAGAGAAGTGAGGATGGTGGGAATGGAGGTGGCTGGGGAAGCTGTTATAGAAATATTCAGCAAGCCCTTGATGACAATGACAATAACAATAACCACACTATTAGGCTGGGTGTGGTGTTTCACATCTGTAATCTCAGCACTTTGGGAGGCTGGGACCAGCCCAGGAGTTTGGGACTAGCCTGAGCAACATGGCAAGATCCCGACTCTACAAGAAATAGAAAAATTAGCCAGGCATGGTGGCACATGCTTATAGTCCCGGCTACTTGGGAGGCTAAGGTGGGAGGCTCACTTGAGCCCAGGAGGTGGAAGCTGCAGTGAGCTGTGATCACACCACTGCACTCCAGCCTGGGCAACAGAACACAGAGTGAGACCCTCTCTCAATTAAAAAAAAATGACCATAGGTATTAATACCTCTATGAATTTTGGGGATGAGAAGACAGAGATCTGAGAAGTGCAGTGCCTTGTCCAGGATGAACCAGCAAGAAGGTAACCAAGTCAAGATTCTAACAAAATGAGATTTAATTCCAAAGTCCTTGTTCTTGCATCGGCATTTCACACATCTCCAAACACTGTAATAGATATTCAAGATTTGCTTCACACACACACACACACATACACACACACACACACACACACACACACACACACACACACACAAACAGACTCCCCTTCACCACTAAGTTATGATTTCTGGCTAATGGGTGATCATGTCCCACCCTGGTCTGGTAGAGAAGCCACACTTGCCAACCCTCAGGGCCAATGGTCCACCCTAGAACTGTTCTAGGACTGGCATTTCCCCTGGTTTCAGGCATTGTGGCCCTTTGGGATGGTGGGGAAGGCTTCTGCACCAACAACTCTGCAGGACCTGCCTTGAAACTGCAGAGCACTCTTGGGAAGAAACCACACAGGTTGACATTTGGGTCTAGAACAGTGTCATCGCCCCACCACTGGTTTCTGTAATTCTTCTTCTGTTTTCACAGACCCTTATCTGGTGACACACACACACACACACGCACTGTATGTGTAAAATCCAACCAAAAATGAAATGGAGTGCCTCATTGGTGGCATTTTCCAGAGTCAACCAAAGATGTACGGGAGTCAGATAATTTAGCCCTGCAGTTATAGAATTTAGAGTTTGAGAGAGAACATGAACATTGTGCAACTCATTTCAGCATAGTCTGATGAGCAATGTAATAAAAATACATGCATGATGATTTGGGTACCCAGGGGATGAAACTCTGCCTGGGATGGGATCAGGGAAGGCTTCACAGAGAAGGAGGCATGGAAGTTTTGAAGGTCAGGTAGAGGAGGGAAGGTTTCCAGAGAGCTAGAGGAGGGAAGTTTATTCCAGGCAGAAGTAATAGAGCATCCGGACTGTATGGACTGGTGGATAACAGAATCCACCCAAGAGTAAGACATAAAACATGATTGCAGGCAGAAACCCAGGCAACACTCCTGTGTGCCCCCAAACTCACCTTTCCTTTCAGGGTGCCCAGGTGGTCCCACTGTCTTTGATGCATCTGAAAAAAATAAAAACCCCTGGTTTTGGGGATCTCTAGCAGTTCCTCTAATTCCATTGTAATGCCTTTGTGTCCTGAGCTTTTTTTGGTAGAGGGAACAGAGCCTCACTCTGTCACCCAGGCTGGAGTACAGTAGCACAATCATAGCTCACTGCAGCCTTCAACTCCTGGGCTCAAGCCATCTTCTTGCCTCAGCCTCCCGAGTAGCTGGGACTCCAGGTGTGCACCACCACACCTGACTAATTTTTATTTTTTAATTTTTTTGTAGAGATGCGGTCTTGCTATGTTTCCCAGGCTGGTCCCTTAATCCCAGTTTTAAATAATACCTCCCCATCTTGGCCTCACAAAGTGCTGGGATTATGTCCTGAGCTTTTGGCACACTGTTTCCCACTGAAATCTCTTTCAGAAAAAAATGTTCCACCCATCCAACCTCTCTCACCTGCTGCCCCACAGTCAGACAGGCAGAGCTGGAAAAAGTAGCCATGACTTACTCTAATCTGGGCTGGAACATCTCACAGTGATTCCTAAATCAGTCCTTCTTTGGGTGGGAGGAGAGTCCCTTTGAAAAGTTTTAAAGTTGTGGTTTTACCTGTCCCTTTCCCGTTTTCCTCAGGGATGCCAAAATGTGGGTCTAGAGTGGTCCCTTTGCTGACACTGAGTGACCAGAAGAAAGGAGCTACATTATTTATCTTCTTGTTGCCAATAAAACTCACATCAGTCCGTTATGACCAGGCATGATCTGGACTCTTGGTCACTTTAGTAGCCAAATGATCACATGACAGTTTGCAGGACAAACTGTCACTTATATTATTTATTAAATTCTCACATTCTCTTATATTATATTCACTTATATTATTTAATTTAATATATAATATAATTTACTTAATAAAATAATTTAATTCACTTATATTATTTATTTATTTCTCACATTCTCACATCTCAAGGATCCACAGCAGAGCCTGCTCAGTAAATAGTTGTTAAATGAATACGTCCTGCAAGGGAAATAATGATTGTTGGAACTAAAGTTAAAGACAAATGGACTCAGAGAGGGTAAGTGACTTACCTAAAGTCACACAGCTAAGAAGAGGGTAGACTGGGATTTGAACCCAGTTTGATTTCAGATCCTGAGCTGTCTCTATTCTGGACACTGTCTCTTTCTTGGACTTAACACTCAACTCATCTTCCCTGGAATTCTGAGCTGAGAATTCCTCCAGAGCATCACTGTTGTAGGATGGTCACAGTCTCCAGAAAGTGAGCTGAAGGTGCTTCCAGCCCATGCCAGATGGGTTGTTCTAGTCCCGGCCCCATGGCCAAGGTGAGGTGCCCACCCCTTGCTGCTTCCAGCACATTTTATGGAAGGTTTGGAATGAACGTCAACATGGGTGACCTTCTGCTATCTAGAGGTCCAGCCTGCTTGGATTCACAGCAGCAATAACAGACAAGGTAAGATGCATCCAGCGTGCAGGTTGGCAAATGTCCAAGAGGTAGACAAAAATTCATCTTTCCATCCAAATACCTGTACAAGCTCAACCCAATGAGCTTGTGAAACACAATACCAGCAGTTCTGGGGGCCCATCTTGCCACTAATACTAGTCTCTAAATTATGCCCAGACCCCCAAGATCTCCACAAGGCTGGGTTCCAAACTCTCACCCCCAGTCACCAAGGTCTGTGTGCAGACAGAGTGATGGATCCCTCTCAATGCCCCATGAGCATGTCAACTCCCTTCATTGCAAGACAGCTCCTGAAAAAAACCTCCCCAGGCTCCAGCATCTTGGGTTTAATCAGTGCCACCTTGGTCTATGCAAAGATAGACATCCTTGTCTGGGGATCGAGGCTCCAGGGACAGCTTTTGCATCAGAACCCCTCTGGGTCTCCCTTTCTGTTAGGAAAAAAAAATAGTTTCAGTGGGAGCCTAGAGCCCATGATACTTGGATTGTCCCTGGAGGATTGTGGAAAAACATTTACTCATCTCTCAATTAACCATGGGGAAAATGGGCAACACTGATGCAGATAATTGGATATGGCAGATACCCAAGTCCTTTTGCTTGGATCTAAGAAGAGAAAGGAGATGAGGGAATCCATTACTACAAAGGGACCCTCATGTTCCAAAGGAAATCTGATGTCCAGGAGATTTTTTTCTGCATTAAATACTGGGGCAGTGATGGTGGTGGCACAGCCAAGAGGCAGATTCCCTGGTCAGGACATTTCTTCCACTGAGTTCCATCCTTGAGGGGCTTCCAAGACTCAGGCAAAGCAATGGTCCAGAGACAGATAGATCATAGAGAGACCCTGCCTCTACAAAAACATTTTTTAAAGATTAGCTGGGCATGGTGGCACACACCTGTAGTCCCATATTCCCAGATACTTGGGAGGCTGAGGTTAAAGAATTGCTTTAGTCCAAGATTAATTTCTTCACAAGGGTCAGTAACAGTTCATGGACCACAATTTGAGTGGCACTGCCATAGACCATGAGTTCCTCAATGGCAAGAGCCTGCAATTATTCATTTTTGTATAACTGGTGACCAAGGGACATGGACACATTAATGTTTACTAAATAGGAAGGGCTGAAACAGACAGGAGTTTAGAAAAAGAAATCAAGATATGGAGAAATGAGCAGTGGGATTTGGATGCTCAACACCTAGCACAAATTGACTGGCACCAATGATGGATGGATGGATGGATGGATGGATGGATGGATGGATGGATGGATAAATGAATGGATGGATGGATGGATGGATGGATGGATGGATGGATGGATGGATGGATAAATGGATGGATGGATGGATGGATGGATGGATAAATGAATGGATGGATGGATGGATGGATGGATGGATGGATGGATGGATGGATAAATGGATGGATGGATGGATGGATGGATGGATGGATGGATGGATAAATGGATGGATGGATGGATGGATGGATGGATGGATGGATGGATAAATGGATGGATGGATGGATGGATGGATGGATGGATAGATAAATGGTTAGAGGGATGGATGATGGATGGATGGATGGATAGGTAGAGGAATGAGTGAAGGGATGGAGGGGTGGAGGATGAATTGATGATGGATGAAAGGGTATAGAAATATATAGAACAAACCATGAAAATTGTTTTTGACTACACCATGTCATTATAAAGAACAAGGGAAGAGAAAACATGACAGAGAAAACATGTTAATACTCTCGACATGTGCCTCAAATATTAATAAATTATTATTAGTAATAAAGGATTAATATTAATCCTCTGAATTCCAGCTCCATTTTTTGCCATTGCTGTGTGCCATCCACATTCATTGTCTTGATAGAGGTAACTCCTGCTTAATGTCAATTATACGTTTCTGAAAAGCAGATGCTCACAAAATTGTCCACTGGGACTCTATATTCCATTATTTCAAATGTGAAAAGGCTGTATTGTACCTCAACCCAAAAGTCTCAAATAATTTCCTGGAATATAGCTGAAACTAGTAAAAGGCTTGTGTATCAGTAATCAGTAACAAACTGTCATGTTAGGATATGAAATATTTAAAATACTGCTTCCTGTTAACCAAAAAAATGAAATGGTTAGTTTGATATGAGGTCATATTTCTCTTCATGGCTTCCTTTTCCAAGATTTTCTTTCACTCTCTCAGCTTTTGGGAAACTCATTGCAGAACATTAACCTTTGCTTTTGCCAAAATATAGAAAGCCTTGGGGAAATAAACTCAGGACAAGAGCACAACAGTATAGAATGCTTCACACTGGGCCAGGAGTGGTGGCTCACCCCTGCAATCCCAGCACTTTGGGAGGCCAAGGCAGGGTGGATCATTTGAAGTCAAAAGTTCGAGACCAGCCTGGCCAACATGGTGAAACCCTGTCTCTACTAAAAATACAAAAATTAGCTGGGTGTGGTGGTGTGCACCTGTAATCCCAGCTACTCGGGAGGCTGAGACAGGAGAATCGCTTGAACTTGGGACAAAAAAGTTGCAGTGAGCTAAGATCACGCCACTGCGCTCCAGGCTGGGTGACAGAGGGAGACTCCAACTCAAAAAAAAAAAGAATGCTTCACACTGAGTGTGACATTATGATAACATGTCTTAGGACCAGCAATATCTGAGACACACACTCTCTTTTGTTATCACTTGGGACACTTTTTCTTCATGTCATTTTACGTAAAATCTTGTATTTATTGGGAGGCAAAGATTGCTTGAGCCCAGGAGTTTAAGATTGCAGTGAGCTATGATTGCTGCCTCCAGCCCAGGTGACAGAGTGAGACTCTCTCTCAAAAAACAATCTTGTATTTATTTAGATGTAAATATAAACGTTTCCCATAAAACCATAGGCCAGAGAACATTATATTCAAAGAAACACACATTTTATAAACTTTGTGCATTAACACCGAGAGATTTGGCATTCTACTGGAAAAACTTAACCAGAAAGATACCTATATTTTTAAAATTACTCACTTTTAGTTGTTTTTTTTTTTAGAATTGACTTAATTTCATCTTTTATGCTGACATTATACAATTTATAAGCTATCACTTTTTGCCTTCAGAAGAGATAAACTGAAAATGATGGAAATGGCTAAAAAATTAAACACCAAGTATTCTCTCCGTTTTTCTAACTTTTACTTAAAATATTTTAGACTAAAAGAAGAGTTGAATGAACACCCATATACCCTCCAACAATTGTTAATCTTTTGCCCATTGTTTTATCTCTTTATATACGTATAAACGCACACATTATTTTATTCAGATGAAATTCACAGGCTGGGCATGGTGGCTCACACCTGTAATCCCAGCACTTTGGGAGGCCAAGGCAGGCAAATCACCTGAGGTCAGGAGTTCAAGACCAGCCTGGCCAACATGGTGAAACCCCTTCTCTACAAAAATACAAAAATTAGCCTGGCATGATGGTGGGTGCCTGTAATCCCAGCTACTTGGGAGGCTGAGGCAGGAGAATCGCTTGAACCCAGGAGGCGGAGGTTGCAGTGAGCCAAGATTGCACCACTGCACTCCAGCCTGGGCGACAGAGTGAGACTCCATCTCAAAATAAATAAATTAATAATAAGGAAATATGCGTAACATAAAAATTAGCTATTTTAAAGTGTATAATTCAGTGGCATTTAGTACATTCACTATGTTGTACAATCATCAACTCTATCTAGCTTCTAGATAAAAATGAAAACATTTTTATCACCAAAGAAACCTCTGTATCCATTAAGCATTCACTCCCCGTTCCTTCCCTCTCAGCCTCTGGCAACCATCAGTCTGATTTCTCTAAGTATAAATTTACCTATTCTGGATATTTCATGCAAACAGCATCATACAATGTATGATCTTTGTGACCTTTCATTGAGAATTTACACACACACACATCTAGAGAAGACGCATCCACAGAAAGGGCTTGAAAGGCCCCCAGACTACAGACAGTCAGATTGATTGGTGAAGTTCTCGCTCTGTCTGTAAGAAGCCAGCCTGTAAAGACTATAAGACATAGTTTTCTCAAATGCATGGTGTCAGGAAACACAAATAAAAAAGGAAAGATGCCTAGGTTTTCTTCTAGGGTTTTTATGGTTTTAGGTCTAACATGTAAGTCTTTAATCCACCTTGAATTAATTTTTGTATAAGGTGTAAGGAAGGGATCCAGTTTCAGCTTTCTACATATGGCTAGCCAGTTTTCCCAGCACCATTTATTAAATAGGGAATCCTTTCCCCGTTGCTTGTTTTTGTCAGGTTTGTCAAAGATCAGATGGTTGTAGATATGCGGCATTATTTCTGAGGGCTCTGTTCTGTTCCATTGATCTATATCTCTGTTTTGGTACCAGTACCATGCTGTTTTGGTTACTGTAGCCTTGTAGTATAGTTTGAAGTCAGGTAGCTTGATAACATTCAGGACATAGGCATGGGCAAGGACTTCATGTCTAAAACACCAAAAGCAATGGCAACAAAAGCCAAAATTGAGAAATGGGATCTAATTAAACTAAAGAGCTTCTGCACAGCAAAAGAAACTACCATCAGAGTGAACAGGCAACCTACAAAATGGGAGAAAATTTTCACAACCTACTCATCTGACAAAGGGCTAATATCCAGAATCTACAATGAACTCAAACAAATTTACAAGAAAAAAACAAACAACCCCATCAAAAAGTGGGCAAAGGATATGAGCAGACACTTCTCAAAAGAAGACATTTATGCAGCCAAAAAACACATGAAAAAATGCTCATCGTCGCTGGCCATCAGAGAAATGCAAATAAAAACCACAATGAGATACCATCTCACGCCAGTTAGAATGGCGATCATTAAAAAGTCAGGAAACAACAGGTGCTGAAGAGGATGTGGAGAAATAGGAACACTTTTACACTGTTGGTGGGACTGTAAACTAGTTCAACCATTGTGGAAGTCAGTGTGGCGATTCCTCAGGGATCTAGAACTAGAAATACCATTTGACCCAGCCATCCCATTACTGGGTATATACCCGAAGGATTATAAATCATGCTGCTATAAAGACACATGCACATGTATGTTTATTGCGGCACTATTCACAATAGCAAAGACTTGGAACCAACCCAAATGTCCAACAACGATAGACTGGATTAAGAAAATGTGGCACATATACAGCGTGGAATACTGTGCAGCCACCAAAAATGAAGAGTTCCTGTCCTTTGTAGGGACATGGATGAAACTGGAAACCATCATTCTCAGCAAACTATAGCAAGGACAAAAAACCAAACACCGCATGTTCTCACCCATAGGTGGGAATTGAACAATGAGAACACATGGACACAGGAAGGGGAACATCACACTTTGGGGACTGTTGTGGGGTGGGGGGAGTGGGGAGGGATAGCATTAGGAGATATACCTAATGCTAAATGACGAGTTAATGGGTGCAGCACACCAACATGACACATGTATACATATGTAACAAACCTGCACATTGTGCACATGTACCCTAAAACTTAAAAGTGTAATAATAATAAGATAAAATTAAAAAAAGGAAAGATGGTTCCCCAAAAAGGAAACTAAATCTCCAGAAACGGATTCTAAATAATTGAGGTAAATTACCTGAAAAAGAGTTCAAAATAACCATCATAAAGGTGTTCTATGAGCTCAAGAAAATGATGCATGAACAAAATTAAAATATCAATAAAGAGATTTAAACAGTTTTCAACCAAATAGTATTTATGGTGCTAAAGAATATAGTAACTGAACTAAAAAATTCAATAGAGGGGTTCAATAGTAGATTTGATCAAGCAGAAGAAATAATCAGGTCATTTGAACATATCCAATCAGAGGAACAAAAAGAAAAAAAAATGAAAGAGAGTGAAGAAACCTTAAGGGACTTATGTGACACTGTCAAGCCGAACAATATACACATCATGAGATTATTAGAAAAAAGAGAGAAAAATAGCAGATAGTTTCTTTAAAGAAATAATGGCTAAAAACCTTCCAAACCTGAGACAGGAAATGGACATCCAGATCCAAGTAGCCTAATAGACTTCAACTAGGATAAACCCAAAGAAATCCACACCAAGACACATAATCAAATTATCAAAAGCTAAAGACCAAGAGATTTTTGAAAGCAGTGAGAGAAAGGCAACTCATTTCATACAAGGGAACCTGCATAAAACTATTAGAGGATTTCTCTGCAGAAATCTTGCAGCCCAGAAGGGAGTAAGATGATATAGTCAAAGGATTAAAAGAAAAAATGCCAACCAAGAATCTTATATCTGGCAAAGCTACCCTTCATAACTGAATAAAGACTTTTCTATATAATCAAAAGCTGAGGGAGTTCATTACCACTAGTTCTGCCTTACAAGAAATGCTGAAAGAGTCCATCAGGTGAAAATGCTACAATAGTAGTGTTTAAATCACTATTCATTCTGGCATAGAAGTTTTAAGACAAAAATATTTTTAAAAACTATAACTTCAAAAATATATTAATGAATATGCAATATAGAAAAGACTGAATTTTTAACATCAATAACAAAATCTAGGGGGAGTAAAAGTGTAGAGTTTTTATATGTGATTGAAGTTATCAGTTTAAAATAGATTGTTATAAATATATTTATAGGAGTTTCATTTTAGCCACAAAGAAAATACTTATAGTAGATACACAAAAGAAAATGAGAAAAAAAATCAAAACATGTCACCATAAAAAAAAATCAATGAAATACAAAGAAAGATAGCAAGAGAGGAAAAGAGATGAAAAACTACAAGACAGAAAACAATGAACAAAATTGCCCTAGTCCTTCCCTATCAATAGTTACTTTAAATGTAAATGGATTAAACTCTTCAACCAAAAGACATACAGTAGCTGAGCATATTTTTTAAGACTCAAGTATTGCTGTCTACAAGAGACCCACTTTAGCTTTAAAGAAACACAATAGGCTGAAAATGAAAGGATAGAAAAAAAATATTCCATGCAAACGGTAACCAAAACACAGCAAAGATAGCCATACTTGCATCAGACAAAATAGACTTTAAATCAAAAATCAAGGACATTGTATAATGATAAAAGCATCATCTCATCCAAGAAGATATAATACGTATAAATATATACACACTCAGCACCAGACCACCCAAATATATGAAGCAAACATTGACAGAACTGAAAAGATAAATAGAAAGCAACACAATAAGAGTAGGGAATTTCAGCATTCCATCTTCAATAATGGATAGAACATTCAGACAAAAGATCAATATGGAAACAAAGCACTTGAACGATACTAAAGAGCAAATGGACCTAACAGACATATACAGAACATTCTCTCCAACAATAGCAGGATACACGTTCTTCTTAGGTACATGTGAGACGTTCTCCAGCATAGATCACACGTTATCTCACAAAACACAACGTAACACATTTAAGAAGGTGGAAATCGTTGTCAAGTATCCTTTGCAATCTCAATGCAATGAAACTAGAAGTCAGTAGCAGAAAGAAAACTGAACATTTCACAAATATGTGGAAGTTAAACAATATGCCTTCGAACAACCAATGGGTCAAAGAATAAATCAAAAAGGGCCCAGTGAGGTGGCTCACGCCTGTAATCCCAGCACTTTGGGAGGCTGAGGTGGGTGGATCACCTGAGGTCAGGAGTTCGAGACCAGCCTGACCAACATGGTGAAACCACGTCTCTACTAAATACAAAAAAAAGTTAGCTGGGTGTGGTGGCAGGTGCCTGTAGTCCCAACTACTTGGGAGGATGGGGCATAAGAATCGCTTGAACCCAGGAGAGGGAGGTTGCAGTGAGCCGAGATCATGCCACTGCACTCCAGCCTGGGCGACAAGAGCGAAACTCCATCTCAAAAAAGAATAAATCAAAAGGGAAAATAGAAAATATCTTGAGACAATGAAAATGAAAACACAAAATACTAAAATTTATGGGATACGACAAAAGCAGACGAAGAGGGAAGTTTAGAGTGATAAATTACTACATTAAAAATGAGGGAAAATCTCAAATAAATGACCTAACTTTAAGCCTCAAGGAACTAGAACTAGAAAAAGAAAAACAAGCCAAAAGTTAGCAGAAGAAAGGAAATAACGGAGATTGGAGCAGAAATAAATTAGATACGCAGCCAGAGATGGCTGGAGGCACGGCCGCCGCTCTCAGTTCATCCTCATGTTGTGCGGCCCAGGGTTTTAAAAAAAAAAATTTGGAAGAGCATGGTGGCTGACGCCTGTAATCCCAGCACTTTGGGAGGTCGAGGCAGGCAGATCACCTGAGGTCAGGAGTTCAAGACCAGCCTGACCACCATGGAAAAACCCCGTCTCTACTAAAAATACAAAAATTAGCCAGGCGTGGTGGCAGGCACCTGTAATGCCAGTTGCTCGGGAGGCTGAGGCAGAAGAATGGTTTGAACCCAGGAGGCGGAGGTTGCAGTGAGGCAAGGTTGTGCCACTGTACTCCAGCCTGTGTGACAAAGTGAGACTCTGTCTCAAAAAAAAAAAAAAAAAAAGAAATAAATAAAACAGAAAAACAATAGAAAAATTAATGAAACTAAAAGTTGTTTTTTGAAAAGATGGACAAAACTGGCAAATCTTTGGCTAGACTACCTAAGAAAAAAGATAGAAGATGCAAATAAATAAAATCAGAAATGAAAGAAGAGACATTACAACTGAGGTCACAGAAATAAAAAGTGTCATAAGAGACTACTATGAACAATTATATAACAACAAATTAGATAACCTAGAAGAAATTGATACATTTCTAGAAATGCATGACCTGCCAAGACTGAATCATGAAGATGCAGAAAATCTGAATAGATATATGACTAGTAAGGATATTGAATCAGTAACCAAAAACCTTATAACCAAGAAAAGCCCAGGACCTGGCCGGGCCCGGTGGCTCACGCCTGTAATCCCAGCACTTTGGGAGGCCGAGGCGGGTGGATCACAAAGTCAAGAGATCGAGACTATCCTGGCTAAAACGGTGAAACCCCGTCTCTACCAAAAATACAAAAAAAATTAGCCGGGCATGGTGGCAGGCGCCTGTAGTCCCAGCTACTCAGGAGGCTGAGGCAGGAGAATGGCATGAACCCAGGAGGCGGAGCTTGCAGTGAGCCAAGATCACGCCACTGCACTCCAGCCAGGGCGACAGAGCGAGACTCCATCTCAAAAAAAAGGAAAGAAAAGCCCAGGACCAAATGGCTTTATTGATGAATTCTACCAAACAAATGTACAGAAGAATTAATGTCAGTCCTTCTCAAACTCTTATTTAAAAAAACAAAATGGAGAGGAGTGAACACTTCCAAACTCATTTTACAAAGCCAGAATTACCCTGACACTACAACCAGAAAAAGATACTTTAAGAAAACTATAGGTCTTTTATCTTGGACACCCCCATTGTGTCACCAAAGCATAAATATTTGCAGAAATAACAGCCTCAAGGGCCTTGAATATCACCGACACACAATAAAGTTCCTTTCTCTTCCTTCACACCTTCTTCTTCTACCACTCGCCCACCCCACCATTGCCAGCACCTTTCAAAATGGGGCCAGCCATCAAAGACTACCTGCAATGCCACCTTCTCAGCGAAGACCATCCTGGTTTCTCCCACCTGACACTCTTCCTGACAGATTCACCTGACCTTGTTTAAAGAATCCATTAATGTTCAACTTGGTTTATGTTGCAATTGTGTGTATCTGGAAGTGTAGCATACTTGGCAAGAATGAAGACTTGGAAGCAGACTTCTTGGGTTGAAAATTTGATTCTACTCTTCATAAGCTATTAGATTCCAGGCAAGCTGCTTAATACCTCTGTGCCTGGTTTTCCTCCCCTGTAATGTGAGAATAAAGATTAAATGGGCTAACAGTTGTAACCCACTTAGAAAGTAACTGGGAACATTGAGGCTGTAACAGTGTTTGATATTATTACTATCTTTTTTTAGAGATGGGGTCTTGCTATGTTGCCCAGTCTGGATTCAAATTGCTGGAATCAAGCTGTCCTTCAACTTTAGCTTCCTGAGTAGCTGGGACTACAGGTGCACACCACCGTACCCTGCTACTGTCATTATCTGTGAGGCTTGTAAGCAATCCACTTCTACCTTGCCTCTGGCCTGTTAACATTTTCTTCTTTCCCAGATTGTTTTTCAAATAGTAAAGTACACAAACATAAAATTTACCATCATAACCACCTGTAAATGTACAGTTCAGTAATGTTAACTATACTTATGTTGTTGAGCCACAAATCTCTGGAACTTTTCCATCTTGCAAAACTGAAACTCTGTACCTGTT
The DNA here is from genome assembly GCF_000001405.40 of Homo sapiens. Taxonomy (NCBI): domain Eukaryota; kingdom Metazoa; phylum Chordata; class Mammalia; order Primates; family Hominidae; genus Homo; species Homo sapiens. The sequence goes on along the minus strand of NC_000019.10, from coordinate 8,711,393 downwards.
AAATAACTCCCTATTCACCTCCGCAACTCCAGCCTCTGGCACCTGCTATTCAACCTTCTGTTTCTATGAGTTTGACCACTGTAGATACCTCGTATAAGTGGAATCCTACAGTATTTGACTTTTTGTGACTGGCTTATTTCACTTTGCATGATGTCCTCAAGATTTATTCATGGCTTTGCATGAGCAGAATTTCCTTCCTTTTTAAGGCTGAATAATATTTCACTGTATAAGTATAGCACATTTCTTTATCCTTTTTTTTTTTTTTTTTTTTTTGAGAAAGTCTCACTCTGTCACCCAGGCTGGAGTGCAACGGCCAATCTTGGCTCACTGCAATCCCCATCTCCTGGGTTCAAGCCATTCTCCTGCCTCAGCCTCCCAAGTAGCTGGGATTACAGGCGCCCACCACCATGCCCAGCTAATTTTTGTATTTTTAGTACAGACTGAGTTTCACCATGTTGGCCAGGCTGGTCTCGAACTCCTGACCTCAGGTGATCTGCCCGCCTTGGCCTCTCAAAGTGCTGGGATTACAGGCGTGAGCCACTGTGCCCCGCCTGTTTATCCTTTTATCTATCAATGGACTTTTGGGTTTCTTCCACATTTTGGCTACTGTGAATAACGCTGTTATGAACATAGGTATACAAACATCTCCTTAAGATCCTACTTCCAATTCTTTTGGGTATATGCCCAGAAGTAAAATTGCTGGATCATATGGTAATTCAATTTTTAAATTTTTGAGAAACCACCATACGTTTTCCATCATATTTGCACCATTTTCTATTTCCACCAACATGCACAAGGGTTTCCATTTCTCCGCATCTTTGCCAACACTTGTGGTTTTTTTTGGTTTGGGGGAGTTTTTTACAGTAGACATCCTAATGAGGATAAGGTGGCAACTCATCTCACTGTGGTTTTGACTTCAGCTTATCTTTTTTTTTTTTTTTTGAGTCGGAGTCTCGCTCTGTCTCCCAGGCTGGAGTGCAGTGGCGTGATCTCAGCTCACTGCAACCTCCACCTCCCAGGTTCGAGCGATTCTCCTGCCTCAGCCTCCTGAGTAGCTGGGACTATGGGCATGCGTCATCACGCCAGGCTTATTTTTGTATTTTTAGTACAGACGGGGTTTCCCCATGTTGGCCAGGCTAGTCTCAAACTCCTGACCTCAGGTGATCTGCCCGCCTTAGCCTCCCAAAGTGCTGGGATTACAGGCGTGAGCCACGGCACCTGGCCAACTTCAGCTTATCTTTTGAGGAAGATGTTTCTCTTTCGCTGCATCTCATAGCCTTTTCCCGAGCAGGTCAGAACTGAAGTTTATCTCAGGGCTGAGAAAGCCTCTGCTGCTTTCCAATGTCACCCACGGTGCTGTTCATACCTGGCAGTGCTGAGCATCAGGCCAAAGCAGCCAATATATCCTTGGGTTAAGTCCAAGGAATGGGCATTTAACCTGAAAGCGCAGGAACCTATTAAAGGCAGATATCAAGTCATGGAAAGAGAAGCAAAAGTGCAGAAGAGATGAACAACTCCAAGACATGCTTCCTTCAACAGAGTGAGGAAAGCTGGGGCTCTCTCACCATCCCTGGCTGTTGTGTGTGGTTAATGGCTCCGTATACAGATGGTCCAACCCCTGCTTAGTGGGAAACACAATTCTGGGATTTAGGAATTCAAACCAGGGCTCCGAATAACCTAACAATGCCCAAATCCTAACACTCTAGTGAAAGAAGAGGTCAAAAGAAGGCTAATGGTCAAGGTGATTCAGTTATTTCTCCATGACGATGACCTAACCAAGAATGGATCCCCATGCTCTGTTCTTTAACACTTTGCAACTTTATATATATATATAACCTTATAGATAGATAGATAGATAGATAGAGTTTCTCATATGTATGAGAAATAAGACTATATTTAAGAATATATTCAATACATATTTATACTATATATTTGTATTGTTATATAAATATAAACACATAAGCTTATACATTAAATATAAATATATATCATTTCTCATATATGTAAATAATCTCATATCAAATATATATCATGTATCATATATCAAATATATATAATATTTCATGTATATAAAATATATTATTTATATTAAAGTGATATATATATATAAACTGGCTAGCCATATGTAGAAAGCTGAAACTGGATCCCTTCCTTACACAAAAATTAATTCAAGATGGAGTAAAGACTTAAATGTCACAACTAAAACCATAAAAACCCTAGAAGAAAACCTAAGCAATACCATTCAGGACATAGGCATGGGCAAGGACTTCATGACTAAAACACCAAAAGCAATGGCAACAAAAGCCAAAATTGAGAAATGGGATCTAATTAAACTAAACAGCTTCTGCACAGCAAAAGAAACTACCATCAGAGTGAACAGGCAACCTACAGAATGGGAGAAAATTTTTGCAATGTACCCATCTGACAAAGGGCTAATATCCAGAAGCTACAAAGAACTTAAACGAATTTACAAGAAAAAAACAAACAACCCCATCAAAAAGTGGGCAAAGGATATGAGCAGACACTTCTCAAAAGAATACATTTATGCAGCCAACAGACACATGAAAAAATGCTCATCATCACTGGCCATCAGAGAAATGCAAATCAAAACCACAATGAGATACCATCTCACACACCAGTTAGAACGGCGATCATTAAAAAGTCAGGAAACAACAGGGTCTGGAGAGGATGTGGAGAAATAGGAACGCTTTTACACTGTTGGTGGGACTGTAAACTAGTTCAATCATTGTGGAAGTCAGTGTGGCGATTCCTCAAGGATCTAGAACTAGAAATACCATTTGACCCAGCCATCCCATTGCTGGGTATATACCCAAAGGATTATAAATCATGCTGCTGTAAAGACACATGCACACGTATGTTTATTGCGGCACTATTCACAATAGCAAAGACTTGGTACCAACCCAAATGTCCATCAATGATAGACTGGATTAAGAAAATGTGGCACATATACACCATGGAATACTATGCAGCCATAAGAAAGGATGAGTTCATGTCCTTCGTAGGGACATGGATGAAGCTGGCAACCATCATTCTGAGCAAACTATCTCAAGGACAGAAAACCAAACACGTCATGTTCTCACTCATAGGTGGGAACTGAACAATGAGAACACTTGGACACAGGGTGGGGAGCACCACACACCAGGGCCTGTCATGGGGTGGGGGAAGGGGAGAGGGATAGCACTGGCAGATATACCTGGTATAAATGACGAGTTAATGGGTGCACCACACCAACATGGCACATGTATACACATGTAACAAACCTGCACGTTGTGCACATGTACCCTAGAACTTGAAGTATAATAATAAAAAATATATATCATGTATCATATTTCAAATATATATCATGTTTCATGTACATAAATATATATTATTTTTCTCATATACATATATATATAGTTTCTCATATACAGATATAAGATATATAAATAGACATGCTGGATTATAATCCTCTTTTTCCATTCCTGAACAAATTCAACATATTTGGAGATACTTTTTGCATATATATATGTATGTATAGATATAACCTTATATATATACATAGTTTATATAAGAAACTATAAATGGTTATATCTAAACATGTATATGAAAACTATATATAAAAGTAAACTATATATGAGAAACTATATAAATAACCATGTAACTATATATTATATATAATGTAATATAGTTTCTCATATATATTATATGTAACTGTATATATCATATTATATGTACATATATAAGAACATAATATATAATAATATATATAATATTACATAACATATATGATATATTTACAGCTATATATTTATACATAATGTATAGTTTCTCATATATATGTGACAAACTATATATAACTATATTCAACATATTTGGAGATAGTTTTCATGTATATATATGTATAGATATAACCTTGTTATGTATGTATAGATATAACCTTATTATCTATATATATGAAAACTCTATATAAAACAAACTATATGTGAGAAACTATATATAACTGTATATATTATACTATATATTATATATAATATGTAATTATATTTAGAACTATATATTATATTATATATTATATACAACTATATTTAGAACTATATATTATATATTATATATGTTATATGTTATATATTATATATTATATATGTTATATATTATATTATATATTATATAATATAAAAATATATTATATAATATATTATATAATATATTATATATATTATATATTATATAATATATTATATATATTATATAATATATAATATAAAATATATTATATATTATATGTATTATATATTATATAATATAAAAATATATTATATAATTATATGTATTATATATTATATAATTATATATATTATTATATATCTTATATATTATATAATATAAAATTATATTATATTATATAAAATTATTATATCATATATAATATATAATATACATTATATATAGTTTCTCACATATATATAGTTTCTCACATACATAACCATGCAACTATATATTATATATAATTATTATATAGTTACATTATATATGTACTATATATTATAATGTACATTACATAATTACATTATATAATACATTATATATAATATATAGTTACATGGTTATATATGTGAGAAGCTATATATAACTGTGTATATTATATTATATATTGTATATAATATATAAAGTTCTGTATATATTATATATAATATATTATAACATATATTATATATTATAACATATATTATATATTGTATATTATATATGTTATAATATATAATATATGTTATAATACATAATATATGTTATAATACATATTATATATGTTATAATACATATTATATATTATATATAGAACTACATATATTATATATACAATATATACAGAACTATATACATTATATATAATATATAATATAATATATACAGTTATATATAGTTTCTCACATATAATTTATTTTATATAGAGTTTTCAGATATATGTATAGATAATAAGGTTATATCTATACATATATACCAAGGTTATATCTATACATATATATACCAAGGTTATATCTATACATATATATACCAAGGTTATGTCTATACATATATATACCAAGGTTATGTCTATACATATATATGCATGAAAACTATCTCCAAATATGTTGAATTTATTCAGGAGCAGGAAAAGAAGATTCTAATCCAGGATTCACCAAATGGCAAAGCATGAGTGCATCCAGTGAGGGAAGGGTAAAGGAAAGGTCTTATAGGCAAAAAGGGAGAAGTTCTTGTAAACTGCTTGGAAACAGAGTTCATTGGTTCCAGAGGCTCAAAGCCAGAGTTGTCATCAGTTCGTTAGTGGAGATGCTATTACCGGGCAAACGTCCTTCCAAGAGCACCTTCTCTGAATTACTGCACTCCTAAAGAATGCCTGGTGATAAATCTTGTCATAGAAACATAAGCACACGTGTAAAACATGCAAGTCTGCAATGCAGGTGATGTGTGAAGAACAGGAAGAAATTTCTTGTGGGGTTTTTAGAAATTCTTGGAAACAGTTCTTATCTCAGACATGCAACCACAAGCCCTCCTCCTTGGTGTCTTCCGGGCCCTATTTTTTCTGTGTCTAACAAAAGTGATTTTATCCTGGTGTTCCCTGAAAGGGCTAAATATGCAAAGTGGACCCCAAATGCTGAAAGACCTGAGAACCAAAGAATGAGGCAGACAAATCCAGTCTGTAGGTAAAGATTGTTTGATTGGGGGAAATTACAGACAGAAGCATGGTCTTGGGAGGCCACAAGACAGGTAGATCTCTGCACTGTTACTCCCCAGGCCCAAGGCTTATATACCATAGAGAAAGGGTATATCTGCTCAAGCAAGACAAAAAAAGGCAGCCCTCCAAAAAAGGCAAGAGAACTACATGAGTCATAGCTTATAATTTGTGCTATAGTGACATCAAGGTTGACATGTTCTTACACTAAAGACAGTATTAAATAAAGTAGAGGCAGGGCACGGTGACTCATGCCTGTAATCCCAACACTTTGGGAAGCCGAGGCAGGTGGATCACTTGAGGCCAGGAGTTTGAGACCAGCCTGGCCAACATGGCGAAACCCCATCTCTACTAAAAATACAAAAATTAGCCAGATGTGGTGGCGGGCGCCTGTAATCCCAGCTGCTCTGGTGGCTGAGGCAGGAGAATCGCTTGAACCCGGGAGGCGGAGGTTGCAGTGAGCCAGGATTGTGCCATTGCACTCCAGCCTGAGTGACAAGAGCAAGATTCCTTCTCAAAATAAATAAATAAATAAGGTAGGGAGCAGGAGGCATTCATGGAACTGAGGCTAATCAGAAGTCAACCCAGCAGATTATCATCCGAGATGGAATCACTTTTGTCTCCACACCTGGTATCTGCAACTTCCACACACCAACCGAGAATGCTGCTTTGGGGAGGAAACAGATTCAGTCTCTCACCAACACAACTATCCAAAACTCACTGCTGATACCAATAACACCTGAACACAGGTGATGGGAGGACACACACATGAGGGTGGAACTGTCTGTATCACGTCTGAATCCCTGCCTTTCCCCAAAATACACACTGCTGTGGACTTAAGATTGAGAGATACTATGAAGGCTGGGCGCGGATCACCTGAGGTCAGGAGTTCGAGACCAGCCTGGTCAACATGATGAAACCCGTTCTCTACTAAAAATACAAAAATTAGCCAGGCGTGCTGGCAGGTGCCTGTAATCCAGTTACTCGGGAGGCTGAGGCATGATCATCGCTTGAACCCGGGAGGCAGACATTGCAGTGAACCAAGATGGTGCCACTGCACTCCAGCCTGGGTGACAGAGTGAGACTCTATCTCAAAAACAAAAAAAAAGAAAAAAAGAGTGATACAGTGAAATTCCCAGGTATTTGATCCGTAGGCTGGGAAGACAGCCTCCAGCATTGCACAGTCCTACGTATCCTGTTTTTTTGCACAAAAGTAAAAGTCACATGTCTTTCCTGACCTTGTTCTGAGCCCACCAAGGCATACCCATGAGCATACTCAGTGAGAGACACCCATCAGAACTTTATTTAATACTGTCCTTAGTGTAAGAACATGTCAACTTTGATGTCACTATAGCACAAATTATAAGTTATGATGCATGTAGTTCTCCTGCCTTTTTTGGAGGGCTGCCTTTCTTTGTCTTGCTTGAGCAAATATAGTCTTTCCCTATGGTATATAAGCCTTGGGTCTGAGGAGTAACAGTGCAGAGACCTACCTGTCTTGCAGCCGCGCAAGACCACACTTCTGTCTGTAATTTCCCCCAATCAAACAATCTTTACCTACAGACTGGATTTGTCTGCCTCATTCTTTGGTTCTCAGGTCTTTCAGCATTCGGGGCCCACTTTGCATATTTAGCCCTTTCAGGGAACACCAGGATAAAATCGCTTTTTTTGTTGTTTGTTTTGTGTGTGTGTGTGTGTTTTATTCGAGACAGAGTCTCACTCTGTTGCCCAGGCTGTAGTGCACTGGCACGATCTCAGCTCACTGCAACCTTCACCTCCCGGGTTCAAGCCATTCTCCTGCCTCAACCTCTGGAGTAGCTGGGACTACAGGCAGGCACCACCACATCCAGCTAATTTTTTTGTATTTTTAGTAGAGACGGGGGTTTCACCATGTTGGTCAGGCTGGTCTCGAACTCCTGACCTCAAATGATCTGCCTGCCTCAGCCTCCCAAAATGCTGGGATTACAGGCATGAGCCACTGCGCCCGGCCTAAAATCACTTTTGTAAACCTAGACAAAACAGTAGCTGGAAGGCATAAAGGACGGGGGCTTTTGGTTGCCTGTCTGAGATAAGAACTGTTTCCAAGTGCTTAACCCACTAACACCATCTTCACTCAAGCAGTATTGAGCTACTGTCAAGGGATAAAGGCGTTACATTCAAATCCTCTTCCAGCCTCCCGTTTCAACTGCAGAGAAAAAAATTAATTGCAGTGGGAGTCACGTGCTCTATATCTAAAATTGGCCCCAGGAGAGCATGAAAAAACTGTTAGGTTCGGTTTTAATTAACTGCAGGAATGAAGGAAGGAGGTTTGCCAAGAACATCCAAGAAGTGTTGGATAATTAAACATCCCTGAGCATTTCAAGTAAGAAGAATGAGTGAAGCCTTCTGTTTTAAATGTAGGTTTTGGCGGGGTGCGGTGGCTCATGCCTGTAATCCCAGCACTTTAGGAGGCCAAGGCAGGTGGATCACTTGAGGCCAGGAGTTCGAGACCAGCCTGGCCAACATGGAGAAACCCTGTCTCTACTAAAAATACAAAACTTAGGCTGGGCGTGGTGGCGTGTGTCTGTAATCCCAGCACTTTGGGGGCTGAGGTGGGCAGATCACCTGAGGTCAGGAGTTCGAGACCAGCCTGGCCAACATGGAGAAATCCTATCTCTACCAAAAATATGATAATTAGCTGGGCATGGTGGCGGGTGCCTGTAATCTCAGCTACTTGGGAGGCTGAGGCATGAGAATTGCTTGAATCCAGGATGCAGAAGTTGCAGTGAGCCGAGATCATGCCACTGCACTCCAGCCTGGGTGACGGGAGAGACTCTGTCTTAAAAAAAAAAAATTAAATGTAGGTTTTATTATTATGCACATATGGCAAGGCCAAGAGATTGGGAGATGATTGCAATTGAAAGATAACTTACTACAGTTTCTAAGAGGAGGAGGCACACCATGCCATAGGGCCGGGGGCAGTGCGTGGGGGGTGGGTGGCGGGGGCGGGACATGGGGAAAGCACCATGGGTGGTCAGGAAGCAAAGGGAGTGAGAGAAACTGTGGGCAAGAGATTTTATTGTGGTTTCCCCAGGAAGGAACAGGCAAGGCAGGGTGAGCAGGCTTAGAATTGGCTAATATGAATCATTTCAGTAGGCTCTGGGGTGTGGGAGCTGTTCCTGGTTATCTGGGGTGACTGGGGCAAGAGGAGAGTGGGCTGGAGTGCAAGAGCCTGACAAGGAGGTGGCTGGGGAGTATGGGCTCTGGATTTGTTTGTTTGCACAGGAAACCTGAAGTTGCAAACAAATTATTGACTATCTCTAAGCGTTGGGTAGTCAGGAGGAGCAGTCTCTGCAGGCTCAGCAAGGCTCCAAAATGCCCCAGCCTCGAAAGAACAGAATAAAAAGACGGTGAATACAGCATTTCTTTTGCCTAGAAAGGACAGAATAAAAAGACGATGAATACAGCATTCCTTTTTGTTCTCCAGGGTTTGTGACAAGACTGCTCAAGAAATCAGTGGTTCTCGGCACTAAAGGCACAGCAGGCTGACCTAGGAAGTTTTTTTGGTTTTTTGTTTTTTTTTTTTTGAGACAGAATCTCGCTCTGTCGCCCAGGCTGGAGTGCAGTGGCGCGATCTCAGCTCACTGCAACCTCCGCCTCCCGGGTTCAAGCAATTATCCTGCCTCAGCCTCCCGAGTAGCCGGGATTACAGGCATGTGCCACCACGCCCAGCTAATTTTTGTGTTTTTAGTAGAGACGGGGTTTCTCCATGTTGGTCAGACTGATCTCCAACTCCTGACCTCCAGGTGATCCACCCACCACAGCCTCCCAAAGTGCTGGGATTACAGGCGTGAGCCACCGCGTCCAGCCAGTACTTATCATTGATGTAACAAACCCTCACATAGCACTTACTATGTGTGAACCACTGACCTAAACACTAGAAAACAATAACTTGCCCATCCTCATAGCTGCACTTTGAAGGTGGCACTATTATTACTCCCATTTTGCAAATGGGGATACTGAGTCACAGTTAGTAGTTTGCCTCAGCTATTAAGCAGAGGAGTCAGGGCTTAAATTCCAGAAGCCTGGCCCCGGATCTGTGGCCTTAGGCACATCATGGCTTTGTTGCCTATAATCACGATATTTTCCTATATTGTTGCTTCAGTATCTCAGAAGCTAGCATCTATTAAGTGCCAGACAAGGTATCCTCATTTTATCCAAGAAGAGAGGAAATGGAGGCTCACAGAGTCCCAACCTTTGTTTCTGTTCTATTTTTAGTGGGTTTTTCTTGTTTGTTTGTATGTTTGTTTGTTTGTTTGTTCCTTGAGACAGGGTCTCGCTCTGTCACCCAGGCTGGGTGCAGTGGTGTGATCTTGGCTCACTGCAGCCTCCAACTCCTGGGCTCAGGTGATCCTCCCACCTCAGCATCCCTAGTATCTCGGACTACAGATGTGAGCCACCATGCCTGGCTGTTTTGGGTGGATCTTAGATTTCACAATTTCCCAGACTCACAGTCAGCCACTGAAGTAAGTCAAAGATGTAGGCTCAACTCCTGCCTCTGTCTCATACCAGTTGTGACTTTGAACAATCACTTGACCTCTCTGAGCTTCTTTTCCATCAAAAAAATAGACATAGTACCCATTCCTAAGTCATAAAGTTGCCATAAGAAGTTGCCATGTTTTAAAATCAGAAAATGAAGAAAGGCCAGGCATGGTGGCTAATCCCTGTCATCCCAGCACTTTGGGAGGTTAAGACAGGAGGATCACTTGAGCCCAGGAGCTCAAGATCAGCCTGGGCAACATAGCAAGACCCCATTTCTACAAAAAATTAAAAACTTATCCGGAGATAGTAGCACATGCCTATAGTCCCAGCTACTTTGGAGGCTGAAGTGGGAGGATTGCTTGAGACCACGAGGTTAAGGAGGCTGCAGTGAGCAGTGATTGCACCACTACACTCCAGCCTGGACAATATAGCAAGACCCAGTCTCAAAAAAAAATTGAAAACAATAAAGTGTTATCACTTAGTGTATTTCTGGTTGTTGTGAACAGTCCAAAAAACAGACCCTCAATAAATTGCTGAGTAAATATTTCCAAAAGCATGGATTAGACCACACATACCAGTAAATCAATAATTAATTAAAATGCTCAATAAACCACACTCTGGCAGAGTAATAAATCTAGACACAACTAGAAAATTAAACCTCTTTCATTTAGATATCCCATAAGACATTCACTAGCACTATTCCTGGTGATTTCTACCACCACATGCATGAACATACACTAAGAAAAACGTTTTTATTTGCTTTAACTAACAGGTGATATCTGATATCACCAAAAACAGCCATGGTCTTGAAGCAACTCTCCTAATGCATTTTGAAGCCTGCTATTTATTGTTGAGATAATTCCTTCCTCCCAAATGCACCCTCTCCCCTTTTATCTATACTGAAACCCCTTCTTGTATCTCACTGAGCCCCTCTCCTGCCAGGAGGAAGCAGGTAACAACCCCTGGAGAGAAGGCAGACTTCCCCCATCCCTCATCTAGTTGGAGTACAGAGTAGAAATCAGGGTTGGCTTCCAGGAGGAGGTGGCATCAGACTGAGATTTGAAGAGGCAAATTCCTTCTTGGCAGGAATGGGACAGGGAGAATGATTCAGGCAGTGAATATAGCAGAGGAAGCAAAGAATCTAGGACAGGGGTGTTCCTGTCTCTCCCTGCCTCTCTCCATCCCCAACCAAGGCTGGCCTCTGTCTCCATTTGGAAACCAGGAAGCCATGCTAGCCCGCCCCACCTTCTAATTAATATTCTGAGGAGGAATATTCTAATATTCTAGGGAGGCCTGTGGCAAGCTCTCTGCCACTAGGCTGTAAATAGCTTCATGGCGAGGTACCCAGAGGAGGATTCCTGGGTCTTCCTGAAAGCGTGGCCCAAAGAGTTAGAGAAACCAATTTTGCATGTTTTTAGTGAAACCATGCCCCAAAGAAATGTTTGAGCTTGCAGAATGGCAGATCAAAAAAGAAACAACTTGCTGAAATGCCTTCCACTTATGAGGGTTTTTTGTTTGTTTCTTTGTTTGTTTGTTTGTTTGTTTTGAGATGAGTCTCGCTCTGTCATACAGGCTGGAGTGCAGTAGCATGATCTTGGCTCGCTGCAACCTCCACCTCCCGGGTTCAAGAGATTCTCCTGCCTCAGCCTCCCTAGTAGCTGGGACTACAGGCATGTGCCACCATGCCTGGCTAATTTTTTTTCTTTTATTTTCTTTTTCTTTTGAGACAGAGTCTCACTCCATCCCCCAGCCTGGAGTGCGGTGGCATGATCTTGGTTCACTTCAACCTCCACCTCCTGGGTTCAAGTGATTCTCCTGCCTCAGCCTCCCCAGTAGCTGGGACCACAGGCATGCGCCACCATGCCAGGCTAATTTTTGTATTTTTTGGTAGAGACGGGTTTCACCATGTTGGCCAGGCTGGTCTCGAACTCCTGACCTCAGGTGATCTCCCACCTCGGTCTCCCAAAGTGCTGGGATTACAGGTGTGAGCCACAGCCCCCGGCCCCAGAACTTTTCTAATAAAATTACTGCCTTAAAGCCAGCTGAGAAACAGACTTGTGCTGGATTCCTAGCTCCCAGTGGGTTGACATGCAACAAAAAGCTTGTCTTTTCTCAAAAACCAGGTGCCATCGTATTAGCTTCTAGCGCATCCGACAGAAATGTGTTAAGAGGGCCCTGCTCTGAGATGCTCATCTCCTCCTCCAAATTTGGCTCTTCAGAGAAGAGATGACAGCCTTTGGGCAGGCAGGGCTGGGCAGGGACCCATCCTCTTGGCTGCATTGTGATGTCTTAAGAAGACTGAAGGGGCACCGTGACGTCATAGATTGCGGGCCCACCCCTCCCCCTGTCTGCCTGCCCTCCCCACTGGCCGGGCCTCAACCTCTTCTCCCCGCAACCCCAACCCCAGAGGAAAAGCCCCCTCACCTGGCGTCCCGCAACCATGGATGCAAGTCGCCCCAAGTCCTCGGAATCCCAGTCCTCCCTGGAGGCCCCCAGGCCCGGCCCAAACCCCAGTCCCAACGTGGTGAACAAGCCCCTGCAGCGGGACTCCCCCGGCATGGTGGCCGACAGGCTGCCACCAAAGACCGGCGCGGTGGTTATTGACATGGGCACAGGCACCTGTAAGGTAGGTTTTGCTGGGCAGGCCAGCCCCACCTACACCGTGGCCACCATCCTGGGCTGCCAGCCCAAGAAACCCGCCACCTCGGGGCAGTCCGGGCTGCAGACGTTCATCGGCGAGGCAGCCCGCGTGCTCCCAGAGCTGACGCTGGTGCAACCCCTGCGCAGCGGCATCGTCGTGGACTGGGATGCCGCCGAGCTCATCTGGCGCCACCTGCTGGAGCACGACCTCCGAGTGGCCACCCACGACCACCCGCTGCTGTTCTCCGACCCACCCTTCAGCCCGGCCACCAACCGCGAGAAGCTAGTGGAGGTGGCCTTCGAGTCGCTGCGCTCCCCAGCCATGTACGTGGCATCGCAGTCGGTGCTGTCTGTCTACGCCCACGGTCGTGTCAGCGGGCTGGTGGTGGACACGGGACACGGGGTCACCTACACAGTGCCCGTCTTCCAGGGCTACAACCTGCTCCACGCCACGGAGCGTCTGGACCTGGCGGGCAACAACCTGACCGCCTTCCTGGCGGAGATGCTGCTCCAGGCCGGCCTGCCCCTGGGACAGCAGGACCTGGACCTAGTGGAGAACATTAAGCACCACTATTGCTACGTGGCCTCCGACTTCCAGAAGGAGCAGGCCCGGCCGGAGCAGGAGTACAAGCGGACTCTGAAGCTGCCCGATGGGCGCACGGTCACCCTGGGCAAGGAGCTGTTCCAGTGTCCGGAGCTGCTGTTCAACCCCCCAGAGGTCCCGGGGCTGTCACCCGTCGGCCTCTCCACCATGGCCAAGCAGAGTCTCCGCAAGTTGTCACTGGAGATGCGCGCGGACTTGGCCCAAAACGTGCTTCTCTGCGGTGGGTCCTCGCTCTTCACCGGCTTCGAGGGTCGCTTCCGGGCAGAGCTGCTGCGCGCTCTGCCAGCCGAGACCCACGTGGTGGTGGCTGCCCAGCCCACCAGGAATTTCTCCGTATGGATCGGGGGCTCCATCCTGGCCTCCCTGCGCGCCTTCCAGTCCTGCTGGGTCCTGCGGGAGCAGTACGAGGAACAGGGTCCCTATATCGTGTACCGCAAATGCTACTGACCAGGGCAGAGCTGGGGAGGGCGTGGGGGCAGTAAAGCCTCTGCTACAGCCGGCTCTGTCCTGTCCTTCCTCCAGGGCCTGCCCCATCCACTCCTGGGCACCTCGCCCCACAGGCTGACCTAACTCACCTCCTGTGATGCATGCCCTGAGACACCCCAATCCTGACCCCCTAAACCCACCTTCCCCATGAATAACTCCCAACAGACCACTAAGTTCTAATCCTGTCAACCCATCCTCCTGTGATCTGTGCCCCTCCCCAGGCACCCTTGGGTTGGGACACCCCCTCCCCAGACCACCTCTGACAAGTGCCCTTCCCATTTACACACTCCCAGAGATGGGGAGTTCACTACCTCAAGGCTATTGTTAGAAATATCACCTCCTCCTATGAGTCATAGATAAGCCTCCACCTGGCACCTGCCCCCAACCCCAAACATGAAGAACATGAAAGCCTCTGACCACCCACCCCATGCCCACACACACCCCTAGGGTCTGCCACATACCCAAGCCACATACCCAATTCCTTCCATTTCTAGTTTAAGTGATTCATGCATTGATCCCACATACATTCATTAATTACCCACTATGTGCCCAAGACATCCTCAAATACTGACTCCCTAATCTCACCCCATTATCTATTGCTTTTGATATAGCATCCCAAAATACCCCTGGGCTCCAAACCCTCCAAACTGCCACCCCCCTTAGTATGCTCCTCAGGGACCCCCCAACCCAGTCTCTACCCCGGAATGCTCCAACCTCCTCCCAGAATCTTCCCGTGAGTGCTCCAACCCCTGGGTGCACCCCCATAATCTTCCCCTTATTTCTAATCCCCCCAAACACACTCTTAAATTCCACTTGTCAAGATTCCACTTGTCAAGATACCCCTGGTTCTCAGCACCCCAAATCCACCTCTTCATTGGTTTCCCCTAGGATGCCCCCCACAAGTGCTGACCCCCCAGATCCATCACAGAGACCTGAATTCTGACTTTCAAGGGTTTCTCCTACAATGGTCCCACCATGGGATGCCCCTGGCATCCATCATCCCTGCAGAACTCTCCCCTCCCCTCAGGATTTTTCCCCCAGACCTCCCCTGGCCCCACCTCCACTGACCAGGTGGTCCCATCACCCATCCCCCATCCATCTTCCCAAAACACATCATTCTGAGATCCACCCCCGAAACCCCAGGGTGGACCCCTGTTGCTCTAAGACCACTTTCTTGCACTGTGTCTCCGCCCGAAATACTCCCAAATGTTCTCTCTCACAGGACACTTCCTGACCCTCTTCCTCAGCCCCCAGCTCCTCCCAGGAAAGAGCCAGCCTCCCAAATGTCATGCTCAGGTCCCCATGAGCATCCTATAACGACCCCACTAGACCCTAGGCCCTCCTCTGTGTTCCAACACCTCCCAACTCCCTCCTCCACAGACTCTCCCAAAGATACCCTCCCAGGCACCCCATGATGTGCACCCCGCCCTGGAACTCTCACAGGCTCTCCGGAACCCACTCCCCAAGACCATTCCCTGGACACCATACTATCAAGCAAGACTTGGACATCAGTGGGTAGTGATACTCTTAAGGGCTTCCCAGTCCACTGCAGTCATGGGGCAGATGCCCCAGGCAAGGAGCTTCACCTGGACACTGGCTCTCTCACTCGCCCCAGCACAGGCACCCAGGGCCCATGTGTCCCAGGCTATGCATCCCCATCTCCCTCCATTCCATTAAAAGTCCATCTCTCAGCCTGTTCCTCTCAGTCCCATGAGCTTTCTCTGGGTTGTGCACTGAGGATGCTCGAGGAGGCCTCTCCCACCCCACCCTGTCCCTGCCAGGGTCGGGAGGGGGAATCCAGCCTCTCAGGATGGCGAGCGTCCTGGGTCCCCTCTGGAGGTAGGACCCTCTGTCTTCATGCCCCCTAGCCCAGCCTGAAGGACATCCGGACCTCCAGCCAGCAGTCTGGACACAACCCCCAGTTTATCAACACAGTAGACAGGAGCTGCTGGAGGTTATCCATGTCTGTGTCAAGTCCTCTTTTTGCTCAGCCCAAGAAATCATTCATTCACTCATTCATTCATTCTTTCAGCCAGTCACTATTTAAGGAGCATCACTCACAGGATCTGTAGGCTCCTGCTGTGTCTTTCTGTGCATTGCTAACTTTTCAGGAGTTTTGTGCTCAGTTGCTGTGTTTGTTTGTTTGTTTGTTTGTTTGTTTGTTTGTTTGTTTTTGAGACAGGGTCTCGCTCTGTCACCCCATCTGGAGTGCAGCCGCATGATCATGACTCGCTGCAGCCTCAGCCTCCCCCAGCTCAGGTGATCCTCCCACCTCAGCCTCCCGAATAGCTGGGACTGCAGGTGCATGCCACCACATCTGGCTAATTTTTTGTATTTTTAGTAGAGATGGGGTTTCACCATGTTGCTCAGGCTGGTCTCCAATTCCTGGGCTCAAGCGATCCATCCACCCCTGCCTCCCAAAGTGCTGGGATTCCAGGCGTGAGCCACCACACCTGGCCTCACTTGATGTGTTTCTTTCTCCCTAAACCAGCGTGTGTGTCTCTGTCTCTACCTGCCTCTCTCTCTCTCTCTCTCTCTCTCTCTCTCTCTCTCTCTCTTCCTCTCCGTCTGACTCACCTGCAAGAACCATGCTTATGGATGGAATTTTCCAGAGTGGAAATGCATTTATCTGTGGAGCAGTGAGGCGACCTCCCCTACCCTCCAAGTCAGCCGTGAGAAACTCCCCACCCACCCTGTCCCACTGTGTCCTGGAGAGTAGGCTGTGGCTCCAGGCTCACCCTGGGTTAGTGTGAGATCCTCAGCTCAGGGGTGGGGGGCCCCCACTGACAGGCCAAGATCTCCAGATCACAAATATTCAGGGTTGGACCCGCTCTGACCCAGCCGGGCTCTCCCCAAGGTAGACTCAACCTATAGAATGCACAGAATCCCCTACCAGGAGGTCATGGGGTGTTGAGGAGACATTTCTTCTCCTCCACACCAGGGGGCAGCACCTCCAAGCTCAAGGGCATGGAATTCAGAACGTTGATGCCTGGAGCAAGCCAGACACCCAGACCCCAAGTGAGACCCACTCCAAGCTCCAGCCACAAGGCACAGAAGGTATGTGAGACAGGCTGAGTCTCAGATACCACAGGAAGTGAGGGAGATGCAGAAACCCTGTCACCCCTGGGCTCCTGGGAAACCCAATGAATCCTCATTTAGAGCAGACTGAGGTTCCCTGTTCCCTCAGCTCCAGACCTTCCCTGGGGCAGAATTTTCCTCTACAACTCTCTGGACAAGTGCTTTTCCCATTTACACAGTCCCAGAGATGGGGAGCTCACTACCTCAAAGCTGTTGTTAGAAATCTCACCTCCTCCTATGACTGATAGGTAAGCCTCCACCTGCCATCCGCCCCTAACCCTGAGCACCAAGAACTCAAGACCCCGACCACCGCCCCCTCCATGCCCACACACACCCCCAGGGTCTGCCACCATACTTGGCTAATCTTTTTTATTTTTAGTAGATATGAGATCTGGCCATGTTGTCCAGGCTGGTCTTGAACTCCTGAGCTCAAGTGATCCTCTCACCTCAGCCTCCCAGTTCCCCAATTTCCTCTTGCCTCAGCCTCCCGGGTCCCCGATTTCTTCAATTTTGATTTAAGTCATTCATACATTGATCCCACAAACATTCATTGATCACCCACTATGTGCCCAGTACTGCTCCAAAATGTAAGGAAACCACAGCAAACAAGAAATGGGGCCAGGCATGGTGGCTCACACCTGTAATGCCAGCACTTCGAAAAGCTAAGGCGAGAGGATTGCTTGAGCTCAGGAGTTCAAGACCAGCCTGGGCAGCATAGCCAGATCTCATCTCACTAAAAATCAAAAAGACTAGCCAAGCATGGTGGCACCTTAGTCCCAGCCACTTGGCAAAGGTGGGAGGATCACTTGCACTCAGGAGTTTAAGGCCAGCCTGGGAAACACAACCAGACCTCATCTCTACTAAAAATCCAAAAAATTCGGCAGGGCGCAGTGACTCACGCCTATAATCCCAGCACTGTGGGAGGCTGAGGCAGATGGATCACCTGAGGCCAGGAGTTCGAAACCAGCCTGGCCAACGTGGTGAAACCCCGTCTTTACTAAAAATACAAAAATTAACCAGGCGTGGTGACAGCTGTCTGTAATCCCAGCTGCTCAGGAGGCTGAGGCACAATAATTGCTTAAACCTGGGAGGTGGAGGTTGCAGTGAGCCAAGATCACGTCACTGCACTCCAGCCTGGGTGACAGAGCGAGAGTCTGTCTCAAAAAAAAAAAAAATAGCCAAGCGTGGTGGCGCCTTAGTCCCAGCTACTTGGCAGAGGTGGGAGGCTCCCTTGAGCCCAGGAGTTCGAGGCTGCAGTGAGCTGTGTTTGTGCCACTGCACTGCAGCCTGGGCAACAGAGCAAGACCTTGTCTCAAAGAAAAGAAAAATAAATGATGTGTCTGCCCACCGGATCCTCCTTGAAGGGTTTAACTTGAGAAGGCAGATTCGTCACTTCACTTGTATAGACATGTTTCTTCCATCACGAACTTTCAACTGGTTCATATCTGTTTTGCACACCGATTCACAAGTCCTTTCCTTCTCAATGCCCCTGGAGCCATCCACCTCTCTCTATCCTTTTGATCCCAGCCCAGGGATCAGCTGAATGACTGAAGGCGCCTCCTCCTTGGTGTCCCAGTCACCTTCTCAGAAGATCCTTGTATGCATAGGGCTTTTGCAAAACACAGAACATGTTATTCCCTGCTAAGAACATCCTAGTCGCTTGCCTGCCTGCCTTCCTTCCTTCCTTCCCTCATTCCTTTCTTCCTTCCTTCCCTCATTCCTTTCTTCCTTCCTTCCCTCATTCCTTTCTTCCTTCCTTCCCTCATTCCTTTCTTCCTTCCTTCTTTTCTTTTCTTTTCTTTTTTTCTTTTCTGAAACAGGGTCTCATTCTGTTACCCAGGCTAGAGTGCAGTGACTCAGTCATAGCTGACTGTAACCTTGAACTTCTGGGCTTAAGTAATCCTCTTACCTCAGCCTCTGGAGTAGCTGGGACTACAGGTGTGTACTACCACAACCAGCTATTTTTTAAGTTTTTTTGTAGAGATGAGGTCCCACTATGTTGCCCAGGCTCTTGTCAAACTCCTGGGCTCAATCTTCCTGCTTCGGCCTCCCAGAGTGCTGGGATTACAGGCATGATCCACCATGCTCAGCCAGCCTATGCCTTTTCATTTCGTGCAAATAAACCAAGTTCTTCCTATGGCCCTGAATCCTCTGCTGATCTCTCTAAACCTCTCCTTGGCATCCCTCCTAATCCCCTTTACCTCCAGCCACACTGCCTGCCTTTCTCTTCCAGTTATGGGATGCACTATGTCCCGCCAAAATTCATATGTTGAAAGCCCAACCCCCAGTACCTGAGAATGGGACTGTATTTGGAGATTAGAACTTTCAAGTAATAATTAAGTGAAAATGAGGTCTTCAGGGTGCAGCCTCATCCAGTATGACTGATTGGACATCAGAAGAGATTGGGGCCAGGCATGATAGCTCATGCCTATAATCCCAGCACTTTCAGAGGCTGAGATGGGCGGATCACTTGAAGTCAGGAGTTCAAGACCAGCCTGGCCAACATAGTGAAACCCCATCTCTATTAAAAATATAGAAAAAATTAGCCAGGAGTTGTGGCACATGCCTGTAATCCCAGCTACTCTGGAGGCTGAGGCTAGAGAATCACTTGAACCCAGGAGGCGGAGATTGCAGTGAGCCGAGATTGTGCCACTGCACTCCAGCCTGGGGGACAGAATGAGACTCCATCTCGAAAGAAAGAAAGAGTGACAGAATGAGACTCCATCAAGAAAGAAAGTGAAAGAAAGAAAGAAAGAAGAAAGAAAGAAAGAAAGAAAGAAAGAAAGAAAAGAGGGAGGGAGGGAGGGAGGAAGGAGAGAGAAAGAAATGAAAGAAGGGATAAAGGAAGGAAGGAGAAAGAAAGAAAGAGAGACAGAAAGGGAAGAGGGAGGGAGGGAAGGAATGGAAGGAAGGGAGGGAAGGAGGAAGGAGAGAGAGAAAGAAAGAAAAGAAGGAAGGAAGAAAGGAAGGAAGGAAACAGAAAGAGAGAGAGAAAGGAAAGAAGGAAGGAAGAAAGGAAGGAAGGAAACAGAAAGAAAGAGACAGGGAGAAAGGAAGGAAGGAAGAGAGAGAGAAAGAAAGGAAAGAAAGAAAGAAAGAAAGAAAAAGAAAAGAAAGAGAGAGAAAGAATAGATTGGGACATAGACACACACAGAGGGACAAACATGTGAAGACACGGAGAAGACAGTCATCTACAAGGAGAGAGGCCTCAGAAGGAATCAACCCTGCTGACACCTTGAACTTGGACTTCCAGCCCCCAGAACTGTAAGGCTATACATTTCTGTTGTTTAAGCCACCCAGTCTGGGATACTTTACAGCCTGAACAAACGAACGCAAACTTTGATACCAAGAATTGTTCTAAAGTTAGTTAAAAATAACAGCTATAACCACGTGACCAGTTACAGAAATGAAGACTGTAGCTGTCACCAATATGTCTTCCTTAACTTGCTATGAATATGTTTACATGTATATAAAATACCTTTGTCTTATCCCTTCTCTTATCATGTAACATAAGGTTTATTAGGCCAGGCATGGTGACTCGTGCCTGTAATCCCAGCACTTAGGGAGGCTGAGGTGGGAGGATCACTTGAGCCCAGGAGTTGGAGACCAGCCTAGGCAACATAGTGAGATCCTATCTCTACCAAAATAAAAATATTAGCCAGATGTGATGGTGTGCACCTGTAGTCCCAGCTACTCAAGAGGCTGAGGCGGGAGGATTGCTTGAGCCCAGGACTTGGAGGCTATGGTGAGCTATAATCATACCACTGCACTCCAGCTTGTGTGACAGAGAAAGATCCTGGGAAGAAAGGAAAAGAAAAGAAAAGAAGAAAAGAAAATAAAAGGGGAATCTCAGATCCTACTCAAGACCCACTGAGTCATTTTAACAAAATCCACACGGGATTCCTCAGCACATTAAAGTTTGAAAAGCGGCCAGGCATGGTGGCTCACACCTGTAATCCCAGCACTTTGGGAGCCCAAGGCAGGTGGATCGCTTGAGGTCAGGAGTTCGAATCCAGCCTGGCCAACATGGCGAAACCCCATCTCTATTAAAAAGAAAAATTAGCTGGGTGTGGTGGCAGGTGCCTGTAGTCCCAGCTACCCAGGAAGCTAAGGCAAAAGAATCTCTTGAACCCGGGAAGTGGAAGTTGCAATGAACTGAAATAGCACCACTGCACTCCAGGCTGGGTAACAGAGTGAGACTCTGTCTAAAAAAAATAAATAAATAAGGTTTGAAAAGCACTGAAAAAAATTGAAATAAAAAATAAATTAATCTCAATCTCTCTCTCCCATCTTATCAAAGGTAGCCCCACAAATCTCAGCTGCCACAAAAGAAATGATTACAACAGTTGACTTTGTGTAAACACCCCCAAAAACTCCGCAAGGTAAAAATCACCCTCATCAAAGTCAAAAGACAAATGACCACTTAAAAATAATAAATAGGTCGGGGCGGTGGCTCCCGCCTATAATCCCAGCACTTTGGGAGGCCGAGGTGGGTGGATCACAAGGTCAGGAGTTCGAGACCAGCCTGGCCAACATGGTGAAACCTTGTCTCTACTAAAAATACAAAAATTAGCCAGGTGTGGTGGTAGGCGCCTGTAATCCCAGCTACTCAGGAGGCTGAGGCAGGAGAATCTCTTGAACCCAGGAGGCGGAGGTTGCAGTGAGCTGAGATCAAGCCATTGCACTCCAGCCTGGGTGACACAGCAAGACTCTGTCTCAAAAATAATAATAATAATAATAAATAATAATTTGTAATGACAAATGGAAAAAAATACTTGAAACTCATAACACAAAGGAATAATGTCTGTCATATATAAAGAGCTCTCAGAAAGAATCAATAGGAAAAATACCTCAAGGGTCCGTGAAAAAGTTAGCAAAGGATATGAACACACAGCTCATTAAGAAAGACGGACAAACGGTTCTTAGACACAGGAGAAGATGCTCAATTTCATAAGGGAAATGAACACTACACCTATACTGCGATGTCGTTTTTAACCCATCAGATTGGCGATCAAAAGATTTGATAATACTCACCGTTGGTGAGACTCTGGGGAAACTAGTACTGTTTTGCCTTGAAAGTGGGGAGGGAAATTGGTACAACCCTATACAGGACATATTCCAGCCGCAAACACCTGGCCCAGCTATGGCACTTCCAGGAACCTCTCCTTCTGATACAATCAACTTTTACGCGAAATGACGTCAATGCAGTTATCCATCATCCGTGACGCGGCGCTTTCTGGCCGCAAAACACTGGAAACAAGACACGCGACCATCCAGACAAACCGATTAAATAAATTGTATTCCAACAGAAGAGAAATACTACACGGGTTTTAAAAGAAATGAGCAAGCTGTGTTCTGACATGGAGTGATCCCCAAGATATAGTTTGGGAAAAAAGAAAGCCCAGAACAGTATGTTATCATTAACATAAAAAGAGGAATAAAAGGAGATGTGGGCATTTGCTTTAAAATGTCTAGAACATTCTGAGGTTTGGAGCAAGTTTTTTTTGTTGTTGTTTTTGTTTGTTTGTTTGTTTTTGAGACGGAGTCTCGCTCTGTCACCCAGGTTGGAGTGCAGTGGCGCGATCTCTGCTCACTGCAAGCTCCGCCTCCCGGGTTCACGCCATTCTCCTGCCTCAGCCTCCCGAGTAGCTGGGATTATAGGCTCCCAACACCACGCCCGGCTAATTTTTTGTATTTTTAGTAGAGACGGGGTCTCACCATGTTAGGCAGGATGGTCTCGATCTCCTGACCTCATGACACACCCGCCTCGGCCTCCCAAAGTGCTGGGATTACAGGCGTGATCCATCACGCCCAGCCTGGAGCAAGATTTAAAAAAAAAAAAAAAGAAAGAAAAGAAAAGAAGAAAGAAAGAGAGAGAGAGAGAAAGAAAGAAAAGAAAGAAAGGAAGAAAGAAAAAAGAAAGAAAGAAAGAAGGAAAGAAAGTCTAGAATAGATCAGACACAGTGGCTCACACCTGTAATCCCAGCATTTTGGGAGGCAGAAGCCAGAAGACTGCTTGAGGCCAGGAGTTCGAGACCAGCCTGGGCAACATAGTGGGACCTCAGTCTCTACAAAAATACAAAAATTAGCCGGGGGTGGTGGTGCACCTCTGTAATCCCAGCTACTCAGGGGTTTGTGGCAGGAGGATGGCTCGAGCCCAGGAGTTTGAGGCTGCAGTGAGCCGTGATCACACCTCTGCCCTCCAGCCTGGGCAACAGAGCAAGACCCTGTCTCAATAAAAAAAAAAATTTTTTAAAAAGTCTAGAATAGGCTGGGAGTGGTAGCTCACACCTGTAATCGTGGGAGGCTGAGGGGAGACAGTCACTCGAGCCTAGAACTCGAGACCAGCTTGGGCAACAAAGTGAGAACACATCTCTACAAAACAAATTTTTTTAAATGTTTTTCATTAAAATAATTTTTTTAGGCCAGGTGCAGTGGCTCACGCCTGTAATCCCAACACTTTGGGAAGCCAAGGCAGACAGATCATGAGATAAGGAGATCGAGACAATCCTGGCCAACGTGGTGAAACCCCGTCTCTACTAAAATATAAAAAATTAGCCAGGAATGGTGGCACGTGCCTGTAGTCCCAGCTATTCGGGAGGCTGAGGCAGAGGAATCGCATGAACTCGGGAGGCGGGCATTGCAGTGAGCTGAGATCGTGCCACTGCACTCCAGCCTGGTGACACAGTGAGACTCCTCTCAAAAAAAAAAAAATCAAAAGATAAAGCAAAAAATAAAATGTCTAGACTATCTCAAAGATCACAAAAAGAAAAATTGAACGGCGGCAGCTTCTATGCCAGTGTTTCTCAGCTTTCATTTCATTATTACCCCTAAGGAGGCTTTTTAAACATGTTTATCCTAGTTCCTCCCCTGCCATGAAAGTTTAATATGATGGATATATTGCATAGCTGCCCAACTGAAGTATTTACATTTTGAACCATGTGAATATAAATATGTAATACATATTTTTTTTTGAGACAGGGTCTCACTCTGTTGCCCAGGCTGGGTACAGTGGCACAGTCACGGCTCACTGCAGCCATGATTATAACCTCCTCCAACCCAGCTCAAGCAATCCTCCCACCTCAGCCCTCTGAGTAGCTGGCACTACAGGCACATGCCCCCACATCTGGATTTTTTTTTTTAATTTTATGTAGAGATAGGGTCTCACTATGTCACCCAGGCTGGTTTCGAATTCCTCAGCTCCAGCAATCCTCCTGCCTCAGCCTCCCAAAGTGCTGGGATTACAGATGTGAGCCACCATGCCTGGCCATGAGTATATTTTAAAATATGGATGTTTGCTTTAGGTTCCTCTGGTGTCCACCCAGACAGTTCTTTTTCCTTCCTAATCTTCTCCCTAGTTGTGACCATCAAATTTCTGTTTAATTTCTTGTTAATCAATGGTGTCACCATCCCTATCACGAGTTCCATGAGGACAGGCCCCCCCCGTGTCACTGCTATGTCCCCAGTTTCAACAGCACTCATCACACAGTCATGCCCAATACATGTTTGTTGAATGACTGAATGATTCAAAACATTCAAACATCATTGAGTGACTGAATGAATGAGCCAAGAAGAATCCTCTTCCGTGGGAGGCCACTTCCCCTCTCTTCCTTGGGCATTGGAGTCAGACAGGCCTGGGTTCCAGGCAGCTTCCTCCCACGCTGTGTGACCTTAGACAAGTGGCCTGACCTCTCTGAGCCTCACCTGAAAAATACAGCCATGTCAGCGCTCACTTCAGGGGAGTTTTATGAAGATAAAATGAGCTCATGCAGGCTCTCTGGGCAGTGTAGAAGGACATCTCTTAAATTTCAGTCACCTTTAAGATGGGAGGCTGGAATCTTTTGAGTTTATATATGAATGTAATTGTTTGAATGTTTTATGATGCAAATGCCTCCATAGACATAATATTTTTTTTTTTTTTTTTTTTTTTTTGGAGACTGAGTCTCACTCTATCACTCAGGCTGGAGTGCGGTGGTGCAATCTCAGCTCACTGCAACCTCTGCCTCCTGGGTCCAAGCGATTCTCCTACCTCAGCCTCCTGAGTAGCTGGGATTACAGGCGCTGCCACCACACCCAGCCTAATTTTTGTATTTTTAGTAGAAACAGCGTTTCACCATGTTGGCCAGGCTGATCTCGAATTCCTAACCTCAAATGATCTGCTCGCCTCGGCCTCCCAAAGTCCTGGGATTACAGGCGTGAGCCACCGCGCCTGGCCAGACATAAATTTTTAAAACTGCTTTTTGACTAATGCATGAAGTGGACTTAGCATGCTTAGTACACAGCAAGCTCTCAACAGATGGTGGGGCTGCTGTTGCAACTAGATCGTGCCAAAGACGGACCCCCGAGTCCAGCCTTGGACTCACCCTCCAGACAGACAGACAGACAGACAGCAACCCAGGACCTGGACACCCTCTCTCAAGGGTTTGAGCAGAGAGAGAGGGCCCCTGTTTATTGCGAGGCCCAGGAGAGGAAGTATTTGGAGAAGACAGGGTTATTCCACTAGGGAAATGATGAACCCAGCAGAGATGATGTTGAGGCCACCAATTCAGGCTGAGCAGATGCAGGGGCAAGCTTGGCTTCATTTTACAATTTGACACCAAGTACCAGGTGCAGTGCCTTATACCTGTAATCCCAACACTGGGAGGCAGAGGCAGGAGAATCAGTTGAGCTCAGGAGTTTGCAACCAGCCTGAGCAACACAGCAAGACCCTGACTCTACAAAAGCTAAAAAATTAGCCTGGCATGGTGGCACACGCCTGTAGTCCCAGTTACTTGGGAGGCTGAGGTGGGAGGATCACTTGAGCCAGGAGTTCAAGGCTGCAGTGAGCTATGATCATGCCACTGCCTGGGTGACAGAGCAAGACCATGTGTCAAGAAAAAAGAAAACATTAAAAAAAAAAAAAAGGAACACTGCGGGCCAGGTGCAATGGCTCACGCCTATAATCCCAGCACTTTGGGAGGCCAAGGCAGGCAGATCAACTGACCTCAGTTCGAGACAAGCCTGGCCTACATGGTGAAACCCCATCTCTACTAAAAATACAAAAATTATCCAGGCATGGTGGCACATGCCTGTAATCCCAGCTACTTGGGAGGCTGAGGCAGGAGAATCGCTTGAACCCACGAAGGGGAGGTTGCAGTGAGCAGAGATCGCACCACTGCACTCCAGCCTGGCAACAGTGCGAGACTCCATCTCAAAAAAAAAAAAGAGACTCAAAAAAAAAAGAGACTCAAAAAAAAAAAAGAGACTCAAAAAAAAAGAGACTCAAAAAAAAAAAAACCCTGGAGCATCAGAGCTCGAATGGGGAAACTGAGTCACGGTGTGGCACAGTGGCCTGCTCAAAGCCATCCAGCATGTCCGTGGCAGAGTTGAGATCCCAGGTTTCCTGCCTGCCAGATCCAGCTCATCTCACCACCCTCCCCTGTTTCCGGAGGAAATGGAATTTGAGTTAGGATTTGGATTATTCCTGGGTTTGCCAAGGAGGAGAGGGATGAGGACATTCTGTGTAAGGGAACAGCGAGGATAAAAGTGTGGAGTCTGGAGTAAAGCAAGATGCAGAAAATGAATAACAGTGACAGCCAGCATGTAGCAGGTGCGTTAGGACCTGCCAGACTCAGCTCTCACCTCCCCGTGGGTGTCACCTCCTCGACTTCTCCCACAGCCCTCGGGGGGTAGGAACTACAATTATCCCCATTCTGTAGAAGAGGAAACTGAGGCCCAGAGAGGCAAAGCAAAGTCGTGAGAAGCAGGGCAGAGCCCTCTCCCCTCTGTCTAAGAACCCAGGCTGGGACGGGGGTTCTTAGTCTTTCCCCATGACCCCAAACCCAGGCCCCAAGACAGGAAGACAGTGGCCAGGGCAGCCCTGCTGGGGACGAAGGCGGGCGAGGACGGCCTAGGCCAAACCACAGGACAGGATTTCTCAGAATTTACAGTATGGGGGAGAGGGGAGGCTGGGGCTGCTCCCAGGTCCTTCATAGGCGGGAGAGATGGGGTGATGGGGGAGGGGGCACACCAGTGGCCTTAGGGGAGGGAACTCAACTCTCCCCCATCCCCTACATCCTCCGCAAGGCTTCAGCCCCACAACACGGCTTGTGGGGGGGCATATGGAGAGACTTGAGGCGGTTCCTTCACCCCCAGGCTCAAGCACACATGTGTATACATGTAGGTATCATGCCCACACCTACACGCCCTGATCTGAGCACATACGTGAACACGCATATGCTGTGTCTCCCACGCAAAAAGGGGCGGGAGTGTGTGTGCATGTGAGTTACTTCCCTACCCAGGCAGGTCCAGGCGCTTCACACCCTGTCACCCTGGCATACCCACAAAGCCAGGGCTGGCAGGGCTCCCACGCCCCCATTTCCAAGTGGGGGCCAACAAGGGGTGATTCTCCTCCCATATCCTCATACTCTGCGCCCTGTTCCCTGATCTCTCTGTCCCTTTTGATCTCAGGTGCAGGCCTTCCTCTGGGCATGGCAGACTCACTAGCTTTTTTTTTTTTTTTTTAAACATAGTCTTGCTCTGTCACCCAGGCTGGAGTGCAGCGGCACGATCTTGGCTCACTGCAACCTCCGCCTCCTGGGTTCAAGTGATTCTCAAGTCTCAGCCTCCCAAGTAGCTGGGATTACAGGCACCCACCACCACGCCCAGCTAATTTTTGTATTTTTAGTAGAGACAGGGTTTCATCACGTCAGCCAGGATGGTCTCGAACTCCTGGCCTCAAGTGATCCACCCACCTCAGCCTCTCAAAGTGCTGGGATTATAGGCGTGAGCCACCGCACCCGGCCTCATTAGCATTTTTTTAATTGAGGTGAAATTTACATAACATAAAATTAATCATTTTAAAGTGTCCAATCCAATGTGGCCTTTAGTGCCTTCACAATGGTGTGCAGTCAGGCATCAGTGGTTCAGTGGTAGAATTCTCGCCTGCCACAATGGTGTGCAGTGAGTGCCTCCAGCCAAAACATTTTCATCATCCTCAAAGAAATCCCATCCCCATTAGCAGTCACTCCCATTCCCACCTCTCCCCCAGCCCCTGGCAACCACCAATCTGCTTATTGTCTCTAAGAATCATGTTTCAAATATTTCACACAAATGAAGTCAGACAACATATGTCCTTTTGTGGCTGGCTTCTTTCACTTACTAAGGTTTTCTAGGTCTTGGTTCAAATGTCACCTCCTCAGAGGGACCTTCCCTGACCTGCCCAGTCCCCGAATGCCCCAGCCATAAGCTCACAGCCCTCAGTAGCATCTGACACAGTACTGATTGTCTATTTGTTCACCTGAAGGTTGTCCATCTTCTTATCAAAGGGCAGGTTCTGTAAGGGCCACCCTTTGAAATCTATTCCAAAAGGAATAGATTTCATTGTTTCTGGAAGGTTGTGGGTGAATAAATAAATGGATGGATGGATGAATGCATGCACGCATGCATGGATGGATGGGTGCATGAACGCATGGATGGATGGGTGGATGAGTGAGTGAATGTGTGAATGAGTGAGTGAGTGAATGAGAGAGTGAACAAATTAGTGAGTGAATGAATGAATGAATTAGTGAGTGAGTGGATGAATGAATGAATTCGTGAGTGAGTGGATGAATGAATTAGTGAGTGAGTGGATGAATGAATGAATTCGTGAGTGAGTGGATGAATGAGTGAGGGACTGGAGTGCATGAATGAATACATGAGTGCATGAATGAATGAGTAAGGGAGGAAGGGATTGAATTAGTGGGTGAGTGAATGAGTGGGTGAATGGATGAATGAGTGAATGAATGAGTGGGTGAATGGATGAGTGGCTGAATGAATAAATTAGTGAGTGAATCAATGAATGATGAGTAAGTGAATGAGTGAGTGGATGAGTGCAAGAATAAATGAGTGAGTGAATGAGTGGACAGATGAGTGAGTGAATGAATGAAGGAAAGACTTACGTGACACCCTCCTTCTTTGTCTCCCTCTGCCCCATAACATGGCTCCTGTTTCCTTATCAAACCTCAGATTCAATTCAACAATATTTCTCACACACTTGCATGACAGGCTCTGTCCCAAATACAAAAGCTTTTTGGGTGAATGCAACAGAAGAATCCCCATCCTCATCCTCCAGATCATAAAACCTGGTGACACAGGATCTAACTCTTGAATTAAGTAAGAGCTACAATGGAAGCTTTTACTAAGAGGCTCATCTGAACCTATTCACTTCATTGATTTGTTCAACAAGTATTTATTGAACACCTACTATGGGTACATGCTCAACACAAATAACTGGGGCTCTTATTTAGACTGGATGTACAGGGAGGGCCTTTCTGAGGAGGTGGCATTGGAACCGAGACCTGAAGATGGAAAAAAGAGTCATTTAAAGACTCAGGGAAATTCCAGGCAGAGGGAAAGCAAATGCAAAGACCTGAGGCAGGAAAGAATCTCAAGGAATAGAAAGTTAGCCAATGACACTGGTGCAGTGATGAGGCGGGAAGTGGCCCAGTCACCAACTAAGTAATATTAGGCAAGATACATAACTGCTCTGAGTCACAGTTTCCCCATCTGTTAATGGAGATCATAATAATGAAGGCTTTTTCAGAGGGTCAAACAAAATCTAGGATAAATCACCAGCACAACCACTGGCCCAGACTAGGCAGCCAAGAAATGAGTCTGCTTGTCATAGGTGACAGACCCTCAGGAGTCATGGTATTTGCAGGGCAAGTTGAAGCCTTTACTTCCTTTCCCCTCCATGGCCTTCCTCCCCAGAGTAACCAGTTTATCTCCAACTTATCTCCAGCTCTTCCTGTTTGCCTGAGCTGTTTACCTTCCTGTTTACCTACCATGCAATGCCTTGAGAACTATTCCTGGCCACTTCCTCACTGACTCATCTCCCACCTCAGCCATCCCTTTGCCCTTCCAGCATCCCCCACATGCATCTGATTACCCTTTCTCCCACACTTGTCAAAAATAATTATTTAGTGGAAGACAGCTTCATAAAGAAAAAAAAGAACCATCTGTGTTTTTCTTCCATGATTCCACCTCATGGAGTAGCTTTACCTGCCCTGTCCGTCATATCTCAGAGAAGTTTAGAAGCAGGGATGGGATGAGCACCCTGGCTCTGAGCGCAGGGAGAATGTGGCCATTTAGGGGGACATGAGTCACAGCAACACTGTGGTCAGTCCCCACCTATCCCCACCCCAGACAATGAGCCAGCTCTCCTGCACTTATGTGGTGGGTTTATTTTCACTCAGCCTCACACATCACAGGATGGAGGTAAGGGGAGAACTACAACAGAAATATACTTGGAAACGTCCCCCTCATGCCCATATCACTCAGAAAGGAAGCCAAAGTCCTCACCTTGGCCCACAAAGTCCTCCACAACCTGCTTCCATCACCTCCCTGCCCTCGCCTCCTCCCTCTCTCCCCCTTACTCACTCCACTCCAGCCACATGGGCCTCCTCAATCTTCCTCAAAACACTAGGCACTATCCCACCTCAGGGCCTTTGCACAGGCTGTTCTTTCTGACTAGGAAATGTTCTTCCTCTGATACATGCATGACTCCCCCCTTCATCTCTCTCAAGTCTCTGTTCAAATGTCACTTTCTCAGCAAGGCTGAGATCCCCCTATTTCAATCCTGATCTCCCTATTTCAATTATTACAACGCACCCACACCTACCTTTCCCAAGCCTCCCTTTTTTCTCCATGACACGTATCATCATTGATCCTACTATATGTTTTTCTTATTTTTTAATCTATCTCCTTCCCTGGGTTATCAGTACCATAGAGGCAGGAATCACATCTATTGTGTTCACTTCTCTTTCCCCAGTACCTGGAACATAAAGATAGGAGACTATCTTTATGATCTTGAGACATGGAAGTTGTCTTAAACATGACAAAAATGTACAAACCACAAAAGAAAAGACTGCCAACTCGGCTGCATATGATTTTCAGACTTTTTACAACAAAACATGCCTTGAATAAAATGAAACAATGAGAAACTTATGATCAAGAAAATTTGCTAAATAAGCAAATGAATTAAAAAATGAATGAATGAATGAATGAATGAATGAAAATGCTGTTATAGCTGAGCCACAAGCTCGGCCCTGAGCTCCTTGGTGGGCAAAGCAAAAAGGGAAACAGGATTTTTTCTTTTTCCTTTTTTTTTTTTTTTTTTTCAGATGGAGTCTCGCTCTGTCGCCCAGGCTGGACTGCAGTGGTGCAATCTCAGCTCGCTGCAGCCTCCACCTCCTGGGTTCAAGTGATTTTCATGCCTCAGCCTCCCAAGTAGCTGAGATTACAGGCGCTCGCTACCATGCCCGGCTAATTTTTGTATTTTTACTAGAGACGGGGCTTCATCATGTTGGCCAGGCTGGTCTCGAACTCCTGACCTCAAGTGAGATCCATCTGCCTTGGCCTCCCAAAGTGCTAGGATTACAGGCATGAGCCACCTTGCCCTCCAGGATTCACATTATTTATGAAGATAAAACAGTCCAGAGAAGCCCCTATACCGGGCAATTTATTTACTGCCTCTTATTTAATATTCACAATATATTTCTAGGGAATGGGCTCATTTATAGGTAAACATTTATAGATGTATAAGGGAGGCTCAGTGACATGAGAAAAGCCACCTGCTGGAAGGTCAGGCATGGAGGGAAGGAGAAGGGCTGATCTTGCCCAATCCCTGCCCTGGACCAGAACCAAAGGCTGAGCAAGTAGAGGAGGTCCTACCTGTGATGTGCAGGATTCTAGGGATGCCCAGTCACAGGGGAGCTCTTGGCCTGTTTGGTGATACTGCCCACCTGTTGTACTAGTGAGAGAGAGGCACTTTGTACGTCCTCACCCTGCACACATTTGTGGCTCTGATAAACTTGGAGTAGCCAAGAACTAGCCCAGCCCCCAGATCTGGTGGGGGTGGGCGATGCTCCTGAGTCCAAGTGATCCAGTTGGCCAGGGGCATCTGGTTCTCAGTGTCAGTACCAGTCCAGATGAGCCCCCCATCCCATGAGCTCTCCCCATGATTGGAGTTTGAGTATTTTTATCTAGAATCTAACAAGATCCCTGATGTAATAATAATAATAATAATAATAATAATAATAATAATGGGAGAGGGGCTGAGTGAGAAACTGAGGAGGAGGGAGCCTTGATAAGTCCTTGGGCTCCAGGCCCCTGGAAGACCTTCCCTGCAGAATGGACCCTTCCACCTGGGTGGGTGTATACCTGGTTCTCAGGGGCAGGGGGCAGCCAGGGAGAGAGAGGACACTGATGCCCTCACACAGCTGCTCCTGTTCCAGCAGCTCAAGGCCTGATCCAAGACACAGAAGAAGCCAATATGTCTGCCCCTCAAACTGGGTGGTAAGCAAGCCCCCCAGGGGACACCAAGAAGGGGGATTCAGACACCCTAGACGTTACCTCCTCCTTCAGTCTGGTCTTCAGTATGTTTCTTCCCAAACACCCATTCCTACCCCAGGACAGGAAACCCAAGACCAGAAAAGTGTCTTCTCACTTGTCACTAACTGGGCACAAAAGGAAGGTCTAAAGATCGTGAGTGGGTGGGTGAGGGGACAAGTGAATTATAAGTAAATTAATGAGTAAGAGAATGAATGAATAAACAAGTTAGCACATAAATGAGTGGCTAAATGAATAAATGAATGAAAGGATGGATGGGTGGATGAGTAGATGAATGGGTGGATGAAAGGAAGGATGTGTAGATGGATGGGTGAGGATGGATGGATGGATGGGTAAATGGATGAGGATGAGTGGATGCAAGGAAGGAAGACAGGATGGATGGATGAATGGGAATGGATGAGGATGGATGGATGGATGGAGAATAAATTGATGTATGAATGGATGAATGGATAGGTGTGTGGATGGGAAAATGGATAGAAGCAAGAAAGAATGGGTGGATGGATGGATAGGTGAGGATGGGTGGATGAGTGGATGAGGATGGATGGATGCATGCATAGATAGGTGGATGGGTGGATGAATGAATGGATGGATGGATAGATAGAAGGAAAAACAAATGCATGGATGAATGAGAATGGATGGCTAGATAGAAAGAAGGAAGAACAAATGCATGGATGAATGAGAATAGATGCATGGATAAATGGAGGATGGATAAATGGACAGATGGATGGCTGAATGGATGGACGGATGGATGAATGGATGGATGGATAGATGGACGGATGGATGGATGGATGGATGGATGGATGGATGGATGGACGGACAAGTGGATGAATGGATGGAGGGATGGATGGATGGATGGATGGATGGATGGATGGAATGGATGGATGGATTGATGGATGGATGAATAGATGGGTGGATGGATGGATGGATGGATGGATAGATGGATAAGGATGGAGGGACTAATGGATGGATGGATAAGGATTGATGAATGAATGAATGGATGAATAAATGAGGATGAATGGATGAATGGATGGCTATAGGGAAGAATAGATAAATGGAAAGGAGGAAGGAAGAGGGAAAAGTGACAACCCAAAGCATAGATTTTAAGGCAAGGCAAGAGCCATGGTAGAATCCAAGATGGGCTCCCATCCACTCCACCCCTAGGAGGTCTGGTATGGAAGCTGTGAAGTGGACCTTCCAAGCCAGGGCACCCCTACTTCCTACAGGCCTTCCCAGATTGCTGATCAAGACCAAGCTACTCATCCCTCAGACAAACCTATATTCCGCCCCCAAACACCCCCTTGCAAGCCTAGCCCTTCCCAGAGGAAGCCCTCAGAGGGGCGCCTGACCACCCTCCCAGCCACGAGGTACCCTGCCTGAGGCTCGGGACTTGATGCGCAGTTTGTGGGGCAGAGAGGGCTGACCCAGACCCTCAGGACTGTTCCCTGGGGCAGGGCAGGTCACCCCAGGAGACAGACCCATGGGATCAGCAGTGGGTGTCAGCAACACATCTGATGGCCCTGAAGCCCGGCATCCAGAGGGCACTGGTGACCACAGCCCCCAGCAGGGTCTGAGCTCTGGTCTGGACCCTACATGCCCCTCCAAGAGGTGACAGCTGAAGAGGGCAGGTGGGAGGGCAGTCTGCAAGGCCATGTCAATTCTGTTGAGGGTAGGAGATGCAGACTCTTGGGGGGACCTAGGAGAAGTGGCCAAGCCAGTCCATCTGGGAGCCAGCAGGCAGCCCCGACATCCTGGAATCCCAGCATCCAGGGAACGTGGCCTTAAGAGGCAGCTGTGAGAGCCAGACAAGGATGAGAGTGCTTCAGCCCCAGGCCGGGGGTCCCCAGTCCAGGGGGCTTCCAATAGCAGAGCCTGCAGGGGCAAGGCCCGGGGCCCACCAGTCAGGGGCAGGAGGCCAAAGCGAAGCTTGAGCGCCTTCAGCTCACCCTTGAGCAGGGCATTCTCCTCCATCAGTGCAGCCAGCCTGCCCTCAATGGCTGCATCATTGAGACGTCGCTTTTCCCTGGATCTCTTGGCTGCTTCATTGTTCTTCCTCCGCTTCTCCCAGTAAACTGTGTCCTTCTTTTCTTCTGGCATGAACTCCCGCTGGCGACGTATGGAGGGGCCCCTGCCCCGAGCCCCCCACAAGGTCTTGCTATGACTCTGAGACACATCTGGCAGGCCCGAGAAACCCACATCCATAGCTGCTTGGAGAACCTGGGAAAAAGGAAAGAGTTCTTGGAGTAATGGCAAAGGGTGGACCTGGATGACCCCTTTCTCTAATTTATCCTTTGTCTCCACCATCACCCATGGAGGGGACAGGTGGAGTTGGAACTGAGCTGGAGACCAAGGTTCGATCTTCATCTGTTTGATGCCCAGTGAAGATTGGGTGAGGCCACAAAACAAGAAACTGCTAGAAAGGCTTAAGAGCAGACCACCGTCATCATGAAGAGCTGGTTCAACCCTGTACCCTCAGAAGGACACATGCTCTTCCAGGGGTGTTCTCCTTACTGTTGAGAAGGTCAGCAGACAAGCCCAGGGCTCAGTTCAATTGGAGTTCCAAGGTAAGATTCTTGGAAACCCAGAGGGAGACAGAAGGATGACTGAACCTAGAAATAGAGAATATGTATCCATGGAGGTAAACAGAGCCAATTTGGGATCAGAAAATAAGCTGCTATTCACCTAAACTGTGCCCAGATTGTACCCCAAGATCGCTTCAGTTTGTGGCCAGAATTTTTTACCTGCCCTTCCATCCATCCAACTACCCACCCATTCA
The DNA here is from genome assembly GCF_000001405.40 of Homo sapiens. Classification (NCBI taxonomy): domain Eukaryota; kingdom Metazoa; phylum Chordata; class Mammalia; order Primates; family Hominidae; genus Homo; species Homo sapiens. Next base: position 8,676,191 of record NC_000019.10, on the reverse strand, counting down.
TCGGGTAATCCAATCACTCACCCATTCACTCAACTGTCCATTTGTCCATCCCTCTACCCAACTCACCATCTATCCATTTATCCATTCATTCACTCACTCACCATCCATTCACTCAAACCCATCTCCCCATTTCATTGTGCAACTCTCCATCACATCTACCACTTACTCACTCATCCATTCATCCAACCGTCCATTGATTCACTGAGAGATTCATTTTTTTTAAATCACATTGTGCCTTTACTAGGCATCTTTTCATCCATATATTCATTTGCTGATCTCAACCATCCACCATCTATTCCTCCATTCTTTCATTCATCCAAATGTCCCTCCTATGTGTCAGTCACTCTTCTACAAATCCATTCATTCATCTATATATTCATCCATGGGTCCATCCATTCATCCAACCAACAAAAAAGCAATTTTTTTAGAGGCATGGTCTGACTGTCACCCAAGCTGGAGTGCATTGATGGGATCATAGTTCACTGCAGCCTTGAACTGTTGGGCTCAGGCAATCATCATGCCTCAGCTTCCCAAGTAGCTGGGACTACACTTGTATGCCATTATGCTCAGCTATTTTTAAATTTTCTGTAGGAACATGGTCTCACTTTGTTGCCCAGGTTTGAAAACAAAACACAATTCCCATGTGCCTAGTGTTGAAGAATTAGAGGGTTGGTAATTGGGGGTAGAGAAAAAAAATCAAAGTTATTAGATTCCCAACCCCTAGGGTGGAGCCCAGAAAAGATGCCCAGTGTCCCAGAGATATAGCAAGGATGGAAGACTACCTCCCTTGCCTCAGCCCAGTTTCTCACACTGGTTTTCATGAAGACTCTAACACAAAGATCTGGGTTCTACTAACCACCTGGGGGATGTCTTCACCTTCTGTGATTCAGATACAAAACAGGTGGAGAGAAAAACCACAGCAAGGCGGAAGGAGCCTGTCTAAAAATTCAGAACAAACTTCAGGAAAGAAGGGGCACTGAGGGCTGAAAACCGATCATCTTTGTTCTGAAAACCGATGACTGTCATCTCCATAAGGGCATATGTATGTCTTTTTTGGTCTACTCTTGTATCCCTGGTACCTAACATTGTGCTTGTAAATAGCAGGTGGTAAATAAACACTTGTTGAATGAATTAATGACTTAATGAATGAACACATGAATGAAAACAACCTTGTTCACAGCTGGAGAGCATTTAACCCCCTTGCTGAACTCCCACCCAAGAAACCATGAAAGACACCACATTTTTCTGTTCACTTTGGCAGAAACTCAGTGTTGAGTTTTAAGATAAACCGTAGTAACTTTCCTAAATTGGGAGTATAGGTTTTTCTTCCCCAACATTCTAATTTAGTCTTTTATTCTTCACTAACAGCCCTTGACCTTAGTTTCTGTTGCTACATGGTTATGTGACATAATTCAGGTCATGTTTGACAGAGGATAAAGGAATATACAACCAGACAAATAGCAACACTCCAAGGACCTCTGACAATGATCCTAAGTCCACATTTCCCAAAGTATGTTCCTAGGAACCCCAGTGCCAAAGATGACGCGCCCTCAGAAAAAGAATACAAAAATGTTTGAGAAATATTGCATACCTTATTCCTTATAGGAGAATCACAAAGTACATTGAAGGCTCTGAGAAATCCTGCAAAAAAAAAAAAAAAAGTTTAGTTTTGTGACTTAGAGGCTCTCAAATTTATTTGCCCAAGAAATGCTTACTATACTTCACAAAACAATTTGAGGTGCATATTTATTCATTCATTCACTGTGCCAGGTTGTAAGGTAGACAAAAGAAGAAAATCAAACTGCCTCCCAGCCTTCACAAATCTCCCAGTCTCATGGAAAAGTTGAGTGAAATTATAATAAAAGAAGAAAATATGTCTAGAGAAGGTCTTTCATCTGCTCACATCACACAGTAAGTCAGCAGCAGGACTAAGATTTGAACTCAAATCTGTCTAATGTGTGAGTCTGCTCCGCCACACCATGTGATCTGCTCATGTGCTCAGGAGGCCACCATGTCTGGAAATCTTGGTTGGGCTTGGAGAATAAAAAATAAGGCCAAGCGCGGTGGCTCATTCCTGTAATCCCAGGACTTTTGGAGGCCGAGGCAGGCGGATCACAAGGTCAGGACAGCAAGACCATCCTGGCTAACACGGTGAAACCCTGTCTCTACTAAAAATACAAAAAATTAGCCAGGCATGAGGGCATGCACCTGTAGTCCCAGCTATTCAGGAGGCTGAGACAGGAGAATCACTTGAACCCGGGAGGCGGAGGTTGCAGTGAGCCAAGATTGCGCCACTGCACTCCAGCCTGGGCGACAGAGCAAGACTCCATCTCAATCAATCAATCAATCAATCAATGCCTTGTGGTGTTCTGCAGTCGCCCAAGTCAACAAGAACTCCTAGCTACTGGAAGGTCTCCAGCACTCATGCCCAGGACCACCTAGTCACAGAAGGGACTCCAGTGCCCATGCCCAGGAACTCCTCTGAGAATTTCTATTCATGGGAGGGACTCCAGTGCCCATGCCCAGGACCTCCTCTAAGAACTCCTAGTCACAGGAGGGTCTGCAGTGTCCATACCTGGGACCCCCTCTGAGAAATCCTGGTCACTGGGGAGACTCCAGAACCCAAGTCCAGGACCAACTCTGAAGCCGAAAGACATCTGGACCACCTCCCCACCTGTTGCCACTTGCTGTAGTGGTAGGCGGCTCCACACCTGCCCACATCACATGGGCTGGGGAAGCAGCTGCAGTTAGGTGAACCCTGGTCCACAGGTGCCAGACGGGACGCCCTGGGTTTGCAATTTCCTGCAGCTGTCTCTGAGCTTTGTTCCTGGTAGCCAGGCTAATAACATAACCTTGCTCAGGTGTCCAAGTTCACTGAGCCCTTATAGACACCTAGGGCTACCATACCCTCTGTCAGGAGCATATCATCCCCACTTACAGACCATGCAACTGAGGCTCAGGAAAAGTTAAGTGGCTGACCCAGGGACAGTCAGAGATTCCAAAAGTAAGCAGCATTCTTCTCCTAGCATGTGAGTACCGCCACCAACTCTGGCCCCAAAGCTGCCACTGACACCCCTCAAATCCTTCTCCCCTGGCCCCATTCATGCCACCTCCCACTAATCGCTCCTCCACAGTTGCATCCACCCCTCTCTCCAGTCCCCACAGCCCTGGTCCCCGCCCAAGCATTTTCTATCCCACCTGGGCCCCCACCAGCCTCCACCCTTGTCCCCCACAAACCCACCATGAGCCCAGAGGTAGCTTTTTGAAATTCCATTTATCCTTTGCTTAAAAGCCTCTGGGGTGTGCTTATGAAAGTATAAGCATCTTAGACTCCTAAAACCAGTGTTCATATGTTCCTCAATTCACCTCCACCCCAGGATCAGGAATGAAGGAGGAAGGCCCTGTAAAAGTATTTATTGGAATAAACTAATAAATATATGAATATTTTTTAAAATAAACTATTTAATGCATAAATATTTTTTGAATGAATGCCTGAATATTTTTGAATGAACTAATAAATGCATGGATTTTTGGCATGAACTAATAAATGCATGGATTTTTTTTGAATAAACTAATAAATGCATGGATTTTTTTGAATTAATAAATGCATGAATATTTTTTGGAATGAACTAATAAACACATGAATTTTTTAATGAACTAATAAATGTATGGATTTTGAATGAACAAATAAGTGCATGGATTTTTTTTGAATGAACTAATAAATGCATGGATTTTTTGAATGAACTAACAAATGCATGGATTATTTTGAATTAACTCATAAATGCATGAATATTTTTTGGAATGAACTAATAAACACATGAATTTTTTTAATGAACTAATAAATGTGTGGTTTTTTTGAATGAACAAATAAGTGCATGGATTTTTTTTGAATGAACTAATAAGTGCATGGATTTTTTTTGAATAAACTAATAAATGCCTGGATTATTTTGCATGAACTAATAAATGCATGGATTTTTTTGAATGAACTAATAAATGCATGACTATTTTTTAGAATGAACTAATAAATGCATGGATTTTTTGAATGAACTAACAAATGCATGAATATCTTTTTGGAATGAACTAATAAATGCATGGATATTTGAATAAATTAAAATTGAGTGAAGCGTGGGTAAATGAATGAATGAATGAGCAGATGAAGGAATACTCAAAAGGGCAGAACCCATAACAGTGAGGTGCAGTGAGCCTGAATGGGTCCTCTCTCCCCACAAAGGGCTGGGCCTGGGTCTTCCACTGCCCAGACAGCTCACCTGAGCCCCAGACAAGACCCCAGACAAGCCCTCACTTGGGGTCCCCCACTAGCCACAGAATTCCCCTGCCACATTCCTGGCCCTGTCTTGGGGGGACATCAGAGGGGGTCCCAACAACCATTCCAACTTCAACGGATGTTGACCAGAGCCCAGGAATTGATGAACATCTGTGTAGAGGTCCACGGCACATCCCGGAGCTCTGGGGCCAGCATCTAGAAAGTACCACCTTGGCTCTAGGAGAGAAGACAGAAGTGGTAGGCAAGCTCCGAGATGAACACAGCTGGGCTGGAAAGGAAGAGGAACACAGCCCAGGGGTCCCCAAGAGCCACACCAGAATCAGCAATGCCCAAGGAAGAGAAGTGAGTGTGGGCTGGTAGTCACATAAAGAAAGGACAGGCCAGAGTGACTCTGAGCAGTCAGCTCTCAGGCCACACCACTGAGATAGAGGAAAATTTGTTATCACTGTGGTCTGAGTCCTTCCCGTCTGTGGCTTGGCCTGAACCCCCCTAACCACCGCCCCCTACACCTCCACAGGAACCCAGAGGGAGATGGGGCAGCAGATAGTTCTGCTGCCCGAGTTTATTTAAAGAAAACACAGTAAGAGCTGGGCTGGGCCTTCCTGTGGTCGCAGAGGAAGTGCTAACGGAGGGTGGCGAGACAGGCAGCACTCCTTGCAGTGGCCGGAGGGGGATGAAGAAACAGGAAAAGGGTCTCTCTCAGAGATGGCCCCATCGCAGGCCAGCCCCACCCCAGCCAAGCAGCCTCCGCAGCTGCCTTGACCAGTGACATCAAAGCTCTGTTTGGTCCTCTTCTGTAACAGGGAGCTCATCCCCTCTAAAGTCACTAGAGAGAATGTTCTGCCACACCATGTGGCCTGCTCATGTGTTCAAGAGGTTCCCATGTCTGGAAATCTTTTTTTTTTTTTTTTTTTGAGACAGTCTCACTCTGTCACCCAGGCTGGAGTGCAGTGGTGCAATCTCAGCTCACTGCAACCTCCGCCTCCCAGGTTCAAGCCATTCTCCTGCCTCAGCCTCCCGAGTAGCTGGGATTACAGATGCTTGCCACCACGCCTGACTAATTTTTGTATTTTTAGTACAGACGGGGTTTTGCCATGTTGGCCACGCTGGTCTCAAACTACTGACCTCAGGTGATCCACCTGCCTCAGCCTCCCAAAGTGCTGGGATTACAGGCATGAGCCAGAGCGCCTGGCCATGTCTGGAAATCTTGACTGAGCTCAGAAAACAAACAGTAAAAGCCTTGCAGGATTCTATAGTCACCCAACCCAGCAAGAACTCCTAGTCACTGGAAGGTCTCCGGCATCCACCCCTTTGGGAAAGAGAGGATCCAATCAGACTGTATTCCAGTCTCATGGCGCCTGCCTTTTGAGTATTATTTCATCTGCTCATTCATTCATTCACTCACTCACATTTCACTCATTCTTTAATTTATTCAACTATTCATGCATTTATTGGTTCATTCCCAAAATATTCATACGTTTAATGGTTTATTCTAAAAAATATGGGGCCAGGTGCAATGGCTCACACCCATAATCCCAACACTTTGGGAGGCCAAGGTAGGTGGATCACTTGAGCCTAGGAGTTCAAGACCAGCCTGGGCAACATGATGAAACCATGTCTCTACAAAAAATACAAAAATTAGCCATGTGTGGTGGTTTCTACCTGTAGTCCCAGCTACCCAGGAGGCTGAAGTGGGAGAATCATCTGATCCCAGGAAGTCAAGGCTGCAGTGAGCTGTGATGTACCACTGCACTCCAGCCTGGGCATCAGAGTGAGACCCTGCCTCAAAAAAAAAAAAAAAGTCACCTGTCAGATTAGGTGAGCTCTCATGGTCCAAAAAGTTTTCCTGGAGTAGAGCTAGAAGCCACCTTTGCTGGACCCATCCCTGCTAGAATTCATTCTTTCCTTAACATCCGTGGAGAATCTCCCCTTCCTCTGGACCCTAGAACCCTTTGGGGATTTGAGGAATTGACACTGACATTTCCCTATTCCCACAACAGCCTGCTCTCCTCCAGGGAAAACAATTCTTGTGTATTGAGCACCTACTGTATGCCAGGTACATGGAACATCTCACTTTTCACTCACCACTACCCAGAGAGGAAAGTAAAGCACGGCTATCATCCTGATTTGACAGATCAGGAAAGCAAAGCTCTGAGAGGTCAAGTGACCTGCCTGAGGTCGCACAGCCAGAATCCAGGTACAATGGGATCCAGTACCCAAACCCTTCCTAATGCACCAGGTTAAATGTCCCCAGATACTTCCACTTGTTTCAGTGAGGACACAGTTTTGAGTTTGCATAGCACCTCTGAAGGGTAGAGGTTGGTTTCCACAGAGGAACAAAAGGGTCAAGAAACCACACAGTTAACAATACGGCAAGGCTGAGATTAGTATCCATGCTGTCAGGATGCAATGAAATAGGCAGGATTAAGAACACCTGCTTTAACTGGGTTCAAATTTTCCTCCCTAGCTAAGTGTGCCTGGGCAAGTCAGGTCACCTCTATGAGCTTCCAATGTCTCATCTGCAAAAGGGGAATAATAGCAGTACCTACCTCATTGGTTGTATAAGGAATAAATAAGGTAAGATGTGTTAAGAGCTGGTACCTGATAATAATAAATAACCCACATAGCTATTTTTCATTTATTGTTGTTAGAATCCTCTCTTGGCCAGGCTTGGTGGTTCATGCTTGTAATCCCAGCACTTTGGGAGGCCAAGGTGGGCAGATCACCTGAAGTGGGAAGTTCGAGACCAGCCTGGCCAACATGGCGAAACCCTGTCTCTACTAAAAAATACAAAAATTAGCCGGGCATGGTAGTGCACGCCTGTAGTCCCAGCTACTCGGGAGACTGAGGCAGGAGAATCACTTGAGCCTGGAGATGGAGGTTGCAGTGAGCCGAGATTGCACCACTGCACTCCAGTCTGGGTGACAGAGTGAGACTCTGTCTCAAAAAATAAAAGAATCCTCTCCCACTGGACTTCTCCGGCCACACTCTGTACTATCTGTGTTGAAAATGTCTCTGAGAACCTTCGGACATCACCCAACACAACTGTATCTGTTTACAGATGGTAAATTGACTATCCACTCGAGACCAAATACACACCAAAACCTCCCCATTCCTCCCAGACACTGAGAAATGGTGGGAAAATGCTAACTTGAACCAGAGACCAAAGCAGAGATGCCCAATGACAAGGATAAAAGTCTCCCACGCATGGAAGTGCAGAGTCCCCTAATATATAAGGTCAAAAGCATGCACGTGCAGAAGGCCCAGACCAAGGAGAAATAACCTAAAGAAGATAATGAATCTGTGGCCACTTCAAGAAATTCCCACAAACTCCCCAACTAGAAGATATTACATCTGAGGAAATAGAGAATATCAGTTTAATCTTGAAAGAGCTGTACAATGAATATGTTAGGTGACTCAGAAAGATAAAGGAAGGAATGACAACTGTCAAACAAGAACAGGAGGTTATGAAAGAAAAACATGTAGATATAAAAAGAACCAGTTAGAGCTCAGATATGAAAAGTATACCATCATTCCTCTGTATCCTCGGGTTCCATATCCATGGATTCAACCAACCACAGATTGAAAATACAGTATTTGAAAAAAATAACAAGACAACAATAAAAATAATGCAAATTTAAAATTATATATGTATATGCCGGGCACAGTCGCTCAGGCCTATAATCTCAGCACTTTGGGAGGCCAAGGCAGGCAGATCACTTGAGGCCAGGAGCTGGAGACCAGCCTAGCCAACATGGTGAAACCCTGTCTCTACTAAAAATACAAAAATTAGCTGGGTACGGTGGCACATGCCTGTAATCCCGGCTACTGGAGAGGCTGAAGCATGAGAATCACTTGAGCCTGGGAGGTGGAGGCTGAAGTAAGTCTCCACTGTCACTGCACTCCAGCCTGGGTGACAGAGCAAGACTCTGTCTCAAAAAATAAATAAATAAATAAAAATAAAATAAAAAATACATATATAGTATAACAACTATTTACATAGCATTTATATTGTATTAGTTATCATAAGTAATGTAGAGATGATTTAAAGTATATGGGAGGGCAGGGCACTGTGGCTCACGCCTATAATCCCAGTACTTTGGGAGGCCGAGGTTGGGGGATCACTTGAGGTCAGGAGTTCGAGACCAGACTGGCCAACATGGTGAAACCTCGTCTGTACTAAAAATACAAAAATTAGCCGGGTAGTGGTGGACACCTGTAATCCCAGCTACTTGGGAGGCTGAGGCAGGAGAATCACTTGAACCCGAGAGGCGGAGGTTGCAGTGAGCCGAGATCGCACCACTGCACTGCAGCCTGAGCAACAGAGCGAGACTCCATCTCAAAAAAATAAAAATATAAATAAATAAATATTTGGGAGGATATGCATAGGTTATATGCAAATACTACACCATGTTAGATTAGAAACTTGAGTATCCATGGATTTTAATATCCAAGGGAGACCCCAGAACCAATCCCCCCCAGATATCAAGGGATGACTGTAGTTCCCAGAAAATCCAAGAGATGGGTTGACTCGTAGAAGGAAAAACTGAGACCCAAAGCTGGTAAAGAATTTATCAAGGTCATATGGGGTTTTAGTGGCAGAGATGGAACTAGAGCTTGGAGCTTAGAATTTAGCAGCCCAAAACCGAGGTCTAACTCAGGAACTGAGCCCTGGAGCCACTTGTGGCTCTCTAAGGGTTGTTTGTGGTTTCCCCTCCCTCTTTCCTGTTTTCTTTTCTTTCCTTGCATTGTAAGGCTGGTGCTGAACTGGACTCCACAGTCCCTCCCTAATAAGGAATGGGGCTTCCATCCCCTGACAGGGCAGGGTGGGACAGTGGGTAGAGAGAGATGGCCAACAGCCGAGCGAGGTGGCTCACACCTGTAATGCCAACACTTTGGGAGGCCGAGGCAGGAGGAACAGTTGAACTTAGGAGTCCGAGACCAACCCGGGCAATGTGGCAAAACCCTGTCTCTACAAAAAAAAAAAAAAAAAAGTTTTCAAAAATTAGCCGGGCATGGTGGTGTGCACCTCTGGTCCCAGCTACTTGGGAAGCTGAAGTGGGAGGATCACCTGAGCCTGGGGAGGTCGAGGCTGTAGTGAGCTGTGATCACACCACTGCACTCTAGCCTGGGCAACAGAGTGAGATTCTGTCTCAAAAAAGGAGAGAGAGATTGACAGAAAGAGAAAGATAAATGGCCAACCCTCTGCTCCTAAATTAGAATTTAATAAAATCTTAATGTCATAAGAGTAATTTATTGAGTGAAACTAAGAGAAATAGCCAATATTGGCCATGGGATACTGACTGAGTGACTTAACCTCTCTAAGCCTCAGCTCCTCATCTATAAAAGGGGTTCAAGGTTATCATCATAGGCAGATGTTGTGAGAACTAAAATGGTAAGATGTGTCTATAAGATATAAGATACCTGGCATAGGCTGGGCACGGTGGCGCACACCTGTCATCTCACACTTTGGGAGGCTGAGACAGGTGGATCGCTTGAGCCTAGGAGTTCAAGACCAGCCTGGGCAACATAGTGAGACCTTGTCTCTACAAAAAAATCAAAAAAAAAAATGAAGCAGGAGGTTGCTTGAGCCCAGGAGGTCAAGGTTGCAATGAGCTGTGATGGCACCACTGCACTCCCACCTGGATGATAGGAGTGACACCCTGTCTCAAAAATAAGAAGAAGAAGAAGATACTCAGCATATCAGCATAGTCTCCTATGAAGACTTGGGGAGTCTTCCTGTGGTTTGCCAACCCTCTTTTTTGAGCCCAAAGACACCCCAGATGAAGATGAAGCTACAGTTACCAGAAGACTCAGAGGCCAACAGAGTACAGAGAAGTTTAAAAGGACAAAAAAAAAAAGGTGAGAAAAAGAAAGATGAATCAAAGGAGAAGGGAGGAGGCTGCCTCACAAATTCCTCCACCCATGTGGCCAGAGGGTAGCCCACAAGCTTTTCTTTTGCTCTAAGAGAGGAGCTAAAAATGACTGCAAACTCTCCAGCGAGTGTAAGATTTCTTAACACTCAGGCAAAAGGTAGCATTTGCCAGGCCAATGCATGTCTGGAGAAATTGTTTAGGCATGTCGCTTACAAGGGAAATACTCATTTGTTTTCATTTACATGAGATACCAATTTTTCCTGCCGAAATTGGCAAAGATTTCTTAAAAACAATAAAACCTAATGCTAGCAAGGATGCAGTAAGATGGGCACTTGTGTACCTAGAAGGTATACCTTGCTTCCTGGCAAAGCAATTGAGAAATGTGAAATGAGTCAGGCATGAAGGCTCATGCCTGTAATTCCAGCACTTTGGGAGGCTGAGGTGAGAGGATCACTTGAAGCCAGGAGCTGGAGACCAGCCTGGGCAACATAGCAAGACCCCATCTCTCTTAAAAAAATGTTTAAGAAATACAAAACAAATTTGGACTCATACCCTGTTTGAAGAATGAGGGTATTGTTTTTCTGCTACCTGGGTCACTGCTCCAGGCTTTTCTCTATCCCTTTTCTGGCCTTAGTACCCCCTTAGCCCTCCTCAAACACACCACTCCAGCCACGTAGACCATTTTTTACTTCATGAAAGAATGGTCCCTCACCTCCACATAATGTTTCTTCTGCCTGAAGCATTCTTCCCTCACCTCTTCCCTAAGCCAAATCATATTTGTCCTTTAAGACACAGCTTAGATGCTACCTCCTACAGGAAGCCCACCAAATTGATTCCTCTCAGATAGGCCAGAAGCGCCTTCTAGGTTCCCAGGACCCAGTGGGATTCCACCATTGCTGCAGCAATCTCTCTGGGTCTGCCCCTGTGTCCACACATCTCCTGAATAGACAGTCGAATAAATATAAGAGTGTGAGATATTTGGAGAAGGGGGTGTGCTCCGTGTGGTCCAGAAAGCTAGGTAAGGACCACAGAGAGAGGGATGAAGGTGCAGTTTTGAACCAGCATCTGAAAGGATTTTGTAAGAATTCCAGCTCACTAACCAAGCAAGGTTGCCTTGATAGGTAATGAGCTGCCCGTCACAGGGGGTGTGCAAGCAGGGAGTTGGAGACTACTTCTCTAGGTCCAGCTCTCTGCCTTCTCCACCCCTCCTGCCCAGACTTGGGGGGCCTGAGATGAGGAAATTGCTTTCCTCCCCAAGCTGGCTTTCCTCTGACTCAAAAGTCTGCCCAAGGAGAACCAGGGACCCATAGAGGCTATTCCCACGGCCCTGGGCAGCCCAGCCCAGGTTTCTCGGAAGGGCCACATTTCCACGGGGTTCAGGGAACCCAATGGAACCTCGGGGCCCTGCACTCTCAATCTGATGGAGCCCCTGCCTCATAAAAGCCCCCAGCGAAACCGATCTCTAAAACCGAGACGCTTCTGTGGGAACTCAGTCTTCAAGGGGAAAATGCAAGGCACCCTGGGAGCCGTGGCCCGCCCTCCCCCTCCCCCGGCACCTCCTGAGCCTCAGGGGAAGAGACCGGAAGCCGTTGGTATCTCCCGTGCCCAGCCCACAAGCCCATCTGGGGTCCCGAGTGCCAGGAACAGGCTGATGGGCAGGAAGTGGGGGGTGGGCAGGGGTGTCCAGAGCCGGTGAGGCCAAGGACCCAGTCCCTGCTCTGCCAAAGACACACTTGGACAAGTGACTCCTCTTTCCTGAGCCTCAGTTCTTTGAACTGTGAAATGGGCACAGGTTTGCAGCAAAGGCTGAACAGGTAACCCGGTACATACATTGTTCACCAACATAACAGATACTCAGTTCTTGGACACCCGAGCTCCAAGGGAGGCTCACCAGGGCTCACGGGGTCTGATGTGACGTCAGGGCTGTTATGCATGGATGCCGTGCAGTGGAAATTCACTTCCTTAAACTCACTCCCAGCAAAATTCATCTCGGTCTTGGAGCCCACAGTCTCTGGCCCAACGGGCCCCTCAGGTTCTGCCTTTCCCTCTCTGCAGGGCACTGGCCTCAGTCACCACACAGCCTCAAAGGAAGGAAGCTCAGAGGCACCTCGTGTCCATCCAAGGCCAAGCCCCAGCTCCCACTAAAACGCCAGCCAGGAGGGTCTCTCTTCGAGGCACCTGAGTCCCTACATCCCCCAGAGCAGGTGGCTGGACCCCACTCAGGCCACCAAGTCCCCCCCACAACAAACACACATACATACACACACACACACACACACACACACACACACACACACACACACACACAAACACACACACACACCACACCTTGTTAATTCTACGCTGAGCCCAGGAGATTGTGACTCCCAGCTGGCTTCACCCCAAACTCAGCATTCGTGGGACATTTACCTCCCAACGCCCGCGAGCATCAAATACTCAACGTGGCCAAAACCCAGCAAGTGATGTGCCTCACCACCAGCGCCCCCTCCACCTTCCCCATCTCAGTTCATGGCAGTTCCACCCCTCCCCACCACCAGCGTCCCCTCCACCTTCCCCATCTCAGTTCATGGCAGTTCCACCCCTCCCCACCACCAGCTCCCCCTCCACCTTCCCCACCTCAGTTCATGGCAGTTCCATCCCCCACTGCCACCAGCCCTGCAAGTGCTCAGGCCAAAACCCCTACTTTTGTCCTCTGCTCCTCTTTTTCTCTCACCCCCAAATCTGAGCCCAACTCAGGAAACTACTGGCTTCACCTTCAAAAATTGCCATAGAGGCCAGGCACAGTGGATCATGCCTGTAATCCCAGCACCTTGGGAGGCCAAGACTAGAGGATCACTTAGGGCCAGGAGTTCAAAACCAGCCTGAGCAACATAGCAAGACCCCATCTCTTAAAAAAGCAAAAAACAAAACAAAACAAAACCCAGGCATGGTGACACATGCCTGTAGTCCCAGCTACTTAGGAGGCTGAGGCGTGAGGATCGCTTGAGCCCAGGAGGTCAAGGTTGCAGTCTGCTATAATCTCACCACTGCACACCAGCCCTGGCAACAAAGTGAGACGCTGTCTCTTAAAAAAAAAAAAGGAAAAAGAAAAAGAAAAATTTAGGCCAGGCACGGTGGCTCATGCATGTAATCCCAGCATTTTGGGAGGCAGACGGATCAAGAGGTCAGGAGTTGAAGACCAACCTGGCCAACACAGTGAAACCCCATGTCTACTAAAAATGCAAAAATTAGCTGGGCATGGTGGCGGGTGCCTGTAATCCCAGCTACTCAGGAGGCTGAGGCAGGATAACTGCTTGAACCCAGGAGGCGGAGGTTGCAGTGAGCCAAGATCGTGTCACTGCACACCAGACTGGCAACAGAGAAAGACTCCATCTCAAAAAAAAAAAAAAAGGAAGAAAAGGAAAACTTCATCTAAGATCCTTCCACCTGCCACCTCTCTTGGACTCTTCTCCTCACGTAACTGGACAACTGCAACATCCCCTCCCACACTCACTCACTCACTCCACTCCAGCCGCATGGGCCTCCTCCGTGTTCCTCCAACACCCCAATGCAGTCCTGCCTCAGGGTCTTTGCACAGGCTGTTCCCTCTGCCAGGAATGCTGTTCCCCAGACACTCACATCGCTCCTCCCTCACCTCCTTTAGGTCTTTCTCCTCCAATGTCACCTCCTCAGCAAGCCTCCCCTGACCCCCAGCCTAAACAGCCACCCACACATTCACACACACTCACATACTTACACACTTACACACTCACTTTCTCTCCTTATTCTGCTTATTCCAGACACTTTTGCTCCCCTCCTTTACTTTTTCACCTTTTTTTTTTTTTTTAAGACAGAGTCTTGCTCTGTCACCCAGGCCTGAGTGTTGTGGTGCAATCATGGCTCACTGCAGCCTCACCCTCCTGTGTTCAAGCAATCCTCCTGTCTCAGCCTTCCAAGTAGCCGGGACTACAGGCATGTGCCACCACACCTGGCCAGTTTTTTTTATTTTTATTTTGTAGAGACTGGGTCTTGCTACGTTGCCCAGGCTGCTCTCCAATTCCTAGCCTCAGTGGACCCTCCTTCCTCAGTTTCCCAAAGCACTGGGATTACAGGTGTGAACCACCTCGCCTGGCCTATTTTACTGTATCTTTTGTTTGTTTGTGTTTTGAGACAGAATCTCACTCTGTCGCCCAGGCTGGATTACAGTGGCGCGATCTCTGCTTGCTGCAACCTCTGGGTTCAAGCGATTCTCCTGCCTCAGCCTCCCGGGTAGCTGGGATTACAGACGCACGCCACCATGCCTGGCTAATTTTTGTATTTTTAGTAGAAACAAGGTTTCACGATGTTGGCCAGGCTGGTCTCGAACTCCTGACCTCAAATGATCCACCCTCCTCGGACTCCCAAAGTGTTGGGATTACAGGCATGAGCCACTGTGCCCTGGTTTCTTATTTTTAATTGACAAATAATAATTGCAGATATTTGTGGAGTATGATGTGAGGCTTTGATGTATGTGTACTGTGTGGAATGATTAAACCAGGCTCGTTAACAAACCCATCAGCTCATACACTTATTGAAATCAGTATGAAGAGGTACTGGCACTCCAGGCACTATTCACAATAGCACAGATATGGAAGCAATTTAAGTGACCACGGATGGATGAAGTGATAAAGAAAATATGGTATAAGCCTGGGCGAAACCCATCTCTACAAAAAATACAAAAAACTAGCCAGGCGTGGTGGTGCATGCCTGTAGTTCCAACTACTTGGGAGGCTGAGGTGGGAGGATTGCTTGAACCCAGGAGGTCGAGGCTGCAGTGAGCTATGATTGCATCACTGCACTGCAGCCTGGGTGACAGAGAAAAAGAAAGGAGGAAAGAAAAAAAGAGAGAGAGAGAGAAAAGGGAAGGGAAAAAGGAAGAAGGAAGGGAGGGAAGGAAGGAAGGAAGGAAGGAGGAAGGGAGGGAGGGGGAAGGAAGGGAGGGAGGGGGAAGGAAGGGAGGGAGGGGGACGGAAGGGAGGGAGAGGGAGGGAGGAAAGAAAGGGAAGGGAAAGGAAGGAAGGAAAAGGGAGGGAAAGAAAGCAAGAAAGGAGGGAGGGAGGGAGGAAGGAAGGAGGGCAGGTATGGTGGCTCACACCTGTAATCCCAGCACTTTGGGAGGCTGAGGCGGGCAGGTACCCTGAGGTCAGGAGTTTAAGACCAGCCTGGCCAACATGATGAAACCCTGTCTCTACTAAAAATACAAAAAAATTAACCAGGCATGGTGGTGGGCACCTGTAATCCCAGCTACTCAGGAGGCTGAGGCAGGAGAATCGCTTGAACCTGGGAGGTGGAGCTTGCAGTGAGCCGAGACTGCACCATCGAACTCCAACCTGGGCAACAAGAGCAAAACTCCATCTTAAAAAAAAAAAAAAGTAAGGGAGGGAGGGAAGAGGGAAGGAGAGAAGGAAGGAGGGAAGGAAGGAAGGAAGGAGGGAGGGAGGGGAGGAAGGAAGGAAGGAGAGAAGGAAAGAAGGAAGGAAGGAAATGTGATATGTATACACAATTCAATACTACTTAGCCTTGAAAAGCAAGGAAAATCCTGCCATTTGAGACAACGTGGATGAACTTCCTTACTTTATCATTACCGATGGTCGTATTTGCTTGGTGTATGTCTCTGCCGCTAGAACACCAGCCCCCGAGAACAGGGACCATTCCCCCTCTGTGTCTACAGTGCCCAAAACAGCACCTGACACACAGTAGGTGCTTAATAACTGTTTGTTGAATGAAGGAATGTAAACAATGTTGTTTAATTCTCACAACACCCTTGGGAGACTCCACATCTCTTTTTCCCCCGGAGGCCCAGAGAGATGCACCGACTTGCCTAGGGTCACACAGCTAGTCACAGGTGGGTTTGGTGCCTGGGCAGCCGGAGCCCAGGGCCTACCCTGCCAAGCCTGAGATGTGGCCTGAACTGTGAGCAGGTCCCAAAAGCGCCTTTGATGCCAAGACACAGCTCCTCTGGGACCTCCCACAGGGCAGTGGCCGGTGTTGTAGCTCAGGACTGGGTGCTCATGAGGCCCCAGGGCCTCAGTCTCCCTTCTGTGAAACGGGCCCAGGAGTTCACTGAAAGAAGTGTCTTCCGGCCCTTGGAGCCCTCCCCCCACCACCCTAGAGGTGGCCGTCCTTCCCCCATCTCCGAAACTATGCTCAAAACAGGGAAATTCTTCTTTTCCACCCCCTCACCCCAAGCCTAGAATATACCATGGGCTCCTGGAAACAGGCCAGAGCTTCATCCGTGGGGACTCAGAGGGCACGAATTGGAGCCTGTGACACCTCTGGGTCCCCAAAATACCCGTTGGCATCATCCAACTCATTTCTGAGTCCCTTACACTGCCTATGCTAAGCACTTCACAGACACTATCTGCTGGAGGGATCTTTTTACCATGCATATCAGATTATGCTACTTTCCTGCTTAAAACCTTTAACGGATCAAGACTGCACTCTCTTCCCCCACTCACAGGGCCTGGGAGATCCAGATGGAGCGTATCCTGACCCTACTCCAGCCACACTGGCCTTCCCACCATTCGGAGTCACCGCAGGGCCTCGGCACCTGCAGCTCCAGTGCCTGCAACGCTCTTCCTCCTCTCCCCTAATTCCTCTATCCCCCTCCTCTGATCACATATTCTCTGGGAAGCCCTCTCCGACCTACCAGACTAAGTCAGGTGCTTCTGCTTCTCAGCGTTTAGTATTGTTGCGATTTTACAGGTATCTGTGTAATTATTTCATTAATGTCTCTTTCTTTTTAAAAAAAAATTTTTTTTTTTTGAGATGGAGTCTCCCTCTGTCACCCAGGCTGGAGTGCCCTGGTGTGATCTCGGCTCACTGCCATCTCCGCCTTCTCAGGTGCAAGTGATTCTCCTGCCTCAGCCTCCCGAGTAGCTGGGATCACAGGCACACACCACTACACCTGGCTAATTTTTTGTATTTTTAGTAGAGACAGGGTTTTACCATGTTGGCCAGGCCGGTCTCGAAATCCTGACCTCAGGTGATCCACCCAGCTTGGCCTCCCAAAGTTCTGGGATTACAGGCATGAGCCACGGCAACCAGCCTTTAAATTTTTTTAGAGAGAGGGTCTTGCTCTGTCACCCAGGCTGGAGTGCAGTGGTGCAATCATACCTCACTGCAGCCTCGACCTCCTGGGCTCAAACGATCCTCCCACCTCAGCCTCCTGAACAGCTGGAAATACAGGCATGAGCCACTGCGCCCAGCAACTAACGTCTCTCTTTCTTTCATGACGCCACTGCCTGTCTTTCTTCCTCGTGGTATATCCTCACTGTGGGGGCTGGCATATAGTAGATGCTTAATAAATACTTGTTGAATGAATGAATGAATGAATGAATGAATGAATAGAATCCTCTCATCACCCCAGACTCTGATTTGATAGGTGAGGAGAATGAAGCTTGTTCACTTAAGGTCACACCAGAAATCCTCACTTGTCCTGTGCAGCTCCCACCCCAGTCCCCCCAGGCAGCCTCCCACTCTCGGCCCCACTTCCAACTTTAGGACAATGGTTCTAAACCCAGGGGAAAGTTGTCAATGTTTTTTGTTATCCTCACTTGGGAAGTGCTACTGGCCCCTGGTGGGTAGAGACCAGGTGCCCCTACTGGTCTCTAAATATTTACGCTGCTGAATATCCTACAATGCACAACGCAGCCCCCCAAGACAAAAGACTGCCTGGCCCCAAATATCAATAGGGCATGGTGGAGAACCCCAGCTGTAGGGGAAGTGCCCGCAGCTGAGCCTGTTAGGAAGATGTGCACCCCAAAGAGGCTTGGGCCCAGGAGCTCCCGGCTCGGAAGTGGTGGTTGTAACACCAAATCATCCTGCTACCTCTTGATCATTCTGTTTCAGGCACGCAGGCCTCCTTGCTCTTCCCTCAACACACCAGGCACTGTCCTGCCTCAGGGCCTTTGCACATGCTGGCTGTGCCCTCTGCCTGGAATGCTCCTGCCAGATATCTGCATGGCTGGTCCTCTCTCCCAATGCCTGTAACCCTCTCTGTTCCCCCCTCGCCAGGGAGAGTCCCTGCACCCACCCAAGACCGCCAGTCCTGCCAAACCCACCAAGCCCCTCAGCCTCAGCCTTGAAGTTTGAGAACAAGGTCAGAATGGGGTGTGGTCTCTGAGACCCAAACATCTAGCTCTTTTGGCCCATGTGAGCCAGTGATTCCCACCCCCAGGGCTGATCACAGGTGGTGGGGAAAATGAGGGGTGTCCTGCCTCCTCTCCCCGTCTGAGCAGGGCTGAGAGCCCCCCAGAAACCTGCTGCAGTCAGACACTGGCCTCACCGTAATTATTCCAATGATTCCTCAACAAATCTTTGAATGAAAGCACGGTGTGGAGGGACAGAGAAAGAGGTAGAGACGGAGAGAGATTTACAGTGAGAGAGGACTGTCACTCACCCACTAACTACAATCCCACACACAGCGATCAGACTCCAGCAGACAACAGCTGGAGGTCTGTGTCCCTAACTTGCCTGCAACAAATACTCCCAACCCCTTAGCAACTGTCACTCACAGCAGTCACGTCCCCGCAACCATCAATCTTAAAGCAACAGGACCCTGCAGCAGCCAGAGTCCCCAACGACCCCCTGCAGACAAAAGCAATCGCCAGGCCAGGCGCGGTGGCTGACGCCTGTAATCCCAGCACTTTGGGAGGCCGAGACGGGTGGATCACGAGGTCAGGAGATCGAGACCATCCTGGCCAACATGATGAAACCCCCCTCTCTACAAAAAAAAAATTAGCTGGGTGTGGTGGCGCGTGCCTGTAACCCCAGCTACTCAGGAGGCTGAGCCGAGCCGAGATCATACCACTGTACTCCAGCCTGGTGACAGAGTGAGACTCCGTCTCAAAAAAAAAAAGCAATCGCCAATCTCCACAGATTTGGACCTCCCACCGGAGCGAAAACCGCCCCCCTCCACAAAACCACCCCAGACAGGCACAGGAACAAGACTCCTTTCAACAGCAGAGCCCCCAGAATACTGCACCCCAAATCCTTACAACAACTGGATCCCCTCAATAGTCAAACGCCAACCACAGACAACCCCCAGGACAAAGACCTTCAGCACGGTGACTGGACCCACCTAACCACCAGATTTACAGAGCCAAGCTGGACTCCCCCACCTCCCCTGGAGCAGGTCCCAAGAATAAGGACCCCTACAGCCACACAACAGCCAGACCCTCCCTGGTGCATGAGGCATCATCTTTGGAGACCTCCAGACCCCCCTTCAGTTCCCTGCTACACACACACAGGTGTTGCCACCCATAGGGGCCCAGGATTAGCTGCTTTGCAGAAGTGCAAGGAGGCCATGCTCTTCCATTCACCTAGCACAGGCCTGGGCGCAGCAGGGAAACATTGGGCGGCGGCAGCTGTGCTGTGTGGGGAGCAGGGCCAGGTACGGGGGCTGCACCCGTAGAAGTAAAAAGGCAGGACAGGAGGTTGGAGCCAGGTGGGAAAACAAGCGGGGAGAAGGGGAGCTTCAGAGAGAAGGTGGGCTGCAGGAGAAGGTGGGCTGCGGGAGAAGGTGGGCTGCGGGAGAAGGTGGGCTTCAGAGAGAAGGTGGGCTTCGAGGAGAAGGTGGGCTGCGGAAAGAGGTGGGTTTCAGAGAGAAGGTGGGCTGCGGGAGAAGGTGGGCTTCAGGGAGAAGGTGGGCTTCAGGGAAGAGGTGGGCTTCAGGAAGAAGGGGGCTTCAGGGAGGAGGTGCGCTGCGGGAGGAGGTGGGCTGTGGGGAGAAGGTGGGCTTCAGAGAGAAGATGGGCTGCGTGGAGAAGGCAGGAGGGTTTCTGGGAGAAGGTGGGCTGCAGGGAGAACACTGGCTTTGTGCACAAGGTGGGCTGTAGGGAGAACGTGGCTATGGAGGGCCTTCTCAGATGGAGGCAGCATGGGGTTCTGCAGCCTGGTGCTCCCTCCTCCTTCCTGGGCAGTGCCTGGTGGTCCCCCTTAGGGACCGGGTCAGAGTAAGCCAATGAGGAAGAGAACCTCGGAGAGGGTAGAACCTGTTCTCCCCACCCTGAGAGCAGGGCTTGGATGGGGCAGCAGAGACAGGGACAGGCAGAGACACAGAGAGAGACAGAGACTCAAACGGAGACAGAGACCCCCCCTGAACCAGAGACCCAGGGAGAGAGAGGGCCAGAGACAGCGAGAGAGACATGGGGAGACACAGAGAGAGAAAGAGACACAGCATGGAGAGCTCCAAGACAGTGAACAAGACCCAGAGAGAGACAGCGCCAGAGAGAAAGGACAGAGTTGAGAGGGTGGAGGGGACAGAGATGGGGAGACAGAGTCAGAGAGAGGGCCTGAGACAGGCAGGGGGCAGCAGCTGGGTGTGGGGTCCCTGAATGTCCTCCAGCCCCCTGAACGGGCCAGCCCAGCATGCCGTCCTCACCTGCTCTGGACGCTGTCTCCCCGGTGAGTCCCACGTGAGCCTCATCAGCCTTGTGGAACCTCCCGCGGTGGAGGTAGTCACCGGCGCTTCCGTAAAGGTGACACCCGGGCCCCCAGCCTGAAGCTTGTGGCTTTCCCTCCAGGGGTGTCCCCGCACCTGGTGTCTGCCCAGGGAGCAGGTGCTGTGGGATGGCCCAGACTCAGGGACATCACTGGAGAGTAAACAGCCCCACCAGGAGGGTACAGGGGGAGGAAGACCTGCTTGTCCAGCCCCTGGGAGCCCAGTAAGTGGAGTCTGAGCTGGCCACAGCTAAAGTCTCCCATTCCAACCCCGTAAGGCCCTTCTAGAAAGATCCAGGGGCAAAGGGAAGGAGGCTCTGTCCTTCCTTACATCTGAGGACACTCTCCTGCTCAAACACCCTCTATGGCTCCCCATTGCCTTTCAGATTGTCTAATTCCTGGCCCTGAACTTTTCTTGGACAAAGCCTCTCTGTCCAGCCTCTGCATCAGGGGAAACTGAGGCATGGAGCAATTAAGTGGTATGCCCCCAGGAAGAAGTGGAGCTAAGTACTATATGAGTTTTCTAATGAAAGGGCATCCCAGGCAGAAGGAGCAGCAAAGGCCCAGAGGTAAGAGTCGGCAGGAACCTGTCCCAGGAACCCAACAGGAAGTGGAGGAATGTGGTCAGAACTGCTTATAGGAAAATTTCTGCAAGTGGCTGCGGGGTTGACTGGACTCCAGGGGCAGAGTGGGAGCCTTGCGATGAGGGAGGAGGCCGAGCCACGCTGCAGATTGGAAAAGGAGACGTCCTGAGGTGCGACCCCGAGGCGGGGCTGGGGTTGAGATTCACCCTGCAGAGTCGCTGAGCCGGCCTAGGCTTGGGAGCAGCGGCACCTGGTGGGCGCTGTATGGAACTGCACCCTCCTTCATTGGTTGATTCAACAGATATTTATTTCTTTTTCTTTTTCTTTTAATTTTTCTTTTTTATTCTATTTTTTAATAAATATTTTTTGAGGCAAGGCTCGCTTTCTCTGTCACCCAGGCTGGAGTTCAGTGGCGCCAACACAGCTCACTGCAGCCTCGACCTCCTGGGCTCAAGTGATCTTCCCACCTCAGCCTCCCTAGTAGCTGGGATTACAGATGTGTGCCACCGTGCCTGGCTAATTTTCTGGTTTGTAGAGATGGGACCTCGCCATGTTGCCCAGGCTGGTCTCGAACTCCTGGGCTCAAACAATCCTCCCGCCTTGGCTTCCCAAAGTGCTGGGATTACAGGCATAAGCCACCACTGCCAGCCATAATTTTTTTTTTTTTCAGTAGCTTTTGGGGTAAAAGTGGTTTTTGTTTTTGGTTTTTGGTTTTTTGGTTTGTTTGTTTGTTTGTTTTTGTTTGTTTGTTTTGAGACAGAATTTCACTCTTGTTGCCCAGGCTGGAGTGCAATGAGACGACCTCAGCTCACTGCAACCTCCACCACCTAGGTTCAAGTGATTCTCCTGCCTCAGCCTCCGGATTAGCTGGGACTACAGGCACCTGCCACCATGCTCAGCTAATTTTTTTGTGTTTTTAGTACAGACAGGGTTTCACCATGCTGGCCAGGCTGGTTCTCAAACTCCTGACCTCAGGTGATCCACCTGCCTTGGCCTCCCAAAATGCTGGGATTACAAGTGTAAGCCACCACGCCTGGCCTGGTGTTGATTACATGGATGAATTGTTTAGCGGTGAAGTCTGAGATTTTAGAGCACCCGTCACCTGAAAATGTACACTGTACCCAACATGTAGCCTTTTATCCCTCATCCGCCTCCCAACCTTTCCCACCCCAAGGGCCTGAAATCCATGATGCCATTCTATGCGTTTGCATCCTCATAGCTTAGCTCCCACTTATAAGTGAGAACACACGGTATTTGGTTTTCCATTCCAGAATTACTTCACTTAGAATAATGGCCCTAGCTCCATCCAAATTGCTGCGAAACACATTATTTCATTCTTTTCATGGCTGAATAATATTCCATGATGTATATATACCACGTTTTCTTTATCCACTCATTGATTGATGGCCACACCGGTTGGTTCCATATCTTTGCAATTGTGAATTGTGCTGGAAAAAACATGCGTGCAGTTGAACATTTATTTCGAGCAGCGTTCCTGGTGTATTTGACACCAGCTGGGATCATTTTTCAATTTCTCCTCTCTATAAAATAGACTCATCTTCAGCAATAATCATGAAATAAAACAATAACCATGAAATAAATGCAGGCCAGGCGCAGTAGCTCATGCCTGTAATCTCAGCAATTTGGGAGGCCAAGGTGGGCAGATCAACTGAGATCAGGAGTTCGAGGCCAGACTGGCCAACATGGCGAATCCCTGTCTCTACTAAAGATGCAAAAATTAGCTGGGTGTGGTGGTGCGTGCCTATAATCCCAGCTACTTGGGAGGCTGAGGCAGGAGAATCACTTAAATTGGGAGGCGAAGGTTGCAGTGAGCCAAGATCGCACCATTGCGCTCCAGCCTGGGCAACAAGAGCAAAACTCTGAGAAAGAGAAAAGAAAGAAAGAGAGAGAGAGAGAGAGAGAGAGAGAGAGAGAGAGAGAGAGAGAAAGAAAGAAAGAAAGAAAGAAAGAAAGGAAGGAAGGAAGGAAGGAAGGAAGGAAGGAAGGAAGGAAGGAGGGAAGGAAGGGAAAGAAAGAGAGAGAAAGAGAGAAAGAGAGAGAGAAGAGAGAGAGAGAAGGAGGGAGGGAAAGAAAGGAAGGAAGGAGGGGGAAGAAAGTAAGAAAAGAAAGAAAAGGAAAGAAAGAAAGAGAAAGTGAGAAAGAAGAGAGAGAGAGAAGGAGGGAGGGAAAGAAAGAAAGAAAAGAAAGAAAGGAAAAAAAGAAAGAAAGAAATGCAGACACTGAAAATTTGGTTAATGTCTGATATAATCGTATTTTATGTAAATAATTGTCCAATAACTAAGGGAACTTTAATAAAACCGAAATATCTGCAAGCAGCGCAATTCCAGCAAGTCACTAAATCAATGGTGTAAAGACTGATGTAAAATGATGTAACATTTTATTTTCTTGCCTCATTCTTTAGCGTGAAAACAATGAACAAATTTTAAAGCGTAAGTTGCCATTTTAAAGATATCATTCGAATTCGGCACTAGAGTTCATGTATGAACTAAAATTTACACTTGCAAACATCTACACCTAACGGTTTGCAATGCTCCGCTGGTTTCAATACAAATAAAATCTCCCAGCCAGGAGCGGTGGCTCAAGCCTGTAATCCCAGCACTTTGGGAGGCCGAGGCGAGTGGATCACTAGGTCAGGAGATCGAGACCATCCTGGCTAACACGGTGAAACCCCGTCTCTACTAAAAGTACAAAAAAATTAGCCGGGTGTGGTGGCGGGCGCCTGTAGTCCCAGCTACTCTGGAGCCTGAGGCAGGAGAATGGCGTGAACCTGGGAAGCGGAGCTGGCAGTGAGCCGAGATCGCGCCACCGCACTCCAGCCTCGGCGACAGAGCAAGACTCCGTTTCAAAAAAAAAAAAAAAAATCTCCCAGTGGTCACAGCAAAGTACAGAATTGAAGTCATTCAAGTTCTGTGTTTTCATCTTTAAATCATCTTTTATTATTTCTTTCTAGTCTAAATCCAGGAAGACGTAGATGTATTATACTATCATGAGGTTTAGAGACACTCAAGCCATTCCAAACCATTGTTTCTCCAAATGAAAGTAGATAGTTGAAGGATGGCTACCAGAGGCCAGGAAGGGTAGTGAGGAGGAAGAGGGAGAAGGAATGTTTAATGGGTCCAAAATATAGTTAGAGGCCGGGCACAGTGGTTCACACCTGTGATCCCAGCACTTTGGGAGGCCGCAGAGGGAGGATCACTTGAGGCCAGGAGTTCAAGACCAGCCTGGAAAACATCGTGAGATCCCCATCTCTATTAAAAGTTTAAAAATTAGCCAGGCATGGTGGCACATACCTGTGGTCCCAGCTACTCAGGAGACTGAGGTAGGAGGATCGCATGAGTCCAGGAATTTAAAGCTGGAATGAGCTGTGATCTCCCCACTGCACTCCAGCCTGAGCAACAGAGCGAGACCCTGTCTCTAAAGAAAGAAAAAAGTTAGATAGAAGAAATAATACCTAGTGTTCCGTAGCACAATAGGGCACCCATGGTTAACAATAACTTATTGAAGGTCGGGCGCAGTGGCTCACGCCGGTAATCCCAGCACTTTGGGAGGCTGAAGCGAGTGGATCACTTGAGGTCAGGAGTTTGAGACTAGCCTGGCCAACATGGTGAAGCCCCGTCTCTACTAAAAATGCAAAAATTAGCTGGGCCTAGTGGTGGGCACCTGTAATCCCAGCTACTCAGGAGGCTGAGGCAGGAGAATCGCTTGAACCTGGGAGGCGGAGGTTGCAGTGAGCTGAGATCACTCCACTGCACTCCAGCCTGGGCAACAGAGCAAGATTCCATCTAAGAAAAAAAAAGCTTATTATATATTTTGAAATAATTAAACAATTGTAATTGAAACGTTCCTAACACAAATAAATGTTTGGGGTAATGGACGTCACAATTACCCTGATTTTATCAGGACACATTGTATGTTTTTATCAAAATATCACATATACTCCATAAATATGTACACCTATTATGGTTCCACAATAACTAAAAATAAATTTAAGAAAAAGAAAGTGGATAATTAAATCCGCTTATGTGGACTGCCTCTGTACATGGGAATTTCTCTGAATTAATTTCCATGGAGAACACAAAGTTCACCAAGAATAAATGATGAAAATGCGCTAAGTTGAAGTTTACATGTACATTATGAAACCTCAAATAAATAAATACGTAAATTATGAAAATAAATAGTAACTAGAGAAATCCAAGTAAATTCTGTACTGGAGAGAATCAGTCATATTCTATCAGCATCAATGTCCTGATCTTTTTTTTTAGCATGAGTTTCCTTTTATTTCTATTTCTTTCTTCTTTTTTTTTTTTTTTTGAGACAGAATCTCACTCCATCTTGCAGGCTGGAGTGCAGTGGTTCAATCTTTGCTCGCTGTAACCTCCGCCTCCCATGTTCAAGCAATTATCCTGCCTCAGACTCCCCAGTAGCTGGGATTACAGGCGCGTGCCACCACGCCCGGCTAATTTTTGTATTTTTAGTAGAGACGGGTTTTGCCATGTTGACCAGGCTGGTCTCAAACTCCTGACCTCAGGAGATCCCCCTGCCTTGGCCTCCCAAAGTGCTGGGATTACAGGCGTGAGCCACCGCACGCAGCCTCTATTAATTTCTTTATACCCATCCATGTAGGGCTAACTCACTCATGCAATGTGCTGATCTTGACACTGGACTGTGGTCATGTAAGATCTTGTTAGAGGAAGCTGGGTGCAGGGGACATGAGAGCTCTGTGCTATTTTTGCAGCTTCTTGTAAGTCTTAAACTATTTCAAAATGTAAAAGTTATCAAAACAAACAACCACAAAAAAAAAAACCTCAGCTGTAACCGCAGTAATTTTTTGGAACCAATTTTTTTTTTTTCAGACGGAGTCTTGCTCAGCTGGCCAGGCTGGAGTGCAGTGGCATGATCTCAGCTCACTGCAGCCTCCACCTCCCGGGTTCACGCCATTCTCCTGCCTCAGCCTCCCAAGTGGCTGGGATTACAGGCGCCCACGACCAAGACCGGCTAATTTTTGTATTTTTAGTACAGACGGGGTTTCACCATGTTAGGCAGGCTGGTGTCGAACTCCTGACCTCAGGTGATCTGCCCATTTCAGCCTCCCAAAGTGCTGGGATTACAGGCGTGAGCTACCACGCCCGGCCAAAAGATTTTTTTTTTCAGGGTATTTTATTACTAACATTCTTTAGAATTCTGGGCATATGTGAATGATAAAAGCAGACTGCCTTCTGGTGATTTTTATTCTTGCTTTTCAATTCTCTGCAGACAATGTGAGGCAAACTGCTTTCCCCACCCTGCCCAGGGACTGGGCTGGACCAAGAAAACCAAAGTTCAGTAAAACAGGACCCATACAGCAGAGCCGGCAAGACAGGCGCTCATGGAAAAATTATGCTTTGAAAATGCTTAATTATGCCGGGCACGGTAGCTCACGCCTGTAATCCCAGCACTTCGGGAGGCCAAGGCAGGTGGATCACCTGAGGTCAGGAGTTCAAGACCAGCCTGGCCAACATGGCAAAATCCCGTTTCTAACAAAAATACAAAAAATTAGCTAGGCGTGATGGCATGCACCTGTAATCCCAGCTACTCAGGAGGCTGAGGTAGAAGAATCGCTTGAACTCGGGAGGTAGAGGTTTCAGTGAGCCAAGATAACACCACTGCACTCCAGCCTGGGCAACAGAGCGAGACTTTGTCTCAAAAAAAAATTGCTTAATTGCCAGGTGTGGTGACTCACCCCTGTAATCCCAGCACTTTGGGAGGCCAAGGTGGGAGGATTGCTTGAACCCAGGAGTTCAAGACCAGCCTGGGCAACGTGGCAAGACCCCATCTCTCCAAAAAAAAATACGAAAGTCAGCCAGGTGTGGTGGTGCCTGCCTGTGGTCCCAGCCACTCAGGAGGCTGAGGTGGAAGGATCACTTGAGCCCAGGAGTCTAAGGCTGCAGTGAACCATGATCATGCCACTGCACTCCAGCCTGGGTGACAAAGCAAGATCATGTCTCAAAACTAAATAAATAAAAATACATAAATATGCTTAATTATAGGGTGAGATAAGGGCCTTGAAAGAAAAGATAGGGGCTTCCTGAAATCACAATTTTACTTTTTTTACATCTGCCTTTTTTTTTTTTTTAAGCAGAGTCTCACTTTGTTGCCCAGGCTGGAGTGCAATGGCATGGTCTTGACTCACTGCAAATCTCCACCTCCCAGGTTCAAGCCATTCTCCTGCCCTCAGCCTCCCAAGTAGCTGGGATTACAGGCATGCACCACCACGCCTGGCTAGTTTTGGGTTTTTTGTTTGTTTGTTTGTTTTGTTTTGTTTGTATTTTTAACAGAGATGGGGTTTCACCATGTTGGCCAGGCTGGTCTTGAACTCCTGACCTCAAGTGATCTGCCAGCCTCGGCCTCCCAAAGATCTGGGATTACAGGCATGAGCCACCATGCCCAGCCACATCTGCCTTTTTTGTGTAGTAATATATACATAATGTAAAACTAACCATTTTAATCATTTCTCAGCGTCCATACAGTTCAGAGGCATTAAGCACACTCACATTGTGCAACCATCACCACCATCCGCCTCCAGAATGCTTCATCTTGCAAAACCAAAACAGCATACCCATTAAACACTAGCTTCCCATTCTTCCCTTCCCTTTATTTATTTATTTTTTTAAGTTCCAGGGTACATGTGCGAGACGTGCAGGTTTGTGACATAGGTAAACGTGTGTCATGGGGGTTTGCTGCACCTGTCAACCCATCGCCTAGGTATTAAGCCCGGCATTCCCTATTTTTCCTTTTTTTTTTTTTTTTTTTTTTTGAGACGGAGTCTCGCTCATGCCCAGGTTGGAGTACAGTGGCTCAATCTCGGCTCACTGCAAGCTCCACCTCCCAGGTTCACAGCATTCTCCTGCCTCAGCCTCCCAAGTAGCTGGGACTACAGGCACCCGCTACCATGCCCGGCTAATTTTTTTTGTATTTTTAGTAGAGACGGGGTTTCACCGTGTTAGCCAGGATGGTCTTGATCTCCTGATCTCGTGATCCACCCGCCTCGGCCTCCCAAAGTGCTGGGATTACAGGCACGAGCCACCGCACCTGGCTTCCCTATTTTTCCTGATGCTCTCCCACCCTGCCCTCCCCCAACAGGCCCCAGTTGTGTGTGTGTGTGTGTGTGTGTGTGTGTGTGTGTGTGTGTGCGCGCGCGCGCGCGCGCATGTGTGCGTGTGTGTGTGTGTGTGTGTGTTGTTCCCCTCCCTGTGTCCATGTGTTCTCATTGTTCAGTTCCCACTTATAAGTGAGAACATGCAGCGTTTGGTTTTCTGTTCCTGGTTTAGGTTGCTGAGAATGATGGCTTCCAGCTCTATCCACATCCCTGCAAAGGACATGATCTCGTTCCCTTTTTTTGGGGGGGGGGGTGCGGGGACAGAATGTCCTTCTTGTCCCCCAGGCTGGAGTGCAGTGGTGCGATCTCGGCTCACTGCAACCTCCACCTCCTGGGTTCAAGTGATTCTCCTGCCTCAGTATCCCAAGTAGCTGGGATTACAGGCGCCTGCCACCATGCCCAGCTAATTTTTGTATTTTTAGTAGAGACAAGGTTTCACCATGTTGGCTAGGCTAGTCTTAAACCCCTGACCTCAGGTGATCCACCCACTTCAGCCTCACAAAGTGCTGGGA
Organism: Homo sapiens; assembly: GCF_000001405.40. NCBI lineage: Eukaryota > Metazoa > Chordata > Mammalia > Primates > Hominidae > Homo > Homo sapiens. The sequence goes on along the minus strand of NC_000019.10, from coordinate 8,647,317 downwards.
TTACAGGCATGAGCCACCGCGCCTGGCCGATCTCATTCCTTTGTATGGCTCCATAGTATTCCACGGTGTGTATGTACCACATTTTCTTTATCCAGTCTATCATTGATGGGCATTTGGGCTGATTCCATGTCTTTGCTATTGTGAATAGTGCACCAACCCTTGCCTTTACACTACTGTTATTAGCTGCCTGCATAACTGAGTTCAGCATTGTTCTAATCACGTTCCACATAATAGCCTCCTCTGATCCTCACCCAAACTTATAAGGCAGGAGTACCTGCCTATTAACATCCTATTTTACAGATGAGGAAACTGAGGCACAGAGCGATCAAGGTATCCGCCCAAGGTCACACAGCAAGGCAGTCATGGAGTCGGATTTGAACTGGGGCCAGCTGCCTCAGGGCCTGTGTTCTTCCTGCCTGGGTTTTCCTAGCCTAGATCCGGGTCAGGAGGAAGGCTGTGAGGGGTCACTTCTCTGAGGATACGCATTTGCTCTTGGTTTAGGAGGAGCAGCAGAGGAAGGGCATTTTAGACAGAGGGAACAGCACAGACAAAGGTCCTGAGGTGTTTGGCAAATTGGAGGGACAAAGAGGAGCTCGGTGAGGGCTGAGTGACGTGGGGACAGCAGTGGGAGACAGGACGGGAAGTGATAGAGGGAACTGCATTGTGCAGGGCTTGCCGGCCACAGTGGGGATTGTGGTCTTTAACCCAGGGGCCTCGGGGAGCCACTGACGGTTCTAGGCAAAGGAAGAGTGGCTCTTACTTCCTCTCTCCAGTTATGCAGCCTCTGGCATTACTGGGAAACAGTCAGAACTCCTTTGGGTGTAAAAACAGAAGCAAGTGGCAGAACTGAACACAAGGTGAGGGGTCCAGGAATCCTGGTTCTGGCCACGCCAGCTGTGTGGCCTTGGACAAATTGCTTAACCTCTCTGCGCCCCAGCTTCCTCATCTGTGCAATGGAGATTAATACAAGGCAAGTGGTTAGGCTGGGCGCAGTGCCTCACGCCTGTAATCCCAGCACTTTGGGAGGCCGAGGTGGGCAGATCACTTGAGGTCAGGAGTTCGAGACTAGCCTGGCCAACATGGTGAAACCCCATCTCTACTAAAAGTATAAAAATTAGTTGGGTGTGGTGGAACACACCTATAATCCCAGCTACTCGGGAGGCTGAAGCAGGAGAATCACTTGAACCCAGGAGGCAGAGGTTGTAGTGAGCCGAGATCGCGCCACTGGACTCCAGCCTGGGCAACAGAGCAAGAGTCCATCCCCCCCAAAAAAAAAGAAAAAAAAATAAGGGTCTGGCATGTAGTAGGAGCTATACAATGTCACATATTATTTAGGTTGGTGCAAAACTAATTGTGGTTTTCCAGTTACTTTTAATGGCAAAAACCACAATTACTTTTGCATCAACCTAATATCATCTTCGTTTTCACAGTAAATATGGACCCACATAACTGAAAAGCTAGCTGCTTCAGGTGAGGCTTGATCCAGGCATCCACCAGACCTCACCAAGGCTCTGGTGCCTCTCCTCTGCCATCACTGGCTGCCTGGGCTTTATGTTCAGGCTCCACATTGCAGCTAACGCCCCAATCCTTCCCCAGTAGTCCACAAAGCAGTCACTGCCATTTCTCCCATTCTCCTACCCACACCCTCTAGGGCCAGCTCGAGGGTCTCTTTCAATTGCTCCCAAGAAAGAAAAAGGGAGGTGTACTTTCCCAGAATCCCCAGCAAATGTCCTTGCCTCTCATTGGCTCTGGGTGTGTTACACACTCACTCCTGAGCCAATCACTGTAACCAAAAGATGAGGTGTTGGCTGGGAGCTGGGGTTTGGAGCCAATCACAGCTGAGGCTGGGGACAACATGATCAGAAAAAGTAATGTAGGAGCCAGGAACTGTGGCTCATGCCTGTAATCCCAGCACTTTGGGAGGCCTAGGCAGGAGGATTAGCTTATGGCCAGGAGTTGAAGACCAGCCTGGGCAACATGGCTAGACCCCCATATCTTAAAAAAAAAAAAAAAAAAATCACCCAGGTGTGGTGGTGCAAACATGAGGTCCCAGCTACTCAGGAGGCTGAGGTGGGAGGATCACTTGAGCCCAGGAGTTTGAGGCTGCAGTGAGCTATGATTGCACCACTGCACTCCAGCCTGGGCGACAGACAAGACCCTGTCTCTTAAAATAAAACAGAATTAAGGAAATTGTATCTCATACAGTGAGATAATTGATAAGTAAGAAAATGGAAAGCTGGACAGGTGCGGTGGCTTATGCCTGTAATCCCAGCACTTTGGGAGGCTGAGGTGGGGGATGGGGGGAGGGTGGGATCACCTGAGGTCAGGAGTTCGAGACCAGCCTGACCAACATGGCGAAACCCCATCTCTACTAAAAATACAAAATTATCCAGGAATGGAGGCGTTTGCCTGTAATGTCAGCTACTGGGAGGCTGAGGCAGGAGAATCCTCTGAACCAGGGAAGCGGAGGTTGTGGTAAGCCGAGATCATGCCATTGCACTCCAGCCTGGGCAACAAGAGCGAAAACTCAGTCAAAAAAAAAAAAGTCATCTGGCTGGACATGGTGGTTTAAGAGTGTAATCTCAGCACTTTAGGAGGCCGAGGCAGAAGGATTGCTTGAGCCCAGGAGTTCAAGACCAGCCTGGGCAACACGGTAAGACCCCCATCTCTACAAAAAAAAAATTCTTTTAATAGCCAGGCATGGTAGCATACACTTGTGTTCCCAGCTACTCAGGAGGCTGAGGCAGAAGGATCTCTTGAGTATGGGAGGTTGAGGCTGCAGTGAGCCATGGTCTCCACTGCAATCAGCCTGGGCAACAGACTTCAAAGTCATAGCATAGACTGACTTTAATAGAATGAGATTCTTGACTGACCTCCGCTGGAAATGAGTTGAAATACATGTACAAGTTGACCCTATTACCAGCTACGGTGGCTCATGCCTGTAATCCCAGCAATTTCGGAGACTGAGGCATGTGGATCACTTGAGGTCAGGAGTTGGAGACCAGCCTGGCCAACATAGTGAAACCCTGTCTCTACTAAAAGTACAAAAATTAGTTGGGCATGGTAGCAATCGCCTGTAATCCCAGCTACTTGGTAGGCTGAGGCATGAGAGTCATCTGAACCCAGGAGGTGGAGGCTGCAGTGAGCCAAGACCATACCACTGCACTCCTGCCTGGGTAACAGAGCAGGACTCCATCTCAATTAATCAATCAATCAATCAATCAATGCCCTATCTCCAAATTCAGTCACACTGGGGTTTGGGGCTTCAATACGTGCATTTGGGGTGGAACAATTCAATCCATAATGAGGGAAGGAGGTGTTGGGGGAATGCAAATGGCTGAGAGAGAGAACCCCACAATAAACGAAGAAATGGAAATGTCCTGTGAATTAGTCAGAGTTCTCCCAAGAAACAAAATCAATAGCTGATCAGAAAGGTGGAGAGAGAGCGACAGCAACAGAAAGAGATAGAGAGATCCAGGGTGAGATTTATTATAAGGATTATATAATTACAGGGCTCATCTGATTATGGAGGCTGAGACATCCTATGATCTGCTTTCTGCAAGCTGAAGACCCAGGAAGATTCATGGTATTGTTCAAAGGTTGGAGAGCCTGAGAGCCAATGATGCAGATTCCAAGCCAGGTCTGAAGGCCTGAGAGCCAGGAGCACCAGGGGTAGAAGATCAATGTCCCTATTCCACAGTTTGACACAGACAGAATTCAACCTTCCTCTCTGCCTTTTTGTTCTAGTCTGGCCCTCAACAGATTGGATGAGGTCTGCCCACATTGGGGAGCACCATCTGCTTTTCTCAGTCCACCAATGCAAATGCTAATCTCTCCCAGAAACACCCTCCCAGATACACTCAGAAATAATGTTTAACCCAGATATCTGGGTGTCTTATGGCCCAGTCAAGTTGACACATAAAATTAACCATCACATCCCATAGAGAGGAAGTTATTTTCCATCATAAGACTGGTGGGCTAGCCTGGAAGTTATGGTCTCTACTTATAAACTCTCTTCTTTTGAGAAGTGAAAACATGTGAAAACATATCTTTAGAGTCAAAATCCTTAGCTGGGTGTGATGGCTCACGCCTGTGATCCCAGCACTTTGGGAGGCTGATGCAGGAACTTCACTTGAGCCCAGGAGTTTGAGACCAGCCTGAGCAACAGAGGGAGACCCCATTTCTTCAAAAAATTTTCAAATTAGCCAGGTGTGGTGGTGCATGCCTATGGGTCCAACTACTCAAGAGGCTGAGGTGGGGGGAGAGCTTGAGCCTAGGAGGTTGAGGATGCAGTAAACTATGATCACACCACTGCACTCCAGCCTGGGTGACAGGGAGATACCCTGTCTCAAAAAAAAAAAAAAGAGTCAAAATCCTTTAAGTTGAAACTGACGATTCAACACCCAACCACTCGCCAGCAAACATGTGTGACAGATTGGGGAGTGGGAAGAACAGCCCCAATATTTACAATATTTGTCATTTCCTCCAGTCAAGAGATAGATTCTGTTTCCTTACTTCCTGAGTCTGGGTTTGACCATATGGCTTGTTTTAGCCAATCAGACATTACCAAACATGACACAAGGGGAAGTTCTTGCGCATTAGGGCTATATTCTCTGCTTTTCCTAGCAACTCTGCAACCACCATGGGAATGAGCTTGAGCAAGCCCACCGGAGAGGCCACGTGGAGGAGAACCAAGGCACCCCAGCAAACAGCCTGCTAATGGACTCATGAGTGAAGCAATCCAAGGTAGTCAGCCCCAGCCAACCCACCAGCTAACTGTAGCCACATGCATGGGCCCAAGCAAGACCGACAGAAGAACCGCCTGGCTAAACTCAACCAAGTTGCCAACCCACAGAATCAAGGGTTAATAAGTGGCTATGGTTGCAATCCATAGGGTAGTTTGTTACACAGCAAAGGCTAACAGATACAATGTGTAAACACACTCTCTTTGGAAAGAGACATAGCCACTAATTCCCCAACAATAACCACACAGGCAAAGACATGCATGTGATCACCATGTTTCAGTGCTGCAAACCCTACTTTATTCATCACAGAACCACTAGGTGGCAGGAGTTCTTTGGTTCAAACTTTGACTTAGCTACAGGCTAAAGAATCAACTCGGGTCTACACTTAAAAAAAAAAAAAAAGAGAACGGTGATAAAAATTAGAGCCATAGGCCAGGCATGGTGGCTTCACACTTGTAATCCCAGCACTTTGGGAGGCTAAGGCAGGAAGATCACTTGAGCCCAAGAGTTCAAGATCAGCCTGGCCAACATAGCAAGACCCTGTCTCTACAAAAAACATAAAATGTAAAAAAAAGTACTAGCTGGGCATGATGGTGCACATCTGTGGTCCCAGCTACTTAGGAAACTGAGATGGAAGGATCCCTTGAGCCTGGGAGTTTGAGGCTGCAATGAGGTGTGATTGTGCCACTGCACTCCAGCAGCCTGGGCAACAGAGTGAGAAGCTCTCTCTAAAAAAAAAAAAAGCTATCATTTATTAAGGCATTGGTTCTAAATGCTTCACATATGTGTCATGTGATCCTCATAGCATCCCTACCAAGTAAGTGCTATTATTATCCTGGCTTTGCAGATAGGGAAACTGAGGCACAGAGAGAAGACATCTCAGCTGGTAAGGGAACTCACATCCAGTTCTTACTCTGACACCAAGGGCTGTCATGAAGTGTCTTCATAACCCTGAGCAAGTCTTTGTGCTCTTTTGACTCAGTTTCCCCATGTGTAAAATAAGAGAACCAAGCTAGATCAGAGGTTATGAACCCAGAATTGGAATGGGCTCTGTGGATAAAATTTTGCAGCACCACAATACCATACAACTATCTGCAAAATCTTTTGGGTAAATATATTTGGGGTGGGAGGAATTTTGGCAATGGGCCAGCAGTGGTCTTTAGATTTGGGTGAATTCCTAAACAAGTATGTGGTCCAGAAACATTTAAGAAACACTGGAGAGGCCAGGCATGATGGCTCACGCCTGTGATCTCAGCACTTTTGGAGGCTGAGGTGAGCGGATTGCTTGAGCCTGGGAGTTCAAGACCAGCCTGAGCAACATAAGGAGACCCCATCTCTACAAAAAAAAAACAAACATTAGTCAGGTGTGGTGGTGCATGCCAGTAGTCCCAGCTACGCGGGAGGCTGAGGTGTGAGGATCACTTGAGCCTGGGAGGTCGAGGTTGTGGTGAGCCGTGAGAAAGAAACATTGGAGAATATGCTCTTGAAGACCCATCCTTCAAGTGAACACCAAATGCTACAATTACAAAGATGCAGAAACCAAGCAAACCTTGCAGAGAACAGTCTTAGTTACAATTCAGTCCATATTACCGAGGCATTGAACTGCAGTCAAGGTTAAGTGTAACCCTGGTCTTCTTCCAGGCTTGAGTGATATGCATCTTTCCAATACTATCTGCACCCTCGTCTCAGAACTAAACCAGTTCTGGGCTTATCCCATACAGCACGACCTGCCCAAGGAGGTTCTCCTCACCCCTGCCCCTTGCAAGGTGCTGTTGCTGTAACTTTGACCTCTGGTCCTTGAATATCCACACCCTGAGAAAGCAGTTAATGATTACAGAAACTGTGAGAAGAGTCCACAACATATTCTGTTGCCAACGCTTGCCTAATTTTCCAGAAGTCTGGTGCAATGTGGCTGCTTCTGGTCTCTTGAGGTTTGTCTGGGGATGGGTTGCTGTCTCTCATCGTGTCGCCGCCTCAATTTTTCTGGACTGTGCCAGCTCTTACCCACCCGGGAGCAGCAGCGTTCAAGACAGCTTGACATCAAAGGCACCTTCTGCTGCTCACAGCCATTGGCCCCGGGTGTCCTAAGTGAACTTCCCCTTCACAGGACAGCCTGGTAAACTCCAAGCCGGTCATCACGCTCTATGCTGTGTTATGCAACAAGTGTGTAAACTTTTCCTGTTGGTGGTGGAATGCTTTGTCAAGCAACATCTTATGCAGAAGCTCAAGCAATGGTAAAAAAAAAAAAAAAAAAAACTACAGCAGGAACAATAGGTTCTTGCTACATTGGCCAGACTGGGAGAGCACAGTATCTTGAGAGGCAACCTGCAGGCAGTCCATGTGCAAGAGTGATCTGGGGGAAAATCAAGAACACAGGACCGGTTCACCCGCAAAGCACTGGCCCCAGGAAGGTGGGTGAGGGCAAGAGTTCAGCGGGCAGGAACTCAGGCCAAGACGCAACCATGAGAACAGAGGCCCTGGGAATTCACAAGCATCTCACAGAGGGCACCAGGCTTCCCACAGGTCGTGGGAGAGAGGCAGACGCCAAATCTCTGAGGCTCTATTGACCCCAGCTGACATCTGGGTAACATCTGTTATACAAAAGAGCCGGGACCCAGCCAAAACATGGCAACCCCAGTAGGGCTTTTAAACACCCAGCAGGGTTTTTTAAATAGTGTTAGAGAGATTCTTTCACAACAACAAACTCACTAATGGCCACCTGGCTCAGCTGCCGCCCAGAGACACCCAACACACACACGCCTACCGCATATAAAAATAAACTAATCCTTACCCCATGTGTGGTATATGCCAGACACTGGCCTATCACTTTACACATATTAATTCATGTCGTCCTTCCAACAACTCCTTCAGGTAGGTGCTATTATCATCCACCCAGCAGCCAGAGAGGACACCCTCAACACATCCCAGGGTAAAAGCTTGAGTACTTTCTGCAAATCTTTTTTTTTTTTTTTTAATTTTCTTAAGAGATGGTCTGGCTCTGTGACCCAGGCTGTATTGCTGTGGTGCGATCATAGCTCACTACAGCCTCAAACTCCTGGGCTCAAGCGATCTTCCTGCCTCCTGAGTAGCTGGGACTACAGGCACATGCCACCATACTTGGCTAATTGTTGCGTTTTGTTTTGTTTTGTTTTGTTTTTGTAGAGGCAGGGGTCTTGCTATGTTGCCCAGGCTGGTCGCAAACTTCCAGGCTCAAATGATCCTCCTGCCTCAGCCTCCCAAAGTGCTGGGGTTACAGGTGTGAGCCGCCATGCCTGGCCTGCCATGCCTGTAACTCTTGAGATCTTGCAAGCTCTCCTTCCCCACAACACCCACTGTCACCTCTCTGCCTTTGCCCTCCTTCCTCTCACCCCTTCTATCACTCTGCTCCAACCACATGGACCTCCTCACTGTTCCTTAAACAGCCAAGTAGGCCGGGCTCAGTGGCTGACACCTGCAATCCCACCACTTTGGGAGGCCGAGTCGGGCAGATCACTTGAGGCCAGGAGTTTGAGACCAGCCTGGCCAATGTGGTGAAAGCCTGTCTCTATTACAAATACAAAAAATTAGCTGGGCATGGTGGTGTGCGCCTGTAATCCCAGCTACTCGGAGGCTGAGGCAGGAGGATCCCTTGAACCCGGGAGGCAGAGGTTGCGGTGATCCAAGATTGTGCCACTGCACTCCAGTCTGGGCAACAGAGCGAGATTCCATCTCAAAAAAAAAAAAAAAAACAGCAAAGTAAATTCCTGCTTCAGGGCCTTTGCACTTGCTTTGCCCTCTGCCAGAAAGACTCTCCCCTCCCCTCCATCCCCCTAGAAGCACCTCACTCTCCTCACCTTCCCCGGGAGGTCCCCCCACCTCTAAAGCTGCAGCCTCTTCCCCATGTACACAAACGCAGCCCTACCACCCTGTGACATACTGCAGACTTGACCAACTCTTCATCTTTATTTCTGCCTTCCTGGCCCACCAGGGCAGGCATTTGGGTCTGTTTTGTTCGCCGCTGCAACCCCCAGTGCTTGGAATGGAGCCTGGCACGCAGGAGGTGTTCGTTCCGTAAATATTTGTTGAATGAATGAATCCACACTGAAAGAGGAAACGGGCAGGAGAGAAGTTGGGCAATTCGCCCAAGGCCCCACAGTCCTTAAGTGGCAGAAGCAAGACGGGAGCCCCCACAGTTCAACTGCACAGGCTTCCTAACCACTGTGTGAGGTTTTCCCCCAGGCACATCCCTTTGCACGCCCACAAATGCACACAGCGGCTAACGCACGTGCACACTCATGAACGCACGTGTAAATTCCACCACCAACAGGATAAGTGTGCGCACTTCTAGCATCACACAGCATAGCGTGTGACGCCTGGCTTAGCGTTTACCGCGGAATGGCAATGAGTTCGTTGTAGAATCTAGGGGTGAGTGTGCCTGTGCCCAATTCTTTCCATTTTTCTGTGTGTTGGAAAGAGTTTCTAATGTTGAGAAAATTTGACTTCCCATAGCATCTACTGATCTTTGCTCTATTAAGGTGGCCTGGCAAGGTCATGCTGGCACTAACCTGTGTTGGGGAAAGGTCTATGAAGTCCTTCTCTGTTCTACAAGAGCAAGGGGACTATGTGGAGGCTTTTTGTTTTTCTTTTTCTGTTCTTTTCTTTTTTTTTTTTTTTTTTTTTTGAGACCATCTTTAGTCTTGCTCTTGTCGCCCAGGCTGTAGTACAGTGGCGCAATCTCAGCTCACTGCAATCTCCGCCTCCCTGGTTCAGGTGATTCTCCTGCCTCAGCCTCCCAAGTAGCTGAGATTACAGGCATCTGCCACCATGCCTGGCTAATTTTTTGTATTTTAGTAGAGATGGAGTTTCACTATGTTGGTCAGGCTGGTCTCAAACTCCTGACCTCAGGTGATCCACATGCCTCAGCCTCCCAAAGTGCTGGAATTACAGGCGTGAGCCACTGCACTCGGCCTTTTTTTTTTTTGAGATGGAGTCTCACTCTGTCGCCTAGGCTGGAGAGCAGTGGTGCAATCTCGGGTCACTGCAACCTCCACCTCCCCAGTTCAAGCTATTCTCCTGCCTCAGCCTCCCAAGTAGCTGGGACTACAAGTATGCACCGCCATTCCCTGCTAATTTTTGTATTTTTAGTAGAGAAGGGGCTTCACCATGTTGGTCAGGCTGGTCTCGAACTCCTGACCTCAGGAGTTGCTGAGTTCTATGGTAACTTTGTGTTTAAGGTTTTGTTTTGGTTTGGTTTTGGTTTTTTTTCTATTGCCCAGGCTGGAGTGCAGTGGTGTGATCTCAGCTCACTACAATCTCTGCCTCCTGGATTCAAGTGACTCTCCTGCTTCAGCCTTCTGAGAGCTGAGATTATATGTGTGCGTCATCACACCCGGCTGGAGTGCACAGTCCTAGCTCACTGCAGCCTCGAACTCCTGGGCTCAAGTGATCCTTCTGCCTTGGCCTCTTAAAGTACTGGGACTACAGGTATGAGCCACCACATTCAGCCTTGCCCATTTTTTTAAAAACTAGGCAAGGATTTGGTTAGAATGAAGATTCTGGCCTCCCCTCCAGGCACCCTGTCCTATACCTCACCTGATTCGCACTTCTATATCTTCCCCTTGGCCCCAGCTCTATCCCTGACTGTCCCCCTCCAGTATCCAGGGGACCAGTGTCCTGTCTCTCCATACAAAAGCCTCCATATAGGCCAGGCGCAATGGCTAATGCCTGTAATCCCAAAACTTTGGGAGGCCAAGGTGGGCGGATCACTTGTGGTCAGGAGTTCGAGGCCAGCCTGGGCAAAAGGGTGAAACCTCACCTCTATTAAAAATACAAAAATTAGCCAAGCATGGTGGCTCACGCCTGTAATCCCAGCACTTTGGGAGGCCAAGGCAAGCTGATCACCTGAGGTCGGGAGTTCAAGGCCAGCCTCACCAACATGGTGAAACCCCGTCTCTACTAAAAATAAAAATTAAAAAAAAAAACATAGCTGGGCATGATGGTGCATGCCTGTAATCCTAGCTACTCAGGAGGCTAAGGGAGGAGAATTGCTTGAACCCAGGAGGCAGAGGTTGCGGTGAGCCGAGATGGCGCCATTGAACTCCAGCCTGGGCGACAGAGCAAGACTCTGTTTCAAAAAAAAAAAAAAAAAGATGGAGTCTCGCTGTGTTGCCCAGGCTGGAGTGCAATGGCGCAATCTCGGCTCACTGCAACCTCCGCCTCCCAGGTTCAAGCATTTCTCCTGCCTCAGCCTCCCAAGTAGCTGGGACTACAGGCGTGTGCCACCATGCCCAGTTAATTTTTGTATTTTTAGTAGAGACGGGGTTTCACCATGTTGGTCAGGCTGGTCTCGAACTCCTGACCCCGTGATTCACCCGCCTCGGCCTCCCAAAGTGCTGAGATTACAGGCATGAGCCACCGCGCCCAGCCGAAAATAAAATTTTTTTAAAAGGCTGGTTTTGGCTGGGTGTGGTGGCTCATGCCTGTAATACCAGTACTTTGGGAGGATGAGCCGGGTAGAACACTTGAGGCCAGGAGTTCAACACCAGCCTGGGCAATACGGTGAAACCCCCTCTCTACTAAAAATACAAAAATCAGCTGGGTGTGGTGGTGCGCACCTGTAATTCCAGCTACTCTGGAGGCTGAGACAGGAAAATAGCTTGAGCCCAGGAGGCAGAGGTGGCAATGAGCCAAGACTGCACCATTGCACTCCAGTTTGGGTGACAGAGCAAGACCCTGTCTAATAAATAAAAATAAATAAACAAATAAATAAAGAGAGAAAGAGAAAGTCAGAGACAGAGAGAGAGAATAAGGACTCATAGGTATTCACCGTAGAGAAATGGAAACTTACCCTCACACCAAAACTTGCACATCAACGTCTGGCACATTATTTATCATCGCCTATGAATTTGGGCATTCGTCACCAAAACTGGAAACAACTCACGTGTCTGTCAACAAATGAATGGATGCATGGTGACACATCCATACCAGGGACTCCTCAACAGTAAAAGAAACAAAAAATGCTACACCCAACAACGTGAATAAGCCTCAAATGCATTCTGCTGCCTGGAAGAAGTATGCGCCAAAAGCTGCCTATGGTACGATTCCATTGACATAATATCCTGGGAAAAGGCAGAAATATAGCAACAGAGAGGAAGTCAGCAGGGGCCAGGGGCTGGGACTGAGGGAGAGAAATTGACTCCAGAGGGGCACGCAGGAATTGCAGGAATTGGGAGGGAAAAAGGTATTCTGTATTTCTTTTTTTTTTTTTTTAATTTTTTTTTTTTTGAGATGGAGTCTTGCTCTGTTGCCCAGGCTGAGGTGCAGTGGTATGATCTCGGCTCACTGCAACCTCCGCCTCCCAGGTTCAAGCGATTCTCCTGCCTCAGCCTCCTGAGTAGCTGGGATTACAGGTGCCCACCACCATGCCCGGCTAATTTTTGTATTTTTAGTAGAGACAGAGAGTCACTATGTTGGCCAGGCTGGTCTTGAACTCCTGACCTCAAGTGATCCACCCGCCTCAGCCTCCCAAAGTGCTAGGATTACAAGTGTGAGCCACCAGGCCTGGCCGGTATTCTGTATTTCTATTGAGGTTGTGGTTATAGGGTTGTGTGGTTTGTCAAATATCACAGAATCGTATACTAATATGTATGGGTTTCACTGTCAGTAAATTACACTGGTTTTTTTGTTTTTTTGTTTGTTTGTTTGTTTGTTTGTTTGTTTGTTTGTTTGTGATAGGGTCTTGGCTAAAGTGCAGTGGGGCCATCTTGGCTTGATGCAGCCTCGACTTCCCGGATTCAAGTGATCCTCCCACCTTAGCCTCCCAATTAGCTGGAACTACGAATGCACACCACTATGCCCAGCTAATTTTCTGTTTTGTTTTTTGTAGAGACAAGGTCTCACTGTGTTGCCCAGACTGATCTCCAATGCCTGAGCTCAAGCGATCCGCCCGCCTCAGCCTCCCAAAGTGCTGGGACTATAGGCCTGTGCCACCACACCTGGCCAGTAAATTACACTTTAATTTTTACTTAAATGAAAGGAAAAAACATTACAATAATAAGGCCCAGCATTTTGGTAGGCTGAGGCAAGAGGATTACTTGAGGCCAGGAATTTGAGAGAGATCCCATCTCTACAAAAAATAAAAATTAGCTGGGTGTCACGGCATGCGCCGATAGTTCCAGCTACTCAGGAGGCTGATGTGGGAGAATCATTTGAGCCCAGACATTCAAGGCTGGATTGCACCACTGCAATCCAGCCTGGGCAACAGAGTGAAACCCTGTCTCAAAAAGAAAAAAAAAAGAGGCCAGGCAGGGTGGCTCACGCCTGTAATCCCAACACTTTGGGAGACCAAGGGGGTGGATCACTTGAAGCCAGGGGTTCAAGACCAGCCTGGCCAACATGGTGAAACCCCTTCTCTACCAAAGATACAAAAATCAGCTGGGCATGATAGCACACACCTGTAGTCCCAGCTACTTGGGAGGCTGAGGCAGGAGAATCGCTTGAACCTGGCAGGTGGAGGTTGCAATGAGCCGAGATGGCGCCACCGTACTGCAGCCTGGGTGACAGAGCAAGACTCTATCTCAAAAAAAAAAGGAAACAAGAAAGCAAGCAAGAAAGCAAAAAAGAGAGAGAGAGAAGGAAAGAAGGGAGGGAAGGAAGGAAGGAAGGAAGGAAGGAAGGAAGGAAGGAAGGAAGGAAGGAAGGAAGGAAGGAAGGAAGGGAGAAAAGTTATACTAATGATAACTGAGTAAGAAAGAAAGCTATACTCCCAAATCCACTTCCTCCCCTTCCACAACCTCCTGTCCAGCCTCGACATCTGTCTCTCCCTCCCCAGGACCCTGCTCCCTTGACCAGGAGGCAGGGGGCCTTGTCCCAGGACAAGAGCTGAGTTGGGCATAGCTAAGTTGGTCTTCAGAGGGGGCAGGAAGGGAGGCAGGAAACCATCCTCAGGGCGGCTGGAGGGCTCCTCCCACAGCAGCTGCAGGTGCACTTCCAAGAGCCAGAGGTGGGGGAAGGTAGAGAGAGGGAAAGGAGCTGGCCCTCAGAGCCTAGGCAAGGGTCCAAGGTCAAGGTGTCAAGTTCAAGGTCAAGACACCTTCCCTGTGCAGCCTCAGCTTAGCCGCAGCTTCCCTACCTCACTGCCAATAACACCAACTTTTACTGGAAAAGGGTCCCGATCCAGACCCCAAAAGAGGGTTCTTAGGTCCCCCGCAAGAAAGATTTCAGGGAGAGTCCACGGAGTAAAGTGAAAGCAAGCTTATTAAGGAAGTAAAGGAGGCCGGGCGCGTTGGCTTCCACCTATAATCCCAGCACTTTGGGAGGCCGAGGTGGGTGCATCGCCTTAGGTCAGGAATCCAAGACCAGTCTGGCCAACACGGTAAAACCCCGTCTCGACTGAAAATACAAAAAATTAGCTGGGCATGGTGGTGCACATCTGTAATCTCAATCAGTCAGGAGGCTGAGGCAGGAGAATCCCTTGAACCCAGGAGGCAGAGGGTGCAGTAAGCCAAGATTACACCACTGCACTCCAGCCTGAGTGACAGAGCAAGGCTCTGTCTCAAAAAAAAAAAAAAAAAGGCAGGTGCAGTGGTTCATGCCTGTAATCCCAGCACTTTGGGAGGCTGAGGCAGGCGGATCACCTGAGGTCAAGAGTTTGAGACCAGCCTGGACAACATGGTGAAACCCTGTCTCTACTAAAAATACAAAAATTAGCTGGGCATGGTGGTGTGTGCCTGTAATCCCAGCTACTCAGGAGGCTGAGGAAGAAGAATTGCTTGAACCTGGGAGGCGGAGGTTGCAGTGAGCCAAGATCGTGCCACTGCACTCCAGCCTGGGGGACAGAGCGAGATTCCGTCTCAAAAAAAAAAAAAAAGGAATAAAAGAATGGCTACTCCACAGACAAGAGCTGCTGGTTGCCCATTTTTATGGTTATTTCTTGATGATATGCTAAACAAGGGGTGGATTATTCATACCTCCCGTTTTTAGAGCATAGAGGGTAACTTCCTGATGTTGCCATGGCATCTGTAAACCGTCAGGGGGCTGGTGGGAGTGTAGCAGTGAGGACAATCAGAGGTCACTCATGTCATCATCTTGGTCTTGATGGGTTTGGGCCGGCTTCTTTACTGCAACCAGTTTTATCAGCAAGGTCTTTATGACCTGTATCTTGTGCCAAACTCCCCTCTCATCCTGTGGCTTAGAATGCCTTAACTGTCTGGGAGTGCAGCCCAGTAAGTCTCAGGCTCATTTTACCCAGCCCCTATTCAAGATGGAGTCACTCTGGTTCACAAGTCTCTGACACAACAGCGGTAAAAATAACCCCCTGACACACACACACACACACACACACACACACTGTATGGCGGGGCAGTCAGCCCTGAACCTGCCTCCCTCTGGCTCCTCTAGAGCATCCCAGTAATAAAACACAAGGGCGGCCGGGCGCGGTGGCTCACGCCTGTAATCCCAGCACTTTGGGAGGCCAAGGCAGGTGGATCACCTGAGGTCAGGAGTTCGAGACCAGCCTGACCAACATGGTGCAACCCCATCTCTACTAAAAGTACAAAAATTAGCCGAGTGTGGCGGCAGGCACCTGTAATCCCAGTACTGGAGAGGCTGAGACGAAAGAATTGCTTGAACCCGGGAGGCAGAGGTTGCAGTGAGCTGAGATCGAGCCACTGCATTGCAGCCTGGGCAACAAGAGCGAAACCCCATCTCAAAAAAACAAACAAACAAAACACACACACACACACACACACACACACACACACACAAAAGCGAGGACTGGAGTGACCAAGCCCCCAGGGTCCCCATCACTAGAGACGCTTCAAGAGGTCAGCGGGTGTAGACGGAGGAGGCAGAAAGTGAAAGGCCAGGAGGCTGAGAGGCTGGAGCCGCCGCACAAAGGGGCTGGACACGAAGGCCTGGCGGCTGGATGTAGGGGAAGCCAGGCCAGCACTGCCTGTTTACTTTCAGAAGAACAGGGCCAATCTGCGGCCTCCCACTGTGACCCTGGACTCGGGGGAAGAGGGGGCCAAGACTCAGATGTTTGTCTACTGAGCTAATCCCTGGGCTTTGTCCCAGGGGACTCCGCTGCCTTCCCAGAAGACACGCCTGCCTCCAGACCCCCCAGAGATCAAGGGACAGGCACAGAACTCCAGTTCAGAATGCTGCCTCTCTGTTCAGTCCCCCTGTTCATCCCAAGCCCAGCCCCCAGCCCTGCCTGGGCTGACCCCCTCCAGCCTCCCTGTGAGCTCCTAATTTGGCCTGCCTAGAATTTGCAACCCCACTGGGCCACCCCTGAGAGAGCTGTGGGGTGCCAGCCTTGTTCTCAGTGCCCGGGTCCTGGGAAGGGAAAGCAGAGAGGGAGGAGCAGGAGGAAACCTTTGATGCTTAGCCAGAAGTCCCTGCCTGAAATTCCACCATTCAGGCACCCTCTTTGAGTTAAAGCAATGATTCCTGTATCCCTTCCAGAAACCCCTGGTACCCCAAAATGCTACAGAGGAAAAAATATCAAAGGAGTTAAGTAAGTTTGAGAAAGCTGTGCAAAGCACAGGTGTCTATTAAAGGCTCTGAAAAGATCTGCATGAAACGATCCTAGTCAGCTTTGCTTAATCCCCTCACTTGGCCGCAGTTCCATGCAACACGACCCGGGCATCCAAGGCCCCAATTAAAGGCAATCATGAGATCCCAGAAGGGAGATGGAGGTAGTTAAGCTGCAGGGGGAATAAGCTGATCCAACCGGACCTGTGTGGGGGAGAGAGGAGCCTAACCCAGGTCTGCATGCCCTCCTGTGTCAGAGACCAGAAATGTCCCACCCAAGGCATGGGAAGGAAGACTCAGCCTCTCATCATTACCACCTTGCTTCCTGCTCCTTGCTCCTCCTGGCTCTCCAGTCTTCCACCCAAGCCCTCAGGTTCCCCTAGAGCTCTTTCCCACTTCCTAGTCCCCAGCCATGGCAGAGAACTCTGTGCCCACGAACAGGGCTATAATGGAGATATCCCAGGTATTGTCAACCAACAAAGTGCCATGGAGGTGACATCATAAATATCAGTGATAGGCTGGGTGCGGTGGCTCACGCCTGTAATCCCAGATCTTTGGGAGGCCCGGGCAGGTGAATCACAAGCTCAGGAGTTCAAGACCAACCTGGCCAACGTAGTAAAACCCCGTCTGTACTAAAAAGACAAAAAATTAGCCAGGCGCGGTGGCACGTGCCTATAATCCCAGCTACTCAGGAGGCTGAGGCAAGAGAATCACTTGAACCTAAGAGGCAGAGGTTGCGGTGAGCAGAGATCATGCTGTTGCACTCCAGCCCGGGTGACAGTGTGAGACTCCAACTCAAAAATAAATAAATAACTATCAGTGACAGGAGTTTGAAGCTAGTGAATACAATGTTCATGGACACTATGAACACTCTCATAGGTTATTCCTGATGCCACACACCAGTGTGGATTTGAACTGTGCATCTACCACTGAGCAATTGTGTGATCCTGGGGAGTTAAACTCACCAGACCTCATCTGGAAGTTTGTAGTATTTTGTTATAGCAGTCCTAGGTAACTAACATACACTCTCTCCCTTTCTCTCCCTGTTTTCTTTTCTTTAATTTATTTTTATCATTTCTTTCTTTGTTTTTTTTTTATGGAGTTTCACTCTTGTTGCCCAGGCTGGAGTGCAATGGCACAGTCTCGGCTCACTGCAACCTCCGCCTCCTGGGTTCAAGCAATTTTCCTGTCTCAGCCTCCCAAGTAGCTGGGATTACAGGCATGTGCCACCACACTTGGCTAATTTTGTATTTTTAGTAGAGACGGGGTTTTACCATGTTGGTCAGGCTGGTCTCTAACTCTTGACCTCAGGTGATCCACCCGACTCGGCCTCCCAAAGTGCTGGGATTATAGGCGTAAGCCACCGTGCCTGGCCTATCCTTTCTTTCTTTTTATTTATTTTTATCTTTCCTTTCATTTTATGTATTTTTATCTGAGTGAGATAAAGTGTCCAACACCAGGAGATTGTGGGGTTTCTGTGAGATACCAAACCCGGACCCTAGCCTGCCCTTGTGCTGTCTTGTCCTTCTCTGGGGTCTCACATCCTTCCTCTGTCCACAGTCCTCCATGGCTCCCACCTCCTCAGGGTAAAAGCCCAAGTCCTTCCTGCAGCCCACAAGGCCCTTCATGACCTGTCCCTGTCACCTCCCTGTCCTCACCTCTCCCACATCAACTCACTTCCTTCCAGCTGTACACACAGACCCTGTTATGATGCCAGAACAGATAACAAAACAGGCACAGCCCAACCCCAAGACCTTTGCACACGTTGTTCCCTCCACTTAGAATGCTCCTGCCCCAGATCCCCTTGACTTCAATCAGGCCTCTGATCATATATTGCCTCCTCCAAGAAGCCTTCCATGCTTCCATGAACTCCCTCTCTAAAAGAGCCCCCTGGACTGGGTTGAATAGTGTCCCCTCCCCTAAATTCATGCCCATCTGGAACTTGTGAATGAGACTTTATTTGGAAATACAGTCTTTGCAGATGAAATCAACTTAAGATGAGGTCCTCCTGCGTTATGGTGGGTCCTAATCCAATGTGACTCGTGTCCTTATAAGAAGACGAAAATGGCCAGGCATAGTGGCTCACGCCTGTAATTCCAGCACTTTGGGAGGCCAAGGTGGGCAGATCGCCTGAGGTCAGGAGTTCAAGACCAGCCTGACCAACATGGAGAAACCCCGTCTCTACTAAAAATACAAAATTAGCCAGACGTGGTGGCGGGTGCCTGTAATCCCAACTACTTGGGAGCTGAGGCAGGAGAATCACTTGAACCTGGGAGGCAGTGGTTGCAGTGAGCCCAGATTGCACCGTTGCACTCCAGCCTGGGCAACAAGAGCGAAACTCCATCTCAAAAAAAAAAAAAAGAGGGAAATGGCAGGCTTGGTGGCTCATGCCTGTGTAATCACAGCACTTTGGGAGGCTGAGGTGGGCAGATCAGCTGAGGTCAGGAGTTCAAGGCCAGCCTGGCCAACATGATGAAACCCCGTCTCTACTAAAAATACAAAAAAATTAGCCAGGCAGAGTTGTGGGCACCTGTAATCCCAGCTGCTCAGGAGGCTGAAGCAGGAGAATCACTCCAACTCAGGAGGCAGAGGTTGCAGTGGGCCGAGGTTACACCATTGCACTCCAGGCTGGGTGACAAGAGTGAAACTCCATCTCAAAAAGGAAAAAAAAAAGAAGAAGGAGGAAATTCAGAAACAGAGGCAGACACACGCAAAGAAGGCTACACGACGGAAGCTGAGATTGGAGTGATGCAGCTGCAAGCCAAGGATAGCTGGCCACCACCAGAAGCCAGGGAGAAGCAAGGAAGGGTCCTTCAGAAGGAGCATGGCCCTGTCGACACCTTGATTTTGGACTCCTGGTCTCCCAAACTGTACAATAAAGTTCTATTGTCAAAAATCACCAGTTTCTAGTATTTTGTTATAGCAGTCCTAGGTAACTAACATACACTCTCTCCCCTTGTCTCCCTGTTTTCTTTTCTTTCATTTTATGTATTTTTATCCTTTTTTTCTTTCTCTCTTTTTTTGAGATAGAATCTCGCTCTGTCGACCAGGCTGGAGTGCAGTGCTGCCATCTCGGCTCACTGCAATCTCTGCCTCCTGGTTACAGCAATTCTCCTTCAACCTCCCAAGTAGCTGGGATTACAGGTGCGTGCCACCATGCCCAGCTAATTTTTGTATTTTTAGTAGAGACAGGTTTTGCCATATTGACCAGGCTGGTCTCCAACCCCTGACCTCAGGTGATCCACCAGCCTCGGCCTCCCAAAGTGCTGGGATTACAGGCGTGAGCCACCGCGTCCAGCCTGTTTTTATCTTTTTTTTTTTTTTTTTTTTTTTGAGACAGAGTCTCACTCTGTCCCCCAGGCTGGAGTGCAGTGGCACAATCTCCGCTAACTGCAAGCTCCGCCTCCCAGGTTCATGCCATTCTCCTGCCTCAGCCTCCAGAGTAGCTGGGACTACAGGTGCCCGGCCACCGCGTCCGGCTATTTGTGTGTGTGTGTGTGTATTTTTAGTAGAGACGGGGTTTCACCATGTTAGCCAGGATGGTCTCGATCTCCTGACCTCGTGATCTGCCCACCTCGGCCTCCCAAAGTGCTGGGATTACAGGCGTGAGCCACCGCACCAGGCCTATTTTTATCTTTTTAGAGACAGGGTCTTGCTCTGTCACCCAGGCTGGAGTACAGTGGTGCAATCATAGCTCACTGCAGCCTCAAACTCCTGGACTCAAGCGATTCTCCTGCCTCAGCCTCCCAAGTAGATGGGACTACAGACACATGCCACCACACCCAGCTATTCTTCTAAAAAACATTCTTTTGGCAGAAACATGGTCTTGCTATGTTGCCTGGGCTGGTCTCAAACCCCTAGCCTCAAATGATCCTCCCACTTCAGCCTCCCAAAGCAATGGGATTAAAGGCGTGAGTCTGTTTTCAACCCAGCCTTTTATTTCCCGCACAGCATTCACTTCCACCTGTAATATGATACAGTTGATACTCATTATTCATGGATTCTGGCATCACAAATTGGCCTGCTTGGCCGGGTGTGGTGGCTCATGCTTGTAATGCCAGCAATTTGGAAGGCCAAGGCAGGCGGATCACCCGAGGTCAGGAGTCGAAGACCAGCCTAGCCAACATGGTGAAACCCCGTCTCTACTAAAAATGCAAAAATTAGCTGGGCGTGGTGGCAGGTGCCTGTAATCCTAGCTGCTTGGGAGGCTGAGACAAGAGAATCGCTTGAACCCGGGAGGCGGAGATTGCAGTGAGCCGAGATCACACCACTGCACTCCAACCCTGGGTGACAAAGCATCAAAAAAACAAAAACAAAACAAAACAAATTGGCCTGCTTGCTAAAATGTATTTAACCCCCAAATCATTACTGGTGGGGTTCTCAAAGCCATTCTCAGTCATGTGCAGATGGAGCAGCAAAAACTTTG
The DNA here is from genome assembly GCF_000001405.40 of Homo sapiens. Taxonomy (NCBI): domain Eukaryota; kingdom Metazoa; phylum Chordata; class Mammalia; order Primates; family Hominidae; genus Homo; species Homo sapiens. Next base: position 8,626,635 of record NC_000019.10, on the reverse strand, counting down.
AGTGGCGCTACACACCTGTCCCCAGCTGAGGTCACACAAGGCGACACTCTGCCTTCCTGTCTCAGCTCTCATCATACAAACAAGTGCCCTTTTGGAGTCTATCGAGTGGTGCTGGGTTTTTTTGGGTTTTTGGGGTTGTTTTTTTTTTTCATTTTTGTGCTTTTTTTTTTTTTTTTTGGTGATGTTGCTGTTCACATTGGCTCCAAGCACAATGCTGGTGTGGAGTCCTGTGTCCCTGCGCACAATGTCTTATTTCACTTTGTGCTGCCATCACAGAATTCCATAGACTGGGTAGTTTATGAAGAACAGAGATTTATTTCTTACAGTTGGAGGCTGGGATGTCCAAGGTCAAGGGGCCTGCACCTGGCAAGGGCCTTCTTGTCCCATCATCCCATGGCTAAGTTTCTTAGAAAAATTACACTTTTCCAGACCAGTCGGGTGGCTCATGCCTGCAATCCCAGCACTTTGGGAGGCCGAGGCGGGCAGATCACAAGGTCAGGAGATCGAGACCATCCTGGTTAACACAGTGAAATCCCGTCTCTACTAAAAATAAAAAAAATTAGCCGGCGTGGTGGCGGGCACCTGTAGTCCCAGCTACTCGGGAGCTGAGGCAGGAGAATGGCGTGAACCCGGGAGGCGGAGCTTGCAGTGAGCCGAGATCGCGCCGCTGCACTCCAGCCTGGGCGACAGAGCAAGACCCCGTCTCAAAAAAAAAAAAAAAAAAAAAAAAAAAAAAAAGAGTTCGAGACCAGCCTGGCCAACATGGTAAAACCTCGTCTCTACTAAAAATACAAATATTAGCCAGGCATGATGGTGGATGCTTGTAATCCCAGCTACTCGAGAGGCTGAGGCAGGAGAATCTCTTGAACCCAGGAGGCAGAGGGTGCAGTGAGCCGAGATCACTCCATTGCACCCCAGCTGGGGCAACAGAACAAAAACTCTGTCTCAAAAATTAAAAAATAAAAGAAATAAAAAGAAAAATCACACTTTTCCATTTGGTTTTGTTTTGTTTTGTTTTGTTTCAGAGACAGGGTCTCACTGTGTCCTCCAGGCTGGAGTGCAGTGGCAAAATCTTGGCTCACTGCAGCCTTGACCTCCCTGGCTCCAGTGATCCTCCCATCTCAGCCTCCCAAGTAGCTGGGACTACAGGCATGTGCCACCCTGCCTGGCTACTTTTTCTGTTTTTTGTAGAGACGGGGCCTCGCTATGTTGCCCAGGCTGATCTCAAACTCCTGGCCCCAAGCAACCCTCCTGCCTCAGCCTCCCAAAGCACTGGGATGACAAGCATGAGCCACCTCGCCTGGCCAGAATCATGTATTTAATCTAATCCTTACCACAGCTCCATTAGATGGTGCTATGGTGTGAACGTGTGCCCCAAAATTCATGTGTTGGAAGGGCAAAGAGAGAGTGTGAGAGAACAAGAAAAATCAGGCTCATAGCCTCAATCCTCCTCTTTTTTTTTTTTTTTTTTTTTTTTTTTTTGAGGCAGAGTTTCACTCTTGTTGCCCAGGCTGGAGTGCAATGGCGCGATGTCAACTCACTGCAACCCCCACCTCCCGGGTTCAAGCGATTCTCTTGCCTCAGCCTCCCAAGTAGCTGGGATTACAGGCCTGCGTGACCACACTCAGCTAATTTTGTATTTTTTTGGTAGAGACGAGTTTCCTCCATGTTGGTCAGGCTGGTCTCGAACTCCCAACCTCAGGTGATCCACTCACCTCGGCCTCCCAAAGTGCTGGGATTACAGGCATGAGCCACCGCACCCAGCCTAATCCTCCCCTTTTTTTGAGATAGAGTTTTCCTCTATTGCCCAGGCTGGAATGCAGTGGTATAATAACAGCTCCCTGCAGCCTCAACCTCCCTGGGCTCAGGTGATCCTCCTGCCTCAGCCTCCCAAGTAGCTGGGACTACAGACTCATGCCACCACACCCAGCTAATTTTTTTTTTTTTGTAGAGACAGGGTCTTGCTATGTTGCCCAGGCCGGTCTCAAACCTCTGGCCTCAAAGGATCCTCCTGCCTCAGCCTCCCAAAGTGCTGGAGTTACAGGCATTAACCACTGTACCCAGCACTCAACCCCTTTTCAAATTGTTCCTAATCTATTCATGAGGGTGGAACCTTCATCACCTAAACACCTCCCCTTAGGCCCCACTTCCCAACACTGTTGCACTGGGGACTGAGTTTCCAACACATGTCTTTTGTGGGGACACATTCAAACCACAGTATACAGAAGACTGTGATGAATCTCACAGAGAAAATCCATGTGTTAGAGAAGCTTCATTCAGGCGCGAGTGGTCTTGCTGTTAGCCATGAGTTCAATGTGAATGAAGCAACTATATATATTTAACAAGGTGTCTTTAAAAATAAACACATATAGGCCGGGTGCAGTGGCTCATGCCTGTAATCCCAGCACTTTGGGAGGCCGAGGCAGGCAGATCACCCGAGGTCGGGAGTTTGAGACCAGCCTGACCAACACGGAGAAACCCTGTCTCTACTAAAAATACAAAATTAGTCGGGCATGATGGCGGGTGCCTGTAATCCCAGCTACTCGGGAGGCTGAGGCAGAAGAATCACTTGAACCCGGGAGGCAGAGGTTGCAGTGAGCCGAGATTGCACCATTGCACTCCAGCCTGGGTAACAAGAGCGAAACTCCATCTCAAAAAATAAAAAATAAATAAACACATATAGGGCCGGGTGCAATGGCTCACACGCCTGTAATCCCAGCACTTTGGGAGGCCAAGGTGGGCAGATCACTTGAGGCCAGGAGTTCAAGACCAGCCTGGCCAACATGGCGAAATGCCATGTCTACTAAAAATACAAAAATTAGCCAGACATGGTGGTGCGCACCTGTGGTCCCAGCTATTCTGGTGGCTGAGGCATGAGAATCACTTGAGCCTGGGAGGCAGAGGTTGCAGTGAGCCAAGATCCTGCCACTGCACTCTAGCCTGGGCAACAGAGCGAGACTCTGTCTCAATAAAATTAAATTAAATTAAATAACACATATAAACCAAGGTTATGTATTGATCAGTTGATTAAAATGCTGTGACCAGAGAGTCATAGGAACCTAACCTTTTATTTCCCCAGGAACAACAGTTTAGTGTTCCCTAATTCAGTGTCCATGGCGACATTAAAGAACAGAACTACCACAAGTAAAGAGAATCTACTCTGTGTGTATTCGTTTATTGGTTCTTTTGTCTTTTTCTAGTGCTATGAGAGTGGAGATGTTGTTCTCTTCTTCTGCCTGAACAAGGCACAGAGTAGGGGCCCAATAAATGTTTGTTGAATCAATCAGCTAATTAATAATATCAGAGTGGCCGGGCATGGTGGCTCACACCTGTAATCCCAACACTTTGGGAGGCGGAGGCAGGTGGATCACCTGAGGTCAGGAGCTCGAGACCAGCCTGGCCAAAAGGTGAAACCCTATCTCTAATAAAAATGCAAAAATTAGCTGGGCATGGTGGTGGGCACCTGTAATCTCAGCTACTCAGGAGGCTGAGGTTGGAGGACCACTTGAGCCCAGGAGTCTGAGGTTGCAGTGAGTTATGATGGCACCTCTGCACTCCAGCCTCTGGGTGGCAGAGTGGGACCCTGTCTCAAAAAAAAATAGTAAATAAAAGGCCAGGCACGGTGGCTCCTGCCTGTAATCTCAGCACTTTGAGAGGCTGAGGCGGGTGGATCACCACAGGTCTGCAGTTCAAAACCAGCCTGGCCAAAATGGTGAAACCCAGTCTCTACTAAAAATAACAAAAATTAGCTGGGCACGGTGGCGGGCACCTGTGATCCCAGTTACATGAGAGGCTGAGGCGGGAGAATTGCTTGAACCCGGGAGACAGAGGTTGCAGTGAGCCAAGATCATATAATTGCACTCCAGCCTGGGAGACAGAGAGAGACTCTGTCACACACACACACACACACACACACACACACACACACACACAAAATAATAATAATAGTAATAATAGCTTCTGTGCCAGGCACCATTCTAAGTCTCTTATAAGAATTACATATTTAATCTAACCCTCACCACAAGGAGCTTCCAATCTGGGTCTCAGATTCTGTGGCTGAAAAGTGGAGATAGGAAAAGGCTTAGGGACTGTGGAAGGGGGGGTGGGTCTGGAGGTCAGAGCCTGTTGGAGACGGGGGGGTTCAGGGGAGACAGTTGCAGCTGAGACTAGGTCCCAGCCCAGCCCAGATACAGCAGGAGACAGCAGGGAGACGGCTCCAGGGGACACTGGCATGGAAGCAAGAGGGGGCAAATCATGGTCTACATGTACAATGGAATATCATTCAAACTTAAAACATGTATGAGCAGCCAGGCATGGTGGCTCACGTCTGTAATCCCCAGCATTTTGGGAGGCCGAGGCGGGTGGATCGCCTGAGGTCAGGAGTTCAAGACCAGCCTGACCAATATGGTGAAACCCTATCTCTACTAAAATACAAAAATTAGCCAGGCGTGATGGCAGGTGCCTGTAATCTCAGCTGCTTGGGAGGCTGAGGCAGGAGAATTGCTTGAACCCGGGAGGTGGAGGTTGCAGTGAGCTGAGATCACACCATGCTCTCCAGCCTGAGCAATAAGAGCGAAACTCTGTTTCCAAAAAAAAAAAAAAAAAAGCATATGAGCTTGCTAGGGCTGCCAAGAAAATGCACCACAGACCTGGCTAAAACAACAGAAATTCATTTTCTCACAGTTCTGGAGGCTGGAGGTCCAAGTTCAAGGTGTCAGTAGGGTTGGTTTCCTCTGAGGCCTCTCTCCTTGACTTGTAGATGGCCACCTTCTCTCTGCGTCTTCACCTGGTCGTTGTTGGAGGGCTGGTGGGGCAGGGTTTTAAATGCTCACAAAGGCCAGACTTTGTGGCTCACTGTAATCCTAGCACTTTTGGGAGGCTGAGGCAAGATGATTGCTTGAGGTCAGGACCTTGAGACCAGCCTGGGCGACAGAGCGAGACTCCATCTCAAAAAAAAAAAAATACTTGGCCCCTTCTACCAGACCCAGGCCACCCCAGAAAAGGTGGCCAAGGGCTACTCCATCCAGGCATGACTTCCTTGGAGGACTGGGAGATGGATGCCCGGGCAAGCAAACCACTTGGGCATCTCTGGTCCTCAGCACCAAAGACAGCTGGTTCTAGATGAAGAACTGGAGCCCCAGAAGCCAACTCGGGTTTTTCTGAAGTTGGACCCGCAGTCCGATACCTTCCTCCCCGCTCACTCACCACCCCTCCACCCCAAGCAAGGGGTAAGGAGGTCACACCCCAGGGTCTCTCACTCAGGGGTGGGGGATTTTTTTTTTTTTTTTTTTGAGGCAGGGTCTTGCTTGTTGTCCAGTCTGGAATGCAATGGTGCAATCACAGCTCACTGCAGCCTCCAACTCCTGGGCCCAAGCAATCCTCTCGCCTCCTCCTCCCAAAGTACTGGGATTACAAGCATGAGCCACCACACCCAGCTGGGGATGGGAAATTTTAGTCACCTTCTGCCAAGTGTCCCCTGAAACCTCTGGGGTGGTCAAGGTGGCAGAACAGGACCAGAAGGTGCAAAGACAGCCACCCCAGCAGGTGCACCAGGGGCGGCACAGAGGCCCACCCAGAACAGGACAAGAAAGGGAGCAGTGTTTGAAGTTTACATCGAAATCACAAAGCGCGGGGAAATCGAGGAAAATCATGGGGGATGCCGGGAGCTGCACCGCATCTGCCCCAGCTGCAGAGGGGAAACTGAAGCCAACCCCAGGCCAGGTCTGTGGGATAATCACACCAGGAGCCAAGATGGGAGCCAGCCAGGGCGGGAAACACGTGAAGCAGGATCAGAGCATCTCCTGGGACGGGCTGAGACCGGGAAGCCAGGGATGCCCAGAAGAGACCGGATGCAGTCAGGAGGATATCAAAGAAGGATCAGAAGAAATTAACATTGCATGAAGTCGCAGAGACAGGGCATCTCCCCAGTACCCAGCACGTAGACCTCCTCAACACAGCTGCACCCAATCAAACATCCCCTCCTGCCTCATCCTCATCTTCCTCCTGTCCCATGCAGCCTGGACACCTGGGCGGTTTGGGGCACCCCCCACCCCCGAACTGTGACAGCATCCACCTCACACTTGGGCCAGGCACACAAACCTCACGTCTGCTCCCTGGGACCAGGGACCTGTAGGGACCGCCCGCTCCACGATCTGTTTCCGCCCTTTCTATCCACTTCACCAGCACTGCTCCCTCCATGTGGCCTCAGGGACCTGCACAGAGCTGTCCAGCCCACCTGTTGTGACCTGGTCCCCAGCCTGCCTGAGGTTTTCTCCATGCCCACACTCCAGCCTCCCATCCAGAGACTTCCTCCCTAAGTCTCTATTCTTCCTCTCCCCACGCAGAAAATCTCTTTCCTAGACTCTGGGCTGGGATACTTCTTTCTTTCTTTTTTTTTTTTTTTTTTTTTTTTGAGACGGAGCCTGGCTCTGTTGCCCAGGCTGGAGTGCAGTGTCACGATCTTGCCTTGCCACAACCTCCACCTCCCAAGTTCAAGTGATTCTCCTGCCTCAGCCTCCTAAGTAGCTGGGACTACAGGCACGCCACCATGCCCGGCTAATTTTTGTATTTTTAGTAGAGATGGGATTTCACCGCGTTGGCCAGGCTGGTCTCGAACTCCTGACCTAGTGATCCGCCCGCCTCAGTCTCCCAACGTGCTGGGATTACAGGCGTGAGCCAGCACACCCGGCCTACTTGTTTCCTATACAAGATTCTCTCTGGCTCACACCTATAATCCAGCATTTTGGGAGGCCAAGGCGGGCAGATCACCTGAGGTCAGGAGTTTGAGACCAGCCCAGCCAAGATGGTGAAACACCGTCTCTACTAAAAATACAAAAATTAGCTAGGCATGGTGGTGCATGCCTGTAATCTCAGCTACTCGGAAGGCTGAGGCATGAGAATTGTTTGAACCTGGGTGGTGGAGGTTGCAGAAAGCTGAGATTGCACCAGGACTGCACTCCAGCCTGGGCGACAGAACGAGACTCCATCCCAAAAAAAATAAAAATAAAAACATTCTCTCAAAGCTGTTTTTGCTGGAAGCCTTCCCTATCCCCGTAGGCACTGTGGAACTTCGGGTCCAGAAAATGCCTCTCTTTTTCCAAGGTGGACACCCCCTTCTTGGGGATATGAGACCAGTGCCCTTGCTCAGGGAAAGAACAGAGTAGAATAATAATAACCACAAATATTTAAAAACAAACAAAAAAATTTAAACAAAGATTAAAACCAAATAAAGAAAAATAAAGATTAATAAACAGAAACATTTCTAAAAATCAAAACAAAAACAAACAAATGTTAATAAACAAAGCATTTTAAAAATCAAAACAAAAAGCAAGTAAGATTAATAAACAAAAAAAATCAAACCAAAAACAGATTGGGCGCGGTGGCTCCTGCCTGTAATCCCAACACTTTGGGAGGCTGAGGTGGGAGGATCACTTGAGGCCAGGAGTTTGAGACCAGCCTGGGTAGGTGAGACCTTGTCACTACAAAAAATTTTTAAAAATTAGCCAGTTGTGGTGGTGAATGTCTGTAATCCCAGCTACCCAAGAGGCTGAGGCAGGAGGATTAATTGTACCCAGGAGTTGGAGTCTGCAGTGAACTGTGATGGTGCCACTGCACCTCAGCTTGGGTGACAGCGAAAGACCTTGTCTCTTTAAAAAAAAAAAAAAAAAAAACAGTCCGTGCGCAGTGACTCATGCCTGTAATCCTAGCACTTTGGGAGGCTGAGACGCGCAGAGCATGAGTTCAGGAGATCAAGACCAGCCTGGCTAACACAGTGAAACCCTGTCTCTACCAAAAATACAAAAAAAAAAAATTAGCCAGGCGTGGTGGCAGGTGCCCGTAGCCCCAGCTACTCAGGAGGCTGAAGCAGGAGAATGGCGTGAACCTGGGAAGCGGAGGTTTCAGCGAGCCACGAAGGCGCCACTGGACTCCAGCCTGGGCGACAGAGTGAGACTCTGTCTCAAAAAAAAAAAAAAGCCTGTAATCCTAACACTTTGGGAGGCCGAGGCTGGTGGATCACCTGAGGTCAGGAGTTCAAGACCAGCCTGGCCAATATGGTGAAACCTCTTCTCTACTAAAAATACAAAAATTAGTCTGACGTGGTGGCGGGTGCCTATAATCCCAGCTACCTGGGAGGCTGAGGCAGGAGAATCACTTGAACCCGGGAGGCAGAGGTTGCAGTGAGCCGAGATCGCACCACTGCACTCCAGCCTGGGTGACAGAGCAAAACTCTGTCTCAGGAAAAAAAAAAAGATAAAGAAAAAATTGTTTAACTTTAAAAAATTAAAAATCAAAACAAAATAAGAAATAGTAACAACAAAACCAGAACTAATCATAATAGCTACCACTTACTTTGTGCCTGGCACTATGGTAATAAGCACTTTACCATTAATAGTGTTGAATCCTCACAGCCACCTGATTAAGCCCATTTTCCAGATGAGAAAACTGAGGTGTGGAGAAGTTTAAATAATGGACAAAGATCGGCAAGGTGGGATTTGAACCCCCAGTCCTCAGTATTAAAAGATGAAGGAGGGTGAAACGTTAGTTGTGAAATATCACGCTACAGAGGGACCAGCCTTACAGAGGTGTAAAGGTTTAGGTCTAGAGGGGCTTGAGGCAAGTATGTTGCACGTGGAACATTTAGGCACTATGTGGGTTGAGAAACCTCCAGATAGCTGGGGGCTTCCGGCCATGGGGACTTTCAACTGTTGTAGGACACTGACCTGGCAGCCACCGAATCCTTTTGGGCCCCAAAACTGCATGGGGCAGGGGTGAAGGGGGTGGACCCAGCCCTCAGATCATTCTGGGCTCAGCTTGCAAGATAAGATTATCTGTGATATCCAAATGAAGGCCGATTAATGTGTTTTTTGTTTTGTTTTTTTGAGATGAAGTCTCGCCTTGTCCCCCAGGCTAGAGTGCAACGGGGCGATCTCGGCTTGCTGCAACCTCTGCCTCCCGGATTCAAGCGATTCTCCTGCCACAGCCTCTCGATTAGCTGGGATTACAGGCGCGCACCACCACACCCGGCTAATTTGTGTATTTTTAGTAGAGACAGGGGTTTCACCATGTTGGCCAGGCTGGTCTAGAACTCCTGACCTCAGGTGATCCGCCTGCCTGGGCCTCCCAAAGTGCTGGAATTACCGGCGTGAGCCACTGCGCCTGGCCAAATGTGTGTTTTGAATTTCAAGAGGAAGGGGGGTGGGGGTGGGAGAGTTGCGTTGCCTCTGCCAGGAGGGGTTTGAGTAAATAAATATTCACTCCAAGAGAATCTCATAGGAAACTGAGACCTGCCCTTCCCTCTCTCCCACGTCCAGGATTTTGGGCAGGCCATGCCCCCAGCTTGAAACTCCCTTCCTCCCCGTCTTTAACTGCCTAAGTCTTCCCTGCCCCTGAAACTTGGAGATGAATTTTGATTTCAAATGACCTTGAGAAGGCGTGATTTATCTCCACATTTAAGAAGATACCAAGCCACAGAGCTGGGGGAAAACGCCCAGCAGATGGGCTAAGGGTTAGGAGCTCCATTGTCAGGTGTAGTGACTTATGCCTGTGATCCCAGGACTTTGGGAGACCAAGGCAGGAGGATCACTTGAGCCTAGGAGTTCAAGACCAGCCTGGGCAACACAGCAAGACCCCATCTCCACAAAAAAAAATTTTTAAATTAAGCGAGCATGGTGACGCATGCTGTAGTCCCGGCTACTTGGGAGACTGAGGTGGGGTGATCTCATGAGCCCAGGAGTTTGAGACCGCCTGGTGAACATAGCAAGTCCCCATCTCTACAAGAAAAAAAAATTTTAAATAGCCAGACAAAATAGAGCATGCCTGTAGTCCCAGTTTCCTGGGAGGCTGAGGTAGGAGAATTGCCTGAGCCCGGGAAATTGAGGCTGCAGTGAGTCATGAGTGTGCCACTCGTCTCCAACCTGGGCAACAGGACAACACCTTGTCTCAAAAAAAAAAAAAAAAAAAAAAAAAAAGAGAAAGAGAGAGATGGGAGCTCTACCCACTGGGAAAAGAGTCAGCCCTCAGCACAATGATCCCAGGGCCCCCCCAGGACTCCCTCCTCCCCCGATCCTAGGGGAAGGTCTTCAGCCTCAAAGTTCACCTGCCTTCCCCCTAAATGGTCAAATTATGGGTGACTTTTACCTTGGTTGCTCTATTCTGGTTCTACCAATCCTAGCTGAGAGACCTTGAACAAGTTACTCAACCTCTCTGGGCTTAGTTTCCTCAGTTGCAAAATGGGCACCTACCTTGTAAGGCTGTCGTGAAGTTAAGACAGACCTCACAGCCCCTGCTCCATCGCCATCACCATCATTATCACCATTATCATTGCTTCTTCTTTTTTTTTTTTTTTTTTTTTTTTGAGACGGAATCTCAATCTGTCACCCAGGCTGGAGTGCAGTGGCACGACCTTGGCTCATTGCAACCTCCGCCTCCCGGGTTCAATCGATTCTCTCGCTTCAGCCTCCTGAGTAGCTGGGATTACTGAATAGCTGGGATTACAGGTGCACACCACCACGCCCGTCTAACTTTTGTATTTTTAGTAGACACGGGGTTTCACCATGTTAGGCAGGCTGGTCTCAAACTCCCGACCTCGTGATTCGCTCGCCTCGGACTTCCAAAATGTTGGGATTACAGATTACAGGCGTGAGCCACCGCGCCCTGCCGATTATCATTACTTCTATTTTCCTAGTTCCTACTTTCCAAGGGCAACAATGGAGTTCCATTGCGCCCTCCTGTGGCAGAGCTGCAGTACTGCATCCCTAGGCACAACCACTCCGGGTTCTAAAGGTTGCAAAGAATCTGAAAAACAATTTTTTCTTTTAAGTCAGTCCAGACTGGTTTAAATAAAAAGAGAATGGGCACAGGAACCTTGCAGTTACTGTGCACTCCTCCTAGAACGCCTTCACCCTCACACTGCCTCTTTTTTTTTTTTTTTTTTTTTTTTTTTTGAGACAGGGTCTCACTCTGTCTCCCAGGCTGGAGTACAGCGGCATGTTCACAGCTCACTGCAACCTCGAATTCCCTGGCTCAAGTGATCCTCCCGCCTCAGCCTCCCAAGTAGCTGGGACTACAGGTACGCATCACCATGCCCAGCTAATTTTTTTTTTTCCAGTAACAGGCTCTCTTTCTTAACATTCAAACCACAACATCATTGTCACCTCTTCTGAGAGCCCTTTTATTTACTAGTGAGCCTATTTATTCAACGGTGGGCACTAACTGTGGGTGAGACCCTGCTAGGCACCAAGGATACTGCTGTGGACCACACAGACAAAAACCCCTTCCCTCACGGAGCCGGCATTCCGGTGGGAGACACAGGAAGCCAGCAGATATAAGTATTCCATAGAGTAGGTCCAGTAGTGACTCACACTAAGAGTAAAATAAATCAGGGAGTGGGAAAGGAAGCCCGTTGGGGTGTCATGTTGAAGTGAGGGGATCAGTGCAGGCCTCCCTAAGGAAACGATGTTTGAGTCAAAACTTGAAAGATGGCCAGGTGCAGTGGCTCACGCTTACAATCCCAGCACATTGGGAGGCTGAGGCAGGCAGATCACTTGAGGTCAGGAGTTTGAGACCAGCCTGGCCAACATGGCAAAATCCCATCTCTACTAAAAATACAAAAATTAGCCAGGCGTGGTGGCATGCGCCTGTAATCCCAGCTACTCAAGAGGCTGAGGCAGGAGAATCGCTTGAACCCAGAAGGCAGAGGTTGCAGTGAGCTGAGATCGTGCCACTGCACTCCACAGATCACGCCACTGCACTCCAGCCTGGGTGACAGATCAAGACTCTGTTTCAAAAACAAAAAAAAATTTGCAAAGACAAAACAGAGCTGGCCATGGAATAAGGGGGTTGGGGAGGGAGGGTGTTCCAGGCACAGGGAACAGCAAGTGCAAAGGCCTTGAGGCAGGACGGTGACCTTTGTGGGATGGAGATTGTTGTTCCTGCCATGTCCCCAGTACCTGGATCAGCACCTGATACAATATAGTGCTCAATAAAGAGTGTGACTGGATTAAAGCCCATCTATGGGCTTCAGGAACAGCTTGCTCAGGGCTCAAATGATGATGGCCCCAAGGCCATTACTCTCCTCCATCTGCTCCATCTGGTGACTTCGTTCATTTTTTATTTTTATTTTATTTATTTACTTAACTTTTTTTTTCTCTTTTTTTTTAGAAAGAGTCTCACTCCATCACCCAGGCAGAAGTGCAGTGGCCCAATCTCAGCTCACTGCAACCTCCACCTCCTGGACTCAAGCCTCCCACCTCAGCCTCCCGAGTAGCTGGGACCACAGGCATGCACCACTACGCCCTGGCTATTTCTCTGTATTTTTTAATAGAGATGGGCTCTTGCCATGTTGTCCAGGCTGGTCTCGAACTCCTGAGCTCAAGCGATCCACCTGCCTTGGCCTCCCAAAGTGCTGGGATTACAGGAGTGAACCCACATTCCCAGCTGGCTTCATTCTTATAAGAGGCCTCCCTCTGTTGTCTAAGATAGGGACTCAGCTTCAAATCCATCCCACTCAAGACACAGAAGTCAGGCCAGACTTGTTGGCTCACAGCTGTAAATCCCAGCAGTTTGGGAAGCCGGGGCAGGGAGATTGCTTGAGGCCAGGAGTTCAAGACCAACCTGGACAACAGAGAGAGACCCTGTCTCTACAATTTGAGGCCAGGCACAGTGGCTCACACCTGTAATCCCAACACTTTAGAAGGCTGAGGTGGGCGGATCACTTAAGGCCAGGAGTTCAAGACCAGCCTGGCCAACATGGCAAAGCCCCATCTCTACTAAAAATACAAAAATTAGCCGGGCGTGGGTGGCTCATGCCTGTAATCCCAGCTACTTGGGAGGCTGAGGCAGGAGAATCGCTTGAATCCGGGAGGTGGAAGTTGCAGTGAGCCGAGATCGCGCCACTGCACTCCAGCCTGGGCGACAGAGCAAGACTCTGTCTCAAAAAAAAAAAAAAAAAAAGAACTTAATCGGGCATGGTGGCTCACATGTGTGGTCCCAGATACTCAGGAAGCTGAGGCAGAAGGATCATCTGAGCTCAGGAGTTCGAGGCTGCAGTGTGCTATCATCATACCACCTCACTCTAGCCTGGGCAACAGAGCAAGATCTTGTCTCAAAAGAAAAAGACAGAAAAGGGCCGGGTGTGGTGGCTCACACCTGTAATCCCAGCACTTTGGGAGGCCGAGGCAGGCAGATCACGAGGTCAGGAGTTTGAGACCAGCCTGGCCAAGGATAGTGAAACCCCATCTCTCCTAAAAATACAAAAATTAGCCAGGCGTGGTGGCACGTGCCTGTAGTCCCAGCTACTCGGGAGGCGGAGGCAGGAGAATTGCTTGAACCCAGGAGGCAGAGGTTGTGGTCAGCCGAGATCGCGCCATTGCACTCCAGCCTGAGCAACAGAGCGAGACTGCATCTCAAAAAAAAAAAAAAAAAAAAAGGAAAAAGAAAAAGACACAAAAGTTTGTTTCCCAAGACTCATCACAAATGCCTCAACACAGCTCACTGGAGGCTTCAGGTGGGGAAGGTGCATCCCCTAAACAATCGGCCAGGCCCTAGAGGGCCACACGCCCTTGAGGAAATAAAGAGACCCCCCCACCCCAGTGAAGTCTGGGGCTGTGGTGGGAAGTAGTGGGTGTAGAACTGTCAAAGTTTCACAGAGTAATTATAATGAGAGGTTTCACAGCTAGGAGTGCCAGAACCTAGGAGTGCCAGAACCTAGGAGCGCCTGGCTCAAAGCAACCCTGAAATTCCCAGTGCGGTCTGGAAACCACCCATCCTTAAGAGGAGGGACAGGTGGGCTGGGTGCAGTGGCTCACGCCTGTAATCCAAGCACTTTGGGAGGTCAAGGTGGTCGGATCACTTGAGGTCAGGAGTTCAAGACTGGCCTGGCCAACATGGTAAAACCCCATCTCTACTAAAAATACAATTAGCCGAGCATGGTGGCAGGTGCCTGTAAACCCAGCTACTCGGGAGGCTGGGGCTGGAGAATTGCTTGAACCCGGGAGGCGGAGGTTGCAGTGAGCCAGGATCACACCACCACACTCCAGCCTGGGCAACACAGCAAGACTCCATCTCAAAAAAAAAAAAAAAAAAAAAGTAGGGACAGGTGGCTGGACCAGTCACTAGGCTAACAGTGGGAGCCTTTAGTATCTACAGCAAAGAAAGGAAGCCACCACCTCTTTGATGGAGAAAGAGGGCCCCATAGGTAGTAGAAGAACAGCTAACAGAGGCCAGAAATGGCTGACTTAGACTCGTTCCTCAAATGGGGGCCCGAGAGGCCCTGGTGGGAAGGAGGGAGTGTGGGGAGCAAACAGGAGGGTGGGGGCTGCACCTCTGGTCTAGCCTGGAGTCCCAGGAGGTTGGGGTAAGGTAGTGTGGTGGGAACTCCAGGAGTCTGGTATTTATGCAGCACCTGCTGTATGCGTGAGTAATGACAGGTCATTCCAAGTTCAAAAGGAAAAATTCCGAGTTGGGAAGCTGCCCTCCTGGTCTCAGCTGTGTCCCTGGAACCCAGCACATAACAACAAATCTTTGCTGCAGAATGAAACCCCTCCTCCACCCCCTACTCCAGCCCTGGGAAGGCTGTTATTACCCCCACTGTGTGGATGAGTAAACCCAGACTCAGACAAAGCCAAGGCCAAGGCTCTGGCCAGCTCCCTGGGGGGGGGCGTTCCTGGGAAATGCCTGCAATTGTGAGGCCTGGGGGTCACCGCCCTTCCCTGGAACCAGGCACTGTACCAGGCGCCTGGGATTCAAATCCCAGCCCTGCCCCAACCATCCAGGTCCTCCTCATTCACGCATTCGTTCATTTTATGGAGCGAGACCCAGAGTGACCAAGACCAAGAGGGCTCCGGTTCCAACAGAATTTTCACTCTCCCCATCTCTGTGGCCTCAGTTTCCTCATCTGTGAAATGGGACCAGCTGAGCCTACGTCACCGCAAAGGAGTTAAGGCACAGAGACCAAGGCCAGGCCCAGGACCGATCAAACCCCCCTGAGAGCTCGGAGAGGGCGGGGCCGAGCTGGGACTTATTTCCCGCCCCGGGCACCGTGCCTGGCACACGGGAGGCGCCCAATAAATGCTTGTTTGAGCCAGGCCCAGCCCTCAATAAATAACAGCTGTTGTTGATGCCGCAGAGGCTGGCGAGGAAGTGGGCTCTCCCCTCCCCAACCCCAGCATCTCATGCTCCCATCCCCCCTCCAGCCCCATTCCTTACCCCCCTCCATTCCTTCCCGTGGCCCCCAACCCAACTCAGCCCCTTCCTCCAGGCCCCCACCTCCCCCCAACCCACTCAGCCCCTCCTCCAGGGCCCCACCTCCCCCAACCCCACTCAGCCCCTCCTCAAGGGCCCCACCTCCCCCCACCCCACTCAGCCCCTTCCTCCAGGCCCCCACCTCCCCCCACCCCACTCAGCCCCTCCTCCAGGCCCCCACTTCCCCCCACCCCACTCAGCCCTTCCTCCAGGCCCCCACCTCCCCCCACCTCACTCAGCCCCTTCCTCCAGGCCTCCATCTCCCCCTACCCCTTCCCATTCAAACTTCCCCCTCCCCCAACCTCTCCCTTCTCTTCCTCCCTTTCCCCGAACCCCCACCCACCCAATTCTGCCTCCATCCCCATCCCCCACCTGATTCTTTCTCCCCTCCCCCACCCATTCTCCCCGCCGCCACTCGATTTCTCCCGCTTCGTCCCCTCCCCGCCCCCCGCGGTTCCCCAGCCCCCTCCCACGCGGCGGGGGCGCTGGTCCCGGGCGGGGCGGCCCGAGTTCCCGGGTCCCTGGCTGGGGTCCAGCCCGCGGCCCAGGCCGGGCGGCGGCAGGCGGGCGGGGTTTCTGGCCGCGCGCAGTTTGGGGGTTTTTTTATAACCCTGGCAGGCGGCTCAGGAAGTGCCTTCCCCGCGCCCCCTCCCCTGGCCACGCCGCCGCGCTCGCTCGCTCCCTCCCTTCCTGCGCGCGCGGGGCGGCGAGACAGCGGCGGCGACGGCGCGGAGGCCCCGGGCGCGGCGCAGGTAGCGGCGCGGGCGGGGGGCCCGGGGGTGCGTGATTCAGTGGGACTTTGTGTGTCCGCATCGGGCTGTGAGGGCGTGGGGCTGTGGTGCCCTGGATGGGGGAGGGCATCCCGCTGTGCGACTCCGGTCGGTGCCTGAGGTCCGCAAGTGCGCGCGCCACTGATCACGCCCGGGGTTGCCGTGGGTTTGTTTGCGCTGTGTGTGTGTGTGTGTGTGTGTGTCCGTCCACGTAGGGGCAGAGTGGTTGTGCATTACATGTGTGTGTCAGTGCCTGGGGATGAGTCTCTTGTGTGTCTGTGTGTTTGGACAGTGTGTGCGCATAGGGGTTTGCTATGTGCGCGCAGATCTGGAGGCGAGTGTGTGTGTGTCTGGGTTTGTGTGTGTGTCCCCAAGCATGTGTGCGTTTGTCTCTGACCGTGATGAGTGTGTAAATACCTGTGTGTGTGTGTCTGGTGTGGGGGGGTGTCTAGGTCTGTGGGACTTGTGAGTTTGTCTCTGGTTTGGTGTGAGCATGCAAATGAGTGTGTATGTGTCAGCGTGTAGGCCTGTGTGTCTGTCTCCTTGGGTTGTCTGTGTATGTATGTGTGTGTTTCTGTTTGTGTAGGCCCCGGGTGCGTGTATTTGTGTGTCCGCGTGTTTCTCTGTCTTGTCCCGTGTGTGCGCGTGTAAATGAGTGTGTGTTTACACATGTCTGGGAGTGTGTGGTTGTGTGTCTCCATGTGTTTGTCTCCGGGTGTGTGAGTGTGCACTGAGCCTGTCGGCGTGTGTGTCTGCGGTGGAGGCGTCCTGCGTCTTTTGTGGGTCTACAGTGCCCGAGCGCCGGTCTCTGGTTGCGCGGGGTGTGTGTCGCTGCCAGTGTGTGTTTGTGTGTCTGGGTGTGGGAGTGGCGCCGCCCACTTCCCCTGAGTTGGTCAGTGAGGCCACAGCCGTCTGTCTCAGGGTGTCTCCAGCGGTCGGGCTCAGGGCCTTTAATTAGCGGCCGGTTGTGGGGGACCAGCCCGGGCGCCGGCCCCCTCCTCCCGCAGGCCCCGGCTGGGCCTTTGTCTGCTCTCCGGCAGGGACTGCCTCCTGCCGGCCCGGCCAGATGTGCAGCCGGGAGGAGGCCGGCAGGCTGGGGCCTCTGCCTGGGGAGACGCGGCCTTGGCCTCCACGGGGGACCTTCCGTCGGCCCTGTCCCCGCAGCCTGGCCGGAGAGGTTTGGGTGTGGAGCTTAGGGTCCCTTCAGGATCCCCGGGATGGGATGGGATGGGACAGAGCCTCTGTTTCTAAGCCATTTCCATTTCCCGGAGGCATTTCCTCCTCCAGGCCTGGCACCCTCCCCCACGCTGGCCACCTCCCTCCTGCCTTCGGGGAGGAGGGGCTGGAGGAATGGCCAGGCCTGGGTACACACACACACACACACACACACAGGGTCACACACACTCACAAGCCATAATGCACATGCAGTCACACGCTCACAATCACACACAGGGTCACACACACTCACATACATGCTGTAATGTACATGCAGTCACACACACACGCCACAGTGCAGATCCCTCACTGACATCCTGTTGGCCACCACCGTCTCTGTCCCTGAGCCTCTCTCAAGCTTCATCTTTGGCCCCAGACCCACTGCCTTGTTCATGTCCCCCCACCACCTGGTGCCCTGGGCTGTGTCACACCTCGACACCACCCTGTGGGCTGGACCCCCAGCTCAGACGCCTGTGAGCCTTCTGCAGACCCCCCTCCTCCCCCTACCCCATACACTGTGCACAGGTGAGTCCCCTTCCCCTGTCCTCACCCCCTGTGCTGGGTCCTTCCACAATGTCCCAAACCTTGTCCCTCACACCCCACCTGAGCCCAAAGCACAGAAGGGGGTGTGAGGGTTTTGGGAGGAGCGCCTCACTTCAGAGGACAGTGATGAGGACTGAGGGTCTTAGGGGGACCAGGACAGACCCAAAGACACTCTAGACAAGACCAGAGAGAGCCCCTGAAGGAGGAGGATGGGGCACCAGGCCTGGCAATGCAAGAACAGGAGAGGAGGGAGGGAGCCAGTGGGAGAAAGGGGTGAGGTCCCTGCTTCACTTGCAATGAGAATGTTCCTACCTTTCAGGGGTGGCTCAGGGCAGGAGCGGGGGTCAGAGGTGCCCAACCAGGAAGGGCCTTGATCTGGGAGTTGGCTGACACTTCCAAAGAAGGAATAGGGAAGAAGAAGCAAGAAGAGAGGGAGAGGGAGAGGAGGTGGGTTTTTGTTGGAGGGGGTTCATTAGGAACAGAAGAAAGAAGAAGTCTAAGAGGAAGTTCTCCAGGGGCAGAGAGAGGGTCAGAATTTCCTCAGTGATCCCTCAACTACAGACCCAGCTCAGTGCTGAAGACCAGCCCGGCTCCTCCTCTTTGACCCCTCCCTGCCCAGGCTCCAAAGAAGAAGAAACCAAGGCCCAGAGAGGGAGGCCCAGGTGCAGGGAGCAGGCGAGGGAAGGATCCGTACAGGGGCCCAACACTACTCCACCAACCGAAGCCCCCAAAAGGTAAAAAAAATAAAAAGGAGAGAGAGGCCAGGTGCTGTGGCTCACGGCTGTAATCCCAGCACTTTGGGAGGCCAAGGCGGGCTGATCATGAGGTCAAGAGATCGAGACCATCCTGGCCAACATAGTGAAACCCCGTCTCTCCTAAAAATACAAAAATTAGCTGGGCATGGTGGCGCACACCTGTAGTCCCAGCTACTCGGGAGGCTGAAGCAGGAGAATCGCTTGAACCCGAGAGACAGAGGTTGCAGTGAGCAGAGATCACACCACTGCACTCCACCCTGGCGACAGAGTGAGACTCCGTCTCAAAAAAAAAGAGAGAGAGAGAGAGAGAACAACAACAGAAGGAATGGACATTAGCCCAGCTAAAGAGTGCAACAGGGGTCACAGAATATCTGTGAGTGAGCTCCCCGTCACTAGAGGGATCCAAGCAGAAGTGGGGAATGTGGGCTTCTTGGTCCATCAGCAACTTGGCAAAAACCTGGCTCCCTCCCTTGGGGCTGAACTGCCCTGTTTGGGGATTGACTCTCAGACTTGGACTCTCAGACTTGGCTGGGCTGCAAAGAAAACAAGACTCTGTGATTAAGGGATTTTGCACAGAGGAGGAGGAGGGTGGAGACAGCAGGGTGGGGGAAGAGGGTTTGGCACAGGGTGGTGGCCCAAAGTGGTGTCTGCGGCAGGCTGGCCTGGGGCAGATGCTGGAGAGACTGAGACCTGCGGGGCGGGCTGGCTTGGAGCCTTGAAAGAATCTGAATGGAGGACGGGGTCAGAAACACAGGGTGGAGGAGAGGCCTGGGAGGTGGGAGTGAATAGTGCTACCCAGTGCAGAGAATCCAAAGATGGCCCAAGACAGTGGGTGCGTGGGTGGGCATATGAAAGTCTGCAGGACTGGAATACTAGCCTTAGCTTTAAAAATCTGGCTTGAATGGTGCTACCCATTTCAGATAATCCAAAGACAGGGCCCAGGACAGTAGATGCATGGGTGGGAGCCTTAGCTCTAATCTGGCTTGAAAATTCACACCGACCAGCCCCCCCTTCAAGTGCCTCTGATGCCAGCCTCCCCTTGCTCTCCTGCACCCACCCTGTCTGGGCTCATGCCAGGCTCTACCCAACCTCCAGGCCTTTGACCTTGCTGTTTCCCCTCCTGGTGCACCTTCGCCTGTCTCTTCACACCATTGATTTCTTATGCTTTGAACCTCTGCTTCCCAGTCTCCCCATTGATACCTTCTAGAGAACATGTCACAATCTGAACTATTCTCCATTCACTTGACTGTCATCTGTCACTCCTAAGAGATGGAACCCCACAGGGCTAGGGCAAGTAGGGGTTGCTATCCTTAGCATGCCTGGCTGTCATGCCCCCGTCCACCCTCCACCGGAGGCTATAACCCAATGAATGAACCCAGGTTCTACCACTTTCTAGCAATGTGACCCACGGCAAACTCTATCACTCCTGAGTCTATTTCCTCATCTATAAAAAGATGAGGGATACGAGTGTGATGCGAGGTCAGGAGTTCAAGACCAGCCTGGCCAACATGGTGAAACCCCATCTCTACTAAAAATACAAAAATGTAGCTGGGCGTGTTGATGCGTGCCTGTAATCCCAGCTACTCAGGAGGCTGAGGCGGGAGAATCAAATGAACCCGGGAGGCGGGGGTTGCAGTGAGCCGCGATTGCGCCATTGCACTCCAGCCTGGGTCACATAGTGAGACTCCATCTCAAAAAAAAGAGCGTGATGACCATGACTTCTCAGTTATTTTGGAAATGAAATACGGTGGGCTGGGTGCAGTGGCTCATGCTTGTAATCCCAGTGCTTTGGGAGGCTGAGGTGAAAGGATCCCTTGAGGCCAGGAGTTCAAGATCAGCCTGGGCAACAAAGTGAGACCCCCGTCTCTCCAAAAAAACAAAAACATTAGCCAGGTGTGGTGGCTTGCACCTGCAATCTCAGCTACTTGGGAGGCTGAAGCAGGAGGATTATTTGAGCCCAGGCAGTGGAGGCTGCAGTGAGCTATGATCACAACACTGCACTCCATCCTAGGTGACAGAGCAACGCCCTGTCTCTTAACAAAAGAACAGAAATGCAGTGGTGTGAAAACTAGGGCCAGTAGCTGGCACATAGGAGATACTCCCAGCGTCCCAGTCCCTGTCTGTCCTCTTGTAGGAGTGTAGGAAGGATTGGAAGGGGAGGTGGGGAGAGGGGAGTGACTGAGTGAGAAAATGCATTCAGAATCTTCAGAGTCAGGTGAAAAGCTTTGGCCATGATTGGCCTTGGCATTGGTTGTGCTGGACAGCGGGACCAGGCGCCCCCTTACCTGGCTCCCCCCTCCCAGGAGCCCGGTGATGCTGCGAAGGCTGTGAACAGGGGAGGCGGCACTGTGGGGGCTGCCGGCAGCCGGGGCTGGGGAGAGACATGTGGACACGTGGCCTCTATGGCTCCCGCCTGCCAGATCCTCCGCTGGGCCCTCGCCCTGGGGCTGGGCCTCATGTTCGAGGTCACGCACGCCTTCCGGTCTCAAGGTAGGGGAAGTCTGGTGGTGGCGGTGGGGAGGGAGCGAAAAATGTAAGAGACCAGTTGGGCTCCAACAGAAAGAGGCATCAGGGGGCTGGGATGGGGGTCAATGGGGGAAGGCCCTGGGGTCAATAGGCGGGAGCCTTGCAGCCAACTCCCTGGATTTCGGGGGTCAGTGAGGCCAGCATCACTTGCTCCAGCAGCCTAACAGCCAGGACACAGGGGTCCAATAAGACCAGGGCCCACCCCAGGCCTCTGACCCTCACCCACAGATGAGTTCCTGTCCAGTCTGGAGAGCTATGAGATCGCCTTCCCCACCCGCGTGGACCACAACGGGGCACTGCTGGCCTTCTCGCCACCTCCTCCCCGGAGGCAGCGCCGCGGCACGGGGGCCACAGCCGAGTCCCGCCTCTTCTACAAAGTGGCCTCGCCCAGCACCCACTTCCTGCTGAACCTGACCCGCAGCTCCCGTCTACTGGCAGGGCACGTCTCCGTGGAGTACTGGACACGGGAGGGCCTGGCCTGGCAGAGGGCGGCCCGGCCCCACTGCCTCTACGCTGGTCACCTGCAGGGCCAGGCCAGCAGCTCCCATGTGGCCATCAGCACCTGTGGAGGCCTGGTGAGCTGAGGATTCTGGAACGCGGGGGGAAATGCCCATAAGTTTGGAAGTTAAGAAAAACACTTCTACATAGAGGGCAGAGAAGGAATGATAGTGGGATGTTTTTTAAGTGTTTTGAGCCAATCAGTGCTTTGGGGATGCAGCTAAAGCAGTACTTAAAGGAAAATGTATAGCCTTAGGTAAGGCTGAAAATTAATGAGCTAAACATCAATCTCAAAAAATTCGAGGCTGGGCATGGTGACTTATGCCTGTAGTCCTGGCATTTTGGGAGGGTGAGGCGGGCAGATCACTTGAGGTCAGGAGTTCGAGACCAGCCTGGCCAACATGGTGAAACCCCATCTCTACTAAAAATACATATAAAAATTAGCCAGGCATGGTGGTATGTGTATGTAATCCTAGCTACTCAGGAGGCTGAGGTGGGAGAATCAGTTGAACTCAGGAGGGGGAGGTCTCAGTGATCTGAGATCACAACACTGCCCTCCAGCATGGGTGACAGAACAAGACCCTGACTCTTTAAATATATATATATATTTTTTATATTTATAAATATATATAATATATAATTATATATGTGTATGTGTATGTATACACATACATACATACTATACACATACACACATATATAATTTTAAAATAAAAAGAAATTAGAGGCTGAGCATGCTGACTCATGCTTTTAATCTTAGCACTTTGGGAGGCCGAGGCAGGAGGATCACTTGAGGCCAGGAATTCGAGACCAGCCTGGGCAACATAGTGGAACCCCATCTCTATGAAAAATAAATTAAAAATTTTAAAAATTAGCCAAACATATTGGTGTGCTCCTATAGTCCCAGATCCTTGGGAGGCTGAGGCAGGAGGATCGCTTGAGCCCAGGAAGTTGAGGATGCAGTGAGCTACGATTGCACCACTGCACTCCAGCCTGGATGACAGAGTAAGACCTTGTCTCCAAAAGAAGAAATAAATAAATAAATAAATAGCATGGACACTAATTACCTATGCCAAAAAAAAAAAAAGAAATAGCAAAATAAACCTGATAAGAATGAAATCATAAAGACAGAGAGAAGGTCCCAGGGGTCCTAAGCTCCAGAACCTGATCCTGAGAGCTTTCTATCCCACTTCTCAAAACCCAGCACGGCCTGATCGTGGCAGACGAGGAAGAGTACCTGATTGAGCCCCTGCACGGTGGGCCCAAGGGTTCTCGGAGCCCGGAGGAAAGTGGACCACATGTGGTGTACAAGCGTTCCTCTCTGCGTCACCCCCACCTGGACACAGCCTGTGGAGTGAGAGGTACATCGGTCTTTCTGGGGATGGGCAGAGGGCTACACAGTATCTTTCCCTTGAGGCAGCAGTGTCTTTTTATCCAGAAAGTCAGCAGGCAGTTATGTGAGGGGAAGAATGGAGCTGCTGAGAAGGGGACACAGTGATATAATTATGGAGTTCCGGCCGGGTGCAGTGGCTCACACCTATAATCCCAGCACCTTGGGAGGCCGAGGTGGGCGGATCACCTGAGGTCAGGAGTTCAAGACCAGCCTGACCAACATGGCGAAACCCCATCTCTACTAAAAATACAAAATTAGCTGGGCGTGGTGGCGCATGCCTGTCATCCCAGCTACTCGGGAGGCTGAGGCAGGAGAATCACTTGAACCCGGGAGGCAGAGGTTGCAGTGAGCAGAGATCACGCCATTGCACCCCAGCCTGGGCGACACAGCAAGACTCCGTCTCAAAAAGAAAAAATAGGGAGTTCTATCCAGGGGACAGCAGAGACATATCCTCAGACGGCGAACCAGTGGAGCTATGGAATAATCTTATCCCTGCTATAGTCACCTAGCCCAGCACTGAGTAAGACAGCCAGAAAGGTGTTCAGGTATAAAACCATTCCTTCTCTAGGATTATCATCTGATCAGACAGTTAGACGGTGTGGTGGTTGTATCAGATACTCCAGCAGTTATACAGCCAAAAGGCCAGATTTACGATCAGACTGGTAGGAGGATGGTTGTACAATCAGGCATTTAAGAAATGAGAGAGAAGGAAAGCTATACACCAACAAAATACTTACCAACACAATCGTACTGCTAGGAAACCAGGTCAGTTCGGGCATGGTGGCTCACACCTGTAATCCTAGCACTTTGTGAAGTTGAGGCGGGAAAATCACTTGAGCCCAGGAGTTTGAGAACAGCATGGGCAACATAGTGAGACACTATCTCAACCAAAAATAGAAAAAATAAGCCAGGTGTGGTGGTGTGCTCCTGTAGTCCCAGCTACTTGAGAGGCTGAGGCAGGAGGATCACTTGAGCCAGGGAGATTGAGGCTCCAATGAGCCTTGATCACACCACTGCACTCCAGCGTGGGCAACAGAGCAAGGTCCTGTTTCAAAATATATATATAGAAAATCAGGGTCAGGCACAGTGTCTCACGCCTGTAATCCCAGCATTTTGGGAGGCCGAGATGGGCAGATCACTTGAGGTCAGGAGATTGAGATCAGCCTGGCCAACATGGCGAAACCCCGTCTTTACTAAAAATACAAAAAAGTTAGCCAGGCGTGGTGGCACACACCTGTAATTCCAGCTACTTGGGAGGCTAAGGCAGGAGAATCGCCTGAACCCGGGAGGTAGAGGTTGCGGTGAGTTGAGATTTCGCCATTGCACTCCAGCCTGGGCGACAGAGTGAGGCTCTGTCTCAAAAAAGAAAATCAGATGAATGTTAGATGGAAAAGCAGAACAGTGTGATATTGAATTAAGTATATAATCAGATACTCTATGAGTAGGATGCTGTGGTAGACATACAGCCACAGTCAGCAGTACAGACAGAAAAAAGGTGGATGACGTACGATGTCACAGTTGGGTGGTCCATGAGACCATCTGGTTGTAGTACATCAGGCAGTATGATTGTTCTAACTGCAATGCAGTTAGAACTAACTGATCTAATTGGGCAGTGCATTGATTGGAAAGTTGCTCAGCTAGAAGGACAACACGTTGTCCAAGCACACAGTTCAAATTGCAAAACAGGCTGGTTCACACCATTCCATTCGGGCAGTGGAATTGTCAGTGGATTGTACAATCATGCTGGTCATCATGGGACAGTGATTCAACCAACCAGCTTAGCTGTGGGACAGTCATGCAAGTGTTCAGTTGGACATTTGGGCAGCGGGGCAGGCTGGTAGCTGAACAGGTTGGCAAACAGGCAGTGGAACAGCCATACAACCAACAGTGGGAGAAGTCAGGCTGTTATTCAACTCAACAGTTTGGCAGAGGGACAGTGACATCATGGTAGACTACAATATTCTCAGGTAGTAGGACACTGACAAAAAAAAGAGATGGTACCGCCAAGATGCCCTATAGACAAAACAATGAGGCAGCCAGGCGCAGTGGCTCAAACCTGTAATCCCAGCACTTTGGGAGGCTGAGACGGGTGGATCACTTGAGGTCAGGAGTTCGAGACCAGCCTGGCCAACATGGTGAAATGCAGTCTCAATTAAAAATACAAAAATTAGCCAGGCATAGTGGCACATGCCTGTCATCCCAGCTACTCGGGAGGCTGAGGCAGGAGAATCGCTTGAACCTGGGAGGCAGAGGTTTCAGTGAGCCAAGATCGCACCACTGCAGTCCAGCCTGGGTGACAGAATGATACTCCGTCTCAAAAAAAAAAAAAAAAAGAATAAGAAAAACGATGAGGTGTTTGGCAGCCCATTGGGCAGACAGACCATCACACAGGTAGCTGGACAACAAGAGAAGGCAGCAGAATGACCAGAAATTGTCTGTCCAGACTGTTGGGTAGAGAGGTAGCCAGTCAGAGGTTGGACAAGACAGTTGTCAGGCAGCTCTGCGTCCCACCAGCAGGGCAGGGCTTAATTGCTCTACTGGGTTCCCCAGATGAGAAACCGTGGAAAGGGCGGCCATGGTGGCTGCGGACCTTGAAGCCACCGCCTGCCAGGCCCCTGGGGAATGAAACAGAGCGTGGCCAGCCAGGCCTGAAGCGATCGGTCAGCCGAGAGCGCTACGTGGAGACCCTGGTGGTGGCTGACAAGATGATGGTGGCCTATCACGGGCGCCGGGATGTGGAGCAGTATGTCCTGGCCATCATGAACATTGTAAGTGCCTTCCCCTCCCTGGGCACGCAGCCCTGAGGACTTGGAGCCAGCCTGCAGTGTTAGGCAAGGGGGTGGCTACCATCCCACCCCAATCCCTGACGTGGGGACAGGGGTAGAAAGGAAGGTTGCAGGCCGGGCGCGGTGGCTCACACCTGTAATCCCAGCACTTCGGGAGGCCAAGGCGGGCAGATCACAAGGTCAGGAGATGGAGACCATCCTGGCTAACACGGTGAAACCCCATCTCTACTAAAAATACAAAAAATTAGCCGAGTGTGGTGGCGGGCGCCTGTAGTCCCAGCTACTCGGGAGGCCGAGGCAGGAGAATGGCGTGAACCTGGGAGGCAGAGCTTGCAGTGAGCCAAGATCACGCCACTGCACTCCAGCCTGGGCGACAGAGCAAGACTCTGTCAAAAAAAAAAAAAAAAAAGAAAAGAAAGAAAAGAAAAGACAGAAAGAAAGAGAAAAGAAAGAAAGAGAGAGGAAGGAAGGAAGGAAGGTAGGTAGGTAGGTTGGTTGCATATGGCAATGAACGAGGAGGAGAAAGAGCATAAGCACAGTGACTAGATGCAGAGGTGCCCTGGGGCAGAGGGAACCTGCTTGGGCTTAAATTTCCGCTCTGCCACTTTTTAACTGTCTGCCTTTGAGCAAGTTACTTCACCTCTCTGCCTTGTCTTACCTATCTGTAAAATGGGCATAATTGTGGTACCTACTTTATAAAGCTAAGGTAGATCCAGTGCATTCATAAAGCATGTAGAACAGTTCTTGGCATGCAGTAGGTGGCATATAAGTGTTTGCTGTGTGTAAAAATACACACAGGCTGGGCACAGTGGCTCATGCCCAAGGTGGGCAGATCACTTGAGGTCAGGAATTCAAGACCAGCCTGGCTAGCATGGTGAAACCCCGTCTCTACTAAAAAATACAAAACATTAGCCGGGCGTGGTGGCGGGCACCTGTAATCCCAGCTACTCAGGAGGCTGAGGCAGGAGAATCGCTTGAACCAGGGAGGTGGAGGTTGTAGTGAGCTGAGATCACGCCACTGTGCTCCAGCCTGGGCAACAGAGCAAGACTCTGTCTCAAAAAAAAATAAAAAAATAAGTACACAGCAGCCTGGGAAACATAGTGAAATCCCGTCTCTACAAAACATTTAAAAATTAGCAGAGCATGGTGGCACATGCCTGTAGTCCCAGCTACTCAGGAAGCTGAGGCAGGAGGATCACTTGAGCCCAGGAGTTTGAGACGCAGTGGGTTATAATCCCTGTCATTCATTCATTCATAAATAAATAAATAAATCGCAGTAGGCTGGGCACGGTGGCTCACACCTGTAATCCCAGCACTTTGGGAGGCCAAGGTGGGTGGATCACCTGAGGTCAGGAGTTCAAGACCAGCCTGGCTAACATGGTGAAACCCCGTCTCTACTAAAAATACAAAAATTAGCTGAGCGTGGTGGTGGGCACCTGTAATCCCAGCTACTTGGGAGGCTGAGACAGGAGAATCGCTTGAACCCGGGAGGCAGAGGTTGCAGTGAGCCAAGATCGCACCATTGCACTCCAGCCTGGGCAACAAGAGGGAAATTCCATCTCAAAATAGATAGATAGATGATAGATAGGTAGCTCACAGGTACTCGTTGAGGTTAGCAGTACACACACAGGCACACATCCGTATTCACGCAGCATTCTTGCACAAGCACCTACTTATAAATTCCTACAGGCTGACCTCCCCAACCCACCTTCAGATATAGTCCATTTCCATCCTAGATCTCAGGCGAGATTCTTGACCTCTCTAAGCCTCAGCGTACCAGTGTATCAAATGGAGATATAATGGTAGCTACCCTAGAGAGTAAGGATTGGTGGAAGGGAAGCCAGGTAGGCTATTTGGCACATAGTAAGGGCTTGATGAATGGTGCTCTTGTTTCACTGAAGCAAAAGGGAAAACAAAAAGTTTAGCAGACAGGCAGAGGGTCCAAAATGTTGTGTAGTGTCGTCTCTGATGGCCCTCAGTTGTGCCTGAGCCTGGCCTCTCTCCCTAGGGCTTTCAGAATTTCCTGGGGGTTTCCAGCCCGGTGCAGTGGCTCACGCCTGTAATCCCAACACTTTGGGAGGCCGAGGCGGGTGGATCACCTGAGGTCGGGAGTTCGAAACAAGCCTGGCCAACATGGTGAAATCCTGTCCCTACTAAAAATACAAAAATCAGCTGGGCGTGGTGGCGGGCACCTGTAGTCCCAGCTACTCCGGAGGCTGAGGCTGGAGAATCGCTTGAACCCGGGAGGTGGAGGTGAGTGAGCCAAGATTGCGCCACTGCACTCCAGCCTGGGTAACAGAGTGAGACTCCATCTCCAAAAAAAAAAAAAAAAAAAAAAAAAAAATTCTGGGGATTTCCAGACGGGGAAATGATTACCCAGGGTTCCAAGATCCCTGCACAGCCTGGCCTCTGTCTTCTGTGCCAGCTCATCCCTGGGGCTGCTTCCTCCTTTCCTCTGACCACTGTCTCCAGAGCCTCCTGCCCTCACAGTTTTACTTTCCTGTGGTGATGGGCAAATTGGTACCTTCAGACAGCTGTGGAATGAACTCAGACATGTATATCCCTCAGGTCGCCTCTGGACAAAGATGCTTGAGGCAGTCAGGGGGGTAAGCAGGGGTTGGGGGACAAGTAGATAAGCTGAGCTTGGAGGAGTCTGAAAGAAATGTTCTGGTAAGCAATCCAGACTTGAGTCTCACTTCTGACACCTACCAGCTGTGTCCTAACCTCTGTTTGCATGTCTCCTCATCTGTAAATTGGGGATGATAATAGCACCTGTTGATGAAAAGACTGATGCATGGCCAGGCATGGTGGCTCACACCTGTGATCCCAGCACTGTGCCAGGCCAGGACAGGAGGATCGCTTGAGGTCAGGAGTTCAAGACCAGCCTGGCCAACATGGTGAAACCCAGTCTCTACTAAACATACAAAAATTAGGCGGGCATGGCTGGGCACGGTGGCTCACGCCTGTAATCCCAGCTACTCGGGAGGCTGAGGCAGGAGAATCGCTTGAACCCAGGAGGCGGAGGTTGCAGTGAGCTGAGATCACACCATTGTACTCCACCCTAGACAAAAAGAGCAAAACTCTGTCTCAAAAAAAAAAAAATTAAGTGGGCATAGTGATGTGCGCCTATAGTCTCAGCTACTTGGGAGGCTGAAGCAGTAGAATCATTTGAACCTGGGAAGTGGAGGTTACAGTGAGCTGAGATTGCACCGCAGCACTGCAGCCTGGGCAACAGAGCGAGACTCCATCTCAAAAAACAACAACAACAAATAGTAACAACAGCAAATATTACCTATTCATGAAAAGACTGATACATGGCTGGGCATGGTGGCTCACACCTGTAATCCCAGCCCTATGGGAGGCCAGGCAGGAGGATCACTTGAGGTCAGGAGTTCAAGACCAGCCTGAGCAACATACCAAGACCCCCATCTTTAACAACAACAGCAACAAAAAACCCTAATAGCAGGTTTAGCCTAAGACCCGACACACAGTAGGTGCCTGATGAAAGCAAGCTGTTATCATTGTTTTTGCTTTTCATTTTCTACCCTGGGCTCCTCTTAAGACTCGGTCTCTCTTGTTTCTTGGAGGTCAGGTTGCCAAACTTTTCCAGGACTCGAGTCTGGGAAGCACCGTTAACATCCTCGTAACTCGCCTCATCCTGCTCACGGAGGACCAGGTGCGGGGGACTTCCTCCCCTTCCCCTTCCCCTTCATACCAGCATGTCCTGCCGTCCCCTGGGTGGTGGGTGCCCATGCATTTCCCTCTGTCCATCCCCAGCCCACTCTGGAGATCACCCACCATGCCGGGAAGTCCCTGGACAGCTTCTGTAAGTGGCAGAAATCCATCGTGAACCACAGCGGCCATGGCAATGCCATTCCAGAGAACGGTGTGGCTAACCATGACACAGCAGTGCTCATCACACGGTGAGGGGACAGGAGAGGTCTAGGACTGGGGCTGAGAAAACAGATGGTCCAGGGAACCATGAGAGTCCAAACAGAGATCACTTCTGCTAGGGTCAGGAGGAGCAGAGAAGTTTGGGCTGCCCATGAGGGAGCCAGGGATGGGGAGGGGCTGCTTGAGAATAATGGGTAAGGGAGGTTTGGGACCATTTGGGCACCGATGCCCTCATTCACTTATTCTCCCACTCATGCATGCATGCATGCATTCATTCATTCATGTGGTCAGTCACTCCTGTATGCAGCTTCAGGTGAGAGGCAGATGGCGCCTCCAAGGCAGGACTCAACCCCCAGAGCTGGGCATGGTGGCATCAGCAGGGCTTAGGGAGACAGCCCAGCCCCCTCACTGACCCTGTCTCCTTTTACAGCTATGACATCTGCATCTACAAGAACAAACCCTGCGGCACACTAGGTACCCGAGCCCCGTAGGTTTCAGGCGCCTATGAAGGCAGTGGGCTGGGGTGAGACCTGGCAGGTGGATGGGGCCAGCCAGCACCGTCCTGAGCCTCCCAGCCCCATCCCCACATGTCCGTCTTCCCAGGCCTGGCCCCGGTGGGCGGAATGTGTGAGCGCGAGAGAAGCTGCAGCGTCAATGAGGACATTGGCCTGGCCACAGCGTTCACCATTGCCCACGAGATCGGGCACACGTGAGGCCAGGGCACACAAGAGGGGGAGGAGGGGAGGAGCTGGGCGGGTCCCTCAGCGCCCGGCAGAGCCGACACCCCTTTCCCCAGATTCGGCATGAACCATGACGGCGTGGGAAACAGCTGTGGGGCCCGTGGTCAGGACCCAGCCAAGCTCATGGCTGCCCACATTACCATGAAGACCAACCCATTCGTGTGGTCATCCTGCAGCCGTGACTACATCACCAGCTTTCTAGAGTGAGGATGCACCTGGGTGTCCCTCAGAGCGGGTCACACTCATGGTGGGGCAGGGTACACGGGAGACGATAGAAATCAGGGATGCTCCCTGGGACCCCCATCCAGCTGAGGCTCCTGAGCTCTTGATTTGCAGCCACCTAGCATGACAGTTGCTTTTCTCTCGAGGCAGCTCGGGCCTGGGGCTCTGCCTGAACAACCGGCCCCCCAGACAGGACTTTGTGTACCCGACAGTGGCACCGGGCCAAGCCTACGATGCAGATGAGCAATGCCGCTTTCAGCATGGAGTCAAATCGCGTCAGTGTAAATACGGGGTAGAGAGAGTCTTCCTGCTTTCCTTCCTGGGAGGGGAGGGGGCCGCTGGGGCTGGGGGAGGGAACTCCACCAGGGCACCCACCTGGGAAGTGAGGGGGTGGGAGAACCGGGAAGGGGGGTGAGGTGAGCCCCCATGGTGACCTGGGAGGACAGAGGTGCATGGAGTGTGCAAAATGTCCTAAGCAATCAGACAGTGCTTGGGAACAAAAATGGGATCACCTGCTTCTCCAGACCCCTGATTTGAGGGCTGGGCTGGGGGGCCAGCTTCTGTCTGGCACATCACACCCCCTGTGGGCTACAGCAGGATCAAAGTCTCAAGACCTCTCACGGGGCAGTTTTTAACTAAACATCCAGTCCTGACGGAAATAATTTCCCTGGGGATGAGCCATCTTTCCTACTTGGCAAAGAACTAGACAGAACCTTCCAGGGACTCCCTGTCTGGAGGAGCTCTGAGCCTCCTGACCTCTCCCCACCCTTTCCTGAGGTTTAGATTCCCAAAGCCCCATTCGTGCATAGAGAAGGGCATTGGGGGGCAGGAGGTTCCACTCCCAGCTCCCCCCAGGAAGCTGAAGACCTGCTGGCTTCCTGCTTCAGCCACCAAGGTTCAGCCAGGATCTGCTCCTCCTCTGCCCACCTGCCTCGATTCCCTAAATGCACCCCTAAGCTCCTCACAGTCTCAGCCCTAGGGGCCCAGGTTCAGCCCCAGTTCTTCACACTATCACAACTCAAACGATCAGAGTTTTTGTGATGCCATGTTAATGCAAAGCAGAGGGCAAGCAGCTGCCAAATTGCCCTCCCTTCATTCCACTGCAAGACAGAGACAAACCCTGGAACAATTTCTATTTCACTGACATTCCACCCTTGACACCCCCCAACATCCTAACTTAGCTGGTAACTGCAGCACCCTCTAAGGAATTCCTAAAGAATTCTGAAGCTACTCCTCAACATCTGCTGTGACCCAGGTATCCTAACAATGATCATGGTGTCTGACATTTACTGAGCTCTCACTATGGGCTAAGCATGTGCTGTGTGTCACCATCTAAACTCCTGACAATCCTGCTAGCCCCCACGTTACAGAGGAAGGGACTGAGCCATAGCATAGGGAGGATGACTTGTCCAAGGCCACAGTTTGAGACCATGACAGAGCTGGGATTTAAATCCAGGTCTCTCATGACTCTCTAAATTTTACAAAGGGGCAGGGGAGGGGAGGAGCTGTCAAAATATCAAGCTTGGGCTGGCACTGGCTATATGTTGAATTGAGCCTTCCTTTTAGTTTTTGAAGGAACATCTTTCAGGCCATCTTGGCAAAGGGGGATTTATTTACTAAATGTGAACTGGTTAATATATGTAAAGGGTTCAGCCTGGTGCCTGGTCCAGAGATAGTGGTGGTCATTGTTACCCCATAATGGCATTGGTGCAAGTCCTTTCTTATCTATCCTGTCACGTGCCTCATAGCCATTTATATAGGCAAGACAGGCATTAGGCTGCCCATCTTGTAGATGAGTAAACTGAGGCCCAGAGAGGGGAAATATATTGCAAGTTGGTAGCAGAATTGAGGTCTCTGCACAACTCAAATATGCCACAGTGCCTCCTTGTGGAGAGGAGGACAAAAGCAGAGCTGAAATCATTATCTTGAAGAGGTGTCAGAAGTGGGATTGCGACAGGACTGATGTGATATTTTTAGATATGGCCAAGAGGACACAGTCTGAGTTTTTAGCTGAGAAATGTCCTCTATAAGGCAGAAGGCAGAGATTCTAGAGGACCTTTGAGGGAGAATGTATTTGAGAACAACTCTTCCAGCTTCTTACATATGTACAGGTATCTCTCAGGGGCTGACCTAGGAAGGGTCCTTTCCTGTGGCCATTGATCGATCCAGTCCCACATCTGGAAAGCTTACAAGAATTGGGTTCAAAGCGGGGATTACACTTGATAATTACAGAAGGACCACCTACTTCTTAGAGGAAAGACGCTGGGAGGTTGCTTAGGATGTGGGCCAAGAGGGTCAGAGAGGACCACCTACTTTTTAGAGGAAAGACGCTGGGAGGTTGCTTAGGATGTGGGCCAAGAGGGTCAGAGATTTTGCTTCACCTGAACTCACTGGGGCTTCTCCAGGGATATTAACCTGGACTTTAAGAGTCAGAGTGAGTCCCTGGGACTAGTTCAGCCCATCCAGGATTCAGACGGGAAGAAGGTGGGGCTGATTTTTCACCTGGAGAAAGAGAGGCATGTCCCACACAGACCTAACTCGGCATTGTCCCCTCCCAAACTCCCACCCCTCCACATAGCTTAAAAGTGTTGGGGGCTTCTCCAGTTTAGATGGGGGAACAAAGAGAACCAACAGCTGGAAAAAACTAGAGATGAGGCCGTTGGCCTAGTCATCATCCAGGCCGATTTCTCAGAACCACCACTTTCTCTTCGGCTACTTTGCCCATCCCATAAAAGAACCCCAAATCCTTCCTGTTCATTCCTCAGCAGTTCCCACGTTTCCTTCCAGAAACTCAGAAGGCACCAGGAACTGAATTGCAAAGTTCGTTAGAGCACAGACTCTGAATTAAAGAGCTGGGTTAAACTCCAGGCTATTCCCTTAGTAGCTGTGTGACCTTACCTGTCTGAAGCTTGGTTTTCTCCCAGTAAGATGGGGTAGTACTGCCTAAAGAGGTATATGGCATGTATAAAGTGCTCCATAAATGGAGCTTATTGGGAGAGTATAAGTCACAGGCCATGCCCCGCAAGGGGATGCACGAAGACCCACCGCGAGCCAGGAAGGGAGCACCGGGCTCTCTGCTCTGGGACCGGCAGTGAGCCGGACATCTGGGTCCTCCCAAGCCGGGCGGGCTGCCCCAGGGAGGAAGGGAGGGGGGCGAGCCTGAGCGGGCACCTCGGCCCGCAGGAGGTCTGCAGCGAGCTGTGGTGTCTGAGCAAGAGCAACCGGTGCATCACCAACAGCATCCCGGCCGCCGAGGGCACGCTGTGCCAGACGCACACCATCGACAAGGGGGTGAGCGCCGGCCAGGGCCCCCAACTGGGCCACGCCCCCTGAGCCACCTCCCGCGTTGGCCACGCCTACCCGCCTGTCCTTCGGCCTATTATCTGCTCCCTCCCACATTGGCCACGCCCGCCATTTGTGCTCCCTCGGCTGTGGCCACGCCTACTGCTTGCTCCTTCCCGCGTTGGCCACGCCCACCGTCTATGCGTCCCTTGGTTCTGGCCACGCCTACTGTTTAACTCCCTCCCGCGTTGGCCACGCCCACCGTGTAATGATTCCCACGGCTCTGGCCACGCCTACTGTTTGCTCTCTCCCTCATTGGCCACGCCCATCCCCTGTGCTGCCCTCGGCTCTGGCCACGCCTACTGCCTGTAGACCTCCCCTCCCCAGCCTGAAGCCACGCCCCACCTCGTCTCCACGCTTATCGTGGTCCTGTCTACACCCCTCCCCGTTAAGCACCCTGTGCTCAGGCCACGCCTCTCGCTTGTACCTGGTCTGTCTCCCAGACCACTCTCCTACGTAACCTGACTCTGTTCGCATGTTCAGACCCCGCCTCTGCCCATCCCGGAGAGGCTGATATCTCTGGCTGGGGCCTGGAGTGGGGAACGGTGCATGGGGCCGACGAGTGTCCTCCGGGCTGGACTCACTCCTTCCTGTCTCCCCCCACCCAGTGGTGCTACAAACGGGTCTGTGTCCCCTTTGGGTCGCGCCCAGAGGGTGTGGACGGAGCCTGGGGGCCGTGGACTCCATGGGGCGACTGCAGCCGGACCTGTGGCGGCGGCGTGTCCTCTTCTAGCCGTCACTGCGACAGCCCCAGGTCAGCCCTCAGGACCCCCACCCGGGAGGGCAGCGCGACCCCTGCCCCCATCGCCCACTGCCTCATCCCTCTCCTATCCCACCACCCTTTCCAGGCCAACCATCGGGGGCAAGTACTGTCTGGGTGAGAGAAGGCGGCACCGCTCCTGCAACACGGATGTGAGTTCCCCCAAACCCCTTGAGGGGTGGGGGGAGGAAGCATTAAAAACAGCTATCAGAGGCCGGGCACCGTGGCTCACGCCTGTAATCCCAACACTTTGGGAGGCCAAGGCAGGCGGATCACGAGGTCAGGAGATCGAGACCATCCTGGCTAACATAGTGAAACCCCGTCTCTACTAAAAATACAAAAATTAGCTGGGCGTGGTGGCAGGCGCCTGTAATCCCAGCTACTCGGGAGGCTGAGGCAGGAGAATCGCTTGAACCCGGGAGGCGGAGGCTGCAGTGAGCCGAGATCGCACCACTGCACTCCAGCCTGGGTGACAGAGCGAAACTCCATCTCAAAAAAAAAAAAAAAAACAAAAACGCTATCAGAGTGCTTCATCCAGGCACCTGCTGCCTCCTGGGGAACCTGCAGCCGCCACCCCTCTCTTCCCTCCTCTCCCTGACCCCCACCACCTTCTCGTCCCCAACCCCTCCTCCTTAAAGACCTGGCTCCTTCCAGCTCTCTTTTCCTCCTACATTTAGACTACAAGCCCCCACCTTGAAATCACTGCTTGGCCCTCACAACCCCCTACCATCCAGTCTCTCCCCTCCCTTTACAGCCCAACTTCCCCTGAAGAGTCCTACCCCTGCCTTCTGTCATCCCCCAAAGTTGTAGCTGAAGCTTCCTCTCACCAAACCCAGTGACAGGTGTCTGTCCTCTGCTTGTGCCCTCAGCTGACCTGCAACCATCAGTGAGCAGTGAGAAGTTTACTGGGGAGGGGGTGTTTTAGAGGGCAGTGAGAGCTTTGGACTTTTCAGCCTCCCAGCTGGGGGGAACCAGGTCTTCAGAGAATCCACATGCTAGCACTTTCTATAAACCCTGATCCCTTCCAGACCTTCTCTCTCAAGAAAGACTCCATGTGGCCAGGTGCAGTGGCTCACACCTATAATCCCAGCACTTTGGGAGGCTGAGGCAGGCAGATCACCTGAGGTCAGGAGTTCGAGACCATCCTGGCCAACATGGCAAAACCCCATCTCTACTAAAAATACAAAAATTAGGCCGGATGAGGTGGCTCATGCCTGCAATCCCAGCACTTTGGGAGGCCGAGGCGGGTCAATCACCTGAGGTCAGGAGTTCGAGACCAGCCTGGCTAACATGGTGAAACCCCGTCTCTACTAAAAATACAAAAAATTAGCCAGGCGTGGTGGCACGCGCCTGTAGTCCCAGCTACTTGGGAGGCTGAGGCAGGAGAATCACTTGAATCCAGGAAGCGGAGGTTGCAGTGAGCCGAGATTGTGTCACTGCACTCCAACTAGGGCAACGAGAGCGAAACTCTGTCTAAAAATAAATAAATAAATAAATAAATAATGCAAAAATTAGCCAGGCATAGTGGCATGCACCTGTAATCCCAGCTACTCGGGAGGCTGAGGCAGAAGAATTGCTTGAACCCAGGAGATGGAGGTTGCAATGAGCTAAGATCATGCACTGTACCCCAGCCTGGGCGACAGAGTGAGATTCTGTCTCAAAAAAGAAAAAAAATGCAAGCAAGCAAGAAAGATTCCATAGCCTGGAACCAGAAACCCAGGTGTGTCCTGCCCAGCTCACCCTCAGACCTCTAATGAGGGATCCAGTCCTATCCCAGATGTGTCTACACGCCCAGCCCAGGCTACCTTCCAGGCCTAGTCTCACGCAGACCACCACAGCCTCCTCCCTGGCCTCCCTGCCTCTAGCCTCCCTCCTCCAGCCCATCTTTCTCTGAGCACCCCTTTTCTGACTCCATCCCCCCAAGCCTGGCCTCCCTCCATCTCTCCTCTCCTGCCCCCAGGACTGTCCCCCTGGCTCCCAGGACTTCAGAGAAGTGCAGTGTTCTGAATTTGACAGCATCCCTTTCCGTGGGAAATTCTACAAGTGGAAAACGTACCGGGGAGGTGAGTGTGGGACTCCAAAGGCTGTGGGGCCGTGAAGGGCAGCCGTGGGAGTGTCCAGCAGCAGGTGGATGAATGCAGCATCCCGGGGTCTGCCCTGAGCCCTGTCCCCACCCGGGGAGACAGAGTACCTGGGATACGGTACCATGGGGGTTCAACGTGACGCTGGGAGCCCCCACTCCCTCTGCCCAAGCTGCCCTTCCTCTTGGGTCTGGGGTCTGTCCCTCTTGGCCTCACTCCCCCAGGGAGCAAGCAAAGAGTTCCGGGGTGGCCTGGCCCGTGGTGTGACGGGGCCGTGCCCCCCAGGGGGCGTGAAGGCCTGCTCGCTCACGTGCCTAGCGGAAGGCTTCAACTTCTACACGGAGAGGGCGGCAGCCGTGGTGGACGGGACACCCTGCCGTCCAGACACGGTGGACATTTGCGTCAGTGGCGAATGCAAGGTGGAGGGGACTCCCAGGGAGGTGGAGAGGGGATGGGGAGCGGGGGTGGGTTAGGGGGTCGCCTCACTCACGCCTTCTCCACGCAGCACGTGGGCTGCGACCGAGTCCTGGGCTCCGACCTGCGGGAGGACAAGTGCCGAGTGTGTGGCGGTGACGGCAGTGCCTGCGAGACCATCGAGGGCGTCTTCAGCCCAGCCTCACCTGGGGCCGGTGAGAGTCTCCAGCTTCCCTCCCACACTCCCTGCATGGGCCAGCTGACTGCAGGTGGAACTGATCCCAGTGCAGTAGCTGAGATCACTAACTCCTCAGACCCCAGGGGCCCCGTGGAGTGTCAGGAGTCCCCAAAAGTCCTGCGGGCTCAGCCAGGTGAAGTGGCTCAAGCCTATAATCCCATCGCTTTTGGAGGCCGAGGCAGGATGATCACTTGAGGCCAGGAGTTTGAGACCAGCCTGGCCAACATGGTGAAACCCTGTTTCTACTAAAAATACAAAAATTAGCTGGGCGTGGTGGCGAGCACCTGTAATCCCAGCTACTCAGGAAGCTGAGGCACGAGAACTGCTTGAACCTGGGAGGTGGAGGTTGCAGTGAGCCGAGATCACACCACTGCACTCCAGTCTGGGCGACAGAGCGAGGCTCTGTCTCAAAAAAAAAAGAGTGTCTCAGGAGACAGGAGCCCGAATCTGTCTCCTCTGCCTCCTGGAGAAGCTCATGCCACGTCTGGGTGGAAGCAAGCATCACTTTCCATCCTCTGTGAGCCAGAGGAGCTGCGAGAATGAATGTTCTGTGCTAGCAGGGAAAGGCTTACTACGGGAGGGGATATTCAGAGAATGTAGAAAGCACCTTTTCCAGCTTGGGCTTTGGGCAAGTGACAGAGAGCCCAGGGAGTGGGCAAGAGGGGAGGAGGCTCAGGAAATATCTGGAAGGCTGAGGAAGCCGTAGGCACTGTCAGAGGGAGGGAGTGTGTCCAGGTGAGGCAGGAGTAGGTTGCAGAGTGTGAGTTTCAGTCCCCAGGTAGAGTCCCATTGGGGTTTTATAATAAGCAGCCTGGCCGCTGGCATCAAAAGTGAGACAGGCACGGTGGCTCACACCTGTAATCCCAGGGCTTTGGGAGGCTGAAGCGGGAGGATCCCTTGAGCCCAGGAGTTTGAGACCAGCCTGGGCAACCTAGGGAGACCCCAACTCTACAAAAAAAAAAATTTTTTTTGAGACAGAGTCTCAATCTGTCACCCAGGCTAGAATGCAGTGGCTTGATCTCGGCTCACTGCAACCTCTGCCTCCCAGGTTCAAGAAATTCTCCTGCCTCACCATCCCAAGTAGCTGAGACTACAGACATGCACTACATGCCCGGCTAATTTTTGTATCTTTAGAAGAGATGGGGTTTCACCATATTGGCCAGGCTGGCCTGGAACTCCTGACCTCAAGCGATCCACCCACCTAAGCCTCCCAAAGTGCTAGGATTACAGGTGTGAGCCACCACACCCGGCCAAACTCTACAAAATTCTTTTTTTTTTTTTTTTTTTTGAGATGGGGTCTCGCTCTGTCACACAGGCTAGAGTGCAGTGGTGCCATCTCAACTCACTGCAAGCTCCACCTACCAGGTTCATGCCATTCTCCTGCCTCAGCCTCCCAAGTAGCTGGGACTACAGGAGCCCGCCACCACGCCTGGCTAATTTTTTGTATTTTTAGTAGAGATGGGGTTTCACCGTGTTAGCCAGGTTGGTCTCAATCTCCTGACCTCATGATCTGCCCGCCTCAGCCTCCCAATGTGCTGGGATTATAGGCGTGACCACTGTGCCCGGCTACAAAATTCTTTTAATTAGGCGGGTGTGGTGGTGTACACCTGTAGTTCCAGCTGCTCGAGAGGCTGAGAGGCAGGAGGATCCCTTGAGCCCAGGAGGTCAAGGCTGCAGTAACCTATGATCGCACCACTGCACTCCAACCTGGGTGACAGAGTGAGATCCTGTCTGAAAAAAAAAAAAAGCTGGCCAGGCTCATACCGGTGCTCCCAGCACTTTGGGAGGCTGAGGCAAGAGGATCACTTGAGCCCAGGAGTTTGAGACCAGCCTGAGCAACTTAAGGAGACCCCCAACTCTACAAAAAAAAAAAAAAAAAAAAAAAGGTTTTTTAGTTAGCCAGGTGTGGTGGCTCACGCCTGTAGTCCCAGCTACTCCAGAGGCTGAGGTGGGAGGATCACCTAAGCCTAGGAGTCTGAGGCTGTAGCAAGCCAAGATCACTTCACTGCACTCCAGCCTGGGCAACAGAGACATCCTGTCTCCAAAAAAAAAAAAGAAAGAAAGAAAGAAAGAAAAATCCTAACCCAGTCATTTCCTAGCTGTAAAACCTGGTCAA
Source organism: Homo sapiens (assembly GCF_000001405.40). NCBI lineage: Eukaryota > Metazoa > Chordata > Mammalia > Primates > Hominidae > Homo > Homo sapiens. Next base: position 8,587,102 of record NC_000019.10, on the reverse strand, counting down.
GTTCCTTAGCTTCTCTGAGCCTCAGTTTTGTCAGCCCTAAAATGGGGATAATGAAACACCTGGTTCACAAGGGTGGGGCAGGGGTGCAGTTAGATGTGTGTTTAGCGCAGTAATAGTTAGCTGTTATCCTCATGGGCCGGGGACAGGGGAGGCAGGCAGGTGTTGGGGACATGCCAAGTGGGTGACATCTGAGCTCTGCTGTTCAGGGTACGAGGATGTCGTCTGGATTCCCAAAGGCTCCGTCCACATCTTCATCCAGGATCTGAACCTCTCTCTCAGTCACTTGGGTGAGCAGATGGTGGGGAGGGGATGAGGATTAGGGGTCAGTGGGGAGGGCGGTTTCAGCATGACTAGAATTCTGAACCCTGCATCGTCCCCCAGCCCTGAAGGGAGACCAGGAGTCCCTGCTGCTGGAGGGGCTGCCTGGGACCCCCCAGCCCCACCGTCTGCCTCTAGCTGGGACCACCTTTCAACTGCGACAGGGGCCAGACCAGGTCCAGAGCCTCGAAGCCCTGGGACCGATTAATGCATCTCTCATCGTCATGGTAACAGGGAGACTGGGGGCAAGGTGCAGCCTTTGGAATTAGAGACTCCATGCGATCCTTCCACTGGCTGCCGCCCCCTTTCTCCAGGTGCTGGCCCGGACCGAGCTGCCTGCCCTCCGCTACCGCTTCAATGCCCCCATCGCCCGTGACTCGCTGCCCCCCTACTCCTGGCACTATGCGCCCTGGACCAAGTGCTCGGCCCAGTGTGCAGGCGGTGAGGCCGGGGGTGGGGGAAGGCACAAGATACCTGGGCTGAGGTTCTCTGGGCCGGGAGGGGCTGAGCAGGCCTCTCACCCTCCCCTCCAGGTAGCCAGGTGCAGGCGGTGGAGTGCCGCAACCAGCTGGACAGCTCCGCGGTCGCCCCCCACTACTGCAGTGCCCACAGCAAGCTGCCCAAAAGGCAGCGCGCCTGCAACACGGAGCCTTGCCCTCCAGAGTGAGTGCCGCCAGGGGGCAGTGTTGCTCAGGGTGAGAGGAGAGTACTCCCTGGAGTCAAGAGCGAGTGCTCCAGGGGGGTGGGGAGCAGATTAGTGCAGAGTCGGAGTGACAGTGGGCCGAGTGCTGCAGTGATGGTTCTATAGGAGTTATGGGGGAGTCCAAGGTAATAGTGCCCCCAAGGTGGCGGTCAAAGCTGCATGGCCCTGGAGTCAGAATGATGGCGCTGCCTGGTCACTCGCATTGTCCAAAGATTTATTTCTCCTTAGGGTAATGCACCTCTCTGCCCCCAGTCTGGGTGCAGGCTAACGATGCCCCAAGTGTGGAATGTGGAGGTGCCTGGTGCCAGTTTCCATATGAGGCTGGGTGATTGGAAGGGTGGGGGTAGGCTATAGTGCCCCCTGCTGTTGTGTTGGGACCCCCTGCCCTGCTTACTTGCTCAGACCCCTTCATCTCTTACAGCTGGGTTGTAGGGAACTGGTCGCTCTGCAGCCGCAGCTGCGATGCAGGCGTGCGCAGCCGCTCGGTCGTGTGCCAGCGCCGCGTCTCTGCCGCGGAGGAGAAGGCGCTGGACGACAGCGCATGCCCGCAGCCGCGCCCACCTGTACTGGAGGCCTGCCACGGCCCCACTTGCCCTCCGGAGTGGGCGGCCCTCGACTGGTCTGAGGTCAGCCGCCCCCTTCCTTCGCGCCCACTGGGATGCCCAGGTGGGGTGTCCACGGAGACGCCTCTGCGCGGTCTCCAGGTTAGCTGTCCCCTCCTCACTTCGCACTGGGGCAGCACCCTGAGCACGAAACGCCCCTTCCAACTGCAGTGCACCCCCAGCTGCGGGCCGGGCCTCCGCCACCGCGTGGTCCTTTGCAAGAGCGCAGACCACCGCGCCACGCTGCCCCCGGCGCACTGCTCACCCGCCGCCAAGCCACCGGCCACCATGCGCTGCAACTTGCGCCGCTGCCCCCCGGCCCGCTGGGTGGCTGGCGAGTGGGGTGAGGTAGGAGGGCGCGCCCCAGAGGGGTGGGGGCCAGGGCAGGGGCTGCGGGGCAGCAACTGAGTGGTGCCCCCTCGCAGTGCTCTGCACAGTGCGGCGTCGGGCAGCGGCAGCGCTCGGTGCGCTGCACCAGCCACACGGGCCAGGCGTCGCACGAGTGCACGGAGGCCCTGCGGCCGCCCACCACGCAGCAGTGTGAGGCCAAGTGCGACAGCCCAACCCCCGGGGACGGCCCTGAAGGTATGTGGGTGACCAGCCAGGGTGCGCCAGGAGGGTCCTGGCCAGAGGCAGCCACAGAGGGCATTGGGGGTCCTGACTTCATCCTAGAACTTCTGGAACCTCGGAAATGCATTGCTGTGTCTCTGCCAGGCCATCCTTCACCATCCCCTCCCTGCAAGCATTTATTAAGTGCCACTGTATGCTGAGTGTTTCAGGCACCTGACCCTTCTGTGCACCCAAACTTGTGACATTTCCCCAGTCACTTTCATAACCTGTACCTATTCATCTCCACCTGTAGCACAATTTCCTGAATATTTTTCCTTTAAATCGGTTTTTCAACCTCAGGCACTAGTGACATTTTGAGCTAGATGATTGCCGTGGGGAGCTGTCCAGCACATTGTAGGGTTTTTTGTTTGTTTGTTTTTCTTTTTTGGAGAGATGGGGTCTTGCTGTGTTACTCAGGCTGGTCTCCAACTCCTGGGCTCAAGCGATCCTCCCACCTCAGCCTCCCAAAGTGCTGGGATTTGTGCCAGCCTGTAAGATGTTCAGCAGCATCCCCGGCTTCTACCCACTGGGTGCCAGTAGCAGCCTTCTCCCAAGTTATGACAACTAAAAACGTCTCCAGACATTGCCCAATGTCCCCTGGGGGTCAAAATCGATCACTTCCCTTGAGAACCACTGCTTTTAAGTATACACATTTTTTTCTGCCTAGGTAATTTTTTTTATTTTTTTATTTACTTTTTTTTTTTTTTTTTTTTTTTGAGATGGAGTCTCGCTGTCACCCAGGCTGGAGTGCAGTGACCTGATCTCGGCTCACTGCAACCTCCGCCTCCTGGGTTCAATCGATTCTCCTGCCTCAGCCTGCTGAGTAGCTGGGAGTACAGGTGCCCGCCACCACACCCAGCTAATTTTTGTATTTTTAGTAGAGACAGGGTTTCACCATGTTGGCCAGGCTGGTCTCAAACTCCTGACCTTGTGATCCGCCGGCCTTGGCCTCCCAAAGTGCTGGGATTAAAGGCGTGAGCCACCATGCCCAGCCTTATTTACTTATTTATTTTTGAGACCGGGACTCACTTTGTCACCCACGTTGGAGTGCAGTAGAGCGATCTCGGCTCACTGCAACCTCCACCTCCCAGGCTCAAGCGATCCTCCTGTCTCAGCCCCAAGTCTCCCCAAGGACTACAGGCAAGAGCCACAGTGCCCAGTTAATTTTTGTATTCTTGTATTCTTTGATAGAGACGGGGTTTTTCTATGTAGCCCAGGCTGGTCTTGAACTCCTGGCCTCAAGTAATCCACCCGCCTCGGCCTCCCAAAGTGCTGGGATTACAGGCGTGAGCCACTGCGCCTGGCTGTAAATTTTTTTTTTTCTTGTTTTGAGACAAAGTCTCACTCTGTCACCCAGGCTGTAGTGCAGTGGCATGATCTCAGCTCACTGCAACCTCCACCTCCTGGGTACAAGTGATTCTCCTGCCTCAGCCTCCTGAGCAGCTGGGATTACAGGCACGTGCCACCATGACCAGCTAATTTTTGTATTTTTAGTAGAGATGGGGTTTCACCATATTGGCCAGGCTGGTCTCGAATTCCTGACCTCAGGTGATCTGCCCGCCTTGGCCTCCCAAAGTGCTGGGATTACAGGCATGAGCCACCGCGCCAGGTCCATAAATTTATTTTTGATAGAGAACAATTAATTCCTTAGTCTGGGCACTGCAACCAAACTACCTGGGTTCATCTTCCACCTCTGTGTTTTTGTTTCTTTATCTGTCACGGGATGTAAATGATATATTCACTTGAGGGGTGCCCCAGAAGGGAGATGCAATAAAATGATCCACCCAGGCCGGGCGAGGTGGCTCATGCCTGTAATCCCAGCACTTTGGGAGGCTGAACTGGAAAGATTGCCTGAGCCCAGGAGTTGGAGACCAGCCTGAGAGACATAGTAAGACACCTGTATCTACAAAAAATAAAATTAGGCTGGGCGTGGTGGCTCACGCCTGTAATCCCAACACAATGGGAGGCCAAGGTGGGCAGATCACCTGAGGTCAGGAGTTTGAGACTAACCTGGCCAGCATGGCGAAACCCCAGATCTACTAAGAATACAAAAATTAGACAGGGGTGGTGGCATGTGCCTGTAATCCCAGCTACTCGGGAGGCTGAGGCAGGAGTGTCTCTTGAACCCAGGAGGTGGAGGTTGCAGTGAGCCAAGATTGTGCCACTGCACTCCAGCCTGGGCGACCAAAAAAAAAAAAAAAATCCATCTGTAGCTTTTAATTCGCCCCTGGTCCTGCCATAAATCACTGGCCGCTAGATGGAAGCTCATATCCATCCATAGTCATCAACAGACATCATGATCACACAAAATAGTCAATGTTCTGAAAAATACCCTGACTCACCCACTCAGCTGGGACTCAAGAGCTTCAGGTTTTGTTTTGTTTGTTTTTGTTTTGCTTTGTTTTGAGACGGAGTCTCACTGTCGCCCAGGCTGGAATGCAGTGATGCAATCTCCGCTCACTGCAAGCTCCACCTCCCAGGTTCACGCCATTCTCCTGCCTCAGCCTCCTGAATAGCTGGGACTACAGGCGCCTGCCACCACGCCCGGCTAATTTTTGTATTTTTAGTAGAGACGGGGTTTCACCATGTTAGCCAGGATGGTCTCGATCTCCTGACCTCATGATCCGCCCGACTCAGCCTCCCAAAGTGCTGTGATTACAGGCGTGAGCCACCATGCCCGGCCTATCTTCACTTTATTAAAAAAGAAAACGAGTGAGGATTACAGCCCCAAATGGACATTTTTTCCTGGGTGCTATGAAAAGGAACAATGGAAAGGAAAGGGAATATTTGTCTTCTTTTGTTTTATTGGGTCGTGTTTGTTTGTTTGTTTGTTTGTTTGTTTGACAGGGTCTCGCTCTGTCGCCCAGGCTAGAGTGCAGTGGTGCCATCATAGCTCACTGCAGCCTCCACCTCCTGGGCTCAAGCGATCCTCCAGCCTCAGCCTCTTGAGTAGCTGGGACTACAGGCACATGCCACAACACCCGGCTAATTTTTCCTTTTTTTTTTTTTTGTTTTTTTGTTTTTTTGTTTTGTTTTGTGACAGAGTCTCGCTCTGTCTCCCAGGCTGGAGTACAGTGGTGCAATCGCGGCTCACTGAAACCTCTGCCTCCCGGGTTCAGGCAATTCTCCTGCCTCAGGCTGTCGAGTAGCTGGGATTACAGGCACCCGCCACCACGCCCAGCTAATTTTTATATTTTTAGTAGAGATGGGGTTTGATCACGTTGGCCAGGCTGGTTTCAAACTCCCGACCTGAAGTGATCCACCTGCCTCGGCCTCCCAAAGTGCTGAGATTACAGGCATGAGCCACCATGCCCAGCCTATTTTTTTCTTTTAATTAGTTTTTGTAGATGCAGTGCTCTCACTATGTTGCCCAGGCTGGTCTCAAACTCCTGGGCTCAAGCAGTCCTCCTGCCTTGGTCTCCCAAAGTGCTGGGATTACAGGCATGATACACTGTACCCGGCCCTTTTCTCATTACTAATGTGTCTGTGTTGGCCCCCAACCCTACACTCTCTCTCTTAAATCCTCAAAACAGCCTAGTGACATCGGTGCTATTATAAGCCCCCTTTGATAGTTGAGGAAACTAAGGCACAGAAGTCAGGCGTGGTTTGCTCACACCTGTAGTCCCAACTACTTAGGAGGCTGAGGTGAGAGGATCACTTGAGCTCAAGAGGTGGAGACCAGCCTGGTCAACATAGCAAGATAACATCTGTAAAAAAAAAAAAAAAAAAAAAAAAAAAAAGTAAATTTAAAAAGAAAGAAACCAAGGCACAGAAAGTCACTGGCCAGGAAGCACTGCAGGTCGTGTGTGCAGCCCTGCGGGGAGGGCAGCTGAGACCTGATTTTTCCTTCCTTCTCCCGTCCCCGCAGAGTGCAAGGATGTGAACAAGGTCGCCTACTGCCCCCTGGTGCTCAAATTTCAGTTCTGCAGCCGAGCCTACTTCCGCCAGATGTGCTGCAAAACCTGCCATGGCCACTAGGGGGCGCGCGGCACCCGGAGCCACAGCTGGCGGGGTCTCCGCCGCCAGCCCTGCAGCGGGCCGGCCAGAGGGGGCCCCGGGGGGGCGGGAACTGGGAGGGAAGGGTGAGACGGAGCCGGAAGTTATTTATTGGGAACCCCTGCAGGGCCCTGGCTGGGGGGATGGAGAGGGGCTGGCTATCCCCCCAGAGCCCCTCTTCAGCATCCGCCCCTTCCAGTTCACATAGTGAGACCCCCCCTCCAGGGTGGGTCTGGGGAGGGGACAGCTGTTCACCCCAGCACCCTTTGAACCCACCCTTAGGGAGTCCCCAACACTCCCCCCCTCCTTTGATCGGAATATGTACTGTGAAGAGTAGGGGTGGGGAGGTGGTCTGCCGGTGCCCTGCCCCCCAGCACTGCCCTACCCCTCCACTCCGAGCTGGGGGGGAATCTGTGTCTGCTATGGGAGGGGGGGGGGTAGCACCACCTCCCTGACACCCTCCCCTGACCTGACTAGGGGGAGGATCCACCCCAACCTCTGCCCTGCCCGCCCCAGGGGCACCCCGACATCCAGGCCACCCCCTCATGGTGCTACAGACCCTGCCCTGGGGCCCACACACTCCTGCCAGGAAGCCCTACATCAATAAAGTTCTGTCTTGTGTAGATTTCTACGAATTGCGGTGTGTGTGTGTCAGTGCATCCAGTAGCCCCCACCCAGGTCTGGAAAGGACCACCCATTCTCCCAGGTCTACCCAACAGCCAAAAGGGGACTTCTTTTTTTTTTTTCCTGAGACGGTCCCTGTCGCCCAGCTATGCCTATCATAGCTCACTGCAGCCTTGATCTCCTGGACTCAAGTGATCCTCCCACTTCCACCTTCTGAATAGCTGGGACTACAGGCGTGCACGACCACACCCAGCTGATTTATTTATTTTTTTTTTTTATTTTTTTTTTTTTTTGAGACGGAGTCTTGCACTGTTGCCCAGGCTGGAGTGCAGTGGCACGATCTCGGCTCACTGCAAGCTCCGCCTCCTGGGTTCATGCCATTCTCGCCTCAGCCTCCCGAGTAGCTGGCACTACAGGCGCCCGCCAACATGCCCAGCTAATTTTTTGTACTTTTTTAGTAGAGACGGGGTTTCACCGTGTTAGCCAGGATGGTCTCGATCTCCTGACCTCGTGATCTGCCCGCCTCGGCCTCCCAGAGTGCTGGGATTACAGGCATGGGCCACCGTGCCCAGCCAGAAGGGGACTTTTAACATTGCAGACAGGAACCCAGGGATTTTAGGAGAAAAGTACAACAGCTTCTCGTGGAAGGGTTTTGCTTTTTTGTTTTTGTTTTTTGAGACAGGGTCTCACTCTGTAGCCCAGGCTGGAGTTCAGTGGCACGATCTCAGCTCACTGCAGCCTTGAACTCCTGGGCTTAAACGATTCTCCTGCCTACCCTGCCAAGTAACTGAGATTATAGGTGCAACAGCACACCTAGCTGATTTTTTAATTTTTTGTAGAGACGAGGTCTTGCTATGTTGCCCAAGCTGGTCTGGAACTCCTGGGCTCAAGCGATCCTCCCACCTCAGCCTCCCAAAGTTCTGGGATTACAGGCATCAGCCACCATGCCTGGCCCTCACAGAGGCTCTTAAAGCCACACGGTCTAGCACCTGCCACCCTGGCCATCACACTCTCCGTCACTCCGCATGCTCCAGCCACACCAGCCTCCCCGAACTTCCTCAATTGCCCTATGGTTTTCCCATATCTGGGCCTTTGCTTGAGCGCTTAGCATGGCCAGGTGCACGCTCCTGCCCCTTTACCTTTTTTAACTCCAGCTTACTCGCCGGTGTCAGCACAAACGTTGCCTCTTCCTAGAAGCCTCCCCTGATGGCCCCCAACAAAGTGGGGTCCTCTTACCCATTCATATTCACTCTTGAGTGCCTGGAGACATTGCTGAGAATTGCATGCCCCAAGCCCGTCAATTCTGCAAACTCGCTCAGGAGATTCCAGCAGAGACGGGCTCCTTCCCAGCTGTGGCCACTAGGGGCGCTGCATATTAACATCTTCAAGGGGGATGCGGGTTTATCGCCCTGGACCAAAGATAGATCTGAACATGGGTCCCCCAGGGTCTCCCAGGGTCGGGTCCTGCCTCGGCCACCTCCTTGCTGGGTGGTGTGGGGAAGTAACAACCTATTAGAACTGCCATTTCCTCACATGTCAAGAGGAGCCTCAGGTGGTTGGCTGGTGTCCCAAAGACCAGCTCATAGGCTGACACGTACCTGGGCCAGGCTCTGCTGGGGGGACCCACGTTCCCATTTTACAATGAGAAAAGGGAGTAACTAAGTCATCCAGGAAGTAGCCAAACTGGAGGCTGTTAAATCTAGATGTGACATCCAAAGTCAGGGACCTTTCAGATGCACCTGCTTCCCAGTACCCTCCACTTCTGCACACAAACACGTGTGACTTCTGAGGGTCATCTAAAGAGGGAGGTTGGGCCAGGCGTGGTGGCTTATGCCTGTAATCCCAGCACTTTGGGAGGCCGAGTTGGGAGGATCACCTGAGGTCAGGAGTTCAAGGCCGGCCTGGCCAACATGGCGAAATTCCGTCTCTACTAAAAATACAAATATTAGCCAGGTGTGGCGGTGGGCACCTGTAATCCCAGCTACTCAGGAGGCTGAGGCAGGAGAATCGCTTGAACCCAGGAGGCGGAGATTAAAGTAAGCTGAGATTGCACCACTGCATTCTAGCCTGGGTGACAGAGCTAGACTCCGTCTCAAAATAATAACAATAATAATAATGAAGGAGGTTGCCCAGGGATGCCCAGAGCAGACACAGCTGAAGAAGGCACCCTTCCCTGTTGTTGTTGTTTTTTTGGTTTTTTTGTTTTTTCTGGTTTGTTTTTAGAGACAGGGTCTCACTCTTTCGCCCAGGCTGGAGTGCAGTGGCGCAATCAGGGCTCACTGAGGCCTCCACCTCCCAGGTTCAAGCAATCCTCCCACCTCAGCCCTCTGAGTAGCTGGGACTGCAGGCTCATGCCACCATGCCCAGCTAATTTTTTTTCTTTTCATTTTTTGTAGAGATGGGGTCATGCTATATAGCCCAGGCTGGTCTCAAACTCCTGGACTCAAGCGATCCTCCAACCTTGGCCCCCCAAAGTATTGGGATTACAGGCGTGAGCCACCTCCCCTGGGCCCCTTCCTTGGTTTTAAAAAGAGACCCGGGAAGCCCAAATGCTTCCTGAATCGCCCTGAAAAGAGGTGGTTCGTCCTGCAGCCAGCTGACCCAAATGTTCCTGCAGCAGCCCTGTCCCCAAGGAGTTGGGGAAGAGGCCTCTGAGGTCCAGTAGTGGCTGCCATCAAGTTCTGACCCCTCCCTTCAGGCTCAGAGCCCCAAACAGCCAGCTCCCCGCCCCCCTCCACACCCAGCTTCCCTCCCCCATGGCCTCGGCCCCTCCCGCCAAAGGAAGTGAGAAGGGGCTGTTGTAAGAGGAACTAAAGCCGGGAGTCCGGTGAACGGGCAGAAGCAGGGCCATGCCCAAGCCACCCCCAAGATCCCCCTGAACCTGCACCTCCATCACGACCCATTCAGGAGCCTCCAGGAGCCCAGACACCAGCCCCCCACCATGGTAAGTCCTTCAAGGGTGGGATCTGGAAGAAGAAAGAGGAGGGACACCAGCCAGGTGGAGGTGTCCTAAAAATGACCATCAGAAATTGGGGTGAGGGGAGGGGCATGGTGGACTTCTGTGGGGGTGGGGTGTCTCTCAGTGCAGCTCAGGTGCCTCCAGCATCCCTTACCAGGGAGCAAGCTCCCATCTGTAGGTGGTGGGGATGCCAGGGTGGTATCCCTGGATCCAAGGATAGGGCAGGACCTGGAAGACAGAAGGTGGCCCAGGGAGAATCACAGAGTCTGCAGGGACAAGGACATAGCCTCCTTTGCTTGCAAATTAAGGGAGCCCTTTCCCAGTCCAGCCCAGTCTCTCGTCTCCCTGTGTAGCCTTGGGCTAGTCACTTCCCCTCTCTTGGCCCCGGTTCCCACAGATGTCATATTTGGAAATCCGTCTAGATGCGGAAGTTGCTCTTCAGGGGTCTTTCAGTTGCAACATTCTCAAGGTCTGTGGGTTCTGCCACAGAGTCCTCGGCTGAGATGGGAAGCTATGTCTAACAAGCGATGGGGTGGATTGACGCCCTCCCTGTGCCGGTGACGGGCGGTATGGCTGCAGCAGAGGCAGGAGAGGCTGAATACGTCCATGCCACCCTTTGGTGGGCATCCCTTATCCCAAGAGGAGGATGGCAGCCAGAGGTGTTGCTGCCTGTCAAGTCTGAGGTCTGTCGATGATAGCAACGGGGAGACTGTCGTGATCATGGCGCTATTCCTAGCAGTATCGTACCACCATAAGACGCAAAGTAAGAGGTGGCCAGGGCTGACCCCACCCCACAGCTCTCTGCTGTGTAGACCACTTCAGCTTTCATTTCTCGTCATTCAGTCAGTGAGGATGAGAGCATGTGGCTGTGACAGCGGCCACTGCAGGATTCTTGGCAGGTACAGCTTACTAGGGTGGAGTCAGGGACATAGGGCAAGAGGCAGAGGTGGTGTTAGTCTGAGAGACAACACCTTCTTTCAGGAAGCCAGTGAGGGCCAGGGACAGTGGCTCATGCCTGTAATCCCAGCATTTTAGGAGGCTGAGACAGGTAGATCACTTGAGGTCAGGTGTTCGAGACCAGCCTGGCCAACGTGGTGAAACCTCGTCTCTACTAAAAAATACAAAAAATTAACTGGGCGTGGTGGCACACGCCTGTAATCCCAGCTACATATGAGGCTGAGGCAAGAGAATAACTTGAACCCAGGAGGCGGAGGGTGCAGTGAGCTGAGATCCTGCCGCTGCACTCCAGCCTGGGTGACAGAGCACACTCCGTCTCAAAAAAGGAAAGCTGATGAGAAATTGGGCATCCCGGAATTCACACCCAAACCATCAGCTGGAGCTCTGAGACTGTTGGGGTGGGAATTCTTCCAAGATGAGAAGCAAGCCAGGGAGGCTCAGGTCCTGGGATGGGCAGGGCTTTGATCAAAAGAACACAGGAAGTGATTTGCTACTTGAAAGAAAGGCAACCCCTCCCCAAGGAAGCCCTCTGAAAATGCTTAGTCAACAGTCGGCTTGGCAGACAAGGTCTGGGAGGGGCCACCCGTATCGCAGAGGATGATAGAAGAGAAAAAAATGACACCCACCTCTGTCTGGGGATGCTGAAATCTTCCTGGAGGAGTGGTGAATGCCAGGAAGATCGCTGAAGGATTCAATGAAACAGTATTTCTGAAGTCCTTTACAACAGGGTCCCCAACCCCCGGGGTCATGGACTGCTATCGGGCCATGGTCTGTCTGTTAGAAACCATGAGCCCTATCGGGTCACAGAGCAGGAGATGAGTGGCAGGCAAGCAAGCCCGAGCTCCACCTCCTCTCAGATTCTCGGGGGCGCCATTAGATTATCACAGGATCGCAAACCCTGTTGTGAACTGCACACACGAGGGATCCAGGTTGCATGCTGCTTATGACAATCTAATGCCCGGCCGGGTGCGGTGGCTCACACCTGTAATCCTAGCACTTTGGGAGGCCGAGGCGGGCAGATCACGAAGTCAAGAGATAGAAACGATCCTGGCCAACGTGGTGAGACCCCGTCTCTCCTAAAAATACAAAAATGAGCTGGGTGTGGTGGCACATGCCTGTCATCCTAGCTACTCGGGAGGCTGAGGCAGGAGAATCGCTTGAACCCGGGAGGCGGAGGTTGCAGTGAGCCAAGATCACACCATTGCACTACAGCCTCGGCGACAGAGCCAGACTCCGTCTCAAAAAAAAAAAAAAAAGAAAAAGAAAATCTAATGCCGTTGGCAGGGTGCAGTGGCTCATGCCTGTAATCTCAACACTTTTGGAGGCCGAGGTGGGCGGATCACCTGAGGTCAAGAGTTCAAGACCAGCCTGGCCAACATGGCAAAACCCTGTCTCTACTAAAAATACAAAAATTAGCCAGTCGTGGTGGTGCGCGCCTGTAACCCCAGCTACCCGGGAACCTGAGATAGGAGAATCACTTGAACCCAGGAGGCAGAGGTCGCAATGAGACGAGATCACGCCACTGCACTCCAGCCTGGGCCACAGAGAGAGGCTCCATCTCAAAAAAAAAAGAAAGAGAGAGAGAAAGAAAGAAAGAAAAAGAAAGAAAGAAAGAGAAAGAAAAAGAAAGAAAGAGAGAAAGAGAAAGGAAGAAAGAAAGAAAGAGAGAAAGAAGAAAGAGAAAGAAAGGAAAGAAAGAAAGAAAGAAAGAAAGAAAGAAAGAAAGAAAGAAAGAAAGAGAGAGAGAGAGAGAGAGAAAGAAAGAAAGAAAGAAAGAAAGAAAGAAAGAAAGAAAGAAAGAAAGGGAAAAAAGAAGAAATAAAGGAAAAGAAAGAAAAGAAAATCTAATGCCCCGCTCCATGGTCCATGGAAAAATTGTCTTCCATTAAACCGGTCTCTGGTGCCAAAAATGTTGGGGACCATTGCTTTACAGAGCACATAACATGCACTTGATCCATGGTAGCTGCCATTAGCTGGGATGTCCATTCATTTCTGGATTCAGCAATGAGGATGGACGGAGGTGACGATTGTGGTAATTGGGGAGGAGTTGCTGCGAGTGGTCATTGCTGGGTTGTTGGTGTCATTGGTTGTGGTGGTGGTTGTGGCTGTTTCTTGTTGCAGGTTCGTGGTGATAATGGCTCTTGCAGGTGGGCTGGTGGTGGTGGCGGTTGGTGTTTAATGTTGTTCGTTGGTGGTGGATTGTTTTCAGCTGGAAATTCTGGAGATGCTTGGTGACCAGTGGAATGATGACCATCGGTGGTTGCTGTTATTTGGAGAGGAAAGGTGTTGGTAGTAGCGTTCATTTGCTGCTGGTAGTTTATTGTTGGTTTCTGGTAAGATGATGATCAGCAATGGTGGTGCTGGTTCAATGTTGGGTTTTGAACAGGATAGGACTGGTGACTGCTGCTTTCTGTGGTTGCTAATGGTAGTTGGTTATGTGTGGTTGTTGATGGCTAGTATTGTTTTTTTGTTTTGTTTTGTTTCTGAGACAGAGTCTCGCTCTGTCACCCCGGCTGGAGTGCAGTGGTGCAATCTCGGCTCACTGCAACCTCCACCTCCTGGCTTCAAGCAATTCTCGTGCCTCAGCCTCCCAAGTAGCTGAGATTACAAGCACCTGCCACCACACCCAGCTAATTTTTGTGCTTTTAGTGGAGACGGGGTTTCGCCATGTTGGCCAGGCTGGTCTCCAACTCCTAACCTCAAGTGATCCACCCGCTTTGGCCTCCCAAAGTGTGAGATTACAGGTGTGAGCCACTGTGCCTGGCCGATGACTAGATGGTGGTTGGTTATTATAGCGTGGTGGTGGTGGTGGTGGTGATCGTGGGAGAATGTAAGGAAGGCTGATGCTGGAATTGCTCATGGGACCTGTCTGACATTGGCTAGTCATGATGGTATTGGAGTTATCAGCAGTTTCTGTTTGTCTTTGAGAAGGGTAGGAGAGAGAGTGAAGACGTTCACTGGTTGCCTTTGGTTGGTGATGGTGGTCATGTGAGGATAATAGTGATTGTCTCTTCTTTTTTTTTTGAGACAGAGTCTCGCTCTGTCACCCAGGATGGAGTGCAGTGGCATGATCTTGGCTCACTGCAAGCCCCACCTCCTAGGTTCATGCCATTCTCCTGCCTCAGCCTCCCGAGTAGCTGGGACTACAGGCGCCCGCCACCATGCCTGGCTAATTTTTTTCTATTTTTTTAGTAGAGATGGGGTTTCACCGTGTTAGCAAGGATGGTCTCGATCTCCTGACCTCGTGATCTGCCCGCCTCAGCCTCCCAAAGTGCTGGGATTATAGGCGTGAGCCACCACACCTGGCCAATAGTGATTGTTTCTAAGGTACAGTCACAGGGCCAGGAACAATGGCTCATGCCTGTAATCCCAACAGTTTGGAAGACGGAGGTGGGAGGATCACTTGAGGCCAGATGTTCGAGACCAGCCTGGGAGACATGGCAATACCCCATCTCTACAAAGCATTTAAAAGTTAGCCAGGCATGGTGGCATGGACCTGTAGTACCAGCTAATTGGGAAGCTGAGGTGGGAAGATCACTTGAGCCCAGGAGTTCCAGGCTGCAGTGAGCTGTGATGGCCCCACTGCACTCCAGCCTGAGCAACAGAGACAGACTCTGTTTCTAAACAAATAAATAAGATACAGCCACAAAGCAGGGAGACCAGTGAAGTGGCTGCTGGGTCCAGAATCAGTGGCCATGAGGATGGACAGGAAAGGCTGGGAGTCAAAAGGAATTTAGGAGAAAGAATCAGTTAAGACCACTAACTGGGCACGGGCACAGTGGCTCACACCTGTAATCCCAGCACTTTAGGAGGCCGAGGCAGGTGGATCACTTGAGGTCAGGTGTTCGAGACCAGTCTGGCCACCATGGTGAAACCCCATCTCTACTAAAAATACAAAAATTAGCCAAGCGGGGTGGCATGTGCCTGTAATCCCAGCTACTCAGGAGGCTGAGGCAGCAGAATCGCTTGAACCCGAGAGGCAGAGGTTGCAGTGAGCTGAGATCGCACCACTACACTCCAGCTTGGGCAACAGAGCGAGACTCTGTCTCAGAGGGGAAAAAAAAATGCCCATAATTGATTGGATGCAAAGAGTGAACGTAACAATGAATCAGAGACAGGCAGGTTTCTGTCTTGGGGGTTGGGGACCACATCCCAGAGGATCTTCCCCAAAAAGCAGGAGGGACAAGACCAGGGTTCCCCAGCTCCAGCTTCTGCGTGGAGATGTTTGAGACGGTAGCCACCGACTGTCAGCAATCTCCAGCGACGAGACAAAGAGCCCAGCTCCAGAAAGACAAGGGTCCCCACGTATAAAGGCCAGGCGCGGTGGCTTACGCCTGTAATCCCAATACTTTAGGAGGCCGAGGCGTGCGGATCACGAAGTCAGGAGATCGAGACCATCCTGGCTAACACAGTGAAACCCCGTCTCTAAAAATACAGGGGCTGGGCGCGGTGGCTTACACCTATAATCCCAGCACTTTGGGAGGCCGAGGCGGGCAGATCATGAGGTCAGGAGATCGAGACCATCCTGGCTAACATGGTGAAACCCCGTCTCTACTAAAAATACAAAAAATTACCCAGGCGTGGTGGCGGGTGCCTGTAGTCCCAGCTACTTGGGAGGCTGAGGCAGAAGAATGGCGTGAACTCGGGAGGCAGAGCTTGCAGTGAGCCGAGATGGCGCCACTGCACTCCAGCCTGGGTGAGAGAGCAAGACTCCGTCTCAAAACAATAAAAATACAAAAATACAAAAAAAAAATTAGCCGGGCGCGGTGGCGGGCGCCTGTAGTCCCAGCTACTCGGGAGGCTGAGGCAGGAGAATCGCTTGAACCCAGGAGGTGGAGGTTGCAGTGAGCCGAGATCATGCCACTGCACTCCAGCCTGGGCAACAGAGTGAGATTCCATCTAAAAAAAAAAAAGAGAGAGAGAGAGAAAAGAAAAGAAACAGAGTCCAGTCCCCCTGCTCCCCTGAGGGATGGAGCCTTTGGAGGTGAGAATGTTGTTTGCACAGTGCATGGACGCAGGGTGTGGCCCCAGAGCCCCACTGAGCTGGGGGCAAGGCTCCAGGGCCACCCTCAGGCACCAGGGCAGGGTCTGGGAGCTGAGAGCTGGCTCCAGAAGCAGCTACGGAGGCTTAGCTCTCCTCCCGGCAACCACAGCTCGCAGGACCTGGGTGAGGAAGGAAGTGGCTGTTTGTTTGCTGTCTTCAATCTAGAGCTCTTGCTCATCACGCCCAGAAAAAGCAGACAGCCTGGAGCCCATGGGGTGAGTTGCAAAAGCTCCCTCCTCCAGCCCTTCCTCCTGGCCAGCTCATGGCCACCATTGATGGGGACAGTGAGGAACGCTAGCATTTACACTGGACAACCTTTGCTTCGTTGAATCTGCAGAGCAGCCTGTGAGATTTGCACCCCTCGATGTTCCCATTTTCCGAATGAGGAAACTGAGGCAGAGAGGTTAGGTGAGCTGCCCAATCTAAAATGAAAGAGGATTTTGACTCAGTGACTCCCAAGGCCACACTATTAACAGCCATCTTGGCCGGGCACAGCGGCTTGCACCTGTAATTCCAGCGCTTTGGGAGGCCAAGGCAAGAGGATCAGCAGTCCAGGAGTTTGAGACCAGCCTAAGCAACATAGTTAGACTTTGTCTCTATTTAAAAAAAAAAAAATGTGGTTGGGTGCGGTGGCTCATCCCAGTGCCCGTCATTCCAGCACTTTGGGAGGTCAAGGCGGGCAGATCACTTGGGGTCAGGAGTTCAAGACCAGCCTGGCCAACGTGGTGAAACCCTGTCTCTACTAAAAACACAAAAATTAGCCAGGTGTGGTGGCGTGCACCTGTAATCCCAGCTACTCAGGAGGCTAAGGCAGGAGAATTGCTTGAACCTGGGAGGCAGAGGTTGAGCCAAGGTCATGCCACTGCACTCACAGACTGAGCAACAAGAGCGAGACTCCATCTCAAATAAAAAAAAAAATGTGGCTGGGTGCAGTGGCTCACGCCTATAATCCCAGCACTTTGGGAGGCCGAGATGAGTGGATTGCCTGAGGTCAGGAGTTCGAGACCAGCCTGGCCAACATGATGAAACCTGGTCTCTACTAAAAATACAAAAATTAGCCAGGCGTTGTGCACGCCTGTAATCCCAGCTACTTGGGAGGCTGAGGCAGGAGAATCACTTGAACCTGGGAGGCAGAGGTTGCAGTAAGCCTAGATCATGCCGCTGCACTCCAGCCTGAACAACAGAGCAAGACTCCATCTCAAAAAAAAAAAAATGTATTAGCCAGGCGTGGTAGTATGCACCTGTGGTCCCAGCTACTCAGGAGGCTGAGGCAGGAGGATTCGCTTGAGCCTGGGAGGTCAAGGCTGCAGTGATATCAAACCACTGCCTTCCAACCTGGGCAACAGAACAAGACTCTGTCCAAAAAAAATAACAGGCACCTTGACCACAGCCTCCTGTCCTCCTAAGCAATGAGAGGCCAGCAGGACTATGTGCTGACCCCACATGGCCTGGGCTGTCTATCCCTCCAGGACCATGACCCTCCATTCCAAACAGACTAGAATCCTGGTGTCCACCACACACCCAAGGCCTCTCTGGCTGATGTCTCTTGCAGCCACCACTGATGCTGCCTGGAAAGTTCATGTTGCAAGACGTGCCTTCTACAGGAAGCCCTCTCACCTCTCCACAGTACTTTCCAGCCATGGTCTCCTCTGGGCAACTGAGACACCACTTGGGGAACACCGAGCCCCCCAAGGGCAGGTTCTGGGCCTGGTCCACCTAAGCCTGGTCTCCACCTACCTCCATGCACAGTAGGGGCCCAGGAAGTGTGTTCCCTCCATGGCACACATCCCCCAGCCCCATAGGCACCATCACCTTCACCACAAACAGCCCCTCCCTGGTGTGATACCAGGAAGGTTGTCCCCGCCTGCCCTAGTTCTGCCTTCAGCCTTGGGGTAGAGAGACCTCTCTGAAGAGCTGAAGGAAGAAGCTACCCGTCCTTCCTACCCCACCCACCTCAAGCCCCTGACTGCCTTTCACAAGAGCTCCAGCAGGTTGAGTCATATTCAGCTTGTGGTCAACTGTGACCACAAGCTCTTCGTTGCATCCCCACCCCCAAGGAAGAGACTTACAAACAAACAGTTTTGACTTGACCCATGGAGACTTGGAGGCCACAGAATGAGAGAGATATCTGGGAGACAGGGCAGGGGGCAGTCTCATCCCAATAGGACTTCATTCATTCATTCATTCATTCAACAAGTATGTATTGACCAGGCTTTCTGTCCAACACTGATGCCTTAAATCCTCTCAAGGTCACAGATGACATTTCCTGAGGCATCTCGGCGCATTTTTTCTCTTTGTTCGCTCCTGTACTTGTTTCAGAGACCCCACACAAGGGTCATTATGGAATCCATTTGGTTATTTGTTGTTGTTGAGATGGAGTCTCGCTCTGTTGCCCAGGCTGGAGTGCAATGACGTAATCTTGGCTCACTGCAACCTCCACCTCCTAGGTTCAAGCAATTCCCCTGCCTCAGCCTCCCGGATAGCTAAGACTACAGACACCCGCCACCACGCCGGGCTAATTTTTGTATTTTTAGTAGAGATGAGGTTTCACCATGTTGGCCAGGCTGGTCTTGAACTCCTGACCTCAAGTGATCTGCCTGCCTCGCCTCCAAAAGTGCTGGGATTACAGGCGTGAGCCACCATGCGCGGCCAAATCCACTTGCAAAGAGGAGAAACTGAGGCTTGGAGAAGAGAAGTGACCTCCCCAGAGTCACACAGTCAGTCAACTGTCAAGCCAGGCTTTGACCCCAATCCATCACATGCCAAAATTCTCGACTATCCTCCCCACACGATATTCACTTGAGCAAAACCCTCTCTCCCTTCGATGCAAACAGCCTGTGATTAATTTTTTTTTTTTTTTTTTTTTTTGAGACGGAGTCTCACTCTTTCACCCAGGCCGGACTGCAGTGGCACCATCTCAGCTCACTGCAAGCTCCGCCTCCCAGGTTCACGCCATTCTCCTGCCTCAGCCTCCCGAGGAGCTGGGACTACGGGCGCCCGCCACCGCACCTGGCTAATTTTTTGTAGTTTTAGTAGAGACGGGGTTTCACCGTGTTAGCCAGGATAGTCTCGATCTCCTGACCTCGTGATCCACCCACCTCGGCCTCCCAAAGTGCTGGGATCACAGGTGTGAGCCACCGTGCCCGGCCCAGCCTGTGATTTTACAGGTGGCTGGAGCATGGAGTGTCTGAGGGCCTCTAGTGCCTGGGGCAGGATAGAGAGGGAGAGAATGGTCAGAGAAGAGGGCCACTCTGCCAGATGAGGAAAGAGGGGAAGGGCAGGAAGAGGAACCAAGTCGTCAGAGCCGGGAGAGCCAGGAGGGCTGATGGGCCTAGCCAGACACAGCTGACCCCAGTGAGGGGAAGTGGCCTGGGGTCTTAGTTCAGCCTGAGTGGCCTGGCAGGCTGAAGCCTGCACTGGCCCCCAAAGGGGAAATTGTAGACATGACCCATCTTCTCCCCAACCCATCCTCATCTGACCTCAGCAGCAACCCCGGCGATCTCTGATACAGACCAGCCTGGGGAAGGACAGCTTCGTGGGTCCTCCCCAAGGTCCTCTCTGCACTGCTGTGTGTCCTTGAAGAGGACACTTAACCTCTCTGTGCTGTAGTTTTCTCTTCTATAAAATGGACCCAGGATGGGTGCGGTGGCTCACGCCTATAATCCCAGCACTTTGCGAGGCCGAGGTGGGAGGATCACCTGAGGTTGGGAGTTCGAGATGAGCGTGCCCAACGCGGTAAAACCTTGTCTCTACTAAAAATACAAAAATCAGCCAGGCGCCTGTAATCCCAGCTACTCAAGAGGCTGAGGCAGGAGAATCGCTTGAACCCAGGAGGTGGAGGTTGCAGTGAGCTGAGATCGTGCCACTGCACTCCAGCCTGGGTGCAACAGAGCAAGACTTTGTCTCAAAAAAAAATAGACCCAGTGGGCCGGGCACGGTGGCTCATGCCTGTAATTTCAGCACTTTGGGAGGCCGAGGCAGGTGGATCACAAGGTCAGGAGTTCAAGACCAGCCTGGCCAAGATGGTGAAACCCCCATCTCTACTAAAAATACAAAAATTAGCAGGCTTGGTGGTGGGTGCCTATAATCCCAGCTACTCGAGAGGATGAGGCAGAGAATTGGAATTGCTTGAACCTGGGAGACGGAGGTTGCAGTAAGCCAAAGTCGTACCACTGCATTCCAGCCTGGGCGACAGAGCAAGACTCAATCTCAAAAAAAAAAAAAAAAAAAAATTGGACCCAGTGA
The DNA here is from genome assembly GCF_000001405.40 of Homo sapiens. Classification (NCBI taxonomy): domain Eukaryota; kingdom Metazoa; phylum Chordata; class Mammalia; order Primates; family Hominidae; genus Homo; species Homo sapiens. The sequence goes on along the minus strand of NC_000019.10, from coordinate 8,567,045 downwards.
TAGGACTAACCTCAGCCAGCGTGTGTTGAAAGGATAAGATGAAGTAATTCACATAAAAAGCTTAGACCAGGCTTGGCCTGGTGGCTTACGCCTGTAATCCTAGCACTTTCATAGGCTGAAGCAAGAGGATTACTTGAAATTCAGGAGTTCAAGACCAGCCTAGGCAACATAGCGAGACTCTATCTCTGTTTGTAAACATATATTATTTAATATATATATTAAAATAAATAAAGGCCAGTTATGGTGGCTCATGCTTGTAATCCCAGCACTTTGGGAGGCTGAGGCGGGTGGATCACTTGAGGTCAGGAGTTCGAAACCAGCTTGGCCAACATGGTGAAACCCCATCTCTACAAAAAATACAAATATTACCTGGGCATGGTGGCATGCACCTGTAATCCCAGCTACTTGGGAAACTGAGGCAGGAGAATCGCTTGAGCCAGGGAGGCAGAGGTTGCAGTGAGCCAAGATCATGCCACTGCACTCCAGCCAGGGCGAAAGAGCAACACTCTGTTTCAAAAATAAATAAATTAATTAAATTAAATAAATAAAAATAAAATTTTTTTTAAAAAGCATAGACCAGGCCGGGCGCGGTGGCTCACGCCTGTAATCCCAGCACTTTGGGAGGCCGAGGCGGGTGGATCATGAGATCAGGAGCTCGAGACCATCCTGGCTAACACGGTGAAAGCCCATCTCTACTAAAAATACAAAAAATTAGCTGGGCATGGCCGTGGGAGCCTGTAGTCCCAGCTACATGGGAGGCTGAGGCAGGAGAATGGCGTGAACCCGGGAGGCAGAGCTTGCAGTGAGCCGAGATCATGCCACTGCACTCCAGCCTGGGCGAGAAAGCAAGACTCCATCTCAAAAAAAAAAAAAAAAAAAAAAAAGACATAGACTGGAGCCTGGTACACAGAATAAGTGCTAGTTTGGTGTTTGGGTTTTTTTTCTGGGTCTTCGTCTGTCATCCAGGCTGGAGTGCTGCCACAATCACAGCTCACTGTAACTCCGAACTCCTGGGCTCAAGTGATCCTCTTGCCTCAGCCTCCTGAGTGGCTGGGACTACAGGCGCATACCACCATGCCTGGCTAATTTTTATTTATTTTTTATTTTTTATTTTTTTTTGCAGAGATGGGGGTCTCACTATGTTGCCCAGGCTGGTCTCAAACACCTGGCCTCAAGTGATCCTTCCACCTCAGCCTCCCAAAGTGCTGGGATGACAGGTGTGAGCCACCACCCGGCCAGGTGTTAACTGTTGTTGTCATTGTTTTCTATTGTTGTTATTTCCATCCAATCTCCACCCTTAAGCTCTTCAGAGACAAAATGCACTTCCCGTGTCCCCACCCACTGACACAGCTGTGCCTGTCCCCAGCCTCTCCCCAAATACCTGTTTAGAAAAAGAACAGACCCTCACCACTCACGACCCTGCTCCTGCCCCACTAGGCCCATGAATGATGCCACTTTGCCCACAATTATTTATTTTTTAATTTTTATTATTATTATTATTTCGAGACAGAGTTTCGCACTTGTTGCCCAGGCTAGCTTGCAATGGCACAATCTTGGCTCACTACAACCTCTGCCTCCCAGGTTCAAGCTATTCTCCTGCCTCAGCCTCCCGAGTAGCTGGGATTACAGGCGCTCGCCACCACACCTGGCTAATGTTGTACTTTTAGTGGAGACGGGGTTTCCCCACGTTGGTCAGGCTGGTCTCAAACTCCCAACCTCAGTTGATCTGCCCGAGTCAACCTCCCAAAGTGCTGGGATTACAGGCGTGAGCTACTGCACCCAACCTGCCCACAATTTTTATTGTCTCTTCTCATCAACCATCTGGTCTCCCCATCTTGAAAATGAAATGAGCCAGGCGTGGTGGCTCACGCCTGTACTCCCAGCACTTTGGGAGGCTGAGGTGGGTGGATCACTTGAACTTGAGGTCAGGAGTTACAGACCAGCCTGGCCAACATGGTGAAATCCCTGTCTCTGGCCGGACACAGTGGCTCATGCCTGTAATCCCAGCACAGTGGGAGGCTGAGGTGGGCGGATCACCTGAGGTTGGGAGTTCGAGATGAGCGTGTCCAACGTGGTGAAATCCTGTCTCTACTAAAAACACAAAAATCAGCCTGGCTTGGTGGCAGGCGCCTGTAATTCCAGTTACTTGGGAGGCTGAGGCAGGAGAATCACTTGAACCCGGGAGGCGGAGGTTGCAGTGAGCCGAAATCATACCACTGCACTCCAGCCTGGGTGACAGAGCGAGACTCTGTCTCAAAACAACAACAAAAAAAAAACAGGAAACACGGGCTCCCCTGACCCCACTTCTCCCCCACAGCCTCTCTCCCTCTTCCCCTTCTCAGCCAGATCCTCATTCCTGTCTATACCTCCTAGCCTCCCAATCCTGCTTCTGACCCTGGGGCCCCTCTTAGTCTCCAGTGAGCTCAGACGCTCTTCAGGGTTGAGTCGATGGCTCCTAACCCACCCTCGTCCCATCTGGGCCTCCCCTGCCTGGTCCGGGTTTTGCCTCTGACTTCCCTGGCAGTTCCTACTCAGCCAGTCTGTGGTGGGTGTCAACTTCAACCCCTCCATGCCACTGCTCCCCAGGATTCTGTCATCTCCTGACGCACCCCAGGGACTCTCAGTGCATCCCAGTCAGCACCTCCTTCTTTTTTTGTTGTTTTCAAGACAGGGTTTCACTCCTGTCGCCCAGGCTGAAGTGCAATGGCATGATCTTGGCTCACTGCAACCTCTGCCTCCTGGGTTCAAGCGATTCTCCTGCCTCAGCCTCCCAAGTAGCTGGGATTACAGGCGCCTGACACCACGCCTGGCTAATTTTTGTATTTTTAGTAGAGACGGGGTTTCACCATGTTGGCCAGGCTGGTCTCGAACTCCTGACCTCAAGTGATCCATCCACCTTGGCCTCCCAAAGTGCTGGGATTATAGGCATGAGCCGCCATGCCCGGCCAGCACCCACTTCTTATAAAAACACCTAATTAGGCCTCCTTTAAATCCCGACATTAACCTCAGACAATGGACACACTCAACTCCCATAGTTTCAAAAAGAATCAATGTGATTGCCTGTAATGAAGACCTTACAATAAAATGTGTGTCCAAATATGAGAGTGCTAGGGTCAGGCCAAAGCGCAGTGGCTCATGCCTATAATCTCAGCACTTTGAGAAGCCAAGGCGGGTGGATCACCTGAGGCTAGGAGTTTGAGACCAGCCTGGCCAACATAGAAAAACCCTGTCTCAAGCCAGGCGCGGTGGCTCACCCCTGTAATCCCAGCACTTTGGGAGGCTGAGGCAGGGGGATCGCCTGAGGTCAGGAGTTCCAGACCAGCCTGACCAACATAGTGAAAGCCCATCTCTACTAAAAATACAAAAAAAATTAGCTGGGCGTGTTGATGGGCTCCTGTAACCCCAGCTACTAGGGAGGCTGAGGCAGGAAAATCGCTTGAACCCGGGAGGCGAAGGTTGCAGTGAGCTGAGATCACATCATTGCACTCCAGCCCAGATAACAAGAGAGACACTCCATCTCAAAAAAAAAAGAAAGAAAGAAAGAAAAAGAAAAATCCTGTCTCTACTAAAATTACAAAACGTTAGCTGGGCGTGGTGGTGCACGCCTATAATCCCAGGTACTCAGGAGGCTGAGGCATGAGAATCGCTTGAATCCGGGAAGCAGAGGTTGCAGTGAGCTGAGATCTCACCACTGCACTCCAGCCTGGGCGATAGAGCAAGACTGTGTCTCAAAAAAAAAAAAAAAAAAAAAGTGGCCAAGCACAGTGGCTCATGCCTATAATCCCAGCATTTTGGGAGGCCGAGGCGGGTGGATCACCTGAGGTCAGGAGTTCAAGACCAGCCTGACCAACATGGTGAAACCCCATCCATACTAAAAATACAAAAAATTAGCCAGGCATGGTGGCAGGTGCCTGTAGTCCCAGCTACTCGGGAGGCTGAGACAGGACAATCACTTGGACCCGGGAGGCAGAGGTTACAGTGAGCTGCGATCAAACCACTGCACTCCAGCCTGGGCGACAGAGTGAGACTCGGTATCAAAACAAAAAAAGGAAAGAAGGAAAGAAGGTGCTAAGGTCAGCGGTCCAAGAAGGCCCAGGAGAGCCACCAGGTGCTCCCACCTGTAAACAAGTATGACAGTCCCACCTACAGGTCATTTTTAACGCCACCACCGGCATGACTTTCAACGAAGTGAGTTTCCAAAATGTTTAACTTGGCCAGGCACCATGGCTCATGCCTGTAATCCTGGCACTCTGGGAGACTGAGGCAGGAGGATTGCTTGAGCCCAGGAGTTAGAGACCAGCCTGGGCAACATAGGGAGACCCCATCTGTAAAAAAAAAATTTAAGTAGCTGGGCACAGTGGTACTTGCCTGTGGTCCCAGCTACTCAGGAGGCTGGGGTGGGAGGATCACTTGAGCCTGGACGTCAAGGCTACAGTTAGCTATGATTACACCACTGCACTCCAGCCTGGGCAACAGAGCAAGACCCTGCCTCAAAAAAATAAATAAGTAAATAAATTTTTAAAATAAACAAAGTGTTGAGCTCTTAGCACACTGAACAAAACTAAAATCTCCCAGCTGGGCCCAGTGGCTTCCACCCATAGGCCCAGCTACTCAGGAGGTCAAGGCAGGAGGATTGCTTGGGCCCAGGAGTTCGAGGCCGCAGTGAGGTATGATCGCACCAGTGCACTCCAGCCTAGGTGACAGAGTGAGATCTTGTCTCAAAAAAGACAAGAAAAAGAAAGGAAGGGCCGGTGCGGTGGCTCATGCCTATAATCCCAGTGCTTTGTGAGGCCAAGGCGGGCGGGTAACGAGGTCAGGAGATCAAGACCATCCTGGCTAACACGGTGAAACCTCGTCTCCACTAAAAATACAAAAAAAAAAAGAAAAAATTAGCCGGGCAGGAGAACGGCGTGAACCCTGGAGGCGAGGCTTGCAGTGAGCCGAGATTGTGCCACTGCCCTTCAGCCTGGGCGACAGAGCAAGACTCCATCTCAAAAAAAACAAAAGAAAAAAAAAGAAAAAGGAAGGAAGGGCCAGACGCAGTGGCTCATGCCTGTAATCCCAGCACTTTGGGAGGCCGACATGGGTGGATCACGAGGTCAGGAGTTCAAGACCAGCCTGGCCAATATGGTGAAACCTTATCTCTACTAAAAATACAAAAATTAGCCGGGTGTGGTGGTGCGCGCCTATAGTCCCAGCTGCCCGGGAGGCTGAGGCAGAAGAATCGTTTGAACCTGGGAGGTAGATTTTGCAGTGAGCCAAGATCGCGCCACTACACTCCAGCCTGGCCAACAGAGCGAGACTCCATCTCAAACAAACAAAAAAAAAGATAGAAAAAAAGGAGGAAGGAAGGAAGGAAAAGGGAAGGGAAGAAAGGAAAGAAGGAAAGAAAAAATGGAAGGAAAGAAGGAAAGAAAGAAGAAAGAAAGAGAGAAAGAAAAAAGAGAAGAGAGGGAGGGAGGGAAGGAAGGAAGGAGGGAGAGGAGGGGAGGGAGGGAAAGAAAGAGGAAGAAAGAAGAGAGAAAGAGAGAAGAATGAGAGAGAAGAAAGAGAACGAAAGAAAGAGAAAAAGAAAGAGAGAGAGAGGGAGAGAGGGAGGAAGGAAGGGAGGGAGAGGAGAAAGGAAGGGAGGGAGAGGAGAAAGGAAGGAAGGAAAGAAGGGGGGAAGGGAGGGAGGGAGGGAGGGAGGGAGGGAATTCATGCTGACTACTCAGGCCAGGAGCAGTGTGAGGGGTTGAAGCCCTGACTACCCCTGCATTCCATTCTCTGTCCCTGCTGCAGCCACACCTCCACACCTTTCCCCAGACAGTTAACCCTGACTGGTGCACCCTTTCTCCCAGCTGTTTATCAAAACCCTTCTCAGGCCAGGCACAGTGGCTCACACCTGTAATCCCAGCATTTTGGAAGGCCAAGGTGGGAGGATCACTTGAGCCCAGGAGTTATAGACATCAGCCTGAGCAACAGAGCAAGACCATGTCTCTATGAAATATTTAAAAATTAGCCAGGCGTGGCCAGGCGCAGTGGCTCACACCTATAATCCCAGCACTTTGGGAGGCCGAGGCGGGCAGATCACAAGGTCAGGAGATTGAGACCATCCTGGCTAATACAGTGAAACCCCGTCTCTACCAAAAATACAAAAAATTAGCCGCCGTGGTGGCGGGCGCCTGTAGTCCCAGCTACTCGGGAGGCTGAGGCAGGAGAATGGCGTGAACACAGGAGACAGAGCTTGCAGTGAGCCGAGATCGTGCCACTGCGCTCCAGCCTGGGCGACAGAGCAAGACTCTGTCTCAAAAAAAAAAAAAATTAGCCAGGCGTGGTGGCATGTGCCTGTAGTCTCAGCTACACAGGAGGCTGAGACCAGGAGGATCACTTGAGCCCAGGAGGTCAAGGCTGCAGTGAGCCATGACCTTGCCACTGCACTCCAGCCTGGGAGACAGAGTGAGACCCTGTCTCAAAAACCAAACCAAAACAAAACAAAAAAATCCTTCTCAGCACCAGCCCAGCCTCCTGTGCGTGTAGACAGAGGCAAGAACCTGTTCTTTTTTTTTTTTCCTTTTTTTAAGACCAAGTCTCGCTATGTTTGCCCAGGTTGGAGTGCAATGGTGCAATCTCGGCTCACTGCAACCTCTGCCTCCCGGGATCAAGCGAGTCTCCTGCCTCAGCCTCCTGAGTAGCTGGGATTACAGGCGCGCACCCCCACACCCGGCTACTTTTTTTGTATTTTTAGTAGAGATGGGGTTTCACCATGTTAGCCAGGATGGTCTCGATCTCCTGACCTCATGATCCGCCCGCCTCAGCCTCCCAAAGTGCTGGGATTACAGGCGTGAGCCACCGCGCCCAGCCAAGAACCTGTTCTTTGCTGTTGAATAGACCCAGGTTCAAACCCCACACCCTTGGAAACAATACCTGTATCTTTAGTCCCGTGTCCTTAAGGAAGCTGCTGTACTTCTCCAGCCTCCGTTTCCCTTCGAGCCTACCCACACTGAGATGGTGTGATGATGGCTGCCAGTATCAACCATCTACATCCCCCAAACCAGGCACAGCATAGGTGCTCGCTGAGTGTTAATTCTTTACTTTTTTTTTTTTTTTTTTTCTGAGATGGAGTTTTGCTCTTGTTGCCCAGGCTGGAGTGCAATGGCACAATCTGGGCTCACCGCAACCTCCGCCTCCTGGGTTCTAGCGATTCTCCTGCCTCAGCCTCCCGAGTAGCTGGGATTACAGGCGTGCGCCACCACGCCCAGCTAATTTTTGTATTTTTAGTAGAGATGGAGTTTCACCATGTTGGTCAGGCTGGTCTCAAACTCCCGACCTTAGATGATCTCCCCGCCTCGGCCTCCCAAAGTGCTGGGATTGCAGGTGTGAGCCACCGCGCCCGGTCGTGTTAATTCTTTCAAATGCCCCTCAGCCTCGGTCTATCCTCACGACCACTCAGGCTTGGGGAGGGGCACCAGCCTCCCATCCCACCTTGTTCCCCCAGAGTAGTTCATCCTCTCATCAACCCTGGGAAGTGGAGCTGCCTCTTCCTTTTTATAGATGAGACGATGGAGACTCACAGCAGCATCTGTTTGCCCAGTCAGGATCAGAACCCAGATCTACCCTTATGCCAAAGGCTGGGCTTATTTAATGCCCATGGGCATCCCTCAACAACCTCTAACTGTCAGTATGTCCAGAATCTGATCATGCACCTCCACCCCCACCCCCCACCCCCCACCCCCTCAAGAACATTCCGTGGCTCCCCAGTACCCCCAGGAGAGACTGGCTCCACTTCTGCCTTACAGTTGCCCACGTGGACACTTCTGCTTGTGCCCTGCCTGTATCCCTGGAATCCACTGGCAAACACAGTCCACTTTAAAGACTTCAATCCTGGGCTGGGAGCGGTGGCTCATGCCTGTAATCCCAGCAGTTTGGAAGATCGAGGCAGGAAGGTCGCTTGAACTCAGGAGTTCAAGACCAGCCTGAGCAACACAGTGAAACCCCGTCTCTACCAAAAATACAAAAAATTAGCTGGGCTTAGTGGTGTGTGCCTGTAGTGCCAGCTACTCAGGAGGCCGAGGTGACAGGCTCGCTTGAGCCCCGCAGGCAGAGGTAGCAGTGAGCCGTGGTCTCACCACTGCACTCCATCCAGCCTGGGCAAAGCAGTGAGACCCCATCTCAAAAATACAAAAATACTTCAATTCCCAGCTTTGTTTGCTCTGGTGGTTTTTGCTCTGAATCTGGGTTTCTTTCTTTACCTTTGTCCCCTGTTCATTTGACAGAGAAAAGACTCAGCCCCAGTCTCTGTCTCCAGGAGCTCCTGGCCTGGGGATGGGGGGCTTCCAGGAGGAGAGACATCTTATCTGACCATCAGTTCACCAAATGGGGTAGCTCCAAGTTGCCATCACTCCTATCTGTCAGACTACTCCTTTGCAGAGATGTGTTGAATAGAGACAGAGTGAGCCTGAGAAAGCCAGGGTGTTTAAGGCACTAGATAAATTCAGTCGGGCTAAAAGGAGAGCAACCAGGGCAGGCTTCCTGGAAGAGGAGATTTTGGAGAGCATGTGCCTCAGTCTCCTCCATGGGGCCTAAAGAAAGTGTCGTCTGGGTCAGGCAAGGTGTCTCATGCCTGAAATTCCAGCACTTTGGGAGGCTGAGGTGGGAGGATCACTTGAGGCCAGAAGTTAAAGACCAGCCTGAGCAACAGAGCAAGACCCCATCAATACAAAAAAAATTTAAATATTAGCTGGGCATGGTGGCACACACCTGTGGTCCCAGCTACTCAGGAGGCTGAGGTGGGAGGATCTCTTGAGCCCAGAAGGTCAGGGCTACAGTGAGCTATGATCCCGCCACTGCACTCCAGCCTGGGTGACAGAACAAGACTCTGACTCAAAAGAAAAAAAGAAAAGAAAAAGAAAAACTGAGAGAGGAAATGAAATGAAAAAAATGGCAACCTAAGAAGGTGCTGGCACTGCTGAGGGGCAAGGTGAAGGGACACAGAGGAGAAGGCCACGGCAGGGGCAGCAGGGAGGCAGGGCTGGGAGTAGAGGGTAGAGCTGAGGAACAAAGTCATACACAGGCACAGAGGGCAGAGGTCACAGCACATGGTGGCCTGGAGGAGCTCAAAGGGACCAGCTGGTATGTGTGACCACAAGAGAAGAGGAGAGGTAGGAGGGAGAAGGAAGGGGCCTGGCAGCAGTGGATCAAATGCCACAGAGAAGTCAGGGACTGGCCTGGGCCTGGGGAGGGGACGGGGGATGTGAAAGGGAGAGGCTGGGAGGCTGGCAGGAAGTGAGAACTGGGATGCGCCCACTTCCCACCAAGTCACCCGGTCTCCCTGCTCTGCTCCTACAGCCTGCAGAACCCCAAGCACTCTGTGCCCTGCCCGCCAAGCCTGGCATCCTTCATGGGAAGTGAGGGGTACTAGGTGGAGTGACAGATGGAAAGAGAGACCAAAGGAGAGGGCTGAGGGGCTGGGTGCAGTAGCTTACGCCTATAATCCCACCACTTTGGGGGACTGAGACAGATAATCCATTCAGCCCAGGAGTTCAAGACCAGCCAGGGCAACATAGCAAGACCCCATCTCTACAAAAAAATACAAAAATTATCCAGGCATGGTGGTGCACGTCTGTAGTCCCAGCTACCCAGGAGGCTGTGGTGTGGTGGAAGGATTGCTTGAGCCCAGGAGGTTGAGGCTGCATGGAGCTGTGATCACACCACTGCACTCCAGCCTGGGTGACAGAGTGAGACCCTGTCTCAAAACTTTTTTTGTTGTTTGTTTGGTTGTTTGTTTTTTTTGAGACAGAGTCATCCAGGATGGAGTGTAGTGGCGAAATATCAGCTCACTGCAACCTCCACATCCTGGGCTCAAGTGATCCTCCCACCTCAGCTTCCAGAGTAGCTATGATCACAGACACATGCCACCACTCGTCTAATTTTTCTATTTTTTGTAGAGATGGGGGTCTCACTATGTTGCCCAGGCTGGTCTTGAACTGCTGGCCTTAAGCAGTCCTCCCGCCTCGGCCTCCCAAAGTGCTGGGATTACAGGTGTGAGCCATTGCGTCTGGCCCCACTGATCTTTTACTGTCCTCATAGTTTTGCCTTTTCCAGAATATCCTATAGTTGGAATAAGACAGTAAATAGCCTTTTCAGATTGGCTTCCTTTTTTTTTTTTTTTTTTTTTTTGAGACAGAGTTTCACTCTTGTTGCCAAGGCTGGAGTGCAATGGCACAATCTCGGCTCACTGCAACCTCTGTCTCCCAGGTTCAAGCGATTCTCCTGCCTCAGCCTCCCGAGTAGCTGGGATAACAGGCATGTGCCAGCACACCTGGCTAATTTTGTATTTTTAGTATAGACGGGGTTTCTCCATATTGATCAGACTGGTCTCGAACTCTCGTCCTCAGGTGATCCACCCGTCTTGGCCTCCCAAAGTGCTGGGATTACAGGCATGAGCCACTGTGCCCGGCCCCAGATTGGCTTCTTTCACTTAGTGATATGCCTTTAAGTTTCCTCCATGTCTTTTCATGGCTTGAGATCTCATTTCTTTCTTTCTTTCTCTTTCTTTCTCTTTCTTTCTTTCTTTCTTTCTTTTTTTATAGAGACGGGGCCTCGCTATGTTGCCCAGGCTGGTCTCGAACTCCTGGCCTCAAGCGATCCTCCTGCCTCAACCTCCCGAAGTGCTGGGATTACGGGCATGAGCCACTGCACTTGGCATTAAAAAATTTTTTAATTAAAAAAAAAAGAGGCCGGGTGCGGTGGCTCACGCCTGTAATCCCAGCACTTTGGGAGCCTGAGGCGGGTGGATCACTTGAAGTCAGGAGTTCCAGACCAGCCTGGCCAACATGGTGAAACCCCATCTCTACCAAAAATATTAAAAATTAGCCGGGCATGGTGGTGGGCACCTGTAATCCCAGCTACTCGGGAGGCTGAGGCAGGAGAATCGCTTGAACCCGGGAGGTGGATGTTGCAGTGAGCAGAGATCACGCCACTGCACCCCAGCCTGACTGACAGAGTGAGACTCTGTCTCAAAATAAATAAATAAATAAAAATTAAAAATTAAAAAAAAATAGAGGGCTGAGGGCTGGATCCGAGCAGTGCAACTTCTGTCTGGGGCAGGGGGCCTGGCTTGGACCCTGCCAGCCTCTCCTGGAGATGGGGAAGGAGGAATGGAGGTGGGGCGGGGGAGGTGGGACAGAACCCAGAAGCTGATAGCGTCGGTGAGCCAGGTGCCGCATCCCCGTGCAAGGGCTCACCCCGACCCCCCTCTCACCCCCCAGGGCAGCAAGGAGCGCTTCCACTGGCAGAGCCACAACGTGAAGCAGAGCGGCGTGGATGACATGGTGCTTCTTCCCCAGATCACCGAAGACGCCATTGCCGCCAACCTCCGGAAGCGCTTCATGGACGACTACATCTTCGTACCCTGGGCCAAGGCTGGGGGTGGGCAGGCAGGGAAGGAATGAATGGCTGGGCCATGGACGGAGAGGAGGGTGAAGGAGCAGAGGGAGGAATGGGCCGGGAGAGCACCAAGTGGTGACACAGAGGACAGACAGAGTGACAGCAGGGCTCTGGTTGGGGGCAGCTGTGGCTGCCACTGCTCCCTCTGTCCTGGGGAAGCTCAGCCCCAGCGTGTTCCATTTCCCCCATTCCGGATCCAACCCTGTTTGTTCTTTTTTTTTTTTTTTTTTTTTTTTTTTTTTGAGACGGAGTCTTGCTCTGTCGCCCAGGTTCCAGGCTGGAGTGTAGTGGCACAATCTCAGCTCACTGCAACCTCCACCTCCCGGATTCAAATGATTCTCCTGCCTCAGCCTCCCAAGTAGCTGGGATTATAGGCATGCGCCACCATGCCTGGCTAATTTTTTTGTTTTTGCTTTTTGTGTTTTGTGTTTTGTTTTTGAGACTGAGTGGCTCTTGTTGCCCAGGCTGGAGTGCAATGGCACGATAGCTCGCTGCAACCTCTGCCTCCCAGGTTCAAGCGATTCTCCTCCCTCAGCCTCCCAAGTAGCCGGGATTACAGGCATGCACCACCATGCCCGGGTAATTTTTTGTATTATTAGTGGAGACAAGGTTTCACCATGTTGGCCAGGCTGGTCTCAAACTCCTGACCTCAAGTGATCCGCCTGCCTCGGCCTTCCAAAGTGCTGGGATTACAGGCATGAGCCACCGCGCCCGGCCAGCCCTGTTTTTTCCAAGAGACTCGAGGTGCATCCATTATCTCCATCTCTTCCACCTCCAAGCAATGGAGTTTTAGGAAGCCCTGGGTGGGGGCAGGATGAGGGGACAGGGAGGACAAAACCTACCAGGACACCACACGACCCTTAACCATCCCTCAGACCTACATCGGCTCTGTGCTCATCTCTGTAAACCCCTTCAAGCAGATGCCCTACTTCACCGACCGTGAGATCGACCTCTATCAGGGCGCGGTGAGGCTGGGGCTGGGTGGGAGGCACAGCCCCCAGACTCCTGGCCCCCAGCCCTGGGCTGAGACCTGACCTCCCCTGCCAGGCCCAGTATGAGAATCCCCCGCACATCTACGCCCTCACGGACAACATGTACCGGAACATGCTTATCGACTGTGAGAACCAGTGTGTCATCATTAGGTATGGACAGAGTTGGGGGGCCACAGACCCTGCTGCCCGGGCCCCTGCTGAAACATCACCACCCCCAGGGAGGTTTGCCTGAAACTCCCAATCTGAACATTGCCCTGCTGTCCCTCTCTGCCCTCACTCTGTTTTATTTTCCTTGTCACCATCTGACTCACGATGTATTTTATTGATTCATTCTGCTATTGTCTGTCTGTCCCCTCTAAATGTCACCTCAGGCCAGGTGTAGTGGCTCATGCTTGTAATCCTGGCACTTTGGGAGGCCAAGGCGAGAGGATCTCTTGAGGCTAGGAGTTCAAGACCAGCCTGGGCAATATGGCAACATCCTGTCTCTGTATAGATAATAATTAGCCGGACACGGTGGTGCACGCCTGTAGTCCCCAGCTACTCAAGAGGCTGAGGAGGGAGGATTGCTTGAGCCCAGGAGTTCCAGGCAGGAACAGGTGCTATGATCACACCACTGCACTCCAGCCTGGGCAACAGAGTGAGACCCCATCTCAGTCAATCAATCGATGCCAGCTCTATGAGAGCAGAGAGAGAGAAAGAGAGCGAGAGAGAGAGAGAGAGAGAGAGAGAGAGTGTGTGTGTGTGTGTGTGTGTGTGTGACAGAGTCTCAGTCTGTCACCCAGGCTGGAGTGCAGTGGCACAACCTCAGCTCACTGCAACCTCTGCCTCCCAGGTTCAAGCAATTCTCCTGCCTCAGCCTCCTGAGTGGCCGGGATTACAGGCGCCCACCACCATGTCCGGCTAATTTTTGTATTTTAGTAGAGACTGGGTTTCACCATGTTGGCCAGGCTGGTCTCTAACTTTTGACCTCAAGTGATCCGCCCTCCTCAGGCTCCCAAAGTGCTGGGATTACAGGCAGGAGCCACCATGCCCGGCTGAGAGCAGAGATTTTATCTGTCTTGTTCATTACAGTATCCCCAGTACCCGGAATACTGGCAGGCACACAGTAGGTGCTCAATGAATGAATGGTCAGGCACTAAAAAGGGCTCTTCCCCAACCACTGATCATTTATTCCTCCATTCATCCCCAGTGGAGAGAGTGGAGCTGGGAAGACAGTGGCAGCCAAATATATCATGGGCTACATCTCCAAGGTGTCTGGCGGAGGCGAGAAGGTCCAGGTGAGACGAGGAAAACAGAAGGATAAGCTGGGTCGCCCTCACCTGCATGGTAGTGCAGCCCCACCCATCTGCACTCCTGCCTCAGTCTGACTTCTTCCCACTCCACCTGCCTCTGCCCCAGCACGTCAAAGATATCATCCTGCAGTCCAACCCGCTGCTCGAGGCCTTCGGCAACGCCAAGACTGTGCGCAACAACAATTCCAGCCGCTTTGTAAGTCTCTGCAGACCTGCTTGGAGCAGCTGCTCCCTCCGTGCTGACCTTTCTACACACACACCCACACATACACACACCCGTATTGCCAAGACAAGAGTCCATTGAAAACCCAGCAGGAAATACCTACTCCTGAAGGGGAGACTCACTTCCTGCTCATGGTCCCTTTCAAAAGAGAGTCCCCCATTGGCAGAACTGTGGAGGCCATGACACCCCTGTGTAACATTCTTAAATGCTCCCCCGGCTGCAGCCATGCTACATTGTTCCCATTCACATTTCAGGTCCAATTTATTCCCTCATCCATTCCTTCTTTCGACAATAGTTCTGGGACTCGTTCTTTGTGTGGGTGCTGCGCTGGGCCCAGTGAAAGTCAGGATAGGTAAACAGATATGGATTCAGGGTTTGATTCTATCACTGTGAGCTGTGTAGCCTGGGGGGGAAAAAAATCTATGCAACTTCCTGAGTTTCCTCTGTTTGCTCATCCATAAAATGGTGACGATGTTAATATCCATCTCATAGACTTCAGTATTACACCTGCACATGGACATGGTTTAATAAATTCCATACCCTTGGGCTGGGTGTGGGGGCTCACATCTGAAATCCCAGCACTTTGGGAGGCTGAGACAGGCGGATCACTTGAGGTCTGGAGTTCAAGACCAGCCTGGCCAACATGATGAAAAATACAAAAATTAGCTCTGCCAAAAATACAAAAATTAGCTGGGCATGGTGGCGGGTGCCTGTAGTCCCAGCTACTCAGGAGGCTAAGGCAGGAGAATCACTTGAACCCAGGAGGTGGACGTTGCAGTGAGCCGACATTGCGCCACTGAATCCCAGCCTGAGCAACAGAGTCAGATTCTGTCTCAAAAAAAAAAGGAAGAAGGGAAGAGAGGCAAGGCTCATAAGACCCATCCCCAACCCTTCCCCCACCTGCACCCCAGGACACTGGGGTGCTGACATGGTTCTCTCGGATTCAGGGCAAGTACTTTGAGATCCAGTTCAGCCGAGGTGGGGAGCCAGATGGGGGCAAGATCTCCAACTTCTTGCTGGAGAAGTCCCGCGTGGTCATGCAAAATGAAAATGAGAGGAACTTCCACATCTACTACCAGGTGCAGGGAAGGGGCCGGGGGAGAGGGAGCACCACCTGGAGCCCAGCGGGGTGGACAATGGGAAGGTAAACACCTAGGGGGGCATGGCAGGGCAGATGAGGGATCACAGGGGCTGAGCCAGGCAAGCACCAGATGCATGAACATGGCACACCCTCCAGCTGCTGGAAGGGGCCTCCCAGGAGCAAAGGCAGAACCTGGGCCTCATGACACCGGACTACTATTACTACCTCAACCAATCGGACACCTACCAGGTGGACGGCACGGACGACAGAAGCGACTTTGGTGAGACTCTGGTGAGCACCGGCCTCTACTCCAGTCCCCGGCCAGGCAGACCTCAGCCCCAGAAACCCTCCTGAGTTACAAATTAGGAAACCGAAGCCCAGGCCAGGCATGTGGCTCAAGCCTGTAATCCCAGCACTTTGGGAGGCCGAGGCAGGTAGATCACTTAAGGTCAGGAGTTTAAGACCGGCCTGGCCAACGTGGTTAAACCCCGTCTCTACTTAAAATACAAAAATTAGCCAGATGTGGTGGCGTGTGACTGTAATCCCAGCTACTGGGGAGGCAGAGGCAGGAAAATTGCTTGAAAACGGGAGGTGGAAGTTGCAGTGAGCCGAGATCACACTACTGCACTCCAGCCTGGGCAACAGAGTGAGACTACATCTCAAAAAAAAAAAAAAAAAAGGCCAGGCACGGTGGCTCACACCTGTAATCCCAGCACTTTGGGAGGCCGAGGCAGGTAGATCACCTGAGGTCAGGAGTTCAAGACCAGCCTGGCCAACATAGTGAAACCCCATCTTTATTAAGAATACAAAGATTAGCCGGGTATGATGCCATGCGCCTGTAGTCCCAGCTACTAGGGAGGCTGAGGCAGGAGAATCGCTTAAACCCGGGAGGTGGAGGTTGCAGTGAGCCAAGATAGCGCCGCTGCACTCCCGCCTGGGTGAAAGAGTGAGACTCTAAAAAAAAAAAAATAGGAAACCAAAGCCCAGTCCGGACACGACGCTCACGCCTGTAATCCCAGCTACTCGGGAGGCGGAGGCAGGAAAATCGCTTGAACCTGGGATGAGGAGGTTGCAGTGAGCCAAGATCATACCACTGCACTCCAGCCTGGGCAACAGAGGGAGACTCTGTCTCAAAAATAAAAAATATAATAAAAAACAAAGCCCAGAGAGGTGCAGGCACTTACCCAAGGTCACGCGGCAAGTGACTGAAAGGGGTAGGACAGGGACCCAAGGGTGCTCACTCCCTGAGTCCGTGCTGTGGTCCCTCAAGCCTGCCCCTGGAGGCAGGTTGGAGGCCAGGATTCACGGCACAGTTTCTGCCCCCGTTGTACCACAGAGTGCTATGCAGGTTATTGGGATCCCGCCCAGCATCCAGCAGCTGGTCCTGCAGCTCGTGGCGGGGATCTTGCACCTGGGGAACATCAGTTTCTGTGAAGACGGGAATTACGCCCGAGTGGAGAGTGTGGACCGTGAGTGTGGGTATCAGGGAGGGCTGGATGGAGGCCTGTGGGTGGGTGAACTGCGTCCTCCTAGCTCAGCCCCCAGGAAGCTGAAAGCCCACGAGGAAAAAAATGTGGGTGTCACTGGGCAAGATGGGGATAATAGGAGGCCCATGCAGGAGGCACAAGAGCCCAACCAACTGTCCCATTTTTGCCCTGACCTTTGCCCTGGTAGTCCTGGCCTTTCCCGCCTACCTGCTGGGCATTGACAGCGGGCGACTGCAGGAGAAGCTGACCAGCCGCAAGATGGACAGCCGCTGGGGCGGGCGCAGCGAGTCCATCAATGTGACCCTCAACGTGGAGCAGGCAGCCTACACCCGTGATGCCCTGGCCAAGGGGCTCTATGCCCGCCTCTTCGACTTCCTCGTGGAGGCGAGTGGGGCTGGGGCTGGAAGGCAGAGTGGATGCTCTGGGGTCACAAACATTTATGGAAGCTGAGTGCAGTGGCTCACGGCTGCAATCCCAATGCTTTGGGTGGCTGAGTTGGGAGCATTCTTTGAGGCCAGAAGTTCAAGACCAGCCTGGGCAACATAGCAAGACCCCCATCTCTACAGAAATTTCAAATTAGTTGGGTGTAGTGGTGTGCATGTGTAGTTCTGGCTACTCAGAGGGCTGAGGTTGGGGGATCATTTGAACCCAGGAGGTTGGGGCTGCAGTGAGCTATGATTGCGCTATTGTACTCCAGCCTGGGTGACAGAGCAAGACCCTGTCTCTAAAAAAAACTTTTGGCCAGATGCAGTGGCTCATGCCTGTAATCCCAGCACTTTGGGAGGCTGAGGTGGATGGATCACTTGAGGTCTGGAGTTTGAGACCAGCCTGGCCAACATGGTGAAACCCCCTCTCTACTAAAAATTACCCGGGAGTGGTGGCACATGCCTTTAATCCCAGCTACTTGGGAGGCTGAGGGAGGAGAATCACTTGAACCTGGGAGGTGGAGGTTGCAGTGAGCTGAGATCGTGCTATTGTATTCCAGCCTGGGCAACAGAGAGAGACTCTGTCTCAAAATAAATAAATAAATAAAATAAAAACTTTTTTAATGTATGGAGTCAGCCTGGGCAACATGGCAAAACCCTGTCTCTACAAAAATACAAAAATTAGCCGGGCATGGTGGCTGGTGCCTGTAATCCCGGCTACTCAGGAGGCTGAGGTGGAAGAATCCCTGACCCCAGGAGGTTGAGGCTGTAGTGAGCCATGATCAAGCCACTACACTCCAGCCTGGACAACAGACTGAGACCCTGTCTCAAAATAAAAAATAAAAATAAATAAAGTATAAAATGTATGGCCAGGTGCAGTGGCTCATGCCTGTAATCCCAGCACTTTGGGAGGTCAAAGCGGGCAGATCACCCAAGGTCAGGAGTTCAAGATCAGCCCTGGCCAGCATGGCAAAACCCCGTCTCTACTAAAAATACAAGAATTAGCCGGGCGTGGTGGCGCATGCCTGTAATCCCAGCTACTTGGGAGGCTGAGGCAGAAGAATCTCTTGAATCCTGGAGGCAGAGGTTTCAGTGAGCCGAGATTGCGCCACTGGCATTCCAGCCTGGGCAACAGAATGAGACTCCATCTCAAAAAAAATAGAAAAGAAAAAGCCCCATAAGGTAGTTGCTATTATCAACCCCTTTTAAAGATAAGAAAATAGAGGTGCAAGGCCGGGCGCAGTGGCTCACACCTGTAATCCCGGCACTTTGGGAGGCCGAGGCGGGCGGATCACGAGGTCAGGAGATCGAGACCACAGTGAAACCCCGTCTCTACTAAAAATACAAAAAATTAGCCGGGCGTGGTGGCAGGCCCTTGTAGTTCCAGCTACTTGGGAGGCTGAGGCAGGAGAATGGTGTGAACCCTGGAGGCGGAGCTTGCAGTGAGCCGAGATCATGCCACTGCACTCCAGCCTGGGCGACAGAGTGAGACTCCGTCTCAAAAAAAAAAAAGAAAAAAAAAAAAAGAAAATAGAGGTGCAGAGAGGTTCAGGGGCAGAGTCAGCTCTGGAGTCAGGGACCCTGATACACTGACACTTGGGTTTCTCCTCTGAGTGACTGATTATGGGGTGGGGAGACTGTACACAGAGCCAGGAAGGGCAGAGCTAAAGAGGGCTGGAGGGAAACTGGCATGAGGGGACATCACCCATGAAGTTGGCTAGGCGTGTGTCTAAGGAGTGGTGGGCAGGGGCTTCAGATCTGACCGATGCCCACTGACTTCCTGTCCCCACCCACACCGCAGGCCATCAACCGTGCTATGCAGAAACCCCAGGAAGAGTACAGCATCGGTGTGCTGGACATTTACGGCTTCGAGATCTTCCAGGTACGGCCCCCTGCCTCCAGCCCACATCCTGTCCTCCCTGGGGCAGCCCAGGGTGGCCACAAGAACTTCCAGCACCAGGACATTGAGGGAAGGACCCTTTTCCTCCTTCTGCAGAAAAATGGCTTCGAGCAGTTTTGCATCAACTTCGTCAATGAGAAGCTGCAGCAAATCTTTATCGAACTTACCCTGAAGGCCGAGCAGGTGGGCGGCCAAGCAGTCAGGGATGGGGGATCCTGGGGTGGGGGTGGGGTGGAAGGACCATGAGGATCCCTTAGCAACTAGGGGACACCCCAGCCCTCCCCACCGCGTTCCCACCTCTCTGTGCCAACCTACCCAGGCTCCATAGTGATACTTCCTTCTGCCTCTAAAGCTTTGGGAAGGACCGTGCCTCTTAGTTCATTCATTCAGCAATTATTTATTGAGCACCTGTTGTGTGCCAGGTACTGTTTAGGGTGCTTGGAGACACAGCCATGAACAATAAGGCAATAGTCCCTGCTGTCTTCATTTTGCCCCTCCCCCAGAAGCAGAGCCTGAGGCAAGGATTCAGAGACAAATGGTTTTTCTGGGAGGCAATCCCAGGAAGCTCCAAGAGGAGACTGAGGAAGTAAGTCAGGGATTTTTTTTTTTTTTTTTGAGACAAAGTCTCGTTCTGTCACCCAGGCTGGAGTGCAGTGGCATGATCTCGGCTCACTGCAACCTCCGCCTCCAGAGTTCAAGTGATTCTCCTGCCTCAGCCTCCCGAGCAGCTGGGACTACAGGCACCCACCACCATGCCCAGCTAATTTTTGTATTTTTAGTAGAGACAGGGTTTCATCATATTGGCCAGACTGGTCTCAAACTCCTGACCTCGTGATCCACCCACCTCAGCCTCCCAAAGTGCTGGGATTACAGATGGGAGCCACCATTCCCCGCTTTTTTTTTTTTTTTTTTTTTTTTGAGACAGGAACTCGCTCTGTTGTCCAGGCTGGAGTGCAGTGGTGTGATCACAGGTCACTGCAGTCTACACCTCCTGGGCTCAAGCAATCCTCCCACTTCAGCCTCTCAAGTAGCTGGGACCGCAGGCACACACCATCATGCCTGGCTAATATTTTAAAACTTTTTTGTAGAGTTGGTGTTTCACTTTGTTGCCCAGATTGGTCTTGAACTCCTGGCCTCAAGCAATCCTCCTGCCTTGGCCTGCCAAAGTGCTGGGACTACAGGCATGAGTTAATATGCCCAGTCCTGAGACAGGGATTTTTTTAACAAAGAGAGAGAGAGAGGCTGGGTGCAGTGGCTCACGCCTGTAATCCCAGCACTTTGGGAGGCTGAGGTGGGTGGATCACCTGAGGTCAGGAGTTTGAGACCAGCCTGGCCAACATGGTGAAACCCCATCTCTACTAAAAATATAAAACTTAGCCAGGTGTGGTGCTGGGCACCTGTAATCCCAGCTACTCAGGAGTCTGAGGCAGGAGAATTGCTTGAACCCAGGAGGCAGAGCTTGTAGTGAGTCGAGATTGTGCCATTGCACTCCAGCCTGGGCAACAGCAGAATGAGACCCTGTCTCAAAAAAGAAAAGAAAAAAAGAGAGAGACAGACCGAGCCAGACACAATCACTCACACCTATAGTCCCAGCTATCTAGGAGGCTAAGTTAAGAGGATCGCTTGAGCCTGGGGGTTCAAAGCCAGCCTGGACAACATAGTGAGACCTCATCTCTACAAAAAACATAAAAATTAGCCAGGCATGGTGGTGTGCTCCTACGGTCCCAGCTACTCGGAAGGCTGAGATGAGAGGATCACTTGAACCCTGGAGGTCAAGGTTGCAGTGAGCTAGGATCGCATCGCTGAGTTCCAGCCTGGGTAACAGAGCAAAACCCGGTCTCAAAAAAAAAAAGCAAGCTGTGTGCGGTGGCTCATGCCTGTAATCCCAGCACTTTGGGAGGCCGAGGTGGGCAGATGTCCTGAGGTTGGGAGTTCGAGACCAGCCTGACCAACATGGAGAAACCCCATCTCTACTAAAAATACAAAATTAGTCCGGCGTGGTGGCACATACCTGTAATCCCAGCTTCTCGGGAGGCTGAGGCAGGAGAATCGCTTGAACTCGGGAGGCGGAGGTTGCGATGAGCCAAGATCGTGCCATTGCACTCCAGCCTAGGCAACAGGAGTGAAACTCCATCTCAAAAAAAAAAAAAAAAAAAAAAAAAGAGTCAAAATAGTGTGTTAATGAGCACGTTATGCTGTGGACAACCGGAATGCAACTGCACTGGGACTCGAGGAGGCTTCATAGAGCGGAGAAGCGAGGGAGCTGGGGTATTTATCCACCCACTCCTGTTGATTATTGGTCAAGGACTGCTGAAACCAGATGTAATTCCCTGGCACTTCCAGCCTTGCCCACATAGGAGTGACGGGCTTTGTTACCAGAGACAGTCCTAAGTGATGAGATGGAGAAGGGGAGAGGACATGGGGGGAAGGGTGGCCACAACTTTTTCACTGGCCCCCACATCCACCCCCTTTTCCACCCCAGGAGGAGTATGTGCAGGAAGGCATCCGCTGGACTCCAATCCAGTACTTCAACAACAAGGTCGTCTGTGACCTCATCGAAAACAAGCTGGTGAGGGCTGGGTCAACTTTGGCGGGGGCGTCTCACTGGTCCCCTGAGCTGAGTCTGGAAGATGAGGGGGAGGGCCAAGGGTGTTATGGCATCCTCAGGCCCTTCTCTACCCTACACTCAGGACTTCCAGCGACAGATAACAACCAAAATGTCCCTTCCGCCCCTCATCCATTCATTCCGCCTACTTGTCCACCTTTCACTTAATCATTCAATAAACATTTCCCCGGGAACCCCAGCTCACAGTTAGAGTCAAATTTGCAGATTCCATGCCGGTGGCTCACGCCTGTAATCCCAGCACTTTGGGAGGCCAAGGTGGGCGGATCACCTGAGGTCAGGAGTTCGAGACCAGCCTGACCAATATGGTGAAAACCTGTCTCTACTAAAAATACAAAAAATTAGCCAGGCGTGGTGGCAGGCGCCTGTAATCCCAGCTACCCGGAAGGCTGAGGTGGGAGGATCACTTGAGCCCAGGAAGTCAAGGGTGCAGTGAGCTATGATTGCACCACCACACTCCAGCCTGAGGAACAGAACAAGACCCTGTCTCAAAAAAAATTAAATTTAAGACGTATTTAGGCGGGACATGGTGGCTCATGCCTGTAATCCCAGCACTTTGGGAGGCCAAGGCAGGTGGATCACCTGAGGCCAAGAGTTCGAAACCAGCCTGGCCAACATGGTGAAACCCCATCTCTACTAAAAAATACAAAAATTAGCCGGGCATGGTGGCGGCATGCCTGTAATCCCAGCTACTCAGGAGGCTGAAGCAGGAGAATCACTCGAACCTGGGAGATGGAGGCTGCAGTGAGCTGAGATCACGCCACTGCTCTCCAGCCTGGGCAAGAGAGCAAGACTCCGTCTCTAAATAAATAAATAAATACATAAGGCAGGTCCCCCTACCAAGGGATTCTAGTCTGGGGCCTGAATCTCTTGAGGGGTCCCCACCCACTTCTGCACCTCAGCGAGCTTCCACAGTAGCCCCACACACCCTTGCCCCCCTATCCCTTCCATCCCTGACCCCTGCAACGCCTTTTGTGCTTGTATTTGAAGCCCCTGGTGCCCTCCCCACCCCCAAAGCTCTAGCTCCCTCCACTCCTCCACCCCCTCCCTCCCCTAATCTCTGCACTGACGAGCTGTGGGGAGGCAAGGCAGACCAAACTGAGCCGCTGCTGGCTCCCGCTCGCCCCGCAGAGCCCCCCAGGCATCATGAGCGTCTTGGACGACGTGTGCGCCACCATGCACGCCACGGGCGGGGGAGCAGACCAGACACTGCTGCAGAAGCTGCAGGCGGCTGTGGGGACCCACGAGCATTTCAACAGCTGGAGCGCCGGCTTCGTCATCCACCACTACGCTGGCAAGGTGCGCCCCCTGCCCCTACCCTACCCTGTGCCTCCTCGCAGACCCCCAGGGCTCCAGGCTGTAGCCCCCACCCTCCAGCACCCAGGCTGGAAAGAGCCTGCTAGGACCCTTATCCAGGGCTGTAGAATTCCACTGTCCCCCGCCTCAATCCACCCCCTACTAACCAGAACTACAGACCCTTCCGGCTGACCCCCCAGGAACTCTCTAAGCCCCAAACTTGTCTGGACACCACCACCACCACCACCACCACCACCAGCACCGCCACCGCCACCGCCACCGCCACCGCCACCGCCACCACCAGCACCACCACCAGCACCAGCACCAGCACCACCACCACCACCACCACCAGCACCACCAGCACCACCACCACCACCACCACCACCACCACCACCACCACCAGCACCACCACCACCACCACCAGCACCACCAGCACCACCAGCACCACCACCACCACCACCACCACCACCACCACCACCACCACCACCAGCACCACCAGCACCACCACCACCAGCACCACCAGCACCACCAGCACCACCACCACCACCACCACCAGCACCACCAGCACCACCAGCACCACCACCACCACCAGCACCACCACCACCACCACCACCACCACCACCAGCACCACCACCACCACCACCAGCACCACCACCACCACCGTGTTCCCTGGGCCAGGGCTGCAGAAACCCTGACCTCTGATCCAGGCCACAGCTTCCCTTACACATCAACTCCCCTAACAGAGGGAACAGAATTCCCCCCGATTAACACCAGCTTGGGTACCAGACTGCCTATGTTCAGATAAGCCCCAATGTGAGTCATAACCCCCTGACTAGGACACAGCCCCCCACCTTCTGATCCCAATTTGGAGAGGAAATCCCCAAAGCCCCCAGGCCCCTCCTGTGAGCCACCAGCCTTCAAAATGTGCTGAAGCCTCCTACAGACCCCTACCGAAGGCTACAGAAATCCACTGGACTCTAACCATGCCCGCAGCCCCACTCCCCAAAAGACAGGACTACACTCTCAGGCAGTGATCCAAGGATCTCACAACATGAGAGCAGAAGTTCCTAGGAGTGCCCCTAAAATGGGCTGGAGAGGCTGGGAGTGGTGGCTCACGCCTGTAATCCCAGCACTTTGGGAGGCTGAGGCGGGTGGATCACCTGAGGTCAGGAGTTCAAGACCAGCCTGGCCAACATGGTGAAACCCAGTCTCTACTAAAAATACAAAAATCAGCCGGGCGTGGTCGTGGGCACCTGTAATCCCAGCTACTCAGGAGGCTGAGGCAGGAGAATCACTTGAATCCAAGAGGTGGAGGTTGCAGTAAGCCAAGATTGTGCCACAGCACTCCAGCCTGAGCAACAGAGCAAGACTCCATCTCACAAAACAAAAGCAAACAGGGCCGGGTGCAGTGGCTCACGCCTATAATCCCAGCACTTTGGGAGGCTGAGGCGGGCGGATCACAAGGTCAGGAGATCGAGACCATCCTGGCTAACATATTGAAACCCCGTCTCTATTAAAAATAAAAAAAAAAATCAGCCAGGTGTGGTGGCACACGCCTGTAATCCCAGCTCATCGGGAGGCTGAGACAGGAGAATCACTTGATCCCGGAAGGCGGAGGTTGCAGTGAGCTGAGATCGTGTCATTGCACTCCAGCCTGGGTGATAGAGCAAGACTCTTTCTCAAAAAAAAAAAAAAGCAAACAAACAAAAACAAAAACGGCTGGAGCTCCCATGTTCCCTCAGCCAGGGTTGCAAAAGCCCTGCTCAGAACTACAGAGGGCCCTAACCTTTGGTAGCAGCTCCAGCCCCCAACCCTGGCTGAAATGCCCCCAGAGATCCCTGAGACAGGGCTGTTACCCTCCTGACACAGGCCCCCTGCACTGGCCCCTGATTGACCAGGTCACAGATATCCAATCTGACCTCTGACTCCCAGGGACCCCCCCGCCAGGCTGCAGCCCCCCACCCACCAATCTGAGCTATAACTTTCACCGCCCCCCGGCCTCTGATGCAAGCTGCAGCTCTCTCCTGGCTCATCTAGGTTGTAACCCCCACCTCCCCTTACCTCTGACCTGGGATACAGCCACGATCCTCTAACCTCAACTTGAACATCAGCTCTCCAGGAAGCCCGCCCCCCATCCCCTATTCTGAACTGTAGATACCCCCCAGCCAGCGCTGTAGACACTGCCTGATCCTCTCACCCCACAGCAGGCCCCAGGAAAGCCTTGACCACCTGGGCTGTAAGCACCCCACGCCCACCCTCCCAGCCAGGTTTCTCAGTCCCTCACTGTCCTCAGCACTGTCCCCTCCAGGTCTCCTACGACGTCAGCGGCTTCTGCGAGAGGAACCGAGACGTTCTCTTCTCCGACCTCATAGAGCTGATGCAGACCAGTGAGCAGTGAGTGGTCCCAGGCATGGGGACCTCCGGCTACAACCCCCCAAGGGGATGGAGGGAGGACCGGGCCCCACTCCATCTTACCCAGAACTGCCATCTCGCCACAAACTCGAGGGGAGTGGCTGTGCGGCCAGGATGGTGTTTCTATGGACTAGTTCTGATGTAAAAAGTAACTCCAGAGGCCGGGCGCAGTGGCTCACGCCTGTAATCCCAGCACTTTGGGAGGCCGAAGTGGACAAATCTCTTGAGGCCAAGAGTTTGAGACCAGCCTGGGCAACATGGCAAAACCTTGTCTCTACTAAAATTATAAAAATTACCTAGGCGTGGTGGCGCGCACCTGTAATTCCAGCTACTCAGGAGGTGGAAGCATAAGAATCTCTTGAACCCAGGAGGCAGAGGTTGCAATGAGCCAAGATTGTGCCACTGCACTCCAGCCTGGGCGACAGAGGGAGATTCTGTCTCAAAAAAAAAAAAAAAAAAAAACACACACACACACACACACACAAAGAACATAGCATTAGATGTAAAGTAATAAGACGGGGATCCTTAAAGTGTTTGACATGTGGTTCTTAGACCAGCAACCTGAGCATCCTTGGGCCTTGTTTCCAGTGCAGAATCTCCCTAGCCAGAAGGATCACTGGAGGTCCCAAGTTTAAGACCAGCCTGGGCAACATAGCAAGACCCCTGTCTCTTAAAAAAAAATTCTTTTTTTTAAATGCTTGTCTACTCTGCCAGCAAAAATAATAATAATTAATTAATTAGCTGGGTGTGGTGGCACATGCCTATAGTCCCAGCTACTCGGGAGGCTGAGATAGAAGGATCACTTGAGCCTAGGAGGTGGAGGCTACAGTGAGCCGTGATTGCACCACTGCACTCCAGCCTTGGCAACAGACCTTATCTCTGAGGGGAAAAAAAAGGCAGAACCTCAAACTCCACCCCAGACCTCCAGAATCAGAATCTGCATCTGATTCTGAACTATCAGAATCTGAACAATCAGGTTTAGAACTATCGGAACCTAACCTGATCTTTAAGCCAGGATGCACCCATGCCTCCCAGGGATCCATGTGCACGTAAGGGTTTCAGCAGCACTTACCATTAAATCCACCCACTTTAAGCAGTGTCTCAATCCATGACGTTTAGCAAATTCACAGAATTGCGCAACCATCACCACAATCCGATTTTTTTTTTTTTTTTTTGGAGACAGTGTCTCTCACCCTGCCGCCCAGGCTGGAGTGCAGTGGCACGATCTCGGCTCACTGCAACCTCCACCTCCTGGGTTCAAGCGATTCTCCTGCCTCAGCCTCCCGAGTAGCTGGGATTATAGACGCCCACCATCATGCCCCGCTAATTTTTGTATTTTTAGTAGAGACAGGGTTTCACCATGTTGGTCAGGCTTGTCTCAAACTCCTGACTTCAGGTGATCCACCTGCCTCAGCCTCCCAAAGTGCTGGGATTACAGGCATGCACCACCGCACCCGGCCTTATTAACCATTTTAAAATGTACAATTTATCCGTGTTGTTCCCTTTTTGTGACAAAGAAAAAATAAAGGAAATAAATAAATAAATAAAATAAGATAAAATGAAATGAAATGTACAATTCAGTGGCATTCAATACATTCACACATTGGCTTGAGCCCAGGAGTTCCAGGCTGCAGTTCCTATCATCGCACCAATGCGCCCCAACCTGGAGGACAAAGCGAGGCCCTGCCTCAAAAAACAAACCAAAAAACCAACCCTCTGCATCTCACCCATCACAGCTCCCCTCCACATTGAGAGAACCATATTTTGCGTTGCGGCATTGAGGCTGCCCCACCCCTGGAGGAAGAGTACCCGAAAGTCTAGCCATACCTCCAACTCCTCCTCTCCCCTTTCCTACCCAGGGCCTTCCTCCGGATGCTCTTCCCCGAGAAGCTGGATGGAGACAAGAAGGGGCGCCCCAGCACCGCCGGCTCCAAGATCAAGGTGGGCCTGGGGTGTACAACGGGGAGCTGGGCCTGCAGAGGGCTGAGTTCCACCCTACCTGGGGTCCGGACTCTGTTTCTCTCATTCCAACGTCTGTCTGTCTACCAATCCTGGGGCTTCTGCCTCTGACTGTGACGTCATCTGTTCAGCAGGGTCTTCCTCCAGCTCTGGGTTTAGGGAGCTTGAACCAGCTTCTTGGAGGTCTCCATCAACTCCTTCAATGCAGAAGTAGACCATTATTCTAATACATTTTTGTTTGGTCTTTAGTCATTTACCATTTTTTAAATTTGTGGTAAAATATACATGACATAAAATTTATCATCTTAATAATATCCAATAATTTTTTTTTTTGAGACAGAGTCTTGCTCTGTCACCCAGGATGGAGTGCAGTGGCACAATCTGGGCCCTCTGCAACCTCCGCCTCCTGGGTTCAAGTGATTCTTCTGCCTCAGCCTCCTAAGTAGCTGGGATTACAAGCATGCGCCACCACACCCAGCTAATTTTGTTTTTTTGTTGGTTTGGTTTTTTTTTTGAGATGGAGTTTCACTCTTGTTGCCTAGGCTGGAGTGCAATGGCGTGATCTCGGCTCACCACAACCTCTGCCTCTTGGGTTCAAGTGATTCTCCTGCCTCAGCCTCCCAAGTAGCTGGGATTACAGGCATGCACCACCATGCCCGGCTAATTTTGTATTTTCAGTAGAGACAGGGTTTCACCATGTTGGCCAGGCTATTCTCGAACTCCCGACCTCAGGTGATCCGCCTGCCTCAGCCTCCCAAAGCGCTGGGATTACAGGTGTGAGCCACCGCGCTCGGCCTAATTTTGTATTTTCAGTAGAGATGGGGTTTCACCATGTGGGCCAGGCTGGTCTCCTGACCCCAGGTGATCCGCCCACCTCAGCCTCCCAAAGTGCTGGGATTACAGGCGTGAGCCACTGTACCCAGCCTATCTAATAATATTTTAACCAGTTTTAATGTTCAGTGGTATTAAGTGCATTCATATGGTTGTGCAACCATCACCACTACCCATCTCCAGAACTTTCTCATCTTCCCAAACTGAAACTGTGTCCCCAGGAAACACTGCCTATCTGCTTTCCAAGTCCCTGGCACTCACCATTCTGTTGCTATGAATGTGACAACAAATCTAGTCTGGGCAACAAAACAAGACCCCGTCTCTATAAAAAATAAATTAAAAATTAGCCAAGCATAGTAGTGCACACCTGTGGTCCCAGCTACTTGGGAGGCTGAGGCAGGAGGATCATTTGAGCCCAGGAGGTCGAGGCTGCAGTGAACCATGATTGCACCCTGGCACTTTAGCCTGGGAACAGAGTGAGACCCTGTCTCTTAAAAAAAAAAAAAAAAAAAATCAGACCGGGAGCAATGGCTCACACCTGTAATCCCAGCACTTTCAGAGGCTGAATCGGGCAGATCACTTGAAGTCAGGATTTCAAGACCAGCCTGGCCAACATGGTGAAAGCCCATCTCTACTAAAAATACAAAATTTAGCCAGCATATGCCTGTAATCCCAGCTACTCAGGAGGCTGAGGCAGGAGAATTGCTTGAACTTGGGAGATGGAGGTTGCAGTGAGCCAAGAGCCACTGCACTCCAGCCTGGATGACAGAGCAAGACCCTGTCTCAGATAAATTAATAAATAAATACTAAAATAAAATAAAATAAAAATGCAAGCCAGGCACAGTGGCTCAAGCCTGTAATCCCAGGACTTTGGGAGGCTGAGGCAGGTGGATCACCTGAGGTCAGGAGTTGAAGACCAGCCCAGCCAACATGGTGAAACCCCGTCTCTACTAAAAATATATATATAAAAAAAAAGGAGCTGGGTGTGGTGGCAGCTACTCGGAAGGCTGAGGTGGGAGAATCACTTGAACCTGGGAGACGGAGGTTGCAGTGAGCCGAGATCATGCCACTGCACTCCAGCCTGGCAACAGAGCGAGATTTTGTCTCCAAATAAAAATAAAAATAAAAATAAAACAAAATGCAAAACCCAAGGCAAACCTCTCAGGCATACACACAGTTTCCCTACCTCCAAAGTACATGTCTTAGCCAGGCACAGTGGCTCAGACCTGTAATCCTAGCTACTCCGGAGGCTAAGGCAGTTGATCGCTTGAGCACAGGAGGCTGAGGCTACAGTGAACTATCACGGCGCCACTATACCCCAGCCTGAGTGACAGAGGGAGACCCTGTCTCAAAAAAAATCACCCAGCCAGGTATAGTGGCTCATGCCTGTAATCCCAACACCTTGGGAGCCAGAGGTGGATGGATCACCTGAGGTCAGGAGTTCATGACCAGCCTGACCAACATGGCAAAACCCTGTCTCTACTAAAAATTATCCGGGTGTGGTGGCACATGCCTGTAATCCCAGCTACTTGGGAGGCTGAGGCAGAAGGATCTCTTGGATCCAGGTGGTGGAGGTTGCAGTGAGCCAAGATGGCACCATTGCGCTCCAGCCTGGGTGACAGAGCAAAATTCCATCTCAAAACAAAATAAAACAGAACAAAACAAAAAAAACAAACACCCAAGGTACCTATCTCCCCAAAGGACAAAAAGAAATGCTCTCATAAGGGCTCTGTTACTCAGTCAACAAACATTTACTGAGCACTTACTATGTGCCAAGGTAAGTGGTGAGTGCGGTAGACGTGAGAGCTCCTTGTCTTGGGTTCCAGGGTCAGGCAGACACCCCACATCAGTCCCACTAGTGTGGTGTGCACTAGTGGAGGTGCACACAGACCAGGGACATCTGGCCCCTGTGGCTTATCTGTTACCAGCCCTCACCCACCCCCAGTCTCTGTCTATTGGGACTGTATCCAGGGTGGAAAAAAGAGGGGCCAGAGGGTCCCATCTCTGTGCCCCCCACCCACCCGTCTTCACTTCTGCCTCAGAAACAAGCCAACGACCTGGTGGCCACACTGATGAGGTGCACACCCCACTACATCCGCTGCATCAAACCCAACGAGACCAAGAGGCCCCGAGACTGGGAGGAGAACAGGTGATCCCCCCCAACCAATCCAAGATTCATTCCCCCCAGGCCCTGCAGTTACCCCTAGAACTGACCGAGACACCTCCCTGACCTCCTGTAGGATGACCCAGGGACTAGCACAGCCCCTCCCACAATCCCCCACCTGCAGAACTGACCCCAGAAGGGACCATCAGGACAAGATCCCTCCCCCCAGTCCCCAGGCTGACCCCCGAAGCCCCCCCAGACCACAGAACTCACCCCCCAAACTTCCCTCAGCATGAATCCAGATCCCCCCAGGTCCCCCACCTCCAGCACCTCCCACCCACCCCCAGGACTGGTGACTCCCCACCCCGAGGGGACTCAGCCTACCCTCCCCACCAGAGTCAAGCACCAGGTGGAATACCTGGGCCTGAAGGAGAACATCAGGGTGCGCAGAGCCGGCTTCGCCTACCGCCGCCAGTTCGCCAAATTCCTGCAGAGGTGAGGAGCCCTCCACCCCCGCCCTCGCCATCCCCTTCATCAGAACGCCCAGCCAGGCCTGTCTGCTATGAGCACTCCCACACCCCAGCCCTCCGCCCTCAGGTATGCCATTCTGACCCCCGAGACGTGGCCGCGGTGGCGTGGGGACGAACGCCAGGGCGTCCAGCACCTGCTTCGGGCGGTCAACATGGAGCCCGACCAGTACCAGATGGGGAGCACCAAGGTCTTTGTCAAGAACCCAGAGTCGGTGAGTGTGTTTGAGGGACAGGCAGAGAAGGAGAGGGGAAGAGAGAGAAAGGTATAGAGAGGGACTGAGAGAGAGAGAGAGAGACAGAGGGAGACAGAGATTGAGAGAAAGACTGATAGATTGAGAAATTGAGAAACAGATTGAGAGAGAGGGATTGACAGAGAAACTGAGATAGAGGTTGAGAGAGAAATTGAGAAAGCAAGTGAGAGATTAATAGACTGAAAGTAAGAGACTGAGAGAGACTGAGCGAGAGATTAAGAAAGACTGCGACTGCCGGGCGCGGTGGCTCATGCCTGTAATCCCAGCACTTTGGGAGGCTGAGGAGGGCGGATCACAAGGCCAGGAGATCGAGACCATCCTGGCTAACACAGTGAAACCGCGTCTCTACTAAAAATACAAAAAAAATTAGCCGGGCATGGTGGCGGGCACCTGTGGTCCCAGCTACTCAGGAGGCTGAGGCAGAAGAATGGCTTGAACCCAGGAGGCAGAGGTTGCAGTGAGCCGAGATCACGCCACTGCACTCCAGCCTGGGCGACAGAGCGAGACTCCGTCTCAAAAAAAAAAAAGAAAGAAAGAATGTGATTGAGAGATTGAGAGAGAGAGATTGAGAGAGACACTCTGGAAGAAATAGACCAAAAATTTTGACATAGAACAGAAAAAAGGCAAAATAAAACTAGCACCAAGTCAGGTGTGGTAGCGCATGCCTGTAATATCAGTGCTTTGGGAGGCTGAGGCAGGAGGATGGTTTGAAGCCAGGAGTTCGAGACCAGCCTGGGAAACATAGTGAGACCCTGTCTCTACAAAAGACAAAAAGAAAAAAGAAAAATAACTATCACCAGCAAAGACTATATAAAGTAAAATTTAATTTAGACAAAAATTTCAGTCTATAGATTTTGATTTGGAGAAGACGGACGGGGTAGAAATAATGAAATTCACGATGGCAGATGCTTAGTGGTAAAATCCTATAAGAACATCAACAACAAAGACAGACTGAATATTTATAAAAGAAAGAAAATAATCCTGATGAAAATAATCTTGCTGGCCAGGCGCACTGGCTCACACCTGTAATCTCAGCAATTTGGGAGGCTGAGGTGGATGGATCACTTGAGGTCAGGAGTTTGAGACCAGCCTGGCCAACATGGTGAAACCCCTTCTCTATTAAAAGTACAAAAATTAGCTGGGCGTGGTGGTGCACACCTGTAATACCAGCTACTCAGGAGGCTGAGGCAGGAAAATCACTTTAACCCAGGAGGCAGAGGCTGAAGTGAGCCAAGATCGTGCCACTGCACTCAAGCCTGGGCAACAGTAATTTAATTTTAGTAAAATAAGCTGGGTGCAGTGGCTCACGCCTATAATCTCAACACTTTGGGAAGCCGAGGCGAGTGGATCACGAGGTCAGGAGTTCAAGACCAGCCCGACCAACATGGTGAAACCCCGTCTCTTCTACAAATACAAAAAATTAGCCAAGTGTGGTGGTGCGCACCTGTAATCCCAGCTACTCAGGAGGCTGAGGCAGGAGAATCACTCAAACCCAGGAGGCAGAGGTTGCAGTGAGCCGAGATCGCACCACTGCACTCTAGCCTGGGCAACAGAGTGAGACTCCATCTCAAAAAAAAAAAAATTAGTAAAATGAAAATAGAAGAAAAGGCCAGGCACGGTGGCTCACAACTGTAATCCCAGCACTTTGGGAGGCCAGGGTGGTGGATCACTTGAGGTTAGGAGTTCGAGACCAGCCTGGCCAACATGGGGAAACCCCATCTCTACTAAAAATACAAAATAAGCCGGGCATGGTGACACGTGCCTGTAATCCCAGCTACCTGGGAGGCTGAGGCAGGAGAATTGCTCGAACCTGGGAGGCAGAGGTTGCAGTGAGCTGAGATTGCGCCACTGCACTCCAGCCTGGGGGACAAAGTGAGACTCTGAAAAAAAGAAAAGAAAAGAAAAGAAAAATAGCCAACGGTTTAACTGTGCTATATTTAAAAAGTAATCAAGAAATTAAATTAGCTTAATGGAGTTGGAGCCTTTCTCAACCAAAAATGCATTCATGTTGGGATGAATTTTTTTTTTTTTTTTTAGACAGAGTCTCGCTCTGTCACCCAGGCTAAAGTGGAATGGCGCAATCTTGGCTCACTGCAACCTCCACCTTCCTGGTTCAAGCAATTCTCCTGCCTCAGCCTCCCAAGTAGCTGGAATTACAGGCACCCGCCACCACACCAGGCTAATTTTTGTGTTTTTAATAGAGATGGGTTTTCACCCTGTTGGCCAGGCTGGTCTCCTGACCTCAAGTGATCTGCCCACCTCAGCCTCCCAAAGTGCTGGGATTATATGCATGAGCCACCGCGCCCGGCCCCTATTTTGATTTTCTTATGAACATGGTTTGGGCCATCCTCAAACATTTTATCTGCCTGTTGGCCTTTGTGGCCCAGCATCCCAGGTATGTTATAATAGTCTGCTGGGACAGCTGAAACAAAGTTCCACAAACTCCATGGCTTAACACAACAGCAATTTATTCTCTCACAGTTCCGCAGGTCAGAAGTCCAAAATCAAGGTGTTGGCATGGCCATACTCTCTAAAGGTTTTAAAGAAGAATCTGAGGCTAAGCGTGCTGGCTCACGCCTGTAATTCCCAGCACTTTGGGAGGCCGAGGCAGGCGGATCATGAGGTCAGGAGATTGAGACCACCCTGGCTAACACAGCAAAACTATGTCTCTACTAAAAAAATACAAAAAAGTTAGCCAGGCATGGTGGCGGGCGCCTGTAGTCCCAGCTACTCGGGAGGCTGAGGCAGGAGAATGGCGTGAACCCAGGAGACGGAGCTTGCAGTGAGCCAAGATCGCACCACTGCACTCCAGCCTGAGCGACAGAGCAAGACTCCGTCTCAAAAAAAAAAAAAAAGAAGAAGAAGAAGAAGAAGAAGAATCTGAGGCTGGGCACGCTGGCTCACGCCTGTAATCCCAGCACTTTGGGAGGTCAAGGCTGGTAGATTCCTTGAGCCCAGGAGTTCCAGACGAGTCTGGACAACATGGCAAAACCCCAACTCTACCTCTCTACCAAAAAAATATATATATAATAATACCATAATTAGCCTTGAGTGGCTGAGGTGGGAGGATCCCTTGAGCCCGGGAGCCGAGATCGCACCACTGCACTCCAGCCTGGGAAACAGAGCAAGACCCTGTCTCTGAAAAAATTAAAACTATTTTGGTCAGCAGAGCAGGGAGCAAGGCTCTTAGCAGCAATGTGCTACCTATGGACTTGGGAAAGCACTCTGGGTGAAGTGCTAATTTTTCTAAATAAAGCCCAATTGTGTGTGTGTGTGTGTGTGTGTGTGTGTGTGTGTGTGTGTGTGTGTATTTTTTTTTTTTTCTGAGACAGGATCTCACTCTATCTCCCAGGCTGGAGTGCAGTCGCACAATCACAGCTCACTGCAGCCTCAACCTCCTGGGCTCAAAGAATCCTCCCACCTCACCCTCCGGAATAGCTGGGACTACACATGCGTGCCATCACCCTCAGCTAATTTTTGCTTAGTTTTTGTAGAGACGGGGTCTTTCTATGTTGCCCAGGCTGGTCTTGAACTCCTGGGCTCAACAATGCTCCCACCTTAGCCTCCCAAACTGCTGGGATTAGAGGCATGAGCCACCGCACCCAGCCTATATTTGCATTATTTCCCATCTTCACTAATTGACAATATTGTCCCTTTGATCACAGTTTCTCTTTGAAGTAGGATGTTTCTCAAGCATCTGCCCTATTCCAGTTAATCATTCTATTCTCTGACAGGCATGCTATTGTTTTTATTACTATAGATTTACAGTATTTTAATATCCAGTAGGTTCCTCACCTTGTTCACCTGCTGTTATTACAAATGAGTAGACATTCCTCTTAGACTTTGTACTTTGACTTGCTGTAATGTAATTCATTCTCTAAGTCCCCTCTGGGTCTAGACTTTTACAACTCAAAACCCTTTTCTCTGCTTTCTGCAAAAGCTTCCTTTCTGGGCCTGCTACGGATGGCTGTGCAGGTTGTACACTGCCCAACCACACGGTTGCTAGTCACATCACAGTTCTACACATCAGATTTTCTTTTTCTTTCTTTTTTTTTTTGAGATGGAGTTTCATTCTTTTCTTTTTTCAGGGGTCGGGGGACTGAGTCTCACTCTGTCGCCCAGGCTGGAGTGCAGTGGCGCAATCTCCGCTCACTGCAACCACCACCTCCCGAGTTCAAGCGATTCTCCTGCCTCAGCCTCCCGAGTAGCTGGGATGACAGGCATGCGCCACCACACCCGGCTAACTTTTGTATTATTAGTAGAGACGGGGTTTCACCATGTTGGCCAGGCTGGTCTCAAACTCTTGACCTCAGGTGATCCGCCCACCTCGGCCTCCCAAAATGCTGGGATTACAGGCTTGAGCCACTGCACCCGGCCACATTTTCATATTTACTGTATTTTATTGGTTTTCCAAGATGCACACTGGTTCCTATTTCTACCATCTCTGACACGGCAGTGTACCTCGTGGATAGTGTCGAGTAACAGTGTAAGAAACCGTGACATCATACCGTTTCTTGCAAAAGCACACAGGTAGTAAGTGGCACAGCTGTGATCTGAAGCTAGTGACTCACTGTTATCATGTAAGGCAGAAGTGTGTACCCCACATGGGGAGAGACGCACAGGGAGGTCCAGTCATTTGGAGGAAGATAAAAATTTTTCCAGCCTGGGCAACATGGCAAGACCACATCACCACAAAATTAGCTGGGCATGGTGGCTCACAGCTGTAGTCCCAGCTACTCAGGAGGCAGAGGTGGGAGGATCACTTGAACCCAAGAGGTTGAAGCTGCAGTGAGCTATGACTGCACCACCACACTCCAGTCTGGGCGACGGAGCGAGACCCTGTCTTTTTCTTTTTTTCTTTTTTTGAGATGAAGTTTTGCTCTTGTTGCCCAGGCTGGAGTGCAATGGCACAATCTCAGCTCACCGCAACCTCCAACTCCCAGGTTCAAGTGATTCTCCTGCCTCAGCCTCCTGAGTAGCTGGTATTACAGGCATGTGCCACCATGCCCGGCTAATTTTATGTTTTTAGTAAAGACAGGGTTTCTCCATGTTGATCAGGCTGGTCTCAAACTCCCGACCTCAGGCGATCTTCCCGCCTCAGCCTCCCAAGGCGCTGGGATTATAGGCATGAGCCACCAGCTTTTTTTGTTTTTGTTTTTTGTCTTTTTGAGATGGAGTTTCACTCTTGTTGTCCAGGCTGGAGTGCAATGGCGCGATCTCAGCTCACTGCAACCTCCGCCTCCCGGGTTCAAGTGATTCTCCTGCCTCAGGCTCCCGAGTAGCTGGGATCACAGGCATCTACCACCATGCCCAGCTAATTTCTTTTTGTATTTTTAGTAGAGATGGGGTTTCACTATGTCGGTCAGGCTCGTCTCAAACTCCTGACCTCAGGTGATCCACCCGCCTCGGCCTCCCGAAGTGCTAGGATTACAGGCGTGAGCCACTGCGCCCGGCCCCTTTTTCTTCTTTTCTTTATGAACGAGTGTCACTAGAAAGACCCCGCCTCTTAAAAAAATTAGCACATGTGTGGGGATGGGTGAGCAAAAGCGTGTGAGTAGGGTGAGCGCAGGGAAAACCCGGAACTGCAGCCCCTGGGGAGACACCAGGACTCACCCTTGCCCCCCACGACCCCCGCCCAGCTTTTCCTCCTGGAGGAGGTGCGAGAGCGAAAGTTCGATGGCTTTGCCCGAACCATCCAGAAGGCCTGGCGGCGCCACGTGGCTGTCCGGAAGTACGAGGAGATGCGGGAGGAAGGTGAGAGGCTTCGGGTAAACGGCGCGGGGTGGGGGCACAAGGACCTGGAGGAGCTGTATCAGGAGCTCTGCCCTCCACCCTCTGTCCCCGCAGCTTCCAACATCCTGCTGAACAAGAAGGAGCGGAGGCGCAACAGCATCAATCGGAACTTCGTCGGGGACTACCTGGGGCTGGAGGAGCGGCCCGAGCTGCGTCAGTTCCTGGGCAAGAGGGAGCGGGTGGACTTCGCCGATTCGGTCACCAAGTACGACCGCCGCTTCAAGGTGAGGCACTAGTGGGTGGGCACAGCAAGACCCTGACTACAGCCTGGCACCCTCACCTGGCCCAGATGCACCTGCCCACAGCCAGATATCCCCCAGCCTAGATCCATCTGTTCCATCACAGGTACACCCTCACCTGGCCCATATGCACCTGCCCACAGGCATAGATCCCCCAGCCTAGATCCATCTGTTCCATCACAGGTATACCCTCACCTGGCACAGACACACCTGTCCATAGGTATCTATCCCCCAGCCTAGATCCATCTGTTCCATCACAGGTATATCCTCACCTAGCCCAGGCACACCTGCCCACAGGTATCTATCCCCCAGCCTAGATCAATCTGTTCCATCACAGGTACATCATTACCCGGCACAGACACACCTGCCCACAGGTATACACTCAAGTATAGCAGACACAGCTGTCCATCAAACATGCACTTGTAGCCCAGACACACCTGTCAGATACACCCTCACCTGGCCAGATGCATCTCTCAACAATCACACATTCATTCACCTTGTCTAGAAGCCCCAACCACGAGGCCACCCTTGCCTATCCTAGACACACCCATCCATTAGGTACACTCTACCTTCAACCTGGAAATTAGATATACCTTCACCTGGCCCAGACACACCTGTCCACAGGTACACTCTCACCTGGCCCAGGCAGCCTAGTCCATAGGTACATGCTCTCTACAGGGATACATCACCTGACCCGTGCATTCATGCTTGGCATAGACAGCTGGGCACCTCCACCAACAGACACATCCTCTTCTGCCCCAGACAGCCCTGAACCTACGTGTACTCTAATCACCTAGCCTGGACTCTCCTGTCCACAGGTACACCCAGACTTGGCCTGTTTACCGTCACCTGTACCTGGGCGGGCCAGGTACACACTCACTTGACCCATATCTCATGTCCCAGAGAGTCACCTAGCCCAGTAACTCACCCTACCCTCACCTTAGAGAGGCCTATGTGTGGCAGGTACACACTGAGATCACCTATATACCATCTTTACCTGGATGGATAGTCTCATATGGCCTGGACACCCTCACCTACCTTGGACAAGTTTATGTGGCAGGTGCCTCCTCACATGATCTGTACAACTTCACATACCAGACACACATTATTGGGTACCTTCACCTGATCCACCCACCTGCTTTGGACAGGTCTGTGTGGCAGGTATGCCCTCTCAGGTGACCTGTATACCATCACCTTAAATGTTTTCACTGAGACAGGTATCCCCACTAGACCCAGAGAACTCTGACCGCAGGCCAGCTCAACCGGCTTGCACATTCACCCTTCTACCAGGTACACCCTCACCTGCCTTCCTGTACAAACTCATAGAGTTCAGATACACACCCGCTCACTTCCTCTCATGATCCAGATACTCCTATTTACCTGACTTGTACACCCTCACCTGAACCATAATACCTTTACCTGAGCTGGCTACAGTCACATGACCCAAGTACTTTCACCTGGTCTAAGTGTTCTCATCTGGCCCGGGAACCCATGTCCAGCAGGTGCCTTACCTACCCAGCACCTGTTCACTGACCCAAACACCCTTTTCTAGCCAACCAACCAACCAACACATTCCCATCTGACCTCGTTTCTTTTTTGTTTTTCTTTTTTGTTTTTTTGAGACAGAGTTTTGCTCTTTTGTGTGTGTGTGTTGAGTCAGAATCTTGTTATGTCGCCCAGGCTGGAGTGCAGTGGCACAACCTCGGCTCACTGCAACCTCTGCCTCCCAGGCTCAAGCAATTCTCCTGCCTCAGCCTCCCGAGTAGCTGGGACTACAGGCATGTGCCACCACGCCCAGCTAGTTTTTTGTATTTTTAGTAGAGATGGGGTTTCATGGTATTAGCCAGGATGGTCTCAATCTTCTGACCTTGTGATCCACCCACCTCAGCCTCCCAAAGTGCTGGGATTACAGGCGTGTGCCACCGCGCCTGATCTGTTATTTTTTGTTTGTTTGTTTTTGAGACAGGGTCTTGCTCTGTCACCCAGGCTGGAGTGCAGTGGCAGGATCTCGGCTCACTGCAACCTCATCCTCCTGGGTTCAAGCGATTCTCCTGTCTCAGCCTCCTGAGTAGCTGGGACTACAGGTGCCCACCACCTCGCCCAGCTAATTTTTGTATTTTTAGTAGAGACGGGGTTTCACCATGTTGGTCAGCCTGGTTTCAAACTCCTGACCTCATGATCTGCCCGCCTCGGCCTCCCAAAATGCTGGGATTACAGGCGTGAGCCATGGCACCCAGCCCTCCTTCTGTTTCTTATATAACAACTCATGGCCAGGCGTGGTGGCGCACACCTGTAATCCCAACCCTTTGGGAGGCCAAGGAGGACAGTTTGCTTGAGATCAGGAGCTCAAGACCAGCCTGGGCAACAGGGCAAAACCCTGAATCTACAAAAAATACCAAAATTAGCTGGGCATGGTGGTGCGCACCTGTGGTCCCAGCTACTCAGGAGGCTGAGGCAGGTGGATCACTCAAGCCCAGGAGGGGGAGGTTGCAGTGAGCTATGATGGCACCACTGCACTCCAGCCTGAGCGACAGAGTGAGACCCTGTCTACAAAACAGACGACTCATACACCTTCACCTGGAGGGCTCCCACCTTCCTCACCTGACCTGCCAGCACCACCCCTCTGCCTGGGGTGGATCCTCTGTGGCCAGGCTGGCCAGGCTACAGGCATCAGCCTCTAATCCTGCATCCCCACAGCCCATCAAGCGGGACTTGATCCTGACGCCCAAGTGTGTGTATGTGATTGGGCGAGAGAAAGTGAAGAAGGGACCTGAGAAGGGCCAGGTGTGTGAAGTCTTGAAGAAGAAAGTGGACATCCAGGCTCTGCGGGGAGTCTCCCTCAGGTGAAGCCAGGTCCTTACCTGCCGCACAGTCACTCTCACCTGTCCCCTGGCTGCCCTCATTCTAGTGACCCCGTCTGTTACCCTGACAATCTTACCTGGTGCCATGCCTGTAGCCCTCTGTTGGCCCCACCTGTCATGTTCACCTGCCCCCTATGCTCATGATCCTTAGATGCCAAATCCTTCCGTCCTGCACCTTACCCTCTTACTAGACCTCACCTGGCCCTCTTCTGTAACCACCTCTTCCACTCCTTGCCACATCCCCCTTTTTCTCCTACCTGGTCACCGCTGACTTGGCCCTTAGCTGACCCTTCCCTAAATCCACCTTCAGCCACCTTCATCTGTCTCTCTCACCTGTCGCCCTCACCTGTGTCCCACCTGACGCTCTCACCCGCCCCTCCCCAGCACGCGACAGGACGACTTCTTCATCCTCCAAGAGGATGCCGCCGACAGCTTCCTGGAGAGCGTCTTCAAGACCGAGTTTGTCAGCCTTCTGTGCAAGCGCTTCGAGGAGGCGACGCGGAGGCCCCTGCCCCTCACCTTCAGCGACACGTACGGCCCCGCCAACCCCAGCACCATCTCGGGGTGGTCTCGGCGCGGCGCACCCTCTCCCGCCCCACCGACCCGGCCGAACTGCGCTTCGGCCCCGGCCGCGGCCCCGCCCCTGCCCCAACCAGCGAGAGTTGGGTGGGGCGGGGGACCTCAGCCAGCGCCCCCAAGCTTTCTTCTCTCCCCATAGACTACAGTTTCGGGTGAAGAAGGAGGGCTGGGGCGGTGGCGGCACCCGCAGCGTCACCTTCTCCCGCGGCTTCGGCGACTTGGCAGTGCTCAAGGTTGGCGGTCGGACCCTCACGGTCAGCGTGGGCGATGGGCTGCCCAAGAGCTCCAGTGAGTCTGCGCGGAACTAGGGCAGAGGGGGCGGGGCCAGCGAGGCTGGTTAAGAGTGGACGAAGGCCAGGAAGGGGAGTGTCTACAGAGAGAGAGAGAGAGACTTTTGAGTTTTGTGGTTTTTTTAAGACGGAGTCTCACTCTGTCGCCCAGGCTGGAGTGTTGTGGCACGATCTTGGCTCACCGCAACCTCCGCCACCCGGGTTCAAGCGATTGTCTTGCCTCAGCCTCCCGAGTAGCTGGGATTACAGGCGCCTGCCACCGCGCCCAGCTAATTTTTGTAGTTTTAGTAGAGACGGGGTTTCACCATCTTGGCCAGGCTGGTCTTGAACTCATTACCTCATGCTCCACCCGCCTCGGCCTCCCAAAGTGCTGGGATTACAGGCGTGAGCCACTGCGCCCGGCCAGAGAGACAGACTTTTAAACAAAGGCCGCAACCAATTAGTGGGCGTGAAATGTGGAGGAGGGACGTGGCCATGGAGGAAACCAATCAAAATAGTGGGGCGGGGCCAGCAGGCTGGACCAGAGAGGGCAACAGCAAGGAAGGGGCGGGTCTAGAGAGAGAGAAAGACTGTTAAGGAGAAGACATGACCAATGCGGGGGCGAGAAATGTAGAGGGGTGCGGCCAGAGCGGCAACCCTGGAACTGGGTAGTGATGAAGGAGTGACCTAAAGTGGGCGGGCCCAAAGAGCAAGGCCAGTGAGGTGTTGGGCCCTTGGGGGGCGAGGCCAATTAGTGGGCGGAGCCAGTGTAACTGTACCTAAGGGGCGGTGCTAATGGGAGAGCCTGAGGGGGCGGGGTGCGGCGGAGCCTCAGAATGGACTAGATTTGTGGGCGGGGCAAAGAGCGTGGTCTGTCTGTCATTCAACTCCCTGACACTCTTCTTTCAGAGCCTACGCGGAAGGGAATGGCCAAGGGAAAACCTCGGAGGTCGTCCCAAGCCCCTACCCGGGCGGCCCCTGCGCCCCCCAGAGGTGAGGAGCTGCGTCCCTTGCTATATTCCCTTGTCTGTTGTGGGTCCCATGGCCTAAGCCAGACCTTCAGCAAACGAAATCTAACAAACACAGTTTACCACTCACTTCTCTGTCCAGGACTCTCCGTAGCTCCACATCTCCCGCAGAATAAAGGCTAAACTTAGTTTGGCATTCAGAGCCCTTCAAAACCCAAACCCAGCTAACCACTGACATCTTCTCTCCTCCTACCCTACACTCCTGCCCTGTAAACTACATCTTTTTTTTTTTTTTTTTTTTTTTGAGATGGAGTCCAACTCTGTCTCCCAGGCTGGGGTGCAGTGGAGCGATCTCGGTTCACTGCAACCTTCACCTCCTGGATTCAAGCGATTCTCCTGCCTCAGCCTCCCGAGTAGCTGAGATTACAGGCACCCGCCACCACGCCCGGCTAATTTTTGTATCGTTTTAGTAGAGACAGGGTTTCACCACGTTGTTCAGGCTGGTCTCGAACTCCTGACCTCAGGTGACCCGCCCGTCTCGGCCTCCGAAAGTGCTGGGATTAACAAGCATGAGCTACGGCGCCTGGCCTCAAACTACATCTTATTTTCCCAATTCACAAAATTTATTCTTACCTCCAGGCCTTTGGGCCGTTTTCTCTGCTTCTCTCTCAAATTCCCATTCCATTCGTTGAGCTCTTATTTATCCACCAAGACGTACCCACAGAAGCTCTCCTACAGAGGATAGGAGGAGGGAAACTTGCCCCTGCAAAGCCACTCCTGGCCAGGCAAGATGGCTCACACCTGTAATCCAAGCA
Organism: Homo sapiens; assembly: GCF_000001405.40. Classification (NCBI taxonomy): domain Eukaryota; kingdom Metazoa; phylum Chordata; class Mammalia; order Primates; family Hominidae; genus Homo; species Homo sapiens. The sequence goes on along the minus strand of NC_000019.10, from coordinate 8,524,688 downwards.
CTCTTGGTAGGCCAAGGCAGGAGGATCACTTGAGTTCAAGATCAGCCTGGGCAACATAGCAAGATCCTGTCTCTACCAAAAATTCTTTCTTTTTTTTTTTTTTTTTGAGACAGTCTCGCTCTGTCACCCAGGCTGGAGTGCAGTGGCATGATCTTGGCTCACTGCAACATCCACCTCCTGGGTTCAAGCGATTCTCCTGCCTCAGCCCCCTGAGTAGCTGGGACTACAGGCGTGTGCTACCACGCCTAGATTTTTTTTTTTTTTTTTTTTTTGAGACAGAGTCTAGCCCTGTTGCCCAGGCTGGGGTGCAATGGTGCGGTCTCAGCGCACTGCAACTTTCCACCTTCTGGGTTCAAGAGATTCTCCTGCCTCAGCCTCCCCAGTAGCTGGGATTACAGGCATGCACCACCATGCCCAGCTAATTTTATCTTTAGTAGAGACAAGGTTTCACCATGTTGGCCAGACTGGTCTGGAACTCCTGACCTCGTGATCCACCCGCCTCGGCCTCCCAAACTGCTGGGATTACAGGTGTGAGCCACCGCGCCCGGCCTTTTTTTTTTTTTTTTTTTTGAGACGGTGTCTTGCTCTGTTGCCCAGGCTGGAGTGCAGTGGCGTGATCTTGGCTCACTGTAACCTCCACCTCCCAGGTTGAAGCAATTCTCCTGCCTCAGCCTCCCGAGTAGCTGGGACTACAGGCACACGCCATCATGCCTGGCTAATTTTTGTATTTTTAGTAGAGGCAGAGTTTCACTATGTTGGCCAGGCTTGTCTCAAACTCCAGACCTCGTGATCAGCCCACCTTAGCCTCCCAAAGTGCTAGGATTACAGGCGTGAGCCACCGCGCCTAGCCTAAAAATTCTTTTTAAATTAGCTGGGCATGGTGGTGTGTGCCTATAGTCCCAGCTATTTAGGAGGCTGAGAGGGGAGAATATCATGAGCCTAAGAGTTGGAGTCTGCAGTGAGCTATGATCTCACTGCTGCACTCCATCCTGGGCCACAGAGCAAAACCCTGTCTCTAAACAAATAAAAAATAAATAAGGCCAAGTACAGTGGCTCATGCCTGTAAAACCAGCATGTTGGGAGGCCGAAGTGGGAGGATTGCTTGAGGCCAGGAGTTTGAGACCAGCCTGAGCAACATAGTGAGACCCCATCTCTACTTTAAAAATTATAAAAATCAACTGGGCATAGTGGAGCATACCTGTAGTCCCAGCTCCCCTTAAAAGGAGGCTAAGGAGGGAGGATTGCTTGAGCCCAGGAGGTCAGAGTTGCAGTGAGCTACGATTGTACCACTGCACTCCAACCTGGGCGAGAGTGAGACCATGTCTCAAAATAAACAAATAAAAGTAAAAAATAATTGGCCAGGCGCGGTGGCTCATGCCTGTAATCCCAGCACTTTGGGAGGCCAAGGCGGGCGGATCACAAGGTCAGGAGATCGAGACCATCCTGGCTAACATGATGAAACTCCGTCTCTACTAAAAATATTTAAAAAATTATCCAGGCGTGGTGGCAGGTGCCTGTAGTCCCAGCTACTCGGGAGGCTGAGGCAGGAGAATGGCGTGAACCCAGGAGGCGGAGCTTGCAGTGAGCCGAGATCGCGCCACTGCACTCCAGCCTGAGCGACTGAGCAAGACTCCATCTCAAAAAAAAAAAAAAGTAAAAAATAATTTTAAAATTATGCTTAAAAAAGCTTCTGTCTAGGCCCTCCTAGCGGCAGAGTCCCTCCGTCTGGCCCAATCCTTACCACACTGGGTTGAGAGTGTCGCAGTCTCCTCCCTCAGCCTGAGAACTTGAAGCCAAGTCCTCCTCAAATCCTCCTAGCATCACCCTAATACATGTCTTCATCCTTGCTCCTGCCACAGGCATGGATCGCAATGGGGTGCCCCCCTCTGCCAGAGGGGGCCCCCTGCCCCTGGAGATCATGTCTGGAGGGGGCACCCACAGGCCTCCCCGGGGCCCTCCGTCCACATCCCTGGGAGCCAGCAGACGACCCCGGGCACGTCCGCCCTCAGAGCACAACACAGAATTCCTCAACGTGCCTGACCAGGGCATGGCCGGGTAGGTGGGGTGGGAGGGCAGCTCCAGGAGGTGGGCAGGGGGTAGGGGAGTGTCTGGGGCTGTGACTCAAACCCCCTGTGCCCACAGCATGCAGAGGAAGCGCAGCGTGGGGCAACGGCCAGTGCCTGGTGTGGGCCGACCCAAGCCCCAGCCTCGGACACATGGTCCCAGGTGCCGGGCCCTATACCAGTACGTGGGCCAAGATGTGGACGAGCTGAGCTTCAACGTGAACGAGGTCATTGAGATCCTCATGGAAGGTGTGTGTACCAGGGCAGAAGCTGGGGTGAGGGGAGTGGTAAGAACCCTGACATCGGCCGGGCGCGGTGGCTCACGCCTGTAATCCCAGCATTTTGGGAGGCCAAGGCGGGCAGATCACGAGGTCAGGAGATCGAGACCATCCTGGCTAACACAGTGAAACCCCGTCTCTACTAAAAATACAAAAAATTAGCCGGGCGTGGTGGCGGGCGCCTGTAGTCCCAGCTACTCGGGAGGCTGAGGCAGGAGAATGGCATGAACCCGGGAGGCGGAGCTTGCAGTGAGCCGAGATTGCGCCAACACACTCCAGCCTGGGCGATAGAGCGAGACTCCGTCTCAAAAAAAAAAAAAAAAAGAACCCTGACTGACATTGCCAGGCAGACCCCACCACTGCACACCCTCCCCACGGGAGAACAGAGATAACAGATGGGCGAGGTGGCTCATACCTGTAATCCCAGCACTTTCAGTGGCTGAGGCAGGAGGATCACTTGAGGTCAGGAGTTTGAGACAAGCCTGGGCAACCTAGCAAGACCCCATCTCTACAAAAGATTTACAAAAAAAAAACTTTTAAAGAGTAGAAATGGCCGGATGCAGTGGCTCACACCTGTAATTCCAGCACTTTGGGAGGCTGAGGCAGGAGGATGGCTTAAGCCTAGGAGTTTAAGACCAGCCTGGACAACATAGGGAGTCCCCATGAACAAGATGGACAGACCAGGCATGAGAGCTTTCTCCAGGGCCAGCTAGGGGCACCTCAAGCTTTCCTCTCTCCCACAGATCCCTCGGGCTGGTGGAAGGGCCGGCTTCACGGCCAGGAGGGCCTTTTCCCAGGAAACTACGTGGAGAAGATCTGAGCTGGGCCCTGGGATACTGCCTTCTCTTTCGCCCGCCTATCTGCCTGCCGGCCTGGTGGGGAGCCAGGCCCTGCCAATGAGAGCCTCGTTTACCTGGGCTGCAATAGCCTAAAAGTCCAGTCCTTTGGCCTCCAGTCCTGCCCAGGCCCTGGGTCACCAGGTCACTGCTGCAGCCCCCGCCCCTGGGCCCTGGTCTTCCTCCAACATCACACCTGCTGCCCATTCTCCATTTCTGTGTGTGTCAAAGGGGACTAACAGCAGAATCTACCTCCCAACTGCCATGTGATTAAGAAATGGGTCTTGAGTCCTGTGCTGTTGGCAAAGTGCCAGGCACAGTTGGGGAGGGGGGGGTCCTTAACAAGCGTGACTTTGCTCATTCTGTCATCACTAAGGCAATAAACCTTTGCCAGGTGAAAGCACGAGTTAACTTACTAAGTGCCCAACAAGGACGATGTTTTCACAGCCCTGTGAGGTAGGAGCTGTGAAGGACCCCATCTTACAGGTGGAACAATGGAGGTTCAGAGAGGTTCACTGACCCAAGACTGCACAGAGCCATGCCTTGCATTCATATGTGACCATAAAGCTTGAATTTGTCCCAGTTTGGGCTGGGCGCAGTGGCTCACGCCTGTAATCCCAGCACTTTGGGAGGCTGAGGCGGGCAGATCACGTGAGACCAGGAGTTCAAGACCAGCCTGGATAACACAGCAAAACCCTGTTTCTACTAAAAATTTAAAAAAGAAAAAAAAAAAAGCCGGGTGTGGTGGTGCCTGCCTGTAATCCCAGCTACTGGGAAGGCTGAAGCAGGAGAATCACTTGAACCCGGGAGGCAGAGGCTGCCGTGAGCCGAGATCATGCCACTGCACTCCAGCCTGGGCAACAGAGCAAGACCCTGTCTCAGAAAAAAAGAAAGGAAGGAAGGGAGGGAGGGAGGGAGGAGGTGGGCGCGGTGCCTCACACCTGTAATCCTAGCACTTTGGGAGGCCGAGGCGGGCAGATCACAAGGTCAGGAGATCGAGACCATCCTGGCTAACATGGGGAAACCTTGTCTCTACTAAAAATACAAAAAAGTAGCCGGGCGTGGTGGCGGGCGCCTGTAGTCCCAGCTGCTCGGGAGGCTGAGGCAGGAAAATGGCATGAACCTGGGAGAAGGAGCTTGCAGTGAGCCGAGATTGCGCCACTGCCCTCCAGCCTGGGCAACAGAGCGAGACTCCATCTCAAAAAAAAAAAAAAGAAAGAAAAGAAAATAAAGAATTTGTCTCAGTTTCCCTTCCAAAATCTGCATCCCAAATGGTCCAGCAGGTCCTGTTAGTCTTGAAGCTACAGCCGCCAAACCCATCTGGGACCTATGGAGAGAGGCAGGTCCCACATGCCACATGCTCCCACCCTCAATGCACTCTGGGTCACTCCTGCCCCCTGCACCCCAATCCCATTTCTGTGCCCTCTTAGTCTTCACCTAACTGGGACTAAGACTGGAGTCCTGCTATGGTCTGAGCCTAAAGATCCTGAATTTTGGGCTGGGCGCAGTGGCTCATGCCTGTAATCCCAGCACTTTGGGAGGCCAAGGCGGGCGGATCATCTGAGGTCAGGAGTTCCAGACCAGCCTCACCAACATGGTGAAACCCTGTCTCTACTAAAAATACAAAAATTAGCTGGGCATGGTGGCACGTGCCTGTAGTCCCTGATACTTGAGAGGCTGAGGCAGGAGGTGGAGGCTGCAGTGAGCCAAGACTGCACCATGGAATTCCAGTCTGAGCAATAGAGTGAGACTCTGTCTCAAAAAAAAAAAAAAATTCCTGAATTTTGGGAGTGGTGGTGCATGCCTGTAGTCCCAGCACTTTGTGAGGCCGAGGCTGGAGGATCACTTGATCCCGGGAGTTCAAGGCTGAAGTGAGCTATGATCGCGTCACTGCACTCCAGCCTGGGCAACTCAGCAAGACCCTGTCTCTAATACTAAAATAAACCAAATCCTGGCCAAGCATGGTGCCTCACAGCTGTAATCCCAGCACTTTGGGAGGCCAAGGCAGGAGGATCACTTAAGGTTTGACCACCCTAGGCAACCTACTAATACCCTGTCTCTACAAAAAAATTTTAAAATTGGCCGGGCACGGTGGGTCACACTTGTAATCCCAGCACTTTGGGAGGCCAAGGCGGGCAGATCATAAGGTCAGGAGATCGAGACCATCCTGGCTAACACAGTGAAACCCCATCTCTGCTAAAAATACAAAAAATTAGCCGGGCGTGATGGTGCGCGCCCGTGGTCCCAGCTACTCGGGAGGCTGAGGCAGCAGAATTGCTTGAACCTGGGAGGCGGAGGTTGCAGTGAGCCGAGATGGCGCCACTGCACCCCAGCCTGGGTGACAGAGTGAGACTCCATCTCAAAAAAAAAAAAAGCTAGTGTCATGCCTGTATTCCCAGATACTCAGGAGGCTGAGATGGGAGGATCACTTGAGCCCAGCAGGTCGAGGCTGCAGTGAGCTGATTACAACATTGTACTCCAGCCTGGGCAACAGAGCTAACCCTGTCTCTCTCTAAAAATAATAATAATAATAATAATAATAATAATTAATTGTAGCTTTCTAATATGGACACCCGCTCTGTGCTCAGCCCCTCAAAGAGAAGCCAGTCCAGTAGAGATGGGGCTGACTGGTGAGGTGAGGACTGGCCCACAGAAGCGAGGGGAATTCAGAGGTGGAATGGGCGTTGCAGCAGGAGCCAGGAAGGTGGGAGAGGGTCGGTCTCAGCAGATTTGGTTGACAAGCACTGCACAGAGTGATCTAAGCTGTGATGAGCGAACTGCGGGCACAGAATACCTACCCAACGGAAGAATGGGGCATCGGGAATCCCCAGTAGAGCCAGGAATCAAAGCAAGACTAGCAGCCGGGCACGGTGGCTCACGCCTGTAATCCCAGGGCTTTGGGAAGCTGAGGTGGGCAGATCACTTGAAGTAAGGAGTTCAAGACCAGCCTGGCCAACGTGGTGAAACCCCATCTCTACTAAAAATACAAAAATTAGCTGGACATGATACGCACGACTATAGTCCCAGCTACTCGGGAGGCTGAGGCAGGAGAATCGCTTGAGCCCGGGAGGTGGAGGTTGCAGTGAGCCGAGGTTGTGCCACTGCACTCCAGTCTGGACAACAGAACAAGACTGTGACACACACACACACACACACACACACACACACACAGAGAGAGAGAGAGAGAGACAGCAAGAATGGCCAGCAGAACCTTCTGCAGAATCTATTCTCCCTTCTGTGCCTGTCTTGGGAAGCTGAGCATGGCTGGAAAAAATTCTCAAGGCTGCAACCGGGTCTCAAGGGCCCTTTTATTGCTCAATGATGACACAAAAGCATTTAGCAATCTCTTGAATGGCCCTAGTGCTTTCCATCTCTGAATTTCCTTTTCTTTTTTTGAAGATGGGGTCTCACTGTGTTGCCCAGGCTGGTCTCGACCACCTGGGCTCCTGCGATCCTCCCACTTCAGCCTTCCCCCAGTAGCTGAGATTACAGGCACACACCACTGCACTCCAGCATCTGATTCTTGTTGCTGTTGTTTTGAGACAGGGTTTCACTCTGTTGTCCCAGACTGGAATGCAGTGGTATGATCATAGCTCACTGCAGCCTTGGATTCCCAGAATCAAATCATGATCCCGCATCACCCTCCCAAAGTGCCGTGATTACAGGTGTGAGCCACTGTGCACGGCACCATGGCCATTATCTTAAACGTTTAGCATATGCTAAAAGATAATCATCTCCTATCTAGGTTACAGGCATCTTCAGACTGCAGACCTCAGTCATGTGTGCCCCGCCTGCTGCTCACCCCCACATCCTGTTGACTCTTTTACAAAATTTCTTAAGTCCAGTCCCTCCTCTCCCTTCCTTCCTTGGGTCCCTGTCCCTTCTGCCACCTCACCCCATCCTTCCCCAGATTGCACTAGCCTCCCCTGCACACACGCACACACACACACACACACATCCTTACCCTGCATTAAAATGATCTTTGTTTTTTAAATGAAATGAGTTTTCAACTGAATGAATAATAATTAAAAGAAAAAATTTTAATTTGTTTTTGTTTTATTTTTTATTTTTGCATGTATGTATGTATTTATTTTTGAGACTGAGTCTCGCTCTGTTGCCCAGACTAGAGTGCAGTGGCATGATCTCGGCTCACCGCAACCTCTGCCTCCTGGGTTCAAGCGATTCTCCTGCCTCGGCCTCCCGAGTAGCTGGGATTACAGGCACGTGCCACCATGCCTGGCTAATTTTTGTATTTTTAGTAGAGATGGGATTTCACCATGTTGGTCAGGCTGGTCTCGAACTCCTAACCTCGTAATCCGCCCGCCTCAGCCTCCCAAAGTGCTGGGATTACAGGCGTGAGCCACCGTGCCTGGCCTTTTGTTTTATTTTCTTAGAGACACGGTCTTGCTCTGTTGCCCAGGATGGAGTGCAGTGGCATGAACACAGCTCACTGCAGCCTCTAAATTCTGGTCTCAAGCAATCCTCCCACCTCAGCCTCCCAAGAAGCTGAGACTACAGGCATGTGCCACTATGCCCAGCTAATCTTTTTATTTTTGGTAGAGATGGCGTCCTGCTCTGTTGCCCAGGCTAGTCTCAAACCCCTGGCCTCAAGTGATCCTCCCACTTCAGCCTCCCAAAGTGCTGGGATTGCAGGCTTGAGACACCATGCCTGGACAGAAAAAAATAATAATAATTCAAAAAACACAAAAGTGAAAACTCAGTCTCTCTCCCACTCAAACATCCCTGTTCCTCTCCCCAGTTTTTAAATATCTCCTAAAGGTATTCTCTGCATATAAAAGCCCATAGGGGGCTGGATACAGTAGCTCACACCTGAAATCCCAACACTTCGGGAGGCTGAGGCAGATAGATCACTTGAGCCCAGGAGTTCTAGAACATCCTGGGCAATGTGACAAAACCCCATCTCTACAAAACATATAAAAACTAGCTGCGTGTGGTGGCACACACCTTTAGTACCAGCTACTAGGGAGGCTGAGGTAGGAGGATCACCTGAGCCCAGGGAGGTTGAGGCTGCAGTGAGCTGTGATCACATCACTGCACTCTAGCCTAAGCAACAGAGTGTGACTGTGTCTCAAAAAAACAAACAAAAAAGCCGGATGCAGTGGCTCATGCCTGTAATCCCAGTACTTTGTAAGCCCAAGGCAGGTGGATCTCTGAGGCCAAGAGTTCAAGACTAGCCTAGCCAACATGGCAAAACCCCGTCTCTACTAAAAATACAAAAAAAATTAGCTGAGCGTGGTGGCACAAGCCTGTAGTCCCAGCTACTTGGGAGGCTGAGGTACGAGAATTGCTTGAACCCAGGAGGCGGAGCTTGCAAGATCATGCCACTGCACTGCGGCCTGGGGGACAGAGTGAGACTCTGTCTCAAAAAAAAAAAAAAAAAGTGCATAGGTACAACTTGCTTTGCAGATGGAAATACACTGCACATAAAACCTACAATTGTGGCCAGGTGCAGTGGCTCATGCCTGTAATCCCAACACTTTGGGAGGCTGAGGCAGGCGGATCACCTGAGGTCGGGAGTTGAGACCAGCCTGACCAACATGGAGAAACCCCATCTCTACTGAAAATACAAAATTAGCCTGGCATGGTGGCACATGCCTGTAATCCCTGTTACTTGGGAGGCTGAGGCAGGAGAATCGCTTGAACCCAGGAGGCGGAGGTTGCAGTGAGCTGAGATCGCGCCACTGCACTCCAGCCTGGGTGCAGTGCAAGATGTCGTCCAAAAAAAACAAAACAAAACAAAAAAAACCCTACAGTTGCCTAGAACTCAACGAATACCTCTTGAATGGCAGCATGATGAGATCTAAGATGATCTCATCTTAGATGATATGGCAGCAGAGAGATCTAAGATGTTAGATCTACCTTACCGCCCTCTCAACAGCCCATCCTACTCCAAGTGACTGCCAGGAATCAGATGATGCGCCTCCCCCTGCTAAAAATTCATCAGTGGTTACAACATAAACCACACTCCTCTCTCTGCACCACTCCCATGGCCCTGCGTGACCTGCCGCGCACCATATTCGCTTTCTGACCTCCACACCCCGCCTCCACTCTGCTCCAGTGGTGCCCTGGCCACCTCGCTGCTCTTTGACCAAAATAAGCCCGTCCTGCCCCACTCCAGGACATCACCACCAGCTATCCGGTAGAGCCCCCTGCTCCTCGGGCTTTCCACCAGCTCACTCCTTGATCATCTGGAGACAGCTCCGAAGTCACCTCCTCAGAGTGGCTTCCCTGACCCATCACTTCGACATTTCATTGTTTCCTTCATTGCTCTGAATAGGACAAAAGATTGTTTTTGCACTTGTTGATTTACTATTTCCCCATTTTTATTTAACTTTTAGAGATGGGGGTCTCGCTTTTTCGACCAGGCAGGAGTGCAGTGGTGCCATCACGCTCACTGCAGCCTCGACGTCCCTGGCTCGAGCGATGCTGTTTCCCCATTTTAAAATGTGAGTGCAAGGGGAGGCGAGGTGGCTCACGCCTGCAATCCTAACATTTGGGAGGCCAAGGCGGGAGGATCGCTTGAGCCCAGGAGTTTGAGACCGGCCTGGGCAACACACAGAGAGACCCTGTCTCTAAAAAGAATTTAAAAATTAGCTGGGCATGGTGGCACACGCCAGTAATCCCAGCTACTCGGGAGGCTGAGATGGGAGGATCGCCTGAACCCAGGAGGTCAAGGCTGTAGCGAGCTATGATCGCATCACTGCACTCCAGCCTGGGCGACAGAGCAAGACCCTGTCTCAACACTATAAAAAATAAAGAACTGGCCGGGCGCGGTGGCTCACGCCTGTAATCCCAGTACTTTGGGAGGCCGAGGCGGGTGGATCACCTGAGGTCAGGAGGTGACGACCAGCCTGGACAACATGGTAAAACCCAGTCTCTACTAAAAATACAAAAAATTAGCCAGACGTGGTGGTGGGCGCCCGTAATCCCAGCCACTTGGGAGGCTGAGGCAGAAGAATCGCTTGAACCCAGGAGGCGGAGGTTGCAGTGAGCCGAGATCGCGCCATTAAACTCCAGCCTGAGCAACAAGAGCGAAACTCTGTCTCAAAAAAAAATAAAAAATATAAAGAAAGAACTGCTGTTTATCGCCTGTCCAGGGCTGATCTTGGGACAAGACTAGAGGGATGAAGGTGCCCACTTTGAAGACTAGGACAGCGAGGTCATCCCGGATCTCCGTGCACGGAGTCTGCTGAAGTGCGCGCTGACTGCCCGGGGATAGATAGCAAGATTGCACCAGCGTCCGACCTGAGCTCCAGGGTGACTCTGCCCTCAGGCCCCGCCCCCTCTCCGAGCGCCCTGCGCAGGCCCCGCCCCCAGTCTCGCGAGAGCTGAGAGGTGGAAAATGGCGCTGACGTGAGCGCGAACTCGCACTGCCCAGAGGGTGGCCGCCGCCTAAGCTGCAGCCGCCGGAGCCGCAGAAACAAGAGGCCGAGCCGTGTCGAAGATGGTGAGCGCGGCACCGGGGTCGCGGGCGCGGCGGAGCTGCGGGGACTGGCGGGGAGCGGCCCTGTCGCGCCTACAGCCTCCGGCCGACCCCGCCCCCACATCCGGGCACCCGTCCGCCGCTGGCTGTCACTCGGAGAGCGCCCTACTTCCGGGCCCGGCCCGGAATGGACCACGCCCGTCAGGCTAGGACTCCGCCCCTAAACTTCTTACATCCGGGCCCCCAGCACCTCCAAGATTGTCCACACTGCTCGAGGCCGGCCGGTCTCGGTCCTCAGACAATCCATGTCTAGCTCCTCTAGCATCTTCCCAGTCCATGCCTGCCCATAGCCCCGCCTCCGTAGCCTTGGCCCCGCCCACTCCCTCTAGGCCACGCTTGTGTGCATACTGGGGCTCCCACCTATCCTAGTTGAGGAGAGCAGATGTTTCTCCCGTATGCATAAGGAGCTCAATCCGGGCCAGTGCAGTGGCTGACGACTCTAATCCCAGCACTTTGGGAGGCTGAGGCAGGAGGATCACTTGAGACCAGGGGTTCAAGACCAGTGAGGGCAACATGGCGAGACCCCATCTTTATAAAAAGAAAAAAAGAGCTTAGTCCACCCTTACGTATTCCCCTATCCTCTCCTGCTGGTGATTCCTTAGGATGGGGGCCGACTGGGTTGACCCAGAGCCCAGAAGGGTTCTCTCCGCCTCTTCCTTCCACCAGGAGGAGAAACCCTCAGGGCCCATCCCAGACATGCTGGCCACTGCAGAGCCCAGCTCCAGTGAGACCGACAAGGAGGTGTTGTCCCCGGCTGTGCCAGCTGCAGCCCCTTCCTCCTCCATGTCGGAGGAGCCAGGCCCTGAGCAGGCAGCCACACCGCCAGTGTGGGAACGTGGAGGGGCTGGAGGGATGCAGCAGGGCTCCTCCCCAGCCCCAGACAGCTGCCAGCCTGGCCCCGGACCCAGCCCTGGCCTGACCAGCATAGTCTCCGGGACCAGCGAGGACCTGCGGCCTCCCAGACGACGCCCACCTCCAGGTGATCTGTGATGGGGTCTTCTGGGGAATCACAGTCCCTGAAACAATAGAAGCGAGACGTAGAGAATCTCTAACCTCAGGGCCTTTCTAGAGGGATGCCACTCATCATTTTACGGAGCAGCCGGTGGATGCCAGGCTGTGGCTCCAATGGTGAGCCTGGCCAGTCCAGCCCCTGCACTGTGGCAGACCAGTCTGTTGTGGTAGGCAGAGAGTAAAGGCCCCAGCACATCATATTTGCTTCTCTGGGGCAGAACCCTGGGGTCAGGGACAGCACTAGTGAGGAAGGGACCAGTGACCACTGTTCTGTGCGTCCTGCAGGGAAGCAAATCCCTTGCTCCAGCCCTGGCTGCTGCCTCAGTTTTCCCAGCGTCCGTGACCTGGCACAGCATCTGCGAACCCACTGCCCGCCCACACAGTCCCTGGAAGGTAGGGCCAGGACTGGTAATGGGGAGGCAGGTTAGGGTGGGAAACAGGCGGAGCCCCTCGGAGCCAGCCTTGGCCACCTGTCTCCACTTCTCTGTCCTTCATCCCTACCAGGCAAGCTCTTCCGCTGCTCAGCCCTGAGCTGCACCGAGACCTTCCCCAGCATGCAGGAGCTGGTGGCTCACAGCAAACTGCACTACAAACCCAATCGCTACTTCAAGTGAGACCCTGACCTCTTGAGCTCCGCCCTGCCCTAGCCTCACCCTATGTGTGGGCTCCAGGCCTTCCTCCCTTCCTGGTCAGGGTGTTGGAGGGCGGGACTTGATGTGGGTGGGCCTTTGGGGAAGCCCCGCCCTCAACTCCCTGGATGGGGCGGGGCATACGTGGGCGTGGCCCCACCCAGCCAGGCTTTACCTCCCAAGTGGAAAACCGGCCGCCTAACTTAAAATTGAGACTTCTTTCCGGGTTTCCCCAGGTTCCCACCCGAAGTGGTCAGGAAGGGTCGCTGCCACAGTTGTACAGGAGCGGGGAGGTGATTAGTGCCCAGGCTCCGTTCCCACGCTCGAAGGGCGGGTGGCATTGCACAGGACACTCTCCCTGGTGCCCCTGGAGGCCCAGCCCAGCCCAGCCCTCTGCCCACCTCCAGGTGTGAGAACTGCCTCCTGCGCTTCCGCACGCACCGCTCGCTCTTCAAGCACCTGCATGTTTGCGCGGAGCATGCGCAGAGCCCAGCCCCGCCGCCACCCCCGGCCCTGGACCGAGAGCCGCCCGCGCCGGAGCGCCCCCCGGAGGTTGACCCCGCATCAGCGCCGGGCCTGCCGTTCCCGCTGCTGGAACCCTTCACGACCCCCGCCCCTGCCCCCACCGGACCGTTCCTGCCCTACTTGAACCCTGCGCCCTTTGGCCTAAGCCCCCCGCGCCTGCGCCCCTTCCTGGCCGCTGCACCCGGGCCGCCGGCTTCCAGCGCCGCCGTCTGGAAAAAGAGCCAAGGTGAGTGTGGGGTCGGGGGCCTCCAGGAGGGCTGGCTGGGCTCGCCCTGACTCTGAACTTGACCCGCCCCTTTACCGCAGGTGCTGGCAGCAGCCCCCGAAGACCCCAGGGCGGCTCCGACGCGCCCTCAGGTGCGTGCAGGTGACCACCAGGGAGGGGTGGAGGGGCTTTCTTTCCTGCGCCCTGCGGGGTCTGGTGGATACCAGGAGGCAGCAGTGCTCATCCCCTTCCCAGGGGGCACAAATGCCACCGTCCCGAAATACAGGATTTTTGCCTTAAAAATGACTGGCACCTGCGCCTTCATCTGCGCCGGCGTTCCCGTATAAACCTTGCGCCCCTTTCACCGTTCACCTCGGAGCGGGCTTCTCCCCAACAGTGAATCTGGGGATGATAGTAGGGGACGCGGAGAAGCCAAGTTGGGTGCCCCCAACTCTAGGGGCAGACAGACCCGGGAGAAACTGAACTAGGCGCCCGGAAGCTGATGGGGGGCGGGAAAAAGTCCCACCCACCCTCGCCGGCGTCCTCCATCCTTGGCGCACGGGTCTTCTGGGCTGGGGGAGCCCGGGACTGACGGGGTCCCGCCTGCCCGCAGGGCACGCGGCCCCGAGCCGCATCGTGTGGGAGCACACACGCGGCCGCTACTCGTGCATGCAGTGCGCCTTCTCCACGGCCTCGCGGCCCGCCATGACCCTGCACCTGGAGGACCACCGCCCCGGCGCCCCCGCGGCCCCCGCGGCCGGGCCGCCGCGCCCCGACGCCCCCGCGGGTAAGGCCGAGGAATGCGCGGGTGGAGAGGGGGGCGGGGGCCCAAGGCGCTGAGGCTCAGGCGCCCCCCTCCTCTGCCCCACCCAGATCCGGCCCCGCTTGCACCCAAGGTGTCGCCGCTGCTGTCAGAGGGGGAGCTTCCAGTGTTCTCGCAGCTCTGAATCCCGCCGCTTTGGGGGTGGGCCATGGGATGTGGGTAGTTTTGTCATTTGGAGGGGGCTGCAGGGAAGGGGGGCTGGGGTGGACAATAAAGAAGGCGCCATGAGCCAGCCTATGCTGTGTTCCCATCCCTTGTCCATCCAAAGCATAGTGGGCTCGAGCCCAGCAGTCATGGATTGATCACATCTTGGGAGGACCACCTGGGTCCACAGGTGCAGGCCTCACAGCCCACCTGTGTCCTGTCTTCCCATCACCCCAATCCTGGGACCCAGGTCCCCACCTCCAGCTGTGGTTGAGGTCCCCAGTACCCACTGTGGCAGCGTTCTCCCTTGTCCAGAAACCAAATGGGATGGGGACTCTCCAGTTTTCTTTTTTTTTTTTTTTCTTTTTTTTTTTTTCTTTTTTGAGACAGTCTTGCTCTGTCTCCCAGGCCGGAGTGCAGTGGCACAATCTCCTCTCACTGCAAGCTCCACCTCCTGGGTTCACGCCATTCTCCTGCTTCAGCCTCCCAAGTAGCTGGGATTACAGGTGCCCACCACTATGCCCGGCTAATTTTTTGTATTTTTAATAGAGATGGAGTTTCACCGCGTTAGCCAGGATGGTCTCGATCTCCTGACCTCATGATCCGCCCGCCTTAGACTCCCAAAGTGCTGGAATTACAGGCGTGAGCCACCACGCCCGGTCTCCAGTTTTCTTTTAAGAAGTCCCGGCCGGGCACAGTGGCTCACGCCTGTAATCCCAGCACTTTGGGAGGCTGGGGCAGGTGGAGCACCTGAGGTCAGGAGTTCGAGACCAGCCTGACTTACATGGTAAAACCCCATCTCTACTAAACACAAAAAATTAGCCAGGTGTGGTGGCGCACACCTGTAGTCCCAGCTACTTGGGAGGCTGAGGCAGGAGAATCACTTGAACCTGGGAGGTGGAAGTTGCAGTGAGCTGAGATTGTGCTATTGCACTCCAGTCTGGGCAATACGAGTGGAACTCCATCTCAAAAATAAAGAAAATTAAAAAGCAATCCCGTAACCAGGAGAGGTGACTAATGTCTGCAGTCTCAGTGCTTTAGGAAGCTGAGGCAGGAGGGGCGCCTCAGGCCAGGAGTTCGAGACCAGCTTGGGCAACCTAGCAAGATCGCATCTCTACCTCCCCGCCCACCAAAAAAAATACAAAAAATAATCAGGCATGGCTGGGCATGGTGGCTCATGCTTGTAATCCTAGCACTTTGGGAGGCCGAAGTGGGTGGATCACTTGAGGTCAGGAGTTGGAGACTAGCCTGGCCAACATGGTGAAACCCCATCTCTACTAAAAATATGAAAATTAGTCGGGCATGGTGGTGGGCACCTATAATCCCAGCTACTCGGGAGCCTGAGGCAGGAGAATCGCTTGAACCCGGTGGGATGGAGGTTGCAGTGAGCCGAGATCAAGACCCTGCACTCCAGCCTGGGTGATAGAGTGAAACTCTGTCTTAAAAAAAAAAAAAAAAAAAAATAGCCGTGGTGGCTACCTGGGAGGCTGAGGCAGGAGGATCACGAGCACAGCAGTTCAAGGCTGCAGTGAGCCATCATCACACCATTGCAACCCCAGCCTGGGAGACAAAAAAAGAAAAAATCCCAGGAGCTTCGGGGACAGGCTGGAAGGCTGGTCCTGAGAAAGTGCAGGGACTGGCCAGGATGGCCTGAAGACCCCCAGACCCTGAACCCCATACTGACTTAAGGGGAAGAATCCTTTGGGATTGGGGAGGCAGGCTGGGGACTCAGGTCTTCATCCTCCTTGCTGTCTGCCAGACCAATTTCCACCATGTCCCAGCTCTGAGGAGTGGGGTGGGTCAAGGCCAGCCCTCCATGGCCTGGTCTTTCTCCTCACCCCTGAAGCCAGCCTCCCAGGTATGGAAGTCCCAGGTGATATCCACAGCCATCCCTTGGAAGCTGGTTTTACCTCCATGATCCCTCTCCCTTCTATCCTCATCTCGCCAGCCCCAGGGTCCCCTAGCCCACCCCCTACTCTCCCCAACCTGCCCTTACCCCAAGACTGAAAACAGAAAACAGTCTCTTCTTCCTCTTTTTATTTTATTTATTTTTTTTTTTTTGGAGACAGAGTCTCGCCGGAGTGCAATGGCAGTGCCAGGCTGGAGTGCAATGGTACACTCTCAGCTCTCACTGCAACCTCCGCCTTCTGGGTTCACATGATTCTCCTGCCTCAGCCTCCAAGTAGCTGGGATTACAGGCGCCTGCCACCACCCCGGCTAACTTTTTGTATTTTTAGTAGCGATGAGGTTTCAACATGTTGGTCAGGCTGGTCTCGAACTCCTGACCTCAGGTGATCGACCCACCTTGGCCTCCCAAAGTACTGGGATTACAAGTGTGAGCCACCACGCCCTGCCAGGGTCTCTTCTGATTGTTCCCCTCTCCTGCCCGGCACCCTTCAGTGGCTTCCCATGGCCCTCTGGATGAAGATCCTGTTCTCCCAGTAGCCCACAAGGCCCTACCTTGAACCTCTCGGTCCCCTCCCAGAACAACACTCACTGTCTCCCTCATCCTCCTGGATATACAGACATCCTGTGAGCAAGAACCCAGGGACCTCCTTCACGCAGTCCACCTTGTCTCAATCCTTACCTCCTCCTCCTTTCTCCATTCTCTGAATCCACTTCGGGGTTCCCCCTCACCTCCTCATCCTGGTATCTGCAGCCGAGACACCAGTAACCCCTGGGCGGGGCCCCCAGACCCCACTCCTCCGTCACTGCCCTCCCACCTTCTCCTTGCCCCCCGCCACCCTCCTTGTTGTCTTCCTCAGATTTTTTTTTTTTTTTTTTTTTTGGAAGATGGAGTCTCGCACTGTCACCCAGGCTGGAGTGCAGTGGCACCATCTCAGCTCACTGCAGCCTCCGCCTCCCAGGTTCACACCATTCTCCTGCCTGAGCCTCCCAAGTAGCTGGGATTACAGGTGCCCTCCACCATGCCTGGCTAATTTTTTGTATTTTTAGTAGAGATGGGGTTTCAGCATGTTGGCGAGGCTGGTCTCGAACTCTTGACCTCATGATCCGCCCGCCTCGGCCTCCCAAAGTGCTGGGATTACAGGCGTGATCCACCGCACCTATCTTCCTTGGACTTTTCATCCACCAACGTGTCCACCTCAGGCTCTGAGTCAAAGCCATCCAGGTAGACAAGCCAAGGGCCACCTGCCCCACACCTGCTCAGTGCCATGTCACCTCAAAGATGGACAGCTCTGGGCTCCAGAAGCCCTTCAGCCACTGCAAGGGGCAGGAGGGGATCCTCAGGCCCTTGGGACCCGTCTGTCTGCCCCACTGCCCACCGCCTCACCAGGGGCCTGAAGACTGCTCTGTCCTTGATGGGGCTGTGATGTGACGGGGCAGCAGCCTCAGCTGACGTGGCTTGGGCTGGGTGTCCACTCTCCCAGAACCTGTAGGCCCCAGCTGAGGTGGTTGTCAGGATGGGGTAGGACAGGCCATCAGGAGGCCCCCTAAGCTCCCCCTTCTCAGCCAGAAGCCTTGAAACCACCACTGTGGGACCCTGGAAAAGAGTCGACTTCCCTGCCTCCCAATTCCCTCGTCCTTAAAAGGGTGTCATGATGACTGGTGAGTCCTTTGGGGTGGACGCGAGGATGAAAAGAGAGGCTGCAGGGAGAGGAGGGGCTTGGGAAATGTCTGCTGAGAACTTCACGTCCCGAGCCCATGGCTGCCTGGGACTCTCTCGACCTGGGGAGGAGGGTGGGACAGGGTGAAGGGGCCCATTTTACAGATATATAGAGAAGGTGAGGCTAGGAGGCCTCTAGCCAGCCCCAGTTCCCAGTCAGCGGCACTGATTCTGCACCATCTTGGGAGCTGCGCACGGTTACCACGAGAAGAGAAAACCCTGCCAGCAGGTCCAGAGGACACGCCCCTGTTCCCGCATTCTGCAGGTCCCTAGATCTGGCTGTAGTCCAAGCCTCTCCCCCATCTCCAGGGACAGCGCTGTGTTCTCTGTCCCCCAGGCCCCTAACCCCTCTCCAGGGTCCCGGGGGCCCCCAGGAGTCTTTGTCCCCATCAGTTTCTTTATTCGGCCACCCCCAGATCTAGGCCACGCCTCTTCCCAGTCTGTCAGTATCTTTCCAGAGAAACCTAGAGCCAACACGTCCGTCCAGGGACCTCTCCCCTACCCCATCACCCACGGAGATGGGACAGCCCTTCCTGTGTGTACAGCGGGCCCACGGCCACCACACTACCCTCTGGAGTGAACTGACTGCCGCGAGGCCTGGGGAGCTGGCTCACCACCTGTCCTCCACCGTTCACCCTGTCCACTGCAGAAACGACCTCCTACCCTCAAGCCGGCCCCCAACCCCCATGCACAGGAGCCCAGCCCTCTTGGGCCCCGGCTCCGCCCAGCAGGGGGCGCCCAGGAATCTCAGACTCGGGGGAATGAAAGCCGGGAGAGCAGTGGGGATAGCGGGCAGGTTGGCTGGAAGCCGCGGGCTCGCGCTGAACAGCTCTGAGGCCGGCCAGAGGCCCGTGCCCGGCATTTGTCCAGCCCCAGCTGTCACTTGCAGGTGCCGGTCCGGTTACCCTCATTGCGGGCCAGGAGCGGGGAGGTGGAGGGCGCCCTGCGGCCCTGGGATCCGCCGCCCACGTGCTCCCCGGGCTCCTCCCCCTGCACACCGTTGTTCGCGTTTCCGACCCCGCAGATTCCCCAAGGCGCGCCCTAACGAACTCTCACTCCCCTGGTCCGGGCTCCCTTCTCCGGGATTCCGGTAACCCTATCTGTCCCTGTCTGCAGCCGCGCCGCGCGGAACCCTGCCGGGAGCCCCTACGGAGGCGCCAAATACACAAAGGGTAGTTGGCGGGGAGGCGCACCATGACTACAGCTCCGGGACCTGCGCTTCACCCCCACGGCGCCCCCGTGGGGCCTTGGTGCGCGCGCCCTGGCTGGACCCTCCTAGCTGCGAGAGTGCACGGGTAGTGACCAGCCCAGGCACCTGGGAATCCATCAGCTGTCATCCAATCCTTTAATTACCTTGATTGAGCTCCTTACTGTGGCCAAGCATTGCTTGATTTATTTATTTACTTATTTTTATTATTTAATTTAATTTTTTTTTTTTTGAGACGGTGTCTCGCCTTGTCACCCAGGTTGGAGTGCAATGGCGCAATCTCAGCTCACTGCAACCTCCGCCTCCCGGGTTCAAGCGATTCTCCCGCCTCAGCCTCCCAGGTACCTGGGATTACAGGTGTGCACAAACAGTATTTTTAGTAGAGACAGGGTTTCATCATGTTGGCCAGGCTGCTCTCGAACTCCTGACCTCAGGTGATACGCCCGCCTGGCCTCCCAAACTTCTGGGATTACAGGCGTCAGCCACCGCGCCTGGCCACTTGTTCTTTCTTTCATTCTTTCCTTCACTTGCCAAGGTTCTGGAGACCCACAGAGAGCCCATACTGTCCTCCCGAGACTCCTTTTTGGGAGGGCAACCCACATCTGGGAACTGTGCCCCAGGACAGGATGCAAAGGCACAACAGAGATGGCAGAATCCTGATGTCTGTGCTCTTAAAGGAGGCGTGAAAACAGGCAGGCCAGGCGCAGTGACTAAGGCCTGTAATCCCAGCACTTTGGGAGGCCCACGTGGGTAGATTGCTTGAGGTCAGGAGTTTGAGACCAGCCTGGCCAATGGTGACACCCCAGCTCTGCTAAAAATCCAGAAAATTAGCCGGGCATGTTGGCAGGCACCTGTAATCCCAGCTACTTGAAGCCGGGAGGCAGCCTGGGAGACAGAGCAAGACTTTGTCTCAAAAAAAAAATTTTAAAATGTTTTAAAAATACTTGCTCGGGCCACACCCCAGACTGATTAAGTCAGAGTTTCTTGTAGGTTCTGTTTTTTGTTTTGTTTTTTTTTAGATGGAGTTTTGCTCTGTCACCCAGACTGGAGTGCAGTGGAGCCATCTCGTCTCACTGCAACCTCCGCCTCCTGGGTTCAAGCAATTCTCCTGCCTCAGCCTCCCAAGTAGCCAAGATTACAGGCATGCGCCACCACGCCGAGCTAATTTTTGTATTTTTAGTAGAGATGGGGTTTCTCCATGTTGCCCAGGCTGGTCTTGAACTCCCAACCTCAGGTGATCAACCTCAGGTGATCCACCCGACTCAGCCTCCCAAAGTGCTGGGATTACAGGCGTGAGCCACACTGCCCAACCGCCGGTTCTTTTTTTTTTTTTTTTAACTGTTCAGGCAATTCCAACATGTGCTCAAACTGAAAACCAGGGCTCTCTACTCTCTTAGCAGGTGTTTTCTCCCTTTGTCTACCGTGACGGAGATTACTGATCTCCTGTGGGCTGAGCTCTGTGGTCAGGGCTTGTCCTTATCTGGCCAGTCCTCGGCACCACAAGTGACTGCCTTCACCCCCTCTTGGCCCCTGTCTCTGTCTCCTGGTTCCTCTTCTCTCTACTACCTCTAACCTCTGGGAATCTGGTGTGTCCTCGGGTCCTCAGACCCCCTCACTCCTCCAGAACTGCAAAGCCTTTTTTTTTTTTTTTTTTTGAGATGGAGTCTCTCTCTGTCACCCAGCATGGAGTACAGTGGCGTGATCTTGACTCTGCAACCTCCGCCTTCAGGGTTCAAGTGATTCTCCCACCCCAGCCTCCCAAGCAGCTGGGACCACAGGCGTGCACCATCACACCTGGCTAATTTTATATTTTTTGTAGAGATGGAGTCTTGCTACATTGCCCAAGCTGGTCTTGAACTCCTGGGCTCAAGTGATCCTCCTGCCTCAGCCTCCCAAAGTGTTAGGATTACAGGCGTGAGCCACCGTGCGTGGCCCAGGTGCAAGGCCTTTGACACCACTCACCCACCGACCCCCAAATCTGCTGTACCAGCTAAGCTTTCTGCCCAGGGCGGCAGCCTGGGACATCCATGGCCTGTGATATCTGCCCCAGAACAAGTGAGTCCTGCTCAGAGCCGGGAATTGGATTTCATGGAAGTGTTGAAATGAGGAAGGCGGATGAGCCAACCAGGGCAGACAGCAGAGGCCTCACCCGGTCACATGGGCCCCCACGTCCTGGGCCTCTGGGCCTCCCCAGGAGCCTCCTAAACCCCAGAGCTGTCCGTACCCCTGATCTGCTGAGATCTCCCCATCCTGTGGCTCTCTAGCCCAGGAGGTCACCAGGGCCTGGCATGGAGTCCTCCCTGGAGTCCAGAGATGGGGACACCAAAGTAGTAGGAATGATGGGGACTATAGAGAGTAAGAAACTAGTTGGCCAGGCGTGGTTGCTCACGCCTGTAGTCCCAGCACTTTGGGAGGCCGAGGCGGGCAGATCATCTGAGGTTGGGAGTTTGAGACCAGCCTGACCAACATGGTGAAACCCCGTCTCTACTAAAAATACAAAAAATTAGCCGGCAGTGGTGGCACATGCATGTAATTCCAGCTACTCAGGAGACTGAGGCAGGACAATCGCTTGAACCTGGGAGGCGGAGGTTGCAGTGAGTCGAGATTGCGCCACTACACTCCAGCCTGGGCAACAAAGTGATACCCCGTCTCAAAAAAAAAAAAAAAAAAAAAAAAAAGAAAGAAACTAGTGACCATGTTAGGAACATGCGGGCAACCAGTGCCCCAAGCTTGGGACAGTAGCAGGCAGGACAGGAATTCAAGCGAAATAGAAGTGCCCAGCAGGGGCCGGGGCAGTGGCTCACACCTGTAATCCCAGCACTTTGGTAGGCCGAGGCGGACCGATCCCTTGAGGTCAGGAGTTTGAGACCAGCCTGCCCAACATGGTGAAACCCCTTCTCTACTAAAGATACGAAAAGTAGCCAGGAGCGGTGGTGCGCGCCTGTAATCCCAGCTACTCAGGAGGTTGATGCAAAAGAATTGCCTGAACCCGGGAGGCAGAGGTTGCAGTGAGCCGAGATGGCACCATGGCACTCCAGCCTGGGCGACAGAGCAAGACTCAGTCTCAAAAAAAAAGAAGTGGCTGGCAGGATCTGGAGACGGACTGGAGCCTCCCCACCTCCTTCCCTTCCTCCTCTGCCCTCCCCCGCCCCACCTCTAGCAGCCCCCACCCTGTGTGCTGACCGTGGAGCAGAAGCCACAGTCACTTCCTGAAGGCAGCGGCCCCAGCTCGGGTCCCACTCATCCCATGGCCCATCACCTGCCTGCAGCCATGGTGAGTGCTGGAAGAGGCCTGTGCCTCACTGGCTGGGAAGCAAGGGACACAGATGTTCCCAGAAGGATAGGATCCACCTGTGGAGGGGCGGGCGGGGGGGCGGGGGGTGGCTGCGAAAGACATCTGGGAAACGGGAAGGGTCGGCAAAAAGGACCCGAGGTAGGCGGCCACCAGGCACACCCCAGGACAGCGCGGGCTCCTGGGGGTTCACGCTCAGGTTGGGACTGCGAGGGGGACAGATGGGACTCCCCGGGGGGACAACTCCCGTCTCCCCAGGTCAACATGAGCAGCCATGTGGGAACGGGCTGCTGGGGTGAGAGCAGTGCTTTCCTGCGGGGTGACAAAGTGGGTCATGACCCTCCCCCGTCCAGTCACCCAAGTTGTGACCTGCTAACCCTGACTTATCTAGCCCTGTGGTCGCCCGGGAGCACTTCCTTCAAACCACTCGGGGCTTTGACAGGGGCACTTCAGGCCCCAGGTGGGAATTGCTGCCTTTCCAAGGAGCAATCCTGGTCTCTGGTCCTCTGGATGGGGAAAGTGAGGCACACGCAGGAAGCAAAGGCCACACGTTTCTGCCCTTTCCCTCCCCCAATCTCCTTGACCACAGGTGAAAGGGGCGTTTGTAGGACTAAGGAGGCCTGGCCTTCTTGTGAATCTGCCTACCTCTGTGAGGAGTGGTTGCAGGGCCAGCTAGGAGGGCAGCTGGGACAGCTGGGTATGCAGGAGACAGCGCCTGTGCCCACGGTGTCTGCACCAATCCTCTCAGGCACTGTCAACTGTGAGCATTCCTGACCATCAGCCCGCATGTCAGAGACGGTGTGAGAGGGACCGCATGGCCGTCTCCAGGCATCTCTGTGTTTTCCTGATGGTCAGGCTGAGTAC
Organism: Homo sapiens; assembly: GCF_000001405.40. NCBI lineage: Eukaryota > Metazoa > Chordata > Mammalia > Primates > Hominidae > Homo > Homo sapiens. Next base: position 8,501,682 of record NC_000019.10, on the reverse strand, counting down.
ATGGCTGTCTTTGTGCTGCCTGAATATTGTTTATTTCAGCAAATATTTACTGAGCACCTACCATGTTCCAGGCCCTGGGAAGACAGCAATGAATGAGCCAAGTCTCTGCCTTGCAGAGGCTGAGGAACTGAGGGAAGTTGTGGTGTAGAGAGACAAAAAAAAAAAAAAAAAAAAATCAAGACACATTAAAAACAATGTAAAATAGTATAATACGTAGGGGTGGGTACGATGGAGAAAATCATGCATGCTGAATGCAGGGCAGTAGTGGGATGGGGTGATCCATTTAAAATAGGGTGGTCTAGGCCAGGCGTGATGGCTCATGCACTTTGGGAGGCCGAGGTGGGTGGATCACTTGAGGTCAGGAGTTCGAGACCAGCCTGGCCAACATGGTAAAACCCTGTTTCCATTAAAAATACAAAAAAAATTAGCCAGGCGTCGTGGCAGACACCTGTGATCCCAGCTACTCAGGAGGCTGAGAATCGCTTGAACCCAGGAGGCGGAGGTTGCAGTATGGCGAGATTCCACCACTGCATTCCAACCTGGGTGACAGAGTGAGACTCCGTCTCAAAAAAAAAAAAAAAAAAGAAAGAAAGAAAAATAGGGTGGTCTAGGTTGGGCACGGTGGCTCACACCTGTAATCCCAGCACTTTGGGAGGCTGAGGCGGGTGGAGGGTGGATCACCTGAGGTCGTGAGTTTGAGACCAGCCTGGCCAACGTGGTGAAACCCTGTCTCTAGTTAAAATACAAAAATTAGCCAGGTGTGGTGGCGAGTGCCTGTAATCCCAGCTACTTGGGCGGCTGAGGCACGAGAATCATTTGAACCTGGGAAGTGGAGATTGCAGTGAGCCGAGATCGCGCCATTGCACTCCAGTCTGGGTGACAGAGCAAGACTCCATCTCAAAAAATAAAAATAAACAAATAGGGTGGCCTTGGATGGCCTCTCTAATAAGAAAATATGAGAACAGAGGCTGGGAGGAGGAAAAGGAGAGACCCAGGTGGTGCAGAGACATGTCCTGGGTCAGGGACAGGGCAGAGGCCCCGAGGTCGGAGGGAAGTGTTCAGGGTGCAGGGAGGAGAAGGTGGCTGGGTAGGGAGGCTGGTTCGCCCAGGCTTTTATGAGGCATTTAGCTTGAACTGTGGGGACATGAGGAAGCATTGCCGAGTTTTGAGCAGAGGGACACAAACAGACTCAGGGTTCAACAGGCTTCTCCCTCCAGCTGCCATGGGGGGAACTGACCAGGGAAGGGGGTAGGCAGAGGCCCAGGGAAGGGCTTGTTAGAGTAATCCAGGCAATTGGTTGGGGGAGGGCAGACACTGCCTCCCACTACCTCCTGGGGTGACAGTGGTGAAGGCAGTGAGAAGTGGTTGGATTCCGGATGTGTTTTGAAATTAGCACAGAAGGGACTGGGGGCCTGGGCGCGGCGGCTCAAGCCTGTAATCCCAGCTACTGGGGAGGCCGAGGTCGGGGGAATCATTGGAGCCCAGGAGTTGCAAGCTGCAGTGAGCTATGATTGCACCACTGCTCTCCAGCCTGGGCAATGGAACGAGACTGGAGACATGCAGTGGGAGGGGTGAAAGAATGAGGGGGTCAAGGATGCTGGGGGGGTGGGGTACCACCCATGGGGGGAGGGCAGTGGGACTGGAGGCTGCAGGAGGGATGTCGGGATCTCCAGTGCTGCTAGAGGAGGTTGGGTGTGGAATCAGCACTAAATGGAGAAGTAGGGAGGGGTGTCGGTCCCAGGATCCTAGGATCCATGGGGGCTCCTGGGAAAGAGCTGAGGGCTGACCGGGCCTGGGCGCAGGGGTGGTGGTTGTGGGCTGTGCCTGAGGGTCCCCAGGCCCATCCTTCCATGCCCCTTCTGTGTGTTTGAGCCCCTGCCTCATTGGCTCTGCGTCTCCTAGGAGAGCCATCAGGACTTCCGGAGCATCAAAGCAAAGTTCCAGGCCTCTCAGCCGGAGCCCAGCGACCTGCCCAAAAAACCTCCGAAGCCTGAGTTTGGTAAACTGAAGAAGTTCTCCCAGCCTGAGCTAAGCGAGCACCCCAAGAAGGCCCCGCTGCCTGAGTTTGGTGCAGTGTCCTTGAAGCCCCCGCCGCCTGAGGTCACTGACCTCCCCAAGAAGCCCCCGCCGCCTGAGGTCACTGACCTCCCCAAGAAGCCCCCGCCGCCTGAGGTCACTGACCTCCCCAAGAAGCCCCCGCCGCCTGAGGTCACTGACCTCCCCAAGAAGCCGTCCAAACTGGAGTTGAGTGACCTCTCCAAGAAGTTCCCACAGCTGGGGGCCACTCCGTTTCCAAGGAAGCCCCTGCAGCCTGAGGTCGGTGAGGCCCCTTTGAAGGCCTCGCTGCCGGAGCCTGGTGCGCCGGCCCGGAAACCCCTGCAGCCCGACGAACTCAGTCACCCCGCCAGACCCCCCTCCGAACCCAAATCCGGCGCATTCCCCAGGAAGCTCTGGCAACCCGAGGCCGGTGAGGCTACCCCGAGGTCCCCGCAGCCTGAGTTGAGTACCTTTCCCAAGAAGCCTGCGCAGCCTGAGTTCAACGTGTACCCCAAAAAGCCTCCGCAGCCTCAGGTCGGTGGCCTCCCTAAGAAGTCCGTGCCGCAGCCTGAGTTCAGCGAGGCCGCTCAGACTCCCCTCTGGAAGCCTCAGTCCAGCGAGCCGAAGCGCGACTCCAGCGCCTTTCCCAAAAAGGCCTCCCAGCCTCCGCTGAGTGACTTTCCCAAGAAGCCTCCGCAGCCTGAGCTTGGGGACCTCACCAGGACCTCCTCAGAGCCCGAAGTCAGCGTGCTTCCCAAGAGGCCGCGGCCGGCCGAATTCAAAGCGCTCTCCAAGAAGCCCCCGCAGCCCGAGCTGGGCGGCCTCCCCAGGACCTCCTCAGAGCCCGAGTTCAACTCACTCCCCAGGAAGCTGCTGCAGCCGGAGCGCCGGGGGCCACCCCGCAAGTTCTCACAGCCTGAGCCCAGCGCTGTCCTCAAGAGACACCCGCAGCCTGAGTTCTTCGGTGATCTCCCTCGAAAGCCTCCACTCCCCAGCTCCGCTTCCGAGAGCTCACTGCCTGCGGCCGTGGCCGGCTTCAGCTCCCGGCACCCGCTCAGCCCTGGGTTTGGAGCGGCTGGGACACCCCGCTGGAGGTCAGGAGGCCTGGTTCACAGTGGAGGGGCCAGGCCAGGCCTCAGACCCAGCCATCCACCCCGGCGGAGGCCTCTGCCCCCTGCCAGCAGCCTGGGACACCCTCCAGCCAAGCCCCCGCTGCCCCCGGGGCCCGTGGATATGCAGAGCTTTCGGAGACCCTCTGCAGCATCCATAGGTGGGTGAGGGCGGGCGGCACCGGCAGGAGCGGGGGCTGAGGTCCCAGGCAGTGCCGGCTTCCCTGCCCTACTCTCTACCCCACAGATCTACGGAGGACCCGCTCGGCCGCTGGGCTCCACTTCCAGGACCGACAGCCTGAAGACATCCCGCAGTGAGTGTGGGGAGGAAGCGGAGGTGGGTGCGGATTGTGGGGCTCAAAGAGGCCTCATCTCGGCCTGGAGCTCCCAGAACTTCGGGAGGCTGAAGTGGGCGGATCTCCTGAAGTCAGGAGTTCGACAACAGCCTGGCCAACGTGGTGAAACCCCGTCTACTAAAAATACAAAAATTAGCCCGGTGTGGTGGGGGGCACCTGTAATCCCAGCTACTTGGGAGGCTGAGGCAGGAGAATCGCTTGAACCCGGGAGGTGGAGGCTGCAGTGAGCCCGAGATCATGCCCCTGCACCACTCCAGCCTGGGCAACAGAGAAAAACTCCGTCTCAAAAAAAAAAAAAAAAAAAAAAAAAGAAGAGGCCTCATCTCAGGTATCCCCGCAGGGTCCCAGATGAGATCTACGAGCTGTATGACGATGTGGAACCCAGAGATGACTCCAGCCCCAGCCCCAAGGGCAGAGGTTTGTTGGTGGCCTGCCCGAGTCCCTGCAAAACATTCGGGGCAAGGCCATTTTCTGCCATGCTCCTGGTGTAAGAGCAAGTAACATTTTAGGACCTGCTGGCTCCTGCTGGGTGGAACTACATAAGGGGAGCCCAGAGGCGAAGGACCAGTGAGAAGGCTGTTGTAGGCAGAGGTGTGGCCCAGGTTGGCAGCAGGAGATGTGGGAGCAGTGGGTGAATTCAGTAATCAAAAGCAGGCATCAGGCCGGGTGCAGTGGCTCATGCCTGTAATCCCAGAGCTTTGGGAGCCCGAGGCAGGAGGATCGTTTGAGCCAATCCCAGGGCTTTGTGAGGCCAAGACAGGAGGATCCCGTAAGCCCAAGATTCCAGACCAGTCTGGGCCACAGAGCGAGACCTCATCTCTACAAAAAAACTTAAAAATCAGCCAGGTGTGACAAGCATCTGTAGTCCCAGCTATTTGGGATGCTGAGACAAGAGGATTGCTTGAGTCCAGGAGGTCGAGACTGCAGACTGCAGTGAGGCTGTGACTCCACCACTGTACTCCAGCCTGGGCAGCAAACACCCTGTCTCAAAAAAAAAAAAAAAAAAAGCAGGATTTGGTGGTATATAAAGCAGGGAAGTTTCAAGCCTAGCACCCAAGGGCATGACAGAGCCGCCCCTGGGTTGACGACAAGATGTTAGGTTCCATTCATTCATCCATCCATCCATCCATCCATTCATTTATTTATTTATTTTTTGAGATGGAGTCTCGCTCTGTCACCCAGGCTGTAGTGCAGTGGAGCAATCTCAGCTCACTGCAAGCTCCGCCTCCCGGGTTCATGCCATTCTCCTGCCTCAGCCTCCCCAGTAGCTGGGACTACAGGCACCCACCACCGCGCCCAGCTAATTTTTTTGTATTTTTAGTAGAGATGGGGTTTCACCGTGGTCTCGATCTCCTGACCTCGTGATCCACCTGCCTTGGCCTCCCAAAGTGCTGGGATTACAGGCGTGAGCCACCACGCCTGACCCTTATTTATTTATGTATTCGTTTTTTTGTTTGAGATGGAGGCTCGCTCTGTTGCCCAGACTGGAGTGCAGTGCCGTGATCTTGGCTAACTGCAACCTCTGCCTTCCGTGTTCAAGCGATTCTCCTGTCCCACCCTCTGGAGTAGCTGGGATTACAGGCACGTGCCACCAAGCCCAGCTACTTTTTGTATTTTTAGTAGATATGGGGTTTCACCATGTTGGCTAGGCTGGTCTCAAGCTCCTGACCTCAAACGATCCACCCACCTTAGCCTCCACAAGTGCTGGGATTACAGTCATGAGCCACCGCGCCCGGCCTTATATTTTTATTTTTTATTTTTTTGGAGACACAGTCTCGCTCTGTTATCGCCCAGGCTGGAGTGTAGTGGTGCCATCTCAGCTCACTGCAACCTCTGCCTCTTGGATTCAAGCGATTCTCCTGCCTCAGCCTCCCAAGTAGCTGGGATTACAGGCGCCCACCACCATGCCTAGTTAATTTTTGTATTTTTAGTAGAGCTGGGGTTTCACTACATTGGCCAGGCTGGCCTTGAACTCCTGACCTCGTGATCCGCCCACCTCAGCCTACCAAAGTGCTGAGATTTCAGGCGTGAGCCACCACGCCCAGCCTGATTTACTTAGACCTGTTGTGTTCAAGGTAGCTGAGGGGATGTCCAGGCAGAACTTGGGCCTGAAACTCAGGGGGAGGTGTGGCCTGCAGGCAGGTGTGGCAGTGGCAGGGGAGGGAGGCTGCCAAAGGTTTCTTAGAAGTTTGTGCTGGGTGAATAGGGAGCAGGCCCGCACCTCCTGCCCAGCTCCACAGTTAATGCCTTCATGAAAACACAAGCAGCTTCCAGGCAAGCACCTTGCCTGCCTGTCCCTAAATCTGTACCCTCCACTCCCTGCATGTCCCTAAATCTGTCCTTAAATCCGTACCCTCCACTCCAAAGTTAATGCCTTCATGAAAACACAAGCAGCTTCCAGGGAAGCACCTTGCCTGCCTGTCCCTAAATCTGTACGCTCCACTCCCTGCATGTCCCTAAATCTGTCCTTAAATCCGTCCTTAAATCCGTACCCTCCACTCCAAAGTTAATGCCTTCATGAAAACACAAGCAGCTTCCAGGCAAGCACCTTGCCTGCCTGTCCCTAAATCCGTACCCTCCACTCCCAAATCCCCACAGGGCAGTAAGGCAATGCACCCCCATTTTACAGATGCACAAGGCTGGCCCGGCGTGGCAGCTCACACCTGTCATCCCAGCAGTTTGGGAGGTCCGGTGGGCGGATCACTTGAGGTCAGGAGTTCCAGACCAGCCTGGCCCGCATGGCAAAAACCCATCTCTACTAAAAATAAAAAAACTAGCTGGGGCCGGGCGTGGTGGCTCACGCCTGTAATCCCAGCACTTTGGGAGGCCGAGGCGGGTGGATCACCTGAGGTCAGGAGTTCGAGACCAGCCTGAACAACATGGAGAAACCCCATCTCTACTAAAAATACAAAAATTCGCCAGGTGTGGTGGTGCGTGCCTGTAGTCCCAGCTACTAGAGAAGCTGAGGCAGGAGAATCGCGTGAACCTGGGAAGGAAGGGTTGCAGTGAGCCAAGATCACGCCATTGGACTCCAGCTTGGGCGACAGAGTGAGACTCAATCTCAAAAAAAAAAATGAGTCGGGCATGGTGGCATGCACCTGTCATCCCAGCTATTCGGAAGGCTGAGGTGGGAGAATTCCTTGAACCCGGGAGGTGGAGGTTGCAGTGAGCTGACATCGCGCCGCTGCACTCCAGCCTGGGTGACAGAGTGAGACTCTGTGTCTGTCTCAGTTGAAAAAAAAAAAAAAGGCCAGGCGCAGTGGCTCACGCCTGTAATCCCAGCACTTTGGGAGGCCAAGGCGGGTGGATTGCCTGATGTCAAGAGTTCAAGACCAGCCTGGCCAACATAGTGAAAACCTGTCTCTACTAAAAATACAAAAAATTAGCTGGGTGTGGTAGCAGGCGCCTGTAATCCCAGCTACTTGGGAGGCTGAGGCAGGAGAATCGCTTGAACCTGGGAGGCAGGGGTTGCAGTAAGCTGAGATCCTGCCATTGCACTCCAGCCTGGGTGACAGAGTGAGACTCCATCTCAAAAAAAAAAAAAGAAAAAAAAATAGGTACGCAAGGTTGAGGCTCTGGGATGGGGCTTGCCCTGGCTTGCACAGCTGGTCCACGAGCTGGATCTGTGGCAGGGCTTTCAGCGGGGGCCAGAGCTTGAGCTTCTAAGGTGCTCCTGCTCTCGCTGACAGCCTCAGAGGGCCTGGGGCAGAGAGGCCCCCTCTGCTTCTCCTGGGCTTTCTCCCTGAGCTTCTTGCAACACCTCCCTGTGAGCACACAGCTTCCTGGTGGGGCCCCTTCTGCTTCCGCTCTAGGGGAGGCTCTGTGGCTTGGGTCTGGGGGCCACCGTTGGGGATGCGGATGGCCAGGAGTGGGGCTGCTGAGCGCCTGGGCTAGTGACAGCCTGCCTCCAACCACTCCCAGAAGCCCTGCTGGAATCCCCCACCTCTTCCGAGGCTAGGAGCATCTGCCTCTCCTCAAACTTCATACAGTCCCCACCCTTGGCCCATTGTTCCTGTCACCAAATAACCTTCTCCCCCTTCCTTGCCAGTCATTTGAGGTTCTGATAGGAAAAAAGAAAAAAGGGGCCGGGCGCGGTGGCTCATGCCTAAAATCCCAGTTCTTTGGGAGGTGGAGGCAGGCGGATCAGTTGAGGTTGGGAGTTCGAGACCAGCCTGGCCAACATGGTGAAACCCCGTCTCTACTAAAAATACAAAAATTAGTTGGACATGGTGTTGCACACCTGTAGTCCCAGCTTCTGGGGAGGCTGAGGTGGGAGGATCGCTTGAATCCAGGAGATGGAGGCTGCAATGAGCCGAGATTGCACCTCTGCACTCCAGCCTGGGCAACAGAACGAGACCCTGTCTCAAGAAAAAAAGAAAAAAAAAAAGGTCCCACTTCCCTGGATCTCCCGCTTCTCAGGAGTGGCGTGGGCTTCTCACTGTGGGTGCAGCTTCTCAAAGGCAGCTTAGGTCTCTTGGGGCCAGGACTCTGGACTCCCCTTTCCCACTGTCTGCCTTACTTGGAGCAGTGGCAGCTCCACTGCAGAGGTTCCTGGAAGGCAGGGGGCTCCTCTGCAGGTGGGGAGAGCCCAGCCTTTCCCAGGGATCTGAGCTGGCCATGCGGGGAAGGCGGGCAGAGGCCTGCTCTGGGTCAGCTGTGGATGAACCAGGGCTGCCTGCATGGCGGTGCCAAGAGGTGCTCTAATGTGGCGGGTTTGCAGGGACCCTGGAGTGCCAAGGTCAGGTTCGCTCCTGGTGGAGTGACTGCTCACGGCCAGGGAAGCCTCTGAGAGGCAGGAGCAGCTGGAGGGGCTGTGTGTTCCAGGTGAGACTGTGGATGGCCATGCCTGGTATCTGGCGGGCACGATTCAGGTGCTGCTCCTTGGGCTGCTTGGAGGGACTACAGGCCTGAAATGTCCGGCGGGATACTTTGAGCCATTCGGAAAGGACATGCTGGGGCTCTGGGTTCTGGATCTTTCACTCACCAGGGTTCCTGGGGCTCCCACCTGAAGCCAATTCCTTGGCCAGCAGGGCTCTGACTTGGGAGCCTGGTCATTTGCCAGGAAGTGGCACAGGGAGACTGGCACCATGGGAGACCCCTCAGTCCAGAGTCTCATCATCAGTCACCAGTCCAGGACGCTTACCCTAGCAGCATCTTTTAAAAATTATTTTTATTTACTATTTTGAGACAGGGTCCTGGTCTGTCGCCCAGGCTGGAGTGCAGCGGCGCCATCTTGACTCACTGCAACCTCCAGCTCCCAGGTTCCGGCGATTCTCCTGCCTCAGCCTCCTGAGTAGCTGGCATTATGGGCGCCCACCACCACACCCGTCTAATTTTTGTATTTTTAGTAGAGACAGGGTTTCACCATGTTGGCCAGGCTGCTGTCAAACTCCTGACCTCAAGTGATCTGCCCGACTTGGCCTCCCAAAGTGCTGGGATGACAGGCATGAGCCACCATGCCTGGCCATGATATTTTACTGTCAACTATCATTGCCCTCCTGTGCAATGGAACACCCAATTTCTTCTTCCTAACTGTAACTTTGTACCCATGGGCCAGCCTCTCCTCATCCTCCCTTCTGCCTTAGTTTTTCACCCAAATCTCATTACAGTAGAACCCCAGAACCTACCGGGTGCAGTGGCTCAGGCCTGTAATCCCAGCACTTTGGGAGGCTGAGGCAGGGGCATCACCTGAGGTCAGGAGTTAGAGACCAGCCTGGCCAACATGACGAAACCTCATCTGTACTAAAAATACAAAAATCAGCTGGGTGTGGCAGTGGGTGCTTATAATCCCAGCTACTCAGGATGCTGAGGCAGGAGAATCGCTTGAACCCAGGAGGCAGAGGTTGCAGTGAGCTGAGATCATGCCATTGCACTCCAGCCTGGGCAACAAGAATGAAACTCCGTCTCAAAAACAAAAACAAAAACAAAAGAAACAAAAAAAAAAACGGCTAGGCACGGTGGCTCACGCCTATAATCCCAGCACTTTGGGAGGCCGAGGCGGGTGGATCACCTGAGGTCAGGAGTTTGAGACCAGCCTGGCCAACATGGTGAAACCCGTCTCTACTAAAAATAAAAAAAAAAATTAGCCGGGTGTGGTGGCATGTGCCTGTAATCCCACCTACTTGGGAGGTTGAGGGAGGAGAATCGCTTGAACCCAGGAGGTGGAGGTTGCAGTGAGCTGAGATCGCGCCATTGCACACTCTAGCCTGGGCAACAAGAGCAAAACTCCGTCTCAAAAAATAAAAAAGAACCCTAGACCCAACTTGCTCTAGGAGGCAGAAGTGAAATGGCCTCGAAGCCTACAGATAAATCCTGCCTTTACCATTTACCAGCTGGGTGACCTTGGGCAGTTTGCTTGACCTCTCTGAGCCTTTATTTCCTTGTGGACAAGTTGGGCATGACAGTGGCGTCTACTGGCATGAACAAGGTTGCTGAGAGGGCTGCCATGAGGGGCGTGGCCCAGCAGTTCCCACCATGCTGAGCACGTGGCAGGAGTTAAGGGAATGGAAGGCAATCCAGAAGAACCCATGACCCCTGAGAAAGGCTTGCGGAAGAAGGTGGGCAGGGAGAGGTTTGGGAGGGGACCTGGTGGGATTTGGGGAGTCCTCAGAACTGACACAGGGAGGCCTTACTCAAGATCCAGCCACCTGCCAGGCGCAGTGGCTCACGCCTGTAATCCCAGCACTTTAGGAGGCCGAGGCGAGTGGATTGCCTGAGGTCAGGAGTTCAAGACCAGCCTGGCCCACATGGTGAAACCTGTCTGTGTTAAAAATACAAAAATCAGCCAGGTGTGGTGATGGACACCTGTAATCCCAGCTACTCGGGAGCCTGAGGTAGGAGAATCGCTTGAACCCAGGAGGCGAAGGTTGCAGTGAGCCGAGATTGTGCCATTGCACTCCAGCCTGGGTGACAGAGCAAGACTTCGTCTCAAAACAAAAACACAAAAACAAACAAAAAACAGCTACCAGGGTAAAGGCTGAGCCGGCGGGCCCTGCCTTGACTCGGAGTCCTGACTGTCCCCAGATGAAGCGCCCTCAGTTCAGCAAGCCGCCAGGAGGCCACCACAAGACCCAGCGCTCAGGTGCCATGGGCAGAGGGGGTGGGCAGACGGGGGGCGAGCTCCAGGAACCCCCAGAGGAGCACAACTTGCTCACGAGCACACAATTCCTTGGTGGGGGCTATCAGGAAGGAGAAGGATCCCCAGCCACAGCAGTTGCCACCCATGGACCCAAAGTTGCTGAAGCAGCTGAGGAAGGCAGAGAAGGCCGAGAGGGAGTTCCGGAAGAAGTTCAAGGTGAGGCCTCTGAGCTAAGCAGGAGTCCTGGCAGGGCGGAGACCAGGGTCCCACCGATCCCAGGCTCAGAAAGAAGACAGGGGCCCAAGGGCGGCAGCACAAGCAGAGGCCCTAACATCTCGCGCCCCAGTTTGAAGGGGAGATCGTGGTTCACACGAAGATGATGATCGACCCCAACGCTAAGACACGTCGCGGGGGTGGCAAGCACCTCGGGATCCGGCGCGGGGAGATCCTGGAGGTGATCGAGTTCACCAGCAATGAGGAGATGCTGTGCCGGGACCCCAAAGGCAAATGTGAGTGCGCCCGGCCCCGCAGCCCCGGGAGGTCCCCGCCGCCACCCTGGGCCTCAGAACCCACCATGCCCACTCTCTCCACAGATGGCTACGTGCCCAGAACAGCGCTCCTGCCCCTGTGAGTGCCAGCCCTGACCGTGGTGGGGGAGTGCGGGGTGTGTGGTGCAGGGTGGGGGGAATGGGCCACGGTGCCCCTTGCTGACCCAACTGTGCTCTGCCAGGGAGACGGAGGTGTACGATGATGTCGACTTCTGCGGTACGTGGACACTCTGGGAGGGCTGGAGGGACCCTGGCGATTCCCCGGGGGCGCTGCTCACTATTGGGCTTCTGGGGAGAGGGGTCCATGGAAGTCACGCTTCCTCGGCAGATCCCCTGGAAAACCAACCACTCCCCCTGGGACGGTAAGACCGGTAGGCGTGGGGCCAGGACAGCCAGCCAGCCCAGCGCCCGCTCACCCAGGAGCCCTGGATCCCGGCGCGGGAAAGTCACAGAGCTGCCTGGGCTTGTACCTGGCCACATAAAGCCCCAGTTTAAAGCAGTCCCTGCTTCTTGTCTTTTCTTTCCCTCCTGATTGGCACACAGTGGAGCAAAGGCACGGGAACCCCCTGACCAAACACAAAAGGGGGTGTGTCTGGGGTCACCCTGCCATGGTCTCACCCCTCAGGGATAAAAGCCAGTGGGGAGAAAAGGGTGGCAAGAAGCTGGTGAGCAAGGGGGGCTCCGGGTGATCAGAACAGCATGTGCTACCAGGCAGGCAGCCGGGCAGGACGCGCCCCTCCACAGCCAACAGAACAGCAGCAGCCAGGCCTCCTTGCCAGGTATGCACACCTGCTTGGCCTGAGTGGATCCTGAGAGCGCTTCACTGGGGGAAGGGGTGGGGCCTATACCCAATTCTGACAGAGCCCAGGTATCAATCAGATTTGGCCTGAGCCTCTGGCAGGACTGAACACGCATGGAAGGTGGCACACAGTTTGGTCTGTTTCAGCAGGAAAAAAAAAAAGCCAGAGAACAAGCCTGACTCAGGCAGGGCCTGTGCCCCAGGGCGTTAACTTCACAACAGGGAGACAGGATGGCTTTCGGGGGGCTTTTTTTTTTTTTTTTTTGAGACGGAGTCTTGCTCTGTTGCCCAGGCTGGAGTGCAGTGGCGCGATCTCACTCACTGCAACCTCCGCCTCCTGGGTTCGAGTGATTCTCCTGCCTCAGCCTCCTGAGTAGCTGGGACTACAGCCATGAACCACCGCGCCTGGCCTCAGAAGGCTCTAAACAGCCAAACGCTCCATTGTAAGCCGGGGGATTACAGCCCACAGGAAGGCAGTTTCCAGGGAAGAGTCTCCCCCCATCTGTGGGCAGGCACCCACCCCTGGGGCCTCAGACAAGCAAGAGAGGGGATGAGATCCCTGCTGCTTGGACTGGAAGCTCGAGTGACCCCAGCTCCCCACACCTCGCGTGGTTGCCCACACAGCACACACAAGCAGGCCGTTTTCAGGAACCGGTATTTATTATCAAAGTCATATTCGATGTCAACAAGATGCCACAACTACAAAAAAAATTGCGCACATTGCAATCTCAATGCAAACAGTCAAATGGAACCCCAGTCATTAAAAAAGTAATTCAAATTACCCCAAAAAGCAACTGAATTTTTTAAACATCTTTATACATCCAGCCAACAAATTAAAATGGTTAACAAGAAAAAATACAAATTCAGAGGTCTCGTATCGATGTTTAAAAAAGGCAACTGCTTAAGCGTTTCTATCAATTCGAACGTCAATCTCTCGGCCACTCAGCTTCATGCCATTCATCATCCGGCAGGCTCTCTCGGCCACCTCTGGCGACTCGAACTTAACCACGCCACACCCCTTGGACTTCCCATTCTCCATCTTGATGTCGGCGTACAGCACGTGGCCTAGGACAGGGAGGGAAGAAGAGACGACACTCAGTCCCGATTTTGTTAGATTTTGGTGGACAGAGTCAAAAAGGAGAGGCCCTGAAGCCTAGAGCACAAAGGCTCAGAATACAATGGCGAGAACCAATGACTACGGCCCCCTCAGCCACACTGCCATTCTTCTGCTAACAGAGCCTGCCCCTGCCCCATGAAAAGCCTTCCTGGCGGATTCAATGCACGCCTTTACGCTTCAGGAAGTTCAAAAAAGAAGGCGCAGTGTAAAGCCAGCTTTATAGGCAGAAAGTTCCCATACATTTTACAAAGTCTTCATTTTTGATATGCCACCGCCCCTGGTTACAAAGCCATCCGCAATCCAATGGACACGTCTGTACTGTCCAAATGAAAGCCAGCAGGTTTCACTTATTCATTTGAGCACCCGTTAAGCATCCAGATATGTGTCAACGCCGTGGACAGAGCCCTAGAGGGCAAAGGCTCTACTCCAGGAGTACCAAAGGTGGTAGGGCCACAATGCCAGAGGTGGGAACTCAGTGCCTAAGAGAGGGCCCAGGGCAGGTAGGGTGGAGGGGTCCTCAGGGGCAAGTTCTGAGTGAGCTTACACAGAAATTCACCAGAAAGAAGACTTGCCAGTAATTGGCTCACACGAGAGCATTGCGGGACACGTGCAGCACTTGCCGCTCAGGTTCTGGGACAGGAGGGAGATGGAGGAGGATAGGACCAGGTCTTCAAGGGGCTTGTGAGTCTGGACTTCCTCTTGAAGGCACAGGGCCGCTCCAGGCATTGCAAAAGTGGGGGCTGGGGGCGCTGTGATCCCACTGGCCTTTTCAGAATATCTAGCTACAACATGGGAACTCAGGAGTGGGGAAAGAGGTGAAGAATGGAGCAAAGAGGCAGATCATGACTCAACGGCTTGCCCCAAGAACCATGGAGAAGCAGCAATGGTGGTGAAATCGGAGCCACTGCTGAAACAGGAAGCGGGAGGACAGTGCGGAAGCAGCTGCCCAGACCTCTAGCTCAGGCCCCTCTAGCTAAAAAGAACAGAGGTGGTGCATGCGGGGTGGGGGCTCACCCTGGAGGGCAGGGAAGGAAGACAACTTGCTTTCAGCCACAGACAGAGCCCTCCAGAAGAGTTGCCCGATGTGCCAGGAAACCACAAGACCTTAGCCTCACCCTCACAGGAGCTGCTGTGTGCCCAGAGCCTGCACCGCCTCCCCATGGCACCTGCTGGGCTGTGTTCTCTCCGAGGCCCCACACCAGCTGTGCTGAGGGGAAAGCGACCTCGTCTGGGATGTATTTATTTAGCCTTGCCACCTAGAAGCCAGGTAACCTCAGAAGGAAGACTCTGCCTGACTCATCTGTGAAATGGGGACACTACTACCTTGTTTCAAAGACTCAAAAAGAAAAAAGGAAGTAAGGATGAAATGAGAACACAGCTGAAAAACATGTGACACATCACAGGACACTCAACAACCTGCCTGAGCATTGGCGTGGGCAGAACATGGCAAGGCCATGGGTCCTGAGCCGACGGAGGGGGCTGGGAGGGAGGTTTTGCTGCTGACTCGGCTGCGTCACCAACAAGCACGAGGGAAGCACCTACAAAGCCGTTCCCAACACTTACCGCACTCGTTGAATTTGTCCTTTAGCATCTTCCATGTGAAATCGAATGGCAGCTGAAGGGGAGAAGAAAAGGGAGACTGATGCGTGATTAAACCAAATCCTAAGGCATGCCTTGCAGCTGGCTCTGAGGGCCATGCTAGATTTCTCACTATACCGAGAAGCTGGCTGCCCTTCAGACTGAGGCGATCAGCAGGAAACTAATAGATACATGTGGGACAAGGCTGTGAAGCGGCACAGCCAGCTCCCTCCCTGGGGCTCTGCCTGTGGGAGCACCGTGCAGGATGGGACACTCAGGCCTGCGGTGCGCAGCCCACAGTCACTAAATAGTGGCTAAGGGTGGCTGAGCTGGGGAAAATAATTCCGTTACAGCCACTTCTTTCCCTGGACCATCGTGCAACACATAGTGCCTCTTCAAGCCAACCAATCAGAAACTGGAGTCTCTGAGCTCAGCGTCTGCTCCATATTCTAGCACAGTGGAGAAGCCCAGGCTCTTCCAGAACCCACAGTTCTCACATTCCTTACTTGTCCCACTAGCATAAAACGTTTGGGACAGTGGCAAGGAGGTGTGGTCCCCTTTGAAGGGCGCCACCTCTGACTTCATCCTGCTGATCTTTGCCTCCCCTGTCCCCTCATGCTCACCACCACCAAGAAGTTCCCCAAGAGCCACTTACATTTCTCACAAATATCTGGCAGGCCTTCCTGGCCACCCCAGGAGCATGGCCTCCAGCTCCACCAAAGGAACCTGCGAAGCTTCCTCCGAAGTTGCCACGCTCCATCTCGATGGCACGGTCAAAGCTGGCACCGCCACCGCCACCCATGGCCAGGCCCATGCGCTCAATGCCAGCGCCCAGGGCCGGGCCCATGGCAGGGCCCATGCGCTCGAGGCTGTTGGCACCCATGCGCTCCAGGCCCATGCGCTCGAGGCTGTTGGCGCCCATGCGCTCCAGGCCCATCCGCTCCAGATTGTTGGCGCCCATGCGCTCCAGGCCGGTGGCCATGCGATCCATCACGGGGCCCATGCGCTCCAGGCCAGCTCCCATACCTGCGGGCACCATGCGCTCCATGCTCAGGCCCATGCGCTCGATGGCAGGGCCCATGCGCTCCACGCCAGAGCCCATGCGCTCAATGGTCTGGCCCACACGGTCGATGGGAGCGGCCATGCGCTCAAGGCCGAAGCCCATGCCGGCACCCATGCGCTCCACGCCAGAGCCAATGCGCTCCATGGTCTGGCCCATGCGCTCAATGCTGGAGGCCATGTGGTCGAGGCCCAGCGGGCCCATGCGCTCAATGCCGGAGCCCATGCGCTCCACGGAGCCCATGCGGTCCATGACCAGGCCCATGCGCTCGATCTCGGAGCCCACGCGATCCATGCCGTGGCCCAGGCCCGCGCCCATGCGCTCCATGCCGGCACCCCCGAGGCGGTCAATGCCAGGACCCATCCTCTCGATCCCAGGGACGCTTCCTCCACCTCCACCTGAAACAGGGACACAAAACACAGGTGGGTGTCAAGAACTTGAGTGTGCGTGTGCACAACACGCCAGACCACTTCAGCTCATGGGCATGGATCAGGGGTAAAGGCCCACCATAATTTACCATTAAGACACCCCTCAAATGTTGACAACAGCTACAGCTGTGTGGTGGGCACATGGGGGCCTCCCAGCATTCTCTCTGCTCTATGCCACAGCTGAGATTTCCATAACACAACTTCTAAAGAACACCCCTGTATGTGTGTCTGTGAGGTGCTAGTGTCTGTGACAAGCTTTGTGAACCATGGACGTCAATTCCTGAGACATCTGAGGTTTCTCCATCAGCAGACACTGAGAAATGCTCCAGGGGGAGGCATGGACACCCCCCACTCGGGGGGCCACCCAGGGTAATGAACAGGAGTTATGTGGAGACAAGTCGGAGTCACTCCCACCTTCCCCTCCCAGCCTGTCCCTCTAGGATGCTCTGCTGGGGGCCACTCTGGCTGCATTTCCTCAGCGCTCCCAGGGCACAGAGAAAGGATTTTCGGCCACACCATCAAGCAGAGGTCAAAAAAACACACACCGAGAGATCCTCTGTGTACAAATGCACACAGCTGGCCACTTTTGGGGACCCTATTGTCAGGGAAACCAAATGACTTGCTGGCTTTGGAAAGAAGATGTTGATGGCACTGCAGAGTGGGCTCTGGTAGCGGCTGGGGGTCAGTCAGCAGAACGAAGGGACGCCCCCACCCGTGGTGCTTGCAACTCTGGAAAGCAGGGTCTGGCTCCGTCAGCAAGGCCACCCCTTTCCACATGCCGAGTTTGGGGCTCCTCCCCGAAACCCTGTCGCTTGCCTCTGAGAGTGGCCATCAGCCCAGAGCCAGCCTGTGACCGACCCAAGCAGCCTAGTCAAAGATACCAATTCAAGAGGAAACTGGGCAGTTTCTCTAACTGGCTCTGTAACTGGCCACACCGCGCCTGCTTCTCTAGCTGCACAGCACACAGTGAGCGGCCAAAGCAGGCCCGACTCTAAGAATGTGTGACTTTCAGAGGGGAGACGTCTCAGAACTTCCCCACAGTATAAGGAACCTAGCGAGAATGGGCACTTTGCCCAAAGGCATCAGAAATGAGGTGGGGCAGCTGGGTGTGGTGGCTCATGCCTGTAATCCCAGTACTTTGGGAGGCCAAGGCGGGCGGAACAAGGTCAGGAGTTCGCGACCAGCCTGGCCAACATGGTGAAACCCCATCTCTACTAAAATTGCAAAAATTAGCTGGGTATGGTGGCGTGCGCCCGTAGTCCCAGCTACTTGGGAGGCTGAGGCAGGAGAATCGCTTGAACCCAGGAGACGGAGGTCACAGTGAGCCGAGATCGTGCCACTGCACTCTAGCCTGGGCGACAGAGTGAGACTCCGTCTCTCAAAAAAAAAAAAAAAAAAAGAAATGGGAGGAAATGGTACCAGCGTGGAGCTCCAGAGCCAGCCCAACACAGAAGTCAGGAGGTGAGATGCCAAGATACTCAGAGGGAAAATCAGGCTGAAAAAGTACATTTGGGCCAGGTGTGGTGGCTCACATCTGTCATCCCAGCACTCTGGAGGTATGCAGGTCACTTGAGGCCAGGAGTTTGAGATAAGCCTGGGTAACATGTCAAAATGCCATCTCTACAAAAAAAATCAAAAAATTAGCCAAACCAGGTGGCACACGCCTGTAGTCCCAGCTACTTGGGAGGCTAAAGTGGGAGAATCGCTTAGGCCTGGGAAGTTGAGGCCGCAGTGAGCAGAGACTGCACCACGGCACTCCAGCCTGGGAGACAGAGCGAGACTGTCTCCAAAAATGCTCAAAAAGTACATTTTGTTCTCAGTATCCATAAAGCTGTGTATGAATGAAAGATTCAGAACAAAATGTTTCCGGCAGTCATCACTGGGCGATGGGGTTTCAGACCATACTTTCTTCATATTTTCCTAATGAGTACATTTATCTATTTTACAAGCATTTATTACTTGTTGGGTGGTGTGCTTTCAGTCTTATCATCAAGTCTAAGGAAAATATATTTACTTTTAGGAATTTATAATGTGGAAAACAAAACCCCCAAAAGAGAGGTACTCTAACAATGAAGATGGTCGGCCTGTGCACAGCACGTGCGGAAGCACTCTTTCACATGCATTCACTCTCCACAGCATCCCTGAGGCAGGTACTATTACACCCCCATTTTACAAATGAGTGCTATGAGAAACAGAGAGGTTCAGTGACTTGCCAAACGTCACACAGCTAGAAAAAGGCAGAGCTGCTCCCACCCCGGGCAGTCTGTGTCAGAACCCGCACTTCTCACCACTAAGCTCTACAGTCCCCAGCGATAACAGCCTGTTCTAAAAAAACAAAACATCAAACTAAGCGGTTCCTACCTCCTCCCTGCTTTGCAATGATCTCTCCTCTCTTCAGTGCATTACTTAGGATTTCTAAGGAAATCAGGAAGAAAAAAAAATTAGCCAAATTCCTCTATGGCAATAGAAATGTGCTCATTACAGATTCCAGAGTAGAAATACTACTAATAAAAATGACAAGATAAAGGGAAAGGGGTTTGAGAAACACACGCACAGACAAGATCATTTTACAGAGAACTAGGAGAGTCCTTGATGCTGGGTCACGATGCCAAGACCCCACGTAGCTCCAGAGTCTGAGGCCCAGCGTGCGGGGTCACCTGCGAATGCGCCCAGCAGAGATAGGAGTCATATGCATTCATGAACTGAGAGCCAGAGCAAGAAGAGGGCCATCGGGTCTCGCTCAGCGGCAGTTTTCTAAAGCTGGTCCAGGCTCTCAGGACTGAGGCTTCCTTGCCTCCCCTGAGCTGGAAAGTAAGCCCCCACCCCCACCCCAGCCAACTTCTTGTTCAGAAGACCGCCCAGCATCACCCACTTGGAGCCCACATTTATCCACCCAGAGGCACCTCTCATTATCATAGAGCAAATTAAAGCTGCAGCTCCACGGACAACCTCAACGCTAACAAATGAGCTCTGCGCGGAAATCCTTGAGCATGCCAGCCTTGCCTGAAATGAGCTGGGTGTGCTGTGACTAGGCAACAGATAAGGTTTCAGGAAAATACCTAAATTGCACCCCCCACCAAGTATCCCAAACACAGTGCTGCTGCTCACTTGCCCACGGTGCACCCACACCTCTTTAAGGTTTGTCTGATGCTATCATAGCATTACCTTTCCAAGCTTCTGGTCCATCTTTTGCTATGTAGAAGACACTTGTACCCACCCGCTCTGGTCTCAAAGTATATGCTCAGCAACTTGGACATTAGCCACGAGGCACATTTCGCTTTATGACCACGGCCACAAAGCCATTAAAACCTGTCCCCCGGCCGCGCAGTAGCTCATGCCTGTAATCCCAGCACTTTGGGAGGCCAAGGCGGGTGGATCACCTGAGGTCAGGATCAGCCTGGCCAACATGGTGAAACCCCGTCTCTACTAAAAATTAGCCGGGTATGATGGCAGGTGCCTGTAATCCCAGTTACTCAGGAGGCTGAGGCGGGAGAATCGCTTGAACCCTGGAGGCAGAGGTTGCAGTGAGCCGAGATCGTGCCACTGCACCCCAGCCTGGGCAAGAGTGAGACTCTGTCTCTAAGAAAAAAAAAAAAAAAAAAAAAGACACCAAACAACAACAACAACAAAAGCACCTGCACCCCACACAGCTGCTTCTTATATCCCAACTAACTGCTGTGGGACAAGGTGGGAAAGTTCACCAAGAGACACAGACTTCAGTCTACCAGCAGGTACAGCTCATTCTCCCGGGACGCCTGCGATCCTGCCCGGCATGCCTGAGCCGAGGCTGGCTTTCCAGCACCTAGACCAAGCTTGTCCAACACGTCTTACTTTGCTTTGTTCTGTTTTAGGCTTTTTGGCAGCCTGAAACCATGGTTTTTAAGTTTCTGTCTCTAGTAATAAGTGGAAAAGAGGGATAAGGGGCTTTACTGACCCAAACAGAAACCAACTGAGAACCCATGACTATATTCTCCCGTGCACACCCCTGAACTAGATCAAGCTTCCAACTAACACACCTGCAAGACAGCTGCAAAAGCTTTCAACCAACATGCCACTGATTTGCAGAGAATGGCGGAATTCTCCCATCGGCATTCACAGGCCTCCCCACAGACCACAACTGGAGCCTGTTCTGCCCATGCTCCTCCCCTGCCTCACAGAGACCTGCACCCACCGCCGCCAGCCGCTCTATCTGCGCACACCTGCTGCCTGTGCCAAGCCTGCTGAGCCCCCTAGCAGAGCCAATGCCCTGAGCAGCATCTGGCAACCAACGTCTCCACCAGCGTCCTCACTAGGCCACTTGGATGCACAGACCTCTGGCGATGTCCCAAGCCACCCTTAGTATCGCCTCAGCTACACCTCATCCTTGAAGGCCAAAGACCACAGGCCTATCCAAATTTTTGAAGCAGCAAGTACAGCTGTTTGCACAAAGGAGTGCAAAGATCTACTGCCTAGGCACAGGAAGGGGCACCGAGTAGGAAAGCACTATGGAAAGGAGCACCACAATGGTTCACCTCTCATGGCAAAGGACACGGGAAAGAGGTCAAGAATTGAATCTTGAAAAACCAACCCAACCACTCTGAGAACCTGACGAGATCACCTTACTCATGTAGGTCTGATCACAGCGGCAGGAGGGAATTCCGGGACAGAGATCGCACAGTCCCAATCAGAAAGAAGGTGTAACCGCAGCGGGAGAGGTGGCGCCCTGCCGGTCAGGACAGGAACAGTTTCCTGTGGCCACATGAAGTGACCTCAAAGGCAAGAAGCCCACATCCACCTCTCTGTGCCACTCATGTGCCACTCCAAAAAGCGGAATTAGGCGAGAGGTGCTGCAGAGTGGCAAGAAGCTGAAGGCTCTTAGCAAGAAAAAGTTCCTACAGAAGTAAAGATGCCTTTTTTTTTTTTTTAATTTTGAGACAGAGTCTCACTCTGTCGCCCAGGCTAGAGTGCAGTGGTGTCATCTCGGCTCACTGCAACCTCTACCTCCCAGGTTCAAGCAATTCTGCCTCAGCCACCTGAATAGCTGGGATTACAGCATGCACCACCACGCCCGGCTAAATTTTTTGTGTTTGTAGTAGAGACGGGGTTTCACCATGTTGGCCAGGCTGGTCTCAAACTCCTAACCTTGTAATCCACCTGCCCAGCCACATGCCATCTATTCTTGCCATAGCTATCCACAAATTAGTATTTGCAGGCAAATGACAGTAAGTTTTAATTTTTTTTTTTTTTTTTGAGATGGAGTCTCACTCTGTCACCCAGGCTGGAGTGCAGTGGTTTGACCTCGGCTCACTGCAACCTCCGCCTCCCAAGTAGCTGGGATTACAGGCACCCGCCACCATGCCCGGCTAATTTTTGTATTTTTAGTAGAGACGGGGTTTCACCACATTGGCCAGGCTGGTCTTGAACTCCTAACCTCGTGATTCACCAGCCTCGGCCTCCCAAAGTGCTGGGAATACAGGCATGAGCCACCGCGCCCGGCCAGTAAGTTTTAAAATATTTCTTTGGCCGGGTGCGGTGGCTCATGCCTGTAATCCCAGCACTTTGGGAGGCCGAGGCGTGTGAATCACGAGGTCCCGAGTTCAAGACCAGCCTGGCCAAGATGGTGAAACCCCATCTCTACAAAAATACAAAAAATTAGCCGGACATGGGGGCACGCGCCTGTAATCCCAGCTACTCTGGAGGCTGAGGCAGAGAACAGCTTAAACCTGGAGGGGCAGAGCTTTCAGTGAGCCAAGATTGTGCCACTGCACTCCAGCCTGGGCAATAGAGCGAGACTCTGTCGCAAAAAAAAAAAAAAAAAAAATTTTTTTTTTTTTTTTTAAATACACCGCTGGCCAGGCATAGTGGCTGTTGCCTATAACCCCAGCACCTTGGGAGGCCAAGGCGGGAGGATCACTTGAGCCCAGGAATTTGTAATAAGCCTGGGCAACATACACTCTGTCTCTACAAAAAAATAAATTAGCTGGGCATGGTGGCATGTGCCTGTGTTCCTAGCCACTCAGAGGCAAAGGTAGGAGGATTGCTTCAGCCTGCTACAGTGAGATCATACCCACTGTACTCCAGCCCAGATGACAGGGAGAGACTGTATTAAAAAAGAATCTTGCCCCTCTGATGAGCTGAAGGATGAATCTAATGACCACCTTTCTAGGGCCTTCATAAATTTGAAGAATACAGCTAACATAAAATGGACATCAACAGACCTGGCGTGATGGCTCACACCTGTAATCCTAGCACTTTGGGAGGCAGAGGCAGGTGGATCACTTGAGGTCAGGACTCAAGACCAGCCTGGCCAACACAGTGAAACCCTATCTCATTAAAAATACAAGAAAATTAGCTGGGTGTGGTGGCGGCAGTGCCAGCTACTCAAGAGTCTGAAGCAGGAGAACCACTTGAAACCGGGAGGTGGAGGCCGCAGTGAGCTGAGATCGCACCATTGCACTCCAGCCTGGGCAACAAAGCGAGACTCTGTCTTGAAAAAAAAAAAAAAAAAAAAAAAAGAAAGAAAGAAAAAAGAGGAGGAAATTGCTCTGCCACCTAACCAAAACTGAAAAAATAATTTCTCTGCATACGGATAGGCCTAAATACTCAAGACCTTCCAACTTTAGAAAACCTCTCTAGTCGGTCTAGATGCCTCTGTCAAAGGCATCAGCAAGTGCACAACTCACTCCATCCTGCTAACTGGACTGGACACCACAGCACCCTGGGGTAAGGAAACTCCTGCCCCAATTAGCAGGGCTTTGAAACACGCTCCAGGCCTAGGGAGCCAGAGGGCCATGAAACACTCTCCAGGCCTAGGGGGCCAGAAAGTCAAGTACACGCAGCAGTTTCCATTCCCACAGCCTGCACAACCTTATGCCAATTTTTTAAAAAGCCATCTGAAAAGACTTAAAGACAAATAATGCTACTGATATAGCAATAAAACACTAAAAGACCTAAATTTTTTACCTAGGTCTAAAACAACATCTTTTTTAAAAGCTTAAAAAAAACCAGCTGACTCTAAGAGAGCAGGGACATCAGGTAAACCCTGGCAGCCTGCACCCCAGAGGGCGGACCCCAGCCACTGAGGCCCACTGGGCCTTCTTACTCATTCCTCTGCCAAGAGGCTCTCCAAAGCTTCGAGATATCCCCATCTCCTTCCTGGCAAAGTCTCTTTCAAGTC
Organism: Homo sapiens; assembly: GCF_000001405.40. Lineage (NCBI taxonomy): Eukaryota > Metazoa > Chordata > Mammalia > Primates > Hominidae > Homo > Homo sapiens. The sequence goes on along the minus strand of NC_000019.10, from coordinate 8,478,416 downwards.
CTCCACCCATGCCACGCTCCATCTCTGTGGAAAAATCACCCTAGGCCTTTCCAGGAATACCACTGTGTCTGAGACATCAAAAACAAAACAAAATGTATACACACGACAGCCACCACCAAGTCAGCATGTTTAACTCTTCTGCAGGAAACCATTATTCATTCTTCATTCCCTAAAAAACAAAGTCACTGCAACTGAATCCCTGAACAACCTACCTAACATAAGTCCATCAAGGACCAATGAACAACTTCCATTACAGCCACACAAACCACAATACTGGGTACACCAAGCATTCGCTACCACAGTAACCAAGAGGTCCCCTGCAGTGCAGCTAAATCAAACGTAGGCTGCAGAAGGTAACACCTACTAGGCACTCAACACATGCCCTACCCCAAAGGCTTTGTGTATAATTCCATCAACTCTTCACAACCATGCCACGCACGCCTGTTACCCTCCACCACCACTACCACTTTAAAAAGAAATTGAGGCTCACACAATTTAGTAACTTGACCAAGGTCACATGCTGGTGAGAGGTGAGGCAAAGGCTGGGACTCAAATCCAGTGCAGAAGCCCATCCTCTAATACAGAAGCCTGTGCCCTAACACAGAAATGCGTGTGCATGGCGAGACGTATGTCTGCACAGAAAGACCTCTCTGCTGACAACTGCAGTGGCTGCATCTACATAACGGGGTTTGGGTCACAACTTTCTCATATTTTGTAAGGTTCTTTTTTTTTTTTTTTTTTTTTTTTTTTTTTTTTGAGACAGGGTTTCACTCTGTCAACCCAAGCTCCCAAGCTGGAATGCAGTGGCGTGATCATGCTTCACTGCAGCCTCGACCTCCTGGGCTCAAGTCATCCTCCCACCTGAGTTTCCCAGGCAGCTAGCACAGGTGTACGGCATCATGCCCGGCTAATTTTATTTTTTGTAGAGAGGAGGTCTCACTATGTTGCCCTGGCTGGTCTTGAACTCCTGAGCTCAAGTGATCCTCCTGCCTCAGCCTCCCAAAGTGTTGGGATAACAGGTGTGAGCCACTACACCCAGCCTTACAATGTCTTTTAAAACAAAGGTCCTAGCTTCTGCCGGGAAAGGCCCACCACAGTGGTCACTTGCTTGATAAGCCTTTCGTGATTCCTACTGCTGGCCACTTCTTTCCTTGTGCATCCATCTCACGCAGGCTGAAATGGGGATCACACTTTTCATGCTGCGAGGTCCTTGAAGAATCTCTCCCTCCCATGCTGAGAGGGCCTTGAAGAATCTAGTTATTAATCATCTCACTCCTTAGAAATGTCAGGTAAGATAGGTGCGATGTAATGAACACCTTGCATTATACAGCCAGAGTCCCTATCTTTCAATAAAATAAGCAATTCCATTAGAGATGTGGCAGCAGCAGCACATTATGAATTAACAAGGACTGGCTGCCAATGGTGGGCTTAACATTCCTAGTTTGAATTAACCCAAGTGACCTCATGGGTCAGCATGCTCCTCATGGGTGCTATCTGCTGGATAGCAGAGCCCAGGAGTCGGTGGTGGTGGGAGGGTGGGGGGGACGGCGGCAGGGACAGAACCCTGCAGCCCCGCAGCGGCATCCTCATGGAGTTCTGCTGCTCTCCTTCCATCCTGCCACCTGTCTGCAAGAAGGCAGCACCCCACTCCAGACAAGCATGCCACAGGCTGGCATCAGCATGTTGGCAAGGACCTCATAACTCATCTTACTGGCTGTCAACAGGGCCCCAGAGCTCAGGGAGCACCGTGAACTCCAATTTACACCCACAAAGGGTAGCATTTTCACTGTCAAACACTGCCTCACTACAGTCAGTTTTTGACATTTAACAATCTCTCTTTTTTTTTTTTTAACATTAATCTCAATGCGCTGGGATTACAGGTGTGAGCCACCGCGCCTGGCCGACATTTAACAATCTTTTGATTTACATTTTTATAGCCACTCTATCAAGATTTGACTCATGCTGAGTGTGGGTCCTGGGAACCTGCATGACCAGCAGTCTGATGGGAGCACCCATGACCATAATGGCTACACTCTAGTCATGAATTAACATTTCATTAAACCCAAACGTCTGCTTCAATTCTTCCTCCAGTGTGATGTACAGTTTCCTTGCAGTGCCCAAGGGCTCTAGAGCTCATCCCACCCAAACCAAAGAATGCTGGTCAAGTGGGAAGGAGTCCCTGTTCTCAGCTGTAGAGGGTGTGGGGAGCACTCCGAGTGCCGTATCTCAGAACATCTAAGAACAGTCTAGGAAAACACACTCCATTTGTGGTTCTCCAGAGAATCAGCACTTGGAATCCTTTGCCACCGCGTACCCCAGGCTCTGAATCCTGACTGCGAGATTACACCTGCCAGTTCACCATCGACTGTGTCACACGGCTCAGCACAGCTCCCAGGCCAACCCATCCTGATTTCCATCTACTTCTAAACTGCATCACTCTACTCCTCACAGCAACAACTCAAATTCCCTAATGACTAATCTGTTCTTAAAAAAAAAAAAAAAAAAAAAAAAGAGAGAGATGGGGTTTCGCAGTGTTGCCTAGGCTGATCTTGAACTCCTGAGCTCAAGCAATCCTCTTACCCCAGCCTCCCAAAGTGTTGGGATTACAGGCGTGAGCCAGCACACCCAGACTAATCTGCTCTGAGTAACATTTTACCAAGCCAGATTTCTGAAACTTTTTTTAAAAATTAAAATCCCATGCACACACAAGTTACAGGCAAGCTTGAATGTACACTGGAAACGCAGACCTCTGTTGCTTTATTACTAATGGTGACAACTTTCCTACATCCTTTTACCAGCTTCTAGAACAAGGCACCCATGAAGAGGGCAACACACATCATGCCCCACTGCTCCCTGTGCACCGGAAGAAGGGCCTGATCATCAGGGACAGCCGCCTTTCAAGCCTGACAATGATGTCTGTCCTTGTACCATTTTCACATCCTTTGTTATGGCAGACCCGCAAAGGAAGGTTTATACCTAAATCCCTAATGACTTCTCAGTCCAAGAAAGTTTCTGTGTAAAAAAGCAGCAGCTTTCCTGCAGTGAAGGGGAAGGTCAAAGAGTCACCAACACATAAAGGATTTCAAAAAGGAAAATTTACAATTTCTCATGCACACTCTACAGCCCTGCTGGTGCCCTGGGCCAAGTGCTGTGCTGGAGGCACTTCTAAAAGGCAGGATTCCCACATGATGAAGTGCCAGGCTCTGGAGCCAGACAGCCTGGGTTCACATGCAGGCACCACTGTTTACCAGTCACTTGACCTAGGCATGTCACTCTCTGTGCCTCAGTTTCAGATGAAACAAGGATAGCAGTATGTACATATCATGTGGTTCTCACAAGGACTAAATGAAATACTACATTGTTATTATATTATTATATTTCTGCTAAAAAGTTGGGGGCAGGTGCCGAGCACGGTGGCTCACGCCTGTAATCCCAGCACTTTGGGAGGCTGAGGCGGGCGGATCACATGAAGTCAGGAGTTCGAGGCCAGCCTGGCCAACATGGTGAAACTCCGACTCTACTAAACATATAAAAATTATCCAGGCATGGTGGCACACACCTGTAATACCAGCTACTCAGGAGGCTGGGGCAGGAGAATCACTTGAACCTGGGAGGCGGAGGTTGCAGTGAGCCAAGATCGCACCATTGCACTCCAGCCTAGGTGACAGAGTGAGACCCTGTCTCAAAAAAAAAAAAAAAAAAGTTGGTGGAGGATTTGAATTATACTAAACCAGAATTTGCATTATGTAAATGCTAAATTAAAAGAGCCTGTGATTTTTATTAACGCCTCTATAGACAACTTGTAGCTGGGGCAGATGACCAAGAACAACCCTTTGCAGCACTCCCAGAGACAAACTTGATTACAAACTTTAAAGAATCCCTCATACTCGGAGACCATAACCACGAACGTGTACATGCTTTTTAACACTGTACTCGAAAATTACTGCAGAGCTTGGGAACACAGGACATCTCAAAAGACTAGCGACCAAGTGAAGTAAGTCTACTATTATGTCTAGTTTTTGAAATATTTAAGGCAATTCAAAAGACATTTGATTCGGTTGAAAAGCAGAAGTGAGAAACCACTTATTCAGTGGGTCTGCAGCCTAAAAGTCACCTGAGAGGCAACAGCCGGCAAAGGGTGAGTGAAAGCAGGAAGAAAACACGATGCTTACCATTTATCCTGCCCATGTTCATCCCAGATCCAAATCGACCCATGTTTTCCATACCACCACCAAAGGGCCCCTCCATTCCTGCAAGAGAGGTTCACATTTCAGCATCATCCAACAAGACTGCTTAGACTAAGCAGGGAAAGAAAAATTCTATCACATGTTTCAACTGGGGTATCTTCTGCCAAGAACTTACCAAGTTTAAAGGCTTTTGAAAAACAAAAAAAATGCTAGCACCCTTGTTTAAAAATCACCCATCTTCAAAAAGCTGGTCTGATCCAACCCCCTCAATGAATAGACAAGCAAAAAGAGGCATAGAGATGGAGTGGTCTGCCCAAGGTCACAGAGCTAGTTAGTGAGACAGCCAGAACCAAAAGCCAAGACACCCGCTGGAAGGATGGACAGGCAGGAGGAAGTCATTTCTAGACTCAAACTGAAACCAAAGAGAATTTCATGCAGGGTTTAAACAAGAAAGAAAAGAGGAAAGAGAGAAAACTATGCCTAAAAGTGATTATGCTTGTACTTCATTTTAAATTTCTTACCTCCCATTTTATTTATTCCAAATCCTATGCCTTCCATTCCCATTCCTTAAAAAGAAAAAGTCAATGCAAACTAAAATTATGTCAAAGCAGTAAATAACGTTTGAACTTAAAAAGCATAATTCCAAACCAGCAAAAGAACTCAAAAGAAAATCCCTGATGACAAGTATATTTTATATATTTTAATCAGCAAGAAAAAAAGCCCTTACCATTTCAACTGTCAAATATCATATAGCTATTTTTTTTTTTTTTAAACACAGTATTGCTCTGTCACCCAGGCTGGAATGCAATGGCACAATCTTGGCTCACTGCAACCTCCACCTCCCGGGTTCAAGCAATTCTCCTGCCTCAGCCTCCCGACTAGCTGAGATTACAGGCGCCTGCTACCACGCCTGGCTAATCTTTTTCTGAGGGATCTACATACTTTAATGACCCAGTCGGGCAGGGTTTTTGTGTTTTTTTTGTTTTTGAGACAGGGTCTCCTTCTGTCACTGGGGCTGGAATGCAGTGGCATGGTCACAGCTCCCTACAGCCTCAACATCCCAGGCTCAAGTGATCCTCTTGCCTCAGCCTCCCAAGTAGCTGGGACTACGCCACCACACCTGGCTGATTTTTTTTATATTTTGTAGAGATGGAGTCTATGTCGCCTAGACTAGTCTCAAACCCTCGGCCTCCAAATTGCTGGGATTACAGGCATAAGCCACCACACCAGGCCTCAAGTTAGGCAGTATTAAACATGAAATAGAATTATAAGACACATTCTATGGAACATAAACTTTTTAGAAAATTTTAGGGAACAGAAGTAGATTTTTTTTAAGAATCCCTGTTAAGGGTGGGCGTGGTGACTCACGCCTGTAATCCCAGCACTTCAGGAAGCCGAGGCGGGTGGATCACCTGAGGTCAGGAGTTCCAGCCCGGCCTGACCAACATGGTGAAACCCTGTCTCTACTAAATACAAAAAATTAGCTGGGTGTGGTGGCACATGCCTGTAATCCCAGCTACTTGGGAGGCTGAGGCAGGAGAATCACTTGAACCCAGGAGGCAGAGATTGAGTGCGGTAAGCTGAGATTGAGCCACTGCACTCCAGCCTGGGCAACAAGAGCAAAATTCCGTCTCAATAAATCAATCCCTGTTAAAGGTAAAATCTTCAAAATAAAAACCAGTTCCTAAAAACACCAAGACTTCCTCCCCAACCCCCAGTCTTTCTGTTTAGATGTCAGACATGGGGTGTGTGTGTTTTGGGTCGGGGGAAACGTTAACAGCCATTTGAAGTTGTGGCCCAGAATTTAAGTCAGCCCCAGGGTGACTCTGGAAGAGAGTCTAGGGATATGCAACACTGACAATGGTGGGATAGAGGGGCTTCCATATTCCAATTTCAAAGGATTCCAACAAAGACCAAAGTCTAAGGTCATAAAAATGACATATTCCTTAATAGAATCAAAATACATCATTACACAGCAATGAAAATGCTAAACAGCAAAGCCTGAGTTTATTCTACACATCAAAGCTTTCATGCAGGTTTTTTTTTTTTTTTTTTTTCTGGAGACGGACTCTCGCTCTGTTGCCAGGCTGAAGTGCAGTCATGTGATCTCAGCTCACTGCAACCTCCGCCTCCCGGGTTCAAGCAATTCTCCTGCCTCAGCCTCTTGAGTAACTGGGATTACAGGCGTGCGCCACCACGCCCGGCTAATTGTTTTATTTTTAGTAGAGATGGGGTTTCACCATGTTGGCCAGGATGGTCTCAAACTCCTGACCTTGTGATCCGCCCACCTCGGCCTCCCAAAGTGCTGGGATTACAGGCGTGAGCCACCGTGCCTGGCCTCTCCACCTTTTTTGCATCTATCAATGCCCCTAGCTCTCTAGCAGCAGCTGTGCAAACACCAGGAGGGCCCAAAGGGGTCTTGGTAAGACACTTTTCAGGGCACTGCGGCAGTGCTATGGTCCCGTGGTCAGGAGACCTGCAGCCTGTCAGTAACTGACAGTGTGACCTTGAGCAAGATCAACTCTCTGGCTTGCCTCCTCTTATCAAATGGCACAACTATTTCAGCTTAGAAGGTTGTTGTCAGGTTACAATGAAAAAGCATAATGACTTTTTAAAAAATGACTCAACTTGATAAAAATACAAAATACTGCCTTTATTCAAAATGAGGCAGAGATGAATAAGGAGGGAATTTTGTCCCAGTTAAATATTTATTCCATTTAAACTACTCAAAGTCCAGTTGTCCCAATAATTAATAATTTTCACTTCCCCAAACCACCAAGCAAGGTGCACTGTCATTCTCACCTGCGGGACCTATGTTTCCCATTCCGATGCCTTTATTCAGGTGATTGGCATCAATGGGTTGCCCTCCTGGTCCTAACCCCATGCCAATACCACCAAGGCCATCTGGAAAGAAAAGAGAAAGAAGCTTAGTTTTCCCCTATTTAGCAAACCTTGACCCTCAAAGGAAAAGAGTGTTTAGTGAGTTGCAGCTATCCACTTCAGCCTACCCACCCCCACCCACCAGTGACCTCAGGGCCCAATGCAAAATTCAACATCGGCACACTTGGAAACAGAGCCTTGTTCCGGCGTTTGGGATATGTGTGTATACAACAAAGGCGGCTGAAAACCAACACGGGAAAGTTAACAACCCCCACACTAAGATTCTTGAGAGCCTATTTGTTTCACTAACCCATGGACTGAGAACTGTCTGATCAAAAAAGGTGACTCAAGACATCAGGTGGCAAGCAGCACAAATGTGCCCAATCCCTAGTAGCCCAAAGGATGTTTCTCATGAAAAAACACGTTACAAACCAGCCAATCAACATCCTGGGTGTCCACTACTCTCTGAATCTGGGTGGTTTTAGTAACAATGAAGCTAATGTATGTATTCAAAGAACCTATCTTCCTTCCCCCAAAGCTTCCCAACCCACAACTGGATACCCAGCCCACACTCAACTCCATGCCCTACCAACACAGACAGGGACACAGAAATACAGGCTGGTCTCTGGAAACAGCCAAAAGAGCTGACACTTGCAATATCTGGGGTAACCACCATCTGAGGCTTAAACTACAACCAGGTAAGCTTTTAAAAATCGTAACAAGGGCAGGCGCAGTGGCTCACGCCTGAAATCCCAGCACTTTGGGAGGCCAAGGCGGGTGGATCACGTGAGGTCAGGAGTTCGAGACCATCCTGGCCAACATGGCAAAACCCCATCTCTACTAAAAAAAAAAAAAAATTAGCCTGGCATGGTGGCACATGCCTGTAATCGCTGCTACTTGGAAGGCTGACAGGAGAATCACTAGAACCCAGGAAATGGAGGTTGCAGCAAGCCAAGACCGCACCACTGCACTCCAGCCTGGGCGACAGAGCGAGACTCCATCAAAAAGAAAGAAAAAGGAAGAAAGGAAGGAAAGAAAGCAAACAAAGTTCATTTAAAAAGTAAATAAAACCTGCCACCACTTCCCAGGCGTTTCATCTGATGAACATTCCATCTTTAATTGCATAGCAACAGCAGCAAGAGATCGCCACGGTGACTTACTCTCCCAAAGCACTGAAGGCTTTGAAGTCAAGCCTCCGAAATGGCCGGGAGACCAAGAGCCATGGATAACAGGCTCCCTGGAGCAGTGTGCTCCTCCTCCTGCTCCAGCACAAGAGTCAACAAGAGCCATCGCCATGGTCCAGGGTGACCACTGCTCAGGTGAGCACACTGACAATTTATTTGGGAAATGAGTATGTTATGTCCAGGAAATGCAATCCTTCTCTAACTAATGTTGCCTTTCAACAGATGAGCCTTCTCATGAAGCCACAGATTTCCCTTCAAGATACATCTGTCATGCTGCCATAATGCTACGCTGCAAAGGTGCTCTGGCCTGGGCTCCCATCCAACTCAGTGAGTAGGGCCCTGAGCTTGAGCTGCTGCTCCAGACCAGGCCCCCTCAACCCGCCTGGTGGAGGTCACCCCAGCACAGCACACACAGGCCTCTCACCCTCATCCATCTTTCTTCTCCAGGAGAGCTTTACCTGCGCCAGTGATTCCCTGAGTCGTCCCACCGCTGTATGCACTGAGGTTCTTGCTTCCAGCCTCTGGCTTATCTATGACTCTGCACTAATATTTGCCACTTCTACCTATGTGGTAGCCCATCAACTAGCCTTCCCTGTCACGAGACAGATTTTCACCTGGGTGTCACAAATAGCTGATCCCTTTCCCCTCTGCATACAAATTATTTGTTCAAGACACTTCACATACCATAAAACTCAAAGTATTCGGTGGTTTTTAGTATATTCAGAGATATGCAACTATCACTACCATTTAATTCCAGAACATTTTCATCACCCAAAAAAGAAATCCAACCTTATTAGCAGTCCCGTCCCTACTTACTCCTTCCCGGCCTCAGGCAACCACTAATCTACTTTCTGCCTTTATGCATTTATCTATGCGGAGCATTTCCTGTAGATGAAATCGAGGTTCATCCACACTGCAGCATGTGTCTTTCATCCTGCTGCAAACATCTGCGTGCGAATTTCTGTGCAGATGTCTAGTGTGCACTGCTAGCCCACATGGGACTAACCAGTATCTTCTGAATTAGAGTGCAGCCTGGTTTTCATTCCCTTCACAGGTTCTGATTCTTCCTTCCCCAGGACACTTTCAAAATGCCTAACCACATCCTCTACATCCTGGTATTACAATCCTAGGATTACCATGAGGTAATCCTAACAATATCCTCAAGTTGTGAATCTCTGCTCATTTCTCACCCTGAAAAATCTATAGAAAAGAACTGGCCAAGAGAACTGAGGGCTAACCTGGCACAGGTTCAAGTGAAACCATATGGTAATTTTCTGTTTATTAGTGTAACTCCAATTCAAACTCTCAGCCCTAATCACTGAAACACTTACGGGGAAGTTGTTGTGGACGCTCAGGAGGGAAGAAATCTCCTTTTGGTAAGGCCCTCTCATCCTGAAAGAGAAAGAAAACAAACAAATCTCAGTATCCAGTGCAGCAGTGTTTGCAACAGCAAAAGACTGAAATGGCCCCCCATCAAGAGAGGACCAGCTAAACACATTATCCACGCCATGGAGTAATACGCAAGGGTAGAAAGGCATGCGGAGCATGCTTCCTATTTTATGTCAAGGGAAAAGACACATGGATATTATTGTGGGGGATGATGGGGACCTGGGCAAGAAGTCCAAGTAGGACTCACACTATCTTCACACTACCTTTTCATGCCTTTTGACTTTTGAGTCACGTGAATCTATCATCTATTCAAAAAACTTACCTACTCTATTTAGAGTAATGAAAAAATTGCTTTATAGTTTATCTTTTTCCTGAATTTGAGTCCCAACTAGACTGCCCTCAGCATGTTCCAGTCATGCCTGTAGTAATTATTATCTTTGGCACAGTTACGGCAGAGCAAATGTTTATTAAGATTGAAGTGCTCCAACAGACCTTTAAAAGCTGTCTGAATCAATGACTTAATTATGTTCACAACAGATTTGATGCTAACCAAACATTATACTGTAATACTTTGAAAAACTGGAACCCCACATATATAACCATTCTTTGAAACGGATCACTTGCTCAACCAGGATACCCAGGTGACTTCCTGAATGCGCCATGAACAGTCAACTGTGCAAAAGGAAAAATATCTAATGCAGTCAAGAGCTGCCATGAGCAAAATGTTTTTTTTTCTTCTTTTTTTTTCTTGAGACAGAGTCTCACTCTGTTGCCCAGGCTGGAGTGCAGTGGCACGATCTCGGCTCACTGCAGCCTCTGCCTCCCACGTTCAAGTGATTCTCCTGCCTCAGCCTCCCGAGTAGCTGGACTACAGGCGCGTGCCACCACGCCCGGCTAATTTTTGTATTTTTAGTAGAGACGGAGGAGTTCCACCACGTTGGTCAGGCTGGTGTCGAACTGCTGACCTCATGATCCGCCTGCCTCAGACTCCCAAAGTGCTGGGATTACAGGCGTGAACCACCACGCCTGACCAGCAAAATGTTATTTCTCTCACAATTTTGCTCAACATACTGCACCCTATTTAACTTAGACTAATCCACAAATATTTCATAGTGGCTATATGTACACTCTTATTAATTCCATGTTTTTGCTAGACTTGAGTATATCACAGAGAAAGATCCTACTGACTTACCATCTTGACGTGCATTGGTCTATCAAATAGCAGCTGGCCATTGAACATAGCTGGTATTACAATTAAGGCTATTTCTTGCAATTCTAAAAATGTGCACAAGAGAAATACAAAAAGAAAGAAAAATACTCCAACTGCTACCAGTCCCTCTAAGTGATGAATTTATGAGCAATTTCAATTCTTCATTATACTTTCAACAATAAACATAAAAGGAACAATAAATAAAGCTGGCGGGGAGGACAAGACAACTTCCGCTTATTCCTTAGGTGTGAAGCTTCATTCGTAACCTTACAATTTCACCAAACCATCCTCTTAAGCAGTGGCATCAAGGTTCTCTGAATGTGACCAATGGGCCAGGCATCTACCACTATCTAAACTGAAGGACCATGTTTTCTGGGTAAGACATGCAGTGACGGTCTTGTCTGAGTTGTATGAATGTGCTCCTGTGGGGTACTCTCCAAGGGATTAAAAACTCTAGGCTAAGCCTAGGGTCAAGGAGAAGTGGCCTCTTCCAAAATGATGTCTACTCACTGGAAAGAGTGAGGTCCTATAAGGATGTATTACACATGAAACAACAACCCCACTTTCTCTCTAGTAGCACATTCTTTGGACTTCCTCCTTCAAACCTAGACTCTTCTGAAAAGAAAACAGTAGAAAGACTCATGGGCATATGCCCATGTTGTAACCATCCCCTCTATCCACACTGTATTGAATCAATTCCACCCCCAGAGAACCTTTTTTTTTTTTTTTTTTTTTTTTGAGACTGAGTCTCACTCTATCACCCAGGCTGGTGGTGTGCAGTGGCGCAATCTCGGCTCACTGCAACCTCCACCTCCCGGGTTCAAGCGATTCTTGTGCCTCAGCCTCCCGAGTAGCTGGGATTACAGGCACCCACCACTGCGCCCAGCTAATTTTTGCATTTTTTAGTAGAGCCGGGGTTTCACCATGTTGGCCAGGCTGGTCTCGAACTGACCTCAAGTGATCCGCCCGCCTTGGCCTCCCGAAGTGCTGGGATTACAGGCGTGAGCCACCGTGACCGGTCCGGCCCAGAGAACCTCTTAATTCCACAGTAATGCACTCCCCCTAGTCACATAAAAAACATGAATACACACAGTCACCTCTTCCTCACACAAACCTACATTACTAACACAGCAATTTAGGTCAAACTGTTCATAAGTTGAATTCCTGCAGAAGGATACATATAGCTTGCACAGCTTCAATGGACTGTTCAAAAGTAACAGTGCCTATTCCACGACTTTTTCCATCTTTATCTTCAAGAATGTCTGCTCGGACCACCACACCAGCCATACTAAATACTTCCTTCAGTTTCTTCCAGCCAACTTTATAATCCAGCTAATCGAGAGAGAACGGGGTAAAAACCTCAATGTAAACATCTTAAGAAACACAACATTTTTACTACATGAATGATACATGCTTTGGTTGGAAAAAAGTATTAGGAAATAATGTCACAAAAACTAATCAACTGCAATGGAAATTTTAAAATAGGATTATAAAGCCTGGCCTTCACTGTAAATAAACTGTACCTATAGTAAATATATTGTCTCTTTTCTCAGAAACTTAAGTCACCTCATACTTCAAATTAATACTCATTTTCTGAACATTTTTAAAAAATTGTTTCCCTGATAAGCTTTACCACTCCCCACCCCACCCAACCTACTTTATTCTAAAAATATTTCCCCTTGCAGATGGTGGAGGTATTATCATTCACCCCAGACACAACAAGAGGAAGGTGTCAGTGCACTTCTGCTCGTACAGTCTTACTCTGCACCAAAACTGCATAAAATAAACCAACGGAGAATGCAGACTCGGTTACTGCTTGCGGAAACACCTGCGAAACTCAGGAATCACAGCCCCAACGAGACCACGGTCAAGCCTGTGACTTAGGAATGCAGACAAAGCCCGCCTATAAGGCTGATTTTTAAAGAAATCAAGAACAAAACCCTTCTTTACATTTTTCTTCTCAAATGTGAGAATTACTTTTATAACATATTGACAAGGTCATTTCATAAAGTTCTGATTTTCTACTTTAGACGATGGTTCTGTTTACTTACATTTGCTACAAATACTGTGCTTCCAAGTCTTCCAGCCTGTAATGCATGGATAATCTCATTTGGGATGTTGGGATTATTTAGGATACTGGGTGGGATAGTAATCATTCCTGGGCCACCTGGTCCCATACCCATCCCACCAGTCGTAGCCATCACCTTTTGCATTGCTCTCCTGGCATGTTCACCATCAGGATCCTAAAACAAGCACAAAAGGTGTTACGTTTAACTGACCCAGTACAACGCAAACCATGCTTGCACAGTAAATGATATTCTCAAGACTTAGAAACTGAAAGGTTGTTTGGAAAGCATCTCTCAAATCTATTAACAAGAAAGTCAAATGAACTCAACTACCAGCTTAGAAGAGTCCAGCTAAAGAAATAGGAAAGGAAGAAAAGGCATGAAGTGTAGCACTAAAAACACAGCTCTCAATTGCACTAAGTAAAAAAGAAAAGCAGGGTAGGGAGGGAAACATGATTAGCTGATATAATGTAGAACCGCCAGACTGAAATTAGAGCTTCATGGGCTTGGTATAGCTGAATCTTACTAATTCATCAATGGGGTTTTGTAACTTCTGCAAACCCCGTCAATGGCTTCCAGAAGTTTGAGAAACAGTTCTAGACCACACAAGCGCCCCCATCCTTCAAGTCCTTCAGGTGTTGGAGGCGTGTGTGTGAGGGCTGCGCAGTAAAACAACATCTGGGAAGGTCTGTGAAGCTCTGTACTGACTCTCTTCTTCAACTCTCTGTCCTGTCAATTACCACCATCAGCACTAAAAAAGACATCATAACACATGAGAGACCTTAGACCCTACCAAGCTTCACTCTGAATCTACTCATCTTCCTCCCCAAGAGAAGAGGTGAAAAGAAGTTAAGAGGGATGTTTTTTTGAGACAGAGCTTTGCTCTTACTGCCCAGGCTGGAGTTCAATGGCGCGATCTCGGCTCACTGCAACCTCCGCCTCCTGGGTTCCAGCGATTCTCCTGCCTCAGCCTCCCGAGTAGATGGATTACAGGCACCCCCCACTACGCCCAGCTAATTTTTTGTATTTTTAGTAGACAGGGTTTCACCATGTTGGTCAAGCTGGTCTTGAACTCATGACCTTGATCCACCCACCTCAGCCTCCCAAAGTGCTGGGGATTACAGGCGTGAGCCACTGCGCCCAGCCAAGAGGGATTTAATCAACAAAAAAACCTTCTTCCTCAAGGAATATATTTGATTCAGATGAGATGTGAAAGCAGGTTTGAGGAATAACAAACTCACTTTATTTTTTTATTTTTTAGACAGGGTCTCACTGTTGCCCGGGCTGGAGTGCAATGGTGCAATCTCAGCTCACTGCAACCTCCACATCCTGGGCTCAAATGATCCTCCTGCCTCAGCCTCCCAAGTAGCTAGGACTACAGGCATGCGCCACCATGCCTGGCTAATTTTTGTACCTTTTGTAGAGAGGGGGTTTCACCATGTTGCCCAGGCTGGAACAAACTCACTTTTTAAAAAAAGAAAAAAGATGGGCCAAGAAGAAGGGTCAGATGGAGTAAAACTTAATGGCACAAACCCACGGGCTCATGGTTTGAGAGTCCCTGAGACAACAAGGCCTCAGACAAATCACAGATATTAGAAGGTGGTCAGCAGCCACTCAGGATCTGCTTGGCCACCACCCCAAAGTCCTTGCAGGGAATGGCTGCTGTAGGCTATGACCGACACTCTTCATTAGAAACAACAGGCTGGCACTTGCTTTGTAAATGCCGTCTGGGACCATGACCGTCTTTCCCTAATTCCAAAGTAGGATCACTCAACAATTACACACAGTATCCGCAGTGTTAAGCAAGAGCTTACTTCTTTGACTTTCAGTGGTCTTCCGCTCAGACTATGCTTGTTTAGGACTTCCGCAGCTTTTTTCATGCTCTCTTCCATCTTGAATTCAACAACACTATAGAGTCAAAAGGAAACGAGTCGAGTGAAACCAGTCCTACAAGTTAGAAGGCTCAAATACCAATAAGTAACTAGACGATACTTACGCACATCCCTTTGGAGGAAGCCAGAGACCAGTCAGAAGAGCAAGGAAGGGGAAAAAGAAAAGAAAAAAATAGTAAATATCAATGACAGTTATAAACAAACTAAAAATATGATTTATGTCACAAAGTTAGTCTTTTAAAATGAACCCTTCTAAGGGGAAGCTGACAGAAGTGCCTCGCCTCGCCTTCCTTGTTAAAAGCTGGGCTCCTTAATATCTCCTTCTCCTACGCGTTACCAGCATTGCACTAGAGCTGCTGACATTTAATAAGCAGACCTAAATTCAGGGTCTCCAAGAAATCACACCAACTTTAGATCTGCTTCCCTCTGTACTCAATCGAGTCCTTACCATATTCCTCCTAAATCCATCCCTTCCGTAAGTTAAGCTCATCCTTTTGATTATTCTAAGCCATTCTATTGCACGACAGAAAATAGTTTATGTTCTCTTTAAACTAGGCCAATTTTGAACATTCAGGTTTTTAATATTTGGTTTACAATTTACTGGCACAAAGGCAACTTTTCGGAATCTTTGGTTCACACAACTTTCAAATTCAGCAAACAACCAAGAGTAACATTTTCTAGACAAGAACACACGTTTTACATTAATTATACCACCGCTAAAATTCCATGCATAATTCACACACAGCCAATTCCTCTGTTAACAAAGAGACAATGCTGCTATTGGTCCCCAGTTATCCAAATTGGGCATCCAAACAGAATACCAAAAAGCTCTTTGGCCAGCCATTTGGAAAAGCGGGACTCCCATTTGCAAATCCCCTCCCACCCCACTCAAATGTTTGGCAAAATCAAACATAGCTACTGTAACATGAGCACTCACTGCCTTCCTGATTTCATTCGATTCCACGCCACCATACAGTTACATTTTTCATGTAGTAAATCCACAGAAGAAATTCTCTCAGACACTTACCCTTGACTTTCCTTCAGCGTCCATTAAGAGCTCCACGTATGTTACCTCACCAACTACAAATCAGTTTCCAGACGACACATAAACCAAGGGAGAAAAGCCAAGAAAACAATGGGAATTTAGAACAATCATCAGCAACCTTGTATGGAGCCTCTGCCTTATAAGAAAGCCCAGAAACACTCCATATTCTCTAAACCACCGAACTAGGCATTACAGGTGTGCAGTAAAAGTAGGTGAAAACACGTTAACAATATGTCCTTGATTTTCCTCCCACCACAAACAAGCTATTCCACAGATTTCCGTATCAATTTCCCTGTCTGGAAGACTCATTCATGACTAGAGGCAATCCAAATCTATAGGAAAGAAGTCTGCGTGATTTACTTTTCTGGGGAAGGGAGGAGGTTTTACACATACGCTCTCATTGGTGGCAAGCAGGTGAAATGCATACAAATTGCGATGCCATCGGGCTGAGCTCACATGCTATAAATACAAGGACGCACGTATGCGAAGGTATAAGCTCACAGGCACACACGGCCGCAGGGCCAGCTTCACAGGTGAGCAACTCGTGCAATTGTACAGAGCCCCGCACTCAGGGGCCCTGAGCTTGGTTTAATGCTGTTATCGCTGCCATGACATTCTTAGTTTTTTTTTTTAACAAGAGGCCCCTTGTTTTCGTTTTGTGTTGGGCCCCACAAATTCTATAGCTGGTCCTGCACACAGCACTAGGCTCCACATCTGTAGAGGCAGAATGTTTGAATATAATAAGATCACAAAACCAGAGCAGCATCTGGATTCTCTTCAGTGAATTAGGCCAGGCTTCATTCTTGCCGCTTTCTAAACCTCCCCATTTAAAGGACACAAATAAATTCAAATTTAGGGCTCAGATTTTGTATCTAAACAGTTAAACAGACTCATATGATTCTAATCTACACAAAAGGGAAAAAACCAAAGCATTTCAAAAGTTTCTGCAGATTTTCCTCAAGGTTTGGATTGCCAATTCATGACCACCATGACCAGATGTTAGAATCCATCAAGACAACCACCAAAATGGCTGCTGAACTTGAAGATGGCACACAGAAAACAAATGTAAAGTGTTACCCTGGAGAAAACTATCTCTAACCAGACTCTCCAAAGGCAAAAAATGGGCTTTTGTTGTCCTCTGGATCGGTTTGGTTTAGCAGTACAAGGGTAAAAATAACCCGCTTAACGGCCTCAACAAGTCATGCCTATTCCAACTCTTTTGTTTAAAGGACATTAAAATTATGAGGCTATAGGAAGAAAAATTTTTAATGAAAAACAAGGTAAAATTATTTTACAAAAAATTTAAAGATCTGAAGGACATATTTATTAATGGCTCTGCACATTGGTTGAAGGCAAGAAAGCCAAGTGTCCAAAGTTTACATCTAGAGCCTCACCCTCTTTGTCCTCTCCTGAAATGTTTCAGAACGAAACTGACACTTTGTACAAAACAGGAGAATCATCAGTGCAAAGAAATGAAGAACGGAAATATGAGGGATCAGTACAATTTACTTTTAGAGTATGTACTCCTGTGGGGCAAACTGAAAAATGATCACAGCCAAGGGACAGTTGTACAAAGCGGCTTTATTTAACCCTTAAAAAGTAAAGCAGTTCCAAAAATGCAGCCGCCCTGAGGCCATGTTAAAAAGCCATTTGTTTCAAGAGCAGCAGCCATTCAAGGACCACCAACCCTTGTCTCCACTTTGATGAAAATGCCACATAGTGTCAAAATAGTGACTGAAGAGGCCCCAAGTTGATTTCCTACCAGCTATGACTACCACCTAATAACCTTTAAAAAATAAAAGACTCACAATAATTAATTCAAAACAGCTGCAACCATGTTGCCGAAATTCAAGTCCCAGTTGCATGGGAAGTTTCTAGTCTGTGTCCATAAGACGCTTGGATCAAAAAGCTGTAATTGCAACCCAGAAACCAAGCAAATCCAAACCAAACTTTTTCCCATGGCCATAACCACTTTAACAAAAAGAGAGGTTTAGAAATTAGGACTTTTTCCACGTAACAGTCTAGTCTAGAAATAGCACACCTGACTCAATCCTTTGTATTAAAAATTTGCTTAAAACGTTCTCCCTCTTTTTACCTCAAGTGGTATCATCATTTAGCAGTCACCCGGGGGTCCAGCATGAGTAGTGCTGTCCCTGAGATCATCAGTAATGCCCATCCTCCTCACAAACTCATAAAATTCCAACCTCTACCCTGAGAGACCATCCATTAAGTGTTAAGGGATCTGCAATAGCTGCTAATTCATACTTTCCTATAGGAAAATGGAGCCTTTAAAAGACCACCTCCCTTTTGGTTCTACAATAGCAAAGCAAAGATTTATTTTATGTAGTCAGTACAACTATCGACAAGAATGTGAGGGCAAAATTTGTCAAGTAAACAGTCTGGTCACATTCCATGAAGTGAAGTTTAACGAGCAAACCATCCAGAGCAGATCACACAGTCAGGACTCAGGGGTAGAGGTGACAGCTTGGCAGTAGCAGCAGTCTTACAGAAACGGCACTCACAGTTATTAATAAAAAATACGGTTGCTCCTCCCCCTGTGTAAACATGGATGGAATTCATGGAATCCCAAGAGTAGGCTGCTAAGACAAATTCTACTGCAGCTTAAAACATCAAAATATTGAAAAAACTAAGACATTAAAAAATCTAACACCAACTGTTATCTACCTCTATTTAAAATGCTCTAAGAAATCATTTTTGACCAACATTTAAGTGAATTATTAAAAAGACTGCCTTATTCTTAAAACACATCAGGAGGATAAGCAGATGAGCAACCCAAAAAGAACTCAGGCGGTCCCTGGGAGCTACTGTGACCTCACTCTCCTGCACAGACCTTTAGCCAAATGAGTATTTGTTTTTGTGTTCCCATTTACTGCTCAAGTCTGAAAAAGAAAAAAAGAGGGAATACAGTGCCGAAGCTTCACTGAAGAGAATTCACATGTTATAAGACCTATATATTTTTTTTTAACAGGAGTTGGGGGGACTTGAAAGTCAGGCATGTTGTCAAACATTCTTCATCTCATAACGGTCAATTCTCAGGCTGCCACTCTATTGGGCGAGGGGAGTGCACAGAACACATGCACACTCTTTAATATAAAGACACCTTGAAACATGGCAAAATAATTATTCTACACACCTACTTGGCTTATGGACATGTTAGGAAATGACTGAGCCCACGCTCCTCAATTGCGTGGCAATAACAGAACGTTACTGCTTCCCTAACACCAGAGACCACACGGGGTAAGCCAGACAGGCTGCACTGCTGGGGCTCAACCTAAGTATTCATACATATGAACGCTTTAGCATAACAGGCCTTTCTAAAATGCAGGCTGCGGCCAGGCCTGTAATCCTAGCACTTTGGAAGGCCAAGGCAGGCAGATTACCTGAGGTCAGGAGTTCAAGACCAGCCTGGCCAACATGGTGAAAGCCCATCTCTTACTAAAAATACAAAAATTAACTCGGCGTGGTGGTGGGTGCCTAATCCCGGCTACTTGGGAGGCTGGGGCAAGAGAATCACTTGAACCCAGGGGGCAGAGGTTGCAGATCACACCACTTCATTCCAGCCTGGGCAAAAGAGCAAGACTCCATCTCAAAAACAAAATAAATAAAATACAGGCTGCATTTCCAACAGAGGAAAATATGAAGAAGCAAGTAGACTGGGTAGGAATATCATTTAAATTGAAAATACAGTTCTGCCTAATAGACCCACAATGCAAATTATCTCCAGGAGCCAAGATGGAGGTTTTCTACTGGACTACACTTGCCCTCTGGGCCTTAGTTTTCTGTCAGATGCAATTTGAAATTTACTTAAAGTGGTGTATTATACTAACAGAAGGATTAAGTGCTTAAAAGAAATCTTTGCTTACACAAGTTGAACTGACTGCTGCTAAACTTCGGATCGACTGAGGGTAAACTACATCCCTGACCTTCCTTTCTTCCTCAACCTGGGCTCTATTTACTCACTGCAGGTGCAGCTCAGTCCTGCTCTGGTGGCACTGCCCCACCTGGGTGCTGCCGGCTGCCTGGTGAGGTCAAGAGAAGCAGCCCAGCAAGGAGCTTCCTCCACTCATACAGGACTTGGTCTCAAACAAATGTAGCACGACACTAAGTTTAAAAGCCTAAGATCGCCTTTTCTCACAGAAATCTTTATTTTTTCCACCCAGTCCTTATGGTCAATCACTTTAAGATGTGTATCCCTTTACCTGTCAGGATACAACCTGGGGAGCTGTGGCCTGTTAAGTCACTTTCAAAGGCATAAATGACCAGTTTACTTCCTATGTGGATTTTTAATAGGAAATGCTAGAATGCTGCTAAATGCTAAAATTAAAGCTGGAGAATATGCAGCTGGTATGAAAGATGGGGAAGAGGATCAAGAGTGAGGGAGGAGCATGTGAGACAATCTCCCCCCGGAGTATCCTTAGAAAAAAAGCTCCCCTCTTGGGCCTCTCAAAGCTAGCTACTTTAGTTCTGAGAGGCTGCAATTAGATAGTGCTATAATGACAGAAAATTTCAGTTGAGGACAACTAATTCCAGTTCTTGTTCTACTCATTTCCTGAAACAAGGCTAAGATTCATCAGACCTTAAAACACAGACTGATAAAGAGTGCTTAGGTTACAACAGCCCAGATCTCTGTGTTTTGGAATTGAGACTAATACTTTTAGGGTTGTAAGTGCCTCTATCTGCCAGTTCTTCCTATGTATAAAGTCTTCAAAACACTTAAAACTTATGCGCAACAAATTTCAAGTAAATATTTCAGATTTAAACTAACCACTTAAACATTTTTTGTACACCAAAACGGGAATAAAAACGTCTTTTTGAAAGCACGTAATAAGAAGAGTATTTCTTAAGAAGTCATATGTATGTAAACACAGTAAATTTCTTTAGACCTCACATACTGAATATAAGCATTATCATAAAAAGATTACCTTTCTGAGTCACTTTACCCACAATCCTATACCGCTAATAATTTAATTAAACAGCAAAGTAATTAATTTAACCAGTACAGGGGAGCTCTAAACAAGAACATTTTAAGGCTCATTAAAAATAACTGATTTACTGCACACCTGTAATTCTAAATTACACCACCAAAAATACACTGAGAGGGCTGAGCCCAGGCATTCGTAGCAGTATGCCAGGGGAATATGAGAACCAGTTTGGAAGTATCCCAATCAACCACCAGGCTGGCTCCACACTTAAGAGTGCAAAATAGTGAATTGAGGTGAACTGCTTCTACATCCAGAAACACCATGGCTGCTGCTGCTACTACCAGCTTTAAGGTTTCCCAAACCGAATTACTGAATGGTAAAGCAGTAAAAATGTCACCTACTTCATCCAGCATGTCCCAAAACTGGTTCACACACTCCTAAAAATGAAAAAATAATTTGGCCTGCAATCTCTTACAAAATTCTAACAATTGCATTTTCAAAGCCACATTCCTGGTTCTTGGAACTACTATACCTTATTATCAATGGAAATAGCAATTCAGCGGTTCAACCAAATCACGAGAACACAAATTTGGAGGTTATTCCAAAAGCTAATTCGAATGAGGCCCAACTGTACTGTACAGAAATTCTAAGCTTCTATTGAAGCAGCAGTCCCAAAAACCAAGAACACTGCATCTGGGATGCAGCATGACACACCCTCAGACAAAAAGAAGAAACTGCACTCTTGCCCTAGGAGCATTGGCAGGAATGATTTGGCTGATCAAGGCAGGCACATCAATCTCACACCAAAACGTTTTTCCATCTGTGTTATCTGGAGAAATGCCACGTGGGAGCAGCACGCGTGACTGTACGGAGAGGTTCACAGTGCCTAGTGCTTCTTGCATGTCATGGTCAAAATAAGGGATGGGACAATGATGGCAGTGCCATTCATAATTTCAAAATCCAATGCAGGGAGCACCAGTACACATACCAAAATGGCCTATCCACGGGGCATCTCTGTCACTGAAATGTTAAATCATTTGACAAATCAAGCTCACATCTCTTTTCATAATGAATGCTCCAGAAAACCAATACCTTTCAGTCATGCAAAGACTCCATGAAGGGTAGTTTGAGTCTAGGTCGGGGTGCGGGGAGGGCGCCTCAAGGCAATATACAAATTGTTCTCTACCACGGTGTTGTCTAACCCAGGGCTGAGCAGTCTCTTTAGTCCTAAGTGCCACCAGCAGGGCCAAGAATCAGGAAAGAAAGGAAGACGATAGCAGCACAGGAGGGAAGAAGGAGAGAGAGAGGACACCACAGTGTGCACGGGGGTGAGGATCACAGAGGCAGGCCTCCTCGGGCCTCCTGGTGGCAGCAGAGCTTGGCTGCTTCCCCTGCCCTCGGCTGGAAGGTGGACACCTAGGCTATGACAATCCACATCCTAAGGCACCGCGTTACAAAGCAGATACCTTATTTTGAGCTCTCCAATGGCCAGTCTACTCTATTTTTTCCCAGAGGGGAAAAAGCCTAAAAGTTAAAATACAAGCTAATGTTTTATAGTTTGGAATCTGAGAAGCATAAGGTCCAGCTACCACATTTTGATCCCAGGAAGACATCCACAAAATTTTAAACAAGCTATCTTCCTGTGAAACTTAAAAAGCTTAAAAAAAAAAAAAAAAGGAAAGAAAGGAAAAATCTCTCCCACCTAACGTGCAAAATTCAAAAAATTTCAACACGAAAAGGCTCCCCGGAAGCCTAATCGAAGCCTTATTAACCATACTAAGCCAGTAAAATCATCTGTAGGCCAAAGGACCATACAAACCATCCTGTTTGACACACAGGGGTATGACCACAAAACAAAACAAAACAAAAAAAAAACACAAAACAAAAAAAAAAAACTGAGGTGGGGTAAGGGGGCTTCACTCTTAAGCCTGGAAAGAACATGCTCTACCCAGAGCCGCTTCCACTGACCAAAAATAACCAAGGAATTAGCCACAGAAAAGATGACACACCAACCTTCTCACCCTACTCAATCACCAGTACCATTACCTTTTTCTTTAACCAGGTCTTTAAGTGACTGCCATTTCACATCAAAAGGTATGTTTGTAATGAAGGCTCTGTATCTTTTAGTTGGATTGGCATATGGCTCAAAGCGATTGCCTCCTCTTTTTATGTTTTTCTCCTTCCTCTTCTCATTCTGAGCAGGTCGTTCTCCTTCACTGAATTCGAGAGAGAGGAAAAAAAGGTAAAGGGTTTATATGTCAGCACAATGTGAAAGATAATTATTTGATTTGCCAGGTTTACAATTCCACACAAAGTTACATATGACACAAGACTAGTATTGGTCAGATGCGGTGGCTCACACCTGTAATCCTAGCACTTTGGGAAGCCAAGAAGGGGGGATCATTTGAGGCCAGGAGTTCAAGACTAGCCTGGGCAACATAGCAAGACCCTGTCAAAACAACAAAAAAATATATATAAAACTTAGCCAGGTGTGGTGGTGCACTTGCAGTACTAGCTAGTAGGGAGGGTGAGATGGGAGGATCACTTAAACTCGGGAGTTCGAGGCTCCAGCAAACTATGATCACCCTACTGCACTCCAGCCTAGGGTGACAGAGCGAGACCCTGTCTCAAAAAAAGCAAAGACAAGACTAATGTTGGTTTTGAATTAAGACATTCAAACTCAAGGCTCCACAGGGCAGAAAGCATTCCCAAGGAAAGGTACACCTTCCTGGGCTCACAAAATACTCCTACGGACAGTAACAGAGACAATGGTGAGGCCAACTCCCTGACCAAGGTGTGTTAATTCCAAGACAGAAACAGGAGAAGAGAGGGATGATTTCTAAGACTTCATAGAATGGAAATATGAGGTAGTACACATAGGCCCATCCAATTTTAGCTTCACAAATAAGTGTCTTTCATAGTGTTAAAAAAAAAAAGGGGGGGGGGGCATAAAATGATGCAGCCGCCATGGAAAAGTTAGGTAGTCACTCAAAATTAAACACAGAATTACTATGACCCAGCAATTCCACTGCTAGGTATACACCCAAAAGAATTAAAAGCAGGGACTCATACACATATGCCAATGTTCATAGCAGCACTACTCACACAAGCCAAAAGGTAGAAACAACCAAGTGTCTACCAATAGATGAATGGAATAAACAAAACACGGACTATCCATGCAATGGGATATTATTCAGCCACAAAAAGGAAGGAAATCCTGACAAAGGCTACAACATGCATGAACCTTGAGGGCATTATGCTCAGTGAAATAAGCCAGTCACTGAAGGCCAAATATTGTATGATTCCACTTATTAAATACCTATAATAAGCAAATCCATACACAGAAAGTAGAACAGAGGTTACCTGGGCCTAGGGGGAGGTAGAAATGGGAAGTTATTAAATACTGAGCATAGAATTTCATGTGGGATGAGAATAAAAGTTCCAGGAATGTGCAGATTGCTGCAAAACATCATACTTCACTGCACACTTAAGATGGTTAAAATGGTCTATTTTATGTATATTTTAACCACTTTTTAAAAATCCAGAAAGGTGGAAAAGAAACCACTCCCTACACAATCCTACTACTTTGAAGCTGGGAAACTTGGGTCTGAGCAACCCTGGGAGGTGGAAGACAGCATGCAGACAATCCCACCTTTGGCAAAGAAGGGTGGCTGCTTTTCTGGCACGGCCTTCCCATTGCACTCTTTACCTTTGTGTGCTAGGTGCCACCACACTGTTAACACTAACCATCTCTAGGTAGCAGCCATCAGGCTTGGAAGCCCGGGCACTGGCTGACAGGGCGCTTTCCTCAGCTGCCAGCTCAAGCGCAACCCCTCTGACTACAGGGAGGCACAGATTAGAGCTGATCAGGAACAAGTGAGGAGCCAGAAGCCACCTCAAGTTTCTTAAGCAACTGAGCCTTGCACCTTCTGCTTCCCCAGCCCTGTGTGTCCCGCCAGTGAGAATCCAGTGACTCCCAGACCACGGGCTCTACTACAGAATTTGTAATCCATGACAAAACCGGAAAAAAAACCAAAAAGCCAAGACTACAGTATTAATGATTTATAAAAGTATCTTTAACTGAAGAGCCGATCTTTATTCTGGGATGTAACTTTCTTCCGTGGAAGAAACACCAGATAGTAGCTGGAGAAGCTACTATTTTAAAATGTTATTTAGTTGAGGCCAGGTGTGGTAACTCCCATCTGTAATCCCAGCACTTTGGGAGGCTCAGGCAGGTGTATCACTTGAGGTCAGGAGTTCAAGACCAGCCTGGCCAACATGCTGAAACTCCATCTCTACTAAAAATACAAAAATTAGCTGGGCGTGGTGGCACATGCCTGCAATCCCACCTCTCAGGAGGCTGAGGCAGGAGAATCGCTTGAACCCGGGGGGCGGAGGTTGCAGTGAGCTGAGACCGCACCACTGCACTCCAGCCTGAGTGACATAATGAGACTCTGTCTCCAAACAAACAAACAAAAGTATTCACTTGAGACCAGGTATGGTGGCTCACACCTATAATCCCAGCACTTTGGGAGGTCAAGGCAGGAGAATCTTACTTAAACCCAAGAGTTCGACAAATAAGACCCTGTCTTTATTTTTAAAAATAATAATAATTATCTGAGTGTGGTGTTGTGCACCTGTAGTCCCAGCTACTCAGGAGGCTGAGCTGAGAGGATGGCTCCAGTCCAGGAGGTCAAGATTGCAGTGAACTATGATTGCACCACTGCACTCCAGCCTGGTTGACAAAGCAAGACCCTGTCTCAAAAATAGTAACGTATTTACTTGGAAAAATTTTAAAGTCAGCAACTTTGTGTAGTCCCCAAACA
Source organism: Homo sapiens (assembly GCF_000001405.40). Taxonomy (NCBI): domain Eukaryota; kingdom Metazoa; phylum Chordata; class Mammalia; order Primates; family Hominidae; genus Homo; species Homo sapiens. The sequence goes on along the minus strand of NC_000019.10, from coordinate 8,452,794 downwards.
CAAGAGTGCCAAGTGGTATCCCAGCAGAGGTATCACTGGTGTGAGCCACACCCAAATCAACACAAGGTAAAACCAAGGAAAGCAGCTTCCTCTGTGATCTCTCAACTATACCAATACACAATCAACAGGCTTCCCTTCCCACGGGCTGGCAGATAAGGTGATGTTATGGCAGCTCCAATCCCTAGATGCCTAGAACGCAATCTACCTGAGTCCACAAGACTGGCTTCACACCACAAAGCAGGTCCCACAGGAGACCTACAACTGTTACCCAGGCCACTTGTCTACTCCAAAAGAAAGTCCTTCACCAAAGTCTGCCAAACAAAATCTATCTGCCAAATCATCTCCTACTCTTTCCTGGAAAATGACGACGACTGTGTTAGAAAAAATCATAAAACATAACAGAATCTACACATCATGGTCCACCAGAGGATTCACAGATGGAAATGAATTTTAATATTGTTACTTTTGAAGTCCCAAATACTTTAAGATTTACAATAAAAAACATTCTGACAGAGTCCATGATGAATTATTTCCAGTCTTTCACCAGACTGCTTAAGCTCACCTATAAACTACGAAATGTATAAATAAATAATTACAGCCAAAGCAGGTAACAAAGTGTCTAACCTATATTCCACAGGTGCATACCATGGCTACGAATAAACTATCCAATCTAACCACAGAAGCTGAGCATTTGGTTTGGGGTTAATCCACATCACATGACTCACCATTGAGAAAGCGGCTCTCACCATGCTTAATGGGCACAGCACCTCTGCAAACAAATCCTTCCCTGGCTAATCATTCCCTCTGAGAGGTTTCCTCAGTAAAGAGATTAGAACTATCTCTTGTCATTTCCAACTTTTAAAAAATTGACCTTTTTGGAAATCTACCACCACCAACTAATTCTTGACAGACTTGTAGAGAATGACCCTCAAAGAAATATCATTCGAGACACATATTCAAGCAGACTGGCCATGGTGGCTCATGCCTGCAGTCCCAGCAGTTTGGGAGGCTGAGGTGAGCTGAGTGCTTGAATCCAGGAGTCTTGAGACCAGCCTGGGTAACATGGCAAAACCGTGTCCCTACAAAAAAAATACAAAAAATTAGCCAGGTATGTTGGTGCACAACTGCGGTCCCAGCTATGCAGAAAGAAGACAGTCTGGCTCCAGGAGGTCAAGGGTACAGTAAGCCATGATTGCACCACTACACTCCAGCCGGGGGTAACAGCGGGAGACCCTGTCTCGGCAAGGGAAGGGGAAGGGGAAGGGGAGGGACATATTCAAGTTTAGATGATGTGATAGTATAAAAGTGATGTCCTGAAAAGCTCTTTTTTTAACATGTCCAATCCTATTTTCTCACTATCTTCAGGACAAAATTAGGGGAAGATTCTTCTCTAGTCCATGTATATGTATACGTACATATAAAAACTTAACTCTGCAAGTCTTTTTAACTTTTGGCTGGGCGCGGTGGCTCACACCTGTAATCCCAACACCTTGGGGGGCCGAGGCGGGCAGATCACCTGAGGTCAGGAGTTCAAGACCAGCCTGGCCAACATGGTGGAAACCTGTCTCTAATAAACATACAAAAATTAGGCCAGGCACGGTGGCTCACGTCTGTAATCCCAGCACTTTGGGAGGCCGAGGCAGGTGGATTATCTTAGGTCAGGAGTTTGAGACCAGCCTGGCCAACATGGTGAAACCCCGTCTCTACTAAAAATACAAAAATTAGCTGGGCGTGGTGGCAGGCGCCTGTAATCCCAGCTACTCGGGAGGCTGAGGCAGGAAAATTGCTTGAACACAGGAGGCGGGGGTTGCAGTGAGCCGAGATTATGCCATTGCACTCCAGCCTGGGCGACAAGAGTGAAACTCCGTCTCAAAAACAAAACAAAACAAAACCAAAAATTAGCCGGGCATGGTGGCGGGTGCCTGTAATCCTAGCTACTCGCTACTTGGGAGGCTGAGGCAGGAGAATCACTTGAACGGGAGGCGGAGGTTGCAGTGAAGTGAGATAGCGCCACTGCACTCCAGCCTGGGCAACAAGAGCAAAACTCCATCTCAAAAAAAAAAAAAATAATAATAATAATAATTAATTAAATTAAATTAAAAATACGATTAATGCCTGTAATCCCAGCACTTTGGGAGGCCAAGGTGGGCGGATCACTTGAGCTCAGGAGTTCAAGAACAGCCTGGGCAACATGGTATAACACCATCTCTACAAAATATTAGCTAGGCATGGTACCATGTGCCTGTGGTCCTATTTACTCAGAAGGCTGAGGTGGAAGGATCGCTTGAGCCCAGGAGCTGGAGTTGCAGTGAGTAGAGATCGTACACTGCACCCCAGCCTGAGGGACAAGAGTGAAACTCCATCTCAAAAAACAAAAAAACCCTAATAAAAAGATTGAGTGCCTAATCTGCAAAAGACCACCACCAAATAGTGACTGCCTACCCTCTCTTAAGGTCTCCATGCAGTTCCCATGCGTAACACTCACTACTTTTGGAGTTTCTAATCAAGGAAAGGGTGCAGTTTGAAATGGCAATCCCAATACCCTGAAATTGTGATCACATCTCCTGAGGGACAAGGACCCCTCTGCCCGTGTGAGAACCATCCCTTATATAAAGTGATTCTTCACAGAAATCCCTCAAGTCCTGCGCTGCTCTAATGCATGTAAGGTGTGGAGAGCACTATTCACAGCACCATTCCAGCTCCAAGGCCACCACTGAACTACCCACATGACTCAAGCTCTTTCTGTCTCTAGCGCTTTACCAGCAAAACCAGCGCAACCTGTATGCATGGTAGCTCAGAGGGACACTGTGACAATCAACAAAGAATGGCAAAACAAAAAGCAGCTCATCTAGGGAAGCAGTACTGCATGTGGCTAAGAGCTGGGGTCACCATGTCGTCACTAGGCCTCGGTCCTATGGAGGCTACTACCTACACGCTTACAGCTTTAAAAGAGACTCTTAGGCCGGGCGCGGTGGCTCACGCCTGTAATCCCAGCACTTTGGGAGGCCGAGGCGGGCGGATCACGAGGTCAGGAGATCGAGACCATCCCGGCTAAAACGGTGAAACCCCGTCTCTACTAAAAATACAAAAAATTAGCCGGGCGTAGTGGCGGGCGCCTGTAGTCCCAGCTACTTGGGAGGCTGAGGCAGGAGAATGGCGTGAACCCGGGAGGCGGAGCTTGCAGCGAGCCGAGATCCCGCCACTGCACTCCAGCCTGGGCGACAGAGCGAGACTCCGTCTCAAAAAAAAAAAAAAAAGAGACTCTTAGCACACAGTGAGGCAATGATGTATTTTTCTACCAATAATTTTATTGAGAAGGGTAGAGAGGGGGACTGATTCACTCCTAGCCTTCTACTGTTCAGGCTTTAAAACTAGCAAACCAGAGCCAAGGCTGAGAAAACCTAGGCATCATAATCATTACAGACTAGCAAAGGGACAATTTAGCTTTCAACCCTATGACTGCAAAATATGGTAATGGGGAAGTCCATTGGAGAACCCCCCCTCCCAAAAAAACAAGCAAGCTAATCTTTGCAGGCTAGTATCTCTTTCCCTAACCAGAATAAAATCAAAGAGCTGAGTGAAAGCAAAGGCCTGGCAGCATGCATTCAAATAATCCAAAACCCTGTCTTCTAATCTTGAGCTCACAATCTGACGTGTCTCCAAAATCCTTTTTGAATAAACAATCACTCTTTAAAGTACAGCAAACACTCAAATGCATTGTATAGAGAATCTGATTTAAATAAAACAATTCAAACGGCTGTTTACTGAGTGGTTACCAAGGTAGTATCATGAAAGCAGCAAGCTGCCTGGGAGTCAGGAGGGCCTCCCCTGGAGTCTTTAGGTCAGGTTCCTGAACCTGGGTTTAAGTGTTTAAAACGAAAGTTTTCTTGATTGTCAAATGGAGTCAACTCTAACAGTACCTCCTCAGGAATCTACCCTAAATATATATTTTTATTTTTATAAATAACCAATCCATCTGTTTCTTATTCACCCACAAAATTACTCAGGAAGGGGCCAGGTGTGGTAGCTCACGCCTATAATCCCAGCACTTTGGGAGGCCAAGACGGGCGGATAACGACGTCAGGAGATCGAGACCATCCTGGCTAACAGAGTGAAACCCCATCTCTACTAAAAAAAAATATTAAAAAAATTAGCCAGGCATGGTGGCGGGCGCCTGTAGTCCCAGCTACTCGTGAGGCTGAGGCAGGAGAATGGCGTGAACCCGGGAAGCGGTTCACGGAGCTTGCAGTGAGCTGAGATCGCGCCACTGCACTCCAGCCTGGGCAACAGAGCGAGACTCCATCTCAAAAAAAAAAAAAAATTACTCAGGAAGGGGAGCAGGTTAAGTCATTTATTTTATATATGATACTACATTTAAAAAAATTTTAAAAACCTATACATTCCCCTAAAATGAACTTTTTTTTCCCTGACTATACCCTAACTCTGAATCTTTGCTGACTTTAATTGGAACAGACTTCTCATCAAAATTAAGCAAATCCTATTCTCACACCCAGGAGAGAAGTAACTGCAAAACAAGATTTCCAACCTGGGTTCCCAGATCAAGCTTGCTAGCTCACTGCATTTGTGGTCTACTGCACACTCCACTCCTGGTAGAGAAAGAATTCCAAAGAACCAAGTTTCTATTTTTCTCCTGTCTCTCAAAGGCTTTCAAGATAAAAATCCAAATTCACTGCCCATCAGCTGGCTGCCAGTGCTCCAACCTTAAAACTCTATAGCAACTTCAGTGTTCTTGTTTGTTTGTTTGTTTGAAGAAGGAGTATCGCTCTGTCGCCCAGGCTGGAGTGCAGTGGCCCAATCTCGGCTCACTGCAAGCTCTGCCTCCCAGGTTCACGCCATTCTCCTGCCTCAGCCTCCCCAGTGGCTGAGACTACAGGAGCCCGGCACCACGCCCGGCTAATTTTTTGTATTTTTAGTAGAGACGGGGTTTCACCGTGTTAGCCAGGATGGTCTCTATCTCCTGACCTCGTGATCTGCCCGCCTCGGCCTCCCAAAGTGCTGAGATTACAGGCGTGAGCCGCCGGGCCCAGCCTGTTTTGTTTTTTCTTTTTTTTGGTAGAGACAGGGTTTCACCATGTTGCCCAGGCTGGTCTTGAACTCCTGAGCTCAAATAGTCCTCTCACCTCAGCCTCCCAAAGTGCTGGGATTACAGGTGTGAGCCACTACACCCAGCACAACTTCAGTTCTCGATAAAGCATACACTCAAATCTCTGCTCTTTGGATACTCTCTTCCCTGCCCCTCCCCAACCATCTTCTTCTCCTCCACTTCCACACGTCTTCCTGTCATGGAGGAACAGGTCCCTGCCCCCAGCAGGTGGCGGAGGTCACCTCCTCCATTCTTTCTACCAAGCAACTCCACTAACTTCTATCACAGCATAATTACCTTATGTTATGGTAATTACATAACATACATAACATACAAATATGTTAATGGCCTCTCCACTCTGCATGGAGTGCAAAAGTATAGGCTTCTAAAGAGATTTCCTTAAGACTTGTAATGAAAAAAAAAAAAAAAAGTTTTCCACAGGCCCTATCAAAAATATCCAAGTGTTGCCAGCTTCCTAAACTATCCTCTATGAAGCTAGTACTAGACTTTGAGACTTTGAGCCTCTTTCTCACAACGGCTATTTTATTCTACAATTTTCAGGTTCCAACAGTCCACATGTATTTGTAAAATGACTCAGTCACAAAATGACTATTTGAAAATGGACAGGGGAAAAGGGAAAATTTGTAATCTATTAATTTACCCTATCATCTAGCAAGGTTCTACCAGCACTCCTTCCTGCATACGGTAAATAAATTTATCTTAAAGCCCTCCAAATACCACCCTCAGAAATCCTACCAGCTTCCGTAGATAGACGCTGAAAAAGTCAAAATTAACACATTCCTTCCCAGAGTTTTCAATAGTAAAATGCTGGGAATAGAGGAAGTTTTTCTCATTTCTAAGGGCCAGTAACCATGGTATTTTATTTCTCCCTACTTAAGGAGGGAAAGAATCTGGAATTTTCTCCGGATTTATTATCTACCAATATAGCTAGCACTTAGGGAACGTTCTTAACCTAAGCGCTCAACTAGGCAGGGCGCAGTAGCTCATGCCTGTAACTTCAGCACTTTGGAAGGCCTAGGCAGGAGGATGGCTTGAACCCAGGAGTTTCAGACCAGCCTGGGCAACACCCGGAGACCTCCTCTCTTCAAAAAATTAGCCGGGCATGGTGGTGCCGCGCCTGTGATCCCAGCTACTCAGGAGGCTGAGATGGAAGGATCGATTGAGCCCAGGAGTTCGAGGCTGCAGTGATCTGTGATCGTGCCACTGCATCCCAGCTTGGGTAACAGAGGGAGACCCTGTCTCAAAGAAAAAAATTAAATATATAAGTGCTCAACCGCATTCACTTTTAATCTCCATAAACTAAGCTTCACACATTACAATATGAGGAAGGCAAAGTCACAGACAGAAAGGAAAGAAAACGGAGGGAGTTAGTATTTAATAGCTACACTTTCTGTTTCCGATGATGAAAAAGTTCTGGACATGAAGCAGTGACGGTTACAGCACACTGAGTCAGTATACTCAATGCCACTGAATTATACGCTTAAAAAATGGTTAAAATGGCAAAGTCTACGTTATGTCTATTTTACCACAATGAAATAAATGTCTGGGAAATTCAATGTGTACCCAGGCTTCCCCTTCCTTCCCGGCCGCTGATCTTGGAGCCAAAACCTCTCTGTCTCTCTTAAGTGTCTGTAATCAGAATGAATGAGTTTCACCGGGGCACAAGTCGATGCTTCCTCCTTTAAAGAAACTTTTAAAAGCCAAGGAGTCAAAGAGCCCCAAGCAGGACTCGAAAAGCTGATGAAGTCTGGAAGTAAATGAACCCGCCTCCTGACAGAACAGCTTCCCCGAAACACGGGAAAAAGGGGATTCCTCCCCCGACTTCGTATCTGTCTGCTTCCGAGGGTGAACGCTAAGCAGCAGATCCCATCTCTCCACTAATACCTGCGGCGCACCCGGGGAGGAGGAGCGGGAAACGGCGAGGGACTTGAGCCAGGGCCAGAGCGTGGGGCGAGGGGCGGTTCCGAGGGAGGCACTTCCCGCGGAGCGCGGTCGGCGCGCGGGGACTAAGGGGCGGGGCAGGAGGGGAGCCCCCCGACCCGGCTTCGCGGCCCTTCCTGACGCTTCCCTCGCTCGGTTACCGTTGACTCGGGCTGACTGCGCGCGAGGCCTCCCGGGCGCGCACCCTCTCTCCTCCCCCCACGTTACGGATCAGAAAACAGACCCCGGGAGGAGAGGGGACGGGGGGCTGAAACCCGGCCCCCGAGGTCACCCTCCCGGGGAGCGGTCGGGTAGGCCTCGGAGGCTCTCCGGTCCGGGCCCGCGCCATCAACCCCCATGCGCAGCAGCTGGGCCTGAGGCCTCGACTACGGGGTTGGCCCCGGCCTGGAGGGACTGAGGGTGGCGAGGCTCGAGGCCCGGTGTAGGGGACGATTCTGGAGGCTCCCCCGGCTCCCCGCTCACGGCCCTAGACGCCGCTACCCTGAGCAGGCGGTACGGGAACAGCCGGGGCCGAGGCCGCGCCGGGGCTAGGCCGCCAACAGACCTAACGGAGCCGCCGCCCGCGTCGGCCGCGGAGAGGAACCCTTACCCGTGGCAAAGGACCGTGGGATACTCACCCCTTAGGGCCCGGAGCCCCGTTGCCGCTCGGCACGCCGGGCGCGCCGCTCTCTTCCTCCATTTTGATCTCCGTCGCCGCCACCTCCGCCGCCGCTTCGACCCCTGCCGCCATTTTCTCCGCGTCTGGGCTTTGTGTGAGCGAACGGGCTGCACCGCGCTGCGCCTGCGCGCCCACGTGACCCGACGCAACCAGTAACACCTGCGCCCGCCGCTCCCGGCTGCCTCCTTGGCCCCACTCGCCCCGGGCCACGCCCCCGCCGCGCGCAGGCGCAGACCGGCAGCTGTTGATCGCTTCTCTCTCGAGATACACTCGCGTTAGGCACCGACTGGCTGTTCCCGGCGCGCGTCCTCTGAGTCCGATAGAGGAGGCATCTCCCCACCCCACCCCACACAAACACCTAGACCTAGTCACTCTCAGCTTTCTGTAACCAGAGCTGGAGCAGAGGGGAAGCAATGATCCTGTCTAGAGATTCCTGGAAGTTTTAGATGAAGCTTGTTCAACCCGCGGTCCGGCACACGATTCGTAAACTTTCTTAAAACATTGTGTCTTTTTGTGTGATTTTTTTCTTTTTGTAACGCAATTGCGCGGTTCTCCAGCGCGAACTTTGTAGGCAACAACGGAACGGCATGGAATAATATCAGAGTATTATCCGTAATTCGCATTATAATTGCAAACAGTTCGTCCAGAAGAAACGGAAAACTGTTAAAATTCACTAATAATGGGGCCAGGCGCGATGGCTCACTCCTGTAATCCCAGCACTTTGGGTATGGGAGGCCGAGGCGGCGGATCACCTGAGGTCAGGAGTTCGAGACCAGACTGGCCAACATGGTGAAACCGCGTCTCTACTAAAAATAAAAAAATTAGCTGGACGTGGTGGCGGGCGCCTGTAATCCCAGCTACTCGGGAGGCTGAAGCAGGAGAATCGCTTGAACCCAGGAGCCGGAGGTTGCAGTGAGCCGAGATCACGCCACTGCACCGCAGCCTGGGAGATAGACTGAGACTCCATCTCAAAAAACAAAAAGATAAGTATTGAGTACTGGGCTTAATACCTGGGTGATGAAATAATCTGTACAACAAACCTCCATGACAAGTGTTTACCTATTTAACAAACCTTCACATTTACCCCCAAACCTAAAAGTTAAAAACAAAATTAAAAAAAAAATTAATGGCTGGGCGCGGCAGCTCACGCCTGTAATCCTACCACTTTGAGAGGCCAAGGCGGGTGGATCACGAGGTCAAGAGATCAGACCATCCTGGCCAACATGATGAAACCCTGTCTCTACTAAAAATACAAAAATTAGCCGGGTGTGGTGGCAGGCGCCCATAATCCCAGCTACTGGGGAGCCTGAGGCAGGAGAATCGCTTCAACCCAGGAGGAGGAGGTTGCAGTGAGCCAAGATCGGGCCACTGCACTCCAGCCTGGTCACAGAGTGAGACCCCATCTCAAAAAAATTAAAAATAATAATAAAGAGCGAGAGGACTCTTGCAATGTTGCATAAAGTGAACTGTGACAGAATTCAGGGTGTATTCTGTACTAGGCATAATGCTGTATGGTCTTATTTTTGTGTGCATTCGTGGCATCAGTTTTATGGTGCTGTGCAGCCTCCAATGTGCCATTTTCCAAGTGCAGACAGTCGAATTGGCACCATCAGATGTTACGTGTGCTTGTGGCAACTTGGGCAGTAAGATGCAGCGATTATCTTTTTGAGACGGAGTTTCGCTCTTGTTGCCCAGACTGGAGTGCAATGGCGCCATCTCGGCTCGCTGCAACCTCCGCCTCCTGGGTTCAAGCGATTCTCCTGTCTCAGCCTCCCGAGTAGCTGGGATTACAGGTGCATGCCACCACGCCCGGCTAACTTTTGTATTTTTAGTAGAGACAAGGTTTCATCATATTGGTCAGGCTGGTCTCGAACTCCTGACCTCGTGATCCGCCTGCCTCAGGCTCCCAAAGTGCTGCGATTGTAGGCGTAAACCACTGCGCCTGGCCTTCAATGCAGCGATTATCAATAATATATTTTTTTCTTTTTTTGGAGACAGTCTTGCTCTGTCACAGAGGCTGGAGTGCAGTGGCACCATCTCAGCTCACTGCAACCTCCGCCTCCTGATTTCAAGCGATTCTTCTGCATCAGCTTTCCAAGTATCTGGGATTACAGGTGCACACCACGACGCCTGGCTAAGTTTTGTATTTTTTAGTAGAGATGGGGTTTTGCCATGCTGGCCAAACTAGTCTCAAACTCCTGACCTCAGGTGATCTGCCCACCTCAGCCTCCCAAAGTGCTGGGATTACAGGTGTGAGTCACCGTGCCCAGCCTATCAATAATATTTCAATCTACCTTTGTAAATGATAGCTCACTGCAACCTTGAACTCCTGAACTCAAGCGATCCTCCCCTGCTTAGCCTGTCAAGTAGCTGGGACTGTAGGTGCACGCCGCTGCACTTGGCTAATTTTTTATTTTTATTTTTTGGTACAGATAGGGTCTTGCCGTTTTTCCCAGGATGGTCTCGAACTCCTGAGCTCAAGGGATCCTACAGCCTTGGCCTCCCACAGTGCTGGGATTATAAGCGTGAGCCACTGTGCTGGTCCTTAGAGGATTATTAAAGACAGGTTAACACCAAACTAAAACTCTTCTCTATGAAAGTATTAGAATAGATTTGCAAAGAAAACACTTTTCCTTCTCTCTCTCTCTGTTTCTTTCTCTTTTTGTAGAGACAGGGTCTTGCTATGTTGGCCAGGCTGGTCTCTAACTCCCAGCCTTCAAGCAATCCTCCTGCCTTGGCCTCCTAAAGTGCTGGGATTTCAGGCATGAGTCACCCCATCTCGTCTCTCTCTTCCTCATGGCATGTCCTGAGGCATCTGTACATCAACTCCTGGGGCACCACAGGCCAAAGTTGGCCTGAGGAAAGATGGGTGTCAGGCTGTGTAGGGAGTTCAGCTGCAGGAGCAAGGAAGGCCCCCCCAAGGGGCAGGAGAGCTCATGCGCACTGGTGTGATGCTCCGTTTTTGCAGACCACTGGTGCGTCAGTCACCCCATGCCTAGGAGGCCCTGCCCATCTCTCCAGCCACCTGCCCCTCAATCACACTGCTCCAGCCCTGGGGTTCCTCCCTGCTGCTCTTCCTACAGGCTAAGCAGTTTCCAGCCTCTGGGCCTTTGTGCTTAGCTGTTTCCTCCACTCCCATGGCCACACAGGCTTCTCCTTGCCCTTCCAGTCCAGGCAGAAAGTTTTTCTTCCTTTGTGAGTGAGCTACATACCAGGCAGGGATTCATATGGAAAACAGACCTTGAGCAATCAGCTCCTCCACTCTGAGGCTCAGTTTGCTTAACTGAAAATATGGATAATAAGAAATGCAATGCACCAGGCTGGGCACGGTGGCTCACGCCTGTAATCCTAGCAGTTTGAGAGGCCGAGTCAGGTGGATCATTTGAGGTCAGGAGTTCAATACCAGCCTGGCCAATATGGCGAAACCCCATCTGTACTAAAAATACAGAAATTAGCCAGGCATGATGGTTGGCGCCTGTAGTCCCAGCTACTCAGGAGGCTGAGACAGGATAATTGCTTGAACTCGGGAGGTGGAGGTTGCAGTGAGCAGAGATAGTGCCACTGCGCTCTAGCCTGGGCAACAGGGCGAGACTCCGTCGAAAGAAAGAAAGAAAAGAAAGAGAGAGAGAGAGAGAGAGAAAGAAAGAAAGGCACCAGAACTCACCTTTCAGGGTTGCCCTGAGCTTTAAAAGCAGACAGATGCCAAGAGCCTTTAAATATAAAAGAATCGGCAGGCAGAAAGCGCTGAAGAAGTAGGTGTTGTTATTAGATTAACTGCATTCTGGGCCAGGCTCGGTGGCTCACGCCTGTAATCCCAGCACTTTAGGGGGCCGAGGTAGGTGAATCACCTGAGGTCAGGAGTTCGAGACCAGCCTGGTCAACATGACAAGACTTCATCTCTACTAAAAATACAAAACTTAGCTGCCTGTGGTCCCAGCTACTTGGGAGGCTGAGGCAAGAGAGAATCACTTGAACCCGGGAGGCAGAGGTTGCAGTAAGCCAAGATCACCAAGATCACGCCACTGCTCTCCAACCTGGGTGATGGAGTAAGACTCTGTTTCAAAAAAAAAAAAAAAAAAAAAAAAAAACACGTATTCTGCATCTTTCCTGAGTCTTCCTCCAAAAGGAGTCCTGGTGTCACCCCGGCTCCACTTCCTACAGCTCTGAGACCTTAGATTAAGGCTTCCCTGCCCTGGGCCTCAGTCTTCTCACCTGTAAAATGTAGGTAATAACCACTTCTTCCCTAACAAGTGACAGTCAAAGGAGGGAGAGACTCGGAACTATGCCTAATCTATAGTCACCCTAAGTCAGCGTGGATATTGTCACCATTTTTAAAAAATTGTTTGTTTGCTTTAGAGACAGGGTCTTGCCCTGTTGCCTAGAATAGACAACAGAAGTATAATTATAGCTCACTGCAGCCTGGAACTCCTGGATTCAAGGGATCCTCCCACCTCAGCCTCCTGAGTAACTGTGACCACAGGTGCATGCCACCATGCCCAGCTAATATATATATATTTATATATTTATTTATTTAGTAAAGACAGGGTCTCACTATGTTGCCAAGGCTGGTCTCAAACTCCTAGGCTCAACTGATCCTCCTGCCGAAGCCTCCCAAAATGCTGGGATTACAGGCATCAGCCACCAGGCCTGGCCCATGCTGGACTCTCTACACTTAACTAAAAACTAACAGTGGCTAGGCGCAGTGGTGCATGCCTGTTGTCCCAGCTGCCAGGGAGGCTGAGACAGGATTGCCTGAGCCCAGGAGGTCGAGGCTGGAGTGAGCTGTGTGATTGTGCCTCTGCACTCCAATCTGGGTGACAGAGCAAGACCCCATCTCAAAAAAAGAAAAACAGAGGCCAGCATGGTCTGTGGACTGGCAGATGCAAAGTAAGAGGAAATTGTTCTTATGTCTATTTTATTTTTCTATTTTTTATTTTTTGAGACAGAGTTTCACGATGTCACCCAGTCTGAAATGCAGTGGTGCAACTGATCTCAGCTAACTGCAACCTCTGTCTCCCAGGTTCAAGCCATTCTCCTGCCTCAGCCTCCCGAGTAGCTGGGATTACAGGTGTGCGTCTCCACGCCCAGCTAATTTTTGTATTTTTAGTAGAGATGGGGTTTCACCATGTTGGCCAGGCTGGTCTCGAACTCCTGACCTCAGGTGATCCACCCATCTCGGCCTCTCAAAGTGTGATTACAGGCATGAGCCACCATGCCCAGCCCGTATGTATATTTTAAAAATCATTTTTATAACCCTGCTACCTGATTTTTACTTGAAGACTGAGCCTTTGCTTCTTCCCATGGGCTTCAGAACAGATCCCTCAAAACAAGCCAGTGGTTTTTATTGTTTTTTATTTTATTTTATTTTTTTTGAGACAGAGTCTCGCTGTCTCACCCAGGCTAGAGTGCAATGGTGCGATCTTGGCTCACGGCAACCCCTGCCTCCCGGGTTCAAGCGATTCTCCTGCCTCAGCCTCCCGAGTAGCTGGGACTACAGGTATCTGCCACCACGCCTGGCTCATGTTGTATTTTTAGTAGAGACGAGATTTAACCATATTGGCTAGGCTGGTCTCGAACTCCTGACCTTGTGATCCGCCCACCTCAGCCTCCCAAAGTGCTGGAATTCCATGCATGAGCCACTGTGCCTGGCCAACCAGTGTTTTTTGTTGTTGTTTTGTTTTGTTTTGTTTTGGAGATGGAGTCTCTCTCTGTCGCCAGGTTGGAGTGCAGTGACGCCATCTCAGCTCACTGCAACCTCCACCTCCCAGGTGCAAGCGATTCTCCTGCATCAGCTTCCTGTGTAGCACCTGGGATTACCGGCGCGCACCACCATGCCCAAGTAATTTTTATATTTTTAGTAGAGACAGGGTTTCACCATGTTAGCCAGGATGGTCTCGATCTCTTGACCTTGTGATCCACCCACCTCAGCCTCCCAAAGTGCTGGGATTACAGGAGTGAGTCACTACACCTGGCTGGCCGCCAGTGTTATTTTTTTACCTCCATGTGGTCCCTCCCTGGGAGGCCTCCTTTGAGAAACATAACTGACAAGTCCATTTTGTCCAGCCAGGGCTCCTTTTATTCATTCAGGGGTGGGTTTTTGAAACGCAGTGCAACTTTTATATAAAGTCGAGGGTGCCAGGAAAGTGGGCCTGCCGGGTGCAGAGAAGCGCAAGAAGCTTGCTGGAATGTTCCAGCTTTAAGGGCGCCCTTGATACACCGGCCACAGCTGCTGGCCCAGAAGGTGCCATGTGGACCTCAGAATGAGATCAGGGTGCCTGCTCCGTCCAGAGCTCAGGACCATGTCCACCTGTCCTCCATATGCAAAAAAAAAAAAAAAAAAACCCTGAAAATATCTTCACACAGGATCACAGACTAGGCTCTGCATGGTGTCTCTTGGCCTAAGAAGCGTTCAGGCCGTGCGGGAACTGTTGAAGTGGAAGTGTTGAAGTGGAAGTCCTTCCACAGGACAGGGTATCACCAGCTACCTCTGGCCTCTCTGCTGCAGGGTCCGGAGAGCCCAGCATTCATACTGGTGTCTCCTCTGCCACCTTCTTCAGGAGTCCAGCTGCCAGTGGAGAATGCTGGGGGCCCTCGGGGCTGTCCGCCTCCCGGATCTTCAGGCGAACTTTCTGGTTGGTCTTTCTCCACTCGGAGTACAGCTGGCAGTGGTAGCGGAAGGAGACCTGTGGGGCAGCCCTGCAGTGAGCGGAGGCCTCCACCCGCAAGGGAGGAAAACAAGTCGCCGTGGTGGCACCTGCGTTGGCCCAAACCATGGCTGGGGCTCATGCTTCCAGAAGCAGAGCTGGCTTATGAACATTCCTCCCACAAAGTGCACACACACAGACCCATTCACACTCCTGGTGACACCCACCAGCTTCCAGAGTCCTGCAAAGACAAGATACACCCCACACACACCAGCAGGAAGCAAACGGGAGCTCCTTTCCTGCCTCTCAGTGGGAAAGGAGTGAAACAGCCTCTTGGAAGGCATTAAATGTCAATCAATCAGGCCGGGCGAGGTGGCTCACACCTGTAATCCCAGTAGTTTGGGAGCCCGGGCACGGGGGAAGATCACTTGAGCTCAGGAGTTCAAGATCAGCCTGGGCAACATGGAGAAACCCTGTCTCTACTAAAAACCCCGTCTCTACTAAAAATACAAAAATTAGCCTGGCGTGGTGGCACGGACCTGTAGTCCCAGCTACTTGGGAGGCTGAGGCAGGAGAATCGCCTGAGCCTGGGAGATATGGGCCGCAGTGAGCCGAAATCACGCCACTGCACTCCAGCCTGGGCGACAGAGTGAGACCCTGTCTCAAAAAAATTTTTTTAATGTAAATCAGTCACATAATTGCCAAAACGTGCAACCAGAACGTGCAAACAAAAAAAAAAAGTTTAAAAAAAAAAAAGTCACTCAATAGGTGAATGAGGCCAGGCGTGGTGGCTCACGCCTGTAATCCCAGCACTTTGGGAGGCCAAGGCAGGTGGATCATGAGGTCAGGAGATCGAGACCATCCTGGCTAACACGGTGAAACGCCATCTCTACTGAAAATACAAAAAATTAGCCGGCCGTGGTGGTGGGCGCCTGTAATCCCAGCTACTCGGGACGCTGAGGCAGGAGAATGGTGTGAACCTGGGAGGCAGAGCTTGCAGTGAGCCGAGATCGCACCACGGCACTCCAGCCTGGGCGACAGAGCGAGACTCCGTCTCAAAAAAAAAAAAAAAAAAAATAGGTGAATGAATAAATAAACAGTGGTGCTTCCAGATAATGAGATCTTATTCAGTGCTAAAAAGAAACGAAGCTGGGTAAGGTGGCTCATGCCTGTAATCCCAGCACTTTAGGAGGTCGAGGCGTGGGGACCACTTGAGCTCAGGAGTCGAAGGCCAGCCTAGGCAACATAGCGAGACCTTGTCTCTACCAAATATTTAAAAATTAGCCAGGTGTGGTGGCCCAGGCCTGTGGTCCCAGCTACTTAGGAGGCTGGGGTAGGAGAATCATTTGAGCCCTGGAGGTTGACGCTGCAGCAAGCTGTGCTCACGCCACTGCAATCCAACAGAGTGAGATCCTGTCTCAAAAAAAAAAAAAAAAATGCTGGGCGCAGTGGCTCAAACCTGTAATCCCAGCACTTTGGGAGGCCAAGGTGGGTGGATCACCTGAGGTCCAGAGTTTGAGACCAGCCTGACCAACATGGAGAAATCCCATCTCTATTAAAAATACAAAATTAGCCAGGCATGGTGGCGGGTGCCTGTAATTCCAGCTACTCAGGAGGCTGAGGCAAGAGAATCGCTTGAACCTGTGGGGGAGGGGTGCGGAGGCTGCGGTAAGCCGAGATCGCTCCACTTCACTCCAGCCTGGGTGAAAGAGCGAGACTCTGCCTCAAAAAAAAAAAAAAAAAAAAAAAGAAAGCCCTTAAGCCACGAAAATAACCTTAAATGCTTATCACCAAATGAAATAAACCAACCTGAAGATGCTGCATACTGAATGACTCCAACTATAGGACATTCTGGAAAAGGCTAAACCATGGAGACAGTAAAAAGATCAGCAGTGGATAGGGCTTGGGGAAAAGGAGGGTGGCATGAATAGAGAGAGCACAGAGGACTTTTAGGGCAACGAAACTACTCTGTCTGATATTATAATGGTGAATATGGCTGGGTGCAGTGGCTCACACCTGTAATCCTAGCCCTTTGGGAGGCCAAGGTGGGCAGATCACGAGGTCAAGAGATCGAGACCATCCTGGCCAACATGGTGAAACCCCATCTCCAATAAGAATACAAAAATTAGCTGGGCGTGGTGGCACAGGCCTGTAGTCCCAGCTACTCGGGAGGCTGAGGCAGGAGAATCGCTTGAACCCAGGAGGCGGAAGTTGCAGTGAGCCAAGATCGCACCACTGCACTCCAGCCTGGCACACAGTGAGACTCTGTCCCCCCCAAAAAAAAAAATAGTGAATACATGTCATTATACATTCATCAAAACTTATAAATGTCCAACAGCAAGAGTCAACTCCTAGCCTGGGCAACATGGCAAAACCCGGTCTCCACCAAAAAAATACAAAAATTAGCCAGGCGTGGTGCACACATCTGTAATACTAGCTACTCAGGAAGCTGAGGTGGGAGGATCAATTGAGCCTGGGAGGTTGAGGCTGCAGTGAGCCATGATCACGCCACACTGCACTGCAGCCTGGGTGACAAAGAACAATCCTATCCCCTCCCCGCCACACACACACACACACACACACACACACACACACACAGGCCAGGTGCAGTGGCTCACACCTATAATCCCAGCACTCTGGGAAGCCAAGGTTTGAGCCCAGGAGTTTAAGACCAGATACAACAACATAGCAAAACACTGTCTCTACAAAAAATACAAAAACTAGCCAGGTGTGGTAGTGGGCACCTATGGTCCTAGTTACTTGGGAGGGCCGAGGTGGGAGGATCGCTTGAGCCCAGGAGGTAGAGGTTGCAGTGAGCGGAGATCACACCACTGCACTCCAGTCTGAGAGACAGGGCGAGATACCATCTCAAAACAAACAAACAAAAGAAGTGAATCCTAATGTGAACTATGGCTTTAAAGGGATAATGAAGGTTCACTGATTGTAACAAATGCACTGCTTGGGTAAACGATGTTAATAGTGGGGGAGGCTGTGCAAGTTGTGTGCGTATGGAGCAGGGTGATATACAGGAACTCTCTGTACTTTCTGCTAAATTTTGCTGTGAACCTAAAATTGCTCTAAAAATTAGTCTATAAAAAAATTTAAAAATGGCCTAGTGTGGTGGCTCACACCTGTAATCCCAGCACTTTGGGAGGCAGACACGGGCGGATCACGAGGTCAAGAAATCGAGACCATCCTGGCCAACATGGTGAAACCCTGTCTCTACTAAAAATAAAAAAAATTATCTGGGCATGGTGGCGCACACCTGTAGTCCCAGCTACTCGGGAGGCTGAGGCAGGATAATTGCTTGAACCTGAGAGGCAGAAGTTGCAGTGAGCCAAGATCGCGTCACTACACTCTAGCCTGGTGACAGAGCGAGACTCTGTCTCAAAAAAAAAAAAAAAAATTAAAAAATAAATGTTGCTTAGCGCAATGGCTCACGCCTATAATCCCAGCATTTTGGAAGGCCAAGGTGGGCAGATCACCTGAGTCCAGGAGTTCGAGACCAGCCTGGCCAACATGGTGAAAACTCGTCTCTACTAAAAATACAAAAATTAGCCAGACATGGTGGCAGATGCCTTAATCCCAGCTACTCGGGAGGCTGAGGCATGAGGACTGCTTGAACCCGGGAGGCGGAAGTTGCAGTAAACTGAGATTGCACCATTGCACTCTGGCCTGGGCGACACAGTGAGACTCCGGCTAAATAAATAAATAAATAAATAAAGGTCAGTGGTTCACATCCTTTGACCAAGCAAGTTCCCAAGAAACATTTGCATGGACAGTCCCAAAGCACTGTTCATAATGGAAAAAACAAGGAAGTAGAAATAAAACCACACACACATTGGAAAAAATCCCAGTGCCTGTCAAAAGTGATTTGTTAAATAAATATGGTCCACCCATACAATGAATGTCTGCTGGGTGGCTGCCTCGTTGTGTGTGTGGGTTTTTTTTTTTAAAGAACACCAGCAAAATGAAAACAAGCAGATGCTAAAACAGTAGCTATGATTTCATCCTATTTACATATTTTAAAATATGCTGGTAGGGGCAGGGCGCGATGGTTCATGCCTGTAATCTCAGCACTTTGGAAGGCCAAGGTGGGTGGATACCTGAGGTCAAGAGTTCGAGACCAGCCTGGCCAACATGGCGAAACCCCGTCTCTACTAAAAATATAAAAATTGGCTGGGTGTGGTGGCACATGCCTGTAATCCCAGCTACTCAGGAGGCTGAGACAGGAGAATCGCTTGAGCCCAGGAGGCGGAGATGGCAGTGAGCCAACATTGTGCCACTGCACTCTAGCCTGGGTGACAGAGCAAGACCCCGTCTCAAAAAAAAAAAAAAAAAAAAAGAAATGCTGGTAGGTTCATTGAAAAATACTTTGTGAGGCAGGGACTCCCCTACAGCTGGACAATAGTGGTTATGTCTGAGGGGTGAGATTTGGGGGAGCTTTTGCCTCTAAGCAAGGGTTCTGCTGCCTACCAGAGGCCTAGAACAATACCTCACACCCCCATCATTCTGTCTGTCTCTCATTCAGGCTTTTTTTCTTTTTTTTTTTTTTGAGACAGAGTCTTATTCTGTCACTCAGGCACCCAGGCTGGAGTGCAGTGGCACGATCTTGGCTCACTGTAACTTCCACCTCCCAAATTCAAGTGATTCTTGTGCCTCAGCCTCCCGAGTAGCTAGGATTACTGGCATGTGCCACCACACCTGGCTAATTTTTCTTTTCTTTTCTTTTCTTTTTTTTTTTTTTTTTTGAGACGGAGTCTTGCTCTGTTGCCCAGGTTGGAGTGCAATGGTGCAATCTCAGCTCACTGCAACATCTGCCTCCCAGGTTCAATCGATTCTCCTGCCTCAGCCTCTTGAGTAGCTGGGATTACAGGCATGTGCCACCACACACAGCTAATTTTGTATTTTTAGTAGAGACACGGTTTCACCATGTTAGTCAGGCTGGTCTTGAACTCCTGACCTCGTGATCCACCCGCCTCAGCCTCCCAAAGTGCTGGAATTACAGGCGTGAGCCACCGTGCCTGGCCAATTTTTTGTATTTTTAGTAGAAACGGGGTTTCACCATGTTTCTCAGGCTGGTCTTGAACTCCTGACCTCAAGTGATATGCCCCCCTCAGCCTCCCAAAGTGCTGGGATTACAGGCATGAGCCACTGCACCCAGCCTTTTTTTTTTCCTTTTTCTTTTATTAATATTATTATTTTCTTCGAGACAAGGTCAGGCTCTATCACCCAGGCTGAAGTTCAGTGGTGCAATCTCGGCTCACTGCAACCTCTGCCTCCAGTGCTCAAGCGATCCTCCACCTCACCCTCCGGAGTAGCTGAGACTGCAGGCACGCACCACCACGGCCGACAAACTTTTGTATTTTTTCTAGAGATGGGGTTTTGCCACTTTGCCCAGGCTGGTCTCAAACTCGTAAGCTCAAGCAATCTGCCTGCCTCAACCTCCTAAAGTGCTGGGATTACAGGCGTGAGTCACCATGCCCAGCCCCTATTATTATTTTTTGAGATGGGGTCTCACCATCTTGCCCAGGCTGATCTTGAACTCATGGGCTATGGTGATCCTCCTGCTGCAGCCTCCCAAAATACTGGGATTACAGGCAGAAGCACTGCACCCAGGCTTTTTATCTTTTTTTGATACTGGGTCTTGCTTTGTCACCCAGGGTGGAGTATAGTAGTGTGATCACAGCTCACTGCAGCCTCAAATTCTTGGGCTCAAGTGATCCTCCTGACTCAGCCTCCCAGGTAGCTGGGACTACAGGCATGTGCCACCATGCCCAGCTAATTTTTTAAAATTTTTTGTAGCCACGGGGTCTTTCTATGTTGCCCAGGCTGGTCTTGAACTCCTGGCCTCAAGGGATTTTCCCACCTCGGCCTCCTAAAATATTGGGATTACAGGTGTGAGCCAACATGCCCAGCTAATTATTTTCCTTTTGTAGAGATGGGGTCTCCCTAAGTTGCCCTGCTAGTCTAAAACTCCTAACCTCAAGAGATCTTCCCACCTTGGCCTCCAGAGTAGCTGAGAGTGTAAGTGCACACCACCACTAATTTTTAAATTTTTTATAGAGATGGGCATCTGGCTTTGTTGCCCCGTCCTGGTCTTGAACCTTCTTGCTTCAAGCAATCTTCCTGCCTCAGCCTCCCAGTGTGCTAGGACTGCAGATGTTACAACCACTGGGCCTGGCCTCACTCAGTGTTTTCATCTCAGTTCCTCTCTCTCTTCCCCTTCAATTTTTCTTTTCTTTTCTTTCTTTCTTTTTCTTTTTTTAAAGACAGAATCTCACTCTGTCGCCCAGGCTGGAGTACAGTAGCAGGATCTCAGCTCATTGCAACCTCTGGCTTCTGGGTTTAAGCGATGCTCCTGCCTCAACTTCCCTAGTAGCTGGGATGACAGGCACATGCCACCACACCAGGTTAATTTTTTGTATTTTTAGTAGAGATGGGGTTTCACCATGTTGGCCAGGCTGGTCTCAAACTCCTGACCTCAAGGAATCCGCCTGCCTCAGCCTCCCAAAGTATGGGGATTACAGGCATGAGCCACCGCACCTGGCTTTCCTCTTTCAATTTATTTTTGTTTTTATTTTTATTGAGACAGAGTTTTGCTCTTGTCGCCCAGGCTGGAGTGCAGTGGCGCAATATCGGCTCTCTGCAACCTCTGCCTCCCGGGTTCACGTGATTCTCCTGCCTCAGCCTCCCGAGTAGCTGGGATTACAGGCACCCACCACCACGCACAGCTAAATTTTTGTATTTTTAGTAGAGACAAGGTTTCACCATGTTGGCCAGGCTGGTCTTGAACTCCTGGGCTCAGATGATCCACCTGCCTTGGCCTCCCAAAGTGCTGGGATTAAAGGAGTAAGCCACTGTGCCTGGGTTTTCCCTTTCAATTTCTTTCTTTTTTCTTTTTTCCTTTTTTTTTTTTTTTTTTTTTTGAGATCGAGTTTCGCTCTTTTTACACAGGCTAGAGTGCAATGGCATGATCTAGGCTTACTGCAACCTCCGCCTCCCGAGTTCAAGCAATTCTCCTGCCTCAGCCTCCCAAGTAGCTGGGATTAGAAGCATGTGCCACCACACCTGGTTAATTTGTATTTTTAGTAGAGATGGGGTTTCTTCATGCTGGTTAGGCTGGTCTTGAACTCCCTACCTCAGGTGATCCACCCACCTTGGCCTCCCAAAGTGCTGGGATTACAGGCGTGAGCCACCATGCCCAGCCTCAATTTCTTAATCAATATATATTTCCCCACTATCTTGTTCTCCCCCGATCTCTCTCTCAGGCTTTTGCTCCTCTCTGCCCCACTCCTAATCTTGGGGGTTCATGGATGGGGGTTCCTGCACTCAGGTCAAGGTTCACACCTGGCTCAGGGATTCCCTAGACCTTTGTCACATTTGGAATCTCAAGCTCCTGGAGAGGCAGGGTGACCTCAGAAGCTCTCTTCCACCCACGGCCATAGACAGAGGCAGCCAGGGAGCCCCGTGCCCCACAAGCCAGGGGCCAAATCCTTGGCCCTGCTGCTCCCAGCGGCAGAGCTCGAGACGCGTGCTGCACAACCACAGCCACTCACCAGCGTCCAGAGGACATAGATGGTGAAGAGGGCGATGGTGAGGGCAATGAGACCCACGGCCTCCAGCTGGCTGTGGAGCCGGAGGTGGTCCTGGGCCCCGCGCAGGCACAACCAGCCTGAGATGGCGGCCAGCGGTGTGATGAACAGGAAACACACCATGTCGCAGCACAGTGTCCGCTTCTCCGTCCGCGGCCCCGGGTCCTTCAGCCACTGCAGGGGAGAGGATAGGGGGCAGAGGAGAGGGGGCAGAGAAGGGGCTACTGAGGGGGAGGGGTAAGGACCTCCAGGCCTAGGCCTCCCTCTGTCCTTTCCTTCTTTCTTTTTTTTTTTTTTGAGACAGATTCTCACTCTGTTGCCCAGGATGGAGTGCAATGGTGTGATCTCGGCTCACTGCAACCTCGACCTTCTGGGTTTAAGCAATTCTCCTGTCTCAGCCACCGGAGTAGCTGGGATTACAGGCAAGCGCCACCATGCACGGCTAATTTTGTATGTATATATATTTTTTGAGACAGAGTCTCGCTCTGTCAGCCAGGCTGGAGTGCCGTGGCACGATCTCGGCTCACTGCAACCTCAACATCCCAGGTTCAAGCGATTCTCCCACCTCAGCCTCCCGAGTAGCTGGGATTATAGGCAAGCGCCACCATGCCCTGCTAATTTTGTATTTTTAGTAGAGATGGGGTTTCACCATGTTTGTCAGGCTGGTCTCGAACTTGTGACCTTAAGTGATCTGCCCACCTCGGCCTTCCAAAGTTCTGGGATTACAGGTGTGAGCCACCACGCCTGGCCCTTTCCTTCTTTCAAACATTTATTGAGCCCATGAGGAGCCAGGCCCTGCCAGGTGCTGGGCACATTTACCCCCATTTTACAGATGGGGAAACTGAGGCACAGAGGAATTAACTCAAGTGAGCAAACTCACACAGCTACATAGTCCACAAAGCTGGGGTTCCAACCTGGGAAGTCTTGCTCCAGGGCCGAAGCGTCTTTGGCTACTAATCTACTACGCTTGGCCTTCCCCAGATGACAGGCCAAAAGAAATGGGCTAAAAAAAAAAAAAAAAAAAAAAAGCCCTGGTGTGGTGGTTCACGTCTGTAATCCTAGCACTTTGGCAGGCCAAAGTGGGTGGATCACTTGAGGCCAGGAGGTCAAGACCAGCCTGGCTAACATGGAGAAACCCTGCCTCTACTAAAAATACAAAATTAGCTGGGCGTGGTAGCACGCACCTATAATCCCAGCTACTCAGGAGGCTGAGGCAGGAGAATTGCTTGAACCCAGGAGGTGGAGGTTGCAGTAAGCCAAGATCGTGCCACTGCACTCCAGCCTGGGTGACAGAGTAAGACTCTGTCTCAAAATAATAATAATAATAATAATAATAATAATAATAATAATAAGTTCTTTCATTTCTTTGATTTTTTTGTAGAGACAGGGTCTTGCTGTGTTGCCCAGGCTGGTCTTGAACTCCTGGCCTCAAGTGATCTTCCCACCTTGGCTTCCCAAAGTGCTGGGATTACAGGCATGAGCTACCACACCCAGCCAAGAAATGGGCTTAATTCATGAAATTCTGGTGGATGAGACAGAAAGGGCCCCTGCCCTCCCATGCTGGCAGTGGAGGTATGAAATGGGTGAACGGTCACATGGGGCAAGGCCTTGCCAAGGAGGTGACATTGAAGAGAACGGAATGAACAGAAGGAACCACGTGAAGAATGGGGGAGATGGGGCTCTAGGCTGCAGGGGCGGCAGATGCAAAGGCCCTGGGATAGGGGGAGGCGGCCTAGACAAGATGTGTGGGGAGGGGGCTGTGTGGCTGTAGCACGGAGACCAAAGTGGGTGTGGGAGGGTGTGTGAAGGGGCTGGACCTCCCTCCCACTTTTCTCCCTACACTCTGGCTCCTAGGTGGGCCAGGGGCTTTTCTAGGGTTTTTGTTTTTTGTTTTTTGAGACGGAGTTTCGCTCTTGTTGCCCAGGCTGGAGTGCTGTGGTGCAATCTTGGCTCACTGCAACCTCCGCCTTCCGGGTTCAAGCTGGGATTACAGGCCCCCGCCACCATGCCCAGCTAATTTTTGTATTTTTAGTAGAGACGGTGTTTTACCACATTGGCCAGGCTGGTCTCGAACTCCTGAACTCAGGTGATCCACCCACCTCTGCCTCCCAAAGTGCTGGGATTGTGAGCCACCACGTCCAGCCTTGGTTTTTTTTTTTTTTTTTTTTTTTTTTTTTTTTTTGAGATAGAGTCTCAATCTGTTGCCCAGGCTGGAGTGCAGTGGCGCTATCTCAACTCACTGCAAACTCCGCCTCCCAGCTTTAAGTGATTCTCCTGCCTCAGCCTCCCAAGTAGCTGGGATTACAGGCATGCGCCACCACACCTAGCTTTTTCCTCATCGTTTGAGACAGAGTTTTGCTTTGTCACCCAGGCTGGAGTGCAGTGGCTTAGTCTCAGCTCACTGCAACCTCCGCCTCCCGGGTTCAAGCAATTCTCCTGCCTCAGCCTCCCTAGGGTTCAAGCAATTCTCCTGCCTCAGCCTCCCTAGGGTTCAAGCCAGTCTCCTGCCTCAGCCTCCCTAGTGGATGGGATTATAGGCACCCACCACCATACCTGGCTAATTTTTTTTTTTGAGATGGAGTCTCACTCTGTCGCCCAGGCTGGAGTGCAGTGGCCTGATCTCAGCTCACTGCAAGCTCCGCCTCCTGGATTCAGGCCATTCTCCTGCCTCAGCCTCCCGAGTAGCTGGGACTATAGGCACCTGCAACCACGCCCGGCTAATTTTTTGTATTTTTAGTAGAGATGGGGTTTCACCATGTTAGCCAGGAAGGTCTTGATCTCCTGACCTCGTGATCCGCCCGCCTCGGCCTCCCCAAGTGCTGGGATTACAGGCATGAGCCACCGTGCCCAGCCCACACCTGGCTAATTTTGTATAGCTAGTAGAGACAGGGTTTTCCCATGTTGGCCAGGCTGGTCTTTAACTCCTGACCTCAGGTGATCCATGCATCTTGGCCTCCCAAAGTGCTAGGATTACAGGCGTGAGCCACCGTGTCTGGACTTTTTTTTTTTTTTTTTGTATTTTTTGTATTTTTAGTAGAGACGGGGTTTCACCATGTTGGCCAGGCTGGTCTCGAACTCCTGACCTCAAGTGATCTGCCCGCCTCGGCCTCCCGAAGTGCTGGGATTACAGGCATGAGCCACCGCGCCCGGCAGCTTGTTCCTTTTCATCTCTCAGGCCTCAGCTGGGGGGTTCACCTCCTTTTGAGGCCTTGCCTGACACCCCAAGTTGCCCCACCCCCTGTGACATGTTTTTCCCTTACTGCACTATTGCTCCCAGAAACCAGTTGCTTCGTTGATTTTTTTTTTTTTTTTCTGTAACCTCATATCAGAAGCGATGCTTTGAAGTCCAGATTAAAGTTACTGGACTTTAATCTCCATGAGTGCCCAGCCCTACGTGTCTTGTTGGTGGCTGGGTCCCCAGTGCCTAACAGAGTGCTGGGCATGCTGGAGGTGCCCAGGAAATCTCTGCTAATGAAAGACACAGGCTGGGAGCGGTGGCTCATGCCTGTAATCCCAGCACTTTGGGAGGCTGAGGTGGGCAGATCACTTGAGGTCAGGAGTTCGAGACCAGCCTGGCCAACATGGTGAAACCGCATCTCTACTAAAAATACAGAAAATTAGCTGGGCATGGTGGCGCACGCCTGTCATCCCAGCTACTTGGGAGGCTGAAGCAGAAGAATCGCTTGAACCTGGGAGGCAGAAGTTGCAGTGAGCCGAGATCGCACCACTGCACTCCAGCCTGGACAAGAGTTAGACTCTGTCTCAAAAAAAAGAAGAAGGAGAAGGAAGAAGAAGAAAGAAGAAGAAGAAAGACTGAATGAAAACAGGGAGAGGTTAATGGGTCTGGGAGCTCTTAAACCCTAGGCCTGGTTTCTGACACACCATCAGCAGACCCACCTGGTGGACAGGGGCGGTAGGGAGTTCTGCCCTAGGAGGACCACCAGATTGCCCGGGGCAGCTCCTGCCTTTGGCCCCCATGTCTGCCCTCTCCCCACTGCCCACCGCAGTCTCAGACTCTTAAGGGTACCTCTGTGAGGGGTCGAGGCCGTTTCTCCACTGCAAACTCCGTGTGGCACAGCTCGCAGTAGCTGGTGTTAGATGAGGAAAGCCACTTCTCCAGACAGCTCTTATGCACGGCACCCAGCGTGCCGGTGCAGCCACACGGGGACAGCAAGCACTCCCCGTTCGCTCCCTCATGGCAGATCCGGCAGAAAGGACCATCACTGGACACAGAGATAGGACCCATGAGCAATGATTGGGCTTTCTGTCTATACCTGCTTCACTACCCACTGGATCACAAGCTCACCCTTACCCCATGCTGCCACTTAGTGAACTCCTACTCATCCTTCAATGCCCAGCTCTAAATGTCCTTCCCTTTGGGAAGGAGATGCAGGGAAGGTAACCTTGCGAAGCCTTCCCAGACTCCCACAGGTGGAGTGATGTGTTCCCTTCCCAGGGACCCTGCAGCACCCTCTCAGACCCAAGATGGGCATCTGTTATACCCGCCCCCATGTCCTCTCCAAATTTCCCTAAAATACCCACCCTGATTGTCCTGCACAACTTCCCCACCCTCAACTCTTTTTTTTTTTTTTTTTTTTTTTGAGACAGAGTCTCGCTCTGTCACCCAGGCTGGAGTGCAGTGGTGCGATCTCGGCTCACTGCAAGCTCCGCCTCCCGGGTTCACGCCATTCTCCCACCTCAGCCTCCCGAGTAGCTGGAACTACAGGCACCTGCCACCACGCCCGGCTAATTGTGTTTTTGTATTTTTAGTAGAGACGGGGTTTCACCGTGTTAGCCAGGATGGTCTCGATCTCCTGATATTGTGATCCGCCTGCCTCAGGCTCCCAAAGTGCTGGGATTACAGGCGTGAGCCACCGCACCCGGCCCCCAATCCTCGACTCTTAATCCTCAAAGACCAGCTGGGTGAGGTGGCTCATTCCTGTAATCCCAGTACTTTGGGAGGCCAAGGCAGGAGGATCATGAGGTCAGGATTTCAAGACCAGCCTGGCCAACATGGTGAAACCCCGTCTCTACTAAAAATACAAAAATTAGCTGGGCGTGGTGGTAGGTGCCTGTAATCCCAGCTACTGGGGAGGCTGAGGCAGGAGTATCACTTCAGCCTGGAAGGCAGAGGTTACAGTGAGCCGAGATTACACCACTGCACTCCAGCCTGGGTGACAGAGTGAGGCTCCGTCTCAAAAAAAAAAAAAAATCCTCAAGGACTAGGGCAGAGCAGACAACACTCCTCATGACCTCAGGCCTCATACTGGACCAGTCAGAACACCAGGCCGGGAGCAGTAGCTCATGCTTGTAATTCTAGCACTTTGGAAGGCTGAAGCGGGAGGATCACTTGAGCCGAGGAGTTCAAGGCCAGTGTGGGCAACCTAGTGAGATCTCATCTCTATAAAAAAAAAATTTTCTTTTTTTTTTTTTGAGATGGAGTCTCGCTCTGTCATCAGGCTGGAGTGCAGTGGTGTGATATCAGCTCACTGCAACCTCCACCTCCCAGGTTCAAGCGATTATCCTGCCTCAGCCTCCCGAGTAGCCTCAGCCTCCCGAGTAGCTGAGACTACAGGCACATGCCACCATGCCCAGCTAATTTTTTTTTTTTCTGTATTTTAGTAGAGACGGGGTTTCACCGTGTTAGCCAGGATGGTCTCAATCTCCTGACCTCGTGATCTGCCCGCCTCAGCCTCCCAAAGTGCTGGGATTACAGGCGTGAGCCACCACGCCCGGTCCCAAAATTTTTTTTAAAGACTTATCTTGGCGTGGTGGTACATGTTGTGGTCCCAGCTACTTGGGAGGCTGAGGCAGGAGGATCACATGTGCCCAGGAGTTCAAAGCTCCAATGACCCATAATTGTACCACTATACTCCAGCTTGGACAACAGAGTGAGACCATTTGAAAAAAAGAAAAAGAAAATAGAACAGCACGCACCCCTGCTCATGCAACCAACTCAGGCTTGTATGATACCATCAGAGTCACCGATAATCTATTCCTAAAATTCTTTGTTTCCCCGTAAACTCCAGAACTGTCGGCCACAAGGCTGACAGAAGCCTGGAGCTCCTGCAGCTGCCTAGTCTGTGTGGAGCCTGTGAATGATGCCAGCACAGAGGAGAGCAGAGCCAAGAGACAGGGAAAGGTAGATTTTTTTTTTTCTTTTTTTTGAGACAGTGTTGCTCTGTCACCCAGGCTGGAGTGCAGTGGCGCGATCTCGGCTCACTGCAAGCTCGACCTCCCAGGTTCATGCCATTCTCCTGCCTCAGCCTCCAGAGTAGCTAGGACTACAGGCGCCGGCCACCACGCCCGGCTAATTTTTTGTATTTTTTGTAGAGACGGGGTTTCACCGTGTTAGCCAGGATGGTCTCGATCTCCTGACCTCGTGATCCACCCGCCTCGGCCTCCCAAAGTGCTGGGATTACAGGCGTGAGCCACTGCGCAAGGCCTGGGAAAGGTAGATTCTTAAGGACATCTTTGCGGGCCCCTGGATCTAATCACACCTGAAGCCCGTGCTACCTGAGAAACCTGTGCATCCAGAGAGAAGTGCTCACCTGCTCCTCTGCCCTTGTGAGGGGGAAATAGAAATAAAAAGCATCTGCAGAAAGCTGCCTCGGAAAAGTCTCCAGCCCTGGCCCAGTCTCTGGGGATGCCGGGTCCTTCCCAGGGCAGCTCAGGAGGCAGGGGGCGTGGCCCAGAGGCCAAACAGCCATGAGTCACTGTTTCCCAAACATTTCTGGCCAGAAGGCAGACTGTGAGGTCACACAAAGAAGAGCTATTTTCCAGACAACGCCAATTTCCTCTCAGAGAGACTGTATTTTTTTTTCTTTCTTTTTTTTTTTTTTTTTTGAGTCACCCAGGCTGGAGTGCAGTGGTGCAATCACAGCTCACTGCAGCCTCGGACTCCCTAGCTCGAGCGATCCTCCTGCCTCAGTCTCCCGAGTAGCTGGGACTACAGGTGGCACCACGCCACACAGCTAATATTTTTTAACTTTTTCTAGAGAGGGGGGTCTCACTATGTTGACCAGGCTGGTCTTGAGCTTCTGGGCTCAAGCGATCCTTCAGCCTTGGACTTCCAAAGTGCTGGGACTACAGGCATGAGCGACCACGCCTGCCTGGAAATGACTGTTTTCTATCCTTTTCTCAGATTCTCATGCTGCGGGGTGGAGTTGGGCGGCTTTAAAAAGAGCCCAACAGGCTGCTCATGGCTGCTTTCTCAACAGTCCTGTCCCTGGACTGCTATTTCCTCCTGCAATGGCAAAAGGGCATGCCTGCCTGCCTCCTTTCTGAACCCATACCCCGATCCCACCCTCCCCCAAGTACACACACAAACAAAGTTAACAAAAAAGGAACCCTTTGTCCGGAAACCAACCCAGGGAAACAGAAGTGACGAGAATCTTGAGGAAGAATCATGTCAGTTTGGAGCTTGTTCTGGGAAACTGTGAAAAAGTTTGGGAGAGCAAATTCAGAGAAGAGGCCAGGCACAGTGGTTCATGCCTGTAATCCCAACACTTTGGGAGGCCGAGGTGGGTGGGTCATCTGAGGTCAGGAGACCAGCCTGACTAACATGGTGAAACCCCGTCTCTACTAAAAAAATACAAAAATTAGTCGGGCATGGTCGGGGCGGGGGGGCTGTAATCCTAGCTACTTGGGAGGCTGAGGCAGGAGAATCGCTTGAACCCAGGAGGCAGAGGTTGCAGTGAGCTGAGATCATGCCACTGCACTCCAGCATGGGTGACAAAGTGAGACTCTGTCTCCAAAACAACAAAACAAAACAAAAAAACAAATTCAGAGAAGAGAGGAAAAAAAAAGCCTTAATATTTGTTGAGCACGGCCAGGCGCGGTGGCTCACGCCTGTAATCCCAGCACTTTGGGAGGCTGAGGTAGGTGGATTATGAGGTCAAGAGATCAAGATCAGCCTGGCCAACATGGTGAAACCCCATCTCTACCAAAAATACAAAAATTAGCTGGGTGTGGTGGCGCGTGCCTGTAGAACCAGGTACTCAGGAGGCTGAGGCAGGAGAATCGCTTGAATCCGGGAGGCGGAGGTTGCAGTGAGCCGAGATCACGCCACTGTACTCCAGCCTGAGTGACAAAGCAAGACTCTCTAAAAAAAAAAAAAAAAAAAAAAATTTAAAAAGAGGCTGGGCACGGTGGCTCACACTTATAATCCCAGCAGTTTGGGAGGCCGAGACGGGCAGATCACCTGAGGTCAGGAGTTTGAGACCAGCCTGGCCAACATGGCGAAACCCCGTCTCTGCTAGAAGTACAAAAACTAGCCAGGTGTGGTGACGGGTGCCTGTAATCCCAGCTACTCGGGTGGCTAAGGCAGGAAAATCACTTGAACCTGGGAGGCGGAGGTTTCAGTGAGCTGAGACTGCGCCACTGCACTCCAGCCTGGGCAACAAAATGAGACTCTGTTTCAAAAAAAAAAGAGAGATACAGTGGTGAAGTAATTTGTCCCAGGTCACTCTGGGAGAGAGAGAGGTGTCCACTCAGGGTCAGGGCCGAGGCACTGAGCCCACAGCCTGCACTCCTGACCGCCCCCTATACTGCCTCCCAAAAGTGTGTTACTTGACAACATTTGACCTTCAGATTTCACATAATAATCTGGAATTTCAGCTTTTCCTAAAGAATCAGACCCGGCCAAAGCTAGGCCTCTGTTTCCACAAGGCGATAACTGTTTGTGTCTCTTTCTCTATTTACCCACTTGGCCCTCTGTCAACGGTTGGACTTCTAACCCCAGGCTGGGAGAAACTCACTGCGCCCAGAGAGAAGAGGCAACAAAGGCCAGGATATCCACGCAGTCACCACTCACCTCGGTGTGTCCAAGGCACGGATGACGGTGGAGAGGAGCCGGCCATCCCTTGAAGTCACCTGTGCCACATACTGGGGCGGTCCGAGGCCCGTAGCCTCCACGACCTTGGAGAAGGCAGGGCTGCCGGAGCAGTCACACAGGGAGCCGGGGAGGTGGCAGCAGTCACCCGTCGTCATGGCCACCGGGAGCCCCGTATCCTCAGGGCCTGAGGCCCATGGTTCCAGGAGCCTGGGAACAGGCCAGTGCGGAGGTTAGGGGCAAGGTTAATGAGCCTGACGGACTAAGGTTTGAGTCCCCTCTTGTCAAGGCTGTAGGGACCACTAGACCATTTACATCTCTGAGCCTCAGTTTGCACCATCTGTAAAATGGGCCTCTGTAGGGCCAGTGAGGATTCAAGGAGACGATGCATGTAACTCAGCACAAGGCTGGTATACAGCAGGAGCTTGGGTTGTATTATTTCTCACTCTCCTAAGAAAAGCTATGCTTCCCTGGCCAGGCGCGGTGGCTGACGCCTGTAATCCCAGCACTTTGGGAGGCTGAGGCGGGTGGATCACGAGGTCAAGAGATCAAGACCATCCTGGCCAACATGGTGAAACACTGTCTCTACTAAAAATACAAAAAAAAAAAAAAAAAAGAAAAGAAAGAAAAAAGTAAAAAAAAAAGAAAAGCTAGGTTTCCCATTCTGGCTAACACAGTGAAACCCCATCTCTACTAAAAATACAAAAAATTAGCCAGGCTTGGTGGCACGCGCCTGTAGTCCCAGCTACTTGGGAGGCTGAGGCGGGACAATCGCTTGAACCCAGGAGGGGGAAGTTACAGTGAGCCGAGATCACGCCACTGCACTCCAGCCTGGGCGACAGAGCAAGACTCTGTCTCAAAAAAAAAAAAAAACCCAAAAAAAACAGGAAAGCTAGGCCTGGCCAGGTGTGGTGGCTCATGTCTATAGTCCCGGTGCTTTGAAAGCCAAGGTAGGAGGATTGTTTGAGCCCCAGGAGTTTGAGACCAGCCTAGGCAACACATCAAGACTCTATCTTTATAAAAAATGAGAAAATTAGGCCAGGAGCAGTGGCTCACACCTGTAATCCCAGCACTTTGGATTCAAGACAATCCGCCTGCCTCCGATTGCCTCAGCTCAGGAGTTTGAGACCAGCCTGGGCAACATGGTGAAACCCTGGCTCTACTAAAGAAAACCAAAAATATTAGCCAGGCATGGTAGCACAAGCCTATAGTCCCAGCCACTTGTGAGGCTGAGGTGGGAGGATGACTTGAGCCCAGGAGTTTGAGGCTGCAGTGAGCTATGACGGTGCCCACAGCACTCCTGCCTATGCCACAGAGTGAGAACCTGTCTCTAAAAAAGAGAAGACAAGAAAAGCTAGGCCTCCTCTTACCCTCAAAGCCTCCAGGGCCAGGACCACCTTTCAACTAATATCACCTTTCCAGATAAGGTATCAGAACCAGTTCTTTTTTTTTTTTTTTTTTTTGAGACAGAGTTTCGCTGTGTTGCCCAGGCTGGAGCGCAGTGGCACGATCTCAGCTCACTGCAACCTCCACCTCCTGGGTTCAAGCGATTCTCCTGCCTCAGCCCCCCAAGTAGCTGGGACTACAGGCATGCACCACCATGCCTGGCTAGTTTTTGTATTTTTATTTATATTTATTTATTTTTTTTTTAAGATGGAGTTTCACTCTTGTCGCCCAGGCTGGAGTGCAATGGCATGATCTCGGCTCACTGCAACCTCCACCTTACGGGTTCAAGCGATTCTCCTGCCTCAGCCTCCCAAGTAGCTGGGATTACAGGGGCCCACCACCACACTCAGCTAATTATTTATTTATTTATTTATTTATTTATTTATTTATTTTTTGAGACGGAGTCTCACTCTGTCGCCCAGGCTGGAGTGCAGTGGCGCGATCTCAGCTCACTGCAAGCTCCACCTCCTGGGTTCACACCATTCTCCTACCTCAGCCTCCTGAGTAGCTGGGACTACAGGCGCCCGCCAACACACCCGGCTAATTTTTTGAATTTTTAGTACAGACGGGGTTTCACCATGTTAGCCAGGATGATCTCCATCTCCTGACCTTGTGATCCACCTGCCTCAGCCTCCCAAAGTGCTAGGATTACAGGTGTGAGCCACTGCGCCCGGCAATTATTTTTATTTTTATTTTTATTTTTTATTTTTATTTATTTATTTATTTATTTTTTTTTTGAGACGGAGTCTTGCTCTTTCGCCCAGGCTGGAGTGCAGTGGCCTGATCTCAGCTCACTGCAAGCTCTGCCTCCCGGGTTCACGCCATTCTCCTGCCTCAGCCTCCCGAGTAGCTGGGTCTACAGGCGCCCGCCACCACGCCCGGCTAATTTTTTCTATTTTTAGTAGAGACGGGGTTTCACCGTGTTAGCTAGGATGGTCTCGATCTCCTGACCTCGTGATCCGCCCGCCTCGGCCTCCCAAAGTGCTGGGATTACAGGTGTGAGCCACCGCGCCCGGCCAATTATTTTTATTTTTATTGTATTTTATTTATTTATTTTTTGAGATGGAGTCCGGCTCTGTTGCCCAGGCTGGAGTGCAATGGCGCGATCTTGGCTCACTGCAACCTCCGCCTCCCGGGCTCAAATGATTCTCCTACCTCAGCCTGCTGAGTAGCTGAGACTACAGGCATGCGCCACCATGCCCAGCTAATTTTTGTATTTTTAGTAGAGATGGGGTTTCACCATTTTGGCCAGGATAGTTTTGATCTCTTGACCTTGTGATCCTCCTGCCTTGGCCTCCCAGAGTGCTGGGATTACAGGCATGAGCCACCACGCCCGGCTAATTTTTGTATTTTTAGTAGAGATGGGGTTTCACCATGTTGGCCAGGATGGTCTCAAACTCCTGACCTCAGGTGATCCATCTGCCTCGGACTCCCAAAGTGCTGGGATTACAGGTGTGAGCCACTGCACCCGGCCCGGCAGAGAATTTCATTGAAGAAACAAGGGCCCTTTCTGGAGACCTCCTTGAAGCCAATACAGGTGCCCTGGAGCCAAGGATCTCTGTTCCCAGCTTGTCCAACCCCCAAGAGCTACAATGTCCAGAGCCCCTGCAGCCCCTAAAGTGTTCAGAAAGTCCAAGCAAGAGAGGCAATCAAGTACTCAGCGAAGTATTCCCACCCCCACCCCAAGTCAGCTTGTAAACTGCCAATCAAAATCCGAGCCCTGGGCCAGGGGAAGTTGTTCATACCTGTAATCCCAGCGCTTTGGGAGGTCCAAGCAGGAGGATCACTTGAGGCCAGGAGTTTGAGACGAGCTAGGGCAACATAGAGAGACCCTATCTCTCTGAAGGTTTTTTTGAATTAGCCAGGCATGGTGCTGAAAGCCTGTAGTCCCAGCTACTTGGGAGGCTGAGGAGGGAGCCTCAACCTCTTGAGCCCAGGAGTTCAAGGCTGTAGTGAGCTATGATCACACCACTGCACTCCAGCCTGGGTAACAGAGCAAGACCCAGTCTCCAGTCTCTAAAACAGAACAAAAGAAAGCAAGCAAACAAACAAACAAAAAAACAAATCTGAGCTCCAAAGTGGGGAGGTGAAGGAACAGGGGAGCAATTACTAACTCTTGCGCTAGGACGGTTCACTGCTGGATAAATGCCCTCTAAACAGCTCAGCCAGCAGCCTTCCTGGCCTCACATGTTCTTCTGAGCATCATAGTCAGGCCTCTGCAGGCCAGATAAGCAAGTATTGCCCAAAGGCAGGGACCCAAGAGGAAGACTGCAGGCCTGAGATAACACCCACAGGGCAGTGGCCGGGCCTGACACAGGGTGCCTGCTGCTCTCCCTCCCAAGTCCCTGCAACCAGAACCTTAAGCTCAGAGGCCAAAGGGGAAGCGGCTGGGCTCTTTACGGGAAGGCAGGCAGAGGCGAGTCCTTTCCTCCAGCCCAGCCCTTCTGAGGCTAGGTCTTTACATTTCTTTTTTTTTAAGACAGGGTCTTGGCCGGGCGTGGTGACTCATGCATGTAATCCCAGCACTTTGGGAGGCCGAGGTGGGCAGATCACCTGAGGTCAGGAGTTCAAGACGAGCCTGACCACATGGAGAAACCCCGTGTCTACTAAAAATACAAAAAAATTAGCCAGGCATGTTGGCGCATGCCTGTAATCCCAGCTACTCGGGAGGCTGAGACAGGAGAATCACTTGAACCTGGGAGGCAGAGGTTGCAGTGAGCCGAGATCGCACCATTGCACTCCAGCCTGGGCAACAAGAGTGAAATTCTTTCTCAAAAAAAAAAAAAAAAAAAAAAAAAAAAAAAGACAGGGTATTGGCCGGGCGTAGTGGCTCATGCCTGTAATCCCAGCACTTTGGGAGGCCGAGGCGGGCGGATCACCTGAAGTCAGGAGTTCGAGACCAGCCTGGCCAACATGGCAAAACCCCATCTCTACTAGAAGCACAAAAATTACTTGGGCATGGTGGCGGGCAACTGTAATCCCAGCTACTTGGGAAGCTGAGGCAGGAGAATCGCTTAAACCTGAGAGATGGAGTTTGCAGTGAGCTGAGATCACGCCACTGCACTCCAGCCTGGGTGACAGCAAGACTTCATCCCCCCGCCCAAAAAAAAAGACAGGGTCTCACTCTGTTACCCAGGCTGAAATGCAGTGGTGTGATCTCAGCTTACTGCAACCTCAGGCTCCTGGGTTCAAGCAATTCTCCTGCTTCAGCCTGTCGAGTAGCTGGGACTACAGCTGTGTTTCACCACACCCAGCTCGTTTTTGTATTTTTAGTAGAGACAGGGTTTCACCACGTTGGCCAGGCTGGTCTCCAACTGCTGATCTCAAGTGATCTGCCCGCCTCGGCCTCCCAAAGTGCTGGGATTACAGGCTTGAGCCACCACCCCTGGCCTGGTCTTTACATTTCTGCAAATAACTGGATATTACAGGAACTATCCCAGCTCCTGCATGTGGTGTTCTAATATTTCTTCTATCAGGGAGAAAAAAAAAAAACCACAGGTAAATCTCTTAATGCAAGGCCTGCAAACCACCAAAATTATACTAGCAGCTTCTATCTATTAAGAACCAGACACTATGCCAAGCAATCTCCATACATAGTCATCATCTCACTGAACTCGAAACAGTTGTTATAAGTGTCTCCTTCAAAGGTCACCTTCCTGGAGAAGCCTTCTCGACAATGCTGTCTGGGGCCTGGCGCATTGGCTCATGCCTGTAATCCCAACACTTTGGGGGCTGAGGTGGGAGGATCGCTTGAGCCCAGGAGTTTGAGAGAAGCCTGGGCAACATACCAAGACCCCGTCTCTACAAAAAATACAAAAATGAGCCGGGTGTGGTGATGTGCGCCTGTAATCCCAGCTACTCAGGAGGCTGAGGTGGGAGAATCGCTTGCACCCAGGTTGAGGCTGCAGTGAGCCATGATCACACAACTGCACTCCAGCCTGGGCCACAGAGCAAGACCCTGTCTCAATCAATCAATGAAGTGCCAATGGGGTCCACTTGATTCCACTCGTGGCATGTGTCCCTGTCTGAAACATTCTACTTATTCACCTACGTATTTAGCCACGTCTGTTGTCCTACCCTACAGTGAATTCTGTAAAAAAGAGACCCTGTCAGATTGCCTCCCGCTGTCCCCAGCACCTGGCCCTCTGTCTAGCCCAGAGCTGCTGCATTTCTGGTTGCTGCTGCAGTCATTTTTTTTTTTTTTTTTTTTTTGAGACAGAGTCTCGCTCTGTCGCCCAGGCTGGAGTACAGTGGCCGATCTCAGCTCACTGCAACCTCCACCTCCTGGGTTCAAGGGATTCTCCTGCGTCAGCCTCCCGAGTAGCTGGGATTACAGGCACCCACCACCATACCCGGCTAATTTTTGTATTTTTAGTAGAGACAGGGTTTCACCATGTTGGCCAGGCCAGTCTCGAACTCCTGACCTCGTGATCCGCCCACCTCAGCCTCCTAAAGTGCTGGGATTACAGGCATGAGCCACTGTGCCTGGCCATGTTGTAGTCATTTCTCAATCCTCACTCCGTTTAAGAACAGCGTGAGAGAGCCACATCTCTTGACCCTCCGATCCTGGTCGGCCAGCCCCTGTGGTGGGCATCAGAGATATTTAGAGGCTAGAGGTCCACTCAAACCACAGAGGCCCAGGCCTGGAAGAGGCCAAACTTGAGGCTGGACACAAAGAGAGGGTGACTGCAAGTCGGACTCAGCTCTGAGGCTGCTGAAATGGGAGAGTGATCTGATGGCTCCAGCAAACTTGGCCCAGTGCCCAGGAGATTTATTTCTCTTCTTTCTTTTGTCTGGTTTTTTTTTTTGTTTTTTTTGTTTTTTTTTTTTTGAGATGGAGTTTCACTCTTGTTGCCCAGGGTGGAGAGCAATGGCACCACCTCGGTTCTCTGCAACCTCCGCCTCCCAGGTTCAAGCGATTCTCCTGCCTCAACCACCAGAGTAGCTGGGATTACCGGTGCCCTCCACCCACAGCTGGCTAATTATTTGTATTTTTAGTAGAGACGGGGTTTCACCATGTTGGCCAGGATGGTCTCAAACTCCTTATCTCAGGTGATCCACCCGCCTTGGCTTCCCAAAGTGCTGGGATTACAGGCATGAGTCACCGCGCCTGGCCTATTTCTTTTCTTTCTTTTGTCTGTTTTTTTTTTTTTTTCTTTTGAGGCAGGGTCTCAATCTGTCACCCAAAAGGCTGGAGGGCAGTGTAGTAATCACAGCTCACTGAAGCTTCCACCGCCCCCAGGTTCAGGTGATCCTCCCACCTCAGCCTCCTGAGTAGCTCTGCACACCACCACATCCAGCTAATTTTTGTATTTTTTTGTAGAAATGGTGTTTTGCCAAGTTGCCCAGGCTGGTCCTGAACTCCTGGCCTAGTGATCTGCCCGCCTTGGCCTCTCAAAGTGTTGGGATTACAGGCATGAGCCACCACGCCCGGCCTGGAGATAGATCTCATTGAGTCTTCACAACAAACCAATAATTACACCCTATGATGGGGAAAGAGGCTGAAGCTCGGAGAGAGGCACCTACTTTCCCAAGGTCATATAGCTAGGAAGGGGTGGTGTCAGAATTTGAACTTAAAACAGTCCAGGGAGTGGTTCTGGACCTCAAGAGACCTGGGTTCTTTAACTCCTGGCCCTCCTGGCTATGCCACCGATGCTGGGTGTCCTGGTTCAAGTCACTTTGCTTCTCTGGGCCTCATTCTAATGATGGAGCTGGTGGACTCTGTCCGTGGAGGGGTCTCCTGAGAAGGAGCCTCCAGGCTGAATTCATCCAGTAAAGCTCACCCTTAGCTAGGCTTGTTTAGGGTGGCACTGAGGCCCCCCAGTCTTTTCCATACCTGCCCAGGCTCCTTTTCCTGAAGGTAGGAAACAGAGGGCAGAGGAATCAGAGGGCCCTAAAACTCCCTACATTGTGGTCTCAGGCAGCTGTTTTACTCTCTCAGCCTCAGTATTATCATCTCTAAAATGAGTGTTACAGGCCGGGCGCAGTGGCTCACGCCTGTAATCCCAGCACTTTGTGCACTTTGGGAGTTCAAGGAAGGTGGATCACTTGAGGCCAGGAGTTCGAGACCAGCCTGGTCAACATGGTGAAACCCCGTTTCTGCTAAAAAGACAAAAATTGGCCAGGCACGGTGGCGGGGGCCTGTAATCCCAACTACTTGACCAGGGTGAGGTAGGAATCGCTTGAATCTGGGAGGCAGAGGTTGCAATGAGCTCAGATCGTGCCACTGCATTCCAGCCTGGGCAAGAGAGAGAGACTCTGTCTAAAAAAAAAAAAGACGGGGAGTCATAATGATATGTAGTTCATAAATTAGTAAAAAATTAAGAAGTTAATAACTATTAGCTCTTATTATAATTACTATCATCAGCTTACAGAGTTGTTGATGAGAGGTCACACAGTCAACCCTGGCACACACAGTAAGTGCTCAATAAAAGCTCTATTAATATTTTTTAGGGTAAATGTGGAGGTTGTTATTGCATTCATTCCTCCCTGCATGAGAAGCAAGGTTCCAATCCCAGCTCTACTCCTTATGTGCTGTGTGGCCCTGGGCAAGACACTTAACCTCTTTGAGCCTGGACTCTCTCAACTGTATAACAGGGGACATTTCTACTGCTTCCACCTACTCAGTATGGTTTCAAAAGAACTGAATGAGCTCAACATGCCCATTTGACTACCCCGTTTTGAGCACCCACATAGCACAGGGCATCCTGTTTCAGCATCTTTGTGCAAAGTGGCTGGGTCATTATATTATAACTTACTATTTTGCAGGCAGAGCCGCTCTGAGAAGGAGGTTGGGGAAGGGCATTGGCCACTTAGCAGTTGCCTACTGTGTGTCAGGCGTTTTCTGCACCAGCCACCTCCTGAATCCTCCCAGAAGCCCCATCAGGTTGGCAATGGGATGACCCAGTTTCACAGGTGGGGAAACCGAGGCTCGGAGAGGCGCCTATGTGTGCCGGACCCCGGAGACCTCCCACCGGCCTTGACACGGGAACTGAGGTCCCCGCGTCCCCGAGAAGGCTGTGGCCAAGGGATCGAGCCCAGCCGTCCCGCCCGGGTGCCGAGCTCCGGCCTCGAACCCGGGGCCGGCCCGCGGACTGGCGTCCTCCGGCCCTACCTGCAGGCCCGTGCCTACCTGATCCGCGGCCGGGCCGGGCGGCCGCACAGGCCCCTCGGTTCGCCTCGGCCCCGGTCCCGGCCCGGCCCGGCCCGTCGGCGCCACTAGCTCCGCTCCGGCCGGCACCTGCGTCCGGGCACCGCCCGCCGAGCCGACAGCGCCGCGGACCAATAGCGACCGCCTCTCGCCTGCATTCGCCAATCGCCTTGCACGTCCCGCCCTAAGAGGCGGGGCCGGAGGCCACAGGGACGACTTGGGCCGCACAGGCCCCGCTGTGCCGCAGCTGCTGGCTCCGCCCCTGCCGCGTCTTGGCTCCGCCCCCAGCTCCGGCTCCGCCCCAGCACTGGCCCCGCCCCAGCCCCGCCCCAGGCACGAGGGGGTGCTGCTGCGCCACCTGCAGACGGCCAGCGTCCTCTAATAAATAAAACCTCTGCAGAATTTAACTTTTTTTTTTTTGAGACTGGCCGGGTGCAGTGGCTCATGCCTGTAATCGGAGCACTTTGGGAGGCCGAGACGGAAGGATCGCTTGAGGCCAGATGTTGGGGACCAGCCTGGGCAACATGGTGAGTTCCCGTCTCTACAAAAAATTTAAAAGGATGGGCGCGGTGGCTCACGCCTGTAATCCTAGCACTTTGGGAAGCCGAGGCGGGCGGATCACGAGGTCAGGAGATCGAGACCATCCTGGCTAACACGGTGAAACCCCGTCTCTACTAAAAATACAAAAAAATTAGCCGGGCGTGGTGGCGGGCGCCTGTAGTCCCAGCTACTCGGGAGGCTGAGGCAGAGGAATGGCGTGAACCCGGGAGGCAGAGCTTGCAGTGAGCCGACATCGCGCCACTGCACTCCAGCCTGGGTGACAGAGTGAGACTCTGTCTCAAATAAATACATAAATAAATAAATAATAAAATAAAATAAAATAAAAGTTAGCCAAGTGTGGTGGCCCAGGCCTGTAGTCCCAGCTGCTCTGGAGGCTGAGGCAAGAGGATCACTTGAGCCCAGGAGTTCGAGGCCAGTCTGGGCAACATAGTAAACTCACCCACCCCCATCTCTAAGACAGATCAATTTTTAAAAAAATACTGCACTATATGTTCACTTAGTATAAGCACACTTTTGCACATAATCACAGTATAACCTTCAAAATCAGAAAATTAATGTTCATCTAATATTATCATGTAATTCCCAGAGCCCATTCAAAGGCCAGGTGCAGTGACTCATGCCTGTAATCCCAGCACTTGGATCATTTGAGGTCAGGAGTTCGAGACCAGCCCGGCCAACATGGTGAAACCCTGTCTGTACTAAAAATACAAATAATTAGCTGGGTTTTGTTGTGGGCACCTGTAATTCCAGCTACTCAGGAGGCTGAGGCAGGAGAATTGCTTGAATCTGCAAGGTGGAGGTTGCAGTGAGCGGAGATCTTGCCACTGCACTCTAACCTGGGCAACACAGCCAGACTCTGTCTCAAAAAAAAGAAAAGAAAAGTTTCCAATAAAGTCCTTTAAAAATCCAAAGTCCAGGCCAGGCACAGTGAGTCATGTCTGCAATCCCAGCTCTTTGGGAGCCCAAGGCAGGAAGGTCTCTTGGGTCTAGGAGTCTGAGATCAGTCTGGGCAGCACAGTGAGACCCCATCTCTACAAAATAAAATAAAAATATTAGCCAGTTGTGGTGGCATCCTCCTGTGGTCCCAGCTACTTGGGAGGCTGAAGTGAGAGGATCAATTGAGCCCAGGAGTTCTGGGCTGCAGTGAGCCATTACCTCACCACTGCATTCCAGCCTGGGCAACAGAGCAAGATCCTGTGTCAAAAAACAAAAAATCCCAAATCCATCCCAGGATCAAGCATTGTATTTTGTTGTTAACGACTCTAATTTAGTCTCTCTTTCTGGAACATTTTATCAATCTTACCTTCTCTCCATGACATCAATATTTTTCAAAAATTCCAGGCTAGTAATTTTGCAGGAAGTCCTTCCATTGCTATTTGTCTAATACTTTCTCATGATTTTGCATTTGTGGCAGGAAACAGATGTGACGTTGTGTTTTCAGGATGCATACAATGCTGATTTTGTCCACTATCGATTGTGCTAACTTGGTTCAAATGGTGTCTGCCAGTTTCTCCAGTGTGAGGTTAGTATGTTACACTGTGGTGTTTTGTTG
The DNA here is from genome assembly GCF_000001405.40 of Homo sapiens. Lineage (NCBI taxonomy): Eukaryota > Metazoa > Chordata > Mammalia > Primates > Hominidae > Homo > Homo sapiens. The sequence continues at coordinate 8,411,289 of NC_000019.10, read as the reverse complement.
TTGTTGTTGTTTTTAATATTTTATTTAATTTTAATTTTTTTTTTTTTTTTTTGAGACAGAGTCTCACTCTGTCACCCAGGCTGGAGTGCAATGGTGTGGTCTCAGCTCACTGCAACCTCTGCCTCCCAGGTTCAAGGGATTCTCCTGGCTCACCTCCCGAGTAGCTGGGATTACAGGCCCGCACCACCACGCCCAGCTAATTTTTGTGTTTTTAGTAGAGGCAGGTTTCACTATGTTGGTCAGGCTGGTCTTAAACGCCTGACTTCAAGTGATCTGCCCACTTCCGCCTCCCAAAGTGCTGGGATTACAGGCAGGAGCCACCACGCCCGACCAATTTTTTTTTTCTTTTTTGGCGATGGAGTCTCATTCTGTGGCCCAGACTGGAGTGCAGTGGCGCCCTCTCTGCTCACTGCAACCTCCGCCACCGGTTCAAGTGATTTTCCTGCCTCAGCCTCCTGAGTAGTTGTGATTACAGGCCCGCACCACCACGTCCAGCTAATTTGTGTATTTTTAGTAGAGATGGGGTTTCGCCATGTTGGCCAGGCTAGTCTTAAATTCCTAACCTCAGGCATGAGCCACGGCACCTGACTTTACACTTTGTTAATAAGTGCTTTCTGGGGAGATACTTCGAAAGTAATTAAATAGCCTGTTCCTCAACACACGCCGTTTCCAAGAGCTTAATATCAATTGATGACCCTTGCCTGAGTCAGTTATTACCATAATAGCAACCAAATGGTGATTTTCTTTTTTGAGATGGAGCGTTGCTCTGTCGCCCAGGCTGGAGGGCAGTGGCGCGATCTCGGCTCACTGTAAGCTCCGCCTCCGGGGTTCACGCCATTCTCCTGCCTCAGCCCCCCGAGTAGCTGGGACTACAGGCGCCCGCCACCACGCCCGGCTAATTTTTTGTATTTTTTTTTAGTAGAGATGGGATTTCACCGTGTTAGCCAGGATGGTCTCGATCTCCTGACCTGGTGATCCGCCCTCCTTGGCCTCCCAAAGTGCTGGGATAACAGGCGTGAGCCGCCGCGCCCGGCCCCAAATGGTGATTTTCTAATTCCATCTTGGGGCATTTCCTTACTAACTGGCTCAACAAACTCTTCCAGGCTGACTTGTCTTGTCTTTTGCCTGCCCCAGGCCTGGACTCAACCATTTTTCCGAAGAGCCCTGGTTCATTTTAGTGGCGAATGATATTTTATTTATTTATTTATTTATTTATTTATTTATTTATTTATTTAGAGACGGAGTCTCGCTCTGTCGCCCAGCTGGAGTGCAGTGGCGTGATCTCGGCTCACTGCAACCTCCGCCTGCCGGGTTCACGCTATTCTCCTGCCTCAGCCTCCCGAGTAGCTGGGACTACAGGCGCCCGCCGCCCCACCCGGCTGATTTTTTTGTATTTTTTAGTAGAGACGGGGTTTCACCATGTTAGCCAGGATGGTCTCGATCTCCTGACCTCGTGATCTGCCCGCCTCGGCCTCCCAACGTGCTGGGATTATAGGCCTGAGCCACCGCGCGCAGCCAATTTTTTATTTTATTTTATTTTGAGATGGAGTCTCCCTCTATTGCCCAGGCTAGAGTGCAGTGGTGCAATCTTGGCTTACTGCAACCTCTGTCTCCTGGGTTCAAGCGATTCTCCTGCCTCCGCCTCCTAAGTAGCTGGGAATACAGGTGCACGCCACCATGCCCAGCTAGTTTTTTTGTATTTTTAGTAGAGACGGAGTTTCACCGTATTGGCCAGGCTGGTCTCAAACTCCTGACCTCGTGATCCACCTGCCTAGGCCTCCCAAAGTGCTGGGATTAAAGACGTGAGCCACTGTGCCTGGCCTTAATTTTTAAATAATAGAGACGGGGCTTGCTATGAGGCCCAAGCTAGTTTTGAGCTCCTGGGCTCAAAGGATCTTCCTGCCTCGGCCTCACAAAGTGGTAGGATTACAGGCGTGAGCCACTGTGCCTGGCAGATAATTTCATTTATTTATTTATTATTTATTTATTTATTTATTTATTTTTGAGATGGAGTTTCACTCTATCGCCCAGGCTGGAGTGCAATGGAACGATCTTGGCTCACTGCAACTTCTGCCCCCAGGTTCAAGCAATTCTCCTGCTTCAGCCTCCTGAGTAGCTGGATTACAGTCACTTGCCACCATGCCCATCTAGAATTTGCATTTTTAGTAGAGACGGGGTTTCATCATGTTGGCCAGGATGGTGTCAAATTCCTGATCCTAGCACTTTGGGAGGCTGAGGTGGGTGGATTACTTGAGGTCAGGAGTTCAAGACCAGCCTAACCAATATGGTGAAACCCCATCTATAATAAATATACAAAAATTAGCCGGGCATGGTGGTGTGTACCTGTAGTCCCAGCTACTCAGGAGGCTGAGACAGGAGAATTGCTTGAACCTGGGAGGCAGAGGTTGCAGTGAGCCGAGATTGTGCCACTGCACTCCAGCCTGGGTGACAGAGCCATTCTGTCTCAAATAAATAAATAAATAAATAAATACACAAAAAAGAAAACAAAAAAAAGAAGGCTGGGCACGGTGTCTTACACCTGTAATCCTAGCACTTTGGGAGGCCAAAGCAGGTTTATCACATGAGGCCAGTAGTTCGAGACCAGCCTGGCCAATGTGGTGAAATCCCATCTCTACTAAAAACACAAAAATTAGCTGGGCATATGCCTGTAATCCCAGCTACCTGGGAGGCTGAGGCATGAGGATCACTTAAACCCAGGAGGTGGAGGTTGCAGTGAGCCGAGACAGAATGAGACTGACTCAAAAAAAAAAAAAAAAGACCCGTCTCAAAGGAAAAAAAAGTAACCTGGCTGGGCGGTGCAGTGGCTCACGCCTGTAATCTCAGCATTTTGGGAGGCCGAGGCGGGCGGATCACGAGGTCAAGAGATGGAGATCATCCTGGCCAACATGGTGAAACCCCGTCTCTACTAAAAATACAAAAATTTAGCCTGGCATGGTGGTGTGAACCTGTAGTCCTAGCTACTGGGGAAGCTGAGGCAGGAGAATCGCTTGAACCTGGGAGGCAGAGGTTGCAGTGAGCCGAGATCTCACCACTGCACTCCAGCCTGGCGACAGAGTGAGACTCCATCTCAAAAAAAAGGAAAAAAAAAGTATTCCAGAAATAAGAGAAGGAATACAATTTGCATATCACCATTTTGTAGCCGCTAATGGATTATGAAGCTTGGTAATGCTCATTAGCAGCTGCTAATGCCACAAAAGAGGGAAACATTAATGTAATGTGTCTTCTAATGTATGTACACGACACTAGTTAGGCAGCGCTCAATCCAGTCCTGACTCTAATCAAACCTTTAGGTGGTTTTTTTTTTTTTTTTTTTTTGAGACAGGGTCTCACTCAGTTGCCCATGCTGGAGTGCAGTGGTACTATCTCTGCTCACTCCAACCTCCACCTCCCAGGTTCAAGTGATCCTCCTGCTCCAGCCCCTGGAGTAGCTGGGATTACAGGCACCTGCCACCATGCCCAGCTAATTTTTGTATTTTTATTAGAGATGGGGTTTTGCCATGTTGGCCAGGCTGGTCTCGAACTCCTGACCTCAAATGATCTGCCTGCGTCGGCATCCCAAAGTGCTGGGGTTACAGGCATGAGCCACTGCACCCACCCCATAAAACATTTTTAAAAAGTTGGTATACTTCTTCCCAGTCTCCATTCATTCATTCATTCATTCATTCACTGTGACAGTGTCTCCCTCTGTTGCCCATGCTGGAGTGCAGTGGTGTGATCACAGCTCACTGCATTCTCTACCTCCCTGACTCAATTGATCTTCCCATCTCCTCCTCCTAAGTAGGTGCGTGCCACCATGCCTGGCTAATTTTTGTATTTTTTGTAGAAACGTGGTTTCATCATGTTGCCCAGGCTGGTCTCGCATTCCTGGGCTCATGCAATCTGCCTGCCTTGGTCTCCTGAAGTGCTGTAATTACAGACGTGAGCCATGCTCTCAGCGTTTCTTTATTATTTTTTTAGAGACTGGGTCTTGCTGTGTTGCCCAGGTTGGACTGTAACTCCTGGGTTCAAGTGATCCTTCTCTCTCTCTCTTTTTTCATTGGCAGTTTCTACTTGAAATCCTCCTGTTGCCCTGGCGCGGTGGCTCACGCCTGTAATCCCAGGACTTTGGGAGCCCAAGGTGGGCGGATCACAAAGTCAGGAGATAGAAACCATCCTGGCTAACACGGTGAAACCCCATCTCTACCAAAAAAAAAAAAAACAAAAAAAAATCAGCCGGGTGTGGTGGCATGTGCCTGTAATCCCAACTACTTAGGAGGCTGAAGCAGGAGAATTGCTTAAACTCAGGAGGCGAGGGGGAGGTTGCAGTGAGCCGAGATCAAGCCACTGCACTCCAGCCTGGGCGACAGAGCGAGACTCCATCTCAAAAAAAAGAAAAGAAAAAAGAAATTCTCCTGTCTCAGACCCAGAGTAGCTGGGACTACAGGTCACACCACTGTGCCCGGCTGTCTTCCCAGCCTTTTATCTGGGCATTTTATCCACTTCTTAGAGTTTTCTGGCTCATAGCTGGTACTCAATAAATGCTCAGAGAAGCCTCATAACTTAGCGGTTACACACAGTTCTGGGTTTGAAACCTGTCTGCATCTTACTAATTGTGAGACCTTAGGGGAATCACTTAACTTCTGTAAAAGGGGCCAGTATATTATGCCCACCTCGTTGGGTTGTTGCAAATAACAAATAATGATGTGTGAAAGATTTAACACGGTCCCTAAGAAAAGTAAACGTAGAATTGCCATATGGGCCAGGCATGGTGGCTCAAGCCTGTAATCCCAACATCTTGACAGGCTGAGGTGGGTGGATTTCTTGGGCCCAGGAGTTCGAGACCAGCCTGGGCAACACAGTGAGACCCCTGCCTCTACAAAAAATACAAAAATTAGCCAGGCGTTGTGGCGTGTGCCTGTGGTTCCAGCTACTTGGGAGGCTGCGGTGGGAGGATGGCTTGAGCCTGGGAGTTGGAGGTTGTAGTGAGATCATGCCACTGCACTCCAGCCTGGGCGACAGAGCGAGACCCTGACTTAAAAAAAAAAAAAAAAGTTTTTTTTTTGAGACGGAGTCTCGCTATGTCGCCCAGGCTGGAGTGCAGTGGCACAATCTCTGCTCACTGCAAGCTCCGCCTCCCGGGTTCACGCCATTCTCCCGCCTCAGCCTCCCGAGTAGCTGGAACTACAGGCGCCCGCTACCATGCCTGGCTAATTTTTTTTTGTATTTTTAGTAGAGACGGGGTTTCACCATGTTAGTCAGGATGGTCTCAATCTCCTGACCTCGTGATCCACCCACCTTGGCCTCCCAAAGTGCTGGGATTACAGGCGTGAGCCACCGCGCCTGGCCAAAAAAAGTTAAGTTTTATGTTATGTGTATGTTACCATAATAATAAAAGATTTAAGAACAGAGTCTGGCAGAGTGAGCAGGACGTGCTTATTAAATCACTGAAATCAGAGTAATTAAACTGGCATTGCTGGCTTCTGACTCTTAAAGGGACATAGAGTATGTCAGTCAGTCCCCATCTCAGGCCTAGCAGATAATGGCGGCTCTAGAAATATTTGTTGATCTTTTGACTGCTTGAAATTCAAGGTGCTAAGGCCAATCACGGTGGCTCACGCCTGTAATCCCAGCACTTTGGGAGGTCGAGGCGGGTAGATCATCTGAGGTCAGGAGTTCGAGACCAGCCTGGGCAACATGGCAAAACTCTGTCTCTACTAAAAATACAAAAATAAGCTGGGTGTGGTCGCATGTGCCTGTAATCCCAGCTACTCCAGAGGCTGAGGCAGGAGAATCCCTTGAACCTGGGAGGTGGAGGTTGCAGTGAGCCAAGATCACACTACTGCACTCCAGCCTGGGTGACAGAGCAAGGCTCTGTCTCAAAACAAACAAACAAACAAACAAAAGCTCAAGGTGCTTTCTTGCTTAGCACCCAATGCCTCTGTCCACCACATGACCTGCCCTGCCCAAACCCAGGGGAATCCATGTCCCAGGGGTCTCTGTGAATGGGCCTTGGAGCCCAGGGTGCCCAGGTGCCTCCAATTCTGCCAGTTAGCTCTGTGCCAGGCTGCTCCCTGGGCCTGGAGCGCACACCTTGGCTCATTCCAACTCCTGTGTCTACACAGCTCCCAGCGACCTGGAGCTCTTCTGGGAAAAGGTGTCTGTGATCCCCTATCCCTCCAGGCAGGGCAGCCAGTCTAGAATCAAGAGGGAGTGGTGCTGTCCTCTCTCATGGGTCCCCAGGGTCTTCAGGGTGTGGGTGGCCTCTTCAGCTAGAGGCTGGAGCTTTTGGACAGCTGCTGGCAGCTCACACTGGTCCCAAGGTCACTGCAGGGGTGAGGTGGAGGGAGACGCTGGATCCTGGGAAGAGGAACTCCATGCCACACATTTTGCTGTCCCTGGCATTTCCCCACTGGGCCCTCCTCCGGTGTCAGTTTAGGGTGGAGACATCTGGCATCACCAACATCCACTGGGCAAGTCACCCTCGTCAGGACCCCAGGGGAGGGGAGGCCCTGGCAGGAGACAAAGTGATGAACCCTGGCCACTGCTCTTGGCTCCCATCCCCATCAGGGGACGCCCGCAGGCCTGAGGTCCTAGGACCCAGGAGTTTAAAGTCAAGGACAAGCGGCAGCCTTCCATCCCTCCCTGCCACAGGGGCAGCTTGACCAGGGCCCACCCCAACTGCGCTGGCTGACTTCCACGCTGCCCTTGGCAGGTGCTGGGGTCCTCTCGCTTCCTGTGGGGTGGGCTGGGGAGACGGGGGGTCTGGCCTGCATTGGGGAACGTGCAGCGAGAGGGGCCTCAGCCTAGGAGCTGGCGCCTGGCGGAAAAGAAAGAAGACAGAGGCGCAGCGGCAGGTTTCTGTACAGGAAGTCAGATTATACATTTCAGTAACGGGCGGGGTGACGGGGACGGGGCAACAGCGCAGGGGCCACAGGGAGAAGAAGAGATCGAGAGCTGGGGTTTGGCGTAAATCTTACAAAGTGTATAAAGAATCTGTGTTTCTCTACATTAACAAAAACCAAAGGCTACAAGAGCGGTTGTATATACAAAACACGGAGATATTGCTTCACTTGCAAACAGGTTCCAGACCAGATGGGGAGACGAGACAGAGGAGGGGGACAGGGAGGGCCGAGAGGGCGCGTTGCGTGCAGGAGAGGGGAGGGGAGAGGGGAGAGGGGGGGACGGGCTTCTCCCTGCATCAATCAACAGGCAGAGGTGGGAGGCCTGTGCGAGCTGCTGTGTGCGGAGGAGCGGGTGGGCGCTGAGAGCCCGGGGGGTCCGCCTGCCCCGGCCCCCGCTGCCTGGTTCTTCGGGCTTTGGCCCAGAGCACGGTTCTGGGTGGGGACGACGGGCTGGCTGGGCCACCCGGTCACGGAGGGAGGGAGGCAATCGCTCCCTAGAGTCGGCCAAGGAAAAGGGGAGAAGGCGGCGCCGTCCGCCCGTCCTCCTCGCCTCTGGCCAGCCCCGTCCATCCTGCCGCCCTCCCCACCCCGCCAAGACGCTGTGGGGACCCGAGTTTCATGGGTGCAGCAAACCGGGGCTTCTAGCTTTTCCCCGGGCAGGACGGGGTAGCACTGGCTCCTGTCCTTCCTGGGCCCCGGCCCGGCCGTGCAGAGCTCACTGGGAGGGCTGGAACGAGCCGGCCACAGAGGGACAGCAGGGAGGGGCCAGAGGATACCGTGGCGGGGGCGGGCGGAGGACGTGCACGCACGCTGGGTGGAGGCGCAGGGGTCACAGGTTCTGGCAGCACTGCAGCTTGTTGGGCTTCTGTCCGTCCGTGGTGGGCGGCACGCTGATGTCCACCACGTTGTTCCCCGGGGACTCGTCGTGGGCAGCGCGGTCTGCGATCTGTTTCTGTGACACGATGCGGTAGATCTCTGCAAAGGGGGTACAGGGGGACGTGGGGTGAGCCAGCACGTGCCCTGCCTGCCGAGGGGAACCCCTCCCTGCAGGACTCCAGAGGCCCTCTCCAGACCCCCACAGCGCCCCCATCACATCAGGGGTAACAAGGACAGGGGCTGCGCACCCAGCCAGGACCCACATCTGGTCACAGCCAGCCCCGGCCTCTCGCTCCCTAAGATCAGAAGCGCCCTCCTCCCTCAGAGGTAAACTCCCAGAAGCCAAAAGGCTCCAGGTCCCTGAGGCTACCCGCCTCCCCGCAGCGCCAAGAGTTAAGGCAGGGCCCATCCCCAGGAACTGGGGCCAGGGGGTCTCTGTGTCCCCAGTGCCAGCAAGGGCTAGACCTGGTCTGACCCTGTGAAGTGTCCAGGTGGACCGGCAGGTTTAAAAAGCAAAGGTTAGGGGTGGTGGTGGAAAAAAATCAAACAGGCCAGGTGCAGTGGCTCACGCCTGTAATCCCAGCACTTTGGGAGGCTGAGGCAGGAGGATCACTTGAGCCCAGGAGTTCGAGATCAACCTGGACAACATTGTGAAATCCTGTCTCTACTAAAAATTACAAAAATTAGCGGGTGTGGTGGCAGGCACCTGTAATCCCAGCTACTCGGGAGGCTGAGGCAGGAGAATTGCCTGAACCTGGAAGGCGGAGGTTGCAGTAAGCTGAGATCGAGCCACCACACTCCAGCCTGGGCAAAGAGCAAAAATCCATCCTGCCCCGACAAAAAAAAGAAAAAAACAAGCAAACGAACAAAACAAGCGAAGGTTCAGAGGCCGTGTTCCACCCTGCCTGGCTGGTGCCCTACCCACACCCATCTGGTCCCCGGCCACCTGTGAGGATGTTCTTGAATGCTTCCTCTACGTTAGTGGAATCCAAGGCTGAGGTCTCGATGAAGGACAAGTTGTTCTTTTCTGGAACAAAGAATACTGCCTAGGTGAGTGGGGAGGCAGGGTGACAGGCTCCCACATGCTCTCAGGGACCCCGCCCACCCACCTGGCCCATCCCAAGGCCACTCCTCAGGGAAGGGAAGCCAGGGCTGTGGCCAGGGCCCCAACACTGTGAGGGGCCTCCTGCCTTCCAGACACCTCTCTGATGCCTGCGTCTCCGTCTGCTCACCTGCGAAGGCGCGGGCCTCGTCAGTGGGCACAGCCCGCAGGTGGCGCAGGTCACTCTTGTTGCCCACCAGCATGATGACGATGTTGCTGTCTGCGTGGTCCCGCAGCTCCTTCAGCCAGCGCTCCACGTTCTCATAGGTCAGGTGCTTGGCGATGTCGTACACCAGCAGGGCGCCCACTGCACCACGGTAGTACCTGCAGGGTCAGGGGCCCATGAGCCTCTCTGGAGGACAACCATGGGCAGCGGCAGCCTCACGGGATAACAGCACACATCACGCCCAGGGTGGGTCGTCCAGGGCCGAGCCAAGGGGCAGTCATTGTGGCCTCAAGGGAAGGGTGTGTGTCTGGAGGCCCCAGCGCTGCTCCCTGGATCCAGCTCTGAAATGTGGGGGTCTGAGGAGGGAGTTTGGGAGCTGGAAATAGAAGATACCGTGAGGTCATCAAAAAAAGGGAAGAAGGGGCTGGGCATGGTGGCTCATGCCTGTAATCCCAGCACTTTGGGAGGCTGAGGCGGGTGGATCACTTGAGGCTGGGAGTTTCAGACCAGCCTGGGCAACATGGCGATACCCCATCTCTACTAGAAAAACACAAAAATTGGCCGGGGGTCGTGGCTCATGCCTGTAATCCCAGCACTTTGGGAAGCCGAGGCAGGTGGATCACGAGGTCAGGAATTCAAGATCAGCCTGGCCAAGATGGTGAAACCCCATCTCTACTAAAAATACAAAAATTAGCCAGGCGTGGTGGCAGGCGCCTGTAATCCCAGCTACTCGGGAGGCTAAGGCAGGAGAATTGCTTGAACCCTGGGGGGCGGGGGGCGGAGGTTGCAGTGAGCCGAGATTGTGACACTGCACTTCAGTCTGGATGACAGAGTGAGACTCTATCTCAAAAAAATAAATAAATAGGCCAGGCAGGGTCGCTCACGCCTGTAATCCCAGCACTTTGGGAGGCCGAGGCGGGCAGATCATGAGGTCAGGAGATCGAGACCATCCTGGCTAATGCGGTGAAACCCCATCTCTACTAAAAATACAAAAAATTAGCCAGGCGTGGTGGTGGGCGCCTGTAGTCCCAGCTGCTCAGGAGGCTGAGGCAGGAGAATGGCGTGAACCTGGGAGGCAGAGCTTGCAGTGAGCTGAGACTGCGCCACTGCACTCCAGCCTGGGCGACAGAGTGAGACTCTGTCTCAAAAACTAAAACTAAAAAATAAATAAATTAATTAATTAAATTAGCCAGGCATGGTGGCACAGGCCTGTAGCCCCAGCTACTCAGGAGGCTGAGGCAGGAGAATCGCTTGAGCCTGGGAGGTCAAGGGGGCAGTGAGCTGCAATTGTGGCACTGCACTCCAGCCTGGGCGACAGAGCAAGACCCTGTCTGTCTCCAAAAAAGAGGAGGCGACAGCCAGGCACGGTGGCTCACGCCACCTGTAATCTCAGCACTTTGGGAAGCCGAGAGGGTGGATCACCTGAGGGCGGGAGTTTGAGACCAGCCTGACCAATGTGGAGAAACCCCATCTCTACTAAAAATACAAAATTAGCCTGGTATGGCGGCATGTGCCTATAATCCCAGCTACTTGGGAGGCTGAGGCAGGAGAATCGCTTGAACCCAGGAGGCGGAGGTTGCAGTGAGCCGAGATCGTGCCATCGCACTCCAGCCTGGGCGACAAGAGTGAAACTCCATCTCAAAAAAAAAAAAACAAGAGGAGGTGACAGAGAGACAGATGTACCTGAGGGATGAAGGAGATGGGAGGGAGCCCAGAGGATCTCAAGACGGTGGTGGGAATGGCTGGGGGGCTTGGGAGGGGTCCAGAAAAAGGCAGCTGAGTGGGTCCTGATGGCTGGGAAGCCTTTGCAGGGAATGGAGGCCAGGCCCAGGTGGGAGGACAGGAGGCGTGTGGGACCAGGTGTGGGCACCAGTGAGGAGGGAAGCTGAGGGAGGAGGAAGGCTGGGATGCTGGCTGGGCAGGGGCAGCGGCAAGGCGGAGTGGCCTGAGCTAGGTCCTCACTGCACTTGGTACCCAGAGATACCCTGGTGTGGCGAAGGCTGGGCGCTGGTCAGCCTGAGGGTCCCACGGCGCATGGCTAAAGCGTTCTTCCAGCCTCACTCCCTGGTCTTGGGAGCACACTCTCCCCTTCTCCTGCCCAACTCCTACACATCCTTCCAAGCCCACGCGCTGCAAGCCCACGCCCCCGAATCTCAGCGTCCCTGCCCAGGCTGCCGACACGCACGCGGAGGTGATGGCGCGGTAGCGCTCCTGGCCAGCGGTGTCCCAGATCTGCGCCTTGATGGTCTTGCCGTCCACCTGGATGCTGCGGGTGGCGAACTCCACGCCGATGGTGCTCTTGCTCTCCAGGTTGAACTCGTTGCGGGTGAAGCGCGACAGCAGGTTGCTCTTGCCCACGCCTGAGTCCCCGATGAGCACCACTGGGCGGGAAGGCGAGGTTCTGTGAATCCCCACACTCCACCCACGACTGCCCCCACAACCTTCCCGCCGGTTCCCTGGGTGCTGCACCAACGCGGCTGCCAACGGTGTGGAGGAGTCGAGAGATGCCTGGAGCCCAGGGCCTGCAGGCACTGTGCTAAGTGGTGCAGAAGTGAAGGCAGGCTCCTGCCTTCCAGAAACAGCCACTGCGGATAGCACAACACCTGCCTGTGTCTGGTCCTCAGAGCAGGGCTGTCCCAGCTGGGGCAAGGGGACCCAGGCAGCCAGGCAGGCAGAGCAGCTTGAGATCCATCAACCCTGAGCCTCCACCTGCAGCCTGGTGGCTGGGCAGCCAGACACGGCTTGAGAAGGCTCCTGAGCGGGGTGACCTTGGGCAAGTCACTTCACCTCTGGACTACTTTTTCCAAATGTGTGAACAGGAAGGCAGTCACAGGAGGAGGAAGTAAGAGCAGGCATGGCCAGGCACGGTGGCTCCCGCCTGTAATCTCAATGCTTTGAGAGGATGAGCCAGGCGGATCACTTGAGGTCGGGAGTTCGAGACCAGCCTGGCCAACATGGTGAAATCCCGTCTCTATAAAAAATACAAAAAGTACCCGGGCGCGGTGGCTCACACCTGTAATCCCAGCACTTTGGGAGGCCGAGGCGGGTGGATCACGAGGTCAGGAGATCGAGACCATCCTGGCTAACGTGGTGAAACCCCATCTCCACTAAAAATACAATAAAATTAGCTGGGTGTGGTAGCGGGCGCCTGTAGCCCCAGCTACTTGGGAGGCTGAGGCAGGAGAATGGCGTGAATCCGGGAGGCGGAGCTTGCAGTGAGCCGAGATCACGCCACCGTACTCCAGCCTGGGTGACAGAGCGAGACTCCATCTCAAAAAAAAAAATAATAATAATAATAATTAGCTGGGCGTGGTGGCTACTGTAGCCCCAGCTACTCAGGAGGCTGAGGCAGGAGAATCGCTTGAGCCCAGGAGGTGGAGGCTGCAGTGAGCCGAGATCGAATCACTGCACTCCAGCCTAGGCAACAGAGATTCTGTCTCCCCCCACGAAAAGAGCAGGCATCGCACAGGAAGGGACACGAGTAGGCAGCTGTCACGGTTGTTGTGGTTTCTGGTCAGGGCATGGGAAGGGTCACTGCTCCAGGTATGTAAGTGACAGGACATGAGGAGCTACTCCCACCTCAACCCCCACCTCTCCTGGTGCAGCAAACCCACATCCAGCTTCGGCACAGATGGCTGAGTGGGAAACAGGAATGTGCCCTGAGGACGCAGCCCGGAGGAAAGAGCCTGCAGCCACCTCCCACCACCCCTGTCCCCAGGGTCAGGTCCCCTGCTGAGCTGCAGGGAGCTCCAGCCAAGGCTAAGTCCTCATTCAAGGGGCAGTCCGTGTGGCAGTCCACGTGTGTGCACAGCTCCTCACAAGGCTCCAACACAGGTATGCATTGTCCCAGGAGGGGGGTGCACAGCAGAGCAGCTTGCCAAGATGCAAACCCTGGCCCAGAAAGGAGTCAGCGCAGCGTGGACAGAACAGAGATGAGGGTTTGTGGGCAACAGCACCCAGGGACGGGGGCCTGAGCCCAGTCGACACGGGGTGTGCAGCAGGCCTGTCTCATGCTGGCCAAGGAGCATCAGGAACACTTTCCCTGAGCAGAGCAGGTGCCTGCTGGTCAGGCCAGGGGTGAGCTGCCTTGTAAACTGTTTCCTGTCCCAGCCATGGAAGCACTGTCCCTATGGGCCCAGCCGCCCCAGGCTCTGGGGTGGGGTCTGGGTGAGCTGTCCCCAGACCCAGAACATACCATGTGGGGAAGATCAGTGTGTGTGTGTGCACTTGAATACAGCCAACCAGACGCCCCAGCCAGAAGCCCCGTGGACCCCCAAGTGTGGGCCTTGGGCCCCGGCACCTGAGGGTGGGTTGGCTCAGTGGCTTGGTCATCCCTGGTCCCAGGGAGTTAGGGGGCATCCACTGAGGATGAGGCTTCCTTGTCTGGGAAGAGATGGGTATGGCTGTTCCTCCTGAGCTCGGGGAGGTGCTGGCAGCCAGGCTGAGCCCTGGCTGACCCAGAGGTCCGCTGGCCCCACTCGGGACCCCTGCTACATTGAGGGAGCAGGCCCTGGAGCCCACCAGGCAGCCCTCCTCTGCCCTTCCCCTGGCCACACTGTGGGGCTGTACCTACACGTTTGGAATTTTCCCTCTAGAAAACATTCTCTCCTGACCCAACTTCCTGCCTCGGGCACTGGAAGGTATCATCTACACTCACTCACTCCACCTCCTGTCCCCCAGTCCTAGAACTCAAACCAAGCACGCTTTCGCCCCCACAGTCAGTGTCAGCCTCAGCTACCCCCACTCCCCCGGGCCTGTGCAGCAGGCACCCAGCCAGCTCTCCCTCCTTCCCTGCCTGCAGGGGCTCCACACCCCGACTCCTCTCCTCACAGTCACTCCCACTCAGTCTCCCACTCTACCTTCGAACCTCAGGGAGCCTCAGGACAGGCATCTCTGTCCACACCCAGTCCCCAGGTGACCCCATCCAGGCTCATGGCTGTAAATACCAGCCATGGGCTGGTAACTCCTATATTACCTCTCTCCCTAGAAGCCCAGACTGGCGTGCCCATTGTCTCCTTCATGTCTCCTCAGGGGCCCCAGGCCCCTCATACCCAGAAGAGCAGAGCCAAGCTCCCGATCACTCCCTAAGCCTGCTCACCCACCGCTCACCTACCCTCCTTATCTTGGTTAACTTTGGCTTGGTCCTACCAGGCACTCATGCCAGAAACCTGGAGTCATTCTCGACTCCTTCCTTTCTCTCGCATCTCAGAATCAATCCTTCAGCACATCCGAAACAGATCCAAGAGAAGGGAGGACGAGGGGTGCACCCCACCATGTCTCCCTGGGCGATTCCATTCCAGACTCTCAGACCCTGGAAGGTATTGTCTGTGCGGTCCCTGTGTTCACGCTCATCACCAACCAAAACGCTGTCCTCCTGCAGCAGCCACCAGAGAGCGCCCGTGAGTGCCGAGCCAGGGCACCTCCCTCCCTCCTCTGCAGACAACCCTCCGTGGCCCCCACCTTCCGCAGGGGAAAAGCCACAGTCCTCCCCGCTGCCCACAGGGCCCTCCCCTCCTCCCTCCCGCCCCCCCCCCGGCTCACTCTGCTCCAGCCACACAGGCCTCCATGCTGTTCCCCCAACACGCCAGGTGCGATCCTGCCTCAGGGCCTTTGCACGGGTTGCTCCTGCTGCCAGAAACGCTCTTCTCCAGGCACACACCTGGCTCCCTCCCTCATCCCCTTCGTGTGGCCCCTTAAATGCCACTTGGCCAAGAAGGCCCTCCCTGCTATGCTACTAAAACTCTACTCTCCGAATTACCCTGCTCCCGGACCCAGTTCTTCCTCCGTCACTCTTGCCACTCTCTCACCTGTCAGGTGGCATTTATCTTTTGCCAGTCTGCCCCAAGGGCAGGAATCAGGTCCTGGCACAGTGCTTGGCACACAATAAACACCCAAGAAAATGTCTGTCAAGTGAACAAACAAAATGCCAAAAAGGCTGGCAGAGCCTCCCACGCATGCCGCCTGCCCCATACCTAGAGGATGCCAGGTCACCACCCTTGGGCCACAGGTGAGGAGGGCAGGATCAGGCAGCCCCTACAACCCCACCTGGTACCCGCTCTGGTTGGCTGCTTGGAAGCCAAGAATAACAAGAACAAGGAGAATATTCGATGAGCTTGTGCTAACAAAGCTCTTGATGTGCGTTACTTCGCAGAAGCCTCCTGTAGCCCATTTTTACAGATGAGGAAACTGAGGCTTGGATGGGGAACGGGGTGCGGGGCAGAGCAGGACCCTGAAGCTATGCATGTTTGTGGGCTCGCCCTCACCTCCCAACGGTGCTCCCCAAGTGACTTGTCTGGAGCCACCGCCTGGGAAGTGAGCCAGGCAGGATTTGAACCCAGGTCTTCTGCATCCACAGTCCAAGTTCTTCCTTCGCAACTCACTGCCACACTCACTGTCCTACCCCAAACCCCAGCACGTGGCTCGGGAGTCGTGGTTCTGCCTTATGGGGTGGGCATTGAGGCTCTGGGCACCCCAGCTCCCACCGCATAGGGCAGCCTGTCCCCCTGGGGCGGCCAGCAAACTCCTACTCATCCTTCAAGACCCCTCGGCTCAGACCTCTCCTCTCCCCAAAGACCACTGCTTGGCCTGGCGTGAAAGACCTAAGACAACGGGGCTGGCATTCTCTCACGTCACCATGGGTGCCCCGCACAGGGCTACCAAGTGGACTTCAGAGAAAGACAGAAAGATGGCCGGGTACAGTGGCTCATGCCTGTAATCCTGTAATCCCAGCACTTGGGGAGGCCGAGGCAGGCGGATCATTTGAGGTCAGGAGTTTGAGACCAACCTGACTAACATGGTGAAACCCCGTCTCTATGAAAAATACAAAAATTAGCCGGGTGTGGTGGTGGAGGCTGAGGCAAGAGAATCATTTGAACCTGGGAGGCGGAGGTTGCAGTGAGCCGGGATCGTGCCACTGCACTCCAAGCTGGGCGACACAGCGAGACTCCATCTCAAAAAAAAAAAAAAAAAAAAGAAAGATGGAAAGAGGTGGAGTGAATGTAGGCGTGTGGCCCAGCACCTCCCAACCAAGCCAGTAGGGATGAGAATCGGCTCCCAGGCCACTGGGGGCCAAGATGGACTCACTGTGAGGGCCCCCATCTACACCACCAACCTTAACCTCCTTTCCACGGCAGCTACGGGAGCCTGGCCAAGGCCAGGGAGGTCTGCTCAGTTCTCACGTCCTCAGGAAATAAGACAGGAAACTCGGGCCCTGCCCAGGCATTCCCGACACCTTCACACCATTCCAGCCTTGCCCCAGCTGTACAGCCTTAGTGGCTCCTCAGCCCCATCAGTTTGTTTGTTTTTGTTTGTTTGTATTGAGATGGAATCTCCCTCGCCCAGGCTGGAGTGCACTGACACAATCTCAGCTCACTGTACTCTCCGCCTCCTGAGTTCAAGAGATCCTCCTGCCTCAGCCTCCCGAGTAGCCGGGATTATAGGCGTGCACCACGACGCCCAGATAATTTTTGTATTTTTAGTAGAGGTGGGGTTTTGCCATGTTGGCCAGGCTGTCTCAAACTCCTGACTTCAAGTGATTCACCCACCTCGGCCTTCCAAAGTACTAGGATTCCAGGCGTGAGCCATGGCACCCAGCCCCATCAGTTTTGCCCTCAAGCACTTTGGCCAGGCTGGGTCCCCAGTGCTTTGCAGGCCTCAGCTGTCCACATTCTCAGGGCTGCCCCAGGGACAGATGTAAATATTATCATTCTCCCTGAACAGCTGGGGACACTCAACCCAGAGTGACCAAGTCAGAGCAAAGGCCAAATGGCCACTGAACAGATCAATGACAGGCCAGGTGCAGTGGCTCACGCCTGTAATCCCAGCACTTTGGGAGGCCAAGGCGGGTGGATCACTTGAGCTCAGGAGTTCGAGACCAGCCTGTCAACATGGCGAAACCCCGTCTCTACTAAAAATACAAAAAATAGGTGGGCATGGTGGTAGGCACCTGTAATCCCAGCTACTCAGGAGGCTGAGGCAGGAGAATCATTTGAACCCAGGAGGCGGAGGTTGCAGTGAGCTGACACTAAGCCACTGCACTCCAGTCTGGGTGACAAAACAGGTGAATGGCAAAGAGGCTGAGCTGCCCAACCAGTCCCTGGCACTGGGTGCCCGATGCAGAGAGGTGGCCAGCGGGGCAGTGGCGGGCTGGTCCAGGATGCAGGCTGGGGATGAAAACTTCATTGTCTAGGACACAAGCAATCTGTTGTCTTGGGGAAATAAAGAGCCCTTGAGGACACAGCTCCGAGCATTTCCACAGAAGTTGGTGGCTTCACTGGCTGGGAAGCGACCCCCCTACCCCAGACACGCCACTTGGCTGACAGAGCAGGCAAGCCCGGTTGGCAAAAACAAAGAACTGGCACCTCTGAGAAGTCCTAGGTGCCCTGGCCTGCCCCATGACAGTGTGGTGGCCCTGGGGGCCCAGACCCTAATGCTCAGGCAGACTGAGAGACTCTTCAGGGGAATGGTGCCCCCATTCCGGCAGAGCCTGGCGGAGCCAAGCAGTGCCCCCATCCCTCCCCTGGAAGCTGGTCCTAAGCATCCTAGGCCCCAGGGACCGGCACTGGGGGCCACTCTTGTCTCAGCTCTTCTATGGGGAGGTGTACAGAGCCAGGGCACTGGAGGGACCCCCATTCTAAATGGGGAAGATGGTATGTTTGGGTCCCCAAACAGCAACTGGAACAGCAGGCCCACTGTGAGGTCTGCCCAGGCTTGAGGGCTGGGAGCTGCCTCAGGAGCCTCAGCACAGAAAGGGAAGCACCAGGCAGGCCCCTTCCCTGGGGACAGGGGCCACCTTGTCCTTGGGCAGGGGAGGGGTGGACAAGACCCAGAGGACAGGGCCTGGGGCAGCTGCGGCCCGTTTCCCCCACGACCCATGTCCTCCAGGGCCAGGTGAGCCCTGATTGGCCAGGGCCTCTAGGGTAGGGGAAGGGCTCTGAGAGGACCTCAGTGGCCCTTGGGGACACAGCTGCAACCATGGAGTACCGAGTCCATCAGAAAAGAAATCTGGGGTCCCACGGCAATTAGTGGCAGGCTATGAAAATGGCCCATGGCTAAAGGAGAAAATGTTAGGAGGATAAATGTGAGGCTCTATAATTAGGTACAAATCAACAGTGTCATTCCTGGGGGAAGGAAAGAACATTCACGAAGGAAAACAAATGGCACACGGGGCATCACCCGGGGGATCTGCTGGCCTTGGCCGCTGAAGTCAAGGGAGCCAGTGCGTGATGTGGCCACCAAAAAAAAAAAAAAAAATGCAGAGGCCAGGCACGGTGGCTCATGCCTGTAATCCCAGCACTTTGGGAGGCCGAGACAGGTGGATCACCTGAGGTCAGGAGTTCAAGATCAGCTGGCCAACATGGTGAAACCCCGTATCTACTAAAATACAAAAATTAGCCGGGTGTGGTGGGTGCTTGTAATCCCAGCTACTCGGGAGGCTGAGGCAGGAGAATCGTTTGAACCCGGGAGACGGAGGCTGCAGTGAGCCGAGATTGCGCCACTGCACTCCAGGCTGGGTGACTAGAGTAAAATTCTGTCTCAAAAAAAAAAAAAAAAAAAAAAGAAAAGAAAAAGGAAAAGAAAAATATTGAAAGAGAATAGAGGAGGTCCTCTGATGAGGCACAGCTGTGAAGGTGAGACGGCAGATGACCAGTTTGGGAAAAGCTGAACTTGTGGGTTAGATTTTTGCTACCAACTAGCTTGAGAAGGTCAGCAGGGCACCTGCTAGACTCAGTAAAAGGAGGCCAGTGTGGGGAGGGCAGCAGGGCAGGCACCGCCCCCCCCCACCCCACACCGCCTGCCCGCCAAATGCCAGATGCCGCAGAAGCTAAATCAGTGTTTCCAGGAAGCAGTCTCTGCAGACAAGTCCCGGGAACCACACAGCCTCTCCATTGCTCCTGACCCAGTAACTGTTCTGCTGGGAACGCACTTCAAGGAAATAATCTAAAGGGCAAAACCATGACTTGAGCAAGCACTCGGAGCTGGGTCATTTAACACAGCAAAAGGGCAAAAATAACAAGCAGGGGATAACCACAGAAACCTGGATGGGGCATGTGGGGAGCAACACCCCTGCCCTGGCAGTGCCACGTCTGGGTGGGTGCCCAGCCAGGACCTGGGAGCAGCTGCCTCACGGTGGGCTGAGTGGAGATGGCACCCGATCAGCAGGACCCAAAGTTTAGTCCCCCTGTCTCCAGACGGCCCCTTAGAATCCCAGTCTCCAAAACCCTTCCAAAGCTTCCTCCTGCCACGAGGGGCGAGACCTTGGGCCGGGCACCTGCTGACCACAGAGCCTCACCCACCAGTGACATTATCAACCTGTGTGCAGCTGCCAGAGCCCTCAGTGCCACAGGACGACTCTAGGCCCTTGTAGAGGCACTTCCTCTCCCTCCCCCCGGAAGGCTTTCGCCACACGGACAGCCCAGGTGGGGAGACCTCTGCCTCATTCCCCACAATCAGAAGACGCTGGATGAGACCAGACACAAGGCCCAGCTAGGCCTGGTGCAAGCCACAGAGCACACTCGGAGGAACGGCTCAGCGAGGTGAGGATACCAACAGCTGATGTGCGACGCAGGCCCTCATAGAGCAGGCCGCAGGGTGAAGGCACCTTGGATCCAGGGGTTAGCCCTCAAGGGCTGCCATTGTCAGCCAGGGAGCCCAGCAACCAGGGCAGACCACTAGGCCAAAGTGTAGCTGGGCACAGAAGGCTCAGCTGAGAAACAAGGGACTCCGGCTTCCTCCAGCTGTCCCTAAATGGGCAATGGCTGCCTGATCTACCTAGGCCTTATGTGATGCTCCTAGAGCCCCCTCAGTCCCTCGGGCGGGGAAGACCCTCCAGCAGGCTGGCTGGGGCCCCGGCCATCAGTGCGCACGTGTTGGAAGAAGTTGGTCCAACAACCCAAAGTCCCAGATGCTGGCCACAAGCCCCCTAAGACACGCTTCCTAAGTGGTAAGGCCTACAGGTGGCCTGGGCTCAATCGGGTTCCAACACTTATAAACTGTGTCTTTGTCACTCTGGGCCTCAGTTTCCCAACGTGTAAAAAGAGAGGCTGGTTAGTATCAACCTCAAAGGGCTGCAGTGAGGATTTTAGTTAATTCGGGTAAAGTGCTCAGAAAAGTGCAAGTACTGGCTTAGCACTGTTGAGAGTTCTGAGTGAAGAGATGGAATTCTTGCTGCACACACGGGTGCCTTTCCACTCAATCCCAGCTTTGCACCCCAATCCAAGGCTCCCACCACCACACACCTCACCCCCAGGCCCTCATCTCGGCCCAGCCCCCATTGCCTGCCCCGCCTCTCCCGGGCCCCACCCCCAAACACGCTGCCCCAATCAGGACAAGCCTCGTGAGAGCCCCGCCTCCGTTTGCCCAGGCCCAACCCACCTATTGGTCACGCCCATCACGCCTTAGCCCCGCCCCTAAAAACCCCGCCCCCATCCCGAATCACGCTTTCAGCCCAGCCCGGCCCGCCAAATCTTGGGAAAGCTCCACCCCCTGCGGAGGCCCCGCCCTAACAGCCTCTCCCACCGCTCCGGGCCCCACCCCCTCTAGGCTCTGGCCCCGCCCCGGCGCGTCCTAGGTCCCCCAGGTCTCTCCGGGCCTCCGGCTCCGTATAGCCGCGCATCCTAGCCCGAAGCTGATGCTGCCCGGTCGGCTCCGGCCTTCCCGGCTGCCTGACCCGCCGGGCCCCAAGCCCCGGGCTCCGGCCTGGGCCCAGCGGCCTGGAGCGCGGCCTTGGCCCGTCTGCCCGCCGCCTCGCCGCCACGACTTCGCCCGTCTGTGCCCCACCGGCCGCACCTTTGAATAGGTAGTCGTACTCGTCGTCCCGGGTCCCCATTGTCCTGGCGCTTCCGGCGGGATCGGCGACTCCGCAGCCCCACCACAAACACCCGACGGGGGCGGAGCCGGCGCCGCGCAGAGCGGCGGTTGAATGGCCTATCAGCGGCGAGTGGAGTAGCGACGGGCACCCAGCGAAGCCAATCAGAGATGGAAGTAGTGCTCTGAGGGTGGGCGCCGCTTGGTACCACCCTCCTCGCCCTCGGTGTCCTGGAGAAAGGCGGAAGGAATGCGGACCTTTTTGAAGTGACGGACGCGCCAGCCTATCAGGGGCGAGCTCAAGAGGGCGGGGCGGAAGACTGCAGGAATGAAATGGATTGACAGACCAAATAACTAATGAGAGGCTTGATTGAGAACCTACCCGACTATCAGAGGACCTGTCCGGGAAGAGAAATGGGGCTACGTCCAGGTAATGCTACGATGCTTAACGTCCCGATGACGTCATAGGTCAGCGCGCGCTGCCCTGGTCGCCCCCCAAGCCCATAAATGACCATTTCCGGGGACCTCAGCGCTGGGTCCCCTTTCTCGGTTGCAGTCTCCATCTCTATATTGGGACTCACTGGGTTATCCTTCTGTGCCTCAGTTTCCTCCTCTGTAAACTGAAGAAACCCGTCTCATGGAATCTTTTGAAAATAACCAGATCAGCCAGGCGCGGTGGCTCACGCCTGTAATTCCAGGACTTTGGGAGGCCGAGGCTGGCGGATCACGAGGTCAGGAGTTCGAGACCAGCCTGACCAACATGGTGAAACCCCGTTTCTACTAAAAATACAAAAATTAGTCGGGCGTGGTCGCTGGTGCCTGTAAACCCAGCTACTCAGGAGGTTGAGGCAGGAGAATCGCTTGAACCTGGGAGGTGGAGGTTGCAGTGAGCCGAGATTGCACCAAGTGTGAATCAACCGTCCACTTTCTGCTATTCTTTGTTAAATAAATACTTTTAAATCCTTACTGGATACCAATGCTCTCCAACAGGACCTCCTACCACTACCCCTCTTTTGTCCTATATTTTGCCACATAGGTAAAATATAAAAATAGGTAATATAGAAAATAAAACACATACTGCTGTATTGTCAGGTAGTGATAGGATTTATCACTACCTGACAATACAGTATGTGTTTGTTTTATATATTTAGGGTGTACAGCGTGTGTTTTGATACACATGTACCCAGTGAAATAATAATTATGACAGTTTTTTTTTTTTTTTTTGAGACGGAGTTTTGCTGTCGTTGCCCAGGCTGAAGTGCAATGGTGTGCTCTCGGCTCACTGCAGCCTCTGCCTCCCGGGTTCAAGCGATTCTCATGCCTCAGCCTCCCGAATAGCTGGGATTACAGGCATGCACCACCATGCTTGGCTAATTTTTTTGTATTTTTAGTAGAGACGGGGTTTCTCCATGTTGGTCAGGCTGATCTCGAACTCCTGACCTCAGGTGATTCGCCCACCTTGGCCTCCCAAAGTGCTGGGATTACAGGCATTTTCACCACACATGGCCAATTATGAGAGTTAAGCAATTAACCTATCCATTGCCTTCCATAATTAACTGTGTGTGTAGTGAGAGTATCTAAAATGTACTTTCTTGGCAAATTTTCAATATACTATGCAAAATTATTAACACAAAGTATACGTTACTTTTTGTTTGTTTGTTTTGGCTGGCTGCGGTGGCTTATGCCTAAAAACATGCCCTTTGAGGAGGCTGAGGTGGGAGGATCACTTGAGGCCAGGAGCTAGAGACCAGCCTAGGCAACATGTCAAAACCCAGTCTCTCAAAAAAAAAAAAAAAAAAAGAAAAAAAGGAAAAAAAAGAGAAAAGGAAAAAAAAGAAAAGAACAACAACAAAAATTAGCCAGATGTGGTGCATCATGCCAGGGTCCCAGATACTTGGGAGGCCAAGGCGGGAGGATCATTCGAGCCTGGGAAATCGAGGCTGCAGTGAGCCATGATCACCCCACTGCACTCCAGCTTGGGTAACAGAGCAAGACCCTGTCTCAAAAAAAAAAAAGCCTTGCTTTCCTGACCCATTGATCTGTTTGTTTTTTGTCCTCTGTCAGCAGCATATCAGCCTGATGACATCAGGGACTGTATCTGTCCCCATCATTGCTGTAAGTTCCCCACTGCTGAATAAATACGTTTATTTATTCAGTGGTGAATAATCTAAGCCTAGAGTCAATGTACTAGTTATTAGAGCAGATGCCATTATCGCCTCTTGGATCTCATTCCCAGGGTGTTCATTGGGCATCTGTCAAAAAAACAAAATTACAACACATTTAGTTTAAAGATCTTAATTGATTTTATTTGCAATTCTACAATCGGGCAACACTTCATTTCACAAAATGAAACTAATTTTCCCATGAGCTGAGCAGGTAGGTTGGTTTTACAGGCAGAAAAAGGGCCAAGTAAAGCACAAACAGAAAATAAAACGTGGAGGTCAGGTGCAGTGGCTCATGCCTGTAATCCCAGCACTTTGGAGGCCGAGGCAGGCAGATCACCCGAGGTCAGGAGTTCGAGACCAGCTTGACCAACATGATAATGATGATGAAACCCTATCTCTACTAACAATACAAAAATATTAGCCGGGCGCGGTGGCAGGTGCCTGTAATCCCAGCTACTCAGGAGGTTGAGGCAGGAGAATCACTTGAACCAGGGAGGCGGAGGTTGCAGTGAGCGAAGATCACACCATTGCACTCCAGCCTGGGAGAGCAGAGCAAAACTCCGACTCAAAAAAAAAGAAAAAAAGAAAAGAAAACTTGGATTGGTCATTTTAAAGTTTCCTTTTGGAGTCTGAGTCTTGCTCTGTCACCCAGGCTGGAGTGCAGTGGTGCGATCATAGCTCACTGCAACCTCAACTTCCTGGGATCAAGCAATCTTCCCACCTCAGCCTCCTGAGGAGCTAGGATCACAGGTGTGTGCCACCATGCCCAGCTAATTTTTTTTTTCCAGAGACAGGGTCTTGCCTTGTTGGCCAGGCTGGATTTGAACTCCTGAACTCAAGCAATCCTCCTGCCTTGGCCTCCCAAAGTGCTGGGATTACAGGCATGAGCCACCACCGCACTCAGCCCAAAGTTACTTTTCTTGTAAAGGTTAAAGCAGAGAGGACATCCTTATCATGATGGCTAAAACTGACCTGGTGGGAGACTTGGCTATCCCATCTCTCTCTCTCCTGATTTTGTAGAAGGTCAGATAAACAACTTAGTTTCTTTTTGATCACGTAAAACTTTAGCATGAGTGACTCCATTTTGGTTTAGTTTGTTGGGCCTGGTGTAGGAAGTCAGTCCAAAGTAATAGCCTCCTATAAGTTTTGTATAACACATCCTGTGTCCAGATTGGTGGGTTCTTGGTCTTGCTGACTCCAAGAATGAAGCCACAGACCCTCCGGTGAGTGTTACGGTTCTGAAAGATGGTGTGTCCAGAGTTTGTTCCTTCTGATATTCAGACATGTCTAGAGTTTCTTGCTTCTGGTGGGCTTTTGGTCTCGCTGACTTCAGGAGTGAAACTGCAGACCTTTGCGGTGAGTGTTACAGCTCATAAAGGCAGTGCGCACCCAAAGAGTGAGCAGCAGCAGGAT
This sequence comes from Homo sapiens, assembly GCF_000001405.40. Lineage (NCBI taxonomy): Eukaryota > Metazoa > Chordata > Mammalia > Primates > Hominidae > Homo > Homo sapiens. The sequence continues at coordinate 8,386,860 of NC_000019.10, read as the reverse complement.
TTACTGGGAAGAGTGAAAGAACAAAGTTTCCACAGCATGGAAGGGGACCCAAGCACGTTGCCGCTGCTGGCTGCGGTGTCCTGCTTTTATTCCCTTATTTGGCCCCACCTACATCCTGCTGATTGGTCCATTTTACAGAGAGCTGATTGGTCCACTTTACAGAGTGCTGATTGGTCCGTTTTACAGAGTGCTGATTGGTCCGTTTTGACAGAGTGCTGATTGGTGCATTTACAAACCTTTAGCTAGACACAGAGTGCTGATTGGTGCATTTACAATCCTTTAGCTAGACAGGAAAGTTCTCTAAGTCCCCTACGCGATTAGTTAGACACAGAGCGCTGATTGGTGCATTTACAAACCTTTAGCTAGACACAGAGCGCTGATTGGTGCATTTGCAATCCTTTAGCTAGACAGAAAAGTTCTCCAAGTCCCTACTCAACCAAGAAGCCCAGCCGGCTTCACCTCTCAATCACCCCTCTAAACAGAACACCCCAACTGCTGTTGGGAATTTGGCCGATGACCACTCTAGCTACTTCCTGCTGGAAGAAGGGGCCCTGCAATTGTAGTGTCCTCCAGAGGGGAACTCTTTAGGCCAGTGGAAGGGCCAGTGGGTCGGTCCAGGGGTCCTCAGTAGAAGTTGTTAGTTGAACTCATTTGGGGTTCCATTTTTAAGACCATCTGTAGCTTGATGGCCTCGATTCTAGAAGAAACAAATTTGACAAGAAGGTTAAAAATGCAGGGCCCAAAGGTGAGTAAGAGCAAGATGGCTGCCACAGGACCTAGGGGAGAAGCCATGTTGCCCAACTCCAGAGGTTGGTATTAGAGTTCGAAAGGCATTGTCTGATTTCAGAAGCCTTTTCCTGTAAATGCCAGGTGGCATCTCGTGCTATCCCTGACTGTTTAGTGTAAAAACAACACTCTTCCCCTAAGAAGGTGCAGAGTCCTCCTTTCTCAGCAGTGAGGAGGTCTAGGCCTCAGTGGTTTTGGAGAGTTGCTGCTGCCAAAGAGTATATTTGGGATTGTAGAGTAAGGATAGATTTTGTTATTTCTTACAAACTGTCTGAGAAATCCTTTGAAGGTGTATGGTAGTAGAATAATGAAGTGGATAAACTGGCTATTCCGGTTCCTGTAGCAGTAGCCATTCCTAACCCTATAAGTAGGGATATTAGTTGTATGGCCCTGCGCTGATAGACTTGAGCTTTGAGGGGCACAGATACGGTCTGATTTCCATAAGATTAGAAGTTAGGATAATACATGTTACACTGTTAACTTTTTTAGCAAACTTTACTTTTGTTGAAAACCTTGTAAGTTTGGGATTTCAATTATTCTTTGCTATTAGTAAGACCTTGTTCAGTCCATATTAACTTAGAATTGGTATAGATGGCTGCTTCCTGATTCTGTAAGTACTTTAAGATTTGGCTGAGTGGAAACAACTGGCATGTTTGAGCAGACCAATTATTAGGCAATTTTCCTAACTCTGCATCTACAAGAGTTTCCTTATCACTTACTGAATACCCATTGTGTCTTTTTCCCTTAATCGCCTGGGAGGAACCATCTATCATCCTGTCCTGAAGGGAGTTCCTCCTAGATCTGGTCAGACCTTTGTATGGTAATTAATTAAGATTTAGATCTCCTGTTAGGAAACCTGCTGGGTTAAGGATTTTTGATAGGAAGGCTACAGGTTGTCAGTGGCCTCAGTGCTTTCCGGCTATGCCCTTGTTTACACTGACAACAAGGTGGTATTGGAGTGTTATAAGGTTACAGAGAAGACCTTCAATTATCAATTATAGGTTTTAAATTTACGCTAGGGTACACTTTTTTTTTTTTACTACTTCTATCTCCTTTTCTCTTTGACTTCTTCTTTGTCTCTGTCTCTTCCTCTCTGTCTCCTTCTCTTTGTCTCTCTGTTTCTTCCTCTCTTCTCTCTTTCTCTGACTTCCTGTCTCTTTCTCTCTTTCCTTTCTGCTGGTCTTTCCCTGCCTCTGCTAGCCACTTATGCTGCTGTTCTCCCCTCTTCTTCCCATTTTTGATGGCTTCGGCTGTGTAAGACTGCCACCTCCTTGGGTTTTTGCACTGTGTGCAATAACTCCATGGTTTCCTTGTGGTATTTAATGGGGGTTCCCCCAGAGGTTAGAAACTCCCTTTCTTTCCATATTGCGGCATGGGCATGTAGGATTAGGTAAGCATACTTGCTATATGTATACACATTTATTCTTTTTCCGTTTCCCAGTTCTAAGGCTCAGGTAAGTGCCACTAGTTCTGCTAACTGGGCGCTGGTCCCTGGGGGAAGAGGCTTACTTTCAAGTACAGTTACATCACTAACTATGGCATAACCTGCCCTTCATATCCCATTCTCCACAAATGAACTTCCATCAGTATATAGGTTAAGGTCAAGATTAGCTAAGGGGACTTCTAAGAGATCCTCTTGGGCAGCATAATTCTGGGCTATAATTTGTTGGCAGTCATGCTCAATTGGTTCCTCATACTCTGGGAGAAAAGTGGCAGGGTTGAGGGCCACACATGTGCATATTTGAAGCACCAGCCCCTCAAGGAATAGTGCCTGGTATCTAAGTAGGCGATTGTCTGATAGCCATAAACTTTCTTTAGCACCTAGGTTGCCATTTACATCATGAGTAGTCCAGACAGTGAGATCCTTTCCTTGTATTATTTTGATAGCCTCTGACACTAAGACAGCCACTGCTGCAACTACCCATAAGCAATGAGGCCAGCCATTTGCTACTACATCAGTTTCCTTACTTAGGTATGCCACTGGTTGTGGGGTTATCCCATGAGTCTGAGTAAGGACTCCAAGAGCTATCCCTGCTCTCTCTGTGATGTTTTGTCCTGTGGGAAGGCTTAAAGCTGGAGCTTGTACTAGGGCCTGCTTTAAGGTTTTGAAGGCTGTTTCTGCCCCTGGTTCCCATTCTACTAGATGAGTATTTGCCCTCTGGGTCTCCTTGATTAGAGTATAGAGGGGCCTGGCTATCTCGCTGTATCTGGGGATCCACAATCAGCAAAAGCTGGTGATTTCAAGGAACCCCTGCAACTGTTAAATGTCTTAGGGTGAGGATAAGCCAGTATAGGCTGTATTTGTTCCTTGCTGAGGGCCCTGATTCCTCTGGCTAAGATTAGGCCTAGATATTTGACCTGCTGTAGGCAAAGCTGGGCCTTCGACCTAGATGCCTTGTACCCTTGATTAGCTAGAAAGTTCAAGAGATCTAGAGTAGCCTGCTGGCATGAGGCTTCTGAACTAGTAGCCAAAAGTAAATCATCCACATACTGAAGGACCAGAGCACCTGGATTTGAGAAGTGGCCTAGATCTTGAGCCAGTGCCTGACCAAACAGATGAGGGCTATCCCTAAACCCTTGGGGCAAGACCATCCACGTAAGTTGGGACGTGTGGTCTGTGGGATCCTCAAAGGCAAAGAGAAACTGAGAGTCAGAGTGCAGGGGAATACAGAAGAAGGCATCCTTGAGGTCCAGAACAGTGAACCATTCTGCTTCCTCTGGTATTTGAGAGAGCAGGGTATAGGGGTTGGATACAACTGGATATAGAAAAATTATTGCCTCATCGATGAGTCTAAGATCTTGCACTAGTCTCCATTGACCATTTGGTTTTTGTACTCCTAGAATTGGGGTGTTGCAGGGACTGCTGCATTTCCTTACTAAGCCTTGAGCTTTTAAATGTTTAACAATATCCTGTAATCCTTTATAAGCTTCAGGCTTTAAGGAATATTGCCTTTGATAAGGAAATGTGGTGGGATCTTTTACCCTGATTTGGACTGGGTGGGCATTTTTTGCCCTTCCAAATTGTCCTTCCAATGCCCAGACTTCAGGCTTGATTTCATCCTCAAGTAGGGGACAACAAATGGGAAACTTGTTCCCCATATTCATGTAGATAATAGCTCCAGCTTTGGCTAATATATCCCTCCCTAATAAGGGTGTGGGACTTTCAGGCATAACAAGAAAGGCATGTGAAAAGAGCAAAGTCTCCCAATTACAACTGAGGAGGTGGGAGAAATACCTGGTTACAGGCTGTCCCAGGATTCCTCAGATGGTAACGGACCTGGAGGACAGCTGTTCAGGACAGGAAATTAACACTGAGAAAGCCGCACCAGTGTCCAGGAGGAAGTCAATTTCCTGGCTGTCAATGGTTAAAGTTACCTGGGGCTCAGTGAGAGTGATGACATGAGCTGACACTTGCCCCAGGCACCCTCAGTCCTGTTGTTGGATCATCTGGTTGGGGGCTTCTGTCCCAGAGAAGCTTTGTCCTCTGGGGCAGTGTGCCTTCCAGTGATTGCCTTGGCATAGGGGACATGGACAAGGGGGCAGCTTGTTTCTCATTGGACAATCTTTTTTAAAGTGTCCTTGCAAACCACACTGCTAACAAGCCATACTGGATGATTGGCCTGCTCCATTTTCTGTCCTCTCTGAACCACCAAGGTTTGTTTGTCTGAGGGCCATGACTAAGTCTGCGGCCTTTCTCTGATCTCACTTTTCCTTTTGGGCCTGTTCCTCTTGGTCCCTGTTATAGAACAGTGAGGTTGCCAGGTTTAATAATGCCTCTAGATTTTGTTCAGGGCACAGGGCTCACTTTTGGAGCTTTCTCCTGATATCTGTGGCTGATTGGATAATAAACTTATCTTTTAGGATCAATTGACCCTTGAGTGATTTGGGTGACAGGGGAGTATATTTTCTTAAGGCCTTCTGTAGCCACTCGAGGAAGGCAGAAGGATTTTCTTCCTTTCCCTGAGTTATGGTGGACATCAGTGAATAATTCATGGGCTTCTTCCTAATTATCCTTAGTCCTTCTAGAACATAGGTCAACAGATGTTTATGACTCCAGTCCCCATGATCTGAATTGAAGTCCCAGTGGGGATCCATACTGGGGATGGCTTGCTGACCAGTAGGGAATTTGTCCCTTTCTTCAGCTGTCATTCTATCATTTACTTAACTAAGATACCAGGTACCTCCAAAGTCTTGGGCTGCAGCTAAAGCTGCATTATTTTCATTAAAGGCCAGGGTTTGATCTAACAATAGCATGACATCTCTCCAAGTGAGATTGAAGATTTGCCCTAGACCCTGTAGGACATCTATGTACCTATCAGGATCATCTGAAAACTTCCCCAGGTGTGCCTTGATCTGCTTTAAATCAGAGAGGGAGAAGTAGACATGTACCCATGTTAGGCCAAATTCCCCTCCCGCTACAATTTGAAGGGGACATAACCGACAGCCCAGGGGAGTTTTGTGGTCCTTTGGAGATTTCTTTGCTTATTTCCTTCTGGGCAGGGGAGATTAGAGGAGGCTTGTCACTAATACGAAGGGGAGCTGTAGGGAGGCTAGGATATGGGGGTAAGCTGAAAGGTTCTCCTGTGGGATGTAAATTGCAACCTTTGCATAGATGTGTATTCTCCTTTAATGAAAGGAAAGCTTGGACATAACTATTTCACTCCATTTGCCTTTCTCTTACAGAAAAGGTCAAGCTGCAGGATAGTATTGTAATTTGTACTTCCCTCAGATGGCCATTTTTCCCCATCAGAGAGAGAATATTGGGGCCAGGCCACAGTGCAGAAAAAAATGAGCTGCCTCTTTTTCAGGGTTTGCAGGTCAGACTGGTCCCAATGGCCTAGGATGCATTTCAAGGGTGAGCCTGTTGATGCCTGTTTCCCATCTGAAAGACAAAACCACCCACGATTTTGGTGTGTTTTTCTTCTCCCCCTGCCCAAGAATCCACAATGGTCCTTGGGCCCTGCTGATCGGAATAGTTGCGCTCACTGATGCAGCAGCAGAAACAACCCCTGCCCAAGAACCCGTAATGGTCACTAGACCCTGCTGATTGGAATAGTTGCACTCACCAACGCAGCAGCAGAAACAGTAGCTTTCCTCCCAGACCACAAGGAGAACCGAGGAAGGTCGGATTTAGTGGCCCTTACCAACGCATTCTCAAAAAACCTGCACCCTTGCCTGTCCTCCTAGACCACAAAGATGACCGAGAAAAATTGGATTTAGTGGCCCTTACCAACACATTCTCGAAAACCTGTTACAGTCCTAAGCATTCTCCTTTTAGTATTGGGACCTTACCAATTTCCTACAATGATGTTATGCCCCAAAAATGAAGTGGAGGGCCATACCATGAGGGAAGGAAGGGATCTCCAGGGTTGGAAGAGTGACACCTTTTGTCCTCACTTATATGAATAGGAAGAATACAATTTCTGAGGCTCCCCATATCCTAGCTTCAGGAATAGCTTTTATTAGTCCTGCTTGTCTGAGGAGGGATCCTAAAATTCCAGATAGCCCCCCTACAACAGGGCTTTGGGCAAAAATTATGTCTTTCTGATTAGTGAGCCTAGGTGCCTAAAGAAGGTAACAGAGTCCTGAAGTTTATACTAGAAGTCATTCTTATAGGAGAAACTAGAAAAGCACCAGAGACAGGGAGTGGTTTTTAGAGGTGGGACTAGCCTCGGAGAAGAGAGGCGAGAGGAAGTTTGTCTGACAGGCATTAGGACCCAGGAGGCAAGGGTCAGGACAGATAGGATAGATGGGCGAGTCTCACTTGGGCGACATGACTTTGAGAGTTCTGCTCATGGCCACAGGATCAACCAACTTGTTGTCAAGACCCCAGAGCTGAATGGCTTTCCTGTCAACCCTCGACTCAGCCCAGAAGTACAGGAAAAGCGGAAGCTGGTTCCAGGCAAACTAACGCTCCCAACTCCAAAAAGTCGGGGTTTGTTAGAGAGCCCCTTCCCAGAAAGCCTCACACCCATGTCTTTAGTCCAGCACCTGCGCTAGTCGCTTTTAACTGGCCGACAGGTGCCCGGTATTTAGCCCCCAAATTCTAAGGAAAAATAGGACGAATAGCAAGCGAAAGGGGTCCGATGGTACTCACCGCTTGGTGATAGGCGATAGTCTCACCGCTTGGTGATAGGCGATAGTCCCTTCGTGGTCGCCAAAATGTGTCCAGTATTGGTGGGTTCTTGGTCTCACTGACTTCAAGAATGAAGCTGTGGACCCTCACGGTGAGTGTTACAGTTCTTAAAGATGGTGTGTCTGGAGTTTGTTCCTTCTGATGTTTGGATGTGTCTGGAGTTTATTCCTTCTGGTAGGTTCGTGGTCTCGCTGACTTCAGGAGTGAAGCTGCAGATCTTTGCGGTGAGTGTTACAGCTCATAAAGGTGGTGCGGACCCAAAGAGTGAGCAGCAGCAAGATTTATTGCGAAGAGTGAAAGAACAGAGCTTCTACAGCGTGGAAGGGAACCTGAGTGGGTTGCTGCTGCTGGCTCGGGTGGCCTTTTATTCCCTTATTTGGCCCCACCCACATCCTGCTGATTGGTCTATTTTACAGAGAGCTGATTGGTCCATTTTACAGAGTGCTGATTGTTCCGTTTTAGAGTGCTGATTTGTCCATTTTGACAGAGTGCTGATTGGTGCATTTACAAAACTTTAGCTAGACACAAAGTGCTGATTGGTGCATTTACAATCCTTTAGCTAGACAGAAAATTCTCCAAGTCCCCTACCTGATTAGCTAGACACAGAGCGCTGATTGGTGCATTTACAAACCTTTAGCTAGACACAGAGTGCTGATTGGTGCATTTACAATCCTTTAGCTAGACACAGAGTGCTGATTGGTACGTTTACAATCCTTTAGCTAGACAGAAAAGTTCAAGTCCCCACCCGACCCAGAAGCCTAGCCGGCTTCACCTCTCAATCCCATAAACAAATTTGACTCCTTCCCCATATCCACTCCCCCTCTTGTGTCTCCATCCTTCCTTCCCTCCCTCCCATCAAACCCAGAGGACATGGACTTCTGTCTCATCTTCTCCTCTCTGCCTCCCTCCCTCTATCATCCTCAGTTGCCTTATTCTGTCTCTCCTCCCTCTGAAATTTCTCTTGATTCTTTTTTTTTTTTTTTGAGGCAGGGTCTCACTCTGTTGCCCAGGCTGGAGTGCAGTGGCATGATCTCGGCTCACTGCACCCTCTGCCTCCCGAGTCCAAGCAATTCTCTGCCTTAGCCTCTCAAGTAGCTGGGATTACAGGCGCCCACCACCACACCTGGCTAATTTTTTTGTATTTTTAGTAGAGATGGGGTTTCACTATCTTGGCCAGGCTGGTCTTGAACTCCTAACCTCATGATCCACCCGCCTTGGCCTCCCAAAGTGCTGGGATTATAGGCATGAGCCACTGCACCCGGACTTTTTAAAAATTTATCGTAGAGATGAGGTCTTGCTGTGTTGCGTAGGCTGGTCTCAAACTCCAAGGTCCTCCAGCCTCAGCCTCCCAAAGAGCTGGGATTACAGTCGCGAGGCACTGGACCCAGCCTGTGATGAATATTAATGCCTTATTAATTCTTTACCACCCCCTCCCCACACCATGAGGCCAGGAAGGGATGGTGGCATGGAGGGGTGGGGTGTCAAAACCATCCCCATTTTCCAAATGCAGGAACTGGGGCCAGTGAGCTCCTGTGGTCCAGGAGAGGGATGTGATTTACAGCTGCAGCTCTGGAGTTTAACAGGTCCAGGTTCACATCCCAGCTTCCTGGCCCCTTGTTAGTTTCCTGCCATGGTGTTTTTCTTTTCTTTCTTTTTTTCTTTCTTTTTTGAGACAGAGTCTTGCTCTGTCACCCAGGCTGGAGTGCAGTGGTGCAATCTCAGCTCACTGCAACCTCCGCCTCCCAGGTTCAAGTGATTCTCCTGCCTTAGCCTCCCGAATAGCTGGGACTACGGGCATGTGCCACCATGCCTGGCTAATTTTTTGTATTTTTAGTAGAGACGGGGTTTCACCGTGTCAGCCAGTATGGTCTTGATCTCCTGACCTTGTGATCTACCCACCTCAGCCTCCCAGAGTGCGGGGAGTGTAGGAGTGCGCCACCGTGCCCAGGTGGTGGTTTTTTTTTTTTTTTTTCTGTCGTTCCCCAGGTTGGAGGGGCAGGAAATGCTTTGAGGTCAAGGTGGCTGCAGGAAAAAGGATGACATTGAAGAGATGAGCCCATCATTGGCAGAGCCTGGAAATGAAGAGGGTGTGGCTAGAGGAACCCCCTCTCCTGCAGACTGGACTCACCACCAGCTCCAGTGACAGTGGGCTCAGAGGAGATCCTCTAAGCCTGCTCAGTACAGGACACAGGCAAACAAGGAACCTGGAGAGGGCAGCCTCTAGCCTCCCTGGCCTGGCAGCTGTAGGACCTACCTCTACAAAGCTAAAAAGTTTGTCACCTATACCCAGCCACAGCCCCAGGGAAACAGCTGTGTCCCCAGCACCTGCCAGGAAGGGTCAAGACAAGGAAATCACAGATATTTTTTCTTCTAGCGCAAGAACCCCCACCACCTCCCCAAGAGACATCTATAAGGAATATTTGGAGGGAGATACTGGGGCAAAAATAAATTAACAGGCCGGGCACAGTGGCTTGCGCCTGTAATCCCACCAGTTTCGGAGGCCGAGGCGGGCAGATCACTTGAGGTCAGGAGTTTGAGACCAGCCTGGCCAAACCCATCTATACTAAAAATACAAAAATTAGCTGGGTGCAGTGGGAGGCGCCTGTAATCTCAGCTACTCGGGAGGCCGAGGCAGGAGAATCGCTTGAACCCGGGAGGTGGAGGTTGCAGTAAGCTGAGATCGCACTACCGCGCTCCAGCCTGGGTGACAGAGTGAGACTCTTGTCTCGGAAAAAAAAAAAAAAAAAATTAACAGCAGCTGGGGTTCAGAAAATGGACAGATGTGGTTTTCCTCAAATACATGTCCTAGATGTAGGGTATCCAATTATTACAATTTTTATTTTATTTCATATTTATTTATTTATTTTTTAGACAGAATCTCGCTCTGTTGCCTGGGCTGGAGTGCAGTGGCACTGTATCCGGAATTGGGGGGTTCTTGGTCTCACTGACTTCAAGAATGAAGCCATGGACCCTTGCGGTAAGTGTTCCAGCTCTTAAGGTGGCGCGTCTGGAGTTTGTTTCTTCTGATGTTCAGGTGTGTTCAGCGTTTCTTCCTTCTGGTGGGTTCATGGTTTCACTGGCTCAGGAGTGAAGCTGCAGACCTTCGCAGTGAGTGTTACAGCTCATAAAAGCAGTGGGGACCCAAAGAGTGAGCAGTACAAGATTTATTGCAAAGAGCAAAAGAACAAAGCTTCCACAGTGTGGAAGGGGACCCAAGTGGGTTGCCACTGCTGGCTCGGGCAGCCTGCTTTTATTCTCTTATCTGGCCCCACCCACATCCTGCTGATTGGTAGAGCCCACTGGTCTGTTTTGACAGGGCGCTGATTGGTGCGTTTACAATTCCTGAGCTAGACACAAAGGTTCTCCACATCCCCACCAGATTAACTAGATACAGAGTGTCAACACAAAGGTTCTCCAAGGCCCCACCACAGTAGCTAGATACAGAGTGTCGATTGGTGCATTCACAAACCCTGAGCTAGACACAGGGTGCTGATTGGTGTGTTTACAAACCTTGAGCTAGATACAGAGTGCCGATTGGTGTATTTACAATCCCTGAGCTAGACATAAAGGTTCTCCAAGGCCCCACCAGAGTAGCTAGATACAGAGTGTTCATTGGTGCATTCACAAACCCTGAGCTAGACATAGGGTGATGATTGGTGTATTTACAATCCCTGAGCTAGACAAAGGTTCTCCACGTCCCCACCAGACTCAGGAGCCCAGCTAGCTTCACCCAGTGGATCCTGCACCGGGGCTGCAGGTGGAGCTGCCTGCCAGTCCCACGCCGTGCGCCTGCACTCCTCAGCCCTTGGGTGGTGGATGGGACTGGGCACCATGGAGCATGGGGCAGTGCTCGTCAGGGAGGCGCGGGCCGCACAGGAGCCCATGGAGGGGGTGGGAGGCTCAGGCATGGCGGGCTGCAGGTCCCGATCCCTGCCCCGCGGGAAGGCAGCTAAGGCCTGGTGAGAAATCAAGCGCAGCGCCGGTGCGCTGGCACTGCTGGGGGACCCAGTACACCCTCCGCAGCCGCTGTCCGGCCCGGGTGCTAAGCCCCTCATTGCCCGGGGCCAGCAGGGCCGGACGGCTGCTCTGAGTGCAGGGTCCGCCAAGCCCACGCCCACCCGGAACTCCAGCTGGCCCACAAGCACCGCGCGCAGCCCCGATTCCGGCTCGCGCCTCTCCCTCCACACTTCCCTGCAAGCTGAGGGAGCCAGCTCCGGCCTTGGCCAGCCCAGAAAGGGGCTCCCACAGTGCAGCGGTGGGCTGAAGGGCTCCTGAAGTGCCGCCACAGTGGGAGCCCAGGCAGAGGAGTCGCAGAGAGTGAGCGAGGGCTGTGAGGACTGCCAGCACGCTGTCACCTCTCAGCGCCATCTCGGCTCACTGCAACCTCCACCTCCTGGGTTCAAGCAATTCTCCGGCCTCAGCCTCCTGAGTAGCTGGGATTATAGGTGCGCATCACTATGCCCAGCTAATTTTTGTATTTTTAGTAGAAATGAGGTTTCACCACATTGGCCAGGCCAGACCAGCCTGGACAATAGAGTGAGACCCTATATAGGGATCTCACTATATAGAGCAATACAGCGGGATCACCCGACCTCGGGTGATCCGCTCGTTGGCCTCCCAAAGTGCTAGTGTTACAAGTGTGAGCCAATGCGCCCAGCCCTATTCTTTTTTTTTTTTTTTTTTTTTTTGAAATCAAGTCTTGCTCTGTCACCCAGGCTGGAGTGCAGTGGCATGATCTCTGCTCACCGCAACCTCCACCTCCCGAGTTCAAGTGATTCTCCTGCCTCAGCCTCCTGAGTAGCTGGGATTACAGGCACCCGCCACCACACCCGGCTAATTTTTGTATTTTTAGTAGAGACGGGGTTTCACCATGTTGGTCAGGCGGGCCTGGAACTCGTAATGTCAGATGATCCACCTGCCTCGGCCTCCTAAAGTGCTGGGATTACAGGCATGAGCGACCACGCCATCTTTTTTTTTTTTTTTTAACAAAACACAGATGTAGAATTAGAGCCTTCAGGGGTGGGTGCAGTGGCGCTCACACCTTTAATCCCATCACTTTGTGAAGCCAAGGCAGGAGGATCCCTTGAGTCTCGGTGTTTGAGACCAGCCTGGACAATAGAATGAGACCCTGCCTCTACGAAAAAAAAATTATTTTTGTTTTGAGATGGAGTCTTGCTCTGTTGCCCAGGCTGGAGTGCAGTGGCGCAATCTCGGCTTATTTGCAGCCTCTGCCTCCTTGGCTCAAGTGATTCTTCTGCGTCAGCCTCTAGAGTAGCTGGGACTACAGACGTGCACCACCATGCTCGGCTAATTTTTGTATTTTTTTGTAGAGATGGGGGTTCCACCATGTTGGCCCGGCTGGTCTCGAACTGCTGACCTCAAGTGACCTGCCTGTCTCGGCCTCACAAATGGCTGGGATTACAGGCACGAGACACCGTGCCTGGCCCTGGGAACATGTTTACATGGACTTTGTTCACTTTTTAAAACAAACTGAGGGTAACTTACTAGATCTGTGAACTAAAGAAAGAGAAAAAAAAGAAAGAAAACAAACAAGAACAAAGAACAAAGTGTTCTGAGGTTGCTTTTATTCCAAGAACTCTGTGAGCTCCGCCCAGATACCATTGGCGCCTGCTTGTGTCCCCAGGGGACCTACACACAACAGCACCAGCACCATGAGGGCGCTCTCGACCCACACAAGCCCTGGTCCCCGTCAGTCAATGTGACTGAGTCCGCCATTGAGGCCAGTCTGGCTGGCCCCAAGTGGTCCCTCTGAGTCCCCAACTCCCTGGCCAGCAAGGAGTGAAGCTCCATGCCCCTTGGTCCACGCCTCTAGAGTCTGAGCATATCCTGCAGCCTCGATCTCAGGAGGCAACGCATGCAGCCCCCCTGCACTCAGAAAGGGGGCTTCTCCAGTCGTGGTCTTCTTCTCTGTCCACAAGTTTCCAGATGGCCCCTCCTTGGAGCCCCTGCCCAGGCAGGGAACGGCCACATCCTCGGGCAGAGCCAAGAGTCACCGTCTTTCGTGGGCCTGGGACCAGGCCCAGCCAGGACGCTAGGAGGCTGCCTCTGCTGCCATGGGCTGGATCAACATGGTGGTGGCCTGCAGCGGGTAGTAGCGGCCCCGCCAGGTCTTCCAGAAGATTCCCTTCTTAAGCTTCTGCCGCTGCTGTGGGATGGAGCGGAAGTACTGGCCGTTGAGGTTGGAATGGCTGCAGGTGCCAAACCACCAGCCTCCTGCCGGGGTCAGGGGAGAGGGAACATGGTCAGGTCTTTGAGCCACCGATGGGGCTGAAAGGAGATAGGGATAGGGTTGAGGATGAGGCAGGTTGGGGACCAGGCTGGGCTTTGGACTTGACTTTTTTTTTTTTGAGATTGAGTCTTACTCTGTCACCCAGGCTGGAGTGCAGTGGTGCGATCTCAGCTCACTGCAACCTCCGTCTCTCAGGTTTAAGTGATTCTCCTCCCTCAGCCTCCCGAGTAGCTGGGATTACAGGCGCCTGCCACCACACCTGGCTAATTTTTGGTCTTTTTTTTTGAGACTGAGTCTCACTCTATCTCCCAGGCTGGAGTGCAGTGGCACAATCTCGGCTCACTGCACCTCTGCCTCCCAGGTTCAAGGGATTCTCATGCCTCAGCCTCCTGAGTAGCCGGGATTACAGGCACCCGCCACCACGCCTGGCTAGTTTTTGTATTTTTAGTAGTGAGGGGGTTTCACCATGTTGGCCAGGTTGGTCTCAAACTCCTTACCTCATGTGATCCACCCTCCTCAGCCTCCCAAAGTGCTGGGATTACAGGTATGACCCACTGCGCCTGGCCTAATTTTTGTATTTTTAGTAGAGACAGGGTTTCACCATGTTGGCCAGGCTAGTTTTGAACTCCTGACCTCAGGTGATCCACCCACCTCGGCCTCCCAAAGTGCTGGGATTACAGGTGTGAGCCCCCACACCCGGCCTTATTTTTAAGTTTAAAAACAATTTTTTTTGAGACAGGGCCTGGCTCCATTGCCCAGGCTGGAGTGCAGTGGTGTGGTGATGGCTCAATGCAGCGTCAACCTTACGGGCTCAAGTGATTCTTGTACCTGGGCCTCCCAAGTAGCTGGGACCACAGGTGTGAGCCACCATGCCTGCATTTTTTCTTTTTCTTTTGAGGCAGGGGTCTCACTCTGTCACCCAGGCTTGAGTGCAGTGGCGCAGTCTCAGCTCACTGCAGCCTTATCTCCTAGGCTCAAGAGATCCTCCCAACTCAGCCTCCCAAGTAGATGGGAACACAGGCAGGCACCACCATGCCCAGCTAGTTTTTTGTATTTTTAATTGAGACAGGATTTCGCCCTGTTGCTCAGATTGGTCTCCTGGGCTCAAGTGATCCACTCGCTTCAGCCTCCCAAAGTGCTGGGATTGCAAGTGTGAGCCACCGTGCCTAATTTTTTTTTTTTTTTGAGAATTGCTTGAACCCGGGAGGTGGAGGTTGCAGTGAGCCGAGATCGCACCACTGCACTCCAGCTTAGGCAACAGAGTGAGACCCTGTTTCAAAAAAAAAAAAAAAAAAAGAATCCTGTGGAGCACCATTATAAAGATGTTTGTGGCCGGGTATTGTGGCTCACGCCTGTAATCCCAACACTTTGGGAGGCCGAGGTGGGCAGATCACTTGAGGTCAGGAGTTCAAGACCACCCTGGCCAACATGGTGAAACCCCGTCTCTACTAAAAATACAAAACAATTATCTGTGCATGGTGGCGGGAACCTGTAATCCCAGCTACTCAGGAGGCTGAGGCAGGAGAATCACTTGAACCCAGGAGGCGGAGGCTGCAGTGAGCCAAGATCACGTCACTTGCACTCCAGCCTGGGAGACACAGCGGGACTCTGTCTCAAAAAATAAATAAGTAGGCCGGGCGCGGTGGCTCACGCCTGTAATCCCAGCACTTTGGGAGGCTGAGGCAGGCAGATCACGAGGTCAGGAGATCGAGACCATCCTGGCTAACACGGTGAAACCCCATCTCTACTAAAAATACAAAAAAATTAGCCAGGCGTGGTGGTGGGCACCTATAGTCCCAGCTACTCGGGAGGCTGAGGCAGGAGAATGGTGTGAACTCAGGAGGTGGAGCTTGCAGTGAGCCAAGATCGTGCCACAAAGCACTCCAGCCTGGGTGACAAAGTGAGACTCCGTCTCAAAAAATAAATACATAAATAAATAAATAAACAAACACATAAGTAAATAAAAGTAAAGACGGTCAAGACCCTTTTCAGGATGGGAAAACTGAGGCCAGATAGGCTAAGTTAGTGGCCCAATCACACACACGGCATGTAAGGAAGAGGTGGGGGCAGGAAACAGATGCAATGTGGGGTTGAAGGCAGGACAGAGCAGCAGAAAGATAAGGAGGGAAGCTGCTGGCTGGGTGTGGCATGGCAGGGCCTGCTCACCAGAGAGGCTCTTGGCGCAGTTCTTGTCCCTGCGGAGGTCGTGATCCTGGTCCCAAGTGGAGAAGGGTACGGAGAGGCCGCTGGGTGGGACGGTGGTGGCGCCCAGCTGGCCGGCCACGGGTGCAGTGAGCTGCAGGCTATAGGCCGTGTCCTCGCCACCCAGGTGCACGGAGAACTGCAGCAACTCGGCGTTGCCATCCCAGTCCCGCAGCTGCACGGCCAGGCGGCTGTTGCGGTCCCCCGTGATGCTATGCACCTTCTCCAGACCCAGCCAGAACTCGCCTGGAGTGGGAGAGGCCACTCCATGAGGCAGGGCCACTTCTGAGGGTCCCTCTTCCTCCCCTGCCTCTGTCCCCACTAGAAACACCTACCGTGGGGATCCCCAAACCCCGCCTTGTAGGCTTCCCAGGGCCGGTTGAAGTCCACTGAGCCATCGTGGCGCCTCTGAATTACTGTCCAGCCTCCATCTGCCCAGAAAGGTACAAGGTCACCAGGAAGTCCCTCTTCACAGACGACCCCACTCCCTCATCTGGCTGCCAAGCACCAAACCCCCTCCAAACCCAGGAAGACAGCAGCTCCCTCACTCATCCCTGGAGGACTCGAGGAGGGTGGGTCAGAGGGAGGAATATTATGGGCTGGCCTTGGGAAGATCTTTGTCCCAAGAACCCAGCAGGGACTGAGTGTGGGAGGGAGTAGGCAGTGGAAATCTGCAAAGCCTCTCTGGGCCAGCTGAACTGGGTAAAACCCCGTGTTGTAACCTCTTGTAATGGAAAGGACTTCTCAGTGGAAAAAAAAGCTTTCTTTTTTTTTTTTTTTTTTTTTAGAGATGGAGTCTCACTCTGTTGCCCAGGCTGGATCGCAGTGCCGCAATCTCAGCTCACTGCAACCTCTGCCTTCGGGGCTCAAGCGATTCTTGTGCTTCAGCCCCACAAGCAGCTGGAATCACAGGCACGCCCGGCTAATGTTTATGTTGGTAGAGATAGGGTTTCACCATGTTGGCCAGGCTGGTCTTGAACTTCTGACCTCAAGTGATTTGCCCGCCTCAGCCTCCCAAAGTGCTGGCATTTCAGGTGTAAGCCACCGTGCTCAGCCTTTGTTTTTTTTTAGAAACGAGGTTTTGTTGTGTTGCCCAGGTTGGAGTGCGGTGGCTATTCACAGGTGTGATCACGGCTCACGGCAGCCTTTAACTCCTGGGCTGAAGTGACCCTCCTGCCTTGGCCTCCCGAGTAGCTGGGACTACAGGCATGTGCCACCATGCCCAGCAAGGGCTGAATTTTATTTTATTTTATTTTATTTTCTCTTTTTTATTTTTTTGATGGGGGGACGGAGTCTCGCTCTGTCGCCCAGGCTGGAGTGCGGTGGCGTCATCTCAGCTCACTGCAACCTCTGCCTCCCAGGTTCAAGAGATTCTCCTGCCTCAGCCACCTGAGTAGCTGGGATTACAGGTGCACACCACCATGCCCGGCTAATTTTTGTATTTTTAGTAGAGACGGGGTTTCACCATGTTGGTCAGGCTGGTCTCGAACTCCTGACCTCGTGATCTGTCTGCCTCAACCTCCCAAAGTGCTGGGATTACAGGTGTGAGCCACTGCACTTGGCCTTTTTTTTTACTTTTACAAAATTTTTTGTAAAGATGAGCTCTCACTATGTTGTCCAGGCTGGTCTCGAACTTCTGGGCTCAAGTGATCCTCATGATAGGCCTCCCAAAGTGTCGGGATTACAGATATGAGCCACTACACCCAGACAAGGGCTGCATTTTAAAGAAAAGAGGCCAGGAGCAGTGGCTAATGCCTATAATCCCAGCATTTTGGGAGGCCAAAGTCGGCAAATCATTTGAGGTCAGGAGTTTGAGACCAGCCAGACCAACATGGTGAAACCCAGTCTCTACTAAAAATACAAAAATTAGCTGGGTGTGGTTGCTCGCACCTGTAGTCTCAGCTACTGGGGAGGCTGACGCTGGAGAATTGCTTGAACCCGGGAGGCGGAGGTTTCAGTGAGCTGAGATCGTGGCATTGCACTCCAGCTCCAAGAGCAAAACTCCATCTCAAAAAAAAAAAAAAAAAAAAAGACCAGCTTGGGCAACATAGCAAGACCCTGCCTTTAATTTTTTTGTTTTGTTTTGTTTTCAATTTAAAGAAAGACAACAGGGCCTATGGGGAGAGGGGCCCCTGGTGGACTAACACACCCTACCTGAGGTCATCTTGCAGTTCACCAAAAATGGCGGAGACCCCTGAGGCTGGATTTCAAATAGTCCACTCTGCCTCTCCCCAACCTGGAACAGCTCCTGGCAATCCCTGGGCAGCCCTGAAGGGAGATAAAGTGGAGACTTGAAACAGGAGGGCAGCCCCTGGGGGGGGTCTCAGGAGCCAGGCATATCTGGGGGCTTAACAGTGGATGACCAGGGAAGTAAAAGGCAAATCTTATCTCATGACCACCTCTCTGCCATCTGCCTAACCTCTTCCATGGCTCCCTATGTCCTTCCTCAGCATGGTCCACAAGGCACCTGGAGGACCAGCCCCCGTGCCCATCCTCCTCCTGCCATGCTGTACCCACACCCTCTCTGGCACACAGGCTTTCTTCCCACCCTTGTACCACACACCGTCCTGCCACAGGGACTTTGCACATGCTGTTCCCCCTGCCTGGGACTCTCTTTTTTTGTTTTGTTTTTTGATACGGAGTCTCGCTCTGTCGCCAGGCTGGAGTGCAGTGGCGCAATCTTGGCTCACTGCAACCTCCGCCTCCCAGGTTCAAGCAATTCTGCCGCAGCCTCCGGAGCAGCTGGGACTACAGGCATGTGCCACCACGCCCGACTAGTTTTTGCATTATTTGTAGAGACGGGGGTTTCACCATGTTGGCCAGACTGGTCTCGATCTCCTGACCTCGTGATCCGCCAGCCTTGGCCTCCCAAAGTGCTGGGATTACAGGTGTGAACCACTGCGCCCGGCGGGACTCTCTTTCCTCACTTCTCTCTCTG
Organism: Homo sapiens; assembly: GCF_000001405.40. NCBI lineage: Eukaryota > Metazoa > Chordata > Mammalia > Primates > Hominidae > Homo > Homo sapiens. The sequence continues at coordinate 8,368,548 of NC_000019.10, read as the reverse complement.
GGTCCCAGCTTCTGGAAGGACACCCTGCCTTGCCTCACCCCCAGACCAGGCCAGAACACCCCAAATGGGAATTGAGCAAGGACTTCCCACTCCTGGACACTGAGGTCATCTAATGGTCTCTCCTCTGACTCAATGGAGGCTCCATGAGGCTGGGGACAAGGAGCAGCTCTGCCCACAGCCTGGCACCAGCATCCACGCAGGCCCCAGCGCATAGCAGCTGCTCAATAAAGACTTGAGGAATGGGCCGGGCGCAGTGGTTCATGCCTGTAATCCAGCACTTTGGGAGGCGGGCGGATCGGTCAGGAGTTTGAGACCAGCCTGGTCAACATGGCCAAACCCCATCTCTAGTAAAACATACAAAGATTAGCTGGGTGTGATGGTGGACGCCAGTAATCCCAGCTCCTTAGGAGGCAGAGGCAGGAGAATCACTTGAACCCGGGAGGCAGAGGTTGCAGTCAGCTGAGGTTGAACCATTGCACTCCAACCTGGGTGACAGAGTGAGACTCTGTCTCAAAAAAAAAAAAGACTTGATAAATGAATAAAAATTAGCTGGGCGTGGTGGCGGTAGGCGCCTATAATCCCATCTACTTGAGAGGCTGAGGCAGGAGAATCACTTGAACCCAGTGGGAGGCAGAGGTTGCAGTGAGCTGAGATTGCGCCACTGCACTCCAGCCTGGACAACAGAGCGAGACTCCGTCTCAAAAAGCAAACAAAACAGTCTTGACAAATGAATGAATGAATGAATGAATGAGGCAGCAGGTCCAGAACGGGAAGAACTGTGCTGAGCAGGAGCATCTCAGAGGCTCTGCCTGGGGTCCCAGCTCCTAGAGGGAGAGGAGGCAGGGTTGAGGAAAGAAAGAGGGAGGGAGGAGGGGAGGATGGCGTTGAGCACGTCTGGAGGCTCAGACGCTCCAGACTGGGAGGAACCGCCCCCAGCCCAGCCGGAAAAGTAGGGGAAAGGTCGAAATGAGTCTGCACGGTGGGGGTGGGGGCGGGCCCAGAGTGACCAGGAAGACGCTTTCCGGCCCCTCAGGCATCTCCCCTTTCCCCTACTTTCCTCCCATCCAGTAAGGATGGGCACGCGGCCAAACCACCAGTGTGGCTTCCATGAATGCCAGCTGTTCGCCTTCCCAGCTCTGAACTTTCTCCTACTTGGCGGGCCTGAGCCAAGAGTCTGGGAGTCCCGAACCCACAGAACCCCTGCCCCCTTCCACCGCATTTCCCAGCCAGGACTTGTGCCTTCCCCCGTCACCCTCCAGAAGCCCCTCATCCTGGGATGGTGGCTTTGGGAGGGTGGACAGGACCCTGACCACGCTGAGATGCTAGCCTGGCGGGGTTGGGGGCGGGCAGCACGGAGGTGGGAAGGAGCGGGAGCTTGGGGAGGAGAGAACCCTCAGGTCTACAGTGCTGGAAGCCTGCCACTGACCCTAGGGTGTGAGAGGGGGATCCAAACTTTCACCCAGTTGGCTGTGGACAGCCACAGATGCAGGGAAGGATGAGGACCACAGAGAAACCGTGTGGGGCCGTGAACTTAGAGAACCGCGAGTCTGCATCGGACACACGTGGACATGCTGTGGTTCGAGATGAACGGAGATTTGGGAATAAAGCACCTACAACTTGTGGTGGCAGCAAAAGCCCACTTTCTGCGGTGGGGAGGGGGCCGGCGGGGGCGGGGAGGGAGGAGGAGAACAAGAGAGGAAGGAGGAAGAGGGGTCAGGGACCTGGAGCATTGGATTTGTAAGATACAAGAGTGTTTCTGGTCTGGGAGCTGGGGGTTCCCAGCCCTAATTCCCACATACCCCAAGACATTGTGGAGGGCCCAAATCTACAAACACTACTACCTGGCACCCCCTCCTCCATGACACCCTCCCCTAGAAGGTTCTAACCTTCAGGATGGCACCCCGAACCCCATTTCTACCTTCTCCAGCACCCCTGCAGCTCAAGTCCCTCAAGACCTCTTTCTCCACCTCTGTTCCAATCAGTGATCAGCAGGGCTTCAGGGACAGCCCACTGGCTTGCAGAGGAGAAGGGTTGGGTGGCCTGGCTGGGCCAGGTCAGGGCTGAGGAAGGAGGTGCTCCCATCAGCTTTGACCCAGAGACTGGTGAGCCCTCAGGGACTCCAGGCCAGGACATCTTCTCCTTAAGGTGGACCTGACAAGGAGAGGACCAGCAATGGCAAGTGGCGGGGTAGGGGTGGCCACCGGAGAGCATCGAGGGGCAGACACTCACGGTGCAGGCGGCTGACATTGTGAGCCGGGTCAACTGGCTGGGCCATCTCGGGCAGCCTCTTTCTTCGGGCAGGCTTGGCCACCTCATGGTCTAGGTGCTTGTGGTCCAGGAGGCCAAACTAGGATGGGACGGGAGGAGGGTGTCAGGTCCTGCCTGGCCCCACGTCCCCAGCCACACGTCCAGTTCTCACCACCTCCCTCTCAACCTGGGGTCCAGCTATCAGAGGGACCTTTTCTCCCTTGATCCTAGGGTTACCTGGCTTTGCAGATGCTGAATTCGCAGGTGCTGCTTCTCCAGGTGCCGCTGCTGCTGGGCCACCTTGTGGAAGAGTTGCTGGATCCTGCTGTTCTGAGCCTTGAGTTGTGTCTGGGGAGGGGTGAAAACCTTGGTGAGGACCCAGCTTGCCTACCCCAACCTCTTAATTCATCCACTCATCCATCCTTCCAAATCTCCATCCGCTGAGGCCAGGCAAGGGAGTCTTTCTTTTTTCTTTTTTTTCCCAATGACGGGGTCTCGTTCTCTCGCCCAGGCTGGAGTGCAGTGGTGCTGTCACAGCTCACTGCAGCCTCCAACTCCTGGGGTCAGGCGATCCTCCTGTTTTCAGCCTCCTGTGTAGCTGGGACTACAGTCATGCAGCTCTATGCCTGGCTTATTTTTTATTTTTTCAGACAGAGTCTCGCTCTGTCACCCAGGTTGGAGTGCAGTGGCGCAATCTTGGCTCACTGCAACCTCTGCCTCCCAGACTCAAGTGATTCTTGTGTCTCAGCCTCCCAAGTAGCTGCCACCACACCTGGCTAATTTTTGTATTTGTATTTTATTTTATTTATTATTATTATTATTTTGAGATGGAGTCGAGCTCTGTCGCCCAGGCTGGAGTGCAATGGCATGATCCCGGCTCACTGCAACCTCCGCCTCCCGGGTTCAAGAGGTTCTCCTGCCTCAGCCTCCCCAGTAGCTGGGATTACAGGCGCCCACCACCACACCCAGCTAATTTTTGTATTTTTAGTAGAGACGGGGTTTCACTGTGTTGGTCAGGCTGGTCTTGAACTCCTGACCTCAGGTGATCCACTGGCCTCGCCCTCCCAAAGTGCTGGGACTACAAGCGTGAGTCACCGCACCTGGCTTTATTTTTATTTTATCGCTATTATTTTTTTGAGGAGTCTCACTCTGTTGCCCAGGCTGGAGTGCAGTGCTGCGATCTCGGCTCACTGCAACCTCTGCCTCCCGGGTTCAAGAGATTCTCCTGCCTCAGCCTCCCAAGTAGCTGGGATTACAGGCATGCACACCATGCCAGGCTAATTTTTTGTATTTTTAGTAGAGACGAGGTTTCTCCATGTTGGCCAGGCTAGTCTCGACAGCAGGTGGAGGCTCCGTGAGCCACTGCGCCCGGTCGTTTTTTAATTTTATATTTATTTTATTTTATTTTATTTATTTTGTGTGTGTGTGTGTGTGTGTGTAGAAGAGACGGGGGTCTCGCTATTTTGCTTTAGGTGGTCTTGAATTCCTGGCCTTGAGCGAACCTCCCTCCTCGGCTTCCTAAGGGGGGAGCCCATCCCTTGACGCAGGGAAGCCCAGGGAGCCACAGTTGCGCACCCCGCCCCCACGCCCCACTCCTGTCCATACCCTTCCAAGCCAGGAGAGCCACTAGGGGCGCGGAGAACCAGCCCTGGGGACACGTACCTGCAGGCTGTGAAGGACCTCAGGGTCCACCCGGCTCTCAGGGGCTAACGGGAGGTCGGTGGACCCCTCGGTTCCCTGACAGGCGGACCCGCACGCGCTCAGGCGCCGCTCCAGCGCGCTCAGCTGACTGCGGGTGCGCTCCGCGTGTTCGCGCAGCCCCTGGCCGAGCTGCAGGAGTCCGTGCGCCAGGACATTCATCTCGTCCCAGGACGCAAAGCGCGGCGACTTGGACTGCACGGGTCCGCCCTGAGCGCTCAGTAGCACGGCGGTGGCGGCGCAGAGCATCAGGGCTGCCCCGGCCGTCGGAGCACCGCTCATCCTCTTAGGTAGCCTGGGAGCGGGGATTCGGGGACTCTCGGGGACGTTGGGGTTCCAGGTGCGAGGACTGGAGACGCGGAGGACCGGGGGTAAGACCCGCTTGGTTGCAGAAGCCGCTGGAAAGAATCGGATCACAGTCGTGTGAGGATCCGCTCAGCTCGGCTTCTCCCCGCCGCGCCCGAGGACGGTTTTTATAAGTTGGGTGCGGAGTGGGCGGAGGAGTCTTGGAGGCGGGGTGCGGGGAGTGCTGGGGGCAGGGCCTGTGGCCGGGGGTGGGGTCCTGTCCTCTGGAGGCCTGGTAGTCTGCGGGCTGGGGGATGCCCTGGGGATGCCAAACTGTGGCTCTCCCGCCCCCGCTCCAGGCTCAGGCAGGCCTTCCTCTACGAACCGTGGGAGACGTGACTCTTCTTTCCCCCACGGTGCCCGCCTCTAGTGTGAAATTGCAAGCCCCCTATTCCGCCCCCGCCTTACCCAGTGGCGGAGAGGGCGCACGCTTGAGGTCAAGACTTCCAGACCAGCCCGGCCAACATCGTGAAACCCAGTCTCTACTAAAAATACAAAAAAAAATTAGCCGGGCTTGGTAGTGCGCGCCTGTAGTCCCAGCTACTCGGGAGGCTGAGGCAGTAGAATCGCTTGAACCCGGGAGGTGGAGGTTGCAGTGCGCCGAGATGGCGCCATTGCGCTCCAGCCTGGGCGACAGAGCCAGAGTACGTCTCAAAATGAAAGAAGAGAAAAGAAAAGAAAAGAAAGAAAAGAGAGAGAAAGAAGGAAAGAAGGAAGGAAGGACGGAAAAAGAAAAGAGAGAGAGGTAGGGAGGGAGGGAAGAAGGAGAGAGAGAGAGAAAAGAGAGAGAGAAAGGAAAGAGAGAAAGAGGAAGGAAGGAAGGAGGGAAAGAAAGGAAGAAGGAAAGAAAGGAAGGAAAAGAAAAAGAGCTGAGTTCAGCGGAGCCCGGAACTCACCAAAAGTCCTTGCCTTGCGGAGGCTTCGTGTGACCTCCATCCCAAGACCAGGAGAGACTTTTCTGGGCTCGCATGTTCCTTCCCGTGAAAGGGTTCGTCATCGCAGCTGTGTTTATGAGATTCTTTGACTTCCATTTCTCCCCTGAGCCCGAAATTATGAGTGCCTTAGCGGCAGGACTTGGATCAGGGCCTCACCCCCATAGCCTACCCTCTACCGCCAGGGTCTTTAATGTCCTGAGCTTTGCCTATAATAAAGCAGGAACTTAGAGAACAGAAAGAGGAGACACAAGGAAGGGAGGAACCAGGGCGGTCGCCCATGACTGTGGTCGCAGCTACTTGGGAGCCTGAGGTGGGAGGCTCACTTGAGCCCAGGAGGTAGAGGCTGCAGTGAGCCACAATGGTGCCACTGCACTCCAGCCTGGGCAACAGAGTGAGATCCTGTCTCTAAAAAAGAAATAAAATAAAAGTCTGTGGCCAGGCGCGGTGGCTCACGCCTGTAATCCCAGCACTTTGGGAGGCCGGGTGGTGGGAGGGGGGGGGGGGCGGATCACCTGAGGTCAGGGGTTCGAGATCAGCCTGGCCAACATGGTGAAACCTCGTCTCTACTAAAAATAAAAAATTAGCCGGGTGTGGTGGCACGTGCTTACAGCTACTCGGGAGACTGTGTCAGGAGAATCGCTTGAACTCAGGAGACGGAGGTTGCAGTGAGCTGAGATTGCACCACAGCACTCCAGCCTGGGTGACAGAGTGAGACTGTGTGTCAAAAAAAAAAAAAAAAGTTTCAGACATGGAAGACCTTCCTCTTTCTCTCCCTCATTCATTCATTCACTCATGCACTGAACGAAGGTGCTGCTGCCCTCTAAGCCCAGCCCCTGTATGTTTGAAGTTCTCAGGCAGGTGGAGATACCCCAACATTCTGAGCCTGGGGTAGGGATAGAGTTGGGACAAAGGAAGTACTGAGTGAGGCTAAAGGGCTGGACCACATTCATTCCACAGGGCTAAGTGTTCATTCAAACTTGCACCGATCTCCTCTGCCTCTTCCCTACCCATTCCCCTATACCCTGTCAGGAAGGGGAGGCTGGCACAGAAAACCAGCCTGCCAGGAAGAACTCGGGGCAGGTTGGCTCAGAGCACTGGCAAGGAGAAGGGCATTGACTCAGCAGGGCTCCAAGCCAGCTCATTCTCTGGAATCTGAAACTGCACACCCAAGGGCTGACGTGCAGGCTGCCACTCATACACTTGGCCCCGTCAGCTGGGCCAGATGCCAGGACAGCAAATCCCTCCCAGCAGCAGTGGACAGGAAAGGGAGGGAGGAAAACCCCAGTGAGGAGTAGGTTCAGATGGTCACCGTCTGGCCTGTCCACCCCCAAGCCCCCAGCCTCTCTCTGAGTAGGGACACAGCTATCCCAGGCTATCCCAGAATGCAAGCTCCTCCTCTTCCCCACCTTCTTAAACTGAGAGAACTGATCAATTACTTCCCCAACCTGATGACCTTTTCATGATCTGATTTTCAGGGACTTCTTTGGAGCCATGTGTCCCACAGCACAAAACACATCACAGACCCAGGGTCTTAAGGGCACCTGCTGTGAGCAATCTACAAAAGAGTCTATACTGTCGCCTCAAGTTGGCTCTAGATTTTATTCTAAAAACTGCTCTTTATTTTTTATTTATTTATTTATTTATTTATTTATTTATTTATTTTTTGAGAAGGAGTCTCGCTCTGTCGCCCACGCTGGAGTGCAGTGGCGCAATCTCGGCTCACTGCAAGCTCCACCTCCCGGGTTAGTGCCATTCTCCTGCCTCAGCCTCCCGAGTAGCTGGGACTACAGGCACCTGCCACCATGCCCAGCTAATTTTTTGTATTTTTAATAGAGACAGGGTTTCACCATGTTAGCCAGGATGGTCTCGATCTCCTGACCTCGTGATCCGCCCGCTTCGGCCTCCCAAAGTGCTGGGATTACAGGCATGAGCCACCGCGCCCAGCCTATTTTTTATTTTATTTATTTATTTTTTTGAGATGGAGTTTCCCTCTTGTCGCCCAGGCTGGAGTGCAACGGCGCAATCTCCGCTCACTGCAACCTCTGCCTCCCAGGTTCAAGCGATTCTCCAGCCTCAGCCTCCCGAGTAGCGGGGATTACAGGTGTGCACCACCACACCTGACTAATTTTTTGTATTTTTAGTGCAAACGGGGTTTCACTATGTTGGCTCTGCTGGTCTCAAATTCCTGACCTCAGGTGATCCACCTGTCTCGGCCTCCCAACGTGCTGGGATTACAGGTGTGAGCCACTGTGCCTGGCCTAGCCTTTTTTTTTTTTTTTTTTTTGAGACAGAGTCTTGCTCTGTTGCCCAGGCTGGAGTGCAGTGGCCTCATCTCGGCTCACTGCAAGCTCCACCTCCCAGGTTCCCGCCATTCTCCTGCCTCAGCCTCCTGAGTAGCTGGGACTACAGGTGCCCACCACCACGCCCGCTAATTTTTTGTATTCTAGTAGAGGGGGTGGGGTTTCGCCATGTTGCCCAGGCTGGTCTCAAACTCCTAAGCTTAGGCTATCCACCACCTCAGCCTCCCAAAGTGCTAGGATTACAGGCATGAGCCACCACGCCCAGCCCTGTTTTATGTATTTTTTTTTTTTTTTCTGAGATGGGTCTCACTCACCCAGGCTGGAGTGCAGTGTCACAATCACAGCTCACCGCAACCTCAAACTCCCAGGCTCAAGTGATCCTCCCACCTCAGCCTCCCAAGCAGCTGGGACTATAGGCATGTGCCACCAGACCTGCCTAATTTCTGTAGATTTTGTAGAGACAGGATTTTTGCCGTGTTGCCCAGGCTGGTCTTGAACTCCTGAGCTCAAGGGATTCACTCGCCTCGGCCTCCCAAAGTGCTGGGATGACAGGTGTGAGTCACTGTGCCTGGCCAAAAACTGACCTTTAGAATGTGGCCTCTTACCCAGCAAAGACAAAGTCATCCTGATCAATTGTTCCTGGAGCACCTACTATATGCCAGGCACTGTACTGGGGCGATCACGGTGGGCAAGACCGGGTCTCCAATCCCAACGCGTGGGCTACTTTGGCCAACATAGTTAAAAATTGTTAAAATGACCAATTTTATATTATGTATATTTCTTTTTTTCTTTTTCTTTTTTTTCTTTTCTTTTCTTTTTTTTTTCTTTTTTTTGAGACAGAGTCTTGCTCTGTCGCCAAGGCTGGAGTGCAGTGGTGCAATCTCTGCTCACTGCAACTTCCACCTCCTGGGTTCAAATGATTCTCCTGCCTCAGCCTCCCGAGTAGCTGGGATTACAGGTGCCCACCACCACGCCTGGCTAATTTTTGTATTTTAGTAGAGACGGGGTTTCGCCATGTCCAGGCTGGTCTCTAACTCCTGACCTCAGGTGATCCGCCTACCTCGGCCTCCCAAAGTGCTGGGATTACAGGTATGAGCCACTGCGCCCAGCCTGTTATGTGTATTTCACTACAAATGTAAATGCCATTAAGCTAGGCAAGGTGGCTCATGCTTGTAATCCCAGTACTTTGGGAGGCCAAGGTGGGAGGACTGCTTGAGCCCAGGAGTTCAAGATTGGGTAACATGGCAAGACCCTGTCTGTACAAAAAATTTAAAAAATTAGCTGGGGCCAGGCTGGGCACGGTGGCTCATGCCTGTAATACCAGCACTTTGGGAGTCCAAGGTGGGCAGATCGTGAGGTCAGAAGTTCGAGACCAGCCTGACCAACATGGTGAAACCCGGTCTCTACTAAAAATGTAAAAATTAGCCAGGCGTGGAGGCGCGCGCCTGTAATCCCAGTTACTCGGGAGGCTGGGGCAGGAGAATCGCTGGAACCCGGGAGGCAGAGGGTGCAGTAAGCAGAGATTGCGCCACTGCACTCCAGCCTGGGCAACAGGGCGAGACTCTGTCTCAAAAAAAAAAAAAAATTAGCTGGGGCCCGGCATGGTGGCTCACACCTGTAATCCTAGCACTTTGGGAGGCTGAGGTGGGTGGATCACTTGAGTCTGGGAGTTCGAGACCAGCCTGGCCAGCATGGTGAAACCCCATCTCTACTAAAAATACAGAAATTAGCAGGCATGGTGGTGTGTGGCCGTAATCTCAGCTATTTGTGAGGCTGAGGTGGGAGATTCGCTTGAACCCAGGAGGTGGAGGCTGCAGTAAGCGGAGATCGTACCATTGCACTCCAGCTTGGGTGACAGAGCAAGACTCTGTCTCAAAAAAAAAAAAAATAGCTAGGCGTGGTGGCACATTCCTGTAGTATGAGCTACTTGGGAGGCTGAGGTGGGAGGATCATTTGAACCTGGGAAGTCGAGGCTCAAAGCTACAGTGAGCCAAGATTGCACCCCTGCACTCTAGCCTAGGGGACAGATCAAGACCCTGTATCCAAAAAATAAATAAACACACATAGAGACATAAAATATAAATATATATAATACACACAGAGACACATACATATGCAATACACATAAAGATATATATATACATATATGGAGAGAGCCACACTTACATACAGAGAGATACATATATATAACATACACAAACAGGCTGGGCAGGGTGTCTCACACCTGTAATCCTGACACTTTGGGAGACTGAAGTGGCAGGATTGCTTGAAATCAGGGATTTCAGACCAGCCTGGGTAACAAAGTGAGACCCCATCCCTCCAAAAAATAAAAGATTAGGGCTGGGCGTGGCGGCTCACGCCTGTAATCCTAGCACTTTGGGAGGCCGAGGCAGGCGGATCACCTGAGGTCAGGAGTTCAAGACCAGCCTGGCTGACATGGTGAAACCCCATTTCTACTGAAAATACAAAAAAAAATCAGCCGGGCATGGTGGCATCTGTAATCCCAGCTACTTGGGGGGCTGAGGCAGGAGAATCACTTGAACCCGGGAGGCAGAGGTTGCAGTGAGCCAAGATTGTGCCATTGTATTCCAGCCTGGGTGACAAGAGCGAAACTCCATCTCAAAATAAATAAATAAATATAAAAATAAAAAAATAAATAAAATAAAAAATTAGCCAGGTGTGGTGGTGCCTACCCGTACTCCCACACGTACTCAAGGAGGCCGATGCAAGAGGACAACTTAAGCTCAGGAGGTGGAAGCTGCAGTCTGCTATGATCGTACCATTGCACTCCCATTTGGGCATCAGAGTGAGACTCTGTCCCAAAAAAAAAAAAAAAAAAAAAAGAGGTCTGGCACGGTGGCTCAGGCCTGTAAACTCAGCTCCTCGGGAGGCTGAGGGAGGAGAATCGCTTGAACCTGGAAGGCAGAGGTGGCAGTGAGCTAAGACTGCGCCATTGAACTCCAGCCTGGGTGACAGAGCAAGACTCCATCTCAAAAAAAAAAAAGGCCGGGCGCGATGGCTCACGCCTGTAATCCCAGCACTTTGGGAGGCCGAGGCGGGTGGATCACGAGGTCAGGAGATCGAGACCATCCTGGCTAACATGGTGAAACCCCGTCTCTACTAAAAATACAAAAAATTAGCCAGGCGTGGTGGCAGGCACCTGTAGTCCCAGCTACTCAGGAGGCTGAGGCAGGAGAATGGCGTGAACCCAGGAGGTGGAGCTTGCAGTGAGCCGAGATGAGGCCACTGCACTCCAGCCTGGGCAACAGAGCGAGACTCTGTCTCAAAAACAAAAAAAACAAGAAACAAAACAACAACAACACACACACACGTATACGTAATACATAAGTGCATAAGTGCATAGATAGATAAAATACACTCACATAGAGACGTATTCTTATATATTTATATAATACACTCATGCAGGGTGAGATAATACACACTTTTTTGTACATCTTCTTTTTCTGACCCACTTAAGGATATATTGCACACATAACGTGTGCCTTTTGCCCTTTACTAAGAAAAAAAAGTGTTTATATAACCGTGGTACAGCTAGCAATTTCAGGAAATTTGACCCTGACATAGTACTGTTATCTAATCTATGGTCCATATTCCAGTTTCATCAATTGTGTCAAGCATGACCTGAACAGCTGTGGTTTGTGTTTCTGTTTGTTTTCCTTTGTTTTGGAGACAGGGTCTCACTCTGTCATTCAGGCTGGAGTGCAGTGGTGCGATTATAGCTCACTGCAGCCTCCAACTCCTGGGCTCAAGTGATCCTCCTGCCTCAGCCTCCTGAGCAGCTGGGACTACAGGCACATGCCACCACACCAGGCTAATTTTGGTATTTTTTGGTAGAGACAGGGTTTAGTTACATTGCCCAGGCTGGTCTCAAACTTGAACTCCTGAACTCAGGCGATCCTCCCACCCCGGCATCCCACAGACCTGGGATTACAGGCATGAGCCACTGTGCCTGGCCACAGCTGTTTTTTGTTTTGTTTTGTTTTTTTAAAAAAAACTGAGTCTCCCTCTTTTGCCCAGGCTGGAATGCAGTGGCATGATCTCAGCTCACCACAACCTCAGCCTCCTGGGTTCAAGCAATTCTCCTGCCTCAGCCTCCTGAGTAGCTGGGAATACAGGCACACGCCACCATGCCCAGCTAATTTTTGTATTTTTAGTAGAGATGGGGTTTCACTATGTTGGTCAGGCCGGTCTCGAACTCTGACCTCATGATCCTCCCGGATACACTATAATGTGCTAGGATTACAGGCGTAAGCCACCGCGCCCGGCCTCACAGCCATGTTTTTTATGAGCAGGACCCTATCCAGAATCATCCACTGCATTTCATTGTCATATCCTGTTGGTCCTTTTTTTTTTTTTTTTTAATCTGAGACAGGGTCGTTGTTATGTTGCCGAGGCTGGTCTCAAATCTGGACTCAAGCAATCTTCCTGCCTCAGCCTACTGAGTAACTGGGAATACAGGTGCATTCGCTATACCAGGCAGGGCACTGGCATTTTTTGAGACACGGTCTCACTTTGTCACCAAGGCTGGAGTGCAGCAGTGAGATCACAGCTCACTGCAGCCTCAACCTCCTGGGCTCAAGTGATCCTCCCACCTCAGCCTCCTGAGTAGCTGGGACAACAGGCATAAGCCACTATGCCTGGCCAAACACTGATATTTTCGAGATGTACACACCGGTTTTTTGTAGCACGTCCTCCATTTTGCATTTGTCTGATGCAGATGTTTCTTCCCCTTAAGGTGCCTGTTATGTATTTTTGGCAGTGATGTTGTGTCCTTCTCAGTGTATGATATCAGGAGGCACATGATATCTGTTTGCTCATTGGCACCATGAATGGTGCTAAGATTTAACTACATAAGTTGAATCCTAGATGGTCAATGCTGCAATGGGGTAAGCACACAGGCCTAGAAGAGTATAGAAAAGATGTCAATCCCATTAGGTAAGGATTCCTGGAGCAGGGGTCCTAAGACTGAGAGATGCTTGACAGAGTCCTAGACAAAGTGTACAGGAAATAGATGACTCAGGTTCAAGGAAGAGCATGAAAAATTCTCTCTGGCTTGAGACATGCAGGATTCTTCTCAGACAAGCCCACAAGGTTGTTAGGACTATGTAATGGCACATCGTGTCCAGTGACTGGCCTCTACCGCCCCCAGCAACTAACCACAGTCTTCCTGCCACACTGTACTCACATCCAGGTCACCAAGAAAGGTCAGCCCAAGAGCAGGACCTCAAACACTCAGGGCAGAAAGGATGACTCAGAATCTGGGCTGGTGCTCAGAAGGGAACGGGGTTGCCTTTCCACCCTCCCCTATTAGCTTTTCCCCATAATTCCTTCCAGTCTGGGAACTTGTACATTGCAGGGCAGACAGCTATGAAGTCACTAAGGAAATAATAACTGTAGCAGCGTACATTTATTTAGTGCCACCTTTACACCATCAGACACTTGTGTAATCCATTTTATCTCAACCTCAAGTCGGTCCCTGAAAGGAGATAAATTGAGCTTCTGAGACCTTTAGGAATTTGGACAAAGTCACACAGCTCAGAAGGGTCAAGATTTGAACCTAGGCCAGGCGTGGTGGCTCATGTCTGTAATTCCAGCAATTTGGGAGGCTGAGGTGGGCAGATTACCTGAGATCAGGAGTTTGAGACCAGCCAGGCCAACCTGGTGAAAACTTCTCTCTACTAAAAATACAAAATATTAGCTGGGCATGGTGGTGAGTGCTACCTCCCAGCTACTTGGGAGGCGGAGGCAGGAGAATCGCTCTAACCTAGGAGGCAGAGGCTGCAGTGAGCCAAGATCGCACAACTGCACTCCAGCCTGGGTGACAAAGCCAGAATCCATCTCAAAAAAAGAGATAAAAAAAAAGATTTGAACCTAGTTCTCTTTAGTTCCAAACCATTGAATCTCTCTTTCTGTCTTTTAAGACGGTGGCGGGGGAGGGCACGTGGGGTGGTGGTGGGATGTCTTGCTGTGTTGCCAAGGCTGGATTGGAACTACTGGGCCCAAGAAATCCTCCCATCTCAGCCTGCTCACTAGCTGGAATTAACGGTGCCCAAAACCGTGACCTCTTTTATTTTATTTTTCATTTAATTTTGTTGTTGTTTTGTTTTTGAGACGGAGTCTCACTCTGTCGCCCAGGCTGGAGTGCAGTGGCACTATCTCGGCTCACTGCAAGCTCCACCTCCTGGGTTCATGCCATTCGCCTGCCTCAGCCTCCCGAGTAGCTGGGATTACAGGTGCCCGCCACCAGGCCCAGCTAATTTTTTGTATTTTTAGTAGAGATGGGGTTTCACCGTGTTAGCCAGGATGGTCTTGATCTCCTGATCTCATGATCCGCCCGCCTCGGCCTCCCAAAGTGCTGGGATTACAGGCGTGAGCCACCGTACCTGGCCTATTTTTAAAGCTTGTCATTGTTTTGTAATTTACGATTTATTTATTTATTTATTTGAGACAGCGTCTTGTTCTGTCACCCAGGCTGGAGTGCAGTGGGGCGATCTCGACTTACTACTACCTATGCCTCCCAGCTTCAGGGGGTTCTTATGCCTCAGCCTCCTGAGTAGCTGGGATTACAGCTGCTGGCCACCATGCCCGGCTAATTTTTGTATTTCTAGCAGAGACTGGGTTTCACCATGTTGATCTTGAACTCCTGATCTCCAGTGATCCACCCGCCTCGGCCTTCCAAAGTGTTGGGATTACAGGCGTGAGCCATCGCGCCCAGCCTATTTTTATTTTTGGGAAATTATTTTTACAACAATAAGAAAAAGCTAGAGATAGATTCCCCCACTACCCCCCACCCCGAAAATTCCTTCTCTGTATATACCCGGTTTGACAACCGCGGCCCCGGGGGGTTTACCCTAGATAGCAGCGCCCTCTGGTGGTGAACTCGAGAGCAGCTGTTCTGGCCGCTCAGACGCGCTCCTTTCCCGCTGATCCCAGGCGCCTGAGAGGAAGTTCAAGGCCTCCTGGCGGCTGCCCGCCCGCTGTGGGAGGCTCGAGAAGACTGAGTAAATCAAGGGGGAAGTGGAGATGATGACGACGATGATGATTTTTGAGACAGAGTCTCGCTCTGTCGCCCAGGCTGGAGTACAGTGGCGCGATCTCGGCTCACTGCAACCTACACCTCCCGGGTTCAGGGGATTCTCCTGCCTTGGCCTCCCAAGTAGCTGGGACTACAGGCGCACGCCACCACACCCGACTAACTTTTGTATTTGTAGTAGAGATGAGGTTTCACCATGTTGGCCAGGCTGGTCTCAAACTCCTGACTTCAAGTGATCCACCCGCTTCAGCCTCCCAAATTGCTGGGATTATAGGCGTGAGCCACTGCACCCCGGTTGAGACAGTCTTGCTCTTGGCCCAGGCTGCAGTGCAGTGGCGTGATCATAGCTTACTGTAGCCTCAAATTCCTGGGCTCAATCAATTCTGCCATCTCAGCATCCTGAGTAGCTGGGACTACGGGAACATGCTACCATCCCCAGCTAATTTTTAAAAATGTCTGCTGGGTGCAGTGGCTCATGCCTGTAATCCCAGCACTTTGGGAGGTCGAGGCGGGTGGATTACGAGGTCAGCAGATGGAGACCATCCTGGCTAATGCGGTGAAACCCCATCTCTACTAAAAATACAAAAAATTAGCCAGGCATGGTGGCAGGTGCCTGTAATCCCAGCTACTAGGGAGGCTGAGGCAGGGGAATTGCTTGAACCCTGGAGGCGGAGCTTGCAGTGAGCCGAGATTGCGCCACTGCACTCCAGCCTGGGCGACAGAGCAAGACTCTGTCTCAAAAATAAATAAATAAATTTTCTAGAGACAGGGTCTTGCTTTGTTGCCCAGGCTGGTCTCAAACTCTCAGCCTCAAGCAATTCTCCTGTCTTAGCCTCTCGAGGCACTAGGATTACAGGCATGCACACCACAACTGGCCAATGCTGTCTTTTGAAGCTCCTGACTGGGGCCAATTAGCTCTCATGTCAGGGGTGTCAATGTTCTGAGACAGGCCGGGCACAATGGCTCACGCCTGTAATCCCAGCATTTTGGGAGGCAGAGGTGGGCGGATCACCTGAGGTCAGGAATTTGAGACCAGCCTCGCCAACATGGTGAAACCCTGTCTCTACTAAAAATACAAACAATTAGCTGGGCTGATAGCAGGTGCCTGTAATCCCAGCTACTGGAGAGACTGAGGCTGAAGAATTGCTTGAATTCGGGAGGCGGAGCTTGCAGTGAGCTGAGATCGCGCCACTGTACTCCAGCCTTGGCGACAGAGCGAGACTGTCTCAAAAAAAAAAAAAAAAAAAAAAAAAAAACTGTTCAGAGACAGGCGCAGTCTCTCTGGGCAGTTAAGCATTCCAGATGGGGGCAGGGGTGCCTTGGAGTTTCCAGGAGGCCCCTAAAATGGCAAAGGAGCTGAAAGTGGCTCCCAAGGGGTTCAATGTATTCTGGAGTGCCCGGGAACCTCCTCCCTCTCTCTTTTCTTTTCTGACTCAAGCCTCAGCCTGGGACAGGGTGGGAGAGAGAAGGGTCACATTTTCTACCATGAACACCCAGGGTATTAGGAATGTGGGGGAGGAGGGAAGTTGTTTAAGAGGTCTAAGAGCATCTTCCTCACCCACGCAAGCAAAATTCCTTTTCTTTCTTTCTTTCTCTTTCCTTCTTTCTTTCTTTCTCTTTCTTTCTTTCTATTTCCGTCCCTCCCTCTCTCTCTTTCTTTCTTTTCTCCCCTCTTTCTCTCTTTCTTCCTTCCATCCTTCCCTCCCTCCCTCCTTTCTTCCTTTTTCTTTCCTTCTTTTTCTTTCTTTCTCTTTCCCTCCCTCCCTCTTTTTCTTTCTTCTTTTCCCCCCTTTCTCTCTTCCTTCCTTCCTTCCCTCCCTCCCTCCTTTCTTTCTTTCTTTCTTTCTTTCTTTCTTTGTCTCTCTTTTCTTTCTTTCTTTTTTTTTTGACAGAGTCTCGCTCTGTCACCCAGGCTGGAGTGCAGTGGCGCGATCTTCGCTCACTGAAACCTCTGCCTCAGCCTCCTGAGTAGCTGGGATTACAGGTGCACAGCACCATGCCCGGATACATTTTTTAGTTTTAGTACAGATGGGGTTTCGCCATGTTGGCCAGGCTGGTCTCCAACGCCTGACCTCAGGTGATCCGCCCACCTCAACCTCCCAAATTGCTGGGCATGCAGGCATGAGCCACCGTGCCCGGCCCCTTTTCTTTCTTATACCTCTCCCCACTGGCTAGCTAGGCAGGAATACTCTTCAGAAATTCTTGGTCTGCAGGGAGCTTGAAATCACCTTTCAATCTTTCCATTCAGTGAAAATTTATTGAGTGTCTACTGTGTGCTGAGCACCTGTGGTGGGATTCTGAGTAGCTGGGATTACAGGCGCCCACCACCACAGGCTGGAGTGCAATACTGCACTCTCAGCCCATTGCAACCTCTGCCTCCTGAGTTCAAGTGATTCTCCTGCCTCAGCCTCCTGAAGAGCTGGGATTACAGGCGCACGCCACAATGCCCAGCTAAATTTTGTTTTTTTTTTTTGAGACGGAGTCTCGCTCTGTCACCTAGGCTGGAGTGCAGTGGTGCGATCTTGGCTCACTGCAAACTCCGCCTCCCGGGTTCATGCCATTCTCCTGCCTCAGCCTCCTGAGTAGCTGGGACTACAGGCACCCGCCACCACGCCCGTCTAATTTTTTGTATTTTTAGTAGAGACGGGGTTTCACCGTGTTAGCCACGATGGTTTCAATCTCCTGACCTCGTGATCCGCCTGCCTTGGCCTCCCAAAGTGCTGGGACTACAGGCGTGAGCCACCGCGCCTGGCCAATTTTTGTATTTTCAGTAGAGACGAGGGTTTCAACATATTGGTCAGGCTGGTCTCGAACTCCTGAACTCAAGTGATCCGCCTGCCTCAGCCTCACAACATTCTGGGATTACAGGCATGAGCCACCACTCTGGCCGCAATTTCCAATCTCCTTTTCTCTCTCTCTGTCTCTCTCTCTCTCTCTCTCTCTCTCACACACACACACACACACACACAAACACACACCCCTCTGCTTCCATCATAACACCTTCTATAACTCTGACCCTCCTACCTTTCTCTTCTTTTTTATTTTGAGACAGAGTCTCTGTCTTTCAGGCTGAAGTGCAGTGGTGTGATCTTGGCTCACTGCAATCTCTGCTTCCTGGGTTCAAGAGAAGTGATTCTCATGCCTCAGCCTCTGGAGTAGCTGGGACTACAGGCATGCACCACCATGCCTGGCTAAATTTTTTGTGTGTTTTTAGTAGAGGAAGGGTTTCACCATGTTAGCCAGGCTGGTCTCGAACTCCTGGCTTCAAGTGATCTGTCCGCCTCAGCCTCCTAAAGTGCTGGGATTACAGGCGTGAGCCACTGTGCCAGCCATAATGATTTTATGTTATGAGACAGGGTCTCACTCTGTTGCCCAGGCTGCAGTACAGTGGCTCAATCATGGCTCACTGCAACTTCGACCTCCTGGGCTCAAGCGATCCTCCTGCCTCAGCTTCCCAATGTGCTGGGATTACCGGAATGTGTCACTGCACCTGGCCAATAATCAGGTTTTTATCTTGCCTTTCTTCTCTAAAAGTGTCACTGGAAAACCAGATAGTACATAAGAAGAAGTATCTTGCATAAAAAAAAAAAAAAGAATTCAACTAACAAATAAGGACGAAATGGCCAGGCGTGGTGGCACAAGCCTGTAATCCCAGCTACTAGGGAGGCTGAGGAAGGAGAATCACTTGAACCTGGGAGGCAGAGGTTGCAGTAAGCTGAGATTGTGCCACTGCACTCCAGCCTGGGTGACAGAGCGAGATTCCATCTCATAAAAAAAATTAAATAAGTAAATAAAGAAGGAAGAAACACAAGAGATATGACATCACTATTTTGTAATCTCTAAGGAGTTAATTCTCGATGGCTACTGGACTGAGGAAAGGAGGCACAGCCAAACATCACAAGCCTCCTAGTGAAAGAACAGAACGCCATCAGTAGTCATGTCAAAGTAATCAAATCTGAGTCTGACCCCAGTTCTAGAAGCAACCGCCAATTTGCAGGGAATACCAAGGACAGAAGAACATCCTGAACTAACTACACAATGAGTGTAGGATCAGCAACATTTAGACCATAGGAAACACTTCAGGACAAGCAGCCAATTGTGCGATCCTTTTTTTTTTTTTCCTTCCTTCCTTCCTTCCTTCCTTCCTTCCTTCCTTCCTTCCTTCCTTCCTTCCTTCTTTCCTTCCTCCTTCCCTTCCCCTCCCTTCCTCCCTTCCTCCCTTCCTCCCTTTCTCTCTTTCTCTCTTTCTTTCTTTCTTTCACAGGGTCTCACTCTGTTTCCCAGGCTGGAGTGCAGTGATGTGATCACAGCTCACTGCAGCCTTGATCACCTGGGCTCGAGCGATCCTCCCACCTCAGCCTCCCCAGTAGCTGGGACTACAGGTGCATGCCACCATACCCAGCTAATTTTTGTAGTTTTTGTAGAGATGGGGGGTCTCACTATATTGCCCAGGATAATCTCGAACTCCTGGGCTCAACCGTTCCTGCTGCCTCGGCCTCCCAAAGTGCTGGGATTACAGGTGTGAGGCACCATGCCCAGGCATGCAATGCTTCTATTGTAAGGGAAAGGGAGGGATGGAGAGGAACCTGTGAATTAAAAGAGGCTTAGGCCGGGCGCGGTGGCTCACACCTGTAATCCCAGCACTTTGGGAGTCCCAGGTGGGCAGATCACCTGAGATCGGGAGTTCCAGACCAGCCTGGCCAACATGGAGAAACTCCATCTCTACTAAAAATACAAAAATTAGCCGGACGTGGTGGCGCATGCCTGTAATCCCAGCTACTCAGGAGGCTGAGGCAGGAGAATCGCTTGAATCTAAGAGGCAGAGGTTGCAGTGAGCCAAGATTGCACCACTGGACTCCAGCCTGGGCAACAAGAGTGAAACTGCATCTCAAAAAAATAAAATTAAAAATAAATAAATAAATAAATAAACAGGCTTAGGCCGGGCGCGGTGGCTCGTGCCAGTAATCCCAACACTATGGGAGGCTGAGGCTGGTCGATCACAAGGTCAGGAGATCGAGACCATCCTGACCAACATGGTGAAACCCCATCTCTACTAAAATACAAAAAATTAGCTGGGCATGGTGGCTTGTGCCTGTAGTCCCAGCTGCTCTGGAGGCTGAGGCAGGGGAATCGGTTGAACCTGGGAGATGGAGGTTGCAGTGAGCCAAGATCACGCCACTGCACTCTAACCTGGTAACAGAGCAAGACTCCGTCTCAAAAAAAAAAAAAAAAAAACGGGCAGGGGGAGCTTAAAAGACATATCATTTTCTTTTTGAATGGGCAAGACTAAACTCCAGTGTCTACAGATTCACATTTGGATAATAAAACTATACATGTGCAGTGGCGCTCACCTGTCTCCCAGCTACTCAGGAGGCTAAGGATCATTTGAGCCCAGGAGTTCCAGGCTGCAGTGAGCATTGATTGCACCACTGCACTCCAGCCTGAACAATACAGTGAGACTCTGTCTCGAAATAAATAAATAAGCAAACAAACAGAAACCTACACAGGGCCGGGCGTGTTGGCTCATGCCTGTAATCCCAGCACTTTGGGAGGCCGAGGCAGGTGGATCACCTGAAGCCAGGAGCTCAAGACCAGCATGGTCAACATGGTGAAACCCCATCTCTACTAAAAATACAAAAAATCTGGTCATGGTAGCGGGCACCTGTAATCTCAACTACTCAGGAGGCTGAGGCAGGAGAATCATTTGAACCCAGGAGACTGCAGTGAGCTGAGATCATGCCACTGCACTCCAGCCTGGGCAACAGAGCGAGATTCTGTCTCAAAAATAAATAAATAAATAAACAAACAAATAAATAAAAGTCACAAAACAGTGGTTACTTAGGGAGTGAGGGGCAGCTGTGACTAGGACATAGTCCACGGAGGCGCTTCTGGGGTAGCTGGCAAGTGCAGTTGGTTGGCCCGGGTGGAGGCGACGATGACCTTCATCTCAGCACTGGGTTTCTGAAACTTAGCACTCTTGACATTCAGGCCACATAATTCTTGGTCCT
The DNA here is from genome assembly GCF_000001405.40 of Homo sapiens. Classification (NCBI taxonomy): domain Eukaryota; kingdom Metazoa; phylum Chordata; class Mammalia; order Primates; family Hominidae; genus Homo; species Homo sapiens. The sequence continues at coordinate 8,347,961 of NC_000019.10, read as the reverse complement.
TGGGGATGGCCTGTGCATTGCAGGGTGGTTAGCTACATTCCTGGCCTCCGCCCTCTAGAGGCCAAAAACACCCGCCTCCTCATTACCCAAAAGTGCTCCTGGATATTGTCAAACATTCTCCCATGGGGCAAAATCACTCCTGGTTGAGAACTACCCCCTGGAGGAACTCCTTAAACTATACATTTGTGGGGTTTTTTGTTGTTGTTGTTGGTTTTGTTTTGTTTTTTGTTTTTGTTTTTTACTTTTAATTGCATTTATTTTAATGCTGAATTTACTCCCATGCCATAAGTTTTTGTTTCTTCAGTTTCTTCTGGGATATCTTTTTCTTTCTTTTTTTTTTTTCCGAGATGGAGTTTCACTCTTGTTGCTCAGGCTGGAGTGCGATGGTGCGATCTCGGCTCACCGCAACCTCTGCCACCCGGGTTCAAATGATTCTCCTGCCTCAGCCTCCTCCTGAGTAGCTGGGATTACATGCATGCGCCACCACGCTCGGCTAATTTTATATTTTAAGTAGAAATGGGGTTTCTCCATGTTGGTCAGGCTGGTCTCGACCTCCCGACCTCAGGTGATCCACCCGCCTCGGCCTCCCAAAATGCTGGGATTACAGGCGTGAGCCACTGCGCCCGGCCTTGGGATATCTTTTTCTTTTGGGCAACCTCCTCCTCTGGCTTAGGAAAAATCTGTTCCTTTTCAGTAAGAATCATCTCAGTGTGGCAGGGAGAACTCATTCATGGGTTAATCCGACCGGAGTTCCGTAGGTCTGGCGACGCATCTTAGGTACTTTGTTCACTTGGATATGCTCAATGACCAGAGAATCTACATATAACCCTTAAGTTCAGCATTACTCTCTGCATTTTTTTTTTTTTTGAGACGGAGTCTCGCTCTACTGCCCAGGATGGAGTGCAGTGGCACAATCTCGGCTTTGCAACCTCCGCCTCCCGGGTTCAAGCAATTCTCCTGCCTCAGCCTCCCTGGTAGCTGGGACTACAGGCACGTGCCACCACACCCAGCTAATTTTTGTATTTTTAGTAGAGATGGGGTTTCACCGTGTTGGCCAGGCTGGTCTCGAACTCCTGACCTCAGGTGATCCGCCCACCTCAGCCTCCCAAAGTGCTGGGATTACACGTGTGAGCCACCATGCCCGGCCACTCTCTGCATTTTTAAGCATGTACAGCAAAAATTCAGCACTTTTTCTGGGCCACTGACTTTGTGTCCAGCCCCACTGCTTGGCCTGGGCACACCTGCCAACTCCACCATTGTAATGTTGGAATGGTACACACAGTTTCTGTAAAGTGACATCTTTCAGATACTTCGTGGATTTTCATATATACATACCCTTGATGGCCTGGGCAGTTTCATGAGTGTTCTCCAAGTGAACATGAAGATTTGAACCTCTTGATTTGCATGATTTTGTGGGGTTCTCTGGGTCAAGTAAATAGCGAACCATTTTCCCAGATTACCTCAGGCCACTTAGGGAAAGAGTATACATTTGTTTTATGTGGTTTCTTGAATCTGCTGTGTGTGTGCATCTATGGACGCTTTATTTTACAACTATATATATATATATATATATATATATATATATATATATATTTTTTTTTTTTTTTTTTTTTTTTTGAGACAGAGTTTCACTCTCGTTGCCCAGGCTGGAATGCAATGGCTCACTCTCGGCTCACTGCAACCTCTGCCTCCCAGGTTCAAGTGATTCTCCTGCCTCAGCCTCCCAAGTAGCTGTGATTACAGGCATGCACCACTACACTGGGATAATTTTGTGTTTTTAGTAGAGACGGAGTTTCTCCATGTTGGTCAGGCTGGTCTCGAACTCCCGATATCAGGTGATCTGCCTGCCCTGGCCTCCCAAAGTGCTGGGATTACAGGCGTGAGCCACCGCACCCGGCCACAATAAAAATATTTTAGGGCTGGGTGCGGTGGCTCACGCCTGTAATCCCAGCACTTTGGGAGGCTGAGGCAGGCAGATCACGAGGTCAGGAGATCAAGACCATCCTGGCTAACACGGTGAAACCCCGTCTCTACTAAAAATACAAAAACAGCCAGGTGTGGTGGTGGGTGCCTATAGTCCCAGCTATTCGGGAGGCTGAGACAGGAGAATGGCATGAACCCGGGAGGCGGATCTTGCAGTGAGTGGAGATCACACCACTGTACTCCAGCCTGGGTGACAGAGCAAGACTCCGTCTCAAAAAAAAAAAAAAATTATATATATATATATATATATATATATATATATATACACACACACACACACACATATATTTTAAACATTCCAATGGAGGCCAAGTGCAGCGGCTCATGCCTGTTATGCCACTATTTAGGGAGGCTGAGGCAGGAGAATCACTTGAACCCAGGAATTTGCGACCAGCCTGGGCAACATAGAGAGACCCTGTCCTTACAAAAATAAGAAACCTGCTGGACGTGGTAGCACATGCCTGTAGTCCCAGCTACTCGGGAGGTTGAGGTGGGAGGATTGCTTGAGTCTGGGAGTTCAAGGCTGCAGTGAGCCATAGGTCTTGCCACAGAACTCCAGCATCGGCAACAGAGTAAACTTTGTCTCAAAGGAACAAAGAAGAAAATTCCAATGGAGTTTCTGTGGGGAAACGCGACAGAATTCCACAGTTTTAACTGAAAGAATCAACCAATTAAAATAGCCCAGGAATTTTGTTTTTTTTTAAAAAGTATCAGATGTTAAAATACATTTTAAAATATTACTATATTCTGGCCAGGTGCTGTGGCTTATGCCTGTGATCCCAGCACTTTGTGAGGCCAAGGCAGGTGGATTGCTTGAGCCAAGGAGTTGAAGACCAGCCTGGGCAAAGTAGTAAAAGCCCGTCTCTACTAAAAATAAAAAAAATTAGCTAGGCGTAGCACACACTTGTAATCCCAGCTACTTGGGAGGCTGAGGCAGGAGGATCTCTTTAACCTGGGAGGCGGAGTTTGTAGTGAGCTGAGATATTGTGCCACAGCACTCTACCCTGGGCAACAGAATGAGACCCTGACTCAAAAAAGAAAAAGAAAACATTATTTCAGCAAACATTTATTAAGCATCTACTGTGTACTAGGGTCGCTGGATAAAGCAGTTATCAAAACCAGTTTCCTGTTCCCATGGTGCTGACACTTAATTTAGAGACAGAGTCTCACTCTGTTGCCCAGGCTGGTCTTGAGCTGCTGGGCTCAAAAGATCCTCCCACCTCAGCCTCAGGAGGTGCTAGGATTACAGGCATGAGCCACCCCACCTGGCCTTGGTGCCGACACTTTAGTGAGATGGCAAGCAGGTAAACCAATAAATAACCAGCCAGGCATGGTGGCTCACGCCTGTAATCCCAGCACTTTGGGAGGCTGAGGTGGGCGGATCACCTGAGGTCAGGAGTTCGAGACCAGCCTGGGCAACATGGTGAAACCCTGTCTCTACTAAAAATACAAAAATTAGCTGGGCGTGGTGGTGTGCGCCTGTAATCCCAGCTACTTAGAAGGCTGAGGCAGGAGAATCGCTTGAACCCCAGGAGGCAGAGGTTGCAGTGAGCCAAGATCGCACCACTGCACTCCAGCCTGGGACAGAGCGAGACTCTGTCTAAAAAAAAATTAAATTAAATTAAAAAATAAACCAAATAAATAACTGAGTGTTTCGTTTTTGTCTTTTTGTTTTGTTGTTTTCTTTTGTTTTGAGAACTAGGTCTTGCTATGTTGCCCAGGCTGGTCTCAACTCCTGGCTCAAGCTATCCTCCCATCTATGCCTCCCTAAATACTGGATTTACAGGCGTGAGTCACTGCGCCTGCCAATAACAGAGTCTGCTTTTTTTTTTTTTTCCAGATAGTAAAAGTAGCTATTAGGTTAATACAATAGAGTGATGAGAAAAATACTAACTGGGGAGGGGCTATGTCAGGAATTTAGGGGGCAGCAACACAAAAGCTGAACCTCAGAAAGTAGGGAAGGCCGGGCGCGGTGGCTCACGCCTGTAATCCCAACACTTTGGGAGGCTGAGGCGGGCGGATCACTTGAGGTCAGGAGTTCCAGACCAGCCCGGCCAACATGGTGAAACCCCATCTCTACTAAAAATACAAATATTAGCTGGACGTGGTGGTGTGTGTCTGTAATCCCAGCTACTCGGGAGGCTGAGGCAGGAGAATTGCTTGAACCCAGGAGGCGGAGGTTGCAGTGAGTGTCACTGCACTCCAGCCTGGGACTCCGTCTCAAAAAACAAAAACAAAACAAAACAAAAAACAGTAGGGGAGCCTCAAAAAGTACCTACGTGTACAGGTGCAAGGGAAAGCATTTCAGGTAGGTGGAACAGCATGTGCAGAGGCCCTGCGGTGGGGAAGATCCGGGACCTGATACTTCACCCAGGCACTGCGAAATAAGTGCCAGTTATAGAAATCCCACCGGGTTACTCTTCTACTCATAGTTCTCCCATGGCTCCCTCGTGCCTGTGGATCAAATCCAAGCTCCTTGGCCCGGCGCTGGGCAGAGACTTGACCTCTGCTGGTGCAGAAATGCCGCCAGCCAGCGCTCGGCGACCGTCACTCCAGGGCCCGCCCTCAGTCACCACCCCTACATTCCAGGCCCCGCCTGCCTGTCCCACCCCACCGTCCCACTGGGCGGCTTGGAGAGCCTCGGGTGCTGGTTGGCTGGCGTGGCCGTCAGTTAGGGCGAAGGCCTTGATAATCAGTCCCCGGACTTCGAGGGGGCGGGCTCGGGTGCGGGCGCGGCTGGGGCTGCGGCTTCAGGTAAATTGCCAGCTTGCGGGGACACGGATGGGGGACCCCTGGGTGGGTGGATTCGGGGACGCACCGGGACCCGGCGCTGCGCTGCGTTTCCAGCCCCACTGAGGGCTCTGCCCGCTGCGACGGGGCGGGCGTCGTGTCCTCTGGCCGGGACCCCTCCCACATTGGAAGTCCCAGGTGGGTAGCGAGCAGAGTGGGGGGCTCTGGAGGCGTGGGCTTGCCCCCCTCTCGCCCTTCGGGAGCTCACTGCGGGGCTCGTTCGCTCCCTAATGCCACAACCGGCCCTGGGACCCTTTCCCGGGACGGCCTGGGGACCCCAGCCAGCCCCTCGCGCTGGGCTGGGTGTGGGAGCGTGTCACGGAAATGGTGTTTTGGGGAGGGACGCACGGCCCCCGGACCCGCAGACAATGGGTAGCGGATGGAACCGCCCGGCGGCGCTTCCTGTAGGAAACTGCTCTGTCTCTGTGCGGCTAGGACGACCTGGGGGTGGACGGGTGATGATGACTTTAACACCCACCTTCCTGCCGCCACCGGTCCCCCACCCACCCACCTCAAGAGTCTGAGAGTCCCAGCAGACATCAGGGGCTGCCAGTACTCAGGGCCTCCTGGAAGGCGCCCTCTCCCCAGGACTGGGATCCTCACTGGCCTGCCGTGGCCCCCACCACTCCGGTTTGGTGATCACAGCTCTGCGTCCCAAAATAGTCCCTGGGGCGGGAGAGGGGGCGTGTGGCGTCGGCTCTGACGGCCTAATGAGGGGGTCTCAGGCACAGAATCCGGATCTAGCTGTGACAGTCAGGGCAGGGAGCGGAGGAGAGGGAAGGCAGCTAAACGCCCCACTTAGTGAGGCCCCAGCCCCTGAAGCCGCAGAGGTGGTGGGCACCTCCGCCCCCAATCAGAGTCTGACACAGGTGTAGGCTGGGAGGGACAAGCCCCCTGAGGCTCCTTGGTGGTTCATGCCTGTTATCCCAGCACTTTGGGAGGTCAAGTAGGGCTGATCTCTTGAGGTCAGGAGTTTGAGACCAGACTGACCAACATGATGAAACCCGTCTCTACTAAAAATTCAAAAATTAGCCAGCTGTGGTGGCAAGTGCCTGTAATCCCAGCTACTCAGGATGCTGAGGCAGGAGAGTCGCTTGAACCCTGGGCTCAGAGGTTGCAGTGAGCCGAGATCCTGCCACTGCACTCCAGCCTGGGTGACAGAGACTCCGTCTCAAAAATAAAAATAAAAGAAAGCATTCAAGTGTAGTGGCCAAAGCAAGGACTCTGGAAGACCTGCCTGGGTTTAAAACCTGCCTCTGCCTGTTTATGACAGGACCCAGGCAGGACACTAAACTGTTCTGTGTCTCAGTTTCTCCATCTGTACAATAGGGGAAGGGACAATGATCATAGGAAATCCAACCTCAGTGGATTTAGCTAGGATTTTAAAAAATAAGTCAAGGTCAGGTGCAGTAGCTCATGCTTGTAATCCCAGCACTCTGGGAGGCTGAACTGGGAAGATTGCTTGAGCCCAGGAGTTGGAGGCCAGCCTGGGCAATATAGCAAGACACCTGTATCTACAAAAAATAAAATTAGGCCGGGCACGGCTCACGCCTGGTTTGAGACCAGCCTGGCCAACATGGTGAAACTCCGTCTCTACTAAAAATACAAAAATTAGCCAGGCATGGTGGTGCACACCTGTAATCCCAGCTGCTTGGGAGGCTGAGGCAGGAGAATCACTTGAACCCGGGAGGCGGAGATTGCAGTGAGCTGAGATTGTGCCACTGCACTCCAGCCTGGGCGACAGAGCATGACTCCATCTAAAACAAAAAACCAAAAAATTTAAAATATTAGCCTGAATTAGCCAGGTGTAGAGGTCCATTCCTGTAGTCTCAGCTATTTGTGAGGCTGAGGCGGATCACTTGAGCTCAGGGGTTCAAGGCCACAGTGAGCTATGATCGAGCCACTGACTCCAGCCTGGGTGACAGAGTGAGCGAGACATTGCCTCTAAAAAAAAAAAAAAAAAAAGTAAATATCCATAAATTCCTTAGACTAGAGGCTGGCCCATAGTAAATATCAAAAGCGTTGTTATTATTTGACATTCTGGAGGGATCCATTCCTTTCTTAGCCCAGCCTCTGGATCCAACTGCTTCAGCTAGTTTAGGTCTTAGGAATGGCCCACAGCTGTCTTCTGAGATCCCAGGGCCTGGGATTTGGGTGTGACCAGGTCACCGGAGGAGGACGCTGACCCCATTGCGTCATACGGCCAGCTGTGTGAGAAGTAGACCCAGACCCCCCAACCCTTGATCTGGACTTTTTCCACAACCCAGTTCTTCCCTGGCAATTTCCTGAAAACAAGTGATGAACGGCATTGGCTGTCCTCTGCGATGACCCGCTGGCCTGTTGATCCACCCCTTGCAGCTGGTGTGAAGGGACGGGAAACAGCTGCTTGGGGACTGGAAGAGGCCCCCTGCCTGGCCTTGGAGTGGGAAGGGAGAGGTCAGGGACCTCGGCCAGACAGAAGTGGGAAATGGAGTTACGGTTTCCCCAGCGGTGGAGTAGGGTAATGAGTCAGGAGGGCTGGTGGGTGCTCAGTGCTTCATAGCATCAGGCACACAGGTGGTCCCAGGGATTCGAGAAGCCAGAAGGGGTGGCTGGGAGTGTTGCCATGTGGTTAGCACAGACGGGCCGTGGCCCAGGGAGAGGATGAAGTGGGTTTGGCAGATGCCTGTCAGTGGAGGACTGGACAGGTAAAGGGCAGTCAGAAGCTGTGGCAGGGACCTGCTGACAAGGGTTCCGCAGATGGGCAGAGCCCAATCTGAGGGTGCTTCCCACAGGCAACTGATTTAATTGTTCTGTGCCTCAGTTTCTCCATCTGTAAAATATGAATAATAATACTACTTTGCAGTATGCAAAGTGTTGTATGGGGGCTGTGTGTGTGTGTGTGTGTGTGTGTGTGTATATATATATATATATGGTTTTTTTTTTTTGAGACGGAGTCTGGCTCTGTCCCCCAGGCTGGAGTGCAGTGGCATGATCTCAGCTCACTGCAACCTCTGCCTCCCAGGTTCAAGCGATTCTCCTGCCTCAGCCTCCTGAGTAGCTGGGACTACAGGCATGCACCATTGTGTCCAGCTATGGCGATGACATTTAATCAGGAAGGGCACACCGTAGGCACTTTCCCCTCCCTGAAGGTTTTCCATGTGGGCTTTCCAAAGCCCATCTTTCCCACTCCATGTTCCTGTGCTTTTCTTTTCTTTTCTTTTCTTTTTTTTTTTTTTTTTTTTTGAGACAAGGTCTTGCTCTGTCAACCAGGCTGGAATGCAGTGGCATGATCATAACTCACTGCAGCCTGCATCTCCTGGACTCAAGAGATACTCCTGCCTCAGCTTCTTGAGTAGCTGGGACTACAGGTGCATGCCAACACATCCAGCTAATTTTTGTGTTTTTTGTAGAGATGGGGTTTCGCTATTTTATTTATTTATTTAGAGACAGAGCTTCGCTCTTGTTGCCCAGGCTGGAGAGCAATGGCTTGTGAGCCACTGTGCTTGGTGGTTTCACTATTTAAAAACAAACAAACAAAAGAGATAGTGGCCAGGCACCTTGGCTCATGCCTGTAATCCCAGCACTTTGGGATGCCGAGGTGGGTGGATCACCTGAGGTCAGGAGTTCGAGACCAGCCTGGCCAACATGATGAAACCCTATCTCTACTAAAAATACAAAAAATTAGCCAGGTATAGTAGCAGTGGCTGTAATCCCAGCTACTCAGGAGGCTGAGGCAGGAGAATCACTTGAACCCAGGAGGCAGAGGTTGCAGTGAGCCAAGATTGTGCCACTGCACTCTAGCCTGGGCAACAAGAGGGAAATTCTGTCTCAAAAAAAAAAAAAAACAAAAAGAGATAGGGTCTCGCTATGTTGCGCAGGTGGGTCTTGACTCCTAGGCTCAAGCGATCCTTCTGCTTTGGCTTCCCAGAGTGCTGAGATTTCACCCTGTGCTTTTTGAACCAAAGTTCTGGATTCAATATTTGTCCTTGTTAAATATCACATTATTATATGTGGCCCAATCTTCCTCACTTTCTTACAGCCTCCATCATGTCATCCAAACAGTCACTTTCCCAGGCAGCCCCATGAATAGTCACAGCTCTGACAACCCAGGTGTTTTGTGTTTGCATTACAAACTCTTACAAGCCAAGGATCAAGCCTGTGACACTCCGCTAGCGACATTCCAGGGAGACAAGTATCCGTTGATTTGTTGATTTGGATCTTTGGTGCATCCAGCCCGCAATTCCCCATCATTCCTGCAAGAGTTTCACAACTGACCTTGGTAAAAATTTGGATGCACAATTACATCCTTTTTTTTTTTTTTTTTTTTTTTTTTGAGACGGAATCTCGCTCTGTTGCCAGGCTGAAGTGCAGTGGCGCCACCTCAGCTCACTGCAAGCTCCGCCTCCCGGGTTCACGCCATTCTCCTGCCTCAGCCTCCCGAGTAGCTGGGACTACAGGCGCCTGCCACCACGCCCGGCTACTTTTTTATATTTTTAGTAGAGATGGGGTTTCACCGTGTTAACCAGGATGGTCTCGATCTCCTGACCTCATGATCCGCCCTCCTCGGCCTCCCAAAGTGCTGGGATTACAGGCGTGAGCCACCGCGCCCAGCCTAGATGAGTTTTTAATGATCCTGTGAAGGGCTTCCAACTCTGGTCTTTCTTTCCTAAAGGCTCATAGTCCACTACATAGAGCGTCCATTTCTGATTTTCCCCAGAGATTATCAGAAAACCCAGCAGGTCTGGAATGCCTCCCCAACTCCCAGCTACCCTTGTTTTCTTGGTCACCTTCTTCTTTTTGCTTGATGTCTTTCCTGCTTCCTCCTGCCCAGCAGGCTGACATCTGACACCTGGGGATCATTCATTCCATCCAAAGTTTCAAGGTCGGCTAGGCACGGTGGCTCATGCCTATAATCCCAGTACTTTGGGAGGTCGAGGCAGGCGGATAACTTGAGGTCAGGAGTTCGAGACCAGCCTGGCCAACATGGTGAAACCTCATCTCTACCAAAAATACAAAAATTAGCCAGGCGTGGTGGTGGGCACCTGTAATCCCAGCCACTTGGGAGGCTGAGGCAGGAGATTCACTTGAACCCGGGAGGGGGAGGCTGCAATGAGCCGAGATTGTGGCATTGCACTCCAGCCTGGGTGACAGAGCGAGACTCTGTCCCAAAAAAAAAAAAAAAAAAAAAGTTTCAAGGTTTCTTTAGGGAAGAGGAAGGAGAGGCCATGTGTGGAGGGAGGTGGCTGGGTGGAGGAGAGCTCTTGGGTCCTGTTTGCTTAGACTCAAAGGCAGGCCCCAGAGGCTCCAGCCAGAGGGACAGCGCCCAGCCCCACCTTCACCCCTTTTGCAGGGTGCCTCTGACAGCTGCTGCAGGAAACATGGCCAAGTTTGCCCTGAATCAGAACCTGCCCGGTGAGTGTGCAAAAAGAGAGATGTGTGTGTGTGTGCGCATGCACAGAGAAACGCTTGATGCCCTTGTGTGTGGACGCAGCCTACAGCCCTAGAGTGCAGTCCTCTCCAATGTCATGAGCCTGCTTTAAACCACCTATGGCATCAATCATGGCCGGGTGCGGTGGCTCATGCCTGTAATCCCAGCACTTTGGGAGGCCACGGTGGGCGGATCACTTGAGATCAGGAGTTTGAGACCAGCCTGGGCAACATGGTGAAACCCTGTCTCTACTAAAAATACAAAAATTAGCCAGGCACGGCTCGGTGTGGTGACTCATGCCTGTAATCCCAGCACTTTGGGAGGCCGAGGCGGGCAGATCACAAGGTCAGGAGGTCAAGACCATCCTGGCTAACACGGTGAAATCCCATCTCTACTAAAAATACAAAAAATTAGCCGGGCATGGTGGTGCCCCTGTAGTCCCAGCTACTCGGGAGGCTGAGGCAGGAGAATGGCTTGAACCCGGGAGGCGGAGCTTGCAGTGAGCAGAGATTGTGCCACTGCACTCCAGCCTGGGCGACAGAGCGAGACTGCGTCTCAAAAAAAAAAAAAAAAAAAAAATTAGCCAGGCATGGTGGCGCGTGCCTGTAGTCCCAGCTACTCAGGAGGCTGAGGCAGGAGAATTGCTGGAACCTGGGAGGCAGAGGCTGCAATGAGCCAAGATCGCACTACAGCACTCCAGTCTGGGCAACAGAGCAAGACTCCGTCTCAAAAAAAAGAAAAAAACAAAACAAAAAACACCCCACCTATGGCACTAATCGCAAGTGGACTATACCCCCTGCCACCCCAGGTAGCCCTCAAACCAGGGAAGTGTGGCCCTTGTGCGTCCATTCCTCTTCCCCCTGCCTTCTTTACTCTGCTCGGGACACCCTGGTCTCCATCTCGCTGTGACTCCAGCTGACCCTCCTCCCTCCTACCCCAGGGTATTTCCATGGGCTGTTTTCTTCTAGAAACCTTTTCCCAGCTGCTTCCTCCTCATCGTGCAGGGCTTCCCCTCGCCAACCTTTTTTTTTTTTTTTTTGAGACAGGGTCTCACTCTGTCACCCAGTCTGGAGTGCAGTGGTGCAATCTCGGCTCACTGCAACCTCTGCCTCCCAGGCTCAAGTGATCCTCCCACCTCAGCCTCCTGAGTAGCTCACCATTATGCACAGCTATGTATATATATGTATATGTGTATATATATATTTTTGGAGATGGGGTCTCACTTTGTTGCCCAGGTTTGTCTCGAACTCCTAAGCTCTAGCGATCCACCCGCCTCGGCCTCCCAAAGTGTTGAGATAGAGGCGTGAGCCACTGCGCCCGGCCAGGGCTACTTTTTTTTTTTTTTGAGAGGTTCTCTTCTGTCGCCCAGGCTGGAGTGCATTGGTGCGATCTCGGCTCACCTCAAACTCCGCCTACCAGGATCAAGTGATTCTCCTGCCTCAGCTTCCGGAGTAGCTGGGATTACAGGCGCGCGCCACTACCGCCCAGCTAATTTTCGTATTTTTAGCAGATACTGGGTTTCACCATGTTGGCCAGGCTGGTCTGGAACTCCTGACCTCAGGTGATCCGCCTGTGCCGGCCTCCCAAAATGCTGCGACTACAGGCGCGAACCACACGCCGGGCCAGGGCTCCACTCCACAGGAAAGTCCCCTCACAGGAAAGCTTCCCTGGCAACCAAACGCTAAATCGGGCCTCCTCCGTTTATTCCCTGTTATTATTACCATTGCCGTAGGCATCGTTTGGAAGGATGCTTATCTGCTTTCTACAGGAGGACAGGGATGTTTGTCTTGCTCACTGCTGTGTCCCCCGGGCCTAGAAACTTGCTTAGCACAGAGTAGGTGCTCATTAAACAAGCGATTGAGTTAATACTTGGGTACAGATAGGTGTGAAGCGTGGGCATGGGTGGGGGACACGCTCGGTTTGTTTAGTATCTCCCGGGTTTCCCCGTTCTGATGCGCCCTCCCCGTGCCCCCGTCGTGCCTCCAGACCTGGGCGGCCCCCGCCTGTGCCCGGTCCCCGCCGCCGGGGGCGCACGCAGCCCGAGCTCGCCCTACTCGGTGGAGACGCCCTACGGCTTCCACCTGGACCTGGACTTCCTCAAGTACATAGAGGAGCTGGAGCGTGGCCCCGCTGCCCGCCGCGCCCCGGGACCCCCGACCTCGCGCCGTCCCCGCGCGCCCCGGCCCGGCCTCGCGGGCGCACGTAGCCCAGGCGCCTGGACATCCAGCGAGTCCCTGGCCAGTGACGACGGTGGAGCACCGGGCATACTCTCCCAGGGCGCGCCCTCGGGGCTCCTGATGCAGCCGCTGTCGCCGCGCGCGCCCGTGCGCAACCCGCGCGTCGAGCACACGCTCCGGGAGACCAGCCGGCGGCTGGAGCTGGCGCAGACACACGAGCGCGCGCCCAGCCCCGGCCGCGGGGTCCCGCGCAGCCCACGCGGGTCCGGCCGCAGCAGCCCCGCCCCTAACCTTGCCCCTGCTTCGCCCGGCCCTGCCCAACTGCAGCTGGTGCGCGAGCAGATGGCCGCGGCGCTGCGGCGCCTGCGCGAGCTCGAGGACCAGGCGCGAACGCTGCCCGAGCTGCAGGAGCAGGTGCGCGCGCTGCGCGCCGAGAAGGCGCGGCTGCTGGCCGGGCGCGCGCAGCCCGAGCCGGACGGGGAGGCTGAGACGCGCCCGGACAAGCTCGCCCAGCTGCGGCGGCTCACCGAGCGCCTGGCCACCTCCGAGCGCGGCGGCCGTGCCAGGGCCAGCCCCCGGGCTGACAGCCCAGACGGCCTGGCTGCAGGGCGCAGCGAGGGCGCGCTCCAGGTCCTCGACGGGGAGGTCGGGAGTCTCGATGGGACGCCCCAGACCCGGGAGGTGGCCGCCGAGGCCGTGCCCGAGACCCGAGAAGCGGGTGCCCAGGCCGTGCCGGAGACCCGGGAGGCCGGCGTGGAGGCTGCCCCCGAGACCGTGGAGGCGGACGCGTGGGTGACCGAGGCGCTGCTGGGGCTGCCTGCGGCCGCCGAGCGCGAGCTAGAGCTGCTGCGCGCCAGTCTGGAGCACCAGCGCGGGGTGAGTGAGCTTCTGCGGGGCCGGTTGCGGGAGCTGGAGGAAGCCCGCGAGGCTGCGGAGGAGGCAGCGGCGGGGGCCCGGGCCCAGCTACGCGAGGCCACCACCCAGACCCCGTGGAGCTGTGCCGAAAAGGCCGCGCAGACCGAGTCCCCGGCAGAGGCGCCCTCCTTGACTCAGGAGAGCTCGCCCGGATCCATGGACGGAGACAGGGCCGTGGCGCCCGCGGGTGAGTCCCGACCCCGTCGCTGGGCCCTGGCTTACTCGGCGCCGGACTCGAACTCAGTGCCCTCATCTCATCCCCGCCAGGCATCCTCAAATCCATCATGAAGAAGAGAGACGGCACACCTGGTGCCCAACCCAGCTCCGGACCCAAGAGCCTGCAGTTTGTTGGGGTCCTCAACGGAGAGTGAGCGCCTTTCCCCTCCTGTGGCAGCTTCTGCCGGGACATAGACTGGGGTTGGAACCCCAGCTCTGCCCCTCTACTGGCAGCGTGGTCTGGGCAATCCTCAGTTTCCTCATCGTTAAATGGGAACGGCCACACCCACATCGCAGGACTCCAGAACGAGCCCACAGGGGAGGTTTAGCAGACACCTCCCACCCTGCCCCCAGGTACGAGAGCTCCTCCAGCGAGGACGCCAGCGACAGCGATGGCGACAGCGAGAACGGTGGCGCCGAGCCCCCGGGTAGCTCCTCGGGCTCCGGGGATGACAGCGGCGGGGGATCCGACTCGGGCACCCCTGGCCCTCCCAGCGGCGGGGACATCCGGGACCCTGAGCCCGAGGCGGAGGCAGAGCCTCAGCAGGTGGCACAGGGGAGGTGAGCGGCGCTCGCTAGTTGTTTGGAGAGGAGGCGGCTGCCCTCCTCCTGGTCGGCGCTGTCCCCGATCCATCCTGAGTCTCTCCTGGCCTCCTCTGCAGGTGCGAGCTGAGCCCGCGTCTGAGGGAGGCGTGCGTAGCGCTGCAGCGGCAGCTGAGCCGGCCCCGCGGAGTAGCCAGCGACGGCGTGAGTGCCCCGGGAGCGCAGCACCAGGGAGTGGCGTGGGAGCCTCCAAGGACCTCTGACGCCCACTTAGGGGAGCACACCGGGTTCCATCCCTTCCCGCCAGGCACCTCGCCTGACCCCAGGCTCTCCGAAGGGATCTCCTTCCCAGGACAGCGCCGATCTTTCCTTGGTTTCCCCAAAAAGGCCCGGCCCCAGCCCCACTCCCGGACTCCCCAAGGGCAAGCGTTCATTGCCTTTCCCCGTTCCATGTTCTCCCGCAAATTCTTCCCTGGAAGGAAAGGACCCCCTTCCCCCGTGTTTGCCCTCCGATAGGGGTGTGGCCCCAGCCCTCCATCTGGGTTCGCATGGCTCCCCACCTGGACGAGGAGTGACCTTCCTTACTTGCCTGGAAACGCCAAATGGGTCTCTTCCCAGTCCCGCCCCTCCCCAGCTCCCCCACCACGGCGCCGCCGTGGACCATCGCCGATGTTATCTTGGCCCCTGTCCCTTGCAGGGCGCAGTGCGCCTCGTGGCCCAGGAGTGGTTTCGAGTGTCCAGCCAGCGGCGCTCTCAGGCGGAGCCCGTGGCCAGGATGCTGGAAGGGGTGAGGCGCCTGGGACCCGAACTGCTGGCGCACGTGGTGAACCTGGCGGATGGCAACGGGAACACGGCCCTGCACTACAGTGTGTCCCACGGGAACCTGGCCATCGCAAGCCTGCTCCTGGATACGGGTCAGAGCCAAGGGAGGGTGGGTGGGACACCAGGAAATGGGTGGGGGGAGAGGGCAGGGGCTGACCTAGGCTCAAAGACTCTGGAGAGGAAAGCAGAGAATGGCTGTCCAGCACAGGGCACCACTCCTCCTTGAGTTTATTTTATTTTATTTTAATTTTATTATTTTATTTTATTTTATTTTATTTTATTTTATTTTTGAGACGGAGTTTCACACTGTCACCAGGCAGGAGTGCAGTGGCGCGATCTCGGCTCACTGCAACCTCCGCCTCCCAGGTTCAAGCGATTCTCCTGCCTCAGCCTCCCGAGTAGCTGGGACTACAGATGTGCGCCACCATGCCCAGCTAATTTTTGTATTTTTAGTGGAGACGGGGTTTCACCATGTTGGCCAGGATGGTCTTGATCTCCTGACCTCGTGATCTGCCTGCCCCGGCCTCCCAAAGTGCTGGGATTACAGGCCTGAGCCACTGCGCCCAGCCAACCTCCTTGGGTTTTAAACCTCTTCCTGTCTGGGTTCCCAAAGGCCTTCTGCCCTCTGAGCCAGGCATGGTGGCTCATGCCTTTAACCCCAGCACTTTGGGAGGCCGAGGTGGGCAGATCACTTGAGGTCAGGAGTTCGAGACCGGCCTGGCCAACATGGCAAAACCCCATCTCTACTAAAAATACAAAAATTAGCTGGGTGTGGTGGTACATGCCTGTAATTCCAGCTACTCAGGAGGCTGAGGCACGAGAATTGCTTGAACCTGGGAGGCAGAGGTTGCAGTGAGCTGAGATCGTGCTACTGCACTCCAGCCTGGGCGACAGAGTGAGGCTCAGTCTCAGAAACAAAAACAAAACAAAACAAAAAAGCAGAAACTAGCTGGGCGTGGTGGTGGGAACCTGTAATCCCAGCTATTCGGGAGGCTGAGGTGCGAGGATTACTTGAACCCAGGAGGCAGAGGTTGCAGTAAGCCAAGAGTGAGCACCACTGCACTCCAGCCTGGGCCACAATGCAAGACTCCATCTCAAAAAAAAAAAAAAAAAAAAAAAAAAAAAGAGGCCTTTTGGCCCCACCATACCCCTAGTTCTGCCCTGAGGCTCCTCCTACTTTGCAGCTGGAGGGAATACACAGTTCTGGACTTAGGTAAACCTCAGTTTAGGGGCATTATTTAATCTTGCTTGTGAAATGGGGTTGGCAAGGCCTCCCTCCCTGGGTACCTATGATAATACAGGTAGTACGAGATCAGTAAATGGCCAGCATGTGCTCTGTCCCTGAATCTCCAGCTGGAGCACTCACCGAGTTCCTGAGCCCCAGTGTCCAGCCTGGAGGGGAGGTACTCACCAGGCAGGGCTCTGACTCCTCCTGGGATGGGGCACTGTGCCCCACCCACCTCCAGCTGCTTGCCCTGATAAACTGGGCACAAAGGGTCTGGTGGGTGGTAAACAAATCGCTGTCCACCAGGAGCCCCCTCCCTCCAGGTACCCTCCTGCAGGTTCAGAAACCTCTGAGTCAGCCTTTGGGCACCTCTGGTACTAACTGCAGGTTGAGGCGGGTCCCACTGCCTGCCCCCAACCCCCTAAACACGCAGATCCCTCCCATCCCTGCAGGTCTTTATGACCTAGGAAAGGATATAGCTGCTCTGGAAGCTGGGGCATTGTAGGAGACAGGGGACAGTGAATGAATCTAAGTGAATTTTTTGGGCATCTCATGCCTTAAAGGGGGCTGGGGCTGCGGCAAGGAAGTAGGCGTCGTTGGTCACTGCAAGAGGCCCCAGGCTCCTTGGCCCCTTTATCTCCTACATTTGAATCCCCCCCCCACCCCTTTTTTGTTGTTGTTGTTTTGATATGGAGTCTTGCTCTGTCGCCCAGGCTGGAGTGCAGTGGCATGATCTCTCTGCTCACTGCAACCTACGCCTCCCGGGTTCACGCCATTCTCCTGCCTCAGCCTCCCGAGTAGCTGGGACTACAGGCGCCCGCCACCACGCCCGGCTAATTTTTGTACTTTTAGTAAAGACGGGGTTTCAACATGTTGGCCAGGCTCAAACTGCTTACCTCAACTCATCTGCCTGCCTCGGCCTCCCAAAGTGCTGGGATTACAAGCATTAGCCGCTTTGCCCGGCCTTGTTTGTTTTTTCGAACAGATCTTGCTCTGTTGCCCAGGCTGGACTGCAGTGGTGCAATATCAGCTCACTGCAACCTCCACCTCCCGGGTTCAAGTGATTCTTATGTCTCAGCCTCCTGAGTAGCTGGGATTACAGGCGCGTGTACCACACCCAGCTAATTTTTGTATTTTTGTATTTTTTTTTTTGAGATGGAGTTTCGCCCTTTTTGCCCAGGCTACAGTGCAATGGCACAATCTCGGCTCACTGCAACCTCCGCCTCCCAGATTCAAGTGATTCTCCTGCCTCAGCCTCCCGAGTAGCTGGGATTATAGGCATGCACCACCACACCCAGCTAATTTTGTATTTTTAGTACAGACAGGGTTTCTCCATGTTGGTTAGGCTGGTCTCAAACTCCCGACCTCAGGTAATCCGCCTGCCTCAGCCTCCCAAAGTGCTGGGATTACAGGTGTGAGCCACCGTGCCCAGACAATTTTTACATTTTTAGTAGAGATGGGTTTCACCATGTTGGCCAGGCTGGTCTTGAACTCCTGACCTCAAGTGATCCTCCTGCCTAGGCCTCCTAAAGTGCTGGTATTATAGGCGTGAGCCAGTGTGCCCAGCCTCTAATTCCCATTTGGCTCCACCTCTCCAGACCTTCCCCTGGTTCTTACTCATCTCCCCTCTGCCTGTACTTGCTTGCTGTCACATACACTAACGCCCCTGCATTCAGGGGCTGTTTCCTCTTTCATCCCCTGGAATCCAGAGTCTGGAGGTACGTGGGTGTGCACTTTGCTCTTCTTCTCCACTTCCAGACCTTTCACCCTCTTCCTTCTCAAACCCTACCTTGGAGCATCTTGTCACTGACTAGGCCCCTCCTCACTCTGCCTCTCTGGCTTCTACCTCTGACCTCAAGTAGCTCCTCCTTTCTTGAACTTTAGCTCCTGGCCAGTTCTCCCTCTCTCCCTCCAGCCTAATCCTTGCTGCAAAGCAGGTCCACTGTGCACTGGTTACCCCTTCAGCCCATTGCACCTAGGAATGTGCTTTTCCTACCTGCCTGAGTCTGGTAAGGTAGAATACTCATTCACATAACAAGTTACACAAAGCAGGTTCCTTATTTACAGATAGGCAGCAAGGGACAGCAGAAGCCTAAGATTGACAGTGAGCCAATCCCCCAAGGCTCAGGAAGGCTGCCCAAGGTGTATGGAATCTGGTCTGCAGGTGCCCCACTTGCACGGCAGGTGAGGGACCCTGGAAAGCGGCCCACTCTAGGTTTTATACCCTGGGGAACAGGAATTGCTGGGCTAATGCATTAAAGGACAACCTGTTTCTAGATGGGGACAGGAACAGAGCCTAGGCTGTTCCAGTCAGTTCCTCCTTATCTCAAGATTGCATTTCCAGAGCATTCTATAGTTAGTCTTTTTTTTTTTTTTTTTTTTTTTTTTGAGGCCGAGTCTTGCTCTGTTGCCTGGCTGGAGTGCAGTGGTGTGATCTCAGATCTCAGCTCACTGCAACCTCTGCCTCCCGGGTTCGAGTGATTCTCCTGCCTCAGCCTCCCGAGTAGCTGGGATTACTGGCAAGCGCCATCATGCCCGGCTAATTTTTGTATTTTCAGTAGAGACGGGGTTTCACCATGTTGGCCAGGCTGGTCTTTAACTCCTGACCTCAGGTGATCTGCCCGCCTCAGCCTCCCAAAGTATTGGGATTATAGGAGTGAGCAACCGCACCCAGCCGGCACTTGTCAATTTCCTTTTTTTTTTTTTTTTTGAGATGGAGTCTCGCTCTGTCACCCAGGCTGGAGTGCAGTGGCGCCATCTCGGCTCACTGCAAGGTCTGCCTCCCGGGTTCATGCCATTCTCCTTCCTCAGCCTCCCCAGCAGCTGGGACTACAGGTGTCCGCCACCACGCCCGGCTAATTTTTTTTGTATTTTTAGTAGAGATGGGGTTTCACCGTGTTAGCCAGGATGGTCTCGATCTCCTGACCTCGTGATCCGCCCACCTCAGCCTCCCAAAGTGCTGGGACTACAGGCGTGAGCCACCGCGCTCGGCCCACTTGTCAATTTCAACATCCTCCCCCATGATCCCTGCAACCTCCTGGCTGCTCTCCTTCCTTGACCTTGACTCTGCCCCACATCAGCTTTACAGGTATAACATCAGCCCCAGACCTTGATGTCCCTAATAGTTGTGCCCGTTACAGAATCTCACTTCTCAGCTCCCCACTTCCCGACCCTCACCTCCCAGCTTCTCGGCTCACAGGCTCCCATTCCCCAACTCCAGTAATCCTTGGACCTTGCGGGGACAATTACCCACTGCTCCCTCTCCGTTTCACTGCCCCCACCCCTTGTCTCTTTGCCTCTGTCATCCTCCTTCAGCCTGTTGTGGATTCTTCTCCATACCCCTCTCTCACCCGACCCTACCTGCCTGCCTGACAAACCCACAGCAAACCGTCAAGTGTTGAATAAATGCCTGCTCCCACAGAACTTTCAGGAATGTGTAGTTTTGAGTGTGTGTGTGTGTGTGTGTGTGTGTGTGTGTGTGTGTGTGTGTGTGGTGGGGGTGGTGAGTGAAGAGTGGAGAGAGACGATTATCAAGTAAAAACGTGAAATAATTTCAAATGCTAGTAAGGGCCGTAGCAGAAGACAACCAGGGGATGAAGTCAACAAAGGGTGATTCTTTTTAAATTTTTTTGTAGGCATGGGGTTTCACCATGTTGCTCAGGCTGATCTCCAACTCCTGGGCCTAATTGATCCTCCCTCCTCAGTCTCCCAAGTAGCGGGGATTACAGGCGTTCTCCACCACACCCGGCTAATTTTTGTATTTTTAGTAGAGATGAGGTCTCGCTCTGTTGTCCAGGCTGTTCTCGAACTCCAGAGCTCAAGTGATCCTCCTGCCTTGGCCTCCAGTGTTCTGGAATTATAGGCGTAAGCCACTGTGCCTAGCCAGGGTGATTCTTTAGTTAAGCAAGGTCAAGGTAGCTGCAAGAGAAAAGGGAGAGGGAGCAGGAAGATAGGTGGGTCCTTGGCTAGCCTGCAAGGACCCCACTCTGGTTATTTCTGGGTGCTCCTCCCTGACCACCTGACGCCTTACACGGTGTCTTAGTGGAAGGCATGGACACCCACACAGCATGCCACCCAAACAGGGAACGTCCCCCCAACCCCTTTTTACAGACAGCTTTGTTCCAGGCTGGGGTGTAGTGGCGTGATGCAGCCTCAACCTCCCAGGCTCAAGCGATCCTTCCACCTCAGCCTCCTGAGTATTTGGGACCACAGGCATGAACCACCACACTCAGCTAATTTTTTTTTTGGCGGGGAGCAGAGTGTCGCTCTGTCACCAGGCTGGAGTGCAGTGGTGTGATATTGGCTCACTGCAACCTCTGTCTCCCATGTTCAAGTGATTCTCCTGCCTCAGCCTCTCAAGTAGCTGGGACTACAGGCGCACACCACCACGCCTGGCTAATTTTTTGTATTTTTGGTAGAGACGGTGTTTCACCATGTTGGCCAGGATGGTCTTGATCTCTTGACCTTGTGATCTGCCTGCCTTGGCCTCCCAAAGTGCTGGGATTACAGACGTGAGCCACCGTGTCCGGCCAAATTTTTTAAGAGATGGGGGGGTCTTCCTATGTTGCTCAGGCTGGCCTCAGACTCCTGGCCTCAAGTGATCCTCCTGCCTTGGCCTCCCTAAGCATTTGGGTGTACAGGCGTTAGTCACCATGCCTGGCCTCCATTTTTGCTGTCATTTGACTTAACCCTTTACTCCTCAGTCCCTCATCTCAGCTCTCCTTCCTCACTAGGTTATCCATCTCATGACCCCGACCCCGCTCCTTTCCCCAAGCTTCTCATTCATTTCCTTAAACTACCTCAATCCTCAGAGCCTTCAGAATGGCAGGAGACAGGGATTAAAACAGCCACTCCAGGAAATATCATCCAAACAGGCACTGTGAGGAACAGGGACCAGGATGGTAACAGAACTGATCCCAGAGGAAACTGAGCTCACGTTTGTGTTTCATTCAGGATAGGCAGTGTTGACCAGGCTGTTTTGCTTCCTAGGGCTGCCATCAAAGTATCACTGTGAGCTGCTTCAAACAACAGGTGGCCAGACTTCTGAAATCAAGGTGTTGGCAGGTTTTTTTTTTTTTTTCTGAGAGATGGAGTCTAGCTGTGTCACCCAGGCTGGAGTGCAGTGGCGCAATCTCGGCTCACTGCAAGCTCCGTCCCCCGGGTTCATGCCATTCTTCTGCCTCAGCCTCCTGAGTAGCTGGGACTACAGGCACCCACCACCACACCCGACTAATTTTTTTTTTTTTTTTGTATTTTTAGTAGAGACGGGGTTTCACTGAGTTAGCCAGGATGATCTCAATCTCCTGACCTCATGATCCGCCCGCCTCAGCCTCCCAAAGTGCTGGGATTAAAGGCGTGAGCCACTGCACCTGGCTTTTTTTTTTTTTTTTTTTTTTTTTACAACAGGTGGCCAGAAGTCTGAAATCAAGGTGTTGGCAGGTGTTTTTGTTTGTTTGTTTGAGACAGGGTCTCACTGTGTTACCCAGGCTGGAGTGCAGTGGCGTGATCTTGGCTCACTGCAGCTCCCAGGTTCAAGTGATTATCCTGCCTCAGCCTCCTGAGTAGCTGAGATTACAGGTGCCTGCCACCACGCCTGGCTATTTTTTGTGTTTTTAGTAGAGATGGGGTTCACCACATTGGCCAGGCTGGTCTCGAACTCCTGACCTCAAGTGATCAACCACCTCGGCCTCTCAAAGTGCTGGGATTACAGACGTGAGCCAGTGTCCTGGCAACCAAATTCATTTTGAATTGTTGCTCTTGGCCAGGCGCGGTGGCTCACACCTGTAATCCCAGCACTTTGGGAAGCTGAGGCAAGCGAATCATGAGGTCGGAGTTCGAGACCAGCCTGACCAACATGGTGAAACCGTCTCTACTAAAAATACAAAAATTAGCTGGGCGTGGTGGTGCATGCCTGTAATCCCAGCTACTCAAGTGGCCAAGGCAGAAGAATCGCTTAAACCTGGGAGGCAGAGGTTGCAGTGAGCTGAGATCGTGCCACTGCACTCCAGCCTGGGCGACAGAATGAGACTCCATCTCTAAATAAATAAATAGTTGCTCCTGGCTGCTGTGTGGAACCTGGAGTGGATTCAGAGAGAAGGGTGGAGGCTGGCACTGTTCTTTAGGGGAGCAATGATGGTGGCTTGGCGGGTGGTGGCCATGAAAATAAACATATCCTTTTATTATTCAGTCAACAAATGTTTAACTGAGCATCTACTATGTGCCAAGTATTGTTCTAAGTACTGAGGGATACAGAAGCAAACAAAACCAAGTCCCTGCCTGATTTGAAACAGGGACTTGATTTGAAATAGCCACTGGGCCAGTGGCTCATGCCTCTAATTCCAGCACTTTGGGAGGCTACGGTGGGTGGATCACTTGAGGTCAGGAGTTCGAGACTAGCCTGGCCAACATGGTGAAACCCTGTCTCTACTAAATAATACAAAAATTAGCTGGGTGTGATGGCACATGCTGTAGTTCCAGCTACTCCGGAGGTGGAGATTGCAGTGAGCTGAGATCGCACCACTGCACTCCAGCCTGGGTGACAGAGCGAGACTATGTCTCAAAAAAAAAAAAAAAAAAAAAAAAAAGATGAAACAGGAAGGTCCTTCACTGAGCAGATGGTATTTGAGCAACACCTTAGTGAGGGAGGAACCAGGTAGCTATTGTGGGGAGAACGTTGAGACCACCCCATATGCAGGTGCTGTGCCCGAGGCTTGCAGGGAGGTGAGTGGATCAAGTCGGGCCGCGGTGTTGGCATCTCCGTGGACGGCCCCCTTTTCTCTCCCAGGGGCCTGCGAGGTCAACCGCCAGAACCGAGCCGGCTACTCGGCCCTCATGCTGGCTGCACTCACCTCTGTGAGGCAGGAAGAGGAGGACATGGCTGTGGTCCAGAGACTCTTCTGCATGGGTGATGTCAATGCCAAGGCCAGTCAGGTGCGTGGGCGCCCCCACTGTGGCTCTCAGCCAGGAGTCACTTCCACTTTGGGAGTCAACCTGTGACCTCCCTTCCCTGAGCCTACCCCAGCCTGTTCCCTCTTCCTCCCCACTCCCCAGACGGGGCAGACAGCCCTCATGCTGGCCATCAGCCATGGCCGACAGGACATGGTGGCAACCCTACTGGCGTGTGGGGCTGATGTGAATGCGCAGGATGCGGATGGGGCCACAGCGCTGATGTGTGCCAGTGAGTATGGGCGCCTGGACACCGTGCGGCTGCTGCTCACCCAGCCAGGCTGTGACCCTGCCATCCTGGACAATGTAAGACCCCACAATGGGGCTGGCATCTTGGGGGGTGCCCATGGCTTGGCTCAGGGATCTGACTGTCCCTAACGTTCCACAGGAGGGCACCAGTGCCCTGGCCATCGCCCTGGAGGCTGAGCAGGATGAGGTGGCCGCTCTGCTACATGCCCACCTGAGCTCGGGCCAGCCCGACACCCAGGTGAGCACAGCTCTGGAAGAAACAAACTTTCCCAGCTGCAAATTCAGTTTGCAGAGGATAGTAAATATGCCCTGAGCCTCCCTTTCTGCTCCCCAAAGGTGGCACCAGGGGTGCAGAACCAGTGTCTGGATTCTCCTATGTGGCTGCTTTTCTTTTTTGGGAGACAGGGTCTCACTCTGTAACCCGGGTTGGGGTGTAGTGGTGTGATCAGAGCTCACTGCAGCCACAAACTCCTGAGCTCAAGGGATCCTTCTGCCTCAGCATCCTCAAGTGCTGGGATTACAGGTGTGAAACCAGAGCGCCTGGCAGGGGCTGGGATTTGATGTGAAAGCAGCAAAACCCCAGTGAGGTTGACACTACCCCAGGTCATGAGACTGAGTCCTCAAGGGGGGAAGTAACCTAAGGTCACAGAGACCTAGCTAAGACCTTTCATGCATGCCCCTGGGCTCCTGTTACCTACTGCCAGGGAGGCTCTTATCAAAGGAAAAAGGAGCCCTTTGGCATCAGGCAGGGTGGGGAAGGGGGTCCAGAGCTTCAGAACTGGAGACTGGGTGAGTTTGCAGAACACATTAACCCCCAACACCACTATACTCTGATGGCCAAGTGCCAGGATGTTTTAGCACTTTCATAATCCAAGTTATCTAATCAGCCCACTCATCCTGTACAGGTTGACCCCAATTTACCATGGCTCCACTTACCATTTTTTATTTATTTTTGAGATGGAGTCTTCCTCTGTCACCGAGGCTAGAGTGCAGTGGGGCGACTGCAGCTCACTGCAACCTCCACCTCTGGGGTTCAAGCGATTCTTCTGCCTCAGCCTCTCAAGTAGTTGGGACTACAGGCACGTGCTACCATGCCCAGCTAATTTTTTTTTTTCATTTGAAGACAAGAGTCTCGTTCTGTCACCCAGGCTGGAGTGCAGCGGCACAATCTCAGTTCACTGCAACCTCCACCTCCCAGGTTCAAGAAATTCTCCTGCCTCAGCCTCCCAAGTAGCTGGGATTACAACAGCTGTGAGCCATCGCGCCTGGCACAACTTACAATTTTTTGACTTCATGATAGCATAAAAGCAATGTGTGCTTAGTAAAAACCACACTTCAGCAGAGTATTCAATAAATTACATAAGACATTCAATACTTTATTAAAACAGGCTTCGTGTTAGACGAGTTTCCCCAACTACAGGCTAAGGCGTTCTGAACAAGCTTAAGATGGACCATGCTAAGCTGTGATGTTTGGGAGATTAGGTGTATTAAACACATTTCAACTTGCAATACTTTCAACCTATGATGTACTCACCGGAATGTAACCCATTGTAAACTGAGGAACACCTGTACTCACCCCACTGGAAGGGATGTGGGAGGAAGGTCAAGCGCCTCTTCCAGGTCAGAAGGGGCAGAGGTTGGATACAAACCAGGCAGCCTGGGTCCATGGTAAAAGAACCTCCACTAAGTGAGGCTGGGGCTGAATCCCACGTTTCCTGCCTCAAGGAGATTGCAGCAGGCCCCCCTCTTTTCCCCTCTCTCCAGAGCGAGTCACCCCCTGGCTCCCAGACAGCCACACCTGGTGAAGGAGAATGCGGTGACAATGGAGAGAACCCCCAGGTTCAGTAAGCTGCCTCGTCTGGCTCACTACACCTAGCTGTGGGGAGATCTCCTCGTCAGTCACCTCAGCCTTTGGCGCACAGAAGGGTCCAGGGTCCCCTGCTCAGAGGCTAACACTGGCCGAAGAGAAAGGCAATTTCAGTTGGGGTGACTGTGGCAGGAAGGGGCTCACTCTGGCCCCACCAAGGTGAGGTGGGGACCAAGTGATAGAGCCCTGATCCACCCACTCTCTGAAACTTCTTTGCTAATAAAACATTCCTACTACGCTTGTGTTTTGTTTGGGGTAGAGGGTGCAATCGACAAACACGACCCCCCGCCTCAAAAAGGAAAAGCTTCGTTTGGCAAGACCGCACGGCCAGGATTTCCAGAGTGCGGAGGATCGGTGACCGCCTGGGAGCCACTCAAGAAACCTGGAGAAACCCTAGTCGTATAACCCAGACAAGAACCTGAGTTAACTTGAAACACAAACGCTTTATTTAAAGGAGCATCTCAGTTACGTGTGGCGGACAAAAAAAAGGAGCAGACTGTGACAGACCATTCCCATCGGCCAAGTGGTCGAACCCGACATCCAAGACCCTGTAAACAGACCCAAACATGAGATGTTGACAGGCCCCGCAGCAATTGGCAAACTCCCGCCTCCCTCTTGTCAGTCTCTGTATGTAGACTCTGCCTCCCAAACCCTCTCACCCTGGGCTTAACGAAGCCTCCCTACCACCAACCAAAGGTCTATCAAAGGGGTGTCCTCTTTGCACCCACCAGCGAGCAGCCAAGCTCAGCGCAACCTCCGGGCTTCTCGCTCTGACTCCAAAAGGGTGAGCACGTCGCCCTCGCGCACGGGGCCTTTTACATTGCGGATGATGGATCGGCTCGTGTCGTCCATGAATTCCACGCGCACCTACGGGTCCCCACCGGAGTGGAGGAAGAAGTAAGGGCGGGCCGCGGAAAGGCACCGCGGAGTGGGAAGCAGATATGAATTCAGAGAACGTGTCGGGGCCAGAATACAGATCGTTAAAGGGAACCATCAGAACCCCGTGATGAAATGAGAATCGGCTCCCGGATTCCGGCTGGCAGGGGTTAGGGCAGGGTAGAGGTCACATCAGGGTTTAGGTCGCCGGCAGTCGGCCAAATGCCCCCACCCGATTACCTGCGTGCACTGTCCCTGAGAACCGGTCCTGCCCAGGACCTTGGTGACCTGGAGGAAAGAAGCTGGGTTCAGACCCGGCCCGTTTGGCTCCTCTAATCCCTCCCCCTGCCCCCAAATTCGGGCCCCCACCTCACCCTGGCCAGCTTGATAGGCTGCACACGGCTGGTGTCCATGATGGCGGCGCGGCGGCGGTCTGGCGGAGAGGAGTCACGTGCTTCGGGGAGAGCCTTTATAGGACGTTCTAGCACCGCCCACTCCCGTCTCGCGATACCACGCCGCGTCTTTCCCAGCAGCCCCAGCGGTGGAGACGTCACCGGCTGCGCCCTTCAGTATCGCGGACGGAAGATGGCGTCCGCCACCCGTCTCATCCAGCGGCTGCGGAACTGGGCGTCCGGGGTGCGCGGGGCGGACAGGGCTGCACCATGGGGGGCTTCGGGCTCCGTGTGTCCGGGACCCGCTCCTGCTCCTCACCTCCCTCCTAAGCCGGGACCCTTCGCTCTCCCCGAATCTCCCTGGGAACCCCCAGCTAGTCACCCCTTCAGCCCGGGACCCTCTCCTGGCCTGGGAACCACTCAGGCCTGGGATTTCCCCAGTCCCCGACCTTCTTAGCCTTGGATCTGTGGGCCCGGACTCTGGCTTTGCTCTTCACCTGCAGGACCCACATCCGTTTCCCCGAGTGTTCATCCCCTGCCTTCCCTTAAAATGCGCATCCCCGGACCATCCCTGGTCCCTTGCCCTCTCCTTTCCTCTCTCCTGGGGTGCCTTGCAGGCCGACCTCTCCTCTCCTCTTCCCACAGCATGACCTGCAGGGGAAGCTGCAGCTACGCTACCAGGAGATCTCCAAGCGGTGAGCAGGCCCCGCTCGCTGCCCAGCCTCTGGCTCTGTCCTTTCTCCACCAAAAACGAAATCTGTGTTCCTTTAGACCCCTGAAACGGAGGGCTGACATCCTGCCACCAGTCCCCTGCCAGGCTGTGGAGGCAGAGGTTTGCCTTTAACCTTGCTGAACTCCGGAGGACAGCCCTCCTGAAACAGCGAGGCCGGGCGTGCATTCTGACTGGCAATCAGGCTAGATTTGCAGTGCTCAGCGTGGCCATGTTAGTCAGTGTTATCCCCAAGCTACAGATGAAAAAAGAGGTCCAGAGAGGCGAAATCATTTGCCTCAAGTCACTCAGAAGCTAAAAAGTGGCAGCGGGGACTTGAACCCAGAAGTGTCCTGATTTCAGACTCATTTATATTAAAATATTAGTTGATATTTACAAGCCCCCGTCATGTATGACCTCAGCCTTGGGTTTAACTTTGTGAACCAGGAAAGTTCTTATCCACATTCTTTCATGGACGCCACATTCTAGGGAGAAGCATAGTAGGGAAACAAACACAGCAGGTAGTATTGTTCTGGAATGCTTTGAAGACAAAACAAAATAAGTGGAAGCTGGAGGGTGGCTACGTAAAGTCAGATGATTGGGAAAGATCTTTCTTTGGAAATTGACAGTTGAGTCCCCTGAATGATGGGAAGGACCCATTCAAAGAATAATTATTGAAAAAACATTCTGACCGGGCGCGGTGGCTCACGCTTGTGATCCCAGCACTTGGGGAGGCTGAGGCAGGCGGATCACGAGGTCAGGAGTTTGAGACCAGCCTGGCCAACACAGTGAAACACAGTAAAACCCCCTCTCTACTAGAAATACAAAAATTAGCCGGGCGTGGTGGCGCGCGCGGGTAGTCCCAGCTACTCGGGAGGTTGAGGCAGGAGAATCGCTTGAACACAGGAGGTGGATATTGCAGTGAGCTGAGATCGCACCACTGCACTCCAGCCTGGGTGACAGAACAACACTCTGTCTCAAAAAAATAAAAAAGAAAAAACATTCTGAGCAGAGGGAACAGGAAGGGCTAAGAGTGTCAGGCTGGACAGAGCCTGAGTGGAAGGAGGCCAGTATGGATGGAACCCATTGAGGGAAAGGGATAATGGTATAATCTATGAAGTCAAAGGGTAGGCAGAGGTAAGGCAGTCATTGAGGATTATAATGAAAGGAAGAAAAATAGCATTAAAATAATGAAATTTATGTAAATGCCTATATGTTGTGACTAATTCCAAATATTAGAAGTATCAAACTTTGTTTTCAACTTTTTTTTTTTTTTTTTTTTGAGACGGAGTTTTGCTCTTATTGCCCAGGCTGGAGTGCAATGGCACAATCTCAGCTCACTGCAATCTCCATCTCCCGGGTTCAAGCGATTCTCCTGCCTCAGCCTCCCAAGTAGCTGGGATTACAGGCATGTGCCACCACGCCTGACTAATTTTTTGTATTTTTAGTAGAAACGGGGTTTCACCATGTTGGCCAGTCTGGTCTCGAACTCCTGACTTCATAATCCGCCTGCCTCGGCCTCCCAAAGTGCTGGGATTACAGGTGTGAGCCACTGCGCCCGGCTTGTTTTCAACTTTAACGTTAAGTTCTGGGGTACATTTGCAGTTTTGTTACAAAGGTAAACGTGCCATGGTAGTTTGCTGCAAAGATCAAAGATCAACCTATCACTTAGGTATTAAGCCCAGCATCCATTAGCTATTCTTCCTGATGCTCTCTCCCCCCCAACCCCCGACCCCCCTAGTTGGCTTTCTATCAGGGTAGTTGTGGGCCAGTTGAGGAAATGGCTTTGTGAAAGTTTTGACTTTTTTAGGATGACGGCACCCTCTAGTGATTCATCTGGATGTTTTATTGGTCTTTTTTTTTTTTTCTTTTTTGAGACAGAGTCTCACTCTGTCGCCAAGCTGGAGTGCAGTGGCGGATCTGAGATCACTGCAATCTCCGCCTCCCGGGTTCAAGTGATTCTCCTGCCTCAGCCTCCCGAGTAGCTGGGGCTACAGGCGTGCACCACCACACCCAGCTAATTTTTGTATTTTTAGTAGTGACGGGGTTTCACCATGTTTGCCAGGATGGTCTGATCTCTTGACCTCGTGATCTGCCCGCCTCGGCCTCCCAAAGTGCTGGGATTACAGGTGTGAGCCACCGCGCCTGGCCTTTTTTTTTTTTTTTTTTTTTTTTTTTTGTAAGACTGGGTTTCTGTGACCCAGGCTGGAGTGCAGTGGCACAATCATAGCTCACTGCAGCCTCGAACTTCCAGGCCTAAGTGATCCTCCTGGTCCAGCGTACCAAGTAGCTGGGATTACAGGCACATGTTACCGTGCCTGGCTAATTTTTAAATTTTTGTATAGAGACAAGGTCTTACCATGTTGCCCAAGCTGGTCTTAAACTCCTGGCCTCTGACTGGGCATGGTGGCTCATGCCTGTAATCCCAGCACTTTGGGAGGCCGAGGCAGGCGGATCACAAGGTCAGAAGTTTGAGACCAGCCTGGCCAACATAGTGAAAACCCATCTCTACTAAAAATACAAAAATTAGCCAGCATGGTGGCACACGCCTGTATTCCCAGCTACCTGGGAGGCTGATGCAGGAAAATCGCTTGAACCTGGGAGGCGGAGGTTGCAGTGAGCCGAGATCGCACCACAGCACTCTAGCCTGGGCGACAGAGCGAGACTCCATCTCAAAAAAAAACAAACAAAAAAAACACTCCTGGCCTCAAGCAATCCTTCCACCTTGGCCTCCCAAGGTATGAGCCACCACATCCAGCCTCCTTAAGCAAAGTCTTTCACATAATATATTGCTTTTAATATTAAACATTTTTTACTTTATGTTTCTTATTTTTAAAAAATACAGTGACTAACACTTGTTTTAAGAAAAAGGCCAGGAGTGGTGGCTCACGCCTGTAATCCCAGCACTTTGGGAGGCCAAGGTGAGAGGATAACTTAAGGCCAGGAATTCGACATCAACCTGGGCAACATAGCAAGACCCCCGACTCCACAAAAACAATAGAAAAATTGTTTTTAGCCAGATGTGGTAGTGTGCGCCTGTAGTTCCAGCTACTTGAGAGGCTGAGGCGGGAGCATTGCTTGAGCCCAGGAGGTTGAGGCTGCAGTGAGCTATGATCACACCTCAAGCGATCATATGATTGCATATATCATCCAGGCTGCAGTGCATATGATCACTGCCTCAGAAAAAAATTAAATTCCGGGAAACAGTTCCCAGACAAAAAAGTGACTTAGAAACATGGCTAAGTGGAAACAGATCAATTTACGGTTTTTGCTGTCTTCTCTCCTCCCTCTCTCTGGAAAGCCCGTCTTTTGTTTTGAGCTTTTTTTGTTTTTTGAGATGGAGTCTCGCTCTGTCGCCCAGGCTGGAGTGTAGTGGCGTGATCTCAGCTCACTGCAACCTCTGCCTCCCACCACCATGCTTGGCTAATTTTTGTATTTTAGTAGAGATGGGGTTTGCAGTGTTGGCCAGGCTGGTTTCGAACACCTGACCTCAAGTGATCCACCCACCTCGGCCTCCCAAAGTGCTGGGATTACAGGCATGAGCCACCCTGCCCATCCTTGTTTTGAGCATTTCTTTTAAGGCCTCAGGCTTCCAGGTAAATCCAGCCCAGGGTTTAGTTCAAGCCAAGACCGAGCTCTGTTCACCCCTCTCTGGGCTCCAGAGAGGAGTTGCCTGGCCACATGGTGGCAGGAAATGCAGAGATCTTGACAGGCTCCAAGGCTAAGGTGTTCTTGAATAATGGGCCTTGATCCTAGCAGGGTTCTCCAGAGACTTCCTGAGATAACAGGAAACGCAGGGCGTCCAGAGCCTGGCTTTAGGGGAAAAAGCCACTCAGAGTGGACAAAGTCAAGTGAGGCTGGCTGCCAAGCTCAGCCGTGGGGTGGGGGGCATGGGGACATGTCCCGGGCCTTGGGAGCCTCAGAAAGGGTCCTCTGTACCCTCCACATTTGGGACAGGTGGGGTCCCTGGGGGTGGCATCTTCACATCCAGAGCAGGGTCCACCATCTGCTTCTGGCCCCAGGACCCCTCCCCAGGCATATGTCCCTGCCAGTGTACCAAGGGACACCCCCAGCCTGTGGCTTATCCCAGTGGCTGGCTGTAGATCCCACATTTTGTGACTGAGGTGACAGGGGCCCACAGCGGGGCCATGACAGTGACTGTCTCTTTGCTTCAGTGCTCATCTTTTTTCCCCTCAGAACTCAGCCTCCTCCCAAGCTCCCTGTGGGTCCTAGCCACAAGCTCTCCAACAATTACTATTGCACTCGCGATGGCCGCCGGGAATCTGTGCCCCCTTCCATCATCATGTCGTCGCAGAAGGCGCTGGTGTCAGGCAAGCCAGCAGAGAGGTGAGGATCTCCAGCGCTGCTCACCACAGCCCCCATGCCCCCTCCTGCAACCCACTCTGTCTCCCAACTTGTGGAAAGGGTGCTTGTCAAGATCCTACTTAGTAAGCATCAGTTGCGCAGGAACTGTGCTGCTGGGAGCTTTTTGTCCGAGAGCTCATTTACTCGTTTTTAGAGACAGAGTCTTGCTCTGTTGCCCAGGATGAAGTGCAATGGCGCAATCATCACTCACTGCAGCCTTGAACGCCTAGGCTGAAGTGATCCTCCCCTCCTTCCTTGGCCTCCCCAGTAATTGGTGTTACAGATTAGTGCCACCATGCTGGGTCAATTTTTTTTTTTTTTTTTTTTTTGAGACGGAGTCTCACTCTGTCACCCAGGCTGGAGTGCAGTGGTGTGATCTCGGCTCACTGCAATCTCCACCTCCCGGGTTCAAGCGATTCTCTGCCTCAGCCTCTCAAGTAGCTGGGGTTACAAGTGCCCACCACTACACCCAGCTAATTTTTGTATTTTCAGTAGAGGCGGGGTTTCACCATCTTGGCCAGGCTGGTCTTGAACTGACCTTGTGATCCACCCGACTCGGCCTCCCAAAGTGCTAGGATTACAGGCGTGACCCACCGTGCCTGGCCTGTTTTGTTTTTGTTTTTGTTTTTGTTTTGAGATGGAGTCTCCCTGCGTCGCCCAGGCTGAAGGGGTGGGTTGCCCCTCCACACCTGTGGGTGTTCCTCGTTAGGTGGAATGAGAGACTTGGAAAAGAAAGAGACACAGACAAAGTATAGAGAAAGAAATCGGGTGACCAGGGGACCAGCGCTCAGCATACGGAGGATCCACCCGGCCTCTGAGTTCCCTTAGTATTTATTCATCATTATTGGGTGTGATGTGTGAGAGGGGGATGTGGCAGGATCATAGGATAATAGTGGAGAGAAGGTCAGCAGGTAAACACGTGAACAAAAGTCTCTGCATCATAAACAATGTAAAGAATTAAGTGCTGTGCTTTAGATACATATACACGTAAACATCTCAATGCCTTAAGGAGCAGTATTGCTGCCCGCATGTCCCACCTTCAGGCCTAAGGCGGTTTTCCCCTATCTCAGTAGATGGAATATACAATCGGGTTTTACACCGAGACATTCCATTGCCCAGGGAAGGGCAGGAGACAGATGCCTTCCTCTTGTCTCAACTGCAACAGGGCATTCCTTCCTCTTTTACTAATCCTCCTCATCACAGACCCTTTACCGGTGTCGGGCTGGGGGACGGTCAGGTCTTTCCTTTCCCACGAGGCCACATCTCAGGCTATCACATGGGGAGAAACCTTGGACAATGCCTGGCTTTCCTAGGCAGGGAACCCTGTGGCCTTCTGTGGTGTTTTGTGTCCCTGGGTACTTGAGATTAGGGAGTGGTGACGACTCTTAAGGAGCATGCTGCCTTCCAGCTTCTGTTTAACAAAGCACATCCTGCACTGCCCTTAATCCATTTAACTCTGAGTTGACATAGCACATGTCTCAGGGAGCACAGGGTTGGGGGTAAGATTACAGATTAAAATGGAGTCTCTTATGTCTACTTTCTACACAGACACATTAACAATCTGATTTCTCTTTCTTATCCCCACACCAGGCTGGAGTGCAGTGGTGTGATCTCGGCTCACTGCAAGCTCTGCCTCCCAGGGGTTCACGCCATTCTCCTGCCTCAGCCTGCCTAGTGGCTAGGACTACAAGTGCCCACCACTACACCTGGCTAAGTTTTTGTATTTTTAGTAGAGACGGGGTTTCACCGTGTTAGCCAGGATGGTCTTGATCTCCTGATCTCATGATCTGCCCGCGTTGGCCTCCCAAAGTGCTGGGATTACAGGCGTGAGCCACCATGCCCGGCCTCCATGCTGGGTTAATTTTTAAATGTTTCGTAGAGATGGGGTCTTGCTTTGTTGCCCAGGCCGTTCTCAAACTCCTGGGCTCAAGCGATCCTCCTGCCTTGGCCTCCCGAGTAGCTGGGACTACAAGTGAGAGTCACCATGCTCAGCAAGAGCTCATTTAGTCCAACCCAGGGGAGGGTAGAAGTTAGCGCCTCAGCCAGGACTCTGCATCCTACAAAACAGATGAAGTCCGGGGTCCCTCCAAGGGTCCTGTGAGAAACTGAGACATTACTGTTGATATAATTATGAATTCTTATTTTATTTATTTATTTTGAGACAGTCTCACTCTTATTGCACAGGCTGGAGTGCAGTGGCGCGATTTCGGCTCACTGCAACCTCCACCTCCTAGGATCAAGTGATTCTCCTGCCTCAGCCTCCCAAGTAGCTGGGATTACAGGCGCATGCCACCATGCCAGGCTAATTTTGTATTTTTAGTAGAGATGGGGTTTCACCATGTTGGTCAGGCCGGTCTTGAACTCCTGACCTCATGTGATCCTCTGGCCTCGGCCTCCCAAAGTGCTGGAATTACAGGTGTGAGCCACCATGCCCAGCCATGTATTCTTCTCAGAGACAGAAGTGTATAAACCTTGGGCTCCTCTCAAAAAGCAGTTTGGTCCCTGGTTTCAGGTGTCTTCTCTTAATTAAATGGGGACTCTAATAGCATCTACTTCAGAAAGCTGTTACGAGGGTTAGTCCTCATAATTAATATTTGTAAACTCTTGGAGCCTGGCACAGAGTCAGTGTCCTGCCTACCTCCTAATAACTCCACCAGTTAGATGGTGATGACCCCTCTTGCAGAAGAGGAAATCGAGGCTCACAGAAGCCAAGTGACTGGCCTGGGCCACACAGGCAGCAGTAAGCAGAAGCAGGATTTCAAACCAGTTTTCCTGGACTCCTGTTGGGGTCTGGGCTCTACAGCCAACTCACGGTGTGGGCAGTCCCTCAGCCTTCTTGAGCCTTGGTTTCTTCACATATAAAATAGGGATGCTAGACTTGCAGTGTGCTGAGATCTGGGAGGTGATGAGGTCAGGCAGGGCCTGCTCTGTACTTAAAACTCTGTGAGGTCTGGGCGCGGTGGCTCACGCCTGTAATCCCAGCACTTTGGGAGGCCGGGGAGGGCGGATCACCAGGTCAGGAGATCGAGACCATCGTGGCTAACATGTTGAAACCCTGTCTGTACTAAAAATACAAAAAATTAGCCAGGTGTGGTGGTGGGCGCCTGTAGTCCCAGCTATTCGGGAGGCTGAGGCAGGAGAGTGGTGTGAACCCGGGAGGCGGAGCTTGCAGCTCACTGAGATCGCGCCACTGCACTCCAGCCTGGGTGACAGAGTGAGACTCTGTCTCAAAAAAAAAAAAAAGAACTCTGTGAATAGGCCAGGCGCAGTGGTGTGTGCCTGTAATCCCAGTGACTCGGGAAGCTGAGGTGTGAGGATTGCTTGAGTTCTAGACTTGTTTGAGTAACACAGCGAGACCCCGTCTCTATTAGAAATTTTTTAGGCTGGGCATGGTAGCTCACGCCTGTAATCCCAGCACTTTGGGAGGCCGAGGTGAGAGGATCACTAGGGGTCAGGAGATCGACACCAGCCTGGCCAACAGGGCGAAACCCTGCCTCTACTGAAATACAAAAGTTAGGGGCGCTGTGGCTCTCGCCTGTAATCTCAGCACTTTGGGAGGCCGAGGCGGGTGGATCGCTTGAGCCCAGAAGTTCAAGACCAGCCTGAGCAGCATGGGGAAACCCCATCTCTACAAAAAATACAAAAATTAGCCGGGTGTGGTGGTGTGCACCCGTAGGCCCAGCTACTTGAAGGGCTGAGGCAGAAGGATCTCTTGAACCTGGGAGGTCGAGGAAGCTTCACTGAGCTGAGATTGCGCCACTGCACTCCAGCCTGGGTGACAAAGTGAGACCCTGTCTCATAAATAATAAACAAGAAAGAAAATACAAAAATTAGCCGGGAGTGATGGTGCACACCTGTAATCCCAGTTACTTGGGAGGCTGAGGCAAGAGAATCACTCAAGCCTGGGAGGCGGACGTTGCAGTGAACTGAGATTGTGCCACTGCACACCAGCCTGGGTGACAGAGCAAGAGTCTGTCTCAAAAAGAAGGAACTCAGTGGAGTGGTCCTTGTTGTCACCTTCTGATTCACTGGAGTCCAGCACCAGAGTGTGGCAAGATACCTTGTTCCCACACAGCCCCTTGCCATGCCCCCAGAGATGTGTGCATTTCCCAGGGAGGCCACTTCTGCCTTTTCCATTTCCTTGAGGCTCCTGGGAGGTCCTGTGCCTCCACCCCTGGGGCGCCTCCTCCATCACCCCACCCTCCTGCTTCCTTTCTTGCTTAGGCTGTGAAGTGTGTGAGCTCCACAGGCTCAGGTGGGTGGGGTGAGAGGGGAGGGTGCTCGTCCTGGACTTGCCGGCACAGGGTCTCCTGGGGGCTCCCTCTTGGCCAGCTCTGGGCCAGAGATGCGTTTTGCAGTTGCCATTTGCGCATGGATTCTCAGCCCCACCAGCCTGAGTCTTCCTGAGGGCGGTGCCCCATCTTCCTGGCTCTGCGCCCACACAGTAGCGCCTGCCATGCAGTTCTTGCCCAGTCTGAGGCAGGAATAGCTGGAGGCCATTGTCACCTGATCGCTTGGCCCTTTTGCCAGCATCCTGTTTTGAGGGGCAGCAGGAATGGGGGTGGGGGCCTTGTGTACGCTGGAGACCAAAAGTGGGAAGGGAGGAGCCCAGCTCTCCACAGTGGGTTCTGGGCCTGGGGGCCACAGCAGGGGGTTCATACAGGGCTCAGGGGAGAGAGGAGGCTTGCTAGCTCCCACCTGGCGTTGGCTGATCCTCTGAGGGGCTGCGTTGGAGGGGTTGGCATTCTGGAACACCCTGCTGTCTGTCCTGCAGGTCCAGAAAGTCCCTGTGGGTGTGTTTGTCCCGGGGCAGGTGTGGGCTCCCTCAGATCTTTCCACACTGTTCTTTGGAAACCCTCACTGAAGTCTTTCCCTCCTCCAGCTCTGCTGTAGCTGCCACTGAGAAGAAGGCGGTGACTCCAGCTCCTCCCATAAAGAGGTGGGAGCTGTCCTCGGACCAGCCTTACCTGTGACACTGCACCCTCACGGCCACCCGACTACTTTGCCTCCTTGGATTTCCTCCAGGGAGAATGTGACCTAATTTATGACAAATACGTAGAGCTCAGGTATCACTTCTAGTTTTACTTTAAAAAATAAAAAAATAGAGACAGAGTCTCACCATGTTTCCCAGGCTGATCTTGAACTCCTGGCCTCAAGCGATCCTCCTGCCTTGACCTCCCAAAGTGCTGGGATTACAGGCATGAGCCACCACACCTGGCCTGATTTTATTTTTATTTTTTAGACCTTCCCACTGAGGCCTCTGCTTGACCTTGGTCACCCTGTAGCTCAACGGGGAAGGCAAAGGACAGTGAGGGCTGCTTACAGGGAAGGCAGACCTAGGGCAGATCAGGAAAGGCCTCCCTGAGCCAGAAACCATTATGCTGGGGCTGTGGGATGAGAATGAGTTAGCTCCAGAAGGAAGGCAGCTGGTTCCTGGGGAGGAGATAGAAATCTGGCTGCAGGAGCCAGAGTTTTCGCGCTTGTCACCCAGGCTGGAACGCAACGGCACGATCTCAGGTCACTGCAACCTCTGCCTCCTGGGCTCAAGCAATTCTGCCTCAGCCTCCCGAGTAGCTGGGACTACGGGTGTGCACCACCATACCCGCTAATTTTTTTTTTTTTTTGTAGAGATGGCCAGGCTGGTCTCAAATTCCTGACCTCAGGTGATCCGCCCGCCTTGGCCTCCCAAAGTGTTGGGATTACAGGTGTGAGCCACCACGCCTGGCCCCTGATTTTAAGCAATACCCAGCTTACTTGGATTTTGGGGTGAAGTCAGTGCTGAGTCTCCCAACTCTGTTGGCACTCCAGGGGTGGGACAGACACTGTCCCTGGGTGCAGAGGCCCTGGAGACAGCACTGCCCTTTCCCCCAAAGGCCAGGCTCTGACCTTGAGAGTGGTGGGAGTGGGTGATCCTTCTGGGAGGTTGGACTCCCAGGACCGCTGGCTGTTGGGGAGCATTGATTGTGAAGACCAGTCAGGTGGGGTAAGGGGTGTATGTGCGGACACTCAGTAGGCCAGCCACAGACTTCTCACTTCTTTTTTTTTTTTGAGACAGAGTTTCGCTCTTGTTGCCCAGGCTAGAGTACAATGGCGCGATCACGGCTCACTATAACCTCTGCCTCCTGGGTTCAAGTGATTCTCTTGCCTCAGCCTCCCGAGTAGCTGGGATTACAGGCGCCTGCCACAAGCCCAGCTAATTTTTGTATTTTTAGTAGAGACGGGGTTTCGCCATGTTGGCCAGGCTGGTCTCAAACTCCTGACCTCAAGTGATCCGCCCACCTCTGCCTCCCGAAGTGTTGGGATTACAGGCGTGAGCCACCGCGCCTGGCCTAACTTCCATCTCTTGAGGGCTCCCACAGCCACTTCTCACATGAACCTTCCTCAGCACCTTCCCACTGAGGCTCCTGCTTGACCATGGTCACCCTGCAGCTCAACGGGGAAGGCAGAGGACAGTAAGGGCTGCTCACAGGGAAGGCAAACCTAGGGCAGATCAGGAAAGGCCTCCCTGAGCCAGATCCCATTATGCTGGGGCTGTGGGATAAGAATGAATTCGCCCCAGAAGGAAGGCAGCTGGTTCCTGGGGAGGAGACAGAAATCTGCAAAGGGAGGGTGTCCAAGTCTGGCTGCAGGAGCCACCCAGTGACCCTACGCAGGGGAGTGTCATGGCTTCCCCAGGGCACAGCCCCAGACCCTTCAGCAGCTAAAAAAGATCAGCTGTGGACCAAGAGGGTGCTGAGACCGCCCTGCCCTCTGGAAGGGGAAAGGCCACGGCTACAGGCAGCAGGTACCAGTGTCCCAGAGTGGGTCCTACAAAGGCTAACACCTTCCTGGAGAAGGTGGGATTCTGCTTGGGGCAAAAGGATGAATCAGATTCAGAAAGGTCAGGAGGGAAGGAAAGACTAGGCAGGGTGTGCAGAGGCCACAAGGAGGGCAAGACCCTAGGCAAGGCATGCCGCTGACGGCATCTGAACCAAGTTTTATGACCACAACTTTTTTTTTTTTTTGAGACAGAGTCTCACTCTGTCACCCAGGCTGGAGTTCAATGATGTGGTCTCGGCGCACTGCAACCTCCGCCTCCCGGGTTCAAGCGATTCTCCCATCTCAGCCTCCCTAGTAGCTGGGACTACAGGAGCATGTTACCACACCCGGCTAATTTTTGT
This sequence comes from Homo sapiens, assembly GCF_000001405.40. Taxonomy (NCBI): domain Eukaryota; kingdom Metazoa; phylum Chordata; class Mammalia; order Primates; family Hominidae; genus Homo; species Homo sapiens. The sequence continues at coordinate 8,309,317 of NC_000019.10, read as the reverse complement.
ATTTTTGGTAGAGACGGGAGTTTTACTATGTTGGCCAGGCTGGTTTAGAACTCCTGACCTCGTGATCCGCCTGCCTCGGCCTCCCAAAGTGCTGGGGTTAACAGGCGTGAGCCAGCGCGCCGGCCAACTTTTCTAACAAATGGGGTCTCACTGTCACCCACGCTGGAGTGCAGCCCCAAGTGATTCTCCCACCTCAGCCTCCTGAGTAGCTGGGACTACAAATTAGAGCCACCATGCCCAGCTAATTTTCTTTTTTCTTGAGGCGGGCGGGGACTTGCTGTGTTGCCCAGGCTGATCTCGAACTCCTGGGCTCAAGCGATCTGCCCGCCTCTGCTTCCCAAAATGCTGGGATCACACACGTGACCCACCGCGCCCGGCCTTTATTATTAAATTTAATTAATTAATTGATTTCCTTTCCTTTTTCCCCCCCAAGCAACCCGACTCCGAGAATGGACGTTTCATTTATTCATTTACTCACCAAATGTTTACTAAGAGCCTACTATGAGTCAAGCACTATGTGTCAGATCCTGAGAATAAAGCAGTGAGCAACAGAAGATCCCTGCCCTCCAGTAGCTAGCATTCTATGGGGACTCGGACAACAAACCAGAATAAGTAAATAAAATAAATTACCTGTCGGCGCCACAAAAGCAGTGGGATGAGGGAGGAAATGCGGAGTGCCTGAGGGGCGTGGCTGCCATATTAAAGAAGATCACGAGGCAGTAACATTTGCAGCAGTCCTCATTTGGAACGGGAAATAATGCAAATGAACACCAACAAATTCCTTCCCATCCCCAGAAGTTTCTAACTTCAAGCGGGCTCCATACCTTTCAACTGATCTGGTCACTGGGGAAAGTGGGGACGGGCCTCTAATTCTCTTTTCCCTGCTATTCTGACATTTACGGTACGCGTAGCCGCGGGCGCCGCAGAACTCAGGGGCTTGGGCCCCGCCCCAACCCCGCGCGTGCGCGTGCGCAGGGATAAGAGAGCGGTCTGGACAGCGCGTGGCCGGCGCCGCTGTGGGGACAGCATGAGCGGCGGTTGGATGGCGCAGGTTGGAGCGTGGCGAACAGGGGCTCTGGGCCTGGCGCTGCTGCTGCTGCTCGGCCTCGGACTAGGCCTGGAGGCCGCCGCGAGCCCGCTTTCCACCCCGACCTCTGCCCAGGCCGCAGGTGAGTGACGCCCCGCAGCGCGGGCTCCCACCCCTCGCGAGGCTTCGCCCCGCCGCCGCGCACCGACAACGCCTAGTCACTGGCTGCACCGCACGTCAGTTCATGACACTCCCCCAGCACGTGGACTTGGACTTCATCGCTTGTGGGAAGGCGCGCACTGGTGCTAGGAAGACCCCATGCTGGGGGAGGGGAGGAGGGTGTCTCCACCTGCCTTTAACGGTTTTGCTCCGGCCCTGCACACCGTCTCCACACCTGCTGTGCCCTGTCGTCCCCCATTGTCACCTCCAAGCCGCCCTTCATACCAGCGTGGTCAGGAAAGCTCTTAGCAGGCTCAGATTGTCCGACCGCTAATCACGCAGGACGGGTCACCTGGTGCCTCTCGCACCTTTGCCTTCCAAACCCTCGCGCCCAGGCCTTGTGACCGTTCCGCAACCGTCCCTGCCCTCCCAGTCTCTCCTCCTTTGTCCTCCATCCTTAGAGAACGCGAGGTCTCTCCCCCCCATGCTACTGCAGGCTCTCGCAGAGACTGGGGTCACAAGTTGAATATACCCCCGTGGACGTGTTCGCCCTGGCCTAAGAGGTATTGGTGGCCAGTGGGGACGGGCTCCCTCTCTGATACCCCTAGAGGCAGCTGGAGGGTTGGAGTGGCCTCCCTGTGCACTCAGGCACTCCCAACTTGCAGCCCTGGGCTCAGGCTCACACACTTTCCCAGCTCCTTTGTGCATTCCGCACTTCTAGGTCCCTGGACTCATCCCAAAGTCCCTGACATTCACGTTAAATGTTCCTGGGTTTTTTTTTGTTTGTTTTTTTTTAAGGAGGCAGCGTTCACGTTAACCAAGTACAAAAGTTTTTGTTTTTTTTTTTTTGAGTCTCCCTCTGTCGCCCTGGCTGGAGTGCAGTGCAATGTTGGCTCACTGCACCCTCCGCCTCCCGGGTTTAAGCAATTCTCATGCCTCAGCCTCCCGAGTAGCTTGGGACTACAGGCACCGTCACCATGCCCGGCTAATTTTTGTATTTTTAGTAGAGATGGGGTTTCACCATGTTGGCCAGACTGGTCTCGAACTCCTGACCTCAAGTGTTCTGTCCGCCTCAGCCTCCCAAAGTGCTGGGATTACAGGACAAAACTCTATACACAGTCTCTTTTTTCTCAGGATGTTGAGGTAGGGATTCCCAGCATACCCCGTTTACAGGTGAGGAAACTGAGGCCAGGAGAGAAAGTCACTGGTCACTGTAACTCCTGTCAGGCTTACACCCTATGAGGCGGGGACTGCTGTGCTCTACTGTCCACTTTGCAGAGGGATACACACTCCCGCAGTCCAGCGAAGGGAGGTCAGAGGTGTCAGGGCTGTGGAAGTCTGCGCCTGGGTGGAGAGCCACACCTGGAGGCTGCCAGATCTCCCGGGGGCGGGGAAGGAAGCAGGCACCGGTTTGTCCACAGCTCTTCTGGGATCCATAGAGCTCAGGGACCCTGTGGCAAGTAGGTGCAATTAGGCCTGAAGGCCGAGGAGGGGCTGGCAGTGGGGAGTGGGGGGTTGGAGGCTCATGGCTGGTGGGTAAAGGTGGAAGAGGTTAAAGGCCTTGGCAGAGTGAAGCTAAGCCAGGGTGGCGGATTTGCCACCTCCCCTGGCCGCACCCAGGAGGAAGCCGTAAAGGCCACTCCCTTCCTCTGTCCCTTGGCCCAGGTTGCGGGCCCCTCCGTGCCCCTCCAGGTCGGCAAGCAGCTGAGCTTCCCTGCTCAGAATCTAGGACAGCCGGGATCTTCTCTGGACCCAGCTTGGACCCTTATGTGACCTGTGTCCACTTATAATCAGGCACTGCCCTGGGTTTAGGCGGCCAGGTCACAGCCCTGACCTCCACAGAATGTCCAGTCTGTGGGTGGACAGGCATGACCAGGGCTTTAAGGACAGTTGTTAGACATGGGAGGCAGTGCTTCCTAGGTCTCCAAGAGGGACATGAGAACCCTCCCAGGAAATCAGCTGAGATCTGAAAATTGAGGGGAAAACACAGGGTGTAGGGAGGAGAGAGGGAAAGGCAAGTCTCTGGTGTCCTAATGGACCTTGGGGCCTGGGGCCTGGGGCTCTGGTGAGGAGCTGACACATTTAGGATGGGGAGAGTGATAGGTCTGGGAGGAATTCAGGAGGCGGGGCAACAGGACTTGGTGACTGAGCAGATTTTCTACCCAGTGCCTCAGTTTCCCACCCACTGCCTCAGTTTCCCTTTTGCTACGCAGAGGAGATAGACCCTCCCTGCTGACCTGAGCCCGGGAGCCTGACCCAGGGCATGTGGAAAAATGGCCCGTCCCTCAGTCTCTTTAACCACTGAGTTTGGAGGTCTCCCTGGCAGATCATCTCGCTATGAGGAGCCTGGTGAAGACTCTGGGATCAGCGAGACCTGAGTTCGAAGCCCAACTCCGCTACCAGCTCTTTTTTTTTTCTTTTTTGTGGTGACGGAGTCTCGTTCTGTCGCCCAGGCTGGAGTGCAGCAGTATGATTTCGGTTCATTGCAACCTCCATCTCCCAGGTTTAAGCGATTCTCATGCTTCAGCCTCCCGAGTAGCTGGCATTACAGGCGTGCACTACCACGCCCGGCTAATTTTTGTATTTTTAACAGAGACGGGGTTTCCATGTAGGCCAGGCTGGTCTCGAACTCGTGACCTCAAGTGATCCACCTGCCTCGGCCTGCCAAAGTGCTGAGATTACAGGCGTGAGCCACTGCACCCAGCCTCTGCCACCAGCTGTATGGCCTCCTCTTGGTTCCTTTCTCTGTAACCTGGGGAGTGCAGTAGCACCTGCCCAGTGGGGCTCTTGAGCCCAGGAACTGCTACACTCTGAACCCCACTCGTACTAGGGGCTCAGTAACAAGCAGCCGCCAGTGTGGTTCCTATATCCCGGGACTTCGCCTGTCTCCTGCGGATCACAGCCAGTGACTACTGTGCTCTTGGAGAAAGGTCCAGCCTCCAGCTTCCCAGGCTTCATTTGCATCCATCTCGCAGGCCCCAGCTCAGGCTCGTGCCCACCCACCAAGTTCCAGTGCCGCACCAGTGGCTTATGCGTGCCCCTCACCTGGCGCTGCGACAGGGACTTGGACTGCAGCGATGGCAGCGATGAGGAGGAGTGCAGTGAGTGGCCACGCCCCTTGGCGGGGCTTACAGGGGGCGGGGCCTGAGGGTGGTTTGTCAGGGGCCAGGCACGCGGAGGTGGAGCTTGTGGGAAAGGCAGGGCCGCAGGGATGGGTGCGACTTGGGTCTGTGGGTCATAAGAAGCGGGGTCTAAGATGGGCTTGGGCTGGGCGCAGTGGCTCACGCCTGCAATCCCAGCACTTTGGGAGGCTAGGGTGGGAGGATCGATCACTTGATCCTGGGAGGTTGCCGCTGCAGTGAGCTAGGATTGTGCCAGTGCACTCCAGCCTGGGCAACAGAGTAAGACTGTCTCAGGAAAAAAAAAGAAAAAGAAAAAAAAAAGAAAAATGAAAGAAAGGAAAGAAAGGAAGGAAAGAGAGAGGGAGGGAGCCAGGTACGGTGGCTCACACATGTAATCCCAGCACTTTGGGAGGCCAAGGCAGGCGGATCACTTGAGGTCAGGCGTTCGAGACCAGCCTGGCCAACACAGTGAAACCCCATCTCTACTAAAAATACAAAAGTTAGCTGGATGTGGCGGCAGGCCCCTGTAATCCCAGCTAGTCAGGAGGCTAAGGCAGGAGAATCACTTGACCCTGGGAGGCAGAGGTTTCAGTGAGTCGAGATTGCGCCACTGCACTGCAGCCTGGGCAGCAAAGGGAGACCCCGTCTCAAAAGAAAAAATAAAGAAAGAAACAAACAAACAAATAGAATAAAGTGGGCTTGTAGGAAGGTAGAGCTAGTGGGGTCTCAGGGGAAGAGCTTGCAGGGAGGCCTGTCCTTAGAAAGTGGAGTTAACAGTTGCAGGGGGCGGAGCCTTAGGAAGGGAGCATTTTTTTGGGCTCAGCTGTTCTTAGAGGGTGGGGCTTGCAGGGGATGGGGTTTCAGGGAGTACCTGGGCCTTCTTGGGTGGGCATTTGGGACCTGACCAACCCTGTGCCCCAGGGATTGAGCCATGTACCCAGAAAGGGCAATGCCCACCGCCCCCTGGCCTCCCCTGCCCCTGCACCGGCGTCAGTGACTGCTCTGGGGGAACTGACAAGAAACTGCGCAACTGCAGCCGCCTGGCCTGCCTAGCAGGCGAGCTCCGTTGCACGCTGAGCGATGACTGCATTCCACTCACGTGGCGCTGCGACGGCCACCCAGACTGTCCCGACTCCAGCGACGAGCTCGGCTGTGGTATGCACCTGCGGGGCTGGGGTGGACTCGTGGGTAGATGGGGACACCCACTGCCTGCTGGGGCGTGGCCAGGCTGGGGGCGTGGACACATGCCTTTGCCCGTGCCTGCATCCCTGTGGGGGAATCAAGACATCATTAGGGGCCGGGCCCGGTGGCTCACGCCTGTAATCCCAGCACTTTGGGAGGCTGAGGTGGGCGGATCATCTGAGGTCAGGATTTCGAGACCTGCCTGGCAAACACTGCGAAACCCCGTCTCTACTAAAAGTACAAAAAAATTTGCTGGGCATGGTGGCACACACCTGTAATCCGAGCTACTCAGGAGGCTGAGTCAGGAGAACCGCTTGAACCTGGGAGGCAGAGGTTGCAGTGAGCTGAGATTGGGCCACTGCACACCAGTCTGGGTGACAGCAAAACTCTGTCTCAAAAAAATTTAAAAAAGGCCGGGCACGGTGGCTAACGCCTGTAATCCTAGCACTTTGGGAGGCCGAGGCAGGCAGATCACCTGAGGTGAGGTGTTCGAGACCAGTCTGGCCAACATGGCGAAATCCTGTCTCTACTAAAAATACAAAAGTTAGCTAGGCGTGGTGGCGTGCACCTGTAATCCCAGCTACTCGGGAGGCTAAGACAGGATAATTGTTTGAACTCAGGAGGCAGAGGTTTCACTGAGCCAATATTGCGCCACTGCACTCCAGCCTGGGTGGCAGAGCCAGACTCCCTCTCCAAAAAAAAAAAAAAAAAAAGACATAATTACGGGCAGTCAGCTTCACCCAGCCTGGTTGGTTGAGGATAAACCCCAAGGGCTCCCCTGGGCATCTGGCCCCCTCACGCCTTCAGTGCTCTCTCCTCAACTACTGAACGCCTGGGCTTATTGCAGGAACCAATGAGATCCTCCCGGAAGGGGATGCCACAACCATGGGGCCCCCTGTGACCCTGGAGAGTGTCACCTCTCTCAGGAATGCCACAACCATGGGGCCCCCTGTGACCCTGGAGAGTGTCCCCTCTGTCGGGAATGCCACATCCTCCTCTGCCGGAGACCAGTCTGGAAGCCCAACTGCCTATGGGGTTATTGCAGCTGCTGGTAAGAGGGACTTACCCTCCCATGCTGGGGGCTTAGAGCTCCGGGGATTCAGGGGAGGTGGGTGGGGAGGGATGAGCTGCAGAACTCCCATCCCCATGTGTATGGAGCTTGGTGGGTGTGGGGGCTCTTGCCTTCCCCCTCCTTACTCCTCTGTCCATCTGTTCCCCACAGCGGTGCTCAGTGCAAGCCTGGTCACCGCCACCCTCCTCCTTTTGTCCTGGCTCCGAGCCCAGGAGCGCCTCCGCCCACTGGGGTTACTGGTGGCCATGAAGGAGTCCCTGCTGCTGTCAGAACAGAAGACCTCGCTGCCCTGAGGACAAGCACTTGCCACCACCGTCACTCAGCCCTGGGCGTAGCCGGACAGGAGGAGAGCAGTGATGCGGATGGGTACCCGGGCACACCAGCCCTCAGAGACCTGAGCTCTTCTGGCCACGTGGAACCTCGAACCCGAGCTCCTGCAGAAGTGGCCCTGGAGATTGAGGGTCCCTGGACACTCCCTATGGAGATCCGGGGAGCTAGGATGGGGAACCTGCCACAGCCAGAACTGAGGGGCTGGCCCCAGGCAGCTCCCAGGGGGTAGAACGGCCCTGTGCTTAAGACACTCCTGCTGCCCCGTCTGAGGGTGGCAATTAAAGTTGCTTCACATCCTCCGCCTGCCTCTGGGTCTCTGTCTCCCTTGGCCTGGGCAGCCTGGGGTCGCTGCTGCAGCCCCTCCTCCATGAGAGCCCAGCCCATAGAAGGTGGGACATGGACACCCAGCCCTGTGTGCAGCTACTGTGCTGCTTGCTTTTTGGGAGCAGGGGCAGCAGGGCTGGGGTGGGGAGTCTGCGTTAACATCAGGATTCTTGGAAGAAGAGCAGAGCTTGGGCAGTGCCTTCCCATTCCCAGGTCTGGGGACCCCCACCCACTGTGGCTTCCTCCTCAGTGCAGTGGAAGCCAGGTTTCCTGGGATGGTCTCAGACTCACCCTGTTTTAATTATTTTTTAATTATGTTTTTAGAGACTGCGTTTTGGCCGGGCACAGTGGCTCACACCTGTAATCCCAGCACTTTGGGAGGCCGAGAGGTGGGCGGATCACCTGAGGTCAGGAGTTCGAGACCAGCCTGGCCAATATGGTGAAACCCTGTCTCTACCAAAAATACAAAAAATTGGTTGGGTGTGGTGGCAGGCGTCTGTAATCCCAGCTACTCGGGAGGCTGAGACAGGAGAATCCCTTGAACCTGGGAGGTGGAAATTGCAGTGAGCTGAGATCACGCCATTGTACTGCAGCCTGGGTGACAGAGTGAGACTCTGTCTCAAAAAAGAAAAAAAAGGTTTTATTATTTATCCTGGGCATCATAGGGATCTCTGCAAATTTTTTTTTTTTTTTTTTTTTTTGAGACAGAGTTTCGTTCTTGTTGCTGGGATTACAGGCATGTGCCACCCCACCTGGCTAATTTTGTATTTTTAGTAGATAAGGGGTTTCTCCATGTTGGTCAGGCTGGTCTTGAACTCCCGACCTCAGGTGATCCGCCCGCCTCGGCCTCCTAAAGTGCTGGGATTACAGGCGTGAACCACTGTGCCTGGCCTATACATTTTTTTTTAACTAGCTGTGGGTGGTGGTGTGCACTTGTAGTCTCAGCTACTTGGGAGGCTGAAGTAGGAGGATTGCTTGAGCCTGGGAGGTCCAGGCTGCAGTGAGCCGTGATCAGGCCACTGCATTCCAGCCTGCGTGTCACAGCAAGACTGTCTCAAAAAACAAACAAAAACAAGTAATGTACTTGAATCATCCTGAAACCATCCCCACCCCTGGTCCGTGGAAAAATTGTCTTCCATGAAACCAGTCCCTGCTGCCAAAAAGGTTGGTGACCGGTAAAGTTAATTCACACCCTGACTTCTGGGTGACAGGGCAAAGTTCCTCCCTTATCCTCAGCTTCTGAATCTCTGAATGGGATGTTGGGGGCCACAGTAGCCTCCTTGCAGGGGAGTGACCTCCCTGGGACCGTTAGAGATGGACTCAGATGGACCTGTTGCCCAGGTTGGAGTGCAGTAGTGTGATCACAGCTCACTGCAGCCTTGAACTGGGATCAAGAGATCTGCCTGGGCTGGGCACGGTGGCTCATGCCTGTAATCCCAGCACTTTGGGAGGCCAAGGTGGGCGGATCACCTGAGGTGAGGAGTTCGAGACCAGCCTGGCCAACATGGTGAAACCACATCTCTACTAAAAATAGAAATATTAGCCGGGTGTGGTGGCAGGCGCCTGTAATCCCAGCTACTTGGGAGGCTGAGGCAAGAGAATTGCTTGAACCTGGGAGGCAGAGGTTGCAGAGAGCCAAGATCCTGCCATTGCACTCCAGCCTGGGTGACAAGAGCAAGACTCCATCTCAAAAAAAAGAAAAATCCTCCTGCCTCAGTCTCCCGAGTTTTGGGATTACAGTCACATGTATCACACCCAGCTAATTTTTTATTTTTGTAAAGTCAGGGTTGGTCTATGTTGCCCAGGCTGGCCTCCAACACCTGATCTCAAGGAATTCTCCCACCTCGGCCCCCCACAGCGTTGGGATTACAGGTGTGAGCCACTGCATCCAGCCAGGTTTTTTCTCTAACGTTTTCTCTGTCACGAGTCAGCCTCGGCGGACAACAGGGTATGTCAGGGATATGTGTGCCCGGCTGTGAGGCTGGTGTGGGTGCCACATGCCACCTAAGTGGACCTCTAGGCTCTGGACCGTCCTGACTGTCATGCATTCTTGTTCTCAGTGGAGCAAACCGCCCCATGCCCACTGGCTCCAAACACCTGTTGTCGCATCCTCTCTCCTGGCTCTGGGCTGACCAGGCTCACTGGGGGTTCATTTGTTCCATGTGACAGTGGCTGCCATCATCTGGGGGCCAGGCTGGCTGGATGTCCCATCCAGAAGGTCTGTCATGTCTGGGATAGCTGACCTCTCCATGTGGCCTCTCCACGTGGACTCCTGAGCAAGGTGGCCACACTCCTGCCACGGTGACTTGGGGTTCCCCAACACACAAAGCAGAGAGACTGCTGGGTCAATGTTGCCGATGCTGTATTCTGTGGATTCAGTGGAGTCCAGGTCAGCCCAGATCCTGTGTGTGTGTGTGTGTGTGTGTGTGTGTGTGTGTGTGTGTGTGTGAGTGGGGGGAACACATAAGGGCCTGAACACCCTTTTGAGACTATCTCAAAAACATTATTTATTTATTTATTTATTTATTTATTTATTTTTGAGACGGAGCCTTGCTCTGTCTACCTGGCTGGAGTGCAGTGGTGCAATCTCGGCTCACTGCAACCTCTGCCTCCCGGGTTCAAGCGATTCTCCCGTCTCAGCCTCCTGAGTACCTGGGACTACAGGCCTGCACTAACACATCAGGCGAATTTGTTTTCTATTTGTAGTAGACACGGGGTTTCACCATGTTGGCCAGACTGGTCTCGAACTCCTGACCTCAGGCAATCCGCTCACCTCGGCCTTCCAAAGTACTGGGATTACAGGCGTGAGCCACAGTGCCTGGCCAAAAAAAACTTTTTTTATTTTTCTTTTTTTAAAGTCTCCCTCCTCCCCCTCGCCTTTTTTTTTTTTTTTTTTTTTTTTTTTTTTTTTTTTTGGTGGAGTTTCCCTCTTGTTGCCCAGGCTGGAGTGCAATGGCTCCATCTCGGCAAACTTTGCCTCCTGGGTTCAAGTGATTCTCCTGCCTCAGCCTCCCGAGTAGCTGGGATTATAGGCATGTGCCATCATGCCTGGCTAATTTTTTGTATTTTTAGTAGAGATGGGGCTTCTCCATGTTGGTCAGGCTGGTCTCAAACTCCCGACCTCAGGTGATTTGCCTGCCTTGGCCTCCCAAAGTGCAGGGGTTACAGGCGTGAAACACCACGCCCGCCCCCCTCCCCTCTGCCTTTTTTTTTTTTTTTTTTTTTTTTTAGAGATGAGGTCTTTCTACGTTGCCCAGGCTGGTCTCTTAACTCCTCAGCTCAAGTGATCCTCCCACCCTAGCCTCCCAAAGCACTGGGATCACAGGTGTGAGCCATGGTGTCCGCTGTTACCCACTCTTAAGGGGATTGTTTGAGACTAATGAGTCCTTTCTCTGCGGGTTGCCATTTGCACCAACAGAACAAGACCAGGTTCAGTAAAGCAAGATAGAAACTTTATTCGTCAATCAATGAATGGAGAAAGGGAGGAACTCCTGCTCAAAGTGCCTACTCCCTGCAGGTGTGATGAGGGGAGTTTTAAAGTTTCCTAGGGCATGTAGATGCAGACTGGGGGTGGGGATTCCTGGAAAGAGGTGGGGCTTTCTAGGGGGCACTGAAGTGTTCAGCCTTTCTTTTCTTTTGTACCTGGCATTATATGTGCTTAGCAAAGTGCACCTCTCCCCACTGAAGACTTTTTTTTTTTGGTTTTTCTGTTTTTGAGACAGAGTCTCGATCAGTCACCCAGGCTGGAGTGCAGTGGGGCGATCTCAGCTCACTGCCACCTCCGCCTCCCAGGTTCAAGCAATTCTCCTGCCTTAGCCTCCTGAGTAGCTGGGATTATAGGTGTGACCCACCGCACCCAGCTTTTTTTTTTTTTTTTTGAAACAGCACCTCACTCTGTTGCTCAGGCTGAAGTACAGTGGTGCGATCGTAGCTCACTGCAGCCTCGACCTTCTGAGCTCAAGCAATCCTCCTGCCTCAGCTTCCCAAGTAGGTGGGACTACAGGCATGCATCACCACGCCCGGCTAATTTTTACATTATTTTTTGTAGAGAGAGGGTCTTTTTTTTTTTTTTTCTGAGACTGAGTCTCGCTGTGTCGCTCAGGCTGGAGTGCAGTGGCACAATCTCAGCTCACTGCAACTTCTGACTCTCGGGTTCAAGCAATTCTCCTGCCTCAGCCTCCTGAGTAGTACAGGCGCGTGCCACCACACCCGGCTAATTTTTTTTTTTTTTGTATTTTTAGTAGAGACAGGGTTTCACCATGTTGGCCAGGGTGGTCTCAAACTCCTGACCTCGTGATCTGCCCACCTTGGCCTCCTGAAGTGCTGGGATTACAGGCCAAGAGAGGGTCTTACCATGTTGCCCAGGGTGGTCTTGAACTCTCTGACTTAAGCAATCCTCCCTCCTCACACTCCCAAAATGCTGGGATGACAGCTTGGAGCCATTGTGCCCTGGCTGTGGAGATTTTACTCTGCCCATGGAGTGAGGATTCAGGCAGATGGAGCACTGCTGAGGTCAGCTCTCATCTTGTGGCTCAGTTGTGGTTAATGGCATCCGGCCTTCATGCCTGTAAACTAGCACAGCTGTGAGCAGGGGTTAATTTCTTTTTTTTTGAGACAGAGTCTCGCCCTGTTGCCCAGGCTGGAGTGCAATGGTGTGATCTCGGCTCACTGCAACCTCTGCCTCCCAGGTTCAAGCATTTCTCCTGCCTCAGCCTCCTAAATAGCTAGGATTACAGGCACACACCACCATGCCTGGCTACTTTTTTGTATCTTTAGTAGACACCAGGTTTCACCATGTTGGCCAGGCTGGTCTCGATGTCCTGACCTCGTGATCCACCCGCCTCAGCCTCCCAAAGTGCTGGGATTACAGGTGTGAGCCACCATGCCCGGCCAGAGCAGAGATTAATTTCACAGGTTCTGGGGCTCCCTAAAAGAATGGATGTTATAGTCCGGGTGTGGTGGCTTACGCCTGTAATCTCAGCACTTTGGGAGGCTGAGGTGTGGGGGATCACTTGAAGTCAGGAGTTTGAGACCAGCCGCCTTTCTCACCCTCCCAAAGTGCTTGGATGACAGCTGGGAGCCAGTGCACCCTGGCTGTGGAGATTTTATTATGCCAGTGGAGTGAGGAATCAGGCCTATGGAGCACTGCTGAGGTCAGCTCTCATCTTGTGGCTCATTTGTGGTTATTGGCACTTGGCCTTTGTTCCTGTAAGCTAGCACAGCTGTGAGCAGCGGTTAATTTCTTTTTTTTTTTTTTTGAGACAGAGTCTTGCTCTGCCACCAGGCTGGAGTACAGTGGCGCGATCTCGGCTCACTGCAACCTCCGCCTCCCGGGTTCAAGTCATTTTCCTGCCTCAGCCTCCCAAGTAGCTGGGATTACAGGCGCTCACCACCACGCCCAGCTAATTTTTGTATTTTTAGTAGAGACAGAGTTTCACTATGTTGGCCAGGCTAGTCTCGAACTCTTGACCTCAGGTGATCCACCCACCTTGGCCTCCCAAAGTGCTGGGATTACAGGCGTGAGCCACCATGCCAGGCCGGATACAGGGTCTTTAAAGGGGTGATTAAGGCCAGGTGTGGTGGCTCACACTTGTCATCCCAGAACTTCAGGAGGCTGAGGTGGGTGGATTGCACAAGGCCAGCAGTTTGAAACCAGCCTGGGCAACATAGGGAGAGCCTGCCTCTACTAAAAATACAAAAAATTAGCTCGGTGTGGTGGTGCACACTTGAATCCCAGCTACTCAGGAGGCTGAGGCACGAGAAATACTTGAGAACAGGAGGCAGAGGTTGTAGTGAGCCAAAGATCCCACCACTGCACTCCAGCCTGGGCAAAAGAGTGAGAGTCTGTTTCAAAAAAAAAAAAAAAAAGCCTAAGTGTGGTGGCTCACGCCTGTAATCCCAGCACTTTGGGAGGCTGAGGCAGGTGGATCACCTGAGGTCGGGAGTTCAAGACCAGCTTGACCAACATAGTGAAACCCGTCTCTACTAAAAATACAAAATTAGGTGGGCATGGTGACACATGCCTGTAATCCCAGCTACTTGGGAGGCTGAGGCAGGAGACTTGCTTGAATCTGAGAGGCGGAGGTTGCAGTGAGCCGAGATTGTACCATTGCACTCCAGCCTGGGCAACAAGAGGGAAACTCCGTCTCAAAAAGAAGAAAAGAAAAAAAATTTTTTTAATTAGCAGGACTTGGTGGTGTGCACCCGTGGTCCCAGCTACTCAGGAGGCTGAGGTGGGAAGATTGCTTGATTCCAGGAGGCTGCACTGAGCTGTTAGCGCCACTACACTCCAGCCTGGGAGACAAAGCAAGGCCCTGTCTCAAAAAAAAAAAAAAAAAAAAAAAAAAAGCAGCTGCTGAGAGGTGACAGCGTGCTGGCAGCCCTCGCTTGCTCTCGGTGCCTCCTGGGCCTCCGCGTCCACTCTGGCCGCGCTTGAGGAGCTCTTCAGCCCACCACCGCACTGTGGGAGTCCCTCTCTGGGCTGGCCGAGGCTGGAGCCAGCTCCTTCTGCTTGCTAAAGGTGTGGAGGGAGAGGCGCGGGCGGGAACCCGGGCTGTGCGCAAGGGGCTCGTGGGACAGCGCGAGTTCCGGGTGGGCGTGGGCCCCCGCACTCAGAGCGGACAGCCGGTGCCACCGGCCCCAGGCAGTTGAGGGGCTTAGCACCCGGGCCAGCAGCTGTGGAGGGTGTGCCGGGTCCCCCAGCAGTGCCGGCCCGCCAGCGCTGCACTCGAATTCTCGCGGGGCTTCAGCTGCCTCCCGGCTGGGCAGGGCTCAGGACCTGCAGCCCCCCATGCCTGAGGCTTCCCCCTGCCCTGGGCTCCTGCTCCGCCCGAGCCTCCCTCATGAGCGCCACCCACTGCTCCACGACGCCTGGTCCCATCGACTGCCCAAGCCAAGAGGGCTGAGGAGTCCAGGCGTGTGGCAAGGGACTGGTGGGCAGCTCTACCTCTGACCCCCTGCGGGTTCCACTGCCTGAAGCCAGCTGGGCTCCTGAGTCTAGTGGGGACTTGGAGAGCCTTTATGTCTAGCTGAGGGATTGTAAATGCATCAATCAGCACCCTGTGTCTAGCTCAGGGTTTGTAATTGCACCAATCAGCACTCTGTATCTAGCTAATCTGGTGGGGACTTGGAGAACCTTTATGTCTGGCTAAGGGATTGTAAATACACCAATCAGCACTCTGTGTCTAGCTCAAGGTTTGTAAATACACCAGTCAGCACCCTGTGTCTAGCTCAAGGTTTGTAAATGCACCAATCAGTGCTCTGTGGGGACTTGGAGAACTTTTGTGTCTAGCTCGGGGATTGTAAACACACCAATCAGCACCCTGTCAAAATGGGCCAATCAGCTCTCTGTAAAACAGACCGGTCAGCTCTCTGTAAAATGGACCAATCAGCAGGATGTGGGTGGGGCCAGATAAGGGAATAAAAGCAGGTTGCCCCAGCTAGCAGTGGCAACTTGGGTTGTCTTTCATGCTGTGGTTGCTTTGTTCTTTTTCTCTTTGCAATAAGTCTTACTGCTGCTCGCTGTTTGGGTCCACACTGCCTTTATGAGCTGTAACACTCACTGCAAAAGGTCTGTAGCTACACTCCTGAGCCGGAAAGACCACGAACCCACCAGAAGGAGGAAACTACGAACACATCCGAACATCAGAAGGAACAAACTGTGGACACGCTGCCTTTAAGAACTGTAACATTCACCGCGAGGGTCTGTGGCTTCATTCTTGAAGTCAGTGAGACCAAGACCCCACCAATTCTGGATACACTGCTACATCGGGTCCTCATCCAATCTGCCTGGTGTCCCTACAAGAAGAAGAAATATGGACACTAAGAAATACGAAGGGTGCATGCAGAGAAGAGAGCATGTGAGGGCACACAGGAGGCGGCCGCGGCTCTGTAAGACAAAGCAAGGGGGCTCAGTAGAAACCAGCTCTGGGCCGGGTGCGGTGGCTCACGCATGTAATCCCAGGCGTGATCATTTGAGGTCAGGATTTAGAGACCATCCCGGAAATACGGCAAAACCCCATCTCTACTAAAAATAGAAAAATTAGCCGGGCGTGGTGGTGGGCGCCTGTAATCCCAGCTACTCGAGAAGCTGAGGGACGAGAATTGCTTGAACCTGGGGCTACTCTGGAAGCTGAGGCACGAGAATTGCTTGAATCTGGGAGGTGGAGGTTGCAGTGCAACCAAGATGGTGCCACTGCACTCCAGCCTAGGTAGCAGAGCAAGACTCCGTTTCAAAAATGAAAAGCAGAAACCAACCCTGATGACATCTTAATCTTGGACGTCAGCCTCCAGAAATGTAAGTTTCTGTTTTTAACCTACCCAAGCTGTGGTATTTTGTTATGGCCACCCTAGCAAACTGAAGCTAGTATGATAGCTCAGAAACTCTTTTTTTCATTTTTTTCTTCCTTAGAGACAGGGTCTTGCTTTGGCTCCCAAGCTGGAGTACGGTGGTGCAGTTATAGAATTATAGCTCACTGTAGCCTCAACCTCCCAGGCTTAAGAGATCTTCCCGCCTCAGCCTCCTGATTAGCTGGGACTACAGGTCTGCGCCACTGTGCCCAGCTAATTTAAAACAAAACAAAAAAATGTTTCATACAGATTGGTCAACATGGCCAGACCCCGACTGGTAAAAGCTGGTTAAAAAAGATACTTGTTGATGGTCAGGTGCAGCGGCTCACACTTGTTATCCAAGCACTCTGGGAGGCTGAGGCATGAGGACTGTTTGAACCCAGGTGTTGGAGATCAGCCTGGGCAATATAGTGAGATCTCATTTATACTAAAAAACAAACAAAAAAAATAGCTGGGCATGGTGGCACATACCTGAAGTTTCTGTAGTTGCAGCTACTTAGGAGGCTGAGGTGGGAGGATTGCTTGAGCCTGGGAGATGGAGGCTACAGTGAGCTATGATCACCCATTGCACTCCAGCCTGGGCAATGGAGCAAGATCCTGTCTCTAGAAAACAACAATAAAATATATCTGTTGAATGCTACTATGTATCAGTGCTGTTCCTGGTTCTAACCATGAACAAAATAGCCCTGAAAAAATAGGGCTGAGCCCGGTGGCTCACATTTGTAATCTCAGGACTTTGGGAGATCAAGGCAGGTGGATCGCCTGAGGACTGGAGTTCGAGACCAGCCTGGACAACATGGCAAAACCCCATCTCTACTAAAATAAATTAGCAGCTGGGTGCACTGGTTCATGCCTGTAGTCCCAGCACTTTGGGAGGCTGAGGTGGGCAGATCACCTGAGGTCAGGAGTTCTAGACCATCCTGGCCAACATGGTGAAACCCTGTCTCTCCTAAAAATACAAAAATTAGCTGGGTGTGGTGGCAGGCGCCTGTAATCCCAGCTACTTGGGAGACTGATGCTAGAGAACTGCTTGAACCCAGGAGGCAGAGGTTGCAGTGAGCCGAGATCTTGTCATTGTACTCCAGCCTGGGTAACAAGAGGGAAACTGTCTTTAAAAAAAAAAAAAAAAAAAATTAGCTGGATGTGGTGTAGTGCATGCCTGTAATCCTAGCTACTCAGGAGGCTGAGGCAGAAGAATTGCTTGAACCTGGGAGGCAGAGGCTGCAGTGAGCCGAAATCCGCCAATGCACTCCAGCCTGGGTGACAGCAAGTTCCTGTCTCAAAAAAAAAAAAAAAAAAAAAAAAAAGCTGGTGCGGAGATTCACTCCTGTAATCCCAGCACTTTGAGAGGTCGAGACCAGCCTGGCCAACATGGTCGAACCCGGTCTACTAAAAGTACAAAACTAGCCAGGCATGGTGGTGCATGCCTGTAATTCCAGCTACTCAGGAGGCTGAGGCAGGAGAATCGCTTGAACCTGGGAGGCAAGAGGCTGCAGTGAGCCGAGGTCATGCCATTGTACTCCAGCCAGGGCGACAGAGCGAGACTCTGTCTCAAAAGAAAACGAAAGAGCTGGGCGTGGTGGTTCACGCCTGTAATTCCAGCACTTTGGGAGGCTGAGGTGGGTGGGTCACCTGAGGTCAGGAGTTCGAGACCAGCCTGACCAACATAGTGAAACCCCGTCTTTACTAAAAATACAAAAAATTAGCCGGGCGTGGTGGCAGACACCTGTAATCCCAGTTACTAGGGAGGCTGAGGCAGGAGAATCGCTTGAACCCGGGAGGCGGAGGTTGCAGTGAGCCAAGATTGCACCATTGCACTCCAGCCTGGGCAACAAGAGCAAAACTCTGTCTCAAAAAAAAAAAAAAAAAAAAAAAGAGAAGGTGTTTCTGGTTGCAGTGGGGAGAACAGAACCTGCAGGGAGACCAGGGAGGGGACAACTGCACTGATCCCCAGAAGTCAGGAAGGGGCTGGACCTAGCTGGCAAGTGCAGGTGGTCAGTGATAACTGGCTTCTAGGTCTGTTTTGAAGGAAAAGGCGATGGGGGCTGTAGGATTGGCAGACACATTGGATGCAGGTGGGAGGAGGCGTGGATGCCTCAGAACTGTCAGAGCAGAGCCTGGGAAGATGGTGCTAACTGAGAGGGAGAGGACGCTCGGACAAGGCTTGGGTGGGAAACCCCTAGGAGTCCAGATTGGGACCTGCAACACTGGAGCGGCCTGCGAGGACCCCTTGTGGCAGAGGCTGAGAAGGCACTGGACCCTAGGGTTTGGGCTAGAATGATGAATTTGGGAATTGGCCCAGTTGGGCGTCTGTGGGCTGGAGAGGAGTGAATGCAGCCAAACCTTAGATGTTTTGGAGCTAAGGAAGAATCAGAAAACAGATGAAAAGTTGGGTGCGGTGGCTCACGCCTGTAATCCCAACACTTTGGGAGGTTGAAGCGGGCAGATCCCTTGAGGTCAGGAGTTCAAGACCACCCTGGCCAACATGGTGAAACCCGGTCTCTTGTAAAAATGAAAAATTTAGCCGGGTGTGGTGGCGGGTGCCTGTAATCCCAGCTACACGGGTGGCTGAGGCAGGAGAATCGCTTGAACCTGGGAGAAGGTTGCAGTGAGCAGAGATCATGCCACTGCACTCCAACCTGGGCAACAGAGCAATATTCTGTACAAAAAACAAAACAAAATGAAAAAGAGATGGAAGCGGGGCATGGTGGCTCACATGTTTAATCCTAGCTAGTTGGGAGGCTGAGATGGGAGGATTGCTTGAGTCCCGGAGGTCAAGGCTGGAGTGAGCTATTATTGTACCACTGTGCTCCAGCCAGGGCAACAGAGTGAGACCCTGCTGTATCTTAAAAAGGAAAAAGGGTTGGGCGTGATGGTTCACGCCTGTAATCCCAGCACTTTGAGACGCCAAGGTGGGTGGATGACTTCAGCCCGAAAATTTGAGACCAGCCTGGGAACATAGTGAGACCTCATCTCTACAAGAAATACAAAAATTATTTGGGTGTGGTGGTGCCTGCCTGTAGTCCCAGCTACTCAGGAGGCTGAACTAGGTGGAATGCTTGAGGCCAGAAGGTTGAGGCTGCAGTGAGCCCTGATCTTGCCACTGCACTCCAACCTGGGCAGCAGAGCAAGATACTAACTCGAGAAAAAAAAAAAAACTCATAGATTAAAGTTCATAGCAGCAGGTCCGGCAGCAAAAATTCACCTCTGTTCTCTTAGGATCCCTCTAGGCCTGAGAATTATTAAGTTGACATAAAATGGGTTAACAGGCAGGGCGTGGTGGCTCACGCCTGTAATTCCAGCACTTTTGGAGGCCAAGGCAGCTGGATCACCTGAGGTCGGGAGTTCGAGACCAGCCTGACCAACATGGTG
Organism: Homo sapiens; assembly: GCF_000001405.40. Taxonomy (NCBI): domain Eukaryota; kingdom Metazoa; phylum Chordata; class Mammalia; order Primates; family Hominidae; genus Homo; species Homo sapiens. The sequence goes on along the minus strand of NC_000019.10, from coordinate 8,290,380 downwards.
AAACCCTGTCTCTACTAAAAATACAAAAATTAGCCAGGTGTCATGGTGGGCACCTGTAATCTCAGCTACTTGGGAGGCTGAGGCAGGAAATTGCTTGAACCCAGGAAGCGGAGGTTGTGGTGAGCCAAGATTGTACCACTGTACTCCAGCCTGGGCAACAAGAGGAAACTCCATCTCCCCCTACCAAAAAAAAAAAAATAGGGCCAGGCATGGCACAGTGGCTCACGCCTGTAATCCCAGCACTTTGGGAGGCCGAGGCGGGCAAATCACGAGGTCGACAAATCACGAGGTCAGGAGTTTGAGACCAGCCTGGCCAACATGGTGAAACCCCATCTCTACTAAAAATACAAAAAATTAGCTGGGCGTGCTGGCTGGTGCCTGTTATCCCAGCTACTCGGGAGGCTGAGGCAGGAGAATTGCTTGAACCCTGGAGGCGGAGGTCGCAGTGAGCTGAGATTGTGCCACTGTGTTCTAGCCCGGGTGACAGAGCAAGACTGTCTCAGAAAACAAAACAAACAAAAACAGGTTAACAGGAGAGGATACAGATTTACTTAATAGAAGTTTTGCATGGAATAGAAGCCCTCAGAAGAAAATGAATTTGAGAGGTCAAGGCAGGAGGATCCCTTGAGGCCAGGAGTTCAAGACCAGCCTAGGCAACATAGAAAGACCCTTTCTGTACAAAAAATACAAAAATTAGCAGGGTATGGTGGCGTGTGCCTGTAGTCCCAGCTACTCAGGAGGCTGAGGCGGGCGGTGGAGGTTGTGGTAAGCTGAGATCTAGTCACTACACTCCAGCCTGGGTGACAAAGACTCTGTCTGTCTGTGTCTCTCTCTCTCTCTCAAAAAAAGAAGGGTCTGGGCATGGTGGCTCATACCTGTAATCCCAGCACTTTGGGAAGCTGAAGCAGATGGATCACTTGAGGTCAGGAGTTTGAGACCAGCCTGGCCAACATAGCAAAACCCTGTCTCTACTAAAAATACAATAATTGGCCAGGTGTCGTGGCACGAGCCTGTGGTCCCAGCTACTTGAGAGGCTGAGGCAGGAGAATCGCTTGAACCTGGGAGGCAGAGGTTGCAGTGAGCCGAGATCGCGCCACTGCACTCCAGCCTGGGCAATACAGCGAGACTCAGTCTCAAAAAAAAAAAAAGGAAAAAAAACAAAGGTTAATTTTATGCCGTGTGAGTTTCACCTTAATAATAAAAACAAAGGAGGGAAAAATGCATCAACCTATTTGTGTGCTGATAGGAATGCTCCAGGGGTGCGGGGAGGTTGTTGAGGTAGGTGCTTGTCTAGGCCCATGAAGGGGTGGAGGAGTTGGTGGAGAAGGGGGCGTGGTTTTGCTGCATCCAGGGCAAATTGATTCTCACAGGGCAAGAGGAAGAGCCACTGCGTCTGGGTCCTGATGCAGGTCTGCAGGTTGATGGAGGGCAGTGGCTCTGGAAGGTCTCTCCTGCTGATTTCTGTTTTCTCAGAGATGCCACCTGGTCTGTGACAAAGATTGGTAAACAGGAGGATGATGTCAGTATTAAGAGGAAATAACAGGCCGGGTGCGGTGGCTGACGTCTGTAATCCCAGCACTTTGGGAGGCCAAGGCTGTCGGATCACTTGAGGTCAGGAGCTCGAGACCAGCCTGACCAACGTGGCGAAATCCCGTCTTTACTAAAAATACAAACATTAGCCAGGCATGGTGGCCTGTGCCTATAATCCCAGCTTCTCAGGAGGCTGAGACAGGAGGATCGCTTGGACCCGGGAAGCGGGTGTTGCAGTGAGCCGAGATCGCCCATTGCACTCCGGCTTAGGAGACAGAGTAAGACTCTGTCTCGGGCGGGGTGGCGGGGGAAACAGGGAATAACAGTAGGGGAAGTTCCTAGTAATGCATGTTTTTCCAAGTCCCAGAAAGAACATAGCGGCAGATGGCAAGTTGCCCCTAGGTGGTGGTCGTTCCCCATGTCCAACACCCAGTCAGCCTCGGGCTAATCCAGGGTCACTGACCATGTGCTTATCTGGCAGTTCTCCCTGGTTTTCATGCATTTTACTTTTGCTTTAACCTTTTCTGTTTCCGATCGAGTGACCATCATTTTTTTTCTACTGTTAAATATACATATCAATACATAATAGAAAAAAATACAAAAAGTACGTAAGTATTATACCTAAAAATAACATAAAATTGACCACTTTAACAATTTTAAGGTGGGCTTCAAAGGTATTCAGTATTTTTACAATGTTGTGCACTCATCACCACCACCCATCTCTAGAACTGTTGTTTGTTTTTGTTCTTGTTTTTTGTTTTTGAGACAGAGTCTCGCTCTGTTGCCTAGGCTGGAGTGCAGTGGTGCTGTGATCTCAGCTCACTGCAACTTCTGCCTCCTGGGTTAGAGTGATTCTCCTGCCTTAGCCTCCCGAGTAGCTGGCATTACAGGCACGTGCCACCACGCCCAGCTAATTTTTTGTATCTTTAGTAGAGATGGGGTTTTCACTATGTTTGCTAGGCTGGTCTTGAACTCCTGACCTTGTGATCCACCTGCCTCAGACTCTCAAAGTGCTGGGGTTACAGGCGTCAGCCACCATTCCTGGCCAAGAAATCTTTTTTGTTTGTGAGATGGGGTCTCATTATGTTGCCCAGGCTGGTCTCAAGCTCCTAGCCTCAAGTCATCCACCTGCCTTGGCCTCCCAAAGGGCTGGGATGATAGAATTTAGCCACAGTGCCTGGCTTCCTCTTTTTTTTTTTTTTTTTTTTTTTTTTTTTTTTTTTTTTTGAGATGGAGTCGTGCTCGGTCATCCAACCTGGAGTGCTGGAGTGCAGTGGTGTGATCTTGGCTCACTGCAACCTCCACCTCCCAGGTTCAAGCAATTCTTCTGTCTCAGCCTCCTGTAGCTGGGACAACAGGTGCATGCTACCATGCCTGGCTAATTTTTGTATTTTTAGTAGAGATTCGAGATGGGGTTTCACCATATTGGTTAGGCTGGTCTGGAACTCCTGACCTCAGGTGATCGACTGGCCTTGGCCTCTCAAGTGCTGGGATTACAGGCATGAGCCATTGTGCCCGGCCACATCTGTTTTTATCAAAGTGAAATTCATATAACATAAAATTAACCATTGTGAAGTGAATGATTCAGTGGCATTTGGTACATTCACAGTGCAGTGCAACCATATCTATCTACTGCCAGAATATTTTCATGACCCCAAAAGGAAGCCCTGTACTCATTTTGGTGACTCACACATGTAATCCTAGTGCTTGGGAGGCCGAGGTGGGAGGATGGTTTGAGGCTAGGAGATTCAGATCATCCTGGACAACATAGCAAGGCCTAATCTCTACCAAAAATAAAAAAATTAGCTGGGTGTGGTTGTGTGCACCTGTCATCCTAGCTACTGGGAAGCCTGAGGCAGGAGGATTGCTTGAGCCCAAGTGTTGGAAGCTGCAGTGATCTGTGATCACACCACTGCATTCCAGCCTGGGCAACAGAGCAAAACCCTGTCTCTAAAATAAAAAATTTAAAAATAAAAGAAATTGGATATTCTCCCCCTTTCCCTCTTTTTTTTCCCTCCCCCCCAGCCTGGCCAATATGGTGAAACCCTGTCTCTACCAAAAATACAAAAAATTGGTTGGGTGTGGTGGCAGGCGTCTGTAATCCCAGCTACTCGGGAGGCTGAGACAGGAGAATCGCTTGAACCTGGGAGGTGGAAATTGCAGTGAGCTGAGATCACGCCATTGTACTGCAGCCTGGGTGACAGAGTGAGACTCTGTCTCAAAAAAGAAAAAAAAGGTTTTATTATTTATCCTGGGCATCATAGGGATCTCTGCAAATTTTTTTTTTTTTTTTTTTTTTGAGACAGAGTTTCGTTCTTGTTGCTGGGATTACAGGCATGTGCCACCCCACCTGGCTAATTTTGTATTTTTAGTAGATAAGGGGTTTCTCCATGTTGGTCAGGCTGGTCTTGAACTCCCGACCTCAGGTGATCCGCCCGCCTCGGCCTCCTAAAGTGCTGGGATTACAGGCGTGAACCACTGTGCCTGGCCTATACATTTTTTTTTAACTAGCTGTGGGTGGTGGTGTGCACTTGTAGTCTCAGCTACTTGGGAGGCTGAAGTAGGAGGATTGCTTGAGCCTGGGAGGTCCAGGCTGCAGTGAGCCGTGATCAGGCCACTGCATTCCAGCCTGCGTGTCACAGCAAGACTGTCTCAAAAAACAAACAAAAACAAGTAATGTACTTGAATCATCCTGAAACCATCCCCACCCCTGGTCCGTGGAAAAATTGTCTTCCATGAAACCAGTCCCTGCTGCCAAAAAGGTTGGTGACCGGTAAAGTTAATTCACACCCTGACTTCTGGGTGACAGGGCAAAGTTCCTCCCTTATCCTCAGCTTCTAAATCTCTGAATGGGATGTTGGGGGCCACAGTAGCCTCCTTGCAGGGGAGTGACCTCCCTGGGACCGTTAGAGATGGACTCAGATGGACCTGTTGCCCAGGTTGGAGTGCAGTAGTGTGATCACAGCTCACTGCAGCCTTGAACTGGGATCAAGAGATCTGCCTGGGCTGGGCACGGTGGCTCATGCCTGTAATCCCAGCACTTTGGGAGGCCAAGGTGGGCGGATCACCTGAGGTGAGGAGTTCGAGACCAGCCTGGCCAACATGGTGAAACCACATCTCTACTAAAAATAGAAATATTAGCCGGGTGTGGTGGCAGGCGCCTGTAATCCCAGCTACTTGGGAGGCTGAGGCAAGAGAATTGCTTGAACCTGGGAGGCAGAGGTTGCAGAGAGCCAAGATCCTGCCATTGCACTCCAGCCTGGGTGACAAGAGCAAGACTCCATCTCAAAAAAAAGAAAAATCCTCCTGCCTCAGTCTCCCGAGTTTTGGGATTACAGTCACATGTATCACACCCAGCTAATTTTTTATTTTTGTAAAGTCAGGGTTGGTCTATGTTGCCCAGGCTGGCCTCCAACACCTGATCTCAAGGAATTCTCCCACCTCGGCCCCCCACAGCGTTGGGATTACAGGTGTGAGCCACTGCATCCAGCCAGGTTTTTTCTCTAACGTTTTCTCTGTCACGAGTCAGCCTCGACGGACAACAGGGTATGTCAGGGATATGTGTGCCCGGCTGTGAGGCTGGTGTGGGTGCCACATGCCACCTAAGTGGACCTCTAGGCTCTGGACCGTCCTGACTGTCATGCATTCTTGTTCTCAGTGGAGCAAACCGCCCCATGCCCACTGGCTCCAAACACCTGTTGTCGCATCCTCTCTCCTGGCTCTGGGCTGACCAGGCTCACTGGGGGTTCATTTGTTCCATGTGACAGTGGCTGCCATCATCTGGGGGCCGGGCTGGCTGGATGTCCCATCCAGAAGGTCTGTCATGTCTGGGATAGCTGACCTCTCCATGTGGCCTCTCCACGTGGACTCCTGAGCAAGGTGGCCACACTCCTGCCACGGTGACTTGGGGTTCCCCAACACACAAAGCAGAGAGACTGCTGGGTCAATGTTGCCGATGCTGTATTCTGTGGATTCAGTGGAGTCCAGGTCAGCCCAGATCCTGTGTGTGTGTGTGTGTGTGTGTGTGTGTGTGTGTGTGTGTGTGAGTGGGGGGAACACATAAGGGCCTGAACACCCTTTTGAGACTATCTCAAAAACATTATTTATTTATTTATTTATTTATTTATTTATTTTTGAGACGGAGCCTTGCTCTGTCTACCTGGCTGGAGTGCAGTGGTGCAATCTCGGCTCACTGCAACCTCTGCCTCCCGGGTTCAAGCGATTCTCCCGTCTCAGCCTCCTGAGTACCTGGGACTACAGGCCTGCACTAACACATCAGGCGAATTTGTTTTCTATTTGTAGTAGACACGGGGTTTCACCATGTTGGCCAGACTGGTCTCGAACTCCTGACCTCAGGCAATCCGCTCACCTCGGCCTTCCAAAGTACTGGGATTACAGGCGTGAGCCACAGTGCCTGGCCAAAAAAAACTTTTTTTATTTTTCTTTTTTTAAAGTCTCCCTCCTCCCCCTCGCCTTTTTTTTTTTTTTTTTTTTTTTTTTTTTTTTTTTTTTGGTGGAGTTTCCCTCTTGTTGCCCAGGCTGGAGTGCAATGGCTCCATCTCGGCAAACTTTGCCTCCTGGGTTCAAGTGATTCTCCTGCCTCAGCCTCCCGAGTAGCTGGGATTATAGGCATGTGCCATCATGCCTGGCTAATTTTTTGTATTTTTAGTAGAGACGGGGCTTCTCCATGTTGGTCAGGCTGGTCTCAAACTCCCGACCTCAGGTGATTTGCCTGCCTTGGCCTCCCAAAGTGCAGGGGTTACAGGCGTGAGACACCACGCCCGCCCCCCTCCCCTCTGCCTTTTTTTTTTTTTTTTTTTTTTTTTTAGAGATGAGGTCTTTCTACGTTGCCCAGGCTGGTCTCTTAACTCCTCAGCTCAAGTGATCCTCCCACCCTAGCCTCCCAAAGCACTGGGATCACAGGTGTGAGCCATGGTGTCCGCTGTTACCCACTCTTAAGGGGATTGTTTGAGACTAATGAGTCCTTTCTCTGCGGGTTGCCATTTGCACCAACAGAACAAGACCAGGTTCAGTAAAGCAAGATAGAAACTTTATTCGTCAATCAATGAATGGAGAAAGGGAGGAACTCCTGCTCAAAGTGCCTACTCCCTGCAGGTGTGATGAGGGGAGTTTTAAAGTTTCCTAGGGCATGTAGATGCAGACTGGGGGTGGGGATTCCTGGAAAGAGGTGGGGCTTTCTAGGGGGCACTGAAGTGTTCAGCCTTTCTTTTCTTTTGTACCTGGCATTATATGTGCTTAGCAAAGTGCACCTCTCCCCACTGAAGACTTTTTTTTTTTGGTTTTTCTTTTTTTGAGACAGAGTCTCGATCAGTCACCCAGGCTGGAGTGCAGTGGGGCGATCTCAGCTCACTGCCACCTCCGCCTCCCAGGTTCAAGCAATTCTCCTGCCTTAGCCTCCTGAGTAGCTGGGATTATAGGTGTGACCCATATAATCCCAGCTTTTTTTTTTTTTTTTTTTTGAAACAGCACCTCACTCTGTTGCTCAGGCTGAAGTACAGTGGTGCGATCGTAGCTCACTGCAGCCTCGACCTTCTGAGCTCAAGCAATCCTCCTGCCTCAGCTTCCCAAGTAGGTGGGACTACAGGCATGCATCACCACGCCCGGCTAATTTTTACATTATTTTTTGTAGAGAGAGGGTCTTTTTTTTTTTTTTCTGAGACTGAGTCTCGCTGTGTCGCTCAGGCTGGAGTGCAGTGGCACAATCTCAGCTCACTGCAACTTCTGACTCTCGGGTTCAAGCAATTCTCCTGCCTCAGCCTCCTGAGTAGTAACAGGCGCGTGCCACCACACCCGGCTAATTTTTTTTTTTTTTGTATTTTTAGTAGAGACAGGGTTTCACCATGTTGGCCAGGGTGGTCTCAAACTCCTGACCTCGTGATCTGCCCACCTTGGCCTCCTGAAGTGCTGGGATTACAGGCCAAGAGAGGGTCTTACCATGTTGCCCAGGGTGGTCTTGAACTCTCTGACTTAAGCAATCCTCCCTCCTCACACTCCCAAAATGCTGGGATGACAGCTTGGAGCCATTGTGCCCTGGCTGTGGAGATTTTACTCTGCCCATGGAGTGAGGATTCAGGCAGATGGAGCACTGCTGAGGTCAGCTCTCATCTTGTGGCTCAGTTGTGGTTAATGGCATCCGGCCTTCATGCCTGTAAACTAGCACAGCTGTGAGCAGGGGTTAATTTCTTTTTTTTTGAGACAGAGTGTCGCCCTGTTGCCCAGGCTGGAGTGCAATGGTGTGATCTCGGCTCACTGCAACCTCTGCCTCCCAGGTTCAAGCATTTCTCCTGCCTCAGCCTCCTAAATAGCTAGGATTACAGGCACACACCACCATGCCTGGCTACTTTTTTGTATCTTTAGTAGACACCAGGTTTCACCATGTTGGCCAGGCTGGTCTCGATGTCCTGACCTCGTGATCCACCCGCCTCAGCCTCCCAAAGTGCTGGGATTACAGGTGTGAGCCACCATGCCCGGCCAGAGCAGAGATTAATTTCACAGGTTCTGGGGCTCCCTAAAAGAATGGATGTTATAGTCCGGGTGTGGTGGCTTACGCCTGTAATCTCAGCACTTTGGGAGGCTGAGGTGTGGGTGATCACTTGAAGTCAGGAGTTTGAGACCAGCCGCCTTTCTCACCCTCCCAAAGTGCTTGGATGACAGCTGGGAGCCAGTGCACCCTGGCTGTGGAGATTTTATTATGCCAGTGGAGTGAGGAATCAGGCCTATGGAGCACTGCTGAGGTCAGCTCTCATCTTGTGGCTCATTTGTGGTTATTGGCACTTGGCCTTTGTTCCTGTAAGCTAGCACAGCTGTGAGCAGCGGTTAATTTCTTTTTTTTTTTTTTTGAGACAGAGTCTTGCTCTGCCACCAGGCTGGAGTACAGTGGCGCGATCTCGGCTCACTGCAACCTCCGCCTCCCGGGTTCAAGTCATTTTCCTGCCTCAGCCTCCCAAGTAGCTGGGATTACAGGCGCTCACCACCACGCCCAGCTAATTTTTGTATTTTTAGTAGAGACAGAGTTTCACTATGTTGGCCAGGCTAGTCTCGAACTCTTGACCTCAGGTGATCCACCCACCTTGGCCTCCCAAAGTGCTGGGATTACAGGCGTGAGCCACCATGCCAGGCCGGATACAGGGTCTTTAAAGGGGTGATTAAGGCCAGGTGTGGTGGCTCACACTTGTCATCCCAGAACTTCAGGAGGCTGAGGTGGGTGGATTGCACAAGGCCAGCAGTTTGAAACCAGCCTGGGCAACATAGGGAGAGCCTGCCTCTACTAAAAATACAAAAAATTAGCTCGGTGTGGTGGTGCACACTTGAATCCCAGCTACTCAGGAGGCTGAGGCACGAGAAATACTTGAGAACAGGAGGCAGAGGTTGTAGTGAGCCAAAGATCCCACCACTGCACTCCAGCCTGGGCAAAAGAGTGAGAGTCTGTTTCAAAAAAAAAAAAAAAAAAAGCCTAAGTGTGGTGGCTCACGCCTGTAATCCCAGCACTTTGGGAGGCTGAGGCAGGTGGATCACCTGAGGTCGGGAGTTCAAGACCAGCTTGACCAACATAGTGAAACCCGTCTCTACTAAAAATACAAAATTAGGTGGGCATGGTGACACATGCCTGTAATCCCAGCTACTTGGGAGGCTGAGGCAGGAGACTTGCTTGAATCTGAGAGGCGGAGGTTGCAGTGAGCCGAGATTGTACCATTGCACTCCAGCCTGGGCAACAAGAGGGAAACTCCGTCTCAAAAAGAAGAAAAGAAAAAAAATTTTTTTAATTAGCAGGACTTGGTGGTGTGCACCCGTGGTCCCAGCTACTCAGGAGGCTGAGGTGGGAAGATTGCTTGATTCCAGGAGGCTGCACTGAGCTGTTAGCGCCACTACACTCCAGCCTGGGAGACAAAGCAAGGCCCTGTCTCAAAAAAAAAAGAAGCTGCTGAGAGGTGACAGCGTGCTGGCAGCCCTCGCTTGCTCTCGGTGCCTCCTGGGCCTCCGCGTCCACTCTGGCCGCGCTTGAGGAGCTCTTCAGCCCACCACCGCACTGTGGGAGTCCCTCTCTGGGCTGGCCGAGGCTGGAGCCAGCTCCTTCTGCTTGCTAAAGGTGTGGAGGGAGAGGCGCGGGCGGGAACCCGGGCTGTGCGCAAGGGGCTCGTGGGACAGCGCGAGTTCCGGGTGGGCGTGGGCCCCCGCACTCAGAGCGGACAGCCGGTGCCACCGGCCCCAGGCAGTTGAGGGGCTTAGCACCCGGGCCAGCAGCTGTGGAGGGTGTGCCGGGTCCCCCAGCAGTGCCGGCCCGCCAGCGCTGCACTCGAATTCTCGCGGGGCTTCAGCTGCCTCCCGGCTGGGCAGGGCTCAGGACCTGCAGCCCCCCATGCCTGAGGCTTCCCCCTGCCCTGGGCTCCTGCTCCGCCCGAGCCTCCCTCATGAGCGCCACCCACTGCTCCACGACGCCTGGTCCCATCGACTGCCCAAGCCAAGAGGGCTGAGGAGTCCAGGCGTGTGGCAAGGGACTGGTGGGCAGCTCTACCTCTGACCCCCTGCGGGTTCCACTGCCTGAAGCCAGCTGGGCTCCTGAGTCTAGTGGGGACTTGGAGAGCCTTTATGTCTAGCTGAGGGATTGTAAATGCATCAATCAGCACCCTGTGTCTAGCTCAGGGTTTGTAATTGCACCAATCAGCACTCTGTATCTAGCTAATCTGGTGGGGACTTGGAGAACCTTTATGTCTGGCTAAGGGATTGTAAATACACCAATCAGCACTCTGTGTCTAGCTCAAGGTTTGTAAATACACCAGTCAGCACCCTGTGTCTAGCTCAAGGTTTGTAAATGCACCAATCAGTGCTCTGTGGGGACTTGGAGAACTTTTGTGTCTAGCTCGGGGATTGTAAACACACCAATCAGCACCCTGTCAAAATGGGCCAATCAGCTCTCTGTAAAACAGACCTGTCAGCTCTCTGTAAAATGGACCAATCAGCAGGATGTGGGTGGGGCCAGATAAGGGAATAAAAGCAGGTTGCCCCAGCTAGCAGTGGCAACTTGGGTTGTCTTTCATGCTGTGGTTGCTTTGTTCTTTTTCTCTTTGCAATAAGTCTTACTGCTGCTCGCTGTTTGGGTCCACACTGCCTTTATGAGCTGTAACACTCACTGCAAAAGGTCTGTAGCTACACTCCTGAGCCGGAAAGACCACGAACCCACCAGAAGGAGGAAACTACGAACACATCCGAACATCAGAAGGAACAAACTGTGGACACGCTGCCTTTAAGAACTGTAACATTCACCACGAGGGTCTGTGGCTTCATTCTTGAAGTCAGTGAGACCAAGACCCCACCAATTCTGGATACACTGCTACATCGGGTCCTCATCCAATCTGCCTGGTGTCCCTACAAGAAGAAGAAATATGGACACTAAGAAATACGAAGGGTGCATGCAGAGAAGAGAGCATGTGAGGGCACGCAGGAGGCGGCCGCGGCTCTGTAAGACAAAGCAAGGGGGCTCAGTAGAAACCAGCTCTGGGCCGGGTGCGGTGGCTCACGCATGTAATCCCAGGCGTGATCATTTGAGGTCAGGATTTAGAGACCATCCCGGAAATACGGCAAAACCCCATCTCTACTAAAAATAGAAAAATTAGCCGGGCGTGGTGGTGGGCGCCTGTAATCCCAGCTACTCGAGAAGCTGAGGGACGAGAATTGCTTGAACCTGGGGCTACTCTGGAAGCTGAGGCACGAGAATTGCTTGAATCTGGGAGGTGGAGGTTGCAGTGCAACCAAGATGGTGCCACTGCACTCCAGCCTAGGTAGCAGAGCAAGACTCCGTTTCAAAAATGAAAAGCAGAAACCAACCCTGATGACATCTTAATCTTGGACGTCAGCCTCCAGAAATGTAAGTTTCTGTTTTTAACCTACCCAAGCTGTGGTATTTTGTTATGGCCACCCTAGCAAACTGAAGCTAGTATGATAGCTCAGAAACTCTTTTTTTCATTTTTTTCTTCCTTAGAGACAGGGTCTTGCTTTGGCTCCCAAGCTGGAGTACGGTGGTGCAGTTATAGAATTATAGCTCACTGTAGCCTCAACCTCCCAGGCTCAAGAGATCTTCCCGCCTCAGCCTCCTGATTAGCTGGGACTACAGGTCTGCGCCACTGTGCCCAGCTAATTTAAAACAAAACAAAAAAATGTTTCATACAGATTGGTCAACATGGCCAGACCCCGACTGGTAAAAGCTGGTTAAAAAAGATACTTGTTGATGGTCAGGTGCAGCGGCTCACACTTGTTATCCAAGCACTCTGGGAGGCTGAGGCATGAGGACTGTTTGAACCCAGGTGTTGGAGATCAGCCTGGGCAATATAGTGAGATCTCATTTATACTAAAAAACAAAAAAAATAGCTGGGCATGGTGGCACATACCTGAAGTTTCTGTAGTTGCAGCTACTTAGGAGGCTGAGGTGGGAGGATTGCTTGAGCCTGGGAGATGGAGGCTACAGTGAGCTATGATCACCCATTGCACTCCAGCCTGGGCAATGGAGCAAGATCCTGTCTCTAGAAAACAACAATAAAATATATCTGTTGAATGCTACTATGTATCAGTGCTGTTCCTGGTTCTAACCATGAACAAAATAGCCCTGAAAAAATAGGGCTGAGCCCGGTGGCTCACATTTGTAATCTCAGGACTTTGGGAGATCAAGGCAGGTGGATCGCCTGAGGACTGGAGTTCGAGACCAGCCTGGACAACATGGCAAAACCCCATCTCTACTAAAATAAATTAGTAGCTGGGTGCACTGGTTCATGCCTGTAGTCCCAGCACTTTGGGAGGCTGAGGTGGGCAGATCACCTGAGGTCAGGAGTTCTAGACCATCCTGGCCAACATGGTGAAACCCTGTCTCTCCTAAAAATACAAAAATTAGCTGGGTGTGGTGGCAGGCGCCTGTAATCCCAGCTACTTGGGAGACTGATGCTAGAGAACTGCTTGAACCCAGGAGGCAGAGGTTGCAGTGAGCCGAGATCTTGTCATTGTACTCCAGCCTGGGTAACAAGAGGGAAACTGTCTTTAAAAAAAAAAAAAAAAAAATTAGCTGGATGTGGTGTAGTGCATGCCTGTAATCCTAGCTACTCAGGAGGCTGAGGCAGAAGAATTGCTTGAACCTGGGAGGCAGAGGCTGCAGTGAGCCGAAATCCGCCAATGCACTCCAGCCTGGGTGACAGCAAGTTCCTGTCTCAAAAAAAAAAAAAAAAAAAAAAAAAGCTGGTGCGGAGATTCACTCCTGTAATCCCAGCACTTTGAGAGGTCGAGACCAGCCTGGCCAACATGGTCGAACCCGGTCTACTAAAAGTACAAAACTAGCCAGGCATGGTGGTGCATGCCTGTAATTCCAGCTACTCAGGAGGCTGAGGCAGGAGAATCGCTTGAACCTGGGAGGCAAGAGGCTGCAGTGAGCCGAGGTCATGCCATTGTACTCCAGCCAGGGCGACAGAGCGAGACTCTGTCTCAAAAGAAAACGAAAGAGCTGGGCGTGGTGGTTCACGCCTGTAATTCCAGCACTTTGGGAGGCTGAGGTGGGTGGGTCACCTGAGGTCAGGAGTTCGAGACCAGCCTGACCAACATAGTGAAACCCCGTCTTTACTAAAAATACAAAAAATTAGCCGGGCGTGGTGGCAGACACCTGTAATCCCAGTTACTAGGGAGGCTGAGGCAGGAGAATCGCTTGAACCCGGGAGGCGGAGGTTGCAGTGAGCCAAGATTGCACCATTGCACTCCAGCCTGGGCAACAAGAGCAAAACTCTGTCTCAAAAAAAAAAAAAAAAAAAGAGAAGGTGTTTCTGGTTGCAGTGGGGAGAACAGAACCTGCAGGGAGACCAGGGAGGGGACAACTGCACTGATCCCCAGAAGTCAGGAAGGGGCTGGACCTAGCTGGCAAGTGCAGGTGGTCAGTGATAACTGGCTTCTAGGTCTGTTTTGAAGGAAAAGGCGATGGGGGCTGTAGGATTGGCAGACACATTGGATGCAGGTGGGAGGAGGCGTGGATGCCTCAGAACTGTCAGAGCAGAGCCTGGGAAGATGGTGCTAACTGAGAGGGAGAGGACGCTCGGACAAGGCTTGGGTGGGAAACCCCTAGGAGTCCAGATTGGGACCTGCAACACTGGAGCGGCCTGCGAGGACCCCTTGTGGCAGAGGCTGAGAAGGCACTGGACCCTAGGGTTTGGGCTAGAATGATGAATTTGGGAATTGGCCCAGTTGGGCGTCTGTGGGCTGGAGAGGAGTGAATGCAGCCAAACCTTAGATGTTTTGGAGCTAAGGAAGAATCAGAAAACAGATGAAAAGTTGGGTGCGGTGGCTCACGCCTGTAATCCCAACACTTTGGGAGGTTGAAGCGGGCAGATCCCTTGAGGTCAGGAGTTCAAGACCACCCTGGCCAACATGGTGAAACCCGGTCTCTTGTAAAAATGAAAAATTTAGCCGGGTGTGGTGGCGGGTGCCTGTAATCCCAGCTACACGGGTGGCTGAGGCAGGAGAATCGCTTGAACCTGGGAGAAGGTTGCAGTGAGCAGAGATCATGCCACTGCACTCCAACCTGGGCAACAGAGCAATATTCTGTACAAAAAAAAAAACAAGACAAAATGAAAAAGAGATGGAAGCGGGGCATGGTGGCTCACATGTTTAATCCTAGCTAGTTGGGAGGCTGAGATGGGAGGATTGCTTGAGTCCCGGTGGTCAAGGCTGGAGTGAGCTATTATTGTACCACTGTGCTCCAGCCAGGGCAACAGAGTGAGACCCTGCTGTATCTTAAAAAGGAAAAAGGGTTGGGCGTGATGGTTCACGCCTGTAATCCCAGCACTTTGAGACGCCAAGGTGGGTGGATGACTTCAGCCCGAAAATTTGAGACCAGCCTGGGAACATAGTGAGACCTCATCTCTACAAGAAATACAAAAATTATTTGGGTGTGGTGGTGCCTGCCTGTAGTCCCAGCTACTCAGGAGGCTGAACTAGGTGGAATGCTTGAGGCCAGAAGGTTGAGGCTGCAGTGAGCCCTGATCTTGCCACTGCACTCCAACCTGGGCAGCAGAGCAAGATACTAACTCGAGAAAAAAAAAAAAACTCATAGATTAAAGTTCATAGCAGCAGGTCCGGCAGCAAAAATTCACCTCTGTTCTCTTAGGATCCCTCTAGGCCTGAGAATTATTAAGTTGACATAAAATGGGTTAACAGGCAGGGCGTGGTGGCTCACGCCTGTAATTCCAGCACTTTTGGAGGCCAAGGCAGCTGGATCACCTGAGGTCGGGAGTTCGAGACCAGCCTGACCAACATGGTGAAACCCTGTCTCTACTAAAAATACAAAAATTAGCCAGGTGTCGTGGTGGGCACCTGTAATCTCAGCTACTTGGGAGGCTGAGGCAGGAAATTGCTTGAACCCAGGAAGCGGAGGTTGTGGTGAGCCAAGATTGTACCACTGTACTCCAGCCTGGGCAACAAGAGGAAACTCCATCTCCCCCTACCAAAAAAAAAAAAAAAAAAAAAAAAAAAAAAAAAAAAAAAAATAGGGCCAGGCATGGCACAGTGGCTCACGCCTGTAATCCCAGCACTTTGGGAGGCCGAGGCAGGCAAATCACGAGGTCGACAAATCACGAGGTCAGGAGTTTGAGACCAGCCTGGCCAACATGGTGAAACCCCATCTCTACTAAAAATACAAAAAATTAGCTGGGCGTGCTGGCTGGTGCCTGTTATCCCAGCTACTCGGGAGGCTGAGGCAGGAGAATTGCTTGAACCCTGGAGGCGGAGGTCGCAGTGAGCTGAGATTGTGCCACTGTGTTCTAGCCCGGGTGACAGAGCAAGACTGTCTCAGAAAACAAAACAAACAAAAACAGGTTAACAGGAGAGGATACAGATTTACTTAATAGAAGTTTTGCATGGAATAGAAGCCCTCAGAAGAAAATGAATTTGAGAGGTCAAGGCAGGAGGATCCCTTGAGGCCAGGAGTTCAAGACCAGCCTAGGCAACATAGCAAGACCCTTTCTGTACAAAAAATACAAAAATTAGCAGGGTATGGTGGCGTGTGCCTGTAGTCCCAGCTACTCAGGAGGCTGAGGCGGGCGGTGGAGGTTGTGGTGAGCTGAGATCGAGTCACTACACTCCAGCCTGGGTGACAAAGACTCTGTCTGTCTGTGTCTCTCTCTCTCTCTCTCAAAAAAAGAAGGGGCTGGGCATGGTGGCTCATACCTGTAATCCCAGCACTTTGGGAAGCTGAAGCAGGTGGATCACTTGAGGTCAGGAGTTTGAGACCAGCCTGGCCAACATAGCAAAACCCTGTCTCTACTAAAAATACAATAATTGGCCAGGTGTCGTGGCACGAGCCTGTGGTCCCAGCTACTTGAGAGGCTGAGGCAGGAGAATCGCTTGAACCTGGGAGGCAGAGGTTGCAGTGAGCCGAGATCGCGCCACTGCACTCCAGCCTGGGCAATACAGCGAGACTCAGTCTCAAAAAAAAAAAAAGGAAAAAAAACAAAGGTTAATTTTATGCCGTGTGAGTTTCACCTTAATAATAAAAACAAAGGAGGGAAAAATGCATCAACCTATTTGTGTGCTGATAGGAATGCTCCAGGGGTGCGGGGAGGTTGTTGAGGTAGGTGCTTGTCTAGGCCCATGAAGGGGTGGAGGAGTTGGTGGAGAAGGGGGCGTGGTTTTGCTGCATCCAGGGCAAATTGATTCTCACAGGGCAAGAGGAAGAGCCACTGCGTCTGGGTCCTGATGCAGGTCTGCAGGTTGATGGAGGGCAGTGGCTCTGGAAGGTCTCTCCTGCTGATTTCTGTTTTCTCAGAGATGCCACCTGGTCTGTGACAAAGATTGGTAAACAGGAGGATGATGTCAGTATTAAGAGGAAATAACAGGCCGGGTGCGGTGGCTGACGTCTGTAATCCCAGCACTTTGGGAGGCCAAGGCTGTCGGATCACTTGAGGTCAGGAGCTCGAGACCAGCCTGACCAACGTGGCGAAATCCCGTCTTTACTAAAAATACAAACATTAGCCAGGCATGGTGGCCTGTGCCTATAATCCCAGCTTCTCAGGAGGCTGAGACAGGAGGATCGCTTGGACCCGGGAAGCGGGTGTTGCAGTGAGCCGAGATCGGCCATTGCACTCCGGCTTAGGAGACAGAGTAAGACTCTGTCTCGGGCGGGGTGGCGGGGGAAACAGGGAATAACAGTAGGGGAAGTTCCTAGTAATGCATGTTTTTCCAAGTCCCAGAAAGAACATAGCGGCAGATGGCAAGTTGCCCCTAGGTGGTGGTCGTTCCCCATGTCCAACACCCAGTCAGCCTCGGGCTAATCCAGGGTCACTGACCATGTGCTTATCTGGCAGTTCTCCCTGGTTTTCATGCATTTTACTTTTGCTTTAACCTTTTCTGTTTCCGATCGAGTGACCATCATTTTTTTTCTACTGTTAAATATACATATCAATACATAATAGAAAAAAATACAAAAAGTACGTAAGTATTATACCTAAAAATAACATAAAATTGACCACTTTAACAATTTTAAAGTGGGCTTCAAAGGTATTCAGTATTTTTACAATGTTGTGCACTCATCACCACCACCCATCTCTAGAACTGTTGTTTGTTTTTGTTCTTGTTTTTTGTTTTTGAGACAGAGTCTCGCTCTGTTGCCTAGGCTGGAGTGCAGTGGTGCTGTGATCTCAGCTCACTGCAACTTCTGCCTCCTGAGTTAGAGTGATTCTCCTGCCTTAGCCTCCCGAGTAGCTGGCATTACAGGCACGTGCCACCACGCCCAGCTAATTTTTTGTATCTTTAGTAGAGATGGGGTTTTCACTATGTTTGCTAGGCTGGTCTTGAACTCCTGACCTTGTGATCCACCTGCCTCAGACTCTCAAAAGTGCTGGGGTTACAGGCGTCAGCCACCATTCCTGGCCAAGAAATCTTTTTTGTTTGTGAGATGGGGTCTCATTATGTTGCCCAGGCTGGTCTCAAGCTCCTAGCCTCAAGTCATCCACCTGCCTTGGCCTCCCAAAGGGCTGGGATGATAGAATTTAGCCACAGTGCCTGGCCTCCTCTTTTTTTTTTTTTTTTTTTTTTTTTTTTTTTGAGATGGAGTTGTGCTCGGTCATCCAACCTGGAGTGCTGGAGTGCAGTGGTGTGATCTTGGCTCACTGCAACCTCCACCTCCCAGGTTCAAGCAATTCTTCTGTCTCAGCCTCCTGTAGCTGGGACAACAGGTGCATGCTACCATGCCTGGCTAATTTTTGTATTTTTAGTAGAGATTCGAGATGGGGTTTCACCATATTGGTTAGGCTGGTCTCGAACTCCTGACCTCAGGTGATCGACTGGCCTTGGCCTCTCAAGTGCTGGGATTACAGGCATGAGCCATTGTGCCCGGCCACATCTGTTTTTATCAAAGTGAAATTCATATAACATAAAATTAACCATTGTGAAGTGAATGATTCAGTGGCATTTGGTACATTCACAGTGCAGTGCAACCATATCTATCTACTGCCAGAATATTTTCATGACCCCAAAAGGAAGCCCTGTACTCATTTTGGTGACTCACACATGTAATCCTAGTGCTTGGGAGGCCGAGGTGGGAGGATGGTTTGAGGCTAGGAGATTCAGATCATCCTGGACAACATAGCAAGGCCTAATCTCTACCAAAAATAAAAAAATTAGCTGGGTGTGGTTGTGTGCACCTGTCATCCTAGCTACTGGGAAGACTGAGGCAGGAGGATTGCTTGAGCCCAAGTGTTGGAAGCTGCAGTGATCTGTGATCACACCACTGCATTCCAGCCTGGGCAACAGAGCAAAACCCTGTCTCCAAAATAAAAAATTTAAAAATAAAAGAAATTGGATATTCTCCCCCTTTCCCTCTTTTTTTTCCCTCCCCCTCTTCTTGGTATCAGCCTGAATTAGATGAGAAATAACTGTTACTTGAAATGTTGATAAAACTTGATTGGGGCCGGGCACGGTGGCTCACGCCTGTAATCCCAGCACTTTGGGAGGCCGAGGCGGGCAGATCACGAGGTCAGGAGATCGAGACCATCCTGGCTAACATGGTGAAACCCCATTTCTACTAAAAATAGAAAAAAATTAGCCAGGCGTGGTGGCGGACGCCTGTAGTCGCAGCTTCTCGGGAGGCTGAGGCAGGAGAATGGCGTGAACCTGGGAGGCGGAGCTTGCAGTGAGCAGAGATCGCGCCGCTGCACTCCAGCCTGGGCGACGGAGCGAGACGCTGTCTCAAAAAAAAAAAAAGCAAGACTCCGTCTAAAAAAAAAAAAAAAAAAAAAAACCCCAAAAACTTTGGTTGAAAAATCCTCTGGGTTTTGTCCTTTAGCGGAAGGTAGTTTGTTTCTTCCCTTCCCCTTCCCTTCCTCTCTTTCTCTCATTTTTTTCTTTCAACAGGGTCTCCCTCTGTCAACCAGGCTGGAGTGCAGTGGCACCATCATGACTCACTATAGCCTTGACCTCCTGGGTTCAAGCGATCCTTCAGCCTCAGCCTCTCGAGTAGTGGGGACTACAGGCACACACCACCATATCCAGCTAATTTTTATTTATTTTTATTTTTTAAATTTTAGATGGAGTCTTCCTCTGTCGCCAAGGCTGGAGTGCAGTAGCGCAATCTCGGCTCACTGCAAGCTCCGCCTCCCGGGTTCAGGCCATTCTCCTGCCTCAGCCTCCCGAGTAGCTGGGACTACAGGTGCCCGCCACCACGCCCAACTAATTTTTTGTATTTTTAGTAGAGACAGGGTTTCACCATGTTAGCCAGGATGGTCTCGATCTCTTGACCTTGTGATCCACCCACCTCGGCCTCCCAAAGTGGTGGGATTACAGGTGTGAGCCACCGCGCCCGGCCTAATTTTTAAATTGTTTTGTAGAGACCAGGTTTCGCTATGTTGACCAGATGGGTCTTAAACACCTGGGTTCAAGTGATCTGTCTACCTTAGCCTCCCAAAATGTTGGGATCACAGGCATGAACCATATTGTCTGCCCCCTCCCCCAAGTTATTTCCATTTCATTAATATTTATGGATTTAGTAAAGTTTTTTGGTACCTCTTGGTGCAAGTTTTGCATTTTATATTTTTCCATAAAGGTATTCTTTTCATCTTCATCTTTTCTTTTAGTTTTGAGACGGAGTTTCGCTCATGTTGCCCAGACTGGAGTGCAATGGCGTGATCACAGCTTACTGCAACCTCCGCCTCCTGGGTTCCAGTGATTTTTCTGCCTCAGCCTCCCAAGTAGGTGGGACTACAGGCGGGCACCAGCAGGCCTGGCTAATTTTTTCAGATGGAGTCTCACTCTGTCGCTCAGGCTGGAGTGCAGTGGCACGATCTTGGCTCACTGCAAGCTCCACCTCCTGGGTTCACACCATTCTCCTGCCTCAGCGTCCTGAGTAGCTGGGACTACAGGTGCCCACCATCAGGCCTGGCTAATTTTTTGTATTTTTTAGTATACACGGGGTTTCACTGCATTAGCCAGGGTGGTCTCGATCTCTTGAGCTTGTGATCTGTCCTCCTCAACCTCCCAAAGTGCTGGAATTACAGGCATGAGCCACCCTGCCCCGCCAGTTTTTGTATTTTTAGCAGAGATGGGGTCTTGACATGTTGGCCAGGCTGGTCTTGAACTCCTGGGCTGAAGCGATCCACCTGCCTTAGCCTCCCAAAGTGCTGAGATTACTGGCGTGAGCCACTGTGCCTGGCATATACCCACTTTTAATCGCATGCAGATTAAGGGGCAGTTTATGTAGAAACTTTTAGGGAAGGGGGTACTAATCATTGGGGCATTGCCTGGAAAGGGGCAGTAATTCCTTGATGTTAGCATGGTAATGTGAAATTGACACGGCACACTGGCAGGCATGTCTCATCGAAAGCTGCTTCCCCCTCCCTTTTCCTTCACCTGTTTTAGCTAGTCCTCAATATGGTCTGGTGTCTGAGCCCCACCTCTGAAGTCAAATCTTATCTTCTACCTCACTAGGACTTGCCTAGGAGTTGCACTGATAGCCTAGACTGACTTTCAAATTTACTTAGAGACCCAGAGCACTTTAGCCCATGGTGGGTCGCAAAGTTTGCAGGAACTCAAATTCCACTGGGATCCATAATTTCCCTCTTGTTAGGGCTGGTTTAAATGCCCCCTCTATAGGGACCAGCCCTACAGGGCCTGTGGGTTTTTCTCCTCGTGTGTGGAGATGAGAGATCGTAGAAATAAAGACACAAGGCAAAGAGAAGGAAAGACAGCTGGGGCCTGGAGGACCACTACCACCAAGACGCAGAGACCGGTAGTGGCCCTGAATGCCTGGCTGCACTGTTATTTTTTGGATATAAGGCAAGGGGGCAGGGTAAGGAGTGTTGAGCCATCTCCAGTGATAGGTAAGGTCACGTGAGTCATGTGTCTACTGGACAGGGGGCCCTTCCCTGTTTGGTAGCCGAGGCAGAGAGAGGGGACAGCTTATGTCATTATTTCTTGGAGAGGTCAACGGCTTAATACTTTCACTTAATTCTGCTACTGTTTTCTAGAAGGCAGAGCCAGGTGTACAGGGTGGAACATGAAAGTGAAACAGGAGCGTGACCGCTGAAGCACAGCATGACAGAGGCTAGACTGTTAGGCCTCTGGATGGCTGTTGGCAGGTGGGGATGGTGGGGGCTTGACTGATGTCAGGCCTTCCACAAGAGGTGGTGGAGCAGAGTCTTCTCTAACTCCCCCAAGGAAAGGGAGACTCCCTTTCCCGGTCTGCTAAGTAACGGGTGCCTTCCCAGGCGCCGGCATTACCGCTAGACCATGGAGCCCTCTAGTGGCCCTGTCCGGGCATAACAGAGGGCTCGCACTCTTGTCTTCTGGTGTAACTATTTTTATTTTATATATATTTTTTATTTTACTGGAACAACTTGTGCCCTCAGTCTCTTGCCTCGGCACCTGGGTGGCTTGCCGCCCACACCCTCTATGGGTGGGCATCAGCTGAGTGTGGTCGGGTTTTTCTTTCTGCTCTAAAAGGACAGCGCTGGGTTCCATGCCTCACAATTGCTGCCCCCTCCCTCTCCCCAACACACAAAGGCACTCTCCACACCATGCTGCCAGGGGTGGCGGAGAGGTGGTGTCAGAGATTCAGGACTTTCAGTGTGTTTCTTCAGTGTGTCTTTCAGTGATATAAAGTTAAAACCGGGTACTGTGAGTGCTCACCTGATTTTTGGTTCTTCTTTTTTTTTTTTTTTTTTTTTTTTTTTTTTTTTTTTTTTTTTTTTTTTTTTTTCGGAGACAGAGTCTTGCTCTGTCGCCCAGGCTGGAGTGCAGTGGCGCGATCTCGGCTCACTGCAACCTCTGCCTCCCGGGTTCAAGTGATTCTCCTGCCTCAGCCTCCTGAGTAGCTGGAACTACAGGCATGAGCCACTGCTCCCGGCTGGGATTTTTGGTTCTTGGGAAAGTGCTTTTTTGTGTGTAGCTGTTAAATTGGTGTCCTTGTTGGAGGGATGGTTGGTGGAGCCTTCTATTCTGTTATCTTGTGCTGCCTTCTACATCCTGGGTTTTTGATATAGATATGTCATAGACTAATAATGGGCAGTTTTATTCTCTTTATTTCTCCTACTGATATCTTTTTTTGTTTTACGGTTTTTTTTTTTTTAATTGGCGGAATTTCACTCTTGTTGCCTGGGCTGGAATGCAATGGCGTGACCTCGCCTCACTGCAACCTCCGCCACCCAGGTTCAAGTGATTCTCCTGCCTCAGCCTCCCAAGTAGCTGGGATTACAGGCATGCGCCACCACACCCGGCTAATTTTTTTGTATTTTTAGTAGAGATGGGGTGTCTCCATGTTGGTCAGGCTGGTCTCGAACTCCCGACCTCAGGTGATCTGCCTGCCTCGGCCTCCCAAAGTGCTGGGATTAACAGGCGTGAGCCACCGCGCCCGGCCTTTTTTGATTTATTGTTAACTAGAACTCCCAGAATAATTTTGAATAAGGGTGGCGATAGCAGCTATTGTCTTATTTCTTACCTTAAGGGTTATGTACCCAACAATTAAATATGACATTAAATATAACATTTGACATGTATGATGCTTTATTTTTGTTTTTTAGTGTTGGGGCCTTCCACTATTCCTCAGGTTGGAGTGCAGTGGCAAGATCACGGCTCACTGCAGCCTTGAACTCCTGGTTCAAGTGGTCCTCCTGCCTTGAGCTCCTGAGTAGCTGGGACTACAGGCACATACCACCATGCCTGATTTTTAAATTTTGTGCAGAGATGGGGGTCTTGCCATGTTGCCAGGCTGATCTTGAACTCCTGGGCTCAAGTGATCCTCTCCCTTGGTCTCCAGAAGTGCTGGGATTACAGGTATGAGCCACCGCACCTGGCCTGTCTCTATATTTTTTTCTGTGACTTCTTTTATTTTTCTTTATTAATCTTGCCAGATGTTCGTCTGTTAGTCATTCAAATAACTAACTTTTAGGTTTGATGATCCTAATTTTAACACTTATCCTGTTTTTTCTTTTATTGAGCTTATTTTACTGTTCTTTAAAATCTTCTTAAATGCTTAGCTAATTATTTTTGAGCTTTTTCTTTTTTTTTTTTTTTTTTTTTTTTTTTTGAGTCTCACCCTGTTGCCCAGGCTGGAGTACAATGGCACAATCTTGGCTCATTGAAACTTCTGCCTCCTGGGTTCAAGCGATTCTCCTGCCTCAGCCTCCTGAGTAGCTGGGATTACAGGCACGTGCCACCACTGCTGGCTAATTTTTTTTTTTTTTTTTGTATCTTTAGTAGAGACGGGGTTTCACCATGTTGGTCAGACTGATCTCAAACTCCTGACCTCATGATCCACCCCCCTTGGCCTCCCAGAGTGCTGGGATTACAGGTGTGAGCCACCACGCCAGGCTGCTTTTTTTTTTTTTTCGTTTCTAATATAAGCCTGTTAGGCTGCAAACTTCCTCCAAAGGATTGCTTAAGCTACACTCCACAAACATTGACATGTAATATTTTTATATTTTTGCTATTCATCTTTTTTTTTTTTTTTTTTTTTTTGGAGACAAAATCTCACTCTGTTGCCAGGCTGGAGTGCTGGCATGTCTCAGCCTCCCGAGTAGCTGGGATTACAGGCATGTGCCACCACACCCAGCTAATTTTTGTATTTTTAGTAGAGACGGGGTTTCACCATGTTGGCCAGGATGGTCTCGATCTCCTGACCTCGTGATCCGCCCACCTTGACTTCCCAAAGTGCTGGGATTACAGGCGTGAGCCACTGTGCCCGGCCTTTGCTATTCATCTATAGGAGTGTATTTTCTAATCTTCATTATGGGCTCTCTTTCAACCCATGAGGTTCCTATTATTTGTTTTTTTGGAGGAAATGGGAATTATTGGATAGGGAAACACCAGGTAAATGGAATAATTATAATCTTTGCTTCATGAGACACTGTAGTTGATACATACAAATCCCTTTCTTCATGCATTTATTAAGATGAAATTTACATAACGAACCATCTTAAAGTGAACAGTTCAGTGGCATCGAGTGCATTTGCAATGTTGTAGAACCACGACTTTAGTTCCAAAACATTTCCACCGCTGCAAGATAAAACTCCGTACCCATTAAACAGTTTCTTCCTATGCCTTCACCCTGAAGCCCCCGGCAGCTATAAATATACATTTTATTTTTATAGGTTTACCTCTTCTGGATATTTCATATAGGTGGAATCATAAAATGTGTGACCTTTTATGTCTGGGTTCTTACACTGAGCATAATGCTTCCAGGGTTCATTCACATGCAGCATATGTGAGTGCTGTATTCCTTTTCATGGCTGAGTAGTAGTCCATTGTATGGATGGACTACAATTTGTTATTGGACATTTGGGTTGTTTCTATGGTGTTTTTTTCTCCCCCCACCCCTCCAGACAGGGTCTCTCTGTTGCGCAGGCTGGAGTATAGTGGCATGATCATAGCTCACAGCAGTCTTGTACTCCTGGGCTCAGGCAATCCTCTCACTCAACTTCCTGAGTAGCTGGGAGTATACGTGCATGCCACCACACCCTGCTGATTTTTCTATTTTTTTGCAGAGACCATGTCTCACTATGTTGTCCAGGCTGGTCTTGAACTCCTGTGCTCAAGCAATCCTCCCACTTCGACCTCCCAAAGTGTTGGGATTACAGGAGTGAACCATTGTGATCAGCTGTTTCTACCTTTATTGTGACTAGTGCTGCTATGAACATTCATGTGTAAATATTTGAGTACCTGCTTCCAATTCTTTTGGGTCTATTCCTAGGAGTGGAATTGCTGGATCATATAGTAATTCTATTTAATTTCTTGAGGAACCACCAAACGATTTTCCACAGTGATCATTTTACATTTCCACCAGCAGTGAATACAGTTGTTTCATTTTTTCCACATCCTTGCCAACACTTTTTTTTTTTAAGACAGAGTTTCGCTCTTGTTACCCAGGCTGGAGTGTAGTGGCATGATCTTGGCTCCCTGCAACCTCTGCCTCCCAGGTTCAAGTGATTCTCCTGCCTCAGTCTCCCAAGTACCTGGGATTACAGACATGTACCACCATGCCCGGCTAATTTTGTATTTTTAGGAGAGAGGGGTTTCTCCATGTTGGTCAGGCTGGTCTCGAAGTCTCGACCTCAGGTGATCCACCTGCCTCAGCCTCCCAAAGTTTGGGGATTACAGGCATGAGGGGATTACACTGCACCTGGCCAACACTTCTTTTATTATACCCACTCTTGTGGATGTAAAGTGGTTTCTCATTGTGTTTTTGATTTGCATTTTCCTAATGACTAACAATGTTGAATATCTTTTCATGTGCTTATTGGCCATTTCTTTTTGGGAATTTTTTTTTTCTTTTTCTTTTTCCTTTAGATGGAGTCTTGCTCTTGTTGCCCAGGCTGAAGTGCAGTGGCGCGCTCTCAGCTCACTGCAACCTCTGCCTCCCGGGTTCAAGCGATTCTCCTGCCTCAGCCTCCCGAGTAGCTGGGATTACATGCACGTGTCACCATGCCCGGCTAATTTTTGTATTTTTAGTAGAGATGGGTTTCACCATGTTGGCCAGGCTGGTTTCGAACTCCTGACCGCAGGTGATCCACCTGCCTTAGCCTCCCAAAGTGCTGGGATTACAGGTGTGAGCCACCACACTCAGTCGAGAAATTTCTATTCAAGTCCTTTGCCTATTTTTTTCTTTTTTTGTGGAGAAGGGAGTCTTGCTATATTTCCCAGGCTGGTCTTGAATTCCTGGACTCAACTGATCCTCTTGCCTAAGCCCCCAAAGTGCTGGGATTATAGGGGTGAGCCACCACACCTGGTCTCTTTGCCCCCCCCCCCTTTTTTTTTTTTTTTTTTGAGATGGAGTCTGGCTCTGTTGCCCTGGCTGGAGTGCAGTGGCATGATCTCGGCTTACTGCAACCTGCACCTCCCAGGTTCAAGTGATTCTCCTGCCTCAGCCTCCCGAGTAGCTGGAATTACAGGCACCCCCTACCACGCCTGGCTAATGTTTGCATTTTTAGTAGAGATGGGGTTTCACTATGTTGGCCAGTCTGGTCTCTAACTCTTGACCTCAGGTGACCTGCCTGCCTTGGCCTCCCAAAGTGCTAGGATTACAGGCATGAGCTACCGTGCCCAGTCACCCATTTTTTAAATTAGGGTTTTTGTTGTTATTGAGTTGTAAGAGTTATATATCTTGGATGCTAGAACCTCTTCAGATATATCATATGCAAATATTTTCTTCCATTTTGTAGCTTGTCATATCCCTTTAAAAATTGTATTTAATGAGTGTGTCACTTCACTTCAAAAACTTCACCTCTCTCACGCCTGTAATTCCAGCACTTTGGGAGGCTGAGGCGGGTGGATCATTTGAGGTCAGGCGTTCGAGACCAGCTTGACCAACGTGACAAAACCACCTCTCTACTAAAAATACAAAAATTACCCGGGTGTGGTGGCACGTGCCTATAGTCCCAGCTACTCGGGAGGCTGAGGCAGGAGAATCACTTGAACCTGGGAGGCAGAGGTTGCAGTGAGCCAAGATGGCACCAGTGCATTCTAGCCTGGGTGACAGAAAGAGACTCCATCTCAAAAAACAAAAAAAACTTCACCTCACTTCAAAAACTAGAACAGTGATAGTAATTGATATCTATCTGAATCCCATTCCCTTACCTTCCCAGATCAAAGGTAATTTACTAATTTGAATTTTGTGTTTATATTTTATTACAGTTCTACTAGCTAGGTATTCATGCCTATATATTATCTCATTTGGGTTGCTTTTGAGCTTTATAAAAGGTCAACTATTATACACAATGCTGAATGGTTTTTCCAGTGTTGGTAACAATTTATATTCCCCCGATAATGTGAGATTATTGACCCCCCACATTCTCTCCAATACTTTGTTGTCCAATTTCTTGTTTATCTGAGACAGTCTTGCTCTGTCAACCAGGCTGGAGTGCAGTGGCGCGAGATCTTGGCTCACTGCAAGCTCCGCCTTCTGAGTTCACGCCATTCTCCTGCCTCAGCCTCCCGAGTAGATGGGACTACAGGCGCCCACCACCACGCCTGGGTAATTTTTTGTATTTTTAGTAGAGGTGAGGTTTCACCATGTTAGCCAGGATGGTCTAGATCTCCTGACCTCACGATCCGCCCGCTTCGGCCTCCCAAAGTGCTGGGATTACAGGCGCGAGCCACCACGCCTGGCTTTTGTTTTGTTTTGAGATGGAGTCTTGCTCTGTTGACCAGGCTGGAGTGCAGTGGCGTGATCTTGGCTCACTGCAGCCTCCACCTCCCGGGTTCAAGCGATTCTCCTGCCTCAGCCTCCCAGGTGACTGCGATTACAGGTGTGGGTCACCCTGCCCTGCTAGTTTTTGTATTTTTAGTAGAGATGGGGTTTTACCATGTTGCCAAGTCTGGTCTTGACCTCCTGACCTCAAGTGATCCCCCTGCCTCAGCCTCCAAAAGTGCTGGGATTCCAGGTGTGAGCCACCAGGCCTGGCCTCTGTTTATTTTTGGAGCTCTTGAAGAGACAGTGACCTCCCCAGGCTAACCCTTGGGAAGTCTGTGGGATTTCAGCCCACTCCCTCCACTGTCCCAAGGAAGGATCCAGGGACCACAAAGGTGGGCAATCTACCGGACTTAAGAAAGGACTGCAGAGACAGGCCTGGTCTGTGACCTACCTGTGAGCTTGGGCAAAGGACTTGACCTTTCAGAGCTAGTCTGCAAGGGGGTCTTTGAGAGGCTGACCCAAGGGTACCCTAAGGGTGGAGGGAGGGGCTTGTTTGAGTCACTGGCTGGCGAGTCAGGGGCTCATCTGGGAACAGCGTGGGGAGCGGGTGGTCTCTGAGCTCTGTTGCTGTCTGGGGCCCCTGGGGCCCTGCATCCTTGGGTGGCAGTGAGTATCCCGTAGGTGGGGTATGTAAGCAGAGGCCTGGCTCCCTCGGGGGTCTCTGGGGATGAAGAAGGAACTTTGATAGGGACCCAAGTTCTCAGGCAGAAAATTTGGCTCCATTTGTTTTAATTGGACCCTTTTCAGCCTGGGGCTCCCCCCAGCCCCCAGGCCACAGCCTGGAGGTGTCTCTGGCCAGCCACAGCATCCAGCTGCTGGCTCCCAGATCTGTCCAGTTGCCCAGAGGGAAGAAGGGTGGGTGGGCAGAAGGAAGGGGCTGGAGACAGATCATCAGCCTTCCCACCCACCCCGGGTGGGGCCCTCCCTGTCTCCAGAAAGGTGGCCCAGGGGCGCCAGTCCAGTCACCCCAGAAATATCCAAGGCACTGGCGGGGGGGCAACCCCTTACAGCCAGCCCCGCCCGGCTATGTGGCTGTTGTGTGCCTGTTGGTCAGACGCCCGGCCACCCGGCTCCGAGGGCCATCAGTGGGGGCTGGCCTGGGCCCTCCAGCTGCCCCGTTCTTTAGCTGCAGAGGTTCCTGGGCCGCCGCCGCCTCCTCACTGGAGTCTGATTCTTCTACATCACTACGAATGTCCTTCTCCATCTGGGGAACAGAGAGAGGGATGGAGCTCAGAGCAGGGAGGAAGGAGGAGCTTAGGGCTGGGGCCCCCGGGGAGGTCCAGCCATACCTGGCCCTTCTTCATGAAGCTATAGAGCATGCGCAGAATGAGGCAAGACCAGAACACGTGCAGCAGCTGCAGCAACATCAGAAGCCCGTTGAAGAAGTAGTAGCCGAAGAAGGGGCCCCTGTTGCTGATGGACTCGTAGTATGTGGTGTAGAGGATCCTACAGCCAGGGGGAGAGGAGGAGGCTGGGGTTTGACCAGCCGCTGTAGCCCCCAGTCCTAAGAATTTCTAACTGGCATGGCCTTCCCTGCTCCATAACCACCTATGGCTCCCTAGTGCCCCCCACCCCATGATACCTAACACTCTTGAGCTGGGCACGCGAGGCCCCCTCTCGCTTGTACTAAATGAGCAGAACACACACACGAGCTCCCTGACTGGCCATTCATGACTATGAACCCCACCCAAGCGGGTACTTATGAACTCAGCTGCTTTCCTGGGTGGCACTCTGGCAGCTTCTCTCTACTCCTCAGACCCCCATCACCTCCCCTTCATCAGCAGGCGACTGCCTACTCACCTCATAGGGGAGGGGCTTCATGTCAGGAAGGCAGGCGGTGGGGCCTCATCTCCCAGGAAGACACAGGGAGCAGGGCTCCATCTCCCAGAGTTTAAGAGGGGCGGGGCCTCATCTCCCAAGGAGTAAAAAAGGGGTGGGGCCTCATCTCCCGGGTAGCCGGACAGAGGTGGGGCTTTGTCTCCCACGGAGGCTGGGAGGGGCGGGGCTTCATTTTCACTGTGCAACCCAAGCCAGTTGGAAAGAATGTTCCCCAGCACTGCTCCTTCCCTCGAACTCCTCCTTGCTTGTTGCCTGGGACACTGTCCTGGAGCCCAGCTCCCACCACATCCTCTTCTCAAACTCAGCTGTGGTTCTTGTTTTTTTTTTTTTTTTTTTTTTTTTTTGAGATGGAGTCTTGCTCTGTCACCCAGGCTGGAGTGCAATGGCGTGATCTCGGCTCACTGCAACCTCTGCTTCCCAGGTTCCAGCGATTCTCCTGCCTCAGCCTCCCAAGTAGCTGGGATTATAGGCCCCTGCCACCACGCCCAGCTAATTTTTGTATTTTTAGTAGAGAGGTGGTTTTTGCCATGTTGGCCAGGCTGGTCTGGAACTCCTGACCTCAAGTGATCTGTTCACCTCAGCCTCCCAAAGTGCTGGGATTACAGGCGTGAGCCGCCGCACCCAGCCTTCCTGCTGGTTCTTTATCATCAACTCCAATCCCACTGTTATTTCACACAAGAAAGAAAAAAACAAAAAGCTCACTCTTTACTCTGCCCCTCTGGGCACCAACTTATTTCTTTTCCCTGTAGGCTTTTTTTTTTCCTTGGAACTCCTTGAAAGTACTGGCTGGGCTGGGCACAGTGGCTCACGCCTGTAATCCCAGCACTTTGGGAGGTGGAGGCGGGTGGATCACGAGGTCAGAAGTTCGAGTCCAGCCTGGCCAACATGGTGAAACCCCCATCTCTACTAAAAAAAAAAAAAAAAATACAAAAATTAGCCAGGTGTGGTGGTGTGTGCCTATAATTCCAGCTACTCAGGAGGCTGAGGCAGGAGAATTGCTTGAACCCGGGAGGCGGAGGTTGTGGTGGGCTGAGATCACGCCATTGCACTCCAGTCTAGGTGACAGAGCAAGACTCCATCTCAAAAAGTACTGGCTGTAGCTGCTGTGTTTCTCCTACCCCCCAATCAGCTGTAGGGTGACCAGCGACCTCGCCTTCCTCACTCCACAGTGCTCAGCCCTGCAGCCCCACCAGCTGGCACAACAGGTTGCCAGCAGCCCTCCCTCCTCCCTGGGCCCCTTCCCTCTCTGGCTCCCCGCACCCCACCATCTCCCCATCTCACAGCCACTTCTGCCTAATCTCCTCAGGCCTTGAAACCAAGACAGGTGGGAGCCATGGAGGATGGCAGCCAGAGGAGGGATGTAATCTGACTCTCATGCTCCATGGGCCCTGTTCTTCCTCTCTCGACCTGCAAACATCAGGAAGCCCGAGGACTGAGACTCTCTGTCCATACCTGGTCCCTAGGTGATGCCATCCAGGCTGCTGGCTGCAAATACCAGCCATGGACTGACAACTCCTACATTACCTCTTTCCCCAGAAGCCCAGACTGGCATGCCCACTGCCTTCTCCATGTCTCCTCTGAGGCCACAGACCCCTCAAACCCAGCAGGGCTGAGCTCCTGCTGCCTCGAGCAGTTCCTTCTGTGCTTGTTCCCACCTCCTGATCCCAGAGGCATCCCCTTAAGTCTGCCCACTTCTCTCGCCTACCCTGGGTCCCCTCACTCCTGCCCACACTTCCCATGATGTTTCCCCTGCAGCTGCCAAAGGGCACCCAGAACACCTAGGTCAGATTGAATCCCTCTGCTTATAACCTCCATGGCTCCCATCTCCCCCGGGGTCAAAGCCAAAGTCCTGCCCACAGCCCTCAAGGACCTGCACGGCCTACTCCATCTCCTGCCTACCCTCCCCCTCACCCACTCTGCTCCAGCCACACAGGCCTCCTTGCTCTTCCTCTAACATGCCGGGCATGGTCTTGCCTCAGGCCCTTTGCACATGCTATTCTCTGCCTGGAACACACTTCCCCTCTGATCAACGTGGTTCTGTCCCTCACCTCCCTCCCATCTCTCGGTACAAACGCTGCCAGCGAGGCATTACCTGCCATTCTAATTCCAACTACCCACCTCTCCCATACTTCCTGCTCCCTTCCTGACTTTTTTTTATTTAGAGACAGAGTCTTGCTCTGTCGCCCAGGCTGGAGTGCAGTGGTGTGATCTCAGCTCACTGCAACCTCTGCCTCCTGGGTTCAAGTGATTCTCCTGCCTTAGCCTCCCGAGTAGCTGGGATTACGGGCGTGTGCCACCATGCCCAGCTAATTATTGTGTTTTCAGTAGAGACAGGGTTTCTCTGTGTTGGCCAAAGTGGTCTCGATCTCCTGACCTCAGGTGATCCAGCCACCTTGGCCTCCCAAAGTGCTGGGATGACAGGCGTGAGCCATCACACCTGGCCAATTTGATTTAAGACAAAGTCTCCCTCTGTCACCCAGGCTGGAGTGCAGTGGTACAATCTTGATTCGCTGTAGCCTCTGCCTTCTGGGTTTAAGTGATCCTCCTGCCTCAGCCTCCCGAGTAGCTGGGATTACAGGTATGCACCATCACGTCCGGCTAATTTTTAATTTTTAATAGAGACAAGGTTTCACCATGTTGGCCAGGCTGGTGTCAAACTCCTGACCTCGTGATCTTCCTGCCTCAGCCTCACAAAGTGTTGGGATTACAGGGGTGAGCCACTGTGGCCAGCCTAACTTTTGTATTTTTAGTAGAGATGGGGTTTCACTATGTTGGCCAGGCTGGTCTGGAACTCCTGACCTCAAGTGACCCGCCCGCCTCAGCCTCCCAAAGTGCTGGGATTACAGGCATGAGCTACCACGCCCGGCCCGTCAAATTTATTTTCTTGTTAGTAAATCTCTCCTTCGCATGCTGTGCAGTTCACGTGGCTGCCTCACTTACCATCTGCTCCCACCCATGCAATGTCTGCTCACAAGGGCCGGGATCTTTGAACTGTGGCCTCTGCTGTGTTACCAGCACACTCAAGAGGCCCCCACAAATATTTACTGGGCAGACTTTGGTGCGCTGGCAGCCCTGACCCTTCCTCCCACTGCATGGTCCAGGCACGCTGAGTAATAATAATTCTCTGTCTCACCTCTGCGCCTTTGCATATGCCGTGCCCTGTGCCTGGCACACCCTTCCCTGCCTCCTCCTGGAACTCTCCCAGCCAAGATCCCCAGCTCCTTGGGGCAGGGTACCAATGGTGAGGCAGTCCTGGAATCTCAGACACGCCCTCCCACCTCCCTGACCCCCATGGGAGGGCTGACTCACTGGGTGGGAAAGAGGACCAGTCGGGTGTAGAAGAAGACAAAGGAGAAGATGAGGAAGAGAGCGTCGCACACTTGCTGATACTGCATGTAGTTGACCATCTTACAGGCCTGGAAAGGGCAGCAGGGAGAAATGGGCTCAGGACCAGGGCCCTGGTCTCAAAGAGAAGGTGCTATAGGATGGGACCAGGTGAGTTGGGGTGGGGCCTTGTTTCCAGGAACTACCTACCTTTTCAGGAAAGGTAAAGAGTGTGAATATAGGCTGGGCATGGTGGCTCACGCCTGTAATCCCAGCACTTTGGGAGGCTGAGGCAGGCAGATCACCTGAGGTCAGGAGTTCGAGACCAGCCTGGCCAACATGGTGAAACTCCATCTCTACTACAAATACAAAAGTTAGCTGGCATGGTGGCAAGTGCCTGTAATCCCAGCTTCTTGGGAAGCTGAGGCAGGAGATTACTTGAACCTGGGAGGCAGAGGTTGCAGTGAGCAGTGTGTGCCATTGCACTCTAGCCTGGGCAAGAGAGTGAGACTCCGTCTCAAAAAAAAAAATGTGAATACATGCGTGTGTGCACATGTGTGTAGCTTTATCCTCCAAGGAGGGAGCTGAGAGGGGCAGGGCTTTATCTCCCAGGAAGATGGGGGGCAGGGCCTCATCTCCCAAGGAAGCTGAGAAGGCGGGGGCCTCTGCCCAAGGAAGCCAAGAAGGGTGGGGCTTCATCACCCAGGAAGACAGAGGGGGTGGGGCCTTATCAGCCTGGAAGACAGAGGGGGCAGGGCCTCATCACCCGAGAAAGACAGGAGGGGTGGGGCTCCATCTCCCAGGAAGGTTGGGAGGAATGGGACCTCATCTCTGGGGCACCTGGGAGGGCTGGGTACAGCAGCTGGGAAGGGTCAGGCAGGGGTCGGGCCCACCTCCAGCAGGTAGTCAGAGGAATCGTGTAACAGCAGCACCAGAGAGCCAATGCGCAGCAGGTTGGCACTGTAGGAGAAGGTCATCAGGATGACCGCCACGAAGTGGTGTATCACCTGCTCCTTGAAATCCTGCAGTAGACGGTGGGTCATAGTGGGGACGAGGCTTGATGCTGGAAGGTCCCCCACCCTATGGGCCAAGAAGTGGGTCCTTTCAGGGGGTTGGTGTGGCCTCTGGGCCCATGGCCTCTATATCTCCTGCAGGAGGCACCAGGGAGCTCTCAAGGTGCGGTTGTAAGGCTGCCCTACCCCCCAGCACCCCAGCATCCCGGCCAGAGACTGGGTCTTCCAGACTCTTATTTGGCCTCACCTTGCGCTTGACATCAAAGGGCAGCCTGATTAGCAGTGAGAGGTAGAAACCCAGCTCCAAGAGGTACCACCAGTACAGGGATGGCTTCAGAGTCTGCAGCAGGACAGGACAAGGTTAGCTGTGGGGAGCGAAGGCTCCAATCGGGCAGGGGTATGGCTCCGGGCCCACTCCGTTTGCTCAAAACCAGGATACTTGAATCCCAATGAGTGAGCTCCCCATCCCTGGAGGTAATCAAGGGCAGTGGTTTGGTGGAAGCTCCTGCTTGGTTTTCTGGCCCCTCTCTATTCCCCAGAGGAATCAAAGAGCGTGGGACTCAGTGGGGAATGACAGTGTAGTGTCAGGGTTCGGGTCCCATGCCCATGGCTGCAGCAACTGTGATCATCGCCCTCACCCTCCAAGCATTCACACACACTCTGCCACTCACCTGGTTTGGGTACCTGTCCCAGCACATTACTGGTGCCCACAGCCATGACTCCTGCAGGGAAATGGGTGTCAGGCTGTGCAGAGGTGAGAATCCAACCTCCCACCCTGGGTCTGCGGTCTCTTTGGTTCTCCTTCCACAGTCACATAGATGCTACCTTCACCCAGCCCTGCTTTTTCCTGCTTCTCACTCTCGACTGGGGGGCTCATTCACTGCAGAACCCCAACTTTTGGTGCATAGTAAATCCAAATACCTGTTGAGTGAACATTCACCACCATCTTGCAAAGCTCGCTCTCTCCTCAGCTGCATGTTTTCCTCTCTGGCTGCACCACTCCACACCCCCACTCCTGCCAGATCTAGGCCAGGTGGATGGGGCAGGTGAGCAGTCAGCTATACTCTGGTATACTCACGTGGTACAGGACCGAGAGGCCGCCCACGAAGGAGGACAGGTAGAAGAGAAACCTCCAGCTGTGGATGGGGAGGGAGCTGTGAAAATAGCAGACACCCGCCCCGCCCCACCCCGGCCCGCTTCCCTGCACCCCAGAAGCCCCATCCTGGGCTTACCTGGCCTCACAGAACTTCTTGGTCAGCTGGGGTCGATCCTGGTTCCGGCGTCTCCGGAACCATCGCTGGGTCTGCTGCAGCGTGAGGCCACACTGGGCGGCCAGGAGAGACAGCTGGGGCTGGGGAGGGGGTGATGAGGACAAGGGTCACAGAGGCCCTGTGGTGGCTTCCCCCATGTCCCCAGACAGGACTTGGCTCTGCCCTCTCCACTGCAGGCCCACATCTTGCCTACAGGGTGACCATGTCTATATGGAGGGGCAGTGTTGGGGGTCCCAGCGTGGGGCCCTGCAGAACACTTGGGCCCTAAGAGAAGCAAATCCTGTTCATAGGGCAGGCAGGTCGCTGACGGGGATGGGATTAAGAGAGATGCTGGCGTGCAGCATCCCCTACCCCCGGATAGGCTTCCCTGCGTCCCTCCAGAACGGTCAGTTCTCACCTCCAACCTAGACAGGCAGTTGAGACCTTGCCCCAGCCCCAAGCCCTACCTGAAGAGGGAAATTGACAAGTAAAGGGGGAGTCACGTCTAGCTCTGCGGAAGCTGCCCTGTCGCCTCTAGGGTATGTGGTCTTCACCATTCCCCACCCCACTCAGGACGCAGCCACGCCTCCACAGCACAGACCCTGTCCAGCGGGCAGCCACACCAGAGACGGGAATGGAGGGAGGGTCACAGGGCTGCTTCTGTTACTCCATTCCCTATCAGCTCAGACCTTCCATTCCTCCCCAGGATAGGAGAGCAAGCAACTACTCTCACTCTCCTAGAATCTGTCCATTGTGCAACTGTGCCCACTAAGGCTCAGGGAGGCTGGGAGGGGAGGGGCCCCATCTCCCAAGGAGGCTGGGAAGGGGGGGGTCCTCATCTCCCAGGGAGGCTGGAAGGGTGGGGCTCCATGTCCCAGGGATGCTGGGAGGGGTGGGGCGTCGTTTCCCAGGGAGGCTGGGGGGTAGAGCCCTTTCCCAGGGAATTGAGGATGAAGAGTGGAAAGTAGGGGCATTGCAGGGGTGCCTGCAGCCACCTTGGCTTCTCCTGCCCCAACAAATGGGCCACACACCATCCCCACGCCCCACCCCCAGGGCAGTAGTGCGGGTCGGAGGGCATGGGGGGCTCTCACCTCCTTGGGCCTGTGCCCTTCCGTGAGGAAGTGTTTCTCCAGCGTGGCGTTGGGCTTCACTTGCCTCCTGGTCTGATCCCTCACACCCAGCCACCGGCTCAGGGGCAGGCCAATGAATCTGGGTGCAAAGGAGACAGAGCCTATCAGCCCAGGTGAAGAGATGGGACTGCCTGTGTGTGGGGGCAGACATGCTGCCGGTGGGATAACCAAGTCTCGGAGGGGCAAAGTTACAGGCTCAGAGAGCACAGCTGGCACATGGCAGGGTGTGTAAGACTTTTTTTTTTTTTTTTTTTTGAGACAGAGTATTGCACTGTCACCCAGGCTGGAGTGCAGTGGCGCGATCTTGGCTCACTGCAAGCTCCGCCTCCCGGGTTCACGCCATTCTCCTGCCTCAGCCTCCCGAGTAGCTGGGACTGCAGGCGCCCGCCACTACGCCCGGCTAATTTTTTGTATTTTTTAGTAGAGACGGGGTTTCACTGTGTTAGCCAGGATGGTCTCGATCTCCTGACCTCGTGATCTGCCCACCTCGGCCTCCCAGAGGGCTGGGATTACCAGCGGTGAGCCACCGCGCCCGGCCTAAGACTTGGTCTTTCTTTTCCATCTGATCAGAGGGTTTGGAGGCCCAGAGTCAGAAAGGCTCGTGGGGCAGGACTCGATTTTCCACTTATTCCTGGCCTCATCCCCTGGGGCCCTGGAGGGGTGGCCTGGCTGCTGCGTTAGACCAAACATAAGAAAGGCAGCTGACTCATGCCTGTTATCCCAGAACTTTGGGGCTGAGGTGGGCGGATCACGTGAGGTCAGAAGTTCGAGACCAGCCTGACCAATATGGTGAAACACTGTCTCTACTGAAAATACAAAATCATCTGGGTGTGGTGGCGTGCACCTGTAATCCCAGCTACTCGGGAGGTTGAGGCAGGTGAATTGCTTGAACCTGGAGGTGGAGGTTGCAGTGAGCCAGGATTGCATCTACTGAAAATACAAAAAATTAGCCGGGCGAGGTGGCGGGCCCCTGTAGCCCCAGCTATTTGGGAGGCTGAGCTGAGGCAGGAGAATGGTGTGAACCCAGGAGGCGGAGCTGGCAGTGAGTCGAGATCGCACCACTGCACTCAAGCCTGGGTGACAGAGCAACAAGACTCTGTCTCCCCAAAAAAAAAAAAAAAAAAAAAAGGCAGCTGGACCTTTGTCTGTAGGGTGAGGGTGTGCAGACCAACTCTTGGGGTACCCAGGTACCTTTGCCCAATCCCAAACCAGGGACAAGAGTCTCTTCACTGCCTGTCTCACTGTGGCCTGGGTCCTGGTCTGACCCCCCGCCAGTCTAGGGGCTCCCCATGGGCAGGGGCTGGGGCTGTTCCCGCTCCAAGCCCCTCCTCCCAGCATCCCCCATTCCGGGGTAG
Organism: Homo sapiens; assembly: GCF_000001405.40. Classification (NCBI taxonomy): domain Eukaryota; kingdom Metazoa; phylum Chordata; class Mammalia; order Primates; family Hominidae; genus Homo; species Homo sapiens. The sequence goes on along the minus strand of NC_000019.10, from coordinate 8,253,222 downwards.
AGGCTTGGAGATCAGGGACCCTGGTCAATGGCCACGTTGCCCACAAGAGGGCGCGCCAACACCACAGGTGGGGACCGAATTTTATATCCACCATCCCTCCTAACATCCTGCCTCATTTGGTGAAAGGCTCAGAGCAGCCTAGCAAGGAACTCATTGCAGAATAAATCATGATGCGGAGAGAATGAGCGCTTATTATCTGCTAAGCATGGGGCCAAGTCCATGTGATACATTGGCTCGTCTAACCCTAACTCAGTTCCTATTGTCCTAATGGGTAAACTGAGGCTCAGAGACATGCCCAAGGTGACACTGTGAGCAGGTGAAAGACCTGAAATTTGAACTCAGGATTCTGGTTTTTGTTCCTGCCTCCTGCCTCTTAAAGTCTCATTTTGGAGGTGGAGGGCGGGAGGATTGCTTGAACTCAGGAGTTCAAGACCAACCTGGGCAACATGGTGAGACCTTGTCTCTACTAAAAATACAAAATTTAGCTGGGTTGTGGTGTCACTTGCCTGTAATCCCAGCACTTTGGGAGGCCAAGGTGGGTGGATCACCTGACGTCAGGAGTTTGAGACTAGTCTGGCCAACATGGCAAAACCCCGTTTCTATTAAAAATACAAAAATTAGTCAGGTGTGGTGGCACATGCCTGTAATCCCAGTTACTTGTGAGGCTGAGATAGGAGAGTCGCTTGAACCTGGGAGGCAGAGGTTGTAGTGAACTGAGATTGTGCCACTGTACTCCAGCCAAGGTGAAAGAGCAAGACTCTGTCTCAAAAAAAAAAAAAAGTTAGCCAGCCATGGTGGCATGCCTACAGTCCCAGCTACTGGTGGGGATGAGGCTTTTGTTCTTTTTTTTTTTAGATGGAGTTTTGCTCTTGTTGCCCAGGCTGGAGTGCACTGGCATGATCTCAGCTCACTGCAACCTCTGTCTCCTGGGTTCAAGCAATTCTCCTGCCTCAACCTCCTGAGTAGCTGGGACTACAGGCATGTGCCACCACACCCAACTAATTTTTTGTACTTTTAGTAGAGACAGGGTTTCACCACGTTTGTCGGGCTGGTCTTGAACTCCTGACATCATGATCCGCCCACCTTGGCCTCCCAAAGTGCTGGGATTACAGGCATGAGCCACTGCACCCAGCCTAATTTTTGTATTTTTTTTTTTTTAATAGAGATGAGGTTTCACCATGTTGCGCAGTCTGGTCTCGAACTCCTGGACTCAAGTGATCCACCCACCTCAGCCTCCCAAATTGCTGACATTACAGGAATCAGCTACCACGTCTGGCCTAGATTCAAAAAAAAATTTTTTTTAAGGGCTAAAACCCCTGCGTTTGAAACTGGAAAACCCTCCGCCCACCCCACTGTCCTTCACAGAGGCCCTGGGATGCCTTTGGGATGGGATAACACCCCAGCTCACATTTTTTTTTTTTTATGGAGTCTTGCTCTGTTGCCGAGGCTGGAGTGCAGCGGCACAATCTTGGCTCACTGCAACCTCCACCTCCCAGGTTCAGGCGATTCTCCTGCCTCAGCCTCCTGAGTAGTTGGGATTACAGGTTTGCGCCCAGCTAATTTTTGTATTTTTAGCAGAGACAGGGTTTCACCATGTTGGCCAGGCTGGTCTCGAACTCTTGACCTCAAGTGATCCACCCGCCTCAGCCTCTCAAAGTGCTGGGATTACAGGCGTGAGCCACCGTGCCCGGCCTCCCATCCCTGTTTTATGAAGATGCTGGCATACCCAGCTGCAGGCTGCAGGCAGTGCAGTGTTCCTATAAACCAGCTGCAGTCAGTGTTCCTATAAACCAGCCATCAGAGGCCAGAAGTGTGGGTGGTGGCGGCTGGGGGCAGGCTGGAGCCAGGGAACGCGCTTTGGTGCAAAGCCAGCTTCTACTCGGGACATGCTGCAATGGCAAATTGCACACAGGGCACGAGCACATACTGGAGCGACTGCGGGGGCAATGGATTGCGGCAGGGCAGACACTCACCTCTCAAAGGCAAGGCGCATGGCCAGGAGGACCAGCGCCAGGGGCAGGGCTGCCAACAAGTCCTGGGGGTGGGGGTAGACACGGCCATCCCGGTCTTCTAGCTCTGTCCACGTGACATTGGGTGGTAACCAGAACCTGTCCTGCCAAAACCACTCGTTGAAACTGGACAGCATTCTGTGGACACAGGTTCCAGTTAGCTGGGAGGTCTGCAAGCAGAATGGGTGGGGCAAGTGGGGCCTGAGAGGCTGGAGCCTCAGAACTCCTACTCGGGCCCCTATCAGCGCAGTTGACAACCAGGAGGCAGGACTGGAAGATGGAACTCCCCTTGCCTGGGACTTTGGAACTGTCCTCTGGTCCCAGAAGAGCCACCACTTCATTCTCATCACTCCCACTCCATTGCCTGGTCAGTGTTAAAAGGCAGAGTTGGGCTGTGTGTCCTCAGGCAAATGACTTGACCTCTCTGAACCTCAAGTTCATCTGTAAAACAGAGTAGTAGGCCGGGCGCAGTTGCTCACGCCTGTAATCCCAGCACTTTAGAAGGCCAAGGTGGGTGGATCACGAGGCCAGGAGTTCAAGAGCAGCCTGACCAACATGGTGAAACCCTGTCTCTACTAAAAATACAAAAATGAGCTGGGCGTGGTGGCACATGCCTGTAATCCCAGCTACTCAGGAGTCTGAGGCAGGAGAATCACTTGAACCTGGGAGGCGGAGGTTGCAGTGAGCCGAGATCGTGCCACTGCACTGCAGCCTGGGTGACAGAACAAGACTCCATCTCAAAAACAAAACAAAACAAAACAAAAAAACAGAGACAGTAATACCCAGGCTTCTCAACCTAAAGTGCTTGGCCGATTGATCTTTAACAAGAGTAATAATAACACAGCCCAAAATAGTAGTTATTACTCTGCACTTAACTGATGCCAAGATGGTAGCCAGAAGTCAAGGGAGTGGCTGCTTGGGGTCAGAAACTTGAGTCGTGGCCGGGCACCATGGCTCATGCCTGTAATCCCAACACTGTGGGAGGCTGAGGTGGGCAGATCACTTCAGGTCAGGAGTTTGAGACCAGCCTGGCCAACATGGCAAAACTCCATCTTTACTAAAAATACAAAAATTAGCCGGGCGTGGTGGCAGGCGCCTATAATCCCACCTGCTCAGGAGGCTGAGGCAGGAGAATCGCTTGAACCCGGGAGGAGGAGGTTGCAGTGAGCCGAGATCATGCCACTGCACTCCAGCCTGGGCAACAGAGAAAAACTGTCTCAAAAAAAAGAACTTGAGTCCTCAAACGTCCAGGAAGGTTTCTTTCCACTGCAGGAAGCTGCCTCTGAAGCAGCCCCCAAAGATGAAGGATTTAAAGAAATCCAGAGGCCGGGCTCAGTGGCTCACTGCCTGTAATCCCAGCACTTTGGGAGGCCGAGGCAGGTGGATCACGAGGTCAGGAATTCAAGACCAGCCTGGCCAACATGGTGAAACCCTGTCTCTACTAAAAATACAAAAATTAGCCAGGCATGGTGGTGTGCGCCTGTAATCCCAGCTACTCGGGAGGCTGAGGCAGAGAATTGCTTGAACCCGGGAGGCGGAGGTTGCAGTGAGCAGAGATCAGGCCACTGCACTGCAGCCTGGGTGACAGAGCAAGACTCTGTCTCAAAAAAAAAAAAAAAAAAAAAATCCAGAGTTCCTTTCCTGGCCATCTATGGAAGGTAGGCTCCTCTCTAGGTGGGAATTTCAGGGGGGTCTCTTGCTATCCCAGAGCCCACAAAGCAAGAGGGTAAGAGAGCCTACTGCATAACTGAGCTTGCCTGATAATGGAGTGGCGGTCGAGGTGGGGCAGCTCCGGCCAGCGTGTCCCAGCCTGCTTGAGGAGCCCAAAGAGCTGCTCCCTTCCCTGAGATCTTGAGCCAAGGGTCCAGCCTACCACAGTGGTTCCCACTCAGAAAGTTTGTTCGTTCATTCGTCTGTCCACGCATCCCCCTGTCCATCTATCTACCGATCCATCCCTCTATCCACCCATCCAAACATCTGTCCACCCACCCATCATCCATCCACCCATCGTCCATCCACCCATCCAAACATCTGTCCACCCACCCATCATCCATCCACCCATCCAAACATCTGTCCACCCACTCATCATCCATCTACCCATCATCCATCTGTTCGCCCATCAAAACATCTGTCTATCCACCCATTATTCATCATCCACCTATCCACTCATCTACCCATCATCCATCCATCCACCCATCCAAACATCTGTCCATCCACCCATCATTCATCTGTTAATTCATCAAAACATCTGTCCATCCACCCATTATCCATCATCCACCTATCCACTCATCCATCTACCCATCATCCATATGTCCACCCATCCAAACATCTGCCCACCCACCATCCATCCACCCACCCATCCAAAGATCTGTCCACCCACCCATCATCCATCAACCCATACAAACATCATCTATCCACCTACCCATTCATCCATCCACCCATCATCCATCCATCCATCCAAACACCTGTCCATCCACCTATCGTCCATCTGTCATCCATCTACCCACCCATTCATCCATCTCCCCATCCATTCATCCATCCATCTGTCCACCCACCCATCATCCATCCACTCATCCAAACATCTGTCCACCTGCCCATCATCCATCCACCTACCCATTCACCCATCCATCCATCATCCATCTGTCCACCCATCTAAACATCTGTCCACCCAGCCATCATCCATCCACTGATCCAAAAATCTGTCCATCTACCCATCATCCATCCATTCATCATCCATCTGTCCACCCATCTAAACATCTATCCGCTCATCATCCATCACTCACTTGTGTGTCCTTCCACCCACCCATCCTTCTGTCCATCTTTTCTTCCATCTATCCATTTCCCCTTCCATCCATCCATTTATCCATCTGTCGTTGCATCTATCCGTCTGTCTGTCCATCCATCCATCCAGGCAAGAGATATTCTCCAATTGACTTGTACATGTCAGGTCAGGGCTGGGCCTTGGCGACACAGCAGGGGAATAAAGCCAACACATTCCTGCCCAGCTCACAGACCAACAGAGAAGGCAGCCAATAAACAAGTAAACAGATTCATAAATGAATGAGATGCCAAAGTATAACGGGCCGGGTAGATAACAGAGTGGCGTGATTTTAAATGTGATCAAGGAGAGGCTCTCTAAGGAGGCGCCACCTGAGCTGGGACTTAAAGATGAGGTCGTCAGGCCAGGTGCGGTGGCTCACACCTGTAATCCCAGCACTTTGGGAGGCTGAAGCGGGTGGATCATCTGAGGTCAGGAGTTCAAGACCAGCCTGGCCCACATGGTGAAACCTCATCTCTACTAAAAATACAAAAATCAGCCAGGTGTGGTGGCATGTGCCTGTAACCCCAGCTACTTGAGAGGCTGAGGCAGGAGAATCACTTGAACCTGGGAGGCAGAGGTTGCAGTGAGTTGAAATCATGCCACTGCACTCAAGACTGGGCAACAGAGCAAGACTCCATCTTAAAAAAAAAAAAAAAAAAAGATGCGGAGGTCAGGCCAGGCAAAGTGGTTCATGCCTGTAATCCCAACACTTTGGGAGGCCGAGGCAGGTGGATCACTTGAGCTCAGGAGTTCAAGACCAGCCTGGGCAACATAGCAAGACCCTGTCTCTACAAAAAATTTAAAAAGTAGTCAGGTGTGCTGGCACGTATCTGTAGTTCTAGCTATTCAGGAAGCTGATGTGGGAGTACGACTTGAGCCCAGGAGTTTGAGGCTGCAGGGAGCTACGATCACACCACTATACTCCAGCCTGAGGGACAGAGCAAGACCCTATGAGAAAAAAAAAGATGAGAAGGTTGTGGGTTTTTCACACAAGAAGGTGGGGCTGGGGGAGGGGCTTTCTAGATAAATACGCAGCAGGTGCAAAGGCCCTGAGGCAGGACCATGCCTGGGATGTTGGAGCAACAGTGAGGAGGTCCGTGTGGCTGGTGCAGTGAGCAAGGGGGAGAGAGGGAGGAGGGGAGGGCAGGGAGGTGATGAGGGGCAGCACAGAGCCTGCAAGGCATGGGGGCCGCAGGGAAGAATCTGGATTATTTCCCCCAACATTTTGAGATGGAGTCTCACTCTGCCGCCCAGCCTGGAGTACCGTGGCACGATCTCAGCTCACTGCAACCTCCACCTTGAGGGTTCAAGCAATTCTCGTGCCTCAGTCTCCCGAGTAGCTGGGATTACAGGCATGCGCCACCATGCCTGGCTAATTTTTATATTTTTAGTAGAGATGGGGTTTTGTTATGTTGGCCAGGCTGGTCTCAAACTCCTGACCTCAAGTGATCTGCCCGCCTCAGCCTCCCAAAGTGCTGGGATTATAGGCATGAGCCACCGCGCCCGGCCTTCCCCCAATGTTTTATAATAAACATTTCAAACCTACACAAAAGTTGAAAGAATTTTACAGTGAATACCTGTATTCCCACCACTAGATTCTCCCCTTTGCATTCCATTCTGTTTATTCCATCACCCATCTGCCTCTGCCCATCCATCCCTCTATCCACCATCAGTCTATCTGCTTGTTCCCGATGCATTTCAAAGTAGGCAGCTGACCTCAGGCCACATCGCCCCTACACATGTCAGCACACAGATCATTAACTAGGGTTCAATATTTGCTTATGGGTTTTTCCTTTCAAGGTAAAATTTACCCAAGTGAAATGCAGACTTTTTGTTTTTTTAGACAGGGTCTCACTCTGTCACCCAGGCTGGAATGCAGCGATCATGGCTCCCTGCAGCCTTGACCTCCCGGGCTCGGGTGGTCTTTTCATGTCAGCCCCCGCAGAGCCAGGACCATAGGCACACACCACCATGACTGGCTAATGTTTTAAATTTTTGTGTAGAGAGAGGGTCTCCCTATGTTATCCAGGCTGGTCTCAAACCCCTGGCTCAAGCGATCCTCCCGCCTTGGCCTCCCGAAGTGTTGGGATTACAGGCATGAGCCACTGCGCCTGGCCCGCACACATCTTTAAGGGTACAGTCACTGAGTTTGGACAAAACTATGTACCTGACTAATCCAGTCTCCTATCACAAATATTTCCTCTAGAAACTTCCCTCATACCTCTTCCCAGTCAACCTCCACCCCTGTCCTGTCATCCAAAAGTAACAACCATTCCAGTTTTTTTGTTTTTTTGTTGTTGTTGTTGTTTAGACAGGGTCTCACTCTGTGGCCCAGGCTGGAGTGCAGTGGTGCCATCATACCTCACTGCACACTTGACCTCCTGGGCTCAAGCAATCCTCCCCACTCAGCCTCCCAAATTGCTGGGATTATAGGCATGAGCCACCTTGCCCTGCCCCCCACCAGCTTTTTTTTTTTTTTTTTTTTTTTTTGTCATCAAAGCTTAGTTTTGTCAGTTCTTCATGATAACCTTGCCATGTTACAAAATAAAAATAGGCCGGGCATGGTGGCTCAAGCCTGTAATCCCAGCACTTTGGGAGGCCAAGGTGAGTGGATCACTTGCGATCAGGAGTTTGAGACCAGCCTGGCCAACACGGTGAAACCCCGTCTCTACTAAAAATACAAAAATTAGCCAGGGGTGGTGGTGGGCACCTGTAATCCCAGCTACTCAGGAGGCTGAGGCAGGAGAATTGCTTGAACCCGGGAGGCGGAGGCTGCAGTGAGCCAAGATTGTGCCACTGCACTCCAGCCTGGGTGAGAGAGCGAGACTTCATCTCAAAAATAAATAAAATAAATAAAAATAAAAATACCATAACCCCAGTGTTTAGGAGGCTGAGGCAGGAGGATTGCTTGAACCCAGGGGTTTGAGACCAGCCTGGACAACATAGCGAAACTGTCTCTACAAAAAATACAAAAATTAGCCGGGCAAGGTGGCATGTGGCCATAATCCTAGCTACTCGTGAGGCAGAGGCAGGAGGATTGCTTAAGCCCAAGAGTTTGGGGCTGCAATGAGCTGTGATCATGCCACCACACTTCAGCCTAAATGACAGAGTGATACCTGTCTCCAAAAACAGAGTAAATCAATAAAAAATAAAAATATATAAATAAAATAAAAAATAGACCCAGGTGCAGTGGCTCATGCCTGTAATTCCAGCACGTTGGGAGACTGAGGCAGGAGAATTGCTTGAAGCCAAGAGTGTTTTTTTTTTTTTTTTTTTTTTTTGAGATGGAGTCTCGCTCGGTCGCCCAGCCTGGAGTGCAGTGGCACGATCTCAGCTCACTGCAAGCTCAGCCTCCCGAGTAGCTGGGACTACAGGTGCCCGCCACTACGCCCGGCTAATTTTTTGTATTTTTAGTAGAGACAGGGTTTCACCATGTTAGCCAGGATGGTCTAGATCTCCTGACCTCGTGATCCACCTGTCTTGGCCTCCGAAAGTGCTGGGATTACAGGTGAGAGCCACCGCGCCTGGCCAAAGCCAAGAGTTCAAGACCAGCCTAGGGGGCAGCCGGGGGTGGTGGCTCACCCCTGTAATCCCAGCACTTTGGGAGGCCAAGGTGGGCAAACTGCTTTCCAAGGCAGGACTGCACCATCTTACACTCCCAGCAGGAGAATGTGAGGGTTCCGTTGCCCTTGGTTCTATTTTGAATAATGCAGGGATTCTCAGGTGTTGGTTGCCATGCAGGGCGTAGCATTTTGGAGGCCAGAAGAGGGTGCTCTGGCATGTCCAGTTGAGATAAGGTAGAGATAAGGGGATTCCAGAGACATTTTAGAGGTGGGGCCCCCCAAGAGCCAAATGCTTTCCAAAGTGGAGCCAGAAAAGAGAAGGGTTGGGAGAGGAAATTGGCAAGATATTGGTCAAAGGATATGACATTTCAGTTAGCAGCAGTAGTAAGTCCAAGAGATCTGTACATCATGATGATTTTAGTTAATAATATAGTATATACTGGAAAATTGCTAAGAGACTACATTTTCTGCAGGGAGGCAATCTCTCACTCTGTCTTCCAGGCTGGAATGCAGCGGTGCAATCATAGCTCACTGCAGCCTCGATCTCCTGGGCTCAAGCCATCTTCCTGCCTCAGCCTCCCGAGTAGCTGGGACTACAGGCTCCAGCCACCACACCCAGCCATTTCCTGCCTTTTCTGGCTTTAGAGGCTGCCTGCACCCTCCAGCTCCTGGTCCCTTCCTCCATCTTCAGAGCCAGCAGTGGCTAGTTGGGTCTTTCTCCCACCTTGTCATTCTGACAGTGTCTCTCCTGCCTCCGTCTTCTTCATTTTAAGACCCTTGTGATGACACTGGGTTCACCCAGATGATCTCCCATCTCAAGCTCAGCTGATTAACAACCTTAATTCCATCTTCAGCCTCACCCCACTTGGCCACTGAAGCTGTCAGCCTTCCAGTCTGAAGAACTGGATGAACCAGAATGGATGAGCTGATTTCAGGACAGGAGTCAGGCTAAGTGTCAGACAACACAAATTGTGGGTGTGGGGGAGGGCAGCTAAAATGTTCCCGTGGGCGTGTGGAGGAGGCAGGAGCTACTCAGGTTTGGGGCACAGGCTTGGGGTGGGTGGGGCCTGGGTAGGACTTGTCAGTGAGTGGCTGCTGTTGAAATCCATGAAGATGGATGGAATCCTCTATCTATCAGCAAGGGGTCAACAAGACCCTGTTTTGGGGGAAAAAAAAAAAAAAGGAAGAGACTGCACATGAAGGGGCAGGCTAAGTACCATGCTATGGGGCAACTGACATTTAGGCATCAGTGAAGTATTAGAAGCTGTTGCTAGCATTGGATACTCTGGTTGGGGAGGGGCACTAGAAGTCAGTGACCCAACAAGCAGTCAAGGGTGTGGGATAGCAGCTAGTCTAGACCTACAACGAGGCCCAGGCATCCCAGACAGAGTAGACACATGAACAGCTGGGTGGATGTGGGGACTTCAGCCCAGGTGGTTGATTTCTCAAGAAAAAGAAATCATCTTCACTAGCAGACAAGGTTGGCTTGATCCCGTGTGCCCGTGGGGGCTCAAGGACACATGGCCAGCTTGGCACTCTTGGTCCCAACTGTACTCAGCTCTCACAGCCAAAGCCATGACCACTGCAGGGTATCTGCAATCCCCTATTTTTTTTTTTTTTTTTTTTTTTTTTTTTAGAGACAGGGTCTCACTTTGTCACCCAGACTGGAGTGCACTGGCCTGATCATAGCTCACTGCAGCCTCAAACTCCTGGGTTCAAGCCATCCTCCCACCTCAGCCTTCTGAGTCACTGGTGCAGCTTTCTCAGAGACCCTGCTACCTTTCTGACAGACCCCAAGGTGCAGATGGAAGGGGACTAGGTGTCCTAGGAAGGCCCAGGCATCCAGACCCCCAGCTCCATGTTTTCCCCTCACCCAAGGGTCTTGGATGCATCCTTGCACACCTTGGTACATTCAAGTCATGATGAGTGTAGGGGATGAGGGAGAACCACAGGAGCAATGGCTTCTCACAATCTCAAGCCTTGCCTCTGCTGATGTGCCCAGCTTCAATGCCCACCAGTTTACTGACTGATACTCTGCTCCCACCAGACCATATCGTTTCACACATCCTAGCCTTTACAAATACTGGCCTCTGCCTAGAATGCTCATTTAGTATTTGGGTGCTGAAGACACAAAATGGTGGGGAAAACAAGCAACATCTCTGCCCTGAAGAGCTTAAACGCTTTCTTTCTCTGTTTGGCAAACTCCTATGCATCCTTCAAAACCCAGCTCAGTTGTCACCTCCTCCTGAAAGCAGCCCAATTGCCCTGCTTTGGATCCTGTTAAAGCACCCTCCCGCAACCCTGTCTTACTGTGATGTCAGGAGCTGGCCAGTGTTTTTGCAGGGAGGGTTGGAGAAGGAAGCATAACCAGTTCTAAACTCTCCTCTCCTCTGCTGAATCATGCCCATTGCTTCCTGAGTGGCACAGAAAGGGGAACAGATGCACTTTCTAAACCAGGGAGCTCTCCAAGGAGGCTTCAGACTGATATGCCCTGATTGCAGAGGTCTGGCCCCAGAGGTCCTACTCTCTCACTAACCTCACCAACCTGTCTCTGTCTCGTCCCTTCCCTCTTCTCCCTCTTAAAGCATAAATAAAAGATGCTGTGGTTTGAGAAAAGAACAGGGTCTGGAGCCCAGCAGACTGGCTGGAGTCCTAGCTGCAATGCTTCAAAGCCCTGGGAGCCTCAATTTCGTCACCTGTTGGTGGGACAGGTGCCCTCCCTGAAGGGTGGTTAAGCAGCTCAGAGACCTTGCACCTGGGGCATTGAGGCAGAGTCTGGCATATGGGAGGGGCTCAGGCATGGCTATAACCAGGCACCTCAGGCCAGCAAGGCTCAACTTCTCCTGAGGGAAGGGAGGAAATGAGGCTGAGGGATGTGTTCCTCAATTTCTAGCTTTTCTCTTTTGGATCCAGTTCTTCTGTTTGTTCCCTGTCATCCTCTGTCTTCCTGGGCCTCAGTTGTCCCATCTGAAAAATGGGTACAGCTAGATTCCCTCCTTGTTCTACCAGGCTATTGTGAGGCTCAGGGCAGGCGGGCAGTTTATAAACACTCCATGCTGATATCACAACGGATCTGATTCCTGATTCCTGCCTCACCCGTTTACCAGGCATGGAACGTGGCCTATCTGTGCCTCAGTTTTATCTGTAAAATGGAACAAACAATAGCCCCTCTTCCACATGGAGTGGTTCGGAATGGCACCTGAGGTGGAGTGAGCACCTAGTAAAATTTAGAGGACCGAGTGCAGTGGCTCACACCCAGCACTTTGAGAGGCCGAAGTGGGAGGATTGCTTAAGGTCAGGAGTTCGAGACCAGCCAGGGCAACATAGCAAGACAAAAAAATTTAAAAATTAGGTGGGCATAGTGACACACACCTGTAATCCCGGCTACTCAGGAGGCTGAGGTGAGAGGACTGGTTGAGCCCAGGAGTTTGAGGCTGCAGTGAGCTGTGATCACACCACTGCACTCCAGCCTGGGTGACGGAGCAGATCCTGTTTCGGAAAAAAACCCCCCAAAAAACAGCTTAGACTGTGATAGTTACTGCTAGACAGGAGGTGGGGGCAGGATGGGGAGTGGTCTGGAAAGAAGGGGTGCTGGCCTATGGAGGCTTCTAGATGGTTCTTCCAAGCCCTTAGGACGGTTTCCAGCATCTGAGGTGCCTAAGGCTGCTGGAAGCTTTCCTTGCCCCTGCCACCTTCCCTTAAAGCTGCAGCTGAAGTGTTTGGGCTGGGCTGGACGACAGCAGCTTCAGGGTCATCTGCAGAGCCACCGCGTGGGTGGCAGGGCCAGTGTGACCAGCCTCTTCTCCCCTCACCCCACCCGCCCCCAAGCCTGGCTGCTGTTTGAAGCCTCCCTGGCCCCACTCCCAGCTTGGCCCCTGCCACCTGGGAACCAAACTGATAATCCTTCTTAGTGGCTAAAAATAGCCCCAGATTGGGGGAAAGAGAGAGAATGGGGCTTTGTACTGACACGGGAGGTGGGTTAGGGGGCATGAGTAGAGGATCCCTGCCCCTCTTCAGGGGTCTGAGTGAGAAGGACTGGTTCCCACGGCTTCCCCGAACCCCCAAGGACCCTGGCACTGCTCAGCAGATCAGAGCTATGCACATAGGTTTGTTTTGTTTTGCTTTCAATCTAGCTGGAAATACAGGACTTGTCCATGGTTGTGAAAAAGGCAATTAATTCAGACCCCAGATGTCTGGGCCTCCCAGAGATGAAAACACACACACACACACACACACACACACACTTGCATACATTGACTCACTCACCCGCCCCTGCAGCCTGGCCCGCTGCCTGGGGTCACCTGATTCCTGCGGCCAGAGGCTCAGGCGGGAGCACGTGACATGCTGGAAGGAAGGGGGCTGTTTGCAGATAACCACAGCCTGCCTCTGCACCGGGTCCTGGCTGTCCCTTCCAGACGGACCTGTCTCTTCCACTCTGAGCCTCTCTGAGCAGAGGTCCCACAGGGTGTTAGTGACCAGAGATGCTGCCGGTTGAGGTACCACTCCCCCCAAAGACCCCAAGGTGGACCCCAAGTTCAAGGTTCCGCCTTACCTGAGCCCCTTATTTCTGCACACATTCCTGCCCTCTACATTCTGGCCCTGCTGCCTCCCCACCTCTGCCTCCCCAGCTTAATCCATAGCAACTGCTGCTTGCTGGGCTTCCAACTCACCAAGCTCACTTGTACCATGTTTGCACCCCAGACAGTCACATACATGTCTGACTGTGTTATCATTCTTATTTCAGCTCAAATGTCACCTCCTCCAAGAAGACTTCTCAGACTACCACCAAAGAGGCCACCATATTATTCTGTCTCCTGATCCTGTGTAGTTCCTTCAACCCTCTTGTCCCAGTTGATCTGTTTCATTGGGGTGTCTTCTTCACCCCAAGGCATAAGTTTCATGAAAGAAAAGAATGTTGTTTGAGTCACTGCTGTATCCTCAGAGCCTCAGACAGGGCTGGACACATTAGATGCCACATAAATGTTTGCTACATGGATGAATGAGTAGAATAGACAGATGGACAGGTGGGAGGGTGCAAGGATGTTAGCTCAGGTGGTCAAACTCTCTAGAAAAATAACCCACCCTTAACAGGCATGGTTGGCTTGATCTCCATAAACATTCCCATAAAGGAAACGTGGGAACTGGGAAGCCCAAGGCTCAAAGCAAGAAATGACTAGAGACAGATCACAGGTCACTCAGTCAGCAAGGGGGACAGTCAAGGATAGAAGCTTCCTTGGGTGAGGAGGGGGCTGCTCTGCTCCCACAGTGGGCTCAGGGTTCATACGGTCCTGCGGAGGCCTCCCCAGGCCTACCTCTGCTGATTAAAGTTTCCCCAAAAAGCAAGCTCCTCCTTCTACTTGCCCTCTAAGCTTTCGGGGTACTAGAAGCTAATCATGCAATTTTTCTTTTTTCTTTTTCTTTTTTTTTTTTGAGACGGAGTTTTGCTCTTGTTGCCCAGGCTGGAGTACAGTGGCGCGATCTCGGCTCACTGCAACCTCTGCCTCCCGGGTTCAAGCAATTCTTTTGCCTCACCCACCTGAATAACTAGGATGACAGGTGTTTGCCATCATGCCCGGGTAATTTTTATTTTAGTAGAGACGGAGTTTCACCATGCTGGCCAGGCTGGTTTCGAACTCTTGACCTCAGGTGATCCACCTGCCTCAGCCTCCCAAAGTGCTGGGATTACAGGTGTGAGCCACCACACCTGGCCACAATTTTTCTTTCTTAAAGAGATGGGGTCTCATTCTGTTGCCCAGACTGGAGTGCAGTGGCACCATTGCAGCTCACTACAGCCTTGAACTCTTGGACTTAAGTGATCCTCCCGCCTCAGCCTTCCAAGCAGCTGGGACTACAGGAGCATGCCACCACACCCAGCTAATTTTTGTTATTTTTTTGTAGAGATAGGGTCTTGGTATGTTGCCCAGGCTGGTCTTGCACTCCTGGTCTTGAGCCATTCTCCCACTATGGCTTCCCAAAGTGCTAGGATTACCGACACAAGCCACCACACTCGGGCTCAGCGTGCAATTTCTTAATGTCTATGCCCCTGGAAGCTCAGGAGCCTCCGTAAGCTGGGCCATGTCCCCTGGGTATCCCCAGCCTCCTCCCCTATTGCATCTTCTTGGAACCATTCCCTGGCAACCACCTCTCCTGTCAGCCCCCTCAAAACCTACAACCAATACTGGACCATGAGGATCCCCCAGCAGGTGCCCACCCAACTCTGGCCTGGTGCCTGCTGTGGGAAGGAAGTAAAGAGGGGCCTCCACCTCCTTACCCTTCTGGAATCATCTGTCTCTTCTGCAGTTCTATTCAAGCTCTGGTTACCTCAGCCCCATGCCATCCAGATGGTATGATTCCCAAGACCAGCCCCAAGCCTCCAGGCCTCTGCATCAGTGCCCTTTTTCCAACATGCCTCCGCCCTCTTCCCTGGGCCAGTTCCCACTTGCCTTTCAAGTCCTGGATCAGATTAAAATCCCTATTTAAGAGGCCTCCCCTGCTCTTCCTATGCTAGGCAGAGTCCCCTCCCCAGCCAATACCCCTCCCTGCCCCTAGACCTTTCTTCTGAGCCAGCCCTGGCTCCCTGGAGGTTGGAGTATTCAAGTCTGCCTCTAAGTCTCTCCCCAGTTAGTGATGGTCAGGCCAGGGTGAGATCTCCAGGGGCCCCCAGCATCCCAGAGTAAAGTGGGGAGGTCCGTGAGGGAGGAGAGAGGATCTGGTCTCTGGGGGGTTGGAGGGAAAAAATGAGCAGTCCCCAGCCCCAGAGGTGGAGTAGTGGAGCAGGGATTGTGGGGGGGGATTACCATCTGATTGTTACTCGCACAGAGACAGGATTAAGTATACACGTGGGAGTGTGAGGGGGCCCACTTGGGCTATTAATGGTAAAAAAATAAAAATAAAAACAGCATTACGGAGGTATAATCAACAGGCAAGAAGCTGTACGTGTTTAAAGTGTGAGATCCAACACTTTTTTTTGTTTTGTTTTGACACGGAGTCTCGCTCTGTCGCCCAGGCTGGTGTGCAGTGGCGCAATCTCGGCTCACTGCAAGCTCCACCTCCCGGGTTCACGCCATTCTCCTGCCTCAGCCTCCTGAGTAGCTGGGACTACAGGCGCCCACCACCACGCCCGGCTAATTTTTTTGTATTTTTAGTAGAGTTGGGGTTTCACCATGTTAGCCAGGATGGTCTCAATCTCCTGACCTTGTGATCCACCCACCTCAGCCTCCCAAAGTGCTGGGATTACAGGCATAAGCCACCATGCCTGGCCTACTTTTTTCTGTTTTTTTGAGATGCAGTCTCTATGCCCAGGCTGGAGTGCAGTGGAATGATCTTGGCTCACTGCAACCTCTACTTCCTGGGTTCAAGTGATCCTCTTGCCGCAGCCTCCCAAGTAGCTGGGATCACAGGCATCCACCACCATGCGTGGCTAACTTTTTTTGTGTTTTTAGTGGAAATGGGGTTTCACAATGTTGGCCAGGCTGGTCTTGAAATCCTGACCTCAGGTGGTCTGCCCGCCTCCGCCTCCCAAAGTGCTGAGAGTACAGGCATGAGCCACGGCACCCAGCAGTTCCAACACATTTTGACATATGTACACACCCATGAAATCACCCCCTCAATCAAGATAATGAACAGAAAGCTGGAGGCTGAGTGAGCTACACCTAGTCCAGCAGCCTTTACCAGGTCCAAGGTAACAGGATCTTTATCTATAATCGTCTCTGTGTTCCTGGGGCAGATAACTGTGAGAGAACTAACAGCAAGGTGACTTGCAAGCTAAGAAATAAACAGATTTCTTTCTTTTCTCCTTTTCGTTTTTTTTTTTTTTTTTTTTTTTTTGAGACAGAGTCTCGCTCTGTTGCCCAGGCTGGAGTGCAGTGGCCTGATCTCAGTTCACTGCAACCTCTACCTCTCTGGTTCAAGCGATTCTACTGCCTCAGCCACACTGAGTAGCTGGAATTATAGGTCCATGCCACGATGCCTGGCTAATTTTTGTATTTTTAGTAGAGATGGGGTTTCGCCATGTTGGCCAGGCTGGTCTCAAACTCCTGGCCTCAAGTGATCCATCTGCCTTAGCCTCCCAAAGTGCTGGGATTACAGGCATGAGCCACCACGCCCAGCCCTGTTTTTTCTTTCTTTCTTTTTTTTTTTTTTTTTTTTTAGAAGACAGGGCCTGGTTCTGTTGCTCAGGCTAGAGTGCCGTGGCGAGATCACGGCTCATTGCTACCTCTGCGTCTTGGGCCTAAGTGATCCTCCCACCTCAGCATCCCAAGTAGCTAGGACTACAGGCGGGTGCCACCACACCCAGCTAATTTTTGTACTTTTTTGTAGAGATGGGATTTCACCATGTTGCCCAGGCTGGGCTCAAGCGTTCCTCTTGCCTTGGCCTCCCAAAGTGCTGGGATTGCAGGCATGAACCACCACGCCCAGCCATAAGCAGAAATTTGACCCAAACTCTTGGGAAAGTTTAAGAAACACCTAGCATATACAGAGTTCCCCCTCCAAAGAAAACCTTACTAACGCATATGTCATGTTAGGAAACGTCTTTCTCGATTTGAACTAACAAAACTCTGGTACACCAAATGACAAGTCATGAAATAGGACATGTAAAACCTTTTCAACTAGAAGGCATTTTTTTGTTTGTTTTGAGACAGAGTCTCACTCTGTCACCCAGGCCGGAGTGCAGTGGCGCGATCTCGGCTCACTGCAAGCTCCGCCTCCCGGTTTACCCCATTCTCCTGCCTCAGCCCCCGGAGTAGCTGGGACTACAGGTGCCCGCCACCATGCCCAGCTAATTTTTTTGTATTTTTGGTAGAGACGGGGTTTCACCGTGTTAGCCAGGATGGTCTTGATCTCCTGACCTCGTGATCTGCCCGCCTCGGCTTCCCAAAGTGCTGGGATTACAGGCGTGAGCCACCGCGCCCGGCCTGTTTTGTTTTTGTTTTGGGATAGGGTCTTGCTCTTGTTACCCAGGCTGGACTACAGTGGCACGATCACAGCTCATTGCAGCCTCAACCCACCTGGGGCTCAGGTGATCCTCCCACCTCAGCCTCCTGAGTAGCTGGAACCACAGACACATGCCACCAGCCTGCCTAATTTTAAAATTCTTTATAGAGATTGGGGGGAGGGTCTCACTATGTTGCCTGGGCTAGTCTCAAACTCCTAGGTTCAAGCAATCCTCCCACCTCGGCATCCCAAAGTGCTGGGATTATAGGCATGAGCCACCACACCCAGCCTGAACTAGAAGTTGTATTTTTTATTTATTTTTTGACAGGGTTTCCCTATGATGGCCAGGCTGGTCTCGAACTCCTGACCTCAGGAGATCCACCTCCCTCGGCCTCCCAAAGTGCTGGGATTATAGGCATTAGCCACCATGCCCGGCCTGAACTAGAAGTTTTAAAACAGCAAATGGGGAAAAAAAAGCAAAAAGATGGCCCTGTAATCCCAGCACATTGGAAGGCCGAGGCAGGTGGATCACCTGAGGTCAGGAGTTTGAGACTAGCCTGACCAACATAGTGAAACCTCGTCCCTATTATGCCAGGTGCGGTCGTTCACGCCTGTAATCCCAGCACTTTGGGAGGCTGAGGGGGGCAGATCACGAGGTCAGGAGATCAAGACCATCTTGGCCAACATGGTGAAACCCCGTTTCTACTAAAAATACAAAAATTAGCCAGGCATGGTGGTGTGTGCCTGTAATCCCAGCTACTCGGGAGGCTGAGTCAGGAGAATTGCTTGAACCCAGGAGGCAGAGGTTGCAGTGAGCCGAGATCCTGCCATTGCACTCCAGTCTGGGCAACAAGAGTGAAACTCTGTCTGAAAAAAAAAAAAAAGAAAGAAAGAAAGAAAAAGAGAAAGATACAATATGGATAAATCTTGAGGACGTTATGCTGAATGAAATAAACCTGTCACAAGAGGACAAATCCTGTATGATTCCACTTATATGAGGTCTCTAGAATAGTCCCATTCATAGTGACAGAAAGTAGAATGGGGCCGGGCGTGGTGGCTCATGCCTGTAATCCCAGCACTATGAGAAGCCGAGGCAGGTGGATCACCTGAGGTCAGGAGTTCGAGACCAGCCTGGCTAACAAGGTGAAACCCCACCTCTACTAAAAATGCAAAAATTAGCTGGGCATAGTGATGCGTGCCTGTAATCCTAGCTACTTGAGAGGCTAAGGCAGGAGAATTGCTTGAACCCGGGAAGCAGAAGTTGCAGTGAGTTTAGATCAAGCCACTGCACTCCTGCCTGGGGGATAGAGCAAGACTCTGTCTCCAAAAAAAAAAAAAAAAAAAAAAAAAAAATAGAATGGTGGGTGCCAGGGGAAGGGAAATGGGGAGTTAAAATTGAATGGGTAAAGTACAGCATTTCAGTTTTGGAAAACAAAAAGGTTCTGGAAGCTGGGGGCTGTGGCTCATGCCTGTGGTGCAGCTACTCGGGAGGACTGCATGAGCCCAGGCGTTGGAGGCTGCAGTGAGCTATGACTGCACTACTGTACTCCAACCTTGGAGACAGAGGGAGACTGTCTTATTTATTTTTTTGAGATGGAGTCTCACTCTGTCGCCCAGGCTGGAGTGCAGTGGCGCAATCTCAGTTCACTGCAAGCTCTGCCTCCTGGGTTCACGCCATTCTCCTGCCTCAGCCTCCCGAGTAGCTGGGACTACAGGCACCTGCCACCATGCCCGGCTAATTTTTTGTATTTTTAGTAGAGACGGGGTTTCACCGTGTTAGCCAGGATGGTCTCGATCTCCTGACCTCGTGATCCGCCCGCCTCGGCCTCCCAAAGTGCTGGGATTACAGGCGTGAGCCACCACGCCCAGCCGACTCTCTTATTTTGAGACGAGGTCTCTGTTGCTCAGGCTGGAGTGCAGTGGTGCTATCTAACTGCAACCTTCACCACCCAGGCTCAAGTGGTCCTCCCACTTCAGCCTCCTGAGCAGCTGGGACTACAGGCGTGTGCCACCATGCCCAGCTAATTTTTGTGTTTTTGTTTGTTTGTAGAGACAGGATTTCGCCATGTCACCCGGGTTGGTCTCAAACTCTTGGAATCAAGCGATCCACCTGCTATGGCCTCCCAAAGTGCTGGGATTACAGACGTGAGCCACCGCGCCCGGCCCCACAATTAAAAAATTTTTTAATTTTAAAAATTACTAAAGGAGGTATGGGGTGGAGGAAGAGCTATGTTCAATGGCTTGGGAGGATTATGGAGTTAAAAAAAATAAAAGCAAAGTACAGAGAGACACTAATGGCCTGATAATTTATACAATGGAAAACCACAAGAATTCTCCTTCTGGTAATGGTGAAGTCAGCCACATCAGGCCAGCTCTTTCATAGATAACAATGATAAACACTGAGCTAAATATAAAAAAACAACTACCTGGGCCAGGCACGGTGGCTCACACCTGTAATCCCAGCACTCTGGGAGGCCGAGGCAGGCGGATCACCTGAGGTCAGGAGTTTGAGACCAGCCTGGCCAACATGGTGAAACCCCGTCTCTACTAAAAATACAAAAAATTAGCTGGGTGTGGTGGTACGTGCCTGTGATCCCAGCTACTCGGGAGGCTGAGGCAGGAGAATCGCTTGAACCTGGGAGGCGGAAGTTGCAGTGAGCTAAGATCACAGCACTGCACTCCAGCCTGGGTGACAGAGCAAGACTCCGCCCCCCAAAAAAAAATTAGCCGAGTGTGGTGGCTTTTGCCTGTAATCCCAGGCTGAAGTTGGAGGATTGCTTGAGGCCAGGAATTTGAGACCAGGCTGGACAACATAGAGAGACCCTCATCTCTTAAAAAAAATAAAATAAAAAGATTCAGGCTGGCTGCAGTGGCTTATGTCTGTAACCCCAGCACTTTGGGAAGTCAAGGCGGGAGGATCACTCAAGCCTAGGAGTTTAAGACCAGCCTGGACAACATAGTGAAACCTCACCTCCACTTCAAAAAAAAAAAAAAAAAAAAAAAAAATCAGCGAGGCATGGTGGTGTCTCCCTGTAGTCCTAGCTACTCTCTAGGAGGCTGAGGTGGAAGGATGACAAGCCTGGGAGATCTAGGCTGCAGGGAGCTGTGATCACACCACCAGCACTCTAACCTGGGCAACAGGGTGAGACCGTGTCTCAAAAAAAAAAAAAAAGGTTTAAATAAAAAGGTTTTAATAAATATGTTGCACTAACAACATTTGTATACTCAATAGCCACATGTAGCCAGTGGCTACCACTTTGCAGAATTCAGATATGGAACATTTCCATCATTGTAGAAAATTCTAGGCCGGGCACAGTGGCTCATGCCTATAATCCCAGCACTTTGGGAGGCCGAGGTGGGCAGATCATCTGAGGTCGGGAGTTCGAGATCAGCCTGACCAACATGGAGAAACCCCGTCTCTACTAAAAATACAAAAAAATTGCCGGGTGTGGTGGCACGTGCCTGTAATCCCAGCTACTAGGGAGGCTGAGGCAGGAGAATCGCTTAAACCTGGAAGGCAGAGGTTGCAGCGAGCCGAGATTGCACCACTGTATTCCAGCCTGGGTGACAGAGCAAGATTCTGTCTTAAAAAAAAGAAAAGAAAAAAGAAATAAAATTCTACTGGACAGTATCACTCTAAAGAGGAAAAACAAGTAGCAATCGGAAGGGAATCTATAAATGGAAGAAAGAAATGGCACTGGGTGAATTTCTCATTTTTATTGCTATTCATTGGAGATAAAAACTGGCTTAAAGATTAAGAGGATAGGGCCGGGTGTCGTAACTCATGCCTATAATTCCACTGCTTCGGGAGGCTGAGGTGGGAGGATTACTTGAGGCTAGGAGTTTGAGACCAGCTTTGGCAAGATAGTGAGACCCTGTCTCTACCAAAAAAAAAAAAGAAAAAGCTGGGTGAGGTGGTACATGCCTGTAGTCCCAGCTACTCAGGAGGCTGAGGTGGGAGGATCCTTTGAGCCCAGAAGCTATGATTGCACCACTGCACTCCAGCCTGGGAGACTGTCTCTAAAAAAAAAAAAAAAAAAAAAATGCTGGGCACAGTGCCTCATGCTTGTAATCCCAGAACTTTGGGAGGCCAAGGCAGGCGGATCACGAGGTCAGGAAATCGAGACCATCCTGGCTAACACGATGAAACCCTGTCTTTACTAAAAATACAAAAAGAAAATTAGCCGGGCATGGTGGCGGGCATCTGTAATCCCAGCTACTCGGGAGGCTGAGGCAGGAGAATGGTGTGAACCCAGGAGGTGGAGCTTGCAGTGAACCGAGATCACACCACTGCACTCCAGCCTGGGCGACAGAGCAAGACTCCATCTCAAAAAAGAAAAAGAAAAGAAAAGAGCCAGAGATGGAAAGCCCCATATTCTACATTAAAAGTCTGTGTACATCTCTTGCTGACTCTTAGCCCATGGATATTGAACGTATTCCAACTAGCCTTGCTGAGGCTAACAGAACTAGGCCAAGATTTCATCTGCTACCCACCACAGGAGAAACAGACTTTGGAGTCTGAGTCCAGCCAGGTTAACTGCCTGATAAAAAAATAGTTAAATTTTAAAAAATCATTGCTCTTCAAAGGAACATAACAGAATCCAGAGACTCTACAACATATCTTCCACAATATCCAGCACTCAATCCAAAATTTCTTGACATCTCACAAAATTGGAAAACATGGCCCATGCTCAGGAAAGAAGGAAGTTAAAGGAGACTGGCTCTGAGGTGACCCAGATGTTGGAATTAGCAGAAAGGTGTTTGAGGCAGCTATTATGTCTGTAATCCCAGCACTTTGAGACGCCAAGGTGGGTGGATCACTAGAGTTCAGGGGTTCAAGAGCAGCTGGGCAACATGGTGAAACACCGTCTCTACAAAAAATACAAAAATTAGCTGAGCGTGGTGGCATAAGCCTGTAGTCCCAGCTACTTGGGGGGCTGAGGCAAGAGGATCACTTGAGCCCAAGAGGTTGAGGCTGCAGTGAGCTGTGATTGCACCACTGCATTCCAGCCTGGGCAACAGAGTGAGACCCTGTCTCAAAAACAAACAAACAAACAAAACAAAAAACAAATGGAAATTATAAAACTTAAAAATATACACAATCTGAAATTTAAAAATTCACTGTTTGGGCTTGATAGCGCATTGGAGATGATAAAAGAAAGTGCTAACAAATTTAAAGACAGATTGATAGCAAATATCCAAACTGAAGAACAGAGAAGAAAAAAGTTTAAGTAAAAATGGATAGTGGTAATGGTTGCACAACACTTTGAATGTACTGAATACTACTAAGTTGCACACTTAAACATGTTTAAAATGGTTAATTTTATATTACATATATTTTACCTCAATTTAGAAACTGTATAGAGCCTTGGTATTTTCTGGATGATATCAAAAGATCTAACTTATGGCTGGGCACAGTGGCTCCCGCCTGTAATCCCAGCACTTTAGGAGGCTGAATTGGGCGGATCACTTGGGTCCAGGAGTTTGAAACCAGCCTGGCCAACATGATGAAACCCTCTCTCTAATAAAAATACAAAAATTGGCCAGGCGTGGTGGCACATGCCTGTAATCCCAGCTACTCGGGAGGCTGAGGCAGGAGAATCATGTGAACCTGGGAGGCAGAGGCTGGAGTGAGCCGAGATCTGAGATCGCACCACTGTGCTCCAGCTCAGGCGAGACTCCGTCTCAAAAAAAAGAAAAAAAAAGAAAAAAAAAGGTCTAACTTGCATGCAATGGGAGTACTAGAAGGAGAAAGGAAAGAGAATGGGGCAGGTGAAATATTTGAAAAAATAAGAAAGAACACCAAAGGATTTTGATTTTTTTCCCTATGGCTACATATATGCACATAAACACACAGAAGAAGGCTGTAAGGCCAGATGTGGTGGCTCACACCTGTAACCCCAGCACTTTGGGAGGCTGAGGCGGGAAGATCACTTGAGCTCAGGAGTTCGAGGCCAGCCTGGGAAACACAGTGAGACCTTGTCTCTACTAAAATTAAAACAACAACAACAGCAAATAACAACTAGCTGGGTGTGTTGGCACATGCCTGTAGTCCCAGCTACTTTAGGGGCTGAGGCAGGAGGATCACTTGAGCTTGGGAGGTTGAGGCTATAGTGAGTCCTGAACATGCCACTGCATTCCAGCCTGTCTGACAGAGTGAGACCCTTTCTCAAAAAACAAAAAAGGCTGGGCATGTTGGCTCACACCTGTAATCCTAGCACTTTGGGAGGCCAAGGCAGGCAGCAGATCACCTAAGGTCAGGATTTCGAGACCAGCCTGGCCAACATGGTGAAACCCTGTCTCTACTAAAAATACAAAAAAATAGCTGGGCGTGGTGGCAGGCACCTGTCATCCCAGCTACTCCAGAGGATGAGGCAGGAGAATCACTTGAACCCAGGAGACGGAGGTTGCAGTGAGCTGGGATCGCACTGAACTCCAGCCTGGGTGAGAGCGACACACGAAGAAGAAGAAGAAGAAAAAAGAAGAAAGAAGAAGAAGAAAAAAGAAGAAAGAAGAAGAAGGCTCTAAGGGTATAGTCCACATGCATGTGAGTTGTTATACTAGGGAGCTGGTCCGGGTTGGGATGGGAGCCAGTGAACCTGTCTTGTGTTTTACTGATCATAGCTCACTGCAGCCTCCACTTCCTGGGCTCAGGTGATACTCCCAGCTCAGCTCCCCAAGTAGCTGGGATTACAGGTGTGCACTACCTTGCCTAGCTACTGTTTTAATTTTTTGTAGAGATGGGGTTTCACCATGTTGCCAGGCTGGTCTCAAACTCTTGGACTCAGGGGATCCGCCTGCCTCAGCCTCCCAAAGTACTAGGATTACAGGCATGAGCCACCACACCTGGCATTCATGGATTTTTTTTTTTTTTTAGATGAAGTCTCACCGGCCCAGGCTGGTGTGTGCAATGGCGCAATCTCTGCTCATTGCAACCTCCGCCCCAGGGGTTCAAGTGATTCTCCTGCCTCAGCCTCCCAAGTAGCTGGGATTACAGGCATGTGCCCCTATGCCCAGCTAATTTCTGTATTTTTAGGAGAGACAAGGTTTCACCATGTTGGCCAGGCTAGTCTTGAACTCCTGATCTCAAGTGATCCTCTCACCTTGGCTTCCCAAAGTGCTGGGATTACAGGCATGAGCCACCATGATCGGCCTTCACTGATTTTTTTTTATAAGGAGTGGGTTTAAGGGTGACTTCTTAAAAAAAAAATTTTTTTTTTGAGACGGAGTTTTGCTCTTGTTGCCCAGGCTGCAGTGCAACGGCGGGATCTCAGCTCACTGCAACCTCCGCCTCCCAGGTTCAAGCAATTCTCCTGCCTCAGCCTGCTGCGTAGCTGGGATTACAGGCACCTACACCACACCCAGCTAATTTTTTATATTTTTAGTAGAGATGGGGTTTCGCCATGCTGGCCAGGCTGGTCTCAAACTACTGGCCTCAGGTGATCTGCCCACTTAGGCCTCCCAAAGTGCTGGGATTATAGGTGTGAGCCACCATGCTCGGCTGACATATTTAAAAATTTTTTTTAATTGTGGTAAAATACTCAACATTTACCATTAATCGTGTTTAATTATACAGTTCAGTGGCATTAAATATTTCACATGGTTGTGTAACCATAACCACCATCCAGCTCCAGAATTCTTTCATGTTGTAAAACTGAAACTCTGGCAGGGCACGTTGGCTCACACCTGTCATCTCGGCACTTTGGGAGGCCGAGGCGGACGGATCGTGAGACTCTGGCAGGGCACAGTAGCTCACACCTGTCATCTCAGCACTTTGGGAGGCCGAAATGGACGGATCATGAGGTCAAGAGATCGAGACCATCCTGGCCAACATGGTGAAACCCCGTCTCTACTAAAAATACAAAAATTGTCTGGGCGTGGTGGCGGGCGCCTGTAATCCCAGCTACTCGGGAGGCTGAGGTAGGAGAATCGCTTGAACCCAGGAGGCAGAGGTTGCGGTGAGCCGAGATCACGCCACTGCATTCCAGCCCAGCAACATAGTGAGACTCCGTCTCAAAACAACAGCAACAAAAACCTGAAAATCCATGCCTAATAATCAATAATTCCCTGTTCCCTCTCCTTTGGCACCCACCATTCTACTTTCTCTCTGTGTGAATCTGGTGACGCTAGGGGCCTCATGTAAGTGGAATCACACAGTATCTCCCCTTTTGTGACTGGCTGATTTCATGTACCATAATGTCCTCAAGGTTCACCCACATGACATGTTACATCCTTCCCTTTTAAGGCTGAATCAGGCTGGGTGCAGTGACTCATGCCTGTAAGCCGAGCACTTTGGGAGGCTGAGACGGGTGGATCATTTGCGATCAGGAGTTCGAGACCAGCCTGGGCAACATGGTGAAACCCCATCTCCACTAAAAATGCAAAAATTAGCTAGGCGTGGTGGCCAGCTTACTTCCAAGTAAGTCCCAGATACTTGGAAGGCTGAGGCATGAGAATTGCTTGAGCCAAGATCAAGGCAGAGGTTGCAGTGAGCCGAGATCGCACCACTGCACTCCAGCCTGGGTGACAGAGTGAGACTCTGTCTCAAGGAAAAAGAAGAAAAAAAACCTGAATCATATTCCAGTGTATGTATATATATTAAGGGTGACTTTTTAAATAGAAAATTATAGTACATGAAAATGAAAAGATTTCCACTGAAGGTGTGTTTGATACAGGAGACAGGGTTGATACAGGAGAGGGGGCATTTTTGGTAGGGAATGAGCCCTCTACCCCCACCTCACTACTTAAGAAACCAATTCTCTTTTTTTTGAGACAGTTTCGCTCTTGTTGCCCAGGCTGGAGTGCAATGGTGCAATCTTGGCTCACGGCAACATCAACCTCCCAGGTTTAAGCAATTCTCCTGCCTCAGCATCCCAAGTAGCTGGGACTACAGGCATGCACCACCACATCCAGTTGATTTTGTATTTTTAGTAGAGACAGGGTTTCTCCATGTTGGTCAGGCTGGTCTCGAACTCCTGACCTCAGGTGATCCGTCTGCCTCGGCCTCCCAAAGTGCTGGGATTACAGGTGTGAGCCACTGCGCCTGGCCTAATTTTTGTGTTTTTAGTAGAGACGGGGTTTCAGCATGTTGGCCAGGCTGGTCTCGAACTCTTGACCTCAGGCAATCCGCCTGCCTCAGCCTCCCAAAGTGCTAGGATTACAGGCGTGAGCCACTGTGCCCAGTCTGGTCTTGAACTCTTTTGCTCAAGCAATCTGCCCACGTCGGCCTTCCAAAGTGCTGGGATTACAGGCATGAGCCACTACACGGGCCAAGAAACCAATTTTCCATCAAGATCAGCCCCTTTGGTGATGTCCCTGCCCACCTTCCAGGGTGGAGATAATTGTGAAATCTGGGTTATGCTCTGATGGGATCCTTCCTTCACTCAACCTGCTCTAACATCTGCCCCTCCTCCCACCAGCTGTTGGCTGGGCCCCTGTGCTGCTCCCTGGTGACAGCATACATGGAGGTAGATTCATATAGGGCCAAGCAGGTGCAAAGCCAGACTGTTCTGTGGGAGAGCAGGCTTTTGCCCACACCCACACCAGGATTATCCTAAGGCACCAGTGACCAATAGCGTTGGTACCATCCCAGGTATTATCCATCAGACGCTTACCCAGGGACAAGCCCTTACCTCCCTGCATTGGAAATATCAGTCACACCCTGAGGAAGATACTGTTACCATTCTTTTTTTTTAAGACAGAGTCTTGCTCTGTCACTCAGGCTGGAGTGGAGTGCAGTGGTGTGACTTCGGCTCACTGCAACCTCTGCCTCCCGGATTCAAGCGATTCTCCCGTCTCAGCCTCCCAAGTAGCTGGGATTATAAGCATGCGCCACCACACCTGGCTAATTTTTGCATTTTTTAGTAGAGACGGAGTTTCACCATGTTGGCCAAGCTGGTCTTGAACTCCTGTACTTAAATGATCCGCCCGCCTTGGCCTCCCAAAGTGCTGGAATTACAGGCGTGAGTCACCTTGCCCGGTCACCATTCTCATTTCACAGATGAACAAACTGAGTCTTGGAGACATGCCGGATCACCTACACAGGGTCACATAGCTGACAAATGGCCAGGCAGTAATTTGACCCCAGCTCTGTGGCACCAGGCATTCCAGACAGACATGGGCCCAGAGACACTCAGCTCATCAGCAGTAGCCTCAGAATTATCAGAAAACACGGCCGGGTACGGTGGCTCACGCCTATAATCCCAGCACTTTGGGAGGCGGAGGTGGGTGGATCACCTGAGGTCAGGAGTTCGAGACCAGCCTGGCCAACATGGAGAAACCCCATCTCTACTAAAAATACAAAAATTAGCTGGGCTTGGTGGCGGGCACCTGTAATCCCAGCCACTCGAGAGGCTGAGGCAGGAGAATCGCTTGAACCCGGGAGGCGGAGGTTGCAGTTAGCCGAGATCGCTCCATTGCGCACTCCAGCCTGGGGGGCCAAGAGTGAGACTTTGTCTCAAAAAAAAAAAAAAAAAAAAGAATTATTGGAAAACAGGACTTGCCTTCCTGCTTCTATTCACTGTCCACTGCCACCTCTCTGTCCCCACCCTACTACTCCAGCCTTTGGCTTTTGGCCATCAGTCGCAGCCTCCCATGGCCAATCCCAAGTGGTCAATTCCTCTAAGCATGAAACTGGGACCCTCTAGTAGCATCTCCTCCCCTTGTCCATCCCTCCTTCCCAGAATCATGACCTCCTGGTTCCCCTCCTCTCTGCTGTTTTCTCTAATTTGTGCTGGTTTTTCTCCCTAAATTATGCCAGTCCTGGATCCCCTCACACCATCTGCTCTCCCTGGGAAATTCACCTGCCTGGAAGCTGCGGCCAGCACGTCCATGCTGTCAGTTTCCAGATTTCTGCTGCTCCCAGGTCACCATCCCGCCAAAGCCAAACCTGCTGCCCCAATACCTCCCGTCTGCGCGCTGTCCAGACACGTCAGGGCTGAAGTCATCTCCCACAGAGCCTTCTTTCCTCCTCCCCTGGCTTCTTGGCCAAGATCCCACCCTCCACCCAGTCTTCAGGGACAAAATTCTGAGAGTCATCTCTGACTCCATCTCACACCCTCTCGGCACTCAGCTCCTCATTAAGCCCTACGATTACGTCCGTCTTTCCCGCGACAGTCCCTCCTCTGCCCGATTTCCACGGCTCCCATTTCTTGATTGAATCATGGTGGCCGCCTCCCCACTCAGCACCCAGGTCTTTCTTCTTGCCTGCAAATCAGACCCGCAGCTTTGAATCCTGCAAGTGCTCCCACTGGCCTGGCACGGTGCTCCCCAGCAAATGGACCTTGGCACATGCCATTCCCTACCAGTAATGCCCTCCCTTCAGCCTGCCAAATTCCTCCCAGCTCTTCACGACTCTGTTCAACAGACACTTCCTCTAGGAGGGCCGACCAATCGCCGCTGGGCTGGGTTAGGGGACACTCCCCTCCTGGGTTCTCCTACCTCATCTTTCTCAGAACTTTTGGGGCAACAATTTTTTTTTTTTTTTTTTTGCGATGGAGTCTCGCTCTGTCACCCAGGCTGGAGTGCAGTGGCACAATCTCTACTCACCGCAATCTCCGCCTCCCAGGTTCAAGCGATTCTCCTGCCTCAGCCTCCTGAGTAGCTGGGATTACAAGCGCGTGCCACCACACCCGGCTAATTATTGTATTTTTAGTAGAGACAGGGTTTCACCATGTTGGTCAGGCTGGTCTCGAACCCCTGACCTCGTGATCCGCCCGCCTTGGCCTCCCAAAGTGCTGGGATTACAGGCATGGGCCACCGTGCCTGGCCTTTTTTTTTTTTTTTTTTTTTTAAAGACGGAGTCTTGCTGTCACCCAGGCTGGATGGAGTGCAGTGGTGTGATCTCAGCTCACTGCACCCTCCACCTCCCAGGTTCAAGCAATTCTCCTGCCTCAGCCTCCCAAGTATCTGGGACTACAGACACGCACCATGATGCCCGGCTAATTTTTTTTGTATTTTTAGTAGAGACGGGGTTTTACCATGTTGGTCAGGCTGGTCTCGAACTCCTGATTTCAAATGATCCGCCCGCCTCGGTCTCCCAAAGTGCTGGGATTACAGGCATGAGCCACTGCACCCAGCCACGGGCAACTGTTTTTTGTGTTTTTGTTTTTGAGACAGGGTCTTGCTTTGTTGCCCAGGCTGGAGTGCAGTGGCATGATCAAGGTTCACTGCAGTTTCGACCTCCCAGGCTCAAGTGATCCTCCCACCTCAGCTTTCTGAGTAGCTGGGATTATAGGCGTGCACTGCCACGCCCGGCTAATTTTGTCTTTGTTTTTTTAGACAGAGTTTCTCTCTTGTTGCCTAGGCTGGAGCACAATGGTGCAATCTTAGCTCCCTGCAACCTCCGCCTCCCAGGTTCAAGTGATTCTCCTGCCTCAGTCTCACAAGTAGCTGGGATTACAGGCGTGTGCAACCATGCCCAGCTACTTTTGTATTTTTTTAGTAGAGACAGGGTTTCAACATGTTGGTCAGGCTGGTCTTGGACTCCTGAGCTCAAGTGATCCTCCCACCTCTCAGCCTCCCAAAGTGCTGGGATTACAGGCATGAACCACTGCACCCGGCCCGGCCAATTAAAAAAGAAAATTTTTTTGTAGAGACCAGGTCTCACTATGTTTCCCAGGCTAGTCTCAAACTCCTGGGTTCAAGTGATCCTGATGCCTCAACAGGATCCCAAAGTGCTGGGATTACAGGTACATGCCGCCATGCCCAGCTAATTTTTTTTTTTGGCAGAGACAGGGTTTCCCTATGTTGCCCAGGCTGGTCTCAAACTCCTGGCCTCAAGTGATCCTCCCACCTCAACCTCCCAAAGTGCTGGGACTATAGATGTGAGCCACTGCACCCAGCCAGGGACAACTATCTTCCCCCATATCCTGGTGATTAGGACCTCTCCATTTTCCCAGCACCTGACACACAACGGGTAGCAGGAAACTGTCCACCGACTGCACAAATGAGTAAAAGGCTCAACTGAGACCGGGCACCCAGGATTCCAGAGAACAACCAAGCTCCAGTTTCAGGCTTTCCCACCACCCTCATGGCCACCTGTCCGTCTTCCACCTGTGCTGTGAGGCACTCACTGCTCTCCTTCAAAAGGCTCGTGCTGGCCAGGCACAGTGGCTGACACCTGTAATCTCAGCATTTTGGGAGGCCGAGGCGGGTGGATCATCTGAGGTCAGGAGTTCAAGATCCGCCTGACCAACATGGAGAAACCCCGTCTCTACCAAAAATACAAAATTAGCCAGGTGTGGTGGCGCATGCCTGTAATCCCAGCTACTCGGGAGGCTGAAGCAGGAGAATTGCTTGAACCCAGGAGGCGGAGGTTGCCGTGAGCCAAGATCACACCATTGTACTCTAGCCTGGGCAACAAGAGCAAAACTCCGTCTCAAAAACAAAAATAAATAAATAAAAAAGGCTCATGCTGGCCAGGCACAGTGACTCACGCCTGTAATCCCAGCACTTCTCGGAGGCTGAAGCAAGAGGATCACCTGAGGTCAGGAGTTCAAGACCAGCCTGGCCAACATGGTGAAACCCCATCTCTACAAAAAAATACAAAAATTAGCTGGGCATGATGGTGGGTGCCTGTAATCCCAGCTACTCAGGAGGCTGAGACAGGAGAATCGTTTGAACCCGGGAGGCCGAGGTTGCAGTGATCCGAGATTGCGCCACTGCACTCCAGTCTGGGTGACAGAGCGAGACTCCATCTCAAAAAAAAATAAATAGGGCCGGGCGCGGTGGCTTACGCCTGTAATCCCAGCACTTTGGGAGGCTGAGGCGGGTGGATCACGAGATCAGGAGATTGAGACCATCCTTGCTAATACGGTGAAACCCCGTCTC
Source organism: Homo sapiens (assembly GCF_000001405.40). Classification (NCBI taxonomy): domain Eukaryota; kingdom Metazoa; phylum Chordata; class Mammalia; order Primates; family Hominidae; genus Homo; species Homo sapiens. The sequence goes on along the minus strand of NC_000019.10, from coordinate 8,222,065 downwards.
TACTAAAAATACAAAAAATTAGCTGGGCGTGATGGCAGGCACCTGTAGTCCCAGCTACTGGGAGGCTGAGGCAGGAGAATGGCGTGAACCCGGGAGGCGGAGCTTGCAGTGAGCCACGATCATGCCACTGCACTCCAGCCTGGGCGACAGAGCAAGCCTCTGTCTCAAAAAAAAAAAAAAAAAAAAAAAAAAACATAAAAAAATAAATAAGTCAGTAAGTAAATATAAAATAAAATTTTAGGCTGGGTGTGGTGGCTCATGCCTGTAATCCCAGCACTTTGGTAGGCTGAGGAGGGCGGATCACTTGAGGTCATGAGTTCGACCTCAGCATGGTGAAGCCTCGTCTCTACTAATAATACAAAAAAATTAGCTGGGCATGGTAATCCCAGCTACTTGGGAGGCCGAGGCAGGAGAATCGCTTGAACCTGGGAGGTGGAGGTTACAGTGAGCCAAGATCGTGCCACTGCACTCCAGCATGGGTGACAGAGCAAGATTCCGTCTCAAAAAAAAAAAATAAGAAAAAAAAAAGTTAAAAGGCTCACATTGTTTGTTTACCGAAATACATTTATTTTCAGAAGACACTTTCTCTCCCTCCCTCTCTCCCTGAAAGAGCAAGCCAGCATTGGCATCACGTGCAGAGGCTAGCCGTGAAAACAAATACAATGAACACAAAACAAAGTGCAGTCTTGACCAGTTCCCGATGTTGGCAAGGCTGCCAGCCCAGGCCCTCGGGCACTCCAGATTCAAGGGGAGGTTACCAAGTGTCTGTTACCATGCCTTGAAGGACACAGCAGCAGAACCAGGTACAGTGGCTCACACCTGTAATTCCAATACTTTGGGAGGCTGGGGTGGGAGGATTGCTTGAGCCTAGCAGTTCAAGACCAGCCTGAGCAACATAGCGAGACCCTGTCTCTGTTTAAAAAAAAAAAAAAAAATACACAGGCCGGGCACAGTGGCTCACGCCTGTAATCCCAGCACTTTGGGAGGCCGAGGCGGGCAGATCACAAGGTCAGGAGATCGAGACCATCCTGGCTAACAGGGTGAAACCCCGTCTCTACTAAAAAAAATACAAAAAAATTAGCCAGGCACCGTGGCGGGCGCCTATAGTCCCAGCTACTCGGGAGGCTGAGGCAGGAGAACGGCATGAACCCAGGAGGCAGAGCTTGCAGTGAGCCGAGGTTGCACCACTGTACTCCAGCCCGGGTGACAGAGCGAGACTCCGTCTCAAAAAAAAAACAAAAAAAAAAACACAAAACAGCAGTGGTAACAGAAGCCCTCAGCCTTGATGCCATGGGAAGGCGGCAGAGATTTCGGGAGGGACCGATTCTGGGAGTTCTCCTGGCAACACAGGCTGCCCTTGGAGGTTGTCCCATCCCTGGAGGTCACTCAGAGGCTGGCTGGCCTCTTGCAGGTGACAGCAGCCAGAGTGGGGAAGCTGGGTCAGAACAGGTAGGGAGGCTCAGCCGGACGCGGTGGCTCATGCCTGTATTCCCAGTACTTTGGGAGGCCGAGGCGGGCAGATCACCTGAGGCCAGGAGTTCCAGATCAGCCTGGCCAACATGGTGAAACCCCATTTCTACTAAAAATATAAAAATTACCTGGGCATGGTGGCACATGCCTGTAATCCCAGCTGCTCAGGAGGCTGAGGCAAGAGAATCACTTGAACCTGCGAGGTGGAGATTGTAGTGAGCCGAGATCGCACCACTGCACTCCAGCCTGGGTAACAGAGCATGGTGCTGTCTCCAGAAAAGAAGAGAGAGGGAGGCTGAAGGTGGAGGGTGGCAGAGACAGGAGCCTCGGGGAGGGGTGCTGAGGTCCGGGTAGGGTATCTTCAAGGGGTGGGGGTGGCAGATTGGGATGAGTATCTGGGGTAGATCTGGGAACTGCCTGCTTGGGCAGGAATAAGGGGACACACAGCCGAGGGGTGGGAGGGGGCGAGGAGAGCCGGTGGGCAAATTCCAGGCATGGAATTCTAAGATGGCATCATCCGAGAGGGAGGAAAACAACAGGGTGAGGGCAGCAGCCGTGGAGCTCCAGGGTCCCCAGGTATGTATCCACTTAACAAATTTTTTTTTTTTAAGAGACAACAGGATTCCACTCTGTTGCCCAGGCTGGAGTGCAGTGGCATGATCATAGCTCACTGCAGCCTCAAACTCTTGGGTTCAAATGATCCCCCTGCCTCAGCCTCCTGAATAGCTGAGACTACAGGCACCCATGCCACTATACCCAGCTAATTTTTTTTTTTTGAAACAGAGTTTCGCTCTTGTTGCCCAGGCTGGAGTGCAGAAGCACAGTCTTAGCTCATTGCAACCTCCACCTCCCGGGTTCAAGCGATTTTTCTGCCTCAGCCTCCTGAGTAGCTGGAGTTACAGGTATGTGCCACCACACCTGGCTAATTTTTTTGTATTTTTAGTAGAGACGGGATTTCACCATGTTGGTCAGGCTGGTCTCAAACTCCTGACCTCAGGTGATCCATCCGCCTTGGCCTCCCAGAGTGCTGGGATTACAGGCATAAGCCACTGTGCCCAGCCCTCACCCAGCTAATTTTAAAATATATATTTTTTATAGAGATAGGGTCTTACTATGTTGCCCAGGCTTGTCTCGAACTCCTGGCCTCAAGCCATACTTGAGCCTCAGCCTCTCAAAGTGTTGGGATGACAGGTGCAAGCCACCGTGTCCGGCCTCCAGGCATCCATCTGAACCTACATGGGCCTGCAGTCCTGCCTGGGTCTCAGAGGAGCTGGGGGCAGTGGGTTGAGACAGTAGCAAACTGTGGACCTCAGAGCCTGCTCCTATCCTGCAGGGTGGCTCAGGCAGCTGGAGTTCTCTGTGAAATCAAGTCACCACCTTTTTTTGCGGGAGATGAAGTCTCGCTCTGTCACCCAGGCTAGAGTACAATGGCACGATCTAGGCTCACGGCAACCTCCGCCTCCTGGGTTCAAGTGATTCTCCTGCCTCAGCCTCCCAAGTCGCTGGGAATACAGGCGCCCGCCACCATGCCCAGCTAATTTTTGTATTTTTAGTAGAGATGGGGTTTTACCACGTTGGCCAGGCTGGTCTCGAACTCCTGGCCTCAAGTGATCCTCCCGCCTCGGCCTCCCAAAGTGCTGGGATTACAGGCATGAGCCACGGCTCCCGGCCTCAAGTCACCATCTTGATACCCATCCACCCAGTGAAGCAAGAAGCCACAGAGAGCCCCTGCAGAGCACACGTCTTCCATCAGCCCTCTGGGTTGGATGGGTTGGCACAGAGAAGGGCCCCCAGTGGGGAGGCAGAGGCTACCTATCGTCCCTTTAAGGACCGGAGGTGTTTGTGTAACTGGAGGCAAAGCACTTCCTCTCAGATGACGGTCCAGGACCGCCCCTCCTCTGGGATACACACAGATGGAGTCCATCCCTCTCTCAGCAGTGGCTCTGAGTACCAGCCTGTCCCTTCCCCATCTCAAGATCTCCTCGGAGGCTCCCCATGGCTCCTGACCTGGCATTCGAGGCCTTTGTGACCTGGCCGAACGCACTGCCCTGTCCTGGCCTCCCTGTCTGCCCTCCCGCAGCCACCCTGACTCCGAGGTTCTCAGCCTAGGGTCTCCACGGGTGGATTCCCAGAGTCTGCTTCAATTTTAGGAATGTTGCTCCGATGCCATTCCCGGATGCCAGGCCTTTGCCTGGGCCGCTCCCTCTAAATCACTGTTCAGCATTCCGTTATCTGATGCCTGGCATGGTTAAACCTTCAAGTGGGCAGCTTGCCTGTGGCTGCCTCCAGGAAGTCTTGAAGACTCCCAGCCTGGGTCAAGAGCCTCTCCTTGGTCATGCACAGTGGCTCATACCTGTAATCCCAGTGCTTTGGGAGGCCAAGGTGGGCAGATCACCTGAGGTCAGGAGTTCAAGACCAGCCTGGCCAATATGGTGAAACCTCATCTCTACTAAAAATACAAAAATTAGCTGGGTATGGTGGCACGTGCCTGTAATCCCAGTTACTTGGGAGGCTGAGGCAGTAGAATCGCTTGAACCCGGGAGGCAAAGGTTGCAGTGAGCCAAGATTGCACCACTGCACTCCAACCTGGGCGACAGAGTGAGACTCTGTCTCAAAATAAAAGCAAAAACAAAAAGAAGGCCAAATGTAGATCCCAGCACTTTGGGAGGATGAGGCGGGCAGATCACTTGAGATCAGGAGTTCGAGACCAGTCTGGCCAGCATGGCAAAACCCCGTCTCTACAAAAGAATACAAAAATTAGCCAGGTGCGGTGGCTCACGCCTGTAATCCCAACACTTTGGGAGGCCGAGGCGGGCGGATCACGAGGTCAGGAGATCGAGACCATCCTGGCTAACAGGGTGAAACCCCGTCTCTACTAAAAATACAAAAAAAATAGCCAGGCGTGGTGGTGGGCACCTGTAGTCCCAGCTACTGGGGAGGCTGAGGCAGGAGAATGACATGAACCCGGGAGGCGGAGCTTGCAGTGAGCCGAGATGGAGTCACTGCACTCCAGCCTGGGTGAAAGAGCGAGACTCCATCTCAAAAAAAAAAAAAAAAACATTAGCCAGGTGTGGTAGTGGACACCTGTAATCCCAGCTACTCAGGAAGCTGATGCAGGAGGATCGCTTGAACTCGGGAGGCGGAGATTGCAGTGAACCGAGATTGCGCCACTGCACTCCAGCCTGAGCGACAGAGCGAGACTCTGTCTCAAAAAAAAATTAAAAAACGAGCCTCTCCTTGCCTTCAGTGTCTCTGATTGTTTTCCTTGTACCCTGGTTAATCTGCCTTGTAACTGCCCAAAGACACGTCTGTCTCCCCACTGAATGAGGGGTCTCTGGGAGGGCAGTAAACAAGTCCAATTCCTGTCTCAGCCCATCACTCACTCCCACTCAGGCCCCAGCCCTAATGTCGCCTTTTCAGAGGGGTCCTGACTGCCCAAAATAAAGTAACGTCTCCTTGCTCTTCATCACATTTCTGGAAAATTCTAGGAGTGGGTGGGAAAGTCATAAATGTCCTGTCTCAGAGTCTGACCCTCTGGAGGCCTCAGATTGGCCCCCAGCTCCTTCCAGACTCCAGCAAGGTCCCCGGGAAGCTGACATGTGTTAAGTGCCAGGTCCCTCTGTCATCTGTACTTTGCAACTGGGGAAAGTGAGGCATGGAGTCATCCAAAGTCATAAAGTAGGGAGTAGAGTCTGGGACTTGGACCCAAGCCTGCCTGTCTCCAGAACCTGCCTGTTACCTGCCACCCGAGGTACGCTACCCCCAACGCCATCCGCCCCCCAAGTCCAACCTCTCAGGCTGCAGCCATAAGGACCCAGGATGGCTGACATCACTTCACATTTATCGGGTGCCCACTGCATACCAACTACACACTGGGATCCCAGCAGAGAACAGAGTAGACAAGAAATTTCACTCCATGGAGCCAATATTCTGGACATGGTGGAGATGAGGGAGTGGCAAAGACTCTATATCTTAATTTTTTTTCAGAAATGGGGTCTTGCTATGTTGCCCAGGCTGGTCTTGAACTCCTGGGCTCAAGTGATCTGCCCAACTTGCCTCTCAAAGTGCTGGGATTACAGGCATGAGCCACCTGATCTGGCCCTGCATTTTGATAATTTGTTTGTTTTGTTATTGTCAGGTGGAGAGAAAAATAAGGCAGGAAAAGGAATGAGGAGTCAGGCAGTGGGGGCTGTAATTTTCTTTTTTTTTTTTTTTCCAAGACAAAATCTCTCTCTGTCGCCCAGGCTGGAATGCAGTGCCACCATCTCAGCTCACTGCAACCTCCATCTCCCAGGTTCAAGTGATTCTCCTGCCTCAGCCTCCCAAGCAGCTGGGATTACAGGCGCCCACCACCACGCCTGGCTAATCTTTGCATTTTTAGTAGAGACGGGGTTTCACCTTGTTGGCCAGGCTGGTCTTGAACTCCTGGCCTCAGGTGATCTGCCCACCTCAGGCTCCCAAAGTGCTGGGATTACAGGTGTGAGCCACGGTGCCTGGCAGGGCTACAATTTTAAAGAGGGAGGTCAGGAAGCCCTCCCTGAGAAGGTAGGGAGGTGAGGGAGGAAACCCTGATGATAGAACATTCTAGAAAGGGGGAAGAGCCAGTGCAAAGGCCCTGAGGCAGGGCCAGGCATCCTGGACTCGAGGCACAGAGAGGTGGCTTATGCCTGCCCTCACCAACATCCCAGATGGAGAAACAAAACCCAGAGGACCACCTCCCTCCCGTCCTGTTACCGTCTGGGTGCCATCACCCTAAAAAGCCCAGCCCCTATTCCCCTGTCCCTGCTGTGGCTCATCACACCTGCCAGATCACAGAGGAGTGCCAGGGACAAGGGATGCCCCCTCCCAGTTTGGACGGGGATGGAGGGGACAGTCCGGGTCACAGTGCCGTGGCTCAACAGAACCTCAGATCTAGGCTCCAGCATCCAAGTGTCTAAATTCCCTCCCAGTGAAGCCCAGGTTCGTGGTGGGAGTGGGGAGGGTGCCCAGGCTCTTGTGGGGTACAGGGAGAGGGGACCGAGTTCTCTCTCTTTTGCCTGGGAAGGGAGCGACTGCAGGCTAGAGGCTGGCCCATCCCCCAGACACACCCGCTGCTTGTTTTTTGTTTTTTTTTTTTTGAGACAGAGTCTTGCTCTGTTGCACAGGCTGGAGTGCAGTGGTGTGATCTCTGCTCACTGCAACCTCCGCCCCCCTGGTTCAAGCAATTCTCCTGCCTCAGCCTCCTGAGTAGCTGGGACTACAGGCACACACCGCTGCACCTGGCTAATTTTTGTATTTTTAGTAGAGACAGGGTTTCGCCATGTTGGCCACGCTGGTCTCGAACTCTTGACCTCAGGCGATCCACCCACATCGGCCTCCCAAAGTGCTGGGATCACAGGTGTGAGCCACCGCGCCTGGCCCTGCTGCTTGGCTTTTGCTGTTTGTCCTCTAGGCCCCTGATCGAGGCTACCATCCCTGCATCCCTAGGGCTCCCCCATCACCTATCTGAGAACGTCCTGGCTCCTCCATCCAGCTCTGGCTGCTTGCCCACTGGCTGCTGCCGTTGCTTCTTCCTCCTCGTCCTCCCCCTCCTCTTCCTTTTTCTCCTCCTCCTCCTCCCTCTCCTCCCCCTCCTCTTCCTTTTTCTCCTCCTCCCCCTCCTCCCTCTCCTCCCCCTCGTCTTCCTCCCTTTCCTCTTCCTCCTCCCCTCCCACCTCCTCCCCACTGCCCTTCATCTCCTCTGCTTCCATACGCTCATCAGTACCCTTCCCTGGCTACTTCCCTCTCCCAGTTCAGCTGAGCCCCATTGTGTGGAGGGGAGGAGGAGAAGTCTTGGCCACTGCGTAGTCCTCCTCTCCTTCCTCCTGCCAGCTTCCTCAGCCTTCAAGGTTCGAGCACCCCAGCACAGGTGACCACTGCACATACAGGACGACAAAGTAACCGTGCAAAAGCAGTAGGGTCCCATAACCTTTCACTCCTCAAGTCCCCTTGAGCAAGGACTCTCCAGGGTATGCTGTGGTTGGACTGGGGGTTCCCAAGGACCTTCAGTCTCTTCATCTACTCCTCTCTCTACTCTATGACTCCTTGCTTAGTTTGCTCCAGCCACCCCAGCCTCATTGCATTCCTCCAACACACCATGCCTGTTCCAGCCTCAGGGCCTTTGCACCTGCTGGGCCTTCTGCCCGGAGCACTCTTCCTCCAGATGTCTAGCTGCTCCTTCAAGCCTCATCCTTGTCCCCATCACCTTCTCCCTGCGGGGACATCAGCTCCGTAAGGCTTCCTGTGGCTGTCTGTCCCCAGTGCCTCCCACTGCAGACACTTCCTAAGTCTGTGCTGAATGAACAAATGACAGACAGACAGACAGACAGGGGTGGGAGGAAAGTGGGGCCAGGCACAGGGCAGAAGGGGTCCCCAGGGCATAGCTGATAGGAAATGATCACTCTTCAGACACAGTGTCATGGGACCCTGGATTAAAATCTGTCTCTGGGAGTCCAGGAGGGGGTAGGGAGGGAAAGCTGAGCTGAGCTCCAGGCGGTTCAGTGTGTGTGTGTGTGACAGCATCCTATTAACAAAGGTATAAAGTCCAGACTCAGGGAGGGGAAGGTCTCTTCTATGCTACTCTGTTTTTTGTTTGTTTGTTTTTGAGACAGTGTCTTGCTCTGTCACCCAGGCTGGAGTGCAGTAGTGCAGTAGTGCGATCTTGGCTCACTGCAACCTCTGCCTCCTGGGTTCAAGCAATTCTCCTGTCTCAACCTCCCAAGTAGCTGGGATTACAGGAGCATGCCACCACACAGGGTTAATTTTTATATTTTTAGTAGAGACGGGGTTTCACTATATTGGCCAGGCTGGTCTCGAACTCCTGACCTCAGGTGATCTGCCCGCCTCGGCCTCTCAAAGTGCTGGGATTACAGGCGTGAGCCACCGCGCCGGGCCTCTCTATGCTACTCTGGTCAGAGCCATGATGGGTCTGAGGGGCCTATTCAAGGATGGCAAAGAAAAGCCTGCGCTTGGCCAGGCACAGTGGCTCATGCCTATAATCCTAGTGCTTTGGGAGGTTGAGGCTGGAGGCTCGCTTGAGGCCAGGAGTTCAAGACCAGCCCGGGCAACATAGTAAGACCCCTGTCCATGTGTATAAAATTTTTTTTTAAGGATTAGCTAGGCCTGGTGGTGCATGCCTGTGGTCCCAGCTCTCAGGAGGCTGAGGTTGAGCTCAGGAGGTCGAGGCTGCAGTGAGTTATGATCATGCCACTGCACTCCAACCTGAGCGACAGAGCAAGATTCTGCCTTTGAAAGAAAGAAAGAGGCCGAGTGCAGTGGCTCATGCCTGTAATCCCAGTACTTTAGGAGGCTGAGGCGTTTGAGCTCAATAGTTTCAGACCAGCCTGGGCAACTGGCAAAACTCTACAAAATCACTACAAAAAAATGCAAAAATTAGCCAGGTGTGGTGGCTTATGCCTGTAGTCCCAGGCTGATTGCTTAAACTTGGGAGGTGGAGGTTGCAGTGGGCGAAGATCGCACCACTGCACCCCAGCCTGGGCAACAGAGCCAGAACTTGTCTTGAAAAAACAAAACAAAAACAAGAAAGAAAAGCAAAGAAAAGAGCTTGTACTGAAAGGCATGGGGAACAGAACAGGGTTGGTAAAGAGCAGCCACAAAAGAAAGTGAGACGGGCTGGGCGCAGTGGCTCACACCTGTAATCCCAGCACTTTGGGAGGCCGAGGCAGGTGCATCACCTGAGGTCAGGAGTTCGAGACCAGCCTGGCCAACATGGTGAAACCCACCCCCCTTCATCTCTACTAATAATATAAAAATTAGCCAGGTGTGGTGGTTCGCACCTGTAATCCCAGCTACTCAGGAGGCTGAGGCAGGAGAATTGCTTGAACCCGGGAGGTGGAGGTTGCAGTGGGCCGAGATCGCACCATTGCACTCCAGCCTGGGCGACAAGAACGAAACTCCATTCCAAAAAATAAAAAAAATAATAATTAAAAAAACAGTAAGATGCCTGCTACTGAATTATCAAACAGGGGTTTCAAGACCCTTTCCTCCTATGACAGCCCCAGCTCCCTTGGCTCCCAGCTTGCCACCCACTCCTGGTTTTCCTTCTGCCCTCTTTCTGCTGTCTCCCAAGCTCCCAGCTTGCTTTAAAGCCCATCCTACGCCGTACCACCTGGGTGTCTAGCAGCATGGCAATTTCCAGATGCTGAGAACAGATTGCTGACTTACACCTAAAGCTTCTCCCCCATGAGCAGCTGCTCCCTCCCCCGGCCTCTCCATATCTCTCCAAGATCCACCCAAGTCTCACCCGTCCACGCCTTCACCTGGTCCAGCCCCACCATTACTCCCCTGGCCTGGTGCAGTCCCTTCCATCCTGGTCTCCAGGCTCCTGCCTTCGACCCCTGCAGTCTGTTCCCTGAGCTCTAAATAATGCCAAATGCTTGTTCAAGGCTGGCAGGCTGGCTCTGCCCTTCTTCCTCTCCCCTCTTCTGGATCTTACAACCCTGGCTTTGTGGTTGTTTCATCCAAGCACCCTGGCAGTTTCTCTCCTCTGCAATTTGCCCACTGGTCTCTTGGCCTGGTTAACTCCTCCTTACCCTTAGCGACCCAGCCAACTGTCACCTCCTCCAGGAGGCCTTCCCTGACTCCTCCTTAGGCTGAGTCAGGTGACTCCTCTGGACTCCCCCTGACCCCAGGCATGACTCTGAATTTTTTTTTTTTTTTTTTTTTTTGGAGATAGTCTCACTTTGTTGCCCAGGCTGGAGTGCAGTGGCGCGATCTCGGCTCACTGCAAATTCTGCCTCCCAGGTTCAAGAGATTCTCCTGCCTCAGTCTCCCATGCAGCTGAGATTACAGGTACATGCCACCACGCCCGGCTAATTTTTGTATTTCTAGTAGAGATGGGGTTTCACCATGTTGGCCAGGCTGCTCTCGAACTCCTGACCTTAGGTGATCTGCCTGCCTCAGCTTCCCAAAGTGCTGGGATTACAGGCGTGAGCCACCACGCCCAGCCCCTCCGTGATATTTTAATAGCCTCCAGCTCTGTGATATTCTCGTGATATTTTAATAGCCTGTTTAGCACGTATTCACAACCAGCCAGGCACTGTGTTCAGCTCTTTACCTATAGGTCATGACTGCTATTATCCCATTTTACAGGTGGAGAAACTGAAGCAGGAAGTGGTGAAGTCAGTAGCCCGGAGGCCCTCAACTCAAAGTGGCAGGACAGGGCTGGGGGGTGGTCAGGCTCAAGCCCAGCCAGTCGGAAAGGGAGAAGCTTGTGGTGCTCAGAGAAGGGGACAGGGCAGCGAGCTCCCAAGGCACCTGCCTTTCTGTGCCATCCCACGGGTGGGAGGAGGGAACCTGGGCCCACTTCTGCTGCCAACTACAGGCATCCCAGTGGCTCCTGAGCCAAGACATTCTGTGCCACGCACTGGGTCAACCGCTTTATTCAACCTGCAGACAGCCCTGGGTCAGGAGGTGGACACTGTTGTGAATTTCTCAGAGGAGAAATGGAAGCCCATACATCCCCCTGAACTCCCACCGGGCGTTAGAACCCTCTCCGGTTCCTTAGGGGTGTGGCTGCCACCGAGATCTGCCTAGCCTCGGCTTTCATCGATCCATGAACACTCCCAGGCTCAGATACTACTGACCCATTTTACAGATGGGTAAACTGAAGCTCAGAAACCTTTCCCTGGGGGCCCTACAGCCAGTTCAACGACCAAGGCCGCCCCCCACCCCCCACACCCCAGGCTCAAAGTACCTCTGCTGGCAGTGGGTGAGCTGGAAAAACAGGTAAGGAAAGTCCTCAATGCCTCTTCCTCCACGCCTGGCTGGGCCTGCTGGGGCCCAGGTGCACTGAATGAGGCTTCTAATCAGTCCCCCAGCTCCACTTCTGTGTTTATTCACAGCAGCTGCTCCTGGAAGGCAGACCCATTTGAGGCTGGGGGAGGCCGAGGGCTTCAAAGACAATTCCACAGTCCAGGAACCCTATCCCCATATAACAGACCCAGGTCGCCCCAGTGGGGTCACCCTGGCCTCTGCGCTCAGATGCCTGAGACCTTGCCTGAGCTCAGACTGGAGTCGATGGGAGCATTCCCCCATCTGGTAGGTTTTGCAAACCACAACAGCCTCTCCCCCTGCCCACCTTCCTGTGTCCCCCAGAGCAGCTTCTCCTCAAGTCTCCCAACCCAGCAATGAAAGCCTCTTCTATATACTCCTAACTACCCAGGAGAAACATCGGTCCCCCACGCTCCACTTGCAAACAGACAGAATTAGACGATGTTACTCTGCCAAAGCGAATTTTCAGTTCACCCACTTCCTATCACACCTTCCAGCCAGGTCAAGCCAGAAGCCCCCTTCCAAGTATCCCCATCTCTCCTACCCACAGCGGCTACGGGATGTTCTTAAGACACAATCCGATCACGCCATGCACCTGCTGTTCCAAGCCTCCCTGGTCCCCACCGCCCCGAGAACGGGTTCCACACTCTCCTCGCCGCTTCCCAGGCCCCGGCCAACCTCTCTCCACCTCAGACCCTCCCTCTCCGCGTTTCAGCCAGGCTGGCCTCTTTTCTGCTCCGCACACACTCCCGGCTAGGCCCTGGGCCTAAAAAGCCCTCGCTGGCTGGTCCAACCAGGCCAAATGACATTATCCCCGCCTGGGCACCTCCACCTCACCCCGGCCGCCTGATGGGTTAGCTCGGGCTTGGAATGACGTGTTTAAGCGGTTCTCAGAAGCCGTCTACGCGGCCGGGCTGCGGACTCCGAGGCCAGGGCCCCAGCTGCGTCCCCAGCCCTGGCACGTCGGGGAAACGGGGCGCTCCCCCGGCTCACACATCCGGATTCCCCCGCGTCACGAGGCCAGGATCGCCCCTACTCGCTCCAGCCCGTTTCACAGCCGCGTCCTCGGGCACCCGTTGCGCCCCGGCCCTCGTGGGGGAGCGCGGATAGCTCGGGGAGACGGCCATGATGGGAAGCCCCGAGGGGGACAGTCCCCGGCGGGGTGATGGGGGCTGGAGCCCAGCTGCGAGTGGGGGCCGGGCTGGGGCCGCCATGGCCGCGGAGGCGGGGCCGGGGACCGCCGTGAGGGTGGCGTTCGGGGCGGTGTTCGCGGCGCGGGGTGCTCGCTTACCTGGGGGTGCAGGCGGCCGGGCGCACCGAGGGCCGGCGGCGGGGCTGGGGACGGCGCGCCTAGCGGGCTACCCGGAGCAGCTGCAGACACGCGCCGCCCGCCCCAGGCAGCCGGACTCTGCTCCTGGCCGGGCCTCGGCCCCCAGCAGGGGAAAAAAGGCTTGAGTGGGGGGAGCCCGGGGCGGGGCCGTGGGGGCGGGGCCTGGGCGGGGCACGCGCCCCGGAACGGTGGGGCCTGGCGCGGGGCTGGGGCCCTGGAGAGGCGGGGCCTGGCGCGGGGCGGGGGACTTGGAGGGGCAGGGCCTGGAGCGGGCGCCGGGTCCTCCAGGCGCTTGCCCCCCTCGACGCAACTAGGCCTCTCCCTGGCCCCCGACCCCGCACCCGCACCCCATCCCCGCCCCCGTCCCCGCCCCCCCATTCTCGCCCCCGCCCCCGTTCCCGCTCCGCCCATCTCTGCCCCGCGGCGCGCCTGGCCCGGGTCCAGCCTAGCGTTTCTAGTCTGCGCCTTATCTCTCCCCTTTGAACCCAGTATTGTCCGCTGCGCGCTCCGTCCGGCCCCGGCTTCACCCCTGTTCGCTGTCTGTCTCCCCGGCCCCCTCCCAGGTCCCCTCTTCTGCCCGAGATGCTCTGGCTCTGCTCATCTGTCCACACCCCCACACTCCCGGGGCGCCCTGAGCCTCTGGGGCGCGCAGTTGGATGGTGCACAGGGGAGGCCCAGATTTCTCCAGGCCTCAGCGGCCACCCTGGGTACCCCGAGTCTGGGGCCCTGTTGGAGGGCCAGTCCAGGGGTTCGCCCGAGGCGCGCGCGGGGGCCAACCGAGGCGGTGAGGGCACCGGGCAAAGGCTGCGATTTGGTGGGGTGCAGGGGTCAGGCGACAGAGCTGGGGAGATAAGATGGGAGATAGGCCGGGTGGGTGGTGGCGCAGCCCTGGTTTTGGCTGAGGGCAGCAGCAGTGGGGGCTGGGTCCCCCGCTTGCCTGGTAGAACCGAAAATGACCCAGTCTCAGCAGCGCGCAGGGGCAGGGAGCCTGGGCGATCCCTGAACAGAGGACAGCCCCAGGGGTTTTCATAGTCGCTGGCCCACCGCATGTACTCTGGGCAAGTGGCTTCGCCTTTGGACAATAAGCCTCTGTAAAATGGGGATAATAAACCTTTCTCTGACTCAGCTCAGCAGACCCAAGACCCATGGGGTGAAGTTGGGGCCTCCCTGCCACAGGGCCCTAGGCAAGCTGAGATTTGATTTCCTCACACAGACAGGGGCGCGGGGGGCGGGGCGGTCAGGGAGGCAGGAGACCTCTGTTGCAAGTGTGGAAGAACCTGTCCCTCCAAGTTCAGACTCCTGGCGTTTGCACTTGGCCTTCCCTCTGCTACACTGTTTCTCTTTTCTTTTTTCTTTTTCTTTTTTTTTTTTTGAGACGGAGTCTTGCATTGTGGCCCGGGCTGGACTGCAATGGCATGATCTCGGCTCACTGCAACTTCTGCATCCTGGTTTCATTCGATTCTCCTGCCTCAGCCTCCCGAGTAGCTAGGATTACAGGCGCCCACAACACCCGGCTAATTTATATATATATATATTTTTTTTTTTGGAGAGACGGGGGTTTCACAATGTTGGCCAGACTGATCTCAAACTCCTGACCTCGTGATCCACCAGCCTTGGCTTCCCAAAGTGCTGGGATTACAGGCGTGAGCCAGCATGCCCGACCTTCTCTTTTCTTTTTTTAAAAAAATCTGTTAGAGGCTGGGTGCGGTGGCTCACACCTGTAATCCCAGCACTTTGGGAGGCTGAGGCGGGTGGATCACCTGAGGTCAGGAGTTTGAGACCAGCCTGGCCAACGTGGCAAAATCCCATCTCTACTAAAAACACAAAAATTAGCCTGGAGTAGAATTACGTGAACCCAGGAGGCAGAGGTTGCAGTGCGTGGAGATCGTGCCACTGCACTCCAGCCTGGACAACAGAGTGAGACTCTATCAAAAAAAATTTCGTTAAAGATGGGAGTCTCACTCTGTTGCCCAGGCTAGAATGGAATGTCATGATCCCAGCTCATTGCAGCCTGGGACTCCAGGGCTCAAGCAGTCCTCTCACCTCAGCCTCCAGAGGAGCTAGGACTATAGATGCCTGCCACCATGCCCGGCTAATTTTTTTTTGTTTTAAATAAAAAAACTTTGGTAGGCAGGGTGTGGTGGCTCATGCCTGTAATCCCAGCACTTTGGGAGGCCGAGGCAGGTGGATCACGTGAGGTCAGGAGTTCGAGACCAGCCTGGCCAATATGGCGAAACCCCTTCTCTACTAAAAATACCAAAGTTAGCTGGGCATGGTGTTGCGCACCTGTAATCCCAGCTACTCGAGAGTCTGAGGCAGGAGAATCACTTGAACCCAGGAGGCGGAGGTTGCAGTGAGTCAAAATCGTGCCGCTGCACTCCAGCCTGGGTGACAGAGCAAGACTCTGTCTCAATTAAAAAAAACAAAAAAAAAAACTTTGGTAGAGGTGGGGTCTTGCTATGTTGCCCAGGCTGGTCTGGAACGCTTAGGCTCAAGTGATCCTTCCGCCTCCGCTTTCCAAGGTGCTGGGATTACAGGCAAGAGCCACTGTGCCCCAGCCTCTTTCCCTTTTCAAATGCATACATACTTCTCCCTGAGCCTCAGTCCCCTCCTCCTTCCTCCATTGCCTGCTTTACCCCACCCCCACCATATTCACCTGTTTATTTTCTCCTCTCCTTCCCTCCAAGAGCTTGTTTGCACACCTGGAAAAGAAAGATAATAAAGCAACTCTTCTCAGTTGTTGTGACTAGGGAGTTATTGAATATCACATGTCGCATACTCCAGGGTGCTCAGAGCATGGCATTTGTTTGTATTAATAATAATATATGACCGGGCTTGGTCGCTCACACCTGTAATCCTAGCACTTTGGAAGGCTGAGGTGAGTGGATTGCTGGAGCTCAGGAGTTTGAGACAAGCCTCGGTAACATGGCAAGAGCCCCATCTCTACCAAAAATACAAAAATTAGCCAAGCGTGGTGGTGTGCTCCTATAGTCCCAGCTACTCAGAAGGCTGAAGTGGGAGGATCACTTGAGCCCAGAAGTCAAGGCTGAGGTGAACTATGATCATGCCACTGAACTCCAGCCTGGGCAACAGAGTGAGATCCTGTCTCAATTAAAAAAAAAAAAAAGAGACACCAGCCTGGGCAACATAGTGAGACCCCGGTATCTACAAACAATAACGATAATATAATACAGGATACATGGTGGAATGGTGGAGTCCACGCCCCAGTGGAGAAGCCCCAGGACTCCGGAGAAGTGGAGTAGGGGAGCTCAAAAGAGGACCTGGGCAGGCCAGGGCTGGAGAGAGATTTCAGGTGGAAGGTACCACATGGGGCAAAGGTTGGGAAGCTGGAGGAAGACACCTGGGGTCAGCCAGGCAGGAAGGGACCCAGGCTGCACCTTCTGCAGTTGGGCAGCTTCTCGCCTGTCCTCACCTTCCACCCCGATCCCTGACCATGGAGCTCAGGCCGGACCCCAAGCTTGAGAGTGAGTGGGTGTTCAAGGCAGGCTTCCTGGAAGAGGTGACATCTGAGCCCTGAGAAATGAGCGGGTGGGGGAACTATACTGAGAGGAAGTTTCCTGGGAGGACAGCAGGGCTGGCCCAGCCACAATAAGCCCTCCTGGGTTCTCTCCAGGGAGAGGCACCAATGGACTTACTGATTTATTTTGAGATGGAGTCTCACTCTGTCATCCAGGCTGGAGTGCAGTGGCACGATCTCAGCTCACTGCAACCTCTGCCTCCTAGGTTCAAGTGATTCTCCTGCCTTGGCCTCCCGAGTAGCTGGGATTACAGGCGCACACCACCACGCCCGGCTAATTTTTGTATTTTTTGTAGAGACGGGGTTTCACCATGTTGGAGAGGCTGGTCTTGAACTCCTGACCTCGAGTGATCCCTCAAGGGATTATGGGCATGAGTCAATGCACCTGGCCAACAATTGGACTTAAAATTAGGAAAGAACAGAGTGGGAGGCTGGGAAGGTGTCACTCTACCGTGGGCAGCTGGATGGGAGGACCTGGGGCCTGGTTCGGGGGTGATGAATAGGAGAAGAGGGAGGGATTCCAGGGGGCTTTAGAGGTAAAATTACCAGAACTCAGGCGATGAGGGGAGGCTAGTGGTGGCAGTGAGGGCCACCTCCTCTGCTCGCCTTTCTCCAAGGGTCCCCCCTGCTCCATGCCTAAATATCCTCATCTACCCGAATAGGTACTTGGCACCTGATCTCTCCCACCTGCCACCTGTCCCCTGCCCAGCTTCCCAGGGCACTTGGCAACCCAGCATGAGTCCAGCAAGCAGGCTAACCGGTTCTCATTGATGATGTCTCCTGCCAAGCCAGGCCCTGCACCCACCTGAGGTTCCTAGTGGTTGAGTGGAATCACAGCCCTAGAACCCTGGGTGAGGAGAGGGCAGTGGCAAACCTTGTCCTGGAGCAGTGACAACCTGGTCAGTGCCAGGGCCTGTGCAAAGTGATGTAAAAAGATGGATATGACCGGCCCTCTCTGTGAAGCAGGTGCACTTAAACTTCCCATTTTAGGCCAGCTGTGATGGCTCAAGCCTTGTAGTCCCAGCACTTTGGGAGGCCAAGGTGGGAAGATCGCTTGAGCCCAAGAGGTTTTTCATTTTTTTCTTTTTTGAAACGGAGTCTCACTTGGTTACCCAGGCTGGAGTGCAACCTCTGCCTCCTGGGTTCAAGCGATTCTACTGCCTCAGGAGCAGCTGGGATCACAGGGGTGCACCACCATGCCTGGCTAATTTTTGTATTTTTAGTAGAGATGGGGTTTCACCATGTTGGCCAGGCTGGTCTCAAACTCCTGACCTCAGGTAGTCCGCCCGCCTCCCAAAGTTCTGGGATTACAGGCATGAGCCACCACGCCCAGCCTAAAGAATTTTAAGAATTAGCTGGCATGTACCTGTAGTCCTAGCTACTTGGAAGGCTGAGTCAGGAGGATTACTTGAGTCCAGGAGGTCGAGGCTGCAGTGAGCCATGATTGCGCCACTGCACTCCAGCCCGGGTAATAGAGCGAGACCCTGTCTCAAAGAAAAAAAAAAAAAGAAAAATCCCATTTTAGAGATGAGCCCAGAGTGGTGCAGGAAGCTACACAAAGCCACACAGCCACAAGGTGGATGAACTGGGAGGAGGTGCTTTTAACCTAGCTCTGCCTGCCATTATCTCCATTCAGCAAAGAAGAAAAACCTTGGCCGGGCACGGTGACTCATGCCTGTAATCCCAGCTACCCAGGAGGCTGAGGCAGGAGAATCGCTTGAACCCAGGAGGCGGAGGTTGCAGTGAGATCGCACCACTGCCCTCCAGCCTGGGTGACAAAGTGAGACTCCATCTCAAAAAAAAAAAAAAAAAAAAGGACAAAACCACAAAAACAAAACCTGGAGCCAGCTGCATTGTCACCAGCTATCCCACGTTCTGGGGACTGAGGAATTTCCTGCAACACAGAATGTCAAGCCTCCGAGTCCAAGCCTGCACGTGTATTTCTAGATGGCCTGAAGCAACTGAAGAATCACAAAAGAAGTGAAAATGCCTGGTTCCTGCCTTAACTGATGACATTACCTTGTGAAATTCCTTCTCCTGGCTCAGAAGCTCCCCCACTGAGCACCTTGTGACCTCCGCCCCTGCCTACCAGAGAACAAACCCCTTTGACTGTAGTTTTCCACTACCTACCCAAATCCTATAAAACAGCCTCACCCCATCTTCCTTCGCTGACTCCTTTTTTGGACTCAGCCCGCCTGCACCCAGGTGATTGAAAAGCTTTACTGCTCACACAAAGCCTGTTTGGCGGTCTCTTCACATGGATGCGCATGACATGGAATTTTTAGGGCTAATGTCAGGACAGTCCCAAGCAAACCATGACGCTTGGTCACCCTACCAATGTAATGCCCAACCTTGTTTTTACTAACCCTGTTTTTAGACTCTCCCTTTCCTTTAATCACCTAGCCTTGTTTCCACCTGAATTGACTCTCCCTTAGCTAAGAGAGCCAGACAGACTCCATCTTGGCTCTTTCACTAGCAGCCTCTTCCTCAAAGACTTAACTTGTGCAAGCTGACTCCCAGCACATCCAAGAATGCAATTAATCGATAAGATACTGGGGCGAGCAATATCTGCAGTTCCCAGGAATTCGTCTGATTGATAACGCCCAAAGCCCCGCGTCTATCACCTTGCAATAGTCTTAAAGCCCCTGCACCTAGAACTGTTTACTTTCCTATAACCATTTATCCTTTTAGCTTTTTTGCCTACTTTACTTCTGTAAAATTGTTTTAACTAGACCCCCCCTCCCCTTTCTAAACCAAAGTATAAAAGAAAATCTAGTCCCTTCTTCAAGGCCAAGAAAACTTTAAACGTTAGCCGTCTCTTGGCCGCCAGCTAAATAAACGGACTCTTAATTCGTCTCAAAGTGTGGCGTTTTCTCTAACTCGCTCAAGTACAACACCAAGAGGTGAGATGACTTGCCCAAGGTCACACAGCTACCACAAGCGCCCCTGTGCCAGCACTCGCCTATTTAAGACACCATCCCCTCTCCTAGACTCGATGGGGAGGACTTTAGGGTAACCCTGGAAGCAGTTGGGTTTTTTTCTCTTTGTGTCAAAATATCCTTTCTAAAAAACATTTCAATAGTTTTTGGGGTACAGGTGGTTTTTGGCTACATGGCCAAATAACCACTAAAGAATTGATTAGTGGTGATTTCTGAGACTTTGGTGCACCCGTCACCTGAGCAGTATACACTGTACCCGATATGTGTGTGTGTGTGTTTTGAGATGGGGTTTCACTCTTGTTGCCCAGGCTGGAGTACAGTGGCGCCATCTCTGCTCACTGCAACCTCCGCCTCCGGGGCTCAAGTGATTCTCCTACCTCAGCCTCCTGAGTAGCTGGGATTACAGGCAAGCGCCACCACACCTGGCTAATTTTTTTTGTATTTTTAGTAGAGACGGGGTTTCTCCATGTTGGTCAGGCTGGTGTTGAACTCCCAACCTCAGGTGATCCACCCGCCTCGGCCTCCCAAAGTGTTGGGATTACAGGCAGGAGCAACCGCGCCTGGCCGATATATGGTCTTTTATCCCTCACCTCCCTCCCCACCCTTTCCCTCTGAATTCCTGTTTTCTTTCTTTCCTTCTTTTTGTCCTTCCTTCCTGCCTTCCTTCCCTCTCTATCTCCCTCTTTCTTGCTTGCTTTTTTTTTTTTTTTGAGACGGAGTCTCACTCTGTCGCCAGGCTGGAGTGCAGTGGCGTGATCTCGGCTCACTGCAAGCTCTGCCTCCCAGGTTCACGCCATTCTCCTGCCTCAGCCTCCCGAGTAGCTGGGACTACAGGCGTCCACCACCACGCCCAGCTAATTGTTTGTATTTTTAGTAGAGACGGAGTTTCACTGTGTTAGCCAGGATGGTCTCGATCTCCTGACCTTGTGATCCACCCACCTCCGCCTCCCAAAGTGCTGGGATTACTGGTGTGAGCCGCCGCGCCCGGCCTCTTTTTTTGAGACAGGATCTCCCTCTGTCACCCAGGCTGGAGGGCAGTGGCACAATCATAGCTCACAGAAGCCTCCACAACTCCTGGGCTCAAGTGATCCTCCTGCCTCAGCCTCTAGAATAGCTGGGACTACAGGCATGCACCACTACACCTAGCTCATTTATGTATTTATTTATTTTCTGTAGAGATGGGGGTCTCCTTCCTGCCTTTTTCTTTCTTGGGAAACTGAGTGTTTTACTTTGTGTTGCTTGGTAACAGCTTTAGAGATATAATTTTCATACCATCCAGTTTGCCTATTTCAAGTTTTCAAGTCGAAGGTTTTTGATCCATTCACAGAGTTCAGCAGTTCTCACCATCTTGTTCTTCTTTTATTTGACAAATATTAATTGTATATACTTACCAGGTACAGTGTGATCTTTTGATATATGCATACTTTGGGAACCACTTTGCTCTTTTTCTGTTTCGTTTTGTTTTTCTTTTTCTTTTCTTTCAGAGATAGGGTCTCATTCTTTCGCCCAGGCTGGAGTGCAGTGGTGTGATCATAGCTCACTGCAGCCTCGACCTCCTGGGCTCAAGTGATCCTCCCACCTCAGCCTCCTGGGTAGCTGGGACTACAGTGTGCACTATCATGGCCAGCTAATTTTTTAAAGTTTTGTAGAGATGGGGTCTCACTGTGTTGCCCAGGCTGGTCTCAAACCTGTGGCCTCAAGTGAGCCTCCCACTTTGGCCTCCCAAAGTGCTGTGATTACAGGTGGGAGGCAGTGCACCTGTCCCCATATTGTTCTTTTTAGCGGCTACATAGGATGCCACGGTTGAGCCAGACTTTGCTTATCAGTTTCCTATTGATGGACTAGGCGATTTTCGTTGTTTGTTGTTGTTGTTTGGTTGCATTTTTGGAGACAGAGTCTTGCTCTTGTCACCCAGGCTGGAGTGCAGTGGCACGATCTCGGCTCACTGCAACCTCTGCCTCCCCAGTTCAAGTAATTCTCCCGACTCAGCCTCCCCAGTAGGTGGGATCATAGGTGCCTGCCACCAAGCCCGGCTAATTATTGTGGTTTTAGTAGAGACGGGGTTTTGCCATGTTGGTCAGGCTGGTCTCGAACTCCTGACCTCAGATGGTCTGTCCGCCTCAGCCTCCCAAAATGCTGGGATTACAGACCTGAGCCACCACGCCTGGTCTAGGCGGTTGTTTTTGATCCAAGCAACGATGAATTGAATAACCTGCCGTAGAGGTCATATGTCAACCCAGCATGAAGAGATCTCATCAGTAAATTCCTAGAAGTGGAATTACTTGTCAAAGGGTGTGAGCAGGTGTATCGTGGATAACTATTGCCAAAGGTTTCTCCACAAAGGACTCATCCTCCACATGTTATCAAACATTCTAATCTTTGCTAACTGAGAGGTTTAAAAGTATGTAGTTCTCATTTGCATTTTTATTTTTTATTTTATTTATTTATTTATTTTTTTGAGACGAAGTCTCTCTCTTGTCCCCCAGGCTGGGGTGCAATGGCGTGATCTCGGCTCGCTGCAACCTCCACCTGCCTGGTTCAAGCGATTCTCCTGCCTCAGCCTCCCAAGTAGCTGGCACCACAGGCGCCTGCCACCATGCCCGGATAATTTTTATATTTTTAGTAGAGACGGGGTTTCACCATGTTGGCCAGGATGGTCTTGAACTCCTGACCTCAGGTGATCTGCCCACCTCGGTCTTCCAAACTGCTGGGATTACAGGCATGAGCCACCGCGCCTGGCCTGCATTTTTATTATTTCGAGTGAGGTTGAACATCTCTGTGTTTAAAAACTGGATCTCAGAGCCAGGCACGGTGGCTCATGCCTGTAATTCCAGCACTTTGGGAGGTCAAGGCCAGAGGATGGCTTAAGGTCAGGAGTTTGAGATGAGCCTGGGAAATAGTTAGGTTCTGTCTTTCTTTTTTTTGGAGACGGAGTCTCGCACTCTCGTCCAGGCTGCTGGAGAGCAGTGGCGCGATCTCAGCTCACTGCAAGCTCCGCCTCCCAGGTTCACGCCATTCTCCTGCCTCAGCGTCCCGAGTAGCTGGGACTACAGGCGCCTGCCACCACACCCAGCTACTTTTTTGTATTTTTTTTTTTTAGTAGAGACGGGGTTTCACCGTGTTAGCCAAGATGGTCTCGATCTCCTGACCTTGTGATCCACCTGCCTCAGCCTCCCAAAGCGCTGGGATTACAGGTGTGAGCCACTGTGCCCAGCCTGGTTCTGTCTTTCTATATACACATTTGTAAGTGGATCTTGTCCAGACGTGGTGGCTCATGCCTGTAGTCTCAGCTACTCAGGAGGCTCAGGGAGGACGATCACTTGAGTCAGGAGTTTGCAGCTGCAGTGAGCTATGATTGCACCAGTGCCCTCTAGACTGGGCAACAGAGCAAGACACTGTCTCTAAAGTAAAACTTTTTTTTTTTTTTGAGATGGAGTCTTGCTCTGTCACCCAGGCTGGAGTGCAATGGTGTGATCTCAGTTTACTGCAACCTCCACCTGCCGGGTTCAAGAGATTCTCCTGCCTCAGCCTCCCAAGTAGCTGGGATTACGGGTGCCCGCCACCATGCTTAGCTAATTTTTTCTATTTTTAGTAGAGACAGGGATTTACCATGTTGGCCAGGCTAGTCTCGAACTCCTGACCTCGGGTGATTCACCCGCCTCAGCCTCCCATGAGCCACCATGTCTGGCCTTTAAAATAAAACATTTTTAAACGTGGACCTCTAGTCTTTCCCTGGAAACGTTTTTTTTTTGTTTGTTTGTTTGTTTTTCTGCAGGCGACAGCCTTTTTGTTATTGATTTATAGAGCCTCTTTACTTTTACTGTGGTAAAATATATATAGAAGCTCTTTTTAGTATTAAAGAAATTACTTCTTATTCTGTGAGCTTCAATCTTCTTCCTCCATTTTTTTTTTTTGTTGTTGTTGTTTTTTGAGATGGAGTCTTGCTCTGTCACCCAGGCTGGAGTGCAGTGGTGTGATCTTGGCTCATTGCAGCCTCTGCCTCCTGGATTCAAGAGATTCTCCTGCTTCAGCCTCCCGAGTAGCTGAGATTATAGGCGTGCACCACCATGCCCAGCTAATTTTTGCATTTTTAGTAGAGACAGAGTTCACCATTTTGGTCAGGGTGGTTTCGAACTCCTGACCTCAGGTGATCCACCTGCCTCAGCCTCCCAAAGTGCTGGGATTACAGGCTTGGGCCACCATGCCCAGCCCTTTGGTGACTTTTATGTTTATTTTATTCTTAGAAAGGCCTTTCCTGTGCATTCAGTTGTACATCAGCCCCCGACCTACCCCAAAAAAAGCCTTTGCGGCTAAGCCCCATGGCTCATACCTGTAATCCCAGCACTCTGGGAGGCTGTGGGAGCATTGCTTGAGACCAGGAGTTCAATGCTGGAGTGAGCTGTGAGCTGTGATTGTACCACTGCACTCCAGCCTGGGTGACAGAGTGAGACTCTTGTCTGAAGAAAAATAAAAATTAAAAATAATTTGAGGCCGGGTGCGGTGGCTCATGCCTGTAATCCCAGCACTTTGGGAAGCTGAGGCGGGTGGATCACGAGTTCAGGAGATCGAGACCATCCTTGCTAACATGTTGAAACCCCATTTCTACTAAAAATACAAAAAAATTAGCCAGGTGTGGTGGCAGGCGCGCCTGTAGTCCCAGCTACTTGGGAGGCTGAGGCAGGAGAATGGCGTGAACCCAGGAGGTGGAGCTTACAGTGAGCCAAGATCGCGCCACTGGACTCCAGCCTGGGCGACAGAGCGAGACTCTGTCTCAAAATAATAATAATAATAATAATAATAATAATAATAATAATAATTTGAGTGTATTTCAGTGTGGGGAAGGGCTTTTTTTTTTTTTTTTTTTTTTTGAGACAGAGTCTTGCTCTGTCATCCAGGCTGGAGTGCAGTGGCGCGATCTCGGCTCACTGCAAGCTCCACCTCCTGGGTTCAAGGGATTCTCCTGGCTCAGCCTCCTGAGTAGCTACGATTACAGGCACGAGCCACCATGCCCGGCTCATTTTTTTTTGTATTTTTAGTAGAGACAGGTTTCGCCATGTTGGCCAGGCTGGTCTCGAACTCCTGATCTTGTGATCCGCCCACCTTCACCTCCCAAAGTGCTGGGATTACAGGCATGAGCCACTGCACCTGGCCGGCTTTTTGTTTCTTTTCTTTCTGTTGTTTTGTTTTTCAGAGATAGTGTCTTGCTCTGTGGCCCAGGCTGGAGTGCAATGGTGAGATCATAGCTTACTGCAGCCAGGACCTCCTGGGTTCAAATAATCCTCCCGCCTCAGCCTCCTGAGTAGATGGGACACAGGCATAAGCCACCACGTCAGGCCATGCATGACCTTCTTAGAAGGCCAGCAATCATTGGATCATATCACACTTTAATCCAGGATAACCTCATCTTAACTTGGTTACAACTGCAAAGACTCTGTTTCTAAATAAGGTTAAATTCACACGTGCCCAGCTTTAACAAATCTCCTTGGAGGACACAATTCAAACCACACTACCTACAAGCATTTTTTTTTTTTTTTTTGAGACAGAGTCTCGCTCTGTCGCCCAGACTGGAGTGCAGTGGTTTGATCTCGGCTCACTGCAAGCTCCGCCTCCCGGATTCACGCCATTCTCCTGCCTCAGTCTCCCGAGTAGCTGGGACTGCAGGCGCCCGCCACCACGCCTGGCTAATTTTTTGTATTTTTACTAGAGACGGGTTTTCACCATGTTAGCCAGGATGGTCTCGATCTCCTGACCTCGTGATTCACCCGTCTCGGCCTCCCAAAGTGCTGGGATTACAGGCATGAGCCACTGCGCCTGGCTGCATTTTTTTTTAAATGTGTTCATTTTTCCAAAAATTGACTCTCTAGAATCATGCTGGAAAGTTAAATGTAAACTATTGCATACAAATTTGCAGAGGAAAAAAATGCCTTCCCTTCAAAAAAAAAACCTTTCAATGAATTATTTCTTTTTTTGGTTTTGAGAGTTAGCTTGTAATCTCCATTATAGCCCGCATCTTGTTAACTACAGCATGGAATGGATTCATTGTCATATTGGTACTTTCCAGAAGATACAGTTCTTTCCCATCAATGCTTTTTGCCTCTGTTCTGGGGTTTTCGTGCGTGTTTAATTAGAGGGGGCTTCTTTTCTGGGATCAGTGAGCCAAAGCTAATGAACAGGCTCCTTGGTCAATCCAGGTCAGTACTGGGGGCGTTTGATGGGGAGGTGTGGGTGAGAACAGGATGTTCGAGGCATGAGTAGGATCCCAAAGAGGAAGTGTCCCTCAGCTGAGGGGGTGGGTGAGTGTGAAGAGGAGCTGTGGAGGAGAGAAGGGGCTCCACTGAAACAAAAGTTGGGCCGGTGTAGTGTGGCTCATGCCTGTAATTCCCATGCTTTGGGAAGCCAATGTGGGAGGATTGCTTAAGGGCAGGAGTTTGAGACCAGCCTGGGCAACATAGAGACCCCATCTCTACAAAAACAAACAAACAAAACCAGACCTGGCGGCACGTGCTTTCGGCCCCAGCTACTTGGGAGGCTGAAGTGGGAGGATCGATTGAGCACAGTTCTAGGATGCAGTGGGCTATGATGGTACCACTGCATTCCAGCATGGGTGACCCTGTCTCAAAAAAACAACAAGGCCAGGTGCAGTGGCTCATGCCTGTAATCCCAACACTTTGGGAGGCCGAGGCAGGCAGATCACTTGAGGTCAGGAGTTCGAGACTAGCCTGGCCAACATGGTGAAACCTCCTCTCTACTAAAAATACAAAAATTAGCCAGGCATGGTGGAGGGTTCCTGTAATCCCAGCTACTCGGGAGGCTGAGGCAAGAGAATTGGTTGAACCTGGGAGGTGGAGACTGCAGTGAGCCGAGATCGCACCACTGCAGTCCAGCCTGGGCAACAAGAGCAAAACTCCATCTCAAAAAAATAAAAATAAAAATTAAGCCAGGCGTGGTGGCTCATGCCTATAATCCCAGCACTTTGGGAGGCTGAGGCGGGTGGATCACGAGGTCAGGAGATCGAGACCATCCTAGCTAACACGGTGACACCCCGTCTCTAGGAAAAATACAAAAAATTAGCCAGGCGTGGTGGTGGGCACCTGTAGTCCCAGCTACTCCGGAGGCTAAGGCAGGAGAATGGTGTGAACCCGGGAGGCGGAGCTTGCAGTGAGCCAAGATCGCGCCACTGCACTCCAGCCTGGGTGACAGAGCGAGAATCCGTCTCAAAAAAAAAAAAAATAGAGTGACCAGGGCTGCAGGGTGGGAGGTGAGTGGAGAGAACGGAGCAAAACAGAGTCCGGTTCCGAGATGAGGGTGTCTGGAGTCTGGGGGACCCAGGGAAGGGAGGAGGGGGAGGCAGAGGATGGGAAGGTCTACCCCCCAGGCCTGGACTATGCTGGGCAGGCGGGCCTGGCTCGGTGCCCATCTCTGGGCAGGGAGCACAGGGTGAAAGCAGATCTGGAGGGAAGATGTGGCATTGGATGTTAGAAGGTGCAGATCTCCAGGGGGCTGTGGGAGGTGCACATAGAGGAAGCTCAGAGTGTGTGTCTGGGCTGGAGACAGGATGTCCTTGGTGTCTGCTCAGAAGGGAGGTGCACGGTAGTTGAAGGCCCCTTGGGTAAAGACAGGAGGAAGTATGGGGAGAAGCTAGTCCCAGCTGCAAGGCAGACACCTGGTTGGGGTGTGTTTCATCTCTCATGCCACTGTACTCCAGCCTGGGCGATAGAGTGAGACTCTGTCACAAAAAAAAAAAAAAAAAAAAAAAAGACAGGGTCTCACTCTGTTGCCCAGGCTGGAGTACAGTGGCATAATCATAGCTCACTGCAACCTCCAGCTCTCAGGCTCAAGCCATCTTCAGCCTCCCAAGTAGCTGGGACTACAGGTTCATGCCACATTTTAAATTTTGTTAGAGATGGGGTCCCACTAAGTTGCTCAGGCTGCAGACACTATTTGAAATGAACTCATCTGATCCTGCAACAGCCTTGTGAGGTGGGTCCTCTTAATTCCTCTTTGACAGGTGAGGAAACCGAAGCCCAGAGAGGTTAGGACACTGGCCCAAAGTCACACAGCCTGTGAGCCGCTGGAACCAGAACCTAGGAGCTGTGTTTCTGCTTTCGTGCAGACAGATGCATTTTCCTTTAATACTTCACTTTTTAGATGCAGAAGGGCAGGATCAGGGAGGTGGAGCGACTTGCCCAAGGTCTGGCAGTGAGTTAGTGGCCTTCCAAGCCTGTGTGTCTGAGCAAGGCTATGGGCTCTAGTTGAGAACGGGCAAAAACAGCGGTCTTGAAGGAAGCCTGCCTGATATCCGTGTCAGTGAGGATGTGGGCTGCCGGGCTGGGCGGTGGAGGAGGGTGGCTGGAGATAGGCTGGGGCATGTCAAGTCTGAACATTTAGAGTATGAACTAGACATAAGACAGCCCTGACTGGGCACGGTGGCTCATGCCTGTAATCTTAGCACTTTGGGAGGCTGAGGTGGGCAGATTGCCTGAGTTCAGGAGTTCGATACCAGCCTGGGCAACACGGTGAAACCCTATCTCTACTAAAATACAAAAAATTAGCCGGGCGTGGCGGCGTGTGCCTGTAATCCCAGCTACTCGGGAGGTTAAGGCAGGATAATTGCTTGAACCCGGGAAGCAGAGGTTGCAGTGAGCCGAGATGGTGCCACTGCACTCCAGCCTGGGTGACAGAGCGAGACTCCATCTCAAAAAAAATAAAAAAATAAAAAAATAAAAAATAAAAGAAATAGCCCTAACCCCACCCCCTTGTGACATCCCCAACTAGGCTGGACTTCCCCCATGTCTGCAACAGGCTGGGGCATCCTCCGGAAATGAGTGCGGGAGGGAGGCCAGGGCTGGGCCAGCAGAGTTGGGGGAGGGGATGGGAGTGCAGGGCTGGGGACACAGGAAGAGGCTGCAGGAAAAGAGGGGCAGTGTCCAAGCTCAGGGTCTCGGGACCTTTGGGGTTTCTGCCTTGTCCCCCTGCAACTCTGGAGGAGCAAGAGGCCTGGGGTTTCTCAGTTCTTTCCAGCCCAGGAGTCCCCTGGGGTGGCTCAGGGAGTGGGGACTTCCCTGGAGGAAAGGACCATGGAGTGAGCATCTAAACTTTTGCATTTGACTCAGAGCTTTGTCTCTTATTTTGTAAAACCCCAGTGTATGTGTGATATGTGTGCACTGACTACAAAAAAAAAAAAAAGAAAAAAGAAAGAAAAGAAACCTAGGCCAGGCACGGAGGCTCGTGCCTGTAATCCCAGCACTTTGGGAGGCCAAGGTGGGCGGATCACCTGAGGTCAGGAGTTTGAGACTAGCCTGGCCAACATGAGAAAACCCCATCTCTACCAAAAATACAAAAATTAGCTGGGCTTGGTGGCGGGTGCCTGTAATCCCAGCTACTCAGGATGCTGAGGCAGGAGAATCGCTTGAACCTGGGAGGCAGAGACTGCAGTGAGCTGAGATCATGCCACTGCACTCCAGCCTGGGCAACAGAGCGAGACTCAGTCTTAAAAAAAAAAAAAAAAAAACGAAAAACCCAAAAAACCTACTATCCCCATATATAACCAATTTGTGCTGTGCACCAACAAGAACCTGCTTTAAATTTCCATTGCAATTTACAACCCCCATATTATACCAGGCAAGGTTAGTGGCTGTTGAAAATACCACCAGGACAGGGCTATCTAAAGACACATTCAGTAGTGCATTAACTGTACAAAAAAAAAAAAAGACACTGTGTAGTTTCAAAACAAATCTTACACAGCCTTACATTTCAATTTTTTCTTTTCTTTCTTTTTTTTTTTTTTGAGACTGGGTCTCACACTGTCGCCCAGGCTAGTGTACAGTGGCGTGATCTCAGCTTGCTGCAACCTCCGCCTCACAGGTTCAAGCGATTCTCCTGCCTCAGGCTCACGAGTAGCTGGGACTACAGGCACAAGCCACCACGCCCGGCTAATTTTTGTATTATTAGTAGAGATGGGGTTTCACTATGTTGGCCAGGCTGGTCTTGAACTCCTCACCTTGTGATTCACCCACCTCGGCCTCCCAAAGTGCTGGGAGTACAGGCATGAGCCACTGTGCCCGGCCTCAGTTTTTTTCTTTAAAAAGAGTGAATTGTGTACAAGGGGGTTAAATGCTTAATGGAAAAGAAAAATGAAAGAAAGAAAGAAGAAAAAGAAAGAAAGAAAGAACGAAGGAAAAAGGAAGGAAGGAAGGAACTGCTAGAACCAACTTATTCATCATCGTCTTCTTAATCTTCCCAGCCCAAAGCCTCCTGGGCCCCTAGATCCGGGTAGGGGTGGGAGGGAGGGTCTGAAGGAGAGGGATGCTTCCCAGAGCAGAGGCATTCAAGCTGAATCTCAAAGAACAAGAATGTGCCAGGGGCAGTCAGGCAATTATGCAAAGCTGACTGCAGGTGCAAAGGCCCAGAAGTTGGAAGCTGCACCTTCAGGGCCCAAGGTTAATGATGTGAGAAGCAGCAAGAGCAGGTAGAGATCAGGCTGCAAGACAACCAGAGCTGAAGTAGAGAAAGTCCTTGGGAGTCTCAATAAAGACTTTGATCTAATCTTGGGGGTAATAGGGAGCCATGGGAGAGTTTAGAGCAGGAAGGAACATAGTCTTAGTTGTGTGCCCCAGGAATTCCCCTGGTTGCTTTATTTTCTTTTCTCTTTTTTTGTTTTTTATTTGAGACTCAGTCTCGCTGTGTTGCCCAGGCTGGAGTGCTGTGGCACGATCGTGGCTCAGGGCAAACTCCACCTTCTGGGTTCGAGCAATTCTCCTGCCTCAGCCTCCCAAGTAGCTGGGACTGAAGGCATGCACAACCATGCCAGGCTAATTTTTGTATTGTTACTAGAGATGGGGTTTCACTATGTTGGCCAGGCTGGTCTCAAACTCCTGACCTCAGGTGGTCCTCCCACCTTGGCCTCCCAAAGTGCTGGGATTACAGGTGTGAGCCACTGTGTGGGTCCTTCCTTCCTCCCTCCCTCCCTTCCTTCCTTCCTTCCCTCCCTCCCCTCCTTCTCCTCCTCCTCCTTCTGCTTCCTCTTCCTCTTCTTCTTCCTCTTCCTCTTCTTCTTCTTCTTCCTCTTCCTCTTCTTCTTCTTCCTCTTCCTCTTCCTCTTCTTCTTTCTCTCTCTCTCTTCTTTCTTTTTCTTGAGACAGGGTGTATTTGTCTTTGTCCAGTCTGGAGTGCAGTGTTACCATTGTAGCTCACTGCAGCCTCCAGCTCCCAGGCTCAAGTGATCCTCCTGCCTCAGCCTCCTGAGTAGCTGTGATTACAGGGGCATGCCACCTCATCTAATTTTTAAGTGATCCTCCTACCTGGGCTTCCCAAAGTGCTGAGATTATAGGCAAGAGCCACCATGCCTGGCCATTCCTGGTTGTTTTCTATCGGAGGGGCTGTAGGAGAGGGGGCAGGTAGGAGAAGTGAAGTCACCCAGTGCAGCGTGGGTAAGGTCTAAACAGGACAGAGGGGTGGAAGGAAGATAGGATAATTTTTTTTTTAATTTTTAGAAGCTTTTGTTTAAATATAGCACACATAAGGCCCAGCATGGTGGCTCATGCCTGTAATCCCAGCACTTTGGGAGGCTGAGGTGGGTAGATCGCTTAAG
Organism: Homo sapiens; assembly: GCF_000001405.40. Lineage (NCBI taxonomy): Eukaryota > Metazoa > Chordata > Mammalia > Primates > Hominidae > Homo > Homo sapiens. The sequence continues at coordinate 8,191,388 of NC_000019.10, read as the reverse complement.
CCCAGGAATTTGAGATCAGCCTGGGTAACATGGCAAAACCCCATCTCTATCATAATACAAAAATTAGCCAGGCATGGTGGTGCACACCTGTAATCCCAGCTACTCGAGGGGGGCTGAAGTGAGAGGATCACTTGTGCCTGGGATTTGTAGTCAGTGGAGATTGTGCCACTGTACTCCAGCCTGAGTGATAGAGTGAGACCCTGTCTCAAAAACAAACAAAGAAGAAGAAGAAAGGAAGAAAAGTGTAGCACACTTTTAGTAAAGAAAACAATGCATAAATTCATAAATGTGGCCAGGTGTGGTGGCTTATGCTTGTAATCCTAGTACTTTGGGAGGCCGAGGCAGGCAGATCACCTGAGGTCAGGAGTTCAAGACCAGCCTGACCAACATGGTGAAACCCTGTCTCTACTAAAAATACAAAAATTAGCTGGGCATCCTGTAATCCCAGCTACTTGGGAGGCTGAGGCAGGAGAATTGCTGGAACCCAGGAGGTGGAGGCTGCAGTGAGCCGAGATCACACCCCTGCACTCCAGCCTGGGCGACAGAGCAAGACTCCATCTCAAAAAAAACAAAAACCAAAACAAACAACAACAACAAGAACAAAATCATAAATATATGCCTTAAGGAATTTTTATCATGTGAATGTAGGGTATAGCCAGGACCTAGATTAGGTCAAGAACAGAACATAGGCCGGGAGCTGTGGCTCACACCTGTAATCCCAACACTTTGGGCGGCCGAGGCAGGTGGATCACAAGGTCAAGAGGTTGAGACCATCCTGGCCGACATGGTGAAACCCTGTCTCTACTAAAAATACAAAAAAATTAGCCGGGCATGGTGGTAGGCACCTGTAGTCCTAGCAACTTGGGAGACTGAGGCAGGAGAATCACTTGAACCTAGGAGGCAGAGGTTGCAGTGAGCCGAGATTGTACCACTGCACTCCAGCCTGGCTGACAGAGTGAGACTCTGTCTCAAAAAAAAAAAAAAAAAAAAAAGGCCGGGCACAGTGGCTCACACTTGTAATCCTAGCACTTTGGGAAGCCAGGCAGGTGGATCACGAGGTCAGGAGATTGAGACCATCCTGGCGAACATGGTGAAACCCCGTCTCTACTAAAAATACAAAAAAATTGGCTGGACATGGTGGCGGGCTCCTGTAGTCCCACCTACTTGGTAGGCTGAGGCAGGAGAATGGTGTGAACCCGGGAGGCGAAACTTGCAGTAAGCCGAGATCAAGCCACTGCACTCCAGCCTGGGCGACAGAGTGAGACTCTGTCTCAAAAAAAAAAAAACCAAAAAAAAAAAAAAAAAAACAACAGTCCAGGCGCGGTGGCTCTCGCCTGTAATCCCAGCACTTTGGGAGGCCGAGGCGGGTGGATCACAAGGTCAGGAGATCAAGACCATCCCGGCGAACACGGTGAAACCCTGTCTCTACTAAAAATACAAAAAAATTAGCCGGGCATGGTGGCAGGCACCTGTAGTCCCAGCTACTCGGGAGGCTGAGGCAGGAGAATGGCGTGAACCCGGGAGGCGGAACTTGCAGTGAGTGGAGATCATGCCACTGCACTCCAGCCTGGCCGACAGAGTGAGATTCCATCTCAAAAAAGGAAAAAAAAGAACAGAACATCACCAGCCCCTAGAAGTCCCCCATTGTACCCTGCCCTGCTACTCTCCACAAAGGGTAACCCCATTTTTTTTTTAAGAGATAGGGTCTTGCTGTGTCACCCAGGCTGTAGTGAAGTGGTGCGATCACGGCTCACTGCAGCCTTGACCTCCCAGGCTCAAGTGATCCTCCCACCTCAGCCCCCTAAGTAGCTGGGACTACAGGCACACACGCCATCACGCCCAGCAAATTTTTGCATTTCTTTGTAGGGATGGGTTTCACTATGTTGCCCAGGCTGGGTTGGAACTCCTGGCCTCAAGCAATCCTCATGCCTTAGCCTCCTAAAATGCTGGGATTATAGGTGCGAGCCACCGTGCCCAGCCCTTATCTTGATTTTTAACAGTCTAGAATCACTCTGTCTGCTATTTGAACATTATATAAATGAAAACAAGCAGGACGTTTCCTTTATGTTTGGTTTCTTTTGTGTAACACCAGGTTTGTGTGGTTCATCCATATTTTTGTAGGTTACAGTTATTGTTCCTTGCCATTTTTTTTTTGTTTTGTTTTCAGACAGTCTCGCTCTGTCACCCAAGCTGGAGTACCATCTCAGCTCACTGCAACCTCTGCCTCCCACGTTCAAGTGATTCTCCTGCCTCAGCCTCCCAAATAGCTGGGACCACAGGACTGTGTCACGACGCCCGGCTGATTTTTGTATTTTTAGTAGAGACAGGGTTTCACCATGCTGGCCAGGCTGGTCTCAAATTCCTGACCTCAAGTGATCCTCCCGCCTTGGCTTCCCAAAGTGCTGGGATTACAGGCATGAGACACCGCGTCCAGCCCGTTGCCATTTGGTATAGCAAGGTTTCTCAACTGCTGTTGACATTTGGAGCTGAATAATCTTTGTTCCTACACATTGTATGTATTTAGCGGCATCCCAGGCCTCTACTCACAGCGTGACAGTAACACTCCTCCCTTCGGTTCTGACAACGCAAAACATCGCTAGACATTGCCAAATATTCCCTTAGAAGCGATAAGATCACCACCCAGTCGACTAGACGTGGTGGCTCACGCCTGTAATCCCAGCACTTTGGGAGGCCAAGGCAGGTGGATCACCTGAGGTCGGGAGTTCGAGGCCAGCCTGACCAACATGGAGAAACCCCATTTCTACTAAAAACACAAACATTAGCCAGGCGCGGTGGTGCATGCCTGTAATCCCAGCTACTCAGAAGGCTTAGGAGGGAGAATCGCTTGAATTCGGGAGGCGGAGGTTGCGGTGAGCTGAGATCACACCATTGCACTCCAGCCCGGGCAACAAGAGTGAAACTCCGTCTCAAAAAAAAAAAAAAAAAAAAAAAAAAATCACCACCCGGTTGAGAACCGCTGTCTTCCCTTTTGTGAACTTACCACAGTTTATTTACCTAAACTTTTTTAGGCATTTGGGTTGTTTCCAATTTCTGGCTGTGATAAGCACAGGTGCTGTGAACATTCTGGCCAGTTTCTGGATGAATGCAACAATGTATATTCTTTAAGTTTATACTTAGGAGTAGAAATGCTGATTCATATTGTGTAGGTGTTTGTTCAGCTTTCTGGATATTGCCAGGGTTTTCCAAAGCGGTTGTACCATTTCACACGCTCTCCAGAGTGTGGGAGTATAACTTGATATTAAATTTTCTTTTTTTTTGAGATGGAGTCTTGCTCTGTCGACCAGGCTAGAGTGCAGTGGTGTGATCTCGGCTCACTGCAGACTCCGCCTCCTGGGTTCAAGTGATTCGCCTGCCTCAGCCTCCCGAGTAGCTGGAATTACAGGCACCCGCCACCGCACCCGACTAATTTTTGTATTTTTTAGTAGAGACGGGGTTGCACCATCTTGGCCAGGCTGGTCTCGAACTCCTGACCTCATGATCCACTGGCCTCGGCATCCCAAAGTGCTGGGATTACAGGCGTGAGCCACCACGCCCCGCTAGCATTTTGGGTTTCATGTGCATTTCTCTGATGACTCATGAGGTCAGCCCTCTTTCATTTATCAGCCATTTGGAGATCACCTTTTGTGAAAGACTCATTTGTCCTTTGGAGTTTTTGTCCTTTTCATTTTCTTTCTTTCCTTCCTTCCCTCCCTACCCTCCCTTTCTCTCTTCCTCTTCCTTCCTTTCTCTGTCTTCCTTCCTTCCTTCCTTTCTTTCTTTCCTTCTCTTTTTTCTTTTATTTGACAGAGTTTCACTCTTGTTGCCCAGGCTGGAGTGCAGTGGCACAATCTCAGCACACTGCAACCTCCGGCTCCTAGGTTCAAGTGATGCTCCTGCCTCAACCTCCCAAGTAGCTGAGATTACAGGCGCCCACCACCATGCACAGCTAGTTTTTGTGTTTTTAGTAGAGACGGGGTTTCACCATGTTGGCCAGGCTGGTCACAAAGTCCTGACCTCAGAGGATCAACCTTCCTTGGCCTCCCAAAGTGCTGGGATTACAGGCATGAGCCACTGTGCCTGGCCTCCTTTTCATTTATCGCTTTCCTTCCTTCTTTCCTTCCTTCCTTCCTTCCTTCCGTTGCTCTCTCTCTGTCTCTCTCTCTCTGTCACCCAGGCTGGAGTGCAGTGGTGCAATCATAGCTCACTGCAGCCTTGACCTCCTGGGCTCAAGTGATCTTCTTGCCTCAGCCTCTCGAATTGATGGGACTACAGGCACCTGCCACCATGTCCAGCTAATTTTTTGTAGAGACAGGAGTCTTGCTATGTTTTCCAGGCTGGTGTTGAACTCCTGGACTCAAGTGATCCTCCCACCTTGGCCTCCCAAAGTGCTGGGATGACAGTCATGAGTCACCCCACCTGGACCCACATATAACTTTTTTTCTTTTTTCTTTTTTTGAGACAGTCTCACTCTGTCATCCAGGCTGGAGTGCAATGGCACAATCCTGGCTCACTACAACCTCTGCCTCCTGGGTTCAAGGGATTCTCATGCCTCAGCCTCCAGAATAGCTGGACCACAGGTGCGTGCCACCACACCTGGCTAATTTTTGTATTTTTAGTAGAGACAGGGTTTTGCCATGTTGGCCAGGCTGTTCTTGAACTCCTGACCTCAAGTGATCTGCCAGCCTCCACCTCCCAAAGTGCTGGGATGACAGGCCACTGTGCCGAGCCCCTCACATATAACTTTTGACTCCTCAAAACTTAACTACTAGGTTGGGCTCGGTGGTTCACACCTGTCATCCCAGCACTTTGGGAGGCTGAGGCAGGAGGAATGCTTGAGTCCAGGAGTTCAATACCAGCCTGGACAACATAGCAAGACTCCATCTCTAAAAAAACTAAAAATTAGCTGGCCATGGTGGTGCATACCTGTGGTCCCAGCTACTCAAGAGCCTGAGGTGGGAAGATCACCTGAGCCCAGGAAGTCGAGGCTGCAGTCAGCCATGTTTACACCACTGCACTCCAGCCTAAGTGACGGGATAAAACCCCATCTCTAACAAAACAAAAACAAAAACAAAAACAAAAACAAAAAAGGCTGGGCGCAGTGGCTCACACCTGTAATCCCTAGCACTTTGGGAGGCCGAGGCGGGCAGATCACCTGAAGCCGGGAGTTGGAGACCAGCCTGACCAACATGGAGAAACCCTATCTCTACTAAAAATACAAAATTAGCCAGGCGTGGTGGCGCATGCCTGTAATACCAGCAACTTGGGAGGCCAAGGCAGGAGAATCACTTGAACCCAGGTGGTGGAGGTTGCAGTGAGCCAAGATCGCGCCATTGCACTCCAGCCTGGGCAGCAAGAACAAAACTCTGCCTCAAAAAAAAAAAAAAAAAAAAAAAAGAAAAGAAAAAAAGAAACTATCAGAACGTCCATCAATGAGGGAGTAGAGAAATGAAAGGAGAACGAAATGTAATGGTAAGGTAATGGAATATTAAACAGGAGTGAAAAGGAATAAGTAACTCTCCCTGTCTGTGTGTCTCTCTTTCTCTCTCTTGCCTTGCTCTCACTCTCACTCTCTCCAGCTCTACTCTATGTCAATATAAATGTATCTTAATGTGGTGCTGTTTCAAAAAGAAATTCAAGTTGTGCAATGTTAGTTTAGTGTGATACTGTTTATATAAATTTGAAACATAATAGCACTCTGGGTTGCTTATGGATACAATTCCACTTAAAAACAGATACAGATTAAGGAAGTAATGGCCTTTTTTTTTTTTTTTCCCCTGGGTACTTGTAGGTTTCAAATGTGTCTCCCTGCAGGGACCAAAGAGAGCAGGTCACTATAGGTCAGTGGCCAGGGGAGTCCAGGGGTCAGAGTGGGATGTGACTGAATGATCAGTATAGCCAAGGGATCAGTATGACTGAGGTAGCCAGAGAGACCACGTAGAAGGTAGACTTTTTATTTTTCTTTTGAGACAAGGTCCCACTCTGTTGCCCAGGCTGGAGTGTAGTGGCATGATCATAGCTCACTGCAGCCTCAATTTCCCAGGCTCAAGCCAGCTTCCCACCTCAGCCTTCCAAGTAGCTGGGACTACAGGTGTGCGCCACCATGCCTGGCGAATTTTTCTTTTCTTCCTTTTTAGAGAGAGTTTCCTGCTATGTTGCCCAGGCTGCAGGCTGGTCTCAAACTCCTGGGCTCCCAAAATGTTGGGATTACAGGCGTGAGCCATTGTGGCTGGTGGAAGGTAGCTTTTTTTCTTTTCTTTTCTTTTGCCAGAATCTCACTTTGTCTCCAAGGCTAGAGTGCAGTGGCATGAGCTCAGCTTACTGCAACCTCCGCCTCCCAGGTTCAAGCGATTCTTTTGCCTCAGCCTCCTGAGTAGCTGGAATTACAGGCATGGGCCACCGTATCCAGCTAATTTTTGTATTTTTAGTAGAGATGGGGTTTCACCTTGTTGGCCAGGCTGGTCTTGAACTCCTGACCTCAGGTGATCCTCTTGCCTCGTCCTCCCAAAGTGCTGGGATTACAGGCGTGAGCCACTGCCCAGGGCCGGAAGTTAGCTTTGATGCACCCATTTGTCCTGGAGCCCCAGGAACAAGGTGTGCTCTACCAGAAAGAGTGCAGATGGGATGTGGATTCTGGAAATCATATGTAGGATTTGCAACCTCGTGCATGGTTCTGAGTATCTGTAGCTTGCAGCAGGTCTAGATATGCCAACCCTTGATTCAGAGCTCAAAAGTCATCAGGGTCTTATGGGCCAGCTGAGGACAGCCAGGGGTCAGGCACCAGGATTTTCTTTTTTTTTTTTGCATTAAATCAATTTTTTAGGCTGGATGCAGCACCTCATACCTGTAATCCCAGCACTTTGGGAGGCCGAGGCGGCATTGCTTGAACCTAGGAGTTGGAGTCCAGCCTGGGCAATGTAGTGAGACCCTATCTATAAAAAAAAAAATTAAAATCTGGCTGGGCGCTGTGGCTCATGCCTGTAACGCCAGCACTTTGAGAGGCCGAGTCCAGCGGATCACATAAGGTCAGGATTTCAAGAGCAGCCCGGCCAACGTGGGGAAACCCCATCTCTATCAAAAATACAAAAATGACCTAGGTATGGTGGCGCATGCCTGTAATACCAGCTACTTGGGAGGCTGAGGCATAAGAATCACTTGAATCTGGGAGGCAGAGGTTGCAGTGAGCTGAGATCACACTACTGCACTCCAGCCTGGGCGACAGAGCAAGACTGTCTCAAAAAAAAAAAAAAAAAAAAAAAAAGAAAAAAAAAAAAAGAAAAGAAAAAGAAAAAGAAAAAGAAAAAAAAAAAGAAAAAAAAAATGCTGGATGGGGTGGCTCATGCCTGTAATCCCAGAACTTTGCGAGGCTGATGCAGGTGGATCACCTGAGGTCAGGAGTTTGAGACCAGCCTGGCCAATGTGGTGAAACCCCGTCTCTATTAAAAATACAAAAATTAGCCAGGCATGGTGGCGCACACCTGTGGTTCCAGGTCCTCGGGGGGCTGAGGCAGGAGAATTGCTTGAACCCAGGGGATGGAGGTTGCAGTGAGCCGAGATCCACTGCACTCCAGCCTGGGTGACAGAGCGAGACTCTGTCTCAAATAAAAAAAAAGAAAGAAAGAAAGAAAGAAAAAGAACAACTTCATCACCCCGTAAAATTCCCTTACACTGCCCGTTAGGAGTCACATCCTTCCTTCCTTCTCCTTGACAACCACTGATCGGCTCTCTGTCGCCATAATTTAGCCTTTCCGGGACTGTTGTATAAATGGAATCAGTCACACACTGGATAGCCTTGTGAGACTGGGTTCTTTCTTTCTTTTCTTTTTTTTTTTTGGATGGAGTTTCATTCTTGTTGCTCAGGCTGGAGTGCAATGGCACGATCTCGGCTCACTGCAACCTCCACCTCCTGGGTTCAAGCGATTCTCCTGCCTTAGCCTCCCGAGTAGCTGGGATTACAGGCATGCGCCACCATGCCCAGCTAACTTTGTATTTTTAGTAGAGACGGGGTTTCTCCATGTTGGCCAGGCTGGTCTCGAACTCCCGACCTCAGGTGATCTGCCCACCTCGGCCTCCCAAAGTGCTGGGACTTACAGGCGTGAGCCACCGCGCCCAGCGAGACTGGCTTCTTTCACTCAAGCAGAGGAAAACAGTATTTGTTTTCCCATGGGCTTTTTTTTTTTTAAGACAAGGTCTGGCTCTGTCACTGAGGCTGGAGTGCAGTGATGCAATCACAGCTCAGTGCCAACTCCACCTCCCAGGCTCAAGCCATCCTTCTGCCTCAGCCTCCCGAGTAGCTGGGACTACAGATGCACACCACCACACCTGGCTAATTTTTGTATTTTCTTTCTTTTTTTTTTTTTTGTAGAGATGGGGCCTTGCTATGTTGCTCAGGGTGGTCTCAAACTCCTGGGCTCAAGCGATCCTCCTGCCTTGGCCTCCCAAAGTGCTGGGATGACAGGCGTGAACCACTGCACCCAGCCCATAAACGTTCTGATTTATAGCAGTTCAGGTTTGCAGCAAAATTGAGTGGAAAGTACAGAGATTTCCCATATATCTACCCTGCTCCCCAAGCCCAGCCTCCTCCTTATCAATGTCCGCCACTAGAGTGGTGCATTGGTTATACTTGATGAATCTCCAGGGACCCGTCCTCATCACCCCGAGTCCACAGCCTACATTAGGGCTCACTTTTTTTTTTTTTTTTTTTTTGAGAAGGAGTTTTGCTCGGCTAGTTATATGTTTTTTTAGCCAGGCTCTTTCTCTGTCATCCAGGCTGGAGTGCAGTGGCACCATCACAGTTCACTGCAGTGTCGACCTCTCCAGCTCAAGCCATCCCCCTGCCTCAGCCTCCCTGAGTAGCTGGGATTACAGGTGCACCATCATGCCTGGATAATTAAAAAATTTTTTTAGGCTGGTCACAGTGGCTTACACCTGTAATTCCAGCACTTTGGGAGGCCAAGGTGGGCAGATCACTTGAGGTCAGGAGTTCGAGACCAGCCTGGCAAACTTGTTGGAACCCTGTTTCTACTAAAAATTCAAAAATTAGCCGGGCGTGGTGGCACGCACTTGTAGTCCCAGCTACTCAGGAGGCTGAGGCAGAATTGCTTGAACCTGGGAAGCGGAGGCTGCACTGAGCTAAGATAGCACTACTGCACTCCAGCCTGGGTGACAAGAGTGAGATTCTGTGTTAGAAGAAAAGAAAAGAAAAAATATATTGTAATTTAAATTAATTTATTTAGAGACATGGTCTTTCTCTGTCCCCCAGTCTGACCTGGAACTCCTAGGCTCAAGCAATCCTTCCACTTCAGCCTCCTGAGTATCTGGGACCACAGGCTTGTGCCACTGTGCCCAGCAAGAGCTCATTTATTTTAATTAATGAGTTCCCATTGTCTGAAAGTACCACTGTTTATTTATTCATTCAACTCCCGAAGGGCATCTTGGTTGCTTCCAAGTTTTATGCAATTATGAATAATACTGCTGTAAACATCCGTGTGCAGGTTTTGTTTTGTTTTGTTTTTTTGGTTTTGAGACAGAGTCTCACTCTCTCGCCCAGGCTGGAGTGCAGTGGCGCCATCTCGGCTCACTGCAAGCTCTGCCTCCTGGGTTCACGCCATTCTCCTGCCTCAGCCTCCCGAGTAGCTGGTACTACAGGCACCTGCCACCATGCCCGGCTAATTTTTTGTATATTTAGTAGAGACAGGGTTTCACCGTGTTAGCCAGGATGGTCTCGATCTCCTGACTTCGTGATCCTCCCGCCTCGGCCTCCCAAAGTGCTGGGATTACAGGCATGAGCCACCGCACCCGGCCAGTTTGTTTTTTTTTTTTTGAGTCGGAGTCTCCCTGTGTCGCCCAGGCTGGAGTGCAGTGGTGTGATCTCGGCTCACTGCAACCTCTGCCTCACGGGTTCAAGTGATTCTCCTGCCTCAGCCTCCTGAGTAGCTGGGACTACAGGCACATGCCACCACGCGCAGCTAATTTTTGTATTTTTAGTAGAGACAGGGTTTCACCATATTGGCCAGGCTGGTCTTGAACTCCTGACCTCGTGATCTGCCCGCCTCGGTCTCCCAAAGTGTTGGGATTACGGGTATGAGCCACTGCACCTGGCCCATGTGCGGGTTTTCTTGTAGACATGAGCTTTCAACTCGTTTGGGTAAATATCTAGGAGTGAAATTAATTGGTTATATGGTAAGAGTATGTTTAGTTTTGTAAGAAGCTGTCACACTGTCTTCTAGAGTGGCTGTACTGTTTGGCATTTCTCTCAGCAAAGAGTGAGATTTCCTGTTGCTATATAGGAAACATCTTTTTTTTTTTTTTTTTTTTTTGAGTCAGTCTTGCTTTGTCACCCAGGGTGGAGCACAGCGGTGTAATCTCAGCTTATTGCAACCTCCACTTCCCGGACTCAAGCACTTCTCATGCCTCACCCTCCCGAGTAGCTGGCATTACAGGCATGCACCACCACGCCCGGCTAATTTTTGTATTTTTAGTAGAGATGGGGTTTCACCATGTTGCCCAGGCTGATCTCGAACTCCTGGCCTCAAGTGATCCACCCACCTCGGCTCGCAAAGTGCTGGGATTACAGGCGTGAGCCACCACTCCTGGCCATATAGGCAACAAAATTTTTAATTACGGCAACATCTAGAAAAAAATGTTTTATCCTATATCCTGCATTTTTCTTTTTCTTTCTTTTTTTTTTTTTTTTGAGATGGAGTCTCACTCTGTCACCCAGGCTGGAGTGCAATGGTGCCATCTCGGCTCACTGCAACCTCTGCCTCCCAGGTTCAAGCAATTCTCCTGCCTCAGCCTCCCAAATAGCTGGGATTACAGGCTTGTGCCACCACACTCTGCTAATTTTTTGTATTTTTAGTAGATATGGGGTTTCACCATGTTGGCCAGGCTGGCCTTGGACACCTTGCCTCAAGTGATCCGCCTGCTTTGGCCTCCCAATATCCTGCTTTTTTCTGTAAAAATAGTATGAAAATATTTTACATATTGTTAAAGAAAATCTACAAACATTTTTCATAACTGCATATTGGATCTTATCACGTGATTGTACACAGCGTACCGGATACCTCAGGCTTTGCACTAACTGAATATTAAAATAACAATAACAGAAGCATTGTTATATGTAAATATTTGCCTATTTCTCATATTTCTTTCTCATGGATTCCCAGCAGTGGAAATACTGGCTGGAAAAAGGCAAACACGTTATGATTCTTGGTACATGTTGCCAAGAGCTCACCAGAAGCCTGAAATTTATGCTAAAAGCAGCAAGCTGGCCGGGCACAGTCGCTCATGCCTGTAATCCCAGCACTTTGGGAGGCTGAGGAGGGTGGATCACCTGAGGCCAGGAGTTTGAGACCAGCCTGGCCAACATGGCAAAACCCCATCTCTACTAAAAATACAAAAATGAGCTGGGCATGGTGGTGTGTGTCTGTAATCCTGGCTACTAGGGAGGCTGAGACAGGAGAATCACTTGAACCTGGGAGGCAGAGGTTGCAGTGAGCCGAAATTACGCCACTGCACTCCAGCCTGGACGACAAAGCAAAACTCTGTCAAAAAAAAAAAAAAAAAAAAAAAAGCTGCAAGCTGGGGTAAGAGTCTTCAGGAAAAAAAAAAAAAGGTTAGATTAAAATAGACAAAAGATGTCTCATTCTCTTTTCTTTTTTAGAGATAGAGTCTTACTGTGTTGCCCAGGCTGGGGTGCAGTGGAACTATCATAGCTCACAGAAGCCTCAGCCTCCTGGGTTCAAGTGATCCTCCCACCTCAGCTTCCCAAGTAGGTGGGATTACAGGCATGTGCGACCATACCCAGCTAATTTTTATTTTTTGCAGAGATGTGGTCTCACTACATTGCCCAAGTTGGTCTCAAACTCCTGGGCTCAAGTGATTCTCTCACCTTGGCCTCCCAAAGTGCTGGGATTACAGGCATGAGCCACAGCACCTGGCTAAGAATTCCTCTTTAAGTTTTAAAGAGAGACAACTCAGTACATTGCTTGACCATTTTGCCCTCTGCTCTTAAGCTTAGAAAATGCTTTCACATCTCAGAGATTTAAAATCCATTTCCAGCTGGGCACAGTGGCTCACGTCTGTAATCTCAGTACTCTGAGAGGCCAAGGCAGGCAAATCACTAGAGACCAGGAGTTTGAGACCAGCCTGGCCAACATGGTGAAACCCCGTCTCTACTAAAAAGACAAAAATTAGCTGGGCAAGGTGGCACATGCCTGTAATCGCAGCTACTCGGGAGGCTGAGGCAGGAGAATCGCTTGAACCCAGGAGGCAGATGTTGCAGTGAGCCGAGATTGTGCCACTGCACTCCAGCCTGGGCAATAGAGTGACACTCCATCTAACATAATAATAAATAAATCCAAAGAACTTAGTAAACTCCTTTGGTGTCACAAAGCTGTTTGATGACAGAATCAGTATTATAACCTGGAAGTTCAAACTCTGGCTTGGCGCTTTTTCTTATTTTATAGCTAGTCTTTGAGGTAAGATTTGTACTGTTAATTCATTCTGCCTACCCATCCACACACAAAAAATTATGAGGTCAAAAATAAATAATTTGAAATAGAGCAAAAGTAGAGGAAGTAGTGAAGGAAGAAAGGATTCTGGAATTCCATAAAAGTTTTGTGTTTTCTTTGTTTGTTTGTTTTTTGAGATGGAGTCTCACTCTGTCACCTAGGCTGGAGTGCAATGGCGCAATCTCGGCTCACTGCAACCTCTGTCTGCCTCCTGGGTTCAAGCGATTCTCCTGCCTCAGCAACCTGTGTAGCTGGGATTACAGGCGCCTGCCACCATATCTGGCTAATTTTTGTATTTTTAGTACAGACAGGGTTTCACCATGTTGGCCAGGCTGGTCTCAAACTCCTGACCTCAAATGATCCACCCGCCTCGGCCTCCTAAAGTTCTGGGATTCCAGGCGTGAGACACCGCGCCTGGCCTGTTTCTTTTCTTTTCTTTTTTTAATTGAGACAGGGTCTCGCTCTGTCACCCAGGCTAGAGTATGGTAGTGCCATCTCAGCTCAATGTGGCCTCAATCTGGGCTCAAGCAATTCTCCCATCAGGCTCCTGAGTAGCTGAGACTATAGTTGTGCACTACTATGCCTGGCTTTGCTGCTTTTTGATCTGATAACAGAAAATGGCCTGTATCAGCGACATAATCAGAAGTAGATAACAAAACCAGCTGGTTAAAAGGAAATTGCAAAAGAATAATACACCTCTTTGGTCAGGTGTGGTGGCTCATGCCTGTAATCCCAGCACTTTGGGAGGCCGAGGTGGGTGGATCACTTGAGTTCAGGAGTTTGAGACCAGCCTGGCCAACATGGTGAAATCCCGTCTTCAATATAAATACAAAAATTAGCTGGGCGTGGTGGCAGGTGCCTGTATTTCCAGCTAATCGGGAGGCTGAGGCAGCAGAATTGCTTGCAGCCAGGAGGCGGAGGTTTCAGCGAGCCAAGATCACACCTTTGCACTCCAGCCTGGGTGACAGACAGAGACTCTGTCTCTAAATCAATCAATCAATCAATCAATCAACCAATCACCTCTTTCACATGCCCCTAACACTGATCATGAAGGGGGTCAACTCACTGAACTACAAGAAATTGATTATGGTTACAGAAAATGTCATAAGTTGTATGTTTGTAGAGCATTATCTGCACACACACATATTCACTTTTCCATGCTTGTTATTCAGATAGCAGCTGCATTACATTTATATCATCCCAGCTATTGGCTTAGTAGCCAAGAATCTATATAGAGTTATAGGGCAGTGATAAAGATACGGTTTTAGAAGGCATTTACTATAGATTTTTTTTTTTTTTTTTTTTTTTGAGACGGAGTCTTGTCCTGTCACCCAGGCTGGAGTGCAATGGCACGATCTCAGCTCACTGCAACCTCCACCTCCCGGGTTCCAGCAATTCTCCTGCCTCAGCCTCCTGAGTAGCTGGGATTACAGGCAGGTGCCACCACGCCCAGCTAATTTTTGTATTTTTAGTAGAGATGGGGTTTTGCCGTGTTGGCCAGGCTGGTCTTGATCTCCTGACCTCGTGATCTGCCTGCCTCAGCCTCCCAAAGTTCTGAAATTATAGGCATGAGCCACCGCACCCTGCCTAGGTTGTTACCTTTTTTTTTTTTTTTTTTTTTGAGATGGAGTCTCGCTCTGTTGCCCAGGCTGGAGTGCAGTGGCGTGATCTCGGGTCACTGCAAGCTCTGCCTCCCAGGTTCACGTCATTCTCCTGCCTCAGCCTCCCAAGTAGCTGGGACTAGAGGCGCCTGCCACCACGCCCTGCTAATTTTTTGTATTTTTAGTAGAGACGGGGTTTCACTGTCTTAGCCAGGATGGTCTCGATCTCCTGACCTCGTGATCCGCCCGCCTCGGCCTCCGAAAGTGCTGGGATTACAGGCGTGAGCCACTGTGCCCGGCCTAGATAGTTACCTTTAATTAAAGTAACTTTTAGCTGGGCATGTACCTGTATTCTCAGTTACTTGGGAGGCTGAGGCAGGAGGACCATTTGAGCCCAGGAGTTCAAGGCTGTAGTGTGCCATGATCCTGTCTGTGAATAACCACCGCACTCCAGCCTGGGCAACATAGCAAGACTTTCTCTCTCTCTCAAAAAGGTAACTTATAATTTTCGTAACTTTTGAACTCCTTGAGCCCAGGAGTTTGAGACCAGCTCTGGCAACATATTGAGACCTCATCTCTACAAAAACTTTAAAAATTAACTGGGTGTGGTTGTGTGCACCTGTAGTCCCAGCTACTCAGGAGGTTGATGCAGGAGGATCACATGAGCCGCAGTGGTCGAGGTTGCAGTTAGCTATAATCATGTCACTGCACGCCAGCCTGGGTGACAGAAAGACCCAGTCTTTTTTTTCTTTTTTTGATGGAGTCTTGCTCTGTCGCCCAGGCTGGAGGGCAGTGGCACGATCTTGGCTCACTACAACCTCCGCCTCCCGGGTTCAAGCAATTCCCTGCCTCAGCCTCCCGAGTAGCTGCGATTACAGACATGCACCACCACGCCTGGCTAATTTTTGTATTTTTAGTAGAGACGGAGTTTCACCATGTTGGCCAGGGTGGTCCCGAACTCTTGACCTCAGGTGATCCACCCGCCTCGGCCTCCCAAAGTGCTGGGATCACAGGTGTGAGCCACTATGCCCAACCGACCCTATCTCATTTATTTATTTATTGGATTTATTTATATATATATTTTTGGGGGATGGAGTCTCACTCTGTCACCCAGGCTGGAGTGCACTGGAGTGATCTCAGCTCATTGCAACCTCCATCTCCCGGGTTCAAGCAATTCTCCTGCCTCATCCTCCCGAGTAGCTGGGACTACAGGCGTACACCACTACATCTGGCTAATTTTTTGTATTTCAGTAGAGACGGGGTTTCACCATGTTACCCAGCGTGGTCTCACACTTCTGAGCTCAGGCAATCTGCCTGCCTCGGCCTCCCAAAGTGCTAGGATTACAGGGGTGAGCCACCGCACCTGGCCTGGACCGACCCTATCTCTTAAAAAAAAAAAAAAGGCCGGCATGGTGGCTCACGCCTGTAATCCCAGCAGTTTGGGAGGCTGAGGTGGGCAGATCACGAGGTCAGGAGATCAAGACCATCCTGGCTAAGACTGTGAAACCCAGTCTCTACTAAGAATGCAAAATATTAGCCGGGCATAGTGGCACCTGCCTGTAGTCCCAGCTACCCAGGAGGCTGAGGCAGGAGAATCGCTTGAACCTGGGAGGTGGAGCTTGCAGTGAGCCGAGATCATGCTATTGCACTCCAGCCTGGATGGCAGAGCAAGATTCTGTCTCAAAAAAAAAAAAAAAAATTGTGTTGGCCAAAACTTTCACAACACCCATCCCAAAATACTTGTTCTGCGTGGTATGCAGATCAACTGTCTCTTCAGACAAGCACTTCTTTAACCTTTACTTCATCAAAATGGAATATTTCTTTGAAATTCCACACCTTTTAAAATTCCTAAATCCTCAGACAGCTTTCTTAGTTGGTTCATCTGAAGTCTCATCATCTTTGGTACAACAATCTCTAATGAGAACAGGTTTCAATAAAGGAGGTGACTCAATCACCATCTTGTTTTTGAGATAGAGTCTTGCTCTATCACCCAGGCTGGAGTGCAGTGGCACGATCTCAGCTCGCTGCAACCCCGCCTCCTGGGTTCAAGCAATTCTCATGCCTCAGCCTCCCAAGAAGCTGGGATTACAGGCACATGCCACCATGCCTGGTTAATGTTTTTTGTATTTTTAGTAGTAACATGGTTTCACCATGTCGGCCAGGCTGGTCTTGAACTCCTGGCTTCAGGTAACCCACCTGCCTCAGCCTCCGAAAGTGCTGGGATTACGGGCATGAGCCACCGCGCCTGGCCTCAATCATCTTGTTTAACTATTTCTCAAAAGCTCTGATCTGCAAAGGAAGATTAATTTCAGGTCTGAACTGGCCAACAGAAACCACCAAATGTCCTGGGGTCATCTTTTTCTGAAGTCAGGGAATGTTCAGAAATGCCCGCATACCACGTGGTGGATGAACAATACTAGCGTAATTCCCAGCTTTCCACAGTGAGAGGATATGGTTCAGTGTCCAAGAAGAATTCATCATGAGTACATACATCACTGCAAGAACCGAAGAGTCCACAAATAAACCGAAAACTAAATAGTAGTAGATGAGCTTTGCTTTACTGAGGATTCCTGGTAACGAAGGCTGTGTTATTTTATTCAACATTTTGTGCCCATGCCTGTAGTCTCAGCTACTTGGAAGGCTGAGGTGGGAAGATCACTTGGGCCCAGGAAGTCGAGGCTGGAGTGAGCTGCAATGGTGCCACTGCACTCTAGCCTGGGCGACAGAGTGAGACTCTGTCTCAGAAATAAACAAGCGAACAAACAAACAAACAACATAGGCTGTGTGCAGTGGCTCATACCTTTAATCTCACCACTTTGGGAGGCTGAGGTGGGTGGATCACTTGAGATCAGGAGTTCAAGACCAGCCTGGCCAACATGATGAAACCCTGTCTCTACCAAAAATACAAAAATTAGCCGGGCGTGGAGGCTTGGGCCTGTAATCCCAGCTACTTGGGAGCCTGAGACAGGAGAATTGCTTGAACCCAGGAGGCGGAGGTTGCAGTGACCTGAGATCGCACCACTGCACTCCAGCATGGGCAACACAGCGAGACTGTCTCCAGAAAATAATAATAATAATAATAATAATAATAATAATAATAATAATAACAACCTGCTTCAAGATACTTACTTTTTCTGCAGGGCTCTTGAAACCACACCATAAAACTCATTCTCCTTCTCCACTAGCATTGCAGTATGGATTAAAAAAATTCAAATAGGCCAGACGCGGTGGCTCATGCCTGTAATCCCAGCATTTTGGGAGGCTGAGGTGGGCAGATGGCTTGAGGTCAGGAGTTCAAGACCAGCCTGGTCAACATGGTGAATCCCCATCTCTACAAAAAAAAAAAAATACAAAAATTAGCCAGACATGGTGGCGCATGCCTGTACTCCCAGCTACTCAGGAGGCTGAGGCAGGAGAATCACTTGAACCCAGGATGTGGCAGTTGCAGTGAGCTGAGATCATGCCACTGCACTGCAGCCTGGGTGACAGAGTGAGACACTCTCAAAAAAAAAGGCCGGGCGTGGTGGCTCACGCCTGTAATCCCAGCACTTTGGGAGGCTGAGGCAGACGGATCACGAGGTCAGGAGATCGAGACCATCATCCTGACTAACACGGTGAAACCCCGTCTCTACTAAAAATACAAAAAATTAGCTGGGCATGGTGGCGGGTGCCTGTAGTCCCAGCTACTTGGGAGGCTGAGGCAGGAGAATGGCATGAACCCAGGAGGCAGAACTTGCAGTAAGCTGAGATAGTGCCACTGCACTCCAGCCTGGGCGAAAGAGCAAGACTCCGTCTCAAAAAAAAAAAAAAAACAGCAATCACTATTTGATTTTTTCCATTTTTTTGCTGGTTGACACTGACTTTTTCTTTCTTGATAGCAGCAGATTCCTCAAAGGATGATTACCAAAGATTTACATAAATTTCCACATACAATTAGCTCACGAAAGAACAATGAATTAAATTACCTCAACAACTCAAAGACCAGTCCCCTCCCATGGGGCCCCATCTTCCGAAGACCCCCCAAACTAGGAAGCCCTTCATTGTTTCTCTCCTCTATGAGCTCCTCCACACACTGTCATTTCTTTTTCTTTCTGTATTTTTATTATTAAGACAGGGTCTCACTCTGTTGCCCAGGCTGGAGTGCAGTGGCCCAGTCATAGCTCAATGCAGCTTTGAACTCCTGGGCTGAAGCGATCCTCCCACCTCAGCCTCCCAAGTAGCTGGGACTATAGGTGCATGCCACCATGGCTGGCTAATTTTTTTTTTTTTTTTTTGAGACAGAGTCTCTCTCTGTCGCCCAGGCTGGAGTGCAATGGTGGGATCATGGCTCACTGCAACCTCTGCCTCCCAGATTCAAGCTATTCTTCTGCCTCAGCCTCCCGAGTAGCTGGGATTACAGGCACTTGCCATCATGCCCGGCTAATTTTTTTTCTGTATTTTTGTAGAGACAGGGTTTCACCATGTTGGCCAGGCTGGTCTTGAACTCCTGACCTCAGGTGATCCACCTGCCTTGGCCTCCCAAAGTGCTGGGATTACAGACGTCAGCCACCGTGCCCGGCCATCTTGGCTAATTTTTAAAGATTATTTTTAGAGATGGGGTCTCACTATGTTGCCCGGGCTGGTCTCAAACTCCTGGCCTCAAGTGATCCTCCCGTCTCGGCCTCCCAAATTGCTTGGATTATAGGCATCAGCCATTGCGTCCAGCTTCTCTTCTAATTTTCTAGGCTATTTATAGGGTCCACAATGGATCATGCCAGCCCCTCTGCTAAGGGTTATCCACCAACATCTCATTTAACCTACACTATCCTCTCCAGAAGCAAATATTGCATTGGTGCAAAAGTTATTGCGGTTTTTGCAATTAAAAGTAAAGGCAAAGCTGGGCACAGTGGCTCACACCTGTAATCCCAGCATTTTGGGAGGCTGAGGCAGGTGGATCACAAGGTCAGGAGTTCAAGATCAGCCTGACCAACACGGTGAAACCCCATCTCTACTAAAAATACAAAATTAGCTGGGTGTGGTGGCGCGCACTTGTAATCCCAGCTACTCGGGAGGCTGAGGCAGGAGAATCGCTCGAACCCGGGAGGTGGAGGTTGCAGTGAGCCAAGATCATGCCACTGCACTCCAGCCTGGCAACAGAGCGAAACTCTGTCTTTAAAACAAAAAGGTAATGGCAAAAAACGCAATTATTTTTGCACCAACCTAGTATTATTTCTCTCATGTCACAGATGAGAAAACTGAGGCTTAGGGGGAATCTCTAAATTTGTCTAGTGTCATGTGGCCAGAGACATAATTCATACCTGGACACCTCACTCCGGACGCTGTTCACAGCCCTACTCCTCTTTGGTGGGTAAATACTCCGGGAAAGGCACGATTTTCTCCTAGTGTGAATTCAGGGTAGGCAAAATAGCCTCATCCAGTCACAAGAGGCCCCTGACCTGCCTGAGAAAGGTGCTGCAAACCCCGTGCTCTGTGGCTTCCCCCACCCTTGTGTTTTTGGTCTCCCAGGGGAAACTGAGGCAGCCTGGGCAGTGGCCAATGATCCCAGACATTAGCAGAAAGAAATCCCGAATTTTCCTTGGCAGAGGGAAGCCTCAGGACCCACAAAGCAGGAACCTGTGACTTGAGGGCAATTCCCGGAGCTCCCAACCCCGCTGACACCCCTGTGAAATATGGCATAGCCCACGCCCAGAATCCCACTCCCTATGACCTGTAACTACCGTCTTTTCTTTTCTTCTCTTTTCTTTTGAAACAGAGTCTCGCTCTGTTGTGCAGGCTGGAGTGCAATGGCACCATCTCGGCTCACTGCAACCTCCGCCTCCCTGCAACCTCCGCCTCCCAGGTTCAAGCAATTCTCGTGCCTCAGCCTCCTGAGTAGCTGGGACTACAGGCACCTGCAACCAAGCCCGGCAAATTTTTTGTATTTTTAGTAGAGACGGGGTTTCACCGTGCTAGCCAGGATGGTCTCCATCTCCTGACCTTATGATCCGCCCGCCTCGGCCTCACAAAGTGCTGGGATTACAGGTGTGAGCCACCGCGCCCAGCCTTGTCTTGTCTTTTCTTGTCTTTTGAAACAGAGTCTCTCTCTGTTGTGCAGGCTGGAGTGCAATGGCACGATCTCAGCTCACTGCAACCTCCGCCTCCCAGGTTCAAGCAATTCTCCTGCTTCAGCCTTCTGAGTAGCTGGGATTACAGGCGCCTGCCACCTCACCTGGCTAATTTTTGTATTTTTGTAGAGATGGGGTTTCACCATGTTGGTCAGGTTAGTTTTGAACTCCTGGCCTCAAGTGATCTGACTGCTTCAGCCTCACAAAGGGCTGGGATTACAGGCTTGAGCCACCGTGCCTGGCACTACTCCCACTTCTATAACCCCTTCATCTCTCTGATCCTTTTATCCTCATGACAGCTTTACCCAAGCCCCTGAACAGGAGCAGAAAATCCATTCATTTAGGCCGGGTGCAGTGGCTTATGCCTATAATCCCAGCACTTTGGGAGGCCGAGGCGGGTGGATTACTGGAGGTCAAGGAGTTCAAGACCAGCCTGGCCAACATGGTGAAACCCTTTCTCTACTAAAAATACAAAAATTAGCCAGATATGGTGGCGGGTGCCTGTAATCCTAGCTACTCGGAAGGGTGAGGCAGTAGAATCACTTGAACCTGGGAAGTGGAGGTTGCAGTGAGCTGAGATCGTGCCATTGCACTCCAGCCTGGGCAAAAAGAGCAAAACTCTGTCTCAAAAAAAAAAAAAAGTCTGGGCGCGGTGGCTCATGCCTGTAATACTAGCACTTCAGGAAGCTGAGGTGGGCAGATCACTTAAGGTCAAGAGTTTGAGACCAGCCTGGCCAACATGGTAAAAACCCGTCTCTACTAGAAATACAAACATTAGCTGGGCATGGTGGCACATGCCTGTAATCCCAGCTGCTCGGGAGGCTGAGGCAGGAGAATCACTTGAACCTGGGAGGCAGAGGTTGCAGTGAGCCGAGATAGTGCCACTGTACTCCAGCCTGGACAACAGAGCGAGACTCCATCTCAAAAAAAAAAAAAAGAAAAGAAAAAGAAAATCCATTCATTTAATGCATGAACAGATATGAATTGAGCTGTGTAAACTCAAAGTATCTGAGTCAGGTCTCAATCAATTTAGGAAGTTTATTTAGCCAGCTGGGTTCAGTGGCTCACGCCTGTAGTCCTGGCACTTTGGGAGGCCAAGGCAGGAGGATGTCTTGAGCTCTGGAGTTCGAGACCAGTCCGGGCAAAATGGCGAAACCCAGCATCTACAAAAAACACAAAAGTTAGCCGGGTGTGGTGGTGCATGCCTTCGGTCCCAGCTGCTCAGGAGGCTCAGGTGGGAGGATTGATTGAGCCCAGGAGGTTGAGGCTGCAGTGAGCTGAAATCATGCCACTGCACTCCAGCCTGGGTGACACAGCCTGGGTGACACTCCAGCCTAGGTGACACTGTCTCTTAGAAAAAAGTATTTTTTTTGTTTTGCTTTTTTTGAGATGGAGTCTCGCTCTTGTTGCCCAGGCTGGAGATGGCCAGGTTGCTCTTGAACTCCTAACATCAGGTAATCCACCCACCTCAGCCTCTCAAAGCGCTGGGATTACAGGAATGAGCCACCACACCTGGCTGAAAAAAACCTTATATTTAGAGATGGAGTCTTGCTATGCCACCCAGGCTGGTCTCAAACTCCTGGCCTCAAGCGATCCTCCCTCCTCAGCTTCTCAAAGTGACATGATTACAGACGTGAGCCACCTCAACCAGCAGCCTTTTTTTTTTTTAATGGAATCTTGCTTGGTCACCCAGGCTGGAGTGCAGTGGCACAATCTCAGCTCACTGCGACCTCCACCTCCTGGGTTCAAGCGATTCTCCTGCCTCAGCCTCCTGAGTAGCTGGGATTACAGGCACCTGCCACCATGCCCAGCTAATTTTTTGTATTTTTAGTAGAGACAGGGTTTCATCATGTTGGCCAGGCTGGTCTCAAACTCCTGACCTCAGGTGATCTGCCTGTCTCAGCCTCCCAAAGTGCTAGGATTACAGGCATGAGCCACTGTGCCTGACCTGCTTCTTATTTTATTTTATATTTATTTATTTATTTTTTTGAGACAGAGTCTCGTCAGGCTGGAGTGCATGGCACGATTCGGCTCACTGCAAGCTCCGCCTTCCGGGTTCACGCCATTCTCCCGCCTCAGCCTCCCCAGTAGCTGGTACTAAAGACGCCCACCACCACGCCCGGCTAATTTTTCTGTATTTTTAGTAGAGGCGGGGTTTTACCGCATTAGCCAGGATGGTCTCGATCTCCCGACGTCGTGATCCGCCCGCCTCGGCCTCCCAAAGTGCTGGGATTACAGGCGTGAGCCACCACGCCCGGCCCCTGCTTCTTATTTTAAAATGTAGCAGGAGGCCAGACACAGTGGCTCTCACCTGTAATCCCAACACTGTGGGGGGCCAAGGTGGGAGAATTGCTTGAGGCCAGGAGTTCGAGACCAGCCTGGGCAACATAGCAAGATCCCATTTTTACACGCTGGCCATGATGGTGTATGCCCCATGGTCCCAGCTACTTGGGAGGCTGAGGTGAGAGGATTGCTTGGGCCCAGGAAGTCAAGGCCGCAGTGAGTTGTGATTGCACCACTGCATACCAGCTTGGGCAACAGAGCAAGACCCTGTTCTCAAAAAAAAAAAAAAAAAAAAAAAGAGAGAGAGAGAGACCTGGGGCAGTGGCTCACGCCTGTAATCCCAGCACTTTGGGAGGCCGACGCAGGCAGATCACCTGAGGTCAGGCGTTTGAGACCAGCCTGGCCAACATGGTGAAACCCCATCTCTACTAAAAATACAAAAATTAGCCGGGCATGGTGGCGGCTGCCTGTAATCCCAGCTACTCAGGAGGCTGAGACAGGAGAATCACTGAATCTGGGAGGCGGAGGTGGCAGTGAGCTGACATTGCACCACTGCACTCCAGCTTGGGCAACAGAAGCAGACTCCGTCTCAAAAAAAAAAAAAGGAGGCGGAGAGAGCAGGAGAAAATGTGGGTAAGAGCCTTTATTATAGTTTCCATGGGACAGGCACAGTGAGGCAGATGAAAGTTGCCACGGGCTATTTTGAATAATTTCTCCAGGCTCTGGGGCATACGTGCTGTCCCTAATTGCCTGGCACATGGCCCTAAAGTAATCAGGTCAGGGCAACAGGCTTGGATTGTCACAGCTCTGCAAAAAAGGTGGTTGTGGGGTGTGAGCTTTCCATAGGAACCGTGTGCTCTTGGACAAGCCAGTTGTTTGCAAACTCTCCAACAAATTAGCTAACCCTGAAGAAATCGGCAAACCCTGGGAGAAGCTGTCTTTCCGGCATTAGCAAGGCCCAAGATGCCAAAACATCAGGAAACAGAGAAACTCCTGGCCTCAAGTGAACCTCACAGAAAGACCAGTCCCCTCCTGTGGGGCCCCGTCTTCTGACGACCCCCAAACTAGGAAGCACTTTATTGTTTCTCTTCTCTGTAGGCTCTTCCACATGTTGTCATTTCTTTCTCTTTCTGTATTTTTATGTATTATTATTTGGGTCAGGGTCTCACTCTGTGCCCAGGCTGCAGTGCAGTGGTGCAACCATAGCTCAATGCAGGCTTGAACTCCTGGGCTCAAGCAATCCTCCCACCTCAGCCTCCCGAGTGGCTGGGACTTACAGGTGTGTGCCACTAGTCCAGGCTTTTCCCTTTCACCTTGCTTTCCCTAGGGTCTGTTCCCCTGCCCTACCTGGCTCCTGTGTCCCCAGAGAGCTGGCCAAGCAGCAAGGGAAAGGGGTTTCCCCCTTCATGTGTTACTACGGCTAAGGGACAGAACCCAAGTTAGCCACCCACCTGCACATTTGACCTCGCCACAGGGTCTGGCAGCTGCACCCTCCACAGACACTTGGATCAGATCTCGGTTCTGTTGCTCTGTGACCTCCTGTTGCAATTTGCTGGAAAGCAAGTGAATCCTGTGCCAAGACACACTGGCACACATCTGTGATTGCATGCCAGGTCCCCAGGAGGCTAAGGTGGGAGGATTGCTTGAGCCCAGGAGTTCGAGACCAGCCTGGGCAACATAGTGAGGCCTTGTCTCTACAAAAGATAAACAAAATTAGTCAGGTGTGGTGGCATGCACCTTTGGTGTTGGCTATTCAGGAGGCTGAGGTGGGAGGATGGCTTGAGCCCTAGAGGTCTAGACTTCAGTGAGCTGTGATCATGCCATTGTACTCCAGCCTGGGCAAAAGAGCAAGACCCGGCCGGGCGCGGTGGCTCACACCTGTAATCCCAGCATTTTGGGAGGCTGAGGCGGGCATATCACCTGAGGTCGGGAGTTCAAGACCAGCCTGACCAACATGGAGAAACCCCATCTCTACTAAAAAATGCAAAATTAGCCAGGCGTGTTGGCGCAGGCCTGTAATCCTAGCTACTCAGGAGGCTGAGGCAGGAGAATCACTGGAACCTGGGAGGTGGAGGTTGCAGTGAGCTGAGATGGTGCCATTGCACCCCAGCCTGGGCAACAAGAGCAAAACTCCGTCTCAAAAAAAAAAAAAAAAAGTAAGACCCCATCTCTAAACACATATAGATACACATATAAAATACAAAATATATATAAAGAATAAAAATCGTATTAGAAAATCTAAGCTGGCCGGGCACAGTGGCTCACGCCTGTAGTCCCAGCACTTTGGAAGGCTGAGGCCAGTGGATCACCTGAGGTCAGGAGTTCAAGGCCAGCCTGGCCAACATGGTGACTTCCCAGCTCTACTAAAATTACAAAAAATTAGCTGGGCATGGTGGTGGGTGCCTATAATCCCAGCTACTTGGGAGGCTGAGGCAGGAGAACTGAACCTGGGAGGTGGAGGTTGCAGTGAGCCGAGATCACGCCATTGCACTCCAGCCTGGGCAACAAGAGTGAAACTCCATCTAAAAGAAAAGAAAAGAAAATAGCAGCAGCTGCCTATACAACCAAAGGACCAATGAGACTTTTTTTTTTTTTTGGGGATGGCGTCTCACCCTGTCGCCCAGGCTGGAGTGCGGTGGCACAATCTCGGCTCACTGCAAACTCCACCTCCCGGGTTCATGCCATTCTCCTGCCTCAGCCTCCCGAGTAGCTGGGACTACAGGTGCCCGCCACCACGCCTGGCTAATTTTTTGTATTTTTAGTAGAGACGGGGTTTCACCGTGTTAGCCAGGATGGTCTCGATCTCCTGACCTCGTGATCCTCCCGCCTTGGCCTCCCAAAGTGCTGGGATTACAGGCGTGAGCCACTGCGCCCGGCCAAGATCACCTAGATTTTCTTCTAGAAGTTGTAGAGTTTTGTAGAGTTTTTTCTCCTTCCCTTCCTCCTCCCTCCTCCTCCCTCCTCCCTCCTTCCCTCTCCCCCTCCCCTCCTCCCCCTCCCCCTCCCTCCCTCCCTCCTTCCCTCTCTTCCTCCCTTCCTCCCTTCCTTTCTTTCCTTCCTTCCTTCCTTCCTTATTTTTGTTTTCTCTCCCTTCCATTCTCCACCTTCCTCTTGCACCATCACCTATAGCTTTGTATTTGACATATAGGTCTACAATTCTTTGTGTTTGTTTGCATGGTATAATATATATGGCATACAATTTACCCTTTTTTTTTTTTTTTTTTTTTTTGAGACAGAGTCTTGCTCTGTCGCCCAGGCTGGAGTGCAGTGGTGCAATCTCGGCTCACTGCAACCTCCGCCTCCTGGGTTCAAGCGATTCTCCTGCCTCAGCCTCCCGAATAGCTGGGAATACAGGTGCGGGCGCCACCACGCCCAGTTAATTTTTGTATTTTTGGTAGAGATGGTGTTTGGCCATGTTGGCAAGGGTAGTCTCGAATTCCTGACCTCAAGTCATCCGACCGCCTTGGCCTCCCAAAGTGCTGGGATTATAGGCATGAGCCACCGCGCCCAGCCACAATTTACCATTTTAACCTGTCAACGCAAAGAGTCAAACTTTAAAATATTCGAAGAGATTTATTCTGAGGCAAATATGAGTGATCATAGCCCATGACATAGCTCTCAGGAGGTCCTGGGAACATATGCCCAAGGTGGTTCGGGAGCAGCTTGGTTTGATACATTTTAGGGAGGCAAGAGACATCAATCAAACACATCTGAGAAATACGCTGGTTTGGTACAGAAAGGTGGGACAATTCAAAGGAGGTGGCGGGTCTTCCAGGCTATAGGTAAATTTGAACATTTTCTGGTGGACAATTGGTTGAGTTTGTCTAAAGGCCTGGGATTAAGCTGGGCATGGTGGCTCACCTCTGTAATCCCAGCACTTCTGGAGGCTGAAGTGGGTGGATCACTTGAGGTCAGGAGTTGGAGTCCAGCCTGACCAACATGATGAAACCCTGTTTCTATCAAAAATACAAAAAAATTAGCCGGGCATGGTGGCAGGTGCCTATAATCCCAGCTACTCTGGAGGCTGAGGCAGGAAAATCTCTTGAACCCGGGAGATGGAGGTTTCAGCGAGTCGAGATCATGTCACTGTGCTCTAGGCTAGGCAACAGAGTGAGACTCTGTCTCTAAATAAATAAATAAATAAATAAACAAACAAACAAAATAAAGACCTGGGATTAATAGAAAGGAAATGTTCAGGTTCAGATAAAAGATTATGGAGACCAAGGTTTGTTTGTTTGTTTTGAGACAGAGTTTCGCTCTTGTTGCCCAGGTTGGAGTGCAATGGCACGATATTGGCTCACTGCAACCTCGGCCTCCCGGGTTCAAGCAATTCTCCTGCCTCAGCCTCCTGAGTAGCTGGGATTAGAGGAATGGGCCACCATGCCAGACTAATTTTGTATTTTTAGTAGAGATGGGGTTTCTCCGTGTTGGTCAGGCTAGTCTCGAACTCCTGACCTCAGGTGATCTGCCTGCCTCCGCCTCCCAAAGTGCTGGGATTACAGGCGTGAGCGACCACACCTGGCCCAAGGCCATTTCAAAATATGGTAAAGAAACATGTTTTGGGGTAAAATACTTTTATTTTCTTCTTTGCCACATAATGTTATGGCAGAGTCAGGTTGGAAAGTAAGTGACGATATATAGGATTAAATAAAACCCATCTGATGAGGATTTATGGTTTGTGGGGCAGGCCCCTTAGATAGGAATCTGGGCAAGATAAAAAATATCGGAGCTTAGTTCTCAAACCATTTTTAAGTATGCAACTCAGTGGTATTAAGTACATTCGCGTTGTTTTGCAACCATCACTGTCAGAAGTATGTAAACCAGAGCGACTCCGTCTTGAATAAGGGCTGGGTAAAATCAGCCTGAGACCTACTGGGCTGAATTCCCAGGTGGTTAAGTCATTCTAAGTCACAGGATGAGACAGGAGGTCAGCACAAGATACAGGTTATAAAGACCTTGCTGATAAAACAGATTGCAATAAAGAAGCCAGCTGAAACCCACCAAGACCAAGATGACGACATGAGTGGCCTCTGGTTGTCCTCACTGCTGCACTCTCACCAGTGCCATGACGGTTTACAGATGCCGTGGCAGCATCAGGAAGCTACCCTCTATGCTCTAAAAAGGGGAGGCATGAATAATCCACCCCTTGTTTAGCATATCATCAAGAAATAACCATAAAAATGGGCAACCAGCAGGCCTCGGGGCTGCTCTGTCTATGGAATAGCCATTCTTTTATTCCTTTACTTTTCTAATAAACTTGCTTTCACTTTATGGACTTGTCCTGAATTCTTTCTTGTGCGAGATCTAAGAACCCTCTCTTGGAGTCTGAACTGGGAGCCCTTTCCCATAATATCTTCACCATTCATCTCCAGAACTTTTTCCAAACGGGAAATCTGTACCTATTAAATAATAGCACTGGCCGGGTGCTGTGGCTCACACCTGTAATCCCAGCACTTTGGGAGGCCGAGGCGGGTGGATCACGAGGTCAAGAGATCGAGACCATCCTGGCCAACATGGTGAAACCCCGTCTCTACTAAAAATACAAAAAAATTAGCCGGGCGTGGTAGCGCATGCCTGTAGTCCCAGCTACTCAGGAGGCTGAGGCAGGAGAATCTCTTGAACCTGGGAGGCGGAGGTTGAAGTGAACCAAGATCATGCCACTGCACTACAGCCTGGTGACAGAGTGAGACACTGTCTCAAAATAATAATAATTATGATAATAATAACACTCCATCCCTCTTCCCCCAGCCCCTGGTAACCTCCATTCTACTTTCTGTCTCTGTGAATTTTCCAATTCTAGGTACCTCACTATGGTCCCTTTTGTGTTCATTTTTTTGTTTTTTTTGAGTCTCACTCTGTCACCCAGGTTGGAGTACAGTGGCTCGATCTTGACTCACTGCAACCCCCACCTCCCAGGTTCAAGTGATTCTCCTGCCTCAGCCTCCCAAGTAGCTGGGATTACAGGTGCCCACTACCACTCCTGGCTAATTTTTGTATTTTTAGTAGAGACGGGGTTTCACCATCTTGGCCAAGCTGGTCTTGAACCCCTGACCTCAGGTGATCTACCCATCTTGGCCTTCTAAAGTGCTGGGATTACAGGTGTGAGCCACTGTGCCTGGTCTGTGTTCATTTTTGTTTTGTTTTGTTTTTAGATTTTTAAAAAGTTTTAAAATTTTTTGTAGAGAGGGGTTCTCACTTGTTCAAGGCCGGTCTCGAACTCTTGGGCTCAAGCAATTCTCCTGTTTCAGCCCCCAAAAGTGCTGGGATTACAGGCGTGAGCCACTGCACCTGGCTGCATTCATTTTTTACGAAAGGTGTAAAGTCTGTGCCTATTTTTTGCGTATGGACATCTGATTGTTCTAGCACCATCTGTGGAAAATGTAACCACACCAGACCAATCTGGTTCACCTTTTTTTTTTTCTTGAAGACAGAGTCTCACTCTGTCGCCCAGGCTGGAGTCTAGTGGCGCAGTCTCAGCTCACAGCAGCCTCTGCTTCCTGAGTTCAAGTGATCCTCCTGTCTCAGCCTCCTGAGTAGCTGGGATTACAGGTGAGCACCACCACACCTGGCTAATTTTTGTATTTTTAGTAGAGATGGGGTTTCACTATATTGGCCAGGCTGGTCTCAAACTCCTGACCTCAGGTGATCCGCCCGCCTCGGCCTCCCAATGGTTCAATTTTTTTTTTTTTTTGGAGTCTCGCTCTGTCACCCAGGATGAAGTGCAGTGGCGTGATCTCAGCTCACTGCAAGCTCCGCCTCCCGGGTTCACGCCATTCTCCTGCCTCAGCCTCTGGAGTAGCTGGGACTACAGGTGCCCGCCACCACACCCGGCTAATTTTGTTTTTGTATTTTTAGTAGAGACGGGGTTTCACCATGTTAGCCAGGATGGTCTCGGCTAGTCTCGATCTCCTGACCTCGTGATCTGCCCGCCTCGGACTCCCAATGTGCTGGGATTACAGGTGTGAGCCACCGCGCCCGGTCCCAATGGTTCAACTTTTTATTTTTTATTTTTTTTCAAGAAGGAGTTTCACTCTTGTTGCCCAGGCTGGAGTGCAATGGCAGGATCTCGGCTCACCACAACCTCCGCCTCCCAGGTTCAAGCGATTCTCCTGCCTCAACCTCCCTAGTTGCTGGGATTATAGGCATGTGCCACCACGCCCGGCTAATTTTGTAGTTTTAGTAGAGACGGAGTTTCTCCATGTTGGTCAGGCTGGTCTTGCACTCCCGACCTCAGGTGATCCGCCCGCCTCAGCCTCCCAAAGTGCTGGAATTACAGGCGTGAGCCACCACGCCCGGTCAGTTCAACTTTTATGTAGCAGAGTTGTGAGTTGTTTTTCAGTTGCCACGGACCCCCAGGTAGAAGGTCGCATAACCTGAGCATGTCCAGGTGAACCAACTGTGTAACCACAGGCAGAACCTAAGTGCTCCCACTGAGGAGAGAGGGGTGGAGACTGAATTAAGAAGCAGACACTGCATGACAGGACCCAGGATCCAATCAGAGTGAGCCCTGACATCATCCCATGGCCGGATCCAATCAGATCATGCCTCCCGGCATCACCTCAGTGCAAGATCCAATCAGAACACGCCTCATTACCCTATGCTTATAAAAGCTGCCCCAGCCTGCAGCTCCCGGAGACAGATTTGAATGTTTCTTCCTGTCTCCGTGCAGTCGACTTGCAATAAAGCTTTTATTTTCTGAAAAGCTGGTGCCATGTATTGGCCTGTATGTGCATTGGGCAGGGAACACATTGATTGCATAGACAGCAAAAAGACTGTCCTTTCTCCGTTGAATTGCCTGTGAGCTTTTGTCAAAGATCAATTGATTATATTGGTGTGGATTTATTTCTGGACTTTCTGTTCTGTTGATCTGTGTGTCTTCTTTTGCCAATACTGTCTTGGTTATTGCAGATTTCCAGAACGTCTTGATATTGGGTAGTGACAGTCCTCCAACTTGGTTCTTCTTTGATATTTTGTAGGCTATTCTCAGTCTTTGTCTTTCTGTATCAATTTTAGGATCAGTTTGTCAATATCTACAACCTGGCAACATCTATTAAAATTAAAAATATAGGCCGGGCACGGTGGCTCACGCCTGTAATCCCAGCACTTTGGGAGGCTGAGGCAGGCAGATCACGAGGTCAAGAGAGCAAGATCATCTTGGCCAACATGATGAAACCCCATCTCCACTAAAAATACAAAAATTAGCTGGGCGTGGTGCCACGCGCCTGTAGTCCCAGCTACTCGGGAGGCTGAGGCAGAGAACTGCTTGAACCTGGGAGGAGGAGGTTGCAGTGAGCCAATATTGCACCACTGCACTCCAGCCTGGTGACAGAGCGAGACTCGGTCTCAAAAAAAAAAAAAAAAAAAAAAAAAAATATATATATATATATATATATATATATATATATAGAGAGAGAGAGAGAGAGAGAGAGAGAGAGAGAGAAAGAGAGAGAGAGAGAGAGATCCTTCACCCAGCAACCTCATTGCTAGAAATCTTTCCCTTGGAAAGAAAATCGTCAGCACGTATGGGCATAGGTATAAAAATTAATTTTTGTAGAGACAGGGCCTCGCTCTAATGCCCAGGCTGGAGTGCAGTGGCGTGATCATGGCTCACTGCAGCCTCAACCTCCCAGGCTCAAGTGATTCTCTCACCTCAGACTTCCAAGTAGTTGGGACTACAGATGCCATCATGTTCGGCTAGTTTTTAAAAATTTTTTTGTAAAGACAGGAGTCTCATTACATTGTCCAGGCTAGTCTTGAACTGGTCTGAAGCGATCCTCCTGCCTTTGGCCTCCGAAAGTGCTGGGATTACAGGTGAGAGCCACTGCACCCAGCCAAAAAATTCTTGTTGCAGCATTTTTTGCTTACTTTTTGGTAGTGGTGGGGAATAAAACCTGTTAACCAAGTGAAAACTCATCAGTGGGGATGTGGTTGAATAAATGAAGGTTCATCCACACCATAGATGATTATCAAGCAATTAAAAAGAATGAATTCAGATTTTAGTAGGTGGTCTAAGAAGTTTCCAGAAAGTCCTGTGAATAAAAAAGTATGTTCAATATGATTCCATATTTATGAAACAATGACCCCATCCTCTCTTTTTGGTCTATGTATTTATGAATATCTACCTTCGTTTAATGAACAAAGAGAACAACCTGGTAGATTGTTAACTTGAAGAATGACCAAAGTAAGAGGAAATAAGAGAAAAAGAGAGGGTAGTTCAACCCCTGATGACTGTTGAAAAAAATAGTAACTTCTTTTTCTAAATCAGTGCTGTCCAATAGAAATATAAATGCAAGGTCAGGCTCAGTGACTCATGTCCATAATCCTAGCACTTTGGGAGGCTGAGGCAGGAGGATCGCTTGGGCCCAGGAGTTTGAGATCAGCTGGGACAACATGATGAAACCTTGTGTTTACAAAACATACAAAAGTTAGCCGGGTGTGGTGGCGGCACTTGTAATCCCACCTACTCGGGAGGCTGAGGTAGGAGGATTGCTTGAGCCTGGGAGGTTGAGGCTGTAGTGAGCCATGATCACACCACTGCATTCCAGCCTGGGCAACAGAACGTGATCTTGCCTAATAAAAAAGAAATAAAATAAAAACTAATGCAACCGACATAGACAATCTTAACTCTTTTAGAACCCACATTTTATTTCATATATATTTACTTATTTATATATATATTTTTGAGACGGAGTCTCACTCTGTTGCCTAGGCTGGAGTGCAGTGGTACGATCTTAGTTCACTGCAACCTCCGCCTCCCAGTTTCAAGCGATTCTCCTGCCTCAGCCTCCCGAATAGCTGGGATTTCAGGTCCCTGCCACTATGCCCAGCTAATTTTTTGTATTTTTAGTAGAGATGGGGTTTCACCATGTTGGCCAGGCTGGTTTCAAACTCCTAACCTCATGATCCGCCCACCTGGGCCTCCCAAAGTGCTGGGATTACAGGCGTAAGCCACCGAGTGGCCTAGAACCCACATTTTAAAAAGTAAAAAGAAACAGATGAAATTTTAATAATATAATTTACTTAGTCCAGTGTACCCAAAATATCAGCATTTCACCCCTGTCATTGCTATTTGAGGCATCTTACATTCTTTCTCTTGTATGAAGTGCTTGCGATTCCGTGTGGATTTCACACTTATATCTCCATAGAACTGGTTCAAATGCTCAAAAGCTCCCTGTGACCAGTGGCCACCTAACAATCTATGGGAAGACTTGAGTGCCCCCTAGTGACAGATTTGATTAACTTCCTCTTGGCAATGAGGTCCTCAAAGGTAAATCAGATGGCGTCGCTCCCTGCCTAGAACCCACCGTGGCTCCCTGCTGCCGCCAGGTCATGTCCACGCTCCTGGTTTTCAAGACTCCTTTCAATCTGAGTCCTGCTCGTCTCTCCACAAGCAACTTCCACTCCTTCCTTCCGGTCATATCAGATTTGCTCACCATTCATTCATTTACTGATCCATCGATTCAGCGTTTATTGAGTGCCAATGAAGGCCCTGGCACATGTGCGTTTTCTGAAGATCAGTGATATTCAGGTTTCTGGGTCTGACAATTTGCACTTAACCAACTTTATTTTTGAGTGTCAGTCTTCTTGTCTGACTTAACTAATGGCACCCTTAAGGTTTCAGAGGGCAGAGTGGAAAGCTGCAAGTGCACCCTTAGCCCGCAAGGATGAGACCAGAGGGAGAGAGGCTGGGCGGGCATTGGGGCCCCAGATAAATGGGTGCAGATGGCAGAACTGGCAGTGGGTGCCAGAGTCCTCTCTTCTCCCAGCAGGGCTAATCCTAATCCAGTTGAAGTCTGACCTCAAAGCCCACCTTGGCATCTCAAAATGCTGGGATTACAGGCTTGAGCCACTGCATCCCGGCCTCTCTTGCTTTCTTTCCCTCCCTCCCTCCCTCCCTTCTTTCCTTCCTTCCTTCCTTCCTTCCTTCCTTCCTTCCTTCCTTCCTTCCTTCCTTCCTTCCTTCCTCTCTTTCTCCTCTCTCTCTCTCTCTTTCTCCATTCTTTTGACAGAGTCTCACTCTGTCGCCCAGGCTGGAGTGCAGTGGCATGATCTCTGCTCACTGCAACCTCCGCCTCCCGGGTTCAAGCAATTCTCTTCTTCAGCCTCCCAAGTAACTGGGATTACAGGTGCCCACCACCACGCCTGGCTAATTTTTTTTGTATTTTTAGTAGAGATGGGGTTTCACCATCTTGGCCAGGCTGGTCTTGAACTCCTGACCTCATGATCCACCTGCCTCAGCCTCCCAAAGTGCTGGGATTACAGACGTGAGCCACTGCGCATCTTCTCTCCTCTCCTCTTTCTTCCTTTTTCTTCTCTCTCTTTCTCTATCTCTCTGTCTTTCTTTTTATTTGAAAGGGTCTTGCTCTGTCTCCCAGTCCGGAGTGCAGTGATGTGATCTCGGATCACTGTAGCCTCTACAGTGACATCTGGGGCTCCCAGACATCTGGGGCTCAAGTGATCTCATCTCAGTCTCCTGAGTAGCTGGGACTACAGACTCATGCCACCAGGCCTGGCTAATCTTTGTGTTGTTTGTAGAGACGGAGCTTGCCATGTTGCCCCAGCTGGTCTCTAACTCTTGCACTCAAGGGATCTGCCTGCCTTGGCCTCCCAAAGTGCTGGGATTACAGGTGTGATCCCCCGCTCCCGGCTCGACATGGAAATATTGCCAAGATGTAATAAGAAGTTAAAAGAGGCTGGGCGTGGTGGCTCACGCCTGTGATCCCACCACTTTCGGAGACCGAGGCAGGCAGATCATGAGGTCAGGAGATAGAGACCATCTTGGCCAACATGGTGAAACCCCGTCTCTATTAAAATACAAAAAAAAAAAAAAAAAATTGCCAGGTGTGGTGGCGTGTGCCTGTAGTCCCAGCTACTTGGGAGGCTGAGGCAGGGGAACTGCTTGAACAGGGGAGGCGGAAGTTGCAGTGAGCCGAGATCGCGCCACTGCACTGCAGCCTGGGTGACAGAGAGAAACTCTGTCACAAAAAAAAAAAAAAAAAAAAGTAAAATAAAATAAAGGGCCACCTAGTGTGTGATTCCATTTACGTGAAACGTCTAGGCCAGGCACGGTGGCTCATGCCTGTAATCCCAGCACTTTGGGAGGTCAAGGCAGATGGATCACTTGAGGCCAAGAGTTCAAGACCAGCCTGGCTAACATGATGAAATCCCGTTTCTACTAAAAATACCAAAAAAAAAAAAAATAGCCAGACGCGGTGCCGTGTGCACCTGTAATCCCTGCTACTCGGAAGGCTGAGGCAGGGAAACATTCGAACCTGGGAGGTGGAGGTTGCAGTAAGCCAAGATCATACTACCGCACTCCAGCCTGGGTGACAGAGGGAGACTTCATCTCAAAATAAAATAAAATAAAATAAAATAAAATAAAATAAAATAAAATAAATACGTGCAATGTCCGGAACAGGCAAATCCACAGAGAATAGAAAGTGGATTAGTGTTTGCCAGGGACTGGGGTATGGGGAATGGGGAGCAACTGCTAATGGGGACAGGATTTCATTCTGGGGTGATGAGTACGTTTTGGAACTAGATAGAGGGGGTGGCTGCACATACTGCGTGTACTGAACGCTACTGAATTGTACACTTGAACATAGTAAGTGCTATGTTGTGTGAAATTGATCTCAGTAAAAGAAAACAGTAAAAAGAAGATGGTAATTGAGAGGGATTGATTTAGTTTGCAAGAAAAAAATATATTTTTTTTACAAAGATGAGAAAAAGCAAATACAGAACAAGATACAAAGGTGCTAACATTTGTGTTTATTAGAAAGAGAAAGAGGCCAGGCACCGTGGCTCACGCCTGTAATCCCAGCACTTTGGGAGGCGGAGGCGGGCAGATCACATGGTCAGGAGTTCGAGACCAGCCTGGCCAATATGGTGAAACCCCGTCTCTACTAAAACTACAAAAATTAGGGTGTGGGGTGGGCGCC
This sequence comes from Homo sapiens, assembly GCF_000001405.40. Classification (NCBI taxonomy): domain Eukaryota; kingdom Metazoa; phylum Chordata; class Mammalia; order Primates; family Hominidae; genus Homo; species Homo sapiens. The sequence goes on along the minus strand of NC_000019.10, from coordinate 8,155,950 downwards.
TGTACTCCCAGCTACTCAGGAGGCTGAGGCAGGAGAATCGCTTAAACTTGGGAGGTGGAGGTTGCAGTGAGCTGAGAGTGTACCACTGCACTCCAGCCTGGGCGACAGAGCGAGACTCTGTCTGAACAAAAAAAGAAAAAAAAAGAAAGAAAGAAAGAAAGAAAGAAAGAAAGAAAGAGAAAGAGGCCAGGTGTGACGGCTCATGCCTGTAATCTCAGCACTTTGGGAGGATGAGTTGGGAGGATCACTTGATCCCAGAGTTCGAGACCAGCCTGGGCAACATAGTGAGACTCTATCTCTAAAAAAAAAAATTTTTTTAAATTAGACAGGTAGTATGTGCCTGTAGTCCTAGCTACTCTGGAGGCTGAGGTGGGAGGATTGCTTAAGCCCAATTCGAGGCTGCAGTGAGCTGTTATCTTCCCCACTGCACTTTAGCCTGGGTGACAGAGGGAGACCCTGTTTTTTTGTTTGTTTGTTTGTTTTTAATTATTTTTACAAAGAGGAAATAGGGCAAATACAGAACAATGTATAAAGGTGCAAACATGTGTGTTTATTAGAAAGAGAAATAATATATTGTATATGGACCCTAGACAGGTCCCCCAGCTAGAACATCAAGGCAATGGGGTGAGGGTGTGGCTGGGGGCCCAAGGCCACGGGGAAGGTTCCAGCTTTGTGGCCTGGGTTCAGATTTGCCTGTATTCTTTCCTGGTGGTGGGGTCCCAGTGGGCGATGTGGTGGCTCTGTGCCTCAGTTTCCTCATCTGTGTAATGGGATGATATCAGAGCCTGTCTTCAGGGTCTCTTGTGAGGATCCAGCTTGATCTCTTCCTCAGAGCTTTCCTGGGTCCTCTGCGGCTTCCCTCCCCGCTCCAAGCCTCATTCCTGGGCACGTGGCCAAACTCCTGGCGTTGTATGCAATGCTTTGACTCCCAGCTGCTTCCTGTGCTTATACAAAGAGGGCTCTGTCCCCAAGCCACCCTGGCCTAGGCTGGCCCAGCGCACTCCACACACCATAGACTGCAGGCATCTCCCCGTCCCTCCTCCCATCTCCTTGTCCCCAGCCTTGACCCTGTGCTCCTGGGCACACCCTGCCCACTCCTGTCTCCATGCCTTCCTCGAGCTCATGCTAATGAACATCTGGGGTCTGCTGGCTCTGGGTGCACACAGTCAAGTCCCGCCTATGAGGGGGGGCTCCATGGCTGCTCAGAAAGTCAAACGGAGGGTGGGGCTGGCGTGACTCACAGTGACCTTAACGGGATGACAGTGGCAGCAGCGGGGGGGGACAGTTCTGGGGGACATTAATAGTGTGACAATGTGACAGCAACAGGTGACAACGTCACAGGAACTGGGAATGATGGGAAGGCAACAGGTGACAGCAACAGGTGACACTGTAATTTTAAAACCCACTAGGGGCCAGGTGCAGTGGCTCACACCTGTAATCCCAGCACTTTGGGAGGCCAAGGCGGACATATCATGAGGTCAGGAATTCGAGACCAGCCTGACCAACATGGTGAAACCCCATCTCTACTAAAAATACAAAAAAAAAAAAAAAAAAATAGCCGGGTGTGGTGGCACACGCCTGTAATCCCAGCTACTTAGGAGGCTGAGGCAGGAGAATTCCTTGAACCCAGGAGGAGGAGGTTGCAGTGAGCCAAGATCCCACCACTGCACTCCAGCCTGGGTGACAGAGCAAGACTGCATCTCGGGGCGGGGGCGGTCCGGGGAGGACAAAAACCAAAAAAAGAGAACATCCACTAGGGGTCAGGCGCGGTGGCTCACACTTGTAATCCCCACAGTTTGGGACCGAGGCAGGTGGATCACCTGAGGTCTGGAGTTCAAGACCAGACTGGCCAATGTGGTGAAACCCCATCTCTACTAAAAATACAAAATTAGCCAGACGTGGTGGCAGGCACCTGTAATCCCAGCTACTCAGGAGGCTAAAACAGGAGAATCACTTAAACTGGGAGGTGGAGGTTGCAGTGAGCCGAGATGGCACCACTGCACTCCAGCCTGGGAGACAGAGCAAGACTCCATCTAAAAAAAAAAAAAAAAAAAAAAAAAGGAAAAAGAAAAAGAAAAAAAAAAAACTAGATGGTGATGTGTGCCTGTAGTCCCAGCTACTTGGGAGGCTGAGGCAGGAGAATGGCTTGAACCTGGGAGGCGGTTGCAGTGAGCTGAGATTGCACCACTGCACTCCAGCCTGGGCGACAGAGCAAGATTCTGTCAAAAAAACAAAAACAAAAACTTTAAAACACCAGATCCCCATTGGAGCCCCCATGGACCTCATTTTACTGAGGGTGGGGGGAACTGGTGCCAGCATCTCGGATCACTGAGCAGCATCAGGGCTTAGGGTGCCAGATGGTAATGAATGGTGTCTTCCTGGGGCCCGATCTGCATGTGATGTGTGTGAATGTGGTTGGCTGCGGCACCACCACGCTTGGTCACTCTTTCTGCTGAGCCCGGTTGTTGCTGATGCCAGTGAATTGTGATGTTAAGAACCCTGACATTCTGGGTAATGGTATGACCATGAGCCGGGGACTGTGTCACAGCAGAAAGGTGAAGGTGTAAAGGTGACAGGAGACATGCATGTCCCAGGTAGCGGAGCAACCAGAAAAGAGCAGGGTGTCACATGGACAGGTGACAATGAGACAGGGTCATAGGGACAAGTGACTGTAGAATAGGAACATGGTGATGATGATGATATACATACATATTTAGAGACAGGTTCATGATCTGTTATCCAGGCTGGAGTCCAGTGGCAACATCATAGCTCACTGCAGCCTCAAACTCCTGGGTTCAAGCACTCCTCCCACCTCAGCCTCCCAAGTAGCTGGGACTACAGGTACATGCCACCATGCCCAGCTAATTTTTCTATTTTTTTGTAGAGATGGGGTCTTGCTATGTTGCCCAGGCTTGCCTTGAACTCTTGGCCTCAAAGGATCCTCCACCTTGGCTTCCCAAAGTGTTGACATTACAGGCGTGAGGCACAGCGCCTGGCTGATGATGCAGTTTTGACGGAGAGACCATGCATGTGTTTTGTACAGTCCTGGGTGGGGGGACTGTGATATGCGGTAGGATTTAAAGCCTAAATGTCCCTTCTTTTTTTTTTTTTGAGATGGAGTCTCGCTCTGTCGCCTAGGCTAGAGCGCAGTGGCGTGATCTTGGCTCATTGCAGCCTCTGCCTCCCAGGTTCAAGCGATTCTCCTGCCTCAGCCTCCCAAGTACCTGGAACTACAGGTGTGTGCCCCCGTGCCTGGCTAATTTTTTTATTTATTTTTATTTTATTTATTTTTTTTTTGAGATGGAGTCTCGCTCTGTCGCCCATACTGGAGTGCAGTGGCACCATCTCGGCTCACTGCAAGCTCTGCCTCCCGGGTTCACACCATTCTCCTGCCTCAGCCTCCCGAGTAGCTGGAACTGCAGGCGCCCACCACCATGCCCAGCTAATTTTTTGTATTTTTAGTAGAGACGGGGTTTCACCATGTTAGCCAGGATGGTTTTGATCTCCTGAGCTCGTGATCCGCCCGCCTCAGCCTCCCAAAGTGCTGGGATTACAGGTGTGACCCACCGCGCCCAGCAATTTTTTATATTTTTAGTAGAGATGGGGTTTCACTGTGTTAGCCAGGATGGTCTTGATCTCCTGACCTCGTGATATGCCCAACTCGGCCTCCCAAAGCGTTGGGATTACAGGCGTGAGCCACCATGCCCAGCCTAAATGTCCCTTCTTAACAGTGTGATGTAATAAGGGTACAGTGGGGGGTGACACTGTCTGTGATACCACATCAATAACTGGCAATAACATAACAGACCAGGGTGGCACCATGGGAAGTCTGAAACTACAGCACGCGGTGTGGACAGTAGCTTGGGTTGGGGGCTGTGAACAACCAATGCCCACTATCTGCCGTTTTCGAGCACTTCAGTTGCGGTGACTTCCAACAGCTCCACATCCTGGTCTTGCCACACCCTCCGGCTTCCTTCTCCCCTCTCTTCTGGAGGGCAGGTAGGGAGACTTCTAGGACTGAGTCGCTCCCTGGCCCACAGTTCTTCCAGGAAAGCCCTCCTCCAGACTTAGCCATGGCAACAGTGGCTGTGCAGTGTCCCTGGGATGGGACAATCTCTCCCCACCTTTTGCACCTATGCTGGGCTGCTTCTAGGGCACCCGGTGCTTGTCCCCGTGCCCATGTAAGATTCATTTGTTGCAGAACAAATCTGGGTGGACCTTGGCAGAGGAGCCTGGAAAGAGGTGTCCAAGGTGGCCGGGGAAACTGGTTTGTCCACAATAGCCCCTGGGCCCACCCTCCAACAGGAACCCCACCCCCCTGTCTCTGCTGGGCCACCTCCATCCTGGGGTTCCCTCCCCAGTCCACCCTCCCCATGCCCCAGCACCCCACCTGACCCTTCTCACAGGGTCCACGGGCCCCTCCCTTGGCCAGGATGACTGGATCTTGTCCCTGAAGTCGGCGTCTGTCCCATGCTCCCCGAGCCCAGCCCTGGGGCCCTCAATGCTCCCCGGACACAGTCTAAGACCTGGAAGTGGAGCCTTGGGAGAACCTCCCCTTTCTGTGAGTCCACCGTGTCTCCCCTCAGAGGTGGGGGGGGAGCCTGCTGAGGGCTCCTCGGTGCTTCTAGCCTCTTCTTATGTTTCCTGCTTTCCTCTTGCTCCCTCCCCTTCTCCTCTCTCCTAAAGTTCCAACCTCACTCCATCCAGGCATGTTTGTTCTAAGTTCTCTCCTTCTCCAGGCCTTTGCCTGTTCTGTTTCCTCCAGCAAACTCCTATGCAACTGTCAAAACCTACTTCAAAAATCCCCTTCTGGGCCAGACTCGGTGGCTCACGCCTGTAATCTCAGCACTTTGGGAGGCCGAGGCAGGTGGATCACGATGTTAGGAGTTCGAGACCAGCCTGGCCAACATGGTGAATCCCCGTCTCTACTAAAGATACAAAAAATTTACCGGGCATGATGGCACAAGCCCGTAATCCCAGCTACTCGGAAGGCTGAAGCAGGAGAATTGCTTGAACCTGGGAGGTGGAGGTTGTAGTGAGCCAAGATCGTGCCATTGCACTCCAGCCTGGGTGACAGGGCAAGACTTTGTCTCAAAAAACAAACAAAACAAAACATAAACAAAATCCTCTCCCTCCCTGCAAATTGTGAGTTTACCCTATTGAACTCCCAAAGCTGACTTGCTGAATATACTCCCACCATAGCACTTCCGGAATGGAGACAGGGTCTCCAATTTTTGGAGATAGGGTCTTGCTCAGTTGCCCAGGCTGGAGTGCAGTGGCACAATCATAACTCACTGCAGCCTCAACCTCCTAGGCTGAAGCAGTCCTCCTGCCTCAGCCTCCTGAGTAGCTGGGACTATAGATGCATGCCACCAGGCCTGGCTAATTCTTTTTAATTTTTTTTTTTTTTTTTTTTTTAGAGATGGGGTCTCACTATGTTACCCAGGTTAGTCTCGAACTCCTGGTTTCAAGCCCACTGGGCTTACTTATTTATTAGATTCCGGAAGTACTGTGGTGGGGGGATATTCAGCACAATCAGCTTTGGGAGTTCAATAGAGTAAACTCACAATTTGCGGATAGGGAGGGAATTTTTGAACTGGACTTTGACAGATGCGTAGGAGTTTGCTGGATGGAGTAACAGCTTCAGGCCCAACGCACAGCTTCTGACAGATCCCCATGTTAAGGGTCTATTCTCAAAGGTATGAAGGTAGTGGAAAAGCCTAGAAATTTTTGTTTGGAGTACTGACAACAGATAGGGAGCCAAAATTCTTGTCTGGTCCCTTTGGTAGGTGGACAAACAGGTTCAAAGAGATTTGAAAGTTTACACCGTTTGAATTGTTAACCTCTTCATTTTGAGAACCAGATGAAAAACCTGGGCCCTTCTCCCTGGGAAATACAGCTTTGCCCAATGTTTTGTCAACATATTTAGGGGCCCCTGATCTCAGCCTAGTTAAGAATCCAGGCTCCAAGAGCCAGGTGAGTTTCCAACGTCACTCTCGCAATTCTCCTTGCTCGAGGGAGGGGGTGGCGGCTTGGGAGGCCCTGAGAGGGCCGCCCAGGTGAGTCCCGGGACTTCTCTGCCCAGGCTGTCGTCCAGGCCCTCCAAAAGTCAGAGCCCCACCTCCACCTTAGTCTCGATCCGAAAACGCGGCCCCGGCAGCCCCTACTAGGCGCCCCCAGCCCGCCCTCACATCCCTCCAGTCCATCGGAGTTTTTCACTCGGAGCCCCGGACCCTCCCCCGAGCCGCAGCCTCTCTCCCCGCCCCGGATCGGAGCCCCCCGTCCCCGCCCCGGGAGCTAAGAGGTGCAAACGCGCCCTCCTCCAACTCCTCCCGCCCCCAACTCCCCCCCGAGTGGCAGCTCTGGGCTGGGAACGCGGCGGGGTCGGCCTCTCGGCTTTGCGTTCCCGCCCCGGGTCCCCGGCGCCGCAGGAGCCCGCCCTGCAGCGCTGAGTCCCGCGCGTCCGCCTGCCGTGCCCGCCTCCACGCGCGCCGCCTCGCAGGTAGGTGAAGGCGCGGGGCCAGCGGCGGGGCGAGATCGCGGGCGCTGAAGGGTGGAGAAGGCGGGGGCGGGGGGGCCGGCAGGGGGAGGGGGAGAGGATTCCTTTGTTCGCAGCCGGGCAGCCCCGGGCCCAGCCCCCTCCCCTCTCCGCCTTCTAGTGGCGCCCGCCGCAGTGGGGAGTGGGGGCGCGGGGACCCGGCGGGAGGGGCTCGGCCGGGGCGCGGGGCCCCTGACCCCACAGGTGAGGGCGGAGCCAAGCGTGGTCGCGGCCGGGGGCCCTGCCGGGTGGAGATCGCGCCCCGCGGGCTCCGGGGGCGCCCCCTCCCCGTCGGCGAAGCTTGGTATCCCTCGCTGTTTGGCCCTCAGCCTCCACACCCCGTGCCGGGCGCGCCTTCTCTGCTCATTCATTCCACAAACTCCAGGGTGTGGCTCGCAGAAGCAGCGGTGTGTAGGGGGGACCGAGGCAAATCAGGCCAGAGACTCCCCCCACCTAATTCCCCCACCCGACCCGAGGCAGGGGGCTGGGGCGGAGGGAGTGGGGGAGGAGGGCTTGCAAGCCCCGAGGCTGCTTGGAGTCCACGGAGCCTCAGAGTGCGGACTGACCCGGACAACTGAGAAGAAAAAGAGGGCGCCCCTCTCCAGCCAGCCAACCCTCCAACGTTGACAGGGGTCTCTCCCTTCTCCGGGGCCTTTGGACAACCAGGTTGGCCCAGAGAGGGGCGTGGCCAAGACCACACAGCAGGGCTCCCCGCCCATTCTCCACCTAGGGCCGGTTCCTTTCCTCCCTGGAACCTGAATGGAACAGGAAGGCCACTTGGTCTGGCTTCTCTCCCTCAAGTATTTTGCCTCCACCCTCCAAACGGTCGTCTCCTGTCCCGGTCTTCTCCCTCCCGTCCTTCATGGCCCAGGAAAGACCCAGCCAAGGGGGGCAGGAGCGAGTTCCGTTCCTGATCTTCTTCCCCTCCTTCTTCTCTTCGTGGGCTTAAGCTCCGGCTTAGCCCCTCACTCATGGTGTGATGGCCTTAGTTTGTGCATCTGTGAAATGGGCACAGAAGCGGTCCCTTCCCTGCTGGGCACAGGGTTACTCTCTGCATTGGGAAGTTCCAGCCCCTGCCTGGGCCCCCTGCCCAGGGAGGCATCCAGCCCTGACCTGGGAGCAGTGAACAGTCAGAGGAGGCTTCCTGGAGGAGGTGTGATGTTAGAAAAGGGTCTTGCGGCTAAGGGTGCACAGCCCAGGCAAGACCGGCGTGGGATGTGGAGGCGAGGGGACACAGGGCCAGGTGGGGCCAGGCATTGCAGGAGTGGGGGTATCTGTGTCACAGAGGGACAGTGGGGTTGTTGCCTTCCACGACTTACCATCTTCCTCCTACCCTGGACGCTCTCTGGGCTCCACCGTCCCAGCTAGAACTTTGGGAATCTCCTCAATGCCCTCCACCTCCCACGACATGAGCCTCCCATTCCTCTCCTCTCTCTCCCATCTGGACAGCCCCCAGCCTTCTGACACCCTGTTTCCCCCCCGGGACCCTGCTGCCCTTCCCCACACCACCTAACATGCATTTCTGACCTTGCTCCTCCCACTCAAAGCTTTTCAAGGGCTCTTCATTGTCCTTGACGAATGAGCAAAAGCTGCATGACACTGCTATGCCCACTCCTGCAACGCCTGGCCCCACCTGGCCCCACCTGGCCCTCTCTCCCCTCCCTTCCACTTCCCACTCCCGTCTTGCCTTGGCTGTGCACCCTCAGCCCCAAGACCCTTCTCTAACATCACACCTCCTCCAGGAAGCCTCCTCTGACTGTTCACCGCTTCCCGGTTGGGGCTGGATGCCTCCTTGGGCTCCCAGAGGCCCCGGGGCTGCCCCATTTGGCAACCACCCTGCCCTCCTCGTTGTGTTGGGTCCCCCATGGCTAGGGTGGGGGGCTCATCTAGGGCTGACTCTGCTTCCTCTCCGCAGCCTCCAGGGGACACGCCATGACTCTGGAGGGTCTGTATTTGGCAAGGGGCCCCCTGGCCCGGCTCCTGCTGGCCTGGTCGGCCCTGTTGTGCATGGCAGGTGGCCAAGGCCGCTGGGACGGGGCCTTGGAGGCTGCAGGTCCTGGACGTGTGCGGAGGCGGGGCAGCCCAGGCATCTTGCAGGGGTGCGTGGTACCTGGGATGCTGGGAGACCCCTTCGGTGTGGATTGGGCTGTCCTGGGGCCAGCGGAATACCCGGGGGGATGTCCACACGGGCAGGGGCTCACCAGACCCATCTCGCTGTCCCCGAAGGCCGAATGTGTGCGGCTCCCGGTTCCATGCCTACTGCTGTCCAGGCTGGAGGACATTCCCTGGCAGGAGCCAGTGTGTCGTACGTGAGTGCTACCGCCGTCTGGAGGTGGGGGGGCACAGGCCGGGGACACTCTTACCTGCCTGCAGGTTCAGCTCTGTTTACACGGGGACTTAGCCAGGGACCTCTGGCTGAACCACAGGAATGGCCCTTGCATCTGCGTCTGTCCTCAGGGTTCCAGGCCAACCTGCCATGTTCATTTCCTTTGCCCTACAACCTCCTTGTGTCTGTCTGTCTCTCTGGTTCCCTTGCTTTGTCTCTGCCTCTCTCTATTCATCTCTGCTCATGTCTCTCTCTGTTGGTTTCTTTTCTTTATTATTATTATTTTTAGAGATGGGGGTCTCTGTGTTGCTCAGGCTGGTCTCAAACTCTGGCCTCAAGCGATTTTCCCATCTCAGCCTCCCAAAGTGCTAGGATTCCAGGTGTGAGCCACTGCACCTGGCCTCTCTCTGTTGGTTACTGTCTCTCTATCTAACTGATTCTCTCTCTCTCTGTTTCTCTGAGTCTCTCTCTGTTTGTCTCTCTCTGGCCTCACCCTCTCTTTCTGTTTCTGTCTCTGGAATCTGACTCCACTTCCCAGGAGACACCCAACCTCAGTATCCAGGACCCCAGCACCTCCAGCTCTGTCCTCACAGCTCAGCAGCTCTGGCCCAAAGAGCATTCTCTCCCCATGGCTCTAGCAGAGTCCCCAACCCACAGCCTGGGTCACACACCCTGCCCAGCCCAGCCCGAGAGTGGGGGGACATCCCATGAAAACAGGGGTGGGGTGTGCTATGAGCAGAGCCGGGGATGCAGATGACCAGCAGCGTCCACTGAGGTGTTCCGGCCAGCCCGGACACCAATGGAGCAGGGACGGCCCAGGCTCGGTCCTGGTCTTGACTGCCACCCGCTGCACTCATCCAGCCATCTGTAGGCGCGCCTGCGGTGAAGGCTTCTGCTCCCAGCCCAACCTGTGCACCTGTGCGGATGGGACGCTGGCTCCCAGCTGCGGGGTGAGCCGAGGTGAGCGGGAAGCGGCCTCTTGCGGGAGGGAGAAGAAGTTCACAGGGTTCTGGTTGCCACGAGGAGCCTGGGCTGCTTTTGTTGAAGGACAGGAGCGGGGCTGAGCATGCCTAGTCCTGCAGCCTTCCTAGGAGGGCATCTCGGGGCCCATCTCCACATTACTATGCGTCCTGCCTTCCTGTCCCCAGGGTCAGGGTGCAGTGTGAGCTGTATGAATGGGGGCACCTGCCGGGGGGCGTCCTGTCTGTGTCAGAAGGGCTACACAGGCACCGTGTGTGGGCAGCGTGAGTATCCCCATGGGACTCCCCTCTTTGCACACCTGGGACTGTGATCCCAGAGTATTAGTCTCTGCTGCCACCTGCCCACTGCCCAGGGTTCCTTCTTCCTGGACTGGAGATTGCAGGGGACGTTTATTGCCACAGTCTCTTTTTTTTTTTTTTTTTTTTGAGACAGAGTCTCGCTGTGTCACTCAGGCTGGAGTGCAGTGGCAAGATCTCGGCTTACTGCAAGCTCCGCCTCCCAGGTTCACGCCATTCTCCTGCCTCAGCCTCCCGAGTAGCTGGGACTACAGGTGCCCGCCACCTTGCCTGACTAATTTTTTTGTATTTTTAGTAGAGATGGGGTTTCACTGTGTTAGCCAGGATGGTCTTGATCTCCTGACCTCGTGATCCGCCCGCCTCAGCCTCCCAAAGTGCTGGGATTACAGGCGTGAGCTACCGTGCCCGGCCCTTTTTTTTTTTTTTTTTTTTTTTTGAGATGGAGTTTTGCTCTGTTGCCCAGGCTGGAATGCAGTGGCACCATCTCAGCTCACTGCAACCTCCGCCTCCCAGGTTTGAACAATTCTTCTGTGTCAGCCTCCTGAGTAGCTGGGATTAAAAGAGCCGGCCACCATGCCTGGCTAATTTTTGTATTTTTAGTAAAGATGGGGTTTCACTATATTGGACAGGCTGGTCTCGAACCCCTGACCTCAGGTGATCCACCTGCCTTGGCCTCCCAAAGCGCTCGGATTACAGGCGCTAGCCACTCAGCTCAGCCTCAGTCTTATTCAACCTGGGCCAGATCCTGGGGATTCCTGGGTGAAGACAGGCTTGCTGTGAACCCCAGCTCTCTCTGCTGCTGGGGGACCTCCAGCCATCACCCTCTCTCCTCCACAGCCATCTGTGACCGCGGCTGCCACAATGGGGGTCGCTGCATTGGGCCCAACCGCTGCGCCTGTGTGTATGGCTTCATGGGACCTCAATGTGAGAGAGGTACCAAGCATGCGCGGGTGGGAGGTAGACAGGGGACTCGATGGAGGAAAGGGGGTTTCCTGGAAGTCCCTGAGACATGGCCAGGCCTTGAAAGGAACCAGCTGGCCTCCTTCCCGCATTTGGGGCAGTCTGAGGACATTTCTTTCATTTGCTCATCTGTTCTCCAAAACATCTGCTATTCACTGGCTCTGAGCGAGCACCTGTGTTGGAGTCTGGTAGGAAAGAGAGAGGATGTGCCAGTCTGAGGGGCAGGGAGAAGAAACTGCAAGCAGAAGATTCTTATCTGGGGGTGTCAAGGCTAAGACAAGGGTTGGGGCAGCCCTGGAGCATGTGAAGGACAGAGAAACCATCTGCTCCATGGAAGGGAGTCAGGGAGGGCTTCCTGGAGGAGGGGACCCCTCAGCTGGATCTGGTAGGGTGGACTGGACTTCATGAGATGGGCAAACCCCCTCTTTATTGCACCCTAATTCTCTCTTTTTTTTTTGAGACAAAGTTTTGCTCTTTCGGGCTAGAGTGCAGTGATATGATCTCGGCTCACTGCAACCTCTGCCTCCCAGGTTCAACCAATCCTCCCGCTTCAGCCTCCCGAGTAGCTGGGATTACAGGCATCCCCACGCTCAGCTAATTTTTGTAATTTTAGTAGAGATGAGGTTTTGCCATGTTGGCCAGGCTGGCCTCGAACTCCTGGCCTCAAGTGATCTGCCTGTCTCAGCCTCCCAAAATGAGCCACCACACCCAGTCACCCTAACTCTTAAAAATGATCCCATTTTTAAGACGGCTAAGATAGGTGGGGTCACCTGCTGAGAGGTTGTTACCAAAATTAAGAGGGTGGATGTACCAGGAGTTTGAGATCAACCTGGGTAGCATAGTGAGACACCCCCCCTCTCTAAAAAAAGTAAAAAATTAGCCTGGCATGGTGGTGCATATCTGTAGTCTCAGGCTGAAGTGGGAGGATTGCATGAGCCCAGGAGTTCAAGGCTGCAGTGAGCCGTGGTGGTGCCACTGCATTCCAGCCTGGGTGACAGAACCAGACCCTCTGTCTCTTAAAAAAAAAAAAGAAAGAAAGAAAGAAAGAAAGAAAAGAGGCCAGGCACTGTGGCTCATGCCTGCAATTCTAGCATTTTGGGAGGCCGAGGCGGGCAGATCACTCGAGGCCAGGAGTTTGAGACCAGCCATGGCCAACATGGCAAAAGCCATCTCTACTAAAAATACACAAAAAAATGTAACTGGGTGTGGTAGCGCGTGCCTGTAGTCCCAGCTACTTGGAAGGCTGAGGCATGAGAATTTTTTGAACCTGGGAGGCAGTGAGCCAAGATCGCACCACTGTACTCCAGCCTGGAAGACAGAGCGAAACCCTGTCTCAAAAAAAAAAAAAAAAAGAAAAGAAAAGAAAAAAGGAGAACGGACACAGTGATGTCTTTCTTGTGAGCAGTGAGGTGTGGCAGGGACGGGGAGAGAAGAAGGAGGGAGTCAGGATGAACCCAAGACCTGGTGAAAACTGGAGGGAAGGTAGTGGCGCACCCTGGCAGGGAGGAGGAGGACTCTGAGCTCAGTGTTGGCCGAGGGACTTGCAAGTTGTCTGGGAAGCAGCTGGACACTCAGGCCTGGGGCTGAGATGGCGGCGTGGGCTGCCCCATCCATGGGGACTGAAGCCCAGGGTGCCGCTGAGGATCCCCGTGAGAGAAGGAAGGGCCAGCAGAGACAGCCACCTGGGCATTTAAGCCTGGACAGAAAAAACCGAGCCCACAGGAGGCTGAGAAAGAGAAAGAGAACCGGAGTGGGTGGCGTCAGGGACATCCAGGCTTGTGAGATTTTCAGATGCAGAGGCATCTGGGTGCCTAATGTGGTGTTTCAGCCCAGGAAGGTGAGGATGGGCACGACCCGGGGACTAGAAGCTGGAGGGGCTGGGGAAGTGACCTGGGTTTGAGGGTGGGCTTCTGGAAACTGCAGAATTAGAACATGGGCTTGTTGGAGGCGGGCCAAGCTCTGGGTGGCAGAAGAGTGAGGGGGAGGGGGAGTGGGGGAGCTGCCAGGAATTACGTTTTGGCTTGGGGCATCAGGACAGCTGGGGGGTGGGGGTCTCTGTGAAGCCCCTCCTCCTTACGGGGCCTGAGTTGGGGGTGAGTTTGGCTTCTTCTCTTGGGAGCGGCTGCCCTTGTTTGAGAGCTAACTCCTTTATTGGAAACATCTGGGAGAAGAGAGCCAAGAAGTCACATCTGGGCTCATGTACTGGGGTTGGGGGAACCAATGCGGTCACCTTGGGCTGGGCCTGATGGGGATTGGGGATGTGATGTTGGGGGTCCAGAGAATTTAGGCAGATAACAGATCCTTCCCCAAATCTGGGCGATATGGCAGGGCCAGGCGTGTGCTCAAGGACTAGACATGCTTTTTAGCTGGGCATCCGTGGGTCCCTGCCCAGGCCTGAAGGGAGGATAGGCCTGGGGAAGGAGTCCCATCAGTTCAGACAGGGTGTTCACACAGGCCCTGAGCTTTATTGGCTTGGAGGTGCTGGTCTCTTGGAAGTTGGTCAGGAAATGCTTTGAAGAAAAAGGGTTTTGAAGGGTGAATAGGAGTTCGTTAGGTAGGGAAAGGGGAGGAAAGATATTCTATTTAGTAAGGGAGCAGCATAAGTAAAGCCTGGTCTGTGGGTGCAGGGGCCGCTGAGAAGGTGTTAGAGACGCAGAGATCTCCAGACAGGGGCAGCCCTCAGCCAGGTACCCACATCTGTCTGCCCTGCAGATTACCGGACGGGACCCTGCTTTGGCCAAGTAGGCCCCGAGGGGTGCCAGCATCAGCTGACGGGCCTCGTGTGCACCAAGGCACTTTGCTGTGCCACTGTGGGCCGTGCCTGGGGCCTTCCATGTGAACTTTGCCCTGCACAGCCACACCCCTGCCGCCGCGGCTTCATCCCCAATATCCACACGGGGGCCTGCCAAGGTGAATAGTGGGGTCAGGGCTGAGTGGGAGGCCTTAGCTGCCTTGGTTCTTCCCTCCGATGGGCCTCTCACTCCCCTGCCGGGCTTTGTCCTTGCAGATGTGGATGAGTGCCAGGCTGTGCCAGGCCTGTGCCAGGGAGGCAGCTGCGTCAACATGGTGGGCTCCTTCCATTGCCGCTGTCCAGTTGGACACCGGCTCAGTGACAGCAGCGCCGCATGTGAAGGTGGGTGACTGGAGGGGGACAACCTGAGACCTCCTCTGTGACTCATGACCTGGGGGGCTCAGGCTCCCCTGCAGGAAGGCAGAGGGGTCAGGCTGGTGAGGTGCCCAGTTCTGACCTTGTCCCTGTTTATGTAGATGTGAATGAGTGTCTCAGCCTGTCCGGCCTCTGTTCTGGGGGTGACTGCACCAACACTGTCGGGAGCTACGTGTGCACCTGTTCCCAAGGTTTTGCCAGCAGCCTGGATGGCACCCACTGCCTGAGTGAACCGAGGGGCTGGAGCGGGAGAGAGTGGGTAGGAGAGAGACCCCTTGTTCAGCTGTCTGTCTCTCTCTTTTTTTTTTTTTTTTTTTTGAGACAGAGTCTCACTCTGTTACCCAGGCTGGAGTGCAGTGGTGTGATCTCAGCTCACTGCAACCTCTGCCTCCCAGTTCAAGAGATCCTCCTGCCTCAGCCTCCCAAGTAGCTGGGAGTACAGGCGCACGCCACCACGCCTAGCTAATTTTTTTTTTTTTTTTTTTTTTTGAGACGGAGTCTCGCTCTGTCGCCCAGGCTGGAGTGCAGTGGCGCGATCTCGGCTCACTGCAAGCTCCGCCTCCTGGGTTCACGCCATTCCCCTGCCTCAGCCTCCCGAGTAGCTGGGACTACAGGCGCCCGCTACCACGCCCGGATAATTTTTTTGTATTTTTTTAGTAGAGACGGGGTTTCACCGTGTTAGCCAGGATGGTCTCGATCTCCTGACCTCGTGATCCGCCCGCCTCGGCCTCCCAAAGTGCTGGGATTACAGGCGTGAGCCACCGCGCCCGGCTGGCCAACTCCAGACTTTCTAGGTCTCCACCACTGGGGGCCATCACAGCTGGCATTGGGGGTAGCTGTGGATACATCCCCTGGACTGCGGGGGGTCCTCTCTCAGCTGCTAAAGACCAGTCCTTGGATTGGACAAACCAGCCTCTGAACATAGGCTTTGGAATCAGTCTGGGGCTCCCACCCAGAGCTGCTCACAGACCCTGTGGCCTTGGGCAAGTGACTTAACCGCTCTGTGCCTCAGTTTCCCCATCTGTAAAATGGTAGATAATAGCAGTACCTAGCTCAATGAAGATTGAGTAAGATATCATTTGGGGAGTAATTTGCAGAGGGCTGGTACCTAGAGGATACTTAATACACATTCATGGACACCAGGTAATGTTGGGGCTGTGGCCACTTAGCTCACAGTATGTACTTACAGCAATGACAGGATCATTTTTGTTAAAATTCTTTTAACACATTCTTACTCTGTCCCCCAGGCTGGAGTGCAATGGCACGATCTCGGCTCACTGCAACCTCCGCCTCCGGGGTTCAAGTGATTCTCCTGCCTCAGCCTCCCCAGTAGCTGGGATTACAGGCACCCACCACCATGCCCGGCTAATTTTTGCATTTTTAGTAGAGACGGGGTTTCACTGTGTTGGCCAGGCTGGTCTCAAACTCTTGACCTCAGGTGATCCACCCGCCTCAGCCTCCCAAAGTGCTGGGATTACAGGCATGAGCCACTGTGGCTGAGCATTTTTGTTGAAATTCTTATATTCTGTCTCTCTTGCTTGAGGGACTGTTGCCTGTTGGGTCCCCTGAGATTGGGAAATCGAGTTTCCCGTCCTCCTCTTGCTTTTGCAGCTGTGTGACTTTGGAGGAGTCTGTTGATCTCTCCTCGTCTGGGCAGGCCCAGTCCCCTTTGAGGGGCTATGATAAGGCTGAGAACGAAAAACCCTGACTCCCACGCACGTACCTGGGGGGCCCCCAGGTGCAAGGGGAGGGGACCAGGGAGGTAGAAACATTTGCATGTTTTCCCAGCTCGGGGCAGGTCAGGGGTGGCTCTCAGTGGCCCTCCCAGCTGCTGGGAGGAGTTTTTTAAACTGTGGGCCACCAGCCAAGGTTTGTGCATTTTTAAGCCTAAAAATATGCTCTTTAAGCCAGAGCCTGAGAAATCTGATCGCTGCATAAAGCCATTGACCTTGAGGGCGCAGTGGGAAGTGGAAGAGTGTTGGTGGTTCTCATACCTGGGGAGCCTGTCTGCCTCAGTCACCCCGGGGGCTGTAGCCGTCAATCCACCCCTCGACTCCTTGGGGCCCCTCTCTGAAATTCACAGTCTCGTAGGCTTCTGCATAATGCCTGAAGCCAGCAAGCAAAGACACACAGCTGCAGATCTCCGTGTCCCTGCCTGGTATCCCACTGGGGTAGTCCTTCCCCGCCAATGGGTCTTCCTTAGTGTGGTTGGATGCCTGCAGCGACGGGGAGCTCACTACCTCTGTGCGATAACTTGGAATCTTGGTAACAAGAGATGGCACTGAGCGAGCATTGGCCATATGTCAAACTTTTCTATTTATTTATTTATTTATTTTTGAGGCGGAATCTTGGTCTGTGGCCCAGGCTGGAGTGCAGTGGCACAATCTTGGCTCACTACAACCTCTGCCTCCCAGGTTGAAGTGATTCTCCTGCCTCAGCCTCCCAAGTAGCTGGGATTACAGGTGTGCGCCACCGCACCCGGCTAATTTTTGTATTTTTAGTAGAGACTGGGTTTCGTCATGTTGGCCAGGCTCTTCTTGAACTCCTGACCTCATGATCTACCCGCCTCAGCCTCCCAAAGTGCTGAGATTACAGGCGTGAGCCACTGCGCCCGGCCCTTTATTTTTTTTGAGACGGAGTCTCGCTCTGTTGCCCAGGCCGGAGTGCAGTGGCATGATCTCAGCTCACTGCAATCTTTGTCTCCTGGGTTCAAGCAATTAGTGATTCTCCTGCCTCAGCCTCCCAAGTAGCTGTGATTACAAGTGCCTGCCACCACCCTTGGCTAATTTTTGTATTTTTAGTAGACATGAGGTTTCGCCATGTTGGTCAGGCTGGTCTTGCACTCCTGACCTTAAGAGATCCTCCCGCCCCAGCCTCCCAAAGTGCTGGGATTACAGGTGTGAGCTACTGCATCTGGACTATGTCAGACTTTTCATCCAGGTAATACTTTTCCCGGGTGAGGTGGATGCTCCAAGCATCCCCATTTTATGGAGAGGAAACTGAGGCACAGAGCGGCAAACAGACCCGTCCTACAGGCAGTGCTGCTACAGCTGGAATTTGGATCCAGGTCTGGTCACTGATGTCCTGTGCTCATGGGCTCACCCTCTGATCTTTTGCAGACTACCGGGCCGGCGCCTGCTTCTCAGTGCTTTTCGGGGGCCGCTGTGCTGGAGACCTCGCCGGCCACTACACTCGCAGGCAGTGCTGCTGTGACAGGGGCAGGTGCTGGGCAGCTGGCCCGGTCCCTGAGCTGTGTCCTCCTCGGGGCTCCAGTGAGTAAGAGCTGCAGCCTGCAGGGCTGTGGGTGAGGAGGGGACAGGGGAGGGCCAAGGGCCTGGCCTCAACCCTGCTTCCTTGCAGATGAATTCCAGCAACTGTGCGCCCAGCGGCTGCCGCTGCTACCCGGCCACCCTGGCCTCTTCCCTGGCCTCCTGGGCTTCGGATCCAATGGCATGGGTCCCCCTCTTGGGCCAGCGCGACTCAACCCCCATGGCTCTGATGCGCGTGGGATCCCCAGCCTGGGCCCTGGCAACTCTAATATTGGTGAGGCCTGGGGCTTGGGAGGAACATTCCAAGACTTGAAGGATGGTCCTGGATCTGGGGAGAGAGCTCCAAACAGGGGACGGTGTCCAGGCCTCAGAGAGAGGGTTAGGGCTTTGGAGGGGGAACTCCTGGCCTGGCTAGTAGGGATGACAGTGCTAGTAGTGGATGGGGATGGAGGTAACTGGAGAATCTGGTCCTCAGAGTTAGGTTTTGGGCTGGACACAGCGACTCATGCCTATAATCCCAGTACTTTGGGAGGCCGAGGTGGAAGGATCACTTGAGGCCAGGAGTTCGAGACCAGCCTGGGTGACATAGCAAGACCCTGTCTCTACAGCAAATTGAAAATTAGCTAGGTGTGGTGATGCCCACCAGTAGTCCCTGCCACTCAGGAGGAAGAGGCAGGAGGATTGCTGGAGCCCAGGAGTTGGAAGCTGCAGTGAGCTGTGATTGTGTCACTGCCCTCCAACCTGGGTGACAGAGTGAGACCCTGTCTCTAAAAATAAATAAATAAATAAATAAATAAATAAATAAGTCAGAGTTCGGGCTTTGGGTGGGGAGTTTGGGCCTGGTGTGGGGGTCTGTCATGTAGGATTTAGGCCTGGGGTGGGTTCTTGCCCCATAATGAGGATTTGGGCCCAGAGTGGGAGTCTGGGCATCTCTGGGACCAGGTTAGAGGGATCTAGGCTCCAGATTGAAGGGATCTAAGGCTCCATTTTGGAGGGATCTAGGCCCCAGGTTGGAGGGATCTAGGCTCCAGGTTGGAGGGATCTAGGCTCCAGGTTGGAGGGATCTAAG
This sequence comes from Homo sapiens, assembly GCF_000001405.40. NCBI lineage: Eukaryota > Metazoa > Chordata > Mammalia > Primates > Hominidae > Homo > Homo sapiens. Next base: position 8,137,345 of record NC_000019.10, on the reverse strand, counting down.
GCCCCAGGTTGGAGGGATCTAAGGCCCCAGGTTGGAGGGATCTAGGGCCCAGGTTGGAGGGATCCAGGTCCCAGGTTGGAGGGATCTAGGCTTCAGGTTGGTGGGATCTAAGCCCCAGGTTGGAGATATCTAGGCCCCAGGTTGGAGGGATCTAGACCCCAGGTTGGAGGAATCTGGGTTCCAGGTTGGAGGGATCTAGGCACCAGGTTGGAGGAATCTGGGTTCCAGGTTGGAGGGATCTAGGCACCAGGTTGGAGAGATCTAGGCCCCAGGTTGGAGGGATCCAGGTCCCAGGTTGAAGGGATCGAGGTGCCAGTTTGGAGGGATCTAGGCTTCAGGTTGGAGGGATCCAGGCCCCAGGTTGGAGGGATCCAGGCCCCAGGTTGGAGGTATCTAGACCCCAGGTTGGAGGGATCCAGGCCCAGGTTGGAGGGATCCAGGCCCCAGGTTGGAGGGATCCAGGCCCAGGTTGGAGGGATCCAGGTCCCAGGTTGGAGGGATCCAGGCCCCAGGTTGGAGGTATCTAGACCCCAGGTTGGAGGGATCCAGGCCCAGGTTGGAGGGATCCAGGCCCCAGGTTGGAGGGATCCAGGCCCAGGTTGGAGGGATCTAGGTCCCAGGTTGGAGGGATCTAGATCCCAGGTTGGAGTTCTGAATCTAAGGCAGGACTCTCCATGAGAAAGAGGGCAGGATCTGAGCCAGGGCAGGGTCCCAGCCTTAGAGGGGGTATCTGGGCCTAGAGAGGTGAAGCCCAGGCTCCAGACTGGGGCGGGGCCAGCCACTGCTCAGATGCCTCTGCCGGCCCCACCCGTAGGCACTGCTACCCTGAACCAGACCATTGACATCTGCCGACACTTCACCAACCTGTGTCTGAATGGCCGCTGCCTGCCCACGCCTTCCAGCTACCGCTGCGAGTGTAACGTGGGCTACACCCAGGACGTGCGCGGCGAGTGCATTGGTGAGCCGCGGCCAGGTGGAAGGGGGGGCGGTTCTCACTGCCCTGCTCGTGCTAGGGCTCAGGGTCCTCTCCCCTCAGATGTAGACGAATGCACCAGCAGCCCCTGCCACCACGGTGACTGCGTCAACATCCCCGGCACCTACCACTGCCGGTGCTACCCGGGCTTCCAGGCCACGCCCACCAGGCAGGCATGCGTGGGTACGGCTGTCCATCCAAGAGTAGGGGTGATGTTGTTGGGGGTTCTGGCCCAGGCTTGGAGGGTGGGGAGCACCTCTTGACTGCCCGCCTGCCTTCCCCGCAGATGTGGACGAGTGCATTGTCAGTGGTGGCCTTTGTCACCTGGGCCGCTGTGTCAACACAGAGGGCAGCTTCCAGTGTGTCTGCAATGCAGGCTTCGAGCTCAGCCCTGACGGCAAGAACTGTGTGGGTGAGTTGGGGGTGGGCGGGTGGGCAGGGGCTTCCGGGCCCCACTAGCTGCCTTTTACAGCCACCTCAAATCTTCACTGTGCCCCCAAACCCACCTCCCTCCCTACGACGTCTCCTCTGCTCACCTCTGAACCCAGCAGCCCACCTGAGACTCTTCTTATCCCCTGACCACCCTGACTCTCCCCTTCATTTCCTCCTTCCTGAATTTATTCCGTGAATCACAAAAAAGGACCTTTTGGAGCCAGTCTTGGTGCCTTATGCCTGTAATCCCAGCACTTTGCGGGGCTGAGGCAGGAGAATCTCTTGAGCTGAAAAGGTTGAGGCTGCAGTGAGCTGTGATCGTGCCCCTGCACTCCAGCCTGGCTGATAGAGCGAGACTCCATCTCCTAAAAAAAAAAAGAAGTCCGAGTGTAGTGGATCACGCCTGTAATCCCAGCACTTTGGGAGGCCGAGGTCAGGAGTTCGAGACCAGCCTGACCAACACGGTGAAACCCCATCTCTACTAAATACAAAAAAATTAGCTGGGCGTGGTGGCAGACACCTGTAATCCCAGCTACTCGGGAGGCTGAGGCAGGAGAATTGCCTGAACCCAGGAGACGGAGGCTGCAATGAGCCAAGATCACACCACTGCTCTCCAGTGTGGGTGACAGAGAGAGACTCAGTCTCAAAAAAAAAAAAATTTTTTTTTATGCCAAGCTTGGTGGCTCACAACTGTAATCCCAGTACTTTGGAAGGCAGGAGGATCGCTTGAGGCCAGGAGTTCAAGATCAGCCTGAGCAACACAGCAAGACCCTGTCTCTACAGAAAACCCAAAAATTAGCCTGGCATGGTGGCAGGTGCCTGTAGTCCCAGCTACTCAGGAGGCTGAGGCAGGAGGATCACTTGAGCCCAGGAGTTCGGGGCTGCAGTGAGCTGTGATTGCATCACTGCACTCTAGCCTAGGTGACAGACCTAGACCTTGTTTCAAAAAATATATATATATATATGTAAAATATATATATTTATATTTATTTATATATTTATTCATTTATTCATTTTGAGTCTCTATCTCCCAGGCTGGAGTGCAGTGGTGCCATCTTGGCTCACTGCAACCTCTGCTGCCCGGGTTCAAGTGATTCTCCTGCCTCAGCCTCCTGAGTAGCTGGGATTACAGGTGTGCGCCACTGTGCCCGGCTAACGTTTGTATTTTTAGTAGAGATGGGGTTTCACCATGTTGGCCAGGCTGGTCTCGAACTCCTGACCTCAGGTGATCCGCCCGCCTTGGCCTCCCAAAGTGCTGAGATTACAGGCGTGAGCCATTGCGCCCGGCCATGTATTTATTTTTTTGTGATTGGGTCTCACTGTGTTGCCTAGGCTGGACTTTAACTCATATCCCAGCAGACAGACTAATATGCAAGCAAACACAGCCACAGACAACCACAGCTTCTTTGCCTCCCACACCCCAGGGAGGGGCCCTGGGGGGCTCAAGCAATGTCCCCGCCTCAGCCACTTGAGTAGCTGGGACTACAGGCATGAGCCAGCATACCTGGCTTCTTCATTCTTTTTCATGGCCGAATAATGTTCCATTACATGAATAGACCACAGTGTGTCGATCCATTCAGTAGGACACTGGTTCGTTTTCACTTTTTGCTGTTAGGCATAATGCTTCTGTGAATGCTCATGTGCATATTTTTGTGGTGGCATTTCATGCATTTATTTATTTTATTTATTTATTTATTTTGAGATGGAGTCTCACTCTGTCACCCAGGCTGGAGTGCAGTGGCGTGATCCTGGCTCACTGCAACCTCCACCTCCCGGGTTCACATCATTCCCCTGCCTCAGCCTCCCGAGTAACTGGGACCACAGGCACCCACCACCACGCCCGGCTGATTTTTTTTTTCTTTTTTTTTTTGTATTTTTAGTAGAGATGGGGTTTCACCATGTTAGCCAGGATGGTCTCGATCTCCTGACCTCGTGATCTGCCCATCTCGGCCTCCCAAAGTGCTGGGATTACGGGCGTGAACCACCGCACCCAGCCACATTTTTTTTTTTAAATGTATGTTCAGTCCTTTATTGTTTAAAACTGACATTTTGGAAAACAACTCATTTCTGCCCCTGCCACCTTCCATTAAATTAGACCATGGTCTTACTAACTTTATTTCCATTTCCTTTTTATGAAATTGAAGTAAGATTCACACAACCTAAATTTAATCATTTAAAAGTGAACAAGAGGTTGGGCGCGGTGGCTCACGCCTGTAATCCCAGCACTTTGGGAGGACGAGGCGGGCTTATCACGAGGTCAGGAGTTCAAGACTAGCCTGGCCAACATGGTGAAACCCCGTCTCTACTAAAAATACAAAAACAATTAGCCGGGCGTGGTGGTACATGCCTGTAATCCCAGCTACTCAGGAGGCTGAAGCAGGAGAATCGCTTGAACCCGCGAGGCGGAGGTTGCAGGGAGCTGAGATCACACCACTGTGCTCCAGCCTGGGCGACAGAGCGAGACTCTGTCTCAAAAAAAAAAAAATTGTTGTCTTTTAAAAAATATTTAAACATTTTAAAATGAACAATTCACTGATATTTAATAAATTTCCAATGTTGTGCAAAAACCACCACGTTTATTCAGCTTTGAGCAATTATTTATGCAGCACCTACTGTATTGCAGCCTGAGTAAGACAGGGGTCGTGCCCCGGGGAACTCAACGTCCCAGCGGACGGACTAATATACAAGCTCACACAGTCACAGACAACCACAGCTTGTTTGCCTCCCACACTCCAGGGAGGGATCCTGGGGGGTCAGCCCTGGAGCCTGGAGGAGGGAGAGAGAGGGTCCCAGTGTGGTCCCTGCCTGGACCCAGCCTCTGCTGTTGTCCCCAGACCACAACGAGTGTGCCACCAGCACCATGTGCGTCAACGGCGTGTGTCTCAACGAGGATGGCAGCTTCTCCTGCCTCTGCAAACCCGGCTTCCTGCTGGCGCCTGGCGGCCACTACTGCATGGGTGAGCCTGGAGCCAGACTGGCCAGCGGAGGGGAGAAGGGAGATGGGGAAGCAGAGGGACGGCGAGGAAGAGGAGAGGGACCGGACGGGGATGGGACGAGCATGAGAGAAGGAGAAGAGAAGGGGCAGGGAGAAAAAGAGGAGGAGGAGGGAAAAGGGGAGAAGCGAAGAAGAAGAAAAGGAAGAAAAGAAGAGGCAGGTGCCGTGGCTCACGCCTGTAGTCCCAGCACCTTGGGAGGCCGAGGCAGATGGATCATTTGAGGTCAGGAGTTCAAGACCAGCCTGGCCAAAATGGTGAAACCCCATCTCTACTAAAAATACAAAAATTAGCCAGGTATGGTGGTGGGCACCTGTAATCCCAGCTACTTGGGAGGCTGAGGCAGGAGAATTACTTGATCCTGGGAGGTAGAGGTTGCAGTGAGCCGAGATCGCGCCATTGCACTCCAGCCTGGGTGACAAGAGTGAGACTCCGTCTCAGAAGAAAAAAAAAGTGATGCATTATAAGGTGGGGAGGGGCCAGGTTCATCTGTGATCCCAGCACTTTGGGAGGCTGAGGTTAGAGGATCACTTGAGGACAGGAGTTCGAGACCAGCCTGAGCAACATAGTCAGACGCCATTTCTACCTAAAAAAAAAATTAGCTGGGCATGGTAGCATGCACCTGTAATCCCAGCACTTTGGAAGGCTGAGGCAGAAGGATCACTTGAGCTCAGGAGTTTGAGACCAGCCTGGGCAACATGATGAGACTCCGTCTCTATAAAAAATTTTTAAAAATTAGCCGAACATGGAGATGAACCCCTGTAGTCCCTCCTACTCGGGAGGCTGAGGCAGCAGGATCACTTGAGCCCTGGAGTTGGAGGCCGCAGTGAGCTATGATCACGCCACTGCACTCCAGTCTGGAAGTCAGACCCTGCGTTTAAAAAATTTGTTTAAAGGTGGAGAGAAAGATAGAAAGATGGGGAATAATGGGAGAGGAGAAGAGGAAGGAGACAAGAGGAGGAGAGGACAGAGACACAGACAACAGGAAACTGGAAAGACAAGAAACTGGAAAGGAAAGAAATAGAATGGCTGGGAAGATGGAAATGTTGGGAGATGGGGAGGGGAGAGAGGAAGGGAGCACGCTGGAACCCATCCCCGTGCCGCCACTGCTTCTGCAGACATTGACGAGTGCCAGACGCCCGGCATCTGCGTGAACGGCCACTGTACCAACACCGAGGGCTCCTTCCGCTGCCAGTGCCTGGGGGGGCTGGCGGTAGGCACGGATGGCCGCGTGTGCGTGGACACCCACGTGCGCAGCACCTGCTATGGGGCCATCGAGAAGGGCTCCTGTGCCCGCCCCTTCCCTGGCACTGTCACCAAGTCCGAGTGCTGCTGTGCCAATCCGGACCACGGTTTTGGGGAGCCCTGCCAGCTTTGTCCTGCCAAAGACTCCGGTGAGCATCCGGCTGCCCGGTCCCCATCGCCTCCTTGGTCTGAATGCCTCCATCGGTTCTCGCTTCTGGTGGGGGGTCATGGCTGCCATGGAGTGGGGGCTCTTCCCAAAAAGAGGCTGAAGGGAGTTGCTCCCTCCCCGGGGTTGGAGTTGTGTCTTAGTCCCAAACTCTTGCCCAAGACCAGAGGGCCTCATCCTTGCCTGTGGCTGAATCCGAGCCATGGCTAAGCTCCCTGACCCGTCTCACTCTGTCCCTCCATCCCCAGCTGAGTTCCAGGCACTGTGCAGCAGTGGGCTTGGCATTACCACGGATGGTCGAGGTAAGTGGAGCCCAGCCCCTCCAAACAGCAGCCAGCCTGCCCCTACCAGATGTGGGGAGAGCTGTGGTGGGAGGCTGTAGGAGTTGGCCCGGGGTTCCCGTAACAAAGTGCCCCAGACCAGACGGCTTCAACAACAGAAGCTGATTCTCTCACACTCCTGCAGGCCAGAGGTCGGAGATCAAGGTGCGGGCAGGGCTGGTTCCCTTGGAGGCTTTGAGGGAGAATCTGTCCCGGACCTCTCTCCAGCTTCTGGTGGTGGCTCCAGCAATCTTTGGCATTTCTTGGCTCATAGAGGCGTCACCCCATCTCTGCCTCCATCTTCACATGGTGTTCTCCCTGTATGCGTGTCTGTGTCCAAAACTCCCCCCACCCTTTTTTAGAGGTGAGATCTCACTCTATTGCCCAGGCTCGAGTGATGTGGTGCAATCACGGCTCACTGCAAACTCGACCTCTTGGGCTCAAGTGATACCACCTGAGTAGCTGGGACTACAGGCACTCACCACCATGACCTGCTCATTTGTTTTTCTTCCTTTTCTTTTCTTTTCTTTTCTTTTCTTTTCTTTTCTTTTCTTTTCCTTTCCTTTCCTTTCCTTTCTTTCTTTCTTTCTTTCTTTCTTTCTTTCTTTCTTTCTTTCTTTCTTTCTTTCTTTCATTCTTTCTTTCTTTCCTTCTCTCTCTCTCTCTCTTTCTTTCTCTTTCTTTTCTTTCTTTCTTTCTTTTTTTTTTGACAGAGTCTTGCTCTGTTACCCAGGCTGGAGTGCAGTGGCGTGATCTTGGCTCACTGCAACCTCCACCTCCTGGGTTCAAGCAATTCTCCTGCCTCAGCCTCCCAAATAGCTGGGATTACAGGCATGCAGCTCCATGCCCGGCTAATTTTTGTATTTTTTTTTTTTTAGTAGAGATGAGATTTTGCCATGTTGCCCAGGCTTGTCTCAAACTTCTAGCCTCAAGTGATCCACCCACCTTGGCCTCCCAAAGTGCTGTGATTACAGACACGAGCTGCCATGCCCAGCCAATTTTTAAAACATTTACTTTATGGCCAGATGCGGTGGCTCACGCCTGTAATTCCAGCACTTTGGGAGGCTGAGGGAGGTGGATCACTTGAGGTCAGGAGTTCCACACCAGCCTGGCCAACATGGTGAAACCCCATCTCTACTAAAAATAGAAAAATTAGCCAGCCGTGGTGGCAGGCGGCTGTAATCCCAGCTACTTGGGGGGCTGAGTCATGAGAATCACTTGAACGAGGGAGGTGGAGGTTGCAGTGAGCCGAGATCGCACCACTGCACTCCAGCCTGTGCGACAGAGTGAGACCCTATCTCAAAAAAAAAAAAATTGCTTTTTATAGACATGGGTCTCGCTATGTTGCCCAGGCTGGTCTCAAACTCCTGGGCTCAAGCAATCCTCCCACCTCAGCCTCCCAAAGTGGTGGGATTATAGGTGACAGCCATCATATCTGGCCTATAATTGCTTTTATTTTTATGACAGTGCCACTGTATGGATGTCTGCTCCACTATTTCCAAACTGGAGATAATTTGGCCCCTGCCCCACCGAGGTCATTTGACAATGTCTGGAGTAATACTGGGGCGGTGGGTGCTACTGACATCTCATGGGTGGAGGCCACGGGAGCTGCTCGACATCCTAAAATGCGTGGGATGGCCCCTCACAGCAAAAAATGATCTGGCCCCAAATGTCAGCAGTGTCCAGGCTGAGAAACCTCGGTTTAGAGCAGAATGAGGCCGGGTCTGGGCTGGAGCTATGGCCTTGGGGAATCTGACTTCTAGAGACCCCTGGTGCGCCGCGACACACCCTCCTCCTGCCTCGGACACACCCTCCTTCTGCTGCTGCTGACACACCCTCCTCCTGCCGCAGACATCAACGAGTGTGCTCTGGATCCTGAGGTTTGTGCCAATGGCGTGTGCGAGAACCTTCGGGGCAGCTACCGCTGTGTCTGCAACCTGGGTTATGAGGCAGGTGCCTCAGGCAAGGACTGCACAGGTGAGCATGCCACCTGGCGGGCGGATGTGTGGGCAGCCTCTCCCACTGCAGACCCCTCACCCCTCTCTCCCACCCCCACCCCACAGACGTGGATGAGTGTGCCCTCAACAGCCTCCTGTGTGACAACGGGTGGTGCCAGAATAGCCCTGGCAGCTACAGCTGCTCCTGCCCCCCCGGCTTCCACTTCTGGCAGGACACGGAGATCTGCAAAGGTACTGGGTCCCGGGCTCACGTGGGTTTGCACACACACATATGCTCCAACATACTTGGCATGTGGCGTGTGCACGCACAGGCATGCACACGCTCAAAGATGCTTACATGTTACCTCTATTCACACACGCATGCTATATGTAGTGTGCACACACACATATATGCACACGCTCAGATACTCACATGTTGCATGAGGTGTGTACACAAGACACACATGCACACGCTCAGAAACATCCTGTACACAACCACACTCAGACATGCACGTTGCATGTGTCATGCATACATACACCCAGACACGCTGCACATGCCGTGTATACACAGACACACATTCAGACATGCTGTGTGCATGTGTACACAGACATGCATACTCAAAGACACTTGCATATGTACCTACATTCACACATACACACTCAAAGACACATATATACTCACATTTACATACACACGTATTCTTTTTTTTTTTTTTTGAGACAGAGTCTTGCTCTATCACCCAGGCTGGAGTGCAGTGGCACGATCTCAGCTCACTGCAACCTCTGCCTCCTAGTTCAAGCGATTCTCCTGCCTCAGCCTCCCAAGTAGCTGGGATTACAGGCGTCCGTCACCAAGCCCAGATAATTTTTGTATTTTTAGTAGAGACAGGGTTTCACCATGTTCGCCAGGCTGGTCTCGAACTCCTGACCTCAAGTGATCCACCTGCTTCAGCCTCCCAAAGTGCTGGGATTATAGGCGCGAGCCACTACACCTGGCCCATACACTCATTCTCACACTTCCCACACTTGCAGTCCCAGTCACACATGGTTGTACACACTCAGGGGCACACAGTTATACACACATCCCAGAAGTCCTACTCGAACTACAGAGTTTGGAGAGCTTCTAGGTGGATGGACATATCTGTGTGCTGGCAGGGCGGCATGCCGAGAGCAGGCACGGAAGTTCCACATCTCCTCCCAGATACCCTGCACCGTGCATCTCTTCCATCTGGCTGTTCATCATTTGTAATATCCTTTATTTTTTTTATTTTATCTTTTTGAGACAGAGTCTCGCTCTGTCACCCAGGCTGGAGTGCAATGGGGCGATCTCGGCTCACTGCAACCTCCACCTCCTGGGTTCAAGCAATTCTCCCGCCGTTTAAGAGATTATCCTGTCTCTGCCTCCCAAGTAGCCCGGACTACAGGCGTGTGCCATCACGCCCAGCTAATTTGTATTTTTAATAGAGATGGTGTTTCATCGTGTTGGCCAGGCTGGTCTCGAACTCCTGACCTCAGTGATCCACCCGCCTCTGCCTCCCAAAGAGGTGGGATGACAGGCGTAAGCCACAGCGCCCAGCCTGTGATATCCTTTATAATAAACTAGTAAACGTAAGTTAAGTATTTCCCTGAGTCCTGTGAGCCCCTCTAGCGGATGATCAAGCCCGAGGAGAAGGCAGAAATTCTGGAGGCCCCGATTTGCAACTGGCATCTGGTGTGGAAGACAGTCTTGTGGGACTGAGCCCTCAACCTGTGGAGTCAGACTTTAACTCCAGGCAGAAAGCGTCAGAATTGAATTATAGGGCACCCTGCTGGTGTCGGAGAATTGGGCAGCTTGGCAAAAGCAAACAAACAAAAAACCCCATGTCTGATCACTGATGTATTCTGTGTTGTGTTGAAGGTGAGAGTAAGAATACAGTTTTGGCTGGGTGCAGTGACTCACGCCTATAATCCCAGCACTTTGGGAGGCTGAGGCGGGCGGACCACCTGAGGTTGGGAGTTTGAGACCAGCCTGGCCAACATCATGAAATCCTGTCTCTACTAAAAATACAAAAAAAGTTAGCCAGGCATGGTGGCACATGCCTGTAGTCCCAGCTACTTGGGAGGCTGAGGCACGAGAATCGCTTGAACCCGGGAGACGGAGGTTGCAGTGAGCCGGGATGGTGCCACTGCACTCCAACCTGGGTGACAGAGCGAGACTCTGTCTCAAAAAAAAAAAAAAAACAAAAAAAAAACAGTTTGGCATTTCCTGTCTCTTACAGCATGTACACACACAGCTCAGCACACACATGTGCTTGCATGCACATTTGATTCCAGTGCCCTCTGCATGCTTGTGCATCTGGGTGCACCCCGTGCCACCGGTTGCGGCGGCCCCTTGGGGAGGAGGGGTCCTGGCCAGGTAAGGCAACTCCTCCTGCAGCTCAGGACCTGGTGGGGGGCTGTCCCCACAGATGTCGACGAATGCCTGTCCAGCCCGTGTGTGAGTGGCGTCTGTCGGAACCTGGCCGGCTCCTACACCTGCAAATGTGGCCCTGGCAGCCGGCTGGACCCCTCTGGTACCTTCTGTCTAGGTGAGCGGCCCCGGAGCCCGACGGCGTTCCAGAGGCTGGGCGTCTATGGGTCAGGGTGCAGGTGTAGGGCCGGCAGGTGAGACAGGTGACCCGCCTCTTCTCCCCAGACAGCACCAAGGGCACCTGCTGGCTGAAGATCCAGGAGAGCCGCTGTGAGGTGAACCTTCAGGGAGCCAGCCTGCGGTCTGAGTGCTGCGCCACCCTCGGGGCAGCCTGGGGGAGCCCCTGCGAACGCTGCGAGATCGGTAGTATCCTCCTTGAGGCCTCCCAGGCACCCATGGGAAAAGCCCTCCATGGGGCGGGTCCCCCCTTGGGCTGGCATGAGAAAATGACTCCTCTCTTCACTCTTGTTCTCCCAGTTGCAGACCCTGCCTGTGCCCGGGGCTTTGCCCGGATGACGGGTGTCACCTGCGATGGTAACTGCCTGCCCGTGTCCAGCTCACCCCCTACTCCAGAGCCCGCACACAACCAGGCGCACCACCCTCATGGGTGCCACCTCCGGCCCCGCCCTGGAGTCTTTTGCGATGGGGACAGACGTTCTCCCTACCTGGTCCCCAGGCCTTCTTGAAAGTCCCCAGTCCCCGTGTCCCCGTCCCCTTCCTTCCTCCTCAAGGACAACTTGAGACCCCAGGGGAATGGCCAGCCAGCACCCTTCCCCTCCCTGGACCCTCCGGCTTTCCCTCCTCCTTACCCAGATGTGAACGAGTGTGAGTCCTTCCCGGGAGTCTGTCCCAACGGGCGTTGCGTCAACACTGCTGGGTCTTTCCGCTGTGAGTGTCCAGAGGGCCTGATGCTGGACGCCTCAGGCCGGCTGTGCGTGGGTGAGTCCAGGCGAGGTCCGCATACAGGGCCACACGTTCTTCCTTTGTTCCCTCCACCCGCAGTGACTTGAGGAACAGGAGAGATTTTTTTTTTTTTTTTTGAGATGGAGTCTCGCTCTGTCGCCCAGGCTGGAGTGCAGTGGCGCAATCTCGGCTCACTGTAACTTCCGCCTCCCGGGTTCAAGCGATTCTCCTGCCTCAGCCTCCTGAGTAGCTGGGATTACAGGCACATACCACCACGCCCAGCTAATTTTTGTATTTTTAGTAGAGATGGGGTTTCACCATGTTGGCTAGGATGGTCTCGAACTTCTGACCTCAGGTGATCTGCCCGCCTCGGCCTCCCAAAGTGTTGGGATTACAGGCGTGAGCCACCACGCCTGGCCTGAACAGGAGAGATTTCAGGCATCCTTTGGGATCCTCTGCCTCTGGCTAACATATCATGAAAGACATTTGGGTGGGTTTTTTTTTCTTTTTTCTTGAGACAGGGTCTCACTCTGTCACCCAGGCAGGAGTGCAGTGGCGCAATCTCATCTCACTACAACTTGCACTTCCTGGGTTCAACTGATTTTTGTACCTTGATCTCCTGAGCAGCTGGGACTACAGGTGTGCACCACCACACCCGCTAATTTATTTATTTATTGGTATATCTATATATATTTTTGTAGGGACAGGGTCTCACTCTCTTGCCTAGGCTGGTCTCAAACTCCTGGCCTCAAGGGATCCCCCTACCTCAGCATCCCGGAGTGCTGGAAGTCCAGCCAGGATTTATCTTTGAGGACAGTATTAGGTTCACAGCAAATATGAACACATAGCCCCCACCTCCACACACGTACAGCCTCCCCAACTCTCAACATCTTGCACTGGGGTTAGAAGGTGCATTTGTTACGATGGATGAAACTGCACGGGTACAGCATTGTCATCTCTAAGTCCATAGAGCACCTTAGGGTTTACCCTTGGTGTATTGGACATTCTATGGGTTTGGACGAACGTATAATGACGTATGTTCACCATTGTAGTGTCATACAGGGTAGTTTCTCTGCCCTAAAAATCCTTAGTGGCCGGGCATGGTGGCTCACGCCTGTAATGCCAGCACTTTGGGAGGCCGAGGCAGGTGGATTGCTTGAGGTTAGGAGTTCAAGACCAGCCTGGTAAACATGGTGAAACCCCATCTCTACTAAAATACAAAAATTAGGTGAGCGTGGTAGCGGTGTCTGTAATCCCAGCTACTCGGGAGGCTGAGGCAGGAGAATCGCTTGAACCCGGGAGGCGGAGGTTGCAGTGAGCTGAGATTGTGCCGCTGCACTACAGCCTGGGGGACAGAGCAAGACTCCGTCTAAAAAAAAAAAAAAAAATTGGCCAGGCACGGTAGCTCACACCTGTAATCCCAGCACTTTGGGAGGCTGAGGCGGGCAGATCACTTGAGTTCGAGATCAGCCTGGCCAACGTGGTGAAACCGAGTCTCTACTAAAAAATAACAAAAGTCAGCCGGGTGTGGTGGCACACACCTGTAATCCCAGCTCCTCGGGAGGCTGAGGCCGGAGAATTGCTTGAACCTGGGAGGTGGAGGTTATGGTGAGCTGAGATTGTGCCACTGCACTCCAGCCTGAGTGACAGAGCAAGACTATGTCTCAAAAGAAATCAATCAACCAATGAATCAATCACGTAAAAAAAATATGGATAGAGGGGCTTAGAACAGTGCTACAGAACAGTACACATAGTACCCTCCCAGACAGTGCCTGGAGGAAGTCACCCCTTTCCACTCTGGCCCTCGACCTGACTACGTCCGGGAGAAAGTTTCCGATGGGAGTGACTGAGCGGCACGCCTGTCCCGCAGTGGGCACAGTGTGGCAGGGGTGGGGACGCAGTGACTGTCCCCCGTGCAGATGTGAGATTGGAACCATGTTTCCTGCGATGGGATGAGGATGAGTGTGGGGTCACCCTGCCTGGCAAGTACCGGATGGACGTCTGCTGCTGCTCCATCGGGGCCGTGTGGGGAGTCGAGTGCGAGGCCTGCCCGGATCCCGAGTCTCTGGAGTTCGCCAGCCTGTGCCCGCGGGGGCTGGGCTTCGCCAGCCGGGACTTCCTGTCTGGCCGACCATTCTATAAAGGTGCGGTTGGGGAAGGGGTCAGGCCCCTGGAAGGATGGGGAGGGGCACGGCATAGGCAAAAGCCTGGAGATGGGAAGTGTGTTTGGGGGAAAAGGGGATGTGGGTAAGGCGAGGCACTAAGAACCCAGGGAGGGCTTGGTGTATGGATCCTGAGCTTGGGGACGTCAGGGTGGTTTGATGCCCCTGTACTTCAGATGTGAATGAATGCAAGGTGTTCCCTGGCCTCTGCACGCACGGTACCTGCAGAAACACGGTGGGCAGCTTCCACTGCGCCTGTGCGGGGGGCTTCGCCCTGGATGCCCAGGAACGGAACTGCACAGGTAGGTGCCACCTCTGCCTCTTGGAGAGAGCGTGATCCTTGGCAGGGATAGGGGCCTCAAATAAGACGTAGAGACAACACCTGTTCTTTTTCTTCTTCTTTTTTTTTTCGAGACGGAGTTTTACTCTTGTTATCCAGGCTGGAGTGCAATGGCACGATCTCGGCTCACTGCAACCTCCGCCTCCCAGGTTCAAGCGACTCTCCTGCCTCAGCCTCCTAAGTAGCTGGGATTACAGGCATGTGCCACCATGCCTGGCTAATTTTGTATTTTTCAGTAGTGATAGTGTTTCTCCGTGTTGGTCAGGCTGGACTTGAACTCCCGACCTCAGGTGATCCGCCCACCTCGGCCTCCCAAAGTGCTGGGATTACAGGTGTGAGCCACTGTGCCTGGCGAACACCTGTTCTTTGGGCACTTCTTGTGTCTGCCTCTGTGCTGTGTGACCTAGGGCAGGTGATTGCCCTCCTTGGGCTGCAGGGACCCTGACTATAAAAGAAGGGGCTGGGCTGGGCGCGGTGGCTCACATTTGTAATCCCAGCACTTTGGGAGGCTGAGGCGGGCGGATCACGATGTCAGGAGATCGAGACCATCCTGGCTAACACGGTGAAACCCTGTCTCTACTAAAAATACAAAAATTAGCCCAGCGTGGTGGCAGGCACCTGTAGTCCCAGCTACTCGGGAGGCTGAGGCAGGAGAATGGCGTGAACCCGGGATGCAGAGCTTGCAGTGAGCTGAGATCATGCCACTGCACTCCAGCCTGGGCGACAGAGACTCCATCTCAAAAAAAAAAGGGGGCGCTGGGCCAGGTGCGATGGATCACACCTGTAATCCCAGCACTTTGGGAGGCCAAGGCAGATGGATCACTTGAGGTCAAGAGTTCGAGACCAGCCTGGCCAACATGGCAATACCCCGTCTCTACTAAAGATACAAAAATTAGCTGGGCCTGGTGGCGGGCGCCTGTAATCCCAGCTACTCGGGAGGCCGAGGCAGGAGAATCACTTGAACCCGGGAGGCGGAGGTTGCAGTAAGCCAAGATTGTGCCATTGCACTCCAGCCTGGGTGACAGAACGAGACTGTGTCTCAAATATAAATAAATAAGTAAATAAAACATAAAAGAAGGGGCTGGCAAAGGTGACCTTTAGAGGCCTCCAGGGCCAGCATGGTGGCTCACGCCTGTGATCCCAGCACTTTTGGAGGCCAAGGTGGGAGGATTGCTTGAGCCCAAGAGTTTGAGACTATCCTGGGTAACACAGCGAGACCTCCATCTCTGCAAAAAATAAAAAAATTATTATTGCATTAACTGTAGTCCCAGCTATTCGAGAGGCTGAGGTAGAAGGATCCCTTGAGGCCCTGGGAGGTTGAGGCTGCAGTGAGCTGTGATCACACCACTGCACTCCAGCCTGAGTGAAAAACAAACAGGCCAGGCTCAGTGGCTCACACCTATAATCCTAGCACTTTGGGAGGCCAAGGCGGGTGGACTGCTTTAGGTCAGGAGTTTGAGACCAGCCTGGCCAACATGGCGAAACACCATCTCTACTAAAAATACAAAATTAGCCGGGCATGGTGGCACACACCTGTAATCCCAGCTACTCGGGAGGCTGAGGCAGGAGAATCGCTTGATCCTGGGAGGCAGAAGTTGCAGTGAGCCGAGATTGCATCACTGCACTCCATCCTGGGTGACAGAGCAAGACTCTGTCTCTAAAAAAGTAAATAAATAAATAAGTAATAAAAATAAAATAAAATAAAACAAACAAACAAATCTACCATCAAAATAAAGAAAATGGAGAACTCCCGTCTGTGAGAAAACTGCCTGCCCTTGTCATGTTTAGTTTGGGGTTCCTCCATTTCCTCGGCTCCTTTTGGGGGCTTCTGTTCTGCCTGTCATATCTACAGATTCGATGACCCCATACGGCACCCCATCATGCCTGCATCATGCCTCCCCTCTTGGCCTGTGCCTCCTTATGTCTGCAGATGGGCTTCCTCTAGCCCACACCTCCATCAAAGGACAGGGACCCCCCTGCCTCGTGCCCCATGATGCGGCCCACATGGCGCCTCCGGCCTCTGCCCCCTCTCCCCACAGATATCGACGAGTGTCGCATCTCTCCTGACCTCTGCGGCCAGGGCACCTGTGTCAACACGCCGGGCAGCTTTGAGTGCGAGTGTTTTCCCGGCTACGAGAGTGGCTTCATGCTGATGAAGAACTGCATGGGTCGGTGACTGCCGGGCAGGGGTGTGGTGGGCGCCCTGGGCAGGGAGGGCATTGAGGAGAGGGAGGGTGGGGACGGCTGTTGCTGTGTGGACGTGGATGGAGGGGGCAGGAGGAGGGAGGAGCTGTAAATTAGCTGAGGTACAGTGAGTCTGGGCTCCATGAGGCCTCGTCCTTAGGAGAGAGACCTGGGGCCTGAGACCTGGGGGTGGCCGGCACACTGGGGTGTGGTCTCCCAGGGAGGGTGTGTAGCTTGGGTAGAGGACAGGGACCCTCAGAGAAGCCTGGGAAATACTGCCGGTTATGAGGCCTCTCGTCCCCATCATTGACTTCGTTATTCATTTGATGAGCATTTCACATGCATCCTCTGAGCTAGAGGCACTGCAGGGAGCTCTAGCTCCAGGGAGCCCTCTTTCCTTGGAGCTCACAGCCTAACAGGAAGACAGACATGAATAACATGAATCGCTGAGGAAATGCAAAACTGGGCTGGGTGCAGTGGCCCTCGCCTGTAATCCCAGCATTTTGAGAGGCTGAGGCAGTAGGATTGCTTGAGTCCAGGAGTTCGAGGCCAGCCTGGGCAACATAACAAGACCCTGTCACTATAAAGTTTTTTAAAAATTAGCTAGGCATGGTGGCGCGTGCTACTCGGGAGGCTGAGGAGGGAGGATCCCTTGAGCCCAGGAGGTTGAGGCTGCAGTGAACCATAATCGCACTTTTGCACTCCAGCCTGGGTGACAGAGTGAGACCCTGTCTAAAGAAAAAAGGAAGGAAGGAAGGAAGGAAGAGGAAAAAGCCAGGCATGGTGGCTCATGCCTGTAATCCCAGCACTTTGGGAGGCTGAGGTGGGCAGATTGCCTGAGTTCAGGAGTTTGAAACCAGCCTGGGCAACATGGTGAAACCCCGTCTCTATTAAAATACAAAAAATTAGCTGGGTGTGGTGGCGTGCACCTGTAGGTCCAGCTACTCAGGAGGCTGAGGCAGGAGAATTGCTTGAACCCAGGAGGTGGAGGTTGCAGTGAGCCGAGATCGCGCCACTGCACTCCAGCCTGGGCGACAGAGCGAGATTCTGTCTCCAAATTAAAAAAAAAAAAAAAAGAAAGAAAGAAAGAAAAAGAAAAGAAAAGAAAAAAATGCAAAATTGCCACTGTCAGAAGCCCTTAAAAGGGCCACATGATCTGATGAGAGATGGCTGAGACAGGATTGCTTGAGACCAGGAGTTTAAGACCAGCTTGGTCAACATAGAGAGGCCCCGTCTCTACACAAAATTTAAAAATTAGCCGGGCATGGTGGTGCCTGCCTGTAGTCCCAGCTACTCAGGAGGCTGAAGTGGGAGGATAGTTTGAACACAGGAGGTGGAGGCTGCAGGGAGCTGTGATCGTGTCACTGCACTCCAGGCTGGGTAACAGTGTGAAAATCTGTCTCAAAAAAAAAAAAAAAAAAAAAAAAAGGCTGGGCTCGGTGGCTCATACCTGTAATCCTGGCAATTTGGGAGGCTGAGGCAGGTGAATCACTTGAGGTCAGGATTTTGAGACCAGCCTGGCCAACATGGTGAAACGCTGTCTCTACTAAAAATACAAAAATTAGCTGGGCTTGGTGATGCATGCCTGTAATCCCAGCTACTTGGGAGGCTGAGGCAGGAGAATTGCATGAACCCAGGAGGCGGAGGTTGCAGTGAGCCGAGATCGTGTCACTGCACTCCAGCTTGGGCAACAGAGCGAGACTCCATCTCAAAAACAACAACAACAAAAGGAAAGAAAGAAAGAATGGAGTGGGGGTGAAAAGGGTGAAGACACTGGAGAACAGCATGTGCAAAGGCCCTGGGGTGGGCCTGAGGGATGGAAGGATGATGCCTCTGTGGCTGAAGAGTGATGAGGCCATGGCGAGGCTGCCTGCTCCCTGCCCTGAGTCCTGGCGGGACTGAGCCTCAGCTTTCTGGCGTGTCCTGCAGGGAGTGGAGGAAGGCCTCTTAGTGCCGTTTCTAGTGGCCCCAAGAGTGTCAGCTTCGTGGCCTTTGTTCTTCTGAGAATCTCAGCCTCCCTCCCCATCTGGCTGGTCTCTGCTCCTGGTGCAGACCCCACTCCCCTGGGTCATCCCAACCCGGAGCCTCCAGGCTCTCCTGGCTCCCGCTGGGGTGAAGGGGGCTGGGGAGGTGGCGGAGAGAAGCCAGCATGAGCCTCATCACCCCCTCCCTGCATCAGCACCTTCATGCCTGCTCTCTCTTTCCACACAAACCTTCAGACGTGGACGAGTGTGCAAGGGACCCGCTGCTCTGCCGGGGAGGCACTTGCACCAACACGGATGGGAGCTACAAGTGCCAGTGTCCCCCTGGGCATGAGCTGACGGCCAAGGGCACTGCCTGTGAGGGTAAGTGTGCATCTGGGTGTGCAAGTGTGAGTGTTAGCCCATGTGTGTGAAAGTGAGTGGATGTCTGGTGAATGTGGGCTGGATGAGTGAGAGGGTGGGCATGTGTATCTGTCTTTCTGAGGCCATACCTATGTGTGAGCGTGCAAGTGTGTGTGTGTATCTGTGTGTGTAAGTGGGTTTATATGCAAGATGGCGGGAGTGTGTTTGTGTGTCTAGATGAACACGCACATGTGTGAGTGTCTGTACAAGGGCAAGCGTTTGTGCATTTGTGTGACTGTGTGTCTGTACAAGGGGGAGTGTTTGTATGTGAGGAGTGAGTGTGTGTGTGCGTCTGTGTGAACACACAAGAGGGTTTGAGTGTGTATTTGGCTATGAATGTCTCTACCAAGGGCAAGTGTGTTTGCATGTGCGTAGGTGTGTTTCATTTTGTTTTGTTTGAGACAGGGTCCCAGTCTGTTGTCCAGGCTGGGGTGCAGTGGCACAATCACAGCTCACTGCAGCCTCCACCTCCTGGGCTCAGGTGATCCTCCCATCTCAGCCTCCCAAGTAGGTGGGACTACAGGCATGCGCCACTATGCCTGGCTAATTTCTGAGTGGGTGTGTTTGTACGTAAGTCTGTGTGTGTGTGTGTAAGAGAATGTGATGTGTAGTTGGATGCAAATGCATGTTTATAGAGGTGTGTTTGTGTGTGAGTGGGTGTGAGAATGTGTTTGAGTGGGTCTGTGTGGGTGTACCTCTGGGTGTGGGTGTCTGGGTGTGGACATGTGTTTGCACAAGGACAGGTATGTTTGAGGGTGTGTTTATGTGTGTGTCTGTGTGAGTGTGCACATGGGTGTGTGTGTATGTGTGAGTGTGCATTGGGTGTTTGTGTGTCTGTGTGTGCACATGGGTGTGAGTGTGCCCCTGGGTGTGGATGTGTATTTACACATGGGTGAGTGTATTTGTGTGCAAGTGGATATAAGGTGTGTTGTGAATTTAGGAGTGTGCACTTGAGTGTGAGTGTGTATCTGAGTGTGCCTGTGTGTGTCTGTCAAGGGTGAGTGTGTTCACACGTGAGTGGGTGCCAGGGTGTGTTTGTGAGTCTGTGTGAGCGGGCACGTGGGGTGTGTATATGGGTGTCTGTGCTTATAGGAGAGTGAGTGTATTTGCATGTGAGTGAATGCAAGTGTACGGATAGGCACATGCGGGGCTGTGCCAATGCTGGCAGTGTGAGCTCCTTAGCATGCATGTGTGCCCCCAGTGTGTCTCATGGTCACACAGACGGCAGATGGGGCACAGGCCCGTCTTTCACCTGCACTCCCCCACAGACATCGATGAGTGCTCCCTGAGTGATGGCCTGTGTCCCCATGGCCAGTGTGTCAATGTCATCGGTGCCTTCCAGTGCTCCTGCCATGCCGGCTTCCAGAGCACACCTGACCGCCAGGGCTGCGTGGGTGAGACTGTGCCCACCTGCTGGCCCCTGGGCACCAACCACAGTCCCAGACATAGTGGTAGCTCCTCCTGTCCTCACCTCAACTCCACTCTGCTCCCACCCCCAAACCAGCCCCCTCCCCATCCTGGACCCCTCCCCCCAGCCCCAGCCCCTGTCTGCCCTGCATCCTGCAGACATCAACGAATGCCGGGTCCAGAATGGTGGGTGTGACGTGCACTGTATTAACACTGAGGGCAGCTACCGGTGCAGCTGTGGGCAGGGCTACTCGCTGATGCCCGACGGAAGGGCATGTGCAGGTAGGTGGGCACAACTTCTTCCCACTGCCTGGTGTGGAGGGTGAGGAGGAGGTGTTGGCTGGGTCCTGCACTGGCCCAGAGCCCAGCACAGCATAGTGAAGCCAGCCAGACCCGAGGCACCCCCTGCCTGGCCTGTGGTCCTGGCCCCAGGCAGGCTGCTCACCCTGTGGGAGAGCCCCTGGGATTTTTGCAGAGGAGGGTGAATAAGGTGGAAAAGAACCTCAGAACTGCTTGAGCGCCCCCAGACTACTCGAGTGACCATCGCTATCCTCACCTGGCTACAGGTCGTCCTGGGGCCTGGGGAGCAGATGTGTACTGGGTGGTCTATCAGGGCAAAGCTAAGCACAGTCCCCAACCCTGCTCCCCCAGACGTGGACGAGTGTGAAGAGAACCCCCGCGTTTGTGACCAAGGCCACTGCACCAACATGCCAGGGGGTCACCGCTGCCTGTGCTATGATGGCTTCATGGCCACGCCAGACATGAGGACATGTGTTGGTGAGGAGCCGGGACGGTGGGGCGGGGCGGGTGGAGGAGGCAGTGTCAGAATTCACACACCAGGTCTTCCACAAGGTGGCACATAGGCATGAAAAATGCCAGGCCCCACCCCTGCCATTCGCAGGTAGGAAGATGAGGCTTTGTAACAGCACTTGCTTCTCCACATAAGGGTCCCCAGCACCCCAAGTCTGCTCTCCAAAGCCCATGAGATCCCATTTATATAACAGAAGCAGAATTCCCCAAACCTTGCTCTTTTAAATGGCATTTGTTTAATATGACATACCCAACATCTATCAGAGGATTGTGTCCTGTTCAAGGGCTGTGCTTTAAGATCACTGAAGACAAAGGGGTTTCTGGCAGAGGACAGTGGACAAGGCAGGAAAGAGACTCAGAACTCTGTTCTCTAAGGTGGCGACTGCTGTCCTCACCTGGCTACAGGTTGTCCTAGGGCCTGGGGAGCAGATGTGTACTGCATACCCTATCAGGACAAAGCTGAGGCCAGAGTGTGGAAGTTCCGGGAAGTAACAATGTAACTCCCGGCCAAGAAACCGAGTGAAGCTTAAAGAGCTTAGAGAGTTGCAGTTTATAGGAGTCTCAGAGAGCAAGTGCTTCAGCGATGGGCCTTGTGAACAAATGCATTTAGGGAATGCAGTCTGCTCCATGCCCCTGTTGCAGACCCACTGTGCATATTGGCATAAAGGCTCTGAAAAGTCCTGCAGGAGGAAACCCTGGTTAGCTTTGTGGATCTCAGCCTTCTCTAAATATATTTGACCATAAAATACTTTTGGAAACACATTCCTGGTGTGTTCCTTGGAATGTACACTGTGAAACGCTCACAGAACATTCCCAATTGCCCAGTAGTGGACATAGAGGGAGCTCCCCGCCCCTGGAGAAAAGAAAGAGAGTCCTAGCAGAGAGGACCTGTGCGGCGGGACAGTCAGGAATGCTGGTGATCTCCCTCCCACCCTCACCTACTTCCTCTCCTGTCACCCCTGCACCCAGTCCTCAGACCTCATGCTCTCTTCCCCAACAGATGTGGATGAGTGTGACCTGAACCCTCACATCTGCCTCCATGGGGACTGCGAGAACACGAAGGGTTCCTTTGTCTGCCACTGTCAGCTGGGCTACATGGTCAGGAAGGGGGCCACAGGCTGCTCTGGTGAGCCGGCGGTCAGCGGTGCAGGCAGAGGGGACTCCCCGGGGCCATTTTGGGAATCATGGGGTCTGTTTCCATCCCCCAGGGCAGAGCACAGCCAGAATTCATTCTCATAGATTTCCACGGATGGCTTCTTGTGTTAAAGCAAGAACAGAGTCCTATACAGTGCCCCGGGGGGTCCCCTGAACAGCTCAGGAAGGGAAGCCCCAAGTGTCTGCAGCAGCATTTCTGAAACGTGAATCCCTCATAATTTGATGCAATACAGGGATGAACACTTAAACATTTGAATAGTGACTGTGTTAGTTCCCTGTGGCTGCCATAACAAATGATCACACAATTGGTGGCTTAGAAATTGATTCTCTGGGCCGGGCGCGGTGGCTCATGCCTGTAATCCCAGCACTTTGGGAGGCCGAGGCGGGCAGATCACCTGAGGTCAGGAGTTCGAGACCAGTCTGGTCAACATGGTGAAACCCATCTCTACTAAAAATACAAAAATTAGCCAGGCATAGTAATCCCAGCTACTCGGGAGGCTGGGGCAGGAGAATCATTTGAACCCGGGAGGCAGAGGTGGCAGTGAGCCAAGATAGCACCACTGCATTCTAGCCTGGGCAACAGAGTGAGACCCCGTCTCAAAAGAAAATAAGTAAATTCAGGAGGCTGAGGCAGGAGAATGGCGTGAACCCAGGAGGCGAAGCTTGCAGTGAGCCGAGGTCGAGCCACTGCACTCCAGCCTGGGTGACAGAGCCAGACTCCGTCTCAAAAAAAAAAAGAAAATAAGTAAAATGATTCTCCGCCTGGTGCAGTGGCTCACACTTTTGTAATCCCAGCACTTTGGGAGGCCAAAGCAGGAGGACTGCTTGAGCCCATGGGTTCGAGACCAGCCTGGGTGACATGGATACATCACAACACGGCCATATGGCAACATTAATAGAGACAGCAACCCCATCTATATTAAAAATTTTAAAAATTAGCCTGGGCAGGGTAGCTCACACCTGTAATCCCAGCACTTTGGGGGCTGAGGTGGGTGGATTACCTGAGGTCAGGAGTTTGAGACCAGCCTGGCCAACATGGTGAAACCCCGTCACTACTAAAAATACAAAATTAGCTGGGCGTGGTGGCGCACGCCTGTAATCCCAGCTGCTTGGGAGGCTGAGGCAGGAGCATCACTTGAATCCAGGAGGCGGAGGTTGCAGTGAGCCAAGATCACACCACTGCACTCCAGCTTGGGCCACAGAGCAAGACTCCATCTCAAAAAAACAAACTTTTTTTTAATTAAAAAGAAATTGATTCTCCTTCTAGAATAATAGTTCTGGAAGCCAGAAGTCTGAAATCAAGGTGTCTACAGGGTTAGTACCTTCTTGGGGGCTCAGAGGCAGAAAGTGTTCCATGCCTCCTTGCTGTTCCTCAGCTTGTAGATGTGTCATTCCAGTCTCTGTCTCCATCTTCACACGGCCTTCTTCTCTCTGTGTATCTATTTTTTTTTATTTTTCATGTTTTACATTTTATTTATTATTTATTTATTTTTGTGAGATAGTGTCTCACTCTGTCTCCCAGGCTGGAGTGCAGTGACACAATCATAGCTCACTGCAGCCTCCACCTCTCCAGGCTCAGGTGATCTTCCCACCTCAGCCTCCCACACGTGCCGCCACACTCAGCTAATTTTTTTTTTTTTTTTTGTAGAGATAGTGTTTTACTATGTCGCCCGGGTTGGTCTTGAACTCCTGGACTCAAGTAATCCTCTTGCCTCGGCCTCCCAATTTGTTGGGATTACAGGCACGAGTCACTGCACCCAGTAGTATCTAATTTGTAAAGATGAGGTCTCGCTGTGTCGCCCAGGCTATAGTGCAGTGGTGTGATCATAGCTCATGAACTAGTTCATAGCCTTAAACTCCTGGGTTCAAGCAATCCTCCCAGCCTCAGCCTCCTGAGTATCTGGGACTACAGGTGCATGCCACCAAGCTGGGCTAATTTTTAAAAAAGTGTTTGTTGATCAGGCATGGTGACTCATTTCTGTAATGCCAGCACTTTGGGAGATTGAGGTGGAAGGATTCTTGAGCTCAGGTGTTTGAGATAAAAATTTTAAAAAATAGCCAGGCATGCTGGCGCTCACCTGTAGTCTTAGCTACTCAAGAGGCTGAGGATTGCTTAAGACCAGGAGATCCAGGCTGCAGTGAGCTATGATTGCACCATTGCACTGCACTCCAGCCTGGGTGACAGAGTGAAACCATGCCTCAGGGGGAAAAAAAAGTGTTTTTGTAGAAACAGGTTCTCACTATGTTGCCCAACCTCGTCTCAAACTCCTTGCCTCAAGCGATCCTCCCACCTTGGCCTCCCAAGTAGTTGGGATTACAGGTGTAAGCCATTGCATCTGGCTACACAGCCTTCTCAAAAGAACACTCATCACTGGATGGGAGCCTACACTAATCCGGGATGACCTCATCTTAACTTAGTTACATCTACGAAGACCCTGTTTCCAAATAAGGTCACATTCACCAGTTTCAGGGTTTAGGACTTGAGCATACCTTTTAAGGGGACACAATTCTATCCACTCCAGTTACATGGTTATTTTAATGTGTATTAGAAACAAGTGTTACATAACAGAGCATCAAGCCTATGACTTCTTAGAGGTTGTTGATGTTGATCCAAAATTGTCTTTTAAAACACAATTTATGTCAGGGAAAACAGAAGTGTGGGAAAGAAATGTTTAGTAACAGCAGCTCACCAAGGTTTAACATGGCAGAGATCATAAGGGTGAGGCATAATTGACTCTGGATTGGAAATGCTGGTGGACAGGGAAATCCTGGCTTGGAAAAGGGGCGTGTTCATACGGACAGTCACTTTTTTATTTTTTTATTTATTTATTTTTTTGAGACGGAGTCTCACTCTGTCGCCCAGGCTAGAGTGCAGTGGCACAACCTCTGCTCACTGCAAGCTCCGCCTCTCGGGTTCACGCCATTCTCCTGCCTCAGCGTCCTGAGTAGCTGGGACTACAGGCACCTGCCACCACGCCTGGCTAATTTTTTTTTTGTATTTTTAGTAGAGACAGGGTTTCACCGCATTAGCCAGGATGGTCTCGATCTCCTGACCTCGTGATCCACCCGCCTCGGCCTCCCAAAGTGCTGGGATTACAGGCGTGAGCCACCGCACCCGGCTGGACAGTCACTCTTAATATCTACCCCAAGTCTTTCATGCTGCTATTTCAGGCCATTTCTGAGGGCTGCTGAGAGTCATGTCTGTTGGGTTTCGGGGTTTTCCTCTTGGGCTCTGGGTAAAGATGGAAGCTCCCCAGGTGAATGGGAGGAGGCTTTCTGGGCCAGCTCTCCCCTAGAGAGGAAGAGTCCCTGCCCTTTCCGCTGCTATTGCATCGAGTCTTTCCTTCTGTGACTGGGTCTTGGCGTCGTGCCTCCTCTCCCTTTAGATGTGGATGAATGCGAGGTTGGAGGACACAACTGTGACAGTCACGCCTCCTGTCTCAACATCCCGGGGAGTTTCAGCTGTAGGTGCCTGCCAGGCTGGGTGGGGGATGGCTTCGAATGTCACGGTGAGTACCTGGGGGCAGGGAGTGGGGGCAAAGCAGTAGAGGTAGGTGGGGGGCAAGGCGGTGGGGGGCAAGGCAGTGGGAGGGTGGGATCCGGGAGTGTCTGCAGGGGGGCAGTCAGGGTTGGAGGGTTGATGGGTCTTTCTCCCTTCTGCGCCCACCCAATGCACACACCATGGGGTGGGGGGTCTGGGCTCCATCTCCTGCAGACCTGGATGAATGCGTCTCCCAGGAGCACCGGTGCAGCCCAAGAGGTGACTGTCTCAATGTCCCTGGCTCCTACCGCTGCACCTGCCGCCAGGGCTTTGCCGGGGATGGCTTCTTCTGCGAAGGTGAGATTAGAGGGGTGGGAGGGCAGGGGCCCTAGAGGGACAGCCACGGGGGCTGAATTCACGGTGGCTGCCATGGTCACTCGACCTCCTGACTCCTTCTGACTCAATCGCCGCTCTGTGGGTGCTGGAGAGGCTGTGTCCTCGGCCCAGGCGGTGCTGCGGCCTGCCCACGGCTCCCTTGAACACTTAAGTGCATGAGACGCTTCCTTCCTGGCTGCCCTCCTCCCTGGATCCAGAGAGACTGGGTCCCCTCTCTGGAGTCCAAGAGTCCAGACCACCTCTCCCCTCCCTGTCCCTGCCTCGGTCACTCGCCTCCCACCCCCAAGTCAGGGACTGAGTCCCCAGGGCTACTTGCCTGGGACTCTGGCTGACAGCGAAGTGTTCCAGTGACTGGGGCCTCCTGCCCACCCTGTGTGGGTCCTGGTCCACCGGCCTCCAGCCCTCCGAATCTTGGGGCCCCTCAGACAGGGATGAATGTGCCGAGAACGTGGACCTCTGTGACAACGGGCAGTGCCTCAATGCGCCCGGCGGGTACCGCTGTGAATGTGAGATGGGCTTTGACCCCACCGAGGACCACCGGGCCTGCCAGGGTAAGGTTGGGCCCGCCAGGGCAGAGGACAGAGTGGGTAGGTCCCCCCTGCAGACTCTGGGTGGGGCAGGCTGACCCAGGGTCCCCGCAGATGTGGACGAGTGTGCGCAAGGGAACCTCTGTGCATTTGGGAGCTGTGAGAACCTGCCTGGAATGTTCCGCTGCATCTGCAATGGTGGCTACGAACTGGACCGAGGGGGTGGCAACTGCACAGGTGTGAGGTCATCTGGGCTGGAAGGGGAGAGGAGAGAGCAGGAGTTGGGGCAGGGGACATGGCTCACTCCCTCACTGCCCTCAGATCTCTTTTCAAGCATCCTCCCCTGCAGTCTTGCTGGGGGGTGGGGGGCGCCTTGCCTGATGTCCCCATCATTTCCCGTTCCTGTTCGCCTGCTAAATAAGTTCTGTGATTGAAGTGGCCCCTCCACGCTAGCTGCTGAAAGGGTCTCCTACCTCTGTGTGTTTTAGAAATGGGCAGGTGGTAAATATTTTTGGCTTTGCAGGCCACACAGTCAGTCTCTGTCACAATGATTCAACTCTGCCATTGTAGCTCAAAAGCAGCCACAAGCAATATGTAAATGAATGAATGTGGCCCCTGTACCAATAAAACTTTATTGACACAAACAGGTGGTGGACCGGATTTGACCTACAGGTTGGAATTTGCTAACCCATGGTTTGAAAGTATTTTCTATATATGGGTTTTGGCTGGGAGTGGTGGCTCATGCCCATAATCTCAGCACTTTGGGAGGCTGAGGTGGGAGGATCACTCCAGGCCAGGAGTTGGAGACCAGCCTGAGCAACATAGCGAGACCTCATCTCTAAAAAGTAAAAATAAAAAATTAGCTGGGCATTGTGGTGCACACCTGTAGTCCCAGCTACTCCAAAGGCTGAGGCAGAAGGATCGCTTGAGCCCAGGAGTTTGAGGCTGCAGTGAGCCGTGATTGTGCAACTGCACTCCAGCCTGGTCGACACAGCAAGACCCTGTCTCTAAACATCAATAAATTACGGAAATAAAATAGATATGATTTTCATATGTTGACTGCATGGAACCCAGGGCAGGTAGAGTTCAATGAACAAAACTCTGCCAGGCAGAACAGAGCAGGAGAGGGAATGGGGTTGGAGGGGACAGGACAGACTGGAGGCTCCTGTCCCCTTAGGTTTCTTCCCAGGGAAGGACATGACATTGTCCCACAATCTGGTGCCCAGGAGTTGACCTTGAGCGAGGGCTGTAGCTTCCCAGGATGAAGCTAGGAGGGAGGGGGGCCGAGGAAGGGGCTCCCTGCTGAGGACCGCGCTTCCTCCCTACAGACATCAACGAGTGTGCAGACCCAGTAAACTGCATCAACGGCGTGTGCATTAACACCCCCGGCAGCTACCTCTGCAGCTGCCCCCAGGATTTTGAGCTGAACCCCAGCGGAGTGGGCTGCGTGGGTGAGTCCATGCTCAACTCCAGATCAGGGTTCTGGGGTCAGCAGAGGTGGGTGGGATTGCCCCACTGGGTTAACTCAGATGTCAACGTGTTCAAATCTACCTGCTCCTGACAAACGGGACATCTGCTGGTCTCCTGCAAGAGTGGTTGTCCTTGTCACCTGTTGAAATAGACACATGCATGCACACGCACACATACAGCTTTCCCTCTGACACCTACTAACCATCCCCTTCTGCCTGTTCAGACACTCGGGCCGGGAACTGTTTCCTGGAGACGCATGACCGAGGGGACAGTGGCATTTCCTGCAGTGCCGAGATCGGAGTTGGTGTCACCCGAGCTTCCTGCTGTTGCTCCCTGGGCCGGGCTTGGGGCAATCCCTGTGAGCTGTGCCCTATGGCCAACACCAGTGAGTCCCTGCGGGGCAGTTGAACACCGTGACCTAAGCCACCGAGGCCCGGGAGCTTAGGGGGTCACCTCTGCTAATGGCGGTGGTGGGGGGCTTAGGCGACAGGAAAACCAAGAACTGGGGGAGGAGAGGGGCTCATCCTGGGTCACACAGTGTACGTCTTGGTAGTTCATTGGCTGGGCCTCTCTCCAAGGTCGCTTTCTGTAAATTCTCTGTGTTTATAGTCACTTGATCACTCAGTCAGTCAACAAATATTGAGAGTTCCTCTGTGTCATGTGCTGGGGACTGGGGACTCAGAGAAGGATGAGCCACAGCCTCTGCACGCTGCTTCTCCCTCACCCTTAAATCAACAGTTTCAGGACTGTGAGAGTAGAACTGTCCTAAGGGTTTTCTTTGAGGCATACCCATAGCTCAGGAGAAAGCTGTGGGGAAGTGAAAGCTCTGGGGAAGGCTTTCCAGGGGAGGAGGCTTGAGTGAGGTTTTGAAGGATGTGTAGGAGTTTTCCTAGCAGAGTAGGGGGAATGATGTGCAATGCAGTGAGAACAGTATGTGCAAAGGCCTCAGGTGTGAAACAGGGAGGTACCTGTCCACCTATTCAGGTGTATGCGTGTGTGAATGTCCAAGGTCTTCCTTGCATGGGGAAAACTTGCAGTTACACTAGGATATGGTTTTGGATCAGAAGGAATAATCTTCTCTCCCTCCTACCCCCAGCCACTACCACATAACTCTGCTCACATGTTGAATGGGAACCCACATTTACACACACACACGCATGCACACGCACATGCACACACACACGCAAGCAGCCCCAGGACTGGCCAAAGTCTCTTGGCCCCAAGAGGCTAAAGAGATATGGGGATGTCGTTAGTACAGTAGAAGGATGGGAGCCCACTCTTGAGCCCTTTTCAGGCTTCCTGCTGTTGCTCCCCTGTTTCCCCTAAGCTTTGCCCCAATACCCCACCTCACAGGAGCCTGTTTCCCTTTACAGCTGAGTACAGAACCCTGTGCCCGGGTGGTGAGGGCTTCCAGCCTAACCGCATCACTGTCATTCTGGAAGGTGAGTTCCTGGCAGATCATCCATCCATCTGTCTGCCTAGAGACTGACTTTTCTCTCATCCCCACCTCACCAAAGTGTAGAGTTGAGTAGTTTTGTCCTGGGATGGGGCAGATCTTTCCACCTGGAGGCTGAGCAGCAGGACCACACTATGCTTTTAGTTTGTGTTTAATTTTTTTTATCTGTTCTTTCAGCCATTTCTTCCACTTGTTGGTTTATTGATCTTTTCATTTGTCCCCCATCCTTCCATTCATCCTCCATCCTTCTGTCCATTTATCCTTCCATCCACCCATCCTTCCATCCATTCATCCATCCTTCTACCCATCCATCCAGCCATTCATCCATCTATCCATCCATCCATCCATCCTTCCATTTTTTCCATCCATCCAGTACATCCATACATCCTTCCATCCAGCCATCCTCCATCCATTCTTCCTTCCATACTTCCATACTTCCATTCAACCATCCTCCATCTACCCATTCATCCATCCTCCACTCATCCCTCTCTTATCCTTTTATCCATCCATCTAGTCAACCATTCATTCCCCATCCTTCATCTATCCCCCATCTTTCTGTCCATTCATCCCTCCATCCATCCATCCATCCATCCATCCTTCCACCCGACCATCCATCCATTCATCCATCCTTCCACTCATCCTTCCATCCATTCATCCATCCATCCATCCATCCATCCATCCTTCCACTCGACCATCCATCCATTCATCTATCCTTCCACTCATCCTTTCATCCATTCATCCTTCCACCCATCCAACCATTCTCCATCTACCCATTCATCCATCCCCCCACTTATTCCCCTCCTATCCTTCTATCCATCCATTCACCCATTTATCCCCCATCCTTCATCTATCCTCCATCCTTTCATCCATCCCCCCTCCTTCTGTCCATTTATCCTTCCATCCACCCATCCTTCCATCCATCCATCCTTCCACCCAACCATCCCCCATCTACCCATTCATCTATCCTTCCTTCCATCCAACTATCCTTTATCTACCCATTCATCCATCCTTCCATTCATCCATCCTTCCATCCATCCCTCCATCCTTCCATCCAACCATGCCCCATCCACCCATTCATCCATTCATCACTCATCCCTCTGCTATCCTTGTATCCATCCATTCACCCATCCATCCACCCCCCATCCTTCATCTAGCCCGCATTCACCCATCCATTAACCTATTTCCCACTCTCCCATCCATCCATCTCCCACCCACCTATCTCTCATTCTTCTATCCATCTATTCACCCATCCATCTATCCCCCATTCACCCATCCATCCTCAATACATCCATCCATCCACTCATCCATCCACCCATTTCCCATCCACCCGTTCCCTACTCCCTTTCTATTCCCCCATTCATCCACCCTTCCATCCATCTTCTATCTCCCATCTATTCATCCATTCATCCATCCATCCATCCATCCACTTATCCACCCATTCACTCATTTGCCTGTCTACTCACCTATCCATCCACCTTCCTATCCATCCACTCACTCATCATCTTATTCATTGACCCACTTGCTTATTTACCCATCCACTGTTTCATATCCATGCATCCATCCACTCATCCATCCATTCATCCATCCTCCCATCCATCCTTTCTATAGGGAGTGACAAGGTTGGAGAAGACTATTCTCCATCTAGAGGAAGAAAACTATCTATTTCTCTATCTAGAGGAAACTATGTGGTGGATGGGAGAATGGACTAACAGATGAAGGGAATGGAGTTGAATTTAGGGTAACATTAACTCAAGAGAATCTGTGTCCAGCCATCAAGATAGACCCTTTAAATGTCTATCAGTCATGGACAGCACTTGGGGATCCTCGAGAGGGCCCTGGAGAACCCAGAGCATGGTGTGGGTGCCCCTTAAGTCCTCTGCATGGGTTTAGCTCCCAAGCTTGGCTTCCTTACTTCCTGACAGACATCGACGAGTGCCAAGAGCTGCCAGGGCTGTGTCAGGGGGGTGACTGCGTCAACACGTTTGGCAGTTTCCAGTGTGAGTGCCCACCTGGCTACCACCTCAGTGAGCACACCCGCATCTGTGAGGGTGAGCATGGATTCTCTTTGGGGTGGGTCAGGCTCTTCCGCTCTCTCCCTGCCTTCCTGCCCTGCCAAGCCTCACAAGGGTAGAGGAGGGAAGGCCTCATGGAAAGGCTTCTGCCCCCTGCCTCCTCTTTTGTCATGATCTGTCAGTTCTCTCTTGCTGCCTTTAAGATGTTCATGGCTGCTGTGGATCTGTGGTGTGGGGGATGGTAGATAGACCCTTTAAAATGCCACGACACTCCCTTATGAAGTACAGCAGCTTCCTTCTTCACCATATCTTTGTCTGGATGTTGTAAGCTTTTGACTGATTCCAGAGTTCTGCAAAAGTTTATTTTTGTCTGTTTTGCCAGCTCAATAGTTGCTTTTGTGGAGGAATGGAGCCCTGGAGTTCCCTGCTCTGCTATTTTTGGTGACATCACTCTTACCATGCTAATATTCCACTACCTATTTTTGCCTGCTAGCTAAGAATACTTTATTACACTTTTCTCAACGGTTGAAAAAACCAAAAGAAGAATAACATTTTGTGACACATGAAAATTATATGAAATTCAAGGCTGGGTGCGTGGCAGCTCAAGCTGGTAATCCCAGTACTTTGGGAGGCTGAAGTGGGAGGATTGCTTGAGGCCAGGAGTTTAAGACCCACCTGGGCAACATGGCAAAACCTTGTCTCTACAAAAAATTAAAAAAATAGCTGGGCATGGTGACTCACGCCTGTAATCCCAGCTACTTGGGAGGCTGAGGCAGGAGGATCACTTGAGCCTCGGAAGTCGAGGCTGCAGTGAGCCGTGATTGTGCCACTGTACTCCAGCCTGGGTGACAGAACGAGACCCTGTCTTAAAAAAAAAAAAAAGAAAAAAAAGACTGGGCACAGTGGCTCATGCTTGTAATCCCAGCTCTTTGGGAGGCCGAGGTGGGCAGATCACGAGGTCAGGAGTTCGAGACCAGCCTGGCCAACATAGTGAAACCCCATCTCTACTAAAAATACAAAAATTAGCCGGGCATAGTGACACATGCCTATAGTCCCAGCTACTCGGGAGGCTGAGGCAGGAGAATCACTTGAACCTGGGAGGCGGAGGTTGCAGTGAGCCAAGATGAGGCCACTGCACTCTAGCCTGGGCAACAGAGTGAGACTCTGTCTCAAAAAAAATAAAAGAAAGAAAGAGAGAGAAAGAGAGAGAAAGAAAGAGAAGAAAGAAAGAAAGAGAAGAAGGAAGAAAGAAGAAAAGAAAAGAAAGTTATATAAAATTCAAATTTCAGGGGTCCATAAATAAAATTTCCTTGGAGCACAGCCAGTGCCACAGTGTGTTTGCATATTGTTTGTGTCTGCTTTCTTGCTACATTGGCAGATTGAATAATCATGGCACACTGTAGTTTGGCCCGCAAAACCAAAATGTTCTGGCCCTTTACAGAAAAAGCTTACTACCCCTGGACTAGAGTAATGACCAGATTGAGAATCAATTTTTTTCCCCCAAGAATACTTTATCCATAAGGTCCTTGATTCCTATCATATCATATTAGGAAGACATGGATGATCCTTTCTTGGTGATTATAAAACTGACTCATGAACTCAGGTCATTTTGTTCCTAATAGAAGCAGTATCATCATCAACTTTATTTTTAGGAATTTTTTTTTTTTTTTTTAGAGCCAGTGTCTCACTCTGTTGTCCAGGCTGGAGTGCAGTGGTGTAATCACAGCTTGCTGTAGTCTTGACCTCCTGGACTCAGGTGATCCTCCCACCTCTGCCTCTCAAGTAGCTGGGACCACAGGCGTGTGCCACCATGCCCAGCTAAATTTTCATTTTTTGTAGAGATGGGACCTCACTATGTTGCCCAGGCTGGTCTCAAACTCTTGACCTCAAATGATCCTCCTGCCTTGGCCTCCCAAAGCAGGGATGATAGGCATGAGCCACTGCATCCAGCTTGTAAATGTTTTTTTTTTTTTTTTTTCACTTAATGTCATATTGTTTTTGTTCGTTTGTTTGTTTTTTAGAGCCAGGATCTCATTCTGCACCCAGGCTGGAGTGCAGAGGCGTGATCACGGCTCACTGCAACCTTAACCTCCTGGACTCAAGTGATCCTCCCAAGTGGCTGGGACTGCAGGCATGCACCACCATGCCCAGCTAATTTTTTAAAATTTTTAGTAGAGATGGGGTCTTGCTATGTTGCCCAGACTGGTCTCGAACTCCGGGCTCAAATGATCCTCCCACCTCAGCATCACAAAGTGCTCAGATTACAGGCATGAGCCACCATGCCCAGCCCATATTATAGCTTTCTTCATCACTAAGATGTGTGTGCGTTTTAAACTGATTTTGAAACCAAACTTAGGTCCCTGGTGAAGTGGCCTTGCTGGGTCTCTGGAGTGGAGTTATTCAGACAATTCCTGGACGCTGCCCACTGTTCCCCTCCACCCCTTCTTTCCCTGCAGATATTGACGAATGCTCCACACACTCCGGCATCTGTGGCCCTGGCACCTGCTACAACACCCTGGGGAACTACACCTGTGTCTGCCCTGCAGAGTACCTCCAAGTCAATGGTGGCAACAACTGCATGGGTAAGAAGCGTGATGACCTAGGGAACTGGCAGTCACAGAAGCAGCACCTGGGCATGGGAGGAACTGCTGGGAGCCTTCAAGCCTATGGAGAGGGAGGGTAAGCATATATGAAGTGCTGACATGTGGCAGTAAACAAAGCTGCAGGACTCAGGAGCCCAGAGCTGCCATGAACAGTTGCTCAGGTTGTGCACTGCTCAAAAAAGGCTGAAAAAAGTGAATGGATCCCCCAAGTGTGTTGGGGGAGAGACATCAAGCCAATCAAGCCAGCCAGTAATCTTTTTTTTTTTTTTTTTTTGAGATAGAGTCTCACTCTGTCACCCAGGCTGGAGTGCAGTGGCACAATCTCGGCTCACTGCAACCTCCACCTCCCAGGTTCAAGCGATTCTCCTGCCTCAGCCTCCCAAGTAGCTGGGATTACAGGCGTGTGCCACCACACCTAGCTAATTTTTGTATTTTTAGTAGAGACAGGGTTTCACCATGTTGGCCAGGCTGGTCTCAAACTCCTGACCTCAAGTGATCCGCCCGCCTCCGCCTCCCAAAGTGCTGGGATTACAGGCATGAGCCACTGTGCCTGGACAAGCCAGTAATCTTCAAATGAATCAGTTAAGGAGTTCCTATCTCTTTGGCTCCCTCTTCCACTGATTTAGGTGACCCTTACCCACATTCTTCTCCTTTGTGCCAACTACAGATATGAGGAAGAGTGTCTGCTTCCGGCACTATAACGGCACATGTCAAAATGAGCTGGCCTTCAACGTGACCCGGAAAATGTGTTGCTGCTCCTACAACATTGGCCAGGCCTGGAATAGACCCTGTGAGGCCTGCCCCACTCCCATCAGTCGTGAGTAACCCTCCCCAACCTTCTTCCCAGCCTGGCCCCTCCTAGCATAATGGTTAAGGAAACACAGTGCCCTTAGGGTTCTTAGATTAATCCTCCTTGTTCTGATGAGAGCCAGAGAGTTGAAGTTTTGTCCCTCTATTAGTCCATTCTCATACTGCTGTGAAGAAATACTGGATACTGGGTAATTTATAAAGAAAAAGAGGTTTGGCTGGGTGTGGTGGCTCACACCTATAATCCCAGCATTTTGGGAGGCCGAGGCGGGTGGATCACTTGAGGTCAGGCATTCGAAAACAGCCTGGCCAACACAGTGAAACCCTGTCTCTACTAAAAATACCAAAAAAATTAGCTGGGTGTGGTGGCGCAGGCCCGTAATCCCAGCTACTTGGGAGGCTGAGGCAAGAGAATCGCTTGAACCCGGGAAGTGGGGTTTCCAGTGAGCCGCGATCATGCCACTGCGCTCCAGCCTGGGTGACAGAGCAAGACTCCATCTCAAAAAAAAAATAAAAAAATAAAAAAAAAGGAGGACTTTAATGGACTCGCAGTTCCACATAACTGGGAAGGCCTCACAATCATGGCAGAAGGTGAAGGAGGAGCAAAAGCACGTCTTACATGGTGGCAGGCAAGAGAGCGCGTGCAGGGGAACTGCCCTTTATAAAACTGTCAGATCTCACGAGATTTATTCACTATCACGAGAATAGCATGGGAAAGACCCACCCCCATGACTCAGTTACCTCCCACCGGGTCCCTCCCGTGACATGTGGGGATATGGGAGCTACAGTTCAAGTTGAGGTTTAGGTGGGGACACAGCCAAACTGTGTCAGTCCCCATGTATGGAAGGCAATATTTTAAAGTGAGCAAGGCAGCTTTTCTTCCATTTTGCAGATTTCGAGAATTCAGGATGGATCAATGGAGTTTTCATTGGTGGGAAAGGCCCTTGAAGATTCACAGGAGTAGCTGGGGCTGGGATAAAGTGGGAGGGGGTCGGTAAATGTCCCAGGCCAGGGAGGAAAGCACCGCTGGTTAGAGATACCATAGACCTCCTGGGCTGGGATAGGGTGGGAGGGGGTCGGTAAATGTCCCAGGCCAGGGAGGAAAGCACAGCTGGTTAGAGATACCATAGACCTCCTGGGCTGGGGAAGGGGCAGACCTGGAGAAGCTCAGAGCCAAGATTGGGACCCTGATGGGAACATCGGTCAGGATGAGGGAAGGCGTTCTAGGCAGGGGCACAGCAGGAGCCAAGGCCTGGAGGCAGGACTGAACAGAGTGTGTTGACAGCAGGAATGAGTCCTGTTGGAATGATCTAGCAGCCAGCCCAGGCACCAGGAGGAGCTGCAGGAATGGGACAGTGATGGGAAGGGGACTTCTAGGGGCTTATAGCTGTATTCATTCCCCAGAGCTGCTGCAAAACATTACTGCAAACTAGGTGGCTTTAAAAACCAGACGTCGTGGCTCACGCCTGTAATCCCAGCTACTTGGGAGGCTAAGGTGGGAGGGTCACCTGAACCTGGGAGGTTAAGGCTGCAGTGAGCCGTGATTGCACCAGTGCACTCCAGCCTGGGTGACAGAACGAGACTTTGTCTCAAAAAAATTAAATTAAATAAGTGGAAGGAGGGAAAGGGTGGGGAGAGCAAAAAAAGTTCAAGGTGGCCAGGTGAGGGCTGGGCTCCAGGGATGAGGTGTCCCCTCCAGATTGGGAGCGGGCTGGGGTCAGGCCTGCAGCCCCAGACTCAGCTTTGTTCCCCTTTGCGCAGCTGACTACCAGATCCTGTGTGGAAATCAGGCCCCGGGATTCCTCACTGACATCCACACGGGGAAGCCCCTTGGTGAGTGAGTGGTCCCTGCTCTATCCCTGGGCACCCATCCACCTGGGTCTGCTTCCTCCCACCCCTCCCCTCCTCAACAGCTCTTTTCCTTACATCCACTCCTCCATCCTCCCCTCCTCCTCGCTCCACACACCTCCAACTCCCCAGGAATCCTGCCCTCAATAACACTTCTTTTTAAAAAAAGAATGACACTATTTTTATTAAACCATTATCCATTTTTTAAAATGATAGTAAAATATATGCAACATAAAATTTACCATTCGAGCCATGCACAGTGGCTCATGCCTGTCATCCCAGCACTTTGGGAGGCCGAGGTGGGTGGATCACCTGAGGTCAGGAGTTTGAGACCAGCCTAGCCAACATGGTGAAACCGTGTCTCTACTAAAAATACAAAAATTAGCTGGGCATGGTGGTGCATGCCTGTAATCCCAGCTACTCGGGAGGCTGAGGCATGAGAATTGCTTGAACCCAGGAGGCAAAGGTTGCAGTGAGCCGATATCTCGCCATTGCACTCCAGCCTGAGGGATAGAGTAAGACTTTTTTTTTTTTGTCTCCGAGAAAGTAT
The DNA here is from genome assembly GCF_000001405.40 of Homo sapiens. Lineage (NCBI taxonomy): Eukaryota > Metazoa > Chordata > Mammalia > Primates > Hominidae > Homo > Homo sapiens. The sequence continues at coordinate 8,100,335 of NC_000019.10, read as the reverse complement.
CATTTGAACCATTTTTAGTGTGCAGTTCAGTGGCATTAAGTACACTTTCACTGTTTTGCAACTATCACCATCCGGAACTTTCTCATCTCCTCCCACTGAAACTCTGTCCCCATGAAACTCTCACTCCCCATCCCCCTCAGTCCCTGGAACCCACCATTCTACTTTCTGACTCTGTGAATCTGACGGTTCTAGGGACCTCCTGTGAGTGGAACCACGTAGGATTTGTTGTTTTGTGTCAGGCTTATTTCACTGAACATGATGTCCTCAAGGTGCATCCGTGTTGCAGTTTGTGTCAAATTGCTCCATGCCCTTTTTTTTTTTTTTTGAGATGGAGTTTCTCTCTTGTTGCCCAGGCTGGAGTGCAATGGCACTATCTCAACTTACTGCAACCTCTGCCTCCTGGGTTCAAGCGATTCTCCTGCCTCAGCCTCCCGAGTAGCTGAGATTATAGGCACCTGCCACCATGCCTGGCTAATTTTTGTATTTTAATAGAGGCAGGGTTTCACCATGTTGGTCAGGCTGGTCTCGAACTCCTGATCTCAGGTGATCCACCCACCTCAGCCTCCCAAAGTGCTGGGATTACAGGTGTGAGCCACTGAGCCTGGCCAGAATACTCCCTTTTTAACAACGTATTGCATAATTTAACACCTGCATCCCAAATGTCAACTATGCAGTGTTTAACTGATGAATTCATTTTCATTTGTTTTAATCCTCTGAATATATTCTCCTTATTTTTTAAAAAAATCAAACCATGGCGGCCGGGCGTGGTGGCTCACACCTGTAATCCCAGCACTTTGGGAGGCCGAGGCAGGCGGATCACGAGGTCAGGAGATCGAGACCATCCTGGCTAACAAGGTGAAACCCCGTCTCTACTAAAAATACAAAAAATTAGCCGGGCGTGGTGGCGGGCGCCTGTAGTCCCAGCTACTCGGGAGGCTGAGGCAGGAGAATGGCGTGAACCCAGGAGATGGAGCTTGCAGTGAGCCGAGATCGTGCCACTGTACTCTAGCCTGGGCGACAGAGCAAGACTCCGTTGCAAAAAAAAAAAAAAAAAAAAAATCAAACCATGACAAATAAAACCCACTTCTCCTCCAGTCATCACCTCAACTCTGTCTCTTTTCTCCCTCTCTGGACGTTCTTATGCTTTATGGCTGGAATATTTCTTTCTAGTTTTTTCTTCCTTCATTACATAATAGGTCCCCCACTGAAAATATATGACATTGGTTTCTGGGGCATTTTACGTAAATGATGTAATGCTTGACATGTTGGTTACAACTTGCTTTTTTCGTCCAAATTGTGTCTTGAAGAACCGGCCAGGTTACTATCTGCTGTGCAGCCTCTCTCTTTGCCCTGCCTAAAAGTGTTTCATGGTGCAGATACATCCCAGGTCCCCCAGTGATGGGAACTTAGGTAATTTCCAGTCCCCCACTGATGGACACTTAGGTTGTTTCAGATCTCCTTTTGATGGACACTTGGATTGTTTCCAGTCCCCTATTGATAGATAGGTGGATTGTTTCCAGTCCCCTTTGGATGGACACTTATATTGTTTATAACAGTTTTATTGAGAGATAATTCACATACCACACACTTCACCCATTTAAAGTGCCCTGTTTAGTGGTTTTGAATACATTCACAGAGTTATGCAACCATCACCTCAGTATAAGTTTAGAACTCATTTTCATCACACAAAAAGAACATTTTCATCACAGTCCCCCATTGATGGACACTTAGTATGTTTCCAGTCCCCCACTGATGGATATTTAGGTTGTTTCCAGTCCCCCACTGATGGACACTTAGTTTGTTCCCAGTCCCCCACTGATGGACACTTAGTTTGTTTCCAGTCCCCCACTGATGGACACTTAGTTTGTTTCCAGTCCCCCACTGATGGACACTTAGTTTGTTTCCAGTCCCCCACTGATGCCTGTTTAGGTTGTTTCCCGTCCCCTATTGATGGGCACTTAGGTTATTTCCAGTCCCCCATTGATTGACACTTAGGTTGTTTCCTGTCCCCCATTGATTGACACTTAGTTTGTTTCCAGTCCCCTACTGATGGACACTTATATTGTTTTCAGTCCCCCATTGATGGACACTTAGGTTCTTTCAAGTCCCCTTTTGATGGACACTTAGGTTGTTTCCAGTCCCCTACTGATGGACATTTAGATTGTTTATATATAACAGCTTTATTGAGATATAATTCACATACCACACACTTCACCCATTTAAAGTGCCCTCTTTAGTGGTTTTGAGTACATTCACAGTGTTACACAACCATCGCCTCAATCTAAGTTTAAAACATTTTCATCACACAAAAGTAAACCCTGTGCCTATTAGCAGTCTCTCCCTTTAGCCCCTCCCTTCTGCCCCTGGCAACCACAAATCGACTTTCTGTCTCTATTGATTTGCTACTTCTGGACATTTCCTTTAAATGGAGTCATGCAATATTGTTCTTTCATGTCTGGCTTCTCTTAGCAGAATGATTTTAGGTTTCAACCACATTGTCACATGTTACAGGGCTTTACTCCTTAATAAGGCTGAAGAATATTCCATGGTACAGACATCCCATATTTTGCTCTGCATTCATCAGTTGATGTTTCCAGTTTCTTGCTAAATAGCATCTCATACCGCTGTCCTGCTTACGCTTAAGGCCATTTCTTTCCAGCAGGGTTGCTGGGTCACAGGAAGTGTGTATTTTTAATTGAGAAAAACACACACAGTCTCTCTGCTCTTGTCTTTCCTCCCACTCCTCACCTCTTTCTGGTGTGAGCGGATGTATTTTGGTCACAGCAAGATTTTCTTGAGTGTGTGCTGGTTTGTGGCCACAACAGCCTCAACCAGATTGCAGGGCTAGTGGGTCCCTTCGCTCAGCATCGCTGGAAGTCCCAGGGGGCTGGGCTGCCCCTGATGGCAGATGCCTTCTGCAGACATTGATGAGTGTGGGGAGATCCCCGCCATCTGTGCCAATGGCATCTGCATAAACCAGATCGGGAGTTTCCGCTGCGAGTGCCCCGCAGGCTTCAACTACAACAGCATCCTGCTGGCTTGTGAAGGTGCCACCTCTCCCTGTTCCCAGCCCTGGGGCCTGGGTGGGATGCATGTCCGCCACTGTGCAATCTGGGCGAGTAACTAAAACTCTGTAAGCCTCCATTTCCCTGTATGTATAATGGGCTAACACCTTTCCAAGGGCCTCCATCTCATATAACCACCCTTACTCCAGCTCTGGCTGCTTCCAGAGAAACCACCTGCTCCGAAGCAGTGGACTGGGTTTCACGTTTGATTCTGTCAGGATGGGCTTCTCTGTCACCCCCACCTCATTTGCTGTATTTTCCCAGATGTCGATGAGTGTGGCAGCAGGGAGAGTCCCTGCCAGCAGAATGCTGACTGCATCAACATCCCCGGTAGCTACCGCTGCAAGTGCACCCGAGGGTACAAACTGTCGCCAGGCGGGGCTTGTGTGGGTGAGCAGGGTCCCTGGGAGGAGGTGAGGGAGCTGGGCTCTGTCACCCATGGGGACTTAGATGGGGTATGGCTCTGTCCAGGTCTTTCTCCTTTTCTATACTATTAGGGGGGTGGGGGATGTATTGAGAGTGTCTGTTAATAGGATGTGATAGAGGTGAGAGCTCAGGTCCATGCAGACAGCCTGACGCCCCTGGTGGAAGTTTGAGTGGGGAACTTCAAGGCAGATTCTGGCTTCCCCATTGCAGTAGGGAGAGCTCAGGCAAACACTGTGGTAGGAGCCCTGGGAACACCATGCTCTCTGCACCCCCAGGACGGAATGAGTGTCGGGAGATCCCGAATGTCTGTAGCCATGGTGACTGCATGGACACAGAAGGCAGCTACATGTGTCTGTGTCACCGTGGATTCCAGGCCTCTGCAGACCAGACCCTGTGCATGGGTGAGACCCTTATCTTCCCCCTCCTTTTCAAGCCAGGCTGCCTGGGGTCTAAACCTCCCCTGGGATGGAAGTGGTGTTTCTGTCCATCCTAGTTCACAAAGAGATCCAAGTTTGGGTCCTGAGATTAAGATCTTGGGTAAATGGTTGATCTGCCTCCCTGTGCCTCAGTTTTCCCATCTGTAAAATGGGGGTGATATATCATACCAGGAGTACTTCCCAGCCATCACCGCCAGGGGTCACTGCCCAGTCATCTAGGCAGGGCTAGGTGCAGGGGAGGAGTGCTAGGTCCAGCTGGCCTCTCACTCCCCAAGTTCCCCAATGCCCTGGGTGAGCTGGGTTGGGCTCTCGGCTTTGCTTCTGCAGACATTGACGAGTGTGACCGGCAGCCTTGTGGAAATGGGACCTGCAAGAACATCATTGGCTCCTACAACTGCCTCTGCTTCCCTGGCTTTGTGGTGACACACAATGGGGATTGTGTGGGTGAGTCGGCTCAGGTGGCAGGCTGGCCACAAAGTGGGTTCTCAGAATCTAAGGAAGTGAATCTAGAAATTGGCCACAGAAAGATGCCCAGAAAGTCCCCGATTATTTAGAAATTAAATAACATACTCCTAAATAATCCATAGGTCAAATAAATCATAAGGAAAATTAGAAAATATTTTGAAGTAAAAGAAAATGAAAATGAAAGCATAACATATGAAAATACATAGGATGCAGCTAAGGGGGCACTTAGAGGCAAATTCATAGCATTACATGGTTATATTAGAAAATATCAGCAACTACCTCATAAGATAGGTAGAAGGCTAATATACATAGTCTATACATGAGTGCTCAAGTTGAAGCCAATGCTGTCAGCTCAACTCAGTTGTGGACAGAAGTACAAGGAAGGTTTGATCCCTTCAAGTTTTGTGGGTGAACTGGCCTGCCCATCTCCCCTCTACAGATTTTGATGAGTGTACTACCCTGGTGGGGCAGGTGTGCCGATTTGGCCATTGCCTCAACACAGCTGGTTCCTTCCACTGCCTCTGCCAGGATGGCTTTGAGCTCACAGCTGATGGGAAGAACTGTGTGGGTGAGTCTGCCTATGGTGCTCGGAGGCATCTCAGCCAGCCCCTGCTCCATGTACACCACAGTTTGGTACTTCTGGGTGAGCATAGATCCATTTACTACCCAAGCATTTATTTTAAGATTTAAAAAAAAAAATACCCAGCACTTTGGGAGGCTGAGGCAGAAGGATTGCTTGAGGCCAGGAGTTTGAGACTAGCCTGGGCAACATAGTGAGTCCTCGTCTCTACAAAGAAATTTAAATTAGCCAGGAGTGGTGGCTATTGCCTGTAGTCCTAGCTACTCAGGAGGCTGGGGCAGGAGAATCACTTGAGCCCAGGAGTTTGAGGATGCAGTGAGCTATGATCACACCACCGCATCCAGCCTGGGCAACAGGGAAAGATCCTATCTCAAAATAAATAAATAAATAAAATAATTATAAAATCAGCACATCAAACCTATGTTTCTATGTATGGGGTTTGTTGTGTAGGGTGAGGCTGTCTTGAAAATGTAACTTTCCAGAAGCAAAGAATAGTAGAAGCGCTAAATAGATACCATGGAAGGAATCTGCTGGTGGTGCCAGATTAGGAATCTTGCTACCTCTTTCCACTGGACACCATCTGCCCCACCTATAACCCCACGAGAGTCAGATAATCCTTCCCCAGCTGTCCCTGTCGTCCTGAGTCTCAGCCCTTGCCCTGGAGCCAGAATTGCCACTGGGAGGGCTTGTCCTGGGGCCCTCAGTGATCACACAGTGATTGCAGGTGTTGGTCCCAGTCCCAAGTGAGCCCCCTGCATCCTGGCTGGCACAAGGACCTTTCTTCCTCCTTTTCACAGACACCAATGAGTGCCTCAGCCTTGCAGGAACCTGCCTACCCGGCACTTGCCAGAACCTCGAGGGCTCCTTCCGCTGCATCTGTCCCCCTGGCTTCCAGGTGCAGAGTGACCACTGCATTGGTGAGTGTCCAGCCCCACTCCCGTTTCTGGCGCCAGGGAGTGCCTCTCTTTCTCCATCCATAAAATGGGAATACCAGCTAGGGTTGTGATGAAGGTGGAGATGTACTTAACGCAGCGTCAAACACAGCTTCATAAACTATTATTGTCATTCTGATTGTTTCTGGACTCTGCACTCAGGACTTTGTCTCTAGTGCCCACAGGCTTCCTCATGAATCCTATAAATTGACATGGGTGTGGGGTCTCACCGTTTCTCAGTGCACCCAAATGTAGAGCTCCTCACTTGCTAACTGGAGATCAAGGACCAGTCTGGCCTAAGCTTCACCGGTGTAATCACCCATAGAGATGATTTCATGCAGTCTGGACTAACAAGTCTGGCCTAATCTCCTTTGGTCCATTTATCCACTTGGACTAGCCTCAGAGAGTGTGGGCTAACCTGGACCAGCCTGGGCTGAGCAGATGGGCTGCTTTGTTCACTGTGGTCTAACCTGGACCAGTCTGGCTTGAGCAGATGGGCTAGCCTGGGCTAACCTGAACCAGTCTGGCCTGAATACCTCTGATCCAGGCTTCCATCTGGGCTAGCCTTGTATAACCTGAGCTAACGTGGACCAGTCTGGCCTGGGCTCTTCTGATCTATCCTTTTTTTGTTGTTGTTTTGTTTTGTTTGTTTGTTTGTTTTTTGTTTGTTTTGTTTTGAGAGGAGTCTCACTCTCAGCTCACTGCAACCGCCACCTCCCGGGTTCAAGAGATTCTCCTGCCTCAGCCTCCTGAGTAGCTGGGATTACAGTCACTCATCACCATGCCTGGCTAATTGTTTATTTTTTTTGAGACGGAGTCTCACTCTATCCCCCAGGCTGGAGTGCAGTGGCACAATCTCGGCTCACTGCAAGCTCCGCCTCCCAGGTTCACGCCATTCTCCTGCCTCAACCTCCCAAATAGCTGGGACTACAGGCGCCCGCCACCATGCCCGGCTATTTTTTTGTATTTTTAGTAGAGACGGGGTTTCACCATGTTAGCCAGGATGCTCTCGATCTCCTGACCTCGTGATCTGCCCGCCTTGGCCTCCCAAAGTGCTGGGATTACAGGCATGAGCCATTGCGCCAGGCCCAATTTTTGTATTTTTAGTAGAAACGGGGTTTCACCATGATGGCCAGGCTGGTGTCAAACTCCTGACCTCAAGCGATCCTCCCACCTCAGCCTACCAAAGTGCTGGGATTGCAGGCATGAGTCACCATGCCCGGCCTATTCTGATCTATTCTATTTGGGCTAGCTTAGTACAACATGAGTTAACCCTGTCCGGTGTAGGGTAAATATATCCAGTCTCAGTTAGCTTTGTGCAATTTTCTTTTTTTAAGGTTTAAATTTTTTTTTTCTATTTTTTCTTATTTTAATTTCAATAGTTATGGGGGAACAGGTGGTTTTTGGTTACATGGATAAGTTCTTCAGTGGTGATTTCTGAGATTTTGGTGCACCTGTCACCTAAGTAGTATACACTGTACCCAGTATGTAGTCTTTTATCCCTCACCCCCCTCCCATCCTTCCCTGGGGGTCCCCAAAGTCCTTTATATCATTATTATGCCTTTGCATCCTCATAGATTAGCTCCCACTTATAAGTGAGAACATACGATATTTGGTTTTCCATTCCTGAGTTACTTCACTTAGAATAACGGCCTCCAGCCCCATCCAAGTTGCTGCAAAGGACATTATTTTGTTCCTTTTTTTTTTTTTTTTTTTTTTTTTTGGTGGAGTCTCACTCTGTCACCCAGACTGGAGTGGCACAGTCTCAGCTCACTGCAATATCCACCTCCCGGGTTCAAGCGATTCTCCTGCCTCACCCTCCTGGTAGCTGGGATTACAGGTGCGCCCCGCCACAATGCCCAGCTAATTTCTGTATTTTCAGTAGAGACAGGGTTTCACCATGTTGGCCAAGCTGGTCTCCAGCTCCTGATCTCAAGTGATCCACCAGCCTTGGCCTCCCAAAGTGCTGGGATTACAGGTGTGAGCCACTGTGCCTATTTCGTTCCATTTTGTGGCTGAGTAGTATTCCATGGTGTATTATATACCACATTTTCTTTATCTACTCGTTGGCTGATGGGCATTTATAAATATGATGGCTCCAGATTTTTGCGATTGTGAATTGTGTTGCTATAAACATGCATGTGCGTGTGTCTTTTTCATATAATGACTTACTTTCCTTTGGGTAGATACCCAGTAGTAGGATTGCTGGATTGAATGGTAGTTCTACTTTTAGTTTTTTGGTTTTTTTTTTTTGAGACAGAGTCTCGCTCTGTCACCCAGGCTCAAGTGCAGTGGTATGAGCTCAGCTCACTGCAAGCTCTGCCTCCCGGGTTCATGCCATTCTCCTACCTCAGCCTCCAGAATAGCTGGGACTACAGGCGCCCACCACCACACCCGGCTAATTTTTTTGTATTGTTAGTAGATGGTTTCACCATGTTAGCCAGGATAGTCTCAATCTCCTGACCTGGTGATCCACCCGCCTCCACCTCCCAAAGTGCTGGGATTACAGGCATGAGCCACCGCGCCCGGCCTTACTTTTAGTTCTTTAAGGAATCGCCACACTGTTTTCCATAGAGGTTGTACTATGTGCAGTTTCAGTCTCCAATCATGAACTATTCCTGACCATGACCTTTACTCTGGAGATGCCTTCCGGGAAGGACCTACGTGCACACACAATGCCCACCTCGTGCTGAAGCTCATACTGAGCTCTCAGGACCCCAGCCCCACTGCAGCCCCTGGCTGGACCTGCACTCCATCTGTCCCTTCTCACAGCTGAGTCCTCTCCCCACTGATGGAGGTCCTACTTGCCCCCCACCCAGCTCATGTCCCTGCCCTTCCAGATATCGACGAGTGCTCAGAGGAGCCCAACCTCTGCCTCTTTGGCACCTGTACCAACAGCCCTGGGAGCTTCCAGTGCCTCTGCCCACCTGGCTTTGTCCTCTCTGACAATGGGCACCGTTGCTTTGGTAAGTCCACACAGGGCTTAGGGAAGAGGGTGGGAAGTGGGGCGGGGAAGGGTCAGATTGCCCAGAAAAGAGGGCTGTGGTTTCTTGTGTGACCCTTTGGGAGCTCTGACCAGGCAGAGGTGTCTGTTTGCATTAGCAGAGTTATCCTAGTGCCAGCAACCTCTTGGCTATAGAGGTCATGTCTATGGAGGGCTAACCTGGTCCATTCTGAGCTAGGTGTGTGCTTATTTAGGTTTTCCTTGTATTGGTCACATGACTGTAGGCTGTCAATGGGCTGGTTTTGTCCAGTTTGAGCTAGCCTAGACTACTCTGGGCTGGCTCCGTTTCAGCTGGGCTAGCCTTGTCTACTGTGGGCTAACCTCACCCAGCTTGAGCCAGCCTGTTCTCTCACAGGTCAGGGGCAATAAGGGTGAGAGCAGAGCATGCAGTTCACCTCAGCGAATATTTGCTGTTCTGGGAGGCTGGGACCCCAGCCTGCTGGTGAGGACTTGATAGGTGTCCAGAGCCAAGGATTGGGGGTTTGGATCCTCGGGCTTTCTGGAATCAGTCGTTTTGCCTCTCCAGGAAGGGGTTTTTGATCCAAGAGTAACCACCAAGTTTGATCTTTCTTCCTGGCATGAGAACACCCCAAAGCAATGAAGTGGGGTGGGATTCCAGCTGTCCCCTCAAAACCCCAGGGCAGGCCAGGGGCGGTGGCTCATGACTGTAATACCAGCACTTTGGGAGGCTGAGGCAGGCTGATCACCTGAGGTCAGGAGTTTGAGACCAGCCTAGCCAATGTGGTGAAACCCCGTCTCTACTAAAAATACAAAAATTAGCCGGGTGTGGTGGCACATGCCTGTAATCCCAGCTACTTGGGAGGCTGAGGCAGGAGAATCACTCGAACCTGGGAGGTAGAGGTTGCAGTGAGCTGAGATCGTGCCACTGCACTCCAGCCTGGTCAACAGAGGAAGACTCCATCTGAAAAAAAAAAAAAACCACCACCACCACCAACAACAACAACTAAAAACCCAGGGCAGATCCTCATTGGCCCAGAGTAGGTCACATGTCCATACTCAAACCAATCACCATGACCAGGGGCATGGCATGTTCTGATTGGCCACTGGCAGGATCAGCACAACCCATTCACCAGGACTGGGGTGCGGGAGGTCACAGGGGCAGGTGGGCACTGCCAGCGGCTTTCAATCAGGGTAATGGAGCCCCCACCCCACAGACACACGGCAGAGTTTCTGCTTCACCCGTTTTGAGGCTGGGAAGTGCTCGGTGCCCAAAGCTTTCAACACCACCAAGACCCGCTGCTGCTGCAGTAAGAGGCCTGGGGAGGGCTGGGGAGACCCCTGCGAACTGTGTCCCCAGGAGGGCAGCGGTGAGTGCCCACCCCTGTCCAGGCTCCCTGGATGATGTGCCCTCACCTTCCTCTCTCATTCTTCTCTCATCCTTCCCTGCACACACCTGGGGGCTGCACCTAGGCCCTGACTCTGACTCCCCTCCCCCTCTCCGTCCAGCTGCCTTTCAGGAGCTCTGCCCCTTTGGCCACGGGGCAGTCCCAGGCCCGGATGACTCCCGAGAAGGTGAGCCCCTCACCCACATGCTAAGAGCCCCTTCTGGGCCACCCAGATCCATCTCCGCACTGCCTGGGTCTCTGAGTTTCAGGCTCCCCCTGAGAGCCTGGGTGGCCCTGGACCCTGCCAGCCTGGGGCTTGGGCTTTTGTCCCCTTGGGGCCTTGAGTGTGGCCAGGGCTCTGGCGATTGTGTGGTGACAGAAGCCATGTCTGCAACGCCTGCCATCCGCAGACGTGAATGAGTGTGCAGAGAACCCTGGCGTCTGCACTAACGGCGTCTGTGTCAACACCGATGGATCCTTCCGCTGTGAGTGTCCCTTTGGCTACAGCCTGGACTTCACTGGCATCAACTGTGTGGGTGAGTGGCCAGCCCTTCCCCAGCTCTGTCCCAGGCCCCTCCCAGGACAGGAAGGAGCAGAGCAGGGCAGGGAAGACACCCCCAGGCAGTGGGTGAGATCCTGTCCTTAACCACTGCCTCTCTCCCCCATTCACTTTTTCTCCCTCTGTGCTTCATTCACTCATTAATTCACTTGCTCACTCATTTTCTTGCTCATTCATTCACTCACTCACTTATTCATTTACTCATTCACTTATTCATTTACTGACTCATTCATTCACTTGCTCACTCACTTACTCATTTTCTCATTCATTCACTCATTCACTCACTCATTTACTCCCTTATTCATTCACTTACCAATTCACTCACTCATTCACTCCTTGGCTCACTCATTCCTTCACTTGTTCATTCATTCACTTATTAATTCACTAACTCCCTCATTCATTCACACGTCATTCATTCACTTGCTCATTCACTCACTTATTCATTTACTCACTTATTCATTTACTCACTTATTCACTCATTCACTCATTTGCCCCCTCACTCATTCACTTGCTAATTCTCTCACTCATTCACTCCTTTGCTCACTCATTCCTTCGCTTGTTCATTCATTCACTTGTTCATTCAATCACTCCCTCATTCATTCACACCTCATTTATTCACTGGCTCATTCATTCACTCACTCATTCATTTACTCATTCACTCATTCACTCGTTTGCTCCCTCATTCATTCACTTGCTTGTTTGTTCACTCATTCATTTGTTCCTTCATTTGTCTCCTTGCTCATTCACCCATTCAATCACTCATTTATTCATTTACTCACTCATTCCTTTGCTCATTCATTCATGCTTTCACTCACTTATTCAGTCACTCATTCGTTTCCTCATTTGCCCTCTTGTTCATTCATTCACTTCCTTGCTGATTTCTCCATTCACTCACTCAGTAATTCACCCACTCATTCACCCCTTTACTCACTCATTCCCTTATTCATTTAACCATTCATTCACTTACTCATTTATATGTTTTTTAGAGATGAAGTCTTGCTATGTTACCCAGGCTCTTTTGGAACTCCTGGGCTCAAATGACCCTCCTGCCTCAGTTTCAGTTACTGGTTTAATCACTCCTTCATTCACTGGCTCATTCATTCACTTCTTGCTCATTCACTCACTCCCTTGCTCACTCATGCATTCCTTTACCTGCCCACTTGCTCACACATTCACTCATTCATTCACTAAACACATACCGCTTGCCTGCCCCATAGCCAGACTAGAGGTGCATTCGATCTGGCCCCCTCCGATCTGTGGTGGTCAACAGGCAGGCAGATGGGATGCTACTGAGGATGGGGGACCCTCTGCAGGTGCTGACCACCCCCTTACTCCCACCCAGACACAGACGAGTGCTCTGTCGGCCACCCCTGTGGGCAAGGGACATGCACCAATGTCATCGGAGGCTTCGAATGTGCCTGTGCTGACGGCTTTGAGCCTGGCCTCATGATGACCTGCGAGGGTACAACTCTGCTTGCCCAGGACCTGGGCCGTGTGACGGAGATGCCTGGGGGAGGGAGTGGAGGTCCCGCCCTCAGTCCCTACCCAGCTGGCACCTCCACTGGCCTCCCCAGACATCGACGAATGCTCCCTGAACCCGCTGCTCTGTGCCTTCCGCTGCCACAATACCGAGGGCTCCTACCTGTGCACCTGTCCAGCCGGCTACACCCTGCGGGAGGATGGGGCCATGTGTCGAGGTAGGCCTGACTAATATGGTAAAACCCTGTCTCTACTAAAAATACAAAATTAGCTGGGCATGGTGGCACACGCCTGTAATCCCAGCTACTTGGGAGGCTGAGAGACAGGAGAATCGCTTGAACCTGGGAGGCGGAGGTTGCAGTGAGCCGAGATCATGCCACTGCACTCCAGCCTGGGCGACAAGAGCAAAACTCCGCCTCAAAAAAAAAAAAAAAAAAAAAAAAATCCTGCAATGCACACAGAACAGCCGCCCACCGCAAAGAACTTTCCTATCCCAAATGTTCATAGTGTCAAGCGTGGGAGACCCTGGTCTGGGACTCAGTGTCTCTGGGGCTGTTTCAGGGTCAGTGTTCCAGGGGCCATGAGCAGACTCACAGACCCTGACATGGGCAGGGGATGCAAGCTTTGGGGGACAATTCCTGATTCCCTCAGCTTCTTGGAGGCTGGGGCTGGGCAGGAGCTGGGGGCTCCCTTCCTAAGAGGGATAGACATTTGACAGGGTCTGCAGGGAACTCACTCAGGTCCCACAGGGCTGACGCAGGGTGGAATCCAGGTCCCCACAGCCATAGGGTGCCTGGCCTTGACTGACCATCTGTCTCTGGTCATCCGAAGATGTGGACGAGTGTGCAGATGGTCAGCAGGACTGCCACGCCCGGGGCATGGAGTGCAAGAACCTCATCGGTACCTTCGCGTGCGTCTGTCCCCCAGGCATGCGGCCCCTGCCTGGCTCTGGGGAGGGCTGCACAGGTATGGGGCACTGGAGCTTCATGGGTGCAGGAAACTCCTTGTGGAAGGGAGAGGTCAAAGCAAGAGGGTTGGACCGGGCACGGTGACTCATACCTGTCATCCCAGCACTTTGGGAGGCTGAGGCGAGAGGATCGCTTGAGCCCAGGAATTTGAGGCTTCAATGAATGGGAGGGACAGGCAGTGGGGGGGGACAGGCAGTGGGAGGGACAGGTAGTGGAGGTGACAGGCAGTGGGAGGACAGTGCCGCTGCACTCCAGCCTGGACGACAGAGTGAGACCCCATCTCCAAAAACAATAAAAATGAAAATAAGGCTGGGCACGGTGCCTCACGCCTGTAATCCTAGCACTTTGGGAGACCAAGGCGGTTGGATCATCTGAGGTTAGGAGTTTGAGAACAGGGTGGACAACACGGCGAAACCCCGTCTCTACTAAAAATACAAAAAAAAAAAAAAAAATAGCTGGGCGTGGCGGCGGGCACCTGTAATCCCAGCTACTTGGGAAGCTGAGGCAGAAGAATTTCTTGAACCCGGGAGGTGGACGTTGTAGTGACCCAAGATCAGGCAATTGCACTCCAGCCTGGGAAACGGAGCGAGACTCTGTCTCAAAAAATAATAATAATAATAATAATAAAAATAAATAAAATAAAAATAAGCAAGAGGGCCTGGGCAGATCCAAAGGGGCCCTTTGGGGCTGTGGGAGAGGCTGGCTGCCTGTGGCCTCCCCGCCCACCTGCCTCACCCCTCCCATCTCAGATGACAATGAATGCCACGCTCAGCCTGACCTCTGTGTCAACGGCCGCTGTGTCAACACCGCGGGCAGCTTCCGGTGCGACTGTGATGAGGGATTCCAGCCCAGCCCCACCCTTACCGAGTGCCACGGTGAGTGTGGCTGGACACGCACAGTGGTTGCAACCACCTACCATGTGGCACCCACTGCCTGTCCCCCCCCACTGCCTGTTCCCCCCACTGCCTGCCCCCTTCACTCCCTGTCCCTCCCACTGCCTGTTCCCTCCACTGCCTGTTCCCCCCACTGCCTGTCCCTCCCACTGCCTGTCCCTCCCACTGCCTGTCCCCCCACTGCCTGTCCCTCCCACTGCCTGTCCCTCCCACTGTCTGGGAGCCCTCCAAGGCAGGGACGGGGCCTGCGGCACTGACGGGCAACCCAGGGGGTTGCTGAGCTAATCCGGACACACATGTCCAGTGCTCCCCTGCTGCCCCTCTTCCCTCTGTCCCTTCTGTTAAATACTGGAAGAGCGGGACGCTCCCTCCATGCCTCCTCCAACTTACTGGCGCCACACCCCGGAACCAACCTTCCCCAGATCTCCCACTTCTGGGGAGCTAACCCCAGCCGGTGACCCACTAGGGCCATCTGTCCTGTGTATCCAACTCCCTCCTGGACACCCCTGTCCCCAACACCCCCAAAATACAGCTTGCCCCAAAGCAAGCTCAGTCTTTGCCCCCAAACCAGCCTCCTGGAGTGACCGTTGTCTTTCCCATTGTTCTCTGCAGACATCCGGCAGGGGCCCTGCTTTGCCGAGGTGCTGCAGACCATGTGCCGGTCTCTGTCCAGCAGCAGTGAGGCTGTCACCAGGGCCGAGTGCTGCTGTGGGGGTGGCCGGGGCTGGGGGCCCCGCTGCGAGCTCTGTCCCCTGCCCGGCACCTCTGCCTACAGGAAGCTGTGCCCCCATGGCTCAGGCTACACTGCTGAGGGCCGAGGTGGGTGCCCATGCCCTCAGGACCCCCAGGGAGGCAAGAAACGGGGGAGTTTGCTCAGGGTCATGTGTCTGTACTGCAGCAGGTGCTGGAATGTGTGAGCCACACTGTGTGTGTGTGTGTGTGTGTGTGTGTGTGTGTGTGTCTTTGTGCTAGCAGATATGAGAACCAGTACGTGTGCACCATATGCATGGAAGAACTCGGGGGGTTGAGGGAGCAGTTGTGTGAGCCAATGTGTGTGTATGTGTTCTGAGACAGAGTCTCACTTTGACACCCAGGCTGGAGTGCAGTGGTGCAATCTCAGCTCACTGCAACCTCTGCCTCCCAGTAGCATACCTGTCATCCCAGCACTTTGGGAGGCTGAAGAAGGAGGATTGCTTAAGCCCAGGAATTTGAGGCTGCAATGAGCTAAGATAGTGCCACTGCACTCCAGCCTGGGTGATAGAGCAAGACCTCGTCTCCAAAAGCAATAAAAATAGGCCGGGCACAGTGGCTCACACTTGTAATCCCAGCACTTTGGGAGGCTGAGGCGGCCGGATCACCTGAGGTCAGGAGTTTGAGACCACCCTGGTCAACATGGTGAAACCTCATCTCTACTAAAAATACAAAAAATTAGCTGGATTTGGTGGCGTGTGTCTGTAATCCCAGTTACTCGGGAGGCTGAGGCAGGAGAATCCCTTGAATCCGGGAGGCAGAGCTTGCAGTGAGACGAGATCACGCCATTGCACTCCAGCCTGGGCAACAGAGAGAAACTCTGTCCCAAAAAAATAAATAAATAAAAATAAAAAGCAAGAGGGCCTTAACAGACCCAAAGGATCTCTTTGGGGCCGTGGGAGAGGCTGGCTCTCCCATGGCCAGTAAAGATGAGGTTTTGCCATGCTGGCCAGGCTGGTCTCGAACTCCTGGCCTCAAGTGATCCGCCCACCTCAGCCTCCCAAAATGCTGGGATTACAGGCATGAGCCACCGCGCCCGGCCCAGTGTGTGTTCTTTGTGAGTGAGAGCTCGTTCCGGACTGCGTGGGAGCTGGTGTGTGTCTGTGTGTGTCAGCTGGGTGAGAAGTATACACCATGTTCATCTGTGAAGTAGAAGGCAGTGAGAGGGAGCCAGCGGCCTGTGTGTTGTGGACTTGGGTGAGTGTACAAGGGCAGGTATGTGAGTGTCTGCGTGTGAGCGAGCATAAGGACATCAGTGCGTCTCACTGAGTGTGTCACTGATAGTGAGATGGGTTATCCATGTGACCAGCAGTGGCATCAACAGGACTGGGGAGGGCCGCGGTGGCTCACGCCTGTAATCCCAGCACTTTGGGAGGCTGAGGCGGGCAGATCACGAGGTCAGGAGATTGAGACCATCCTGGCTGACACGGTGAAACCCTGTCTCTATTAAAAATACAAAAAATTAGCCGGGCGTGGTGGCAGGTGCCTGTAGTCCCAGCTACTTGGGAGGCTGAGGCAGGAGAATGGCGTGAACCCGGGAGGCGGAGCTTGCAGTGAGCAGAGATCGTGTCACTGCACTCCAGCCTGGGCGACAGAGCGAGACTCTGTCTCAAAAAAAAAAAAAAAGAAAAAATAGTAGGACTGGGGAGGAAATGGCTTTTTGGGGGTGTGGCTGGGGGGAGACTCGGGAGTCCCTGAGTGTTGGCGTGTGTTCCCGTGTTTCTGCAGGAGCATCTAGGTGTGTGGCTAGTGTATCATGTTGCATGCACTGTGTGTCTCTGTTCTGCATGTTGGTGCACTGAGGAGGTGTCGCTGTTGAGGCTGGGGAGGGGTGGGTGTGAGTCCCCTTCCCTGGAAGCTTCATGGGCGTGTCCTGCGGGCTCAGGTGTCATCCGCAGCCTGAGGATGGGGTCCACGTGGGCTGGGGTGCAGTGGCCGGTGTGGAAGGGAGGCTGGACTTTCCTCCGAGGAGACGGCTGCTGGGCAGAGAGAAGGAGACATTCCTCGGTGGAGGCGCGAAGCAGCCAGCCAGCCCCATTTGCACCCTACTTTTTCCCAGATGTAGATGAATGCCGTATGCTTGCTCACCTGTGTGCTCATGGGGAGTGCATCAACAGCCTTGGCTCCTTCCGCTGCCACTGTCAGGCCGGGTACACACCGGATGCTACTGCTACTACCTGCCTGGGTGAGCCCAGCCCTCTGCACCTGCACCCTTGGCCCAGCCTGGCCACCTTCTGTGCAGCCCCTGAACTCAACTTCCCTGAGACTTTCCACTTTGCAATGTTAGGCTTTCATTTACAAAGTGGTGCCCAAACCATACAGACAACTGAGGGCCAGGTGTGATGGCTCGCTACTGTAATCCCAGTATTTTGGGAGGTCGAGGTGGGAGGATCACTTGAGACCAGGAGTTCCATAGCAACATAGCAAGACCCCATCGCTAAAAAAAATTAGCCAGGATGGTGGCCTGTAGTCCCACATGCGCCTGTAGCCCCAGCTACTTGGGAGGCTGCTTGAGCTCAGGAGTCTGAGGCTGCAGTGAGCTGATTGTGCCACTGCAGTCCAGCCTGGGTGACAGAGTGAGACCCTGTCTCTTAAAAAATGAAAAACAAAAGAAAAGAAAGAAAGAAAAAAAAAAACAGGCCAGGCATAGTAGCTCATGCTTGTAATCCCAGCACTTTGGGAGGCCAAGGTGGGCACATCATTTGAAGCCAGGATTTCAAGACCAGCCTGGCCAAGATGGTGAAACCCCATCTCTGCTAAAAATACGAAAATTAGCTGCACGTGCTGGTGCATGCCTATAATCCCAGCTACGCGGGAGGCTGAGGCAGGAGAATCGTTTGAACCCAGGAAGTGGAGGTTGTAGTGAGCTGAGATCATGCCACTGCAGTTTAGTCTGGACAACAGAGTGAGACTCTGTCAAGAAAGAAAGAGAGAAAGAAAGGGAAGGAAGGAAGGAAGGAAGGAAGGAAGGAAGGGAAGGGAAGGAAGGAAGAGAGAGAGAGAGAAAGAAACAAAGAGAAAGGGGAGAAAGAGAAAAAAGAGAAGAAAGAAGAGAAAGAAAGAAAAAAGAAAGAGAGAGAGACAAAAAGAAAGAGAAAGAAACAGAAAGAAAGAAAGAGAAAGGGAGAAAGAGAGAAAGGGAGAGGAAGGAAGGGAAGGAAGGCCAAGTGAGGTGGCTCACGCCTGTAATCCCAGCACACTTTGGGAGGCTGAGGCAGAAGGATCACTTGAGGCCAGGAGTTTGAGACCAGCCTGGCCAACATCATGAAACCGTCTCTACTAAAAAAAAGAAAAAAAGAAAAAAAATTAGCCAGGTGTTATGTGCCTGTAATCCCAGCTGCTTGGGAGGCTGAGGCAGGAGAATTGTTTGAACCTGGGAGGCGGAGGGTGCAGTGAGCTGAGATTGCGCCATCGCATTCCAGCCTGGGTGATGAAACGAGACTCCGTCTCAAGAAAGAAAGAGAGAAACAAGGAAGGGAGGGAGGGAGGGAGGGAGGATCCTTTCGTTCTCCCACCCCCACCCTGTTTGGGCCACTTTCCTGCTGTTATTTCTTCCTTTTATTTTGCACATCCTGATATTTTTCAGTTGTGTTTTGTAGCAAGCGTACATCTAAGTCAGCGGGAAGAAAACTCTAGCCCGAGGGTCAAGTCTGGCCCTCCATTTGTTCTTGTCAATAAAGTTTTATTAGCACACAGCCATGCACATTTGTCTGCTTACCCTCAATGGCTGCTTTGCTAGTACAAAGGCCACATGGAGTAGTTGTATCTGAGATGGTGTGGCCTGCAAAACCAAATGTATTTCCCACCTGGCTTTTTGCAGAAAGAAGTGTTCATTCCTGTGTAAGTCCACAGATTTCAGATGGTCGGGGTCTGGTGGAGACCTCAGTCCCTGAACACCCCCAGGGAATGTCTGTCTAACCCCGCCCCACTACCCACGCTGTCCTTCCCCAGATATGGATGAGTGCAGCCAGGTCCCCAAGCCATGTACCTTCCTCTGCAAAAACACGAAGGGCAGTTTCCTGTGCAGCTGTCCCCGAGGCTACCTGCTGGAGGAGGATGGCAGGACCTGCAAAGGTGATGTCCTTTCAACTCTCCCCCACTCCCACCACTGCATGCAGTCTAGGGCCCCAAAGGGATGCCCAAGACATGTCCCCTGCAATCTCACCCCCTCCCATCTGCATGGAGTCAAGCACCATCTCCGAGGTCTTTCTCTTGTCACCCCTCTGCCTGGAGGTGGCAAGGGCAGCCCCTGGGAAGCCCCTAATCCCCCACTGGGCCCTGCCCTGAGCCTGCTGGACCATCCGTGCTGCAGACCTGGACGAATGCACCTCCCGGCAGCACAACTGTCAGTTCCTCTGTGTCAACACTGTGGGCGCCTTCACCTGCCGCTGTCCGCCCGGCTTCACCCAGCACCACCAGGCCTGCTTCGGTGAGTGACCCTTGCCCCTCACCGGGAGGTGACCCATGACCCCAGCATTAGTTATTTTGCTCACCAAAAAAATATCAAGTTGGCCAGGCGCAATGGCTCACGCCTGTAATCCCAGCACTTTGGAAAGCTGAAGCGGGTGGATCATCTGAGGTCAGGAGTTCAAGACCAGCCTGGCCAACATGGTGAAAACCCGTCTCTACTAAAAATACAAAAAAATTAGCCTGGCATGGTGGCAGGTGCCTGTAATCCCAGCAACTCCGAGAAGCTGAGGCAGGAGAATCGCTTGAACTCGGGAGGCAGAGGTTGCAGTGAGCTGAGATCATGCCACTGCACTCCAGCCTGGGCAACAAGAGCGAAACTCTGTCTCAAAAAAAATAGTATCAAGCACCCGGTGTGTATTGGACATTGGGGACATGGGGGTGATCAGAACAAAGTCGTTACTTCCTTAGTGCTCGCTTCCTGGAGGCATCTAGAACCTCCTTCCTCTCCTTTGGGAGGAGAGAGGCCCTCTCGCCTTGGCTTATGGCATCTTGCCTTCCCCCTGACAAGTCCCTGCTGGATCTCCCTCCCAGAGCCTCCCCAGAGCGCTCCTGAAATCCCAGGTCTCACATAGTCCCAGGAGGAAATCAGTTCAACAGCTAAAGCCACAAGGGCATCTGCTACCATCATTGTTTCTTAGTGTCTCGTGGCCCCCAGGGAACACAATCTTCCCCAAAGGCAGAGCCTAGTCAAGGGTGGCCCCTTTCACGCGCCCACTAATCTGCCCAGACAGCACCTACTGTGTACCAGGCAGTGCTCTAGACCAAAGGGTGGCAAACTCCAGGCTGCCAGCCAAGCCCGGCCCCCTGCTTGCTTTTGTTAATAAAGTTTGATTGACACACAGCCAAGCCCGCTTGCTTACAATCACCTGTGGCTGCTTTTGCACTATATTGGCAGAGAAGAGTCTTGGGACAGAGCCTGTTACAGAAACAGAAATGGTTTGTCGGGCCCTGTTATAGACCCTGGGGGTACAGCAACAAACATAAAAGGCAGGGATCTTCCATCATGGAACTTTCCTTCTAGCACAGAATCAAGACTAGAGGCAGACATAACAAGAAATTAACAGAATGGTGTGGTTGGGTGTGGTAGCTCATGCCTGTAATCCCATCACTTTGGGAGGCTGAGGCTGGCAGATCACTTGAGGCCAGGAATTCGAGACCAGCCTGGCCAACATGACAAAACCCCGTTTCTACTAAAAATACAAAAATTAGCCGGGTGTGGTGGTGGCGCCTGTAATCCCAACTACTTGGGAGGCTGAGGCAAGAGAATCACTTGAACCTGGGAGGTGGAGATTGCAGTGAGCCGAGATCGTGCCAGTGCACTCAGACACAGCAAGACTCTGTCTCGAAAACAAACAAACAAACAAACAAACAATTAACAGAATAGTGTGTTCAAAGGTGATGTGTGTCATGAAAGAAAGAAAAAGTAAAAGCAGGAGTTCAGGAAAGAAGGAGAGGGCCACAGGGTTGTTTTGGAGGGTAGGGAGAGGTTTGGTGGTGGTTGTTTTTGGTTATGTTGTCTGTCTGTTTGTTTGTTTGTTTGTTTTAGAGATGGAGTCTTGCTCCATCACCCAGGCTGGAATACAGCAATGTGATCGCAGCTCACTGAAACTTCAAATTCCTGGGCTCAAGCAATTCTCCCACTTCAGCTTCCCTAGTACTTGGGACTACAGGCTCACCACATCTGGGTTTTTTGTTTTGTTTTTTGTTTCTTAGAGATGGAGTCTCTTAATGACTCTGTTGCCCGGGCTGGAGTACAGTGGCTATTCACAAATGTGATCACAGCACACTGAAGCCTCAAACTCCTGGTGTCAAGTGATCCTCCCACCTCAGCCTCCTGAGAGGGCTTCAGTTTTAAGAGAGGGATCAGGTCAAGTATCACCAAAAGAGAACATTTGGCTGGGCACTGTGGCTCATGCCTGTAATCCCAGCACTTTGGGAGGATGGCTTAGGGCCAGGAGTTCGAGACCAGCCCAGGCAACATGGCAAGACTCCATCTCTACAAAAAATACAAAATTAGCTAGAGGTGGTGACACCTGCCTGTAGTCTTAGCTACTTAGGAGGCTGAGGTGGGAGGATCTCTTGAACCCAGGAGGTTGAGGCTGCAGTGAGCAGTGTTCATACCACTGCAGTCCAGCCTAGGGGACAGAGCAAGACTCAAAAAAAAAAAAAAGAGAGAGAGAGAGAACATTTGAACAAAGACTCTTGAAACAAGAGGCATTTCTGTTTCTCTGCAACATTAAAGTCTGTGGCCAGGCATAATGGCTCACACCTGTAATCCCAGCATTTTGGGAGGCTGAGGCAGGAGGATTGCTTCAGCTCAGGAGTTTGAGACCAGCCTGGGCAACACAGTGAGACCCCATCTCTATTAAAAAAAAAAAAAGTAAGGTTTTCACTGGATGTGTGAGCAGCTGCATGGACCAGGGCCGTGCATCACATGGGTAACATCCGTGGAGCAAGGTCACACGTGACTGCTTCTCTCACTAGAAATGAGTTTAAATTCTCAGCCAGGCAGATGGTGGTGTGAGGCTCAACTTGATCAAAAGTCACAAACTTTTTCTGCAAAGGGCTCAAGAGGAGTAAATATTTTCAGCTTTGTAGTTGAGATGGTCTCTGTCGCCACGATTGGACTCTACCATGCTAGCATCAAAGCAGCTGGAGAGATACGTAAATGAAAGACCGTGTCTGTGTCCCAATAAACTTTATTGATACAACAGACAGTGGCTTGGATTTTGTCTCAGGGTGTTCCTGTCTGCTAATGACTAAACTGTTAATAGAAGAGCAAACTCACATGGCCACAGTAGGCCAGCCTGACACTTGGTTTGCTTTGCTAGATGTAAGGGAAAGAAATTGTGGGTGGTGGCAGACATTTCTGTTTTTAATTTTTGAGATGGAGTCTTGCTCTGTCGCCCAGGCTGGAGATTGCAGTGGTGCAATCTCAGCTCACTGCAATCTCACCTCCCAGGTTCAAGCGATCCTCCTGCCTCAGCTTCCCAAGTAGCTAGGACTACAGGTGTGTGCCACCACGCCCGGCTAATTTTTGTATTTTTTGTAGAGACGGGGTTTTGCCATGTTGCCCGGGCTGGTCTTAAACTCCTGGGCTCAAGCAATCTGCCCATCTCGGCCTTCCAAAGTGCTGGGATTGCAGGCCACGGTGCCTGGCTGTGCCAGACATTTCTTCTGGCCAGAGTCTAGAGCTATTCTCTGTGGCCCCTCAAGTGACAGCTCAGGCAGCCGCAGGGGCCACTCCTACTTAGAAGCTTCATGTTCCCATGTCTGTTGTTCCCAAGAGATATTCACTTTTTGTTTGCTCGTTTTTGTTTTTTGAGACAGAGTCTCACTCTGTCGCCCAGGCTGGAGCGCAGGGGCGTGATCGTGGCTCACTGCATCCTCTGCCTCCTGGGTTCAAACGATTCTCCCACCTCAGCCTCCCAAGTAGCTGGGATTACAGGCATGCAGCACCACATCCAGCTAATTTTTGTATTTTTAGTAGAGATGGGGTTTCACTATGCTGGTCAGGCTGGTCTCAAACTCCCATGCTCAGGTGATCTGCCCGCCTCGGCCTCCCAAAGTGCTGGGATTACAGGCATAAGCCACTGTGCCCGACCCCAAGAGAGACTCTACATCTCCATAGATATGTGCTTAGTGTCAAGAATCTCTGTACTCAAGGAAGCTAAAAGCAGGATTTTCCACCAGGAATTTGTTGTTCATTCCTCAAAATCCCAGTTCAAATGCAGTATACCAGCCATGGGCTCCCACCATTGTAGCAATGCTCTCTGGCCATTGTACCAATGCCCTCCTACCATCGTAGCAACCTGGCCATTTTAGCCAGCTCAGGCTGCCATAACAAAATACCATAGACTGCAAGTGTGGGATTTAGCAAATTCAAATCCAAAAACTGGGCCGGGCGCAGTGGTTTGCACCTGTAATCCCAGCACTTTGGGAGGCTGAGTTGGGAGGATCTCTTGTGCCCAGGAGTTTGCGACCAGCCTGGGCAACATAGTGGACAACGTAGTCCCCACTAAAAATACAAAAATTAGCCAGGCATGGTCTTGTGCACCTGTAGTCCCAGCTACCCAGGAGGCTGAGGTAGGAGGCTCACCTGAGCCCAGGAGGCGGAGGTTGCAGTGAGCTGAGACTGTGCCACTTCACTCCAGCCCAGGGGACAGAATGAGATCCTATCTAAAAAAACCAAAATTAACAGTTGGTTAAATGAAGCAGAGCAAATCCACACCAAGTGAAGATGTGGTGGCCATTTAAAATTATGCAAATAAGAATAGTAAGAAAAATATATATATATGTGTATGTATACATATATTTTTAAGATGGAATCTCACTCTGTCAGTCACCCAGACTGGAGTGCAGTGGAACAATCTTGGCTCATCGCAACCTCCGCCTCCCGGGTTCAAGCGATTCTTCTGCCTCAGCCTCCCGAGTAGCTGGGACTACAGGCGTGTACCACCACACCTGGCTAAATTGTTTTGTATTTTTAGTAGAGATGGGGCTTCACCATGTTGGTCAGGCTGATCTCGAACTCCTGACTTCAGGTGATCCGGAGGCTCCCTAGGCCTCCCAAAGCACTGGGATTACAGGCATGAGCCACTGTACCCAGCCCCCAAGAATAGTAAGAATATTTAAAGACATAGAAAGATGATCACAGACTATTCAGTTTAAAACAATAGCTTACACACACACACACACACACACACACACACACGCACACGGACAACCCATACACTGGTTGGCTTAAACTACAGAGATTTATTTTTTTTTCCATTCTGGAAGCTGGGCAGTTCAAGATCAAGGTGGCAGCACGGCTGGTTCTGTGAGGGCTCTCTTCTTGGTTTGCAGACAGCCACCTTTTTGCTGTGTCCTCACTTGGCAGAGACAGAGCAAGCTTTCTGGTGTCTCTTATAAGGGCACTATTCTCATCATAAAAGCCCTACCCTCATGACCTTATCTAACCCTGATCACCTCCCAAAGACCTAATATCCAAATACCAGCCCACTGGGGGTTAGGGCTTCAACATAGGATTTTGGAGAGACACGAACATTCAATCCATGGCACCGGCTGACCTCACACTATTGTCAGGTTTCCATGGGAACAAAACTCAACAGGCAACCCTATGTCATTTTTCCATGGGAGAAGGAAAAGAGGCTTTGTTTATCTTTTACTCTTTTACCGGGCACTGCCCTAAGCCTTTTACATGATTAGGTTAATTTAATTCTCGCATGCACACAAAAATGCAATGAGGTAGACATTATCATCTCCATATACAGCTGAGGACATCGAGGCACAGAGAGGGTAGGTAAGTTGCCCAAGGACACACAGCTTCGAGGCGGTGGAGATGAGATTCTTTATGTGCAGGATCTCAAACATTGGTGCCTATTCTGAGTCAGGAACTGTTACAGATCTCATTTCACAGAGTGGGAAACAGGCACAGAGAGGGTGAGCAACTTGCCTGAAGCCACACAGTGGTGGGACTGGCATTGTGTCACCTGACACGAGTTCCTTAACCAGCAGGCAACCCTGCCTGATCTCTCTCCTCTGCAGACAATGATGAGTGCTCAGCCCAGCCTGGCCCATGTGGTGCCCACGGGCACTGCCACAACACCCCGGGCAGCTTCCGCTGTGAATGCCACCAAGGCTTCACCCTGGTCAGCTCAGGCCATGGCTGTGAAGGTACAGCCCAGCTTTGGCTGGGGTCTAGTGTTTGGGGGTGTTGGTCCTGAGAGCCGTCTGGTAAACCCTCTCTCCCTCTCTCTATGTCTCAGATGTGAATGAATGTGATGGGCCCCACCGCTGCCAGCATGGCTGTCAGAACCAGCTAGGGGGCTACCGCTGCAGCTGCCCCCAGGGTTTCACCCAGCACTCCCAGTGGGCCCAGTGTGTGGGTGAGTGAAAAGGGCTGGGAAGAAGCTGGGCCCTCCACCAGAATCTGCTCAGAGCAGGCGACTAACAGACGCCACCCTGCAAGATGATGTGACAAGCACAATTATCTAAAGATTGAACAGGCCAGCCCAGAAGGTAGTGAGTTCCCCACTGCTGGGGAGTCAAGGTGCAGCAGAATAAGCATCAAAAAGTGTCTGAGTTCATTCCTTAGGGCATGGTGGCCTGGAGGACTCAGTTGAGAAAGATTCTGAGACCTGAAGTCTGCAATTTTGTGATCACAGGGAAAGAGTGCTGTGATTGATTAGTGATGTCTGCCACGAGTGTGATTAGTGATGTCTGCTATGGATGCTGCAAGGGGCAATGGAGGTGTGCATGCTATGTCATTGCCATAGCTGTTGCAGAGGCCCTCCATTTGGGGGGCTAGCCTTCTGCCCCCCAACCTTCCCCCATCTTCTGGCTGCTCTAGGACCTCCTAGCAGCCTCTTTCACTGCTCTTTTCATTCCTCCACTGCAGTGCAGCTTTCACCCTCTACCATTTTCAGGCCCACTTGCTCTCTCCTGAGACCTCTCCTCGGCCTCCATCCTCTACCTCCACTGCTCTGGGCACCACAGTCTGCCCCTTCAGGCTCCTGGACACTCTCTCCTGTGGCCTTTGTGATGTGGCTATCCCTGCTCTCCCACTGCCTCACAGGCACTGCCTTCTCTGCCCCCTCCTTTTGTCTGTCATGGTGGGTCTTTAGCTAAGTTCTTCTTGGGCTTCCCACACCACACGACCCCACCCCCCAGGCAAGCTGCTTGTCCCCTGGGGATCTTGGGGATCCCACAGACCATTGGCCTTTGCTGGCAACTCTTCCTCAACTTGTTTCCTCCCCCCGTACTGACTCATTCATTCTTTCCCCAACTGTTTGCCAAGGACCTGCCTTTCACTAGGCCCTGAGCTCAGATGCAGAAGTGAGCTGAAAAACCATTTCTGCCTTGAGTTTTTCAGTCCAGCAAAGGAAACAGAGATTAATTAGACCCCTAACTAGGTTCTCAACAGAGGACCATTTTACCCCCATAGTACATTTTGAAGTGTCTGCGAGACATTTTTGATCATCACAATTGGGATCCGCCATGGTAGTTCACTCTTGTGGGATATTGAGGTAGGGGGATCATTTGAGGCCAGGAGTTCAAGACCAGCCTAGGCAACATAGCAAGACCCCCCATCTCTACAAAAAGTTAAAAGATTAGCCAGGCATGTTGGTGCACACCTGTAGTCCCAGCTACTCAGGAGGCTGAGGCAGGAGGATCCCTTGAGCCCAGGACGTCAAGGCTGCAGTGCACTATGGTTGCACCACTGCACTCCAGCCTGGGCAACAGAGTGAGACTCCCAACTCCAAACAGACAATTGGAGGCGGATAGGTTTTCCTGGTGTCAAGCGGGTGGAAGCCAGGGATGCTGTTCAATGTCCCACAGTGCAAGGAGGCCTCCTCCCTAGAGAATGATCTGGCCCCAAGTGTCAATAGCACTGAGGGTGAGAAAGCTTGTTCTAGATCATCCCACATTTTGGGGTTTAGGGGAAGTGTTGAGAGATGTTGTGAAGGAGAACCACAGGGTTTGGGGCAGCGGGGCTATGGGGCCGATCTAGTCTCAGGGCTCACTGCCAGCTTGCTGAAGAGTTTGGCATTGGACTTGGGCTCTGAACATACAGCATTCCAGGTGGAGGGCTCTGGGGGTGTGAAGGCTGCACTGCCCCACCTCTGCGTCCTCCCTCTCCTCCTCCTTTCCTCCCACAGATGAGAATGAGTGTGCCCTGTCGCCCCCCACCTGCGGGAGCGCCTCCTGTCGCAACACTCTTGGTGGCTTCCGCTGCGTCTGCCCCTCTGGCTTTGACTTTGATCAGGCCCTCGGGGGCTGCCAGGAGGTGGATGAGTGCGCCGGACGGCGTGGCCCCTGTAGCTACAGCTGTGCCAACACGCCTGGTGGCTTCCTGTGCGGCTGTCCTCAAGGCTACTTCCGGGCTGGGCAAGGGTGAGAGGCTGGAGTGGGGCAAGCAGACTCCATGCCCCGCAAGCGTCCATGCACGCACGCACACACACACACACACACACACACACACACACACACGGGGCTTTGTGCATGCCAAGAATTTACCAGAAGAGCTCCTTCAGCCTGTGCATGCAGGCATTTGCCCACATATGCACAGAGTCCTGGACACGCAGAGGTACAGTGGCACCTGTATCTATTCACACACATCCTCACAGCACTCACATGTAGTTGTCCACATGGCACACACCCGTACCAGCATGCGTGGGCACCCTTGTGCATTTACAGATCCCAGCATGCACACGTGTGTGTGTGTGTGTGTGTGTGCACGCGCGCATGTCCCAGTGTGCACTCAGGCTCATGCATGCCCACATCCCTGGGGGCACAGTGCCATTGCTACATCCTGGTTTGCACAGGTGAGGAAGCACGCGTCAGCCATCTGTGAGTGCTCACACTATACACACATCCCCAGGCACACTCAGGGAGATTCACACATTCCTACGAGCACACATGTGCCTGCATGAGTTATTCCCCATGTGAACACACAGGTTGGCACACGCACATGCCCCTGGGTATGCTCATGTCCATTCATCCATCCCAGCCTGTGCACGTCCTCTCACTCCTGTGTTCACACCTATGCCCAAATGAACCAAGGGACACACATGCACACCCTTATGTGGTGCACACACACTCGTGCACACGGAGCCACACCAGCACATGCTCAGAGGCATTTGTGTGCGTGGGCATTTGCAGCATGACTCAGAACGGAGTATGGGGTGGAGCGGCGTGGCTGGGGAGGTCCCATCAGCCCGCCTCTGAAACCCCTCCACCCTGCCCATCCTGGCCCAGGCACTGTGTCTCCGGCCTGGGCTTCAGCCCCGGACCCCAGGACACCCCGGACAAAGAGGAGCTGCTCTCGTCTGAAGCCTGCTACGAATGCAAGATCAATGGCCTCTCCCCTCGGGACCGGCCACGACGCAGTGCCCACAGGGACCACCAGGTGACATGGGTGCTGCACTAGGCAGGGGTGGCCAGGGAATGGGTGAGTGTGGGAAAGAGGCTGTGGACCCGACTTAGTCATGTCAGCCCCCCCAAGAAGGAGCACCAGGCTCCAGATCCCAACAGGTTCCCCATGTCATGGTGCCGGCTTAGGGCCTTCTTGTGCTTTCTCAGCCCTGGGATTTTTCTTGGGGGGGGTCTCTGGGGGACACATCTCCCGGACACTCTGCCTCACTCCTGGTGACAAGTCAGGCGTCTTCCATACAGACCCTGGCCGGGCTGTGATGCTTTCTATGGGTCCCTTTTATAAAGGCACTTGGATGCAGGGAAATACCTGGGCCCCTCCAACCCTGCCTGCACCCTGGAATCTGTCACCCCCTCACCTCCTGGTTGGTGAAGGCCTCCCTTGGGACCTTTTGGGATTTAGTTCCAATGGGGCCCTAAGTGGCCTTTGTACCACAGCTCTGCCCATCTCAACTCTTCTGTGCATCCCTCTGGGCTGTTCTCACAAACCCTTAGGCCAAGTTAAGCCCAAGCCCCTTCCCTGTCTGAGCCTTGGGGAGGTGAGTCTTTTCTCTGGGGACCCCAGCAGAGGCTCCCCTTAGGAGCCCCAGGGCCCCAACCTGACATACCCACTCAGCATCTGCCCTGTACCCCTCTTGTGCCTGAGGTGCTCCTGGAGTTCCTGAACCTGCCTTGTCTCTAGGAATCTCAGGGATCTTCAACACACCACTCAGTAGCCGTAGGGCAGGCCTATGGCTCCATCCCTCCTTCCCTCTCGGGCCACCCCATCAAGGTGTGCAGAGAGGGCATTTTTGCCACAGATGCCAGCTGCTTGCCCCTCAACTGAAGAGTCCCTGACTATGGGTCAGTCCTGCAGCCATCACCCAAGGGATCTGAAAGCCAAAAATGTATTAAACACCTGCTGTATGCAGGTATCACTCCAAGTGCTCTCTGTTCACAGCCTCTCAATGTTTATGACAACCCTGGGAGGTGTAGATGCCACTATTTTTTTTTTTTTTTTTTGAGACAGAGTCTCACTCTTGTTGCCCAGGCTGGAATGCAATGGCGTGATCTCGGCTGACCGCAATCTCTGCCTCTTGGGTTCAGGCGATTCTCCTGCCTCAGCCGCCCGAGTAGCTGGGATTACAGGCGTGCACCACCACGCCCAGCTAATTCTGTATTTTTAGTAGAGACGGGGTTTCTTCATGTTGGTCAGGCTGGTCTTGAACTCCTGACCTCAGGTGATCCACCCGGCTCGGCCTCCCAAAGTGCTGGGATTACAGGCATGAAGCACTGCACCCAGCCTAGATGCCACTATTATCCCTATTTTACAGATGGAGGAACTGAGGCTCTGAGAGGTTAGGGCACATGCCCAAGTTACAGAACTTGAACGTGGTGGTTCAGAGATTCCATGGATATGGCACGTGGACTTCTCTTTACAAGCAGCCTTGGCATCCATGGCCAGCCATCCTGGGCCCCTCTGTCTTCCGAAGCCATCACTTTACATTGTTTCCCAAACAATTATCACTGAGCATGGAAACCATTACCCCAAACTCACCCCCACTGCAGACATTTAGGTCGAAGCTTCTTCACTCCACAGATTTTACTGAATACCACTGCTGGGCACTGTAATGGAGCAACAGTGAACAACAACAACAACAAAAACACCTGCCCTCGTGAGGCTGATATTCTAAAAGGGAGACACACAAGAAATCAACATGTAAAACATATCATCTTTTATAACACATGACAAATATGATACATGATAAGTGCTATGGGGAAAAACAAAGTGAGACATGGGATAGGGTTATTGGGCTTGAGAGGCTTTCTATATTAGATAAAATGTGAGTGTATTACTTTGTATTACTGAAAGGCCCTTTTTCCCCTCTAGTTATTTTTTCCCCCTTGCTAGGAAAAACTGTGGATGTATATATTATCCCATAGTTACTGATATTTTCTGTAAACTTCATAAGGGTAGAGCTGTGTCTGTAGGATTTACTACTGTATTGGTACCCCTTGGTACTCAATAAGAGTGAGTGAGTGGTTGTCAGGGTCCCAGGGCAGAAGTAGATCAAGACAGAGAAGGGCTAATTTTTGTATTTTTAGTAGAGATGGGGTTTCGCCATGTTGGCCAGGCTGGTCTCAAACTCCTGGCCTCAAGTGATCAGCCCACCTCAGACTCCCAGAGTGCTGGGATTACAGGTGTGTGCCACTGTGCCCAGTCAAGGCCAGGATTTTGAGACCAGCCCGGGTAACATAGTGAGACCCCCTCCACCTACAAAAAGTAAAAATATTAGCCAGCTGTGGTGCCATGTGCCTGTAGTCCCAGCTACTTGGGAGGCTGAGGCGGGAGGATTGCTTGAACCCAGGAGTTCAAAGCGGCAGAGAGCTGTGATCACACCTCTGCACTCCAGCCTGGGTGACAGACAGACCCTGTCTCAAAAATAGGGCTGTATTGTGCCTTTGCCTGCAATACCCACTGACTGCCAGCAGGGGTCAGTAAGAGCATAAGTCTTAACAACATTCCGTGGGAAGAAGGCCTGAGATCTCCAGAACTGAGGGGCTGGGGAACAGGAATAACTTTCACTTGAATGCAACAGCAAAACACTCCGTCGGCATGTAAATGAGGCCAAACCAACACAGTGCTCCCTAAAACAAAGGCAAAGAAAACACAGATGACTTTCTGTGGGGTTGGATACGTCACCCAGCCCTGGGGTAGCCTGCCATTGAGGCTCGCTGTCTTATTCAGGGCCCTGTCCAGCTGCCAAGACCAGGAAGGCACTTCAGAGGAGCTTAAATAAAGAAGGGTTTGTCATTGGCACACAAGGGGCTCTCAAAGAGGGCCAGATGCAGGAAGCACAGCGGAAGCTATCAGGCGGCTCTTCTGTCTGGTCCTTTACGCTCTCCTCTCCAGCCCTGCTTGGCATCCCGTTTCTCTCACTGTCAGCTCTGGCATTCTTTTAGGGGCTGGCTTCTGCTGAAAGGCCCTTGTTCCTAACACCAGCCATCCCAAGACATTTCTGAGTGACCTTAGGGCTCTGGGTCGCAATGTCATCTGAATAATCCCCTGGCTGCTGGGTCTCTGAGAGCAAATCTTTGATACCTTTGGCCCAGGCTGGCAGGGGTCTGAGCAAGGTCCCTCAGCTGGGACTAGGGGTCTGTAGTGTGTAACAGTGGCCGTTTCCCTGCCTCTCTCAGAAGCAGCCTCAGCCTTATGCCACTGAGTCTACAGATCCAGCTGACCTTGCGGATGAACAACCAGACTTGAGATGCCAAGGGAAGCAGTATTTTCCTCCACTTTATTTTTTTATTGATTTATTATTTATTTATTTATTTATTTATTTGAGACAAGGTCTCACTCTGTCACCCAGGCTGGAATGCAGTGGCGCAATCATAGCTCACTGCAGCCTTGAACTCCTGGGCTCAAGCAATCCTCCCGCCTCAATCCCCCAAGTAGCTGAGACCACAGGTACATGTACCACCACACCTGCCCAGCTAATTTTTGTATTTTTTGTAGAGACGGGGTTCACCATGTTGCCCAGGCTGGTCTCAAACTCCTGGGCTCAAGTGATCCACCCACTTCAGCTTCCCAAAGTGCTGGGAGTACAGGCATGAGCCACCGTGCCCACCCTATTTATTGATTTTTTTTTTTTTTGAGACGGAGTCTTGCTCTGTCGCCCAGGCTGGAGTGCAGCAGCGTGATCTCCACTCACTGCAAGCTCCGCCTCCTGGGTTCATGCCATTCTCCTGGCTCAGCCTCTGGAGTAGCTGGGACTACAGGCACCTGACACTACGCCTAGCTAATTTTTTTTTTTGTATTTTTAGTAGAGATGGGGTTTCACCTTGTTAGCCAGGATGGTCTCAATCTCCTGACCTCGTGATCCACCTGCCTGAGCCTCCCAAAGTGCTGGGATTACAGGTGTGAGCCACTGCGCCCAGCCTATTTATTGATTTTTAAAATCAATTTATTTTCTTTTTTTTGGGGAGCAGGGTCTCACTCTGTCACCCAGGCTAGAATGCAGCAGTGCAATCATAGCTCACTGCAGCTTGAACTCCCAGGCTCAAGGGATCCTCCCACCTCAGCCTCCCTAGTAGCTGGGACTACAGGTGTGCAACACCACACCTGGTTAATTTCTTGTATTTTTAGTAGAGACAGAGTTTCACCAGGTTACTCAGGCTGGTCTCGAACTCCTGGGCTCAAGCAATCTGTCCACCTTGGCCCTCAGCCAACTTCATGTCTTTTCGTAGCACATCTTGTCACTTTTACATTTTCCATTTATTTGTCTACTATCTGCTTTGCTTTACTAGAAGGTAAACTCCCTGAGGGGAAGGATTTTTATCTGCTCATTGCTAAATCCCCAGTGCCTCAAAGATTGCCAGGAATTCAGTAGGTGCCTAATAAACATATATATATTTTTGAGACAGGGTCTCAGTCTGTTACCCAGGCTGGAGTGCAGAGGTGTGATCACAGCTCACTGCTGCTTCGAACTCCTGGGACCTCCCACATCAGCCTCCTAAGTAGCTGGGACTACAGGTGCACACCAGTACTAATATTTTCACTTCTTGTGGGTGGATGAGGTCTCACTATGTTGCCCATGCTGACCTCAAAATCCTGGCCTTGGCCAGGCACAATGGCTCACGCCTGTAATCCCAGCACTTTGGGAGGCTGAGGTGAGCGGATCACTTGAGGCCAGGAGTTTGAGACCAGCCTGGCCAACATAGTGAAACCCTGTCTCTACTGAAAATACAAAAATTAGCCAGGCATGATGGCAGGCACCTGTAATTCCAGCTACTTGGGAGGCTGAGGCAGGATAATCACTTGAACCCAGGAGGCAGAGGTTGCAGTGAGCCGAGATCGTGTCACTGCACTCCAGCCTGGGCGACAGCAAGACTCCATCTCAAAAAAAAAAAAAAAAGAAAAAGAAGAAGAAACAAAGAAATCCTGTCCTCAAGCAATCCTCCTGCCACAGCCTCCAAAAGTGCTGGGATTATAGGCATGAGCCCCTGTGCCCATCCTATTTTTTTAGATTGAGAGGGTACAGGTTTGTTATTAATAAATGGATATATTGCATGATGAGGCAGTTTGGGCTTCTGCTGATCCCATCATCCAAACAGTGAACATAGTTCCCAATAGGTAGTTTTCCTTTTATTTATTTATTTATTTGTTTTGAGACAGTCTTCCTCTGTTGCCCAGGCTGGAGTGCAGTAGCGTGATCTCAGCTCACTGCAACCTCCACCTCCCGGGTTCAAGCGATTCTCCTGCCTCAGCCTCCCAAGTAGCTGGGACTACAGGCGCCCGCCACCACGCCCAGCTAATTTTTGTATTTTTAGTAGCGACTGGGTTTCACCATATTGGTCAGGATGGTCTCGAACTCCTGACCTTGTGATCCACCCGCCTCGGCCTCCCAAAGTGCTGGGATTACAGGCGTGAGCCACTGCGCCCGGCCTCCCAACTCTTGTCTCCCTCCCTCTCTCCCTGCTCTAGTAGTCCTAGTGTCTGTGCTTCCCATCTTTATGTCCATGGGTATGCAATTTTTAGCTCCCACTTATAACTGAGAACATGCCGTATTTGGTCTTCTGTTTCTGCATTAATTAGCTTAGGATAATGACCTCCAGCTGCATCCACGTTGCTGCAAATGGCATGATTTCATTCCTTTTTATGGCTCTTTCCTTCACTTTAGAGATTGGCCAGAATCTCCTCTTTGGCCACAATCCGAGGACCCCCTACCCACACCACATCCCGATTCTCCTGGGCTCTGACCACACACCTGGCCTTTCTTCCCAGGTGAACCTGGCCACCCTTGACTCCGAGGCCCTGCTGACCTTGGGCCTGAACCTCTCACACCTGGGCCGGGCCGAGCGCATCCTGGAGCTCCGGCCGGCCCTGGAGGGTCTAGAGGGCCGGATCCGCTACGTCATCGTCCGCGGAAACGAGCAAGGTTTCTTTCGCATGCATCACCTCCGTGGCGTCAGCTCCCTGCAGCTGGGGCGGAGGCGGCCGGGGCCTGGAACCTACCGGCTGGAGGTGGTGAGCCACATGGCAGGACCCTGGGGTGTCCAGCCAGAGGGGCAGCCAGGGCCATGGGGCCAGGCCTTGAGGCTGAAGGTGCAGCTGCAGTTGCTTTAGTTGGGAGGAGCCTCAGTGGGCCCCAGCTGTCCAGAGAAGGGGGATTCTGGAACTGGGAAGGACTGATCCCCAGAAGCGATGGCTGACCAGATTGAACCCCGAAACTCAGGAAGAGTGAAATGCTACACGACAACCTCAGGCAAGCCCGGCCTCTGCCTGGGCCTCTGTGCCAGCCCCGGGGGCCCCCCAGTTACTCAGTCTTTCCTGGAGACAGCAAGAAGCTGCAATGTGCAATCCCCCTGCCCCCACAGCCAAGGTCAGGAAGAGGCCCTGTGGTCACCGTGTCTGGCCAATCTCAGGCTTTCACTTCTGTACTGCACTGTGGCTTGCCCTGGCGGGGGGCAGGGGGTTGGCAGGACATGGCAATGGGCAACTGGGGTGGGCACAGGGCTTATTCCTCGGAGTAGAAGGGTGTACAGGGGGCCCAGACTCCACAGTGACTTGCCACATTTGCCCCCCATTTGGAGAATGCTTTTATATCAAAAGTGGAGACGATAATAAAGTTATTTTGGGTTAAGTCTGCCTGCCCTTTGGCAAGTTCTTGAAGTAAGTAGATGCTGCCCTTGGACTGGGCGAGGCAGATCTTGTGCCTGGGGAAGCAGAAGGCCTTATGGGCTCCCCAGAATGGTAATAATGGCTCACGCTTCCTGACCACGTACTACATACCAGACACCATTCGATTTTTTTTTTATTTTTTCTGAGGCAGGGTCTTGCTCTGTTGCCTAGGTTGGAGTGCAGTGGCGCGATCGTGGCTCCCTGTGGTCGCCACTTTCCGGGCTCGAGCAATCCTCCCACCTCAGCCTCTCCCAAGTAGCTGGGACCAAAGGTGCACGCCACCACACCCAGCTAATTTTTTTAAATTTCTTTTTCTTTCTCTTTCTTTTTGAGACAGAGTCTCACCCTGTCACCCAGGCTGGACTGCAGTGGCGCTGTCTTGGATCACTGCAACCTCTGCCTCCCGAGTTCAAGTGATTCTCGTGCCTCAGCCTCTCGAGTAGCTGGGACTACAGATGTGTGCCACCATACCTGGCTAATTTGTGTATTTTTAGTAGAGACGGGGTTTCACCATGTTGTCCAGGCTGGTCTCAAACTCCTGACCTCAGGTGATCGGCCCGCTTCGGCCTCCCAAAGTGCCGGGATTACAGGCATGAGCTACCACACCTGGCCTAACATTTATTTTTCTTAGAGATGGGGATGTCCCTATACTGCCCAGGCTGATCTTGAGCTCCTGGGCTCAAGTGGTCTTACTGCCTTGGCCTCCCAAAGTGCTGGAATTACAGGTGTTAGTATCCAAGTATTTTACCATTATTGACCACTTTGATTGTCACTACAACCTCACGGAATAGATGCTATTACCATCCCCATTTTACAGGGAAAACTGAGGCTCAGAGAAGTTAAACACTTTGGCCAAGGTCAGGCCAGGTTGAAAGTTGGGTGGCCTGGCGGGGTGTGGTGGCTCACACCTGTAATCCCAGCACTTTGGGAGGCTGAGGTGAGCAGATCACCTGAGGTCAGGAGTTTGAGACCAGCCCGGCCAACATGGCGAAACCCCATCTGTACTGAAAATACAAAAAAAAAAAAAAAAAAAAAGCCAGGCGTGGTCGTGGGCGCCTGTAATCCCAGCTACTCAGGAGAGTGAAGCAGGAGAATCGCTTGAACCTAGGAGGTAGAGGTTGCAGTGAGCTGAGATCATGCCACTGCACTCCAGCCTGGGCAACAGAGCAAGACTCCACCAAAAAAAAAAAAAAAAAAAGAGGAGGGGAGGGGAGGGGAGGAAGTTGGGCAGCCAGGTGCAGTGGCTCACGCCTATAACCTCAGTGCTTTGAGAGGCCAAGGAGGCTGGATCACTTGAAGTCAGGAGTTCAAGACCAGCCTGGCCAACTTGGTGAAACCCCATCTCTACTAAAAATACCAAAATTAGCCAGGGGTGGTGGTACGTGCCTGTAATCCCAGTTACTCAGGAGGCTGAGGCAGGAGAATCACTTGAACCCGGGAAGCGGAGGTTGCAGTGAGCGGAGATCGTGCCATTGCACTCCAGCCTGGGCGACACAGCAAGACTCTCTCAAAAAAAAAAAAAAAAAAAGGTGGGCATGTTCCCAGGCCATCAGCCCCCACACCACCATGCATGGTTCCAGGCGGACTCCAATTCGATGGCCAGGGTACTCATTGTGTTAATAAACACACAGTTAGCATGTACTGTGTGCTGTGCGTGTCACACATCACAGTGTCTTTGGTCTCCAACAAAGCGCTATGAGGCAGGCAGTATTATCACCCCCATTTTCCAGGGGGGCAAAATTGAGGCTTAGAGAGCTTGTGGAACCTGTCCGGGTCACCCACATAGTGCGCGGTAGAGCCCGAACACTGAACGTGACTCCGTTTCTTCTGCAACTTCATCCCGGTCCCTGATCCCAAACCACCAGGGTGTCCCCTAAGAGATGATGTGCTTGGTTTTCTTTCTTTCTTTCTTTCTTTTTTTTGAGACAAACTCTCACTCTGTCACCCAGGCTGGAGTGCAGTGGCGTGATCTCGGCTCACTGCAACCTCTGCTTCCCGGGTTCAAACAATTCTCCTGCCTCAGCCTCCCGAGTAGCTGGGATGACAGGTGCCTGCCACCACGCCCGACTAATTTTTGCATTTTTAGTAGAGATGGGGTTTCACCATATTGACCAGGCTGGCCTTGAACTCCTGACTTCAGGTGATCCACCCGCCTTGGTCTCCCAAAGTGCTGGGATGACAGAGTGAGCCACGGTGCCCGGCCCAATGTGCATTGGTTTTCATCCAGATCATTCTCTGTTGTGATGGAAACTGAGGTTGCCAAGGACTGAAGACAGCATCATCGGGTGGTGACTCAGGCCTCCACCTGCAGAATTGTCACTAGCGCCTGGTACCAGAGCTCTGTCCCTGGTCTGGTCCTGGCTTACCAGTGGCCTCCAGGCAGCCTATAAGAGCTTGCAGAGGGCTTCTGTGTCCATCGGCTGGACTCACCACAGCCCTGGAATCTAAGTAGAGCAAGCACAGTGACTCTTATTCTACAGACAAGCTGAGAGGTACCCAGAGAGTCAGCAATTGGTTTAAGGTCACCAGCTGGGAAGTGCATTCTGCAACCAGTGACCAATGCTTGGCCCCTGGAGAGCCGTCTGTTAGGAGAGCTTGGGGTGGCAAAGATCGCATTGGCTTCACCCCAGGGCAGGGCAGCAGCAACTTGCACCTCATCATGAAATGTAACAGGCAAGAAAAAAAAAGAAAAAAGAAATGTAACAGGCAGGAATGACTCCATCACCCCCCAAGGTTTATTTAAAAGTTATAGAAAAGCATAGCCTGGGAGGGGCATCCTTGAACTGACCAGAGTTTTGGAGGGACCCAGAGGGACACACTGGCATGGCCCGGGGTGGACGGCAAGAAACAGAAAGTGAGAGAGGTATCCTAAGTCTTCTCTACAAGAGCCACTGGCTGCCCAGGATTGCTGCTGGTCCCCGGAGCGGCAAAAGGCTTAAAATCAGGCCAACTCCCTCTTTCCAGTTGCCAGACGGGCAGGAGGTGGTGGGGGTGCAGAGGGAGGACCAACTCAGGTGCAGGGATTAAGACTTGACCCAAAAGACAGAGGCGTGGGGACAGCTGGGTCTGTAGGGCGACGGTTTTATCGGAGAAAGATCCGGCCCCTCCTGTGCCGATGGAGCCCAGAAATGAGCCGGCTCACAGTCCTGCAGAAGCAATGAGAGAGGCCGAAGTAAAATTGACGGCTGTAAAATAATAGTAACTATATGCATTTGTCTCTACCTCCAGTCCCTACAGCTCCTAAAACCCTTGTGAATTTCTGAGTAATAGGAGTGCTAGAATCTTTTATGCTAACTTTTTTTTTTTTTTTTTTTTTTGAGACAGTCTCGCTCTGTCGCCAGACTGGAGTGCAGTGGCGCAATCTCGGCTCAATGCAACCTCCGCCTCCAGGACTCAAGCGATTCTCCTGCCTCAGCCTCCCTAGTAGCTGCAACTACAGGCGAGTACCACCATGCCCGGCTAATTTTTGTATTTTTTGTATTTTTGTATTTTTAGTATTTTTGTATTTTGTATTTTTAGTAGCTAATTTTGTATTTTAGAGACAGGGTTTCACCGTGTTAGCCAGGATGGTCTTGATCTCTTGACCTTGTGATCTGCCCACCTCGGCCTCCCAAAGTGCTGGGATTACAGGTGTGAGCCACCGCACCTGGCCTTTTGTGCTAATATTTGGTCTTTGAATTCTGTTTCTGACACAGAGCTCTGGATCCCTTGGAGTGTCCTGGGTAATGGGGACATATTTTATTCTAATGAGGTGACTCTTGGTTGGCTTCTGGGTGGGGGCTGGTCACCAGCAAGACCAAGCCATTGATTAGAAACTTGGAGCTTTTGGTCCCATTCTCCAGGAAGGGGAAGAAGGTTGGCAATGGAGTTAATCATCCTTCACTCCTATGTGATGAAGCTTCTAAAAAATTCCCTGGTTGGCTGGGCATGGTGGCTCACGCCTGTCATCCCAGAACTTTGGGAGGCCAAGGCAGGTGGATCACAAGGTCAGGAGTTTGAGACCAGCCTGGCCAACATAGTGAAACGCCGTCTCTACTAAAAATAAAAACAAATAAACAAAAAAATTGCTGGTGAAGGCCAGGCGTGGTGGCTCACGCCTGTAATCCCAGCACTTTGGACAGTTGAGGTGGGCAGATCACTTGAGGTCAGGAGTTCAAGACCAGCCTGCCCAACATGGCAAAACCCCATCTCTACTAAAAATACAAAAATTAGTCGGCAGTGGTGGTGCATGCCTATGATCCCAGCTACTCAGGAGGCTGAGATAGGAGAATCACCTGAACCCACCCTGGAGGCAGAGGTTGCAGTGAGCTATGATTGCACCATGCACTCCAACCTGGGTGACAGAGTGAGACTCTGTCTCAAAAAAAAAAAAAAAAAAAAATTAGGCCGGGCATGGTGGCTCACACCTGTAATCCCAGCACTTTGGGAGGCTGAGGCTGGTGGATCATGAAGTCAGGAG
The DNA here is from genome assembly GCF_000001405.40 of Homo sapiens. Classification (NCBI taxonomy): domain Eukaryota; kingdom Metazoa; phylum Chordata; class Mammalia; order Primates; family Hominidae; genus Homo; species Homo sapiens. The sequence goes on along the minus strand of NC_000019.10, from coordinate 8,060,904 downwards.
ATCGAGACCATCCTGGCTAACACAGTGAAACCCCGTCTCTACTAAAAATACAAAAAATTAGCCAGGCGTGGTGGCGGGCGCCTGTAGTCCCAGCTACTCCAGAGGCTGAGCCAGGAGAATGGCGTGAACCCGGGAGGCAGAGCTTGCAGTGAGCCGAGATCATGCCACTGCACTCCAGCCTGGGTGACAGAGCAAGACTCCATCTCAAAAAAAAAAAAATCCCTGGTAAGCTGAGGGTACTGGCCTGCAGTCCCAGCTACTCGGGAGGCTGAGGCGGTGAGCTATGTAGTCCTAGCTGCTCAATTAGGCAGTGAGCTACAATTGCGCCACTGCACTCCAGCCTGGCGGAGAGAGTGAGACCTCATCTCTGAAAAAAAGAAAGCCTGAACTATGGGGTTCAGGGTCTTGTGACCATATCCGTGTGTGGGAGGGGTGGTGTACTGCAACTCCACGGGAACAGAAGCTTCTACACTTGAGTCCCTTCCAGTCTTTGCCTACCTAAGCATCTCTTCCATCTGGCTTATTCATCCCTATCCTTTGTAATATCTTTTTATTCTTTTTTCGAGACAGGGTCTCATTTTGTCCCCCAGGCTGAAGTTCCAATGGTATGATCATAGCTCACTGCAACCTCTACCTCCTGGGCTCAAGTAATCCTCTCACCTCAGCCTCCCAAGCAGCTGAAACTACAGGTGCATGCCACCACAACTAGCTAATTTAAATTTGTTTTTTTTTTTCTTGAGACAGGGTCCCGCTATGTTTCCCAGGCTGGTCTCAAACTCCTGGGCTCAATTTTTTTATTATTTATTTATTTATTTAGAGACAGAGTCTCGCTCTTTTGCCCAGGCTGGAGTGCAGTGGCTTGATCTCGGCTTACTTCAAGGCCCGCCTCCCAGGTTCATGCCATTCTCCTGCCTCAGCCTCCAGAGTAACTGGGACTACAGATGCCTGCCACCACGCCCGGCTAATTTTTTGTATTTTTAGTAGAGTTGGGGTTTCACCATGTTAGCCTGGATGGTCTCGATCTCCTGACCTCGTGATCCACCCACCTCCGCCTCCCAAAGTGCTGGGATTACAGGCATGAGCCACCGCGCCCGGCCATCCTGGGCTCAATTGATCCTTCTGCCTCAGCCTCTCAAAGTGCTAGGATTACAGGCGTGAGCCACCATGCCCAGCCCCTTTGTAATCTTTTACAATAAAATGGTAAACACAAGTAGAGCGCTTCCATGAGTCCTGTGAGCTGTTCTATCGAATGATCCAACCAGAGGTGGAAGCCCTGACTTACAGACAATCAGTCAGAAATAAAGTGACAACTTGCTACTTGCAACCAGCATCTGAAATGGGGGCAGTCTTGTGGGACTGAGTCCTTAACCTGTGGATTGTGTCACTACCTCCAGATAGACAATGTCAGCTGGACACAGTGGCTCATGCCTGCAATCCCAGCACTTTGGGGGGCCGAGGTGGGAGAATTGCTTGAGGCCAGAAGTTAGAGACCAGCCTAAGCAACATGACGAAACCCCATCTCTAATAAATATATGAAAATTAGCCAGACGTGGTGATGCATGCCTGTAATCCCAGCTACTTGGGTGGCTGAGGCACAAGAATCGCCTGAACCCTGGAGGCGGAGGTTGCAGTGAGCCGAGATGGCACCACTGCACTCCAGCCTCAGCAACAGAGTGAGACCCTGCCATAAAAAAATATTAATTATATATAATATATATATTTATATATTATATATATTATATATTATATATATTATATATTATATAATATATATTTATATATATTTATATATTATATATAAATATATACATTATATATATTATATATATTATATATTATATATATTTATATATTACATATATGTTTATATATTACATATATTTATATTATATATTTATATATTTATATTATATATTTATATATTTATATTATATATTTATATATTTAGGCTGGGCGCGGTGGCTCACGCCTGTAATCTTAGCACTTTGGGAGGCCAAGGCGGGTGGGTCACGAAGTCAGGAGATCGAGACCATCCTGGCTAACATGGTGAAACCCCGTCTCTACTAAAAATACAAAAAATTAGCCCAGCGTGGTGGCGGGCGCCTGTAGTCCCAGCTACTCGGGAGGCTGAGGCAGGAGAATGGCGTGAACCCGGAAGGTGGAGCTTGCAGTGAGCCAAGATCGCGCCACTGCACTCCAGCCTGGGCAACAGAGTGAGACTCCATCTCAAAAAAAAATAATAATAAATATATATATTTATATATTATATATTATTTATACATTATATATACTTTATATTATATATTATTTATATATTATATATTTATATATTATATATTATTTTTATATATTATATGTATTTATATATTATATATTATTTATATATTATATATAATATATTTACTTATATATATTATATATTTATATATTATATATTTACTTATATATATTATATATATTTATATATTATATATTTACTTATATATTATATATATTTATATATTATATATTTACTTATATATTATATATATTTATATATTATATATTTACTTATATATATTATATATATTTATATATTATATATTTACTTATATATTATATATGTTTATATATTATATATTTACTTATATATATTTTATATGTATATATAGAGAGAGACACACACACACAATGTCAGAATTCAGTAGAATTACAGGACAACCACCCGGTCCCTGCTGGAGAATTGCTGGCTTTGGGGGGCCCTGGAGCTCTTGGGCCACTCCCCTGGGGCTTTACTTTCTCACTTGCTGTGGTGTCTTTGCGCTGAGTCACAGCAGTGGACAGCCACCGAGGACCCTCCCCTGTGAATCTGCGGCACTGACCGCACAACCACCTCTCCTGGGTCCTGGAGGTGAATCTCCTGTCCCAGTGTGAGCCAATCACGAGCCCTCAACCCTCAGCAAAGGTGATGGATGGGAGACAGTCACATGACCAAGAGTCCTTACCTGAATTAGCTGATATCAGGAGGGAGACATTCCTCTTACTGCTGCTGATGGGATTGCTAAACTTGGACGATGATAACTTGGAGTTTCCAGAACTCAACTTCTTTACAGCATGAGGGCCTGCTGGAGAAATGGAGAGAGAAATAAGCAAGAGCTCTGCCATCATCCTTTGAGCTCCTGGATCCAGCTGAGCCTGAAGCTGTTGACTGGTTATTTAAGCCAATGAGTCTCCCATGTGCTTGAGCTTTCCATCTGTACCAGTGGAAAGTGTCCTGATTAAAAGAGCTGGACTGGCTGGGTGCAGTGGCTCATGCCTGTAGTCCCAGCACTTTGGGAGGCCAAGGCAGGTGGATTGCTTGAGTCCAGGGGTTCAAGTCCAGCCTGGGCAACATGGCACAACCTGTCTCTGCAAAATGAAAATAAAAAATTACCCAGGCATGGTGGTGTGTGCCTGTAATCCCAGCTACTTGGGAGGCTGACGTGGGAGGATTGCTTGAGCCCAGGAACACAAGGCTGCAGTGAGATGTGATTGTGCCACTGCACTCCAGCCTGGGTGACAAGAGTAAAACCCTGTCTCAAAATAATAATAATAATAATGAGCTGGAGCCAGGCATGGTGGTTCATGCCTATAATCCCAGTGCTTTGGGAGGCCAAGGCGGGCAGATCATCTGAGGTCAGGAGTTCGAGACCAGCCTGGCCAACATGGTGAAACCCCGTCTCTACTAAAAATACAAAAATTAGCCAGGCGTGGTGGCGTGGGCCTGTGCTCCTGCTACTTAGGGGGCTGAGGCGGGAGAATCGCTTGAATTCAGGAGGCAGAGGTTGCAGTGAGCCGAGATCGTGCCACTGCACTCCAGCCTGGATGACACAGCAAGACTCCATCTCAAAAAATAAAAATAAAAAATAAAATAACAATGAGCTGGATTAGTGGAGCATGCCTGTAGTCCCAGCTACTCAGGAGGCTGAGGTAGGAGGATTGCTTGAGCCTGGGAGGTCAAGGCTTCAGTGAGCTGTGATGGCGCCATTGCACTCCAGCGTGGGTGACACAGTAAGACTCTGTCTCAAAATAATAATAAAAGAGCTGGACTGGTGGCACACACTTGTAATCCCAGCTACTTGGGGAATCTGAAGTGGGAGGATTGCTTGAACCCACAAGTTTGAGGCCGCAGTGAGCTATGATCATGCTACTGCACTCCAGCCTGGGCAACAGAGCAAGACCCCATCTCCAGAAACAAAAACTGGACAATGACTCAATCAGTTGGTCATTCACTTGGTGCCCCACTCACCAGCAACTGGCTTTGTTTGGGGTTCAGGCAGGTGTCAGTATTCTGGTCTCCAATTCCCTCCCTCGGGGTCTGAACCACACATGGGCTTGCAGGCAGGGAGGGCAGGCCCCCTAGATGCCCAGCAGAGGTCTTGCCCACCTTGGAAGGTCTGCGTGTTGTGGTGGAGCTTTGCAAAAACCTTATTTCGAGCATCCAGGAGCTTCATGGCTCTCTGCACCTCCCTGCTTTTGGGGTTCCCACACACCTTCCTGTGTCTCTTGGGGAGGTAGAATCTGTGGTGAGCAGAGGGGGGTGCCCAGGTTAGGGTGTAGGCTGGCAGCAAGGCTGTGTGTGCACCCCACCCCCCCAGCCCCCACGGCCCCACTCACATCGCAGCAGGCAGATTGCAGCTCCCGCTCACCTCCTGGATCCGGTAAGTCCAGGCGCGCCGGAGCACAGCCCACCCAATGGGGTAGTGGTAGGCCAGGCAGCAGTCCTCAAAGACACCTGCAACCACACAGCCGCCCAGATACTCGCACCCTTGCATGTTAACTTGGCAGGGCCAGCCACAGGCAAGGGCACCTGTCTGCATACCTGTCTGCTCATACCACAACCCTTCCAGGCCCGGCAGAGGCTGAGGAACAGCCTTAGGAAAGAAAAAGCCTCCTGGCTCACCCCTTATCCCTGGATATTGGGACAGCCAGAGGTTGGAGAGGACCCTTGGGTCCCGGCTGGGAAGGGTGTGGAACCAGCAAATGAACGGACCAAGGCCACCTCTACTCCTGCTCTGGGGAAAAGGGTGACTCGGAGTGCAGGTGCACTGTGAGGAGGGGCCAACACCACCCCTCCCCAGCCAAGTTCTTCCCTCCTAAAAATGAGCTGATTGGCAGCTCAGCACAGTGGCTCATGCCTGTAAACCCAGCACTTTGGGAGGCTGAGGTGGGTGGATCACCTGAGGTCAGGAGTTTGAGACTAGCCTGGCCAATATGGTGAAACCCCGTCTCTACTAAAAAATATAAAAATTAGGCCGGGCGCGGTGGCTCATGCCTTTAATCCCAGCACTTTGGGAGGCCAAGGTGGGCGGATCACGAGGTCAGGAGATTGAGACCATCCTGGCTAACACGGTGAAACCCCGTCTCTACTAAAAATATAAAAATTAGCCGGGTGTGGTGGTGGGCGCCTGGAGTCCCAGCTACTCGGGAGGCTGAGGCAGGAGAATGGCGTGAACCCGGGAGGCAGAGCTTGCAGTGAGCCGAGATCGCGCCACTGCACTCCAGCCTGGGCGACAGAGTGAGACACCGTCTCAAAACAAAACAAAACAAAAAACAAAAATTAGCCAGGCATGGTGGTGGGCGCCTTTTTTTTTTTTTTTTCCAGAGTCTCACTCTGTCACCCAGGCTGGAGTGCAGTGGCTCAATTTCAGCTCACTGCAACCTCTGCCTCCCGGGTTCAAGCGATTCTCCTGCCTCAGCCTCCCGAGTAGCTGGGATTACAGGCGCCCGCCACCACGACCAGCTAATTTTTGTATTTTTAGTAGAGACGGGGTTTCACCATGTTGGCCAGGATGGTCTTGATCTCTTGACCTTGTGATCCACCCGCCTTGGCCTCTCAAAGTGCTGGGATTACAGGCGTGAGCCACTGTGCCTGGCTGATAGTGGGCGCTTTTAATCCCAGCTACTCTGGAGGCTGAGGCAGGAGAATCACTTGAACCCAGGAGGTGGAGGTTGCAGTGAGCCGAGATCACGCCATTGCACTCCAGCCTGGGCGACAATAGCAAAACTCTGTCTCAATGAAACAAAACAAAACACCAACCAAACAAACAAAAAATTGTTTTAATACAAAGTAAAGAGCTCTCAGTAAATGTCAATGTCTAGACAAGCAGAGATGAAACACACAGATGAATTAGACCTAGTGTTGTCTTCAGGGAGCTCCCGGGAAACTGATCTCTGCAGAAAGGGGGAAGCACAGGCACTGTGGGGGGTGCCCAGAGGAGGAGGAGGTGATGCCAGAAAGTTCTGGGGGGATGAGCAGGTGGAATGAATGAGCCGAGGATGAGCTGATGAGATAGTGGAGGAAGCTGGGGTGCAATTCTCTGCCTAAATGGCCTTTGGAGTTCTCTGCAATCTCACCTCTGCCAGAACTAACCTCCAGAGGCCGAGTCTGAGTCCCTGCAGAGCCCAGCCCAGCAGGAGCAGGGAAAGGGAGGACTCGAGCCCTCCAGGTGTCTCCCAACCGCGGCCTCTGAGGGCAAGGGGCAGCGCATTCTGTTGGAACCTCGGACTGCAGTGCCAGGCAGGTAGTTCCCAAGGCTGGAGGCCAGGATCGAAGGGCTGGGCTGGGCCTGGCTCTGATAGCAAAACAATCAGACCACAGCCCAACCCCCTTCCCAGGCAAAGGCCAAGGACTTGGACCCATCAGACCCAGCCGAGGGGCAGGTGGGTCAGGTGGGGGCAGACAGGGAAGGAGGGTGGGACCCTGGGTCTGCCGCCCAGCCAGGGACCCTGCTTTGGCCAGCTGCTGAAACTCAGAGGATGTAGGACCCAGTGTCAGGGCTCCCGTGGGGACACCCCAGGCCCAGGAATTGTCCTTTGGCGACTGAAATCCTCAAGTGCTTGCTCTGCGGTAGGGAGTGGGGAAGAAGGAAAGAGTTCCCTATTAATAACAGGAACAGTTACTATTGCCGCCGCCAGACATGAGGCCTAGTCTTTTGCAGGCATGAGCTCACTGGACCCTCAAGTCAGAGCCATGCAGTGGGAATTTTAGATTCCCACTTTGCAGCTGAGGAAACGGAGGCTCCTAAAGGTTTAGGAAGCCGGGCACAGTGGCTCAAACCTGTAATCCTAGCACTTTGGGAGGCTGAGGCAGGCGGATCGCCTGAGATCAGGAGATCGAGACTACTCTGGCCAACATAGTGAAACCCCATCTCTACTAAAAAATACAAAAATTAGCCGGGCATGGTACACACGCCTGTAGTCCCAGCTACTTGGGAGGCTGAGGCAGAAGGATCGCTTGAGCCCAGGAGGCGGAGGTTGCAGTGAGCCAAGATCGCGCCACTGCACTCCAGCCAGGGTGACAGAGTGAGACTCTGTCTCAAAAAAAAAAAAAAAAAAATGGTTTAGGAGCAACTAACTCTCAGCTGGACTGCATGGAGGGACCAGGATGGGAATCCACTCTTGTCAGTCTCCAGGGCCCTGATCTCCAACCCCACCCCTGGCTCGGCAGGATTAGGATTCTACAATACATCCCTGGCAGTAACTGGCTTTGCCCACAGCTGGAAGCCACCCTCTGCTCCCTCACATCTTTAGGAGTCTTGCAAAAGACTCCATGGGGCTCTCGAAGAAGGAACTGGGGACTCTCCATCTCCCCGACCCCATCCCAAGAGCTAACCAAACACCAGGAGTTCCTGCATGTCAGGAGCGGGAGAATTCAGTGGAGATGGGATTGGGGAGACTTCCGGAGGAGATAAGAGACAAAAGGGGTGGGGTGGGGGCATGGGGAGAGGGGCACTTGGTGGTAGGCATTGCCGAACACAGTACCTTGGGTGTGGACAGCGGGGGCCCAGGCTCCCAGGAAGCCGGCCACCAGGCAGGCCAGGAGCCACAGGTTCATGCTGCAGGCGGGTCCTCCTCCCTGGGCACCTGGACGAATAACGGGGCCACCTGGGGTCGTGGAGGGAAGTGGTAAGGACTGAGGAAGAGGAGGGGAGTGGGTACTGGGAACATCCCCCCTCTTAAGCCCCAGGCATATGGCAAGGGAAGGAGGTTGTATAAAGTAGGAACAAGTTGTGCTGGAGGGAAAAGCTGTTCATCTCAGTCATGTTCAAGGAAAAGACTCACCGATATCCACTGGGTCAAGGGAGCTGATGCCCGCCGGGCTGTAGGCCAAGCTGTCCCATCTGCAGGACCAACACGCTGAGCTTCACTCTTTATAGACAGAGCCCCACCCAGCCACCCCCTGCCCGCCCTCCTCCCTTCCTCCTCCTCTCCACCTGCACTCTCAGCCTCTGGAATTCTCCCTCTTCTACAGCAAGCTCCAACCTCGACCCACAGGCCCCCTTGCCTCCCCACTCCCCATCCCAGGCCTCCCAGCCAGCACCCCTACTGTCTCCAGAAAGGGCCTTTTCCCCTGTTTCCCTCACCTGCACACACCTGGTGGACACTGGCTGCCTGCGAACAAGGCTCAGACTGCCTTGAGCCCCCAAACAAGCCCTTACCTTCATGCTCCCCCCGCCCTCAAGCCACCTGTTCCCTGGTGGGTCCCCAACTTCACTCCATTTCCCTCTCCTTCCACACCATGGTTAGGTAACTTAGCATGTCACAGAAATCCTCTGGTTGTGATCACAGGCAAATCCATAGAAACAGAAAGTAAATTAGCGGTGGCCACAGGATGGGGGGAGGGGAGAATGAAGGACTGACTGTGAGAGGGTATGGGTTTCCTTTTGTTCTGAAATTAGATGAGAGTGATGGTTACATAACTCTATGAATATAGTCAGCACGGCACAATGGTGCACCTCCCACCGGTGAACAACCCCAACAAGAAAGAAACTCTCTAGGCCAGGCATGGTGGCTCATGTCTGTAAGCCCAACACTTTGGGAGGCCGAGGCCAGAGGATTGCTTGAGCCCAGGAGCTCAAGACCACCCCGGGCAATATAGAGAGACCTGCGTCACTACAAAAATTTTTTAAAAAATTAGCCTGACGTAGTAGTGCATACCTGTAGTCCCAGCCACTCAGGAGGCTGAGGTGTGAGGATTGCTTGAGCCTTGGAGGTTGAGGCTGCAGTGAGCTGTGATCATGCCACTGCACTCCAGCCTGGGCAACAGAGCAAGACCCTGTCTCAAAAAATGGAAAAAAAAACGGTGGCCGGACACAGTGGCTCACACCTGTAATACCAGCACTTTGGGAGGCCGAGGCAGGCGGATCCTCTGAGGTCAGGAGTTCGAGACCAGCCTGGCCAACATGGCAAAACCCCATCTCTACTAAAATTACAAAAATTAGCCGAGTGTGGTGGGGGGGCACCTGTAATTCCAGCTACTCAGGAGGCTGAGGCAGGAGAATCGCTTGAACCCGGGAGGCGGAGGTTGCAGTGAGCCGAGATTGGGCCACTGCATTCCAGCCTGGGCGACAAGAGTGAAACTCTGTCTCAAAAAAAAAAAAAAAAAAAAAAACAAAAGAAAAAGAAAAAATGGAAGAAATGTTTTGTTTTTGGAAGAAAAGCCAGGAGCCCCGGGTAGCCATGCCCTCAGGAAGCAAAGCAACATTCACCGAGAAGGCATGTCTTTTTTTTTTTTCTTCTGAGACGGAGTCTTGCTCTTTTGCCCAGGCTGGAGTGCGGTGGCGCTGTCTCGGCTCACTGCAAGCTCCGTCTCCCGGGTTCACGCCATTCTCCTGCCTCAGCCTCCCGAGTAGCTGGGACTACAGGCTCCCGCCACCACGCCTGGCTAATTTTTTGTATTTTTAGTAGAGACGGGGTTTCACCATGTTAGCCAGGATGGGAGAAGGCATGTCTTCTTTCCCTGGGGCAGCAGGACCCAGCCAGGACACAGGGACTGGGGGAGACACGAGGTGAAGATTAGGGAGGGCGAAAGGAGCGCTGCAGAGGCCGCACAGCTGATTGCTTTAAACTTTTTATCGCCTGCATCCATAGCTACATCTGACCTCTGTGGGTATTTATCACATCCTAAACTCCTTTCTCATTTCTCCCCTTCCACTGGGAGCCCAGAGGCGGCGGCCCCTAGCCTACTTCCCTGTCCCAAACCACATGGCCGGGTGAGTGGGGCTTAGAGGTGGGGCCGGGCCTGGTGGGTGTGGCTTCTAGCCGGGGACGTGACTAGATAAATGACACTTAGAGCCCAGGGGCAGGGCTGGGTGGGCGTGGCTTATGGCTATGGGCGGGGCTTGCTATATGGCTCCGAGTCAGGGGCAGGGCAGAGTGAGTGGGATTTAAGACAGTGGGCGGAGCCTGACAGATGGCGCTTATGGTAAGGGGCCGGGCTTTGTAGGAGGGGCTTAGACTGGGGCGGGGCTTGCACGGTCAGCCCCGCCCCACCAGAGCAGTTAAGACGCGTCGGGGGCAGGTGCTCTCACCCGTCCCGTTGCTGCGGCCAGTGGCAGCCCACGGGCCGGGGCGCTGTTCCAGTTCCTCCGCCTCTTGCTCTGGGTGGGTGAGGCTGGACCAGGACGCGGCTCCGCGTGGCTGCGAGCGTGGGGAAGCGGCGTGGCGGGCTGGGGCCAGCCTCTCCGCTACGGCTCACTGCCCCCTACCTTCCCAACCCGCGGGCCGCGGCCAAGACGGTGTTACCCAGACTTGGGGGAGGTCCCCAACGTGAGTCTCCCTCCCTGCCTCACCCCTCACTGTTTGTCCCGCCGGCAGCCTTCACGGGGAGGAAGGGTTCCCAGTAAGGGGGCCCTCCAGGGACCAGCAAGCACGGAGCACTGGGGTGGGCGCGCTGGGGACCTGGGACCCAGGGGTTGGAGCAAGAAACGGGATGATCCCGGAGTTCTGAGGACCACAGTTGCTTTGAGTAAAGGCCAGACCTTCACAGTCGGGGCTGGACTGGCCTCTTCCACTCCTGCAGCAGCTGGGGGCATTAAGAGTAATCCGCTATCGGCCGGGAGCAGTGGTTCACACTTGTAATCCCAGCACTTTGGGAGGCCGAGGCGGGCGGATCACCTGAGGTCAGGAGTTCGAGATCAGCCTGGCCAACATGGTGAAACCCCATCTCTACTAAAAATACAAAAAAAAAAAAAAAATAGCCGGGCATGGTGGTGCGCACCTGTAATCCCAGCTACTTGGGAGGCTGAGGCAGGAGAATTGCTTGAACCCAGGAAGTGGAAGTTGCAGTGAGCCAAGATCTTGCCATTGCACTCCAGCCTGGGCAACAAGAGCAAAACTCCATCTCATAAAAAAATAAAAGAGCAGTCCGCTATCAGCAAGGGTCCTCTTCTCCGCCAGTGTGAAATCAGCACAGCTGGGGGGAACAAGTGCCCCCCACACCGACTTCTGTTCTGCACCTCTGATGATGGGAGCAGTTGAGGGTGGTCTCCATCCTGTAGCTCAGCCAAATTCAGAGACCAATACCCCAGAGCCTGCAGGGTTGGGTGGGTAGGCAGGTGTCTTTCTAGACAAGCCCAGTTGGTTGCAGTGGCCAGGTGGTGGGCAGGGGCGATGAGATGTTCTGGGAAGCCTGCACCAGCCACCACCACATCTGCCCTACCCAGTGGCAGGCACCTCTAGTGGGATGAAGGATGCTCCTGGGTGCTCACCATTGGCCCAACTGTGCAAAGGAGGAGATTGAGGGTCAGAGAAGCCAAGTTACTTACTTTTTTTGTTGGCCAGGAAAATCTAATTTTTATTTCTTAAATACTGTGAAGAAAAGGACAGTCCCCCAATGGGGAAGCGCCATAGAGCAGATGACTGGGAGGTCATCGGCAAAGGCTCAGGGGCACTGGGAGAACACTATGGGCAGAAGTGGGGGTCCTCCTGTAGTCACTTTTGCATATCAGACCCCAGCTGCCTGCAGCTCTCCTGAACTCTGGTGCCTCCAGGTCCCTGATGAGACTCTTGGCTTCTGATGGGCCCCCACTGCCCTGCATGGTCACGAGTCTTGTAGGGAGCAATCCACACCCCAGGAGCCCCGTCTGCCAGGCCTGGACTCCTGTTGTACCCACAGCTGCCTCTTTTTTTTTTTTTTTTCGAGACAGAGTCTTGCTCTGTTGCCCAGGCTGGAGTGCAGTGGCAGGATCTTGGCTTACTGCAACCTCCACCTCCCGGGTTGAAGCGATTCTCCTGCCTCAGCCTCCCGAGTAGCTGGGACTACAGGCGCCTACCACCATGTCTGGCTAATTTTTGTATTTTTAGGAGAGACTACATTTCACTATGTTGCCCAGGCTGGTCTCGAACTCCTGACCTCAAGTGACCTGCTGGCCTTGGCCTCCCAAAGTGCTGGGATTACAGGCTTGAGCCACCATGCCCAGCCTCCAGTTACCTCTTTTTAAAGAGAATTTGGTTATTTGAAAGATCTTTCTTCTTTTTTATGTAGGCATTTATTTATTGCTATAAACTTCCCTCTTAGAACCACTTTTGCTGCATTCATTGGTTTAGGTATATTGTATGTCCATTTCAGTTTGTCTCAAGTTTTTTGTTGTTGTTGTTTCTGTTTGTTTTATTTTGTTTTTAGAAACATCTCCCTCTATCACCCAGGCTGAGTGCAGTGGCACAATCGTAGCTCACTGCAGCCTCCAACTCAAGTGTTCCTCCCACCTTAGCCTCCCAAATAACTGGGACTACAGGTGAGCATCACCATGCCTGGCTAATTATTTTTATTTTTTGTAGAGATGGGGGGAGCGTCTCACTATGTTGCCCAGGCTGGTCTTGAACTCCTGGCTTCAGGTGATCCTCCTGCCTCAGCCACCAAAGTGTTGGGATTACAGGCGTGAGCCACTGCACCTGGCCTCAAGATATTTTTTAATTTCGTTTTAATTTCTTCTTTGACACATTGGTTGTTTAGGAGAGTGTTGTTGAATTCTCACGTGTGAATTTTCCAGAATTCCTCCTGTTATTGATCTCTAGTTTCGTATCACTGTGGTCAGAAAAGATACTTGATACAATCGCAATCTTACATTTGTTTTTTTGTTGTTGTTGTTGAGACGGAGTCTCACTCTGTTGCCCAGGCTGGAGTGCAGTGGCACCATCTCGGCTCACTGCAAGCTCCACCTCCCGGGTTCACGCCATTCTCCTGCCTCAGCCTCCCAAGTAGCTGGGACTACAGGCGCCCGCCACCACCACACCTGGCTAATTTTTTGTATTTTTAGTAGAGACGGGGTTTCACCATGTTGGTCAGGCTGGTCTCGATCTCCTGACCTCGTCATCCACCCGCCTTGACCTCCCAAAGTGCTGGGATTACAAGTGTGAGCCACCGCACCTGGCAATCTTACATTTGTTCAGGCTTGCTTTGTGGTCTAACATGATCTATCCTGGAGTATGTCCCCTGTGCACTTGAGGAGAATGTGCGTTCCGCTGCTGTCAAATGGAATGTTCTACATATGTCATTAGTTCCATTTGATCTACAGTGCATTTCAAATCCAATGTTTCCTTACTGATTATCTGCCTGGATCTGTTCGTTGCCTTTTTTTTTTTTTTTTTTTTTTTTAGACAGAGTCTCAGTTTGTCCACCAGGCTGGAGTACAGTGATGTTGTTATGGCTCACTGCAGCCTTGAACTCCTGGGCTCCAGCAATCCTCCTGCCTCAGCCTCCCAAGTAGCTGGGACTACAGATATGCACCACCACAACCCACAAATGTATATTTTTAATTTTGTGGCCTGTTGCCCAGGCTGGTGTTCATTGTTGAAAGTGCAGTACTATTCCTGTATTGCAGTTCAGATCTGTTCATATTTCCTTTATATATATTTCCTTTATATATTTAGGTGCTCTGATGTTAGGTGCATATATATATAATTGTTTTATCCTCTTGATGAACTGACCCCTTTTTCATTCTATAATGACCTTCTTCCTCTCATGTTAGAGTTTTGACTTAAAAAATATTTTATCTGATACAAGTACAGCTACCCCTGATCTCTTTCGGTTTTCATTTTCAAAGAATATCTTTTTGCCTCCCTTCACTTTCAGTCTATGTGTGTCTTTAAACCAGCTGCCTCTTGCTTTGGTCCAGATGCATAGTGGTTGCCCAGCAACCGGAGGAGGAGAAGGAGGAGGAGGAGGAGGAAGAGGAGGAGGAAGAGGAGGAGGAGGAGGAGGAGGAGAAGGAGGAGGAGAAGGAGGAGGAGAAGGAGGATGGGGAGGAGAAGGAGGAGGGGGAAGAGGAGGAGGGGGAGAAGGAGGAGGGGGAGGAGAAGGAGGAGGGGGAGGAGAAGGGGGGGGAGGAGAAGGAGGAGTGGGAAGAGAAGGAGGAGGAGGGGGAGGAGGAGGATGGGGAGGAGGAGGAGAAGGAGGAGGAAGGAAGAAGGGTTTTTCCAGGATGTCTTGCAAGCCCTTGGCCTGATGTTCGAGAATTTGGTTAACTCTAACCTGAACCCTAAGTCCCTGATGTAGCTGGCTCTGCTGGCTCCTGGAAAGTCAGTTCTGAGGGGATCCCCACCCCAGGCTAACCTGAGGCCTCTGTCTTCCAGGGGACAGCTGTAGCAGTGGCCTGGGCAGGGGCCGTGGTTCTCCAGAGGGATTCAGACTACTGGTATTACCGAGCTCATGACCTTGGCTTTCATCCTTGTACTTGTCCTGCCCCTGCAGGATGTGCGGGGGCCAGACAGCTGGGAAGAGTGACTGCCTGATCCTGGCCCTGCTGCCTTGGGCTAGAGGAGGGGTTGCATGGAGAGAGAGGGTGGCAGGCCTTGGGGAGAGGGTCCCATAGGGTCCTGAGTCCCTCTTTGAACGTGCTGAGCTCTACTCACCCTTTCCACATCTGTTTTCTGAGTATCCCTTATGTTCCAGCCACATGCGGGGCCCCAGGGTGCCCCAGGGTGACAGCAGTGAGCAAGCCGACACATTGCAACTATCAAAGATGATGATCGCTGGCTGGGCGTGGTGGCTCACACCTATAATCCCAACACTTTGAGAGGCCAAGGCAAGAGGATCACTTGAGCCCAGGAGTTCGAAACCAGCCTGGGCAACATAGTAAGACCCCCATTTCTACAAAAAAAAAAAAAAATTTTTTTTTTTTAAATAGCCAGGCAAAGTGACCGGCATCTATAGTCCCAGTTACTCAGGAGACTGGGGCAGGAGGATTGCTTGATCCCAGGAGTTCAAGGCTGCAGTGAGCTATGATTGCACCACTGCCTTCCAGCCTGGGCAACAGAGTAAGAACTCATCTCAAAAAAAAAAAAAAATGATGATGTTGATGTCACAGATGCCTCATGGAACATCTATGTGGGACCATTTGTTATTCATTCAATAAACACTTATTGAGCACCCTCTATGTGCCCAGCACTGAGCTGGGTGCTGGGGACAAGCAGTGAAGGAGTCAGTCCCACGTGCTCAGTGCCTAGTAGCATTGCAGACAAGAGAAGCAGCAAGTAATGAAGCAAGACATTCAGATGTGACTTTCTGCTGACAAGGAAAAACAAATTTTAATTTAAAAAAAATTTAAAAACAATTTTCAGATGAGGATCACTGTCACCAATGCTGGTGTGATTGGAAGAGACTAGGGATGGGCTGGATGCCGTTTTTTTTTTTTTTTTTTTTTTTTTTTTTTGAGACAGGGTCTCACTGTGTCACCCTGGCTGGAGTGCAGTGGTGCGATCTCGGCTCACTGCAACCTCCACCTCCTGGGCTCAAGTGATTCTCCCACTTCAGCCTCCTAAGTATTACAGGCATGTACCACCACGCCCAGCTAGTGGATGCCTTTAAAGAGAGTGGCTTGAGGTAACAAGAACCTTATTAGGTTAAAATTCATTCCTACTTTATAGGGAAAGAACAATCAACCGAGGCTGAGAGAGGTTACATTGCTTGACCAAGTAACTTGACTAAGTCGCTTGTCTCTAAACAAATTAATTAAGTAAGTAAAAACAGGTGCCCAGTGATGTGCAGAGAGCTGGAGACAGAAGGCAGATAATACCACTCTCCAAGTGGCCCTCACAGCTAATAGGAGGATTTTTTTTTCAAGATAATGTCTCTGATTTGTTTTTGGTTTTGGGTTTTTTTTTGTTTTTTGGTTTGTTTGTTTGTTTGTTTTTTGAAACAGAGTCTCACTCTGTTGCCAAGGCTGGAGTGCAGTGGTGCGATCTTGGCTCACTGCAACCTTCGCCTCCCAGGCTCAAGCAATTCTCCTGCCTCAGCCTCCCCAGTAGCTGGGATTACAGGCACGCACCACCACACCCGGCTAATTTTTGTATTTTTAGTAGAGATGGGGTCTCACCATGTTGGCCAGGCTGGTTCGAACTCCTGACCTCAAGCGATCCGCCTACCTTGGCCTCCCAAAGTGCTGGGATTACAGGCATGAACCACTGTGCCTGGCCGAGATAATGTTCCTGTTGCCCAGGCTGGAGTGCGGTGGTATGATCACAGCTCTCTGTAGTCTTGACCTCTGGATTCAAGCGATCCCCCTGCCTCAGCCCCACAAGTAGCTGGGACTACAGGCACATGCCATCATGCCCGACTAATTTTGTAACTTTTTGTAGAAACAGGGTCTCCTTATGTGGCCCAGGCTGGTCTTGAACTCCTGGGCTCAAGGGATCATCCCGCCTTGGCCTCCCAAAGTGCTGGGATTACAGGCCTGAGCCACCTTGCTCTGCCTTAGGCTGCCATGTCTCCTGATCAGACATTCCTGGAGGAACATCTGCATCAGGCTGTGGGGATGTGAAGGGCATCCCACCTGTCTCCAGGGGGACCTGCAGCTGAATGGTGACCTGAAGGACAACCTCGTGTTAGTCAGAGACCAGCAGGGCAGGACGCTAGAGGGAACTGCCAAGTGCAGAGTATCTGGGGCAGGAGGTGCGGGGGTGGATAGCGGAAGATGAGGTAGGCAGGGAGAAGCTATTTGGAGCCTCACGTGCCAAGCCCAGAAGGGTGACCTTCATCCAGAGGCCAAGAAGAAGCTGCCGAAAAGATTTATTTATTTTTATTTTTATTTTTGAGACAGAGTCCTGCGGCCCAGGCTGGAGTGCAGTGGCGTGATCTCGGCTCGCTGCAACCTCTGCCTCTTGGGTTCAAGCAATTCTCCTGCCTCAGCCTCCCGAGTAGCTGGGATTACAGACCCGTGCCATCACGCAGAGCTAATTTTTGTAATTTTAGTAGAGACGGGGTTTCACCATGTTGGCCAGGCTGGTCTCGAACTCCTGACCTCAGGTGATCCGCCCGCCTTGGCCTCCCAAAGTGCTGGGATTACAGGCATGAGCCACCGCACCCACCCTGAATAGATGTATTTAGTCAGGGGAGGGTTGTGGTCAGGTCTGCATCTGAGCTCTGCCAAGGTCATCTGGAAGATGCCGCAGAGGGTGAGGTGAGGGCAGGGAGATTCAACAGCCCAGGCATGGTAGGGCATGGTAGTGTGGACCTGTTGTCACAGCTATTCGGGAGGCTGAGGCAAGAGGACTGCTCGAGCTTAGGAGTTCAAGGTTGCAGTGGGCTATGATTGCACCACAGCACTCCAGCCTGGGCGACAGTTAGACTCTGCCTCTGAAAAAAATAAAAACAGGATGGGGCGCAGTGGCTCACACCTGTAATCCCAGCACTTTGGGAGGCCGAGGCGGGTGGATCATTTGAGGTCAAGAGTTCGAGACCAGCCTGACCAACATGGTGAAACCCCTGTCCCTACCAAAAATACAAAAATTAACCAGGCATGGTGACGGGTGCCTGTAATCCTAGCTACTCGGGAGGCTGAGGCAGGAGAATCACTTGAACCCGGGAGGTGGAGGTTGCAGTGAGCCAAGATTGCGCTGCGTGCTGCACTGCAGGCTGGGTGACAGAGCGAGACTCAGTCTCAAAAAATAATTAATTAAAAATAAAAAAAGAAAGTGGCATGCTGGACCCACTGGGTGAAGGTGGGCAGATCCTAGAATTAGGTCTCTCTTTCTGGAATGACGGGGGCGATCTGAGCCGCCTCCTTAGCTCCCTGGAGAATCAGACAAACCTCCCTCCCACTGCTACCTACTTCTCAAATGTGGGAACCCTGGCAGTCCAGTAGGCCGGCCATGCATACAAAGGGAACCCAGGAGGCTGTCAGTGCCTATAGGATTAGGGAATCTGTCTGCGCTTTCACCTCTGCTCCTCCAACCCGTCTTCCTGTGGTTCTTTTTCTGTTTTTTTTTTTTTTTTTTTTTGAGATGGAGTCTCACTCTGTTGCCCAGGCTGGAGTGCAGTGGCACAATCTCCGCTCACTGCAAGCTCTGCCTCCCGGGTTCACGCCATTCTCCTGCCTCAGTCTCCCAAGTAGCTGGGACTACAGGCGCCCGCCACCACGCACGGCTAATTTCTTTTTGTATTTTTAGTAGAGACGGGGTTTCACCGTGTTAGCCAGGATGGTCTCGATCTCCTGACCTCGTGATCTGCCCACCTCGGCCTCTCAAAGTGCTGGGATTACAGGCGTGAGCCACCGTGCCTGGCCCTTTTTAAGACAGATTCTTGCTCTGTTGCCCAGGCTGGAGTGCAGTGGCAGGATCTTGGCTCACTGCAACCTCTGCCTCCCGGGTTCAAGTGATTCTCCTGCCTCAGCCTCCTGAGTAGCTGGGATTACAGGTGCGCACCACCACACCTGGCTAATTTTTGCATTTTTGGTAGAGATGGGGTTTCACCATGTTGGCCAGGCTGGTCTGAAACTCCTGACCTCAAGTGATCCACCTGCCTCAGCCTCCTAAAGTGCTGGGATTACAGGCATGAGCCGCCGTGCCTGGCCAATATTTTCTTTTTCTTTTTCTTTTTTTTTCTTTTTTTTTGAGACAGAGTCTTGCTCTGTCACCCAGGCTGGAGTGCAGTGGTGTGATCTCGGCTCACTGCAAGCTCCGCCTCCCAGGTTCATGATATTCTCCTGCCTCAGCCTCCCAAGTAGCTGGGACTACAGGCACCCGCCACCATGCCCAGCTAATTTTTTGTATTTTTAGTAGAGACGGGGTTTCACCGTGTTAGCCAGGATGGTCTCGATCTCCTGACCTTGTGATCCGCCCGCCTCGGCCTCCCAAAGTGCTGGGATTACAGGCGTGAGCCACCGTGGCCTGGCCAATTTTTTGTTTTTAGAGACAGGGTCTCACTCTATCGCCCAGGCTGGAGTGCTGGTGTTATCACAGCTTGCTGGAGCCTCCAACTCCTGGGCTCAGACCATCTGCCCACTTTAGCCTCCCACAGTGCTGGGATTACTAGCATGAGCCACCTTCTCTGGCCTCTCCTGGTTGTTCTAAGCACGTGGATTCAGATCTGCCAGTTGCCCACTCAGTCCTGGGGGCGAGGTGCTGGAGAGGAGGCTGGGGAGGAAGATTGGGTCACCACGGTTCCTCTTTCCTGCCTCTTCTCTCACGGCACCTGCTGTTCCCCCAGGGCTCCCACCTCCGCTTGTCTCCTGCTGAGCCTTTGCCCTAGTAGCGCACTCTGCCTGGCAAGCCCTCCCTCTGCCCATCTCCAGGCAGCCAGCATGGCTGGGATTATGTATTCAGCTTCGAGCTCTGACACCCTGTCACCCTGGGCCACATGTTGGGACCGCCCTATTCTTTCTTTTTTTTTTTTTTTTGAGACGGAGTCTCACTCTTTTGACCAGGCTGGAGTGCAGTGGCATGATCTCAACTCACTGCAACCTCCACCTCCCGGGTTCAAGCAGTTTTCTGCCTCAGCCTCCCGAGCAGCTGGGATTACAGGTGCCTGCCACCACGCCTGGCTAATTTTTGTATTTTTAGTAGAGATGGGGTTTCACCATCTTGGCCATGCTGGTCTCAAGTCCTGACCATGTGATCCACCCGCCTCGGCCTCCCAGAGTGCTGGGATTATAGGCGTGAGTCACCTGCCTGGCCGGGACTGCCCTATTCATCTCTGTCTGCCCCTGAAATCTTATTGTGTACGTGCCTCCACTTCAAGGCCATCAAACCTCATGGAAGGGATGTACTTCAGTCATCCCTTTGCCTGTGATGTTCCCCTTCCCCACCAATAGAGGCTGAGCAAGCACCTCAGACTTGAGAGTGGACCAAGCCTCCTTGCTGCAGGCCCCCAAGTGCCCAAGGGAGCTCTCAGCTTGTCCAGCCCTTCACAGGCCTATAAACTCTTCTCAGTCCTGGCTGGGTGCAGTGGCTTATGCCTGTAATCCCAGAACTTTGGGAGACCGAGGCGGGTGGATCACTTGAGGTCAGGAGTTCGAGACCACCCTGGCCAATATAGCGAAACCCCATCTCTACTAAAAATACAAAAAAAAAAAAAAAAGCGAAACCCAGGCCAGGCACAGTGGCTCATACCTGTAATCCCAGCACTTTGGGAGGCCGAGGTGGGTAGATCATGAGGTCAGGAGTTTGAGACCAGCCTGATCAACATGGTGAAACCCCGTCTCTACAAAAAATACAAAAATTAGATGGTCGTGGTGGTACGTGCCTGTAATCTCAGCTATTCAGGAGGCTGAGGCAGGAGAATCGCTTGAACCTGGGAGGCAGAGGTTGCAGTGAGCCGAGATCGTGCTACTGCACTCCAGCCTGGGCGACAGAGCAACAGGACTACAGAGCAAGACTCTGTCTCAAAAAAAAAAAAAAAAAAAAAAAAAGCGAAACCCCATCTCTACTAAAAATACAAAAATATTAGCATGCATGGTGGTTTGTGCCTGTAATCCCAGCTACTCAGGAGGCTGAGGCAGAAGAATCACTTGAACCCAGGAGGCGGAGGTTGCAGTGAGCCAAGATTGTGCCATTGCACTCCAATCTGGGTGACAAGAGAAAAATTCTGTCTCAAAAAAATAAAATAAAAATAAAAATAAAAATAAAATTAAAAAAAACTCTTGTCAGGCCCCCCTTTCCCCCAGCTTTCCCACTTCCCCCTACACCCCACACTTACTTGTGTGCCTCCCTTGTTCTGGGCTAATTTCATGTGCATTGTTGCAATAGATGCTTACAGTGACACATTAAGGTAAACAATATACTTATTCCCATTCTACACATGAGGAATTTGTGATTTGATCAGGGTAGCCAAGCCAAGTATTGTTGTTACTTTTTTGAGACAGAGTCTCACTCTGTCACCCAGGCTGGAGTGCAGTGGTGTAATCTCAGCTCACTGCAACCTCCACTTCCCTGGTTCAAGTGATTCCCCTGCCTCAGCCTCCTGAGTAGCTGGGATTACAGGCGCCCACCACCACACCTGGCTAATTTTTGTATTTTTAGGAGAGACATTTTTCCTGACCTCAAGTGATCCATCCGCCTTGGCCTCCCAAAATGCTGGGAGTATAGACGTGAGCCACCATACCTGGCCCCAAGTGTTTTTTTTGTTTTGTTTGGCTTTGTTTTAAAAAAATAAAATAAGCCTGGCCATGGTGGATTACAGCACTTTGGGAGGCCGAGGTGGGCAGATCACCTGAGGTCAGGAGTTTGAGACCAGCCTGGCCAACATGGTGAAACCCCATCTCTACCAAAAATACAAAAATTAGCTGGGCCGTGGTGGTGCATACCTGTAGTCCCAGCTACTCAGGAGGCTAAGGCAGGATAATCGCTTGAACCCGGAGGCAGAGTTTGCAGTGAGCTGAGATCATGCTACTGTACTCCAGCCTGGGCAACAGAGCAGAGTCTGTCTCAAAAAATAAATAAATAAATAAGTAAATAAATAAATAAATAAATAAATAAATAAATAAAAAGCAATGATTTTCCCTTTGTGGGTCTGGGGGTCACCTGTAGCCCCACTGGAACTTGCTCCAGGCTGTGAGTTGGATTTGCATCTGTTCCATGTGACTTTTCATTCAGAGGCTTCAGGGCCCATATTTGTTTTTTTGTTTTTGAGATGGAGTTTCATTCTTTCCCAGCCCCCCAAGTAGCTGGGATTACAGGCATCCGCCACCGTGCCCAGCTAATTTTTTTGTATTTTTAGTAGAGACAGAGTTTTACCATGGTAAGCAGGCTGGTCTCGAACTCCTGACCTCAGGTGACCCATCAGGGCCCATATTTGTTTCATGGCAAGGTGACATGCAAGCAGAGTGGCGGGACCACGTGATGCTTCCTCAGCCTTTGTCTCCGATCTGATGAGGGTCACTTCCATGCAGGTTCCATTGGCCAAAACAAGTCATATGGCCACACCCTAAGCTGGAGAATGGGGAGTGCACCCCACCCACAGGGAGCAGTGATCAGGGGAGGAAGAGAGGAAGATGTGTTGTCTTAGTCTCTTTGTGCTGATATAACAAAATGCCTGAGGCCAGGTAATCTGTCAATAATAGAAGTTTATTGCTTACAGTTCTAGAGGCTGGGAAGTCCAAGATGGAGTTACTGGAGGATTCAGTACCTGGGTGAGGGCTCATTCTCTCCTCCCAAGGTGGAGCCTTCTTGCTGCACCCTCACACAGCAGAAAGGTAAAAAGGACCTACCTGCTCCCCTTCAACCCCCCTCTCTTGCTTTTTTTAGAGACAGGGTCTTGCTATGTTGCCCAGGCTGGAGTGCAGGGGTGTGATCATAGTTCAATGTAACCTTGACTCCTGGGCTCATGCAATCATCAAGTCCTCAGCCTCCCAAGGAGCTAGGACTACAGGAGCATGCCACCACACCCAGCTAACTTTTTTGTTTTTTGCAAAGATGGGGACTTGCTGTGTTTCCCAGGCTGCTCTCAGACTTCTGGCTTCAAGCAATCCTTCCCTCCTCAGCCTCCCAAAGTGCTGGGATTTCAGGCATGAGCCACCTCACCCAGCCTTTTCTAATGAGATTAATCCCATTCATGAGGGCAGAGTTCTCATGACCTAATCATGTTCCAAAGGCTGTACCTTCTAATACTAACACCTTGGGTTTTTAGTTCCAATGTATGAATTTTGGAGGGACACATACATTTAAACAAAGGCAATTGTGAACAAATGATACCATCCACCACAGTCATGTAAAGTCCATGATGAATGTTCCTGATTGGCAGGTAGGGCTTCTCTGAGGGCTGTTTCCAGAACACAGGTCCCTTCCGTCTTCTGGCTCTGCCATCTTTAACATATAGCTCCCAAGGTCACCAGCTTGGAGAGCTTGGAGAGTGAACCACCATGTTGGCCAGGCTGGTCTTGAACTCCTAGCCTCAGGTGGTCCACCCGCCTCGGCCTCCCAAAGTGCTGGGATTACAGGCATGAGCCACTGCTCCCGGCCTGTTCCTTATTTTTTATTTATTGTTGATATTTTGAATAGTAGAAGTCAAGATGTAGCCGACTTTGAAATGCTTCCCAGCCAGGCACGGTGGCTGCCACCTGTAATCCCAGCACTTTGGGAAGCCGAGGTGGAAGGGTCACTTGAACCCAGGAGTTTGAGACCAGCCTGGGCAACACAGTGAGACTTTGTCTCTACAAAAAATTTAAAAATTAGCCAGGTGTGGTGGCACACATCTGTGATCCCAGCTACTTGGGAGGTTGAAGTAGGAGGATCACCTGAGCCTAGGAGTTCAAGACCAGCCTGAGCAACATAGCAGAACCCCATCTTTAAAAAAAAAATGAGCAGGGCATAGTTGTACACATCTGCAGTCCCAGCTACTAGGGAGGCTGAGGCAGAAGGATTGCTTGAGCCTGGAAAGTTGAGGCTGCAGTGAGCTGTGATTGCACCACTGCACTACAGCCTGGGCTACAGAACAAGACTCTGTCTCAAAAAAGAAGGAAAGAGGAAGAAAGAAAGAAAGGAAGGAAGGAAGGAAGGAAAGAGAGAGAGAGAGAAAGAGAAAGAAGGAAGGAAGGAAAGAGAGAGAAAGGAAGGAAGGAAGGGAGAGAGAAAGAAAGAAAAGAGAAAAGAGAAAGAAGAAGCTGGGCACAGTGGCTCACGCCTGTAATCCCAGCACTTTTGGAGGCTGAGGCAAGCAGATCACTTGAGGTCAGGAGTTTGAGAGCAGCCTGGCCTATATGGTGAAACCCCATCTGTGCTAAAAAATATACAAAAATTAGCCAGGTGTGGTGGTGTGCGCCTGTTGTCCCAGCTACTTGGGAGGCTGAGGCAGGAGAATTGTTGAACCCGGGAGGTAGAGGTTGCAGTGAGCTGAGATGGCACCACTGCACTCCAGCTTGGGCGACTGGGTGACAGAGCCAAAAAAAGAAAGAAAGAAGAAAGAAAGCCAAGAAGAAGGAAGAAAGGAAGGAAGGAGGGAGGAAGGGAGGGAGGGAAGGAAGGAAGGAGGAAATAAAGGAAAGGAAGGAAGGAAAAGGAAAAGAAAAGAAAAGGAAAAGGAAAAGAAAAGAAAAGGAAAGGGAACAGAACAGAACAGAATAGAAAAGGCACACTTGGAGGGAAGTGTTTCTATCTCTAGGAACTGGCCAGCCCCAGAAGGGACCGTCCGTCCCTCTCCTGGTCTTCAAAGCCCTAGATCTAAAGTATCATAAGCACAGAAAATTAAAACCACGATTCATACATCACCCTCTCTCTTCCATGACCACCTGTTGTTTTCCCTTCCCTGGTTCCACAGCTGCTCCCTCTGGCAACAGATGGATAAATGCCAGGATTGCTCTCAAGTTTCCCCCATGCCAAAGAAATCCAGCTCCCCCATCCCATCCTGCCTCATTGTCCCCTCTCTCGCCTCCTGGTCCTAAACCCCTGCACTGGCTCCCAATTTAAGCTGAACAGCCTTAGCCCCCGCTCCTTACAGCTCTCACTCTTTCAGCTGCAGAAACACGGCCCCATGAGTGTCTGTATCACAGCCTTCTTTCCATCACCTCTGACGTGAGGCTGTTTGTTCAAGGTGGTGCCCCCAGCCCTCCTTATCTCTGGCATCAGGAAGAGGCATGGTGGACCCCCGGGCTGATAGCGGAGGCCAGGGGACGCCAAGGCAACACAGCCTGATCTTCCTATTTTAGCTGCTACTGAAAGGGTTAAGGGTGCTGCATAGGGTAGGTGTCCATTTGACTGTGAATTTCCTTTCTTTTGTTTGTTTTTTTGAGACAGAGTCTCCCTCTGTTGCCCAGGGTGGAGTGCAGTGGCACGATCTCAGCTCACTGCAACCTCTGCCTCCTGGATTCAAGCAATTCACAAGCACCCGCCACCATGCCCAGCTAATTTTTTTTTTTTTTTTGAGACGGAGTCTCCTTCTGCCACACAGGCTGGAGTGCAGTGGTGCGATCTCAGCTCACCGCAACCTCTTCCTCCTGGATCCAAGGGATTGTCCTGCCTCAGCCTCCCAAGTAGCTGGGATTACAGGCGCATGCCACCACACCTGGCTAATTTTTGTATTTTAATAGAGACGGGGTTTCGCCACGTTGGCCAGGCTGGTCTCGAACTCCTAACCTTGAGTGACTTATGGAGTCAATAAAGCCCTTGGAAACTGGCCTTATATTTTGTGTATACAGTTCCTGTACAGGGTTTCTGATCTGTGGTAAGTAAAGAAGGTCATTTTCTGACAGGCCAGGAACCCCAAGTTATCTTAAAACCTCAAGAGGAGAGGAATTCACCCAACTCATAGGTATTTCATGTTACAAATCCATGGCTGGGCTTGGCTTAAACAAGTCTTATCTCAAATTCCTTCTATATAACAAAGTTCCATCAAAGCTGATTTAAAAGGCCTGTGTAGCGGCTAGGTGTGGTGGCTCATGCCTGTAATCCCAGCACTTTGGGAGGCCAAGGCAGGCAGATCACAAGGTCAGTAGTTCAAGGCCAGCCTGGCCAACATGGTGAAACCCCATCTCTACTAAAAATACAAAAAATTAGCAGGCTTGGTGGCTGGCACCTGTAATCCCTGATACTCAGGAGGGTGAGGAAGGAGAAATGCTTGAACCCAGCAGGCGGAGGTTGCAGTGAGCTGAGATTATACCATTGCACTCCAGCCTGGGTGACAGAGCAAGACTCTGTCTCGAGAAAAAGAAAAAAAGAGAAAAAAAAGGCCTATGTAGCAAATAATTATTCTTGCTGCACTCTATGCAAATAATTAAGCCAAATATAATAAAGCAAACCAGTCCTACCATGATTTATCTTTTAATAAAAATGGGAAACTGAAGAGTGAAAATTATGTTTCAGAAACTATAGCACACCTGTTGTTAAATTCTAGTCTTGCCTAATGTTTTTCAATTTTTATTATTTTCTACAGTTTAAATTATATGTGTTACAGAAATCAACTCCTGGATACATTACACTCAAAGCCTAAAGAGTGGAGAAAGCAACCCCTAACAGCCTAGAGAAAGGTCCTATCAATGTAAAAAAAAATAACAAATCTTAACCTGAAAATCATAAAAGATAAGTGGCTGGGCAAGGTGGCTCACACCTGTAATCCCAGCACTTTGGGAGGCTGAGGTGGGTGGATCACCTGAGGTCAGGAGTTTGAGACCAGCCTGAGACCAACAAGGTAAAACCCCGTTGCTACTAAAAATAGAACACCTATATGGACACCTATAATCCCAACTACTCGGGAGGCTGAGACAGGAGAATTGCTTGAACCCGGGAAGCGGAGGTTGCAGTGAGCTGAGATCACGCCACTGCACTCTAGCCTGAGCGATAGAGCAAGACTCCATCTCAAAAAAAAAAAAAAAAAAAAGATAAGTAACTAAGTGGAAATTACTCATTTCAGTCTCACCCCTACCTCACCAAATACTTTTTGTCATTTCTACATCTCCTTTTAAGCCAAATATTAAAACCTTTTTAATGGAAATTATTTACTATGCCACCCTCATGGGAATTGCTTTAGTCTACTATTTGCAGAAGGACTATATACTGTAGTACCCTCAGGGTGGAATATCGGACACAGAGTCTCAATTACCGTAGCATTTGGCTTAGTTATTATCCTCATACCAGGAATAACAGTTGCTAACAAACAAATAACACATGGGTCTTCCCAAACATGCGCCTCTGCCTGTCATTGGGAAAAAAATGTTGATTCTGTCTCAACCAATTAGGCCTAATAAGAAACGCTGCTGAAGGCCAGGCGCAGTGGCTCACGCCTGTAATTCCAACACTTTGGGAGGCCGAGGCAGACGGATCACGAGATCAGGAGATCAAGACCATCCTGGCTAAGACAGTGAAGCCCCGTCTCTGCTAAAAATACAAAAAATTAGCCGGGCGTGGTGGCGCGTGCCTGTAGTCCCAGCTACTTGGGAGGCTGGGGCAGGAGAATGGCATGAACCTGGGAGGTGGAGCTTGCAATGAGCTGAGATCGCGCCACTGCACACCAGCCTAGGCGACAGAGCGAGACTCCGTCTCAAAAGAAAAAAAAAAAAAAAAACGCTGCTGAAAAGCCTAGGACTAATGTTTTTACCCTTTATGGCCATTTCGTAGACAACTACCAAAACATCTACACACAATATTGCTCCTGCAGGCAATCCAAGACCAAAAAACTCTCCGTGTCTCCCCTCCACCCCACAACAGCAGGAAGTAGCCAGAAAGAACACGTCGCCCCTTGTCCTTTTACAACTATAGGGTCTGGAATGACAGAGCAGAAGCACTGTCATCTTGGACAAACCCCACCACTTTAAGTTCCAGCTCCCTCTCTAGCCTCTTACATTTCAAGGATATCACTTATCTTCTAACTACAAGCAGCCAGAAAGAGCAGGCAGTAAAACACAGATAAGACAGCTCGGGCACAGAGGGAAATAGGGGGAAAGTCTGTTGGGTAATTGCCAAACTTCACCCTCATACAATGGGCCCCAGTAAAACAGTGGGGCCTTACTTAATAAGCACATTCCTTTCCCTTCAGGTGCACTGAAACAGGGAAGCCAAAGGCAGACTCCCGGTGGGGGTTTTTGGGGGGCGGGTATGCCTGCAGCTGCAAGAAGATGTATGGGGACAGACACGCAACTCTCCCTCCCAGATAAGCACAACAAAGAGACACAGAAGCAGTCCAAGCCTCTGATAAACTCTCCCACCCTGAATCCTTAAAACTCTTAGTCTGGGCTGAGCTCGGTGGCTCATGCCTGTAATCCCAGTATTTTGGGAGACTGAGGTGGGCAGATCACGAGGTTCGAGACCAGCCTGGCCAACATGGTGAAACCCCGTCTCTACTAAAAAATACAAAAATTAGCCGGGCATGGTGGCACATGCCTGTAATCCCAGCTACTCAGGAGGCTGAGGCAGGAGAATAGCTTGAACCTGGGAGGCAGAGGTCGCAGTGAGCCGAGATCACGTCATTGCACTCCAGCCTGGGCAACAAGAGCGAAACTCTGTCTCAAAACAAAAACAAGAAACAAACAAACAACCCAAAAACAAAAAAACCTCTTAGTCTGTAAGAGAGTTTGCCTCTGACTCAACTTGCCTGGAATACTCCTCTCAGGTTTGTTTTCTCTAAAATAAACCTGTGTTGACTGGCAAGCCAACTTTTGTGTTTCTTTCCTCTTTATTTCTTACAGGCCTCCCAACATGCTGGGATTACAGGCGTGAGCCACTGCACCTGGCCTAACTGAAACTTAAAACACATTTTCCCGGCCGGGCTCAGTGGCTCACGCCTGTAATCCCAGCACTTTGGGAGGCTGAGGCGGGCAGATCACGAGATCAAGAGTCCAAGACCAGCCTGGCCAACATGGTGAAACCCCATCTCTACTTAAAATACAAAAATTAGCCAGGCATGGTGGCGCATGCCTGTAGTCCCACCTACTAGGGAGGCTGAGGCAGGAGGATGGCTTGAACCCAGGAGGTGGAGGTTGCAGTGAGCCAAGATCATGCCGCTGCACTCCAGCCTGGGCAACAGAGTGAGATTCTGTCTCAAAAAAAACAAAAACAAACAACAACAACAACAAAAAAAAAAAACACACAGACACATTTTCCCTTTAGCATTGCTTCTAAAATTCAAAAATGAGCTGTCCTAGGGAAAGGGAACAAGGACTGCCCTAGGACATGTTGAAGAATGTGGAAAATGTTTCATATTTAAAATGTTGATTCATTGATTGATTGAGACAGGGTCTCACTCTGTTACCCAGGGTGGAGTGCAGTGGTGTGATCATGGCTCACTGCAGTCTCAAACTCCTGGGGTCCAGTGATCCCTCTCACTTCAACCTCCCAAGTAGCTGGGATTACAGGTGTGCACCATCATGCCCAGCTAACTTTGTCATTTTTTTGTAGAGACAGGGATCTCGCTATGTTGCCCAGGCTGGTCTTGAACTCCTGAGCTAAAGCAATTCTCCTGCCTCAGCCTCCCAAAATGCTGGGATTACAGGTGTGAGTCATTGCACCTGGCAGGGAAGCATTTCAAAGTCAGCTACATCTTGACTTTGACTATTCAGAATATTTAAAAATGAATAAGTAGTAAGAAATAAAGAACAAAGGTACCATGAAACAAAGATTGGGCCCTTGGGTCTTTATAGGAATAACTTTTTCGGGGGGCAGGGATGGGGGTAGGCTCTGTCGTCCAGACTGGAGTGCAGTGGCCCGATCATAGCTCACTACAGCCTGGGAATCCCGGGCTCCTGGGCTCAAGTGATCTTCCTACCACAGCCTCCCAAAGTGCTGGGATTCCAGATATGAGCCACCAGCCTGGCCTTTTAAAACAATTATTTGGGCTGGGCATGGTGGCTCACGCCTGTAATCCCAGCACTTTGGGAGGCCAAGGCAGGCGGATTACTTGAGGTCAGGAGTTGGAGACCAGCCTGGCCAACATGGTGAGACTCTGTCTCCACTAAAAATACCAAAAAACTAGCTGGGTGTGGTAGTGCATGTCTGTAATTCCAGCTACTTGGGAGGCCGAGGCAGGAGAATCACTTGAACTCACGAGGCAGAGGTTGCAGTGAGCCAAGATCAAGCCACTGTACTCCAGCCTGGACAACAGAGAGAGAGTCCGTCTGAAAATAAATAAATTAAATAAATAAATAAATTGGAGAGAACACGAGTCACTTTGTCTGCTTCTCCACCTCCCTAACAAAGCTCTCTATGGTATAAAGCTTGAAGGAATGTGGTCCACCCAAGCCCTGACTCTGAAACCTTTTTCCATTGAGTTCTCCCATCTCCTAGGAGATGCTTGCCACGGCCAGCAGCTCTGCCGGGTTACAAAGCTCATGCCAGGAAAGGCAAATGCCAGGCCGACTGCCCGGCAGCTCTCCAGGGCTGACTCGGGGCTGCAGAGAAGAGGCTGGTATGAGTCTCTCGTGGCTGCTGAAACAAATGACCAGAAACAGAGCAGCTTAAAGCAACCCAGATTTATGATTTTACAGCACTGGAGGTCAGATGTCCTAAAATTAAGGTGTTGATGAGGCTGGTTCCTCCTGGAGGCTCCATTTTCAGCCTTTCCCAGCTTCTAGAGGTACCTACAGCTCTCATCTTGGGGCCCCTTCCTCCACCTTCACGGCCAGCAGCGCAGCCTCTTCCAGTCTCTTTCTGACTGTGACCCTCCTGCCTCCTCATTTTTTTTTTTCTGAGACAGAGTCTCACTCTATAGCCAAGGGTGGAGTGCAGTGGCTCCATCTCATCTCACTGCAACCTCTGCCCCTCGAGTTCAAGCAATTCTCCTGCCTCAGCCTCCTGAGTAGCTGGGATTACAGGCATGCTCCACCACGCCCAGCTAATTTTGATTTTTTAGTAGCAACAGGGTTTCTTCATGTTGGGCAGGCTGGTCTCGAACTCCCAACCTCAGGTGATCTGCCCGCCTCAGCCTCCCAAAGTGCTGGGATTACAGGCGTGAGCCACCAAGACCAGCATTTTTTTTTTTTTTTTTTTTTTGAGACAGGGTCTTGCTCTGTAGCCAAGGCTGGAGTGCAATGGCTCAATCTCAGCTCACTGCAACCTCTGCCCCCACTGAGTTGAAGCAATTCTCCTGCCTCAGCCTCTCAAGTAGAACTGGGACTACTGGCATGTGTCACCACGCCCGGCTAATTTTTGTATTTTTAGTAGAGTCAGGGTTTCACCTTGTTTGCCAGGCTGGTCTCAAACTCCTGGCATCAAGGGATCCATCCGCCTCGGCCTCCCAAAGTGCTGGGATTATAGGCATGAGCCACTGCACCCGGCCCCAGCTAATTTTTTTTTTTTTTTTTTTGAGACGGAGTCTTTCTCTGTCGCCAGTCTGGAGTGCAGTGGTGCGATCTCGGTTCACTGCAACTTCCACCTCCCGGGTTCAAGCAATTCTCCTCGCTCAGCCTCCAGAGTAGCTGAGATTACAGGCACGTGCCAACACGCCCAGCTAATTTTTGTATTTTTAGTAGAGACAGGGTTTCACCATCTTGGCCAGGATGGTCTCGATCTCTTGACCTTGTGATCCGCTCGCCTTGGCCTCCCAAAGTGCTGGGATTACAGGCGTGAGCCACCGCGCCCAGCCCCAGCTAATTTTTTTATTTTTTTTTGTAGAGACTGTGTCTTGCTATGTTGTCCAGGCTGGTCTCTAACTCCTAGGCTCAAGTGATCCTCCCTCCTCGGCGTCCCAAAATGTTGGGATTACAGGTGTAAGCCACCATATCTGGCCAAAGGGGCTTTATTTTACCTACCACAGCATCCGTGGGGGCCAAAATCATAAGATGGGGGGCCCACAGGACACTTCCTGAGGGAGGTGATGTGTGGGTTTAGTTCTGGAAGATTGCAGGGCTGGTGGGGGATTGTGCTATGCGGGAAGAGGATTCCAGGCTGAGAGAACAGAG
Organism: Homo sapiens; assembly: GCF_000001405.40. Lineage (NCBI taxonomy): Eukaryota > Metazoa > Chordata > Mammalia > Primates > Hominidae > Homo > Homo sapiens. The sequence goes on along the minus strand of NC_000019.10, from coordinate 8,029,570 downwards.
TCCATAGAACAGCAGGATCCTAAATATCTACCCCAGACGCCACCTGGAAGCTCTGTTTGGGAAAGTACAGTTCTCATCTGGGGTCGATTTTTCCCCAGGGGACACCTGGCCCGTGCCTGGAGAGAGATTTGGCTGTCACCACTGGGAGGCTGGGGGGGCGGTGGGCTGCCAGAGAGCTGCTAAATAATCTAGACTGCACAGGACCGCCCCCTACCAGGAAGAATCAGCCAGCCCGCAGAGTAGCTTAGAGGGCGAGAATCCCTCTGTCCTCATCCCTCCGGACTCAGAGGGGCTTTCCACCAGGGGCAGCTGGAAGGGTTTATTGGGTGACCTTTGGCCTTTCTAACCCTGCCCCCCGCCCCCCACCCTGTCTCCCGCCTTTCTTGGGAAAAGCTGATTTTAGTTCCTGGTGACCCTTGGCCTCCTCAGGGAACACAAGCATTTGTGTGGGCTGATGGTTTCTACCTCTGGAATGTGACTGCTCCGCCTGGCCTGGGCCCTGGAGGACGAGGGATCTAAGAATAGTGACGTTTTTCCCCCCACCCCTAGGCCTGGCCCACTCTGGCCTCCAGATCCCAGGCCCCTCACTGTGCTGGAAGAGGTGGTCAGGCAGACAATGTCCGAGGGAAACGTCTGGAGCCTGTGCTGGTCACTGGGCCGGGGAATGAGCTGGTTCATTCATGGGGCACGGGGCAGAGGTGATGGATCTGCGGAGGAGGGGCTTGGTTGGGGTGGTGGGTCTGCACCTTGTCAGCACCCCACACCCCCCAACCCCAGGCCTGCCCTGTTTTCCCTACAGCTCCTTGTCCCTGCTGCCTCTGAAGGACTTACGTCACTGATCCCCTCAATGGCCACCCCTTGGAGTCGGCAGGTTCTCCTTGGGCTGAAGCAGGAGTCGGGTGCCTCTCTTGCCTACTGGAAAAGGGACCCCAAGCTTGGGAGGTCTGATCCAGTGGGGCAGGGGCCCTGGTGCCAATGCCGGAGAGGAACTGGTCCCTGGGGGCCTCATGTCCACTGGGATGTCATAAACCCACCTGGTGTCCTCAAGACGGGCCCTCGAAGGCAGGGCTCACTGCTTGTTCATTTGGTCTGAAAGCCTTGGCTGCCTCATGGGTGCCAGGCCCCCCATGCTGGGCACTGGGGATGCCAAGGGGGACAGATCCCCGCCTCCTTCCTGAAGGAGCCTGCATTGACCCAGGAGAGCAGGGCTCACATTTGCTGATGTCTCAGTCAAGAGCCAGGCCCTGCACTGGATGCAGGAGCTGTGGTTGAGGGCAAAACAGCTGTGTTTCTGGGGGACAGTGTAGGGAGATGTCAGCCACAGGAAGGAAAGGCAGTGGGGATCTGGGTAAATAAAACCCCAGGGGCTGGGTGCAGTGGCTCATGTCTGTAATCCCAGCACTTTGGGAGGCCGAGGCAGGTGGATCACTGGAGGTCAGGAGTTCAAGACCAGCCTGGCCAACATAATGAATCCCCGTCTCCACTAAAAAAAAAAAAAAAAAAAAAAAAAAAAAAAATCAAAAATTAGCCGGATGCGGTGGCACATGCCTATAATCCCAGCTACTCAGGAGACTGAGGCAGGAGAATTGCTTGAATCTGGGAGGCAGAGGTTGCAGTGAGCTGAGAATGTGCCACTGCACTCCATCCTGGGTGACACAGCAAGCCTCTGTCACTAAAAACAGACAAACAAACCTGGGTGCAATGGTATAAAGAGGAGGACGAGGAAGGCCAGTGTGTGTCCAGGGAAGCCCCTGTACCCTGGAGGGTGGAGGCTAGTTTCAGGGTTTGGCCGTCCCTCCCACGCAGGCCCACCCAGTCCTGGCTCCTGCCTTCTACCTGCTGTGGCTGCAACTGCTCTGGCCAGCCAGGTGACTTCCATGTGACCCCTCCCCAAGCCTGAGCCCCCGATGTATGAAACCCGGTACTCCCACCCAGGCTCCAGGCCAGCCCCATCCGCCAGAGAATGGGGTGTCCAAACCCCAGAATCCTGGCTCCTTGACCTGTGGAAGACCTGGCAAGGAATGAGTGTGGGTAACAAGGGCCACCTGAGGTCCTCTGCGCACCCTGCTGAAACCCCGTGGGCTGTAGCACAGTCATGCGTCCCCTGGGGTGCACCCCAGTAAGAGAGAAGTACATCAGGTGCTGAATGGGAATGAGGATGGAACAAAGATGAAAGACCAGTGAGACTGGGCGATGGCTCATGCCTGTAATCTCAGCACTTTGGGAGGCTGAGGCGGGCGGATCACTGTTGCCCAAGAGTTCAAGACCAGCCCGGGCAACATGGCAAAACCCTGTCTCTACTAAAAATACAAAAAGTAGCTGGGCGTGCTGACACATGCCTGTAATCCCAGCTACTCAGGAGGCTGAGGCATGAGAATCGCTTGAACCTGGGAAGCGGAGGTTGCAGTGAGCCGAGATCGTGCCATTACACTCCAGCCCAGCCTAGGCGACAGAGCAAGACTGTTTCCAAAGAAAAGACCAATACATCCCTTTCCCCAGCCTCAGTTCCTTCCTCTCCCACCAGAATCTGAAGCCACTGCTTTAACTGCACCATTGAGAATGTCCCTATCTCCCCCAAATTTAAGCTTCTTAAGCCTCAGACCCTTGATTGGATGGAGTACCCACAGATGCCACCATGAACCCACGATCTCCCACCCAGCTGGGCTCCTCCCTGCCCCCAGAGCAGCCCCTTGCTGTAAAATGGGGTGAACAGAACTGAACAGGCTGTTACCATGAGGATTTGAGGGCATCAGTACAGCGCTTGGCCCAGGGCCCGGGAGCCACTACCACTCTACAGAGTCACAGGCCTCCTGACCATAACTCCTATGGGTGCGTGATTTACCGGGCCAGCCTGCGTGCTGGGCGTTTAGGTAGTTTCCAACCAGAAGGTAACTTATTAAAGAGCCTAAGACACGTCCTTCTGCAGGCAGCCCTTCCACAAGTGGCTTGGGGTAATTTTCAGTGGTATAATCACAAGCTCAGACTACGAACCCTCTTTTTTTTTTTTTTTTTTTTTTTTGAGATGGAGTCTCGTTCTGTTGTCCAGGCTGGAGCGCAATGGCGCAATTGGCTCACTGCAACCTCCGCCTCCCAGGTTCAAGTGATTCTCATGCCTCAGCCTCTCCAGTAGCCAGGATTACAGGCGTGCACCACCATGCCCGGCTAATTACTGTATTTTTACAGAGCTACTGAGCTCGAACTCCTGACCTCAGGTGATCTGTATTTTTAGAGAGCTACTGAGCTTGAACTCCCAACCTCAGGTGATCTGCCTGTCTCAGCCTCCCAAAGTGCTGGGATTACAGGTGTGAGCCACTGGGCCCGACCTTTTTTTTTTTTATCCATAGAGACAGGATCTTGCTATGTTGCCCCGGCTGGTCTTGAACTCCCAGACTGAAGCAATTCTCCTCCTGCCTCAGCCTCCCAAAGTGCTGGGATTACAGGTGTGAGCCACCACGCCTGGCCTATGAACCCTCTTATATGCTGGGTGTGCATTGTCCAAAGGGTCTTTCCAATTGAAGTGGCAGCCACCCCTTTGGAAAGCAAGTGTTTTTTGTTTGTTTGTTTGTTTTTTGAGACGGAGTCTCACTCTGTGACCCAGGCTGGAGTGCAGTCGCATGATCTCTGCTCACTGCAATCTCCATCTCCCGGGTTTACACCATTCTCCTGCCTCAGCCTCCCAAGTAGCTGGCGCCCGCCATCACGCCCGGCTAATTTTTTGTACATTTAGTAGAGACAGGGTTTCACCATGTTAGCCAGGATGGTCTTGATTTCCTAACCTCGTGACCCACCCACCTCGGCCTCCCAAAGTGCTGGGATTACAGGCGTGAGCTACCGCGCCTGGCCAGAAAGCAAGTGTTGGGGTCCCGGCAGCATTGGAATGATCCTTGCTGTGACCAACCCTGGCCAACAGGCCCTCCCTTGATGCCCAATACATCCACTCTTAGGCTCCTAGACCCCCCGCTTATCCTCCTGGGAATTGTCTGTTTCTGATCTTTGCACCTTTGGTGCTTATCAATTTGCATGAGCTCTTAATAGACTGATAACACCTGGTGCCACAGTTTCAATGTTCGTTTCCTCCAAAACTCACGTTGAAACTTAATCCTTGATGTGGCCGTGTTGACAGAGGTGGGGCCTTTAAGGGGTGACTGGGTCATGAGAATTCTGCCCTCATGAACTGATTAATCCATTCCTGGGTTAACAGATCCATGGGTTAATAGATAATGGGTTATCATAGGAGGGCAACTGGTGGCTTTGAAAGAATAGGAAGAAGGGGCCGGGCGCGGTGGCTCGCGCCTGTAATCCCAGCATTTGGGAGGCCAAGGCAGGCGGATCACGAGGTCAGGAGATTGAGACCATCCTGGTTAACACGGTGAAACCCCATCTCTACTAAAAAAATACAACAAATTAGACGGGCGCAGTGGCGGGTGCCTGTATTCCCAGCTACTTGGGAGGCTGAGGCGGAGAATGGCATGAACCCGGGAGGTGGAGCTTGCAGTAAGCCGAGATCGCGCCACTGCACTCCAACCTGGGCGACACAGCGAGACTCGGTCTCAAAAAACAAAACAAAAAAAAAAATAGGAAGAAGTCCAGTCATGGTGGCTCACGCCTATAATCCCAGCACTTTGGGAGGCCAAGTCAGGCAGATCACCTGAGGTCAGGAGTTCAAGACCAGCCTGGCCAACATGGTGAAACCCCATCTCTACTAAAAATACAAAAATTAGGCCAGGCGTGGTGGCTCATGCCTGTAATTCCAGCACTCTGGGAAGCTGAGGCGGGTGGATCACCTGAGGTCAGGAGTTTGAGACCAGCCTGGCGAACATGGTGAAACCCTCTCTACGAAAAACACAAAAAATTAGCTGGGCATGGTGGTGGACGCCTATAATTCCAGCTACTCGGGAGGCTGAGGGAGGAGAATCTCTTGAACCCAGGAGGTGGAGGTTGCAGTGAGCTGAGATCGAGGCACTCCAGCCTGGGCAACAAGAGAGAAACTCTATCTCAAAAAATAAATAAATAAAAATAAAAACCACAAAAATTAGACTGGTGTGGTGGTGCATGCCTGTAATCCCAGCTACTCAGGAGGCTGAGGCAGGAGAATTGCTCAAACCCTGGAGGCAATTGAACCCTGGAGATTGCAGTGAGCCAAGATCACTCCAGCCTGGCGATAGAGTGAGACTCCATCTCAAAAATAGAGAAAAGAAAAAAGGCCAGGCATGGTGGCTCATGCCTGTAATCTCAGCACTTTAGGAAGCCAAGGCGGGAGGATCACCTGAGGTCAAGAGTTCAAGACCAGTCTGGCCAACATGGTGAAACCTTGTCTCTACTAAAAATACAAAAAAAAATTAGCTGGGTGTGATGGCGGGCACCTGTAGTCCCAGCTACTCAGGGAGGCTGAGGCAGGAGAATCGCTTGAACCAACGAGGCAGAGGTTGCAGTGAGCCAAGCTCGCACCATTACACTCGCTGCAACCTCCGCCTCCTGAGTTCAAGCAATTCTCAGGTGATCAGCCCTCCTTGGCCTCCCAACATGCTAAGATTACAGGGGTGAGACACTGCACCCTGCCAACCCCCAGCTAATTTTTATTTTATTTTTATTTTTTGATATGGAATTTTGCTCTGTCGCCTAGGCTGGAGTGCAGTGGTGCAATCTTGGCTCACTGCAACCTCTGCCTCCCAGGTTCAAGCAATTCTCCTGCCTCAGCCTCCTCAGTAGCTGGGATTACAGGCTCCCGCCATCACGCCTGGCTAATTTTTGCATTTTTAGTAGAGATGGGCTTTCACCATGTTGGCCAGGCTGGTCTCAAGCTCCTGACCTCAGGTGATCTGCCTGCATTGGCCCCCCAAAATGCTGGGATTACAGGCATGAACCACCCAGCCCGGACTTAATTTTTCAAAGATGTTTTAAAGTTAGAGTCTTGCTATGTTGCCTAAGGGAACTCCTGGCTTCAAGTAACACTCCTGACTCAGCCTCCGGCATAGGATGAAATTACATTCAACCCTGAAAAGGAATGAAGTACTAACTCCTTCTACAATAGCACGTGAACCTTAAAAACATGCTCAGTGAAAGAAGCCAGACACAAAATAATGCACTGGATAAGATTCCATTTATATGAAGTATCCGGAGTAAAAAAATCCGTGGAGTCAGGAAGTAGACCAGTGGGTTCCAGGGATGGGGAGTGACAGGTAATGGGTACAGGGTTTCTTTCTGGGGCGATGAAAATATTCTGGAGACCGGGCATAGTGGCTCACACCTGTAATCTCAGCACTTTCGGAGGCCGAGACAGGTAGATCACTTGAGGTCAGGGGTTTGAGACCAGCATGGCCAACACGGAGATATCCCATCTCTACTAAAATACAAAAGTTAGCTGGGCGTGGTGACACGCACATGTAGTCCCAGCTACTCGGAAGGCTGAGGCGGGAGGATCACTTGAACCCAGGAGGCGGAGGTTGCAGTGAGCCGAGATTGCACCACTGCACTCCAGCCTGGGTGACAGAATGAGACTCCATCGAAGAAAGAAAGAGAGAGAGAGGGAAAGAGGGATGGAAGGAAGGAAGGAAGGGAGAAAGAAAGAGAAAGCAGGAAAGAAAGAGAGAGAGAGAAAAAGAAAAGAGGCCAGGCGCGGTGGCTCACGCCTGTAATCCCAGCACTTTGGGAGGCCGAGGCAGGTGGATCACAAGGTCAGGAGATCGAGACCATCCTGGCTAACACAGCGAAACCCCGTCTCTACTAAAAAATACAAAAAATTAGCTGGGCGTGGTGGTGGGTGCCTGTAGTCCCAGCTACTTGGGGGGTGAGGCAGGAGAATGGCGTGAACCCGGGAGGCGAAGCTTGCAGTGAGCCGGGATCACGCCACTGTACTCTAACCTGGGCGACAGAGCGACACTCTATCTCCAAAAAAAAAAAAAAAAAAAAAAAAAAAAAGAGAAAAAGAGAGAGAGAAAGAAAGAAAGAAAGAAAGAGAGAGAGAAAGAGAGAGGAATGGAAGGGTTATAGGTAGGATCCAGAAAGTGAACTCTGGAAAACGTCCCGAGCTGGCTGAGGCCAGTGACCCGTGTTATCTTGTGCGTGGTGTTAGAGAGGCTGCAATTCTGTGACAAGCGGTGGAGAGGTCTGTGCTGCCCTCTGGGTCGCTGACCCCCACGTTGTTTACTGGACAGCCACCAAGAAGGTGCGTTAAGTGCCCTGCTCGGTGCCTGCTTTAAACAGGCTCTCGAGGTGGTGGCACCGGTACTGCCTGCCTTGTACAAATAAACGAACTGCGGCTGGGGAAAGTGAAGTAATTCCTAAAGTTAAGCCTGGTGGCCAGGCACGGTGGCTCACACCTGTAATTCCAGCACTTTAGGAGGCTGAGGCGGGCCGATCATTTGAGATCAGGAGTTCGCGACCAGACTGCCCAACATGGTGAAACCCCGTCTCTACTAAAAATACAAAAAAATTAGCCGGGCATGGTGGCGGGTACCTGTAATCTCAACCACTCAGGAGGCTGAAGCAAGAGAATCGCTTGAATCTGGGACGCAGAGGTTGCCGTGGGCAGAGATCATGCCACTGCACTCCAGCCTGGGTGACAGAGCAAGACCCTGTCTTAAATAAATAAATAGGCCAGGCGCGGTGGCTCACGCCTATAATCCCAGCACTTTGGGAGGCCGAGGCAGGCGGATCATGAGGTCAGGAGATCAAGACCATCCTGGCCAACAGGGTGAAACCCCCATCTCTACTAAAAACACTAAAATTAGCTGGGTGTGGTGGCACGTGCCTGTAATCCCAGCTACTCAGGAGGCTGAGGCACGAGAATCGCTTGAACCCAGGATGCGGAGGTTACAGTGAGCCGAGATCACTCCAGCCTGGCGACAGAGTGAGACTCCATCTCAAAAATAAACAAATAAATAAAGTAAGTAAGTAAGTAAGCCTGGTATTTCTGTGCCTGCTTTGGGGCCAGTCTCTTTGAGACAGAACTGTGCACAAGGTAGAACGGCCAAAGTGTCGTGGCTGCAAGGACTCTGCACACAGCACACTGTGGCCACCTGCCCCTCCAACTCTGACCTCATCCAGGAAGCGAACTCCAAACTGCTGCTAACCTGAAAATAAACTCAACTGCCTGAGAAAAAATAAAGCCTCTAATCTTCTATGACCGATCTCACTGGCGCTTGAGATGGCATCAGATTGAAGTTGGGCCTCAGAAGAACACAGGGCTTCTAGAAGGTTCTTCCGGCTTTTTGGAGCTTGCCCGGCTTCTGTTTTCAGAGTGGGCAGTGAACTGGGGTGGGCTATGATGCTTCAGCTCTGTGTGGGGGCTGACAAGTGAACTGCTCGCCTGACAGGCACACCCATTTCTTATGATGTCCCCAGAATAACTCCATCCCATATATGGAACCCTCCAGAATTCTGAGAGAGAATGGCTTTCCCCCACATCTGTCTCTAATTGACCTGGCTGCCACCTTCTCCACATTTCACTGGTCACCCAGGGTCCTGCTGACCCCACATCTTAAACATCTGGAATCAGCCTCCTTCTCTCCAGAACCCTCCAGCACTCCTCCGGCCACCAGTCCACTTTGCCGTCTCTCTTTCAGTTGTCTAGATGGCCTCCCTGGAGGCCTCCCCCTTCTCATGTTGTATCTTCTACTTGCCCCAGGTTCCCGCGGAAAGAAGGAAAAAAGGAAGGAAGGAAGGAAGGAGAGAGAAAGAGAAAGAAAGGAGGGAAGGAGGGAAAAGAAAAGAAAGGAAGGAAGGAAGGGAGACAGAAAGAAAGGAAAGAAAGAGAGAAATTAAGAGACAGAGACGGCCGGGCACCATGGCTCACGCCTGTAATCCCAGCACTTTGGGAAGCCGAGGTGGGTAGACCACCTGAGGTTGGGAGTTCGAGACCAGCCTGATCAACATAGAGAAACCCCACCTCTAATAAAAATACAAAATTAGCCCCGCATGGTGGCACATGCCTGTAATCCCAGCTACTCGGGAGGCTGAGGCAGGAGGAAAATTGCTTGAACCCAAGAGGCAGAGGTTGCGGTGAGCCAAGATCACGCCATTGCACTCCAGCCTAGGCAACAAGTGCGAAACTCCGTCTCAAAAAAAAAAAAAAAGAGAGAGAGACTCACGTAAGTCTCTCAGTTTTAAACTCTTTCAGTTAAAAGATAAATTCTTTGTTTGTTTGTTTGTTTGTTCAAGACAGATCTCACTCTGTCGCCCAAGCTGGAGTGCAGTGGCACGATCTCACCTCACAGCAACCTCCGACTCCTGGGTCCAAGCGATTCTCCTGCCTTTCTCCTGCCTCAGCCTCCCAAGTAGCTGGGATTACAGGCATGTGCCACCATGCCCGGCTAATTTTTGTACTTGTATTTGTATTTTTATATATATTGTTTGAGATGGAGTTTCACTCTTGTTGCCCAGGTTGGAATGCAGTGGCATGGTCTCAGCTCACTGCAACCTCCACTTCCCGGGTTCAAGCGATTCTCCTGCCTCAGCCTCCTGAGAGTAGCTGGAATTACAGGCGCCCGCCACCAAGCCCGGCTAATTTTTGTATTTTTAGTAGAGATGGGGTTTCACCATGTTGGCCAGGCTGGTCTTGAACTCCTGACCTCAAGTGATCTGCCCACCTCAGCCTCCCAAAGTGCTGGGATTACAGGCGTGATCCACCGCGCCCGGCCAATAAATTTTCAATGCCCACCCCCTTTTAGTTCCTTGCGGCTACTGTAACAAATAACCACAACCCTGGTGACTTAAAACAACTATTTTATTTTATTTATTTTAATTTTGTTGTTGTTGGTGGTGGTGGTGGTTTTTTTTTGTTTTTGAGATGGGAGTCTCGCTCTGTTGCCCAGGCTGCAGTGCAGTGGCGCAATCTCGGCTCACTGCAAGCTCCACCTCCCGGGTTCACGCCATTCTCCTGCCTCAGCCTGAGTAGCTGGGACTACAGGCGCCCACCACCACGCCCCGCTAATTTTTTGTATTTTTAGTAGAGACGGGGTTTCACTGTGTTAGCCAGGATGGTCTTGATCTCCTGACCTCGTGATCTGCCCGCCTCAGCCTCCCAAAGTGCTAGGATTACAGGCGTCAGCCACCGTGCCCAGCTATTTATTTTAATTTTAGACAGGGCCTCACTCTGTCGCCCAGGCTGGAATGCTGTGGTGCGATCATGGCTCACTGCAGCCTCAGCCTTCTGGGCTCAGTTGATCTTCCCACCTTAGTCTCCCAAGTAGCTAAGACTAGAGGCACATGCCACCACGCCCAGCTAATTTTATTTTTTGTACAGATGGGGTTTCACCATTGCCCAGGCTAGTCTCAAACTCCTGAGCTCAAGCAATCTGTCCACCTCAGCCTCCCAAAAATGCTGGAATTACATATATAAGCCACCGCATCCAGCCCAAAGCAGCACATTTTTATTATCTTACAATCCTGGGGTCAGAAGTCTGAAATTAGTTCTTACTAGGTTCTAAAATCAAGGTGTGCGCAGGGCTGGTTCCTTCTAGAGGCTCCAAGGGAGAATCCATTTCCCTGCATTTTCCAACGTCTAGAGGCCGCCTGAATTCCTTGGCTTGTGGCCCTTTCCTCCACCTTCAAGCCAGCAGTGCAGCCTCTTCCAATCTCTGATTCTGACCATCCTGCCTCCCTCTTATAAGGACCCTGTGATGCCATTGGGTCACCCACATCATCCAGAATGATCTCCCATCTCTTTTTTTTTTTTTTTTTTTTGAGATGGAGTCTTACTCTGTTGCCCAGGCTGAAGTGCAGTGGTGCGACCTTGGCTCACGGCAACCTCAGCCTCCCAAGTAGCTGGGACTACAGGCGTGTGCCACCACACCTGGCCAATTTTTGTATTTTTAGTAGAGACAGGGTTTCACCATGTTGGCCAGGCTGGTCTCAAACTCCTGGCCTCAGATGATCCGCCCGCCTCAGCCTCCCAAAGTGCTGGGATTATAGGCATGAGCCACCATGCCTGGCCCATCTCAAAATCTTCAACCAGGTTGGGCACGGTGGCTCATGCCTGTAATCCCAACACTGGGAGGCTGAGTTGGGAGTATCACTTGAGGCCAGGAGTTCAATAAAACCAGCTTGGGCAACATAGTGAGACCCCATCTCTATTTTTTTTTTTTTTTAATTAGCTGGGCATTATGTCTGTAGCCCCAGCTACTCAGGAGGCTAAGCCAGGCGGATCACTTGAGACTAAAAGTTTTGAGGCTGTAGTGAACTGTGATCGTGCCACTGCACTCCAGCCTGGGTGACAGAGCAAGACCCTATCTCTTAAAGAAAAAAAAAAAGACCCTTAAGCCTGCCGTGTGAGGTACCATATTCATGGGTTCCAGGGTATCAGGACATGGAAGTCTCTGCGGGGGATCCACCAGTGTTTTCTGAAAAGGGCTTCACAGCAAATACTCGGGGCTTTCTAGGGCACACGGTCTCTGTTGCTGTGTACCCTACATGACATAATGTGCATGGTCTGATGCAAAATAAAAACCTGGGGCCCTTCAATCATAAAGAACTTCAGAACAGGGACAGTGGAAGGGCAGGGCCCCGTGTGAGGCAGTGTGCACATCCATGAAGCGCGTCCTGTGCACCACTTCCGCCTCTATGACAGCTCAAGAGCGTCCCCTGGCCACACACAAAGGAGAGGCGTGGCTGTGTTACTGTCAAACTTTATGGACGCTGAAACTTGCATTTCATGTAATTTTCACATGTCACAAAACGCTACTGTTATTTTTCCAACTGTGGAAAAATCATTCTTGGCTCACGGGCCGCCGGAAAACAGGCATGGGCTGAATCGGGCTGTTGTGGGCTGACTACGTGGGCTATGGGATCACATCAGATCTTCTCTGCCCGACTTTCCAGGGCTCCTCAAGGCCAGTGCCACCTCACTGTGATCTCCCCTCCGAACCGGCACCCCTGCTCCCTGAATGATCCTCCCTGACAAATTTGTGCCGTTACTCCTGTCGGTCCCTCTGTCTGGAACTCCCCACCTCTCTTCTCTGCCTAGCCGACCCTTCCTCATGGATTAATGTGGCCCCAACACTGCCCTCCATGGGAGGCCGATCTGTGCCCGTCCCTTGTCACGTTGGGTGGATTTATGTGTCCACGTGTCCATCGTTGCCTCAGGGCAGTGATGTCCTCTAGAACAGGGACTTGGGCTCAGTCAGCTTCTCTGTCTCCTGACCTCCTGGACTCACAATAGCTTGTGCTGAAGGAACAGACAGGGACTGAGAGGGACAGCAAGAGTACCCCGAACTACCGTGGCCGATTCCTACTCCCCAGGATCAAGACTATGCTTCTCATTTAAAAAAAAAAAAAAAGCAAAACAGAGCCAGATGTGGTGGCTCATGCCTGTAATCCCAGCACTTTGGGAGGCCAAGGCGGGTGGATCACTTGAGGTCAGGAGTTCGAGACTAGCCTGGCCAACATGGCAAAACCCTGTCTCTACTAAAAATACAAAAAAATTAGCTGAGCATGGTGGTGCGCACCTGTAATCCCAGCTACTTGGGAGCCTGAGGCAGAAGAATTGCTTGAACCCGGGAGGCGGAGGTTGCAGTAAGCCGAGATCTTGCCATTGCACTCCAGCCTGGGCGACAAAAGCAAAACTCCATCTCATAAAAAACTAAAAATAAAAGTGTAATCTGCTATCAGCGGAGGTTGCAGTGAGCCAAGATTGTGCCACTGCACTCTAGCCTGGATGACAGAGACAGACTCCATCTCAAAAAAAAATAAATAAATAAAAGGGCAAAATCAGATAAGAACTTCCTATCTCACAATCAGAGCAGGCAAATAAAGATCTTTGAGACCAAGCAGACCTGGGTTTTGTTTTTTTAGAAAATTTTTTTTAGAGACAGGGTCTTGCTGTCACCCAGGCTGGAGTGCAGTGGCACGATCACGGCTCATGGCAACCTCAAACTTCTGAGCTCAAGGGATCCTCCCACCTCAGCCACCTGACTAGCTGGACAACAGGCACATGCCAGCACGCCTGGTTAAGTTTTTTTTTTTTTTGAGATGGAGTCTCGCTCTGTCGCCCAGGCTGGAGTACAGTGGCACGATCTCGGCTCACTGCAAGCTCCGCCTCCCGGGTTCACACCATTCTCCTGCCTCAGCCTCCCCAGCAGCTGGGACTACCGGCGCATGCTGCCATGCCCGGCTAATTTTTTGTATTTTTAGTAGAGACGGGGTTTCACCATGTTAGCCAGGATGGTCTCGATCTCCTGACCTTGTGATCCTCCCGCCTCGGCCTCCCGAAGTGCTGGGATTACAGGCGTGAGCCACCGCGCCCAGCTGCCTGGTTAAGTTTTAAAAATTTTTGTAGAGACAGAGTCTTGCTTTGTTGCCCAGGCTGGTCTCAAACTCTTGGCCTCAAGGGATCTTCCTGCCTCAGCCTCCCAAAGTGCTGTAATTACAGGTGTGAGCCCCAGCCACCTGCCCCCGGTTCCAAAGATTGTAAAAGTGGGTTATTTAACTTAGTTCTCACAGTGCCCTCAGGAAGTGCGGTTGACCCTTGAACACACACTCCCCCAAAACTTAACCACCAATAATAGCCCACTGTCGACTGGAAGGCTTACTCATAACATACACAGTCCATTAACACATATTCTGTATTTTATTTGTATCATATATTTTTATGATAAAGTAAGACAGAGAAAACAAGATGTACTTTAAAAAATCATTAGGAAGAGGCCAGGCAAGGTGGCTCATGCCTGTAATCCCAGCACTTTGGGAGGCCAAGTCAGGCAGATCACCTGAGGTCAGGAGTTTGAGACCAGCCTGGCCAACATAGTGAAACCCCATCTCTACTAAAAATACAAAAATTAGCCGGGCATGGTGGTGGGCGCCTGTAATCCCAGCTACTCGGGAGACTGAGGCAGGAGAATCACTTGAACCTAGGAGGCAGAGGTTGCAGTGAGCCAAGATCATACCACTGTACTCCAGCCTGGGGGATGCAGCGAGACTCTGTCTCCAAAAAAAAAAAAAAAAAAATCATTAGGAAGAGAAAATATATTCATCTTTCATTAAGTGGAAGTGGATCATAACGGTCTTCATCTTCATCATCTTCACTCGGAGTAGGCTAGGAAGAGGAGGAGGAGGGGTTGGTCTCGCTGTCTCACAGGTGGCAGAGGTGGAAGTAAATCCAGCTGTAAGTGGACCTGTGCAGTTCAGACCCAGGTTGTTCAAGGATCACCTGTACTGTGATCACCCCCATTTTATTTATTTTATTTTTTGAGACGGAGTTTCACTCTTGTCTCCCAGGCTGGAGTGTAATGGTGCGACCTCGGCTCACCGCAACCTCTGCCTCCTGGGTTCAAGCAATTCTCCAGCCTCAGCCTCCCGAGGAGCTGGGATTACAGGCACCCGCCACCACGCCCAGCTAATTTTGTATTTTTAGTAGAGACAGGGTTTCTCCATGTTGGTCAGGCTGGTCTCGAACTCCCAACCTCAGATGATCTGCCTGCCTTTGCCTCCAATGTGCTGGGATTACAGGCGTGAGCCACCACACCGGCCTTATTTTATTTTTATTTATTGGAAACAGAGTCTCACTCTGTTGCCCAGACTGGAGTGCAGTGGCGCCATCTCGGCTTACTGCAACCTCTCCCTCTCAGGTTCAAGTGATTCTCCTGCCTCAGCCTCCAGAATAGCTGGGATTACAGGTGTGTACCACCATGCCTGGCTAATTTTTGTATTTTTAGTAGAGATGGGGTTTTACCATATTGGCCAGGCTGGTCTTGAACTCTTAGCCTCAAATGATCTGCCCACTTCAGCCTCCCAAAGTGCTGGGAGTACAGGTATGAGCCACCACATCTGGCCCACCCCCATTTTAGAGATGAGGAAGCTAAAACTCAGAGAGATTAAATGACTCGCCCAAGGTCACACTGCTGGTGAGTGCAGACCCTTTCACAAAAACAAAAAAAAAAAAGAAAAAGAAAAGAAAAGAGCTATTGATGCTGGGTTTGGTGGCTCACGCCTGTAATCCCAGCACTTCAGGAGACCAAGGTGAGTGGATCAGTTGAGCTCAGGAGTTAGAGACCAGGCTGGGCAACATGGTAAAACCCTGTCTCTACAAAAAATACAAAAATTTAGGTGGGCACAGTGGCACACACCTGCAGTCCCAGCTACTTGGGACGTTGAGGTGGGAGGATGGCTTGAGCCCAGGAGGTTGAGGCTGCAGTGAGCCAAGATGGCACCACTGCATTCCAGCCTGGACAACATAGTGAGACCCTGTCTTAAAAAAAAAAAAAAAAAAAAAGGCCAGGCACAGTGGCTCACGCCTGTAATCCCAGCACTTCGGGAGGCCGAGGCGGGTGGATCACAAGGTCAGGAGATCGAGACCATCCTGGCTAACATGGTGAAACCCCGTCTCTACTAAAAATACAAAACAATTAACCAGGCGTGGTGGCGGGCGCCTGTAGTCCCAACTACTCGGGAGGCTGAGGCAGGAGAATGCCGTGAACCCGGGAGGCAGAGCTTGCAGTGAGCCAAGATCGCGCCACTGCCCTCCAGGCTAGGCGAGAATGCGAGACTCCGTCTCAAAAAAACAAACAAAAAAGCTATTGGTGATCTAAAGATCTAAAGAAACAACATTCCAGTAGCAATGAGCACTTCCAGTACCCCAGATCCTGGTTTTCAATATCATTCTCTACTAAAAGGAACCAGGGCCCCCTTGGAGACATGGCTGCTTCTAGGACGAAGGGCAGAAATACACAAGATAGGCCTGCAGCATTTTGTGTTGCCACAAAGTTTAAGGAACTGCTTCGAATAAAACGAACAAACAAAAAAACCACTGAAAAACACATTGATGGGGATATGTCAAAGGGCCACAGGAGCCAAATTAAAGAGTGGTAGACGGCCAAAGCTGGAACAATTTGACCGACAAAATACAGTAGTATTGGGTTATAACACAAAGCATAAAATAAACATCCAGGCCAGGTACAGTGGCTCATGCCGGTAATCCCGGTAATCACTGCCTTGGGAGGCCAAGGCAGGCGGATCATCTGAGGTCGGGAGTTCGAGACCAGCCTGACCAACATGGAGAAATCCCATCTCTACTAAAAATACCAAATTAGCCGGGCATGGTGGCACATGCCTGTAATCCCAGCTACTTGGGAGGCTGAGGCAGGAGAATCGCTTGAACCCAGGAGGTGGAGGTTGTGGTGAGCCGAGATCATGCCATTGTACTCCAGCCTGGGCAACAAGGGCAAAACTCCATCTCCAGAGTAAAATAAATAAATAAATAAATATCCAGCATTCCATCCTGATATAATTCAATGACCTAGTAAGTGGGGGAGAGCGAGATAAATCTCCCACGTGGAAGGATTCTAGAAAACTTATGTTTCAGCTGTGGACAAGCTTAAAAAATAATAATAATTTATGTAGGGCCAGATGTAGCGATGCAAATCATAACCCTAGAACTTTGGGAGGCCAAGGCAGGAGGAGTGCTTGAGGCCAGGAGTTCCAGACTAGCCTGAACAACATAGTGAGATCCCAGCTCTACAAAAAAATACAAAAAGTAGCCAGATGTGATCACGTGCACCTGTAGTCCCAGCTACTAGAGAGGCTGAGGTGGAAGGATCTCTTGAGCCTAGGAAGTTGAGGCTGCAGTGAGCCATGATCACACCACTGCACTCCAGCCTGGGCAACACAGCAAGACTCTGTCTCTAAAATTAAAAAAAATTTATGTAGACAGTCTACCCTTAAATAAATAGAGTATAACCTTCCACAACTTAGGTGTGGGCTACGCATAGTGACTTCCTTCCACAGTATTAAAAAAAAAAAAAAAAAAAAAAAAAAAAAAAAGGACTGGGCACGGTGGCTCATGCCTCTAATCCCAGCACTTTGGGAGAACAAGACGGGTGGATCACCTGAGGTCAGGAGTTCAACACCAGCCTGGCCAACATGGTGAAACCCCGTCACTACTGAAAAATACAAAATTAGCTAGGCATGGTGGTGCACACCTGTAATCCCCACGCTGGAGTGTAGTGGCACAATCTTGGCTCACTGCAACCTCCGCCTCCCAGGTTCAAGCAATTCTCATGCGTCAGCCTCCAGAGCAGCTGGGACTACAGGTGTGTACCACCACATCCAGCTAATTTTTATACTTTTTTAGTAGAGATAGGGTTTCACCATGTTGGCCAGGCTGGTCTCGAACTCCTGACCTCAAGTGATCCACCTGCCTCTGTCTCCCAAAGGGCTAGGATTAGAGGCGTAAGCCACAGTGCCCGGCCGGGACCCTGTCTCTTTAAATAAATAAATAATAAATTTGATAGGATGTATCCTTGATATGGTGTGATTAAATTGATACTTTATTACCTTGATCTTGCTGCCAAAAACGTGTATCTTATGAGAAAAACTCCAGATAAATTCCAAAAGAGGGACACTCTTACCAAAATACCTGACCGGCACTCCTCAAAACTGTCAAGATCATCAAAAACTAGGGAAATCTGAGAATCTGTCATAGCCAAGAAGAGCCTAATGAGATAAGAGAACTAAAAGTGAGATGGACTGGCCAGGCGCAGTGGCTCATGCCTGTAATCCCAGCACATTGGGAGGCCGAGCAGGTGGATCACTTGAGGTCAGGAGTTCAAGACCAGCCTGGCCAACATGGCGAAACCCCGTCTCTACTAAAAATACAAAAATTAGCCACGCATGATGGCAGGTGCCTGAAGTCCGAGCTACTTAGGAGGCTGAAACGGGAGGATCACTTGAACCCAGGAGGTGAAGGCTGCAGTAAGCCGAGATCGCGCCACTGCGCTCCAGCCTGGGTGACAGAGCGAGACTCTGTCTCAAAAAAAAAAAAAGTGAGATAGTCTCCTGGGTGGGATCCTGGGAGAGAAAAAAGATACTAGGGCAACACAAAGGAAGACTAAATAAACTCTGACCTTCAGTTAATAGCAAAGTATCAGTATTGGTCCATTAACTGCAACAAATTATCATTATTAATTTGTTACCAATATGTTACTCATTTGTAACTAAAATATGTTACTAATAGAGAATAATGGTAACTCTGTTTTTTTGTTTGTTTTTAACACAGGGTCTGGTGGCTCACGCCTGTAATCCCAGCACTCTGGGAGGCCAAGGCAGGTGAATCACCTGAGGTCAGGAGTTGGAGACCAACCTGGCCAACACAGTGAAAACCCATCTCTATTAAAAATACAAAAATTAGCTGGGTATGGTGGTGGGCGCATGTAATCCCAGCTACTCGGGAGGCTGAGGCAGGAGAATCGCTTGAACCCAGAAGACGCAGATAGGAGTGAGCCAAGATCACACCACTGCACTCCAGCCTGGGCGATAGAGTGAGAGTCGGTCTCAAAAAAAAAAGAAAAAAAAAAAAAAAAAGGACAGGGTCTGGCTATGTTGCCCAGGCTGGTCTGCAACTCCTGGGCTCAGAGATCCTCCCACTTTAGCCTCCCAAGTAGCTGGGATTATAAGTACCTGCCACTGCACCAGGCCTGGTAACTCTCTACTACTACTTTGGAAGTATTTCTGTAAATCTAAAATTTTTCTTTTTTCTTTTTTTTTTTTTTTTTTTTTGAGATAGGGTCACACTCTGTCACCCAGAATAGAGGGCAGTGGTGCAATCACAGCTCACTGTAGCCTTGACCTCCCAGGCTTAACCAATCCTCCCACCTCAGCCTCCCCAGTAGCTGGGAGCACAGGTGTGTGCCACCACACCCAGCAAATTTTTTAAATTTTTACTAGAGATGGGGGTCTTGCTATATTACCTGGGTTGGTCTCAAACTCCCGGCCTCAAGAGATCCTGCTGCCTCAGCCTCCCAAAGTGCTGGGATTACAGGTGTGAACCACTGTGCTGGGTCTAAATTTTTCTAAAAAATAAGGTCTTTTTTTTTTTGAGACAGAGTCTCACTCTGTTGCCCATCACCCCAATCTCAGTTTAAAACGTTTCCTTTTCCCTTTTTTTTTTTTTTTTGATATGGAGTTTGGCTTTTGTTGCCCAGGTTGGAGTGCAGTGGCGTGATCTCGTTTCACTGCAACCTCCACCTCCCAGGTTCAAGCGATTCTCCTGCCTTAGCCTCCCGAGTAGCTGGGATTACAGGCGCCCACTACCATGCCTGGCTAATTTTTCTATTTTTAGTAGAGATGGGGTTTCTCTATGTTGGCTAGGCTTGTCTTGAACTGCTGACCTCGTGATCTGCCCGCCTCGGCTTCCCAAAGTGCTGGGATTATAAGCGTGAGCCACCACACCTGGCCTATTTCTAGGATTTCACAGGAGGATGTCCATAAAGCATTTGCCATGAAGGACCCACTTAATTCAGAGGACTTGTCAACACTATACCAACCCTATGCTGTCCACTATAGGAGCGACTAGCCCTATATGGTTATTTAAATTTGAATTAATTAAAAACTTACGCTCAGTTTTTTTTTTTTTTTTTGACATGGGGTTTTGCTCTGTTGCCCAGGCTGAAATGTTGTGGCATGATCACAACTCAATGCAGTCTCGAACTCCTGGGCTTGAGGAATCCTCTCAACTCAGCCTTTCAAGCAGCTGAGACTAAAGGCCCACACCATATCACCTGGCTTATTTTTTTATTTTTGGTAGAGATGGGGGCTTGCTATGTTGCCCAGGCTGGTCTTGAACTCCTGGCCTCAAGTTATCCTCCCACTTTGGCTTCCCAAAGTGCTGGAGATTACAGGCATGAGCCACCGTTGTCTGGCCAGAAAGTCAGTTCTTTAATGGTACCAACCATGTGCCAAGTGCAAAAAAAAAAAAAAAACCCTACAAAACACACATGGAGGCCAGGTGCAACAGCTCATGCCTGTAAGCCCAGCACTTTGGGAGGCCGAGGTTGGTGGATCACCTGAAGTTGGGAGTTCAATACTGACCTGGTCAACATGATGAAATCCTGTTTCCACTAAAAATACAAAAAAATTAGCCAGGTGTGGTAGCAGGCGGTCCCAGCTACTTGGGAGGCTGAGGCACAAGAATCACTTGAACCCAGGAGGCGGAGGTTGCAGTGAGCCGAGATCAAACCACTGCACTCCAGCCTGGGCGACAGTGCAATATTTCATCTCAAAATAATAATAATAATAATAATAATAATAATAATAATAATAATAATAATAAATAAAAATATAAATATAGGTCGGACGCTGCAGCTCACGCCTGTAATCCCAGCACTTTGGGAGGCCAAGGCAGGCAGATCACGAGGTCAGGAGATAGAGACCATCTTGGCTAACACAGTGAAACCCCGTCTCTACTAAAAATACATGAAAAAATTAGCCGGGTGTGGTGGTGGGCGCCTGTATTCCCAGCTACTCGGGAGGCTGAGGCAGGAGAATGGCGTGAACCAGGGAGATGGAGCTCGCAGTGAGCCGAGATCACACCACTGCACTCCAGCCTGGACGACAGAACAAGACTCCATCTCAAAACAAAACAAAACAAAGCAAAAAATATATATATAAACATTAGCCAGGCGTGGTGGTGCATGCCTGTAGTTCCAGCTACTCAGGAGGCTGAGGCAGAAGAATCGCTTAAACCCAGGAGGCAGAGGTTGCTGTGAGCTAAGATCACACCACTGCACTCCAGCCTTGGCAAAAGAGTGAGACTCTGTCTTAAAAAAAAAAACAAACAGAAAAAAACAAAGAGAGAAAACCCCATGGAGCCAGGGGCTACTGAATTGGACGGTGCTGATATGGAACATGCCCATTATCGTGGGAAGCTCTTCTGGACAGCACTGCGGCAGACAATGAAGAATGTAACTATTTGTTCAGTGCTCTCACCTCTTTTGGGTCCCTCTGCGAATGACAGCTCTTCAGCCTTCCCAACCATCCTCTTTCAAACAGCAACCCCCACATTCCCCATGCTCTTTCCCCAATTTACTTTTCTTCTTAGCCTGTTCACCACTTGACATGGAA
Source organism: Homo sapiens (assembly GCF_000001405.40). Taxonomy (NCBI): domain Eukaryota; kingdom Metazoa; phylum Chordata; class Mammalia; order Primates; family Hominidae; genus Homo; species Homo sapiens. The sequence goes on along the minus strand of NC_000019.10, from coordinate 8,008,741 downwards.
ATCACTTGGTTTCTCTTCTGACTCCCCATCTAGCACTGCACAGTCTGATGCAGTAGCCACTGGTAACGCGTGATGGTTGAGCCCTTGAAATGTAGCCAGTCCGACTGGAGATGTGCGGTGCTGTGCTGTGCTGTGGAGTATAAGATACATACTAGATTTCAAAAGCAGGCAGGGGCCAGGCGCGGTGGCTCACGCCTGTAATCCCAGCACTATGGGAGGCCAGGGCGGGTGGATCACTTAAGGTAAGGAGTTCGAGGCCAGCCTGGGCAACATGGTGAAACTCTGTCTCTACTAAAAACACAAAAAATTACCCGGGCATGGTGGCAAATGTCTGTAATCGCAGCTACTCGGGAGGCTGAGGCAGGAGAATCGCTTGAACCCGGGATGGGGAGGTTGCAGTTAGCCGAGATCCCGCCACTGCACTCCAGCCTTGGCAACAGAGTGAGACTCTGTCTCAAAAAAATAAGAAAAAAAAAGCATGCAGGAAAGAAAAAGGACACAAAGTATCTTCTATTTTGGAAAGATAACAGATGCAAAACATCCTGTATTTTAAAATATTGACTACATGTTTAAATAATAACATATTCAACCTACTGAGTTAAATAAAACACATTACAACTAACATCACCCGTTTCTTTTTACTTATTTTTAAACATGGCTAACAATGTACCAATTTAAATTACATACCTCGCTGACAAATCTGTGGCTTGCTTATACTGTTTTTTTGAGATGTAATTTCCCTCTTTCACCTAGGCTGGAGTGCAGTGGCGGGATCTCGGCTCACTGCAACCTCCACTTTCCAGTTTCAAGCGATTCTCCTGCCTCAGCCTCCCGAGTAGCTGGGATTACAGGCTCCTGCCACCACGTCCAGCTAATTTTTGTATTTTTAGTAGAGACTGGGGTTTCAACATGTTGGCCAGGCTGGTCTCGAACTACTGACCTGGTGATCTGCCCGCCTCGGCCTCCCAAAGTGCTGGGATTACAGGCGTGACCTACTGTGCCTGGCCTGCTTTGTTTATACTTCTATTGCACCGTGATGACCCAGAATGCTGGCTACTATAAAATTTAACAATTAAATGTTAAATTTAACATTTAATTGAGCTAGGTGTGGTGGCACGTGCCTATAATCCCAGCTACTTGGGAGCCTGAGGCAGAAGGACTGCTTGAGGTCAGGAGTTAAACCTGTGGGATGATTGCACCTGTGAACAGCCACTGCACTCCAGCCTGGGCAACACAGTGAGACCCAATCTCTAAAAAGCTTTCCTAGGCCGGGTGGTGGCTCATGCCTGTAATCCCAGCACTTTGGGAGGCCGAGGTGGGTGGATCACTTGAGGCCAGGAGTTTGAGACCAGCCTGGCCAACATGGCAAAACCCCATCTCTACTAAAACCACAAGAATTAGCTGGGTGTGATGTTGCACGCCTGTGATCCCAGCTACTTGGGAGGCTGAGGCACGAGAATCACTTGAATAGGGAGGCAGAGGTTGCAGTGAGCTGAGATCACACCACTGCATTCCAGCCTGCACAGCAGAGTGAGACCCTGTCTCCAAAAAAAAAAAAAAAAAAAAAAAAAACTTCTAAGAAAATATGATTAAAAAAAGAAACAGGCTGGGCACCGTGGCTCCCGCCTGTAATCCCAACACTTTGGGAGGCCAAAGCAGGAGGATCACTTAAGTCTAGAAGTTTGAGACCAGCCTAGGCAATACAGCAAGACCTCATCGCTACAAAAAAATAAAACATTAGCCAGGCATAGTGGCACATCCTGTAGTCTAAGCTACTCAGGAATCTGAAGCCGGAGGATTGATTGCCTGAGCTGGGGAAGTTGAGGCTGCAGTTAGCTGTGATCATACCACCGCACTCCAAATTGGGTGACAGAGTGAGATCCTGTCTCAAAAAAAAAAAAAAAAAAAGAAAAACAAAATTGTAGGCCAGGCGCAGTGGCTCAAGCCTGTAATCCCAGCACTTTGGGAGGCTGAGGCGGGCAGATCACGAGGTCAAGAGATACAGATCATCATGGCCAACACGGTGAAACCCCGTCTCTACTAAAAATACAAAAATTAGCTGGTTGTGGTGGCGCAGCGCCTGTAGGCCCAACTACTTAGGAGGCTGAGGCAGGAGAATCGCTTGAACCTGGGAAGCGGAGGTTGCAGTGAGCGGAGATCACGCCACTGCACTCCAGCCTGGCGACAGAGCGAGTCTCCGTCTCAAATAAATAAATAAATAAATAAAAATAAAAAGACTATTATTTTCAGATCATAAAAAAAAAAAAGAAAAAATTAGGCAGAGTGCAGGCATGCCTGTAATCCCAGCTCTTTGGGAGGCGGAGGCAGGAGAATCGCTTGAGTCCAGGAGTTCGAGACCAGCCTGGGCAACAGAACCAGAGCCCATCTTTACATAAAAAAAAATTAAACATGTAGCTTGCATGTATTTCTACTAGGGCATTCTAGGCCAGCGCTGGTTTAGAATGTTAGCCCAATAAGACCAGGTATTTTTTTTCTGCTCACTGCCCATACAGTGATTGACACACAGTAGGCGCTCAATGACATTTTAATGAATGAATGAGATGCTGAGCCTTCGGGAACTGGCTTGCTCAAAGAGCCAGCACCGATGAAGCGCTGACCACGTTCCATGCCCCGCCTCCTCAGCGCACCAGAGAAGGAAACTGAGGCCCGGCAAGGTGACGTCAGCTCCTGCCCAACGGCACGTAGTGCGGAAACGTCGGGGCCGGGATTCGAACCCAGGTTCTGTACCCGTAACCCCGGCGCGCTGACCTTTCCTACCTTACCGGGCGGCGGCAGGACAGACAGGTGCGGGACACACGGCGAGCGCTCAACCAGAGGCGCCGCTCCTCAGCCACCGCCTTCCGTCAGCCTCCGAGGGCCGGAACCCAGTTCGCCCCCTCCGCGGCCATCGCTGGCTGCCCGCGTCTCCGCCGGCCGCGGAGCACTTCGCAGGCGGCGCCGACCGGAAGTCCCGCCTCTCCCGCGCGCCCCGGAGCGCCGCGACAGCTACGCCGGCCAATGAGCAGCGCGCCGTGGCGGACGTCGGCCAATGGGCTCGCGCGCGGGGGGGGCGTGTCCGGGCCGCGGGCCGGAGCGGGTCGTGCGCGCTGAGGAGGAGCCGCTGCCGCCGTCGCCGTCGCCGCCACCGCCGCCACCGCTACCGAGGCCGAGCGGAGCCGTTAGCGCCGCGCCGCCGCCGCCTCCCGCCCGCCCCGGAGCAGCCCCGGGCCCGCCCGCCCGCATCCAGGTGAGGCGGTGGGGGGCCTTCGGCGGCGCCCGACGGGGTAGGCCGCGGCAGGCCTGAGCTCGCCTGGCCTGGCCGCGGGGCGCCCGCGGGCCTGCACCGGCCGAGGCCCAGGCCGCGCCGGACCGGGGGAGGGGACGCGCGCTGGGGCCGCGGCGGGCGGGTCGGGGCGGGCCGGTGTGGGCGCCGGCTACAGGCCCCGGGGCCGGATTCCTCTGGCGCCTCGAGGGACGGGCGAGGGGGATACGGCGTGGGCATGCGCCGGGGGGCCGGGCTGCACGGCCGGGGGCCCCGGTCGCCTTGGAAGCCCGGGCTCCGGGGGCGGGAGAGTGGGGCCAGCTACGGGGGAGCGCCGGGAACGCTTTGAGCGCGCAGAGGTCACGGCCCACGGGCTTGCTCCCCCGGGAAATCCCACAGATTCTTTTGTGGTCGTTGTCAGAGCACCGCGGCCGGTGCGAGGTCCTTTGAGAAGTGTGCAAACCCTTCAGTAGATACACGGGAGTCCTGGGGGAAAAAAAAAATCTAAACTGCATCTTTTTTTGAGCGCCATCTCTAACAAAGCTGTTTGTGGGGCGTGGGACGTTAGGATTTGTAAAATATGTGTGTGTGCCTGTTGGAAACACAAGCTGCACACAGTTGAACAATGGGGGATGGATGCCCTTCCTTCCTTTTCCGGTGCTCTGGGCTGCGGGGCTTGTTAAAATGGGTTTTGGTCCCTACTGTGTGCAGGGCAGGTGGAGAAGAACTTCTGCACAACTTCTGCATGGGCTTCCCGTGGTGGGACTGAGCCCCCTTGCTAGAAAGTGTTCATCTAAGATCCGGATGGCCAGAAATGGGAAGATGAGGAGAATGATCTGTCTAGAGCAGGGTTTCTCGACGTTGGCCCTACTGATGTTTGGGGTCAGATAGTTTTTGGTTGTGGTGGTAGTGGGGGCTTCCCTGTGCAATGTAGGAAGTTGAGCCGTATTCCTGGCCTCTACCCACTAGATGCCAGCAGTATCCCCATGCTCCAAGTCGTGAGGATCAAAAGTATCTCCAAACATTGCCAGATGGCTCGGGTTGCGGGGGAGGGGTCTCTTCCACTCTCACACGCACAGGTGAGAACCATTACTGAACTAAATGCTCTTCCTCCAAAAGTTCTAATGCCCTGGGAGATGCTCCCAAGACCTCGAACAAGCTTGACTCTGTTGAGCCTTAGTTTTCTTATCTATAAAATGGGAAGGACAAAAGTGTGGTGCAAATTGAAGAGGGTGGAAATCCCGTTGCGTTGTGCGTGGTCTGTGCCTGGTAGGCACTGAATAAATGATGTTGTACATAGCCACCAGTATTTATTGAGGATTTACTATGTGCTTGACACTTTGTGGACGTTTGTCTGCAGTCCTTGAGGCAGGTGATGTTATAATTTCCATTAATTTCCATTTTAGAGATGAAGAAACTGAGGCTTAGATGGGTCACTTGATGTGACCAGTCTCATGCACTAAAGTGGCTGCGCCAGGGTTTGAACTCGGGCCCTCTGATTCAAAACCCTTACTCTTAACCACTCGATTGTACTGCTCCTATAATCACAAGGCTCCAGGGCACTCCAGTTGTCATCGAATATTTTCTGTGTGCAAAGTTCTGTGCTGGGATCTATTATCAAATTCTGCAACTTCGAGGCCCACAAAGAGGTTGAGATACACGAACGTCTCAAATGTGGAAGGAAATAATACTGTTTATGTTGATGCATTGGTTTTGAGCAGACAGAGTTTCAGTCTGGATGTGTTGAGTCTGAGATCATGGTGCTATTTCTTTTTTTTTTTTTTTTTTGAGACGGAGTCTCACTCTGCCGCCCAGGCTGGAGTGCAGTGGTGCGATCTCGGCTCACTGCAAGCTCCGCCTCCCGGGTTCACGCCATTCTTCTGCCTCAGCCTCCCGAGTAGCTGGGACTACAGGCGCCGGCTACCACGCCCGACTAATTTTTTGTACTTTTAGTAGAGACGGGGTTTCACCGTGTTAGCCAGGATGGTCTCGATCTCCTGACCTTGTGATCCGCCCGCCTCGGCCTCCCAAAGTGCTGGGATTACAGGCGTGAGCCACCGCGCCCGGACCATGGTGCTATTTCTTTTTTTTTTTTTTTCTTTTTCTTTTTTTTTTTTTTTTTTTGAGACAGTTTCACCCTTGTTGCCCAGGCTGGAGTGCAGTTGTGCCATCTCAGCTCACTGCAACCTCAGCCTCCCAAGTAGCTGGGATTACAGGCAGCCGCCACCACGTCCAGCTAATTTTTTGCATTTTTAGTAGAGGTGGGATTTCGCCTTGTTGAGCAGGCTGGTCTCGAACTCCTGACCTCAGGTGATCCACCCGCCTTGGCCTCCTAAAGTCCTGGGATTACAGGTGTGAGCCACCGCGCCCAGCCCATGGTGCTATTTCAAGTAAAAGAAATGAGAGAATTATGAAAAAACTTTATGAAAATTTCTTGCCTCTCTCACTCTCCGCTTCCCATCTCTTCCCTCTTTCCACACTCCAGCAGGAGTTCTGTTCTGTAAATGCACATCTAATTGTATCCCTTCTGATTTAAAATCTTTGTGCAGAAAAAAGACACGTTTTCTTGACCTCTCTGGTGGCTTAAAAGATAAAGCTAGAAGCCCTTAGTTTGGAGTGCCAGTTCCTTCACACCCTAACCCTCCCCGCCCCTGCACGTAGACCCCAAACTCTAACCCTCCCTGCCTGTTGCAGCCTCCACCTGGAGACAGATCTCTTCCACCTGGAGATCCTTTGCTTATGCTCCATGGCTCAGCCCAGAGCTCACTGGCCGTTTGAAGCCTCGTCTGACTGCCACTCTTCCTCCACCCGCACCGGAATCAACTGTTCCCTCCTTAGTGTTCCCATCCCATTCAGTTTATTGAATCGAATTCAAGGCTGAATGGCGAGAGAAGCGCAGCGCCCGGCTGGCGCCCCTAGGTGGCAGTAGCGAGGCGGTGCGGCCGACCCGAGCTGTGGGTCAGGGGAAGACCAACGGAAGCCAGCCTGTGGGAGGGAAGTGAGGCTCGCTCCCTCCTCTGAACGACTCTCCCTGCTCCGCTGCTGTGTCCTGGGCCCCCGCTAGGCTCTGGAGAGTGTGCATGATGTGTGTAGGTCATCTCAGCCCACTCTGATGAGTGCTGTGAGAATTATGCCCTGGCTGATGTGGAAGCCCAGAAAAGGGACCTGGGTGGGCACAGGAGAGCCCAGAATGCTTCCTGGAGGAGAGGAGGCAGTAGCGGTGGGGAGGAGCTAACCAGGCAAAGACAATAGGGTGGGGCTTTTTAGGATACAGCCAAGCCCGGAGGTGGGAACATCGCAGTGTTCAGAGAACATCGTGTGTTCAAAGAACCACGTGGGTTCTTTAGGGACAAGAAGGCTGAGATGGGTAGTGGTGGCAGGAGTGCTCAGGTGTCCACTGGGCAGAGGGCTTGGCTGTTACCCTGCAGGTAGGCCAGGGGTGGCTACTGAGCAGTTTTAGTTCACTGCTCACCCTGGTGGAGAGGCTGGGGGGAGACAAGGAGAAACCAGTCACAGGCTGTTGCAGTACTGAGGTGGCCCCGTAATGGCTGAACCGCTTGAGGGTCAGGACTGGGACTGCTTCTATATTTTGTATGCCTGATGCTTTGCTCTGTGCCTGGCACGTGGTTGATATTTTGTCTGTGCCAGGGAAAGGAAAGATTGGCAGACTACTCAGAAGCGACTGGATCCAGGTACCTGTCAAACAGACATCTGTGGCTGGGTGTAGTGGCTCACACCTGTAACCCCAACAGCTTGGGAGGCCAAGGTGGAAGATTGCTCAAGGCCAGGAGTTCAAGACCAGCCTGGGCAACATAGCGAGATCCCATCTCTAAAAAAAAAAAAAATTTTTTTTAAGAGTGAGACGTTTATGTCAGGGGAAGGAATCACAGGAGAGGGAACAATCCTGAACAGCTCGATGGCCAGACTCATGTCACCATGAACAGAAACAGGCAGACTCAAGGAAGGGGAGTGACTAGGAGGAAGAAGATGAAGCTGGGTTTAGAGACACTGAGTTTGCAATCCCACTTAGGAGTCGGTCTAGCAGGAGGTGACAGGAATCTGAATAGGGATGGTGGCAGAGAGGTGGCAGGACGGTGAGAGATCTCACATGTCAAACTGGCAGGACATGGTGCTTGATTAGGTCCAAGGGCTAGAGAGAGGTGGCTTGGGGGACAGGTGGGGCTATGCCACCAAATGAAGTAATTCAGGGGGCGGAGGCGGTTTGAAGAGAGGGCAAGGACAGGAGGAGAGGAGATGAAGGTGTTTGTAGCTGCAGACAGGGAGGTTGGGGAGACATACATTCGCCTTGATTTTGTTCATGAAGTGGGACTAGAGACAGGTACTCACTGTACCAGGCACTGTGGAGCAAGGGGTGACATCCCCAGTGGAGGAAGCTGAAGCTCTGGGAAGGGGAGCGACTTCTGCACAGTAGTTCAGCTGATGAGCAGGAGACTTAGTGCCCAGCTCGGGCCTGCCAGGCTCCAGAGCTCAGGGTTTTTTCCTGCCATGCCCTGTTGCTTTGCACTTCTGTGTGAGATCCCTGCAGTGGCCTTTGGCCTTGACCAGCCAGAAAGAAGCCAGAGCCCTTAGCAGGGCTGTGGGGTGCCTGGACTGGGCCACAGGCCAGCCACACCTGACCTGCTCCTGCCCCGGGCTTCTCAGCCTGGCTGAAAGGGAATTGTCACTTAGCTGGAGCTGCTCCAGCCAGGCATCCTGCCCTTCTGTGGGCCATGGGCAGGGGCTTGGAAGAAGCTGGTGCCATGTCCACCTGAGACCTTGCCTTGCATGGCATTTATAACTGGGTCAGGTGGTGCTTTGGGTTTTTTCTGGCAGCAGAGCATTTCCTGAATGACCTAAGCCTTTTTTACCTGGAAGACTCAGAATGTTGCATCTGGAAAGGACCTTAAACATTATTGGGTCCAAGCCCTGTCAGATGATGTGTGAAGTGTCAAGATTGAGCCTGAAGATAGATTTGACTGTTCTAGTTTTGCTCTGGCTCAAGTGGTTTAGAATACCTGCTCCGTCATGGTGCAATGAAAGTGATTCTCATGCTTGCCTGGTGGAAAGCAGCCTCACTGCTTCACTCTTTTTCTGTCACACATAAAGACACACACATCTCTCTCCCCTGGATATGCGCTAGATGATCGACGGATGTGAACAACATCACTGATGTCACATAGACAACCAGGATTGTTTAAAATAGTGCATTGGAGTCAAAAACCTTCAGAGATCATCCAAACAAGACTTCTCCCAGAGGCCAGGCACCGACGGTGACTCTCACCTCTAAGCCCAGTGCTTGGGAGGCTGAGGTAGGAGGATCACTTGACGTCAGGAGTTAAAGACCAGCCTGAACAACATGGCGAGACACCCCCCCGCCCCCGCCTCTACAAAACATAAAAAAGCGGCCAAGCGTGGTGGCTCATGCTTGTAATCCCAGCACTTTGGGAGGCCAAGGCGGGTGGATCACCTGAGGTCAGGAGTGCCAGAGCAGCCTGGCCAACGTAGTGAAACCCTGTCTCTACTAAAAATACAAAAATTAGCCGGGCGTGGTGGCAGGTGCCTGTAATCTCAGCTACTCGGGAGGCTGAAGCCGGAGAATCACTTGAACCTAGGAGGCGGAGGTTGCAGTGAGCCAAGATCGCACCACTGCACTCCAGCCTGGGTGACAAAGCAAGACCCCCCTCTCTGCAAAACATAAAAAAGCTTAGACAGAACTACATAGAGGACTTAGTAGGACTACGTAGTGACACGCACCTGCAGTCCTAGGTACTTGGGAGGCTTAGGTGGGAGGATCACCTGAGCCTAGGAGGCCGGGGCTGCAGTGAGCCGTGATCATGCCTCTGCACTCCAGCCTGGTCTGAGAGCCAGCAGCCTCCTGTACTGCTGTGTGACACACCCTGGCTTTGCCTGGGGACTCTTAGATGGCAATGGTATAACCTGGGCCCTCAAGGTTCTCACCACTGACATTGGTCATTGAGTGTAAGGCAAATAATGATAGGAGTGGTTGGGACAGTAACAAAGGTTTACAGCAATGGCATGGAGGCACTGAGAACTAGAGTAAGTAACCTGTTGTCCTGGGGGAAGGTGGCCTTTTATTTTTTATTTTTTTGAGACAGTCTCACTCTGTTGCCCAGGCTGGAGTGCAGTGGCGTGATTTTGACTCACTGCAACCTCTGCCTCCCGCGTTCAAGTGAGTCTGCTGTCTCAGCCTCCTGAGTAGCTGGTACTACAGGCATGCACCATCACGCCCAGCTAATTTTTGTATTTTCAGTATAGACAGGGTTTCACTATGTTGGCCATGCTGGTCTCAAACTCCTGACCTCAGGTGATCCGCCTACCTCGGCCTCCCACATTGCTGGGATTACAGGCATAAGCCACCACGCCAGGCCAGGAAGGTAGCTTTTTAAAGATGAGCCAGCCTGGTGTAGTGGCTCTCACCTATAATCCCAGCACTTTGGGAGGCCCAGGTGGGAGGATGACTTGAAGCCAGCATGGGCAACAAAATGAGACCCCTGTCTCTAAAAAAATTTAAAAATCAGCCAGGTATGGTGGCACACACCAGTAGTCCCAGCTACTTGGGAAACTGAGGCAGTTTGAGGCTGCAGTGAGCCGTGATTATGCCACTGCACTCTAGTTTGGCAGCAGAGCAAGACCCTTTCTCAAAAGAAAAATAAGTAAAAATAGAAGTGAGCTGGGAGGCCAGGCATGGTGGCTCACACCTGCAATTCCAGCACTTTGGGAGGCCAAAGTAGGAGGATCACTTGAGCTTGGGAGTTCAAGACCAGCCTGGGCAACAAAGAGAGACCCCCATCTCTTTAAAAAAAAATACTAATTTTAAAAAATGAGCTGGGAAGTGAAGGAGAGGACACTAGTGCCCTGCAGAGGGAACAGCCAAAGCAGAGGCCTGTAGCATATTGGCAAGAAGCTGGAGTGAGCGGGAAGGGAGGGTGGCGACTGAGGCTGGAGAACCACCTGGGTCCGATTGTGAAGGGCCTTGCCAGTTTGACAGTTGCATTGTCATGACAACTTGAGGCCTGGCCCTGCCACTTATTAATGGCATGCCTGACCGTGAGCATCATCGTGTGACCGCCGAGCCTCAATGGGTGGTGACCACTGACAGGGAATACCAGAGGGGTGAGCATCTTGATTGCAGGACAGTGCAGGCCTTGCACCTCGAGAGACAGAAGTGGCTACGACTTGGGAGTCAGTGATAATTGAGTGGTGACAAGGCCCAGTTGTGGTTGGAGCTTGTGGGATAGAAGCTGATTTGGCCCAGGATTGATGATGCAGATTTGGAGAAGGTCAAGGGAAGGGCCTCCAGAGAGTGGGGTGGGGGCCCAGAAACGTCATGAAACTGCTTTGCAGGGCAGGTTGTTGGTTTCTCCCGTGTTACTAGTTGACCAAGAACTTGACCTGCAGGGGCTGCTCAGCCTTGACTCAGAGTGTCAGGAGGAACAGGGCCGCAAAGCAGAAGTTCTCTTTTTAAACCTTTTAAAATTTATTTTTATTGTGGTTTTGTTGTTGTTTTTGAGGCAGGATCTCACTCTGTCGCCCACGCTGGACTGCAGTGGCACAATCATAGCTAACTGCAGTATTGACCTCCCAGGCTCTAGTGATCCTCCCAGCTGAGCCCCCCGATTAGCTGGGATTGCATACAGGTGTGCATCACCATTCCTGGGTAATTTTTAATTTTTTTTTTTTTTGTAATGATGGCATCTCTCTGTGCTGCCCAGGCTGGTCTTGAACTCCAGGCTTAAGCAGTCCTCCCACCTTGGCCTCTGAAAGCGCTGGGATTAAAGGCATGAGTCGCCACACTCAGACAATTTATTTTTAAATTTGCATGTAGGAAAATTCATTTTTTCGAGTAGAGTTCTCTGAGTTTTGACAAACGGATAAAGTTGTTTGATTACCACCATAATAAAGATTGGAAAGTTCGCTCTCCCACAAACAGAAATACTCCCTCCTCCTGTCCCTGTGTAATCGACTTTTCCCCTCACTCCCTAACCCCAGCGACCACAGATCCATCCCTATGGTTTTGCCTTTTCCAGGAAGGCACAGAAATGATGTGGCAAGATGTGTTTGAGATTCACACAAGTAGCATGAATTGGTGATACCTTTTATTGCCAGGTGGTATTCTGTTGTATGGTGTATCCCAGTTTATCCATGAATGGCTTGAAGAATATTTGGGTTGTTGTAGTTTTGGATGATTATGAATAATGCCGCTCTGCACATTTATATACAGATTTTTGTGTGAATATAGATTTTCCTTTCTATTGCCTTAATACTAGGAGTAGGATTGCTGGATCCCATGCTAAGTGTATATTTCACCATAAGAAACTGCCAATCTGTTTTCCAAAGTGGCTGTCACATTTCACATTTTTGCATTCCCACCAGCAGTGCATGAATATTCTGGCTTCTCCACATCCCTGCCAGCACTTGACATTGTCTGTTTTGTTGCTGTTGGTTGTTTTTTGTTTTATTTTGCTTTAGCCATTCTAATAAGTGGGTAGCGGTGTCTCGATGTGGTTTTAATTTGACTAATGATGTTGAGCATCTTTTCATGTGCCTGTCTGCCATCCATATATATTCTTTGGTATAGTATCTGTTCAAATCTTTTGCCATTTTTGAAACCAGGTTGTTTGCTCATTATGTTGTTTTTGGTTTTTGGAGATGGAGTCTGGCCCTATCGCCCAGTTTGGAGTACAGTGGCGCCATCTCGGCTCATTGCAACCTCTGCCTCCCAGGTTCAAGCGATTCTCCTGCCTCAGCCTCCCCAGTAACTGAGATTACAGATGCCCACCACCACGCCTTGCTAATTTTTTTTTTGTTGTATTTTTGTAGAGATGGGGTTTCACCATGTTGGCCGGACTGGTCTCAAACTCCTGACCTCAGGTGATCCACCCACCTCGGCCTCCCAAAGTGCTGGAATTCCAGGCATGAGCCAGCACACTAGCCTGCTTCTGTTTTGAGAGCTTAAAAAAAAGTGTTCTGGGCCAGGCGTGGTGGCTCACGCCTGTAATCCCAGCACTTTGGGAGGCCGAGGTGGGCAGATGGGCAGATCACGAGGTCAGGAGATGGAGACCATCCTGGCTAACACGGTGAAACCCCGTCTCTACTAAAAATACAAAAAATTAGCTGGGCATGGTGGCGGGCGCCTGTAGTCCCAGCTACTTGGGAGGCTGAGGCAGGAGAATGGCATGAACCCGGGAGGTGGAGCTTGCAGTGAGCGGAGATCATGCCACTGCACTCCAGCCTGGGTGACAGAGCAAGACTCCATTTCAAAAAAAAAAAAAAAAGGGTTCTGGGTTGGGTGAGGTGGCTTACGCCTATAATTCTAATACTTTGAGAGGCCAAGATGGGAGGATCACTTGACACCAGGAATTCAAGACCAGCGTGGGCAACATAGTGAGACCCTATCTCGACAAAAAATAAAAAATTAGCCAGAAGGCTGAGGCAGGAGGATTGCTTGAACCCAAGAGTTTGTGGCTGCAGTGAGCTATGATTATGGCATTGCACTTCAGCCTGGGCAGTGGAGTGAGACTTTGACTCAAAAAAAAAAAAAAGTGTTCTGACTACAAGTCCCTTTTGCAAATGTTTACTCCAGTTGGTGGATTTTAATTCTCCTAGCAGTATCTTTCACAGAGCAAAAGTTTCAAATTTTGATGATATCCAGTTTATCCATTTTTTTTTTTTTTTAACGAAGTGGGCTTTTGGTGTTGTGTCTGAGAAATCTTTCCCCAGCCCAATGCCACAAAGATTTTTCTCCAAGAAATTTTATGTTTTTACATTTTAAAACAGAGGTCGGCAGATTTTTTTTGTGTGAAGAGCCAGATGGTAAATATTCTCAGCTTTTTTGGCCATACGGTTGCTACTACTTAACTGTGTTATTGTAGTACAAAACTATCTATAGACAGACAATACATAAACAAATGAGACAAGCTGTATTCCAATAAAACTTTATTTATAACAACAGGCAATGGGCCAGATTTGTACCACAGGCCATGATGTGTGTTTCAGGAGGTCCACTTTTCCCAGACCTAGAGGATACCACACTGTGGACAGTAAGCCTGGGACAGCCATTGTCCATCTCACCGTCCATGAAAGCAGAATGAGGGAAAAAGCAAAGTAGATGCCTAACTCTTAGAGAAAGGGCGAGGAGAAGGAAAGGTAAAGGAAAAAAGAGAAAGAAAGAAGGGAAATGCTTGAATTACATTTTGAGCAAGCTTCAATGTGCATTTTAATTCTTCAGTGTTAACCCTTGTGGTCTGTTTGGATCAGCTTCCAGCAAATGTTTTTGTCTGTTTGTTTGTTTTTGAGCCAGTGATCTATTCTAAAATCTCGTGGCCACAGATGGTGTAACAGACACGTGGAGTTTCTCATGATTAAAGTCTATAGGTCCCGAGCTGCTACTGAAAGTTGAAATTTAGCCATTTCCCATTAACGAATATTTAGAATTCTATCCAGTTTTATACTCTTATGAACCATGAGGTAGTGCCTTCCTTGCACTTTTTGTTTTGTTTTGTTTTGAGACAGAGTCTTACTCTGTTGCCCAGGCTGGAGTGCAGTGGCGCCATCATGGCTCATGCAGCCTTGATCTCCTGGGCTCAAGCGATCCTCCCTGCCTTTGTCTCCCGAGTAGCTGAAACTATAGGCATGGGTCACCATGCCCACTAAATTATTTTATTTTTTGTTGAGAGTCAGGGTCTCACGTTGTTGTCCAGACTGGTCTTGAACTCCTGCACTTGCGTGATTATTTCTGTAGAAAGATCCTGCAGTTGTGAGTCAGAAGGTTCTACCATCTCATACTCAGATCAGTAGCAGGTGATCTTGCGCTGGATTTTATTCCATGTGACTGGCAGAAAATAGCATCTGGTTTTCTTTTGCATTTTCCTCATTGTTCACGAAGATGAAGTTCAGTGTCTTTTTCTGGACTTACGAGCCATTTGAATTTAAGGCCTTTATAAATTGCTGCTCACATCCTTTGCCTACTTCCCTCTTGGTTACGTCTCTTCTTTTATCCCTTACCAATTTGTAGATGTTCCGAATCAAGTTTTCCCAACCTCGGCAGTACTGACATTTGGGGTTAGATAATTCTTGGTTGTGGGGCCGTCCTGTGCCCTGAAGGATGCTTTACAGCTCTCTGACTTCTACCCACCAGGTGTCAGTAGCACCCCCTCCCCCGACCCCTGGCCCTGACCAAGTCACAGTAACCAAAAATGTCTCCAGACATTGCCCTGTGTCCCCTTGGGGGCAGAATGGCCCAGTGTGAAAACCACAGGTCTAAATAATAGAATATGCAGTGAATCTTTTCTCTAGGCTACTCCTCTTCGTCTAGGTCTGTGATGCCTTTTGCTGTACAGAGGTTTTTAATTTCATGGAGTCTCACTTTTCAGTCTTTTTTTCTATGGCTTTTGATGCTAACCTACTTTTTAAAGAGCAGGGAGCATAGGACATCCTCAAATAAAAGAAATGTTAGGAAATTGTACTGATTTTCCACATTGTCTGAGACTAGTAGGAGGGTAGGGAAGACCTGGATGTTTCTACCAGGAAGAAAGAAACCAGACCTAATTCTTCCCTCGGCGTTGATTCAGGGAGTAGGTAGGAAATCTCCACATGAGAGGTGTGTTCAGATTTTTATGTAACTGCTGGCAAGGCTATTTTTAAAGAAGGCCAAAGGCGCATGACCGTGGGCACTGGGTGTTCAAACATAACAGAATTGAGCAACAGGGATCTGGGGAAAGGGATGGGCTCTCACCGAGACCTCCAGGCGGGTGGCCATCCACAGGGATGACTACCTGTGTGTTTAGAGGCAGGGATGAGGGGCCTCTGAGAAGTGAGCCCAGTGTGCGGCGCACTTTCAGCAGGGCGGGCTCGGCATACTTGGCCGCATTGATCTGGACTCTTCTCCAAAGTCATCACTGGCTCTGATGTTTATCACTGAAAGGAAAGACTTCAGCAACTGAGAAAGACATTTCAAAGCCTGCAAACTGTGAAGACCAAGTTCCTCTGACTGGTAGAGAAACCCTCACCTCTTTCCAGCTCACTCACTGTGTCTTTGGGAATAAACAGGTGCAGAGGACCATTGCCTACCTGCCCCCTCAGCAGCAGGGTGTCCAGGGGTGGGGTTCAGGTACACCCCACAGGCTCTGGACATGGGGAGAAAGCAATCGGAAATCTGGAATTCTCTCGAGAGACAACCCAAAGGCTTTTTTACAGGATCTTAAATTGTGGTGCTGGAATTGTTTGTAGGTCTCTCCGAAGCCCTCTTAGTGAACTTGGAGTTGTTCTGTTTTGTGTCCATAGACTATTTTTTAGAGCAGTTTTAGGTTTACAGAAAAATTGTGGAGAACACTCGTTCTGTAGCATTACAATGAAGTATTGACTGAATAAAATTTTTTTTAAATAGAAAGAAGCCGGACACAGTGGCTCATGCCCGTAATCCTAGCACTTTGGGAGGGTGAGATGGAAGGATTACTTGAGGCCAGGAGTTCAAAATTAACCTGGGCAAGATACCATCTCTACAAAAAGTTTTAAAAATCAGCCGGGCGTGGTGGCACATGCCTGCGTTCCCAGCTACTCAGGAGGCTGAGGTGTGAGGATCGCTTGAGGATCTCCCAGGAGCCTTGGCTGCTGTGAGCTGTGATGGCGCCGCCACACCCATTATTAGCATCTCACATTCACATGGTACCTCTGTTATTCTTGGTGAATCAATATTGACACATTATTAGTAACTAAAGCACGTAATTCAGATTAGAGTTCACTCTGTATATTGTTCATTCTGTGGGTTTTGACAAACATGTATTGTCACATCCACCACTATATATCATGCAAAATAGTTTCACTGCCCTAAAACCCTGACAATCCCGTGTTCCACTATTTGTTGTCCCCCCCACGCCGACCTGCATCGCTGGCAACCATTGATCTTTTTCTCTGTAGTGTGCCTCTTCCAGAAGGTCATAGAGTTGGAATCATACAGTGTATCACTTAACAGTATACATTTAAAGTTCCTTTAAATGTCTTTCCTAGCTTAATAGCTCATTTCTTTTTATCATCAAAAAATATGCCCCTGTGCAGCTGAACCACATGAATGGAGTCTGTTCATTCATTCACCCATTGGAGGAGATCCTGGTTGCTTCCAGGTTTTGGCAATTATGAGTGAAGCCGCTGTAAACATCCATGTGCAGATTTTTGTGTGGCTGTAAGTTAACATGCAGCATAGAAAAGAATCTCTAAGTGCAGGGCCAGGTGCTGTGGCTCATGCCTCTAATCCCAGCACTTTGGGAGGCCGAGGCAGGTGGATCACCTGAGTTCAGGAGTTTGAGACCAGCCTGGCCAACACGACGAAACCCCGTCTCTACTAAAAATACAAAAATTAGCTGGGCATGGTGGCAGACGCCTGTAATCCCAGCTACTCAGGAGGCTGAGGTAGGAGAATCACTTGAACCTGGGACGCAGAGGTTGCAGTAAGCCGAGATTGTGCCACTGCACTCCAGCCTGGGTGACAGAGTGAGACTCTGTCTCAAAAACAAAACAAAAAAAAAAAAAAAGAAAGAAAGAAAATCTCTAAGTGCAAATGCAGTTACTAGTTTTGCCTTCATATACTGCAATATGAACATTTTGAATTTACTTGCTCTTTTTCTCTTGGCAGATTTTTGAAAAATACAATGTCTAATGGTTATGAAGACCACATGGCCGAAGACTGCAGGGGTGACATCGGGAGAACGAATTTGATCGTCAACTACCTCCCTCAGAACATGACCCAGGATGAGTTACGAAGCCTGTTCAGCAGCATTGGTGAAGTTGAATCTGCAAAACTTATTCGGGATAAAGTAGCAGGTAAAGAAATGGAGGCGTTTTAGTAAACCGGGTATTGGTGGCCATCCTTTGGGCACTGTCTCCTTTGCCTGTGACTCTGTGGCATTCCTCAGTGCAGGATAACTACAGCCTTGAAACGATGGCTGTGAAGTTTCATTTTTATTTCAAACTCTGTCCATTGCTCTTGTATAAGATCGGACATAAGTTCCCAAAAGAGGAAAAATTCATTGTAAGACAGAGAGCATGTACAAAATAAGACAGTGGGAGGAGAGGAAGGAACCAGAGACAGGGCATTCTGAGAGCTGGAAGGGGCTGGAGAACCACAGCCTGACCTGGCTTGGCCTGGGCAGATTGATTGGGTCCCACGTGTGGAAGGGACCCTGGCGAGTGTACTGTCCAGGGCAGGTGCAGGTAGGCCTGCCCCTGTCTGTCCAGGCCCCCACTCTTGGTCAGGCCCAGGTCAGCAGAACACCGAGGACCTTGTGGACAGCCCTTCGTTATGTTTGGGCTGCTCTGTCTACTGTCAACACCATCAACTTGAACTTCTGCACCATGCTGAGCTTGAACTCTCAGAGGGGCAGGAGCCTGGCAGCTAAAAGCCCTGCTGTTCCACTCCCTCACAGTGGGACTTCTAAGCCTTTGTGTCCCCATCCGGAATGTGGAGATTGTGGCTTCTACATCCTGGTGGTCCCTACCTCGTAGGTGTTTGCAGAGGTCCTGGCACTTGTGAAGGCCTTCCTTACAGAGTGGCCTCCATTCTGAGAGCATGGCTTCAAGGACTCGGGAGAGAATTACGGACAGACCATGTGCGGAGCTCTCCTCCTCCTCCTCTCCCAATGGCCCCTCTTCCTCCTCTTCCCTCTACCCACCCCTACCCCCCTGCCTTCCTTTCTGTCTCCGCCCTGCTTTAGGAAGCCAAGGAGCGGCCAGTCCTCTCGGGGCTCTGTCTGCCACCCTGGATTTGGGGACTGTGATTCCCTATACTGAAAACTCACTTCAGGCTGGGCACAGTGGCTCACACCTATAATCCCAGCACTTTGGGAGGTCGAGGTGGGAGGATCACTTGCTCAGAAGTTCAAGACCAGCCTGGGCAACATGGTGAAACCCCATCTTTACGAAAAATACAAAAACTTAGCTGGGCGTGGTGGCCCGCATCTGTGGTCCTGGCTATTTGGGGGCGCTGAGGCAGGAGAATTGCTTGAGTCTCGGGGGTTGAGGTTGCAGTGAGCTGAGATTGCACCTTACCAAGTACCACTTGGTACTAAAGTGTCTTCTACACTTTAGCCTGGGCAACATAGTGAGACCTTGTCTCAAAAAAAAAAAAAACTAATTTAAAAGTTGAATGCTGGGCACGGTGGCTCATGCCTATAATCCCAGCACTTTGGGAGGTCAAGGCAGGCAGATCACCTGAGGTCAGGAGTTCGAGACCAGCCTGGCCAACATGGTGAAACCCTGTCTATACTAAAATTCAAAAATTAGCCAGGCGTGGTGGCGCACGCCTATAATCCCAGCTACTCAAGAGGCCGAGGCAGGAGAATCACTTGAACCTGGGAGGCGGAGGTTGCAATGAGCTGAGATTGTGCCACTGCACTCCAGTGTGGGCAACAGAGTGAGACTCTGTCTCAAAAATAAAAAGTTAACAAAAGTTTCTATTATGAAACATTTCAGGCATACATGAACATAGAGTGATGTGTTGAACCTGATGTACCCATCATTGCACTTTATCTTCAACATTTCCCCAGTAACCTTAAGACACCTGACCCCCACATGACTCCCAAAGAGCCTGTCTGGCCGCTCTACAGGGAATTAGCTCTTCAGATGCAGGCACTGAATAAGAAAGCCTTCTCTCCTTCCAACTCCAAGAGTCTGATTTAATAAACGCCTTCTCAATGGGGATTTTACACAGTATACAAACTTGAGCAGTGTTAGAATGTTCTAGAAGCCAGCATCTCTCTCCTGCTCCAGGAGACCATCCTAAATAAGAGAAGGGTTTTAAAATTCTCCTGTGCCACTAACAATTCTCACCTTTTTCCTCTTTCTGGTGGAAGGGAATTTTCCTTGATATTCCTGAGCACCAGAGATATTGCAAGCATTCCCATGGAATTTGCAGTTATTCTCCTGCAACCTGACTTCTTTGTCTGTTCCCTTGTGGTTTTCACAGGAATGTGAGCTATGCTAAAGGAACACCTAGATTTGGCTCAGTCTGGAGAGAACTGGTTTTGAGAATCAGTGAAGGCTGCAAAAGTGTAATTTGGAAATTATTTCAGTTCGGAGGTGAGCCCTGTCTTATCTTTGGACAGTAGTTAGTAACTGGCGCACCAGGAGTTGTGGAGTGGCTGGGCCTGGGCTTTCATCTTGGCCCAGCCTCTTGTTAGCAGCCCTTCAAGTGACTGGAGCTTTACGGAGAACATGCTGCAACCTGGCTTTGCTCAGCCTGCCGCCAGTGTGGGCAAACCTCTTCGCTGGCAGGGCCCGGGGCACGGCGCTAGGTCTCACCACCCCTCTCCCCAGCCAACGGCTTTCTCCCAGCCTCCCAAGACAGCCTCTCACCCGGCCAGGCAGGCACCCCGGCGAATCTGATCCCTGGCCTAGCTCAGCTCACAACACGGGTGTCTCCGAGCCCCACAGCAGCCATTTCCCCGTGTTTACCCTCCTCGGTCCTCTGACCACCCCCTTCACCCTCAGCTGATGACCACCTCCCGCTTCGCAGTGGAACTAATAGCGTCTCCAGCTCTCCAGCCCCGATCCTCCCTTCCCTTCCCTTCCCGGCTTCCCAAGAGCCTCAGGCTCTCCAAGTGCCCACTTTTCCTGGGCTTCGAGTGTCTTGAAAGGAATTCCTTCCAGACTTCCAGCTTCCTCTAGCTCGGAGTTCCTCCACATCTGTGGCTCCTGATGTCAGGGCTGGACGCCGCACTGGACACTGCAGGGTGTTGAGCAGCATCCCTGGCCTCCACCCACGTGGTCCCAGTAGTGACATCCCAGTGGTGAAACCCAAAAATGTCCTGACATTGCCGCATGTCCCCTGGGAGGCAGAGTCTCCCCTAGCGAGAGCCACTGCTGTGTGTGTTGGCCTCCCACCCACATACTGTCCTGTTCCCTGTCTCCACCTCCTTCCAGAAGCATCCTCTCCCATTGGCTTTCAGGAGCACCTCCTCCTCCCACCTGTCTAACTGCCCCTGAGGCCATGCCCCATCTGTCTTTAGCGCCTTTCCCCAGCCTTTGACTCAGCCGGTTATGCCAGAGGGTTATGCTCAGAGGGTTATGTCATTCTCCTCTTCTTCCAAAGCTGACACTCACGGTGGGCAGAGTCACCTCATGGCTCCCAGCTGCCCTCTGTCTGCCACCTCCTTTTTGACCAGAAGGCTGTCCTGAGCTCCAGAAGCCCTCGGCCCCTTAAATTCAGTATATTCCTAACTGACCTGACTCTCCCTAAAGCCAGCCACTCGTTTCCAGTTGTCCCCACCTTAGCCGATGGCACCACCATCCACTTGGTAGCTCTGCTCAGAAATCTAGGCGTGTCCTTGGCTCTCATCCTCCTGGGTGTTGCTTCAGTCCATCCCTTTCCCCTCTCTCCTCAGCCACCATTCTAGCCCAGGACACCACTGCTGGTGGCCTGCACTGTCGTTTTGGCCTCTTAACTGGCCTCCTATGCTCCCTGAAGACCACTGTCCTCACTGCAGCAGAGGGGCCTGTTTGACAGCCCGCATGTGACCCTGTCACTCCCCTCCTCAAACCGTTCAGGTCCTGGTCGTGTTTGCTTAAGGAGGCCTCCCTTGGCCCAAGTGTCAGATGCTCCGCTGTGGGTTCCTATGGCACCTGGGCCGACCTGCACTGTGGGGTTTCCACCTGGCACTGAGCTGGAGCTTTCTGGTCCAGCACATGAGTATCTCTCCTGGAGGGAGGAGCTTTGTTAATCTCCGTAGCCCTAGACATAGCCAGTCGGTGTTTGCAGAGTGAAGGAAGGAATGAATGAATGAGTGGTGCTGGGGATGGGGGAGAGTGCAGATCATCATTCAGCAAATACTGGTTGAGTGCCAGCCATGGGCTGGGCACTGGTGGCGGGAGGAAGGAGGGGCGTGATGATGGCTGGGAGGAAGGGACTGCCCCATGTGCTGCTCTCAAGACTCGGAATGTTTCTGGCTGGCCTGGCCCTGGTCCCTATGTTGGGGATATGGCGTTGGTTGGTTGTTGGCTGTTCCACCCACAAACACCAGCTAAGGAGGCCACTGCAGCGCCCGGTGGTCCTGCCCGCTGCCTTCCTGGGCAGCCCTGCCCCAGTGTCTGGTCTCTCCACAGTGGCCCCATATGTCCCTCGGGGGATCAGAAGGAGTCAGCCCTCTACCCTCATGGATGACCTGTCATGCCGGAGCCACCAGGCTGCAGCCCCATTCACGGCTTCTGTCTTGCTGTATATCTCTGGTCGGGTTAAAGCCCACACCGCTGCCCAAGGCTTTAACCACATCCCGGAGGAGGGGGTGTCCCAAGAGGGTAGGGACACCCCTGGGCGCCTGCCCCCTCTCCCCACTTGCTGCACCCTCCCCCCCCCCCGGCACCCCCCGGTCAGGCTCTACTCTTGGGCGCTTGTGATTCTCTGAACACTGTTCCCTCTGCAGGAATGTCCTTCCGGACTTTCCCAGCCTGATGGCTTTTTTCTTAATATGAGTCATGTTTGCTCCTCACAGAAAAAAAAACTTAAGCATGAGCCAAGCAGAAACAAACAAACAAAAAATCACCCACAATCATACCGCTGTTAGCTTTTGGGCACATGTCCCTCCAAATGATTTTCTTTACGTATTCATGGCCATAAGCAGCCACGTACTTCTACAGAATGGGCTCTTCTCTCAGGCTGTGGATAAACTTCCCTTCCTGTATCTGGACATTTTTCCACTTCGCTGAACATCTCGCGATCCCATCATCATCGGTCGCATAGTATTCTGCTTCCCATTTGTTGATATTTGAAAGCCCTGCTGACATAAATGTCCTGGCACAAATCTTTGCTCACTGGTTATTTCCATAGAAAGTCTTCCTGCCGGTGAAGCGGCAGATGGGAGAGCGCACCTTTTAAAGGCTCTTGGTCCCTGTCGCTAACTCGCTCTCTAGGGGACGCTTAGTTCACCCTTCCTTCTGTCCAGCCCTGCTATCCGCTAGCCTTGGCAGGATTTCTCACCTTTGCCACCCTGTGAGGGACGAGCGACATCCGATCAGGGTGATTCCTATTTCGAGTGAAGTTCATCACTGTTTCTATTTAGTGGTTGTTTGTACTACTTTTGTAAAATACCCTTCTTGTCCTTCGCCTGTTTCTTTTCTTTTGCAGACCTTTGCTGTTTCTTATTTATTGCTGAATTAATTCAGTCTCCACCTCCAGTCTCTGTCTCTCAGTGAGGTCTTCCCTTGAGCCTTTAAAGAGAGAACTCACGGGACCTGCCCTCACGGTGCAGAGGAGGGCTTCACCCACAGGGCACTCGCCCCCTCAGCCCTGCACCCCGTGTCAGGTCAGGGCGCTTCCAGCTGCAAGAAGCATGGAGGGATGGAAGCATTGTGTCTGGCAGCATAAGACAAGGAAGCAGCTCTCCAGTCTTAACCCTCATCCAAAGAGAGGGAGAAATGTGTTTGGAAGTTCGAGAGCACTGGCCAGTGTTTGCCCAGTGTGGGCGGTGTATGGGTGCCCAGTAAGGCAACCATGGTGCTCCCCGCAGAGGCAGCTTTGTCTTCTCCAGGCAGCAGCTTTCAGGGTACAGTCCCTGGGCCAGCAGCAGCATCAGGATACTTGGGGAAATGTGACTCTCAGACCCTGCCTTGTGGCCAGAAAGGGTGAGGAGGCTCTTCCTCCAGTTGAGGGAAGTGAGAGCCGGGCATGCACTGGCCTCTGGGACAGCCCTGCATTTCACTCCCGGGTTCTGCATCCTGCATTCCTCCCTGCCAGTCTCCTTCCTGCTTCCCCGTATCTCCCACCCACACCCTCTCCATCCCATCTCCCATCCCAGGGGCCCCGTTTGCCCCCCGAGCACTGACACCAGGCAGGCCCACCACGGCCTGTGCAGGAGCCAGGCCCCTCTGAGCTTGGCTCCCTGTCCTCCTGCTCCCTCGCAAACCCTCAGGCCTCCTGTCTCAGGGCTGATCTCCCATCTCCAGGCAGGGGCTTTGGCAAGCTCTGCCACTGGTGGGCAGGAGGAGCATCTGTAAGGAGTTTGGGGATGTGGATTCCCACACCTGCCTGACATCCTGGGTCCCGGGATGGGGTAGGGGTATCTAGGGAGCCAAGTTGTTGCCTTGAACTCCAGATGCCCCTGGTGCAGGTGGCTTGTGGACCCTGCCTGGAGAAACAGTAACTTGGGGGCCCGTTTGCACTTCTCCTCTGGAGGCCTCCTCTCCTCTGCATAACCATGGGAAGCCCCATGCCCCTCATGCACTGGAATCACTAGGGAGCTTTAAAAACCACTGAGGAGGCTGGGCGCGGTGGCGCACGCCTATAATCCCAGCACTTTGGGAGGCCAAGGTGGGAGGATCGCTTGAGCTCAGGAGTTTGAGACCAACCTGGGCAACATGGCGAAACCCCATCTCTACAAAAAATTAAAAAATTAGCTGGGCATGGTGGCGTGCCCCTCTAGTCCCAGCTACTTGGGGGGCTGAGGTGGGAGCATCGCCTGAGCCTAGGAGGCAGAGGTTGCAGTGAGCCGAGTCTTGGCAACAGACTGAGACCCTGACTTAAAACCACTGAGGCCAACTGGCAACCCCCCCACCTCCTCCTTTTCTGACTTCATTGGTTGGGGGTGTCGCCTGGGCAGTCAGTGGTGGCTTAGAAAGCTGTCCAGATTTGTTTCTATTGGAGGCAAAGGTGGAGGTGGGTGGTCAGGTGCTGGACAAAGCCCTTCCAGTGATGGCCTCACCCAGCGGGTGGAAACCAGGGCACCTTCATCCCTCACCTGCCTGCCTTCCTGCTGCCTCCAGGCACCTACCACAGAGAGGAGAGCAGATTCTGGGGATGAAGCCAGGCCTTGACTCACAAGGCTCAGCCTGTAGGGAGATCAGGGGCCTGCCCCCACTACCTGTCCTCTGGGTGGGGCATTCCTCTACTGCCCTGGCCTGTGCACATAGCCTGCATCTCCCATCTGGATTAGATCACCAGCCCGCTGGCTCCACACTGGCTCTGCCCTGCTGCCAGTGGCCACTTCCTAGGCCCTTGCCACACGGGCCACCTCTACTTTCTGGGAATACACTGGCATTGTCTCTGCCTCGGAGACTTGGCACCTGCTCTTCTGTCTGGAATGCTCACGTCAGCCACGCAGAGGTTTAAAATATCTCCTCTGCGACGGGCCCTCCTGACCCCTGTCTTAATGCTTGTCAGTTTCTCACCACCATGTTGTCTGACTTGCCCCCAGGGATGTGATGGCTTTCATGATGGCAGCGACCGTCCTCTGTCATGCATCACTAACTCCCAGCCAAGCACAGGGCCTGACACATAGTAGGTGCTCAGTTAATGCGTCAGCTCCTTGAGGACAGAGAAGAGCTTGACCATGGAAGGTGACGGGCAGCCCAGGGGTGTGCGACTCCCTCGGTGATGTTGGCAGGTGTGGGCATGTGTGGTGAGGAAGAGCATGTGGCAGAGACAAGGGCCAAAGGTGGGTCCTCAGGGCCCATGGGTCTCCATGGAATGGACAGGGAGTGAGGAGCCTGAGGAGGGACAGCCAGGGAGACGGAAACCTGGTGTGGTTTCCACATCCTGGAGGAGGGGTGTCCCAAGAGGGTAGGCCCTACCCTGAGCTGCCGAAAGCTCAGGGGACACATCCTGAAACGGTCCCCAGGGCAGTGACCATCCTAGGGGACCAGTCAGGATCACCCAGCACCTGGGAGATGAGGAAGCAGGGACTTGGTCCAAGCAGGGACCATGTTTCTGTGTTGAGAGGAACCGGCTGTGGCTGAGGACACAGGAACGGGCATTGGTGCTCGAGTCCCTATCAGTGTGTGACTTTCTCAAGCAGCACTTAGGCTGCCTGAGGCGCCGCAGCCAAGGAGGCAGGTGGTCCAGGCTTGTTTATGGAGCAGAAAGATGGGGCCCGGATGCAGAAGGCGCTGAGCACTTCGAGAGCAGGTGTTCAGGAGTGAAAAAAACCCAGCCAGGCTGGCGTCGTGGTCAAGAATCCATATCACAGGAATCCCTGACCCCAGAGGCTGTCCCCTCTGGTCCTGCCCTTGCCATCCCGAGTCCCTCCCGTGGTGTCCAGTGAGTGGGTATTCGCTTGTACGTGTGCTGAGTGTGTCACAAAGGGGGTGCAGGGACACCTGCCAGTTTCACACTGCCATCTGGAGCACTTGCAGAGGCCCTGGCAGTCCTGACCTGGCTGCACTGCTCCGTTGCTTGTTCTCCAAGCTGCGATCCCAATTCGCTCCACACGGGCCTGGTCCTACGGTCTTGGTGCTCTGGGTTCTCACTTTGTCCAGGGCCCCAGAGCTGAGTCTCTTAGCCCTGAGGAGTTTTATTAGAAATACGAGTCTAGAGGATCTGATTTTGGTTTTGTTCTTTAGGAAAGAGAGCGCCCCATGCAGAACTAACTGCACGTCATTTCTATAGCTGCTACGTCAGGGCCATGCCTTAAGTGTGGGCTGGGCGTCCTGACTTCCTTCCGCGGAGGGCAGTGTGGAAAGGGGTGGGAGTCACTTTACAGCCAAGAAACCTGGCAAACTGACTGCCTCGGCCCAGTGATCACGGTCAGCACCAGCAGCCATAAGTCACGTTGACGGCCTGTGCCCTTGACATCGTGTGACGAGAAGGGCGCTCCAGCTGTGACAGACTCCAGCAAACCCAATCGAGAGTCTACGGGATGTCCGACCAGTCCTCAAAACCGTCACAGTCACGAGAAACAAGAAACTGTCATAGTCGAGAGGAGCCTGAGGGGATGTGACTGCTAAATGTCACGTGGGATCCTGGATGAGGTCCTGGGGCAGGAAAGAACATGAGGGAAAGACTAAGGAAGCGGCTGGGGCGTGGACTAGAGGTAATGGGAACATTCATCGTCACCAGCATTTCATACTCACTTGCGGTGGTACCCATAGGGGAAACTGGGAGGGGGCCATATGGGAACTTGGTATTATCCTTGTAATTTTTCTGTAAACCTAAAACTGTTCTGAAAAATAAAATTCATTTTAAAAAGAAAGTGGCAAACCTGGGTTAGGCTCTCTGCTGGATTTGTAATCTTGCTGTCGGTGAGATGGATCTGGATGTCCCTGGCCCAGCTGCCAGGAGGATCTCTGCCTCAGTGGGGCTCCAGGCCACCTCCTGTTCGGTGACCTGCTCGTTGTCGCGCTCTGCCGGCTGGGGGAATGGAGCAGTGCTGGGTGAGGCTCAGGCCCACAGCAGATGTTCAGCAGCCTTGCAAGTGCATGGATAAGCTGCGGGAGACGGGGATTGCGCTCTTCCCTGTGCCTCCTCACTTCCCCTTTAGTGAGAGCATTTGGCCAAATGTCCTGTGAAGCTCCTTCTGAACCCTGACCCCAGAGGCTGTCCCCTCTGGTCCTGCCCTTGCCCTCCCGAGTCCCTCCCATGGTATCCAGTGAGTGGGTGTTCACTTGTACCTGTGCTGAGTGTTTCACAAAGGGGGTACAGGGACATCTGCCTGTGAACCTGGTTCTCCCCCACTGTCTGGCAGGGCTGGGGATTCTCAGCCCCTGGCCTCTCCCTGGACTCTTCTGCCCCACAGCGGGGTCGGGCTGGTCTCAGGCTTGGAAAGGTAAATGGAACTGGTGGTGGGTGGTGCCAGCAGGCCCTCCTGCTCTGGACAAGGAAGTGGCAGAGAAACAGCAGTGACACAAACTGGGGTCCCACCAGCCTGTCCACTGCCGTGGCCTTCCTCATCCTCACCACCCAGGCCCCACAGAGCGGCCGGCACCCACGGGACTGGTCTTTCAGAAAGATGCTGTCCGTAGCACAGTATTTTTAAAAAATACTCCTTTGTAAATAACTTTTGGGGTTATTTTAATTACAAAAGTAAAACCTCTTGGCCAGGCTCAGTGGCTCACATCTGTAATCCCAACACTTTGGGAGGTCGAGGTGGGGCCGAGGTGGGAGGATTGCTTGAGCCCAGAAGTTTTAGACCAGCCTGGGTGACATAGTGAGACCCCATCTCTAAAAATAATTTTAACAATTAGCTTGGGCCTGCTGGAGCGGGCCTGTAGTCCCAGATACTCTGGAGGCTGAGGTGGGAGGCTGTCTTGAGCCCAAGAATTTGAGGTGGCGGTGAGCTGTGATCACAGCGCTGGACTCCACCCTGGGTGACAGAGCAAGATCC
Organism: Homo sapiens; assembly: GCF_000001405.40. Taxonomy (NCBI): domain Eukaryota; kingdom Metazoa; phylum Chordata; class Mammalia; order Primates; family Hominidae; genus Homo; species Homo sapiens. The sequence continues at coordinate 7,981,381 of NC_000019.10, read as the reverse complement.
TATCTCTTTAAAAAAAAAAAAAAAAAGGAACCTGTGTTCATTGCAGAAAATGTACGTGTTTGCCAAAGAAAATAAAGTTTGCTAGCACCTGTAATCCCATTTCCCAAAGGCCAGGCAGATATAGTGCTTCCCGACCTCCCTGTCCCTCACTCGCAGACGGTTGGCTTACCAATGTCTTCATGTTCTCTTGCACAGGACACAGCTTGGGCTATGGCTTTGTGAACTACGTGACCGCGAAGGATGCAGAGAGAGCGATCAACACGCTGAACGGCTTGAGGCTCCAGTCAAAAACCATTAAGGTAAAGGGATCTGATCACCACCGCATCCATTCCTGCCCTGGGCACAGGTCTGTGCTGAGCCCCGCCCAGCCTCACAGTCACTCTCCAAGGGACTATGAGCACAGCCGCTCCTCGGGGGCTCCCATCAGATACCCTGGTCAGGTGTATCTGACCCAGGCCTTACATGAGTGTCTCAGGACCCACTCCCCGCCCAGGGTGCCCCCAGGTTGCGTCAGCTCCCAGGCCTCCCCTGTCGTCTCTCCTGCCTGGCTCTCTGTGTTCCCATCCCTGGACAGCTCCATCCACCCCCAGCCTGCCCAGTGCTCCCTCTGCGCTCCTTGGGGCCAGTTGTAACCCTTCCCTCACCCAGCACCTCACTCAGCACCTACTGTGTGCCCCACAGTGACCAAAACAGACAAATTCAGTGCCCCCGTGGGTCGGGGGTGCAGACAGTAAACAAGACAGAGGATAGCCATGTGTGACCGGCAGTTGCCGTGTGTGGAGGCTTCACAGCGGCAGGTGACTTGAGGAAGCCAACTGTGCAGCAGCCCAGGGGCAGCACCTCCAGCAGGGCCATAGTGGCTTCCTGGGATGAGTTGCAGGTCCTCCAGGTCACACAGATGGATTTCCTCTGTCCTCATCATCTGACCCGCGCTCTCGTGCACTGGGGCTGTCAACCCCGAGCCCCACTTACCCCCGTCCCCACGTGTCTGCCTTCTGGCTCCTGGGTTCGTGGGCAGCTCCTGCCACCTGTATCAAGCCTCGTGTCTTTCCGACCTTTGCTCCCTGGTCTCCTGTCAGTCCTGGGTACTGCTGAGCCTTCCCTGAGCCTCCCGTGCCCCAGGCAGGCCCCTGCAACTGGGCTTCCTGCAGCAGCCACTGCACCCACCCGCCCTCAGTGCCCGCCTTCACAAGATACCCACAGACGTAAGGGCTTCCCGGCCAGAATCCCCTCTCTTGCTCCAAGGCCATTTGGAATGAGGTGGTCCTGTGTGAGCCTTTAGATCTGCTAGATTCCCCTGCCCCAGAGAAAGGTGCTCCCTGAGTCACATCAGGCACCCTGAAGGGTCCCTCTTGGACCTGCCAATTATTAGGGCCTCCTGGGGAGCTGTAACATATAGATTCCATGGTCACAGGGGGGCCTCCTGAGTCACTGCAGGGTGGGCCTGGGAGCCTGGATTTTTGCCTGCCCACCAAGAGGGGTTCTGTGACCTGACAGTGACAGCACCTTCAGCCAACAGCTGGCCTCTGTCCCTGCCTTCAGACTGCCCCATGATCTTGGTTACTCAGTGGCCAAACCCTGGCTCAGCAGCAGCTCTCCCAGACCTGCCCCATGCCGCATGGACGTGGTGTGCAGTGGGCTCCCTGAGGGCAGGCGCGCCACTCCTGCCTCCTCGTGTCCAGTGCAGGTCCTCAGAGGCACCTTCCCCGGTGGGGGCTGGTGAGGGCAGCCAAGCGCCATGGGATTCCACCTGAGCAGGGGCAGCCCTTCCTCGCCTCCAGCCCCAGGTGGCTTATCCTTGGCCCTGGACTCCCCATCTAGGAATTCTCTCCCCTATTTAGAAAATGTGTGAAGGTTCTTGTTTCTGAGGCAGCCAGGCTGAGGTGTGGAGCAGAACGCTTGATTATTCCTGCACAGCTGTTCCGTTTACTCAGATGCAGGAGCCGGGTGCCCAGTGTGTAAACAGGACTGTCTTGCCTCTCTAGGATTGATGTTGGTGGGAAAGGCTGGAGTGGCTGCCTGAGTTTGGAGCCAGAGCCTCACGGGACCCCAGGGGCCCAGGCCTGGGCAGGTGTCCCTCCCTGTCATCCCGGCCATGCATGCAGAAGCCTGCCTCACCTTCGGCGGCCCTGCCCTCTGCCGGCAGAGTCTGCTTCTCAGTGGCTTCACACCACTGTCCTAGTTCTGCAGAAACAGGCCAGCCTCATGGGGACGTGACAGCCCTAAGTAATTTCTCCCCAGGTCTCCCCGAGGCTCCCTGGGCCTGGCTCCTCTAGCAGTTCCCCCGGCGCAGCCCTGGGGTCCTCTGTGCTCCAAGTGTGTTCATTCCGCAAACCTTTACTGAGCCCCTGGCCAGTGTGGTGCTGGGCCAGATACGTTGATACTGAGGGACTTCGGATCCCCTGCCATCCCCAGTTTAAAGGTGACTGATCTGTGCAGTGTGATAAGGGCCTGGATGGAGTTGTGCGTTCAACTGATCCTGGATTTTATTGCATCTTGGTCTGATGCCACCTGGTGTCCTGCAGTTCTATTCTGACACCAGTCACCCAGAGTTAGCACAGCCCCAGCACATTTAAGGCCACGGTCCCCAACAAGACCGCCCTCACCTCAGATGCCAGTCACCCTTTGGGGGACCCCAGGCCCCTGCACTTTTGACCAGCTGGCTACAAATTCAGGGTTCCCGCCACCCCTTCAGGGTGCATGACTCACTAGAATGACTCCTGGAACTCACACTTCTGATGACAGTTTGTTTATAAAGGTTGCAACTCAGGGCCTGCCAAATGAAGAGCCACACAGGGAGGGTCCCAAGCACAGAGCTCACATGTCTGCACCTGGTGGGATCAGGTGCCTAGTCCTCCCTGCATGTGACCTGTGCACCTGCCAGGAGGCTCCGTGGAGCTTTGGTGTCTGCCGTGTTTACTGGGCTCATTACGAATGCATGACCGATTGACTCTTTGGCCATGTGATCGAACTCCATCCCCAGCACCCCTTTCCCCTCCCCCACCCTGGAGGTCAGGCCGGTATCGCCCAGCTCACAGCCCCAGCCGTCTAGTCACATGCTTGGTCTTTCTGGTGTCGGAGCCCATCCTGAGCCATCACTTAGCACAAACTCAAGTGGGATCCAAGGCCTTATGGTAACAAAGACAGAAATTCCAGGAGTTTTACAAGCTTCCTCCTAGGAATCTGGGACAGAGACCAGACAAATCCTTTATGACAATACGGGCTAGGGCCAAGCCCTCTGCCAGGTGCTGGGGGTCACTGGCCCATGGTCCATCCTCGGGGAGCCCAGTTGTGCCCACCATTCTCTGTAAGGTGGTCCCAGGGTGGGCTTAGGAGCCTATAATAGTGGCCAGTGCCAGAGGAGGCTCCCTCAAGAAAGCCAGAGTTGAGATCTGGAGGAGGAGAGGGAGTTAGCCAGACCAGGGTGGAGATGAGGGTATTCTGAGCAGCAGGACCTGCAGGGGCACAAGGCAAGGGCCGCATCCTAGAGGAGACCCAGTGGCCAGGCACATCATGGGAACTGCAGGCTGGCCCCAAGCCTCTGCCCCGCTCCTCCCTTGCAGGCAGGGCCTCCTGGAGCCTTGTGCTCATCCTGGGCTCTGAGGCCCCAGCCCTGCACAGAGAGCGCAGACGTGCCTTGCCTTCACCCCGTCCGCTCTGTCCTCTTTGGTCCTGATGTCATTCCCTTGGTGGCAGAGTGGAGAAGGAGGAGTCCTGTCTCCTCATCCCTATCTATCTTTTTCCCATAGTAGCAGCCCAGGCAGCCACAGTGGGAGTGGTCCTGCATGGAGGCGACAGGCTGAGCATGTCCCAGATGCAGCTCAGTGTCCCTGCTGGGATGCTGCACAGTCTCTGTGTGCAGCTCTTCATCACTGCTGGGTCCCTGTGTGCCACACACAGCCAGTGCTTATCAAAGGCTGACGGGGCCAGACCTTCCATCCTGTATCTCACGTGCCCTCTCCACAGCCCCATAAAAAATGGTCCCCAGATTCGGGTTGAAGAAGCTGATGTTTCGAGTAGTGAAACAGCTCTGCCAAGGTCACGGAGGGATGGAGGGGCAAAGCCAGGGTGTGAAACCGGGTGCTGTATGTGGCTACAGGCACTTAACATTGTCACCTGGAGGCTTCCCCAGCACATTGTGAGATCCAAGCCTCAGGAACCAGAACAGCAGAACTCCTGTCACCCACAGAAGCCGGCGCCGGGGACTGCAGTGCAGATAGGCAGGCGTTCTTCACAGCAGTGGCTACTGCGCACTCCACTCACGCAGCAGCGGTCCCCAGATGCCTGCCGTTCACCTGAGGCTGCTCTGAGTGCTTTGGATATGGCAGGAGACACACAAGTCTGGCCCTCACAGAGTCTGTTTGCAAAGTTAAAAGTTAAATAAGTAAAATAGATGCCAGGCAGGGTGGTGCATGCCTGTAATCCAGGGCATTTGGGAGGCTGGGGCAGGAGGATCACTTGAGCCCAGGAGTTCAAGTCTAACCTGAGCAACATAGCAAGACCCTGTCTCTACAAAAAAAACTAAAAAAAAAAAAAAAAAATGTAGCGTGTCAGGTCATGATCAACGCAGTCAAGAACTAAATAGGGACAGGAGGAACTGGGCGTTGATGCCAGTGGAGGGATCTGTGGCAAGCTGAGTGGTCAGGAGTTTGCTCAGCTGCCATGACAAAGCCCCACAGGCCAGGTTGCTTCAACAGAAGAAGGGTATCAACTCACAGTTCTGGAGGCTGGAAGCCCGAGACCAAGGTGTCAGCAGGGTTGGTTTCTCTTGAAGGCACTGGGAAGGGATCTGTCACAGGCCTCTCTCACAGCTTCTGGTGGAGGCTGGTGGTCTCTGGCACTGCTTGCTTTAGAGAAGCATCACCCCAGTGTCTGCCTCCATCTTCACACAGACTTCTCCCTGTGAGAGTGCCTGTATCCACATTTCCCGCCTTTCTAAATTGAATTTATGTTTTCAAAAAAAATACTTTTTTTTTTTTTGAGATGGAGTCTTGCTCTGTCACTCAGGCTGGAGTGCAGTGGCGCGATCTCGGCTCACTGCAAGCTCCGCCTCCTGGGTTCACGCCATTCTCCTGCCTCAGCCTCCCGAGTAGCTGGGACTACAGGCGCCTGCCACCATGCCTGGCTAATTTTTTGTATTTTTAGTAGAGATGGGGTTTCACCATGTTAGCCAGGATGGTCTCGATCTCCTGACCTCGTGATCCACCCGCCTCGGCCTCCCAAAGTGCTGGGATTATAGGCATGAGCCACTGCGCCCAGCCAAAAAAAAATACTTTTTTTTTTTTTTTAAAGACAGGACCTCACTCAGTCACCCAGGCTGGACTGCAGTGATGTGATCACGGCTCACTGCAGCCTCAAACTCCTGAGCTCAGGTGATCCTCCTACCTCAGCCTCCCGAGTAGCTGGGAATAGAGGTATGCCCCACCACGACCAGCTAATTTTTTTTGTAGAGATGGGGTCTTGCCATGTTGCCCAGGCTGAACTCTTGGGTTCAAGCGATCCTCCCACTCAGCCTCCAAAACAGTGGGATTACTGGCCTGCGCCACCACACCTGGCCTAAATTTCCCTCTTTTATAAGGACATCAGTCACATTTGATTAGAGATCACCCTATACCAGTGTGACCTCGTCTTAACTGATTACATCCGCAATGACTGTATCCAAATCAGGTCACGTTTTGAGGTCCCAAGGGGTTAGGACTTCGGCATATGAATTTGGATTGTGGGGTGGGGGGAACACGATTGAACCCCTCACTGGATGAATTCTTGAGAATGGGCAGCCAGAAAAAGACCTGATTGAGGCCAAAGAGCAAGCGATGTTGGGAGCTTAGGAAAGAGGGTTCTGGCCGAGGGGCCGGGGAGCCCCAGGTCAGTGCACGCCTGCTGTGCGCCAGCTGTTCTGATTCTAGCCTGACTGAACATGACAGTGTCCAGAGAGAAGAGGAAAGCAGAGTTCCCATGGTCCTTGGAGACACCTGTCCTTGGGAGGCATCAGAGCTTTCCCCAGCATTTGGCTCTAGGGCACTTCTCCTCTGGGGCTTCATCCAGGGACGGCAGTAGGTCCAGTCAGTGCCAGCCTCAGCTCCGCTCCACTGGCGCCAGGGTCATGGTTTGGCAGGCCCCCAAATACTGCCCCAGTCCAGACAGGTCTGCAGGGAGCCAGGGCAAGCCCGGACACTAGGGGAGGCTGGGGGCCAAGGCAGCCTCTTTTTCTCTGGGGACAGCACTGGCAGCCCCTGACCCACATCATGGGGTGAGCAAGTGTCCCCAGAGCTCCTGTCCACAGGCTGATGGAGGTGCCCCGGGCCTGGGAGCAGCACGGCTTCCCCAGAGACCTCATGGGCTCCGTAGTGACATGCTCCCTCGATTCCCACCGCTACCAGGCAGAGCTGGCCTCCAGCCCCACACTCCTCTCCTCGTGGGGCTGTCCTGTTCCCCTGCTGGGCCGCCCACTGCCCTATGAGCAGGGGCAATGTCTGTTGTTCCTTCTCTGGAACATGATAGGAGCTTCTCAGAGGATGCTGTGTGTGTGTTCTCAGCACGCAGATTCTGCCCAGTGACTCCTGAGTGGCGGCTTCTCCCTGCGTTCTGGTCTCAGTTACCTTGGCTCATCAGTTCTGTGCCCCTCACTCAAAGGGAATGAACTTCCTTTCGCACAGGTTCAAGTCCCCACCCTTCTCGGGAACACATCTCCTGCTCCCTCCTCCATATCCCAGCCTCCTGACGAGGCTGTGAGTCCTGCCAGGCTGCCCCTTCACAGGCAGAGGGGTTCCACTGTGGTCCTTTTCTTCCTTCTGGGCCCATGGGGTCTGCACGGCCGTCAGCGCCAACCTGAGAAAGCACCGAAGACCTTGTCTTGCATTGGCCTCCGGGCTCCCCTCACCACCCTCTCCACACGAATGATGAATGTACCATTTTGTCAAAGCACCCAGAAGGTTCTCTTCAGTTTTCTTTGATTTTGCAAAATATAAATCCAAAAGGCATTGAGTCGTTTAATATTGAACACTTGAGTGGATTTGAGTACAAACTCGGGGTCCTCCCAGAACTCACAGCCCCTGTCAGGGCTTCTGTGGCGAGCTTGCTCTTTGGCAGGGGAGTCTCCTGTGTTCCCAGTAGCTCCCAGCTTGCTTGCCCGCTGCAGCACGGGCTGCTTTCAGGCACCAGGACCTCTCTGGCACCGGCTCACTGTCCAGCACATCAGAGAGGTAGCCACACACAAGCTGCGGGCCCTCAGTTGCTGGGCTTTGTGACATAGGAGTCACGCCTGCCTCCTTGAGGATGGTGAGCACCCAGTGAGGAAGCACTGCCAGGCATCCTGGCTCACGGCCCATCCCTCAGTGAGCTTGCCACCATGCGGCTGCAGGCGGTGAGCGTCAGTGATGATAATCGTTCCCTGCATGATTTCTAACACACAGTGTTGGCTTTTCCTAACCCAGCATTCAACACCCTCCTCAATGCTTTGGCCACGTGCCTGTACTAATCTCGGAAAGTGGTTGTGTTCCCAAGGTGTCGTATGCTCGCCCGAGCTCAGAGGTGATCAAAGACGCCAACTTGTACATCAGCGGGCTCCCGCGGACCATGACCCAGAAGGACGTAGAAGACATGTTCTCTCGGTTTGGGCGGATCATCAACTCGCGGGTCCTCGTGGATCAGACTACAGGTACCAGAGGGGCCCCAGACGCGTGGGGAGGGTGTTCTCTAGGTGGGGGCTGGGTTTTCTAGGGAAGGCAGATCACCGTTTGATTTTAAATGTCATTAGTTATTCCGCAAACGAGGACAGCACCAAAATGAGAAGACGTTGGCTTTGGTTTGAGGAGGCTGAGGAGGTAAGATGGCATTAAAAGAAGCTGGGGATATCTGGGCGTGGTGGCTCACGCCTGTAATCCCAGCACTTTGGGAGGCCAAGGTGGGTGGATCACGAGGTCAGGAGATGGAGACCAGCCTGACCAACATGGTGAAACCCTGTCTCTACTAAAAATACAAAAAATTAGCTGGGCATGGTGGCGGGCGCCTGTAGTCCCAGCTACTCGGGAGGCTGAGACAGGAGAATGGCATGAACCCGGGAAGCGGAGGTTGCAGTGAGCCGAGGTCTTGCCACTGCACTCCAGCGTGGGTGACAGAGCGAGACTCCGTCTTAAAAAAAAAAAAAAAAAAAGCTGGGGATTAGGCCAGCATTTCATGTACAGTGAAAACGCCAAGAGATTCTAGCACCTTCCCTCAGGCACCCAAATGTGCTGGCCTTGCCCATGAATGGGGTGAAAAGGACACTGCAGGCCGGGTGTGGTGGCTCACGCCTGTAATCCCAGCACTTTGGGAGGCCGAGGTGGACGGATCACCTGAGGTCAGGAGTTTGAGACCAGCCTGGCCAACATGGTGAAGCCCCATCTCTACTAAAAATACAAAAATTAGCCAGGTGTGGTGGCAGGCGCCTGTAATCCCAGCTACTCGGGAGGCTGAGGCAGGAGAATCGCCTGGACCCCAGGAGGCGGAGATTGCAGCAAGCCGAGATTGCGCCACTGAACTCCAGCCTGGGCAGCAGAGCGGGATTTCATCTCAAAAAAAAAAAAAAAAAAAAAAAAAAAAAGGATACTGCAGCCAGGTGCGGTGGCGCGGGCATGTCATCACAGCTGCTCAGGAGACTGAGGTGGGAGGATTGCTTGAGCCCAGGAGTTCACAGCTGTGGTGAGCCGTGATCGCGCCACTACACTTCAGCCTGGGCAACAGAGCAAGACCCTGTTTCTTAAAAAAAAAGAAAAAGAAAAAAAAAGGCTGCTGCACATTTGTCCACTGTGGCTTTCGTTGCAGGCATTTGGGGTGCAGTAGTCTGATGGCCCAAATCCCCAGAATTCGGATGCCCCTCTCTGGGGAGCACATCTAAAGTGCACAGAGCACATGGCAGCGAATTCCTCTAATGGGCAGGCAATCCTGGCCACTTTGCTGGCCCTCCCAGTCCGTCTTGGCACTGGATGTGGGCTCTGGGCTTTGTGTGATGCCGTCAGGCAGAGATGAGCAGGGGACATGTGCACGCCCACGGCTGTGCTCCGGCCCTACTGCCTGGCCCGCCTGCCGCACTAGGCTAGGAACTAGTGCCCCACCACATCCTTTGCCAAGCCCTGCACGTGGCCCCGCCTGGGGGACAGGGAGCTCGGGCCACCCTGAGGGGATTTAGGATCGCTCAGCTCTGTTTGGGGCAGGAGCAGGAGTCTGCTAACTAACCAGCAGGGAAGAATCCACTCCCTGAGCCTAGTGAGGCCCATGCGTTGTATGGGTGGTTTTCATATTCTTCCCACACAGACTGTGTGTGCCGCACCTTGGCTGTGATGTTGAAATAACACCGAGTAGTTGGGCCACAGAAAGTCATGCTCTGAGGTGACCTCTTTTTGAGAGAACAGCAGCACTCCCCCAGCAGCCCAGAGCCTCGCCTTTCATGTGCACACAGGTGGGGCCTTCCTGGCCTGCAGGCTAGAGGGGCATGCACATTGTCCTGCGTCCCCTGAGCTGCGTGCTTTGGGGTGGGCGGCCTTATCAGTCTCTCTTCCTCCTCCTTTCCGGCTGTAGGAACCCCACCTGGCATGCACTGGCCCTGCCGCTGCCGGCCTTCGTTCCCGCTGGGGCCCGAGGAGGGGAAGGGCCCCTTTGCACTTCATGGGGGCCCTGGGAGCTTCCTGTAGCCTAGCACAGACTCGCGCCCTGGCACCGGGCAGTGCCGAAGGACAGGGCTCACTCGCACGGCCGCCGCCATTCTGCCTTTGCTCTGGGGAGAGGGTCGGGGGATGCCAGTTACTCGGTGTAAACTCCCCTGGTCTGCACCAGAAGAGTCTCCTGTGGTCCCTGAAGTCCTCTCACTTAAGTGCCAGCTGAGCGAATGATCCTGTCAGTGGGCCAGTGTGTGGGTTTATTGCCCCCCATTCTGCACTGGGGCATCTGAGCTGGCTGTGCAGGGCCCAGGGCCGGGGGAACCAACCTCACTGGCCCACAGTCCACTCCCCTCCTCCTCTAGACCCCACATGCACTGCTCTGCCTCGGCCTGTCTGTGTCCAGTATGGCCCTGATGAGGGAAGCCTGTGCTCCACTTGGAGCCCCCAATGCCTGAGAACATGCCTCCAGCCACCCAACTCTCTTGGGGCCTTCCCTAGTCTCTCAGGCACACACGGGCCACAGGCAGGGGGAACTCACCTCTGCACACAGCTGCTGGGGGCATTGCTTCCTTTCCCTCTGCAAGATAGTGTCTCCCAGGGTGTTGGGGGCACCTTAGTATTGCGCCCCCAGGGTCGGCTGTGAACCTCAAGGTGGCCTAAGGAACCTTTGTCATCTTTGCAGAGCAGTGAGGGAGGCAGAGAGAAGGGAGCCAGGAGGGTCTCCCGGCTCTGCTTCCCACCCCAGGATGCAGAATTGGTGGGAAGGTGAGGCTCCCATCCCAGGGCTGTAGCTCCCTCTGCTGGAGACAGAGTGTGTGTGGCAGGCCAGCCTGTGTGGAGTTTGCCTTCCTGTGACGGGCTTTTTAGTGTTAAATAGATGAGGATGGCCGGGCGCGGTGGCTCACGCCTGTAATCCTAATACTTTGGGAGGCCAAGGTGGGAGGATTGCTTGAGCCCAGGAGTTCAGAACAGCCTGGCCAACATAGCGAGACCCCCAACTCTTTTTTTAAAAAAAGAGAAAAAAAATCCCACCCTGAGCTGACAGAGCTTAATTTTTTGTATTCCTTCGCTTCTATATCCACCTTAATTGTGAACTTTATAGTGTATTCATCTGGAGATTATGCCGTTTCTTGGACTCTGCTGTTAAATTCTAAAAAACACAAGGGGGCCGGGGGCCGTGGCTCACGCCTGTAATCCCAGCATTTTGGGAGGCCAAGGTGGGTGGATCACCTGAGGTCAGCAGTTCGAGACCTGCCTGGCCAACATGGCAAACCCCATCTGTACTAAAAATAGGCCGGGCACGGTGGCTTATGCCTGTAATCCCAGCACTTTGGGAGGCCAAGGTGGGCGGATCACGAGGTCGAGAGGTCGAGACCATCCTGGCCAACATGGTGAAACCCCGTCTCCACTAAAAATACAAAAACTTAGCCAGGCATGGTGGCAGGCACCTGTAATCCCAGCTACTGGGGAGGCTGAGGCAGGAGTATCGTTTGAACCTGGGAGGCGGAGGTTGCAGTGAGCCGAGATTGCACCATTGCACTCCAGCCTGGGCAAAAAGAGCGAAACTCCATCTCTAAATAAATAAATAAAGTAAAATAAAATAAAAATTAGCCAGGCATGGTGGCAGGCGCCTGGAGTCCCACCTACTCGGGAGGCTGAAGCAGGAGAATCACTTGAACCGGGGAGGTGGAGGTTGCAGTGAGCTGAGATCGTGCCATTGTACTCCAGCCTGGGCGACAGAGCGAGACTCCATCTTAAAAAAAAAATTAAAAATAAAAAACACTAGGGGAAGAAAAAAACAAAAAATGCAGAGCCATCTTCAGAAAGTATACATCCATTAAATAATTGAGTGAATTGATATCCCCCTCTGCTAAACAGCATCCCTCCTGCCCCCCTTACTAGAGCTTTCTTCCTTTCACTCAGGCAGTTTGCATTTGAAAGCCACTCTACAACCCCAGACGAGGAAGCCACACTTGCACACGTGCCTTCTCTCCGCTGGGCCGCAGGGTCTTTAGAAACAGAATGAAGCCATCTGCTTGGAGCCAGCTTCCCTACGAGCCGGCCAGCGTCAGCTCTCAGTCGTATTTGCCTAAAGTTCGATTTTCATTTAGGTTTCCAAGACTGACTAAGCTGTCATTCGTGTCGTGAGAGACTCAAAGAAAACAGCATCTGTCAGGGTTGTGTTTTCAGGTGTTCCTTCTGAGCAGCAGCTCAGAAATGAGCTTGAGCCCCAGAATATTCCTGGCACGTGTGCGTAGCGCTAGGTCTGACCTTACTAAAGCTGCTGTCTCTGTGCTCACGGGGGGCCTGCAGTGTCGCGATTGTGGGGGCAGCTGGCGGGACCCTCTGGGAAGTGGTGGAGTAAGGTGCCGTGTGAGGCGTGGAGACAGGACATGGGGACAGTTGGGTGCCCGCTGGACAGGTCACCCAAGGCCCCGGGCTGCCTGGCTTTGGTCGTTGTTTGTTACCATGCACCAGAGGCCTTTGCCTGGAGAAGAAACCTGACTTAAGACACCCTTTGACTGGAAGTCTTTCTTTTTCCTTAAGAGGTGAGATCTTACTGTGTTGTCCAGGCTGGTCTTGAACTCCTGGCCTCAGGCGATTCTCTTGCCTCAGCCTCTGGAGTAGTTGAGACCACAGGCATGAGCCTTGGCCTGGCTTGACTAAAAGTCTTGAGAACCAGGGTGTTTGGGTTGGGCTGTCTGTGACGGCCTCTCCCACTGGGACACACCCGTGACTCCCGCCTAGTGATGTCACTCTCAGACTGGCCTCTCAGCTGTCACCTCTCCCACCCCTGGGCCTTCCCCTGACTCCATCATGTCCTTGCCCCCAGAGAAGGAGCTAGTGCGCTGCTCAGTGTGCCCTCATCCCCATCCCCCTCATCCAGTTTCCAGCCCGCTTCCCAGGTTCCTCAAGGGACGGGCTACTCATGTTTCCCTCCCGGGCCTAGTGTATGGACAGGCAGGGGTGCAGGACAGCCATGCTCTCCTTCCACCCGCCTTGCTCAGCATCTCACACCCATGCCCAGCTGACCAATGTCCCCCATAGCAGGACGGTCCTCAGGTCTCACACTGCTCCGTCCAGGGATTGGGTTTAGCCGGGAACCCGGGACTGGCCCTTGGGTGGCTCAGTTGAGGTGGCAAGAGAAGATGCCCTCTGGGCTTGGCTGCTGGGGCCCTGGCCCTTCCCATACAGGGACCCCAGGCCTGCCTGGCGAGCCTGTGGATAGGTTCAGCTCTGCTGTATGAGCCTGGGCAGTGTTCTGGCCTCATTTGATTCTGATGGCAATTTGGGGCCCACGGGAGGGGTGTAGGACCTTAGAGTGGAGTATCCCAAGACAGGAGTGAGGTGACAGCAGCAGCATGGAGCTGGCAGGGGGTGGCCACAGGACCCTACTCCCTCCTGGCATGAAGGAGAAGGCATGCAGGCTGAGCTGGGCACCTTTGCAGCAGGCTCGGCCACGAGGCCTGCTGTCACAGCGGGCCCAGAGACAGCAGCCAGGAGAGTGGCCCCTGAGCCCAGGGAGGATCTCTCAGACGCAGTCCCCACTCCAACCCTGTTACCCACCAACCACACACCACACCCACGCACCCACTCTGTGGCGGACACCTGGCAGCTAAATAGTGACGGTGGATGTGCTGTTTCCTAATGTTGCTTTCTTCCAAATAAGAGGCCTGGGTGTCTATTGGGGATGTCTGTCACCAAAATATCTTTGGGCGCCAACACTGTGGAGTCATGGCTTCAGCCGGGAAGAAAGTCTGAAGCTTTAATCTTCTGTTAGTCATTGGTTTTCTTTACTCCATCCATTTGTTTTCACTTTTAGGTTTAATTTTTGTTTATTTCCTTAACCAGACTTCTAGCCTGGCCCACAGTAGACTGACCTGACTTTTGCTTTTCAGTTTTGAAAGTCCTAGCGTTTTTCCCCCTAACTCCGTTTTTGTTGATTTGTTGAAAAGGTTTGTCCAGAGGGGTTGCGTTTATCCGGTTTGACAAACGGTCGGAGGCAGAAGAGGCAATTACCAGTTTCAATGGTCATAAACCCCCAGGTTCCTCTGAGCCCATCACAGTGAAGTTTGCAGCCAACCCCAACCAGAACAAAAACGTGGCACTCCTCTCGCAGCTGTACCACTCGCCAGCGCGACGGTTCGGAGGCCCCGTTCACCACCAGGCGCAGAGATTCAGGTGGGTCGGGAGGGTGCGCGCTCCTGAAAGCCATACTTAGCCCCGCTGGCAGGCGACGGCACAGCCACAGAATAGAAACCACGGGGATGATAGACTGATCCCGTCAGAGAGCGCGTTTCAGAATCATTCTGCAGCTCCACACCACAACCTCCATCAGAAAGGTGTCTGTAGGAAAGCCGTTTACTTCCGATTGGGCGTTGTCTTTCATGGGAATCAAAACAGTGACTCCAGGCTGGACACAGTGACTTATCCCTGTAATCCTAGCACCTTGGGTGGCTGAGAGAGGAAGATCGATTGAGCCCAGGAGTTCAAGACCAACCTGGGCAATATTGCGAGACCCCATCTCTACAAAAAATACAAAGCTGGCCAGGCATGGCGGTGCGCTCCTGTAGTTGCAGCAACTCAGGAAGCTGAGGTGGGAGGATTGCTTGAGCCCAGGAGGTTGAGGCTGCAGTGAGTTGTGATCATACCACTGCACTCCAGCCTGGGCCACAGGGCCAGAACCTGTCTTTTTTTGTTTTTATTAAAAAAAAAAAAAAGACAGCACCAGTCCCCACCAGTTGCTGTGAGCGTGAGCACTTAGAGCTTCAGCACGCAGTTCCTAGTAACAGCAGAACGGAGCCGCGAGCTTTAAAGATGGTTTCATGCCCAGTGTGGGGGAGCACACACCTGTAATCTCAGCTCTCAGGAGGCCGAGTTAGGAGGATTACTTGAAGCCCCGAGTTTGAGCAGCCTGGGCAACAAAGTGAGACCCCTGTTCCTACAAAAAGTAATGAAAAAAACTGGGCATGGTGATGCTGGCCTTTAGTCCCAGCTACTCAGGAGGCCATGGTGGGAGGATCGCTTGAACCCAGGAGGTGGAGGCTGCAGTGAACTATGATTGCACCACTGCACTGCAGCCTGGGTGATAGAGTGAGACCCTTTCTCTAAAAAATAAATGAATAATGAACGTCTCATATCTGTGGGAGAAAAGATGCTGCCTTAGGTATACTCGGGTGAGAGTAGATCTTCCAGCATTCTTAGACATTTGATCAGCAGCCCTAAGGCAAACCTTTTTCAAACACCTGCCTCGTGGAGTCATTTGTATTGGTGAATGTTGTATGTATGCATTCTGTTTATAAGCCCTGTCCTAGAGGGGAGGAGTTTTCCCGGATTCCTTAGTCTTTCCATCCTGAAAATGGTTCTGGCTGCCAGGATGAAGTGGGATAGAGGCGATGAGAGTCAGGGCCTTGGACTCCAGGATGTGGTGTGCTGTCGCCTCAGAAACAGCAGAGGTCTCAGTGTCAGGGCTGTTTTGTTTTTGTCAAAACCTCAAGGAGTGGCATCGAGGGCTTATCTCAGGTATGACAAGGATAGATTTCCCTTTTTTTTTTAATTTTTAATGTTTTTATTTTTTGTTGAGATGGGGTCTCACTGTGTTGCCCAGGCTGGTCTTAAACTCCTAGCCTCAAGTGATCCTCCTACCTCAGCCTCCCAACGTACTGGGATTATAGGCGTGAGCCCGGCCCCATCGTTGTTTTAACAGTGAAGCTGGGTGGGCGCTGCCCAGTGCCACACATGCTGCTGTGAGAGGTGTTATTCTCATGGCTGAGTTACCCAGCATTCTCAGCCTGGCTCAAATTCCAAAGCTGGCCTGCCTTCCTTGAGGTTTCTGGCTTGAAGACAAGGCTGGGGAAGCTTCTCTGGACGGAATGGAGCTGAATTTTAAAATCCAGCTCTAGAAATCCCATCATACAGTCGGTCCTGCTCTTGATGGGGCGGGCTATATGGGCGGTGGGGTTGGGTGAACTGCTCCTTAGCCTGGAAGGAAAACAGGGAAGGTTGGAGGAGACATGGGACTCTGGTCCCAGTAATGAGGACAAGAAAAGAAAGGGGAAACCGGAGAAGTGGACATTTCTGGTCGAGCAGGAAAAGTGAGTGGCAGGGCAACCACTAAGACAAAGTGATGGAAGGAAGTGGGGAGGGCGGGAGAGTCTGGAGGGAAAGATTCGCTCAGGAGGCTGAGAGAAGAGGAGGAAGAAAGACCCAGACTGCAGTGAGTTTGCAGTCAGTCCCTATCACGTCCAGAAAAGCCCAGAGATAAGGGATGGAAAAGAATTGGGTTGGAGGAAGAGAGGAGAAGATTTATGACTGTCAAGACCAGAGAAATCAGCAGGAGAAAAACTACCAACAAGAGTAATTCCTAAGAAGGCCGGGCGCATTGACTCACGCCTGTAATCCCAACGCTTTGGGAGGCCAAAGCAGGAGGATCACTTGAGCCCAGGAATTTGAGACCAGCCTGGACAACATAGACCCTTTCTTCTTAGTCTTTCCATCCTGAAAATGGTTTTACAAAAAATGTAAAAATTAGCCAGCATGGTGGCACACACCTGTGGTCCAGCTGCTCAGGAGGCAGGAGGATCACTTGAGCCTAAGAGTTTGAGACCATACTGGACAACATAGTGAGACCCTCTCTCAAAAATAAAGAAAATCACCGTTGGGCTAGTGAGCTGCCCCATGGCAGCTGGTGTCCTCTCGTGTCTGTCGAGAGGGTGAATCTGTTTAACAGCGCTTGAAGGCACTCGTTTACCCCGGCTGGGGCCTGCAGGGCTGCGCTTGGCTGATAGGGCCATAGCCTGAAGCCCAGTTTTATTTTGGAGCAGGTAATGCTTCTCTGCATGCATCACGCAGCTTCACAGATGCCGGCTTCACAAATGTATGCTACTCAGATATTCCCAAACTGACCCTCAGACCTTTACTTTTTTAATGTGAGAAAGTTCCAGAGGGAAACATAGCTTTAGGAACTGTTTTGTCATATACCTTAATCCTTATTACAGCATCTGTACATTTTCAGAAGGCTTTATTTTATTTTAGTTTAGTTTAGTTTTTGTTTTCTGAGGTTTTTGTTTTTTTCCTAGAGATGGGGTCTCTCTGTGTTGCCCAGGCTGGTCTCAAACTCCTGGCCTCAAGTGATCCTCCCACCTTGGCCTCTCAAAGTCCTGGGATTCCGTGCTTGAGCCACCATGCCTGGCCCAGAAAGGCTTATTTTTTATGTAAATAAAAGTATCACTGTGGAAAGAGCCCCACGTGTGTGGTCAAGTTTGGTGAGCCTGCCGTTGCTGGTGTCCCAGGGCCCTTCCCTGTCCCTTGAGTTCTCAGTCCTCAGTGGTTTGGCCCCTGACCCTCAGGGGATGTTGAGCTCTAGCCACAGAGGGTTGGTTGCCTGGTGCTTGGGAAGGAATTCTTGTGCCCTACAAGTGGCCCTGGCAAAGGCGTGCTCTAACCAGAGACCACTGGGCTGTCAACGCTTGGGGGCGGGTCATGATAAGGGGAAGGTGCAAAATTTGGAAAAAGGAGTTCAGCCCCTGCACGTACCCCACAGTACGAGGAGAGTTTCCTCCAGGGAGAACTGAGGCTGTCAGAGGCCTGCAGAGCATTTCTACCTTCAACGGAGGACCAGGAGAAGCGCCCATCATCTAAAATGTGGGGAACCGCAGGAACCCCTAAACAGAAACCCCGACATACACAGTGGGAGGAGTGGAGGGCACCAACCAGCCCCTCAGAGTCAGCTCCCTACAGAACAGGGTCCCGCCCCTCCACTACTGTATTTAATTCCTCCCAGGGTTTTGACCCATGCAGGTGTCTCAACCGTGAGCACCTCGTGGCTGCGCAGAGCGGGATGGGGCCCAGCGGCCATGGTCAGCATGCGTCCAGGCCTTGCCCCATCCCCAGGCCGCCTGCGCTGACCGTGGCCTGACGCTTGCTCTCTGTCTGCCAGGTTCTCCCCCATGGGCGTCGATCACATGAGCGGGCTCTCTGGCGTCAACGTGCCAGGAAACGCCTCCTCCGGCTGGTGCATTTTCATCTACAACCTGGGGCAGGATGCCGACGAGGGGATCCTCTGGCAGATGTTTGGGCCGTTTGGTGCCGTCACCAATGTGAAAGTGATCCGCGACTTCAACACCAACAAGTGCAAAGGGTTTGGCTTTGTGACCATGACAAACTATGAAGAAGCCGCGATGGCCATAGCCAGCCTGAACGGCTACCGCCTGGGGGACAAAATCTTACAGGTTTCCTTCAAAACCAACAAGTCCCACAAATAACTCGCTCATGCTTTTTTTTGTACGGAATAGATAATTAAGAGTGAAGGAGTTGAAACTTTTCTTGTTAGTGTACAACTCATTTTGCGCCAATTTTCACAAGTGTTTGTCTTTGTCTGAATGAGAAGTGAGAAGGTTTTTATACTCTGGGATGCAACCGACATGTTCAAATGTTTGAAATCCCACAATGTTAGACCAATCTTAAGTTTCGTAAGTTATTTCCTTTAAGATATATATTAAACAGAAATCTAAGTAGAACTGCATTGACTAACCAGTCCCTCTGGATGGTGGTGAACCTGAAGCATGCTTTAACCTCTAAGACTGTCTAACACGCGTTTCATTCAATGTCTCCACAGACTGGGTAGCAAAAAAATCACCTTTTAGTTTTAGTTTTTAATCTAAAGATGTTAGACAGATGCTGAGTGTGCGTTTTCTCAACCGCTTCAACATTGTAAGCGATGTATGCTTTGGTTGACAGGAAGTTCCTTTTCCAGGCAGGTCCCGTTGCCACCTCCTGCTCACTCAGTCCCGGGCTCTGCCGAGTGGTCCTGGGAATGGCGGCGGGCCCGTCCAGCGTGGGCCACCACTGGGGCCGGGGGCCACGGGCTGCATGCTGGGCGGGCCCTCCAGAGAAGGACACAAACGTGTTTCGTAAGCCCAGGCACCAATGGGAATGGACCAAAGAGTTTCAGGGAAACTCCAGTATATTCCAGAGTCAGATCTAAGCTCCAGGCACGCCTGAAGATGTGTTGCTACTCTGACATCCCGAGTTTCTGTCCACACATTGCATGCACAGCGCCCCACACATTGGATACTGTTGTTCACGATAATTTCTCCCGTTTTCCAGAGCATTTAACATAGCTTGGAGGCGTAAAATGGCTCTGTATTTTAATAACACAGAAACATTTGAGCATTGTATTTCTCGCATCCCTTCTCGTGAGCGCTTAGACCTTTTTCTATTTTAGTCGGATTTTGTTTTGGAATTTTGCTTTTGTATGAACACTCAGCAGAAAAGTACTTACTTCTTGCCAGTTATCTATTAACCAAAACCTTTGATTTGTAGTTTTAAAGATTAACCCTCAAAGTTCTCTTCATAACTGCCTTGACATTTTGGGTTGTTCTGTTCTGTTAATTTTCTTTTGCTTTTTTGTGTTTTTTGTTTGTTTTTACTTTTGCATTTAAGACCATTAAATTTGATTTTGTTTTGCTCGAATTTTGTTTTGTTTTTTATTTTACCTTTTCTTTCTTTTTGGCTAGGGAAGGTGCAGGTGGCCCAGCATTCAGGGAGGAGTCGTAAGATCTTAAGAAACCAATCCTTGCCTCAAGCAAAAGCATTTCTGAATCTGTGACGCAAGAATGTGCAGTTACAGGCTGGTGGCTTTTAAACCAGGAGCCCGGAGGAAGGGTGAAAGAGAAAGCCTGTGAAATAGGCAGGGCCAGATCACCCAAAACTCCTCAGGACTGGGATCTGGCGTTTATAAATAACTAGTTTACAGAGAGAATCACAAACAGGATAACTTAGTACCAGCAGTTTTTAACCTTGACGTGAGACTAAAACGTGACCGTAGGCTGTTTTTTAGTTATTGCTCTCATGAGATGATGGCTGTATTTATCTGTTTATTTATACCTATTTATGTATTTATTTATTGAAGTGTGAAATTGAGCAATAGGCAGGCACCACCGTCCCCAGAGCAGGTCAGCGTCTCGAGAGGCCCCTGGACAATTGAGGATGCCCATCCCCTCCCCTTTCCCTGATCTTTTACTGAGGGGCTGTGTGCGCGATCCTTGCAAATTGATGATGTTGCCATCCGTACCCAGGCTGTGTCTCATAAAAGTCGGCCTGGTGCCAGAGAGGACCTCCTTTCTCCCACAGAATCCCAGATCCTCAGGAAAAGCCAAAACCGAGGCCCATTGCCCGGATTCGACACAAAAGAGGGTCCCTGCTCTGTTGCCCGAGAGCAGTCTGCATCCTGGGACCAGAATGCTTTCCTGGAAAAAGAAGCCTTTCAGGTTTCCCTGGGCCAGCATCTTCTGATGGAAGGTGGGAGCCAACACCCTTCTGATGGAAGGTGGGAGCCAACACCCTTCTGATGGAAGGTGGGAGCCAACACCCTTCTGATGGAAGGTGGGAGCCAACACCCTTCTGATGGAAGGTGGGAGCCAACACCCTTCTGATGGAAGGCGGGATTCCCGCTTCTGAAACTCCCCCTGGAGTCTCACTCCCACACATGCCCATAGCTAGCATTCAACAGAGAACTCTGTCTTAAGCTTCAACTGTGAAAATGATGACGGGCTTGTAGCACCTCAGCTTCTTTCCTCGCCCCCTTTTATCTGAATCCTATCAATTATTCTGATGCTGGGACAGGTGAGAAGAAACTGTGAAGTATATGAGCCTTTGAAAGTTCCCTGAAGTTTCTCAGTTCAGGAACATTCTCATTGTATGTGGTCTCCGCTGTTTGAACAGCCTTCTAGCTAAAAAATTCCAAAGCCTTTATTTGGGAGTCTTAGCTTGCAAGCTTGTGGAAGGATTTAGCTTAACAACTGTCACTCCTGAAAAGCAATCTCTGTTCCATCAAGGTTCTAGTTGCTGGCCCTGTGTCCTCAAAGTTCATTACATCTTATCAAGGCCTGTTTGCAAAGGGGAGATCCCTTTTCTTAAAAAAGGCTCAACCCAAAAGAAACCATTTCTTAAAAAATTTTACATAGATCAGTTGTATTTCTATTTAGCAAAAATGAGTGCTCTGCTTTTATTTGGGAATTTCGATGAAAAAGCGTTCAGA
Source organism: Homo sapiens (assembly GCF_000001405.40). Classification (NCBI taxonomy): domain Eukaryota; kingdom Metazoa; phylum Chordata; class Mammalia; order Primates; family Hominidae; genus Homo; species Homo sapiens. The sequence continues at coordinate 7,960,705 of NC_000019.10, read as the reverse complement.
GTAGATAATGTTCATTTATCAAAAATCTGGTTTGGGAAATACCAAAGAGGCTTTGATTGAATTCCCTTTTGACCCGTGTGTAACTTCCTCTGGTAGTTAGACCCCAGGCAGCTCCGAATTTGTGAACCTGCTTCCTGATGAATTCTCCCTTGTTCCCCCTTGGCTCTGCCATTATTTCGTTTTCAGTGTAATTTGCCAAGCCGCAGTTTTCTGTGCTGGCTGTGCCTCTAGTCGCAGCTCTGTGACTGATTCCCTCCCGGGTGCTGAGTCCCCTCCCCGGCCACCATCCTGCGTGAATATCCTGAAATTCATGGGCTTCCTCGGGGGCCCGCCCGCAGGTGGTGCTGGGTGGGTTCCGCCACCTTCTCCTGGAAGGTGAGCCTTTTCCTGGCCAAGGGCAGCTGCCTTAACCTCTGAGAGTCTGCGCTTGGCCTTAGTCCTGGAGACCCAGCCTCCAGGGACTGAACCGTGCTGCTGTTGGGAGCCAAGACCGGCCCTTTGGAGCCGGCAGCCCAGGGGTCCCTGCTGGATCAGAGAAATAGAAGCACCCGAAGACGGTTAGTGGCAATTCCTTGACCCGGTTTGCTTCCAAATGAAGGCCATTTGTCCACCAGGCATTGAAAAGACATGACTTACCCAGTCCGGCATCGGACTTGAAAAATCGAAATTGACATCACTCAGCTGTTACATTTCACATCCGATTCAGCCCCCTTTTATTTCCATGTGCTTTTCGCAGCCTTCCTGTGTTGGATGAAAGAGAATAAGAATTCAGCTGACAGGAGGCCTCTATCCTGTCCCTCCACCCCACCCTCCACCTCAATCCCCTCCCATCTTCCCCAGACCTACCTCACCTACTAGGACCTGAGGCAGCTCCTTAGCAGAGACCCCTGGGGTTTAGCTGACTCTGGGGGTCAGGGGTTCCTGTCCCCAAACTTCGCAAGACAGCCCTGAAGTCACAAGTGCTTTCTTTTAAGTGGCATTGGCAATTGGCGTGTAATGATGGCAGTAGAATCTGAATCTCGGATCCCAGGCAGGGTTCACATTTCCAAACCTTTTTGATTTCCCCTGACCTCTAATGGCTGGATCCTATTTTTCTACAACCTTTCAGTGACATCGTTCAGGTTTCTTTCTTGGCCATTTAAAAAAACAAATTTTTTTTTTCTCACTTGTAAGTCACCGCCAGTACCTAAGTTAGGCTAACGGAGACTTTGACAGGACTGGATTTTTCTTCCACCAGAAGAGAAGCCTTTTCCGTTGGTTTGGGGCCACCTCTTTGACCATGACCATGTGATGTTCCGTTTACAGTGACTTGCTTTGGGGGAGGGGAGGCTCTCTTAACCGATTCCCATGTTGTACAGTAGATGGTTAGACCTTTTGTATATTAGTGTGTTTTAAGTTATTGATTTGTTTTATATAAAATAATTTATTTTTCAGGTGCCATTTTTCATTTTAACTTTGTTTTTACATGGGTTTGTTTTCAATAAAGTCTGACACTGGTGTCCAAAAGTCAACAATAAAATGAATCCCATTGTGTTCTTTTGAAGATGCCTATGTAACTTTTAAGCTTTTTAAATTATTTTCAGAAAAAAAAAAAGAAAAGCCCTTATCAGTTTTCCATCAGCCCATTGCCTTTTTATTTTTTTTTTTTAATCCTTGTGAATAAATGTTCTTTAGTGTTTTAGGAGGAAAAAGCAAACCTAGATTTTGATAACCCAGAAGACTTCAGATTAATAAAGAAGCTTTGAAAGAAGACCATTTTTCAAAATTTTAGTGAAGTGTGAATATTTTTTGTCAATGGCTTTCTCAAAGAGAATGAAACTTTTGCACCATTTTCAGAGTTTTTATAGAGATGCCAAATTGATATATTTACATGTAATGGAAACATGAAAAAGTTTTATTAAACAATTGTTCATAGCTGTGTAGACATTTTAATTCAGTTTCCAAAGCTCTCAAAAAATCGTATTTTTGAAGTACGGAGTGATGCGGTTTGGGGCGTGGCTTACAGTTCCAACGACTCAATTGTCCCGATACTCAGTTCTTTCTACAGGTATCAGGTTCGTGTTAAACGCTGTATGTTAACTATGACTGGAATTCTGTGATATTTTGGTAATAAATGAAGTGGGATCATTGCGATGTGCTGGTGTAGGGGTGATGGTGTATGACTTGTGAGCAGCCCACAGCCCAGTAATAGAGTGCCAGGGGATGGGGACCTCTTCCCTCCGAGGTAAGCCTGTGCCAGGTCCCGGGAGCCCACGAGGGGACACCCAGTTCGGGTGTGCCCTGTGCTGGCTGACCCACGGCCCTTCAGCTCCCACCCAGATGCCCCTCTTCTCCAGGTTCACAGGTCAGTGGGCCCACCGAGTGGCCCCTGGGTATGGCCCCCCTCCATCTGCTTCCCACACCAGTGCTCCCCCAACAGTGACCCGGGGATCCTGCCTCTTCCCTCGTCTGTATGTGGAACCATAGTCACTCCCGAGCCCTGGGGCCATCCTCAGTGTCCCCTCCGTGAGACTGATCTCCTTTGTCTCCTTTGGGATGGGAATGGTTAGGGGTCTCAAGGTCAGAGAGTCCAGGTTCAAATCCTGGCTCTGACACCACTCCCCAGCGTGCCACCCAGGGGAAAGTCCCTGGCTCTCTTGAGTCTCCGCTCTACCCTCTGTGAAATGGGTCCACGCTGCCCACCCCCTCCAGATCCTCAGGAAAATGAGATCAAGTAGGGATGGTGACAGTTGCTACCAAGAATCAGCCAAGGACTGGATGGTCGCGCCCAGCACCCAGAGAGCTGAGCTAACATGGGCCCGCAGCCCGGTCTCTCGGAAAGCATTTACGGAGCCCGTTTTCAAGTTGCTAGTTTCTCTATTGCTTGTGTGTCTTGTGGGTCTGTGTTCATCACCTTCTCTTCCAGACGTGACTAAATGATCCCTCGGCTTCCAGGAAAAACCCATGTTGTCTGACACCACCTGGGGCCAAAGGGCCAGGGCTGTGCTCCAGCCAGAGCCCTGACAGCGCTCGGGGCCATCCCCCAGGTGTTCAGACCCCAGGGGCCGACAGCTGGGGCTCCTGCGGCCTCTGGGCAGCTCCACTGGCTCAGGCTAATGGATCTCCTGACCGCCCCACCTGTGAACCCAGGAGAAAGGGTCCGGGCGTCTGCGCCTCCCAAACTTAAGAATGCATCTGCCTCCCATGGGGGAGCATCATTTCAAAGCAGATTCGTCTTCTGCAGGTCTGGTGTGGGCCTGGGAATCTGCATTTCTTTCTTTCTTTCTTTCCTTTCTTCCTTCCTTCCTTCCTTCCTTCCTTCCTTCCTTCCTTCCTTCTTTCTTTCTTTCTTTCTTTCTTTCTTTCTCTCTTTCTCTCTTTCTCTCTTTCTCTCTCTCTCTCTTTCTTTCTTTTCTTTCTTGACAGAGTCTCGCTCTGTTGCCCAGGCTGGAGTGCACTGCCGCGATCTCGGCTCACTACAACCTCCACCTTCTGGGCTCAAGCAATTCTGCTTCAGCCACCCGAGCAACTGGGATTACAGGCCCACGCCACCTGGCTAATTTTTGTATTTTTAGTAGAGACGGGGTTTCACCATGTTGGCCAGGCTGGCCTCAAACTCCTGACCTCAGGTGATCTGCCCTCCTCAGCCTCCCAAAGTGCTGGGAGTACAGGCGTGAGCCACGGCGCCTGGCCTGAGAACCTGTATTTCTCCCTGGTGACGCCAGTGTCAGACTCACCGTGAGAAGCAAGAAGTTTAGAAGAGTCCCCTGTGTGGGACGAACCTTAATGAAACCTGACAGCCCCCATCTCCACCTCTGCTCCAGGGATGGCTTCCATCCCTGCCTCACCCCAGAATTCAGAGCCCAAGAGGCCCAGTGAGGCGCCTGTGCATGGCAGGCAACACTTGCGTTCCACCAGACCTCTCCAGACCCCTGCCTCTATGGGGACTAGTTTCATTGCTCCCTTCAAGGTCAAGGGTCTGAGGCATGCATCCTTTTGTCCTTGGGTTTTGCGTGTGTGTGTTTCAACCTCAGTAATTTCTTAGCACAATTTAAAAGGATTTCTGGAAGAGAAGGAGAAACAGATGCCTGCGTTGTCTGGAGAACCACGGTTTGTGTTTAGTCATACGAGAGCCAAGCTGTGACATGAGAGTGTTTTTATTGGGGTGGGGGGGAGCGCAGCGAATCTCACCCTCTGCTGTCCCTGATCCTCTGCCACAACAACTTCAGGAAGCCTTTTTTTTTTTTTTTTTTTTTTTTTGAGATGGAGTCTTGCCCTGTCGCCCAGGCTGGACTTCAGTGGCGCGATCTCAACTCACTGCAACCTCCACCTCCCCAGTTCAAGCAATTCTCCTGCCTCAGCCTCCCGAGTAGCTGGGATTACAAGCGCACACCACCACGCCCGGCTAATTGTTTGTCTTTTTAGTAGAGATGGGGTTCACCATATTGGCCAGGCTGGTCCCGAACTCCTGATCTCAGGTGATTGTCCCACCTCGGCCTCCCAAAGTGCTGGGATCACAGGTGTGAGCCACCCACCTCACCTGGCCAGGAAACCATCTTGACGTCCCACAGCAGCCCTGTGGACGAGGGAGCGCTGGTCCCAGGTTAAGGGCTTAAACATGTTCTACTCCACCCAGAAGGGCCCACCCACTGGGCAGCAGGGAGAACAGACCGGGCACGCCTGCCCCACACAGTAGGGGTGCTGAATGCCTGGACGCTCTGGGCAGCAGGGGCAGGGCCCTTAAGGGAGTGACGTTGGAACAGGAAGGACCCAATAGTGAATGTTAGCTTTTTGCGTTACACAGTACTTTACCGTTCATGCACCTATTTCACAGATGACACAGCAGAACTTGGCGGATTGGAAAACACGCTGTGCTGGTGATTATTTTCTTAGTTTGGCGTAGAGCATCCTGGCTTTCGGCCGCCCCCTTAGTTTTGTGCCTCTGAACTATCTGTTTCAGGGTTTAGACATGGATGGAAAGTTGAGGGTGGGTAGGAGGCTGAGTACTGCCTGCATGACCTGCAGGGGTAGACAGGGCTCAGGGGCTCAGGATCAGACACCAGGGGGCCTGGACACCCCCCATGCTCTCACCACAGGCCTTGCGGCCACCCCCAACCAAGCAAGGAAATCCACCCCCCGAGCTCCTCCAAGGAGAAGAGACGGCTCCCGATCCCCGCCTCACCCCAGAATTCAGAGCCCGAGAGGCCCAGCCCCAAGCCAGGGCCCTGTGTGTTGTGGGGGACGTTCGAGTTCCACCAGTCCCCTCTGGACCCCCGCCTCTGGGGGGGGGCTATTTCCATTGCTCCCTTCAAGGTCAAGGGTCTGAGGCCTGCATCCTTTTTTCCCTGGGCTTTGTGTGTGTCTTTCAACCTCAGTAATTTCTTAGCACAATTTAAAAGGATTTCTGGAAGAGAAGGAGAAACCTAGACACCTGCGTTGTCCGGAGAACCACTGTTTGTGTTTAGTAATAGCCGAGTTCTGACATGAGAGTGTTTTCGCTGGGGGGCAAGGGGCAGGGAGAGCGCGGTTTCCCTCCCACCTCAGTGTCCTCAGAGCCTGAGGAGTTCTCAGCAACCTGTCCTGAGAACTGGTATGAGGAGGGAGGATCGCCTGAGCTCAGGAGTTCAAAACCAGCCTGGGCAACATCATGAGAGCCTATCTCTATAAAAAATGTAAAAATGAGGCCGGGCACAATGGTTCACACCTGTAATCCCAGCACTTTGGGAGGCTGAGGTGGGCAGATCACCCGAGGTCAGGAGTTCGAGACCAGCCTGCCCAACATGGTGAAACCCTGTCTCTACTAAAAATACAAAAATTAGCTGGGCGTGGTGGTGTGTGCCTGTAGTCCCAGCTACTTGGGAGGCTGAGGCAGGAGAATCGCTTAAACCTGGGAGGTGGAGGGTGCAGTGAGCCCAGATCATGTCACTGCACTCCAGCCTGGGTGACAGAGCAAGACGCTATTAAAAAAAAAAAAAAAAAAAAGCCAGGCACAGTGGCTCACGCCTGTAATCCCAGCACTTTGGGAGGCTGAGATGGGCAGATCACCTGAGGTCAGGAGTTCAAGACCAGCCTGGCCAACATAGTGAAACCCCGTCTCTACTAAAAATACAAAAATTAGCCGAGCGTGGTGGCGGGCGCCTGAAACCCCAGCTACCTGGGAGGCTGAGGCAGGAGAATCGCTTGAACTCGGGAGGCAGAGGTTGCAGTGAGTCGAGTTCACGCCATTGCATTCCAGCCTGGGCAACAAGAACAAGACTCTCTCTCAAAGAAAAAAAAAAAGGCCGGGAGTGGTGACATGCACCTGTATTCCCAGCTACTTGGGAGGCTGAGGTAACAGGATCACTTGAGCCCAGGAGTTCGAGGCTGCAATCAGCTAGAAAAGAAAAAAAAGGAAAGGAAAAATGTGCAGGGCCTGTTGGTCGAAGATGACTAAGAATTTCAAAATTGTTACTGGGCGTGGTGGCTCACGCCTGTAATCCCAGCACTTTGGGAGGCCAAGGCAGGTGGATCATGAGGTCAGGAGTTCAAGACCAGCCTGGCCAACATGGTGAAACCTGGTCTCTACTAAAAATACAAAGATTTAGCTGGGCGTGGTGGTGTGCGCCTGTAATCCCAGCTACTTGGGAGGCTGGTGGCGTGCGCCTGTAATCCCAGCTACTCGAGAGGCTGAGGCAGGAGAATCACTTGAACCTGAGAGGCAGAGGTTGCAATGAGCCAAGATCGCACCACTGCACTCCAGCCTGGGTGACAGAGCAAAATTCCGTCTCAAAAAAAGAAAAAGAATTTCAAAATGGCAACAGAAAGCATTAACCCAAGCCGGGGGCCCTTGAGCACCTGCCAACCTCCCCTGCACTCCCTCCGCCTCCAGGGCAGCCTCCTCCCCCCAGGGTCCCTCCCGGTAGCTGCTGAAGGCCTGGCTGGGGAATTCTCTCCCAAATACCTGATGCAATCGAGTCTCCGCTCAGAATTTTTCAGTTCATCTTAGGACTTCTTGTAGACCGTGGCCTTTCACCTTCATTGCAAGGATGGCATTTTGTCTGTTTGGTTTTCTTACAGTGAGGGATGTTAATGCTGGGGGATGGTGGAGGAAGAGGAAGAGGAGGATGGGGAGGAGGGGGAGGAGAGGAAGGAGAGGGGAGGGGGAGGAGAGAAGGAGGAGGAGGGGGAAGGAGGAGAGGGAGGAGGGGGATGAGAGGAAGGAGGGGGAGAAGGAGGAGAGGAGGGGGAGGGGGAGGAGGAGGGGGAAGGAGGAGAGGGAGGAAGAGGAGGAGAAGGAGGAGGAGGAGAGGAGGGGGAGGAGGGGGAGGAGGAGGAGGAGAGGAGGGGGAGGAGGAGGGGGAAGGAGGTGAGGGAGGAAGAATAGGAGAGAGGAGGAGGAGAGGGAGGAAGAGGAGGAGGAGAGAGAGAAGGGGGAGGAGGAGAAGGAGAGGGAGGAGGAGGTGGAGGAGGAGAGGTAGGAGGAATGGAATGGCAGCTGGCCGAGGGCCCGTGGAGTGAGTGGGGCATGGGTAAGGAGAGGAAATTGCAGCTGAGAGAGCCAGCGCATGGTGGGAGGAGAGGAAGCAGGCCTGGGCAAGGCCACTGAATCAGGCTCCTTTCCAGTTGACAGAACCTAGGATAAGAGATTGGGGGAAGGGTGCACCTAGGAAGGGGCAGTTGACAAGGGGAGGTATGACAGGACAGGCCCCAGTGCCAGTTTCTATCAAGTCAAGCCTCATGGAGACAGGCCTGCGGGTCCTCAGCGAAAGCCACGGATCCCCCAACCCACAGCCCGTGGCCGGCCAGTGGCCAGCGTCAAAGAGCTGGGGATGTCGAGACCGTGGAAATAGCCTGTAATGGACCTGGGACCTCTCAGGAGAGATGCCCGAACTGCCCCGGTAGGGCTAAGGGCCTCCGGAAAGTCGGGAATCCAGGCAGGAGGAAATGATGCCTTGGCCACAGCCCGTTTTGAATTTTTTTAGAGACAGTGTCTCACACTGTGTCACCCAGGCTAGAGTGGACAGCATCATAGCTCACTGCAGCCTTGACTTCCCGGGCTCAAGCGATCCTCCTACCTCAGCCTCCTGAGTACGTGGGACTACAGGTATATGCCACCACACCCTGCTATTTATTTTATTTTATTACTGTATTTTAATTCTTTTTTTTTTTTTTTTTTTTGACACGCAGTCTCACTCTGTTGCCCAGGCTGGAATGCAGTGTCACAAACTCGGCTCACTGCAACCTCCGCCACCTGGGTTCAAGCAATTCTCTGCCTCAGCCTCCTGAGGAGCTGGGACTACAGGCACCCACCACCACGCCCAGCTAATTTTTGTATTTTTAGTAGAGACGGGGTTTCACCATCTTGGCCAGGCTGCTCTTGAACTCCTGACCTCGTGATCCACCTGCCTCGGCCTCCCAAAGTGCTGGGATTACAGGCGTGAGCCACCGTGCCGGGCTTCTATTTTAATTTTTGAGACAGGGTCTCCCTCTGTCGCCTAGGCTGGAGTGCGATGGTGCAATCACAGCCCACTGTAGCCTCGAACGCCTGGGCTCAATCACTCCTCCCACTTCAGCTTCCTGAGTAGCTGGGACCACAGGCATGTGCCACCATGCCCAGGTGACAGATTATCTTTTACATGCTAGCTGCGTGGCCCTGGGCATCCCCCTTCCTCTCTGGAAGCCTTGGGTGCTGCATCGCTTTGGTATAAGAGAGCTAATGATAGCTCCTGCCTCCCAGGGTTACCGGGTTGGTGTTAATAAGATACGGCCTCTGATGGCCAGGAACACACTTTGGCACAGAGGAGACAGGCACTAGTGCCAGCAGCTATAATTATACCTCGAGAAGGAGAACCGGAGATGGAGGAGTCCGCTGGGTAGAAGGTACAGAAGTGGAAAGGAAGCCAGACAGAAGGCAGACAGATGGCAGAGGCCTGCACGCAACAGCCAATGCGAGTGGGTGGGGGCTGGGAGCCAGAGGGAAGAGGCTGAGGGGCACCTGCATTGGTTTGCTCGGCCTGCAGGTAACAGAGCACCCAGACCGCGTGGCTTAAGTAGTAGAAATGCATTGCCTCACAGTCCTGGAGGCTGGAAGTTTGAGATCAAGGTGACAGCAGGGTCTCTTTCTTCTGAGGCCTCTCTCCTTGGCTTGCAGATGGCCGTCTTCTCGTGTCTTCCCACAGTCATCCCTCTGTGTGTATCTGTGTCCTAATCTCCACTTCCTTTTTTGCAGAGGGGACAAAGTCTCACTCTGTCACCCGAGCTGGAGTGCAGTGGCGTGATCTTGGCTCACTGCAACCTACATATCCCAGGTTCAAGTGATTCTCCTGCCTCAGCCTCCAGAATAGCTGGGACTACAGGCGCCCGCCACCACGCCCGGCTAATTTTTGTACTTTTAGTAGAGATGGGGTTTCACTATGTTGGCCAGGCTGGTCTTGTACTCCTGACCTTGTGATCCGCCCACCTCAGCCTCCCAAAGTGCTGGGATTACAAGTTTGAGCCACCGCACCCGGCTGATCTCTGCTTCGTTTGTTCATTTGTTTGTTTTGTTTGTTTTTGAGATGGAGTTTTCCTCTTGTTACCCAGGCTGGAGTGCAATGGCACGATCTCAGCTCACTGCAACCTCCGCCTCCTGAGTTCAAGCAATTCTCCTGCCTCAGACTCCTGAGTAGCTGGGATTACAGGCGTGAGCCACCACGCCCAGCTAATTTTGTATTTTTAGTAGAGACAGGGTTTCTCCGTGTTGCTCAGGCTGGTCTCGAACTCCCAACCTCAGTGATACGCCCGCCTCAGCCTCCCAAAGTGCTGGGATTGCAGACGTGAGCCACCGCACCCGGCCCAATCTCTGCTTCTTATAAGGACACCGGTTTTTCTGGATTAGGGCTCATACCCTAATAACCTCATTGTAATGTATTTATTTATTTATTTATACTTTTATTTTACTTATTTATTTTTATTTGAGACAGAGTCTCACTCTGTTACCCAGGCTGGAGTGCAGTGGTGCGATCTTGGCTCACTGCAAGCTCCGCCTCCCGGGTTCATGCCATTCTCCTGCCTCAGCCTCCCGAGTAGCTGGGACTACAGGTGCCCGCCACTACGCCCAGCTAATTTTTTGTGTTTTTAGTAAAGACGGGGTTTCACCGTGTTAGCCACGATGGTCTTGATCTCCTGACCTCTTGATCCACCCGCCTCAGCCTCCCAACGTGCTGGGATTACAGGCGTGAGCCACTGTGCCTGGCCTCTATTTTTGTTTTTTGAGACGGAGTCTCTCTCTGTTGCTGAGGCTGGAGTGCAGTGGTGCGATCTAAGCTTACTGCAACCTCCGCTTTCCAGGTTCAAGTGATTCTCCTGACTCAGCCTCCCGAGTAGCTGGGACTACGGACACCCGCCACCACACCCGGCTAATTTTTGTATTTTTAGTAGAGACACGTTTTAACCATGTTGGCCAGGCTGGCCTTGAACTCCTGACGTCAAGCGATCCACCCACCTTAGCCTCCCAAAGTGCTGGGATTACAGGCAAGGGCCACCACACCCGGCCCCATTGTACTTTAGTTACCTGGAGTGCAGTGGTGCAATCACTGCAGCCTCTCACTCCTGGGCTCAAGCAATCCTCCCACCTCAGCCTCCTGAGTAGCTGGGACCAACAGCCACTCTCTACCACACCTGGCTAATTTTTTTGTGTTTTTTTTTTGTAGAGACGGAGTTTCACTGTGTTGCCCAGGCTATTCTCGAACTCCTGGGTTCAAGCAATCCTCCCAAAGTACTGGGATTACAGGTGTGAGCCACCGTGCCCTGCCTATTTTTAATTTTAGTGGGTACGTAGTAGGTGTATATACTTATGGTCTACAGGACATATGTTGATACAGGCATACGATGTATAATAATCACATCACAGTAGCCGGGCACGGTGGCTCACGCCTGTAACCCCAGCACTTTGGGAGGCCGAGGTGGGTGGATCACCCAAGGTCAGGAGTTCAAGACCAGCCTGACCAACATGGGGAAACCCCATCTCTACTAAAAATACAAAAATTAGCCAGGCGTGGTGGTGGTTGCCTATAATCCCAGTTACTCGGGAGGCTGAGGCAGGAGAATCGCTGGAACCCGGGAGAAGGAGGTTGCAGTAAGCCGAGATCGCGCCACTGCACTCCAGCCTGGGCAACAGAATGAGGCTCCGTGTCAACGACAACAAAAACAAAAATTTTGCTAAGAGAGTAGATCTCACATTAAGTGTGCTTTGGTTTTTTGTTTTTGTTTAAGACAGGGGTCTGCATCATCTGGGCCATAGACTGGTACCTGTCTGTGGCCTGTTAGGAACTGGGCCGCAGAGCAGGAGGTGAGCAGGCAGGCAGTGAGCAGGCAGGCAGCAAAGCTTCATCTGTATTTACAGCCGCTCCCCATCACTGGAGCCTCCTGTAAGATCAGCAGCGGCATTAGATTCTCATAGGAGTGCAAACTGTTAGGAATAACGCTTAAAATTTTAAGGAAATTGAACACTTGAACGAAGAATTTTTAGCAAAGTAATTTATTTTTGTGCAGGGGGGTGTTTTTTTGGCCAGTTGTTATGAGTATACTTGAACAAAGGGGCACGAGAGCCTTTATTTTTGATGCAAGTTTTGTTTTTGTACCCTTTTTTATTGGCTGGGGTCGGGTTGTATAATTTAAACTAATTTTGGTTGGCTAAACATTTGATCTTTTTTTTTTTTTTTTTCTGAGACAGAGTCTTGCTCTGTTGCCCAGGCTGGAGTGCAGTGGCGCGATCTTGGCTCACTGCAAGCTCTGCCTCCCGGGTTCACGCCATTCTCCTGCCTCAGCCTCCCGAGTAGCTGGGACCACAGGCGCCTGCCACCATGCCTGGCTAATTTTTGTATTTTTAGTAGAGATGGGGTTTCACCGTGTTAGCCAGGATGGTCTTGATCTCCTGACCTCGTGATCCGCCCGCCTCGGCCTCCCAAAGTGCTGGGATTACAGGCGTGAGCCACTGCGCCTAGCCAATATTTTTAAAATTTTTTTGAGATGGAGTCTCACTCTGTCACCCAGGCTGGAGAGCAGTGGCAGGATCCTGGGTCACTGCAACCTCCACCTCCTGGGCTCAAGTGAGTCTTCTGCCTCAGCCTCCCGAGTGGCTGGGTTACAGACGTGCGCCACCATGCCCGGCTAATTTTTGTTTTTGTTTTTTTGTTTTGTTTTGTTTTGTTTGTAGAGACGCAGTTTCACCATGTTGGCTAGACTGGTCTCGAACTCCTGACCACAGATGATCCGCCCATCTCGGCCTCCCAAAGTGCAGAGATTACAGGTGTGAGCCACCGTGCCCAGCCTCGTATACTATTCTTGCAATTTTTTTTTTGTAGCTTTGAAATTTTGCAAAATAAAAAGTTGGGGAAAACAAAGCACTCTCGCTCCTTCCCATATGTTCTTCCAGCTGCCATCATTTCACCTTCTGTGCACAGTGAATATTCCTGGGAAGAGTCTGTGTTCTGTGTCCCAGTATTCTCAACCACCGCTGTGCTGGTGAAATGTTTAATAACTGGCTCACCAGAGAAACAAACCAACCAAAGAGCTCCTGACTTGGAATGTCTGCCAATTCCTGTGGTGTAAATACTCCCACCACTTGTGGCTGATCTGCTTGTAGGTGATTTCAAGCTACAAAGATGGCATCATCAAACAGAACTGGTACACAATGCAGTGACTCACATAATATAGTATTTCCAGCACGCAGACATCATATATGTAAATAACCCCAAGATAAGCCAGGTGCAGTGGCTCATGCCTGTAACCCCAGCACTTTGGGAGGCCGAGGTGGGAGGATCGAGTGAGCCCAGGGGTTTGAGACCAGCCTAGGCAACATAGCAAGACTCTGTCTCTACAAAAAGATTATTTATTTACTTATTTGAGACAGAGTCTCGCTGTGTCACTCAGGCTAGAATGCAGTGGTGCAATCTTGGCTCACTGCAACCTCTGCCTCCCAGGTTCAAGCAATTCTGCTGCCTCAGCCTCCCTTCTGAGTAGCTGGGATTACAGGCATGCACCACCACATCTGGCTAATTTTTGTATTTTTAATAGAGACGGGGTTTCACCATATTGGCTGGGCTGGTCTCAAACTCCTGGCCTAAAGTGATCCACCCACCTCGGCCTCCCAAAGTGCTGGGATTATAGGTGTGAGCCACTGCACCCAGCCTGTCTCTACAAAAAATTTTAAAAAGTAGCCAGGCTCTGTGGCTTGTGCTGGTCATCCCAGCACTTTGGGAGGTCAAGGTGGGAGGATCGCTTGAGCCCAGGAGTTCGAGATCAGCCCGTGCAACGTAGAGAGACCCTGTCTCTACAAAAAAATACAAAAATCAGCTGGGCGTGATGGTGCATGTCTGTAGTCCCAGCTACTCGGGAGGCTGAGGTGGGAGGATCACTTGAGCCTGGAAGGTCGAGGCTACAGTGAGCCGTGCTGGTGCCACTGCACTCCTATCTGGGCGATAGAGTGAGACTGTCTCAAAACAAAAACAAAAACCCTCAAGAGCACAGATAGTAGTAACATGTAGCAGCATAATTAGGAAGTGATGAATTTTGCATTATTACTTTTGTTCTAATATAATCTATTTGATCTTAAGTTTATACAATTAATTGTTTACATATTGGCCATGTTTAACAAGAGGCTTTGAATTCTTGAAGATGTGCCGGCTGGCTCTTGCGAGTCAGTGCAAGCTGGCCCCAGCATGCCTCTGTAAAACCATCTCCACTCACTGAAATCTGGCTCCCAGGCCCACCACTCACCCAAAACCCCTCTTGCTTATCTCACCAATGACCTCCATATTGCAAAATGCAATGGCGGTGGCTACATTTCTGTCCTTGCCTTGCCTGAACTGTGCAGCACTCGCCTCTGCTGTTTCCATCTGCCTTCTCCAAGTTCCTCCAGATTGTCTTCCTTTTTTTTTTTTTTTTTGATGGAGTCTTGCTCTGTCGCCCAGGCTGGAGTGCAGTGGTGTGATCTCAGCTCACTGTAACCTCCACCTCTTGGGTCCAAGCGATTCTCCTGCCTCAGCTTCCCAAGTAGTTGGGACTACAGGCACTTGCCACCACGCCCGGCTAATTTTTTGTATTTTTAGTAGAGATGGGGGTTCACCATGTTAGCCAGGATGGTCTTGATCCCCTGACCTCATGATTTGCCCATCTCGGCCTCCCACAGTGCTGAGCGCAGTGGCACACGCCTGTAATCCCAGCAATTTGGGAGGCCAAGGCAGGTGGATCACGAGGTCAGGACTCGAGACTAGCACGGCCAAGATGGTGAAACCCCGTCTCTACTAAAAATACAAAAATTATCCGGGTATGGTGGCGGGCGCCTGTAGTCCCAGCTACTCGGGAGGCTGAGGCAGGAGAATGCCATGAACCTGGGAGGTGGAGCTTGCAGTGAGCCGAGATCACGCCACTGCACTCCAGCCTGGGTGACAGACTGAGACTCAGTCTCAAAACAACGACAACAACAAAAAATTGTTTTTTAGAGATGGAGGTCTCGAGGGGGCATGGTGGCTCATGCCTGTAATCCCAGCATTTTGGGAGGCTGAGGTGGGAGGATCACCTGAGGTTCAGGAGTTCGAGACCAGCCTGACCAATATGGAGAAACCCCGTCTCTACTAAGAACACAAAATTAGCTGGGTGTGGTGGCACATGCCTGTAATCCCAGCTACTTGGGAGGCTGAGGCAGGAGAATCACTTGAACCTGGGAAGCAGAGGCTGCGGTGAGCCAAGATCGCGCCATTGCACTCCAGCCTGCGCAACAAGAGTAAAACTCCATCTCAAAAAAAAAAAGGCCGGGTGTGGTGGCTCACGCCTGTAATCCCAGCACTTTGGGAGGCCGAGGCAAGCGGATCACGAGGTCAGGAAATCGAGTCCATCCTGGCTAACATGGTGAAACCCTGTCTCTACTAAAAATACAAAAAATTAGCTGGGTGTGGTGGCAGGCACATGTAGTCCCAGCTACTCGGGAGGCTAAGGCAGGAGAATGGTGTGAACCTGGGAGGCGGAGCTTGCAGTGAGCCAAGATCGTGCCACTGCACTCCAGCCTGGGCGACAGAGTGAGACTCTGTCTCAAAACAACAAAAAAAGAGATGGAGGTCTCATGCTGTCACCCAGGGTGGAGTGCAGTGGGTGATCATAGCTCACTGCAGCCTCTAACTAATGGGCTCAAGAGATCCTCCCACCTCAGCCTCCTAAGTAGCTGGAATTCCAGGCGAGAGACACCATGCTTGGCTTATTTTTTTATTTTTGTAGAGATAGGGTCTCGTTATGTTGCCCAGACTGGTCTGTAACTCCTGGGCTCAAATGATGCTCCTGCCTCAGGCTCCTGAGTTGCTGGGATAATAGGACTGAGCCACGGATCCTGGCTTAAAGGAGTCTTCTATCTCCACTTTATCTTTGGGTCTTTGACATGCTTATATGACACACTGCCTCTGAGTGTCCAATGCTGTAGTTTTCTTTCTTTCCTTTCTCTCTCTCTCTTTCTTTCTTCTTCTTTTTTTTTGACACAAGGTCTCTCTCTGTTGCCCAGGTAGTGTAGTGTAGTGTAGTGTAGTGTAGTGGCACGATCACGGCTCACTACAGCCTTAACTTCCCGGGCCTCAACGATCCTCCCATCTCAGCCTCCTGAGTAGCTGGGACTACAAGCACATGCTACCACGCCAAGCTAATGTTTTGTATTTGTTGTAAAGAAGAGGTCTTCACTATGTTGCCCAGGCTGGTCTCAAACTCTTGGGCTGGAGAGATCCTCCCGCCTCAGTGTCCCAAAGTGCTGGGATTATAGGCATGAGCCACCGCGCCCGGCCAAACTCCGTACTTTCAACCACAACTAAGAATCCATATTTCTAGCCCAGACCTTATTCTTAGCAACACACCTGTGTACACCAACCGCTTAACTAGTTTGCTCCTCTTGGCATCAAGACATCTCGAACAAAGCCAGAGTGGAAGCCCTCATCTCTTACCCCCACCTTGAGGGGGAGCTCCTGAGATGGAGAACACAAGTCTATCCATCGCAGAAGCCAGGAATGCATGCTCTCCGGGGCCAAGCTGCCTCCCTTTGAAATAATGAAGTCCCATAAACCCATATCACAGGTTAGTAATGCAAAAAGACCGGGTGCGGTAGCTCACGCCTGTAATCCCAGTGACTCAGAGGCTGAGGCAGGAGGATCGCTTGAGCTTGGGAATTGGAGGCTGCAGTGAGCTAGATTACGACACTGCACTCTAGCCTGGGTGACAGAGCAAGCCTCTGGCTCTATAAAAAAAAAAAAGGATCCAATAAGACAAACAGCAACAGCAACATACATTAGCTCTCCCAGGGGACCAACCCTCCTCCTCATACCCGGATTGCATGGCCATGTTAAAATACCGCCACCTGGTGGCGGCATTCTTCGAATGGAAAATAGCATCTGGGGTGCTGAAATGACAAAGGCCTGAGCGTCTTCAGATCAGAGTGTCAGTTCACACTGAATCGAAGTAGGACTGGACCACAGTCAGCCCGCTCTCAGCTTCCTCTTCTTATTCGGGGTCAAAACCAACAGGCGTCTTCCCAAAGCGCCGCACAAGAGTGGGCTCCTTCGCTTTCTCGGAGCGACTCACTTGCTGGTCTCTCAGCCATTGTCAATCAATCAGTCATTGCAGGGGCAGCCATAGACAATTACTCTGGAGCTGGTCCGCCGGTCAATCAGAATCCAATCGAATCCGTCCTTGTGGTCGGTGGATCCACGTGCCTGTACCACCTGCCACCAGCGCCCGGCGCGTTCTGTAGCCGAATCACCGCAAGTGACGGAATACACGCCCCTGGGCTCCGCCCCCTCGTAGTCGCGCCCAATCACAGATCTGACCCTCCCAGGAGTGCCCTCCCCCGGGCCACATCCAGTCACGGGCCCCGTCCTTCCAAAACACTGCCCTATCAGAGGTCAAGCTCTCTAGGCATTCCCTACCCTTTTAATGCCCCGCCCTATGACGGACCCAATCGGAGGGCTCTCCCTACCCGAAACCCCGCTCCTGGAGCGGCTTTTCTCAGGCTTGCGCGGCTCTAGGCCGAAGCGGCGGATGACGCAACCGGGCCGCGCCGCGAGAAGGTCACACGATTCTCCAACATGGCGGCGGCGGCCCTGCGGAGTGGCTGGTGCCGCTGTCCACGGGTGAGCGGCGGTGCGGCGCTGGCAGGGCGAGCTTAGGGGTCTTCTGGGCCTTCGGCCACCAAGGCTTTCTTCTCAGACCCTTGGCCTTCGCGACCCTTGCTTGGGCTCCTTAGAAAGCTTGGGGTTAGATCTTTGGGTAGCAGAGGCCAGGACAGGGGGCACAGAGCGTGGCCTGAGGGCGGGGACCGAGCTTACCGGGCAGGGGGCGGCGATGCGCGGGACCTGGGAGGGAGCTGATCACCCTTCGCCCTCTGATCAGACTCCACGTATACAGGAGAGAGAATGGTAGCCGGGGCGGCGGCGTCCCGTGGAAAAAAGTAGAGGGGAAGGCAAAAAAACGTGAAATTCACAGCTCGCGGTTAAATGCCAAGTTCTCTACCGAGAGCATTTCTTGTCTCGTTTCTTCTAACGTTCATTGTGGATGTGCGAGAGGTGGTTCGCGCCCTAGCAGGCTCTTGGGTCCACAGGGCAGTGGCAGTCAAGACGTGTAAGGCGCACTCAGAAAGTAGTACTTCATATTGCTCGTGCTCTTCGTTTTTTCTTTTTTCTCTTTTTTTTTTTTTTTTGAGACAGAGTTTCGCTCTTGTCGCCCAGTCTGGAGTGCAATGGCGCGATCTCGGCTCACTGCAACTTCTGCCTCCTTCTGCCTCCGGGTTCAAGCGATTCTCCTGCCTCAGCCTCAGGTGGATCACCTGAGGTCAGGAGTTCGAGATCCACTGGCCCACATGGTGAAATCCCATCTCTACTAAAACCCCATCTGTACTAAAAATACAAAAAAATTAGCCGGGCATGGTGGCGCGCTCCTGTAATCCCAACTACTTGGGAGGCTGAGGCAGGAGAATCACTTGAACCCGGCAGGCGGAGATTGCAGTGAGCCGAGATCCTGCCACTTTACTCCAGCCTGGGCAACAGAGGGAGACTCCGTCTCAAAAAAAAAAAAAAAAGTTATCCTCAAGTAAATACAGGAGATAGTAGGCACCTGTGTAAGTTTGGGATGTTGCATAGGGTTCTCAGAGGTAGGAGGCAGAGAACAGAGAGAAAAACGGCCCAGGAAATGTGGAAATGGTGGAGAAGTTGTACCTGGTCTTTTGACATCAACACGCCAGGTTCTGTGCTGGGTGACAGGGTGCCGAGCTGAACAGGACCTGCACAGAGCTTTTTTTTTTTCCCCCAATTTTTTATGGAGGCAGGGTCTAGCTATGTTGCCCAGGCTGGTCTCAAACTCCTGAGCTCAAACGATCCTTCCGCCTCAGCCTCCCAAAGTATCGGGATTACAGGCATGAGCCACCAGCTCAGTGCCTGCACAGAACTTAAGGCAAGATCTCGGCTCACTGCACCCTCCACCTCCCGGGTTTAAGCAATACTACAGGTGTGTGGGACTACAGGTGTGTGCCACCACGCCCGGCTAATTTTTGTATTTTTGGTAGAGACGGGATTTCACCATGTTGGCCAGGCTGATCTCGAACTCCTGACCGGGTGATCCTCCCACCTCAGCCTCCCAACGTGTTGGGATTACTGGCGTGAGCCACCGCGCCCAGCCAGCAAGTGCCTTTTACATGAGATCAGCCCAGTCTTTGCCCAGAGCGACTCCCCTAAATTACTCTGTTTATAGCTCAACCCTTGAGGAGGACATTGTAGGTTTATTCCAGAGTTGTCCCTGGGGCAACACATTATCGATGTTTGTGTCTGAAAAATCCAGTTCTCTCATCTTTGGAGGCTGGCAGAAATGGGGTGGGCTCGCAAGAGAAGACTGCTTGCCACTAGCATAGAAGCTTAGAGTGCCTACTTTCAGACTAAGGGATTAAATTGTACATTTAGCCTTCTTCCCCCCATGGGTTGGCATTTCCTGGGACCTGTCCGTTTTCCCCCAGTTTCAGGGGCACGAGGATAGATGTAGGCCCTGGAGGTACAGACACAGCATTTTCTCTTTCCACCAGCTTCTGCTTGCTTCTCAGACTTTGGGAAGATTACAGAGTGCCCGGCATGCATCAGGCATAAGATACAAATTGGCCAGTGAGGCCAGGTGCAGTGGCTCATGCCTGTAATCCCAGCACTTTGGAAAACCGGGGGAGGGGTGGATCACCTGAGGTCAGGAGTTCGAGACCAGCCTGGCCAACATGGCAAAACCGCTTCTCTCCTAAAAATACAAATATTAGCCGGATGTGATGGCGCATACCTGTAATTCCAGCTACTCGGGAGACTGAGGCAGGAGAATCGCTTGAACCCAGGAGGCATAGGTTGCAGGGAGCTGAGATCGCAGCACTGCACTCTAGCCTGAGACTCCGTCTCAAAAAAAAAAAAAAAATGGCCAGTGAGTTGCAGGTGACCCTGCTGTTTTGTGTGTGGTCTGCTTACTTCTCAGTCAACCTCTTGTTAGAATGGATCTTTCTCTTCTCTCCCCCCAATTAGAGATGCCTCGGCAGTGGAATCCAATTTCTTTCCAGCCACAACCTACCCCATGGGTCGACCTATCAGATGCGCCGGCCGGGCGGAGAGCTGCCACTGGTGAGTGACTCAGGATGCTCGGGCCAGCAGACACAGGGGAGGCCCGAAAATTCAGATCCCATTGGCAGGAGGGAGGGGTGGGGCTGTAGAGGTGGCTCGTACCATCTCGGTGGTGGGCCTTCTGTGTCCGGGGCTTTCAGAATGACAGATCCCAGTGTGCCTGGCCTTCTCGGTCCCAGAAACACTTGACCTGCCTCTTGCTTGATGTCGTAAGGGGATAAGGTGCTGTCAGAATAGCCCTTTATGTTGGCTCTAATGCTTGGAAGAGACCCCTGTATTGAACTGAATTCTACTTCCCTGTGACCTCTGCCCGTGGGTACCTCACCAAGCATAGCTGTTTCCTTTTCTAGAAGATAGCCCTTTGATCATTGGTACAGAGTCACCTTGTCACAACCAGACCTCAGTTTCTCCTGGTCATTCCTCTTCAACTGTGCTTCTGTTGGTGTCTCAGCATCGTGAGGACAGAAGCCCAAAACCTGACTCCCTTCCCCAGACCTGTACATTCGGGCAGCGCGTACATTCTGTCTCCCTCTCTCTCTGCGCCCAGAGCCTCAGCTCAGCTGCCTCCTTGGAGGCAGCTACCTACCTCTCCAGTCCTGTCCTGGGGCCATCGTGGGTGTGGGACAGGACCTGTGACTCTTTCCCTTTCTTGTCTAGTCCCCCGCCACACACTCACTCCCATGGTTTGTAGCCCAAGAGTCTCTGGTAGGGCTGCGATAAGGTTGTGTGGTCCTGGATGATTTTACTTAGAACCTGGGTTTCCCCTGGAGAAAGGCTGGCCAGGGTGGCATCTGAATGGGACTGCAGCCTGCTGACAGGAGGCCTGGCCACCTGTCCTGGGGAGCAGCACTGGGCTTTTTTTTTTTTTTAAGATAGGGTCTCACTCTGTGGCCCAGGCTGGGGTGCAGTGGCACTATCACGGCTCACTGCAGCCTTGAACTCCTGGGCTTAAGCGATCCTCCCACCTCAGCCTTCTGAGTAGCTGGGACCACAGGTGTGTGACTCCACGGGGCCTGAGCACCAGGCTGGATGCAGCTTTCTCTTGTAGCTTGACAGGAGCCAGGGAGGGGGATCCCACCTGGAGCTGGTATACCCAACACAGCTGTGGAAAAGTTGACCACAGGCGGCCCCTTCCGCCTGATTGGATTATTGTATGATCATTCATTAAACTGTTTCTCTGTTGTTTTTTTGAAACAGAGTCTCACTCTGTCGCCCAGGCTGGAGTGCAGGGGCGAGATACCGCTCACTGCAACCTCCACCTCCCGAGTTCAAGCAGTTCTCCTGCCTCTGCCTCAGTAGCTGGGACTACAGGCAGGCGCCGCCACACCTGGCTAATTTTTGTATTTTTAGTAGAGACAAGGTTTCACCATGTTGGCCAGGCTTGTCTCGGACTCCTGGCCTCAAGTGATCCGCCCACCTCGGTCTCCCAAAGTGCTAGGATTACAGATATGAGCCACTGTGTCCAGCCTGCTTTTTTTTTTTTTTTTTTGAGATGGAGTCTCATTCCATCACCCAGGCTGGAGTGCAGTGGCACAATCTTGGCTCACTGCAACCTCCGGCTCCTGGGTTCAAGTGATTCTCCTGCCTCAGCCTCCTGAGTAGCTGGCATTACAGGCACCCACCACCACGCCCAGCTAATTTTTGTATTTTTAGTAGAGACGGGGGTTTCACTATGTTGGTCAGGCTGGTCTGGAACTCCTGACCTCAAGTGATCCACCCACCTTGGCCTCCCAAAGTGCTGAGATTACAGGCAGGAGCCACTGCGCCCGGCCTTGTTTTGCTTTCACAAGGCTTTATCTTTTGAGCAGTTTTAGGTTTACAGAAAAATCCAACAGAATGTCCAAAGAGTTGCCATGCCCCTCCTCTCCCATCTGGCACACAGTTTTCTATTCTTCACGTCCTGCATTAGTGTGGAGCATCTGTCACAATTGACAGGATGTTGATACATTATTATTAATAAATGCATGGTTTACCTTCCGGTTCCCTCTTGGTGGTGTACATTCTCTGTGATTACAGTATCATAAGAGTAGTTTCACTGCCCTAACATTTTTCTGTGTTCCCCCCTACTCATCTCACCCTCTTCCTACCAAACCCCTGGCAACCACTGATCTTTTACTGTCCCCTTAGTTTTGCCTTTTCCAGAACGGTCTATAGTTGGAATCAGACAGTATGTAGCCTTTTCAGATTGGCTTCTTTCACTTAGTGCAATATACATTTAAGGTTCCTCTGTGTCTTTTCACAGCTTGAGAGCATATTTCTTGCTTGTTTTTTAAATTATTTTATTTTATTTTATTTGAGATGGAGTCTCGCTCTGTCACCCAGACTGGAGTGCTGTGGCATAATCTTGGCTCACTGCAGCCTCTTCCTCCTGGGTTCAAGCAATTCTTGTGCCTCAGCCTTCTGAGGAGCTGGGACTAAAGGCACACACCACCATGCGCAGCTAACTTTTGCATTTTTAGTAGAGATGAGGTTTCACCATTTTGGCCAGGCTGGTCTCGAACTCCTGACCTCAGGTGATCTGCCCGCCTCAGCCTCCCAAAGTACTGGGATTACAGGCGTGAACCACCGCGCCCAGCCTGTTTTTTAAATAGGGTGCTGTGTTGCCCAGGTTGGTCTTAAAACTCATGACCTCAAGCAATCCTCCCTCCTCAGCCTCCTAAAGTGGCTGAGAGCTCATTTTTTTTTCAGCACTGAATAATATTCTGTTGTCTGGATATACCACACTTTTATCACCTGCTGTTTCTTTGTTTTTTATGATTATTATAAAAGAGATAGCTAATCATCATTAAATGTATATCAACCGAAAAGAGAACATTTAAAAAAATCCCTGAGTCCCTCTGTGGGGCATTTCATTCTATGTTCTACTATGTTCTTTAAATTTTTTTTCTTGTACATTCTTTCTAGTCCAAATCATATTCTTCTGGAAACAGAAAAGGCTTTCTGTCCGGCTTGCTAGATAATGTCAAACAAGAATTAGCCAAAAACAAAGAAATGAAAGAAAGTATAAAAAAATTCCGTGACGAGGCCAGAAGGCTAGAAGAATCAGACGTGCTCCAGGAGGCCAGAAGGAAATACGTGAGTTTCTTTGCTGCTTTTTTTTCCCTCACCCAGGCTGGAGAGTAGTGGTGCGATCTCGGCTCACTGCAACCTCCACCTCCCAGGTTCAAGTGATTCCCCTGCCTCAGCCTCCTGAGTAGCTGGGCTTACAGGCGCGCACCACCACGCCCAGCTAATTTTTGTATTTTTAGTAGTGAAGAGGTTTCACCATGTTGGCCAGGCTGGTCTCGAACTCCTGACCTCAAGTGATCCGCCCGCCTCAGCCTTCCAAAGTGCTGGGATTACAGGCGTGAGCCACCGCGTTGGGCCCCTTTGCTTCTTACCTTTCTTGGTTGACATGTTTGTTTCCAGGGCCAGGGTTTCTCCAGGCCAGGGACAGCCAGAGGAGCTCAGGGCTGGACGGTTGGGGGCAGGGTGGCTCGTGAGGAAGTGAGGTCACTGCTCTGATGCACTAATGAGAGGGAGCCAGGGGACAGGTGCGGGTCTCCAGGCCTCTGGGTTCTGCCATGAGACCATGCAGCGTTCTGTGCAGCTTGAAGCGTGGTCCCCAGACCAGCAGCAGTGGCTCCTCCTGGGAGTGGATGAGCAGTGCAGAGGCTCACACCCTCCCAAACTGCCAGGCCAGCGCCCGCATCTTCACAGGCCCCCAGGCAACGCATGCACACCAGCTATGGGATGCAGCGCTCCTGAGAGCTCCCAGCTGTAGCCCTCTGAGTGGAGCCTGGTGGAAACTGGGTGATGGTGCTGGTATTTTATTTTATTTTATTTTATTTTATGAGATGGAGTCTTGCTCTGTCATCCAGGCTGGAGTGCAGTGGCGTGACCTTGGCTCACTGCAACCTCCAGCTCCTGATTCTCCTGCCTCAGCCTCCCGGATAGCTGGGATTACAGGCGCCCGCCACCACACCCAGCTGATTTGTTGTTGTTGTTGTTGTTGTTTTTTGAAGCAGAGTCTTACTCCATTGCCCAGGCTGGAGTGCAGTGGTACGATTTTGGCTCAACACAACCTCTGCCTCCTAGGCTCAAGCGATTCTCCTGCCTCAGCCTCCCGAGTAGCTGGGATTACAGACACACACCACTACTGCCCAGCTAATTTTTGTATTTTTAGTAAAGACAGGGTTTCACCATGTTGGCCAGGCTGGCCTTGAACTCCTGACCTCAAATGATCCACCTGCCTTGGCCTTCCAAAGTGCTGAGATTACAGGTGTGAGCCAGTGCGCCCAGCCCTATATATCTTTTTATAGAGACGGGGTTTCACCATGTTGGCCAGGCTGGTCTCAAACTCCTGGCCTCAAGTGATCTGCCCGTCTCAGCTTCCCAAAGTGCTGGGATTACAGGTGTGAGCCACTGCTCCCAGCCTGTCATTATTAATTGTCACTTCTCTTCTTGAGCAGCTGCCAAGCCCTGGCTTCTGGGAATGGCTCTGCATTCCTTTATTTGTAAGGGCCCTGCGAGGCAGTTACAGTGTCCCCATTTTACCAATGAGCAGCTGAGCCTCAGAGATGCAGGCACCTGCCACGGGTCCCTTGCATTTTGGTTTGGTTTGGTTTCATTTGTGTTTTTTTGTTTGTTCGTTTTTTGTTTTTCTCCTTTGAGATGGAGTCTTGCTCTGTCAGCCAGGCTGGAGTGCAATGGTGCGATCTCGGCTCACTGCAACCTCCGCCTCCCTGGGTTCAAGCGATTCTCCTGCCTCAGCCTTCCAAATAGCTGGAATTATAGGCGCCCACCACCACGCCAGGCTAATTTTTGTATTTTTAGTGGAGACGGGGTTTCATCACTTTGGCCAGGCTGGTGTTGAACTCCTGACCTCAGGTGATCCATCCGCCTTGGCCTCCCAGAGTGCTGGGATTACAGGCATGAGCCACCGTGCCCAGCCTAGTTTGGTTTTTTGAGACAGGGTCTTGCTCTGTCACCCTGGCTGGAGTGCAGTGGTGTGATCACAGCTCACTGCAGTTTTGACCTTCCCATGTTCAGGTGATTCTCCCACCTCAGCCTCCTGAGTAGCTGTGACTAAAGGCATGGGATACCACGCCTGGCTAATTTTTTTATATTTCTAGAGACAGGGTCTCGCCATGTTGCCTGTGCTGGTCTCGAACTCTCTGGGCTCAAGCGATCCTCCCATCTCAGCTTCCCAAAGAGCTGGGACTACAGCTCACATGCCCAGCCCCTCTTTATCATTAATGCAGGGGTCATCTGAAGACATAGCAGGCTGAGTTTGGAGTGGGATGGATGGAGCGGGAGACATAAGACCAAGCTGTGGTGGCTGGAGGCTGGATGAGGGGCACAGTGATGACAGGCAAGGCCACCTCCTACCACCCGGTGAAAGGTGAAGGCTGGGCCTCCTGTTCTCAGGAGGTAGCTGCCAAGCGGGGACCCGAGTCTGCCGGCCTTCTGAGCAAGGAGCTCACCGCTGCTGAGACCCTCAATCCAAGCCATGTGGGCAGCCGGGGGCCCTGGAGGCAGCACATGCTGGCAGGTGCGGGGAGGGAGGGGCTGCGGAGAAGATGCTTCTTGGACCTTTGGCTGTAAGAGAAATGTCACTGCCGTGTCAGAACATACAGACTTAAAGACACAACGGTTGGCCAGGCACAGTGGCTCACACCTATAATCCCAGCACTTTGGGAGGCCGAGGCGGGTGGATCACTTGAGGTCAGAAGTTTGAGACCAGCCTGGCCAACGTGGTAAAACCCTGTCTCTACTGAAAATACAAAAATTAGCCAGGCATGGTGGTGGGCCCTGTAGTCCCAGCTACTCGGGAGGCTGGGGCAGGAAAATCGCTTGAATCTGGCAGGAGGAAGTTGCAGTGAGCCGAGAGCGTGCCACTGTACTCCAGCCTCGGCAACGGAGACATTGTCTCAAAAAAAAAAAAAAAAAAAAGGACACAGCGCTCTTTACCTAGAAAACCATCGAGTCAGAAACCGTGCGGACGAGCGAGGTGCTACGGAAGAAGCTTGGGGAGCTGACGGGCACCGTGAAGGAGGTAACAGTTCCACGCCCGCCTGGAGCCGCTGGGGCCATCAAAGTCCCCTGGCCGCTGGAGGCTGGAGGAAGAGTCGGCTCCTGGGTGGGGGTGGCTTGGCAGCAGTGGGTGGCATGGGGCGTGCTGCCACCCTCGGGAAGGTTTCAGGAGTTCCCGGCACATGCAGGGTGAGGTCAGACTGGCAACCTTGCATGACCGTTGACCCAGGGAGTCGGCAGCAGTAAGTGCTGCTAGCCAGGACTCGAGGAGAACATGAAAATGTTTTTCCTGCCTAAAAATAGGAGGAGAGGGGCCGCTTCCACCCCCTCCCGAGGGTAGAGGCGGGAGGCAGGATTCCTGGGGTGCTGCGGCTCTCCTCGGTTGTCTGTTCTGTCCAGCTTTGCGCAGCATGGGGCGCCCTCACCGCCGTTCTTTCCCCGGGGTCCCCTCCTTGGGAATCCTTGCTGCCAGGCAGTTCCCGGGTCTCCAGAGGACTCCTGCCCATTTTGGAAAGGGGCCAGCAGACCCAGCGTCTCACCCAGAGCCCAGGGCCAGCATCCCGGAAGCCGTGGCGGTGTGCTCATGGCTCTGGGGGTGCCGGTGTGCTCATGGCTCTGGGGGTGCCGGTGTGCTCGTGGCTCTGGGGGTGGCGGTGTGCTCGTGGCTCTGGGGGTGCCGTTGTGCTCATGGCTCTGGGGGTGCCGCGTACCACAGGAGCACAGAAGGCCTCTGCCGGCCTCGGGGAACCAGATCCGCCCTTCTCTCCGGCAGGAATTCATTCCTCCTGCCCCGCCCCCCGGCCGCCAGGGCCGGTGCCAACGCCCCCTCTCTGTGTCTGTCTCAGTAGAGCCTTCACGAAGTCAGTAAAAGTGATCTCGGCCGGAAAATCAAGGAGGGCGTGGAGGAAGCAGCCAAGACGGCCAAGCAGTCGGCCGAGTCGGTATCCAAAGGCGGGGAGAAGCTGGGCAGGACAGCGGCCTTCAGAGCCCTCTCCCAGGTGAGCCCAGTCCTGGGCTAGGGCATGCAGCCTGGGGCGGCCGAACCCAGACACCCACCCCAGCCCCGCTGTGCCTCCCTCGCAGGGGGTGGAGTCCGTGAAGAAGGAAATTGACGACAGCGTCCTGGGACAGACCGGGCCCTACCGGAGGCCCCAGCGACTCCGGAAGAGAACGGAGTTTGCGGGAGATAAGTTCAAGGAGGAGAAAGTGTTTGAGCCAAACGAGTAGGTACCAGCCCGTGGCCCTCGCTGCCCCCATTTTGGGCAGCTTTCACTGCTGTCCATTTCGGGAGCCCACCAATGGTTCCCTCCTGAGTCCGTTTCTTGAGTTTGCCTTCTGCCCAAGGTTCCCGGCTCCCTCGAATTTGAGGGTGAGAGGTGAGGGCGGGGTCCTCAGAGCCCCTAGGTTTGAGGTCTCAGCTGCCTGCTGTCCTGTACTGCCCCCTGCCTGCAGCCGCAGGAGGGCACAGGGTGGCCCTGGCGCCGCCGCTCACCCCAGGGCCCACCCTCTTCCCCAGGGAGGCCCTGGGGGTCGTGCTGCACAAGGACTCCAAGTGGTACCAGCAGTGGAAGGACTTCAAGGAGAACAACGTGGTGTTTAACCGTGAGTGAAGGTGTCTTGGAGGGCAGGTGACTGTGTCCCGGGCAGTTGGTGGACCGCAAGGTGATCCCCCTGCATTGGGCACAAGACAGCCCCGTTTTGCAGAGGAGGAGATCGGGGTCAGAGTGGGCCGGTCACTTCTTTGCGGTCACATGATGGTGGGGCTGTAGATTCTGCCGCCAGAAGCCAGGTGCTCCCTCATAAGCACAGTCAGGGCCCCGAAACGAGCCGCAGGCCCCTGTCCCTTGTCCTGTGAGGACTGCTAGAGGCCTGTGTTTCCTTTGTAGTGAAAGCAACAGCCAGTGGGGTGGCGGCCCATAACTTACACAGCCCCATTAGGGCCGCAGCTGAGGGGCCTCTGCGCCTGGCCAGGTAGGTGGGCAGGCAGCGGTCCCCAAGCACAGATGAGGATGCAGGTCCACAGCCGTCCCCTCCCTGACCCCACCCGTGTCAGGGTGGATCCCGCAGGGGTCACAGGGAGCCTCTAGAAGCTGTGAGGGAGGGTTGTGTTTCTGGAAGGGGCCCCTTCTCCAGCACCTACCCCATCTTCCACAGGGTTCTTCGAGATGAAGATGAAGTATGACGAAAGCGACAACGCGTTCATCCGGGCATCCCGGGCCCTTACGGACAAGGTCACCGACTTGCTGGGTGAGTGAGTCATCCCTGGACCTCGCAGGCTGGTGGTGGGGCGGGGTCCCCGGCCTTCCCCCCGAACTCCCGGCTCTGCTCCCTGCAGGGGGCCTGTTCTCCAAGACAGAGATGTCGGAGGTGCTCACGGAGATCCTCCGGGTGGACCCGGCCTTTGACAAGGACCGGTTTCTGAAACAGTGCGAGAACGACATCATCCCCAATGTCCTGGAGGTGGGTGCCACACCCCCAGGACCCCTCCCAGGCGGCAGGTCCTGGCTCCACCACCTCCCCCGCCGCAGCCGGCACCCTGGGTGCTGCCAGGGAACTCTGCTGCCGAGGCTGTTTTCTGAGGAGGCTGGTTGCACACGGGCTCCTGCCCGGCTGCAGCTGCCCCATGAGCTGTGCCCGAAGCCCTTCCTGGGCCTTACCGGCACCTCCGGTACCTCCAGGTCTGTTTCCCTCACTCCTCCTGCCTGAGGCTGTTGTTCCTTTGAGGTTGCTGGGAGCAGCTGCTGGAGGCTAGGGATTGTCTCAGGTGCCTGGAGCCCCTCACCCCTTGGGAGAAGTGGGCGTCTGTCTTCAGACATCAGAGCTGGCCCCAGGCCACGTCTGACCCAGAGCTGCAGCCGTGAGGTTCCCTCACGGTGCTGTCCCTGGCAACCAGACCCTTGTTGGGCTTATAGATGAGGGTATCTTGCTCAAGGTCATGCTGCAGCCTGCCCCCTATAAGCCTCTCCCTGAGGTTGGTGGCCTCTTGTCTTCCCTGCTGCCTCTGCCTCTCTGCAGCCCCCAGGATGCAGGAGGAGCCTGGACACCTTCGGCCCAGTCGGGCCAGGCCTCTGGAAGGCCCTTCATGGGACTCTCCATCCTTGGCCCCGCCGGCCTCCGCCCAACGTCCTCTTCCTCCTCCAGTTTCCCGTATCCTTCCCGCCACTTCGGGCAGGGCTGGGAGGTGGTGCGGATGGGCGCCATGCCCCAAAACAGCAGCCTGAGCACCGCAGTGCCTTCCGGGATGGGTGATGGGTGCCAAGTGTTCTGGCCACCCGCCCCCTGCCGCTCACAGCTTTCACCACCAGCATCCGGCTCCTTCCCGCTCTTCTCCCCGCTCCAGGCACCTCCCTCCCCCTCATCGGATCCGGCCCAGGCTCCAGGATCCTGTGGAAGCAGCTCCCAGCCCAGGCACGCCCCCTGCAGCCCACCCCTCCCTCTCGCTGCCCCCAGCAGTTAGGAGGCAGCCGGTCCCATGGTGGGCCTTGCAGTCCGAAATGTGGTCCCCTGGGGGGACAGAGGACATGGGCTCACTGCGGGAGCCGGAGTTGGGTCCTCATCTCCCTGGCTTGGATTCCTGACCAGGCTGAAAGCTGGGTCCCCAGCCACCTTTCTCTTCCTCCACCAGGTTCCAGGGGGGTCCCCCTGTGGGGTGCCTCCTGGGTGGTCGCCCGCAGGCCGCCCTCCGCCTGTGCCTAGGCCAGAGCCAGGCACTGACACCAGCAGGGACGGGCCTGGGGGGGACACCCAGTGCCACAGCTCCACCCGCGCCCCACAGGTGGCAGCCGGGGGTGTCTGAGGAAACTCCCCACCCCGCACCACTGGAGAATGTTCCCAGGACCTCGCCTGCTGCCTGAAAAGCCCACTCTCGTTCTGGTGCTTATTTTCCCTTCCTTTTTAGGCCATGATTTCTGGAGAGCTTGACATTCTCAAAGACTGGTGCTATGAAGCTGTGAGTACTTCCTTTCTTTTTCTTTTTTTTTTTTTAAGGCCTAAAAAATCACCATGGAGAAGTTCCACTTCGGTGGCTCCGTTGGGGTAGCTCCCAACAGGCAGGACCTGGGCTCCCGGTGGGGGAATCCTCACGTCTCACCCTCCGAGAGCCTGACATCCCCCCCTGCCCCTTTCCATTCCTCAGCATGTGACACATCTGGGCTCTCAGGCTGGACACCGGGTCACCCGCCAGTCCTTTGCTCCCAGACTGTAAACTTTGTTAGGGAGAATCCTTCTCTGGGCTGGTGTCTAAGAGATGGCTGGTTGGGGGTGTCCCCTGGGCCTGTGAGAGATCACAAAGCTGCCAATTTTACTGGGCCTTTTTTTTCCCTCCAATCTTAAAATAATTTTGGTTAGGTCTGGGCACGGTGGCCTATGCTTTCAATCCCAGCAGCCCAAGGCGGGAGATTGCTTGAGCCCAAGCATTCAAGACTAGCCTGGGAAACATAGCAAGATCCCGTCTCTACAAAAACATTTAAAATGAGCCAAGTGGCAGGGTGCGGTGGCTCATGCCTGTAATCCCAGCACTTTGGGATGCCAAGGCAGGCGATTGCCTGAGCTCAAGAGTTCGAGACCAGCCTGGGCAACATGGTGAAACCCCATCTCTACTAAAATAAAAAGTTAGCCAGGCATGCTGGTGCATGTCTGTAATCCCAGCTACTGGGGAGGCTGAGGCAGTAGAATTGCTTAAATCCGGGAGGTGGAGGTTACAGTGAGCTGAGGTCGCGCCACTGCACTTCAGCCTGGGCAACAGAGCAAGATTCTGTCTCCAAAAAAAAAAAAAAAAAAAAAAGAGCCAAGCATGGAGGCAGGCACCTGTTGTCCCAGCTATTAGGGAGGCTGAGGTGGGAGGATCACTTGAGCTCACGAGGTCAAGGCTGCAGTGAGTCATCGCAGCACAGCACTCCAGCCTGGGTGACAGATCAAGACACTGTCACTAAGGAAATAGGTCGGGCACGGTGGCTAACGCCTGTCATCCCAGCACCTTGGGAGGCTGAGGCGGGCGGATCACCTGAGGTCAGGAGTTCGAGACCAGTCTGGCCAACATGGTGAAACCCTGTCTCTACTAAAAATACAAAAATTAGCCAGGCCTGGTGGTGGGCGCCTGTAATCCCAGCTACTCGGGAGGCTGAGGCAGGAGAATCGCTAGAACCCAGGAGGCGGAGGCTGCAGTGAGCCGAGATTGCACCACTGCACTCCAGCCTGGGCAACAGAGCGAGACTGTCTTAAAAAAAAAGAAATAATAATTTAGGGAAGGAGAGTCCCAGGAGAGGTGGTTGCAGCCATGAAGTAAAATGAGGTGTCTGGGGGCCGACTGCCCTATTTCAGGTGGCTGCAGTGGCCTGGGGTGCAGGCTGGGGCCGGGGGTCAGGGACAGTGTGGGTCTCCCACATGACTGGGGGGGGGCTGGGAGTCAAGTGGGGTTTGAAGGTGTCACCCATCCCACTTCCCAGGCCAGAGCAGAGTCCCTGTGCTCACCTCCCACGGGTCGTGAGAATGAAGTGTGATCACAGAAACCAGGGCAGTGCTGGCCCCGGGCCAGAGGGAACCCACAGAGGTAACCCTGGTAACCAAACAGCCCCTGGAAGAGTTGGGGGAGCTTTCATCGGTGACCCGGGGCCGCCACCTATGGGGCACGGATGGGGTTGCGGCAGTGGGTGCCCCTCCCCAGGCCCTGGGAGCCTCTAGCTGTCCTCACGACATGATCCTGAAACATAGATCCAAACAAAACATCGATAGTCTTCCCACACCAGGAAGGAGCTGTGTCCTGATGAGGCCTCAGCTGCTTCTCAGAGTCAAAGCTTGGGGTTCGGGGGCCACCAGCAGCACCGCGTACCTGGGGTCTGGTCTAGCTGTCTGCCCCATCCCTGGCAGCCTCCCTGTCCCTGCCCGAGTCCATCCCTGTGGGGCTCCCAGCTCTCATCTCCTCAGGCCACCTCATCTCACCCTATTCGCTCCCCGACCTGTGTGTTTCTTTCCCCTGGCTTCTTCGTATTAAGCGATCCAGAATCGTTCTTGGCTAATTCTATTCTGCACCCAGCTCATAAACAACTTGGAAAAAGCAGAGGAGAAGATGTCAGATTTTCTTTTTAAATACTCCCCTGCATGGTGACTAATCCAGCAGGCATTTATGAGTTTCGATGTGGATTTTTTTTTTTTTTTTTTTTTTTTTGGTTTTTTGTTTTGTTTTTACCTTGGGACCATTACGCCACAGCTGACTCGCTTTGCCAGGGAGCTGCTGGTGCCCTGGAAACACAGCTGAAGTTCCAGCCACGTCCACAGAAGTGTTTTTAAAATGTCACCTTTAAGAAACCGAACAAGTAGGATTGGCTCTGTTTTTTTTTTCTCTCCCCTCCGCGGATCAGTCATTTCCATAAAAAGTAGATGCTATCAGAACATCTTTTCTCTCATGGTTTCATGCCAAGCCCAGAGAAACCTCCAGCGAAAACGTGTCTCGGGGGCTGCTTCCTGTGCCTGGCACAGGCGCAGGGGGTTGAGGGTGACACTGGGGGCTGGTCAGTGACAGAGGCAGCCTCAGGCTGAGGACAGATCCTAGAAGAGGCGTTTGATCTCAGGCCAAGATTCAGAGTGCGGCGAATATGGAAGTATTAAAGATCAGCCAAGGGGCCGCCAGCTTAGCCCTGGGAGTAGATTTGGGATTTTGTTCCAAGAGAATCACCCACTTTGCTGATTAATCCTGTTTTCATTGGGTCATCTGGATAGAGTGTTGTTCCCAGGAGTGGGAAGCGTGTGATCTGGGCCAGTAAGTGGGTGGCACCTGCCTCCCCACTTGGACCTGGGTTCTTGGCCTCTGCCATTGCTGGCTGGCGGCAGGGCACCTGGGCGCCAGGGTGTGTGGGCAGCAGCTCTGTGTGGCGTGGTGCCCACCCTGGGTGGCATCACGCAGGCGTGTCGGCCTCTCATTGCAGACTTACAGCCAGCTGGCCCACCCCATCCAGCAGGCCAAGGCACTGGGTCTCCAGTTCCATTCTCGCATCCTAGACATTGACAACGTCGACGTAAGCACCTCGCAGTGGGGGCCCGGGCCACCATCGGGGGTGGGAACTATGGCCCAGACAAGGCCCAGGAGGTGGCCTTGCCAGGGGCTGGGGGCCATGGGCTGATCCAAGAGGTCTTGGGCTTGTCCAAGGGGAGGGTCTCGAGGGAGGCCTGGTCCTGGCCTGAGAGGCAAGGCCCACGGGGAGGGACCGGTGCTGGGCCTGGTGCTGGAGCCTTCTCCTAGCAGGGCCTAGGCGCAGGGGTTTCACCTCCAGGGGAGCAGCCGGGCTGTCCTCTGAGGCACATCCCCCCTCTCGGCCCCTCTGCAGCTGGCCATGGGCAAGATGATGGAGCAGGGGCCGGTGCTGATCATCACCTTCCAGGCACAGCTGGTGATGGTGGTCAGGAACCCCAAAGGCGAGGTGGTGGAGGGTGACCCGGTGAGTGAGGGAGTGGGATGGGGCAGGCACATGACACCGCCTGTCCCCAAGATCTGTGTGTGGCCACCTGGCAGAGACCCCAGCTCAGAGCCCTGAAGCTCTGGGACTGGGTGGGGATGTGGAGAAACCTCTGGGCCAGAGTTTGGGGTTGAGGGAGGTCGGAGACCAGCAGACCTGTCTGTTTTTACCAAGGCTGAGTGGTTCCTGAGTCTAGGCAATTGTGCTGGCCTCTGCTCCCAGCCCCTGGGGAAGTTGCCGGTGGCTCCTGCCCCACAGAGCCTGGCCCCCCCCCAGAGCTGCCTGGGTCACCTCAACCCTCTCAACAGTGCCCTTCCCACCCCACCCTGCAGGACAAGGTGCTGCGGATGCTGTACGTGTGGGCGCTCTGCCGAGACCAGGACGAGCTCAACCCCTACGCGGCCTGGCGGCTCCTGGACATCTCGGCCTCCAGCACCGAGCAGATTCTCTGAGTGTGGTGCCGGAGCCAGGTAGCCCCGGCCTGGGTCATCAGGCACAGAGGCACCGCAACACCACCTGCGGCAACTCCAGACCTCTGGGAACAAGACTGCGGGCTCTGCCCCCAGCTCTGCCAGGACGGCTGCAAGACCAGCTGGCCCGGGAGGGGACAACGGGCTGTTGCGGGTGCGCGGCAGCTGGAGACACTCCCCCGCAGGGCCAACCCCTGCCCTGTTGCTCTGCCCTGCAGGGGTCCCGGCGCCTGGTCACCTGGGGTGCACACAGGTCACACAGTGCCAAGAGGCCCCAGGGCCCAGGGACTCCCCCCACAGCAGGGTGGGACCCGGGACCCGCGGCTCAGTGGCCCGCTAGCCACGTCAGCCAAGCCACTTTAGGTCCATTTTTTAATTTTAACAGTGCTCTTCCATCTTGTGCATAAGCCTGAGATTTGGAAAGAATAAAACACCGAATTGCAGAAGAGCAGCTACGGAGTCTGAAGTGTCTTCTCTGGCGCGGGAGTGGCCGAGGCGATGGTGGGGGTGGGAGCAGGCGGCTGCTGTGGGAGGCGGTCAAGGTCGAGTGAGGAACTGCAGCCGCAGTGGGTGGACGCCTTGCCCAGGGCTGGACCCTGAGTTGGAAGACGAGGCCAGTGACAGACAAAACTAGGGGGACTTACTCATCCCAGTGACCTGCCTGAGCTCTCTGAGAATTGAGGTCCCCAGGGCCGGGGGAGCTTGAGTGCCCATATGAGTGTTTTAGGGCCACTGAGGTCCCCCCACAAACAGGGAGTCTCGAGTGGGGTCTATCGCGGAGGAGAATGCAGGCACAGGGCAGGCTGGGGGGCCCGAAGTGCCAGGGGAGGTGGGAGTGGCAGCTGCCCACTCCCCGGCGAGGTCGTGGGTGCTCGCGGGTCCTCGGGGCTGGGGTTCCGTCCTCCCGCAGGCCCGGGCGGGGTCGCTGGCTCGCGCGCCGCTCCCTGCGCAGCCTCCGCCCCCTGCAGCCCCGCCCCCCGCGGCGGCCCCGCCCCCGTCGCCATAGGAACAGCCGCGGCGGCCCGGCTCGCGCGCTGCTTGCCTGCCTCGGTCTCCGCCGCTCCAGGGGCGGGTGGGGTGGGCTGAGCCGGAGCCCGGGCCGCCGCCGCCGCCGCCGGGGAGAGGCCGAACGCGCAGCCGGCGCGGGTCCCTGAGAGAGCGCGGCCGCCGGGCGGTCGGTCCCCGTCCGGGTCGAAGCCAGGGTGAGGGGCGCGCCGGGGCGGGGGCGGTGGGGGAGGGGGTCCCAGGCCGCCGAGAACAAAGGGAGCGGGGGCAGGGGCCGCGGGGACCGTCCCCACGCCGCGCGCCCGGGCCGCGGCCGCGCTTTCGCACCTGTTGTGTGCGGCCCAGGCCGGGCGCGGCTCCGTTTCCCGGCTCTCAGCGCCCCCACCTGCGCGCACGGCCAGAGTTGGGTCCCCGCGTGGTGGTGGCGGCGATCCGGCGGGCCGGGCATGGGCGTAGCCCGGGGACCGAGGCGCGGGCGGGGGATGGGGTCGGGCACGTTAAGGGAGGCGGCGGCGGCGGCGGCAGGAGGGGGCGAAGCGGAGGAGGCGCGGGAGGGAGGGCGCAGCCTCATCCCCGGCGCCCGGGGCGGGTCCCCTCCTCCGCAGGGCGCGCGGCGATGTGAGCCATGAGCGCGACGTGGACGCTGTCGCCGGAGCCCCTGCCGCCGTCGACGGGGCCCCCGGTGGGCGCGGGCCTGGACGCGGAGCAGCGCACGGTGTTCGCCTTCGTGCTCTGCCTGCTCGTGGTGCTGGTGCTGTTGATGGTGCGCTGCGTGCGCATCCTGCTCGACCCCTACAGCCGCATGCCCGCCTCGTCCTGGACCGACCACAAGGAGGCGCTCGAGCGCGGGCAGTTCGACTACGCGTTGGTGTGAGGGGCGCGGCGCCCCCTAGCCGGCCCTGCGCCGGGGTCTCAGAGGGCCGGCCCGGCGGGGGGCGCCGCGGGGCCAGGACTGCGCTCAGGATCCCGCCCCGGAGCCCCCAGCCCGGGGGAGAGGGGGAGGGAGTTGGGAGAAGCCCAGCCCCTCCCCCTCGAGACCCCTCCCATGTCCCTTCCTGGCCTGGCCGGAGCCCCACCTCGTGCCTTTATCCGCCCTGTCCCTTCCTCTCTGCGCATCTCACCCGCCCGGCTGGCCCCCACCCCCGACTCTGAATCCCGGGCGGGAGGAGGACCCCCGCACCGCCCCCTCCCCAGCGTGTAAGTGGCTCTGCTATTGTGCGTCCCTGGAAGTGGGGACCCCCTTGTCCCTCCTCCCTCCCCTGTTGTCTGGCCGTCGTCAACCCCACCTTGACTGAGTGTTGAGCCCGTCCTTGGGCTCTGGTCCCTGCGGGGCAGGCTCTCCCGGGCCCACGGGGCGGACGCTGCATACCAATTTGCCCTGCACCGCCTGTCCCGGAGACGGAGCCCGAAGGCCTGCCATGGCGGCTGTGTCGAGGATGCGTGGCGCCTGCCGTGGCGGGACAGCGTGGGCAGGCTCATTTCTGCCCCCAACCCGGGCCCCAGGACAGGTCAGCGCGCCCTGCCCCGGTGCCCACCGCTGCCCCCCATCCGCCCTCCTGCCACTTGCCCCTGACCCCCCTGCCGTGCCTCCCGCAGCCCTCCCATGCCGTTCCACTCCTCCCTGCCTCTGAGCCGAACATGATAATAAAAGCTATTATTGAGCGCTTACTGCATGCCAAGTAGCGTGCTGAGTTGGCACCTCCTGTTTATAGCCTGTCTCCTCTTCGGGATCGTGAGAATGAGCCAGGCCCTGTTAGCATCCCTATTCTACAGGCCAGGAGACCGAGGGCCAGGCAGCTCCAGTGACTGACTTGCCCACAGTCACATGGCTAGAGTCTGGTAGGGCTGGAAGTGGAACCCAGGTCTGGCTTTTGCATGTTTTTAAAGCTTCCCAGGGCTGCAAAGACACCAAGATCACAAGCACCTTTCACCGGCTTTGGGGGGGGGGGCTGATGTGTAACCCCCAGCTGCCTCCCCTCCACACACAATTCTGTTGATCTGGGGAGGCGCCGGGGGTGGTGAGAGAGACTCAGCCCTGTGGGGAACTGGGAGGCGCACCCTCTGCCAGCCCTGGAGGGAGGCTCCGACGACCGACCGTACCTGCAGCCTAAGCCTCCTCCCCCTGCCCACCACCATTGGCAGCGTTTGTGGGTCTGGTGCGGTGGGGCGGTGACCACGGACGGAGTGGGCTGGCTGTGCTCCAAGGCCCTCCCAAGAGATGTGCACCCCAGGGGAGCCGTGTGCAGTGTGTGGGGGGAGGAATGAGCGTTTCTATAAAAGGCAGGCTGGGTGAATGCACAGGCTCCGAGAACGGAGAATTTACCGACTT
This sequence comes from Homo sapiens, assembly GCF_000001405.40. Classification (NCBI taxonomy): domain Eukaryota; kingdom Metazoa; phylum Chordata; class Mammalia; order Primates; family Hominidae; genus Homo; species Homo sapiens. The sequence continues at coordinate 7,923,834 of NC_000019.10, read as the reverse complement.
GGATTACTAGCTGGGCGTGGGACGCGGTGCCGTGGGAGGACATCTGCTTCCCTCTCTAGGACCCGACCCTCGGTCCACACCCACAGGGCAGGTGAAGCTGATGGAGGGGGCCTCAAGCGGGGTCCCAGCACCCCCAGGGGTTTGGGGTCAGCCCTGACTCCAGTACCCCTCCCTCCCCGCCTTCTAGGGATCCTTGAGGTCCCAAAGCCACCCCAGGGGACACTCCACTCCCACTAGCCTCCTGCCACTCGGGGCAGCCCACCCCTATCTATCTTCCTCTAACCGCCCAGCCTGGGGCTCAACTCCTTCCACCGGGTCACCCCCACTCTCTGCTGCCTTCTCCCCTCCACCTGTGCGATGTGATTTTGCCCTACTCTGAAACCCATCCCTGACGCCTGTCCCCAAGGTGCCCTGCCGGCTCTCCCCATCCACACTTGTCAGCTTCACAGTCACCAAGGGGCTCCTCACCCCAGGCCTCATCACACCAGTCAGGTGGCAGCTCTCCTCCCTGGCACACACCCCCAGCCCTGTGACCCCCAAGCTCTGACACTTCAGGGCCCCCACTTCCATCTTTAAGTCACAGGTGAAAGAGAAAGAGAATGATAACTTTATTCATGGTCACAGAATACCCCCGGGAAGGGGAAGGACCTGGCAGCAGGGAGTAACCACGACTGGTCAGTTGAAGAAGGTGAGGATGCTGGCCCCGAGGTGTACAGGAAGGGGGAAAATGTGCGAGGGCCTTTACGGTGGGCAGTGCCAGCTATGGCCCCCCAGCAGACAACAAGGCACAGTGGGGCTTGGGGACTGGGGGAGGCCAGCCCTGTCCGCCTGTCCTTGACATCAGGAGGCTTGTGAGTGGAGTCCTGCAACCCCCACCCAACCCCTGTACAACGGGGGTTCCATTTCTGAGACCCCCAAAGTATGGGGCATCTTAGAGGCCCGCCCCACAGCTGAGCATCATCTCAAGGACCTTCCCCCATGACGGGATCCTCAGAAAGAGCCAGGGCCAGCCGAGCAGAACCGAGGGGCAGGGCGGGGGGCCTGGTGTGGCCTCCTGCCCGCCATGCCCCTCACCTGGCAGGGGTGGCTGCCCGACCCAGAAGCTCCAGGGGCACCAGGAACGGGTTCAGGGGACAGATCCCAGCTGCTTGCCAAGGCGATTTCAGTTCGCTGTGCTCGGCCTTCTCGGTGGCTGGGGGGGTCTCCTCTGGTGCCTTGGAGCCAGCCCCATCCCCTTCTGCTGCAGGCCCCAGGCTCCCTCCAGCGGGAATGGGCTGGGGGGCTGTCAGGCGTAGGTACGTCTCCGTCATATGCTCAACCAGGGCTGTGCAGGGCAGGAGTGGCAGCTCCTCTGGAAGTGACATGAGCAGGTCGAGGACCACAGCGGACTCTAGTGATGGATGGAGGAGAGGGGTAAGGGGACACCCCTGCCTGCTGCCAGGGACCCTTGATCCCTCTGCTCCTGCCCCCTCCCTCACCCTTCTCACCAGCTGCTGAGAGCTCGGGGCTGCGGCCACTTCGGGAGACAGAGGACAAGTACTTGTAGATCTTCTCAAAGTCCACAGCAAAGTCTTCTTCAGTGGAGGGACCAGCCGACGACTCAGAAGGTTTCTCAGGGGCAGGGTCAGGAGTCCTGGGTGCGGAGCTAGGTGCAGCAGGGGCAGAGCTAGGTATTTCAGGGGCGGGGTCTTCCTGTCCTCCAGGGGCGCTCAGGAGCAAAGGCTTTCCACGGGCCTGCGTGGGCTTGGGGGGCTTGGAGTGCAGGAGGGTGACCGGTTCCGTGGCCGCGATGGTGAGCACCTGGCAGGCAGAACAATCAGGGAGGAAGAGGAGCTGGGAAGTCTTCTCACCGTCTACACATTCCCCCATCCTCCCTGCCACCCTAAGATGCTCCTCAGACAAGAGATGGCCTCAGAGCCAGGGACACTGAGGCTCGAGGTGTCCAGTGACTGACGGAGTCCACAGAGCTGGCAAAAGGGCCCAGGACCCAGGTTCACATGATTTGGCCCATGTGACCCTGTCCTCTGGGACACCCTGACCTGCCTGGGGGAATGGCGGTACCTGCGAGAAAGCCACTGCCAGGGCTTCTTCCAGTGGCCCTGTTATCTTCTCAGCCAGATCCGTCCAGACCTGAGTGAAGCCAGAGGTACAGGGTCAGCCCAGGGATCAGCCTGCAATGGCCCCCCAAGCCCTGCTCCTCCTGGGGATCCCCTAATCAGGTTATCCCCCGCAACTCCCACCTACCCACCAGGGACCTGCCCTGGACAGCCTCACCCTGTTCATCTGCCTCACCTCTATGGGGGCTGGGGGCTGTGCCTCCCGGCGCCTTGGTCCCTGAAGGCCACCCGGATGCACTTTCTGAATGGCCTCCCGGGCTACGCGGCCCTTGAGCTGCTGGAGGAAGACCCGGATCTAGAAAGGAAAGAGGCGGCGGAATGAGGCTTCTATGAGCTCAGGGCTGCAGCAGAGAAGCCAAAGCCCAATCCCTTGTATGCTCTGGGCCCCGCTACTGCGCCTTAGTCTCCTGCTGGCCCGGTGTTAGGAGTCCCAGTGACTGCCAAGGCCCCTACCCCACCCAGAGCGTGACCAGCTACCTAAGGAAGTTGTAAGGCCCAGGCCAGTTCCGGCTCCTTCACGCAGCCAGGGCCCAACCCTATGCTGACTACTACCCCGTTCAACTCCCTTCTTCGTCCCCTCTTCTCTATTCCCTCTCACTTCAAGCTCGTATCCTGTCCAACAGCATGCGTTGCTTTTCGCCCGGACTCGGCAGCATCTTACTCCCAGTTCATTCCGCCCGTTTAGCCCTCGCCTCACCCACGCATTACCCCGAGGCTCGCCCCGCCTTTAAAGCTTGCCCTCATCCCGCCCACGCCCCTCCCACGCCTTACTCCCAAAACGGCCCCGCCCTTAAGTCTTGCTATTAACCCGCCCACGCCCCGCCCCCAGGCTCGTCCTGCCCCTCAAACTCACCCACCCACTCTCCAAACCTCAGCGGCACGCACGCCCCGCCCCCGGCATCGCCCCGCCCCTCCGCTTCACTTATGCCCCGCCCACGTCTAGCTCCCAAGCTCGCCCCGCCCCTAGGTCTTCTCTTCCCGTCCACGCCCCGCCCCTCACCCCGCCCAGGCTCACCCACTAACGCCCCGCCACTCAGCCCCACGCCACGCCCCCGCTCGCTTACATTCCTGGCCCCGCCCCGCTGGCTCCTGCCGCAGCCCCGCCCACTCTCCGCCCCACCCCAGCCCCGCCTCCAGCCTGGCTCCGGTCCCGAGAACCGCATCTCACCTCAGCCTCGCTCCGGCCCCGCAGCTCCCGGGCCAGCTCGGTGGCGTCCGGCTCCGGCTGGCCCTGCCGCGCCTGCAGGAGTCGCACTAGCTGCCGCTTCTCGCGAGCGCTCCAGGTCGCGGGACCGGTCACCTCGCCCAGATAGCGCGCCGGGGCCGCTCGCCGCCTGGGAGGTGGCTTCATGCCGCTCAGAAAGAGGCAGGCGCTGTAAGGTCGCTTCTCCGATGGGCGGAGCTACGGGGGCCGCCGAGGTCAGAAAGAACCGCGCGGAGGCGGACGCGCGTGGGGGCGTGGCTTCGCGTTTGGAGGCCCGGGGAACCGCCCCAATGGAAGTGAAGGGGAGATCGGCACCGGAACTGGGGCGGGGCGAAGGAGACCCTCAGCCTGCACTTTATCTCATTCATGAAGTGGAGACGACACCTTGGATCCCATGCCCTCCCTCTGTTGCTGGACTAACTCATGAAGCTACTACTGTGTGCTTTGCTTCTCGCAGAGGGGTGGGTTCTGGCCGAAAGGTCAAGTCCGAAGATCCAGTCGGTCAAGAGCCTGGGCTCTGGGGTCAGACAGGCCTGGGGACTTTGGGCAAGTGATTTAGCCTTGCCGAGCCTCAGTTTCCTCCTCTGTAGACTGGGGCTGATAGTCCCACTCTTGTCTGTGTAAGGTAGAGTGGAGCTCGGGCAGGAGGGATTTAAGGAGCTCTAGACTAGACTGACAATCTAAGAGGAGGGCGAAGTCCAGACCAGGAGGGAACTGGAGCAGAGGCAGAAGGTCGAAGCGGAGCTAGGGCAGGGTCCGGGCGGGGGTAATGGAGAGCGGAGAAGGCCTGGCTTGAGAAAGATCGCAGGAGGCAGATGGGCAGGTGTCCGGGTAAGGAGAGGAGGGAGGGGGAAGGTTTATTTTAAACTTACGCTTGTGGGGTTGGGTGCCGCTTTTTTTTTTTTTTTAGACAGATTTTTGCTCTTGTTGCCCAGGCTGCAGTGCAATGGCGCGATCTCGGCTCACTGCAACCTCTGCCTCCTGGGTTCAAGCGATTCTCCTGCCTCAGCCTCCCCAGCAGCTGGGATTATAAGCACGCGCCACTACGCCCTGCTAATTCTTTTTTTGTTACTTTTTTTAGTAGGGACGGGGTTTCACCATGTCGGCCACGCTGGTCTGGAACTCCTGACCTCAAGTGATCCACCCACCTCGGCCTCCCAATGTGCTGGGATTACAGGCGGGAGCCACCGCGCCCGGCCGGGTGTCGCTTTCTGTTTGAGACAAAACGCCCTACAGTCTCCCATGGCCTGGGAGTGCACACGGGTATATGGGCATATGGGCCCCGTCCCCAGGCTCCACCCCTGTAAGTCACGATTTCTCAGGAATACCCCCCAAGTCCTGCTCCCAGCTTTCTCCCCAAGCCTCCCCACCTATCCCCCACCCCGCACGTTGCGCGCTCACTGACTGCACCAGAACTTAGCCGGTCAGTCCAGAGGTTTATTTTGAGCACAGGTGGGAGGGACAGGGGGAGGAGAGAAGCGCAGGGGTCGTGGCCTCATCAGGTCCGAGGTCCAGGGAGGCGGGTCCGGTCCTGTTGGTCCTGGTCCCGAATTGGTAGCTGGGTGTATCTCCGGACCATGTTGGGGGCGCACCATCCCTGGGAGGGGTGGCTGAGGCTCAGCGAGGGAGGGGACGCTACGCGGGCCACCTCCCTTCCCAGCAGACCACTAGCCTCTTCCATCGGTCTGCATGCCGGGGTGAGAGTGGGAGCCGGGTCCGAATGCTGAGTTCTCCTCGCCTAGTGCCTCTCCTCACCTAATGCCCCTGGCTCGACCCAAAGCCCGCGCCTGCCGCGGGTGACCCACTGCCTGAGTTCGAATCCAAGCTCCACCCAGTATTGTGACTTTTGACAAGTTACTTAATTCAGAGAATGCCTCATCATTCTCGTCTCTAAAATGGGGATTATAATAGTGTCCGCCTAGAGGTTAAGGGGATTAAGTTAGTTCATAGGCGTAAAACATTTACAACAGTGCCTGGAGGCTGGGCGCAGTGGCTCACGCCTGTAATCTCAGCACTTTGGGAGACCGAAGCGGTAGGATCACCTGAGGTCGGGTGTGCGAGACCAGCCTGACCAACATGGAGAAACCCCGTCTCTACTAAAAATACAAAATTAGCCGGGTGTGGTGGCGCATGCCTGTAATCCCAGCTACTCAGGAGGCTGAGGTAGGAGAATCGCTTGAACCCGGGAGGCAGAGGTTGCGGTGAGCCGAGATCGCGCCATTGCACTCCCGCCTGGGCAACAAGAGCGAAACTCCGTCTCAAAAAACAAACAAACAAACAAACAAACAAACAAAAAAACCACAGTGCCTGGCACGAACTAAGCGCTAGGAAGCGTCACTGTCAGATCTCCTACCTCACCCAGCTCCCTCCACCTCCATACCTACCTTCCTCACTGGGACCTCCTGGGCTGGGGACCGCTGGGCGAGGCTCTCGCGGGCGGGCCAGGGGCGTGGGGCGCTGGAAGGGAGAGGCGAGCTGCAGAAGGGCTGCTGCGCGCCACGCCAGGCTAAGGGCGGCCCCTGGGGGCTGCTGCGGGCATCGCGGAGGCAGGCCTAGCTAGGGTTGATCAGGCCCCGCAGGCGGGATCGCGGCCGCCCCGGGTCCCGACGCGCGGGATTAGACTGGGGGCCCGGCTTGGCGGAGGTCGTCGGTACCTGAGTGCGCACAGACGAGACCCAGCCCGGCGGCCAGCGCGGCGCCCAGCACGAAGGCTGCCAACACCAGCGCCACCACCGGCGCGGGTTCCAGGGCCGCGGGGGCCGGCGCGGGAGGCTCAGGGCGCACTGCACGGCCGGGGACACTCTTGGGCGGCCCTGTGGGAAGTGCCACGCTGAGACTGGGTCCAGCTCCCAGGCGTCCTTCCCACCCGCTCTGCCGCCCCACGGCCCCATGCGGAGGAGGACTGCGTGCTCACTGGGGGGCGGCCGCGGCACGGTGACCACGATAGGCTGCGTCAGCGTGTGCAGGTGGGGGCCGTCAGCAGCCAGGCCCTCGGCGCTGCCACTGCCAGTGTCGGCGCACGCCTCGTCCTGAGGCAGACACTGGGGGAGAGGAAGGTGGGGAAGAGACGGGGACATCAGGGCACCGGGATCGTGGCTCTGGTCCCCAGGGCCCCCAAGAGAGACCTGAGTCCAGCTCTCCACCACAGCCAAGATGGGACCCCTGGAAATCCGGCCCCTTAGGGTGCCCTGAGCCCAGCCCCTACGCATACAAGTGGCTAGCCGCCCAGCCCCTAAGGACCCCAAATCCCAGCCCCACAAGATCGCATGGTCCGCGTCTCCCAGCACCTAGCATGTGAGGCCCAGCACCAGGTTCCCAGAAATGTGTCCCCTTAGTGGCCTTCTGCATCCAACCCCCAGCCCTGAAGGATTCCAGAGCTGTCCATGGGGGAACCCAGTGTCCACACTGTCCCCGGAGAAACTCTGTCGGCAGAGATGGACCCTTGCGCCCCACCTCCCCCAACCCCCAGATCCTCAGACCCCGAGAGTATCCTCTTTCCACTGCCAGAGTCGCCCGTGCCCAGCCCCCGAAGGGCCCCAGCGCCCGGATTCCAGGCTCTGCGCCCGCGCACCCGCGATGGCGGCGGCGGCGGCGGCGGCGTCAGAGGCGCAGGCGCCCGGCGGACTCCCCGGAGGCGGCGGCAGCGGCTCAGCTGGCAGTGCAGGAACTGCACCGAGGCGTTGAAGACCGGGCGCAGGCGGAAGCTGAAACGCGCGGGGCGGGCGGCACCCGGGCTCGGCGGCGGCGGTGGCGGGAAGGCGACAGAGGTGTCGGCGGGGCAGCCCTCACGCAGCAGAGCCAGGGCGGGCCCCGGGGCCGGGCGTGAGGACGGCGTCACTGAGCAGCGGTGCAGGGCCAGGCCCCAGCGCGGGGAGGGACGGGCCAAGGCCGCCTGGGGGACGGAGGCGCCATCAGGGATCGCCCGTCCCCACCGGCCCCCATCCGCCCCTGGTGTCCCCGGGGTCCCCACCTGCACGAACACGCGGCTGTCGGCCGGGACCTCGAGCGGCCCCGCGCGGCGAGGAAAGACGTCCTCTGTGTCGGACAGCTTCAGGCTGAAGAGGGGTCTGCGCAGCCAGGGGCCGGGCGCCGCGGGGAACGGGGGAGCTGGCGGGGCGGGGAAGGGCGGCCCAAAGGAGAGAAAACGCGCGCTGCCCTTTAGGCCTCCGGGAAAAGTGACCCGACCACCTCGCCCCCGCCGCCGCCTTTGGAAAAGGGATGCGGTTGCGGCGGCCGATTCACCCATGATGGGCTCCGCGCCACTTTCCCCCCTGACGGTGATGTGCCCCCTGGCGACCCCTGGGACTCGCACAGCCCAGCAACTGAGCCGGTTGCAGAGCCATGCGCCCCTAGAGAAGCCTCCGAAGCTGGCGAAGCCCTCCCTGGGGCGGAAGAGAAGCGGTGAGGAGCACCCGATGGTGGGGTCCGGCTGGGTGAAGTCAGAGCTCCCCCACCTTCCCCAGGGCTGCTCTTGGGGACGCAGCAGGACAGGCGGCTCCCCTTTCTAAGGGGAGATAGGTGCTGTCACCAACGAGGAAGGGAAGTGAAGAGGATACCCTCCCAAGAGGCTCTCCTGGGCACAGCCAAAGCCCAGCCAGGCCACCAAGATCTGAGACGCTTCCACTTGTCCAGGCTGAGGCAGCCATGGGACCCCTCCCCTCTTCGTGCCCCTAAACACACGCTGATGTCTGCCTTCAGGTGCTGAGCGGGGTCCTGGTAAAACGGCTAATCTCCAAATACGAAAGATTGCCTGCACATCCATTTTTCTTGTTTTCTGAGACAGGGTCTCCCTCTGTCGCCCAGGCTGGAGTGCAGTGGTGCGAATACAGCTCACTGCAGCCTCCACCTCCTGGGCTCCAGCCATCCTCCTGCTTCAGCCTCTCGAGTAGCTATGACCACAGCCACTCGCTACCACGGCCATACGGGGTCTATGTTGCCCAGGCTGGTCTGGAACTCCTGGCTTCAAGCGATCCTCTCACCTCAGCCTCTCTTAAGTGCTGGGATTACAGGCATGAGCCCCCTTGTCCATCCGCACACCACACCCACTTCTGAAGAGCACCTGGGTAGACTGGCCCCCTCCCACAACTCTGGCCCTCTCCGTGGCTGCAGGGAGCTTTGCCGAAGTGGGGATGTGAGCCACCCTTGGGATGGGGGACAGAGACCCCACCCCACTCCCCTGCCCTGTCCCCACCCCCATGAGGACCACCACCAAAGGTCTAGTTGAAAGAGAGTGACATCGGTGGGGCGCGGTGGCTCACACCTGTAATCCCAGCACTTTGAAAAGTTCGAGGCGGGCGGATCGCCTGAGGTCAGGAGTTCGAGACCAGCCTGGCCAACATGGGGAAACGCTGTCTCTACTAAAAATACAACAATTAGCCAGGCGTGGTGGTGCGTGCCTGTAGTCCCAGCTACTCAGGAGGCTGAGGCAGGAGAATCACTTGAACCGGGGAGGCGGAGGTTGCGGTGAGTGGAGATTGCGCCACTGCACTCCAGCCTGCGTGGCAGAGCAAGACTCCATCTCAAAAAAAATAAAGAGGGTGAAACAGGGATAGAAGCATGACAGACCCGTCACCTCCCTGCCCATACATACCAGGTGGCCCGCTGGGTAAGGTGGTGATCCCTGGGAGCAGGGCCAGCAGCAGCACGGTGCCCAGCATGCTGGACCAGCTGAGGTCGGAGTGTTTGGGGCCAGAGCAGACACCAGCTGGGCTGCACCCAGGTCCCGCACGTGGGCAGGCGGCCCTGTCCTTGGCAAGGAGGGAGGCAGGGAGCGGGGGTGGCAGACTGAGGGGCTGACACCAGAGCCAATGCCCAAGGCCTGAGGGGATTAAGGGATCCTCTGCTGCCCGACCTGTGGCCACTGGGGGCAGGGGGTCCCTTACACCAGCTGCTTGATACCCATCGGCAAGTCACTACAAACACCTCCCGTCTAGCTCCCAAACCTGCCTCAGTCTCCCCTCAATGCAGAAACCTCCCCCCGCAACCACCCCCTTCCCACCTCGCCCTGCCAGGCCCATGACACACCACAGACTCGGTGGAAGAAAAGGAAGGGGTTTATTCTCAAGCGTCTAAGGGTTTACAAACGAGGGCATTTTGTTTTAAAAAGGGGCAGGGCGACACTGGCGGCCTGAGGAGGGGTCCATTGGCTGGTGGGCTGGCCCGAGCCACCCTCAGGCCCCTGCCCACCCGGTCCGCCCTCTGCCTGGTCCAGAGGGATGGCTGGTGACGAGGGGGGAGGTCTTGGGAGAGGCTGGGAGGCAGGAGAGACTCCCCCAGGGCTCCCCACTTAACACTGAAGGGGGTGGGGGTGGGCGGACACACACTCATAAAACAGAAAATAAAGTTAAATAAAAATAAAACCAGGCAGCCCGGCCTCGGGCCTGTGCTGGCCCTGGGACCAGCCATGCAACCTTCCGGCAATCGCAGAGGCCCCCATGGCTGGATGCAGGGGAGGAAAGGGCCAGGCCTGTTGGCACCCCCACCCGGCAGACCCCTGGCCCCTGACAAAGGGGCCAAGGGGCAAGAGAAGGTGGCTTTCCTCCCTGGGGGCAGAGAGAAGATGACATCTATGACTTTTTAAACATGCGGCGTTTTGTGAATATCATGATAATAACAAGAGTCAACAGGCTAAGTGAGAGGAGAGGGATGCTACGCCTACGCTGCCCCCACCACGGCCAGCCGGCTTCTGCGCCTTTGGTGTTGGATTTTCTTTGTGATTTTACGGGGTTTTGTGTTTTTTTTTTCTTGTTTTTTGTTTTGTTATTTTTTCTTGTCCACTTGATTTGCATGCAACACCCACAAAAAGGAAACACACCCCCTCCTGCTCTGGCCACCCCAGCAGGCTCCGGGGGGCACCTGGCCTGGGTCCCCGGTGCACTCACCCGGTCCTTCCCAGTCCTGGACCTCAACGTGGACTGGGCCAGGTGTGGGTGAGTGGAGGGACGGCCAGGGGCACGATGGGAGTGACCACCTCGCACCCCCACCCTCAGCCCGGCCCCCACCCCTGCTGGAGCTTGTCACACGTCCTCAAACCCCCACATCCACTCCCTCTGCCCTCCATCCCTGACTCCCTCCGGACCCCTCCCTTGGCCCCGCTCCGTCACCGATTCCCTCCGGTCACCTGCTCTGCACCATGCCCCAAGACCACCTTCCCTGAAGGCCATCCTGTGCGGCCAGGGCCCCGCAGACCCCTCCACATCCCCTGAGGTCTTCAACTCACCCCAAGCTGTGGCCCCCGGAGACCCCAGAGCAGCAGCCCCAGCCCAGCTCCCCAGTGCCCGAGGGCGGTTGGGGCCCCACCACAAGCAGCTAATCGTGACTTTGGTAAAAGTTTCTGAAGGTACCGACAACCCCACGAGAACAAGCTCTCCTCCGCCCCCACCCCAAACACCCCACCAAGTACAATAAAATACAATAAACTCCAAAAAGGACCCCCTGAGATCAAAGAGAGAGAGAGAGAGAGAGAGAGAGCGCGAGCGCGCAGCCCCGTCCAGCCGCAGTGGCAATGCCCACACTGCCTGGCTGGGGGCCACTGACTCATTGCGCCATGGGAGACCTATGCAGACCCAGGGGACCCGTCAGGAGGTGGCTGGGCCCAGGCTCAGGCCAGAAGAGAGACAGAGGCAGGGAGGGTGACGGGAGAGCCAGACAAGGACAGAGAGGTAGAGCAGGGGACAGAGGGCGACGGAAGAGGAACGGGCGCGTGGGAGTGGCGAAGGACACAGCACGCTGGGAGCGTGCATGGTGGCTGCGGGACTCCAGGGCTCTCTCCTGGCCCCTGGGGGCCGCCCCGGCCCAGAGGCTGCGGCTGAATGAACAGCGACTCTGATCGCGGCCTGCTGTCTTCCGTTCACAGTGTCTGTCGGGGGACGCACACGGCCGGCTGACCCCGGGGTGGGAAGGGCGGGGGCTTGGTAGGCCCGGGGCGGGGGGGGTGGGTGGGCACCCCCCACTCTCTGTCCTCAGTCCTAGGTGGCCGTCCAGGTCCCAGGTCTCCCCTGGCAGGCAGCTGGGTGGCCAAGTGGGGAGGGGGGCCTGTGGCCATGCCCCTGGCCCCCTGTGGGGCTGGCCGCCGCCAAGCAGCTACCTGAAGAAGGGCAGGTGGGGCTGGCTCAGGACGCCGCTAGTCCGCGGTGACTCAGTCTTCGCCATGACATCCTTGAACCAGGACGCCACGTCCACCTCCAGCGTCTCGTAGCGCTTGATGAAGCTGTGTTCCTGTGGGCCCGAGGGGGTGGGGCTTAGGAGGAGACGGTCTTCCCTCCTGGCCTCGCGCCTCCGCAGGGACAGGACGGGGACTGGGAGGGCTCAGGTACTCACAAGTAGCTTATTATACTTTGGTCTCTTCCTGTGATCTTTAGTAAGGCTAGAGCAAGAGAAGGGAAGACAGATGTGAGAACGAGGGAGGAGGGGATGCCGGCCCCACCCCTGTGCTCAGGCCCTCCCCAAGGGGCCAGGGGTCCCCAAGATGTGTGTGGGGGAAGGAGCTGTGGATGTCCTCAGGACCCCGGCTGACAGCGGGGAGCAACTGTGAGTCCCGGAGCCTCCTGGCCTAGGGCCAGGTGGCAAGGGCCTGGCTTGGGGGGCCAGAGCTGGCTGAGGTCCCCCAGAAAGGTGGGTGGGGCTCCCCTGAGAGAATCGAACATGGCCCTCCTGAACTTGTAGCTGTGCTTGTTGCAGAAGCGTGCTCACAATCTCCAACAGCCACCCCGCCAAATGCCACAGGGCTGGCTGTCCCCTCAGGCTAGGTCCAAACCCAGCTCATGGCTCCCTGGGCACCAGCTCCAGCTCCTGTGGCAGCCGCCAGCCAGGAGCCCGCCCACAGTCGCATCCGCCCATCCCAGGGTGCGGCCTCCATTCCCCTCCTGCCATTGCCTCCCCAGCTGCCCAGAGCAGCGGGCTGTCCCTGACCTCCCAAGTGGAGGGAGGTTCTCACCAGTCTTTGACGAAGGACTGGAAGTCCCCCGAGAAGCCCATGTGTCCGGGCAGAAGCGGGGGCTCTTCCTGTAGGACTTTGGTGAGGACCTCAAAGTCCGTCTTGCAGTTCTTGTAGGGAAACTGTCCTGTTGCCAGCTCCACCTGGGAGGGAGACGGGCAGGGCTGGACAGGTTTATGTTCTCCTCCCTCCGAGTCCCCCAGAAGCCCTCACTCCTGGCTGGAGAACAGGGGAGGGCCCCAACTCACCAACGAGATGCCCAGGCTCCATACGTCGGCCCGGATGTCATAGTCCGGCTTGGTGGGGTCTGGGGGGTCAATGCGCTCGGGCTGCAGGGGGGGGAGGAGAAGACGTATCTCCAAGGCTGGGGCCGGCCTCCCAGCCCCCACCCCCTCCCCCGCTGGGGGGCCCCCACTCACTGCCATGTAGGCGGCACAGCCGGCGCTCCGCGTCTTGGCTTTGGAGTCCACCAGGCGGCCGCTGATGCCGAAGTCGCAGAGCTTGATCTGGCCCCGCTCGTCCAGCAGGATGTTGGAGGGCTTGACGTCGCGGTGGATGACACCGTGCTTCTCCTTCAGGTAGTACAGCGCCTTCACAATCTGCAGGCACGCAGAGGGGGGTGCATGTGGCAGGGGGCACAGACCCAAGGCCACCTGCCCGGTGCACGCCCCACCTGGCCACTCACCGCCACTGTCATCTTGCCCAGTGCACGCCCCGCCTGGTCACTCACCGCCTCTGTCATCCTGCCCAGTGCAAGCCCCGCCTGGTCACTCACCGCCACTGTCATCTTGCCCAGAATGCGCTCGGGGATGGGGCCCTGCATCCGCTTCTTGAGCTTCTCAGCGCAGGTGCCCATGAGCTCCATGGCGATGAAGACGTCCGTCTGCAGGGAGAGGGGCACCCGGGGGAGCTGTGTCTTCCGGCCCACCCCCCAGAGGCTCTGCTCCCTAGGAAGGGGCAGGGGTGAGGGAGGAGGAGACGCTGCAGGGCGCGGCCAGGTACTCACGTTGGTGATGAACGTCCCAAAGCACTGCACGATGTAGGGGCAGTCGTGGCTCTTCAGCACCACATCCAGGTCCATGAGGATGCGCTTGTTCTCCTCCTTGTTCCCGGAGCGCCGCATTTGCTGCACAGGCAGGGACAGGAGGGAGCCTCAGCACCGGCCTGGGGTGTGGGGCGCAGCCGGGGTAGCCGCCAAGGCTCACCTTAACGGCAATGACGTGGCCGGTCTTCCGGAAGCGCATCTTCCACACCTGGCCGCAGGTGCCGCTGCCCATCTCGCCCAAGTTCTCCAGGTCGTTGATTTCTGCCTGGTAGCGCTGGGAGGAGAGGGAGGGTTGGAGGGTCCCTGGGGCCTCTGCCACCGCCCCCTGCCCCCCACTGGCGCTCCCAGGATGGGTCCAGCCTGGCTGGGCCTCCTCCCTCTCCCCGCCACAGTGAAGGTGGTACCTGGCCCCCGATGGTCAGGTAGCCCGTCTGCTTCATGATCTCCTGCAGCTTCTGGTCAATCTCAATGCTGGGGACATGGAGCAGGTGCCGGTGGAGGTGGGTCCTGACCTTAGGTTGGCCACCCCAGTCCCCCATACCGGGGTTCCCACCGGTTTAACCACCCTCCTCCCAGGGCTGGCACGGTGGCCCCTCAATGCTGCTTCCCACCCAACCCTGCTGGGCCCCTGGCTCACCTCTCCATGCTGCGGGGTGTGAACAGGGTTGACGGGAGCCCCAGCATGTGGCGGGGCCGGGCGGGGGGCGTGGGGTGCTGCGGGGAGCTCTCTGAGGATGGCGAGCGGCTGCCCCCATCGTTGGCCAGCGGGAGCTGCAGGGCTAGGGGGGTGAGAACCAGTGGCAGGGAGGGGGGTCAGCGCCCAGCTGGTGTCAGCTCCACATCTGGCACTCCAGGGAGGGGTCGGGACCCTCACCTTCCCCTCCTGGGTTTCCCGAGCTAGGCTGGCACAGCCCCCTGCCCTGCTGGGCTGGAGGAGCTGGGGTCTCCCTCCCACCCCAGACTGTTCTCAGGGTCCCTTGTCTCATCCCCTGACCTGGAAAGAGATGGAGGAGGCTAGCAGGGGAGAGGGAGCCCCAAGTCTACGCTGACGGAGAAACGAGATGGGGACCTGAGGTGTCCCTCGGCCAGGGGGCCTCCCTGACAGGTGTGTGCACTTCCTCCCACTTCTGCCCAGGAAGCAGGCCCAGGGCCACAGCACCCACAGGATGGATAGGCCAGGGCGGAGTGCCTGCCAGGGCTGGCCCAGGCTGTGGCTCTGCTGGTAGCACTGAAGTTGGCTCCCAGACAAGAGCGAGCAGGGCCACGCTGGGGAGGCAGCGGGCACGAGACCCAGGCTTCAGGCTGCCTTGCCCTATCTTCTGTTCCGGGGTCAGGGAGGGCCCCCCTCGGGCCAGTGGGCTGACATGAGGGCCTCCTGGCCTGGCCTGCAGAGCTGGGGCCCATGGGGGCAGGACAGGACCTCAGGGGGCCTGCATCCTCTGGGAGGAGAGCTCGGGGGCACAGCTCCTGCAGGGGCTGGCGGGACCAGGTGGGGCCAATGCTGGGCCAGGCGGGGGTTGGCTCATCCAGCAGCCTGCATGCGGGCAGCTCGGGCATGCTACAGCGGGTGGGCAGGCGGCGGGCAGGCAGCAGGCACCCTGGGGTGGGCAGGCGGCATTAGGGGTGGGAGGGCAGGAGACAGACAGACAGACAGGAACCAAGACTAGGGCCCAGGTGCCCAGAGGAGGCGCTGCAGAGACAGGCCAGAGAGGGGCCTGGGACAGGAGGGCAGCTTCCCGGAGGAGCTAGGGTCTCCCTGGCTGGGCTGGCAACAGGGTGCAGGAACAGAGGCCGGGATGCTAACGTGGCCTCCAGAGGAGCCAATCCTGACACGTCACATCCTAGAGGCCCTGACAACGGCTACACACACCTACCAAGGTGCCCCTCCCACAGGAGCTGGGGCCTGCCGCTCTCCAAAGCCCTCAGCCAACAAGCCCCTCTCCCCTCTTTTCCTCCTGCCTCGTCCACCTTTTCTCCCCACAGTTCTGCAGGCTCCTGGTGACTGGTGCCCAGGGACTAATATGAACAGACAAACCCGCTCCATGCTGGCAGCTAAACCCCGTCCCTCCCGTGTGCCCAGGACCCTGATCTCAGCCAGTAGGAGGGGCAGGAAGACGCCTCAGTCCCAATGCAGGAGGCCCAGCATTGCCCCTATCTGGTCCTGCCAGCCCCTGCAGGAGCTGTGCCCCCTAGCTCCCCTCCTGGAGGACCAGGCAGGAGCAGGGGAAGGGCTCTGGGGACCTTGGGACACAGCCAGGCCCAGCGTTCATGACTGGCCTAGAGGCCTCACCTCCCGTGCCCCTCCCGCTGTCCTGGCCACTGCCGCCTCTGCAGCACCACGTCACCTCCCACTGTTTTTTTTTTTTTTTGAGATAGGTTCTCGCTCTGTCACCCAGGCTGGAGTGCAGTGGCGTGATCTCAACTCACTGCAACATCCCCCTCCCAGGTTCAAGTGATTCTCCTGCCTCAGCCTCCTGAGTAGCTGGGATTATAGGTACACGCCACCACACCCAGCTAATTTTTGTCTTTTGAGTAGAGATGGGGTCTCGCTATGTTGGCCAGGCTTCTCCCTCTGCTTCTTCAGGTCCCTGCGCCTCTGCTCTGTCCATGGCCTGAGCCACAGCCCCAGTCCCCTTCTGGCTCCCGAGGGCCTGTGCTCCCCCCAACCCAGCCCCCAACCCCTGTGCACCTGGCATCTCTTGAGACACTGCCTAGTTCCCGCCCTCAGAGAGTATCCGAGTCCCGCTCACACCCTGCACTCAGCGGTTGACGACCACAGCCCTCGAGGAGTCCTGTGGGCCCCTTCCCTGACAGAGCCCACCAGGCCTTCCGAGGGTGGCCCCGGAGCCTGGGGAGGAGGCTGCCGGACCACAGACTGGAGCATGGGGGGATGGAAGGGAGGGTTCAGGTAGGCACTGGGGGAAGGAGGTACACAAAGGCCCTGAGAACAGAGGCCACAGAGGTGGTGATGGCCACATGGCAGCTCAGGAGGGTGGAGTGAGAGCAAGAGGGTGAGGATGAGAAAGAGAACGGATGAGAGAGAGCGAGAGGCTGGAGGGCACGTGTCTGCCGACAGGAGCCACAGGTGCACCGGCTGCCATGTCAACATGCACGCACATGCCGTGCAAGTGCACGCACGCACAACACACACCCGGGGCATGCCGTGGACCTAACACCCATGCAGCCGGGACAGAGTCCCCCTTGCCCTCGGACACACATACTCACAACCACTCACAGGGCCAGGCACCCCATCTACTCTCTCTCCCAACACAGGCGTGGGGCACAGCCTGCATGCCCCACACAGGCTGGCGCTGCGCTCAGAGCCCTGGCGGCCCTGTCTTCTCTCCCCCCCCAACTCCTTCAAGACGCTTTTTAAATTTTTTTTTTTTTTGAGACGGAGTCTTGCTCTGTTGCCCAGGCTGGAATGCAGTGGCGCGATCTCAGCTCACTGCAACCTCCACCTAATCTTTTATGTTTTTTTTTTTTTTGAGATGGAGTTTTGCTCTTGTTGCCCAGGC
The DNA here is from genome assembly GCF_000001405.40 of Homo sapiens. Classification (NCBI taxonomy): domain Eukaryota; kingdom Metazoa; phylum Chordata; class Mammalia; order Primates; family Hominidae; genus Homo; species Homo sapiens. The sequence continues at coordinate 7,907,015 of NC_000019.10, read as the reverse complement.
TGAAGTGCAATGGTGCGATCTCAGCTCACTGCAATCTCCGCCTCCCGGGTTCAAGCGGTTCTCCTGCCTCAGCCTCCCGAGTAGCTAGGATTACAGCCTCCCGAGTAGCTGGGATTACAGGTATGTGCCACCATGCCCGGCTAATTTTGTATTTTTAGTGGAGACGGGGTTTCTCTATGTTGGTCAGGGTGGTCTCGAACTCCCGACCTCAGGTGAGCCACCCGCCTCGGTCTCCCAAAGTGCTGGAATTACAGGTGTGAGTCACTGTGCCTGGCCTAATCTCTAGTATTTTTAATGCAGACAGGGTTTCACCATGTTGGCCAGGCTGGTCTCGAACTCCTGACCTCAAGTGATCCACCCTCCTTGGCCTCCCAAAGTACTGAAATTACAGGCATGAGCCACTGCGCCTGGCCCAGTTTTTAAATTTTTGAGACAGGATCTCGCTGTCACCCAGGCTGGGGTGCAGTGGTGTGATCATGGCTCCCTGTAGCCTCAACCTCCCCGAGTGTTGGGATCACAGGTGTGAGCCACCGTGCCTGGCCTCCCCAGAGGCTTTGTTCAATTCCCACCGTCTCCAGAGGTTCCCCCAGGCTGGCCCCCTGCAGGGCCGCTCACCCAGCTAGAATGTTCTCTCTGGTGGGAATGTGCTCCTTGTCCAGTGGGCCCCCCTATTGCAGCCCCCCGCTACAGAGGAGAGGGGCTCCATCTGTTCTATTCACTGCTGTGTCCCTGGCGCCCAGGGCTGGTATGGAACCCGGGGGGTGCTATGTGTTCACCTAGTTGTTGAGAGAGATCCATAGGCACAGGCCACCCACCCACCAGGCCCAACTTTCTCGTTCTCTCAGTTACACACACACAGGCGTGCACCCCCCCCACCCCCGGAGGCCACAGACTCCCATTCAGTGGGGGAGCCCACCTCCTCCTCCAGGGAGTCCAAAGTGGAGCTGGGAGTAAGGGAGGGGGAGGAGGAGGGAGGACGCAGAGGAGGCTGGGCTGGGCTGACCGCTGCTTGAGTGGAGTGAGAGAGAAAGTGAGAGTGAGGGGAAGGGACATGGGGACACACACAGAGCATGGGGGCTGGGGGACGCCATTCTGCGGCCGGGGCAGCGGTTAGGTCAATGGTGCAGATGTCCAAGCAGCGATGATAAAAAGGCTGGTACCTGCTCGTTGGGACGGGGCAGGAGCAGGGCTTAGAGTGATCACAATAACTGGATGGGGAAAAGGAAGAAAAAAACAACACCACGATAAATCACAACAGAAACGACTGATTCGTCCAAAAGAAAAGAAATCAAATCATAAACGAGGAGGAGGGGGAGGCACCGAACTGCAGAGATGGCTAGGAACCGACAGAGATGGGGAGGGCGGGGAGGATGGGATGGAGTTGACACAGACAGAGACGCCTGGAGGGGACTCCTCGGGGGCCTGCCTGCCACCGGCCTCCTAGCTCTGCATGGGAACGGCCACCCCTGAAGGCACCCGGGATCCTGGACTCAACCCTGTCTCATCCACTCAGGGGCCAGGGAGGGCGGCCCCCAGGGGCTAGCAGGGACCCGTGTCTTGGCTGGGCTTCTTGTCTCAGGCAGTGTCCTGCACCAGAATCCCCACCTCCATGATTTCTCTGGACCCCCAAGAGACTCCCCAAGGAGGAACCCACGCTGACTCAGGTCAGGAGAGGGAGGGACAGGAGGGTGTCAGGCTGTGAAGGTCAGGCTGGGTGACCAGGGAATGGGTGGGGTGCCCAGATACGGGGGTACCTTTCTCGCCTGCCATAATGACTCCATAGAGAGAACTAAATAAACTACGAAGGTCACATCAGAGGAGACAAGAGAGAATTTTACTGGGTCAAGAAAGACACAAAAAGGATCATGGGTCAGGGGTGGTGTTCACAGGGTTTGAAAATCTAATTTCCTCCAGCCCAGAGGATTTAGAGACCAGGATCTTGGGGAAAAAGCCGGGAGACTAGATATGGTCAGTGTTCCCAGGCCAGGTGTGTGTGAAGCGAGAGGTACTGATCTAGGATGACAAGGTGTCAGGGAGGTAGGTACCGAGGTGGTGGGACTGATCAGAAAGCAGGTGGATGTATGCTGGGGCGCGGCGGGAGCAGGCCTAGAGTCACACTGGCCCCAGGTGTCCCCAGGTCAGGTGGGTGTGGGTGTGAAGGGAAGGGGAGCCATCACTTGAACACAGGTGACAAAGTCACCGGGCTGGCTGGGGGTCGATGTGCATTTCTGGAGGTCAGACACCACACGCTCACCAAGATGGTGGCAGTGAAACTGGTCACAGGGATTTGCGGGGCCTGGTGTATGTGGGAGGGGGTCTGCTGAGCCCAATGCCATGGTCACTGTCGCCAAGAGGGGGAGAAGGGACCCCCTCCCGTCCCCCCACCTCAGACACGGTCACAGGGAGAGCGAGAGGGAGAATCCTCGGGTCAGAAGAGATGGGGAGGGGCTCTATGTGGTCAAGTAACCTCAGGTGTCCCCGAGCCAGGCGTGCGCGTGTGCGTAGATCGTCGCTGCACGGGGCTGACAAGCCCCCAGGCCGGGGGAGGGGGGCGCCAGACAGTCCCTGAGATGACGAGAGTGGTAGCATCAGGTCAACAGGGACGTGTCTGTGTTTTCGGGGCGACCTGGATGTGGTCACTGTCGCGTGGAGTCGGGGAAGCCCGACCCAGAGGATCACGGCGATGGGGGCGGGTCATCAGCTGGGGGCCTCGCCTGGGTCCGGGAACTGGGCTCCCAAGCCCTGAGGGTGCGAACCCCCCGGAGCTCGCCGGCTCCACGCCCCCCGGGTCACCGTGACCCTCGCCCCGCGAGCCCGCAGCGGGGGGGGCGGAGAGGAGAGCGAGCGCCCCGGAAGCGGGGGCGGGGCCTTGTGGTGGGGGCGGGGCCTCCCGCGGCGCGCGCCCCGCCCCGCCCGCCCGCCCCCTCCCCCACGCCGCCGTGCTTACTGGGCCTGGGCCGCTGGGGGCTGATATCCAGGTTGAGGTCGATCCTCCGCCGGGCCTCCCGGTTCTCCTGCTTCAGCTTTGCTTCCAGGCGGGACAGCTTCTGTTCCAGGGAGGACGCCGCCATCTTCCCCGCCGCCACCGCCGCCGCGCACCGCCCGGCCGCCCGTCAGTCCGGCAGACAAACACCGCACTGCGCCTGCGCCCGGATGACCCCGTCGAGCCGCCGTCTCGCCCCGCACCGCGCATGCCCGCGGCGCGCACCCGCCCTTCTCCGCGTGCGAACCTCCGCGCGTGCGTGCTTCGGCTCAGCCCGAAGGATGACGCCACCTAGAGCTCGAGGCAGGCAACGTGCAACCCCCGCCTTCGTCGCCACCACCACCGTAGTGCGCATGCGCCAATTCCCGATCGCTCCTGAGAGAGGCGCTGCGAGGAAACACCATTCTTCTGAGGACGGTGGGCGGGGAAAACGGCGCGCATGCTTAGCGAGGCGAAGCCGTGTTCGCCCGCGTGGCTTTTGCGCATGCGCATTCCTGGAACCTCGTTCCCAAAGCGGCAGTCGATCCCTGGTCTCCACGGCGGTGCAGCCTCAGCCTCCTCGCTTTTCACGGTCGGCTTGGGCGTCCCTTCGGAATGCCTTCCTCACTGATGGTGCTTTATTAGGATTCCTCTTGTGCTTAATTACCTCCTAGCCTCCTGCTGGCAGCGGGGTGCCGCCTCCTCACCGTAATTAGGCTCCGTCGAGAGCCCTTTCCCTTCTTGCCAGCCCCAGCAGGCTCAGAGTTGGCCGAAGCCAGGGGGGAGGGGACGGCCATGGGAACCCAGCGGTGTGACCCCTGCCCTCGGCGACGGGGCCAAGGTCAAGGCCAGAGTTGTTGGCCAGACCCACATAGAACCTCAAGACACCCCCCTTATCTCTCTCGCACCCGGAACGTGAGCCCAGCGCCTGGACGTGGAGAATTCCTATCTGAGGAGGGGCGCTGGGGTTAGGTGCCAGTGCTTGGGCCCCCGGCAGCCTAAACCACTCCTTTAAGTGGTCCGACGGGTGCTGGGGAAATGTCCCATCTGGAACCCAGGGATCCCCCCAAGAGCGGCTTCCCTCTGCTCTTAGATGCGAGAAGGAAGTTCTGATTTTGCGGACACCCGGGAGGTGGCCAGGGCCAGGCAGACTCTGCCAAGTGCCCTTCCAGCTTCTGGTCCAACGAGGGAACACTTTGGGATGAGAGTTACCGGCTTGTCGGAACTCCTCTGGTGACGATTTGTGGGTGGAGCACACACAAGTGTAGAGTTATAGCTGAGGTCTTTACCTTTCCGTCTTCCAGGCAGCCTTCTGTGCCTCTGCTCTGAGAACATGAGACTCATCCTTGATTCTGGCACACGGGTGTTACTTGGTCACATGAAATAAAAGGTTACGGGCATGGTGGTTCACGCCTGTAATCCCAGCACTTTGGGAGGCCGAGGCGGATGGATCACGAAGTCAGGAGAGGACCAGCCTGGCCAAGATGGTGAAACCCCGTGTCTACTAGAAATACGAAAATTAGCCGGGCATGGTGGCAGGCGCCTGTAATTCCAGCTACTTGGGAGGCTGAGGCAGAGAATTGCTTGAACCCAGGAGGCGGAGGTTGCAGTGAGCCAAGATTGCGCCACTGCACTCCAGCCTGGGTGACAGAGCCAGACTCCGTCTCAAAAAAAAAAAAAAGAAAGAAAAACAGGGTCTTGTTCTGTTGCTCAGGCTGGAGTGGAGTGGTGTGATCACAGCTCACTGCAGCCTCAACCTCCTGGGTCCTGGGCTCAAGCAATCCTCCTGCCTCTGCTTGCCTAGTAGCTGGGACCTCAGGCACACATCAGCACACCTGGCCAACTTTTTTTTGTATGTTTTTGTAGAGATGAGATCTCACTATGTTGCCCAGTTTGGTCTCAAGCTCTTGAGCTCAAGCGATCCTCCCACCTGAGCCTCCCAAAGCGCTGGGATTACAAGCATGAGCCACTATGTCTGGCCCTAATGGACGGTGTTAGACAATGACAGGAGTGCACATAAGAGATCAAAACTAGAACTTGCATAATTAGTATTATTTATTAAGCACCCAGAGAACAGTCAAGACCAAAGTCCCTGCTTGTCCTTGGAAAAATGTCACCTCTATAGCAGGTGTCCTAACCCTGCAGTCCACCCACCTTAGGAAGTCCTTGAATAGCTCTCTGGGGGAAATCTATCAGCTGCCTGAAGAGCTTTGTGTGTATTTGTACACCAGCATTTTCCTGAGGAAGGAGGTGCCTGGCTTCATCAGTTTCTCAAAGGGTCTAGGACCTCAAAAGGGATCAGAATCTAGATATTTGGATACCCTATTTTTTTTTTTTTTGGCAGAGGTGGGGTCTCGCTATGTTACCCAGGCTGATCTCGAACTCCTGAGCTCAACCATCCTCCTGCATTGGCCTCTCAAACAGCTGGGATTATAGTCATGAGCCACAGCGCCCGGCCCTGATACCTTTACGTCAGCATTTCCCAACATACTGTCTCAGGGCCACTTACCTGCACCAGAACTACCTGGAATATTTAGGAACAGACTCCTGGCCCCCAACCAAACCTCCTGAGTCAGTGTTTCAGGGGAGGGGACTGGGATATTTTGTTTTGCACCGACTCCCTAGGTGATTTTGATGCTTAGCCAAATGAGAACCATTGTTCGGAGCTAACATATAACACAGCAAACAACTGTGTCTGTGTCCTCTCCTTGGGAGAGAACTCCAGAAGTAAGTTGCTTTGTTGCATGGGGAGGGGGAGTGTTGGAAATCCCACTGGGATGTGTCGTTTCCCCCATATGTGGCACTAATTGAGCTGGAATATCCAGGGAGAGGCAGCAGTTCTAGGGATGGGAGCAAGGCCAGCCAGCCTGCCAGAGACACAGGTGTGGTTTTGGTCGGAGAATGCCATGACTGAGTTAATCCCTCCATACCAGGTTCCACCCCAGCTCCACAACATCCTGTCTGTCTCCCCAGACAAACCAGCCCAGATCCTCCTGGGCCCCAGAAAGATGACACAGCTGCCCCCGCCCCCCCCATCTCCTGGCCTGGACCCACTTGGCTTCCTATCTTGGAAGACAATGGTTGAGATTCCAGGGCAGAAGCATTTTTAAGGCTCTACCTAAAACGGCCCCACCCCAGCTTCATTCCTCCTCCATCTTGTCCCGCACTTCTGCCGGCAGACCCTGGTAAAGCGTGTCTTCCACCAGGAGCCCCGCCTTCTTGAGCCCCCCACAGTTGCCAAGTTCTTCTGGCAGCGCCTCTAAGCGGTTGCCTTTGAGCTCCAGGCGGCTGAGGGCTCTGAGGGCACCCACGTGGGGCGAGAGCTGGCTCAGCTGGTTGTCGCCCAGAAGCAACGTCCGCAGCTTGCGGCAGAAGAAGAGCTCTTCGGGCAGGGCCTCCAGGGCATTGTAGGAGAGGGCCAGGTGCTGTAGGTTCTGCAGGAGGCCCACCTCGGGTGGCAGGGAGTGTAGCCCATTGTGGGACACATCCAGCAGACGGAGGCCTGAGCACAGGCCGAGCTGGGAGGGCAGGGTCTCCAGCTTGTTGTAGCTGAGGTAGAGCTGCTCCAGGCTCCTGAGCTTCCGCACGTGCTCAGGGACGTAGGCGATCTGGTTGTGCCACAGCCTGAGCGTGACCAGCTTCCGGCAGTGCTGGAAGCTGAGGATTTCCTCGATGGAGCGCAGGTGGTTGTCCTTGAGGTCAAGTTCCTGCAGCGCACCCAGGCTGAACACTGCATGGGGGATGCGCTCCAGCCCGCAGGCCACCAGCTCCAGCTCCCGCAATGCCGCCAGCTTCTTGAGGCTGTTCAGGGCAACCAGACGGGCCCCATCGTTGTGCAGGCTGAGCCTCTGCAGGTGGCCAGCAACGTCGGTCACACTGGCTGGCACCTTCCCGGCGTTGCTCCGGAGGGACAACACCTTGAGCTGCTTCAGCTCCCGGAGGCTCTCCAGGGTGGCTGCCCGAGCTAGCTCCTGGGGGAAAAGCCCCTCCAGGTGCAGCTCCTCCAAGCCCCGCAGCCCAAACACCCAAAGCGGCACCTCGCGGAGCTCCTCGCATTTGACGCGCATCACCTTCAGGTGGTCCCGCAGGAAGACCTGCAAGGAGAAGGGTAGCCTGGCGGGCGAGTGGAGCAAGCTGAGCTCCTGCAAGTGCACCAGCTGTGACAGCCCCGGGGGGAAGGTGATATCGCAGATGGCCTCCAGCCTGAGTGACTCCACCTCACTGAGCTCAAAGACGGTGTCGGGCAGACCCGGCAGCATGCAGAGGGCCAGCTCCAGCCGGCCCGCGGCATTGCGCTGCAGCTTCTGTCGAAGCTTCTCGGGCGTCCACTCGTGGTTGAGATTGAGCTGCTTTAGACGGCTTTCGCTGACCTCGGACAGGAAGACGGCGAAGCGCTTGGAGTAGAGGGAGTCGTACTGATCGATGAGGTGCAGCATGAAGGCGAAGTCATTCTTGACGTCAGGAATGTCCCCCATGCCAGTCTCCTCCCGCACGGAACGGAAGGAGTACTCCTTGAGGGGCCGGTGGAAGAGCCAGTAGAGCGTGTAGATGCAGGTAAGTCCGTAGATGCACACAAAGGAGATGTAACAGAAGGCCAGCTTGGAGAAGAGGTGGGCCTTGGTGTGGTTGCAGCAGAAGCTGGCGTAGCCCGTGACCTCTGACGTCTCCACCCTACAGGCCACCAGGAAACTGATCTTCTCCACATAGACCAGGTTGTAGACCAGGATGGCCAGGAACTTACACACTTTCAGCACCGTCTGTCGGATGTACATGGTGTACAGGATGTCGCCCTCTTCCACGTGCATGCGGAACTTCTTCACCTTCTCAAACAGGGCTTTGGCTTGCTCACCCTCCTTCTTGTCCAACAGGGTGACAACTGGAGGCTCGGTCACCACCTTCTCCGGTTCCGCCAGCACTTTCTCCTTCTCACCCTCCCCTGCCTTCCCCGGCCCGGTCCCTGCCATGGCCACTATGGTGGCCGCAGCCCGTTCGGTGGCTGCTGGGCCCTTCTGGTTCTCCCCGGAGACCTCGGATAGGGCCCTGGTGGTCCATGGAGAGTCGAAACACTTGCCCAGGATGGAGATGAAGTGTTCAATCTTGGAGCTGGTGCCAGGGAACTTGAACCAGAAACTGGTGCAGACCATGAAGATGAGTGTGTGAATGACCACGAGGTAAGGGAAGTACTTGGCATACCAGTGCAGGGCCGTCTCATAACACAGCTGGTTAATAAAGCTGTATTGCTGCAGGTCCAAATTGTTCTTAAGGCCTTTAACCTCCTGCAGGGCCCCAATCTGCTCAGGGATCCCCCGAGGCAGCAATTGCTGGCACGGGGCCTCTGATAAGTTCTCCTGGAGCTCATGATTGGGTAGACAGATGATCTTGTCCTGTGTCACCTGAGGAGCAAAAGAGAATGAGGGCTGTAATCCTAGCACTTTGGGAGGCCAAGGCGAGTGGATCACTTTAGGTCAGGAGTTCGAGACCAGCCTGGCCAACGTGGTGAAACCCTGTCTCTACTAAAAATACAAAATTAGCCGGGCATGGTGGTGGGCACCTGTAATCCCAGCTACTCGGGAGGCTGAGGCAGGAGAATCGCTTGAACCCGGAAGATGGAGGTTGCAGTGAGCCGAGATCGCGCCATTGTACTCCAGCCTGGGTGACAGAGTGAGCCTCTGTCTCAAAAATAAATTAATTTAAAAAAGAGAGAAAATGAGGGGGATGGGGAAAAAGCAGGCTGAAGGTGGGAGACCCCCCGCACCCCCCATCTCTGACTGTTGCCAGCCAGCTGTGATTTTGGAAGAGTTTTGCTAAACCTCTAAGCACTGTTTTTTTTTTTTTTGGTTTTTTTTTTTGAGACAAGAGTCTCGCTCTGTCAGGCTGTGTGCAGTGGTGCAATCTTGGCTCATTGCAACCTTCCCCTCCTGGTTCAAGCAATTCTCCTGCCTCAGCCTGCTGAGTAGCCGGGGCTACAAGCACGCACTACCACGCCTAGCTAATTTTTGTATTTTTAGTAGAGATGGGGTTTCACCATGTTGGCCAGGCTGCTCTCGAACTCCTGGCCTCAAGTGATCCCCTGCCTCAGCTTCCCAAAGTGCTGGGATTACAGGAATGAGCCACCACAACTGACAAAGCACTGGTCTTTGTCTGAGAAAAGGAGCTGGGTTGAATCGTGTCCCCACAAAAGATGTTGAAGTCCCAACTCCGAATCCTTAGAATGTGGTATTATTTGAGCTGGGTCAGGCGGCTCCTGTTTGGTAATAGGGTCTTTGCAGAGGTAGTCAAGACAAAGCCAGTAGGGTGGGCCCAGTATGACTGCGCCTTAGAGAAAGGGGAAACATAGACACAGAGACAGACACAAAGACAGAAGATGACGTGAGGATACAGGGAGAGGCTGGGTGCGGTGGCTCAGGCTTGTAATCCCAGTGATTTGGGAGGCAGTGGGAGGGGGGGCCAAGCGGGGGTGGTAGAGGAGGATTGCTTGAGGCCAGGAGTACAAGGTTACAGTGAGCTATTATTGCGCCACTGCACTCCAGCCTAGGTGACAGAGCTTGCTTAAAAAAAAAAAAAAAAAACTGTCTCGACCAGGCGCAGTGGCTCATGCCTGTAATCCCAGCACTTTGGGAGACAGAGGCAGGCTGATCCTGATCACGAGGTCAGGAGTTCAAGACCAGCCTGGCCAACATACTGAAACCACGTCTCTACTAAAAATACAAAAAAATATTAGCCGGGCGTGGTGGCACACGCCTGTAATCCCAGCTACTTGGGAGGCTAAGCCAGGAGAATTGTTGGAACCCGGGAGGCGGAGGTTGCAGTGAGCCGAGATCGCACCACTGCATGCCAGCCTGGGCGACAGAGGGAGACTCTGTCTAAAAAAAAAAGAAAAAGAAAAAGAAAAATACTGGGAGAATGTCATCTACAAGCCAAGGAACTCTTGGAGCTGCAAAAATCTAGGAGGGAAGCTTGGAAGATTCTCCCTCACTGACAACTGACGCCTTGATCTCAGACTTCTGGCCTCCAGAACCAGACCCAGAAGAGGAAACATTTCTGGTTATTTAAGCCACTCAATCCCTGCTACTTTGTTACAACAGAAGTAACAAACTCATATAGCAACTGCAGTCCTTTCCAGATTCTAGGGATAAAACTGAGCATTGTGAAAATATGGGGCTGGACACAGTGGCTCACACCTGTAATCCCAGCACTTTGGGAGGCCGAGGTGGGAGGATGGCTTGAGGCCCGGAGTCCGAGACAAGCCTGGGCAACATAGCAAGACCCCTGTGTCAACAAGAAATTTAAAAATTAGCTGGACGTGGTGGTGTGTGCCTGTAATCCCAGCTACTCTGGAGGCTGAGGCGGGAAGATCACTTGAGTCCAGGAGTTCAAGGCTGCAGTGAGCTGTGATCATGCCACTGCACTCCAACCTGGATGACAGAATGAGACCGTGTTTCTTTATTTTAATTTTCAATTATTTTATTTTATTTTTTTTAAGATGGAGTCTCGTTCTGTCACCCAGGCTGGAGTGCAGTGGCATGATCTCGGCTCACTGCAACCTCCACCTCCCAGGTTCAAGCAATTTTCCTGCCTCAGCCTTCCAAGTAGCTGGGATTACAGGTGTCCACCACCATGCCTGGCTAATATTTGTGTCTTTAGTAAGGACGGGTTTTCACCGTGTTGGCCAGGCTGGTCTCAAACTTCTGGCCTTAAGTGATACTCCCACCTTGGCCTCCCAAAGTGCTGGGATTACAGGTGTGAGCCACCATGCCCGGCCCCTGTCTCTTTTTAGCCAAAAAGAAAAAAAAAAAAAAGAAAAAAAAAGAAAGGGTCAGGTGCAGTGCCTCAGGCCTGTAATCCCAACACTTTGGGAGGCCCAGGCAGGCAGGTCACTTGAGGTCAGGAGTTCGAGACCAGCCTGGCTAACATGGTGAAACCCCATCTCTACTAAAAAACTACCAAAATTAGCCAGGCGTGGTGGTGGGCGCCTGTAATCCCAGCTACTCAGGAGGCTGAGGCAGGAGAACCGCTTGTACCCGGGAGGCAGATGTTGCAGGGAGCTGAGATCATGCCACTGTACTCTAGCCTGGGTGACAGAGTGAGACTCCGTCTCAAAAAAGAAAAAAAGATATGGAATGGCATAGCAATGTGGGGACTCCGGTGCTCCTGGCTATGGAGGTAAGGAAGATAAGGGGTCTGGATTGGCCTTTGAGTGGGGCTCTGTCTTCAGTTTCCTCTCTTTCTTGGGTGATGAGAAGGCTTCCCGACTTCCCCAGACACCTGCCCCGCCCCTCTGGTCACACCCCCTTGCCAGGGGAGGGCCTCACCTGGAGGGTGCAGCCAAAGACCCCAATCATGAGCATGGCCACGGTGAGGTACTCGGCCAGCACGTCCCACCAGGGTTTGAGCACCTTGAACGCAGGCTGCTGTTCCGTGAACTGCTTGAACTCGGCCACTGGGATCATGCTGCCTGTGGGACGGGACGAGACGGGGGGTGTAGAGAGAGACCCTCAGGATGGGAGGCTCTGCAGGGGGTCCTCCGAGGAGCCGGACACAGGCAGGCCTGTGACCCTCCCTGCCCAAACTTGTCCAAACCACCAAAGTGTGTGCCCCCACTTCCCTCTTAGCCTGGCCTTAGTCACCCTCCATGCAGACGTCACCACCTGCCCAGAACCAAGCGGCCACTGTTCCCCTCTGGGCACCCCTGCACCTGATCTGACTTGTCTGACCTCGAAGAGCACATGAGGGATAGTCCACAGGGCCGCCGCCCTCCAGCCTCCTCGGGTGGCCCCCTCCCCAAAACGAGGCATCCCTCTCCCACCCCTGACACCAAGGCCTGAAAACATCTGCCTCGATGCTCCCTGACTGCAGACACTCAGCGTCTGGGCCAGCCCCGGCTCCCACCGCCACCAGGCCTGAAAGCGTTCCAAGGCTCAGGACTTCCGGGGCGTAGGCCCCTCCACCCCCTCCAGGGGCACTCTGGGCACCACCTCCAACCTCTAACCGGAAAAGCCGGCTGGAGCCTGGCTCTGGTTACTAGGGCCCCAGGGGCAGGGACTGCCAAGCTGAAGGCTAGTCAGCCCTGGGGGTAGGAGGTGACCAGGACACCTGAGTTTCTAAAGGGGCTACAGCCCAGAATCACAGGCAGAAACCAGAGACCTGGGCTCTGAGAGGGGGCAATGGGGTGTCCGGATGTCCGAGGAGGAAGGAGGATTTGCAAATGGAAAGTTGTCAGGTGACATCTGCGACCAGGCTAGGGCTGTGCTGTCAGGCTCCTGGCCGGCCCACTCTGTCTGTTCCCAGGGTCTCCTTTTAGACCAAGCTATCACTATTACAGATACAGACAGGCCAGCCACAAATCACACTGGGGCGTGGGGCATGAGCTGAGATGTCACTCTCCCAGGCAGGTACCTACTTCCCCAGAGGCTGGAGGTGGAACAAGGAAGGTGGGGAACCTTAGACCAGCCCACTTCTGCCAACATCCAAGTTCCCCCACTCCTGGGAGCCTCCTGTCCTTGTCCAGATAGATAATCTGTAACTGGGGCTGGGCGCGGTGGCTCATGCCTGTAATCCCAGCACTATGGGAAGCTGAGGCAGGTGGATCACTTGAGGTTAGGAGTTCGAGACCAGTGAGGCCAACATGGTGAAACCCAGAGTCTACTAAAAATACACAAAAAATTAACCAGGTGTGGTGACACACACCTGTAATCCTAGCTACTCTGGAGGCTGAGGTGGGAGGGTCTTGATCCGGGGAGGCAGAGGTGGCAGTGAAGTGAGACCGTGCCACTGCACTCCAGCCTGGGTGACAGAGTGAGACTCCATCTCAAACAAACAAAACAAAAGACAAAGATAATCTGTAACGGGACAGGAGTTGGGCCAAGAAGGAGGGCATCTGCCCATCAGGGAGTTATCTCTGGCTCCCCATCCATCTCCCCAGGAAGAATCTAGGGAAACCCTGGTCCCCTGACCCACGACTCAGCCAATGGTTCTGACATGTCTGAGCCTCCCTTTTCAGTTTGTGTCCCCCCCATATTTTGGGGTGACTCCTGGGTTAAAACAAGGTAGGATACAGGCTCCACCCACCAAGCTAAAGGCCAAGCAGTCCCGAAAGACCACATCCTTTTACCCCCTCAGAGGCCCCCACTTCAGTCTGGGGAATCAGATAGGCAGGCAAGGGTGTGGGTACAGCCTGCCCACACGGGGACTCACCATGCAAGTGTAAAATGTCATAGGTTGGGCCAGGCGCAGTGGCTCACGTCTGTAATCCCAGCACTTTGGGAGGCCAAGGCAGGCGGATCACAAGGTCAGGAGTTCGAAACCAGCCTGGCCAGCATGGTGAAACCCCGTCTCTTCTAAAAATACAAAAATTAGCCGGGCATGGTGGCATGAACCTGTAGTCCCAGCTAGGCAGGAGAATCGCTTGAACCCGGGAAGCGGAGGTTGTGGTGAGCTGAGATCGTGCCACTGCAATCTAGCCTGGGAGACGGAGCGAGACTCTGTCTCGGGAAAAAAAAAAAAAAAAGTCATGGGTTCCCTGACTCAGGCAGTGACTCACCCAGACCCAGATCCATGCAAGGGGGTGCCCAGAGCACAGGGTCCTTCGCACCATGGCCTGGCCCTCATGCTCATTCACACTCCCTGCCCTAAGCAAAAAGCCAAGTATACTTTGGGAGGCCGAGGTGGGCAGATCACTTGAGGTTAGGAGTTCGAGACCAGCCTGGCCAACATGGTGAAACTCCGTCTCTATTAAAAATACAAAAATTAGCCAGGTGCGGTGGCTCACGCCTGTAATCCCAGCACTTTGGGAGGCCGAGGCAGGCAAATCACAAGGTCAGGAGTTAGGGACCAGCCTGGCCAACGTGATGAAACCCCGTCTCTACTAAAAATACAAAAAATTAGCTGGGCGTGGTGGCAGGTGCCTGTAATCCCAGCTACTAGGGAGGCTGAGGCAGGAGGATCGCTTGAACCTGGGAGGCAGAGGTTGCAGTGAGCTGAGATTGCGCCACTGCACTCTAGCCCAGACAATAGTGCAAGACTCTGTCTCAAAACTAAAACAAAATAAAAATAAAAATACAAAACAGCCAGTCATGGTGGAGGGTGCCTGTAGTCCCGGTTACTCGGGAGGCTGAGGCACGAAAACCCCTTGAACCCGGGAGGCGGAGGTTGCAGTCAGCCAAGATTGCACTACTGCATTCCAGCCTGGGCGACAGAGCAAGACCCTGTCTCTAAAAAAGAGAAGAGAAGAGAAAAGAAACCCGACTACAAATATCCCAGTCTGCCTGGGTCACCAGTATGTAATCTGGTAGAAACATACCAGGATAGCTCAACTGTCCCCAGGGGAAGAATATGTACATTGCACCCACCAAAATGGACGCTTGGGGTCATTTTGGGTCATGCATATTTGTGCACGAGGGTATAAAGTCCAAGTACACACACTGAGCTTCGGAGGGACCCAGCACCAGGGACCCTCACGTCCTGTTTTGGTTCCGGCCATCCATTGAGTCCTCCAAGGATCCTGCAGGGACACTGCTCAGTTGCTTTACCTAAGAATGCTGACCCCAGGCTGGGTGCAGTGGCTCAGGCCTGTAATTCCAGCACTTTGGGAGGCTGAGGCAGGAGGATTGCTTGAGCCCAGGAGTTTGAGCAGCCAGGACAACATAGTCAGACCCCATTTCTACAAAAAAATCTAAAAATTTGGGCCGGGTGCGGTGGCTCACGCCTGTAATCCCAGCACTTTGGGAGGCCGAGGTGGGTGGATCACGAGGTCAGGAGATTGAGACCATCCTGGCTAATGCGGCGAAACCCCGTCTCTACTAAAAATACAAAAAATTAGCCGGGCATAGTGGCAGACGCCTGTAGTCCCAGCTACTTGGGAGGCTGAGGCAGGAGAATGGCGTGAACCTGGGAGGCAGAGCCTGCAGTGAGCCAAGATTGCACAACTGTACTCCAGCCTGGGCGACAGAGCGAGACTCCGTCTCAAAAAAAAAAAAAAAATCTAAAATCTTGCCAGGTGTGGTGGTGCATGCCTGTAGTCCCAGCTACTTGGAAGACTGAGGTGGGAGGATTGCTTGAACCCAGGAGTTAGAGGCTGCAGTGAGCCATGAACCAGCCTGGGCAAGACCCTATCTCAAACACAGCAAGCAAAACACTACTGACTGGGGCCGGGCGCGGTGGCTCTCGCCTGTAATCCCAGCACTTTGGGAGGCCAAGGTAGGCGGATAATTTGAGGTCAGGAGTTCCAGACCAGCCTGGCCAACATGGTGAAACCTCGTCTCTACTAAAAATACAAAAACAATTAGCCAGGCATGGTGGTGGATGCCTGTAATCCCAGCTACTCAGGAGAGTGAGGCAGGAGAATTGCTTAAACTCGGGAGACAGAAGCTGCAGTGAGCCAAGATCTCGCCACTGCACTCCAGCCTGGGCGACAGAGCGAGACTCCGTCTCAAAAAAACAAAACAAAACAAAAACTCCTGACTCTGGAGGCTGCAGAAGAAATCACACAACACACACACACACACACAAACACACACACACACACACACACCCGAGCAGGGACCAACTTCCTGTCCTTGCCACCCTGGTGTAAGCTCCACCAATAGCCATCCCAGGTGCACAATCGCAGACAAGAAGGCAGCAACACTCAGGGGACCGGGGGGCAGCCACAGGGGCTATCATTATCTGTCTCCATGACTCAAACTTGATCCTCACAAACCTGCCATTAAATTTCCACAGACATAAAATAGGCCCCCACTTTGTCTGAGCAGGGCTGGTGGGAAGGTCCAGGAACAGGGGCTCGAAGAATTGGGGCAGAGCCAGGGAAAATAAAACGATGGGACGTATACGCTCAGCTTTCTCCACCAGACACTGAATGCCTCATTTTATCCCAACCCAGGCAGCGTGGATGTCGGAGACTTTGCTTTCCAGACTCAGGGGAGAGAAATAACTTGCTCAAGCTTCTACAGTTCCAAGCGGCATTCGAAGCCTGACCCATCCAACCTCCAGGTCCTGCCTGTAGGATTGCAACTGCTCTGTTCCCTCTTGGGAGACAGCCTCTAATTAAAATGCAGCATCTTGCCAGGCACGGTGGCTCACGCCTGTAATCCCAACACTTTGGGAGGCCAAGGTAGGCAGATCATTTGAGGTCAGGAGTTTGAGACCAGGCTAGCCCAACATGGTAAAACCCCATGTCTACTAAAAATACAAAATTAGCTGGAGTGGTGGTGGGCACCTATAATCCCAGCTAATGGGGAAGCTGAAGCAGGAGAATCTCTTTTTTTTTTGAGACAGAGTCTCACTCTGTCGCCCAGGCTGGAGTGCAGTGGTGTGATCTCGGCTCACTGCAAGCTCCGCCTCCCGGGTTCACACCATTCTCCTGCTTCAGCCTCCCGAGTAGCTGGGACTACAGGCGCCCGCCACCTCGCCCGGCTAATTTTTTGTAATTTTAGTAGAGACGGGGTTTCACTGTATTAGCCAGGATGGTCTCAATCTCCTGATCTCATGATCTGCCTGCCTCGGCCTCCCAAAGAGCTGGGATTACAGGCGTGCGCCACCGTGCCCGGCTGAAGCAGGAGAATCTCTTGAACCCAGGAGGTGGAAGTTGCAGTGAGCCGTGATTGCGCCACTGCAATCCAGCCTGGGCAACAGAGCAAGACTCTATCTCAAAAAACAAACAACAACAAAAAAACCACAGCATCTTTGCCAAAAGCACCTAAGAGCGGTGTTGCATTGTGGCAGGCCAGGCTGGAAGGCTTTCCAGCCTGAGACCATGTGGCTCCCACCAGCCCTGGCTCCATCCACCCATGCCTCACCCCTCCTCCCTCCCAGGTCCTCCTCAAGCCACTTGCCTCCAAAAAATGTGGTGATGAGTTCCTGCTGGGGGAAGGGTGGGAGAGTGAGACCCTCCACACCCACAGCCCATGCTAAGAGGCAGGGAAGAAGCAAGAAACATCCAGCAGTTTTCAGCCCTAAGAGGGGTTTTGTAGAAAACAAGGCCCAACCTTTTTTTTTTTTTAGACATAGAGTCCTGACGGACACAGTGGATCACGCCTGTAATCCCAGCACTTTGAGAGGTTGAGGCAGGTGGATCACGAGGTCAAGAGATCAAGACCATCCTGGCCAACATGATGAAACCCCATCTCTAAAAATACAAAGATTAGCTGGGTATGGTGCCACATGCTTGTAGTCCCAGCTACTCAGGAGGCTGAGGCAGGAGAATCGCTTGAACCTGGGAGGTGGAGGTTGCCGTGAGCCAAGATCGTGCCACTGCGCTCCGGCCTGGCAACAGAGCAAGACTCTATCTTGAAAAAAAAAAAAAGAGAGAGAGAGAGAGATAGAGTCTTGCTCTGTCACCCAGGCTGGAGTTCAGTGGCACGATCATAGCTCATAGTAGTCTCGAACTCCTGGGCTCAAGTGATCCTCCTGCCTCAGCCTCCCCAGTAGCTGGGACCACAGGTGCGTGCTACCATGCCCAGCCAACTTTTAGATTTTTTGTAGAGATGGAGTCTCGCTATGTTGCCCAGGCTGGTCTTGAACTTCTGAGTCCAAGCAATCCTCCCACCTCAGCCTCCCAAAGTGCTGGGATTACAGGTGTGAGCCACTGTGCCTGGCCTCAATCTTTTTTTTTTTTTGAGATGGAGTGTCGCTCTGTTGCCCAGGCTGGAGTGCAGTGGCCCAATCTCAACTCACTGCAACCTCCACCTCTTGGGTCCGAGCAGTACTCAAGCCTCAGCCTCCCCAGTAGCTGGGACTACAGGGACACGCCACTAATTTTTGTATTTTTAGTAGAGATGGGGTTTCACCGTGTTAGCCAGGCTGGTCTCAAACACCTGACCTCAGGTGACCTGCCCACCTCGGCCTCCCAAAGTGCTGGGATTATAGACGTAAGGCACGGTGTCCGGCTGAGCCTCAACCATTTATGCAAGGGAGAAACTGAGGGTCTAGGGTGGGGGAGGGTGGCATCTTTGTAGCCCGTCCTGGGTCAGGCCCCAGGCCTGCGGATTCCCAGCCGAGTGGTTTTCCAAGCCGCCTCTGCCAGCAGACTTGAAGATCTGGGACATGTGTAAGTTCAAGAGCACCAGAGGTCAGGCTTGGTTGAACCCACCCCAAGTGGTAGGTTCTGGAGCTCTGAGAGTCTCCCGGGGATGAGTTGTCAATGTCTTCCCAGATGCCAAGGGGAGGGGAAAGTGGTTGAGACCCCCAAAGTCAAGTTTATCTTCAGCCTGTTTATCTTCACTCTGAGACTTGGCCGCGTCTGCCTGGCTCCCAGGACGGGCACCTCGTGGGCCAGGTTTCCCTTTGCACCGGCCGGCACCCCCACCCCAGCTCCTGGTGTGTCGGGACGGCCTGCCCCGGCCACAGGGCCGGCGCACCTGGAGCGGCTCTGCCCCTTGTCCAGACCCGGGGACTCCCAGCCCGACCCCCACCCTGCCACCTCGTGGGGTGTCCAGAGGCAAAGAGCCACCTACTCACCGTTCCGGGAGGGACGCTGGGCCCAACTCCTGGGTCTCTGGGAGCGGAGCTGCCGCGACTCCCGCAGAGTTCCCGGGCGGGCCGCGAGGGTGAGTCAGGGCAGGCGGGGACAGGAGACCCGGAGCCGCCCCGCCCCGCCCCCGGACGACTCGGCCCCGCCTCGCCGCAGGCGCGCCCAGGTCGACCCTACTCCAGGCGCCGCGCGATCAGCAGGGTTGGGGGAAGACAGCCGTCTTAGGCTGCTTTGCCCTGGTGGGCTCGGGGCTGGCGGGAGATGCAGGGGTCTTAGAACTTTGCAACTTTGCAGTCTGGCTGGACCCTGGCAGCTGGGGAAACTGAGGGAGCTGGGGACGCTGAACTCCCAAAGCCATTCTACGGCCACCTTTCTGGGAACCAGGTCTTACGGACCCTGTCGAGAAAATGTGGAGGCCGGGCTCTGTGACTCACGCCTGTAATCCAACACTTTGGGAGGCCGAGGCAGGAGGATACCTTGGGCCTAGGAGTTTGAAACCAGCCTGAGCAATATAGTGGGACCACATCTCTACAAAAAATTTTAAAACCTACAAAAACAAAATTTTAAAAATTAGCCAGGTGTGGTGGTGTGTGCCTGTAGTCCCAGCTACTCTGGAGGCCGAGGTGGAAGGATCACCTGAATCTGGGAAGTTGAGAGGCTGCAGCGAGCTACGATCATGCCACTGCACTCCAGCCTGGGCCACCAAGAAGGACCCTGTCTCCAAAAGAAAAAAAAGAAAAAGAGGAAGTGCGGAAGGGCTCCTTCTAACCCCGCAAGGCCCAGTCACCTGGCCTTAAAGCCCAGCCAAGGCACAGGTGACTGCAGTTTTCAGGTGCTGGGAGTGGAGTTGCGGGAGGAGAGGACGGGGAGGGGACGGCTTCTCCCTTCAAGCTCTGGCCATGGGCGGGAACTGGGCTGAACCAACGGAAGTTGAGTAGAGTGGGGATGCCCTCCTGTCTGTCCCTGCCCAACACTGTGGTCTGCCCTCCAGGTGGGGAGTGGGGCACAAGCAGCTCCGAAGTCCTGGGGGGCCCAGCTTCTCTGCCTCCCCACCCCCACCCTGGCCGCCCCACTTGGGAGGCCTGAGCTGGGTCTTAGATGAGCAAATCTGTGGAGGTGGACCTTGATCTGTTCTCCGTCTGAAAAACCTTGGAGGCCGGGTGCAGTGGCTCACGCCTGTAATCCCAGCTCTTTGGGAGGCTGAGGCGGGTGGATCACGAGGTCAGGAGATCGAGACCATCGTGGCTAACACAGTGAAACACAGTCTCTACAAAAATACAAAAAAATTAGCAGGGCGTGGTGGCGGGCGCCTGTAGTCCCAGCTACTCAGGAGGCTGAGGCAGGAGAATGGCGTGAACCCAGGAGGCAGAGCTTGCAGTGAGCCGAGATTGCGCCACTGCACTCCAGCCTGGGCGAAGAGTGAGACTCCATCTCAAAAAAAAAAAAAAAAAAAAAGATAAAAAAAGAAAAGAAAAGAAAAACCTTGGATGTATCTATGGCCATACCACCCTAAAAGCATCTGATCCTCGTCTCACCTCGCAAGCTAAGCAGTGTCGGACCTGGTTAGTACTTGGATGGGAGACCACCTAGGAATACCGGGTGCTGTAGGCTTGGGCTGGTCACAGTGGCTTACACCTGTAATCTAGCACTTTCGGAGGCTGAGGAGGGTGGATCACCTGAGGTCAGGCGTTTGAGACCAGCCTGGCCAACATGGTGAAACCCTGTCTCTACTAAAAATACAAAAATTAGCTGGGTGTGGTGGCTTGTGCTACTTGGGAGGCTGAGACAAGAGAATCGCTTGAGCCTGGGAGGTGGAGGTTACAGTGAACTGAGATTGCACCACCCCACTCCAGCCTGGGCGACAGAACAGGATTCCATCTCAAAACAAAACAAAACAAAACCAAACCATCCATGGAAATGTTCCTACCTGGACTTAGGATGGGAGACGGAGAGTTCTCCCTGACAGGGTAAAAGAAGCCTTGACTTGGCCGGGCGCGGTGGCTCATGCCTAGAATCTCAGCACTTTGGGAGGCCGACTCGGGTGATTCACCTGAGGTCAGGAGTTCGAGTCCAGCCTGGCCAACATGGTGAAACCCCATCTCTACTAAAAATACAAAACATTAGCTGGGTGTGGTGGCACAAGCCTGTAATCCCAGCTACTTGGGAGGCTGAGGCAGGAGAATCGCTTGAACCCAGGAGGCGGATGTTGCCGTGAGCCGAGATCGTGCCACTGCCCTCCAGCCTGGGCAACAAGAGCAAAACTCCGTCTCAAAAGAAAAAAGAAAAAAAAAAAAGCCCTGACATTGACCAGGTCTGGGCCTGCGACTGGAAACCTCTAGGGTTGGAAACTTGTAAGTCAGGGACCTTCTGGGCACCGCCACAGGGAGTCCAAAGACAAAACTTCCTTTTGGATTTAGTAGAGCTTTAAGAGCACCTGTTGTCTGTCGGCATCTGCAGCTTCCTTGCAGGACAAGACCAGCAAGGCTCTCTACTCTCTGAGAGCTTCTGTCCTAGTGGGTGGGAGAGATACACTAAGTAAACTAATAAAGGAGACCAGGTGGGGTGGCTCACGCCTTAAATCCCAGCAGTTTAGGAGGCTGACCAAGGTGGGTGGATCGCTTGAGCCCAGGAGTCTGAGATCAGCCTGAGCAACATAGTGAGATCCCATCTCTACAAAAAATAAATAAAAATGATAGAAGAATTAGTCAGGCGTAGTGGCACGCACCTGTAATCCCAGCTACTCGGGAGGCTGAGGGAGGAGAATCGATTGAACCCAGGAGGCGGAGGTTGTGGTGAGCCGAGATTGCACCACTGCACTCCAGCCTGGGCAACAGAGTGAGACTCCGTCTCAAAAATAAATAAATAAGTAAATAAAAATGAGCTGGGTGTGATGGTGTGCACCTGTGGTCCCAGCTACTTGAGAGGCTGAGACAGGAGGATCACTTGAGCCTGGGAGTTGGAGGCTACAGTGAGCCATGATTGCACCACTGCACTCCAGCCTGGGTGGCAGCTCAGAACCTGGCTTTTAAAAACAAAACAAAACAAAAGACAAACGGAAGAACAAGGTAATGCCAGTTTGTGACAAATGTTGTATATATAACAAAGCAAGGTGAAGCGGTAGCAAGGGACAAGGGGTTCCTTGAAGACCGCTTTGAGGAAGGGACCTGTGAGAAAGGTTGTCTCTCCTTTGGAGTGACTCTTCCTGTCTTCCTTCCTTCCTTCCTTCCTTCTTTCCTTCCTTCCTTTCTTCTTTCTTTCCTTCTTTGTTTCATGGAGTTTTGCTGTTGTTGCCCAGGCCGGAGTGCAATGGCGTGATCGCTGCTCACCGCAACCTCCGCCTCCGGGGTTCAAGCAATTCCCAGCCTCAGCCTCCCGAGTAGCTGGGATTACAGGCATGCGCCACCACTCGGCTAATTTTGTATTTTTGGTAGAGATGGAGTTTCTCCACGTTGGTCAGGCTGGTCTCGAACTCCCGACCTCAGGTGATCTGCCTGTCTCGGCCTCCCAAAGTGCTGGGATTACAGGCGTGAGCCATCGCACCTGGCCTTCTTTTTCTTTCTTTATTTTTTTGAGATGGAGTCCTTGCCCAGGCTGCAGTGCAATGGCACGATCTGGGCTCACTGCAACCTTCGCCTCCTGGGTTCAAGCAATTTTCCTAACTCAGCCTCCAGAGTGGCTGGGATTACAGGCGCCCACCACTGTGCCTGGCTAATTTTTGTATTTTTAGTAGAGACAGGGTTTTGCCATGCTGGCCAGGCTGGTGTTGAACTCCTGCCTCAGCCTCCCAAAGTGTTGTGATTACAGGTGTGAGTCACTGCACTAGGCCTTCGCCTTCGCCTTCTCCTCCTCCTCCTCCCCCTCCCCCTCCCCCTCCTCCCCTCCCCCTCCCCATCTTCCTCCTCCCTCTCCTCCCCCCTCCTCCTCTCCCCCTCCCCATCTTCCTCCTCCCTCTCCTCCCCCTTCCTCCCCTCCCCCTCCCCATCTTCCTCCTCCCTCTCCTCCCCCTCCCCCTCCCATCTTCCTCCTCCCCCTCCTCCCCCTCCCCCTCCTCCTCCCTCTCCTCCTCCTTGCCTTCCTTCTCCTCCCCCTCCTCCTCCCCCTCCTCTCTCCTTCCTTCCTTCCTTCCTTTCTTTTCTTTCTTTCCTTTCCTTTTTCTTTGCCCCTCCTCCTCCTCCCTCTTTCCCCTCCTTCTCCTCCTCCACTTTCTGTTCTCCTCCTCCTTCTTCTCCTTCTCCTTTCCTCCTCCTCCTTCTTCATTCTTCTTTTTTTTCTCCCTCTGTTGCCCAGGCTGGCATGCAGTGGCATGATCCTAGCTCACTGCAGCCTTGAACTCCTGGGCTCAGGTGATCCTCCTGCCTCACCCTCCCTCCCAAGTAGCTAGGTCCACAGGCATGCACCACCACATCTGCTGAATTATTTATTTATTTATTTATTTATTTATTTTATAGAGACAGAGTCTTACTATGTTGCCCAGGCTGGTCTGAAACTCCTGGGCCCAAGCAGATCCTACCGTCTTGGCCTCCCAAAGTGCTGGGGTTACAGGCATGAGGCACCATGCCTGGCCTACTTCCTGTCTTCTGAGAGGTTTCTTGGGATCTGTGCCCTGGGGATGTTTGCAACCACATGCTGAAATAAGCTTTTTTTTTTTTTTTTTTGAGAGATGGAGTCTCACTCTGTCTCCCAGGCTGAAGTGCAGTGGTGCAATCTCAGCTCACTGCAACCTCACTGGGTTCAAGTGAGTCTCCCAGCCTGCTGAGTAGCTGGGATTACAGGCACGTGCCACCACACCTGGCTAATTTTTGTATTTTTAGTAGAGATGGGGTTTTGCCATGTTGGCCGGGCTGGTCTCAAACTCCTGACCTCAGGTGATCCGCCTGCCTCGGCCTCCCAAAGTGCTGGGATTACAGGTGTGAGCCACCGCGCCCGGCCTAGCATCTTTTTTATTTTATTTTTTGAGACAGAGTCTAGCTCTGTTGCCCAGGCTGGAGTGCAGTGGTGTTAGCTCACTGCAACCTCCGCCTCCCGGGTTCAAGCCATTCTCCTGCCTCAGCCTCCTGAGTAGCTGGGATTACAGGGTCGAGGAAATTGAAGTATTTCTCCACCAGCTCCTGTCTGTCCCTGCCTAAGGGTTGCTCCAGAGAAGGGAGGTGGAGAGGTGTTAACTCTCTGGCACTTCTGAGTTCCCTGCCCACAGGGACTGTGAGTGCTCAGGGATATAGACAGGGTGGTATGGTACCTGCTGTAGATATAGATGCACCTGCCGCAGGTATAGATGCACCTGCCGCAGGTATAGATGCACCTGCTGCAGGTATAGATGCTGAGTGGGATGGCTGAGTCATAGCACACCAATACTCAATCCTTTCCAATTATTTATCAGAAAGGCTGCCCACTTTACATTCCCATTGCTACTGTGTGAGTCTTTCCACATGATAATATCTAGCTTAAAAAAAATATGGGTCAGTCACGGTGGCTCATGCGTGTAATCCCAGCACTTTGGGAGGCTGAGGCAGGAGGATCGCTTGAGCCCAGGGGTTTGAGACCAGCCTGGGCAACAGTGAGACCTGAGACCCCGTCTCTACAAAAAAAAAAAAAAAAAAAAAAGTAGCCGGGCACAGTGGCGCATGCCTGTGGTTCCAGCTATTTGGGAGACTGAGGTGGGAGAAATGCTTAAGCCCAGGAAGTTGAGGCTACAGTGAGCTACTATTGCACCATTGTACTCCTTCCTGAGCAACAGAGTGAGGCATCGTCTCTAAGAAAGAAGACATATTTTTTCAATTGGCTTTTAAGGTTTCTCCTGAAATTAAAAGGAAAAAAGAAAAAAATTTAAATTTTGGTCCAATATAATATAAAATTGGCCAGTTTAATTTTTTTTTAATTTTGGAGATGAGGTCTTGCTCTGTCACCCAGACTGGTGTGCAATGGTTTCATCATAGCTCACTGTAGCCTCGAACCCTTGGGCTCAGGTGATCCTCCCCACTTCAGCCTCCCAAGTAGCTGGGACTACAGGTGTGTGCCACCGCACCCAGCTATTTTTTAGATTTTTTTTTTTTTTTTGTAGAGACGGGGTCTTGATATATTGCCCAGGCTGGTCCTGAACTTCTGGTCTCGGACGATCCTCTGGCCTTAGCCTCCCAAAGTGCTGGGATTACACGCATGAGCCACTGTGCCCAGCCATTGTAACCATTTCTAAGTGTGCACCTCCGTGGCATTAAGCATATTCACATGGTTGTACAACCATCACCAACATCCATCTCCCGAACTTTCTCATCTTCTCAAATTGAAACTCTGTCCCCATGAAACACTAACTCCCCACCTCCCTCCCATAGCTGCTGGCACCCACCATTCTACTTTCTGTCTCCCATGAATCTGACTCCTCTAGGGACCTCCTACAAGTGGAATCACACAGGATTTGTCCTTTTGTGTCTGGCTTATTCCCCTGAGCATGATGTCCTCATGGTTCATCGATGTCACAGCATGCATCAGAATTTTCTGCCTTTTCAGGGCTGCATAATATTCCATTGCATGGATGAACCACATTTTATCTATTTACCCCTCTGCTGGTGGACACTTGGGGGTTGCTTCCACCTTTTGGTTCTTGCGAATACTACTGCTATGAACACGAGGGTACAAATATTTCTTTCTTTTCTTTCTTTCTTTTTTTTTTTTTTGAGATGGAATCTTACTCTGTCGCCCTGGCTGGAGTGCAGTGGTGTGATCTCGGCTCATTGCAACCTCCGCCTCCCGGGTTCAAGTGATTCTCCTGCCTCAGCCTCCCAAGTAGCTGGGATTACAGGCATGCACCACCACGCCTAGCTAATTTTTCTATTTTTAGTAGAGACGGGGTTTTGTCATGTTGGCCAGGCTGGTCTTGAACTCCTGAGCTCAAGTGATCGGCCTGCCTCAGCCTCCCTAAGTGCTGGGATTACAAGCATGAGCTACTGCACTGGGTTTAGCTGTACCAGTTTACATTCCCATCAACAGGACACCTGTGTTCCAATTTCTCCACATCGCCCCTCAGTACTTGTTATTTACTATCCAGCTTCTAAGATTTTGGAATGTGAGTTAGCTATTACTTTGTAACAAATTACCCAAAAATTTACTAGCTTTAAAAAAGTATGTATTGGCTGGGCTGCAGTGGCTCACGCCTGTAATCCCAGCACTTTGGGAGGTCAAGGTGGGTGGATCACTTGAGGCCAGGAGTTCAAGACCAGCCTGGCCAACATGGCGAAACCCCGTCTCTACTAAAAATACAAAATTAGGGGCTGGGCGCGGTGGCTCACGCCTGTAATACCAACACTTTGGGAGGCTGAGGCGGGTGGATTACGTGAGGTCAGGAGTTCAAGACCAGCCTGGCCAACAGGGTGAAAACTTGTCTCTACTAAAAATACAAAAAATTAGCCGGGCGTGATGGTGGGCACCTGTAATCCCAGCTACTCAGGAGGCTGAGGCAGGAGAATCACTTGAACCCAGGAGGTGGAGGTTGCAGTGAGCTGAGATCAAACCACTGCACTCCAGCCTGGGCAACAGAGCAGGACTCCATCCAAACAAACAAACGAACAAACAAAACCAAAAAACAAAACAAAACAAAACAGCCCCTCACTGTTTAAAATATATATATAGCTGGGCGCGGTGGCTCACGCCTGTAATCCCAGCACTTTGGGAGGCTGAGGTGGGTGGGTCACAAGGTCAGGAGATCGAGACCATCCTGGCTAAAACGGTGAAACCCCATCTCTACTAAAAATACAAAAAATTAGCCGGGCATGGTGGCGGGCGCCTGTAGTCCCAGCTACTCAGGAGGCTGAGGCAGGAGAATGGCGTGAACCTGGGAAGCAGCTTGCAGTGAGCCGAGATCGCGCCACTGCACTCCAGACTGGGTGATAGAGCGAGACTCAGTCTCAAAAAAAAAATATATGTATATTTATATATATTTTATATTTATATATATTTATATATATTTTATATTTATATATAATATATTTATATATATTTTATATTTATATATAATATATTTATATATATTTTATATTTATATATAATATATTTATATATATTTTATATTTATATATATAATATATTTATATATATTTTATATTTATATATATAATATATTTATATATATATAATATATTATATATATATAATATATTATATATATATAAATATATTTATATATATTTTATATTTATAGATAATATATTTATATATATTTTATATTTATAGATAATATATTTATATATATTATATTTATAGATAATATATTTATATGTATATTTTATATTTATATATAATATATTTATATATTTTTTTATATTTATATATATAATATATTTATATATACATATATATATATGGAGTGGGGGTGGCCGAGGGGGAAGAGTGTGTGTCTGCGGGAGAAAGAGGAGAATCGCCCAAGCGGCCTCGGAAGCCCCAGGGAGTGGAGGCTCCCGCCGTGGAGCCATGTGGTGTATGTGTGGTAACACCACGTCTACGCCCCTCTCACTGATGCTGCCGCGGTGTCTGGAGCTGAGCGGGAAACAGCCGCGGTTAGTTTTTTATATGGACTTGGAGACACAGGGCACAGCTGGGCTGACGCCCTCTCCACCGTCCGGCTCCCTCACGTCAATTCCATCTGTCCCCATGTGCCTAGGATCCCTGTGACTCTCAACATGAAGATGGTGACACCTTCCTGATTTGACCTGATGGGGCTGAGTCCAGATGCCCCAGAGGACGAGGCTGGCATCAAGAAGGCAGCAGAGAACATCAAGGCCTTGATTGAGCATGAAATGAAGAACGGGATCCCTGCCAATCGAATCGTCCTGGGAGGCTTTTCACAGGGCGGGGCCCTGTCCCTCTACACGGCCCTCACCTGCCCCCACCCGCTGGCTGGTATCGTAGCATCGAGCTGCTGGCTGCCTCTGCACCGGGCCTTCCCCCAGGCAGCTAAAGGCAGTGGCAAGGGCCTGACCATCCTCCAGTGCCATGGGGAGCTGGACCCCATGGTGCCCGTACGGTTTGGGACCCTGACGGCTGTTGTCACACCTGCCAGGGTCCAGTTCAAGACATACTCGGGTGTCATGCACAGCTGCTGTCCTCAGGAGATGGCAGCTGTGAAGGAATTTCTTGGAGAAGTTGCTGCCTTCTGTCTAACTAGTCGCTGGCCCCAGTGCGGTGCCCCAGCTCATGGGGGACTCAGCAAGCAAGCGTGGCACCATCTTGGATCTGAGCCAGTCGAGCCCCTGTCCCCACCCTTCCTGGCCTGTCCTTTTCCCACAGGCCTCTGGGGCAGGTGGCAAGGCCTGGCCGGGCTTTCCTTCCTGGCCTCAGCCACCTGGCTCTGTCTGCAGCAGGGGCAGGCTGCTTTCTTATCCCATTTCCCTGGAGGCAGGCCTCCCTGGCAGCAGTATTGGAGGGGCTACAGGAAGCTAGAGAAAGGGGCCCAGCTGCTGACCCACTCACTCAGGACCTCACTCACTAGCCCCGCTTTGGGGCCCCTCCTGTGACCTCAGGGTTTGGCCCATGGGGCCCTTCCAGGCCCCTGCTCTAACTGATTCTGCCCAGATAATCGTGTGTCTCCTGCCTCCACTCAGCTACTTCTCAGTCATGAAGGTGGCCATGGCCCTGAGGTCCCCTTGCTGCTGTGGGCTCCCTGTCCCTGGGCAGGAGTGCTGGTGAGGAGGTGGAGCCTTTTGAGGGGGGCCTTCCCTCAGCTGTTTCCCCAAACTGGGGGGCTGGGCCCTGCCTCCCCATTACCCTCCTTCCCTGCAGGCCTGGAGCCTGTAGGGCTGGACTGAGGTTCAGGTCTCCCCCAAGCTGTCTCACTCTGACTTTGTCCCCACTCTAGAGCAGGGAAGGGGTGGGGGAGGAGTTGTGTCTCATCTTCTGTCTCCATGTGGTTTTTGGGTGCTTTTCTTGTTGTGTCCTGGATTCTGATAAAATTAAAGAAATTGCTTCCTCAAAAAAAAAAAAAAATATATATATATATATATATGCCCAGGTGCAGTGGCTCACGCCTGTAATCCCAGCACTTTGGGAGGCCGAGGTGGGTGGATCACCTGAAGTCAGGAGTTCGAGACCATCCTGACCAACATGGAGAAACCCCATCCCTACTAAAACTACAAAATTAGCCGGGCATGGTGGCGCATGCCTGTAATCCCAGCTACTCAGGAGGCTGAGGCAGGAGAATCGCTTGAACCTGGGAGGCAGAGGTTGCGGTGAGCTGATATCGCACCATTGCACTCCAGCCTGGGCAACAAGAGTGAAACTCCGCCTCAAAAATAAATTAATTAATTAAAAATTAGGGCCAAGATCACGCCATTGCACTCCAGCCTGGGTGACAGAGTGAGACTCTGTCTCAAAAAAAAAATATATATATATATGTATATATGTATATATATGTATATATGCGTATACACGTATATATGTATATATGCGTATACACGTATATATGTATATATGTATATATGCGTATACACGTATATATGTATATATGTATATATGCGTATATACGTATATATGTATATATGTATATATGCGTATATACGTATATATGTATATATGTATATATGCGTATATACGTATATATGTATATATGTATATATGCGTATATACGTATATATGTATATATGTATATATATGTATATATGTATATATATACACACACACATATACATATATATTTGTGATTTATTTATTTTTCTTTTAGAGACGGGGTCTCCTTATATTTCCCTAGCTGGCCTCAAACTCCCGGCCTCAAGGGGATCCTCCTGTCTTAGCCTCCCCAGTAGCTGGGACTACAGTCGCCTGGCCCTCACCTGAGAGTCACATGCCTAAGAGTGGCTACGCTGGGCAGTTCATTCAATGTCCCTCCCCCACCTGTTCCAAGCAACCACTGATGTGCTGTCTGTAACTACAGATTAGTCGCATTTTCTGGAATGTTCTATAAATGGAATCATACAGTGCGTGTTTTTTGTAGCTTCTTTTGTTCGGTGTGCTTTTGAGATTAGTCCCTGTTTTGAGAGTAGCATAGTCTGTTCCTTTCTGTTGCCAAGTTTCATTCCATTGTAGGGGACACTTTGATTCATGTTACTCATCCCTCTTGTTGATGGAGGTTTTGGGAGTGTTTTTATAAGAGGGCAGAGTCCAGATCCCAATTAATTACAGGGTGGGTTTTGTGTACCCTGGAGGAACCCTTGCATCATAGTCAGAAGGCAGGTGAAGCTGAGTGAGGTGGCTCCTGCCTGTAATCCCAGCAGTTTTGGAGGCTGAGGTGGGAGAATCACTTGAGCCCAGGAGTTCAAGACCAGCCTGGGTAACAGCGAGACTCTGTTTCTACAAAAAATTTAAAAATTAGCCTGATATGGTGGGGTAGGCTTTAGTCCCAGCTACTTGTTTTTTTGTTGTTGTTTTTGTTTTTGTTTGTTTTTTTGAGATGGAGTCTTGCTCTGTCGCCCAGGCTGGAATGCAATGGCGTGATCTCGGCTCACTGCACCCTCTGCCTCCCAGGTTCAAGCGATTCTCCTACCTCAGCCTCCCGAGTAGTTGGGATTACAGGTGCATGGCCACCATGCCCGGCTAATTTGTGTATTTTTAGTAGAGATGAGGTTTCACCATGTTGGCCAGGCTGGTCTCGAACTCCTGACCTCAAGTGATCTGGGTTTTGTTTTTTATTTTTATTTTTTATTTTTTATTATTTTGAGATGGAGTCTCTCTGTCACCCAGGCTGGAGTGCAGTGGCATGATCTCGGCTCACTGCAACTTCCGCCTCCTGGGTTCAAGCGATTCTCGCGCCTCAGCCTTCCAAGTAGCTGGGACTATAGGCACCACACCCAGCTAATTTTTTTGTATTTTTAGTAGAGACAGAGTTTCACCCTGTTGACTAGGCTGGTCTTGAACTCTTGTCTTCAAATTATCCACCCGCCTCGGCTGATAGTCCCAGCTACTTGGGAGGCTGAGGTGGGAGGATCACTGGAGCCTGGGAGGTCGAGGCTGCAGTGAGCTGTGAAGCTGTGATGATCGTGCCACTGCACTTCAGCCTGGGTGACAGAGTGAGATCCTGTCTCAAAAATAAATAAATAGGAGGGCAGGGATCTGTGTTGGTGGATGTGATTTGGAAGGAGGCACTGGGTGTGGGTGGGTAGACAGGGAACCAGGCTGGTGTCATGCCACAAGGGGTTCACACGGGTGATCATTGCTAGACTGAGGGAGAAGATAAGGCCTAGGATGATCCAATCTGGAGGTCAAAGCATGGCATTCAGCTCTGTCATTTTTCTCTGCCTTCCATTTCTGCAACCTCAAATGGGCGCAACGTCCCTACCCCCCAACCCCAGTTCACCCGATGCCAAGTTGCATTATCTGTTTCCTGTGCATGGAGGCCCCCTGATTTCCAGGAGGGAGTGAACTGTGCATATGAGCTTGCGATGGGGTTAGCAGTGGGGCACAGGGCGCTGGTTTCCTGGAATGGGGTAAAAAGTGGCTGTAAGTCTGGAGGGATGCGACATCCAGGCGGAAAGCTCATGGAGGCCATATGAGGAGGGGACTTGGCCGACAGAGGTGACAAGGCCAGACTCTTTTTTTGTGCATGTGTGACAGAGTCTTGCACTGTCGCCCAGGCTGGAATACAGTGGCACGATTTCGGCTCACTGCAAGCTCTGCCTCCTGGGTTCACGCCATTCTCAGCCATACTCAGGCCATACTCAGCCTCCCGAGTAGCTGGGACTACAGGCGCCCACCACCACGCCCGTTTAATTTTTTGTATTTTTAGTAGAGACAAGGTTTCACCGTGTTAGCCAGGATGGTCTCGATCTCCTGACTTTGTGATCCGCCCACCTCGGCCTCCCAAAGTACTGGGATTACAGGCCTGAGCCACCATGCCCGGCCCAGACTCTTCTTATAAGGAGAGGGAGCTGAGGAATGGCCATTTCCACCCTCAGGCTCCCACCCTCTTCATGCCACAGTCCTGGAGCACCGCTCTCCACCGAGGCCCCTGCCCTGGCTGAAGTCAGCAACAGGACACCTCCCACTCGCTCCGGCTGGGCTGGGACCCTTGTAAAGGATCTTCTGCGTCCTTCATGAACTTGTGTTTTTGTTTTTTTGTTTGTTTTTGTTTTTGAGACAGAGTCTCACTCTGTCGCCCAGGCTGAAGTGCAGTGGCGCAATCTCGGCTCACTGTAACCTCCGCCTCCCGGGTTCAAGCGATTCTCCTGCCTCAGCCTCTCGAGTAGCTGGGATTACAGGTGCTCGCCAGCATGCCCGGCTAATTTTTGTATTTTTTGGTAGAGACAGGGTTTCGCCATGTTGGCCAGACTGGTCTCGAACTCCTGAGCTCAAGTGATCCGCCCGCCTCAGCCTCCCAAAGCAGTGGGATTACAGGTGTGAGCCACCGCGCCCGGCCTTATGCACTTGTTTTGACACCTGCTAGGTCGACAGAACCTTGTCCCCCGGAAGCCCAGCTCTGCCAGGAAGTCTGGGCTGACTTGACATCCCGTTAGCTGGGAGGGTGTGGAGGGTGGGCGTGCTCTACCCTGCAGACGGCTGGGTCACCTCTCACAGAATATACTGTGTCTCCTGTCGCTCTCCCTCCTATTCCTTTCTTTATCTTCCCCAAAATCTGGGGTCTACCTTGCATCCTGAAATTCCCAGGGCAGCATTCTCTTAGCAGTCCCTCGACCCCCCAACCAGATAAGGGGTTTCCTGGCGTCTGGGGAACACCTTCGGGTGTGGGGCGGAGGGCGGCTGCCCCCCAGAGACCCTGGGCGGCCTAGCTTTCGCAGACGCGAAGGACTGGATAGTGCCAGGGCCACCGAGCGGCCGGATTGGTGTGTGGGCCAGAGGCGCGGTGGTCCCGCCTCCTGGTTGCCAGGGCCCAGCCTATCCGCGTCCAGGCGGTCCTTGGTGCCAGGTGGTTGTGGTGGGGGTCGGGGCAGGTGTATGTGTTGGGAAGGACAGTGGAGGACCCCAGGGATTTGCTCCCCCAGTCCCAACCGTTGACTATCTGGGTTCCTCAGGCGCAGCTGGGGAAACAGGCTTCCCCCGGACCGCAGAGAAGCCACCCTTCTCTCCAAAGCGCGCTTCTCCCCCATCCCCCTCGGCGCGCTTCCGCCGGCCGCGCTCCCGGGTCCGGATCGAGCGCGCGCCCCCGGCTCTCCCGCCCGCGGCCGAGGGGCGGGACCGGCTCGGCTCCCCCGGCGCCGCAGCCCGCAGCCCCCTCCCCTCGCCTCCTCGCCGCTGGCGGCCACCGCGTCGCTCCGGCCCGGGCCCCACCCCAGGCGACTCTGTGAGGAGCGGCCGGAGGCCGGAGGCGGAGGTGAGCGCGACGCGAGCAGGTGGAGAGGCTGGGCGCGGGCCAGGCCCGGCTGGGGGAGGGGTCGGGCCCGGGACGCGGCTCTTTGTCTCCCGGAGCCCGTTCGCGGGCAGCGGGGCCGCTCTGCCTCCCGGCAGGTGCAGGCATCCCTCGGGGAGGCCAGGGGAGGCCGATGGGGGCTGGCGGGGAGACCCGGGCGTGCGCTCCGGGTCTGGAGGGATGCGACATCCTGAGCCCGTGGCAGTCCCCCGCTCTCGAGGCTGGCGGTCTGAGTCCCTGAAGGGGCAAGGGGCAGGGGCGTGGAGATCGGTCCTGAATTGGAGCCGAGGCGGGGGAGGCGGTGGGCTGGGGCGGGCAGGGCCTCTTCGCTTTAGGGAAAAGCGGTGGGGGGTGGGACTTGGGGACAGCGAGGAGCAGTGGGGCTGGCGAGTGGGTGTAGGTGCGTGGGAGCCGAGCGGATGGAAGCCGAGGCCGAGGTTTGAGTGTCCATGGGTGGCGATGCTGCGAAAGGGCAGTGAGGTAGCAGGGTCCAGGTCTCTGGAGGCGGCGTAGCTGTCCAGAACCTGGGATGCGGACCGGTTTGTCTCTTCAGGTGCAAGATGGACAACAAGAGAGACAAGGCGAAGGCAGGGGCCGCCGCGCGGACGCCGGCTGCTCGCGCTCCTGGACTTCTGACCCCCAGGCCCCCAGGCTCTCCTCGACCCCCTCCCCCAGTAACTCCCGCAGCCCTCCGAGTTCTGGGAGCTGCGGGAGCAGTGGGGCGAAAGCCTCTGGCAGAGCGAGCGGGGGGCATCGGCGGGGCCACTATTCCCGAGTCTGCTCCCCGAGCGGGACCAACGCGGAGTGCTGGGACAAGTTCCCGAAACCCTGGTACCCCAGCCTCCTTCCTCAGCTCCGCCCCCATCTTCCCTCCCCCTTCCAATACCTGTCCAGTCTCACCTCCACTGCCACCTCTCCGGGGCACCTGTGACTCGGCCTTCTCCCCGCAGCCTCCAGGCCCCCAGCCTCTGGGAGAGGGGAGAGAGCTCCTCCTGCCAAGAACACCAGCCCAGGCCCTGTTTCTAGCCCAGGGCGTGCCAGCGGGACCACCAGGTAACCTGCTCCCTCTCCCCCAGTCTCCTAAGCCAGGGTTAGCGTCACAGAGTCTGGAACCTTTTATTTTACACGAGTTGGGGCGCGGGAGCACTTGCAGGTCACTGGGCACAAATTGGGTGAAAGCCATTATTGGTCCTCAGAGAGGGCACATGCCCATTTCACAGATGGGAAAATAGAGACTTGGGAAGCCAAACAAAGACCTAGGCCTGAGCGTGGCCCCTTCTGTCTCCAGGCCAGGCCCTCTTGGCCAGAAGGGACTCCGGATCTCAGCGGAGGAAACTGTGGCCAGAGGAAAAGCTACAGAGGCTCCCAAAAGGAGTGCCCTCAGCGCTGGGGCACGGAGAGGTACGTGACCTGGAGAAGAGTGGGGTTCCTGGGCAGCAAGGGGAGCCGCCTCAGAGGTATCGGTGACCCTTGGCCTTCTACTTTTTCTCCAGACACTTCCGGGCCTACCCCAGGAACCCCGTCCCCGGCCATGGCCCGTCGGTCCCGGGCTGCGGGCACCGAGGTGGGGCTCCCCCGGCCAGCTCCGAGTGCCCGGCCACGGCCCCCGACAGAGGGCCCCCGGAAATCAGTGAGCAGCGCCTCGGAGCACAGTACCACCGAGCCAAGCCCGGCTGCCAGGAGGCGGCCCAGCGCCGGTGGGGGTCTCCAGAGGCCGGCCTCGCGCTCCCTGAGCTCCAGCGCCACCCCTCTCTCCTCCCCAGCCCGTTCTGGGCCCTCAGCCCGCGGAACACCCAGGGCTCCTGCGCATCCCTCGCAGCCCAAGCCGAAAGGACTGCAGGCTCTGCGACCCCCTCAGGTCACACCCCCAAGGAAGGACGCAGCCCCAGCACTAGGACCGCTTTCTTCCTCTCCTTTGGCCACACCCTCTCCATCGGGTACCAAGGCAAGACCCGTACCGCCTCCCGACAATGCAGCCACTCCCCTGCCAGCCACGCTCCCTCCCTCTCCACCGGTAACGCCCCCTCCGCCAGCCGCTCTCCAAAGTCAGGCCCCGCCCACCCTGCCGGCCACGCCCCACTCGTCGAGCCTTACCTGTCAGTTGGCCACGCCCCTTCCTCTAGCCCCTCCTTCTCCCTCTGCTCCACCTTCTCTGCAGACCCTCCCCTCTCCACCAGCCACGCCCCCCTCGCAAGTTCCACCCACACAGCTGATTATGTCCTTTCCAGAAGCAGGCGTCTCTTCCCTGGCCACAGCCGCTTTTGTGGCTTCAGTCTCTCCATCAGTTTCATCCCCTCTGCAGAGTATGCCCCCCACCCAAGCTAATCCAGCGTTGCCCTCTCTTCCGACTCTCCTCTCTCCCTTGGCCACACCTCCTCTGTCAGCCATGTCTCCTCTACAAGGCCCTGTTTCTCCGGCAACATCTCTGGGGAATTCGGCTTTTCCCCTGGCCGCACTCCCTCAGCCAGGCCTTTCTGCTCTGACCACGCCCCCTCCGCAGGCCAGTCCTTCCCCGTCTCCGCCCTCTCTCCAGGCCACGCCCCACACTCTGGCCACTCTTCCTCTGCAGGACTCTCCTCTTCTGGCCACATTGCCTCTGCAGGCCTCTCCCTCTCCTTTGACCACAGTCTCTCTGCAGGATCCTCCTCTAGTTTCTCCCTCTCTTTTGGCCTCACCGCCTCTGCAGGCTCCGCCCCACCCACAGGCCCCACCTTCTATGACTACGCCCCCTATGCAGGCCCCGCCCTCTCTCCAGACCATTCCCCCAATACAGGTCCCACATTCTCTGACCTCACCGTCTCTGCAGGCACCTCCCTCTCCTCTGGCTTTGTCCTCTCTGCAGGCCACAACTTCTTTGGGCTCACCCACTCTGCAGGCCACACATTCTTTCCTGACAATGTCCCCTAGGCAAACCCAAGCTTCTTTGATCTCACCTTCTCGGCCGGCCTCTACTCCCCCTGATTCACCCCCTCTGCAGGCCCCTCTTTCCCTTCCTGCCTCACCCCCTCTGCAGACTTCTCTCTCTCCTGCTGTCTCACCCCTAAGCTCACCCCTGACCATACACCCTCTGCAGGCGCTATCTTCTCTGGCCTCCCACTCTCCTCAGGCACCTCTCTCTTCCCTGATCATGCCCCCTCTGGAGACCCAATCTTCCCTAGCCCCACCCTCTCTGCAGACACCTCCTGCTTCCCTGACCACACCCCCTCTGGAGAACCTACCTTCTCTAGCCCCGCCTCCTCTGCAGACAGCTTCTGCTCCCCTGACCACACCCCCTCTGGAGAACCTACCTTCTCTAGCCCCGCCTCCTCTGCAGACAGCTTCTGCTCCCCTGACCACACCCCATCTGGAGACTCCACCTTGTCCAGCCCCATGCCCTCTGCAAGCACCACCTTCGCCATTGACCACGCCCCCTCCGGAGACGCCCTCTTCCATAGCCACGCCTCCTCCACAGGCCCCACCTGCTCTGGCCTCACCCCCTTTGCAGGGCCTGCCCTCTCCCCCTCTGTCTCCTTTGGCCACGCCCCCTCCACAGGCCCCACCTGCCCTGGCCTTGCCTCCTCTGCAGGCCCCTCCCTCTCCCCCTGCCTCACCCCCTCTGTCTCCTTTGGCCACACCCTCTCCACAGGCCCCAAATGCTCTGGCAGTGCACCTTCTGCAGGCCCCTTTCTCTCCCCCTCCCTCACCCCCAGTGCAGGCCCCTTTCTCTCCCCCTGCCTCACCCCCAGTGTCTCCTTCGGCCACGCCCCCTTCACAGGCCCCACCCTCTCTAGCCGCACCTCCTCTGCAGGTCCCACCCTCTCCCCCTGCCTCTCCCCCAATGTCTCCTTCAGCCACGCCCCCTCCACAGGCCCCACCCCCTCTCGCTGCGCCTCCTCTGCAGGTCCCACCCTCTCCCCCTGCCTCTCCCCCAATGTCTCCTTCGGCCACGCCCCCTCCACGGGTCCCACCCCTTCTTGCCGCTCCTCCTCTGCAGGTCCCGCCCTCTCCCCCTGCCTCACTCCCAATGTCTCCTTTGGCTAAGCCCCCTCCACAGGCCCCACCTGCTCTGGCCACACCTCCTCTGCAGGCCCTTCCCTCTCCGCCTGCCTCATTCCCTGGGCAGGCCCCTTTCTCACCCTCTGCCTCACTCCCAATGTCTCCTTTGGCCACGCCTCCTCCACAGGCCCCACCTGTTCTGGCAGCGCCCCTTCTGCAGGTCCCTCCCTCTCCCCCTGCCTCACCCACCCTGCAGGCCCCACGCCGCCCCCCGACCCCGGGTCCGGATACCTCCGTCTCGGGCCCACGGCTGACCCTGGCGTTGGCCCCCGGCCCGCCGCCGCCGCCCTCGCGCAGCCCGTCCAGCACGCTGAGCGGCCCAGACCTGGCCGGCCACAGCAGCAGCGCCACGAGCACGCCAGAGGAGCTGCGTGGCTACGACAGCGGGCCCGAGGGCGGTGCCGCAGCCTCCCCGCCCCCCGACGCAGAGCTCGCCGCTTGCCACCCGGCTGCCTGGAGTCGAGGCCCCGCTCCGCCGCTGGCTTTCCGCGGAGCCCCAGGTAAGGGGCACCCCAGACCCGGCCTGGCTGTGGGCGGGGTCGGAGGCGAGGCTTCGCAGCTCAGGGGCGGGACAGCTGGGTCCGGGGCGGAGCTTAGACAAGGAGGCGGGACCTTGAGGCAGGGGCGGGGCTTATCACCCCCACGGCCCACCTGGCGTCTCTCCCCGCAGGTGCGCCCCTGCCGTGGCCTCCCGCTACCGGACCGGGCTCTGCTGACGGTCTGTGCACCATCTACGAGACTGAAGGGCCCGAGTCGGCGACCCCCGCCCCTGGCGCACTGGATCCGGGGCCCAGTCCCGGCACGAGCGGTGGGAAGGCGGCGGCTGGGGCCGGGGCCGGGGCGTCCTCGCGGAGCCCGAAGCAGGCGCGCCTGGGCGAGCTGCCACTGGGGGCGCTGCAGGCGAGCGTCGTGCAGCACCTGCTGAGCCGGACGCTGCTGCTGGCGGCTGCCGAGGGTGCCGCGGGCGGCAGCGGCGGGGGCCCAGGAGGTGCGGAGGGTGGTGGCGTCACAGGGGGCGCCCGGGCTGCACTCAGCGACGCCGAACTCGGCCGCTGGGCCGAACTACTGTCTCCCCTGGACGAGTCCCGTGCCAGCATCACCTCGGTCACCAGCTTCTCTCCGGACGACGTGGCCTCCCCGCAGGGTGACTGGACCGTGGTGGAGGTGGAGACCTTCCACTGAGCCAGACCACAGCCCCGCCTGCTACACCCCACCCCTGCCTTAGGATCCGCCCCTCCGGGTACGCCGTTTGTTTTAGACCCCGCCTCCACTGCCCTGGAGCCCCGCTGGGTGGATTAGTCTTAGCTCCCTAGAGCCTGAGCCTTTGGCCTCGGAGGCTCGGGACCTACCCACAGCTTTGACCTAGGCCCGCCCCTCGAGCTCCGCCCCTTTGGCCTAGGACACGCCCCGTTTCCCCGAGTCCCGCCCCGTGTGCAGTGTATTGCCCACCCCGCACAGCCTGAGTTTGCAATAAAACTGGGACACTGGGACTTGCACACCTTCGCTGTCACAGAGAGGACTGGGGCTGGGGGCCTCCAGCAGGCTGAGCGGCGCGGGGGGCCAGGCCAGATAAGGCCTTGCTGGCGGCTGTGCTCGAACCGGTTGGAGCTCTGGATAAAGTGCGGTTTTCCTCTTCTGGGAGAGAAGGGGCAGGCCAGGTGGGGCTAGGGCGGGGCCATGCCGAGTCCCGGCCATCTGGTGCCGCGCACCCATCCACGTGTGTGAACTTGGGCTTCTTGGTATCCGACTTCTGGTGGAAACGTTCGGTGCAGGAGGGGCCTGGCAGGGGCTGTGCGCCCGAGTGGATGAGTCAGTGCGTGGCCGAGGTGAAGGAGCGACTGGAACCCTTTTCTATTCTATTCTAATTCTTTTTTTTTTTTTTTTTTTTTTTTTGACGGAGTCTCCCTTTGTCGCCAGGCTGGAGTGCAATGGCGCGATCTCGGCTCACTGCAACCTTCACCTCCCGGGTTCAAGCGATTCTCCTGCCTCAGCCTCCCAAGTAGTTGGGACTACAGGCACATGCCACCACGCCCAACTAATTTTTGTATTTTTAGTAGAGACAGGGTTTCACCATGTTGGCCAGGGTGGTCTGGATCTCTTGACCTCGTAATCTAACCCCCTTGGCCTCCCAAAGCGCTGGGATTACAGGCATAAGCCACCGCGCCTGGCCTGTTTTTTTATTATTTTGAGACAGAATTTTGCTCTCTTTGCACAGGCTGGAGTGCAATAGTGCTATCTCGGCTCACTGCAACCTCTGCCTCCCGGGTTCAAGCAATTCTCCTGCCTCAGTCTTTCGAGTAGCTGGGATTACAGGTGCGCGCCACCACACCCGGCTAATTTTTGTATTTTTAGTAGAGACACGGTTTCACCATGTTGGCTAGGCTAGTCTTGAACTCCTGACCTCAGGTGATCTGCCCTCAGCCTCCCAAAGTCCTGGGATTACAGGCGTGAGCCACCGCGCCTGGCCTGACACACTTTTCAAACTCGATGCGGGGAACTAGCACTCCTGGGGAACAGGTGGGAAGATTGGAGGGCACTGAGGCAAGGATGGGGGACCCCTTCCCATGGCCCTTCGGCTGGTGCAGGGTCCCGGGCCAACTGCCCTGGTAGGGGATTGCAGGAAGAAGTGGCCTCTCCCAGGTCTAGGTGGGAGATGGGGGAGTCCTCACACTGCACCCTGTCTCCAAGTGTCCTTACACAAGTGCCACTTGGTGCATCCCACCCCCATGGCATCCTTGCCCTAACCCCTTCCTCAGGCGTCCTTATCAGATTCCCAAACATCTTCACAGGCCCCCTCCAATCAGAGTTTCCTGCCCTTCCTCCCCCAATGAACCCTAACCCTAACCCCCAGCTCTGGAGCCTCTCAAACCCTAGCCAGTCTCTCCCTGTTCCCAGTGCCCCTGCAGAGAGCTCCCCTGCTAGGCCTTTCCTCCCCCGGGTCTCCTGCATGGCACCAAGAATGATGGTGACATCCCCAAGTGGGTAAGAAGACAGAGTAGGATCTGGCCTTGGGCCCTCAGCCCTGCCTCTGCCCCTGGACCCAGTACCCTCACACCATCCTGTGACCAGGTTCCTGTCAGTCACAGACCAGCAAGTCCTGCCTGTCCCCATCCCAGACAAGGCACCTCCTAGCCTGGGGTCTGAGGAGAAATGGGCTCTGGCCTGGAGGGGCACTGCCACCTGCACCCCTGGGAGGTGGAGGAGGAGGACGCCAGCACAGTCCTTCGGTCAGAGTTTTGTGGCAAACCATAGAGGTGTCCTCTCAAGCTGGGCCCTGGTGGGGTTGGGGACCTGGGTGTCTTTGTTTCCAGACTCTGGGACAAGCCCAAGGCCGACTCCTGACATGCTGGGGAGCTGGGGCTCAAGGCCAGCTGCCGGGAAGGACAGGGCAGAACCTCAGACAATTCCTCTGCGGTCCTGCCCTGACCTGGGCAGCCAGCGGGGGTGGAATTACCATGGAAGCAGGAGGCACGGACAGTGACTGTGAGGGTCCCCAGGGTTACATCTGCACCATGTGTGGCCAGGAGAGCTGTGGCATGTGATACGACAGTACATGGGACTTGGCTGTCTCAGTACACAAGCAGTGTCATGTCCTTTGCTTGGCTGTGAGGCATGGGGGTAGGGAGCACTTTGTGGACCCACACTGGGTGCAGAGGGCAGGTCCTGGCTAGCATCTGCCTGAACCCAATTATGTTTCTGCCTCTAGGGGCTGCGCACCGTGTCTCCCGCCTGTAATCCCAGCACTTTGGGAGGCCGAGGAGGGCAGATCACCTGAGGTCAGGAGTTTGAGACCAGCCTGGCCAATATGGTGAAACCCAGTCTCTACTTAAAAAAAAAAATACAAAAATTGGGCCGGGCACAGTGGCTCATGCCTGTAATCCCAGCACTTTGGGAGGCGGGTGGATCACCTGAGGTCAGGGGTTCAAAACTATCCTGGCCAACATGGTGAAACCCCATCTTTACTAAAAATAATACAAAATTAGCCAGGTGTGGTGGCACATGTCTGTAATCCCAGCTACTTGGGAGGGTGAAGCAGGAGAATTGCTTGAACCTGGGAGGCAGAGGTTGCAGTGAGCCAAAATCGCACCATCGCACTCCAGCCTGGGCAACAAGAGTGAAACTCCGTCTAAAAAAAAAAAAATTAGCCAGATGTGGTGGCAGGCGCCGGTAGTCCCAGCTACTCAGGAGGCTGAGGCAGGAGAATCACTTGAAACCAGCAGGCAGAGGTTGCAGTTAGCCGAGATCGTGCCACTGCACTCCAGCCTGGGTGACAGAGTGAGACTCCCTCTCAAAAAACAAAACGAAACAAATTAGCCAGGCACGGTCGTAGGTGCCTACAGTTTCAGCTACTCTCGAGGCTGAGGCAGGGGAATCACTGGAACCCAGGAGATGGACGTTTCAGTGAGTCGACTGCCTTGAGTTCCTCTAGGAAGCTTTGCTTTGCCACTCCTGGCTCTGTCCTCCACCCCGCCACCCACCGCCACCCAGCAGCTGGGACTCTGCCTCAGCTCTGTGGGGAACCCCACAAAGGACTATTTCTGCCCCCTACTCACTGTCCTCCCTGCACTGGCCCCCTCACAGACTCTGTGGTCCATCTGATGGGGCTCTCTTACCTAAGCCCTCCATGGGCTCCCAATGGCCCCCAGTTCAAAGCCCAAACTCCCTCACCTGACGTAAGCAGTCCCTTCTTAGTCTGACCACGCCCAGGCTTTCCTGTTCTTCCTTCCTAGGTATGGTATGCCTCCTGTTGGTCTGATCTTTATGCTTTTACCCCTCGAAGAGGCCCTGACACCACCTCCCCCAGGAAGCCTTCCCTGATCTCCCTGCACATTTGTCTATTGAGCACCTACCACATTAGTGCAGGCTTCCCCCTGCCCAGTGCCTGTCTCCTCTGCTCCACTGGAGACCCCCTCAGAGCCAGGCACAGGGCAGAGTACCCCACATTACCCCTGGAGGCGTGAGCAGAATGAATGCAACCGGGTCCTGTGCTTCCTGAAGCCCAGCGATTCGGCATGCCTCTCTCCTTCAGGGGAGGCCCA
Source organism: Homo sapiens (assembly GCF_000001405.40). Taxonomy (NCBI): domain Eukaryota; kingdom Metazoa; phylum Chordata; class Mammalia; order Primates; family Hominidae; genus Homo; species Homo sapiens. The sequence continues at coordinate 7,865,175 of NC_000019.10, read as the reverse complement.
AGTTGATTCACCCAGGTGGGAAATCATGCCCTGCCCCCAAACTGAATGCCCTTCTATCCTCTCCCACCCCCATTCTATGAGACTGTGGGGAGCTCCTAAGGGCAAGGACAGCCCCACCTTCCCTCAGCACGGTTTTTGGTCCCTGGGCTGGGCACCCACCGCTGCTTGTGATTCTCCTCCCAGCCCGCAGGCCAGTCCGTGACTGTGTAAATACACTTTATTTTCCATTTTTCCCGCCTGGGCGACATGTGAACAGGCAGTGTGCAAAATGGTGGCGGGCAGTGTAGGGGGCGTGTGGAGAGCCCCGTGGGTGCCTGCCCCGGTCCCCAGGCTTCGTAACACTGAAAAGTGGGCAGCTAGGAAGCGGGGACGGAGCAGGGGTCCCCACCCAGGAAGCGCCAGGGAGATTGCTTGTGACGCTACTCTACTGGAGGCTCCGGGAGCACCGAGGGGGGCAGCCCCCAGGGTCATGAGGCCCGGGGGGCCGGGGGAAGGGAGGAAGGGGCCTGGGGGGCATCGTTGGATTTTGGCACCGTTCTCAGCTCTGATTCAGCAGAGACAACGGGACCACCAGGAGGAAGTGAGGGGAGGCCGCTCGCTGGGAAGCTCCTGCCTGGGGGCCTGGCTCTGGCTGAGGGTGGGGCTGGAAACACATGAAGAAAGGGAAGTAGATGGAGACCGAGGACCCCTGTAGAGATACCCCTCCATCACTGGCCAGGATAGGGGGCGCGAGTGTCTCCCAGAGAAAGATGTGGGGCACTGGGGAGAGGGGTCTCTTCACTTCCTGGAAGCTGCTCTGGCCCCAGAGAAGCAGGGAGGCTTCCCGTTAGCCACTCAGTCCCCAGGCGCCCCGCACATAGTAGGGGGACTTTGGTTTCCGCTGCAGGGGCCACGGTGCCTGCGCCAGGCAGGAGAGGCCGGCCTGGCCATCTGTCCCCAGCGGCCTGACTCCCCTAGAGATGGCCAGGGGCTAGTCAAGGGTCACTTCATCCCGAGGAGTGTTGTGGGGTGCTGATGTCCAGCCCAGAGCTGGCGCTCTCCTTCCTCAGGCCTCGGCTACCTCCTGAGCACTTCCCAGCAATGTCGCCCCTGTCCCAGAAGGAAGCCTGCCAGGAGGTGGGAGCTGCCTGCTCATTCAGTGCTGGGACCTCTGGGTCGTCTGTCCCCTGCCCTCTGCCCTCCTGTTAAGAGAGCAGTCAGCCCCTCCAGGCACCCCTGGAACGCCAGAGGGCCCGGAGGGGTACAGACCAAGATGGGTAAACACTGCTGGGGATAGAGAGCCTGCCCCGGGGCCCTGAGGAGCCCAGGTCGGACCCTACCCTCTGCGCTGCCTCGCCGGGCCTCGCTTTAGGGGTGGCCGAGCCACAGAGGGCGCGTAGTTTGTCAAGTGCGGCAGGTGGGGAGCAGAACGCGGACTGCCCGGGCGCCCCCCGCGGCTGCGGCCTCCTGACTCCGGGCGCGCTGGGCATGGCCTCAGTTGTCCAGACCCTGGCTGTAGGGCGCGGCCAGCTCATCGGCGTCGCTGTCTGAGCTGCCCTCGCTGTCCTTGGCCGGCCGCTCCAGACGGCGGAAGAAGCGCGCATCGCGCGGGGACAGAGGGTACAATGCGTCCTGCAGGGCAGCGCCCACGCCTACGCCAAGTAGCTCCTCGTCCGACGACGGCAGCGAGTCCTCGTCCAAGTGCCGCGCCAGGCTCAGCCCATCGAAAGCCAGCGGGTCCTCGAAGGGCGGCGGGCCCTTCAGCAGCCGCACCTGGGGCGGGGGACCGGCGCTGCAGGCGTGGACCGGCCTTCTGCCCCGCCCTCCCAGCCGCATCCTCCGCAAGGCACCTGCGCTCGGCTCGTCCCAGGCCGACGACACCCAGGCCTGTCCCCGGCATCCCCGCGCCGGCTCACCTCGGCCTTCAGCTCCTCGATCTGGTCCTTGAGCTCGCGGATGTACTGCGATGAGTCCGAGTGGTTCAGCTGGCCCTGGATGCGGCCTTCCTCCCTCTGCGGGGTGCGCCAGGTCACGCGGGGCCAGTGCCATGCTGGGCCTGGGGTCCGGCCCCGCTCCTGCCCCGGGCCCTGCCCCCGCCCCCGCCCCCCGACCCCGGCCCCGCCGATCACCTGGATCTCCAGCTCGGCAATGCGCTGCCGCATCTCGGCCACCGCAGCCATGCTGTCCGCCTCCCGCAGTCGCACAGCCATCACCTCCTCCTTGCTCTGGGGTCGGGGGATTGGGGGGAAAGGAGGGCGGGTCAGGGGGCGCGGCGCATCAGGGGGCGGGACCGCGGGCAGGGGCGAATGAGGAGGCGGGGCCGCGGGCGGAGGCGGGTCAGGAGGCAGGACCGCGGGCAGGGGCGGGACCGCGGGCAAGGGAGGTGCGGGCGGGGGCGGGTCAGGAGGCGTGGCCGCGGGCGGGGGCGGATCAGGAGGCGGGACCGCGGGGGGGGGTGGTCAGGAGGCGGGGCCGGATCAGGAGGCGGGGTCGCGGGCAGGAGCAGGTCAGGAGGCGGGGCCGCGGGCGGGGGCGGGAGGACCGCGGGCAGGGGCAGATCGGGAGGCAGGACGCCGGCAGAGGCGGATTGGGGGCGGGGCCTCATGTAGGGGCGCGTCCGGGGGCGGTGCCACGGGCAGGGCGGGGCCGCGGGGGTCTGCACCTTGCACTCGGCCTCGGCCTGCTTGCGGCGGCTTTCGCTGAGCTGCGTCTGCAGCCCCTTGTTCTGTGCAGCCAGGTACTGCAGCTTCTCCTGCAGCGCCGCGCGCTCCGCCTCCACGCGGTTCAGAAGGTTGCGGTGGATGTGGTCCTGGGATAGGGAGGAAGGGAGGACGGAGGACGGCGGCGGTCAGGGCCTAACTCAGGGGCTGGCCACGGACACCACGCCCCTTCCCCAACGAGCAGGCCCCCCGAGTCCACCTGCGTCTCAAGTTCCACCACGCGCTGCCGCAGCTCGCGGCCCTCGGCCAGGGCCTGGGCCTCGCGCAGACGCACGCTCATCAGCTCGTCCTGCAGCTCGCCCACGACCAGCTTCCGTGGGGACTCCTTCCAGCGGCCGCCGCGGGCCAGATGGGCCTGGGGGGTGAAGCCGAGAAGCCGGCGGTCAGCCTCCGCCCAAGAACCCCGAGGGGATGGCCCTAGGGGGCGCTCTGCCCGCCGGCGCCCACCCGGCCCTCACCTGCCAGGTGTCCGAGAGCTCCTGCAGCTGCAGTTTAAGCTCTCGCGTCGAGGCCACCGCCTGGCCTTCCCGCACCTTGAGCGCCTTCAGCTCCTCCTGCAGCTGCGCCACATTGTTCTCGTCGGGCAGCGAGCTGTTCCTCTGCGGGAAGAGTGGGGTCAGGGCCTGGGGGAGCAGCGCAGCCGCATGGCCCTTCCTGCAGGACAAACGCCCCCAGCCACGTTTCCTCCTGAGCTCTGCCTTGGGCGGCTCAGATGGGGGAGGGCGACCCCCTTGACAAGGCCCACGGGGAGCGGACTCGCCTGTGGAACCCGGTTGGAGTTCCTCAGCTATAAAATGGGTGTAGTAACAGCACCTACTCTCACAGGGTGTCCTAGGGCAACCCCCATAAACGCCGCGCTGCACACACTGACTCCCCGAGGTCTGAGATCCATCCCCTCAGGGACATGATCAGGTGGAGGACCTGCCCCAGCAGAAACACCCTGTCTGCCCTCTGGCCCCCAGGCCAGGCCACACCAGGCCAGGCAGTCCCTCTCCCTGGGAACAGGCTGAGTGCCAGCCTTGGCCCTGTCCTGGTGTCCCAGGGCTCATTGATGGAGGATTTGTGCTCCAGGACCCAAATCCAGCTTTCTGGATGAGGTCCGCACTGACCCGTGTTTGGGTCTAGGGCTGGGACAGATCTAGCAGCATGTCCTGGAGGCACACTTCCCTATGAAGTGGAGGGAGGCGGGAGCGGAGCCCAGCTCTTGGCTGGTGATGAGGGCCTGGAAGCAGATGGCCTCTCAGTCCTCCATTTGGGAGGACTCCCAAAATAGTGCAGGCTCGAGGGGGTGGGGAATGGCTCCTGCTGAATGTGTGAATGGGTCCCTGGGTGCTTTCCTTCCTCTGGGAGCTCCGTGGGAGAGTGGAGTCGATGCCAAGTCAGAGAGCAGTTGGGGAGGAACCCAGAAGCCCTGGGATGGTGTCTGCATGGGAATGTGTAGGGAGGCAGCCACAATGGGCCTGGGCCTTCCTTTCTCTCCTTCCTGTCCCCCTCCCCCATCCCCCTCTCTCCTCCCTTCCTTCCTGGAACCCAGTACTGGGGGAAACACACACAGGTGGGATGCAGGTATCCGGGAAGCTCATAGAAGCTGCCACGCTGCTGGAGTTTGCCTCATACAGGAGCGTGGGCATGCCCCGCGTGGGGTTGTGCTGTGTGTGTGCATATGTATGGTTGTGTGTGCATGGGGGTGGGGGATTCTGACCTGGGGTCACTCCCAAAGCTTATCCAGGACCCCTCCTGTGCCCCAGGGTCCCCCCGACACCTGCCCGTCTGCCTCCCCATTGCACCTTTTCCATGTCGAGAACCTTGTCCTGCATCTCCCGAAGGGCCCCCAGTGTCTCCGTCTCCCGCAGCCTCGACTGCTCCAGCTCGGTCTCCAGGTGGGACACGAAGTCTTCTGTGAGGCGGGGGTTCTCCTGGGGGAGGCAGAGAGCTGCGTGGGGCCCCAGGCCATGGCTGGGGGATGGGCAGCCTCCATGCCTGCTGGCTTCTCCCCGCCTCCCCAGAGCCCTTCAGCAGGGAGAGGGGCCCAGGCTTGGGGTGTCCTGGGCTGGACCCCCTGATGCTCAGGGCCTAGAGGTCCTGGCATCCATGCAGCTGGCCCGGTCCAGCTTCCTTCCTGGAAAGGCTGCACAGAGGGGACATTCTGAAAGGTGACTTGCCTTGGCCTTCGGATGCCCCGCGGGACCCCAGTGACTGGTTTTCCGGGATCACTGGTGAGGGTGGGAGATGGGTTCTTGCTGGGTGGTCACCGTTCCAGCCACATGGTGGGCGAGGCAGGGGGTGGGGGAGAGGCCTGGGGCTGTGCACCTGTCTTTCCACCTCTCTCCTCTGCATCCCACCCTCCATTTCAAATCAGGGAAGGATGAGGAAAGAGTTTGTGGGTATCACCCTCTTGCTCCATGCCCTGGCTTCTCAGAAGTTCCCCAGTGGGGGCCCCTGGAGTGATGGACACTGCCACCTGGACCTGAAAAAGGACACCTGGTCCCTGGGGTGGGAGCCGGGCTCCCTCTCACTGACCTTGTGGCCTGGCAGGACAGTTCTCTGGGGGACTGCCTCAGCCCTCCCAGCCACCATCCTCTTCCTGTGGGTCTCTGAGATCCACGTGTGACGGTGGCTCTGCCTCGGCCCAGATGGCCTCCAGGCCCCATGTGGCTCCTCTGGGCCACCTCATCTTGCCTGCAGTGGCCTCCCTTTGGGCCTGAGGAGGTGGCCTTGGGCCTCCCCGATCTCTGCATCCCCCCAAGGTTGGAGCTCAGGGGTGGCTGGTGGAGTCTCTCTAACGAGCCTGAAAGGCGGCCTCATGCAGTGGGTGGGATGAGCCCAGCCTCAGTTTCCCTAATGTCCATGCTGCCTCAGAGCAAGGTGGGACAAGAGTGCTCACAGACTCTGAGGGCCACAACGCCAGCATCATACGGATGTGGTTCATGGGGACAAGTGAGAAACAGTGAAGCTCTCCTTCTCCCCAGGAGCAGTGGATCCGCTAGAATCCCTGGGCCAAGGCTTGAGCCACAGTCTCTGGGCCTGGGGGCGGAGGGGGCACCTCTGTATTGGATGGCTCTTCTTTCTCAAGCACTCCATGGTTTCTCCAACCTACACCCCACTGCCAGGCCCTGCTGGGTCAGGCCAGGATGGCAGCGGGACCTACAGCGTCGCTCCCGGCCCCTCCAGGGCATGTGTCCCTGTGGCCTGCAGGGCTTAGGACTGCAGCCACTGGGGGTCCCTGCGATCAGGAAGGCCAACTGCTGAGTGCAGCTGCAGTTAAGTTTTTTTTTTTTTTTTTTTTGAGATGGAGTCTTGCTCTGTCACCCAGGCTGGAGTGCGGTGGTGCCATCTTGGCTCACTGCAACCTCCACCTCCCGGGTTCAAGTGATTCTCCTGCCTCAGCCTCCTGAGTAGCTGGGACTACAGGTGCGCACCACCATACCCAGCTTATTTTTGTATTTTTATTAGAGATGGGGCTTCATCATGTTGGCCAGGCTGGTCTCGAACTCCTAACCTCAGGTGATCCACCTGCCTCAGCCTCCCAAAGTGCTGAGATTAAGGCGTGAGCCACTGCACCAGGTCGCAGTTAAGTTCTAAAAGCTTTCAGGAGAAGAAAATCTTGGGGTGGGGCCCCACTCATGGGCCTGCCCATCATGGGACCCAAAGTTCATGGCCCTCAAGACACTCAAGGTGCCCCCTCAGCCCCACCCTGCTGGCTCAGAGCTCCCCAAACAGTCCCGGACTGCCCTGCTCCCATTCTCCATGGCTGGCCCCCCAGGGACACCTAACAATCCTTCAGACCCTGGGGACAGGCAAGAGCCTCCGTAAGGAGTCACAGCCCTGTCTGCTGCCTGTGACACAGAGGAAACCCTGCAGGGACAGCCCGGTCTTCAGAGGCCTCCGTGCTGAGGCTGGGGGTTGGGAAGTCAGATACTGCAGACACACTATGAGGTGGCAAGAAATGGATATCAGGATGTCTCAGAATGTGGAGCTGCTGGGGGAGAATCTGCGCTTGTCTCTGGGTTCCCCTTACCCCAGAAAGGAACAGGAGGGCCAGGTGCTGAGGCGGGGCAGATTATGAGCCCTGAAAGAAAACCGTTGGGCGGGGGCGGGGGCGCGGGTCATGGCCCCGCCCAGCAGCCCCGCACACCCGCCCCTACCTGCTGCTCCTGTAGCTGCCGGATGGTGCTCTGTGCCTTCTGCAGGTCCTCGGCCGCCGAGCTGCACTGCTGCCGCACCACCGCCAGCTCCCGCTTGATGACGTAGTTCTCCTCCGCCTCCTGCGCCCGTGTCACTTGCCCCTGAGAACAGCGAGGACAGGGGGCAGGGGGAGGCCGTGACCCTCGGCTCCCACCCAAGGCCCTGCCTCCCGCCACAGGGGGAGGCCCAGAGAGTGGAGGTGGGGGGAAGTGAGGTGGGGGCCTCCCGTACTCAGAGCCTGGGATGAGCGTCCCACTGGGCCTGGGGACGTGGGTGGGTGACAGGCAGGAATAGGACACCTGGAGGAGCCCGGGAGGAACAGAGCTAGCCCTGGGCTTGGAAAGCTCCATCTCCTTCCCCACTCTGGCTCTCAGTCTCTGCCCCAGTTGGGATCCTTATCCAGGGGCACAGCGAGGCCACCTGTGCCTATTCATGCCAGACTCTGCCGGTGAGGGTGAGGATCTGGGGACAGCTGAGGCCCCGGCAGGAGAGGGCTGGGCTCCCCAGGGCATTCACCTCTCCCAGCGGCATCTTCTCTAGTCCTGGGCTCTGGGGCCTCCACCTGCCTGGAGCTAAGACCCCCTTTTTTCCCCCACCTCATCTTTGTCCCCTACCCAACTTGGGCCCCCCATTCCAGGCTCAAAGCCACCAGGTGGCGGGTGGCAGCTTCCAGATAAAGCCATTCAAGATGAGGTGGCAGCAGGAGCAGGTGAGCTAGAGAAGGTGGTAGCAGGCATTGCAGGTAGGAGCAGAGAGCAGCAGCGTGAGGGCCGGGCGTGTGTGTGCGTGTGTGTGTGTGCATGTGTTGTGTGTGTGTGTGACCGCAGCACTGCACACACCAGGGCCTTATGTGAATATGGTTTTAGGTTCCCCAGCCCTCCTGGGTCCCCACCCTGTGTCGCCCGGAGGAAGCTTTCTGTACATGCATGTGGACATTCACACCCAAACGCACTCACAGCCCCTCCACACACACCCTTCTCCCCACTTCACATGCCCCGCCCCCCCGGGAAGCCTCTGTGTCCCCCAGAAGCGGTCCCCAGCTGCTCCATGCATGGCGCCAGGCCTGCCCGCAGAATGGCAGGGAAGAGGCGGTTACTGGCTGTCATGTGCAGGGTGCAGGGAAGGGGCCAGGAAGGAATCCGGAGAGGGGATAAAAAGCTACAGTACCTGGATTAACCTATCAGCCAGAGCAGCGCTCTCCTACCCGGCGAAGGGGGTTCCCAGCGACAGGGGGAGGAGGCAGAGCGGAAGGCGCGGGGACAGGAGAGGGGAGACAGACAAGAACCACTTGTCACTAACGCAGTGGACTATCTCTAGAAGCGGGGGAGAGAGGAGGGAAGACCAGAGAACCAGCAGGAGAGGACCCGGAGGAAGACCAAAGCTAGAGCCAGCTCCGTCCTGGAGAGGGGTTCGGTGTGAGCGGGGAGGTCGGGGGTGCCCGCGGCTGTGGGGGAGGCCGCAGGGCTGGGAAACCCACTGTCCCACCCTCCAGGGTCAGCCGGGCCGCTGCTGGCTGGAAAAACTGTGGGGGGCAGGGGGACTTTTGGCTTCGTGCGGACCTCCTGGAGAGTGGGAGAGGAGGGGGTGCGTTGTAATTTTAAGGCAGAACAAGGCTTTGGGGTGAGGGCAACCAAATCCGGCTGCCAACCCACTTCCTGTGGCCAGTGGAGGGTCAAGTGAGGACGAGTGAGGAGCAGGAATTGGGGGCTCCCGGGGCTGGGGCTCAGTGAGCCCCCAATTCCACCCCCATCTTTAGCATGTTGGGGAGCAGAGTCCGGGCTGTGGCTCCCCACCATGGCGCCACGCTTCTCCTCCACTGGGTTTCCTTTCCTTTCTTTTGAGGGCAAGACTTCCAAATTACAGGGTGGGGTGGCTTGTGGCCCAATTACGGGGCTCGTCCATCAAAGTGGCAGTTCTCCCTCCTCCTCACCCCTCCCCGTCTGTGCAGCCGGGGAGGGCACAGAACACAAATGGATTCCCGTGGCTGCAGGCCACTGGGTTGTAACTCGCCCCCACTCCAGGATTAATCACCATACGAGTCGCCCCCAGTTGCAGGGCACTCCAAATCGGGTTCAGGTCGGGTCCTGGGGCAGGAAGGTAGGGCTGCTTAGTCCTCCAGAGAGGAGAAGACTTGGAGGAGTCCACCCCAGGTTAGCGGCCATGCCCCGCATGGTGGGTCACACCCCATGGCGACCATGTCCTCACAGTGGCCACGCCCCTCACCTTCTCTAGGGTTTCAATCCGCTGTTTCAGGAGCCGGTTCTCCGTCCGAAGTCTCTATGGGGGTGGGGGGAGATCACGTCATAGCCCGCCCCCCACGCCTGTCTACATGCACCCCTCATTTACCCACTGCCGGGGTCAGTCCCCTTAGGGCCAGGCCACTTTTCCGGGCAGGGCACAGCCAGCATCTTACGTTCTGGGTCAGCGATTTCAGAAAACAGGGCCAATTCCTGTTCAGACTGGCTTGATTACAAAAAAATAAAGTTTTAAAACAAACCTGGGTTCAGTAAAAATAACGTCAGTGCCTTCGTGGCTGTGTGTGTGTTTGGGGGCCAGTCAGTACCCACGCCCCCTCAGAAGACTCCTTCCCACACGTGGGTCAGTCTGCCAAGGGTTGTGCGGGAATCAGTGGGGGAAGCAGCTGTCGAGCAGCCACCACCCACCCCTCGCTGCTTTGCCCCAAGCACCCGGGTTCAATTCCGGGGGCAGGCTCCTCTTTGAGTCTGGGTCCAGCGTGCTGATCATGCATCCTTTCTCGACAACTACATTCCCATGACCTGCTGAGAGCAACCTGTCCCCAGTGGTTTTCTCTGTTCCCTGGCTGGGGTTTCGAAGACGTCTCCCTTGCTCCTGCCTTCCATTCTGTGCTGATGGATTTTGGCTAGATATTTGCGGTTTTAGGCCAGGTGTAGTGGCTCACGCCTGTAATCCCAGCACTTTGGGAGGCCGAGGCAGGCAAATCACCTGAGGTCAGGAGTTCGAGACCAGCCTCTACTAAAAACACAAAGATTAGCCAGGCGTGGTGGTGCATGCCTGTAATCCCAGCTACAGGGGAGGCTGAGGCAGGAGAATCACTTGAACCCGGGAGCAGGGGTTGCAGTAAGCCGAGATCACCTCACTGCACTGCAGCCTGGGTGACAGAGCAAGACTCCATCTCCAAAAAAAAAAAAAAAAAAAGAAAAAGATATTTGCACTTTAGGTTCCCCCAGGACACTCTGGGGAGCAGGTGAGGTTTGCAAACGAGTTGAATCTCGACTGTACCTGTGCCCCCTTGCTTGATACTAAGGTGGTACAGAAATTGTTTGGATTGGCAGGTGAGTGAGGGCCCTGCCACACTGCAGGTCACACAGAATATTTCCTGGGTTTCTTCTGGGGAGAAAAGGTGATGGAAACACCTAGAACATTCCCAGGAAGCAAATGCAGTCAGACAGAACCGCAGACTTGACAGTCATTGATGCATGTCATGTGGGGAAACTGAGTCAGAGTGGGGCAGGGCATTGCCCTAGTCCCTCAGTTCAGCTGGGTCAGAGCTATTTCAGGTCTCTGGTCCTCATAGCAATCTGGAGCCCTGATCCCTGGCCCCTGGGTTTCCCTATCATCTCTCTGGCTTCAACCCATCACAGCACCAAGCACAGCCATCCTTGCAGGAGCTGGGCACACCTTTTGTATTTATTTCTATATTTTTGTAAAGACGGGGTATTGCTATGTTGCCCAGACTGGTCTCCAACTCCTGGCCTCAAGCCACCCTCCCACCTCAGCCTCTCAAAGTGTTGGGATTACAGGTGTGAGCCACTGTGCCGCTGGAGCTGGAATTGAATCCTTGTCTGTTGGACTCCAGTGTTAGCCACTGTGCGGCTCTGCCCCTGAAGAGCATGGAGCCAGGCTGTGTTGGGTTTGTGTCTGTGTCCCTTCCTATCACTGGTGCGCCCTCAGTCTCAGCTGTGACTTTGGCACACAGCAGGTGCTCAATAAATGTTTTTTTTCTTTTCTTTTCTTTTTTTTTTTTTTTTGAGACACAGTCTCACTCTGTCGCCCAGGCTGGAGTGCAACGGTACAATCTTGCCTCACTGTAACCTCCGCCTCCCGGGTTCAAGTGATTTTCCTGCCTCAGCCTCCCGAGTAGCCAGGATTACAGGTGTGTGCTACCACACCCAGCTAATTTTTGTATTTTTAATAGAGACGGGGTTTCACTGCATTAGCCAGGCTGGTCTCGAACTCCTGACCTCAAGTGATCCACCTGCCTCCGCCTCCCAAAGTGCTGGGATTACATGCATGAGCCATCGCGCCCGGCAATAAATGCTTGTTGAGTAAATAACTAAAATCACGTGTAAAGGGAAGAATGCGCAAGGAAGGAGAGAGAAGCTTTGCACACTCAGGAAACCCCCTGACCTGGCAGGGCTGGTGGGCCAGTTGCCCCAGGAACCAGGGGCCCCGGGTGAGTGCCCACACCCTGCCCTACACACCCTGGTGTCTGGGCCCTGCGTGCTCCATCTTTCCCCAGAGGGCGGTCCCCTTGCGGGGTCCTCCACTGCAACCTTCTTGGAATTCCTCCAGCCCCCAAGGCACGCTGCTGCCCTGGGCCTTTAGCCCTCGACACCCTGGGCCCGGAGCCTCTGCCCAAGTCAGCCTTGCCCACCGCGTGCACATCCTTGTCCAGAGCATTTAGAGTCCGCACTCTAGTTCAGTGGTTTATTGATTGCTTCCCCATGACGCTGGGCGGCCCAGCGGGGCAGGGACCTTGACTGTCTTGGTTACCGCGGCGTCAGGCGGGGGAGGCGCTCACAGCTGGCCTAACAGGTGAAGGACGGCGCAGGTGGGCGGAGGCCTGTCCGCCAAGGACCGCCGGGTCCGCCTGTGCGCTGGGAAGGCCCGCCCCCTAGCGGCCGATCTTTAGAGTACGGAGGGCAGCCCCCAAAGGCCTCCCATCCCTGTCCCCGCCCCTGGGCCCCTGGACTCACTTTGATCTCGATCTGCTCCTCCATCTCCTTGCTCTTCATGGCTGCGTACTCCTTCTCCAGCCTGCAGATCGGGAGGGCCCCGTGGTTACTGTCATGCCCTCGGGGGTCCCCCCTTCTTACCAGTACCCTGGTTGCCCAGCAGGCACCGACCTCTTCATCTTCTTGGGGTTGTACTTGACCTGGTAGGCTTTGAGGACCAGCTTGTCCGGGCAGCTGTCGAACTGGTGGGGGATCACTCTCTGGAAGTACTGTGGGGACACAGCCGGTCACCTGGTCACCAACATGCAGGCCCTGACCACCGGGGGCCGCCCGAGCCCTGTTGCCCTGGAGGGGGGCAGGAACGGGTCTGCCCGGGGTGTCGCCATGTCCTCAACGCCGTGTCCTCAGTGTTTGTGGAGCAATGGAAAGACTGAGCGTGAGGGGAGGGAATGGGGGACTGCCTGCAGCCAAAGCCTTAGTTTCCAGAAGAAAAGCTGGCAGATGCTGGATGTGGTGGCTCATTCATATAATCCCAATGATTTAAAAGCCTGAGGTGGGAGAAATAAATAGCTTGAGCCCAGGAGTTTGAGACCAGTGTGGGCAACATAGTGAGACCCCATTTCTGAAAAAAAAAAATTAGCTGGACATGGTGATGTACACCTCTGGTTCCAGCTACTCAGGAGGCTGAGGCGGGAGGATCGCTTCAGCCCAGGAGGTGGAGGCTGCAGTGAGCTAGGACTGCACCACTGTACTCCAGCCTGGGCCACAGAGCAACTCCGACTTAAAAAAAAAAAGAAAAAGGTAAAAGAAAAAAAGAAAAGCAGGCCAAGGAGGCTCTCCTGGGAGTGAAGGCTGAGGGTCGGGGGGTCTGACAGAGGGGACCTTCGTGGGGGAAGGAGGATGGGTATGCCGGGGGCCTCGGGCCTGTGCAAAGGGTTAAGGTAAGCCCAGGGGGGACACAGCTCCTGCACCCGGCCCAGCTGGCCCCCTCTGGTAGCTGTGGACAATGCCTGCCCATGTTCACGGACACAACCGTGGCCTTTGTGCATTCTTCCCTGAAGCACCAGCTGGAGGACGCGGGGAGGGGGCAGGGGCCCGCACAGCAGAGAAGTAGCGGTGGGAGGCAGGCTGGCCAGCAGCAGGGCCTCCAGGCAGGCCGGGCTGGGGCGGGGCAAGGCGTGAGGTTGCCTAGACCCCCAAACTCCCTCCTGTGCCCTCACCAGGCTGGGCGGCAGGGTGGGGATGCCCTCATGGTCAGTCAGTCATGATCTGCCATCAGGCTTTGGGGCATCTGCGGGGTTGGGGGCAGGAGGTGGGCAGTGGGGCTCCCAGGGCTCAGCCTGGGCCTCCTGTCTCCCTGCGGCCAGGCTGCTGGCCCCTGACTGTGTCTGGCAGAGCCTAGGGGGTCCTCTGGTCCCTTAGGGAGACCTCAGGGGAACAGAGTGGATGGGAACAGATCAGGGATGTCAGGCACACCACCTTCCACCCTCGAAGCCGGGCCCTCTCTGTCACTTGTGAGGGCATCCTGTGACTCGAAGCCCCTGATTGGGGGCAGCCCCACCGGCCCTGGCCCTCCCGGCCCACCTGGGACATCCCCTCCATGTCCAGCTGCATCAGCTCTGCCTGGTTCACCTGCAGCAGGGCGAGGCCCACTCGGAACACGATCTCCAGCCCCTGCAAAGGCGGCAAAGGCAGTGGGAGGTGGAGGGCAGGGAGGCTCCTGTTCCAACCACCCCCAAGGGGCTCTCTTCCCTCCCCAGGCACCATCGGTCCTCACCTCATACATGAAGATGTCAAAGACCCGGGTGGCGACGGGGAGTGGGAAGGTGGTCAGGAACAGTGTGAGGAACCAGGACGAGGCATACATGGATGTGTGGAAGCTTTGGGAACGGAAGTGGGTGTTGAGGTCTGGGAGCTGCTCCTGCAGGGGTGGGAGGCCGGGTGGGCACAGTGAGGGGGACGCCCTCCCACCGGGGGGTGCTGGGCCTCAGTGTCCCCGCCTCCAGGGAGCCTTCCTGGACCTGCGCTGGGCAGCCTGAGGCTCCCTTCCTGGTGCTCCCTCAGCACTCTGTCTGAGGGAGGCCGAAGCACCCCCGAGCTTTGAGTAGCACGGGGTGGGGGACAGGCAGGGATGGCAAGATCTGTAGCCGCCTGTGTTGGGGGCCCACCCTGGGTAGGTGATGCGCCCGTGGCAGCTCATGGGGTCCTCACGACAGCCTGAGAGGGTGTGTCTGAGGCTGGGGGAGTTGGGTCACTCCCCACAGACACCCTGAGACCCAGAGGTGGAGCATGGGCAAGTGGCAGCCTCTGGCCCTGGGGGGAGCCCCCCCCCCACCTTGTTACGTGACCTGCCAGCCACTGTACCTCCCTTGGACCCCAGCATAAAGCTTTGTGCAAGCTGTGTTGGATTGGCCTGAACTCTAGACAGCCAGAAAGTGGCAGACGGCTGGGGAAACTGAGGCCGGAGAAGGCGTTAGGATCCCGGGCTTCCTCCCAGCGCCAGGGGCTCTCTGCGCCCTGAGTTTGCAAGCTTGGCTGTGGGAGGGCTCTGCTACCCAGCCTGAGGTGGGGTGGTGCCTTCTCTGCAGCCCAGGCCTCCTGCTTGTGGCACTACCAGGCCCCCTAAGGCTACAGCACCGTCCATGATCCAGGCCCAGGGAGTGGGGCTGTCACATCCAGGGATGACTGCACAGCCCCACCTGCCATGGCAGCTGAGGCGGGCCGGTGTGTGTGTGTGTGTCTGCGTGTGTGTGTATGCATGCGGGTGTGTGTATGTTCGCAAACGGCCTTGGCGGCTCTGCCTGCCAGCCGGGAGCAGGCCCTGCGGGGGCTGCTATTTATAAACAGACGTCTGCGGCTCTCCAGTAATCAGGCAGGCAGACAACACTCCCTCCTTCCACCACACTCTGGAGCAGACAGGGAGGTGGCTGTGGCTGTGTCCGATGTGAGCCTGCCCCACCCCTCTGCCTCAGCAGCCCTGGGAGCCCCCCTTCAGTGGTGGCTCTCCTGTTCCTCCAAGCATCCTTCAGGGCAGTGCTGCATGGAAAGAGGAGTGCCTTTTGGAGTTGGAACGTCCAGGTGTGATTTCACAGGCTTGGAATTTTCAGTCCAAGAGGTGCCCGGGTATGGTCTAGGGTGCCAGCCCTGCCCTTCTGCGATCCTGCTCCCTTGCGGCCCTGCCCACCTGTGGCCCTGCCCTCCTGCAGCCCTGCTCTCCTGCGGCCCTGCTCACCTGCAGCATGTACTCGAACTGATAGATGCAGAGCCCGAGCTCGGCCATGCTGGGTTTGAAGAGCTCCCGCAGCCGGTACTCCTGCATCAGCCGCACGAACACACAGAAGGCCTCCTCCTCAGGCATCTAGGGGGGACGGGCAGGTGGGGGGGCTCAGGGCAGCGCAGCGGGGAGGGGCATCTCGCTGCTCATCAGGGCCCTGGGGTACAGGGGCCCATGTCCATGTCGGTACCTGGCTCCCTAGACTCTCATGACACACTGTTGGTCCCTGTGTCCTCACAAGCTGTTTTACTGATGGAAGACCTGAGGCTGAGGTCACCTGCCAAGGGCCACTCGGCAGGAAACAGGGGAGCTGGACCTGAACCCAGGGCTGGCCACTGCCAGCATCCCCCTGGTTAGGATACCTCCTGTCCCAGCTGCGTCCTCTCTCCCTGTCAGCCTCCCGATTTCTCTGGAGGAGACCCCCAAGCCCCATAAACACCACGCTGGATGGCTTAAGTCCCCAGCCTGAGGTTCCTGTCCAACCCTGAGATGTGGCAGAGAGAGACAGCCTATCCCTCCAAACCCGGTCTCTGTCCTGGATGGTACAGCAGACAGGACCCAACCAGACAGGTGCCACTCACTGGGCCTTGGCCTGGCGATTGGCAGAGGTCACGGGTGTGGATGGAGAAGGAGGATCTACCCCTAGCAAGACGCTGGGTGGAGGACACGCCACTTCTGTCCATCTCTTGGGGGCCGAGCCCAGGGTGGGCTGTTGTCTGGCAGGAGCCCAGCCACCCCCCAGCCACCTACCTGCATGAGGAGCAGGCCCACGATGAAGGCGCTTCCCTGGCAGTAGCCCACCTCCCGGTCTACCAGCGAGTATGCCTAGAAGGGAACAAGTCCTGAGAGCAGGGTCCCGCCGTCCAGCACAGCCGGTGAACTGGGGAACTTCTCCTTCCTTTGGGACCGAGGGAGCGGGGAGCCCTGGGCCTCACCTTCATGACGTTGAAGAGGACCTCCTGGCCCAGGCTGTCCTGGCCCTTGAAGAACTCATGTTCCGGGTAGGTGCGGGCGATGTCCCTGCGGATCAGCTTCTCGCACGGCGAGGACATCTTGAGCAGCTCGGAGTACTGGTTCTTGACGGGCATGTCCGTGGCGCTGCACAGAAGCTGCCACACGATGGCCCGGAAGTGGTGGGGGATGCCCTTGCGGATCAGCTCCTGGCCACGGGAGCGGGAAGCGGGGGCTGGACTCGGTCCCAGCGCAGCCTCCCCGTGGCCACCCAGCCCAGCTCCTCAGGCGTGGCTCATCCAGGCCTCAAGCATGGCACAGAACTCATGGTCCCCAATCCTTTTTTTACCCCCTTTTTTCAGAGACAGGGTCTCCCTCTGTCACCCAGGCTGGAGTGCAGTGGTGCGATCATAGCTCCCTGCAGCCTTGAACTCCTGGGCTCAAGCGATCCTCCTGCCTCAGCTTCCTGAGTAGCTGGGACTACAGTTGTGCACCACCACGCCTGGCTAATTTTTAAACTTTTTTTTTTTTTGAGATGGAGTCTCACTCTGTTGCCCACGCCGGAGTGCAGTGGCGTGATCTTGGCTCACTGCTACCTCTTGCCTCCCAGGTTCAAGTGATTCTCCTGCCTCAGCCTCCCAAGTAGCTGGGATTACAGGTGCACGCCACCACGCCCAGCTAATTTTTGTATTTTTAGTAGAGTCGGAGTTTCGCCATGTTGGCCAGGCTGGTCTTGAACTCCTGACCTTAGGTGATCTGCCTGCCTCGACCTTCCAACGAACTGGGATTACAGGCGTGAGCCACTGCGCCCGGCCTACCTGGCTAATTTTTAAACTTTTTATAGAGTCGGAGTCTCATTACGTTGCCCAGGCTGGCCTCGAACTCCTGGCCTCAAGCGATCCTCCCACCTTGGCCGCCCAAAGTGCTGAGATTCCAGGCGTGAGCCACCACACCCCCATCCTTCATGGGCACTACAGGGCAGCAAGCACATGGGCACTCGAGGGTGCAGGGCCTGTCCAGCACCACCCTGACTCACTCTCTCCTGTCCCTGTGCTCTGGCAGGACACCCTGAAAGTGCCTGCACATCTCCACTGCTGCCGCTGTGCCCAGGCTGGGGCCCCGCAGACCCTGGCGCTGCCTGGTGGCTGAGTGACCGCACCACCTGCCCACGCCGTCGGCCCAGCCCTGCCTGCCTGGCCGCCCCCCACCTTGAGCAGCTTCTCCTTCCTGCGCCGCCACTCCTCCCACTCGTTGGCGATCCGGCCCCACAGGATCCACGTGTCCTCCTCCAGGTGGCTCAGGTTGGAGGAGGCCGAGGAGCTGGACACTAGCGAGGAGCCACTGTTCCGCCGCGAGCCATTCATGGAGCGCATGGACTTGGAGTCGGCCTCCAGGAGCCTGGGCAGGAAGGGCCGACAGAGGGGAACCAGTGACTCCCTGGGGACAGGGATCCTTGGCGAGCCCAGCCCATCCTCCCCCTCCTGGGGGTCTTAGAGGACACCAGGGATTAGGTCCCTCTTGTTCTTTTTTTTTTCTTCTTCTTTGAGATGGAGTCTTGCTCTGTCGCCCAGGCTGGAGTGCAGTGGTGTGATCTCAGCTCACTGCAACCTCTGCCTCCTGGTTCAAGCAATTCTCCTGCTTCAGCCTCCTGAGTAGCTGGGATTACAGGTGCATGCCACCACACCTGGCTAACTTTATATTTGTAGTAAATATGGGGTTTCACCATGTTGGTCGGGCTGGTCTCGAACTCCTGACCTCAGGTGATCCACCTGCCTCAGCCTCCTAAACTGCTGGGATTACAGGCTTGAGCCACTGCCCTCAGCGCCCCCTTTTTTTTGAGACGGAGTTTTGCTCTTGTTGCCCAGACTGGAGTGCAGTGGCGTGATCTTGGCTCACTGCAGCGTCCGCCTCCCGGGTTCAAGTGATTCTCCTGCCTCAGGCTCCCAAGTAGCTGAGATTACAGGCACCCACCACCATGCCCAGCTAATTTTTGTGTTTTTAGTAGAGACAGGATTTCACCATGTTGGCCAGGCTGGTCTCAAACACCTGACCTCAAGTGATCCGTCTGCCTCGGCCTCCCAAAGTGTTCGGTGGTGTGAGCCACCACGTCCAGCCTAAAACCTGCATTTTAAATGGGGGTAGGGTCAGAGGAAGAAAGCAGGAAGGCCCGAATCGACTCTTCCTCCAGTCCTGGCTCCATTAACCGCGGCGGATTCACAGATTCACTTGACCTCTCAAACCTTCAGTCTCATCTGAACAGGGTGGGGACACATATATTCAGCCAGGGTTGGGAGGATGAAAGGAGGTGTCTGTCCCTCATCCAGCATCTGGAGGTGGCTGTCACATTGCACACACTGGGCCTGGCTCTGAATGTGAGGGCACCTGGGAACTCCTGTGGGGGCCCAGACTGCACCCCAAGATTTCACCCCATCCCCCAGCCCCCAACTCACCGGTTCTGCTCTTCGAGCTTGGCCAGCAGCTCCAGCTCATCGGGGCTGAGGTTCTCGGAGTCAGAGGTTGGGGAGCAGGTGGGGGCCGACAGGGCCTCCTGGGATGAGGAGTCGGGGCTCAGAGTGGGGCTCGCCATGGTGGGTGGGCTTGTTAGCCGTGAGCGGGGTTGGTTCACAGCTCTGTCTGGGGGCCAGAGACATGCGTGGTCGGCATTGGGTGGGAGCCCACTCCATCCTGCCTGCCCACCCTCGGGACATTTCCTCACCCTGGGCTTCCTGCCTCTGGTCCACCCCCGTCCGTGCACCCCTCATCCCCATGCGCCCCAGCCCAGCTGACAGCCATGCTGCCCCTTCTGTTCGAGACCCTGGCGATTGGGATCCCTGCCTGTGTCATCAGGCCGGATGTCTGGATGGAGATGGGAGGACTGTTGCCAGGATGTGAGCCGTCCTGCTGTCCCTGGGCATGAAGGCCAAGGCTCAACTCGACACCCCTGAGGCTGGAGCAGGGCCCGGAGCAGAGGCTCCCTGTCACTCGGGGCTCCATGGACCCTGCTGGGACCTCGGGGTGCAGGAGCCCCCTGCTTTTCTGGCCCTTCCTAATAGCTTTGTCCCCGTCCCCGCCACGGCCTGCCCTGGGAGCCCCATATCAGTGTCTGACTTCCCCATCTCATCAACCAAAGTGGGCTGCTGGCACGGCCAAGAGCAATTACTTTCGACTGTTAATTGTCTGGCGCTGCCAATGGCCAGAAGAGTCGACTCCCCTTGGGTTGAGAAGCCAGGGACGTGGCAGAGTGCTGGGAATCTGTGCCCTGGCAGACACAGAGCCAGAGCTGTGGGCTCCGATCCGTATCCAGATCTTGGCCTGCCACGTGCCAGGTGAGTCCCAGGCACATCTCTCCTATCTTTTTGCCGTGTCATCTGGCCCGACCCTTCTGGGGGCTTCAAGGACACTGGCCTCTCGCCTTCTGCCACCCTGGTGGAGGCAGATCAATGCCATGTCAAAAACAAAGGTACTGGGCTCAAATGGATCTGCGTCTGAAGCATGGCTCCCCTCAACCAGCTGTGTGACCTTGGGCCAGTCACTTGGTGTCTCTGAGCCTCCGTACACTGAGATCATACAGGACCTAGCCTCAAGGGTGGCTGTGGAAACTGAGCACATGACTGCACATAACCTGGTCAGAACAGAGCCTGACACTCAGTGATGGCCCCACGGACATCGGCTATCACTGTCCATCCTGGAGCCAGGGCTCCTGGGTTCTGCTGTGGCCTGTGTGGGGACTGATGGCCAGGGGACCCCTAGCAGGGGGCCCTAGAGGAAAGGGACGGCTATGGGAGTGGAGGCAGCGGCTGGGGATGGTGTTCCTTCATGCTTCTTCCTGGTGAGCCCAGGCTCACCTCCAGCGTCTGAGAAGATGGGGATACCTAGGGTCCTGATGGCAGGAAGGAAACCCTGCCTCCTGCCTCCTTATTTGCACGGCTCCTCATGCCCGCCCACTGCCCGGCACGCTCTGTAGCAGGAGTCTGCCGTGTGCCACTTGACCCCACCTGACCTGGCTGACAGCTCCACCTACAGAGAGGGCCTCGCTGGGTCCTTGGAGTGGGGATATCTGGATCCCCAGGCAGCAGGGGGACATTGGCGGGACCATAGCAGACCACTCTATACCTGCCTGACTACCGTTGGGTCACTGGGCACCTTCCCACAGCCCAAACTCAGCCCCCAACCAACCCCTGAGGGCCTACAGGTTGGATGGACTTGACCCTGGCCACCCCAGTCCTCCTGGAATAGGGTTGGGGGAGGTGCGCCATTCTTTTTTCACTGTATGGGGACCCAGAACCCTCTTTCTCCAGGCCTCTGTGGCTCCCCAAGGCTACTGGTTCTACCTTGGGCCCTCAAGCGTTCCCCTAGTCTGCCGGGTGCTGAGGGTTTTGGATTTTGGGGAGTGGAAGGAACTCTCATTGCCAAGTGGGCCAGGGCCACCTGCCCTAAAGACCAAGCTGCTGGGCACCACCTAATCAGGAGTTAATCATTCCCGAGGCAGGGACAGTGGGGGCCACTTTGGGGCCTCCCACAGAGTCAAAGTCTGCCCGGACAGAGACGGGGGCTGTGGACAAGAAGTGCTGATCAGAAGGACCTCTCTGGGCAGGGAGGGGCTGGGAGGGTAGCTTCAGAGCTGGGAGAATGGGGAGGAGGTGGTGGAGGTGAGGCTGGAGCCTCAGAACCACAGATGGAGTTGGGGAGCAGTGAGAGCTTCAGAACCAAAGAAACCCAAGCTCAGGGCATCAGCCCCACCCAATCTCTGCCCGAGCCTCGGTTTCTTTTCTTTCTTTCTTTTTTTTTTTTTTTTTTTGAGACGGAGTCTCGCTCTGTTGCCCAGGCTGGAGTGCAATGGCGTAATCTTGGCTCACTGCAACCTCTACCTCCCGGGTTCACGCGATTCTCCTGCTTGATTACAGGTGCGTGCCACCACGCCCAGCTAATTTTTGTATTTTTAGTAGAGACGGGGTTTCACCATGTTGGTCAGGCTGGTCTCGAACTCCTGACCTCGGAATCCATCTGCCTCGGCCTCCCAAAGTGCTGGGATTACAGATGTGAGCCACCGCGCCCAGCCGAGCCTCAGTTTCTGATTTTAAAAATCCCCCAAACCCGGGAGCCGTCCACCAGCAGAGGTTGTTCAGCTATTTATCACGAATGTGTGTGTATTTCATACAGGAAGTGAAATGTATTAAATACACAGGGCTGAAACTTGCAGTCTGAGAGGCAGGAACCTTCTGATCCCACCGGAACTTTCTCTCCACTCATCCCCAGACTCTCTCAGTGGAAACCATCCTCCTGAAGCGTGTGTGCACGCACAACACACATGCACTCTCACACTCTTCACAGCCACCCCACTCCCTCACGCATGTACACACATTCACACCCACCCCCACTCACATACAAACTCTCACACATACACATGCAAACACTTGGATACACACACCCATGCCTATTCTCACACACACACACTCATACACCTATACACACACATGCACACACTCGACACACACCCTCATGCCTATTCACACACACCTATACACACACACTTGACACACACCCATGCCTATTCTCACACTCACATACCTATACACACATGCACACACTCGACACACCCATGCCTATTCTCACACACACTCATACACCTATACACATGCACACTTGACACACCCATGCCTATTCTCACACACACTCACACACCCATACACACACACTCTCGACACACCCATGCCTATTCTCACACTCACACACCTATGCACACACTCGACACACCCATGCCTATTCTCACACTCACACACCTATACACACACATGCACACTCAACACACCCATGCCTATTCTCTCACACACATGCACACATGACACACACACCCATGCCTATTCTCACACACACCTATACACACATGCACACACTCGACACACACCCATGCTTATTCTCACACACACACCCCTATACACACACATGCACATACTCAACACACACACCCATGCCTATTCGCTCACACACCTATACACACACATGCACATGACACACACACCCATGCCTATTCTCACACACTCACACACCTATACACACACATGCACATACTCGACACACAGCCATGCCTATTCTCTCACACACACGCTCACACACCTATACACACATGCACACACTCAACACACGTGCTCATCCATAGTCACACGTTTACACATATGCACACATTCGGATACACGCACACCCGGTACCTTCACACACACATGCACACACTCAATACACACATACCCATGCACATTCACACATACACATGGACACACTCAGATACACACACCTATATACCTTCACACACACATGTGCACACTCGATATACACATGCTTATGCATATTTGTGCACGCACACTCATATACACACACACCCAGTACCTTCACACACATGCACACAATACACACATACTCGTGCACATCCACACACTTGATACACAATTTGCACACACATCCATGCACACACTTGATACATAAACACCCACATTCACATATTTTCACACACGCACACACTTGATACACACCCATGCACATTCACACATGCTTGATACATGCACACACACAATTCACACACATACACACACTTGATACACCCCAATTCACAGACATGCACACACTTGATACACACACTTTCACACATCCCCACACACATGCACACACTTGATACACACACATTCACACATTCTCACAGACATGCACACACATGCACACACTTGATACACACACACTCACATTCTCACAGACATGCACACACATGCACGCACTTGATACACATTCACACACACATGCACACACTTGATACATACATTCATACATTCTCACACACGCACACACTGGATACATACCCATGCACATTCATACACATGTACACATGCACACACTTGATGCACACACACCTATGCATATTCACACACACACATATACATGCACACACAACACACACACCCATGCACATTCACACACACAGTACACACCTCATACACATGCACATGACATACATTCACACACTCAGGCATACACACATACTCTTTCACACTTCTCAACACAAAACATACCCATTGACACACACTCTTGCACCCGCACTCAGGCACACACACATTCATTCCCACCCATCTACACACACGCGCTCACACACTTCCTGCACCGAGCAGCGCTCACCCCCTGGGAACAGAGCAGGTTTGGGGTGGAGGTGGGCTGCTGTCCTGATTCTGTGGGCGACCCTGCACCCCTCCCACTGTGCCATGACCCTCACTGGCTCAATCACTCCTTCCTGGTGCTGACTGAGGGCCACCTGAGGGCCGGCCACTGTCTAGGCAGGAGACATGGTAGGGAGCGAGGCAGGGGAGGCCCCATCTCCATCTCCCTATGCTGGATGGGCACAGGCCTTGGCAACCCACCCACTGGCCTCTGGGTCTGGGGTCCCAGCCTCTCCGTGTCCTTAATTTCAATGCTTCACCCTCAACTGCTCCTCAGCCATCTGAAGGGGGGTCCTGGACCCTGCCCCTGCCAGCACCCACTCAAGCCACACCTCCACAGGGCCACCTACAGCTTAGGAAGCTGAGCCAGGCCAGAGCACTGGAAAGGGGCTGTGTTTGGGGGTTGTGGGGGGCGTGGGGACGGAAAGTGCTGGAATGCTGGTCATCTTCGACTTCCGTTTGGCTTTCCCTCTCGGGGGCACTGCCGCGCATGCTTCCTCCTTCCCTAAGCCCCCTCCCACCTGGCTGATGAGGACTGGGCTCCTGGCTTCCTTCCTGCCTCTCTGGCCGGGACTTCTCATTCTCCCACGTGGCATCTCTTCCTCCCTGGGTCCCTCCTTGGCCTTGATCTTGATGCCCTTGGGGATCTCATTCTTGGGGCTTAAATGACCAAATGTATGTCACCAGCTTTTCGTTTCTCTCAAGAACTGGCCAAAGTTGCCCAAGTTGCCAGAACAGCTCCATCAGCCCCCAGCCCACCCACCATTCCATGTTCTGTGTTTCCCCCGCAGAGGCAGGAATCACCTGTGCCCTCTTGGAGTGTCCGGGGCAGAGACCAAGAAACAATCACCCAGACCCTCCTTCACAGATTGAGATAAATGCTTGCAGTAAACAATACGGTAGGATGGAGAACAGTCAGGCGGTTCCTCAAAGACTTAAACACACTGTCACCACGCCACCTGGCAAATCCACTCGTAGGGCTCAACGCAAGAGAACGGCAAACATCTGTTCACAGCAGCATTGTTCACAACAGCCAAAAAGCAGAAACAATCCACATGTCCATCAACGGGTGAATGGATCAACAAAACATGGTCCACCCAGACAGTGGAATATTACTTAGCCATGAAAAGGAGTGAAGCACCGAGACAGGCCACAGCATGGATGAACCTTGAAAACAAGGTGCTCAGTGAGAGATGCCAGACACCAAAGGCCACACACTGTGTGACTCCCTTTATACGGAATGTCCAGAATAGGCAATCCATAGAGACAGAAAGTGGATTTGTGGTCACCAGGGGCCAGGGGGAGGGAGGAATGGGGAGAAACTGCTTATGGGTGTAGGTTTCTTTTTGGGGTGATAGAAATGTTCCAGAATTAGATAGTGGTGATGGTTGCACAACACAGTTGGAATAAATGCCACCAAACTGTAAGCTTTAATTGGGGTGATTCTTTTTTTTTGAGATGGAGTTTTGCTCTTGTTGCCCAGGCTGGAGTGCAATGGCATGATCTTGGCTCACAGCAACCTCCACCTCCCGGGTTCAAGCAATTCTCCTGCCTCAGCCTCCCGAGTAGCTGGGATTATAGGCATGTGCCGCCATGCCTGGCTAATTTTGTATTTTTAGTAGAGACAGGGTTTCGCCATGTTGGCCAGGCTCGTCTTGAACTCCTGACCTCAAGTGATTCACTCGTCTGGGTCTCTCAAAGTGCTGGGATTACAGGCGTGAGCCACTGCCCGTGGCCTAGGTTTGCATTTTAGAAAGACCCTTCTGGCCCCTCATGCGGAGATGCTCTTCAAATTCAATGCTTTCCTGACAGAAGCAGGCCCCTTGTCCTACTGCGGGTGCATCTATCTGGGTCCCCGGTGCCACCTGCCACCTCCACCCACCCACTCTGGCCAGGCCTGGGTGTTCCCCTCCTCCCTTCTCATGTTCTAGAGCTCAGCCAAGTCTACCACCCACATCCCACACCTCACTCCCAACTGGCCTCTGCTCTCCAGGCTGGAAGCTGCTGTCTTTTTGTTGTTGTTGTTGCTTTTAGAGACAAGGTCTTGCTCTGTTTCCCAGGCTGGAGTGCAGTGGTGCGAGATCCTGGCCTCAAGTGATCCTCCCACCTCAGCCTCCTGAGTATCTGGGACCACAGATATTCGCCACCATGCCTTGCCAATTTTTCTAATTTTGGAGACTTGGGGTCTCACTATGTTGCCCAGGCTGCTCTTGAACTCCTGGCTTCAAGTGATGCTCCTGCCTCAGCCTCCCAGAGTGCTGGGATCACAGGTGTGAGCCACCGTGCCCCACCAAAGCTGCTGTCTTGATGGCGCCTGCCACGTCCATTGAACTTTCTGTCCTTTCTGATGCTCTGTCCATGGGGCCACCAGAACCATACAGAACTGCAGCTCTTGCCACGTCATTGCCTGCCTAAGACCCTTTAGCAGCTCCCAATGGTGAGATGGAGCCCAGATGTCTTTGCAAGACGTGCATGCCCTTCCCAGCCTCGCCTCTTTCTGCATCCCTGCTTGGCACACTCAGTCCTCCAGGCACATGGGTCTCCTGATGTCTGCCAGTGTCTGTGCATACTCTGTTCCCTCTGACTGGAAGGGCATTCTCCAAGACCCGGTTTGGATTTTTTTTTTTTAGATGGATGGAGTCTTGCTCTGTCGCCCAGGCTGGAGTGCAGTGGCGCGATCTCGGCTCACTGCAAGCTCCGCCTCCTGGGTTCACGCCATTCTCCTGCCTCAGCCTCCTGAGTAGCTGGGACTACAGGCACCCACCGCCACGCCTGGCTAATTTTTTGTATTTTTTAGTAGAGATGGGGTTTCACTGTGTTACCCAGGATGGTCTTGATCTCCTGACCTTGTGATCTGCCCGCATTGGCCTCCCAAAGTTCTGAGATTACAGGCGTGAGCCACCGTGCCTGGCCAAGGATTTTTTTTTTTTTCTTTTTAGAGACAGGGTTTTGCTCTGTCTCCCAGGCTGGAGTGCACTGGTATGATCATAGCTCACTGTTCACTGCAGACTTGACCTCCTGGGTTCAAGTAATCTTCCCGCCTCGGCTCCTCAAAGTGCTGGGACTGTGCCTGGCCGGTTTGGCCATTCTTTCTGTGAAAACTTCTCTGTCAACCTCCCTTCTTCCAGCATCCTGGCTCGCTTTTCCCCCTCTCTCTCCCTGAAAACATCCACCCCTCTGCCTACACCCAAGCCCAATGCACATTCTATGGCAATTATTTCTAAACCTGCCTGCCTGCCTGCCCTAGGGTCATGCACGATTTGAGGACAAGAGCCTCTCTTCTTAATTCTCTATTCCAAGCCCCTAATGCACTATCTGGCATTCAGTACATGCTCGACAAACGTTTGTTGAATAAATGAAGATGAAACTTTCCATGTCGCTTAGGCAGGTGATCAAGGTCAACATCAACAGTGATAAGTTACGTGGCTAACACGTACCCTTGATAGGATGTGACAGAAAGGACCCTTCACCCCTGTGGTCTTCCTCCCCAAGACCCCAGTCTAACCATGAGAAACACCAGAGTGGCTGGGCATGGTGGCTGACACCTGTAATCCCAGCACTTTGGGAGGCCAAGGCCGGCGGATCACTTGAGGTCAGGAGTTTGAGACCAGCCTGGCCAACATGATGAAACCCTGTCTCTACTAAAGATACAAAAAAATTTGCTGGGCGTGGTGGCACATGCCTGTAATCTGAGCTACTCAGGAGGCTGAGGCAGGGGAATGGCATGAACCCAGGAGGCGGAAGTTGCAGTGAGCCGAGATTGCACGACTGCACTCCAGCCTGGGTGACAGAGCGAGACTCCGTCTCAAAAAACAAAACAAAACAAAACAAAAAAAAACCAACCAAAAAAAAAATAAACACACCAGACAGATCAGTATTAGAGGACATTCTACACAACACCTACTCCACCTTCCTCAAAACCGTCAAGGTTGGCCGGGCATGGGGGCTCACACCTGTAATCCCAGCACTTCGGGAGGCTGAGGCAGGCAGATCGCCTGAGGTCAGGGGTTCGAGACCAGCCTAACCAACATGGAGAAACCCTGTCTCTACTAAAAATACAAAATTAGCCGGGCGTGGTGGCACATGCCTGCAATCCCAGCTACTTGGGAGGCTGAGGCAGGAGAATCGCTTGAACCCAGGAGGCAGAGGTTGTGGTGAGCCGAGACTGCACCACAATTGCACTCCACCCTGGGCAACAAGAGCGAAACTCCATCTCAAAAAACAAAAAACAAAAACCAAACCAAACCAAACAAACAAAAACGTCAAGGTCACGAAAAGCAAGGAAAGTCTGAGAAACTGTCACAGCCCAGAGGAGGTTAGGGAGACATGACGACTAAATGTCATGTGGGATCCTGGGATGGAAGAAGGTTACTGGGAAAAAACAAAGGAAATCTGAATGAAAGGTGGACTTTAGTTAATAATAATATATCAATACTGGCCCATTAACTACAACAAATGTATCATATGAATGGAAGACATTAACTATAGAGGAGACTGGGTATGGGGCATATGGAAACTCTGTATCGTCTTCTCAATTGTTCCATAAATCTCAAAGTGTTCTACAAAATAGTCTTATTTTATTTTATTTATTTTTTATTTTTTGAGAAGGAGTTTCACTCCTGTTGCCCAGGCTGGAGTGCAGTGGTGTGATCTCGGCTCACTGCAACCTCCACCTCCCAGGTTCAAGTGATTCTCCTGCCTCAGCCTCCCAAGTAGCTGGGATTACAGGTGCGCACCACCACGCCCGGCTAATTTCTGTATTTTTAGTAGAGATGGGGTTTCACCATGTTGGCCAGGCTGGTTTTGAACTCCTGACCTCAGGTGATCCGCCCGCCTCAGCCTCCCAAAGTGCTGGGATTACAGGCGTGAGCCACCACAACTGGCCATTTTATTTTATTTTTGAGACAGGGGTCTCACTCTGCTGCCCAGGCTGGTCTTGAACTCCTGGCCACAGGGGATCCTCCTGCCTCAGCCCAAGTCTATTTTAAAAATAATAATAAAGGCTGGGTGCGGTGGCTCATGTCTGTAATCCCAGCACTGTGGGAGGCTGAGGGGGGGCAGATCACTTGAGGTCAGGAGTTCGAGACCAGCCTGGCCAACATGGTGAAACCCTGTCTCTATTAAAAATACACACACACATACAAAATTAGCTAGGTGTAGTGGCGCATGGCTATAATCCCAGCTACTCCTGAGGCTGAACCCAGGAGGCAGAGGTTGCGGTGAGCTGAAATTACGCCACTGCACTCCAGCCTGGATGACAGAGTGAGAGACTCCGTCTAAAAAAAAAAATGAAAAAAATAAAAATAGAAATTTCTGTACAGTGTAAGCAGAAAAGCCAACGACGGCTTTAACACACAAGTGCCATATGGCACAGAGAGTCCCTTGACTAGGCTGAGGAGGAAGAAGGATTTGAACTTGGATTTCTGACTGTATAGCCTTTGCCCTAAATCCACCCGCTGTGCTGCAGCTCTGTCTGTATTCTTTTACTTTGGGAATGATACACGTATGTGAAACCCCAAGTGCAGGGGTTACTCAGTGAAAACAGTCATTATTTTTCAACGGTGAGAGAGGGCGAGCACATATGATGCATCTTTCAGTCTGTGGCATTTTCAGAGACAGCAATGAAGACCCCGAGTTTCCTTTCCATGTTGTTTCCCTTACTCCCCTACCCCCCATTTCCTTCTTTTTTTCTTTTCTGAGACAGAGTCTTGCTCTGTAGCCCAGGCTGGAGTGCAGTTGCACGATCTTGGCTCACTGCAACCTCCGCCTCCTGGGTTCAAGCACTTCTCCTCCCTCAGCCTCCCGAGTAGCTGGGATTACAGGTGCGTGCCACCATATCTGGCTAATTTTTGTATTTTTAGTAGAGACAGGGTATCGCCATGTTGGCCAGGTTGGTCTTGAACTCCTAACCTCAGGTGATCCTCCCGCCTCGGCCTCCCAAAGTACCGAGATCACAGGTGTGAGCCACCACGCCCGGCCCTACCCCCCATTTCTGATTCCTCCATGTCTAATGATTACCAGGGACACAGACTCATTTCGGAATCTAAAGCCCAAGATGCCATGTGACCCCGATTTGTCTAGCCTGACAGACTGCTGCTGTCTTGGCTGGCTCTGACCTCTGGGGAAATGGCCCAACCTAGCACCTTAGGTCCTCTCGTCCTTGGCAAGGTGTGGGCGGACAACTGACAGGTGAGCTGCCCCTTGGATAACAAGAACAGCGGCTTGAATTCAGAGGTCCCTGCCTGATCTCTTCTTGCGCCCAGTCTAGCTGCTCCTCCACATGGTTCTGGAAGTTTCCATATCCCTGGCCTTGGAATGTAGGTTGTTATCCCAGATCTCTTGGCTCCAGGTGAGAACTTCAGAGCTTGCAGCCTGGGTTCAAATCCTTCCTCTACCTCTTTCTTTTCTTTTTATTCTTTTTTCTTTGAAACCGAGTCTACCTCTGTCACCCAGGCTGGAGTGCAGTGGCACGATCTTGGCTCACTGCAGCCTTTGCCTCCTGGGTTCAAGCAATTCTCCTGCCTCAGCCTCCTGAGTAGCTGGGATTACAGATGCCCGCCATTATACCTCGCTAATTTTTGTATTTTTAGTAGAGACGGGGTTTCACTGTGTTAACCAAGCTGGTCTCGAACTCCTGACCTCAGGTGATGCACCCGCCTCAGCCTCCCAAAGTACTGGGATTACAGGTGTGAGCCACCGCTCCTGGCCTCCTCTACCACTTTCTATCTTTGTAACCTTGGGTATGATGTATTTTGCCTCAATTTTTTTTGTTTATTTTTATTTTTATTTTATTTTTAGAGACAGGGTCTTGTTTTGTCACCCAGGCTGCAGTATAGTGGTACAATCATAGCCAACTGCAGGCTCCAACTCCTGAGCTCAAGTGATTCTCCTGCCTCAGCCTCCCAAGTAGCTGGGACTACAGACACTTGCCACTATGTCCAGCTAATTTTGTTATTATTATTATTATTATTGCAGAGAGAGAGTCTCACTATGTTGCCCAGGTTGGTCTCAAACTCCTGGCCTCAAGTTATCTCCCTGACTCGGCCTCTCAAAGTGCTGGGATTATAGGCGTGAGCCACTGCACCTGGCCTGCCTCAGTTTCATTATCTGAAAACAGGGCTAATGACAGTATCTACCCCACAGTTTTTGTTGGAAGGAATCAATGAGCTTAAACCTGTCATGTGCTTAGGACAAGCCTGACCTGTGATATTTATTCCCTTCTGGATGAAAAGTTCTACTAGGGCAGGGGCTGGGGCTGTCTAGCCCACTATTGGATCTTCAGAGTCTAGTAGGCATCCCATATTTGTGGGATAAATAAACTTCCCCTCTTCAACAGGCCCTCCCTTTCTGTGGTGATCCTGTTTAAAGAGTAAACACAGTAAAACTAGAATAATCTTTATTGATAACAATAGCAGCAACAGCAGCACACACCTTTGGCTAAAATCTGAGAAGTGAACCATTCTGACCTGCAGAATCCTTTCTGACCTAAAAAAAAATTTTCTTTCTTGTCATCTGACCAGATTACTTTTGGCTATTATAATAGGTTCCCTTCTGGCAAAACCCTCATTTTTCTTTTTTTAAAAATTTTTAAAATTTGTATTTATTTCTTTGAGATGGAGTCTCGCTCTGTTGCCCAGGCTGGCATGCAGTGGCGCGTTCTTGGCTCACTGCAAGCTCTGCCTCCCAGGTTCAAGTGAGCTGGGGCTACAGGTGTGCACCACCATACCCTGCTAATTTTTTTGTATTTTTAATAGAGACGGGGTTTCACCATGTTGGCCAGGCTGGTCTCGAACTCCTGACCTCAGGTGATCCACCCGCCTCGGCCTCCCAAAGTGCCGGGATTACAGGCGTGAGCCACCGTGCCGGGCCTCAGATTTCAATCAAACACTCTCACAAGCATATCGTGGCATGCTGAGAAATGAATGAAAGTGCAGGTGAGTCATGCCAATGAGGCCTTCCAAATCTCCCTCAAAAGGGTAAGTCTCTTCCCTAACCCTGATGAATTGAGTTAGTTCTCCCTGACCCTGATGAGCTGAGTTAGTTCTCCTAAACTCACCTCCTTCCTTCTATTGCCCGGGCTGCTAGCATGTGTGTGCTGCAGTCTTCCCTGGGAAGGGCGGCTTTGCTGCCTTTCCAAGTTCTCCCAACTAGGGATCCCCTTTGCTGGGGAGCCCCCCACCATGTGTGCCAAGTGTACAGATGGCACTGGGGACACAAGGGCTTGTAGTAAGACGCCTATCAAAGGAAGTACAGGGACACGCCTCCCTGAGCGCACCACGCTTGCTCCTGCCTCTTGGGCGTGTGTCCAAGCACTTCTGCTGCCTGGAACACCCTTCCCTGCCACGCCTGCCTGTGACCTGGTCCATACGTCATCCCTGCTGTGCCTTCCCCAACACCCCAGGGATGCATCAGGCTTTTTTTCCGGGCTCCCATTGCAGCCTGCTGTACATAATTCTGTCTCATGCTCCCCGCAGCAGGCCTCAGGCCAGGATGGCAAGGGCGCGTGCTGCAATCCTGGTTCCTCCGAGTTTTGGGGAGGATTAAATGAGATAATATGTCAATGGTGCTTGGCATGGTGCTGAGCACATGGCGGGGGCCGCCGCATGCCAGTGAGAGGACTTTAGACGCAGAGCAGGGACCACATTGTACACATCTTACATTCCTTCACACCCCAACATCTGACTCCAGGCCCAGGGCTTCCCTGTAACAACTGGCATCTCTATTCTGCAAGAGGAAATTGAAATATACATTCCTCCTCATCCGTCTGCCCCCTCAAAGCTCAAACAAAGATGCAGCTCCACGAGCCCAGTCTCGGGTAAAACTGCGTTCGTATCACTGACAAGTCCTCCTCGTGGTTTCCTATAGAGTTCACAGTCATCCTGGGAAGCCTTCATACCCCACTGTCTCTGCACAAAATTCCACCCTGGGGAGGCTGTAGAGTTTAGTTTCCTGTGCGTGAGAGATACCACGTGACCTTCAGGAGTCTTTTCCTCCACGCCTTCCTTCAGCAAGTGGACAGAACAAACCTCTTCCTACCCGGTGTCAGAGGTCTATGTGGGGCATCAGAGATCTATGTGGGGCCTCAGCATGGCTATCCGACAGCCCCTCATGCCCACCCTGTTCCCCGTGGTCCTCCTGGGAAGACCCTGTGTATAACCACAAGTCCTGCAGCAGACCATCTCTCATCTCCATTCTTCCAGCTCTGATTCGAGCTGGCTCCCTGCAATACAGCTCAGCCCTAGGAAGATGGCCACTTTTCAATGAAGTGTCAACTAAGACCCTCGCAGGGACCTGGGTGGCCAGTGATTCACAGGAGCCCATAGGACTCCCCTCCGAGACCTTGCTGTCCCCTTCCACACGGCACTGGGGGAACACACAGGGCCACACCCTAGCCTTCCTGCAGTTCCAAGTTCTGTTCTAAAAATTTAGCCGCTCTCCCCGCACCCCAGTTTCCGATGGGGAAGTTGAGGTACTGAGCCGCAATGAGCTTTTTCCTGGATGGTCCACAATCCGCTAGTGAATATCCACAAGGAAGCCTGGGCCTTTTATCTCAGGGTTTCTGAGCACAGTTATGTTGTCAGAAGGACCCCAGACGCACAGTGCCCAGGCTGCGCGGGACTGGACCGGCCCGGCTCCT
Source organism: Homo sapiens (assembly GCF_000001405.40). Taxonomy (NCBI): domain Eukaryota; kingdom Metazoa; phylum Chordata; class Mammalia; order Primates; family Hominidae; genus Homo; species Homo sapiens. The sequence goes on along the minus strand of NC_000019.10, from coordinate 7,832,296 downwards.
CGCCCCCTGCAGTCCTGGCCACAGTGTCGCGCCAGCATCTCCTCTCCTGTCTTGTCTCATCCCTGTGCCAGGGCCAAGCCACCTGCGATCCCTTCCAAACCACCCTCCGCTGACCACAGAAGCCCAGAGGAACCTACAGGTTGGACCCTGAGGCCAGAGCTGGGAGTGGGGAGGGCGGCGGGATGGATGGGAAGAGCCACAAAAGACGGAAAGACACAGGGACACGGGTCCTCTAGCTCAATCACATCCCGGCCGAGGGGGAATAAAACGAAGCAGACAACTCATTCATGTTCCACTCGAGCCTCTTCAGCACATTTTTCCCTTCTGAAAATATTCCTTAACAAAGAGCTGCCTGCTTCTGGCAGGCCCCGACCCAGGTCTCAAATGCCAAGATAGAAGGAAGCTGTTTTGTTTTGGCCAAACACACTAGTTGTGGGTGAAAGAACTCTCGGGCTGTCAGGGGCCAGCTCTGAGGAGCAACCTGGACCGCCCTGCTGGCTCTGGCATTTGAGGCCAGTAGGCGTGATGGGGTCAGGAGGCTGGGGGCAGACTTCAGGACGGAAGCCAGGAGCTGTGAATCCTCTCCCTTCCCGCCAGGGGGTGGCATAAATCAGGGGGCGGGCAGTGGTTCCTTCGGGACACTAGTGTAGGAGAGAAAGTGAGCGTCCTTCCCTTTGAAAGGGCACAGCAGGGAAGGATGGATAACTTGGCAGAGGCCTGGGGCAGGTTCCCACAGGGGTAGGTGCTGGGGGATTCTGGGGCCCTGTCACCCTCCAAGGCTCCAGTGTGGGCGCTGGTTTGGTGGAGGGGCAAGTTGGCTTCCTGGGGTGCGGCAGGCACCTCATGGTCTCTGGAATCTCTGCTTGAGCTGGGGGAGCTGTCGGGGACTCTGGGAGGGCCTGGACAGGTGGGATCTGAGGAGGGGTGCAGAAGTGTTGAGTGGGTGGGGGCAGGGGCAGATATGCCTGGGGTCTATGTTGGAGCTCTTAAGTTTTTCTGTGTGTGCTGGGGGATCTAAGTGACTGTGTGTGTGTGTGTGTGTGTGTGTGTGTGTGTGTGTGTGTGTGTGTTTGGGGTTTTCAGAAAGATGGGTGGCTCTGGATGGGGAGTGGGGTGGTTCAGAATATCCAACGGGAGGTCTTGAGCATGGGTGGATTTTTCAGGATCCAGGAGCCAGGATCCAGATGGGGCAGGATCAGTGGAGCTACCACAGTGTGCTGGGTGGACGCCGGGGAGTGGTGTTTAGGGGTGCCCTTGGGCATGTGGCAGCTGGGGTGGGAGATGGGCTAGCAGGCTGAGCTGAGGGCTGTGGGCAGGGGTAGGAAATCCGACTTACAGAGGCCAGAGAGGGGTCCTGTGGGGTCAGCATGGGGGGCGGGTAGGCCCTGAGGCTGGTCTCCTTGGGGAGAGGTGGGGGCAGTTCTGGGCCCAAGATAGGAGGACGTGAAGTGAGGGGGTGCGGGGAGGGGGTGGCAAGTGTTGTCCAGAAGGGAGGGGTCCTGAGAGATCAGGGCAGAAGGTGGACGGGGGTTCTTGGGCTTGGGGGGCGCTTCTGAGGGGCTGATCGGCGGAGTGGGGGGATGGGGAGCCCTGAGGGGGTTCCCGGAGAGGAGTCCTGAGGGTCACTGCAAAGGGTGGACGGGGGTCCTGGGCCTGCGGGGTCCTCATGGGGAGGGGACGGAGTGGGGGAGGGGGATCCTGCAGGAGCTCCTGGGGAGGGGTCCGGAGGGATCGGCAACGAGGGTGGGCAGGGGCCAGGGTCCTCCGAAGGTCCCGGGCTGGGGATGCCGAGGCTCCCAGCGCGGGTTCCGGGGCACGACGGCCCGAGTTGCGGTCCTGCCGGTTCCCCGCGGGCCGCATCACGGAGCCGCCGGCCTGAGCAGGCGCCCGGGAGGCCCGGCCCGCGCCGCCCTACCTGCGCCGAGCGCGCCGCCATCTCCGTGCCGAGCCTCGCCGCCCCGGGCTGAGCCGCCGGATCCTAGCCGCGCCGTTCGCCCCGCAGCCCCGGCCCGGCCCCCTCAGCCGCCCCCCGGGACCGCGGCCGCCGCCGGCTCCGCCGCTGCCATTTCACCCGCTGACAGGAGCCGCTGCCCCGCCCCCGAGGCCCCATCCGCCAATTCGCCGCCCCCAGGCGCCCTGGCCCCGCCCACCAGCCAGGAGTGACGGGGTGTCTGACCATTCCGTGGCCATTCCGTGAGGCGGGCCCTGGCTACGTTCAGAAGGTTGCCGCCTCTGAGGAGAGAGCGAATTGAAATGAGGGAAGCGGTGAAGGACAGGTAGTTTTGCGTATCGGAATGAGGAATCCTATTGATCAACACCTGATAAGACCAATAGCAAGGAAAGTGGGGGTGTGTCCGTGAGGAAAGGCTGCGGCCCTGAGGAACACCAGGCAGACGCGGCCAAGCGTTTGGCACTAAGCCCCGCCCAGAGCCGGGCTTTCTGCCCAATAACGAGACGCCCCGAGACGTCCATTATTATCTGCCCCTCAAACCTGGGCCCTGGCAACTGCTGGGGGCGCCATAAAGAAGATTGACACCTAGGGAACCAATGCTACTGAAGGAGGGCGGGAAAGTGACACTCTCTGACCAATGGGTATGTGAGATTGGTGGGAGCATTGGCGTCCTGGGCGGTGGGGCTTGAGGCCTGGGTTGAATGAAATGGGGGTGGGGCTAAGAGGAGGGCGTGGCCTAGGCCAGAGATGGGGCGGGGTCAAGCAAGGGAGGGGCTCGGGGGTTGGGTCTGAGAAGGGGCGTGGCCAGAAATCCTGAAGACTCACTGGGGACGTGATGGCACCGTGTCGTCTAGGAGCCCAGTTCTGTGCTGGGGACGGGGCGGTTGATATTGGGGGCGGGTCCCATAAAAGATTCAGGCCCGTCCCCTGTCTTACTCCAGGCCAGGTTAAATGTGTTCTCTAAAGCTCACAGAGCCGCGTGTTTCTCCATCAAAGCTCGGTTCGCGCCGTGATCGTGGGGAGGGATAGGCCCTCCCATTCCCCATCCTCCCAGGCTGATAGATCCTCGGGGAGTCGGGATGCAGGGCCTAGGTCGGGTCTCTTCCAGGTCCCCAGCATGGAAACTGCTTATAAACATTTGATGAATGAATGAATGAAAATGGGCCCGTGACTCTTTTAACAGAGAAGGGAGAGGTGGAGAATCCTTCAAGCTAGAGAGGAATTCGTAGGGACAGTTACTGACAGCGGGCAAGACTGACCAAAATGGACTTATTTCCTCCCCAAGATGTAGGGATGGGCCCTGGAGGGGGTGGGGCAGGGAAGGACCTTGTCATAGCAGAGAGGGTGACGTCATAAGTGTGTTTTTATTTATTTATTTTTCAGAGACAGGGTCTCGCTCTGTGTCCCAGTTTGCAGTGCAGTGATGCGAACATAGCTCAATGCAGCCTCGAACTCTTGGACTCCAATGATCCTCCCGCCTCAACCTCCCCAGTAGCTGGGACTACAGGTGCGTGCACACCATGCCCGGCTAATTTTTTTGGTAGAGGCTGGGGTCTTGGTATGTTGCTCAGGCTAGTCGGAAACTCCTGGTGCCAGGTTCTCCCACTTCAGCCTCCCAAAGTGCTGGGATTACAGGCATGAGCCACCTCGCCCAGCTAGATGTCCTAAGTTCAGAATGGGGAAGGGAAGGCTGGACCCAGGGAGGGGCACGTCAGGACTTCCTAAGGTCTGAGAGCTCAACCTTCTCTGTAGTAGGAGACTCTGTGTGGCCTTGCAAGCAGTGACTGACATCCACGTATGGTCCCGGCCTCTGTCCAGCTCTCTCTGCCTCTCCCTCCCTCTTCCTGTCTATTTTGCATCTGCCAACGTTCTGGAACTGTTAATAAACCTCCCCAGGGTCCGGGCGCGGTGGCTCACGCCTGTAATCCCAGCACTTTGGGAGGCCGAGGCGGGCAGATCACGAGGTCAAGAGATCCAGACCATCCTGGCCAACATGGTGAAACCCCGTCTCTACTAAAAATACAAAAATTAGCTGGGCATGGAGGCGGGTGCCTGTAGTCCCAGCTACTTGGGAGGCTGAGGCAGCAGAATCGCTTGAACCTGGAGGCGGAGGTTAAAATGAGCTGAGATCGCTCCACTCTACTCCAGCCTGGCGACAGAGCGAGGCTCCGTCTCAAAAAAAACAAAAACAAAAACAAAAATTAGCCAAGTGTGGTGGCGCACGCCTATAATCCCAGCTACTCAGGAGGCTGAAGCTCGGGAATCACTTGAACCCGGGAGGCAGAGGTTGCGGTAAGCAGAGATCATACCACTGCGCTCCTGCCTGGGTGACGGCGCGAGACTCTGCAAGCAAGAAAGGAAGGAAGGAAAGAAAAGAAAGAAAGGGAAAGAAAAGAAAAGTCCTGGGGTCTCTGGTCCTAGAATACTAGCAGGAATGTGGGAGACAGAGTGGTCTGCGGAGGTTCAGGCCAAGGTGGGGTCCAGAACCTCCCTAGGAAGAGGTCGTGACCAGTTATTTTTCTGGGACCATGCCTAGGAGACACTCAACAGCTGGTGTCTGGGGGATAAAACCAAGCCTAAGGCAAATGAACAGAACATTTGACCCCCTCTTTGCACTACCATTTTCACACAAAAAATGGTTTCATTCCCAGGACACTTTGATTCCATTTTTATAAGCGCAGTGGGAAAAAAATAAATCCAACACATTTCTGTTGGAAAAGACTTTTCCATCAAACACCGCATTAAGCCAGTCAAATTCCTGGATCCCTTTTCTATACAGTGCAGTGAAACTGTTTCCAAAGTTTTTTTTTGATAGAATTCATTTTTATCAGGAACATTTTTCGGGGTGTTCCTTACAGTAAACATTTGATGCACAAATCAGGCTGTTTTCATACAGTTTTTATGAACTGTTGATTTTACCATTGTGAAGTTTTCTTAGGATGAGTGTCATTTCTTTGGAATCAAACTTTGCGCATGGAAGTTTATTAAAAGACTCTTCTGCCAGGGTTTAGCCAGATTAATAACAAATTTTATGATCATTTTTTTTTCTGAGTTAAACTTTTTTTTTTTTTTTGAGATGGAGTTTCATTATTGTTGCCCAGGCTGGAGTGCAATGGTGCATCTTGGCTCACTGCAACTTCCGCCTCCCGGGTTCAAGCGATTCTCCTGTCTCACCCTCCAGAGTAGCTGGGATTATAGGCGCATGCCACCACACCTGGCTAATTTTTGTATTTTTAGTAGAGATGGGGTTTCATCACATTGGTCAGGCTGGTCTTGAACTCCCGACCTCAGGTGATCCACCCACCTCAGCATCCCAAAGTGCTGGGATTACAGGCGTGAGCCACTGCTCCTGGCTAACTTTTTTTTTTTTTTCTTTTTGAGATGGAATCTGCTGTGCAGGCTGGAGTGCAGTGTCGTGATCTCAGCTCTCTGCAACCTCCTCCTCCTGGGTTCAAGCGACTCTCCTGCCTCAGCCTCCCGACTAGCTGGGATTACAGGCGTGAGCCACTACGCCCGGCCCTGGCTTATTTCACTGAGCATATTGTCTTCAAGTTTCATCCATGTTGTAGCACATGTCAGAATTTCCCTCCTTCTTAGTTTGTTTTCGTTTTTGAGACGGAGTCTCGCTCTGTCACCCATGCTGGGTGCAGTGGCATGATCTCGGTTCACTGCAAGCTCTGCCTGCCGTGTTCACTCCATTCTCCTGCCTCACCCTCCGGAGTAGCTGGGACTACAGGCGCCCGCCACCACGCCTAGCTAATTTTTTTTTATTTTTAGTAGAGACGGAGTTTCACCGTGTTAGCCAGGATGGTCTCGATCTCCTGACCTTGTGGTCCGCCCGTCTCGGCCTCCCAAAGTGCTGGGATTACAGGCATGAGCCACCACGCCTGGCCAGAATTTCCCTCCTTCTTATAGCTGAATAATATTCTATCATATGTATAAACCACGTTTGGTTCATTCATTCATCTGTAGATGGATAAGTGGAGTAGTTTCCACCATTCGTTATTGTGAACAATGCCTCTATGAACCTGGGCACACACAGATATCTGTTTGCATTTCTGTTTTCAGTTCTTTTGGGTAGATATCTAAAGTGGAATTGCTGGATCATATGATAATTCTATGTTTAGCTTTTTGGTTTTTTTTTGAGACGAAGTCTCGTTCTTGTCCCCCAGGCTGGAGTGTGATGGCACAATCTCAGCTCACTGCAACCTCTGCCTCCTGGGTTCAAGCGATTCTCCTGCCTCGGCCCCCTGAGTAGCTGGGATTACAGGCACCTGTCATCATGCCCGGCTAATTTTTGTATTTTTAGTAGAGACGGGGTTTCACCATGTTGGCCAGGCTGGTCTAGAACTCCTGACCTCGGGTGATCCACTGCCTGTCCTCCCAAAGTGCTGGGATTACAGGTATGAGCCACCATGCCTGGCCCTATGTTTAGCTTTTTGAGGAACCACCAGCCTGTTTTCTGCAGTAGCCACACCATTTTACATTCCTACCGATTAACGGGAGTTCCAGTTTCTTCACATCTTCTCCAAGACTTTTTTTTTTCTCGAAAAAAAAGTGTCTCGTTTTGTCACCCAGGCTGGAGTGCAGTGGTGCTATTACAGCTCACTGCAGCCTCGATCTCCCAGGCTCAGGAGATCCTCCTGCCTCAGCCTCCTGAGTAGCTGGGATTACAGGCGCCCACCAACACACCCAGCTAATTTTTTTTTTTTTTTTTTTGTGAGACAGAGTCTTGTTCTGTCACCAGGCTGGAGTGCAGTGACATGATCTCCACTCATTGCAACCTCCGCCTCCCGGGTTCAAGTGATTCTCCTGCCTCAGCCTCCCGAGTATTTGGGACTACAGGTGTGCGCCACCACCACGCCCAGCTAATTTCTGTATTTTTAGTAGAGATGGGGTTTCACCATGTTGGCCAGGATGGTCTCGATCTCTTGAACGCGTGATCCACCTGCCTCGGCCTCCCAAAATGCTGGGATTACAGGCGTGAGCCACCGTGCCCAGCAAAATTTTTGTATTTTTAATAGAGACAGGGTTTCACCATGTTACCCAGGCTGGTCTCGAGCTCCTGACCTCAGGTGATCTGCCAGCCTCAGCCTCCCAAAGTGCTGGGATTACAAGCGGATTACACCATGCCCGGCCTGACTTTGTTTTTATTAAAGACTGTTTTGCTTTTTATTTTTCTTTCTTTTTTGAGACGGAGTTTCGCTCTTGTTGCCCAGGCTGGAGTGCAATGGCACGATCTCGGCTCACTGCAACCTCTCCTCCTGGGTCCTGCCTCAGCCTTCTGAGTAGCTGGGATTACAGGCGCCTGCCACCACGCCCAGCTAATTTTGTATTTTTAGTAGGACGGGGTTTCTCCATGTTGGTCAGGCTAGTCTCGAACTCCTGATCTCAGGTGATCTGCCTGCCTCAGCCTCCCAAAGTGCTGGGATTACAGGGGTAAGCCTTCGCACCTGGTCCCCATATACAGTCCTTACTATGTTGAAGTAGTCTTCTGAATGTGCACGTGTGGTCTCAGCTACTCAGGAGGCTGAGGTGGGAGGATTGCATGAGCCCAGGAGTTTGAGGCTCTGGCAAGCCATGATCATGCTACTGCACTCCAGCCTGGGTGAGTGAGACTCTGTCTAATAAAAAAAAAAAAAAAGAGAAAGGCCGGACGTGGTGGCTCATGCCTATAATTCCAGCACTTTGGGAGGCTGAGATGGGCGGATCATGAGATCAGGAGATGGAGACCATCCTGGCTAACACGGTGAAACCCCATCTCTACTAAAAATACAAAAAATTAGCTGTGTGTGGTGGCACACGCCTGTAATCCAAAGAAAAAAAAAGTCTCCTTTTTTTTTTTGTAATTTTATTTTTAATTTATTTTTTGAGACAGAGTCTCACTCTGTTTCCCAGGCTGGAGTGTAGTGAGGCGATCTTGGCTCACTGCAACCCCCACCTCCCAGGTTCAAGCAATTCTCCTGCCTCAGCCTCTTGAGTAGCTTGGATTACAGGCATGTGCCACCATGCCTGGCTAAGTTTTGTATTTTTAGTAGAGACGAGGTTTCACCATGTTGTTGAGGCTGGTCTCAAACTCCTGACATCAAGTGATCTGCCTGCCTCAGCCTCCCAAAGTTTTGAGATAACAGGCGTGAGCCATCACTCCTGTCCTTTATTTTATTTTTAGAGATGGGGGTCTTGCTGTGTTGCCCAGTCTGGTCTGGAACTCCTGGGTTCAGGCAATCATCCTGCACGTGGCTCCCAAAGTGCTGGGATTACAGGCTTGAGTCACCGCGCTCAGCCTTTGCTACGGTTTTGTTGAGGATTTTTGCATCAATATTCATCAGGGATATTGATCTGTAGGGGTTTTTTTTTGTGTGTGTGTGTCTGTATCTGGCTTTGGTAACAGGATAATGCTGGCCTCGTAGGATGAGTTTGGAAGTGTTCCTTCTCTTCAATTTTTTGGAAGAGTTTGAGAAGGATTAGTGTTAATTCTTTAAATGTTTGGTAGAATTCACCATCTGGTCGTGGGCTTTTCTTTGTTGGAAGGCTTTCTTTTTTTTTTTTTTCTCAGATGGAGTTTCACTCTTGTTGCCCAGGCTGGAGTGCAGTGGTGCGATCTTGGCTCTCTGCAGCCTCTGCCTCCGGGGTTCAAGTGATTCTCCTGCCTCAGCCTCAGTGCTGTTTTTGCTGCATCTCATAAGTTTTGGTGTGTTGTCTTTTCTCCCTTTTCCTCCCCTCCCCTCCCTCCTCCGCTCCCCTCCCTCCTCCCCTCCCCTCCCTCCTCCCCTCCCCTCCCCTTCCTTTCCCTTTTCTCCCTCCCCTCCCCCTCCCCCTCCATCCCCTCCCCTCCCTCCCCCCTCCCCCCTCCATCCCCCTCCCCTCCCTCCACCCCTCCCCCTCCATCCCCCTCCCCTCCCCTTCCTTTCCCTTTTTTCTCTTTCTCTCTCTCTCTTTCTCTTTTTCTCTCTCTTTCTCTGCCTCCCTCTTTCTCTCTTTCCCTCCCTTCCTTCCTTCCTTCTTTCCTTTCTTTTTTTTTGAGACAGAGCCTTGCTCTGTTACCTAGCCTGGAATGCATGATGCAATCATGGCTCACTGCAGCCTTGTCCTCCTGGGCTCAAGCAGTCCTCTCACTTCAGCCTCCCGAGTAGCTGGGACCATAGGTGTGCACCATCATGCCTCGCTAATTTAAATATATATATTAAATTTAATATATATATAAATATAATATATTTAAATTAATATATATTAAATTTAATATATATTAAATTTAAATATATATTTAAATTATATATATATTTAAATTATATATATATATTTAAATTTATATATAAATCCCGGCCACATGAAATATCTTTTTCATCATTTCACTTTCAATCTGTTTGTATCTTTGCATCTAAAGTGAGTCTCTTGTAGACAAGACATAGATCATGTTTAGGCTGGGCGTGGTGGCTCATGCCTGTAATCCCAGCACTTTGGGAGGCCGAGGCAGGCGGATCACCTGAGGTCAGGAGTTCGAGACCACCCTGACCAACATGATGAAACCCCGCCTCTACTAAAAATATAAAAACTTAGCTGGGCATGGTGGTGGGTGCCTGTAATCCCAGGTACTCGGGAGGCTGAGGCAGGAGAATCTCTTGAACCCAGGAGTCAGAGGTTACAGTGAACCGAGATCGCTCCATTGCACTGCAGCCTGGGCAATAAGAGTGAAACTCCCTCTCGAAAAAAAAAAAAAAAAAAAGACATAGATCATGTTTTAAAAAATTATTCTGCCAATCTAGGCCGCGCGCAGTGGCTCATTCCTGTAATCCCAGCACTTTGGGAGGCCGAGGTGGGTGGATCACGAGGTCAAGAGATCGTGACCATCCTGGCCAACATGGTGAAACCCCGTCTCTACTAAAAGTACAAAAAATTATCCAGGCATGGTGGCAGGTGCCTGTAATCCCAGCTACTTGTGAGGCTGAGGCAGGAGAATCGCTTGAATCCGGGAGGCGGAGGTTGCAGTGAGCTGACATCACACCATTGCACTTCAGCCTGGGCAAAAAGAGGGAAACTCTGTCTCAAAAAAAAAAAAATAAAAAAATAAAATTATTCTGCCAAACTCTGCTTTTTTTTTTTTTTTTTTTTTTTTGAGACAGAGTCTCACTTTGATGCTCAGGCTGGAGTTTAGTGGTGCGATCTTGGCTCACTGCAACCTTTGCCTCCTGGGTTCAAGTGATTCTCCTGCCTCAGCCTCTCGAGTAGCTGGGATTGCAGGCGTGTGCCACCATGCCCAGCTAGTTTTTGTATTTTTAGTAGAGATGGGGTTTCTCCACGTTGGTCAGGTTGGTCTCGAACTCCTGACCTCAGGTCATCCTCCCGCCTTGGCCTCCCAAAGTGCTGGGATTGCAGGTGTGAGCCAATGCGCCTGGCCTGAAAGAGTTTTGAAAGATGTTGAATTATTGGTTGATTTTTTTTCTTTCAGCAATTTAAGTATGTCATCACACTGTCTTCTGGCCTTCATACTTTTTTTTCTTTTTCTTTTTTTTTGAGACAGGATCTCACTCTGTCACTCAGGCTGGAGTGCAGTAGCGCAATCTCAGCTCACTGCAGCCTCCGCCTCTTGTGTTCAAGTGATTCTCCTCTCTCAGCCTCCTGAGTAGCTGGGATTACAGGTGCCTGCCACAATGACCAGCTAATTTTTATATTTTCAGTAGAGATGAGGTTTCCCCACGTTGGCCAGGCTGGTCTCGAACTCCTGACCTCAAGTGATCCACCCAACTCAGCCTCCTAAGGTGCTGGGATTATAGGCATGAGCCACCACGCCTGGCCATTTCTTTATTGATAGTCTCATTTTATTCATACATTGTTTTCCTGGTTTCCTTTAGATTTTTGTCCATGTTTTCCCTTAGCTCTTTGAGCATATTTAAGACAATTATTTTAAAGTCTTTGTCTAGTAAGTCTCAGATCTGGACTTTCTCAGGAATAATTCCTTTCAATTTGTTATTTTTTTTCCCCTTTCAATGGGCCATAATTTCCTTTTTCTCTGTATACCTTGTGATTTTTCTTGTTAAAAACTGGACATTTGAATATTTGTAATGTGATAAATTTGGATGTCAGATTCTCCCACTGTCCCAGGGTTTGCTGGTTTGTTGTTTGTTTTATTGTTAAAGACCGTAGTAGTTTTGGCTTAATGACTTTCCAAAACTATTCTTGCAAAGACTATATTACTTGTCGCATGTGGTCACTGAAGTCTCTATTCCTTAGCTTGTGTTCAGCTAGTGTTTTGACAGATTTTCTTGAATACCAGGAGCTAAAAAAGCAAGCAAACCAACCAAACAAAAAATCTTTCCCTCGCTCAGTCTTTGCAGATTGGCCCTGTGCTGGAGCACTCTTTCAACATTTAACCCAGCTTGCCCTGAGCCTAGGGATCAGCTGAGCATAACTTAGGGTCTTCTCAGGTCTTTTCTGAGCATGCATCTTGCTGTGGGCATAACCCTGTGTTTATAAATCCCCCTATGCATGCAGGTGCTTCTAATTTCCCCAGGAAACTCTCCCCAGCTTTTGCTCCTGAGCCTTAGGCCGTCTATTGTGTGTTTTGATTGTAATCTTTGGAACAGACATCTGTGGTTTGTTAGTTTGGCTTGCAGTGTTTTTGAGCAGTGCCACCACTTTTCCAGCCTGAGTTCCGAGGCAGGAAGACCAGAGATGAGCACCTTGTCCTTCAGGTGGCTCCCAGACAGCTTAGAGCGGACATACACTATCATCTACAAATAAAGTCTGCTCTGCTCCCTCTGGAAGGAGGAATGAGAGTCTCATGCTGGGAGTGTGGGCTTCCCTCTTCCCACTACTGCTGTCACACAAGGGAGGGCAGTGGCAAGTGGGGCAAACGCAAGTCGAAATATCAAAAGCTTTTGATCATTTTGAAGTTGTCTTTCTTCTTGATTCAGCATTCACTGGACTACCGTAAACCTTTGACTGTTTCCCAGAGTTCTGACAAAGTTGTATCTGACAGTTTCTGCTTGTTTTTTGATGTTTCTGTGGGGAACGCGGGCTTGGAACTGTCTACTTTGTCATTTTGCACTGATCTTGCCACTCTTAACCATCATGTGAACAAGCCAGAGGTAGCCTGAAAGGTGAGAGGCACATGGCTCAGTCACCCTCATGGCCTAAACTGTCAGCCGACCAACCTCCAGCTGTGAGTGAGGTTATCTGTTCCAGTTTCCTTTCTTCTTTTCTTTTTTCTTTCTTTCTTTCTTTTTTTTTTTTGAGATGCAGCTTCTGTCTCATTGCCCAGGCTAGAGTGCAATGGTGTGGTCTTGGCTCAATGCCATCTCTGCCTCCCGGGTTCAAGCAATTCTGCTGCCTCAGCCTCCCAAGTAGCTGGGATTACAGGCTCACGCCACCACGCCTGGCTAATTTTTTGTATTTTTTTTAGTAGAGATGGGGTTTCACCATGTTGGCCAGGCTGGTCTTGAACTCCTGACCTCAGGTGATCCACCTGTCTCAGCCTCCCAAAGTGCCGGGATTACAGTCATGAGCCACTGCACCCAGCCGTGTTCCAGTTTTCGATTGCTGTGTAAGAAACCATCCGAGAACTCAGTGGCATAAAACAGCAATCATTTTTAATATGCTCATGGTTTTTGTGGGTCTGAAGTTTGGACAGGGCATAGTGGGGATGGTTTGTCTCTGATCCATGACATCTAGGGCTTAAGGTGGGGAGACTTGAAGAGTGGGGGAGTGCCTCCAGTGGCTGGGAGCTGGTATCTGGTGGCTGGGATTATCTGGTAGCTTCTTCATTCACATGTCTGGTTCCTGGGCTGGGATGACTCAAATGATTGAAGTCTCTTGGGGGATCGATCTCTTTCTCTCTCTCTCTCGCTCTCCTCCTGTAGCTTCAGGGACTTTCCATGTGGTCTCTCCACATGACATCTCCATCACTGCAGTCTCAGGGTAGTTGAACTTTTTACATGTTGTCTCAAGGCTCTGGAAGTGAATCTTCCTGCAAACAAGACAGAAGCTTGCATGATGTGTTATGATCTAGCCTTGGAGGTTATATAATATCACTTCTGCTCTACTCTATTGGTTGAAGCAATCCAAGCCTGCTCAGATTCAAGGGGAGGGGATAGTGAGTTTGCCTCTCAAGAAGAGCTTTGTTAAAGTATTTTCAGCTACATTTTCAAGTTGCCAAAGCATTCAAGAGTAGCCAGATTTAGCCAATCCATCAGCTGACCACAGATGCATAAATGAGCCCAGCTATACCCAGAAGAACTTTCCAGCTGAATCTGACCCAAATTGGTGAACCACACAATCATGTACCAAATAAATTATTAGCCCAAGCCATTAATTTTGGGAGCATTTTGTTATGCAGCAATAGCGAACTGATACATCCTTGTAGGTGTATGCCTACAAGCATACTCACTAAGCCTAATATTGGCCGACCACATCCAGGACCCCTACACAGTGATGCAAGCCAGCAGATTTATCCAGTGACTCTTCTATGTCTGTGTTCACCCCACAGTTTATCACCCCTGGTTTTACCTGTCATGACAATTACACCCATCCACTGCTCCTTGACTATTCTGTGAATAGAATTCCTGAACGTAATAAAAAATTGTTGAATTGAAGCAATCTCTAGCTATTCCACTCTAAGACCACATAGCTTACCCCATTGAATCTTTCATTTCACCAATATTAATTTATCACCTACTATATGCCATTCACTCTTTTTTCAGTTTGTTTTTTGAGACAGAGTCTCACTCTGTCACACAGGCTGGAGTGTAATGGCATGATCTCAGCTCACTGCAACCTCTGCCTCCTAGGTTCAAGTGATTCTTGTGTCTCAGCCTCCTGAGTAGCTGGGATTACAGGTGCACGCCACCATGTCTGGCTAATTTTTGTATTTTTAATAGAGACAGGGTTTCACCATGTTGCCCAGGCTGGTCTTGAACTCCTGACCTCAGGTGATCCACCTGCCTCAGCCTCCCAAAGTGCTGGGATTACAGGTGTGAGCCACTATGCCCAGCCTCCATTCACTCATTAAAACACTGGAGAAGTGATGGTTAACATGAACCAAAGTGTTCCTGCTCTAATAGACTTATATATTTATATGCTGGTGGGGTGTAGTAAGTAGCTTCTGAAATGGTCCCCACCTCCTAGTATTCATGGCCTTCTGTGATCCTCTACTGGTGATTATCTTGCTTCTAACCAATAGAATACTTCATCATTGAGAAACTGTCACTTCTGAGATTATATTCCAAAATATTCTGACTTCTATCTTGCTAGCAGACTTTTCCCCTTGATGGCTTTGATGAAGCAAGTTGCTATGTTGGAGAAACCCATGTGGCAATAAGCTGAGGGTGTCCTCTGGCCAACAGCCAGCTAGGAACTGAGATAATTTGCCCAACAGCACAAAAGGAACTGATTCTGCCAACAGTCACATGAGTGAGCTAGGAAGTGAATCCTTCCCCAGTTGAGCCTTCAGATGAAACCTTAATCCTGGCCATCTCCTTGATTGCCGTCTTATGAGAGACCCCAGGCAAAGGATCCAGGCAAGTCATGCCCAGATTCCTGACCCATAAAAACTATAAAATAATAAATGTATGTTGTTTAAGCTGGGCCATTTGTGGCAATTTGTTTGTGGCAATCAATAACTATTAGGTGTGGGGTGGGGGGAGGCGGAGTTGAAACAAACATAGTAATAATTTGGAAATTAATCACAGAGTGATACAAATCATCTGAAATAGGAAACCTGAACAGATTAGATATTATAGGAGCCCATCTGTGGTCAGCTTGCAGGCTGACTAGATCTGGCAACTTTGTGGATGCTTTGGCAATTTGAAAACAGCTGAAAAGAAGGTAATTAGAGATCTAATAAGAAGAAAGGCACCAGGCCCAGATAGTTTTATGGGCTCACCCTGGTTGTCTCCATACCCTACCTTGTGGCCATTTAGTTTCTTTCTTTTTTCTTTTTTTTTTGAGACAGGGCCTCATGGTGTCACACAGGCTGGAGTACAGTGGCACAATCTTAGCTTGCTGCAACCTCCACCTCCCAGGCTCAAGCCATCCTTCCACCTCAGCCTCCTGAGTAGCTGGAACTACAGGCATGCACCACCATGCCTAGCTAATTTTTGTATTTTTAGTAGAGATGAGGTTTCACCATGTTCCCCAGGCTGGTCTCAAACTCCTAAACTCAAGAGATCCACTCGCCTTGGCCTCCCAAAGTGCTGGGATTACAGGCATGAGCCGCTGCACCCAGCCATGGCCATTTAGTTTCTACAACCAGTTTGGACTTTCACTCTTGGCTGATTGGAACTTGGTTGGTTTCTCACTTAGTTCCTGCCTTGGCTCCTTCCTCTGACTTTGCTACCCAGTGTAACCTCACTGGCTCCAGCTCTGGAGAAACTTGAAAGACAGTCCAGCTGTGACTGTCTTTCCTTCTTGCCTTCCCAGTAGCAGGAGTGAATTTGGATAGTAAAGACTTGTAAATGACAGGGACATTTTGAGGGCAGGCAGAAGAGGAGCCCATGAAGGAGATGGAGAAGGAGCGGTCAGGCAGACAGGAGGAGAACCAGGAGGTGAGGCCATCAGGGAAGTCTTGGGAGAGAGGAGTTTCAAGGAGGAGGGAGGGAGTGGCCACCCCATTAATGAGTGGAAACAAGATAGAAACAAGTCTGGTTGGCTTTCACAAAGGAACGGTAGTTACTCTCCTTGGTCATTTCAGGAAAGTGGTGGCAGGTGGGGCAGCCATCAGAGGGTTAGAGGGAGCAGATGAAGGCAGAAGTGACAACCCTTTTTCTTTTTCTTTCTTTCTTTCTTTTTTTTTTTTTAAAGAGTAATGATGTGATTTTTTTTAAACTTTAAGTTCAGGGGTATATGTGTGGGATGTGCAGATTTGTTATACAGGTGAACATATGACATGTACAGATTATTAGTTACTTTTCCTGATCCTCTCCCTCCTCACTCTCCACCCTGCAATAGGCCCCAGTGTGTGTTGTTCCCCGTTATGTGTCCATGTGTTCTCATCATTTAACTCCCACTTATAAGTGAGAACATGCGGTATTTGGTTTTCTGTTCCTGCATCAGTTTGCTAAGGATAATGGCCTCCAGCTTTATCCATGTCCCTGCAAAGGACATGATCTTGTTCTTTTTTATGGCTGCATAGTACTCCATTGTATATATGTACCACATTTTCTTTATCCAGTCTATCATTGATGGGTTGATTCCATGTCTTTGCTAGACAGCCCTTTTTCTTTTATTTCTTTCCTTTTGTAGAGACCGAGGTCTCACTTTGTCACCCAGGCTGGAGTGCAGTGGTGTGATCATAGCTCACTGCAGCCTCAAACTCTTGGGCTCAAGTGATCCTCCCACCTCAGCCTCCCAAGTAGCTGGGACTACAGCCACCACTCCCAGCGTTGTATATGGGTTCAGAAGATGGAGGAAGTGTGTGAGCCCAAGGGGCCAGGCAACCCTGGTGAGGCTGCCCCACCCCTTCTGTGGGATGTTGACAGTGAAACAGAAAAGCACCTCACTGAGGGCTACCACCACTCCATAAAAAAACTTTCACCCACCCTCCAATCGGATCACCCAATTGGATCACATGGGATCCAATTTTTCCAGTTCACTAAGGCAAGAACCCTGGGAGAGAGAAAGTCGTCTGTCCTTGCAATAAGGCAGAGCATCTAACTGAGCTGATGAACATCAGCCAATTGCGGACGGCAAAACTGAAAGAGCACGCTGTAACACATTCCCACGGGGCCCTCATGAGCTGTAAAGCATTCACCCCTAGACGCTGCCATGGGGTTGGAGCCCCACAACCTGCCTGTCTGCATGCTTCCCCTGGAGGTTTGAGCAGCGGGGCACAGAAGATGTGAGCCACACCCCCCGTCACACGCCCTGCAAGGGGGACAAGGGAACCTTTTCTGTTTCACTACCAACATCCCACGGAAGGGGTGGGGCAGCCTCACCAGGGTTGCCTGGCCCCTTGGGCTCGCACACTTCCTCCATCTTCTCCTCTCTACTCCCTTCTCTCTCCATCCCCTCTCTGGACTGTGGGTTTTTATAACCCCATGCATTGCAGCCCCTCAGAATCACATCTCTCCAAGCCAGGAAGAAGAATAAGGAACAGGATGGAGACACACCCTTCCTGAAAAGTGGGGTGAGAGATGAAGCACCTGACACAGAGGAGAGTCATTTAGAGGGCAGGCAGAAACTATCCAGTAAATTCCAGTGCCAAAAGACTCTATCTGAACCCATATACAACGCTGACACCTTGAGCCTCACTTTTTGGGAGTCTCAGTTTCCTCAGCTGTGAAATGAGACAACTACACTGCCTCACACTGTTATTGTGAGTTTTATTTATTTTTTATTATTTGTTTATTTATTGAGATGGAGTCTCGCTCTGTCTCCCAGGCTGGAGTGCAGTGGTGTGATCTCAGCTCACGGCAACATCTGCCTCTCGGGTTCAAGTGATTCTCCTGCCTCAGCCTCCAGAGTAGCTGGGATTAAAGGCACGCACCACTATGCCTGGCTAATTCTTGTATTTTTAGTAGAGACGGGGTCTCACCATGTTGACCAGGATGGCCTTGAACTCCTGACCTCAGGTGGGTCCACCTGTTTTGGCCTCCCACAGTGCTGGGATTACAGGTGTGAGCCACCATGCCTGGCCATGTTACTATGAGTTTTAATACAGTGCACTAGTAATAGGTATAAATTGCCTATTTGAATGATGGATACTCAGTAATTACAGCACTTAAGATTTATCACGCTGGGCCCGGTGGCTCATGCCTGTAATCCCAGCACTTTGGGAGGCTGAGGTGGGCAGACCACTTGAAGTCAGGAGTTCGAGACCAGACTGGCCAAAATGGTGAAACCCTGTCTCTACTAAAAAACACAAGAACGAGGACTGGGAAAGCTGAGACACCGCCGGGTTGGAAGTGCTGCAGCCCCGGGAATGAGTATGTTCGAGTGAAAGGAGACCATGTGATTGGCATAGTGACAGCTAAATCTGGAGATACATTCAGAGCTGATGTTGGAGGGAGTGAGCCAGCTTCTTTGTTTTACTTGGCGTTTGAAGGTGCAACTAAAAGAAACAGACCATATGTGTAGGTTGGAGATCTCATCTATGGCCACTTTGTGGTTGCTAATAAAGACATGGAACTAGAGATGGTGTGTATTGACAGCTGAGGACGAGCCAATGGAATGGGTGTCATTGGACAGGATGGTCTGCTTTTTTTTTTTTTTTTTTTTGAGATGAAGTTTTGCTCTTGTTGCCCAGGCTGGAGTGCAATGGTGTGATCTTGGCTCACCGCAACCTCCGCCTCCCAGATTCAAGCAATTATCTTGCCTCAGCCTCCTGAGTAACTGGGATTACAGGCATGCGCCACTGCACCCAGCTAATTTTGTATTTTTAGTAGAGACGGGGTTTCTCCATGTTGGTCAGGCTGGTCTCGAACTCCCGACCTCAGATGATCTGCGTGCCTCTGCCTCCCAAAGTGCTGGGATTACAGGCGTGAGCCACCGTGCCTGGCCCTGATGGTCTGCTTTTTAAAGTGACTTTGGGCTTAGTTAGAAAGCTATTAACTCCAGGTTGTGGAATCATACAGGAAGTGGGAAAACTTTATTCCCTGGAGATAGTATTTGGAATGAATGGAAGAATATGGGTCAAAACAAAAACCATCCATCAAACTTTAATTTTGGCAAACATTTTGGAAGCTTGTGAACACATGATGTCAGATCAAAGAAAACAAATCTTCTCCAGACTGGCAGAAAGTTGATACAGGTGGATTTTTTTTTTTTTTTTTTTTTTTTTTTTTGAGACAGAGTTTTGCTCTTGTCGCCCAGGCTGAAGTGCAATGGTTTGATCTCGGCTCACTGCAACCTCTGCCTCCGGGTTCAAGCAATTCTCCTGTCTCTGCCTCCTGAGTAGCTGGGATTACAGGTGTGTGCCACCATGCCTGGCTAAATGTTGCATTTTTAGTAGAAATGGGGTTTCACCATGTTGGCCAGGCTGGTCTTGAACTCCTGACCTCAGGTGATCCACCTGCCTTGGCCTTCCAAAGTGTTGGGATTACAGGCATGAGCCACTGAGCCCCGCCTAGGTGGACTTTTTTTTTTTTTTTTTTTTTTTTTTTTTTTGAGACAGTCTTGCTCTGCCACCAGGCTGGAGTGCAGTGGCATGATTTTGGCTCACTACAATCTCCACTTCCTGGGTTCAAGCGATTCTTCTGCCTCAGCCTCCTGATTAGCTGGGGCTACAGGTTTATGCCACCACGCCCAGCTAATTTTTGTATTTTTAGTAGAGACGGGGTTTCACCATGTTGGCCAGGATGGTCTTAATCTCTTGACCTCGTGATCTGCCCGCCTTGGCCTCCCAAAGTGCTGGGATTACAGGTGTGAGCCACCGCACCTGGCTCTAGGTGGACTTTTTTAATGGGTCAGTTGAGCCAAGAAACTATGGGTTTCCTGGGGAAAACTTTTTTCAGGTGAACCTTTCCCCATTTAAATACTCAGGAGACAAGGTATGAATGTACATATTATCTTATTAGAGTCCTAAATAAAATATTTTTATAAGTAAGTTACTGGTTTTCACCCATGCTTTTGTGGGAGAGAAAATCATGCAGAATCATGATGTATTTTTTTTTGTTCTGTACAACAAAGTTTGCTAAAACATTAAAAAAATAAAAAATACAAAAACTATCTGGGCATGGTGATGCATGCCTGTAATCTCAGCTACTGGGGAGGCTGAGGCAGGAGAATTGCTTGAACCCAGGAGTCAGAGGTTGCAGTGAGCAAACAGCCTGGGTGATAGAGTGAGTGAGACTCCATCTCGAAAAAAGATTTATCAGACATTGTTCTACATGCTCTACATAACATAGCTAGTTTAATCCTGAGAGGAGAAGAGTGGTCAAGAGCAGGCCTGAAGCTCACAGCTGGCTTTGGTGTTGCTAGGAGCTGCCCTGGGCTTCCTAGGTGGCCAGAGTGTTCTAGGAGCTGGTCTGGTCTTCCAGCTGATCATGGCATGGCTAGAACTTTACCCAGCACTTCCACCTAGGTTATGATGTTGTCCTCTTGAATATAAACAATTTCACAGAACATCAACATCAAGCAAAAACGTTTGTAGCTGTAAATGTGTACATAGCAAGACAAAAGTGAGATCACTCTGTAAGCATGTCTGAACACAGACAAAATGTGAGCACTGTCCAAACCAGACATAACCAAACATTCCTATATTCTGGCTAATTGGAACAACCTTTCTCTCTTAGTCTGTTGGGGCTGCTCTAATAAAACATCATAGGCTGGGTGGATTATAAACAGTAGAAATTTATTGCTCACACTTCTGGAGGCTAGAAAGAGCAAGTCTCGATAAAAGATTTATCAGACATTGTTCTACATGCTCTACATAACATAGCTAGTTTAATCCCGAGAGAAGAAGAGTGGTCAAGAGCAGGCCTGAAGCTCACAGCTGGCTTTGGTGTTGTTAGGAGCTGCCCTGGCCTTCCTAGGTGACCATGGTGTTCTAGGAGCTGGTCTGGTCCTGCAGCTGATCATAGCATTGCTAGAACTTTGCCCAGCACTTCCAGCTATCAAGGTGCTGGTACATTTGGTGGCTGGTGAGAGCCTGCTTCCTGATTCATAGATGGTGCCTTCTTGCTGTGTTCTCACATGGTGGAAAGGGTGAAGGAAGCTTTCTAGGGTTTCTTTTATGAGGACACTAATGAAGGCTCTGACCTCATGACCTAATTACTAACCCCAAATTACCACCTCCTAATAACATCATCTTAGGGGTTAGGATTTCAACATATGAATTTCAGAGGTAAACACTCAGCTCATAGCACTCTCTTTTATCAATCATGGCTTTAGCCTCAGTCTAGTCTTTACTCCTTGCATATAAGATTTATTTGTTCTTCAGTGGCTCATGCGTGTAATCCCAGCACTTCAGAAGGCCGAGGTGGGTGGATCACTTAAGGTCAGGAGTTTGAGACCAGCCTGGCCAACATGGTGAAACCCTGTCTCTACAAAAATACAAAAAATTACCTGGCCGTGGTGGCAGGAGCCTGTAATCCCAGCTACTTGGGGGGAGGAGGTTGCCATGAGCTGAGATTGCCTCACTGAACTCCATCCTCGGCAAGAGAGCAAGACTCTGTCTCAAAAAAAAAATTAAATTAAAAGACTTATTAGAATGCCTAGTCATAAGATTACCCCCTCTTCCTGATAGCATCCAACCTAGAATCCTCCCCTAAAGAACTTAACACAAGCCCCAATCATATAATAAGTCATTTATTACACTCTCCTACTGAGATACCCCATGGTTATGAAACTAGCCCCATCATCCCATAGAACTTATATTAATAGTTTCTTTCAATAAACATAGAATTGACTTGAGAAAGTTACATTTGTCTTATCTGAGTTCCTTTCCCAGGAAACGAACCATCAGGACTCCCAGATAGTATCAAGGAGCTGAAACTTAGCAGATCACACCTGGACAATGAGATGTCAGACCCCTCACCCATCATGATTGCCCAATTGACGATCTGCTTCCTGTTGACCAACTTCTCTTCCTTACCCCTACCTAACTGTTGTTTTCTCACATATTGTCACATTTCTTCCCTGCTATATAAACCCCTAATTTTTAATTAACTAATTTATTTTTGAGATGGAGTTTCGCTCTTGTTGCCCAGGCTGGAGTGTAATGGCACGACATCAGCTCATCGCAACCTCTGCCTCCCAGGTTCAAGCAATTCTCCTGCCTCAGCCTCCTGAGTAGTTGGGATTACAGGCATGTGCCACCACCCCTAGGCTAATTTTGTATTCTTAGTAGAGATGGGGTTTCTCCATGTTGGTCAGGCTGGTCTCGAACTCCCGACCTCAGGTGATCCGCCTGCCTCGGCCTCTCAAAGTGCTGGGATTACAGGCGTAAGTCACCACGTCCAGCCTAAACTCCTAATTTCAATCAGTCAGGGAGATAGATCTGAGACTGATCTCCCATCTCCTTGGTTGGCACCTAATTAAAGCCTTCTTCATGGGCAATACTAGTGTCTCAGTGATTGGCTTTCTGTGTGGCAAGCAGCCGACTGAACTGGTGTTTCAGTAACAGCTACCCGTGGTGTGTATTCTCCTTCGCTGTGACAAGTAATACATTGAAATTTTTTCAACTGGCTGGGCATGGTGGCTCATGCCTGTAATTCCAGCACTTTGGGAGGCCGAGGCAGGCATATCACTTGAGGTCAGGAGTTCAAGACCAGCCTGGCCAACATGGTGAAACGCTGTTTTTACTAAAAATACAAAAACTAGCCGGGCATGGTGGCACGCATCTGTAGTCCCAGCTACTCAGGAGGCTGAGGCAGGAGAATTGCTTGAACCTGGCAGGTGGAGGTTGCAGTGAGCCGGATTGCACCACTGCACTCCAGCCTGGGCAACAGAGCGAGACTCCGTCTCAAAGAAAAAGGAAAAGAGAGGGGAGGGGAGAGGATGGGAGGGGAGGGGAGGGGAGGCAAAGACATTTGTTCAACCACATGTGTGATTCTGGTGTTTTTTGACTGGGTGGGTGAGGGAGACACTAACAGTCTTCACAATAACACTACAAGAAAAGCACAGTTATTATCCTGCTTTACAGAGGAGAAAATTGAGACACAGAGAGGTTAACAATTGACCATGGTCATACAGCTTGTAAGTGGTAGGGCTGGGATTCGAACCTAGGCAAGTTGACACAAGTCCATGCTTAATCAGTACACTAAGCAGACCCAAATTTGAGGACAAGAGGAATTTATATGGGAGGCAGTTGCGGAAAATGCCAGTGGTGGGAAGGGGTTCTTTATTTCTTCATGTGGACTTTTTTTTTTTTTGAGACAGGGTCTCACTTTGTCGCCCAGACTGGAGGGCAGTGGTGTGATCTCAGCTCACGTCAACGGGGTTCAAGTGATTCTCCTACCTCAGCCTCCCAAGTAGCTGGGACTACAGGCACACGACACCACACCCAGCTAATTTTGTATTTTTTGGTAGAGACGGGGTTTCATCATGTTTAGCCAGGCTGGTCTCAAGCTCCTGACCTCAGGTGGGCCTTGGCCTCTCAAAGTGCTGGGATTACAGGCAAGAGTCATCACGCCTGGCCTTTCATATGGATTTGAGTTACTGTCTAGTGTTCTTTCATTTCATCCTGAAGGATTCCCTTCATTTCCTCTATTGTAGTAAAATACACATAACATAAACTTTACCATTTAAAGCATACCATTTAAAGTATACAATTCAGTGACATTTAGTACATTTACAATGTTGTGCAACCATCCCTACTACCTAGTTCCAGAACATTCTCATCTCCCCAAAAGGACACCCCATAGTTATTTATTTATTTATTTATTTATTTATTTATTTATTTATTTATTTTGAGACGGAGTCTCACTCTGTCGCCCAGGCTGGAGGGCAGTGGTGCAATCTCGGCTCACTGCAAGCTCCGCCTCCCGGGTTCATGCCATTCTCCTGCCTCAGCCTCCTGAGTAGCTGGGACTACAGGTGCCTGCCACCATGCCTGGCTAATTTTTTGTATTTTTGGTAGAGACGGGGTTTCACCGTGTTAGCCAGGAAGGTCTTGATCTCCTGACCTCATGATCCACCCGCCTCGGCCTCCCAAAGTGCTGGGATTACAGGCATGAGCCACTGCGCCCGGCCTATTTATTTATTTTTGTTTTTGTTGAGAGAGGGTCTTCTTCTGTCACCCAGGGTGACTGCAGTGGCACAATCATGGTTGAGTGCAGCCTCAGCCTCCTGGGCTCAAGCAATCTTCCCACCTCTGCCTCCTGAGTAGCTGGGGACGTGGGCATGTGCCACCGTGGTCAGCTAATTTTCAAATGTTTTGTAGAGATGGGGCCTTGCTATGTTGCCTAGGCTGGTCTCAGACTCCTGGCCTCAAGTAATCTTCCTCCCCTGGCCTCCCAAGGTACTGGGATTACAGACGTGAGCCACCATGCCCAGCCCCCCATACTTACTAAGCAGTCACTCCACATTCCTGCCTTCCTGCAGCCTTGGAAAACCCTAATCTGTTTTGGCCTCCCAAAGTGCTGGGATTACAGACGTGAGCCACTGTGCCCGGCTAACAAATTGTTTTCTGCCCATGCATTTATGTATTGTATGTGACGCATTTGTGCTAGAATAGCAGAGTTGCAGCAGAGAGCCCTCGAGGCCCAAAAATATTTACTATTTGGCCCTTTTCAAATGTTTGCCAACCTTTGGTCTAGAAGGTTACATTCTGGAGCAAACAGATCATAGACAGATAAAGAAAGGCAGATGCTAAAATCAGCCGGGCGTGGTGGCAGGCACCTGTAGCCCCAGCTACTCGGGAGGCTGAGGCAGGAGAATGGTGTGAACCCGGGAGGTGGAGGTTGCAGTGAGCCGAGATCGCGCTACTGCACTCCACTGGGCGATAGAGCAAGACTCCGTCTCAAAAAAAAAAAAAAAAAAAAAGAAAGAAAGAAAAGCAGATCCTGAATCTGGTCCCCTCCACTCACCCGCGCTTCCCAGTTATGAAAGGCAACACAATCTCCACATCTTCTTTCTTGGGTTTTGGGTTGGTTTGAGTTGGGGCCACGAAGGGAAGTGAAAATGATGTGGTCCTCATTGCTTTCACAGTTTCAAACCCAACTCCAGTGTTTATCAGCTGATGGGCTGTGGGCAGGTGACTCATCTCTGAGCCACTATGCTCATAGGTAAAATGAGAATGAGGGCGGCTGTGTTACCGGATTCTTTGAGGTCATATCCAAAAAACACATAGCACAAAATAAATGCTCATGAGATGCAGAGGCCAGGTGTGGTGGCTTATGCCTGTGATCCCAGCACTTTGTTTTTCTGTTTGTTTTGTTTTGAGACAGAGTCTTGCTCTGTCACCCAGGCTGGGTGCAGTGGCAAGATCTCGGCTCACTGCAAACTCCACCTCCCAGGTTCAAGCGATTCTGCTGCCTCAGGCTCCCAAGTAGCTGGGATTACGGGCTCCCGCCACCAAGCCCGGCTAATTTTTGTATTTTTAGTAGAGATGGGATTTTGCCATGTTGGCCAGGCTGGTCTCGAACTCCTGACCTCGGGTGATCCACCTGCCTCGGCCTCCCAATGTGCTGGGATTACAGGCGTGAGCCGCTGCACCCGGCCACTGTAATCCCAGCACGTTGGGAGGCCAAGGTGGGAGGATCGCTTGAGTCCAGGAGTTCCAGACCAGCCCAGGAAACATAGTGAGACCCTGTCTTTACAGACAAAAAATTAGCTGGGTGTGGTGCCGTGAGCCTGTGGTCCCAGCTGCTCAGGAGCCTGAGGCAGGAGAATCCCTCAAGCCCAGCAGGTTGAGGCTGCAGTGAGCTGAGACTGCCAAAGATTGCGCCACTGCACTCCAGCCCAGGTGACAAAGCGAGACTCGGTCTCAAGAAAAAAAAAAAAGAAAAGATACAAAAAAAAACAAGAATAAACCCTATTGAATTGGAGGTACTGAGGTGAATTCATGGTTTTCAAAATATAAAGATAAATATAGAAATAAGTTTGTGTGTGTGTGTGTGTGTGTGTGTGTGTGTGTGTGTTCCCATTTATCTACTAAGAGGACCTGGGAGCCACATACCCCAGTAACAATGGGCACACTTAACACCCAGATCATTTCTAACTGCCAATCTCCACCTAGCCCAGGGCTTTTTGGAAAAATGAGAGCAGCCTGGGCAACATAGCAAGACCCATTTCTACAAAAAATTTAAAAATTAGCCAGGCGTGGTGGCGTGCTCCTGTAGTCCTAGTTACTTGGGAGGCTGAGGCAGGGTTGGGGGGGACAAAAGCCTAGAACATCTAGTTAGGCCAGGAAGGAAGAAAAAACGATCAGCAAAAAACCAATAGGAATATGTCAAAAGGACCCAGAAGCCAGAGAGAAAAGCTTTCACTGGCCAAATTAAAGATAATTTAAGCATCGAAGGGGAAAAAAAAGAACGTCAGCAAAATGGCAGAGTAAAATTTGCCTTTCTACAAAAGCAATGAAAAAAACTGGCAAAATTTGACAGAATCAACATTTTCACAACTCTGGAAATTAACCAAAAGCTTACAGTAATTTGCAGAGCATTTAATTAAAAAAAAAAACACATAAAAAAACAGCAAGCTCTGTAGAATTTTAACTCACTCTAGTCTTATTCCTGGCTCTCCAGCTCAGAGGGTAGCCTTGAAAAATAACAGCCCACAATCTTGATACCATACGGAAAAGAACAGAGGTGCGGCTCCTTCAAAACCTCATTCAGGATCATTCAAGAAGAGGTGTGTGTGTGTGTGTGTGTGTGTGTGTGTGTGTGTGTGTGTGTGTGTGTTTGAGACAGAGTCTCGCTCTGTCGCCCAGGCTGGAGTGCAGTGGCGTGATCTCGGCTCACTGCAACCTCCTTCTCCTGGGTTCAAGCGATTCTCCTGCCTCAGCCTCCGGAGTAGCTGCGATTACAGGTGCCCGCCACCATGCCTGACTCATTTTTGTGTTTTCAGCAGGGACAGGGTTTCACCATGTTGACCAGGCTAGTCTCAAACTGCTTACCTCAAGTGATCCACCCACCTCGGCCTCCCAAAGTGCCGGGATTACAAGCGTGAGCCGCCGCACCCAGCCAAGAAGAGTCATTTATTGACCTATTTATTGGTACTCTGGAAGACCCTGCTCTGAAAGACCTGACCTCACTTGAACTTGCCGGATGCTAAACATTTCTCCCCAGGGGCTATTTGTTAAATGTTTTAACATTGCAGCTGCCTGTGGCAATACTTAACAGTTGGGGAAATAATAGCCTAACTAAAAATCTTAGAAGGAAAAGCGCCAGGCGCGGTGGTTCACGCCTGTAATCCCAGCACTTTGGGAGGTCGAGGCGGGAGGATCACTTGAGGTCAGGAGATCGAGACCATCCTGGCTAACACGGTGAAACCCCGTCTCTACTGAAAATACAAAAAATTAGCCGGGTGTGGTGGCGGGCGCCTGTAGTCCAAGCCAGGAGAATGGTGTGAACCCAGGAGGCGGAGCTGGCAGTGAGCCGAGATCGCGCCACTGCACTCCAGCCTGAGCCACAGAGCGAGACTCCGTCTCAAAAAAAAAAAAAAAAAAAATCTTAGAAGGAAAAATGAAGACATTAGATGTTCGGAGGGACTTTTGAAAAATTCTGACATATTTCTGGGGATATGGAAGGCCACATGCTTAGGAAAGACCTGAGACAGCCCTAAGCTCACACCGCTGGCCGACTTCGAGGCTCTGTGTAAGCAGGAAGTGAGAGCTAAAGCACAGTTGTAAATTTCCTGGGTGAAT
The DNA here is from genome assembly GCF_000001405.40 of Homo sapiens. NCBI lineage: Eukaryota > Metazoa > Chordata > Mammalia > Primates > Hominidae > Homo > Homo sapiens. The sequence continues at coordinate 7,805,105 of NC_000019.10, read as the reverse complement.
GTTGAAGGTGTGTCCCTAATAAGTACACAGAGCTCCCTGGCAAAGACTGGCAGACTTCCGATTCCAGACATTCAAGGAAATCTCTGTCCAACCACTAGCTAACCATGAAGCTAACTGAGCAAAGACTTCAGTAGCCATGACAGAGAATATAGACTTTACAGAAGTAGTTTAGAAAAGTCATTTAACAGGCCTGGCACAGTGGCTCATGCCTGTAATCCCAGCACTTTGGGAGGCTGAGACAGGTGGATCACCTGAGGTCAGGAGTTCGAAACCAGCCTGACCAACATGGTGAAACCCTGTCTCTACTAAAAATACAAAAATTAGCCAGGTGTGGTGGGGTGTGCCTGTAATCCCAGCTACTCAAGAGGCTGAGGCAGGAGAATCGCTTGAACCCAGGAGGCAGAGGTTGCAGTAAGCCGAGATCACGCCATTGCACTCCAGCCTGGGCGACAGAGCGAGACTCCACCTCAAAAAAAACTATTTTTATAGTGACAGGGTCTCACTATGTTGCCCAGGCTGAGCTTGAGCCCCTGGGCTCAAGTGATCCACTGACTTTAGCTTTCCAAAGTGTTGGGATTACAGGCATGAGCCATCACACTCGGCCAGCTGTTGGCATTTAGAATAGTCTTTCTAGCAAGACCAATATTCCAGGACCATAAAAGCTGACTGAATATCTGTTCTAGGATGAGGGATAGGCTCCAGGGATTCCTTTCTTCCCTGGAAGGTTGACTCTTGTGTGTTGGGGAGTGGGGCAGGGGGGTGGGCTGGGGCCAAGGGCCAGGGAGGACAATTTGGTCCTGACTCTCTTATTTGGGGTCTTTATGGATCTGCTCTAACACCAGCCAGTTAGAGCCAGGAGACTGCAAGCTGGGACCTGTGCATTGATCAGGTATGCCTGAGGCCAATGGTGAAGGGAGGATGGACCCTTTGAATCCAGTTATTTGGCTCTCTGGGCTCCTGCCCTGAGGTTCCCTCCAGCCCTGCTGCCCCAGCATCTAAGCCTGGAGTACCAGGGGCTCGAGGGCATGCGTGAGCCATGGACAGGATCCTGGGGAAGTTCCAGCTTAACCTGGGGGCCTCTTCCTTCTGCCCCAGCCACAGCCGGTACTTACTCAGCTCCACCCCCAGGAAGAGACTCCTGGGCTTCTCCTGTCCACCTGTGCTTCCATTGTACATTTGTCACTACAACCTGGAAGAGGCTCTGCCGTTGAGGTTGTCAGTCAGCCTGGAAGTCAATCCTGTCAGTTCGTCTCTGTTGCTGTTCAGTGAGTCAGAGATCTCCACTTGATCATCAGTAAGTTAGACTAGATCTGTCTGTGGATCTTCCAAATTGCCACTTAACCCAGCTCAGCAAGCAGTTAGGCCACCAGGTACGCATTTCGACTTCCATCCCCCACCTGGGAGTCTTTCTCAGCTAGTTACTCTTTGAGCTAGGATGCATGATGGCCTGCAAAGATATCCAAGTCCTGGCCAGGCATGGTGGCTCACATGTGTAATCCCAGCAGTTTGGGAGGCTGAGGCGGGCGGATCACCTGAGGTCGGGAGTTCGAGACCGGCCTGACCAAGATGGTGAAACTCTGTCTCTACTAAAAATACAAAGTTAGCCAGGTGTGGTGGTGCATGTCTGTAATCCCAGCTACTCAGGAGGCTGAGACAGGAGAATCACTTGAACCTGGGAGGTGGAGGTTGCAGTGAGTTGAGATCATGCCATTGCACTCCAACCTGGGCAACAAGAGTGAAACTCCTTCTCAAAAAAAAAAAAAAAAAAGATATCCAAGTCCTAATCCCTGGATCCTATGAATGTCACCTTATATGGCAAAAAGAGACTTTGCAGATATGATTGCGATTTTAAGATAGAAAGATATTGTGTGCTAAATAATCTGTCTAGTCACTACCTCTGGTTCCTGGCAGGGGGCGTCTAAACTCTTGGAATTTTCCAAGTAATAGAAGTGTCTTAATGGCCAACAAACATATGGAAAAATGCTCAACATCACTAATGATCAGGGAGATGCAAATCAAAACCACAATGTGATACCACCTTACTCCTGCAAGAATGGCCATAATCAAAGACTCAAAAAATAATAGATGTTGGTGTGGATGTGGCAAACAGGGAACACTTTTACACTGCTGGTGGGAATGTAAACTAGTACAACCACTATGGAAAACAGCGTGGAGATTCCTTAAAGAACTAAAAGTAAAACTACCATTTGAGCCAGCAATCCCACTACTGGGTATCTATCCAGAGGAAAAGAAGTCATGATACAAAAAAGATACTTGTTCACACATGTTTATAGCAGCACAATTCGCAAGTGCAAAAACGTGGAACAAACCTAAATTTCCATCAGTCAACGAATGGGTGAAGAAACTGTGGCATACATATAAAATGGAATACTACTCAGCCATGAAACGGAATGAATTAATGGGATTTGCAGCAACCTGGATGGGACTGGAGACCATTATTCTAAGTGAAGGAACTCAGGAATGGAAAACCAAACATTGTATACTCTCACTCATAAGTGGGAGCTAAGCTATGAGGATGCAAAGGCATAAGAATGACACAGTGGATTTTGGGGGCTCAAGGGGAAAGGGTGGAAAGCTGACGGATAGAATACTACAAATTAGGTGCAGTGTATACTGCTTGGGAGATGGGTGCACCAAACTCTCATGAATCACCACTAAGGAATTTAATCATGTAACCAAATACATGTTCCCCCAAACCTATGGAAATAAAAAAAAAAAAGAAGCGTCTTTATTATTCATGGGGGCCCTGGACCATAACTGAGCTTATACCAAGGAGGTGACTCAGGATGGGGGCTGGTCATGCCAGAAACACCAACCACCAAGGTTGGGATTTTTAGCCACCTGACCTCCAGGAAGGGGAAGGGGCTGAAGGTGGGGTTCAATCATGTAGATAATGGTTGGATCAACCCCACCTACTTTTTAATCCTGCCTATTTTTAAATACAAAACTAGCCGGGCATGGTGACACACACCTATAATCCCAGCTACCAGGGAGGCTGAGGCACGAGAATCCCTTGAACCTGGGAGGTGGAGGATGCAGTGAGCTGAGATTGTGCCACTGCACTCCAGCCTGGGTGACAGAGTGAGACTCCATCTAAAAAACAAATAAATGAGGCCAGGCGCGGTGGCTCACACCTGTAATCCCAGCACTTTGGGAGGCTGAGGCGGGTGGATCACGAGGTCAGGAGATCAAGACCATCCTGGCTAACATGGTGAAACCCCGTCTCTACTAAAAATACAAAAAATTAGCTGGGCGTGCTGGTGGGCACCTGTAGTCCCAGCTGTTCCGGAGGCTGAGGCAGGAGAATGGCCTGAACCTGGGAGGTGGAGCTTGCAGTGAGCTGAGATCACGCCACTGCACTCCAGCCTGGGAGACAGCGAGACTGTGTCTCAAAAAAAATAAAGTAAATAAATAAATAAATAAATAAATAAAACAAAACAAAAAAGAAGAGCTCACCAGAGCCAGCAGCCTGAAACAAAAGTGCTGGTGGAAAGGTTTATGGGGTGCCAGTTTAGTCAGTCACCCCTGTGTAGGACACCTATGGAAAACTGTAGGGGGCCCTTAGGAGAATCATCTCCGCAAGCCATTAAGTTCCCAGGCCAGAGGGCATGACCTGCTCTGCGGCTTTACACAGAATGCTCTGGGCTGACACACTCCCTTGAAGTGTTGGAACGTGACCAGACATCCTAGCTCCTTGTAAAACCGGCCCCCACCAGCTGCAGCCCGATAAGTTAAAGACTGTCTTAGCAGTTAGACATATGCTTTTAGCTTAAAGGAAATTCATATAACCGCCACTGCTCTACATCTTTCCAATGACGTACGCTCCCGCTCCTTCACCGTTTCATCCCAGCTGCTTCTTAGATCAAAAGATTGTGCTCAATAAATCGTCAGGCAACCAGAACTCTGGGCGTTTTGCAGCCTTCACTCTAGCAACTGGCCCCCTGGGCCTGCTTTAAAATCTTAACTTGTCTTTTCTCATTCCTTTGTCGCCACCGGACTTCAGGTACCCACGGGTAGTGTTGAGGCTGGACCCCACCATCTGGCGCCCAACGTGGTATCTCCAAAACAACCGGGTGAAGGAATGCAGGAGCGTCGAAAATGAAGGACCGACAGATGGAGAACTCCCAAGGACGAAAAGTTTTTTTTTAATTTTTACTTATTTATTTATTTATTTATTTTTGAGACGGAGTCTCGCTCTGTCACCCAGGCTGGAGTGCAGTGGCTCGATGTCGGCTCACTGCAAGCTCCGCCTCCCGGGTTCACGCCCTTCTCCTGCCTCAGCTCCCAAGTAGCTGGGACTACAGGCGCCCGCCTCCACGCCCGGCTAACTTTTTGTATTTTTAGTAGAGACGGGGTTTCACCATGTTAGCTATGATGGTCTTGATCTCCTGACCTCGTGATCCGCCCGCCTCGGCCTCCCAAAGTGCTGGGATTACAGGCGTGAGCCACCGCGCCGGCCAACGAAAAGACTTTTAAGCTCTGCAGGTAAGCGGGGCGCTCGGAGAATTCCAGGGTAACAACAGGAAATTGTGGGTCAGGCTGAGAGTAGACATAATAATTATTTGAGTTTGGTGCGGCAGTTATTGTGCCACTGTGGTTAAACGTGAGCACCCAAAATCTTCTGTCCCTGTTTCAGCTAATAGAACAATATTCTCCTTGGTTCCCGGAACACAGCTCCATGGATTTGAAAGACTGGGAAAAAATAAGGGCTGACTTCAAACAGGCACAAAAAGAGGGTCAAGAAATTCCTTTCTCCGCTTGGTCTGTGTGGGCGGCAGTGAAAACAGCACGTGAGCCTTTGCAGACTGAGGAGGAACCAGCATTTGGAAATGAAGGAGACGAGTTTGACGGTCAGGAGAGTGCACCATCTAGCTCCAGTTTAAAAAAGGCGGAGAATCAGGAGGTTATATATGCTAACCAAACACATATGAAAGAGACCGTCCAACCTACCGCACCCTCAGGGGAAGCTCCGGAATGGCCACCCGCGCCTAAGCCTTGTGAATTGCGGGCATGGAAGCCTGAGACGCGGTTCGCCGCGCCCATTGTTGCAAAACCTGCCGTTAATTACGGTAAAGGGATGATTCAGGCTCAGCCACCAGTTAATTAAAATTCAGGCTCGCCCTGCCGTTCATTACGGGGAAGGAGCAATTTCCCTTAAAAATGGATGACCCAGCGCCCTGTCTGGGTCGAACAGTGGCCGATCCCTAAGGAAAAATTGGGGGCGCTTTATGAAATAGTTAAAGAATTACTAGAAAAAGGACATGTTTCACACCCACTTTTTCTCCTTGGAATTCCCCAGTATTTGTAATTAAGAAAAAGTCCGGCAGATGGCGCATGCCGACCGATTTACTAGCGGTCAACGCTGTAATTCAACCGATGGGAGCTTTACAACCAGGGCTCCCATCCCCCATTATAATCCCTAAAGACTGGCCGCTTGTTATTATAGATTTAAAAGATTGCTTTTTTTTTTTTTTTTTTTTTTTTTTTTTTTTTACAATTCCTTTAGCAGAGGCAGATTTCGAAAAATTTGGCTTTACCATCCCTGCAGTTAATAATAAAGAACCTGCAGCCAGATATCATTGGAAGGTTTTACCTCGGGGTATGTTAAACAGTCTCACAATTTGTCAGACTTTTGTAGGCAGAACTATCCAGCCTGTTAGAGATCAATTTCCAGATGTGTGCAGCAAAAAATAGAGGCCAACTTATTCAATGTTATTCATCTTTGCAAAAGGCAATTACAAACGCTGGATTGCTTAAAGCATCTGACAAAATTCAAACAACCACTCCTTTTCAGTATTTGGGAATGCAAGTACAGGATAGAGCATTAAGCCTCAAAAGGTTCAAATTAGAAAAGCTTCTTTAAAAACCTTAAATGGGCGGGGGGGCAGTGGCTCACGCCTGTAATCCCAGCACTTTGGGAGGCTGAGGCGGGCGGATCACAAGGTCAGGAGATCGAGACCATCCTGGCTAACACAGTGAAACCCCGCCTCTACTAAAAATACAAAAAATTAGCCGGGCGTGGTGGCTGCGCGCCTGTAGTCCCAGCTACTCGGGAGGCTGAGGCGGGAGAATGGCGTGAACCCGGGAGGCGGAGCTTGCAGTGAGCCGAGATCAAGCCACTGCCCTCCAGCCTGGGGGACAGAGCAAGATTCCGTCTCAAAAACAAAAACAAAAACCAAATAAACCTTAAATGATTTTCAAAAATTGTTAGGCGATATTAATTGGATTCGGCCCACCTTAGGAATTCCTACTTATGCTATGTCTAATCTCTTCTCAATACTGAGGGGAGACTCCAGTTTACACAGTAAAAGAGAACTAACACCCGAGGCCATGAAAGAGTTAAGAGTAATTGAAGAAAAAATTCCGCAAGCCCAGGTCAGTAGGATTGACCCAGACTTGCCTTTACAATTCATTGTTTTCCCTACTTCACACTCCCCAACGGGGATTATTGTTCAAAATAATGATTTAGTTGAATAGTCCTTTTTGCCACGTAATACCATAAAAACACTTACAGTATATTTAGATCAGATGGCAATTTTAATTGGACAGGCTCGTATGCGAGTTGTTAAACTTTGTGGCACTGAACCTAATAAGATTATAGTTCCTATAAATAAAAATCAGGTTAAACAGGCATTTATTAATTCAGTTACATGGCAAGTTTATTTAGCAGAATTTGTTGGATGTATTGATAATCATTATCCTAAAAATAAAACTTTCCAGTTCTTAAAATTAACTACATGGGTTCCTCCGAAAATTACTCGTGATGCCCCTTTGGAAGGAGCTGTGACTGGTTTTTTTGTTTTGTTTTTGTTTTTTGAAACGGAGTCTCGCTGTGTCGCCCAGACTGGAGTGCAGTGGCGCTATCTCGGCTCACTGCAAGCTCCGCCTTCCCGGTTCACGCCATTCTCCTGCCTCAGCCTCCCCAGTAGCTGGGACTACAGGCGCCTGCCACCACGCCCTGCTAATTTTTTTGTATTTTTAGTAGAGACGGGGTTTCACCGTGTTCTCAATCTCCTGACCTCGTTATCCGCCCGCCTCGGCCTCCCAAAGTGCTGGGATTACCTGCATGAGCCACCGCGCCCGGCGGGAGCTGTGACTGGTTTTACTAATGGGTCTGGTAAAGATGGAAAAGCGGCAGTCTGGTGGAGACCACGTAATCCAATCACTGGATCTAAATTTACTAGCATTCGGAGAGCTGAGGCTGTTCTGTTTATTTATTAAATTACTTTTACAGCCTTAAGTTCGCTCTGGAGCCCACTCTGTGTGCCTCTTTTTCTTCAACTTCAGCAATTGCCGGACCAAGGTACACATCCTATTTTTATTACACACGTTTGAGCCCACAGATCTCTGCCTGGCCCATTGGCTTGTGGCAAGATCAAGCAGACCTTCAGGTTATGACATCACTGCTTGACCAAGCCACCCAATCACATCAATTTTTCCACCAAAATTGGAGAAACTTATCTAAACAATTTCAACTAGCCCAGAGACTGGCTAAACAAATTATCCTACAATGCCCAGATTACCAGCTGACAGGCACGTTTCCTCCTTAAACAGGTGTTAACCCTAGAGGATTGGAACCTAATCAGTTGTGGCAAACAGATGTTAAACACATCCCTAAATTTTGGAAACTAAGATATGTACATATATCCATTGTTACCAACACTCATCTAATTATTGTACATTAGAAAGAGAAATAGAAAAAAATAAGAGAGAGACTAGAAGAGACAGAAATCAGAAAAAGATGCAAAAAGAAAGACTAAGGAAAGAAATGAAGTAGGAAGAAGGGAAAGGAAATATTAAGAAAGTTATAAAAATGTACCTTTAGTAAGGAAAGTTATAAAACATACAAAGTTAAGGCATGTTGGCTGGGTGTGGTGGCTCACGCCTGTAGTCCCAGCACTTTGGGAGGCCGAGATAGGCGGATCACAAGGTCAGGAGATCGAGACCATCCTGGCTAACATGGTGAAACCCCGTCTCTACTAAAACTACACAAAATTAGCTGGGCGTGGTGGCTGGCGCTTGCAGTCCCAGCTACTCGGGAGGCTGAGGCAGGAGAATGGCGTGAACCCGGGAGGCGGAGTTTGCAGTGAGCCGAGTTCTTGCCACTGCACTCCGGTCTGGGTGACAGAGCAAGACTCCGTCTCAAAAAGAAAAAAAAAAAAAAGAAGAAAGTTAAGGCATGTTGAAGATTGTCTGTGAAAGTCATGAAAAATGTTATAAAAAGGAATTTGTGCAAGAAAGGTTGTATAATTTTTGTTTTGAAGGTCTAAGCAAGTTTTAAAATGATAATTGTAAAAAATTGTGTGTAAACATTTGCTAAAGTTAAAAAGGTATCATCCAGTTTTTCTATAAACTAAACATTAAAATAAAGCACAAGTTTTTCTTAAAACACTAACCTGCTCTTTAAAGATGGTAAAAAGTCTCTCAGCACAGGCACCACTCCTAGAATTTCCAGTACCAGCCTGAAGACTACGTCCTCATCAAATGACGGAAAGAAGAAAAAATTCGAGCCAGCCTAAGAAAGATCCTACAGGAACTGTAGCCTCAAAAATGCGGCTTCCGCAAACAACATAGGCCCCAGACATTGTGCTGAAGAAGCGAAGACTAAGCCAAATAATTCATTCATTTTTAATTCTCTCACTTTGCCTACTACCTATACCTACTACACTCTATTAAGCTCATATCTTAAATCCGCCTTTCTTCTTCCCTGTTACTTTAACAACCCCCCACCCCTCAGCTTCTAATAACATAACTGCTTAGCTAAAATAAATTAACATACCCCCAGTGGGGTTCCTCATTAATACTGTATAGTAAACTAAGATGCCAAGTAACACTACAGGTCACTCTTTGACTGGAAAAAAAAATGTTGCTAATTATACTCAGGTTTGTCTTCTGTTATTTACTAATCCTGGGATGCAAAGCTGGAATAAGAGCAGTGACCTCCTCGCCTGACAAACCTGTGGCTGCATATATCTACGCCCTGCAACCAAAAAACCCTAACACAGAAAACAAAAAAGGGGGAGAAGTTGGGATTCACTCATGATGGTGGCTATAATTGCAGTAATTGCTATGGTGGTAAGTCTCCATGGGGCTACAGCAGCACAAAATTATACCTGTTGGGCATATGGCCCATTCCCGCCTTTAATTAGGCCTGTCACTTGGTTGGAACCCCCGGTTGAGGTTTACGTTAATGATAGTGTTTGGACACCTGGACCAACTGATAACCAAGGCCCTATTCATCCAGAGGAGGAAGGAATGTTAATAAATGCATCCATTGGTTATCGCTCTCCTCCTGTATGTCTGGGGCCTGCAGCAGGATGTTTAGATTATGACAAACAAAGCTGGATGGTTTATGTCCCTGCGCATAATGGGTCAGAGGCCTCTATTCATATAGTTAGTGGAAGGAGCTTTCAATCTAAAACTAAAGTCATATCCTCAGGAAATTCCTATCGTGTAGCTAATATTCTTACTAATCAATTTAGACCAAGAAAGAAAAAATGCCCAGAACAATTGACAGTATGGTCTAAGGAAGCTGAGGAGCTGGCCTGGGAAGATTGCATTGCAAATAGTGCCGTGGTGATGGAAAATAACTCCTATGGAATCGTCATTGACTGGACCCCTAAGGGGCGATTTGCAGTAAATTGTACTGGACGGCCCAAGGGATGTCAAGAGCGCGGCTTCCCAGTTGACTATTCCGAAGAGGCACCTACCCAAAAGTACAGAATAAAAGGCGACTTTCCTATCTTCTGGGAAGGCAGCAGTATGGCTCCTCCACGCCCTAAAATGATTGATCCAACAGTAAGCCCAGAACACCCAGAACTGTGGAAATTAATGATGGTCCAAACCCCGTACAGATTTGGAAAGGAGAATATAAAACATAAACCCGGCCAGGCGCAGTGGCTCACGCCTGTAATCCCAGCACTTTGGGAGGCCAAGGCGGGCGGATCACGAGGTCAGGAGATCGAGACCATCCTGGCTGACACGGTGAAACCCCATCTCTTCTAAATATACAAAAAAAAAAAAAAATTAGCCGGGCATGGTGGCAGGTGCCTGTAGTCCCAGCTACTCGGGAGGCTGAGGCAGGAGAATGGCGTGAACCCGGGAGGTGGAGCTTGCAGTGAGCTGAGATCACGCCACTGCACTCCAGCCTGGGCGACAGAGCGAGACTCTCTCAAAAATAAGTAAATAAATTAAAAAAAAAATAAACCCATAGTAAAAAACTTCAATATATTGTAGCTTTGACCTCCAATCGGACAACCCCATTACAGGGTTGTGTTAAACCTCCTTTTATGTTAGTAGTAGGACAAATCAATATTCTACCTGATTCTCAAACTCTATCATGTCTTGACTGTTGTCTTTTCACTTGCATTGATTCTACAATTGATAAGAATAACAGTATCTTGCTTGTCAGAGCCCGAGAGGGAGTTGGGATACCTGTTTCCCTTAATAGACCTTGGGAAGCCTCTCCTTCTATACACATAGTAACTGAAATTCTAAAGGGAATGTTAAACAGAACAAAGAGATTTATTTTTACTCTTATAGCAATAATCATGGGCATTATTGCTGTTACCGCCACGGCCGCAGCCGCAGGTGTTGCTTTACATTCTTCTGTTCAAACTGCTGATTATGTTAACCAGTAGCAAAAGAATTCTTCCAAGCTTTGGAATACACAGACGCAAATTGATCAAAAATTAACTAATCAAATTAACGATCTTTGTCAAACAGTACGGTGGATGGGGGATCGAATTATGAACTTGGAGCATAGAATACAAATGCAGGGTGATTGGAATACTTCTGATTTTTGCATTACTCCTCAATCTTATAATGCCTCTGTGCCTCATTGGGATAAGGTTAAACACCATTTAGAGGGAAAGGTGGCTCACGCCTGTAATCCCAGCACTTTGGGAGGCCGAGGCGGGCGGATCACTAGGTCAGGAGATTGAGACCATCCTGGCTAACATGGTGAAACCCAGTCTGTACTAAAAATACAAAAAATTAGCCAGGTGTGGTGGCGGGCGCCTGTAGTCCCAGCTAGTTGGGAGGCTGAGGCAGGAGAATGGCGTGAACCCACACTGGATATAGCAAAATTAAAGGAACAAGTTTTTGAGGCATCTCAAGCCCACTTAACTTTCTTACCTGGTGCTGATGTCTTTAATGGAACCATTGATGGGTTCTCTGACCTGAATCCTCTGAAATGGATTAAAACCATTGGGGGATCAACTGCTGCAAACTTTGCTTTAATTTTTGTTTGTCTATGCTGTTTATGTTTAGTCTACAGGTGAAGAAGACACCTTGGGAGAGAAGCCAGACACTGTGAGCAAGCCATGATAGCAATGGCAGTTATTAATAAAAAGAAAAGGGGGCAAGTGCTGGTGGAAAGGTTTATGGGGTGCCAGTTTAGTCAGTCGTCCCTGTGTAGGACACCTATGGAAAAATGTAGGGTGTGGGCAGCAAGCCACCCAGGTGCCAAGGCAAGAGACCGAGGGCACGAGCTGTTTCAGTGTAATAAAATATATAAAATATCAAGAGTTATACTAGATACAGATCATAGATATGTATATAAGTATCACTAATCATTAGTTTGTAGTAATTACTCTTTATTCCAATATTATAATAATCTTCACTCTACAATCATAACCTAGGAAAAACCAGGCCATACAGAGATAGGAGCTGAAGGGACATGGTGAGAAGTGACCAGAAGACAAGAGCATGAGCCTTCTGTTATGCCCAGACAGGGCTACCAGAGGGCTCCTTGGTCTAGCAGTAATGCCAGCATCTGGGAAGATGCCCCGTTGCCAAGCAGACTGTGGTCTACTGGTAGCGTCAGTGCCAAGGAAAAAGCACCTGCTACTGAGCAGACCGGGAAAGGGAGTCTCCCTTTCCCCAGGGGAGTTTAGAGAAGACTCTACTCCACCACCTCTTGTGGAGGGTCTGACATCAGTCAGGCTTGCCTGCAGTTATCCAGAGGCCTAACCGTCTCCCTGTGATGCTGTGCTTCAGCGGTCACACTCCTAGTCAGCTTCCATGTTCCATCCTATACACCTGGCTCTGCCTTCTAGATAGCAGTAGCAAAATTAGTGAAAGTACTAAAAGTCTCCGATATGCAGAAATAATGGCGTAAGCTGTCTCCTCTCTCTCTCTCTCTCCCTCCCTCCACCTCGGCTGCCAAACAGGGAAGGGCCACCTGTCCAGTGGACATGTGACTCGCATGACATTACCTATCATTGGAGATGGCTCACACTCCTTACCCTGCCCCCTTGTCTTGTATCCAATAAATAATAGCACAGCCTGGCATTTGGGGCCACTACCGGTCTCCGTGTCTTGGTGGTAGTGGTCCCCTGGGCCCAGCTGTCTTTTCTTTTATCTCTTTGTCTTGTGTCTTTATTTTTACAATCTCTCATCTTCACACATTGGGAGAAAAACCCACCGACCCTGTGGGGCTGGTCCCTACAGTAGGGGGCCCTTGAGGAGAATCATCTCCCCAAGCCATTAAGTTCCCTGGCCAGAGAGCATGACCTGCTCTGCGGCTTTACACAGAATGCTCTGGGCTGAAAAACTCCCTTGAAGCATTGGAATGTGACCAGACATCCTGGCTCCTTGTAAAACCAGTCCCCACCAGCTGCAGCCTGATAAGTTGAAGATTATCTTCGTAGTTAGACATATGCTTTTAGCTTAAAGGAAATTCATATAACTGCTACTGCTACAGATCTTTCCAATGACGTACACTCCCCCTCCTTCACCGTTTCATCCCATACCAGCCGCTTCTTAGATCAAAAGACCGTTCTCAATAAATTGTCAGGCAACCAGAGCTCTGGGTGTTTTGCAGCCTTCACTCTGGCAAATGGCCCCCTGGACCAGCTTTAAAATCTTTATTTTTTTTTTGGAGACAGAGTCTCACTCTGTTGCCCCGGCTGGAGTGCAGTGGCACAATCTCGGCTCACTGCAAGCTCCGCCTCCCGAGTTCACGCCATTCTCCTGCCTCAGCCTCCTGAGTAGCTGGGACTACAGGCACCCGCCACCACACCTGGCTAATTTTTTGTATTTTTAGTAGAGACGGGGTTTCACCGTGTTAGCCAGGATGGTCTCAATCTTCTGACCTCGTGATCCACCCGCCTCGGCCTCCCAAAGTGCTGGGATTACAGGCATGAGCCACCGCGCCAGGCCTAAAATCTTAATTTGTCTTTTCTCATTCTTTGTCACCACTGGACTTTGGCTACCTACGGGTAGTGTTGAGGCTGGACCCCAACAAAAAGTGGCTCCCCCATGCCCATCAGCTACCCGCTCCATGCACGGATCATGTTCCTGTGCCCAGCTAGACCAGAATGTGGAGGTCCTGGGGATAAGGACTGGGTTTGACCCATTCCTGTGTCCCCAGAACCCTCTGAACCACACTCTGTGCCAGGGGGCTGAGAATTTTAACAGTGCTGAGTGGACAACTGCCCCTACCTTCAAGCCCTCCTGGCCTAGTGCAGGTTACCCACTGGGTTTGGAAGCATCATAGGACTATGAGGTCACTTAGAGAGATCAGGGGTCACTCACAAGGTTTACACCAGGGCTTCTGGGATGAAGCTTAGAAGAGCTCACCAGAGGGCCGGGCATGGTGGTTCACACCTGTAATCCCAGCACTTTGGGAGGCTGAGGTGGGTGGATCGATTGAGCTCAGGAGTTTGAGACCAGCATGGGGAACATGGTGAAACCCCATCTCTATAAAAAATACAAAATTGAGCCAGGTGGGGTCGTGCATGCCTCTAATCCCAGCTACTTGGGAGGCTGAGGCAGACAGATCACTTGAGTCCAGGAGTTCGAGACCAGCCTGGGCAACATGGTGAAATCCTGTCTCTACTAAAAAATAAAAAGTTAGCCAGGCATGGTGACACACGCCTGTAATCCCAGGTGCTTGGGAGGCTGAGGCACGAGAATCCCTTGAACCTGGGAGGCGGAGGTTACAGTGAGCTGAGATTGTGCCACTGCACTCCAGCCTGGGTGACAGAGTGAGACTCCATCTCTACATAAATAAATAAATAAATACATACATAAATAAATAAGAGCTCACCAGAGCCAGGAGCCTGGATCCATTTCTCAAACCTTTATTGATGCTCCCCCAGGCTGCAAAGAGAGCTTTGCAGGAAGTACCATTTTCCCCTTTGCGGGAAAGTGCAGGAAAACCAAATAGCTCCATTCCTCAGTTGCCTGACCTTGGCTAGGAGGAGAGGTGGGGTCAGACCACTGGGATCCAGAAATGGAGATTTTGGAGCCAGTGAAGGTTAGGTTAGGTTTGCATGAAGTCAGAGCAGAGGTCCCAGAGTGCAGGCACCGGACAGGGCTGGGCCTGGCCGATTGGTTCTCAGCAGTGGTGGATGGGGAAAAGAAAATCCTTGGCAGTGGGTTCCAGTAGCCGGGATGGTGCACAGCACCCCTTTGGGCACTGGGCACGGCTCTGGGGCACCGGGCGGGGTCAGCACCGTGCCTCTGCTGACAGATCCGGCCAGCCTTCTCATCACGTGGTGGGTCTATCCACAGCCCCATGCCCAGAATCATGACACAGGCCTCGCACCCCCAAAATTCATTGCGTTCCCCCTGTAACCAGTGGCTGCAGTGGTTGAATGGCCGGGCGGGGGGTGATGCTGGGAATCTAAGCTAGGGATGGACCCGGGGCCCCCACTTCCTTCCCAGGCTCTAGCCTGTTTATTGCCTGGGTCTACGCTAGACACCCCAAGTGTCTAACCTGAGTATACACCTGGGATATAACTTACTAACGCCCAGAATTTAACCCAAGGACACTTCCTAGGGTCCAGCCTGCCCATCCCTAAGCATGGAGCCCCAGCCAAGGGGTCCCTGAGATCTGGCCAAAGCATGACTTTTTTTTTTTTTTTTTTTTTTTTTTTTTTTTTTTTTTTTTTTTTTTGAGACGGAGTCTAACTCTGTCTCCCAGGCTGGAGTGCAGTGGCGCAATCTCGGCTCACTGCAACCTCTGCCTCCTGGGTTCAAGTGATTCTCGTGCCTCAGCATCCAGGGTTAGCTGGGATTACAGGCGTGTGCCACCACGCCCGGCTAATTTTTTGTATTTTTAGTAGAGATGGGGTTTCGCCACGTTTCCCATGCTGGTCTTGAACTCCTGACCTCAGGTGATCCGCCCACCTCGGCCTCAAAACATGTCCTCTAGAGTCTAACCTGTGGCCCCCAGGTTTCACCAGGAGCCCTTCCCCTACCTGAAGCTGAGTGGGACTCAGTCCACCCACGAGTAGCCCTGAACCTTGCGCAGGTGTTGCACGGCCCTGCGGCCGATCCAGTATTCACGGGCACTAGTGTCACGACTCAGGAAGTCCTAGAAAGGAGGAGACACCTGAGCCTGCAGAGTCAGACCCGTCCTGCCCCCTCCCCCGGCGCCGCCCCACCGCCCGGCCACGCCCCCTCGGGTGAACGCCGCCTCCTCCTGCGCACCTGCTCCCCCAGGCCCCCTACATCGCCAGATGTGCGCTGGCATCGGCGCAGTGGCCCTGCGCCTCTGCCCACGTGGTCTTCGGCACAGAGAAATAGTAGCAGGAGCCCCCGAAGGGCAGCCACGACGTAGGGCACGGCTCACAGGAACCTGTAGGGTGGCAAGGGTCAGAGAGGTCGAGTGCTTCCAGGGAGAGCGCACCAAGAGGATGCAGGGGGTAGGGGTTTGGCCCCACGGGCTCAGGGGTGGAGCCACAGGACCAGGCCAAGGTCAAAGAGGGGGTCCGGCGACGCACACGGGCAGGGTCCACTTACACCGCACCCCCTCCTACCCCCCCTCACCCTCACTGTTCTGCAGCCTCACGGCCTCCAGCGCCCGGTACAGCTCGGTGCTGACGTCCTCGCGGTCCCTGCCGGCTTCAGCCAAGCCATGGGTCACTGCGGGGTCAAGGGAATGGGGATTTTGGTTGGGCTCAAGGTCAGGACTAGCTAAAGGTCAGGACCCCTGTCCGTGGTCATTGTACCCTCGGTGCCAGCCACCAGGATGGCACAGGGTCAAGGACGGTTACACCTGGGCAGGGTCCGGGTGTGGCCGGCGCTAGGAGTGGCAGTCAAGGTCAGAGTGCAGCGTCAGGGTCAGGACGGGGTGCATGATCAGTGTCAGGGGTCAGCACTCAGGACGGGGTCGGGGTCGGGGTCGGGGGACGCGGCCAGGGCTCAGGGCTGGGGTCGCGTCGGGCCCTCACCGCGCTCACGCAGTTCCCGCAGGGCTCTCTCCTGCTCCATCAGCTTCGCCTGCGCCTCCCCAAGCTCCGCGCTCGTGGTCTGCAGCAGCGCCTGCGTCCCCGAGCCTGGGAGCCGCGGGGTGAGAGGGGCGAGGGAGGCGAGGATGGGGCGGGACTTCGGAGACCAGCCCCCCGCCGCCCCACTCGCCGCAGGCCTCGCCTCCGGCCCCCCTCCCATCCCGGCCACAAGACCCCACCCTTGCGCCCATAGTCTGGGCCGCGCCCCCTCACAGCAGCTGTGGCAGGCTCCCACCTCCTCCTCCAGGGCACCCAGCGCCGCCGTCTGCTTCGAGGCTGGAACGACCCCCATCCCAAAACGCATGCCCGCCGGGTCACTTGGGAGGACTCAGGGGACTCCCTTCCACACCCCGTGGCCAGACTCAGGGACCACAGGGCCCCCACGCACCCAGGACTCCATCTCTGGGGTCTCAGACGCTCCCGCCGCACACGCCCCGGGCGCCCAGGCGCCCGGCTCTGCACACACCGTTTGTCCTCAGCAGGTCCTGGCAGCCGAGCAGCGCCGCGCGCTCCGTGGAGGCTGCGGAGAGAGGCTCCTGCAGGCAAGGCCAGGGACTCGGAAATCCTTCCCTTGCCCGGGGGGTGCGGGGTCCCCCGACTCGGGACCACAGAGCGGGCGGGCAGGCAGGCATATAGCGCACACTATGTGCACACACGCCGATGGGAGACAAACGCGTGGGGACTCGCACACATACGTGCACGCCATGTGCACACGCGTGACTGCAAACGGCCCAAAGATGTACACACACTCTGCTCACGCTCAGACGCGAGCAAGACGCCAGGGCGCAGTTGGTGCGCCATGCAGTGGGGGTTTTGTGTCCCCAGGGGGGCCAGACGCAACCCCTCCCCATTGAGGGTCACTCACCCTTGGACAATAGGATACTCAGAATCACAGCCCACAGTACTGGCGACCAGGACAGCCATGGCCAGGAAGAGGGGTCTCGGGCTCCAGTGCACCCAGCGTCCCCAGTGCCCTGGCAGAACAAGGACGGCATGCTGGGTCCCCCAGGACTGAGCCCTAGAGGCCTGGGTTCCTCTCAGGAAACTGAGTTTCAGAGAGGTTAAGTAACTTGCCTATGGTCACACAGCTTCTAAGTGGCAGAGTTGGAATTGGCCCCTGGTCCAACTGGCTCTGTGTTGTTTTTTTTGCACCCACGACTCTGGCCCGTCTTGGCTCTTCCCTCCCCTCCCCCATCAAACCCCAGACACCGGGGCAGGGATGGGGCAGTCTCCTTGCTCATACCTCCGGGGACCTCCTCGTAGCTCCCGCCCCAGTTGCTGTACCTGGTGGTGTCTATGGCGGTGCAGGCACCGAGACCTGGGCAGAGATATAAATTTCACCCTCGTCCTCACTGGACCTACGCACTCCCTTCCTTCCTTCTCATTTTCTTGGCCTGGATTCCTGGCAACAGGGACCCAAGGACAAATCACAGGGTTGGACCAATCACAGGGTTGGGCCCTTTCTGGGCTGGGCTGGGCTGAGCTGGGCTCGGGGTGAGGTAGTTCCAGCTTCCCGGTCCTCGTCGCTGCAGCTCCATCCCCAGGCTGGTGCTGGAGGCTTCTCTTTGGAGCTTGGACCCCTCTCTTATGGGCCTGGGGCTGGGTTTCCGCCTGAGAGGGACACACTGGACCCGACCAAATTGTAACCCCTGCTGGCTCCTGAGAAAGCCCCCAAGGCGTAGCTCCCCAGGCCAGTTCAGGTCCCTCCTCAGAGGCTGGGTCTGAACCTGACCTTGATTCACTCCCTCTGTGCCAGAAGAGAGCAAACAGAGGTTTTGTTGAGGAGGTGGTCTGCTGAGCTGCAGGACTCTACCACTTGGTGGGTGGCGGATGGGGCTGTGCAGTGTGTAGCTTCAGGAAGCCTCAACTTTCTTTTTCTTTTTTTCTTTTGAGACAGAGTCTCCCTTTGTTGTCCAGGCTGGAGTGCAGTGATGCAATCTCGGCTCACTGCAACCTCCGCCTCCCAAGTTCAAGCGATTCTCCTGCCTCAGCCTCCCAAGTAGCTGGGATTACAGGTGCGTGCCACCACGCTTGGCTAATTTTTGTATTTTTAGTAGAGATGGGGTTTCACCGTGTTGGACAGGCTGGTCTCGAATTCGTGACCTCAGATGATCCGCCTTCCTTGACCTCCCAAAGTGCTGGGATTACAGGTGTGAGCCACGGCGGCCAGCCTAGAAGCCCCAGTTTTCTTTTACCAACCCTGAAAAGAGTACAGTGACGGGGCTTCTCTCAAAGAAACACCGAGAAACAATGAAGTTACGCATGTCTACCCAGAACCATCTCAGGTTCATCAAAAACTCTCAATGTTCATGCATTCTTTCAACAAACATTGAATACCTGCCATGTGCCAGGTATTTTAAAATATTATAACCAGCCGGGCGCGGTGGCTGACGCCTGTAATCCCAGCACTTTGGGAGGCTGAGGTGGGCGGATCACGAGGTCAGGAGATCGAGACCATCCTGGCTAACAAGGTGAAACCCCGTCTCTACTAAAAATACAAAATATTAGCCGGGCATGGTGGCGGGCGACTGTAGTCCCAGCTACACGGGAAGCTGAGGCAGGAGAATGGCGTGAACCCGGGAGGCGGAGCTTGCAGTGAGCCAAGATCGCGCCACTGCACTCCAGCCTCGGGGACACAGCGAGACTCCACCTCAAAAAAAAAAAAATATTATCACCTACATAGAGGAATAAATGTAAAGATTGCAACTACGAAGAGCATTTGCACAGAGTGATTACATTACTAAAATTAATAGAAACAACAAACTAGAAAGTTAATGAAAAATAAAGCCTCTAAAATAGCAACTCAAATTATCGTGTATCTAAGAATCAATAAAGAATGCACCAGAGGCCAGGTGCGGTGGCTCATGCCTGTAATCCCGGCCTTTTGGGAGGCTGAGGCGGGTAGATCGCTTGGGCCCAAGAGTTCAAGACCAGCCTGGGCAACATGGTGAGGCCCTCCTCTCTACAAAAAATACAAAAATTAGTCAAATGTAGTGGCATGCGCCTGTAGTCCCAGCTACTCTGAAGACTGAGGTGGGAGGATCACTTGAGCCCAGGAGTTCGAGGCTCCAGGCTGTAGTGAGCTATGATAGTGCCACTGCACTCTAGCTGGGTAATAGAGGAAGACTGTAAAATAAAAATAAAAAAAATGCACAGGACATATCTGCAGAGAAAAAAATTTAAATTCAATTAGAGAATACTGTAAAAAGGATTTGGATAAAGATAGCTAATGTTTCCAGAGGTCAGAAGAATTAACATAAAAGGGCCAGCCAGGCGCAGTGGCCCACATGTGTAATCCCAGCACTTTGGGAGGCTGAGGCAGGTGGATCACCTGAGGTCAGGAGTTCGAGACCAGCCTGGCCAACATGGTGAAACCTCGTCTCTACTAAAAATACAAATTAGCCAGGCGTGGTGGGCGCCTGTAATCTCAGCTACCCTGGAGGCTGAGGCAGGAGAATTGCTTGAACCGGGAGGCAGAGGTTGGTTGCAGTGAGCTGAGATTGTGCCACTGCACTCCAGCCTGGGTGACAGAGCAAGACTCTGTCCCAAGAAACAAAACAAAAAACAAAACAAAACAAACAAAGAAACACCCACACACAAAAATCAATTGAAAAATGGGCCAGGGGAATGAAAAGGCAATTCATAGAAGAAGCCAAAGATTGAGCACATATTTCAGGAAAGTTTAATGTCTACTTAATTGTAGAAAAAATAATGAGGTACAACCTTATACCAATTAAAATGCAACCATTAAAAAGATGCATAGTATTAAGTGTTGGTGAAGATGTGAGGAAGTGGGAACTGTTGCTCACTGCTGGTGGAAGTATAAATTAGTTCAGTAATTTGGAAAACAGTCTGGAAGTATGTAGTGAAATACAGGTGGCATATACCCTCTGATATTTTAAAAAGAGATACTTTTTAGAGAAGGTTTCTCCAAGGGCATTTACAAGGATGTTCAACACAGTGTTGTTTACAGTAGCAGAGTTGGGGGTAACCTACAAGACCCTGAGCAGGCAAAGAGTAAGTAAAGTGTAGTGAGTACACACATGAAACAAATCGTAATCAACTAGTTGTACAGGCAGCAGCAGTCCAGATTCTTAGTAGCCTAGAGCTGGGAGAAGCAGAAATGATTTGATTCAATAACACACACACACACACACACACACACACATACACACACACTCCAAGTATGTATAAATATTAAGGATATGACTTCACTACTATGAAATCTATGCATGCAACAAAATTACACCTGTACCCCATAAATTTATAGCAATAAGAAAGGCAAATGTAAGCATATTTTCCTTAAAAAACTAATGTAAGGGCATGTATCAAACACATCAGAATGGATGTCTATGGTACAGAGGGAGGAGGAAGGGTTAAACATTAAAAGTTAGCAGTGCTTAGGAGACGCTGAAGGGTTAACAAAACTTAGCTTCCTAGACTCTTCTTTCTAGAAGTTCCCTTGTTCCCAAACCATCTGACTCATCTTGCTTTCATCATCAGAAACGGAGCGCTGAAAGCTGACTTAGCAGCAGGCTTAACCGTAGGGCAGGAACTTTTTGGAGGGCACGCCCTCTTCATTCTGAGGCTTTTAGGGACAGGTGCTCAAAGGGAGGAAATCAGAAAAACTGCAAGGATTGCACAATCTCTGTCCAGGGCAACCATAGGAATGTGTTCTGGGGAAAGGATTTAGATGGCAGTGTTTCATCAGACCTTATGGAGGAGATAGAGGCTCTGCTGGATACACCTGTGGCTGAAGCTGCCTTGGCGAGCCAGGGCGGAGCTGTCCAGCTTAGTGAGGAAGCCAGAAGGCTGCCCATCAATGTCCTGTGCCCAGACCTCGCTGCGGGGTAACTGAGAGCGGAAGAGAGGTCCTAGAAGGAGGCAGCAGACCTCCACATCTATCCCTGGCCCAGGACAAGGAAGGGAGGCCTGTTTCTCAGGCGAGTGGGGAACATGTAACCACGGAATTTGAAGACAATATGATGAGCTTGGGAAGTACAGGAGACTGTGAGGACCACTGGAGACACTGGCTGAGCCTGGAGGATCCGAGAGGGCTTCCTGGAGGAGGTGATGCTTGAGGAGGGAGTCAGAATTATTCCAGAGGAGATAAATAACATTAAAGAACGTTCTCAATACGGTATCAGCACATGCAAGAATAGAGGATAAGGGAACAGGTTGGAGAAGCTGAGACTAATTCAGGGGCAGTCATCTGGGGCTAGGGTGTCAGCTGGGTCACATCACACAAGGACCTGAAGAGCAGGGACAAGAGGTTTGGACAAATGTGGGAAGAAGGTGAAAGTCACAAGATTCAGCTCCAAGGCCATGACCACTCTGGTTTCCATTCTCTGCAGAGATGAGAGGGTTGCTGTAACCAGGGAAGCCAGCCCACTGCAAAGGGCATGTGGCACATTGGTTGTCGCTCTGAATTTTGGCTTTGCTTTTTTATTACGAAGCATGCAAAGAGGTTTGTAGAAACAAATATAAACGCTATGCCTTTCACTCGGCTTTTTCAAGTTTTGACATCTTCATGTATTTCAGATCACCTTAAAAGTAAAGCATCATTACGTAACAAATCATAACAAATAGAGTGGAGGTCCCTTGTACCCCACCCTGCTCCTATTCCCCTCCCCAAGGTAACTGCCCTCCCAAACTTGGTGTTTATCCTATTTAAAATAATTATGCATGTACCCAAGGACAATATTTTGGATTTTTTTTTTTTTGAGAAGAAGTCTCACTCTGTTACCCAGGCTGGAGTGCAGTGGTACGATCTCGGCTCATTGCAACGTCTGCCTCCCAGGTTCAAGCAATTCTTCTGTCTCAGCCTCCTGAATAGCTGGGACCACAGGCACACTCCCCCACACCTGGCTAATTTTTGTATTTTTAGTAGAGACGGGGTTTCACCATATTGGTCAGGCTGATCTTGAACTCCTGACCTCAGGTGATCCACCCACCTCAGCCTCCCAAAGTGTTGGGATTACAGGCATGAGCTGCCATGCCTGACCTATGCTGGTTTGTTTTGCACATCTGAAAACTTTACAGGAGTGTTACCACATGGTCTATATCCTTCCGTAACTTGTTTTTGTCCTCTCTACATTACATTTATGAGATATATCTATTCAATACCCATTATTCATTTAAAAATGAAGACAGGCACAAAAACTAAATGCTTAATAAAGAGAGAACAGAATAAAGCTTTCTTAATTTGAGAAGTGGTAATTTCTGGGATCCTACAGAAATATCTTACATAACACTAAAATATGAGAAACATTTTAGGTAAAATGAAGAACAAATAAAGATGTCCGTGGTTTAGTGGGTTGATTTATAGCTCCCAAAAAGACATGCTGAATGCCTAACCTCTGGTATCTGTGAATGTGACTTTTAAAATTGGGAAACACGGTCTTTTTTTTTTTTTTTTTTTTGAGATGGAGTTTCACTCTGTTGCCCAGGCTGGAGTGCAGTGGTAAGACCTCGGCTCGTTGCAACCTCTGCCTCCCGGGTTCAAGTGATTCTGCTGCCTCAGCCTCTTGAGTAGCTGGGATTACAGGTGTGTGTCACCACGCCCGGCTAATTTTGTATTTTTAGTAGAGACAAGGTTTCTCCATGTTGGTCAGGCTGGTCTCGAACTCCTGACCTTAGGTGATCCACCTGCCTCGGCCTCCCAAAGTGCTGGGATTACAGACGTGAGCCACTGTGCCCAGCCGAGAAATAGGGTCTTTGCTGATGTAACTACATTATGGTGAGGTCATGAGAGTGGTCCCTAATCCAGTATCACTATGTCCTTATATGAGGAGGAGAAAGGTACAGAGAGAAGATTATGTAAAACGGCAAGAGGGAAGAAAGCCACGTGACAAAAGAGGCAGAGAGTCGAGCAAAGGGTCTGCAAGCCAAGGAATGCCAAAGGTTGTCGGCAACTGTCACTGACCTTGATCCCTGTTGTAGTGAACAGAGGATGATAAATGCAGGAATAAAGATAAAGACAAAAAAGTATATTTGGAAAAAGGGGTCGGGGGCTTCTTGCTTCTACTGAACAAGGGCCCTGAGCTTTAAAGCCCTTCACATTTTATTGGGTAAATAAAAGTAAATAAAAGTCCTGGCGTTTTTTCCACTGAGGGGGGGGGTACTGCATTATAAGGTCCTCTCTGTCCTGAGATCTGGCGGCATTCTTTTTCAAAATGTCCAGTTTTTCCACAATTATAACATTTTCCCACTTGAGGGCTTAATCCTTGGCTCCTTTTAGATTTGTCAACTACTAAATCAGCCATTGCTTCCGCTAACATTGCAGAGCGATGAAGCTCAATTCCTACATCCTGACAAGCTCTGAGAAAATTTCCCAAGTTTTTAGTACACCTCACGGGTGCCAGTGCACGTTTACAATCTGCGTCTGCATTCTCAGAAGCTAAAGTTAAGGTTAGCGCCTCTGCGGCAGTGGCATGAGGAATCTGACACTTCACTGCCTCTCGTAATCTTGCAAGAAATTGTGCAGAGGGCTCCTGTGACCCTTCCATGAAAGGTAAAAAGGATTGTACTGGGACTCCCTCTTCAGGAATTGTGGCCCAGGCGCGTTTAGTTCCATTTGATGTTCCAGGTCTGAATAAGGGCCATTACCCAATAGCATATCCTCTGCGATGTCTCCGTGTCCAGCAGCACGATTCTGTCTAACCTGGTCTGTACACATTTCTTGCCCATTTAAATTCCATGTCAGATATGCACTAGCAGACAAGCAAGTTCGAGCCCAGTGTTTTACATCAAAGGGTAGAAGACGCATAGCACCAAATGCAGATTCTGGCAATCCTAAAGTGAATGGGCTCTGTACCCCGATATTAACTACACTGGTTTTTAATTCATTCAACAACTTAAACTCTAGTGGGGTGTGTTCATGAATAAACTGCTGTGGATTATTTGAATCGGGCCTTACGGAAATAGGAAAAGCACAAGGTCCTGAGGGCTCTCCAGCTATGGCAGCAGAGCGTAAAATTCTTTGTATTGGGGTCTCTATTCCTGCTACCGAAGGAGGCGGCACAGATGTTTCTGCAACTGGAGGAGGCAGTATAGGCCAATTTTTATCCTCCCTCTCCTGTTTTTTATTTTCAATTGAAGCTGTGGGTGGGACAACAGATTCTTTCAGATTTTTAGACTCAGCCTGCTGTCCCGCAGAATAATAAGGAGATAACGGCATAAGTACAGTACGAATTAGACTGCAAGTACAGAAAGCAGAAGAATCAACTTTAAGACCTTTTTGATGAGCATGTTTCAATCCTTCTCCCGCTCTGTTCCAGTTTTCCACATCAAGAGTGCCTGCCTGTGGAGACCATGGGTTATGCGTTAATAACCATTTGTGGCTTCTGCAGGAGGTTGGTTAGTATCTGCGAATTAACCTGAGCTCCAGACTGTCTCAACAGAACTTGAAGCAAGTGCACATGTTTTTCTTCAACAGACAAATTCTGCCGCATGTTACCCTGATTCAGAAAACTTCCCGTTCCCAGTACTTCTTTAGGGCACTGACCTTATATCCGCTGCTGGCAGGCTTGTCTCGGGGTCCCCATTCATCTTGTCGTTTTCGGTTCCTCTGCTCCAGCCGACCTTCTTCGTTCACGTCCTCCGGTCTCTGTGTTCAGAAGCCACTTTGCAACGTCCTCAAGTCCCTGTTCTGGGTCGCCACTTTGCCACGGATTCCATCCCTGTTGGACTGAACAAAGGATGATGAATGTGGGAATAAAGATAAAGACAAAAGAGTATATTTGGAAGAAGGGGTCGGGGGGCTCCTTGCTTCTTTCTAGTGAACAAGTACCTTGAGCTTTAGACCCCTTTGCATTTTATTGGGTAAAGGAGATGGGGGCGGGGGGTGGTTGTCAGTCAGCGGCTTGATTTACAGCAGGCTTGCAAGGCTGCATTCTTCGAGCAATAGGCTCTAGATGTCCCAGTAGATAACCCCAGTGAGCGTGGTGCCAGGGAGTGATTGCCCTCAGCAAACCTTCTGGCGGTAGGCGCAGTCGTGAGTTTGCCCACATCCTGCGTTCATGATAAACACTTTGCTGTTTGATCATACAGCTTCCAGTGGAATGCTGAGTTGGTCACGATCCCTTTGGCCTTTTCGGCTCCCAACAGGCAATCACCAGAATCTAGGGAGAGGCAGGGAAGGATTCTCCCCTACATGATTCAGATGGAACATGGCCCTGCTGACACCTTGATTCCAGACTTCTGGCCTCCGGGACTGTGAGATAATAAATTAGCATTGTTTGGAGCCTCCCAGTTCATGGTAGTTGCTTACAACAGCCCCTAGCTGCCTGATACTGGTGGGATAAGGGGCAATTTCCACAATCCTACAGAAACTCCTTAATAATTAAATATGAGAACTGCATTTGGTAAAGTCAAGAACAAAATAAAGATGGCCCTCTTGCTGTTTTCCCAATGCAGTAAGAAAATAAAAAGAAGCCCAGGCACAGTGGCTCACGTCTGTGAATCCCAGCACTTTGGAAGGTCAAGGTGGGAGGACTGCTTGAGCCCAGGAGTTCAAGACAAGCCTCCACAACATAGGGAGACCCCGTTTCTACAAAAAATACAAAAATTAGCCGGGTGTGGTGGTGCACATCTGTAGTTCCAGCTACTTGGGAGGCTGAAGTGGGAGGATTTGAGCCTGGGGGTTTGGGGCTGCAGTGAGCCATGACTGTGCCACTGCACTCCAGTCTGGGCAACAGAGCGAGACCTTGTCTCAAAAAAAAAAAAAAAAAAAAAGACCGGGCGCGGTGGCTCACACCTGTAATCCCAGCACTTTGGGAGGCTGAGGCGGGCGGATCACGAGGTCAGGAGATCGAGACCATCCTGGCTAACACGGTGAAACCCCGTCTCTACTACAAATACAAAAATAATTAGCCAGGCTTGGTGGCGGGCACCTGTAGTCCCAGCTACTTGTGAGGCTGAGGCAGGAGAATGGTGTGAACCTGGGAGGCGGAGGTTGCAGTGAGCTTTGATCGCGCCACTGTACTCCAGCCTGGGAGACAGAGCGAGACTCCGTCTCAAAAAAAAAAAAAAAAAAAAAAAAAGAGAGACAGAAATAAATAAATAAATAAATAAGACCTATAAATATATTGAAAGCAAGAGTCAAAGCTGACTGTAGTTTGAAGCCATAATCACGTATCTAGGAAGTTCTAGAGGCTTAACTTCAGGAGTAATTAGAGCTCACAGCAAGATTTCTCTATAAAAGGAGCAGCTTTGTTTGGTTGAAGTAACGAGTATTTGCAAACGCAGGAGAAAACAAACCCTGTTCACAGGGCAAGAAAAGCTTTTAAACATTAAAGAATAGTCGTAAGAAGAATATGGGTAAATCTCCCATGCTTAACTAAGATCTGAATAAAGAAAGACACAGGATGAGTTTCCCCCCAAAACACTCAGTATTTCAGAAAGGCTATTTCTTCCAAAATGAATTTATAAATCGAATGCTGTAGTGAATTCCTCTAATTTGTGTTGCGTCAGCCCCTTTCTGAATATGTTTGACTCTCCTTCCAAAAACAGGGCTCAGTCAGCCTTGACACAGTTTCCAGTTCCCCACCTGCTCCTAGTTCCTCAATGTGGTTGATCCAGATCTGCTTTATCCAACTTCCCCCCGATGACCACCTGCCTATGGGGCAGCTGGACACAGCCTATTGATTGGCTCTGCAGGCCCCCACACCACCCATCCACATCTTACACGGACTGCAGATATGGTGCAGTGACCACCTCTCAGTCACAGCCTGACCTCCTGAGACTCACGCCTGCTTCCATGAAACCCACCAATTAAAACTCCCTGAGGGAAACCTGTGTGGATAACACCCTGGACCTAATCACGGCATTGTCACACTGGTTGCTTCCCCTCTGTCTCCCTGCAAAAGCTCTCCCTGACCTGTGTGTGTGTGTGTGTGTGTGTGTGTGTGTGTGTGTGTGTGTGTGTGTATATGTGTGTTTGTGGCCTCTGGAAGTGCCATGCCCTCCCTACCCAGGACCCCTAAGTAATACAACCTTTATTTCCACCTCTTGTCTCTCCTAATCATTGAATGGGTTTCCTCCATCCTAAAAATCCTAGAGTAGGCCAGGCACAGTGGCTCTCGCCTGTAATTCCAGCACTTTGGGAGGCCAAGGCAGGCAGGGATCACCTAAGGTCGGGAGTTTGAGACCAGCCTGACCAACATGGAGAAACCCCATCTCTACTAAAAGTACAAAGGAGGCAGAGGTTGTGGTGAGCCAAGATCGTGCCATAGCACTCCAGCCTGGGCAACAAGAGTGAAATTCCGTCTCAAAAAAAAAAAAAAAAAAAATCCTAGAGTAAAACAAATGCTCATCCCAATAAAAATCCTAAATAGATTTTTTGATAGAGCTTTTTTTAAAAATTGTGGTAAACGATATATAACATAACATTGACCATTTGTAAGTGTACAGTTCAGTGGGATTAAGCTCATTCACATTGTCGTACAACCATCACCACCATCCATCTCCAGGATTTTTCAACTTTCCAAACTAAAACACTGTCCCTGTGAAACGCTAAGTCCTATTCCTTTTTCTCCCCAGTCCCTGGTAATCACCATTCTGCTTTCTTTTTCTTTTTCTTTTCTTTCTTCCTTTTTTTTTTTTTGAGATGGAGTCTCCTCCTGTCACCCAGGCTGGAGTGCAATGGCATGATCTCGGCTCACCGCAACCTCCACCTCCTGGGTTCAAACCATTCTCCTGCCTCAGCCTCCCGAGTTGCTGGGATTACAGGTGCCTGCCACCACACCCAGCTAAGTTTTGTATTTTCAGTAGAGACGGGATTTCATCATGTTGGCCAGGATGGTCTCGAACTCCTGATCTCATGATCCACCCACTTCGGCTTCCCAAAGTGCTGGGATTATAGGCATGAGCCACCGCGCCTGGCCTCTACTTTCTTTCATTATAAATTTCTCTGGGTAGCTCATATAAGTGGAATCCTAAAGAGTGGAATCCTAAATAGGTTTATTGAGTCTTTTTTCAAACTTTTTACTTTGCAATCGTTTTAGATTACAGATAAGTTGCAAAGATAGTACAGAGCCTTCTCTATATCTTTTGCCCAGCTTCCTTTAATGTGAACATCTTTTTGTTTTTGTTTTTGTTTTTTTTTTTTGAAGCAGAGTCTTGCTCTGTCGCCCAGGCTGGAGTGCAATGGCGTGATCTCGGCTCACTGCAACATCTGCCTCCCGGGTTCAAGCAATTCTCCCGCCTCAGCCTCCTGAGTAGCTGGGATTACAGGCGGGTGCCACCATGCCTGGCTAATGTTTGTATTTTTAGTAGAGACGGGGTTTCACCATATTGACCAGGCTGGTCTCAAACTCCTGACCTCAGGTGATCCACCTACCTTGGCCTCCCAAAGTGCTGGGATTATGGGTGTGAGCCACCACAACCAGCCGATGTTAACATCTTGCATTACCATTGTACATATGTCAAAGTGAAGAAATTAATATTGGTGCAATACTCTGAACTAGAAACTATAGATCTCGTTCGGATTTCATTAGTTTTTCCATGGGTGTCCTTTTTCTGTGGCAAGATCCCATCCAGGATCCCACACTGCATTCAGGTAGTGATGGAATTTGCCTGGCGGCAGTAACTGAGCACCACTGGCTGGGGAGAGGGGAGCTTAAATAACAGAAATCCATTCTGTCCCAGTTCTGGAGGCTGGAAGTCCAGGATCAACGTGTCGGCAGAGTTACTTCCTTCTGGGCTGTGGGGGAAGGATCCACTGCAGGTGTCTCTTCTTAGTTTATATCTGGTCCCCTCTTCCCTGTGTCTTCAGCTGTCTTCCTCTGTATGTGCCTGTGTCCATATTTCCCCGTTTTAGAAGGACAGTTCATCATAGGCCAGGCGCAGTGCCTCATGCCTGTAATCCCAGTACTTTGGGAGGCCGAGGCGGCAGGATCACTTGAGGTCAGGAGATTGAGATCAACATGTACTAAAAAATGCAAAAATTAGCTGGGCATGGTGGTGCATGCCTGCAATCCCAGCTACTCGGGAGGCTGAGGTAGGAAAATCGCTTGAACTCTGGAGGTGGAGGTTGCAGCGAGCTGAGATTGTGCCACCGTACTCTAGTCTGGTCGCCAGAGCAAGACCCTGTCTCAAAAAAAAAAAAAAAAAAAAAGGACACCAGTCATATTGGGTTAGAATCCACTCTCATGACCTCATTTTAACTTAGTCATCTCTACAAAGACCCTATTTCCAAATACAAGTACATTTTGAGGTACTGGGGGTTAGGACTTCAATGTATGAAGTTGTTGGGAGACAAAATTCAGCTCGTATCAGTCATCACTTCTCCTGCATCTCCTGCAAATGCTGACAGGTTTCTTGTCTTTCACGATATTGACAGATTTGAAGAGTATTCATCAGGCATGTATTGAATGGTCCTTGATTCGGATTTTTCTAGTGTTCTCCAATGGTTAGAGCGAGGTTGTTAGTTTGGAGTTAAGAATATCACAGGCCAAGTGCAGTGGCTCATGCCTGTAATCCCAGCACTTTGGGAGGCCGAGGTGGGCGGATCTCCTGAGGTCAGGAGTTTGAGACCAGCCTGGCCAACATGGTGAAACCCTGTCTCTACTAAAGATACAAAAATTACCCGGGCATGGTGGTGCCGGACCTGTAATTACACGCCTGTAATCCCAGCTGCTTGGGAGGCTGAGGCCAGAGAATCGCTTGAACCTGGGTGGTGGAGGTTGCGGTGAGCTGAGATCGAGCCACTGCACTCCAGCCTGGGTGACAGAGCAAGACTCCATCTAAAAAAAAAAAAAGAATATCACAAAGGCTAGGTGCCTTTCTAGTCACATCCTATGGGGGTGTGTGTATGATATCCACGTGAACATGCCTTTTATTGACAATGCTAGCCTCGGTTAAGGTGGTATCTGCCAGGTTTCTCTACTATAGAATCTCTCTTTTTGTCTTTTCATACTCTCTTCCGTGCCTCAACAGGGTTAACATTGCTCCCAAGGGGAAGAAAACTATTTCTTTGAGGGCCACAAAGAATCTCAGCTATCACCATGTCTTGGCACTCTCCAAAGCTCAGCCCTTCCCAAATTGCTTTTTTTTTTTTTTTTTGGAGACGGAGTCTCGCTCTGTAACCCAGGCTGGAGTGCAGTGGCGCAATCTCGGCTCACTGCAAGCTCCGCCTCCCGGGTTCACACCATTCTCCTGCCTCGGCCTCCCGAGTATCTGGGACTACAGGCGCCCGCTACCAAGCCCAGCTAATTTTTTGTATTTTTAGTAGAGACGGGGTTTCACCCTGTTAGCCAGGATGGTCTCAATCTCTTCTGACCTCGTGATCCGTCTGCCTCGGCCTCCTAAAGTGCTGGGATTACAGGTGTGAGCCACCACGCCTGGCCTTTTTTTTTTTTTTTTGAGATGGAGTCTCACACTGTCGCCCAGGCTGGAGTACAGTTGCGTGATCTCTTCTTGCTGCAGCCTCTGCCTCCCGGGTTCAAGTAATTCTCCTGCCTCAGCCTCCTGAGTAGCTACAATTACAGGCACCCACCACCACGCCTGGCTAATTTTTTGTATTTTTAGTAGAGATGGGGTTTCACGTGTTAGCCAGGATGGTCTCGATCTTCTGACCTCGTGATCCACCCATCTCGGCCTCCCAAAGTGTTGGGATTACAGGCGTGAGCCACCACGCCCGGCCCAGTCTCCCCATTTAGAGTAGGGAGTAGGTAGGTAGGCAGACATGAGCCCGGTGGGAGACGCCCCCCTGCTACAAGGTGATGATCAGGTGGTTGTTAAACTGTTTCTCTAAAATAATAATTGGGCCGCTGGTCCTAGGGAAAGGCAGGCTCCCAATAGACAGAAAACACCTGGAGCTGGTGATTGGCAGCTTCCTGATAAGATCTCAGGAGCCGGGCAAGTCAGCTCAAGCATGTGCACCAAGAGGCAATCGGTAGAGGTTTTGTTTGTTTGCTTGTTTTTAGACAGAGTCTTGCTCTGTTTCCCAGGCTGGAGTGCAGTGACGCAATCTCAGCTCACTGCAACCTCTGTGTCCTGGGTTCAAGTGATTCTCGAGCCTCAGCCTCCCAAATAGCCAGGACTACAGGCGCATGTCACCATGCCCCACTAATTTTGTATTTTTGGTAGAGATGGGGTTTTGCCATGCTGGCCAGGCTGGTCTTGAACTCCTGACCTCAGTGATCCACCCACCTTGGCCTCCCAAAGTGCTGGGATTACAGGTGTGAGCCACCGCACCTGGTGGGTGGAGTTTACCTGGTATATGACCTTCCTCTAGGACCACTAGATTGGTAACGGAAAAACACCTGAAATAAGCATGTGCACAACTTCAGTAAATACACTGTTCACGTGGCCCCCCGCAAGTGCTGGCAGGCTACTGCGCATGCAGACAGCGCACCCCAGTGAAAGAATCAGGGAAGGCCAGGCGTGGTGGCTCACGCCTGTAATCCCAGCACTTTGGGAGGCCGAGGCAGGTGGATCACCTGAGGTCAGGAGTTTGAGACCAGCCTGGCCAACATGGCGAAACCCCGTCTCTACTAAATATACAAAAAAACTAGCTGGGCGTGGTGGCAGGTGCCTGTAATACCAGCTACTCGGGAGGTTGAGGCAGGAGAATTGCTTGAACCCGGGAGGCAGAGGCTGCAGTGAGCCAAGACTGCCATTGCTCTCCAGCCTGGGTGACAAGAATGAAACTCCATCTCAACAAGAAAGAATCAGGGGAGAAGAGATGTGAAACTCCAGAGCATCCCAGCACATTAAACCCCAAGTCAAAGGTCGCACTGAGCACCTCAATCTCTCAAATTGCCTGGTTGGCCCTCTTCCAAGAGTGTACTTTACTTCCTGTTTTTCCTGCTGTAAAACCTTTTAATAAATTTTCACTCCTTCGCTAAAACTTGCCTCAGTCTCACTTTCTGTCTTACTCTTCTTGGATGAATTCTTTCCTCTGATGAGGCAAGAGCCGAGTTGCAGCAGATCCGTAACCTCAAAGTATCACCTCCCCCTCAAATACTTACTAATTAGCATGGAGGTTTTAACGTATGTTCACACATTCTTATACCCCTTTGAGTGGGGCTGGACTTAGTGACTCACTGCAAAGGATTACAGCAGTATCATTCGCCTGACAGTTTCTTTCTTTCAGCACTCTGAATATATCATCCCATTCTCTCCTGGCCTTTAAGTTTTCTGAAAAGTACTTTAAGTTTTCTGAAAGCACTGATACTTTCCCTCCTGAGAGCTGGTTGTTAAACATTTGCAGCAGGCCACGGTGATTTGCTTACCTTTGACGTTTTCCCCAAAACATTCACATTCGCCTTGATAGACATTTCTGCCAATTGCCCCCTAAAATTAAATATCAACGCATAAGATTTTGTTGGGTAGGGCTGAGCCTTGGAGAGCACCAACACAAGGTAATATCTGAGCAACTTGCTTGTACCACTATTAACAACCTTTATGCAACATCCTTCGACAGAGTGAGTGGTGCATTTGTTACAATGGATGAGCCTGCACTGACAAATCATTGTCACCCAGAGTCCACAATTTACATCAGGGCTTACTCTTGGTGTTGTACATTCTGTGATTTGAAAAAATGTGTAGTGATGTTGCAGTATCATACGGTAGTTTCCCTGCCCTAAGAATCCTCTGTGCTCCACCTATTCACAAATAGATTTTCAACAGTCTTTTGAAGGATTGCCAAACAGATTTTAAACAAATTTGACAAGTGGATTATCTGGAATATGATAAAGAGGTTGCAGCTAGGAAGAGTAACTTCTTCAGATCAGAGAATGGGGAGGGAGCCAGCTTTCTTTTTTTTCTTTTTTTTTTTTTTTTTGAGACCAAGTTTCCCTCTTGTCGCCCAGGCTGGAGTGCAATGGTGTGATCTCAGCTCACTGCAACCTCCACCTCCCAGGCTCAAGCGATTCTCCTGCCTCAGCCACCTGAGTAGCTGGGATTACAGGCACGCGCCACCACGCCCAGCAAATTTTTGTATTTTTAGTAGAGACGGGGTTTCACCATGTTGCCCAGGCTGGTCTCGAACTCCTGACCTCAGGTGATTTACCCACCTTGGCCACCCAAGGTGCTGGGATTACAGGCGTGAGCCACCACGCCCAGCCGGGAGCCAGCTTTCATTATCACTGTAGAGATTGATGGGTTTTGGTTCCAGGCACACACATGACTTATTCAAAAAGTAAAGTAAGACCTTCAAAGCTAGAGTCATGTAAAAATCATCTAAAAAAAGAAATTGCACAAGAATCTCTGAGAACATTTTGATGGAGAAGAACCATGACTGACAGGTGTCAAAACATACTATAAGTTTGGCTTGAGTTTCACCAGGGACAAAGCCTGTGACAAGGATTTTGATACAAGTGGTTTATCTGGGAGGAGGTTCCAAGAAGTACCAGAAGACAAGGGGGAAAGTGAAGAGGGGCAGGTAGGAAAAGGAAGGAAGCCAATTTACAGGCATGGACGAGCTTATGACCCATGTGGGCAACTGGGGCTCAGTTTCTCCAGGAGCCTCTGGTAGATGATGTAGAATGGGGGTCCCTGTCCCCTGGGCCACCAGTACTAGTCCGTGGCATCTTAGGAACCAGGCTGCACAGCAGGAGGTGAACAGAGGGCGAGCGAGTGAAGCTTCATCTGTATTTACAGCCACTCCCCATTGCTTGCATTACTGCCTGAGCGCTGCCTCCTGTTGGATTAGCGGTGGCATTAGATTCTCATGGGAGTGGGAACCCTATTGTACACTGTACACACGAGGGATCTAGGTTGCACACTCTTTATGAGAATCTAATGCCTGGTGATCCATCGCTGTCTCTCATCACCCCCAGATGGGACCATCTATTTGCAAGAAAACAAGCTCAGGGCTCCCACTGATTCTACATGATGGTGAGCTGTATAATTATTTCATTATATTCTACAGTGCAATAATAATAGAAATAAAGTGTACAATAAATGTAATGTGCTTGAATCATCCTGAAATGATCCCCTTCCCCTGGTCCGTGGAAAAATTGTCTTCCATGAAACTGGTCCCCGGTGCCAAATAAGGTGGGGACCACTGATATCAAATAAGCCGCAGCCAGTTATGGTGGCTCACGCCTGTAATCCCAGCACTTTGGGAGGCCGAGGCAGGTGGATCACCTGAGGTCAGGAGTTCGAGACCAGCCTGGTCAACATGGTGAAACCCTGTCTCAACTAAAAATACAAAAAAAAAAAAAAAAAGAAAAAATTACCTGGGAGTGGTGGCACGTACCTGTAATTCCAGCTAGTTGGGAGGCTGAGGCAGAATCGCTTGAACCTGGGAGGTGAAGGTTGCAGTGAGCTCAGATCGTGCCATTGCACTCCAGCCTGGGTGACAAGAGCAAAACTCCGTCTCAAAAAACAAAAGCAAACAAACAAAAAACAACAACAAAAACAAGCCTCACAGTTCTCATGCCAGTTGCAGGTCGACTCTAAGGGAGATGGGATTTAGCAAGCAAGCTGTTTATTAAGGAATGTCCTTGAGGTCAACATGGTAGAAGGGAGGCGAAGTCTGTGTGGGTTTTTTTTTGTGTGTGTCATTGTTGTTGTTGTTTTTGAGACGGAGTTTTGCTCTGTCGCCCTGGCTGGAGTGGTGCAGTGGTGCGATCTTGGCTCACTGCAACCTCCGCCTCCCAGGTTCAAATGATTCTCCTGCCTCAGCCTCCAAAGTAGCTGGGCTTACAGGCACCGCCCAGCATGCCCAGCTAATTTTTTGTATTTTTAGTAGAGATGGGGTTTCACCATGTTGGCCAGGCTGGTCTCAAACTCCTGACCTCAGGTGATCCACCTGCCTCGACCTCCCAAAGTGCTGGGATTACAGGCATGAGCTACCATGCCTGACCCAACACTGGGTTTTTATAGAGAGAAAAGTTTATGCAAGACAGCCAAGCAAGGAGACAGGAATCTGGTTCAAATCTGTCTCTCTGAGCTGGAGGCTGAGGAAGATTTTATACACAGAGGGTAGTGAGGTGTAACCTGATTGGATCATGCAATGAGGTGATGTGGGAGGCTTGGCCTAATTGGATCATGCCATAGAGTGATGCCAGGACTCAATCTGATTGGATCATGGATCATGCCATGTGGTGTTCACTTCTTAACTCAGTCCCCCTTCCTTAGTCTAAGCACATAGGTTCCGCCCATGGTTGCCTGCTTGGTTCATCTGGGCATGACCAGTGCACATAACTTGCAACCTGGGGGCCTATGGCAACGGAAAAGCAACTCGCCATTTTATTACACAAAGTTGAATCAGATGAGGCTGGATCTGCAGTTACAACATTTACCACTTTATTATAAAGGCTACAACTCAGAAACAGCCAAATGGAAGACATGTATAGGACAAAGAAAGATGTGGGGGTGGAAGAGGTTGTATGGAGCCTCCATGCCCTCTCTGGATGCCATTGGTTGACTGGGGGAATTAATTCCCTGGTGCTTCCAGCCTGCAAGATGAGCTCCTTCAACCAGCAAGTCCCCAGTCAAAAGGGTGCACGGGGTGTAGCTGGAAGTTGAGCAGATGGTAGTTTGCATGGATGAGATAAAGCCCCAGGGGACAGGGCAGCTACACATGAATCCAAATAGTCTAATCTCCAAAAGGAACAGAGAGTGGATTCATACAACATACCAAGCCCGCCCCCTAAATGCATCCCACTCAGGTCACTTATAAAGCTCCAAGGATGGGCCAAGAACACAAGCTCTACACCAGGGAAACTTGGAGGCATCAGAAGGACAGAATAAGACCCAGGTTCATAGGGGATGAAAAATCGAACAGAGAACCGTCTCAGGGCATTTGTGAAGGTCCAAGGATGGAGAGAAGAAGCGCTGGCTTACAAGTGGGTGAAGTTCTGCTATACCACAATGGAGGCTGAGGCTAGCAGGGAAACAACTATTCGTCTCTGAAGCAGGCTGCGGGCTTTTTGCAGATCCAGTAATTGTCAACGTCACATCGATTGTCGTTCCAGCCACTGCCACTAAATTCCGCACAGTCTTCATTCCCGCTATTGTTGGGTTCTCCACTGTTCCAGTACCGCTGGAAGCTGCAAAGCCCATGCAGAATGTGAGCCTCTGCCCTGCCCAGTAGATGAGCCACACTCCTACCTTCTGTAATATTGATGCTTTAACATCTGCCCTACATGTGTATGCTGGACATGCATTGCTCTCCACACCTCATAATATGCCCGAGTCATGTTGCCTTCAGTTCCTGCCTCTCTTGCTGCATCCCAGCCTTGGGAGGACTCCTACTGAGGCTGTGATTTTCTTTTTTATCCTTTGTTCTTTTCTTTCTCTTTTTCTTTTTTTGAGACAGATTCTCGCTCTGTTGCCAGGCTGGAGTGCAGTGGCATGATCTTGGCGGCTCACTGCAACCTCCGCCTCCTGGGCTCAAGTGATTCTCCTGCCTCAGCCTCCTGAGTAGCTGGGACTACAGGTGCACGCCACCACACCCAGCTAATTTTTGTATTTGTAGTAGAGACGGGGTTTCACCGTGTTGGCCAGCATGGTTTTGATCTCTTGACCTCGTGATCTACCCGCCTTGACCTCCCAAAGTGCCGGAATTACAGGCGTGAGCCACCGCGCCTGGCCGAGAGTGTGATTTTAAAATACAAACCAACCAGTCTGGGGTCTGTACTGCCAACCACCTGCCTTATTGGGCTCTTGCACTCCAAGCCACTATCTTTCTGCCCTAATCACCCCAAGGCCAGGTGTCAGGCCGCTAGGCAGCCTCTATGCCCCAGAGCCCACAAAATGCTTCATATCTGCCCATCTGAAGCCTGCTTGCCTGGCCTTGCCCTTTTCTCCCCATGCAAACCATAATAAAAGCTCTGGCCCACAGTCCCCTCCATGACTTTCCCTCACGACAGACCCTGCTGCTTCCCCAGCGGCCCCCTGCTGTGAAATGTGCGCCCTCTAGGAACCTGTGGGTAGGATAAGCTACTCACTTTGTGTAAATGGCAATTGTCTCCTGAGCTGGTGGCCTTACTAGACTTCAGACTTCCTATTAATACACTGTATTTTAACACACCTACCCACAGGGCAAGCTCCTCCTGCAGCTCTGCTGGTGGAATTCTTGGCACCTTTCATCCTGTCTGGAGGTGGGTATGAAGACCACCTTCCTCAACTCAGTAAAACCCCAGACTCTTAGTCCTATGGGGTCAGGGAGGTTGGGGGGGACCCCCAGGGAAAGCTCAAGTCAGAGTTGCAGGAACCCAGCCCGACTGGATACAGTGTCCCTTTCTCCCAGAATCTACCTGGGTGACAGAGGTGAGCCGTCCACCCATTGCCACGTGCCTTCCTGATTTAGGTCTGAAAGTCCCATCCAGGAGAAGCGGTTACTCCTGGAAGTCTGCAGCTGTAGGAAGTTCTGGAGGGTAGAGGAGGAGTCAGGAGGGAGCTCTGCTTCCCATTTTCCAGGTTCCACCTCCCCGTCTCTTGGCAGAAAGTTCTGCTTTCAAGTTAACCTGCAGTTTTCTGATATAGCAGGTCCTGAGCCTCCTCATGTCTGAGCCCCTCTCACATCTGTATCCCCATGGCATGTGTGTCCTGACATGCAGGCACGCATGCACAGCTGGCCTCTCCTCATGTGCTCCTGTGAATGCTGCATGTTTATCTATTTTGCATGTCCACATGAATTTACTCCTGACTGGGTTTCATGTACTGGAGCCACATTGGACCCACTACTAATTGCTGGTCCAGCACATCTCCTTTCAGCTCTGCACTGAGTGACAGCACATCACAGCTTGAAATCAGCCGCAGTGGAAATATTTACACTGGGGAAATTGGCAAACACAACACATCAGGAATTTTCTCTCCGGAGAGCTGGCCGTTAAACACCTGCAGCATGCTGTGGTGGTTTGCTTACATTTGACGTTTCCCCCAAATATTCACATGTGTTCAGATCTGGTTTGTATTTGCTTGAAGGGTACCTGGGACCCCTTCATTCATATCCTTCTCTTCCCATCTTTCCAAATAGAGCAAAGCCCCTCTTCTGCAAAATCCTCTCTGAGCACCTCCTCCCCAGTTGGCCAGAAGCCATGCCCCAGGCCAGGACGAGGACCCCCACCACGTGTACCTGCTCCTCAGCAGTTTTGATTACGACGAGCTGGGCCCTCACTTCCTGGCAGGCGGTGACGGAGTCGTGCCAGTTCCGCTGGGAGTTAGACATGAAGTAACAGTTTCCTTGGAAGAATGTCCAGTCCTTGGGACAGTGGCGGCACAGGCGTTCTGTTGGGGGAGGCTGGTCAGGGCTGGGCTCAGATTAGGTTGTCCATATTCCCATATCTGCCCAGCCTTCAAGCCCTTGAAAATCAGGGCCCTTCCTTGACTGTCCATGTTGGGTGGACCGCTTGGAATGGGGAGAGACCATTCCTCTCCCTACTTCCCAAGACTCTCCCTGATCCCCAGGAGAACCCAGGAGTCCTGGCTCCATCTCTTCCAGACTGGGAGAATTAGCAGCTTTAGAGCTCAGAACAGAAGGCAGCGGATTGGTTGAACTGAGTGTCTACTGTGTGCCTGGCCCACTGTGAACACCAAGTGCAATGATCGCAGTTACCCCGTGTTCTCATTTCACAGGGGAGGAAACTGAGGCTCAGGCAGGGTTGGTAACTCAAGTAAAGTCACATCACACAGAGACCATCTCAGGCCCAAGGACCCTTGATGTGCAGGAACTCACCAAATGCAGTCTTCAAATCGGTCAGTTCTTGATAGATTTGCTGCTGCTTGGACTGGTCTGGCAACTCACCCACTGCAGCCTTCAGCTGGGTCAGCTCCTGGTAGATCTCCTGCAGCTTGGATTTCTCTGGCAACTCACCCACTGCAGCCTTCAGCTCCGTCAGCTCCTGGTAGATCTCCTGCAGCTTGGATTTCTCTGGCAACTCACCCACTGCAGCCTTCAGCCGGGTCAGCTCCTGGTAGATCTCCTGCAGCTTGGATTTCTCTGGCAACTCACCCACTGCAGCCTTCAGCCGGGTCAGCTCCTGGTAGATCTCCTGCAGCTTGGATTTCTCTGGCAACTCACCCACTGCAGCCTTCAGCCGGGTCAGCTCCTGGTAGATCTCCTGCAGCTTGGATTTCTCTGGCAACTCACCCACTGCAGCCTTCAGCTGGGTCAGCTCCTGGTAGATCTCCTGCAGCTTGGATTTCTCTGAGAGCTCACCCACTGCAGCTTTAAGCTGGGTCAGGTTCTGGTAGATTGCGTCTTGCTCGGATTGTTCCTGACTTAGGGAGCTGGGGACCTTGGACACTGGGCCAAGAAGAAAAGGAACTGCAATTATTAAACACCTACTGTGTGCCAAGCCCTGAACTGAGCCCCATAGAGACATCATTTGTGAGAGCCAAGGTCTCAGTTAATCCCCTTTGAAGATGAGGAAAACTGACACCTGGAGAAGGCAGCACAGAAGGCCAAGGAGAGCCAGGTTCTTCCCCTCCTCCTCCTCCCTCTCCTGTCCTGCTCTAGAGTGGGGAGGGGCTGTGGGAGAGGCCCCTACAGACCCCCAGGGACAACATCTTGGCTCTCAGTCCCACCTCCCTCCCAGACCTGGCCACTCCAGGCTCTGTTCATAGCCAAAAGGCCAGGCCTGGGGACCCCAGACCCTCAGAACCTGCCCCTGACCTTGGACAAGGATGGCCACCAGGACCCCAGCCAAGAGCATGAAGGAGAGGAGTTGCAGCACCAGGGCGCCATGGCCAAGACACCCTGAGAGAGGATACATGCGTCAGCCTGCCAGTGTTCCCACCTGAGCCTGGCCCAGGGAGAGCCTGGCCTAATCCCTCAGCACCCCAGGACCCAGGAACCCCAGCCCCAGCCCCCTCCACTCCAACACCTGGGAATCCAGGCCCTAGCTCTAACCTCCCCAGGACCCAGGAACCCCATCCCCAGCCTCTCCCTCCCCAAGTCCCAGGAGTTTAGGTCCCAACCCCCACCTCCCCAGGTCCCAGGAACCCAGGTACCTGCGTCCACCTCCCCAGTGGAACAGGAATGAAAAGAAATTAAAGAATGTGTAAGCAAAAACTCAGTTGTATGTAAGAAAACCCAATTCCCCCTGAGGAAGAGAAAGAGGTGGAATCCTTTAAAAATTAACTGCCTTTTTGGCCAGGCATGGTGGCTCACACTTGTAATCCCAGCACTTTGGGAGGCTGAGGCAGGCAGATCACAAGGTCAGGAGATCAAGACCATCCTGGCTAACACAGTGAAACCCTATCTCTACTAAAAATACAAAAAATTAGCCGGGCGTGGTGGTGGTGGGCGCCTGTAGTCCCAGCTACTCGGGAGGGTGAGGCAAGAGAATGGCATGAACCTGGGAGGCAGATCTTGCAGTGAGCCGAGATGGCGCCACTGCATTCCAGCCTGGGTGACAGAGCAAGACTCTGTCTCAAAAAAAATAAATAAATAAATAAAAATAAAAACTAAATAAATAAAATAAAAAAGAATTAACTGCCTGTTTTTCTGTGTGTGGCTAGTGAGCCTTATCTCTCCCTTTCCCAGGCATTGTGAAGACCCTGTTTCTCTAGCTGTGCAGCTGCAAGGTCACTAGGCAGATAAACTCAAGTTGTAAAACATGTTTTTCCTTGAAAAATAAGAAATGACGTAATGCATGTCTCAATTGAATAACTATCTTTGTTTCTCGCTTCTGTAATATGCTTCCCCCTGCACAGATCTCCCCCTACCCCATGAAATGCTTAAAAGGTAACTTGACTCTTTGTTTGGGGCTCAGTCTTTTTGGATGTTAATCTGACTGGGCTGGTGCACCTAAATAATAATAATAATAATAAATCCTCCTCAACCCCTTGATCTCTGTGATTCCTAAATTATCCTGCAACACCAGGACTCAGGCATCCAGGTCCCAGCCTCCACATCTCCAGGTCCCAGGAGGAACCCAGGCCCAAGCTCCCACCTCCCCAGGTCCTAGGAACCCAGATACCTGCTTCTACCTCCCCAGGACCCACGAATTCAGGCCCCAGTTCTCACCTTCCCCAGGACCCAGTAATCTGGTCCCAGCTCCCACCTCCCCAGGACCCAGGATTCCAGTCCCCAGTTCTCACCTGCCCCAGGACCCAGGAATCCAGGCCCCTTCTCCCACCTCCTCTGGTTCCAGGAGTCCAGGCTCCAGTCCCTACCTCCCATGGACCCAGGTGTCCAGCTTCCAACCCCCACCTCTGTAGGTCCCAGGAGTCCAGAACCCCTCTCCCACCTCCCCAGGCCCCAGGAACCCAAGCCTCAACCCCCACCTCCCCAGGTGTGAGGAGTTCAGATCCCTACCCCGTCCTCTTCAGGACCCAGGAACCCAGGTCTCAGACCTTCCTTCCCCAGAACCCAGGATTCCAGACCCCAACACCTACCTCCCCAGGACCCAGGGGTCTGGGAGGCTCTGTCTTCCACTATCTGCTCCCTAACTCTTGCCTACCTGTAGAGCTCTTGTGGCCATGTATCTGCTGGAATTGAAAGTCTCTTGGAAAAAGTCTGATGCCACTGGTTGTTGGATCTTCTTCTGAATTGACAGACATCAGCTCAGAGCCTGGGCCATCCCTTCCCCTTACCCAGGATCCCAGAGTTCCAACCCAGCCTTACCCAGGAGGCCCAGCTGCTGCACCCTTGGTTCCTTGGAGTCACTCATGTTTTCCCGCTGTCCCCAGATGTTCAGGACTCCTGGGGACCACAGCTTTTATTTTCCACCCTCTGATCCTCACTTTCTAAATCTACTGTCTCTCAGGAAGACAAACAGGAAGCTGGGTAAGATCACATCACCAGAAAGGCTAGTGAAAGGAGTCAGAGCCTGAGATCGGCCTGACCTTGCAGGAATTTCAGGGAGGTGTTGGGGGATGGTCTGGGGTTGACAGGGAGAAGGACTCCTCCACTCATGACATGGTTGAGCGATGGGATGCTTTTAATAAAATTCAATTCATTCTAATGGAAAGCGACTTTGTTATGCCTCCCTACGTAGGGCAGGGGTGGGCAGGCAGTACCGCCTAGTTCCTGGAACCACCATGCCCTCTGACCTCCAGGATCTGCTCTTTTGGTCTGCGGATGCTCTCATTCATGGGAATTTCCTTTGTTTTTGGGAGTTGGAGATGAACGATAGTTGTTTATTTCATACCTATGATAGGCACATTTCCAACAGCTTTATAAAACTCCTTCATTTAACTTTCCTACCCTGCAGTAGATCATGTGACCTCCAGTTTACAGATAGGGGAAAATAGAGGCACTGCGAGATTAAGAAACTAGCCCAAGGTCACACAGCTGGTAAATGGTGGAGCTGAGATTCGAATCCAGGCAGTTTTCCTCCACACTCCACCCAGTTAACCAAAGAGGGTCTAATAACATCAAGGGCAAAATAGAAAGATTTATAGTAACTTTAGTTAGACTATCCCAACCCAAATTGGAACAACCCATGTGGCCACCAGCAGGTGAATGAAAACAAATATCATGGCATATTCAGAGGGTGGAATTCTATACAGTAATGAAAAAGCAAAGTACTGATACAAACAACAATTTGGATGAATCTCACAAGAGTTAAGAAACCCAAACAGAATGAATACATTCTGTAAGATTTTGAGTTTACATGAATTTCAAGAATAGGCAGAAGAACTAACCTTTGATGGGACTCAAATTGGGGGCTTTCTGGAAGGAGTGGGTGTAAACTGACCAGAATGGGGTAGAAGGAAATTTTCTGCTGACAATGTTCCATATTTTTTTCTGAGAAGTGGCTGCATGGATGAATTCATATGTCAAAATTTCTTCTCTTTCTTTCTTTCTTTCTTTTTTTTTTTTTTTTTTTGAGACAGAGTCTCGCTCTGTCACCCAGGCTGG
This sequence comes from Homo sapiens, assembly GCF_000001405.40. NCBI lineage: Eukaryota > Metazoa > Chordata > Mammalia > Primates > Hominidae > Homo > Homo sapiens. Next base: position 7,762,073 of record NC_000019.10, on the reverse strand, counting down.
AGTGCAGTGGCTGATCTGGGCTCCCTGCAACCTCCGCCTCCTGGGTTCAAGTGATTCTTCTGCCTCAACCTCCCGAGTAGCTGTGACTACAGGTGTGCGCCACCACATCTGGCTAATTTTTGTATTTTTATTTATTTATTGGAGACGGAGTCTCGCTGTGTTGCCCAGGCTGGAATGCAGTGGTGCAATCTTGGCTCACTGCGACCTCCACCTCCCAGGGTCAAGTGATTCTCCTGCCTCAGCCTCCCGAGCAGCTGGGATTACAGGTGCATGCCACCATGCCTGGCTAATTTTTTTGTATTTTTAGTAGAGACGGGTTTCATCATGTTGGACAGGCTGGTCTGGAACTCCTGACCTTAAGTGATCTGCCCTCCTCGGCCTCCCAAAGTGCTGGGATTACAGGTGTGAGTCACTGTGCCTGGCCCATATGTCAAAATCTCTTGAACTATATATTTAAGACTTGTGTACTGTGTTGTAAATGTGTTATATATCAATTTAAAAATGAGAAATACAGAGGCAGTTCAACATGGCAGATTGGAGGCATCTGGCACTCACCTCCTCCCCAAAGAAGAATTAAACAGTGGGTAGATAATCACACTTTGAATACAGCAACTAAGAGAAAACACTGGAATTCAGCAGAGAAGTGATAGGAAACATCTGTGGCCTGGAAGGAGGGAAACAAGGCAGCTGGCCCAGCCTGGATCAGCTGGGAGCACCAGGTTGGGGGGTTCCCAGTGCAGGAACAGGGTAAGTGAGAGATCCCCTGCAGTGCACATTCCCACCATGAACTCCTGAAATCCTAGCTGTGGGAGAGCTCCTCAACCCTCATGGGCCATGAGACCAGTATAAGGTGCTGCTTGGAGTTCATGTGACAACATTACTCCAGAGAGGGAGCTGACTCTGGGTTCCACACATCCCCCAACACACAGGTAGTTGCAGCACAGTGCCATTTGGAGAAGCCAGTCCCCACCAGACTACATCCTGCCCTGGGACCCAACAGCCCCTGCATCTCCTTGTCCATGGAGTCCAACTGATATCCCTTCAGATCCATCCAGAAGACTACCGCAGTGCCACAGTAGTTGGACCCAGGAATGTAGCAGGATCCCCAGCGCTGCAGCCCACATAATGTCTTACGTACCAGGGAACAGGCAGTGGAGCGCAGTGGAGCACAGTGGGGAGCCTGTCCCCAGGACAAAGGTAGACAAAGTCCCAAGAACTTGAGAGACACCTTCCTGGGGCTGCTGCCATTGACAGCAAACCCCCACTCCTAGCAGCAGGGCCACCTTGCACCTGCAGACACCATGAGGACAGGCTCTTCCCATCCACCACCACTGCAGCCACCACCACCCAAGCACAGTGCCTTTCCCTTCCCGTCACAGCCTGCATGCATGAATGCCACTGGGGGGGCCTGAGGACAGGCCTGCATGGCCTGGCACTGTCCTCCAGGTGGCCAAGCACACTACCAGGGGTCCTGGGGATTGCTCTGCTCTATCAGTCACCCTAGGCACATGCATGTACCATCAGGAGACCTAACAACAGGCCTAGAACAGGCTGGGCATGGTGGCTCATGGCTGTAATCCTAGCACTTTGGGAGGCCAAGGTGGGTGGATCACCTGAAGTCACGAGTTCGAGACCAGCCTGACCAACATGGTGAAACCCCATCTCTACTAAAAATTCAAAATTAGCCAGGTGTGGTGGTGCATACTTGTAATCCCAGCCACTTGGGAGGCTGAAGCAGGAGAATCCCTTGAATCCAGGAGTCAGAGGCTGCAGTAAGCTGAGATCGTGCCATTGCACTCCAGCCTGGGCTAAAAGGTAAAACTCTATCTCAAAAAACAGGCCCAGAACAACTGCCACCAGCACCAAAGCGTGCTCTCTGAAGATCTGGGGTTCACCTCACTTTGTTCACCACTACTGGCATCTGTGTATCCCCCCCAGGGGCCGAGGCACAGGTACACCCAGCCTGCCGCTGCCACCACTGGGACCCAAGGACTGGCTCACATGGCACCCCTATCCCCAGCAAAGCCTCATTGTAGCCTCTGCTAACAACTGCAGCCTAAGATGCTGAGGAATTTACAGATACCACTCATGATGTTTATGGTTAAAGAAATCATATAGAGACTACACTGCTGCATGCACCCAGTCAAAGCTAAAGTGACTTACCCAACCAACACCATAGATACATCAACAGCAAAAAGTCTTCCCCTATGAAAACCAATCCAAAAAATTGGAAGAAGCAACTGCTACACCACATACATAGATATCAATGTAAGAATACAGGAAACATGAAAAGGCAAGGAAATATGACACCTCAGAAGGAACACAATAATTCTCCAGTAACAGATTCCAATGAAAACGAAATTTGTGAAATTGCCTGAAGAATAATTCAAAATAATGAACCTAAAGAATCTCAATTAGATACAGGAGAACACGGATAAACAATACAAAGACTACCTGAGTGTTTTGGTGATGCATGCCTATAATCCTCACTAAGCAGGAGGGTCCCTTAAGCCCAGGAGTTCTAGGCCAGCCTGAGCAACATAGTGAGACCCCCATCTCAAAAAATAAAAAATTCAAAGAAATCAGGAAAAAAATTCAGAATATGAATGAGAAATTCACCAAAGAGATAGAAGTTATTTACCAAGAACCAAGCGGAAATCCTGGAACTGAAGAATTCAATGAGTGAAATAAAAAATACAGTTGAGAGCTACAAAAAAAAAAAAAGATTAGATGAAGCAGAAGAAATAATTCCAGAACTTGAAGACAGGTCTTTTGAAATAATCTAGTCAGATAAAAACAAAAAGAGAATAAAGCATAAAAAGAATGAATAAAGCCTATATAATATATGGGGCATCATAAGGTGACCAAATATTTAAATTTTGGGTGTATCAGAGAGAAAAGGCATAGAACACCTATTTAACAAAATAATAACGGAAAACTTCCCAAGCCTAGGAAGATTTAGACATCCAAATATAGGATGCTCAGAGAATCCCAAATAGATACAGGCCAAAAGGACTTCTCTAAGGCACATTATAGTCAAACTGTAAAAAATAAAAGACAAAGACAGAATTCTATAAACAGCCAGAGAAAAACATCTAGTCACATATAAGAAAACCCCTACCAGACTAACAATAGATTTCACAGAAGAAAACTTAAAGGCCAGGAGAGAATGGGATGATATACTCAGAGTGCTGAAAGAAAGAAACTGTCAGGCAAGAATGCTGTATTAATTTGTTCTCATGTGGCTAACAAAGACGTACCCGAGTCTGGGTAATTTATAAAGAAAAGAGGTTTAATTGACTCACAGATCAGCATGGCTTGGCAGACCTCAGGAAACTTACAATTATGGTGGAGGGGAAAGCAAATACATTCTTCTTCATACGGTGGCAGGGAGGAAAATGAGTGCCAAGCAAAGGGGGAAGCCCCTTATAAAAGCATCAGCTCTCATGAGAACTCATCCGCTATTACAAGAACAGCATGGCGGAAACCACCCCCATGATTCAATTGTCTCCATCTGGTACCTTCTACGACACAAGGGAATTATGGGAATAATATTTCAAGATGAGATTTGGGTGGGGACACAGCCAAACCATATCATTCCACCCCTGGCCTCTCCCAAATCTCATGTCCTCACAATTCAAAACACAATCATGCTCTTCCAACAGTCTCCCAAAGTCTTAACTCATTCCAGCATTAACTCAAAAGCCCAAGTCTCATCTGAAACAAGGCAAGTCCCTTTTGCCTATGAGCCTGTAAAATCAAAAGCAAGTTAGTTACTTCCTAGATACAATGGGAGTACAGGCATTGGGTAAATACACACATTCCAAATGGGAGAAATTGGCCAAAACAAAGGCCTCATGCAAGTCTGAAACCCAATAGGGCAGTCATTAAACCTTAAAGTTCCAGAGTAATCTCCTTGGACTCCATCTCTCACATCCAGGGCACGCTGATGCAAGAGGTGGGCTCCCATGGCTTTGGGCAGCTCTGCCCCTGTGGCTTTGCAGGGTGTGGCCCCCTCCTGGCTGCTTTCATGGGTTGGCATTGGGTGTCTGTGGCTTTTCCAGGCACACGGTGCAAGCTGTCAGTGGATTTACCATTCTGAGGTCTGGAAGACAGTAGCCCTCTTCTCACAGCTCCACTAGTCAGTGCCCCAGTGGGGACTCTGTGTGGGGGCTCCAACCCCACATTGCCCTTCTGCACTGCCCTAGTAGAGGTTCTCCATGAGGGCTCTGCCCCTGCAGCAAACTTCTGCATGGACATCTAGGTGTTTCAATACACCCTCTGAAATCTAGGTGAAGTTTCCCAAACCTCAATTCTTGACTTCTGTGCACCCGCAGGCCCACAGCCCATGTGTAAGTCACCAAGGCATGGGGTTTACACCCTCTGAAAGCAATGGCCTAAGCTGTACCTTGGCCCCTTTTAGCCACAGCTGGGGCTGAAGCAGCTGGGATGCAAGGCACCACGTCCCAAGGTTGCATAGAACAGGGGGTCCCTGGGCCCAGCCCACGAAACCATTTTTTCCTCCTAGGCCTCCAGGCCTTTGATGTGAAGGTCTCCAACATGCCCTAGAGATATTTTGCCCATTGTCTTGGTGATTAATATTCAGCTCATTACTTATGCAAATTTCTTCAGCCAGCTTGAATTTCTCCCTAGAAAATGGAGTTTTCTTTTCTGTCACATCACTGGGCTGCAAATGTTTCAAACTTTAATGCTCTGCTTCCTCTTGTATGCTTTGCCACTTAGAAGTTTCTTCCACCAGATACCATAAATTATCTTTCTCAAGTTCAAAGTTCCACAGATCTCTAGGGCAGCAGCAAAATGCTGCCAGTCTCTTTGCATAGCAAGAGTCACCATTACCCCAGTTCCCAAAAAGTTCCCCATATTCATCTGAGACCATGTCAGCCTGGACTTCATTGTCCATATCACTATCAGCATTTTGGTCAAAGCCATTCAACAAGTCTCTGGGAATTTCCAAACTTTTCCACATCTTCCTGTCTTCTGAGCCCTCCAAGTTTCTAGGAAGATTCAAACTTTCCCACGTTTTCTTATCCTCCTCTGAGCCCTCCAAACAGTTCCAACTTCTGCCTGTTACCCAGTTCCACAGTTGCTTCCACATTTTGGGGTATCTTTGTAGCAACACTCCAGTCTCTGCAGTAACAATTTACTGTATTAGTCTGTTCTCATGCTGCTAAGAAGGACATACCCAAGACTGAATAATTTATAAAGAAAAGAGGTTTAATTGACTCACAGTCCAGTATGGCTGGGGAGGCCTCAGGAAACTTATAATCATGGTGGAAGGGGAAGCAAACACATCCTTCTTTACATGGTGGAAAGAAAGAGAATGAATGCTGAGCAAAGGAGGAAGCCCCTTATAAAAGCATCAGACCTCATGAGAACTCATTCACTATCATGAGAACAGCATGGTGGAAACTGCCCCCATGATTCAGTTATCTTTACCTGGTCCCTCCCACGACACATGGGGACTATGGGAACTACAATTCAAGATGAGATTCGGGTGGGCACACAGCCAAACCATATCAAATACTATACCCAGTAAAGTTATTCTTCAAAAATGAAGGAGAAATAAAGACTTTCCCAGACAAGCAAAACCAGAAGGAATTCATCATCACTAGACCAGCCCTACAAGAAATAATTAAGAAAGTCCCGCACCTGGAAGTGAAAGGGCAATATCACCATCATGAAAACACACAAAAGTATAAAACTCATTGGTAGAGCAAAACACAAATGAAGAAGAGAAAAGACTCAAATGTTACCACTACAGAAAACAACCAAACCACAACGACAAACAATAAGAGAGAAAGAAAGGAACAAAAGATATGCAAACCAACCAGGAAACAATTAACAAAAGGAAAGGAATAAGTCCTCAGACATTAGTAATAACCTGTAATGTAAATGGATTAAATTTCCCACTTAAAAGATATAGACTGGCTGAATGAATTTTTTAAAAAGACCCAACTATATGCTGTCTATAAGAAACTCACTTCACCTGTAAAGACACGTATATATACTCAGGAGGAGGCTGAAGAAGGATGATTGCTTGAGGTCAGGAGTTTGAGACCTGTCTGGGCCACATGGTAAGACTGCATCTCTAAAAAAATTTTTGTAAAGCTAGCCAGGTATGATAGCATGTGTCTATAGTCCAAACTACTCAAGGAGCTGAGGCAGGAGGATTGCTTGAGCCCAGGGTTTTGAGGGTGCAATGAGCTGATTGTGTCTGGGAATAGCCACTGCACTCCAGCCTAGGCAACAGAGTGAGACCCCATCTCTTAAAAAAAAAAACACATATAGACTAAAAGTGAAAGGATGATAAAAGAAATTCTAACAAATGGAAACAAAAAGTGAGCAGGAGTAGCTACACTGATATCAGATAAAACAGACTTTAAGTCAAAGACAGTAAAAATAGGCAAAGAAGGTCATTATATAATGATAAAGGGATTGATTCAGCAAGAGGATATAACAATTTTAAATATATGTGTACCCAACACCAAAGCCCCAGATATATAAAGGAAATCTTATTAGATCTACAGGGAGAGATAGACTTCAATACAATAATAGTTTGGGGCTTCAACACCCCACTCTCAGCACGAGACAGATAATCTAGACAGAAAAATCAACAAAGAAACATCAGATTTAAACTACAATTTAGCCCAAATGGACCTAACAGATATTTGCAGAATATTTCATCCAACAGCTGCAGCACACACATTCTTCTCATCAGCACATGGAACATACTCCAGAATAGATCACATGTTGGGCCACAACACATTTTTTACAAAATCAGAATTATATCAAATATCTTCTCAGACCACAATGGAGTAAAACTACAAATTAATAACAAGAGGAACTCTGAAAACTGTACAAATACATGGAAATTAAACCATATGCTCCTGAACAACCACTGGGTCAATGAAGACCTTAAGAAAGAAATAAAAAAAATTCTTGAAACAAATCAAAATGGACACAGAGCATACCAAAATCTGTGGGATACAATAAAAGCAACACTAAAAGGAAAGTTTAAAGCAATAAATGCCTACATCAGGGCCGGGTGCGGTGGCTCATGCCAGTAATCCCAGCACCTTGGGAGGCCAAGGTGAGAGGCTTGCTTGAGCCCAGGAGTTCAAGACCAGCCTAGGCAACATAGTGAGATGCCGTCTTAAAAACAAAAAAACACACAAAATGCCTACATCAAAAAAGTAGAAAGATTTCAAATAAACAACCTAGGAATACACCTCAAGGAACTAGGAATGTAAAACCAAACCAAACCCAAAATTAGATGGAAGGAAATAACACAAACCAGAACAGAACTAAATGAAATAAAGACTAAAAACAAAAACAAAAACAAAAACAGAGGATCAGCAAAAGGAAATTTTTTTAAAAGATAATCAAAATTGATAAACCACTATCTAGACTAACCAAGAAAAAAAGAGATAAGGCCCAAATAAACAAAATCAGAACTGAAAAGGAGAGATTACGATTGAAACCACAGAAATACACAGAAAAAAAATCATCAGAGACTATTATGAACAACTATATGCTAACCAAATTAGAAGACCTAGAGGAAATGGATAAATTCCTGGACAACCTACCAAGATTGAAACAGGAAGAAATAGAAAACCTGAAACAGAACAATAATGAGTAATGAGATTGAATCAAAGTAAAATGCCTCCCAACAAAGAAATGCCCAGGGCTGGATGACTTCACTGCTAAATTCTACCAAACTTACAAAGAACTAACATAAATTCTCAAACTAATCCAAAAAATTGAAGAGGAAGGAATTCTTCCTAACTCATTCTACCAGGCCCACATTACGCCAAGACTAAAACTAGACAATTACACCATAAAACAGAAAACAGTCCTTGCTTTCAATTGTTTTGAGTATACACCCAGAAGTGGGATTGCTGGATTATATGTAATGAAATTTTTATTTCTATTTTTTAGGAACTGCCATACTGTTTTCTGTGGTGACCGCACCATTTTACATTCCCACCAACAATGCACAAGAGTTCCAGTTTCTCCACATCTTTGCCATTATTTGTTATGTTATTATATTATTATTATTATTATTGTTTTTGAGATGGAATCTCACTCTGTCGCCCAGGCTGGAGTGCAGTGGCATGATCTTGGCTCACTGCAAGCTCTGCCTCCTGGGTTCACACTATTCTCCTGCCTCAGCCTCCCGAGTAGCTGGGACTACAGGCACCCGCCACCACACCCGGCTAATTTTTTTGTATTTTTAGTAGAGACGGGGTTTCACCGTGTTAGCCAGGATGGTCTCGATCTCCTGACCTCATGATCTGCCCGCCTCGGCCCCCAGAGTGCTGGGATTACAGACGTGAGCCACTGTGCCCGGCCACGTTATTATTTTTTGTAGTAGTCATCCTAGTGGGTGTTAGGTGGTATCTCATTGTGGTTTTAATTTGCATTTCCTGAATGATTAGTGATGTCGAGCATCTTTTCACGTGCTCGTTGGCCACTTGTATATCTTCTTTGGAAAAATGTTTAGTCAAGTCCTTTGCCCATTTTTAATTGGGTTGTTTTTCCATTGTTGATCTGTACTTTTGCTCATCTTTAAACTAGGTTTGTTGTTTTCTTACTGTTGGGTTTTAGGAGTTCTTTACTTACTTTGAATATGAGTCTCTTTTTTCTTTTGAGATTGGGTCTTGCTCTGTTTCCCAGGCTGAAGCTCACTGGCACTATCATAGCTCACTGCAGCCTTGACCTCCTGAGCTTAAGCAATCTCCCACCTCAGCTGCCCAAGTAGCTGGGACTACAGGTGTGCACCACCACGCTTGGCTAAATTTTTAAATTATTTGTAGAGACAAGATCTCACGGTGCTGCCCAGGCTGGATGATTTCTTTATATATGTCTTGCAAATATTTTTGCAAGTTTGTGGATTTTCTTTTCATTTGTCTTGATTTCAATGGGAATGCTTCTAAAGTTTCTCCAGTAGAAATGGTGTTTGCTGTGGGTTTGATGGATACCACAACCATGTTAAGGATATTTCCTTCTACTCTTAGTTGATGAAGACTTAAAAATGTAAATCATGAGTCACTGTTGAGTTTTATTGAACCCTTTTATTTGATCTACTGTGATATGTAGGTTTTCTACTTTAAATTGTTTATTTGATTTATTATTATTATTATTATTTGAGATGGAGTCTCACTCTGTAGCCCAAATTGGAGTGCAATGGCACAATCTCGGCTCACTGCAACCTCTGCCTTTCGGGTTTAAGCGATTCTCCTGCCTCAGCCTCCCAAGTAGCTGGGATTATAGGCATGTGCCACCGTGTTGGCTAATTTTGTGTTTTTAGTAGAGATAGGGTTTCACCATGTTAGCTAGGCTGGTCTTGAACTCCTGACCTTAGGTGATCCATTCACCTCAGCCTCCTAAAGCGCTGGGATTACAGATGTGAGCCACAGTGCCCGGATGGTATGCTATTATTAATAGATTTTCTGATGCCATCCATGTGTTTGTCAAAAAAACTTTATTTGATCATAATGTTGTATAGGGAGAAACATGACAAACAGTACCTCAGCTAAGTTATCAAGCTTGGCTGATGATAAGTAATAAGTAATATCCATGATAAGTAATATCATATGATAAACAAAAACAAAAAAACTAAAACTGTAAACAAAACATACATTTCAAGATGAAATAAAATAAACGGCTGATGGAAAAATAAAATGACATTAGAGGAGGAAGGACCAAGAAAAGGGGTAATAAGAATGTAGTTGGGCTGGGCGCAGTGGCTCACGCCTGTAATCCCAGCACTTTGGGAGGCCGAGGCCGGTGGATCACCAGGTCAGGAGATCGAGACCATCCTGGCTAACACGGTGAAACCCCGTCTCTACTGAAAATACAAAAAATTAGCCAGGCGTGGTGGCAGGCGCCTGTAGTCCTAGTTACTGGGGAGGCTGAGGCAGGAGAATGGTGTGAACCCGGGAGGCGGAGCTTGCAGTGAGCCGAGATCGCGCCACTGCACTCCAGCCTGGGCGACAGAGCAAGACTCCGCCTCAAAAAAAGAAAAAAAAAAAAGAACGTAGTTGGTCAGATGTGCTACAGGGGACTTTGAATTGACTATCTAGCCAAAAGTCTTATTTCCTGGCTCACACAATACTGTGGAGGCGGGGGCAGAGGGGACACTCACCTGTCCCCAGGAGCCAAAATGGCACTGACTGGTCTCCAACTTAGGGCCTGGGTGAAGGTCTTCTCCACCAAGGCCAGGTGCCCAGGTTTCCCAGCTTGGGCCAGCTCAGCTGTCACAGGGGACCAGTAGCCTATTGGCCTGCTGGTCAGAGTGGCTGGTCCCACATCACATGGCACTACAGCCGAATGTTCATCTGCTCAGCTCCATTGCCTGCTAGGGAAGATGATGGTTCTTCAAAGAGTCCTTGGTTAGTGTTACAGCTCTGCAGCTTTGATTACCGTAGTGCTGATGGCTGTCTTGCTGTCTCTCGTCAACTGCTGCCTCTCCGTCTCACCAATCATCATCCTGCTGACCGCTGATCACCATCTGATATCGTTTGGGTGTGTCCCTACCCAAATCTCACCTTGAATCGTAGCTCCCATAATTCCCTCGTGTTGTGGGAGGAACCCAGTGGGAGATAATTGAATCATGGGTGCAGTTTCCTCCACACTGTTTTCGTGGTAGTGAGTCAGTCTCATGAGACCCGATGGTTTTATAAGGGGAAACCCCTTTTGCTTGGCTGTCTCATTCGCTCTGGTCTGCTGCCATGTAAGACTTACCTTTTGCCTTCCACCTGATTGTGAGGCCTCCCTAGCCATGTGGAACCGCCCATTAAACCTCTTTTTCTTTCTTTCTTTCTTTTCTTTTCTTTTCTTTTTTTTTTTTTTTTCACAATCCAGAGGTCTTTTATTTTTTTAACACCTCTGATGCCATGAATTCATAGGGAAGAGTTTCCAGCAGCTCAGCCTCCTTCCCATTGGTTCTCACAAAGCATGCTTCTCTGGGTGGAGCAGGCTGGTGCTTCAGTTGAACCCAGGTACCTTTCTCTTTGGCTTCTTTCTGTTTCTGATTATTTTCCTTCACACATTTCAGGAAGCTATCTCAGCTCTTAGCATGCTTAATGCGCTCAATGCACACATTAATTCTCTCGGCATGAATCTTGCCCTTGTTTGTTTACAACAATGCCAACAGCATGCTGGGTAACATTGTAGACTCTTCCAGTTTTGCCACGGTAACCCTTGTGGTCCATTCCTTTTTGAACAGTACCCATTCCCTTGATGTCTACAATATCACCTTTCTTACAAATTCGCATATACGTGGCCAAAGGAACAACTCCATGCTTTCTAAAAGGCCTAGAGAACATATATTGGGTGCCTCTCCTCTTCCCCTTTGCGTTCATCATTTTGGCAAATTACTGGAAGATGGCAGTTACGGCCAAAAGGCACCTCTTTTTCTTACAAATTGCCCAGTTTCAGGTACGTCTTCATCAAGCAGCGTGAAAACAGACTAATATACCACCTCTCTGTCTTTCTTTCTTTGCCACCACTCCACCACTCTCTGATCACCACCTCTCTGTCTCACTGACCTATCACCGACGGGCGCCTCTTGCCACCTTACCAGTTGCCGTCTTGCTGTCTTGCCATCCCTTGCTGTTTCACCTCTCTGCCAATCACCAATTGCCACTGTCTCTGCTGTCTTACTAATTCTTCAGTGATCCCCACTGTCTCACTGTCTCACTGGCGATCACCATCGGCAGATCGGCAGTGCTGCACCAGTCACTGCCGCTTGCTCACTGTCTTTGTTCCTTCAAGGTCACCAAATGTTGCAGGACAGGTGAACCCCAAAATTGGGGCTTAGCTGGGGAGGGTTCTTGGCTTCGCTCTGGAAAGAATTCAAGGGTGAGCCAGTGATGTCAGACAGAGATTTTTTTTTTTTTTGAGACAGAGTTTCACTCTTGTTGCCCAGGCTGGAAGGCAATGGCACGATCTTAGCTCACCGCAACCTCTGCCTCCCAGGTTCAAGCGATTCTCCTGCCTCAGCCTCCTGAGTAGCTGGGATTATGGGCATCAGCCACCATGCCTGGCTAATTTTGTATTTTTAGTAGAGACAGGGTTTCTCCATGTTGGTCAGACTGGTCTTGAACTCCCAACCTCAGGTGATCTGCCTGCCTTGGCCTCCCAAAGTGCTGGGATTACAAGCGTGAGCCACCTTTTGTTTGTTTGTTTGTTTGTTTTTGACATGGAGTCTCACTCTGTCGCCCAGGCTGGAGTGCAGTATTGCAGTCTCGGCTCACTGCAACCTCTGCCTTCCAGGTTCAAGTGATTCTCCTGCCTCAGCCTCCCGAGTAGCTGGGATTACAGGCATCAGCCACCATGCCTGGCTAATTTTGTATTTTTAGTAGAGACAGGGTTTTACCATGTTGCTCAGGCTGGTCTCGAACTCCTGACCTCAGGTGATCTGCCCGCCTCAGCCTCCCAAAGTGCTGGGATTACAGGCGTGAGCCACCGGTTTTGTTTGTTTGTTTTTGAGATGGAGTCTCACTCTCTCGCCCAAGCTGGAGTGCATTGTCACAGTCTCAGCTCACTGCAACCTCTGCCTCCCAGGTTCAAGCAATTCTTCCGCCTCAGCCCCCTGAGTAGTTGGGACTACAGACACGTGCCATGCCTGGCTAATTTTTTTTGTATTTTTAAAAGAGATGGGGTTTCACCATGTAGCCAGGAGGGTCTCGAACTCCTGACCCTGTGATCCGCCCACCTCAGCCTCCCAAAGTGTTAGGATTACAGGCGTGAGCCACCATACCTGGCCTTAGACAGATATTTTTTATGTAATGATACTGCTCCTTGTGAAGCAGGGCTAACTCATAGGCAGTGCACCCAGAGTCAACAACATACAAGCTCTTGGCAGCTGTAGTTATACTCATGTCAACTCACTTTCAGTTATACGTCAGTTAAGGGGTGGGTCAATGCAAATTGAGGAGCAGGTTCTTTAGAAGTTTTAAGGAAAAGGGCGAAGATGTCCAGGTTGTTTCCATGGAAACAGGTGGGAACTTCTAGGTCATTGCCATGGCATCGGTAAACAGTCATGGCACTGGAGGGAGTATCTTATGCCCACGAGCAATGAGGCAGCCAGGGATTGCTTTTGTTGCCATCTGCTGGTTCCTGCTGGTTTCTTCACATCATCTCATCTGGACCAGATTCTGTATGGGTCTGCAGGGTTGTGGCCAGAAAACAAGTTCTTCCAGTTTCCTACCTCATTACCATGTGAAATGTTACCATTAGGAGAAACTGGGTTCACATTAGGGATCCCTAGGTGAGGGATTTACATATGGGAAATCTCTTTCCTACATTTGCAACTTTGCTATAAACCCAAAATTATTCTAAAATTAAAACATTTTAAAAAAGAATACAAAGTAAAGATCAGGTCGAAAACCACTATTTGATTATGATACATGTATGTATTTTCCATCTTTAAACTGAGATTTAACACACATGTGGTAAATGCACATCTCTATGATCAAAATATAGAACATTTCCAGCATACAGAAACCCCGTTGTCAATCTCCACCTGCTCCTTCCTGATAATTCCCATTCTGAGTCTCCTTCAAAGGTTAGTTCTGCCTGTTCTCAAAATTCACACAAAATCAAATCTTACAGTGTGTACTCACTCTGTCTGGGTCCTTTTACTGTTTTGTGAGATTTATCTATGTTATTAAATGTACTAGTACTTTGCTTTTTCATTGCTGTATAGTATTCCAATCTTTGAATATGCCATTATATTTTTTATCATTCACCTGCTGGTGGACACGGGGTTGTTCCAATTTCAGATCATTCTAAATAAAGCTGCTATGGATCTTTTCTTTCCTCTTTGATACTATTTCACTCTTTGGTTAACAGCATGCACTGTGGAGGCAGACTGGGTTCAAGTCTCAGCCCCACCATCTACCAGCTGTGTGACCTTGGGCCAGTTAGCTAAACTTGCAGTGCCTCCTCAGTTTCCTCATCTGTATAATGGAGGTCATATGATCTACTGAAGGGTAGGAACATTAAATGAATGAGTTTATAAAGCTGTTGGAAAAGTACCTGACTACCCTAGGCATTAAATAAACAAGCAATTATGATTCTGCCCCAACTCCCAAAGTCAGCAGGAATTCCCAAAAATGAGGACAGCAGCAGCTCAAAGCAGGAAAGCCAGGAGGTCACAGGGGACAGTGCTTCCAGGAACTGGGGGTGCTACCTGCCTACCCTTGCCCTAGTGGAGGGGGTGTAACACAGTAGCTTTCTCTTACAATTTATCAGATTTCATTAAAAGCATCCCACTGCTCAGCCATCCATGAGTGGATGAGTCCTTCTCCCTGTCAACCCCAGACCATCCCCCACTGCCTCCCTGAAATTCTTGAAAGATCCGGCCCATCTCATGCTCTGATGCTTTCCACTAGTCTTTTGGATGACAGATCCCTACCCAACTTCCTGTTTCTCTTTCTGTGGGAGACTAGATTTAGGAAGTAAAGATCACAGGGTGGGAAATAAAAGCTGTGGCCCCCAGGAGTTCTGGACACTGGGGGAGAGTGGGGTGACATGAGTGACTCCAAGGAACCAAGACTGCAGCAGCTGGGCCTCCTGGGTGAGGCTGGGTTGGGACGCTGGGATTCTGGGAAGGGGGAAGGGATGGCCAGCCATGGCCTCAGCCTGCCCAGGCTCTGATTTCACGTCTATCCATTCAGAGGAGGAACAGCTGAGAGGCCTTGGATTCCGACAGACTCGAGGATACAAGAGCTTAGCAGGTAGAGAGGACTTAGCAGTTTGGGAGGAGAGACGAGAGACTCCTGGACTCCTGGGTCCTGAGGAGCTGGACGCTGGGGCCTGGACTCTTGGGTCCTGGGGATGTGGGGCTAGGGGCCTGGACTCCTGGGACCTGAGGAGGTTGAGTTTGGGGCCTGAATTCCTGGTTCCTGGGAAGGTGGAGGCTGGGGCCAAGACTCCTGGGTTCTGGGGAGGTAGAAGTTGAAGCCTGGGTTCCTGGGTCCTGGGGAGGTGGGGTCAGGGGCCTAGACTCCTGGGTCCTGGAGAGGTGGGGGCCTGGGCCTGGACTCCTGGGTCATGGGGAGGTGGGGACTTGGGCCTGGGTTCCTGGGACCTGGGGATGTAGGGGCTGGGACCCAGATTCTTGGGTCTTGGGGAGGTGGGAGCAGGTACCTGGGTTACTGGGACCTGGGGAAGGGGAGGCTGGGTCCTGGGTCCCTGGGTCCTGGGGAGGTGGGAGCTGGGGGCCTGGGTTCCAGGGACCTGGGAATGTAGAGGCTGGGGCCTGGATTCCTGGGTCCTGGGGAGGTGGAAGCAGGTACCTGGTTCCTGGGACCTGGGGAAGGGGAGGCTGGGGACGGGGTCCCTGGGTCCTGGGGAGGTTAGAGCTAGGGCCTGGATTCCCAGGTGTTGGAGTGGAGGGGGCTGGGGCTGGGGTTCCTGGGTCCTGGGGTGCTGAGGGATTTAGACCAGGCTCTCCCTGGGCCAGGCTCCGGTGGGGACACTGGCAGGCTGACGCATGTATCCTCTCTCAGGGTGTCTTGGCCATGGTCCCCTGGTGCTGCAACTCCTCTCCTTCACGCTCTTGGCTGGGCTCCTTGTCCAAGGTCAGGGGCAGGTTCTGAG
This sequence comes from Homo sapiens, assembly GCF_000001405.40. Classification (NCBI taxonomy): domain Eukaryota; kingdom Metazoa; phylum Chordata; class Mammalia; order Primates; family Hominidae; genus Homo; species Homo sapiens. The sequence continues at coordinate 7,746,440 of NC_000019.10, read as the reverse complement.
GGTCTGGGGTCCCCACGCCTGGCTTTTGGCTGTGGACACAGCCTGGGGCTGCCAGATCTGGGAGGGAGGTGGGACTGAGAGCCAAGATGTTGTCCCTGGGGGTCTGTAGGGGCCTCTCCCACAGCCCCTCCCCACTCTAGGGCAGGACAGGAGAGGGAGGAGGAGGAGGACAGGAAGAATCTGGCTCTCCTTGGCCTTCTGTGCTGCCTTCTCCAGGTGTCAGTTTTCTTCATCTTCAAAGGGGATTAACCAAGACCTTGGCTCTCACAAATGATGTCCCTATGGGGCTCAGTTCAAGGCTTGGCACACAGTAGGTGTTTAATAATTGCAGTTCCTTTTTTTTCTTGGCCCAGTGTCCAAGGTCCCCAGCTCCATAAGTCAGGAACAATCCAGGCAAGACGCGATCTACCAGAACCTGACCCAGCTTAAAGCTGCAGTGGGTGAGCTCTCAGAGAAATCCAAGCTGCAGGAGATCTACCAGGAGCTGACCCAGCTGAAGGCTGCAGTGGGTGAGCTTCCAGAGAAATCTAAGCTGCAGGAGATCTACCAGGAGCTGACCCGGCTGAAGGCTGCAGTGGGTGAGCTTCCAGAGAAATCTAAGCTGCAGGAGATCTACCAGGAGCTGACCTGGCTGAAGGCTGCAGTGGGTGAGCTTCCAGAGAAATCTAAGATGCAGGAGATCTACCAGGAGCTGACTCGGCTGAAGGCTGCAGTGGGTGAGCTTCCAGAGAAATCTAAGCAGCAGGAGATCTACCAGGAGCTGACCCGGCTGAAGGCTGCAGTGGGTGAGCTTCCAGAGAAATCTAAGCAGCAGGAGATCTACCAGGAGCTGACCCGGCTGAAGGCTGCAGTGGGTGAGCTTCCAGAGAAATCTAAGCAGCAGGAGATCTACCAGGAGCTGACCCAGCTGAAGGCTGCAGTGGGTGAGTATCTGGAACCAGGGCTTCTTGGGCCTGAGATGGTCGTTGTGTGGTGTGAGTTTGCTTGAGTCACTGACCCTGCCTGAGCAAGTTTCCTCATCTGTGAAATGAGAACACAGGGTAACTGTGATCATTGCCCTCAGTGTTCACAGTGGGCCAGGTACACAACAGGCACTCAGTTAAGCCAGTCTCCTGCCTTCTGTTCTGAGTTCTAAAGCCCCAACTTCTCCTAGTCTGGAGGAGATGGGGCCAGGACTCCTGGGTTCTCATGGGGATGGGGGAGGGTCTCGGGAAGTGGGGAGGGGAATGGTCTACCCGGCGTGGACAGTCAAGGAAGGACTCTGACTCTCAAGACCTTGAAGGCTGGGCAGGTACAGGAATATGGACAACCTAATCTAAGCCCAGCCCTGACCAGCCTCCCCCAACAGAACGCCTGTGCCACCCCTGTCCCTGGGAATGGACATTCTTCCAAGGAAACTGTTACTTCATGTCTAACTCCCAGCGGAACTGGCACGACTCCATCACCGCCTGCAAAGAAGTGGGGGCCCAGCTCGTCGTAATCAAAAGTGCTGAGGAGCAGGTACACCTGGTGGGGGTCCCCGTCCTGGCCTAGGGCATGGCTTCTGGCCAACTGGGGAGGAGGTGCTCAGAGATGACTTTGCAGAAGAGGGGTTTTGCTCCACTTGGAAAGAAGGGAGGAGAAGGATATGAATGAGGGAGTCTCAAGTACCCTTAGAGCAGATACAAACCAAATCTGAACATGTGTGAATGCTCCGGAAAAAAACATCAAATGTAAGCAAACCCCTGCAGCATGCTGCAAGAGGTTAACAACCAGCTCTCTGGAGGAAGAAGTCCTGATGGGTCGTGTTTGCCAGTTTCCCTGGTGTAAATATTCCCATGGTGGCTGATTTCAAGCTGTCGTTGTGATGTCACTCAGTGCAGAGCTGAAAGGAGATGTGCATGACCAGCAGTTAGGAAATGGTTGCCTCTGGCTCCAACACATTAAGCCCAGTTATGAGTAAATGTGCATGGACATGCACAGAACATGTGAAATGGATAAACATGCAGTATTAGCAAGAGGGTGTGAGGAGAGGCCAGCTGTGCATGGATGTGTGCATGTCAGGACACATGTGCCGTGGGATACACATGTGAGAGGGACTCAGACACGAGGGGGCTCAGGACCTAGTATACCAGAAGGCTGTAGGTTAGCCTACAAGCAGAACTTCCTACCAAGAGATGGGGAGACAGAGCCTGGAAAATGGGAAGCAGAGCTCCCTCCTGACTCCTCCTGTACCCTCCAGAACTTCCTACAGCTGCAGTCTTCCAGAAGTAACCGCTTCACCTGGATGGGACTTTCAGATCTAAATCAGGAAGGCACGTGGCAATGGGTGGACGGCTCACCTCTGTTGCCCAGGTAGATCTCAGAAGGGGCACCCTATCCACTGGGGCTGGAATTGTGAAACTCTGATTTGAACTTTCCCTGGGGATCCTCCCCAACTCCCTGACACCCTAGACCCAAGAATCTGGAGGTTTTACTGAGTTGAGGAAGGTGGTCTTCATACCCACTTCCAGACAGCATGGCAGGTGCCTAGAATTCCACCAGCAGAGCTGCAGGAGGAGCCTGCCACCGGGGAGGTGTATTAAAATATAATGTATTAATAGGAAGTCTGAGGTCCAGTAAGGCCACCAGCTCAGGAGACACCTGCCATTGTGAATAGCTTCTCATATACACAGATCCCTAGAGAGAGGACACATCACAGCTGGGGGCCACCTGGGGAAGCACCAGGGTCTGTTATGAGTCAGAGTGGTGGGGAGGGGGGACTGTGGGCCAGAGCCTTTATTATGGTTTCTGTGGAAAGGAAAGGTCAAGGCCAGGTGAACAGGCTTAGGATTGGGAAGTGTGAAGCATTTTTTGGGCTCTGGGGCACAGGGGCTGCCCCTCGCTGTCTGACACCTGGCCTTGGGGTGATTAGTACAGGATAGTGGCTTGGAGTACAAGAGCCCAGTAAGGCAGGTCGCTGGAGGTGTGGACTCCAGACTGGTTGGCTTGTATTTGAAAATCACACACTCAATAGGTGGAGTCCACCCAAGGACAGGTTGTGAGAAGAGAGGCAGGAACTCAAGGCATCGTGAGTCAGGCATATTATCAGGTATGCAGAGGGATTCAAGTCCAGCATACACACGCAGGGCAGATGTTAAGGCATCAAGATGACAGAAGGTAGAAACACAGCTCATGTAGCTGGCGGGGACAGAGGCTCACATTCCGCATGGGCTTTGCAGCTTCAAGCAGTATTGGAACAGAGGAGAGCCCAACAACGTTGGGGAGGAAGACTGCGCGGAATTTAGTGGCAATGGCTGGAACGACGACAAATGTAATCTTGCCAAATTCTGGATCTGCAAAAAGTCCGCAGCCTCCTGCTCCAGGGATGAAGAACAGTTTCTTTCTCCAGCCCCTGCCACCCCAAACCCCCCTCCTGCGTAGCAGAACTTCACCCCCTTTTAAGCTACAGTTCCTTCTCTCCATCCTTCGACCTTCACAAAATCTCTGGGACTGTTCTTTGTCAGATTCTTCCTCCTTTAGAAGGCTGGGTCCCATTCTGTCCTTCTTGTCATGCCTCCAATTTCCCCTGGTGTAGAGCTTGTTTTTCTGGCCCATCCTTGGAGCTTTATGAGTGAGCTGGTGTGGGATGCCTTTGGGGGTGGACTTGTGTTCCAAGAATCCACTCTCTCTTCCTTTTGGAGATTAGGATATTTGGGTTGCCATGTGTAGCTGCTATGTCCCCTGGGGCGTTATCTTATACATGCAAACCTACCATCTGTTCAACTTCCACCTACCACCTCCTGCACCCCTTTGATCGGGGACTTACTGGTTGCAAGAGCTCATTTTGCAGGCTGGAAGCACCAGGGAATTAATTCCCCCAGTCAACCAATGGCACCCAGAGAGGGCATGGAGGCTCCACGCAACCCCTTCCACCCCCACATCTTCCTTTGTCTTATACATGGCTTCCATTTGGCTGTTTCTAAGTTGTATTCTTTATTTTATTATTATTATTACTATTTTTCGAGATGGAGTTTCACTCTTGTCGCTCAGGCTGGAGTGCCATGGCGCGATCTTGGCTCACTGCAACCTCTGCCTCCCGGGTTCAAGTGATTCTCCTGCCTCAGCCTCACGAGTAGCTGGAATTACAGGCAGGCGCCACCAGACCCGGCTAATTTTTTGTATTTTTAGTACAGATGGGGTTTCTCCGTGTTGGTCAGGCTGGTCTTGAACTCCCGACCTCAGATGATCTGCCCGCCTCGGCCTCCCAAAATTGCTGGGATTACAGGTGTGAGCCACCGCGCCTGGCCTATTATTTTTTGTAAGAATAAAACAGGTTTATTGGGATTTGGGACTCTGAACAGTTCTGTCTCTACTACCTGATCTCCTCCTACCACGACTTTGGGATCTAGAGGAGCTTTGGCTCCGGCTGTGACGGCTCCGGCCGTTCTCACTGCGGCTGCACCGGCCCCCGCTGCGGTCACTATTTCTTCCTCTGCTAGGTGAATTGTGCCTCTCCTGGCTCTTTGACATGTGCTAGTGAGATTTCTTCCTTTTCCTTTCGGATTCCCCATTTCTTTTGTAGGAATGGTCTGGACTAGGGTTCTCCTTCCCCGCAGCCTGTAGTATTCATCGTGGTGGCCCACCCTCTCTCTCCCCTTGGAGCTCTTGCCAAAGGAGGAGACAAGCAGAGGTCTCTATTGGATTTCTCAACACCTGAAGAAAGTTGCAGTGTTTTCCTCTTGGACATTGTTGTATTTCAAATAAACCACAAATCATCATTTTCCACCGAGCCACTGGGCAGAATTCACACTGAAGCTGTCGTCCTGCGTACATACCATCGTCCGTTAAACAGAGAAAGAGCTGCTTGGCATTCTTCTTCCGACTGGTACTGAACATATATACTTGCCCCTCAGGTGAGGTTCCAAGTTGCAACTGACCTTGAACTGAATCACTCTCCCCACGTTATTTTTTAATTACTATTTTTTTTTAAAGATGGGGTCTTGCTCTGTCGCCAGGCTGGAGTGCAGTGGCGCGATCTAGGCTCACTGCAACTTCCGCCTCCCGGGTTCAAGCGATTCTCCTGCCTCAGCCTCCCGAGTAGCTGGGACTCCACTAAAAGTACAAAAATTAGCTGGGCGTGCACCACTGCGCCCAGCTAATTCTTGTATTTTTGGTAGAGACGGGGTTTCAACATGTTGACCAGGATGGTCTCGATCTCTTGACCTCGTGATTCGCCCGCCGCGTCCTCCCAAAGTGCTGGGATTACAGGCCTGAGCCACCGCGCCCAGTCTCTCCCCACGTTCTTGAACTCGGGCAGCACATCCTCACAGAAATCTAGGAACTGTTGGTAGGTTTCTTCCTCGCTGTACTCCAGGCTTGCTTCGGAGTCATAGTCATCCCTCCTGCACTGCTCCTTTCCAAACACTGTAAACATGCTTTTAATAAGAAGGGTAGGACTGGATGTTGGGAAATCATGTGAACATCTATCTCCAAATCTGCAAGCTCCTGTTTTACTGTAGAAGGGACAATTAACTCCATCCTTCTCCATGACTCTGAAATCCAAGGGGGGGTTCCGGGTTTTGCCATGTGGCGCCATTTTCCAACTCATTTTCAGCCTGATCCAGCATCTTCTGGACAGCTTCCGGTTTTTGTTTCTTCTGTCGTTTCTGTTCCTCCTCCTCTCTCTCTTTCCTCTGCTGTTCTTCCCATTGTTCCTTTAACTTTCGCTCTTGTTCTTGCCGTTTTCTAGCCACCTCTTCCTTTTCCTTCTTTATTCTGAATTCTTCTTGTGCCTTCTGCTCTCTCAGCAACCACTCCTCATGTAATCTTTGCCTCTCTCTTCCCCATAGCTTTTCTAGTTGTTGTTTTTCAATAAAAGTGTCCTCCTCTTTCTGTGAGAGTCCTGAGTCCCTCAGTGGAGCAAGTTCCTGCTGGCGTTTCTTTCGTTTCTCCTTCTTCAGGGCGGCCCTGTACTTTTTGTGGCTTGGTTTCTCTGGAAATGTCACCTTTTCGGGCGCAGCCATCTTGCCGGCACCGCCCCGCCCCTCTAGTTGTATCCTTTATAATAAACTGGTAAACATTGTAACCGCAGATTCAGCCCAATCTGGTTCAACTTTGTGTAATAAAATGGCGAGTTGTTTTTCAGTTGTCGTGGACCCCCAGGTTGCAAGTTACATACCCTGGGCATGTCCAGATGAACGAAGCGTGCAAATCCACGTGGAACCTAAGTGCTCAGACCGAGGAACAGGGACTGAGTTAAGAAGTGGACACCACGTGGCATGATCCTTGATCCAATCAGATTGAGCCCTGGCGTGATCCAGTCAGATCAAGCCTCCTGAATCCCCTCATTACAAGATCCAATCATATCATGCCTCACTACCCTCTGTATATAAAATCTGCCCCAGCCTCCAACTTGGAGAGACAGATTTGGGCCAGACTCCTGTGTCCTTGCTTGGCTGCCTTGCAATAAATTTTTCTCTCTACAAAACCCCAGTGCTTCAGTGTTTGGTTTTCCACTGTGAGCCAGGGAACTGACCCAATTTAGTTCGGCAACAACATAAGCAAAATGTTTTCCCGAGTTCTCTAAATCATTCTAGGAAATTACTGAACTTGAGATGGACTTATGGGAAGCCACAATTTTTTGCCAGCCTGGCAGAAGTGTGGGTAGACAGTGCAAAGACTGTCTTTGCACCTGGCATCTGAAGCAGGGTCAGTCTTTTGGGACCTAGCCCTTTAATTTGTGGAATGTGGTGCTAACTCCAGGAAGCTAGTGTTAGAATTAGAGAATTTCTTTGGTGTAAATAAGACACCACAAACATCACTTCCTTTCTACTGATGTTGACCCCAAAGATGCACCTTCATAAACAGCTTGCAAGCTAAATTCCGTCTTACTTAAGAGTTGACCTTCAACAGGCAGAGGAACTGTGAGGCTTGTTCTATGTCGTCTCCCAGAGGCTCCCAGGGGGATTGGACCCAATTGCCCTTTTCAGCTCATTGGTGCCTTTGTATTGGGTTCCTTCCTTTCCCTACCTGCTCCTCTTCATTCTTCCCATCCCCTGCTGATGCTTCTTGGAATCTCCTCCCAGATAAGCTACTTATATCCAAATCCTTGTCTCAAGCTCTTTAGTAGGGGAAACCCAAGCCAAGCTTATATTTTGATAACTACCAGGCATGGCTCCTTTTATGTGGGAGACAAGGTCTTGCTCTGTCACCCAGGCTGAAGTGCAGTGGTGCAATCATGGCTCACTGCAGCCTTGACCTCATGGGCTCCAGTGATCCTCCCACCTCAGCCTCCTGAGTAGCTGGGACCACACGTGTGCATCACCATATCTAGCTACTTTTAAAAAATTTTTTGTAGAGATGGGGTCTCACTGTGTTGCCCATGCTGTTCTTGAACTCCCGGGCTCAACTCATCCTCCTGCCTCAGCCTCCCAAAGTGCTGAGTTTACAGGCCTGGGCCGCTGTGGCCTGCCTGGTCATGGCTCTTCTCTATCAAAATGTTCTCAGGTATTCTTGTGCAATTTTTGGATGATTTTTGAGTCTACTCTGGCTTTAAAGGTTTTCATTTACTTGTGGAATAAGTCACGTGTGCACACAGAACCAAAACGTATCAATCTCTACAGTGAAAACTAAAGCTCATTCCGTCCCCGTTTTCCCATCTCAAGAGGTTACTGTCCCCACTTGTAGCTTTGCTATTTATTCCCAACTAAAGAGTATAACCTCTTTATTATATTCCAAATAATGAGCTTGTCAAGTTTGTTTTAAAATCTGTTTGGAAATCCTTCAACAGAATTTTGAAAATCTATCTGTGGAGTAGGTGGAGCCCAAAGGATTTTTATTTTTATTTTTATTTTTTGAGACAGAGTCTCACTCTGTCACCCAGGCTGGAGCGCAGTGGTGCAATCTCAGCTCCCTGCAGCCTCTGCCTCCTGGGTTCAAGCAGTTCTCCTGCCTCAGCCTCCTGAGTAGCTGGGATCACAGGCACCCGCCACCATGCTCGGCAATTTTTTTGTATTTTTCGTAGAGACAAGGTTTCACCACATTCGCTAGGCTGGTCTCGAACTCCTGACTTCAGGTGATCCACCCGCCTTCGCCTCCCAAAGTGCTAGGATTACAGGTGTGAGTCACCGTGCCCAGCCTATGAAATTTTCTTTTCTTTTACAAAGTAGATTCACATTGTTGTGTAACCATCACCACCATTCATCTCGCAAACTTTTTCATCTTCCCAAGTGAAACTCTGTCCCCAGGAAACACTGACTCCCCATTCCCCGTTCCCCAGCCCCTGGCACCCACCATTCTACTTTCTGTTTCTATGAATCTGATGACTCTAGGGACCCCGCATGAATGGAATCATACAGCCTTTGTCTTATTATGACTGGCTTATTTCACTTAGCATATTTTCCTCAAGGTTCATCATGTTGTAGCATGTGTCAGAATGTCCTCCCTTTTTTTTTTTGAGATGAAGTCTGACTCTGTCGCCCAGGCTGGAGTGCAGTGGGGCGATCTCCGCTCACTGCAAGCTCCGCCTCCCAGGTTCACGCCATTCTCCTGCCTCAGCCTCCCGAGTAGCTGGGACTACAGGCACCCACCACCACGCCCGGCTACTTTTTTTTTTTTTTTGTATTTTTAGCAGAGACAGGGTTTCACCATGTTAGTCAGGATGGTCTTGATCTCCTGACCTCTTGATCCACCCACCTCAGCCTCCCAAAGTGCTGGGATTACAGGCGTGAGCCACTGCGCCCAACCAAGTTCTTTAATTAGTCCAGAAGTCCCTAGAGCTTCCTAGATACAAGATCGCATCTTCCAAATATTGTCAGCTTTGACTCATCCTTTCCAATATTTACAGGTCTTAATTCTTTATATTTCCTTATTGCATCGACAAAATAGCAAGAGGGGCATCTTTATCGTGTTCTTGATTTTACTAAATATGCTTCTCACATTTCACTATTGAGTAAGGCGTTTCGGCAGGCTCACAGAAATTACCCCTTATCCAGCCAGAATCAGTGAGCTAGGGCTGCCACGACAAAGTAGCACAAAGCGGGGACTTTGAACAACAGAAATTTATTCTCTCACAGTCCTGAAGGCCGGAAGTCTGAACTCAAGGTGTCAGCAGGGCTGTGTTCACTCTGAATTGCGTAGGGGAGAAACCTTCCCTGCGTTTCTCTAGATTCTGGTGGTTGCCGACAACCTTTGGCGTTCCTTGGCTTGTACACCCATTGCTGGAATCTCTGCTTCTGTTATCATGATTTTCTCCCTTCCTACCTCTTCACGTCATCTTCCCTCTGTGTCTCTCTTCTCTCATTTTGCTTTGTTTTGCTTTTAAGAGATAGGGGCTGGGTGAGGCAGCTCACACCTATAATTCCAGCACATTGGGAGGCAGAGGTAGGAGGATCTATTTGAGGCCAGGAGTTCGAGACCAGCCTAGGCAGCAAAGTGAGATCAAATCTTTACAAAAAAAAAAAAAAAAAAAAAAAAATAGAAAAACTGGCTGGGTGCTGTGGCTCACATCTGTAATCCCAGCACTTTGGGAGGTCGAGGCGGGGGGATCACCTGAGATGAGGAGTTCAAGACCAGCCTGGCCAACATGGTGAAACCCCATCTGTACTAAATTCAAAAAATCAGCCAGGAGTGGTGGCATGCGCCTGTAACCCCAGCTACTTGGGAGGCCGAGGCAGGAGAATTGCTTGAACTCAGGAGGCGGAGGTTGCAGTGAGCCAAGATTGCACCATTGCACTCCAGCCTGGGCAACAAGAACAAAACTCTGTCAAAAAAAAAAAAGAAAGAGAGAGAGAGAGAAGAAAGGAAGGAAGGAAGGAAGAATAAAAAGAAAGAAGAGAGAGAGAGAAAGAAAGAAAGAAGGAAAGAAGAGAGAAAGAAGAGAGAAAGAAGGGAAAGAAAGAAAGAGAGAAATAAAGAAAAAGAAAGGAAGGAAGGAAGAAAAAGAAAGAAAAGAAAGAAAGAAAGAAAGAAAAAGGAAGGAGGAAAGAAAGAAAGAAAAAGGAAGGAAGGAAGGAAGGAAGGAAGGAAGGAAGGAAAGAAAGAGTTGGGCATGGTGGTGCTCCCCTGCAGTTGCAGCTACCTGGAAGGCTCAGGCAAGAGGATCACTTGTGCTCTGGAGGTCAAGGCTGCAGTGAGCTGTGATTCTGCCACTGGGCAAACCGAGTGAGACCCTGTCTCAAAAAAAAAAAAAAGGGGATCTTGCTCTGTTGCCCAGGCTGGAGTGTAGTGACATGAGATTGCCCTGCCTCAGCCTCCTGAGTAGCTGGGACTACAAACATGTGCCACCACACACAGCTAAATTTTTCTGTAGAGGTGGGGTCTTCTTGTGTTGTCCAGGTTGGTCTCCAACTCCTGGCCTCAAGCACTTCTTCAGCCTAGTGCTGGGATTACAGGTGTAAGCCACCACAGTTAGCCCCAGCATTGCTTTTGGGGGACACTGTTCAATCCCCTACACCGTGGACATTTTGAATTTCTTCTGGATCTTACCAAAAATGGTTCTCATGTTTCACTATTAAGGAAGACATTTCTGTAAGATCCTGGAAATTGCCACTTCTCAAATTAAGGAAGCTTTATCCTGTTCTGTGTTTACTAAGCATTTATTTTTTGTGCTTATCTTCATTTTAAATGCAGAATGAATGTTGAATAGACATATCTCATAATTGTAATGTGGAGAGGACAAAAACAAGTTCCGGAAGGATATAGACCATGTGATGACATTTTAATAAAGCTCCCAGATGTGCAAAACAGCCCAATATATTCACCATTGAAAGATTTGTAATTAAAGCATTTTAAGATAGGATAAACACCAAGTTTGGGAGAGCAGTGGCCTTGGGGAGGGGAATAAGAGGAGGGTGGGGTACAAGAGACCTCCACTCTATTTGCTATGATTTGTTATGTGACGATGTTATGTTATTTGTTATGTGATGTTATTTGTTATGTTATCATGTTTGTTATACGATGTTATTTGCTACATTTTGTTATTTGTTACGTGATGATTTTTAAGAATATCTGAAATATGTGAAGATATCAAAACTTGATAAAGCTGAGTGGAAGGCATAAGCGTTTTCATTTTTTTTCCTGCATACCTCTTTGCATACTTTATAATAAAAAATAAAAGCAAAGCCAAAATTCAGAGCGACAACCAGTACACCATATGCCCTTTGCAGTGGGCTGGCTTCCCTGGTTACAGCAACCCTCTCATCTCTGCAGAGAATGGAAACCAGAGTGGTCATGGCCTTGGGGCTGAATCCTGTGATTTTCACCTTCTTCCCACATTCGCCCAAACCTCTTGTCCCTGCTCTTCAGGTCCTTGTATGATGTGACCCCAGCTGACACCCTAGCCCCAGATGACTGCCCCTGAATTACTCTCAGCTTCTCCAACAAGTCCTGTTCCCTTACTCTCCCAATCTTTGCATGTGCTGATAACCATGTTGGGGCCATTCTTTAATGTATCCATCTCCTCTGGAATAATTCTGACTCCTTCCCCAGGCATCACCTCCTCCAGGAAGCCCTCCCGGCTCAGCCAGTGTCTCCAGTGGTCCTCACAGTCTCCTATACTTCCCAGACTCATCATATTGCCTTCAAATTGCCTGGTTACATGTTCCCTGCCCCCCTCCCCGAGAAACAGGCCTCCCTTCCCTGTCCTAGGCCAGGGGTAGAGAGTGGAGGTCTGCTGCCTCCTTCTAGGACCTCTCTTCCCCTCTCAGTTATCCCACAGCGAGGTCTGGGCACGGGACATGGATGGGCAGCCTTCTGGCTTCCTCGCTAAACTGGACAGCTCCGCCCTGGCTCGCCAAGGCAGCTTCAGCCACAGGTGTATCCAGCTGAGCCCCACTTTCCTGCCCCCTTGCCTTTGTCTTGGCTGTGCCCTGTGCCTGGTGTGTCCTTCCTTTCTCTGTCCACAATACACATGTCGTCAAAGCCACACGTCTCATGCTATCTCTTCCAGAAAACCTCCGATTTCCCAAATGAACTAATTCTATCTCCTCCATAAGGGCTGATGAAACACTTCCATGTAAATCCTTTCCCCAGAACACATTACGATGGTTGCTTTGGACAGAGATTGTGCAATTCTTGTGGGGTTTCATTTCCACTCCCTGAACCAGGAAGCCATCTACTCTCTGCTCAGTGACAGCCAATTGCTACTGCATTTATGGAAACTTTCATGAGGACTTAATTCTACACATCCCCCTCTCCCACCCCACCCCAAAATATTACTCCGGAAGAGTCAGTTGCCCATTGCTGGGTGTCTGACCCTATTCCCTGCCTCAACAAAACCAGGAGATGCTGGTATGAAGCCTGACACCCTGGTCTGAGTTTTGTGTACAAGGCTTGTCTTTTTAGATGTGTGGTTTTTTCTTCACCTTCCTTTCCCTTCCATCTTTCTTTTACAAAATCCTCTTGTTTTTTTTATTTCATTTTATTGTGAATGTCTCTCATTCCTGGAAGAAGAAAGGGGGAAATAGACAATAAGTACAATTTATTTATTTATTTATTGTTGAGACAGGGTCTCACTCTGTCACAGGCTGGAGTGCAGCGGGCACAATTACAGCTCACTGCAGCCTCAAACTCCTGGGCTGAAGCAATCCTCCAGCCTCAGCCTCCTGAGTAGCTGGGACTACCGATACACATCACCATGCCCAGGTAATTTAAAATTTTTTTTTAATTTTGTAAAGATGGGGTCTTGCTACATTGCCCAGGCTGGTCTCGCGATCCCCCTGCCTTGGCTCCCCAAGGTGTTGAAATTGCAGAGCTGAGCCACCGCGCCTCGGCTCAAATAAAATTTTTAAATGAAAAAATGGATAAGGGTTTTTGAGAGGCTCAAGAAGATGAAGTGTGTTTACATATCTACAAGAGGGGCTGGAACATTCTATTAAGTGCTCAACATTTCACCTTGTCAGTGAGGCTGGCCCTGGCCACCCTAGCCACTGCCCACTGCCTAGTGCCCATCCCAGTCCTGCCAAGTACTTATCCTACTGGATTTTTTCTTCCCTTAATGTTTTTTCATAGCATTTATGACTTTTGAATAGAGTATACTACGGTTCCCACCTTTTGCACTATGGACATTAGGAGTCAGATCATTCTTTGCTATGGGGGATGTCTTAGGCATTGTAGGGCTTTGCGCAGCATCCCTGGCCTCTACCCACTAGATGCCTGGAGCACACACACACACACACACACACACACACACACATTCTGTGACAACCAAAAGTGTCTCCAGACATAGCCAAATGTCCCCTGGTGGGCGTAATTGCCCCCAGCTGGGAACTACTATGCTATACAACTTATGTTTTCAATTATGTTTATTACGTTGAGTATGGAGTCTGTCTCCCCACACTTCTAGAATATTAGCTCCAAGAAGAGAGGAATTTGCTTATTTTACTCTCTGATGTGGCCCCAGTTCCAAGATCAATGCCTGGCATATGGCAGGTGCTCAATGTTTGTTGAAAGAATGCATGAACACTGAGTGTTTTTGATATGCCTGAAATGGTGCTAGGTAGACATGTATAACCTCATTGTCTTTATTTTTTTATTTTTTCAATTTTTGTTTTCATATATATATATATATATATATTTTTTTTTTTTTTTCAGAAATGAGGGTCTTGTTATATTGCCCAGGCTGGTCTGGTCTGGAACTCCTGGGCTCAGTGATCCTTCCATGTCGGCCTCCCAAAGTGCTGGGATTACAGGTGTGAGCCAGCAAGACTGTCTTGTTTCTTTATCATAGCATCTTTGTGAGAGAGGCCCATCGCTATCTCCTTTACAGTGGGGAAAACTAAGGCTTCTAGAAGCTACCTAGAACCCATACAGTGGTAGAGTCCTGCAGCTCCGCCGGCTACCTCCCTAACAAAACTGTTTGTTCCCTTCTGGTACAGAGGGACTGGATCAAGGTCAGGTTCAAACCCAGCCTCTGCAGGCACCTGCAGGGGAGTTGAGAAGGGACCTGAACTGGCCTGGGGGGCTATGCCTGAGGGGGCTTTCTCAGGAGCCAGCAGGGGTTACAATTTGGTCGGGTTCAGTGTGTCCCTCGCGGGATAAAACCCAGCCCCAGGCCCATAAGAGATGGTGACTAAGCTCCAAAGAGAAGCCTCCAGCCCCAGGCCCATAAGAGATGGTGACTAAGCTCCAAAGAGAAGCCTCCAGCACCAGCCTGGGGATGGAGCTGCAGTGGCCAGAACCAGGAGGCTGGAACCGCCCGGCCTCACTCCAGCCCAGCCCAGCCCAGCCTTGAAAGGGCCCAATCCTGTGATTGGTCCATGGGTTCCCGTTGCCAGGAATTAAGGCCAAGAAAATGGGAAGGAAGGAAGGGAGTGCGTAGGTCCAGTGAGAACAGGCGTGAAATTTATATCTCTGCCCAGGACTGGGTGCCTGCATCGCCATGGACACCACCAGGTACAGCAAGTGGGGCGGCAGCTCCGAGGAGGTCCCCGGAGGTATGAGCAAGGAGACTGCCCCATCCCTGCCCCAGTGTCTGGGGTTTGATGGGGGAGGGGAGGGAAGAGTCGAGACAGGCCAGGGTTGTGGGTGCAGGAGAGACACCACAGGCCATAGAGCCAGTTGGACCAGGGTCCAATTCCAACTCTGCCGCTTAGAAGCTGTGTGACCATAGGCAAGTTACTTAACTTCTCTGAATCTCAGTTTCCTGGGAGTAACTCAGGCCTCCAGGGCTCAGTTCTGGGGGACCCAGCATGCCGTCCTTGTTATGCCAGGGCCCTGGGGACGCTGGGTGCACTGGAGCAGGAGACCCCTCTTCTTGGCCCTGGCTGTCCTGGTCACCACAGTCCTTTGGGCTGTGATTCTGAGTATCCTATTGTCCAAGGGTGAGTGACTCTCAATGGGGAGGTGTTGCATCCGGCCCCCCTGGGGACAGAAAACCCCCACTGCATGGCGCACCAGCTGCATCCTGGGGTCCTGTTCGCGTCTGAGTGTGAGCAGAGTGTGTGTACATCTTTGGGCCGTGTGCACTCACGCGTGTGCACATGGCGTGCTCGTATGTGCGCGAGTCCCCGCGCGTTTGTCTCCCATCGGCGTGTGTGCACATCGTGTGAGCTGTATGCCTGCCCGCCCGCTCCGTGCTCCCGAGTTGGGGGACGCTGCACCCCCCGGGCGAGGGGAGGATTCCCGAGTTCCCGGCCTCGCCTGCAGGAGCCTCTCTCCTCAGCCTCCACGGAGCGCGCGGCGCTGCTTGACGGCCACGACCTGCTGAGGACAAACGGTGTGTGCAGAGCCGGGCGCCTGGGCCCCCGGGGCGTGAGGGGCGGGAGTTTCTGAGACCCCGGAGATGGAGTCTCGAGTGCGTGGGGGCCCTATGGTCCCTGAGGCTGGAAGGGGGTCCCCTGAGTCCTCCCAAGTGACCCGAGGGGCATGCATTTTGGGGCGGGGGTCGTTCCAGCCTCGAAGCAGACGGCGGCGCTGGGTGCCCTGAAGGAGGAGGTCGGAGACTGCCACAGCTGCTGTGAGGGGGCGCGGTCGAGGCTGTGGGCGCAGGGATGGGGTCTTGCGGCCGCGATGGGAGGGGGGCCGGGGCGGAGGCCTGCGGCGGGTGGTGCGGGGCGGGGGCTGGTCTCCGAAGTCCCGCCCCATCCTCGCCGCCCTCGCCCCTCTCACCCTGCGGCTCCCAGGCTCGGGGACGCAGGCGCAGCTGCAGACCACGCGCGCGGAGCTTGGGGAGGCGCAGGCGAAGCTGATGGAGCAGGAGAGCGCCCTGCGGGAACTGCGTGAGCGCGGTGAGGGCCCGACGCGACCCCGGCCCTGAGCCCTGGCCGCGTCCCCCGACCCCGACCCCGTCCTGAGTGCTGACCCCCGACCCCGATCATGCACCCCGTCCTGACCCTGACGCTGCACTCTGACCTTGACTGCCACTCCTAGCGCCGGCCACACCCGGACCCTGCCCAGTTGTAACCGCCCTTGACCCTGTGCCATCCTGGACGCTGGCACCGAGGGTACAATGACCACAGACAGGGGTCCTGACCTTTAGCTAGTCATGACCCTGGTCCTGGCCCTGACCCCAGCCATAATCCCCGCTCCCTTGACCCCGCAGTGACCCAGGGC
Organism: Homo sapiens; assembly: GCF_000001405.40. NCBI lineage: Eukaryota > Metazoa > Chordata > Mammalia > Primates > Hominidae > Homo > Homo sapiens. The sequence goes on along the minus strand of NC_000019.10, from coordinate 7,730,429 downwards.
TTGGCTGAAGCCGGCAGGGGCCGTGAGGACGTCCGCACTGAGCTGTTCCGGGCGCTGGAGGCCGTGAGGCTCCAGAACAGTGAGCGAGACGGGGGGTCGGGGGCGGGCTGTGAGGGCGTAAGCGGACCCTGTCACTCCTGGACCTTGGCCTGGTTCTGTGTCTCCACCCCTGAGCCCGCGGGGCCGAACCCCTACCCACTGCATCCTCTCGGTGCGTTGCCCCTGGAAGCACGCGACCTCTCTGACCCTCGCCACCCCGCAGACTCCTGCGAGCCGTGCCCCACGTCGTGGCTGTCCTTCGAGGGCTCCTGCTACTTTTTCTCTGTGCCAAAGACGACGTGGGCGGCGGCGCAGGATCACTGCGCAGATGCCAGCGCGCACCTGGTGATCGTTGGGGGCCTGGATGAGCAGGTGCGCAGGGGGAGGGGGCGTGGTCAGGCGGTGGGGCAGGGCGGGGCGGACTCTGCAGGCTCAGATGTCCCCTCCTTTCTAGGGCTTCCTCACTCGGAACACGCGTGGCCGTGGTTACTGGCTGGGCCTGAGGGCTGTGCGCCATCTGGGCAAGGTTCAGGGCTACCAGTGGGTGGACGGAGTCTCTCTCAGCTTCAGGTGAGGGAAAGGCTCCTGGTGAGACCTGGGGAGGGAGACAGGTTAGGCTCTAGAGGACATGCTTTGGCTAGATCTCAGGGACCCCTCGGCTGGGGCTCCATACTTAGGGATGGGCAGGCTGGACCCCAGGAACTGTCCTCAGGTTAAATTCTGGGCGTTAAAAAGTTATATACCAGGTGTATACTCAGGTTAGACAGTTGGGGTGTCTAGAGTAGACCCAAGCAATAAACAGGCTAGAGCCTGAAGAGGAAGGCGGGACCCCGAGTTCATCCTCTGTCTAGATTCCCAGCAACACCCCCACTCAACCCCCCTGTAGCCACTGGAACCAGGGAGAGCCCAATGACGCTTGGGGGCGCGAGAACTGTGTCATGATGCTGCACACGGGGCTGTGGAACGACGCACCGTGTGACAGCGAGAAGGACGGCTGGATCTGTGAGAAAAGGCACAACTGCTGACCCCGCCCAGTGCCCTGGAGCCGCGCCCATTGCAGCATGTCGTATCCTGGGGGCTGCTCACCTCCCTGGCTCCTGGAGCTGATTGCCAAAGAGTTTTTTCTTCCTCATCCACCGCTGCTGAGTCTCAGAAACACTTGGCCCAACATAGCCCTGTCCAGCCCAGTGCCTGGGCTCTGGGACCTCCATGCCGACCTCATCCTAACTCCACTCACGCAGACCCAACCTAACCTCCACTAGCTCCAAAATCCCTGCTCCTGCGTCCCCGTGATATGCCTCCACTTCTCTCCCTAACCAAGGTTAGGTGACTGAGGACTGGAGCTGTTTGGTTTTCTCGCATTTTCCACCAAACTGGAAGCTGTTTTTGCAGCCTGAGGAAGCATCAATAAATATTTGAGAAATGAATCCAGGATCCTGGCTCTGGCGAGATCTTCTGTGCTTTATTCCGGATGTCCTAGTTTAATCCGTACGAGTGACCCCTGGACTCTCTCAGTGACCTCTTGGCCTTTGGTGGGTAACTTGCCCTGGGCCAGGAGGGCTTGAAGGTAGGGGCAGTTTCCCACTCTACACCATTACTTCCTCAGTCCCTGGCATGGGGCTTGGCTCAGAGGGTGCTGGGGACACAGAAATGGGTCAGACGCAGTCCTTTCCCCTGGGACCGCTGCATTCTGGTCTAGCGGGGTACAGGAACAAAATGACCAGTAATGTAATGGATGAGTGTGTGGAGAGGACACCTGAAGCATTTGGAAGGGTCACCTTTGTCTTTGGGGAGAGGGACCATCCTGAGATACTGCAGTCCTTGAGAAGACTGTCACGTCTTCGTGGAGATTATGGGCATCCTGAGACAGGCCCTTGAGGCAGGTGGGGGACAGGGTACCCTGATGGAACGAGCAGGTCCCTTCTGCTCAGTGCATCTAGGGTCTGTGACTATTGGATGGGTCAGTCAGGAAATACATTCCAGAGAAGGTGGATTTTCCAAGGGACAATGGAATTTTGAGTAGATGAAGCTGGGAAGGTAGGACTTTGGAAGCAGAAGGTCCAGGAAGAAAAAGGCTTGGAGAGTGGGTGTGGTGGTGCAAGCTCGTAGTCCCAGTTACTCGGGAGGCTGAGGTGGGAGAATTGCTTAAGCCTAGGAGTTTGAGACGGCAGTGAGCTATGATCTTGCCTGTTGATATAGTCACTGTTCTCCATTCTGGGCAATGCAGTGACACCATATCTCAAAAAAAAGGAATACTAGGAGGTTGGAAGGTATACAGATTGCTGAATTCACACAGCAGTATATGTTACATAGAACCTGGGTTTCTCAACCAGGGACTTTTGATCTGAATTCACCCTACACTCCCAGTTTCTTGCTTCCATCTCGGAGAGTTAGGGGCTCTCCAAGAATTTCCCATGGAGACAGGTTCAACAGGGGAGTGACAGGTTGGCAGCTTTTAGTTCTGTGCAGAACGGAGTCTAGAACTACAGGCTGCTGGGAGCCCCCAGGCTGCTGGACCGTATAACAGCATCAGCTGAGCAGGAAATAGAAGGAACACCATCACATTCCCTGGCCAGGTGGAACTCTTCCACTGCTGTAACCTGTCAACCCCCCTATCCTCTGATCTTTCTAAACTTGCAGTCTGGAGCAGGCACTGGGCAAGTCCAGGAGCCTATTGACTTGCCTACTGGACTGAGGGCCAGGCTGCTGGACTTCCAGACACAGTTGGCTTGGAGGAGTGTTTGAGTTTCCCACCACTACTGTAATGGATTTTGCTGGGCAAAAACCAAGGTCTAAGGATGTATTAATCCGTTCTCATGCTGCTAATAAAGACATACCTGATACTGGGTAAGTTATAAAGGGAAGAGGTTTAATGGACTCGCAGTTCCACATGGCTGGGGAGGCCTCACAATCATGGCAGAAAGGAAAGGAAGAGCAAAGGCATGTCTTACATGGTGGCAGGCAAGATAACTTGCGCAGGGGAACTCTCATTTATAAAACCATCAGATCTTGAGGCTGGGCATGGTGGCTCACGCTTGTAATCCCAGCACTTTGGGAGGCCAAGGCGGATGGATCACGAGGTCAGGAGTTCGGGACCAGCCTGGCCAAGAGACCAGCCTGGCCAATATGGTGAAACCCCATCTCTACTAAAAATACAAAAATTAGCTGGTCGTGGTGGCAGGCGCCTGTAATCCCAGCTACTCGGGAGGCTGAGGCAGGAGAACTGCTTGAGCCCAGGAGGCAGAGGTTGCAGTGAGCCGAAGGTCATGCCATTGCACTCTAGCCTGGGTGACAGAGCAAGAGTTCATCTCAAAAAAAAAAATTAAAAAATTAAAAAATAAAACCATCAGATCTTGAGAGACTCATACACCACCACAAGAACAGTATGGGGAAAACTGCCCCCGTGATTCAATTATCTCCACCTGGCCCCACCCTTGATCCACAGGGATTATTACAATTCAAGGTGAGATTTGGGGAGGCGGACACAGCCAAACCATATCAAAGGGAAAATGTTTCTTTACCTCTTCTTTAGCTTTTCTAGAGCTGTTGTCCTCATCCTTCTTGACTCCTGGACCCTTCTTCCATCTTCAAAGGCAGTAGGGTAGCATCTAGCTTCAGCCATGACAATTACTTCTTCTGTATCAAATCTCTCTAGGAATGCCCCCACAATCACCTTTTTTTGAGACAGGGTCTTGCTCTGTCACCCAGGCTGGAGTGTAATAGCACGATCATAGTTCACTGCAGCCTCAACCTCCTGGGCTCAAGAAATCCTCCTGCCTCAGCCTCCCAAGTAGCTGGGACTACAGGCATGCACCACCACACCCAGCTATTTGTTAGTTTTTTTGTAGAGATGGGGTGTCACTATGCTGCCCAGGCTGGTCTTGCCTCCTTCTTATATGAACAGTTGGGATTGCATTTAGGGCCTGACCTGATAGTACAGGATGATCTCCTGTGGTTCCTTTTTTTTTTTTTTTTTTTAATTTTCTTTTTGAGGCAGGATCTCGCTTTGTCACCTGGGCTGGAGTGCGGTAGCATGAACATGGCTCACGGCAGCCTTGACTTCCCAGGTTCAAGTTCAAGCAATCCTCCAGGCTCAAACAATCCTCCTGCCTCAACCTCCTGAGTAGCTGGGACTACAGGCGTGTGCCACCATGCCTGGCTAATTTTTTTTATTTTTTTGTAGAGAAGCGGTCTCATTATGCTGCCCAGGCTGGTCTCAAACTCCTGAGCTCAAGTGATTCGCCTACCTTGGCCTCCCAAAGCACTGGGATTACAGGCATGAGCCACTGCTCCTGGCCTCCTGTAATTCTAAATGCAGTTCTGCCACTATTCACCCAGATAGTGCAGACTCCACCCAGAGGTTAAGGACACAGTCCCCATCAAGACTGCTCTCATTTCAGATACCAGCTACAAGTTTGGGGATCCCCAGCCACCCACATTTCTGATCAACTGCCTACAAATTCTCATGACCCCTTCAGGTTCCATAATTCACTAGAATGACTCCCAGAACTTAGGAAATGCTATGCTTACGATTTCAGTTTGTTTTTTGTTTTGTTTTGTTCTTTGTTTTGTTTTGTTTTTTTGTTTGTTTTTTGAGACAGTGTCTCGCTCTTTCGCCCAGGCTGGAGTGCAGCGGTGCGACCTCAGCTCACTGCAACCTCTGCCTCCCGGGTTCAAGCAATTCTCCTGCCTCAGCCTCCCAAGTAGCTGGGACTACAGGCGCCCGCCACCACCATGCCTGGCTAATTTTTATATTTTTAGTAGAGATGGGGTTTCACCATGTTAGCCAGGATAGTCTCACTCTTTTGATCTGGTGATCCACCCGCCTTGGCCTCCCAAAGTGCTGGGATTACAGGCATGAGCCACTGTGCCTGGCCCTGATTTCAGTTTTCTTAACAAAATACAAATCAGGACCTGCCAAATGAGAAGATACATAGGGTGAGGTCTGGGAAGGTCCCAAACACGGAGCTCCTGTGTCCTTCCCCATAACGTCAGCACACATCACTCTCTCTATGCCTTCCCCACTCTCAGGGTGATGGGTTCACCAGCCAGGAAGCTCCAGAGCTCGGTGTCCTGAGTTTTTTTGGGGTTTCAGTATGTAGGCAGGATTGATCCAATTACTCCTTCAGTGTTTCAGTTTTGTTTGTTTTTTTTTTTTGAGACCCGGTCTTGCCCTGTTGCCCAGGCTGGAGTGCAGTGGCATAATCATAGCTCACTGCAGCCTCAACCTTCTGGGCTCAAGTGATCCTCCCACCTCTCAGCCTCTCGAGTAGCTGGAACTACAGGCACATGTCACCACCCTGTCCAGCTAATGTTTGTATTTTTTGTAGAGACGGGGTTTCACCATATTGTTCAGGTTGGTCTTGAGCTCCTGAGCTCAAGTGATCCTCCTGCCTTGGCCTCCCAAAGTGCTGGGATTACAGGCATGAGCCACCTCACAAGGCCTCGGGAGTTTTTAGTGGGGTCTCATTACACAGGAAAGATTGACTGAATCGTTGGCCTTGTGATTGAACTTTATCTCCAGTCCCCCTTTTGGTCAAGTGGCTGCAAATTCCAACCCTCATGGTTGATGTATCTGGCATGACCAGCACCCATCCTAAGCCACCCCCTCATATAAACCCAAGTGTGGTCCAGGGCCCTGATGAATAACAAAGACTCACAGCACTTGGAAAATTCCAAGGACTTAGACACTTCCTAGCAGGAACCAGGGACAAATTCTTTACCACACGAGCTCCTCCCATCTTGAAATCCATCATCACGTCTGCAAAGTGTCTTTTGCCATATAAAGTGATGTTCACAGGATCCAGGGATGAGGACATGGTATATTGCAGGTCATCACAAATCTGTGTTAGCCAGGGTTGTCCAGGACTGAACTGATAGGATATGCGTGTGTGTGTGTGTGTGTGTGTGTGTGTGTGAGATATAGTTAGGATATTTGTCCCCACCCAAATCTCATGTTGAAATGTATCCCCAGTGCTGGAGGTGGGGGCTGGTGGGAAGTGTTTTGCATCATAGGGGCAGATTCTTCGTGAATGGCTTGGACCATCCCCATGGTGATAAGTGAGCTCTCACTCAAAGTTCACATAAAATCTGGTTGTTCAAAAGTGTGTGATACCTCCCCTGCCACGCTGTCTCTTGCTCCTGCTTTCGCCATGTGAGACACCTGCTTCGCCTTTGTCTTCTGCCATGATTGGAAGCTTCCTGAGGCCCCTCCAGAAGCAGATATCTCTGCTATGCTTCCTGGACAGCCTGTAGAATCATGAGCCAATTAAACCTCTTTTCTTCTAAATTACCCAGTCTCAGGTATCTCTTTATAGCAATGCAAGAATGGCCTAACACAGCTGGGTGTGGTGGCTCACGCCTGTAATCCCAGCACTTTGGGAGGCCGTGGCGGGCAGATCACTTGAGGTCAGGAGTTCGAGACCAGCCTGGCCAATATGTTGAAACCCCATTTCTACTAAAAATACAAAAATTAGCCAGGTGTGGTGGCGGGTGCCTGTAATCCCAGCTACTTGGGAGGCTGAGGCAGGAGAATCACTTGAACCTGGGAGGTGGAGGTTGCACTGAGCTGAGATCACACCATTGCACTCCAGCTTGGGTGACAGAATGAGACACCATCTTGAGGAAAAAAAAAAAAAAAGAACAGCCTAACACAATATTAAAGGGAGTTTATTTGGGAGAATTAGCTCACACAATTATAAGGCGAAGTCCCATAGTAGGCTGTCTGCAAGCCCGGGAAAGACAGAAAGTGGTAGTGTGGCTCAGTCCAAGTCCAAAAGCCTCAAAAATCATGGAAGGAGACAGTGCAACCTTCAGTCTGCAGCCAAAGGCCCGAGAACACCTGGGAGGCCACTGGTGCAAGTGCCAGAGTTCAAAGGCCAAAGAACCTAGAGCCTGATGTCCAAGGGTAGGAGGAGAGGAAACCAAGTGATTGGCACAGCAGGGGAAGAGAGAGGGAGCTGACTCAGCGAGCAAGCCAGCTTCTCCCGCCTTCTTCCACCTGCTTTGTTCTAGCCACGCTGGCGGCCGATGGGATGGTGCCCACTCACATTGAGGATGGGTCTTCCTCTCCCAGCCCACGGACTCAAATATCAACCTCCTCTGATAACATCCTCACAGACACACCCAGAAACAATGCTTCACCAGCCATCCAGGCATCTCCCTCCATCCGGTCAAGTTGACACCAGGTGTTAACCATCATAGCATCACAGCACAGGGCAGAGCCATCTGAGATAGACTCCCAGGTGGGACAGCAGTGAGATACTTACCTAGAGGTCTAACTACTTGATGAGCCAGATTAAGTGATTGTCTGGATGATACAGACAGATTGTAATCAAACATACTGACAATGAGGTGGCGACTCCGGATCGAATGAAGAACAACAGAGACAGAACGACAGACGGACTTCATGGCTGGGTGTGGTGGCTCACACCTGTAATCCCGGCACTTTGGGAGGCTGTGGTGGGTGGATCACCTGAGGTCAGGAGTTTGAGACTAGCCTGGCTAACATGGCAAAACCCCATCTCTATTAAAAATACAAAAAAATTAGCCAGGCATGGTTGTGGGTGCCTGTAATCCCAGCTACTCAGGAGGCTGAGGCAGGAGAATCACTTGATCCCGGAAGGTGGAGGTTGCAGTGAGCTGAGATCACGCCACTGCACTCCAGTCTGGGTAACAGAGTGAAACTCCATCTAAAAAAAAATTTTTTTTTAAAAGAACAACAGATGGACTTCAAGTCTGACCGACAGCCTCAATGGGGAGCCCCTGCCAGGCTGTCGTGACAAATGTACAGCAACAGCACGGGCAGGCACAAGAGGTTTCAGCATCTCCCCTGAGGATGGAGCTGAGAAAGTGCCAGCTGTGGCTGAGGCAGAAGGAAGAGAGGCTGAGTGCAGTGGTGTGCACCTGTCATCCTGAAACCCACCCAACAGTCTCATAGAACAGGGGTCCTCATCCCCCAGGCCGCAGACCGGTACTGATCTGTGCCCTGTTAGGAGCCAGGCCACACAGCAGGAGGTTAGCAGCAGGTGAGCAAGCAAAGCTCATCTGTGTTTACAGCCACTCTCCTTTGCTTGCATGACCACCTGACCTCTGCCTCCTGTCAGATTAGCAGTGGTATTAGACTCTCACAGGAGCATGAAGCCTATTGTGAACTGCACATCGAGGGATCTGGGTCATAGGATAATCGAATGACTGATGATCTCTCACTGTCTCCCATCACCCCCAGATGGGACTGTCTTAGTTGCGGGAAAACAAGCTCAGAGTTCCCACTGATTCTGCATTATGCAGAGTGGCATAATTATTTCATTACATATTAAAATGTAATAATTATAGAAATAAAGTGCACAATAAATGTCACGCAGTTGAATCATCCTGAAACCATCCCCCACCCCAGTCTGTGGAAAAGTTGTCTGCTGGGTGCAGTGGCTCATGCCTGTAATCTCAGCACTTTGGGAGGCTGAGGTGGGCAGATCACCGGAGGTCAGGAGTTTGAGACCAGCCCAGCCAACATGGTGAAACGCCGTCTCTACTAAAAATACAAGAATTAGCTGGGCATGGTGGTGTGCACCTGTAATCCCAGCTATTCGGGAGGCTCAGGTGGGAGAATGGCTTGAATCTGGGAGGCGGCAGTTGCATTGAGCCGAGATCACGACACTGCACTCCAGCCTGGGCAACAGAGCAAGACTCTGTCTCTAAAAAAAAAAGAAAAAGAAAAATTGTCTTCTCCAAAACCGGTCCCTGGTGCCAAAAAGGTTAGGGATTGTTGCCATAGACAGTTCTTTTCAATAAACATAGAAATTGACCCTGTGGTCTTTTTTTTTTTTTTGAGACGGAGTCTCGCTCTGTTGCCCAGGCTGGAATGCAGTGGCGCAATCTCGGCTCACTGCAAGCTCCACCTCCTGGGTTCACGCCATTCTCCTGCCTCAGCCTCCCGAGTAGCTGGGACTATAGGCATGCGCCACCACGCCCAGCTAATTTTTGTATTTTTAGTAGAGACAGGGTTTCACCATGTTGGCCAAGGTGGTCTCAAACTCCTGACCTCCAGTGATCCACCCACCTCGACCTCCCAAAGTGCTGGGATTACAGGTGTGAGCCACCGTGCCCGGCCTGACCCTGTGGTCTTAAAGCTTGAAATTTAGCATTAGTTTTATCTGGCCAGGCGCGGTGGCTCACGCCTGCAATCCCAGCACTTTAGGAGGCTGAGGCGGATGAATCACTTGAGCTCAGGAGTTCGAGACCACTCTGGCCAACTTGGCAAAACCCTGTCTCTACTAAAAATACGAAAAATTAGCCAGGCATGGTGGCGGGCGCCTGTAATCCCAGGTACTCAGGAGGCTGAGGCAGGAGAATCGCTTGAACCAGGGAGGAGGAGGTTGCAGTGAGCCAAGATCGCGCCACTGTGCTCCATCCTGGGCAACAAGAGTGAAACTCTGTCTCAAATAAACAAACCAAAAAAATTTGTTTTATCTGAGTTCCTTCTCAGGAAAGGATCCCCAGGCTCTCAAAAATCATCAGAGTTGAAACTCAGCAGATCATTACATGCAGACGATGAGACACCAGGCTGCTCATTCATCACAATTGCTTCCTGACCCCTCCCGCGTTCCTGTTTTACCACATATTGTTCTATTTCTCCCCTGCTATATAAACCCCTAATTTTAATCAGCCAGAGAGATGGATTTGAGACTGAGCTCCCATCTCCTTGGTTGCAGCATCCAATTAAAGCCTAAAGCCTTCTTGCTTGGCAATAATCCTTGCCTCGGTGATTGGCTATCTGTGCGGTGAACAGCAGGACCTAGACCAAACCCCTGGTATTTCCGTAAACACTCCCAGCACTTTGGGAGGTGGAGGTGGGAAGGTCACTTGAGTCCAGGAGTTTGAGATCAGCCTGGGGCAACATACCAAGACCTCATCTCTACTTAAAAAATAGGCTGGGCGCAGTGGCTCACGCCTGTAATCCCAGCACTTAGGGAGGCCGAAGTGGGCAGATCACCAGAGGTCAGGAGTTCAAGACCAGCCTGGCCAACATGGTGAAACCCTGTCTCTACTAAAAATACAAAACTTAGCCGGGCATGATGGTGGGTGCCTGTAATCTCAGCTACTCGGGAGGCTAAGGCAGGAGAATCGCTTACACCCAGGAGGCAGAGGTTGCAGTGAGCCGAGATTGTGTCACTACACTCCAGCCTGGAAAACAGAGAGGGACTCTGTCTCAACATAACATAAAATAAAATAAAATAAAATAAAAATAAAAGGCTGGGCATGGTGGTGCACACCTGTATTCTCCTGTACTTGGAAGGCTGAAGCAGAAGGATTGCTTGAGCCCAGGAATTCCAGGCTACAGTGAGCTATGATTGTACCACCGCACACCAGTCTGGCAGAGACCCCAGACAGCAGAGTTAAATTGGAACTGCCCTGGGATCCTATCCATGGCCAGAGCATGCCCTGGAGCCCCTGGTACCCCCAGGCTCAGATTCTGGGGGCAGCAGGGCCCAAGGGAGCTCCAGGTCAGGAGCCCAGAGAGCCAAGTGGCTGGCCTGGATATGTCCGTCCTCTCCTCGCCACCTGCCATCTGCATTTATGATCAGCTCACAAGCCCTACCTCCCAGTCGCCTGGCTGTAACCCACCAGTGTTCCAGAAGGCCCATAATGACCCCAAATGAGAGAGTCAGGTCCCAGGCCCCAGGCCACACCCTCCACTCCAAGATTCAACTTCTCTGGGAAGAAAGGAATCCCTGGAGCCTATCCCTATTTCTGGAACAGACCTTAACCTTCAGTTGGCTTTTGTTTTCCTGGAATATTGGTGGTGCCAGAAAGACTATTCTAAAGGCTGACAGGTGGCTGAGTGTGATGGCTCACGCCTGTAATCCCAGCACTTTGGGAAGCTGAAGTGCGAGGATCATTTGAGACTAGGAGTTTAAGCCCAGCCTGGGTAACATAGTGAGACCCCCATCTCTATAAAAAGAAAATTTTAAATTAAATGAGCTGGGCATGGTGGTACATGCCTGTAGTCCTATCTACTCAGGAGGCTGAGGCAAGAGGCTTGAGCCCAGGAGTTCAAGGTTACAATGAGCTATGATCACGTCACTGCAGCAGTCCACCCTGGGTGACATAACAGGATCCTGTCTCTACTTCAAAAAACAAGCAAACAAACAAACAAAACAAAATAAAATAAAACAAAAAACAGGCTAGGTGCGGTGGCTCACGCCTGTAATCCTAGCACCTTGGGAGGCTGAGACAGGTGGATTGATTGCCTGAGTCAGGAGTTTTCAACCAGCCTGGACAACATGGTGAAATCCCGTCCCTATCAAAAATACAAAAAATTAGCCGGGTGTGGTAGCATGTGCCTGTGGTCTCAGCTACTCAGAAGGCTGAGGTGGGAGGATCACTTGAACCTGGGAGGTGGAGGTTGCAGTGAGCTGAGGTCACGCCACTGCACTCCAACCTGGGTAACAGAGCACAACCCCATTTCAAAAAAAAAAAAAAAGGGCTGATGGGGGTGCAGGAAGTGGCCTGTGCCTGACAAACCGTGTGACATTTCCCCAGAGCCTGATGGGACCGACGCCAGACCCAGGCTGAGCCCCGTCAGCATTCTCAAGACAGATCCACTTTCCTGGAGTTCCCAGGGGCTCTGAGAAGCCCCTGTAAGACCTGAAATACACCTGTAACAACCCTGGGGCGCAACACCAATTGCATAGAACACCGTGCAAGGTCTGTAGTAGGCAAAAAAATGCCTTCCCCAAAGATGTCCCTGTGCCAATCCCCAAATCTGTGAATATGTCATACCTTAGGTAGGTATCACGAAGGGATTTTGCACATGTGATTAAAGTAAGAGTCCTGGCTGGGCGCCGTGGCTCATGCCTGTAATCCCAGCACTTTGGGAGGCCAAGGCAGGCAGATCACTTGAGGTCAGGAGTTCGAGACCAGCCTGGCCAACATGGTGAAACCCCGTCTCTACTAAAAATACAGAAATTAGCCAGGCATGGTGGCACATGCCTGTAATCCCAGCTACTCGGGAGGCTGAGGCAGGAGAATCGCTTGAACCCGGGAGGTGAAGGTTGCAGTGAGCCGAGATAGCGCCACTGCACTCCAGCCTGGGCAACAGAACCAGACTCCCTCTCAAAAAATTTAAAAAAAAAAAAAGACTCCTAAAATGGGAGAGTTTATTTTAGGTTATCTAGGTGGGCCTGAAGTAATGACAGGTGTCCTTAAAAGTGAATGAGAGAGGCAGGAGAAAATCAGAGAGGCAGAAGGCCTTCAGAAGGGGCAGAGTGCTGTGATGTGAGGGCTCCACTCACCATTGCTGGCTTTAAAGATGGAGGAAGGGGGCCAGGTGCAGTGGCTCATGCCTGTAATCCTCGCACTTTGGGAGGCTGAAGTGGGCAGATCACCTGAGGTCAGGAGTTTGAGATCAGACTGGCCAACATGGCAAAACCCTGTCTCTACTAAAAATACAAAAAGTTAGCTGGGCGTGGTGGTGCATGCTTGTAATCCCATCTACTTGGGAGGCTGAGGCAGGAGAATGGCTTGAATCTGGGAGGCAGAAGTTGCAGTGAGCCAAGATTATGCCACTGCAATCCTAGAACTTGGGGACGCCAAGGTGGGAGGATCTCTAGGACCCATGAGTTCAAGACTAGCCTGGGCAATATAGGGAGACCTAATCTTCACAAAAACAATTTGAAAACTTAGCTGGACATCGTGGCACATGACTGTGGTCCCAGCTACTCAGGAGGCTGAGGTGGGAGGATCACTTGAGCCTAGGAGCTGGAGGCTGCAGTGAGCTATGATTGCACCACTGCATTCTAGCCTGGGCAACCCACTGAGATCCTGTCTCAAAAAAAAAAAAAAAAAAAGGGGGGGACAGGCACGGTGGCTCACACCTGTAATCCCAGCACTTTGGGAGGCCAAGGCGGGTAGATCACCTGAGGTCAGGAGTTTGAGACCAGCCTGACAAACATGGAAAAACCCCGTCTCTACTAAAAGTACAAAATTAACCAGGCATGCTGGCACATGCCTGTAATCCCAGCTACTTGGGAGGCTGAGGCAGGAGAATTGCTTGAACCCAGGAGGTGGAGGTTGTGGTGAGCCGAGATCACGCCATTGCAATCCAGCCTGGGCAACAAGAGCAAAACTCCATCTCAAAAAAAAAAAAAAAAAAAAAGGAGAAAAGGACCAAGAGCCAAGGACATCAGTGGCTGTTTCAGTCTGTTCAGGCTGCTATAACAAAACACCATAAACTGAGTTGCTTCTAAACAACCACACATTTTTGGCTCACAATTCTGGAGGCTGGGAAGTCCAAAACCAACATGTTGGCAGACTCTGTCTTGTGAGGGCTCTTTTCCTGGTTCACAGATGGCCATGTTCTTGCCATGTCTTCACATGGTAGAAAGGGCAAGTAAGTCTCTGATGATTGATGAGGGCACTAATTCCATGCATGAGGGCCCCACCCTCATGACCTAGTCACCCCCTAAAGCCTCCACCTTCTAATACCGTCATCTTGGAGGTTAGGTTTCAACACATGAATTCTGAAAAGACACAAACTTTCAAACCATAGCAGCCATTTCTAGAAGTTATGTAAGGCAAGGAAATGAATTCTCCCCCAGAAGGATGCAACCCTGCCATCATCTTAATATAAGTCCAATGGGATCAGTGTCAGACTTCTGATCTTCAGAACAGTGAGATAATAAGTTTGCATTGTCTGAAGTCACTAAATTTGAGATAATTTGTTAACTGCAGCAGTAGCTGACTAATACAAAAGCTTAGCTGGAGCTCACCCATATCACAACAGTAACCACTTGTGACTATTTCATAGCATGCCCTAATAGGTCTGTAAGTACCTGTACACCTTGATGGAAGTAACTCAACTCAAGAAAAACCACTGGAAACACCTGCAATAAACCTTTAACACCCGTAAGATGTTACCACCTAAGATATAACTGTAACTCTCTCCTTGCCTAAAAATACACACAGGTAACTTACCTTATCTAGGGTGGCCATATGTCTCTCTTTGTCTAATTTTCACTTGACCCAGGTATAAATATTCTTTTCTTTTCTTTTTCTTTCTTTTTTTTTTTTTTTGAGATGAGGTCTCACTCTGTCACCTAGGCTGGAGTGCAGTGGTGCGACCTTGGCTCACTGCAACCTCTGCCTCCCGGGTTCAAGCAATTCTTCCACCTCAGTCTCCCGACTAGCTGGGATTACAGGGGCTCACTGCCACGCCCAGCTAATTTTTGCATTTTTAGTAGAGATGGGGTTTCACCATGTCAGCAAGGCTAGTCTCAACTCCTGACCTCAGGTGATCTACCTGCCTTGTTGTCCAAAGTGTTGGGATTACAGGTGTGAGCCACCATGCCCAGCCATGATGTAATTTATATACAATAAGATGCACCCATTTATTATAATCATTAGGATGGCTGCCATCAAAAAAATTACAGAACATGAAAGTACTGGTGAGAATGTGACAAAATTGTGCACTATTGGTGGGAATGTAAAATGGTACAGCCACTGTGGAAAAAGCTTCTGGCAGTTCCTCAAATAAATTATAAATAGAATTGCCATATGGCCCAGGAATTCCATTTCTGGGTGTGTGGCCAAAAGAACTGAAAGCAGGGTCTCAAAGAAATATTTGTACACTCATGTTCATAGCAGTATTATTTACAATAGTCAAAAGATTGAAGCAGGTCAGATGTGGTGGCTCTCGCCTGTAATCCCAGCACTTTGGGAGGCCGAGGCAGGCGGATCACTTGAGGTCAGGAGTTCGAGACTGGCCTGGACAACATGGGGAAATCCCGTCTCTACTAAAAATACAAAATTAGCCGGGCGTGGTGGTGCGTGCCTGTAATCCCAGCTACTCAGGAGGCTGAGGCAGGAGAATCACCTGAACCCAGGAGGTGGAGGTTGCAGTGAGCCAAGATCACGACACTGCACTCCAGCCTGGGTGATAGAGGAAGACTCCGTTAAAAAAAAAAAAGATTGAAGCAACCTAGGTGTCCATAAACAGATCAATGGATAAGTGGAATGTGCTCCATCCATACGATAGAATATAATTCAGCCCTAAAAAGGAAGGAAATTGTGGGCCAGACGTGGTGGCTCACGCCTGTAATCCCAGCATTTTGGGAGGCTGAGCTGGTGGATCATTTGAGGTCAGGAGTTTGAGACCAGCCTGGCCAACATGGTGAAACCCCGTCTCTACTAAAAATACAAAAATTAGCTGGGTGTGGTGGTGCACACCTGTAGTCCCAGCTACTTGGGAGGCTGAGGCAGAAGAATTGCTTGAACCCGGGAGGTGGAGGTTGCAGTGAGCAGAGACTGTGCCACTGTACTCCAGCCTGGGTGACAGAGCGAGACTCCATCTCAAAAAAAAAAAAAAAAAAAAAAGGAAGGAAATTCTGACACAGGCAGTTATGCTAAGTGAAATAAGCCAGCCAGGCACAAAAAGACAAATATGGTATGATTCCACATTATTCCACTCATAGGAGGTCCCCAGAGTCAACTCACTCATAGACACAAAAAGTCGAACGGGGGGTGCCAGGGGCTGGGGCACGCGGCGATGGGTAGTCGTCGTTTAATCGGTAAAGTTTCAGTTTTTGTTGGTTTTTTTTTTCAGTTTTATAAGATGAAACAATTCCAGAGATTGGTTGTGCAACAATGTGAATATACTTAACACTACTGAGCTGTATGCTTAAAATAGTTAAAATGGTCAATTTGTTGTTATGGTATTTTACTTCAATTTAAAAATTTTTTTAATTGTTTAATGTACTCATTTCAAGTTTACAATTCAGTGAGGTTTTTTTTTTTGGTTTTGTTTTTGTTTTTGAGACGGAGACTCCCTCTGTTGCCCAGGCTGGAGTGCAGTGGTGCAATCTCGGCTCACTGCAACCTCTGCCTCCCAGGTTCAAGCTATTCTCCTGCCTCAGCCTCCCAAGTAGCTGGGACTACAGGCACCCGCCACCAGGCCTGGCTAATTTTTGTATTTTTAGTACAGACAGGTTTCACTTTGTTAGCCAGGCTGGTCTCGAACTCCTGACCTCAAGATCCAAACGCCTCAGCCTCCCAAAGTGCTGGGATTACAGGCATGAGCCACCGCGCCTGGCCAATTCAGTGAGTTTTAACAAAGGTATACAGCTGGGCAACCATCAAGATATTGATGATATAGAACATTTCCATCAGCCCTAGAATTCCCTCCTGCCCTTCAATCTCAGCACCAGCCCTGACAGAGACCTAGGTCATCACCAATCTGCTATCACTATGAATTTGACTTGTCTTGTGAAGTTTCATATAAATTAGATCATACAGTGCATAGTATTTTGTCTCCAAATGCTTGCTCCCAGTGTGATGTGTCTTTGTATTTTGTGTTTTTCATGTTTGTGGGTATATACAGGTGATTACATTTATGGGGTACATGAGATGTTTTGACACAGGCATGCAACGTGTAATTATCACATCATGTAGAATGCAGTCTCCATCCCCTCAAGCATTTATCCTTTGCGTTACAAACAATCCAATTATATTCTTTTATGTTTTATTTTTATTTTTTGAGACAGAGTCTCACTCTGTCACCCAGGCTGGAGTGCAGTGGTGCAATCTTGGCTCACTGCAACCTCCGCCTCGCAGGTTCAAGCAATTCTCCTGCCTCAGCCCCCCAGGTAGCTGGGAATACAGGTGTGCACAGCCACGCTCGGTTAATACACTCTTTTAGTTGTTTTATTTTTTCTTGTTGTTGTTTTGTTTTTGGTGTGTGTGTGTGTGTGTGTGTCTGTGTTTGAAACAGGGTCTCGCTGTGTCGCCCAGGCTGGAGTGCAGTGGTGCAATTTCAGCTCACTGCAACCTCTGTCTCCCAGGTTCAAGCGATTCTCCCTCCCCAGCTTCCTGAGAAGCTGGGATTACAGGCGCCCACCACCACACTGGGCTAATTTTCGTGTTTTTGATAGAGATGGGGTTTCACCATATTGGCCAGGCTGGTCTCAAACTCCTTATCTCAAGTGACCCACCCACCTCGGCCTCCAAAAGTGTTGGAATTACAGGCGTGAGCCACGGCGCCTGGCCTAGTTATTTTTTAATGTACAATTAAATTATTATTGACTGTAGTCACTCTGCTGTACTATTAAATAGTAGATCTTAGTCATTCCTTCTAATTGTTATTATCACTTTTTTTTTTTTTTAAGATGGAATCTCGCTCTGTCACCCAGGCTGGAGTGCAGCGAGGTGATCTTGGCTCACTGCAACCTCTCCCTCTTGGATTCAGGCAGTTGTCCTGTCTCAGCCTCCCGAGTAGCTGGGATTACAGACGCATACCACCACACCCTGCTAATTTTTGTATTTTTAGTAGAGACAGGGTTTCTCCATGTTGGCCAGGCTGGTCTCAAACGCCTAACCACAGGTGATCCACCCACCTCAACCTCCCAAAGTGCTGGGATTACAGGTGTGAGCCACCGTGCCTAGCCAAATCAAGCTTATTCACAACATATGTATTGCCTTAAGCCAGGGCGAGTCACAAGGTCAGGAGTTCAAGACCAGCCTGGCCAACATGGTGAAACCCCTTCTCTACTAAAAATACAAAAAAATTAGCTGGGCGTAGTGGCTGGTGCCTGTAATCCCAGCTACTTGGGAGGCCTGAGGCAGGAGAATCACTTGAACCCAGGAGGGGGAAGTTGCAGTGAGCCAAGATCGCACCACTTCACGCCAGCCTCGGTGACAGAGTGAGACTCCGTCTCAAAAAAACAAAAACCTACTTTCTGAGTAATTTTCGAGTATACAATATGTGATTATTAACTATAGTCACCATGATGTACAATAGATCTCTTGAACTTGTTCCTCCTGTCACTGAAATGTTGTATCCTTTGGCCACCATCTCCCCAGTCCCCGCCCCACCCCGCCCACCACCACCTGCCTCTGGTAACAAATATGTTCACATAATTTTGGCTAAAAAAAAAAGTTACAGCCAGGTGCAGTGGCTCACGCCTGTAATCCCAGCACTTTGGGAGGCCAAGGTGGGTGGATCACCTGAGGTCAAGAGTTTGAAACCAGCCTGGCCAACACGGTGAAACCCGGTCTCTATTAAAAATACAAAAATTAGCCCGTGGCTGCTCACGCCTGTAATCTCACGATTTTGGGAGGCCTGAGGTGTGAGGACCACTTGAAGCTAAGAGTTGGAGACCAGCCTGGGCAACAGAGCGAGATTTGTCTCTACAACAACAAGGCCAGGTGCGGGGCACACCTGTAATACTAGCACGTTGGGAGGCCGAAGCGGGCAGATCACAAGGTCAGGAGATCGAGACCATGCCGGCCAACATGGTGAAACTCTGTCTCTACTAAAAATACAAAAAATTAGCCAGGTCTGGTGGCGTGTGCCTGTAGTCCCAGCTACTTGGGAGGCTGAGGCAGGAGAATTGCTTGAACCCAGGAGGCAGAGGTTGCAGTGAGCCGAGATCGTGCCACTGCACTCCAGCCTGGTGACAGAGTGAGACTCCATCTCAAAAAAAAACAAAAAAGTTTTTTTAATTAGCTGGATGTGGTGGCACATGCCTATAGTCCCAAGGTACTCAGGAGGCTGAGGTGGGAGGATCCCTTGAGCCCAGGAGTTGGGAGGTTGCAGTGGGCTATGATGGTGCCATTGCACTCCAGCCTGGGTGACAGAGTAAAATCCATCTTAAAAAAAAAAAAAAGGCACTTTGGGAGGCCGAGGCGGGCGGATCACGAGGTCAGGAGATCGAGACCATCCCGGCTAAAACGGTGAAACCCCGTCTCTACTAAAAATACGAAAGGGCCTTCTTATGTGTACCCCATCTGTCCTGTCCGACCAGACAGAAACTTAGTCCTAAAAATAAAAATATTTTTTAAAAAACTTTTTCTGAGATAGAGTTTCACTCTGTCATCGAGGCTGGAATGCAGTGGTGCCATTGTAACTCACTGCAGCCTTGACCTCCTGGGCTCAAGTGATCCTCCTACCTCAGCCTTCCGAGTAGCTGGAACTACAGGCACACACCACCATGCTTAGCTATTTTGTTTTTGTTTTTGTTTTTTGTAGAGATGGGTGTCTTGCTATGTTGCCTAGGCTGGTCTTGAACACCCGGCCTCAAGTCATCCTCCTGCCTTGGCCTCCCAAAGCACTGAGATTACAGGTGTGAGCCACCATTCCTGGCCAAAAAAAAAAAATTTTAATTAGAAAAAAAAGAAAAAAGAAAAATTTGGCTGGGTGCGGTGGCTCACGCCTGTAATCCCAGCACTTTGGGAGGCCAAGACAGGTGGACCACCTGAAGTCAGGAGTTCGAGACCAGCCTGGCCAACATGGCAAAACTGCATCTCTACGAAAAAATACAAAAATTAGCTGGGCGTGGTGGTGCATGCCTGTAATCCCAGCTACTCAGGAGGCTGAGGCAGGAGAATTACTTAAACCTGAGAAGCAGAGGTTGCAGTGAGCCGAGATCATGCCATTGCACTCCAGCCTGGGCGACACAGCGAGACTGACGAAAGAAAAGAAAAGAAAAGAAAGGAAAGGTAACATAAGGTAAGGTAAGGAAAGGAAAGGAAGAAAGAAAAAAGAAAAGAAAAGAAAGAAAAAGGAAAGAAAGGAAGAAAGAAAGGAGGCAGGGAGGGAAGGAGGGAGGGAGGGAAAGAGAGATAGAAAGGAAGGAAGGAAGGAAAAGAAAATTGTCATGGTGAAATGTTGGGGTTCAGGTCATGGTTGCTGCCCTCCTGGGGCCCACAGTCTGGCAGAGAGAGGAAGAGGTGGTGAGGACAGATAGAGGGTGTGCCCACGTGGTGAGGTCTGACATGAACAATTCTGGAAAAGCAATTCCCCCTCCACGGCATTTCCGGCCTGGGGAGTGGGGTACAGGGAGAGAAAGTAGGCTCTGCCCTGAAGAGACCAATGGGGGTTTGTGCTGGAAAGCAGGGCATGGAGGCAGAGAGGGGCACCTTCCAGCCACTCCCTGATTCTTTTTACGGGGTGTCCCCACCACTAGCCCCCTGAGTGACCACAGGGCAACTCTCTCTGGGGCTCGGTCAGCAAATTGCTGGTGACCTTGGAGCCCAGCTAGGGTTTCCTGGATAGAGCAGCTCCATGGTGATCCCACTTTCCAAAGTCATGTCTTTCAGACAGAGTAGTCTGTTCTTATCAGCCTCCCACCCCTCTCCCCCTGATCCCAGGAAACCCCCTCAGATCCCGAGGGCTTCTTCCTAGGAAGGCTGGGGAGTGTGGGGAAGTCCCCAGGGTGCTCTCCAAAGAAGCGGGGGCAGACAGAGTCTCCTCGTCAGGCCTGTCCCCCAAACCCCATGAGGATTCTTACCTTTCCCGTGTCCCCAGAGTCAGACACAGCTCAAAAGGATGAATGTAGCAGATGCCAACAAAAAGCCCAGAGTTTGGGCCGGGCACGGTGGCTCACTCCTGTAACCCCAGTACTTTGGGAGGCTGAGGCGGGTGGATTATTTGAGGCCAGGAGTTCGAGACCAGCCTGGCCAACATAGGGAAACCCCGTCTCTACCAAAAATTAGCCGGGCATGGTGGTGCATGCCTGTAGTCCCAGCTACTGTGAAGGCTGAGGCATGAGAATCGCTTGAACCTGGGACACGGAGGCTGCAGTGAGCCGAGATCAGGCCACTGCACTCCAGCCTGGGCAATAGAGCGAGACTCCTCTCAAAAACAAATAATAATAATAATAACAACATCTGTCTCCTAGGGTATAGTGGTCAGCTGAGTAACACCTCCCCAAAGATGTCCACATTCTAATCCCGGGAACCTGTGAACAGTTTACCTTACATGGCAAATGGGGCTCTGCAGATGGAATTACGTTAAGGGTCTTGAGATGGGAGATCACTCTGGATTATCCAGGTGGCCCAATGTCATCACAGAGTCCTTACAAGAGGAGGCAGGAGGATGAGAGTCAGAGAGAGATTGGAAGAGGCTGTGCTTCTGGCTGTGAAGATGAAGGAAGAGCAGGACATGTGGGCTCATGCCTGTAATCCCAACGCTTTGGGAAGCCGAGGCAGGAGGATTGCTTAAGGCCGGTAGCTGGGGACCAGCCTGGGCAACATAGCGAGACCCTCGTCTCTACAAGAAAACAATTTTTTTTTTTTTTGAGGTGGAGATCTTGCTCTGTTGCCAGGCTGGAGTGCAGTGGCACGATCTCGGCTCACTGCAACCTCTGCCTCCTGGGTTCAAGTGATTCTCCTGCCTCAGCCTCCCGAGTAGCTGGGATTACAGGCATATGTCACCATGCCCAGCTAATTTTTGTATTTTTAGTGGAGATGGGGTTTCACCATGTTGGCTGGGATGGTCTCGATCTCCTGACCTCGTGACCCGCCCACCTCGGCCTCCAAAAGTGCTGGGATTACAGGCGTGAACCACCACACCCGGCCTACAAAATAATTTTAAAATTAGCTAGGCAGGTGGCATGTGCCTGTGGTCCAAGCTACTCAGGAGGCTGAGGTGGGAGGATCGCCTGAGCCCAGGAGGTCAAGGATGCAGTGAGCCGTGATCATACCACTGCACTGCACTCCAGCCTGGGCAACAGAGTGAGACCATCTCTCCAAAAATAAAACAGAAAGGCAGGCCATTGTCACTGGAGGGGCATACAGAGGGGGCAATACAGAGGAGAAGGTGTCAGCCACACAGGGCCTTGCTGGCTGCCGGATTGGGAGCTGCTTAATTATGTGAGAGATATTTTTCAGGAAATTGCACTAAAAATGCTCCCATTTTTAGAGCCTCCCTATATCTGGCATTGGGCTGAAGGCTTTACGCACACAGCAACCTATGTGAGAGATTTTACAGACGAGGTTATCCCCATTTTACAGATGAGGAAACTGGGGCCCAGAGAGGATTAAGTCACACAGCAGGTAAAGGGGTGCAGCTGGGCTGGGAACCCATGGCCTTTAGTTACCCACATCAGGGGTTACACAGTGGTGGCAGTGACCAGGTGTGTCCAGCAAAGCAGCAGCACCCGCCACTGTCCTGGCAGACCCAGAAACCGGCATGAGATCAGCAGGGACGGAGGAGAAAAACACACGATCCCACACCAAAGTCCCTAGGGGGTCTGGGGGCCTGGGTCCCTGAGGATGAGGTCTGGAGGCCTGGATTCCTGGGTCTTTAAGATATTAAGCCTCACTCACGCCTGTAATCCCAGCACTTTGGGAGGTCGAGGTGGGCGGATCACCTGAGGTCAGGAGTTCAAGACCAGCCTGGCCAACTTGGTGAAACCCCATCTCTACTAAAAATACAAAAATTAGCTCGGTGTGGTCGTGGGTGACTGTAATCCCAGCTACTCGGGAGGCTAAGGCAGGAGAGTCGCCTGAACCTGGGAGGTGGAGGTTGCAGTGAGCGGAGATCGCGCCACTGCACTCCAGCCTGGGCGACAGAGTGAGACTCCATCTCAAAAAAAAAAAAAAGAGGCTAAGCCTGGGTCCCTGAGGATGGGGTCTTGGGGCCTGGCTTCCTGGGTCCCTATGGGGCTGGAGGCTTTGGTCTCTCAGGGATTGAGAGGCTGGAGTCCCAACCTCCTGGGTCCCTGAAGGGCTGGGAATTTGAGTTCCTGAAGATGGGGTTTGGGGGCCTGTCTTCCTGATCCTTAGGGAACTGAGCCTGAGTCCCTGAGGGTGGGGTCTGGGGGCCTGGCTTCCTGGGTCTCCAGGAAGTTGAAGCCCCGGGTCTGTGAGGGTGGAGCCCGGAGTCCAGGATTTCAGAGTCTCTGAGGGCGTTCTTGGAAAGAAATCCCCAAATCTCCCAGGCTGGGCCTGGGCTGCTCTCAGAAGCCTCAGGACCTGCTGGCTCAGCTCTCTGGTCCCTAGAAGTATCCTGGGGCCTTGAGGGGAGGGGGCAGGGAGGCAATGAGTGGTCCAGGACCCCCCTCCTGGAGTTCTGGGGGGCCCTCTGGAGGGAAGGGTGTGGACAACCCCATCTCTGCGTCCCCTCTTAGCCTGAGGACTCCCAGCCACACATACCAGTGCCCCCAAGCTCTCCCCACCCCACTGCCACAATCCACACCAAAAAAACAGCCTAGGTTTGGGCTCCAGATCCCGAGGTTCCCGGAAGACAAAAGTGCACATCCAGGCTCTTCTCATCCCACACACCCCTTTCCTCTTCCTGTTGACTGGCTCTCTGCCTGAGTGGGGGTCCGGAAGCGGAGGGAAAGGGGTGCATGTGACTGTGATTCAGGGCCGCCCTCCTGGCCCTTCTAGGAGTGGGGCATAGGTCCTGCCCCTGGGGAGCCCCCAGTCCCAGGAGGGGCCCATCCAGTGCAGGAGCTCAAGGCTGGGAAAAGAGGGGGCCTTAGGACTATGGGTGGCAGGGAGGCTTCCATACAAATTGGTGCTGTGGGTTGGCTCAGCACTTTAGGCAGCAGCTGCCCGTGCGAAGGCTTGGAGACAGCCTGGTGTTTCAGAACTGTGTGAAGTTAAGGCACTCTGTGGAGTCTTGGAGGAAGAGGTATGGGCGTGGCTGGAGAGACCAGCTGCCAGGCCTGAGCAGGCAGGACCCTTGAACTCCAGGACATGGGAAGCTGGAGCTTTGGGCCCAGGGCAGAAGGGAGCCATGGATGGTTGTAGGCAGAGAGAAGATATGGGCAGGTGGTTGCCGTTCAGGGAAGACACAGAGGAGGGGTTTCAGGGAGACCCTAAAGGAGGCTGTCATGAAGGTCTGGTGGGGGTGAGGACCCTAAGGGGAGCTCTCATGGGGGCTGGAGTTGGGTAAATAGGGAGTGAGTGTTTCATGGGGACACGGTTTCAGTTTGGGAAGATGAGAAAGTTCCGGAGACGGATGGTGGTAATGGTTGCACAACAGTGTGAATGTGTTTCATGCTCCTGAATGGTGCACTTAGAAATGGCTACGATGGTAAATTTTATGTTATGTATATTTTGCCACAATGAAAACAAAATAAAGCGTGATCTAGGAATCATGTTTTCAAAGCAGCGCTTCTCAACCACGGTGACTCTTTCGGCGACTAGTGGCCAGAGATGCTTCTAAACATCCAACAATGCACAGGACAGCATCCCAGCGAGGAATCATCAGTCCCAAAGTCAACAGTGCAGGGTGGGAGAGACCCAGCTTTGAACACACCTCCTCCTGGAAGCCCCCCTGGATTTGACACACCTACTGCCCTTCCTCCCCACCCCTGCACCCTTTCCTTCTCCCCTTCGTAACCCCAGGAGAGGTTAAACAGGTAGGAAAGCCCAGGGCTGTGTCGGGATGGGGTTAGAGTCAGGGTCGCCAGGCTCCATCTCGTTGGGACACAGCGCCAGGCCCTGTCCCAGGTGTGGGGGTTCTGTGATTAGAGCCGCGGACGTGCCTCCGTCCTGTGCAGAGCAGAGGTTAGGGCTGGGATCAGAGCATCGTGGGGTGAGGGGATCAAGTTGTAGTTGAGCTGGGGTTACGGTCAGGGCCGGGGCTGGGATGAGAGCTCAGCTGGAGATGGTTGAGGGTTGTTGTTGCTGGACACCCTAAACTCCTTCCTGTTGAATTCTGACCTAGGTCAAACGAGGAGCGAGACGCGGCCTCCCCCAACATGCAGAGGATCCCAAATCTGAAAGAAGAACCGACACCCACAGATCTGGGGCCCACATCCGCACAATTTTCTGTTTTTCCCCCGAAGTGAGCAAGAGGCGTATTAATACCGCAGAGGGGAAGCGGGTGGGGCAGTCCCGTGACTGGGTCCTTGGGGCCCCAAAGCATCCTAGTGTTTGAGCTGAGTCTTGGCAGGAACCCAGCAGGCAGGGGGCTTTCACCCCTGGGAAGGACATGATGGGGCCGGTGGGGTTGGGCTGGGGCACCTGGGCTTGTAGAACTCAGAAACACCAAATTCCAGCTGGGCACAGTGACTCATGCCTGTAATCCCAGCACTTTGGGAGGCTGAGGCAGGAGGATCACTTGAGCCCAGGAGTTTGAGACCAGCCTGGGCAACATAGTGAGACCCCATCGCTACCAAAAATTTAAAAAATTAACCAGGCGTGGTGGTGCGTGCCTGTGGTCCCAGCTACTCAGGAGGAGAAAGTAGGAGGATCTCTTGAACCTCAGGAGGTTGAGGCTGCAGTGAGCCGAGATCGCACCACTGCACTCCAGCCTGGGAGACAGAGCGAGACCCTGTCTCTAAAAAAAAATATGGACAATTTTGTTGTATAGTTTAATTTAGTAGCAATGGTTGCTGGGCACAGGAATTTGTTTGTTTGTTTGTTTTTTGGGATCGCCCAGGCTGGAGTGCAATGGCGCAATCTCAGCTCACTGCAACTTCCGCCTCCCAGGTTCAAGCAATTCTCCTGCCTCAGCCTCCCGAGTAGCTGGGATTACAGGCACCTGGAACCACTTCTGGCTAATTTTTGCACTTTTCGGTAGAGACGGGGTTTCACTGTGTTGGCCAGGCTGGTCTCAAACTCCTGACCTCAGGTGATCTACTCGCCTCAGCCTCCCAAAGTGTTGGGATGACAGGTATGAGCCACCACGCCCAGCCGGACACAGTTCTTAGTGACTTGTGTGCATATTAACACATCTAATTTTCACCACCACCCTAGGAATTAGATGCTTTGGTGATCAATGCTGCCTTATGTGAAGCACAGAGAGGTTAGGTGACTTGCCAAAGGTCACACAGCACTTCAATGGAAGAACCAGGAATTTGAACACAGGTAGTGTGGGTCAGGCATCTGCAGCCCTAGCCACTATGCCACCTAGACTTCTATATACTAAGACCCCTTGGCACTTTGCCCACCCTCCTCATCCTTCCCAAAATGTGTCCCCTGATCCTTAACACCCTCCCCACTCTCAACTGGGGAACTCCAAATCCCCACTCCTGGGTGGGCTACCTCCCATGTCTCTCACTCCAGAAGACACCCCCCTGTGCCCCTACAACCCACCTCCCAACCAGGAGGGGGCTGGGCTGGGCCATCCACTAGGGCTGGACGTTCCCACTGTGTCAGGGAGGGGCCTGGCTGAAATGTCCCCTGGACCCTGCACTCCAGAACAGCTGGGACCATGCTGCCTTGTCTGTCACCCTGGACCGAGTGACCCTTGGTGCATGCCTGTTGAGTGAATGACTGACTCTGGTGGTCTGAGGCTGTTCATTTTGGGTCCCAAAATGTCCCCTCCACCTTGATCTGGGGTAATGGCCGAGGACCAAGATGGTAAAGAAGTGAGGGAGGGTCCGGGTGCGGTGGCTCATGCCTGTAATCCCAACACTTCGGGAAGCCGACGTGGGTGGATCACTTGAGACCAGGAGTTCAAGACCAGCCTGGTCAACTTGGTGAAACCCCATCTCTACTACAAATACAAAAAATTAGCCAGGTGTAGTGGCGCGTGCCTGTAATCCCAGGTACTTGGGAGGCTGAGGCAGGAGAATCACTTGAATCCGGGGAGGCAGAGGTTATGGGGAGCTGAGATCATGCCACTGTACTCCAGCCTGGATGACACAGCAAGACTCTGTCTCAAAAAAAGAAAAAAAATCAAAAAGGAAGGGAAAGAGTTGGCCGCTGAGCATTGGAGAGGTGGCTGGGGGCTGCTGAGTGGACATAGGGACAGCATTTGAGGCCAAGCCAGGGTGGGGTCACTGGGGGATTAGTCTTGAGGGCAGGTCGGGTTGGGGATCCTAAGGGGGGGTCTGCCGTGGTGGCCAGGTGGGAGTGAGGACCCTGGAGGGTCTGTTTTGGGGGGCAAGACAGGAGGTAGAGCCCCAGGGAAGGCTGTCATGGGGGCAGGATGAGAGTGGGGAGGCCATGGAGGAGGCAGTCCCAGGGACAAGGCAAACCAGGCAGGGGGAACCCTAAGAGGGGGATGTCACCTGGTCCAGGGGGAAGAGGGAGCAGCTGTGGGGATGGGGAGAAGCAGGTTATTTTTTTGAGACGAGCCAGGCGCGGGTGCTGGGTGAGCGGTGGGGTGGAAGATCGGGAAGTGCTTGGACAAGGCCTGGACCTGGGCCGGGGTGTCTGGGTGGATGGACGGACTGTCCCACCAATGGGGACACACGAGGAGAAGGAGGAGGAAGCTTGGGAATAAGTCCAGCTGGGCCATGTTGTGAGGACATGGGGATGAAGTCTTAGTTCCAGGATGGGGCTGGGATGGAGTTTGGTGTTTCTTTTCTGTTTTTCTTTCTTTTTTCTTTTCTTTTTTTTTTTTGTGAGACAGAGTTTAGCTTTTGTTGCCCAGGCTGGAATGCAATGGCGCGATCTCGGCTCACCGCAACCTCTGCCTCCCGGATTCAAGCGATTCTCCTGCCTCAGCCTCCCGAGTAGCTAGGATTACAGGTGCCCACCACCATGCCCAGCTAATTTTTTTTTTTTTTTTTTTTTTTTTGTATTTTCAGTAGATACAGGGTTTCACCATGTTGGCCTTGAACTCCTGACCTCAGATGATCCACCTGCCTCGGCCTCCCAAAGTGCTGGGATTACAGGCGTGAGCCACTGTGCCCGGTCTCTCTCTCTCTCTTTCTCTCTCTCTTTCTTTCTTTCATCTCACTGTGTTGCCCAGGCTGATCTTGAACTCCTGGGCTCAAGTGATCCACTCACCTCTGCCTCCCCAGTAGCTGGGATCACAGGCATGCACCACCATGCCCTGCTAGTTTTTATAGTTTTTGTAGAGACAACGGCTTGCTATGTTGTCCAGGCTGGTCTTGAACTCCCAGGCTTAAGTGATCCTCCCACCTCAGCCTCCCAAAGTGCTGGGATTACAGGCGTGAGCCACCGTGCCCAGCCAAAACTGTCCATATTTGACCTGAATATTATCTCACGTATCTTTCTTTCCCCCCGCTTCCCTCCTTCCCTCCTACTCCTCCTTCTCCCTCTCCTTCCTTCTGTCTTTTTTTTCCCCTTCCTCTGCCTCTCTCTCCTCTTCCCTTTTTTCTTGCTGGGACTCAAACCTGGGACATTTGACCTGGGAGCCTATTTGCTCAATCATCAAGAGACATAATCTCATGGTGGGGTGTCTGCTGGTAAGTGCCGGGTGGCAGGATCCCAACTCCAGGCCGTCCTTCTAACCCAAGAGGCCCTGCCTCTGCCTAGAGCCTTCCGTGGCTCCCCAGGGCCCTCTGTGATCGGCCATAGTGGTATGATTCAGTGTGCAGTAACAGTGGTTCACATCTTGACGCTACCACTCACCTCCTTCAGCCCTGTGGGAACTTGCTGCTTAACATCTCTAGTTCTCACCCAATTCTCTTACCTGAGAAATGGAGATAATAATAACACGGACTTCACCCGGGTGTGGGGAGCACCAGGAGAGGCCATGCGTGTAATGTTATCCGGGTGGCAAGCCCATATTTAGGTCTATGAAAATAGAAGCTGTCAGTGGCTCTACTTTCAGAAGAAAGTGTCTCTCTTCCTGCTTAAACCTCTGTCTCTGACGGTCCCTGCCAATCGCTCTGGTCGACCCCAACACACTAGGAGGACAGACACAGGCTCCAAACTCCACTAAGTGAGTACGTATCTGGTGTGTTGGGGGTTGGCCATGGGAAGTGGAGATCAAAGCGCCCTTGGAAGAAACGACCTTGGGCTGAGCCTCAAGGGATGACCAGCAGGAGGTCACAACCAGAGAAGGGAGGTGGTGGGTGGTGAGGGGGCGGGGGTGGGGGCCGCAGTGTGGACAGAATCTCGAGGCATTCGAGTCCCTGATTTGGGGAAGTGAAAGCAGGCCATCTGGTCTGAGATGAGCTTGGTGAGTGCGCTGGGCCGATCATAGAGGGCCCTGGGGAGCCATGGAAGACTCTAGGCAGAGGCAGGACCTCTTGGGTTAGAAGGACGGCCTGGAGTTGGGATCCTGCCACCCAGCACTTACCAGTAGACACCCCACCATGAGATTATGTCTCCAGATGATTGAGCAAATGGGCTCCCAGCTCAAGGGTCCCGGGTTTGAGTTCCAGTCCCACCACTGCGTGATGGGGACAAATGACTTACCCTCTTGGAACCTCAGTTCCACTGAGAGAGGCCCCACAGAATGAGGACAGTCCCCCAGCATCCTGCCAGTAGGTTTACTGAGCACCTACTGTGTGCTGGTGCTTTGAATACTCCCAATTTACAGATGAGCAAACTGAGCTGCTCATCCAGGAAGAAGCCAGGACTCGGACTCAGGTCTGTCCAGCTGCCTCCCTGGACAGTTCCAGTCCCAGGATGGTCTCTGGGTTCCTCTCACAATGTCAAAAGGGCCAGCTTGAGCTGCCGCTAATCAGAGCCTGGCCGCGCCACACCCCACCTCCCTGAGGCTCCGAGAGAAGGGACTTACCTATAGTCAAGCAGCGAAAGAAGGTAGCCCGTGACCTCCAGGCCTGAAGGACCCCAAGTCCCATGCTCCTCAGCACATAGTAGATGCTTTAAAGTCAGAGGACTTGGTCGGGCGCAGTGGCTCACGCCTGTAATCCTAGCACTTTGGGAGGCTGAGGAGGGCAGATCACCTGTGGTCAGGAGTTCGAGACCAGCCTGATCAATATGGTGAAACCCTGTCTCTACTAAAATACAAAAATTAGCCAGGTGTGGTGGTGGGTGCCTGTAGTCCCAGCTACTTGGGAGGCTAAGACAGGAGAATCGCTTGAACCCGGGAGGTGGAGGTTGCAGTGAGCCAAGATGGTGCCATTGCACTCTAGCCTGGGTGACAGAGCGAGACTCCATCTCAAAAAATAAAAAAATAGGCCATGCACAGTGGCTCACGCCTGTAATCCCAGCACTTTGGGAGGCCGAGGCGGGCGGATCATGAGGTCAGGAGTTTGAGACTAGCCTGGCCAACATAGTGAAAACCCGTCTCTACTAAAAATACAAAAATTATCTGGTCATGGTGGCACGTGCCTATAGTCCCAGCTACTCGGGAGGCTGAGGCGGGAGAATCGCTTGAACCCAGGAGGTGGAGGTGGCAGTGAGCCGAGATCGTGCCCCTGCACTCCAGCCTGGGCAACAGAGCGAGACTCCATTTCAATAAATAAATAAATAAATAAATAAAGTCAGAGCACTTTACAGATGCCCTGGGGACATTGGCAGAGGAGAAGGCTGAGGCCTGGGTTATGGGCTCTTAGCATTTCTCAGTGGGACGTGGCACAGAGTAGATGTTTCATAAATGTTTAGAATCCGAAGACCCACTGTGCGCAGCCCGGCACCAAAAACCTCAGGTATGCTGTGATCTCATTGGATCCTATCTTGGCCTCATGAGTTGGGTGCTGTCATCAGCCCATTTTACAGAGGGGAAAACTGAGGCTGAGAATGGTTGAATCCTTGGCTGAGGTCACACAGGCAAGGCAATTATAATAAACGCTGGTGATATTTTTAGCACAGATCACCAACCAACAGTATAGGTGTTCTTGGTATCATCATTTTACGAATGAGGAAAGAAGTTTCCAGGTTAATTAAGCCATTTGTCAAGATCTCATGGGTGCACCTGCTGTGTAGCTCAAGTGTGATGGGCTCTGGAGTGCCCCACTTCTGATCTCAGGCTGCTATCTCTCCACACCAGCTGTGTCTCCCTGCTAACCACGCTAGTGAGTCCAGATTGTAGACTAAACAAAATCAGCAAATGGCCCCTGAGTGCCACCAAGTCCCAGATGCTATCCTGTGCTGGTAACTAGGATTTGATGGCTCACCCTAACCATCATTAAATCCCAAATCAGCCAGAGCTGTGATTGTGCCCGCTGAGTGGACTGCGTTGTCAGGGAGTGAGTGCTCCATCATCGGGAGAATCCAAGCAGGACCGCCATGGAGGAAGGTCAATATTCAGGTAGGAGGACTCTCTGGTTCTAACGTTGGCAGAAGCAATGACCCTTAGCTACTGCCTTTCACCCAGAAGAGAAGCGGGGCTCCCCAGTCCCTCTCTGGGAAAGAGGGTGAATTTCTAAGAAAGGGACTGGTGTGAGTAAGGAGGTGAGGCCGGACTGACTTTCCTGGCACAGAGCCAGGAAGGAGTGGCAAATTGAGGGCCCCTCCTTTTTCTGATTCAACACCCTCCTGACAAAAAAAGAAAAAGAAAAAAAAAAAAAAACGGCTTCAGCTAGGGAGCGGGGAGCCCAATAGAGTCAGAGGCCAAATAGAACAGGAACTTGGAACAAGCAGAATTTAGCATAATGAATCCTCCAAGCCAGGGTGAGTGCAGAGGGCCAGGGGCTTGAGGTGGGACATCCAGATAGACCTTTGGGTGGGGTCTGGGAGAGGTTTGGAGGTCTGGATGTTGGATGACACCTGGGAAAGTGGCTGGGGAGTGGCTCCGATGTTGGGGAAGAACTGGGACTCAGTGTCCTGGGTTTAGGGAAGGGACTCCAGGTTGGGGACAGGTGCAGAGGTGTAAGGGTGGGCGTTGGGGCTCAGAGGGGAAGGAAAAAGCAGGACCTAGTCTTCTGGAAGTGAAGCTGGGGGCCTGGCATTGGTTGTTGGGGCTGAGGGAGTCTTAGCTCTTAGTCCCAGATCTGTCTCTGTGGTCAGTGACCCAGCCCTGAGTCAGGTAAGGAAGCTGTGCAAATGGAGCTGGGGGTCCACTGAGACCCTTTGCTTCAGTGTGGGCTCTGGACAAGCTCCCAGGCTGTCGGGGGCTCTGGGTAATGGAGAGACGGACAGGGCCAGCATCCAGCTTCACCCTGCACCCATAGTCAGTCCCTCCACCCCCGGCAGAGATCGAGGAGCTTCCCAGGAGGCGGTGTTGCAGGCGTGGGACTCAGATCGTGCTGCTGGGGCTGGTGACCGCCGCTCTGTGGGCTGGGCTGCTGACTCTGCTTCTCCTGTGGCGTGAGGACACCCCCAGCTCCATGTGGTCCCCCCAACTCATGGGGCCCTTCTGTGTTCCCTCCTTCACCCCCATCTCAGAGCTGGGGGAGCCCAACGCATCCTCTCAAAACCCAATTTTCCCATCCTGCCTCCCATCTTGCCACTGCCAGCCCTTTCCCATCCCCCACCCTCCAGAGCCCCTCACCCCACACCCAGCATCCCTGTCCTCCACACTTTCAGCACCTCCATGGCTTATACCCAAGACCTCCATCCCCAGCTGGGAGGTGGGGTGCAGGCAGGTGGGGGCACTGACAATCCCCCCTCTCCACTCCTCTTCTCTCCCCCTCCCCAGACTGGGACACCACACAGAGTCTAAAACAGCTGGAAGAGAGGGCTGCCCGGAACGGTATGAAGGGGTCAAGGTGGAGGGGGTGGGGGTGAGGGTTAGGATGCCCAGCACTCATCCCGCTCCTCTCTGGGCCTCAGTGTCCCCTCGCTAAGGAACTGAAGGTCAAACTAAGTTGCTCCCTGTCCTAGGGAAGGCGGGGACCCAGGGAAGCTTGGAAAAGTGCCTGATAGCATCCTAATACAGATGCTCTTCCGCTTGCAATGGGGTTATGTCCCCATAAGCGCAAAGTACGTTGAAAATAGTTTAAGTCAAAACTGTGTGGCTGGCTGAAGGCTTTGGCTCCCTACCACTGCCCAGCATTGCAAGAGAGTTAAGGTTTCCACTAAACGCATATTGGTTTCAGACCATTGTAAAGTCGAGCCATTGTAACTCGAGCTATTGTAAGTTGAGCCATTGTAAGTTGGCAGCCTTAAGCATCTGTAGTGTAAGGATTTTGTAACTGCTTTGTGCCTCCATTTCCTCATCTGTAAAATGGGCATACTTTTAGTGCCGTGAGACAGAAACAAGCTCTAAGATTTGTGAAGTACCCTGATAGTCGCCTACTGCTTTTATAGTTAACCCTGGGTGAGGGAGAGGTACACAGTAGTTCATTATATTCTTGCATATACCTTCCTGAGTACACTCCTCCTGCTCCAGTAAATGAACAAACAGCAACAGCAGCTGTTGTGACTATGTGAGAGGGTCCCTGAGCCTGGGGCATAGGCGGGGTCCAAGGACCTGCCTTTGAGGTTCCTGGGATATCTCTTCTCTCCCGCCGCTCCAGTCTCTCAAGTTTCCAAGAACTTGGAAAGCCACCACGGTGACCAGATGGCGCAGAAATCCCAGTGTGAGTGACTCCTGGAGTTGGGGTTGCAGGGGAAAAAGCGAGGGGGTCTTGGATGACTTCCTGGACCCAGAGCATTAAGACTCACTGTGCCCCACCCCCGACACCCGGGAACTGCAAACTGAGCAGGTGGTTCCAAGAACCCAGGCAAAGAGACCAAGGGATGGGTGGGGGTAGATGGGGGAGACAATGAGGACCTGCTTACCATGAAGCCCCCTCCCCTGCAAACAGCCACGCAGATTTCACAGGAACTGGAGGAACTTCGAGCTGAACAGCAGAGATTGAAATCTCAGGGTGAGAGACTGGGATCGGGGTTATGAAGCCAGATTGGGTGGGAAGGAGGGAGTGTCTCAGAGCCCTGGGGAACCACGAGGCTGGGGGGCCAGGCTTGGGGGGCACCCTCGGCCTGTACACATCCTCCCTGAGACCAGCCCTGCGCTCCTGCACACACCAGACTTGGAGCTGTCCTGGAACCTGAACGGGCTTCAAGCAGATCTGAGCAGCTTCAAGTCCCAGGGTGAGGCTTGGGAGGGGATGGGGCAGTGGGGGAGGGAACGGACAAGGAGGGGGCCTGCCAGTTGGTCTCTGAGCACCGCCCCTTGTTGACTCCCCAAGAATTGAACGAGAGGAACGAAGCTTCAGATTTGCTGGAAAGACTCCGGGAGGAGGTGACAAAGCTAAGGATGGAGTTGCAGGTGTCCAGCGGTGAGTGTGTGAGTCTCTGCTCAGGACGACGCGTGACCTCACCTGGGGCTCGGGCGTGTTGGCAAATGTGACGGCACGCACGTGTGACGTGAGGCAGCATGTCTATACGTTTGTGTGACCCGAGTGTCATCGGGAGGACACAAAGATATAAGCGCAGGGTGGGGAGTGTGCTTGGATGCGAGGCAGAGGTGTGCGTGATGACGGAAATAGGACTAAGTTTCTGATGGGGCAGGACACACAGAGCATACATAAAACACCGCTTATTTTATTTTTTAAGAGAAGGGGTCTTGGCCAGGCGCGGTGGCTCACACCTGTAATCCCAGCACTTTGAGAGGCCGAGGCGGGTGGATCACCTGAGGTCAGGAGTTCGAGACCAGCCTGACCAACATGGTGAAACCCCGTCTCCACTAAAAATACAAAAATTAGCTGGACGCGGTGGCTCACGCTTGTAATCCCAGCACTTAGGGAGGTCGAGGCGGATAGATTATGTGAGGTCAGGAGTTCGAGACCAGTCTGACCAACATGATGAAACCCCCATCTCTACTAAAACTACAAAAATTAGCTGGGTGTAGTGGTGCGTGCCTGTAGTCCCAGCTACTCGGGAGGCTGAGACAGGACAATTGCTTGAACCCGGGAGGTGGAGGTTGCAGTGAGCCAAGATCACGCCACTGCACTCCAGCCTGGCGACAGAGCGAGACTCCATCTCAATAAAAATTTTAAAAAATTAACCGGGTGTGGTGGCGGGCATACGTAATCCTAGCTACTTGGGAGGCTGAGGCACAAGAATCACTTGAACCCGGGAGGCAGAGGTTGCAGTGAGCCGAGATCATGCTGTCTTCGCACCACTGCATTCCAGGGCAACAGAGCGAGACTCTGTCTCAAAAAAAAAAAAAAAAAAAAAAAAGAGAGAGATGGAGTCTTACTCTTTTGCCCAGGCTGAAATGCAGTGGTGCAATCATAGCTTACTGCAGCCTCCAACTCCTGGGCTCAAGAGATCCTCCCACCTCAGCTTCCAGAGTAGCTGAGACTACGAGTGTGTGCCACCACGCCAGGCTAATTTTTTATTTTCCTGTAGCCACAGTGTCTCACTTTGTTACCCAGGTTGGTCTTGAACTCCTGGACTCCAGCGATCATTCCGCCTCAGTCTCCCAAAGTGCTGGGATTACAGGCATAAGTCATTGCACCTGGCCCTAGCTAATTTTTTTATTTTTTGTAGCGACAGGATCTCGCTATGTTGCCCAGGCTGGTCCTGAACTCCTGGGCTCCAGCAATCCTCTCGCCTCGGCCTCCCAAAATGCTGAGATTACAGGCATGAGCCATCTTGCCTGGCAATTTCTTTCTGATTCCAACTGTGTCCTTTCACAGATTTGGAGACTCCTACAATTTTTTTCCTCTTCTGCGTTAAAGCAGTCCAGTGTTGACCCTCGCTGGGTTCTCCTTGCTGGTGTCCTCTGCCTGATGTGGCCCAGTGAGGAGTTATTAGTAGGATTCTCATACACATAGCCTTCCTGGTAGATTGTCTGACCAGGGCAGGGAGCCAGACGGGGGTAATGTCTGCAGTGATGGGACAATGGAGATGGTGGCCTCTTTCCCAGGGGTGGCAGTAATGGAGGCAGTGTTGACCTCAGGAGGCTAGCAGGCTGCAGAGAGAGCAGACATTCAGTCACTGTACCCTTAATGTGGGGTAGGGACCAGGTGCACTGGCTCACGCCTATAGTCCCAGCACTTTGGGAGGCCGAGGCAGGAGGATCACTTGAGTCCAGGAGTTTGAGACCAGCCTAGGCAACACAGCAAGATCCTGCCTCAACAAAAACATGAAAAAATTAGCCAGATGTGGTGATGTGTACCTGTAGTCTCATCTACTCCGGAGGCTGAGGTGGGAGGATCACCTGAGCCCAGGAGTTTGAGGCTGCGGTGAGCTAGGATTGAGCCACTGCACTCCAGCCTGGGCAACAGAGTGGGACCTTGCCTCTGAAGAAAAAAAAAATTACTGTACGGTAGGAACTGGGGTTTTACAGCCCTGCCGTTCCGCCAGCTAATGCCCCCACCCTTGATTTTTGGTCTTTGACCTCTGGGAAGCCCCAGCTGCCCTAACTGGGGCAGAGAAGAGGAAGTTTCTGTGCTTGGTGTGATGGAGTCCCATCCCCTGGGATGTGAAGTGGCTTTGGGAATCCCAGCCAGAAACCTCAGTGTGGTCCCTCAGGGAGAGGCACAGGGGAAGAGCACTCTGGACCATGACAACTTCTGACAGGTCACCTCCTAATTCTTCCCCAGTCCCTGAAGTCTCCCCGAAATCCAGCCCCACAGCCTGGGATCTGAGCCTGGCTCTGAGGTTGTCTCTGGGTGACTATGTAACAAACAACCAAGACACCTTCCCCTGAAGTTTTCTTTGAGGGCTCAGAAATGTCCTCTTCCTGGTTTTGGGGTTTGGGTTTTTGTCGTTGTTGTTTTTGTTGTTCAGAGACAGGGCCTGGTTCTGTCACCAAGGCTGGAGTGCAGTGGCACAATCATGGCTCACTACGGCCTCAAACTCCTGGGGTCAAGTGATCCTCTCATCTTGGCCTCCCAAATCGCTAGGATTACAAGTATGAGCCACTGCACCTGGCCACCTCTTCCTGTTTTAACGCTGCACCTCCAGAGGGCTGAGTACTGGTTACCATTTCATGGGTGAGAAGCACACTCATCTCAAGCTACTGCAGACCCTAAGCTCCTTAGAAAAATCTGACCATGTGAGGGTGGGCGTGGTGGCTCACGCCTGTAATCCCAGCATTTTGGGAGGCCGAGGCAGGAGGATCACTTGAGCCCAGGAGTTCGAGACTGGCCTGGGCAAGATGATGAGACCCTGCCTCTTTAAAAAAAAAAAAAAAAAAATCTGTGGCTGGGCATGGTGGCTCATGCCTGTAATCCCAGCACTTTGGGAGGCCGAGGCAGGTGGATCACATGAGGTCAGGAGATCGAGACCAGCCTGACCAACATGGTGAAACCCCGTCTCTACTAAAAATATAAAAATTAGCTGGGCATGGTGGTGCACGCCTGTAATCCCAGCTACTTGGGAGGCTAAGGCAGGAGAATTGCTTGAACCCGGGAGGTGCAGGTTGCAGTGAGCCGAGATAGCGCCACTGTACTCTGGCCTGGGAGACAGAGCAAGACTCTGTCTCAAAACAAAACAAAACAAAACAAAAAACATCTGACCACGTGTAGTGGAACCTTCCCTGCATATCACTATAGGAAAACCTACTTACTTAAAGCGGGTTTTTGCTATGTTGCCCAGGCTGGTCTCAAACTCCTGGGCTCAAGCGATCCTCCTGCCTCAGCCTCCCAAGTAGCTGGGATTACAGGTGCACACCACTGCTGAAAATCTATTTTGAAGCAAGAAAGATTTGATCCAGTAAGAGTGGGTTTAACCTTCCACCTGGGAGGCGATAGCAACAATGTCTGGGAGTTTCACTGCGGTGGGGGGAAGGGGAGAAAGAGACCATATTGAGGGATTGTGGGACCTAGTCTTGCAATCCCATTGGCTCTCCTGACCAAAGCCTCCCACTGGAAGAAAATCATCACAATTTCCCAGACATTGGCTAGGAGTGCTGGTTTGGCGGGTTCTGCCAGTGATGATGACCAGGGCTGTTGGTAGGGATGGTGCTTGGGGAAAGTAATCGCTGGTGGACCTGGCCACAGCACTGGTTTTGCTGTCGGTGCCAGTGATGAAGACACGGCTGGTGTGGTTGGTAAAGATGGTGTTGGCTGTGGTGTGGGTGGTGGAGATAAGCTGCTGCTGGTGGTGGGTACCTCTGTTAATGATGTCGGTGATGAAGGTGTTGCTGACCTTGGAGGGGTTTGTTGGTGGTTGAAGTGCTGCTGGCCATGAGGTGTTTGTCATGATGGGGTTGGTGGCTGAGGCACTGTTGGCTATGAGGTGTTTGTGGTGATGATGGTGGTTGAAGTGTTATTGGATATGAAGGTGTTTGTGGTGACAGTGATGGCCGCTGACGTGCTGCTGGTCATGGTGTTGGTGATTGAAGTATTGCTGGCCATGGATGTATTTATGGTAATGGTGTCAGCAGTTGAAGCATTGATGGTCAAGAATGTATTTATAATAACGGTGTTGGTGGTTGAGCTGCTTCTGGCCATGAGGTGTTTGTGGTGACATTGGCGTCAGCTGAGGTGTTGCTAACCACGAAGTGCTGATGGCGATGGTGTTAGTGACTGGCGTTCTGCTGGCTGTAAGGTGTTTGTGGTGACAGTGTTAGGGGTTTACGTGTTGTTGGGCATGAATGTGTTCATGGTGCTGGTGTTGGTAGTTGATGTGTTATTGGATGTGAATGTGCTCGTGCTGATGGTGTTGGTGGTTGATGTGTTGATGGACGTGAATGTGTTCGTGGCGCTGGTGTTGGTAATTGATGTGTTGTTAGACATGAATGTGTTTGTGGCAAAGGTGTTGGTGGTTGATGTGTTGTTGGGCATGAATGTGCTCGTGGTGATGGTGTTGGTAGTTGATGTGTTGTTGGACGTGAATGTATTCGTGCTGATGGTGTTGGTGGTTGATGTGTTGATGGACGTGAATGTGTTCATGACAGTGGTGTTGGTAGTTGATTTGTTGTTGGACATGAATGTGCTCGTGGTGATGGTGTTGGTAGTTGATGTGTTGTTGGACGTGAATGTATTCGTGCTGATGGTGTTGGTGGTTGATGTGTTGATGGACGTGAATGTGTTCATGACAATGGTGTTGGTAGTTGATGTGTTGTTGGACATGAATGTGCTCGTGGTGATGGTGTTGGTAGTTGATGTGTTGTTGGACGTGAATGTATTCGTGCTGATGGTGTTGGTGGTTGATGTGTTGATGGACGTGAATGTGAATGTGTGACAATGGTGTTGGTAGTTGATGTGTTGTTGGACATGAATGTATTTGTGGTGATAGTGCTGGTGGTTGAGGTGCTTCTAGTTGGGAGGTGTTTGTGGTGACAGTGTTTGCAGTTGCAGTGTTGCTGGCTGTGGAACTGGCAATGTAGTCATGGTGTTGGTGACTGAGGTGTTGCTGGCCATGGGTGTATTTATGATGATGTAATGGTGGTTGAGGAGTTGTTTGTGGAGATGATGTTGGTGACTGATATTCAGCTGCCTGTAAGGCATTTGTGATGATGGTGTTGGTGGCATTTTTGGCCATGAGGTATTTGTGGTGCTGGTGTTGGTGGTTGAAGTGCTGCTGGCATGAGGTGTTTGAGGTGATGAGGGTGGTGAAAGTGCTGTTGGTGATGGTGCTTGTGGCTGAGGTGCTGCTGGCTGTGGAACTGGTGATGTGGGTGATAATGTTGGTGATTGAAGTGTTGCTAGCCATGGATGGATTTATGGTGATGTTGGTGGCTATTGAGGCACTTCTATGAGCTGTCGATGGCGATGGTGTTGGTGATTGATGCTCTGCTCGCTGTGAAGCATTTGTGATGATGGGATTTGTGGCTGAGGTGCTGCTGGCTGTGGAGCCGGTGATGTGGTCATGGCTTTGGTGACTGAAGAGTTCCCAAGCCGTGGTGGATTTAAGGTGATTATAATGACAACTGAAGTGCTTCTGGCCATGGTGGTGCTTGTAGCGATGATGCTGGTGGTTGAAGTGTTGTTGGACATGAATGCATTTCTGGTCATGGTGTTGACGGTTGAGGGGCTTCTACCTGTGGGGTGTCTGTGGTTATGACGATGGTTGAAATATTATTGGACATGAGTGTGTTTGTGGTCATGGTGTTGATGGTTGAGGGGCCTCTAGCTGTGAGGTGTCTGTGGTGATAATGGTGGTTGAAGCGTTGTTGGACGTGAATGCATTTGTGGTCATGGTGCTGGTGGTTGAGGGACCTCTAGCCGTGAGGTGTCTGTGGTGATGGTGGTTGAAGTGTTGTTGGACATGAGTGTGTTTGTGGTCATGGTGTTGACCATATTGGACATGAATGTGTGGTGGCAGTGTTGGTGCTTGTGGTGCTTCTGGCCATGAGGTGTTTGTGGAGATGCTGATGGTAGTTGAGGTGTTGATGGTCGACACCGTGCTCTGCTAACCATGAAGGTGTTTGTGGCCATGGTGGCTGAGGTGCTTCTACTATGGATCTGGTCAGCATCATAGCTCCAGCAGAGAACACAGCCCGTGAGGCTGTCTGTTAGGCCCTGGGGTGGGTCTGCTTTTAGCCGGGACCCCAGGAGTGGCCCTAGGAGGGGTGCTGCCACCTAGTCTGCCCAGGGTGCCCAAGGCACTTCCATTGGCCCCACCCCCGAGCCTCTCCTCCACCCCAGGCTTTGTGTGCAACACGTGCCCTGAAAAGTGGATCAATTTCCAACGGAAGTGCTACTACTTCGGCAAGGGCACCAAGCAGTGGGTCCACGCCCGGTATGCCTGTGACGACATGGAAGGGCAGCTGGTCAGCATCCACAGCCCGGAGGAGCAGGTGGGCTGGGGCTCTGCAGAGGTGGTGGGCAGCATGGCGAGGGTGGGGGGACCCCCACCCCACTCTACCCAACCTCTCGAAGTGGGCTGGAAGGCCCCGGGCACATGTCTCCAGTCCTCCAGCCCTGTCCTGTCCCCCAGGACTTCCTGACCAAGCATGCCAGCCACACCGGCTCCTGGATTGGCCTTCGGAACTTGGACCTGAAGGGGGAGTTTATCTGGGTGGATGGGAGCCACGTGGACTACAGGTGAGGAGGGGGCCTCTGGGATCCAGGGGAGGAGATGGAAATACCGTGGAGGGAGGAGCTCCCTAGATAAACTGCATCGGAAAGCGGATGAGGGCTCAGAGATAAGGGTCTCTAGGGTGCAGGGGAGAAGGACGCCAGTGGGGGCTGGGGGACCTGGCCAAGGCTTCTCTGACCTGGAGGAGGGGATATAGAGGAAGGGGCTCAGGGAGGAAGTTCCATGCACAGATTAGAAGGGTGAGTCTTGGCCGGGCAGGGTGGCTCGTGCCTGTCATCCCAGCGCTGTAGGAGGCCGAGGTGGGTGGATCACCTGCCAGGAGTTTAAGACCATCCTGGTCAACATGGCGAAACCCCTCTCTACTAAAAATACAGAAATTAGCCAGTCATGATGGCGGGCGCCTGTAATCCCAGCTATTTGAGAGGCTGAGGTGGGAGAATCACTTGAACCCAGGAGGCGGAGGTTGCAGTGAGCTGAGATCGCGCACTGCACTCCAGCCTGGGCGACAGAGTGATTCTGTCTCAACAAAATAAATAAATAAACAAACAAACAAATAAATAAGGGTGAGTCTTGGGCTGCAGGGTATGGGGCACCAAAATGAGGTACCGGTCCCCAGGCACAGACTCAGGATGGGGAACCTGGGGTGAGAAGGGAGGGTGCAGACTCAGAGGGCTGCCGGGAACTGGGCTCCTTCTCCCCGCCCCATCCCCTGACCCAAAGCCTTTTGCTCCAGCAACTGGGCTCCAGGGGAGCCCACCAGCCGGAGCCAGGGCGAGGACTGCGTGATGATGCGGGGCTCCGGTCGCTGGAACGACGCCTTCTGCGACCGTAAGCTGGGCGCCTGGGTGTGCGACCGGCTGGCCACATGCACGCCGCCAGCCAGCGAAGGTTCCGCGGAGTCCATGGGACCTGATTCAAGACCAGACCCTGACGGCCGCCTGCCCACCCCCTCTGCCCCTCTCCACTCTTGAGCATGGATACAGCCAGGCCCAGAGCAAGACCCTGAAGACCCCCAACCACGGCCTAAAAGCCTCTTTGTGGCTGAAAGGTCCCTGTGACATTTTCTGCCACCCAAACGGAGGCAGCTGACACATCTCCCGCTCCTCTATGGCCCCTGCCTTCCCAGGAGTACACCCCAACAGCACCCTCTCCAGATGGGAGTGCCCCCAACAGCACCCTCTCCAGATGAGAGTACACCCCAACAGCACCCTCTCCAGATGAGAGTACACCCCAACAGCACCCTCTCCAGATGAGAGTACACCCCAACAGCACCCTCTCCAGATGCAGCCCCATCTCCTCAGCACCCCAGGACCTGAGTATCCCCAGCTCAGGTGGTGAGTCCTCCTGTCCAGCCTGCATCAATAAAATGGGGCAGTGATGGCCTCCCACATTTGTCCCCTTCTTGGAGGCCTGGCTGGGTCTGGTCTCTGGGTGTGGCACATGGGAGCTGGGAATTCCA
This sequence comes from Homo sapiens, assembly GCF_000001405.40. Lineage (NCBI taxonomy): Eukaryota > Metazoa > Chordata > Mammalia > Primates > Hominidae > Homo > Homo sapiens. The sequence goes on along the minus strand of NC_000019.10, from coordinate 7,688,704 downwards.
GAGTCTGATGCCTGAGACCACCTTTGAAAGTTGGGACATCAGATCTTTGGCCGGGTGTGGTGGCCCATGCCTGTAATTCCAGCACTTTGGGAAGTCAAGGCAGGCGAATCATCTGAGGTCAGGAGTTCAAGACCAGCCTGGCCAACATGGCAAAACCCCGTCTCTATTAAAAATACAAAAATTCAGCCGGGCACGGTGGCTCACGCCTGTAATCCCAGCACTTTGGGAGGCCAAGGCAGGCGGATCACAAGGTCAGGAGATCGAGACCATCCTGGCTAACACGGTGAAACTCCGTCTCTACTAAAAATACAAAAAATTAGCCGGGCGTGGCGGCGTGTGCCTGTAGTCCCAGCTGCTGGGGAGGCTGAGGCAGGAGAATGGCGTGAACCCGGGAGGTGGAGCTTGCAGTGAGCCGAGATTGCGCCACTGCACTCCAGCCTGGGCGACAGAGCGAGACTCCATCTCAAAAAAAAAAAAAAAACAAAAACACAAAAATTCGCTGGGCGTGGTGGTGCACACCCGTAATCCTAGCTACTCAGGAGGCTGAGGCAGGAGAAGTGCTTGAACCTGGGAGGTGGAGGTTGCAATGATCTGAGATCACGCCACTGTGACAGAGCGAGACCCCAACTAAATAAATTTAAAAAGAAAGAAAGAAAATTGGGAGCAAGCAGATGTGGTGGCTCATGCCTGTAATCCCAGCACTTTGGGAGGCTGAATTGAGCCGATCACTTGAGACCAGGAGTTCGAGACCAGCCTGGCCAACATAGTGAAACCCCGTCTCTACTAAAAAAAAAATACAAAAATTAGCCAGGCACGGTGGCATGTGCCTATAATCCCAGCTACTCGGGAGGCTGAGGCAGGAGAATCACTTGAACCTGGGAGGCAGAGGTTGCAGTGAGCCAGGATCGTGCTACTGCACTCCAGCCTGGGTAACAGAGTGAGATTGCATGTCAAAAAAAAAAAAAAGAAGAAAAAAGAAACAAATTGAGGAGCAACTGAAGTAGAATTCGATCTCCCGTTTTTATTTTTTCCTGCTCTATGACACGGAGAATGTGCAGGACATGAAGCCTCTGAGGTCCAATGGCCCCTTGGAATACTGTAGGGGAAGGCGGTGGATCACCCTGAGGCCGGGAGGGCGTGAGTTGACTCATGGAAGTACCCAGAGCAGGGCTTAGTACACAGAAGGCACTCAGTAAGTGCTGGCTGGCTGGACAGGCTGATGGGGAGTGGGCCCGGTCAACCGGAGGCCATTTCGGGTCTGGAGGTGTTAACCCTACTCAGGGTCTGGGAGGCTGAGGTGGCACCAGCCTCACGCTCGGCCAAGGTCGACCCATGCCGGAGGCCACGGGAGGGAGGCCAGGAGCACAGGGTCCCCTCTCCACACTCCTCTACCAGTGGCTCAGGCCAACACTGGGGTCATTGCACCTCTTCCCTTTCCCCTGACAACACCTCCAGGTCCAAGACCATAAGAAATGCCAGTGGGCTCTGCTGTCAAACGGCGCTCACAATCACTCACTGCTCACCCCTTCTGCCACTGCCTCGACTGGAGCAGTCACCTCCGCCCGGGGCTCTCTCTTCACTGCCCCCTTTCCAGAAGTTTCCTCCAGCTCAGATAAAAGGCCAAAGCCAGCTGCGCACAGTGGCTCATGCCTGTCATCCCAGCGCTTTGGGAGGCTGAGGTGGGAGGACTGCTTGAGTTCAGGAGTTTGAGGCCAGCCTGGGCAACATAGTGAGGCCCCATCTCTACAAAAAATACAAAAACTAGAGGTGTAGTGATGGGCAACTTGGTCCCAGCTGCTTGGGAGGCCGAGGTGGGAGGATTGTGCCCCTGCTCTCAGCCTGGGCGACAGTGAGAACCTGTCTCAAAAAAAAAGAAGAAGAAAAGAGAAAAAGCCAGCCAGGTGCGGTGGCTCACGCCTGTAATCCTAGCACTTTGGGAGGCCAAGGCGGGCAGATCACTTGAGGTCAGGAGTTCCAGACCAGCCTGGCCAACATGGTGAAACCCCGTCTCCACTAAAAATACAAAAATTAGCTGGGTGTGGTGGCGGATGCCTATAGTCCCAACTATTCAGGAGGCTGAAGCAGGAGAATTGCTTGAACCCAGGAGGCTGAGATCTGAGATCGCACCACTGCACTCCAGCCTGGGCGACAGAGTGAGACTCCATCTCTAAATAATAATAATAATAATAATTAATCTGTGTGACCATGGGCACATGACTTCTTTTGGAACCTGCCTGTGAAATGAGCTGATGCTGCTTGCCCAGCTCACCAAGGGCTGGTGCCTGGCTCCTCCTCCTCCTCTTCCTCTCACCCACCCACCTGGAGGGTCCAGGGGAAGACCTTCCTTGCAGCCCAGAGCACCGTAAGTTAGAGCTGCTGTGATCAGAAGCTGCCGAACCACAGGCTCTTCTTTCTCTTCATCCTCCCTTGCCCCAACCCCGGGCCCAGCCTCATAACCCTACAGCTTGTTCAAACGTTTTCCCTTCTCCTCAAGCCCCCTAACTCACCCTCGGTGGCCGGTGGGGATGGGGCGTGGGAACAGACCCTGGGCCCTGCACTCCCAGCTTACAAATTCCCGCAGCCCCTCTTCCTCCCTCCCGATTTCTCTGACATCCCTCACAGCCCCGCCTCTGGACAGAAGAATGGCCCCTGCCCTGGCCGGCCCTGGAAGCCCCTCTCGCCAGGGTCTCAGAGGACCTGCCTGGGGCTGCTTAGCCCAAAGCGTCCTGCATTTTGCTCTGAAATCCAGCTTCTCAGACACCATGTTCCCCTCCCTCCGTCCCCCATCCAGGACTGTGGTTTCTGTGTCTGTGCAGACGCCCAGACCTCCCTCCAGAACTCCAGACCCCAAACCCCAAGACCTGTGCATCTGCTGGCCCCCTAGACGCCTCCCCCTCATTCCAGATTCAGGCTATCATCCTGCCCAAGCCCTCTCCCGGCGCCTCCCTCCACCTCCAACAGCCAACAGCTATTCCAGGATCAGCCCTGGGGCTATGTGTGGTGGTTGCTCAATGGTTTCATTCATCCTAGAGACGCCACCTTCTCCCCAGTGTGCTGAAGCCCACCCTGCTCAATGCCTCTTGCTAGGATGGCTGAGACTGCCCTGACCAAGCCCTCAGCCCTGGTCCACCAGGCAGTCCAACAGAGCATCCTAAACAAATCTAGAGGTGACACCGACCCCTTTGGCCCTTCTCATAACCAGTGAGGGGAGCCCAGCTGACAGTCCCTGCAGTTCCTTTTCTGAACAGACCTGTCTGTTCACATTCTGGGGGGCGGTGGAAAGGAAGCAGGGAAGATTGGATCATGGTTCCCCCAAAAAATCTGGAAGAACTTTCCTTGGGGGAGAGGAGGAGTTATCAGGAACCAAGTGTGGTGAACAAAAAGGGAAAGGAAAATTGCCTGAGGTGTAATACATTACTTTTTTTTTCTTTTTTAAGACAGGGTCTCACTCTGTTGCTCAGGCTGGAGTGCCAGTGGTGTGATCTTGGCTCACTTCAACCTCCGCCTCCCAGGTTTAAGTGATCCTCCTGCCTTAGCCTCCCAAGTAGCTGGGATTACAGGTGCCTGCCACCACGCCCAGCTAATTTTTGTATTTTTAGTAAAGATGGGTTTTGCCATGTTGACCAGGTTGGTCTCAAACTTCCGGCCTCAAGTGATCTGCCCACCTCGGCCTCTCAAAGTGCTGGGATTACAGACATAAGTCGCCACGCCTGGCCTTATTTCAAATTCTTTTAGACAAGGTCTCACTATGTTGCCCAGGCTGGACACCAACCCCTGGCCTCAAGCGATCCTTCTGCCTCGGCCTCCTGAATAGCTGGGACTCCAGGTGTGCACCACTGCACCCCACTTATTTTAAAATTTTTTTAACAAGGGAAATGTGTTTGTATCATCCTGGACTTTAAAATTAACTTTAAAGTATTGACCAGACTGGCCAACACAGTGAAACCTCATCTCTACTAAAAATACAAAAAATTAGGTAGCTGGGACTACAGGAATGCACCTCCATGCCCAGCTAATTTTTGTATTTTTAGTAGAGACAGGGTTTCACCATATTGGCCAGGCTGGCTCGAACTCCTGACCTCGTGATCCGCCTGCCTCGGCCTCCCAAAGTGCTGGGATTATAGGCGTGAGCCACCGCGCCTGACCTTTTTGTTTTTTAGATGGAGTTTCGCTCTTGTTGCCCAGGCTGGAGTGCAATGGTGCAATCTCGGCTCACTGCAACCTCCACCTCCCGGGTTGGAGCGATTCTCCTGCCTCAGCCTCCCAAGTAGCTGGGATTACAGGCATGTGCCACCACACCCGGCTAATGTTTTCTATTTTTAGTAGAGACGGGGTTTTGCCATGTTAGCCAGGCTGGTCTCGAACTCCTGACTTCAGGTGATCCACCTGCCTCAGCCTCCCAAAGTGCTGGGATTACAGGCGTGAGCCACCGCACGTGGCCCCTCCTGGTGATTCTGATACCCTAAAGCCTGCATCTCAATCTAAGGTCCCCAGGAATCCCCTGGGGGCCTCGCTAAAATGCACCCTCAGATTCAGCAGCTCTGGGGTGGGCCTGAGACTGCATTATGGACCAACTCCCAGTTGATGCTGCTACTGCTGATCTACAGAACACACTTTGATTTGGCTCACGCCTGTAACCCCAGCACTTACGGAGGCCAAGGTGGAAGGATTGCTTGAGGCCAAGAGTTTGAGACCAGCCTGGGCAACCTAATAAGAGCCCCCATCTCTACAAAAATTTTTTAAAAATTAGCTGGGCATGGCTGGGCGCCATGGCTCACGCCTGTAATCCCAGCACTTTGGGAAGCCGAGGTGGGCAGATCACGAGGTGAGGAGATCGAGACCATCCTGGCTAACATGGTGAAACCCCGTCTCTACTAAAAATACGAAAAATTAGCCAGGTGTGGTGGTGGGCACCTGTAGTTCCAGCTACTCGGGAGGCTGGGGCAGGAGAATGACATGAACCCGGGAGGCGGAGCTTGCAGTGAGCCGAAGCCGAGATGCTGCCACTGCACTCCAGCCTGGGCGACAGAACAAAACCCTGTCTCTGAAAAATATAATAAATGAGGGAAGAAGGCAAACAATCTCCCTCTGCCTGTTTTCTAGGCACACGGTGACACCCACTCCTTTACATGTTGTCTGTGGTTGCATTCAGTACATCAGCGGAGTAATGGGGCAAGAGCACATGGCGGCACAGCAGTGGCTCACGCCTGTAATCCCAGCACTTTGGGAGGCTGAAGTGGGCGGATCACCTGAGATGAGGAGTTCGAGACCAGCCTGACCAACATGGTGAAACCCCATCTCTACTAAAAATACAAAAATTAGCCGGGTGTGGTGGGAGGCACCTGTAATCCCAGCTACTTGGGAAGCTGAGGCAGGAGAATCACGTGAACCCAAGGTGGAGGTTTGCAGTGAGGTGAGATGGTGCCACTGCACTCCAGCCTGGGCGACAGAGCAAGACTCTATCTCAACAAATAAAAAAAATAATAATAAAGACCACATGGCATAAAATATTGCCCATCTGGCACTTTGCGCAGTTTGCCCACCCCCAGTCTAAAGGCGTCTGTCTCAGCCTGATGCGTCTCCCAGGACCCCATGCCCCCTCCAGCCTGCAGACAGCCTCCAACCGTGATTCCAGAACCTGCCAGCATTTCCCACCAACTCCTTTTGCCGGGTTTATTTCTCCCCACCACTCCTGGTCTCACTCAACCCCCCAACCCTATGGCCAGACCCGCCCCCACTCTACTGTAAACACATTCGGACCTGGCCTCCCTCCCCAGCCTGGGGCAGGGCTGTGGCTCAAGGTACTGAGTGGATCTAAGGCCGCCACACAAGACACAAGACACACGTGGGGAGGGGCTCTCTGTATCCTTTATCTCCGGCAGGGTCAGCGGCCCTCCAGGGCCCGGTCTCGAGCGATGACTGCCTCCTCGAACTTGATCATGAGCGTGGTGCCCTTGTGCCAGTGCGCCGTGACCTTGGCAGGGAAGCCGCTGTGTGTGAGCACCGCCTCCACGATGCCCGCCGTGAAGCTGGCGCAGTTGAGCGTGCTGTTCTCCTTGGGCACGGAGATGTAGGTGTTGATGAGCGGCTCGCGCTCGATGATGTAGAAGGTGCGCGCGTCATCGTTGGCCTGCTCCAGCTTGTCCGCCTCCTTGCCGAAGAGCGCCTTCCACACGGCGCCCTTGACGAAGAGCAACGCGCCTAGCACCTTGGTCTCACGCCGGGCACCCTTTTCGCGCGCCACCAGCGCATCCAGCACGCGCGCGCCCACCTGGCGGCCCAGCGCGGCCAGGCGCGACTGCAGCTCGGCCACGGAGAAGACGCGGCTCTGGCAGTGCTGTACCAGCTCGGAGAACAGCAGTGCGAAGGCGCTCAGGCTCACCTCGGTGCGCGGCCGCGCCAGCGCGCGCTCCAGCAGCGCCGACTTCCCGCGCGTGAAGCGCGCCTCCATGCCGCCGCCACCCTGCGGGGAGACCAGGAAGTGCAGGTGTCAGGGGCAATGGGAAGGGGAGCAGGCCGGGAGGAAAGGAGGGAGAACCGCGAGGGGCCCTGGGACACCCTCGACCCATGCCACTGTTGTGTGCTCCAGTGCCGACTTCCCACTTGCAAAGAGATGCGCGTAAAACACGCCTCGATTACACGTAACCAGATAAATCAAGGGAGGGGGGAGTCTTATACCCTCGGCAGGCAGCGGGCTAGCGGGAGTGGGGACAAGGTGGGAGGAGAGACACGAGGGGGAACAGAAGAGGAGGCCGAAACCACCCAACCCTCGGGCATGCAGACGGTTCAATTGCGAAAGCGCCTTCCTGCCCGCTCCGCCACCTACAGGAGTAACTAGAAAACTAGTGTATGGGGGGAGGGGCGTCAGATCTAGGGCAGGGAGGTGACAAAGATGAGGCACCACGAGGGGATATGGGCAGTCGCTCCTGCCCCGCCCTGCGCTCCAGCACAGACGACCCTCGGGAACTTTCCTGCCGGCCCCCTGCGGAAAGCCAGAGTAAAGGGGGTGGAGGGTGGGAGTGGGGTAGGAGCGTGTCAAGACCAAAAGCCAGGAGGGTTGGGGGCTTTAACAGGGGGGATCCGTGGGGCCAGGCAGGAGGGGCGGGTAACCCCCAACCCCAAGCCCTCAGGCAGGCAGCTCCGATGTGTCACGCAGGAACCCTTCGTCCTTTGAGACGCGGATGGGCCTGGGTTCTGAAGGCTGGGAGGAGGGGCCCAGAGGTGTTGGGAGCCTCCCACCCCCGTGCTCTCCAGAAAGGAAGCTGGATGCTGAGCAACTGTGGTCCTCCCATCAGCTGTCGGTGCGGGGAGAGGGAGATGGGGTAGGGGGCTCCTGAAGAGAAATGGGGTGGGGAGCGGGCGCCGAGACGGGATCGGAGGGGCAGCTGAGAACCCGCCCCCACCATGCATGGGGAGGTGTGTGGATGCTAAGCCGACCCCAACGAGGTCTGCGTGGGAGGTGGGAGAACCAGCGGGGAGGGGTGTCCCAGGGGCTCCGGGCCGCCCCCGCCCCAGCATGCAGATCCGTCCGTGGCGAGGGCCCTGGGCGCGCGAGATGGGAGAGGGATCGTTAAGACCCCACCACCGGGCTGCGATGGGGGCTGAAGTGAGCTGAACTGCCGTAGGGTCAGGGCCCCGCGACCCTCGCCCCGTACCTCTACACTGGGGAGAAACCCACCCTCCTCGCAGCCTCCTGAGGGGGGCCGAAGCGAGCGGGCTCGGGATCGCGGACGCCGAGACCCCAGCCCGGGACCCACACGCCCGCGGGGAAGGGGCCGGGGAGCGGACGAGGCCCGGCGCGGGCAGGGGGGTGGGTAGGGTCTCACCAGGAACCGCAGCAGTCTGCTCGGCCGAGCTGCTTTACGGCGCCGTAAAAGGCGCTGCGTGCGCAGGCGCTCGACGGGCCAGGCGTGTGGGCGGGGCGCGCGCAGCGGTGCCTGAGAGCGGCCGCAGGGGGGCGCGCGAGTCCGCGGAGCCGGACCCAGGGACGTGGCCCACGGCCGTGATGGCTGCTCCGCGCGTGGCCAGGGTCTCGCTGGCTCTGGGTGGCCCACGCTGGAGGGGACGCTTGCAGGCCTAGTCACCTGCTCAGGGCGCACGTATGACAATGGGCCAATGTATACCCTTGCACATGGACACACCTGTTGGCTTTTCCAGGCACTCCTATGTCCTTGGGGATGGGTTCAATTGTCTCAAGTGCATCCATGTGGCCCGCGGTGGCTCCCGCCTGTAACCCCAGCATTTTCGGAGGCGGAGGTGGGAGAATCACTTGAGGCCAGGAGTTTGAGACCAGCCTGGACAACATAGCTAGACTCCCACTTCTTTAAAAAAAATTAGCCAGGTGTGGTGGTGTGAACCTGTAATCCCATCTACTCGGGAGGCGGAGGCAAGAGGATCGCCTGAGCCCAGGAGGTCGAGGCTGCAATGAGTCATGATCGTACCACTGCCCTCCAGCCTGGGTGATAGAGCGAGACCCTGTCTCAAAAAAACAAAAACAAACAACAACAACAACAAATCAAGTGCATGCATGAGCGGTGGACATAGTACCTTAGGGTCATGTACACTCATGGATACATGCTCAATGGCATAGATACACTCACGGGCACAATTACACACGTGGGTACACGCTTAGGGCTTGTATATATCCGTGGTCCCAGGTACACTCAGGGAGATGTTGTATGCTCAGGGGCACCCACTCTGGGACACAGGGAAGACACAGGGAATGAGTTACTCATTCACAGATGCACAGGTACTCACGCAGGGCACTCAGTCTCGCCCACCCTGGTGCCCCGGGGTCATTGTCACGTGCAGACTCTCCCTCTCCCCAGGTCCCAAAACCCCTCCCCTTGCCCCAGTAACAGGTCCCATAGCGACGCTGTTTTCCCTTGACTTTATTTATCTTCATAAGTCACAAAATGTGAGTGCAGAGATAAATGTCTGTGTGCATGTGCCCTGAGCACACAGGGTGGCATAACTCGGCACACTCATAATGACACAGCCGTTCACCCAGCCACAGATAGTGACAGGGCACACATGGCGACACCCACATGTACGGAGATAAATCTCCCCCACCATGACATGGGTAGACAGAAAACACGCCGCAGTATACTCTAGTATGTTTACACAAACAGGGAGACAGGCCCGTGCAATGCATGTCACCAACACCCACACTCAGAGTGACATCTGCTGGAGGTGCTCAGACACAGCCACCCACCGTGACATGCCGAGACTCACATATGTCACATGACACAGGCATGCATGCCACATTCACTGTGACTCTCAGTCCTATTCATTCATCACCTTTCTGGGAGATACACTGAAATGTCCACCCTTTGCAAAATGCACACACACGCGCACGCACACACGCACATACACGAACACACGCGCACACACGCACACACACGCACGCAGGTGTACACACACACGAGCAACTCCGAGACACTCATTCACCATGACTCGAGGTTTTTCTATACGTGGGACGAGGGGCAGGTTCACACTAGGCTGGGGGGGGGGGGTCATTTCCCGTCTTCGTTGGCAGGTGCAGCCCCATCTTCCAAGTTGTGGCTTTGGCTGCCACAATGTCCTCTCATTTATTGAGGTGAGGACTCTGGGGATGGGGAGAGACCCACAGTGAGGCAGATCCCGCCCCTGGGAGAGGAGCTGGGGCTAAATCTGAAGCCCCACCCACCCTCCTCCACCTCCTGTCGGGGCGCCAACTTACGTGGCATTTTCTGCAGCACCTCCAAGATTTTCTGTACCTTTGTGTCAATGTTTTTTATGCCTAGGGGGCGGGGAGGGTTGGGTGGGAACAGATAAGTCAAGCTGCGGTGGAGCCTCAAACAAAGCCCCCACCTTCCTTGGAAGCACCCCCCCTGCCCCACACCCACCCTGGGGTACAGCAGAGCCCATGGATTTGGGGTTCCCAGGAGCCTTTCAATACCCACAGAGCAACCCAGATGGTAACACCCATCGCCCCTCCACAACTTGAGCTTTGGGAGGGTAGGACCCCGGCTTTCTCCTCCCCTGAATCCCCTGCCCCCAGCTCAGCTCCGGGCATTGGTGACAAATAACCCCCATAGAAGGCGAGACTACACAGGCACCTGCTAATGTCGTCTCTAATCTATCAATCTTGCTCCTGACCATGGTGATGCTCTGCTGAACGGAATCCCAGCCTCTCTTCTGTCTCTCTTCGCATGCTTGTACGGAGTTTGAGACTGAGGGCATGAAACAGGGGTGTCTGTGCATCCATCCCTCTCCAGACCCCCACCATGACCCCACGGGTCTCCCTCAGACCCTCCGCTCACCATTCCAAAGCTCCCTTTTAAAGCCCAGCAGCTCCTTGGACATCTCAGCATCTGTTCAGGAGGGGCAGGAAAATCCTTGAAGCACCCAGGGAGAGAGAGAGAGAAGGACAAGGGAGAAAGTCTAGGCCCCCCAGCACCCTCCTCCCAAGAAGTACTCACTCTTCACCATGATGAAGGCTGACAGGATGATGCAGAGGACAAAGGCCAGGGCCAGGAGGATGTACAGGCTCAGGATGGCTCTGTACAACCAGCAGGGGACCTGGGTGGAGTCTGAGGGCGGCCTGCACTGGGCTGGGACTGGAGCAAAGAGGCAGCAAAGTGACCTTGAGGGGCCAGCACCACCACTCAAACCATCCTCACTGTCTCTAACACCATGGACACCTCGCTCCTCTCAAAACCATCAGCAGCTGTGGTCATGCAGCTTGTCATCATCGTCAACAACACTGCCACCACCAGCCACCCTCAGCGATCTAACACCGTCACCATCACAGACCCCCTCTCCAGCATTCCCCAACATTGTCATCATCAACAGACCTCATTAGCACGTCAACAGCTGTCACCTCTTCCTTCCCCATCGCTTCCTCCCTTCCACGCAGCCCCGGGGGCCCTGCAGTTGCCCGCCCACCTGCCCCTTCCCAAGGTGATGGGATGTGAGCAGGTGGGTGTCTGCTCACCTTGGCTCGTGGGTCGTGAATGACCACCCTTTGCATGGTCCTGATTTTTGAAGGCCAAGGTGATATTCTCATAGTCTGGGTCATGGGCACCTGGGAGGGGTTGGAGATCTGCTCAGAGCTCTGTGGTGTGGAGAGTGGATCCGGGATCTTGTTTTACCCAACCCTTTGCACTCAATAAATTGTAGGGGGTGAAAGATAAGGAGTGAGAAGCTAAAATCTGCTTTTTGGTTAAGTGGAGCGGGTGTGTGAGAGTTTGAGTGATCACACCACACACACATCCACACACACATCCACACATCTTGGAGGGGAAGGAGCCCCCGGCCCCCACCTTTGACCCCTTACCTCTCCCATCTGAACTCTCCTTCTTTTTTTATTTTTATTTTTTACAGACAGAGTCTCCCTATGTTGCCCAGGCCAGTCTCCACCTCCAGGGCTCACGCAATCCTCCCGCCTCAGCCTCCCAAAGTGCTAGGATTACAGACATGAGCAAAAGCCCCCGGCCCCCCAATCTCTCCTTCTTAACCCCTCCCTTCCACCTCGAGTTCCCTAACCTTGATTCTTGGCTGAGACCCCCTGTTTCTTGTCCCTGAAGGCTGGTGCTTGCATCTTGACTTCCTGGTGCTTGTAGATTTCCTCCACTTCCATGGTCCCCAGCCCGCAAATTTGTCCATACACGTCCCCGCCCACCGGAAGGTGTGGGCAGATGAGGAAATCTGGAGGTGGGGGGAAGAAAGAGGGGGAGCAGCCTCCTCTTTTCAGGGATCCACGACTCTCGCACCCTGGGGCACCCTCATTCCTGCCCCGATCAAGAGGCTCTTGGGAGCCAAGAGGTCTCAGGAAGGACCAAGAAGAAAAACCTCTAGACCGGGAGATGGAATTCGACACTCGGAAATGTTACAGGAAGCTGTGGTCTCTGTGTGTGTCTGTGTCTACCTGGATGGACCTCACCCTCCTACCTCCTCTCCATTTCAAAAGAGAAGCTGTGACACCTCAGTGTCCCAACTTTTCGCGTAAGAGCAACCAGGCTTGGAGACAGGACCCCTGGGTCCCCCCACACCTTCCTCCCTCCAGCCTCAGCTCCACCCCTCAGCTCCACCCCCAAGAAGTTCTTCTACTTCTACAAGTCCCCGTGGAGGAAAAGCACAGATGTGAGGCAACGGGAACTAACCACTGGAACGCCACACCCACATCTGGGACTGAGGACAGACCCACATCCTTCCCTCCCTCCCCAAATCCCCTGCTTTTATACAACCCTGGAGGAGGCTGGGTGCGGTGGCTCACGCCTGTAATCCCAGCACTCTGGGAGGCTGAGGTGGGTGGATCATCTGAGGTCAGGAGTTTGAAACCAGCCTGGCTAACATGGTGAAACCCCGTCTCTACTAAAAATACAAAAATTAGCTGGGCGTGGTGGCGAGCGCCTGTAATCCTAGCTACTCAGGAGGCTGAGGCAGGAGAATCGCTTAAACCTGGGAGGCGGAGGCTGCAGTGAGCGGAGATCACACCATTGCACTCCAGAATGGGTGACAAGAGGGAAACTCTGTCTCAAAAAAGAACCCTGGAGGAACAGTTTCCTCTGCACCTGGAAACTCCAGGTTTCTCATTCTCATCCATCCATCTGCTTATCTACCCAGATACTCTCTCTCACACATGTACACACACAGGTCTGCACACGGACACACATCACAAACTCATTTGCATACTATTTGCATTGTGACACTCAGAAAAATAGACACAAGCATGCGTTCACATGCCCGCACTCTGTCTAGAAGGTGTCTTAGTTCACTTTGTGTTTATCTGATCTTGAAAACTGGGGTTACAAAAGGCACAAAGTAGCTGGGTATGGTGGCTCGCTCTGTAGTCCCAGCTACCCAGGAGGCTGAGGTAGGAGGATCATTTGAGGCCAGGAGTTTGAGACCAGCGTGAGCAACATAGCAAGACCCTGTCTCTTTAAATGTTTTTTAATAATTTTTTTTTGAGACAGGGTTTCACTCTGTTGCCCAGGCCGGGGTGCAGCAGCGTGATCATGGCTCACTGCAGCTTTGACCTCCCTGGCTCAAGTAATCCTTCGTCCTCGGCTTCCCGAGTAGCTGAAATTACAGGTGGGCACGACTTCACCTGGCTAATTTTTCTCCTTTTTTGAGATGGAGTTTTGTGCTTGTCACCCAGGCTGGAGTGCAATGACGCTATCTCAGCTCACTGCAACCTCCGCATCCCAGGTTCAAGTCATTCTCCTGCCTCAGCCTCCCAAGTAGCTGGGATTACAGGCATGCACCACCACCCCCGGCTAATTTTGTATTTTTAGTAGAGACGGGGTTTCCCCATGTTGGTCAGGCTGGTCTCGAACTCCTGACTTCACGTGATCTACCCGCCTTGGCCTCCCAAAGTGCTGGGATTACAAGCATCAGCCACCGTGGCCCAGTCTAATTTTTCTTATTTTTTGTAGAGATGAGGGTCTCAATATGCCGTCCAGGCTGGTCTTGATCTCCTGGGTTCAACTGATCCTCCAGCCTTGGTCTCCCAAAGTGCTGGGATTACAGGCATACATTTTTATTTTTATTTTTTTCTGGCCAGGTGTGGTGGCTCACGCCTGTAATCACAGCACTTTGGGAGTCTGAGGCGGGCGGATCACCTGAGGTCAGGAGTTAGAGACACCAGCCTGACCAATATGATAAAACCCTGTCTCTACTAAAAATGCAAAAATTAACTGGGCGTGGTGGCAGGCGCCTGTAATCTCAGCCACTCGGGAGGCTGAGACAGGAGAATCACTTGAACCCGGGAGGTGGAGGTTGCAGTGAGCCGAGATCGCGCCATTGCACTCCAGCCTGGGCAACAAGAGCAAAACTCCGTCAAAAAAAAAAAAAAAAAAAGAAAAAAGAAGAAAGAAGAAAGAAGGAAGGAAGGAAGAAGAAAAGAAGAAAAAACAAGTATAAGACTGTCTTATGTGCAGAAAGTGATGATGTTTTGGTTAAAAATATGTGGTTAAATTTCAGACAACTTGAATGTTGAGAAATGAGCGTCGAGATCTGGTGAGGATAAAGTTCTGTTTCCTAAAATATTGCCAAATCCTGTGTCTCCAAGAAAGATCAATTTGATAATGACTTCATGCCAGCTGCTCCATTTGGTCTTAGAAAGAAGTCAGTTACTGAGCTATAGGACCGCCTTCTAATGGAGCAGACGGACCAATTGGATGTGGGCTCTGCCTTGATGGACAGGCACAGGGGGTGGAGCCACAGCGTTGCACATTTCCCGGGCTTGGGTGGGGCTGAGACGCGGCTCCAGGCTCTGGACTTCCTTTGAGAAAAAGGTCACGCTAAACCAGAGGCCCACAAGCAATCATGTCATGTGGGAAACATCTGCAAAGCTGCCTGACCAGCACCCGTCCCTTTCATAGGGTAACATTCTCAATTTTCTTTTAAGAAAGAAAATGTGTGCTAGATCCAGCAAACCATAAGCTAGGGATTGGTTTACAGTGGACAAATGATCCAGACCCAGCCAACCAGAGTCTAAGATTGGGCAGAGAGGCGGGCATTTGAGCAAGATCCAGCCAATGAAACGCTGGTCTGGGATTTTTATTGGTTTAACCACGGGGGAAAAAGCATTCTCTTTTTTTTCCAGCCCTCACTAGGGCTGCCACAATGGGAGGATGTAATGGGAGCTGTGACAGGGAAGAATTTACTTGAGAGCAAAGGCAGTGCTGAGAAAATCAGACCCGAGAGGAAGTCTGGGTCCTGGAGACATCATTTGAGACCCTGGTTCCAAGCCATACCTGAACCTGTTGTTCTAACCCTGGGCTTGTCAGTTACACAAACAAGAAACTTCCTTTTAGTTTTGCCCAAGCTAGTTTGAAGTGGGGTCTGTTGTACTTGCAAGCAGAAGAATCTTGCCTTGGCTGGTCTCTGTGGCCCACGCCTGTAATCCCAGCACTTTGGAAGGCCGAGGCAGGTGAATCACTTAAGGTCAGGAATTTGAGACCAGCCTGGCCAAAATGGCGAAATCCCCGTGTCTACTAAAAATACAAAAATTAGCCAGGAGTGGTGGTGGGCGCCTGCAATCCCAACTACTCAGGAGGCTGAAGCAGGAGAATCACTTGAACCTGGAGGTGGAGGTTGCAGTGAGCTGAGATCGTGCCACTGCACTCCAGCCTGGACAACAGAGTGAGACTCCATCTCAAAAAGGAAGAAGAAGAAGGAGGAGGAGGAGAAGGATGAGGAGGAGGAAGGAGGGAGGGAGGAGGGAGGAGGGAGGAGGATATCTTGCCTACCACAGGGGATCTAGGCATTAGCTATTGAGGAAATTGAGGCTCTAATAGGGGGTTTGCCTGTCCACATCACCTGGGCAGATATGACCTCCAAGTCTGCACTCTGGGGCAGGAGAATGTCTATGTTGGAATTGAGGAACCTGAAGAGAGCCCTCTTAGGTTTCAGATACAGGACTATTGGATGGGGGTGGAGACAAATAGTTCTGGGGACAATGGAGCATCCCCGCCCCCAACACACACACACAGCAGTAAGGGGCAGGGACACACACAAGGCACTAGACTCACCCTCTCTGGCCCTGGCCATGCTTCTAACTCAGTGGTCCTGCCCTACCCCCATGACCACTGTGGAGTCAGGAGAGAGGGTCTGGGAAGGGAATCCCTGGGCTGGAGTCTGGGTGGGGTCCCTGGCACCAGAAGTGGTTGTAATCTCTGCTCATGGCCACCAGCATCAGACAGGGGGCTGGGACCATCACAGGGGGTGGGTGGCAGTGGGAGGAGAGTCCAAAACATCCTGCAAACCAGAACCTCACTCTATCATCTGTTGTCCAGGTGTGACATTTGAGTCTGGGATCCCTTTCAAGACTAGGTGCTAGGAATTCTGAAGTCTGTGGTGGGAAATCAGGGACTGGATGGCAAGACTCCTGGGTCAGGCTTCCTGTAGAACTGGACCCCGAATCACCTGAATTTGTGCCCCAGGGAGCTGAGGCGGGGGATGCTGAGGCTTTTGCCCACTAGAACAGGGGTCCCCAGCCACCGGGCATTGGGAACGGGGCCTCACAGCAGGAGGTGAGTGGTGGGCGAGCGAGAGAAGCTTCATCTGTATTTACAGCCACTCCCCATCATTCGCATTACCACCTGAGCTCCACCTCCTGTCAGACCAGCAGCAGCATTAGATTCTCATAGGAGCAAGAATCCCATCGTGAACTGCGCATTTGAGGGATGTAGCTTTCTCACTTCTTATAAGAATCAAATGCCTGGTAATCTGTCGCTGTCTCCCATCACCCTCAGCTGGGACCATCTAGTTGCAGGAACACAAGCTCAGGGCTCCCACCGATTCCACATTATGGTGAGTTGTAGAATTATTTTATTCTATATTACAATGTCATAATAATAAAAATAAAGTGAATAATAAATGTAATGCGCTTGAATCACCCAGAAACCATCCCCGCTCCCCCCCTACCCCATACACACACCAACTGTCTTCCATGAAAACAGTCTCTGGTGCCAAAAAGGTTGGGGATCGCTGCACTAGGGTATCAGATACTTATCCAGGTGCAGTGGGGACTAGAGTCAGAAATGCAAGAGTCTGCCTGGAGCATGTGTGTGTTTGTGTCCTGCATCATCTCTGCCCACCATAGTCAAATCTGCGATTCTCCGTGCATTGGCCGGGGGGGTGGTGCCTTTCTGTGTCCAAGAGTGTCTAGGGGCACATGGGTGTGTCTGTGGATGTGGTGTCTCCATGTGGCCGTGGTAGGTGGGTTGTGTACTCTGTGTGTGCACGTGGCTGTGTATAGCTGTGTGTGCATGTGCAGTATGTGCACGTCGGTGCTGTATCTAAGTGCACATGTGGCTACTGATCAACAGACATTTACTGAACGTCTACTGTGTTCCATGCTCTATTCTAAACCCTGGGGGCGCTGGGTGCAGTGGCTCATGCCTGTAATCCCAGCACTTTGGAAGGCCGAGGTGGGTGGATCACCTGAGGTCAGGAGTTTGAGACTAGCCTGGCCAACATGGTGAAACCCGCTCTCTACTAAAAATACAAATTAGCTGGGCATGGTGGTGGGCACCTGTAATCTCAGCTACTTGAGAGGCTAAGGCAGGAATATCACTTGAACCCAGGAGGCAGAGGTTGCAGTGAGCCGAGATTGTGCCACTGCACTCCAGCCTGGGCGCCAGAGTAAGACCTTGTCTCGAAAATAAAAATTAAAAAATAGGCCAGGCGCGGTGGCTCATGCATGTAATCCCAGCACTTTGGGAGGCTGAGGCGGGTGAATCGCTTGAGGCCAGGAGCTCAAGACCAACCTAGCCAACATGGTGAAACTCCTTCTCTACTAAAAATACAAAAATTAGCCAGGTATGGTGGCGAGCGCCTGTAGTCCCAGCTACGTGGGAGGCTGAGGCAGGAGAATCGCTTGAACCCAGGAGGCAGAGGTTGCGGTGAGCCGAGATTGCACCACTGCACTCCAGCCTGGGCAACAGAGCGAGACCCTGTCTCAAAAAAAAAAAAAGAAAGAAAGAAAGAAAAGAGAAGAGGGGAGAGGAGGGGAGGGGAGGGGAGGGGAGGGGAGGGGAGGGGAAGGGAAGGGAAGAAACGAAACCCTGGGGGGGATCTAGGAGCAGACAAGTCCCCTGCTCTGTGTTTTCATAATCTAGTATCCAGGAAGGGGTAAGCACCCTGCGTGTATCTGGTTGTAACTAACTACTCACAACTGCACTTGCCTGTGTGAAAACGTGAGCTTGTGATGATGCGTGACGTCAGGTAGGCGTCCCTGACTCTCCGTAACCCAACTTTGCCTGTGCCTTGGGGATTCCTCCTTGCAGGTAGGAAGTGAGGGGTACAGGTTCCAGCTCTGGGCTGAGACATGATTCAGGGTTCCACCCTGACCTGGGGCTCCTGGAGTCTTGGGGCCCTGGAGGGTCCCGTCCACTGCCCAGACTGACCCAGGTCCTCGATGAAGCCTCATTATGAGGACTGGGGGAAAAGGACCCAGCCACTTCCTGGGGAGGTCGGAGACCCCAGGGTGAGCGTCAAGGTAGCCTCAAAGATGAGACGTCACCTCTTGAAGGCAGCCATGAGCCTTGGGTGGGGACGTCACTAGAGGAAGTTCAGGCCCTATTTTCGGAGGAAGCAGTTGGAGACCCCATAGGAGGAAGGGCGATGGGGCAGTAGAAAGTCGCGGTGTCCCCGCCCCCTCCAGCAGCTACGCGCCCCACTCTCTTGGAGACGCTAGATCAGTCCCTCCGGGCCTACTAAAGAAACCACGCAGGGCTCAGATCCGCTCCATCATCATCATCATCATCATCATCATCATCTCCAGGTTTATTTCCAGCTCCCCCGCAACCCCTCCGGACCTGGAGCCGCCTCCGCCCGCGCTGTGCACGCGCTGCGCGCGACCTCAGGGCTGCACACGACAGCAGCGCGCTCCGGTCCAGTCCATGCCCGCGCACTGGCAGTGACATGTGGTCTCGGCGCGCACATCCCACGAGCCACAGGCGGAGCCACAAGTGCAGCCGGTGACGGCGAAGCCTGCAGCCCGGAACACAGGAGCGTGGACTCTGAGCTGGGAGGCTGAGGGTGGGAGCGGGAGGGGGGTGGGGAGCGCGGAGGGGGGTTGGGGGGGCGGGGGTGGGGACGGGGACGGCTGGAGGCTCCAACCACTGAATGGGCACTGGAGGCAGGGAGTGAGGGTGGACACCAGTGTCCAGATGGTGGGCGGAGAAGGCTGGGAGTCAGGACCAAGATCCTAGGGGAGTAGAGGCTGGACACGGGGAACGTGGCGGGGAGGGGGCATTCCCAGGGGACTTGGAACAGAAATGGGCGCCTGGACAACAGTCTCCTGCACTCACCTCGGGGGCAAGTAGCCAGGTCCCCCCTGGAGGTGACGCTCTGGCACTCCAGGCCAATGCTGCTTATTGCCCTAAATACTGGGGGGCAGGAGGAAAGGAGACAGGGGGAGCTGTGAGACCAAACGGTCCCTCCCCCATCCTCCCCTAGCCCTGTTGGTTTGGAGCTAGGTCCCTGTGGGCATAGGAGCTCACTGGCCTCCAGGACCCTGTCTTGAGTTGGGTGTTTTGGAGTAAGGGAAGGTTTGGAGTGAGAGCGGGGATTGGGTTTGGAGCCGTGGATAAGGTGGGGACAGTCGGAGGGGTTGGGAGTGGAGTTGGGGTTGAATTTATGATCTGGTTGGATTTGAGGATGAGATTTGGTGAGCGCTGGGGCTGGGTTGGAGTCAGGTCTGTGCCAGGGATCAGTGAGGTCTCTGAGACCCTTGGGGAGCTTGCCCAAGTGGGGGGTCCTCACTTAGGGAGCCGGCGACCTCCTGGATCCTCTCATTGATGGCTTCTTCCATGGAGCACAGGGTCTTGCTAGACACCAACAGCCCCAGGACAGGGAGGAGGAGGAGACAGAGAGCTTTCATCCTGCAGGCGCTGAAAGAGGGAACCAAGAGACCCACAGCTGGATCAGCCCTGCCCTGTGGGGAAGATCCGGCCCATGGAGGGAGTAGGATCTGCCCCTGGACCTGGACCCCTGTCCCCCCATGTGGGGGACAGGGATGGAGGCTCAGCCTTGACCCCAGCCTCCCCGCTGGTGCCATGGCAAGCGCAGGAGCAGCTGTCACTTACCCTCTCGGTGGGCTCAGCTAACCAAATCCGGCACACGAATTCCTGCACCGCAGCTCTTTCTTTGAGGCCTCTTGGGGTGGGGCTTCCTGGCTTGGCTAATAAGTCCCTGGGCCCCCAACCCTCCGGTCCCACATCCGGGGCCAAGAGGAAGCCCCTGAGCAGACAGTAAGGGCTGGAGGAGGAAGGGAGCCTTCCCACTTCCAACAGGGCCTCCGTCTTCATGTCCAGAGACTGGTCAGGAGGTGGTGCCCCAGGGATAATGCCAGGGGCTGTGGTCTGAGGAACAGGTAGACAAGCAGAGTTTTGCATGCAAGGGTGGCTGATGCAAACATGACAAAATTAATGCCTCTTGCTAGGCATGGTGCGGACAAGCACTTGTAGTCCCAGCTACTAAGGAGGCTGACGTGAGAGAATTGCTTGAGCCCGGGAGTTCGAAGCTACAGTGACTTATGATCACAGCACTGCACTCCAGTCTGGGCAACAGAGCAAGACCACTTCTCTAAAATAGTAATAATAATTATGTCTCTGGGTGAGAATGACATACCACATTCATACCCAAATGCCCATGAGCAATAGAACTGGTAAATAAAATCATGGTTTATGGCCGGTGGCTCACGCCTGTAATCCCAGCACTTTGGGAGGCCAAGGCGGGCGGATCACTTGAGGTCAGGAGCTTGAGACCAACCTGGCCAACATGATGAAACCCTGTCTCCATTAGACATACAAAAATTAACTGGGCGTGGTGGCGTGTGCCTGTAATCCCAGCTACTTGGGAGGCTGAGGTGGGAGAATCACTTGAACCCGGGATGTGGAGGTTGCAGTGCACTGAGATCGTGCCCCTGCACTCCATCCTGGATGACTAGCTTGGGCACCATAGCAAGACTCCATCTCAAAAAGAAGAAAGAAAAATCATGGTTTATTCCATCAATGGCATCACCTGCAACAGAAGTTGGAAAGCCATTGCTCATGGGCCAAGGTCCAGCTCATGTTTCTTCTTGGACCACCCATGAGCTTGGAATGGTTATTACATTTTTATTTGTTCTTTGTTTCCAGTACAACGGGCCTTTTTGTGGTAAAATACATATAACATACAACTTACCATTATAACTTACTTTTTTCTTTTTTGAGACGGAATCTTGCTCTGTCGCCCAGGCTGGAGTGCAGTGGCGCGATCTCGGCTCACTACAAGCTCCGCCTCCTGGGTTCACGCCATTCTCCTGCTTCAGCCTCCCAAGTAGCTGGGACTACAGGCGCCTGCCACCACGCCCAGCTAATTTTTTGTATTTTTTTTTTTTTAGTAGAGATGGAGTTTCACCGTGTTAGCCAGGATGGTCTCGATCCCCTGACCTTGTGATCTGCCCGCCTTGGCCTCCCAAAGTGCTGGGATTACAGGCGTGAACCACCGTGCCCGGCCTTTTTTTTTTTTTTTTTGAGACGGGGTCTTGCTATGTTGCCCAAGCTAGTGTCAGACTCCTGGCTTCAAGTAATCCTCCCACCTTGGACTCCCCAGTAGCTGAAGCTACAGGTATGCACCATCTTGTTCCATTTTAACCATTGCTTTTGTTTGTTTCTTTGTTTCAGAGTCTCACTCAGTTGCTCAGGCTGGAGTACAGTGGCTCAATCTTGGCTCACTGCAACCTCCACCTCCTGGGTTCAAGCAATTCTCCTGCCTCAGCCTCCCGAGTAGCTGGGATTACAGGCGTGCACCACCATGCCCGGCTAATTTTTTGTATTTTTAGTAGAGATGGGGTTTCACCATGTTGGCCAGGCTGGTCTCAAATTCCTGACCTCAAGTGATCCACCCGCCTCAGCCTCCCAAAGTGCCGGGATTACAGGTGTGAGCCACCATGCCCAGCCTATTTTAACCATTTTTCAGAGCACAATTCTGTGGCAATAAGCACATTCATGTTGTTATGTAGCCACCACTGCCGTCCATCTCCAGAACTTTCTCCTCTTTCCAAACTGAAACTCTGTCCCCATGAAACACTCACTCCCTATCCCTCTCCCCAGCCCCTGGCACCCTCCATCTTGCTTTCTGCCTCTATGGATCTGATGACTCTAGGGACCTCCTAGGAGTGGAATCACACAGTGTTTGTCCTTTTGTATCTGCTTATTTCACTGAGCATAATATCCCCAAGGTTCATCCCTGCTGTAGCCTGAGTCAGAACTGTTTTCCTTTCCATGGCTGTATCACATTCCCTTGTGTGGATGAACCACGTTGTGTTTATTCCTTCATCCATCGATGGACACTTGGGTTGCTTCCAGCTTTTGTTTTGTTTTTTTGTTTGTTTGTTTGTTTTTGTTAGTTCACGTCTTTTGTGGGTTTTCTTTCTTTTTTGAGATGGAGTCTCACTCTGTTGCCCTGGCTGGAGTGCAGTGGCACGATCTCGGCTCACTGCAAGCTCCGCCTCCCGGGTTCACTCCATTCTCCTGCCTCAGCCTCCCGAGTAGCTGGGACTATAGGCGCCCGCCACCATGCCCAGCTAATTTTTTTGTATTTTTAGTAGAGACGGGGTTTCACCATGTTAGCCAGGATGGTCTCGATCTCCTGACCTTGTGATCCGCCCGTCTCGGCCTCCCAAAGTGCTGGGATTACAGGTGTAAGCCACTGCGCCTGGCCGTCTTTTGTTAATTCATACAGTTATTTGTCTTCTGGTTTGTTGAAGCAGTAAGTCAGACAACATTTGCCACAATAATGTCTGTCAAAGTGGCTTGCCATAAACACTGCAGCACCACATTCATCAGAAGGGCAACCTCGACGAAGGTGACTAATTTTGCCATTCTCATCCACCTTATAATATTTCAGGACAGCCAGCTTCACCTTCTTTCTCTTGTGCTTATTCGTCTTGCAGGTAAGACTTCTTCTTCTGGCCGGGCTCAGTGGCTCAGGCCTGTAATCCCAGCACTTTGGGAGGCCGAGGCAGGTGGATCACGAGGTCAGGAGTTCAAGACCAGCCTGGCCAACATGGTGAAATCCTGTCTCTACTAAAAATACAAAAATTAGCTGGGCGTGGTGGCACGTGCCTGTAATCCCAGCTACTCGGGAGGCTGAGGCAGGAGAATTGCTTGAACTGGGACCCGGGAGGCAGAGGTTGCAGTGAGCCGAGATTGCACCACTGCACTCCAGCCTGAGCTACAGAGCGAGACTCCATCTCAAAAAAAATAAAAAAAAGACTTCTTCCTTTCCTTAGCACCACCACGAATTCTCAATACAAGATGAAGAGGAGACTCCTTTTGAATGTTGTAGTCAGACAGAGTACGCCCATCTTCCAGTGCTTGTCTTTGCTGATCAGGAGGAATTCTTTCTTTACCCTGGATCTTGGCCTTTACATTTTCTACCATATCTGAGGGTTCAGCCTCGAGGGTGGTGGTCTTCCCTGTAAGGGTTTTCAGGAAAATCTACATTTTGGTGGCGGCTCCACCACAGATGGCGGATCTAAAAGGTTTTTGTTTTTTGTTTTTTTGAGACAGAGTTTCGCTCTTGTCACCCAGGCTGGAGTGCAAGTGGCACGATCTTGGCTCACTGCAACCTCTGACTCCTGGGTTTAAGTGATTATCCTGCCTCGGCCTCCGAGTAGCCAGGATTACAGGCATGTGCCACCACCACACCTGGCTAATTTTTTTTTCTTTTGTATTTTTAGTAGAGATGGGGTTTTGCCATGTTGGCCAGGCTGGTCTCAAACTCCTGATCTGGAGTGATCCGCCTGCCTCGGCCTCCCAAAGTCCTGGGATTACAGGTGTGAGCCACTGTGCCTGGCCTGCTTCTGCCTTTTGGCTATTGTGAATAATGCTGCTCTGAACATAGATGTGCAAATATCTGTTTGCAGCTCCTGCTTTCAATTCTTCTGGGCGTATGTCCAGGAGTAGTGCTGCCTGATCATATGGTAATTCTATGTTTAACTTTTTGAGGCACTGCCAATTTTCACATTTTTAAACCATAGGGAAAAAAAAGTTGTTTTTTTTTTAAAAAAGACACAGTCTGGCTCTGTTTTCCACGCTGGAGTGCAATGGTGCAATCATAGCTCACTGCAGCCTCAAACTCCTGGGCTCAAGCAATCCCCCCCTCATCAGCCTCTTGAGTAGGTGGGACTACGGCATGTGTCACCACACCTAACTAATTTTTTTAATTTTTTTGTAGAGGTGGGGTCTCACTCTATTGCCCAGGCTGGTCTCAAACTCCTGGCCTCAAAAGATCCTGCCACCTTAGCTTCCCAAAGCACTGAGATTACAGGCATGAGCCACTGTGCCTAGCCAAAAAATATTTGTAATGTTTAGTGAAAATAGAAATCATATAAAATTCAAATTCATATAATTTTCATAAAAAGTCCATAAAGAAAATTTTCTTAAAACATTGTCAGCTGGGTGCGGTGGCTCATGCCTGTAATCACAGCACTTTGGGAGGCTAAGGCGGGTGGATCACCTGAGGTCAGGAGTTCAAGACCAGCCTGGCCAATGTGGTGAAACCCCATCACTACTTACAATACAAAATTAGCCGGGTGTGGTGGCACGCGACTGTAATCCCAGCTACTTGAGAGGCCGAGGCAGGAGAATTGCTTGAACCCGGGAGGTGGAGGTTGCAGTGAGTCAAGATGGTGCCCTTGCACTCCAGCCTGGGCAACAAGAGCGAAACTCTGTCTCAAAAAAAAAAAAAATTGCCAAGCTCAGTGGCAGGCACCTGTCATCCTAGCTACTTGAGAGACCAAAGCAGGAGGATTGTTTGAGCCCAGGAGTTTGAGGGCAGCCTGAGCAACATAGTGAGATCCTGTCCCTACAAACACACACACACAGTTTGCTACCCCCTTTTTTTTGAGAGGGAGACTCGCTCTTGTCACCCAGGCTGGAGTGCAGTGGCACGACCTTGGCTCACCGCAACCTCTGCCTCCCGGGTTAAAGCGATTCTCCTGCCTCAGCCTCCCGAGTAGCTGGGATTATAGGCAGGTGCGCCACCATGTCCGGCTAATTTTTGTATTTTTAGTAGAGATGGGATTTCGCCATGTTAGCCAGGCTGGCTTCGATCTCCTGATCTCAAGTGATCCGCCCGCCTTGGCCTCCCAGAGTGCTGAGACTATAGGCATGAGCCACTGCACCTGGCCCCATTTTTTAATATATCATCAGTGACTGCTATCACATGTCCATGGCAGAGCTCAGCAGCTGTAGAGTGGTTGGACAGTAGGGCCCCCAAAGCTGAGAATGTTTACTATCTGACTCGTTACAGAAAACATTTTTTTGTACCCCTGGTATGTGGTGATGAGTGAGAATGAGACAACTGTCCATGGATTACAGCTACACCCAACCATGTGGCTGATTCTCACGAACATATGTTAGCATAGAAGCCAGACCCCAAAAAGAACATACCATACAAATCCATTTATTAAAAAAAAAGGGGGCCGGGCGCGGTGGCTCCTGCCTGTAATCCCAGCACTTTGGGAGGCCAAGGCAGGCGGATCACAAGGTCAGGAGATCAAGACCATCCTGGCTAACACGGTGAAACCCCATCTCTACTAAAAATCCAAAAAAATTAGCCGGGCGTGGTGGCAGGCACCTGCAGTCCCAGCTCCTCGGGAGGCTGAGGCAGGAGAACGGTGTGAACCCGGGAGGCGGAGCTTGCAGTGAGCCGAGATGGCGCCACTGCACTCCAGCCTGGGCGACAGAGCAAGACTCCGTCTCAAAAAAAAAAAAAAATACCTAAAAATACAAAAATTAGCCAGGTGTAGCGGCAGGTGCCTGTAATCCCAGCTACTCGGGATGCTGAGGGAGGAGAATCGCTTGAACCAAGAGGTGGAGGTTGCAGTGAGCTGAAATCATGCTACTGCACTCCAGCCTGGGCAACAGAGAGAGACTCCGTCTCACAATAATGATAATAATAATAAATGAAATACAAACAAAACTAATTTATGCTGTCGGAAATGACGATGGAAGAGTCCTGGGGAATCAGAGATAGTGGTGATAAAAGCATACCAGGAAGGCCCCTAGTGAGGGGGGAATTTTGTAAAAGTTTTCAGCTGTAACTCTCATTTGCACAATTTTCTCTATGTATTTATATTTCAATCAACATGATGCATGTGTATTAAAGCCCTGTGTAAATGCAACGGTGCACACAGGTTCAAAGCGCAGGCAATATTTATTGAGCAACTATTATGTTCCATATGCTGTGTTAAACACCATGCATACACTAAGAAGCAGAGGGATGCTGCCCTTGCCCGGGACGAGTTGGCCCTTGTCAGTCAGGGAAAGGCAGACACCAACAGAACAGCAATAAAAAGGCCGGGCAATGGGCCAGGCGCGGTGGCTCATGCTTGTAATCCCAGCCTTTTGGGAGGCCGAGGCGGGTGGATCACCTGAGGTCGGGAGTTCGAGACCAGCGTGACCAACATGGAGAAACCCCTTTTCTACTAAAAACACAAAATTAGCCAGGCGTGGTGGCACACCAGGTGGGTAGCTGTAATCCTAGTTACTCGGGAGGCTGAGGCAGGAGAATTGCTTGAACCCGGGAGGCGGAGGTTGTGGTGAGCCAAGGTTGTGCCATTGCTTTCCAGCCTGGGCAACAAAAAGCAAAACTCCATCTCAAAAAAAAAAAAAAAAGTCCGGGCGCCATGGCTCACACCTGTAATCCCAGTGCTTTAGGAGACCGAGGTGGGTGGATCACTTGAGCCCAGGAGTTCAAGACCAGCCTGGCCAACACAGTGAGACCCTCCCTCTGTACAAAACGTAAGAAAACATTAGGCAGGGATGGTGGTGGCTTCCTGTAGTCCCAGCTACTCAGGAGGCTGAGACAGAAGTACCGCTTGAGTCCAGGAGTTGGAGACTGCAGTGAGCTATGATCGCACCACTGCACTCCAGCCTGGACAACAGAGCAAGACCCCATCTCTAAAAAAAAGAAAACAAAAAAACAACAACAAAAAACACCAATAGAATGCTCAATCAGCCATCAGCCTCAAGGACCCTTCCATCTCCCAAGGAGAGGAACCCTTTTCCGTGAGAACCTCTGACCTAAAAATCAACCCCACATGGGGGAATCCAGAAAGTATTTTGGGGGGAGGAAAAGATGTTTGAAGGGAGGGTGGAGGATGCAGAAGGGTTAACCAGGAGAGGCAGTTAGGGAGGGCCTTCTGGGTGGAGGGAGAGGACTGCATGTTCCAAGGACCTGAGGCAGAATGGAGTGTGTGTATTTAGAGGAACTGAAAGCAAATTTGTGGGACAGGGGATCTAGAGGGGAAAAGTGAATTCCACAGGCTCCCTGTCTCTTCTGGTCCTAGCAGGAACTTTCAAGTCCGTTTTTGTCCAGATATTTCCCCATGCTCAAGTCCCAGCTCATCCTGCCTCCTTGAAGACATGACTTCTGTCTCTTCTTGAGCTACTCTTTGACACACCCTGGACAAAGGGTAGCTTGAAAAGAGACAGAAACCATGTTATTGCCAGGTGCAGTGGCTCACGCCTGTCATCCTTGTGCTTTGGGAGGCTGAGGCAGGAGGATCGCTTGAGGCCAGGAGCTTGAGACCAGCCTGGACAACATAACAAGACCCCATCTCTACAAAGATAAAAGGGAAAAAGCCGGGCGCAGTGGTTCACGCCTGTAATCCCAGCACTTTGGGAGGCCAAGGTGGGCAGATCACCTGAGGTCAGGAGTTCGAGACCAGCCTGGCCAACATGGCGAAACCCCGTCTCTACTAAAAATACAAAAATTAGATGGGCGTGGTGGCGGGCACCTGTAATCCCAGCTACTCGGGAGGCTGAGGCAGGAAAATCACTTGAACCCAGGAGGTGGAGGTTGCAGTGAGCTGAGATTGCACCACTGCACTCCAGCCTGGGCGACAGAGTGAGCCTTGGTCTCAATCAATCAATCAATCAATCAATGGAAAAAAATTAGCTGGGTGTGGTGGTCCATGCTGGTAGTCCCAGCTACTGAGGAGGCTGGGGTGTGAGGATCACTTGAGCCCAGGAAGGCTGAGACTGCAATGAGCTATGATGGCATCACTGCACTCCAGCCTGGACAACAAAGCAAGATCCCGTCTCAAAAAAAAAGAAGAAAAAGAAAAATCATTTTTTGAGAGCTCTGATTTTCAAACCCTTTGTTCTCAGAACTCTTCGGGTAAAACCTTTTGAACGACACAAAAGGAGTGGGCAGCTGTGATGACAGATTGAGGAGAAAGCAGGGTAGGCATGGAACCTCTAGGGTTCCCTAGGGACCCAGTTTGAAAACTCTTGGTTCAGTAGCAGGAAAAGGCAATATGCCCCTTAATTCTCTTCTAAAACATAAAATCCTTTAACTTCCTCTGATTTCTACCAGTAAAACTGAGCTCTACTGACCTCAATTTTGTACCAAATGCTATCTAATAAAATCCCAGAAACAGTGATTTTTGAAAAATCCATTTTGTTGATGTGTAATTTACATACAGTAGAATGTGCCTATCTTATGTGTTTGGTTTCATGCATTGTTTTTCTTTTTCAACTTTTTAAATTTTTTTTTTTTTTTGAGACAGGGTCTCACTCTGTTGCCCAGGTTGGCGTGCAGTGGCACAATCTCGGCTCACTGCAACCTTCGCCTCTCGGGTTCAAGCAATTCTCCTGCCTCAGCCTCCTGAGTAGGTGGGACCACAGGCACGCGCCACTACACCCAGCTAATTTTTGTATTTTTAGTAGAGACAGGGTTTCTCCATGTTGGCCAGGTTGGTCTCGAACTCTTGACCTCAAGTGATCCACCCACTTCGGCCTCCCAAAGTGCTGGGACCACAGGCACACACCACCACGCCCAACTAATTTTTGTATTTTTCATAGAGATGGGGTTTCACCATGTTGCCCAGGCTGGTCTCAAACTCCTGGCCTCAAGTGATCTGCCTGCCTTGGCCTCCCAAAGTGCTGGAATTACAGGCATAAGCCACCATGGCCAGCCCTCTTTATCAACTTTTATTTATTTTTTCATTTTTTTGAGACGGAGTCTCGCTCTGTTGCCCAAACTGGAGTGCAGCGGTGCGACCTCAGCTCACTGCAACCTCCGCCTCCCGGGTTCAAGCGATTCTCCTGCATCAGCCTCCCAAGTAGCTGGGATTACAGGTGCCCGCCACCACGCCCATCTAATTTTTGTATTTTTAGTGGAGACGGGGTTTCACCATGTTGCCCAGGCTGGTCTCGAACTCCTGGCCTCAAAGCGACCTGCCCGCCTTGGCCTCCCAAAGTGCTGGGATTACAGTTGTGAGCCGCCGCGCCCGGGACCCTCTTTATCAACTTTTATTTTAGATTCAGGGGATACCTGTGCCAGTCTCCTACCTGAGTATATTGCATGATGCTGAGGTTTGGGGTATGAGCGACTCTGTCACCCAGATGGTGAGCACAGCACTCAACAGTTAGATTTTCAACCCTCATGCCCCTTTTCCTCACCCCTCCCTGGCAATCCCCACTGTTCATTATTGCCACCTTTATGTCCATGAGTACCTGAAGTTTAGATCCCACTTATAAGTGAGAACAGGCAGTCTTTGGTCTGCTGTTACTGAGTTTGATGCATTTTGACAAATGTGTCTACCTGCCTGCTGCACGTTTTGGTTTTCCCAAGAATTATTTTCTAAAAATCAGTTTTTATTAAGGTGGCATTTATATACACTAAAATTCTGCACACGATCTTGTAACCATCACCACCAAATACGTATTTATTTATTTATTATTATTTTTTAGAGATGGCGTCTCACTCTGTCTCGATCTCCCACGCCGGGGTGCAGTGGTGCCATCAGAGCTCACTGCATCCTCCAACTCCTGGGCTCAAGCGATCCTCCTGCCTCAGCCTCCTGAGTAGCTAGGACTACAGGCACCCACCACCACCCACAGTTAATTGAAAAAATTGATTCTTCTTTGTAGAGACAGGGTCTCATATGTTGCCAGGATCCTTGGTCTTTGACCTCCCAAAGTGCAGAGATTACAGGCATGCACCACTAATGCCGGGCCAAATACTTGTAATTTAAATTATCGCTGGGCTGGGCACGGTGGCTCACGCCTGTAACCCAGCACTTTGGGAGGCCGAGGGGGGAAGTTCACCTGAGGTCAGGAGTTCCAGACCAGCCTGGCCAACATGCTGAAACCCTGTCTCAACTAAAAATACAAAAATCAGCCGGACATTGTGGCAGACGCCTGTAATCCCAGCTAATCGGGAGGCTAAGACAGGAGAATCGCTTGAACCCGGGAGGCAGAGGTTGCAGTGAGCCGAGATCGCACCATTGTGCTCCAACCTGGGCAACAAGAGCGAAACTCCATCTCAAAAAATAATAATAAAATAAATTATAGTTGGAAAAAAGGGGTTTCCTAAAGACCCAAGGGAAATGGCCTCTTTGTTCCTGAAGCCACAGAGAGGATTTTTCTGCTCCCCACAACTAGTTTTCCTTGTGAAAATTCATAATTGCTACCAGCTTGTTCTCCTCTCTGTCACTATACATCTGTCCTTGAAGCCTTATTTGAACAAAGAGTTCTGGTATCACTCGGATGCCTAGAAACTGTTGCCGTTCTGTGAAACCGACCACCAGAGGAAACCCATGCTTCTCATTGGCTGCCTTACTAAGATGGTGACTTGTTGCCCTGGTGACAAGTTGCAATGACAGGTGGCTCTGCCAAATCAGAACACAGTGATACTTGCTTCCCCTCCCGGGTGAAGGATGGAAAATAAAAGTAAAAGCCTTGGCGGCTGTCAGGCTTCTTTACCAAAGAGCTGGAGAGCACTCCTTGGCCCCATTTATGCAAACACTTCCCATCTACAGATGATCCAGCTTCGGAGTGGGAGTCTAAGCAGCTGCCAGGACCACCGCTTGGCAGAGGACAGGCTGGGGGCTCTGGCATGACCTGCTGGGGCCAGGCTGTGACTTGGAGCAAGAGGTAGCAAGAACCTCGAGGCAGTGAACATCAAAAGAGAGATTTCCGGGGCTAAACACCCTAGGTTTTTCCTTCCTCCTGAACCCTAACCCTAACCCTCTCGGCTCACTGCAACCTCCACCTCCCGAGTGCAAGCAATTCTCATGCCTCAGCCTCCCGAGTAGCTGGGATCACAGGCGTGCGCCACCACGCCCGGCTAACTTTGTATTTTTATTAGAGACGGGGGTTTCTCCACGTTGGTCAGGCTGGTGTCAAACTCTCGAACTCAGGTGATCTGCCCGCCTTGGCCTCCAAAAGTGCTGGGATTACAGGCGTGCGCCACCGTGCCCAGCTTATTTTTGTATTTTTAGTAGAGGTGGGGTTTCACCCTGTTGGCCAGGCTGGTCTTGAACTCCTGAACTCAAGTGATCTGCCTGCCTCAGCCTGCCAAAATGCTGGGGTTACAGGCGCCAGGCCAAGTATCTTATTTTAAAAGGTTACAAAGAATATAGATGTGGATAAAATAAAAGTTTCTTTGCATTACCACTTTCCTGCAAGAAATGAGGGGGAGGGGCTTATGAAACAACTCACACCCCCCCAATTGAGGAACTGTAGATGAAAGGGAAGGTGCTGACAGGCCCGTCTGGCCACGGTTTCCTGGAATAAAACTGAGCCACACACCTCCACAAATCCCCAGCCTCCGGCAAGTACCCCAGAAGTACTCACACTCCACCACCTTCTGTGATCGCAACAGCCCTACGCAACATTACAGAGGGCAAAACCCACGCTGGGGAAGGCGGGGCTACTGTCAAAAGGTCACCAGGGCCAGGCACAGTGGCTCACGCCTATAATCCCAGCTCCTTGGGAGACCAAGGCAGGAGGATCCGTTGAGCTCAAGAGTTTGAGTTCAGCCTGGGCAACACAGGAAAACCCCCGTCTTTACAAAAACTTTTTAAAAATTAGCTGGGTGTGGTGGCATGCCCGTGTAATCCCAGCCACTACTTAGGAGGCCGAAGGGGGAGGATCTATTGCTTCAGCCCGGGAGTTTGTGGCTGCAGTGAGCTATGATTGCACCACTGCACTCCAGCCTAAGTGACAGACAGAGACTCTTAAAAAAAAAAAAAAAAGGGCAGGGCACGGTGGCTTATGTCTGTAATCCTAGCACTTTGGGAGGCCGAGGCGGGCAGATCATCTGGCGTCAGGAGTTCGAGGCCAACCTGGCCAATATGGTGAAACCCTGTCTCTACCAAAAGTACAAAACTTAGCTGGGTGTGATGGTGGGCACCTGTAATCCCAGCTACTCGGGAGGCTGAGGTGGGAGAATCGCTTGAATCTGGGAGGTGGAGTTTGCAGTGAGCCAAGATTGCGCCACTGCACTCCAGCCTGGGTGACAGAATGAGACTCTGTCTCAAAAAAAAAAAAAAAAAGTGGGGCACCTATATTCCCAGCACTTTGGGAAGCTGAGGCAGGAGGATGGCTTGAGGCCAAAAATTCAAAACCCGGCCTGGGCAACATAGCAAGACCCCATCTCTATGAAAAAAAAAAAAAAAAAGTCACCAGGCCAGCTAGCCTAGATTTCAGAGCCAGAATTTGTCTGATGCCATTGTCTTTACTTTTTCTTTTTCTTTTTTTTTTTTTTGAGACAGAGTCTCACTCTGTCACCCAAGCTGCAGGGCAGTGGGACAATCTCAGCTCACTGCAACCTCTGCCTCCCAGGCTCAAGCGATTCTCCTGCCTCAGCCTCCTGAGTAGCTGGGATTACAGACATCCACCACCATTTCCAGCTAATTTTTGTATTTTTAGTAGAGGTGAGGTTTCACCTTTTTGGTCAGGCTGGTCTCCAACTCCCAAGCTCAGGTGATCTGCCCACCTCAGCCTCCCAAAGTGCTGGGATTACAGTTGCGAGCCACCACGCCTGGACTGCTCTTCATTCTTTTTTCAGAACTTTCCCAGCTGCCAACAGAGACAGAAACTGAATCATCTCAGAAGTGAATGAAGGAGGCTGAGGGCGGGTGGACTGCTTGATTAGGAGTTCGAGATTTGCCTAGGCAACATGGAAAAAGCCTGTCTCTGCTAAAAATACAAAAATTAGCCGGGCGTGGTGGCACATGCCTGTAATGCCAGCTGCTTGGGAGGCTGAGGCAGGAGAATCACTTGAACCCGGGAGGCAGAGGCTGCAGCGAGCCGAGATCGCGCCACTGCACTCCAGCCTAGGTAACAGGGCGAGACTCCGCCTCAAAAAAAAAAGAAGGGAATGAAGGACACCCAAAATGGAGCCTCTGTCTGCCAGGGCTTTGCTATCCTGGCCTGCCTATCCCAGCCCTGGACACCTCATCTCTGATCCCACCAGAGCGGAACCTTCCCATTCGCAGGGCCATTTCCTTACCCAGAAACCTTTTCACAATGTTCTTGGCAGCAGCTGTTGGTCAACTGTGTTTTAAGGTTTTTGAGCAACTTTACAGAAAATAAAAGGGAAGCTACCCTCAATGTCTGGGTCTCCCCCTGGGTGGCCTCTCTTTGTCACCTTACTCATTTCCACGAGATTTCCTTGCTTCGTTGAGTTACATCACCTCCTTTTCCTGTCTGGGTCCAGGACGCCTCCTCTGCAGGTCTCCAGCACTGATTCCTTTGTCCCCGATTTCTCTGCTAGGGTCGCTGGCTTCACCATCCCACCACCACTGCTGCTGGCCCAGCCCGCAGCTTTAATTTCTCTGGACCCTCACGTTTTTGTTATTTGTGTTTTTTTTGGAGATGAGGTCTTGCTCTGTCACCCAGGCTGGAGTGCAGTGGTGCAATCACAGCTCACTGTAGCCTCCACCTCCCAGACTCAAGTGATCTTCCTGCCTCAGCCTCCCAAGTAGCTGGGTGTGTGCCACCAGGTGCAGCTACATTTTTTGTAGAGGCAGGGGTCTTGCTATATTGCCCAGGCTGGTCTCAAACTCCCAGCTTTAGATGATCCTTTCACCTCGGCCTCCCAGAGTGCTGGGATTACCAGCATGAGCCACTGCACCCGTCCTCTCATGTATTTTTTATTAATCGATTTATCTATTTACTTATTTTGAGACAGAGTCTTGCTGTACCACCCAGGCTGGAGTGCAGTGGCATGATCTCGGCCCACTGCAACCTCCACTCCCTGGGTTCAAGTGATTCTCCTGCCTCAGCCTCCCGAGTAGCTGGGATTACAGGTGCCCGCCACCATGCCTGGCTAATTTTTGTATTTTTAGTAGTGACGAGGTTTCACCGTGTTGGCCAGGCTGGTCTCGAATTCCTGACCTCAGGTGATCCACCCAACTCGGCCTCCCAAAGTGCTGGGATTACAGGCGTGAGCCACCGCACTCGGCCTCCCTCATGTATTTTTAAGCGGAACAGGTTCAAGATCACAAATGTTTTCCTCTCACTCTTTCAATGAGTTTCTATTCTAGAATCTCCTGCACGCCACAGGAAGGAGAACTCTCACCCTGTAATGCACATAAATACATGAGATCACCATTGTTCTCACCCAGTAATCAGAATCGTTAGTGATAATTAGTAATAAATTTATTTTTACTATATCTAATAAATTAGATAGTAATTACTATGGCAGCCAATCGTTCCTGGGTGCTCCCTAGATGCTTCCAAGGGAGCCACACGTGACCCTCAGGGCTGTGCCCATTCCAGGCTCTTCTGCTGAGCTCATGTAACCGCTTGCCTCAAGGCATTCCACAAATAATACATAAGTCAATGTATCACGTTGTCACTTTCTGTACAAACCAGCTAGTTCCGGAGGGAAGCAGAAAGCCTTTTTCAGAAGAACCACAGCTAATTCCAGTAGCAGGAATGATAAAGTTGGACATAATCCTCAAGAGAGTAATGAATCAAAAATGGATGGCGGGCCAGGCACGGTGGCTGATGCCTGTAATCCCAGCACTTTAGGAGGATGAGGCAGGTGAATCATTTGAGGTCAGGAGTTCAAGACCAGCTTGGCCACCATGGTGAGACCCCGTCTCTACTAAAAATACAAAAATTAGCCTGGCATGGTGGCTCATGCTTGTAGTCCCAGCTTCTTGGGAGGCTGAGGCAGGAGAATTGATTGAACCCTGGAGGTGGAGATTGCAGTGAGCCAAGATTGCATCACTGCACTCCAGCCTGGGCAACAAGAGCGAAACTCTATCTCAAAAACAAACAAACAAACAATAACAACAACAAAATTGATGGCTGCTAATGACTTTTTTTCTTTTCTTTCCTTTTTTATTTTTATTTTTTATGAGACAGGGTCTCACTCTATCGCCCAAACTGGAGTGCAGTGCCGAGATCATAACTCAGTGCAGCCTCAACCTCTTGGACTCAAGTGATCTTCCCACCTCAGCCTCCCATGTAGCTGGGACTACAAGCAATTGCTGCCACATCTGGCTAATTATTTTATTTTGTTGTATTTTATTTATTTATTTTTTGAGACAGAGTCTTACTCTGTCACCCAGGCTGGAGTGCAATGGCATGATCTCAGCTCACTGCAACCTCCGCCTCCTGGATTCAAGTTATTCTCCTACCTCAGCTTCCTGAGTAGCTGGGATAACAGGTGTGCACCACCACGCCTGGTTAATTTTTGGTTTTTTGGTAGAGACGGGGTTTCATCATGTTGGCCAGGCTGGTCTTGAACTCCTGACCTCAAGTGATCCGCCCATCTCAGCCTCCCAAAGTGCTGGGATTACAGGTATGAGCCACCGTGCCCGGTCTTTATTTTATTTTTAGTAGAGACAGGGTTTTGCTATGTTGCCCAGGCTGGTCTCAAACTCCTGGGCCTAAGTGATCCTCCTGCCTTGGCCTCCCAAAGTGCTGGGAACTACAGGCGTGAGCCACTGGGCCCAGCTCCTGTTAACATCTTTATGTGGAGAGTTACTGGGGACCAGGGACATTCCCCAAACCCACCCATCAATCGTAGTGACATGACGTTATGGACCCCCTGATGTGATGTACCAGGAAGTACCCGGCCCTACCAGCATGATATTATTCTGGCTGCAACTGACCCTTATTCCAATAGAGCATGTGGTTCTAAGCCATTTATAGGGTAAACATTGGGGCAGGGATGGGGAGAGAGGAAGCAACCTGCCAAATCCAGAATGAGGATCATTCCTCGGTACCAGAAGAGAACCAGAAAGAAAGCACCCTAAGTGGGGATACCACAAGGAAGTAAAGCAGGGGCCTCTCCCAGCTGGGGAAGGGAAGGAGGAAGGAGTACAATAGCTTGCAAGGCACAGCATTGCGGATGATGGGAATAGCAGGTGCAAAGGTTCTGGGGCAGGGACAGTGTGGTGTGTTTGAAGAACAGCAGCCAGGTTCACCATGAGATGGGAAATGGACTTGGGGGAAGGGATCTCAAAGGATAATTTTTTTTTTTTTTTTGAGACAGGGTTTCGCTCTTGTTGCCCAGGCTGGAGTGCAGTGGCATGATGGCTCACTGCAACCTCTGCCTTCCGGTTTCAAGCGATTCTCCTGCCTCAGCCTCCCGAGTAGCTGGGATTACAGGCGCCCACCACCACGCCCGGCTAATTTTTGTATTTTTAGTAGAGACAGGGTTTCACCATGTTGGCTAGACTGGTCTTGAACTCCTGACCTCGTGATCCGCCCGCCTCGGCCTCCCAAAGTGCTGGGATTACAGACGTGAGCCACCGCGCCCGGCCCCCCAACTTTTTTTTTGTTTTTAACACAACTTCTCGCTTTCTCACCCAGGCTGGAGGGCAGAGGCACAATCATAGCTCACTGCAGCCTCGAACTCCTAGGCTCCAGCGATCCTCACAGGAGGGTTTTGAGGATCTGCATAAAGCGTGCAGAGGGAGCTTGACTTCGTGCTCGTTAGGACCCGATATTGTCAGCTGCCGCCGCCCACAGGGACACATAAATATTTGTAGACTCAATATTTGCCTTTAGTGTGAAGACATTGCATCACCTGGGTATAAGTAAGGAGCAGAGGCAGAGGCGGTTTAAGCAACAGACTTTTGTCTCCGCTGAGAACCACGGAATAACCCCTGACCTACTTCCCCGTCGTGTCTAATTCGGGTCACCTCATCTCCAGTTACAGACGCGGAAGATCAAAGAAACCGGGAAATTGCGCCGCAGCGCCCCCTGGCGTTCGCAGCGCGTGCCTACACAAGCCACTCCCGGCGCAAAACTGCGGCTTCCCAGGAAATTGAGTTTAAATGTTTTTTTTTCTTTTTTCTTAATCTAGAAAAGATCATTTATTGTATCAAGTAACTACCCAGTTAGGCGTGAATACATTTTAAAATTTTTATTAAAACGAGTATTGGCCGGGCGCGGTGGCTCACTCCTGTAATCCCAGCACTTTGGGAGGCCAAGGCAGGTGGATCACGGCGTCAGGAGTTCGAGACCATCCCGGCCAACATGGTGAAACCCCGTCTCTACTAAAAATACAAAAATTAGCTGGGCGTGGTGGCACGCACCTGTAGTCCCAGCTACTCGGGAGGCTGAGACAGAAGAATCGGTTGAACCGGGGAGGCGGAGGTTGCAGTGAGCTGAGATCATGCCACTGCACTCCAGCCTGGGCGACGGAGCGAGACTCCATCTCCAAAAAATAAATAAATAAATAAATATAATATAATATAAAATAAAATAAAAAGAGTATTGTAGAGATTGGCTGGGCACAGTGGCTCACACCTCTAATTCCTGCATTTTGGGAGGCTGAGGTGGGAGGTCTTCAGCCCAGGAGTTAGAGACCAGCCTGGCCAACATGGCAAAACCCCATCTCTACTAAAAGTACAAAAATTCGCTGGGCATGGTGTCGCACGTCTGTGATCCCAGCTTTTTGGGAGGCTGAGGCAGGAGAATCGCTTGAACCCAGGAGGCAGAGGTTACAGTGAATCGAGATCGCACCACTGCACTCCAGCCTGGGCAACAGAGTGAGACCTTGTCTCAAAAATACATATATTTAGGAATTTGCTATGTTGCCCAGGCTGGCCTCAAACTCCTGGCCTCAAGCAATCCTCCCACCTCGCCCTCCCAAAGTGCTGGGATTGCAGGCGTGAGCCACTGTGCCCGACCTTGAGCTTAAGTTTTAAACATTAAAACCACCTCCCTCCCACTCCCTGCACCTCCCGTAAGTTAAAACGCGTCCCTGCTGAGGCCCTGCAAAGGCATATCCAGGGCAGGCGGACCCCAGGGGTCCACAGCCGACCCACTTTCTTCCCCACACCTCATCCCCTTCACAACTCTCCTCATCCATCTCCCTGCCCTGGTGGGAGATTCCGATAAATCCTAATTGTGGAACTGCTGAATCAGAGGGGGCTGCATTTTCCTTAGCCCCCACCTGCAAATTGTGTGTGCAGTTTTTCTGGGATGAGTGTCCTTAGATTTCCCTGAATTCTCAAAAGGATCTGTGACCTCAAAATCAGGAGAGAGGCCGGGCACGGTGGCTCACGCCTGTCATCCCAGTACTTTGGGAGGCCGAGGTGGGCAGATCGCTTGAGCCCAGGAGACCAGCCTGGGCAACATAGCCAGACCCAGTCTCTACAAAAAATTAAAAGATTAACTGGGCTTGGTGATGTGCACTCATGGTCCCAGCTACTCAGGAGGCTGAGGTGGGAGGATCGCTTGAGCACAGGCGGTAAGAGAGGCTCTACCTCTGAAGAGGATGCTTCCCCACCCTCTGCCCCCTCCCCAGGCACCCACTCCAGCAGTGAGAATTTCACTGCCAACATGAGACATGGGTCCCTACCTGTCCCAACTCAGACCCTGTCTATGATGTCCTATGGCCTCAGCAGGGACCAAAACCCTCACCATGGCCTCACCAGAACCTCCACGTGGTTCTCAGATTGGGTTGCAGGTCAGTACCCTCCCCTCCAGCTCCTCAGGGGCCTCCTGCATTCTCTGGCCTTGGCTTCTGCTCTGCCCTCCCCTCCCTTCCCTTCGCCCCCTTCATTTTCATTCTCTATGCAAATGCTGCCTCCTCTAGGAAGCCTTCCCTGATTGCCCCCAGTCTGGGTGGATTAGATGTGATATGGGCTCCCACAGCCCCTTTTGCCTCAGATTACTCATGTGGCTGGCTGTATATCTGTGCCCCAGAGAGGTTTCTTTTCCTTTTTCTTTTTTTTTTTTTTTTTTGAGATAGGGTGTCACCTTGCCACCCAGGCTGGAGTGCAGTGGCATGATCATAGCTCATTGCAGTCTCAACCTCCCGGGCTCAAGCAATCCTTCCACCTGAAAGTCCTGAGCAGCTGGGACTACAGGCGTGTGCCATCACGTGCCTGACTAATTTTTCTTATTTTTTGTAGAGATGGGGTCTTGCTATGTTGCCCAGGCTGGTCTTAAACTCCTAGCCTCAAGCGATCTCCCACCTCAGTCTCCTGAGTAAACTGGACCCCAGGTGCAAGACACCATGCCCATAAAAAAATTTTAAAAAAATTTAATTTTAAAATTTTTTTGTAGAGATAGGATCGTGTTATGCCGCCCAGGCTGGTCTCAAACTCCTGGGCCCAAGCGATCCTCCCACCTAGGCCTCCCAAAGCACTGGGATTACAGGTGTAAGCTACCTCGCCCGGCCTCTCCTGTTCTATTGGTGCTGTGAGATTCACACCTCACTTGAGTGCTATGGGCTGAACTGTGTCCTCTCCACAAATGTCTATGCTGAAGTCCTGCCCCGCAACTGCCTCAGAAAGTGACTATACTTGGAGATAGAATCTTTAAAGAAATAATTAAGTAAAAATGAGGTCATATGCGTGGGCCCTAATCCAACATGACCAGTTTCCTTGTAAGAAGAGCAGATTAGGACACAGACATGCACTGGGGCGGGGGGAGGAGACTGTGTGAACACACAGGGAAAACACAGCTGTCTACAAGGAAAGGAGAGAAGCTTCAGAAGGAGTCACACCTGTGGACATCTTCATCTTGGACTTCCAGTCTCTAGAAACAGAAGACTATAAATGTGTTTGCTTTGAGACAGAGTCTTGCTCTGTTGCCCAGGCTGGAGTGCAACGGTGCGATCTCAGCTCACTACAACCTCCGCCTCCCGAAGGAGGCGTAGTGTAATTCTCCTGCCTCAGCCTCCCAAGTAGCTGGTACCACAGGTGTCCACCACCACACCTGGCTAATTTTTGTATTTTTAGTAGAGACAAGGTTTCACCATGTTGGCCAGGCTTGTCTTGAACTCCTGACCTCAGGTGATCCACCTGCCTCAGCCTCTCAAAGTGCTGGGATTATAGTTTTGTTTTTGAGATGGAGGTCTCGCTTTTGTCACCCAAGGCTGGAGTGCACTGGCACGGTCTTGGCTCACTGCAACCTCTGCCTCCCAGGCTCAAATGATCCTCCCACCTCAGCCTCCTGAGTAGCTGGGACCACGGTGCACACCACTACATTCAGCTAATTCTATTTTTTTGTAGACACAGGATCTCACTATGTTGCCCAGGCTAGTCTTGAACTCCTGGCCTCAAGTGATCAACCTGCCTTGGCCTCCCAATGTGCGACTACAGGCATGAGCCACGGTGCCTGGCAATTTCTGTTAAGTCACCTAGTCTGTGGTACTTTGTTATGACAGCCCTAGCAAACAGATACACCCACCGAAGGCCCTGATAAGTCCTGCAGTCAGGAGTCTCTGTGAACCCCGTGGGGCTGGGAGGAGAAAGCAGGGAGCGTTTGCTGTGTGCCTCACATGAATACAGCAGAAGCTGAACACAACTCCTGGCATCGTATGCCTACAGGTCCCCTTGGAACAGTTCTAGGGGGGTTGGAGTTCCAGGGTCCATTCTGCTTAATAACAATATTAACGGAGCAGCCAAAATGGTTCCAGTGAAAATGGGGTAGCAGCAGCTGTCATGCTTGCACGCCACCAGCCTTCCTGCGCTATCTCTGTTCTCTCCTCTGCAAAGCAGCTGCTATTTTGGGCTCCCTGTTTTTAGATTGGGAACCCCGGAAGTTGGTCAGGGCCTCACCGCTAGAATATCTTAGAGCTGATATTCAAATGAGAGTCCAATTTTTTTTTTTTTGAGACGGAGTCTCGCTTTGTTGCCCAGGTTGGAGTGCAAAGGGGCAATCTCGGCTCACTGCAGCCTCCACATCCTGGGTTCAAGTGATTCTCCTGCCTCAGCCTCCCAAGTAGCTGGGACTACAGGTGCACACCACCACACCCAGCTAGTTGTTTTGTATTTCTAGTAGAGATGGGTTTTCACCATGTTGGCCAGGCTGGTCTTGAAGTCCTGACCTCAAGTGATCCTCCCGCCTTGGCCTCCCAAAGTGCTGGGATTACAGGCGTGAGCCACCGTGCCCTGCCAAAAGTCCAAGTTCTTAACCTCCATGAGGGCTTGAGATGCCCTCAGGGGCAGGGAGAGGCTAATTCTCCTTCTGAGAGGATAATAGGGGTTGGTGGGGCCTGGGGCACAGGCCTGGCTCAGCACAACTCCCAGGGACTCCCTTGATAAGAAGGTGAGGTAGGCACTGGCTGGCAGAGCGACGGGAAGAGTTTATTTCTCTGGAAAGGGAGGGGTAGGGGGCGGGGCCAGGGGTCAGGGCAGGGCAATGTCCTCCAGCTTCTTGTCCAGTGCCTTCAGGTCATCCAGGAAGCGGGTCGGGGTGAGGATGTGTGAGGAGCCTGTGCAGGGGCAGAGGTTTGGGGAAGATGTTGGGGGGCGCTGCCTTCGTCTTTGACAGGCTCCCGGTCCCGGCTGGTGTGGGGCTGTCCCTGTCCCTCAGCAAACCAGGTCCCTGACTCCAAGGACTCTGGAGTCCAGACACCTAGAAGGTACAAGCCCAGGCCCCGGGAACCCAAGCCCCAGACCCCAGGGTCCCAGTCCTGGTGACTTACCAATGAGCACCTCCCACTTGCCCTCGGTGGCCCTGGTCACCTCGTAGGCGGCCCTCATCTCTGACATGGCCACACCGCCCATGACATACACGATGAGCCGGGGGCCCGCCCGGGCTTCTATGCCAGCCTTGTTCTTGTGCCAGTGACCGAAGCGGGCACTGTGCAGGGCAGGGGCAGAAAGTCCAGGCAGGAGGCCCTCACCGCCGCCAGGCCGCCCACCTAACACAGACCCAGGCGTGGGCGGGGGCGGCCCCGGGGCCTCACCTGACAGCGGCCTGGGAGCTGGCCGTGGGGGCGGGGTCGGATACGAAGGGCCACAGGTTCCTGTCCAGCCGGTCCTCCACGGCGTCCTGGCGGCCGAGAGGCAGGTTAGGGGAGGAACCCCAGGCATGGGGTCCGGGGTCAGGAGTGCCCCCCACGGGGTATTCAGGGGCCAAGATCCTGGCAGACAGGAACCAGCATCTCCACCTCCTGCCTCTGGGGGACCCAGGAGTCTAGGCCTCTAGTCCATTGGGGACCTAGAAATCTAGATCCATAACTCACTGGGGACCCACGAATCTAATTCCATAACTCCTTGGGTACCCAGAAGTCTAAACCCACAGTTCCTCGGCAACCCAGTAGTCTGGGCCTCCAGGCCCTTGGGGACCATCAGTCAATACCCCCAGCCCTTTGGGGAACCCAGTGTCTGGGCTCTCAGCCCCTCAGAGCCCCAGAAGTCCAGGTATTCAAGGTCCATGGGGATGAGGAGGCCCAGGTCTCTGGCCCCCACGCAGAAAGAGGGGCCGGGGCTCTTAGAGGGACAAGGAGGAAGCCAGGAAGCCGCCCCAGGCCCATTGCCATTGGATGGTGCTGCCCTGGGATCCTGGGAAGGCCAGGGCTGGGGCTCAGGGGCACTCCTGCGGGACAGGGGAACAGACTAGAGAGATATAGCGGAGGCAGCCGGCAGGTGGGGAGGAAGTGAGGCTCCCCAGCACAGGCCCCGCTGTCACCCCAATTCCTCAGCTGCGGGCTTGGCGTGCCCCCCTCAGCAGAGCAGATCGGTGCCAAGGGAATGCCAGCAATGAGCATTTTCCCCTAAGCCCTGAGGCTTAGCACCTCAGCAGGAGGGAGGCTGAGCCGCCAGCCGATGCGGAGGGCTGGCCCCCACCCTGACCTGCCACCCAGTACCTCCATTACATCCTTGATGACCGGGGTCCAGCGGGACAGCTGATAGGTGGGCTCCATGCGTTCTCTCGGCTCCAGCCGGCTGGAGGTCCCCGAGCCCTACAGGCAGGGCAGGGAGGGCAGCAGGGGGATTGAGGGGAAGGAGGCTGGTCACAGAGGGGCTGCGCCTGGTGTGGCTGGTAGGGTGGGGGATGGCAGGCAAAGATGGGGAAGTGGAACAGAGAGCGAGAGAGAGCGAGAGACAGCAAGAAAGCGAGAGAGAGAAACAGTGAGCCAGAGAGAGACGGAGAGAGAAAGCCAAAGGGAGAGAGAGCGAGCCAGAGAAAGACAAAGACAGAGGCAGAGATAGGCAAAGAGATAAGAAGCAGTGAGACAAAGTATGAAGGCAAAGAGAGAGACAAGAGATGAAGCAGGAAACAGAGAGAGGAAGATGGGGACAGAAGGGGGACGGAGAGGGGAGGGGAGCAAGACAGAGAACAGAGAGAAAGGGGAAGGCAGAGAGAAGGGTGAGAGAGAGAGATATGGAGAAACAGTGCACAGCGAGATGGATGAGGGATGGGGGAGAGATGGGGACGGGGTGAGGGCACCCTGGAGGGGGACGCACAGGGCCAGAGAGAGACAGGAGAGGCTGACCCAAGAGTCAAGCACACACATGGCTGTGTGTGGGTGCTGGATGGGTGCGGGGGACCCTCAGAGACCCCTGGGAGCCCAGATAGACAATGTGGTGTAGCCCCCATGCTGGGGACCCTACTCCCTGCCTCTAGCACTCAGACCACCCGCTCCCAACTGCACCACTGCCAGGACCAGCCTGGCAGCGACCATGTCTCACTTCCCCTGCCTATTGTGTAAGCTGGGACTGGGAGAGGCCCCAGTGTCCTCTGGGCCCCAGACCAGACCCGAAACACT
Organism: Homo sapiens; assembly: GCF_000001405.40. Lineage (NCBI taxonomy): Eukaryota > Metazoa > Chordata > Mammalia > Primates > Hominidae > Homo > Homo sapiens. The sequence goes on along the minus strand of NC_000019.10, from coordinate 7,645,441 downwards.
GCTTTTGGCCTCCCAGCAACCACACCACGCCAGGAACCACACCGTGCCTGTGCACCAATGGCCCTCTGCCTTGCAGAGCCCCGGCTGTGATCCGCACCCTCTCCCAGGGTCCCCCCATGCCCGCTCCTGGCGTACCCCGGGGTTGGTGACAGTGCCTCCCAGCTGCTCCAGGTTACGGATGAGGCTGCTGTGCGCCTGTACATTGGCATGCTGGATCAGCTTGGCCAGGTTCTCCTCACTCACACCTGGGGGACGGGAATGGGCAGGGTGGAGGCGGCGGCCAGGTGAGCTCCCAGGTTTAGGGGAGTTTGGGGTGGGCTGAGGAGCTCCCAGGACTCTGATGAGAGAACCTTGCAGTGGGGAGGGCCTCAGTACCCTGTGCTAGTGTGAGCAAGAGTGGGAAACCTGGAGGGGGTAGATCAGGGGCTCCTCCAGATGAGCTGAGGGAGCCCCACATCTATAGGAATCACAGATGTGAGGGTTTCTACGTTAGCAGGGAGCCCTCACCTCAGTGGAGGAATCCCCAAGCCAATGGAGGAGGGTTCCCGGGTCCAGAGGGGTAGCTGTGGGGGTTGGTGAGCCCGGTGAGTGCAAATGACCCAAGGAGAGCTGTGGGGTTCAGCAGTTCCCAGGATCGTGGGAGACGCTGGCAAATGGGGACGTTCCAACTCCCTGCAGCCCCCACCCACCATTCCGAAGGAGGATGTAGAGCAGCAGGACCCGGATCTTGTCGTAGGCGGGCACCGCCGCGTCCAGCAGCACCGGAACGATCAGCTTCATGGAGTCCTTGATCTTCTCCCCCTCTGCGTCGGAGCCCATGGCCAGGTCCTGCGGGCATGGGGTCAGCCGTCCACCGGCCGCTATGTGTCAGGGAAGGGGATGGGAGAGGCGGGCCAAGGACATCCCCAGGATCCTCGGCAAGAGGACATTTGGGTCCTACCTCATCTCAGCACCAGGTCTCTCAAGGTCCCACCCCTGTCCAGGGACAGTCTCTCCACAGGCCCTGCTCCTCACCCAGGTCCCACCTTTCCAGTGCCCCACCCACCTACACACAGGTCACACCACTATCCTGAGACTACCTCTCCAAGGCTCCACCCCTCACCCAGGTCCCAGCTCTCCAAGGCTCCACCCCTCACCCAGGTCCCAGCTCTCCGAGGCTCCACCCCTCACCCAGGTCCCACCTCTCCGAGGTTCCACCCCTCACCCAGGTCCCACCTCTCCGAGGTTCCACACCTCACCCAGGTCCCACCTCTCCGAGGCTCCACCCCTCACCCAGGTCCCACCTCTCCAAGGCTCCACCCCTCACCCAAGTCCCACCTCTCCAAGGCTCCACCCCTCACCCAGGTCCCAGCTCTCCAAGGCTCCACCCCTCACCCAGGTCCCACCTCTCCAAGGCTCCACCCCTCACCCAGGTCCCACCTCTCCGAGGTTCCACCCCTCACCCAGGTCCCACCTCTCCAAGGCCCCGTGCCTCACCCAGATCCCACCTCTCCATGGCTCTACCTGTCTCCCAGCTCCTACCTCTCCAAGGCCCCACCCCTCACTCAGGTCCCACCTCTCCAAGGCTCCGCCCCTCTCCCAGGTCCCACCTCTCTTAAGGCTCCACCCCTCTCCCAGGTCCCACCCCTCCAAGGTTCCACCCCTCATCCAGGTCCCACCTCTCCAAGGTTCCACCCCTCACCCAGGTCCCACCTCTCCAAGGCTCCGCCCCTCACCCAGGTCCCACCTCTCCAAGGCTCCGCCCCTCTCCCAGGGCCCACCTCTCCAAGGCTCCATTCCTCTCCCAGGTCCCACCTCTCCAAGGCTCTGCCCCTCACCCAGGTCCCACCTCTCCAAGGCTCCATTCCTCTCCCAGGTCGCACCTCTCCAAGGCCCTGCCTACCTCTCCAAGGTCCCACCCACCTATGAATAGGCCACATTCCTGTCCTGGGACCACCTGTCCAAGGCTCTGCCCCTCACCCAAGTCTGACCTCTCCAAGCCCCATCCACCTATGCACAGGCCACACCCTCATCCTAGGACCGTTTCTCCACAAGACCCACTCCTTCCCCACCAGGTCCCACCTCTCTCCAAGGCCCCTCCACCTCTCCACAAGCCCTGCCCCTCCCCCAGAACCCCCCATCTCTACAGTTCAGCCCCTCCCCAATACCCCGCCTTGGCAGGACCATCACCCCTGCCCCCCGCAAGCCCTGCCCCACCTGCTCCACACTACACAGCTTCTCCACCGAGCCCTTGAAGTGCTTCATACAATCATCTGCTAGATGCAGGTGCGTAGAATACTGCAGGGTGCAGGGTGGGGGTTGGGGGATAACAAAGGCTGAGTCAAGGCAGAACGCAGACAGAGCATGGGGTTGAGGGGCCGAGGTGTCCCCGCTCCCTGCCCACCCGAGCACACCTTATTCAGCTCCTTCTGGTACTGCGGCATCTTTTTCAGGATCTGGGATAGGTCTTTGATGTTCGCCTGGGGAAGTAGGGGGAAGAGGGTAGGGATTGGGGGGCGAAGCCAGGCAGTGCCCACCTGGGTCTCAGTCCAGGCTCGAAATCCAGGCTGTGGCCCTGCGCCCATGGGGAGGGGGGCTTCCTTCCACCAGCGCCTTTGGTGACCTGGGTCCGCCCCTACCTTGTCCGTGGTCAGCCTCTTGCTCTCACAGAAGGTCCTCAGGAGCTCCGTGACCTTCCTGGCCATGAGGGTGGGCGGGGGTGAGAGTGAGGGGAGAGGAGCCACAGGCCATGGGTGAGCCCACTCAGGGGGGACAGGGAGAGGTGGGGTGAAATTGGAGGCCAGTCTGGAGTCACACGAGGGGTGCTCATGAGGGCCAAAGACTTGGCAGCAGCCAGGGATCCCAAGGCCGCTACCAGGCCCACAGTGGGCGGTGGGGGGGGGATCCGGTCCCCGTGTGCACGCACTTGGACACATCTGCGATATGCATGTGGCGAAGCTCCACCCACAAGTCATCGTCCTCGTCCAGCAAGACGGCCTTCTCCCGCGCCTCGCTCAGCCCGGTGGTCTCATACCTGGGGAGGAAGGAGGGAGCCTGGGGGTCAGGGGAGCTGAGGACTGGGGAACCAGGTCAGTGGCAAGGGTGGGGACGGGTTCCAAGTCTGCAGACCTGTATGTGTCCTGCTCTATGTCCAGCAGATCATACGCCATGGCCTGGAACGTGAGCTCATGCAGTAGTGGGGACACGGGGTCAGCTGCCCGGTCCATTATCAGCAGCTGGGAGCGGGTTTTCTCTGGGCCCTGGGGTGGGGTTTAGGGCAGGAATGAGGCACTGACCCTGAGCCGGTTGGGGCTGCCCCTCACCTCCCAAGCACGCCCCCTCACCTCGCCCAGACTGGGAGTGTCTGCCTTGAAGGCGTTCAGCTTGGCCAGGACGGCGTGGGCCAACTGGGCTGTGTCCTCTGGGCCCCTGGCGGGGAGGTCAGACACGGGGGACATCATCAGGGGATGGGGTCAAGGATGGGTTTGAAGGTGAGAGTCAGGGGCCAGGGTAGGGCCGGGGCTGGGGTCACAAGAGAGGTTAAAGGTTAGGTGTTGCACGCGGTTAAGGGGGGGTCGGCATCGGGGTGGGGCTGGGTGGGGTCCCCACTTGCGGTAGCGGATGGCCGGGTACTCCTGCAGGGTGGCGCACAGCGTGGCAATCTGCTGGGCCAGCACCTCGAGCTGCCGCGTGCGCTCCTCTGCCCGGAAGGGGCAGTAGAGGTTGTAGGTGCTGTGGGGAGCATCGAGGGAGAACACCTGGGCGAGGAGGGGACAGAAGCACCAGGGTTGCCGCTGCAGGTGCACACCTGCCCCGCTTCCCGCTGCCGCCACCTGCACCTCCTGGGAGCCGTCCCTGGTCCCTGAAGCCTGCTTTGCCGAATTGGAGGCAGGCCCAGGTCAACCCTAAACCCATGCCTGCAGGAGTCAGTGGATAAATACCCCAGCCCGTGTCCCTTAAGCTGGCTGGACAACCCCGCGGTGCGCTCTACGCTGCCCCCTGCAAGGGCCTAGTGGGATAGAACTCAAGGCAAGAGCTCCTTGGACTCTGTGGGTACCTCCCCTTTTTAAAATTTTACTTTATGTATGTTTTTGAGACAGGATCTCGCTCTGTCGCCCAGGCTGGAGGGCAGCAGTGCAATCATAGCTCACTGCAGCCTCGACCTCCCGGGCTCAAGCGACTCTCCCACCCCAGCCCCATGAGTAGCTAGGACTACAGGTGCACGCCACCACGCCAAGCTAATTTCTTTCTTTTTCTTTTTTTAAGAGACGGGGTCTTGCTCTGTACCCAGGCTGGTCTCAAACTCCTGGCCCCAAGTGATCCTCCTGCCCTGGCCTCCCACAGCGCTGGGATTACAGGTATGAGCCACTGCGCCCAGCCTCAGTGTCTGTTTCTGAGGGAACAGGGGACATTTGGTCACAAACCCCCACCCCCTGCCCAGGATGAGCCCGGGCCGTACCTGGGCCTCGTAGGGGAGGAAGGCAAGGTGAATCTCCTTCAACGTCTTCACCACCTTTGCCAGACGAGAGCGGCCTAGCTCACTGAACAGGGGCTCGGGGCAGGCTGGGGTGAGGCAGGAGTGGGGCATCAGGCCAGAGCAGCCCCCACACCTCCTTGCCCCACCCACCAACACCCTAGGCTCTCCTCACTCACTGTCGGTGAAGAAGATATGGGCCGCTTTGTAGGTGAAAGTCGGGGTCCCCTGGAAGTCTTTGATCAGGGCCTGAACCGACTGGGGAAGGTGGATCACTCTCTGGGCCTGAGCCTGCACACCTAGGCTCATTGGCTGCCTAGGCCTCCCAGCCACCCCCCATCTGCCACCATGTGCAAACATGGACGGACGGGGACATGTATATGTGCAAATGCACACTAGTGTCGCACCCACATGGGCACACGCGCACACACACAGATGCACGCACGCACACACACATACACACGCATGCACACATGCACACACACACAGATGCACACACACATACACACATGCACACACAGAGATGCACACACATACATACACACATGCACACACACAGATGCGCGCGCACACATACATACACACATATACACACATGCAGACACTGATGCGCACACACACGCATACACACATGCACAGACGCATACACACACGCATACACACGCACACACAGATGCACACACATACATAGACACATGCACACAGATGCACATACATATACACGCATACACACATGCACACACAGATACACACAGACGCACACACAGACGCAGACACATACATACACACGCATACACACATGCACACAGACAGACGCACACACACACATACAGATGCACACAGATGCACACACACATACATACACACGCATACACACATGCACAGACACAAATGCACACACAGACCCACAGACACACACGCATACACACATACACACAAATGCACACACAGACGCACACACATGCACATGCACACAGACACATACATAGACACACATGCAAACACGCACACACATGCATACACAGATGCACACACACATGCACACACATGCACACACATACACATGGACACATGCACACGTATACACATGCACACATGCAATCACATGCATGCAGACATACACACACATGCACATGTACACGCATGCACGCGCATACACACACGCTCACTCATGTAGGCACCTTCTCCGTGGGGCTCAGCAAATAAATGGCCTCCAGACTGGGAATGGGTTCCCGCCGTTTGTTGATGTCTTCAACAACTAGTAGGAACAGAGGAAGGGACACAGGTGGGTGGCATCCAGGCAGGGCCACGTGGGGAGTCTCAGGTGTGGGGGGTTGGAGGCTTGGGGAGGAGGGGTGGATGCTTAGGAGGGACTGCAGGAGAAACCCACTTAGGGACCACCAGCTAAGAGCCACACGACAGGGTTCTGCAGGGGTTGTGCAGCCAACTGGGTTCCCCAAATTTACAGACAGGGAGACTGAGGTTCTGAGAGGACAGGCTCCCTCAGCACCTATCCCTCAATGGCAAAGTGACTGGGACACCACCTGGGGTCACCCATAGAAGGCTCTGCATTCTTGGGACCCCACATCCAGAGTCCACCCTGGGAGTCCCACACAGGGCTCCACGAGGGAGCTGCACGGTCAGGAAGGGGCTGCAGCCAGGGAGTGCTGCAGGGGAGGCCTGCAATCCATGGGCTCCCGCAGTCAGCTTGCAAGGTTTAAGAATGGATTTGGTCACATGATCCGGGCTGTCCGTGCAGGGAGCTGCGTACTTGGGAGTTCTGGACGATTTGAGGGGATCCTACACTCAAGGGCTGAACCCTGGGAGAGGGGCACAGTCAGGGGTTCCCACGCTCAGGTCCCATCTCACTGGGGACGCGTTCACTCACTGGTGATGCCCTCAGCCAGGATATCTGACATTTTGCAGCAGGAAGACAAGATGCGCATGCTTGGGTGATCCATGATAAGCACCTGTCCAGATGGATGGACAGATGGATGGAGGAGCAGGCGGAAGAGGCCACAGCTGGCCCCAGAAGGGGCCAAGGCAGTGGGAGGGGCAGTTTCAAGGGCTGGCTGGGTGGGAGGACCCAGAACCCATTCACCCAACTCCACCCATGTGGACAGGCAGTTCTTGGGGGTCCCACATTCAGGGTCTTCCCCATAGGCCTGATGATGAGCTGCCTCTGGGTACCCAGCCATCTGCCTCACCCCTACCTTCCACTCCCCATCCTTCTTGACACTCCGAATAACTCCGCTCAGAATTTCTGCAGGGAAGGGAGGGGAGGGGTCAGAATGCTGGTTCTCTGGTCCCACCACTGCCCCAAGCCTTCTCAGCCTTGGGGCTGAACCCCCATCTTAATTCCCATTTACTTTTTTTTTTTTTTTAAGAGAGGAGGATCTCACTCTGTCACCTAGGCTAAAGTGCAGTGGTGTGATCATAACTCACTGCGGCCTCCAACTCCTGGGCTCCAGCGATCCTCTTGCCTCAGCCTCCCGAGTAGCTGGGACTACAGGTGCATGTACCACCCACAGCTAATTTATTTTTATTTCTGTATAGATGGGGTCTCGCTATGTTGCCCAAGCTGGTCTCAAACTTTTGGCCTCAAGCAGTCCTCCTGCCTCGGCCTCCCAAAGTGCTGGGATTACAGGTGTGAGACACGGCACAGGAATCATTTATTTTTAGCCCCCAGTTCTGCAAATTGGCTTCTGGGGTCACCCCCAATTTACAGACAGGGAAACAGATTCTTAGGCAACATGTAACTCACCTACGCATCCTGAGTGTCTAAGTGGCAGAGTGCTGGGGCAAAAGGTGCCACTCGATAAACATGTTTTAGGTGAATGAAAAGAGGAGAACCGGGATCATCTACAGCTCTATCTGCCTCTAGCGCCAGGCTCTCGGCTTCCCCACCTGCTACCTCAAGTATTCCTGCTGTGAGGGTTTCAGCCAGTCCCCCCAACCTGGTCTAAAATGTAGGACCCCTGGTTCCCAGCTCTGAGGCATGCCTAGCTGAGGCTATCCCACTGACCTCCGGTCTCAGTTTCCTCATCTGTAAAATGGAATCACTTTTTTCTAATCTCCCCCAATTAAAGGGGTTTGAGCTACAGACCGCCCTGCCTAGAGGAGAGAGTGGAGAGAAGTAACGGGGTGGCCCCGCCCAGCCACGTCCACTGTGTCATGTCCACTGTTATCAAGACGGCCAGGGCGGAAGGAGCAGCTGAGGCCGGAACTCCCCGGGGTGGAGGAAGAGGCGCCCTCCACCCTTCCCCCAAGAACCGGGGCCGGTGAGGCCTGGACGCCTGCGTCCTCCAGCTGCAAGGCGCTCCTGGAAATGGGGCAAGGAGGAAGACATCCCCTACACCACCCCTGTGGGGCCTGGACACGTCCCCTGAGCGCTCACAGCACCTAGGGTCGCTGACCAGAGCCCTAGGAGGCCCCAAGAATCCAGCCCCTGAACTTTGCCCGGCTTAAGAGATCCTAGAGTGTGGGCATCCAGCTGTGCCCTCCTCCCCCGGCAGGCACCCTAGGAGGCCCAGGAGTCCGGGCCCCAGCCTCCGCCACACTCTACCCGTCCCCTTTGGGTCCCCGGAGTCCGGCCCCCCAATTTTGTTCTGTTCTGGCACCGGAGAGCAGGGGCGTCCAGCTGGGAACCCGTCCCCGCCCGCCCCCTCGAGGGTCAGGTGCTCGGACGCCCAGCCCGGCCCCCAACTCCCAGCCGCCATGAAACCCAGGATCCCAGAGCCCGTGCGTCCCCGACCCCCGTCCCACACCGGACGCCAGAGCCCGGCCCCGGAGAGGCACTCACTTTCCCCCACCACCGCCTTCAGCCCCGAGGGCGCCATCTTCCCCGAGGGGCGCCGCCGCCGCTTCCGGGTGTGTCCCAAGGTGGGGGCGTGGCCCCGCGCGTCACCCACGTGGACCCCGCCCCGCGGGCCCTGTCCCCGCCCCCTGCGCACCTGGCCCCTCCCCGCCGTCGGTTCTCGCCCAGGCCCAGGAAGTTGAGTCCCTGGCGGGGAGGACGGGCAGGTGCGTCCGCGCTGCCGAGCACGAAGTCGCTGGAGGTGCACACCTCGACGACACGCTCACAGATGGGAGTTCAGACACACACTTCCTGGCTTGCGTGCGAAGCAGGATCGCAGGGCAATAATCCCTCCATCTTCCCCGGGAGGTTCTGTGCCTGCAAGATACACGGCACCCACTCGATGCCACCGGGCCGCCACTGTCTGGGCCTGGGATCTTGACCCACTTGCCTTCTGTACTTCAGGGTTTAGAGGCAGCAGCAGCAGCAGCAGCCGTCTTGGATAACTTTTGATGGATTCAGGAGGCCTGGAGACCTCTTGTGTGCAGGCACCTGGACATAATTTTCATTCAGTCCTGCCCAATGTTCCGACCTGGACTGCGGTGCCGACGAGGAAACCGAGGCTTAGCGGGATCCCTAATCCAAGGCCACGACGAGTGAGCCTGCTGGGTTCAAGCCAGGAGCCTGTCCCCAGGGGGCATTTGTCACAGCCTTACCCTCTTCCGGGAGGCGCAACGCTTACCCTCGTGGACCAACAATCGAATTAACATGCTGATACACACATGGGGTGAGTGACGCCCTCAAATGCTTGCAAACACAGACACACACTCGGAATTTCAGAAGCTGCTTCTGCTGTGTGTCCTGTCGCTTGGAAGGCACAGCCCCAGCAGCACCCATACAAAATGAGGTCTCCGATTTAAGGTGCGAGGTATGTGTGCAAACAGACTCTTGCTGGTCTGAGCTGGTTCCTTCGCTCGGCCGTGTTGATGAAGGTACCAAGCCCCCTGCCACTTACATGGGACATAGGGAGTGAATCAGACCCGAAGGTCTGGGGGAGATAGGAAAGGATCCATGCTGCCCTAAAGGAAATAAACTAATGTGACAACAAGTGCCACAGAAGGTAGGGGTGGGAGGGGACTTTACTGAGGATGACCCCCGAGGGCCTCTCTGAAGAAGCAGCCTTTTGACATTATCCCTAAATGGATTCTAGAAGCAGCCACACAGCATGTCCAGGTAGAGAAGGGAGGAGCCCCGAGCTTAAGAAGGCTGGAGGGTGGGGGCAGCAGGGGCCAGACTTCTGTAGGACAAGGTCAGACTGACCCATCCCAGTGCCAGGATGCAGGACTTTCAGTGCTAAAAATAGGACAGTCACAGGCAAACCAGGACGGTTGGCAACCGTAGGTAGGAGTTTGAGCTATTTCTTCCTTTCCTTTCCTTTTCCCTTCCTTTCTTCCTTCTTCTCCCTCCTCCCCATTTTTGTTTGTTTTTGTTTTGTAAAGAGACGGGTCTCGCTCTGTTGCTCAGGCTGGAGGGCAGTGGCACGATCATAGCTCACTGCAGCCTCGACTTCCTGAGCTCAAGGGATTCTTCCACTTCGGCCACCCAAGTAGCTGGGACTACAGGTGCACGCCACCGTGCCCGGTTGATTTTGTTGTTGTTGTTAAGAGACAGGATCTCCCTATGTTGCCCAGGCTGGTATCAAACTCCTGGGCTCAAGGGATCCTCCTGCCTTGGCCTCCCAAAGTGTTAGGATTTTAGGTATGAGCCACCGCACCCTGCCCCTTCCTCCTTTTGTAACAGCTTTACTGAGATATAATTCACATACCATACAACTCGCTGACCTAAGGTGCGTAAGTCAATGGCTTTCAGTATTTTTGGAGTTGTGTGTCCATTACCACAATCCATTTTAGAACATTTCCACAACCCCTAGGTGTTTGGGTTTTGTCTTCTCAAGAGTTTTGAGCAGGGGAAGGCGGGGAACCCTCCAGATCCTGGGGGGATGGAAGCCAGGACCGCCTCCAGCTTCTCAGCCTGACCCCTTGGGGGGACAGAGAGCTGTTAGGGCCAGCCACCCCACCACTAACCCCCAAAAGATATGAAGTACTAATCCCCAATACCCCACAATAGGATCTTATTTGAAATGGGGTTAGTATAGATATTAGCAGTGAGCATGAGGTCACACTGGAGTAGAGTAGGCCCCTAATGCAATATCACTGGTGTCCTTGTAAGATAGTTATATGTCTGCCTGGTTCTGTGTAGGTGGTTGGGGGGGTGGGGAAATGGGTATATGAAGACTGGGACACAGAGGGAGAATGCCATGTGACCACGGAGGCAGGGAGTGAAGAGCTGCAGTGACAAGCCAAGGACATCAAGGACGGCAGGCCACTGCCAAAAGCCAGGGAGGGGCAAGGAGGGCTCCTGAGACCTGGTTTTCAGAGGGAGCACAGCTCTGCCAACACCTTCATTTCAGGCTGTGGCCTCTGGAACGTTGGCTCAATAAATTTGTTAAAAAAAAATTTTAAAGGCTCAGCATGGTGGCTCATGCCTGTAATCCCAGCACTTTGGGAGGCCCAGGCAGGAGGATCACATGAACCCAGGAGTTTGAGACTAGCCTGGGCAAAATAGTGAGACCTCATCTCTATATAAAAATATATAACAAAAGTCAACTTATGTGTTTTAAGCCATCTGGTCTATGACACTTTGTTCTGGCAGGCCTAGGAAAGGGATACACGTACTGAGGAGGGGGACACTTCATTGGCATAGAGGGAGAGAGTGTGAACTTGGCCTTTTGTGGAACAGAGGAGGCTCGGGCAGAGGTGGTGATAGTGCAGCCCATTCATTCTGAGATGAAACTTCCACTGGTTTCCGTAAAGGCGTCTTGGGGAGGGAAGGGAAGGGGATGGGGACCTCCCAGTGGTATCCCCTGCTTGGGCACTGAGGGAAAGCCACAGTGGCTCGGGGGAAAAGGCAGGGACGTCCTCTCCCCGCCTGCCTCTGTCCCCAGGGAGTCTCGCCTCCTGTTCCCACCTGGGGCTAGGGTGATAGAGGAGAGGAGATAGCTCAACCTGGCATTTAGGTGGTGTGGGAACAGGAGACCCCAGACTTTCTTGTTTTGGGGTCTGGGGCAGGCAACCAGGCTCCAGGGACAGTGAGTTGAAGGAAGGGTGGCTGGGAGACCCCTTGACTTGCTGCCAAGGAGACAGAGCTGGAGCTAGGGTGGCCGGTGGTGTCTGAGGCAGGTGCAGAGAGGGAGGGAGGGAAGGGGCCTTTGACTCCAACCTCCTTTTTCTGTACCGACTGCAGGTGGCAGCTGCCCTTTCAGGAGCCAGTGGGGGAACCTGGGTGGCTGGGTGGGGACACCTGCAAGTCCTCCCTAAGCCAGCTACCACCCTACACTGTTGGCCTCCCTTCTCCAACTGTGGGGATGCTGCTCAGGCCTTTTGTGACATCACACCTGAGAGTCCCTGGGGTCCAGTCATTGCTGCTGGGCACAGCGAGGTCCAAGCTCAGGTCGCCCTGCCCCCTACCCACCATGCCAGATCCAGCATCGTTGTGGGCAAACAATTATCTGGATGATCTTTATGGGGCTTAAGCTTGGGTGGGAGCAGATGGGGCATGAGCTGGGGATTTGGGGATGGGGGGAATCCACACCCCCACGTCCTGGACGTTTAAAAGGCCCTCTCTGGCACTGGGCCGGGGCAGAGGCCAGCAGAAAAGTGACTGGAGTCCAGGGACATGATGGATCAGGAGGAGAAGACGGAGGAAGGCTCAGGCCCCTGTGCCGAGGTGAGAGGGCCCTGCCCCCACCCCACCCCCAGCTCAAGGTCTCAGAGCCCATGATTGACAAGACTAGTTTGTAGGGCACCTAATTAACGAGTGAGTCTCCTAGGACCCCCTGACCCAGTTGTGGCTGTAGAAAGGGGCTGGTGGGCTTGGGGGTCTGAGTGCCAGGCCCCAGGGCAGAGGGCAGGGCTCTCCGTGTGGACCCCTATTGATGGGAGATGCTGGGACCTGGGGGTAGCTCCTGGGCCATGTTTCCCTGATTCGTGTCCCAGCTCCCAGGCCACACTCATCAGGCCCCAATCTAGGACGGCGGGACACGCATCGGAGCCTGTCCCTTGAAGCGGTACCACGTGAAGTGGCACTGCTGGCCAGGGCCCCTGGGGCGGGGGCCGGGATTGGGAAGGAGACTCATGTCTCATTCAGAACAGCTCTGCAGAGAGGATCGGCGGGGACCATGGTGAGAGCTGAGGAAGTGGGGACGGCAGGCCCCGGGGTCAGGGTGTGAGCAAGCTGGCTAGGAAGTTTGGGGAGGGGCCCCCAAGCTGAAGGGCCAACCAGACTGAGCGAGTCTGTCCCCAGGCGGGCTCCCCAGACCAGGAGGGCTTCTTCAATCTGCTGAGCCACGTGCAGGGCGACCGGATGGAGGGACAGCGCTGTTCACTGCAAGCCGGGCCGGGCCAGACCACCAAGAGCCGTGAGCATGGGCACGGGGGTGCTGTCCATGGGGCGTGAACGGGGTGGGAGTGCAGGGCAAGTGGTCATCTGGAGGGCCTGGGGGCACGGGATGTGGGAGGTGGTTGTGCACCCTGAAGCATCTGTGTGGGGGTGAAGGGGTAGGGTTGGGGGCCCCCACTCCGGCTGTGTCCTCCCAAGTCTGTGAACGTCCACGCAGAGAGCGACCCCACCCCCGAGATGGACAGCCTCATGGACATGCTGGCCAGTACCCAGGGCCGCCGCATGGATGACCAACGTGTGACAGTCAGCAGCCTGCCCGGCTTCCAGCCCGTGGGGTCCAAGGTAGGTGATGTTCTGGCGATGTCGAGGAGAAACCCGCCAGGCAGTGCTCTCCGATCCTGCCCTCCACCCCAGCCAGGAGGGAACAGGGCCTGCCCCATCTCTGTCCATCCGCTGCCCTGACTTCAGATGGGAGGACCAAGGCCCAGGCAGTGGCTAGAGGGGCCCAAGGTTATACAGGGGCCATGCTAGTGTAAGACCCATGGCTGGAACTTGTGGCTCCTGCCCCCAAGTCTGAAGGTTCTGGGGAGGCCAAAGGGAGAAAATAGGACCCCTTCCTAGGAAAGTATCCCAGGGAGGAAGTCACGTAAGCTCACACATAGGATATATACATCTGTATACTCACATCTGTTGACTTCACACATACACGAAGCTTGGGTTCTGATCAAGATCCCAGCGAGGGCCCCAAGACCTGCCACCTCACACTCAAATGCCACCCTAAATGGCAGATATTGAGGGTAAACATAGACCAGTGCTCACAATGAGGTGGGACACGGTGGCTACCTGCACCCTCTCTCCATTGTTCGCCACCTGTGGCCGGCACTGCCCTTGAGCCCTCCCCCTGGCTGACCCCTCTTCATCCACAGGACGGAGCACAGAAACGAGCTGGGACCCTCAGTCCCCAACCCCTGCTCACCCCTCAGGACCCGACCGCTCTCGGCTTCCGTCGGAACAGCAGCCCCCAGCCCCCGACACAAGCCCCCTGAGGGCCTGAGGCATCCTGGGTCTCACTCGGCCCCCAAAAACTGATAAAAGAATAAAACACTTAAATGAATAACAAGGAACTGAGTATATGTATATTTCATCAGGGGAGGGGCTAGGACTCCCACTTGGAGGCCTCAGGAGTTCTGCTGGGCGTCGCGAAGGAGCTTCTCCTCCCGCCGCTTCCGTAACCTCTCTTTGAATTCCTCTATCTCTTGAAGCTAGGGGTGGAGAAGCGGGTGGGACAGGAAGGGGGGAGGGGCACACACCTCAGAGCCGGGACCACCCCCCCCCGCCCACCTCTCCCACCACCCTGCCCCAGACCACGGCTTCAGGGTTCAGTGTCTTCACTGGAAGCCCCCTGCCAATTACAAAGGGGTCCGCGTGGGATCCGCTTCACTCTTCCAGGAGAAGGCAATAAGGAAACCATCTACTCCTCTGCTCTCGGTTCCTTACTCATGGCTGAGAGTAAAATGTTTCTTTTTGAGACAAAGTCTCACTCTATTGCCCAGGCTGGAGTGCAGTGGCGTGATCTTGGGCTCACTGCAACCTCCACCTCCTGGGTTCAAGTGATTCTTCTCCCTCAGCCTCCCAAGCAGCTGGAATTATAGGCGCCTGCCACCATGCCTGGCTAAGTTTTGTATTTCTGTAGACATGGGGTTTCGCCATGTTGGCCAGGCTGGTTTTGAACTCCTGACCTCAAGTGATCTACCCACCTCAGCCTCCCATGCCCTGGGATTACAAGCATGAGCCACTGCGCCTGGCCTAAAATTTTCATCTAAAACCCATCCCGGATACAAGAATCCAGCCTCCTCCATCCCTCTGGCAGGAAGAAGAGATCACTTACCTTCTCAGGTGGCCACAGCTCCCTCTGTAAGGAAAAGTCACAAATGGGACACGAGCCAAAGGCCTCCAGAGCCCCACATCAGGGCAGGGTCGGCTTATGGGAGGCAGACATTAGTCCCCAGCAGACTGCTGCCCCACACCCTCTCCCACCCCTGGAATGAACCCTCAAACACTCCTCTTATGCCCACCTTGCGCTGTATGACATCGTCCTCAAACCACTCGGCCTGATTGGAAACCCAGAACATAGCCACAGGGAAAGTGAGGTAGATTATCATCTGGAATGGCAGAGGGTGGGTGAGGTGAGCTCCCCCCAAGCAATGTGCAGAGGCTCCTCAGAGCCTGGGGGACCCATCCTACTGCAGAGTCCAGAAGCGCCTCGTTACGGCCGACCCAAGAATCCCAGAACTCCCACCAAGGGTACAGAAACCTCGCACCCTAAAACCTAACTCCTATAATCCAGGAGGCCTCATTCCTGAAAGTTCCCTCTGAGCTGGAGTCTTCCTCTCAAACACAGACAGACACACAGACGCCCCAGCTACAATCAAAAGCATCTCCTCGAGACCTCATTACCCATCCCCACTTAAGATCCCGGGAGCACCCCCAAACCCAGGAGGCGTCACTCTTCAACTCCACTTCTCGAAGTCTAGGAATCTCCCTGTCATAGACACCCACCCACCACGAGCCCGAGAGCTCCCCCAGGATCTTAAGTCTTCCTTCTTTAGAGCCCCCTTCTCAGCTCACCCCTCTCTGAGGTCCTTCCTCGGACCAGCCCTCTCACAGCCCCCAAACCCAGAAGCCCAAATCCGAGAACCCCCCCAGCCCAGCGTCCCCTCTCCTGGATTTCCAACCAGAAAGGTTCCTCTCAAATCTTAAGAGCTTTCTCCTTGGAGCTCCCTCTTCCTTTGAAGTCCCCCCATTTCCAACCTCATCTTCAGATCCAGGAAGATCCCCTGCCCAGCCTCCCAACCCACTCCTGTGTCCACTGACCCGAAATATCTCCAGCTTCACCCCCATCTCGTTTCTCCCGGTCAACAAAGCCAGTTCCGCCCAAAGCCGACCCTCCAGCAAGACAGAAGCTCACTGGTGTTTTGCACGCTCCATTGCTGAAGCTGATTGGCCAATGTGTATCCTGATGGCGCATCTTCTGGCGCCTCTATTCTGCTTCCGGTCGCTGGCGTCGTCGAAAAGAAGTCAATAACGTGGGCCTGTCCGTCAAAAATGATTTAACCAATAGAAAACGGGTCTGGCTCGGAGGGGCGGGCCGTCAGTGGTAGACGTCATAAGCGCGCGACTCTCTCCTGTACCTGGGCATCCAGAAAAATGGTGGTGATGGCGCGACTCTCGCGGCCCGAGCGGCCGGACCTTGTCTTCGTGAGTCCACAGAGGAGCCGGGGGTGGCCTGCGTTGGGGCATTGGGACCTGGACGCCGCAGGGGATCGAGGCTGGGTCGGCAAGGAGATTTAGGCCGAAACTGCCAGGCCAAGGTCTGGGAACCCTAATGGGCCAGAGACCGGATCGTCATGTCCGCACCGAACTGTCCAGGAGTAAAAATATGGTGTTGTATCTTCGGGTCTGAGTAGAAAACCACTGTCGAAGGGAAGCGTCTAGCCTCCCGAACCAGGGGCGGAAATGGGGGCGTGCAGGGAATGGGAGAGGAGGAAGATCGCATAACTGAACCTTGAGAGGTGAAGATCGGTGTCTGAAGTAAAGGCTTGCTTACGAGGCCAGGGTTCTGGTTTCTGGGATGAAGGCTTGGTTTTCTGGATAGCGGTCTCTAGGCCTGGACTGCAGCATGACAGTTTCTGGGGTGGTGGCCAGGCTAGAAGAACCCTGGTGATGTGGAGCTTGTCAGGCGATGGCCAGTGAAATACTTACTCTCTGGAGTAGAGGCGTGACATCTTCACCAGATTCTTGGTGTGCAGAGTTAAAGGCTTGGCTTCTGGTGTATAACTCCTCCTGTGAGATAAAGGCCTAGCTTTTAATTTCTGGGGCAGAGTTGAGCTAGACGCTGGCTAGTGGGATCCTGGGGGCGGGGCTAGTGGCTTGGAATCTGGACCTGAGAGCCCTGGTGGCTGGGGTAAAGATCTGGTCATCTGGGCCTGGGGTGGAGATGGGTCAGATGGTGACAGTGGGAGTCTGAGGGGCCAAAGGCCTGGTGTCTGGGAAGAGGCACGTTTTGAAGAAGTGGGGTCTGGTGTCCAGGACTGGCATCTGGGCCAGGGCCTTGGTATCTAAGGAGTCTGACCATCTGGGGCAGAAAGCGAGTGGTGATGCGGACTCATTCCTGGCCCAGAGCCCTAATGACTGAGAAGTCTGATGATTTGGGTTCGATTTTGGGTAGTTGAATTCTGAGGGGTAAAGGTCTGGGCCACTGTCTTGGTGTCGGGCATCTGGTTTGGTGCCTGGGCATCTGGTGACCTGACTTCCTTGGTGGGTGGTGGGATCTAGGTAAAAGTCCGGAGTTTGGACCTGAGCCCCAGCAGTGGGATGGTGCTGCACACAGGCTCTGAGGGTAGGCCTCTCTTCTTCCCATTCCCTGGCCCTGGCAGGAGGAAGAGGACCTCCCCTATGAGGAGGAAATCATGCGGAACCAATTCTCTGTCAAATGCTGGCTTCGCTACATCGAGTTCAAACAGGGCGCCCCGAAGCCCAGGCTCAATCAGCTATACGAGCGGGCACTCAAGCTGCTGCCCTGCAGGTGGGAATGGCTCCAGCTGCCCTGCCCACCAGCCCCCACCCCACCTGGTCCAGTTATAACAAAACTGCCAAGTGGGTCCCGGGTCCCGGGTGATTGCTTCGTGTTTCATCACTGACCTGTACATCCCTTGATGGGTCAGCACACCTTCTCTGATGTCCCAGTCTGTCCCTGTCATTGCTGAGACATGTCACCCCTCCCACACCCCTTCTTCCCACATTTGCCAACTGGGGCAGGGCAAATGGTTCTGGGGGTGTCCATAAAGCTGACCGATCAGCATCTGTCCCCTCCTATTCCCCAGCTACAAACTCTGGTACCGATACCTGAAGGCGCGTCGGGCACAGGTGAAGCATCGCTGTGTGACCGACCCTGCCTATGAAGATGTCAACAACTGTCATGAGAGGGCCTTTGTGTTCATGCACAAGGTTTGGGGCTCGGCGAGGGGATGAATCGGGAAGTGGAGCTCAGTCCATGGTGGTGGGTGGGGCGGGGACAGGGGCTGGGCTCAGCATGTTAGGGATGGGGGCTTGGATTCCTGTTGCTTCTTTGCATGGGAAGTTGGGCTGGACTCAGTCCTGGAGCTGGGGGTTTCTGGGTCCCGCCGCATTTATGTGGTGGCCCCAGGTGTGGCTCAGCCACAGGACATCGAGTGTCTGTGGCCAGGCCATGGAGTCCGTGGCTTAGCCCCAGCCGCCTCTCCCCACACCCCCAGATGCCTCGTCTGTGGCTAGATTACTGCCAGTTCCTCATGGACCAGGGGCGCGTCACACACACCCGCCGCACCTTCGACCGTGCCCTCCGGGCACTGCCCATCACGCAGCACTCTCGAATTTGGCCCCTGTATCTGCGCTTCCTGCGCTCACACCCACTGCCTGAGACAGCTGTGCGAGGCTATCGGCGCTTCCTCAAGGTGAGCCTAGCAGGTGCGCTGGTTCCCCAGGTTAGTTTCCAGAAACGGCCTCACTGTGACACTAGCTCCGCGTAGGATGTCACCCAGCAGACGGGATGTGGGAAGAGGCTCCTGGAGATGCATGTGTTTTGTTGTTGTCCGTGATTCATGTCTTTATTTTCCAAATAGTTTGTTCACACTGGTTTCACATTAGGCATAGCGATGGGTGCTGAGGACAGTGTGACTAAGACACTCCCTGCCTGCACGGAGCTTTTAGTCTAAGTAGGAAGACAGATGCATATGAGCTGATGGCATGAACTAGAGTAAAACCACAGCCATGAAGAGGGCCAGGAATAGGGGTGGGGAGAAGCAGGCAGGGTGGAGAGTGGAAGCACCAGCCGGGCGGGAGTGGGGCATGGTTTGCTCAAACTTAAAGTATCTGTTTTATGACGTTTGGATTCTAAGCTGGACCAGTCAGGACTGAGGCTGGACCCGTGGGGCCCAGGCTGGACACTATAGTCAAGGCTGGACCCATGGGATCAAGGCTGACCCAAAGGGGCCAAGGCTAGACCAGTCAGGACTGAGGCTGGACTAGTGGAGCCAAGGCTGGACCCATTGTGGGTTGGGGGTCAATTCTAACCCAAAAGGACCAAGGCTGGACCATTGGGGCTGAGACTGGACCACCGCAGTCAAGGCTGTGCCCTTGCGGGTCAAGGCTAACCCAAAAAGTCCACAGCTGGTCTAGTCAGGACTGAGGCTGGACCAGTGGAGCCAAGGCAGGACCCACAGGGGGTTGAGCCTAACCCAGTGGGGCCAAGGCTAGACCAGTAGGAACCGGGCTGGACCAGTGGGGCTGAGGCTGGTTTGACAGGGCTTGCTTTTGCCCAAGACACTCATAAATGGGTGGGGGGGGACGCCCCGAAGCCACTGAATCGGGAGGTGGGCGTAGCCCTGCCACCCCACTGACTGCCTGAGGGGTGGCTCGGTCCCCAGCTGAGTCCTGAGAGTGCAGAGGAGTACATTGAGTACCTCAAGTCAAGTGACCGGCTGGATGAGGCCGCCCAGCGCCTGGCCACCGTGGTGAACGACGAGCGTTTCGTGTCTAAGGCCGGCAAGTCCAACTACCAGGTGGGCCTGCCGGGAGCCGGCAACTGGGTGGGAGGGCCACCCCCTCCATGACTGAGCCTGAGACTCTCCCCCACTGCCCCATGCCCTGCAGCTGTGGCACGAGCTGTGCGACCTCATCTCCCAGAATCCGGACAAGGTACAGTCCCTCAATGTGGACGCCATCATCCGCGGGGGCCTCACCCGCTTCACCGACCAGCTGGGCAAGCTCTGGTGTTCTCTCGCCGACTACTACATCCGCAGCGGCCATTTCGAGAAGGTGCATGCTGGCACACGGGGCTCTGGGTTCGGGGCGGGGTCTCCCTCCGACACTCGGGGACACATGTTGACACATGCACAGGCAGAAAACATGCCATTTATGGCTGGGTGTGGTGGCTCACACCTGTCATCCCAGCACTTTGGGAGGCCGAGGCGGTAGGATCACTTGAGGTCAGCAGTTCAAGACCAGCCTGGCCAACATGGTGAAACCCCATCACTACTAAAAATACAAAAATTAGTCAGACATGGTGGTGCGCGCCTGTAATCCCAGCTACTCGGGAGGCTGAGGCAGGAGAATCGCTTGAACTTGGGAGGTGGAGGTTGCCGTGAGCTGCGATCGCGCCACGGAAGTCCAGCCTGGGTGGCAGAGCGAGACTCCATCTCAAAAAAAAAAAAAAAAAAAAAAAGTGCCATTTTTGACAGACATGCATATCCCTGCACACGATTACTATCCTGCTGAGGGTGGGGGAGCACTCCTGCCCGCAGGCACGTCAGCCTTGGAGTCAGCCACATTTGCGTTCAGGGTTCACCCTCTGGCTCTGCGGCCTTGGCCCCACTAAGGTGGGGTGTCTTCATTTGTAAAATCAGGGTGACAGTTACTGCCTGTCACCAATCAGCTCAGTGACGCAGGCACAGCACTGAGGAGGTACGTGGTGTGAGGGCCACTCCCTCAGGGGTTAGCTGACTGTGGCTCTTGGCAGGCAGTGGAGTGGCAAGCTCAGGGGATGGCCTGGGGGCAGGTGGGTGCAGAGGGGGCCAGAGCCGAGAGCGGGGAGGCTCAGGAACCCAGGGAAGATAGGTTGGGAGCCTCGAAAGCCAAACGGGCTGGCCATGCTCCTGGCTGGGGGAGCCGCCAGTGGGGTGTGGGCGGTATGCGCTTCGCAGCGCCCCTTCCAGGGGCACGTGTAGGCCAAGGCTGTCGGAGGCAGCAGGGCAAGACCCGTCAGGGCTGGGTAGAGAGAGGGGACCTGAGCTGGGGTGGGCGAGCCAGGTGGAGGACAGGCGGGCTGGGGAAGAGGGTCAGGCAAGCGAGAGGGACGCTTTGGAGCAAATTCTGAGGCCTCGGAGGATGAGCTGAGGCGAGGGTCCCTGCAGGGTGGACCCATAGGCGCTGGGGGGTTTTTGGCCACCTATTGGGTGCCAAGTGCTTCACACATGTGTCTCAGTCGAGCCCTGAGGTCACTGTGTGCAAAGGGCAGTCACCCAGTTTACTGAGGAGGTCCTGAAGCTCCCAAGACCACCCTGGCAGTGCAGGGCAGGGCGGGGGTGAGAAGGCTCCACGGAGGCTCTGTCCTGGGGTCACTACCCAGAGGTGCTGGATGCGTCACTACCCAGAAGGCCCCCAGGGGTTCCACATTGAGGCTGGTGCTAAGAGTGCTGCTGCCTGTCCCCTGCGCCACTTTCCTCTCACCTCCCCTTCCCTGGGTCCCCACAGGCTCGGGACGTGTACGAGGAGGCCATCCGGACAGTGATGACCGTGCGGGACTTCACACAGGTGTTTGACAGCTACGCCCAGTTCGAGGAGAGCATGATCGCTGCAAAGATGGAGACCGCCTCGGAGCTGGGGCGCGAGGAGGAGGGTGAGCCTCTGGGGGCCCCGGCTGGTGGGGAGAGAGCTGAGTGGACATTAGCGGTAGGGGCGGGACACATCTCAGGTGAGGCAGCCCTGGGAGGCTCAGCTGGGGGCCAGCAGGGAAGGAGGCTGAGTGGATGCAGGGGGTGTGGGGGTCTTGAAGGAGCCAGGAATGGGGACACTTCTCAGGCCTGGGCCAGAGCCTGGCAGGGCAGGAGGGCTAGGGGAACAGTGGGGGTAGGAGGGGGTATCCACAGTACCTGGGGCTGGGGGTGGGGCTCAGGTGGACACCCGAGCTGAGTGTCTAGGGCCCAGAGCACTTGGCTGGGGGCTGGAGCGGAGTGAGGGTGGGGAGTGGAGGCGGTGGCATCCGGGGACCTGCATCCTGGGTCTCCGCCCCTGACAAACATGTTCGCGGCTCCCAGATGATGTGGACCTGGAGCTGCGCCTGGCCCGCTTCGAGCAGCTCATCAGCCGGCGGCCCCTGCTCCTCAACAGCGTCTTGCTGCGCCAAAACCCACACCACGTGCACGAGTGGCACAAGCGTGTCGCCCTGCACCAGGGCCGCCCCCGGGAGGTACATGAAGCCTGCCCCAGTCCTACCCCTGAGGGCCAGTTTCCTGCAGAACTGGGGAGCCACCCACCTTCACCCATAATGTCACCTTCTAGGGGCCTGACTTTGCTTAGTAGGTCCAATTCCACCCCTGTTCTTGGGGTTCTCCTCCTGCCCGAGCCCCGCCCCTCAGAGCCACAGTCCCTCCTGGCCCCACCCCTTGGAGGGCCACAGCTCCCTCGTGGCCCCGCCCCTTGGAGGGTCACAGCTCTCTCCTGGCCCCGCCCCTTAGGGCCACAGCTCTCTCTTGGTCCTGACCATTGTCAAGGGCCATAGTTCGTTTCTGGCCTCTCCCGACAGGGGCCACAGCACCCTCCAGGCCCCACCCCTCAGAGCCACAGCTCTGCCCCGACCGTCATCTGCAGGGTCCTGAGTCCTATATGACCTCCTCCCTCCTGTCCCCAGATCATCAACACCTACACAGAGGCTGTGCAGACGGTGGACCCCTTCAAGGCCACAGGCAAGCCCCACACTCTGTGGGTGGCGTTTGCCAAGTTTTATGAGGACAACGGACAGCTGGACGATGTGAGCACCCTGTTGCGTGTGCCTGTGTGTTCATGCATGTGTGTGTGCTTGTATATGTGTGCATGTATGTGTGTGTACATATTTGTGCATGGATGTGTGCACGTGTGTGTGCATGTGCATTTGGGTGCATGCATATGTGCACGCATGTGTGTGCCTGTGTGTGTGCCTGTGTGTTTGTGCCTGTATGTTTGTGAGCATGGTCACCTTTCTGACCCTTGATGGTGGGAGCTGTCCAGGTGGGCAGGGTCTCAGCCTCGCCTCTGCCCGCCCCGGCAGGCCCGTGTCATCCTGGAGAAGGCCACCAAGGTGAACTTCAAGCAGGTGGATGACCTGGCAAGCGTGTGGTGTCAGTGCGGAGAGCTGGAGCTCCGACACGAGAACTACGATGAGGCCTTGCGGCTGCTGCGAGTGAGAACAGGCCCAGGCTGTGGGGTGGGGGCTGCAGGTTGTAGGGCAAGGGCCAGGGACAGCCCCTGAGCGCCTCCCCGGCCACTGTCTGCCCCTGCAGAAGGCCACGGCGCTGCCTGCCCGCCGGGCCGAGTACTTTGATGGTTCAGAGCCCGTGCAGAACCGCGTGTACAAGTCACTGAAGGTCTGGTCCATGCTCGCCGACCTGGAGGAGAGCCTCGGCACCTTCCAGGTGAGCTGCCTGTGGCTGGGGAGGGACGGGGCCCCGGACTCAGCTCCAGAACCAGCTCCAACCTTTCCCATCCCCACCCCTGCAGTCCACCAAGGCCGTGTACGACCGCATCCTGGACCTGCGTATCGCAACACCCCAGATCGTCATCAACTATGCCATGTTCCTGGAGGAGCACAAGTACTTCGAGGAGAGCTTCAAGGTGAGGGGCTAGGGTGGACCCAGAGGCCCCTGATGGCAGTGTCCCCTCCCCAGGGGTCCTCAGCAACTTACGAATCTGCTGGGGCTTGTGTGACACAGTATACAGACTGGGTGACTTAAACAACAAAGATTTAGCTTCTCCCCGTCCTGGAGGCTGGAAGTCCAGGATCGAGGCATGGGCAGGGCTGGTTCCTCCTGAGGCCTCTCTCCTTAGCTTACAGACAGCCGCCTTCTCCCTATGTCTTTGTGTGGCCTTCTCTTTGTGTGTGTCACTTTTGAAATTTCCTCTTCTTATAAAGGACATCAGTCATAATGGATTAGGTGGCCCCTAACGACCTCAGTTTAACTTAGTGATCTCATCTTCAAACGAATCTACTTTCTGAGGTACTGGGGGTTAAGATTTGAGCATATGAATGTTTTGAGGGGGGCACAGTTCATTCCATAGCAGGCACAGAATCCTACTTCCACGTGCACCCATGACTCATGGGGAGGGTGTTGGTGCCAGTGTGTGCGGGCTCTCCCTGCCCCGCTGCTCAGGAGACGGGTTGTGGGGTCCAGGGGGTGGGTTGCGTGTCCGTGGGAAGGCCATGTCCCGCGGCCGGAGCAGTCATGTTTGAGTGTGTGTTTCTATGGATCGTGTGGGCATTATACAGATACACAAATGGGGAGGTCGTACATGCATACGCGTGCTACTGCCTGCCCCTCTGTCAGGGGGTGCGGCCTTCTCCCTGGGGACAGGCAGCCAGCGTCAGCGGAGCTGGGGAGCCACCCACCTTCACCCATCATGTCACCTCCTATGGGGCCAGACTGTGCTTAGCAGGTCCCATTGCACCCCTGTTCTTGGGGTTCTCACAGAGGGAGACAGTGCAGAGGACAGACCCCCACAACTGCCATTAGGGACAGGGAGGCGTGGACAGGGAAGGGCCCCAAGGGAGTTCCTGGCAGGCTCCCTACAGACGCCACCCAAGGACATCCCGGGTGCCTGGTGGTCTCTATCTGCAGACTCTCACATGTGACTCTCCCTCTGGTAACAGGCGTACGAGCGCGGCATCTCGCTGTTCAAGTGGCCCAACGTGTCCGACATCTGGAGCACCTACCTGACCAAATTCATTGCCCGCTATGGGGGCCGCAAGCTGGAGCGGGCACGGGACCTGTTTGAACAGGCTCTGGACGGCTGCCCCCCAAAATATGCCAAGAGTGAGGCGGGCAGAGGGCATGGGGGGGGTGGCGGGCGGGCTGGGTTTCTGACTGGCCCCGGCTGACCGTGCTCCCCTCTCCCCGCCTACCCCGCCCAGCCTTGTACCTGCTGTACGCACAGCTGGAGGAGGAGTGGGGCCTGGCCCGGCATGCCATGGCCGTGTACGAGCGTGCCACCAGGGCCGTGGAGCCCGCCCAGCAGTATGACATGTTCAACATCTACATCAAGCGGGCGGCCGAGATCTATGGGGTCACCCACACCCGCGGCATCTACCAGAAGGCCATTGAGGTACCCACCGTGGGGGGCTGGGCCGGGGCCAGAGGTCCCTGAGCAGACGGAAGGGGTCCAGGCAGGTGGGAGGGGCTGAGGAGGAGCCTTCTGGAAGCACAGGGATGGCCATGGTGTGTTGGGAGCCCCCGAGCTACCCCGGCCTCACTCCCGGCCTCCCCAACCCCGGTGTCCAGGTGCTGTCGGACGAGCACGCGCGTGAGATGTGCCTGCGGTTTGCAGACATGGAGTGCAAGCTCGGGGAGATTGACCGCGCCCGGGCCATCTACAGCTTCTGCTCCCAGATCTGTGACCCCCGGGTAGGGCTGTGGGGAGGGACGGGTATCAGGGTTGGGGGCTGCGGCGGAGTCAGCCAGCTCACGGGCACACACACCCACCCCTGCCCTGCCCCCCACGCAGACGACCGGCGCGTTCTGGCAGACGTGGAAGGACTTTGAGGTCCGGCATGGCAATGAGGACACCATCAAGGAAATGCTGCGTATCCGGCGCAGCGTGCAGGCCACGTACAACACGCAGGTCAACTTCATGGCCTCGCAGATGCTCAAGGTCTCGGGCAGTGCCACGGGCACCGGTGAGCCGTCCCAGCTGGCTGAGTTCCTGATCCAGGGCATCTCAGCCCGGCCTGACCTGGGCTTTCCGGGTCTGGGAGCCTCGGATCCTGATGGCAATCTCCTTGAGGGCTGGGCCATCACCTGGGGGACTGGGATAGTGCAACGTCCGATGTGTGGGAGGGGCCCCCGTGGCGCTGACCCCCTGCTCCCACCCCCTAGTGTCTGACCTGGCCCCTGGGCAGAGTGGCATGGACGACATGAAGCTGCTGGAACAGCGGGCAGAGCAGCTGGCGGCTGAGGCGGAGCGTGACCAGCCCTTGCGCGCCCAGAGCAAGATCCTGTTCGTGAGGTGAGGGCGGATCCTTGGACGGGACAGGACTGGGACAGGTCCCAAGGGGGCCCGGGGTGGGGAACTGAGGCAGCATGGCCCGTCCCTAGGAGTGACGCCTCCCGGGAGGAGCTGGCAGAGCTGGCACAGCAGGTCAACCCCGAGGAGATCCAGCTGGGCGAGGACGAGGACGAGGACGAGATGGACCTGGAGCCCAACGGTGAGGGCCCGGCTGGGGCGGGGACGGTGGCATTACCAGGGTGGGCCTCGGGGGACAGGCCAACGCCAGGAGGGTGACTGGCTCCCGCCTTCCCCACAGAGGTTCGGCTGGAGCAGCAGAGCGTGCCAGCCGCAGTGTTTGGGAGCCTGAAGGAAGACTGACCCGTCCCTCCCCCATCCCCCCTCCCCACCCCCTCCCCAATACAGCTACGTTTGTACATCATGGTCTGAGCCTCCTTCCTGCTGCCCAGGTGCCCGAGGGAGTACAGCTCAGGAGTGCCTGGCCCTGGGCCGGGATTGGCTGCTGTGGGAGGTGGGGCGGCTGGGCCCCAGGCCAGATACTGCCCGGCCTCACCCCGCAGAGCCAGTTCTGGACTCGAGAGGCCAGTCCCTCCGCTGCCTGGGGCCTTGGAGTGGGTCCTGCCCGGAAACTTCCTTGAGCCTCTGTAGCCTGGGAAGGGCAATCCAGCCCCTGGCTGCCCAGGTCTCGCCAGCCCCTGCCTCTCAGAGCCCTTCTGTGGCCCCAGGCAGCTGCCGCCTCCCTGGGGTGGCACCCACTGTCTGTTCCCCACTAGGGACTGGCCCTTGCCCTCAAGTCTTGGAGTCAGGCAGGCTCTGGCCCAGCTCTGGGAACTGATTAGTAACGCGTTTCTGTGCCTGGACGGGGGCCAGGCGCCAGACCTTGTGCACGGCCCAGGACCAGGGCGTGGTCCTTAGTCCTAAGCCTGGGAAGCCATTAGCGGGCTGTAGGCTATTAAGGGGTTTTAAGTATCAAGGGATATAATCAGATTTGTGCTTCGAACGGGTCACACAGGCTGCTGTGTGGGCAGGAGGCAGCTGGGGACATGGGGAGGCCCAGGCCATTGGCTTGGACTTTGCAGGGAGGTGACAGGGCTGGAGAGAAGCGAGTGAGACAGGAGGGGAGGGCTGAGCTGTGTAGAACTGGGCGGCAGCTGGGAAGCCAGTGCCAGCCTGGGTTGCAGGGCAGGCCTTGCATCTGAGAGAGACACCCAGGCAATGGCAGGGGGCAACTGGATTGTCAAACACAGATCTCAGAGAAACCTGGAATCACTGGCCCAGAGGTAGATGCCAGGCCTGGAAACACCAGGCTGGCCAGGGGAGACAAGATCAAGTTAGAAGTTGGCCCCATGCCAAACGCTGGTTAGGGCCAGTAACAACAGCCACACAGACCAGGAGAATCCAGCAAGCGGGGGTGGCCAAGGCCACAGGAAGGGCCAGTGGGACACCTCGAGCCTGAGAGATCAGTTCAGAGGCAGCTTCGAAACAGCCCTGGCTGGGGGCTGGGAGTGCCCTGGCTGAAGCTGCATTAGGGGATTATGGGGGTTGAAGACAGGAGTTGGTTTGAGAAAGAACAGGAGACTAAAAACACAGCCAGGGAGTGTGGGACCCCGGCCAGCCTCGGAGGGGGGGACAAGGTTCAACTTCTCTTTAAATTATTTTATTCAAGAAGTGGGGGAGGACAGACAAGGGGACTGAGCTGAGCCCTGAGTCCCTGAACCTCCCAGCTCAGCCCCCACAGCAGGACTGGACTCAAAGTCAGAGGGTGGAGACTCCAGCCCCACCCAGACACGGTTGGGGACAGACAGGACCCAGGAATACCGACTGACTGTCCTCCAGGGGATGGCGGCCGCAGCACACAGGGCCCGGCCCGTGGACCGCCCGGGTGGGGCTATTTGGGGGTGCCGCCGCCCTTCTTGGGAGTGGTGGGTTTCTTGCCCTGCCAGAGGTGTCCCTGGATGGTGAAGGCATCGACGCTCATGGACATGGTCTTGGCGGGGATCTGGGTGAAGCGCTTGCGGTCCGAGTTGTACTTGTAGATGCCTTCCACCATGGCGGGCGTGACGGTCCGGGGCCCATACCCTGCCAGCCGCGACAGCTCCTCTGTCTCCCCCGACAGCGTGTAGAGCGCCCGGAACTGGCAGCTCGAGTCGCGAAAGAGGATCAGGAAGTGGTTGGCCTTGCTTTTCTCAATTTCCTGGGCAGGAGTGCTGGAAATGGTCAGCTGGCCAAGTCAGGCCACCCACCCACCCACCAGCCCCCAACTCCCACGTGTGGGCGGGCTCACCTCCAGAATGCGATTCTTCTGCGGTTCGTTCACCTTGCCCGCCAGGCAGCAGTGTGATAGGGCATTGTGGATGATGAACTTGTTGGACTTGGCGCTGGGTTCTTTGTACAGCCGTGGACCTAGAGGGTGAGGCAGTGGGAGGGGGTGGGGGGCAGCAGGAATGAGCAGGGGCTGTGGAGGAGGGTGCCTGTTGCTCCTCACATCACCCAGAGCCCCTGCTTACCTGTGTACTCGGGCACTGACGCTGGGGAGGAGGCATTGCTGCCATTTTCCCAGTCCCGTTCGCGGCTTCCAGGCAGGCGGCTTGGGGACATGAGACCTGACGGGGAGGGAGCCCTGCAGTGGGAGAAGGATGGGATGGAGGTGGGGTCAGGATGGGATGGAGGTGGGGTCAGAGATGGGAAGCTTCCCTATGTGCAGAGGGGCCAAGGAAAATAAGGGCCACGGCTGGGCATCGTGGCTCATGCCTGTAATCCCAGCACTTCGGGAGGCCAAAGCGGGCAGATCACTTGAGGTCGGGAGTTCGAGGCCAGCCTGGCCAACATGGTGAAACACCGTCTCTACAGGCACGGGTAACCCCAGCTACTCAGGAGGCTGAGGCACGAGAATCACTTGCACCCAGGGGGCGGAGGTTGCCGTGAGCCAAGATTGCGCCACTGCACTCCAGCCTGGGCGACACAGCAAGACTCCCTCTCAAAAAAACAAAAAAAAAAAAAAAAAAAAAAAAGGCGGGCCACACACACTGCAGAGGAGGCGGTATACACTGCACACCCTCCCAAGTCCATGCAGTGCCCCGTGCTGTCCTCCTCCCACAGGAACACCTGGCACTCAAGTGCACTGAGGCACATGCTTGAGTCCTGTCTGCCAGGTACAGACTATGCCCCATGCACACGTGCCCACACGCGTCCCTCCATCTCTTCATGGCGTATCCATAAACTCGAGCCATACCGCCCTCTAGGTTCACCCAGATGCCCACACACCTCCCAGGCTCTGGGAAGCCACCCGGCATACGAACCCCGCCTGTGCGGGCTAAACTCACCGAGACGTGGGCCTCTTCACCCCGAGGTTATTGTGGGCCTCGTTGGCCACAGTGGACAGTGACAGGGTGGACTGGGAATAGATTTTGCTCAGCCGAGAGCCTGGGGACAGAGATTGCAGGTCAGTGCCCACCAGAAGCCCCTGCCCTCCACAACACCCGGTCCAGCAGGCTGTGGGGGGAACACAGGAGGAGTCAGTCCTGCCCAAGACCCCTCGGCCCTCTGCAGCACCCCTATGGGGGGACCCCTCTATGAGGGAGGATGCTTTGCCCAGCAGGCAAGTGGGGAGCAGCACTGGGTCAGCCCCTACTGGCAACGCCTCACCCCAAACATACTCCCAAAGGTTCCTATCCATGAAGCCACAGAAGAAAGACCCCTCATCCCACTGCACCCCACATCCCTATGGAAGTCTTTTTTTTTTTTTTTTGTCTTATTTCTGAGACGGAGTCTCGCTCTGTTGCCCAGGCTGGAGTACAGTGGTGCAATCTTGGCTCACCGCAACCTCCACCTCCCAGGCTCAAGCGATTCTCCTGCCTCAGTCTCCCAAGTAGCTGGGACTACAGGCATGCCATATGCCCGGCTAATTTTTGTATTTTTAATAGAGATGGGCTTTCACCATGTTGGCCAGGCTGGTCTCAAACTCCTGACCTCAGGTGATCCGCCCGCCTCAGCCTCCCAAAGTGCTGGGATTACAGGCGTGAGCCACCGCGCCCGGCCCCCTATGGAAGTCTTTACCCAAGAGACAGTGTCCAACCCCACCTGAGGCCCCCTGTCACCCCACATACCCGCCCCCTCCCGGCACCCCTGCTTACATCTCCCTCCCCCTCCCCCCTTACCCATGGGGGCCTCACCCAGTGAGCCCCGGAAAGGGCACTGGGCAGGCCCCGTCCCCCAAGGGTCCTCACCCAGCAGGCCGCGGGCTGGGCTTCGTGCCAGGGCTGAGTCGTCACAGCAACCCGAGCGAGGCCGGGTGGCCCTCCGCCCGCCCCGACCTGGACCCCCGGACCCCGCAGCCCGGGGCCGCAGCACCTTATCGAGGTCGTCCATCAGCTTCAGCTGGGCCCGGCGCTCGTACTCCTGCCGCGTGAAGTCCCCCTTCCGGGGGCCCACCTCCTCCTCGGCTGGAGCCCGGGCAGCAGGGGCTGGAGTCGCCATCGGGACTGCGGACACAAGCGGGGCTGGGCCCGGGGCCTCCTCTTGGGCCAGCCTGCAGATCACAGGGAATCGGCATCAGAACCGCTCACGGGGTCCGCGGTGGCAGACAGGCCAAGGAGCGGGCGTCCCGGGCAGGCCCGGCCTCACCTCGCGGCCTCCTCCCTCCGCTGTTCCTTCTCCACCTCCTGCCACTGCTTGCGCCGCCGCGCCTCCTCTGCTCGCCGCTGCTGCCGCTCCAGCAGGCTGGCCCGCTTTTGGGCCATCTCGTCCTCAGGCTTGTCTTCATCCTGGGGACAGACGCCGAGTCCAGCCAGCCACCCCCTCCCCCAACATGGCTGGAGGCCCATCTTCCCTCCACCCAGCCTGCCCGCCACCCACCTGTGCTTTTGTTTTCATCATTGTTCTAAATGCACTTAGTTGGTGCCTACTGTATGCACAGCCCCACACTAAGTACTGGGACACAACAGGGATGGGATACACTGGGTGCCGCTCACACACACACTGCTTAACCCAACGGGGAAGACAAAAGCAGCAGACAGCAGTGAGTGCCAGCAAAAGCTCGTGTTGGGCACAGACACTCTACACTGCGGGAGGACCCCGGCCTGGCCTGGAGACACCCAGGAAGGCTTCCCAGAGGAAGTACCCTGTAGAATGATCAGGATTTAACTAGGTGGGCGTACAGAGCAGAGCGTTCCAGGCAGAGGGGACAGCTAGTGCCGAGGCCCTGAGGCTGGAGCAAACCTACTGGGGGGCACGGAAGTACAAGGGGGCCAGTGTGGCTGGGACACAGAGCTGAGGACAGTGGCGCAGGACTAAGTCAGAAGTGAGTACAGGCCAGACGCGGTGGCTCACACCTGTAATCCCAGCAGTTTGGGAGGCCAAGGCAGGTGGATCACTTGAGGTCAGGGGTTCGAGACCAGCCTGGAGAAACCCTGTCTCTACTAAAAATGCAAAAATCAGCTGGGCGTGGTGGCATGCTCTTGTAGTCCCAGCTACTCAGGAGGGTGAGACAAGAGAATCACTTAAACCCAGGAGGTGGAGGTTGCAGTGAACCGAGATCATGCCACTGCACTCCAGCCTGGGCCACAGAGCGAGACTCTGTCTCAAAAAACAAAAAACAAAAGAAAACAAAACAAAAAAAAAAAATGAAAAGGAAGTCCTCCCCAGGGCTTTGGGCTGTGCTCACTTTTTTTTTTTTTTTTTTTTTTTTGAGATGGAGTCTCGCTCTGTTGCCCAGGCTGGAGTGCAGTGGCACGATCTAGGCCCACTGCAAGCTCCACCTCCTGGGTTCACGCCATTCTCCTGCCTCAGCCTCCTGAGTAGCTGGGACTACATGCGCCCGCCACCACGCCAGCTAATTTTTTGTATTTTTAGTAGAGACGGAGTTTCACCATGTTAGCCAGGATGGTCTCGATCTCCTGACCTCATGATCCGCCTGCCTTGGCCTCCCAAAGTGCTGGGATTACAGGCATGAGCCACTGCGCCCGGCCACCCTGGGGAGGACTTTCATTCTAAAAGCAAGGGTAAGGGGAGCAGTCAAAATCCCCGACCACTCAGTGCAAAATGGCCCGGGATGGAGGCAGGCAGCAGAGGCCAGTCAGGTAACCCTAGGTGTCCCCGGCTGGGAAAGCCATGGGAATGGAGAGACAGTGGACACAGGGCAGGGCCAGGAAAGGGGTGGTAGGAGCGTGCTGGGGGCGAGGGGGTGAAGGAGAGGATGAGCAAGGAGGTGCGCTGAAGATCCTGGTCCTGTCCGTCTATCTGTCCATCACCCACCCACCCATGCAACCAGCCATTCATCCATCTGTCTATCCATGACTCCTCCCTGTTTCTCCACCCCTCCCCACATCTATCTATCCCCCTTGTCCGGCCACCCATACCTTGTTTGGGAGGGACATGACTGGGTCAGCCCCCACTGGAAACCCCTCACCCCCAAACATACCCGAGGGCCTCACTCATTAAGCCACAGGGGGAGGACCTCTCACCCCACTGCACCCCCACAGCCCCTTGTGGAAGTCCTTACCCAACAGACAGGGTCAAATCCCATCTGAGGCCCCTGTCACCCCACATACCTGCCCCCCACCGTGCAAATGTCCCTTTCCCCCCTCTCCCACCCATGGAGGCCTTACCCAGCCACTCACACCTGTTCTGTCCATTCATACCTGGCTCCCCATCTATCCCCCACCCGCCCACCCATCCTTCAGTAAAGCCCTATTCATCCAATAGTGGGTTTGTCCACCTCCCCCCGCCCCCACCCGCCCCCGCCCCAGGCCCAGGACCCTCCAGCCACCTGCTCGGGGACTCACCTTGTAGAAGAACCCCAGCCCCACCCGGGGCTCCCCCTCCGAAGACGCCTCCTCCTCCAAGGAATCCTCAGCACCAGCGGGGCTCCCGTCTCCCTCGTCCTCGGCGGCGGGATCTGCCAGGCTGCCCAGCGGGATCTCGATGAGGCCCGGCCGGGCGGCTGGCTCCTCGGGGGGCGTCTCCTCCGCCAGGAGGATGGAAGAGCGCGTCTGCACGGGCACCTGGCTCGGCGAGAACTTGCGCAGGTGGGGGAGGCTGTCTACGTCGTGGGGTGGCGTAAGCACCCTGGTCAAGGGTGCCAGCCGCAGCTCCGCTGGCCGCGTGTGTTTCGGGCTGCGGGGTGACTGGCTGGGCCCGGGCCCAGGGCTGCGCCGGGTGGCCGGGACTCGCCGGGCGGGGCTGGGGGATGCAGCTTTGGGCCCCGTCGTGGGGCCAGGGATGACCCACGCAGCAGGTGGTGGGGCGGATCCGGGGGCCTCGGGCGGGGCCAGGAGCCGCTGCTGCTGGTCCGTGAGCCTCTGCATGTCCCGCTGCAGCGAGCTCAAGGCGGCACTCAGCTTGCTGACCGCTCGATTGTATTCCCCCAGCCCCTCGTGGGGCACCGGGCCCAGGTCTGGCGAGAAGGTCACTGCCTTGGGCCGTGAGGTTGGCTCACCCTGGCCCTCGCCTGCGGGCCGCTCCCCACCAGGGACTGGACCGGAATCGGCCTCCTCCGCCTCTGCTTCCGCCTCCCCAGAGGCTTCCCGCGGCTGCACCTGCAGGAAGGCGCTTTTGCCCAGCCGCTGGCGGTGCTTGGCGAATATGGCCTCAATCCGTCGCTTCTGAGCCTCGATGGCTCTGCGTTTCTCCTCCAGCCGGGCGCTGAGCTCACTCATCTCCGAGCTCAGGGCCTCCGGCGGGGCCGGAGTGGACGTGGGGGACCCCGCTCCGGCCTCAGCCTCTGCCTTCACCAGCTGTTTCTTGCGTTCTGCAAAGCTGGTCATTTTCACCTCGGAGTTGGTGGCTGCTGGGGACGAAGCCACCGCCTTCGGGGACCCCTCGGATGGGGCTGGCGGTTTCGATGCCTCCCCCACCAGACAGGGAGATGGTTTCGAGGGGGTCTCGGGGTGTGGCATGTACACTGGTGCTTTGGTGGGCCTGTCGGACAGTGGTTTGGAGGTCCCCTCGGGCAGGTAGGGGGAGGCCAGGGATGGCTTGGAGGGCCCCTCAGGGGAGTGGAGGTAGAAGCTGCCGTCGGCCGCCCCATCTGGGAGGAGCCGGGGCTCGGCACTGTGGATGATCTGCAGAGCTTCCTCGATGGTGGGCAGGTCACCAGGCTCCGGGGGTGGCTGGGTGGGGGTCCTGGCCGGCGCGGGACGCGGGGGGCCCAGGCTGTCCGAGCTCACAGAGCGGAGGAGCACAGGGTCTCCCATGACGACATCCACGTCGCTGTCCAGGCCAAAGGGGGTGCTGAATGACACAGCCTGGGAGAGGGGACGGCTGGGCGGCCGGAGGGAGGGGTCAGCCCCTGGGACCAGCCTCGGCCCCAACCCGCCCTAGCCTGCTCCACCCCCTACCCTGGCCTGTGAGGTCTACTCACCTGAGCTGCCGGTTCCAGGCCTTGCCCAGGGCCTCCATATGGGACATGGACGGGGAAGACTTCAGGGAGCCTGGGGGAGGCGATGAGTGGTCACTATGGGGACCCTGGGAACCCTGAGTGGGGTCAGCCAGCATCTGGGGACAACCTCTGCAAGGTCATTGGGTGAGTCACTGATGGCTCATTATGTGGTCTAGTGAGACCAGAGGTTTCCAGAAACAGATACCCGGGGCCATTTACTGTCACTACGGGGTACTGTGGGGCCACTGGGGAGGCCATTCTGGGGGTCACTTTGGGATGCCCAAGGGGGATCTGATGGAGAGGCTATTGGAAGGCTCACGAGGAGACAACATGAGGCCCACTGGGGCAGTCTGTGAGTGGGGGGGTCCCCCGTGACAGAAGCCACCTACCCCCTCCTCACCTGTGGATCCTCGGAGTGGGGACTGGGGGCCACCAGATGACAGAAGCGGGTGGCGGAAGGTGAAGACAGGAGAACTGTACGGAGAGACGTACTTCAGCCTCAGGACCCCCACCTCCTCCTCCGCCTCTCCCCGGGGGGAGACAACAGCATCACCCAGCTGCGTCCCAGTGCTCAGCAAGGCAGACATGGAGCCCCACACCCACAATGCCAGAGACTCGCCCAGTGTGGGGAGCGTACCTACTGCCGCTGTTGTTCTGAGGTGGGGAGGCCTCAGTGCCCCGGGGGGAGGCAGCTGCAGTACAGAGAAGAGGGTCAGGCGGGGGTTTGGCTCTCCCACCCGCCCCCGACCCGGCCCCCAGGCCCCCAGGGCCTCACCGTGACCATCGGGCAAGTCCTTCACTTGCACAAAGTCGGGCTTGAGCACCTCAAAACACATGAACAACTCGGCCAGCATCACCACCAAGTTGACCTGGAGGTGGGAGGCCGGGTCAGCAGACGGGACCCCTGGCCCCAGATGCCCGCCTCGGCCCAGGAGGCCCCAGGATGGCCTTACCTTGAGTGGCGGTGGGACGTACAGCAAGTCCTCAAGGGACAGGGGGCAGCCACGAGGAAGGCGAGAGGCACAGAAATCCTGCACGAGCTGGAGGTTGTACAGGCTGTCCGCCACAGACATGGGGTCCTTCAAGCACACCTCTGTGGGGACAGGAGGAGTGGGTCCCCAACTCTATGAGGAGGAGGATGGGGCCCCAGGGAAGCCAGGGACCAGCAGTCCCCCACACACGGAAGACCTCCTATGAGCCCAGCTTCTGCCAGGTGCCCTTCGAGAGGTGAATTCTTTTTTTTTTTTTTTTGAGATGGAGTCTCGCTCTGTCACCCAGGCTGTAGTGCAGTGGCGCAATCCCAGCTCACTGCAACCTCTGCCTCCCGGGTTCAAGTGATTCTCCCACCTCAGCCTCCTGAGTAGCTGGGATTACAGGAGTGTGCCACAACACCAGGCTAATTTTTTGTGGTTTTAGTAGAGATGGGGTTTCACCGTGTTAGCCAGGATGGTCTCGATCTCCTGACTTCATGATCCGGCCGCCTCAGCCACCCAAAGTGCTGGGATTACAGGCGTGAGCCACTGTACCCGGCCGAGGTGAATTATATGATAGACCGTCCTTAGGCCGGGGGTCCTTAACCCCCGGGGCGTGGCCTGTCAGGAACTGAACCGTACAGCAGGTGAGCTGCAGTGAGTGTATTTACAGCCGCTCCCCGTCACTTGCAGGACCACCCGAACCCCGCTTCCGTCAGATCAGCGGCGGCATTCGATTCTTACAGGAGCGCGAACCCTATTGTGAACCTGGCGTGTGAGGGATCTAGGTTGCACCCTCCTTATGAAAATCGAATGCCTGATGATCTGTCACTGTCTCTCATCACCCCCAGCTGGGACCGTCTAGTTGCAGGAACAAGCTCAGGGCTCCCACTGGTTCCCCATGATGATGAGTTGTAGAATTATTTCATTCTATGTTACAACGTATTAGATATAAAGTACATAATAAAGATTAACGTGCTTGAATTATCCCAAGACCACCTCCCTGCCTCCATCTGTGGAAAAATTGTCTTCCACAAAACCGGTCCCTGGAGCCAAAAAGTTGGTGACTATTGCCTTAGGCCTTTGCATCTTTCTAGAACACTCTCCCCCAAGACCTCAGCTCAAAAAGCTTTTCCGGGCCAGGTGTGGTGGCTCACACCTGTAATCTTAGCACTTGGGGAGGCTGAGGTGGGAGGATGTTTGAGCCCAGGGATTCAAGACCAGCTTGGGCAACATAGCAAGACCCCATCTCTATTTTATACTTTTTTTTTTTTTTTTTTGAGATGGAGTCTCGCTCTGTTGCCCAGGCTAGAGTGCAATGGCATGGTCTTGACTCACTGCAACCTCCACTTCCTGGGTTCAAGCGATTCTCCTGCCTCAGCCTCCTGTGTAGCTGGGATTACAGGCGCCCGCCACCGCACCCGGCTAATTTCTGTATTTTTAGTAGAGACGGTTTCACCATCCTGGCCAGGCTGGTCTTGAACTCGTGACCTCGTGATCCACCCGCCTCGGCCTCCCAAACTGCTGGGATTACAGGCGTGAGCCACCACACCCAGCCCTATAATTTTTTTTTTAATAAAAAAGAAAAAAGAGTTTTTTTAAAAAAAGCTTTTTCTGACCACCCATTGCCTTTAGGACTACCCAGTATGCAAAAAGTACTTCTGGGCCGGGTGCAGTGGTTCACACTTGCAATCCCAGCACTTAGGGAGGCCAAGGTAGGCAGATCACTTGAGGTCAGGAATTCGACACCAGCCTGGCCAACACGGTGAAACCCGTCTCTACTAAAAATACAAAAATTAGCCAGGCGTGGTGGCGTGTGGCTGTAGTCCCAGCTACTCAGGAGGCTGAGGCAGGAGAATGGCTTGAACCTGGGAGGTGGAGGTTGCAGTGAGCCGAGATCATGCCATTACACTCCAGCCTGGGCAACAGAGCAAGACTCCCGTCTCAAAAAAAAAAAAAAAAAAGTACTTTTGGATAAACTTAGTATCTTTCTCTCCCAGCTAGAGCCGTCTGTGAAGTGGGGAGTGTGTCTCTATTCTGGCTGGATCCCCAGTGCCTAAAACAAGGTCTGGCACACAGTCCACACTCCATACGTTTCATCTGCTGCAGGAATGAACTCCTGGAAGCACAGAGAGGTTTATATACTTGTGTGAGGTCACAAAGCTCATTGGGGAAGAGAGAGACACAAACTCAGGCCTGCCAGTTCCGGAAGCTGCCCTCATGACCACTGCATCGTTGCTGGTCTCGCGGACCTGGGGATGGAGGGTCTAGGGGCTGGGACTTAGGATGCCCAGCTCCCCGGCACAAGATCTGTTCCACATCCATTTACTCACCCTCAAGTCGAAGCAGCTGGGGACAATAGCAGTGGATGGTGGCGGCCAGCGCGGCCCCACTGGCCAGGTCCTGGAGGCTGGTCACCGTCGGGAAGCAGGGGGCACGTCGCGCCACCACACGGTCCTTGCGGTATCGGATCTGCAGATGGGAGCCAGGTCAGGTGAGTGGCCAGGCTGGCCCCCAGGGTCAGCGGTCATGCAGGCTGGGCAGGGAGGCCTGGGGTTTCCGCCATGAGGGGGCGGGAAGCTGGGGGTCCCAGAGACAGAGTTGGGGGGCCAGCCTGGAGCAGGGGAGGGGCAGCAGCAAGAGGCAGAGGAGATGTCTTCGAGCAGCCAGGCCAGCAGCGGGGGCTGGGGACAGGGACTCCTGGGACCCCGGGGCGGGGGATACATTACCATGGGGGGTTTGCTCCCCGACTCCTTCAAACAGAAGGCAATTGCGTGCTGGGGGGAGAGGAGCAGCCATCAGCAAGGGGGAGGGGTGCTGACCTGCTGGGCCCCCAAGCCCACCTTGGGGGGGAGGGGGTAGCCCTGACCCTGGTCCTGAGCCCCGGCCGTCCAGCTCCCTGACTGCTCTGGCCGGCTTCGCGAACCCCAGCTCCTCCCAGCCCCAAGGGACCCCACAGAGTAGGAACCCCCTCTTATGCGGGGAATCCTCCTCCCACAAAAGACCCAGGCCCCCAGCTTGGGGAGAGGATGCAGAGGAAGCGGGTAGGCAGGAAGGGAACCTCCCAACCCAGGCCCCAGGGTGGGGGAAGGAGTGAGCAAAGGTGGGGACGCCAGCCAGCCCAAAACCTCCCCCACTTCCTCCTTGTTTATCTACTATGGGAGTAATTTATATGAAGCACAGAGAGGTTTAGATACTTCTGCAAGGTCACACAGCTCATTCAGGGAAGAGAGAAATTTCAACTTCCAGCTTCAGGGATGGGCCTCCTCCTCCTTTTCAAAGCTGGGATTTTTCTCTAGGGAAGCTGGGGGTCTCAGTTAGGAAAGTTATTCTATCTTCTTCTGCATTGGAGGGTCTTCCCCTTGGCCAGAGGGTGCCCTGCCTGCTAGGGTCAGGATCCACGTTTGTGATGGGCTGCAGGTCCCCCCTTCAGAAATTTATGTGGTCTCCCCACCTCGGCTAAGGGGGACAGGTTCAGGGGGTCCCACCCTCTTCATTAATGGGAACGGGGAGGGCTTGCCCTTCTGAATAACGGGAGGGGAAGTTCGTCCCCACCCATCAGTTCGCTGGGGGAGGGGTCTGCCCTCTCAGTTAATGGCCGAGATTCTACCCTTCTCTTGGTTCACAGAGGGGTTCTCCCTGTCTCCCAGGACTGGGGTCCAACCTCCTTTGCTCACAGCTTGGGGAGGTATGAGAGGGCGCGCAGACAGGCAGGCAGAAACAGACATACAGACAGACAGAGCTACAAGCAGGGCAGGCAGACGGGGCGGACAGACAGCCCCACTTACAGGAACCAGCTTCCAGTACCAGCGCGTAGGGCACTGAGGCCAGAGAGGCAGAGAGGAGGGCAGCGGGTACCGGCACAGGGGACGGGCAGGGCACAGAGAGATTGAGAGAGGGGGGAAGAAAGAGAGAGTGTGTCACCTCTAGCCCCCTCCCCACTTCAGGAGTGTCCAGGAAGCACAGCCCTGCCCTCCCAGATCTCCGGTCCCCCATCCTTCTGACGGTTCTATGCCCTGGCCTCACCGAGGGCTGCGCCGGGGCCGCCCCGTCTGCAGGGGCTGCTGGAGAGGCTCGCTGGGCCGCTTCCTGCTCGGTCTTCTCCTGCAGCCGCCGGACGGTCTGGAGGGCAGGGAGGGGGTCAGTGGTCTGGCCACTGGACGATGCTGGTCCCCGAACCCACCCCAGGCCCAACCCCACCTACCGTGTCCACCCAGAAAAGCAGCTTGTGCTCCAAGCTGGTCAGGGCCAAGGGACCTGGCAGGGTCTTTGTCCACTCGAAGGCAAAGGCAGCCATGAGGGCATCAATGACAGCTAGGTGGGCTCCCTGTGGGGGCAAGCGCTAGAGGGTGAGACCTGAGAGCTGCAGGAGGCGCACCTCGGCCCCCAAGGGCCTGGGAAAAGGAAGAACCTGCAGATGGGAGGGACTTGACGGGGGGGGTGGGGCTTGAGGGGGCGGGGCCAGTGGTTCATGGGTGGGGCCTTAAGGGAAGGAACAAGAAATGGGGTCCCGGAAAAGCCACGCACGATGGGTGGGACTTTGAGGTCAGATGCTAGGCGTTAGGATAGGGTGGGCTGTGTACACAAATCCTCAAGGGCCAGAGTAGCGCCTTTTTGGGGAGCTGGGTTTGATGGGAGGGGCCAGGCTTGATGGGAAGAGCTTGAGGGGAGGAGCCAGGGCTGGGGGGAAGAGCTAGGCTTAATGAACAGAGCTTGAGGGGAGGAGCCTGGACTGGTGGGAGGAGCTAGGTTTGATGGACAGAGCTTAAGGGACAGAGCCAAGACTGATGATAGGAGGAGCTAGGTTTGATGGACATAGCTTAAGGGAAGGAGCCAAGACTGATAGGAGCTAGGCTTAATGGATAGCGCTTGAGGGGAGGAGCCAGACCTCGTGGGAGGAACTAGGCTTAATAGCGCTTGAGGGGAGGAGCCAGGCCTGGTGGGAGGAACCTGGGGGAGGAGCCAAGCCTGATGGGAGGAGCTAGGCTTAATCGACAAAGCTTGAAAGGAGCCAAGACTGATAGAGGGAACTTGGGAGGAGCCAGGACTGGCGGGAGGAGCTTGAGGGGAGGAGCTGAGCATGGTAGGCGTGGTCTAACAGGCAGTGGCGGGGCCTACCATGAGAATGGGCTGGTGCCTCAGGTCGGCCTCGCGCACCGGGCGCTCGGGCAAAGCAGGCACTGTGCCCCTCCGCGCCAGCAGGGCCAGCAGTGCAGAGGGGTTGGGGGGTGTTTCAAGCTGTGGCAGTGCCTGGCGCCAGGCTCTGCAGTAGAGCTCGGCTGAGAGCAGCAGCCGTGTCACCGGGGGCTTCACATGCTCCTGCGCGTACTGGTCGGTATAGAAGGGCTCCCACAGCTCCGGGGGCACGTGCTCTGTGGGGGCATAGAGGGGAAACACGGGGGTCAGGGTCACCAGATACAACACACACACACACACACACACACACACACCACATGGCCCGGATTAAGAGTGTGTCTGGACCAGGGAGGATGGCATTGGGAAAGGAGAAAGGGGATCTGGGCTGAGAGTGCAGATGTGCAGGAGTTTGCTGGAGGAAGGGGTGATGGCGTTGTAGGCAGAGGGGCCTGCAGATGCAAAGCCCAGCAGGTGGGAGAGAACACGGTGCCTCAGGGAGCTGATGGGCACTTAGAGTGGAAAGGAGGGGAGGCTACCCCCAATACCAGGCCAGCTGGACTGGCTCTTGTAGGTCCCAGGAAAGACAATAACATCGGCAATCCTAAGAGCCTTCCTGCTCTTGCCAATGTAGACTCACTGAGCCTTACATCAACGCTAGGAGGCAGCCAGGGCCCAATTGGCAACCCCCATGTTACAGAGGAGGAAACTGAGGCACAGAGAAGGAAAGTCCCTTGCCCCAGGCCAAATAACTCTTCAACACCAGGACTGGGGTTAGACCCAGCAAACTGGACGCCCTCTCTTAGCTTGCAGGCAGGGGGGGATGAGTGGGGGGCACACAGGCGAGCAGGGGAGGTGGGCACACCACAGGCACATCGAGGGAGTTGAGTGATGTAAACCTGGTGATTGAAGGGAGGAGGCAAGGGACAGAGAGGGAGGTAGCCAGGACCTTGCTGGGTCTGAGGGGGAAGAGGGAAGAGAGGGGTAATGACTGAGCTTGGGTGCAGGAGGAATGGGAGGTGAAGGGGTGAAATTGAATGTGAGGGGCTTTGAGGACATCCTTGAGGCAGATTATGTGAAAGGCTGGGGCTTAGAGAGATGGTGAGGTCACATCATAGAGACAGCCTGAGGTCCCTAAATAGGACAATGGGAAGAGGCGTGAGGAAGCCCCAGGTGGACAGTGGGCTGGGGGCAGAAATCCACGTAGGACCAAGAGTGGAGAGGAGAAGGCCAGGAAGGCTTGGCAGGGGTCGGGGAAGAGGTGACTGAAATCAACAGCAGGGAATCTGTCCAGCTCTTGTTCTAATCTGCACAGCTTTTGCGGTTTTTTGGAGATAAGAGTCTCTCTGTCGCCCAGGCTGGAGGGCAGTGGTGCAATCTTGGCTCACTGCAACCTCTGCCTCCCGGGCTCGAATGATTCTCCTGCCTCAGACTCCCAAGTAGCTGGGATTACAGGTGCGATGCTGCCATACCCGGCTAATTTTTGTATGTTGTAGAAACAGGGTTATCACCATTTTGGCCAGGCTGGTCTTGAACTCCTGACCTCAAGCGATCTGCTCACCTTGGCCTCCCAAAGTGCTGGGATTACAGGCGTGAGCCACCACGCCCAGCCTGCACAGCCTTCTCTGTTTGTTTGAGTTTTTGCTGGAGTGCAGTGGCACGATCATGGCTCACTGCAACCTGAACTCTGGGCTCAAGGGATCCTCCCTGCCTCAGCCTCCTGAGTAGCTGGGACCGCAGGCACGTGCCACCACACCCAGCCAATTTTTAAATTTTTTTATAAAGATGGAAGCCTCACCATGTTGCTCAGGCTGGTTTCGAATTTCCTGGCCTCAAGTGATCCACCTGCCTTGGCTTCCCAAAGTGCTGGGATTATAGGGGTAAGCCACTGTGCCCAGACTTGTTTTGTATATTGGGGTTCTGTGTGTGTGTTTGAAAGAACGGGGTGGGGGCCGGGTGCAGTGACTCATGCCTGTAATCCCAGCACTTTGGGAAAACAAGGTAGGCAGATCTTTTAAGGTCAGGAGTTCAAGACCAGCCTTGTCAACATGGTGAAACCCCATCTCTACTAAAAATACAAAAATGAGCTGGGCATGGTGGCACACGCCTATAATCCCAGCTACTCGGGAAGCCGAGGCCGGAGAATCGCTTAAATCTGGGAGGCAGAGGTTGCAGCCAGCTGAGATTGCGCCACTGCACTCCAGCCTGGGTGATAGAGCAAGCCTCTGTCTTAAAAAAAAAAAAAAGAAAGAAAGAAAAAAAAAGAAAAGAAAGAACAGGGTAAGGGGTTCTAGTGCTTCAGAACATATTTGAACGGGACTTCTCCACCTGTGAGGACCCAGGCACTCTTGGCTGCCTTCTGTCCCTCCCTGTCCTGGCTCCTTTCCCACCTTCTAAAACCACACTGGACCGTCCCACTTAACGCGCCACCCGCATGTAGACTTGGACCTTCTTTTTGCCCCTCTCATCTTGGCTCCTTGAAAGAAGAGGTATTTCAGGCTCACTTCCTCCCTGCCCTCCCAGCCCCCCTCCACCTCTCCCTCAATTTCCCTGAGCTCGATGCTGCCCTCATGGCTTCCGGTCTCCCCAAGGCCAGCAGGGACCTCCAAAGCATATCTGTGGGCCCGTATCTCGCCTGGGCTCTGTGCCCAGTGCCTCCTTCTTCCAGAAACCTTCCTCCCACAGGCGTCTCCTTGTAAATGGACATGCCCCACCCCCACCCCAGGCCACCCTACCCCGTGACGGCTTCCAGGGCCACCTGAAGACTGCAACAGCGGCTGCCACGGGCCCCACTGCACCCTGGGCATCTCCCACAATTCTCAACATCTCACCCACACCTCCCCTCCTCCCTGCCCCCAAGGCAGTGAGAAATCACCCTCCCTCCCTTTCTTTACGCCCTCACCCCACATTTAATGCGTCCTTGGCTTTCAACTTCCTGATATCTCCCAAATCCAAACCCTCCTCTCTACCTCCCCAGCCCCGGCCTTGGGCACGTCTTGCTCCCACCAGCAAAATCACACGTGTTTCTTTCCTACAGGACTTTTCAGGGCCTTTAAGATGAAAAACAAGAAACAAAAAACACCAAAACCTTAAGCTAGGGCTACACTGACATTTATCAGACACTTATTATACACCGATGTTCTTCCACCTTGGTTCATTGGTACTTGGGGCTGGAAAATTCTTTGTATTCAGGGGATGCTGTCCTGTCCTGTACACTGTGAGATGTTTAGCAAAATCTCTGGTCTGTATTTACTAGACGTCAGTAGTACATTCCTCCCAAGTAATGACAACCACAAATGTCCCCAGACACTGCCAAATGTCAATTAAGTGTCAAAATCATCACCAGTTGAGAACCACTGCCTTATACTATAAACTTATTCTATTTTTCTTTCCTTTTTTTTTTGAGACAATCTTGCTCTGTCACCCAGGCTGGAGTGCAGTGGTGCCATCTCGGCTCACTGCGACCTCTGCTTCCCAAGTTCAAGCTATTCTCCTGCTTCAGCCTCCCAAGTAGCTGGGACTACAGGCGTGCACCACCATGCCCGGCTACTTTTTGTATTTTTAGTAGAGATGGGGTTTCACCACGTTGACCAGGCTGGTCTCAAACCCTGACCTCAAGCAACCCACCCACCTTAGCCTCCCAAAGTGCTGGGATTACAGGCATGAGCCACCACACCTGGCCCCACTTTCTTTTTATTTTATTTATTCATTTATTTTATTTTATTTTATTTTATTTTATTTTATTTTATTTTAGAGATGGGGTCTCACTATGTTGCTCAGGCTGGTCTTGAACTCCTGAGTTCAAGGGACCCTCCCACCTCAGCCTCCTGAGTAGCTGGGACTACAGGCATGTGCTACCACACCTGGCTAAAATGTTTACTGAGCATTATTTACAGCAGAACACTGCTGTCTGATAGAAATACAATGTGCCCAGACTGGCCAACATGGTGAAACCCCACCTCTACTAAAAATACAAAAATTAGCTGGGCGTGGTGGCGCATGTCTGTAATCCCAGCTACTCAGGAGGCTGAGGCACGAGAATCACTTGAACCCAGGAGACGGAGGCTGTGGTGAGCCGAGATTGTGCCCCGGCACTCCAGCCTGGGCCACAGAGCAAGATGCTGTCTCAAAAAGAAAAAAAAAAGAAATATAATGCGTATAATGTG
Organism: Homo sapiens; assembly: GCF_000001405.40. Lineage (NCBI taxonomy): Eukaryota > Metazoa > Chordata > Mammalia > Primates > Hominidae > Homo > Homo sapiens. Next base: position 7,601,298 of record NC_000019.10, on the reverse strand, counting down.
AGCCCAATGAGCCGTCAAGTTTCCTAGAAGCCACATTACATATGTAGAAACAATAAGAATTTAGTAATATATTTCATTGACCCAAGACATATCCCACTCTTATTTTAACATGTAATCAACATAAAAATATTATTCATAAGATATTTTACACTGGTTTTTGTTGTTTGTTTTTGGACCAAGTCTTTGGAACCCTGAGTATATTTTACATTTACAGCACATCTTGGTTCTGATCAACCACATTTCAAGTGACTCAGTAGCCACATCTGGCTGGTGGCCACCATATTGAATAGCACAGGTCTACAACATAGCTAGGATGGATGGATGGATGGATGGATAAATGGATGAATGGGTGGGTGAATGGATGGATGGATGGATAAATGGATGAATGGGTGGGTGGATGGATGGATGGATGGATAAATGGATGAATGGGTGGGTGGATGGATGGATGGATGAATGGGTAGGTGGATGGACAGATAGATGGATGGGTAGATGGGTGGGTGGGTGGATGGGTGGATAAGTGGATGGGTGGGTGGGTGGAAGGGTGGGAGGATGGGTGGGTGGGTGGATGGATGGGTGGATGGAAGGGTGGGTGGATGGGTGGGTGGATGGATGAGTGGGTGGGTGGATGGATGAGTGGATGAGTGGGTGGGTGGATGGATAAGTGGGTGGGTGGATGGATGAGTGGATGAGTGGGTGGGTTGGTGGATGGATGAGTGGGTGGGTGTGTGGGTGGATGGATGGGGGGTGGGTGGGTGGATGGATGGATGGGTAGACGAGTGGGTGGGTGGATGGGTGGATAGGTGGATGGGTGGGACGGTGGGAGGGTGGGTGGATGGATGAGGGGGTGGGTGGGTGGGTGGATGGATGGATGGGCGGGTGGATGGATGAGTCGGCGGGTGCATGGATGAGTGGGCGGGTGGACGGATGGGTGGATGGGTGGGTGGGTGGATGAGTGGGTGGGTGGGTGGATGAGTTGGTGGGTGGGTGCGAGGGTGGGAGAGTGGGTGGGTGGGTGGATGGATGAGTGGGTGGGTGGATGGGTGGATGGATGAGTGGGTGGGTGGGTGGGTGGAAGGATAGATGGGTGGGTGGGTGGATGGACGGACGGATGGGTAGATGGGTGGGTGGGTGGATGGGTGGGAGGGTGGGTGGGTGGATGGGTGGGAGGGTGGGTGGGTGGATGGCTGGGTGGGAGTGTGGGTAGGTGGATGGATGGGTGGGTGGATGGATGGATGGGCGGGTGGATGGATGAGTGGGCGGGTGGATGGATGAGTGGGCGGGTGGATGGATGAGTGGGCGGGTGGATGGATGGGTGGATGGGTGGGTGGGTGGATGAGTGGGTGGGTGGGTAGGTGGATGAGTTGGTGGGTGGGTGGATGGATGGATGGGTGGATGGGTGGGTGGATGGATGGGTGGATAGGTGGATGGGTGGGTGGGAGAGTGTGTGGGTGGGTAGGTGGGTGGGTGGATGGGTGGGTGGGTGGGTGGATGGATGGGCGGGTGGATGGATGGGCGGGTGGATGAGTGGGTGGATGGATGAGTGCGTGGTTGGATGGATGAGTGGGGTGGGTGGATGGATGAGTGTGTGGGTGGATGAGTGCGTGGGTGGATGGATGAGTGGGGTGGGTGGATGGATGAGTGGGGTGGGTGGGTGGGTGGATGGATGAGTGGGGTGGGTGGATGGATGAGTGCGGTGAGTAGGTGGGTGGGTGGATGGATGGATGGATGGATGGATGGATGGATGAATGAATGGGTGGGTGGAAGGATGGATGAGTGGGTGGATGGATGGGTGGATGGATGAGTGCGTGGGTGGATGGATGAGTGGGGTGGGTGGGTGGGTGGGTGGATGGATGAGTGCAGTGGGTAGGTGGGTGGATGGATGGATGGATGAATGAATGGGTGGATGGATGGGTGGATGGATGGATGAGTGGGTGGATGGATGGGTGGATGGATGAGTGCGTGGGTGGATGGATGAGTGGGGTGGGTGGATGGATGAGTGGGGTGGGTGGGTGGATGGATGAGTGCAGTGGGTAGGTGGGTGGGTGGATGGATGGATGAATGAATGGGTGGGTGGATGGATGGATGAGTGGGTAGATGGATGGGTGGATGGATGGATGGAAGGCTGATTGAGACAGGATCTCACTCTGTTGCCCAGGCTGGAGTGCAGTGGCGTGATCATAGCTGACTGTACCCTGGAACTCCTGGGCTCAGGCAATCCTCCTGCCTCAGCCTCCTGAGTAGCTGGGACTACAAGCCCATGCCACCACACCCAACCATTTATTTATACCATGACCTTCCCTGCATCCAGTCATTTAATCCTTACGACACTTATTATTATACCCCTTGTACAGATGAGAAAACCAAGGCCTGGAGAGCTGAGATAACTTGTCCAGGATAAAAATGTCCAACATGAACTTGAGTTTCCCTCACACATCACACATCTGTTCTGAAGGCATAAAGAACTGCATGGGGTGTTTTCCAAATGTGTTTAACATGGAACCCTTTGTTTTTTGAGACAGAGTCTCTCTCTTTCACCCAGGCTGGAGTGCAGTGGTGCAATCTCGGCTCACTGCAACCTCCGCCTCACAGGTTCAACAATTCTCCTGCCTCAGCCTCCCAAGTAGCTGGGACTACAGACGTGTGCCATCATTCCCGGCTAATTTTTGGATTTTTAGTAGAGACGGGGATTCATCGTGTTGGCCAGGCTTGGAACCCTTTCTTATCTAATCTCCAAGCTTGTGTTCTGCTTTTATTTCTGCACAGCCTTCTCACACCTGTGCCTTGGAGTTGCCAGAACTATCCCTTCCTCTGAGCCATCACTACTCCCACGGGGCCACTGCATACCTGATCTTGTCAGTTCCCAACACTGTCCGTGGCTCCCCAGTACCCTTGGATCCATAACCAGGGGCCTGAAGGGCCTTCCTCAGTCTGACCAGCCTCCCTTATCTCCCACCGCCACCCCGGGGACCTGCATCTTATTCTCTGAGAACTCCCTGCTGGTCCACACTCCGAGCCTTTGCCCACTGCCCACACATCTCTTCTCCGTGTCAAACTTCCATGCATCCTTCCAGACTCAAATCTTTCCACCTGTGGGATCTCTTCCCTCCCTGGAAGATTTCAAGAATTTCTTTCCCCAGGCCCCGCTGGCCAGCTTCCCTATGATCTGGTTTCCTGCCCATCCCCCTCTGCCCCATATCCATCCCCTGCCGTCTCCTCTACACCCTGAGCGCCCAGCCCAGCACCTGATAGGTATCATACCGTCAAGAGTCCCCAGAGCTCATGAATCTTGTAGAACTCTGCTCCCATTTCCTTCAGCCCTTCTCCTCTTTTTAGGGGAGTGGAACAGGGAACAGATTGAACTTGACCCTCACGGTAGAGGCAGCCACTGCCGTGTGTCACACAGCAGAGGGAGCTGGGTCAACAAGAACAGAACTGGGTGAGTCAGGGCACTGGGAGCTCACCAACACCCCTCATCAGAAGTTTGCTTTGCTGTCTTCAAAATGGGATAATTTCTACTCTGATTCCTGGCCAGGGGATAATGGATAACGTTAATATTATTCATCAAAATATACCACCGCCAATCACACCAGCAGCGAGCAACCGTTTCGCATGTATCACGCGCCCCGTGCCACGCGAAGAATTCTGTGGTCACTACAGCTTTTACGCCTCCCAGCAACCTTGCAAAGAGGTAACGGGGGGTCTCCATCACTGGAGCAGTGCCCTACACATAGCAAGTGCCCCTGCCCCACAAACATTCGCAAAACAGATAAGTCTGTGAATGAACGCCTTCTTTTATAGAAGGGGAAACAGAAGCTCAGATAATTGGGATAATTCGCATTCTGGTGCAGCTGGACTTCACATTCAATTCTGACACTCCACGTTGAGTTCTCTACAGCCTGGTAACCTTGGAAGTGAGGAGCTGGGGCTGTCCTGGCTGTCCAATGCCCAATCTCTTTCTTCCTCAAGCAAATATCTGCAGGGAGGTAGACCCCAGAGTGGGAAATGCATGCATGGAACGACGCAGACAGAGACTGTCTGGGAGAAAGAGGGACAGGCTGGGGCGGAACCAGGAGACGGACAGCTGTCACTGAGACCCACACCCAGAACAGGTTGATCTGGGAAGGCCAGGGAGAGGGGGGATGGGCTGTGCCAACACCAGTGGGCAGAACCAGTGGGAGAAAAGGATGTACCCCCACAGCTCCCCGCTGGAAAGCCCAGACCTTAATTAACCCCTGTCTTCTCTGGCCAGGCCCTGACTCCTAGCTCTGGCCTGGGGTTGTGAAGCTGCCCAAAGCCGAGACTGAGTGTTTCCAGGGCCTCTAATCCCGGGGACCCGGGATTACGGCATCCTCCCCATTAGGGTGGCTCGGGCTCTCAGGCAAGCGGGCCTGGGGGAGGGAGTGAAGGATCTGCTCTAATGGGAGAAGGCCCCGCAGCCGGGAGGAGCGGGGGGCCCACCCCAGGCGATCTTGTACTACCCATTTCCCTTCAGCTGGGCTCGCCAACCTCCCCAGTAAAATGGGGCCATAAGTCGCAGCTGCCAGGCGCTGGAGGGGGCTATGGAGGCGAAAGGGGGTTCCCAGAGCTCCCCGGTCGCCGCCCGCAGCGCGGCCAGGGCCGACGCGGGGTGTGTGTTGGGGCCTGGGGGTCGTGCGGTGGTGGAGACCGGAGCGCTCGAGACCCCCCAGCGAGGTCGGGGTCTGGGTCTCCAGGGTGTGTGGCGGGGGAAGAGACCGAGAGGAGATCCTCGCAGGGGCGTGATGTGTGTAAAAGAGAAGAAGGCGTGCAAGGGAAGGCCTTGGGGGTGCGGGAGGCGGGAACGAGAGGTCCGCACGGGGAGACCCCACCCGGCCCGCAGACCCCGCCCGGCTCACCTGGAGGCTTGGACGCCGGGGACCCCCGCGCGGAGCTGGGCCGCGGGCCCCACCCCCACCGCGCTCCCGCAGCCGGCGGGGCAAAGTCCACCGCCCGGGCCGAGCAGGAAGCTCGGAGGCCCCGGCGCGGCAGGGGCCCGAGCCCGGGGACCCCCGGCGGCCGGCGCTATTGTTCCCACGGCCCCCTGCCTTCCCGGCCCGGCGCCCCGCCCCCCCCCAGCACCTGCCGCGCCCGGCCCGCCGCCCCCGACCCCGGTCCCCCGAGCCCCGGTACCTGCGCCCCCGAACGCGGCCCGCAGCACCCACGCCAGGCTGGCCGCCGCCTTGGCCCGCGAGAAATCGTACTGGTCCAGCGACTTGATCTCGGGCACTAGAAAGGTCCTCCGCAGCGGCCCGGGCCCGGGGGGCGCCGCCTCCACCATGGCGGCGCCGGGGCTGCGGGCGCCGGGTCCGCGCTCGGACTGGGCTGGGCTGGGCTGCGCCGCGCTCGCGCCCCAGCCGGGCCCGCTGCTGCTACCGCCGCTGCCGCCGCCGCCGCCGCCGCCGCTGCTGAGCCAGGTGCGGCCGCTTGCGCTGGCGACGCTGCGTCGGGCCCGCCCCGGGGAGGAGCCCAGGTGCGCCCCGCCCCCGAACCCGGACCCGGACCCTGGCGCGCCCCTGCGCCCCGCCCGGGCCCCTCACTGCAGTGTGCACGGAGCAGCAGGGGCGGGGCGGAGGGGGGCGGCCTGGACTGCGGCGATGGTGGAGGGAGCTTGCGGAGGACTGAGTGTGTATGTGTGCGCGCGCGCGTGTGTGAGTGTGTGCGCGCGCGCCTAGCTTACTGGAAAGGATTAGGGACCCTCTGTGTGTGCCAGCCCCAGTGTCTACCCTTAGGCGTAGGAGCTCCTGCAAGTGCTTGCAATAAACGCCGGCCCTCAGGCAGAGAGTGGTTGGGTGCACCTGTTTCTGATTATGTTAGTGAAGGCACAAGAATATGAGTGTCTTCGTATCTGTGTATCTCTGAATACATTTGGGTGGTGACCAAGTGTATTGGGGGGTGTCTAGGGGTGTGTGTGTGTGGGGTATGTATCTGGGCACGTGTAAGTGTGTGTTTAATTTGTTGTGTGTACAAGGATATGTATTATATAGATGTCTGTATCCTGAGGATGGATGGAAGTGATGAGTGTGTGTCTGTTTTTTGTTTTTGTTTTTGTTTTTGTTTTTGAGACAGGGTCTCACTCACTCTGTCTCCCAGGCTGGAGTGCAGTGGCGCGATCTCGACTCACTGCAACCTCCGCCTCCCAGGCTCAAGCGATTCTCCTGCCTCAGCCTCCCGAGTAGCTGGGATTACGGGGTTGCGCCACCACTCCCGGCTAATTTTTGTATTTTTAGTAGAGTTGGGGTTTCACCATGTTAGCCAGGCTAGTCTCAAACTCCTGACCTCAGGTGATCACCCGCCTCAGCCTCCCAAAGTGCTGGGATTACAGGCGGCAGCCACCGTGCCCGGCTGTGTGTGTGTTTTTGGAGTGCTGTGAGTATGTCTATCTCTGTGCATCTGAACGTACTGGTGTGTTGTATGAGGCTGTTATTGATGCCTCTGTCAATGCAGGAGTATGGAGAGACATTGAGAGTGTGTGTATTTCAGGCCGAGAGCGGTGGCCACGAGTGTAATCCCAGCACTTTGGGAGGCCAAGGCGGGCAGATCACTTGAGGCCAGGAGTTCAAGAGTAGCCTGGCCAACATAGCAAAACCCCGTCTCTACTAAAAATAAAATTTTTAAAAATTAGCCGGGCATAATGGTGCATGCCTGTAATCCCAAGTACTCGGGAGGCTGAGGCGGGAGAATCGCTTGAACCAGGGAGGCAGAAGCTGAGATAGTGCCACTGCACTCCAGCTTGGCCAACAGAGTGAGACCCTGTCTCAAAAAAAAAAAAAAAGTGTGTATATTTCTGCAAGAGTGTGACTATTTGTGTCTATGAGTGTCCTTGCGTAGCTGTACTGGGTGTATTTGCAAGTGTCTTTGTGTATTATTCTGGTATCTGCAGTGTGTGCTGGGAGAAGGCTCTGTGTGGAGGTGAGGCTGTGTGTCTAAGTGGGTTTGTATTTGAGTATGTGAATCTGGCTATATGCACATGGATGTGTGATTGATTGATTGATTGATTTTTTGAGACGGAGTCTCGCTCTATCGCTCAGGCTGGAGTGCAGTGGTGCGATCTTGGCTCACTGCAAGCTCTGCCTCCTGGGTTCATGCCATTCTCCTGCCTCAGCCTCCCGAGTAGCTGGGACTACAGGCACCCGCCACCACGCCCGGCTGGTTTTTTGTATTTTTTTTTAAGTAGAGACCGGGTTTCACCATGTTAGCCAGGATGGTCTCGATCTCCTGACCTCGTGATCCGCCCAACTCGGCCTCCTGAAGTGCTGGGATTACAGGCTTGAGGCACCGCGCCCAGCAGATGTGTGATTTATGATGAGCAGTTCCTGACTATATTTTTGTGCATATATGTGTGTTTATATGTGAGTATCTTTGTGGATTTGAATATATGGTGGGTGCCTGTGACAGATTGTGTAGGCATGAAAGCAGGTATACCTGTGCAAGAATGCCTGTTTCTGCTGGGTGCAGTGGCTCATGCCTGTAATCCCAGTGCTTTGGGAGGCTGAGGCGGGTGGATCACCTGAGGTCAGGAGTTCAAAACCAGCCTGGCCAACATGGTGAAACCCCATCTCTACTAAAAATACAAAAGTTAGCCGGGCGTGGTTGCCCACACCTATAATTGCAGCTACTTGGGAGGCTGAGGCAGGAGAATCGCTTGAACCCAGGAGGCAGAGGTTGCAGCAAGCTAGGATTGCACCACTGTACTCCAGCATGGGCGACAGAGTGAGACTCCGTCACATTAAAAAAAAAAAAAAGAATGCCTGTGTCTGAATGCTTTTGTGAGAGTTCAAATGTGCATATTTATCTAGGAATTCATATCTGTGTAAGCAAATGTATTTCTGTGTATGAATCTGATTGTGTCTGTAAGTATGGAAGTGTGTGTGAACGCGTTGAGTACAAATATTTGTGTACATGAGTGCAATTGTGTGTTTATTTGTAAGGTCTAAGCACCGATTTGTGGATTTTTGGTTTTTTTTTTTCTGTTTGTTTTTTTTTTTTTTTTTGAGACCGAGTCTCGCTCTGTCACCCAGGCTGGAGTGCAGTGGTGCAATCTTAGCTCACTGCAAGCTCCGCCTCCCGGGTTCGCGCCATTCTCCTGCCTTAGCCTCCCCAGTAGCTGGAACTACAGGCGCCGGCCACCATGCCCAGCTAATATTTTGTATTTTTAGTAGAGACGGGGTTTCATTGTGTTAGTCAGGATGGTCTTGATCTCCTGACCTCAGGTGATCCACCCGCCTCGGCCTCCCAAAGTGCTGGGATTACAGGCATGAGCCACCGCGCCCAGCCGGATGTTTTTAATATTTTAATATTTGCTTTTGTTCTATTGTTTGTTTTGTTGTTGTTGTTTTATTTTTTTTTTGGACAGGATCTCACTCTGTCACCCCAGGCTTGAGTGCAGTGGCACAATCATGGCTCACTGCAGCCACCATCCCTGGCTAATTTTTTGTTTTGTGTAGAGATGGGATCTCCTTATATTGCCCAGGCTGATCTCAAACTCCTAGGCTCAAGGGATCCTCCCACCTCGGCCTCCCAAAGTGCTGGGATTACAGGCATGTGCCACTGTGCTTGGCCCTCCATTGTATTTTTGTCAAAATATCCCCTGCATGCCTCTTAGCTGTATATAATTGTGAATGCACAAGTGTTTGTGTGAGTTCGTTCTTTACAGGCCTGGAAAGAAAAGTGTGTTACTTTCGGCCAGGCACGGTGGCTGAAGCCTGTAATCCCAGCACTTTGGGAGGCCGAGGCAGGTGGATCACTTGAAGTCAGGAGTTCAAGACCAGCCTGACCAACATGGTGAAACCCTGTCTCTACTAAAAATACAAAAATTAGCCAGGCATGGTGGCACATGCCTGTAATCCCAGCTACTTGGGAGGCTGAGGCAGGAGAAGCGCTTGAACCCAGGAGGCAGAGGTTGAAGTGAGCTGAGATCTTGCCACTGCACTCCAGCCTGGGTGACAGAGCCAGACTCTGTCTCAAAAAAAAAAAAAAAAGAAAAGAAAAACGTGTGTTACTTTCAGAACACACACACACACACACACATACATAGGCACCTTGTCACCTTGTGAACAGGAATAAGTGCTCACAGACTCACACAAATATTCACAAATTCACACAAATGTAAATGTCAGCTTCATGCACACAAATGCACTCAGAAAGTGATACGTAAAAAGATAACATACAGGCCGGGCACAGTGGCTCACTCCTGTAATCCCAGCACTTTGGGAGGCTGAGGCAGGTGCATCACCTGAGGTCAGGAATTCGAGACCAGCCTGGCCAACATTGTGAAACCCCATCTCTACTAAAAATACAAAAATTCCCTGTGTGTGGTGGCTGGCGCCTGTGATCCCAGCTACTCAGGAGGCTGAGGCAGAAGAATTGCTTGAACCCAGGAGGCAGAGGTTGCAGTGAGCTGAGATCGTGCCACTGCACTTTAGCCTGGGCGAAAGAGCAGGACTCCATCTCAAAAAGAAAAAAAAAAAAAAAAGACCGGGCCCAGTGGCTCACGCCTGTAATCCCAGCACCTTGGGAGGCTGAGGTGGGCGGATCACCTGAGGTCCGGAGTTCAAGACCAGCCTGACCAACATGGAGAAACCCATCTCTACTAAAAATAAAAAAAAAATTAGCCAGAGGTGGTGGTGCATGCCTGTAATCCCAGCTACTTGGGGGGCTGAGGCAGGAGAATTGCTTGAAACCAGAAGGCAGAGATTGCGGTGAGCTGAGATTGCACCACTGCACTCCAGCCTGGGCAACAAGAGCGAAACTCCGTCTCAAAAAAAAAAATAAATAAATAAATAAATAAATAAATTCCAACACTTTGGGAGGCCAAGGTGGGCAGATCACCTGAGGTCTGGAGTTCAAGACCAACCTGACCAACATTGAGAAACCCCATCTCTACTAAAAACACAAAATTAGCCAGGCATGGTGTCGCATGCCTGTAATCCCAGCTATTCAGGAGGCTGAGGCAGGAGAATCGCTTGAACCTGGGAGGTGGAGGTTGCGGTGAGCCAAAATCGCACCATTGCACTCCAGCCTGGGCAATGAGAGCAAAAAAACTCCGTCTCATAAAAAAAAACAAAAACAAAACGCTATGAAATGGAAAGACGCTGTGGCAAGGTGGTCTCCAAGACCCTTGACCCCGGATGGTGGCCCCAGAGCTAGCTCTTTGTTGAAATGGCACGTGTGTTTGGGGCGTGGGTCTCATGGTCCGGAGCATGTGAGCAGGCATGGGGGTGGGTGTGCCGAGGGAGGGGAGCTGGGGCGTGGGCCCTCCTGTCTGGATGTGCCCGTGCAGGAGTGGGTGTGGGTGCGCAAAGGGGCCAGTGTCTGTGTGTGTGAGCACAGGTGCTGATGTGGATGACGCATGCCCCGGCTCCTGTCCCAGTCCCCTCGAAGGACCTAAACAAGGTCTTTTCCCCACTGGACCTCAGTTTCCCCATCTGGAGACCTGGGGTTCCTGGCCCGGGGAAGCATTTCCAGCAGGAAAGGGTGCTTCTGCCATAACCTGCCCCTCTGTGAGCTTGGCGTGTCCTGCCGGCTCACACGTGGGTTTGCTTTTCCTGGGATGGTTCCCATGACCTCCGTGGACCCCAAGGACAAACCCAGCAAAGGCAGCAAATGCAGCATGCTCACACACAATCCGGGGAGATGTGGGGTGGATACACGGGTTCAGCTTCCCATCCCGGGAGGGGGCTGCAGTTTGGGAAGGATGGGTGGGGGGCCGTCCAGGTCCAGAGGTGTTGGTGCAGGTCAAGTGCTCCTGTCCCTGCCTCCAGGGGCCTCCACTGGCCCAACCCCCACACTGGGCGGACTGGAAAGCCTGGCTGGTCTAGACTGCCCCACCCACACACTGCAGGCTGGAATCAAGATCCCACCTGCCCCTGGGGGCCTGTTCCTACGGCCTAGGCAGCCTCAGACACACTGGCTGCCCTGTGTGCATGGGGCAGCCCCTCCCCGAGCCCCCCTCCAGCCTCCCGCCTCCTCCCACACCTGGAGCTCTTTGGGCTCTTACACCTCCTAACTCATTAGACAGAGCCTGGTTATTAAGCTGGGGGTGGGGATGACTTAGAGGGTTTATAGGTCAGGAGTTCAGGATTTGGTTTGGGGGAGTATGTGAAACCCCATAAAATCATCTGCAAAATTCTACCTGTGTGTGCACTTCAGGGATCAGACTCATAGATGACAATTTCTGAGAGTGTTATATGCCCGACATCGTCTCATTAATCCTCACGCCAACACCAGCATAATGAGGATTGTACCCATTTTACAGATGGAAAAACTGAGTCATACACCAAGGAGAATAGAAGGAGGCTTTGAGCCCCAAGTCACCGGATCTAGGGTCCACCAGCTGAGCCACTTTGCAGCCCTTCCAGTATGAGGCTGGTTCACCCTTCTCTCAATGTCTATGACCTTCAGGACGGGCACAGTGGCGCATGCCTGTAATCCCAGTACTTTGGGAGGCTGAGGCGGGTGGATCACTTGAGGTCAGGAGTTCAAGAGCAGCGTGGGCAACATGGCGAAACCCCCTCTCCACTAAAAATACAAAAATTAACTGGGTGTGGTGCTGGGCACCTGTAATCCCAGCTACTCGGGAGGCTAAGGCAGGAAGATGACTTGAGCCTGGTAGGCGGAGGTTGCAGTGAGCTGAGATCGTGCCACCTCCGGAGTAGCTGGGATTACAGGCACCTGCCACCTCGCCCGGCTAATTTTTGTATTTTTAGTAGAGATGGGGTGTCACTATGTTGGCCAAGCTGGTCTCGAAGTCCTGACCTAAAGTGATTCGCCCACCTCGGCCTCCCAAAGTGCTGGGATTACAGGCGTGAGCCACCGTGCCTGGCCAGTATGGAGTTTATTATCAGCACTCCCCAGGTACCTCAGGGGGACATGTCCAAAATATTTCAAAAGAATTATTTATATATAGTGTGTGTGTATATATATATCTGTAAATATTATGTTATATATATGTAAATATTATATGCTATATATGTATATATGTTATATATATATTTGTAGAAATAGGGTATCGCTCTGATGCCCAGGCTGGAGTGCAGTGGCGCAATCATAGTTCGCTGTAGGCTGGAACTCGTGGGCTCAAGCGATCCTCCTGTCTCAGCCTCCTGAGTAGCTAGGACTACAGGTGTGCACCACCACACCCTGCTAATTTAAAAAATATTTTGTAGAGATGGGTCTGGCTATGTTGCCCAGGCTAGTTTCAAACACCTGGCCTCAAGCGATCCTTCCACCTCGGCTTCCCAAAGTGCCTGGATTACAGGTGTGAGCCACCATGCCCAGCCACCATGCCCAGCCTCAAAATAATTTTTAAGAACAATATTGACTGGGCATGGTGGCACACGCCTGTAATCTCGGCACTTTGGGAGGCTGAGGTGGGCAGATTGCTTGAGCCCAGGAGTTTGACAACAACCTGGGCCACACAGTGAGATCCTGTCTCCACACACACACACAAAATACAAAAATTAGCCGGGCGGGGTGGTGCATGCTTGTAGTCCCAGCACTTTGGGAGGCCGAGGCGGTAGATCACTTGAGCCCAGCAGTGCGAGACCAACCTGGGCAACATGGAAAAACCCCATTTCTGTAAACAATACAAAAAATTAGCTGGGTATGGTGGCTTGAACCTGTAGTTCCAGCTACTTGGGAGGCTGAGGCAGGAGCATCCCTTGAGCCTGGGAGGTGGAGGTTGCAGTGACGCGAGTTGTGATCATGCCACTGAACTCCAGCCTGGGCAACAGAGCAAGATCCTATCTCAAAAACAAAAACAAAACAAAAAACCAACATTCTGGGCACGGTGGCTCACACCTGTAATCCCAGCACTCTGGGAGGCTGAGGCAAGCGGATTACTTGAGGTCAGGAGTTCATGACCAGCCTGGCCATCATGGTGAAACCCTGTCTCTACTAAAATACAAAAATTAGGCTGGGCGTGCTAGCTCACGCCTGTAATCCTAGCCACTTTGGGAGGTCGAGGTGGACGGATCACTTGAGATCAGGAGTTCAAGACCAGCCTGGCCAACTTGCTGAAACCTCGTCTCTACTTAAAAGACAAAAATTAGCTGGAAATCGCTTGAACCCAGGAGGCGGAGGTTGCAGTGAGCCAAGATCATGCCATTGCACCCCAGCCTGGGCAACAGAGCGAGACTCCGTCTCAGTAAAATAAAATAAAATAAAATACAAAAATTAGCCAGGCGTGGTGGTGTACACCTGTAGTCCCAGCCACTTGGGAGGCTGAGGCAGGAGAATTTCTTGAACCCAGGAGGCGGAGGTTGCAGTTTGCTGAGATCGCGCACCGCACTCCAGCCTGGGGCACAGAGCGAGACTCCGTCTCAAAAAACAAACAAAACAAAACAAAAAACAAATATTGTGCATGCCAAAGGCCATCCCTGTCCTTGCGCCTCATGACAGTTGCATTTAGATGCAATAGACTAATACGAGTGAAAGAAATCATTTCATGGCCAGGCGCGGTGGCTCATGCCTATAATCCCAGCACTTTGGGAGGCCGAGGCGGGTGGATCACAAGGTCAGGAGATGGAAACCATCCTGGCTAACATGGTGAAACCCCATCTCTACTGAAAATACAAAAAAATTAGCCAGGTGTGGTAGCACGCGCCTGTAGTCCCAGCTACTTGGGAGGCTGAGGCAAGAGAATCACTTGAACCTGGGAAGCGGAGGTTGCAGTGAGCCAAGTTCGTGCCACTGGACTCCAGCCTGGGCGAAAGAGCGAGACTCCGTCTCAAAAAAAAAAAAAAAAGAAAAGAAAAAGATCATTTCACCTAGGGATAAAATATTGGGACAATCACACAGTCTAGCAAAGGAGCTAGTGACAGTCAGGGTGGGAGCTGCTTTTGCTAGGGCAGTTGTCTGGGCAAGCTTCTTCGAGGAGGAGGGAGAGGTAGGGCAGGGAATGGGGCGATGAAAAGAAGCAGATGGGAGAAGAGCATTCTGGGCAGAGCAACTGGCAAGGACAAAGGCCCTGGGGAAGGACCAAGCTGGTGCTCAAGGAAGGGCACTGTCCCTGGAGTGCAGCCAGGAGCAATGCCAGGAGACGCCGGAGGGTGTTTTGCTGCCCAGACTCTCCCTGGTAAAGCACCACTTCTTCATTTTTTTTTTTTTTGAGATGGAGTCTCACTCTGTCACCCAGGCTGGAGTGCAGTGGCACAATCTCAGCTGACTGCAACCTCTGCCTCCCATGTTCAAGCAATTCTCGTGCCTCAACCTCCCGAGTAGTTGGGAGTGCAGGCGCACGCCACCATGCCTGGCTAATTTTTGTATTTTTAGTAGAAATGGGGTTTCAACATTTTGGCCAGGCTGGTCTTGAACTCATGACCTCAGGTGATCCGCCCGCCTCAGCCTCCCAAAGTGCTGGGATTACAGGTGTAAGCCACCACACACGGCCCCATTCTTTTTTTTTAAATTTTTATTTATGTATTTATGTATTTATTTATTTTGAGGTGAAGTCTCACTCTGTTACCCAGGCTGAAGTGTGGTGACAAGATCTCAACTCATTGTAACCTCCACCTCCTGTGTTCACATGATTCTCGTGCCTCAGACTCCTGATTAGCTGGGAGTGCAGGTGCGTGCCACCATGCCCGGCTAAGTTTTTGTATTTTTAGTAGAGATGGAGTTTCACCATGTTGCCCAGGCTGAAAAATAAAACATTTAAAAATTAGCCAGGTATGGCGGTGCATGCCTGTGGTCCCAGCTGCTTGGGAGGCTAAGGCGGGAGGATCCCTTGAGCCCAGGAGTTTGAGACTGCAGTTAGCTATGATTGCACCACTGTACTCCAGCCTGGGTGACAGAGAGAGACCCTGTCAAAAAAAAAAAAAAAATGACGTCGGATGATTATAATCCGAAATATAAAATGAATATTTGTGAGTCCATGCTGATGTCAAGAAATGAGCAGGCCAGGCATGGTGGCTCACGTCTGTAATCCCAGCAGTTTGAGAGGCCAAGGCGGGAGGATCGCTTGAGGCCAGCAGTTCCAGACCAGCCTTTACAACATAGCGAAACTCCATCTCTACTAAAAATAAAACAAATTAAAGAAATTAGCTGGGTGTGGCAGTGCACACCTGTAATCCCAGCTATTCAGGAGGCTGAGGTGGGAGGATTGCTTAAGAGTGGGAGGTTGGGGCTGCAGTGAGCCGTGTTTGCATAAGTGCACTGCAGCCTGGGCAACAAAAAAAAAAAAAAAAAAAAAAAAGGAGCACATAATTTCATAATAGGGGATGAGGGACTTCTTCCCCTGCAGAAGAATTTCAAATAATTCATGTAGATGCTCTGCCCTCAAGGAGTGGAACGTAACTCTCCAATCCTTAGGTGTAAGCTACACGGGGTGCCTTCCTTCCAAAGATCACAGTATGGAAGGAGGAAAGAGGAAAAAAAAGAATAACTTTACAGTGGAGAAACCTAACACACTACTCCAGCAGACAGTCAAAGACAACCTTGACAGTCAGAAATTATGTTGTTAGTATGTACTTTTATTTATTTATTTATTTTGAGACACAGTCTTGCTGTGTTGCCCAGACTGGAGTGCAGTGGTGCGATCACAGCTCACTGCAGCCTCCACCTCCTAGGCTCAAGCAATCCTCCCACCTCAGCCTCCTGAGTAGGTGGGACTACAGGTGGGTGCCACCACACCTGGCTATTTTTTTTTTTTTGAGACAAAGTCTCATTCTGTCACCCAGGCTGCAGTGCTGTGGCGAGATCTGGGCTCACTGCAACCTCTGCATCTTGGGTTCAAGTGATTCTCCTGCCTCAGCCTCCTGAGTAGCTGGGATTACAGGCACACACCACCAAGCCTGGCTAATTTTTGTCTTTTTAGTAGAGACGGGGTTTCACCATGTTGGCCAGGCTGGTCTCGAACTCCTGACCTCAGGTGATCCGCCCATCTCCACCTACCAAAGTGCTGGGATTACAGGCGTGAGCCACCACACCCGGCCTCACATGACATTTAGTCATCACTTCTCCTTCCATTCAACTGGGACAGTTTCTCAGGAACTGAGAGGCTAAGGCTGGAGAATTGCTTGAACCTGGGAGGTGGAGGTTGCAGGGAGCCAAGATCACGCCATTGCACTCCAGGTTGGGTGACAGAGTGAGACTCTGTCTCAAATAAATAAATGTGAAATCCTGCATGGGATCCTGGGACAGAAACAGGGCATTAAGGGAAAGCTGAAGAAACTGAATGAAGAATGGACTTTAGTTACTAAAAATGTATCCATATTGGTTCATTCCTGGGAGGCGGAGATTGCAGTGAGCTGAGATCGCACCCCCTCCTCTCCAGTGTGGGCAGCAGAGCGAGACTCTGACTTAAAAAAAAAAAAAAATTGGTTCATTGATTGTATCAAATGTGCCATACCAGTGTAAGATGTTAATAAAAGGGGAAATTGTATTGTGTATGTGTTGGGGGAGAATGAGTGTACTCAAACTCTCTGTACCATCTACTTGATTTTTCTGAAAATTTAACACTGTTCTTTAAAAAGTCTATTAGCTGGGTATGGTGGCACAAGCCTGTAGTCCCAGCCACTCAGGAGGCTGAGGTGAGAGGGTCACTTGAGCCCAGGAGTTGGAGGCTGCAGTGAGCTGTGATCGCACCACTGCACTCCATCCTGGGCAACAGAGTGAGACCTTGTCTCCAAGAAAATGAAAATAAAAGGCCGGGCGCGGTGGCTCACACCTGTAATCCCAGCACTTTTGGAGGCCAAGGCGGGCAGATCACCTGAGTTCGAGAGTTTGACACCAGCCTGACCAACGTGGAGAAACGCCCGTCTCTAATAAAAATACAAAGTTAGCCGGGCGTGGTGGCGCATGCCTGTAATCCCAGCTACTCTGGAGGCTGAGGCAGGAGAATTTCTTGAACCTGGGAGGCGGAGGTTGTGGTGAGCCGAGATAGCGCCATTGCACTCCAGCCTGGGCAACGAGAGCGAAACTCCATCTCAAAAAAAAAAAAAAAAAAGAAAATGAAAATAAAAAAATAAAAAATTCTATTAATACAGGAAGGAATTTAAAAGGCATGCAGAACATGAGCCCAGCTGTCATAAAATTACTGTGTGAAATTACTATAATGATTCTATTTATTTATTTATTGAGAGAGGGTTTCACTCTGTCACCCAGGCTGGAGTGCTTCACTCTGTCACCCAGGCTGGAGTGCAGTGGTGTGATCATGGTTTGCTGCAGCCTGGACCTCCCAGGCTCAAGCAATCCTCCCACCTCAGCCTTCCAAGCAGCTGGGACCACAAGCATGTGCCACCACATCTGGCTAATTTATTTTTTATTTTGCAGAGATGGGGTCTCGCTATGTTGCCAGGCTGCACTAGAACTCCTGGGCTCCAACGATCCTCCTGCCTCGGCCTCCCAAAGTCCTGGGATCACATGCATGAGCCACTGTACCCAGCCTTTAAAGGTTCTAAAAGCTGGCCAGGGTGCGGTGGCTCATGCCTGTAACCCCAGCACTTTGGGAGGCCGAGGCAGGGAGATCACCTGAGGTCAGGAGTTTGAAACCAGCCTGGGCAACATGGTGAAACCCTGTCTCTACTAAAAATACAAAAATTAGCCAGGCATGGTGGTGCAAGCTATTCCAGAGACTGAGGCAGGAGAATCTCTTGAACCTGGGAGGCGGAGGTTGCAGTGAGCCAAGATTATGCCACAGCACTCCAGCCTGGGCGGCAGAGTGAGACTCCGTCTCAAAAAACATAAATAAAAATAAAGATTCTGAAAGCTTTTTTTTTCTGGACTCTCTCATCTAAATGGGAAATCAACAGCTTGGGGACCAGCTGCAGTCTGCAGCTCACACTTCGGGTAGTACAAGTACAGGTTTTCTTGATCACGGCACTATTGAGATGTAGAATATTTGGATAACTCTTTGCTGTGGGGGCCATCCTGTGCATTGCATGAAGTTTAGCAGCACCCTTGGTCTCTACCTACCAGATGCCACTAGCAGCCCCCTCCAGTTGTGACAACCCAAAATGTCTCCAGACATTGCCAAATGTCCCCCAGCAGGAGGAATCATCGTCCCCTTAAAAACCATGAACAGGTTGGGCTCAGTGGCTTACTCCTGTAATCCCAGCCCCTTGGGGGGCCGAGGCAGGCGGATCACTTGAGGTCAAGAGTTCAAGACCAGCCTGGCCAACATGGTGAAACCCCATCTCTACCAAGAATATAGAAAAAAGTAAGCTGGGCATGGTGGTGCACACCTGTAATCCCAGTTACTCAGGAGGCTGAGGCAGGAGAATCGCTTGAACCCGGGAGGCGGAGGCTGCAGCGAGCTGTGATTGTGCCACTACATTGCAGCCTGGGTGACAGAGCAAGACTCTGTCTCAAAAAAAAAAAAATAGAAAGAAAGAAAGAAAGAAAGAAAGAAAGAAAGAAAGAAAGAAAGAAAGAAAGAAAGAAAGAAAGAAAGAAAGAAAGAAAGAAAGAAAGAAAGAAAACTGCGTACATACGGATGACAAAATCAAACCTGAAAGCTCGGTCCAGAAAAACCCATGCACATCTGTGAGCTTCAGGTTGCCCTTAGGGGACCCGGTGTTGCCAAGACAATTTCAGGTAGACCACAGAGGCTTCAGTAACGAGGTCAGCCCCAGGGTGTGGCTTTGGGGCCGGGGAGCACGCACGGGTGCAGAATGTGTTGGGAGATGGAATTGGCAGGGCTTGCTGGTGGATGGGAACAGGCGGCCAGGAGAGGGAGGGCGGAGTCTTGGAAGATGCCCAGATCTCTGCCTTTCGCAAGCAGGTAGATGGTGGTGCTGCATGCTGAGATGGGGACAGGAGATGAGGGGCCAGGCTGGGTGGGGAGGATGAGTTTCGTCTTGGACAGGTTGAGTTTCACATCCCGGAGGGCCACCAAGGAGGCCAGAAATTTGTCATCTTTACCACATGATGATGAGAGCGGGCCCAGGCACCTCCACCAATACACAAGATCCCCAAAAGAGTGAGAGGAGTGAGCTATGATCACACCACCGCATTCCAGCCTGGGTGACACAGCAAGACCCTATCGCTCTTTGAAACAAAAAGCAAAAAAGGCCGGCGCGGTGGCTCATGTGTGTAATCCCAGGACTTTGGGAGGCCAAGGTGGGTGGATCACTTGAGGCCTGGAGTTCAAGACCACCCTGGCCAACATGGTAAAACCCCATCTCTATTAAAAATACAAAAAAAAAAAAAAATTAGCCAGGCGTGGTGGCGGGCGCCTGTAGTCCCAGCTACTCGGGAGGCTGAGGCAGGAGAATGGCGTGAATCGGGGAGGTGGAGCTTGCAGTGAGCAAAGATCGTGCCACTGCACTCCAGCCTGGGCGACAGAGCGAGACTCTGCCTCAAAAACAAAAACAAACAAAAATTAGCTGGGCGTGGTGGCGCTTGCCTGTAATCTCAGCTACTCAGGAGGCTGAGGCACGAGAATCACTTGAACCTGGGAGGTGGAAGTTGCAGTGAGCCAAGATCATGTCACTGCACTCCCGCCTGGGTGACAGAGCAAGACTCCTTCTCGAAAAAAAAAAAAAGCTCTGAAGCTGTGAAACGACATCAAAGAAACTTAGGTGCATATGGCTAAGTGAAAAACACAGTCTGAAAGGGCCACTTATTGTGTACTTCTCCAACTCCACGACATTCTGGAAAAGGCAAAACTATGAAGATAGTAAAACCTCAGTGGTTACTAAGGGTTAAGAGGGAGGACAGATGAGTAGGTGGAATGCAGAGGATGTTTAGGGCAACGAAACTACTCTGTATGACACTATAATGGTGGGCCGGGCGCAGTGGCTCACGCCTGTAATCCCAGCACTTTGGGAGACCAAGGTGGGCGGATCACCTGAGGTCAGGAGCTTGAGACCAGCCTGCCCAACATGGTGAAATCCCGTCTCTACTAAAAATACAAAAAATTAGCCCAGCATGGTGGCGCGCGCCAGTAATCCCAGCTACTTGGAAGGCTGAGGCAGGAGAATCGCTTGAACCCAGGAGGCGGAGGTTGCAGTGAGCTGAGATTTCGCCATTGCACTCCAGCCAGGGTGACAGAGCGAGACTCTGTGTCAAAATAAATAAAATAAAATAAAATATAGATAATATCCACAAATACATACTCAAATATTTACAAAGGTAACCAGTAATACCCACAGAATTGCATGCATTAACGCGAACATCTGCGCACGTGCACACACACATCAATACATTCATGCAGATGCTCACTACTGATGTAGGTCAAGGGAGAGACATTATTTCAAGTGTGCTCTCCGTCATTTATATGTCCTTGATAGGAAGAAACTTCCTTTCCCTCCCTCTGGTAGAAGGAGGTGTTTGGGCAGACAGAGGCGAGAAAGTGACTTTGGTAGATTAAAAAAAAAAAAAGACCAAGGTGATTGAGAGTGGGGGAGACGTGCAGAGATAAGGGGGCTCCAGCTGCTCTTTTCTTTTCTTTTTGAGACAGGGTTTCTGTTTCGCAGGCTGGAGTGCAGTGACACGATCATAGCTCACTGCAGCCTCGACCTTACAAGCTCAAGCGATCCTCCCACCTCAGCCTCCCAAGTTGCTGAGACCACAGGTGGGTGCCACCATGCCCGGCTAAGTTGTTTTTTAAAGATAGGATCTCGGCCGGGCGCGGTGGCTCAAGCCTGTAATCCCAGCACTTTGGGAGGCCGGGGCAGGCAGATCACGAGGTCAGGAGATCAAGACCATCCAGGCTAACACAGTGAAACCCCATCTCTACTAAAAATACAAAACATTAGCCGGGCGTGGTGGCAGGCGCCTGTAGTCCCAGCTACTCAGGAGGCTGAGGCAGGAAAATCGCTTGAATCTGGGAGGCAGAGTTTGCAGTGAGCTGAGATTGCGCCACTGTACTCCAGCCTGGGTGACAGAGCGAGACTCTGTCTCAAAAAAAAAAAAAAAGATGGGGTCTCATTATGTTGTCCAGGCTGGTCTCAAACTCCTGGGCTCAAACTAACAGTCTGCCATGGCCTCCCAAAATGCTGGCATTACAGGCATGAGCCACCACGCCCAGCTGGAAGCTTTTTTGATATTGGTGAAGCCAACAGGAGCCCAACACAAATGAATGTCTGTATCATCCTCTGAAACTGTGGTATCTTCTTGTCCTTATCAACCATGCAGATACACAGGAAAAAGCAAATCACATACAAACTTTGGGGTTTCATGATACCTCCGTGTACCAAGACTACACGGTGCAGGAGTTTCTGGGCTCTGCAGATCCAGACCCTCCAAGTCATGGTCAAGAGTAGGAATACAAGGCTGGGTGTGGTGGCTCACACATGTAATCCCAGCACTTTGGGAGGCCAAGGCGGGTGGATCACTTGAGGCCAGGAGTTCAAGACTGGCCTGGCCAACATGGTGAGATCCCGTCTCTACTGAAATACAAACATTAGCTGGGCATAGTGGTGCATGCCTGTAATCCCAGCTACTCAGGAGGCTGAGACAGGAGAATCACTTGAACCTGGGAGGTGGGTGGAGGTTGCAGTGAGGCGAGA
This sequence comes from Homo sapiens, assembly GCF_000001405.40. NCBI lineage: Eukaryota > Metazoa > Chordata > Mammalia > Primates > Hominidae > Homo > Homo sapiens. The sequence continues at coordinate 7,579,828 of NC_000019.10, read as the reverse complement.
TCATGCCATTGCACCCGAGCCTGGGAGACAGAGTGAGACCCTGTCTCGAAAAAATAAAATAAAATAAAATACAAAAAAGTGGTACACACCTATAATCCCAGCTACTCAGGAGGCTGAGGCAGGAGACTCGCTTGAACCCAGGAGGCAGAGGTTGCAGTGAGCCGAGATGGTGCCATTGCACTCCAGCCTGGGGGACAGAGCAAGACTCTGACTCAAAACAAACCAACAAACATAGATTGGGAATACAGGTGTGCCAGTGATATAAATGAAGCTCCATGGAATGTGAGACATGGGTTGAGGATGTGGCCCTGGGAGGGGATGGAGGAGAAAGAGGAGGCTCTGAGCTTCCAGGGAGGGAGGAAATCAAACTAACAAGGGAACAAAGGCTTTGGGAAGGTGGGAGTAGTCTCCAGTGTCTTGGGCTGGCCTGGAGGCTGTGTGAGATAAGAAGTGGGTGGTTGCATTGGATCTCGGGACACGGCGTCCTATAGTGACCTCGGGGAAGACAGTCTTAGCGGTATGTGTGTGGGAAGGCAGGAAAGAGGGTGTCCGATGAAGAAGTCAGTGAGAGGAGTCAGTGAGGGAGGTTTTACCTAAAACCTCCCCTCCTAAACCTCTCTGCATCATCACCCACCATCCATTCTTTTTTTTTAATTGTTTTATTTTTTGAGACAGAATCTTGCTCTGTCATCTAGGCTGGAGTGCAGTGGTGCGATCTTGGCTCACTACAACCTCTGCCTCCTGGATTCAAGTGATTCTCGTGCCTCAGTCTCCAAAGTAGCTGCGATTACAGACACCCGCCACCACGCCCAGCTAATTTTTGTATTTTTAGTAGCGATAGGGTTTCACCATGTTGGCCAGGCTGGTCTCAAACTCCTGACTTCTGGTGATCCACTTGCCTCAGCCTCCCAAAGTGCTGAGATTACAGGTGTGAGCCACCGCACCTGGTGGCCACATCACTCCTTTTGAGGTAGGAAGCAGGACTGGACTCCCGAGATGGGGCTAAGAGCCTGGACCAGACTGAAGGCTAGCTGAAACAGCCTGGGCACGGTGGCTCATGCCTGTAATCCCCGCACTTTGGGAGGCTGAGGCTGGTGGATCCCCTGAGGTCAGGAGTTCAAAACCAGCCTGGCCAAGATGAGGTAACCCCATCTCTACTGAAAATATGGGCGTGGTGGTGGGCACCTGTAATCCCAGCTACTTGGGAGGCTGACCTGGGAGTCAGAGGCTGCAGTGAGCCAAGATCACACCACTGCACTCCAGCCTGGGCAGCAGAGTGAGCCTCCGTCCCCCAAAAGCAAACAAACAAAAAACACTAGCTGAAACGGGGAACAGGTGAAAGCACCTCTCCCTAAGACATGCCCTCCAGTGTGCCATGTCAGTTTACCATTGCCATAGCAACACGCAGAACTTACCACCCGTTTCCATGGCAGTCACCCAGAAGTTACCACCCTTTTCTAGAAATTTCTGCATAATCTGCCCCTTCCTTTGCATGCAATTAAAAGTAGGTATAAGTCTCACTGCAGCACTGCCTCTCAGCTGCTATTCTGGGCTCCCTGCCTATGGGGCAGCCCTGCTCTGCCAGGAGCAGAACCTCTGCTACTGCTGTCACTTCAGTAAAACTTACACCACCAGCTCACCCTTGAATTATTTCCTCGGTGAAGCCAAGAACCCTCCCGGGCTAAGCGCAAACTTTGGGGTCTGCCTATCCAGCATCCCTTTCCTCTCTCCTCTCCCAAGCGGTTCTCTCCTGCACTCCCATCCTTCCTCCTTCGGTGTCCTCTTTTTTGTTGGTTTTTTGTCTTGTTTTGTTGAGTCGGAGTTTTCCTCAGTCACCCAGGCTGGAGTACAGTGGCACGATCTCGGCTCACTGCCACCTCTGCCTCCCAGGTTCAAGCCATTCTCCTGCCTCTGCCTCCCAAGTAGCTGGGACTACAAGTGTTAGCCACCACCATGCCCGGGTAACTTAATTTTTTTAATTTTTTTAGTAAAAATAGGGTTTCACCATGTTGGCCAGGCTGGTATGAAACTCCTGGCTTCAAGTGATCCACCCACCTTGGCCTCCCAAAGTGCTGGAGTTACAGGCGTGAGCCACCACACCTGGCCTATTGGCCTGCCTTTCTTTCTTTTCTTTTCTTTCCTTTTCTTTCTTTTTCTTTCTTTCTTTCTTTTTCTTTCTTTCTTTCCTTCTTTCTTTCTCTCTCTTCCTTCCTTCCTTCCTTTCTTCCCTTCCCTTCTCCTTCCTTCCCCTTCCTTCCTTCCTTCCTTCCTTCCTTCCTTCCTTTCCTTCCTTCCTTTCTTTCTTTCTTTCCTTCTTTCCTTCCTTCCTTCCTTCTTTCTTTCTCCTCTCTTTTTTTCCTTCTTTCCTTCTTTCTTTCTGACAGAGTCTCACTCTGTCACCCAGGCTGGAGTGCAGTGGCGTGATCTCAGCTCACTGAAACCTCCACCTCCCGGGTTTAAGCGATTCTCCTGCCTTAGCCTCCCAAGTAGCTGGGATTATAGGCACCCACCACAATGCCCAGCTAATTCTTGTATTTTTAGTAGAGATGGGGTTTCACCACGTTGGCCACCATGTTGGCCAGGCTGGTCTCGAACTCCTGACCTCAGGTGATCCACCCGCCTCGGCCTCCCAAAGTGCTGGGATTACAGGCGTGAGCCACCACGCCCAGCCAGTGTCCTCATTTTCTGTTTCTTGTCCACCTTCTATCTTTCCCCCAAACACTATCCCTGTTGTGGAATTATAGACTATTCCAAAAGAACAGAGCCTTAAACATCTGCTAGTCCAAACCTTTCCCCGGAGCTCACAAAATTCAGCCTATCCTTGATTCTTTCTGTGAACAGGGAGCTCATTATTGAGAAAAGCCATATTTTCCAGCTCTGTTGACCACACAGTTATTCCTTTAGCAGATTCATGCATACAGTAAATACTCAATTGATGTTTGTGGAATCTGTTTCCTGGCCCTTCTGGTACTTTCTGAGCCCCCATCACCCTGACTTACCTTTCAGTATGCTCTCCTCACTTCTCAACTTCTCTACTAAGTTATGTATCCTAAGGCTGGGTGCAGTGGCTTATGCCTGTAATCCCAGCACTTTGGGAGGCCAAAGCGGGAGGATCGCTTGAGCCCAGGAATTGGAGACCAACCTGGGCAACAAAGGGAGACCCACATCTCTACAAAAGATTTAAAAAATTAGCAGGGTGTGGTGGAGCACCTCTGTAGCTACTTAGGAGGCTGAGGCAGGAGGATGTTTTGAGCCCAAGAGTTTGAGGCTCCAGTGAGCCGTGATCACGCCACTGCACGCCAGCCTGGAAAACAGTGAGACCTTGTCTATATATATATCCTAGATGTAAACATCATTTTCAAGGTGTGAAGTGACTTGCAGTCGTCATAGAGTTTATTATTTTATTACTTATTTTATTTTATTTCATTTTGAGACAGAGTCTCGCTGTGTCACCCAGGCTGGAGTGCAGTGGTGCGATCTTGGCTCACCGCAACCTCTGCTTCCCAGGTTCAAGCAATTCTCCTGGCTGAGCCTCCCAAGTAGCTGGGATTACAGGTGCCCACTGCCATGCCCAGCTAATTTTTTTTTTTTTTTTTTGAGACGGAGTTTCGCTCTTGTTGCCCAGGCTGGAGTGCAATGGCGCAATCTTGGCTCACTGCAACCTCCGCCTCCCGGGTTCAGGCTATTCTCGTGCCTCAGCCTCCCGAGTACCTGAGATTACAGGCATGCGACACCACGCCTGACTACTTTTGTATTTTTAGTAGGGACGGGCTTTCTCCATGTTGGTCAGGCTGGTCTCGAACTCCTAACCTCAATTGATCTACCCACCTCGGCCTCCCAACGTGCTCGGATTACAAGTGTGAGTTACTGCGCCTGGCCTGGCCATATATATATATTTCTATAAACTTATTTATAATAAATATATTAACATATATTTATTAATGTATTTGTTAAATATATATTAATAAATATATAAATAAATATATATTAATAAATATATAAATAAATACATATTAATAAATATATAAATAAATATATATGAATAAATCACCAAGCAACTAATGTGAACAAATCTGTCCCTTAGGGGCAGAAACTTACCACAGGGAGGGACTTCGTGTGGTGGATTGTAGAAGTAATAATTCCCGGTTTGTTCACATCTGCTCGTATCCACGCCCTTGGGGAGTCCCCTCCCATGCTGACTCAGGGTTTGGCCATATGACTTATTTTGGCCAATGGGACAATAGAAAATGTGAGAGAAGCAGAGGCTTGAAAAGCATTTGCACACTGAGGTAAAAGAGGGGATATCACTACAGTCCCTATGGACATTAAAAGGATAATGAGGAAATTTTATGAACAACTCTGTGGCAATAAATTTGACAATTTACCTGACATAGACAAGTTCCTCAAAATGCAAAACCACTACGCCTTTATTTTATTTTGAGATGGAGTCTTGCTCTTGTCACCCAGGCTGGAGTGCAATGGCACAACCTTGGCTCACTGCAAACCTCCACCTCCCTGGTTCAAGCGATTCTCCTGCCTCAGCCTCCTGAGTAGCTGGGATTGCAGGCACCTGCCACCATGCCCGGAAAGAAAAGTACAGACCAATATTCTTCAGGAACATCGATACAAACAATCCATCACAAAATATTAGCAAATTGAGTCCAGGAGTATATAAAGAGGAAAACATGTCCTGATCAAGTGGAATTTGTCCGAGGGATACAAGGTGGGTTCGGCATTTGAAAATCAATCAATGGGACTGGGCAAGGTGGCTCAGAGAGAGACTCTGTTTAAAAAAAAAAAAAAAAAGTGGCCGGGTGTGATGGCTCATGCCTGTAATCCCAGCACTTTAGGAGGCTGAGGCAGGTGGATCACCTGAGGTCAGGAGTTCGAGACCAGCCTGGCCAACATGGTGAAACCCCGTCTCAACTAAAAATAAAAAAATTAGCTGCGTGTGGTGGCAGGCACCTGCAATCCCAGCTACTCGGGGGACCAAGGCAGGAGAATCGCTTGAACCCGGGAGGCGGAGGTTGCAGTGAGCTGAGATCGCGCCAGTGCACTCCAGCCTGGGGGATAAGAGGGAGACCTTGTCTCAAAAAAATAAATAAAATAAAATAAAATCAATCAATGGAATTGCCAAATTAAGAGATTAAACAAAGAAATACATGAAACATGGCTAATATCATACTTAATAGTAAGACTCAATGTTTTATCCTAAGATTGGAAACAAGGTAAGGATGTCCAGTTTTGTTTTGTTTTGTTTTTTTTTTGAGACAGTCTCTCTGTCGCCATGCTGGAGTGCAGTGGCGCGATCTCAGCTCACTGCAACCTCTGCCTCCCAGGTTCAAGCAATTCCCCTGCCTGAGCCTCCTGAGTAGCTGGGATTACAGGCGCGTGCCACCTTGCCTGGCTTCTTTTTTTTTTTTTTGTATTTTAGTTGAGACGGGGTTTCACCATGTTGGCCAGGATGATCTCGATCTCCTGACCTCGTGATCTGCCCACCTCGGCCTCCCAAAGTGCTGGGATTACAGGCGAGAGCCACCGCGCCCAGCCTGGTTTTTGTTTTGTTTTTTGAGACAGGGTGTTGTTGCTTTGTCCCTCAGGCTGGAGTGCAGTGGCACGATCTCATCTCACTGCAACCTCTGCCTTCCAGGTTCAAACGATTCTCCCAACTCAGGCTGCCAAGTAGCTGGGATTACAGGCACATGCCACCACACCCAGCTAATTTTTGTATTTTTAGTAGAGACGGGGTTCCGCATTGTTGGCCAGGCCGGTCTCGAACTCCTGACCTCAGGTGATCCGCCCACCTTGGCCTCCCAAAGTGCTGAGATTACAGGCGTGAGCCACCATGCCTGGCCAAGGATGTCTGTTCTTACTACCTCTATTCAGTATTGTATTGGAAGTCCCAGACAGTGCAATAAGGTAGGAAATGAAATAAAAAGCACACAGACTTGGAAAGAAGAGAAAGATGATAGCGAACATATATGAAAAGAAAGAAAAATAAAACATCATCTACACAAAAAATCAGAATGAATGTACAAAAAACCTACTAGATCCAGTAAGTGATTTAGTGAAGTTGTAGAATACAAGGTCTATATATAAAACTAAACTGTATTTCTACACGATAACAATGAATAATTGGGAATTGAAAAATTTAAAAATCAATATCTTTTTTTTTTTTTGAGATGGAGTTTGGCTCTTGTTGACCAGGCTGGAGTTCAGTGGCGCCATCTCAGCTTATCACAACCTCCACCTCCTGGGTTCAAGCGATTCTCCTGCCTCAGCCTCCTGAGTAAATGGGATTACAGGCATGCGCCATCACGCCCATCTAATTTTTGTATTTTTAGTACAGACAGGGTTTCTCCATGTTGGCCAGGCTGGTCCCGAACTCCCAACCTCAGGTGATCCACCCACCTCAGCCTCCCAAAGGGCTAGGATTATAGGTGTGAGTCACCATGCCTGGCTTTTTTTTTTTTTTTTTTTTTTTTTTTTTAGGACTAAGTCTCACTCTGTTGCCCCAGGCTGGAGTGCAGTGGCATGATCTCAGCTCACTGCAACCGCTGCCTCCAGAGTTCAAGTGATTCTCCTGCCTCAGCATTCCTGAGTAGCTGGAATTACAGGCACCTGCCACCACTCCTGGCTAATTTTTGAATTTTTAGTAGGACGGGGTTTCACTATGTTGGCCAGGCTGGTCTTGAACTCCTGACCTCGTGATCTGCTGGTTTCAGCCTCCCAAAGTTCTGGGATTAGAGACATGAGCTGCTGTGCCCAGCCGTGACTCCGTCTTTATAAAAAAAAAATTAAAAATGAGCTAGGCATGGTGTCGCATGCCTCTAGTCCCACCTACTTGGGAGGCAGAGGTGGGAGGATCGATTGAGCCTAGGAGGTGGAGACTGCACTGAGCTATGATCATGCCTGTGCACTCCCTCCCAGCTGGGCGACAGAGAGAGAACCTGTCTCTAAAAAAAAAACAAGAAACAAACAAAAGAACAGGGACTTGAACGTGCACAGAGTGGCAAGTTCTGCCGCTTGCCAGCTAGATGGCCTCGGGTTTAAGCTCTCCCAGACTGTTTTACCATCTTTGTATTCTACCTGATTTTAGTCCCTGACACAAAAGTTTGCTTTGTAATGTAAAGAAAACTAAGCAGGACTGGGGCAGTGGCTTGTCAGTAATCCCAGCGCTTTGAGAGACTGAGGCCGGAGAATCGTCCAGTTTAAGACCAGCCTGGGCAACATAGTGAGATCCCAACTCTGAAATAAACCAAACACAAAAATTAGAGATAACATAAAGATATCCTCACAGATGCACGTGAAGATTCGTACATATTCATCCCCTCGCCGGGCGCCGTGGCTCATGCCTGTAATCCCAGCACTTTGGGAGGCCAAGGCGGGTGGATCACCTGAGGTTGGGAGCTCGAGCCAGCCTGGCCAACATGGAGAAACCCTGTCTCTACTAAAAATACAAAATTTACCAGGCGTGGTGGCGCATGCCTGTAATCCCAGCTACTCAGGAGGCTGAGGCAGGAGAATTGCTTGAACCCGGGAGATGGAGGTTGCAGTGAGCTGAGATCGTGCCTTTACACTCCAGCAATAAGAGTGAAACTCCATCTCAAAAAAAAAAAAAAAGATATTCATCCCGGTTTCATTCATAACACTGAAATGTCAGAAACAACCATGATCACAGGATTAAGTTACTTGATAAATATAACCATAACCCCCCCCCGCCTCAAAACAGTGGCTGGTATACAATAAGTGTTCAATAAACATGAACAATGCTTGATATTCTGCCTAATTGATGTGACAAATATTTCCTCCCAGACTGTTGCTCTGCCTGTCTTCTGTTATGTTTTATTTTCTGTTTTGTTTTTGTTATTGTTTTTTGAGACAGAGTCTTGCTCTGTCGTCCAGGCTGGAGTGCAGTAGTGCGATGTCGACTCACTGCAACTTCCACCTCCCGGGTTCAAGCGATTCTCCTGCCTCAGCCTCCCAAGTAGCTGGGACTAATTTTTGTATTTTTAGTAGAGATGGGGTTTTGCCATGTTGACCAGGCTGGTCTGGAACTCCTGACCTCAGGTAATCCGCCTGCCTCGGCCTCCCAGAGTGCTGGGATTACAGGAGTGAGCCACCATGCCCGGCTTTCTGTCATTTTAAAGAAATATTTAGGCCAGGTGCGATGGCTCAAGCCCGTGATCCCAACACTCTGGGAGGTGGAGGTGGGCCAGCCACTTGAGCCCAGGAGTTCAACACCAGCCTGGGCAGAACAGTGAGACCCTGTCTCTACTTTTGTAAAATAAAAAATAATAAAATTTAAAAAGAGCCAGGCAAGGTGGCTCATGCCCGTAATCCTAGCACTTCGAAAGGCCAAGGCAGGCAGATTGCTTGAGCCAAGGAGTTTGAGACGATCCTGGGCAACATAGGGAGACCTCACCTCTACTAAAAATAAAAAAATTAGCTAGGCATGGTGGTACATGCCCTGTAGTCCCAGCTACTTGGGAGGCTGAGGTGGGAGGATCACTTGAACCCAGGAGGCAGAGGCTGCAGTGAGCTGAGACAGTGCCACTGCACTACAGCCTGGGTGATGGGATGAGACCCTGTCTCGAAAATAAATAAATAAGTAAAACAAAAAGAAATATTTAACAATTTCAAAACAGGATCATTTCTGGGGGCTTTAAAAATTATCAAATAAATTTAAAAATTATCACAATAATGCAATCTCATTGTTAAAGTGTCAAACAGTAGAAAAGTAAAAATATTGAAATTCTCCCCCTTAAATTCCCACCCTGATATTTCTTCCCAAGGAACTATCCTCCCAGGGCATCCCGTGCATGTACAAACCTGTGTGTCATGGACGGTCTTGGACGTAAATGTGATCATACTGTACACAATGTTCTATGACTCTTTTTATCCGTGGAGCAGAGTACCTAGGAATTTTTTTTATGTCAATAGCTATAAGTCTGTTTCATTCTTGTTAATGGCTTCAGAGCATTCCCGTAAGGTACTGTGCCCTAATTTATTAAACTATGCCTCTGTTGTCAGTCACTGAGACTGTTTTCCAATTTTCACTTTTATAAGCAACGGCATCATTGCAGAAAAGCGCTGTGAGGAACACACATCTTTAGACGCATGCGTTTATAGAGGATTGATTGTTGGACGAAACCCGGCTAGGTCAAAAGTTATGCGCTTTATATTTGTTGTTTACTGGGAGGCCAAGGCGGGCGGATCACAAGGTCAGGAGATCGAGACCATCCTGGTTAACATGGTGAAACCCCGTCTCTACTCAAAATACAAAAAATTAGCCGGGCGTGGCGGCGGGCGCCTGTAGTCCCAGCTCCTTGGGAGGCTGAGGCAGGAGAAGGGCATGAACCCAGGAGGCGGAGCTTGCAGTGAGCCGAGATCACGCCACTGCACTCCAGCCTGGGCGACAGAGCGAGACTCCGTCTCAAAAAAAAAAAAAAAAAAATTTGTTGCATGATGACAGTCAAATTCCCTTCCCCCTAAAATCTCCATAATTGACAGTTTCCCAGCCTAACACTGTGAAGATGTTTCTTATTCACCCAACTTTCAGTGTGACTGGATGTGTTAATATTTTTAGCATTTGCCAAATTAAGAAGTGAAAACTGGCCGGGCATGGTGGCTCACACCTGTAATCCCAGCACTTTGGGAAGCTGAGGCAGGAGGATCGCTGGAGCCCAGGAGTTCGAGGCCGGCCTGGGCAACAAAGTGAGACCCCCCACCCGCCTCCGCCATCTCACTTTGAAAAAATAAAACAAATTAGTCAGGTGTGGTGACAGGGGCCTGTAGTCTCAGCTACTGGGGAGGCTGAGGTGGGAGGATTGCTTGAGCCCAGGAGGTCGAGGCTGCTGTGAGATATGATTGCCCAATAGCACTCCAGCCTGGGCGACAGAGCGGTACCCATTCTCAAAAACAGCAAGAACACCAACAAAAACACCAAAAAGATAAAAAAGGAAATAATAATACTACCTATATCAAAGGGCTAAAAATTAAGTTATTTGATAAATACAACCCCCCCCAAACAATGGCTGGTATATATAATAGTAAGTGTTCAATAAACATGAACAAAGCTCGATCATCTGCCTAATTTATGTGACAAATATTTCCTTCCAGGCTATTGGCTTTGTTTGTCTTCTGTCTTTGTTAAGCATGTTTTCATGTCATCAAACGCTCTCATCTTTTCTTTCAAGGCACTGACTTGCAATAAAAGCAAATCTAGGACATTTAAATTGATTGCAGAATAAAAAACTGACTCTGGGCCAGGCACTGGGGCTCACGCCTGTAATCCCATTGCTTTGGGAGGCTAAGGTGGGCAGATCACCTGAGGTCAGGAGTTCAAGACCAGCTGGCCAACATGGTGAAACCCCATCTCTACTAAAAATACAAAAATTAGCTGGGCATGGTGGCTTATGCCTGTAATCCCAGCTACTCAGGAGACTGAGACAGGAGAATCGCTTGAACCCGGGAGGCGGAGGTTGCAGTGAGCCGAGATCAAACCACTGCACACCAGCCTGGGCGACAGAGTGAGACTTCATCTCAAAAAACAAAACAGAACAAAACAAAACAAAAGGAAGGAAATTGGGAAAAAAGAAGGGAGTATTAGCAGTGTTCACATCCAGGCGGTGGAATTCCTGTGACCTTTTCTTTTTTTACACTCTGCTTTCCATGAACATATATTTCCAAATGAACACATATTACCTTTATGTTTATGTTGCATTTGTTTTATAAATTTGTTCTAAGCACACAAGTAATAATTTGTTTGTGGGTTTGTTTGTTTGAGATGGAGTCTCACTCTGTTGCCCAGGCTGGAGTGCAGTGGTGTGATCTCAGATCACTGCAACCTCCACCTCCTGGGTTCAAGTGATTCTCCTGCCTCAGCCTCCCGAGTAGCTGGGATTACAGGCGACCACCACCACGCCCGGCTAAATTTTTTGTATTTTTAGTAGATACGGGGTTTCATCTTCTTGTCCAGGCTGGTCTCGAACTCCTGACCTCAAGTGATCCACCTGCCTCAGCCTCCCAAAGTGCTGGGATTACAGGCATGAGCCACTGCACCTGGCTGAAGCACACAGGTAATGATTTTATAATGAGAACAGTACTCCCTCCCCTCCCCTCCTTTCCAATAAATGTTAATTCTAAACGACAAAAAAAAAAAAAAAAAAAGCAGTAAGTCAGCCCACAGCTACTCGGTGCTTAACCCTCCCCTAGTCAGCAAAGCTCCACCCCGGAGCCAGACGCCTGAACGCCATAGCAGGACCGCCCCCTGGTGGCAGAAAAGTAAGAATCTGGTCCAGGTAGGTGTGTGCGTCAGTTTCCTCCTGCAAGGAGCTCTGTTTTGTTTTATCTTAGTTTTATTTTATTATTAATTTTTTTGAGACGGTGTCCTGCTCTGTCGCCCAGGCTGGAGCGCAGTGGCACGATCTTAGCTCACTGCAACCTCTGCCTCCTGGGTTCGAGCGATTCTCCTGCCTCAGCCTCCTGAGTAGCTGGGATTACAGGCGTGCGTCTCCACGCCCAGCTAATTTTTGTATTTTTAGTAAAGACGGGGTTTCACCATGTTGGCCAGGCTGGTCTCGAACTCCTGACCTCAGGTGATCCCACCCGTCTTGGCCTCTCGAAGTGCTGGGATTACAGGCGTGAGCCACCGTGCCTGGCCTATTTTATTTTATTAATGTATTATTCTTTATTAGAGACGGGGGGGGGGGTCTCACTATGTTACCCAGGCTGGTTTCGAACTCCTGACGTCAAGCGATCCTCCCACTTTGGCCCCCCAAAGTGCTGGGATTACAGGTGTGAGCCACCACGCCCAGCCTGTTTCCTTTTATTTAGATCACAGGTCGGGCATGGTGGCTCACGCCTGTAATCCCAGCAGTTTGGGAGGCCAAAGTGGGAAGATCGTCTGAGGTCGGGAGTTCAAGACCAGCCTCACCAACATGTAGAAACCCTGTCTCTACTAAAAATACAAAATTAGCCAAGTGTGGCGGCACATGCCTGCAATCCCTGCTACTCGGGAGGCTGAGGCAGGAGAATCGCTTTAACTCCAGAGGCAGAGGTTGCGGTGAGCTGAGACGGAGGTTGTGGTGAGCCAAGATCATGCCATTGCACTCAAGCCTGGGCAACAAGAACAAAACTCCATCTCAAAAAAATAAAAATAAAGATAAATTACAAAGCAACCCACTGGGACTAAAATTAGGTAGAATACACAGGTGACAAATTTGAGAATGGGGGAAGGGAAGCCCAAGGTCAGCTGGCTAGCAATGGGCAGAACCTGCCAATCTGTGCAAATGTAGGACCCTGATTTTTTTTTTCCTTTCTGGCAATAAAGAAGGAAAGGAAAATTCCCTGTTTTTTGCTTTTTTTGTTATTATTTTTGTTTCAGAGATAGGGTCTTGCTCTGTCACCCAGGCTGGAGTGTAGTGGTGTGATAATAGATCACTGCAGCCTCAAACTCCTGGGCTCAAGCAATCCTCCTGCCTTAGCCTCCCAAAGTGCTGGGATTACAGGTGTGAGCCGCCATGCCCAGCCTCTTATTTTTTTTAATTTGTTTATTTATTTTTTGAGATAGAGGCTTATTCTGTCACCCAGGCTGGAGCGTAGTGGCATGATCTCGGCTCATTGTAATCTCTGCCTCCCAGGTTCAAGCAATTCTCGTGCCTCAGCCTCGCAAGAAGCTGGGATTACAGGCACGCACCACCACATCCAGCTATTTTGTATTTTTAGTAGAGAAGGGGTTTCACCATGTTGGCCAGGCTGGTCTCCAACTCCTGGCATCAAGTGACCTACCTGCCTTGGCCTCCCAAAGTACTGAGATTACAGGCATGAGCCACTGTGCCTGGCCTAAACTTATTATTAATATTATTTTTATAAAAGGTTTTACTCTGTTGCCCAGGCTGGAGTGCAGTGGTGCAATTATAGCTCACTGCAGCCTCTAACTCCTGGGCTCAAGCGATCTTCTAACTTCAGCTTCCCAAGTAGCTGGGACTACAGAAGCCCACCCTCACACTCAGCTACTTTTAATATTTTTCATAGAGTCAGAGTCTCACTATGTCACCCAGGCTGGTCTTGAACCCCTGGCCTCAAGCGATCCTCCTGCTTTGGCCTCCCAAAGTGTTGGGATTACAAGTATGAGCCACTGCACTTGGCCTGGGTGGCCAAAAGATGTCCTACAGCCTGACCAGGTTGGTTCTTCCCTGTCCAACCTCTACATGGCCATTTCCAGACACTGGGCAACAAACACACCAAGAGGCTGGGTGCGGTGGCTCATGCCTGTAATCCCAGCATTTTGGGAGGCCAAGGCAGGCAGATTTCTTGAGGTCAGGAGTTCAAGATCAGCTTGGCCAACATGGCAAAACCCCATCTCTACTAAGAATTAAAAAGAAAATTAGCTGGGCATGGTGGCATGCACCTATAATCTCAGCTATTCAGGAAGCTGAGGTGGGAGAATCACTTGAGCCCAGGAGGTGGAGGTTGCGCTAAGGCGAGATCACACAACTGCACTCCAGCCTGGGTGACAGATAGAGACTCTGTCAAAGAAAGAAAGAAAAAGAGGAGAGGGAGAGGGAGAGGGGGAGAGAGAGACAGAGAGACAGACAGAGAGAGACAGAGAGAGACAGAGAGAGAGAGACCAAGAAAACACTCTTGAGAATGTGACTTTATCAGTCTCTTGGGTCCACACCTCGTGGCCAGCTCCTGTGGATTGCAGGACAGGGCCCCTGACCCTGAACCCAGGTCCTCACTGTAACCTCAAAATTTCTTGGCGCTAGCTGAGTCTCAAGCTCTGGAACCAGAGAGGGGTAGCCTAGAGAGTCCAGGAAGGTCCAGTTGAGGCTCAGTTCCAACTCTGTTAGTCAATAGTTTGTTTTTTGTTTGTTTTTATTTTAATTTTTTGAGACAGGGTCTCGCCCTATTGCCCAGGCTGGAGTGCAGTGGCATGATCATGGCTCACTGCAGCCTAGACCTCCCTTGGCTCAAGTGATCCTCCTACCTCAGCCTCCCTAGGATCTGGGATTTCGGGCTCACACCACCATGCCTGGCTAATTTTTTGTATTTCTGATAGAGATGGGGTTTTGCCATGTTGCCCAGGCTGATGTCGAACTACTGAGCTCAAGCAATCCACTCGCCTCGGCCTCTCAAAGTGCTTGGATTACAGGCGTGAGCTACTGCAGCCCAGCCTGTTGATCATTAGTGATGATCACCAAATATTTCCAATGCTCTCTCTTCTGGGCACATGGTAGGGCTGTTTTTTCCTGGCCACTTACAGTTGGGTAGGACCATGTGACTTTTTCTAGCCAATGAGCAGTGAGATAAAAGTATTGCATCATTTCTGGACCAGAGTATTTAATGATGGGTATGAGGCCTTCCAGAGATGTCTTTCCTCAGTCACAGTGACCCAAAACATTCCAGATAGTGACTACTTTTGTTTTAGAGACAGTCTCACTCTGTCGCCCAGGCTGGAGTGCAGTGGTGAAATCATAGCTCACTGCAGCCTCGAATTCTTGGGCTCAAGCGATTCTCCTGCTTCGACCTCGCAAATAGCCGAGACTACAGGTGCATGCCACTATGCTCAGCTGATTTTAAAAAGTTTTTTAGAGATGAGGTCTTGCTATGTTTCCCAGGCTGGTCTCAAACTCCTGGGCTCAAGCAATCCTCCTGCCTCAGCCTCCCAAGTAGCTGGGACTATAGGCATGAGCCACTGCACCCAGCTCAGAAATTACTTTTGTATTGTTTTTGCCCCCCAAGACTTTGGTGTTATTTGTTACAGCGGCATAACCTGACTTGTCCTGCCTGATCCATTACACCATCCACATCATGGCAGCTGAGTCTAGCCAAGGGCTTCTATGTTAATTTGCTAGGATTCACTGTCACAAAGTTCCACAGATGGGGTGACTTCAGCAACAAAAACGTATTGTCGGCTGGGTGAGGTGGCTCACGCCTGTAATCCCAGCACTCTGGGAGGCTGAGGCAGTTGGATTGCTTGAGCCCAGGTTCAAGACCAGCCTGGGCAATATGGCAAAACCTTGTCTCCATCAAAAATACAAAAATTAAGCCAGGTGTGGTGGCATGTGCCTGTGGTCCCAACTACCAGGGAGGATGAGGTGGGAGGATGGTTTAAGCCTGGGCGTGGTTGCAGTGAGCTGAGATGGCGCCACTGCACTCCAGGGTGGGCAACAGAGCCAGACCCTATCTCAAAATAAAACAAAACAAAATCAGAGAGAAAGAGAGAGAGTGGGAGTTATCTCAGGGATCTTTGCTTCGTCTTTGGAGCTTGATGTCATTCGACATTTACTGAGCACCTACCATGAGCCAGGTGCTGTTCTATGCAAGGTTCTTCCAGTGATGGAACTTATATTTAAGTGTGTCTTGCAGAGACAGATGAGAAACAAGTAAGCAAGTGAGGCCTGATGTGATGGCTCGTGCCTGTAATCCCAGCACTTTGGATGGCCAAGGCAGAAGGATCAATTGAACCCTGGAATTTGAGAACAGCCTGGACAACCTAGCGAGACCCTTGTCTCTACCAAAATTTTTTTTTAAAAATTATCCAGGTGTGGTGGTGCTTGCCTGTAGTCCCAGCTACTTGGCAGGCTGAGGTGGGAGCATCACTTGAGCCTGGGAGGTTGAAGCTGCAGTGAGCTATGACTTCACTACTGCACTCCAGCCTAGGCAACAGAGTGAGATCCTGTCTCTAAAAAAAAAAAAGTTAATTAAAAACTTTAGGCCGGGTGTGGTGGCTCACACCTGTAATCCCAGCACTTTGGGAGGCTGAGGCAGGCAGATTACCTGAGGTCAGGAGTTAGAGACCAGCCTGGCCAACATGGTGAAACCCCGTCTCTATTAAAAATACAAAAATTAGCCAGGTGTGGTGGCGGTTGCCTGTAATCTCAGCTACTTGGGAGGCTGAGGCAGGAGAATAGCTTGAACCCGGGAGGCAGAGGTTGCAGTGAGCCGAGATGACACCACTGCACTCCAGCCTGGGCAACAGAGTGAAACTCTGTCTCAAAAACAAACAAACAAACAAACAAAACAACAACACCAACAACACTTTATACCTGTAATCCCATCACTTTGGGAGGCCAAGACAGGTAGATCGCTTGAGCCCAGAAGTTTGAGACCAGCCTGGACAATATGGTGAGACCCCCATATCTACAAAAAAAAAAAAAAAAAAACTAGCTGCATGTGGTGACTCGCGCCTGTAGTCCCAGTTACTCGGGAGGTTGAGGTGGGAGGATCACTTGAGCTCAGGAGGTCAAAGCTGCAGTAAGCCGTGATCACATCACCGCACTCCAGCCTGGGTGACAGAGTGGGATCTTGTCTCAAAATAATAATAATAATAATAATAATAATAATAATAATAATAATAATAATAATAGTAATAATAAACAATGAAAACAATAAAAACAAGTGAAGCAACTGTGACTAATGAAGTGCTTTAAAGGCAAGGAGACAGGGGCCAACGGGAACAGGGAAGTTACTGTACACAGTCCGAAGAGGTGACAATTGAGGACAGGCTTAATCAGCTACACAGGGAGTAAAAAGCCCAATTCTGTGCTTTGAGCCAGGAATCGATGGAGAATTTGAGGAATAGAATGAAGGCTGGTACAACTGGAGCCTTGTGAGCCAGGATGGAAGGGGAGCCAGTTAAGATACAGACACCAGTAGGTGCCAAACTATGGACTGAACTTTCCCCTAAATGTCCCCCTCCACCCTCAAAACTCAGAGATCTGGAGGGCGCAGGGATATCGGCGGGGGTGGGGGGGCTTGGAGGGAAAGACACAGAGGGGGCGTCAGTAGCACCTCGGACAGCACCATCCCTGTCCATGGTGCTGACAGCTCGAGGCACTGACAGTCGGTGGGAATTTAAAATGGTGCAGCCGCTATGGAAAAGTTTGGCGTTTCTTCAATTCAACACAGAATCTCCATGTAACCCAACAATTCCACTCCCGGGCATCTAGCCAAGGAAGTTGAAAGCAGGGATCCAGATAGTTGTACACCTGTGTTCACAGCAGCATGACTCCCCATAGCCAAAAGGTGGAAGCAACTCAAGCGTCCAACAGATGAACCAATAAATACCATGTGGTCCATCTACACAATGGGATATTATTCACTCATAAAAAAGATAAACCGTTCTGGCCGGTCAAGGAGGCTCATGCCTGTAATCCCAACACTTTGGGAGGCCAAGGCGGGCAGATCACTTCAGGTCAGGAGTTTGAGACCAGCCTGGGCAACGTGATGAAATGCCGTCTCTACTAAAAATACAAAAATTAAGGCCAGGTGTGGTGGCACATGCCTGTATTCCCAGCACTTTGGAAGGCTGAGGCAGGTGGATGGCTTGAGGCCAGGAGTTTGAGACCAGACTGGCCAACATGGTGAAACCCCTTCTCTACAAAAAATACAAAAATTAGCCAGGCATGGTGGTGCTCGCCTGTGGCCCCAGCTACTTGGAAGGCTGAGGCATGAGAATCACTTGAATCCAAGAGCTGGAGGCTGCAATAAGCTGAGATCGCATCACTGCACTCCAGCCTAGGTGACAGAGAGAGACACTGTCTCAAAAATTAAAACAAAAAACAAAACAAAACCAAAAAACCCCCCCACAAAATTTAGCTGGGTGTGGTGGCGGGCGCCTGTAATCCCAGCTACTCAGGAGGCTGAGGCAGGAGAATCGCTTGAACCCGGGAGATGGAGGTCGCAGTGAGCAGAGATCATGCCACTGCACTCCAGCCTCCAGCCTGGGTGACAGAGTGAGACTCCATCTCAAAAAAAAAAACACAAAAAACAAAAAACACACAGAAAGAAATTGAGGGGTGCCATATCGGGCCCCCAAGAGCACCTGTGAGCCCGGGAGGGTGGCACGGAATGTCTGGCCCTGTGGTCCGGAGTCAGCACTGGCTTCTGAGGAGCCAGAGAAGGGGCAGAGTGGGGACAAGCACCTAGTGGGGCTCCGTGTGGATTCTAGAAAGGCATTCCCTGTGGGGGGCAAGCACCAGGTGGTGTCAGACCCCAGCCCCAGCCATCCTGAGCACAGAAGGTGGGTCCCCAGTCCGAAAACGACAGGAAGCCATTTCCAAGAGGCGAGTTTATTGGGGGAGGGGCTGGTCAAGTCATCAGTGCAACACTGCATCCCCGCTCAGGGCAGGTCAGTCCAGTGTGTGGGCCGCGGGGGTCACAGGCATAGCAGCAGGAGGGGGAGTGAGCTACCCCCACGGGGCCACCCCCAGCCCAGTCCAGGGGTGGGAGGGAGGGGGTGACCCCTGTCGAGGTCCTCAGGCATCTGTGGCTGAGCCGGGCGGCTCCTGGGGCAGACAGCGTCGTTGCCGGAGAATCGACTTCTCCTCCTCCTGCGAGGGAAGGTCACACACACGTCACCCAGCACGGGACACTGATGCGTCACATGTCAGCCAGCACCCAGCACACACAGGATCTCAAATACGCCCCCGGCTCCCCTGCCTGACACTGTACTCATGACCCTCTGGGGGATGTGAGGGGACCCTGGGCCACCCACTCTCACCATCTCGGAGGCAGTGCTGGGGCTTGCGCCCTCGGGGGACCCCCCTTCATCCCTCGAGCAGTCGGGTCCGGCGTCCTCCTCATACTCTGTCAGACAATCTGACTCCTCTCCTGGAATCGGGGAGCAGGGCACAGGTGAGGGGATTGGGGCTGGCCTGCCATCTCCAGCCACTCCCCTCCCTCTTGGGGGGTCCCCTGGGCCCCTCACCGTCAGCACAGCCATCAGAGACATAGCTCGTGGGGGGCTCAATCCGGGACACAATCTCTGCCAAGTCAGTGAAGCCAGAGCTTGGGAAGGCAAGCACCTGTGGGGTGACACTGGTGAGGCTCTTAGGGGGGGCCCACAGAGTCTTGGGGCCCCTGGGGGGCCCAGTGGTGCATTGGGGGCTCAGAGGAGATCCTAGGGTGGGAACTCTCTGAAGTCAGCAGAGGTCTGAGAGCTCAGCAAAACCCAGGGACATGTGGGGTCATCTGAGGTTTCGGGGAGACTTTAAGGGGGCTTGGGTTCTGTAATCAGTGGAGTCAGAGTGGCCCTGGGGGCATCACAGGCTTACGTCTGCACGGCGGCTCTCATTAAGGTCTGTAGACCGCCGGTCTGTGAGCATTTTCTCAATGACGTTGCCACGGCTCCAGCCTCCAAACACCGCCTTCCCGTACTGGTAGCCCACATCCTGTGGGAAATGAGGGGCTGGGTCCATGTCTGCAACCCTGCTTTGCTTGTCCCCACTCTGTCTGCCCATTCTCTGGCCCCTCAAAAGCCTGATTCTCTGGGGGAGTTGCATTTGAGACTAAACCTATTTCAGAGTCAGCTGCACATAGCACACTCGCCTACACATCCCCTGTCCTGCCCTTGACAGACATTACCAATCAATCTCTCCATGTTCTTTCCCACACAGCCCCATGCAGGGTGCTGGGTAGCAAATAACACAAGGTGGTGATGTGTGAGCTTATTTTGAAGTCTGCAAACAGGCAGTACATCTGTGGATGTCGCCATCCCCAAGCCCACAGCAAACATCTTGAATTTCTCATGGCATGCTATCCCAGTGAGCCCACAAGGGACATCACACATCTCTTCTCAGACTCAGGGCTTCTGGGCTGCAGCTACTGATCAATTTCTTTCTTTTTAAAAAAATTTTTATTATTTTTATCTTTAATTTTTAAAATTAATATTATTTTTTGAGACAGAGTCTCACTCTGTCACCCAGGCTGGAGTGCAGTGGCACAATCTTGGCTCACTGCAACCACTGCCTCCTAGGTTCAAGCGATTTCTCCTGCTGCAGCCTCTCAAGTAGCTGGGACTATAGGCATGTGCCACCACACCCAGCTAATTTTTGTATATTTAGTAGAGATGAGGTTTCACCATGTTGACCAGGCTGGTCTTGAACTCCTGACTTCAAGTGATCTGCCCACCTCGGCCTCCCAAAATGCTGGGATTAAATGCATGAGCCACCATGCCTGGCCCTTTCTTTTTCTTAGAGACAGAGTTTTGCTCTGTCACCCAGGCTGGAGTGCAGTGACGCAATCATAGCTCACTGCAGCTTCAAACTCCTGGGCTCGAGCGGTCCTCCCACCTCAGCCCCCTAAGTAGCTGGGGTGACAGGCATGCACAACCACACCCAGCTAATTTTTTATTTTTAATCTTTGTAGAGATGGGGTTTTGCTATGTTGCACAGGCTGGTCTTGAACTCCTGGTTTCAAGCAATCCTCCCACCTCAGCTTCCCAAGGTGCTGGGATTACAAGCATGAGCCACCATGCCTGGCCCCCTGATCAATTTCAATTGGCTTGGGCTATGGCACATTTTTCAGGGTCAGTAGCACATAACACACGCACTGCTACCTCCCTCTCCTGGAACTGTGGCAGACATTTCTGCTTCATCACTATTCTCATTCCCACCAATGCAGAAATGGCAGTAGAAATCACTATACAGTGCTTCCAGGGGTGCAGCTGGCCTATAAGGAGAAAGTTCTTACACAGCACATGCACAGCCACACCCCTACTACATCCCCTGCAGACATCACCAATTGATCACTGATCTGTTTTCCAGAGATTCCAGATGGGATTCCTGGATTCCTCCTGGATTCCTCCCCCTCATACCACTCTGGGCTTTAAGTAGCAAAGCTTAGCCGGACCACCTATGCAGGCACCATGCCACTCCTGCCCACTCACATAGATCTGGTCGAACTTCCCAAAGTCCATGGTCTTGAAGCAGTCGATGGGCGGGCGCAGGTACTCGCAGTAGGAGCTGGACTTGACAACCTCTAGCTGCCGCACACAGGACACGTAGGCCAGGCGGGACTGGATTTCAGCCATGTCTGGAACCTTTACCTTGTCAGCCCAGGGATTCAGCCGCTTCCACAGCAGCCACCAGCCGGACAGGCTGTCCCCGTAGGTGCTGAGGTCCGTCTCATCCTGGCTCCCCACGTCAATGGCGATGACCGTTTTGGCACCCATGCTGCGGGCGATGTCCGCTGTGGGGCCAGGGGGGTCAGCGGGCTGCTCCCCTCGGGGGCCCGGGGCAGAGATGTTCAACCCAGTCCCACAGATGCCATCATGCAAATGATCACGCAAAAAAAAAAGAGAGAATACCCACACATGCAAACACCATGCTGTCATGCACAGACGTGCAAATGATGCAACTGAAGTTGAGGAGGGGGGTCAGGTGTTGGGAGGTTTTGTTTTATTTTCTGAGACAGAGTCTCACTCTGTCGCCCAGGCTGGAGTGCAATGGCACGATCTGGGCTCGATGCAACCTCCACCTCCCGGGTTCAAGCAACTCTCTTGCCTCAGCCTCTCAAGTAGCTGGGATTAGAGGCATACACCACCACGCCCAGCTAATTTTTGTATTTTTAGTAGAAACCGGGTTTCACCATGTTGGCCAGGCTGGCCTCGAATTCCTGACCTCAAGTGATCCACCCGCCTCAGCCTCCCAAAGTGCTGGGATTACAGGCATGAGCCACTGTGCCCAGCTCAATAAAGCTTTATTTATACAATCAAACAGAGGGCAGGACTCAGCCTGTGGGCCATAGTTTGCCCACCCCTGGCCTACAAGATTGTGAGCATGTGTGCAGTTGGCGTACATGTCTGTTCATATATGCACACTTCTGGGGTGTGAGATTTTAAGTTGTGTACCTGCCCGCTTCTCACCTGCACCCATAAAGGTGGTAGGCATGACTTAACTCGGTCAGAGGTGCCGCATCCTATCTACGTGTGTGCACATCCCTGCGTGTTTGAGGGAACGTGCAGGACAAACGGGACAGACTGGCATGCGTTGGCAAATGCCCTATTTCACTGACACACGTGTTCATCTGTGCACATGTGCCTGTGTGTACACGTGTGTGTAAGCCCTACCTGCCCCTGAGAGAAAGCATGTGCATATATAGCTGGTGTGCACACGAGTGTTGCATTCCACCTGCATGTCCCCTGATGTGTGTGTGGACGTGTGCACCTGTCCCTCTTGTACGTACATCCACTTGTGCTTAACACAGCACGCCAGCAGGTAGATGTAGATTTCTTTCTTTCTTTTTTTTTTTTTTTGAGACTGAGTCTTGCTCTGTCGCCCAGGCTGGAGTGCAGTAGCATGATCTCAGCTCACTGCAACCTCCAACTCCCAGGTTCAAGTGATTTATCTGCCTCAGCCTCCTGAGTAGCTGGGATTACAGGCACACCCCACCAGCCTGGTTAATTTTTTGTATTTTTAGTAGAGACGGGGTTTCACCATGTTGGCCAGGCGGGTCTCAAACTCCTGACCTCAGGTGATCCACCCACCTCAGGCCTCCCAAAGTGCTGGGATTCCAGGCTGAGCCACCGCGCCTGGCCAGAATGTAGATCTCAACTGCACATGTCGCTGTCCACAGGCACATTCATGTATCATTTTGTGCAAGTGATCGTATGTGTGCGCATGTGTGTCTGCACCCCTGCATGGGCAGCTTGGGCATGTGTCCCGTCATCGAGCCTGTCTGTGTGTGCCCACGCGTGTGCGTGTGTGTGGTGCGGGAGGTGCTTGCGTGTGCGGGTGGTGCGGGCGGCCACTTGCCTGGCAGATTGTTGATGTAGCCGCCATCCATGAGTAGGTGCCCGTCCTTGGGGTCGCACAGCGGGGGCAGGTAGCCCGACAGCGTCATGCTGGCGCGCACGTACCGCCACAGGGAGCCTGCGCGGTGGGACACACAGACACAAACACGCACAGACACGCTCAGACACGCCGGAGGCCCAGCCGGCCCGATGGGCTCGCTGACCTGGGACGTTGTTAACGTAGCACCCGTCCACCAGCAGGTGCCCGTCCTTGGGGTCGCACAGTGGGGGCAGGTAGGGGCAGTAGGAGGCGCTGGCCCGGACGTAACGCCACACACAGCCTGCGGGGATGGCGTGAGGGGGGTAAGGCGTCCGACGAGTCTCCCTGCTCCCCTCCCCCAAGGACGGACGTACCTGGGGTCTCCGGGGCATTAGTGGGTGGCGGTTAGTGGTCGGTGATCGGGCCAGGGTGGACGGTCACTCGTGTTAACAACGTCCCAGAAGCTCAGCGGCCCTCCCGGAAGCATCCCCCCAACCCCACGTGGCGTCAGCGGTTGCTGCAGGCTGGGCGGGGACACCCACCATCTTTGTGGACTCGCATGGCTGAGGCGGTGATATCTGTGGTCACGTTGAAGTAAGGCAGCCACAGGTCCTGCGGGGACAGGGATCGAGGTGGGGGAGGAGCAGGGGGCTCCTCCGGGGAGGGGTAGGCAGGGCAGGGGATGAGGTGGGCCTACCTCAATCTGCTTATCCTGGAAGACCCGATGGATGCTGCGGTTAAAGGCAGACCCAGTGAACATGGAGGTGACTGGGTACGTGAGGTCCAACACAGGTTCCAGCACCGAAGTCATGCTCTAGGGACAAGGGGCCAGACAGGGTCAAATAGGAGTTACATGGGGTCACAGATAAGGTTCATCAATAGGGGGTGAGCAAGCAGCACTTAGGGGCCAGGTGCAGCGGCTCACACTGGTAATCCCAGCACTTTGGAGGCCAAGGCGGGCAGATCACTTGAGGCCAGGAGTTCAAAAGCAGCCTAGCCAACATGGTGAAACCCCATCTCTACTAAAATACAAAAAAATTTGCCGGGCTGGTGGGGCGTGCCTGTAATCCCAGCTACTCATGAGGCTGAGGCGGATAAATCACTTGAACCTGGGAGGTGGAGGTTGCAGTGAGCCGAGATTGTGCCACTGCACTCCAGCCTGGGCGACAGAGCAAGACTCAGTCTCAAAAAAAAAAAAAAAAAAAAAAAAAAAGGAACACTTAGGGATGATGTGGTCATCCAAGGCCATCCACAAGGTGGTCACCAAGGGCCCTGGGTGCTCTCGTTGGGGGTTATGGGTTAGGGTCAGTAGACAGGAGGTCCCAAAGTGGTTACCCAGAGTCCTAGAAGCTTATCTATAAAAGTCCGGACAGCTGGGGATCATAGATTTAATCAGGAAGGGTCACCCTGACCCCGGAGGCTCCCCCATGGGATCAGGTTAGGTTGGAACCACGGGTTTTATGGCACTCCTGGGGTGCAGCAATCCCTCCTCGCAACACACACCTTGGCCCACTCCCGGGCCCGCTGCTTCGTGCGGCTGGCGCTGCGCTCCTCCGCGTACAACGCTCCGATGAAAGAGCCAATGGACGTGCCGCCCACCAGGTCCACGGGGACCCCCGCCTCCTCTAATGCCTTTAGTACTCCGATGTGCGAGCAGCCCCTGCCGGGAAAATGGGCCCCAGTGACCCGCTAGGCCCCACCTGCAGGAACTCCCCTGCCCCTACCTCCTCCCACCTCCCGCACTGCTAAGGAACAAAGGACCCGCCCCTACCCACGGGGTCTCTCCCGGAGGGGAAGCTCCACCCTCGAACACCCAGGCCCCGCCCCCACGGTTTCTCCCAGGAAGCTCCACCCTCGGACATCCAGGCCCCGCCCCCAGAGAGCAAGCCCCGCCCTCACCTGGCCCCGCCCCCGCCTAGCACAAGGGCAATGGTGTTCCCCGTGAGCACCCTCGCCAAGCGGGAGAAGTCGCTGTGCCGGTCCGCGCGCCTGGAGAAAACCTTCTCGTAGAGCTCATGCTGGGATGGGGGAGATAGTCGCGACCCAGGAGCATGAGGGCGGGGTCCGGCGGATCCCCCAGGGGTACCCTGACCTTCGAGCCTGTCCTCAGCCCTCCCAGGCCCCGCCCCAGTCTCCCAAGCCTCGCCCACCAGCCACGCCCCTAGAAGGTGGGGGCCGGCCCGCTCCTCACCAGCTTGGCAGGGCTGCGGCGCGAAAAGAGGCGGCGCGGACAGCGCAGGTGCAGGTGCCCCGAGCACCAGCTGCGCATATTTAGCCACTCCACGGTGCGCGTGGGGCCCGCGCCCTCCTCTCGGTGGAGCAGGACTAGCTGCTTAAGGGCGCGCACAGCCGTGTTCTCCAGCATCTGCTCCAGCTGCGGAATACGGACGGCTGAGGTCACCAGCCGCCCCACCACCACCTGGCCACACCTGGGTCCCTGATCGCCTACCCCCATGGCGAGGGTGCACGTGGCCTGGTGCAGGCACGGGAGGGCAAAGGACGGGACCCGAGGTGGGTGAGATCAGGGGGCACGGGCTTCCGACCTGGCCGAGGGTAGGCTCCTGGTCCCCCAGGCCCACAATGAGGATGCAGTCGGCCTGTCGCAGGCAGCGCACGGTCCAGGGCGTCAGCGAGGCGTCCGTCTGGTAGAGTACGATACGGTGTGCATCCTCCTGCTGGGCCAGCCACCCTGACAGCCGGAACTCTTGGATGCTAGGGTGGGAAGGGGGCAGCGTCATCCTGGGGTTGGCCTGGGGTCAGTGTGCTCCCCGAGACCACATAGCTCCGTTGCTGGGAGGAACTTAGACACCCAAACCCCCACCACGGAAGTCCGTGCTCCGGTGGGCAGATTCACACCACTGCGAATCTCCCCATTGACCTATGGGTAAGACGCAGGCTCCGTGGTTGGAAGCCAAGAACTTGAACTCAGGTCTGAAAGAATTTGAGGCTCCAGGCCCACCCACCACCCTCCCCACTCCCTTCTGCAACACACACCTATCCAGTGCGGAGGCCCCCAGGCGTGCCCGGATGATGTCACTGTTAAGGAGTAGCGTCGGACCTAGGGGTAGGTGGGGAAGGGAGGCTGGGAACCATGGTCCACAGGGCTGGGGCCTAACTCAGAAAAGAATACCCATTACCCCGCCCCTGTGGCCCTGTTCCCCTCCACCCCCCAAATGACCTACCCTAACATCTCTCACTCACTAATGTCCCACCCACCGCCAGCCCCCACCCATGACCCTCACCCCACTGACCGATGGCCTGCAGGGCGTGCTGCAGCTCCAGCGTGAAGGCCACCATGGGGACCTCAGCACACACAGGCAGGATTGCCACAGTTGCCAGGTTGCTGGCTGGGTTGGTGAGTTCCGAGTGTGGGGGCACACCCAACCCAGAGCCTGCTAAGAACCCAATGGATGAGATTTGTGGTGCGAACCTGTGTCCAGAGAGATGAACCCTCCTCCTCCTCTTCTTCCTCTTCCTCCTTATCTGAAATTCTTGCTCCTGTGCTCCCAGACTGCAGCCCCCAGTTGCCCAAAGTCTTGACTCTACCATACAGAAAGCCATGGCTCTGGTCCTGGACCCTCAGCCTCAACTACTATTCCCTCTTTTGTTAAAACCTGGCCATCTACCCTCCACTTTGGGCCCTGATCACCTCAGTGGGATCCATTACACAACTCTACAACCATTCAGATTCACTGTGCTTGGGAGATCAATTGGCCAGTGCCCCTGCCTCATTCTGGCCTTGGTTCCTCTGTCTAATGGGGGACCTGAACATAAAACGAGGCAGAAATAAAGCTATTTTTAGCCTAGCCAACATGGAGAAACACTGCTCTACTAAAAATACACAACAATTAGCCAGGCATGGTGGCATACACCTGTAATCCCAGCTACTTGGGAGGCTGAGGCAGGAGAATCACTTGAACCTGGGAGGCAGAGGTTGCAGTGAGCCGAGATCGTGCCACTGCACTCCAGCCTGGGCTACAGAGCGAGACCCTGTCTTAAAAAGAAAATAAAAGAAAAGACAAAGACAAGAAAAGAAAAGCTACTTTTGACCCAGCTGTTGCTTCCCAGTTTCTCCACTAACAGCCTAGACCAGCTGTCAACTCCCATATCTTGCCTAGACCTCTTGTTGCCTCCTTACTGGTGGAATCCTTCCTCCCCAATCTAACAATAACAATCTAAATAAGCTCAAGTGCCTGTCCACAGCCCCTAGCCCCTATGTGACTTACCCCCCAACCCCCATCACCTCTCCCCTTGATCGCTTTCCTCCTCAGTGCTTCAAAACCACCAGCCTCCTGTGCAGCACCCCTGGTTTCTCTTTCATGTCTGGCCCCATCTTAGTTGTCAAGTCTCAGCTCACTGTCCTTAGAAAAGCCTCTTTCTCCCTCCCTTCCTCCCTCCCTCTTTCAGCCACACGGCAAGATGACCCTCTTTTGTCTTCTAGATATTGTATTCTCTATCTGTAATTTCTTTCCTTTTCTTTTCTTTTTTTTTTTCTTTCTTTTTTTTTTTTTGAGATGGAGTTTTGCTCTGGTTGCCCAGGCTGGAGTGCAATGGCGTAGGCTCGGCTCACTGCAACCTCTGCCTCCCCGGTTCAAGCGATTCTCCTGCCTCAGCCGTCCAAGTAGCTGGGATTACAGGCACCCACCACCACACCCGACTAATTTTTGTACTTTTAGTAGAGATGAGTTTCACCACGTTGGCCAGGCTGGTCTCGAACCCCTGACCTCAAGTGATTCACCTGCCTCAGCCTCACAAAGTGCTGAGATTACAGGCGTGACCCACCGCCCCAGGCCTCTGTAATTTCTTAATGATGTCTTTTCTGCCACTACCGCCCTGCCCCCGCCTTGGGGGATCTAGGGCTCAGGGCCAATTGGGTAGAACCCCTGGAGGGAAAAGGGGTATCTAGGTTGCTGGGCTGGCCCAGAATCTGGCCACCACAATGTAGAAACTCAGGCCCTCATTTCAGCAGGCCTCCAACCCCACCGCACGCCCCATTCTGTTCTAGCTCACTGAAGCCACAGGCTGAAACAGGGGGCTACATCTCCCAGCAAGCTGTAACTTCAGAAGGCGAGGTGCCCAGAGTCCTAAACAACAATCCACAGACTATTTTCCATCATGGTATGGGGAGTTTTGTTTGTTTGCTGTTTTATTTTTTCTGAAACAGGTTCTAGCTCTGTCATCCCGGCTGGAGTACAGTGGCACGATCACGGCTCACTGCAGCCTCGACCTCCGGGCTCAAGCAATCAATCCTCCCGCCTCAGCCTCCTGAGTGGCTGAGACTACAGGCATGTGTCACCAAGCCCAGCTAATGTTTGAAATTTTTGTAGAGACGGGGGTCCTACTATGTTGCCCAGGCTGGTTTCAAACTCAATCTCCTGGGCTCAAGCGATCCTCCTGCCTCAGCCTCCCAAAGTGCTGAGATTACAGGCATGAGCCACCATGACGGCCCTGCCATCATATTCTGATCTAGGACTCCCTTTCTCTCAACGTCCAGGCCGTGGACTTCCCCAGCAAGCCCTGACTCCCGGGCAGACTACGCCAAGTCCACCGCCTAAGACTCCCTCCCCGGCACCACTGATTTACTTTCGAGCCCATTAACTAGCACGCCAGGGGTCGAGGACTTCGTTTCCCAGCATGCTCAGGAACACGAACTCCATTCCCCAGAATGCTCTGCACCTGGGTCCTACTTAGGGTTTGAAACCCTCAGGGGCACGATTTCTTCGCGGAACTCCATTTCCCAGCATCCCTCAGGAAAGAAGGCTTCCCTCCCAGCATGCTCTGGACGCCGGACTACATCTCCCAGCACGCTCTGGGCCGGCCGGCTCTCACCTGGGAAGGGTCCTTGCAGCTGCTGCAAATTCCCTAGAATTTTCTGGCTCAGTAGGTGGATAAGGCGGGTCACGACCTGGGGGCGTTGGAGGCCGGCATTTCAGTGAGACCTGGGAAGCGGCTGTCCAGGTCCCACCTCTCCCTCCTATGCCGGGGCTCCTGGGTGCCCGTTACCTGGGTCCCACCCCCGAGAGCCCCCGCCCTCACTCTCTCGCTTCGGCCCCTCCCTCGACCCCGCCCCTCTGTAAGCCCCGCCCACACACTAGGCCCGGCCCCCACCCCCCCGGAGTCCCGCCTCCGCCTCTCTGCCCCGCCCACAACAGGCCGCACCTGCGGGTACCGGCGTTTGATGTGACCCAAGGTGCCCTCGGGAAGCTTGGCCAGCTCCGTGTCGCGCACCGCGTGCACCGTCGTGGCTCGCGGCTGCCGGGTCAGTGCCTCCACCTGGGGGGCCGCGTGCATGATTGGGGCTGCTTGGGTGGGGAATGAGGAGGCCGAAGATGGGTGGAAAGGGGGCTGTACTGCCCCATCTAGGGCTCCCCTGCAATGGGGGTGTAGGGAAGCAAGCCTCGCTCGCTACCCATTAGAGCTCTGGGGAGAGGGAGAGGACAGGGATCCACGACAGGCGGAATCCCCTTTTTCCAACGAAATGAGGTCTGGGCGGGGAGTGGACTGGGTGACCTCAGAGGTCGGGAGCTGCATTCACCACTCCCTGGATTACCCGGGATGATGTGTGTGAGTTGTCGAGGGACTGGCCTGGAAAAGGCCAGAGGTCAGTGGGTGGGGGTCGCGCTCACCACGCCGATGAGGTCGCCGCGGCCGTACTCGCCCACCAGCTCCTTCTTGCCACTGCCTCGCTGGATCACGCTACGCAGCCGCCCATTGAGCACGATGTAAGTGCAGTCGGAGCGGTCGCCCTGCCTGAGTGGGCGTGGAGGTCAGCAAGGTCTGACCACCCCCAGGTCCCCACCCCTAGGCCGGGCCTGAGCAGCGCGGTGGGAGCTGCACCTGTACAGCGCGCGTCCCGCCTCCACTGCAGTCCAGTCGATGGCGAAGTCCATCTGGCGCACGAAGGGCGACATCCTGGCTGCCACCGTGTGCGCCGCACTCAGCACCACACTGGGCTGTGCGCGCATGATCCTGCAGGAACAGACTTGGGATGAAAGAGGAAGGCCTCAAAACCGTCCTACACCGGCGCTGGGAGGCCAGATCTGGGGGCTCCCTTCTGCTCTTCCAGGAGTGAGGTTGAGGGATGGGGTTCTGGCCACTCCCACGGGTTGGGGTCCTCCGAGTGCCACCCACACTCCAACTTCGGGCTGTCATACTCATAGAAGTCGGACTTGGAGATCCGCAGGAAGGTGCAGTCGCGTTGGGCTCGCAGTGTGAAGATGAGAGGTTCGCCAGTGAGCACCGCCAGCTGCCCCACCAGTTCCCCGGGCTGCGCTACGAACAGGCACACGTCCTCCGCCTTGTCGATCATGCGCTGGTACACGTGCAGGCAGCCCCAGAGCACGAAGTGCAGGCTCACGTCCTGTGCGGGCAGGGGATGTGATGAACACAGAACCCGGACAGCGTGGACCCCAGCTCAGGTCAACATGCCCCCACAGGAAAAAATTAAAGAAGAAAGGAAGGGTTAAGAAAAATATGAAGGCGCAGGGCGCGGTGGCTCACGGCTGTAATCCCAGCGCTTTGGGAGGCCAGGCAGGGGGGATCACTTGAGGCCAGGAGTTCGGCACCAGCCTGGCCAACGTGGCGAAACCTGTCTCTACTAAAATAAAAAAATTAGCTGGGCGTCGTGGCACATGTCTGTAATTCCAGCTACTCAGGAAGCTGAGGCAAGAGAATTGCCTGAACCTGGAAGGCTGAGGTTGCAGTGAGCTGAGATCATGCCATTGCACTCCAGCCTGGGCGACAGAGTGAGACACTGTCTTTAAAAAAAAAAAGAAGAAGAAGGCCAGGCGCGGTGGCTCACGCCTGTAATCCCAGAACTTTGGGAGGCCGAGGCAGGCGGATCAAGAGGTCAGGAGATCGAGACCATCCTGGCTAATACAGTGAAACCCCGTCTCTACTGAAAATACAAAAAATTAGCCGGGTGTGGTGGCGGGCGCCTGTAGTCCCAGCTACTTGGGAGGCTGAGGCAGGAGAATGGCGTGAAACCGGGAGGCGGAGCTTGCAATGAGCCAAGATCGCGCCACTGCACTCCAGCGTGGGCGACAGAGCGAGACTCCGTCTCAAAAAAAAAAAAAGAAAAAAAAGAAACATGAAGGAGAGAATAAAGACTTTGGATATAAGCACCATCTATATATAAATATAAATAAATATAAAAATATTTTTTAGCCGGGCGCGATGGCTCATGCCTGTAATCCCAACACTTTGGGAGGCCTGAGGCAGGCGGATCACGAGGTCAGGAGATCGAGACCATCCTGGCTAACACGGTGAAACCACGTCTCTACTAAAAGTACAAAAAATTAGCCAGGCGTGGTGGCGGGCGCCTGTAGTCCCAGCTACTTGGGAGTCTGAGGCAGGAAAATGGCGTGAACCCGGGAGGAGGAGCTTGCAGTGAGCCGAGATCGCGCCACTGCACTCCAGCCTGGGCGACTGAGCGAGACTCCGTCTCAAAAAAAAAAAAAAAAAAAGAAAAATTTTTTTACATAGATTATATATAGATGAGCAGCATCTCTCTCTCTATATATATATGTGTGTATATATATGTGTGTGTATATATATATATATGTTCCATATACCCAGGATTCAACCAACCTTGGATCTAAAATATTCAGGAAAAAAAAATTGCACCTGCGCAGACCATTTACAGACTATTTTCCCCGTTTTTCCCTAAATAATACAGTATAATGACTATTTACATAGCATTTACATTGTATTAGGTATTATAAGTAATCTCGAGATGATTTAAAGCAAGCTTGTCCACCCTGCTGCCCACGGGCTGCACGTGGCCCAGGATGGCTTCGAATTTGGCCCAACACAAATTCATAAACTTTGTTAAAACATTATGAGATTTTTTTTTTTTTTTTGCGATTTTTTTTCTTTTAGCTCATCAGCTATCTTTAGTGGGGTTTTTTGGTTTGTTGGTTTTGAGACGGTGTCTTGCTCTGTTGCCCAGGCTGGAGTGCAGTGATACAAACTCGGCTCACTGCAACCTCTGCCTCCAGAGTTCAAGTGATTCTCCTGCCTCAGCCTCCCAAGTAGCTGAGATTAAAGGTGCCTGCCACACGCCTGGCTAATTTTTGTATTTTTAGTAGAGACGGGGTTTCACCATGTTGGCCAGGCTGGTCTTGAACTCCTGACCTCAGTGATCCAACCGCCTTGGCCTCTCAAAGTGCTGGGATTACAGGTGTGTGCCACTATGCCCAGCTATAACTGTTAGTGTATTTTATGTGTGGTCCAAGACAATTCTTCCAATGTGGCCCAGGGAAGCCAAAAGATTGGACACCCCTGATTTAAAGTATACTGAAGGGGCTGGGTGTGGTGGCCCACAACTGTAATCCCAGAACTTTGAGAGGCCTAGGTGTGAAGATCGCTTGAGCCCAGGAGTTCAAGACCAGCCTGGGCAACATAGTGAAACCCTGTCTCTACAAAAAAAAAAAAAAAAAAAAAAAAAAAAAAAATTTTTAATTAGCCAGGCATGGTAGCATGTGTCTATAGTCCTGGCTACTCTGGAGGCTGAGGCAGGAGGATTGCTTGAGCCTAGATGTTTGAGGTTGCAGTGAGCTATGATAGCGTCACTACACTCCAGCCTAGGCTACAGTGCAAGACCCCGTCTCTAAAATAAATTAAAGGCCAAGTGCGGTGGCTCACGCCTGCAATCCCAGCATTTTGGGAGGCCAAGGCAGAAGGATCGCTTGATAGTTTCAGCCCAGGAGTTGGAGACCAGCCTGGGCAACATAGTGAGACCCCCGTCTCTAAAAAAAGTAAGAGTAAAATGGGCAAAAGATCTGAATAAAAACTTCTCCAAAGAAGATATACAAATGGCCAATAGGCACATAAAAAGCTGTTCAACGTCAAGTCATTAGAGAAATGCAAAGCAAAACCACAATGACATACTACACTTCACACCCACAAAGATGGCTAGAATTACAAAGGGTTAGAGAGAATGTAGAGAGACTGGAATTCACATACACTGTCAGTGGAAATGTAAAATGGTGCCGCTGCTTTGGAAAACAGTCTAGCAAAGAAACAAACAAACACACAGTGCTTAAAAAAATTAAAAATAGAGGCTGGCCATGGTGGCTCACATCTGTAATCCCAGCACTTTGGGAAGCTGAGGTGGATGGATCACTTGAGGTCAGGAGTTCAAGACCAGCCTGACCAATATGGTGAAACCGTGTTTCTACTAAAAATACAAAAATTAGCTGGGCGTGGCAGCGTGTGCCTGTAATCCCAGCTACTCAGGAGGCTGAGACAGGAGAACTGCTTGAACCTAGGAGGCAGAGGTTGCAGTGAGCTGAGATCGCGCCACTGCACTCCAGCCTGGGCGACATAGCGAGACTCCCTCTTAAAAAAAAAAAAAATTGAATTGGCTTATAACCCAGCAATTCAACTCCTAGGTATATACCCAAGAGAAATGAAAACATATGTCCAAGCACTTTGGGAGGCCAAGGTGGGAGGATCACTTGAGCCCAGGAGTTTAAGACCAGCCTGGGAAACATAGTGAGACCCCACCTTTAAAAAAATAAATAAAATATATGTCTACACAGAAGCCCTTACATAAGGCCGGGTGCAGTGGCTCATGCCTGTAATTCCAGCACTTTAGGAGGGTGAGGCAGGCGGATCACCTCAGGTCAGGAGTTCAAGACCATCCTGGCCAACATGGCGAAACCCTGTCTCTACTACAAATACAAAAATTAGGTGGGCATGGCCAGGTGCAGTGGCTTATGCCTGCCTCAGCTTCCCGTGTAGCTGGGACTACAGGCATGCGCCACCATGCCTGGCTAATTTTTTTTGTTTGTTTTTTGTAGAGACTGGGTTTTGCCATGATGCCCAGGCTGGTCTCGAACTCCTGGACTCAAGAGATCCTCCCGCCGCGGCCTTCCAAAGTGCTGGGATTACAGGCGTGAGCCACTGTGCCCAGCCTAAAGTATATACTTTAAATGGGTAAATTGTATAGTACATGAATTATAGCTCAATAAAACCATTACACCCCCCCAAAAAATATTGTTTCACTTGAGGCCCACTGACTTCCTTTTTTATTTCTTAGAGATCAACCTATTTCTTCCCACCACACAACATTTGCACAAGCTCTTCCTTCTGCCTAGAATGACCTTTCCTCCCACCTGCACCCAGTTTGTTCCTCCCCCTCCTTCCTTCTTAGGTCATGCCCTTAGAGGTGCCACCCTGTCTAAGCCAGACTTTGTAGTGCCAAGATCATTTCCTTTGTGACACTAAGCACTTATGATTTTACAAGAATTTGTGTAATCCTTTGAGTCATGTCTCTCAGAATACGGTGGGCTGCCCAAGGGCAGGGACCACTAAGGGTTTTCCCTGCCCACTTTTTTTTTTTTTTTTTTTTTGAGACAGGGTCTCACTCTGTTGCACAGGCTGGAGTGCAGGGGTGCGATCTCAGCTCACTGCAACCTGTCTCCTGGGTTCAAGTGATTCTCCTGCCTCAGGCTCCCGAGTAGCTGGGACTAGAGGCGCCCGCCATCGTGCCTGACTAATTTTTGAATTTTTAGTAGAAATGGGGTTTCACCATGTTGGCCAGGATGGTCTCGAACTCCTGACCTCAAGTGATCCTCTCACCTCGGCCTCCCAAGGTGCTGGGATTACAGGCGTGAGCCACCGTGCCCAGCCATTTTCCTGCCTCTTGTCCAGCCAGCAGCACACAGTTCGAGATGGGGCAAATGCTGGGTAAACACGTTTCTTTCTTCTTTGGGTAGCCTGACCAGCTAGAAACCTTCCTGTTCCATCCCTTTATAAATAAGGAACTGAAACCGCCCAGAAATGGAGAGATTCCTTCTTTATCCACCACACCAACCTGTCTGGTACCCAGTGAAGCTCCACCTGCCAAAACACTGCAGGGACCCCTGGGTGAGGCACAGTCCCAGGAGATATAAACACATGCTGGAACCTTCTAAGACAGAATTTCCAGACTGTGGCCAGGTGCCGAGGATCACGCCTGTAATCCCAGCACTTTGGGAGGCTGAGGCGAGTGGATCACTTGAGGCCAGGAGTTTGAGACCAGCCTGGCCGACATGGTGAAACCCCATCTCTAGTGCAACTACAAAAATTAGCCAGGCGTGGTGGCACGTGACTGTAGTCCCAGCTTCGAGGGAGGCTGAGGTGGGAGAATCACTTGAATCCGGGAGGCAGAGGTTGCAGTGAGCCAAGATCGCACCGCTGCGCTCCAGCCTGGGCGACAGAGCAAGACTCCGTCTCCGAAAAAAAAAAAAAGTTTCAAGGAGAAGCACAGGAGAGCACAGGGTCCCTAACAAAAGTCCTGCCAACGCAGAGAAGCTCTGAGGGGCTGCAGACCAGCGTGGTACACTGACAGGCCAGGGCTGGGTTGTGGCCAGCAGTCTCCCAGATAAGCAGGGCCCAGGGGCCCCCAAAGAAGCCACAGGGTAACCTTACTTCCTCAGCTATTCTAAGAACAGCTGGCAAAAGCCTTGACTTCCTCTCCAGAAAAGAGCCCATCCCTGCCATGGGTGGTTCAAGGGGACAGCAGAGTCACTGGGTCAAGTGACACAGCAACACTCCAGCCGGCTAACAGTGGGACCACAGCTCCCACCCCACCCCAACCCTGCCCCAGGCTTCTCTCCCCCAAGCCTGGGGCAGAGCTGGGGTCCCAGTGCCTATGACAGCTCACTGTCACCTCAAGCCCCCGCTCCCTATAAGCTGCTGCTAAACACCCTCCCTGACCACTTGTCACTCTTGCAAACCCCACACTGTGGATAATGGACTGTATGGTTCCGGCCTGCTGCTCTGTACATTTGAGCATCCCTGATCTCTACCCATCAGGTGTCAGGAACAGCACCCTGTGAAATCCTAACAATCAAAAATGTCTCAGTAGGCTGGGCACAGTGGTTCATGCCTGTAATCCCAGCTCTTTGGGAGGCCGAGGCAGGCGGATCACCTGAGGTCAGGAGTTTGAGACAAGGCTGGCCAACATGGCAAAACCCCATCTCTACTAAAAATATAAAAAGTAGCCAGGCGTGGTGGCACAACCCTGTAATCCCAGCTACTCGGGAGGCTGAGGCAGGAGAATTGCTTGAACCCAGGAGGCGGAGGTTGCAGTGAGCTGAGATTGTGCCACTGCACTCCAGCCTGGGTGACAACAGCAAGACTCTGTCTCAAAACAAAAAAAAAAAGGCCGGGCGCAGTGGCTCACGCCTGTAATCCCAGCACTTTGGAAGGCCTAGGCGGGCGGATCACGAGGTCAGGAGATCGAGACCACCCTGGCTAACACAGTGAAACCCCCTCTCTAGTAAAAATACAAAAAATTAGCCGGGCATGGTGGCAGGCGCCTGTAGTCCCAGCTACTCGGGAGGCTGAGGCAGGAGAATGGCGTGAACCCGGGAGGCGGAGCTTGCAGTGAGCCACCGTCACGCCACTGCAGCACTCCAGCCTGGGTGACAGAGCGAGACTCCGTCTCAAAAAAAAAAAAAAAGAAAAAAAAGAAGTCTTACTGGGGTTCTGCGAACTAGGCATCTCTTCTTTATTACCTCATTCCACTGATGAGGAAGCAGAGAACTTTCTAGATCATCTGCCACACTCTGGGGACAGAGTGTGGGTTTCAACTTTCCTCTTCTTCTTCCTCCTCCTCCTCCTACCCTGAGGCTTCCTGACTTTCAGCTGGTAGTCGGGTCACTAACCCTTGATGGGCCTCAGTTTCCCCATATGGACAGTGGACAGAATGGTAGGATACATTTTCCTACACATCCTGGGTGCCGCCACAAGGCCCTGAAACCCCGACCCAGGGCTGGTTCATGGCCTTCCGAGGCCAGATGGCGATTTGTAGCCATTTATTGAGCCCCTATCCTGGCAGCGGTCAGCATGAGAAGCAGACATGTTAGTGAATACTGCAGGATCAGAAGTTCAGAAAACAGAATTACAGGAAGAGCCAGGGCAGGCAGGAGAGATCTAGGAGTTGGAGTCCTAGGGCAAAAGGTTCAGGGGTCACAGGTGAAGGGTTGACAGGTCCAGAGGACATAGGGTGGGGTTAGGGGGTGGGGGTCACAGGACCCAAGGGTTAGAGGTTGGAAATGATAGGATGAGAGAGGTCTGCTTCTATGGGAGAAGGTGCTGGTCTTACAGTCAAAGGGCAGGGATCAGAGGTCACAGAAGTCATAGGGAATGATCTCAGGTGGCATGGTTACAGGTCAGGGGTCAGCCTCACCTGGTCTCCCTGGCGGGCAATGATGGTGCCAGCTTTGGCGTGGTGCAGCAAGACTCTGCTGTTCAGGAGGGAGGGGTCCTGGGGAGGTAGGGGGGTTGAGATGGGCGCAGCCAGGCCTCCCTTGCGCCCTGTGCCCAGCTCCCCTCGGCTGCCCACCTCAATCCGCATCAGCTTGGCCAGCTCCTGCTTTGCTGCCTCGAAGATGCTGCTGGTCTGGCGGCCCTGGTAGGGCCCGAAAGGGCAGCCACCAGTGGCCGACTCATCCTCACAGTAGCTGTATTCACAGGCGCCTGCCGGCTGCTCACGAGGCTCCTGAGTGGGGGTCTGAGTGGGGCAGGCTTGTGACCTCCTGATGCTCCCTCCCAGCCACCTTCCCCTGCGGGCTCCACCACCGGGCAGGGTCCCAAGCCTTACCCGAGCGGGGGCTGCCAGGGACCCCCCGGAGGCCTCTTCCTGCAGGGACACGGAGATCCGGCCACGCTCATAGGCCATGTCGAAGTCGGAGCGGGGGCCACCCTGCAAGCCTGCAGGCAGGCAGGGGGGCAACAAAAACCATAAAGATGAGAGTAAGATTTTTAAAAAATGAGCCAGGTGTAGTGGTGCAGGCCTGTAGTTCCAGCTATTTGGGAGGCTGGGGCTGGAGGATCACTTGAGCATAGGAGTTCGAGGCTGCAGTGAGCTATGACAGCACCACTGCACTCTAGCCTGGGAGACAGGTCTCAAAAGAAAAGAAAAAGATGAGAGTAACCACAGTTGCAGTCTGAGACCAATGGATACCAATGTGCCATGGGCCACTGCTGTAGCAGACATGACTAATCAACGCCTGCACTCTCCCTCTGAATCCCTCTTAACAGGTGGGAGAAGCACTATCTCAATGAATATCTACAAAACAGTGCCTGGGGAAGTACTGGCAGTGTTCCCATTTCGCAGATTAAAACAATCAAGACAGGCAGGCGGTGGACCTGGATTCAAACCTGGAAGCTCCATGGCCCTCCCCGCAGACCCAGTGCTCCAAACCTGAGATGTCCCCTGGCATGGAGACGCAGCGGCTCAGCAGAGGGGCCGAGGGGGTTTCCAGGGATGTGGGCTTCACAGGGTCCCCTGGGGGAGACACATGTTCAGGCTCCTGCCCCTCAGAGCCACTAGGAGGATTAGCAGGTTGGGAGATAAGGAGATGCTGGCGACTGATTAACTAGTTAAAGCAATTCCAATGGGCCCTTGGGGACGAGGCCACAGCTTCCTCGGTACCAGATAGGAGTCAGACCTGGGTACCCCGCTATGGAGTCCCTGTGGGGCTGGACAAGGTCAGGTTGACTCTATGCAGAACTGAAAAAGGGGCTGGCGGCTGAGACGGGGCTTCCTGGGAGATTGGGCTCGGCTGGCCTCGGGTCCCTGGGTACCTGTAGGTCCAGGCAGCGGGGCCCCGGTGGGATCGGGTGGCCGCCCTGGGGTCTCCCTGGGCTCGTCTGTAGCTGAGGTGCTGACCATTCTCTTGGAGCCCCGCACAGGGCTGGTGCGAGTTGGGAGGCCGGGGCTGGGGAACAGACGCAGGGGCTGGATCTCCTGGGGGCAGAGAACAGCTTGTGGCCTGTCCTGGGAGGGAGACCTCGCCCCCATCCCCCCTGTGCTCGCTCCCCGCCACCCACTCACGTGGCTGAAGAGCTCATTGGTCAGACCCAGGTAGTTGTGCAGTGCCAGGAAGGTGACTCGCTGCAGCCGCACCATGATGATCTGCAGGGCTCGAGGGGCGTGGCCATAAGATGGGGCGGGGTAAGGGGCAGGGCCAGATGGTGGGCCGGGCTAGTTCGCAGCATAAGGGGTCGGGCGGGAACCAGGGAGAGACCCACAGTCTGGGGAAATGGGGCGAGGCAGCTAAGGGAGGAGTCCGCGGCTGCAGACATCTGGCTGCTCCAGGCCGATAACCACAGCTCCAGCGCCTGCTGGCTGCTGGGCCTCGGTCCCTTGGAGCCTGGAATGGGTGGGGGCCAGGGTGGGGTCCCTCAGGGGGTGACAGGAGGCGAAGGCCCACTGACCTGCACGACCCGCACCAAGCTCTCCGGGTACTTGGTGAAGACCGCGGAGAATGCTTCCACCGGCAGGCGCAGCACCGTGGAGTCCCGGGCCGCCCGGGCAGACACGGTCCGCTGGGGATGCTGGTGACCCTGGGGGAGGGGAGGGCGTGAAGAGAGACAAGGGCAGAGGCTGCGAGTCCCCCTCGCTACTCCCCTAATCCTTCCTGGCGCCAGTCCCGTGAGGGGCCATCGGCAGCATAACGGATGAACCAGAGATTGGGGACCCTGTGATTTCCTTCAACCTAGTCCCTTGGGTGGGACCTTGCACCCCAGCCCCCCTGCCTCAGAAACTGGTCACTCACGGTGATGACATCCAGGATGCTGAGAAGGCTGTTGACGCTGTCCCCAGGAACCACTTCCTTCACCACACACTCCTTCCCGTCCTGAGACACAGGAGACCGTGGACCCTCAGTGGCCTCGCCCTGGTGACTGGCATGTCGCCCCCTCATCCATCCCAATGATCACTGACACTTCTCATCCCTTCTCAGGGGAACCCACCAACCCTTCCAACGAGCAGGCATCTCCCATCGTTCAATACTTGTAACTACTGAGCAACTACGCAGACTACCCCAAATGTCCTCGGTCACCCGTTCCCCTGACTCCCGATGACGCATCTCCAAAGACCACCAGCTCTACAGACCAATGCCTGCTGCCCATCCCCACCACCCATCCTCCTGCAGCAGCCCCTGGGGAGGCCCACTCACAGGCCCTGGCAGACAGAGCTCCAGCAGCCCGTCCTGCACCACGTAGATGCTGGCATCTGGCTGGCCCGGCCGGAAGACGTAGTCACCCTGGCCCAGCCGCTGGAAGACCATGTGGCGGCAGAGCTCCAGGAAGAGTGGCTTCTCGAAGTGGCCCAGCACCCTGTTGGACAGGCGGTGGGCGACAGAGGCTGGAGGTCAGGGCGGCCCCACGTCTGCAGCCCTCCACCCCCACCTGCACCCCAACACTGACCGGACGTTCTTGAGCATATAAAGCACTTCAGAGGGCAGATGGGAGTTAGCCAGGTCGCCCTCGGTCAGGTCAGCTTCTAGCACTGCGGGCGGGGGCTCCTTCCGCTGCAGCGTGGGCGTCTCTTTCTGGATGCGCAGGATCCTGGTGGGAGGGGAGGGGTGCCGGGGGTGAGGGGGGCACGGAGAAGGCTCAGGCAAACCTAAGACCCCCGCATACCCCTTTCCCCAGGGCTCATGTACAGCAAACTCTGGCCCGCTGGCCAAATCAGGCTGGCCACCTTTTTTTTTTTTTTTTTTTTTTTGAGACGAAGTTTTGCTCTTGTTTCCCAGGCTGGAGTGCAATGGTGCGATCTCGGCTCACTGCAACCTCCACCTCCAGGGTTCAAGCGATTCTCCTGCCTCAGCCTCCCTAGTAGCTGGGATTACAGGCATGTGCCACCACGCCCAGCTAATTTTGCATTTTTAGTAGAGATGGGGTTTCTCCATGTTGGGCAGGCTGGTCTCGAACTCCTGACCTCAGGTGATCCGCCCGACTCGGCCTCCCAAAGGCTGGGATTAAAGGTGTGAGCCACTGTGCCCTGCCTCAGGAGTCTCGCTCTTTTACCCAGGCTGGAGTGCAGTGGCGAAATCTCGGCCCACTGCAACCTCCACCTCCCAGGCTAAAGCGATTCTCCTGCCTCGGCCTCCCAAGTAGCTGGGACTACAGGTGGGTGCCACCACGCCCAGCTAATTTTTTGTATTTTTAGTAGAGATGAGGTTTCCCCATGTTGGCCAGGCTGGTCTCAAACTCCTGAACTCAAGTGATCCTCCCGCCTCAGCCTCCCAAAGTGCTAGGATTACAGGCGTGAGCCACTGCACCCGGCTGGCCACATTTATTTTGGTAAATAAAGTTTTATTGGTACAAAGCCACATTCATGTATTTGCATATCATTATGGCTGCTCCCATGCAGCAGAGTTGAAGAGTTGCAATGGGGACCATATGTGGCCAGCAAAGCCTGAAACATTTACTATCTGGCCCTTTATGGAAAAACCCTATGACCCCAGACCTAAAGTTCTCTGAGATGGCCCCTCCACTAGGCATAGGCCCCTGAGCTGAACCCTTTAGGAAGGCAGACCCCTGACATAGCTTCCAAGATAAGGGTAGGCCCAGAAATGGTACCTGTGTTTATCATGGGGGTCCTGAAACGGTCCTTCCAGTAGTCACAGAGTAGATTCCTGAGATAGTCCCCTTAACGTGAGTATGCCTTTGACATAGCTTCCAATATATGAGAAGACCGCAGATACAGTCTCTCTGTTCTACATAAACATTCCTGAGATAGACCTTCCTCCCAGTCTCAGAGAACCTTGAGACAGCCCCTCTGACAGCCACAGAGGTCCCTGAAGTAGCCCTCATTATAAGTGGAGAATCCAGATAGCCCCTCTGCTAATCGTGGACCTGGGAGAGCCCTTCCCCACAAGTCACAGTGATTGCTGAGAAAGACCCTCCGCTGGCAAAAGATCCCTGAGATAGACCTTGGAGGATGGGACCCTGAGTTAAACTCAGTGAAATCAAGAAATTCAGATATAATTCCTTTTTTGGCTGGGCGTGGTGGCTCATGCCTGTAATACCAGCACTTTGGGAGGCCGAGGTGGGAGGATTGCTTGAGGCCAGGAGTTCAAGACTAGCCCAGGCAACACAGTGAGACTCCCATCTCTACAAAAAAATTTAAAAATTAGCCAGGCATGGTGGTGCATGCCCATGGTCTCAGCTACTTAAGAGGCTGAGGCAGGAGAGATCTCTTGAGCCCAGGAGGTAAAGGCTGCAGTGAGCTGTGATTGTGCCACTGCACTCTAGCCTCAACAACAAAGTGTGATCCTGTCTCCAAAATAATAATAATAATTATAATTGTTATGATTATTCCTTTTTTGATCAGGGAGATCTTGGGCTAACTCTTCCCTAGGTCACAGAAAGCTCAGACAGCCCTCTGACAATCATGAAGATATCAGGGTAGTCCCTTAAGAGTGTGCAAACACTACAGACAGCTCCTGTGATGTGGAGAAACCTGAGGTATAGACCCTCAACTGATCATGGGGAACTTTGAGATAGTCCTTCTACTCAACTCACAGAAAGCCCTGCCATTGGCCGGGCTCAGTCGCTCATGCCTGTAATCCCAGCACTTTAGGAGGCCGAGGCGGACGGATCACAAGGTCAAGAGATCGAGACCATCCTGGCCAACATGGTGAAACCCCGTCTCTACTAAAAATGCAAAAATTAGCTGGGCATGGTGGTATGAGCCTGTAGTCCCAGCTACTCGGGAGGCTGAGGCAGGAGAATCTTTTGAACCGAGGAGGTGGAGGTTGCAGTGAGCCGAGATCGTGCCAGTGCACTCTAGCCTAGTGACAGAGCAAGACTCCATCTCAAAAACAAACAAACAAACAAACAAAAAAGAAAGGACTGCCATTGCAGGACTATTGATCATGGAGAGCCCTGCCCTGGTGTGAAGAAACCCTTGAGGCAGACCTCCAGGTAGACTACATGACGCACAGGGATCCCAGAGCCAGCACCCAACTTGCAAAGAGAGTTGGAGAGCCTTTCTCGCAGACCTTGCTGCCAACAGGGATCTCTGATGCATCCTTCCTATATTTCTAGTGCAAGAAAATTCATAAGATAGCCCCTAGGGAACAGAAACTCCTGAGACAGCCTCCTTAGTGTGGGAAGAACTTCAAGGTCCATAACATAGGAAA
Source organism: Homo sapiens (assembly GCF_000001405.40). Taxonomy (NCBI): domain Eukaryota; kingdom Metazoa; phylum Chordata; class Mammalia; order Primates; family Hominidae; genus Homo; species Homo sapiens. The sequence continues at coordinate 7,537,335 of NC_000019.10, read as the reverse complement.
GATGCCTTCTGATGTACAGAGATGCCTGAGATAACCCCCGGAGAAGAGAGGCTGGAGGCTGGAGATAGCCCCTTTAGGAGATCGTAGAAACACAATTACCTCAGTGAGGTACCCTGGAAGAAAACCACTCATGTGAAGAGACTCATGAAATAACCTACATGGAAACCCCTGATGTAGACCCCCCCACTAAGTATATGGCAAGACCTCTGAGATATTGACTTGGGAACAAATAGCTCAGATACTCCAGTGGAAGGAGAAGGTCACTGAGGTAGCCCTCAGGGAAGAGATACCCTAGAGACAGCATGTCTGGTGTGGAAGAGCTCTGAGAGGAGAGTCCAGAGATGTCTCTCTGAAACAGGAAGACTTTCTTCTTCTTCTTCTTCTTTTTTTTTTTTTTTTTTTTTTTTTTGAGACAGAGTCTCACTCTATTGCCCAGGCTGGAGTGCAGTGGCATGATCTCAGCTCACTGCAACCTCCACCTCCCAGATTCAAGTGATTCTCCTGTCTCACCCTTCTGAGTAGCTGGGATTACAGGCCCATGCCACCACGCCCAGCTAATTTTTGTATTTTTAGTACAGATGAGGTTTGCCATGTTGGCCAGGCTGGCCTCAAACTCCTGATCTCAGGTGATCTGCCCGCCTTAGCCTCCCAAAGTGCTGGGAATTACAGGCATGAGCCACAGCGCGCAGCCAATATGGGAAGACTTCCACAACACTTTGGTGTAAGCTGATTACTCAAAAGGCCCCTGAGATAACCCCTAATACCAGGTCACACCCAGCACAGCCTTACTTCTTGGCAATGTTGAGCATCTTCAGTTTCTTCCTCATGCGTGGCCGGGAGGTGGCGGAGACAGAGGTATCCACGAGGGAGGAGGTGGATTGTGACACCTGGGAGAATGAAGGCGGAGATGGGTGAATTGCTAATTCAGACCTTGGAGAAGAGGCAGACGGATCCAGGGGGTCTCCATCAAGGAAGGAGCGGTGGCGGACACTAAGAAGTGTAAATAGGGAAGGGGCGCGGCCTCTGTGTGGTCAGGGCGGACCCCAGGGGTCCCGGACTCACCTTCCGCATAATCTTCCGGCCATAGAAGAGCACTTTGTCCCTCTTCCGGAACCGATACCGGGGGCCATCCGGGGCTGGGGTTTCTGGGGATAGGTGGGGACAGGGGCACTCCGAGCTCTGTGCAGACTCCACCCTGCCAGAGCTGGGGTACCGCGAACAGACGCCAGCAAATCCCCATCTCTGCCGCCTCGGGACCCGGGCATTTGGGCCCCCCACCATACAGCCTCCCAAGAGGGGCCCCTCGGGTGCTCACTTGGCACTCGCAGCCTCCGCACCACCAGGAGGATGAGCACGGCCGTGACCACCACCGCCACTCCGGCCCCGATCATCACGCCAAGCACCTGAGGGACGAACGGCACTGGCTGCGCACCGCAAATCCGTCCCGCCGAGCCTTCCCCGGGCGCCAGGACGTCCTGGAACCCATCCCTCTCCGCCACCTTCGCCCCCGAGGAGTTCGTAGCCAGCCCGTGACTCGATGTCCCCATCTGCAGAATGGGCCAGTGCTGCTCCCTCCCCGGGGGCGCGACTCTTCCCTGAGGCCCGGCGGCCCGCAGTGCATGCCGGGAAACGTAGTTCCGCCCGAGCGGACGCAGCGCGTTATCGCCAGACCACGTAATGCGCGCTGAGCACGCCGGGAGTTGTAGTCCTCTTGGCGCCCCACGCCGGCACCTACCCGGTCTCCGCCCCACCCCTTACCATTCCAGTTTGCAGCGGAGCCTCCATCGGTTGATTCCAGCTGGACGGCCGATCTGGTAGCCCGGAGTCCTGGGAAATCAAGGAGTCGAAGGAACCCGTGCAAGTCGTCAATCTGGGCCCACCTCTCCCCTGCCTCAAGCCCTGCCCCCAGCTCAAGCCCTGCCCTCTGGGGTGGCGGGGGAAGCGTCTCCAGCTGCCAGGGGCGAGGCTAGAGGGGCGCTGCGGGACTAAGGGATGGAGCAAACCGACCTCTCGGCCCTGGCCAGGAGATGAGGCGGGTCCCCGGCTTCCTGCTCCCTTCGCCTACGCGTAGGGCCTACCAGACGCCCGCCTGTCCAACCCCACCCCGGGGCCAAAGGCCGACCTGGTACCCACTGTCAGCAGCCTGCAGGCAGGTCCCCACAGGGCACGGTCCTCTGCACCTGGTGACTTCCTCCCGGGTCACTGCCCTCTGCAGGGTTGATCAAGCCTGACCACCCCACCCCCCAGGCCGCACCCCCTACTCCGTCGAAGACTGAATGCCCCACCCCAGGAAAACGGGCCCGCAAACCGTGGGGTCCGGGAGTGGGCACCTAGATACTCGGCTCCCGACGCAAGCCTGCCCCGGGGAAGACCCAGGAGCTGGGAGGCACGGGAGTACTGCCGGGGCATCCGCGGAAGGCGTCTGATACCCACGTTTCAGAAGAGTCCTGGGATGCTTGGGGTGGCGTGGGCTTGCAAGGCGCTGCTGGTTTTTGCCGGGGATTTACTATCACGTAGTAGTGAAGTTATGGGGGCTCTATGGCACAGAGCATCACTGGGACTCCGGGACCGATGGTGGCGCCATTGCTGGGAGGCGTAACCAGAGACGCTGGGATTAGTGGGTGGGGATGCGGGGTCACTGGAAAGTTACTGAGATTCTGAGGATTACAATACTACTGCTGGGAAAACCAGGAGGTGGGTGGGCACATTCCTGGGGTGCTTATGAGAGCGGGCCTGGGGAGGGCGTCCGGGCTCCTTGGAAGATACTGAGAGATGCTGGAATATTACTGGGATTTTTCTGGGAAGCTGAGGATGTTTCTGACATCGCTAGAATATTAATGGAAATTCGGGGGCCGGGAGATAGGAATCCCGGAGACTCCGAGTCGTTACTTGGAAAATTCCTGGGTGGCCGGTCCTCTTCCACCTCAGGGCACAGCTGGCTACCGGTGTGGAAACACCTGCCGAGACGTGGGGGGTATGGGAACATCAGAAAGTCTAGAGTTAACAGGAATCGGAGGACAGATCGTGGGAAAGCGGAGGCTCGCTAACGACCCTCGAAGGGACACCCCTGCGAGGCTAACGGAAACCCAGACTCACCCAGGGGCCGCAGCCGGGGTCCACTCCGCGCCAACACCGCTAGCGTTCCGCCCGGCTCCGCAGGCACGGCCCCTTTAAATTATTCACTCCTAGTCGCACCGCAGTCCCTCCCGACCCTCCCACCCCTCCTCCCCGCGCCATGCTTGGAAGGCCGACTGAGGCCGCCATGCTGAGTGTGGCCGCGCCTTAAAGGGCCTCACACCGCTTAACGCAAGGACTGCTCCTCCCGCTAAAAATGAAAACGACACATTTATTTTCCCTTTTATTCAACACCCTCCCCACCCAGTCTCCCCGCCCCCAAGGGTCCGACACGAAAGGTCCAGGCCCTCCTCGGGCGCGACAGGGAGCCGATCCTTAAAAGCAAACCCTACAAATAAATAAGCGGGGTCGGGGGCGGGGGTCTCTGCAGTCCAGGGCCTACGGTCCAACGGCAGTCAGGTCGAATCAATTCACCAGCAGCGAATGCTCCTCCGAGGGGTCCCTGGAGGAAGGAAGCAGGGAAGAGGGGCGTCAGTTTTCTCTGGCTCGCTCCCCTTTCCCCATTCCCTAACCTCCAATCTGAATGTGCCAGACCCGGGACTCGAACCTTCCGCAGCAGCAGAGAAGGCTGCAGGCCGAGCCGCTCCCGCGGCGGAACTTGCCGGAGGTGGGGCTGTCCTGGCACTGTGCGATGTAGGCCTGCAGCTCGCTCTCCTCTGCGCCTGCGCCGCCGGGATGCTGGGGAGAGAAGCCGGGAGGCTCAGCCTGAAAGTGGCTCCCAACCTCCAAGGCCCTTGAAGTCCGCCCTCCCCTCCAGCCATATCTGCATCGCTTCCCACCTCCGGGCCTTTGCACTTGCTGGGCCTGCTCCACCCGTTGTTCCACAGTTTGCTTGCACAGAGGGACCTTCCCTGACCCCTGAACCTGGATACAAGCTGTGTCTTTGCCAGTCTGTGTCTTTGCCTTCTGCTGTAGGTCCAGCACCTACAGACCTAGAGCCAGGGCTGACATGACCTCGATGCTCAGAAACCATCTATTGAGTGAGCTGGATGCACGCTGAGCACAGCAGTGGGAGCAGGGCCTGAGACTGCCCACCTGAGTGGATGCATGTGTGTGATGTCTACGTGCTAAGGCAAGACAGGAAGTAGTTCCAAGGGCCTGAGTCAATGTGTCTGTGGGACAGCTGAATCCATGCATGGGGAAAAGGGGGTGTACCCATCTGCCGGTGACATTGGATGTGGCAGGGTCCCAGCCAAGGCTTCCTTCCTCTCACTCGGCCTCATGGAGGGGCCATCTTTTCTCCAAGTTTTTTCAGGCTACTAGACCTTTGCTTTAGCTATTCCTTCCCCTCGGTGCACTGCCCCTGGGCTCCCATCTCTTCAGTCTAGAGGCGATGGAAGTATTCAATATCTATGCTGTCCAATATGGCAGCCACCAGCCACACTGGCTTTTGAGCACTGGATACAGGATGGTGCAAGTCAGAGGCTAAATTTGCAATTGTACTTCATTTGAATTAAAATTTTTAAAAAATTGTTGTTTTGTCTTTGAAGCAGAGTCTCGGTCTCTCGCCCACGTTGGAGTGCAGTGGCTTGATCTCGGCTCACTGCAACCTCTACGTCCCAGGTTCAAGCAATTCTACTGCCTCAGCCTCCGGAGTAGCTGGGATTACAGGTGCCTGCCACCACGTCCGCTAATTTTTTGTATTTTTAGTAGAGATGGGGTTTTGCCATGTTGGCCAGGCTGGTCTCGAACTCCTAACCTCAGGTGATCCACCCCCACCCCCCCTCGGCCTCCCAAAGGGCTGGGATTACAGGCGTGAGTCACCGTGCCCAGCCGGAATTAAAATCAAAATTTAAATAGCTGCATAGGGCTAGAGACTAGTGATGGATAGAACATTCTAGAAGCTCTCCTGGATCTCCTGTCATACCAATCTAAAGCAGGGGTCCCTCTGCAACCTTCCACTCTTCCTTCATACCTGTTACAAGTAGGTCATTGGTCATGGGATGTCTGTTCCTGTGCCATCCTTGCCCACAGGCCTTGGACGGATCATGCACACCTGATTTTCCTCCATGCCCAGAACCCAGCACAGATCTTGGCCCTTAGATATATCTGCTGAAAGAATCCTATCTACCTGCCACTTCCGCATCCTGCTCTGTCCCCTGACCCTTGCAGCTTGCAGGGAAACCACTGTTCCCAGCCACCCTACTAAACTGAGGACAGAGGGGTTAGGAGCACGGCTTCTGGAATCAGACAGCCCTGGGTTGAGCCCAGTTTTACTGCTCAGAAGCTAACCTGGGCCGGGCACAGTGGCTCACGCCCGTAATCCCAGCACTTTGGGAGCCTGAGGTGGGCGGATCACAAGGTCAGGAGTTTGAGACCAGCCTGGTCAACATGGTGAAACCCCATCTCTACTAAAAATACAAAAATTAGCCAGGCATGGTGGCGTGTGCCTATAATCCCAGCTACTCAGTAGGCTGAGGCAGGAGAATCGCTTGAACCCGGGAGGCAGAGGTTGCAGTGAGCCGAGATTGCACCACTGCACTCCAGCCTGGGTGACACAGCGAGACTCCGTCTCAAAAAAAATAAATAAATAAAGAAGCTAACCTTGGGCAGGGTCAGAGGGAGTCGGGGGCATGGCTGGGGGCTGGGGTCAGGGTTGGGTTTTTAGAGGTCCGCCATAGGAATGGGGCCAGCTGAGGATCACCATGTTAATGGCAACGTCCCAGGGTCAATGACAAGGTCATTGAAACTGTATGACTTAGCTGGGTTCAGTGGCTCATGCCTGAAATCCCAGCACCTTGGGAGGCCAAGGCAGGTGGATCACCTGAGGTCAGGAGTTCGAGACCAGCCTGGCCAACGTGGTGAAACCCCATCTCTAGTAAAAATACAAAAATTAGCCAGGTGTGGTGGCACGTGCAAGTAATCCCAGCTACTCAGGAGGCTGAGGCACAAGGATCGCTTCAACTCAGAAGGTGGAGGTTGCAGTGAGCCGAGATCATGCCATTGCACTCCAGCCTGGGCCACAGGGTAAGATTCCATTTCAAAAAAAAAATAATAATAATAGGCTGGGTGTGGTGGCTTACGCCTGTAATCCCAGCACTTTGGGAGGCCAAAGTGGGAGGATCACTTGACCTCAGGAGTTTGAAACCAGCCTGGGTAACACAGTGAGACCCTTGTCTCTAATAAAATAAAGAACAATACTTTAATAATAAAATAAAATAGGCCGGGCGTGGTGGCTCACGCCTGTAATCCCAACACTTTGGGAGGCCAAGGCAGTAGATCTCCTGAGGCCAGGAGTTTGAGACCAGCCTGACCAATGCGGTGAAATGCCATCTCTACTAAAAATACAAAAATTAGCTGGACGTGGTGGCGTGTGCCTGTAGTCCCAGCTACTCAGGAGGCTGAGACAGAATTGCTTGAACCCGGGAGGTGGAGGTTGCAGTGAGTCAAGATCGCACCACTGCACTCCACCCTGGGTGACAGAGCAAGACTCCGTCTCAAATAAACAAATAAATAAATAAACTCTATGACTCGGTTGCCCTGTTGGCAAAGACTGACTCAGGCCCCCTCCTGGCCCAAGCCCACCTTGACATCCCCCTGCGCCCCCCAGTTCTGAACCACCCTCTTTTTGGTTTCATAGAGTCTCCCATATTCTCTCCTGGGTCTTCTCTGTTCACCCTGCGGTGTCCCCAAGACCCCCTCATGGCAGACTCCAGGGCACCCAGAGCCCGAGCTCAGGGCTGGGTGCATGCGGCTGACCTTGATGGTGTCGTAGGCGCCGGTGATGAGCGCGATGAAGAGGCTGAGCACCATGTAGATGAAGAGGCTGATGAAGGAGTAAAGGTAGAGCTGGGAGAAGAGCCACACCAGGCTGCTGCGGCCCTGCTGCGCCTGCATGGCGGCGAACGTCACAAACATGTCGTCCCCATTGATGAGCGAGAACAGGCACTCAGACACCATGGAGAGTGAGCGGAACTGCCAGAGGGGCGGCGGGGTCAGAGGGAGCCAAGGCATGGCCAGGAACCGGGGGCTGGGGTCAGGCTGGGGTCCCATGCAAATGGCTAGGAGCTGGTGGCTGGGGCCCCACATGAATGGCCGGGTCCCGGGCTGCGGTCACCATGTGAATGGTCGGGTTCCAGGCTAGGGCCCCTGTGAATGGCCGGGTCCCAGGCTGGGGTCCCACGTGAATGGCCGGGACCCAGGCTGGGGTCCCACGTGAATGGCCGGGTCCCAGGCTGGGGTCACTATGTGAATGGCCAGGTCCCAGGCTGGGGTCCCATGTGAATGGCCGGGACCACGGGTCAATGACAGGGCCACAGGGCCGACCTAGGGTCTGGGTAGATAGAGCAGGAGGGGAGTAATTCAGGTCGAAATAGGGTCATCAACAACTGTGACAACAATAATGGCACAGGGTCAGTGTCAGGGTCACCAAGGACCACAGGGGACAGTGGACAGACTCCCAGCAGTCACCAAGGGGTCATCTGGGGGTCACAGTGTCAATGACAAGGTCACAGGGTCAATGTCAGGGACATCAGGGGTTAGATGTACCTTCACATGATAGGGCCCCAGCACGATCCAGCCACAGAAGCAGTAGCCCAGGTAGATGACAGCCACGCAGCAGCAGAAGCGCATGACGCTGGGCAGGGCCACCCGCAGTGTGGCGATGAGGATCTGGGTTGGGGCAGAGGGAGCCTCGTTGAGGGTGTGGCCACAACTCAGGTCAGCTGTGGGCACCCAGATGGGGGTGGGAGGGGCGGGGCCTTGCCGAGGGCACAGCCGGTGTGGTCATGGGAGCCAGTGGGTGCCTAGAGGGGGCGTGGCCACGTCTGAGGGGGTCCGAGGGCAACGCACGGCTAGACTCAGCTGGGTGGGCACAAAGGAGCAGGCTCCCGGGGCCCCGCGCAGGTGCAGTGACAGATATATCTGGTGTGGGCAGGTAGGAGGAGGAGGCTTGCAAGGGGCCATTGGCCGGGGCTGGTGAGGGCTGCGTGTGTAGGGATTTATTTGGAGGGTGTGGAGTAACCATGTGGAAGGCCCAGCTGCATGTGCAAAACTCACATTGTAGTTGTGGAAGAAGGTCAGGTAGCGGATCACGCCCACCCACACCAGCAGCGTCGAGGTGCCCAGGAGGATGCTGCAGACGTCGTAGCTCGCCAAGTTCTGCGGGTGGGAGCTGCGTCAACCTATCTGGCCCAGCCCTTCCTTTGGGGGGCCTGGGGGAGGATATGGCCCCGGATAGGCACTGACAGCAGGGATGGGACCTGGGGCCCAGGGTGTTGGCAGGACGCACCTTGGCCTCGATGCCGATCTTCATGATGGTGCCCGAGATGGTGAGCACATCGCTGGTGACGAGCAGGATGTACCAGCCATTGACAAATTCCAGCCGCTCCCACAGGCTGATGACCCGTCCCCGCTGCCGCCACATGAACCCCACAAACTCCTGCAGAAGGCAGGCGGGGTGAGGGCCTGACCAGGCACAGGACCCTCAAAGCCCTGGCTTTTATCGCCCCAGGGCCAGGCGGGGAGGACACCAGCACACATGACGCAGAAGCCTCACGTTCTGCAGCAGGAAGCCTCGAAGGAGTGAGCGGGCGCAGAGGAGGAAGGACAGGGAGCAGGTGAGGATGACCACCACGTCAAACAGGAGCCGGAAGCTGTTGTCTCCTGCGGGGAGGGCAGAGCGGGTAGGGCCAAGGATGGCATGGAGCCTTGGGAGGCTAGCATTGGTGCCAGGCCAGGCTGGAGACCTAGGGGGCTGCACGGCTGGTTTTGGTTGGTCAGTGGGCTCAGGGCTTGCTTGGGGTGAGTCAAGAACCCCGGTCAGTGCTGGTCTGGGGCTTGGGGGATCTCAGCACAGGACGGGGTCCCTGGTCTGTGCTGATCTGAGGCTCAGCGGATTCCTGGGGAGGTCACGGCCCCCAGGCAGCGCTGATCTGGGGCTTGGGGAATCCCAGGACAGGCCAGGGCCCCTGGTCAGTGCTGGTCTGGGGCTCAGGGGCTCACCGTGCTGGAAGACACTGGGGTGCTTACACTCCTGGATGTGGGCCTGGGTCTCCAGGCTGATGGGGATCCGCCCACTGTGTGCTTTGTTGTCAAACGTGATCTGTGGGGGCCAGTTGGGGGCAGAGTAAACCTTGGCAGCCCCAAGCCCCAAGGTCCACATGACAGGTGGCCTGACAGACCCCGGGCTCCCTCCCTCATCACCCGCACGCTTGCCCTTGGCCAGTGCTCCCAAGACACTCCCTGACCAGGTCCCTGCCCTGGAACTCAGGAGCCCTGTGGGTTCCCGGGGGGCCTCACCAGGACGCTGAAGGTATAGCAGTCCGGGATCTCATTATTGATGAGGCTCTGGAGGTTAATGGTCTTCAGCCGGAAGTGGATGGTGACATTGACCAGCCTAGGCAGGAGGCTCGGGTGAGGGTCAGGGGCGTCTTCGGGTCCCTTCCGGCCCCAAGTGCCAGCGTCCCCTGCCACGTGCTGACTCTGCAGCTGGCAGGGGAAGTGCTCACCCAGCAGGCACCAGCGCGGGCGGGGGGGCCCTGTCCCCACCTTAGGGAAGTAGTTGCTGGGGTGAGAGTGCCTAGTGTGCTGCCTCCCCCACCCTGGGCCCCCCTCGAGTGAGCAGGCAGTACTTGTGGAATTTGAGCGTGAGGTTCTTGTAACTGGAGCTGCTTTCCAAGAGGGTGAGATCGTCGCTGGGGGGCGGAGGGGGCCGCTCGGGGGGATCCACCTGGATGCAGTCTAAGGACAGGGAGTCAGGGAAGGGCCTCAGGGGGCCGGGGAGGCCAGGCTGGTCTCCCCAGAGTCCCCAGTGGCCTTCTTCCCTGTGCTTCCCCAGGGTTGGGTCATTCCTACAGGCCTGGCACTCTCTGGGCCTGCGGATGTTTTACTGAATGAGCCATATTAAAATATAACATCTGGTGCTTTCTACGTGGCAAGAGTCACACTCACACTAAGCATACTTGTTTTTTTTTTTTTTTTTTTTTTTTGAGACAGGGTCTCACTCTGTCACCCAGGGTGGAGTGCAGCAGCGTGGTCATAGCTTACTGCAGCCTCAACCTCCCGGACTCAAGCGATCCTCCTGCCTCAGCCTCCTGAGTAGCTGGGACCACAGGGGCACGCCACCACGCCCAGCTAATTTGTTTGTGCGTAGAGACAAGGTCTTCCTACGTGGCCCAGGCTGGTCTCAAACTTCTGGCCTCAAGCAATCCTTCCTCCTCAGCCTCCCAAAGTGCTGGTATTATAGGCGTGAGCCACCGTGCCCAGCCACAGCTGTTGATTTTAATCCCAGCAGCTCAGGCTCCCAACAGTGAAGCCTCGTCCTGCCCACTCACCAGTAACCACCATCGGATCAATGTCAAATGTGTCGTTGGCCGGGTCCACGTGGCCTCGGTGGTAGTACCGCTGGCAGAGAGCAAGCCCTGAGCCATTGGTCCAAGGGTCACCCCCACCACGGACATACGCATACCGGCCCAGTGACACGTCAGGCAACGCCAGGTACTGTGGGCAGAGAAGGGGAGGGCCTGTGAGTCCGGCCCGCTCTCTGCAGCCCACCCACCTGCACCTGCCCGCCCACCAGCACCTGCCCGCCCAACTGCACCTGCCCGCCCACCTGCACCTGCCTGCCCACCAGCACCTGCCCGCCCACCAGCACCTGGTCCACAGCATGGAAGATGGCCTGGTACAGCTGCTCCCGCGTGTAGGCTGCGAAGGTGTCATCCGCTCCGTCCGAGTAGCCCAGCAGGAAGAGGTGTCGGAAGGCGATGGTGTTCTCTTCCCGGAATGTCACAGCCAGCTGATTACTGAGCCCAAACAGGATGAGCTGGGGAGAGGGTAGTAGAGGTTGGCATGGCTAGGATGGGGGTTGGGGTGTATCTCCCTCAGGGCACAGGCCCTGGAAGAGGACAGGGAGGGCCCTGCAGATGTCCACTGGGGTGGGGCAGGGCCCTGCTAACTTGGGCCACAAACACGGATTTCACTTGTGCATTTCTTTGCTTTGATTAATTTCACCCCACCTCCTGGCATAAGCTCCATGCCACGCCCACCACTGTGTCCTCCCCCGTACAACACAGGGTGGGGACTCATCTATCTCACTGCAGGGACTAACGTTCATTAAATGTTTACTGGATGTCCGATTCTGTGTTAAACCCAAACTTTCAGGGTAAGTACCATGACTGGGTCCCTTTTCTTTTCTTTTTTGAGACAGAGTCTCACTCTGTTGCCCAAGTTGGAGTGCCATGGTATGATCTCAGCTCACTACAACCTCCACCCCCTGGGTTCAAGCAATTCTCCTGTCTCAGCCTCCTGAGTAGCTGAGTTACAGGTACCTGCCACCAAACCCAGCTAATTTTTGTATTTTTAGTAGAGACGGGGTTTTGCAATGTTGGCCAGGCTGGTCTCAAACTCCTGGCCTCAAATGATCCACCCAACTCAGCCTCCCAAAGTGCTGGCATTACAGGCATGAGCCACCATGCCTGGACAATTGGGTCCCTTTTCAGAGGGAAAATTAGAGGCATGGTGACATGCTAAAGTCAGCCCAAAACATGAAGTAAGCACTTAGGGCAGTGGCTGGGTCTGATTCATCTTGGGGTTCCCAGAGCCCAGCACAGGGTCTGGCATGGGGGAGGGAGAACTATCTGTGCAGCCATTGGGTCAACATGGTGTCAGACTGCCTGGGTTCAAATCCCAGCTCCCAATGTTCTATTGCTGTGTGACTTTGGGCAAGTCTCCTAACCTCTCTGAGCCTCAGAGTCGGCTTCTTTTTTTTTTTGAGACAGTCTTGCTCTGTTGCCCAGGCTGGAGTGCAGTGGCATGATTTCAGCTCACGGCAACCTCCGCCTCCCAATTCAAGCGATTCTCCTGCCTCAGCCTGCCAAGTAGCTGGGATTACAGGCACCCGCCACCACGCACGGCTAATTTTTTTGTATTTTTAGTAGAGATGGGGTTTCACCATGCTGGCCAGACTGGTCTTGAACTCCCAGCCTCAAGCGATCCACCGGCCTCGGCCTTCCAAAGTGCTGCTTTAAGACTCTCTTCAAGGAGCACAGCAGCCACAGGTGGCCTTCAGCTGGGGCCCCTGCTTGGCTGGCCTCACCTGCACCGTGACCACCAGGATCTTGACCACTTGCAGCATCAGCTTGCAGGGCTTGCGGCCCTTGGCTCGAAACTTGTCGCAGGGACTCATGAAAAAGTATTTGAGACGACGGCGAAGGTCTTCCTCTTCTGGGGGTGTCGGAGGGGCCGGTGAAGGCCCCGCCTGGGTCCCATACCCGGGGTTGGGGGTCAGAAGCCGCTCGGTCTCTGTGGGAATAGGAGAGGGCACTGGGGTGAGGCCTGGGCAACTCCCCTTTTCCCCTTTCTCCAACCAGGAAGGCAGCACACGCCCTATCTTCATGTCCCCATGCTCCTGCCAAGGAAGAGCTCTGAGAGGTCTAAAGAAAACCAGAAAACCTGTGACATTGTAGGTATCTATGCACCCGTCCTGCTCAGAGGTTATGAGTTTGGGTTTGGGAGGTACAGGGCCTGGGCTGATTCCTGCCCCTCCTGCTCACCAGCTCTCTGAGCCTCAGTTTCCTCATCTGCGAAATGGGGCAATAATATGTCTCATGGGAACGCTAAGGACTGGATGCTTATGAAGCATTGATCACAGGGGCTGGTCCATGGTGAATGTCAGAACATTTCATCAATGTTCCCGTTATTGATCAGTGGGGAGAGAATGAACTGCTCCCACTGGCTTTTCACTGGGCGTTCAAGCCTGCTGGGCTTATCCCAACTCCAGCTTCCAGACATGAGCATAGAACTCAGCCTGTATTCTAGGTTTGTCTGGACAAATACCCAAAAGATGACCTCTGGGTTCATTATAACCTGGCCCATCAGCTGACACTCTCAGAAGCCAAGGACCTGGAGAAGAGGTAATTGACAACATAAGTAATAATAATGGAACACATTCGCTAAAGACTCATTTTATCTCCCTGAAAAGCACCAGCTCCTAGAAATCATGCAGCCCTAGCATCAAATCCCAGACCTGCCACTTTACAGTAGGTTGACTCCAGGTACCTCCCTGAGCCTCCATCTCCTCATCTGAAGAGTGGAAATTTTAAAAAGGCGACCCCTTGGCTGGGCTCAGTGGCTCATGCCTGTTATCCCAACGGCTTTGGGAGGCCAAGGTGGGAGGATCCAGCCTAGGTAATACAGCGAGACCTCCCTGTCTACAAAAAAAAAACATTTTTTTTAAATAGTCAGGTGTGACGGCTCATGCCCGTAGTTAGTAGCTGGGACCCCATCTACCCGGGAGGCTGAGTTGGGAGGATCACTTGAGCCCAGGAGTTCGATGTTACAATGAGCTAGGATTATGCCACTGCACTACAGCCTGGGCAACAAAAAAAAGTTTATTAAAAAAAAAAAAAGTCCACCCTCTCCCTGAGCCTTGAGGTTGAGATCCTGAAGCTGCTCTGAGAATTCAGTGAGACACAGCAGATAAAGACCTCTTCAGCAAACACAAGCTGTTCTAATCACTGTTTATTTTTTTCCAGCCTAATGGTTAGATCTAAGCTTTCAGCAACTGCTGGAGTCAAAACCAGTCACAGTAGCCCAAAACTGTCCCTGTCACACCCCCATGGGGATGTGCTTTCTAGGGCCTGGCCCCGTGCTGCTTTCTAGGGCCTGGCCTCCTGCCTAGCAAAGCAGTCAGGATAAATGTGTGCACTGTCAGAACCTCCCTTGCAGAGAGGGACAAGTTCCCGGCCCCTCCCTTTGCAATGAGATGCTGCTGTGGCTGTTTACGACAAAGCCAGAGGGCAGGGCCCGCTTACAGAGCTGAGATTACAGCTAACCCACCCCAGACCCTACTAGCTGGGACACCGGGACATCTATCAGGTAGGGGTCCCCAGCTAGCTCCAGAAGGGGAAGCTAACACAAGGGGTCTTCCTCCAGCCTCCCCGAGGAGGGGTGGCATCAGAATTGGCTAGAAGCCCGAATTTAAGAAGGCTGCGCTTCCAGCGGTTTGGAAAGCTAAAACTGAGTTAATCGCCTGGGGGCAATCCCTCCAGCTCTCCAGGCTTGAGCTTAGGGAAGCTGAGCATTTGTCCCCTGGAATCAGGAGGGGAAGCCTGGGAGTCTCACGTGCGGGTTGGAGAAGCTGGTGCCCGCTGTCTGAGTTCCAGACGAAGTTGAGCAATCGGAACCTAGGCTCCCAGTGGGAATCCCAGGAACCTCGCCGCCCCAGAGGGAGAAGCTGGCGGCCCGGCGCGATCCCTGCCTGAGTTTGGGAACCCAGCAGAGCCTGGGTTCAGGAGGAAGAATTGGAGAGGCTGGTGCCCACCCGCCGCCCAAGTTCTAGGAGCCGTCTGCCCTTTTCTCCACCGTGAAAAGTCAGCGCTGGAGCTTAGAAAAAAAGAGACTAGGAGCTCCGCCGCCCCAGGTGGGAGACACAGCCCGCCCGCCTGAGTTCGGGGCCCCACGGTGCCGCCCGCGCCCTCACCTGAGCCGCGCGGACCCGCCGGGGCTGTCATGCTGGGGCGGGAGCGCGGGACGCAGGCGGGTACGGCGGGGCAGCCTGGGTCCGATCGCCCGCCGCTGTCACTGCGACCTCGCTCCCTCGCGGCGCGGCTTCAAACCCTCCGGCATCAGCTGATCTGTGCCTCGGTCACGTGACCCGGTAGCCCAGAGCCCCTCACGTGACCGCCTCTGGTCCCGCCCCCTGCGCCACGACAACCCCTGCCGGAACAGCGCGCATGCGTGCCTCTGCCGGCGCCCTCTGGGTCGAAGGCAGTCGCTAGGTCCTAGCGCCGACGCGCTCTGGGTGGCGGGGGATGGGCTGACTCTGAGTTTGGCAACGACGAGCTCTGCCCTGGCTCCCGGCCATGCCCCGAATCCGGTGCCAGGCTTGTGACTTCCATGTCCAGAGCTTGACCCCTTATCCTCCTTGGTGCCTGGTGATGACCCTGCCTACTATCTCAACGCTGTCTTCCTCTTTCTCCCAGAAACTCCTTTTACCCTTCTCCTGCGCATCTTCAGCAAACACGATTTCCTAATTATGTATCAAATAGAACCACTTATCCCCACCCCATGGCCCCCAGCCCAGAGTCTTCCAACATTCCTGGCCTGGATCTTTGCAGCAACCTCCTCCCCGATCTCAGCCTCCCTCCACTCCACTCTCTACCCAGCAGCCACAAGCATCTTCAAAGAATAATTCCTATCCTTCCTGCGAGAACCTGCCCTCGGCTTCCCATTGCTCTGTAATGACAGGCAGAGTCCCCACTCTCGTCTATCAGGGCCCTCTGATCTGGCTCCTACCTCCATCCAAAGCTCATCTTTCTATAGCCCCAGAGCCTTTGCATACTTTTGCCCTGGAGCGTAATGGTTAAGAATTTGGACCCTGGAGGGCAATTGGGATTTAAATCTAGGCACTGACAATGCCACTTCTACATCTTCCAGAGTCCCTTCAACTCCAAGCTGAGCGCAGTGGGCGGTGGCATGCACCGGCAATCCCAGCTACTCGGGAGGCTAAGGTGGGAGGATCGCTTGAGCCCAGGAGGTCGAGGCTGCAGTGAGCTATGATCACACCACTGCACTCCAGCCTGGGCAACAGAGCAAGACTGTCTAAAAAAAAAAAAAAAAATGTGCCTCAATTTTCTCATTTGCAAAATGGGGATATTCAAAGTCATCTACCTACTGGGGCTGTTGAGAGGATTAAATGAGAGAATGCAAAAACTATCGCATAAGGCTGGGCAAACAGTACTGATTATTAAATTAGTGATTATTGGGATTACAAAATCCTTCATTGAGAAAGCTGCCTGCCATTTATATCAGAAGTCTTGTTATGCTTCTCCTAGAATGTACTATACCCCGTAATTATTTTTTAAGTATTCTGAATTTAGTATCTATGAGCTCCATGCAGGTCGAGGCCATATTTATCTTGTTCCCTGCTGAGACCCCAGCAATCCAGAGATGTTTGTTGATTGCATAAATGAGCAACTTTTTTTGTCCACTTGTATACCTACTGTATGGGCTTTGAAGAGCAAGGGGTAAGTGAGAGGAACAGAGAGTGGTGACTAGTGGGATGGACCAGGATGAGACACTGTGGGTTAAGCTGGAAAGTCTAGCTGGTGGGCCCAAGAAGGAAGCCAGGACACTGGAGCTCCAGATTGTGGCTGGCCCTGGCCACAATGTCCCATCTCCGGAGCAAGGGGCTGTGCTCAGAAAGAAAGCACAAAAGGCAAGCCACGACACAGAGCCCGGAGGCAGTGGGAGGATTTTACTGACTGCACAACACACAACTTCCCCAGGCCCCCGAGGATGCCGGCGTCTCCTTCAGCCATCAGGCCCCAGCAGTGCCCCTTGCTCCTGTACCCACTCTGGACTCTCGCCGGTAGGGAGGGCTGGGCTGACAGTGCCACGAGTGGGAGAACAGGGGTCAGGGCAGGACACAGGGTTGGGATCAGGGCTGGGCACAGGATCAGGGTCTGGGCTGGGCACAGGATCAAGGTCTGGGCTGGGCACAAGGTCGGGACCAGCGTCGTGCCCAGCCTTTGGGTCAGAAGATTCCACAGGAGTAGGGCTGGGGGTGGATCTGGAGCCGGGGAGGGGTTTGGAGCTGGGATCCGGCAGAGTGCCCGGCCCAGAGCCAGGGTCAGGGTTGCGGCCAGAGCTGGTGCCAGGGCTGAGGCCCAAGCCAGAGCCGAGCACAGAAACAGCATCAGGACCCAGGAGGGAGACCTGCCCCGGCCTCATCATGGATGCAGGGCTTAGGCCAGGCCCGAGGCCCAGGCCGGCGGCCGCTGCTGCAGCTGCAGCGGCCGCGGCAGCTGCAGCAGCGGCTGCACCCTCATGCACCCGTTTGTGCTTGGTGAGGCTGGAGGCCTGGCCGAAGGCCTTCCCGCAGAGCTGACAGCGATAGGGACGCTCGCCCGAATGCACGTGCAGGTGCTGGAGCAGCGCTGAGCTCTGGCCGAAGGCCTTGGAGCAGTGCGGGCAGGCGTAGGGCCGCTCGCCCGTGTGGATGCGCAGGTGGTGTTGCAAGTTGGAGCTCTGCCCGAAGGCTTTGCCGCAGTGGGGGCAGCGGTAGGGGCGCTCGGCCGTGTGTGTGCGCTGGTGCTGCAGCAGCGCCGAGCTCTGCCCGAAGGCCTTGCCGCACTGCGGACACGGGTAGGGCCGCTCGCCCGTGTGCGTGCGCAGGTGTTTGAGCAGCGCAGAGCCCTGGCCGAAGCCCTTGGCGCACACCGGGCACTTGTGGGGCCGCGGGCCGCCGTGCGTGCGCAGGTGCTGTGCCAGGAGCGAGCCGTGCCCGAAGGCCTTGCCACACACCGGGCAGTGGTGCGGCTTCTCCCCGCTGTGGCTGCTGCGATGTTTCAGCAGCGTGGAGCGCCAGCCGAAGGCCTTGCCGCAGGCCGCGCACTGGTACGGCCGCGCCCCAGTGTGGATGCCACGGTGCTGAGCCAGGGTGGCACCGTGGCTGAAGGACTTCCCGCAGTCGGGGCAGCGGTACGGCTTCTCGCCGCTGTGCGTGCGGCGATGCTGGCTCAGCCCGGAGCTGCGGCGGAAGGCTCGCCCGCAATCCGGGCAGGAGAAGGGCCGGGGCGGGCTGGCGGGGGCGGGGAGCACCGCGGGGCTGGTGGCCAAGACCTGGGGGGTGGCAGTGAGGCCAGAGGAGATGGGGTCCACTTTTGGATCGCCGGGGCTGAGGGTGTCGCTGTTAGGATCGAGAATCAGGGGTACGGGGCCAATCACATCTGGATCGAGGTCGAAACTCGAAGACATGGGGTCGGGATCTTGGGGTTCCGAGCCCGGAGCTTCGGCGTCGGGGTCCAGATCCTCCGAGACGGGCTCCAGATCTTCATAGCTGGGGTCCACGTCTTCCGGGACAGTGTTGAGGTCTTCAGGATCAGGCTCTGGGTCTTCAGAAACCGGGTCCAGATCTTCAGGATTGGGGTCTAGGTCCTCGGAGTCAGAGTCGAGCTCTTCATAAACGGGTCTCAGGCCTTTGTGGCCTGGGTTCCTGACCAGGACTGAGCGCCGCATTTCAGGCGTGGATGTGCCCGCAGCTTCTGGGGCAAGACCTGCAAGGGCAAGGATAGAGGGTAGAGGGTAGGTGGGTTCTGTGGGAGCGGGGGTGTCTTTTGGAGTCTGGTTAGGGATGAGAGACGGGACCCGATTGTGCCCCCAGAACCCACTTCTTTTTTTTTTTTTTTTTTTTTTTGAGATGGGGTCTCGTTCTGTTGCCAAGGCTGGAGTGCAAAGGTACCATCTCGGCTCACTGCAACCTCCGCCTCCCAGGTTCAAACAACTCTCCTGCCTCAGCCTCCTGAGTAGCTGGGATTACAGGTGTCCACCACCATGCCTGGCTAATTTTTGTATTTTTAGTAGAGATGGGATTTCAGCATGTTAGACAGGCTGGTCTCAAACTCCTGACCTCAGGTGATCTGCATGCCTCAGCCTCCCAAAGTGCTGGGATTACAGGCGTGAGCCACCGCGCCCAGCCCCACTTCTTTATTTTTATTTTTTTGAGATGGGGTCTCACTCTGTCACCCAGGCTAGAGTGCAGTGATGTGATCATACATAGCTCACTGCAGACTGGAACTCCCGGGCTCAAGCGATCCTCCCACCTCGGCCTCTCAAGTAGCTGGAATTACAGATGCACCACCACACTCAGCTAACTTCAATTCTTTCTTTCTTTCTTTCTTTCTTTCTTTCTTTCTTTCTTTCTCTCTCTCTCTCTTTCTTTCTTTCTTTCCTTCCTTCCTTCTTTTCCTTCCTTCTCTCTCTTCTTCCTTCTTTCCTTCCTTCTTTCCTTTCTCTCTCCCTCTGTCTCTCTTTTTTGAGATGGGGTGTCGCTATGTTGCCCAGGCTGGTATCAAACTCCTGGACTCAAGCAAACCTCTGGCCTTGGCCTCAGAAAGTGCTGGGATTACAGGCATGAGCCACTGTGCCTGGCCAAACCCCACTCACTTCTGAGCATACACGTGGATCCTTCCCTTGTCTCTGACTGCAAGGAGATTTCTGACTTACCCCAGCCAGGGCAGGGAGTTGAGGGAACCAGGTGGGACATGGTAGGACCCTCCCCTCTCAGCCCCAAACCTGGACGGAGGTCATGAGACCCAGCACTAGAGGTTTCTAGTCCCCAACTCCATGGCTCTGCACCTCTCTCCAACCTGGGCTCCTCTTGTGGGAAGCTGGGGTCCTGTGGAGGAGACAGTCCTAGCTTCCTACCCCCTTGCTGGGCGTCCCCACATGGGGAACAGTGTGGGTGTCAGCGTTTCTGTGCTCCTGAGCACATGGCCTGAATTCTTGTCCCATACTTGGAGGCGGCAGATTAATTTAGGGGGCGAGTTCTGGTAGGGAGGCCCCCCTCCAGCAGCAGCATTCTGAGCTCTAGAACCCATGTCTGGGGGATAAGAATATGGAACAAATAACATCAGGTATCCCTCCCAAGTCACTGGGGAAAGACAAGAAGACTCTGGCTTGCCCTCTGGGGAAAAGAAAACCTGAATTCCAGAGCTCACAGCTCCAGGTGGGAGTCAGTGTCAAATCCTCTCTCTTAGACAGATCGGAAATGCCCTTTCCTACAGCCAGATAGTGAGCATGGTAGAGTGATATTTGGGACCCCTCCTGGTGAGGAGGGATGGGTAGGGAGACTCATGAACCCCATAGGCAGGATGGTGGGGACAGTTGTTAGTATACCTGTTTTATTTATTTATTTATGTTTGAGATGGGGTCTTGGTATGTTGCCCAGGCTGGACTCAAACTCCTGGGCTCAAATGATCCTCCCACCTCAGCCTCCCAAAGTATGGTGATTACAGGCATGAGCCACCATGCCCGGCCAGTATACCTGTTTTCCCTATTGGCTAGAAGGTCCTGCATTTTAACTTCTAGCTGGAGGATAGGCAAAAATAATACCTGGGGACCCTCTGAAGTTAATGGGGGAACGCCTGAGTCATCTCCTCCCATGGCTGGGACATGGCGGGTAGTGTCAGCACACTTGTAGCCCTTCCTGCAGGAAGGATCCTGAACTGAATTGCCAGCTTGTGGCTAGGGGCAGACTGGGAGGTAGAGGGACAAAAGCTGGAACCACTTCTGGGGAGCAATGGGAGCCCAGGATGACCTGCCGGGAGGATGCCTTGAGCTCCCCACCCCATGGCTGGGTGTTGAGGTGTCAACAATGAATGATCTGCTCCTGGGAGAAGCTGTGGGGGGACCTGTGGCTCCCCTTCTGGGGAAAGGAATACACTGAGCCACAACCCCATAGCTGGGAGTGTGCAGGCAAACAGAGCCGAGTTCCTGGACGGCGGTCCTCAACCCAGACCCCATAGTTGGAGAGTGGGGGAAACAAGACCTGGGACCCCTCCTGCATCAGGGGCAGAGGAACCCTTAGATTGCCTCCAGGGGAAGGAGCCCCCTGAATTCCCATCTCTTAACTGGAAGGTGGGAGGAGAAATCACTTAAGTCTTTCCTGAGTTCCCAGGGGTGAGGGCAGGTGGACCCCTGGATCACCTCCAGGGAAAGGAGCTTCCAGAACTGCAGACCCCAAGACTGGAGGGGCAAGGGAACAATCGCTGGGACCCTTCCTAGGGTCCTGGGGGAAGAGGGAACCCCTAGGTCCCCCTTTTGAGGACAGGGCCTCCTGAACTCCAGACCCCAGGCGGGAGGTGGGAACAATACCTCGAATCAGGAGGGGAGGGGGTCCTGGATCGCCTCCTAGGGAGGGGGCGTCCTGAGCTCCAGACCCCAGAGCTGGCGGGCGCCCCCCACCCCGCCCGATTGAAGGCTCCCAACCTCCTGGCCCTTTCCCCCCGGGCCCCAGCGGCGGGATGGGTGCGCTAGGCCGGAGCTGGCCGCAGAGTCCCCTCCCCATCGCTCCCGCGACCCCCGCTCGCCTGGGCCAGGGCCGGCGGCGCGCAGGGCGGGGGACGATTAGAGGTCGCCCCGGGCTGCGCCCCGCGCCTGGAGCTCCCCCGCCCGCCCGCCCCCCACCCAGCCCCCCGCCCCGGCCCCAGCCCGCTCGCAGGGACACTCACCCGGCGCCCCTCGCCCCTGCCCGGCCCGCCGCGCCCGCGCCGGCCGCCGGCTCCCCCCGGGCCCGCAGGAAGCCCCCCGCCCGCCAGCCCCGCCGGCGGCCCCCTCGGCCCAGCGGCCCCGCCAGGCGCTCCCGGGGAGCGAGAGGGGCCGGCCGAGGGCCGCAGCGGGAGCTGCTGGGACTTGTAGTTCGCCCGCGCCCGCCGCGGCCGTCGCCATCGCTGCCCCCGCCCCCCGGGCAGGCCTTTGTCCCCGGCCAGGCCACCCCGACCGCGCGGCCGCGCCTTTGTCTGCACCGTGCCCCGCCCGCACGCAGCCCTGGCCCCATCCCTAGTCTCCTCCTGGGCCTGTCTCAGTCCCTCTGTGGCCCTGGCCCTATCTCTTTCTCTCCATCCCTGTCCCTCTCTCTGTCTCTCTCCGTCCCTATCTCTCTATCTCTGTTCATTCTCTGTCTCTGTCCCTGTCTTCCCATCTCTGTTCCTTTCTCTGTGTCTCTGTCCCCATCTCTTTCTCTGTGTTCCAATCTCTTTGCCTCTGTTGCTTTCTCTGCCTCTATCTCTCTCTGTGTCTGTCTGTCTCTCTCTCTCTGTCTCTGCCTCCTGCCCATGTCTCTGACTCTATCTTTGTTCGTAAAACTCTACACATGTTGTTCTTGGAGACTTGCAGCGCACATAGGCACAGCCAAGCCTCTCAGCTCTGCAATCTAAAAACATGTCTATTTTTGCTTAACCTGGCCTTCCTCCAATTTTTCCTTTTTGCATGGTGAAACCCGTCACCCTTTCTGGGTAACACCCGCCAAGGCACAGATTTGGGATATTCCTCCTCTAGTGTTTTCAGCCTCCTACCCAGATGGTGGGTCACCGCTGTCCCTGGAGGCCTCCAAGTGCTAGATGTGAGTGATGGTTTCCGGAGAACCCTACGCCGGGCCGGGAAGGGCTCGGGGCAAACTTTCCTTGGAGACACAGATCCCCGCTGCCAGCCAGGAGAGAGAGTGGAAATCAGCTCCTGATGGCTGGGCCGCGATGTTCTCCACTAAATATAAACAATGGTCACAGAATATAAACAATGATGAGGCAAGGCCACTCTGTGACCATGTCTGAACCAAGATAGAGACATGGGCCCTGTGCAACCACAAAAATGAGTTCTCATCCCCCTCTCCAAGTGAACACAAATGACTGCCACTTCTTACCGACGACAATTCCAACCCAACTGCCATCCTCCCACCTCTGAGACAAAAATCACTGAAATACCTAGTCAGCAAAGCGCTCCCAGGTTCCCGACAATACCACCCTAGTAATTCTCTGTAAAACCACCCAGTATAGGCTGGGTGCGGTAGCTCATGCCTGTAATCCCAGCACTTTGGGAGGCCAAGGCGGGTGGATCTTGAGGTCAGGAGTTTGAGACCAGCCTGGCCAGCATGGTGAAATCCTGTCTCTACTAAAA
Source organism: Homo sapiens (assembly GCF_000001405.40). Taxonomy (NCBI): domain Eukaryota; kingdom Metazoa; phylum Chordata; class Mammalia; order Primates; family Hominidae; genus Homo; species Homo sapiens. Next base: position 7,514,808 of record NC_000019.10, on the reverse strand, counting down.
ATACAAAGATTAGCCAGGCGTGGTGGCAGGCACCTGTAATCCCAGCTACTCGGGAGGCTGAGGCAGGAGAATTGCTTGAACCCAGGAGGTGGAGGTTGCAGTGAGCCGAGATTGCACCACTGCACTCCAGCCTGGGCAACAGAGCGAGACTCCGTCTCAAAAACAAAAACAAAACAAAAAATGCAAACCACCAAGTACAAGCCCAAATTCTATAAGATACTCCTCTGTCCCCATGTCCTCCTTATAGAGACACCCTATGGTTCCTTCTTCCTTCCTGAACCTTCTAGATGTGTGTTAGACTCAGCCTGAGACCTGCTTTCCATCTTTCCGCAGAGCCCACAGCAGATCTGAGAGATTGGAGATAACTTCAATTGGATTATGCCCCTGGTTCCTTATCCTGACACTTCCTGGATGATCCCATTACAAATACATGTGATGACATCTGTTGTTTCTTTGGCTCAGAATCTAACAGTACTTTCTTTTCCTTTGTGGGGTCCCCTCCACTACTCCAGATGCACATGTGTCTAACACCCCTTCCCAGTCCCACGTGAGCTGGACTCTAATCAAAGGGCCCCTATCCCCTGGCCACAATAATTAGGTATGGGTTGAGAAGGTGACATTGGAGGTTCTCACTCTACTTCTGGGGTTATGAGCCACAGGGGGCTCATTCTGCCTGCAGCCACTTTCCCCAGTTGTTCAAAAGAACGGTCTGCAGACTGAGGACAATATGCACCAAGATGTACAAGTAAGAGTCAGAGAGATAGCTCTGGCTATATTTGTTGAGCTCCTGGATATAGCCGTACCTGAAGCCACAGAACTCATTCTTTCCTGTACCACAAACCAACAAATGTTCTGGGTGTTTGAGCTGGTTTTAGTGGATGTCTGTTCTTTGCATCCGTGACAGTCTTGACTAATTTAGGAATTATTACCTGGAAAGGAAAGAGTAATAAAAAAAATCTTTTAAAAAAAACCCTAAAATGTGGAACAAACTAAAGAAAGATGGGATAGAGAGCCAGGGTTGCCACATACATGGACTATAAAGTGAATAGGGCACCTTAAGTTATGCAATGCACGACCTGTCTAGATGTATACGGGGCTTTGTAAAAGAGCTTTCCCCCAGAAAACTAGAGTTATGTGGAAGAAAACCAGCGGATTAAATTGTTGCCTGGCCAGGCGCGGTGGCTGACACTTGTAATCCCAGCACTTTGGGAGGCTGAGATGGGCGGCTCACTGAGGTCAGGAGTTTGAGACCATCCTGGCCAACATGGTGAAACCCCATTTCTACTAAAAATACAAAAAGTAGCCGGGCATGGTGGAGGGCACCTGTAATCCTAGCCACTTGGGAGGCTGAGGCAGGAGAATCACTTGAACCCGGGAGGTGGAGATTGCAGTGAGCCGAGATCGTGCCACACTATACTCCAGCCTGGGCAACAGAGCGAGACTCCATCTCAAAAATAAATGAATAATAAATAAATAAATAAATAAATAGTTACTGATTTTTTCATGGAACTCTAACCATGTGTCTCCTAAGGACCAGAATATTGGAATATGGGGAAGCTTTCTTTCTCTTTTAGAGACAGGGTCTCATTGTGTCACCCAGGCTGGAGTGCAGTGGCACAATCATAGCTCACTGCAGCCTTGAACTCCTGGGTTCAAGCCAACCTCCCACCTCAACCTCTTGAGTAGCTGGGACTACAGATGAGTACCTGGGGACTCAGCCTCCTGAGTAGGTGGGACTACAGCCACCATGCCTGGCTATTATTACTATTTTATTTGTAGAGATGGAACCTCACTATGTTGCCCTGGCTGGTCTCAAACTCCTGACTTCAGCGATCCTCCCAACTTGCTGGGACTACAGGTGTGAGCTACCATGCCTGGCCTGGGGCAGCTTTCATGCAATCTTCAGCAAAGTCTTGCAAGAAAGACACAAGTTTCTGGAATGTGTTTCTTCTCAAAGCAGAGAATCATCTGCTTCATCTTGTGAGAACCTCAGAGCTGAATTTTCCGCCCCAGGCTAAAAGACGAGGCAGATGATGAGGTAGAAGATAAGACTGGGATTATGGGAGGACATCTGACACCCTAAACTACTCCCAAACGCTGAACATTCCTTGTCTGCAAAGCTGACAATCACTCTCACTGGGAAGAGCCTATTAGCTGAGCTAATCCACCCTCCAGATTGCAACCTGGGGCAGGACACAGATTTGTCCTTAGGAGACACAGTCAATTAAGGTTGGGCTCCAGCGCCGTGATCCTGGCTGGGTTTGGGGAGTTAAATAACCTAGGGGTGGGTTCCTGAGCTGGGCAAACCAATCACCATATTGTTTTCCTCTGGGCACAGTGATTGGTCCACAACTCGGTGAGTGATTCAAATGGGCCAATCAGCCTGTTCCTTAAATCCCAATATGGGGCCCGGTGTGGTGGCTCATGCTTGTAATCCCGGCACTTTGGGAGGCTGAGGCGGGCGGATCACTTGAGGTCAGGAGTTCAAGACCAGCCTGGCCAACATGGTGAAATCCCGTCTGTAATAAAAAATACAAAAATTAGCCGGGCATGGTGGTGCATGCCTGTAGTCCCAGCTACTTGGGAGGCTGATGCAGGAGAATTGCTTGAACCCAGGAGACGGAGGTTGCAGTGAGCCGAGATTGCATCACTGCACTCCAGCTTGGGTGACAGATGTCTCAAAACAAAAACCAAAATTCGATAGAGGGAGCGTGGTGGAAAGACCCCGCCCTTCTCTGGGGGATCTAATCATAATGATTGGAAAATACTACCAGCATCTTCCTTTGCTGTTGCTTGGAGGGACACAGGACTGAGAGATGGCCAGGGGGACAGAGTCCTGATGCAAAATGCCTGATATTAGACCCAATTCCAGACTCAGACCTTCTTGTTTCTGTGTGTGTGTGTGTGTCTGTGTGTGTGTGTGTGTGTGTGTGTGTGTTATTGTTGAGACAGAAACTTGCTTAGTTGCCAAGGCTGGAGTGGAATGATAATAGCTCACTGCAGACTCAATCTTCTTGGCTCAAACAATCCTCCCACCTCAGCCTCCCAAGTAGCTGAGACTACAGGTGCACACCACCATGCCCAGCTAATTTTCTAAATTATTTTTAGTGGAGATGAGATCTCACTATGTTGCCCAGGCTGGTCTTGAACTTCTGAGTTCAAGTGATCTTCCCGCCCCAGCCTCCCAAAGTGTTGGGATTGCAGGCATGAGCCACCACGTCTGGCCTGTCTTTTTCTAAATCAATAAAATTCCTTTTTTTCCTTGAGCCAGATGGAGCTTGGTTTCTGTCATTTGCAACAAAATGACGTAAGACATTAACACATTTAGTCACCATTCACTGAGCTGCAGCCAAGTGCCAGGCCCTCTTCTGAGCATGGTACATGCACCTCTTATTTAATTCCTGTAACCACTCTATGAAACGGGAACTATTGGCATTCCCATTTTACAGATAAGGAAAGTGAGGGTCAGGGTGTATTTTTGCCTAAGGACAGAAAGGCAGGTCTGAATTCTGCTGCTGGGTGACGCTTACCACTGAGAAAGTTGTTTTCCTTTAAAAATTAATCTTGGTGGGCTGGGCACGGTGGCTCATGCCTGTAATCCCAGCACTTTGGGAGGCCAAGGCGGGCAGATCACGAGGTCAGGAGTTCAAGACCAGCCGAGCAACATGGTGAAACTCCGTCTCTACTAAAAATACAAAGATTAGCCAGGCGCGGTGGTGGGCACCTGTAATCCCAGTTATTTGGGAGGCTGAGGCAGGAGAATTGCTTGAACCCAGGAGGCGGAGGTTGCAGTGAGCTGAGATTGCACCATTGCTTTCCAGGCTGGGTGACAAGAGCAAGACTCTGTTTCGAAAAAAAAAAAAATCTTGGTTTCTCACATTCAATTCTATATTTTTTTGTCTTAATCCCTAGGCTTTTGGGGGAAGGAAGGGAGTGAGTGGAATATAGGAGGGTTAGTCATAAATCCATAAAATACATCCAGAATAATCCTGATGTAGTGTCTTTCCCCAAGGATTAAACATTTCCAGTACAGTTTCTGTTCTTCCCTGGCAAGCCATCCTAGGGCTGGTCATTTTCATTGTCAGAAAGTGCTCCAAGTTGTGCTGAAATCCAGCTCTTTTTTAATTGCTATGGACTGTTTTCATCTAATGCCTAAGGCTGTTTTAAACCATTCCTGGGATGAGGCAGGAAGATAATCCTGCAACTACAGCTACATGGAACTTAAGACCAAATAAACATTCTGAGCTTCCCAGAAGGCAAGGCAAAAAGGGAAAGCCTTTCTGTTCTAGTAGTCTGGTCACTAGGCAGACCAGCTTCATCAGAAGAGGATGAGCTTATCGAAGTGGTTTCCAACCAGGGCAGTTCTCTCCCATCTGGAAGATATATGGCAATATTTGGGACATTTTGTTACAAGTGGGAGGGAGAGGTTCTACTGGCATTTAGTGGGTAGAGGACAAGGATGGCACTAAATATCCTACAATGCACAGGAGAGCCTCCAATAAAGAATGATCTGATCTAAGACACCGATAAATGATAAGCCCTGGTTTATCCTGAAGTAACTCAGAAGAGCATGATGCCAAATATCTTTAGAGGACATATTCACAGCTGGCAGATTCTTGCATGGTCGAGGTGGATACCATGTGTGGCCAAAAGGGTCATCTTGTCCCTACAGGATGCAAAGCTGGATTCCCTCCTGCCTTTCCTGCAGAAATGACAACCTGGCCTAGAAGAACTGATGCCAACCAGGAAAGGGCTCCTGGGCAGGGTCGAGATTGGCTCAACCTTATGGTTCATTGGATTGGGGTCCTTGGTCTTTGGAGGTTTGATTCTTGGTTCAGGAAAGCCATGTTCACTCCTTGAGACTGGATGTTCAACAGCCCACAGAGGCAGGCCCCGGCATGGTCACTAAAGCCTACCTTACCCGAGACAGACCTTACCCCAGACAGACCTTTCTCCTCACCATGCCCTGGACCTTAAAGGTCAGGCGCTGTCCAAGGTACTGGTCCTTGCTAAGCCCTGTCACTCACTTGCTGCAGAGCCCCATCACATCCTCCTCCTTTTGACCCTTTACATTTTGTCCCTGGCTGAACACTTACCCCCCTGGACCTCATAATATCTTGATGGCTTTTGTCAATTTGCCCCTGGACTCTGCTCTGACCTGGGGACCAGTTGCCCAGACAACCAGTGCCCCATTCGGTCTCTAGTCTCTGTCCATGATGGAAAAAACTGCTGGGTTATTCTCAGCTGTGTCCACTCTTCCATGTCCTCTATGGGCCACATCCAGTGTCCCCACCATTGAAAGCTTTTTCCCCACACCCTGGCCTTCCCCATTCTCATCCTCAGAAGGGAAGCTTCCCCTCCACGACCCCAGCCCCATGCACTGAAAAGTGTGTACATTTCTCATGTATAACAGTCTCATGGGAGAATTGCTACTTATCCCCATTTCATAGATGAGCAAATTGAGGCTCATAGGGGTTAAGTGACTTGCCCAAACTACCACCCAGGACGTGGAGGAGTCCGAGTTTGGATTATGCCCATCCAGCACCCCCACCCTTCCCCGGCCCCAGGGATCTGTGTTCTGAAGTACGCACGCCAGTATCTCTGTTCAGCACTATAACTTTATTCTTTTTTTGAGACAGAGTTTTTGCTCTGTTGCCCAGATTGGAGTGCAGTGGTGCAATCATATAGCTCACTGCAGCATTAAATTTCTGGGCTTAAGTGATCCTCCCACCTCAGCCTCCTGAATAACTTGGACTACAAGCACGTACCACCATGCCTGGCTTTCTAAAATTTTTATTTATTTATTTATTTATTTTTTAAGACTTAGTCTCACTCTGCTGCCCAGGCTGGAGCTCAGTGGTGTGATCTCAGCTCACTGCAACCTCCGCCTCCCAGGTTCAAGTGATTCCCGTGCTTCAGCCTCCCGAGTAGCTAGGATTACAGACATGTGCCACCACATCTGGCTAATTTTTGTATTTTAGTAGAGATAGGGTTTCACCATGTTGGCCAGGTTGGTCTCGAACTCCTGATCTCAGGTGATCCGCTCGCCTCGGCCTCCCAAAGTGCTGGGATTACAGGTGTGAGCCACTGCACCTGGCCGATTATCTTTTTTTTTTTGTAGAAACAGGATCTCCCTATGTTGCCCAGGCTGATCTCAAACTCCTGGGCTCAAGCAATCCTCCCATCTCAGTCTCCCAAAGTGCTGGGGTTACAGGTGTGAGCCACCGCGCCCAGCCTTGACTCCATACTCTTCATGGCAACGCAGCAACAGTGGAGTCATCCTTTCCCGTGCAGTCCCTTCCTCCAGCCCCCACCCACCCAAGCATCCTCTGGATGGGCTGACTGATGGGAAAGAGTGGAATGTTGCCAAGATGGCATTTATTGCTGGCTGGGGCACAGGTACATAGGGGGCTGGGGGACCAGAGGGTCTATCTTCTCCCTGCAGCCGCGCTGGTGAGGCGTGCCCAGGGGCACGAAGCCCTCCTGAGGATTTTTCAGTCTCAGGGCTGCTGGGCCCTGGTACTTGAAAGGAAACTCGTCCTTGTATTGTGTTGAGAAGAAGCGCAGTCCACCCAGAGGGGGCTCCATGTGGCTGTACTTGCACTGTGGAGACAGGGTGGACAGCCTGGCAGGGCAGCCTGGGAGGTGGCCGATCCACCCTGTCCACCCCAGGATCTCCAGGCCTGATGAGTCAGGGGGCGGGGCCAGGCAGGGCAGGCTAGCTGGTCGGGGCGGAGCCAGTGTCTGACCAAGGAGGATGGTTAAGACTGGGTAAGAGAGGATAGGGAAAGGGGCGAGGCTATGGCCAGAAGGGTGGAGTTATGCAGGGGCGGGGCTTGGCCACGAAGGGGCGGGATTGTCCAGGGGCGGAGTTGGGGTTCTGGTCAATTTGGGGTGGGATTTAGCCCTTCAGAAGGTGAAGCCTGGGGTAAGGTGGGGCCGCCTAGGGACAGAGCCAGAGCATCAAAGGCTGGGGAGGTTGAACTCTGGGGAGAGGTGGGCAAAAAGGGCCCCAGGCTGGGCTGAATGAGGAGCTGGATAAGAAGATGGAGAGAAACCAGGGGTGTCCCTGGAAGGACTCCAGGGCTGGGGTGATCCTGGGTGGCTCTGAATTAACCCTCGTCTTGGGTATAACAGTGGTGGTGGTGCAAAGATGCCCCTGAGCTGACCTTGACATGACCCTGGGGGGTGAGCTAGAGATGACCTCTATTTTTTTTTTTCCTTTTTTTGAGGCAGAGTCTTGCTCTGTTGCCCAGCCCAGAGTGCAATGGTGCGATCTTGGCTCACTGAAACCTCTGCCTCCCTGGTTCAAGCAATTCTGTCTCAGCCTCCCTAGTAGCTGGGATTACAGGCATGCGCCACCATGCCTGACTAATTTTTGTATTTTTAGTAGAGACGGGGTTTCACCATGTTGGCCAGGCTGGTCTCGAACTCCTGACTTCAGGTGATCCGCCTGCTTCGGCCTCCCAAAGCGCTGGGATTACAAGCGTGAACCACTGCACCCGGCCAAGCTAGGGATGATCTTCAGGCTGAAGGGATATTAAGATGCCCCCGAGCCTGGGTGATCACTAACTCTGAGACAGGGTGACAGCATAGTCGTCCTGAGATAACTCTACACCAATGTGGGGGTTGCCTAATGATGGGTGGCTCCCCTCCGCCTCCCTTACCCGCTGTAGCATCTCTTCAGTCACCGGGGCCGGAGGTGTTCTGTGTGGCTTCAGCATCTTCTGGTTCATGGTTAAAAAATCGAATTCTGGAGATTCAGGTTGGGGAGGCTGAGTGAGGGCTGTGGGCCGAGGCGGGGCTGAGGGTGTGGTGAAGTTCAAGGGAAGGGTTCAAGAGCCAAGCCCAGGCCAGCGCTGAAGTTGACCAGGGGAGAAAAATGGATTAGGAGAGGGGGGAGGGAGGAGCCAAAGAAGGAGGGAGAAGCCAGAGGAAGGGGGAGGAGCTGGGAAAGAGGGAGGAGCTGGGAAAGAGGTAGGCGCTGGGGAAGAGGGAGGAGGTGGGGGAGGAGGAAGGAGCCAGGGGAGGAGAGAGGAGCTGGGGAAGAGGGAGGAACTGGGAAAGAGGGAGGAGCTGGGACAAAGGAAGGAGCCAGAGAAAGGGGGAGGAGCTTGGGAAGAGGGAGGAGCTGGAGGAGGACGGAGGAGCTAGGGGAGGAACCCAGAGCTAGGGCATAGGGCTAAGAAGGTCAGGGGCGGGGCCGGGCCAGATGAGTCTGTGGGCAGGGCCAGGCAGGGCAGGCTAGCGGGTCAGGGGCGGAGCCAGAGTCTGACAATGGAAGAGGAGTTAAGACTGGATAAGAGAGGATGGAGAAGGGGCAGGGCCGTGTCCAGAAGGATGGAGTTATGAAGGGGAGAGGCATGGCCATGAAGGGGCGGGATTATCCAGGAGCAGAGTTGGGGTTCTGGTCAATTGGGGGTGGGATTTAGCCTTTCAGGGGATGAAGCCGGGGGAGGGGAGGGCTGGTTAGGGGCGGGGCCAGAGCAGTGGCAAGGGCGAGGCTTCCAGGGCTGGGCTTCCCGGGACGGGGCTCCGTGGGGGCGGGGCTCCATGGGGAGGGGCTCCATGGGGGCGGGGCTTTCGGGGGTGGGGCTTCCCGGGGCGGGGCTCCATGGGGCGGGGCTTCCCGGGAGCGCTCACCGCCCGTGCCCCGCGGCAGGTAGCTTTGCTGCAAGTGGAGGTTGGGCGCTTTCTGCACCTGTCTCCACTCTGAAGGGCAGTAGTCCGAGCCCATGGTGGTCTTGAAGAAGCGTTTGAGTAGCTTTGGCTCCCCTAGGGTCACATGACTCTGCAATTTCTCATGAGGCACGTGGCGGCTGGGTGGCTGGGTCGGGGGTGGCGGCTGTAGGACCACATGGCATTTGAAAGCTCCGGCGTCCGAGAGGTCCCCGGGCCCGGGGGGGAGGGAGGAGGTGGGCTCTGTGTGACCTTGGACAGCTCCCTCACCCCTTCTGGGCCCCACCTGGTAGCACTGGGAGTTGGTACTCTTATCTCATTTTACAGAAGGAGCCACGGAGGAGGATCGGAGTGGTTAAGTGACTCGCCCTAGATCACTCAAGTACATCCAGGAGATTCCTGCATACATATCAAGCTCACTCCCACTTTGGGACTTCTGCACCTGCTATTTGCTCTGTCTGGGAAGCCCTTTTCCCTGCCGCCTTTTCGCTCTTCCTGCTCACCTGGCCGTAGAAGTACTGCATGAAGGTGTCCAGACTGCCGGGGCCGGGGCACCAATTTCCTTTCAGGATGTGCGACTCCGGAGTCTGATCGTGGTGAAGAACAAAAGGCTCTGCCAGAAGCGGAACAGGTGCAGAGCTGCCCTGGGAGGCTGCGGTGGGAGGCGGGACGGGGCGGGCCTCAGGCTCTCACCTGGCTCCCTGGCATAGAAGTGCTCGGCCTTGGTGGTCCTGTCGCGGAAGAGGCCGTCACCAGGACGGATATTTACACAGTGGATGTGGGCTGTGGCCTGGGCCTTGTCATACCTGTACGTAGTGTATTATTCCATCAAGAATAAGGTAAAGTGGGCTGGGCATGGTGGCCCACCCCTGTAATCTCAGCACTTTGGGAGGCTGAGGTGGGTGGATCACCTGAGGTCAGGCTTTTGAGAACAGATTGGCAAAAATGGTGAAACCCCATCTCTACTAAAAATACAAAATTAGCCGGGCATGGTGGCACATGCCTGTAATTCCAGCTACTCGGTAGGCTGAGGCAGGAGAATTGCTTGAACCCGGGAGGCGGAGGTTGCAGTGAGCTGAGATTGTGCCACTGCACTCAAGCCTGGGCAACAGAGCGAGACTACGTCTCAAAAAAAAAAAAAGAAAAAAAAAAAGAAGAAGAAGAAGCTAAAGTGGATCCATCTGGGGCCTTGCAACCCCCAGAAAGAGGGAGGGGAGCAGGGTTTCCTAATGACCAAGCTGTGGGGCTCTGATAATGAGAGATCTGGCACAATAGTGCACCTTGGCTACCAGTGACAGAGACCTCAGAGGCAGAGTATGGGCCCTAAAGCCCTAAGGGGCAAATACCACATGCTACTGAAAGCCAGTTGTCCCATCTGGGTGGGAAGGCAGTGCCCCCTCGTCCCCCACTTTTTTTTTTTTTTTGAGATGGAGTCTTGCTCTGTCGAACAGGCTGGAGTGCAGTGGTGCAATCTTGGCTCACTGCAGCCTCCGCCTCCCGGGTTCAGGCGATTCTCCTGCCTCAGCCTCCGGAGTAACTGGGATTACAGGCGCCCACCACCACACCCGGCTAATTGTTGTATTTTTAGTAGAGACAGGGTTTCACCATATTGGCCAGGCTGGTCTCGAGCTCCTGACCTCATGATCTGTCTGCCTCAGCCTCCCAAAGTGCTGGGATTACAGGCATGAGCCACCGTGCCCGCAGTGGCCCCTTTATACCTATCTTCAGGCAGATCCTGGGGCCTGTAGGCCTGTTTCTGCTCCGAACACGTTGATCCATAGCTGATCTTGCAGTCTCCCAGCTCCACTCCGGAGGAGGCCTGTGGGCAGACAGGGATAGGAAGGCCCAAACCACCCAGCCCCCAATTCTGCCCCCGCCTGCAGCCCCAACACAGCCTCAATTTACCCTCTTACACCTCAAGGCAGGTGGGCCTGGCAGGGCCTGGAACTGTCTTTGGTAGGAAGTCCCATCTTGTCTCGTGTAGTCCCACTTGAGGGTGTTGGGGCCCCCTTAGGATAGGCAAGGGGGATGGGGGGAGAGAGAGAGAGATTGAGATTCCCTGCCATCTCAAGCCCTCTGGAAGGAATTCTATTTCTTGCCTGGGAAGGGGAGCTGGGCCATTCTGAACAGTGTAGACTGAGAGCTGTCTGGCAAACACCAAAAGATAAAAATAAAAATAAAATAAATTATACTAAAAGCCAGGTGCAATGGCCCATGCCTGTAATCCCAGCTATTCAGGTGGCTGAAGTGCAAAGATGGGCTTGAGCCCATCTTGAGCTGGAGACCAGCTTGGGCAACATAGTAAGACCCTCATCTCTAAAAAATAATGATAAATTTAAAAATACAGCCAGGTGTGGTGGCTCATGCCTGTAATCCCAGCACTTTGAGAGGCCAAGGCAGGTGGATCACCTGAGGTCAGGAGTTCAAGACCAGCCTGATCAATACGGTGAAACCCCATCCCTACCAAAAATATAAAAATTAGCCGGGTGTGTTGGCATGTGCCTGTAGTCCCAGCTACTCAGGAGACTGAGACAGGAGAATAATTTGAACTTGGGAGGTGGAGGTTGCAGTGAGCCGAGATCGTGCCACTGCACTCCAGCCTGGGCCACAGAGTGAGATTCTGTCTCAAAAACACACACACACAATAAAACAAAAAAACCCCAATAATATCTACCAAGGACTATATTGAGCCACACATAGGTTAAGTGCATTGCATCTTTTTCCAGGACTGAGTATCTCTCTCTCCGTCTCTCTTTTATTTTGGAGATGGAGTCTCGCTCTGTGGCCCATGCTGGAGTGCAGTGGCACAATCTTGACTCACTGCAACCTGCTCCTCCCAGGTTCAAGCGATTCTCCTGCCTCAGCCTCCCAAGTAGCTAGCTGGGATTACAGGAACGCACCACCAGGTCAGGCTGAATTTTGTATTTTTAGTAGAGATGTGGTTTCACCACATTGGCCAGGCTGGTCTCCAACTCCTGGCCGCAAGTGATCCGCCTGCCTCAGCCTCCCAAAGTGCTGGGATCACAGGCATGAGCCATTGCACCCGGCCGCAACTTCTTCTTGGACCTGGTATCATTTCTCTTGTTACAGCCTCCTTGAGGCTCAGAGAGGTTAAGCAACTTGCCAGAAATCACAGAAACTAGGAATCACAACTAAATGTCAAATCAGGGTTTGACAATCCCTGAGCCCATCTTAGGGGCCTCTGACCAGTAATGTTCACCCAAAGGGTCCCTGGAGTCACAGAATTGGAAAATTACACGAATGCTGGCTACTCTTTGTTAAGTGCTCTCTGCACCAGACACACCATACACATTCAGCTTTACTAGCTCCTGTGAATTGGGCCCTGTGATTGCACCCATTTTGTAGACGGGGAAACTGAGGCTTGGAGAGGTTAACTCCCTCAGACTCACACAGCTACTAAGGTGGTAAGGCTGGGGGGTGTGGGGAGGAGGGTGTACAGCTGGGGAACTTAGCTGATTTGTCTGACCCCAAACTGGCATTCATGACTTCTGCCAACCATGCACCACTCTGGACAGATTCAGAGGATATGTCCACCCTCCTGATGCTGAAACTGATGCTCAAGGTGGTTCCAGGGTTTCTGAGGCTTGGTGTAATTGACATTTGGGGCTGGCTGGGAGGATACTTGGCAGCATCTCTGGCCTCTACCCGCTGTCTGCTGGTAGCACCTCTGCCCATCTTTTTAAATTTTTATTTTGTAAGGGCTGGGCTCAGTGGCTCATGCCTATAATCCCAGCACTTTGGGAGGTCGAGGCAGATGGATTGCTTGAGCCCAGGAGTTCAAGACCTGCCAGGGCAACATAGTAAGACTGCATCTCTACAAATAAGTACAAAAAATTAGCTGGGCCTGGTGACATGCGTGTCTGCAGTCCCAGCTGCCTGGGAGGCTGAGGTGGGAGGATCACTTGAGCTGGGCAGATTTAGTCTGTGTGAGCCGAGATCATGCCACTGCACTCCAGCCTGGGTGACAGAGACACTTTCTCAAAAAAATATATACACATATATATATAATAAAAAAATAATAAAATTTTTATTTTGTAGAGATGGGTCTCGCTATGTTGCCCAGGCTGGTCTCCAATTCTGGCCTCAAGACATCCTCCTGCCTAGGCCTCCCAAAGCACTGGGATTACAGGCGTGAGCCACCGCGGGTGGCCTCGCCACCCCCCAAGTCTTCCTCCCTCCCTCCCTCCCTTCCTCTCTGTCTTGTTTTCCTTCCTTCCTTCTTCCTTCCTTCCTCTCTCTCTCTCTCTCTTTCTTCTTTCTCTTCTTCCTTTCTTTCTTTCCTTTTTTTGAGACGGAGCCTTGCTCTGTCTCCCAGGTTGGAATGCGGTGGCACAATCTCAGCTCACCACAACCTCTGCCCCCTGGGTTCAAGCGATTCTCCTGCCTCAGCCTCTCAAGTAGCTGGGATTACAGGCACCCTTCACCGCGCCCTACTAATTTTTGTATTTTAGTAGAGGCGGGGTTCCTCCATATTGGCCAGGCTGGTCTCGAACTCTTGACCTCAAGCGATCCCCCCGCCTCCAACTCCCAAAGTGCTGAGGTTACAGGCTTGAGCCACCGCGCCCGGCCACCCCCCAAGTCCTGACCACCAAAAGCGTTTCCAGACATTGCCAAATGTTCCCTGGGGGAAGGGGAATGAAGAGCCCTTGCCCCTGTTTGAGAACCACAATGTGAAGCAAATCGCCCACTCAGCCCGGGCGCGCGCTCACCGAGGTGGCAACTGGGCGCGCGAGGCTGCGGGCGCGCGTCGTGGGGTGGAAAGAGCGCCTGGTGCGTGGTGGGCGGGATGCGCAACTTGTCGCGGTCGCCAGGAGGCAGGGAGTCGCGGTCGAAGATGAGGCGCGCGCCGCGGATCCGCTCTCGGGTGCGCGCCGGCAGCTCGGGCCAGCCGTAGGCGGCGTGCGCGTTGGAGAGGCCGATCCCGGCGTGCGCGTCCTCGTGCAGGTGCAGGTTGCCGGCCTGCATGGCGAGCGTGCGTTCCCGCGCCTGCGCTTGCAGCAGCTCCCACGGCGGCGTGGATGGCGGCGGGAACGCGCGGTGCGCCTCCGACACGCGCTCTTCCCGGTCCCAGCGCGGGTCCATTGGGAAAAGCAGCGCGGGCGGCGGCTGCAGGCTCGGCGGCTCCCGGGTGGCAGCCGGGTAGGCAAAGTCCCGGTGCGACGTGGTGCGCATGGTGCCCTCGTGCAGCCGCAGGTCAGGCCCCAGCGAGAAGTGCGAGGCCTTGAGGAAGTCCAGCCGGGACATCGGGCACGGGCGCGAGCACGGCAGGAGGGCGCCTGTGGCCATCGCGGGACACCAGCCACCTGCGAGAGGGTGGAGATGAGGGACTGAGCAAGTGCCCATTGGGGCACTTGCCTTTGACTCCTGCTTTTGACTCCTTTCTGCTGCCTTTGACTCCTTTCTGTTCGCCAAGCACTGAGCTGGAGGCTGGGGACATCACGGGAAACTGGTACAGCTTCTGTGCCTTCCCCCAGCGAGAGCAGAGACAGAAATAATCATGGCTGGGCGCGGGGGCTCACGCCTGTAATCTCAGCACTTTGGGAGGCCGAGGCCGGTGGATCACCTGAGGTCAGGAGTTCGAGACCAGCCTGGCCAACGTGGTGAAACCCTGTCTGTACTAAAAATAATTTTTAAAAAAAATTAGCCTGGAGTGGTGGTGGGCGCCCGTAGTCCCAGCTACTCGGGAGGCTGAGGCAGGAGAATCGCTTGAACCCGGGAGGCAGAGGTTGCAGTGAGCCGAGATTGTGCCATTGCACTCCAGCCTGGACGACAGAGCGAGACTCCGTCTCAAAACATAAAAAAAAATCTTTCATGTGGTGCCTACTGTAGGCCTGGCACACAGTAGGCACCACATAAATGATTTCTGTCCCTACTCTAGGCCTGGAGGCCAGCAGGGGTGGGGAACTAACATTAGTTCACAAAATAGACCTAGATCCCTGCCTTTGTGGAATTGATAATGGGGCGGGAGATGACAGACAATAATAAAAAATATAACAACAAAAATTGAAGAGTAGGTTAGAAGGTAATAGCTGGGTACTGTGACTCACACCTGTATCCAGGCACAGTGAGAGGTCAGAGCAAGAGGACTGCTTGAGCCCGGGAGTTCAGGACCAGCCTGGGCAATATAGTGGGACCCCGTCTCCACACACACACACACACACACACACACACACACAAATTAGACAAGTGTGGTGGGCTCAACCTCTTGGGCTCAAACGGTCCTCTCACCTCAGTCTTCTGAGCATCTGGGACTATAGGTGTGCACCACCATGCATGGCTAATTCTTTCTATTTTTTTTTTTAGAGACAGGGGTCTGGCTATGTTGCTCAGGCTGGTCTCAAACTCCTGGGCTCAAGCAACCCTTCTGCCTCAGCCTCCCAAAGTGCTGGGATTACAGGTGTTAGCCACCATGCCTGGCCAAGGGTAGGTTTTAACCACTGCTTCACAAAAGACATTGAGGCTCAGGGAGGTGGTCATTTGCTTGAGATTTGAACCCAGGGCGACTCTGATTCTAGAACTTGGAGAATTAACCACTGCATTCTACTGTATGTCTGATACAAGAACCGCGTCTTCTCACCCTCAGTCAGTTGTCAAGGCCACGGTTTTCTCCTTCTTCCCCTCTGGGGGACCCATTTTTGTTCCTCTGCCTAACTCCAGCCCTGCACCCCAGCCACTGGCCATCTCCGTTTCTGCCACACTTTTTCTCCCTTCTCTCCCCCTCCCCCGCCCCTCCCCCCTCCCCTCCGCTCCTTTCACTTCCCTACCTTCTCTCTCTTTCTTTCTTTCCTTTTCTTTTTGTGACAGAGTCTCACTCTGTCCCCCAGGCTGGAGTACAGTGGCACGATCTCAGCTCACTGCAACCTCCACCTCCTGGATTCAACTGACTCTCCTGCCTCAGCCTCCCAAGTAGCTGGGATAACAGGTACCTGCCACCATGCCCGTCTAAGTTTTGTATTTTTGGTAGAGACGGGGTTTCACCACATTGGTCAGGCTGGTCTCGAACTCCTGACCTCAAGTGATCTGTCTGCCTTGGCCTCCCAAAGTGCTGGGATGACAGGTGTGAGCCACTGTGCCCGGCCTGCCACGCACTTTCTTACTGGTTTTCCCCTGCTCTGCAGTTGTCCTAGGTCCTGCCTATTCTCAATCTCTTCCTGTCTTCACACCTTCTGAGAGTTAGCTCTCTCCTCTGACCTTCAGCTTCAGACTCCAAGCCTCCCCTGACCCTCCGCCTCTGCTCAGTCACCTGGGACTTTCTTGCCTTTGCTTAGATCACAAGTGTCTCCCATGCTCTCCTCTCTGTCTCCCTTGGAGACCAGCATTCCAAGTTCTCAGGCTCACCTCTTGCAGGAAGACCTCCCAGATCACTTCAACCCACAAAACCTGCTTACCTCTACCTATTTAGAAAACATGGATCAGACGGGTGCAGTGGCTCAGGCCTATAATCCCAGCACTTTGGGAGGCCGAGGTGGGCAGATCTCCTGAGGTCGGAGTTCAAGACCAGCCTGACCAACATGGAGAAACCCCATCTCTACTAAAAATACAAAATTAGTCAGGCGTGGTGGCGCATGCCTGTAATCCCAGCTACTCCAGAGGCTGAGGCAGGAGAATAGCTTGAACCCAGGAGGCAGAAGTCGTGGTGAGCCAAGATTGCGCCATTGCACTCCAGCCTGGGCAACAAGAGCGAAACTCTGTCTCAAAAAAAAAAAAAAAAAAAAGAAAAAAATACAAAAATTAGCTGGGCATGGTAGTATGCACCTGTCATCCCAGCTACTCAGAAGGCTGAGGCGGGAGAACCGCTTGAACCTGGGTGGCAGAGGTTGCAGTGATCCGAGACCACGCTACCGCACTCCAGCCTGGGTGACAGAGCGAAACCCCATCACAAAAATAGAAAGAAAACATGGATGAAGGGTGTGTGTGTGTGTGTGTGTGTGTGTGTGTATGTGTGTGTGTGTGTTTTAATGAAACCACAGTTTTTCAGTGTGTAAGTTTGTTGCTTTTTTTTTTTTCTCAGCTCACTGCAACCTCTTCCTCCTGGATTCAAGCGATTCTCCCACCTCAGCCTCCAGAGTAGCTGGGACTGTAGGTGTCCGCCACCACGCCCGGCCAATTTTTGTATTTTTAGTAGAGACGGGGTTTCGCCATGTTGGCCAGCCTGGTCTCGAACTCCTAGCCTCAGGTGATCCACCCTCCTCGGCCTCCCAAAATGCTGGGATTACAGGCATGAGCCACCGCGCCTGGCTGAGTTTGCTGCTTTTTGAATCATTTGCCCCCTGCAATAGTTGAGAGTTGAATATGACCTCCAAAATGGGTCATCAGAGAATCCAACAACTGAGACTACTAGCCAGGTAATCTTGGAATAAGTCATTAAGCTCCCATGAGCCTCAGTTTTCACCTCTGTACATCAGGGACGAGGACAGTGCACCTACCTCAAGGGATGGCGTGTGAATCAATGAGTTTTAGAAAATTCACTTAGCTACAGACCAGATCTTTGGGTCTCCCTCTGTCCCTGGTCTCTCAGAGGATCCTCATGTTCCTTCCCAGGCTGCATCCAAGGGTGGTCCAGCCCTGCGCATTGTGACCCCAAGAGCTTCCTTTGTGTAATGATACTGTCACAATGACCACTCAGCACCTCTAGGGGCAGCCGGGAGGAAAATTAGCAGGCAGGCTTGGTGCGAATACTGCCTCCTTAGAGCTCCAGGAACCCAGGCAAGTAATTGACTTTTTGGAGCCTCTGGGGTTTTGTTCGGTTGGTTTTGTTTTTGAGGTAAGCTCTCGCTATGTTGCCCAGGCTGGACTTGAAGTCCTGGGCTCAAGCGATCCTCTCGCCTCAGCCTCCCAAGTGGGTGGGTCCACAGGTGTGTGCCACCATGCCTGGCTAGGACTTAGGTTTTGTCATCTGCAAAAGGGGACTAATGATGGTAGCCAGTTCAGAAAGCAGTGTCAGTATTGAGGATTTGATTAAATAGGCTGCTGGTGTCCATTATTATTATCATCCTCTAAAGTTTTTCTGTCCCTCTACCTTCTACACACCCCACACAGAATGGACCCACTTCCCTGAATCACTGCACCTCTTGATATTATTCTAGGGCTCACAGATCTCCCTTTAAAGGGGCCGGTCACCCCTCCTTCCCCAGTCAAAGACCACCAGGAATGTACCTGTGATTGAACACATTCAAGCTTATTATTCATCAGAGAGAGAGAGAGAAAGAAAGAGAGAGGGAGAGAGAGCTCATACATGTCATAGGGCACTATGGCGGTCTCAGTAGGGAGGTGTTAGAAAGAACTTTTTTTCGCTATTTATTTATTTATTTATTTATTTGAGATGGAGTTTCGCTCTTGTTGCCCAGGCTGGGGTGCAGTGGCACGATCTCAGCTCATCGCAACCTCCGGCTTCAAGTGATTCTCCTGCCTCAGGCTCCCGAGTAGCTGGGATTATAGGCATGTGCCACCACACCCAGCTAATTTTGTATTTTTAGTAGAGATGGGGTTTTTCCATGTTGGTCAGGCTGGTTTCGAATTGCCGACCTCGGGTGATCCGCTCGCTTCAGTCTCCCGAAGTGCTGGGATTATAGGCGTGAGCCACCACGCCCGGCCAGAAAGCACTTATTATGGGATTTGCAATTCTGCTCGGTGTTTTGGGGGCACAGCTTAAGGAAGTAGGGGATTTGGGTGGGATGAATTTATTGGTTGGAAATTTTACTTTCTTTTTTGAGATGAGCAGATAAAAACAAATAAAAACAACACACAGGTGAGGCATGGTGGCTCACATTTGTAATCTCAGCCTCCCAAAGTAGCGTCCAGAAAAGGGCTGTTGTGGCTTGGTGTGGTGGCTCACGCCTGTAATCCCAGCACTTTGGGAGGCCAAGGTGGGTGGATCACTTGAGGTCAGGAGTTTGAGACCAGCCTGGCGAACACGGTGAAACCCTGTCTCTACTGAAAATACAAAAATTAGCCGGGCGTGGTGGCTCACGCCTGTAATCCCCGCTACTCAGGAGGCTGAGGCAGGCGGATCTCCTTTGGTCAGGAGTTCGAGGCCAGCCTGGCCAACATGGTGAAACCCTGTCTCTACTAAAAATATAAAAAATAGCCGGGTGTGGTGGCGGGCACCTGTATTCCCAGCTACTCAGGAGCCTGAGGCAGGAGAATTGCGTGAACCCAGGAGGCGGAGGTTGCAGTGAGCTGAGATCACGCCATTGCACTCCAGCCTGGGAGACAAGAGCAAAACTCTGTCTCAAAGAAAAAAAAAACTAGCTGGGCATGGTGGCGGGCACCTGTAATCCCAGCTACTCAGGAGGCTGAGGCAGGAGAATCGCTTGAACCCAGGTGGTGGAGGTTGCAGTGAACTGAGATCGTGCCACTGCACTCCAGCTTGGGCCACAGAGCAAAACTCTGTCTCAAAAAAAAAAAAAGAAGCAAGGGCGGCTGAGTGCAGTGCCTCAGGCCTGTAATCCCATCACTTTGAGAGGCTGAAGCGGGAGGACTGCTTGAGCCCAGGTGTTTGAGACCAGCCTGGGCAACACAGTGAGACCCTATCTCTATAAAAAATTAAAAAGCCAGGTGCGGTGGCGCGTGCCTATAGTCCCAGCTACTTGGGAGGCTAAGGTGGGAAGATTTCTTGAACCCAGGACATTGAGGTTGCAGTGAGGGTGCAGTGAGCTATGATTCCGCCACTGCACTCCAGCCTGGGTGACAGAGTGAGACTCTGTCTCAGAAACAACACAAAACAAAAGAGCAGCTAGGGAGAGAAGTAACTATTATTCAGCATCTTAATCATCTGTATGAAGAAGTCAGAAGGAAGGAAGGAGAGAGGGAGGGAAGGAAGGAAGGGAGGGAGCGAGGGAGGGAGGGAGGGAGGGATTTGGGATCTGCAGTTCTGTTAGGTGTTTTGGGGGCACGGTTTTGTTTTTTGTGCAAATCCTGCCTCCTTAGAGCTCCAGGGAAGCTGGGAGCTGGAAGGAAGGAAGGAAGGACGAAGGGAAGGAAGGAGGGAGGAAGGGAGGGAAAGGAAGGAAGAAGGAAAGAAGGAGGGAAGGAGGGAGGGAGAGAAGGAGGGAAGGAAGCAGGGAGGGAGGGAAAGGAAGGAAGAAGGAAGGAAGGAGGGAGGGAGGGGAAGGAGGGAAGGAAGGAAGGAAAGAAAGAAAGAAAGAAGTCAGAAGACTAAAGCTGTGCTTGGTAAGGAACAGCCGTTGCTGGTATTAGCTAGTAGCAGAGGAGGTCCAGTTACTCTGATAGTGTGGACAGTGTTCGTGTTTTGCCTGTGTTCAGACATGATTATGGAGCAGGCTTGTTTTGTCTTGCTCTGCCGCGGTCACAGAGTGGCCTTGTCTGATGTCGGCGTCATGTGAGATTGTTTATGTCCAGCAGGAGGACACCAGGGCCCTGCTTTGACTGCCAGGCCAGCTCCTAGCAACACCAAGGCCAGCTGTGAACACCAGGCCAGCTCCTGTGTCTTTTTCAAAGGTCGAGCTCAGACCTAGCCAGATGGGGGACGCTGGGAGGGCTGGGCTGTGTCTGCAAAGCTCACTGCTGTATCTCTGTTGCCTAGAGCGGGACCCGGCACACAGGAAGCATTCGGGCAAATGCATTGCGCTGTTCCAAGGCTCTTGGGCCTGAGAGGAGGGATCTGCTTATTCATGCAGCAGCAGGCTTTGCGGCCAGTGACCTCTTTCCTCTGCATGTCTGGACCTTGGCTTTGGATTTTTTTTTGTTTTACTTTTTTAGAGATGGGTCTTGCTGACGCCCAGGCTGGAGTGCAGTGGCGTGATCTCGGTTCACTGCAACCTCCACCTCCTGGATTCAATCGATTCTCGTGCCTCAGACTCCTGAGTAGCTGGGACCACAGGCACAGGCCACTGCAGCTGGCTTGGCTTCAATTTTTCTGCTGTGAAAACAGTGACCCCGTGGCTGGGCGCAGTGGCTCATGCCTGTAATCCCAGCACTTTAGGAGGCTGAGATGGGAGGATTCCCCAAGGTCAGGAGTTCGAGACCAGCCTGGCCAACAGGGCAAAACCCCATCTCTACTAAAAATACAAAAATTAGCTGGGCGTGGTGGTGGGTGCCTGTAATCCTAGCTACTTGGGAGGCTGAGGCAGGAGAATCACTTGAACCCAGAGGCAGAGGTTGCAGTGAGCTAAGATCATACCACTGTATTCCAGCCTGGGTGACAGAGCGAGACTCTGACTCTAAAAAAAAAAAAAAAGAGTGACCCCCCCACTGGGGGAGAGGGGAGTGCACAAAGACCCGTGGACCCAAGTCTTTTTTTTTTTTTTGAGACGGGGTTTCACCATATTGGCCAGGCTGGTCTCCAACTCCTGACCTCAAGTGATCCACCTGCCTTGGCCTCCCAAAGTATTGGGATTACAGGTGTGAGTCACTGAGCTCAGCCAGTGGACCCAAGTCTTAAAAGGAGCTGGATGTGGAAGTTAAAGAGTCTCTTGGGGCCAGGTGTGGTGGCACACACCTGTAATCCCAGTGCTATGGGAGGCTGAGGATGGAGGATCACTTGAACCCAGGAGTTCAATGCAGCAGTGGTGCTATGATCATGCCACTGCACTCCAGCCTGGGCAACAGAGCGAGACCCTGTCTCAAAAACAAACAAGAAGAAAAAAAAAAGAGGCTGGGCATGGTGGCCCATGCCTGTAATCCCAGCAGTTTGGGAGGCCGAAGTGGGTGGATCACTTGAGCCCAGGAGTTTGAGACCAGCCTGGCCAACATGGTGAGACCCTATTTCTATTAAAAACTCCAAAAATTAGTGGGGGCGTGGTAGCAGGTGCCTGTAATCCCAGCTGGTTGGGAGGCTGAGGCAGGAGAATTGCTTGAACCCGGGAGGTGGAGATGGCAGTGAGCCGAAATCATGCCACTGCACTCCAGCCTGGGCAACCGAGTGAGACTCTGTTTAAAAACAAAAACAGAAAGAGAGAGAGACAGAGAGGAAGAAAATCACAGGAGTGGACAAGGCCTTTCTTGTGCCCCCTTGTGTTCCATGCTCCCTTGGAGCACAAGAAGAGATCTTTGGACAGGGCAGTGAAACTTACAAAACAGATTCTCTGTTTTCTGCCAGGCTGTGCGGATATAGCCATGAACAAGACAGGTCACCAGCAGGTAACATGGGTAGGAAGTGTCCAGGAGGGTGTGATCGGGTGGGTCCCGTGAGAGGATGACATTCGAGTAAAGGAAGTTAGGGAAGGAGGGAGCCACGTTGGTATCTGGCTCAAGAACATTTCTGCAGAGGAAACAGAACATGCAAAGTTCCTGAGGCAGGAATCTGCTGTAACTTTAAACAACAGGAGGAAAGCAATGCAGGAGAAGAGTAACAAGAGTTGAAATCAAGAGGAAATATTCTGTGAAAGAAAACTGGTTAACATCGAGGCCAGACGCGGTGACTCACGCCTATAATCCCAGCACTTTGGGAGGCCGAGGTGGGCAGATTTCTTGAGATCAGGAGTTGGAGACCAGCCTGGCCAACATGGCGAAACCCCGTCTCTACTAAAAGTCTAAAATTAGCCGGGCACAGTGGCGGGTGTGCTGTAATCCCAGCTATTTGGGAGGCTGAGGCATGAGAATCGCTTGAACCTGGGAGGTGGAGGTTGCAGTGAGCTGAGATCAGCACTGCACTCCAGCCTAGGCAATAGAGTGACACTCTGTCTCAAAAAAAAAAATTCAAACAAACCAACAAACAGACTCGTTGACATCATTAGTCATCAGGAAAAGGCAAAACAAAACCACAATGGGGTGGCACGTCACACCTACTACGATGGCTATCATAATCAAAAAAGGATGTTGCAAGGAAGTGGCGAAATTGGAACCTTTGTGTAATGCTGGTGGGGATGGAAAATGGTACTGCTACTGTGGGAAACAGTTGGGCAATTACTCAAAAAGTTCAACATAGAGTTACAAAATGACCCAGCAACCCCACTTCTAGGTATAGACCCAAAGGAATGGAATCCAGGGACTCCAACTACATATTCACAAATGTTTATAGCTGTACTTATTCACGATCGCTAAAAGGCAGAAACAGCCCAAATGACCATCAGCTGATACGTGGATAAACAAAATGTGGTCCATCCATATGGCGCAATGTTATATAGCTGCAAGTGGAATGAATTTCTGATACATGCTGCAACTTAGACAAACCTCAACACCATTATGCTCAGCTGCACGCAGTGGCTCACACCTGTAATCCCAGCACTTTGGGAGGCCAAGGCAGGAGGATCCCTTGAGTCCAGGAGGTCGAAACCAGCCTGGTGAACATAGCGAGACCGCATCTCTACAAAAGAAAAATTTTAAAAATTGGCCAGATGTGGTGGCGTGCACCTGTAGTCCCAGGCAATGTGGAGGCTGAGGCAGGAGGATCTCTCAGGCCCAGGAGTTCAAGGCTGCAGTGAGCTATGATCACACCACCGCACTCCAGCCTGGTGACACAGCAAGACCCTGTCTCAAAAACAAAAAGCAAAAACCAAAACAACCTATTATGCTTGGTGGAAGAGGCCGACACAAATGGTCACATATTGTATGATTCCATTTGTATGAAATATCAAGGAGGTCGGGCATGGTGGCTCATGCCTGTAATCCCAGCACTTTGGGAGGTCGAGGCAGGCAGATCCCTTGAGGTCAAGAGTTCAAGACCAGCCTGGCCAACATGGTAAAATCCATCTCTACTACAAATACAAAAATTAGCCGGGTGTGGTGGTGCGCACCTGTACTCTCAGCCACTTGGGAGGCCGAGGCAGGAGAATTGCTTGAACTTGGGAGGCGGAGGCTGCCGTGAGCTGAGATCATGCCACTGCACTCCAGTCTGGGTGACAGAGTGAGACTCTGTCTCAAAAAAAAAAAAAAAAAAAAAAAATCAAGAAGTGGTAAAAATACAGAGAGACAGCAGAGAATGCAGATTAGTGGTTGCCAGGGGCTGGGAGGAGGGAGGAATTGAGTGATTGCTTTATGGGAACAGGGTGTAGGGGAGGAAACATACTTTTTCCTTTATTCTTAGTTCTTAGCTGTGATGGATCCTTGCAATGAAAGAATTAAGAAGGGCGGGTGCGGTGGTTCACGCCTGTAATTCCAGCACTTTGGAAGGTCGACGTGGGAAGATTGCTTAAGCCCAGGGCTCAAGGCCAGCCTGGGTAACATGGTAAGACTCCATTTCTACAAAAAATAAAAAATAAAAAGAAATTAGCCAATTGTGGTGGCAGGCACCTGTGGTCCCACCTACTCAGGATGCTGAGGTGGCAGGATGGCTTGATCCCAGGAGTTCAAGGCTGCAGTGAGTTAAGATCGTGCCGCTGCACTCTACCCCTTTTTTGTGGGTAGTTGGTCAAGCTACCATGGGGCAGAATGTAGCAAGCTCTGGGCATCATCCTGGGTCCTCAGGCCCAGAGAGCACACAAGTGGCGGCTTCACATCTACAAATTTGGTTCCTCCCAGAGCGAGGCCCTGTCTCAAAAAAAAAAAAAAAAAAAAAAAAAAAAAATAGAGGCCAGGCGCGGTGGCTCACGCCTGTAATCCTAGCACTTTGGGAGGCAGAGACGGGCGGATCACGAGGTCAGGAGATCAAGACCATCCTGGCTAACACGGTGAAACCCCGTCTCTACTAAAAATACAAAAAAAAAAAAAAAAAAAAAATTACCCAGGCGTGGTGGCGGGCGCCTGTAGTAGTGCCAGCTACTCGGGAGGCTGAGGCAGAAGAATGGCGTGAACCCGCGAGGCGGAGCTTGCAGTGAGCCGAGATCGTGCCACTGCACTCCAGCCTGGGCGACAGAGCGAGGCTCCGTCTAAAAAAAAAAAATTAACAAGGGAAAAACAAATTTATTAACATGTGTACCTTATGTGTACATGGGAGATGCCAAGAGAAATGAGGTGGCTTATATAGCTTATATAACTCCTGCTTATATAGCACCTTCAACATATAGCAGCAAATTTTTGGAGAAGTGACAAGACGAAGGAAAAGGACATTGAGGCCGGGTGCGGTGGCTCACGCTTGTAATCCCAGCACTTTGGGAGGCCGAGGCGGGCGGATCACTTGAGGCCAGGAATTTGAGAACAGCCTGGCCAACGTGGTGAAACCCCGACTCTACCAAAAATACAAAAATTAGCCGGGCACAGTGGTGCACAGCTGTGATCCCAGCTACTTGGGAAGCTGAGGCACGAGAATCGCTTGAACCAGGGAAGCGGAGGACGCAGTGAGCAGAGATGGCGCTACTGCACTCTAGCTTTGGGGACAGAGCAAGACTCCGTCTCAAAAAAAAAGAAAAAAAAAAAAAAGACGTCTCCAGACAAGAGTCTAAAGGTGTCCCTGGTGATCAACCTTTGTCCTTCCTGGTAGAGAGGGGAGGAGGGCACCTTTGTACCTTTAGGTCCTGCTTTGAGGCAAATCAGGGAAGAACAGAGAGCTTTTCCGGTATCAGCTTCATTGATCTCAGCTCAAAATAATCCTACACCAAGGTCGCATATTTCAGAGGGGCATATGCTGGTCTCCTACGGGGGTCTCTCTTGGGGGTGATAAAAATACCCCGAAACTAGCAAGGGGTGATGGTTGTCCAACATGTGCATGTACTAATGTCACTGAATTGTGCATTTTTATTTTTTATTTATGTATTCTAGAACAATTCTTAACGTCCAAAGATAACGTCTTTCCTTAACGTCGAAAGATGCCTTGTTGTGATATTACAGCAGTCATTCCTGCTCACTACGGGCAGGCAGACAGTGCAGAAAAGGTGAAGCACAAAAACTAAAAAGGAAAATCTCTCCTTGAACCACTGCGAACAGGTTGGTGGTTTTGCTTGGAATATTTTTGGAGCGTGTGGGTAGTTGGTTAAACTTAGAAATATATTTTTTTGTGCGTGGGTAGTTGGCCAAACCGCCGTGGGGCAGAATGCAGCAAACTCCGAGGATGATCCAGGGTCTGCAGGCCTGGAGAGCACACACGTGTCGGCCCCACCTCTGCAAACTCTGTCCCTCCCCTACAGCGGACAAAAAGCCGGTCAGGGGGACAAAGGCCTGCGGCCGCGCCTGCGCGCAAGCCTTTGGGGCGCTCCCGGTACCCCGGCCTGGCCCCGCCCCCTGGCGCGGCGCGCCGACGTCGCGGTGACGTCACGGAGTTGCCATGGCGTCGCTGAGCGGCCTGGCGTCGGCGCTGGAGTCGTACAGGGGCCGGGACCGCCTGGTGAGGCAGGGGCGGACCGGGGCCGGAGGTCCTAGAGTTTGGCCCAAGCTCAGAGACTGGGAAACGGGCCAGAGAGGGGACGGGGTCGCCCAGGATACTCCGTCGCAGAGGCCCCGTCCGAGCTAGGCTCAAATGCGGTGCCCTAGCATTGGACATTTATGTATTTATTTATTTTGGCTGGAGTGCAGTGGTGCGATCTCTGCTCACTGCAGCCTCCGCTTCCCGGGTTCAAGCGATTCTCCTGCCTCAGCACTCCCGAGTAGCTGGGACTACAGGCGCCCGCCACCACTCCCTGCTATTTTTTTGTATTTTTAGTAGAGACGGAGTTTCATCGTGTTAGCCAGGATGGTCTCGATCTCCTGGCCTCAAGCGATCCACCTGCCTCGGCCTCCCAAAGTGCTGGGATTACAGGCGTGAGCCACCGCGTCTGGCCAGCGTTGGACATTTAGATAGTTTCTGCCAACCCAACCTGTCTGGACATTGACACACTGGCCAGATTCCCGTGTTTGGACGTTTTGGATCCGACCAGGCCACTGAAGTTGTCCTGAACAATCTCGTGTTGGGATTTGGGATGTTGCAGGGCTCCCCTGTGGCTGGACATTCACTTCCAACCAGATTCCCTATAGTTGGGCATTTAGGTTGTTTCAGCCAACCTAGACCAAAGAACACGCCATGGCCTGGGCCCTGCCATGCCTAAGCAGCGATGGGTTCCAACAAAACCCCAGTTGGTCATTTAGATCGTCTCTGCCAACCCAGCCTGGCTGGACGTTTACATACCAAACAGATTCCCATGTTTGGACATTTAGGATCTGACCGGGCCACTGTAGTTGGTCCCTGGGTTGTCCCAAACAATCTCATGTGGGGATTTAGGATATTGCAAGACTCTCCCTATGGCTGGACAGTTTTTAGTTCCAATCAAGTCCCATATGGTTGAACATTTAGGTTATGCCATCCATGCCCCTGAGTCTGGACTCTTAGCTTGTCCCCACCAGTCTCTTATAGGTAGACATTCAGGTTGTACCAGGCGGTGTACTGGTGGCTAGGCATTTAGATTCCATTCAAATATCTTATGATTGGGGGGGTGGGTTAACAAATCTCCCCCGAGTTGAACATTCAGATTGCAGTGTTTTGCCATTATAATGGGGCTGGAAAGGAATTACAAGTAAAAATAAATAAAACAACAGGAACAAGCAATTTCTGAAAAGCAGGTAAAATAAAGATATAAGGGAGGCCAGGCGTGGTGGCTCGCGCCTGTGATCCTAGCACTTTGGGAGGCTGAGCTGGGTGGATTGTCTGAGCTCAGGAGTTTGAGACCAGCCTGGGAAAAGTGATGAAACCTCGTCTCTACTAAAATACAAAAATTAGCCGGATGTGGTGGTGCGTGCCTGTAGTCCCAGCTACTTGGAAGGCTGAGGCGGGAGAATTGCTTGAACCTGGGATGCAGAGGTTGCAGTGAGCTCACACCTTTGCACTCGAGCCTGGGGAGCAGAGCAAGACTCTGTCTCCAAAAGAAAAAAGATCTGAGTAGTGAAGATGACCTATTTCAGAAGGCTCCACATCACCTACTGAGTAGGTTCTTTCTCTCTAAAGTAATTCTACCAAATTATCCTGTTGTTCACTGGGTTGAGGCCTGATCACCTGTGCCCACCATTCAGCACATCCAAAGGCTTTGGTCCAGGCAGGTAGATGTAAATATACACTTTAGCTGTGGCTTCCTGCCACCTGGGAAAAGAAGGACCTAGGAGGTGGGAAGTAAGGAGCTTTGTTTTCTTTGTTCCTGTCACATCTGTTCCCAAAGGCTGTGCCCTTCAGTTACATCAATGATGTCATGTTTCTTCATTTGTCCCACCTCCAAGTATGTTTTTAAACTTCCAGCTTTTTTTTTCTTTTTCTTTTTCTTTTTTTAGACAGGGTCTCGCCCTGTTGCCCAGGCTGGAGTGTAGTAGCACGATTACAGCTCACTACAGTCTGGAACTCCTGGGCTCAAGTGATCCTCCAGCATCAGCCTCCCAAGTAACCACCATGCCCTGTTAACTTAAAAAAATTTTTGGTAGCCAGGCGCGGTGGCTTACGCCTGTAATCCCAGCACTTTGGGAGGCCGAGGCGGGTGGATCATGAGGTCAGGAGATCAAGACCATCCTGGCTAAAATGGTGAAACCCCATCTCTACTAAAAATACAAAAAATTAGGTGGGCTTGGTGGCGGGTGCCTGTAGTCCCAGCTACTCGGGAGGCTGAGGCAGGAGAATCGCATGAACCCGGGAGGTGGAGCTTGCAGTGAGCCGAGATCGCGCCACCGCACTCCAGCCTAGGTGACGGAGCAAGACTCCGTCTCAAAAAAAAAAATTTTTTTGGTAGACACAGGGTCTTGCTATGTTGCCCAGGCTGGTCTCAAACTCCTGGTGTGAAGGCATCCTCTCACCTCGGTTTCTCAAAGTGCTGGGGTTACAGGTGTGAGCCACTGTGCCCCACCTAAACTTTCAGCTTTTACTGTCACTTTGTAGATTTAGAATCTTCCAAACTCTTGGGTCAGGCACGGTGGCTCATGCCTGTAATCCCAGCACTTTGGGAGGCTAAGGCAGGTGGATCACTGAGGTTATGAGTTTGAGACCAGCCTAGCCAACCTGGTGAAACCCTGTCTCTACAAAAAATATAAAAATTAGCAGGGTGTGGTGGTGGGCGCCTGTAATCCCAGCTACTGGGGAGGCTGAGGCACAAGAATTGCTTGAACATGGGAGATGGAGGCTGCGGTGAGCCGAGATCGTGCCACTGCACTCCAGTCTGGATGACAGAGTGAGACTCTTTCAAAAAAAAAAGAGAATCTTCCACACTCTCAATCCAGCGGGGCCCGGGGCCAGGTATGGGGGGATGCAGCTCAGTTCTGCAGAACAGGAGGGCCACACTGACTGCTTCTGGTTTCCCACAGATCCGAGTGCTGGGGTACTGCTGCCAGCTGGTTGGTGGAGTTCTGGTTGAACAGTGTCCCGCCAGGTCCGAAGTGGGGACACGTCTGTTGGTGGTGTCCACCCAACTCAGCCACTGCAGGACCATCTTGCGACTCTTTGATGACCTGGCCATGTTTGTCTACACTAAGCAATATGGCCTGGGGGCACAGGTAACAGGGTTTGTGGGGCTCTAGGGAGTAGGGTGCGGACCTGAGTGGACATTTTTTAAAAAATTTTTTGGCCCCTCACAGTGGCTCATGCTTGTAATCCCAGCACTTTGTGAGGCCAAGGCTGGCGGATCATGAGGTCAGGAGTTCGAGACCAGCCAGGCCAACATGGTAAAACCCTGTCTCGGCTGGGTGCAGTGGCTCATGCCTGTAATCCCAGCACTTTGGGAGGCTGAGGCGAGCGGATCACGAGGTCAGGAGATGGAGACCGTCCTGGCTAACACAGTGAAACCCCGTCTCTACTAAAAATGCAAAAAATTAGCCAGGTGTGGTTGCAGGCGCCTGCAGTCCCAGCTACTCAGGAGGCTGAGGCAGGAGAATGGCCTGAACCCGGGAGGTGGAGCTTGCAGTGAGCCGAGATCGCGCCACTGCACTCCAGCCTGGACGACAGAGCGAGACTCCGTCTAAAAAAAAAAACCCTGTCTCTACTGATAATACAAAAATTAGCCTGGCATGGTGGCGTGTGCCTGTAGTTCCAGCTACTTGGGAGGCTGAGGCAGGAGAATCACTTGAACCTGGGAGGTGGAGGTTGCCATGAGCCGAGAATTGTGCCACTGCACTGGCAGCCTGGGCAATGGAGCGAGACTCCATCTCAAATAAAACAAACAAAAAAAATTTTTTTTATAGACAGGGTCTTGCTTTGTCATACAGGCTGGAGTGCAGTGGAGTGACCATAGCTCACTGCAGCCTTGAACTCCTGGGCTCAGGTGGTCCTCCCGCCTTAGCCTCCCTGAGTGCTGGGATGGCAGGCGTGAGCCACCATGGGCGTTTTATAGTCTTGTCCCAAAGTGCTCCCTGCGTGGGTAGTTTATTACTTTTAAAAATTTCACTTTCTTCTTTGAGAGGATCAGATGTTCTCATTTTGATTTAAATTTTTAAAAATAGCAAACGTTCACACATTCCAAAGGAGGATATAATTTTAAAAAACCTCCCTCCTTCCTGATCTTCCAGGCCTCCAATTTTTCCCCACAGAGGCAGCCACTGTGGTCAGCTTCTTTTTTTTTTTTTGAGACAAGGTCTCACTCTGTCACTCAGGATGGAGTGCAGTGGCGTGATCTCGGCTCACTGCAACCTCTGCCTCCGGGATTCAAATGATTTTTCTGCCTCAGCCCCTCACGTAGCTGGGATTACAGGCACCCCCCACCATGCCTGGCTAATTTTTGTATTTTTAGTAGAGACGGGGTTTTGTCATGTTGGCCAGGCTAGTCTCGAACTCTTGACCTCAAGTGATCCACCTGCCTCAGCCTCCCAAACTGCTGGGATTACAGGTGTGCGCCACCGTGCCCGGCCCTGTGGTCAGCTTCTTGTGTCTCCTTTGTGAGATTTCCTGTACTCGCATAGGCAAATACATATGGTTTACATAAACAGTGCTTTTTTCACTTAACGGTACAGCTTCGGCATCATTTCTTTATCTTTCTTTTTTTTTGGAGACAGGGTCTCACTCTGTCACTCAGCCTGGAGTACAGTGGCGTGATCATGGCTCGCTGCAGCCTTGACTTCCCGGGCTCAGGTGATCCTCCTACCTCAGCCTCCGGAATAGCTGGGACTGCAGGTGCACCACCACACCTGGTTAATTTTTTGTATCTTTTGTAGAGACAGGGTTTTGCCATGTTACCCAGGCTGGCCTTGAACTCCTGGGCTCAAGTGATCCACCTGCCCCGCCTCCCAAAGTGCTAGGATGACAGGCGTGAGCCACCGCGCCTGGCCACAGATCATTTCTTATCGGTCTAGAAAGAGCTGCGTTCTCAGGACCACATAGTGCTCTGCTATGCAGCTTCGGATTTATTTAATTGGCCTCTGGTTGACGCACAGGGCAATGATTTCTAAGGTTTTGCTATTGCGACAGTGCTGCAGAGAGTAGCCTTGTCCCTGCGGCGTCCCACAGGCGTGCCAGCCTATCTAGAGAGCCATCTTGCCCCCCACGGGATGATCTCAGAGGCTGCGTGGGCCAGCCTCTCAGCGTCCTGCCCCTCCCTGGGCTGCCCTGTCTGTTCTCTCTGTCCTCCCAGGGATCACCTCTCTGAGCCACTTGCTACTCAGGTGCTCCCCGCCCCGAAATCCCAACCCCACCGTGTTCAGCACCACGTGTCCTTGGCCTGATCATCCTATATCATAAGTGTTGCTGTGGGCCGCCTTCCTGTTTTGACACCTATAGCATCCTCCTCCTCCGTGTCTGATTAGGACAGCGCTCTGGTGCATCCCTGAGACCCCTCGTTCCTCTATGCCCTCTGTGGAAGAGCCCTCAGGCAAGGGGTGGAGGCCCTTGCACCTCGAGTGTCCCTTGGCCAGAACAAGAGCCCTGTTTGTTGGGTTCCCGGTTTATATGTCTGCGTTCCTCCCTGCCCTGGTGAGCCTCTGCCCCTCCCCAGAGTCTAGCCTGGACCCTGCCGCTTCTCAGGAAATCCGGGCGGAATGAGCACATTGGGGCGGGGTCCGCCATCCTCAGGGAGGTGGGCAATGTGCCAGGACGCGCCAGGCAGATGAGGGAAGCTGGAGTGAGGTTCAGAGCCCGGAGGGAGGTAGGATCATGACTGGCCAGAAAGAAGGAGAGCAGCATCTGGAATCAGCGGTGGGGGCGGGGAGGAGCTTCCTGGGAAGTCAGAGAGGAGGGGAAGGGTGTGGCAGGTAACAAGGAGGATAAAGGTAGAGGGGGCGGGGCTCCGATGGGGCGGGGTCACGGTGGGCGGGGTCCCAAGGGGGGTGGGGTCCCAAGGGGGCGGGTCCCCCGGTTGGCTGCGGGGCTCCAGTCCCAGAAACCAGGCTTCAGCGCTGGTTTCTACAGCCTCAACTGGTCCTGCCTCGCTGGCTCTAGGCCGTGTGATTAAGAACTTGGGGCAGAGGGTATGGGCACTGTGCAGGACCGAGAGCCCGCGTGTGCATTGCAATTCGAGGGCCTGGAGGCCCATCCCTGCCGGAACTGGGGGCCAGCGGCTTTCCCTGAGAGCCTCAGCGTGGCCGTCTGTAACTTGCTCGGAGTTGAGGGAGGCCATGAGCCTTGCCGCACTGTGCCTGGCGCGTGGTCAGCAGTGGGCGTGCGGTGGCCCAAGGGTTGGCACACCATCTCAGCCTGGTCAGGGTTCGCTGCGGGCCACCTCATGCTCCCTGCATAGAGTCTGGCAACAGAGGTCCCCACCTGTGCAGGAACTGGAAGCCTTTGGGAAGGAAGGCTCTGACACAGGGCTCCCAACTTGGCCTGGGAATCCCCTGGGAATGTGAAAATTCCCTGTGAAAATTCCCGGTACTGGGGCCTGCCCCAGGCTGAGTGAGGCAGAATCCTCACGGCTGGCATTGGGCATGGGGTTTTTGAAGCTCTGCAGAGGACTGCACTGCACAGCTGCGTTGAGAGCCTCCCTCCAAGGGGCACTGAGCACCGTGCTGCCGAGACACAGAAATCAGGCCTGTGCGGGGACCCCAGCCCCAGAGCCTTTCTCCCGCGGGGCCTGCCAGGCCTGGACACGGCCCAGGGACTGGGGTCAGGAAATAGCTCTCTGCCACCTGGCATGGCTACGGTGCTAAAATGGGCAGTGGGTAAGTCTGACCCTAGGCCCCCTCTGCTCCTGGTCCTGCAGGAGGAGGACGCCTTTGTCCGCTGTGTCTCCGTCCTAGGGAACCTGGCTGACCAGCTCTACTACCCCTGTGAGCACGTGGCCTGGGCGGCTGATGCCCGGGTCCTCCACGTGGACTCTTCTCGGTGGTGGACGCTGAGTACAACCCTGTGGGCCCTCTCTCTGCTCCTGGGGGTTGCCAGGTAAGTGGCATGGGCCAGAAGGGAGCACCCAAGGTCCCTGGGCGGTGCCTCCTTAGCAAAGTGGCAGCGGCCCCAGCAACAGCACAGGCTTCAGACTGCGGTGGGTCTTTGCCTCTTAGAGTTTTCCTTGGAGGTTTTGTTGTTTCTTCCTTTTGTGGGTGTATTTGTTTAGAATAACTGTCGGAACAAATTAGCACAACTCTGTAGTGCTGGGCAACAGAAACTTCTTATCTTAGGATTCTGAAGGCTGGAAGTCAGAACACTCCCTGGGCTAGTGTCAGCAGGCGCTGATGCCTTCTGGAGGTCCCAGGGGGAGGTCCGTTTCCTTGGATTTTCCAGCTTCTGGAGGCCACCCACATTCCTTGGCTCATGGCCCCTTCCTTCATCTTCCAAGCATGACCTCTGCTTTCAGCGTCACACCTCCTTCCCTGACCCTCATCCTCCTTCCTCCCTCCTATAAGGACCCCTATGATGACATGGGGACCACCTGGATGATCCAGGGTAATACCCCATCTCAAGATCCTTAGCTTAGGTTGGGCGTGGTGGCTCATGCCTGTAATCCCAGCACTTTGGGAGGCCAAGGCGGGTGGATCACTTGAGCCCAGGAGTTCTAGACCAGCCTGGCCAACATGGTGAAACCCTGTCTCTACTAAAAATACAAAAAATTAGCTGGGCTTGGTGGTGCACACTTGTAATCCCAGCTACTTGGGAGGCTGAGGCAGGAGGATTGCTTGAATTTGGGGAGGTGGAGGTTGCAGTGAGCCGAGATCACACCCCTGCACTCCAGCCTGGCGACAGAGCAAGATTCCGTGTCAAAAAAAGAAAAAATCCTTAGCTTAATCCCATCGGCAAAATATCCTTTGCCTTGGAGGTGAACATGTTGACAGGTTCAGGACATGGACATTTTAGAAGGGGTCATGACTCTGCTGACCACACTTAGAAAGAAGAAGTAACTCCAGGGCCTGTGAGAAGCAGCCAGCGGAGTGGCCTTTACCCGGGTCCCTGAGTCTTGCTGGCGTTGCTGTCAGCCGACACCCCAGAGAAAACAGTCAGCAGTTTCCTGACTAGTTCTGTGCCTCCAAAAAACCATATAGTTTCTAGAACTTTCTAGTAATGGTTTCCTCCCAAACATTTTCCTCTTTGCAAATGCGCTGAGTCAGAATCCCCTGCCCCTGAAAACACCAGCAGGAGCTGGGCCCCCTGGTCTCCATGTTTCAGTGGCTGTGAAGGGCTCTTAGATCGCTGGGGTGAGGTGCGGCTGCCCCCAGCCTCAGGCAGGCTGTGTCCTTTTTCTGGGGGAAGCTTTGCTTGTCCCTGGTCGAGGCTCTGACTCTCAGTAGTTCTTGTTTTCCCCCCGGCACAGATGTCCTAATTACATGCTTACCGTAGACAATCTGGAAAATAGATAAACCTCAGAGTAGAAGATTCGAATTACCCACAATCCAACCCAGACTCCCACTGTTCAAGCTTGGGTGGTTCTTTTCCAGCCTTTGACCTAATACCCTGCCTGTGCATTTTGGCTGTCTCAAAAGGGTCATGTTTCATGGCCATGGCCCCTGGAGGCAGCGGTGTCTGTGCTGCTGGCCTTCCCTGTGTGCTGGGAGACCTGGGGGAGGGTGCCTGGGCCCAGCCTGGATGTTCCTGGGGCTCCGGTCAGAGGGGGGCCTTGGCTCACAGCCTCTCTTCCGCCACCTTCCTCTGGGTGCCTCGTGACCTCTGGTTTGTATTTTAGGGGCAGCCTTGGTTCCTTTCTTTTTTGCTTAAATAAACTTTTTTTTTTTTTTTGAGACAGGCTGAAAAGCAGTGGCTCAATCTTGACCCACTGCAACCTCCGCCCCTTGGGCTCAAACAATACTCCCACCTCAGCCTTCTGAGTGGCTGGGACCACAGGCTGTGCCACCATATCTGGCTAATTTTTGTAATTTTTTTTCTGTAGAGACACGGTTTTGCCATGTTGCCCAGACTGGTCTCCAACTCCTGGGCTCAGGTGATCCACTTGCCTTGGCCTCCCTAAGTGCTGGAATTATAGGCGTGAGCCACCACTCCCGGCCCAGACTTTATTTTTTTAGAGCAGTTTTAGGCTCATGGCAAAATTGAGCATAACGTTCAGAGAGCTCCCATATACCCCCACACACAGCCTCCCCGACTACTGGCAGCATCCACATGGTGCATTTGTTACAACTGATGCCCCTCCATGGATCCATCATCACCCCAAGTGAGTAGCTCACGTTAGGGTTCACGCTAGGTTTTGGGCATCCTATGGGTTTGGACACTGACACGTGTCCCCCCTTGCAGAATCAAATGGAATTGTTTCACGGCCATCGAAGTCCTGTGTGCCCCGCCTGCTGCGGCATTCTTGTTTCGGGCATGTGGTTTTTCATCATTTCTCTGGATTTGCAGTGAGCAGGGGGAGTGGGTGGAGAGCATTCCATGTGTGCTCATCATGACCAGACATCTGCCCTAAGGCCCAGGGCTGCCGGAGCATCAGCCAGGAGGTTGCTAAATGGAGATGCCTGGGTCCGGCGCCCAGGGCTTCTGATTCTTTTCTTGAGACACAGTCTTCCTCTGTCGCCCAGGCTGGAGTGCAGTGGTGCGATCTTGGCTTACTGCAACCTCCACCTCCCGGGGTCAAGTGATTCTCCTGCCTCAGCCTCCCGAGTACCTGGGATTACAGGCGCCCACCACCACCCCCAGCTAATTTTTGTATTTTTAGTAGAGACAGGGGTTCACCATGTTGGCCAGGCTAGTCTTGAACTCCTGACCTCAGGTGATCCACCGGCCTTGGCCTCCCAAAGTCCCGGGATTACAGGTGTGAGCCATCGCGCTTGGCCCAGAGCTTCTGATTCTGTGGGTCTGGGGAGCCCAGGAATCAGTGTTTTTCCCTAGCCCCCCAGGAGGCTCCCACCTGCTGTGCCACTGGCGCTATCCTGCATCCTGCACCCTGGGTACCCAGTGGCCAGAGGAGTTGTGACCAGGCCCTGCCCATTCTGTCACAGTCACAACCCGGCACACCCCACGGCCGAGGCTGGAGAGTGCAGGTGCCTGGTGGACTGGCCCGGGTGGGTGCCATGCACGGCTGCAGAGCCTGCTGGGAGCACAGAGGCTGCCCACTGGGTAGCCCCTTCCTCAGCCTGCAGATGCCAGCCCTGGGGGCCCAGGGGATCATCCAGACAGGTCCAGCCAATGTCCGGGGTGTGTGTGCAGGGGGTGCTGGCATGGCACTGATTTGGACCTTTCCACACAGAGCAGACAAGGCAGCTGAGGCCCGGAGGGGAAACGGCGTCCCCACGCCTGTCCAACTGCGGGCCTCTTGGCATCCTTTTCTGTGTAGGACTCCCTGCCAGGCTGTGAACACCTCACGGGGCTTGATGTTCCTTTGAGCACTTGCCAGTGGTTTGCAGAGGCTGGGCCAGGCCCTGGATGGCCACGTCAGAAGTGCAGGACGATGTCCCGGGTGGGACGGGGCCGTGTTAGAGATGAGTCCCCGGGAGCATGAGGCACAGCCAGGAGGGTGTGGGACTGTGGGGGCAGGGAGAGGGCAGGCCGTTTATCCGAGATGCAGCACCTGTCCCAGACTGTATGTCCGGGGCCAGCGTTGTGGAGCTAACCCTCCTGCTCCCCGCCGGGGCATCCTCCCTCGGGCTCTGGTGCTGCAGGTCCCTGTGGATGCTGCTGAAACTGAGACAGAGGCTGCGGAGCCCCACGGCGCCCTTCACCAGGTAGGAGCCCGTGATCACCCAGCAGGGAGGCCCACTCCCTCCAGCAGGCGTGGGATCCCGGCTCGCAGCCACCCCTGTGCAGGCCCATGCTGGGGACTGTTGTGCTCAGGTCATGGGGGAGTCATCACAGCCTCTGGTGGGTGGCGGTACCTTTTACAGATGGAGAAACTGAGGCTTGCTTGAGCGGGGACTCCAGGGCTGAGCCTTCATGGCTGCGCCCCCAGCAGGAGAGAATGATCAATTTCCCGAAGGCCATGGCCATTGTTACTGTTGCTTTTTCTTTTTGTTTTTTGAGACAGGGTCTTGCTCTGTTGCCCAGGCTGGAGCACAGTGGTGCCATCTTGGCTCACTGCAGCCTCTGCCTCCTGGGCTCAACTGATCCTCCTGTTTCAGCTTCCCGAGTAGCTGGGACTACAGGCACGGGCCAGCACGCCTGGCTAATTTTGTTTTTTATTTTTTGGTGGAGATGGGGTCTCGCCATATTGGCCAGGCTTATCGTCACTGTGTCATCCTGATAAAGAAAGGCCGGGCAGGCACAGGCCACGCTCCTGGGGGTTCCCCCTTCCCTCCACACCTCCCAAAGTGCATTTGTGCTTTCTGTTTTTCACAAGGAATCCCCATCTCTGGGTGTTCAGGACGAGGAGTGAGGTGTGGATTTGAGGACTTGGACCCGGGTTCCTGCCCTGTTCGTGCTTGGGTCGGGGGGGTGATGGGGACTCAGTCTCTGTGGATGGTCAGGGAGGCCACCTCAGTCCTGCCAGCTCCTCCCACTCACAGGCAGGGGCTCAGGGCTGCCAGGCCACACAGGGCATTCAGGGGCTTGGGAAGGGCAGGCAGGTGTGAGCGTGAGTGTAAGCGGCCCCTCTCTGCCCCACAGCCCGCTGCCCCGGGGCAAGCGGAGGGCCATGGAGGCGCAGATGCAGTCGGAGGCGCTGTCACTTCTCAGCAACCTGGCCGACCTGGCCAACGCCGTGCACTGGCTGCCCCGGGGCGTGCTGTGGGCCGGCCGCTTCCCGCCGTGGCTAGTGGGCCTCATGGGCACCATCTCCTCAATCCTCAGCATGTACCAGGCGGCCCGGGCCGGCGGCCAGGCCGAGGCCACTACCCCCTGACACTGCCGGAAGAGCACAGGGACACAGCCAGAGCCCACGGAGGGCCCTTCCCGCAAAGCAGAAGCCGCCAGGGCAGGGGCCGGGGCTCTCATGGAGCTGCCTGTGGTGAAACCCATGGGCAGGGTGGGTGGAGGGACTGATGCGAGGTCCCCCAGGCCTCAGCCTGGAGCTCCTGAGCCGTGACAGTTTTCAGGGGCCGTGCAGGGCTTCAGCAGCACCTCCTGCCTGCCAGCTGGCGTCTTGTATCCAAATCAAGATGAGGAAGAGGGGGCCTGTCGTGCCTTGAGAAAGCTGGAACGGGAATCAATTAAACATTGTGGTGCTGGCGCCTGGCTCAGGGGTGAAGGTTATTACACTGCTGGCTCCTGGCCCCTTACCCTCCACAGGACGGACCCAAAGTTGGAAACCACACTACCCCAGCCCACCTTCAGGAATGCCCTCAGCCCGGTGGGTCCTCTCCATCTTTGAGCAAGCGTTGCCCACGGACCCCAAGTGGCCTCCAGCCATTGAGGGCTGTTCTCTACTCCCCAGAGTCCTGGGCACACAGGCCAGAGGCGCCACCTCTCATCAGGCCACCCGAGGGCGTGGCCTCATGCCACTGTGCTGCCGACGCAGGGCCACTGTGAGCATTTTAAGGGCTCCAGGCTGAGACTGGGCAACACACACTGGCATCGCTGAAGATACTTGGGGCTCCCACCTCAGCCAATGTGTGGTGGGATGGGATGAGGGCACTGCTTAGTCTGCTGGCTGAGAACAACCCTTCAGAGTCTGTGCACATGTGGCCTCTGGCAGACATTGTTGCACAGCCTGGCCCAGGAACACACAACAGCCAGTGTGTGTGCGCCCTTGGGCCTCATGTGATATCAATTGCACTGCCTTGATTTTTATCTTTTTGACCCAGGATCTCTGTCACCCAGGCTGGAGTGCAGTGGTGCGATCATAGCCTCACTGCAGCCTCAAACTCCTGGGCTCAAGGGATCCTCCTACCTCAGCCTCCTGAATAGCAGGAACTACAGGTGTTTATCACCAAATCCAGCTAATTTTTAAACTTTTTGTAGAGACAGGGTCTCACCACATTGCCCAGGCTGGTCTTGAACTCCTGGCTTCAAGTGAGCTGCCTGCCTCGGCCTCCCAGAGTACATTTGTGGTTTGTTTTTTACAAGGAAGATACCAGGTGGCTCTGAGCAGCTGGGAGGCCGGGGACTGCTCAGGGTCACACGGGTGCGGGAGACCCCATCTGTGGGGGCTCCTTCTGCCCAGGACTCACGAGTGGGCCAGGCTTGGTGGGTTTCCCCCTTCTTTCCCTTGTCGGGGGTGCAGGCCTGTCCTGGCCCTCAGCAGAGGCCTCCTTCCCAGCCCCTAGCAGCACCTGCATGATTAGGGCATCTCATTGTCTACCTGGAGACCCAACTACTTACTAGCTCATACCAGTGGGGCCCTTGGAGCAGCGCCTCTGTGTGGGGAAGCCACATGACCACCTGGTCACAGGTGCCAGGAGGAAAAGCAAGCCACCTTCAGGGATACAGCCTGGGCTGGGAAGGCCTTGGACACTGACCATGTGGAGCCCAGGCACAGAGCAGACAGGTTGGATGCTTCCAGAAAGGGAGGCCGCTCTCCCACTCTCTCAGCTGGTCCAGTGGTTGTGTGTGTGTGTGGTTGTGTGTGTGTGTGTGTGTTTAAACAGTTTTATGGAAATATAATTCACATATAAAATTTATCCACAGAAGGGGGACAGTTCAGTGGCTTTTAGTACATTCACAGTCGTGCAAGCAGAGCCACAGTCAACCTTAGAACATTCCATCACCCCAGAGAGAAACCTCACACCCCTCAGCTGTTACCCACCCGCAGCCCCCAGGCTTGGTGACCACTACTCTGTCCCTGGGTTGCCCATTCTGGTCCAGTGGTTTTCAACCTTTTAGGGGCTGGGAACAGACCCCTTTGTGAACCTTAAAGACTACGGGCCCTCTTTTTTGAGACAGAGTCACTCTGTCGCCTAGGCTGGAGTGCGGTGGCGCGATCTCGGCTCACTGCAACCTCCGCCTCCTGGGTTCAAGCAATTCTCTGCCTCAGCCTCCCGAGTAGCTGGGACTACAGGCACGCCCAAGCATGCCTGGCTAATTTTGTATTTTTAGTAGAAACGGGGTTTCACCACGTTGCCCAGGCTGGTCTTGAACTCCTGTGCTCAAGTGATTCACCCACTTCGGCCTCCCAAAGTGCTGGGATTATAGGCGTGGGCCACCGTGCCCAGCCACTACAGGCCCTCTTTGCAGAACATCTCATTTTAGGGTGCCTCCAAGCCCCCCAGGGCCCATAAGGAGTGCTGAGGAAGGCTGGGGGCATCCCAGTGGAGGGGTCAGCTAGGCAGAGGTCAGAGGACGGCTGGGGTTGGGGTGGAGCAAATCAGAGGGTGGGGGGAGACACACACACACACACACACACACACACACTCCAATGCCCACCATCAGGAGAATAGCAACTGGCCAGTTTTATGTTGTGTGCATTTGACCACAATGAAGAAAAAATAGACCAGGCGCGGTGGCTCACGCCTGTAATCCCAGCACTTTGGGAGGCCGAGACAGGCAGATCACCTGAGATTAGGAGTTCAAGACCAGCCTGGTCAACATGGTGAAACCCCATCTCTACAAAAATGCAAAAATTAGCCGGGCATGATGGTGGGTGCCTGTAATCCCAGCTACTCGGGAGGCTGAGGCAGGATAATTACTTGAACCTGGGAGGCGGCGGTTGCAGTGAGTCAAGATAGCGTGCCACTGCACTCCAGCCTGGGTGACAGAGCAAGACTCCATGTCAAAAAAATAAATAAAAATGTAATAAATTAATTACATCCTTTTTTTCTTTTTTTTTTGAGACGAAGTCTCACTGTTGTCCCCCAGGCTGGAGTGCAATCGTGCAGTCTCGGCTCACTGCAACCTCCGCCTCCGGGTTCAACCGCTTCTCTTGCCTCAGCCCCCAGAGTAGCTGGAATTACAGGTGTTTGCCACCACGCCCGGCTGATTTTTGTGTTTTTAGTAGAGATGGGGTTTCAACATGTTGGCCAGGCTGGTCTCAAACTCCGGACCTCAGGTGATCTGCCTGCCTCGGCCTCCCAAAGTGCTGGGATTACAGGCGTGAGCCACTGCGTCCAGCCCTTTTTTCTTTTTTTTTTAAATTTCATTTCTTTTTTCTATCCCCCAAATTTCCTTTTTTTTTTTTAAGCTCTTATAGACAGGGTCTCACCATGTTGCCTAGGCTGGAGTGCAGTGGCACGATCATAGCTCACTGCAACTTTGAACCCCTAGGCTCAAGCAATCCTCCTGCCTTGGCCTCCTGTGTAGCTGGGATTACAGGTGCACGCCACCATACCTGGCTAATTTTTTTTTTTTTTTTTTTTTTTTTGAGACGGAGTCTCGCTCTATTGCCTAGGCTGAGTGCAGTGGCGCAATCTCGGCTCACCGCAAGCTCCGCCTCCTGGGTTCACGCCATTCTCCTGCTTCAGCCTCCCGAGTAGCTGGGACTACAGGCGCCCGCCACCACGCCCGGCTAATTTCTGTATTTTTAGTTGAGACGGGGTTTCACCTTGTTAGCCAGGATGGTCTCGATCTCCTGACCTCGTAATCTGCCCACCTTGGCTTCCCAAAGTGCTGGGATTACACGCGTGAGCCACTGCGCCCGGCCAACCTGGCTAATTTTTTAATTTTTCTGTGAAGGGGTTTCACTATGTTGCCCAGGCTGGTCTTGAACTCCTGGGCTCAAGCTATCCTCCTGCCTCAGCCCCCGCCTCCCCAAAATGCTGGGATTACAGGGATGAGCCACTGTGCCCGGCCCTCCTTTTACTTTTTTAATATGGCTACTAAAAATGAAAAATTCCACACGTGGCCTGCATCATCTTCCTGGTGGACAGTGCTGCCTGAGAGTTCCCTTTTTGCGCTTCCTAGTGAGCTAGTGATCGACTTTACACCTAGTCCCCTTGTGATGGGAAACCCTCTGTTGAAACAGCAGGGTCCTCGCCTCACTGGACCGGGACTCAGACCAGGTGGAAATGATGATTTCATACTCATGGCCAAGCTGCCTCTCACCCCAGATGGAGGAAGTGAAAGTTCCAGCCTTTGCGGTTATTGTGGATTAAAAGCAAAAAGATTTTCGTGGAGGCGCCACCAAAGCCTGAAGTGTACCCGGTGGGCAGGACCCTCCACAGGCACCTCCACGCCCCACTCCTGCCCTGTGCCCGTAATCCCAGCACTTTGGGAGGCTGAGGCGGGCAGATCACTTGAGGTCAGGAGTTCGAGACCAGCCTCGCCAACATGGCGAAACCCCATGTCTACTAAAAAAATACAAAAATTAGCTGGGCGTGGTGGTGCACACCTGTAATCCCAGCTACTCAGGAGGCTGAGGCAGGAGAAGTGCTTGAACCCGGGAGGCAGAGGTTGCAGTGAGCTGAGAACCTGCCACTGGTCTCCAGCCTGGGCGACAGAGCAAGACTCTGTCTCAAAAAAACAAACAAACCAAAAAAACAGAAACAAAAACAAAAACAAAACCCCCAACAACTCCTGGGGACTGGACCTGAAGGGGTCTTCAGAGCGTTAAGCAGGACACGGAGGGCAGGTGAGCGAGCTGAGGGGCAGGAGCCATGGGGAGCCCCCAACAGAACCTGCTACTCCTGCAGCAACGTTTGGGCAGAAGAAAATCCTCAAATAAAACCTCCAAGAACGTGCACGCCAGTCACCGCTCATCTCGGACACGTTTATTGCTAGAATCAGGTCTTAAGTTCTAAAGCGGGTCAGAAATATCCCGCAGTGAGGAAATGTTGTAATCATTGTAAAAATAATTAGCAGGTGACTAAGATCATGACCACAACTGACAAAGACGTGTGCAGATCCCACGAAAATAGGAACATTTGCTCGACTGTCAACTTTACAAATAAAATCGGGCTCCAACCCAGGAGTGGCCGAGGGGCACTGGCGAGGGAAGGGCTGTCGGCGCTGCCGCCCGATGCCTAGCACGACTGAGACCCCTCTGCCACATGGCGGGGACGCGGGGTTCCCACCGCGTGGCCGAGCAGAAATTCCTTGAACTTCTCCCCCATCCAAGGAATTGTGGCATCTCGGAGGGCTGGACCGGCACACGCCGGCTCAGGAGGGTGCCAGGGTCTGGGAATGTTCTCTTCACAACAGAACAGGAATGTACAGTCAGCTTCTGTAAAGTGCTCCGATACTCAGTACAAAAATACAAAACACTGATGATAAACATGGCACACATGGGATCTGACGGGGGGCGGACAGCGTCGCTGATGGCCAGGGACCGGGCTGGGCAGAGTTGAGGTCGTCGGAGGGGCCAGGAGCCTGGGGACACCTGGCCACTGTGTTCTCAGGACCTTGTCACCAATGGGCTGTATGGCTGTGGGGCTCTGGTTCCCGGTTGGCACCAGCTCCTGCCCCGCCCCCTCCTGAGCCCACAGCACCCAGTGGGCGCCTCTGCCCAGGGGAGCACTTCCTGATGGAGTTTCCCCTCCCTTGTGCCCATCTGTCCCCGAGTGGCGGGAATGTCCCTGTTCACTGTATTCAGCGTCACAGGAGTGCCTCTGCCAGCACAGTGGGAGAAGGGCTGAATCCCCCCGGGATCTGCAGTTCCCAGGACCCTGGGTTCGGGAGAAGGACTTGGCCCTGGCAGGGGCTCACATGTACCCCACTGGGAACAAGGACGATCAGCCAGGACCCAGTCCTACCACCAATGCTTGGGGTGCAGAACAAGGCTTGACATGGGCCCTTTCTCCACCGGAGCTGGATCGTGGATGGATCTCACCACCCTGGGATGTCCCAGCACCTTTGATGCTGCCCAACACCTCCTTCCT
This sequence comes from Homo sapiens, assembly GCF_000001405.40. Taxonomy (NCBI): domain Eukaryota; kingdom Metazoa; phylum Chordata; class Mammalia; order Primates; family Hominidae; genus Homo; species Homo sapiens. The sequence continues at coordinate 7,471,356 of NC_000019.10, read as the reverse complement.
CCACCCCTCCAGGGAACGGACCGTAAGCTGCAACAGCTCACTACAAGCGAGGGGCCCGCACAGCGGCCACTTGTCCACTTGCTGCAACGTCTCTAGGTGCATCCTCTGCATGCCCTGGGACATGGCGCTCTCGACAGTCTGTGATGTGCCAGCCCCCACCTGGAAGGTGGGACGCCAGCCCTGGGAGCTCATTTCCCGGGGGCTGAGGACCCTGTGCCCAGGGTGTGTACCCGCCCTGGCTGAAGCTAGAGGCCCGCTCCCCCAGACAGGCTGAGCGTGTGAACAGCAACGGTTGCCCTTGGGAAGCAGAGTTTGGGAAACAGCTGGTTTCAAAACCAATGCCAAGTAAAAAGGGGCAAAGGTCAGCCCCTTTCACGATGGGCTTCCAAACCCACAGAACCTGACTGGAGGGCCACTGATGTTCCCTCAGTGGGCCCTGCCCCGTGGCCCTCTCTGCCCATGCCCCCGTGCCTGGCTCATTCCCTGACCCTGAGGTTCATGGTGAACCTGCGTGGGGCTCTGTTTGGGAAGTGGATTCTGCCTGATTCTGGGGACAGATGCTGCCGACGCCACCTGGCCCCTCCTGGTGCCCTAACCCTTGGCTCCACTGTCGCGCGGCGGCTGTGGAGCGTGGCCCCGGCCGGCAGCTCCTTCTCAAAGCAAGGTCTGTCCTGTCCTCAGCTCCGTGCAGAGCCGGCACCGTTCCTCACTGCCTCGGAAAAACAGCTCGGAGTTGATCTCCCCGCCACCCGGATGGGGTGCTATGATTTCAGACAGCTCCCTGGTTTAGTTCTGGCTCAACTTTCCATTAAAAACTTTCCTTTTTGAAAAAAAAAAAAAGAGATTCAGAAAGTGACCCCGGCACCACCGCTAACCCTACAGAAACAGCTGCAAGGCCCAGAGCACCGACAGGCTGGCCCCTGCCAGGCGGTCATCAGTGGTTTGCTAGGGAAGAGGAGGGGACAGCTGGGTGGGCATGGTGACCCCATGGGGGTCCCCAGAGAGCAGGAAGGGTGGGCAGGGCAGGGAGGGGCCTTGCACCTTGAGTCACGGCCCTTTTAGAAGAAGATGACGTCTTCTTTGCTGGCGTCCTCCTTGGCGCTGAGTGGTGTGGCCGGCAGTGGCGAGGGAGCTGGGGGCCCGGGCAGGAGGGCTGTGCCCCCGGCCTTGAGAGAGAAGCCCTCGGAGGGGCTGTCAGCTGGCGGTGGGCTCGGGGCGGGGAAGCCAGGGTCTGGAACAGAGAGAGGGTTCAGACTGAGCAGTCGCCGGGTGGTGCCGCAGCCCCGCTGCCCTGGGACTGGGCTCATGTCAGGGGGTGGGGGCTCACCTGGTGGGGGCGCAGGACTGTGTCTGCCGGGCAGGATAGGGCTCAGCGAGCGGCGGTTCCGTGAGGTGCTCTCATCTTTCCCCATGAGCTTGTTGAGCAGCAGCTGCTGCTTCAGGTCGAAGGACGCTGGAAGAGAGAAGGTATTTGGGCCAGCTCCAGGCTGGCCAGCTGTCCCCACCCGCCAGGGCAGCCTCCGAGAGCAGAGGGGCCTGGCCACCCCCACCTGACACTTCCCACGGGCGGCCTGGATCCCGTGACCTGAGCTGCTCAGATGCTAAGCCCCAGATTCAGGGAGAACGGCCCCAACCTCCCTGCGGAAGGACCTGCAGAGTCACCCGGCATCTGGAGAGGAGGCTGAGCCTCCTGTGGAAATAGCACAGGCCCTAGTGACCACGGGACACACCCTTAATCTTCAGAGAACATCCCAGAACATCCCTGGTTGTCCCCCAGGGAGGTGTCCCCCAGAGGAGCTCCTGGACATCCTCCGTGGAAACACTGGGGCTGCTCTGGGCTCCGTGTCCCACTCTGTGGAACGGCTCTGTGGAACTGGGACAATGAGCAGAGGCGCCTGCACCTGTCCCTGTCCCGGCTGTGCTGATCCCACGTGGCCAGGGATCTCTGCCTTCTTGCCCGTGTCCCTTTCTAAGGCTCCTGGTCCCCATCCCACTGTTTTGAGGGTTGAGGTGGAGAAGATGCAGGGTGGATCATCTCAGTTTTGGGCCTGGAGACCAAACACGGCCCTGTGTGGGGTGGCCTCAGCCACGATGCCAGCTGTGCCTTCTGGTTTTCCTCTCCAGAGGATGGCACAGGTGTCCCGAATTTCCTGGCTCCCAGCGAGCCGCTAGAGCCTGACCAGTTGCACCTTCCAGGCCCAGGCGAAGGGGTGGGGCCGGCTCACCTGAGCTCTCCCAGCGCTGAGAGCCCCTGCTCTTGCCGCCCTTGTCCTTGCCACCCTTGGTGGAGGCCGCCAGCTTGGTGGGGATCTGCTGCTGCACGGCCGCCTGCCTCTGGAACTGGTTGGTGGCGCTGAGCAGCTGGATGGGCACATCGCTCTTGGCCAGCCGGTTCTCGGTGGGGGCGCTGTCCCGGCGAGCCACCTCGGGGCGCTCTGCGTACTCTGGCCCCACGCCGGATGGCAGCATGCTCACACGAGGGCCCTCCAGCCCTTCCCCGTTGAAGCTGGGAGGGTGGCTTGGGGGCTGGGCCTGAGGGGACAACAGCAGATACATCCAATGTGAGGTTCCTGCTGTGCGGCCTCTGGAGAGCCCCCGAGGGTCGTGCACAGGAGACCCTCGACCTCTCCTGTTCTGGACAGAGCCAGGTGCAGCCTGAAGGAGCTGCTGGTCATTGCCCGTCCCCAACCCCTGCTAAATGTGCAGACTTGTGGTGACACTCAGTGGCACCCATACTGTCACACACTCATATACAAACATCTCACACATCCGTGTCCACATCTGTTCACAGAACCCATGGTTTATAGATTTGTTTTCAGAGACACGGTCTTGCTCTGTCACCCAGGCTAGAATGCAGTGGCACAATCATAGCTCTTGAGCCTCTTGGGCTCAAATGATCCCCCTGCCTCAGCCTCCCAAGTAGTTTGGATTACAGGTATGTGCCACCACGCCCTGCTAATTTTTGCATTTTTTTTTTAGAGATGAGGTCTCACTACGTGGCCCAGGCTGGTCTCAAATACCTAGCCTCAAGCAATCCTCCGGCCTCAGCCTCCCGAGTAGCTAGGGTGCACACCATGGCACCCAGCTTCATTTTTTTTTTTTTTTTGAGACGGGGTCTCACTCTGTTGCCCAGGCTGGAGTGCAGTGGCATGATCACGGCTCATGTCTCACTCTGTTGCCCAGGCTGGAGTGCAGTGGCGTGATCACGGCTCATGGCAGCCTCATTCTCCCGGGCTCAAGTGATCCTCCCACCTCAGCATTCCAAGTAGCGGGGACCACAGGTGCATGCCACCATGCCTAGCTCATTTTTGTATTTTTTTGTAGAGATGGAGTTTCGCCATGTTACCCAGGCTGGCCTGGAACTCCTGCCCTCAAGCAATCCGCCTGCCTCCACCACCCAAAGTGCTGGGATTACAGGAGTGCATTTTTTTTTTAAGAAGTTTCTAACATTTATGGCATGTTTTGAGCAACAGCGTTCTGTTAAGCATTTAGCCAGCTCCGAGAAAGGTCTGTACTGCGGCATGAGCTGTTAATGCAAGGGTATCTTGTGCCGTTTGCTCTTACACTCCTGCACGCATGCACCCGCGAACCCTGTCACCTGCATGCACTCGTGCAAATGCACGTGCAAACCGGTCACCCCCAACCTGCGCACACTGGCTGCTGCGCGCTCACCTCGGCCAGTGTGTCGGGCGGCAGCGCGCCTGGCGCGGTGTTCTGCTTCTTGAGGCGGCGCAGCAGCTCCAGGCGCTCCCGCTCGCGCTCCACGGCACGCTGGGCCTCGCGCAGCCGCTCCAGGTCGTGCTGGTAGGCCTGGCGCTGGCGCTCCAGCTCGGCCCGCTCCTGCTCCAGCCGCTCGCGTAGCTGCCGCGCCTCGCCCTCGCGCTCCTGCAGCCGCGCGCCCGCACGCTCCAGCTCCTGGTGCTGCCACTGGCGCTCGCGCTCCCAGCGCTGCTGCTCGTGCCGCAGCTGGCTCTGCAGCTTCTCCAGGGCCGCGCGCTCCTCCCGCTGCTTCTCGAAGTTGCGTTGCCGCTCCTGCTCCAGCAGCAGGTTCCCACGCGTCGACTGCAGCCGGAACTGCTTCTCCCGCTCCTGGATGGCAGCCCGCTGCGTCTCCACATAGCTGTCCTGGTGGGCGATTACCGCCTGCGGAGGGCCAGGGCCAGGCGAGTGAGAGCCGCACCTGCGCCCCAGCCAACCAGGAAAGGGCACGCGTGGCCGGCCCCACCCCGCCCCTGTACCTGAAGGTTCAGGAGCAGCTGGGACAGTGTCTGGATCCGCTGGACAAGCTGCGGAGAGGAGAGGGAGATTGATGCTAGTTATCGGGCTGAGGCCACACGCGCGTGCACAAGGCCCTGGGGAGATGGAGACCCGCGGGCGCCTACCTCCGACTCCAGGACGGTGGGCAGACGGGGATCGGATTCCGTGCCTGGCGCCTCCACCTGGGAAGAGGACACCGTCAAACCAGAGAGAGTGGCTCAAGACCCATCCGACTAGACTCAAGCCTTCTTCTTCTTCTTCTTTTTTTTTAACTTTTTTTTTTTTTTTTTTTTTTGAGACGGAATTCTGCTCTTGTTGCCCAAGCTGGAGTGCAGTGGCGCGATCTTGGCTCACTGCACCCTCCAGCTCCCGGGTTCAAGCAATTCTCCTGCCTCAACCTCCCGAGTAATTGGGATTATAGGCTCAAGCCTCCACGCCTGGCTAATTTTGTGTATTTTTAGTAGAAACGGAGTTTCACCATGTTGGCCAGGCTGGTTGCAAACTCCTGACCTCAGGTGATCCGCCCGCCTCGGCCTCCCAAAGTGCTGGGATTACAGGCATGAGCCACCATGCCTGGCTTCTTTTTTTTTTTTTTGAGACAGGGCCTTGCTCTAGAGTGTAGTGGCCTGATCCTCCCACCTCGGCCTCCTGAGTAGCTGGGACTACAGGTGTGCACCACCAGGATCAGCTATTTTTAATTTTTTTTTTTTTTTTTTTTGAGATGGAGTTTTGCTCGTTGCCCAGGCTGGAGTGCAATGGCACGATCTCAGCTCACTGAAACCACCACCTTCCTGGTTCAAGTGATTCTCCTGCCTCAGCCTCCCAAATAGCTGGGATTACTCGAATGTGCCACCACGCCTGGCTAATTTTGTATATTTGGTAGAGGCGGGGTTTCACCATGTTGGTCAGGCTGGTCTCGAATTCCTGACCTCAGGTGATCCACCTGCCTTGGCTTCCCAAAGTGCTGGGATTACAGGCGTGAGCCACCACACCCAGCAGCTATTTTTAACTTTTTTGAAACAAAGTCTTGCTTGGTCGCCCAGGCTAGAGTGCAGTGGTGCAATCTCGGCTCACTGCAACCTCCACCTCCTAGGTTCAAGCGATTCTCCCACCTTAGCCTCCTGAGTAGCTGGGATTACAGGTATCCACCACCACGTCCAGCTAATTTTTATATTTTTAGTAGAGACAGGGTTTCACCATGTTGGCCAGGCTGGTCTCAAACCCTGGACTCAAGTGATCACCCGAGTCGGCCTCCTGAAGTGCTGGGATTACAGGCATGAGCCACCGCACCCAGCCAAAGGATCAGCTATTTTAAAAATATTTTGTCGACATGTGGTCTTGCTATGTTGCCCAGGCTGGTCTCAAACTCATGGCCTCAAGTGATCCTCCCAAGGCCAGGTATGGCGGCCTTGCCTATAATCCCAACACTTTGGGAGGCCCAGGCAGGAGGATTGCTTGAGCCCAGGAGTTGGAAACCAGCCTGGGCAACATAGTGAGACCCTGTATCTACCAAACATTTAAAAAATTAGTCAGGTGTGGGGGCGCGCACCTGTAGTTTCAGCTACTTGGGAGGCTGAGGTGGGAGGATTGCTTGAGCCTAGGAGTTAGAGGCTGTGTGAGCTGTGATCACGCCACTGCCCTCAAGCCTGGGTGACAGAGTGAGACCTTGTCTCCAAAAAAAAAAAAAAAAAGTGATCCTCCCACCTCGGTCTCCCAAAACACTGGGATTATGGGTGTGAGGCACTGCACCCGGCCCCTGCTTATTATTGAAAATACATCCCTTAGTGTGGATAACAGGAAGGACCCAGGACCGGGTCATGACTGGGAACACAGGCCCTGCTGGTCAGCTGACTTGTACAAATCTGGGTGTTTGGAAAACGAGGGGCTGGGGCCTCCTGGGAGGTAGAGTGGGCTTGGCTATGAGGCCTGCGTGCCAGCTCTGGCCACAGGGGCAAGTCCAAGCCTCAGAACTGATCAGAGGCAACTGGCCTTGGCCTCTGACCCCCTGACCTGGGCAGGGCCGAGTAGGCACCTGGCCTTCTGATTCAAAGGCAAAGGAATAGCCGGGGACATCTGGCATCTGGTAGGCACCACCACACCTGCCCCGGCTGAAAGCTGGTGGTCCCTGTAGGGGGTTCCTCGCCTGTTGATGAAGCCATGGTGAGTGCCCTGAGCCTGTCCCCTCCCCAGCCTTCCTCTTGGGGACCTCTTTGCTTTTCCCAGGAGGCTGCAGGAAGAAATCACCTGCCAGTGCATTAATCTGGGCTGAGATACTGTTATTCACCACAAAACAAACAATGCTTGTCGATGCTAATAAGACTAAAACTGGACAACCCCAGCAGAAGCTGCTCACACACATGAATCCTTATGACGACTCAGACTGTACCGAGCAAATGGATATCCACGTACCACCTGCGGCGATTCCTCAGAGCTCCCAGGAATGTCACTGTCACTGAGCTTCAAGTCCGGGCTGTTTGGGGGGCCTCGCCAGTCTCGGGGCCTGGGGTCAGTGCTGCTGACTTTCTTCTTGAAACTGCCATCTGAGAACCCCAAGCCAGGGGCATGAGGATGCTGCCATCCCGTGGGGAGGGGGAAGCTTCCCAGTCCACCCCCAGCCCCTGCCCAGGTAGGAAACCCAGGCTAGGCCCGAATGGTGGCGTCTGCAGCACAGACGCCTGCTGGAGAGGGGCAGGCTGGTCTGGGTGCTGCTGTCACAACACAACCAACGATGTCTGGAGGGTTTCAGAAGGTTCCAGAAAATCGGCTGGGTGCGGTGGCTCACACCTGCAATCTCAGCACTTTGGGAGGCTGAGGCGGGCGGATCACCTGAAGTCAGGAGTTCGAGACCAGCCTGGCCAACATGGTGAAACCCCATTTCTACTAAAAATACAAAAAGTAGCCGGGCATGGTGGCGTGTGCTTATAGTCCCAGCTACTTGGTAGGCTGAGGCGGGAGAATCACTTGAACCCAGGAGGCAGAGGTTGCAGAGAGCTGAGATTGCGCCACTGCACTCCAGCCTGGGTGACAGAGCAAGACTCTGTCTCAACAACAACAAAAAAGAAAGTTCTAGGAAACCCCATACAAGTTAATGTGCATCCTGAGGGGCGGCCCTGGAGGCAGGAGGGGAGACGGCCCCGCTCTTACTCTTGGTGGGGCTGTTTGTGCAGTCGTAGCCCGCGAAGGTCTCAGCCCTCCTGGGCGGGCCTGTGGAGCTGCCTCCGTCTTCCGCCTGGCCGTTGGCGCTGCCCAGCTGCCTGCAGATCAGGCTCTGGATGCCCTCGACTGTGGAAGGAAGGGGACAGGAGGCACGGGTCGCCCTGCGGAAGTGTGCTGGGGGAATACGGAGCGCTGGGGCAGCGAGACCCGGGTGGACGGAGGGACTCACTGGGGTGGTGATCGCCTGCCCCCTTCTGTGTGCCGTGGGATTTCAGCCCCACTGTCCCTGCGCACACCCTTACTTCAGGTATGGCCACCAGGACAGGCCAATCTGCGTCTAAGTGAGAGGACAGGGCTGTGGGGCAGCCATGGGGAGGGCGGGTACAGGCTCCTGCAGCTCCTTCCACCAGGCCGCCCTGGGCCAGGGGCTGGCGAATGCTGGATGTGGCCCTGCCCAGGGCCAGCAGGAAACACTTGGTGTGTTATATGACAATGACCATACACTGATTGTGTGACAATGGCCATATGGGAGAGTGACTTTGTGGGGAAGGGCTGTCTACAGAAAGCCCTCTAGGACCAACAGGCTGTGGCCAGGCACAGAGGTGGGGACAAGAACATTCCAGGCCAAGGTGCGGGATATGAGAGTGTCCCCAGGGGGCCAAGAACAATGGCCACTGGAGCCGGGTGGAAGGATGTCAGTGGGCCTGGAGGGAGAAAGACTGACCCCCGTCTCTGCCGTCTTATTCTGCGGAAAGGCTCTGGAAGGCAGGGGCTGAGTCGGCTTCCCTCACTGTTGAAAGAGCAGATTGAGGCAGGGCGCGGTGGCTCACGCCTATAATCCCAGCACCTTGGGAGGCAGAGGAGGGTGGATCATCTGAGGTCAGGAGTTCGAGACCAGCCTGGCCAACATGGTGAAACCCCATCTCTACGAAAAATACAAAAATTAGCTGGGCGTGGTGGTGGGTGCCTGTAATCCCAGCTACCCAGGAGGCTGAGGCAGAATTACTTAAACCCAGGAGGTGGAGGTTGCAGTGAGCCGAGATCACGCCACTGCACTCCAGCCTGGGTGACAAAGCGAGACTCCATCTCAAAAAAAAAAAAAAAAAAGAAAAGAAAAAAAGAAAGAGCAGACTGGGCGCTGACTGCCTGCTCAAGCGGCCAGCCCAGGGGCCTGGCGGCTGTGTTAGAGCTGTGCGTGGGGACCCACTGAGGGAGTGTGCGTGTGTTTTTCTGGGGATATCACCAGGACCCACCTCCCAGGAAGAAGAGGAACCTCTGGTAGGTAGGGAACCAGTCTTAGTCAACTTCAGATCCTCCCCACGGCCCGGCTTAGAGCCTCTGCATGCAGGGAGCATCAGAGCGGTTGTTGAACGGGGAGAAAGTGCTTTATGTCTGCAAGGAGCGGCTTGGCCCAGATTATGTCTAAGGCCCTTCTGGCTCTCACAGGCACCGGGGGGCGGTCAGTGCTGCTCCTGGGCCCCCCCCACATAGAAGCCTGTCCTGGACAGGGTGCCGTGTCGGCCACAATGAGCCGTGAGCCTGGCCTGGGGTTCCCTGAGGAGCCCACCCCGGCAAGACTGCACCCTTGAGGTGTGGGCAGCCAACTTACTCTCGCTCATGGCCGACTTGAGAATTAGCTCCCCCTGCAGGGTCTCGGATGGGTCCCCTCCACGGAATAGGCCTCGGGGCTGGGGCAGGTCTTCGAGGCCGCCCATCTCGGCCATCTCCAGGTAGATCTGCTGTTTCTCTAGGAGGCTCTGTGCGATCAGCTGGTCTTTCATGCTCAACCGCTCTGCAGAGTGATGGTGGAGGTGGCAGTCAGCCGGGTCGGCCTTCCCTGGAATCATCTGAGCCCCGGGGACTGGCCTAAGGATGAGGAACCCCGCTGGCCCTGCCCTGAGGTAGGCTGCCCCCTTGTGTCCTGCATTCCTGGGAGGTAGGGGAGGGCATGGCCTTGTCCTCTGATTATTTTCCCCCTTGTTATAAAAATCAGGTTAGCTGTGGTGGCTCAGGCCTGCGATCCCAGTACTTAGGGAAGCCAAGGTAGGAGGACTCTTGCGGCCTGGAGTTCGAGACCAGCCTGGACAACATAATGAGACTCTGTCTCTACAAATAAAAAATTAGCTGGTTGTGGTGGTGCATGCCTGGGAAATGAGGCAGGAGGATCGCTTGAGCCCAGGAGTTCAAGGCTGCAGTGAGCTATGACTGCAGTACTGTACTCCAGCCTGGCCAACAAAGCAAGATCCTGTCTCTAAAAGAAATAAAATAAAATCAAACACAGTAGGGTGTGAGTGAGGATTGTATCAGGCCCATTTATTAGTCTGGGACCAACTTAGAGCCTTAGAAAACTGAATTTTCCATCCTCCCTTTCTTTCTTTCCTTCCTTCTTCTTTTGAGAAGGAGTCTCGCTCTGTCGCCCAGGCTGGAGTGCAGTGGCACAATCTCGGCTCACTGCAACCTCCACCTCCCGGGTTCAAGCGATTCTCCTGCCTCAGCCTCCCGAGTAGCTGGGACTATAGGCACGCACCACCATGCCTGGCTAATTTTTTGTATTTTTAGTAGAAACGGGGTTTTGCCATCTTGGCCAGGCTGGTCTCAAACTCCTGATCTCAAATGATCCACCTGCTTTGGCCTCCCAAAGTGCTGGGATTACAGGCGTGAGCCACCGCACCCAGCCTAATTTTTAAATTTTTTGTAGAGACAGGGTTTTGCCATGTTGTCCAGGCTGGTCTCAAACTCCTGGCTTCCAGTGATCCATCTGCCTCAGCCTCCCAAAGTGCAGGGATTACAGGCATGAGCCACCATACCAGGCCACTTATTGTTTGAGTATTATCCAATTTAGAAATGAATAATACAGGGCCGGGAGCGGTGGCTCACGCCTGTAATCCCAGCACTTTGGGAGGCCGAGGCAGGCAGATCACGAGGTCGAGAGATTGAGACCATCCTGGCCAACATGGTGAAACCCCATCTCTACTAAAAACACAAAAATTAGTGGGGCGTGGTGGCGGGTGCCTATAGTCCCAGCTACTCGGGAGGCTGAGGGAGGAGAATCTCTTGGACCTGATAGGCAGAGCTTGCAGTAAGCCGAGATCACGCCACTGCATTCCAGCCTGGTGACAGAGCGAGGCTCTGTTTAAAAAAAAAAAAGAAGATAAAATAAAAAAAAATACAGACAGTGAAAGGGAAGAAGGGAGCTTGCCGCAGGCTACAGGGCACCAGGAATTGTTCTTGACAAAGTGCTCACTGAGCGCGGGCGAACCTTAATACCACACCTCGAGAGGAGCCAGACCCAAAAGGCCGCGCGGTGTGACTCCATTTATGTGGAATGTCCAGGGCAGGCCAATCTACAGGGACAGGAAGTAGATTCCTGTTGCCAGGGTTGGGGCATGGGGTGGGGAGTGACTGTTAAGGGGGACGGGGCTTCTTTCTGGGGTGGTGGGATGTTCTAAAGTTAACATGATTCTGGCTGCATAATTGGAAATGCACTGAAATGCCCCTGAACCCCACGCTTGGGAGGGTGAGTGCTGTGGTGTGTGAATTACATCTCAATCGTGTAATTAAACAGGGAGGAGGAAGCTCTGGAAGGAGGCTGTGGGGACCCTGTGCTATTCCTTCGTATGGGACTGGGATGCCCTGTTGAGCTCCTGGCTGCACGAGGATGGGGTGGTGGTGGCGTGTGTGGCTGTGTGGTCGGCTCTGGAAGGGGCTCAGGTCCTCTGGGCTCTCCTCCCTCCCTCTCCCACATACCCCCAAAGGGCTAAGTGACCTCTGGAGATCGCTATGTCATGGCACAGCCCGTTCTAATGCTTCACAGAGCTGCAGGACATGGCACAGCCCACGGGAAAACACCGGGTCACCTGGGGGGCAGTTCACCCTCTGTGGCCAGTCCTGATGGAGGGCCCAGGGCTCACCACACAAGGGGTGTGCCCAGACGCTGTCTCCCGCTCACCTTGAAAGTCCCGGAGTCTCGTGGCGCGGGCCTCGACCACCTTCCTTTCCTCTTCGGGCAGGCTGAAGGGCCCCTCCTCCTCGTCAGGGCAGCTGCAGGGAGAGGAGTCGGGTGGGTAACTGTGCTTCCCAGGCAGGCCAGCCTCGGCACAGACGCTGGTTCTGCAGAACCAGCCGCCACGACCGTCTCTGACTTTGGGAGTGATTTAGCTTGTTCGTGGTGCAGGAGGACGAGGAGGGGAAGAGAGAGAGCCACTGACATTCATCCCGCCCCAAAGCGCCAGGGCATAACCAGGAAGAGGCTTTACATGCCTGCCTGTGACTTAGAGGAGGAGTCCAGGGGACAGCGGGCTTGCAGAGGACCTGCCAGGTGCAGGTGGGTGGCTGCAAGCCCCGTAGAGCTACAGCTACTGTGGATGGGGGAGTCTGAACCAGATTAAGGCACCAGGAAGCCTCCGGGAATCAAGAGAGGGAGTGGACAGGCATGGTGGCTCACGCCTGTAATCCCAACACTTTGGGAGGCCAAGACAGGAGGATGGCTTGAGGCCAGGAGTTCAAGACCAGCCTGGGCAACACAGTGAGGCCCCATCTCTACAAAAATAAAAAATCTAGCTGGGTGTGGTGGTGTATGCCTGTAGTTCAAGCTACTTGGGAGGCCGAGGGGGTAGGATGGCTTGAGCCCAGGAGTTTGGGTTGCAATAAGCTATGATTGTGCCAGCGCACTCCAGCCTGGGTGATAGAGCAAGAGCCAGACTCTAAAAAACAAAACAAAACAAAACAAAATAGGCTGGGCGCAGTGGCTCACGCCTGTAATCCCAGCTACTCGGGGAGGCTGAGGCAGCAGAATCGTTTGAACCTGGGAGGCGGAGGCTGCAGTGAGCCGAGATTGCATCACTGCACTCCAGCCTGGGTGACAGAGCAAGACTCTGTCTCAAAAAAATAAAAAATAAAGAGAGGGAGGGGAAGCCAGCTGGTTCTGGGCCCTGAGGGGTGCTCGGCCCAAGGAGGAAGGACAAGATGCCATGCCCTGCTCCAACAAATCTGGCCCTAGAATGCAGAGAGCCCGCCATGGCAGGTGCAGTGGCCCACGCATGCAGAAAGGCCCAGGTTACAGCTGCCTTTCTGGGCCCGTTGGCCTCAACGTCCAACAGGTTGAGTCATCAGAAGGAGCTGGAATGGCGTCATGGGTCCCAAGCTGGGATGAGGGAGTTCAAGGTCACAGCTGATGGCCAACGGTCGAAGCCAAGGGTGGACCAATCAGCGGAAGGAACACAGTGGGTGGGGAGACCCCCAGGCCCTCCTCACCTCTCCACAGCCCTTTGGATGTGGGCCATCCAGGCGTTCCTGTCCTCTTTGGAGCTCGTGTAGATTTCATACATCTCCGGCCCTTGCAAGGAGGCGCTGATCAGAAACATCGCTTTCTCCTCGTTGGCCACTTCCCTCACGATGAGCTTTTGTAACGAGATGACGGGTGGCTTTGAGTCCTGCATGAGTAGAGGGCATTGGGGAGGTCACCCTTTACCCCACAGCACCCAAACAGCAGGGAGGTCAAGGGCCTGGTGAGGGGAACTAAGAGTGGGGGTCACGCTCCTCATTTCTTTTCAAACAATTCAAAGCGGAAATATTTTGCCATCTGGGGGAAAAAAGATACTATTGCAGTGAAATCCTAGAAACCTTTTTTTTTTTTTTTTTTTTTTTAAACTATCTTGGAGGCCAGGTCTTGCTCTGTCACCCAGGCTGTAGTGCAGTGGTGCAATCATTGTTCCCTGCAGCCTTGACCTCCTGGGCTCAAGTGATCCTCCCACCTCAGCCTCCTGAGTAGCTGGGATTATAGGCACGTGCCGCCAGGCCCAGCTAATTTTTGTATTTTTTGTAGAGATGGGATCTCACTATGTTGCCCAGGCTGGTCTTGAAGTCCTAGGCTCAAGTGATCCTCCTATCTCGGCCTCCCAAAGTGCTGAGATGACAGGAGTGAGCCATCTTGCCCCTTAGTATCCCGATAATGTGTCAATTTCATCAGCTTAAAAATTTTTTTTTAAATAGTCGGCAATGCACATACACACGAGAAAGCTCAAAAGATACAACGGTATGTAGTATATAACAACAGATAAACCCATCTCTGTCTTGTGCCTCAGGCCACCCAGAGCCACCGGTATTTCTAGTCTGTCACGCATCCTTCAAGAGACAATGCTTCCACAGACCAGCAAAATGCACATTTTAACTGGCTAGAGTGGGCTACACTGTGTTCCCCACAAATTCATATGAAGTCCTGAGCCCTAGCACCTCAGAATGTGGCTGTCTTTGGAGATGGGGCCTTTAAAGAGGTGATTAATGTGCGGGTGTGGTGGCTCACTCCTGTAATCCCAGCACTTTGGGAGGCTGAGGCAGGCAGATCACTTAAGGTCAGGAGTTCAAGACCAGCCTGGCCAACATGGTGAAACCCCATCTCTACTAAAAATACAAAAAGTAGCCGGGTGTGGCGGCAGGTGCCTGTAATCCCAGCTACTCAGGAGGCTGAGGCAGGAGAATCACTTGAACTCGGGAGGTGGAGGTTGCAGTGAGTCGAGATTGTGTCATTGCACACTCCAGCCTGGGCGACAGAGTGAGACTGTCTCAAAAAAAAAAAAAAAAAAAAAAAAAAAGAGAGGTGATTATGGCAAAATGAGATCATATGGGCGGGCCCAAATCCAATCTGACTGGCATCCTTCTAACAAGAGGAGATTAGCACAGAGGCACACACAGAGGGATGGCCACTCGAGGACACAGAGAACAGATGAGCACATGGCTGCCTACAAGCCAAGGGGCCTCAGAAGAAACCAACCCTGCTGATACCTTCATCTTGGACTTTCAGCCTGCAGAAACATGAGACAATAAATTTATGTGGTCTAAACCACCCAGTCCATGGTACTTTGTTTACAGCAGCCTCAGCAAACAAATACACTGGTTAAGAACACACCAGCAGCTGGGCACGGTGGCGCACGACTGTAATCCCATCACTTTGGGAGGCCAAGGCGGGAGGATCACTTGAGGTTAGAAGATGGAGACCAGCCTGGCCAACATGGTGAAACCCCGTCTCTACTAAAAATACAAAAAATTAGCCAGGCGTGGTGGCGGGCGCCTGTAATCCCAGCTATGTGGGCCTGGAAAACTCACAGGTGCCCCTTCCATGGGCAGTTTCAGCCAACCTCCCAACAAGGTCACAGCAAGCAGGGCCCTTCGTCTGTTTTTTGTTTGTTTGTTTTGTTTTTTTGTTTTGAGATAGAGTCTCGCTCTGTTGCCCAGGCGGGAGAGCAGTGGCGCAGTCTTGCTGGAGAGCAGTGGCACAATCTCAGCTCACTGCAACCTTCACCTCCTGGGTTCAGGTGATTATCCTGCCTCAGCCTCCTGAGTAGCTGGGACTACAGACATGGGCCACCATGCCCGGCTAATTTTTGTATTTTTAGTAGAGGTGAGGTTTCACCATGTTGGCCAGGCTGGACTTCAACTCTTGACCTCAAGTGATCTGCCCACCTCGGCCTCCCAAAGTGCTGGGATTATAGACGTGAGCCACAGCACCCAGCCGACCCTTCGTCTGAAGAGACAGGATACATACCACAGAAGCAAAGACGTATTTCTGATCTTTTTCTTGTAGCAGCAAAAGTACGTCGGTCAGCAGGATAGCCAGGATATCTGGGAAAACAGCATGGAAGGATGCATCTTAAAAGTCCCATAGCCAGGAGGTCTTGCTGGCCACCCCCGCGGATGCCACTTCCCAGGAAGGTGTAAGCAGCATGATGCTTCTGCCTGGGCCTAGAAGTTTCCTTTCTGCCTTGCCTGCACCCCCCATCACCTTTCCAGGTCTCAACCTTCAGCACCAACGAGCAGCCGGAGCCTCCTCTAAGTCCCTTCCGTGTCCAGAGCTCAAACCAGGGCTCCCGCCCATGTCAGGCCACTGTGCCCGGCAATTCTCTTTGCTGTAACAACACCTGCTGGGTCTGACCTTTGAGAATCTGATACGGTTTGGCTGCGTCCCCACCCACATCTCATCTTGAATTCCCACGTGCTGTAAGAGGGACCTGGTGGGAGGTAATTGAATCATGGGGGCAGATCTTTTCCATGCCGTTCTCGTGATAGTGAATGAGTCTCACAAGATCTGACAGTTTTATAAGGGGGAGTTTCCCTGCACAAGCTCCCTCTCTCTTTGCCTGCTGCCATCCATGTAAGACTTGACTTGCTCCTCCTGCCTTCTGCCATGATTGTGAGGCCTTCCCCCACAGGTGGAACTGTTTAAGTCCATTAAACCTCTTTCTTTGGTAAGTTGCCCAGTCTCAGGTATGTCTTTATCAGCAGCATGAACACGGACTAATACAACATCTCTCCCTCTGATGTCTCAGATGTGAACGGAGCTCTCTGTTCTCCCTGCTCCTGGGTCACCAGGACCCGAGCCACAGCAGCGATGCAGGCCAGGGGTGGTCTCAGTCCCCTCGTGCCCCTCAGTCCCCCTTGGCGCCTTGTCCCTGTATGAACCTCTCGTGCTGTAAGGCTTCCTGCACATAGATGCAAATCCTGAGCTGCGTTTCAAGGGCAACGCCACTTTTGGGGAGCTGCTTCCAACACCCCTGTCTAAGTCAGATACGCTTTTGCTAATTCTCTCACACTGCAGCCTGCTGGCTTCCTTAAAGCATGTGCTGGACTTCTAACTAGTTTTTCCGTTTTTTGGCTTGTTTCTCTCTTTCAGCCCAGTGACTGATGCCTTAAAAGGCTAGGCACCAGGTCTTGCCCGGTGGGGTGTATTCCTACCATCCAACTCGGCGCCTGGCAGGCAGAAGGCGCTAAACCTGTCTGCGAAATACACGCCTACTCAAATGATGAGTGGGCAAGTGCTGTCATTTGGCCACCTCAATGACTCCCTCAAGATCCTTAAAGATGCTGATGTGAATAGATAGCTTGGGATGTTTCTAGAGGCTCCAAAAATGAACAGGAAACCCAGGAATGAATCCTGAGCACTCTCTGGTCTGAACTGCAACATGGGTCTTGAAAGTAGGGCTCGGAGCACACCCTGGGCAGCGAGTGGGATGCTTGGGGATGCTGATCAGCAGTCCTGGGGGTATTCTCTATCCACATGGGGGCCTCTCAGTGGCTGGGCCCATGGCAGGCAGGCTGGCCCATGACTGCCCAGATGGGCAGCTGAGCGTGTTTGGAATTCTGGGCCCAAACCTGGGGTGTCTCGATGTGCCACCAATGCCCTGGGTTTCCATTGGGAAGTCAACAACTCAGCATGCCCTCCTGGTGTGTACTGCACCCTTCCAAAGACCAGAGGAGGAGGACGGTGATACAACCATCTCTTTTATGCTACACCCCAGCTGCCTTGCTCATCCTGACTCAGCTCATAACCTCCCTTCAGCCATGAAGTAGCCAGACTTCAGTGGCTCTGTGTCAGTTGACACCCACCAAACCAAACCAAGATGGTGCCCACTGATCCAAGAGGGCACCCACTGATCTGAGAGGATGCCACCACTCCCAAGACCATGCCACCAGTCCGAGATGGCACCCACCAATCAAAATGGTGGCCACTGATCCAAGAGGGAGCCCACTGATCAAGATGATGCCACCATTCCAAGATGGTGCTCACTGATCCAAGATGGTACTCACTGATCCAGGATGTCACTATTTCCAAGACTATGCCACTGATCCAAGAGGCACCCAGTGATCTAAGATGGTGCCATCATTCCTAAGACTGTGCCACCAATCCAAGATGGCACCCACCAACCCAAATTGTGCCCACTGATTCAAGAGGGAACCCACCAAGATGGTGCCACTGATCCAAGATGGCACCCACCACTCCAAGAGGGTGCCCACAACTCCCAAGATGGCACCCACCAATCCAATATGGTGCCACCACTCCAAGATGGTGCTGCTAATCCCATATGGCACCTACCAATCCAAGATGATGCCCACTGATCCAAGATGGCACCCATCACTCTAAGAGGGCACCCACAACTCCCAAGATGGTGCTACCAACCCAAGATAGCACCCACCAATCCAATATAATGCCACCAATCCAACATGGCACCCACCAATAAAAAATGGGAACCAACACTCCAAAATGGTACCCACTGATACAGGATAGTGCCACCAATCAAGAGAGTACCCACCAATCCAAGATGGTGACCACCTCTCCAAGATGGTACCCACTGATACAAGATGGTGCCACTAATCTAAGACAGTGCCCACCACTCCAAGACAGTGCCCACTGATCCAAGATGGCACCCACTAGAGGTGGGCAGGGGCAGGCCTTTACCTTTCAAGCGCCCTGATGTGGTCTTCCAGCATAGCATGCCCTCCAGGTGGAGCTGCCGCTGAAGCATGTCTTCCTTGCGGAAGGTGAGCCCGTTCTTGAGTTTGCTGGAAGACTTCAGGTCCATCTTCCCTGCGATCTCCCTGAGGCGCTGGCCCTTCTCACACTCACTGACCTTGGCGTCCACTTGTGAGATGATATCTTTGATGAGGTTCAAGGCCTGGGTCAGGTCTTCATAGTCCTCAGTGCCAGCTGCCACACATAGCAGAGTTAGCGTCTTTCTTTTCCACTTTAACACAACAGAAGTGGACACACTCACTATGTATGGACATGTGGATCTATGAGGTGTGTGGACACACTATGTATGGGCGTGTGGGATCTATGAGGTGTGTTCTCCAAGGCCACCACTCAGAAGACCCTCAAGATCACTTCCCAAATGTAATCTCCTGAGATGCAAATAGTTCTCCAAAATAAATGCAACACGTCAGAGTTTAGGTTTTTTTTGGGGGGGGGAGGGTAGGGTGGACGGAGTCTGGCTCTGTCACCCAGGCTAGAGTACAATGGCGCAATCTCAGCTCACTGCAACCTGTCTCCCAGGTTCAAGCGATTCTCCTGCCTCAGTCTCCCAAGTAGCTGGGATTACAGGCACCCGCCACCATGCCCAGCTATTTTTTTTGGTATTTTTAGTAGAGACGGGGTTTCACTATGTTGGCCAGGCTGGTCTCAAACTCCTGACTTCAAGTGATCCGCCTGCCTCAGCCTCCCAAAGTGCTGGGATTACAGGCATAAGCCACTGTGCCTGGCCCAGAGCTGAATTTTTACCTAGGTAGAGCATCTATCGAATGCAGAAGCTAAGGTGCAATTCAAGTGGCAAAACTGCCATGACTAGCTCTGCCATCTACTGCTTGGTAAACGAACTTTCCTCTGTCCCAATCCCTTCATAAAAGACTCCCAGCTGGGCATGGTGGCTCACGCCTGTAATCCCAGCACTCTGGGAGGCTGAGGCGGGCAGATCACCTGAGGTCGGGAGTTCAAGACCAGCCTGACCAACATGAAGAAACCTCGTCTCTACTAAAAATATAAAAATTAGCCAGGCGTGGTGGCACATGCCTGTAATCCCAGCTACTCGGGAGGCTGAGGCAGGAGAATCACTTGAACCCAGGAGGCAGAGGTTGCAGTGAGCCAAGATCATGCCACTGTACTCTAGCCTGGGCAATAAGAGTGAAACTCCATCTTACAATAAATAAATAAATAAATAAATAAATTAGATTCCCTCCACCTCCTGTTGTGACTGGGATCTGGCTCTTCCCACTCCAAGGATGTGGCTTTTATAGTGGGGAAATTTGTTCATCCTCTCACGGCCTGAATTCAGTGGTGAAGCGAGAGCTGTGGTCAGCACGGCCCTGGCTGCCAGAACTCCTGGCTGGACTGCCCGCCCTTCTCTGCCTCCCTGGCTCCAGACACATCCCTTGCTCAGCCCTGGTCATGTGACACAGAGGCCATCTCTGGGTCTGTTTGAACCACCAGGGCACCGTCTCCATCCATTCATCCTTTCCACAGACACTAACACTGAGGGCCTGCAGTGGCCCAGCCTGTGCTAGGGGCTGGGGGAAACAGTTGGCAAATGAGACCTGGCTCCTGCTTTCATGGTGCTGACCACCCCATCTTTCTTGTATCAAAAGCCCCAGGCCAGGCTGGGCGTGGCATGGTGGCTCATGCCTGTAATCCCAGCACTTTGGGAGGCCAACATGGGTGGATCATTTGAGGCCAGGAGTTTAAGA
This sequence comes from Homo sapiens, assembly GCF_000001405.40. Lineage (NCBI taxonomy): Eukaryota > Metazoa > Chordata > Mammalia > Primates > Hominidae > Homo > Homo sapiens. Next base: position 7,451,937 of record NC_000019.10, on the reverse strand, counting down.
CCAGCCTGATCAACATGGTGAATCCCCATCTCTACTACAAATATCAAAGTTAGCTAGGTGTGGTGGTGGGCGCCTGTAGTCCTAGCTACTCGGGAGTCTGAGGCAGGAGAATCACTTGAACCTGGGAAGTGGAGGTTGCAGTGAGCCGAGATCGTGCCACTGTACTCCAGCCTGAGGGACACAGCAAGACTGTCTCAAAACAAAACAAAACAAAAAAACCCAGGCCAGATGTGATGGCTCATGCCTGTAATCCCAGCACTTTGGAGAGACCGAGGTGGGAGGATCACTTGAACCCAGGAGTTCCACACCAGCCTGGGTAACACAGCGAGACCCCATCTCTAAAAAAAAAATTAAAAAAAATTAACTGTGTGTAGTGGCGTATGCCTGTAGTCCCAGGTGCTTGGGAGGCTGAGGTAGAAGGACCACTTGAGCCCCAGAGTTGGAGGCTGTGCAATGAGCTATGATTTCACCACTACACTCCAGCCTGGGCAACAGAGTGAGACTCTGTCTCTTAAAAAAAAAAAAAAAAAAAAGGAAGGAACCCCAGCACCCAGCAAACTGGATTTCAAAGGGAATTTATTCAGTTTGCTGCTCAAATAGGGAGTGGGTACACGGAGAGAGCCCTGTGCTGCAGCAGCACGGGCGGGCGGGGCAGTGGGGAGAAGGCCTACCTTCCGTGTTCTGGATGATGCGCTCCACCAGCACTGGGTATTTGGTTATGCGTTGTGTAACCAGGAGAATGCACTCCTGCACGCCAAGCCGCCGCACGATGGAGAAGTTGCCAATTTTCTAGGAAACAGAAAGCAAGATCCTGTATTAACATCTCAGAAACGGACAGCAAGATCCTGTATTAACATCTCAGAAACGGACAGCAAGATCCCGCATTAACATCTCGGAAATGGACAGCAAGATCCCATATTAACATCTCGGAAATGGACAGCAAGATCCTGCATTAACATCTCGGAAACGGACAGCAAGATCCCGCATTAACATCTCGGAAACGGACAGCAAGATCCTGCATTAACATCTCAGAAAGGTACAGCAAGACCCCGCATTAACATCTCGGAAACGGACAGCAAGACGCCGCATTAACATCTCGGAAACGGACAGCAAGACCCCGTATTAACATCTCGGAAACGGAAAGCAAGATCCCGCATTAACACCGTGGAAACGGACAGCAAGATCCCGCATTAACATCTCGGAAACGGAAAGCAAGATCTTGCATTAACATCTCGGAAACGGACAGCAAGATCCCGCATTAACATCTCGGAAATGGACAGCAAGATCCCGTATTAACATCTTGGAAATGGAAATGGAAAGCAAGATCCCATATTAATGTCTTGGAAACAGAAAGCAAGATCGACATTCACACCTCGGAAATGGAAACAGAAAGCAAGATCCTGTATTAACATCTCGGAAATGGACAGCAAGATCCCGTATTAACATCTCGGAAACGGAAACGGAAAGCAAGATCCTGTATTAACATCTCGGAAACGGAAACGGAAAGCAAGATCCCGCATTAACATCTTGGAAACGGACAGCAAGATCCCGTATTAACATCTCAGAAACGGACAGCAAGATCCCGCATTAACATCTTGGAAATGGACAGCAAGATCCTGTATTAACGTCTTGGAAATGGAAACAGAAAGCAAGATCCCATATTAACATCTCGGAAATGGACAGCAAGAGCCTGTATTAACATCTCAGAAACAGAAAGCGAGATACCGCATTAACAGCTCGGAAATGGACAGCAAGATTGCGTATTAACATCTCGGAAATGGACAGCAAGATCCTGCATTAACATCTCGGTTTCTGCCCAATTTGTCAACAATCGGCTGCCAAGGCTGGGGGCTCCTTCCTTTCTCAGCTCACCAGGACCTTTCCTTTGCCACTTTGGAGGAGACAGACACCAGATACCTGAACGCAGGGATCACCTGCTGTATATACAAAGGCCACCAAAGGACAGATGTGGTGGTTCATGCCTGTAATCTCAGCACTTTGGGAGGCCAAGGTGGAAGGAATGCTTGAGACCAGGAGTTTGAGACCAGCCTGGGCAACACAGCAAGACCCCATCTCTACAAAAAATTAAAATATTAGCTGGGCATGGTGGCACACTCCTGTAGTCCCAGCTATTCAGGAAGCAGAGACAGGAGGTTTTGCTTGAGCCCAGGAGTTTGAGGCTGCAGTGAGCCATGATTCTTCCATTGCACTCCAGCCTGGGCCACAGAGCAAGACCCTGACTCTAAAAAAATAAAATAAATGAGAACCAGCCAGGGGGTTATTATGGAAATCATCTGTCAAGCTGTCCACACACACAATGTACACATGAACACACACCCCCTAACCCATGACTGCTGGAACCCTCCAGAACTAGAGTGGGCCTGTGCCTTTTGAATGGGTCCCTGGGTGTGATCTCAGCTCACTGCAACCTCCGCCTCCCAAGTTTAAGCGATTCTCCTGTCTCAGCCTCCGAGTAGCTGGGATTACAGGTGTGCGCCACCACACCTGGCTAATTTTTGTAGTTTTAGTAGAGATGAGGTTTCGCCATATTCCCCAGACTGGTCTCAAACTCCTGGGCTCAAGTGATCCGCCTGCCTTGGCCTCCCCAAAAGTGCTGGGATTCCAAGCGTGAGCCACCACGCCCAGCCTGGGTGCTTTCTGATGCTCACCTCTGGCTAAGAACCAAAAGGGGTCACCTGACACTCTCTCGGGAGCATAGCACATTTTCTGCTTGTTTGCTCCCGCTGCTCTTGTATGCATTTGAGGGATGCCAGCACTTGCAGAGAGCCACTGAAGAGGCCCGGAGCCGCTGTGGGATTTGCAAGAGTCCGTGGACGGAGGTTTCATTGGAATCCCCCTCCTGGCTTTGAGGAACTGCGGCTCCAAAACGATCCTCCCCCTTTCCTACCTACCTATAATGCAATGAAGTTTAAACGCATGTCACTCCTAACTTTGGACCACTGGGTGTAGAATGCCACTGCAGAACCAAGTCCTGGCCAGGCCACAGGTGATGCAGCTCTTGTGGAATCAGCAGTGTTAGGGCCTCTAAAGAGGTGAATGTTGATAGAACCAACTAGCCATCATCCAAGTGTGGTTTCTAGGACGTGGGAGGTGGGGTCTCCCTTGACTTGGCTGACTCCGGCTGGGCTTCGAGCACCTACCCACGCTCACACAAAGGAGGCAGGAAGATCATTCTACACGCTCCGGGGGCGAACATGGACCAGCAAGGGGACAAAAGTTTGGAGTAACCCTCCTTTTTTTTTTTTGTATTTTTTTGAGACGGAGTTTCGCTCTTGTTGCCCAGGCTGGAGTGCAGTGGTGCGATCTCAGCTCACTGCACGCTCCGCCTCCCGGGTTCACACCATTCTTCTGCCTCAGCCTCCCGAGTAGCTGGGACTACAGGCGCCCACCACCACGCCTGGCTAATTTTTTGTACTTTTAGTAGAGACCAGGTTTCACCATGTTAGCCAGGATGGTCTCGATCTCCTGACCTCGTGATCCACCCGCCTTGGCCTCCCAAAATGCTGGGATTACAGGCATGAGCCACTGTGCCCGGCCTACGCCTGGCTAATTTTTTGTATTTTTAGTAAAGACGGGGTTTCGCCATGTTGGGCAGGCTGGTACTGAACTTCTGACCTCAGGTGATCTGCCCGCCTTGGCCTCCCAAAGTTACAGGGATTACAGGTGTGAGCCACCGTGCCCATCTGGAGTAACCCTCCTTGAGACAGACGGCATCCCCAAGGCAAGACAGGCTGGATCTGGAGGCCCAGTTCCTGGGGCAGGGCAGCCCCTTCAAACGACCCTTTGTGTCATCCAAACAGTGATGACACAAAGTGGTGGTCAGCAGGTCCCATACTGAGCTGCAGGGGTCTCTCAGGGGCCACCGTGGCCTGGTAAGGAACAAAGTCTAGATATGCTTTCTTTGATTGATTTTGTTAATATGTGTGTGTGTATACATATGTATCTTATATAATAGAGATGGGATCTTGCTATGTTGCCCAGGCTGCTCTTAAACTCCTGAGCTCAACTGATTTTCCCTCCTTAGCGGCTGGAGTAGCTGGGATTACAGGTGTGCACCACCATGCCTGGCTAATTTTTAAATTTTTCTTAGAGACAGGATCTTGCTATGTTGCCCAGGCTGGTCTCGAACTCCTGGCCTCAAGTGATCCTCCTGCCTTGGCCTCTCGAAGTGCTGGATTTACAGCGTGAGGCATTGCATCTGGCCCGCTTTATTTTACATCTCAGGATTCTATGTAAGATTTCACTGACGTGTTCTGAATGGGGTTGTAGTTAAAACCCAAACCAAACCTTGAAAAATCACTGCTACATAACAGATGCCTTTTAATTCCCAAGTCTCAAGACTCTACAATTCTGTGGAAAAACCCCACAGTGAAGAATGTAAGTTTTTTTTTTTGCTTTTTGTTATTTTGTTTTTGTTTTTTTTGAGACAGAGTCTTGCTCTGTTGCCAGGCTCGAGTGCAGTGGCAGTGGCACGATCTCGGCTCACTGCAACCTTTGCTTCCTGGGTTCAAGCAATTCCTCTGCCTCAGCCTCCCAAGTAGCTGGGATTACAGGTGCGTGCCACCATGCCAGGCTAATTTTTTGTATTTTAATAGAGACGGGGTTTCACCATGTTGGCCAGGACGGTCTCGATCTCCTGGCCTTGTGATCCGCCCGCCTCAGACTCCCAAAGTGCTGGGATTACAGGCGTGAGCCACTGCGCCCGGCCAGAATATAAGTTTTTGATTAAAAAAAAAAATTGTTTTTACCTTGATCAAGTTTTGAAATTTCTTGTTTTGCTGAAGCAGCAACTTGTAATGACTAACAGCTTCATTGTGGCCACTACAAAACACACCGTACTTTTCTTTCATTCTCTCCCCATTTTCACCTGAAAACTGATAAACAAAAGGATGGAAATGTTAATTAAACACGAAAACTGCCAAAGAGTATTTTCATCTAATTCGTCTGAGTCTGCTAAAATAAATATTAGATTTATTTGCAATTCCATTTTCTTTCTTTCTTCTTCTTTTTTTTTTTTTTTTGAGACAGCATCTTGCTCTGTGGCTCAGGCTAAAGAGCAATGGCGCGATCTTGGCTCACTGCAACCTCTGTCTCCCGGGATCAAGCGATGCTCCTGCTGTAGTCTCCCAAGTAGCTGGGATTACAGGTGCCGCCACCACGCCTGGCTAATTTTTTTTAGACAGAGTCTCACTCTGTTGCCCAGGCTGGAGTGCAGTGGCGTGATCTTGGCTCACTGCAACCTCCACCTCCCGGGGTCAAGCGATTCTCCTGCCTCAGCCTCCTGAGTAGCTGAGATTACAGGGGCATGCCACCATGCCCTGCTAATTTTTGTATTTTTAGTAGAGACCAGGTTTCACCATGTTGGTCAGGCTGGTCTCGAACTCTTGACCTCTTGATCCACCCACCTCATCTTCCCAAAGTGCTGGGATTATAGGCATGAGCCACCGCGCCTGGCCAGCCAAAGTATATTTTCATCTAATTTGTCTGACTCTGCTAAAATAAATATTAGATTTATTTGCAATTCCATTTTCTTTTATTTTTTTTAGAGACAGCATCTTGCTCTGTGGCTCAGGCTGGAGGGCAGTGGTGTGATCTTGGCTCACTGCAACCTCTGCCTTCCGGGTCTGAGTGATTCTCCTGCCACAGCCTCCTGAGTAGCTGGGATTACAGGTGCCACCACCACACCTGGCTAACCTGACCATGTTGGTCAGGCTGGCCTTGAACTCATAACCTCAAGTGATCCACCCCCACTCAGCCTCCCAAAGTGTTGGGGTCACAGGTGTGAGCCACAGTGCCTGGCTGCAGTTCCATTTTCTAATATGTCCTCAAACAGAGAAATGCTTCAGTTTGGGGTGTCTAATCGCAAGGTGTCATAAAGGTGAAATAAAAAAACCTTCTGCTTCGGGGCTTTGCTGCATCACAGATGCTGTACAACTTCCTGAGAGCCGAGAAAAAAAGTAAATTTCAGCCAAAGGACGTTAGAAACAAAAAGCAGGCCAGGCGCAGTGGCTCACATACGTAATCCCAGCAGTTTGGGAGACTGAGGCAGGCGGATCACCTGAGGTCAAGAGTTCAAGACCAGCCTGGCCAACATGGTGAAACCCTGTCTCTACTAAAAATACAAAAAAAATTAGCCGGGTGTGGTGGCAGGCACCTGTAATCCCAGCTACTCGGGAGGCTGAGGCATGAGAATTGCTTGAACCTGGGAGGTGCAGGTTGCAGTGAGCCGACATTGCACCACTGCACTCCAGCCTGGGCGACAGAGTGAGACTTTGTCTCAAAAAAAGAAACATAAAAAGCAAAAGGAGTGTTCTTCTAATTAGTTGGCCCAGGATGCTTCGAGCAAATAGTTTGAGGTCACATGAAGGGCACAGCTCCCCTGGGTAAATCTTGGCCTAGGGTGATCATTTGGGGTTAATACCACTACCACGGTTGGTGCTGGTTCACAGGTATGCTTTCCCCCACTCCCAAATTGGGGTCTTACTCTGCTGCCCAGGCTGGAGGGCAGTGGCATGATCATAGCTCATTGCAGCCTTGACCTCTCAAGCTCAAGTGATCCTCCCACCTCAGCCTCCTGAGTAGCTGGGACTACAGCTATACACCACCACAGCTGGCTAATTTATTTTCATGTTTTGTAGATACGGGGTCTTGCTATGTTGCCCAGGCTGGTCTGGAACTCCTGGACTCAAGCAATTCACCTGCTTGGCCTCCCAAAGTGCTGGGATTACAGGTGTGGGCCACTGCACTCAGTCAACAGGTAAGCTTTGAACGGTTGAAAGCATAAGTGACTTGAACCAAAAACCAAAAACCAACCAACCAAACAAGAGCACAGAAGAATGTAACATTGAATAGTGTTCAGCCAGGGACACTGCCTAATTTAGGTCTCTGTGTTTCTAGAATATGAACTGCAGGCATCGCTGTAAGGGGCCCAGAACTGTGTGTCCTCAGGGGCCACTCTCGTTTTATTACTGAAAGGAAAAGGCTGGCACAATGGCTCATGCCTGTGATCCCTGCACTTTGGGATGCCGAGGCAGGGGGATTGCTTAAGCCAGGAATTTGAGACTAGCCTGGGCAACAAAGCAAGACCCCATCTCTTCAAAAAATAAAAAGTTAGCCAGGCATGGTGTTCCCTGGAGTCCCAGCTACGTGGAAGGCTGAGGCAGGAGGATCACTTGAGCTCAGGAGTTCAAGACCAGCCTGGGCCATAGAGTGAGACCTCATCTCTACAAAAAATAAAATTTAGCCGGGTATGGTGGCGCATAGCTGTAGTCCCAGCTACTTGGGAGGCTGAGGTGGGAGGATCACCTGAGCCTGAGAGGTTGAGGCTGCATTGAGCTGTGACTGCACCACTGCACTCCAGCCTGGGCGACACGGCAAGACCCTATCTCAGAAAAAAAGAAGAAAGGAACAGAGACAAGGCAGAGGCTTTGAAGACTGTTGAGATGAACACGGCTGCACCCACCTGCTGAACCAGGAGGTCGCCGATTTTCTGGATGACATAATTCCGGTCACTGCCCTCCTCCAGGGACTCCTGGCGGCGCTCCTTGAGCCGAGCGAGGAAGTGGCTGTGCGTCTCCAGCAGGTCGTCAGCGCATGGGAAGAGGCGGCCAATGGCCTTGCTGCTGAACTGCAGCTCCTCCTGCAGGGCCCTGGAGTACACCTTCAGCATGATCTTGAGCGTCCGCACGTGGTGCACCTCTGTCTGCATCAGCTCTGCAGGGACACAGACGGCAGGACTTAGCCATGCTGGCTCCACGGCCCCGCTGGGCAGTCGTGGGTGCTGCCTGCCCTTCACGTGCTGAACTGGCTTCTGAGAGTTCTCTGCCTAAGACCTTGTGCCTTTGGGATCTTTCTTACTTCCAGGGTGTCCAGGGTTTAGAATGCTGCGGGGGATCCCAGCCTGAAGGAGCAGGGGAAGGAGAGAACCCTGGGCCTCCCCATCACGGGAGGGTTTTGCGCCCAGTGTCAACCCAACGGACGACATTTTAAGTCCGTGTTTTTTTTTTTTTCTTTGAGATGGAGTCTTGCTCTGTCGCCCAGGCTGGAGTGCAGTGGCAAAATCTCAGCTCACTGCAACCTCCGCCTCCCGGGTTCAAGCGATTCTCCTGCCTCAGCCTCCCAAGTAGCTGGGATTACAGGTGCACACCACCACGCCTGGCTATCAAGTCTGTTTTAGGAAGAAGAGTGTTCTGAGGAACACTCCTGTGGCTGTTAAAACTCATCCATCACATCTGTGTGTGTCCCTGACCAGACCTAGACTGCAATGAACAAGATGTTTGCGTCCCCCAAAATTCGTATGTCGAAATTCGAACCCCAAAGGTGATAGTATCAGGAGGTACAGCCCTTGGAAGGTGATGAGGTCCTAAGGGGAGAGAACCTCATGGTGGGACTGGTGCCCTTAGGAAAAGGACCTGAGGGCCAAGGGTGGTGGCTCACGTCTGTAATCCCAGCACTCTGGGAGGCCGAGGTGAGCAGATCACATGAGGTCAGGAGTTCGAGACTAGCCTAGCCAACACAGCGAAACCCTGTCTCTACCAAAAAATAAAAAAATGAGCCGGGCATGGCCGGGCATGGTGGCTGACGCCTGTAATCCTAGCATTTTGGGAGGCCAAGGTGGGAGGATCATGAGGTCAGGAGTCCGAGACTAGCCTGACCAACATGGTGAAACACCGCCTCTACTAAAAATACAAAAATTAGCTGGGCGTGGCAGTGGGCGCCTGTAATTCCAGCTATTTGGAAGGCTGAGGCAGGAGAATTGCTTGAACCCGGGAGGTGGAGGTGAGCCGAGATGGAACCACTGCACTCCAGCCTGGGCGACAGAGCGAGACTCCATCTCAAAAAAAAAAAAAAAAAAAAAAAAATTAGCTGGGCATGGTGGCAGGCACTGTCATCTCAGCTACTCGGGAGGCTGAGGCAGGACAATTGCTTGAACCTGGGAGGTGGAGGTTGCAGGGAGCTGAGACTGCATCACTGCATCCAGCCTGGGTGACAGAGTAAGACCCTGTCTCAAAAAAAGAAAAAAGAGGACCTGAGAAAGACCATGAAGACCTTGTGAGGACACAGCCAGATGCCACCAGCAGGAAGCCAGGAAATGGGGCCTTCATGGACACTAAGTCTGCCGCCGCCTTGGTCTTAGACGTCCCAGCCTCTAGAACTGTAAGCAATAAACTTCTGTGGCTTCTAAGCCACCCTGTGTATGGTGTTCTATGAGAGCTGCCTATATAGGCTAAGACAGCCACCAACAAGGGAAGAAGAAGCCAGACCTGGGCATTCAGCCAGACATGTTCACAGGGACGTATTATAACAAAATCCTCTCCGACAGTCTCTTTCCTGGCATGGGAGGCAGGGCTGCACCAAGAGAGGAGAGAGAAAGACAGAGAGAGGCCAGGCACCGTGGCTCACGCCTATAATCCCAATAGTTTGGGAGGCCCAGGCGGGCGGGTCACTTGAGCTCAGGAGATTGAGACCAGCCTGGGCAACATGGTGAGACCCCCAACTCTACAGAAAATAAAAAAATTCGCCAGGTGTAGTGGCCCATGCCTGTGGTCCCAGCTACTAGGGAGGCTGAGGTGGGAGGATTGTTTGAGCCCAGGTCGAGGCTGCAGTGAGCTCTGATTGTCCCACTGTACTCCAGCCTGGGCAATAGAGAGAGACTGTGTCTCAAAAAAGAAAAAAAAGAAAGAAAGAAAGAGAGAAAGAGGACAAAAGAGAGAAGGAAAGAGAGAAAGAAAGAAAGAAAAAGATAAGGAAGGAAGGAAGGAAGGAAGGAAGGAAGGAAGGAAGGAAGGAAGGGAGGGAGGAAGGGAGGGAGCAGAGAAGAGAGTGGAGGGCCGGTGTGATGGCACAGGGCTGTGGACTCCTCACCATAAAGGACATCTTGTCTTTTCACCACCTCCCTCTTTTGCTTCTTGGCGTAGGCTGCATCCACGGCGAGGCTCCAGGACTCAGCTTCAAACTCGTGGCCGTCTGACTCAATCTCACTCCTCAGCGAGGCGGTGTAGGGATCTGAGGGAAGAGCGAGGTGTGGCTGCTGGGGGCCCAGAGCCATGCCACCCCAATTCCCTCCCGTAGACATGCTGACACGAGCCCCAGCTCTTCCCAGGAGAGACAGGAACTGTGTGGCAGCCGCGAGAGAGCGGAGATGACCATACCTTCTACAAAAATGGACTCGGTGTTTGGAGATGTAAGGGACAGAGAGTCATCAGCTGTCTGCTTAAATTTTAAAAACGCAGAATCGGCTTCATCCATCTCTCCTGTGATTGGTCTGAGTGCAAACAATAAAAACAATTGTTTTAGAAAAGTGAATTAAACACACACGACCTCATGCAACAAAGGCACATCGGTGACTCCATCCGATTCGATACTCTCTGAGAACTCTCCACATTTTCACAGAAGCCTCAACTTTGTCTACAGATCATTTTTAAAAATTGGGAGATTTGCCAGGTGCAGTGTCTCACGCCTGTAATCCCAGACTTTGGGAGGCCAAAGCCAGGAGGATCACCTGAGGTCAGGAGTTCGAGACCAGCTCGCCCAACATGGCAAAATCCCGTCTCTGCTAAAAATACAAAAATTAGCCGGGTGTGGTGGCAGGTGCCTGTAATCCCAGCTACTTGGGAGGCTGAGGTAGGGGAATCACTTGAATCTGGGAGGTGGAGGTTGCAGTGAGCTGAGATTGTGCCACTGAACTCCAGCCTGGGCGACAGAGACTCTGTCTAAAGAAAAAAAAAAAAAAGTGGTGGGGGGCGGGGGGTGGGGAAGATTATCTGTCAATGTCACATCAGGATTTCTTCCATAGTAACTTCCTTTAATGTTTAGTTACGTTCTAACGGGGTGTGGATTGCAGCTTCCTTGACAGACCACTGGAGCCCACTTGGGGCCCCTGGGATCCTGTCTACCAGGAGTTAAGTGGAAATGGTTTCATGGTCAAGGTGGGAGGGCAGTCCTTACTCAGAGGAAAATGATAATTTACTCCCTTTCCCACGAACTCATGGAATAGTCACCACAAACATATCAGCTTCTAGCATCACTTTCTACCCGGACACCGCTGCAGGCATTATCAAGGGAACCACTTTGAAGTCCTATAAAACGAGGTAAGGCACAGATAATGGGACGCCGCCTCCACACACCCAGCAGGACTTTGAGCATCGCCTTGAGTAAGTCAGGAGCCCGGCCTAAGGAGCGAGTCCAAGGATCCCTCGAGGGCACTAAGCAAACTGGCTCCACCAGGGGCCGAATACACCCCGGGACACATCGTTTTTGCAAAAAAGGCGTGGATCCTGGAAGCAAGCGTTAATGGGAATTTCTCTGCTTAGCACGGGGGCTGCCGTGTGGATTCACACAGATCTAAGTCGGGGTCTCCCTCCGAAGAGGCTGTCAACAGCTCCCCGGGGAATGCCACCACCCACCCGAGGGCACAGAGGGGACCCTGGCTTACCCGAGTTGCGTCCCAGGGCCAGCCGGGCTCGGTGTTGGCTGGGGACCCCCTTTCTGAGAGACCGTCATACCGACATTCCTGGACAGGGCCGGGCTGCCATCGGACAGGAGGGTGCCCCGGGGGTGCTCCTTGAGCGAGGCTGTGACAGAGGCAAGGACAGAGTTGGTGCTGAGAAAGTGGGTCGGGTAGCGGAGGTCCCCGGCGCGGAAGCCCCGCTCCGACTGCGGCCGCAGCACAGACAGGATCTTGGAGGTCAGCAGCTCGTTATCCAAGAAGACGTTCTCGCTCCATTTCCTGGGGAAAGAGCCGTAAAAAGACAGCTCGGGGCGGCCGGGGAGCGCGCTGTGCCTGTCCCCGCTTTTGGAGTGCGCATTCCCCATGTTCGCGCCCGGGGCTCCGGGACCCGGCGCGGCGCCAGGCTGGGCTGCGCCGTTTTTATGCCTCGGTGGGATCCTTCTAGAAAACAGAGCTGCGTCTTCCCTTGCTGTATTGGCTGAAGCAGCGGGTCTGGAGGGCAGGATATTGGTCCCCACTGTGACCATTTACTGTGGAAATTGCAGTATTTGCTGCTTTGATAGAATAAAACAGAAAAAAAAAACAACCCCTCCAGGCTCTCCCTTGGTCTTTGCAGGGTGTAAAAAGCAAGTGAGCTGTTTGAGTTTGCTGTAAATAGTCTAAGATCATGAAACGGTGAGCCTGGCGTGCTTCATGCCAAAACCTCGCACATGATGATAATTAATCTAGATCAGATGTTAGGGTGACTCTAAGACCCAGAGATGGCAGGGCATGGTGTTTAGCCGCCCCTGGTCATCAGCACTCGAACAGAATTCTAGCATCGAAGTGGACGCGAGGCTCCGATTCTGTTCCATATGGTGATTATAAACCAACCCAACATCAACAGGGGCTGCAAACCGCTGTCTACACCCATCTGTTCATTAATTTAAGGGTTCAGATCATAGGATACGTGTGCCCGCTGACAAGCTCACCTACTCATGGAAAGATGCAACTTTTTAAATTAATTATTATTATTTTTAGAGACAGTCTCACTCTAGCTCAGGCTGGAGTGCAGTGGCCGACCATAGCTCACTGCAGCCTTAAACTCCTAGGTTCAAGCAATCCTTCTGCCTCAGTCTCCTGAGTAGCTGGGACTACAGGTGTGCTGTATAATTTAAAAATATTTTCTTGTAGAGGTTGGGGGGGGGTCTCACTATGTTGCTCAGGCTGGTCTTGAACTCCTGACTTCAAGCGGTCCTCCTGCTTTGGGCCTCCCAAGATGCAACACTTAATAAAGCTCAACTATGGCCGGGTGCGGTGGCTCACGCCTGTAATCTCAGCACTTTGGGAGGCCGAGGTGGGTTGATCACAAGGTCAGGAGTTCAAGACCAGCCTGGCCAGGAAACCCCCGTCTCTACTTAAAAAAAATAAAAAATACAAAATACAAAAATTAGAAGGGCGTGGTGGTGGATGCCTGTAATCTCAGCTACTCGGGAGGCTGAGGCACGGAATCGCTTGAACCCGGGAGTCGGAGGTTGCAGTGAGCGGAGATTGCGCCACTGCACTCCAGCCTGGGCGACAGAGTGAGACTCCGCCTAAAAAATAAACAAATAATAAATAAAGCTCAACCATCATTCATTAGGTTCAGTTTTCCCCTCCTATTTGACAAGCATAGTTGAGATGGGCTACTTGGCTAGTTTACTCTTACATTTTATAAAATTGTATCTTAAAGCTTTGCCCAGGTAAGGACAAAGAGCAGCATTAAAAAGAAATCTGGCGGCCGGACACGGTGGCTCATGCCTGTAATCCCAGCACTTTGGGAGGCCAAGGTGGGTGGATCACCTGAGATGGGGAGTTCAAGACTAGCCTAGCCAACATGGAGAAACCCCATCTCTACTAAAAATACAAAATTAGCCAGGCATGGTGGCACATGCCTGTAAAACCAGCTACTAGGGAGGCTGAGGCAGGAGAATCGTTTGAACCCCGGAGGTGGAGGTTGTGGTGAGCCGAGACCGTGCCACTGCACTCCAGCCTGGGCAACAAGAGTGAAACTCTGTCTCAAAAATAAAAAAAAAAAAAAGAAATCTGGGCCAGACATGGTGGCTCACGCCTGTAATCCTAGCAGTTTGGGAGGTAGAGGTGGAAGGATCGCTTGAGGCCAGGAGTTCAAAACCAGCCTGGGAAACATAGCAAGACCCCGTCTCTACACAAAATAAAAAAATAGCTGAGCACAAGTGGCGCACGCCTGTAGTCTCAGCTACTCGGGAGGCTGAGGCAGTAGGATTGCTTGAGCCCAGGAGTTCAAGGCTGCAGTGAGCTATGATTGTGCCACTGCACTCCAGCCTGGGTGACAGAGCGGGACCTTCTCGAAAAGAAGAGGGGAGGAGAAGGGAGGAGAGGGGAAGGGAGGGGAGGGGAGGGGAGAAGAGAAGAGAGAAGAGAGGAGAGAAGAGGAGAGGGGAAGGGAAGGGAGGGGAGGGGAGGGGAGGGGAGGAGAGAGGAGAGGAGAGGAGCTTAGAGAAGAGAAATAGAAATCTGATTTGTCAGATCAGGTGCAGTGGCTCATGCCTGTAATCCCAGCACTTTGGAAGGCCGACGCGGGTGGATCACCTGAGGTCAGGATTTTGAGACCAGCCTGGCCAACATGATGAAACCCCATCTCTACTAAAAATACAAAATTAGCTGGGCATGGTGGCGGGCACCTGTAATCCCAGCTACTCGGGAGGCTGAGGCAGGAGAATCGCTTGAACCCGGGAGGCAGAGGTTGCCGTGAGCTGACATCATGCCACCGCACTCCAGCCTGAACAACAAAGTGAGACTCCATCTCACAAAAAAAAAGAAAAAAAAAAGAAATCTGATCTGTCCTGTGGCCTCCTGGCTCCTAGGTCCCGATACACCATTGCCTTGTCTATGTTACAGGAAGAGAGCAGCTAGAAGTCTCTTTCTTGGGAACACGGAGTTATAAACCATGGGGTGGGCAGAGCTTACCCTAGGGAAAACGTACTCGCAGCAGCTCTCCTGGGAGAGGATTCAGCATTCTCTGAGCAACTTTTTTTTTTTTTTTTTGAGACGGATTTCCGCTTTTGTTGCCCAGGCTGGAGTGCAATGGCGTGATCTCAGCTCACCGCAACCTCTGCCTCCCAGGTTCAAGCGATTCTCCTGCCTCCCGAGTAGCTGGGATTACAGGCATGTGCCACCACACCCGGCTAATTTTGTATTTTTAGTAGAGACGGAGTTTCTCCATGTTGGTCAGGCTGGTCTCGAACTCCCAACTTCAGGTGATCCACCCACCTCGGCCTCCCTAAGTGCTGGGATTACAGGCTTGAGCCACCGTAGCCGGCCTCTGAGCAACTTTTAATTTAGCTGTAAATTGAAGGTGATTGTTAACGAGCAGGTGAGTGTGTGTTAGAGATTTTCTGGCAGAGGAGTCAAGAATTCTTGCCAATTAAGACATCAGCCACTAAGCTGTGTAACAGCACATTGCACATATACTCAGTAGCTGTTCATTCTTTCCACAGCCCAGCACAGCAAAGATGACATTTGTTCAGAGGCCAGAAACATTCTGACGTCATAACACATGACTAACAATTACTATTGTTATAGGAGACAAAGCAATTGAAGATGTCACTCACAAAGCAACACCTATGTAAAAAAACAGGAATCCTAAACCAAAGGCGACACGGTCCAGGACAGGCATTTCTTGCCATTTCTGTACAACACTCAACTCCACCCAGGCAATTATGACCTAAACGTACAAATATGGCGCAAATCCCGAGATGTATCCTTTGCCCAGCAGCATCCTGGCAGGGCTGACAGATGGTTGCTTGTGGACTGAGGTCTTGACTGAAATCAGATTAATTCTGCTCTAATACAATAGTCCATAGAAGAAAAAGTCACTAAAAATAGCATCTGGCTGGGTGTTGTGGCTCACACCTGTAATCCCAGCACTTTGGGAGGCCGAGCGGGGTGGATCATTTGAGGTCAGGAGTTCAAGACCAGCCTGGCCAACATGGGGAAAACCTGTCTCTACTAAAAATACAAAAATTAGCTTGGCAGTGGTGGTGCACACCTGTAATCACAGCTACTCAGAAGGCTGAGGCAGGAGAATTGCTGGAGCCTGGGAGGCAGAGGTTGTGGTAAGCCGAGATCATGCCACTGCACTCCAGCCTGGGCAGCAGAGTGAGATCCTGTCTTGAAAAAAACTAAAACCAAAAAACCAAACAAAAAAAACAGCATGTAAGCAATGCCAATTCCCAAAATCAAGTTGATGGCAAAAAAAAAAAAAAAAAAAGAAGAAATGCTGATTCCAAAGAATTTTAATAAACTATTGGTAATGCTAAATCTATGGGAATATATGTAAACCCTCCTTTGATGATTTAGAAGACACTGAAGTTTTCACATGTTGGGGTCATGACCAGGGACAGCAGGTTAGAGACCAGTCTGGGCAACACAGTGAGATCTCGTCTCTTAAAAAACAACAACAAAAAATTAGGCAGGCATGTTGGTGTGTGCCAGTAGTTCCAGCTACCTGGGAGGCTGAGGTGGGAAAATTGCTTGAGCCCTGGGGTTCAGGGCTGTGGTGAGCTATGACTGCCCCACTGCACTCCAGCCTGGGTGACAGAGCAAGACTCTGAAAAAGAATGAAATGAAATAGAATAAGAGGTGGACAGTCATAAATTGAGTCTTCCTGGAACACATGCGGCCACTGAAATAGCTGATGGGTCAAGACATGAGTCAGTGGCCCTGCCACAGACCCGCTGTATTGATTATGTCCTTTTATTCCGGATTTGTGATGCTCTGACATCTTGGGGCTTTGCTGACCATGGATGCACAGCCCCTCCCAGGCCAGTTTCTAGAGACAGTAAAGGGTCTGCACCCAGTGCAGAGCTCAGACCCCCAGTTGCCTCCTTTATGGGGCTCTCACACTCCTGGCCACGGTCCCGCTGCCCTCATCACCTCGGGGCCCCATCCTGAACCTGCTCACCCTGCCTGGCCCATTTGTTCCCCGGGAAACCACAATGAAGACTCCTGTCCATATTTTCCCCTCTGTCCCTCAACTGACCCTGGTGCTTCCCCATGTGGCCCCTGTGTGGTGTGCCCTGCCTCCTGCTTCCAGAGGACTGTGAATATAAACTTCTTCCTTCCTGACGGTCATTTCTGGGTCTGTGAGTCTCACCATACTGGGTTAAGACAAATCCTGGGTACCCTAAAACACCAGCTGCCCAGAGGCCAGAAGTCTGCTTGCCAGGGATGGGAGAGCCTCAGATCTTCTGACGCCTTTTTTTTTTTGAGATGGAGTCTCGCTCTGTCACTCAGGCTGGAAAACAGTGAGGGTGATCTCGGCTCACTGCAACCTCCACCTCCCAGGTTCAAGTCATTCTGCCTCAGCCTCCCGAGTAGCTGGGATTACAGGTGCCTGCCACCACGCCCAGCTAATTTTTGTATTTTTAGTAGAGATGGGGTTTTGCCACATTGGCTAAGCTGGTCTCAAACTCTTGACCGCAGGTGATCCGCCCGCCTTGGCCTCCCAAAGTGCTGGGATTACAGGCGTGAGCCACTGCGCCTGGCCTATGGTGTTTCTTTTTGGGGTTCTAAGATCCATTTCGGTGACTCTGAATATACTAAAAGCCCCTGGGTTGTACTCTTAAATGGGTGCATTGTATGGTCTGTGAATTACGTCTCAATAAACCTGCTCAACCAACAAACTCACACCTGTGATGGACAGGCTTCTTTCTGTGGGAGGAGAGCAAAACATCTGATTTGCAGCTCAACATATGGTGGGAATTAGTCGCTCTGCTCTTGGCTCCGAGAGAGACAGGGATACATATTTATCTCCTGCTACGGTTTTTCCTACAGCAGACGGCCATGGTGCTTGGGGTTCAGCTTGTGCTGTCCAGCACTTTCTGTGCAGCTGCAAAAGCTACTCAGAGTCTAATTAGCGCCTCCTGCCCACTGCTGAGAGGTGCGATCGATTAGTGAGCACCTGGCCCGCTGTGGCCACTGTATGCCGCAGAGCTCTTTCTGCAAGGGGACCTGGAGGATGGATGGAAAGAGGTGAACGGTGAAAATCAAAACAGTTCTGACCTGAGGGGGAAAAAATATACCCTATTCTCAGCAACAAACACAGACAGTGGCCTATCCTCAGGGTGATTTTTAAAAGTTGGTTTTGTCTTGGTTTCATGAATTCAAGAGTAGTCCCTGGCCAGGCACAGTGGCTCATGCCTGTAATCCCAGCACTTCGGGAGGCTGAGGTGGGAGGATCGCTTGAGGCTAGGTGTTCGAGACCAGCCTGGGCAACATAGACCCTGTCTCTATAAATTTTTTGTTTTTTTAAAAAACACTAAAACAAGAGCAATCTCTGAGCAAGTTAGATGACAAAGCTTTCGTAACAGGTGTCAGGATCCCACCTGCATTACTTTACTGGGACAAAAGACTCCATACTTTTTTTTTCTTTTTTTTTTTTTTTTTAATGAGACAGATCTCACTCTGTCGCCCAGGTTGGAGTGCAGTGGTGTGATGTCAGTTCACTGCAACCTCCGCCTCCTAGGTTCAAGTGATTCTCCTGCCTCAGCCCCTCGAGTAGCTGGAATTACAGGTGCCTGCCACCATGCCTGGCTATTTTTGTATTTTTAGTAGAGATAGGGTTTCTCCACGTTGGCCAAGCTGGTCTCAAACTCCTGGCCTCAAGTGATTCGCCTGCCTCGGCCTTCCAAAGTGTTGGGATTACAGGCCTGAGCCACCGCACCCAGCCTAAGACCCCAGACTTTTTCCAGTGCCGCTGTGCTTCCTTTGTGACTCAGTCTCTCATAAATCCTGTAAGCCACAGGCTTTGTCCTCTGACAGCCAAGCACACTCCTTATTAGGTCTTACAGGAACAGGACTCACCAAAAATTACATGAAAACGGCTGAGTAGTTACTAGCCTGTTCAAAGTGATGTCCAAGAAAACCTGATACACTTTTTTTTTTTTTTTTTTTTTTTTTGGAGACGGAGTCTTGCTCTGTCACCCAGGCTGGAATGCAGTGGCATGATCTTGGCTCACTGCAACCTCCGCCTCCCTGCAGTGGTGCAATCTTGGCTCACTGCAACCCCGCCTCCTGGGTTCAAGTGATTCTCCTGCCTCAGCCTCCCGAGTAGCTGGGACTACAGGTGTGTCCAACCACACCCAGCTAATTTTTGTATTTTTAGTAGAGACGGGGTTTCACTATGTTGGCCAGGCTGGTCTCAAACTCCTGACCTCAGGTGATCCACCCGCCTTGGCCTCCCAAAGTGCTGGGATTACAGGTGTGAGCCACCGTGCCCGGCCTGCCTTCTTTTTTTTTTTTAAAGAGAGACACATTCTCGCTCCATCATCTAGGCTAGAGTACAGTGGCATGATCACAGCTCACTGAAGCCTCCAATTCCTGGGCTCAAGGGATCCTCCAGCCTCAGCCTCCTGAGTAGCTAGGATTACAGGTGTGTGATACCATGCCCAGCTAATTTAAAATTTTTCTGTAGCAACGGGGGTCTCATTATGTCGCCCAGGCTGGTCTTGAATACCTAGCCTTAAGTGATCCTCCCGCTTCGACTTCCCAAAGTGCTGGGATTATAGGCATGGGCCAGTGTACCCGGACCTGATATGACATATTAAGTGACTGTCTTAATTGGTTTCAAACTGTCCTTTATAAATAATCTAGAGGCACACTGACTTCCAGAAATGCCAATTTGTAAGCAAGAATTGCCTGTCTTAAATTGCAGATTCCTATATAGCCTCTCACTTGTAAAGGGACCCCAAACATCTTTTGAAGGCAGCTGGGCCCTAGTCCATAAGTCTCCAGTTTTCTGCAAAGGACTATTCAAGAAACAAACAGGGCTGGGAGTGGTGGCTCAAGTCTGTAATCTGAGTACTTTGGGAGGCTGAGGCAGGAGGATCCCTTGAGCCCAGCAGGTCGAGACTGCAGTGAGCTATGATGGCACCACTGTATTCCAGCCTGGGCGACGTAGTGAGACCCTGTCTCTGAACAAAACAAAAACAAAAAGAAAGAAACAAGTGAACCAGACAAGCACCTCGGTTTCAAGGCCTGGTCTCAGAAATAATGACTCCTTTTCTCACATTTAGGGAGGTTTTCTGTCCCCACCCATCCTTCTGTTCTTTGTTTCAGCCAAGACTTTTCTTTTAGGCTGAGAGTGCAACCTGGCTCTAGAGAGTTCTAGCAAGCACTGGCTTACTGGTGAGTGTTCGAGAGACAATTAAAGAAAATCTGATGCCAGATGAAGTTTTCAGTTCACAGTTCCTGCCTTTTCGGCCACCTGGGAATAGACTAAATCGATGAGAAGATGACTTCATTGATTTCTCTTTCTTGCCTCATTTTGATGTTACACAAGCAAGACAGTATTAAAAAGAATAAAAAGGTAGGAGGAAGAAAAAAACCCCTTCATCCCGCACCTCAGGGGACAAAGAAAAATTAAAAAAGACATCTTGCAGCTTAGAAGGTAAGTATGACTCAGAATATTCTTCCCAAACCTGGTACTATCCAAAAACAAAAAACAAAACGAAAAGCCTCCTACCCCAAACTACACGTCAAACCCCCAAAATACCATTTAAAAAAATGTGGTAATTCGTAGCAACAGGTACTATTTATTGAGTGCTTCTTGCATTCCAGGCTGTGTCCTGAGGACTTAGTATTTCTTTTGTTTGAGCTGGAGTTTCGCTCTTGTTGCCCAGGCTGGAGCACAATGGCGCAATCTCGGCTCACCGCAACCTCCGCCTCCTGGGTTCAAGCGATTCTTCTGCCTCAGCCTCCCGAGTAGCTGGGATTACAGGCATGCGCCGCCACGCCCGCTAATTTTGTATTTTTAGTAGAGACGGGGTTTCGCCATGTTGGTCAGGCTGGTCTCAAACTCCCGACCTCAGGTGATCCACCCGCCTTGGACTCCCAAAGTGCTGGGATTAAAGGCGTGAGCCACTGAGCCCGGCCTTTTTTTTTTTTTTTTTTTTTTTGAGATGGAGTCTCACTCTGTCGTCCAGGCTGGAGTGCAGTGGCACGATCTTGACTCACTGCAACCTCCGCCTCCCAAGCGATTCCCCTGCCTCAACCTCCTGAGTAGCTGGGATTATGGCCGCCCACATCCATGCCCAGCTAATTTTTATATTTTTAGTAGAGACGGGGTTTTACCATGTTGGCCAGGCTGGTTTCGAATGCCTGACCTCAAGTGATCCGCCCACCTCGGCCTCTCAAAGTGCCAGGATTACAGGGGTGAGCCACCGTGCCCGGCCTCACTTAATATTTCTTAAGTCCTGCAGTCCTCACAATGACTCAAAAGTAGGTACTACTGTTATTTTATCTTTTTATGTTTTGAAACAGGGTCTCACTCTGTCGCCCTGGCTATAGTACACAGGCACGATCACGGCTCACTGCAGCCTCAACCTCCTTGTCTCGAGTGATCCTCCCACCTCAGCCTCCCGAATAGCTGGGACCATAGGTGTGTGCTATCACACCTGGCTAATTTAGAGATGGGATCTGGCTATGTTGCAAAGGCTGGTCTCGAACTCCTGGACTCAAGTGATGCTTTTGCCTTGGCCTCCCAAAGTGCTGGAGTTCATTTTTGTTATGAAGTATAACATTTAGGTTGAGGATGGTTGGTATATTTATTTATTGTCTATGGATGTGGGCATTATTGTTCTATTTTATTTACTTATTTATTTGAAGAGAGGGTCTCGCTCTGTCACCCAGGCTGGAGTACAGTGGCACAGACTTAGCTTACCGCAGTTACGAATTCCTGGGCTCAAGCAGTCCTCTGGCCTCAGCTTCCCAAGTGGCTGGGACTATAGGCGCATACCACCATGCCCAGCTAATTTTTTAGATATTTTTATAGAGATAGGGTCTCCCTATGTTACCAAGGCTGATCTCGAACTCCAGGCTTTAGCTGTCCTCCCACCTCAGCCTCCCAAAGTGCTGCGATTACAGGCAACACCATGCCTGGCCTGTGTTAATTTTGGGAGCTGTGTATTTGGGTACAGTGGCTCATGCCTGTAATTCCAGCACTTTGCAGGGCTGAGGCGGGAGGATCACTTAAGGTCAAGAGTTTGAGGCCAGCCTGGCCAACATGGTGAGACTTCATCTGTCAAAAAAAAAAAAAAAATTAGCCAGGCATGGTAGTGTATGCCTGTAGTCCTGAGCACTCGGGAGGCTGAGGCAGAAGGATCGCTTGAGCCTGGGACCTTGAGGCTGCAGTGAGCCATGATCATGCCACTGCACTCCAGCCTGGGTGACAGAGCCGGCCTTCATTTCTTTTAAAGAAAAATAAAAAATGACAGGGAAGTATCTCAAAAGTTAAATCCACCAAGTGCAATGTGGGAGCCTGAGCTGGATTCTGGAGCAGAAAAATAGGTGAAATTTGGATAAAGCCTGGGAGTTTAGTCATCAGTTATTAATGTGCGGGGAAACTGGGTGTGGGTACCATGAATATTCTCTTTTCTATCTATGCAATTTTTCTGTAAACTGAAAATTATTCCCAAGCAATAGTTTCCTTAAAAAAAAAAAAAGTATATTGAGGCACAAGTCGATTTAAAAAAAAAAAGTACTTCCAGGATGCACTGAGGCTTGTTAAACACAGCAGAGATTTTGCTAAGGCATATGCACGGGAGCGCTCTGATTTAAGAAAGAACCAGAACTCACTGGCCAGGAGACAGCACCCTCTCCGTGGCATGCATGCCACTGCCCTCTGGGCCCCTCTTGTGGGATCTTCTAGAGCCTCCTCTTATGGGTGTGGGCCCTCTCTCTGTGCCAGGGACATGAGCCCCAGCTTGGGGGGCGTCTGTGGGATGATGACTTCTCTTGCACCCTGAAATCCAATCGGCCACAGTTCTGCCTTCTGCCTGTTTATTTTTATTTATTTATTTATTTTTGAGACGGAGTCTCACTCTGTTGCCCAGGCTGGAGTGCAGTGGTGTGATCTCAGCTCACTGCAACCTCCGCCTCCCGGGTTCAAGCAATTCTCCCGCCTAAGCCTCCCGAGTAGCTGGGATTACAGGCGCCTGCCACCACACCTAGGTAATTTTGGTATTTTTAGTAGAGATGAGGTTTCACCACGTTGGCCAAGCTGGTCTCAAAAGCCTGACCTCAAGTGATCTGCCTGCCTTGGCCTCCTAAAGTGCTGGGATTACAGGCATGAGCCGCCACACCTGGCCTTCTGTTTAACGGGCTTTGGGGCTGCCCACTGGTCACTTAGCCCAGGCTGAGATCGCCGTGGGTGGCTGCCCATCCAGACTCACCCATTCTCATCCCGCCCCATCTACAGGGTCCAGACCCTCTCTGGCCTCACCTCTTGCCACATTTTGTACCCTATACCCCAACTACGCTGACATGCCATACCAGGGGGGAGCCTCAGAGCCCCCGGCCCCTCGACTCAAGGCGTCTCTCTTATCTGGCCAGCTGTGGGGCCGGGTCAGAGTCCTTCTGCATGGCGTGCCCCTGCCCTCGGGCCCGTGGCCTAGGCCTGCGGGCTTCCTTTACAGCTCACCACACTCCCGACTTTATTGCACAGCCTCGCTGCACCTTGACCTCCCTGGGAGCAAGGGTCAGGTGCTGTTCATCTCCAGGCACTGGTGTCACATCAGATCTACGTGCTCAGCCCATTGCGGCACGAGCACACAGCCATGCAGGCTACCACGGCCCTGTGGCGAAGGATGCAGTCGGGCAGGGCGGGGAGCACAGTTAGGAGAGAGATCAGGGAGGGCACCCAAAGGTTCGACCTGCAGGGGCCCAGGGTAATCTCTTTCTTGGCCATTTCACTTTCGTTTTTTCGACACAGTTTCACTCTGTTGCCCAGGCTGGAGTGCAGTGGCGTGGTCATAGCTCGCTGCAGCCTCCCACTCCTGGGCTCAAGTGATCCTCCTGCCTCAGCCTTCTGAACCATTAAAGACAACAGCCACCTTCAGGGCCATTATCTTTGGTGGGATTTTAAGTTCCACTTAAAAAAAAAAATCTCTTCAGAAGGCCAAGGTGGGAAGATCACTGGAGGCCAGGAGTTCGAGGCTACAGTGAGCTATGATCGCACCACTGCACTCCAGCTTGAGAGAAGTGAGAGTCCATTTCAGAAGAAAGAAAATCTCCATGCAACAGGCCGTGGGCTCACCAGGTTCTGCTGGAAGGTGAAGGAAGGCCATAGCCAGGAAGCAAGTGGGCGCCTGGCCCGACAGATGGGAACACAAACTACCTCGCAAAGCCAAGGGTTACTTACCCAAGAAAATTGAGTTAAAAACTGCCTGAAAAAATGCATTTTAAGCACTGCTATTTCTTAAGTGGAATTGTATGACTCTTCGACTTAGCTACCACCCACCCCCATTCAGTTTCACATAAACATGAAAATCCTTACACATTCTCAACATGACCGCAGGAATTAACTGTTGAGCTACTTTCTGGTTTTATCATCTTATTCTTCTTACTGTTTATTTAAGTTCTGTACATGTTTGCCCAGAGATTTGACTCTGTTACTCTTATTCTATTCCTTTAAAAGAGAGGTGATTTTCATTTTTTTCTCTCCCTCTTTTTCTTTTTTCTTTTTTGAGACAGAGTCTCACTCTGTCATCCAGGCTGGAGTACAGTGGCACGATCTTGGCTCACTGCAGACTGCCTCCCAGATTCGACCAATTCTTGTGCTTCGGCCTCCCAAGTAGCTGGGATTACAGGCGTGTGCCAACACACCTGGCTAATTTTTGTATTTTTAGTAGAGACAGGGTTTCACCATGTTTCTCAGGCTGGTGTTGAATTCCTGAGCTCAAGAAATCTGCCTGCCTCAGCCTCCCAAAGTGCTGGGGTTACAGGTGTGAGCCACTGCGCCCGGCCTTCTTTTTTTTTTTTTTTAGAGACAGGGTCTCCCTCTGTCATCCAGGTTGGAGTGCAGTGGCGTGATCATAGCTCACTGCAGCCTTGACCTCCTGGGCTCCAGTGATCCTCCCACCTCAACCTCCCAAGTAGCTGGAACTACAGGCAGACACTCCCACACTCGGCTGATTTTTGTATTTTCTGTAGAGACACGGTCTTGCTATGTTGCCCAGGCAGATCTTGAACTCCTTCCTGCGCTCAGGCAATCCTCCCACCTCGGCCTCCCAAAGTGCTGGGATTACAGGCGAGAGCCACCATGCCTGGCCAAGACAGCCCTTTTTTTCTGGACAATGCCTGGACACATGAAGCCCACAGACATCCCCCCTCCAGGGTACTGGGTAGACACACTTGCCGTTGGGCCCACCTTGCGAAAGTGAGGCAGCTGGGGCAACATTTGACCTCAGTGAGACTCATTTCTTCACTGGGGGCTCTCCAGGAGCCTGCGGTGAATTGGGCCCTAAAACATCCTGTGTGCGCCTTTCCTGGCAGGTTCTGCGACAGCAAAAAGGCCAGATGGAACCACATTCTTGCCTGCAGTGGGGGTTCTGGGTTTTCCCCACCTCGAGCTTACGAGAGGGAAAAAGGAGGCCAGGGTCACCTCTAACCCCAAAGTGCCTGACCTCGGCTCCTCCACCCCAAGAATTCAAACTTAACTTTCTCTGAGACTCAGAAGGCTCTGTAGAACCTTTCAACACGGCGAGGTGACCTATGATTTTAGAATATTTGACAGCATAACTAAGAACTCAAGAGTCCACAGTGAGAAACTGCATTCTCCATGGAAACCAATCGACGCCACTTTTCCTCCTGGGACCAGTCTCGTCCTAAAAGTAAGGGATGCTTCACAGTACAAAACACACTTGCTGCTAGCTGGAAATATCCACATCCTAAGGCCTTTATCCTGGTGGAAGCATTCCATTCTGAGCAAACGTTCTCTCAGCCACGGCAGCGGCATTTCTGTGACATAGGAAAATACTACGTGATTTTGCATAAGGGGAAAACTGAGGTGGAGGTGGGAAAGGCAGGCAGAGAGCTAGATTCTGGTGCCCAAATCACTAGACGTCGATTAGGTGTCTGGTGTACTACCTAAGAGTAAATTCTCATCATTCTTTGGTGCTTTTTTTCTTTTTTTTTTTTTTTTGAGACAGAGTCTCACTTTGTCGCCCAGGCTGGAGTGTGCTGGCGCAATCTCAGCTCACTGCAACCTCTGCCTCCCAGGTTCAAGCAATTATCCTGCCTCAGCCTCCTGAGTAGCCGGGACGACAGGCACGTTCCACCACGCCCGGCTAATTTTTCTATTTTTAGTAGAGACAGGTTTCATCATGTTGGCCAGGCTGGTCTCCAACTCCTAACCTCAGGTGATCCACCCGCCTCAGCCTCCCAAAGTGTTGGGATTACAGGCATGAGCCACCGCGCCCAGGTTATTCTTTGCTGCTTTTTTTCTTTTTTGAGACAGGGTCTTGCTCTGTTGACCAGGTTAGAGTGCAGTGGTGCAGTCATGGCTCACCACAGTCTCCAACTGCTAGGCTCTAGCCATCCTCCTGCCTCAGCCTCCCAAGTAGCTGGGACTATAGGCATGTGCCACCAAGCCTGGCTAATTTCCTATTTTCTTATTTTATTTTATTTTTGAGACAGGGTCTCACTCTGTTGCCCAGGCTGGAGTGCAGTGGTGCATTCATAGGTCACTGTAGCCTCGAACTCCTGAGTTCAAACAATCCTCCTGCCTCAGCCTCCTGAGTAGCTGGGACTACGGGCACACACCAATATGTCTGGCTAATTTTTATGTTTTTTGTAGAGACAGGGTGTTGCTATGTTGCCCAGGCTGGTCTTGAACTCCTAACCTCAAGCGATTCTCCTGCCTTGGTCTCCCAAAGTGCTGAGATTACAGGCATGAGCCACTGTGCCCGGCCTCTCATAATTCTTAATAAGCTTTTTTTTTTTTTTTTGAGACGGAGTCTCACTCTGTCACCCGGGCTGGAGTGCAGTGGCGCTATCTCAGCTCACTGCAACGTCCACCTCCCAGGTTCAAGCAATTCTCCTGCCTCAGTCTCCTGAGTAGCTGGGATTACAGGCACCCGCCACCATGCCTGGCTAATTTTTGTATTTTTAGTAGAGACGGGGTGTCACCATGTTGGCCAGGCTGGTCTTGAACTCCTGACCTCGTGATCCGCCCGCCTCACCCTCTCCAATTGCTGGGATTACAGGCGTGAACCACTGTGCCCGGCCCATTCTTAATAAGCTTTAACTTCAAAAGTTTGTTTTTTTTGTGGGGAAGTAGGGGGAGACCCCCACCTTTTTTCCATTGATGTAGAACGCATTTCTCTAAATGTGTAAGACCAAGCCAGAGCCCTACTCTTGTTTAATGAAGATAAGAACTAAGGTAAACTGCTATAGGTGAGTCACCTTAGGGGCATTAGAAAAAAAAAGGGCGGAACAAAGTGGAACATTCTTGGGCATAAAACCAGTTGGCTGCATGTCATGGTCTTAAAAAAGTACAAATGTGGTACAAACTCTTCATCTGCAAAGATTCCTGGCTGATAAGAAATGGCTCTCGGGAAATACTGATAAGGGCTCATGAAGAAATATCACCTATAGCACTGTTACCTGAATTTGAGCCTTTTTTTTTTTTTTCCCCGAGACGTAGTCTCACTCTGTCACCAGGCTGGAGTGCAGTGGCGTGATCTCGGCTCACTGCAACCTCTGCCTCCCGGGTTCCAGCGATTCTCCTGCCTCAGCCACCCAAGTAGCTGGGATTACAGGCACCTGCCACCATGCCTGGCAAATTTTTGTATTTTTAGTAGAGATGAGGTTTCACCATGTTGGCCAGGATGGTCCCGATCTCCTGAACTCGTGATCCGCCCGCCTCGGCCTCCCAAAGTGCTGGGATTACAGGCGTGAGCCACCGCGCCCAGTCTAAATTTGAGCCTTCTTAATGAATAGTACAAGAGTGAACTAAAATTTAAAATTAAATTAAAATCGACCAGCACTCTTACCATCACTTACAAATGTCTCTGTGCCCCCATCTTTATTGACACGGGTGTACATGTTCAGTTATAGTTGCAGGGAACACACAAGTATTTCACGTTGCTATAGACTTTGTAAGTATCGCTTTAATCGTTTCCCTGCTGTTAGACATTCGAGGCATTCCAATTTCATACAAGAGCCTCCGTGAGACGAGATTTTGGACGCAAAGGTTACAAATCCTTTCTGATGTTTAGACTTGCATTACCAAATTGCTTTTCCCAAGGACTTTGCTAATAAGTGTAACCTTGCAAGAAAATCTAGCTCAAGAAAGAAACTCCGGCCTGGGGTGGTGGCTCATGCTTGTAATCCCAGCACTCTGGGAGGCTGAGACAGGCGGATCACCTGAGGTCGGGAGTTCGAGACCAGCCTGACCAACATGGAGAAACCCTTTCTCTACTAAATATACAAAATTAGCCGGGCGTGGTGGTGGGCGCCTGTAATCCCAGCTACTCGGGAGGCTGAGGCAGGAGAATCGCTTGAACCCGGGAGGTGGAGGTTGCGGTCAGCCGAGATCACGCCATTGCACTGTCCAGCCTGGGCAAAAATAGCAAAACTCCATCTCAGAAATAAATAAATAAGTAAATAACATAAAAACCTCAAAGTGGAGGGCCACCATTTTTGATGCCACCCCAAATCAATAGTGTGTCAGTTTTCACATGGCTTGCTTCTATGAGATCCACTTCTGGGTTCACTTCTACTAGAGCCACTAGAACACACAGCTCGCTTCTATCAATACTAGATCGACTTCCTCTGTTTCCTTTCCCAAGTGTAGGGATGCGGGCTGTAGAATTAGGGGTATCTTGATACATGACATTTCTTTTCCAAAACACAGGCTTTGGCATCAGGTGGAACACGGGTTTGAATCTTATTCTGCCACGTGCTTTTTTTTTTTTTTTTGAGATAGAGTCTCTCGCCCTGTCACCCAGGCTAGAGTGCAGTGGCGCGATCTCGGCTCATTGCAACCTCTGCCTCCTGGGTTGGTTCAAGTGATTCTCGTGCCTCAGCCTCCCGAGTAGCTGGGATTACGGCCATGCATTACCACGCCCGGCTAATTTTTTCTACTTGTAGTAGAGAAGGATTTTCACTATGTTGGCCAGGCTGGTCTCAAACTCCTGGCCTCAAGTGATCCGCTCGCCTCGGCCTCCCAAAGTGCTGCCATGTGCTTTCACTACCTTTTTGATCATGGCCAATTAATGACCAGGCTCCCCTGAGATTGTTTAGTCATCTGTGCAGAAGTAATAAATGACATCCACCTCACAGGACTGTTGGGACAATTCAAGGGGGAAATAAACCTCAAGAATCTGAGAACAGAGCAAGGGGCCAACTGTTAGCTCCCTCACACCCAACCCGAATACTCAAACAGCTAACTGAAGATAGATGGGACAATATTCTCCTGAACGCAGACCGGACCGTGCAAATGGGCTCAGTAATAATCCATGAAACCCCAGCACAATGGAACGAGGAGGAACTGGGGCTTAGCTCCTCCCGGCTATTAATCCCTGAGCTGTCCAGACAGTCACTGATGACCCATGAGCCATGTTTCCAAAAAAAAATTATTTACACATCTGTTTAGAAAAGTTAAAACAGCCTGGTGGGGTAGCTTATGACTGTAATCCCAGCACTTTGGGAGGCCAAGATGGGCGGATTACTTGAGATCAGGAGTTTGAGATCAGCCTGGCCAACATGGTGAAACCCCATCTCTGCTACAAATACAAAAAGTAGCTGGGTGTGGTGGTGTGTGCCTGTAATCCCAGCTTCTTGGGAGGCTGAGGCAGGAGAATTGCTTGAACCTGGGAGGTGGAGACTGCAGTGAGCCGAGATCCTGCCACTGCACTCCAGTCTGGGTGACAGGGTGAGACTCCATCTCAAAAAAAAAAAAAAAAAAAAGAAAAGTTAGAACACATTTTGTTGTGGGACTGATGATGCGGTGTTTGAGAGGAGATCTCCAGTCCAGAGGAGCCCAGGTGATCCAGGAGGTGGTGTGTTAGCAAAGGATGATGGGATCGCCAATAGTGGGAGCTGGGGTGGCCTGAGGAGGAAGGTGAGTCATTTTGCCTGAAGGCAGGAGATCATGGGATCCTTTGCACTGGGTTTTGAGGGATGAATAGGAGGTCATTAGAAGAAAGAAGGATGAGGGAAAGTCATTCCAGGATAGGACAGTGGGCAAGGGCAGAGCCATTAACAGGGGGAATGATGGCATATTGTGGGGAAGGTGGTTACAGGACAGAAGGCTGCGCGGGGCGGGGGGGCATGGGCGGGAGCTGGGCAGACAGGCAGTGCTAGAAGAGTGTGGCCAGAGATGAAGATTAAAAGGCAGGCTGGGCGGGGCATGCGTGGCGTTTTACATGCTGCCCTACGACACTCTTCCAGAATAGGAGCCAGGGGAAGGTTTTAGGCAGGGAGAGGCATGATTAAACCTGCATTACAGAGGTAACCAGTGATAGGAGAGGCAAATGATTAGACGGGGACAGAGAGATGACAGAGGCAGGGAACCAGTTTGGCAGCCTGAGTGCGAGGTGACAAAGCCCTTAAGGAAGGCAGAGGGTGAAAAGTTGGGACAGGAGGTCAGAGGCAGAACCAGCAGGGCTTGGTGCCCCGGTAAACACGGGCACGGATGGAGGAGGCCAGGATGACGAAGATGTCTGGTTTGGGCCACCGAGGTGGGACCTGGAAGAAGGAAGGGAGAAGGGGACAGAGGTGGGAAAAAGAACAGCTCTCCCAGCAGACATGGTCAGTCTGAAATGCCACCCAGGACCCTCTGCTCAGAAGTCCTGAAGGCTGTTGAGACGTGCGTGGAGTCAGGGCCATCATCAAGGCTGGGGACACCTATTTCTTTATTTTTGAGGCGGAGTGTCACTCTGTTGCCCAGTCTGGAGTGCAGTGGCACCATCTCAGCTCACTGCAGCCTCTGCCTCCTGGGTTCAAGTGATCCTCCTGTCCCAGCCTCCCAAGTAGCTGGGATTACAGGCGTGCACCACCATGCCTGGCTAATTTTTGTATTTTTAGTAGAGACGGGTTTTCACCATGTTTGGCCAGCCTGGTCTTGAACTCCTGACCTCAGGTAATCTGCCTGCCTTGGCCTCCCAAAGTGCTGGGATTACAGGTGTGAGCCACTGCAACCGGCCAAAGCTGGGGATATCTATTTGGGAGCAGTCCATGTGCAGAAACAGAAAAGAAGAGGGGGGTACAGTTGTCCGGCATATGGGAAAAGTCGGCCCTCTGAATCTGTGGGTTTTCATCCTGAGAACACTGTATTTTTGGTCTGCTTTGGTTGCAGAAGCAGAACCTGTGGCTGCAGAGGGCTGACTGTATTGACTGAAAAACGTCTGTGTGTAACTGGACTCACGCAGCTGAAACCCGTGCTGTTCAAGGGCCGACTGCAGTCAAAGACATAATCCTGAGGAACGGCATTTGGAGGCTGAAGTGGGCAGATCGCTTGAGCCCAGGAGTTTTGAGACCAGCCTGGACAACACAGTGGGACCACATCCCTACAAAAAATACAAAAATTAGCTGAGTGTGGTGTCACACGCCTGCAGACCCAGCTACTCAGGAGGCTGAGGTGGAAGGACCACTTGAGCCCGGAAGGTGGAGGCGGCAGTGAGCCATCACTGCACCACTGCCCTCCAGCCTGGGCGACAGAGCAAGACTGTTTCAAAACAAAAACAAAAAAACAAAAAACAGTTTTGAACAGAGCTGTCCGCCATCCATCCCAGGTGAACCAGCACAGCAGACAGAGTCTTAAGACTCTTAGGTTTGACAGGCTCACCCCATAACGTCTCCTCTCCACGACGGGTGTGACTCAGGGCAGGGCCACCTGCCCTCTGCAGCCGTCTGCCTGCAAACTGTGCTTACCCAGAGCCATTACTGTTTGTTCCCAGGGCTGTGTGTGCCATCGCTGCCTGCCATCAAAGTTATGCACTTGAGCGACAAAGTGCCACCTAAACTCATAACTCATGAACCCATGGGTGCAAAAGAGTTGAGTGTTTCTACGAAACAGAGTCAAATGCTTTGGAAAAACTGAAAAGCAAGTCACTTAAAAACAAGCAAAACAGGCCCGGCGTGGGGGCTCACGCCTGGAATCCCAGCACTTTGGGAGGCCGAGGTGGGCGGATCACCTGAGGCTGGGAGTTCAAGACCAGCCTGGGCAACATGATGAAACCACGTCTCTACTAGAAATATAAAAATTAGCTGAATGTGATGGCACACGCCTGTAGTCCCAGCTACTCAGGAGGCTGAGGCACGGGAATTGCTTGAACTGGTAGGTGGAGGTTGCAGATTGTGCCACTGCACTCCAGCCAGGGCAACAGAGCAAGATCCTGTCTCAAAATAATAATAATTGCTCAGCTGGCCGTGGTGGCATACACCTGTAGCCCCAGTCCCACCTGTACTTAGGAGGCTGCAGCAGGAGGATCACTTGAGCCCAGGAGTTCAAGACCAGCCTGGACAATACAGCAAGACCCAATCTCTAAAATATATAGAGAGAGCTGGCCTTTTTTGA
Source organism: Homo sapiens (assembly GCF_000001405.40). Lineage (NCBI taxonomy): Eukaryota > Metazoa > Chordata > Mammalia > Primates > Hominidae > Homo > Homo sapiens. The sequence continues at coordinate 7,420,105 of NC_000019.10, read as the reverse complement.
TTAGTTGCCAATCTCTGAGAGCTCAGCTGGCCTGAGGCTGTCGTCAGGGCTTAGCGTGAGTGTGGGGGCTGAGTGTGGGTGCACCTGGGGTGCAGGGGCCGAGTGTGGGTGTGGAGGCCGAGTGTGGGCGCACCTGGGGTATGAGGGCCGAGTGTGAGTACACCTGGGGTACAGAGGCCGAGTGTGGGTGTATCTGGGGTACAGAGCCCAAGTGTGGGTGCACCCCAGGTGCTTCCACTCCAGGCAGCTTTCTATGGTGGAGGGTGTGTATTCAAAACACAGATGAAGAAGAGGTAAGGGCCACCTGCATGGGCTTGGGGTTCAGAAGTCTGTCCTGGGGAAAAGTGCCCTGCCCGACACCTTCCCAAGTGACTGCAACACACCCTACGCAACTCAGTGCTCAAGACGGCAGGTCTGGAGTGTGTGGGAGAATCCTCCGTGAGGTTTAGGCTAGGGTGGCCTGATGGAGAAAAGGAAACCCTTCAAGAGAAAAGGGTTTTGAGGGAGGGTGGGTTTCAGGGCAAGACTAGGGTGGTGCCTGTCCTGCAGCAGGCAAGGGTAGGGAGAGAGGGGTCCTTCTGAGACAGGCTGGAGGCCGGGAGTTCCCTTCACAGTGGGATGGGCTGCCCAGGCTGTGGTGAAGGAGCTGCAGGTGCACCTGGGGTGTGGGGGGACTAAGTGTGGGTACATCTGGGTTGTAGGGGCTGAGTGTGGGTGCATCTGGGTGCAGGGGGCAAGTGTGGGCGCATCTGGGGTGCGGGGGCCAAGTGTGGGCACACCCGGGTGTGGGGGCCAAGTGTGGGCACACCCAGGTGCGGGGGCCGAGTGTGGGCACACCTGGGGTGCGGAGGCCGAGTGTGGGTACATCGGGGTACAGAGGCCGAGTGTGGGTACATCGGGGTACAGAGGCCGAGTGTGGGTACATCTGGGGTACAGAGGCTGAGGGTGGGTACATCTGGGGTACAGAGGCCGAGTGTGGGTACATCTGGGGTACAGAGGCCAAGTGTGGGTACATCAGGGTACAGAGGCCGAGTGTGGGTACATCTGGGGTACAGAGGCCGAGTGTGGGTACATCTGGGGTACAGAGGCCGAGTGCGGGTGCACCTGGGGTGAGGGGCTGCTGGGGGGCTGGAGAGCAGACACACCTGCAATGCAGAAATGAAGGGAGAGGCCCTTCCATTCCCTGGTGCTTACTGAACAGGCGCCAGGTGGACTAGCAGATGTCTGAAAGGAAAGACTCTCCAGGAAACAAGTATTTGTGGAAACTCAAAAGAGCCGTCAATGAGTGCCACCTTCACCTCCTCTCCTCCCTCTCTCCCCCTTGAATCCACACCGACAACTCCATCAGCCACATGGGCCGGGGCAGAGAGGGCAGGTGTGCTAGGAACAGACATCGCAGCCACGCTGCCCGGGCTCAAACCCCCACCTCCGAGATCCAGAGCCAGGGACCTAACTGCACCCTGCCTCCATTTCCCCCATCTGTAGGATGGGGATAATCGTAGTGCCTGCTGGCTGGGCACAGTGGCTCACACCTGTAATCCCAGCACTTTGGGAGGCTGAGGTGGCAAGAAGGTGACAGAGTGGCCATCTGTCACTGACAGAGTGGGAGGAATGCTTGAGCCCAGGAGTTTGAGACCAGTCTGGGTAACATTGCAAAACCCCATTTCTACCAAAAGTAAAAAATTAGTCAAGCATGGTGCACGCCTGTGCTCCCAGTTACTTGGGGGGCTGAGGCAGGAGGATCGCTTGCGCCCAGGAGTTCTAGGCTGCAGTGAGCTGTGATTGTGCGACTGCACTCCAGCTGGGGTGACAGTGAGATCCCGCCTTAAAACAAAACAAAACAAAACAAAAAAACCCCACAAACACAAAAAACCAGTAATGCCCTCTCTGGGGGTTGGCTGTGATAGAGAACATTCTGGAATGCTGTCTGACACAAAGCAAATACTTTCCTTGACTATTTGTACTACCATTCACTTCCTCCGTAGCTGCTGGAATGATTCAACTAACAACCAAGTCAGGCATGTCCCTCCTCTGCTCAAAGCCCTGCCATGGCCCCCACCTTCCCCAGGAACCCGTCTTCACTGTGACCTGCAAGAATGGTCGGCAAACTATGGCCCCAGGGCCAAATCCAGCACCTCCTTTGGTAGAGCAAAAATATGCACCAGAGACCTTATGCTGCCCACAAAGCCCAAGGTATGTACCATCTGGTCTCTTACAGAGAGTCCAGGACCTCTGGCCCCACCCAGGCTATCTCCTCACCAGCTACCACCAGCCTTCACTCTCCCACTCTCCTGGGCCACCTGGCTCCACCCACCCCGGCCTCCTCCAAACATGTCACCATCCCACTGGGCCCCCGTGGCTGCTGCTCCTTCTGCCTGTCCCCATCTTCTTTTTCATTTTATTTTTATTGAGACCGAGTCTCGCTCTGTCATGCAGGCTGGAGTACAATGGTGCGATCTCAGCTCACTATAACTTCTGCCTCCTGGTTTCAGGTGATTGTCATGCCTCAGTCTCCCGAGTAGCTGGGATTACAGGCGTGCGCCACTCGTCTGGCTGATTTTTGTATTTTTAGTAGAGATGGGGTTTTGCCATGTTGGCCAGGCTGCTCTCCAACTCCTCACTTCAAGTGATCTGCCCGCCTTGGTCTCCCAAAGTGCTAGGATTACAGGTGTGAGCCACTGTGCTGGGCCAACTTTTATTTTTAAATGTATAATTTTCAAATAGAGACAGGGTCTTGCTATGCTGCCCAGGCTGGTCTTGAACTCCTGGCCTCAAGCAGTCCTCCTCCCTCTGCCTCCCAAAGTGCTAGAATTACAGGTGGTAAGCCATCTTGTCTGACCTGCCCACCTTCTCAGTGAAGCCCCAGAGGCCACCTTGTTTAAAATATCATCCAGGCCAGGTGTAGTGGTTCACACCTGTAATCCCAGCACTTTGGGTGGTGGCTGAGGCGGGTGGATCACTTGAGGTCAGGAGTTCGAGACCAGCCTGACCAACATAGTGAAACCCTGTCTCTACCACAAATACAAAAATTACGCAGGTGTGGTGGTGCGTGCCTGTAATCCCAGCTACTTGGGAGGCTGAGGCAGGAGAATCGCTTGAACCTGGGAGGCAAAGGCTGCAGTGAGCCGAGATGGTGCCACTGCACTCCAGAATGGGCAACAGTGTGAGACTCCATCTCAAAAAACAACAACAACAACAAAAACAGCCGGGCATGGTGGCTCACGCCTGTAATCCCAACACTTTGGGAGGCTGAGGCGAGCGGATCATGAGGTCAGGAGATCGAGACCATCCTGGCTAACACAGTGAAACCCCGTTTCCACTTAAAAATACAAAAAATTAGCTGGGCGTGGTGGCGGGCACCTGTAGTCCCAGCTACTCGGGAGGCTGAGGCAGGAGAATGGTGTGAACCCGGGAGGCAGAGTTTGCAGTGAGCCAAGATCGTGCCACTGCACTCCAGGCTTGGCAGCAGAGCAAGACTCTGTCTCAAAAAAAAAAAAAAACCCAAATAAAATATCATCCACCCCAAAACACACACACACACACACACACACACACACACACACACACACACACACGAATTTTCTCCGTGAGGCACATCACAGCCTCCTTGCACTCAGGGGCACTTGCTGGCACTGCAGCACTACGTTTGAAGGTCATTTTATTTTCTAAAAAATTTATTATTATATTGTTATTTTAGAGATGAGGTCTCTGCTGCCCAGGCTGGACTGCAGTGGCGTGATCGTAGCTCACTGCAGCCTCGAACTCCTGGGCTCAAGGAATCAAGGGATCCTCCTGCCTCAGCCTCCCAAGTAGCTGAGACCACAGGTGTGTGACACCATGCCTGGCTAATTAAAAAAAATTTTTTTTTTAGAGATAGGGTCTTGCTATGTTGCCCAGGCTGGCTGGTCTCAAACTCCTGGGCTCAACTAATCCTCCTGCCTAGGCCTCCCAGTGTGCTGAGATTATAGGCATGAGCCTCCTCGCCCAGCTAGGGGTCATTTTCAACATTAACATCACCAACAAGAAGCACACAAATGCGAAAACCGTGGTACTCCATAGACCTTCAACAGGGCATGTGTTTACAGTGTGAGAGGCTGAACGAGAAGGTGGAGTGTCGCCTCGCTCAGCCTCAGCTGGGAACCTGTGTGGGAACTCCAAGTTTTCTCCACTCTGCACCAATATGAATGGATTCATGTTGCGGTTACAGAGAAATTTTAGCAAGCGGGTGAAAATTAAACAAAGAATTACCATCCGATCCAGCAATTCTACTCCTGGGTATATCTTCAAAAGGGTAAACACTGACTCTGCAAATCCCAAGGCTCAACTGTAGTTTTGTTTATTTAGAAGGGAAACTCCAGGAGCTGCGGGTCTCTGTGGTCATGGCTGGCACGAGGCCTGTCATGTGGTGGGTGGGTGCTTAACAAATACGCGCTTCAGGGAGGGAGGGAGAGGACGTCTGGGAGGGACCTGGTCTGGACCGGTCAGAGAAAGGAAAGGGCAGGGTGGAGGGAATGTCTTATTCCAGGAGGTTCTGCCATGGGCCTTGGGGGCCCTTGGAGAGTCACTTTGTCATTGAACCTGAAGCCACGGAAAGGTTTATGTGGAGGATTGGATGAGCTCTGCTTCTCGAAACGATGGCTGCAGCGTGGGGAGCAGGGCACACTGGAAGGGGTTGCTGGTGGACGCAGGGGGACCGGGACCTCGAGGGCAGGGTGGAGAGTGGCAGAGAGGGGCGGTGCAGGGGCCATGAAGTGGGGGGCAGAGTGGCGGGCTCGGCAGCAGGCAGCCGCTGGCACGGGGTGTTGCGCTCAGGAGGGCGCTCTAAGCAAGGGGTGGACATTTGGGCCTAAGGTGCTACCTGAAGCCCGGGAGAACCCAGGAGTGCCCAGGAGCAGGGTTAGGGAGGTGGTTTAATGGAGCTGCCTGGAGATTCAATGGGATAAGGGATGGAACTAAGGTCCTTGGGTCCAGCTTTGTTGAAAGCGGTCTTGGGAGCAGAATAGCTGAATGGCATGCGTGGTTTTTATTTTGGGGGAGGGGAGAACACAGTTGTATCATAATCACTGGCTCAAACTAGTATTATTTTATTTATTTATTTACTTATTTATTTTGAGATGGAATTTTACTCTGTGGCCCAGGCTGGAGTGCAGTGGCACGATCTCGGGTCACTGCAACCTCTGCTTTCTGGGTTCAAATGATCCTCTTGCCTCAGCCACCCGAGTAGCTGGGATTACAGGCACCTGCCCCCACACCCGGCTAATTTTTGTATTTTTATTGTTTTTGTTTTTTTCTTTTTTTTTGAGACAGAGTCTCGCAGTCGCCAGGCTGGAGTGCAATGGCGCGATCTCAGCTCACTGCAACCTCCACCTCCCGGGTTCAAGCGATTCTCCTGCCTCAGCCTCCAGAGTAGCTGGGATCACAGGCACGCACCACCATGCCCAGCTAATTTTTGTATTTTTAGTAGAGACGGGGTTTCACCATCTTGGCCAGGATGGTCTCGATCTCTTGACCTTGTGATCCGCCTGCCTCAGCTTCCCAAAGTGCTGGAATTATAGGCGTGAACCACCGTGCCCAGCCTAATTTTTGTATTTTTAGTAGAGATGGGGTTCACCATGTTGGCTAGGCTGGTCTCGAACTCCTGACCCAGGTGATCTGCCCGCCTTGGCCTCCCAAAGTGCTGGGATTACAGGCATCAGCCACCGCGCCTGGCCCTCAAACTAGTATTATTATGACTTTTTAAAAAAACGATCAACTGAAACCCCGAAGTTGTTTCCTCACAAGCTGTCATGAGGTTCTATTTCCCCATCCTGTACTTATATGGTTGCTTATCTAGACCAACGATTCTCTACCAGGGGTGATTCTTGCTCCCAGGGTCATTTGGCAGAGTCTGGAGACATTTTTGGTTGCTATGGGAGTGAGGGGGGAAGAGGGGTGCTCCTGGCATCTGGTGGGTGGAGGCCAGGGATGCTGCTCAGCACCCTGCAGTGCCCAGGTAGGTCCCATCCCAAAGAATGATCCGGCCCCAAATGCCTACAGTATCTAGGCTGGGAAACCCTGATTTAGACCCACGCGCAGGAATCTAAGCATCCCGGTACTCACTCTGTCACCTGGTGATTAAAGCCACCCCTATAGCTGTCTGTCATCTCCAGCTTTGATAAATAAGCTTTCTACATCTTTATCTTCCCAAATTACAAGTTAAATGACTGACCGAGACACAGCAGAGGACAGAACCGTGGGTGGCTTCCTACTAAGTTAACATCAGCCCATTAATTAACAGCTTTGTGAACTTCCATCCACCGATGAGCATGGCTAAAAGATGATTACCTCACGACCATCTTGTTTGTTTGTTTATTTTTTGGAGACAGAGTCTCGGCTGGAGTATAGTGGTATAATCATAGCTCACTGCAGCCCCAAACTCCTGGGGCTTAAGTAATCCTTCTCCCTATCTCCCAAGTAGCTGGAACTACAAGTGCACACCACCATGGCTAATTAAAAAAGATTTTTTTGCCGGGCGCAGTGGCTCACGCCTGTAATCCCAGCACTTTGGGAGGCCGAGGCAGGTGGATCACGAGGTCAGGAGATCGAAACCATCCTGGTCAACACGGTGAAACCCCGTGTCTACTAAAAATGCAAAAAATTAGCTGGGCATGGTGGCGGGCGCCTGTAGTCCCAGCTACTTGGGAGGCTGAGGCAGGAGAATGGCGTGAACCCAGGAGGTGGAGCTTGCAGTGAGCCGAGATCGTGCCACTGCACTCCAGCCTGGGCAACAGAGCAAGACTCTGTCTCAAAAAAAAAAGAAAAAAAAAAAAAAGCTTTTTGTTTTTTGTGTTTTTTTTGGTAGAGACAGGGTCTTGCCGTGTTGCCCAGGCTGGTTTTGAACTCCTGGGCTCAATCGATCCTCCTGCCTTGGCCTCCCACAGTGTTGGGATTGCAGGCATGAGCCACCATACCCAGCCCATAACTATCTTAATATCTCTGCGTGCTTCTGATCCTGCCCCCAAAAATATGGTGTGGGACGTGGTTAGATGCTTTCTATTTCCATGTGTTTGATCCTGATTCGCTGGCTGAAATGCCAAAGGTCACGGGAAACTGTGACTTGCTTTCCAGTTCTTGCAAGATCCTATAGTGTCAGATGCAACTAGTAAGGGGACTCCTCCAACTCAACAATAAAAAACAAATACTCCCATTCACAAATGGGCAAAGGATGTAAACAGACACGTCTCCAAAGAAGAGATACAAACGACCAGTCAGCACATGAAAAGACGCTCAACATCAGTAGTCACCAGGGAAACGCAAAGCAAAACCGCCCACTTCACACCCACTAAGATGGGATAATTTATTTTATTTACTTTTTTTTTTTTTTTGAGACAGAGTCTTGCTCTGTCACCCAGGCTCCAGTGCAGTGGCTCGATCTCAGTTCACTGCAACCTCCGCCTCCTGGGTTCAAGTGATTCTCCTGCCTCAGCCTCCTGAGTAGCTGGGATTACAGGCGCCTGCCACCACGCCCGGCTACTTTATGTATTTTTAGTAAAGACGGGGTTTTGCCATGTTGGCCAGGCTGGTCTGGAACTCCTGACCTCAGGTGATCCGCCCACCTTCGTCTCCCAAAGTGCTGGGATTACAGGCTGAGCCACCGTTCCTGGCCTAAAATGGTATAATTTAAAAAACCGAAAATTAAGTGTCTCGGTGAGAAGGCGGAGAAACCAGGACCCTCATACACTGCTGGTAGGAAGGTAAAATGGGGCAGCTGCTATGGAAGACAGCTTGGTGGTTCCTAAAAACCCTAGCATAGGCCGGGCGCGGTGGCTCACGCCTCTAATCCCAGCACTTTGGGAGGCCGAGGAGGCCGGAATACGAAGTCAGGAGTTCGAGACCAGCCTGACCAACACTAAAAATACAAAAATTAGCCGGGTGTGGTGGCGCGCCCCTGTAATCCCAGCTACTTGGGAGGCTGAGGCAGGAGAATTGCTTGAACCCGGGAGGCAGAGGTTGCAGTGAGCCAAGATCACGCCACTGCACTGCAGCCTGCGTGACAGAGCGAGACTCCATCTCAAAAAAAAAAAAGAAAAACCAAACAAAAAAACACAAAACATGGAAATAAGTGTGCATGTATAGATGAATGGATAAACAAAACGTGACATACACGCACACTGTAATATTATTCAGCCTTAAGAAGGAAGTTCTGACACACAGATGGACCTTGAGGACACTATGCTCAGTGAAATAAGCCAGTCACAAAAGAATACATCGTATGTGACTCCACTTCTAGGAGGTCCCTAGAGTTGTCAGATTCATAGAGACAGGAAGTAGAATGGTGGGTGCCAAGGGCTGGGGAGGGGGATGGAGAGTGAGTGTTTTATGAGGACAGAGTTGCAGCTTGGGAAGAGGAGAAAGTTCTAGAGATGGATGGTGGTGATGGTAGCATCAGCAATGTGTATGTGTTTAATGCCACCAACCTGTGCACTTAAAAAATGATTTTTTTAAAAAAAGATGCCACTTGGCTGGGCACGGTGGCTGACACCTGTCATCCCAGCACTTTGGGAGGCCGAGGTGGGCAGACCACTTGAGGTCAGGAGTTCAAGACCAGCCTGGCCAACATGGTGAAAGCCTGTGTCTACTAAAAATACAAAACTTAGCTGGACATGGTGGTGTGCACCTGTAATCCCATCTACTTGGGAGGCTGAGGCAGGAGAACTGCTTGAACCTGGGAGGTGGAGGTTGCAGTGAGCTGAGATCACACCACTGCCCTCCAGCCTGGGCAACAGGGCAAGACTCTGTCAAGAAAAGAAATAGAAAAGAAAAGGGAAGGGGAGGGGAGGGAAAGGGAAAGGGGAAGGGGAAGGGGAAGGGGAAGAGGTAGGGGAAAGGAACAGGAAGAAAAGAAGGAAAGAGAGAAGCTTGGTGTGCAACTTCATTTTTAACATATCTGACAAAAGAAAGTGCCTAAGGCCAGGTCTCAGGTGGAGAGGCCCTGCGCTGCCCAGGCTTGTTCTGAGATCCTCTGCTTCCTTTTGTGCAAATTTCACACTATTTTCTGGTATCAGGATGGAGGGACCTTCAATATCACCTATAGATATTGCAGATGCTGAAAAAGCATCTGCCTTGTGAGTATTTCTCTTGACACTGGGTACAGGCCAGATGCTGAAGTATAAGAGGTCCCAGCAAAACTATTCCACCCCCTGAGGCCTTCTTAGGAAGGGCAGTGCGTGGCATTTTTTAAACAATTATGTTAGTTCTATTGACTGGGCAGAAATCAAAATGACAAGGGTGAAAAACCTTTTTTTTTTTTTTTTTTTGAGATGGAGTCTCACGCTGCTGCCCAGGCTGGAGTGCAATAGCACAATCTCAGATCACTGCAACCTCTGCTTCTCAGGTTCAAGCGATTCTCGTGCCTCAGCCTCCCAAGTAAATGGGATTATAGGTGCATGCCACCACACCCAGCTAATTTTTTTATTTTTAGTAGAGATGGGGTTTTACCGTGTTGGCCAGGCTGGTCTCGAACTCCTGACCTCAGATGATCTGCCAGCCTCAGCCTCCCAAAGTGCTGGGATTTACAGGCGCGAACCACCATGCCCAGCCCCTGAAAAACATTTTGATGAAAAGAAGACTGATTCTGAAAACATTAATTCAGGTCTAGTTACATAGCTGAAATCTTCCAGAAAGCTGGAAGATTTATATACATATGTGTGTGTGTATGTATGTGTGTGTGTATATATATATATATTTCAAGCCAACAATTTTAATGTGGGAAATAAACAGCAAATAAATGTCAGCAGAGGTGACTCTAAGACGGACAGAGGAAACCAAACACCTGAGAGAGGCCGGGGGTTTCTCTTTCAGCAGATCAAAAGCAATCAGTCACAGGCGGAAGGCAGGGCAGCAAAACAGGTGTGCAGAATGCCAGAAAAAACCCTGTTTGCCTTCAATGGGCGGGGAAAGTATTCAAGGGCACTGCATTTCTGGAAAAAGGGAACTGCAATGATGTCAGGGCTGGTGAACCTTAGAAAAACCCTTCACAGGCCGGGCATGATGGCTCACGCCTGTAATCCCAGCACTTTGGGAGGCCAAGGCGGGTGGATCACGAGGTCAGGAGTTCAAGACCAACCTGGCCAACATGGTAAAACCCCATCTCTGCTAAAAAAAAAAAAAAAAAATACAAAAAAAATTAGCCGGGTGTGGTGGCAGGCACCTGTAATCCCAGCTACTTGGGAGGCTGAGGCAGGAGAATCGCTTGAACTTGGAGGGCGGAGGTTGCAGTAAGTAAGCTGAGGTTGCACCACTGCACTCCAGCCTAGGCGACAGAGTGAGACTCCATCTCAATAAAAAAAAAAAAAAAAGAAAGAAAGAAAGAAAAACCCCTCACAGGCCAGGCGCGATGGCTCACGCCTGTAATCCCAACACTCTGGGAGGCCGAGGTGGGCCTTGGCTCAAGTGTGAGTTCAGGTGTTTGAGACCAGCCTGGCCAACATGGTGAAACCCCGTGTTTACTAAAAAATACAAAAATACAAAAATTAGCTGGAGGTGGTGGCAGGCGCCTGTAATCCCAGCTACTTGGGAGGCTGAGGCAGGAGAATAGCTTGAACTCAGGAGGTGGAGGTTACAGTGAGCCGAGATTGTACCACTGCACTCCAGCTTGGGTGATAGAGTGGCCTCCAACTCAAAAAAAAAAAAAAAAGACTCTTCATTAGTTTCCAATCTAATCCAAACTCTCACAGAGGCCAACCTTTCCATAGCATGGACTGGGACTGCCATTAAGTCTTTTTTTTTTTTTTTTTTTTAAGAAACAGGGTCGGCCGGACGCGGTGGATCACAAGGTCAGGAGATCAAGACCATCCCGGCTGACATGGTGAAACCCAGTCTCTACTAAAAATACAAAAAATTAGCCGGGCGAGGTGGTGGGCGCCTGTAGTCCCAGCTTCTTGGGAGGCTGAGGTAGGAGAATGGCATGAACCCAGGAGGCGGAGCTTGCAGTGAGCCGAGAACACGCCACTGCACTCCAGCCTGGGCGACAGAGCGAGACTCCAACTCAAAAAAAAAAAAAAAAAAAAGAAACAGGGTCTTGCTCTTGCCCAGGCTGGAATGCAGTGGTGCAATCACGGCTCACTGCAGTCTCGAACTCCTGGACTCAAGCGATCTTCCTGCCTCAGCCTCCCAAGTAGCTGGGACTATAGGTGCACACTACCTACCTGTAGTCACCACGCGTGTGTAAGTTTATATATTTCTTTTTGTAGAGATGGGGTCTCACTATGTTGCCCAAGCTGGTCTTGAACTCTTGGGTTCAAGTGATCCTCCCGCCTTAGCCTCCCAAAGTGTGAGATTACAGGCGTGAGCCACTGCACTCAGCCGGTCTTGTTGTTTTCATCTGGGGGGACTCAAACTCTATGTTGAACACCCCCAGGCTTGCAAATACCACAACAGATCATTACTCCCTTAGAAAACACACTGCAGGATAAAGAGGGGCCCCTCAGGGAGCTGCTGCTCATGGATGGGCCCAGATTGTGAAGAGGTCAACCTGGGACACAGCTGCTAAGCTCATGAGACAGGTGAGGGCCTCCTGTTCCCTAACCCGCATCCCTCGCCAAATTTAGTCAGACCATTGTGGCCCTAGAAACAGAACTGTAAAAATGATGCGTCTACTGTAGGGGCTGGTGAACCCCTACTGTCTGTGGGCTGGCCACCTGTTTTTGTAAATAAAATTTTATCAGAACACGGCCACGCCCACTTGTTTCTCTGTTGTCTGTGGCTTCTTTTGAGTTGAGTGGCTGTGACAGAGGCTATGTGGGCTGCAAAGCCTGAAATATTTATTATCTGGCTCTTTCTCTTTTTTTTGAAACAGGGTCTCACTTTATCATCCAGGCTGGAGGCAGTGGTGCGATTTCGGCTCACTGCAACTTCAACCTCCCGAGTTCAAGCAATTCTCCTGTCTCACCCCCCAAGTAGCTGGGATTATAGGCATAAGCCACAATGCCTGGATAATTTTTGTATTTTTAGTAGAGATGGGGTTTCACCACGTTACCCAGGCTGGTCTCCAACTCCTGGGATCAAGTGATCTGCCCACCTCTGCCTCCTGAAATGCTGAGATTACAGGCGTGAGCCACTGCACCCAGCCTACTACCTCTTTTTTTTTTTTTTTTTTTTTTTTTTGAGACGGAGTCTCGCTCTGTTGCCCAGGCTGGAGTGCAGTGGCGCGGTCTCGGCTCACTGCAAGCTCCGCCTCCTGGGTTCACGCCATTCTCCTGCCTCAGCCTCCCGAGTAGCTGGGACTCCAGGCGCGGCCACCACGCCCGGCTAGTTTTTTTGTATTTTCAGTAGAGACGGGGTTTCACCGTTTTAGTCAAGATGGTCTTAATCTCCTGACCTCGTGATCCGCCCGTCTCGGCCTCTACCTAGCTCTTAACAGAAAAAATTTGCTGGCCCCTGGCCTACTATATCTAATTGGTTTGTTCTGGAAGGGAGAGCCTATTTCCAAGAATTCAAATGCAACCAGCTGGGCTCATGCAGTCTGGGAACTCCCAATGCTCTATCCCTGATGTGCAGAAGGAACCGGAATAAAAGGAGTGGCAAAGTGGATTCGCTGTGCAAAGTCATTACTGAATTCCAGACGCTTGAAATTGCCCATGCTGGGAGCAAACAGGCCACAAACAAGTAGCAAAGAGGTTGGTTTCTTTTTTTTTTTTTTTGAGACTCAGTCTCACTCTGTCACCCAGGCTGGGGTACAGTGGCTCAATCTCGGCTCGCTTCAACCCCCACCTCTTGGGTTCCAGCGATTCTCCTGCCTCAGCCTCCTGAGTAGCTGGGATTACAGGTGCCCGCCACCACACCCGGCTAATTTTTGCATTTTTAGTAGAGACGGGGTTTTCACCATGTTGGCCAGGCTGGTCTCGAACTCCTGACCTCAGGTGATCCACCCACCTTGGCCTCCCAAAGTGCTGGGATTACCAGCGTGAGCCACCATGCCTGGCCAGTGGTTGGTTTCTGAGCATCTCAAGTTCCCTACCATCCTGAGTATGATGGCTATAACCTTTTTTTTTTTTTTTTTTTGAGACGGAGTCTTGCCTTGTCGCCCAGGCTGGAGTGCAGTGGCACGATCTCCGCTCACTGCAAGCTCTGCTTCCCGGGTTCATGCCATTCTCCTGCCTCAGCCTCCCAAGTAGCTGGGACTACAGGCGCCCGCCACCACGCCCGGCTAATTTTTGTTTTTTTTTGTTTTTTTTTAGTAGAGACGGGGTTTCACTGTGTTAGCCAGGATGGTCTCAATCTCCTGACCTCATGATCCGCCCACCTCGGCCTCCCAAAGTGCTGGGATTACAGGCGTGAGCCACTGTGCCAGGTGGCTATAACTATTAATATAAGTCAGCAACCAGCTCCTACGCTAGGAAAATTCCAGAACCTTGCAAAGACCTTCATTAGCATTCCTTTTAGAACTGCAACAGTGTGAGCTTGAATATATTTTAACATATCCTGTGTCTCAAGGTCAGCTCGTAAGCTAGGTGCAGGGGAAGGCAGCTGGTACAGCTTTGTTTTTTGCCCTCTCTGAATCTATAACACTTTTGTGTTTGATGAAGGTGGTATCTGAATGCAGGGGAAGGAAAAGATTATATGGAGTATAGGCACACGGCCAGACATTTGACAGACTGTAATATCAGATTCCTACTCATACGTTTTGGCAAATTATATTCACAGAGAATTCAGATTTAGAAGCTTTTCAAAAAGAATCTGGAGGCCAGGTGTGGTGGCTCACGCTTGTAATCCCAGCACTTTGGGAGGCCGAGGTGGGTGGATCACCTGAGGTCAGGGGTTCGAGACCAGCCTGGCCAACATGGTGAAACCCTGTCTCTACTAAAAATACAAAAATTAGCCAAGCGTGGTGGCACGCGCCTGTAATCCCAGCTACCTGGGAGGCTGAGGCAGGAGAATCGCTTGAACCCAAGCGGATGGTGGAGGTTGCAGTGAGCCGAGATAGCGCCAACGCACTCCAGCCTAGGTGACAGAGCGAAACTCCGTCTCAATAACAACAACAACAAAAAGAATCTGGTGTTCTCCTGAAGACCTCCTCTTTCCTCTCTGCAATTAACTGGTTCTAAAGAGTGAGACCTTCTACATTTACTTCAACTTCAAAATACTGGAAAATCACTGTGTTGTAAAGAGCCTAAGAAATGAGTGCCAATAGCTTGTAAACTTGTTCTAGGCTGGGAATGGTGACTCCCACCTGGAATCCCGGTGTTTTGGGAGGCTGAAGCAGGATCCCTTGAGCCCAAGAGTTTAAGACCAGCCTGGGCAATATGGTGGAACCCCATCTCTACAAAACAGCATTACAAAAACCAACAATTAGCCAGGCGTGGTGGTGCATGCCTGTGGTCCCAGCTACTCAGGAGGCTGAGGCGGGAGGATTGCTTGAGCCTGGCAGGTAGAGGTTGCAGTGAGCTATGATCGCACCACTGCACTCCAGCCTGGGCAACAGAGCAAGACCCTGTTTCAAAAACAAAAACTAAAACAAAACAAATTTGTTGTTTACAAATCGCTAGAAATAGGAGGTTCCTGAAGTGGGCTGAACAGTGTCCCACCAAAATTCACGTCCACTAAGAACCCTGGAATATGGACTTCTTTGGAAAGAGAGCCTGGGGCAGAGGTCATTAGTTAAGGATCTCGGGATGAAATTTCGATTTAGGGTGGGCCCTAGAGCCTATGACTGGTGTCTGTGTAGAGAAAGGAGAGGGAGATTTAGAGACACAGATACAGAGGGGAAACACACACACAGGTGAAGGCCACGTGACCACGGAGGGTGTGGAATGACATGGCTACAAGCCGAGGAATCCCTAGGGCCACCTTTTAGAAGTTGGAAGAGGTCGCTGGGCGCGGTGGCTCACGCCTGTAATCCCAGCACTTTGGGAGGCTGAGGCGGGCGGATTGCCTGAGGTCAGGAGTTTGAGACCAGCCTGACTGACATGGTGAAACCTCGTGTCTACTAAAAATATAAAAAATAAGCTGGGCATAGTGGCGGGCACCTATAATCCCAGTTACTGGGGAGGCTGAGGCAGGAGAATCTCTTAAACTCAGTACACAGAGGTTGCAGTGAGCCAAGATCATGCCATTACACTCCAGCCTGGGTGAGTGAGACTCCATCTCAAAAAAATAAAAATAAAAATAAAGCACCCGAGTCTGTCGCACACAATAAAGGTGAGTTCGGTTTGGTAACACTTTGCATCCTATTATTGTACGTGTGCCCATTGGATCACGGTATAGAATGTTCTGTTTTTGGTCAAAACAAAAGCACCCATCTGAAGGAGCTACAAGAGAGTCCCTGAGGCCCCTGTCTTCAGGCCCAACCATCAGGCGAACCTTCCAGACCAATAGAGAGCTATCCTCATGCTAAAATACTCCAGGACTGGGATGTTCAGGTCGGATTAGCTCCACGATCTATCTAAAAGGCCTTTTAATAGAGACATGGCAAAACCCCATCTCTACTAAAAATACAAAAATTAGCCGGGTGTGGTGGTGGGCGCCTGTAATCCCAGTTACTGGGGAGGCTGAGGCAGGAGAATCACTTGAACCCGGGAGACGGAGATTGCAGTGAGCCGAGATTGAGCCACTGCCCTCCAGCCTGGGTGACAGAGCGAGACTCCATCTCAAAAAAAAAAAAAAAAAAAAGAGAGAGATCCTCCTGCCTCAGCCTCACAGAGCGGGTTTGCTTTGGGTTTCTACCTAACTGTGTTTCTCTTTTTTGTGACTTGACAACTGTTATCCAGATCAGTCGGTATTTACAGGACAACAGAGAACGCAGCCCGAGAAGCCCCTCGAGCATCTAACTGGCTCCCTGGAGCCAGGACAGGGAAGGGATCAACAATGAACACACAAGGTCAGGTCAACTCAGTGAAACGGCCCCAGGGCAGCCCGTACCTGCCTCTGGCAAGGTGCTCCTTACTATTCCTTCACATTTCTTCTTACAGATTACAAATAACTAGGCCAGGTGCAGTGGCTCACACCTCTAATCCCAGCACTCTGTGAGGCTGAGGCAGGAGGATCTCTTTTTTTTTTTTTGAGACGGAGTCTCGCTCTGTTGCCCAGGCTGACATGCACTGGCTCAATCTCGTCTGACTACAACCTCCGCCGCCTCCCGGGTTCAAGTGATTCTCCTGCCTCAGCCTCATCAGTAGCTGGGATTACAGGCACCAGCCACCACGCC
The DNA here is from genome assembly GCF_000001405.40 of Homo sapiens. Lineage (NCBI taxonomy): Eukaryota > Metazoa > Chordata > Mammalia > Primates > Hominidae > Homo > Homo sapiens. The sequence goes on along the minus strand of NC_000019.10, from coordinate 7,403,922 downwards.
TGGTTAATTTTTGTATTTTTAGTAGACATGAGGTTTTGCCATGTTGGCCAGGCAGGTCTTGAACTCCCAACCTCAGGTGATCTGCCTGCCTTGGCCTCCCAAAGTGCTGGGATTACAGGTGTGAGTCATTGAGCCCAGCAGGAGGATCTCTTGAGCCAAGGAGTTCAAGACCAGCCTGGGCAACACGGCGAGGCTTCATCTCTACAAAAAATAAAAAATTAGCCGGGCACGGTGGCGCACACCTGTAGTGCCAGCTACTTAGGAGGACAAAGCGGGAGGATTGCTTGCGCCCAGGACGTCAAGGCTTCAGTGAGCTGTGATTCCTCTATCCTGGGCAACAGAGCAAGACCGTCTCAAAAAAAAAAAAAAGAAAGAAAGAAAGAAAGAAAGAAAAAGCTAAGTTTAGGCAACAACGTAAATGAACCTTGCAATCGTTATGCTAAGTAAAAGAAGTCACATTAATACATCAAGTATACTGTAAGATTCCACTGATATGAAAAGTCTAGAATAGACAGATCTAGAGACAGAAAGTAGGGTCGTGGCTGCTGGGGGCTGGGAGGATGGGGGAATGGGCAGTGAAAGCTATGGGTGTGAGCTTTTCTTGTGGGTGATGACAATGTTCTGAAATTATAGTAGTGACAGCTGCACCACTCTGTGAACATAGTAAAAATCACTGATTTGGCCGGGTGTGGTGGGCTCACGCCTGTAATCCCACCACTTTGGGAGGCCAAGGCGGGCGGATTGCTTGAGGTCAGGAGGCCTGCACCTGTAGCCCCAGCTACTTGGGAGGCTGAGGCAAGAGAATTGCTTGAACCCAGGAGGCGGAGGTTACAGTGAGCCGAGATCGCGCCACTGTACTCTAGCCTGGGTGACAGAGTGAGATTCTGTCTCAGAAAAGACAAAACAAACACATTGAATTGTACACTGTAAAAGGGTGAGTTCTGTGGTATGTGAATCACATTATCCCAATTTTAAATTTGCTATAATATAACATAAATTGTGATCATATAATTATCTTGGCCAGCAGCAGCTGGTCAAGAGGGCTTTCTGGGTCATGCCTGGGCTATACCTGCTCCGAGGCTCTCACTTTGTCACACTGGATGGTACAGACACACTTTGTAACCTTCTCCTACGTGGTCCTACATGGCAGGGACCAGCGCATGGGCACACTGACATCTCCTGGGCATTAGGCAATCTATTAACCTAGCCCCACACCACTTACGGGGCAAGCTGGTCCCCTTTCCTTTAGGGTTCTCTTAGCTTTACCCCCCAGTCTTCCTGCCACTCAGTCTCAAACCATTCCTTAAAATTCTGTCCCATTGCCACTGTGCTTCCAGTTCTTATTCCATCTCTTCCTCTCTTTGTAACTGCTTTATTGAGATAGAATTATCATACCACACAACTCACCCTTTGACAGCATCCAATTCAATGGTTCTTAGTATGTTCACAGAGTTCTGCATCTGTCATCACAATCTATTTTATGTATTTATTCATTTTATTTTTTGAGACAGAGTCTCGCTCAGTTGCCCAGGCTGAAGTGCAGTGGCAGGATCTCGGCTCACTGCAACCTCCGTCTCTGGGGTTCAGGCAATTCTCATGCCTCAGCCTCCGGAGGAGCTGGGTCTACAGGCACGCACCACCACACCTGGCTAATTTTTGTATTTTTAGTAGAGATTGGGCTTCACCATGTTGGCCAGGCTGGTCTCGAACTCCTGACGTTGTGATCTGCCCGTCTTGGCCTCCCAAAGTGCTGGGATTACAGGCATGAGCCACTGCGCCCAGCCTACAGTCAATTTTAGAATGCCTTCATCACCTCAAAAAGAAACCCCATTACCTTGGCCATTACTCCCCACTCCACTACCCCCAGCCTGTGGCAACCACTAATCCACTTTCTGTCCTTGTGGATTTGCCTGTTGTATACATTTCATATAAATGGAATCATACAGCAGGTGGCCTTTGGGGACTGGCTTCTTCCACTGAGCAAGTTTTTTCCAGGTCCATCTCTGTATCGGAACTTCTTTTTCATGGCCAAGTAATATTCCACAGTATGGCGGGACCACATTTTATGTATCCGTTCCTCAGCTGATGAACATTTAGGTTGTCTCTGCTTTCTGGCTACTTGGAATAATGCTACTATGAACATTCCTCTGCAAGTGTTTGTGTAGACCTATGTTTTCATTTGCCTTAGGAACCTACAGAGGAACAGAATTGCTGGGTTAACTCAAGGTTTAAGCTTTGGAGGAACTGCCTGTTTCCCAAGGCAGCTACACCAACCTATATTCCCACCAGCAGTGTATGAGGGTTCCAATTTTTCCATCTTCCCATCTCTCTTAGGGATGGGCACAATGGCTCATGCCTATAATCCCAGCACTTTGGGAAGCCAAGGCAGGCAGATTGCTTGAGTTCAGGAGTTCAAGACCAGCCTGGGCAACATGGTAAGACCCCTGTCTCTCCAAAAAATAAAAAAAAATTAGCCAGGCGTGATGGTGTGTGCCTGTGGTTCCAGCTATTTGGGAGGCTGAGGTGGGAGGATCACTTGAGCCCAGGAGGTTGAGGCTGCAGTGGGCTATGATTGTGACACTGCACTCCAGCCTGGGCGACAGGGCAAGACCCTGACTCAAAACCAAAACAAACAAAACCTCATTGGTTAGGAGCCCCCAAGTGGACATCACAAAGGGTCACACGGACCCACCACTGGCCACCACACCCTGGCATTGTCAGCGCTACAGAGCTGATCCCTTGCTGCCTCCAGCGCCCAAGGATGCTGAAATCCTTTGCTCTACATTCTACCTGGTCCGTCACTATCCATTTCACCCCCGTAAGGGAACTAATGAGTCCAGTAATCCCCATTGTGGATAACTTCCCAACTTACTATGGTTTCTAAATTCAATTTTGCTCTTCAAATGAAACGTCAGCAAATTAGAGGTATCCCTACACAGAGTGTAACTGGGATGTCCCTGTATGCAAGATGATGCTAGATTCCTGCCAAGTAATCTGACATGGTCCTCCCCTCCTTCCATCCCACACTGCAATGAGAGAGCACCTGCTCAGGACTCCCTCTTTTCATTTATAAATATTTATTTATTTAGAGATAGGGTCTTGCTCTGTTGCCAAGGCTAGAGTGCAGTGGTGTAATCACAGCTCTCTGCAGCCTTGACCTCCCAAGGCTCAAGCAATCCTTCCATTCCAGCCTCCCAAGTAGCTGGGGCCAGAGGTGTGAGCCATCACACCTTGCCAATTTTTCAATTTTTTGTAGAGATAGGATTCTTGCTATGCTATCCAGGCTGGTCTTGAACTCCTGGCCTGAAGTAGTCCTCCTGCCTCAGCCTTCCAAAGTACTGGGATTACAGGTGTGAGCTGCTGTGCCCGGCCAATTTTTGTTTTCATTTTTGAGCTGAGACTTTCTCCAGACCAACTCCCTCTTTTCACTTTCTCTCCTCCTGAAACCCACCCATAAGAATGATGAACTGAGCCAGGTATGGTGGCTGATGCTTGTAGTCCCAGCTACTCAGGAGGCTAAGGCAGGAGGAACACTTTAACCCAGGAGTTTGCATTTAGCCTGGACAACACAGCAAGACCCTGTTTTTTTAAAAAAATAATAAGATGTCCTGGAATTAAATACTGATGACTGTTGCTTAACTCTGTGAATATCCTAAAACACACCAAATGGTACACTTTTAAAAGGTGAATTTTATGCTGTGCTAATTATATTTCAATAAAGCTGCTGTATTAAAAAAGTGACGTGAATTAAAAATGTAACCATCCACCATCCACAATGTGTTAAACGTGTACTGTTAGTGAAACCTTTAGAATATATATTTTTTCAATATATGACCATAAATCAGTGTATGAAGCCGTGCATGGTGACTCACATCTATAATACCAACACTTTGGGAGACAAAGGTAGGAGGATCGCTTGAGCCCATGAGTTTGAGACCAGCCTGGGCAACCCTATCTCTAACACACACACAAAAATACAAAAATTAATTGGGCGCGGTGGTACGCACCTATAGTCCTAGCTCCTTGGGAGGCTGAAGTGGGAGGATTGCTTGAGCCTAGGAGGTCGAGGCTGTAGTGAGCTGTGATCGTACCACTGCTCTCCAGCCCAGGTGATAAGAGCGAAACTCTGTCTCAAAAAAAAAAAAAAAAGGCGTGGTGGCTCACGCCTGTAATCCCAGCACTTTGGGAGGCGAAGTGGGCGGATCACGAGGTCAGGAAATCGAGACCATCCTGGCTAACACGGTGAAACCCAATCTCTACTAAAAATACAAAAAATTAGCCAGGCGTGGTGGCAGGCACCTGTAGTCCCAGCTACTCGGTAGGCTGAGGCAGGAGAATGGCGTGAACCCGGAGGTGGAGCTTGCAGTGGGCCAAGATCGCGCCACTGCACTCCAGGCTGGGGCACAGAGCAAAACTCTGTCTCAAAAAAAAAAAAGAAGGAAAAAAAAACATTAGTGTATCTACTGCTTTGAACATATTGAACATAATCAGACTAGAACTCTATACTCAGTTGAAACTATGAATCTATCTCTGACAAAAGCAGAGAAGCAAGCAAATTTAATTTAGTTCACATACAACTTAATTTGCATCACAAAAATGAGAACAACTGCTGTCACCGAATGCTCTCGGAGGACATTATTTTACCCAGTTTCCCTCCCTCACCCAGTCAGCCACAATCCTCCCCTCAAAAAATTCCTCCAGGCAGCTGCGAGGCTTCCACTGGTGCTGTTTTGCACCTAGAGAGAGGGTTTTCAAACACAGTAGTTCTTGACCGTCTCAGGGGGAAAGTAAAGTTTACCTAACAAATAACAAAGAAACAGCGATTGGCTGGACTTCATATAAGGTCTCTGGGCTTTTAAATGATTTTCAGAGAGGTGGCAGCAAAAATGTTTTGTAAGTCATAGAGTTTGAAGAGATAGAAACATGACCCAGGATGAGTGAGAATGAGGGAGATCTTGACACACGATCTGAGCTATGTTAAACATGTGCTAGGTAAACACCCAGGGAGGCACAGCCAGTCACCACGGCCCTGGCCCACAAAGGGCAATGGCCTTGAAGCCGTAATTGCTACTGTGTGACAAGAATGAAAATTATACTACAGCTATGCCAGAAACAATGTATGTGCTACTTCCCCTTTCAAAGTGGGGACATTCTCAAGTCGATTTAAGCAAGAAAGAGAGAAGGAACCAAAGAATCTCTTTTCTTTCTTTCTTTATTTTTTTTTTTTTTTTTGAGACAGAGTCTAGCTCTGTTGCCCAGGCTGGAGTGCAATGGCGTGATCTCGGCTCACTGCAACCTCTGCCTTGCGGGTTCAAGCGATTCTCCTGCCTCAGCCTCCCAAGTAGCTGGGATTACAGGCGCAGGCCACCACGCCCAGCTAATTTTTGTATTTCTTAGTAGAGATGGGGTTTCACCCTGTTGGCCAGGCTGGTCTCGAACTCCTGGCCTCTCTGCCCACCTCGACCTCCCAAGGTGTTGGGATTACAGGTGTGAGCCATGGTGCCCGGTCTCTTTTCTGCTTCTCTAAGGTATGCCATTTAAAAATGAAATATGACCGGGCGTGGTGGCTCATGCATGTAATCTCAGCTCTCTTGGAGGCCAAGGAGGGGATATTACCTGAGGTCAGGAGTTCGACATCAGCCTGGCCAACATGGCGAAACCCCGCCTCTACTAAAAATACAAAAAATTAGCTGGGCGTGGTGGCACACACCTGTAATCCCAGCTACTCGGGAGGCTGAGGCGAAATTGCTTAAACTTGGGAGGCGGAGGTTGTAGTGAGCCAAGATCACACCACTGCACTCCAGCCTGGGCGCCAGAGCGAGACCGTCTCAAAAAACAAAAGGAAAAAGAAAAAGGAAACACACTTTGAAGTATATATACACAGTGGCATGATTAAATCTAGCTTAGTAACAAATGCAGCACTTCGCATAGCTCTCATTTTTGTGGTGAAAGTGCTTAACATCCGCTCCTCTTGCATTTTTCAAGAATATGTCACGTTGCACATGATAAATACATACACTGTTATCTGTCAGTTAAAAAAACAAAAACAAAAACCACAGGCTGTGGCAGCTCACGCCTGTAATCCTAGCACTTTGGGAGGCCGAGGTGGGAGGATCGCTTGAGTCCAGGACTTCAAGACCAGCCTGGGCAACATAGCGAGACCCCACAAAAAAAATTTTTTTTTTTTTTTGAGATGGAATCTCGTTCTGTTGCCCAGGCTGGAGTGCAGTGGCACGATCTCGGCTCACTGCAACCTCTACCTCCCGGGTTCACGCCATTCTCCTGCCTCAGCCTCCTGACTAGCTGGGACTACAGGCACACGCCATCATGCCCAGCTAATTTTTTGTATTTTTAGTAGAGACGGGGTTTCACCGTGTTAGCCAGGATGGTCTCAATCTCCTGACCTCGTGATCTGCCCCCCCCCGGGCCTCCCAAAGTGCTGGGATTACAGGTGTGAGCCACCGCACCCGGCCCAAAAAATTTTTAAAAATTAGCCAGACATGGAAGCGCGTGTCTGTAGTCCCAGCTACTTGGGAGTTTGTGGCAGGAGGATTATTTGAGCCCAGGAGTTCGAGGCTGTAGTGAGCTATGATTGTGCTATTGCACTCCAGTCTGGGCAACAGAGTGAGACCCTGTCTCTAAAAAGAAAAAAAAAATTTTAAGTAAAATCACATACTAATTTCAGAAGAAAACAAAAACTAAATAAGCTATACAAAACCAAAACAAAGTAACGTTTACAAAAATGAAATGTATTATGCCTGCCAGCTGTTTGCTCTTTTTTGCTCTAGAACAAACACATCTTCATTTTTTTTTTTTTTTTTTTTTCGCAAAAAGGCTTGCTGACCTACAGAAATAGGAAACTACTGATAAAGCGTAAACCCTGACTCGGTCCAAACAACATCCGAGATGCTCAAATTTTCCAAACTCTTTATAATTTGGAATGTTAACCTAAACATCCAAGCCTGGGAGCATTCGCATATGCAAAGGGTGTATAACACTGATGGAAAGTTTGCCATATGCCAGACACTTCTGTGATGCACCTTACACAGATTACTTCATAGAAACCCCAACCAACCCTTATTCCCATTTTAAAGATGGGAAGACGGAAACTTAGTGAAGTTACACGGCTAACAGGTGGTGGAACTGGGACCAGAACCCAGCTCGGATCTGACCTCAAGCCTGTGCTCCTGACACTTCTTTTTTTTTTTTTTTAGACAGTCTTGCTCTGTCGCCAGGCTGGAGTGCAGTGGCCCGATCGCGGCTCACTGCAACTTCTGCCTCCCGAGTTCAAGTGATTCCCCTGCCTCAGCCTCCAGAGTAGCTGGAACTACAGGCGCCCGCTACCATGCCCGGCTAATTTTTGTATTTTAGTAGAGATGGGGTTTCACCATGTTGGCCAGGATGGTCTCGATCTCCTGACCTCGTGATCCACCCACCTTGGCCTCCCAAAGTGCTGGGATTACAGGCTTGAGCCACCGCGCCCAGCCTCTCCTGACACCTCTTACAGCTGGAGGATTAATCATTCACTCAGACACCTGCAAAACTCATCCCTTGGCCACTGGGCTGTCTATACTGTCCTGAACTCTCTCTCTGGTCAATGGGAAGAGAATGGGGCCCTTCAAAGCTACTGGCTGGAGCTTCATCTCCGCGAAAACAAGGCAAAGGGGAAAAGGTGTGTTGGCCGCTTCGCTTCCGTGGTAAAACTTTAAGAATGTTTTTTAATCCTGTGGTCCAGGCTTTAATCTCAACAGAGCAAGAGATAAGGGGCAGATAGCCACAGCAAAACACTCAAGTGCTAGTAGAATTAACGCAGGAAAAGAAAACCAAATACTGCACTTTCCCACTTGTAAGTGGAGCTAAACCTTGGGTACTCATGGACACCAAGAAGACAACAGAAACTGGGCTCTACTAGAGCGGGAAGGGAAGGAGGAGGTCAAGGGTTGAAACTATCTATTGAGTACTATGCTCAGTACCTGGGTGACGAGATCAGTCACACCCCAAACCTCAGCATCACGCAATATATCCAGGTAACAAACCTGTACATGTACCCCCTCAATCTCAAATAAAAGTTGAAATTTAAAAACGTAAAACAAAACGAAACATGTAAGGACCAGGGGAAAGCTTCTCGTTCCCGTCCGCAATGAAAGCACCAACTGAGTTCTTATACAAGAAACTAAAACCCATGGCACAGATAGTTCTCACGGTTTTGCACCCAAACGCTCCCTGCCAGGGAGGGCTGTCTGCTCCGGGGTGTGAGGGTTCTCCCGGGAGGCCTGAAATACGACGGTGCTGGGTATTGTGGTGGGTTCCATTCCATCCCTGGTCCTGCCCCGGGCGCTCCTGAACGAGGAGCAGAGGCTGGGGCCCAAGTGACCCCTCCTCTCCTCTCCTGGAGGAGAGTAAGCCGTAGCACCCCAGGACTGGCTGGGGCTCGGACGGAGCGGGCGGGCATCGTCTGCACCTCTGCACCCTGCAATCGCCGCCTAGAGCCTCCATGCATTGAAGGAGCAGCCTGCACCCCAGCACCCGTTCGCCTGCCTGGAGAAGTCCCCCAGGAGCCGGCGGGAGGCCCGAGGCAGCCCCGGGGGTCCCGCGCCCCAGGCCACCCCCTGAAGAGACCGAGGGCCCCCTCCTGAGCCCCGTTTTCCTCGGGACCGCCCCGCCGCCGTCCTCACCTCGGCCCGATCGCCCGCAGGCCGCTCTCCGCCAGCTCCTCTGCCACTCTCGCAGCCGCCTCCGATGCCTCCGTCCGGCCCCCCCAGATCCACAGTAGCTAGCAGCTGGGAGCCGGAAGCGGGAAGCCGCGCGAGGAGAGCAGCGCATGCGCGATCCCGCCTCGGAGGCGGGGCAGAGGGCGTGACCCGGAAGGAGGCGTGCCCTCGAGGGCGGGGCGCTCCCGGGGACCTGGGGCTGCTGCTCCCCGAGCCGTGGTGAGGGGGCGTCGGCTCGGCCTTGAGAGGGGCGCGGGCACCGAAGTGGGAGGGTGCTCGCGGCGAGGGTGAGGGCGACTTTTGAGGGGCGGGTCAGCGGGGTTGGGGGGCTTTTTGAAGGAGAGCAATGCGAGCCTGGCTGTCAGTAGGGCCGGGGGCTCTGAGGGGACAGCTGGGTTGCGGGGATCCAGAGGGAGAGCAGCAGGGTTAGGTGGGCGTTTTGTGGGGTTAACGGAAGCCTGGGTGATTAGCGCGGCTGGGGAGGGAGTCCTGAGGAGGACAGCGGTTTGGAGAATCTCAAGGGGGGTACAGCACAGTTAGGGGGACCCTGAGGGAGGACAGCGGGGTTGGGGGACCCCAAGGGAGGACAGCGGGGTTGGGGGGACCCCGAGGGAGGACAGCGGAGTTGGGGGACCCCGAGGGAGGATAGCGGGGTTAAGGGGACCCCAAGGGAGGACAGTGGAGCTGGGGGTGTTTTGGAAGAATCAACGGATGCCTGGAGGGGTTGTCAGTGGGCTCCTACGGGCTCGTTAGGATTGGAAGTACCTAAGGGGGGCACTCCCAGTGGTGGGGAGTCCTAGCGGGGAGAGTCCAAGAAATGGAGAGGGCAGGGTCTGTCACCTGAGAAAAAAGAAGCAGCATCAGGGAGTGGTGGGGGGATCACTTCATCCCAGGAGTTCAGGACCACCAGTCTGGGCAACATAGCAAGACCCCATCTCTACAAAACATTTTTTAAAATGAGCAGGGCATGGAGGCGCCTGCCTGTGGTCCCAACTCCTCCAGAGGCTGAGGTGGGAGGATGACTTGAGCCTGGGAGGTCCAGGCTGCGGTGAGCTATGATCATGCCTCCAGAGGCTGAGGTGGGAGGATGACTTGAGCCTGGGAGGTCCAGGCTGCAGTGAGCTATAATCATGCCACTGCACTCCAGCCTGGACAACAGAGCAAGACTCTGTCTCAAAATAACAACAACAAAAAAAGAGGCAGCATAGACTTCAGAAAGGTGGGTCTGGGAAAAATGAATCATATACCTCTCCAGTGGTCTCAGACACCCCAACATAGATACCATCAGATCCCCTAAACACAGGCACCCAGGCAGGTGCCATCAGATACCCAAAACAGGCTTCCAGGTAACCCCCAAATATGTCAGACACTCCACATAGGTCCAGCAGATACCCCCAAACACATACTAGATAACCCCAATACAGATGCTGTCAGATACCCTCAAACAGGTGCTCAGAGTCTGAAACACATACCATACCCTCCCCTATCCACTTCCACACAGGTGCTATTTGGCAGATGTGGATAGGCCAGATGCTTCCCCCAGCACCAGCAACCTCTCAATTGCCATCAGACACCCCAGTCTTGAGGTTGCCTGTCTAATCCAAGTCCTGCCACAGGGGAGGCAGTTGAACAGTAACCAGGAGTCGAGCAGAACAGCTCTCACCAAGGTTGGCTGGTCAGCCAGGCCTAGAAGATCTCCCCATGGCCAGGCAAGACGGCTCATGCCTGTAATCCTAACACTTTGGGAGTCTGAGGAGGGAGGATCACTTGAGTCCAGGAGCTTTGAGATCAGCCTGGGAAACCTCGCATGACCCAGTCTCTATTTTAGAAAAAAAGATTTCCCCAAACCCAATCACTTCAAAACATGCACAATATGTTGTTGAGAGTCCCCAGTTCAGAAGCTGGAGGGTTGCGTCCCCAGGTGGACTAGCCTTCAGTTCAAGTCCAACCTTCATGGTCCAGAGGAAGGGAGCATGTTCAGGGAATTGGATGTCCCAGAAATGCAAGACGTAATTCACCAGGCACCCTACTGCAGCTGAGGTCAGAAACTCTAACACGGGAGTTTATGAGGGCTCAATGGTTGGGCAGCTGTGTAGCTGTGGCTTATGGACTTAGGGGCATGAACCTTATTTTTTTTCCTTTTTTTTTTTTTTTTTTTTTTTTTGAGACAGGATCTCACTCTGTCACTTAGGCTGGAAGTGCAGTGGCACAATCATAGCTCATTGCAGCTTCCATCTCCTGGGCTCAAGTTGTCCTCCCACCTCAGCCTCCCAAGTAGCTGGGACCACAGGCACACACCACCACGTCTGGCTAATTTTTTTGTAGAGACAGAGTTTCGCCATGTTGCCTAGATTGGTCTCGAACTCCTGAGCTCAAGTGATCTGCCCGCCTGGGCCTCCTATGATGCCAGGATTGTAGGTGTGAGCCATCATGCCCGGCCTTTGAACCTTATTTCTTTCTTTCTCTTTTTCTTTCTTTTTTTTTTTTTTTCTTTCTTGAGACAGAGTCTCACTCTGTCACCCAGGCTGCAGTGTAGTGGTACCATCTAGGCTCACTGCAGCCTCCACCTCCTGGGTTCAAGTGATCCTCCTGCCTCAGCCTCCCGAGTGCTGGAATTACAGGTATGCACCACCAAGCCTGGCTAATTTTTGTGTTTTTTTTTTGTTTTTTTTTCAGTAGAGTCAGGGTTTCACCATGTTGGCCAGACTGGTCTTGAACTCCTGACCTCAAGTGATCCTCCCACCCTGGCCTCCCAAAGTGCTGGGATTACAGGCGTGAGCCACTGGGTCTGGCCATCAGCCTTATTTCTATAGCTATCTTGGTTATAGGAAACTTCAGGTGGACACAGCCCTCCCCTAAACATAGAAACCAACTTTCTCAGAGACAACTAGGAAGGAGAAACATCTCCCATCTTTCTTTTATCCATCCAACCATTCTGCATTTATGAGTCTTTTTTTTTTTTTTTTTTTTTGAGACGGAGTCTCACTCTGTTGCCCAAGCTGGAGTGCAGTGGTGCCATCTTGGCTCACTGCAAACTCCACCTCCCAGATTGAAGCAATTCTCCTGCCTCAGCCTCCCGAGTAGCTGGGATTGCAGGCACCCGCCACTACATCTGGCTAATTTTTGTATTTTTTGTAGAGATGGGGTTTTACCATGTTGGCCAGGCTGGTCTTGAACTCCTGACCTTAGGTGATCTGCCTGCCTCAGCCTCCCAAAGTGCTGGGATTACAGGCGTGAGCCACCACACCTGGCCTCATTTATGAGTCTTTAGCATGGACCAGGGGCGCTAGGAGCTAAGGAGATGCAAGGAGCTTAGGCCCAGAGCAGGGTTTTCTCAGCTTGGCACTTTCGACAATTAGGGCTGGATAATTCTCGGTGGTGGTGGCAGGGGTGGTCTCCTATGCACTGGAGGGTGTTGAGCGGCATCCCTGGTCTCTACCTCCTAGATGCCAGTGGCTCCCCTGGTCCTGAAAAAAATGCCTCCAGATGTTTCCTTGGCTGAGAGCAACTGGCCTAAGAGACATTCAGACACTTATCCAGCCTAATTCCGACTTCCTGGAGGAAGTGGGCCTGGGCTTTGTCTTAAAAGGATGAGTAAGAGTTAGGTGGGAGAGGGAGTTCCAGGAACAGCGCTGGATGAGCAAGGCACAGCGTATGTGTATGACGTGTATGAACAGCCATGAGACTTCAGGGTGACTGGGCCGTGGAGTCCGGAGAACCTGAGTAGTGGGAGAGAAGCGTGGAGGGATAGGTGGGGTTGAATTATAAACAGCCTCAAAGGTCAAGGCCAGGAACAGGACTGTCTGGCGTGGTGTCTGTTCTCTGAAAAGCATCCCAACTTTATCGTGGAGACCCACCTTCTCTAATTACCTGGAGTATGACTCATTCTCTGTTCTGTTTGTTTAACTTACTGTGAGGCTGTTTCCTCCGTCTGTCCCACGGACGGGAGGAAACGGGACAGACTGTCACGTTGACTTTGAATACCTTTAAAAGCAGGTAGGCCTGTGGGGAGTTATACCTTGGGAGGACTTTTCTCAGCCTGCTGGGAATGAGACATGGGTGTTTTGGCCCCTTCATGCCTCCTGACACAGGTGGGGAGGGGTTTGTTGTCAGAGAACAGGGTTAGGGTCTGTGATTTATTTTTTTATTTTTATTTTATTTATTTATTTTTTTGAGACAGAGTCTCACTCTGTCAACGGGCTGGAGTGCAGTGGTGTGATCTCAGCTCACTGCAACCTCTGCTTCCCGGGTTCAAGTGATTCTCCTGCCTCAGTCTCCCAAGTAGCTGGGACTACAGGCAGGCGCCACCACACCCAGCTAATTTTTGTATTTTTAGTAGAGACGGTGTTTCACCATGTTGGCCAGGATGGTCTCCCTCTCTTGACCTCGTGATCTTCCCTCCTCGGCCTCCCAAAGTGCTAGGATTACAGGCGTAAGCCACCACACCTGGCTTGGTCTGTGATTTATTATTATTTTTATTTGTTTTTGCAGCTTTGCAGAGGCAAGCGTCTATGATTTAAATGCTAGCTTTGCCGCTTACTGGCTGAAAGACTTTAAATGACAATAACAAAAAATGAAGAGGATGATGATGATGATACAAGATACCATTGCCCGTGTGTACCAGACATCATGCTAAGTGAGTGCTACCCACATCATTTTTCTTTCTTTTCTTTTCTTTTCTTTTTTCTTTTTTTTTTTTTTTTGATACAGAGTCTCGCTCTGTCACCCAGGCTGAAGTGCAGTGGCGCAATCTTGCCTCACTGCAACCTCCACCTCTTGGGTTCAAGGGATCCTCCCACCTGAGCCTCCTGAGTAACTGCGATTACAGGCATGTGCCACCATGCCCCGCTAATTGTTTTGTGTTTTTAATGGAGATGGGGTCTTACCATGTTGGCCAGGCTGGTCTCAAACTCCTGACCTCAAGTGATCCTCCCACCTTGGTCTCCCAAAGTGCTGGGATTACAGGTGTAAGCCACCACGCCCAGCCTTTACCCACATTATTTCTTTTTTCTTTTTAGGAACAGGGTCTTGCTCTGTGGCACAGGCTAGAGGGCAGTGGCAAATCATAGCTAACTGTAGCTTTGAACACCTGGGCTCAAGCAATGCTGCCACCTCAGCCTCCCGAGTAGCTAGGATTATAGGCGAGTGCCACCACACCTGGCTAACTTTTAAACATTTTTTTTGTAGAGACGAGGGTCTCACTATATTGCCCAGACTCCTGAACTCAAGGGATCCTCCTGCCTCAGCCTCCCAAAGCGCTGAGATTACAGGAGTGAGCTTCCGCGCCCGGCCCCACATCATTTCTTTCACACAAACTCAAATCTTTCTTGACCTCAAAGGGTTGTCCTGCAAATCAAAATCAAATGATGTCTCCAGGAGAAAGAGCTTAATTCCCACCACCCTGAGAGTGGGCTGGATGTCACGACTCGTGGGCGGATCGCTTGAGGCCAGGAGTTCGAGACCAGCCTGGCCAACACGGCGAAACCCTGTCTCTACTAAAAATACAAAAAATTAGCCAGGCATGGTGGCATACGCCTGTAATCCCAGCTACTCGGGAGGCTGAGACAGGAGAGTAGCTTGAACCCAGGAGGTGGAGGTTGCAGTGAGCCAAGATTGTGCCACTGCACTCCAGCCTGGGTGACACAGCAAGACTCCATCTCAAAAAAAAAAAAATAAGTAAATAAGAAAGAAAGAAAGGAAGGAAGGAAGGAAGGGAGGAAGGAAGAAGGAAGGAAGGAAGGAAGAAAATGTAGGGTGGATGCAGTGGCTCACACCTGTAATCCCAGCACTTTGGGAGGCTGAGGTGGGTGGATCGCTTGAGCCCAGGAGTTCAAGACCAACTTGGGCAATGTGACAAAACCCTGTTTCTACAAAAAAAAAAAAAAAAAAAAAAATTATCCTGGTATGATGGCATGCACTTCTAGTCCCAGCTACTTGGGAGGCTAGGGTGGGAGGATTGCTTGAGCCCAGGAGGCAGAGGTTGTAGTGAACCAAGATCACGCCACTGCACCCCAGCCTGGGCAACAGAGCGAGACTCTGTCTCAAAAAAAAAAAAAAAATTAGCCTGGTGTGGTGCTACGAGACTGTAGTCCCTGCTACTCGGGAGGCTGAAGTGGGAGGATCTCTTGAGCCCAAGAAGTCGAGGCTGCAGTAAGCTGTGATCGTGCCACCGCACTCCAGCCTGGGCAACAGAGTGAGACTCTGTCTCAAAAAAATTAAAAATAACATGAGGAGAAGCTGGGAAGGAGGGCTTAAAGGGACTCTCTCTGCTTTCTTTGTACTTTCCTGTAAATATAAAATTAAAAGTATATTTTTTAAAAATCAAAGGGCAGGCCAGGCGCGGTGGCTCATGCCTGTAATCCTAGCATTTTGGAAGGCTGAGGGGGGTGGATCACCTGAGGTCAGGAGTTTGAGACCAGCCTGGCCAACATGGTGAAACCCCATCTCTACTAAAAATACAAAAATTAGCCAGGCGTGGTGGCGCATGCCTGCAATCCCAGCTACTCAGGAGGCTGAGGCAGGAGAATGGCTTGAACCTGGGAGGCGGAGGTTGCAGTGAGCTGGGATGGTGCCAACTGCTCTCCAGCCTGGGTGACAGAGCAAAACTCCATCTGAAAATAAATAAATAAAAATAAAAATAAAAGGGCATCATATGCCAATGGATTGGTGATCGGGGGCTCAGGCTGTGAGTTCAAACCCTGACTTGAGCAAAAACTTAACTTCTCTGGGCCTCAGTTTCCTCATCTGTGAAAGAGAGAAAGTGCTAGTGTCTACAGAGTTACAAAGCTGAATGAGGAAATCGGTTTAGAGCACTTACAGACCGGGCTCAGTAGTTCATACCAGTAATCCCAGCACTTTGGGAGGCATAGGTGGGAGGATCACCTGAGGCCAGGAGTTCGAGACCAGCCTGGACAACATAGCAAGACCTTGTCTCTATTTTTAAAAAATCTAAATAAAAACAAAATAAAGCACTTACAGTGCTTGGGATAGTGTAAGTGCTCCATACGGTAATGCTAACCATTGTTATTATTTGTGCAAAGTTTTCTGTGATTATAAAGTGACATTCAGGAAATTAGACGCTGTTGGAACTCTCATTGCTCAAGGTCATTTTTTTGTAAGGGGTTTATTGATTTGCAGGACATGATAAGCCACTCACCTTGCTTGCTACCAGATAACCTCGTTCAGGGGTTGGCAAACTTGCTTTGTAATGCTGCAAACTCAACTCTGCCAACCAGAAATGTAGCTTGAGCCAGACACGGTGGCTCATGCCTATAATCTCAGCACTTTGGGAGGCTGAGGTGGGTGTATCACTTGAGGTCAGGAGTTTGAGACCAGCCTGGCTAACATGGTGAAACCCCGTCTCTACTAAAAAAAATTAGCCAGGCATGGTGGCAGGTACCTGTAATCCCAGCCACTCGGGAGGCTGAGGCGTGAGAATCGCTTGAACCTGGGAGGCGGAGTCTCCAGTGAGCCGACATCACGCCACTGCACTCTGGCGTGGGCGACAGAGCGAGATTCTGTCTCAGAACAAAACCAAAAGCAAAGATGTAGCTTGGGAACCACCGAAGGTGATACATAAATGAACAGGCGAGCTGTCCTGCCACAAAACCTTATTTGCAGACTGTAAAATGCAAATTTCATAGAATGGTTGTGTGTCACCAAATATTTGTTTTCAACCATTTACAAATGTAAAAAACCCACCCCATTCTTAGCTTTCAGCGTATGCAAACAAACAAAAAAACTCAAAAAACAAAAAACAGCGCTGGGCGCGGTGGCTCACGCCTATAATCCCAGCACTTTGGGAGACCGAGACGGGCAGATCACGAGGTCAGGAGATCGAGATTATCCTGGTTAACACGGTGAAACCCCGTCTCTACTAAAAATACAAAAAATTAGCCGGGCATGGTGGCGGGCACCTGTAGTCCCAGCTACTTGGAAGGCTGAGGCAGGAGAATGGCATGAACCAGGAAGGCAGAGCTTGCAGTGAGCTGAGATCGCGCCACCGTACTCCAGCCTGGGCAACAGAGTGAGACTCCATCTCAAAACAAACAAACAAACAACAACAACAACAAAAACAGGTGATGGACTGCAGTTTGCCAGTCCCTGGCTTAGAAAATTGTTGCCGAACTTTTCCAAGGTCGCATGTTCTGGTTGGAGATCTGATGAAAACCCTAGCTGCTCTGCTCCTCCAGAAAAACGCAGGGACACAGCAGATGTGGCATACAACTTCAGGGGGACTGAAAGCTCATAAGGAGGTGCTGGACGCTGTCCCGCCCAAATCCCCAGCTGGAAGGCAGGAACTGTCTTTGCAGCGCCCAGAGTGGAGAAGGGATCCGAAGCAGCAATGGGAACTTCCAGGCTCACACAGGGGCCACTGAAGCCTGTCTGCCCTGATAGGAGTCTAGGTGGAGGTGGGATTTGCAGACAGCAAGCTCAGCTATCGAGTGACAAGTGACAGGGTCCTCTGAGCAATGGCTCAGATGGGGGCAGGCATGCACATTTGTGTGACCTGCAACAGGTTCCGACAGACCTCTTCTACCTCCACTTCAAGCACACTGGCCTTTCTGCTGCCCGGGGCACATTCCTGCCCTGGGACCTTTCCACCTACGACCTGGAATACTCTTCCCTACCTATCCACAGGGCCCTTTTCCCACCTCCTCCACATCTGGATTCCAATGTCACCAATTCGGAGAGGCTATCCCTGGACACTTGAGGGAGAGCCGTGGTCCTCACCTGGGGGTGACTGCATTCCTACCCTGCCACTAGAGGACACGTGGCAACTTGGTCATCATAGCTAGAGGCGCTCCTGCCACCAAGTGGGTGAAGACGATGGATGCTTTTCAACCTCCTCCCAGGCACAGGGCGGCCCCACACCACAGCCCCAAATGTCAGTAGTGCTGAGGTTGACAAACTCTGTAATCACTCTGTCTCCTTTTCTAACTTCATGTTTTTCCTTTGTCTTTTTTTTTTTTTTTTTGCAACATAGCAAGAGCCCGTCTCTACAAACAAACGAAAATGTTAAAAATGAGCAGGGTGTGGTTATATATGCATGTGGTCCCAGGTATTTGTGAGGCTGAGGTGGGAGGATTCCTTAAGCCGAGGATTTCAAGGCTGCAGTGAGTTATGATCACACCACTGCACTCCAGCCCCGGGGGTGGCGGGGAGGAGAGAGAGAGAGGGAGAGAGGGAGAGGGAGAGAGAGAGAAAGAGAGAGGGAGAGAGAGAGAGAGGGAGAGAGGGAGAGAGGGGGAGGGAGAGAGAGAGAGGGAGAGGGGGAGAGAGAGAGAGAGAGAGAGGGAGAGAGGGAGAGAGAGAGGGAGGGAGGGAGAGAGGGAGGGGGGAGAGAGAGAGAGAGAGAGAGAGAGAGAGAGAGAGAGATAGAGAGAGATAGATCCTATCTCTAAAATAGAAATTTTGAAAAAGTTCCCAGGTGACAGGCCAGGCGCGGTGGCTCACGCCTGTAATCCCAGCACTTTGGGAGGCCAAGGCAGGCAAATCACTTGAGGTCAGGAGTTTAAGACCAGCCTGGCCAACATGGTGAAACCCTGTTTCTACTAAAAATACAAAAATTAGCTGGGCGTGGTGGTGGGCACCTGTAATCCCCGCTACTCGGGAGGCTGGGGCAGGAGAATCGCTTGAACCTGGGAGGTGAGAGTTGCAGTGAGCTATGATCGTGCCACTGCACTCCAGCCTGGGTGACAGAGTGGGACTCCGTCTCAAAATAATAATAATAATAATAATAATAATAATAATAATAATAATAATAATGAAGTTCCCAGATGACGGCGACGCTCTAAGTCAGTGGGCCACATGGACATACAAGACCTTGGGTGACCCCAAATCAGAGTTTAAAGACCTCAGGATTTTTCTGAGAAGCAAAGCAAAAGCAGGAACAGAAACAAATGGAGAATGATAAGGAACCAGCAATCACAGAAGGAAGTGCATGGTTCAGCTCAGCCTGGAGCTGTTCAAGGAAGGGTATCCGAGGGCAGGCTCCCAGCGCCTGCTCTGTGCAGTCTTGGTTCTAGACCTCTGGCTTTACTCTTCCAACTTCCAACCTTCTATCTGCCCCTTGCATCTGATGCCTAAGATAGACTGAGCACAGCTCATCCCCTGCAGAAGAGAACAAGGTGCCAGGGAAAAGAGGGAGTCACCTGCTGTCCCAAATTAAGGACTTCAACACACTGACTTTGTTGGTGCACTGAAGATTTGGCAAAGGCTGGGTGAGGTGGCTCACACCTATAATTCCAGCACTTTGGGAGGCTGAGGCGGGAGGATCGCTTGAGTCCAGGAGTTTGAAAGCAGCCTGGGCAATATAGTGAGACCTTGTCTCTACAAAAATAAGTTAATAACTTAGCCAAGCATGGTGGTGCACACCTGTAGACCCAGCTACTCGGGAGGAGGAGGTGGGAGGATTGCTTGAGCCCAGGAGAAAGAGGCTACAGTATGCTGAGATCACACCATTGCACTCCAGCCTGGGCAACAGAGTGAGACCCTGTCGCAAAAAAAAAAAAAAAAATTTTGCAAAAAGCTCATGCCAGCCTCTGCTGAGGACAGCTCATGGGTCACAGAGCTGGATGGGGATTGCCTAACAGAGGGAGCTCAAAGAGGAACATCGTTGACACCACTAGCCACCAACAGCCACCCCCAGCCCCATGGCCAGCAATGGCACTGCAGAAAGAGAGGAAAATGAGAAAGAAGGAAAATTCCCACGCCTGAAGCAGGTAAAGCCAACAAATGCAAAACCTGCAAGGCACGTTGCTCAGAGGCACTTGCCCCGGGGGTGGAGATGTTCTCTCACTGCAGGGTCTAAGCCCATCTAGGATCTGTTTGCCCATCTCATTCACCCATTGATTCCTGTCTGGAGGAAATTCTGCCCCCCAGGAGACTTTTGGCCATGTCTGGAGACATTTTTGATTGTTGCAACTGGAGGCAGGAGGTGGTTACTACCAGCATTTAGAGGGTGAAGGCCAGGGATGCTACTAAATATCCTACAATGCACAGGATAGCCCCTTAGAACAAAGAATCACCTGGCCCCAAATGTTGACAGTGCTAAGGCCCAGAAACTGTGAACTAGCCTGAGTTCTGCCAGCCACAGACTGCAGTTTGGATTCGGTTACAAACGGCGCACGCATCTTTTCTAACACGCAGTTGCCACCACCTCCTCCTCTTCATTCCCTCCAACGTGGAGCTTATTTGCAAAAAGACAAAGTTCTAAATCCCGGCAATGACCAGAGCCATCTCTTTCTGGGAGTCTCTTGAATCTGGTACTTTTTCTCGAGTAGAGACTCTTTCCCTCACCACCCCACAACCACCAAGTGCCCCAGGAAGCAGAAAACGACCTGCTATGGATAAAATTGTATGCCCCTCCCCCCACCCATCAAATTCATGTGTTGCAATCCTACTCCCCCACTTCTGTCCTTTAGGATGCGACCTTATTTGAAAATAGAGTCTTCATGGATGTAAATAAGCTAAGCTGAGGCCACACTGGAGTGTGGTGGGCCCCTAATCCAATATGGCTGGTATCCTTATAGAAAGGGGAAACTGGGACACAGACAGGGCCATGTGAGGCTAAGGGATGAAGCCAGGAGAGACGCCTGGAATGGATCATTTCCTGGCACCTTCATATGAAGCTTAGCCCTTGATCTCAGACTTTAAGCCCCCAGAAGTGCAAGGGAATATATCTCTGATGGTTAAGCCACCTGGTGCATGGTACTTTGTCATGACAGCCCTAGCAAACTCATACACGGCTCAAGTCCAGATGCTGCAGGAGGATTCCCACAATCGCAAAAGCTGAGACTTAAAGGGACTGTTGCCAGTCCCGAGTTAGCCCAAGGGTCCCTGTGCCCAGGGACTGATCCCTGGTTCTCTCCAGGGAGCCGCCGAGGAGAGGGCAAAACAGAACGAGGATGCACACATCAAAAGAGACCCCAGGAGTATGATTGAAAGGACGTGAAGAAGAGAAAGTGGCTGCCCTCCAGGAGGATGGATTGGGCCACCAGACTTACCTGAGCTCAAGAAAGGTTTGCCACACAGGGGGCAGCTGGAGGGGCCGGAGAAGGTCCCTTGCAACAGCTGGTGCCCATTGACACACTCCCGCCTCTCTCGTGCATCCTGGCCCTTGTCCTTCAGATGTGCTGGGCTCTTCCCCTGGATGGGACAGAGGTGGGTCTCAGGATGCCCTCTGCAGGCACTGGCCCTCTTATATACTGTGTACCCAGCCCACCACCAGCCCCAGTCACAGGGCTCCCGGGCTAAGGGCAGCAAGCCAAGCTGGGGAAGGCAGAGGAGGGCCCCCGTGGCTTAGCTCCCCTTACCTTCTCCTTCTGCCTGGTCACTCGACTGCGGAGGCAGCTCAGCCTGCGCTTCACACTGGTACTCTTGTCACTCTTCTCGTTCTTGCCAGCACCGTCCTCGCTCCTGAGGGACGAGAGGGAAGGTCCACTAGAGGGGGCCAGGGGCCATTCTGAGGCAGCCCTGTGGGTTGCTTCAGGAATCCACCTGCAACCTGTCTCCCTGTGGCCTCCTGGTCCTGCCTTACCCCTTCCCTGGCCCTTGACTTCCTCCTTCCCTCCCTCCTTCCCTGTCTTACTTATTCACTCAGCAGACATGAATGAATGTTTGCAAGAGCTTTGGGGACTGGGTTTACAGAGGGAAATGCAACGTGATCTCAGGTTTGAGGTCCCTCAATGCCTGGGCTGGGAATTTCAGCTCTGTTCACTTATGATTTCTCCCTCTAATTCACGCCCCCCACCCCCACCCGGTATCTAATTGGCCTTTATTTATTTATTTATTTAGTTATTTTGTTATTTATTTTGAGACAGAGTCTCACTCTGTCACCCAGGCTGGAGTGCAGTGGTGCAATCTCGGCTCACTGCAGCCTCTGCCTCCAGGTTCAAGCGATTCTCATGCCTCAGCCTCCCGAGTAGCTGGGACCACAGG
The DNA here is from genome assembly GCF_000001405.40 of Homo sapiens. NCBI lineage: Eukaryota > Metazoa > Chordata > Mammalia > Primates > Hominidae > Homo > Homo sapiens. The sequence goes on along the minus strand of NC_000019.10, from coordinate 7,382,269 downwards.
TGTGTGCCACTGTGCCCAGCTAATTGTTTTGTATTTTTAGTAGAGGTGGGGTTTCACCGTGTTGGCCAGGCTTAGGTGATCCATCTGCCTCAGCTTCCCAAAATGCTGGGATTACAGGCATGAGCCACCACGCCCGGCCCTAATTGGTCTTTAAATCCTGCTCATTCTTCTATCTCCTCCCCCACCCCAAACTCCATCCCCAGGTCACTGGCATGGTTTCCTGGATTTCAGGCACACCTTCATTTAATAAATATTAGGTCAGTGACATATAAGGCAGACATGATTCCTGCTCTGGTAGGGTCTATTTCCTGGGCGGAGACGCCATTCCTCCAGTCTGTGCCCCCAGATCCCAGTCCGAGTGGCTTCTGGAACTTTGTAAATATCCATAAATGTTTCTTGAATGAATGAGTGAGTGAGAGAGGGAGGGAGGAAAGGAGGGAGAGAGAGGGATTCAGGGACCTCCAGCCCTGTCTGTGGTCCTCATACTGTCCCCATCCTATCACCAGAACTGATAATGCTCAAAGGCCCCACTGCTCTTTTTATTTTTATTTATTTATTTATTTATTTATTTATTTATTATTTATTTATTTTTGAGACGGAGTTTCACTCTGTTGCCCAGGCTGGAGTGCAAGGGCGTGATCTTGGCTCACTGCAACCTCCGCCTCCTGGGTTCAAGTGATTGTCCTGCCTCAGCCTCGTGAGTAGCTGGGATTACAGGCACCCGCCACCACATCCGGCTAATTTTTGTATTTTTAGTAGAGATTGGGTTTCACCATGTTGGCCAGGCTGGTCTTGAACTCCTGACCTCAGATGATCCACCCTCCTCGGCCTCCCAAAGTGCTGGGATTATAGGCGTGAGCCACCGCACCCAAGCCCCACTGCTGTTTCGGATAAAGTGTGAGCGCCTTTGTGTAGCTGAGGTGGTCTGGTCTCTGCTGATTTCTCCCACCTTCCCTCCTCCCAGCCCCACTCCGATGTCATTCCCTAAGCCTTCTAGTTTCTTTTTTTTTCCTTCATCCTTATCTGCACGTATTGGCAAACTCCTACTCTTCCGTCAGAACCCTGCTTACATCGTCACCTCCTCCAGGAAGTCTTCCTCTGTCCTCTCAGGGTATACGGGAGCCTCATCCCTCCCTTTCCTGCCAGCTCCCACCATTGCCCTGATGGGGGCTCCAGCTCCTGCCCCCAGCATGGGGGGTCTGGCCCAAAGGACCATCTGTAAACACTTGTTCGAATCCAAGGCTGCCCTCCCCAGAAGCAGATCTGTGTACTTACTCCGACAGGAATTCAAACCAGGTCAGGTTCGAGTGGGCTCCTCCGGGGCTGGCTGACATGCAAGCCCTCTGCCGGGCCCTGCAGGATCAGAGGGGACAGATACCTGGGTCGGCAGCCTCTTCTCCCACTCACCTACCCCAGTGCTACCGAGTACAGGCATACACCAGGTACCCCGTCTAAGAGCCCACCTGTCCTTGACACTCTGGGCTTGTATATGAGACATTATGACAGGTTTTCCAGCAGAGGGCAGTAATGTGTCTTGGCTAAACAAAATCAGTGTAGCAGGAAGATGTTTTTTTTCTTTTTTAATAGAGATGGCGTCTCCCTCTGTTGCCCAGGCTGGAGTGCAGTGGTACAATCACAGCTCACTGCAGCCTCGACCTCCGGGGCTTGAGCAATCCTCCCGCCTCAGTCTCCTGAGTAGCTGGGACTATAGGCATGTGCCACCATGCCTGGCTAATTTTTAATTTTTTTTTTAACCAAGTACTTAAATCTTACACAGTTTTTTTTTTTTTTGAGATGGAGTCTCGCTCTGTCACCCAGGCTGGAGTGTGGTGGTGCGATCTCGGCTCACTGCAAGCTCCGCCTCCTGGGTTCACGCCATTCTCCTGCCTCAGCCTCCTGAGTAGCTGGGACTACAGGCGCCTGCCACCATGCCCAGCTAATTTTTTGTATTTTTTAGTAGAGACGGGGTTTCACCATGTTAGTCAGGATGGTCTCGATCTCCTGACCTCGTGATCCGCCCGCCTTGGCCTCCCAAAGTGCTGGGATTACAGGTGTGAGCCACTGCGCCCAGCCCACAATTTTTTTTTTTTTTTAAACAGGGTTTTGCTCTGTTGCTCAGGCTGGTGTGCAGTGGCATAATCATGGCTCATGGCAGCCTTCACTGCCTGGACTCAGCCATCCTCCTGCGTCAACACCCCCACACCCCCCAGAGTAGCTGGGGACTACAGGTATGTGCCACCACGCCCAGCTAATCAAAAAAAAAAAATTATACAGACAGAGTCTCACTCTGTTGCCCAGGCTGGTCTCAAACTCCTGGGCTCAAACAATCCTCCCACCTCAGCCTCCCAAATTGCTGGGATCATAGGCATGAGCCACCTCGCCCAGCAAATTTTTAAATGTTTTTTGTAGAGACAGGGTCTCACTATCTTTCCCAAGCTGGTCTCAAACTCGTGGCCTCCAAATGATCCTCTCACCTTGGCCTCCCAAAGTGTTGGGATTACAGTGGTATGAGCCACCACATCCAGCTACAGGAAGATTTTGTAACAGATGGCAGTGTCTTAGGCAGGAGGCACCTTCACCTGTTTGCTCCAAGGAACCCCTATGCCAGTGGCAGCCTGCTCCTCTCCAACTCTTGTCTTCTATCCTCCTCCCTCCTCTTCTGCCCCATTTTTCTTCCCTTGAACCCAGCCTTGTCTTTTTTCTATTTTTTTGAGACAGAGTTTCACTGTGTTGCCCAGGCTGGAGTACAATGGTGCAGTCTCAGCTCACTGCAACCTCCAACTCCTGGGTTCAATCAATTCTCCTGCCTCAGCCTCCTGAGTAGCTGGGATTACAGGTGCGTGCCACCACGCCTGGCTAATTTTTGTATTTTGAGTAGAGACGAGGTTTCGCCATGTTGGCCAGGCTGGTCTCGAACTCCTGACCTCAGGTGATCTGCCTGCCTCAGCCTCCCAAAGTGCTGGGATTACAGGCGTGAGCCACTGTACCCAGCCCTCACCCAGTCTTCTCTACCCCTGTCTCCTACACCTGTGCACACCCCTGCATGCTTCCTGCTTTTGTCTCCCACTTTGCTCCCCTCAAGCCTGTCCCGATTCCCACTTACCCATGGTACTGTCGAAGTTCTTGAAGCACCTGCTGGACAATCAGCCTGTGGGGGTGGAGGTGGGATTAGAACAGCCCATGGTAGCTCCAGGTTACAGACACTCTCCCCTAGATAAGCTGGGGTTGCCCAAGCAGGCCTCAGGTCCTGATGCAGACCCTACTCAAAGCCACAGTCAGCCGGGCACAGTGGCTCACGCCTGTAATCCCAGTACTTTGGGAGGCCAAGGTGGGCGGATCACCTGAGGTCAGGGGTTCGAGACCAGCCTGGCCAACATGGTGAAACCCCGTCTGTACTAGAAATACAAAAATTAGCCGGGCGTGGTGGCGGGCGCCTGTAGTCCCAGTTACTCTGGAGGCTGAGGCAGGAGAATCACTTGAACCCAGGGGGCAGAGGCTGCAGTGAGCTGAGATCACGCCACTGTACTCCAGCCTGGGTGACAGAGTGAGACCCTATCTCAAAAAAAAAAAAAAAAAAAAAAAAAAGCCACAATTGTCTCCCAAGGCTACATTGAGAACCTTTCTGAGGGGCCTGGGTCCCTCCCACCGGGAGAAGGATGGTGGCAGAAAGATGAGGTTATGGGGGGACTAGTGGGATGGTGTCTGGCCCTGGTCACTTATGGCCAGCAACACTGCACCCTGGCAGCCCTCCTCCCGCAGCCCTGACTTTGTGGCCTGTTCCCTGGGGGTCCCTCCCCCACCACGAGGCAGAAACTCACACGTGATCTGGTTCCACATGGTCTTTTTCCATGCACTCCAGCACTGGAGGTTCCAGGCCTGGAAGAAGCCCCCCATCCCAGGAAGCACAGTTGTCAGGAGCTCTGGGACAGGACCAGCCCAGCAGAGCCCTCCCGGATGCCACCCTGGGCCCCTGCAGAACTGGAGGCCATGCAGACAGGGCCTGTACTCTCAGGCAACAGAGACGAGAAGAGGACAGAGAGCCAGGGACAAACGCAGGTGTCCCCAGTGTCTCGTGAGTGCTTACAACCTACTAAGTGCTTTACGTGTGTGAGATCAGCAGACTCTCCAAGTGGCCTGAAGGAGATACGCTTATTGTCCCCCCTCCCCTTTTTTTCCTTAGACACAGTCTCGCTCTGTCACCCTGGCTGGAGTGCAATGGCTCAATCTCAGCTCACTGCAACCTCCGCCTCCTGGGTTCAAGCAAGTCTCCTGTCTCAGCCTCCCGAGTAGCTGGGATTACAGGCGCACACCACCATGCCCGACTAATTCTTGCGTTTTTATATTTTTAGTAGAGACGGGGTTTCACCATGTTGGCCAGGGTGGTCTCGAACTCTGGACCTCAGGTGATCCACCTGCCTCGGCCTCCCAAAGTGCTAGGATTACAGGCGTGAGCCACCGCACCAGGCCTTTTTTTTTTTTTTTTTGAGACGGTTTCACTCTGTCACCCAGAGCGGAGCGCAGTCCTGCCATCAGAACTCACTGCAGCCTTGACCTCCTGGGTTTAAGTGATCCTCCCATCTCAGCCTCCAAAGTAGCTGGGACTACAGGTGCACACCGTCATGCCTGGCTAATTGTTTTTTGTATTTTTAGTAGAGACAAGGTTTCGCCATGTTGCCCAGGCTGGCCTCAAACTCCTGGGCTCAAGTTATTCACCTGCCTCAGCCTCCCAAGGTGCTGGGATTCCAGGTGTGAGCTGCTGCACCTGTTCTAATAGAGGAAGCCACAGAGGCTCAGAGACTTGTTATGTGTTTAGACTCCAGGTTTGTCTGATGCCAGAGAGGTGCAAGATCTCAGGATAAAAATTCAGAGATAAAGAAAGAGATAAAGAAATAGTCAGAATGCTGGGCGCGGTGGTTCATGCCTGTAATCTCAGAACTTTGGGAGGTTGAGGCGGGCCGATCACTAGAGGCCAGGACTTTGAGACCAGCCTGGCCAACATGGCGAAACCCTGTGTCTACTAAAAATACAAAAATTAGCCGGGCATGGTAGCGGGTGCTTGTAGTCCCAGCTACTTGGGAGGCTGAGGCCGGAGAAGGGCATGAACCCGGGAGGCGGAGGTTGCAGTGAACTGAGATTGCACCACTGCACTGCAGCCTGGGCGACAGAGCAAGACTCTATCTCAAAAAAAAAAAAGAGTCATAGAGAGAAGAGAGAATCTTGGGGACAAGCTCATTGCAATGGGGCAATCTCACACTGGCTCAAGAGCTGCAGGGAGAGGAGGAGGGACAGATGCTGGAGGTCCCTTCCCCTCTCTGGCTTCCCCCAGCGTTCTGCTCAGTCCCTGCCCAGGGGACCCTAAGCCAGCTCCCTTCCCTTCCCTGGGGCCCATCTGGAGCCCCACCAAGGGGACCCTCCAGGATGAAGGATGAAACCCCAACAGGGTTTCACCATGTTGGCCAGGCTCCTCTTTCCCTGACTTGGTTTGAATGAAGGAAACTCCCAGGCTGGCTACCTTGAACAGGTGGAGTGGGCACTTCCAAACCCGGAGAGATTTCCGGAGAGCGGATCTCATAGAAGGACACAGGAACGGACCTTGACCTCCCTCTTTTCTTGGGGCTGTCACATTCCTGCAGGGGATTAAACATCTCACTAAGCTGGGAAGGCAGCCTGGACTGCAGGCAGGTTCCCTGGATTGAGGGGCCCAACCCACAGCCAGGGCCACCTCCACAGAAATGGGGTGACACACTCATCCAAGCCTCAGCCTCCAGCCACTCCCCCCAGCCATAAGACATGGGTTCAGCCACCCCCTCCCCAGCCACAGGGCTGTAGTCCTGGCGGAGGAGCCTCCAGCTCTGAGCTGGAGCCCCAGGTATCAGAGCCACAGCTTCCAACAATGGCCAGGAATTTCCCCCAGGGTCCTTTGTGATCACAGCCAAAGATGTCTCAGCCACCAGCCACAGCTCCAAGCATGCATTCCTCAGGTGTGAGCTGGGATCTCAGGTCAGACACAAATTCTCCTTAGCTGTAGCTGCATACCCCAACCACAGACACAGCTGCCTTCCGGCTGCAGGGCTACACTCCAGGCAAAGATCCTCCAAGCCTGGCTGAAACTGCAAGATAAGACATCCCCCATCCCCTTGTCTCCAGCCCTTGGGTTGGAGTCATGGCCATGCATGGCCTGCCCCAGATGCTTACCCAGGGAAATCCCTTCAGGCCTAGGCTGGAATCCTAGGACCCAGAGACAACTGAGGCACGGGCCACACCACAGATAAGCAGCCTCCACCCTGCCATGGTGGGTAAGCGCCACCAGCCCTGGCAAGTCTCTCCTTCCTACCTATAGCACTGCTTTCTAAACCCAAAAGTGTGCTATTGTCAGGGGTGGCTGCAGGTTATACCCACCTTGCCTGGGCTCTCTGCGGGGGTCCCGCCCCCAGAGAGACACCCTTGAGTCCAGGTCTTCAGCCCTCCTCCTGGCAGGTTCAAAGCAAGGCTGGCCAGTGTTCGGGGGAGACAGGGTTCCTCATCCACAGCTGAGGCATCGAGGCTGAGCCTAGTGGAGAAGACAGGGTACTGGGGCTTCAGCAGGTCTTGCCCACCTGGCTGCTGCCCCAGGCATCCAGGGGGGCTTGAAAGAACATGCAAGGGGGCCCTTCCAGGACAAGGAAGGGTGCGCAAGCCACAGAAAGGGGTCCAGACCTCCCAATATGAGAGGAGTGGGTGGCAAGGGGGAGAGGACAAAGAAAGCCAGCCTGGTTAGATTTGTTGGAGCTACATTTGCATCTCAGATCGTTTTTGCACAGACTGGTTTTCTCTTTCTTTTCTTTCTTTTCTTTTCTTCCTTCCTTTCTTCCTTCCTTTTCTTCCTTCCTTTCTTCCTTCCTTCCTTTTCTTTCTTCCTTCCTTCCTTCCTTCCTTTTCTTTCTTTTTCTTTCTTCCTTTTCTTTCTTTCTTTCTTTTTCTTTCTTTTCTTTCTTTCTTTTCTTTCTTTTTTTTTTTTTGAGACAGAGTCTCACTCTGTCACCCAGGCTGGAGTGCAGTGGCACGATCGCAGCTCACTGCAACCTCCGCCTCCCAGGTTCAAACGATTCTCCTCCCTCAGCCTCCCAAATAGCTGGGATTACAGGCACGTGCCACCATGCCCAGCTAATTTTTGTATTTTTAGTACAGACAGGGTTTCACCACATTAGCCAGGCTGATCTCGAACTCCTCACCTCAAGTGATCCGCCCGACTCTGCCTCCCAAAGTGCTGGGATTACAGGCGTGAGCCACTGCACCCGGCCTGAATTTCTATGTGGGATGACTTGGAAGGGGTTGAGGGACACGGGTTAGGGGTGGCTAGAGCACCCCCTGCCTCTACTATTTGGTGCTGCCACTGTGGGGTGCATGGTGTCTCACACATTTCCGTTCTGATCATAACTGCATGGTGGCTTCATGCGTATGCATGCAAGCAGTATGCAGATCACGTTTAAGCTTATATGCGTGGGTCTGATGGGTGCTGATCGTGGCCGTACTCTCAGCAGGTGTGTAAATTTAGGTTTTTGTGTGCTTGCAGTGTGTGCATGCAGTCGATTTTTTTTTCTTCCTTTTTTTTTGAGACAGAGTCTCGCTCTGTCGCCCAGGCTGGAGTGCAGTGGCATAAACTTGGCTCACTGCAACCTCTGTCTCCTGGGTTCAAGCGATTCTCGGGCCTCAGCCTACCGAGTAGCTGGGACTACAGGTGTGCACTACCACACCTGGCTAATTTTTGTATTTTTAGTAGACAGGGGGTTTTGCCATGTTGACCATGGCTGGTCTTAAACTCCTGACCTCAGGTGATCCACCCGCCTTGGCCTCCCAAAGTGCTGGGATTATAGGTGTGAGCCACCGCGCCCGGCCTCACATGCAGTTTTCAGTTTGGGCTTGTGCATGCATGCTCGGTCACTTGCACAGGCTCTATGTTCATGCATGTGCAAGTTAGAAGAGGGTTTTTTGGGCTGCCTCTGATGGTGCAGACGCCCCTCATGGCCCTAGAGCAGGGATCCCCAACTCCTGGGCCACAGACTGGTACTAGTCTGTGACCTTTTAGAATCCGGGCTGCAAAGCAGAAGGTGAGCGCAGGCATGTGAGCGAAGCTTCATCTGTATTTACAGCCACTCCCCATTGCTCACATGACTGCCTGAGCTCCACCTCCTGTCATATGAGTGGCAGCATTAGATTATCAAAGGAGCAGGGGCCCGGCATGGTGACTCATGCCTGTCATGTCAGCACTTGGGAGGCCAAGGCGGGAGGATCTCCTGAGGTCAGGAGTTTGAGACTAGTCTGGCCAACATGGTAAAACTCCATCTCTACTAAAAATACAAAAAATTAGCCGGGTGTGGTGGTGTGAGCCTGTAGCCTGGGCAACAGAGTGAGATTCTGTCTCAAAAAAAAAAAAAAAAAAATTCTCATAGGAGCGGGAACTGTATTGTGAACGGCACATGCGAGGGATCTAGGTTGCACACTCCTTATGAGAATCTAGGCTGGGTGCGGTGGCTCACACCTGTAATCCCAGCACTTTGGGAGGCTGAGGCAGGCAGATCATGAAGTCAGGAGTTCGAGACCAGCCTGACCAACATGGTGAAACCCCGTCTCTACTAAAAATACAAACATTAGCCGGGTGTGGTGGTGCGTGCCTGTAATCCCAGCTACTCGGGAGGCTGAGGCAGGAGAATCGCTTGAACCCAGGAGGCGGAGATTGCAGTGAGCCGAGATCACGCCACTGCACTCCAGCCTGGGCAATGGAGTGAGACTCCATCTCAAAAAAAAAACAAAAACAAAAAAAAAAAAACAAACACAAAAACAAGAGAATCTAGTGCCTGATGATCTGTCACTGTCTCCCATCACCCCCAGAATGGACTGTCTAGTGCAGGAAAACAAGCTCGGGGCTCCCACTGATTCTACATGATGATGAATTGTATAATTATTTCATTATGTATTACAACGTAATATAAATAAAGTGCACGATAAATGGAATGTGCTTGAATTGTCCAGAAAGTATCCCCTGTCCCCCTGGGTCCATGGAAAAATTGTCTTCCATGAAACTGGTCCCTGGTACCAAAAAGGTTGGGGACCACGGCAGGTGCAAGGGGTGGCTTGTCTTAGGACCTGGCTCTGGCCTTCTGGACCTCTTCCCTGTCCCAGGGGTGCATTGTGGGAAGCAGGCAGCAGTGGGGAACTGACCTCCGCCAGCTCTCTGAGCAGCTCCGCGACCTTTCCCAGCTGCGCCGCCTTGACAGGTCTTGGGACCCTGCCAAGCTGGAGAAAAGAGAATCTCTTCCTGGTTCTTCACCGGTGGGGCGGCTGTCTGGGGTCTCCCCAGGCTGGCTGTGGGAAGGGGCCCCAAGGCCCAGGTCCTGCAGATACTCGCTGCCCTGAAGGGCCCCCAAATCCAGGCTGAGGTCCTCCATACTCTCGCTGAGCCGCCTGGGAAAATCATCCTCCTGTAGGTTGGGAAGGTGAGGAGGGAGAAGAAGACATTGACCAAGGGGCAGCAGAACCTGGGGTCTCTTGACCACAAGGTCCCTGCTCCCAACATCCAGACCCTGCCTGTCCCCTACCTGTCCCTCCTGGGCTCAGCGCCCTCCTCACAGCGGGTGGGATGGAATGGGAGGGAGTAGTCCCCCAGTCCCCTGTCTAACCTGGACCTTCAAGAGCTCACCCCCACAAAAGGACCAGAAGTCTGGTCTTCCATGCCAGATTCCCCTACTTCTAGCCTTGGCAAAGCACTTCTCGTCACTGAGTTTCCATCTGATTATCTCTCTCTCTTTTTTTTTTTCTTTTTGGTACAGTTTCTGCTCCTGTTCCTATTTCTTTGTCCTTCCCTTCTTTTGTCCTTCACTTCCCTCTTCTCCTCCCAGTCATTGTATTTGTCATTCTGTCCAGCCAGGGCACCTGCCTTTTCTTCTTGCAAAACCTCCTCTCCCACCCGGCCCATCCTGAGTCTGTCTGGTGAACTCCTATGCAACCGTCAAAACCCAGCTTGGGCATGCCCTCCAGGTTGCCTTCCTGACTCCTCAAGGTTGGTAAGGTGCCCTTCCTCTGGGCTGTCAGGATCTGCAGGACAGGAATTGTCCTTTTCCAGGCATTTGTTAGGACTGTCTGCACACAGGGTTTGGTGGGTAGGTGGGCGAGTGGGCTTCCCCCATGGCTCCATGCGAGGCCAGTGCTGAGATGTGGCTCCAGGCATCCATGTGATCTCAGGCAGCCCTTGGTGGATGCTCTCAATTTGTCAGCTGGGGATCTTTGCCGGCAGGAGGCAAGGGGCCAGTGTCCACACTTGTCTTGGGATGAGGAAGGAGGAGCTACGCAGGGTTTGCCCTTTACCCAGAACTCACCCATGTTGATGTCTTTATAGATTTGGCCCCTCCCTTCTTTTTATTCCAGTGAAATACACATCACATAACATTTATCATCGTAACCTTTTTTTTTTTTGAGATGGAGTCTTGCTCTGTCGCCCAGGCTGGAGTGCAGTGGTACAATCTCAGCTCACTGCAACCTTCACCTCCCGGGTTCAAGTGATTCTTCTGCCTCAGCCTCCTGAGTAGCTGGGATTACAGGCACCCACCATTATGTCCGGCTAATTTTTGTATTTTTAGTGGAGATGGTGTTTCACAATGTTGGCCGGGTTGGTCTCGAACTCCTGACCACAGGCAATTCAACTGCCTCGGCCTCCCAAGATGCTGGGGCTACAGACATGTGCCACCACTCCTGGTGAATTTTTATATATTTTTTATTAGAGACGGGGTTTCACAATGTTGGCCAGGATGGTCTTAAACTCCTAGCTTCAAGTGATCCTCCTGCCTCAGCCTCCCAAAGTGTTGGGATTACAGGCGTGAGCCACTGTACCCGGGCCCACATCTTAACCATTTTTCAGTGTCCAGTTCAGTATCATTAAGCACATTCCCATTGCTGTGCAACCATCACCTCCATCTATCTCCAGAACTTTCTCATCTTCCCAAATTAAAATTCTGTTCCCATGAAACACAGCCTCCTCATTCCCCTCCCAGCCCCTGGCACCCACCTTTCTACTTTCTGTCTCCATGAATCTGACCAGGCCTGGCGTGGTGGCTCATGCCTTGGAATCCCAGCAATCTGGGAGGATCGCTTGAGCCCAGGAGTTTGAGACCCGCCTGGACAACATAACAAGACCCTATCTCTACAAAAAAATTTAAAAGTGAGCTGGGCATGGTGGGAGGCTCCTGTAGTCCCAGCTACATGGGAGGCTGAGGTGGGAGGATCACTTGAACCTGGGAGGTCAAAGCTGAAGTGAGCTGTGATCATGCTATCGCACTCCAGCCTGGGTGACAAAGCAAGACCCTGTCTCCAAAGAAAGAAAGAAAGAAAAAAAAAAAGCGGGGTGTGGTAAATCTATGAACCCGACGAGTCCAGAGACCTCCTACGAGTGGAATCAGACAGTATTTATCCTTTTGTGTCTGGTTTATTTCACCGAGCATAACGTCCTCAAGATTCCTCCACGTTGCAGCATGTGTCAGAATTTCCTTCCTTTTTAAGGTTGAATTGTATTCCATTGTGTGGATGGATCACATCGCATTTATTCATCCATCCATCAGCAGACACCTGGGCTCTTTCCATCTGTTGGCTCTTGTGAATAACGCTGCTATCAACATCAGTGTGCAGATATCTGTGGGTCCTTGCTCTCAGTTCTTCTGGGAAGATACCCAGAAGTGGAATTGCGGGATCATATGGTAATTTTATTTTTACATTTATTTATTTATTTTATTTATTTATTATTTTTTGAGATGGAGTCTCACTCTGTTGCCCAGGCTGGAGTGCAGTGGTGCAATCTCAGCTCACTGCAAGCTCCACCTCCCGGGTTCACGCCATTCTCCTGCCTCAGCCTCCCGAGTAGCTGGGACTACAGGCCCCCGCCACCACGCCCGGCTAATTTTTTTGTATTTTTAGTAGAGATGGAGTTTCCCTGTGTTAGCCAGGATGGTCTCGATCTCCTGACCTCGTGATCCACCCGCTTTGGCCTCCCAAAGTGCTGGGATTACAGGCGTGAGCCACCGCGCCCAGCCCCTATTTTTTACTTTTTGAGACAGAGTCTTGCTCTGTCACCCAGGCTGGAGTGGAGTGGCACCATCTCGGCTCACTGCAACCTCTGCCTCCTGGGTTCAAGTGATTCTCGTGCCTCACCCTCCTGAGTAGTTGGGATTACAGGTGTGCACCACCATGCCCGGCTGATTTTTCTATTTTCAGTAGAGACACGGTTTCATCATGTTGCCGAGGCTGGTCTGAAATTCCTGATTTCAGATGATCCTCCCCGCTCAGCCTCCGAAAGTGCTGGGGTTACAAGCGTGAGCCGCTGCGCCCAAACTAATTTATTTTATTTTTTGAGACGGCATCTCGCTCTGTCTCCTGGGCTGGAGTGCAGTGGCACAATTGCATGGCAATTTTAGGTTTAACTTTCTTTCTTTCTTTCTTTTAATTTTTTTGAGATGGAGTCTCACTCTGTCGCCCAGGCTGGAATGCAATGGCATAGTATCAGCTCACTGAAACATCTGCCTCCCGGGTTCAAACAATTCTCCTGCCTCAGCCTCCCAAGTAGCTGGAATTACAGGCGCCTGCCACAATGCCCGGCTAATTTTTGTATTTTTAGTAGAGACAGAGTTTCACCATCTTGGCCAGGCTGCTCTTGAACTCCTGACCTCATGATTCACCTGCCTCAGCCTCCCAAAGGGCTGGGATTACGGGCATGAGCCACCGTGCCCAGCCAATTTTAGGTTTAACTTTCCTTTCTTTCTTTCCTTTTTTTTTTCTTTTTTTTCCTGAGACGGAGTTTCACTCTTGTTGCCTAGGCTGGAGTGCAATGGCCCGATCTCAGCTCACTGCAACCTCTGCCTCCTGGGTTCAAGCGATTCTCCTGCCTCAGCCTCCCGAGTAGCTGGGATTACAGGCATGTGCCACCACGCCCAGCTAATTTCGTATTTTTAGTAGAGATAGGGTTTCTCCATGTTGCCCAGGCTGGTCTCAAACCCCCGACCTCAGATGATCCATCCGCCTCAGCCTCCCAAACTGCTGGGATTACAGGCGTGAGTCACTGCACCCGCCTAATTTTGTATTTTTAGTAGAGACACGGTTTCACCATCTTGGCCAGGCTGCTCTTGAACTCCTGACCTCATGATTCACCCGCCTCGGCCTCCCAAAGTGCTGGGATTACGGGCATGAGCCGCCGCGCCTGGTCAATTTTAGGTTTAACTTCCTAAGGACTCACTCTGCTGTTTCCACAGCCTGCCTTCTTGAATCTCTCCTTTGTGGCCACCGTCCTCATTTCCCTCCCTTCTCCCTGCTGACTCCTCCTCTGCGTCCTCTTCCTCCCTCTGCCTTTTGATCACCAGGGTCCCTCTTTTTCAGTCTCTTTCTAAAGAGCCACAGCTCTAGCTCTGGCTGGCCCTCATGTGACTTGGGCGGCAGCCTCCTTTCAAATTCCCACTTACCCCCCAAATGGCTCCATTCCTACCCCCAGTGCCTGGAAAACCTCCTACTGTCTTTTCTGTCGCAGCCCCCGAAGGTTTTTTTGTGTCTCTGGTTTTCATCCTCCTGTAAATATAAACACGTCAGGACAGCCTCTTGGCCTGGCTGAGCCTCCCTCTTTCTCCTGCATCTGGCCTCCCTCAGAGGAGGCAGAGGTGGGAGCCAGGCCAGAGATGGGGGTGGAGCTGGGGAGTGGGGAGCCAGGCAGTACAGGCTGTTCCAGCTCCCACTGGTAGGTACATTGAGGGAGGGAGAGAGGGGGTGTCTCATCTTTTATTTTGGAGCTTGCACCTTTGTTCTGACATATCTTGGGCAAGAAAAGATGAGAGCCAGCCCAGTGGGGGTCTTTCCAGGTATCTGAGTAAGCATCGTACGCTGCCCTGCTGGCCCTGACACCCCAAAGAGGATGCTATAAATCCAGGCTCCTGTTCCCTAGACCTGGGGGAGCCTTGGGGGATGGGATCCCCCATCAAATCCAGAGGTGAAACAGCCCAGGGTTCCCCACTCTTCAGAAAGGCTCACCACGCACAGTTTTGCATAGTACATGAATACATGCTTATTTTAAAAATGTAAATAGTTATTGATCTTGTTGTCTGTTGGAAAAAGATAACACACCAAAGCATAATGTGTCCCTGGTCCCATTTTGTCATGTAAAAAAGTGGCTTAATTTCAAACAAAATGGCAAGTAAATCATAGAGCAGATAGTCTTCTCCTTCCTTCCTTCCTTCCTTCCTTCCGCCCTCCCTCCCTCCCTCCCTCTCTCTCTCTCTCTCTCTCTCTTTCTTTCCTTTCTTCCTTCTTTCCAGGTCTGCACTACCATGCCCAGCTTTTATATATATATATAAAATATATATATATAAAAAATATATATAAAATATATATATATAAAAATATATATGTGTATATATATATATAAAATATATATATGTGTATATATATATAAAATATATATATGTGTATATATATATAAAATATATATATGTGTATATATATATATATTTTTTTTTTTTTGAGATGGAGTTTCACTCTTGTTGCCTAGGCTGGAGTGCAATGGTGCGATCTTGGCTCACTGCAACCTCCACCTCCTGGGTTCAAGTGAGTCTCCTGCCTCAGTCTCCCGAGTAGCTGGGATTACAGGTGTCCACCACCACACCTGGCTAATTTTTTTATTTTTAGTAGAGACGGGTTTTACCATGTTGGCCAGACTGGTCTCGAACTCCTGACCTCAGGTGATCTGCCTGCCTCAGCCTCCCAAAGTGCTGGGATTACAGGCGTGAGTCACCACGCCCGGCCCCAGCTAGTATTTTTTTATTTTTTGTAGAGACAGAGTCTTGTTATGTTGCCCAGGCTGGTCTTGAAATCCTGGGCTAAAGTGACCATCCCACCTCGGCCTCCCAAAGTGCTGGAATTACAGACATGAGCCACCGTGCCTCACAGGGCAGATGGTTTTCAAATGGTCATTGGGTAAAAAGACCTCAGTCAAGGTTTGCATCCTGCTATGGTAACTGTTGTTAGCTTAGCATGACCTCGATCAAGTACCTAAAGCTCTCTGAGCCTCAGTTTTTTCCATCTCTAAAATGGGCATACTGCCACCTACTTGTAGGATTGTGTTGTGCAGGTGAAATGAGATGCTTGGGCAATGCAAACCTTGGCGGATAGAATAATATATTGCTGTTTTTAAATTTCAGGAGTCAGGGGGCCAGGGCCGTGGCTCACACCTGTAATCCCAGTGCTTTGGGAGGTTAAAGTAGGAGGATCAGTTGAGACTAGGGGTTTGAGACCAGCCCGGGCAGCATAGCGAAATCCCATCTTTAAAAAAAAAAAACAACTAGCCGGATGTGGTGGCGTGCACCTGTAGTCCCAGCTACTCTGGAAACTGAGGTGGGAGGGTTGCTTGAGTTCAGGAGGCAGAGGTTGCAGTGAGCTATGATCACACCACTGCACTCCAACCTGGGTGACAGAGAAGACCCCGTCTCTACAAATAAATAATTAAATTACATAAAATAAATAAATTTCAGGAGTCAGGACCCTTCCTCTGAGCAAGCCTCTGACAACCCCAAATGGAATCACACAGTCTCCCCTGTCCTCATGGAGCTAATTGGAGAAGATAGATGATTAAGCCAAACCGTTATAGTCAAGAATGATAGAAGGTTCCAGCCAGCAGGCTGGGGAAGATCTGAGGGGGAACAGATTACGCTCTCCAAAAAGTATCAGGGAGGGCTTCCTGGAGGAAATGGCAGCAAGTGAAGGTCTGAGGACTGAGTAGGAGCTGGCTAGGCAGATACTGCAGGTAAGCACATTACAGGCAGTGAAAGAACAGGACATCCAGAAGTCTGCAGGCTGGAGAGCTCATGGCGCCTTTAAGCAAATGGCAAATGTTCCTATGGCTGAGGTGTGGACCGTTGGGGAACACGAGTCTGGTTGGCCAAAGCATGGATTTAATCTGGAAGTTTCCAATAGTGGTGGTAGGGAGGGCAGTGATTGGCCTTCAGAAAGATTATTCAGCTTGCTGGCTGGGCGCCGTGGCTCACGCCTGTAATCCCAGCACTTCAGGAGGCCTGAGGCGGGTGGATCACATGAGTCCAGGAGTTTGAGAACAGCCTGGCCAACATGGCAAAACCCCATCTCTTCTAAAAATACAAAAATTAGCTGGATGTGGTGGTGGGTGCCTGTAATCTCAGCTACTCAGGAGGCTGAGGCACAAGAATCTCTTGAACCTGGGAGGTGGAGGTTGCAGTGAGCCGAGATTGTGCCACTGCACTCCAGCCTGGGTGATGGAGTGAGACCCTGTCTCAAAAAAAAATACATATGTGTTCAGCTTGCAGAGCAGAGATGGGCTTGGATGGGGCCAAGATGCAGGCAGGTGGCCCAGCCAGGACACCCGTGCAGATTACCTGGGGGAGCCATGACGGGGACCACCACCAGGGAAGGAGAAGGAGGGTGCAATGCACAGAAATGGAGGGTCCTTGGGGTTCAAAATTCACAGGACTTGGTGCCTGATGGGAGAGGAAGGGACAAGGAAAATGCCCTGGTCTCCAGCTCTGAAGACAAAGTGGATGATGAGAATCGAGACTCAGGAAGAGGGGGCAGATTTGCCAGCGGGTGGGGGCACAGCCTTGCTGCCTACTCACAGGCCTGCCTGCTTCCCCAGAGCCCACCGTTCCCCCATTGCCGTGTTACCTGTCCAACTGCCTGCATCCCATGGTTCTCTTTCAAAGAGGTCCAGATCCCAGGGAGGGCGCAGGGCTAAACTCCAGTCCTGGTTCTGTGATCCTTTACCCGGGACCTTCCATGACATCTGGACTAATTCCTTCACTGCTTGCATCTCAGTGTCTTTTTTCCTCATTCTGTCACCCAGGCTGGAGTGCAATGGTGTGATCTTGGCTCACTGCAATCCCCACCTCCTGGGTTCAAGCGATTCTCTTGCCCCAGTCTCCCGAGTAGTTGGGACTACAGGTGCACACCTCCATGCGCAGCTAATTTTTGTATTTTTAGTAGAGACAGGGTTTCACCCCGTTGCTCAGGCTGGCCTGTGCTGGGCATGTTGCCCAGACTGGTCTCAAACTCCTGACCTCAAGTGATCTGCCCGCCTCGGCCTCCCAAAGTGCTGTGATTACAGGCACGAGCCACCATGCCCAGCCCCTCAGTGTCCTCTTCCATAAAATGACAAGCCTGGGTACATGGGATGCCCTTTATGGCTTAACCGTAACAGATCCTCCTTCCTTAGTGTAGCGGATGTTGTGGAAAACCACTCAGATCCTCCGAGGCTGTGGGAGAAGGAACTGTCAGTTCTCAGCCCCCTTCCTGGGCAGCCCATCAGCAATGGGTGATTGACAAGGGGATATAAAAGCTTGCCCATTTCAGCCCAACTCCGTCTGAGTCTGCTTCCTGGAGACCCAACACACACCACCTGACTGTCTTGGTCCCTGGTGGAGCTGGAGCTGAACTATGTTTACGAGACCTCTCCCTGGCCCCTACCCTCTTAAGGATGCACCTCCTAGATGCCACATCTTCCACCCCAGGAGACCTTCCCTGAAGCAGCCTGGAGGCTGTCACCAGGACCTTTGCCACGACCTCAGTCCCAGCCACACACCATCAGGACTTGATGTTAACTGTGCCCCAACTCCACCCAGGGACCACAAGCTTTCAGGGTCTTTCTTTTGAGACTGGAGCCTGGGGGCTGGCCTACCCCACAGGCCCCTGACATAAGCGCTTAGAGAAAGTGTGATGAGAGCAGAGGGTATGGACGCAGGCTGCAGAGTCAGAATGGGCTTGAATCCCAACTCTGCCATGACGGGAACTTAGGCAAGTCAGTCTACCTTTCTAGGCTGTATTTGGTTTTAGTCAGCCTGCCTTCCTTCCTTCCTTCCTTCCTTCCTTCCTTCCTTCCTTTCCTTCCCTCCTTCCTTCCTTTCTTCCTCTCATCCTTCTTCTCATCTATCCATTACCCCTCCATTATCCGTCCATCCTTCCTTCATCCTTTCATTTATCCATCCTCCTTCCTTCCATCAACCCATCCATCCATCTTCCTTACTTCCTTCCTTCTTTCCTTCCTTCCACTCACCCGTCTTCTCATCTATCCATTCACCCATCCGTTATCCATCCATCCTTCCTTTATTCTTTTATTTATCCATCTTCCTTCCTTCCACTCACTCTTCTTCTCATCCATCCATTCATCCATCCATTACCCATCCATCTTTCCTTCATTCATTCATTTATCCATCCTCCTTCCTTTCATCCACCCATCTTCCTTCCTTCCTTCCTCTCACCCTTCTACTCATCCATCCATTCACCCACCCATTATTTATCTATCCTTCCTTCATTCTTTTATTTATCCATCCTCCTTCCTTCCATCAACCCATCCATCCATCCCCCTTCCTTCCTTTCTTCCTTTTTTCCTTCCTTTTCACTCACCCTTCTTCTCATCCATCCATTCACCCACCCATTATCCATCCATCCTTCCTTCATTCTTTCATTTATCCATCCTCCTTCCTTTCATCAATCTAGCCATCTTCCTTCCTTTCACCCATCCATCTTTCTTCCTTCCTTCCTTCCACTCACATTTCTTCTCATCCATCCACTCACCCATCCATTATCCATCCATCCTTCCTTCATTCTTTCATTTATCCATCCTCTTTCCTTTCATCCATCCATCTTCCTTCCTTCCATCTTTCATTTTATTCATCAATCATTCATGTATCCATCCACCCACATTTCTCATCTTTCTTCCTTCCTTCCATTCACCCACCTTTCTACTCTTTCATTCATCAACCATCTCTCCTTCCTTCCTTTAATCCACCCATCCTTCTACCTATCCATCCATACTTCCTTCTTTCCTTCCTTCCTTCATCCATCCTCCTTCCTTCCATCAGTCCATCCATCTATCCATCTAGCTTTCTTCTTTTTATTCACCCATCATCCATTTATCCATTCACCCACACTTCTACCCATCTTTCCTCCCTTCCTTCTAGTCATCCGTCATCCATTCATCCACCCAGCCACCCTTCTATTCATCCACGTATCCATCCATCCATCCATCCTTCTACTCATCTTTCCTTGATTTCCTCTTTCCTTCCATCTATCCATCCATCTATCCAGACACCCACCCACCCATCCATCTATCCATCCATCCATTCATCCCTCCATTGCTCCTTTCCTCCCTCTTCTTATTTCAGAACAGATTCTGGTTTCCTCATAGGTAAAACAGGATAATAAATGACTTTGCAAGTTTCGATGAGGATTCCCTGAGATAATGTACACAAAGTGCCTGGTAAAATGCAGGTGCTAAACAAAGTGTACTTGCTGCCACTGTCGTCATCAGCTCCTGCCCGTTTCAGCAGTCAGACACCTGCCTGATCATCCCCCATGGCAGAGAAGAAGTCTGGGTTCTCAGGTTTCCAGGATCCACTGCTGCTCTTGGTGGCTGAAGCCACAGCTCCAGAGTCAAAAGGCTGGACACATGACTTGGGCTCAGAGCCTGTGGAGAAAGGAGGGACAAGGTGTCAGGGATAAGCTGGGAGTGCTGAGGAAGCCAGGACCTGGATTCTGCATCTGTTGCTGGTCACCCTGGACCTCAGTTTTCTCAACTATAAAATGAGTTGGTGAGGGGAGGGGGAAGATGGTCTCAATGATCTTGAAGCCAACATACGTGTCACCTCTTCCCCATCCCAAGCCTATGGCAGACATTGCTAGTCAATCATGAGTCAATTTCCTGCTTAGCCATTTGCCCCCTCAGGATTCTTCCCAACACACCAGTTCCAACAGCCATCACCAGGTGATCCAAGTTGGCTTATGTATGAAATCAATTTGTTATGCCTGCTCTAGGAAAAAGCCCTCAGTTGATCAATGATGCTAATGGTCCCGTAGACCAAATGCAAGTACCCAATGCCCACATTGTTTTTCCTCCTCCTCCTCTTCCTCCTCCTCCTCCACCTTCTTCCTTCTTCTTCCTCCTTCTCCTTCTTCCTCCTCCTCTTCTTCTCCTTCCTTCTTCCTTTCTTCTTCCTCTTCCTCTTCTTGTCTTCTTCTTCCTCTTCTTCCTCTTCTTTTCTCCTTCTTCTTCTCCTTCTTCTCCTTCTTCTCCTTCTTCTCCTTCTTCTCCTCCTTCTCCTTCTCCTTCTCCTTCTCCTTCTCCTTCTCCTTCTCCTTCTCCTTCTCCTTCTCCTTCTCCTTCTCCTTCTCCTTCTCCTTCTCCTTCTCCTTCTCCTTCTCCTTCTCCTTCTCCTTCTCCTTCTCCTTCTCCTTCTTCTTCTTCTTCTTCTTCTTCCACAGAGTCTTGCTCTGTTGCCCCCAAGCTGGAGTGCAGTGGCGTGATCTCAGCTCACCACAACCTCCGCCTCCCGAGTTCAAGCCATTCTCCTGCCTCAGCCTCCTGAGTAGCTGGGATTACAGGTGCACACCACTGCACCTGGCTAATTTTGTGTGATTAATAGAGTTGGGGTTTCACCATGTTGGCCAGGCTAGTCTAGAACTCCTGACCTCAGGTGATCTGCATGCCTCAGCCTCCCAAAGTGTAGGGATTACAGGTGTGAGCCACGGTGCCCGGCCAGTGCTTTATTTGTTTTAGGGCTGAATAATATTCAATTGCATGGAGATACCACATTTCGTGTATCCATTGATCTGTTGATGGACATTTGGGTCGTTTTCACCATTTGGTTATTTCAAATCACGCTGCCATGAACAATTGCATACAGATGTACGCAATTGCACGGATGTGTGTTTTCCATTGTCTTGGGTCGTTACCTAGGAAGGGAATTGCTGGAGTACATGCTAATCTATGCTTAGCTTTTTGAGGAACCGCTGTTATGCAGTCTCTTTTTTGAGATAGAGCCTCACTCTGTTGCCCAGGCTGGAGTGCAGTGGCGCCATCTTGGCTCACTGCAACCTCCACCTCCGGGATTTGAGTGATTCTCCTGCCTCAGCCTGTTGAGTAGCTGGGATTACACGTATGCACCACCACACCTGGCTAATTTTTTTTATTTTTAGTAGAGACGGGGGTCTTGCTACGTTGGCCAGGCTGGTCCGGAACTCCTGAGCTCAGGCAATCCCCCCGCCTTGGCCTCCCAAAGTGCTGGGATTACAGGCATGAGCCATTGCACCTGGCCTAAAACCACTGAATTGTATGCTTTAAATGGGTGAAGTATATGGTAGCTCAATAAAGCTGTTCCTAAAAAGTTTTTTGTTGGAGCCTCTTGCAGAGCTTTGGATGGGGCAGGTACACATGGGGCCTGAAGCTTCAGTTTCCATTGCTTCAAGGTAAATTTGCCCCCTGATGCCACCTGTATTCACAGATGAGTGGCTGGACAGTAACGAGCAATGCCAGGGTTTCCACCATCACTGCTTTCCAGGTTGCCCTCCCGGGCTGGTTGGAGGGACTCTGTTCAGCTGCTGTTGTTAAGCTTTGCATCTGTTCTCTTCCCCACCCAGAAGCCGAAGCAGCATCTATGACTCACAGAAACGAAACAAGCAGGCTGTGAAGGAGGAGGAAAGCCAGATGTGGGGGAGGGTCCTGGAGGTTGGTGGGAGCTTGGGAGGGGAAAGGCAGTCCCATTCCTCAGCCAAGTCCCCTTAGGGCTGGAGGAGAGCCTGCAGGGTTGGCTTGCTTCACTGGACAGGGTCCTTGTGGAGGCCTGAGGCCTCCTGTAGCCTGCAGGACCTCATGCCCTGTATCTGTGAACCCTGAAGGTCTGGGATCCAAAGATCAAAGGTGAAAGGCCAGGGTTGGCCGGGCCCAGTGGCTCACACATGTAATCCCAGCACTTTGGGAGGCCGAGGAAGGCGGATCACTTGAGGTGAGGAGTTTGAGACCAGCCTGACCAACATGGCGAAACCTAGTCTCTACTGAAAATACAAACATTAGCTGGGCATGGTGGCATGTGCTTATAATTCCAGCTACTAGGGAGGCTGACACATGGGAATCTCTTCAGCCAGGGAAGGGCAGGATGCAGTGAACTGAGATTGTGCCATTGCACTCCAGCCTGGGTGACAGAGTGAGACTCTGTCTCAAAGAAAAAAAAAAAGGAAAAGAATGAAAAAAGAAAAGAAAAGAAATGCCAGGGTTGTGTGATTGTGCATGTTTTGTTGTTGTTGTTGTTGTTGTTGTTTTGTTTCAAGAGAGTCTTGCTCTGTCACCCAGGCTGGAGTGGTTCCATCTTGGCTCACTGCAGTCTCCACCTCCTGGGTACAAGCGATTCTCCTGTCTCAGACTTCTGAGTAGCTGGGACCACCGATGTGTACCACCATGTCCAGCTAATTTTTGCATTTTTAGTTGAAATGGGGTTTCACCATGTTGGCTAGGCTAGTCTCGAACTCCTGGTCTCATATGATCCTCCCACCTCGGCCTCCCAAAGTGCTGGGATTACAGGCATGAGCCACTGTGCCTGGCTGAGTTTTGTTTTTATAGGGAAGCTTCTGACCGAGGAACAGGTTGAGCTTGACCTGATGATGAACTCAACTGTGATCCTAGTTCCCAATGACTGACTCAACTCTGATCCTAGTTTTACAGATTGAACTCCAATCTTTGTGTCACAGACTGAGCCATGATCCTGGTGTCATATACTGAGCCTTGATCCTGATATCACAGACTGAACTTCATCTGGCTGTCATTGGTTGAGCATTCATTCTTGTATCATAGAATGAACCCCCCTCCTAGTGTCATAGACTAAGCCTTTATCCTGGTGTCATATATTGATCCCTGATCCTAGTGTCATAGGCTAAGCCCTAATCCTGGTGTCATAGTCTTAGCTCTTATCCTGGTATCATAGACTGAGCCCCAATCCTGGTGTCATAGACTGAATCTTGATCTGGCATCATAGACTGAGCTCCAATCCTGATGTCATAGGCTGTGTCCTGATTCCAATATTATGAGCTAAGCCCTAATCCCAGTGTCATAGACTGAGCTCTGTCAATTACCAACCACAATTGCCCCAAACGATTGCCAATCACATTTGTCACTGATCCTCAGCTACCAGTCTCTCCCCTGTAGTCCATCTTCTGTCCTGGAGTTGGTGTGTCCTTTTGATATAACCCTCTGATGGTCACTCCCCTTCTACTGATCCCCACCCCTATAGACTCCAGTCCCCTTAGAATGACATTCAGAGCCCTCCTCAGCCTGTCCTCTTACCTCCCTGTCACACACATGCACACCCAACTCACCATTCTCCTGGTATCTCTGTGCTGTTCCTACCACTCTTCCTGCCTGGCAACTGAGGGCTCTGTCTCAGATCCTCTGCAGACAATTTTAGCCATAGGACTTTGGATTGCTCTGCCTAGCTCTTTATAGAAAAGGTTTGCTGATCCATGCTCTAGAGCATGAGGTCTGTGAGGGCAGTGACTATATCTGATCCACTTTTACATCCCCAAGCTCCAAAAGGTAAAATCTTGTATCAATCACTTTCTATATGTCTGGCTTAGTGCTAAGCCCATCATGTACTTTTCACTCTTCTATACTCACAGCAACTCTGAGTCCTCATTTTATAGAAAGGGAAACTGAGGTTTAGAGAGGTGCACTGACTTTACCAAGGCCATACCAATCTGGTATGAGGTAGAGCTGGGAGTCAAATTCAGATGTTTCTGAATTCAAAGAAGAGATCCCAATCACCAGGCTATCCTCTGCTGTGTTGGGTTGGGCACAGAGTCAGTGCCCATATATTTGGATAAATGGGTAGATAAATGGATAGATGGTTGGATGGATGGATGGATGGATGGGTGAGTGGATGGTTGAATGGATGGGTGGATGTGTAGAAGGATGGATGGATGGATGAATGAGTGGATAGACAGATGGGTGAATGGTTGGATAGGTAGATGGATGGATAGGTGGATGGATGAATGGTTGGACAGGTAGATGGATGGATAGGTGAATGGATGAATGAGTAGATAATTGGATGTATGAGTGGATGGGTGGATGGATAGGTAGATGGATGAATGGATGTTGAATGGATGGATGGTTGGATGGATGGAAGAGTGGATGGATGGATGGATGGATGGAAGAATGGATGGAAGAATGGGTGGATGGGTGGATGGATGGATGGATGGATGGATGGAAGGATGGATGGTTGAAGAGTTGGCTGATTGGATGGATGGATGGATGGATGGATGGAAGGATGGATGGTTGAAGAGTTGGCTGATTGGCTGGTTGGCTGGATAGATAGTTGGATGGCTGCATGGTTGCAGGGATGAATGGGTAGATAGTGGGATGGATAGGTTATATGGCAGTGTCCAGAGGCAGCGATGCATTACACTCAGGAGATGGCATTCTGAGGGGGTGAGGAAGCACATATAGAAGGAAGAGGGACAGAATTGTGGCAGAAGAGCCACACAGGAAGGAAACCAAGGTGAGCGAGGCACAGACTGCACTCATCAGACATGCACCAACAGATTGAGGAATGAATGAAAAAGCATGAGCAGAATGGGTAATGGGGGCAGTTGATGGGGAAGGGGCACTGGGACCCTTCACTGAAGGTCTCAGTTCTCCTCTCTCAAGCCTTACTTGCCACCCCAAGTCCAATCCCACCCTTTCCCCGGGAAATTCCTATTAGGTGCCCAGACAGCCAATTACAGAGCTTAAGAGGGTGACAAAAAGGCCATTCTTCCCTGCTTTCCAAGGCTGATGACAGGAGACACGCTGTAAGGGAGTCACTCTCCCAGGGGAGCTAAGCCAGAGGAGAAATGAGGCCTCAGGGAAAGGGGCTCTGTTGGGGATGCACCCTGCTCCCCACCCCCATGCTTCTCTCCAAGGAGCTGTCCATCAGCCTGGATTCAGTCCCAGGCAGCCTCCTCCACTATCAGCCCCCACAGCATCAGCCATAAAAGGGTTTAAGAGTCACTGTCAGTTCCCACAGCTCACTCCCCCACCTGCTAGCATATAAATCCCAGCCTCAACTGCCTGGGCAGGGAGACAGGGTGAGCTGAGCAGCCACAAGAGGGACAGAACTTCTTAGGGACCTGGGTCACAGGCAGACACTTTGGTAATCCATGGCAGATACACTGATTCTTCAGGATCGCCATCCACCGTTGGATCTAAAAACCCTCCCCAGGCACTCCAGCTGCCCACACTGGCAGCTTTGTTCATCAGTCAGAACACATCAAAGTGGCCTCACACAGAATCGGCTTCAAATCCCGGTTCCTCCAGCATATACTTGCTGTGTGACCTCGAGCAAGTCGCTCAACCTCTCTGAGCCCAACTTCATGAGAGCTCAACAGCCACCAACAACTTTTATCCTGATGATTACTCTTCTATTGCATCCCAGTTCCCAGGCCATCCTCTCTCCCCCTAACCCCAGCCCTTGGGTCCCCTGGCACTCCCATCTGCTCCCTGACCCCGGCACAGTGCCTGGTACACAATGAGCCTTCAAGGAGGGTCAGTGGAATGAATGAGCTAACGAATCTTCACATTGGCCCCCTCTTTCATGAAAACTCACTGCTACCTTGAACAAGTACGTGGCTCATGCAGGTGATGGTGGCTGTGACTAACAAGTCATGCAGGCTAAGCGATGCGGCTGGCCTGACCAGGAGGCGCTCATATGGGCAGTGGGGAGCCGGAGACAAGAAAACCCATGAGGCAATGAGTGCATGACCAGCTTTTATGATATTGTCCAGCACTGTCCTCTCATGCCCTACGTACCAGGACATCATCTGGTTATCTTCAAGGGCTAAACTCTTGAGCATTAAGAAGTGTCTCTTTGATGGCTGGGCGCGCTGGCTCACACCTATAATCCCAGCACTTTGGGAGGCCGAGGCAGGTGGATCACCTGCGGTCAGGAGTTCGAGACCAGCCTGATCAACATGGTGAAACCCCGTCTCTACGAAAAATATATAAATTAGCCAGGTGTGGTGGGGGGCACCTGTAATTCCAGCTACCCGAAAGGCTGAGGCAGGAGAATGAATTGAACCCTGGAGGCAGAGTTTGCAGTAATGAGCTGAGATCGCGCCACTGCACTCCAGCCTCGGCGACCGAATGAGACTCGGTCTCAGAAAAAAAAAAAAAAAGAAAAAGTGTCTCTCTTTGCAACAACAGTTCACTCAGGCCTTTGATGACATAATAAAGGCTGTTATCAGTCCCCAGAGAGGTCACCTGAGGCCTGGGGACCCTGGGGGTTGAGAGAGAGAGCACCAGCCGATGTGTGTGTGTATGTGTGTTGGAGGGAGGTGTGTGCCCCAGAGCCTCTAATCCCCCCGTTTTTGTTTCTGCCCTGAGCCTCCTGTCCTGCAGCTGGGCCAGAAACCAACAGCATCTGGGACCCCCAGGAGATCGCTGGGCTGCCCCTGAGGAGTTCAGCGGCTGAGTTAAGAGGGCGGACTTTCTTTCTGCAAATTTACCGCCCGAGACAAATTCCTGGCCAAGTCTTGGGAGACATTTCCTCTGAAACAAGAGGGACCCCACAAGTCTGTGATAATTCCAGGGGGCCCTGGAGAATCAGGGGTCATGGAATCCAGGGCCGATGCCAGCAGAGTCTGTACTGCAGCCAAGAAAAAGCTCGAAGGGGGATGGCGGGCAGGCTGTCCTGGGATCCCCACCTGGGTGGATGGCTCCCGCTGGTCACTGCCAGCTGCTTACCTCTCTTGAAGGCCCACCGCTTCAGCCACAGCTTGGAGAAGGCCGGCCAGGAGTGGTTGAGCACCGAGTCAGCCATGGGGGCCATGCGTGCGTGTGAGAGCTTGAGTGTGAGCTGGCCTGGGAATCCCTGCCAGGATGGGGCTGCCAGTAAGAGGGGCGGAGACTGCCTCCAAGGTCTGCCAGATACATCAGCTGATAGAAGCCTGGGGCTTCAGCAGGGGGGCTGGGGTTTCCAGCTCAGGGGCCCAGGGACCCCTGGTTTGAGGAGAAGCCAAGCCCTTTAGCACCCTCTGTCCCTTAAACCCAGTCTTACAGGCCTCTTACCCTGGCTGGACAAGACAATCTTAGGGAAATACAAGTACAAACTGGGTCCCTCGGGGAGCCTGGGTGTGCATGGATGTCTGAGTGTTTGTGTGTGTGTGCGTGCCATCGTCTTGGTGGGTTTGATGATGCATTTCCATGTTGTGTAGAGAGCACGTGCTTTTGGGTTTGTGATTCTGTGTTTCAGGGTGAGTTCTGAATATCAGCTTGTCAATGTGGGGGTGTATTTGATTATCTAGATAGTTTTAAAAGTGTCTCTGTGATTGTCTGTGTGTGTGTGTGTGTGTGTGTGTGTGTGTGTGTGTGTGTGTGTGAAGCCCATTGGTATCCGTGAGGTCAGATTTAACTACATGACTCATCTGTGTCTTGGGGAGATCTGTTTCTAGTATCTATGAGGTGGTTTTGGTGTCCGCCTGGGTTTCTGTGTTTCTACATATTTGTGTCTTCATCTGTTTCTGTTTTTTGTTTGTTGTTTGTTAGTTTTGAGATGGGTCTTGCTCTGTCACCCAGGCTGGAGTGCAATGGCGTGACCACAGCTCACTGCAGCCTCCAACTCCCGGTCTCAAGGGATCCTCCGGCCTCAGCCTCCTGAGTAGCTAGGACTACAGGTGTGTGCCACCACACTGGCTAAGTTTTGTATTTTTTGTAGAGCTGGGGTCTCACTATGTTGCCCAGGCTGGTCTCAAAACTCCCAGGCACAAGCGATCCTCCTGCCGCGGCCTCGCAAAGTGCTGGGATTGCAGGCATTGAGCCACATCACCTTTCTCTCTGTACCCAAGTGTGGGGTATGGTGTGTGTGTGTCAACGAGTGCTCATCCGTGCAGGTGCTGCCCCCTCGTGGTGGAAGCTCCTTTATCAGCGTCTTCACTCCTTGTGTCTGAAAAATCCCTGCTTCAAATCCTGGCTTCAAATCCCAGCTCCTCCAGCACGTACTTGCTGTGTGACTCCCTCCTTCAGTCTCCCAATTGTTTACATTACTTCCCAGCCCCAAATCACCCCCAGCCCCAAATCAGCCTCCCAAAGTGCTGGGATAACAGGCATGAGCCTGTTATTTTTTAACTTTTATTTTTGAGACAGGATCTCACTCTGTTACCCAGGCTGGAGTAGTATGATCTATAGCTCACTGCAGCCTCGAACCCGTTGGCTCAAGCAATCCTCTTGCCTCAGACTCCTGAGTAGCTGGGAATGTACATGCATGCTATCACACTTGGCTATTTTTTTTACTTTTTTCTTTTTTGTAGGGATGGGGTCTTCTATGTTGCCCAGGCTGGTCTCAAACTCCGAGCTTCAAGTGACCCTCCTGGCTCAGCCTCCAAAGTTTTGGGATTACAGGCGTGAGCCATGGCACCCAGCCAAATCTCACTTTAAAAATACAACAGGGATATCTATTTCTTTTCTTTTTCTTTCTTTCTTTTTTTTTTTTTTAGACAGAGTCTTGCTCTGTCACCCAGACTGGAGTGCAGTGGCTGATCTCAGCTCACTGCAACCTCCAACCTCCACCTCCTAGATTCAAGCGATTCTCCTGCCTCAGCCTCCCTAGTAGCTGGGATCACAGGCGTGCACCACCATGCCCAGCTAATTTTTGTATTTGTAGTAGAGGCAGGGTTTTGCCATGTTGGCCAGACTGGTCTTGAACTCCTAACCTCAGGTGATCCTCCCACCTCGGCCTCCGAAAGTACTGGGATTACAGGTGTGAGCCACCACACCTGGCTAAATCTCACTTTAAAAAAATACAACAGGGATATCTATTTCTTTTTCTTTTTCTTTTCTTTTCTTTTTCTTTTTTTTTTTTGAGATGGAGTTTCACTTTTGTTGCTGAGGCTGGAATGCAATGGCGCAATCTCGGCTCACTGCAACCTCTGCCTCCCGGGTTCAAGTGATTCTCCTGCCTCAGCCTCTCAAGTAGCTGGGATTACAGGCGCCCGCTACCATGCCTGGCTAATTTTTTGTATTCTTAGTAGAGATAGGGCTTTGCCATATTGGCCAGGCTGGTCTCGAACTCCTGACCTCAGGTGATCCAACCACCTCAGCCTCCCAAAGTGCTGAGATTACAGGCGTGAGCCACTGCACCCAGCTGGAATATGTATTTCTAATGATGGCAGGCTAGCTTATTGCAGATTTATTCTCCCACCAAGAACAAATAGAAAAGCTGGACAAAATTGGAAGAGTGAAAAACCACCCTTGCTTGGAAGGCATTGGCAGTCAGAGTTGGAAGAATCACGGCCCTGGAAAGAAAGGAAACCTAGGGGCCAGGCGCGGTGGCTCACACCTGTAATCCCAGCACTTTGGGAAGCCGAGGTGGGCAACTCACTGGAGGTCAGGAGTTCGAGACCAGCCTGGCCAACATGGT
Organism: Homo sapiens; assembly: GCF_000001405.40. NCBI lineage: Eukaryota > Metazoa > Chordata > Mammalia > Primates > Hominidae > Homo > Homo sapiens. Next base: position 7,353,032 of record NC_000019.10, on the reverse strand, counting down.
GAAACCCCGTCTGTACTAAAAATACAAAATTAGCCAGGCATGGTGGTGGATGCCTGTAATCCCAGCTATTCAGGAGGCTGAGGCAGGAGAATCGCTTGAACCTGGGAGGCAGAGGTTGTGATGAGCCAAGATCATGCCACTGCACTCCAGCTTGGATGACAGAGCAAGAGTCTATGTCAAAAAAAAAAAAAAAAAAAAAAGGCCAGGCACGGCGACTCACACCTGTAATTCCAGCACTTTGGGAGGCCGAGGTGGGCGGATCATGAGGTCAGGAGATCGAGACCATCCTGGCTAACACTGTGAAACCCCGTCTCTACTGAAAATACAAAAAAATAGCCGGGCGTGGTGGCAGGCACCTGTATTCCCAGCTACTCGGGAGGCTGAGGCAGGAGAATGGCGTGAACCTGGGAGGTGGAGCTTGCAGTGAGCCCAGATCATGCCACTGCACGACAGCCTGGGTGACAGAGTGAGATTCCATCTCAAAAAAAAAAAAAAAAAAAAGGAAACCTAGGAAAGTGAGAAGGACATAATGTAATGCTTTTCCCTCACAAACAAGTTGTTGATTTGAACACAGTTCTTGAGTGAGTGGGAGGCAGACCAGAAAAAGCCTGAGAACCTGAATGTAGCTCTTAGCAATCTTATGTTGGGGAAATAAACATTGGAATTCAGGGCCCAAAAAGAGGAGGTGATTGCCACCCCTAAAAGACTACACCCTAGGAGCAAGGAGGGACCAGACATAGACTAGCCCTCACCGAGAGCAAAATCCATCTTCAAGTCAGCATAGGTCACAATCAGATTAAAGTGATCTTTCCTTTCTCTAACTGCCTGCCCAAAGCAAAAATAAACGCTCTATGGAGGAAAATGACACCATAAAGAGACACAAATTATCCCTATAGTTTTTCACAAACAAGGCCTGGCATTTAATCAGACTACCAGGCATACTAGAAGACAGAACCTCATGACCAAAAAACAAGAAGAAACACAGACAATAGCAACAGCCCTACAGGAGATAAAGATGCTAGAATTAAAAATACAACAGGCCAGGTGCAGTGGCTTACATCTGTAATCCCAGCACTTTGGGAGGCCAAGGCAGGTGGATCACCTGAGGTCAGGAATTCAAGACCAGCCTGGGTAACATGGTGAAACCCTGTCTCTACTAAAACTACTAAAATTAGCCAGGTGTGGTGGTATGCATTTATAATCCCAGCTACTCAGGAGGCTGAGGCAGGAGAACTGCTTGAACCCAGGAGGTGGAGGTTGCAGTGAGCTGAGACTGTGCCACTGCACTCCAGCCTGGGCAACTCTGTCTCAGAAAAAAAAAAAAAAAAGAGAGAGAGAGAGAGGCAGAGAGAAAATACAGTAGCATATGATACAGGGATGGCTGGATGGGATCCTTAAGAAGTCCACTCTAGCTGGGCACAGTGGGTCATGCCTGTAATCCCAGCACTTTGGGAGGCTGAGGTGGGGGGATCACAAGGTCAGGAGATCAAGACCATCCTGGCTAACACGGTGAAACCCCGTCTCTATTAAAAATACATAAAATTAGCCGGGCATGGTGGCGGGCGCCTGTAGTCCCAGCTACTTGGGAGGCTGAGGCAGGAGAATGGCGTGAACCCGGGAGGTGGAGCTTGCAGTGAGCCGAGATCGTGCCACTGCACTCCAGCCTGGGCAATAGAACAAGACTCCATCTCAAAACAAACAAACAAACAAACAAACAAACAAACAAAAGAAGTCCACTCTAGCAGACTTGCTTACAGATTGAGATCCACCATGGGTATGACCCAGAACATTTCAGAAGATGGTGGGACTGCTCAGGAAGGAAGGCCTGGGGACAAGGTCAGTATGAAGGCATAGGTGAGGCTGACAATGTTTTCTGATCTATTACGTGCCAGACACTGCACTAAGATCTCACAGACCAAACTTCATAAAGGCTGAGCGAGGTGGTTCATGCCTGTAATCCCAGCACTTTGGGAGGCCAAGGCAGGCAGATCACCTGAGGTCAGGAGTTCAAGACCAGCCTAACCAATATGGTGAAACCCTGTCTCTACTAAAAATACAAAAATTAGCTGGGCATGGAGGCGTGTGCCTGTAATCCCAGCTACTTGGGAGGCTGAGGCAGGAGAATTGCTTAAACCCGAGAGGCGGAGGTTGCAGTGAGCTGAGATTGCACCAATGTACTCCAGCCTGGGCGATAGAGCAAGATTCTATCTCCAACACACACACACACACACACACACACACACACACACACACACACACACACACCCACCCCAAAAAACTCAACAGCCTTTTAACAGATGAGCAAACGAAAGCTCAGAGCAGTTAAGTCATTTGCCCAAGGCCACATAGAGGCCAGGGAACTGGGATTTGAACGCCCAGCTGTCCAACACAGTCACCATGTCATCTACAACAGTATCGAGCATCAACATATGCCCATCCCTTTGTCATGGGCTAGGGGATGCCCAGGGAGGCATGGGAGACAGCCCAGACCAGAAGCACCGACGTGTTTGCAGTTGCCATCTACTGGTTCTTCAAGGCATAATGAAAAGGCTGCCTCTACCAAGCAGCCCTCCCAGAGTGACTCCCAGTCACAGCAAGGGAGTTGAAATGTGGCTGATTATGAGGGCAACCCTTTCCTGACCTCCTTTGGTTGTCATGTTCTTTTCTCAGAACTGCAGGTGACCTGGCCTTGGAGCATCAGCCCCCAGCGTCACTTCCTAGCTCCATCCTCTCTGGCCCCAGCTGTCCACTCTAGCTCAATTCACTCCCTCCTGGTTCTGGGGCCACCTTCCTAGACCTCAGGGTGCCTGAAGCCTGCCCTGCAGCATTGGGGGCTGGCAGGAAACAACAGACTGGGTGTGCCCAGCAGAAACCGCAGCCTTCCTCCCCCACCCCTCCCAGTCCCAGGCAGGCGGTGGTGCAGGAGGTCCCCCTAAGAAGGGGCCACGAGAGGAGACAGGGGATGTCTCCCAAGGGGGAGAACCCTCACCTGGAGGAAGGCTGCCTGGGTGGAGGGATGTGCTCTCTGGATGATTTCAGATCAGGACAAGACCCTTCTCAGGGCTGGTTGTCAGCCATCAGCCTTAAGTGTGAGTTTGTTTTGACAGTGGATTCAGAATCTGCAACAGGGAGGTTCTTGGGGGGCCCGGAATCTGCAGTTTAAGATGCAAAGGGCACCTGAGCCTTTGCCCCAGCTCCCCCATTCATTCTCTGTCTCCTGTCTCCACGCAGGAGGGCCTTGGCTACAAGGAGCTCTATCGTCCTTTCTTTGCTTTTCTTTTTCTTTTCTTTGTTTTGAGACTGAGAGGCTCACTTCAACCTCTACCTCCCGGGTTCAAGCCATTCTCCTGCCTCAGCCTCCCGAGTAGCTGAGATTACAGCTGCCCGCCACCACGCCTGGCTAATTTTTGTATTTTTAGTAGAGACGGGGTTTCACCATGTTGGCCGGGCTGGTCTCCAACTCTTGACCTCAAGTGATCCGCCCTCCTCAGCCTCCCAAAGTGCTAGGATTACAGGTGTGAGCCACCGCGCCCGGCCTCCACCCTCCTTTCTTACCTAGCAGCCCCTCAAGGATCCCCGTCCCCTGGGGTGACCTCTTATGACCACAGATCTCTGCACAATGAACGCAAGGGTCAAACAGCTTCCCCCACCCACTCAGGAAGCAAGTTGACTGCAAGGGGGAGAGAAACAGTGATGTATGTCTGCTCGCTGTCCCCCTAGACTTCCCAGACCCCACTGCCACTCTGTCCCGATGGGTCCATCTCTCTCCACTTCCCAGGATAAGTACTTACCAGATAGAGCTCAGTTCTTCAACCTGCAGGCACCTAGCCTGGCTAACAGCTCCTGCAGCTCCCATGACCTACGGCCAGCGTTTCGAGCTGGCCCAAGGGAACCGCTGGCTGGGTAGAGCCTGGGATAACCACAGAATGACCCAATAGCACCTCGACTTCCTCTTTCTCAACTGCCTGCCTGCATGCTTGCCACTCTGCTCCCAGCTGCAGGCCAATCTAGGGGCCTAAAAAGAGCCCAGAGGATGGGGGTTCTGGAGGCAGAGAGCCCTGCTCCCACCCCTCAGCCCTGCGCATGCAGGTGTCTTGAGGAGGAGGGGTGGGGAGCTGGAGGGAGGCCCAGCGTCCTCAACCCCCACCCCAGCAGCTTCCTGTGGAACCAACTGCTGAAGAGGAACAGGGTGTGGGGGCCTCACCCAGGCACATGGGTGTATAGACAGCAACATATAGGGACGTGCAGGTCATGTGTATCCGTAGAGACTCAGGCACCCAGACACACACCAGCATGGTGGGTACACACAGAGAGACAGAAACACACGTGGCTACATTGTTACATGGGTACCTGGAAGCTGGCGGAACAACATGGTGTGCTGGTAACGTTTAACAACCACCTCTCCGATTTGTAGCCATTGCCAATTCTCCTGGTGTAAATACCCCCAGCATGGCCGATTTCACCTACCAGTGTGATGTCACCGAGTGTGGAGTTGATAGGAAATGCTCAGATTTGGCTTTTTTTAGAAAACAACAACAACAACAACAAAAAACTGTTTATTTTATTTTTAGAGATAGGGTCTCATTCTGTCATCCAGTCTGGAGTGCAGTGGAAAAATCATAGCTCACTGCAGCCTCAATCTCTTGGGCTCAAGTGATCCTTCTGCTTCAGCCTCCTGAGTAGTTGGGATTACAGGCACATGCCACCATGCCTGGCTAAGTTTTTTGTTTACAGATAATTTATGTATAATTTATATATACTTTATATATAATTATATATGGATTATATATAGACTTATATATAATTTATATATAATTTTTTATATATAATTTTTCTTTTGAGACAGGCTCTCACTCTGTCATCCAGGCTGGAGTGCAGTGGGGGTGATTTTGGTTCATTGCAACCTCCATCCCCTGGGCTCAAGTGATCCTCCCACCTCCGCCTCCTGAGTAGCTGGGACCACAGGCACACATCACCACGCCTGGCTATTTTTTTTTGGTTTGTATTTTTAGTACAGACAGGGTCTCACCATATTGCCCAGGCTGGTCTCGAACTCCTGGGCTCAAGCAATCCTCCCACCTTGGCCTCCCAAAGTGCTGGGATTAGAGGCACGAGACATGGCGCCCAGCCTAAGTTAATTTTTTTTTTTTGTAGAGACAGGGATTTTATTATGTTTCCCAGGCTGGTCTCAAACTCCTGGGCTCAAGCAGTCCACCCGCCTTGGCCTCCCAAAGTGCTGGGATTACAGGCATGAGCCATGATGCTCCACTAAACTTGGCTCTTGGGCTGGCTTCAGCCTGTCACTGGAGTGAGTACTCTACAAAAAATTTAAAACTTCGCCACATTTGGTGGTGCCTGCCTGCAGTCCCAGCCGCTCCGGAGGCTGAGGCGGGGAGGCTCACTTGAGCCCAGGTGTTCAAAGCTGCAGTGACCTATAATTGTGCCACCGTACTCCAGCCTGGGTGACAGAGTGAAATCCCATTTTTTTTAAAGAAAGTTAAAATGGTAAATTTTACGTTATGCCTATTTTACCACATTTAAATTAATCACTTTAACATTATTTTTGCTGCATTTTCCATAATCTATGCTTTTTTTCCTTTTCCTTTTTTTTTTTTTTTTTTTTTTTTTTTTTTTTTTGAGATGGAGTCTTGCTCTGTTGCCCGGGCTGGAGTGCAGTGGTGCAATCTCAGCTCACTGCAACCTCTGCCTCCTGGGTTCAAGTGATTCTCCTGCCTCAGCCTCCCAGGTAGCTGGGATTATAGGTGACCCCCACCACACCAGGCTAATTTTTGTATTTTTAGTAGAGACGGGATTTCACTATGTTGGCCAGGCTGGTCTCGAACTCCGGACCTCAGAGGATTCGCCCACCTCAGCCTCCGGAAGTGCTGGGGTTACAGGTGTGAGCCACCACACCTGGCCTCATAATCTATGCTTTTGATGTTGCTTTTGTGTATGGAACCTGTTTGGTAGAAATACTGTATAATGGTTTGCTGCTGTCCATATCTTTCTGACTCACTGTTCGGTGGCATCACTTGAAATTGGCTGTGGCGAGAGTATTTACACCATGAGGACTGGCAATGCTATAAATCAGTGCTCTCCACTGGAGAGGTTCAACATTTACCAGCACACTACTGCACAGCGGTGCACACAGATGGTTTTGGGATACTGCACAATCACACTTCACACATGGTCACACATAGGCACAGGGACTCACAGAGGCAGATACAAGTGTGCACAACTACATGTAGGAGCCACCCCACACACAGAGGACACGAGACACATGCACGTGCACAACAGAGCACAACAGCGCTGCACAACAGGGCTGCAGGCTCCTGGAACACAAAGCTCAAGGACACACCCAGAGGACACACAAGGATACGCAAACACAGACACGTGTGCTCATGGGCACAACTTCACACAGGAGCATGCAGTGTCATGTGGACATGCAGAATGGGCATGCAGACACACATACACAACAAACACCCCGACACACATGTGGACTCACAGCCACAGTCACACAGAACACTCACACACACACACACACACACACACACACACGAGCAGATGCTGCTGGCCAGGCGCGGTGGCTCATGCCTATAATCTCAGCACTTTGGGAGGCCGAGGCAGGTGGATCACCTGAGGTCGGGAGTTTGAGTCCAGCCTGGCCAACGTGGTGAAAACCCATTTCTACTAAAAATATAAACATTAGCCGGGTGTGGTGGCATGTGCCTGTAATCCCAGCTACTCGGGAGGCTGAGGCAGGAGAATGGCTTGAACCCGGGAGGCGGAGGTTGCCGTGAGCCAAGATCATGCCACTGCACTCCAGCCTGGGCAACAGAGTGAGATTCCATCTTAAACAACAAACAAAAACAAAACAACAACAACAAAAAAGAGCAGATGCTGGCCACCTCTGAGAACACCTCTGGAGACACTGACTTGCACACCGGTTGCCACGGGACCACTCAAAATCACTAACACACAGACCCGGAAAGCCCTCACCACAAACACTCACTGGCCCATAGCGCCGCGCTTGTCCCTGGGGACACAGGTGGGGCCATCCCCAGAATCACACCAACGAGACACACACAGAACACAAGGAGACACAGATATACACAGATTTGCACACACCCATTCTGTAACCAGTTGATTATTTCTTTCAGGCAACATGCATTTATCGAGCACCTACTGTATGCCAGGCACTGTGGCAGGTGTGGGATCACGGTGAACAAGACAGACACAAACCCCCGCCCTGCAGGAGCTCCAGCTGGGGGAGGCAAACAGTGAATCAGGAAACACACCTAGGAGATAAATTCAGGTGCTGTGAATTGCCGCAACAGGAAGTAAACAGAGTGATGCGATAGAGTGGGTGGGGGAGGTTGATGCTTTAGCTGGGAAGGTCAGGGAAGGCCATTTGAGCTGAGATCTGTAAGCTCAGAAGAAGTCAGGCATATAAATCAATGTCTAGCTGGGCGTGGGGGCTCACGCCTGTAATCCCAGCACTTTGGGAGGCCGAGGCGGGTGGATCACGTGAGGTCAGTAGTTCAAGACCAGCCTGGCCAACATGGGGAAACCCCATCTCTTCTAAAAATACAAAAATTAGCCGGGTGTGGTGGCGTCTGTCTGTAATCCCAGCTACTCGGGACACAGAGGCAGGAGAATTACTTGAATCTGGGAGGCAGAGGCTGCAGTGAGCCGAGATTGTGCCACCCTACTCCCACCTGGGTGATAGAGTGAGAAAAAAAAAATCTAGGGGAAAGTTATTCTGGGTGGTAAAAACTGCCAGGGCAAAGGCTTGGAGGCAAGACTGAGCTTGGGGTGTTTGAGGAACAGAAGGAAGCAGGTGTGGCTGGAGCCAGGCGGAGGAGGACTGTCACAGGACCCAAAGTGCTGGGATTACAAATACGACACACCGCACCTGCCCTTTTCTCCCACTTTTGATAGAGACATAGCAGAGTGAAATATTTCTGTGCTGTAGAAATACTCTGTGCTGTTTGGGAGTACCGTCCACACTTCCTGTCCACGCTTCCCCACTCTCTGAACCCTGGCCTCTGTCCCCACTGCGCCCCGGACACCTGATATTGGCCTTAAGGCCGAATGCAGAGGCCACCCCTCGGCTGTGCACACCTGGCTCCCTTCCTTCCCCTCCACCACCCCGTCCAGCCCGCAGGGAGGGCCACCACCTGCTCTACCCTTTACTGCTTGCGTTGGTGGGAAAAGACACATAACATAACATTTACCCTTTTACCTTTTTTGTTTGTTTGTTTTTGAGACGGAGTCTCGCTCTGCTGCCCAGGCTGGAGTGCAGTGGCACGATCTCGGCTCACCGCAACCCCCGCCTCCCAGGTTCAAGCAATTCTCCTGCCTCAGCCTCCTGAGTAGCTGGGATTACAGGCACCTGCCACGACACCTGGCTAATGTTTTGTAGTTTTAGTAGAGATGGGGTTTCATCCTGTTGGCCAGGCTGGTCTCGAACTCCTGACCTCAAGAGATCTGCCCACCTCGGCCTCTCAAAGTACTGGGATTACAGGCGTGAGCCACCGTGCCTGGCCTTAACCATTTTTTTAAATTTAAAAAATGATTTTTAAAATGTGTATACATTTAAGGAGTATAAAGGCAACTTTGTTACATGGATAGATTGCGCAGCAGGAAGCCTGGGCTTTAGTGTAACCATCGCCCAAGTAATGTACATTGTAGCCATTAAGTCATTTCTCATCCCTTACCCCTCCCGCCCTTCCTCCTTTACCCCTTCCGGGTCTCCACTGTCTAAAATTCCGCACTATGACCACGTATACACATGATTTAATTCCCGCTTATAAGTGAGAACATGCGGTATTTGACTTTCTATTTCTGAACTGTTTTACTTAAGATGATAACAGCCTACAGTTCCATTCATATTGCTGCAAAAGACATGATTAATTCTATATTTTAACCCTTTGTTTTTGTTTGTTTGTTTGTTTGTTTTTGAGACAGGGTCTTTGTCACCTGGACTGGAGTGCAGTGGTGGGATCACAACTCACTGCAGCCTCAATGTCCCAGGCTCAAACAATCCTCCTGCCTCAGCCTCCCGAGTAGCTGGGACTACAGGTGCGTGCCACCATGAGCGGGTAATTTTTAATTATTTTTTGTACAGAAGGGGTCTCATTATGTTGCCCAGGCTGGTCTTAAACTCCTAGACTCAAGCAATCCTCCCATCTCAGCCTCCCAAAGTGTTGGGATTACAGGCATTAGCCACTGCCCCCAGCCCATTTTAACCTTTTTTTTTTTTTTTTTTTTTTTTTTGAGACAGAGTTTCTCTCTTGTTGCTCAGGCTGGGATGCAATGGCGCAATCTCTGCTCACTGCAACCTCCACCTCCTGGGTTCACGCGATTCCCCTGCCTCAGCCTCCCAAGTAGCTAGGATTACAGGCACCTGCCACCATGCCCAGCTAATTTTGTATTTTCAGTAGAGACAGGGTTTCACCATGTTGGCCAGGCTGGTCTCAAACTTCTGATGTCAGGTGATCCACCCACCTCGGCCTCCCAAAGTGCTGGGATTACGGGCGTGAGCCACCGCCCCTGGCCCTTGTTAACCATTTCTAAGTGCACAGTTCAGTGGCATTAAATGCATTCGCATTGTTGTGCAATCATCTCCAGCACTTTCTCATCTCCAAACTGAAACTCTGTCCCCATGAAACCCTCGCTCCCCATCTCCCTCCCCAGCCCCTGGCACCCACCATTCTGCTTTCTGTCTCTGTCAATCTAGTGACGGTAGGGACCTCCTATAAGTGGAATCACACAGGATTTGTCCTACTGTGCCTGGTTTCTTTCACCCAGCGTAATGTCTTTAAGGTCCATCCATGTCAGCAGGTGTCAGAATTTCCTTCTTTTTGCATCTGAATCATATTCCATTGGTGGATAATTGGGTTATTTCTATCTTTTGGTAATTGTGAATCATGCTGCTAAGAACATGGGTGTATAGGCTGGGCGTGGTGGCTCACGCCTGTAATCCCAGCACTTTGGGAGGCCAAGGCGGGTGGATCACGAGGTCAAGAGATCGAGACCATTCTGGCCAACATGGTGAAACCCCGTCTCTACTAAAAGTACAAAAATTAGCTGGGCGTGGTGGCGCTCGCCTGTAGTCCCAGCTACTTGGGAGGCTAAGGCAGGAGAATTGCTTGAACCCGGGAGGCGGAGGTTGCAGTGAGCCGAGATCGCGCCACTGCACTCCAGCCTGGGCGACAGAGCGAGACTCCATCTCAAAAAAAAAAAAAAAAGAACATGGGTGTATAAACATTTGTTTTGAGTCCCTGCTTTCAACATTTGGGTATGTACCGCTGGAGAGATTTTTTTTCCTTCCTTCCTTCCTTCCTTCCTTCCTTCCTTCTTCTTTTGTGGTGTTGTTTGTTTGTTTCTGAGACAGAGTCTCACTGTGTTTCCCAGGCTGGAGTGCAGTGGCGTGATCTCGGCTCACTGCACTGCAACCTCCGCATCCCGGGTTCAAGCGATTCTCCTGCCTCAGCCGCCCGAATAGCTGGGGATTATAGGCATGTGCCACCACACCTGGATAATTTTTGTATATTTAGTAGAAACAGAGTTTCACCATGTTGGCCAGACTGACCTCAAACTCCTGGCCTCAAGTGATCCACCTGCCTCGGCCTCCCAAAGTGCTGAGATTGCAGATGTGAGCCATCACGTCCAGCAGAATATATGCAATAGAACACAGGTCAGCAAAGTATAACCTTTAGGCCAAGTTTAACCCAATGCTTACTTTTGTAAATAAAGTTTTTATTCTTGTTTTCTGAGAGACAGGGTCTCATTCTGTCACCCAGGCTGGAGTACAGTGGTGTGATCATAGCTCACTGCAGCCTCGACTTCCCAAGCTCAAGCCAGCCTCCCTCCTCATCCTCTGGAGTAGCTGCGACCACAGGCATACAACACCGCGCCTTGCTATTTTATTTTATTTTTGTCCTTTTGAGACAGAGTCTTACCCTATTGCCCAGTCTGGAGTGCAATGGCGCAGTCTTGGCTCATTGCAACCTCCGGCTCCTGGGTTCAAGAGATTCTCCTGCCTCAGCCTCCCAAGTAGCTGGGATTACAGGCATGTACCACAATACGTGGCTAATTTTTTTTTTTTTTTGTATTTTTAGTGGAGATGGGGTTTCACCATGTTGGTCAGGCTGGTTTTGAACTCTTGACCTCAGGTGATCCACCCACCTCGGCTTCCCAAAGTGCTGGGATTACAGGCATGAGTCACCCTGCCCGGCCTTATTTTATTTTTTGTAGAGACAGGGTCTCGCTATATTGCTCAGGCTGATCTCAAACTCCTGGGCTCAAGTGATCCTCCCACCTCGGCCTCCCAAAATGCTGGAATTACAGGCATCAGCCGCCCCTGGAGGGTTTTAAGCAGGGGCCTGTGAACCTATTTTGCTTTCAGCTTTAAAAGATGCCTTGGCCAGGTGCGGTGGCTCATGCCTGTAATCCTAGCACTCTGGGAGGCCGAGGCAGGCGGATCGTGAGGTCAGGAGTTCAAGGCCAGCCTGGCCAATATGGTGAAACCCCGTCTCTATTAAAAATCCAAAAATTAGCCGGGCATGGTAGCACACGCCTGTAGTCTCAGCTACTCGGGAGACTGAGGCAGGAGAATCGCTTGAACCTGGGAGCCAGAGATAGCAGTGAGCCAAGATCGTACCACTGCAATCCAGCCTAGTGACTCCATCTCAAACAACAACAACAAAAAGCCTTTTTCTTCCAGCCTTAGCTGCTATCATGGAGATGGCCACGTGGGGGCAGCACTTCCCCATGGCTTCTCCTCTGGCCAGAAAGACCACAGAAAGCAAAACAGGAAAAAAAACCGACCCTTGTGGAAAGCCGGAAGGCTTACAGGGGCCAGGCAGCAGCCTGAGTTAGTGAGGGCCATGGGGTGTGAGACACGGGTTTGCCCTTCCTTCTACCACGCTTATTTTTTTCTTGGAGTAGTCTCACTGTGTTGGCCAGGCTGGTCTCAAACTCCTGGCCTCAAGTGATCCTTCCTCCTCGGCCTCCCAAAGTGCCGGGATTACAAATGTGAGTCACCACACCTGGCCTTTTCTCCCACTTTTGACAGAGACGTGGCAGAGTGAAATATTCCTGTGCTGCAGAAAACAACATAATTTCAGTTGGGTTAAAGATGAAATGTGAACAATAAACCAATACAGATCATAGAAGGAATTTACAAGGCTATTTTTACAATTGAGGGTTGAAAACATGCTTTTTTTGAAATTGTTGTGTGTGTGTTTTAACTAAGACAGAAAACCCAGAAGCTATGAATGAAACCACAGAAATACTTAATACATAAAAATCTATATAAACGTGGCCGGGTGCAGTGGCTGATGCCTGTAATCCCAGCACTTGGGGAGGCTGAGGCAGGTGGATCACTTGAGGCCAGGAGTTAGAGACCAGCCTGGCCAACATGCAGAAACCTTGTCTCTACTAAAAATACAAAAATTAACTGGGTGTGGTGGTGGGCACCTATAATTGCAGCTACTCGGAAGGCTGAGGCAGGAGAATCACTTGAACCCTGGTGGCAGAGGTTTCAGTGAGCTGAGATCTCACCACCACACTCCAGCCTGGGTGACAGAACAAGACCCTGTCTCAAAAACAAAACAGAACAAAACAAAACGAAACAAACAAAAAACTATATAAACATCTGTTAAAAATCTTATAATAAAAATAAATATAACTAACAGAATAATTTTATAAATTATCAGGGAAGTATATACAAAAGCAATAAAGAAAGATGAATTGGTTGCCTGAGAAGGGTTGGTACCTTTATATGCAAAGAGATTTCACACATTGATAAGAAAAAAACACAACAGAAATAGAAAATTAAGAATTTGGGGCCGGGCTTGGTGGCTCATGCCTGTAATCCCAGCACTTTGGGAGGCTGAGGCAGGTGGATCAGTTGAGGTCAGGAGTTCGAGACCAGACTGGCCAACATGGTGAAAATTAGCTGGGCAGGTGGTGGGCACCTACAGACCCAGCTACTTGGGAGGCTGAGGCAGGAGAATCGCTTGAACCTGGGAGGCAGAGGTTGCGTCAGTGAGCTGAGATCGCGCCATTGCACTCCAGCCTGGGCAACAGAGGGAGACTCTGTCTCAAAAAAAAAAAAAGAAGAAGAAAAAGCAAGAAAAGAAAAAAAGAGAAAGAAAGGGTGTGAACAGGCATGTCTCAGAAAAGCACAGACGGGAGCCAAAGAATGATGAAAATATAGTTCCCAGAAGCCCAGAGAGTGCGAATTTCAGGGAGCTGTTCACTTCATATCTAAGAGTGCGGCAATAGCAACCACCAAAAGGAATGTATCTGATTATCATCTTACTGTAGTTGAAATTATATTGGAAATTAGAACATGTATTTATGAAATTCTACAGTCTTAATTTGTCTACATGATTTCTAATATTTTCTTTTTTCTTTTCTTTTCTTTCTTCTTTTTTTTGGGGGGGTCGGGGGACAGGGTCTCCCTCTGTCACCCAGGCTGGAGTGCAATGGCACAATTTCAGCCCACGGTAACCTCAACCTCTCAGGGGCTTAAGCGATCTTCCCACCTTAGCCTCCTGAGTAGCTGGACAACAGGTGGCCACCTCAAGTGGCATTTCTTTTTCTTTCTTTCTTTTTTATTTTTCTTTGAGAGGGAGTCTCTGTCTCCCAGCAGTGGCACAATCTCGGCTCACTGCAACCTCTGCCTCCCAGATTCAAGCGATTCTCCTGCCTCAGCCTCCCGAGTAGCTGGGACTACAAGTGCGTGCCACCACGCCCAGTTAATTTTTGTATTTTTAAAGACAGGTTTTCACCATGTTGGCCAGGATGGTCTCAATCTCTTGACCTCGTGGTCCTCCCACCTTGGCCTCCCAAAGTGCTGGGATTACAGGCGTGAGCCACTGCACCCGGCCAAATTGTATATTTTCTTGGCAATTATGAATAATATCACTACAAACATTTATGTCAAGACTTCAATGTGAATATGCTTTCATTTATCTTGGTAAAATACATAGGAATAGAATTTCTGGGTGCTATGACAAATGTATATTTAGCGTTGTAAGAAACATTTTAACTGTTTCTTTTGTCTTTTCTTTTTTTGTGATAGAGTCTTCGTCTGTCACCCAGGCTGAAGTGCAATAGCACGATCTCGGCTCACTGCAACCTCTGCCTCCCTGGTTCAAGTGATTCTCCTGCCTCAGCTTCCTGAGTAGCTGGAATTACAGGCGCATGCCACCATGCCCAGCTAATTTTTGTGTTTTTAGTAGAGACGGGGTTTCGCCGTGTTGGCCAGGCTGGTCTCAAACTCCTGACCTCAAGTGATCCTCCAGCCTCGGCCTCTCAAAGTGCTGGGATTACAGGCATGAGCCACTGCACCCAGCTGGACTGTTCTTCTTTATTCTTCTTTTGGTCCTCTTTCAGTTCTCTCCCTCTCTGTCTCTGTCTCTCTCTCTCCGTGTGTGTGTGTGTGTGTGTGTGTGTGTGTGTGTGTGTGTGTGTAGGCAAAAAGCTTAGATTAGATAATTAGGCTGGGCACAGTGGCTCATGCTTGTAATCCCAGCACTTTGGGAGGCTGAGGCAGGAGAATCAATTCAGCCCGGGAGTTCAAGATCAGCCTGGGCAGCATAGCAAGATCCTGTCTCTACAAAAAATTTAGAAATTAGCCAGGCATGGTGGTGCCCACCTGTTGACCTAGCTACTCAGGAGACTGAGATGGGAGGATCCTTTAAGCCTGGGAGGTGGACACTGCAGTGAGCTATGATTGCCCCACTGCACTCCAGCCTGGACAATAGAGTGAGATCCTGTCTCAAAAAAAGAAAAGAAAAGAAAAAGAAAAATAGATCTATATATATGCAGTAGATGTTACTTATTCAGACAAGTGAGAGTACCTAGCACACTTCTGGAAATAGGGTTGCCAGATCAAATATAGGAACCTGAGTATCTTATATATTTATCCGTTAAATGTGGCAAGCCAATTCAGGGACTCTTTGTGATAGCATCTGTGTCCCCAGGGGCTGGTTCCCCAATTCTCATAGTAACACGGGGTGGGGCAGCAGGCTGGGCTCTTTCTTTTTCGCATCCAGGCTGTTGGACCCCAGAGAAACCACAAGGGACTTTAGAGGCTTCAACAGGAAAACCGCATCTTAATATAACCCAAGAACTGAACATTCTCGTAATGAGATGTCCACAGAAGCACAGTGCCATTACTTTACATACTTCCAATGGCAAGATGTGTCCTGGCGTGGCTTCTGGCACTGGTTATGAATCATAAAAGAGGGGTCACCCCTCTCTGAGCACTTTCTATGTAGTTTATTTAATCTCATGCAATCTTCACAACCATCCAAGGAGGAAGGCCCTGTTGGCTTTATTGGCCCCGTTCTGTAGATGAGGAAGCTGAGGCTCAGTGAGGCAAGGCTCTGTGACACACTGTCCCCCAGAGGCTGCAGCATGCAGAACCCCTTAGAACATCTGCTTTGTTAACGGCATGTTGAGAGACACAGCCTCTGGGAACCTGTGTTAGGCACGTTGGCCGAGGGGCCGGGCACCCGTATTGCTAACCCTGCCTGTCTCTGCCAGTGACCTGAACTCACACAGATGGTGCAGTGGACAACCTCTGCTCACCACTTGCACCTGCAGAAGACTCATCAGGGCACACAGGGCCATGCCACAGCAGTTCCCTTCCCACACTGCATTATTCAGTAAGCACAAAGCAATATGGCAGGTGTGATAGTTGGAGCCCAGGTGAGCAGCCCCTGAGCCCCAGACTTGGAAGTCCAGGGAGGCTTCCTCAGGAAGCAGTGCCCAGCACATACCTGAAGGATGTGAAGGACCTGGGACAAGCACAGGGCCACAGGTGATTGCACTCATCCACAGCAAGGAGAACCAAAGGGGAAAGTGGCTATAATGGGGGAAGCTAGAGACAGAGGCCATTGTGTCTGGGTCCAATGGCATAGCTTTAGCTTTTATCCCTAAGGCAATGGGGAGACATGGGAAGTTTTATGCGGAGGGGAGGCAAAGTCTGCTCTTTGTTTCAGAAAGCTCCCTTTAACTGGGCATGGAAGGAATGGTTAGAGGGTATAATCCTGGAAGCTGGCAAGGTGGCAATGCTGTCATTCAGGAAGACAGGACAGTGGCCCAGCCATAGGAGGGAGAAAAGTGGGTGACTCGGGGGGGAATTCGAGAGGCAAAATGAGCTGGACTTTGTGTAGATATGGGTGGATGGGGAGCGAGAATGCCACCCAGCTCTCAGCCTGACTCCCCAGCGGACAGGGTCTGGGACAGGCTCCAGGGTCAGCACTTTTGACTGACAGCCTCAAGTCTATGGGTGTAGTGTCCCTGTCCACTTCCCTCCATTCATCTATTTGCATTTCCTGAGCCTGGAACTTTCCAGCTGCTCCTCTGGTTGCCCTGGAAGGGGGAGGGCTGGGAAGGAGGTCTCCCATCCCAGCAGCTGGCCCGCAAGGCAGAGGCTGCCCCCGGCTGACGCTCTTCCTTTTCCTCCAGGTAGCACTGTGCCAGGGCATCTGGGAACCCCAGAGGAAGGGCAGGGTGTCCAGCGGGTGGGCAAGGGGTCATGGCTATGGGCTCCTCTCTTCCCATGAGCTCATGGGCTCAGCACCCTGCCAGGTGTCAGCAGGAGAGGGCTCAGGAATCCTAGGTGGACGGTGGGGGCTGAGAACCTGTGTTTGTCATCTGGACAGGTGTGTGGATGTCACCCTGGAGGCACATCTGGCTCTTTATCCTTTAGTCTGCTCAAACAGTACTCCCTCAAGGGACTTCACCTCTCTCTATCTCTCTGCTCCCCTCCATACCTCCCCCATTTTGTTTTCTGAGTCGTCTTTATTTTATTTATACGTTTATTTTTGAGACAGCGTCTCACTCTGTCACCCAGGCTGGAGCGCAGTGGCACCATCTCAGCTCACGGCCACCTCCGCCTCCAGGGTTCAAGTGATTCTCCCGCCTCAAACTCCTGGGTAGCTAGGACTGTAGGCTTGCACCACTGTGCCCGGCTAATTTTTTTTTTTTTTTTTTTTTTTTTTTTTTAGTAGAAACAGGGTTTCACCATGTTGGCCAGGCTAGTCTCACACTCCTGGCCTCAAGAGATCTGCCCGCCTCAGCCTCCCACAGTGCTGGGATTACAGGCATGAGCCGCCTTGGGTCCGGCCTAGTTGTATAATAATTTCATTATGTATTACAATGTGGTAATAATATAACAACAGTGCATCATAGTGCACAGTAAATGTAATGTTCTTGAATCATCCTGGAACCGCCACCTTCCAACTGTCTTCCATGAAACTGGTCCCTGGTGCCAAAAAGGTTGAGGATCTCTGGCTTTAACACCATCCCCTTTGTGCTATTCTTGTGACAGTGTGACAATAAGTTCTCGTGAGACTCTGTCATTTAAAAGTGTGTGACACCTCTCCCCTCCCCTCACTCTCTCTTGCTCCTGTTCCTGCCATGTAAGACGTGCCTGCTCCTTCTTCACCTTCTGCCATGATTGTAAGTTCCCTGAGGTCGCCCCAGAAGCCAGCACCCTGCTTCCTGTACAGCCTGCAGAACCGTGAGCCAGTTAAACCTCTTTTCTTTATAAATTACCCAGTCTCAGGTATTTCTTTATAGCAATATGAGAATGGACGAATACATCATCCATCCATCCATCCATCCATCCATCCATCTACCTACGACTCTAACTATCTATATATCTATCTACGTAGTATGTATCTATTTTTTTTTTTGAGACAGGGTCTTGCGCTGTCTTGCCCAGGCTGAGTGCAGTGGTGCCATCATAGCCTAGTGTAGCCTCAACCTTTCAAGCTTAAGTTATCCTCCCACCTCAGCCTCTCAAGTAGCTGAGACCACAGATGCATACCACCACACACAGCTAATTTTTTATTTTTTTGTAGGGACAGGTTCTCACTATGTTGCCCAGACTGGTCTCAAACTCCTGGACTCAAGGGATTCTCCCACCTTTGCCTCCCAAAGGATTACAGGCCTGAGCCACTGTGCCTGGCTCTGTCTGTCTGTCTGTCTATCTATCTATCTATCTATCTATCTATCTATCTATCTATCTATCTATCTATCTATCTATCATCATCATCATCTATGCATCCATCTATCTATAATTCTATCTATCTATCTCCCTCTCTCTGCCTCTCTCCCTCCCCAACACTCCTTTCCTATCTCCCAGGCTGTCATTCATACAACACAGGTTCTACCAGTCAAACCAATTCATAAAATCACAAAACCAACCCAGATTCAAGGGCTGAGAGGTAGATTCCACTTCCTAACAAAATCAGACAAAATTGCAGTCATATTTTCAGGTCAACCAGAATAGCCCTTCCCCAACCTCACAGCCCGGGACTTGGGTCTTGTGATGCTTCCCACAGTGGGGAGTTCAGTTTAAATGCCTTCGCTCCACCATTCAGGGGTTTCTACCCCTAGCAGGCACAAACATCCATTAAAATATAAATGGCCTCAGTTTCTTTCTTTCTTTCTTTTTCTTTTTTTGAGACAAGGTCTCATTCTGTTGCCCAGGCTGGAGTGCAGTAGCATGATCTCAGCTCACTGCAGCCTCTGCCTCCCAGCCTCAAGCGATCCTCCCACCTCAGCCTCCCTAGTGGCTGGGATTACAGGTGCGCACCACCACGCCTGGCTAATTTTTGTATTTTTAGTAGAGACGGGGTTTCACCATGTTGATCAGGCTGGTCTTGAACTCCTGACCTCAAGTGATCCACCTGCCTCGGCCTCCCAAAGTGCTGGGGTTACAGTGGTGAACTACCATGACTGGCCCTTCAGTTTCTTAAGAACCCTGCCTTGAGCAGCAGTCATTGCAGTGTGCATAAAATATATAGTTAATACATACAAATATTTTGGATAAAAATGACTTTTGAGCACTTTCTTTTTTTTTAGTTTTTCCCTTCTCCAATGTGACTATTGTGTTTAAAAAAAAAAAAAAGCAGTCAGCTGTCATCTGACAGAGGTTTCTTAGGAGAATGGGAGGGGTGCTGAATCCCCAGCCCTCTTCCTGGAAGGTAGGTGGGGGTGACCCCAGGGCTGTGTTTGAGGACGTGAGAAAGAATGACTCGCTGACCGGTTAGGACCTTCCCAAGCTTTCCTGAGCCAGACCTGGGAGAGGTTCCCACGGCAGACGATTCACATCCGAAGGCTAGGGGACTTCCCAAAGCTTAGCCCCAGAGGGCAGCTACGGAGGCGCCCACCTCTTAGAATGAAGTTGTAACAATTGTTGCATTTAGTCAGTGTGGGCTGAGTGCCAGGCCCAGGACTAAGAAGTTATGAACACTGCTTTATATCTTCCTCCCAACAAATCGAACACACAGGCTGCCTTTTCGTCCTTCAGACAGACCTCTCTCCAGCCTCCGGGACTTTGCACATGCTGTTCTCTCTGCTCAGCGTTCTCTCTTCCAGGTCCCCTCTGCTTCCGGGATCTTCACGGATGGCCCCTTCTCATTCTCTAGACTTGAAGTCACAAGTCACCTCAGGCAGGCCTCCCTCCACATGCCCCCCACCCCTCTACTTTCTTTATTCTACTCTCATGACACTTCTTGACTTTATTCATTGTTACTGGGATTTATTCATTGTTCTCTCTCTGCAGCTGGAACGGAAACTTGTACAATCAGGAACCTGTCCAGTTTATTTCCAGCCACGTTCCATGCTCCTCTACTTACCACTCATGTGGGAAAGTTGCTTAACATCTGTGCCTCCTTTGTCTGATGTATTCACTGGGTATGATGATATTTTTTTTTTTTTAAACAGAGTCTGGCTCTTGTTGCCCAGGCTGAAGTGCAATGGCGTGATCTCAGCTCACTATAACCTCCACCTCCCAGGTTCAAGTGATTCTCCTGCCCCAGCCTCCTGAGTAGCTGGGATTATAGGCATGAGCCACCATGCCTGGCTAATTTCTTTCTTTTTTTTCTTTTTTTTTGAGAGGGAGTCTCGCTCTGTCGCCCAGGCTGGAGTGCAGTGGGGCGATCTCAGCTCACTGCAAGCTCTGCCTCCCGGGTTCATGCCATTCGCCTCAGCCTCCCGAGTAGCTGGAATTACAGGCATATGCCACCACGCCTAGCTAAATTTTTGTATTTTTAGTAGAGACAGGGTTTCACCATGTTGGCCAGGCTGGTCTTGAACTCCTGACCTCAAGTGATCTGCCCTTCTTGGCCTCCCAAAGTGCTGGGATTATAGGCGTGAGCCACTGCACCCAGCCTTTTTTTTTTTTTGAGACAGAGTCTCGCTCTGTTGCCCAGGCTGGAGTGCAGTGGCTCGACCTTGGCTCACTGCAAACTCCACTCCCTGGGTTTAAGCGATTCTTGTGCCTCAGCCTCTCAAGTAGCTGGGATTACAGGCATGTACCACCCTGCCTGGCTATTTTTTTGTATTTTTTCACCATGTTGGCCAGGCTGGTCTTGAACTCCTGGACTCAAGTGATCCACCCACCTTGGCCTCCCAAAGAGCTGGGATTACAGGTGTGAGTCACTGCGCCTGGCCAATGATAATCATTCCTACTTCAGAGCAAACCCATGTAAAGTACTTAGAAAACAGTGTCTGGTGTGTGTGCACTCAAATGATATTCACTATTATTTATTATTAAGTGCACACCTAAAAAAACCTTCATGGAAGGAAGAAATGGAAGTTAACTGCCCCACTCTGGGCATATAACTCCATTAGTTCAAGTATTTATTCGTTCAACCATCTTTGTTGAGAATCTACCATGCACTGTGATTTCCCTCTCTGATGATTCTGCTTCCTCTCCCTTCCTTTCATAGGTGTTGGCCTCTAATAAATATCTTGCACCTAAAACTCTTTTTCTGTGTCTGCTTCCAAAGAATCCCACCTGAGACATGGAACAAACACTGACCCTCCCAGGACAATAAAGGGGAAAGGCACAAACGGAATGTAAATCTCCTTTTTCCCACCTCCCTCCTGTCCTATGATCTACTGTGGCCCCCCAGACACATGCACCTGTTCACCAGCAGGGTTTCTCATGGTTTTTATATTAATCCCTCAATGCCTTGCTTCCCTCTCTCTCCTGTGTTCGTTTTGTAGGGAGTAAGCTAGCAGCCCACACTAGTGTGTCATCTTATCACAAACTGGATCATTATGAACTTAATGACAGAACATAATAACAGCAACAAGAATGATAATTATAATAATGATGTTGGTGGTGGTGATGGTGATAATGGTGATGGTGATGATATTGATGATTATGATAGTGATGATGGTGATGATGAAGTTAATGATGGTGATGATGATAGTAATCCACAGTGATGATAATGATTATGATAATGGCAGTGGTAATAATGATGGTGATTATGATGGTGATGGTGATATTGATGATGATTATAATGGTGGTGATGATGATGGTGATAATGACGATGGTGTTGATGGTGATGATGCTGGTGATAATGGTGATGGAGATGATGACGGTGATAGTAATGATGATGGCGGTGATGACAATGATGATGATATTGACTGTGGCGATGGTGATAATGGCAGTGGAGATGATAATGGTGATATGATGATGGTGGTGATGATGATAATGAAGATGATGATGGTGATCATAGTGATGATGGTGGTGATGATGGTGGTGATCATGATGGTGATGACAATGATGGTGATATTGATGTTGATGATTATAATGATGGAAATGGTGATGGTGACGGTAATGGTGATGGTGGTGATGACAGTGGTGATGATGATGGTGATGATGATGATGGAGATGGCAATGGTGATGGTGATGATGGTGATGACAATGATGGTGATATTGATGTTGGTGATGTTGGTGATTATAGTGGTGGAGATGGTGATGGTGACAGTAATGATGGTGGTGATGATTATGATGGTAGGTAGGAGTAGCAACAATAATGCAATAATTATGTCCAGGCACATGATTCAATATTTCATCCATTGCTATCATTCCTCCAACAACACAATGAGGAAACAGAGACTCTGAGAGATGAAACATGATTCCTAGTCACAGTCACAGAGCTGAAAAGTGGAAGAGCCAAGATTTGAATCTCAAGGTAGTCAGTCTAAAGTGCATGCTTTTTCTGTCTCAGGCTTGTGGAGTTTGGAAATGAGGAAACAAGAAATGGCTGGTTCGAGTGATTCTCGTGCCTCAGCCTCCCAAGTAGCTGGAATTACAGGCACGAGCCATCACGCCTGGCTAATTTTTGTGTTTTTAGTAGAGATTGGGTTTCACCATGTTGGCTAGGCTGGTCTCGAACTCCTGACCTCAAGTCATCCACCTGCCTCGGCCTCCCAAAGTGCTGGGATTACAGGTGTGAACCACTGCTCCCAGCTTGCTTTCTAAGATTTCTTATATATAAAGTGTCCTTTGGCAAATATGTTTCAAATATTCTTTTCTTGTTTTTCTCTTCTAACATTTTGAACGTGGTTTCTGGCCCCTAGAAGCTTAAAAATTCTATCTAATCAAATTAATCAGCCTATTCCTTTGTGATTTATACCGTTGGTAAGTATTCTTTTAGCAGCGTGTTTTTGGAAATTTTCTACACTTAACTTTTTTTTTTTATCCATATAGTATTTATTTGGTTGTATGGGTTGACATGAAGGTCAAAGTTATTTTCTTCCAAATGTTTACTCAGTTGTCCAAGACCCATTTATTGAATAAGTAGCTATTTGCATTCTGATTTAAAGTTGTTCATTTATAAATACAAATAGTTATCCATATTAGGGTCTGCTTAAGGATTTTCTGTTCTTTTCTTTTTAATCTCTCTCTCTTCTTGTCTGTATCATAGTGATAGCTTCAAAATATTCTTCCCAACCAGGAATATTTATTTGTTTAGTTTCTTAGATTCCTTAAAATTTTGTGATTTCATTCATATAAGTCTTATACAATTATTATCAATTCTATTCCTAGTTTATACATATTTTGGGCTGCTATTATAAAATAGTTCATTTCCCCATTATATTTTCTGATTATGGGTAGTCTATCAGAAAGCTATTAATATTTAAGTATTTTGTACCTTGTTGTCTTTCTAAATTCCTGTTAACTTGAATAGTTTTTCAGCTAGGTTTTCTAGGGCAAATAGGTTAATTATCGGTAAATAAAAATTATCTGAGGCCCTTTTCTCTTAGTACTACTATTTCTTTTTGTGTGTGTGTGCTATACCATGCTGGTCAGGACATCTAAATGTTAACTGATGAAATCAGAAATTCTAATAATGACAACATATTACTTCCCTAATTGTAACAAGAAAGCTTGTGTTTCCTTGTTATTTATTTTTATTATTATTTTTTTAAGACAGAGTGTCGCTTTGTCACCCAGGCTGGAGTGGAGTGGCATGATCTTGGTTCACTGCAACCTCCACCTACTGGGTTCAAGTGGTTCTCCAGCCTCAGCCTCCTGAGTAGCTGGGATTACAGGCGCATACCACCATGCCTGGCTAATTTTTTTTATATTTTTAGTAGAGACGGGGTTTTACTATGTTGGCCAGGCTGGTCTCAAACTCCTGACTTCAAGAGATCTGCCCACCTCAGCCTCCCAAAGTGCTGGGATTACAGGCGTGAGCCACCACACCCAGCCCCCTTGTTATTTATTTTTATTTTTATTTTTTTGAGATGTAGTGTCGGTCTGTCACCCAGGCTGGAGTGCAGCGGCATGATCTCAGCTCACTGCAGCCTCCATCTCCCCAGTTCAAAACATTCTCCTGCCTCAGCCTCCCAAGTAGCTGTGACTACAGGTACACACCACCACTCCCGGCTAATTTTTGTATTTTTAGTAGAGACAGGGTTTCGCCATGTTGCCCAGGCAGGTCTCGAATTCCTGACCTCAAGCAGTCTGCCCGCCTCAGCCTCCCAACGTACTGGGATTATAGGCATGAGCCACTGCACACGGACTCCTTGTTAAACATGATGCAGTGATTGAGGTAGAACCACTTATTATCCAGAAAATATAATCTTTTCCTATATTTAACAATTCATAGCACTAGCTACCATTTACTAGGTTCTTACTATTAATATTCGTCAGGCATTTTTCTAAGCACTTTACAGAAATTATTTCACTTAATTCCTGCAGATAGCCTTCAGAGGT
The DNA here is from genome assembly GCF_000001405.40 of Homo sapiens. Lineage (NCBI taxonomy): Eukaryota > Metazoa > Chordata > Mammalia > Primates > Hominidae > Homo > Homo sapiens. Next base: position 7,328,974 of record NC_000019.10, on the reverse strand, counting down.
AGGTACTAATATTATTTCATGTGCATAGGAGAAAGCATAGGCTCAGAGAACCCATGAAAAACCAGAAAGTGGAAGAATCAGAATTTAAACACAGGCAATAGAACTCCGGTGTTTACCTGGGCTATACTGCCCCCACTAGACAATAAAAATATCCTCCCACTACTAATTTACTAAACTTTTATATCAGAAATGGATAAAGATTTTATCAAACAATGGCTGAGCAGTGTGGCTCATGCCTATAATCTCAGCACTTTGGGAGGCCGAGGTGGGCGGATCATAAGGTCAGGAGTTTGAGACCAGCCTGGCCAACATGGCAAAACCCTGTCTGTACTAAAAAAAAAAAAAAATTAGCCAGGCGTGGTAGCACGCGCCTGTAATCCCAGCTACTTGGGAGGTTGAGGCACAAGAATCGCTTGAATCCAGAAGGTGGAGTTTGCAGTGAGCCGAGATGGTACCATTACACTCCAGCCTGGGCAACAGAGTGAGACTTCATCTCAAAAAAAAAAAAAAAAGAGATTTTATCTAACAACTGTTTGACTTCTTTGGAGATGAACAAGCACTATTTTTTTTTCTTTTACCTACAGACAGTGAGTTTTATTTAAAAGATTTCCCAGTGTTAAGAAGGTGCTGGCCAATGGAAAAAAAGAGAGTTCCAAATTTGTAGCATTTGCCAATTCCAGTGGTGTAAATACTTCCACTGTGGGTGATTCAAGCTACCCAAGATGATGGCACTAAGGGTAGGTTGGGAAGAGATGCTGCCCATTGGCCAGTGTGACCCATTCTGAGCCAGTTCCAACACATTGCTGCCTACATTGATTCATACATGTGTTCCTGGTATAGACCTCTAGGGTCTTAAATAAAGTCTATTCAAGAAACAGAAAAAGAAAAATTCAATTATCTAAACAACAGAAAGGTGGCCATAAACTCGGATGTAGTTTTATTATTTATTAATAATTTTTGTTAATTATTTTTCTTAATTATTTATTATAATTTATTAATTATATATCATTTATTATTTTAATACACACATATATTCAATAGAGTGCATATAGTGTGTTACTACCTAACACCACTTATGGTGTATATAGGGGGACCTCATAATCAAGCACATTAATATTTCAGCAGAGAAAATCCATGAATATTCATATAGGTGTCATAAATAATATAAATAGACAATATCACTTTTAGTGAAGTTGGTTACCAACTTAGTTTTGGTGCCAAATTTATGCCAAATATTTGTTGTGCCCAGAGCATTTAGGTTTTCAGAATTATCGAAAAGAGTCTGTGAACCTTAGCCGGGCATGGTGGTGTGTGCCCGTAGTCCCAGTTACTTGGGAGGCTGATGTGGGAGGATCGCTTGAGCCCGGGAGGTGGAGGCTGCTATGAGCTACGATCGAACCACTGCACTCCAGCCTCAGCAGCAGAGTGAGATCCCGTTTCAAAAAAAAAGAGTTAGTGAACCTAGTTTTATTTAATTAGCTGCGTGTGTGTGTGTGTGTGTGTGTGTGTGTGTGTGTGTATCTATGAGAGAGAGAGACAGAAAGAGAGACAGAGAACTTGGTCTTAAAAATTTTTTGGTAGATAGTCAGGTTTTGTACCAGGATTGAGCTGTTTATAGAATGATTAGGAAATTTCTCATCTATTTTAGGAATCTTTATCTATTTCTTGAACTTTTGAAGTTTAATGAGTCCATAAACCTTAGAAATCTTTATCTATTTCTTGAACTTTTGAAGGTTAAATGATTCCATAAACCATTTGGGATTGACCTTTTTGGAGGTTATTTTTCATAATATCTTTAGTTTCTTTCGTCATTATTTAGTTATGCATTCAGTACCTCTATTCCTTCTTGAATTAATTTTGATAATTTACATGTTTACAGAAAGCTCAGTTTCATTGAGATTTTTTAAATTTCAGCATAGAGTTGTATATCATACTCTTTTATTTTAAAAAACTCTAAATCTGCGTTTATAGCCACCTTTCTGTTGTGGCAAATTGAATTTGTTTTCTTTTTCTGTTTCTTGAATAAACTGGCTAGAGTTTATTCAAGAAACAGAAAAAGAAAACAAATTCTATTTCCCAAATTTTTTTCTTTATTCTAGCGTTTTTATGTGTTTTAATGGATAAAGTTCCACTTTTGTTACCCAGGACAAATTCCTTTCTCAGCTTATTTCTCTAGGACTTCTTGAGTTGAATGCTTCAGAGGTTTATTGACTTCCATAGTATCACAGTGAAAGGAAGATCTCATTTTCTGAGATGTAGTAGAAAAGTGGGTCAAGGGAAGTAAACTTTAAGCTGGGTTTTGACGGGTGAATAAGAGTTTTCCAGGAGGAGAGGTTCTTTTTGGTTGAAATAGCTGACAGTGGCAGAGGAATGAAAGACCAGCTGTGTTTTACTTTATTTAAAAATTGTTTTCTTTTTTATTTTCTACTCAAAAGAGAACTGGAGTGCCAGCTGAGTTTTAGAAAGAAGCACCAGTATGATAGGGTCGAATGTACCAGTGAATGGTACAGACTTCCATTTGTAAGAGTATATTTATTTGTGTAGTTGTTTGATTCAACCGTAACCTCCAAGAGGGCAGGGACCATTTTCTAGCGCCAACTCCAGGACCTGGCTTTCCCAGCCCAGTAATGGGAGGAGCACCCCATGGATTATTATGTACTTAAAACAAAGAGAATTCCGTGGCTGTAGTGATGAGAATGGACTCTAGGGGGCAGGAGTGGACACTAGGCCATCAAGGAGGAGGCAGCTGCCTCAGGTTGGTACAGGTGGGACATGAAGGATTTGGAGAGAAGTGAACCAGGCTGGGAGCGGTGGCTCATGCCTGTAATCCCAGCACTCTGGGAGGCCGAGGCGGGCGGATCACCTGAGTTCAGGGGTTTGAGACCAGCCTGGGCAACATGGTGAAGTCCCGTCTCTACTAAAGATACAAAAATTAGCCAGTTGTGGTGGTGCATGCCTGTAATCCCAGGTACTCAAGAGGCTGAGGCAAGAGAATCGCTTGAACCCGGGAGGCGGAGGTGATAGTGAGCCAAGATCGTGCCATTACATTTCAGCCTGCATTTTCTAGTATTTCATATAAATAGAATCAAGGTGCATGTGCTAATTTTTGTCTGAGCATACAGTATGCTCACTCAACATAGTGATTTTGAGATTTATCCATGCTGTTGTTGGTGTCCATAGTTTGTTCTCTTTTTTTAATTTATATATACATATTTTTTGAAGCAGGGTCTCACTGTGTTGCCCGGGCTGGAGTGCAGTGGCACGATCTTGGCTCACTGCAACCTCCACCTCCCAGGTTTAAGCAATTCTTCTGCCTCAGCCTCCTGAGTAGCTGGGACTAAGGGCATGCCACCAAGTCTGGCTAATTTTTGTATCTTTAATAGAGACAGGGTTTCACTATGTTGAACAGGCTGGTCTTGAACTCCTGACCTCAAGTGATCTGCCCGCCTTGGCCTCCCAAAGTGCTGCGATTACAGGCATGAGCCACCATGCCTGGCCTATTCTCTTTTTTAATGGTTAAGTAATAATGTTCCATTGTTCAAATATACCATAGTATGTTTATTTATTCTCCTGTTGATGGACATTGGATTTGCTTTTATTTGTTGGTGAATATAAATGGAGCTATGAGTATTCACCTGCAAATCTTTGTATGGATATATACTTTTACCTGTCATAGGTCGACAATCAAGATTGGAATGGTTGATTTGTACAGTAAGTGTGTGTGTAACTTCTCAAGAAACCACCAAAGTGCTTCCAAAGTGGTTGTATCATTGTACATTCCCCTTAGCTGTGTATGGGAGTTCCAGTTTCTCCACATCCTTGACAGCAGTTGATAGTGTTATTTTTAGTCTTAGCCATTCTAGTAGGCTTATAGTGGTATCTCAATTGTGGGTTTAATTTGTTTTTTCTTAATGAATAATGATGGTAAACACCTTTTCGGGTGTTTATTTGCCATCTCTATATCTTCGTTGGGGAAGTGCCTGTTCAAATCTTTTGCACGTTAAAAAAAACTAGATTGTCAACAATATTAGATTTGTTCTCCTCCTCCTCCTCCTCTTCCTGTTCCTGTTCCTGTCCCTCTTCCTCTTCTTCTTCCTCTTCTTTTTGAGACAGGGTCTTGCTCTGTCCCCTAGGCTGGAGTGCAGTGGCACAATCACAGCTCATGGCAGCCTCGACCTCCTGGGCTCAAGGGATCCCCCTGCCTCAGCCTTCTGAGTAGCTGGCACTACAGGCATGCACTACTACACCTGGCTAATTAAAAACAATTTTTTTTTAAATGTTAGGAGAATTGCTTGAACCCAGGAGGTGGAGGTTGTGGTGAGCCAAGTTCACACCACTGCACTCCAGCCTGGAGACAGAGCGAGGTAGAGATGAGGTCTTGTTATGTTGTCCTGGCTGGTCTTGAACCCCTGAGCTAAAACGTTCCTCCCACCTCTGCCTCCTGAAGTGCTGGGATTACAGACGTGACCCACCACGCCTGGCCAGATTTGTCCTCTTACTGTTGAGTTGTAAGAGTTCTTTACGTGTTTAATATCCATGCCCTTTGTGGGGATACATGCTTTGCAAATATTTTTTCTCGATCTGTGCTTGCTTTTTCATTTTCCCACTGGTATCTTTTGAATAGCATGAGTTTGAATTTTGGTGAAAGCCAATTATCAGTCTTTTATAGATTGTGGTTTTGTGGGCCCTGTTAGGATACTGCCATTTTACAGATGTTGAAACTGAGGCTCAGAGAGAGAAAACCTTTTTGTGTGTGTGTGTGTGTGTGTGTGATGGAGTCTCACTTTGTCACCCAGGCTGGAGTGCAGTGGCGCGATCTCAGCTCACTGCAACCTCCACCTCCTGGGCTCAAGCAATGCTTCTGCCTCAGCCTCTTGGGTAGCTGGGATTACAGGCGCCCACCACCACACTCGGTTAATGTTTTGTATTTTTAGTAGAGATGGGGTTTCACTATGTTGGCCAGGCTGGTCTCGAACTCCTGACCTCAAGTCATCCACCCGCCTCGGCCTCCCAAAGTGCTGGGATTACAGGTGTGAGTCACCATGCCTGGCCAGGAAACCTTGTCCAGGTCTCTCTGGCTGCTCGAGAGCACCCCAACCCCATGCCAACTGGGACAGTGCCTCTGATTCCCTGCCCACAAAGAGGGTTTGGACCCCAGGATGTCCAGATTGTGCCAAGATTCCATGTGGAAGCTGCACTCCTATCCTAAATTGGCCTGGGCTCTGGGGCATGGTGGGCCTGGTTTCTTTCATCCTCCCTTCCCAAAAAGCAAGAAACAATCAATTCAGGAACATGACCATTGTTTCTGGCCTCTGTCGGGATTCTTGGAATCTTCATCCCTGGTTCCCATCTCTCTAGAAGATGGAAAGGGGCACTCCTTTATTCCATAGGATTAGTTTGCCTCTCTGAGATCTCCCGTGTATAGCTGGAACCCGCAAATCACTAATGATGATTCTGAGGTTTTTCAAATATCCCCTTCCTCCACTTACATGAGGTCCCTAGAGTCATCAGATTCATGGAGATAGAAAGTAGGACAGTGGGTGCCAGGGGCTGGGGAGGGGGGATGGGGAGTGAGTGTCTCATGGAGACAGAGTTTCAGTTTGGGAAGATGAGAACGTTCTGGAGATGATAGTGGTGATGGCTGGACAGCCATGTGAATGCACTTAGTGCCACTGAACTGTGCACTGAATAATAGTTACAATGATACATTTTATGTTATGTGTGATTTGCCACAAGTAAAAATTTAAAAAATTGCTGTATTGAAAAAAGCAATACTATATAGATATATACATTATATATATACACATTATACACACACACACACACACACACACACACACACACATATTTTGAGACAGAGTCTCGCTCTGTCGCCCAGGCTGGAGTGCAGTGGTGTGATCTCGGCTCACCGCAACCTCCGCCTCCTGGGTTCAAGTGATTCTCATGCCTCAGCCTCGCGAGTAGTTGGGATTACAGGCACCTGCCACCACACCCGGCTAATTTCTGTATTGTTAGTAGAGTTAGGGTTTCACCATGTTGGCCAGGCTGGTCTCAAACTCCTGGCCTCACGTGATCTGCCCACCTCGACCACCCCAAGCGTTAGGATTACAGGTGCAAGCCACCATGCCCAGCCTTAGCAATACACATTTTAAAAAGAAATGACACAAAAATGTAGAACGTGGAAGTCTCCTGTAGTGATCTCAACCACTATGAATATTTGTATATCCTCCTAGAATGCTATAAACACACACACAGACAACTACATATGTATTGCCTTATGTTCTTTATCTACACCCAAATAAATATATAATACCCACATTTTGTGAAAATGGGATCACGCTTTATACTTTTTTGCACTTTTAACCCATTAATAGATCTTGCTCATTTTTCCATGTCATTGCATAGAAAACAAGACTTAGAGTGTTACTTTTAAAAAATGGTATATTATTATTATTATTATTATTATTATGTAAATTACTTTTTTTGAGACAGGGTCTTGCTCTTTTGCCCAGGCTGGAGTACAGTGGTGCCATCTCGGCTCACTGCAACCTCCGCCTCCTGGGCTCAAATGATTCTCCTGCCTCACCCTCCCGAGTAGCTGGGATTACAGGCACGTGCCACCATGCCCAGCTCGAGAGCAGCCTGGCCAACACGGTGAAACCCCGCCTCTACTAAAAATACAAAAGTTATCTGGGCATGGTGGCGGGCGCCTGTCATCCCAGCTACTTGGGAGGGTGAGGCAGGAGAATCATTTGAGCCCAGGAGGCGGAGGTTGCAGTGAGCCGAGATGGCACCACTGTACTCCAGCCTGGGCAAAAGAGCAAGACCCTGTCTCAAAAAAAGTAATTTACATAATAATAATAATAATAATAATAATATACCATTTTTAAAAGTAACACTCTAAGTCTTGTTTTCTATGCTTTTCCTGAAAAATGAGCAAGATCTATTAATGGGTAAAAGTCAAAAAAGTATGACGAATCTCTAGTTCGTCAGCCTCCAAGTAGCTGGGATGAAGGCGCCCGCCACCATGCCCAGATAACTTTTGTATTTTTAGTAGAGGCGGGGTTTCACCGTGTTGGCCAGGCTGCTCTCGAGCTGGGCATGGTGGCACGTGCCTGTAATCCCAGCTACTCGGGAGGCTGAGGCAGGAGAATCACTTGAACCTAGGAGGTGGAGGTTGCAGTGAGCCGAGATCGCACCACTGCACTCCAGCCTGGAGACAGAGCGAGACTCTGTCACAACTGGGGTGTAGCTGCTATCGGAATCGGGATGGTAGAGGCCGGGGTGCCATTCAATGTCCTCCCATGCACATAGAATGGTCCCTATGCAAAGAATTATGCAGTCCCAAGTATCCACAGTGCTGAGGCTGGATAACTCCATTCTAACGGAATGAACTCTACTTGGAGTCATTTTATTTCTTTCTTTCATTTTTTTATTTTTCTGTGCTGTTGAACACATTCCCGTCTCTGGGCCAAGGAGAGGGACGTGTCTTTCCATTTAGGGCAGGGCCGGCTGGGTGATAAGCTGACCCTTCTCTACTCAGAATAGAGCCGGCTTATCAGCTCCTGTTTGTTTTGGCCTTGCCTGGCGGGTGGATAGAGGATGTGACTTCAGAAGTGACCTTCGGGTTCTCTTGGTTTGGAACATGCATGCATTGAGGTCTCTCTCAGACAGACCCAAGAACTGTAAAGCCGGAGCTGTTTTAGGGGGTTGGTTGGCTGCTGATGGTCTGGTGGTGATCACGGAGATGATGATTTTATGACTGGGGTTGTTCATGATTGTCTATTTTTTGTTGCAATTTAGAGAAGACATTTTTTTATCCCCCTGTGGATGGTCTCGAGACATAACCCCTGGCTGTTGTTTTTCTTTTTTTAAAATTTTAACTTTTGGCCGGGTGCGGTGGCTCACGCCTGCAATCCCAGCGCTTTGGGAGGCCGAGGCGGGTGGATCACGAGGTCAGGGGTTTGAGACTAGCCTGGCCAACATGGTGAAACCGCGTCTCTACTAAAAATACAAAAAATTAGCCGGGCATAGCGGCAGGTGCCTGTAATCTCAGCTACTTGGGAGGCTGAGGCAGGAAAATCGCTTAAACCCGGGAGGCGGAGCTTGCAGTGAGTCGAGACCCCACCACCGCACTCCAGCCTGGGTGACAGAACGAGACTCCATCTCAAAAAAAAAAAATTAACTTTTAAGTTCAGGGGAAAATGTGCAGATTCGTTATATAGGTAAACTTGTGTCATGGGAGTTTGTTATATGGATTATTATGATTTTTTTTTTTTTTTTTGAGACACAGTCTCACTTTGTCGCCCAGGCTAGAGTGCAATGGTGTGATCTCAGCTCACTGCAACATCCACCTCCCAGGTTCAAGCGATTATCTCACCTCAGCCTCCTGAGCAGCTGGGATTACAGGTGCCCACCACCATGCCTGGCTAATTTTTGTATTTTTAGTAGAGACAGGGTTTTACCATGTTGGCCAGGCTTGTCTCAAACTCCTGACCTCAGGTGATCCGCCCGTCTTGGCCTCTCAAAGTGCTAGGATTATAGGCATGAGCCACCGTGCCCGGCCATATACCATATTTTCTTTATCCAGTCTATCGTTGATGGGCATTTATGTTGATTCCATGTCTTTGCTATCGTGAATAGTGCTATAATGAACATACACTTCCGTGTATCTTTATGATAGAATGATTTCTATTCCTCTGGGTGTACACCCAAGGTTTGGGCCCAGGGATAGTCAGGGAAGTCTTCCCACAAGAAGTTAGCATTAATAGACAAATAAGAGTTAGCTGGGCCAAAGAAGAGACCTTTTAGGGAGAAGAGCAGCACATAGAAAAGTTAGGAGGCTGAAAAAAGTTTGTTCTGTTCACTTCTGCAATGGTTTATTGAATATGACACAAAATGGCTGGGCATGGTGGCTCACGCCTGTAATCCCAGCACTCTGGGAGGCCAAGGTGGGTGGATCACTTGAGGCCAGGAGTTCGTGAAACCCCGTCTCTACTAAAAATACAAAAAAATTAGCTGAGCGTGGTGGCGTATGCCTGTAGTCCCAGCTACTTGGGAGGCTGAGGCAGGAGAATTGCTTGAATCCAGGAGGCAGAGGTTGCAGTGAGACGAGACTGCACCACTGCACTCCAGCCTGGGCGACAGAGTGAGACCCTGTCTCAAAAAATAAATTAATTAATTAAAAAAAGAATATGACACAAAAGTATGGGCAATAAAAGCCAAAAATAGACAAATGGGATTACTTCAAACTTAAAATTTTTTGTGTGTCAAAGGACACAATCAACAAAGCGAAAAGGCAACCTACAGAATGAGAGAAAACATTCGCAAATATATACCTGATGAGGGGTTGGTATCCATAATACATAAGGATACCTTCTGCAATTCAACAACAAAAATCCAATAATCCAACTAAAAACTGGGCAAAGGACTTGAATAGACATTTCTCCAAAGAAGATGTATAAATGGCCAATAAGGACATGAAAAAGATGCTCGACATCATTAGTCATTAGGGAAATGCAATGATATATTGCCTCACACACACATATACATGCATATATATATCCTCGTAAATATATATGCTGATATATATTATATATCATATATGTATGGTATATATCAGAGCTCAGGAGTTCAAGACTAGCCTGGGCAACATAGCGGGACCCCTTCTTTACAAAAAATACAAAACTTAGCCAGGCTTGGTGGCACATGCCTATGTCCCAGCTAGTCAGGAGGCCAAGGTTGGGAGGATCACTTGAACCCAGAAGGCGGAGGTTGCAGGGAGCTGAGATCACGCCACTGCACTCCACCCTGAGCGATAGAACCAGACCTTGTCTCAAAAACAAAAAGGAGGCCAAGCATGATGGCTCATGCCTGTAATCCCAGCACTTTGGGAGGCTAAGGCAGGCAGATCACCTGAGGTCAGGAGTTCGAGACCAGCCTGGCCAACATGGTGAAACCCTGTCTCTACTAAAAATACAAAATTAGCCAGGCATGGTGGCACATGCCTGCAATCCTAGCTACTCGTGGTGCTGAGGTTGGGAGGATTGCTTGAACCCTGGATGTGGAGGTTGCAGTCAGTCGAGATCATGCCACTGCACTCCAGCCTGGGTGACAGAGTGAGACTCCATCTCAAAATAAAAATGAAAACAAAAACAAAGATAGCACTTGTACCCAGTAAATTTACACAAATAAAAAATATATATATAATCTATGTGACTAATAACACTATATATGATCGAATATGCTAATATAATAACACTGTATATATGATTATATATATATGATATATATTAGAAAATAAGAAGTGTGGGGGAAGATGTGAAGAAGTTGGAAATTCCCATTATTGGTGGGAATGCAAAATGGTGCAGCCACTGTGCAAAACAGTATGGCGTTTCCTCAAAAAAGTAAATAGAATCATCCTATGATCCAGCAATCCCACTTATGTGTATATATCCCAAGGAGTTTAAATTAGACTATCAAAGAGATATTTGCACACCCATGTTCATAGCAGCACTATTCACAACAGCCAAGAGGTGGAAGCAACCCAAGTGTCCATCAACAGATGAATGGATAAAAACAACGTGGTATATCCATACAGTGGAATATTATTTAGCCATAAAAAAGAAAGAAATTCTGACACATGCTACAATGTGGATAAATCTTGAGGACGTCATAGCTCAGTGAAATTAGCCAGTCTCCAAAGGACAAATCCTGTATCATCCCACTCATATGAGATTCCTAGAGTTGTCAGATTCATAGAGAGAGAAAGTAGGATAGAGGGTGCCAGGGGCTGGGGAGTGGGGGTGGGGAGTGAATGTTTCATGGGAAGAGTTTCAGTTTGGGAAGGTGTGAAAGTTCTGGAGATGGATGGTGGTGATGGTCACTCAACCAGGTGAATGTATTCAATGCCACTCAGCTATGCACTTAAAAATGGTCAGGATGGCCGGGCGCGGTGCCTCACACCTATAATCCCAGCACTTTGGGAGGCCAAGGTGTGTGGATCACCTGATGTCAGGAGATCGAGACCAGCCTGGCCAACATGGTGAAAACCTGTCTCTACTAAAAATACAAAAAATAGCTGGGCATGGTGGCGGGTGCCTGTAATCCTAGCTACTCAGGAGGCAGACGCAGGAGAATCCCTTGAACCCGGGAGGTGGAGGTTGCAGCGAGCCAAGATCGCGCCATGGCACTCCAGCCTGGGCAACAAGGGCAAAACTTTGTCACACACACATACACACAAACACACACACAATGATTAGGATGGCTGGGCGTGGTGCTCATGACTATAATCTCAGTACTTTGGGAGGCCGAGGCAGGCAGATCACCTGAGGTCAGGAGCTCGAGACCAGCCTGGGCAACATGTAGTGAAACCCCATGTCTACTAAAAAATACAAAAATTAGCTGGGCATGGTGGTGCACACCTGTAGTCCCAGCTACTTGGGAAGCTGAGGGAGGAGAATCGCTTGAACCCGGGAGGTAGAGGTTGCAGTGAGCTGAGATCGCACCACTGCACTCCAGACTGGGTGACAGAGCAAGACTCCAACTCAAAAAAAAAAAAAAAAAAAAGATGGTTAGGATGGCCGGGTGCTGTGGCTCATGCCTGCTGTAATCCCAGCACTTTGGGAGGCTGAGGTGGGTGGATCACTTGAGGTCAGGAGTTTGAGACCAGCCTGGCCAACATGGTGAAACCCTGCCTCTACTAAATATACAAAAAATAACTGGCTGTGGTGGTGGGCACCTGTGATCCCAGCAGTTTGGGAGGCTGAGGCAGGAGGATCATTTGAGGTCAGGAGTTCAATACCAGCCTGGCCAACATGGTGAAATCCCGTCTCTACTAAAAATACAAAAATTAGCAAGGCATGGTGGCAGATTCCTGTAATCCCAGCTACTCAGGAGGCTGAGGCAGGAGAAATTCTTGAATTCGGGAGGTTGCAGTGAGCTGAGATCGTGCACTGCACTGCAACCTGGGTGACAGAGTGAGACTCCATCTCAAAAAAAAAAAAAGTTAGGATGGTAAATTTTATATGTTTTTTACCACAACAAAACAAGAAAAGCCGGAGTAACACCAAATAGAGACGTATTCCCAGAGTCAACCGAGAGAATTTAAGAGGCAATCACGTCCTCGCTGTGTGAAAGGACATCATCACGCCTTTATGCCACCTCGAGTCACTTATCTTACTAACAGTAATCCATGCCCAGCACCTCGGGAAATGCCACAGTTGGTCATGGATGGCTCTGCGCAAGGTTCTTCACCAGGGCACTGGTGAGACATGATCATTCCTAGGAGAGCACTCCTTGGTCCGTGTCCACAGCACTGGAGCAGAGGAGCCAAGGCTGGAAGTCCAAGCCTTGCAGGAAGCCTAATGCGCCAGAAAGATGACAGAGCTGTGAACACAGCAATAAAAAGCCATGACCGGCCGGGCGCAGTGGCTCACGCCTGTAATCTCAGCACTTTGGGAGGCCAAGGCGGGTGGATCACGAGGTCAGGAGTTGGAGACCAGCCTGGCCAAGATGGTGAAACCCCGTCTCTACTAAAAATACAAAAATTAGCTGGGCGTGGTGGCATGCACCTGTAATCCCAGCTACTCGGGAGGCTGAGGCAGGAGAATCACTTGAACCCGGGAGGCAGAGGTTGCAGTGAGCCGAGATGGCGCCATTGCACTCCAGCCTGGGTGACAGAGTGAGACTCAGTCTATGAAAAAAAAAAAAGACAGGATTTGTTGAGACTGGCTAATTGCTCTTTTCATTGAGCATAATGTCCTCAAGGTTCATCCATGTTTTACCATGTGTCGGGATTTCCTTCCTTTTAATGGCTAAATAATTTTCCACTGTATGGATATACCACATTGTGTTTACCTATTCATCTATTGATGGACACTTGGGTTGCTTTTACCTCTTGGCTATTGTGAATAGTGCTGCTGTGAACATGACCCTCTGTCCCCTCAGCAATACTGCTGAATGCTACCGACGTTATGTTGAGCAAAGGGAGCTCAACCCGTACCAGACCACAAGATTCCATTTCTATAAAGTCCTCTAAGAGATCAAAGGAGTTTAACATGATGGAGAATCACAGTTACCTCTGGATGTTGGGGACCCCAACAGACAGGGAAGAGACATGAGGAAGATTTTTGGGGTAATGGAAATACTCCGCATCTTTTTTTTTATTATTTATTTTTGAAGCAGAGTCTTGCTCTGTCGCCCAGGCTGGAGTGCAGTGGAGCGATCTCGGCTCTCTGCAACCTCCACCTCCCAGGTTCAAGCGATTCTCCTGCCTCAGCCTCCTGAGTTTACAGCTGCTGCCTGGCTAGCTTTTTTGTATTTTTAGTAGAGACCGGGTTTCACCATGTTGGCTAGGCTGGTATCAAACTCCTGACCTCAGGTGATCCACCTCTCTCAGCCTCCCAAAGTGGTAGGATTACAGGCGTGAGCCACTGTGCCTGGCCAATATTTCACATCTTTTTAAAAAACAAGTTTACACATATAGCGTTTTTTTAAAATATATGTAAATGTATGGGGTACAAGTGCTATTTTTGATTCTGAGACAGGATCTCACTCTATCACCCAGGCTGGAGTGCAGTGGTGCCATCTTGTCTCCCTGCAATCTCCACCTCCTGGGTTCAAGCGATCCTCCCAACCTCAGCCTCCTGAGTAGGTGGAACACAGCCATGTGCCACCACGCCTGGCTAAGTTTTGTAGTTTTTGTAGAGATGGGGACTCGCCCAGGCTGGTCTCCAACTTCTGATCTCAAGCCATCAGCCTGCCTCGGCCTCCTGAAGTGCTGGGATTACAGGCCTGAGTCACCACGTTCAGCCTTGCCATTTTGTGATATGCATAGTTGTGCTCCTAGTGGTAAAGTCAGGGCTTTTAGGATATCCGTTACCAAATAATGTACATCATATACATTATGTATTTTCTCATCACCCACCGCCTTGCGCCACCCTTTTGAGTCTCTATTGTCAATCACCCCAGTCTCTACGTCCAGGTGTACACATTGTTTAGCTCCCACTTATAAGTAAGAACATGTGATATTTGTCTGTCTGTGTCTGGCTTGTTTCACATAAGAGAATGGCCTCCAGGGCCGGGCGCGGTGGCTCACGCCTGTAATCCCAGCACTCGGGGAGGCTGAGGTGGGCAGATCATGAGGTCAGGACTTAGAGACCAGTCTGACCAACATGGTGAAACCCCGTCTCTACTAAAAATACAAAATTTAGCCAGGTGTGGTGGCGGGTGCCTGTAATCCCAGCTACTCAGGAGGCTGAGCAGGAGAATCTCTTGAACCCGGAGGCGGAGGTTGCAGTGAACCGAGATTGTGCCACTGCACTCCAGCCTGGGAGACAGAGCCAGACTCCGTCTCAAAAAAAAAAAAGAAAGAAAGAGAGAGAGAGAATGGCCTACAGTTCCATCCATGAACCTGCAAAAGACATGATCTCATTATTTTGCAAAGAATACTATACTATTTATGGCTGAACAGTATTCTATGGTGTATGTATACCACATTTTCTTTATTCAGTCATCCATTGATGGACACTTAGGTTGATTCCATGTCTTTGCTATTGTGAATGGTGCTGCAATAAACATATGGGTGCAAGTATCTTTTTGATATATTGATTTCTTTTCCTTTGGGTAGATACCCAGTAGTGGGATTGCTGGATGGAATGGTAGTACTATTTTTAGAAATATTCTATATCTTGATAGGGGTCATGGTTAAAAGGTGTGTATGCTATCAAGGCTCATCAAACCTTCTGCTTACAGTTTACATAAACTTATTGCATGTAAATTACACCCAATTTAAAAATAGGTCTGTTGTGGTGGCTCACGCCTGTAATCCTAGCACTTTGGGAGGCCGAGGTGAGCAGATTATTTGAGGTCGGGAGTTCTAAGACCAGCCTGGCCAACATGGTGAAACCCTGTCTCTAATAAAAATACAAAAATTAGCTAGGTGTGGTGGCACTTGCCTGGTTCCAGATACTTGGGAGGCTATGGAAGGAGAATCGCTTGAACCCGGGAGGCAGAGGTCGCAGTGAGCTGAGATCATGCCA
The DNA here is from genome assembly GCF_000001405.40 of Homo sapiens. Classification (NCBI taxonomy): domain Eukaryota; kingdom Metazoa; phylum Chordata; class Mammalia; order Primates; family Hominidae; genus Homo; species Homo sapiens. Next base: position 7,313,933 of record NC_000019.10, on the reverse strand, counting down.
CTGCACTCCAGCCTGGGTGACAGAGTGAGACTCCATCTTAAAAAAAAAAAATCAAGATAGAAAATAAATAAGATTTTCTTCTGTGTGGGATGGTACAGGCACCACTGATCTGGTGAACTGGAAGCATGGGTGAATTTTGTTAATTATGCACTAAGAAAATAGCACCAATTGTTTGTGACAAGGATACGGAGGCATCATTTTTGTTTGTATGTTGTTGTTATTGAGATGGGGTCTCACTCTGTCTCCCAGGCTGCAGTGCAGTGGCATGATCGTGACTCACTGCATCCTTAAACCCCTGGGCTCAAGCGATCCTCCTGCCTCAGCCTCCTGAGTAGCTGGGACTATAGGCATGTGCCACCATGCCCAGCTAATTTTATTTATTCTTATTCTTTTTTTTTTTTGAGATGGAGTCTCGCTCTGTCACCAGGCTGGAGTGCAGTGGTGTGATCTCAGCTCACTGCAACCTCCGCCTCCTGGGTTCAAACGATTCTCCTGCCTCAGCCTCCCGAGTAGCTGGGATTACAGGCACCCGCTACCATGGCCAGCTAGTTTTTATATTTTTAGTAGAGACGGGCTTTCACTATGTTGCCCAGGCTGGTTTCAAACTCCTGGGCTCAAGCAATCCTCCCGCCTTGGCCTCTTAACGCATAAGGCACTGTGCCTGGTCCCATATTTCTTTTTTTATTCCTCATTTTACAGAAGAGGTGCATCTGCCTCTCACACAGCCGGGATGTGGAAGAGCTGGGATCTGAGAAGGCTGAGTCCACAGCCAGGGGAATGGAGCAGAGAGGCTCAGGAGAGACAGAATGGCTGGTGGATGCCAACCTGGAAGTTGCAAAGGGACAGGCCCAGGATAGAGGGGAAGGGCTGATCACAGCCGGGAACAGGGAGGAAGGAAGGCCATGAGGTGGGTGCGGATGGAGTTCCGGGTAAAGACTGGGAAGGCGGGTAATGGACCGCATGACTGCTCTTCCTCTTGGGAGCGAGGAAGGCCACCAGCTGGTGTGTCTCAGGCAGGGGTGGGAGGTCTTGGGAGCTGAGAAGAATGGCAGGGCTTGAGTCAGGTTGTGGAAAGTGAGTGGGGATGGTTGACCAAGAATTAGGGAAAGAAGGCTGGGCGCGTTGGCTCATGCCTGTAATCCCAGCACTTTGGGAAGCCAAGGCGGGCAGATCACCTAAGGTCGGGAGTTCAAGACCAGCCTGACCAACTTGAAGAAACTCCGTCTCTACTAAAAAAAAAAATACTAAAAAAAAAATTAGCTGGGCATGGTGGCGCATGCCTGTAATCCCAGTTACTTGGGAGGCTGAGGTGGGAGAATCGCTTGAACCCAGGAGGCGGAGGTTGTGGTGAGCAGAGATCACGCCACTGCACTCTAGCCTGGGTGGCAAGAGTGGAATCCATCTCAGGAAAAAAAAAAAAAAAGAAAGAACTAGGGAAAGGATGCTCCCAGGACCTGGATATCTGCTATGTACACTGTACTACAGTGACTTATGCTAGCAGAAAGCCTCCTTCCCGGGCCATCTGTGGCCCAAAGGCATTCGGAAGATGGAGCATTCAGGAGGGAATCTGGGAAGCACAGTGGTCAGAAACTCAGCTGTGGAGCTTGACGGTCACCCAGTGGGGTGCTCTGGAAGCAGACACCAAGAAGGTGTTGGGGTGCGGGATGTGTACGCCACAAGGCAAGGATGGGGAAGAATCGAAATTCCGGTGCAGTGATGGTGGGAATATAAAATGGTGCCGCTGCTATGGAAAAGGGTACACTGGTTCCTTAAAGAAATTAAACATAGAATCAGGCCGGGCACGGTGGCTCACATCTGTAATCCCAGCACTTTGGGAGGCCGAGGCCGGAAGATTGCCTGAGTCAAGACCAGCCTGGGCAATGTGGTGAAACCCTGTCTCTACTCAAAATACAAAAAAATTAGCTAGGTGGGGTGGCGGGCCCTTGTAATCTTAGCCACTCAGGAGGCTGAGGCACGAGAATCGCTTGAGCCTGGGAGGTGGAGGTTGCAGTGAGCTGAGATCACGCCATTGCACTCCAGCCTGGGCGACAGAATGAGACACAGTCTCAAAAAAAATAAAAGAAAAAAAAAGAAATTAAACATAGAATTACCATATGACCTAGAAATTCTGCTTCTGGGTATACACGCACGAGATTTGAAAGCAGGGACTCAAAGAGACACTTGTACACCCATGTCCACAGCAGTGTGATTCATAACAGCCAAAGACAGAAGGCACCCAAGTGCCCAGCAAGAGACGAATGGATAAACAATGTGGTCCCTCCGTAGGGTGGGATAGGATTCAGCCTTAAAAAGGAAGGACATTCGGCCAGGCGCGGTGGCTCATGCCTGTAATCCCAGCACTTGGAAGGCCGAGGCAGGTGGATCACTTGAGGTCAGGAGTTCGAGACCAGCCTGGCCAATGTGGTGAAACCCTGTCTCTACTCAAAATACAAAAATTAGCTGGGCATGGTGGCGGGCACTTGTAATCCCAGCTACTTGGGAGGCTGAGGCAGAAGAATCACTTGAATTCGGGAGGCGGAGGTTGCAGTGAGCCGAGACCACGTCACTGTACTCCAGCCTGGGCAACAAAAGCAAAACTCCATCTCAAAAATAAAATAAATAAATAAATAGGAAGGAAACTCTGGCCAGTTGCGGTGGCTCACACCTGTAATGCCAGCACTCGGGGAGTCCGAGGCGGGCAGATCACTTGAAGTCAGGAGTTCGAGACCAGCCTGGCCAACATGATGAAACCCCGTCTCTACTAAAAATACAAAACTTAGCCAGGCGTGGTGGCACATGCCTGTAATCCAAGCTAGTTGGGAGGCTGAGGCAGGAGAATCACTTGAACTCGAGAGGCGGAGGTTGCAGTGAACCGAGATCATACCCCTGCACTCCAGCCTGGGCAATAAGAGTGAAACTCCATCTCAAAAAAAAAAAAAAAAATCTGGCATAGGGAAATTCACAGAGACAGAAAGTAAATTACTAGTTGTCACGGAGGGGGTGGAATGGGGAACAGCTACTTAATATATGTGAGGTTTCCCTTTGAAGGTGATGAAAATGTTCAGGAACTTGATAGAGGTGGTGGTTGTACAACATTGTAAATGTACAAAATACCACTAAGTTATTCACTTTAAGATCCACGATCTTATTTTATGGGAATTTCACATCAATTAAAAAATACACACATACAGCTGGGTGCGGTGCCTCATGGCTTTGAGAGGCCAAGGTGGATGGATCATCTGAGGTCAGGAGTTCGAGACTAGCCTGACCAACATGGTGAAATCCCGTCTCCCAAAAATAAAAGTAGCCAGGTGTTGTGGTGTGCGCCTGTAATCCCAGCTACTCAGGAGGCTGAGTCAGGAGAATCGCTTGAACCCAGGAGGCGGAGGTTGCAGTGAGCCGAGGTCACGCCATTGCACTCCAGCCTGGGTGACTAAAGTGAAAGTCTGTCTCAAACAAAAAAAGAAAATACACACACACACACACACACACATACACACAGACACGCACACATTTCTTGCTTCTTCTCACTTCTGGTGGCTATTGGCATTCTTTTGTTTGTGGCTAAATCACTCCAGTCTCTGCAACTATCTTTACATGACCTTATTCTCTTCTGTCAAAACTCTCTCTGACTCCTTATTTTATTTATTTATTAATTTTTTTAGAGACAGGGTCTCACTCTGTCACCCAGGCTGGAGTGCAGTGGTATGATCATTGCTCACTGCAGCCTCGACCTCCTGGGCTCAAGTCATCCTCTTACCTCAGCCTTCCAAAATGCTGGGACTATAGGGATATACCATCATGACTGGCCAATTTGAAATCTTTAAGAGATGGGGTCTTGCTATGTTGCCCAAGTGGGTCTTGAACTCCTGGCCTCTAGAGATACTCTCACCTTGGCTTTCCAAAGTGGTGGATTACAGGTGTGAGTCACTGCACCTGGATACGTGCATTATTATTATTATTATTATTATCATTATTATTATTGAGACAGAGTCTCGCTCTGTCACCCAGGCTGGAGTGCAATGGCGTGAGCTCAGCTCACTGCAACCTCTGCCTCCCAGGTTCAAGTGATTCTCCTGCCTCAGCCTCTGGACTAGCTGGGATTACAGGCGTGCACCACCATGCCTGGCTAACTGCTGTATTTTTAGTAGAGACGGGGTTTCACCACATTGGCCAGGCTGGTCTTGAACACCTGACCTCAGGTGATCCACCTGCCTCAGCCTCTCAAAGTGTCGGGATTATAGGCGTGAGCCACTGAGCCTGGCTGGTGCATTATTTATTTATTTTCCTAGGAAGAAGGTATATTTATTTATTTCTTAAATTTTTATTTTTATTTCAGTAGTTTTGAGGGTGCAGGTGGTTTTTGGTTACATGGATAAGCTTTTTAGTGGCAATTTCTGAGCTTTTGGTGCACCTGTCACCCAAGCAGTGTACACTGTACCTAATATGTAGTCTTCTATCCTTCTCCCCCCAATTTTCCCTGCCCAAGTCCCCAAAGTCCATTATATCACTTTTTTTTTTTTTTTTTTTTTTAAAGACAGAGTTTTGCTCTTCTTGCCCAGGCTGGAGTGCAGTGGTGCGGTCTCGGCTCACTGCAACCTCCGCCCTCTGGTTTCAAGCGATTCTCCTGCTTCAGCCTCTCTGGTGGCTGGGATTACAGGTGTGCAGCACCACGCCTGGCTAATTTTTGTATTTTTAGTAGAGACGGGGTTTCACCATGTTGGCCAGGCTGGTCTCGAACTCATGATCTCGTGATCCGCCCACCTCGGCCTCCCAAAGTGTTGGGATTATAGGCATGAGCCACCGCGCCTGGCCATTATATCACTCTTATGCCTTTGCATCCTCCTAACTTAGCTCCCACTTATCAATGAGAACATAGGATATTCGCCTTTCCATTCCTGAGTTACTTCACTTAGAATAATGCTGGCCAGGTGCATCCTTAATAGCTGGAAACACCTTCATATTGCTTGCGGCTGTCCCTTTAAAAGCTGGTTGCATTCCTGTCTGGAGAGGTTCATTGGCTGGATGAAATTTGTTATGCTCACTTTTCACCACAAATCCGTGACGCTTAATTCAGTCCTGTGAAATGTCTGGTGCAGAGTTACAATCTCTTACCTCGTCGTGGTCTCCTTTGCTCGGGATGTTTACTGCCTCTTCGATTTTTTTTTTTTTTTTGAGATGGAGTCTCGCTCTGTCACCCAGGCTGGAGTGCAGTGGCACGATCTCGGTTCACTGCAGCCTCTGCCTCCCGGGTTCAAGCGATTCTCCTGCCTCAGCCTCCCAAGGCACATGCCACCACGCCTGGCTACTTTTTTTGTATTTTCAGTAGAGACGGGGTTTCACTGTGTTAGCCAGGATGGTCTTGATCTCCTGACCTCCTGATCCGCCTGCCTTGGCCTCCCAAAGTGCTGGGATTACAGGCCTGAGCCAGCACATCCGGCCTGCCTCTTGGATTCTTGTTGAGCTACTTTGTAACTAGTGATGGATGGTTTCAACTCTGAAGGTTTTTACATCAGATAGGATGGGGGCAGCTTTTACGGAATTATAACCCCTTGAATGAGAGCTACTCAATAGGAAATTCCCAACCACCAACTCCACAACAGAATAGCAGGTAGCACCAACGTGTTCTGCTGTAGAGACTGGTCTCATTGATTGTGTCCTTAAACTTCAGAGTGTGGGGAAGAGCAAACACCATCAAAAGATCGTCAGTCTAGGAGGCCGGGGAAAGTGGCTCACACCTGTAACCCCAGCACTTTAGGAGGCTGAGGTGGATGGATTTATTGAGCCCAGGAGTTCAAGACCAGCCTGGGCAACATAACATGGCAAAACCTTGTCTCTACAAGAAATAAAATAATTAGCCGGGTGTGGTGACGAGCACCTGCAATCCCAGCTACTCGGAAGGCTGAGGTGGGAGGATTGCTTGAACCCAAGCGGTCAAGGCTGCTGTGAGCTATGATTGCACCACTGCACTCCAGGCTGGGCAACAGAACCAGACCCTGTCTCAAACAAACTAACAAAAAAATCGCCAGTTGAAACTTGTAAAATGCAACTTTTATTGCTTAAAAAACAACTTTATTAAAGTGTAATTGACATACAATAAACCACTCATATTTAAGGTGTACAATATGATACACTTTGCTGTATGTCTACACCTGTGAAAACACCACCACCATCAGGACAGCAACACATCCATCACCTCTGAAAGTTTCTTTTCTTTCTTTCTTTCTTTTTTTTTTTTTTGAGACAGAGTCTCGCTCTGTCACCCAGGCTGGAGTGCAATGGTGTAATCTTGGCTCATTACAACCTCTGCCTCCTGGGTTTAAATGATTCTCTTGCCTCAGCCTCCTGAGTAGCTGGAATTACAGGCACCCACCACCACGCCCCGCCAATTTTTTTTTTTTTTTTTTTTTTGTATTTTTAGTAGAGACGGGGTTTCACCATTTTGGCCAGGCTGGTCTCGAACTGCTGGCCTCAAGTGATCTGCTCACCTCTGCCTCCCAAAGTGCTGGGATTACAGGCATGAGCTATTGAGCCCAGCTGAAAGTTTCTACATGCTCCTTTGGAACCCCTCCCTCTTTCCCTCTCCTGGCACCTAGTGATTTGCTGTCTGTCATTATAGAGTAGTTTGATCTTTTCTCTTTTCTTCTCTTTTCTTCTTTCTTTCTTTTTTTCTTTTTCTTTTTGATGGAGTCTCACTCTGTCACCCAGGCTGGAGTGCAATGGTGTGATGTCGGCTCATTACGACCTCTGCCTCCTGGGTTCAAGTGATTTTCCTGCCTCAGCCTCCCAAGTAGCTGGGATTACAGGCACCCACGACCATGCCCCACTATTTTTTTTTTTTTTTTTAGTACAGACGGGGTTCACCATTTTGGCCAGGCTGGTCTCGAACTCCTGACCTCAAGTGATCTGCCCACCTCTGCCTCCCAAAGTGCTGGGATTACAGGCGTGAGCCACTGTGCCCAGCTGAAAGTTTCTACATGCTTCTTTGGAACCCCTCCCTCTTTCCCCTCTCCTGGCAGCTCGTGATTTGCTGTCTGTCATTATGGATGAGTTTTATTTATTTATTTTTTTGAGATGGAGTCTCGCTCTGTCACCCAGGCTGGAGTTTAGTGGCTTGATCTTGGCTCACTGCAACCTCTACCTCCCAGGTTCAAGCGATTCTACTGCCTCAGCCTCCTGAGTAGCTGGGATTACAGGTGCCTGCCACTACACCTAGCTAATTTTTGAAGTTTTAGTAAAGACGGGGTTTCACCATGTTGGCCAGGATGGTCTTGATCTCCTGACCTTGTGATCCACCCGCCTTGGCCTCCCAAAGTGCTGGGATTACAGGCATGGAAATGGAATCATGTACCATGCATTTTTTTTTTTTTTTTTGGCCTGGCTTCTTCTAAGTCAGCAGAATTTCTAAGATTTTCTGGAATCATGTACCAAGCATTTTTTTATGGCCTGACTTCTAAGTCAGCAGAATTATTTTGAGATACATCCCTATTGTTGGATGTATCAATAGTTCCTTCCTTTTTATTGTGAAGCAGTGATCCATGGCATGGTTATATCACTGTTGGTTTATCCATTCACCTGTTGATAAAAATCTGGGTTGCTTCTAGTTTTGAGCTACTGCACATAATGAAAGCATGGACTGTTACGATTGTTTTAACGCAAATAGAGCATCTCAGAGAGGGAAGGGAGTAGAAATGTCTTCCTCTGATGGGTAATAAGGCAAGGTGACTTAAGAAGTCAGATGGGGCTGCGTGCAGTGGCTCACGCCTATAATCCTAGCACTTCGGGAGGCTGAGGTGGGTGGATCACCTGAGGTCAGGTGGTCAAGACCAGTGTGGCCAACATGGTGAAAACTCGTCTCTATTAAAAATACAAAAATTAGCTGGGTGTGGTGGTGCACACCTGTAGTCCTAGCTACTTGGGAAGGTGAGGCAGGAGAATCGTTCGAACCTCGGAGGCGGAGGTTGCTGTGGGCTGAGCTTGTGCCACTGTACTCCAGCCTGGGTGACAGAGTGAGACCCTGTCTTTAAAAAACTGAAAAGGAGGGCCGTGTGCAGTGGCTCACACCTGCAATCCTAGCACTTTGGGAGGCCGAGGCAGGCAGATAACGAGGTCAGGAGTTCAAGACCAGCCTGGCCAACATGGTAAAACCTCATCTCGACTAAAAATATAAAAATTAGCTGGGTGTGGTGGCACATGCTTGTAGTCCCAGCTACTCGGGAGGCTGAGTTAGGAGAAATGCTTGAACCTGGGAGGAGGAGGTTGCAGTGAGCCGAGAACGTGCCACTGCACCCCAGCCTGGGCAACATAGCAAGATTTAATCTCAAAAATAAATAAATAAATAAGAAAGAACTGAAAGTGAAGGAAGCAGGTAGAGAGGTGTTCAGAGGGCAGAGTAGGCAGCGGGTCTTGTGGTGGACATCCAGGGTCTGAGATTGGTGATTGGGTTGATGGAGGCAGTTCACAGCCACAAGAGAGTTTTTCTGGAGAAAGAGCTAGTGGTTGAGGTACTCTACTTGGTCTTGGCCAAACATCTTGGTCTAGCAGCAGAACTGGGATGTGAGTCCATGCTCCTGGTCACTTGAGGTCAGGAGTTCGAGACCAGCCTGGCCAACATGGTGAAACTCTGTCTCTACTAAAAACACAACAAAATTAGCCGGACACGGTGGTGGGCACCTGTAATCCCAGCTTCTCGGGAGACTGAGGCAGGAGAATCACTTGAACTTGGGAGGTGGAGGTTGCAGTGAGCTGAGATTGTGCCACTATAGTCCAGCCTGGGTGACAGAGCCAGACTCGGACACACACACACACACACACACACACAACATTCTACAATGTGCAGTACAGCCTTCCACAACGAAGAGTTATCCATGCCTCAGTGTCCATATCCCTGAGGTTGAGAAACCCTATGCCAGATGAACTTCAGAATAATTTTTCTATACCTTTTAGGTATAATTTTGAAGTTTTTTTTTTTTTTTTTTGAGACAAGATCTGGCTCTGTCACCCAGGCTGAAGTGCAACGATACAATCAATCATAGCTAACTGCAGCCTTGAAATCCTAGACTCAAGTGATCCTCCCACCTCAGCCTCTGGAGTAGCTGGGACCACAGGCAGGCACCACCACATTCAGCTAATTTTTACAATTTTTTTTTTTTTTTTTTTTTTTGTAGAGACAGGGTCTTGCTATGTTGCCCAGGCTGGTCTTGAACTCCTGGCCTTATGTGATCCTCTTGCCTGGGCCCCCCAAAGCGCTGGGATTATAGGCATGAGCCACTGTGCCTGGCCTCCAATATTCTGTTCTTTTTCCCAGAAATAATAAGGCACATTTCTTTATTTATTCAAGTTATAAAGCATTAGTTTTTTAAAAAATTTAGGTCAGAGCCATTGCTGTTAATTGTTTTTCTAAGTTTTTTTTTTTTTTTTTTTTCTTAGGAGGTGGGGTCTCCCTATGTCAACCACGCTGGAATACAGTGGTACTCAGAGGCGGGAACATGTTTCTCTATATCCTTGAACTCCCGGGCTCAAGCGTTCCTTCCGCCTCAGCCTCCGGAGTAGCCAGGACTACAGGCGGGGCATACCACGCCCGGCTCTCTTTGTATTTTATTTTATGTCATTTTGTAGCTATGGTGATGCTGTTCTGAAAAAAAAAAAAAAAATTAACTGTCTCATGCTGTGTTTTAAAAAGGGAATTAATATACATGGTTAAAACTCTTCAAACAGACAAAAAAAGATTGCCAGTTTTGAATGTGTTTTTGGAGACGTACTTCAAGATTCTGGAAATATCTGTGAATGCGTATAGGTGAGTGTGCGTGGCTGTACCTCACCCCCCTTTAAAATGCAAATGATAGTGTTTCAGGTACATGGTTCTGCATTTGATTCTTTTTAGGTAGTTATATATATAGGAAGTTCTCATCTCAGGACATGTAGATGTAGCTTGGTCTTTTCTTGAAACATGACATTGTTTCGCTGAATATCTTTTCAGTGTTTATGTTGCAAAAATAATTTTACTTATAAAATTTTATATAATCATTTTCTACCTAGATTCGGGTAACTACCTCTCTCAGCCAGTGGGAAAGGGTCTTGTACATTTGCGAAACAAATCCAAGAAGTGCTTTTGAGAAATGAGAATATTTTACATAAATTTTGTCTTCGTCTTTCTTGAAAAGTGCACCGAGGAGAGGGAAATGGGAAGAGAGAGAAGCAAAGATCATTGCGCCAGTATCTCCAGATAAATTGGTAATACTTCCTTTATATTCTTTGCCTGATTGAGGCACAAATAGTTTGACATAGAAGCCCTGCCCTTCCCTTCTCTTCTTCCCTTCCTCCCTCTCCTCCCCTCCCCTCCCCTCTCCCCTTCCCCCTCCCTCCCCCTCCCCTCCCCCTCCCCCTCCCCTTCCTTTGATTTCCTTTTTTCTATCTCTTTCTCTCTCTCTTCTCTCTTTCTCTCTTTCTTTCTCTCTCTCTCTCTCTTCCTTTCTCTCTCTTTTTTGAGACAGGGTCTCACTTTGTCATTCAGGCTGGAGTGCAGTGGCAATTTTGGTACTTTTTGTAGAGGCAGGGTTTCACCATGTTGCCCAGGCTGGTCTTGAACTCCTGAACTCAAGTGATCCACCCCCCTTGGCCTCTCAATCATTTTATTTATTTATTTATTTTCAGATGGAGTCTCGCTCTATAGCCCAGGCTGGAGTGCAATGGCACAATCTTGGCTCACTGCAACGTCTGCCTCCTGGGCTCAAGCGACTCTCCTGCCTCAGCCTCCTGAATAGCTTGTATTACAGGCTCATGCCACCACACCCAGCTAATTTTTGTATTTTTAGTAGAGATGGGGTTTCACCATCTTGCCCAGGCTGGTCTTGAACTCCTGACCTCAGGTGGTCCACCCTCCTCGGCCTCCCAAAGTGCTGGGATTACAGGCGTGAGCCACCGCGCCTGACTCTCCCAATCATTTTCTAAGAGTTTTCTATGTTGAGCCCAGGTAATATCTGTGCTGAGACTCTAACATGAAGCCTCAATTCTGATCATGGCCCTAGCAGCATAAGACACTGGAGGAAGCTCATCGCCCAGAAATTCCTGTGGGTTGCACTTCTTTTATTTTTAAATTTGTGTTTTTAATTTTTGTGGGTACATAGTGGTTGATTATATTTACAGAGTACACGAGATGTTTTGACACAGGCATGCAATGTGTAATCATCACTTCATGGAGAATGGGGTCTCCATCCCCTCAAGCATTTATCCTTTGTGTGACAAACAATCCAGTTATACTCTTTTAGTTATTTTTAAATGTGCAATTAAGCCGGGCGTGCTGGCTCACGCCTGTAATCCCAACACTTTCGGAGGCTGAGCCCGGCAGATCACTTGAGGTCAGGAGTTGGAGACCAGCCTGGCCAACATGGTGAAACCCCATCTCTACTAAAAATACAAAAATACAAAAATTAGCCGGGTGTGGTGGTGGGCACCTGTAATCCCAGCTACTCAGGAGGATGAGGCAGGAGAATCGCTTGAACCTGGGAGGCGGAGGTTGCAGTGAGCCGAGGTGGCACCACTGCACTCCAGCCTGGGCTACAGAGTGAGACTCTGTCTCAAAAAAAATTAATTAATTAATTAAAAAGTACAATAAAATTATTATTGACTATCGTGGTTTGCACTTTCACATTGCAGGCTTCAAAAAGCATGGGTTTATTTGGGCACAGTGGCTCACGCCTGTAATCACAGCACTTTTGGGAGGCCAAGGCGGGAGGATCACTTGAGGTCAGGAGTTGGAGACCAGCCTGGCCAACATGACAAAACCCTGTCTCTACCAAAAAATACAAAAATTAGCGGGGCATGGTAGCACACTTCTGTAATCCCAGCTACTTGGGAGGCTGAGGCAGGAGAATCGCTTGAACCAGAGAGTTGAAGGCTGCAGTGAGCCGAGATAGCACCACTGCACTCTAGCCTGAGCAACAAGAGTGAGACCCTGTCTCAATAAATACATATATAAATAAATAAATAAGCATGAGTTCAAAATAGGAGTGTGGAATGGGTCTGATCATTCAAACTCTAAGGAATGATGGAATATCCTTCAGCCATAAAAAGGAATAAAGCACTGGTTCAGGCAATGACAAGGATGAACTTTGAACACATTATGCCAAATAAAAGTAGCTAGTCCCCAAAGCTCGCATATTATATTGCTCCATTTATATGGAGTTTGCAGAACAGGCAAGTCCACAGAGATAGGAAGTGGATTAGTGGATGCCTGGGGCTGGGGAGGGGAGGTGGGGAGTGAGTGCCCATGGGGACAGGGTTTCTGTTTGGGGTGATGAAAACATTTTGCAATGAGATGGTGACAACGGTTGCACAGCGTCGTGAAAGTACTGAATATTCCTGAGTCGTACACTTTAAAATGGTTAAAATCATAAATTCTGTGTTATGTGTATTTTACTATAATAAACCAAAACAAGGAGGTATATTTCAATTCTCCCAAAAAGCTCTCTTAGTCTTTCATTTTAAATTTCTGGGGCACAATGTATGTTATTTGGGTAATGGATACACCAGAGGCATAGGCTTCCCCACGATGCAATATATCCATGTAACAAAATTGCACTTGTACCACTTAAATTTGTACAAATAAAAAAAAAATCTCATTTCTGACCCTTAAGCTTTTTTTTTTTTTTTTTTTCCTAGAGACAGGGTCTTGCTCTGTTGTCCAGGCTGGAGTGCAGTGGTGCAATCATAGCTCACTGCAGCCTCGAATTCCTGGGCTCCAGCAATCCTCCCCCTTCAGCCTCCCATGTAGCTGGGATGATCCGTGCACATCACCACACTTAGCTAATTTTCACATTCTTTGTAGAGACAAGGTCTCGCTATGTTGCCCAGACTGAATGCATGCCTTTTATCTGTTGCATATACTTTCCTCACTTAAAACGTCTGTCTTTTGGACAAATATCCCGTGTTCTCCCTCCTATGTGGGAGCTAAAAAAGTGGATCTCGGACGGGCGCAGTGGCTCATGCCTGTAATCCCTGCACTTTGGGAGGCCGAGGTGGATGGATCACTTGAGGTCAGGAATTCGAGACCAGCCTGGCCAACATGGTAAAACCCCATCTCTACTAAAAATACAAAAATTTAACCGGATGTGGTGGTGAGCACCTGTAGTCCCAGCTACTCGGGAGGCTGAGGCAGGAGAATTGCTTGAATCCAGGAGGTGAAGGTTGCAGTGAACCAAGATCGCACCACTGCGCTGCAGCCTGGGTGACAGAGCGAGATTTTGTCTCAAAAACAAAAACAAAAAAAAAGTGGATCTCATAAAGATAGACAGTAGCTGGGCGCGGTGGCTCACAACTGTAATCCCAGCACTTTGGGAGGCCAAGGCAGGTAGATCACCTAAGGTCAAGAGATTGAGACCACGGTGAAAGCCCGTCTCTACTAAAAATACAAAAAATTAGCCGGACTCGGTGGCGGGCGCCTGTAGTCCCAGCTACTCGGGAGGCTGAGGCAGGAGAATGGCGTGAACCCAGGAGGTGGAGTTTGCAGTGAGCCGGGATCGTGCCACTGCACTCCAGCCTGGGCAACAGAGCGAGACTCCGTCTCAAAAAAAAAAAAAAAAGATAGACAGTAGATTGTTGGTTTACCAGAAAGGGTAGGAGAAAGAGGGAGATGAAGAGAAGCTGATTGCTAGGTACAAATGTACAATTTGATAGAAGAAATAAGACAGTGTTTGTTAGATCAGTAGGGTGACTATAGTTTACAATAGCCTATTGAATATTTCAAAATAGCTAGAAGAATTTGACTGTTTCTAACATAAAGAAAAGACAAATATTTAAGGTGAGGGATATCCCAAGTGCACTGATTTGATCTTTACAAATTATATGAATGTATTAAATTATCACATGTACCCCAAAACTATGTACGTCTGTTATGCATCAACAGAAAAATTTTTCTTTTTTTTTTCTTTTCTCTTTTGAGATGGAGTTTTGCTCTTGTTGCTCAGGCTGGAGTGCAATGGCGCGATCTCGGCTCACTGCAACCTCTGCCTCCCGGGTTAAAGCGAGCCTCCTGCCTCAGCCTCTCAAGTAGCTGGGATTACAGGCATGCATCACCACGCCCAGCTAATTCTTTGTATTTAGTAGAGACGGGGCTTCACCATGTTGGTCAGGCTGGTCTGAAACTCCTGACCTCAAGTGATCCGCCTGCCTTGGCCTCCCAAAGTGCCGGGATTACAGGCGTGAGCCACTATACCTGGCCAAGAAAAATTTCTTTAAAAATCTGTCTTTTGACTTGATATATGAGACTTTTTTTTTGGCTATTCTTATAATCTTAATTTCTACATAGCCAAGTTTGTTATTTTACAAAGTTAAACTTGGGATTCACGTCTGGCTTGGAGAAACTTTCCTCAGTCTGAAATTATAAAATAAAATTTTCATATCATAAAGTCTTATGGTTTCATATCTGAATGGCTGTGAAGTTTACCAAATGCATTTTTAGTATCATGGAGATGCAAATCTTTTTTTTTTTTTTTGAGATGGAGTCTCCCTCTGTTGCTTAGGCTGGAGTGCAGTGGGGCGATCTCAGCTCACTGCAGCCTCTGCCTCCTGGGCTCAAGCGATCCTCCTACCTCAGCCTCCTGAGTATCTGGGACTATAGGCACCCACCACCATGCCTGGCTATTTTTTTTGTATTTTTGGTAGAGACAGGGTTTTGCCTTGTTGCCCAGGCTGGTCTCGAACTCCTGGGCTCAAGTGATGCACCCACCTTGGCATCCCAAAGTGCTGGGATTATGATTACAAGCATGAACCACCATACCCAGCCCCAAAGCAAATCTTAACATGGCATATTCTAGGTTCTGCACTTTTTATAGTTGACCTTTCAATAGTGTTGTGGCTACTGGTGCCAATTCACCCCTACAGAGTTGAAAATCTGAATATAACTTTTGACTCCCTGAAAACTTAACTACTTATAGCCTGCTGTTGACCTGAAGACTTAGCAATAACATAAACAGCCGATTAACAGGCATTTTGTATGTTACAAGTATTACATACTGTATTTCTTTCTTTCTTACTTTATTATTATTATTATTTTGAGATAGAGTCTTACTGCATCACCTAGGCTGGAGTGCGCTAGTGGCATGATCTTGGCTCACTGCAACCTCCGCCTGTTAGGTTCAAGTAATTCTCATGCCTCAGCCCTCCAGAGTAGCTGGAATTACAAGCACACCACGCCTGGCTAATTTTTGTATTTTTAGTAAATATGGGGTTTTGTAATGTTGGCCAGGCTGGTCTCGAACTCCTGACCTCAAGTGATCCGCCTCCCTCTGTCTTGCAAAGTGCTGGGATTACAGGAGTGAACCACTGTGCCCAGCCTCTACACACTACAGTCTTAGAATAAAGCAAGTTAGAGAAGAGAAAATGTTATTTAAAAAATCACAGCTGGGCATGGTGTCATGTGGCTGTAATCCCAGCTCCCTGGGAGGCTGAGGCAGGAGGATCACCCGAGATCAGGAGGTAGAGGCTGCAGTGAGCCCTGATGGTGCCACTGCACTCCAGTCTGGGCAGCAGAGTGAAACCCTGTCTCCAAAAAGAAGAAAAAAAGAAAAAGAAAAAGAAAATCACAAGGAAGAGAAAATACATTTACAGTTACAGAACGCTACAATATTTATCAATGCCATAAATTTGTTTACAAGATGAATTGTCTGTCTGAAGCAGACAACCGCAGCTGTAGAGCTCCATTTATGTTACGTAGCAAGCAATTCAACTTTTTCTTGTCCTGTCCTGACTTTTCTCTGCTTCTCGGGAGCATTTCCAGCATCACTAGTGGCACTTTACATGGGTCTCAGGATGTTATTCAATGTTTGCGGTATTGCACTAAACACAGTGAAAAATACGCGGGAACCGCCAAGAGATCCCTTTTTACCGGGGCACAAATTCCTGGAGAGGTGAACTGCCCACAGGGAGATAATTAATGTAACATGGCATTTAAAGCGGATACTTGCAACACTTGCACTCACTCCAGTAGCAACAGGAGGTGGCTATGAAATTGTTACAATAACACAATATATTCTATAGTTAATTTTATGCAGTTATGATTGAATGCTGCATCTTTACATTTATTTACATTTCTCTTGACTTGGAATAACACCATGTATGGTTTGTAAGTGTGTGTGTACGTTTTAATACATTTTAACTTTTTGTAACAGATTTGTGTATATTTTATGTTAGCAAATTATAAAATAGGGCTGGACATGGTGGCTTATACCTGTAATCTCGGCACTGTGGGAGGTAGAGGCAGGAGGATCACTTGAGTTCAGGAGTTAGAGACCAGCCTGGGCAACATGGTGAGACCTCGTCTCTATAAAAAGTAAAAAAATTAGCCGGGCGTGTTGGTGCTTGCCAGGAAGATCGCTTGAACCCAGGAGTTGGAGGTTACAGTGAGCCATGATTGGGCCACTGCTCTCCAGCCTGGGCAACAGAGCAAGACCCTGTCTCTAAAAGAAAATAATAACAAAAATAATAAAACAGACTAGTATCTACATATATTTTATGCATTCATGACATACCTAATTTTTTTTTAATATTTCTTGGCTACCAAGTTCATCTGCAAGTCTTTTCAAACTATTGCAAATCTCTAAAAATGTTTCCAATATATTTATTGAAAAACATTCTGTTTAAAGATGACCTCACTTTGGGAGGCTGATCAGATCAGCTGAGGTCAGGAGTTCGATACCAGCCTGGCCAACATGGTAAAATCCCGTCTGTACTAAAAATACAAAAATTAACCGGGTGAGGTGGCGTGTGCCTGTAGTCCCAGATACTTGGGAAGCTGAGGCAGGAGAATAGCTTGAACCCTGGAGGTGGAGATTGCAGTGAGCTGAGATTGCTCCACTGCACTCCAGCCAGGGTGACAGAGCGAGACTCTGCCTCAAAAAAAAAAAAAAAAAAGATGTGCACGGTTCAAACTCATGTTCAAGGGCCCACTGCAGTTCTCACCCATGGCTTCACTTTCTCCTCTTTCTTTTCTGCAGCTACAGTGAATGCCTGGTTCAGTTGCAAGAATGCCTTGCCCACTCTCCTCTGGGCCTTTGCTCATGCCTTCCCCCACCTGAAACACATCCCTATGGCTTCCCTAGGATGGCTCCTCTTCATTTTCAGACTTAAGCTCAAAATCACATCCTCAGTCAGGTGCAGTGGCTCACGCGTCTGTAATCCCAGCAATTAGGGAGACCGAGACAGGCAGATCTCTTGAGGTCAGGAGTTCAAGACCAGCCTGTCCAATATGGTGAAACCCTGCCTCTACTAAAAATACAAAAATTAGGCAGGCGTGGTGGCATGCACCTGTAATCCCAGCTACTCTGGAGGCTGAGGCAGGAGAATTGCTTGAACCTGGGAGGCGGAGGTTGCAGTGAGCCAAGATCGTGCCACTGCACTCCAGCCTGGGCAACAGAGTAAGATCCATCAAAAAACAAACAAACAAAAAACCCCATGTCCTCAGCAAACCCCTCCCTATGCACCTCCCATTTCCCTCAGCTCATTACACACTCAATTATTTTAAGGGCTCTCTCCCTGGCTCAGTTGTGAACTCCATAAGGAAATGGGTCATGTTTATTTTGCTCACTGAAAAATCCCCTATTACTTATTGCTTGTTGATTCTCCCACTCAACAAATATTTATTAAGCAACAGATTTGTCAGGCACTGGGTTTAAGCAGTGAAACAAGACCGAAAAGATTTCCGCCTTCACGGGAAGGGGAGAAGACACAGAAAACGAATAAGAATTTCAAGGCCAATCATGGTGGCGCATGCCTGTAATCCTAGCACCTTGGGAGGCCAAGGCAGGAGGATTGCTTGAGGCCAGGAGTTCAAGGCTGCAGTAAGCTAGGATTGCACCACTGCATTCCTGCCTGGGTGACAGCAAGATTCTGTCAAAAGGAAAAAAAAAGAAAGAAAAGAAAAAAAAAAAACAAACAATTGCAGGTAGTGGGGTAAACATGCTATGAAAATGAGAGAGAAGGGGCCAGGCGCAGTGGCTCAGGCCTGTAATCCCAGCACTTTGGGAGGCCAAGGCCGGTGGATCACCTGAGGTCAGGAGTTTGAGACCGGCCAGGCCAACATGGTGAAATCCTGTCTCTACTAAAAATACAGAAAATTAGCTGGGTGTGCTGGCGCATGCCTGTAATCCAAGTTACTTGGGAGGTTGAGGCAGGAGAATCACTTGAACCCAGGCAGGTGATGTTGCAGTGAACTGAGATCTGGCCATTGCACTCCAGCCTGGGCAACAGAGAAAAACTCCATCTAAAAAAAAAAAAAAAAAAAAAAAAAAAAAAAAAAAAAAAAAAACAGAGAGAGAGAGAGAGAGAAGGAAACGGAACTGGGGGGAGGATTTGCAAAAATATGGTTAGGGATGGCACTTCAGAGATGAAGCCATCCTGGAGTGTTACGGGCAAGGGAAATGCTGGGGCAAAGGCCCAGAGGCAGGAATAGGTTTGGCCTGTTGCATGAACAGTGGGTCCAGCTCCTAGCAAACTGTTTATTGAATGAAAGAAGAATGAATGCCTTGGGTCTAGGGTTGTGCTGGGCGCTTTCTTAAGTTTTCTTTCCCGGGTACCTCCCCAGAACTGGCATGCAGGTATTATTAAACCCATTACACAAGTGAAACTGGCCCAGAGACAGAAAAGTCCCTGGTCCAAGACCACACAGGAGTGAGGGGTGGAGGAACCCTCCTCCCATTGAGTTCTGGCTTTCCTATACTGAAAGCCCCTTCCTCTCCTGCAGTAAGGTAGGTGGAACCGCTGTCCCGCCTTGTTGGTGAATGTCGTTGCTAGACTTCAGACACATACAGGCTGGTCTGCTGAAAATCAGAGATGTCCACCTGCGCCCTATTCGAGGTCTCCGGCGTCTTCTTTGGCGTCGTCTTTGCCCTTTCAGAAGCGTCTGCACATTTTTCCAGGTGTCATTTCTCCAACTTGAACACAGGGAGCGCACTGGGCACGCGGGCACGTGGCTGTCCCCAGGGGCCTGGCTTGGGTCTCGCCCCTGGGCCGGGGCGCACTCGCGGGCGGGACATCTGGGGGCGCCCACGCGCTCTGGGACGAGTGTCGCTGGCCAGGCCCGGACTGAGGAAAGGCGAGTGAGACACTACTCGCCTGGGGTGCAAAATTTAAGGGAGTGAAAAAAAAAAAAAAAGAAAGAAACCAAAACCACCTCGAGTCACCAAAATAAACATTTTAATGCAGTATTTTTTAAAAAATCAACAGGAATCCTCCAAAGCCCACTATGAACAAAATAGCAAAATGGTAGAGAAAGGATCTGTGCCGCTGCGTCGGGCCTGTGGGGCGCCTCCGGGGGTCTGAAACTGGAGGAGACTCGGGGCTGTAGGGCGCGCGGATCTGGGGCGCGCCCTCGGTCCCGGCGCGCCCAGGGCCTCCCGCGCGGGGCCCGGCACAGGGAGGCGGGGAGGCGGGCGGGGCGGGGCGGGGCCGGGCGGCACCTCCCTCCCCTGCAAGCTTTCCCTCCCTCTCCTGGGCCTCTCCCGGGCGCAGAGTCCCTTCCTAGGCCAGATCCGCGCCGCCTTTTCCCGCGGCCCGCACGGGGCCCAGCTGACGGGCCGCGTTGTTTACGGGCCCGAGCAGCCCTCTCTCCCGCCGCCCGCCCGCCACCCGCCAGCCCAGGTGCCCGCCCGCCAGTCAGCTAGTCCGTCGGTCCGCGCGTCCCTCTGTCCCGGAGCCCGCAGATCGCGACCCAGAGCGCGCGGGGCCGAGAGCCGAGAGACAGTCCCGGGCGCAGCGCGGAGCTCCGGGCCCCGAGATCCTGGGACGGGGCCCGGGCCGCAGCGGCCGGGGGGTCGGGGCCACCACCGCAAGGGCCTCCGCTCAGTATTTGTAGCTGGCGAAGCCGCGCGCGCCCTTCCCGGGGCTGCCTCTGGGCCCTCCCCGGCAGGGGGGCTGCGGCCCGCGGGTCGCGGGCGTGGAAGAGAAGGACGCGCGGCCCCCAGCGCCTCTTGGGTGGCCGCCTCGGAGCATGACCCCCGCGGGCCAGCGCCGCGCGCTCTGATCCGAGGAGACCCCGCGCTCCCGCAGCCATGGCCACCGGGGGCCGGCGGGGGGCGGCGGCCGCGCCGCTGCTGGTGGCGGTGGCCGCGCTGCTACTGGGCGCCGCGGGCCACCTGTACCCCGGAGAGGGTGAGTCTGGGGGCGCGGGCGTGGGCGGGGAGCGCCGCGATGGGGAGAGGACCCCACCCAAGCCAAAATCGAGCCCCCGCTTGTGGACTGAGAACCCTCCCCAGGGGCGGGGGGCGGTGGCCAGGACGGTAGCTCCTGCATCGCGTAGGGGGAGCGGGAAGCCTCTGACCTTGGCCTTTGCCCGCCCGGGCTCGCGCCTCCGCGCCCTGCGTGCCCGACCTGAGCCCGAGGAACCTTGCCCCGGTGCCCGCCCCGCCGCGGGCTCCTCTCTGGAGCGCGCCTCCGACCCGTGCCCCGGCCCCTCCGAGCCCAAGTCGCTCCGGAGACACGACACGCGTCATCTTTGGGTCGCGGCCGGGAAGTGGGGTCACTGGGTCTGGACAGCCCCGAACAGCCAAGTCCCCCGAGCGCATATGGTGTAGGTAGAGCCAAGCGCCCTGAGTGCCTCACCGGTGGGTGACGCTGCCTGGGGTCAGGGACTGCAGAGCCCCCCTCTACCCAACTACCTTGGATCTAGGCCCGTGGCCACCCCGGACTCTAGGTCCATGTTTACCCTTTTGGGTTCTGTTTCCAGATGTCCGGAGGCAAATTCTAAAGCCTTAGCAACAGCAGCAATTGTAGCAGAAGTAGTGGCGGTTTTTTACCCTATTTATTGTAATTGGTATCACCGCACGCCACAGCCTAGTCTATCTTATCTCTCTGGACTGTCACAGTGGCCCCCGGAGGCAGATACAGTTATGCACCCATTTCACAGAGGAGTAAACTGAGGCTCATGTAGGACGCATAACTCCCTTGCCCTAAAGTCAGTGCCAGAGCCAGGACTTGAGCCTCTGTGTGTCCCGTTCTGCCCAAGAATCTGGACTACTGTCCCTTGTCTGCTGTCTCCTTGACCCCTCCTCTCCCCTCAGCCCTGCGCTTCATGAAGGAGCCTTTGACCTTGAGTGAGCCTTTCGTTCCCCCTGACCCCATGGGCCCCTCTCCCACGTGTGGGCAGCATCTTCCTTGGGCTTGACAATAGGCACCTTTGGGGTTGTAAGATGAAGATGGCGCAATCATTTAAGGAATATAGCCTGGGTTTCCCACTGTGGGGTCTGAGGCCCTGCTTTAAAAATATCTGTTGGGTTACTGTTTCAGATTTCTCCATAAAA
This sequence comes from Homo sapiens, assembly GCF_000001405.40. Lineage (NCBI taxonomy): Eukaryota > Metazoa > Chordata > Mammalia > Primates > Hominidae > Homo > Homo sapiens. Next base: position 7,292,643 of record NC_000019.10, on the reverse strand, counting down.
GGAAATCAGTCGTGATGAGGAAGGGGTCAGGGAGGGAAGGAATTGAAGCTCTTAAATGTATTGATGGGGAAACGGGTGCATGTAAAATCAGGTGCTAGAGTGGACCAACCGGGTTTGCTGAGTCGACTCTGTCAATCACATAATGTCTAAAAGCCCCGGGCCCACCCCCCCCCAGCCCCGCCCCCAGGTGCCTGGGAGACAGTAGGTGCTCAATGAAGGGTGGCGGTTAGTTGGAGTTCTTGTTAAGAAAATCTGGCCAGCTGCGGTGGCTCAAGCCTGTAATCTCAGCATTTTGGGAGGCTGAGGCGGGCGGATCACGAGGTCAGGAGATGGAGACCATCCTGGCCAACATGGTGAAACTCCCTTCTCTGCTCAAAATACAAAAATTACCTGGGTTTGGTGGCGTTCGCCTGTAGTCCCAGCTACTTGGGAGGCTGAGGCGGGACAATTGCTTGAACCCGGGAGGAGGAGGTTGCTGTGAGCTCAGATGGCACCACTGCACTCCAGCCTGGCCAAAGAGCGAGACTTTGTCTCAAAAAAATAAAAAAAAAGGCGGGGCGTGGTGGCTCACGCTTGTAATCCCAGCACTTTGGGAGGCCGAGGCGGGTGGATCACCAGTTCAGGAGATCACGACCATCCTGGCTAACACGGTAAAACCCTGTCTCTACTGAAAAATAGAAAAAATTAGCCGGGCGTGGTGGCGGGCGCCTGTAGTCCCAGCTATTCCGGAGGCTGAGGCAGGAGAATGGCGTAAACCCGGGAGGCGGAGCTTGCAGTGAGCCAAGATCGTGCCACTGGGCGACAGAGCGAGACTCTGTCTCAAAAATAAATAAATAAATAAAAAGAAAATCCAAGATGAGTGGTTTCGAACTATGCCAGATTCTATGTGTGCGTGTGTGTGGTTCCCTGTTCTTCTGTTCCTTGTAGCTTTGGTAATTAATTGTGGATCTGTGCCTGGGCTTTCAGGGTCAGTAAATGGATTTACCATTTCTTTGCACATTTATGGCTTCCATATGGGCAGGGGTTTATGGTTTGTTGTTGTTCACCGTTGCATTTCTAGAGCCCAGAACGATGCCTGGCACATAGTAGGTGTTCAGTAAATATTTGTTCTGCAGTGGGGCACAAGTGGTGGAGTTCCTGGGTGTACTGGGCTCCTTTATCATCTTAAGGAGTTCCTTATTCTCTGCATAATACCTTCCTAAGAATTAGAAGAGCAAGCTCTCAGCAGGTGCTGTTCTATGCGCTTTGCATATATAATCTCAGTTAATCCTCACGGCAAAACCCCACGAGGTGCGGTTTAATCTTCCCTTTTCACAAGTGAGAAAACTTCGCTTGAGGCCAGCAGGCAGCAGGGCTGGGATTGCAATCTAGCTAGTGTGGCTGCAGAGCAATGGTTTCTTAACAAATCTTTGTTCTTTTGAGTCCGAGCCTCCGTACCCCCCACGATTGGGGTGATGGTGAACAAAATCCTGTCAAATAAATGGGCTGTGATGCCTCTTGAAGGCTTGGGGAGGGGCAAAGAACTTTTCAGATCATTAATCTCTAATGTCAACCAATATGGCTTTTTTTTTTTTGAGACGGAGTCTTGCTCTGTCACCCAGGCTGGAGTGCAGTGGCACGATCTCAGCTCACTGCAACCTCCACCTCCCAGGTTCAAGGGATTCTCCTGCCTCAGCCTCCCCAGTAGCTGGGATTACAGGCGTGTTCCACAACACCGGCTTATTTTTTGTATTTTTAGTAGAGACAGGGCTTTGCTGTGTTAGCCAGGATGGTCTCGACCTCCTGATCTTGTGATCCACCCGCCTCGGCCTCCCAAAGTGTTGGGATTACAGGAGTGAGCCACCGTACCTGGCCTTTTTTTTTTTCTTTTTTTTTTTTGAGACAGGGTGTCACTCTGTCACCCGGGCTGGAGTGCAGTGACACGATCTTTGCGACCTCCGCCTTTCAGGTTCAAGTGCATCTCCTGCCTCAGCCTCCTGAGTAGCTGGGATTACAGTCGTGTATCACCACCCTTGGCTAATTTTTGTATTTTTAGTAGAGATGGGATTTCGCCATATTGGTTAGGCTGGTCTCAAACTTCTGACCTCAAGTGATCTGCCTGCCTCGGCCTTCCAAAGACCTGGGATTATAGGTGTGAGCCATCACTCCGGGCCCAATATGGCATTTTGATTGGGATGAAGGGTGGAGGAAAATCAGTGTGATTTTTGTATCTATCTCTCTAGCTATCTATTATTTTTTGAGATGAGGTCTTGCTCTGTTGCTTAGGCTGGAGTGCAGTTGGGCAATGATGGCTCACTGCAGCCTCGACCTCCTGGACGCAAGCCATCCTCCTATTTTAGCCTCCGTAGTAGCTGGGACCACAGGCACACGCCACCCTGCCTGGCTAATTTTTACTTTAATGTGTAGAGCTGAAGTCTTGCTATTTTGTCCAGGCTGGTCTCAAACTCCTGGCCTCAAGCGATCTGCCTGCCTTGGCCTCCCGAAGTGCTGGGATCACAGGCATGAGCCACGGTGTCTGGCCTCTGCAGTTATTCTTATTCTTTGCTTCTCTCCTGGAGACCTGCTTCTTGCCCTTCCCCATTCATGCATAGAGACCACAGGGTGTGGGCTGAGTCCCCAGGGCTCCCCACCTCACCCCACTCTACCCTTGACTTCCATTCCTCTTTGGTTTAAGCAGAACTCTCAATCTTGGCACTGCTGACATTTGGGGCTGGATCATTCCTGGTGGTGGGGGCTGTCCTGTATGTAGAGTGTTGAGCTGGAACCATGGTCTCCACCCATGTGGTCCTGGGAGGATCCCCTTCCCCCCAGGCATGACAACCACTAATGTCTCCAGACATTGCCAGGCACGTCTCTGCAGGAGTTAACCTTTTCCCTGTCTGAGACATTTACCCATCTGGGCTCTTGCTCTTTCTCCTCTCTTTGTTCAATAATCCTCGGCCGGGTGCAGTGGCTCACGCCTGTAATCCCAACACCTTGGGAGGCTGAGGTGGGCGGATCCCCTGAGGTCAGGAGTTTGAGACCACCCTGGCCAACATGGTGAAACCCCATCTCTACTAAAAATGCAAAAATTAGCCAGGTGTGGTGGCGGGTCCTTGTAATCCTAGCTACTTGGGAGGCTGAGGCAGGAGAATCGCTTGAACCTGGGAGGCAGAGCTTGCAGTGAGCCGAGATCACACCATTGCATTCTAGCCTGGGCAACAGAGAGAGACTCTGTCTCAAAAAAAAAAAAAAAAAAGAAAAGAAAAAAGAATCTTCATTTACCCACGTGCTTTTTCAGCCTCTAAACACCCAGTACCCCCCAATCCCCATTACCTACCACTGACCTCCAGCCTCCACCCTGTCCAGCTTCCCCAGGCCAGTCCTCCCTGCCCTTTCCATCTCACTCTTTTCTCACTGTTCTGCCCCCAGCATCTGGCTTGCATCTCCGCTGCTTTACCGATGGCTCTCGAAGTTAATCTCTCATCTCCCAGTTGCGTCTCCTGCAGCCTCACCTCACTTGACCCCTCTGGGTTTGACATTGCCAGTCCCCCCTCCTGGAAGGCTGTGTCTCCCGTCTCACCTGTGCCTAAGTTCTTCTGTTTTACTGTTCTCTTCTCCTTCTACCTGGGCTAAGATGTTGGCTCTCTCTTCCCAGAGGGTCAGTGTTTCCTTTAATCTTCTCTCAGCTCACTTTTTTTTTTTTTTTTTTTTCACTTCTTCACCCGGGCTGGTGTGCAATGGCATGATCTTGGCTCACTACAACCTCCGTCTCCTGGGTTCAAGCAATGGTCCTGCCTCAGCCTCTCCAGTAGCTGGAATTACAGGCATGTGCCACCCCGCCTGGCTAGTTTTTGTACTTTTAGTAGAGACAGAGTTTCACCCCATTGGCCAGGCTGGTCCCAAACTCCTGACCTCAAGAGATCCACCTACCTCAGCCTCCCAGAGTGCTGGGATTACGGGCATGAGCCACCGTGTCCGGCCCTTTTTTTTTTTTTTTTTTTTTCCAATTTTTATTTCTTTTTAGAGACAGGATTTTGCTCTGTCACCCAGGCTGGAGTGCAGAGGTTTAGTCCTAGCTTACTGCAGCCTCCAAGTCATGGCCTGGAGCAGTCCTCCCACCTAGGTTCCCCAAGTAGCTGGAATCACAGGCAGGTGCCACCATGCCCAGCTAATTGAAAAATTTGTTTGTAGAGACAGAGTCTCACTATGTTGCCCAGGCTGGTCTTGATTTCCTGGCCTCAAGTGAGCCTCCTGCCTTGGCCTTCTGAGAAACTAGGATCACAGGCAGGCACCACCATGACTAGCTAATTTTTAAAATTTATTTGTAGAGACAGAGTCTAGCTATGTTGCCCATGCTGGTCTTGAATTCCTGGCCTCAAGCAACCTGCTTGCCTCCGCCTCCTGGGTACCTGGGCTCACAGACAGTCACCACCATGCCTGGCTAATTAAAACTTTTTTTTTTTTTTTGTAGAAACAGGGTCTTGCTATGTTGCCTAGGCTGGTCTTGAACTCCTAGTTCAAGCAGTCTTCCCTCCTGGGCCTCCCAAGTGCTGGGATTATAGGCATGAGGAACCATTGCGCCCAGCTAAGAAATTTACATAGATTCCGACTTCTTCATCTGAACAGGGGTCAGCAAACTATGGCCCTCAGGCCAAATCCCACGGTTTTTGTAAATGCAGTTTTATTGGCATGCAACCACACTCATTTGTCTACTCATCATCTATGACTGCGCAAAAATGCCCCGACACGGCAGGTTGAGTAGTTAAAACAGGAATTCCATGGCCAAAATATTTACACTTTGGCCCTTTACAGAACAGCGTTTGCTGACCTCTGATCTGGAACAGACGCCTTGAGGTTTCATTCATGATAGCATGCCTAATAGCTTGTGCAGTCCCTGGTACAACTCGAATGAAGTGAGTGAAATGAAACGCTATGTCTTTCTCTTTACACCGCAAGAGATGTTAAAGAAACGTGTGTCATTTGCTGCACTGAATATACGGATTCCAAGGATGAGAAAAATCACCGTGATGTTGCCTACTTAGCCATGTGTATTTATTTAAACAGCTATATTGGCATTGAATGAGGATTTCATGCTCTCAACCCTGTATCTAGAACCCAAAATATAACTGGTGTATATAATGAGATTTTTTTTTTTTCTCTCAGGCCTCTCTTGTGTTAATTTCTGTTAAGAATACTTCTGGGCCAGGTGTGGTGGCTCACGCCTGTAATCCCAAGCACTTTGGGAGGCCGAGGTGGGTGGATCACTTGAGGTCAGGAGTTCGAGACCAGCCTGACCAACATGGTGAAACCCCATCTTTACTGAAAAAATACAAAATTAGCCAGGCGTGGTGGCGCATGCCTGTAATCCCAGCTAGTTGGGAGGCTGAGGCAGGAGAATCGCTTGAACCTGGGAGGTGGAGGTTGCAGTGAGCCGAGATTGCGCCACTGCACTCTAGCCTGGGTGACAGAGCGAAACTCCATCTCAAAAAAAAAAAAAAAAAAGAATATTTTTGGCCAGGTGCAGTGGCTCATGCCTGCAATCCCAGCACTCTGGGAGGCTGAGGTGGGAGGATTACATGTGTCCAGGAGTTTCAGATCAGCCTGGACAACACAGCAAGACCCTGTCTCCACTAACAATAAAACAAAAATTAGCTGGGCATGGTGGCATGTGTCTGTAGTCCCAGCTACTTGGGAGGCTGAGATGGGAGGACCTCTTGAGGCTGGAAGGGCAAGGCTGCAGTGAGCTGTGATTGTACCACTGCACTCCAGCCTGGGCAACAGTGAGATCCTCTCTCTGTCTCAAACAAAAAAAGAATACTTCTTGGGGTGGCCTGGTTGATATTTTGCAGCTGCATGGTATTTACAGTTTTTAATTAAATAGTGACGGGTAATGCATTCTCATTGCAAAAAGAAAAATTACAAAAGTGTAGAAAGGAAAAAAAAAACACAGAAGTCCTTCTGCAAAATCTTGTGGTGGGGTGCAGTGGCTCACACCTGTAATCCCTGGACTTTTTAGGAAGCTGAGGTGGGAGGAACACTTGAAGCCAGCAGTTTGAGACCAGCCTGGGCAACATAATGAGACATTATCTCTAGAAAAAGTTTAAAAATTAGCTGAGCATGGTGGTGTGTACCGGTAGTCCCAGCTACTCAGGAGGCTGAGGTGGGAGGATCGCTTGAGCCCAGAAGGTTGAGGCTACAGTAAGCCATATTCATGCCACTGCACTCCAACCTGGGTGATAGAGCCCGACCCTGTCTCAAAAAGAAAAGAAATAATAAAAAAAAATCTTGTCCCCCTGTCCCCAAAAGCATTCCATTCATGTCCAGGGAGGTAACTGTGCCATTGGTTTATGTATCTTTTTGATGTTTAGTAATTTTTTAGGCTAGGTGTCATGGGGCCACTCCTGTAATCCCAGCACTTTGGGAGGCCGAAGCAGGTGGATCTCTTGAGCCCAGGAGTTCAAGACCAGCCTGGGTAACATAGCAAGACCCCGTCTCTACAAAACCCTACAAAAAAATTATCCAGATACAGTGGTGAGCACCTGTGGTCCCAGCTACTAGGGAGGCTGAGGTGGGAGGATCACCTGAGCCTGGGAAGTCGAGGCGCCAGTGAGCTGTGATTGCACCACTGCATCCAGCCTGGGTGACATAGTGAGACTGTGTAACAACAACAACAACAAAATATTTTAAACATTATCATACAGTAAAATTGGCTTTTTAAAGGTGTACCATTTTATGATTTTTAAGCCATGTGTAGAGTTGTATGGCTATTGCCACAATTAGGATAGAGAACAGTCTCGTTGTTGTCCAAACTCCCTCAATTCACCCCTTTATCACTAAACCACCTCCACCCCTAACCACAGATCTGTTCTCCATCCCTATAGTTTTCTCTAGACTTTAAAAGATTTTATCTTATAATTGGATTAATATTCCTAAAGTTGAAATTTTAAATTTGAGTCTGGTTGATCCTCATCATTCCCAGATCCCATATTTTCTTTTTAAAATTTAAAATTTAAATTTTTATTTTGAGAGGCAGGTTCTTGCTCTGATACCCAGGCTGGAGTGCAGTGGTGTGGTCCTAATTCCCTGCAGCCTCCAACTCTTGAGCATCAACGATCCTCCTGCCTCAGCCTCCTGAGTAGCTGGGACTACAGGCACACACCACCATGCTCAGCTAGTTTTTATTGTTATTTATTTATTTATTTATTTTTGAGACGGAGTCTCACTAACTCTGTTGCCCAGGCCAGACTGCAGTGGTGTGATCTGGGTTCACTGCAACCTCTGCTTCCTGGGCTCAAGCAACTCTCCTGCCTCAGCCTTTCTAGTAGCTGGGGTTACAGGCACGCCACCATGCCCGGCTAGTTTTTTTTATTTTTAGTAGAGATGGGGTTTTACCATGTTGGTCAGGCTGGTCTCAAACTCCTGGCTTCAAGTGATCCGCCCACTTCAGCCTCCCAAAGTGCTGGGATTACAGGCGCGAGCCACTGTGCCCGGCCTAATTTTTAACTTTTCAGCAGGGATAAGGGCTCGCTATGTTGCCCAGGCTGGTCTCGAACTCCTGGCCTCAAGTGATCCTCCCATCTTGACTTCCTAAAGTACTGGGATTACAGGCATGAGCCACTGCACCTGGCCCCAGACCCTGTATTTTTGAATTCACCTACTCACTCAAATGTATTTGTAACCCTCAAACCAGCATGCTCAGTGCCTTTCTGGTCATTTTAGGACACTCATAAGTACGAGTCTCAAATGTGAGGTCAAGTAAGAGGGCATTCCACCTTCTTGCTTCAGCCCTTATGCGTCAGATTCATACAATCTGCACACTGAGGATTAAAACTAGTCCTTTTTGAGCAGGCGCAGTGGCTCATGCCCAGCGCTTTGGGAGTCCGAGGCGAGTGGATCACGAGGTCAGGAGATCGAGACCATCCTGGCTAACATGGTGAAACCCTGTCTCTACTAAAAATACAAAAAATTAGCCAGGTGTGGTGGCGGGCGCCTGTAGTCCGAGCTACTCCGGAGGCTGAGGCAGGAGAATCACTTGGACCCAGGAGGTGGAGGTTGCAGTGAGCCGAGATTGTGCCTCTGCACTCCAGCCTGGGTGACAGGGTGAGACTCAAAACAAAAAACAACAACAAAAAAACCTGAGTCCTTTTTGTGGTTATTTGGTGCCACATTTTTAGCATTTTTGTGCTTTCAGTTGGTGATGGGGCTGTTTCAAATGCCCCCCAGGGTGCTGAAGCCCTGCTCTCTACTCTTCCTTGGCTAAGGAGGGCTGTCACCACCCTTGTGGAGAAAAGGCAGCGTGGCGGGGCACGGTGGCTCACATCTGCAATCCCAGCACTTTGGGAGGTTGAGGCAGGTGGATCACTTGAGGCCAGAGTTTGAGACCAGCCTGGGCAACATGGTGAAACCCCATCTCTACTAAAAATACAAAAATTAGCTGGGCGTGATGGCGCACACCTGTAATCTCAGCTACCTGGGAGGCTAAGGCACAAGAATTGCTCGAGCCTAGGAGGTGAAGGTTGCAGTGAGCCAAGGCGGTGCCACTGCACTCCAGCCTGGGCAACAGAGTGAGACCCTGTCTCAAAAAAAACCCAAAAAAACAAAAAAACTCCAAAACCAACACACACACACAAAGGCATGTGTTACATAAACTTTGTTCAGGCATGAGTTCTATTACTGTTGGCCGTGAGTTCGGTGTTAATGAATCAACAATATAGATTCAATAGTGTCTTTCAACAGAAACACACATAAAACAAGGCTAGGTATTGATCCATGGATAAATGTGTTGTGGCCAGAAGTTCGCAGGTACTTACCCTCGCATTTTCCTAGGAACAATGGTTCAGTATTCACTAGTTCAACATTCAGGGGAATTTCACAGAGCCAAACTACCACCAATAACAAGAATCGGCTGCAAGTGGTTTAAAACTGGTGAATCTGTGGCTCATACCCGTAATCCCAGCACTTTGGGAGGCCGAGGCAGGTGGATCACCTGAGGTGGTGAGTTCGAGACCAGCCTGGCCAAAATGGTGAAACCCCGTCTCTACTAAAAATACAAAAATTAGCCGAGCACGGTGGCTCATGCCTGTAGTCCCAGCTACTCAGGAGGCTGAGGCGGGAGAATTGCTGGAACCCGGGAGGCAGAGGTTGCAGTGAGCCGAGACTGCACCACTGCATTCCAGCCAGGGCAACAGAGCAAGACCCCATCTAAAAAAACCAAACCAAACCAAACAAAACTGTGGGTTTGTCATTTTCCGTTTAGAATCCTTTGAATGCAAATGCCCTTTTTGTTGTATTTTCATCTGCGTGGAAACCGCTGGGTTGATACCTTTTGGAAAGTTCATGAGATGTCCAAAAACCCCTGGCCCATGTTTCAGGGAGGGGAATCCCTGCCCTCTGCCAACACTGGTGGCAGGGAGAGGCAGCAGTGGCTCTCGGGATTTTATTTATTTCATTTATTCATTTACATTTTTTTGAGAAAGGGTCTTGCACTGTTGCTCAGGCTGGAGTGCAGTGGCGCAATCACAGCTCACTGCAGCCTCGACCTCCTGGGCTCAAGTGGTCCTCCCACCTCAGCCTCCTGAGTAGCTGGCACTACAGGCGTGTGCTACCACGACTAGCTAATTTTTGTATTTTAGTAGAGATGGGGTCTCACCATGTTGCCTATTATTATTATTATTATTATTACTTTTTTTGAGGCGGAGTCTCACTCTGTCGCCCAGGCTGGAGTGCAGTGGCGTGATCTCAGCTTACTGCAAGCTTCGCCTTCCGGGTTCATGCCATTCTCCTGCCTCAGCCTCCTGAGTAGCAGGGACTACAGGCGCCCGCCACTGCCCCCGGCTAATTTTTTGTATTTTTAGTAGAGACGGGGTTTCACCGTGGTCTCGATCTCCTGACCTCGTGATCCCCCACCTCGGCCTCCCAAAGTGCTGGGATTACAGGCGTGAGCCACTGCGCCTGGCCATGTTGCCTATTATTATTATTATTTTGAGCAGTCTTACTCCGTTGCCCAGGCTGGAATGCAGTGTCACGATCTCAGCTCACTGCAACCTCCGCCTCCAGGGTTTAAGCAATTCTCCTGCCTCAGCCTCCTGAGTAGCTGGGACTACAGGCATGTGCCACCACGCCCAGCTAATTTTTGCATTTTAGTAGAGATGGGGTTTCCCCATGTTGCCCAGGTGGGTCTCAAACTCCTGACCTCAAGCCACCCACCTGCCTCAGCCTCTCAAAGGGCTGGGATTACTGGTGTGAGCCACCTTGTCCAGCTGGCTTGAAGGATTATTATTATTATTACTATTATTTTGAGATGGAGTCGCACTCTGTTGCCCAGGCTGGAGTGTAGTGGCACGATCTCGGCTCACTGCAACCTCTGCCTCCTGGGTTCAAGCAATTCTCCTGCCTCAGCCTCCCGAGTAGCTGGGATTACAGGCGTACACCACCACGCCCAGCTAATTTTTGTATTTTTAGTAGAGACAGGGTTTCACCATGTTGGCCAGGCTGGTCTTGAACCCCTGACCTCAAATGATCCACCCACCTCGGCCTCCCAAAGTGCTGGGATTACTGGTGTGAGCCACCGTGCCCCGCCGGCTCGCGGGGTTTTAGAAACATATTTTGTTTCCAGCAGAACAAGCTTTGCTATCCTGCGGTGCCACGTACAGACTGGCTCTAAGCTCCTGTTGGAGTTCAAAGCGGACTTGTGGGAATGAATGTTTAATTTCACATCTGGCATTTTCTTCCAGTTCCTTAGAAGTAGGATATCTCATCAGGTTTATATAAAAGCCCCTGATGTATGTTCAGGAAAGGCAGGATGCTATCATGAGATTCTTATTTCCTTTGCCTTTGTGGGAATGTGGAAACCATAGGTACTGTCTAAAAATTACCCTTTTTATCAATGCAGGCAAAAGTAGTCAGACAGGAAGGGACTCGAGAGTAGGGATGCAACTGCTTTTTTAAATTGATTTTAAAATCTCATTTATTCTTATCATTAGAGACAGGGTCTTGCTCTGTCATCCCGGCTGGAGTGCGGTGGTGTGATTATGGCTCATTGCAGCCCTGAACTCCTGGGCTCAAATGATTCTCGCGCTTCCTCCTCCCAAGTAGCTGGGACTACAGGCATGCACCACCATGCCTGGCTAGTTTTTTTATTTTTATTTTTTGCAGAGACAGGGTCTGGCTGTGTTGCCCAGGCTGGCCTCGAACTCAAGACCTTAAGTGATCGTCCCGCCTCAGCCTCCCAAAGCACTGGGATTGCAGATGTGAGCCACTGTGCCTGGTGGGATACAACTGTTTTCTGACTGCCTGTGTATGTGTCTGTGTGTGTGTGTGTGTGTTTGTTTGTTGTTGTCATTCTACTCTCAAGGATGTATCTTGTTGTTTCCTTGCAGAAGATCAGAAAAGGGAGGACCTCATATGTTCCCTCCTAATTATACCCAGTTACACGGTCTCCATACCACCTGTTACAAAGTGACTTTCTGGTCTGGCAGGACTTCTCTTGTTTTTCCTCCTGTCTTCTGTGTCCTGTCTGCTCTTGTCTGTATAAATTTCAGGACTCCTGAAATAGCACGGAAGCCCCCTTCTAATCCTGTGGTTTGATGTTTGATATTGTTAGGATTACAAAACTATGTCATAGACTAGAGGAGTCAGACATTCCAGAGTTCACAGAAGGTGTTGGTGTCCGGGTGGCTGTGGGACACAGGTGCCCTTCCTAGTCCCTGGCCTTTCATACTGTGCCCCCTGGAGCCCCTCTTTCTTTCTTTTTTCTTTTTTTTTGGAGATCGAGTCTCGCTCTGTCACCCAGGCTGGAGTGCAGTGCAGTGGCACGATCTTGGCTGATTGCAACCTCTGCCTTCCAGGTTCAAGCGATTCTCCTGCCTCAGCCTCCTGAGTAGCTGGGATTATAAGTGTGCACCACAATACCTGACTAATTTTTGGGTTTTTTGTTTTTTTTTTTGAGATGGAGTTTCGCTCTTGTTGCCCAGGCTGGAGTGCAATGGCATGATATCGGCTCATCACAACCTCCGCCTCCCGGGTTCAGGCGATTCTCCTGCCTCAGCCTCCCAAGTAGCTGGGACTACAGGCATACGCCACCATGCCCAGCTAATTTTGTATTCTTAGTAGAGATGGGGTTTCTCCATGTTGGTTAGGCTGGTCTCGAACTCCTGATCTCAGGTGATCCACCCGCCTCGGCTGCCCAAAGTGCTGGGATTACAGGTGTGAGCTACCATGCCCGGCCTGGCTAATTTTTTATATTTTTGGTAGAGACGGGTCTCAAACTTTGGCCAGGCTGGGCTCGAACTCCTGACCTCAAGTGATCCACCTGCCTTGGCCTCCCAAAGTGCTGGAATTACAGGCGTGAGCAACCGCACCCAGCCTTTGTTTTGTTTTGTTTTTTTGTTTTTTGTTATGAGACGGAGTCTCGCTCTGTTGCCCAGGCTGGAGTGCAGTGGCGCAGTCTCGACTCACTGCAAGCTCCGCCTCCCGGGTTCACGCCATTCTCCTGCCTCAGCCTCCCGAGTAGCTGGGACTACAGGCGCCTGCCACCACGCCCGGCTAATTTTTGTATTTTTAGTAGAGACGGAGTTTCACCTTGTTAGCCAGGATGGTCTCAATCTCTTGACCTCGTGATCCGCCCGCCTCGGCCTCCCAAAGTGCTGGGATTACAGGTGTGAGCCACCGTGCCTGGCCTTGTTTTGTTTTTGAGACAGGGTCTCCTCGCACTGTCGCCTAGGCTGGAGTGTAGTGGTGTGATGTCAGGCCTCCGCAATCTCCACCTCCCAGGCTCGAGCAATCCTCAACCTCCCGAGTAGCTGGGACTACAGGTGCACACCACCACACCCATCCAATTTTTTTTTTTTTGGTAGAGATGGGGTTTTGCTATGTTACCCAGGCCAATCTCAAACTCCTGGGCTCAAGCAGTCCACCCACCTCAGCCTCACAAAGTGCTGGGATTCCAGGCGTGAGCCTCTCTTTCTATCATTTTCTTCTCTCAGTTGTCTCCGTGCTACCTTTCCTGCAATATCACCTGTTGTCACTGCGTCCACCAGCATCCGTACCTGTTCCCCCATCTTCCCAATGCCCACGGGACCCACATCCCTGAGTATCCCAAAGCCCTCACAGACTCAATATGCTGCCAACTCAGCCTGTTGTTCTTGCCACTCTAAACTGTTCCTATCTCGAATGCTTCAGGCTCATTGACGATCCCTCCTCACTCTCTTCTCCCTCTTCTCTTCCATTTCTCCTGGGTATGAAGTCCTGTTCACACAAACTGCCCCTGGTTTCTGTGGTGCTATGCATGCTGTCTTCAGTACCTTCTTCATTCTGCTGCCAGAAGGCTGTTTCTCTCTTTCTTTTTTATTTTTTAATTTTATTTTTATAGACATGGGGTCTTACTGTGTTGCCCAGATTGGTCTCAGACTTCTGGACTTAAGTGATCCTCCTGCGTCAGCCTCCCCAAGGGCTGGGATTATAGATGTGAGCCACTGTGCCCTGTCTAGAGGGATATTTATTTTATTTTATTTTATTTTATTTCTTTTCTTTTTTTGAGATGGAGTGTCACTCTGTCACCCAGGCTAGAGTGCAGTGGCGTGATCTCAGCTCACTCAACCTCTCCCTCCTGGGTTTAAGAGATTGTCCTGCTTCAGCTTCCTGAGTAGCTGGGATTACAGGTGTGCACCACCATCCCTGGCTAATTTTTGTATTTTTAGTAGAGATGAGGTTTCCCCATGTTGGCCAGGCTGGTCTTGAACTCCTGACCTCAGGTGATCCTCCCACCTCAGGCTCCCAAAGTGCTGCGATTACAGGCATACGCCACCATACCGGACTCATTTTTGTATTTTTAGTAGACATGGGGTTTCACTTTGTTGGCCAGGCTGGTCTCAAACTCCTGACCTCAGGTGATCCTCCCACCTCAGCCTCCCAAAGTGCTGGGATTACAGGCACACGCCACCACACCAGGCTAATTTTCATATTTTTAGTAGACATGGGGTTTCACCATGTTGGCCAGGCTGGTCTCAAACTCCTGACCTCAGGTGATCCACCCCCCTTGACCTCCCAAAGTGCTGGGATTACAGGCGTGAGCCACTGTGCCCAGCCTGTGTGGCTCTCTTTTGGTTACCCTGTGGTATCCTGTTTTCTCAAGCTCATCCTCCCTGGTGGGTCCATGATCCCTGGAAATTGTTGGTCTTCTCCGGCCTTTTGAAATTGCTGCCTTATGAATGTCCAGAGTTGGGTATCTGCCTTTCTCTCCCAAGGAGGAAGAATCCTGAGGGGGCATCTTTGCTTTTAGGTCCCAGGGCTTTCACTGACTTCCTCCTTGCTGGCTTCTTGGTTTGTTCCAAAGATGTCCTCGGTACATCTTCTGAGACTAATGACATGATAAGTTTCTGGAAGGACTATGATCTGGATGATGAGGGTTTCATCACAGTCCTCTTTCAGTTCTGTCCTACAGATTACACTTGTTTTCTTCCTTCATCCTTTGTCTTCACTGGTTCACTGTTTCCATCTGCATTCTTCTGTTCTCATTTCTTTTTGTTGTTGTTTTATTTTTTATTTTTTAATTTATTTTTTAATTTTTTTGAGACCGAGTCTCACTCTGTCACCCAGGCTGGAGTGTAGTGGCACAGTCTTGGCTCAATGCAACCTCTGCCTCCCAGGTTCAAGTGTTTCTCCTGCCTCAGCCTCCTGAGTAGCTGGGATTACAGGCGAGCGCTACCGTGCCCGGCTAATTTTTTTGTATTTTTAGTAGAGACGGGGTTTCACCATGTTGGCCTGGCTGGTCTCGAACTCCTGACCTCAAGTGATCTGCCCGCCTGGGCCTCCTGAAGTGCTGGGATTACAGGCGTGAGCCACCGTGTCCGGCCTTGGTTTTTTTTAGAAATAGTGTCTCACTCTGTCACCCAGGCTGGAGTGCAGTGGTGCAGTCATAGCTCACTGCAGCCTCAACCTCTTGGGCTCAAGCAATTCTCCTGCCTAAGCCTCCTGAGTAGCCGGGAGCACAGACGCGCCTCACCACGCCTGGCTATGTTTTGTATTTTTAGTAGAGGTAGGGTTTTGCCAGTTGCCCAGGCTGGTCTTGAACTCCCGGACTCAAGCAGTCCACCCGCCTATGCCTCCCAATATGTTGGGATTACAGGCATGACCACTGCACCCGGCCAACATCTCTGCAGTTCTTTGTTTTAGTACTTTGTCCTTTAGCTCTGGTGGTAGCTTATCACAGTTATTTAGGTGCGTCTTTCCTTTACTTGCTGTAAGAGTGCAACCTTATTTGTCTTGAGAGTCCCCCTGGGCCTGGCACAATGTCTGGCCCACCGAGATGCCCAGCAAACGTTTGCTGAGTGAATACAGGAATGATTTCCATGTAGCTGACTTGCCGGGTCCAGAACCTGCATTTGATCCAGACGCCTCCATTCCTTCTCGCAGAGGTAGATTTGAAAGCTATTCTTGCAGGCAGGTGGAGAATCTTAAGGATCTCTGACACCCCAGTGTGTCCAAGCTCTAATTTCTGGAGGTAATAAATCTGGGAATGGATTCCATCTGGCTCAGATGGGAGACAGAACAGGTATACACAGCCAGAGACCCCAGTTCTCATCTCTTCTTTGTAGGTTTCATTATGCTGTTGTCATCATTTAAAGGAAACTGAGGCCAGGCACGGTGGCTCACACCTGTAATCCCAGCACTTTGGGAGGTCTAGACGGGTGGATCACCTGAGGTCACGAGTTTGAGACTAGCCTGGCCAACTTGGCAAAACCCTGTCTCTACTAAAAATACAAAAATTAGCTGTGCGTGGTGGCGGGCGCCTGTAATCTCAGCTACTCAAAAGGCTGAGGCAGGAGAATCGCTTGAACCCGGGAGATGGAGGTTGCAGTGATTCGAGATCACGCTACTGCACTCCAGCCTGGGAGACAGAGTGAGACTCCGTCTCAAAAATAAAAATAAATAAATGAATAAATAAATAAAAAGGAAACTAAGGCGTGCAGAGGGGTTGAAGATGTTGTCCAGGATCACACAGTTGACAGGTGACAGAGCTGGGTTGGGAAGCCAGATTCGTTAGATTTCTAGTGTGCCCCAAAACTGGTATAGGTGGTGGCCTGACACCAGAACCCAAGACTTGTTGAGGCAGGACCTCCTGAATTTAAGAGGAAGCAGTTTGAGGACTGGAAAGAATGTGGAAAGGGACGTGTGGGCCCCAGAATAGGTCAGCAGGGAGCATTTTAAGAATGCTGTTACTGGCCGGGCTTGATGGCTCACACCCATACTCCCAGCACACTGGGAGGCCGACGCAGGACTGCTTGAGCCCAGGATATTGAGACCAGCCTGGGCAACATGGTGAAACCCCATCTCTACAAAAAATACAAAAATTAGCCAGGCATGGTGGTACGCAGCTGTAGTCCCAGCTACTTGGGAGGCTGAGGCAGGAGGATCACTTGAGCCCAGGAATTTGAGGCTGCAGTGAGCTATGATTGCACCACTGCACTCCAGCCTGGGCAACATAGCAAGACTCTGTCTCAAAAAAAAAATCCTGTAACTGAAGAACAAGGACCTTTATGATTGAAAACAGGAAGTAGAAAACTCTTAGCATTGTAAAGGATTTCAGAATCTTCTAGAAAGTTCTTTCTCTGCCCTGCTCCCAACCCATCTCCCCTGCTGTTTTCATGATGGAGAGAAAATCAGGGAAGAAAGGAACACTTCCTAAGATGGCTCTCATGTCCGCCTTCTCTCCTTCTGGAAAATTCTCAGATTCAGGACCAGCACGGTCCAATACAGCTCTGCTTTGATGGAAATACTCTGTATCTGCTCTGTCCAATATGGCAGCCACCATCCACGGGTGGCTCTTGAGCCCTGGAAGTTGTGGCTGGTAAGACTGAATTCTTTTTTTTTTTTTTTGAGATGGAGTCTCGCTCTGTCATCCAGGCTGGAGTGTAATGGCACAATCTCGGCTCACTGCAACCTCTGCCTCCCAGGTTCAAGCGATTCTCCTGCCTCAGCCTCCCTAGTAGCTGGGATTACAGGCATGCGCCACTCCCCCGACCCCGCTAAGTTTTGTATTTTTAGTAGAGACGGGGTTTCACCATGTTATCCAGGCTGATCTCAAACTCCTGACCTTGGGTCATCCACCCGCCTTGGCCTCCCAAAGTGCTGGGATTACAGGCGTGAGCCACCGCACCTGGCTGAAACTGAATTTTATTTTCACTTTAATTCATTGAAATGTCAATGTAAACTTTTATTTAATTCATGGAAATGTAAAAAAAATTAGTACTCAGTTCTGTTACTGGAAAACTCTCCCATATATTTGGAACAACTTGGTTATGTGAACTTGAGGTAGTAGGCGGGACTCGTCTCCAGAGGCGGGGATCCAGCCCTGGACCAAATGGAGGACTAGCCACAAGGACAGGGCTGGCCGGGCGCAGTGGCTCACGCCTGTAATCCCAGCACTTTGGGAGGCCAAGGCAGGTGGATCACCTGAGGTCAGGAGTTCGAGACCAGCCTGGCCAACATGGTGAAACCTTGTCTCTACTAAAAATACAAAATTATCTGGATGTGGTAGTGCATGCCTGTAATACCAACTACTCGGGAGGCTGAGGCAGGAGAATCACTTGAACCCAGGCGGCAGAGGTTGCAGTGAGCCGAGATCATGTCATTGCATTCCAGCCTGGGCAACAGAGTGAAACTCCCTCTCTGACCAAAAAAAAAAAAAGTGCTGTCTAACACCACCAGCTCACCCTCGAATTCTTTCCTGGGTGAAGCCAAAAACCCTCCCGGGGTAAGGCTCAATTTTGGGGCTTGCCTCTTCTACATCAAACCTACATTTTCGATGATACTCTTTATAAAATCTACATAGACAAATCAATTTTTTTTTTTTTTTTTTGAGACACAGTCTCACTCTGTTGCCCAGGCTGGAGTGCAGTGGCCTGATCTTGGCTCACTGCAAGCTCCGCCTCCTGGGTTCACGCCATTCTCCTGCCTCAGCCTCCCGAGTGTAGCTGGGACTACAGGCACCTGCCACCATGCCCAGCTATTTTTTTTTTGTATTTTTAGTAGAGACGGGGTTTCACATGGTTAGCCAGGATGGTCTTGATCTCCTGACCTCGTGATCCACCCGACTCGGCCTCCCAAAGTGCTGGGATTACAGGCGTGAGCCACCACGCCTGGGCGACAAATCAATTATTTTTAAAGAAAAATGAGCCTCCGTTTCGAGATGGGCTGCCAGGGTAAAGCACACACCACATCTCGTAGGCGTCATGGGAAAAAAATCCTGCAGACCAGGGATCCCCAACCCTTAGGCCACAGACCAGTAGCAGTCCATGTCCTGTTAGGAGCTGGGCTGCACAGTAGAGGTGAGCAGAGGGCAGGTGAGCATTGCCGCCTGAGCTCCGCCTCGTGTCAGAACAATGGCAGCATTAGATTCTGATAGGAGCTCGAATCCTGTCGTGAACTGTGCATACAAGGGATCTAGGTTGCCTGCTCCTTATGAGAATCTAACTGATGCCTGAGGATCTGAGGTGGAACAGTTTCATTCTAAAACCATCACCACCCATCCCGTGTTCGTGGAAAAATTGTCTTCTACCATTGGTCCCTGGTGCCAAAAAGGTTGGGGACCACTGCTGTGGACTATCTCATTAATCATTTTTTTTTTAGGATTGATTATATGTGGGAATTATTTATTTATTTATTTATTTTGAGATGGAGTCTTGCTTTGTTACTTAGGCTGGAGTGCGACGGGATGATCTCAGTTCACTGCAACTTCCATCTCCTGGGTTCAAGCGATTCTCCTGCCTCAGCCTCCTGAGTAGCTGGGATTACAGGTGTGAGCCATGGTACCTGGCCCATTCGGCATATTTTAGTACGGAGATGGTGGTCAGGCACGGTGGCTCACGCCTGTAATCCCAGCACTTTGGGAGGCCGAGGTGGGCGGATCACCTGAGGTCAGAGTTCGAGACCAGCCTGGCCAACATGATGAAATCCCATCTCTACTAAAAATACAAAATTAGCCAGGTGTGGTGGCACACGCCTGTAATCCCAGCTACTCGGGAGGCTGAGGCAGGAGAATTGCTTGAACCCCAGAAGTGGAGTTTGCAGCAAGCCAAGATCATGCCACTGCACTCCAGCCTGGGCAACAGAGTAAGACTCAAGTCTCAATTAAAGAAAAAAAAAAAAAGAAAAAAGAAAATATTAGCTGTCACTTAGCACCCTCTTCCTCATTGCCTTTTTCTACCTGTACAAAGAGTGGCCATTAACCAGGTACCCATTATGAAGAACTTGAAGCATCCTTCACGCCCACTCAGAGATGTTAAAAGCCAGCAGAAGTCCTCGTGTCTATTTCTGCCTTCATTTCTAACATCCTCTGGGTATTTTCTGTCCCAGTGGTAAACTGCTCTATTGTCTTTCACTAATAGGGACACATACGGCTTTAATGAATTAAGAGTTAGATTCATAGGATATTTAAAAAGAAAAGCAATTCTTGATTGTTCCCTACAATTATAGCTGTTTAATCTTTACTCATAACAACTTTAGTGAGACAGAATTCACATGACATACAATTCACCCATTTTAAGTGTGCAGTTAGGTGGTTTTGAGGACATTTACAGTTGTGCAACTGTGACCACAGTCAGTTTTAGAATATTTGCATCATCTTCAAAGAAACCCTGTACCCTCTAGCTACTACTTTCCATCCCCCATTTCCCTAGCTCTTGGCAGCCACGAATCTATTTTCTGTCTCTATGGATTTGCCTCTTTCGGATTTTTTTGTATGAATGGAGTCAGACAACATGTGGCCTTCTCTGTTTGACTTCTTTTATGGAGAAGGTTCATACCTGTAATCCCAGCACTTTGGGAGGCCAAGACTGGAGGATTGCTTGAGTTCAGGAGTTTGAGAGCATCCTGGGCAACATAGAGAGACCACTATCTCTACAAAACAAATTTAAATTAGCTGGGCATGGTGGTGCATGTCTGTGGTTCCAGCTATACTGGAGGCATAATTTTGTTTTGTTTTTGTTTGTTTGTTTGTTTTTGTTTTTGTTTCGTGGGGTTTTTTTGGTTTTGTTTTTTGTTTTTTGAGATGGAGTTTTGCTCTGTCACCCAGGCTGGAGTGCAAAGGCACGATCTCAGCTCACTGCAACGTCCGCCTCCTAGGTTCAAGCCATTCTCCTGCCTCAGCCTCCGTAGCAGCTGGGATTACAGGCATGCGCCACCCCGCCCAGCTAATTTTTGTATTTTTAGTAGAGACAGGTTTTCACCACGTTGGCCAAGCTGGTCTCCAACTCCCGACCTCAGGTGATCCACCTGCCTCAGCCTCCCAAAGCGCTGGGATTAAAGGAGTGAGCCACTGTGGCTGGCCTTTTATTTACATTTATTTATTTATTTATTTAGAGACGGAGTCTCACTCTTTCATCAGGCTGGAGTGCAGTGGTGCAATCTTGGCTCACTGAAACCTCCAACTCTCTGGTTCAAGTGACTCTTCTGCCTTAGCTTCCCAAGTAGCTGGGACTACAGGCACTCGCCACCATGCCCAGCTAATTTTTTTTGTATGTTTAGTAGAGATGGGGTTTCACCATGTTGGCCAGGATGGTCTCAATCTCCTGACCTCGTGATCCGCCCACCTCGGCCTCCCGCAGTGCTGGGATTACAGGCGTGAGCCACTGCGGCCAGCCTGTATTTACTTTTGAGACAAGATATTGCTCTGTTGCCCAGGCTGGAGTGCAGGGGTACAAACACAGATCACTGCAGTCCTGACCTCCTAGGCTCAAGCGATCCTCCTGCCTCAGTCTCCCGTGTAGCTGGGACCAGAGACACACACCAGCATTCCTAGCTAATGTTTTAAATTTTTATAGAGATGGAGACTCGCTATGTTGCCCAGGTTGGTCTTGAACTCTTGGGTTTAAGCAATCCTTCCGTCTCTACCTCCCAAAGTGCTGGGATTACAGGCGTGAGCCACTGCACTCAGCCTCAGCTATTATGAATAATGCTGCTATAGACATTTGTGTACACGTCTTTGTGTGGACGTATAGTATCATTTCTCTTAGGTAGTTACCTAGGAGTGGAATTGCCAGGTCATATGGCAATTCTTGGTTTAATATTTTGAGGAACTACCAGAGTGTTTTCCACAGTGGCTGCACTGTTTTACATCCCCATCAGGAATGCAAAAGGATACCAGTTTCTCTACATTTTATTTTTTCTTTGAGATGGAGTCTCGCTCTGTCGCCCAGGCTGGAGTGCAGTGATCTTGGCTCACTGCAACCTCCACCTCCCAGGTTCAAGTGATTCTCCTGCCTCAGACTCCCAAGTGTCTGGAACTACATGCGCCTGCCACCACGCCCAGCTAGTTGTTTTTTGTATTTTTAGTAGAGACGGGGTTTCTCCGTGTTGGCCAGGCTGGTCTTGAACTCCTGACCTCAGGTGATCTGCCTATCTTGGCTTCCCAAAGAACTGGGATTACAAGTGTGAGCCACGGTGCCCGGCCCATTTCTTTACATTCTTTGCACTTGTAATTGTCACTCTTTTTGGTTTTAGCTATCCTAGTGGGGATAAAGTGGTATCTCACTGTGGTTTGAATTTGTATTTCTCTAATGTCCAACAGCCAGTTAATCTTTCCTTTTTTTCTGTTTTTTTTTTGAGACAGAGTCTTGCTCCATCGCCCAGGCTGGAGTGCAGTGGTGTGATCTCGGCTCACTGCAAGCTCCGCCTCCCGGGTTCATGCCATTCTCCTGCCTCGGCCTCCCAAATAGTTGCCACTACGGGTGCCCGCCACCACGCCTGGCTAATTTTTTTGTATTTTTTAGTAGAGACGGAGTTTCACCGTGTTAACCAGGATGGTTTTGATCTCCTGACCTCGTGATCAGCCCATCTTGGCCTCCCAAAGTGCTGGGATTACAGCCATGAGCTGGCCACCACGCCCAGCCGTTGTGTTTTTTTAATCGAGACGAGGTCTCACTCTGTTGCCCAAGCTGGAGTGCAGTGGTGTGATCACAGCTCACTGTAACCTCCTATTCCTGGACCCAAGTGATCCTCCTGTCTCAGCCTCCCAAGTAGCTGGAATTACAACCACATGCCACCATGCCTGGATATTTAATTATTATTATTATTTTTTAGAGTTGGGGTCTTGCTATGTTGCCCAGGCTGACTTTAAACTCCTGGCTTCAATCGATCCTCTCACTGTGGCCTCCCAAACTGCTGGGATTACAGGCATGAGCCACTGTGCCCAGCCCTAGTTAACCTTTGAATGCATATTCATGTCTGATTTTGGTTCTGCCATAGCCTGGGGAGGATGGCGGCCAAGTGTTCTTTCTACCTGCAGTGTGTGTGTGTGTGTGTGTGTGTGTGTGTGTGTGTGTGTGAGAGAGAGAGAGAGAGAGAGAGAAATGAAATATAGTGTGGGACTCAGGGTTGAGAAGCCCAGGGCTATGGCCAAATCTAAGATTAGGATGCCAGCCAGGCATGGTGGTTTATGCCCGTAATCCCAGCAATTTGGGAGGCTGAGGCGGGTGGATCACGAGGTCAGGAGATCAGGATCATCCTGGTCAACATGGTGAAATCCCGTCTCTACTAAAAATACAAAAATTAGCTGGGCGTGGTGTTGGACACTTCTTGGGAGGCTGAAGCAGGAAAATCACTTGAACCCAGGAGGTGGAGGTTGCAGTGAGCCAAGATCACGGCACTGCACTTCAGCCTGGGCAACAGAACGAGACTCCACATCAAAACAACAACAACAAAAACCCCACAAGAATTTCATAGAAACAATGAGTAATTTTTTTTAGGGTAAGTTATGTCCCAAACATTACATGGGATATACTTATCCTCAAAAAGGTATTATTGCTTATCTGAAATTCAAATTCAACTAGGCATTCTGCATTTTTCTTTGCTAAGTCTGGCAACCCTGCCAGTCACTGGTGAGTTGTGTGTCCTTGAGTGATGGTCTTTGCCTCTTGGAGCTTCAGTTTTCTCATCTATGGGATGGGGACAGAACTTGCTGGGAGGCACCAATGGCACGCGGGGTTCTTTGACATCTCTGGATGTGGAAGCTGTTGATGTGACTGACTGGGAGCCTCAGACTGGGGTTGGGTCCCTGACTAGGAGGGGTGGGGGGGCTGGGACTGGCATCCTTGTCCTCTTGAAGCTGCCTCCCAGCCTGAGCTTGGTCCCTGCAGGGTTCCTGCTTGGTTCAGACCCCAGGCAGCCAGTGTTGAGGGGAGGGTGGAGATTAATCCATAGTTGTGTACTGGGGCTTTCCTCCAACTTCCTAGCAAGCAAGTGTGTGTGTGTGTGTGTGTGTGTGTGTGTGTGTGTGTGTGTGTGTGTGTTTTCTCGACTTAGCCTAATCCATTTGCTGCATGGAATGTGATCCAGGATCACTGCTACTTTTTTTTTCCCATTTGTTTGCTTTTGCTGTGTTTTGTCGTTGTTATTGTTTTTTCTAATTTGTGCTTCTTTTGTGGGTAATTCTCAGGGTGGATTTTTTTTTTTTTTAGAGGATTTACTATTCTTCTTTAGAACAATCTGTTTTCCTCAAAGATATTGGTGGAAGGTTTAGTGTTTTGGAACAAAATAAGCAGGGGTTGTATACTGAGCCTTATATTCTAGGTGCTGAGGACTGTGGTGTGTGTGTTGGGGAGGCGGTGTGTGTGTGTGTGTGTGTGTGGGTGTGTGGGTGTGTTGGCAGAGAGAAGCCATCTAAAGACTTCAATTTTGAAAAACGTTAACTCAGGTGTAAGGGACACAAGGAGGAGAAACACGCAAATAGGTGTGCCAAGGAAAGGAAATCAGGGACGGCTGCCTGGAGGAGGAGGCAGCATTTGAACTGGATATCTTGAAGCATGATGGGCTGGATTTAGAAATAGGGAGCTAAGGTACAAAGCACTTCGCCAGCCAAAAGATAGACTAGCCTAGAGATGACTGTTATATGTTTGGGGGAATAAACAACAGCAAGAAGAACAACAACAACAAACAACAAAATAGCTGACATTAGTGCAGCACTTACTATGTCTCAGGCACTGTTTGAGTGCTTGCCCTGAGTTGTTTCACTTCTTCTTCCATATAAGCCATGTTACAGAGGAGGATAGGAGTCTTGGAGTTGTGCAAGAGTTGTGGGCAGGCCTGTTTAGTGGTGTGCAGGGGATGTAGGGGCAGAATCTTGAGGGAAGTGCAGGATGATGGGGAGCCATGGTGGGCGTTGGGGCCTGGGAGGGACCGCCTTCAGGAGAATGAGAACTCAGGGCATTTGGGCAATGGAGATCGGGCTCCCTGGGAAGCCCTCACCACACCCAGGTAAAAGGTAATTAGGTCTTGATTGCAGGTCAGGAGAGCAGTCCGGGAAGGAAAGTCAGCCAGCGAGGTGGGAGGATTGACAAAACAAATACATTTAGCTTTCCTTGCCCCATTTCTGACCGCGGGCACCTTTATCCCCGTAAATTATCTCCTGAAGATCTTCTATGTTGACGCACTGGAGACAGTTCCCCTTTCTCCTTCTGCACCTGCCGCGTTACTCAATCCCCTGTAATCCCATTGTCCCGACTGCATCATTTCAGAGGTGGTGATTTTAAGGATTTTAACAGGGCTTGCCAAAAGAATTATTTTCTTGGCGTTTTGAAAGTAATTACTTAGGCATGGGTACTTTACAGAGAAAGCTACTCATCCCGGCTGGCTGCAGAGTTTACAGGGCCCGGGATGAAAACACAGGGCCCAGGTTTCCTGTCCATGAAGCCGGCTCTGCCCCTGATCCTTCTGATGCATCCACCGTGCGTCTGCTCACCTGTCTTGCTTTCTGTTCATTTTCTCTTGTAGTGTGTCCCGGCATGGATATCCGGAACAACCTCACTAGGTTGCATGAGCTGGAGAATTGCTCTGTCATCGAAGGACACTTGCAGATACTCTTGATGTTCAAAACGAGGCCCGAAGATTTCCGAGACCTCAGTTTCCCCAAACTCATCATGATCACTGATTACTTGCTGCTCTTCCGGGTCTATGGGCTCGAGAGCCTGAAGGACCTGTTCCCCAACCTCACGGTCATCCGGGGATCACGACTGTTCTTTAACTACGCGCTGGTCATCTTCGAGATGGTTCACCTCAAGGAACTCGGCCTCTACAACCTGATGAACATCACCCGGGGTTCTGTCCGCATCGAGAAGAACAATGAGCTCTGTTACTTGGCCACTATCGACTGGTCCCGTATCCTGGATTCCGTGGAGGATAATTACATCGTGTTGAACAAAGATGACAACGAGGAGTGTGGAGACATCTGTCCGGGTACCGCGAAGGGCAAGACCAACTGCCCCGCCACCGTCATCAACGGGCAGTTTGTCGAACGATGTTGGACTCATAGTCACTGCCAGAAAGGTACGCCGGGGATACAGGGTTCTAAGCAGTGTCTCGTGCCTTGTTCTAGAAAGCTTAAAATGTTTTATGGCTTAAAAATGTTAAATGGTCATTAGGTAGGGGCCGGGGAATAGTGGGTGGTGGCATTCACTAGCCCAGGGAGTGGCAGACATTTTCTGTAAAGACTCAGATAGTAGATACTTCAGATTTTGCAGGCCATATGGTCTCTGATGCAACGACTCAATTCTGCCACTGTATTGGACAAGCAGCCACAGGCATGCATAAATGTATGACTGTGGCTGTGTTTCAATAAAACTTTATTTACAAAAACAAGTCGTGGGCCGGATTTTGCTCGAGGGCAGCAGTTTGCCACCGCCTGTGCTAGTCAGTGAATGTTCTTCTTGCTTGGGAGAGGAAAAGGAGTGGAAAACTGTAGATTCGGTTTTTTTAAAAAAATAGTTTAGTTCTTATCTGATTATAGAAGTGATATTGCTTATAATAGACATTTGGAAAAAGACACTTGTAAACGAAAAAAAAGCAAAACATTCATCTTATTCCACAACGCATGTCGCCGAGAGTAGTTTATTGGGGGTTGTTCCTTCTAGTGATCTTCAGGAATCTGTCGTGTCTACTGAAGGTTTCCTTAACCATTCCTGTTATTGGGCATTAAGATGATTTCCAGGCCGGGCACGGTGGCTCAGGCCTGTAATCCCAGCACTTGGGGAGGCTGAGGCGGGTGGACCACTTGAGGTCAGGAGTTCGAGACCAACCTGACCAACACGGTGAAACCCCATCTCTACTAAAAATACAAAATTAGCCGGGCGTGGCGGTGCACGCCTGTAGTCCCAGCTACTTGGGAGGCTGAGGCAGGAGAATCACTTGAACCCGGGAGGCGGAGGTTGCAGTGAGCCGAGATTGTGCCATTGCACTCCACCCTGGGCAACCAGAGGGAAACTCCTTCTCAAAAAAAAAAAAAAAAAAAGATAATTTCTAGTTTTCACAAAGAGAGTGATGAACATTTTAGAGTCAAAGCTTTATCTAGCAGTTGTTTCTTTAGGCTTGCTTTCCAGAAGTGCAATTTCTGGGTCAGAGGCTCTTGGTGCAGATTGACAAATGGTGTTCCGGAAATGTTGTGCCAACGGCCACTCCTCCTAGCTTTGGAGGAGAGGGAACACCTTGGCCAGCTTTGAGTGTTATTTGAAAAATCTTTCATAATTTACTGCGGGAGGGAGGAGCTGACGTGTTGTCATTGTTTCTATTTGCATTTCTTTGATTGCTATCGGGGTTGAACCTTTTAAAACATGTTTATTTATCATTTGAGTTTTCTCTTCCTGTTCATATCCTTTGCCCATTTGTCTTTTAGTACCTCAGTAGCTTTTGCAAAATTAATCTGTATGTGGTTTTCATCAGTGAAGGCTACTAACCCTTTGCCAATTGCATTTTGTTGTTTTTGTTGTTCAGTGGTTTAAATGCTCTGGGAAGTGTTTTGCTGGAGAAGCTTAAAATGTTTATGGAGTTCAGAGCTGGATTTCAGTGTGCCACTTCTGTACTTTACACTTAGAAAGTCTTCTTCTACCCATGAAAGGTTTTTTTTCTCTACATTTTATATTTTAATTTTTTTTTTTTTTTTGAGATGGAGTTTCACTCTTGTTGTTAAGACTGGAGTGCGATGGTGCAATCTCGGCTCACTGCAACCTCTGCCTCCCGGGTTCAAGCGGTTCTCCTGCCCCAGCCTCCCAAGTAGCTGGGATTACAGGCACCCACCACCAAGCCCAGCTAATTTTTGTATTGTTAGTAGAGACGAGATTTCACTACGTTGACCAGGCTGGTCTCGAACTCTCAGGTGATCCACCCACCTCGGCCTCCCAAAGTGTTGGGATTACAGGCGTGAGCCACCGCGCCCAGCCTATATTTTAATTATTATTATCTAAAAAAATTCATCCTCACTACTTGAGATCTGTTTGTGTGTGTGACTCAACGGGCGTTTCGTTTCTCTCCCAAATAGCTAACTGGGGGCCTCAGACAGCTGTTGATTATAGAAATCTACCTCTTTGCCATTGCTTTGGGGTCTGTTTCTGGTGTGTCCATAGATCTGCCTCTCCATGCCACAGAGCGGTGACTGTTCTGATCATGGTAGTGACTGTTCTGATCATGGTAGTTTTATCATGTTTTCATGCTCAAGGAGGCAATTCCACATTCACACATTACTTGTTTGTTGTTTCATGGACTTCTTTTCACATTTCCCTGGGAAGAACTAGGGAACATGCGATGGAGGTGGGAAGAAGTTAAGTGGGTGGCTTGAGGGTTGTATCACAAAAGATAGAAGGGAGGGGAGAAAGGAGGATCTTCTTATCTGAGCCCAACGCTCTGGGGAAGCCACCCAGAGTGAGTGAGTCCTTAAATAGACCTAAATAGAATCCTTGGAATTGTCTGTGAGGACTCCCTTGGAGCCCCCAGCATGAGTCCTTCCATGGGACATGTTGGATGGTTGGAAATCGGGAGTGGGATAGTTGAAAAAGGAAGATGGGTTAGTGAAGGGTGGTGGGAGAGGGGACCGTTATTATTGCACTGTGGAAAAATCCTGAGAATATTGTAGGTCAGGGGCAAGGAGAAGCTAAACTATGACCAGAGAGGTTACTTAACTTGCCCAGAGCCACACAGCTAATAAAAGACAGAACTGGGGTTTGTGCCAAATTTATGCAAGACATACACCAGAATAAAAGCTATGATTTTTTGGAGGAGTGGGAAGGATGTCCTCTCTGTTTAGAAACAAGTGAGCTGCTTCTAGCTGGGACACCAGGGGAAACAGTGAACATTCTTTTATTCTATTACTGAGTTTTCCAAATGTAGTGCTTGTTTGAAAAGCTCTAGGCCTACCTATCTTGAGATATAATTTAAGACATTCCTCTATGAATTTATTTTTGTATCTGTTTTAGACAAAATATCCAGAATGGTGTTATCTGCAATTGAGTCTCCTGCTCCCTGCTGGGTGTTCAGTTGTTGTTGCTGTTGTTTGTTTGTTTGTTTGTTTTTGAGACAGAGTCTCGTTCTGTCACCCAGGCTGGAGTACAGTGGCACAATCTCGGCTCACTGCAACCTCCACCTCCTAGGTTCAAGCAATTTTCCTGCCTCAGCCTCCCAAGTAGCTGGGATTACAGGTGTCACCACATCCGGCTACTTTTTTTTTTTTTTTTTTGAGATGGAGTTTCGCTTTTGTTGCCCAGGCTGGAGTGCAATGGCATGATCTTGGCTCACCGCAATTTCTGCCTCCTGGCTTCAAGCGATTCTCCTGCCTCAGCCTCCCGAGTAGCTAGGATTACAGGCATGCGCCACCACACCCAGCTAATTTTGTATTTTTAGTAGAGATGGGATTTCTCCATGTTGGCCAGGCTGGTCTCGAACTCCCGACCTCAGGTGATCTGCCCGCCTTGGCCTCCCAAAGTGCTGGGATTACAGGGGTGAGCCACCGTGCCTGGCCAACACCTAGCTAAGTTTTGTGTATGTTGTAGAGACAGGGTTTGGCCATGTTGGTCAGGCTGGTCTCAAATTTCTGAGCTCAAGCACCTCGGCTTCCCAAAGTGCTGGGATTACATGCATCGGCCACTGTGCCTGGCTGTGCCTGGCTGTGCCTGATGTTTTGAGTGAATTAAAAATTGCTTTGCTATTAAGAACCAGGCTTTTGTGTCCAGGAGGTCGAAGCTGCACTGAGCCCTGTTCATGCCACTGAGCTCCAGCCTGGGTGACAAACTGAGACTCTATCTCAAAAACAAAAGAAAACAAAAACAAAAATGAACACAAAACAAAACAATAAAAAGAACCGGGCTTGTTTTTCCAGTACTGGGGGTTTTGTTACCCGGAGAAGGTGCGACTAACACTTCCCGGGGTACCGGGTTCCTGGCATGTGGTATATATCTCAGCCATCCATTAGTAGCAGTATCCCCAGGGGGCCAAAAAATGATTGTTTTTTGAACTGTTGCCCCTGTCTTTGAGAGCAACTCAGCTTCAGCTTTCTTTCCCCTCTTCAATTTCTTGTATTGTGATAAAATACACATAGAATAAATTTTTCATCTTAACTTTTTTTTTTTTTGAGATGGAGTCTTGCTCTGCCACCTAGGCTGGGGGGCAGTGGTGTGATCTCAGCTCACTGCAACCTCCGCCTCCTGGATTCAAATGATTCTCCTGCCTCAGCCTTCCGAGTGACTGGGACTTATAGGCACCAGCCACCATGCCCGGCTAAGTTTTGTATTTTCAGGACAGAGGGGGCTTTGCCATGTTGGCCAGGATGGTCTCAAACCCCTGGCCTCGAGCAATACACCCACCTCAGCCTCGCAAAGTGCTGGGATTACAGGTGAGTGCCACCGCGCCTGGCCCCATCTTAACCATTTTAAGTCCACAGTTTTCAGTGGCATTAAGCACGTTCACGTGGTTTTGCAACCATCACCACCACCATCTCCCAAACTTTCTCATCCTCCCAAACTGAAACTCTGTCCCCATGAAACACTCACTCCACCATCTCCCTCTCCCAGCCCCCTGGCACCTACCATCCTATTTTCTGTCTCTATGAATGTGATGACTGTAGGGACCTCCTGTGAGTGGAATCAGACGGGATTTATCCTTTTGTGCCTGGCTTATTTCACTGAGCATGTTGTCCTCAAGGTTCATCCACGTGGTAGCCTGTGTCGGAAATTCTTTCCTTTTTAAGGCTGAATCATGTTCCATTGTATGGAGGGAGCACATTTTGCCTGTGTATTCATCCATCTACGGGCACTTGGTCGCTTTCACATTTCTGCCATTGTGAATCAGGGCCACTGCTGTTGACGCATCTAGCTTTTCAATGCCTGCATTAACCTTGTTGCTGAGGCTTTAGGAAACTTATTTATTTATTTATTTTTTGAGACGGAGTTTTGCTCTCGTCGCCCAGGCTGGATTGCAATGGTGCGATCTCAGCTCACTGCAACCTCTGCCTCCCGGGTTCAAGCGATTCTCCTGCCTCAGCCTCCCGCGTGGCTCGGATTACGGGCACCTGCCACCACGCCCAGTTAATGTTTTGGATTTTTAGTAGAGATGGGGTTTCACCATGTTGGCCAGGCTGGTCTTGAACTCCTGACCTCAGATAATCCACTGGCCTCGGCCTCCCAAAGTGCTGGGATTACAGGCGTGAGCTACCGCGCCCAGCCTTAGGAGGCTTATTTGATGTCTGATGGGATTTTTGAATACAGAATAGATTGAGCCTTCAGAGGATACTCCCCTGTCTTAGGTGACAGAAATGGGCTGGAGAAAACTATCCATCAACCCCTCTTTTCCCCCAGAGTCTTTTCAGATACTTCTGTGAACATCCGTAGTTGCTATTTTTGTCTTCCACACTTGGCAGCTTCTGGAAGCATCAGGGGAATGCATCAACATTTAGGATGAAGGTGCTGGTTTGTCCTTTGGACCTAGTTTAAGCAATTCCGAGCAACATCCACCCCTTCTTCTACCTGTCCCTTAAGCACTTTTTACAGGGAGACCAAAAAAAGGCTTTCAATGGTTAAGGGGGCCGGGTGTGGAGGCCCCACACCTGTAATCCCAGCACTTTGGGAGGCCGAGGTAGGTGGATCGCTTGAGGTCAGGAGTTCGAGACCAGCCTGGCTAACATAGCAAAACGCTGTCTCTACTAAAAATATGAAAATTAGCCAGGCGTGGTGGTGGGCGCCTGTAATCCCAGCTACTTAGGAGGCTGAGGCAGGAGAATCACTCGAACCCGAGAGGCAGAGGTTGCAGTGAGCTGAGATCGTGCCATTGCACCCCAGCCTGGCCGACAGAGTGAAACTCCATTTTTTAAAAAAAGAAAAAAAAATGGTTAGGGGAATTAAAAGAAAAACAAAAAAACATGGCATGTGCTAATGATCCATAGCCTGGACACCCTCTCTCCATTATCCTGCAATGGATTTGGGGCAAAGATACCAGGAGAGGTCCAATGCACGAAGCCTTACATGGGAAGAGTGGAGACGGGGTCTATGCAGTTCGTTTATTGACTGCCTACTAGGTGTCATGTTCTGGGGCGCTCAGGGCATAGGAAGGGAGCCAGCCTTTGCCTCCTCAGAGCGGCCAGTCTAGTGGCAAATGCAGATGTTCACGATCAAACCAAGTACACTCAGAAGAGGGGGAGAGTTAGAGGGAGATCTACATTAGTTCAGCCAGCTGGACGCGGTGGCTCATGCTTGTAATGCCAGCACTTTGGGAGGCCGAGGAGGGCAGACTGCTTGAGCTCAGGAGTTCGAGACCAGCCTGGGCAACATGGAGAAACCCCGTCTCGACAAAAAATACAAAAATTAGCCAGGCATGGTGGCAGGTGCCTGTAACCCCAGCTACTTGGAAGGCTGAGGTGGGAGGATCGCATGGGCCCCGGGGGCGGAGGTCGCAGTGAGCTGAGATCACACCACTGCACTCCAGCCTGGGCGACAGAGTGAGACTCGGTGAGACTCTGTCTTTAAAAAAAAAAAAAAGAAGTTCTTTGAGGCAAGCAGCACCGGCTTCCAGTCTCGTTTTACCATTGACTGGTCACAAGCTGGTTCAAGCCTCAGTTTCTCCATCTGAAAAATGGGGGTCATTATGGGACCTGCTTCTTAGGGTGGTGGTGTGGGGGTTGAATGAGATGGTGCAGGGGGAGGCACTTAACCTAGCCTCAGGTGCTCCGTGAGTGTCCTGGAAGCTTCCAGTAAGTAAGCACCATGGGCCCACCCTATCTGGGCAGACTAGCTTCCAGGTGAATATCTACCAGGGCTCAGCCTCATTTCTGACTTTGGTTTTGAGGCAGGCAGAGGAACATGTATCTTGCGACCTGCTGATGAGGGATGGGTGCCACACCTCCAGCCCCAGAGGGAAGACCACCCTGATTTTTGGGTGCCAACAGCATGGGATGCTCTGGAAATTCTCAGCTCTGGGCATTTTGAGGGGACCAGAAGCCACAGGGCTTGCCTGACCAGCTGCTTTAGCCAAACCCACTGGCATTTTCTTTCTGGGAGGTCACCCCAGCTGCTCACTGCCGGCCAGAGGGGTGGGTGAGGCCGGGACATGCTGGGTGCCAGGGGAAACCAACCCGAGATGCCACATATGGACGTCGGCACCAAAGCAGGAGGGGGAGGCTGAAAGCAGCAAATCCCTCCTCCCTGGGTCTGAGATTACAGCTCCGAGTCAAAGTCTCTCAAAGTGTGGTATTGTGCCTACCACATTAAATATCACGTATTTAAATGCACGAGTTTAAATGCATGCTCTTGGAGGGTTTGATTTTTGGCAGAATTTTTAGCTGCCTATGGAAACTCTCTGCTTCTTTTTCTTCTTCCATTTAAAAAGTTTGCCTTGATATTTTATTTTTTTACATTTTTATTTAGTTTTTAATATTTTTTTAAATTGAGATGGGAGTCTTGCTATGTGGCTCAGGTCGGTCTCAAACTCCTGGACTCTAAGGAATCCCCCCACCTCAGCCTCTCAAAGTGCTGAGATTTCACATGTGAGCCACCACGCTGGACTTGACTTGATTTTGTTTTCTTTTTCTTTTTTTTTTTTTTGAGACAGAGTCTCGCTCTGTTGTCCAGGCTGGAGTGCAGTGGCATGATCTGAGCTCACTGCAACCTCCGCCTCCTGGGTTCAAGCGATTCTTCTGCCTCAACCTCCTGAGTAGCTGGGATTACAGGCACGTGCCACCATGCCTGGCTAATGTTTGTATTTTTAGTAGAGATGGGGTTTCGCCATGTTGCCTAGGCTGGTCTTGAACTCCTGGCCTCAAGTGATCCGCCTGCCTTGGCCTACCAAAGTGCTGGGATTACAGGTGTGAACCACTACTCTGGGCTTGCCTTGGTATTTTAACAATCGGAATTGTCTTTGTGGCAAATGCTGATTTCATGCCAGCCGTGGTTCTGGGTGCTTTGATTAGGATATTGCATCCCATCTTCCCAACAATCTTATTTATTGTTGAGACCACTAAGGCTTCGAGAGGTTAAGCAACTTCTACTTCCAACACTGCCCCGCCCACCCCTTCCGCCGCGCACCCCACACACATGGGTAGTAAGTAGTGGAGATGGGATTTGAAGCTGGGGATTCTGGCTCAGAATCCAAGCTCTTTACCTTTGTGTCTTATAGATGTCATTGCGGGAAGTTGGTGAAATGCAGGAAACTGTAAAAAGAAAGGAAGGAAGGAGGGAAGGAAGGAAGGAGGGAAGAAAGAAAAGAAAAGGAAGGAAAAAAGGAAGGAGGGAAGAAATAAAAGGAAAGAAAGGAAGGAAGGAAGGAGGGAAGGCGGGAAGGAAAGAAGGAGGGAAGGAGAAAGGAAGGAAGAAAGAAAGGAAGGAAGGAGGGAAGGAAAGGAGGGAAGGAGAAATGAAAGAAGGAGTGAAGGAAGGAAGGAGGAAAGAAAAAAAGGAAGGAGGGAAGGAAGGAAGGAAGAAGGAAAGGAAGGAGGGAAGGAAGGAAGGAAAGAAGGAAAAGAAACTGGAGAGGAAATCTAGAATTTGCCCCTGCCAACATGTGTGTTGCCTCTTCTTATCAGCCTTCTCATTCTGTCTTGACTTAGGGCCTCTCCTATCAGACTAAGCTCTCCTGAAGGCAGGGACTTTGTTGTATCTCAAGCACCTGTCATAGTACCTGGCTCACAGTTGACAATGACATCCTTAACACTCATCAATAGCTAGTGTTTACTGAGCACTTACTATGTGCTAAGCAATGCCTTAGGGGATCCCATCACAGCCTATGAGGGTTTGTTATCCTCATTTTACAGAAGAGGGAACTGAGGCATGGCTAGGAATTATGAGACTTGCTCTAGGAGACCTAGCTGGGGAATGGTTTGACTTCAGACTTGTCTGACGTAAGGCCTTTGCCCAGTGATCAGCAAACTACGACCTGTGGGCCAAATCCAGTCCGCCAGCTGCTATTTTTGTATGACCTATGAGCTAAGAATTTTTTATTTTATTTTTATTTTTAGAGATGGGGTCTCACTCTGTCGCCTGGGCTGGAGTGCAGTGGGGTGATCATAGGCCACTGCCACCTCAGTCAGCCTCCTCAGTAGCTGGAACCACAGGCAGGCACCACCACGCCCAGCTAATTTCTTTTTATTTTTTTAGTAGAGATGGGGTCTTGCTATGTTGCCCAGGCTGGTCTCAAACAATTGGGTTCAAGCAATCCTCCTTTCTTGGCCTCCCAAAGTGCTGGGACTATAGGCGTGAGCCACTGTGCTTGCCTGGCTTAAGAATGCTTTTTCACATTTTTGGCCGGGCATGGTGGCTCATGCCTGTAATCCCAGCACCTTGGGAGGCCGAAGCGGGCAGATCACTCGAGGCCAGGAGTTCAAGACCACCCTGGCCAACATGGAGAAACCCCATCTCTACTAAAAAATGTACAAACATTAGCTGAGCGTGGTGGCGGGCACCTGTAATCCCAGCTACTCAGGAGGCTGAGGCAGGAGAATCACTTGAACCTGGGAGGCGGAAGTTGCAATGAGTGGAGATTGCGCCACTGCACTCCAGCCTGGGTGACAGGGTGAGACTCTGTCTATATATGAGCTGGACATTCAGCATTCAGGGATAGAGGCTGTTTCAGTGGGACTTGGGAGCACCACGGCCTGAGGCCATACAGCCCAGCTGCCCTTTGCTGGTACTTCCTTCCTTCCTTCCCTCTTTCCTTCCTTTCTTTCCTTTTCTTTCTTCCCTCCTTCCTTTCTTCCTTCCTTCCTTACTTTTTGAGACTCTGTCTCAAAAAAGAAAAAAAGAAAAAAAAATGTGGGGTAGAGCACTGTACTGAAAAAAATTCCACAGTAGTTGTAATTCATTTTTCACTCAGATGATTAGCATTTTTTTTTTTTTTTTTTGGAGCTCTCTGTTTGGGTGGAGGAGGGCAGTATATGTACAAGGCAAGGCCCCCACTCCACCCTCCTCCCTCCTCCCACCCCGCCTTTCCCCTTCGAGTGAGTCATCGAACCCGTGCTTCTAGACGTGTTTGGAGCAGAGCACCTGGAAATCATGATGTTCTCTAGATAACAGGGAATATTGATAAATTCCCTTGTGGCGATGTCACTGTCGTCCATACAGAAGACAGGAAAGTGTAACGCCTGCACACGGGGATCCAACAAAAAGAAAAAGATAAGGTGGGGGAGGCCGGGCACGGTGGCTCAGGCCTGTAATCCCAGCACTTTGGGAAGCCAAGGTGGGTGGATCAACTGAGGTCAGGAGTTCGAGACCACCCTGGGCCAACATAGTGAAACCCCGTCTCTACTAAAAATACAAAAATTAGCTGGGTATGGTGGTGGGCACCTGTAATCCCAGCTGCTTGGGAGACTGAGACAGGAGAATCGCTTGAACCCAGGAGGCGGAGGTTGCAGTGAGCCGAGATTGTGCCACTGCACTCCAGCCTGGGTGTCACAGCGAGACTCCATCTCAAAAAAAGAAAAAAAAAAAAAAAAAAAAAGGTAGGGTAGAGCATGTAACGTGAATGATGGCCCACTTGAATCTCTCATTCGTCTTTCTTCCCTTTTATGTTGTCAAAGATCTTTAAAAAAAAAATCTAGGAGAGAAACAAACAAAAAAAACTGTACTGAAAAAAATTCCACAGTAGTTGTAATTCATTTTTCACTCAGATGATTGGCATTTTTTTTTCTTGTTTTTTCTTTTTGAGACAAGGGTCTCAACTCTGTTGTCCAGGCTGGGGTGCAGTGGCGCAATCTTGGCTTACTTCCGCCTCCTGAGTAGCTGGAATTCCAGGCACGCACCACCATGCTGGCTAATTTTTGTATTTTTTGTAGACATGGGGTTTCACCACGTTACCCAGGCTGGTCTTGAACTGCTGGGCCCAAGCAATCCACCTGCTTCAACCTCCCAAACTGTTGCATTATATTATAGGTGTGAGCCACTGTGCCAGCCAGGATTGGAATTATTTATTTATTTATTTAGTGAGATGGAGTCTTGCTCTGTTGCCCAGGCTGAAGTGCAGTGGCGCAATCTCGGCTCACTGCAACCCCTGCCTCCCGGGTTCAAGTGATTCTCCTGCCTCAGCCTCCCAAGTAGCTGGGACTACAGGCGCCCACCACCACACCCGGCTAATTGTTGTGTTTTTTTTGTATTTTTAGTAGAGACAGGGTTTCACTATGTTGGCCAGGGTGGTCTCGAACTCCTGACCTCAGGTGATCCTCCCACTTTGGCCTCCCAAAGCGCTGGGATTACAGGCGTGAGCCGCCATGCCCAGCCCTTATTTATTCATTTTTATTTTATTTTAAAATAAAATAAATTTTAAAAATTTGATTGAAATTTTTTAAACAAACTTTTCACTTTGGAGATGATTGGATTTTGTAGAGCAGGAAAGAACAAGTACCCTAGAGAGTATGTTTCTGGGCTCCCGGCTCCTCTTCCGGGGGTTGAAGATGAATTGCCGTTGGCCTTTGTAAAAGAGGAGAGATTGTTCCAGATTGGAGTGGCAGAGATGTGCTTTGGTTTGGGTGGCAAGGATCACAAAGAAAGAAGATGAGGTTGGGTGTGGTGGGTCATACCTGTAAACCCAGCACTTTGGGAGGCCGAGGCAGGAGGATCACTTGAACCTAGAATTCGAGCTCAGCCTGGGCAACATAGCAAGACCCCATCTCTACAAAAAATTTTAAAAAATTAGCCAAGCATGGTGCTGTGTGCCTATAGTCCCAGCTACTCAGGAGTCTGAGGTGGGAGGATCGCTTGAGCCTGGGACTTTGAGGCTGCAATGAGCTATGATTACACCACTGTACCCCAGCCTGGGTAACAGAGTGAGACCCTGTCTCAAAAACAAACAAACAAAAACAGAAGGAAGGAAGGAAGGAAAGAAAGAAAGAAAGAAAGAGAAAAGACAAGACAAGAAAAAAAAAAAAAAAGAAAAGACAGGGTGAGAGGGAAGGGTATTCGGGTGGATGAAATGGCAAAGAGAAGGCCAAGAGGCGTTTTGTGGGCAAGAGTGAAGAGGGTGCCTCATGCCGGGAAGGGAGGCTTGGACCAGTGCAGGGTCCTTATGGGCTCCAATGCCGTCATGAAGGTCACACAGGGGCTGTGTTTAGGAGGGGCTGTTTCCACCAATACTGAGTGGACAGCCTTGCTGAGCCAGGCTTTTTGTTGCGTCCCCGAAGTCCTTGCTGAGTCAGGGAGGAAGTCAAAGTAACTATCAGGTTAGATAAGCTGATGGGTGGGCAGAAAGTGTTTTGGTGGGTTCAAGGCTGCGCTGAAAGATGGTAGACCAGTTGACCGTGTGGTCACTTGGCTGCCCCAGAGATGATGCTGTCTAAATCTTGAGTGGTGAAGATAACGAATTTACAATTCCCACCATTGCCTGGCTTCCTGGAGCGGGTGGGTGCGGGGACCGGGGAGGGGGGCCGGGGGAGGCTGAGGGCTATCAGTTGAAACTGACCTTTTGGCCCAATCCTTTTGGGAAGAAGGCGGGTAGAGTTAAAATCCATCGTAATGGAAAGGCGGCTTTCCCTTTGGCTGTCTGCTAACTTGGTGACTGGCCTGACAAGTTTTTCTTTTCCTTCCTCCTACCTGATACTCACTGACCGGTTACTTCCCATGTCACCCGACCCTTTGTCAGAATTAAAATCTGTTCTTTGTGACTGAACACCTGAAATGCCCCGGGGAGGACCCAAGGAAGTCAGCGAGCGCCTGTGCGTCAGGCTGGCAGCCCAGGTCCTTCAGTGATCTGTTTCTCTCAATGCGCCTGTGTCAGATAGAACCGTGCATTTCCCAGTAAAAGGAGGTGATGTGTGTGCTGGAGTTTCAAGATTGTACCCCTTATCCTATCTCCCCTTTCCTCTGTCTTCCCTCTCTACTTTTTTATTTTGTTGTTTGTTTGTTTGTTTTTGAGATGGGGTCTTGCTCTGTCACCCAGGCTGCAGTGCAGTGGTGCGATCATAGCTCACTGCAGCCTCAGCCTTTTGGGCTCAAGCAATCCTCCAGCCTCAGCCTGGCCAGTAGCTGGAACTATGGGTGCATGCCACCACGCCCAGCTAATTTTATTTACTTATTTACTTATTTATTAAAGAGATGGAGTCTTGCTATGTTTCCCAGGCAGCTCACAAATTCCTGTCCTCAAGTGACCCTCTCGCTTCAGCCTCCCCCATTAGCTAAGACTACAGGTGCGCACCACCATCCCTGGCTAATTTATTTTTTAAATTTTTCTTTTTGTAGAGATGGGGATTTTGCTATGTTGCCCAGGCTGGTCTTGAACTCTTAGACTCAAGCAATCCTCCCACTTTGGGAAGCCCAAAGTGTTAGGATTACAGGTGTCAGCCACCAGGCCGACCTGTTTGCTCATTTTTCCTTTTCCTTTTTTCTTTTCTTTTCTTTTTTCTTTTTTTTTTTGAGATGGAGTTTCGCTCTGTCACCCAGGCTGGAGCACAGTGACACAATCTCGGCTCACTGCAACCTCTGCCTCCCAGGTTCAAGCGATTCTCCTACCTCAGCCTCCTGAGTGCTGGGATTACAGGGGCATGCCACCACGCCCGGCTGATTTTTGTATTTTTTAGTGAAGACGGGGTTTCACCAGGTTGGCCAGGCTAGTCTCAAACTCCTGGCCTCAAATGATCCACCAGCCTCAGCCTCCCAAAGTGTTGGGATGACAGGCGTGAGCCACCACACTCGGCCCGTTTGCTCATTTTTAAACATAAATGATGTCAAGAGTGGGAAGCAAACAAGAAAGTGTTGAAAGCATTGCTCTCCTCTGCTCCCTGGTTACCTATCATCCTGGGGCCCGAGGAGTGGCTGCAGATTGGGCCACCTTCCTCCAATCACAGGTTTGGGAAGTGGACCAAAGTCTTTCAACACACTGGACTTAGCATGATCATCAAATTTGCACTGGAGGGGCCAGGCACACGCCTGTAATCCCAGCACTCGGGGAGGCTGAGGCGGGCAGATCACTTGAGGTCAGGAGTTCGAGACCAGCCTGGCCAACGTGGTGAAACCCCGTCTCTACTAAAAATACAAAAATAAGCCGGGCTGGTGGTTGGAACCTGTAATCCCAGCTACTCGGGGGGCTGAGGCAGGAGGATTGCTTGAACCCGGGAGGTGGAGGTTGCAGTGAGTCGAGATCACGTCACTGCACTCCAGCCTGGGTGACAAAAGCAAAACCTCGTATCAAATAATTAAATAAATAAATAAACAAATAAATAAATAAAAAATTACACTGTAGGGCATGTGGTAGGTGAAGCCCACCATTGTCAAGTACCTACCTAGAGGGTTTGGGGTAGAGGGTCCTGTGGCTTCTTCTATTTTTTTTTTTTGGCGGAGTCTCACTCTGTCACCAGGCTGGAGTGCTGTGGCACGATCTTGGCTCGCTGCAACCTCCGCCTCCCGGGTTCAAGGGATTCCCCCGCCTCAGCCTCCTGAGTAGCTGGGACTACAGGCGCCCGCCACCACGCCCGGCTAATTTTTTTGTATTTTAGTAGAGACAGGGTTTCACCATGTTGGCCAGGATGGTCTCAATCTCTTGACCTTGTGATCTGCCCGCCTTGGCCTCCCAGGGTGCTGGGATTACAGGCGTGAGCCACCGCGCCTGGCTGTGGCTTCTTTATCCTAGAAGTTTCTTTGCCTCTCGTTTTGTCCCAGGCGAGGAGGGTCTTGGATCTTTAATGACTCCATGGCTTATTGAGTGTAGCCCAGAAAGAATGGTTGTTTAATAGGCTTTATTACCGAGTGTTTCCAAGGGCTTACCTGGGGAAGGAAAACATTTTTACTCGGAGGTCTGATAAGGATGGGCTTTAAAGCGCTGGCAGCTAGTCATGTCCACACGCGGTGTGCGAAGCACGGCGTTGTTTACTGACCACCTGCAAAGCCCGTCGGCTGGTGAACAAGGCTCTTGTCCCAGGCTGCCTCATTGGTGGTGATGATGTTAAGAGTTTCCTCATTTGCAAATAAATTGACTAACCTAGCAGACGGGTTTGATCCAAAGTGGTCAAGATTCCTTTTCTTTAAATTTGTTTTTTTTTTGAGATGGAGTCTTGCTCTGTCACCCAGGCTGGAGTGCAGTGGCGTGATCTCAGCTCACTGCAACCTCCTGGATTCAAGCGATTCTCCTGCCTCAGCCTCCTGAGTAACTGGGATTATAGGTGAACACCACCACGCCTGGCTACTTTTTTTGTATTTTTAGTAGAGATGGGGTTTCGTCATGTTGGCCAGAATGGTCTTGAACTCCTGACCTCAAGTGATCCACCCACCTCGACCTCCCAAAGTGCTGGGATTACAGGCGTGCGCCACTACGCACTGGCAAATTTTTGTATTTTCAGTAGAGACAGGGTTTCGCCATGTTGGCCAGGCTGGTCTTGAACTCCGGACCTCAGGTGATCCACCCACCTCAGCCACCCAAAGTGCTACAATTACAGGCGTGAGCCACCGCACCTGGGCTATTTTCACTTCTTTCGAAGTTATACCTAGGAGTGGAATCGCTGGGTCAGTTGGTAATTCTATATTTAATTAATGGAATCAAGATTTCTTTTTCTTTTCTTTTTTTGGTTTTACTTTAAAAAATTCTATCTTATTACATAAAAAAACCACAGGTTCAGAAAAGCCACACCAAACAAATGAATAGCCTAATGGTTCACTCTAACGTCAACACTCATATAATCCCTAACTCTGGTTGAGAAATAGTACTTTGCCAGAACACCCCCTCCAAAAGCCATGCCACGGACCACATCCTAGTCACAGGCCTCTTCCCCCAGAGTAGTCACTGTCCTGTCTTTTGTAGACATCACTTCCTTCTTTCTGTATAGTTTTATCACCCAAGTGTGAATCTGTAGACAAATATTTAGCTTTGCCCATTAAAAAAAAAAATTGATGGCCGGGCATGGTGGCTCATGCCTGTAATCTCAGCACTTTGGGAGGCTGAGGCGGGAGGATCACTTGAAGCCAAGAGTTGGAGACCAGCCTGGACAACATAGTGAGACCCCATCTCTACTAAAAATAAAATAAAAAATTAGCCGAGCATGGTGGTGCATGCCTGTAGTCCCAGCTACTCGGGAGGCTGAGGTGGGAGGATCGCTTGAGCACAGAAGGTTGAGGCTGTAATGAGCCGAGATTGCATATTGCACTCCAGCCTGCGTGACAGAGCAAGACCCTGGCTCAAAAATTAACACAATAAAATAAATTGATGTGTTTGTTTGGGTCTCTAGCAGTGGTTTTGAACTGAGGGTGATTTTTTTTGTCTCCCAGGGGACATTTGGCAATGTCTGGAGATATTTTTTGGTTGTCACAACTCCAGGGAATGTGTGTGTACTGCTTTCATTGAGCAGATGGAGGCCAGGGATGCCGTTCAACGTCCTGCAATGCAGAGACAGCCCAGCCACAAAGAATGATCCAGCCCCAAATGTCAATAGTGCTGAGGGGCAGAAAGCCTGGTCCACAGGTTCTCCCTCCATCCCTTTCCTTTTACCTTCTCTCTGTTGAAGAGCTGGGCTTTCTGGCTTGGGGTGCAGTCCCCAGTCTGAGTGTTGCTGATCGTACGTTCCTGGGACAGTTCTGCTTGCCCCTCTGAGCTCCAGACTCAGAGCTAGGGTCACACTCAGGTTCTACCTCTTGGACTGACTTTATTTAACAAGTACCATTTCAGCACTCTCTGCAGTCAGCTGTTTTCAAAGGCGACCATGCTTGATGCTGTTCGTTTGCACATGGCTCTGAGTGGTGGTGTGTTCTTTGATTTTTTTTCTTTTTCTTTTGTTTTAAAGAAAAACACACCGTTTTTTAAACACGGTTGCCCGAACTCTCATCTTCTTCCTCCCTGCCCTCCCTCCCTCCCTCCTCTCCTTCCTTCCTTCCCTCCCTCCTTCCTTCCTTTTTCTTTATTTCCTCCCTTCCTTCCTTCTCTCCCTCCCTCTCCCTTCCTCCCTTTATCCTTCTCTCTTTCCTTCCTTCCTTCTCTTTCTTTTCTTTCTTTCTTTTCTTCCTTTTCTTTCTTCTTTCTTTTCTTCTTTCTTCCTTGCTTTCTTTTTATTTCTTACCTCCCTTCCTTCTCTCCCTTCCTCTCTCCCTCCTCCTTCCTCTTTCCCTTTCTCCCTCCTCTTTCTTTTTCTCTCTCTTCCTTTCATTTTTCTCCCCTCCCCTCCCCTTCTTCTCCTCCCCTCCTTCCCCTCTCCTCCTTCCCATCCCCTCTCTTCCCTTTTCTTCCTTTCCTTCTTTTCCCTCCCTCTCTCTTTCTTTTCTCCTTTCCTTTCCTTTCCCTCTCTTTTCTTTCTTTCTTTTCTTTCGACAGGGTCTTGCTCTGTCACCCAGGCTGGAGTGCAGTAGCATGATCATAGCTAACAGCAGTCTGGAACTCCTGGTCTCAAGCCATCCTCCCACCTCAGCCTCCAGAGTAGTTGGGACTACAGGCCCCTGTCACCATGCCCAGTTATTTTATTTTATTTTTTTTTGAGACAGAGTCTGGCTCTGTTGCCCAGGTTGGAGTGCAGTGGTGCGATCTCAGCTGTCTGTAACCTCCACCTCTTGGGCTCAAGTGATTCTCCTGCCTCAGCCTCCTGAGTAGCTGGGACTACAGGCACCTGCCACCACGCCCGGCTAATTTTTTGTATTTTTAGTAGAGACGGGGTTTCACCCTGTTAGCCAGGATGGTCTCGATCTCCTGACCTCGTGATCCACCCTCCTTGGCCTCCCAAAGTGCTGGGATTACAGGCGTGAGCCACCGCGCCCAGCCGCTAATTTTTTTTTAATTTATTTTTTGTACAGATGGAGTCTCACTATATTGCCCAGGCTGGTCTTGAACTCCAGGGCTCAAGCAGTTCTGGCACACTAGCCTCCCCCAATTCAATGGGATTACAGGTGTACCCATTTTTTAAAAATGGGCCAGACTAAATATTTGTCTAGAGATCCATACTTGAGTGATAAAGCTATATGAGGTTCCATCTGGGAATTCGGTTCTGCGGTAAAACGGTGCCGACGGGCCTCCCTTTTTTTAGTGTCTGACAAACA
This sequence comes from Homo sapiens, assembly GCF_000001405.40. Classification (NCBI taxonomy): domain Eukaryota; kingdom Metazoa; phylum Chordata; class Mammalia; order Primates; family Hominidae; genus Homo; species Homo sapiens. Next base: position 7,249,435 of record NC_000019.10, on the reverse strand, counting down.
GGGCACAGACCGAACTTCATAACAAAACTTTGTGTTCTTGACGAAGGCAAGTTTTGCTAAGAAAATTATTTTTATAAGCGAGAAAGGTATGAAGGTTATTTGCAAAGGAATTTTACTGGGGTGAGAAAAAAAGCAAGAGGTTTACCTTAGGATTCCTGGTGGTAAAGAAGATGGAATGGGCAGAAGACGTCATCACAGATGTCACGGGGAGAGCGATAGCTGAACCTCTGAAAGGAAAGAGGTTCCCAGGGAAGGATGAATTTGATGCAGGAAAAAAGTTAGAGGATGGTCTTAAATTTGTCAATGTAGTTCAGAGGAAAGTGTAATTCTTCACAGACTTTTAGTTTTGAAAGGATGGCTTCAAAAGATACTGGGGGACATGGGCGCAGTAACTCACGCCTGTAATCCCAGCATTTTGGGAGGCCGAGGTGGGCGGATCATCTGAGGTGGGGAGTTCGAGACCAGCCTGATCAACATGGAGAAACCCTGTCTCTACTAAAAATACTTAATTAGCTGGGCGTGGTGGCGCATGCCTGTAGTCCCAGCTACGTGGGAGGCTGAGGCAGGAGACCATCGCTTGAACCTGGGAGGCAGAGTTTGCAGTGAGCCAAGATCACGCCACTGCACTCCAGCCTGGGCAACAGAGTGAGACTCCGTCTCAAAAAAAAAAAAAAAAAAAAATTCTGGCCAACCGGGAATAGTCCAGGATAATCCATTCTTCAGAACTTGTTCTTGCTAACTCAGTTAAGTGTCGAATGGCGTGGGTTGTCTACTGTATTTTAGAGGACATTAGAATATTTATGAAGGGCTTTCCCAGGTTTACTCATAACTTCATTTTCCTCATGCTATTTGTCCCTTAAAGTCTTTCTGAAATCTTTCAGTTGCCACTTCTTCTGGGTGGGTGGGTATGTATGTTGAGGGTCATGCTTTTTTTTTTTTTTTTTTTTTTTGAGATGGGGTCTCCCTCTGTCGCCCAGGCTGGAGTGCAGTGATGTAATCACACCTCACTGAAGCCTCAACCTCTCAGGCTTAAGTGATCCTCCCACCTCAGCCTCCCAAGTAGCTGGCACTACAGGCATGAACCACCGTGCCTGACTAATTTTTAAAAAATATTTTTGCAAAATTAGCCAGGCGCGGTGGTGCACGCCTGTAGTCCCAGCTACCTGGGGGACTGAGGTGGGAGGATTGCTTGAGCCTGGGAGGTTGAGGCTGCAGTGAGCCAAGATCATGCCACTGCACTCCAGCCTGGGTGACAGAGCGAGACCCTGTCTCCAAAAATAAAAAAATAAAAAATAAAAAATAAAAGATGGAGTCTTGCTGTGTTGCCCAGGTTGGTCTTGAACTCCTGGGCTCAAGTGATCCTCCTGCCTTGGCTTCCCAAAGTTCTGGAATTATAGGCATGAGCCACTGCACCTGTCTGGGTCCTGCTTTTGGTAGTGATATAGAACCAACTTAGTGAAATTCTAGAATGACGCTGTCCACTAAGGTAGCTCTGCCAGCCACAGCCACATGTGGCAATTTAAGTAGAAATTCATTAAAATTAGATATTTGTCCCTCAGTTGTACTCACCATATTTAGACAATGCAGACAGACAATGTTGCTATCACTGCAAAAACTTGTATTGGGTACCTCTGCCTTAGAACTTTTCATTCCATGATGAAAGATTGTTCTGGAGTCAGACAGGCCTGCATTTGAAGCCTATATCTGTTTTGTGACCTTGGGCAAATTGTCTAGCTTTTCTGAATGTCTGTTTTTTCTTCTATCATGAGGACATGATAAGGGAACCAGTCTCCAAGGTTTTCCTCAGCTTTGAACTGGTATATCCCCTCTTTCGATAAAAATAAAAATCCAGTTCCTCTTCCCTACTTGGAGTTTGTTCTTTTTTCCTCTAAATATAAAATATACCGTTGAATGTTTTTTCAACCTCTCCACCCCTTGAGAGTCCCTGGAATAGAGAGGAAGGAGTGGCTTGGGAAAGTTGATCACAACAAAGAGGCTATTATAGGTACATCTAATCGAGAAGAGGAACAAGGAAGGAGTAGGTGTGTTGACCGGGGCTCAGAGTGTCTTGTCTGTGGGTCACCAAGAATGAGGAATGTGTCAGCTCCTTCCTGGCTTCTCCTCTCTGGGAACAGAGAACAGTGCATTGCAGCTTAAGTGGAGTAAAATGGGTGTGGGTTTGGAGGAAGTGGATTAAGGATGGGGAAGGGGCCGTGGGAGAGAACCCCAGCCTGAGTTTGTCTTCCTGGCTCAGCACTGAGTGTCTCAGTCAACACATGAATGCCAGTAATGGGAATCTATTTGGATTCACTTAAGCCATGAGGTGGGGGCAGTGTGTTAACTGGGGCAACACAGGGCTCTCAGCTTGAATCAGCTAGCTTTTGCTGTGTAGCAAACCACTCTGAAACACAGACCTTGGAATTTATATTCAAGTTTAATCATGGAGCTTGTATCAGCTAGCTTTTCCTGTGTAGCAAACCACTCTGAAACATAGAACTAGGAACTTGTATCCAAGTTCATTCATGGAGCTTGTATCAGCTAGCTTTTGCTGTGTAACAAACCACCCTGAAACATACAACTTGGAACTTGTTGTATCCAAGTTCAGTCATGGAGTTTGTATCAGCTAATTTTTGCTGTGTAACAAACCACCCTGAAACATAGAACTTAGAACTTGTTGTATCCAAGTTCAATCATGGAGCTTGTATCAGCTAGTTTTGCTGTGTAACAAACCACCCTGAAACATAAAACTGGGAACTTGTTGTATCCACGTTCAATCATGGAACTTTTATCAGCTAACTTTTGCTGTGTAACAAACTACTCTGAAACGTAATGGCTTAATCAACAATCATGTACTTAGCTCATGATTCTTTGGGTCGCTGGGCAAGTTTTCTTGTTTAGACCCACCAGCTGACCACAAACACAGGCTCTTTTCTCTCTCATGTCTGGGATCAACCAGTGGGTTGTCTGGTAGCTGGATGGTCTAGCATGGCCTCACTCACATGTCTGGTGGTTGGTGCTGGCTGTCAGCTGGGAGGCCTTGGTTTTCTTCCCTGTAGCTGCTCATCCTCCAGTTGGCTAGTTTGGGCTTAGATTACATGATAGTCTCAGCGTTCCAAGAGTGGCAAGAGATCAATTTCCAGTACAAAAGTGCCTTTTGAGTTTCTGTTTGCATCTTGTGTGCTAACATCCCATTGGCTAAGGTGAGCTGGGAGGGAAAGGGAGAATATAGTCTTTACCTGTTGATGGAAGAGGAAGAATTTGTGGCCCTGTTTGCCATCTGCCAAAGAACCCTGGAGTGGGAAACAGTGGGGCTCATAAAACATTTTTTTAAAAACCTCTTATTTTAGGTTCATGAGTACAATAACATTTTAATCAGAATTTGGAGCTCAATTGGACATCAGGACTGTGTATGGTGTGACTGAGGACATTAAATGATTTTTTTTTGAGTAGGAATTTAACTTTATGAATTCCACTTGTTGAATAACCAATTCCTTCCCCAGTAATTCTTGATGTTTTCTTCATCAGGTATTAAATTCAACCAAAACCATGAATTTGCTTTTGGGATATCAATTCTATTTCAAGTCCTCTGTGTCTTAATCTTATCCCAGTACCATACTGTTTATAGATTTAGAATATGTGTTTTTTTAGTTTTGTTTTTGTTGTCGTTTTGTTTTTAAAGAAGTGGGGCTCGGCTGGGCGTGGTGGCTCATGCCTGCAATCCCAGCATTTTGGGAGGCCGAGGTGGCTGGATCACTTGAAGTCAGGAGTTCGAGACCAGCCTGGCCAACACAGTGAAACCCCGCTACTATAAATACAAAAATTAGCCGGGCATGGTGGCACATGCCTGTAGTCCCAGCTACTTGGGAACCTGAGACAGGAGAGTTGCTTGAACTTGGGAGGTGGAGGTTCAATGAGCCGAGATTGTGCCACTGCACTTGAGTCTGGGTGACAGAGCGAGATTCTGTCTTCAAAAAAAGAATGGGGGCTCACTGTGTTGCCTAGGCTGGACTCAAACTCCTGGGTGCAAGTGATCCTCCTTAGCCTCCAAGTTGCTGGGACTACAAGCTCATGCCTGGTAAGAACATGCTTTATAAAGTGGCAAATCTAGTTTTTTCCCTATTACACCTTTTAGAAGAGTGTTTCCTTTTCTGGTTGAACTAAATATTTCCCTCCTCTCACTCTCATATAAAACCCATTGAGGGCTGGGCGCGGTGGCTCACGCCTGTAATCCCAGCACTTGGGGAGGCCGAGGCAGGTGGATCACGAGGTCAGGAGATCGAGACCATCCTGGCTAACACGGTAAAACCCTGTCTCTACTAAAAATACAAAAAAATTAGCCGGGCATGGTGGTGGGCACCTGTAGTCCCAGCTACTCGGGAGGCTGAGGCAGGAGAATGGCGTGAACTTGGGAGGCGGAGCTTGCAGTGAGCCGAGATCATGCCACTGCACTCCAGCCTGGGCGACAGAGCGAGACTCCATCTTGAAAAAAAAAAAAAAAAAAAAAGCAAAAACAAAAACAAAAAAACCCATTGAGATATTGATTTAAAAATTTAATTAAAAACATAACCCATTTCCCAGAGGAAAAAAAGTGCAGCTCGCTGCCAGCACTCCTTTAATTTTACATAAACATGTTCTTTGAGGCTGAAGCAAATCTGACTGATTTTCAATATGAGAAAATATAAAACGGTTCTTGGAGTTATTTCTAAACAGAACTTGTCTCTAATCTTAATGTAACAGAAATGTCTATAATGTTACATTAGGATTAGAGAATAGATTATTCTTGGGACAAATGGAAAAATGGGTTAAAATCCATAAATTAAGAAATCAATACTTTCGTATTTTTCCTTTCCGGGCAGGTATGGGATCTCCTTTTCCATTTGCTCAAATCTTTTTTTTTCTTTTTGAGACAGAGTCTCGCCCTGTCACCCAGGCTGGAGAGTAGTGGCACGATCTCGGCTCACTGCAACCTCTGCCTCCCAAGTTCAAACAATTCTTGTGCCTCAGCCTCCTGAGTAGCTGGGATTATAGGCACACACCACCATGCCCGGCTAATTTTTGTATTTTTAGTAGAGACGGGGTTTCACCATGTTGGCCAGGCTGGTCTCGAATTCCTGGCCTCAAGTCATCTGCCCACTTCGGCCTCCCAAAGTGCTGGGATGACAGGCATGAGCCACTGCGCCCAGCCAATTTGTTCAAATCTTTTATATTGTCCTTTCTTCATCTTTATCCTGTATTATTTTTGTGACGATGGTTCCTGATTTCTGTATCACAGAGTTTTGTTGTGTTAGTTATGGCTACTATGAATAGCATATTTACCCTGAATCCAGATACTTTAGTGAAATTGATTGGTAGGTTTTTAAATTGTTTTATTCATTGTGTGCAATTTCGTCCTCTACAAATTATGGTCATTTAAAAAAATTATGTCTGCTCAGTTCTGGAAGCATGAAAAAAATTATGTCTAAAATCATACCTCTTGTTTCGGTTTTAAATCTTATTCTATTGACCAGGGCTTCTAGACTAACATTAAATATTTAACAATGGTATTATCCGACATCTATGTTTAATAGATTTCCTAATATAAAATCATCCTTGCTTTCCTGTGGTAAAACCTACTTGGTTGTGATGAATTATTCTTTCAGCATAACGTTGAATTCGATTTGCTAGGTTTGCTTTGTTTCGTTTTCTGAATTCTTGCCATCTGTGTTCATGAGTGAAATTGGGCTATGTTTTTGGTTGGTTTTATTTTGCAATGTCTTCATCAGTTTGGATTATTTATTGTGTTCTAGCCACATAAAATGAAATAGCAGGTAACTGAGTATTCATTGACAAATTTTATGGTGCCATAACTTTTGGGGGGAAGCAATTCTTTGATAACTTAAGAAAAAATTTAGGCCAGGTGCGGTGGCTCATGCCTGTAATCCCAGCACTTTGGGAGGCTGAGGCAGGTAGATCACTGGAGGTCAGGGGTTCGAGACCAGCCTGGCCAACATGGTGAAACCCCGTCTCTACTAAAAATACAAAAATTAGCCAGGTGTGGTGGCGCACGCCTGTAATCCCAGCTACTCGGGAAGCTGAGGCAGGAGAATCACTTGAACCCAGGAAGCGGAGGTTGCAGTGAGCCGAGATCGCACCACTGCACTCCAGCCTGGGCAGTAGAGCTAGACTGCATCTCAAAAAAAAAAAAAAAAAAAAAAAAAAAAACCAAAACAGTGTGTGACTGGCTGTGACGTAAGGCAGTCAGACCTCTCCTTCGAAATGGGCCGTGATTCATCTTTATTTTTGTAGGGCTGTGTCACGTTAGAACCACTACAGCAAAAGTTTTCATTGGAAATCTAATAATGTTTTTTTAGTCTGCCATCTGGAGTCTGTGCTCCTTGTATGTCTTTATTGTTCAAGACTAAGAGTGGTGTGTGTGTCTGTGTTGGGGGGATGGGGTTTGGTAATTTTGCTAACATGGCTCTAAGAATCTGTCCCGCTTCCCAAAACCTCATTTTTCTCTGCTTTAGCAGTAGCCCAACACTGAAAACAGGGTACTGCTTTTTTAGAGGAGTTCTGATTTGGATTCCTTTTCTTTCTTTTTTTTTAGGCCAAAATTTTCATTTATAAATAGCTTCTGTGGTACACAACATGCAAATATTTTTGGTTTCATGATATTACACCAGAGTTGCAGAGTTGTAGCTGTTTTTTTTTTTTTTTTTTTTGAGGCAGTCTCGCTGTGTCACCCAGGCTGGAGAGCAGTGGTGCGATCTTGGCTCACTGTAACCTCCACCTCCCGGGTTCAAGCAATTCTCTTGTCTCAGCCTCCTGAGTAGCTGGGATTACAGGCGCCCACACCACACCTGGCTAATTTTTGTGTTTTTAGTAGAGACGGGGTTTCACCATGTTGGCCAGGCTGGTCTCGAACTCCTGACCTCAAGTGATCTGCCCTCCTCCTCAGCCTTTCAAATGCTGGGAATACAGGCATGAGCCACCACACCCGGCTGAACTTTTATTATTTTAAAAACATTTTTATTTATAGTAAAAGTCACACATAAAATGAAATTTGCTGTTTTTAGAAAGAATGTTTAAAAAGATGTGTACCATGTTGCCCAGTACAGTGGCTATTCAGAAACAGCCATAGTACACCACAGCCTCAAACTCCTGGGCTAAAGGGATCCTCAAGCTTCAGCCTCCCAAGTAGCTGGGGCTACAGGAACACACCACCACATCTGGCTTGCCTCCTTCTCCTTCTCTTTCTCCTTTTCCTTCTCCTTCTCCTCCTCCTTCTTCTTTTTTTTTTTTTGAGACAAGAGTCTCACTCTGTCACCCAGGCTAGAGTGCAGTGGCATGATCTTGGCTCACTGCAATTTCTGCCTCCTGAGTTCAAAGCAATTCTCCTGCCTCAGCCTCCTAAGCAGCTGGGATTACAGGTGCATACCACCATACCTGGCTAATTTTTGTACTTTTAGTAGAGACGGGGTTTCACCATGTTGGCCAGTCCCGAACTCCTGACGTCCAGTGATCCTCCTACTGCGGCCTTCCAGAGTGCACAGGCATGAGCCACTGTGCCTGGCTTGTTTTCTTCTTTTTTTAAATTTAATGAGTTTAGGCAGGGTTTCTCAGCCTCAACAGTGTTAGCATTCTGGGCTGAACCCCTCTCCGTGGTGGGGACTGCCCTGTACATTACAGGAAGCTTAGTAGCATCCCTGGCCTCCACTCAATACCAGTAGCAACCCCAAGTCATGACAACCAAAAATGTCTCCGGATACTGCCAAGTGCTGGGATCACAGGCATGTGCCACCATGCCCAGCTGATTTATTTTTATTTTATTATTTTTGAGACAGTCTCGCTCTGTCGCCCAGGCTGGAGTGCACTGGCACGATCTCAGCTCACTGCAACCTCTGCCTCCCGGGTTCAAGTGATTCTCCTGCCTCAGCCTCCCAAGTAGCTGGGATTATAGGTGCACGCCACTATGCCTGGCAAAGTTTTGTATTTTTGTAGAGACGGGGTTTCACCATGTTGGCAGGCTGGTCTCGAACTCCTGACCTCCAGTGATCCACCCGCCTGGGCAATATAGCAAGACCCCATCTCTACCAAAAATTTAAAAAAATTTAGCCGGGGGTGGCGGCATGTTCTTGTAGTTCTGGCTACTCACGAGGCTAAAGTGGGAGGATCATTTGAGCCCAGGAGTTGGAGGCTGCAGTGAGCTACGATCACACCACTGCACTCCAGCCTGGACAACAGGGCAAGGCCTCATCTCTTAAAAAAAAAAAAAAAAACAAAATAAAATAAAAAGTGAATAAGTGAAAGTAATAAAATGTAAGATACAGTTGGAGTTCTCTTTGTCATCTTCCCTTGCTATATTCTCCTCCCTTCTTCCCAGAGGTAACAACTCTCTTAGGTTTGGTACATAAACTTCCAGCCCTGCATGTATTTTGACACATAACCTTGTACACACGTCAATGCCAGATACAGGTTCAGTATCCCTTATTCAAAATGCTTGGGACCAGAAGTGTTTCCCACTTGGGATTTTAGAATATGTGCGTATATGTAATGAGATACTGTGGGGCTGAGAACGAGGTCTAAACGTTAAATTCATTTATGTTTCATGTACATCTTATACACATAGCCTGGAGGTAATTGTATACAATATTTTCAGTAATATTGTGCGGGAAACAAGGTTTTCACCGCCCTGACTGTGACCTGTCACAAGAGGTCAGGAATGGAATTTTCTTCCACTGCTATCATGTCGGCGCTCAAAAAGTTGAATTTTGGAGCATTTAGGATTTTGGATTTTCGGGCCAGGAAATTTTGGAGCATTTAAGATTTTGGATTTTGGGTTATCTTCAGTTGTTCTTTAAATCTATTTATTTATTTATTTGTATTTGACAACGAGTTTCACTCTTGTCACCCTGGCTGGAGTGCAATGGCGCAATCTTGGCTTACTGCAACCTCCGCCTTGCCTCAAGCAATTCTGCTCTCTAGTGGCTCAGATTACAGGTGTGCACCACCACGCCTGGCTAATTTATGTATTTTTGTAGAGATGGGGTTTCACCATGTTGGCCTGGCTGGTCTCAAACTCCCGACTTCAGGTAATCCACCTGCCTCAGCCTCCCAAAGTGCTGGGATTACAGGCATGAGCCACCACGCCTGGCATAAATCTTTCTTTAAATCTTTCGCTGCTGTAATAAAATATACATCATAAAATTTGCCATCTTATTTATTTTTCAGTATACAGTTCACTGGTGTTAAACACTGCCATTTATATTGTAATACACTTTTGAGTATTCTAAATATCTGCATATATTGGGAAGCTAAGTAGTACTATCCCTTAGGAAGCCATTGTGTATTTTGCACGTAAAGCACATTTCAGTTCTGACTGGCCACACGTGGCTGGTCCTGCTGTAATGGATCTAGTCTTTAAAAATACTCCGCGAGAGCTTGCAGTGAGCTGAGATGGCGCCACTGCACTCCAGCCTGGGCGACAGAGTGAGACTCCGTCTCAAAAAAAACCAAAAAACAAAAAACTCTGCGATCTTCCTCACCATGCACACATATGATATTTTTGTGATTGTGATTCCAATTGCTACACCTGCTGCATGAGTTCTTAAGCCAAATGCTTTTTTTTTTCCTCTCAGCCACTATGTTCTTTAAGTTTATGCCTCTTGATTCAGTATTGCTAGTTCATTCTTTTAAGTGCTACATAGTATCTTGTATGAATAAGCCACATGCTACTCACCAGCTCCCCTAGTGGGAGGCATTGAGATTGTTTCCGGTTTGTTTCTTTTATAAACAATGCTGCAATGAACATCTTGGTGTCCATCTCCTCCTACCCATTTGTGAATGGTTTTCTAGGATTGATGTTCAGAATTGAAGTCACAGGGAATGGAGTATGTGCATTTTTAGATCTAGTATATACTCCCCGAATGGTCTCCAAGGTGGCTGTGACAGTTTCACCAGTGATGCATTAAGGTATATGTCAAATGTGGGCAAGGCTGCAGGAAAATTATGTTAATTCCAGTGCATGGAAATTGGTATCCTATGGTATTCTTTTGCATCTCCCTGATTCCTGGTAAGACTGGGAATCTCTCTGTATGCTTCTTAGCCATGTCTTCCTACCTCTTCCTCCTCTTTCCCTGGGAGCTGTTTTGGGGTGGGGGGGCTGGGCCTTTTTCTTCAGGGACTCTGCATTGGCAACGTCACAAAGAGGTGCACAAGGGATTGAAGTGTCGGAAATGCTTTGCTGCTGTCATTGCATTTCTTTACCCAGCATTTCAATTGTGCTTTGCTTTGCTTTTCTCACTTGAAATTGTGGCCAGATAGAAACCCAGTTAGACTAATAAGCATCCATCTTTTTAAATCTCTTTGAGATGCTGATGTTTGGATATCTTCAGTTGCTCTTCTTTAAATCTGTAATTTTTTTTTTGTAGTAATAATAGGACATGCATCATAAAATTGACCATCTTAACCTTTTTTTTTTTTTTTTTTTTTTTTGAGAATTCATCTGTTGATGGACATTTGGGTTGTTTCCGCCTTCTGGCCATTGTAACTAACGCTGGGAAAAACACGGGTCTACAAATATCTGTTTGTGGCTGCCCAAGTTTTGGGGACACATAGTGGAAGCCCACCCCTTCCTGATTGAAGCATGGGGCCCATTGAGAGACTTAGCCCATAGGAGCCTCTTTCCAGTGAGGAATATGGAGGGAATGGAGGGCAGTACAAAAGTTCTCCGGCCTGGACCCTTGTGATTCTTTGAAGGCTGAGACGAGAGATGAGACTCATGGCTGGGTTCACTTTTTGGTTCACTTTCCCTTTCCTTTTTTTTTTTTTTTTTTTTTTGAGATGGAGCACTCTGTTGCCCAGGCTGGAGTGCAATGGCGTGATCTCAGCTCATTGCAACCTCTACCTCCTGGGTTCAAGTGATTCTCCTGCCTCAGCCTCTCGGGTAGCTGGAATTACAGGTGCATGCCACCACGCCCGGCTAATTTTTGTATTTTTTAGTAGAGATGGGGTTTCACCATGTTGGCCAGGCTGGTCTTGAACTCATGACCTCAAGTGATCTACGCACCTCAGCCTCTCAAAGTACTGGGATTACAGGCGTGAGCCACTGAGCCTGGCCTCTTTTTCCATTTTCTGTTGCATCAATGGAAAGTCCATCTCCTGCCCGTGGACGTTTTCTATGTTGATGTGGAATGTGGCATTTGTCCAGGAACTTGGTGCTTTTTTTTTCCCTCTATTATTTCATTTGCTTTTGGATTTTGAGAGATGGAGAACTTCCTTAGTGTGGGAGGGAAACAGTTATGGATTTACTTTATGATTCTACATTCAATCCTGGTCTCTTCAAATGATTTCAGGGCTTGTTTGGCCAGGTCAAGTCTGTTCTAGGAGGATTTTCTTTCCATCCTTCCTCTGGGAAATGAATGAGTATAAAAACATGCCCAAGATGGAGGGAAACCTCCCCTTCCCTTTTTTGCCTTTTTCTTCCTGGTTTTGTACATAACTGAACATTTTGATTTTGGGATGAGAGGATATTAGTTCATTCTCACATTGCTATAAAGAACTATCTGAGACTGGGTATTTTTTAAATTTTTAAAAATTTAATTTAATTTAATTTAATTTAATTTTATTTATTTATTTTTTTGAGATGGAGTCTCGCTCTGTCACCCAGGCTGGAGTCCAGTGGCGCCATCTTCGCTCACTGTAAGCTCCACCTCCCGGGTTTACGCCATTCTCCTGCCTCAGCCTCCCGAGTTGCTGGGACTACAGGCACCCGCCACCATGCCTGGCTAATTTTTTGTATTTTTAAATAGAGACGGGATTTCACCATGCTAGCCAGGATGGTCTCGATCTCCTGACCTCATGATCCACCCGCCTCGGCCTTCCAAAGTGCTGGGATTACAGGCGTGAGCCACCACGCCCAGCCTATTTATTTATTTTTTTGAGACAGAGTCTCCCTGTGTTGCCCAGGTTGGAGTGCAGTGGCATGGTCTCTGCTCACTGCAACCTCCACCTCCCCGGTTCAAGCGATTCTTCTGCCTCAGCCTCCTGAGTAGCTGGGATTACAGGTGCCTGCCACCACGCCCGGCTAATTTTTATAGTTTTAGTAGAGACGGGGTTTCACCATATTGGCCAGGCTGGTCTGGAACTCCTGACCTCGTGATCCACCTGCCTTGGCCTCCTAATGTGCTGGGATTACAGGCGTGAGCCACCGCGTCTGGCCTGTTTTTTTGTTTATTTCCATAGGTTTTGGGGGAACAGGTGGTATTTGGTTATATGAGTAAATTATTTCGTGGTGATTTGTAAGTTTTGGTGGATCCATCACCCGAGCAGTATACACTGAACCCAATTTGTAGTCTTTTATCCCTCACTCACTTCCTATCCTTTCCCCCTGAGTCCCCAAAGTCTATTGTATCTTTTTTTTTTTTTTTTTGAGACAGAGTCTCACGCTGTCACCCAGGCTGGAGTGCAGTGGCGCGATCTCGGCTCACTGCAAGCTCTGTCTCCTGGGTTCATGCCATTCTCCTTCCTCAGCCTCCCGAGTAGCTGGGACTACAGGCGCCTGCCACCATGCCTGGCTAATTTTTTTGTATTTTTAGTAGAGACAGGGTTTCACCGTGTTAGCCAGGATGGTCTCGATCTCCTGACCTCATGATCCGCCCGCCTCGGCCTCCCAAAGTGTTGAGATTACAGGCATGAGCCACCGTGCCGGGCCTTGTATCATTCTTAAGACTTTGCATCCTCATAGGTTAGCTCCCACTTATGAGTGAAAACATAGATGTTTGGTTTTCCATTCCTGATTTACTTCACTTAGGATAAGAGTGAGACTAAGTAATTTATAAAGCGCTGGGATTAGAGGCGTGAGCCATGGTGCCTGGCCAATGTCTGGCATCTTTTCTTTGGTGTAATGTTTTGAGATTCATCCATGGTTTTGCATTTATCAATAGCGTATTTCTTTTGTGTTGTTCAGTAGCATTCCATTGTGTGGAGAGACGACATTTAGTTTCACCATTTTAGCTGTTGAGAGACATTTGGGTTGTTTTCAACTTTTGGCTATTATTCATAAACCTGCATGAACCTGTTATACACAATTGTGTAGGAGTCTTTTATGTGGACCAATGCCTTCATATCTCTTGAGGTTATATCCTGGAGCAGAATGGATGAGTTGTGTAGTAGAAGTGTGTATAAGGAGTGGGCAGGCCAGGTGCGGTGGCTCATGCTTGTAATCCTAGCACTTTGGGAGGCTGAGGCGGGTGGATCACTTGAGGTCAGCAGTTCAAGACCAGCCTGGCCAACGTGGTGAAACCCCGTCTCTACTCAAAATACAAAAATTAGCCGGGTGTGGTGGTGGGCACCTATAATCCAAGCTATGGTGGGAGAATTGCTTGAATCCAGCAGGTGGAGGTTGCAGTGAGCTGAGATCGCACCACTGCACTCCAGCCTGGGTAACAAAGCAAGACTCTGTCTTTAAAAAAAAAAAAAAAAAAAGGAAAGGCCAGATTGTTTTCCTAAGTGGTTGGAGTCTGTTATATTTCCACCAGCAATGTATGAGAGTTCTAATTGCTCCACATCCTTAGCAGCACTTAATATTTATTGTCAATCTTTATTATTATTATTGTTATTATTATTTTTAGAGATAGGATCTTACTCTGTTGCCCAGGCTGGAGTTCACTGCAGCCCTGAACTCCTGGGCTCAAGTAATCCTCCCACCTCGGCCTCCTGAGTAGCTTGGATTACAAGCACACATCACTACACCCAGCTAATTTTATTTTTGTAAAGATGAGGTCTCACTACCTTGCCCAGGCTGGTCTTGAACCCCTGGGATCTCAAGCAATCTCCCTCCTCATCCTTCCAAAGTGTTGGATTACAGGCGAGAGCTGCAGCGCCTGGCCCCTTTCACTTTCTTAACAGTATCTTTGAAAAGCAGCTGATTTTTCACAGGGTGTTGTAATTAATTTAATTAGCTCCACACTGTGGCTTTGAAAATCTTCCGTAAGCTCTAGCGCCAGACACATGGATATTTGCAGAATCTTATTTTCTAGAGTCCTGGAAATTTTCTTTCCTGTGAGAGAGTTGAGAGCGATAATTTTAGGGTGGTTATTCATCTTCAGACACAAGGAGTAAGAATGTAGGGAGTTCGTGACTGTGTTTGGAGAGGGGAGAGCATAGCAGTGGTCTAATGATCTTCTCAGGGTTCTCAAAGGGTGGACGAGCTGCAGGTTGAAACTTGCCTTGCTTTTAGACTGTTGACTGAGTTTGTAGTTAAGCAGATAAGTGCCAAAGGAGAAGTCAGGGCTGACTGATTGCAAGTGATGATTGAATACTGGCCCTCACAACCATCTGTGAAAAGTCTATTTCCAGAAATTTTTTTTATTTTGTTATTATTATTATTATTATTTTTTGAGACGGAGTCTTTCTCTGTCGCCCAGTCTGGAGTGCAGTGATGCAATTTCAGCTCACTGCAAGCTCCGCCTCCCGGGTTCACGCCATTCTCCTGCCTCAGCCTCCCAAGTAGCTGGGACTACAGGTGCCCTCCACCACACCTGGCTAATTTTTTGTATTTTTCGTAGAGATGGGGTTTCATCATGTTAGTCAGGATGGTGTCGATCTCCTGACCTCGTGTCCACCCGCCTCGGCCTCCCAAAGTGTTGGGATTACAGGCATGAGCCACTGCGCCGGGCCCAGAAATATTTTTAAGAAGAGATTTTTGAAAAACCCTTGTTTTCATGATGGGAGGATATGAAAAGCAGTGTTTTGAAATCTCCTCCTTAGATCCTGATACTCGGAACTGTCGATTCTCCCATTTTCATTTTCTCCTGGATAGATTGTACACTTGTGCCTTGGTATCTTCAATGATTCCAAAACCCCCCTGGGGATCCAGTCCCTGACATAAAATGGCGTAGTGTTTGTACATAACCTACATACATCCTCCTGTATACTTTAAATCATCTTGGTCTGGCAGTGTGGCTCACACTTGTAATCCCAGCACATTGGGAAGCAGAGGTGGGAGGATTACTTGAGCCCAGGACTTCAAGACCAGCCTGGGCAACATGGCGAGACCCCCATCTCTACAAAAAATTTAAAAATTAATTGGGTGTAGTGGCATGTGCCTGTAGTCCCAGCTACTCAGGAGGCTGAGACGGGAAGATTGCTTGAGCCAGGGAGTTCCAGGCTGCAGTGAGTTATGATCGCACCACTACACTCCAGCCTGGGCAACAAAGAAAGACCCCATTTCCATTTAAAATAATAGGGGCCAGATGCAGTGACTGATGCCTGTAATCCCAGCCCTTTGGGAGCCTGAGGTGGGCGGATCATCACTTGAGGTCAGGAGTTTGAGACCAGCCTGCCCAACATAGTGAAACCCCATCTCTACTAAAAATAAAAAAAATTAGCTGGACACCATAGCGCGCCTGTGGTCCCAGCTACTAGGGAGGCTGAGGCAGGAGAATCACTTGAACCTGGGAGGTGGAGGTTGCAGTGAGCCGAGATTGCGCCACTGCACCACTCCAGCCTGTGTGACAGAATGTGACAGAATGCGGGCACATCACGAGATCAGGAGATCGAGACCATCCTGGCGAACATGGTGAAACCCTGTCTCTACTAAAAATACAAAAAAATTAGCCGGGTGTGGTGGCGGGCGCCTGTAGTCCCAGCTGCTCAGGAGGCTGAGGCAGGAGAATGGCGTGAACCCAGGGGGCGGAGCTTGCAGTGAGCGGAGATCGTGCCACTGCACTCCAGCCTGGGCAACACAGCGAGACTGCGTCTCAAAAAAAAAAAAAAAAAAAAAAAAAGACAGAAAAAGAAAAAACAAAAGACGTTTAGCTTTCCTGGGTGACCCAGTGTTGCAGGGATTGGCCATCCTTGGTATAAGGCATAGGATGTGCAGGGTAGCAGGACAGCAGAGTGGGCAGTGTGTGGGGTTTCTTTCATTGATAGGGTGGTTCCCAGCACTCGGGGTCAGGGCTTGCTTGTAGAAGTTTCTGAAAAGTTGCAGTCATGTTTCATTTCTTTCTCCCCCTACCTAGCACATGCCAGGCCACACAGCATAGTACGATGGTTTGGAACCAGGCTTAACCTGTTAGTAGCCGTGGGGCTCTGGGCAAGTCCACTGGAGTTCTCCGGGATCTGTTTCCTCTTTTGTAAAATGGGAACCAAAAGGTATCACAGGCTGGGCATGGTGGCTCACGCCTGTAATCCCAGCACTTTGGGAGGCTGAGGTGGGTGGATCACCTGAGGTCAGGAGTCCAAGACCAGCCTGGCCAACATGGTGAAACCCCGTCTCTATTAAAAATACAAAAATTAGCCAGGTGTGGTGGCTGGTGCCTGTAATCCCAGCTACTCAGGAGGCTGAGGCAGGAGAATCACTTGAACCCAGGAAGCGGAGGTTGCAGTGAGCCGAGATGGCGAGGTGGCGCCACTGCACTTTAGCCTGGGTGACAGAGGGAGACTGTCTCAAAAAATCAACACCAAAACCAAACCCAACATGTATCACAAGCTCGTTGTGAGGATCAGAGAAGAGGATACGGGAATGATAAACATGGTAGTTACATTGTTGCTAGCATTGTAGTTATATTGCAGCTGTACATTGTGACCTATTGTAGCTACTGTTATTTCTTTGATTAAGTTTAGCAACTGAAATTTTTTTTTTTTGAGACGGAGTCTTGCACTGTTGCCCAGGCTGGAGTGCAGTGGCGGGATCTCGGCTCACTGCAAGCTCCGCCTCCCGGGTTCACGCCATTCTCCTGCCTCAGCCTCCCAAGTAGCTGGGACTACAGGCGCCTGCCACCACGCCTGGCTGATTTTTTGTAGTTTAAGTAGAGACAGGGTTTCATCTTGTTAGCCAGGATGGTCTCGATCTCCTGACCTCGTGATCCACCCTCAGCCTCCCAAAGTGCTGAGATTACAGGTGCGAGCCACTGGGCCCGGCCAACAACTGAAATATTTAACATACAATAAAATGCACATGGCCGGGGTGCAGTGGCTCACGCCTGTCATCCCAACACTTTGACAGGCTGAGGCAGGCAGATCACTTGAGGTCGGGAATTTGAAACCAGCCTGGCCAACTACTAAAAATACAAAAATTAGCCAGACGTGATGGTGCGTTCCTGTAATCCCAGCTACTCAGGAGGCTGAGGCAGGAGAATCGCTTAAACCCAGGAGGCGGAGGTTGCAGTGAGCCAAGATCAGGCCATTGTACTCCAGCCGGGGTGACAGAAGGAGACTCTGTCTCAAAATAAATAAAATAAAATAAAATGCACAGATCTGAAGCATTGAGTTCAATGAATTTTGACAAAAAATATATGCACCTGTGTAACCACCACTGAAAACAAAATGGAGGACATTGCCTCATCCCAGCCCTTTCCAGTGAATTCCCAGTACCCCCGGGAATGAGGTGTTACAATGATTACTATCACCATTGTTGATTATTATTGTTTAGTTTGGTTTTATTGAAGAAGCGGGTAGAGAAAGAAATAGTTAGCCTCATGCAAAAAGTAGGGCATATGAGAGCCTGAGATATGGCTTAAGAAGAGTATTGTTTGAGAAGTTTGGCTGAGTGTGGTGGCTTATGCCTGTAATCCCAGCACTTCGGGAGGCTGAGGTGGGAGAATTGCTTGAGCTCAGGAGTTCAAGAATAGCCTGGGCAACATAGTGAGACTCTGTCTCTATAATTAAAAAAAAAAAAAGAGACAGAAAAGTTTAAGGTATGTTGGCAGGTAGTCCTAGATGGGGTTTACTGCCAGGAGCAGTTAGGATTCAAAGAGCAAAAATTTGAGGGTAAAAGGATGTATGGCAGGTTGTTGGTGGTGGATATATAGCCCCAACATCCAGTCACTTTAAACTCTTATCAAGACAACACAGGGCCGGGTGCCGTGGCTCATGTCTGTAATCCCAGCACAATGGGAGGCCAAGGTGGGCAGATAACTGGTGGTCAGCAGTTCGAGACCAGCCTGACCAACATGGTGAAACCCTGTCTCTACTAAAAATACAAAAATTAGCAGGGCGTGGTGTTGGGGACCTGTAATCCCAGCTACTCAGGAGGCTGAGGCAGGACAATCACTTGAACCTGGGAGATGGAGGTTGCAGAGAGCAGAGATCACACCACCGCACTAGAGCCTGGGCGAAAGAGAGAGACTCCATCTCAAAAAAAAAAAAAAAAAAAAAAACAAAAAACACCACCAAAAACAAGACAACACAAAGCGTTTGAACGAAAACAGCATTTGCAGATGCAAATTCAGGATCCGAAATTAATTCTTCCCCCCTCTTTGCTGAGCTGCCAGAATGTTCCAAGGAGATCCCTCCTTTCCAGTTTCCTCCGTGGCGCACAGGCTGTGCCGAGTAAGTGGGCAATTGTGAGTTTCTGGAAATCAGCGAGCTGGTGTGGCTCCTGGCTCCTGGCTCTGGCCAAGGGAGTTGGCTTCCCTGTGTCCATGCCAGGAGGGGAGGCTGGAGGCTTCTAAAGGCCGCAGCTCCGCTGTAGACACGCGCCTCCTTGGCACTGGCTTTGTTGAAATCTGTCCCTAGATAGTCTCTCTTCTGCACAGACCTCTGAGGTTTTTCCATACTGCAAAGGGCCTTGCTGCAGGAGGAACAGTCTGACCTAATCTCTCCTAGAGGAGGCCTTGAGCTAATATTTTTTATTTTTTTTTTATTTTTGAGATGGAGTCTCACTGTCACCCAGGCTGGAGTGCAGTGGTGCAATCTCAGTCCACTGCAATCTCCGCCTCTCGGATTCAAGCGATTCTCCCTGCCTCAGCCTCCCAAGTAGCTGGGATTGCAGATGCCCGCCACCACACCCGGCTAATTTTTGTATTTTTAGTCGAGATGGGGTTTCACCATGTTGGCCAGGCTGGTCTCGAACTCCTGACCTCAGGTGATCCACCTGCCTTGGCCTCCCAAAGTGCTGGGATGACAGGCATGAAGCACCTCACCCAGCCAAGGTAATATTTCTGAAAGGTGGAGTACCATGCTATGAGCTAGACACTTGGTGTGGTTTATCCTGTCATCGCCTCAGTGACCTCACCAGGTGGACACTGTTAGGATTCCTAATTTGCAGAGGGAGAAGTTGAGGCTGACAGAAAGGTCAGCACTGTGCTCAAAGTGATCCAGCTGCTACCAAGATGAACTGCAGGCTTTGCTCTGAGCTCACAGCCTGACCTCAGTCTAGAGCTGGGAATCTTTCTCTCCCTCATTGCTACACCTGATCAATTACTGAGTCCCATCCCTTTAACTGCTTACATGGCCTTCAAATCCATCTTCCCTACCTAAGCTGCCCATTCATTGACCTGTGCCTTCTGTCCATCTGCTGAGAGCCAGGTGCTGTGCGAGCCTCTGAGAATGTGGCCGAGAACAATATGGATAAAAGTTCTGAGCCGGGTACGCTGACTCATGTCTGTAAACCCAGTGTTTTGGGAGGTTGAGGCAGAAGACTTCCTTGAAGCCAGGAGTTTGAGGCCGGCCTGGACAACACAGCAAGACCCCATCTTTACAAAAACAAAAACAAACAAACAAAAAAAAGAAAAAGAAAAATTAGCTGAGCATGGTGGCACTGACTTGTGGTCTCAGCTACTTGGGAGGCTGAGGTGGGAGCATCACTTGACTCCAGGAGTTCGAGGCTGCAGTGAGCCATGACTGTGCCACTGCACTCCAGCCTGGGCAATAGAGCAAGACCCTGTCTCAAAAAAAAAAAAAAAAAAAAAAAGACTGTAAATGTATCCTCCAGAGTAATTCTTCTTTTTCATTTTTCAAAAGCATCCTTGCTTTGTTTATGCTTCCAAAAGTTTAAAAACTGTAGCTAAGTTCCAAGAAAGAAAAAGGGAAGCAAAGGAAAAGGAAAACACAGACCCAGAGGCCCTTTATGGGGTTGATTGTATGTGAAGTCCATAAATTGATGGAGAGAAGGAGCACCTTGGCAGTATTTACTTGTACTCTCCTATGTCATGGATTTCCTCTCCATTTTCCCAAGGGTTCTTTCCTGTTCTTAGAAATGTTTTGTGATTTTGCTTCAGACACAGTTTGTCTACTTCTTGTAAGCATTGTTCTTAGATTGCTGGCTTTATATCTATCACTCCCTTGCTCATCTGCCCATCCATCTATCCATCCATCCATCCATCCATCCATCCATCCATCTATCCATCCATCCATCCATCCATCCATCCATCATCCCTCCATCCACTTGCTCATCTGCCCATCCATCCATCCATCTATCCATTCATCCAGTCCATTCACCACCCACCATCTATTATCCATCCATCCATCCATCCATTCATCCACTCACCCATTCATCCATCATCCATCCACTCACCCATCCATTCATTCAGTCACCCTTCATCCATTCACTCACCCATCCATCCATCCACTCATCCAATCACCCATCCATCCATACATCCACTCATCCATTCATCCATCCATACATCCACTCATCCATTCATCCATCCATCCACCCACCCAGACGTCCATCCATCCATCCATCCATCCATCCTTCTGTCTACTCTGCCAACAATCCACACACCTGTCCCTCCATCCCTTCCAACCACTCACCCAGCAATCTTCTCATCCATCTATCCACCCATGCATACATCCACTTATTCATTCATCCATCCCTCCACCCACCCATTCATCCACCCATCCATGTGTCCATTCATCTCTCCATCTATCCGTGTGTCTATCATCTAATATAAGGGAGATGTTTTGAAGTATTAAAAGTGATTATTTTGTAGCATAGGGGACAGGGATTGTGTTTTCTTTACTTACTGCTACCTTATTAAATGCTTACTAGTTCTAAAAGCCCTGCAATTGATTCCCTTCAATTTTCCAACTCTATAATTGCAGCATCTGCAGATAATGATGACTTCTTGCCTTTTGCCAATAATTAGACCAGTTATTGCTGTTAACCTTGTTATGGCAGGAACTTCCAGAACAGTGTTCAGTGACGCAGCTGAATATGGTCAGCCCAGTCTCATTTCTGATTTGAGTGGAATGCCTCAATTGTTTTACTGCAGAGGATAATTATATAATTGTTAATACTCTTGACCTTCCTGTCTTTAGCCTCACTGAGTAAATGGGGTGTGATCATGAAATCTTGATTGTCTCATAGATGCAAGAGACATAAACGACATTTGTCTGTGTATAATGACAGCAGATTTATTTTGCTAAGCTGTTAAGCTGTTAAAATAAGCCTTTAAGCCCCCGCCTCAATTTTCCAGCAGAGTGGAATGTTATTTTGTTGCTTCTGGCCAAGTGTCGATATTCATTTTAGGGCAGGTCTTCATGGAAAGTCTGCTGGACTATAGGTCTGGATACTTGCCGGACCCTGTGTCATCACTAAAGTTAGGGTGCGTTTCAGAACCACCCTGTACCACAGTGAAGAGGGACAAATGGCCTTAGGGAGCAGGACCCATGGGGGCCCTCTGGGGCTGTTTCTTGTGCCCTGAGAGAGGCCCTAGATTTGGGACAGTCTGATTTACCTCCCCTCCCTTTTTTTTTTCTGGGTGATGCTACCCTGGTTTCTGTGTTGAAATATGACCCTAGTGTGAAGGTCGCGGTCTCAGACCATCTTGTTTCTGGTATGTTAAGAAACAGAAAAACACCTTTTAGGACACAATGTTAACCATTGAGGATACATATCAGTGTTCTGGAAAAACAAAAACAAAAACAAAACAATCTGTACCGCGACTGTGGTTTTCATCAGGGTGGGCTGCCTTTCCGATCCATAACCCTGTGTGGCTTGATGGAGAACATGTTTTGTAACTTGCAAGGGCATCTGCAATAGCCGGGTCCTCTTGGTGAAAGGGGAGGACCCACATTAGGTCTAAGCTGGCTGGAGTCGATGCAAAACTCTCACATGCTTTGGAAAAAGCACGTGATCTTTCGACGAGAATGCAAATGTTGACCGGGTGCAGTGGCTCATGCCTGTATTTGCAGCATTTGGGGAGACTGAGGCAAGCGGATCGCTTGAGTCCAGAAGTTTGAGACCAGCCTGGGCAACTTGGTGAAACCCCATCTCTACAAAAAATACAAAAATTAACCAGGTGTGGTAGTGCATGCCTGTAGTCCCAGCTACTTGAGAGGCTGAGTTGAGAGGATTGCTTGAGCTCAGGAGGTTGAGGCTGCGGTGAGCTGTGATCACGCCACTGCACTCCAGCCTGGGCAACAGAGCCAGACCCTGTCTTTAAAAAAAAAAAAAGAATGCAAATGTTTGCTTGATTATTCAGCTGGTATTTGACACACAGTTCTTTGTTCCAGAGGGACTGTCCAGCAACAAATAGTGAATTCGTTAATTTTTCACACCAAACCTATTGAAAATAACCAGAAAAGGTATATGCTGGAAAACTCAGTGTTCTAGAAACATTCATGTTTGCCATCCCAAGAGCAAAAGTCATGGAATGCCTGATGCTTAGTGTTAAGAGGAAGGAATTCCACACAGCCTGTGGCTAGCTTTTCTTATTTCATTGGTGTCCAAGACAAGATTTGAACTGTTTACTAAAGGAAATTAGCATCATAAGTCTCCTCTGGCATATATTTCCAGCATCCAAGTGGAGCTGCTGAGATCTTGCTCAAGAGTAGCAAAATTGGCAGGAGGAGGAGGGCATTAGTTTTTACATCAGCTTAAAGAATTTTTTTTATCAGCCATTTTTGCAATTTGGAAACCTGTTTGGAGTAGGGGTATATGGAGATGAAATTGGGCTGTTTCTAGGATTCACCTCCTCCTTCAGGCATTTTTTTTTTTTTTTTGGAAACAGGGTCTGGCTCTGTTGCCCAGGCTGGTGTGCAGTGGCGTGATCATGGCTTACTGTAGCCTTGACCTCTTGGGCTCAAGCAATCCTCCCACTTCAGCTTCCCGAGTAGCTGGGACCACAGGTGTACACCATCGCACCTGGCTAATTTTTATATATTTTTTGTAGAGATGGGGTCTCACTATGTTGCCAGGGATGGTCTTGACCTCTCAGGCTCAAGCAACTCTCCTGCCTCGGCCTCCCAAATTGCTGGGATTACAGGCAGGAGCCACTGCAGTTGGTACTTAGAGTTGTTTTTTTTTTTTTTTTTTTTCCCTTGAGACGGAGTCTCACTCTGTTGCCAGGCTGGAGTGCAGTGGTGCGATCTTGGCTCACTGCAACCTCCACCTCCTAGGTTCAAACCATTCTCCTGCCTCAGCCTCCTGAGTAGCTGGGACTACAGGCACACGCCACCATGCCCAGCTAATTTTTTTTTGTATTTTTAGTAGAGATGTGGTTTCACCATGTTGGCCAGGATGGTCTCGATCTCTTGACCTCGTGATCCTCCCACCTCGGCCTCCCAAAGTGCTGGGATTACAGGCGTGAGGCACCACACTAGGCCGATCCTCAGACATTTTTAATTTTCCTTTTTTAGTGTTACAGCCAGCCATTTGAAAAATGAGACTTCCCCCTAACCTTGTGTCAAACTCAGAGACGTTGTCATCTTGGCTTTGATGTGGTGGAGGAGAGGGGCTTCTCATTCCGGGACGGGGTTTCTCCACCTGGGGCCTGCGGATACTGGGGCTGGATTGTTCTCTGGGGTGGGGCCGTCCTGGGCACTGAGGGTGCTAGCAGCATCCCTGGCTTCCACCCATTCCATGCCTGGAGCGCCGCCCCCGAGGCATGGCAAACACAAATGTCTCCAGACACTGCCAGGTGTCTCCTGGTGGGCAGAATCGCCTCCATTTGAGGACCCCTGGACCAGGGTGCTGGAATGGGGGTGAGGGGCACTCTGCAATTATTCTCTGCTCTTTTTTTGAGGGGGGGGAAATGGAAACCAAGAGCCCATCATCAGCCTCGTGGCTCTGTGGTTTGACACTGCCATGCTACCGACAAAAACCACGTCCCTAGACTTGGGGGACCAAGGAATCTGGAGGAATATGATGATAGTCATTTAATGAAGGTGGGTTTATGTATTACTCAAGTGCTGGGCTGGGGAGTCAGGACATAGCCACAGGGAAGAAAACAGAAAGGTCCTTCCCTCTTGGAAGCCCCTCTTGAAACACCTAATTGGTGACATGGTACACTGGAGAATCAGAGAGTGTCACTCAAGCATTTTGGCTTGGTGGTGGGGCGGGGGTGGCGGGTCAGGCACTCAAGCACCCCTAAGCTGATCTGGAGAAAGTGTCGGGGAAGGGGAACATTAGCGTTTCTCCCTGAGGAATCATCTTACACCTATAACGGCAACTGGCCCACAGTAACATTGATGGAGCAAGTGTCTTCTTGTGGCTCGGCCGCTCAATAGCTGTGTGACCATGGGCAGGTTACTGAACCTCTCTGTGCCTCAGTCTTCTCCTCTGTAAAATGGGAACATCTAGGATTGTTGGGGGAAATAAATGGTTAATAATTGGAATAGTGCTGGGTGCATAGGAAACTCTAAGTGTTACACAGCATGTGGCCACAACCTCCCCTCTCCCCTCCTCTCTCCTCTTTGCTGCTGCCCTGCTGCCTTAATGGGATACTCCCCTCTCTGTCTCTGTCTGTCTGTCTGTCTGTCTGTCTCTCTCTCATCCCCTTTTCTTTCCTCTGTTCCCCCACCCCCACCTCTGATGCAGTTTGGACCAAGTTTTCTTCAGCCAGCTAATTTAGAGACAAGAACCTGGATATTTATTGGGCGTTTGGGGGACTTCCTTACAGCCCTAGGTCTCTGTGAAAAGGGCCCTGGATTATCTCTGCAAAAGCCCACCTGCTATTGGTTAGCCAGGACTGTCTCCACTTTCAGACACCAGCTTCATCCAAACACTCTTTGCTGTATTTATAACCACGGTGCATTTCCTCGGGACGCACATCTTACGGCTTCTTGGCCCCTTCGCCCAGGGTGCACTGCCTGGACCATCGCCCTCCGGCAGAGACAGTGTCTTTCTTTGTATGTTCTCCTTCCTCTGGTCGAGATGTGGCTTGGTCACCTGGAGTGGGGCCGTCGGCAAGTCGCCTGGGCTTCGTGGAGGCTCGCTGCCCCCATGGCGGAAAGCTCGGCCACACACCCTGATGTCTCGACACCTTTGAGTTGCCCATGAATGGGTTTTCAGAGCTTCCCGTGTTTACTTCGCTGCACGCCTCTGTTTGTGCTCTGGGGAAATTCTTGGCAGAGGAAAAGCCAATTGGAAAACAGCCCTGCTTGGTGTCAGGGCTTGAGGTTGAGGGAGAAAGACTGAAACGGAGATTTGCATGAGCTGGTTTGAGCATGTCACAAGACTTTGTCTTTAAAAAAAAAAAAAAAAAAATTGGCCTGGTGTGGTAGCTCACTCCTGTAATCCCAGCACTTTGGGAGGCTGAGGCAGGCGGATCACGAGGTCAAGAGATCGAGACCATCCTGGCCAACGTGGTGAAACCCCGTCTCTACTAAAAATACAAAAATTAGCTGGGTGTGGTGGTGTACGCCTGTAGTCCCAGCTACTGGAGGCTGAGGTGGGAGAACGGCTTGAACCCAAGAGGGAGAGGTTGCAGTGAGCCGAGATCATGCCACTGCACTCCAGCCTGGGTGGCAGAGCGAGACTGGTCTCAAAAAAAAAAAAAATTTTTTTTTGTTCCAGTCTATTCTGGTGGCTTAGAGGAGGGAAGATGGGAAATTTTGGGTTTAATAGAGTAATATCCATCAGGTTGAGGGCTTTGAAGCACCTGGGAATATCCATAAGTCACTACTGAGCACCAGCTGTATAGAGTTATTGAGCATGTATTGTCTCCCAGGCACATGGTCCTCACAACAATCTTTTCACAGAGCTAGGATTTGAACCCACAGTCTCTCTGGCTTCAGAACCCTAGCTTTTCTTGCTATACTCTGCCTTACAGAGGAAGGGAACTTTTGTACTGGGTTTTGAAGGGTGAATAGGAGTTCAATGAAGAAGCAGCACATTCTGTGCTAAATTTGGCTTCCTGATCCTCCTAGAATTGGCCAGAAGCCAATATCTGGAGGCCAAAATTGGGTCACTAGGGTGACCAACTCATCACAGGGCCCTGGATTATCTCTGCAAAAGCCCACCTGCTACTGGTTAGCCAGGACCATCACAGTGTGCCCAGGTAACCCTGCGTTTCACCCCAAAGCAGAATTTTACACCAGAGCCTGGACACCAGTTGAATTTTCTTTAACTCATTTCTGTCAATGGTTACCTCCAAAAATGCTCCCTTGTGTCTTTATGCTGGGCTTCTTTCTCTAGATACTTCCATTTCTTGGTTTGGGTGAAAATCAAATGAGGTAATTAATGCTTGTGACATGTAAAGTGTAGTGAGTGGCACATGGTAACCTCTTTAGTTTTAGCCAGTTGGTTTTTTTTGTTTGTTTGTCTTTGAGACAGAGTCTCACTCTGTCACCCACGCTGGAGTGCAGTGGCGCAGTCTCAGCTCACTGCAACCTCTGCCTCCCAGGTTCAAGCAATTCTCCTGCCTCAGCCTCCCGAGTAGCTGGGATTACAGGTGCACGCCACCACACTGGGCTAATTTTTGTATTGTTAGTAGAGATGGTGTTTTGCCATGCTGGCCAGGCTGGTCTCAAACTCCTGACCTCAGGTGATCCGCCCTCCTTAGTCTCCCAAAGTGCTGGCATTACAGGCATGAGCCACAGTGCCCAGACAGTTTTAGCCAGTTTTTCACTGGCCTCCCTCTTTGCCTTTTTTGCAAGGGAGCTGGCCTCCCTGTCCCTGGAGTAAGCAAACTTCCTTATACCTATAGCTTCCTCTAAGGAAGCGTAGTTACCTACAGCCTGGCCCTCCCCAAGGACACAGCTGTTTCCTCCACCAAGAGCAAGGAGTGGACATAATCACTGCCAAATAGGGAAGCCAGGCTGGACACCGTGGCTCATGCCTGTAATCCCAGCACTTTGGGAGGCCGAGGTGGGAGGATCACTTGAGGCCAGGGATTCAAGACCAACCTGGGCAATGTAGCAAGACCCTGTCTCTAAACAAATAAAAAAATTAGCCAGCTGTGGTGGCCCATGGCTGTAGTCCCAGCTACTCCAGAGGCTGAAGCAGGAGGATTGCTTGACCGCAGGAGTTTGATGCTGCAGTGAGCTACGGTCACACCACTGAACACCAGCCAGGACAACAGAGCAAGACCCTGTCTCTTAAAAAAACAAAAAAATAAGGAAGCCAGATGGGTGCTGGGTGTACGGGACACATGTCAAAAGTCAGACCTCTATCTGAGTAAGGAAACAGGTTCAGAGTCAGGATTAAAGACCAAGACAGCTTGAGGTCATCAGAGGCCAGGAATTTCCATACAGGCTGCGGTCCAAAGTGCCAAGCTGGGCTAGATAGATGTTGGGGAAGAGTCTCTGTCGCCCTCTTTCCTTCCCCGTTAATGCTATCAGCTGAGCATGGGTCACTCCTGATTTTTTTTTTTTTTTTTTTTACCGAGGACATAGGCTCAGAGTGTCTTCTAGCTTTCAACCCACCCCAGACTCTGACTTAGCCTTTCCCAAATGGTGCTGTGCAGAAAAATGAAAAAATTGCTAGGAGGATCATGTGCCTGGTGGATAGTACATGCTTGATAGCTGTAAACAGTTGGTGCTCAATATATCGTGGCTTGTGGATCTTCCCAGCTGCTTCAGAACCCCAAGCCTGCTGTATAATTGTACTTGATCCCGACAACAGCCCTGCCAGATGGGTGTTACTCTGATTCCTGTGTCCTGGTAAGTGGACGGGGGGCCTGGAGTAGCTGAATTGCCTAGAGAAGGGGACATAGCTAGAAAGGAAAAGTTGAAACCCAGTGTGATGCCAGAGTCCATGCAAACTTTATCCTGAAAGGAGGGATCTCTTTTTTTTTTTTTCTGAGATGGAATCTCACTCTGTAGCCCAGGCTGGAGTGCAGTGGTGTGATCTCGGCTCACTGCAACCTCCGCCTCTCAGGTTCAAGCGATTCTCCTGCCTCAGCGTCCCAAGTAGCTGGGATTACAGACGTGTGCCACCACAACCGGCTCATTTTTGTGTTTTTAGTAGGGACGGGGTTTCGCCGTGCTGGCCAGGCTGGTCTCGAACTCCTGACCTCAGGTGATCCGCCCGCCTCGGCCTCCCAAAGTGCTGGGATTACAGGCGTGGCCACTGCGCCCAGCCTTCTTCTTCTTCTTCTTCTTTCCTCCTCCTCCTCCTCCTCCTCCTCCTTTTTTTTGACAGAGTCTCACTCTATTGCCCAGGCTCGAGTGCAGTGGCACAATCTCAGCTCACTGCAACCTCTGCCTCCTGGGTTCAAGAGATTCTCCCACTTCAGCCTCCCGAGTAGCTGGGATTACAGGTGCGCAACACCACAGCCGGTTAATTTTTGTGTTTTTGGTAGAAACGGGGTCTCGCCACGTTGGCCAGGTTAGTCTCAAACTCCTCACCTCAAGTGATCCGCCCGCCTCAGCCTCCCAAAGTGCTGGGATTACAGGCGTGAGCCACTGCGCTCGGCCTGGTGAAGACCTTCTTGCCGGTGGGGACTCTGCAGAGTCCTGACAGGGAGCAGGGCATCACATGGCGAGGGAGCTGAGAGTGTCAGCTCAGGTCTCTCTTCCTCTTCTTATAAAACCACCAGTCCCACTCCTATGATAAACCATTAATCCATGAATGGATTAATCCACTTATGAGGACACAGCCCTTTTAATCACCTCTGAAAGGCCCCACCTCTCAATGCTGCCACATGAGGAATTACATTTCAACATGAGTTTTGGAGGGGACAAATATTCAAATCATACTATTATGTTACCAGTAAAATTTAAAATATAGGAATAATAATTGCCGATGTGTGGCAGACTTACCAAATACTAGACCCTGTGCTAAGTGTTTTATATCTATTATTTTATTTAATTTTCTTGGTCACTGCATAACATATGCTCTGTTAGTCCCAGTTTTTCGAATGGGCATAACAAGACCGAACCTACCTAGAGTTGGCACAAGTTGTAAAAATAGGATCCGTGGCCGGGCACAGTGGCTCACACTTGTAATTCCAGCACTTTAGGAGGCCAAGGCGGGAGGATCACCTGAGGTCAGGAGTTCGAGACCAGCCTGGCCAACATGGCGAAACCCCGTCTCTACTTAAAATACAAAAATTAGCCAGGCGTGGTGGCGCGCCTGTAGCCCCAGCTCCTCGGGAAACTGAGGCAGGAGACTCGTTTGAACCCGGGAGGCGGAGGTTGCAGTGAGCCAAGATCGCACCACTGCACTCCAGGCTGGGCGACAGAGCGAGACTCCATCTCAAAAATAAAATAAAACAAAAAAATAGGATTCACTTTTGCCACCAACTTGAAAAGGAGGCAAACACAAGATTACTCATCTCTGGAGAGGAGGCATTCAGATTTGCCTACTCAGCATTCCTGGAGATAGAACCAGATTTTGCATGGGTTAGAATCATATTTTGCTTGGGAAGCCACTCAGACCTCATTGTGTGGACTCTATTCCCAGAGCCAGCTTCCTTTATTCCTTCAGACTCTTATGATTGGCTCAGGGGAAGGCACATGACTCAGACTGGGCCAATCAGCTTTCTTAATTCCTCCAGCCTCCATGATTGGTTCAGGGGTGGGCATGTGACCCCAGAAGGTTCCATAAGATTCAGTTCTGGGACTTTAGTGGGAGTGATAGAGAGATTTTTCCTTGCTAAATCTTCCTTGCTGTGAAGCTATAATCCAGGTGCCACCATGTAGAGACCACGTGTCTCAGACTTCTGACACCATAGAAGGAAGCAGGACTGCGAAAAGGAAAGGGAGAGAGATGGGGTCCCCATGACATCATTTGACACCTGGATCTAGCTGTACCTGAAAGTGTCCTTGTCCTATGACTTGTTAGTTAAATGAGCCAGCAATCGTTCTTTTCTTTTTTTTCATTTTCTTTCTTTCCCTTCCTTCCCTCCTTCCCTCCTTCCTTTCCTTTCTTTTCCTTTCCCTCCCTCCTTCCCTCCCTCCCTTCCTTCCTTCTCTCTCTCTTCCCTCCCTTCCTTCCTTCCTTCTCTCTCCCCCTTCCCTCCCTCCCTCCCTTCCTTCCTTCCTTCTTTCCTTCGTTCCCTCCCTCCCTCCTTCCTTCCTTCCCTCCCTCCCTTTTCTCTCTCTCTCTCTCTTCTTTCTCTCTGTATAACTGAGCTTTCTATTCTCACAAACTGAAAGAGGTCTTGCTAATCCAAGGCATGACAATCAGAGCAACATGTGAAGCCCAAAGAGCTGCAGAGCTCCCCTCCATGGCTTCCAGCCCCGGGGGTGGTCAGTGAAAGTAACTGGAGCCCGGAGCTTCAGAGGCCAGTGTGGAGGTTGGAAAGGTTGTGGTCAGGAGAGAGTAATATATCTGGTCCCTGCAACAGACACCCCTGCAGTTTTATCCTGAATCCTGGGTAATTTCCCCAGGTCCTGGGAAGCCTAATAAAGCCCCTACTCAGATGTTGGATTGCAAGTCCTTTTTGTTTGTTTGTTTTTTAAATCCACTTTAAATATGTCTGAAAACCACACACAGAGTGACTGCTGCACAGAAGAGCGAATGGTTCATGCCTTCTTCTTTGCTGCCACCAACAAGTCAGTTACCTACTTCTCTGACATGGGACCCTTGGCTGGAGCTCACTGGCTGCCTTCCTGCCACCTGTAAGCCTCGGCACTTGCTGTTCCCTCTACCTACATGCTTTTCCCTGTGATACTTCCTCATACGATTTCCTCAGATTATCTTTGCTCAAACAACAGGCAAGGGCTGGGCCTTAATCTCACACCTGTAATCTCAGCACTTTGGGAGGCCAAGGCAGGTGGATCACCTGGGGTCAGGAGTTGGAGACCAGCCTGGCCAACATGGCGAAACCCCATCTGTACAAAAAATATACAAAAAATTAACCAGATGTGGCAGCGGGTGCCTCTGATCCCAGGGACTTGGGTGGCTGAGGCAGGAGAATCACTTAAACCCAGGAGGCAGAGGTTGCAGTGAGCCGAGATCATGCCACTGCACTCCAGCCTGGGCAACAGAGCGAGACTTCGTTTCATAAAAACAAAGAAACAAACAAACAGAAAAAAACAACAAAACAAACAAACAGAAAAAACCAACAAAACAAAAAACAAGAGGCAAGAAGTTCAGTGTGCAGAATCTCTGAGAAAAACCCATGGTTGTTAACCCCAGGTCTGCCCCTTTTGAGCAGGGTGACATTAGGCAACTGATTTGATTTCTCTTAGATGAAATTTCCTCACTCCCTGCCTATTCAACCACAGTACTGAGGACATTTGGAGCTGGATTATCTCTCTGGTGGCAGCTGTCCTGGGCATTTTAGGGTGTTTACTAGCATCCCTGGCCTCCCCCCACTAGATACCAGTAGCACTCCCACCCCACACTGGTTGCAACAACCAGAAATGTCTCCAAGACACTTCCACGTGACCCCCGGGGGGTCAGAATTTCTCCCCTTCCCCCTGTGTTTTCCTATGGAGGTGGAACGTGTTTATTTCTTTGCTCACCGTTTTGCAATCTCTCTTCCCCCGCCACAAGGCAGGGACTCTTCTATCTCCGTCACCATCCCATCCTCCCACAGTGGAGACAGCTCTGGGGACTCTCCTGAGCAGCAGATTCTTGGGTGCCACATTCTGTTCCATTCCTGGGGAATTTATCTCTTTACTGAGTGATGGGTACATGAGAACTTTCTGTGTCACCCTTGCATCTTTTCTGTTTTGTTTTTACAAAAGAAAAAAAAGAAGGCCGGGTGCGGTGGCTTACGCCTGTAATCCCAGCACTTTGGGAGGCCAAGGCGGGTGGATCACGAGGTCAGGAGATCGAGACCATCCTGGCTAACACGGTGAAACCCCGTCTCTACTAAAAATACAAAAAATTAGCCAGGTGTGGTGGCGGGCTCCTGTAGTCCCACCTACTTGGGAGGCTGAGGCAGGAGAATGGCATGAACCTGGGAGGCGGAGCTTGCGGTGAGCCAAGATCGTGCCCACTGCACTCCAGCCTGGCAGACAGAGCGAGACTCCGTCTCAAAAAAGAAAAAAAGAAAAAAGATATCACTCGATGACTGCTACCGAAACATTCTGTGGCTGGGAGAGGAAAATACCAGAAAGGGTGAATGTGGTCGGTTGAATGATGCCTCTCCCTTCCCCCAGAGATGCCCACATCGTAATCCCTGTCACCTGTGAATTTGGTACCTCACTTGGCACAAGGCTCTTTGCAGATGTGATTAAGTTGAGGATCTTGAGACGGGGGGATGATCCTAGATTATCTGGTGCACCAAATGCCATCGCAGGGATCCTTTTCAAGGAAAGAGGGAGGCAAGAGATTGAAATGCTACGGCCAAGAAAAAGGAGCTGCCTTAAAAGCTGGATTCTCTCTGGAGCCTCCAGAAGGAACCAACCTTTGTAACATCTTGATTTTAGCCCTGTAAGACTCATTTTGGGCTTTTCACCACCAAAACTGTAAGAAAATAGGCAGGCCATGATGGTTCATGCCTGTAATGCCAGTACTTTGGGAGGCCAAGGTGGGACGATTTCTTGAGGCTAGGAGTTTGAGACCAGTGTGGGCAACATAGCAAGACCCCATCTCTACAAAAAAAAAAAAAAGAAGAAGAAGAAGAAGAAAAATTAGCTGGGCTTGGTGGCACACATCTATATTCCCAGCTACTTGGGAGGTTGAGGTGGGAGGATTGCTTGAGCCCAGGAGTTCGAGGCTGCAGTGAGCCATGATTGCACCATTGCACTCCAGCCTAGGCAACAGAGTAAGATCCCGATGCAGGAGAAAATAATAAATGTATGTCGTTTTACATTTGTGGGCGTTTGTGACAGCAGCAATGGGAAATGGATACGGTGAGAAACCCAGCACCTGGGCCTGGAAACCCCCTCTGGGCGGGTCTCTAGCCAGGGGCCAACAGGAGTCAGAGCAGGGCCTTGGTGAGAGGTGGATACGGGGCCCCAGCATCCTGATGGCCTTGCTGTGGCTTCTGGGGACACCTGCAGTGGCTCCATTACACCGTGGCAATTTGTTCCTTCCCAGACCCCCTGGATACAAGGGGCCTGCATTTTCGAACCCAGAGCCCGGGGACATCCCCCGTGGTTCCCTGTTACCCTCTGGATGTCTGTCCTGCTACTATGCACCTCTCCCCAACTCCTGGTACACAGTGGGAGTTCAGGGGCCGTCTCATTTGTACCGCATAACATCACGGAGGTCCAAGACGCCATGTAATATTCTGTTTAGGATTTCAGAGGCACAGTCAGTTACATCCATCTTCTTTTTGTCTTTGAGACAGAGTCTTGCTCTCTTGCCCAGGCTGGAGTGCAATGGCACGATCTCAGCTCACTGCAACCTCTGCCTCCTGGGTTTAAGCAATTCTCTTGACTCAGCCTCCCAAGTAGCTGGGATTACAGGTGCACGCCACCACACCTGGCTAATTTTTTGTACTTTTAGTAGAGACGGGGTTTCACCATGTTGGTCAGGCTGATCTAGAACTCCTGACCTCAGGTGGTCCACTCACCTTGGCCTCCCAAAGTGCTGGGATTATAGGCGTGAGCCACCGTGCCCAGCCTGCTTCCATCTTCTTAGCCACTTTTCCCTCAGGTGAGACCATGAGATTAGGAACCTGTTTCAATTCCCGTCGGAATTTCCCAACAGAGCTGGGGCTTTGTGATTCGAATATGTTCAGAGAAGGAAGCAGAAGGAAGCAGAAATGAAGGATGTTATCAGAAAAGGAGACTCAGGGTTGGGTGTGGTGGCTCACGCCTGTAATCCCAGCACTTTGGGAGGCCAAGGTGAGTGGATCACCTGAGGTCAGGAGTTTGAGACCAGCCAGGCCAACATGGTAAAACCCTGTCTCTACTAAAAATTACAAAAATTAGCCAGGCGTGGTGGCATGCGCCTGTAATTCAAGCTACTCGGGAGACTGAGGCAGGAGAATCACTTGAACCCGGGAGGCGAAGGTTGCAGTGAGCCAAGATCATGCCACTGCACTCCAGCCTGGGTGACAGAGCAAGACTCCATCTCAAAAAAATAAATAAATAAATAAATAAATACAGGAAAAGGAAGCTCGGTAGTTTTCAGGGGCTGCTGGCGTTTCCAAGCTTTAGGCATTTTGCTTTGAGTCTTTTTCTGTCTTTCGAGTCATCCTGAAGTGGAACCGAGAGAGGACTGAGTGGGTGGAGGGGGTGGTGGTGGGGACGGCTGTCTGCTCTGCTGGAATTGAGAGTCTGGGAGATCATTGTGGTGTTTTTGGAGTGATTCTTAACCCCAGATATAGACAGTGACACAAGGGGCATAAATACGAGGAACAGTGACCTTCCCTGGTGTCCTTGTTTGAAGCATTTGACCATCTGGGCAAGGCCTGGGAGTGTCTGAACTGGCTGGTGCTTCCATGAACAAGCACAGACTCAGAGCCCATGGTCCTGGGTTCGAATCCTAGTTCTTCCACTTCTTTGCTGTATGACCTTTGTCTACAAAAAATAAAAATTTAGCCAGGCACAGTGGCGTGTGCCTGTAGCCCCAGCTACTCGGGAGGCTGAGGCAGGAAGATCCATTGAGCCCAGGGGTCGAGGCTGTAGTGAGCTATGATTGCACCACTGCACTCCAGCCTGGGCAACAGAAGCAGACCCTGAAGAAAGAAAGAAGCTGGGAAGACAGGGAAGAAGGAAGGAAGAAAGGAGGGAGGGAGAGGGGAAGGAAGGAAGGAAAAAAAAGGGAGGGAACAAGGAAGGAAGGAAGGAGGTGGGGACGGAGGGAAGAAGGAAGGAAGGAGGGAGGGAAGGAAGGAAAGGGAGGGAGGGGAGGGAGGAGGGAGGGAGGGAAGAAAAAAAGGGAAGGGAAGGAACTTTGGAACTACTGAACATCTCTGTTTCCTCATCTATAAAAAGAGGGATAAGTCATCATCATATCTTCCTCTATGGTCATTGAGTGGATGAAATAAGACAGCATTTGCAAATCCCCTAATGCATACCTGGCCCCTGATTTTGTTCCTTGGGCTGCAGCGATGATAGAGGTTTAAAACCTCCAAACGCTGTGTTGAAATCTCTCACGTGGACAACCAGCCCACCAGCAGAGAATGTCATTTTTCCATCCTGGGTAAACAGGGTAGAGAAGAATGAGGACCTCAGGCCAGGTTAGAGAGACCTCGCTTGGTGACCTTGGGAAGGCTTTTAACTTTTAACTTTAATGCTAACATCTGGTTCCCTCCAGTTAGGCAGTCGGCGGCCTAGCCGTCTTGTCTTGAAGTTTCTCTTGCCTTCCATCATGGGTTTATTTGTTCAGCAAATGTTTATGGAGGGCCAGCACAGGGGGGAATAAGAACTAGAGTTCTGGGAGGACGTGTGAAGAAACAAGTTCCGAGCCCCAGGGAGGAAAGAGGTCATTGCCTCCCTCTGGGGAAAATGTCTCTTCTCATACCTGGTTCACTTCTTAAATGGAATTTCCCCCTTCAGATGAGTAAGGCGTTTAATCACAAAGAGAAAACACCTTCATCACATAGCCATCCTTAAAAGGCATTTATTGTGAAGCTGGTTCATAGACTTCTCGCCCAGGTTGCTAACAGCCAACCTGTCTGGGTTTTGGGAAGTTAAAGTGTCTGTATCCCATTTCCTTTTTTTTTTTGAGACAAAGTCTTGCCCTGTCACCTAGCCTGGAGTGCAATGGCACAATCTCTGCTCACTGAAACCTCTGCCTCCCGGGTTCAAGCGATTCTCCTGCCTCAGCCCTCCCGCGTAGCTGAGATTGCAGGCGTGCACCACCACGCCTGGCTAATTTTTTGTATCTTTACTAGAGATGGGGTTTCACCATGTTGGTCAGGCTGGTCTCGAACTCCTGACTTCGTGACTCACCAGCCTCAGCCTCCCAAAGGGCTGGGATGACAGGCGTGAGCCACTGTGCCCAGCCAGTTCTGACTTTTTAACTTGTGATTTGACTTTTCCTGTCTGAAGTCTTTCTCTGCTGGACGTGAGTTGTTGAAGGTGTTGCTTTTCTTTGTAGACAATTAGAGGCGCTCATGCACTGGGCTATGGACAATAATACTTTGAAGATGTGCAAATGATTTGCAACCTTTGTTGCATAAATTATCCCTCTGAGATGCTGTTTGGCTTGATAAATAAAGGACCTGCAAGAGAGAATTTATCTTGAGCATTCCTTGGGGGAGAGAAGCAAAGGGGAAGTGAATGCTGCATAATAATTCTTTGCATACTTTATGGAGGGTGGGTTCCTGCAGTGCCCTGTAGGGTTTTTTGTTTGTTTTTTTTTTTTTTTTTTGAGATGGAGTCGCTCTGTAGCCCAGGCTGGAGTGCAATGGTGCGATCTTGGCTCACTGCAACCTCCGCCTCCCGGGTTCAAGCGATTCTCCTGCCTCAGCCTGCCAAGTAGCTGGGACTACAGACGTGCTCCACCACGCCCAGCTAATTTTTGTATTTTTAGTAGAGACAGGGTTTCACCGTGTTAGCCAGGATGGTCTCGATCTCCTGACCTCGTGATCCGCCCACTTCGGCCTCCCAAAGTGCTGGGATTACAGGCGTGAGCCACCGCGCCCGGCCCCCTGTAGTGGTTTAAAGCATCTTCACTGTTATTCTAAGCCTCACATTTTAAACAGAGCTGAAAAAGGACTCTAATTGCTGGCCTGGGATCCTTGTGTGCTGTAGGAATTCACTGAGGGGGCGGGGCTGGAGAGGGCTGCTAGAGGGTGGTACAGAAGCAGATGGAACTTTCTCTCTGGCTGGACACAGTAGCTCACACCTGTAATCCCAGCACTTTGGGAGGCTGAGGTTGGTGGATCACCTGAGGTCAGGAGTTCGAGACCAGCCTGGCCAACATGGTGAAGCCCCGTCTTTACTAAAAATACAAAAAATTAGCAGGACGTGGGGGTGGGTGCCTGTAGTCCCAACTACTTGGGAGGCTGAGGCAGGAGAATCGCTTGAACCCGGGAGGTAGAGCTTGCAGTGAGCCGAGATCATGCCATTGCACTCCAGCCTGGGCAACAAGAGTGAAACTCCATCTCAAAAAAACCCAAAAATAAATTTAAAGAAAAATTTTCTCTCTGATTCTGCCTGCCTGCCTGCTAGACTGGAAGCACCATGAGGTCAAGGTCCACGATGTCTTGTCGCTATTGAAGCGCCTCCAAAACATGGCAGACCCTCAGCAAATCTTGGACAGATGAATGGGCATTCGATTCAACATGTGTCTGCTAGGTGGGAGCTGAGCGGGAATCGCAGGGCTTGGGTCCCGGGGATGATGGGGAATGGCAGTGTGACTGTGGGGAAGCCAGGGGAATGGGGTGCTGGAGCCCCCAAAGCTATAAATCAGGGCCTGATGAACAGACAGACAGATGGACCAACTTAACCATTTCAGCCCCATCGGCTTTGATGATTTCCCTCTGGCTCTGGCAAGAGTCTCGCTCACCAAGTGGTTCTCACCCTAGGGTGGGTCTGGATATTTCTGGGGACATCTGTGGTTGTCACACGTCGGGGTGGGGGGAGATGCTCCTGACATGGAGTGGGTGGAGGCCAGGGATACTGCTCAGCACCCTGCAATGTACAAGACGGCCCCTCCCCAGATGAAGATCCGACTCTGAATACCACCAGTCCTGAGGCTGAGAAACCCTACTTTAAGATAACAGTGATGGGGGAATTATCCACCCCAGAGTCTGAGTCTGTGACTTGGGAAACGGCCCCGGCATTACCAGGTGTTGAATTCGTGAGAATACAAGGAGAAGGCGTGTAGCCCGTGACCCAGTCCTGCCCCAGACAAACCGATATTCCCTCCAAAGCTCTATTTGGCAGAAGAAGTGTTTTCGTTCCCTCTTGCCTGTGGTATCTCCCCTGATAAGCGTTGTGGATTGTTCCAGACCGTGTTGACGGGGACAGCTTCCTTCTCCGCGGCTGCCGGCCCTGACCCTGCAGCTTTCAGTCTGTGGGAGTAGAGTCAGCTGTTGAGCAGTTTACTCTGTCCCTGTGTCAATGGGATTGTGCATGTTTTGGTTCCTGAGGGGTCATTGATGGTGCACTTTTCTTTTGTTGTTAGTCAATTTAATTTGTTACTAATAATAAAATCTGGAACTTACCTGACCCCAAAGGCCCAGGTCGTTAAGAATGCTTGGTGGAATGCACGTCCTTTTCAAATACCGGCTCCTTTGGAAAACACAGAGGATGGAGTGAAATCCTTACCTGGATTGTACTGGCAGTGGGATGACAGCGTCACCTCCTGAAAATGGAATGTAGCTTATTGCTAAATAAGACAGCGCAGTGCCTCCCTCGCACCTGTCATCTTGGTGCTTAGAG
Organism: Homo sapiens; assembly: GCF_000001405.40. Taxonomy (NCBI): domain Eukaryota; kingdom Metazoa; phylum Chordata; class Mammalia; order Primates; family Hominidae; genus Homo; species Homo sapiens. The sequence goes on along the minus strand of NC_000019.10, from coordinate 7,211,323 downwards.
AGGCCAAGGTGGGAGGAATTCTCGAGGCCAGGAGTTCAAAACCAGCCTGGGCAATACAGAAAGAGCCTATTTCTACTACAAATATAAAAATTAGCTGGGCATGGTGACATGCACCTGTAGTCGCAGCTACATGGGAGGCTGAGGTGGGAGAATCGCTTAAGCCCAGGAAGTCGAGGCTGCAGTGAGCTGTGACTTGCTACTGCACTCCAGCCCATGCAGCTGAGCGAGATCCTCTTTCAAACAAACCAGCCAACTAACAAGCAGGCCCCAAGGGGACAATTTTTCTGGAATTACCTGATTGTATCAAGAACAGTTTGATCAACACCTGTAATCCCAGTACTTTGGGAGGACGGATCACTTGAGGTCAGGAGTTAGAGACCAGCCTCGCCAACATGGTGAAACCCTGTCTCTACTAAAAATATAATAATTAGCTGGGCATGGTGGTGGGTGGCTGTAATCCCAGCTACTTGGGAGGCAGAGGCAGGAGAATTGCTTGAAACCGCGAGGCAGAGGCTGCAGTGAGCTGAGACTGTACCACTGCACTCCAGCCTGGGCCACAGAGTAAGACTCTGTCTCTCTCTGTCTCTCTGTCTCTGTCTCTCTCTCTCCATATATACATATATATTTATATATATAACTTATCTTGAAGACGGTTTTGGCACGCCTTAACTTTTATGCCAGAGGCCAGTGCCTTGCTTGTGTCACCCTGGTTCCAAGAATCTGCATAGTTTTTCCCAGCCCATTCTACAGACAGGGAAACTGAGGACCAGGCACACTAGGTTCCCCTCCAGGAGTCGCACAGCGAGGAGAAAGTGGAGCCATGACTTGATGCCAAACACTGAGACTCCAGAACCCATATTTTCTCAGCTCTTAGGTTTTTGTCAATTTCCTAAATTTGTGTGTGTTTTAGTGGGGCTGAGTTTCTCCTGTTAATTTGTTTATGGAGAGGAGACACTCTTGTTTACTTTTTTTTTTTTTTTTTTGAGACAGAGTCTCTGTTGACCAGGCTGCAGTGCAATGGCTCAATCTCGGCTCACTGCAACCTCCACCTCCTGGGTTCAAGCGATTCTCCTGCCTCAGCTTCCCGAGCAACTGGGATTACAGTCACACACCACCACACCTGACTAATTTTTGTATTTTTAGTAGAGATGGGGTTTTCCCATGTTGATCAGGCTGGTCTCAAACTCCTGACCTCAGGTGATCCACCCGCCTCGGCCTCCTAAAGTGCTGAGATTACGGGTGTGAGCCACTGCGCCTGGCTCTTGGCGTTCTCCCTTAGTAATACTTCTTGGGGGTCATTTTGAATCTCTGTTTCTTCTGTGGTCACGTTCATTTGGAATTTACTTATTCAACCCACAACCAATAGACATTTCCAGCCCTTTGTTAGTATAAACAGAACTTCTCTTTGACTTTCACAGCGTTTTTGTTCTGGAGGTGCTATCCTTGATTGCTAAGACACCCACGACATTGCTCTTGGAATTGGAGTAGGGTGGATGAAATAGTATTCAAAGATGGGGGTGGTGCAAATGTTCTGTATTTCAACCTGTACATTAGTCAAGTGTTATTTTTACCCTCATGTACATCTATTATGGAATAAAATACATGACTTTGGCCAGGCGTCATGGCTCACACCTGTAATCCCAGCACTTTGGGAGGCTGAGACGGGAGGATCGCTTGAATCCAGGAGTTCGAGACCAGCCTGGGCAGCATAGCAAGACCCCTTCTCTAAAAAAAAAAAATTAGCTGGGCATGGTGGTGTGTGCCTATAATCCCAGTTACTCGAGAGGCTGAGGCAGGAGGATCAGTTAAGCCTGGGAAGTCGAGGCTGCAGAGAGCTGTGATAGGCAGCCTGGGTGACAGAGAAAGACCCTGTCTCAAAACAAAAAACAAAACAAAACATGACTTTTATGGAGTTGAGCTCAACGTTTGCATACACATGAGGAGCAGAAGCTGGAGGTTTCAAATAAATATCTGGCTTCTGCAGGCTGCCTGGAGAGAGGTGAGAGCGATGCATTGGTCACCCAGCCTGGAGTGCAGTGGTGTGATCACAGCTCACTGCAGCCTTGACCTTCTGGGCACAAGCAATCCTCCTGCTTCAGCTTCCTGAGTAGCTGGGACCACAGGTGTGTGCCACTATGCCCAGCTAATTTTATTTATTTATTTAGAGATGGAATCTTGCTCTGTCGCCCAGGCTGGAATGCAGTGGCACAATCTTGGCTCACTGCAACCTCTGCCTCCTGGGTTCAAGCAGTTCCCATGCCTCAGCCTCCTGAGTAGCTGGGATCACAGGCATGTGCCACTATGCCCAGCTAATTTTTTTTTTTAATGGAGTCTTGCTCTGTTGCCAGGCTGGAATGCAGTGGCGCCATCTTGGCTCACTGCAACTTCCAACTCCCCTGTTCAAGCGATTCTCCTGCTTCTGCCTCTCGAGTAGCTGGGATTACAGGCACGCGCCACCATGCCCAGCTAATTTTTGTATTTTTAGTAGAGAGGGGGTTTCGCATGTTGGCCAGGATGGTCTCGATTTCCTGACCTCGTGATCCGCCCACTTCGGCCTCCCAAAGTGCTGGGATTACAGGCGTGAGCCACTGCGCCCAGCCTAATTTTTGTACCCCTAGCCGAGACAGGGTTTTGCCATGTTATCTAAGCTGGTCTCGAGCTCCTGGGCTCAAGCGATCCACCCGCCTGGGCCTCCCAAAGTGCTGGGATTACAGGTGTGAGCCACTGCGCCCGGCCACAGCTGTTGTTTTCTCACTGGCTTGAGAATTGTTCTCTTAAGCTGGTCAAGGTTATGACGGTTTGTGTGGCCTGTGCACGTGTGTGTGGTCAAATCCCATTTTTCTAAAGCAAAGTTTCTATTTGGGTATCTGCTGTTTAATTTTTCAGGGATTTTTTTTTTCCGGTTGCTAAGGAAAGTACATTAAATTTTATCTTTGTATCCTGTAGAACTCTTTGTGAATAATACACGGCCAGAGGGAAGATAGGCTGAGGAAACAGATAGGAAGGAAGTTCAAGGGGGGGATTTCTATGTGAGAACCAAGAAACACCTTTGATCTTTAGATTTCAAAGTGGGAAGTTCAAGGTGAGGTGGGCGTGGAATTAGGAGTAAACCCAAGAAGAGCGAGTGGGCGGTTCCTCCTGGCAGCCACAGAATAGTTACGTGGCATGAGGTCAGTAGCATCTCAGAGGGTGTTGTTGTCTTTGACTTAGATGAGTTCCAAGAAGCAGAAGTTCGTGAGCCAAACACGAGGTGGTTTTCTGGGGGGTACAAGGGCTGGAAGAGGGGCCAGCTCTTAACCACAAATCCCTTTCCATGCCCAAGGCCAAGCTCCTTGTAACTCTTTTCTTTCTTTGCCTCCCTCCCTCCCTCCCTCCCTCCTTCCCTTCCTTCCTTCCTTCCTTCCTTCCTTCCTTCCTTCCTTTCCTTCCTTCCTTCTCAAACAAGGTCTCACTCTATCACCCAGGCTAGAGTGCAACGGCACAGTCATAGCTCATTGCAGCCTCAAACCCCTGTGCTCAAGTGATCCTCCTGCCTCAGGCCCTCAAGTAGTTTTTAAACTTGTTTGTAGAGATGGGTCTTGCTATATTGCCCAGGCTTGTCTCGAACTTCTGGTCTTAAGCGATCCTCCTGCCTCAGCCTCCCAAAGTGCTGGGATTACAGGTGTGAGCCACTGGCCCGGCCCATTCTCCTTTCTTTAGCCAGGCTAGGGAGACATAAGTGGGGAAACTCATGTTGTTTTTTGAGATGGTTGCTTTATTCTCGTGATATTTTCCCTCTTTCCAACTTCCTTGAGCCCTCCCCAGCCTCCTCTTAGTGTCTGTGTGTGGGTGAGGGGGCTTTGGTATACCTTCTGCTTTGGGTCTCATTCATTTTAATTTTTTATTTTGTTTTGTTTTGTTTTGTTTTGAGATGGAGTCTCACTCTGTTGCCCAGGCTGGAGTGCAGTGGCACCATCTTGGCTCACTGCAACCTCTGCCTCCCGGGTTCAAGCGATTCTCCTGCCTCAGCCTCCCGAGCAGCTGGGGATTACAGGTGCATGCCACCATGCCTGGCTAATTTTTCTATTTTTAGCAGAGACAAGGTTTCACCATGTTGGCCAGGCTGGTCTCGAACTCCCGACCTCAGGTGATCTGCTTGCCTCAGCCTCCCAAAGTGCTGGGGTTACAGGCGTGAACCACCGTGCCTGGCCACGGGTCTCATTCATTTTAGTTGGAGCCCAAATTCACTGGTGGTTCAAGTTCCCAATCATTCTCGGCATTCTATAATCACAGGCCTCAGAGAGTAATGCTCCCAATGGCCCTCAAATTATGGTTTCCTTAGGAGGCTATTAAATCTTGATTTCTGAGAGGAAAATTGGGGATTTTGTGTTTTCCCTTTTAGACTTGAGTGTTCTGTTACTGTGGATGAGCTCTTCTAGAAACTTCCAAGCAGTTTCAAAGGGGATTTAGATGTCATCAGGAAGTGTGGTTGACAACGTGATATTTGGGCTTTAGAAAAACAGCGTGTCACCCGTTTTATTTATTCCTTGATGACTCTTTTTTTGTTTGTTTTTGTTGTGGTCGTTGTTGTTGAGACAGGGTCTCACTCTGCCACCCAGGCTGGACTGCACTGGTGCAATCTCTGTTCACTGAAACCTCCTCCTCCTGGGTTCTTGCAAATAGACAGTCCCATTTGGTGGTGACGGGAGACAGTGACAGATCATCAAGCATTAGATTCTCATAAAGAGCGTGCAACCCAGATCCCTCGCATGCACAGTTCACAATAGGGTTCACGCTCCTAGGAGAATCTAATGCTGCTGCTGATCTGACAGGAGGCGCAGCTCAGATGGTCATGCAAGCAATGAGGAGTGACTGTAAATACAGATGAAGCTTCCATCGCTCGCCCGCCCCTCGTCCACTGCTGTGCAGCCTGGTTCCTAACTGGCTGGTTTGAAACTAGACTGGGCAACATGGCCAAACCCCGTCTGCTCAAAAAATACCAAAATTAGCTGAGTGTGGATCACAAGTGTGTGCCTGTAGTCCCAGCTACTTGGGAGGCTGAGGTGGGAAGATTGAGTGAGCCCAAGAGGTAGAAGCTGCAGTGAGCTATGATCACACCCACTGCACTCCAGCCTGGGTTACAGAATGAGATTCTGTCTCTCAACTCCCTGAGGGGTGGGGGACCCCTGGTTTAATCCATCCAACCCTCTCTTCCCATGAAATAAAGGAAGTTGTGAGTGCTATTTTGTGCGTCATCCCCTCCAGTATTCAAGTCAGCCCAAGGTACTTCGATGGTTCCCGTCTGCACATGGGGAAACCGAGGCACAGAAAGCAGACTCATGTGACCAGGAAGTAGCTGTGTCTGCTCGAAACTCAGGTCGACCTGATACCATAAGTCCTTGCACTCCACGTGCTGGCTATTGAAGCTGTGGCTCGCAGGTCTGATGGGAGAGCCTCAGACAGTGTCTCACTCTGTCACCCAGGCTGGAGTGCTGTCATGCAGTCATAACCCACTGCAGCTTTGACCTCCTGGGCTAATTGATCCTCCCACCTCAGCCTCCCGAATAGCTGGGACTACAGGTGTGCACCACAATGCCCACCTAATTTTTGTATTATCTGTAGAGATGGGCGTGGGGGGTGTGAGGGGTCTTGCCATGTTGCCCAGGCTGGTCTTGAACTCCTGACCTCAGGTGATCCTCCAGCTTCAGCCTCCCAAAGTATCGGGATTACAGGCATGAGAGAGCCACTGCAGGAAGCCAAGAGAGCAGATTTGGACAATGTAGAATTTCTCCACGCTCCTCCTACTGTCCCCATCTTAGGCCTGGCTACTGCGGGACTGACAGGCATGGCTGGCTGTCCATCCGTTCCTTAGTTTGATTGCATGGCAGACATGAGGAAGGAAGGTGAGAACTGAGCTAGAAAGTTGGCATTTGGTGCTCTGGTTTCTCAATGCAAGAAAGTAACACTTTGGCTTTTATAGAATAACCTTCTGAGGAAATTAACAACCCGGGCGTTTCAGCCCCCTGTGAACTTGATTGGAGCATGGTCACAATTTGTAACGAAATGTGCTTGCATGCCCAGTGCTAAAGATTTCTCTCTGTCTACCCTCTAGGCTGTGGAAAGGTCTGTTCTAACCATTAGCTTGTATCTGGAGCTCAGATGGTGCCGGACACTCCGTAGGAGCTCAGATCTGTTGATAGAAGCCACTAGAGAATGGGACAAGCAACAGGAGGTGTTTTGCTGCCTAGTAAACTTTTTTTGAGATGAAGTTTCACTTTTGTTGCCCAAGCTGGAGTGCAGTGGTGCCTTCTCGGCTCACCGCAACCTCTGCCTCCTGGCTTCAAGCGATTCTCCTGCCTCAGCCTCCCAAGCAGCTGGGATGACAGGCACCCGCCACCATGCCCGGCTAATTTTTTTTGTATATTTAGTAGAAATGAGGTTTTGCCATGTTGGCCAGGCTGGTCTCGAGTTCCTGACCTCAAGTGCTCTGCCCGCCTCGGCCTCCCAAAGTGCTGGGATTACAGGCGTGAGCCACTGCGCCCGGCTCTACCCATCTTTCTTACATGATGATGTTCAGCAGCCAGCCTGATAGGGGAGCATTGTTTGTCCTTTTTTTCCTTATTGCATTTTCCCCGCATAGGTGCCAGGGCTCAGTAGCATAAATCCAGGTAGAACTGGGAAGTTCCAGGTATCTGGGCTGTTTGCTCTGGTGGACAAAGAGCAGCTGCAAGGTGGGTCTTGATTAGCCAGTGAAGTCTGAGGATCCAGAGGGAAACTTATTCCTTTCTTTTGTTGAAATCAACATGAGCAGGAAATGGATCTTTCCCCCAATCAGAGAACTTCACATGTTTTTCTAATAGAATAGCAGTGTCTGAGGTATATACACGGGGAGTGGCCCCCCGGGAAAACGAGGCCATGAGGCTCCTGGCATGGAGATGACACACGAAGACTCTCGTAACTTATAGAGGGGAAAATAAAGCAGTCATTCCAGGCTGGGCATGGTGGCTCACGTCTGTAATCCCAGCACTTTGGGAGGCCGAGGCAGGTGGATCACCTGAGGTCAGGAGTTCGAGACCAGCCTGGCCAACATGGTGAAACCCCAACTCTACTAAAAATAAAAAATTAAAAAAAAAAATTAGTTGGGCATGGTGCTGGGCACCTGTAATCCCAGCTACTCAGGAGGCTGAGGCAGGAGAATTGCTTGAACCCGGGAGGCAGAGATTGCAGTGAGCCGGGAGCCTGTAATCCCAGCTACTCAGGAGGCTGAGGCAGGAGAATTGCTTGAACCCGGGAGGCAGAGATTGCAGTGAGCCGGGAGCCTGTAATCCCAGCTACTCAGGAGGCTGAGGCAGGAGAATTCCTTGAACCTGGGAGGCAGAGATTGCAGTGAGCCAAGATCACACCACTGCACTCCAGCCTGGGTGACAAGAGTGAAACTCCATCTGAAATAAAATAAAATATAAAAGTTAAAGCAGTCATCCTGGCTTTTAGGAACCCGCAGAATCAGGAGGTAAGCTAAAAGTCGTCTCCCTTTTGTCACGATGGAATGTGAAATAGGTGCATTTTCCTTCTGACTTATGATTCTGTTTCACGGTGCCTCTGCAGAAATTCAGTACGTCCCCATGGGCACCTGTGTCCTTCAGGAGTTGAGGAAATTTTCTCCATTCCTTGTCCCTGTCCCTAGACTCTGCCAGCTCGTGCATGTAGAAGCTCCCGGGAAAACTGTCAACCTGTGCACATTCAAGACCGCCATATACTTGTTATTGAAAAGCCATCAGTCATGTGAGCAGAACTTTTTTATGGTTGAGATTGTCCCCAGGGAAACCCGCCTTGCAATTCAGACCTTCCACGGAGATCGATTCCAAACTCTCATCCCGTTCCCACTTCCTCGTTCCCATGGAGGCTGCGGTTCTCTCTCTCTGTGCCGCTTACAGATTGTCATACCTATTTCCAAAAATGACACAGAAAACTTCAACGTGTGGCTAAATTTGAACAGAGAAAAATAAGCAAAGAATTCAAGGCGCGAGGCGTTTTCAGGGAGAGAGGGAGAGCTTTTGCATGGTTTGAAGGGATGATCTTTAATGAGTTGAGGGTCACCTAGAATAGAATTAAACTGTAGAGAGCAAATTGTTGGAAATGCAAGGAGAAACTTCGGAGAAGACTCCAACACAGCCTGGATCTGGGAGATGAGACTCAGGTAACAAAAAGTTTGAATAACATGGTTAATAAGATTGTGGTAACAGATAGGACTGAACTTTGCACTCTGCAAACAATATACATTTTAAAGTGCTCTTGGAATAGTTAGAAAAATCAATCATCTGTTAAATCTGAAAAAAAAAAAAAAAAAACAACAAAACCCCACCCCAAACCAATACATTCCAAAAAAGCAGACATTGTACGGGTTCTAATCTCTGGCTGCAAGTAAGCATAACTGGAATTAATTTTTAAAAGCTTAACTGAACAAGCATGTAAGAGAGACTCCTACCACTTGATAATTAAAAAGAAAATGAAAACCAAAAAAACAAAAACAAAAAAACCGAAAAGGGCTGGGCACCATGGCTCACGCCTGTAATCCCAGCACTTTGGGAGGCCGAGGCGAGCGGATCACCTGAGGTCAGGAGTTCGAGACCAGCCTGGCCAACATGGTGAAACCCCGTCTCTACTAAAAGTACAAAAATTAGCTGAGGGTGGTGGCGCATACCCTGTAATCCTAGCTACTTGGGAGGCTGAGGCAGGAGAACCGCTTGAACCCCGGGGGCAGAGGTTGCAGTGAGCCGAGATGGTGCCATTGGACTCTTCTAGCCTGGGCAACAAGAGCTAACCTCCATCTCAAAAAAACAAAAAACACAAAACAAAACAAAAAAACAACCAACCCCTAAGTCTTAAGTTGGAGGATCGAAACACTGCAAGGATAGACTATTTGAAGATGACAATGATGTGAACATGGAGACAAAGGCAGAGGTTTAAATGATTATAGAGGAAATTTGCTTGATAATTTATTATATGAATATAGAGAGAAATCACAAAAATGAGATGATGAATATTGGAAATAATAAGCACAGACGAACTGATTAGAAAACAAATAGAACTGACAAAATCAAAAAGCTGGATCTTTTAGAGAGATGCTGCTCAGTAGGGTGGCCACAACCCACGTGAAAATTAAATTAAAAATTCATTTTCTCAGTCGCACGAGCCAAGTTTCCACTGCTTAGGGGCCATGTATGGTTAGTGACTACTGAAATGGATAGAACAGATACAGAACTTTTCCATAGCTGCTGAACGTTTGTTGGACAGTGCTGTTTTAGAGGGAGGAATCAATAAAACAGAAAAACTAAGACAAAGGAGGGGGAGAGAACAAATATTGTAGATAAAATTAAGAATGAAGGCCTAGCGCGGTGGCTCACGCCTGTAATCCCAACACTTTGGGAGGCCGAGGCGGGTGGATCACGAGGTCAGGAGATCGAAACCATCCTGGTTAACACGGTGAAACCCCGTCTCTACTAAAAATACAAAAAATTAGCTAGGCGTGGTGGCCGCGCCTGTAGTCCCAGCTACTTGGGAGGCTGAGGCAGGGGAATGGCGTGAACCCGGGAGGGGGAGCTTGCCGTGAGCCGAGATCGCGCCACTGCACTCCAGCCTGGGCGACAGAGTGAGACTCCAACTCAAAAAAAAAAAAAGAATGAAAATAGATGTAATTTATTTATTATTGATTGATTGATTGAGACAGAGTCTCACTTGGTCGCCCAGGCTGGAGTGCAGTGGTACAATCTCAGCTCACTGTAACCTCTGCCTCCAGGGTTCAAGCGATTCTCCTGCCTCAGCCTCCCGAGTAGCTGGGATTACAGGCGCCCACCACCACACCCAGCTAATTTTTGTATTTTTAGTAGAGAAGTGATTTCACCCTGTTGGCCAGGCTGGTCTTGAACTCCTGACTTCAGGTGATACACCCGCCTCGGCCTCCCAAAGTGCTGGGATTAAAAACAGATGTCATTTAAATCCATAAAAAATTGTAAAGACAGCTCTACTAACAATTTTGGAAATATTAAAAATAACTTCATTTACTGATTCAAGTGTTACTTTTATTTAGCTTAATTGTTTCTCTTTACCAGAAATTGAGGCTCTGAATTTGCCCCAGAGAATGGGTATGCCATTCTCTCTCATAAGCTGTACTCTCTTATTATCAGTAATTTCTAAATAGCCTGTAAAATTTATATGGACTCAAAATGCAGGAAACATCAATAGGTTGAAACTCAACAACTTGTAAAAAGTTACTCCTGTACTTAATTGCATAAAATGTGTATTGCCTACATGAATGAGAATAAAAACTTCCAAAATGCCCCCAACAAACAGGGGTTTTTGCACCTTGCCATGAGTAGCTTTCTGGAGCAAGCCGGAGTGGTTAGAGCTGTGACTCGGCAACCACAAACACAACCATTTTTGTGTGGAAGTGTGGCTCTTCAGCCTTTTTTTTTTTTTTTTTTTTTTGAGATAAGGTCTCACTCTGTTACCCAGGCTGGAGTGCAGTGGCGTGATCCTAGCTCACTGCAGCCTCAACTTCCTGGACTCGAGCAATCCTTCTGCCTCAGCTTCCCAAGTAGCTGGAACTACAATCATGTGTCATCATGCCCAGCTAAGTTTTATTTTTTTTAATCTTTAATTTTTTTAAGAAATAGAGATGAGGTCTTGCTATGTTGCCCAGGCTGGTCTTGAACTCCTAGGCTCAAGCAATCCTCCTGCCTCAGCCTCCCCATTAGCTGGAACTACACTTGTGTATCATCATGCCCAGCTAATTTTTAATTTTTTATTTATTATTTTTTTAAAGAGATAAGGTCTTGCTCTGTTGCCCAGGCTGGTCTTGAACTCCTAGGCTCCAGCAATCCTCCCACCTCAGCCTCCAAAGTGCAGCCTCTATATCTTGAACTCCACACCTCAAACCCAGATTGTCCACATGTGAGCACCTGTCTTTTTGGTTTGCTGTTTCTCTCGTGAGTTGTATCCAGTTGCCCAAGGTGGAAAGTTGGGCGTCATCCAGCAGGTAAGTCCTGACACCTCCACCTCCCCGATGGCTTCAGAAGCCAGCCTCTTCTTTTCTGTTTCCTCTGCCTCTCAACTTCCTCATCCATCTACCATAAGCCAGAAAAATGACCCCCAAATGTGAATCCGATGGTGTTCTTTCTGCCTGACATCTTTCTTTGGCTTCTGCTGTGGGGTAAAGTCCAAGCCCCTTGGTTCCCTGTCTTTCCTCTCTGGTCTAATCTTCTATTCCTCTCATCCTGTACTTTGCCCTTCATCAACTCTGAACTGTTTATAGTTCTCTGAACATAGCCCGAGTGATTCACACATTTGCATGTACTGTTCCTCTCCTGCTGTGATAAAGGGACAGTCACCTAATCCCCGCCCCTCCGTTGCATTTTTTTTTTCCTACAAGATTTATTATGCACCTACTGTGTGTATGGCTCTGGGATGCTGTAATAAGCAAGACAGACACATCTTTCCCTTCACGGGGCGTATGTGTCTCGTGCATACTGGGAGGGCAGGGACAGGGTCTCCATTCATTTCTGCATTCCAATGCCAAGAGGGTGTCAGATCTGGGTGGGTCGAGGTAGGGAACAGGTAAACATAACTCACAGTGTGATGCCGTGTTACAGCCAGGCTGGGTTCCTCACGCCTGTGATGGCAGCGCTTTGGGGAGCCAAAGTGGGAGGATTGCTTGAAGCCAGGAGTTTGAGACCAGCCTAGGCAACATAGAGAGACCCGCTCTCAAAAAAAAAAAAAAAAAAAAAAGCTGTCGCAGTGGCACTCTCCTGTAGTCCTAGCTCCTTGGGAGGCTGAAGCGGAAGGATCACTTGAGCCCAGGAGTCCTAGACTGCAGTGAGCTATGATGGCTCCATTGCACTCCAGCCTGGGCCACAGAGTAAGACCCTGTTTCAAACAAACAAACAAATTTAAAAAATCAAACAAACTCCCACTCCCCCAAACTCCATACCACACCCTCTCCTGGTCTCTCTGGGAGACCTGGATTCGAGTTCTGGCAGAGCTGGTTATTGGCAAAGTAGCCCCTCTATGCCTCGGTTTCTCCAATTCTAATGGTGATGATTGCTTGAATAATTGAGTTAATATGACCTCATTGATGGATTGGACCGTGTGTGCTGCAAACAGATTACACACTTTAAAGTGTATTCATGCCTGTAATCCCAACACTTTGGTAGACTGAGGCAAGAGGATCACTTGAGGCCAGGAGTTCTAAACCAGCCTGGGCAACGAGTCCCCATGTCTACAAAAAAATAGAAAAAATTAGCCAGGCATAGTGATGCACGCCTGTAGTCCCAGCTACTCGGGAGGCTGAGGTGGGAGGATGGCTTGAGCCCAGGAGTTTGAGGCTGCAGTGGGCGATGATCACACCACTGCACTCCAGCCTGAGGCGACAGAGTGAGACCCCCCCCCCAAAAAAAGTGTATTTATGGGGGTGAATGTTAAATGAGAATGTCCACTCGCTGCCTTGGTTTACTGGAACTGCAAATTCAATGGGGACACACAAGTTTTCAAATGCATGCGGAATACTGGCTGGAGGTTACCCCAAAAACGTAGCCTGTGGATTTTAAGAATGTATTTATGAGTATGGTTCTCGTTTTCTGGGTGAGTGGTGGGTGAGAATAGAGGGTGCACTGGCCCGGCGAGTTCGGAGATGCGGACCCTCCCCCCCTGCAATGTGAGGAATTTTGCTGTGTGACCCTAGTGAGCCGCTGCACCTTTCTGGACCCCTCCCGAGGGAGGCCTGGGGTCAGGGGGCCCCTCGGCAGTCCCGGGAGCTGCCACGCGGTGACCCGATCTCCTCCCGGGCACACGCCCAGCGCCGCGCGCAGCCTAAGCCACCCCGGTGGATGCTTGATGAGCCCTTGCAAGCTCGGTTTCTCCTTTTCCCTAGCTTTTTCCAAAGTTCCATCCGTGGCAGACTCGACCTGCGGGGTCTGCAGCCACGAGGGGCCCTCCCAGGGCGCCCTTTCCTCTGGCCGGGACCGCCCGGCGGCGGCCACTGCCCGAGCGCCAGTCTGGGGAGCGGAGCCCGGCGCACCCGGGGGGCGGGGCCAGCGCCCCTGCAGCACGCCCGCCCATTGGCTGAGCGCGAGGGCGGCGCTGCGGCCGCCGCAACCGCCGGGGCCGGATTCCCCGGAGCGGAGTGCGCCCCGGGCTTTGTGCTGCGCTGAGGCCTCCGGCTCGAGGGGGCGGAGCCTTGAGCGCCTAGGGCTCCCTCCCTCGCCCCCATGGGCACACACGCAGACACGGGCACACACGCAGACACACACACACGCCCATCATGGACACACACACACGCTCGCCCACCATGGACACACACACACTCCCACCATGGGGACACACACACACTCCCACCATGGGGACACACACACACACACACACACACACACACTCTCACTCTGGAACCGACCAATCCTGGGGCTGCACAGACACACACGCGCACACACTCTCTCTCGTTCTCTCTCTCTCTCTCTCGTTCTCTCTCTCTCTCGCTCTCTCTCCCACTCTGGAACCGACCAATCCTGGGGACACACACACACACACACACACACTCCCACTCTGGAACCTGCCAATCACACACACACACACACTCCCACTCTGGAACCTGCCAAACACACACACACACTCCCACTCTGGAACCTGCCAAACACACACACACACTCCCACTCTGGAACCTGCCAAACACACACACACTCCCACTCTGGAATCTGACACACACACACACACACACACCCAAACACACACACTCCCACTCTGGAACCTGACACACACACACACACACACACACACACACCCCCACTCCCACTCTGGAACCTGCCAATCCTGGGGCTGCTCTAGCGAGGAGACCCCTGGGACCCCGCCTCCTTCCGGGCCTCTGCGTGCGCAGTATATCTCCTAAGAGATCCGCAGCATGGAGAGGGCCCGCCCCCGTGGACGGACTCACTCCCTCCCCACTCACTCACTCACTCGCTTACTCACTCACTCACTCTCTCTCCGAAGAGAAGAAGCCTGCGGCTCCCGAAGCGGGAAGGCCCTCTGGTACTCTGTTCCCTTTCTAGCCTCTATATGCGCCGTATGTCTCCAAAGAGCTGCGCAGTTCTATTCCAAAGGCGTCATCGCGTGTGGGGCGGTATTGTCAGGCAAGGAAAAGGGGCGCTTCCCCGCTTCAAGGACACGCGCTCCTGCGGTCGTCGCTGCTGACCACGAAGCTGTCAAAAGTTCACCTCCTTGGCTGCCCCCAACCCCTGCCCCTTTGCCATTAAATCATTTACTAGATTCCAACTAGAGGAATTTGGCTCCGGGGACTCGAACCTCTGAGGTCAGGGTCTGGGGCCAGTGTGGGAGAGAAAGGCCTTGAATGGAAACAAAATAAATTACTTTAAGGAGTTTATAAAACTCACACTTATAGGGAGAGCCGCGGGGCCCTGTGGTCAATGTACCAGCAGGCCCATGACGCAACTGTTCCGTTTGGAAATTTCTGGAAAGCAGTAATTTTTGGAATCATAAATCTTGAGTATTTTTTTTTTAAACTTTGGAAAGGTTTTTAAACTTTTTTTTTTTAAGTTTTTTTTAAACTTCGGAAAGTTTTAAGCTTTGGAAAGAATGTAACAAAATGTTATTAACATATGTGGAGCTATCGAATCATTTAATGGTGGTTTCTGTATTTTCTGTTTTGTTTTTTATCACATACCTTCTTAATTAAGAAAAACCCAAACTAATTTGAACTTTAAAAGGGAGGCAAACAAAAAAGTGTCAGAGTGACTGGATTTTTGTGCGCAAGTCATTTAACAATGCAGCGCTGCGTCTCCTATTTCTCTGGCTTTTAACCTTGCTTTGGACAAATTGGTCGCTTTTTGTTTTGATGTCGTTTCAAGCTTACGGAAAAATTGCAAGATTATATCTAGATCAATCAATTGTTTACGTTTTATTCTACTTGTTTTATTACCTTTCTAATATATTTATGCACACACATTATATACATTTTTTTCCCCTGAACTATTTGAGAGTTAGTTGCAGGCATGATACATACTCCTTAATTCTTCAGTGGATATTTCCTAAGAACAAGAAAGTTCTGAGGCCAGGCGTGGTGGCTCATGCCTGTAATCCCAGCACTTTGGGAAGCTGAGGCGGGCGGATCACCTGAGGTCAGGAGTTCGAGACCAGCCTGACCAACTTGGAGAAGCCCCGTCTCTACTAAAAATACAAAATTAGCCAGGCGTGGTGGCACATGCCTGTAATCCCAGCTACTCGGGAGGCTGAGGCAGGAGGTTCGCTTGAACCTGGGAGGCAGAGGTTGCAGTGAGCCGAGATGGTGCCATTGCACTCCAGCCTGGGCAACAAGAGCGAAACTCCGTCTCAAACAAAAAAAAAAAAAAAAAGAAAGAAAAGAAAGAAAGTTCTCTTACATAATGATGGTACTGGTGCCGTTGTCAAAATCAGGAAATTAACATTGATACAGTATTTTAATCCAATGTCTTCTATAATCTTATCTGTTGTCTCAATATTGCCCTATATAGATTTTTTTTCCTAGGCGAAGGTTCCAATCTAGGATCACACTTTGCATTTGAATGCTGCTGTCTCTTAAGTCCGCACAATTCCTCAGTTTTCTGTGTCTTTCCCAACATTGGCTTTTATTTATTTATTTATTTATTTATTTTTATTTTTTTTTGAGGCGGAGTCTTACTCTGTCACCCAGGCTAGAGTGCAGTGGTGAGATCTTGGCTGACTGCAACCTCTGTCTCCTGGGTTCAAGTGATTCTCCTGCCTCAGCCCCCAAGTAGCCGGGATTACAGGCATGCGCCACCACACCCAGCTAATTTTTGTGTTTTTAGTAGAGAAAGGGTTTCACCATGTTGGCCAGGCTGGTCTCGAACTCCTGATCTCCAGTGATCTTCCTGCCTCAGCCTCCCAAAGTGCTGGGATTACACGTGTTAGCCACCACACCTGGCCAACATTGGCAGTTTTGAAGAGCACAGGCCAGTTATTTTATCGAATGACCTCAAGCTAGGGTTAGTAATATATGGAAAGAAAGCTACACAAATATTTTGTCTTTTTCATTGCCTCATAATGGGAAGTACGTGTTGTTGCCTTGTCCCACTATTGTGGGCAATGTTACTTGAAGTATTTTTAACTAGAATTTTTAAGAAGAAATACATTTCCCGTAAGGCTCAGTACCCAAGACATGCATATACCTGAATGAAAAGTTTCCCACAACAAGATTTACTCTTGCCATTTTCTAGTACTGTGGGATTTTTTCCTTTTCTTTTCCCCCTGCAGGAGGGGATGCTGCTGGGGGCTGAGGACAATGCTAAACCTGGATGTCTCGAGGACAGGGGATGGGGTTTTTGTGTCATCTATGTTCTGATGCTTTTTCATTTAATACGAGAACAGGTTTCCTATGATTTGGCACACTGGGACATTCGACATGTGTTTGTTGAATGAAAAAAAGAAAAAAGAGAAATGCTAACAATTTGTTGAATAGTCCATAAAAGAGCAAAGCTGGCCTGGCGCGGTGGCTCACACCTGTACCAGCACTTTAAGAGGCCAAGGCAGACGGAGGTCACGTGTTTGAGACCAGCCTGGCCAACATGGTGAAACCGCTTCTCCACTAAAAAAAAAAAAAAAAAAAAAATCAGTTGGTGTGGTGGCGTGTGCCTGTAATCCCAGCTACTCAGGAGGCTGAGGCAGGAGAATCGCTTGAACCCAGGACATGGGGGTTACAGTGAGCCAAGATTGCACCACTGCACTCCAGCCTGGGTGACAGAAAGAGATTTTGTCTCAAAAAAAAAAAAAAAAAAAAAAGCAAAGCTATTATTAAAACACACTCCACACTTCACCCCTGAGCCCCATATTGATTTTGTAATAAGGCAAAGATAATTTTTTTTTCTTTTTTTGAGATGAAGTCTCATTCTGTCGTCCAGGCTGGAGTGCAGTGGCACGATCTTGGCTGACTGCAACGACTGCCTCCTGGGTTCAAGCAATTCTCCTGCCTCAGCCTCCCAAGTAGCTGGGATTATAGGTGCCTACCACCACGCCCAGCTAATTTTTGTATTTTGAATAGAGAGTGTTTCACCATGTTGGCCAGGCTGGTCTCGAACTCCTGACCTCAAGTGATCTTCCTGCATCAGCCTCCCAAAGTGCTGGGATTACAGGCGTGAGCCACCATGCCCAGCCAACAAAGATGATTTTAAGAGAACCTTTGTAAAAGCTCTCACCGATGCCTGTCATTATTAGAATATTTGGGAGTAGAATCATGTAACTGATCAATAACATTGTTTACTGTCTAGCAGAGGCTTTTGAAAAATGTATTTCCTGGCTGGGCATTGTGGCTTACGCCTATGCCCAGTTTGGGAGCTCGGGGAGAGCGGATCTCTTGAGCCTAGGAGTTCAAGACCAGCCTGGGCAATATTGTGAGACCTCATCTCTACCAAATGTATATATACATATACAAAAATTAGCCAAGCATGGTGGTGTACGCCTGTAGTCCCAGCTACTCAGGAGGCTGAGGTAGGAGGAGCACTTGAACCTGGGAGGCGGAGGTTACGGTGAACCAAGATCATGCCACTGCACTCCAGCCTGGGCGACAGAGTGAGACACTGTCTCTAAATAAATAAATGAAAGAAGAAGCTACTTGAAAAAAATATGTATTTCCAAATATATGTCAGTTTTGACAGGATAGTACACATACATAGTAAAAAATAAAAATAAAATAGGGCACTTTTTTGTGTCCCTTTCAGAGGGACATATGTCCCATGTGTCCTCCCCCCTCCTGCCCCTAATTTTTTTGTTTGTTTTTTTATGAGATGGAGTCTCACTCTGTCGCCAGGCTGGAGTGCAGTAGCGTGATCTCAGCTCACTGCAACTTCCGCTCCCCAGGTTCAGGTGATTTTCCTGCCTCAGCCTCCCATGTAGCTGAGACTACAGGTGCGCGACACCATGCTCAGCTAATTTTTATATTTTTCGTGGAGACGGAGTCTCACCATGTTGGTCAGGATGGTTTGGCTCTCCTGACCTCGTGATCCGCTCACCTTAGCCTCCCAGGCTTAGCCTCCTTAGCCTGCTGGGATTACAGGCATGAGCAGAAGAATCTCTTGAACCCGGGAGGCGGAGGTTGCAGTGAGCTGAGATCGTGCCACTGCACTCCAGCCTGAGGGACAAGAGTGAGACTCCATCTGGGGAAAAAAAAAAAAAGAAAAAAAAGAAATACTGCATCAAATTGCACTTGCCTCTTGGTGCAAGATTCGTTCCTTTGCTTTGAACTGCCTCCCTGAAGCAAATTGGTGTTTCTGTGACTCCCTCTGTCTAGGGAAGGGGTCCTTTAGTGGGGACATTGTCTTTCTTGGGGAGGGTCCACCAGAGGACTCTGACACAGCGGTCTCCTTTCTCCTCCGTCAACTTAGTTAGATTTTAGTCCCTGATCTTCTCAGCAGTGTATAGTGAAAAAGCCACCGCAGCTGAAAGTTTCAGGAAGATGATAGTTGCTTCTGTGTGCTCACCCAGGAGCTTTTGGGAGGTTTAGGGAGAACTGGGGGAAAATTGGGACCAGCAGCTCAATGTGGCTTTGAAGGGGAGACAGCGGATGGACACAGAACTTGCATTTTTGGAGAGGGGAGGTCTGGGTAGATGTTCCCTACATACACAGCAGCACTTGTGTGCAGGTGTGAGGGAGTGACAGCCCCCGGACGGTTTGGCATTTTCCTGCAAGTCTGCCATCTTGTCTGGCAGACATAGCCTGGGCTGCTGACTGTCCCTACCCCAAACCAGAATTTGGGCAGGAACGGACACTTGGGCTCATTACGTGTCAATGAGGGGGATCAGGTCAGGGGCACAGGGAGAGGAAAGTCAACCCCGTCCTCCACTGGGGCTGTTTCTCATCTTGCATGACACGTGGCTTTCATAATGTCTTCACTTTGCGGTCTCTCTCACCAGAAGAAGCTGCTGTTTTGTGGCTAGTTCATCTGTGTCATGCCCTTTCCCCAGCCTGGGCTGCCTGTGATTTTTTTCTTTTCTTTTCTTTTCTTTTCTTTTCTTTTCTTTTCTTTTCTTTTCTTTTCTTTTCTTCCCTCCCTCCCTTCCTTCTTTCTCTTTCTTTTCTTTCTCCTTTCTTTCTTTTTCTTTCTTTTTTCTTTTCTTTCTCTGTCTTTCTTTTTCTTTCTCTTTCTCTCTCTCTTATCTTTCTTCTTTCTCCCTCTTTCTTTTCTTTTTTCTCTTTCTGTATTCTTTCTTCTTTCTCTCTTTCTTTCCTTCTTTCTTTCTCCCTCCCTTCCTGCCTCTTTCTTTCTCTTTCTTTCTCCCTCTTCTTTCTTTCTCTCTCTCTCCCCTCCCTCCCTCCTTCCTTCCCTCCTTCTTTCTTTTTATCTCTCTCCTTCCTTCCTTCCTTCCCTCCTTCTTTCTGTCTTTCTCTTTCTTTTCTCTCTCTCCCTTCCTCCTTCCTTCCCTCCTTCTTTCACTCTCTCTTTCTTTTCTCTCTCTCTTCTTTTTAAAGATAGGGTCTTGCTTTATTGCCCAGGCTGGAGTGCAGTGGTGCAGTCACAGCTCACTGCAGCCTCAAACCCCTGGGCTGTAGCAATCCTCCCACCTCAGTCTCCCGAGTAGCTGGGACTATTGGTTTACGGGTGTGCACCATCACACCTGGCTAATTTTTTTATTTTTGTAGAGACAGGGGTCTGGCTATTTTGCCCAGGCTAGTCTTGAACTACTGGACTCAAGAGATCCTCCCGTGTTAGCCTCCCAAAGTGCCATTACATGCACAAGCCACTGCGCCTGGCAGGCTTGTGATTTTCATGTGGAGCTTTTCACATTCTGTCTAACAATCCGAGTTCAGAGGAACCAGTATGGGGAGCAAGAGTATGTGGAAACGTCCAGCACCAGTTTAGAGGACTCCCACTCAGCTAGGGGGTGCAGTGGCCACCCCGAGTGGCTTTTCTTTCTTTTCTTTCCCTCCTTCCCTCCCTCCCTCCCTCCTTTCTTTCTTTCTTTCTTTCTTTTTCTTTCTTTCTTTCTCTTTTCTTTTCTTTCTTTTTGAGACAGAGTCTCACTCTCTCTTCCAGCAGTGGCACAATCTCGGCTCACTGCAACCCCCGCCTCCCGGGTTCAAGCAATTCTGCTGTCTCAGCCTCCCAAGTAGCTGGGATTACAGGCACCTGCCACCACGCCTGTATAATTTTTGTATTTTTAGTAGAGATGGGGTTTCACCATGTCGGCCAGGCTGGTCTCGAACTCCTGACCTCAGGTGATCCACCTGCCACGGCCTCCCAAAGTGCTGGGATTACAGGCGTGAGCCACCGTTCCCAGCCTCTATTTTTTTAAAATTGACAAATAATAATTGTATATGTTACATATTTATGGGGTACCATGTGATGTTTTGATATCTGTTTACATTGTAGAATTACTAAGTCATGCCAATTTAAAAGCTATCACCTCACATACTTATCATTGTTTTATGGTTAAAAATATCTACATTTTTGGCAATTTTGAAATGTCCAGTGCACTATTACTTATTATAGCAACCATTGTGTCCAATACATAACTAAAGCTTATTTCTCCTAAGTGAAATTTTGTAGTTTGATCAACATCTCCCTACAGAGTTGGAAACACCTGGAATGAGCTTATAGTGTTCGAAGGATAGTCTTCAAAGAATTGGTTGGGCGCGGTGGCTCACGCCTGTAATCCCAGCACTTTGGGAGGCCAAGATGGGTGGATCCCGAGGTCAGGAGTTCAAGACCAGCCTGGCCAACGTGGTGAAACCCCATCTCTACTAAAAATACAAAAATTAGCTGGGCGTGATGACGGGCGCCTGTAATCCCAGCTACTCAGGAGGCTGAGGCAGAGAATTGCTTGAACCCGGGAGGCGGAGGTTGCAGTGAGCTGAGTTCTCACCATTGCACTTCAGCCTGGACAACAGAGTGAGACTCTGTCTCAAAAAAAAAAAAAAAAAAAAACCACCAAAGAACACAGGTCAGCATGTTTATTTAACCCATTAGTGAGGGAACAGCAGGATTATAAAGCCAAAACATGTATAGTCACTGAAATAAGAAGGCAGTGTTAGCTGTGAGGCTGCTTAATGTCCCATAGGACAATAAAACTGTAATCTTTGGGGATGATTTTTTTCTTTTTTTTTTCGGCAAGGAGAGATAGGATCTCACTCTGTTACCCAGGCTGGTCTCGAATGCCTGGGCTCAAGCAATCCTCCCGCCTCAGCCTCCCAAAGTGCTGGGATTACAGGCATGAGCCTCCATGCCCAGCTGAGAGTATCTTTTCTCTGAGATGAAAATAATTTGTAGCATATCTGTCTGTAAGTTAACTCTAATTTCCTTGAGTCTAGTTCCTAATAGAAATAGTAAAATCGGCCAGGCGTAGTGGGTCATGCCTATAATCCCAGCACTTTGGGAGGCCAAGGTGGGCAGATCACTTGAGGTCAGGAGTTCAAGACCAGACTGGCCAACATGCTGAAACCCAGTCTCTACTAAAAATACAAAAATTATCCAGGCATGGTTGTGGGTGCCTGTAATCCCAGCTACTCAGGAGGCTGAGGCAGGAGAATTGCTTGAACCTGGGACACAGAGTTTACAGTGAGCGGAGATGGCACCGCTGTACTTCAGCCTGGACAACAGAGCAAGACTCGGTTTCAAAAAAAAAAAAAAAAAGTAATAGTAAAATCAATTACAGGTACATTTAACTAGTGCAGGTTGATAAACTATCTGGCCCATCACTTGCTTTTATAAATAAAGTTTTATTGGACCTAGCCATGCCTCTTCATGTACATATGTCTGTGGCTGCTATCATGCCATCGTGGCAGAGTTGAGTAGTTTCAACCAACACCATATGTCCTGCAAAGCCTCAAGTATTTGCTTGTGGCCCTTTACAGAAAAAGTTGACCAACTCCTGTGCTGACAAATGAAATAGCTCAGATAGGCCTGTCAGCTAGGGCTCCAACACAGGATTGCAAAGTCTCGCAGCCTCTGGCCTTGTTTGCAATGGTTGGATAATTTTTCTTCCCATTGTCTAGGCCGGAAGGACTTATGTGTTTGAGAGGTTTGTGTTAGGCCATTGATGACGCCTCTTTTGAATGAAAGGGCTGACCCTCTGAAGTGGCTCCAGCCCAGGAAACAAGCCCCTTCCTCTTGTGTGTGTGTTTCCTTGCCAGAGTGCTGGAACTCCGTGGGTCCTGGATCATTGTTGTCTGCCTTGTATATTGCTTCCTTCAATTGAATTTCAGCCCTCAGGTTCCCACAGACAGATCAGTGTTAATGATGTTGATAATTATGATAATTATAGATACCCTCTGTAGTTAATTTCTATCAAGCCTAAAAATGTCTCTATCAAAGAATCTGATGTGTTACTGACGTCATCCTGTTTATTTCTTGCAACAGCCTTAAGAAGGAAGGAAGGGACTCTTATTAACAATCCCCCCTCCCTTTTTTTTTTTTTTTTTTTTTTTGAGATAGAGTCTCGCTCTGTCACCTAGGCTGGAGTTCAGTGGCACAATCTTGACTCACTGCAAACTCCTCTTGCGTTCAAGCGATTCTACTGCCTCAGCCTCCCGAGTAGCTGGGATTATAGGCAAGCACCACCACACCCGACTAATTTTTGTATTTTTAGTAGAGACGGGTTTCACCATGTTGGTCAGGCTGGTCGTCTTGAACTCCTGACCTCAAGTGGTCCACCCACCTCAGCCTCTCAAAGTGCTGGGATTACAAGCATCAGCCACTGTGCTTAGCCCTATTAGAACTTCCTAATATTCTTGTTTTTTTTTTTTTTTTGGACGGAGTCTCACTCTGTCAGCCAGCCTGGAGTGCAGTGGATCTCAGCTCACTGCAACCTCCACCTCCCAGGTTCAAGTGATTCTTGTGCCTCAGCCTTCTGAGTAGCTGAGTAGCTGGGATTACAGGCGCCCACCACCACGCCCAGCTAATTTCTGTATTTTTAGTAGAGTCGGGGTTTTACCATGTTGGCCAGGCTGGTCTTGAACTCCTGACCTCAAATAATCCACCCACCTCAGCCTCCCAAAGTGCTGGGATTATAGGTGTGAGCCCCCGCGCCCAGCCCCAAGATAATTTTCAAGAGTGATCCATGCCATAAGGAAAATGTAATGAGATAATGTGTTAGCTTATGAATGGAGCAGGAAGGGCGACTTCTGCTGGGGAAGTCAGGGAAGATCTGTGTAAGGACCTGAAGGATGCAAAGGAGCAAGTCACAAGGGGACAAGGGACCAGGGTGCTCCACCCAGAACAGCTTGTGCAAGGTCCTAAGGTAGGGCTGAGCCTGGGTGTGTGTGGGTGGGAGGTGCAGAAAGGAGGCCAGCCTGGGAGAAGAATTTAGCAAGACTGGCAGGGATTAGACCCCCCAAGGCCTGTAGGGAGTTGGCTTTTATTCTGTATGCCTGAACTGTCTCGTCTGGGAGACGGTAGTCATCTGTGGCTAGTAAACATTGGAATTGTGTCAGGCACAGTGGCTCATACTTGTAATCTCAGCACTTTGGGAGGCTGAGGTGGGAGGATCGCTTGAGCCAGGAGTTCGAGACCAGCCTGGGCAACATAGTGAGACCCCATTTCTACAAAAAATTAAACACTTAGCTGGGCGTGGTGGCGCATGTCCATTATTCCAGCTACCCAAGAGGCCGAGGTGGGAGGATCACCTGAGCCCAGGAGATTGAGGCTGCAGTGAACTGTCACTGTGTCACTGTACCCCAGAACCTAAGTGACAGAGCCAGACCCCATCACACACCCAAAAAAGAAATCGTTACACATTTTATCCATATGACAAAATATCACAAGTACCCCATAAATGTGTAAAATATTCTGTATCAATGTAAAACTTTTTAAAAATTTTAAACTGAAATTAAAATGAAATGCAGTTAAAAGTTTTGTTCCTTGGTAAAAATTGGAGCCCTGGTACACTGTTGGTGGGAATGTAAAATACTGCAGCTAGGCTGGGCACAGTGGCTCACACCTGTAATTCCAGTACTTTGGGGGGCCAGGGTGAGTGGATCACTTGAGGTCAGGAGTTCGAGACCAGCCTGGCCAACACGGTGAAACCCCGTCTCTACTAAAAATACAAAAAAATTAGCGGGGTGTGGTGGTGGGCACCTGTAATCCCAGCTACTCGAGGCTGAGGCAGGAGAATTCCTTGAACCCAGGAGGTGGAGGTTGCAGTGAGCCGAGATCGAGTCACTGCACTCCAGCCTGAGTGACAGAGTGAGACTCCATCTCAAAATAAATTTTTTAAAAAAGAATAAATCCTATATTATTCCACTTATATGAGGTTCCTAGAGTCATCAGAGTCACAGAGACAGAAAGTAAAATGGGATGTCGGGCGCAGTGGCTCACACCTGTAATCCCTGCACTTTGGGAGGCTGAGGCAGGAGGATCACGAGGTTAGGAGTTCAAGACCAGCCCGGCCAACATGGTGAAACCCCATCTCTACTAAAAATACAAAAATTAGCTGGGTGTGGTGGTGGGCGTCTGTAATCCCAGCTACTCTGGAGGCTGAGGCAGGAGAATCACTTGAACCCGGGAGGCAGAGGTTACAGTGAGCTGAGATCGCGCCACTGCACCCCAGCCTGGGCAACAAAGCAAGACTCCATCTCAAAAAATAAAAATAAAAAAAAAGAAAAGAAAAAGAAAGTAAAATGGCAGGTGCCAGGAGTTGGGGAGGAGGATGAGTGTGACTGTTTCATGGGGGCAGAGTTTCAGTTTGGTTAAGGTGAGAAAGTTCTGGAGATGGGTGGTGGTGATGGTTGCATAGCCACATAAAAGTATTTAATACCACTGAACTATACATTTAAACATGATTACAATGGTGAATTTTATGCTATGTGTATTTTACCACAATTAAAAAAAAAATTGGATTTCCTAGTTGCACTAAGCACATTCAGAAGCCACAGGGGAGAAGTGGCTACTATGTTGGATGGCCCAGATAGAGAACATTTCCGTCATCGCAGAAATTTCGACCAGATGGTGCTGTTCATATATGGATGTAGCTTCTGGGGCCACTTCTGTTCCCTGAGTTTGGCCGGTGGGATCCACTGTGCTGAGAATCACAGTCTGGGGATTTGGGGTGAAGAACACTCCCCAACTTTCTTTCTTATTTTTTGTTTTGTTTCATTTTTTGTTTTGAGACAGAGTCTCCCTCTGTCACCAAGGCTGGAGTGCAGTGGCATGATCTCGGCTCCCTGCAACCTCCCCTCCCAGGTTCAAGCGATTCTCCTGCCTCAGCCTCCTGAGTAGCTGGGATTACAGACGCCCACCACCACACCCGGCTAATTGTTTGTATCATCAGTAGAGATGGGGTTTCACCATGTTGGCCAGGCTGGTCTGAAACTCCTGACCTCAGGTGATCCGCCCACCTTGGCCTCCCAAAGTGCTAGGATTACAGGCATGAGCCACCACAACCAGCCTTTTTTTTTTCCTTCCTTCCTTCCTTTTCTCTCTCTCTTTGTCTCTCTCTCTCTTTTTTTTTTTTTTTTTTGACAGAATTTTGCACTTGTTGCCCAGGCTGGAGTATAGTGGCACGATCATGGCTCACTGCAGCCTCCACCTCCCAGATTCAAGTGATTCTCGTGCCTCAGCCTCCTGAGCAGCTGGGATTACAGGCATGCACCAGCACACCTAGCTAATTTTTGTATTTTTAGTAGAGACAGGGTTTCACCATGTTGACCAGGCTGGTCTCAAACTCCTGACCTCAGGTGATCCACCCGCCTCGACCTCCCAAATTGCTAGGATTACAGGCGTGAGCCACCACACCGAGCCACATTTGCATGTTTAAGTAACTAACATGTCTCCTCCATTAGACCTTGTGCTCCCAAAGGCAGGATCTGCAGCCACTTTTTTCCCCACAGTGGCCACAGTATCTAGATTAGTGCAAGCAAATGTCTGTTGAAGCAATCAGTGGTTTGGGGGCAAGTTACTTAACCTCCCTGTACCTCAGTTTCCCCATTTGTAAAACAAAAAAATAAAGGAGCTAACAGTGTATCTACTTCACATGTGGGGTGCAGCAGCATGCTGGAGTTGGCTTGCTGGAGCCAGTGGTGAAATTTTCAGGCAATTTGTGAGCCATTTGTTAAACATAGATATTCATAAAAATTACATAAACCTACAGTTAAACAAATTACATTAAAAACAAAAGTTTTTAAATTAACAAAGCTTTTTAAAAGTAACAAATACTCAAAACTCACCACCTCCTAATATCATACGATGTTTTCCTATTATTTGTGCTGTTGAGGTTATTTACTACTTTTGTGTCAATAGTAGATACATTTTGTGTATACTTATAAATACTACTTAGAGGAATGCTACTGTGTATCTTTTGTCAGCTTATGTTTAGTAACTTCATGTTGGTGGCCTGAAATCCACCACTGGTAGGAATATTTACACCATGGAAATCGGCAAATGCTATATAAATCTGGGCCTCCCTGGGCCCCTCCCTCAGGCAGCTGTTAAACATTTACAAGCTCACCAATGGTTTGGAGGCTTAAACCAGTTAATAGATGTGTCTGACATGTGGGTAATGATGTAGACGTGCCGCTTTTACTGTTAGTGTTTGGTTGGCTTTCACTGTCTGATCCAGAATTGCTGCATATGCAGACAGGAATTGGACAAAGCCATTTATTTATTTATTTATTTATTTATTTATTTATTTATTTATTTCCCTCTCTCTCTCTCTCTCTCTCCAGTTTGCCCGACCATCTGTAAGTCACACGGCTGCACCGCCGAAGGCCTCTGTTGCCACAGCGAGTGCCTGGGCAACTGTTCTCAGCCCGACGACCCCACCAAGTGCGTGGCCTGCCGCAACTTCTACCTGGACGGCAGGTGTGTGGAGACCTGCCCGCCCCCGTACTACCACTTCCAGGACTGGCGCTGTGTGAACTTCAGCTTCTGCCAGGACCTGCACCACAAATGCAAGAACTCGCGGAGGCAGGGCTGCCACCAGTACGTCATTCACAACAACAAGTGCATCCCTGAGTGTCCCTCCGGGTACACGATGAATTCCAGCAAGTGAGTTCTGGATGTGGGTCTGGGGGGCAGCCGAGAGGAGAAGGAACGTGGGGTTGGTTGTGACGATGCCGCTTGTTAAAACTGTGTGCAAACCCAGGGTTAATTGGCTATGAGTGAGGTCTCTGCTCTCAGATGCTACTTTTGCACCCTGTTTTGGTCCTGGGCTTGGGAGTGGGAGTTGACTACCTTTTTCTCTAAAGGACCAGATAGTATATACTTCTGGCATTGTGCCCACCATTCTTTTTTTTTTTTTTTGAGATGGAGTCTTGCCGCAAGACTCCCAAGCTGGAGTGCAGTGGCACGAACCTGGCTCACTGCAACCTCTGCCTCCTGGGTTCAAGCGATTTTCCTGCCTCAGCCTCCCAAGCAGCTGGGACTGCAGGTGCCTGCCACCATGCCCGGCTAATTTTTGTATTTTTAATAGAGACAGGGTTTCGCCATGTTGGTCAGGCTGGTCTCGAACTCCCAACCTCAGGTGGTCCACCTGCCTTGGCCTCTCAAAGTGCTGTGATTGCAGGTGTGAGCCACCGCACCCAGTCTGGCATTGTGGACCTCAGTTCTAAGCTTTCTGTGGTTGGCTTCAGAACAAGAAAATATAATAAGGACAGAGTCCTTGGTTTTCCCTAAAATCCTCCACGTGGCCTGTCCTCACTGATGTAGCTTCATCATTGTCACATAAAGGATATACCAAGGTCTTTCGTGTCTTCCCTGACCTGTAGCCTGGTGGTGTGCCAAGATTAGCCCAGAACATACTGTCTCCAGGAGGAAGAGACTCGCTTCTGCATTATTCTCAGGGCTTTGCTGTTCTCTGAAGGACAGTATAATCAAACCATTTCCTGCCGTTTGGGTGAGAAATAGCAGGGTTTTCTCTCTTCGACAGAGTCAGATTTCCTACGCACATCGCAGACTTTCTGTTCGTACTGTGAGCTTCTTCCATGAGCTATTTTGGGGCCGTAACTGAGTTGCAAAAATCTGTTTCCTGGTTTTTGTATTGAGGTTTTATGTTTTGTTTTAAAACACACACACACACACACACACACACACACACACACCACAAAACAACACAAAAACAAATCAGAAACAGACACACATCAAGAGGCCTTGAGCTGACCTGCTTACGTAAAGTATCTTCCTCTTCAGACTTGAGAATTAGCCAAGCGAGAGTGTTGGGGTGGGAAATTGTATTTCCCTGGGTGGAGAGGGCGGGAAGGAAAACAAGCTGTAATTTCAGTTCTTATGACTCTTTCTTTGAGTGTTTGTGAAACCTGCAAGTACAATATGTTTTGTTTTGCTCGTTGTTGATAAAAACCTACCAAAAAAACCTTTTGGCTTTATTGACCAAAAGGGTCTATAAATCACCTTTTCATACCAGACAGACTTTTGTTTTAGGTTTTTTTTTTTTTTTTTGGCCAGTGTATTCCCAAGATTGAGGAAATGACCATATTCCTTTTGATTCATTTCTTTCTTTTTAAAATCACAATTGAAATAAAAAAAATGGGTTAATATCTTCTGGCAAGATGTTTGTTTAAAAGACATTGGCCTTAAATAAAAGGCATTTTTCCCTCACCTTAACAATGGCCTGAGAAATATAGCAACCTCCTTTGATTTTCTCACTGATGATGCGGGAGATGCTAAAACAGAAACCCTGAGAAATTGACCGCACATCCTTGGTATCTGGGACCTTTCCTGAACGGAAGAAAACAAAGGAGAGGGGGGTGCATTGTCACCGTATTTTATTGCGTAGGTTTAAAAAAATTAATATTTTTATTTCTGAAGCTTTTAATTAATTAATTTATTTATTTTGAGACAGAGCCTCACTCTGTCACCCAGGCTGGAGTGCAGTGGCATGATCTCAGCTCACTGCAACCTCTGCCTTCCAGGTTCAAGCCATTCTCCTGCCTCAGCCTCCCAAGTAGCTGGGATTACAGGTGTGAGGCAGCAAGCCTGGCCAATTTTTTTTTGTTTGTGCTTTTGTTTTTTTGAGATGGAGTTTCATTCTTGTTGCCCAGACTGAAGTGCAATGGTGCGATCTTGGCTCACTGCAACTCAGCCTCCCGGGTTCAAGTGATTCTCCTGCCTTAGCCTCTAAGTAGCTGGGATTACAGACATCTGTCACCATACCCAGCTAAATTTTTCTTGTATTTTTAGTAGAGACCGGGTTTCATCATGTTGGCCAGGCTGGTCTTGAACTCCTGACCTCAAGTGATCCACCCACCTCGGCCTCCCAAAGTGCTGGGATTACAGGCATGAGCCACCGCACCTGGCCTGAAGCTTTTCTTTTTATCTTATGAAAGACTTAATCGTACTGTGGCATTTTCTAATGTGGTTTGATATCAAATAGGGCCAGATGTTTTCTTCCATTCTGGTGGCTTATCTGGGAAGGAGTTCTTGATGTTTTCAGAGCAGAGTTCTGGGAACCCATGTTAAAAGGCCTTGGCCAGGCACAGTGGCTTATGCCTGTAATCCCAGCACTTTGGGAGGCCGAAGTGGACGGATCATCTGAGGGCAGGAGTTCAAGGTCAGCCTGGCCACCACGGTGAAACCCCGTCTTTACTAAAAATACAAAAACAAAAAAAAAATTAGCTGGGCATGGTGATGCATACCTGTTATCCCAGCTACTCGGGAGGCTGAGGCATGAGAATTGCTTGAACCCAGGAGGCAGAGGTTGCAGTGAGCTGAGATCACGCCATTGCACGTTAGCCCCCAGGCAAGTGTGACAAGAGTGAAACTGCATCTCCAAAAAAAAAAAAAAAAAGGTCTCACCATCTACTGTCGTTCCAAAGTACCTGCTGGGATGTAATAGCACAGTGCTGCTTCCTGAGATGAGAAGGACCAGATATTTGTGATGAATAAATTTTCAATGCGTATGGGGTATCCACTGGGAAGGGGAGAATTACCTAAAATCCTTGATTCTTCTTGGCCTCTCTCACTTCTTCCTATTAAGCTGAGGTCTCAAATTTGTCTACACCTCCATCTATTTCACCATCATGTCTGGTCTGACCCAGTCCCCTTGAACAATCTCTTTGCTCCTGCTTCCATTCTAGTGACACTGGTAAAAAGTGGCCACCTGGGCCAGGCGCGGTGGCTCACGCCTATAACCCCAGCACTTTGGGAGGCCGAGGTGGGTGGATCACCTGAGGTCAGGAGTTCGAGACCAGCCTGACCAACATGGTGAAACCCCATCTCTACTAAAAATACAAAAATTAGCCAGGCGTGGGATTACAGTGGGCGCCTGTAATCCCAGCTACTCGGGAGGCTGAGACAGCAGAATTGCTTGAACCCGGGAGGTGGAGGTCGCAGTGAGCCGAGAGTGTGCCACTGCACTGCAGTCTCGGTGACAGAGTGAGACTCTGTCTCAAAAGAAAAAATAAAAGTGGTCATCTGATCATATGCCATGTCCTTCCCTAAAACCCTCCGGTGGCTTCCCAAGACCAATGGACAGAATCCAAACTCCTCATCGGGAGGGCTCGGCCAGTTCTCATTCTCATTTCATTCCGGTGCCCCCTGGCCGTGGTGGTCGTTACCGCAGGAGCTTTTCCTGCAACTTGCTACATCCGCTTTCCTCTGTGCCTTTCAATTAGCTGTTCCCTCTTCCTATAATGCTTGTCCCTGCATTTGAGAATGATCCACTTTTTCCCCTCGTCATCTAGATGGCAGCTTAAAAGTCACCTCCTTGGCAAATCCTTCCCGTCTGAGTCAATCATCCGTGCACTCTCTGTCACATCATTTAGTTTTAACTCTTCGATTTGTCACTAGCTGATATTTTTGTCTTTTTTTTTTTTTTTTGAGACAAGGTCTTGGTCTGTCACCCAGGCTAGAGTGCAGTGGCACCCACATGGCTCACTGTGGTCTCAACCCCCTGGGCTCAAGAGATCCTCCTGCCACAGCCTCCTGAGTAGCTGGGACTATATAGGCACACACCACCACACCTGGCTAAAAAAAAATTCTGTAGTGTTGGGGGTCTTGCTATATTCCCCAGGCTCGTCTTGAACTCCTGGGTTTAAGTGATCCTCCCACCTTGGCTTCCCAAAGTGCTGAGATTACAGGGCCTGAGCCACTGTACCTAGCCTTTGTTGTCAATTTATTCACTCTCCCCAACCAGATGATAAGCTTTGTGAGTGTATCAGCTAGCTCTTGTTGCGTAACAAAACCACCTCAGTGCTTAGTGGCTTAAAACACTCCTTTAGGAGCTCTGATGATTTCATGTGTTGACTGAAGGTTTGTCTGGCCTGGGCCTGTTTAGCTACGGCTGATGGTTTAGGGGAGCCTCTTGTGTCTTTGATGGTCAGTGGGGGTCTCTCTCCATAAGTCTCTTACCCCAGCAGCCAGGAAGGGCAGACCTCAATGTTCAAGTGCTTTTCAAGCCTCAGCTTGTATCACGTTTGCAAATATTCCATTGGCCAAAGCAAGCCATATGGCCAAGCCCAGATTCAACAGGTGGGAACATAGACTCCACTTCTTGGTGGGAGAGGCTGCAAAGAACTCATGGTCATTTATAATTTCCCACTGGGAAAGCATATTATCTGCTTTGTTCACTCATGTATACCGGCAGCTGAGAACGGGGGTTGGCCAAGGGCCAGATAGTAAATATTTTCAGCTCTCAGGGCCATATGGTCTCTGTTGGAGCTACTTAACTCTGCCTTTGCAGCGTGAAAGCAGGGTTAGACGATGTACTAACCAATAAATGTGGCCATATTCCAATAGGATATTATTTGCAAAAACAGGTGGCCTACTGGATTTGGCTCCCAGCCCACTGTTTGCCAACTCCAGGCTTAGAGCATTGCCTGCCACATAATAAGAATAGAGGCAATAAAAGAAGTCAAACATTTGGTCAGTATTTTGTTTCTGCCTCAGCTGTTCTGCCACTACCTGGGTGTACTTGCAACACCGTTCTGACACCATCCTCCTCCAAAGTTAGCATCAGACGCCACAAGTTTAAGGCTCAGCCCTCCATGAGATTTCCCTTGCTTCAGACACTGGCAGCATCTTGGGGATCCCCCAGCCACCCACACTTCTGACTAACTGGCTCTAAATTGGGGGATTCCCACAAACTGTTTGGGTTTCATAATTTACTAGAAGGAACTCACAGAATGAAAATAAACCTGGCCAGGTGTGGTGGCTCATGCCTGTAATCCCAGCACTTTGGGAGGCCATGGTGGGAGGCTCACTTGAGCCCAGAGGTTCGAGACCAGCCTGGACAACATAGTGAGATCCCATCTCTACAAAAATTTAAAAACATTAGCCAGGTGAGGGGGTGCATGCCTGTAGTCCCAGGTACTTGAGGGGCTTAAGCAGGAGGATCGCTTGAGCCCAGGAGTTCGAGGCTGCAGTGAGCTAAGATTGTGCCAGTGCACCCCAGCCCGGGTGGCAGAGCAAGATCTTGTCTCAAATTTAAAAACCCTGCTATACAATTACAGTTTTATTATAAAGGATACACATACGGCAAGATCTGGGAGAGTTCTAGATGCAGAATTTCCATATTGCCTCCTCGTGGCAACAGCATGTATCACCCTCTTGACATACTGGTGTGTCCACCAGCTGGGAAGTACTACTGAGCTTCAGCGTCCAGAGTTTTTGTTTGTTTGTTTGTTTGTTTTGAGACGGAGTCTCACTCTGTCACCCAGGCTGGAGTGCAGTGGCTCAATCTCAGCTCACTGCAACCTCCACATCCCAGGTTCAAACAATTCTCCTGCCTCAGCCCCCCGAGTAGCTGGGACTACAGGCATGCACCATCACGCACGGCTAATTTTTGTATTTTTAGTAGAGACAGGGTTTCACCATGTTGGCCAGGCTGGTCTCAAACTCCTGACTTCGTGATTCACCTGCCTCAGCCTCCCAAAGTGCTAGGATTACAGGCGTGAGGCACTGCACCCGGCCCAGTATCCAGAGTTTTAATTGGAGTCTCATTCCTTAGGCGTGATTGATTGAAATCATTGACCATGTGATTCAACACTGCCATTTCCAGCCCCCTCATCTCCCTGGAGGTCCTAAAAGCCCCAACCCTCTGATCACAGGGTTGTTCTTTCTGGTGACCGCCCCCCACCCTCATGTTATCTAGGCACCCCCCCCCCCACAAGTCACCCCGACATTCCTAACACTCCTAACAAAAGCATTCCTGTGACTCAGAAAGTTCCAAGGGTTTTTGAAGCTCTGTGCCAAGAACCGGGATGAAGACCAGATACATACTTTATGATCCTACAGTCACAAAAATCACTCTGAAGAGTTGAATACCCAGGAGTGTGAGAACAACAGCAGCAGCAACAAGGATGCCACCAATAAAAAATGACCCTTGTAGCAACGGATAAAATTGCGTTCTGTGTGCGAAGTGCTTTTGTGGTATGCTTCATTGAGTTCCTCATCACAAGCTGTGGCGTTGGTGGTGTTATTTTCAGATGAAGAAATGGAGACTGTAACAGTTGGGAATCTTGTGGTTTCATGCACCAGAACCCCAACTCAAATTGGCTTAACTGGCCGGGCACGGTTGCTCACACCTGTAATCCCAGCACTTTGGGAGGCCGAGGCGGGTGGATCACCTGAGGTTGGGAGTTCGAGACCAGCCTGACCAAAATGGAGAAACCCTGTTTCTACTAAAAAAAAAAAAAAAAAAAAAAAATACAAAATTAGATGGGGCATGGTGGTGCATGCCTGTAATCCCAGCTACTCGGGAGGCTGAGGCAGGAGAATCACTTGAACCTGGGAGGCGGAGCTTGCAGTGAGCCGAGATCGTGCCATTGTACTCCAGCCTGGGCAACAAGAGTGAGACTCCATCTTAAAAAAAACAAAAACAAAAACAAAACAAAAAAACCATTGACTTAACCAAGATTAAAGGAGTTTGTTGGTACCCATAACCAAAAAGTTCAGGGAGTTGGTTCAGGTATAGCTGTATCAAGAAGCTTAAGCGATGTACCTGATCAGTCTCCTTCATCTTTATTTTCCTCTTTGTTGGTTTTGTTATCAGGCAGCTTCTCCCTCACCCTTCACCCCATGCTAGCAAGATGGCAAAACCCTTAGATACTCCAGAAGGAAGACAATTTCCCCTTCCAGCATGTTCTAGCAAAACCCTCACTGCACTGACTTAAGTTCTGTACCCACCACCTCTGAGCCCCCACAGGAATAGAAGGTGGTGCTCAGCTTGGCTTGGATCTTGTGCCCATCCTGGATCTAGAAGGGCTTTGGCAACCAAGAACTGATCTCAGAGACCCCGTGTTGGGGAGGACTGGTTCCCAAAGGACTCCTGGGGGCTGTGAGTTTGATGGCATCAGGCTGCAGGCTGGCAAAACCAAAGGCTGCCCAAGTCACTTGCCATTAAACATGGGGTCATGTTACAGCCGTAGTTGCATCACATCCCACACAGAACAGCAAATGTCCTGTCTCCTTGGAGTAGCAGGTTGAATTCTGCCACGTTGGGGTAACTGTCAGTTCTGCCACATCAGGCCCATCATCTCAAGGTAACGGCACATTCTTATTACCACATGCATTAGTCCATTTCTGCACTGCTATAAAGAATACATGGAACTGGGTAATTTATAAAGAAAAGAGGTTTAATTGGCTGACAGTTCTGCAGGCTGTACGGGAAGCATAGCAGCTTCTGCTTCTGGGGAGACCTCAGGAAACTTACAATCGTGGCGGAAAGCAAAGGGGAGGTAGGCACATCTTACATGACTGAAGGAAGAGAGAAAGGGGGAAGGTGCTACATAGTTTTGTTTGTTTGTTTTGAGACAGATTCTCACTCTGTCACCCAGGCTGGGCTGCAGTGGCACAATCTCGGCTCACTGCAGCCTCCACCTCCTGAGTTCAAGCAATTCTCATGCCTCAGCCTCCCCAGTAGCTGGGATTACAGGTGGGCACCACCACACCTGGTTAATTTTTGTATTTTTAGTAGAGACGGGGTTTCACCATGTTGGCCAGGCTGGTCTCGAACTCCTGGCCTGAAGTGATCCGCTCGCCTTGGCCTCCCAAAGTGCCGGAATTACAGGCATGAGCCACCATGCCCGGCTGGTGCTACATACTTTTAAACAACCAGATCTCGTGAGAACTCACTCACTATACACTGCCAAGGGGTATGGTGCCAGACCATTCATGAGAACTCCGCCCACCATGATCCAGTCATCTCCCACCAGGCCCCACCTCCCACATTGGGGATTACAATTTGACATGAGATTTGGGTGGGGACACAGATCCAAAACATATCGCCACGATAATGCTATGAGTCCCATTGCTGTCACGCACAGGGTAGATCATGGTCCTGCCTCCATGGGATATGGTGTGAATCCCATCACTGTGGGGTCCAGCAGGAGTCCTGTCCCATCACTTTGGGGTAAAATATGAGTCTTGTCACTTTGGGGTAAAAGCAAGAGGACCTGCAACCATAGGGTAATGGCATAATTCTCTCACTTAAGGCAGTGGTTCTTTTCTGGGGACAATCTGGCATCCTCCCTCCCCAGGGGACTTTTGGCAATGTTGGGAGACTTTTTTTTTTTTTGAGATGGAGTCTGACTGTGTCTCCCAGCTGGAGTGCAGTGGTGCTATCTCGGCTCACTGCAACCTCTGCCTCCCAGGTTCAAGCGATTCTCCTACCTCAGCCTCCTGAGTAGCTGAGATTATAGGCACGTGCCACCACACCCAGCTAATTTTTGTATTTTTAGTAGAGACAGGGTTTCACCATGTTGGCCAGGCTGGTCTTGAACTCCTGACCTCAGGTGATCTGCCCGCCTCGGACTCCCAAAGTGCTGGGATTACAGGCGTGAGCCACTTTGCCTGGCCTGGAGGACATTTTTAATTGCCACAACTTGTGGGAGGGATGCTACTGGCAGCTCGTGAGTGGAGCCTAGGGATGCCGCTCAATATCCTCCAATGCATAGGACGCCACCCCCACTACCACAGTGGAGAATTACTTGGCCCCAAATGTGAACAATGCTGAGGTCAGAAGACCTTGCCGTAGCATGATGGACTTATGCCATCACTTGAGACCCTGCATAGTGTGCTGTCTTCCCAGGCTGATCTTGAACTCCCAGGCTCAAGCAACCCTCCCTCCTTGGCCTCTCAAAGTGCAGGAATGACAGGCAGGAGCCACCACGCCCGGCTCCAGAATCTACATTTTTAACAATCAAGCGATATGTCCTATTGCAGATCGGCAGACTGTGTTTTCAGAAATATCATCTCAGGCAGAAAGGGCCGGGTGCAGTGGCTCACACCTGTAATCCCAGCACTTTGGGAGGCCGAGGCGGGTGGATCACTTGAGGTCAGGAGTTTGAGACCAGCCTGGCCAACATGGTAAAACCCCGTCTCTACTCAAAAATACAAAAATTAGCCAGGCACGGTGGCGGGCACCTATAATCCCAGCTACTGTGGAGGCTGAGGCAGGAGAATCTCTTGAACCCAGAAGGCAGAGGTTGCAGTGAGCTGAGATCGCACCACTGCACTCCAGCCTGGGCAACAGAGCGAGACTCTGTCACACAAACACACACACACACACAAAGAAATACCATATCAGGCAGAAAGATGCCTGAGATGTCTGAAGGACCTTGGATACCGTGACACCCCCCTCCCCTTTCTCTTTCTCTCTCTCTCTGCTCCGTCCTTAGCTTGCTGTGCACCCCATGCCTGGGTCCCTGTCCCAAGGTGTGCCACCTCCTAGAAGGCGAGAAGACCATCGACTCGGTGACGTCTGCCCAGGAGCTCCGAGGATGCACCGTCATCAACGGGAGTCTGATCATCAACATTCGAGGAGGCAGTGAGTGTCTCTGTGTGGGCGTCGGGGGTGCCTGTTGGGCTCCATGTCCCTCTGAGCTGTGAGCGGGGAAGAAAAGCAGTGCAGACCCTGCTGCGTGCTCCTACAGCACTTTTAGGATGGTCGTTCAGTGGCTCCCCCATGGATAGAACCATGCTGGGAGTCTGCCTCAAAACCTGAAATGAACAGCTCAGTCTTGGCCTTACTAACCTTGAGATTCTCATTTTCTACTTTGGGAGTTGGGGCATCAGGAATCTGCATTTACATTTATTTTTATTTTTATTTTTATTTTTAGAGATGGGGTCTTGCTCCATTGCCCAGGCTGGAGTACAGTGGGGCAACTCTAGCTCACTGTAGCCTCAAACTCTTGGGCTCATGCAGTCCTCCTACCTCAGCCTCCCAAGTAGCTGGGAGTACAGGCAGGTGTCACTGTGCCGGGCTAATTTTTTTTTTTTTTAATTTTTTTCCAGGGCCAGGTTCTCACTATGTTGCCCAGGCTGGTCTCAAACTCCTGGGCTCGAGCAATCTTCCTGCCTCAGCCTCTCAAAGTGCAGGGATTACAGGCATGAGCCACCCCACCTGGCTTTGGAATCGTCGTTTTTAACAATCAAGCAATATGCCCTATTGCAGAACTGCAGGCTGTGTTTTCAGAAATAAATCTCAGGGCCGGGTGCAGTGGCTCATGCCTGTAATCCCAACAGTTTGGGAGGCCGAGGCAGGTGGATCACGTGAGGTGAGAAGTTTAAGACCAGCCTGGCCAACATGGTGAAACCCTGTCTCTACTAAAAATACAAAAAAATTAGCCAGGCTTGGTGGTGCGTGCCTGTAATCCCAGCTACGCAGGAGGCTGAGGCAGGAGAATCGTTTGAACTCAGGAAGTGGAGGTTGCAATGAGCTGGGATCGCGCCACTGCACTCTAGCCTGGGCGACAGAGTGAGACTCCATCTCAAAAAAAAAAAAAAAAAAAAAAAAAGCCAGGCGCTGTGGCTCATGCCTGTAATCCCAGCACTTTGGGAGGCTGAGGTGGGCGGATCACTTGAGGTCAGAAGTTTGAGACCAGCCAACATGGTGAAACCTTGTCTCTCCTAAAAATACAAAAATTAGCTGGGCACGGTGGCACATGCCTGTAGTCCTAGCTACTTGGGAGGCTGAGGCAGGAGAATCACTTGAACCTGGGAGGCAGAGGTTGCAGTGAGCCGAGATCACACCACTGCACTCCAGCCTGGGCCATAGACCAAGACTCCATTTCAAAAAAAAAGAAAAGAAATACCATGTCAGGCAAAAAGGCATTCCTTTGTTTATTTCTTTAGCGAACATGTACTGAATACTCACAGTGAGTAAGGGAAAGTCCTTACCTTGATGGATTTTTGCGCATAAGTAAATCGACAGATATTGTAAGGTCAGGTTGTGGTCTGTGCTGTGAAGGGAAGTGCAGCAGGGTAATAGGTGGAATGGAAATGGGCAACTTTTCCCTATAAAGGGCTCTTTCATGAATATATTCAGCCTGGCAGGCCGGGCAGTCTCTGCCGTAACCACTCAACTCTGCCGTTGTAATATGAAAACAGCCATAGACCCATGTCAGCTAGCAGGCATGGCTTTGTTCCAATAAAACTTTATTTACAAAACAGGTAGAATTTGGCCAGTGGGCTGTCATTTGTCAACCTCTAAAATGGAGACTAACAGGGGTTGCTATTTTTTTTTTTTTTTGTAGTTTTAGTAGAGACAGGGTTTCACCATGTTGGCCAGGGTGGTCTTGAACTCCTGACCTCAAGTGATCCACCTGCCTCGCCCTCCCAAGGTGCTGGTATTACAGGCATGAGCCACCAGCACCAAGCTGGGGGTTGCTATTTTAGAGAAGTCTCTGGTATGGGAAAGGAGGGTTTGAGATGATGATGGAACAAGCCAAGGAGATATATGGTGGAATAATATTCTGAGCAACAGACGCAGCCAGTGCCAAGGTCCTGGGGCAGAAGTATGCTTGACCCATTTAAGGAATGCTAAGGACTTCAGATTGTGTTCTAAGCATGATGAGTTTTGAGCTGGGTATGTCCAGTCATTTGCAGCCTGAGGGTTATCTTCTCACCATGGAGAATCATGAGAAGATTGAAATATGTCTATAGAAACCCACTGGATATTCTCTCCTTTCCTTAGACAATCTGGCAGCTGAGCTAGAAGCCAACCTCGGCCTCATTGAAGAAATTTCAGGGTATCTAAAAATCCGCCGATCCTACGCTCTGGTGTCACTTTCCTTCTTCCGGAAGTTACGTCTGATTCGAGGAGAGACCTTGGAAATTGGGTACGTGGGCCTGATTGTGTGTATGGCCTGAGTGCTAACTAGGAAGTTCGTGTATTAGAACAACTTAAGGATTTTTTTGGCCAGGTGTGGTGGCTGATGCCTGTAATCCCAGCATTTTAGGAGGCCAACGTGGGTGAATCACTTGAGGCGGGGAGTTCAAGACCAGCCTGGCCAACATGGTGAAACCCTGTCTCTACTAAAAGTACAAAAATTAGCCAAGTGTGATAGTGCATGCCTGTAATCCCAGCTACTTGGGAGGCTGAGGCAGGAGAATAGCTTGAACCTGGGAGGCAGAGGTTGCAGTGAGCCAAGATCACACTACTGCACTCCAGCCTGGGTGACAGAGTGAGACTCTGTCCAAAAAAAAAAAAAGAAAAGAAAAGGAAAAACTTAAGGATTTTTTAAAAATCAAATAAAAACAAATAAAAAACAAATAAAAGTATATCTGGCAAAACCTCGGGAAAAAAGAACTTGGAATGTGCCTAAAGGTCCATCCAGCCAAAAATTGTAAAAGCTTTTTTATAGTCATTCTTGAGAAACAAAAGTGGGAGCAGCCCAACCTTGGTGCCCATCCTCCAAGGGTACAGGCTGGAATTTTTGCTAAATTTGCTGTTTGGGCTGCATTGTGAGTAGAGTTTGGCATGCATAAAATGAACATTCCCTCTTAGTCCCGGTTGTCCATCCTAATTTCTGGGATGGACTCCATCTCAGTATATTCCAGTATATTCCAACCTTCTCCTTGAGGTCCTAGAAACTCTATTAGCAAAACAGCAGAAACTCAAACTAGCTAGATCAAGATTGACTCATAGGCAGGAGGTCTGTGGAAGACCCAGATTCTTTCCATCTTTGTGCTCCTCATGGTCACAAGATGGCTGCCTCAGCCCCAGCCTCACATCTGTAGAACAGACAGCAAATGGGGAAAGGGACAAAAGGACATGTTAATCAACATGAGCTGGTAAGTGACTTGAGAAGGTGGTCTAAACAATATAGTTTAGACTATATTATCTGTACTCCAGCCTAGGCACCAGAGTGAGAATCCATCTCAATAAAACAAACAAACAAACAAACAAAAACCTTCAATGGCTCCTTTCTCCTTATTAAGGATGGCCACATGTTCTTGGTCTTGGTCTGGCATGCAATATACTAGAGGGTCTGGTCCATTGCAACTACAGCTATTTCCTGTCACCTATTGGCCAAAACAGGCTACTTTGCTCTTCCCTGAACTCAGCTTAGGTGCCTCTGTGTTATCAGTATTTCCCCTATTTGCAGAAATTGGTTTCTGCAAAAC
The DNA here is from genome assembly GCF_000001405.40 of Homo sapiens. Classification (NCBI taxonomy): domain Eukaryota; kingdom Metazoa; phylum Chordata; class Mammalia; order Primates; family Hominidae; genus Homo; species Homo sapiens. The sequence goes on along the minus strand of NC_000019.10, from coordinate 7,171,001 downwards.
CTATTCCTCAGTCCATCACAGACTCACCACCCCTCTTCAAGACTGAGCTGAGCCTCCTTCCTGGCCATGAAAACTTCCTCAACTTCCTCTGTTATCCACATTCAACAAATATGTGTTGAGTATGTGCCAAGCAAGTGGAGAGGATTAGGCACGTAGCACTGAACAAGATCAACTCCGAGCATGGCCACACCATCTTGGAGTTGTAGAAGACCAGCCGTTGAATGACTAGATGTGTGTGTTTTTTCCATAGGAACTACTCCTTCTATGCCTTGGACAACCAGAACCTAAGGCAGCTCTGGGACTGGAGCAAACACAACCTCACCATCACTCAGGGGAAACTCTTCTTCCACTATAACCCCAAACTCTGCTTGTCAGAAATCCACAAGATGGAAGAAGTTTCAGGAACCAAGGGGCGCCAGGAGAGAAACGACATTGCCCTGAAGACCAATGGGGACCAGGCATCCTGTAAGTCACTGGTCCCCAACCTTTTTGGCATGAGGGACCGGTGTAGTGGAAGATGGTTTTTCCATGGACTGGTGGTGGGTGGGGATGGTTTCAGCATGATTCAAGTGCATTACATTTACTATGCACTTTATTCCTATTATGATTACATTGTAATATATAATGAAAGAATTGTACAACTCACCATCATGTAGAATCAATGGGAACCCTGAGCTTGTGTTCCTGCAACTAGATGGTCCCAGCTGGGGGTGATGGGAGACAGTGACAGATCATCAGGCATTAGATTTTCATAAGGAGTGTGCAGTCTAGGTACCTCATGTACACAGTTCACAATAGGGTTCACACCCCTGTGAGAATCTAATGCCGCCGCTAATCTGACAGGAGGCAGAACTCAGGTGGTCATGCAAGCGATGGGGAGTGACTGTAAATACAGATGAAGCTTCACTTGCTCACCTATCACTCACCTCCTGCTGTACAGCCCTGTTCGTAACAGGCCATGGATAAGTACTGGTCTGTGGCCCAGGGGCTGGGGACCCCTGCTGTAAGTGGTCCACAAACCAGATAATGTGGCTGTCCTCTCTCATCCATCACAGTCACCCCCAGGGGGTATTACTTCCCTCTAACAACTCACTGTGTGATAGGCTTTCTTACTGAGGGCAGATTCTGCACATTTATTAATATTATCACTATGCTTACTGTGCCATATAGTACCGGATACGGGATGAAGTCATACAAGCACTGAATGAATGGATGAATGAATGATGGATGAATGGATGACACCTTCTTATATGTGTATCAGGCTGATGCTGAAGACTTCAAAGTTGAGTAAAATACCTATGTCAGTCTGCATCTCCTGGGAAGTGACTGCCAAGTTGAAGTTAGGAGTGCAGAAAATGTATTGAGGGTAATATTCATAAAATATGAAACAGAGGAAGAGCTTCTTTTTTTTTTTTTTTTTTTTTTGGGACAGAGTCTTGCTCTGTCACCCAGGGCTGGAGTGCAGTGGCGTGATCTTGCCTCACTGCAACCTCCTTCCCCTGGGTTCAGGTAATTATCTCGCCTCAGCCTCCAGAATAGCTGGGATTACAGGCACATGCCACCAAGCCCGGCTAATTTTTTTTTTTGTATTTTTAGTAGAGACAGGGTTTTGCCATGTTGGCCAGGGTGGTCTTGAACTCCTGACCTCAGGTGATCCTCCCGCCTCGGCCTCCCAAAGTGCTGAGATTACAGGTGTGAGTCACCACGCTCAGCCATGAAGAGCCTTTTGACAATAGCGTGTGTCTGACCTCTGTGAACAGAGAGCGGGAAGGAGGGAGGATAGGGCTGGGAGAGTCTCAGATGGTGATGCATCCCTGAGTCTTGGCCAAACCCAGAAAGAGATCAAGGCCACGGTTGTCTGCAGGGAAGTTCTGCATTGCAAAGGGACGGCCAGGCATCTACCAAGCTCAGTCATAGGTGGGGGCTGTCCAGGGAGAGTCAGGTTTTGGCTGGAATGCTACAGCAGGTCCTGCAGTTTCTGCAGCTGCAGGCTGCCTGCTGACTGCACTTCCCTGACAGATTCTAAACAGTGAGCTGCCAAGGGCTTCTGGGATACCTTCATGGGGAGTTAGTTACTTATGTCAAAATGTAGTGCAAGGGCTGGGCATGGTGGCTCACGCCTGGAATCCCAGCACTCTGGGAGGCCGAGGCAGGCAGATCACTTGAGGTCAGGAGTTCGAGACCAGCCTGGCCAATGTGGTGAAACTCCATCTCTACTAAAAAAAAAAAATACAAAAACTAGCTGGACGTGGTGGTGGGTGCCTGTAATCCCAGCTACTTGAGAGGCTGAGGCATGAGAATTGCTTAAACCCGGTAGGTGGACTGCACTCCAGCCTTGGTGACAGAGCAAGACTGTCTCAAAAAAAATGTAGTGCAAGGAGAGAGAGCGAGGTTGGGGTGAGGTTTAGGAGAGGGTTTGTCTTCTAGGCAGAGAGAATTACTTAGATGCGTCTCTCCGATGTCTAATGATCTGCAGGGTCTCTAAACTCACTTGGCATAGGTTTATTTGCACTGGAGTTGCACCTCCTTCCAGGTCAGTCTTACAAGTCCATATGCGAGACAACGTTGTGTCAGGACAAACATCACCCTTGGAAATCCCTTCCTCCAATAACTATTGGCCGGTTGTCCTTCTTGCGCGGGTACAGACTGCGCTTATTCAGTTGACTGTCTGGCTGAGTCAAGTCATTGGCTTACGTGAGTGTGAGTGGCCAAGTTGCAAAACTGGCTCTTACCTTTGAATCTTCCCCCATTCATACTCAGCCAGGCACATGGGGAGGAGACCCTTAAGGGAATAGCAGCGTCACCTCTGCCTTCTCACGGTCCCTCCAGGAAGTGTGGGGGTCCCAGGCTTTGGTCTGAAACTACACTGAAATAGCTCATTTTTGCCTTTTGTTTTAACTTTTCCAGGTGAAAATGAGTTACTTAAATTTTCTTACATTCGGACATCTTTTGACAAGATCTTGCTGAGATGGGAGCCGTACTGGCCCCCCGACTTCCGAGACCTCTTGGGGTTCATGCTGTTCTACAAAGAGGCGTAAGTAGAAGAGTTAGAGAGACGCTGAGGAGGCGAGGGCTGGCTGGCTCTGTGCTTGCTACGTTTGTGCTCCAATCTGCCCCTCTTGGGTTCCTGTCTATCTCCCTCCTCCTCCTGGAATAAATATCTTAGGTTCCTTTTTACAATCTCACCAGTCGATGGCATGCAAAGTCAATAGTGTCTGCTTTTATCAAATGCCTAAAATGGAAGCAGACAGCTTTCCCATAGAAGCCCGGACTGGCCAGTTTCCTGGGGCAATATTCTATTTTGCCTTGCCTGTGTATGTCTCATCAGACATCCTTAGTAGTCAGGAGCTCAGTCTACTAAGTGGATGTTATCAAATGTATTGCTTATCTATTTTTCTTTTTTATCCCCAATTTTTTTTTTTTTTTTGAGACAGAGTCTTGCTCTGTTGCCCAGGGTACAGTGCAGTGGCAGATCTTGGCTCACTGCAACCTCTGCCTCCCGGGTTCAAGCAGTTCTCCTGCCTCAGTCTCTTGAGTAGCTGAGATTATGGGCATACACCATCACACGTAGCTAATTTGTGTATTTTTGATAGAGACGGGTTTTGCCATGTTGGCCAGGCTGGTCTCAAACTCCTGACCTCAGGTGATCTGCCCACCTTGGCCTCCCAAAGTGCTGGGATTACAGGCATGAGCCACCGCACCTGACCAGTAGTAATATTAATAATAGTTCTAGCCCTCAAGATTTACCTTGTGCCTTGCTGAGCACTGACACACAGTCTAATCTTATCAGTAACTTGTGAGGGAGCTCCTGCTATTACTATTATTACAGATTGAGTATCCCTAATCTGAAAATCTGAAATTTATAATGCTCCAAAATCCAAAGCTTTTTGTGGGCCGACTTGATACTCAAAGGAGATGCTTATTGGAGCATTTCAGATTTCAGATTTTTAGATTAGAGATGCTGAACCAGTACAATGCAAATTAACTAGTAAAATGCAAATATTTCAAAACCCCAAAATATCCAAAATCCAAAACACTTCTGGTCCCAAGCATTTATTTATTTATTTATTTATTTATGTTTTTGAAACAGAGTCTCCCTTTGTCGCCCAGGCTGGAGTGCAGTGGTGCGATCTCAGCTGATGCTACCTCTGCCTCCCGGGTTCAAGCAATTCTCCTGCCTCAACCTCCTGAATAGCTGGGATTACAAGCATCTGCCACCATGCCCAGATAATTTTTGTATTTTTAGTAGAGACGGGGTTTCACCATGTTGGCCAGGCTGGTCTCGAACTCCTGACTTCTGGTGATCCGCCATTCTCGGCCTCCCAAAGTGCTGGGATTACAGGCGTGAGCCACTGCACTTGGCCAAGTCTCAAGTGTTTTGAATAAGGGATGCCCAAGCTGTGTTTTTTCATTGAGATGTCAGGGTTGACAGTTCCTTTCTCTTTGGCTGTTCCCGAGTTATTTTTTCTTGTGGCATTAGATTGTTGGGTGAGTAACATGTGACCCTATGGGATGTAACTTCCCAGGCCTCATCTGCACGGCACTCAGTGTGACGGTCTTGTAAGGGTAACTGCCTTCTGCTGTTTTGTCTTGAAAGCCCTTATCAGAATGTGACGGAGTTCGACGGGCAGGATGCGTGTGGTTCCAACAGTTGGACGGTGGTAGACATTGACCCACCCCTGAGGTCCAACGACCCCAAATCACAGAACCACCCAGGGTGGCTGATGCGGGGTCTCAAGCCCTGGACCCAGTATGCCATCTTTGTGAAGACCCTGGTCACCTTTTCGGATGAACGCCGGACCTATGGGGCCAAGAGTGACATCATTTATGTCCAGACAGATGCCACCAGTGAGTGTGTCTTGGGAATGTGAATTCGTATGTGAATCAGACCTCTTGCTTTTAATAGGCTGATGCAGTGAGGTTGTATAAAATGCTCCTTGATATGGTTATTGGCTTTTTTTTTTTTTTTAGACAGGGTCTTACTTTGTCACCCAGGCTAGAGTGCAATGCAGTGGGGTGATCATGGCTCACTGCAGCCTCAAACTCCTGGGCTCAAGCAATCCTTCTGCCTCAGCCTCCTAAGTAGAAGGAACTACCAGAGTATACCACCATGTGTGGCTTTTTTTTTTTTTTTTCTTTGAGATGAAGTCTCACTCTGTCACCCGGACTGGAGTGCAATGGCATGATCTCGGCTCACTGCAACCTCCGCCTCCCAGGTTCAAGTAATTCTCCCACCTCAGCCTCCTGAGTAGCTGGGACTACAGGCATGCACCACTATACCCAGCTAATTTTTGTATTTCTTGTAGAGACAGAACGTTGCTGTGTTACCCAGGCTGGTCTTGAACCCCTGGCCTCAAGTGATCCTCCTGCCTCGGCCTCCCAAAGTCCTGGGATTAGAAGTGTGAGCCACCTTGCCCAGTCAGTTATTGGCTTTTAAAGGAGCTGGGTATTGAGGCTTATAGTTTCAGACGAGGCAGTAGCAACAAGCCACTTGATGGGAATATTTATATTTTTCATCCTATTATGAAAAATTGTCAAATATTCACAACACAGAACAAAACCCCATAGTTAGCCGCCTCCCAGCTTCAGCCTTTGGTCATTTTTGTTTCATCTCGACGCCTGTTCCCTCTTCCCACTTGTTACTTCTTTTTGTTTTGTTGTTTGTTTTGGCCTGGAGTATTTCACAGCAATTTAATTATGTTTGTTTGTTTGAGATGGAGTCTCACTCTGTCACCCAGGCTGGAGTGCAGTGGCGCCATCTGGACTCACTGCAACCTCCACCTCCCAGGTTCAAGTGATTCTCCTGCCTCAGCCTCCCAAGTTGCTGGGATTACAGCACACTTGGCTAATTTTTGTTTTGTTTTGTTTTGTTTTTTGAGACAGAGTCTCACTCTGTCACTGAGGCTGGAGTGCAGTGGTGTGATCTCAGCTCACTGTAACCTCCCCGTCCCAGTTCAAGTGATTCTCCTGCCTCAGTCTCCCAAGTAGCTGCAACTACAGGCGTGCCACCACGCCCAGCTAATTTTTGTATTTTTAGTAGAGATGGGATTTCACCATGTTGGCCAGGATGGTCTCAATCTCTTGACCTGCAATCTGCCCACCTTGGCCTCCCAAAGTGCTGGGATTACAGGCATAAGCCACCATGCCAGCCTTTTTTTTTTTTTTTTTTTTTTTTGAGATGGAGTTTCGCTCTTGTTGCCTAGGCTGGAGTGCAATGGCCCTATCTCAGCTCACTGCAACCTCTGCCTCCCGGGTTCAAGCGATTCTCCTGCCTCAGCCTCCCGAGTAACTGGGATTACATGCATGCACCACCACGATTGGCGAATTTTTTTTTTTTTTTTTTTTTTGTAGAGACAAGGTTTCTCCATGTTGGTCAGGCTGGTCTCGAACTCCGAGCCTCAGGTGATCCGCCTGCCTCGGCTTCCCAAAGTGCTGGGATTACAGGCATGAGCCACCGCGCCCAGCCATTTTTGTATTTTTAATAGAGATGGGGCTTCACCATGTTGGCCAGGCTGCTCTGGAACTCCTGACCTCAAATGATCCGCCCACCTTGGCCTCCCAAAGTGCTGGGATTACAGGCATGAGCCACTGGGCCCGGCCTAATTATATTTTTGTAAAACCTAAGTGCTTCTCTTATAGCAGTAGTTCCCAAAGGAGGTTAACTGCTCTGCCAGGGAACAGCTGCCAATCAATGTCTGGAGACATTTTTGGTTGTTACAGCTGTGGAGATGAAACCACTGGCATTTCGTGGGCGGAAGCCAGAGAGGCTGTTCCATGTCCTGCAACACACAGGATGCACCCTCCTTCATGACAAAGAATTATCCAGTCCTAAAAGCCAATAGTACTAAGGGTGAGAAACCCCGTCCTGTAGGCTCAAATTCAAGCTTTTTTTTTTTTTTTTTTTTTTTTAACGGAGTTTCACTCTTGTCTCTCAGGCTGGAGTTCAATGGCGCATTCTCAGCTCACTGCAACCTCTGCCCAGGTTCAAGATTCTCCTGCCTCAGCCTCCCAGGAAGCTGAGATTACAGGCGCCCACCACCATGTCCAGCTAATTTTTTTTTTTTTTTTTTTTTTTTAGTAGAGATAGGGTTTCACCATGTTGGCCAGGTGTAGTCTCGAACTCCTGATCTCAGGTGATTCAGATGATTCGCCCACCTCGGCCTTCTAAAGTGCTGGGATTACAGGCATGAGCCACTGTGCCTGGCCTCGAATTCAAACTTTATAAATCAACCCTATCTTCTTCAGTTAATCCCCGCTCATTCATCCTGTATCTTTTAGTGACACCAAAAGACTTACAGTTTTCAGAAACTTCTAGCTCCCAGGTGTTTGGACTCCCTCCCCATCCCCAGCTCCCTCGGCCACCTCCGTTACTTTGGGTTTTTTGGGTTTTGTTTGGTTGGTTGGTGGTGGTTTTTTTTTTCTTTTTTGTTTTGTTTTGTTTTGAGACGGACTCTTGCTCTGTCACCCAGGCTGGAGTGCAGTGGCGCAATCTCGGCTCACTGCAAGCTCCGCCTCCCAGGTTCACGCCATTCTCCTGCCTCAGCCTCCCAAGTAGCTGGGACTACAGGCGCCCACCACCACACCTGGCTAATTTTTTGTATTTTTAGTAGAGACGGGGTTTCACTGTGTTAACCAGGATGGTCTCGATCTCCTGACCTCGTGATCCGCCTGCCTTGGCCGCCCAAAATGCTGGGATGGGTGCCCTCATGATGTCTTTAACTTGTGTGTCCCCCGCCATCCTCCCACCAGCTTTCTTTGCACACTGTTTCTCATGATGGACCCATTTCCTTTCTCCCTGACAGACCCCTCTGTGCCCCTGGATCCAATCTCAGTGTCTAACTCATCATCCCAGATTATTCTGAAGTGGAAACCACCCTCCGACCCCAATGGCAACATCACCCACTACCTGGTTTTCTGGGAGAGGCAGGCGGAAGACAGTGAGCTGTTCGAGCTGGATTATTGCCTCAAAGGTGAGTGCAGGCAGCTGTGCTAGGATCGGTGGGGTTTGCACACGTGTGTCTGATGCACTTTGCTTCACCTCTAGGGAAGCAGCTATCTCTTCCTGTGTCTCAGTGTCGGAAGGCACACACACACACACTCCATTCTATCTCATATGAAAACACACATACATGTTTTTATCTATTTATTTATTTATTTTATTTTTTATTTATTTACTTTTTTGAGATGGAGTTTCACTCTTGTTGCCCAGGCTGGAGTGCAATGACGCGACCTTGGCTCATCGCAACCTCCACCTCTCGGGTTCAAGTGATTCTCCTGCATCAGCCTCCCGAGTAGCTGGGATTACAGGCACGCGCCACCACGCCCGGCTAATTTGGTATTTTTAGTAGGGACGGGGTTTCTCCATGTTGGTCAGCCTGGTCTCAAACTCCCGACCTCAGGTGACCTCAGGTGATCCACCCACCTTGGCCTCCCAAAGTGCTGGGATTACAGGCATGAGCCACCACACCCGGCCTATTTTTTTTTTTTTTTTGAGACAGGGTCTTACTCTGTTGCCCAGGCTGGAGTGCAGTGGCATGATCTCTGCTCACTGCAACCTCCACCTCCCAGGCTCAAGCAATCCTCTTGCCTCAGCCTCATGAGTTGCTGGAACACCACAATTGTCTGCAGGTGTGCACCAGCATGCCCAGGTAATTTTTTTTTTTTTTTTTTTTTTTGAGACAGGGTCTCACTCTGTCACCCAGGCTGGAGTGCAGTGGCATGATCTCGGCTCATTGCAACTTCTGCCTCCCAGGCGCAAGCGATTCTCCTGCCTCAGGCTCCTGAGTAGCTGGGACTACAGGCGCCTGCCACCACACCCGGCTAATTTTTGTATTTTTAGTAGAGATGGGGTTTCACCATGTTGGCCAGGCTGGTCTTGAACTCCTGACCTCAAATGATCCACCCGCCTCGGCCTCCCAAAGTGCTGTGATTACAGGCATGAGCCACCACGCCTGGCCCTGGCTAATTTTTAAACTTCTTTTTGTAGAGATGGAGTCTCCTTATATTGCCCAGGCTGGTCTCAAACTCCTGGCTTCAAGCAATTCACCCCCCTCAGCCTCCCAAAGCGCTGGGATTACAGGCGTGAGCCACTATGACCGGCTCATACATACACATTTTTAAACATCGTAACACAAGCACGCACTGAAGACTTGTGTCAAAACCAGATTTTTCCCATGTCTTGGCACCATTTCCCTCTGGGATTTTCTCCTCTTGTCTCTCCTTCTTTCTCCCTCCCTGCCTTCCTTGTTCTCTTCATCCCTCCTCACACTGATGGGGATGCAGCTGTGTTAACCCACGCAAGACTTCTGTGCAAAGCTAGAAACACAACTAATGGTTATTGACAAAGTCAGGGAAGGATTTTGGCCCCACTGAGATCCTTTAGTTGTAAGGATCGAAGGCAGCAAGAATTGGTTATCTCATATCCCCCACCCCATACTTTCAATTAAAAATGTCTGCCAGGCTTGGCGCTCATGCCTGTAATCCCAGCACATTGGGAGGCCAAGGTGGGAGGATCACTGGAGGCCGGGAGTTTGAGACCAGCCTGGGCAACATAGCAAGATCCCATCTCTAAAAAAATTTAAAAAAATGGTGGTGTACACCTGTAGTCCCAGTTACTTGGGAGGCCCAGGCGGGAGGATCTCTTGAGCCCAGGAGTTCAAGTCTGCAGTGAGCTATGATTATTCCAGTGCACTCCAGCCTGGGTGACAGAGCGAGACCCTGTCTCTATATATATAAAAAAAATTATACAAAATTAAAAAAAAAAGGCATTAAGTGCATTCACAATGTTGTGCAATCATTTTATTGTATAAAAATTATAAATAAAATTTATAAATAATTATATAAATAATTTTATTATAAAACTTAATGACAAATTTTTCTTAATCTTGTTTACTTAATAGACCTCCATCCATCTGAAGGAAAATGGAATAATATTTAAAGTCTCAAACTAGTGTGTATACATTAGTTTAAAATTATTATTATTATTATTTTCTTTTTTTTTTTTTTTGACACGGAGTCTCACTCCGTCACCCAGGCTGGAGTGCAGTGGCTTGATCTTGGCTCACTGCAACCTCCGCCTGCTGGGTTCAAGCGATTCTTGTGCCTTAGCCTCCTGAATAGCTGGGATTACAGGTGCTGCCACTACACCGGCTAATTTTTGTATTTTTAGTAGAGACGGGGTTTCACCATGTTGGCCAGGGTGGTCTTGAATTCCTGACCTCAAATGATCCACCCGTCTCAGCCTCCCAAAGTGCTGGGATTACAGGCGTGAGCCACCGCGCCCAGCCTAAAATTATTTTAACATTGGGTTTTTTTAGAACCCACCAAACTGGAGAAGCATCTGTCACTTTTTTCTTTTTCTTTTTCTTCTTCTTTTTTAAGATGGGGTCTCACTCTGTTGTCCAGGCTGGAGTGCAGTGGCACAATCATAGCTCACTGCAGGCTTGAACTCCTGGGCTCAAACGATCTTCCCGCCTCAGCCTCCTGAGTAGCTGGACTACACAGGACTACAGGCCTGAGACACTATACCTGGCTAATTATTTAAAATAATTTTTTAGGCCGGGCACAGTGGCTCATGCCTGTAATCCCAGCACTTTGGGAGGCCGAGGCGGGTGGATCACCAGGGGTCAGGAGTTTGAGACCACCCTGGCCAATATGGCAAAACCCCGTCTCTACTCAAAATACAAAAATTAGCCAGGCGTGGGCCTGTAATCCCAGCTACTCAGGAGGCTGAGGCAGAAGAATCGCTTGAACCCGGGAGGTGGAGGTTGCAATGAGCCGAGCTTGCACCATTGCACTCCAGCCTGGGTAACAAAAGCAAAACTCCATCTAAGAAAAATAATAATAATAAAAATAATAATAATTTTTTAGAGGTGGGGATCTTGATATGTTGCCCAGGGTGGTCTCGAACTCCTGACCACAAGCGATCCTCCTGCCTCAGCCTCCCAAAGTGCTGGTATTACAGACCTGAGCCACTGCGCTGGGCCCATTTCCTTCTTTAGTTTTGGTTTCCTTGTGCATCTTGATGTATTTTTCTTGAGATATTTTCTGTTAGTGATATCCTCGGTCCATGACCCTGGAGGAGAAGGCCAGGGGGCCACTGGCGAGGTGTGGCTGAGGCCAGGAGCTCAACATTTGCTCTTGGCTCTGGCCCTGACCTGCTGAAGGGCTTTGGCTAAGTTCCCAAGCAAGTCACCGTCTGCCTCCTTTTTGGGAGAAGGGGCGGGAGGACAGATGATCTCTGGGAGCTGTCCCAGCTCTAAGCTCATATGCTATATGTATGTGTGTGACATCATCCCCGCCTGAGCCGAGGGTTGCAAACGTGATTTATCTGCTCTGATGCTTTATATAACTCCAGGGCGAGTCCAGTCATCAGCTCCGCTGTAAGCTGTTGGCCCTGCATTCAAGTAACCAGAACCACCCGTGAGAGCTGCCACCAGTAATGTCACTCGAAGCTTCCTTTTTTTTTTTTTTAATTCCGAAAGTCTAAATCTGTAATTACCAAGGGACCATTTAAACATGGTTTTATTTGTAATTGTCACAAAGTTAATATCATTAAAAGGAAACTCACTAAGGACAAATTCTGTGTGATTTCACTCCTAGGAGGTCCCTAGAGTCCTCAGATTCATAGAGACAGAAAGTAGAATGGGGAGTGCCAGGGACTGCGGAGGGGACGGGTTGAGGACAGAGTTTCAGTTTGGGAAGATGAGAAAGTTCCGGAGATGATGGTGGTGATGATTGCACAACATTGTGAATGCACTTAATACCACAGAACTGCACACTTAAAATGGTTGAGATTTACCGGGCACAGTGGCTCACGCCTGTAATCCCAGCACACTGGGAGGCCGAGGTGGGGTGGATCACTTTGAGGCCAGGAGTTCGAGACCAGCCTGGGCAACATGGTGAAACCCCGTCTCTACTAAAAATACAAAAATTAGTTGGGTGTGGTGGTGGGTGCCTGTAATCCCAGCTACTCAGGAGGCTGAGGCAGGAGAATCGCTTGAATCTGGGAGGCAGAGGTTGCAGTGAGCCGAGATCACGCCATTGCACTCCAGCCTGGCAACAGAGCAAGACTCCACCAAAAACAAAACAAAACAAAAATTGAGATGGTAAATTGGTATATTTTATGTGATGCTTATTTTTCCACAATTTCAAACACACACACACACAAATAAATAAGCTTACAAACCCTTCCTGTTAATATCACTAGTGTATATGTTGTTACCACGGTAAAATATACATCACATACAATTTATTATTATAACCATGTTTAAGAGCACAGTTGAGCTGCATTAAGTGCATTGCCGTGGTTGTGCGGCCATTACCACCATCATCTCCAGAACTTTCTCATCTTCTCAAACTGAAACTCTGTCCCCATGAAACACTCACTCCCCTTCTCCTTCCCCCAGCCCCAGCACCCACCATCCTCCTTTCTGTCTCTGTGAATCTGATTCTAGAGACTTCATTATGCTCATTTTTCTTTTCTTTTCTTTTTATTTTTTTGAGACGGAGTCTCGCTCTGTCACCCAGGCTGGAGTTCAGTGGCGTGATCTCGGCTCACTGCAAGCTCCGCCTCCCGGGTTCACGCCATTCTCCTGCGTCAGCCTCCCGAGTAGCTGGGACTACAGGCGCCCGCCACCACGCCCGGCTAATTTTTTGTATTTTTTAGTAGAGACGGGGTTTCACCATGTTAGCCAGGATGGTCTCGATCTCCTGACCTCGTGATCTGCCCACCTTGGCCTCCCAACGTGCTGGGATTACAGGCGTGAGTCACCGCGCCTGGCCCATTATGCTTCATTTTTCTAATCTCAGGAAAACCACAGTGTACCATGTTTCATGCAGTGGATTCTAGGAAGAGGTAGCAGGTATCAGGAATGATACCTGTGCCTGAACAAATATCCCTTCCTCTCCAAATAATAATAATAATAATAATAATAATAATAATAATAATAATAATACCAGGAGCTTCCCTTATTCAGGCAGTTCTACATTTTTTTTTCCATCTGTAATGCTGTAACTAGCTCCCATCAGAGTTAACCCAGGCAGGGTATTCTATGTCTATTTATAAACTTAAGAAGTATTTTCCAGTCTCTCATAGGCTTTTAAAGCTGTGTAAATACTTGGGTTTCCGAGTGGATACTCACCATTCACAGGAAGGTACTTGATACACGATTTAGAGCTTATTGTCTATCCTCGAGGCATTAAGGGGAGGAGAGAAAATGGAATTTCCTTTGCTCAGCAGTCACCAGGCACCAAGCAGAGTGGCAGCAGGGGAGGTGGCTCTCCAGGGACTGTTGCAGATTTTGCTTGTAAAGAGCTGTGTCCGTCCATCTCAGTGGCTGTACCAGAGGCATAACTGTGCTTGCACCGTGGGTCACAAGAACCCTGGGATTTGACTTCGGGGCTTAAGACATGACCAGCTGCGGTACTTAAGTATTGTAGGCTGGGTGCGATGGCTCATGCCTGTAATCCCAGCACTTTGGGAGGCCAAGGCGGGCAGATCGTTCGAGCTCAGGAGTTTGAGATCAGCCTGGCCAACACAGCAAAACTCTGTCTCTACCAAAAAAAAAAAAAAAAAATACAAAAATCGGCTGGGCGCAGTGGCTCACGCCTGTAATCCCAGCACTTTGGGAGGCCAAGGCGGGTGGATCACCTGAGGTCGGGAGATCAAGACCAGCCTGGCCAACATGGCAAAACCCCGTCTCTAATAAAAATACAAAAAAAATGCCAGGCGCAGTGGCTCAAGCCTATAATCCCAGCACTTTGGGAGGCTGAGGCGGGTGGACCACCTGAGGTCAGGAGTTCAGACCAGCCTGGCCAACATGGCCAAACCCCGTCTCTACTAAAAATACAAAATTAGCCGGGCATGGTGGTGCACGCCTGTAGTCCCAGCTACTTGGGAGGCTGAGGCAGGAGAATGGCGTGAACCCGGGAGGCAGAGCTTGCAGTGAGCCGAGATAGCGCCACTGCAGTCCGGCCTGGGCAACAAGAGCGAGACTCCATCCCAAAAAAACAAAAACAAAAAACAAACAAACAAACAAAAAATTAGCCAGGTGTGATGGTGCATGCCTGTAATCCCAGTTACGGGGAGTGGAGCTGAGACAGGAGAATCGCTTGAACCCAGGAGGCAGAGGTTGCAGTGAGCCAAGATTGCGCCACTGCACTGCAGCCTGGGCGACAGAGCAAGACCCCATCTCAAAAAAAAAAAAAAAAAAAAAAAAGAGAGAAATAGTATTGTATTTTGTATTTTTAGGACTGCTACCTTTATAAGCTACTGGTGTTCTTCTTCATTTATTAATTTTTAAATTCCCTTTTCTATGCATGTTTGAAAAGTTCCTTCCTCTATCTCCTCTCATGCCTTTAGGTCAGGGTTTCTCTGTCTTGGTGTTTTTTCTGTCTGGCGTTGGATCATTCTCTGGGGTGGGACTGTCCCGAGCACTTCAGGGTGCTCAGCAGCATCTCTGGTCTTCACCCATTCCATGCTCCAGGAGGACGCCCCAGCCAGGTCCTGACACCTAAAAATATCTCCAGATGTTGCCCAATGTCCCTAGTAGGAGACAAAATCACCCCCTGGGTGAGAACCATTCACTGATCAAGTCTGATTTCTGGACTCATGAATGGACCCCTTAGAATTCCATGTGGAGGCCCAGTGTGGTGACCCAGGCCTGTAATTCCAGCACTTTGGGAGGCCGAGGTGGGCAGATCACATGAGGTCAGGAGTTCCAGACCAGCCTGGCCAACATGATGAAACTCTGTCTCTGCTAAAAATACAAAACATTAGCCAGGGTGGTGGCAGGCGCCTGTAATCCCAGCTACTTGAGAGGCTGAGGCAGGAGACTCACTTGAATCCAGGAGGCGGAGGCTGCAGTGAGCCAAGATCACGCCACTGCACTCCAGCCTGGGCGACAGAGCAAGACTGTCTCAAAAAAAAAAAAAAAAAAAAAAAAAAAAGAATTCCATATGGCATTCTACTCTGCCCTCCCATCTTATTTGTGTGGTTGATTAATTGATTGATTGATATTTTCATGCAGCTGTGACCTGGCTCCTTCTCCTCCTCCTTCTTCTCCTTCTTCTTTCTTTTTCTTCTTCTTCAACATGATTTCACTCTGTTGCCCAGGCTGGAGTGCAGTGGCCCCATCTCAGCTCACTGCAGCCTCGACTTCCCAGGCTCAAGCAATCCTCCTACCTCAGCCTCCTGAGTAGCTGGGATTACAGGCGCACACCACCATGCCTGGCTAATTTTTGTATTTTTTGGTAGAGACGGAGTTTCATCTTGTTGGCCAGGCTTATCTTGAACTCCTGGGCTCAAGTGATCCTTCCCCCTCAGCCTCCCAAAGTTCTGGTATTACAGGCAAGAGCCACTGTACCTGGCCCCCTTTATCTTTTTCTAACCCCCTCCCACCATTCTCTCTCTCACCCCCTTCCAGCTATATTGGTTTCCAGAGATTTTTTTTTTTTTTTTTGAGAGATGGAATGCTTCCTCTGTCACCCAGGCTGGAGTGCAGTGGCGCAATCTTGGCTCAATGCAACCTCCGCCTTCCAGGTTCAAGTGATTCTCCTGCCTCAGCCTCCCAAGTAGCTGGGACTACAGGCATGTGCCACCACGTGCAGCTGATTTTTGGATTTTTTAGTAGAGACAGCGTTTCACTATATGTTGGCCAGGCTGGTCTCGAACTCCTGACCTCAAGTGATCCTCCTGCCTCGGCTTCCCAAAGTGCTGGGATTACAGGAGAGGGCCACCACGCCTGGCCAGACGTTTTTTAATGTGCCAAGAAAATTCCTGTCCTGGGGCCTTTCTGCTGGGTTTCTGCTATGTCTGAATTGCTTTACACCACGATATGTGGATGGTGCTTTCCTTTGCTGAATTCAGGATGTCTCAGTGGTGACTTTCTTTGAGACCCCTTCATGAAAATGGCACCCGCAGACACCCACTGTTCTTTTACCCCAACATCTGACCTGTGACTGTGTATTTATGAGTTTATTGTAGACTGTAAGTCCACTGAAGACAGAAGCATTGTCTGGTTACCTTATAATCTTCAGTCCTGTGATTATGGTGTCGGGCAGTTGTTGCCTTTTTTTGAGACAGAGTCTCGCTGTTGTCGCCTAGGCTGGAGTGCAATGGCTCAATCTCGGCTCACTGCAACCTCTGCTTCCCGGGTTCAAACAATCCTCCTGCCTCAGCCTCCTGAGTAGCTGGGATTACAGGCACCCACCACCACGCCCGGCTAACTTTTGTATTTTGAGTAGAGACGGGGTTTCGCCATGTTGGCTAGGATGGTCCGGACCTCCTGACCTCAGGTGATCTGCCCGCCTCGGCCTCCCAAAGTGCTGGGATTACAGGAGTGAGCCACCGCGCCCAGCCACCTGGCAGTTTCTATTAGGTTGGTGCAAAAGTAATTGTGGGCCGGGTGCAGTGGCTCACGCCTGTAATCCCAGCACTTTGGGAGGCCAAGGCGGGCAGATCACGAGGTCAGGAGATCGAGACCATCCTGGCTAACACAATGAAACCCCATCTCTACTAAAAATACAACAAATTAGCCGGGCGTGGCAGCGGCCGCCTGTAGTCCCAGCTACTCAGGAGGCTGAGGCAGGAGAATGCCATGAACCCAAGCGGTGGAGCTTGCAGTGAGCCAAGATCGCGCCACTGCACTCCAGCCTGGGTAACAGAACGAGACTCCATCTCAAAAAAAAAAAAAAAAAAAAGTAATTGTGGTTTTTTGCCATTACTTTTAATAGCAAAAGCTGCAATTACTTATGCACTAAACTAATAAAACATGTTGACATGCACTTCTCAGATGACACTCTAGATACAGATATTTTATTTATTTATTTATTATTTTTTTGAGACGGAGTCTCGCTCTGTCACCCAGGCTGGAGTGCAGTGGTGCCATCTCAGCTCACTGCAACCTCCACCTCCCAGGTTCAAGCGATTCTCCTGCCTCGACCTCCTGAGTAGCTGGGATTACAGGCATGCGCCACTACACCTGGCTAATTTTTGTATTTTTAGTAAAGACGGGGTTTCACCATGTTGGCCAGGCTGGTCTCGAACTCCTGACCTCAGGTGGTCTGCCTACCTCAGCCTCCCAAAGTGCTGGGATTACAGGTGTGAGCTGCCTGGCCTATTTTTATTGGTTATTTTACTTTATTTTTAGTAGAGACAGGGTTTCACCACATTGCCCAGGCTGGTCTTGAACTCCTGGGCTCACGTGATCCTCACACCTCGGCCTCCGAAAGTGCCAGGATTAAGGGTGTGAGCCACTGTGCTCGGCTATATTTTTAATCTTTTGAGACAGGGTTCTACTCTGTCACCCAGGCTGAAGTGTAGGGGTGCAATCATAGCTCACTGCAGCCTCGAACTCCTGGGCTCAAGCGATCCTCTCACCTGAGCCTCCCAAGTAGCTGGGACCACAGGCGTGAACCATAGTGTCTGGCTTTTTTCCAAAGCGGAGCTCAAATCTAGGCTCTGTCTCAGCTCAGCCTCTCTGAGAAGGCCCCCTTCACTGTGTGTGTGTGTGGTGCGTGTGTGGTGTGTGTGTGGTGTGTGGCGTGGGTGTGGTGGTGTGTGTGATTTGTGTGGTGTGTGGTGTGTGTGAAGTGTGTATGTGGTGTGTGTGTGGTGCGTGTATGGTGTGTGTGGGGTGTGTGGTGTGTGGTCTGTGGTGTGTGGCGTGGGTGTGTGTGGTGTGTGTGTGATTTGTGTGGTGTGTGTGCGGTGTGTGGTGTGGTGTGTGAGGTGTGCATGTAGTGTGTGTGTGGTGCGTGTATGGTGTGTGTGTGGTGCGTGTGTGTGGTGTGTGGTGTGTGTGGTGTGTGTGTGGTTGTGTGTTTGTGGTGTGTGTATGTGTGGTGTGTTGTGTGGTGTGTGTGGTGTGTGGTGTGTGTGTGTGGTTGTGTGTTTGTGGTGTGTGTATGTGTGGTGTGTTGTGTGATGTGTGTGGTGTGTGTGTGTGGGGGGGTGTGTGGTGTGTGTGTGTGTGGTGTGTGTGTGTGGTGTGTGTGTGTGTGGGGTGTGTGTGTGTGTGTATGTGTGTTCAGCCGCAGAGACTTGAGCCCCCCTTTTCTGTTTCTTTCTCCAGGGCTGAAGCTGCCCTCGAGGACCTGGTCTCCACCATTCGAGTCTGAAGATTCTCAGAAGCACAACCAGAGTGAGTATGAGGATTCGGCCGGCGAATGCTGCTCCTGTCCAAAGACAGACTCTCAGATCCTGAAGGAGCTGGAGGAGTCCTCGTTTAGGAAGACGTTTGAGGATTACCTGCACAACGTGGTTTTCGTCCCCAGGTCAGGACTTGGCGCTGGGCTCTCTTAGTGGGTGCCAATTGGCTTGGTGTTGGTGGAAGGTCATTACTTAGGGACCGAGAGGTAGTGGGACCCAGAGACGGCAGAAGGGTGGGTGGAGTCTGAATGGAGCCCTTTCCTGGGTGGAGGAAGAGATCTTGCAGTTTCGAAATTTCGAGGGGAATTTTATCAGGAAGAGCAAATAATCGCACAAAAGGGGAAAAATGGACAAAACTCAGCATTTGCCTTTCTTACCTCTCCTGAGCTGGTCTCCACGTGAGTTCCAAAACAAACTCCGTTAGACGATTAACATTTTTTTTTTTCTCTCTCTCTCTTTTTTTTTTTTTTTTGACAGAGTCTCACTCTATCGTCCAGGCTGGAGTGCGGTGGTGCGATTTCAGCTCACCCTTTCCGGGTTCGAGTGATTCTTGTGCCTCAGCCTCCCAAGTAGCTGGGACTACAGGTGCGCAGCACCACGCCCAGCTAATTTTTATATTTTTAGTAGAGACGGGGTTTTGCCATGTTGGCTAGGCTGGTCTCTAACCCCTGACCTCAGGTGATCTGCCTGCCTCGGCCTCCCAGAGTGCTGGGATTATAGGTGTGAGCCACCGTGCCTGGCCGTGATTATTGAGGCTTTAGCTGAGCGCAGTGGTGTAAGCCTGTGGTCCCAGCTAGTTGGGAAGCCGAGGTGGTAGGGTTGCTTGAGGCCAGCCTGGGCAACATAATGAGACCCCATCGCTACCAAAAAAAAAAAAAAACAGTTTAAAAATTAGTCAGGCATGGTAATGCATGTCTGAACTCCTAGCCCATGGGGAGGCTGAGAAAGAAGGATCACAAGAGGCCAGGAGATGGAGGCTACGATAAGCGATGATGGCGCCACTGCGCTCCAGCCTGGGTGACAGAGTGAGACCCTGTCTCTAAAAAAAAATTAAAAGTATCTGTTCAGATGTTTACCAATGCTATTCATCCGAGCAGACTTTTCTCCCAGAACCACCAGTGTGTAAGAATCCTCTTTTTTTTTTTTCTTTTCTTTTTCTTTTTTTGTTGCATGTTTCCCCTATGACCCTGAGTCCAAAAGAATGTTCAGGGGGACAGCCAAGGCTTCAAAGTGGTTACTGTTTCACCTGTTACAAACAAAATGTTGGCTAGGCACAGTGGCTCACTCGTGTAATCCCAGCACTTTGGGAGGCCGAAGTGGGAGAATCAGTTGAGGCCAAAGGTGGAGACCAGCCTGAGCAACAGAGTGAGACCCTATCTCTACTAAAAAAGGAAAAAAAAAAAAAAAATAGCCAGACATGTTGGTGCATGCCTTGTAGTCCCAGCTACTCCGGAGGCTGAGGCGGGAGAATTGCTGGAGCACAGGAGTTGGAGGCTGCTGTGAGCTATGATGGCACCATTGCACTCCAGCCTGGGCAACAGAGCAAGACCCTGTCTCAAAAAGGAAGGAAGGGAAAAAAAGAAAGAAAGAAAGGAATGGAGGGAGGGAGGGAAAGAGGAAGGAAGGAAGAGAGAAAGAAAAAGAAAGAAAGAAAGAAAGAAAGAAAGAAAGAAAGAAAGAAAGAAAGAGAAAGAAAGAAAGGAAAGAGAGAAAGAAAGGACAGAGAAAGGAAGGGGGCAAGGGAGGGAGAGAGGAGGGAAGGAAGGAAGGAAAAAAGGAAAAGAAAGAAAAGAAAGAGAAAGAAAATGAAAAAAAGAAGGAAGGAAAGAGAAAGAAAGCAAATGAAGGAAGGAAAGAGGGAAAAAGAGAGAAAGAAAGTAAAAGAGGAAAGAAGGAAGGAAGGAGAGAGAGGGAGAGAGAAAAGAGAAAGAGAAAAGAAAAGGAGAAAGAGGAAAGAAACCAGAAAGAGAGAGAGAAAGAAGAAAGAAGGGAAAGAAAAGAAAAATTCTGCCAGACTTGGAGAAGTGGCTGAGTCAGTTGTGATGTCCACATGTAGTCACGTTTGACATCCCAGGGCCACCTCAGCAGGCCGTCTCTGGGGAGAATTTTCTCTGATTTCTTCCCCTTCCCTTGCTGGACCCCTGCACCTGCTGGGGAAGATGTAGCTCACTCCGTCTAGCAAGTGATGGGAGCGAGTGGTCCAGGGTCAAAGCCAGGGTGCCCTTACTCGGACACATGTGGCCTCCAAGTGTCAGAGCCCAGTGGTCTGTCTAATGAAGTTCCCTCTGTCCTCAAAGGCGTTGGTTTTGTTTCCACAGAAAAACCTCTTCAGGCACTGGTGCCGAGGACCCTAGGTATGACTCACCTGTGCGACCCCTGGTGCCTGCTCCGCGCAGGGCCGGCGGCGTGCCAGGCAGATGCCTCGGAGAACCCAGGGGTTTCTGTGGCTTTTTGCATGCGGCGGGCAGCTGTGCTGGAGAGCAGATGCTTCACCAATTCAGAAATCCAATGCCTTCACTCTGAAATGAAATCTGGGCATGAATGTGGGGAGAAACCTTCACTAACACACTCTTGCTAAAACATAGAATCATGGGAGTGCTTCCTGGGTACCCCCTCCCTGCCTTCTGTTTGCAGCCACTGTTTGCTCACTAAACATCTCTGCACCTCCCGCGTGCATTTGCAGAGGTGGGTGGGGGTCCCCGGAGTCTGAGCTCCCCGCGGCTGGGTGCCCCGACCCAGCAGCTCCTACACCATGAATGGAGGTTGATCTGGAAACAGAATATTTTCATGAAAGGGCGACAGGGTATGAACAAAAGAACACCGTGTCGCTCACTGAATTCCACGGAGGAGAGTCAGGGATCTCTTCCTTCCTTCCTTCCTTCCTTCCTTCCTTCCTTCCTTCCTTCCTTCCTTCTTTCTTTTTTTCCTTCTTTCTTTCTTTCCTTCTTTCTTTTCTTTTCTTTATTCCCTCCCTCTCTCCCTCCGTCCGTCCCTCCCTCCCTTCCTTCTTTCCTTCTTCTTTTTTTTTTGGATGGAATTTCACTCTTGTTGCCCAGGCTAGAGTGCAGTGGTGCGATCTCGGCTCTCCACAACCTCCACCTCCCGGGTTCAAGCAATTCTCCTGCCTCAGCCTCCTGAGTAGCTGGGATTACAGGCATGCGCCACCACGCCCGGCTAATTTTTGTACTTTTAGTAGAGACAGGGTTTCTCCATGTTGGTCAGGCTGGTCTCGATCTCCCGACCTCAGGCGATCCGCCCGCCTCGGCCTCCCAAAGTGCTGGAATTACAGGCGTGAGCCACCGCCCCTGGCCAGGGACGTTTCTTTTCAACTTGAGTCTTAAGAGAATGAAGCAGTATGGTCCTGGGAGAGAGAAAAAGCTTGGAGAACTTGGGAGAAAGGCAAGGAGATGTTTACCTGTCGTGGCTTTTGGGAGGAACAGGAGGTGAGACTAAAGAGGCAAGTTGGGACCACTTGGAGAGATTTTCTTCCTTTAGCAGAGTGTTTATTTATTTATTTTTTCCCAGGCACCTGTGTGGCCTGATCTGCCCTCTAGTGGCCATTTGCAATACTAACTGTAGCCAAGAAGGGTCTAAAAATGTACGGGCTTGGTCCAAAGCAGATCTCAATCTCAGTCCTGCTATTAATAATATTCGGGTGGCTCACGCCTGTAATCCCAGCACTTTGGGAGGCCGAGGCGGGCGGATCATGAGATCAGAAGATCGAGACCATCCTGGCTAACACGGTGAAACCCCGTCACTACTAAAAATACAAGAAATTAGCTGGGCGTGGTGACGCAGCTACCCCAGGCGGGGCAATCACTTGAGGCCAGGAGTTCGAGACCAGCCTGACCAAGATGGTGAAACCCCGTTACTACAAGAAACATAAAAATTAGCCGGGCGTGGTGACACACGCCTGTAGTCCCAGCTACTCGGGAGGCTGAGGCAGGAGAATGGCGTGAACCTGGGACGCGGAGCTTGCAGTGAGCCAAGATCGTGCCACTGCACTCCAGCCTGGGCCACAGAGCGAGACTCCGTCTCAAAAAAAATAAAAATAAAATAATATTTGGGGCCACAGCTGGACTTGGTAGCTCACGCCTGTAATCCCAACACTTTGAGAGGCCCAGGCGGGGCAATCACTTGAGGCCAGGAGTTCGAGACCAGCCTGACCAAGATGGTGAAACCCCGTTACTACAAGAAATATAAAAATTAGCCGGGCATGGTGACACACGCCTGTAGTCCCAGCTACTTGGGAGGCCGAGGCAGGAGAATCACTTGATTTCTGGAGGCGGAGGTTGCGGTGAGCCGAGATCTCGCCACTGCATTCCAGCCTGGGTGACAGAGCGAGACTCTGTCTCAAAAAAAAAAAAAAAAAAGAATAAATACATAATACTAATAATAATAATAAATAATATTTGGGGTCAGATTATTCTAGGGCACTGTCCAACAACACTGAGAAGCATCCCTGGCTTCCACTCATCTGATGCCAGTAGTGTGTCTTCCCCCTAAAGTAGTAATAACCAAAAATATCTTCAGACATTGCTAAATATCCCCCTGGGTGATGGGGTCAGAAGGACCCTTGGTTGAGATGACCAGGTTAGTGTGGGATTGCTGGATAATAAAATGCTGCCTAGGCCAGGTGCTGTGGCTCATGCCTGATGCCTGTAATCCCAGCACTTTGGGAGGCCCAGGCAGGCAGATCACCTGAGGTCAAGAGTTTGAAACCAGCCTGGGCAACATGGCGAAACCCCGTCTCTACTAAAAATACAAAAATTAGCCGGGCATGATGATGCACGCCTGTAATCCCAGCTACTTGGGAGGCTGAGGCAGGAGAATCGCTTGAACCCAGAAATTGGAAGTTACAGTGAGCCAAGATCACACCACTGCACTCCAGCCTGGGCAACAGAGCAAGACTCTGTCTCAAAAAAAAAAATCAGTTGATGCTTTGTCTTTTGCCACTTCATGGTCTTTTTGGTTATAATCTTTTTGGTATATAAACTCATTTGGCCTGTTTGATGAGCCCATTTTACATCTCTGGTTGTTGAGATACCAATTTCTCAGTAGTTACTCATGAAGCACCAACGTCTTGGTTATTTTCACGAGACCCATTTGTGCCTGTATAGAAATTATCTGAATCTTGCTAATACGGACATATCTTTGGCTTGATAAGTGGTGGAGCTGTTTTCTTTTCCATTCTACAATGTTGTTAGTCTTTTAATACAAAAAGACCATAAAGAGAATCTTAAGAAATGCCCCCAAAGTAGGATTTGTTTTCTGACCACACATTTTCTGATGACGCTGCAATAGAAACTAAAAGTTAATTTCAAAAGATTAAACAGAAAACTTCACTTCTTGGTGGTTAAAAGTTAAACACTTACAGGCTGGGCGCAGTGACTCACACCTGTAATCGCAGCACTTTGGGAGGCCCAGGCAGGCGGATCACCTGAGGTCAGGAGTTTGAGACCAGCCTGGCCAATATGGTGAAACCCCTTCTCTACTAAAAATACAAAAATTAGCCAGATGTGGTAACGTGCGCCTGTAGTCCCAGCTACTCAGGAGACTGAGGCAGAAGAATCACTTGAACCTGGGAGGTGGAGGTTGCAGTGAGCCGAGATCACGCCACTGCCCTCCAGCCTGGGCAACAGAGCGAGACTCTGTCTAAAAAAAAAAAAAGTTAAAAAGTTAAACACTTACATATCTATCGGGCCAAAGCAGAAATGGAAACTTCCATTGAAGTCCTTTTGGAAAATAATGAAAATGTGAATATCACATACCTTAACTTGTAGAATATTGTCAAAGCTTGGCTTTGATGTTACTTAGCAGACTTAAATGGATTGATAAATTAAGAAATAAACTTTAAACTATAAAACTATAAATGTGTTAGGAAGGGAAAAGCAATAACAGCTAAGCCTATGGTAAACATAATCAAAGGGAAAACACAAACCAGAAGGAAAGAAGATGACATAAAACTAGCGTCTGAAGAAAATTTTAATGTGTTAAGTTCTTTGGACAATGGTGCACTTGCTAAATTTGAAAGTTTCAGTAAGGTGGGAAAATTTAACTTGTCTAAATGGATTCAAAAAGAAGCAGAAAAATTAAGTGGTTATGAACCTTGGAAAAAGATATGTGTCAAATAATTTCCTCAAAAAAGTCCCTTGGCCCAGAGAGTTTTATAGACACGTTCTTTCAAATTGTGAGAGAGCAACTATTTCCTATAATAGAAAAACTATTTTAGGGCACAGAAATCTATAAAAGTTATCCCAGTTCATTTTATGAAATGAACATAACACCCTTAAAGAACTTGACAAAGAGGTTGAGCATGGTGGCTCATGCCTGTAATCCCAGTACTTTGGGAGGCTGAGGTGGGGGGCGGATCACAAGGTCAAGAGATTGAGAACATTCTGGTCAACATGGTGAAACACTGTCTCTACTAACAATACAAAAATTAGCCAGACATGGTGGCACACGCCTGTAATCCCAGCTACTTGGGAGGCTGAGCCAGGAGAATCGCTTGAACCTGGGAGGCAGAGGTTGCAGTGAACCGAGGTTGCGCCATTGCACACTCCAGCCTGGCAACAGAGCAAAACTCTGTCTCAAAAAAAAAAAAAAAAAAAAAAGAACTTGACAAAGATACTGCACTGAACAAAAGCCACAGGCCAAGCTAATATGTGATGTTAGATTCAAATGTCCCAAATAAAACACTGCACTGGCAATATTGTTTATCTCCAAAATGCAAGGATGGTTTAAGATCAGAAGATTTGATAACATCATCTAGTTCATCAAGAGGTGCAATAAGGAAGATCATATCTGTTTCAATAACCTTAATTTAAAATTCCTAACTTAGAGAAAGGGGAGGAAAAAAAGAGGCTTCATAAAACTCATAATAGAATATTTCTTCTACAAGATAAATATTACCTAGGTTAAACCAACAGCCAAGCTAACATCATTCTTAAAATTATTCTTAGCAGAGTTAGGAACAAAACAAGGAAGCCCCATCTCATCATTACTAATTAACATTTCTCTGGGCATCCAGCCAATGTAATAAGACAAGAAACAGAAATCAGAGTTGTAAAGAATGGAATGTGGGAAATAAAGTCATTGCTATTTGCAGAGCGTCTAGCTCAAGGGTAGGCAAACTATGGCCCATGGGCTAGCTGCCTGTTTTTGTAAATGAACTCTTATTGGAATGCAACCCCACCCACTTGTTTACACATCATGTAGGGCTGCTTTAAGCTACAATGACAGAGTAGTTGTGACAGAGGTCATTTGGCTTGCAAAACCCAAAATATTTATTATCTAGCCCTTTACGGGAAAATTTTGTTGACCCCTCTTCTAGTGTGTCATTGAAAACCCAGGAAAGCCAATTATGAAACTTTTTAAATGAGTTAGAGTTTGGGAAAGTAGGTACATAGAAATAAGCAAAAAGACTGTAGATACACAAGCAATAATTAGAATATAAAATAAGGGAAAAGATCCCTTTCAAAATTGCCGTAAAACCTTAGCACAACTCATAATAACCCCATCTAGAATGACTTATAAAGGAACACGTTTTAAAGTGTTACTGATATATTAAATTGTACAAATAAACATGAAAGCCTGTTTCAAATCATTTAAAGAAAGCTTACTGGCAAATGGAAAAGAGTAAGTTGTATAGCACGATACATAAAAGGTTAATATCCTTAATGAATAAACAACACAGGAGTAAGGAAAACACAAGAAATTCATGGAAAAACAGACAAAAGACAAGGAGGGGACAATTCTTTGGAGAATCACAGAGAACCAATAAAGGAAAAATGAAGTCACACTCAGTAATATAAAGATCCGCAAATAACGTAGTCGAGTGATAGCATATTTTTAATCTCTTGGGTTAAAGATCTAGACAAACAAACATAGAAAGAAAAAAAAAAACTATTAAGGCTTAGGGGTTGCTGAGATTGTCCTGGAATGCAGTCTCATGGCCTGCTGGTGCAACCACAAGTCAATATAGAGTTTCTGGACAACCATTTAGCTGTAGGTATTAAGAAGCTTAAAGAGTTTCTTATCTCCCTGAACCTAGTAATATTTTCCTCTAGGAATCTACTTTGGGGAAGTAATAAGACAATCAGACAATGATCAAAGGAATATTTATAACAGCAAAAAAAAAAAAAAAGAGCCATGTGCGGTGGCTCATGCCTGTAATCCTGGCACTTTGGGAGGCTGAGGTGGGCAGATCACCTGAGGTCAGGAGTTTGAGACCAGCCTGGCCAACATGGCGAAACTCCGTCTCTACTAAAAATACAAAAATTAGCTGGGCATGGTGGCGGACTCCTGTAATCCCAGCTACTCAGGAGGCTGAGGCAGGAGAATCGCATGAACTCAGGAGGCGGAGGTTGCAGTGAGCCAAGATCACGCCGTCGCACTCCAGCCTGGGCGACAAGAGTGAAACTCTGTCTCAAAATAAATAAATAAATAAGGAGGATGGTTAAGTGAGTGACGACTCACGTAGCAAATGGAATATTTTACAGTCATTCATCGTTTTCCAAGTTTTCTGCAGGGAACACATGCTACTTTTGTAGATGATGGAGGAAAACCCTAATATTAAAAAGGAAAAGTCCCAAAATTCTCTCCTAAAATGTTATGTTGAAAGGAAAATATTTAGTAAATGCTTCCAATATAATAAGTAGACAAAGTTTACTTATAAAACAGGCTTGATCCTCATCATGTTCACACATAATATTTACAGGGAAAAAATTGTCCAAAGGAAGCAGTGGGCTGTGGATTTATGAGTGATTTATATTTTCTTTTCTTTTTTTTTTTTTTGAGACAGAGTCTCACTCTGTCGCCCAGGCTGGAGTGCAGTGACACGATCTCAGCTCACTGCAACCTCCGCCTCCCGGGTTCAAGCAATTCTCTTGCCTCAGCCTCCTGAGTAGCTGGGATTAAAGCTGTGCACCATCAGGCTCGGCTAATTTTTGTATTTTTAGTAGAGACGGGGTTTCCCCATGTTGGCCAGACTGGTCTTGAACTCCTAACCTCAGGTTATCTGCCCGCCTTGGCCTCCCAAAGTACTGGGATTATAGGCATGAGCCACCTCGCCCAGCCTACATTTTCTTCTTTATCCTTTTTTCTTTGTATTTTAAAATTTGTTAGCTATCAACCTTTGTTGTTTAATATGTCTTCTTAAGGGATGGGGAGAAGTGTGCCAATTGCATAGATGTTTCTTGGAGTTAATCTTCCTGACCTGAGTGATGTGATTCCTTTTCTAAGAATTGCAGCTTAATCACTCAAATTATACAGGTGCCCTAAGCAGCAATAAGAAGGAAAAGATGTATTTTTTCCTATTTAAACTGATGATGTCGATCAGTAGCTTGGGCCAATGAGCAAATGCCATTTGGCAGGGCTTCCTGAAAAGCTAGACTCTTACGTGCTTTTGGTGTCTTATTTTTGTCACTGACCCTGGCTGGCCTATTTATCTGCAAAATGAAAAACCTGAAATCGAGCATGTCGAGGGGAATATCGGTGTGTGTCTACCATTGACGGTCTTAGAAGCACTCATCCCTCACGAGGTGGGCCTGCTCTAATCCTTCAGATGCTCACAAGGGTATATTGAAAGCTGCTCTGAGTGGTCATTCCTGGCAGTCTGTATTGTAATCCATGTTCCCCATTGCTGCACCCTCCTGCGCTCTGATCTTTCTTCTTAATCAAGCCTTTTATTCTCCAGTGTCACTTTTTTAAAAAAAATGATGGTGATGGTGTCATCATACATGTCCTACTGTCGTTCCAGGCCATCTCGGAAACGCAGGTCCCTTGGCGATGTTGGGAATGTGACGGTGGCCGTGCCCACGGTGGCAGCTTTCCCCAACACTTCCTCGACCAGCGTGCCCACGAGTCCGGAGGAGCACAGGCCTTTTGAGAAGGTGGTGAACAAGGAGTCGCTGGTCATCTCCGGCTTGCGACACTTCACGGGCTATCGCATCGAGCTGCAGGCTTGCAACCAGGACACCCCTGAGGAACGGTGCAGTGTGGCAGCCTACGTCAGTGCGAGGACCATGCCTGAAGGTAGGGCTGCTGCTCCGGGGTCCGAGTGTCATGGGTGGGACATCAAGGCTGACCAAGGACAGATTCTCCACCCTCTAAGCAGTGCATATCTGTATTTTACCTTATTGGCCTTCATTTTTGTTTGAGACGGAGCCTTGCTCTGTCGCCCAGGCTGGAGTACAGTGGTGCGACCTCAGCTCACTCCAGCCTCTGCCACCTATGTCAAGTGATTCCCTGCTTCAGCCTCCCAAGTAGCTGGGACTACAGGTGTCTGCCACCACGCCCAGCTAATTTTTGTATTTTTAGTAGAGATGGGGTTTCACCATATTGCCCAGGCTGGTCTTGAACTCCTGGGCTCAAGTGATCCACCCACATCGGCCTCTCAAAGTGCTGGGATTACAGGCATGAGCACCGAACCTGGCCTTTTTTTTTTTTTTTTTTTTTTTTGAGATGAAGTCTTGCTCTGTCGCCCAGGCTGGAGTACAATGGCGCAATCTTGGCTCACTGCAATCTCCGCCTCCCTGGTTCAAGCAATTCTCCTGCCTCAGCCTCCTGAGTAGCTGGGACTACATGCGTGTGCCACCACACCTGTATTTTCAGTAGAGATGGTTCCACCATGTTGCCCAGGCTGGTCTCCAATGCCTGAGCTCAAGTGGTCCGCCAACCTTGAGCTCCCAAAGTGCTGGGATTACAGGCATGAGCCACCATGCCAGGTCATATTTTAAAATTATGAGTCATAGGCAATCATTATGTAAACTTTAGAAAATACACCACTGCACTCCCGCCTGGGTGACAGAGCAAGACTCTGTCTCAAAAAAAAAAAAAAGTTATACGCAGAAAGTAACCCATTTAATCTTCCTAACAATCTTGTGGGATGAGTTTTAGATGTCCGTTCTCTGACGAGGAAAATGGGTTGTGGGAAAATGACGTCACCAGCCCAAGGTTGCACCATGGACAGGTGGCAGAAGTGGGATCTCATCCAAGAGTTACATCCCTGCCTCTCACTTCCTCTCCTTACAGCCAAGGCTGATGACATTGTTGGCCCTGTGACGCATGAAATCTTTGAGAACAACGTCGTCCACTTGATGTGGCAGGAGCCGAAGGAGCCCAATGGTCTGATCGTGCTGTATGAAGTGAGTTATCGGCGATATGGTGATGAGGTAAGGCCCTTGACTCTTGGGCATGCCCCTGCACACTTCAGCATGCCCCTTCAGAGTTGCACTTGGTACCTCCTTCCTCTGCTGAAATTTTGATTCCAGTGCTTCTCTCATCAGGTACTGTGCTATTAGTACTTAAAGCCTTGATACCTGACTTCGCAGGAAGATGGGTCAGAAATGCCAATCTACCAGCTTGTTACTTTTCTTAGTTTCTCACATTGCTTTCCAGCTGTGTCCTCTAAGTTGAATGATGTCTGCCTCCCACCACAACAGGAGACTCATTTCACTTTAGAAGGAGTTATTTGAGTCTTAAAACCTTATAAATTGCTGGGTACAGTGGCTCACACCTGTAATCCAAGCACTTTGGGAGGCCGAGGCAGGCAGATCACTTGAGGCCAGGAGTTTGAGACCAGCCTGGCCAACATGGTGAAACCCCATCTCTACAAAAATACAAAAATTAGCCAGGCGTGGTGGTGGGTGCCTGTAATCCCAGCTACTCAGGAGGCCAAGGTGGGAAGCTGAGGCAGGAGAATCACTTGAAGCCAGGAGGTGGAGGTTGCAGTGAGCAGAGATTGCACCATTGCGCTCCAGCCTGGGTGACAGAGTGAGACTCTGTCTCAAAAACAGCAACAACAAAAACCTTATAAGTTACTTTCATTAGATGCTTCCATTGAGCCAGACACCATGCAAGGTGCTGGGTGAGTGCAGAGATGCACAAGACATAGAATCCAAGACAAATAACCCAAAAGAACCCAAACAGTTGCTAAGCTCTTCCCAGGGCTCACTGTATGTCCCAAACACATTCAGCACGTTACACAGAGTATCTCATTGATCACATTTTATTACCTCTAGGAAATTTTGAGAGGCCCCATTATTTTTATGGACAGCTAGGCAAAAAAAAAAAAAGGGCCGTTAATTCTAATTTTATTTTTTTCGTAGAATATAGATCCTGAGTACTGTTAAGTGTTTGTAAAATGCATTGCTTGTAAGATGCATTCCAATTTCAGAAATGCCAAAATGCAAAAATAATATACCTCTTGGGACTGAGGAAGTACAATACGTCCTCACATTATCCCAGTGAGCTGGGTACTGAGGCTTCCAGAGTTTAAGTTGCTGCACAAAACCTGGAAGAATAGAATCATGATCCAAATGCATGACTGATATTTCAATCCAGAAACTGCCAAATTTTTTTTACCATAAAGGTCTGGATAGTAAACATGTTTGACTCCGTGGCCAGATGATTTCTGTTACAACTACTCAATTCCACCATTCTACTGAGAAAGCTGCCATGGGTGATATGTAAATGAATGGATGTGGTTGTGTACCAATAAAACTTTATTTACAAAAACACGTGGTGGACCAGGTTTAGTTGGTGGGCCAGAGTTTGCCAACAACTAACAGAGATTACAGCAAAATGTCTGATTTCCTGGAACTTTGAGAGGGAGTCCTCCTATAACCAGGTGGACCTCCCTCTACCCCTCCTGGGACCACATCTACTCTTGGCAACCAAAGATTTTGGCTTTGACAATAATTTACAATTGAGATCTAATTCTAAATTATTGTGGCTTGTGGGCCAAATCTGGCTTGCAGAGCATTGTAAAGAATGTGCAACAGGGTTGAGGTCAGGAGTTCAAGACCAGCCTGGCCAACATGGCGAAACTCCGTCTCTGCTAAAAATACAGAAATTAGCTGGACGTAATGGTGGGCGCCTATAATCCCAGCTGCTCCTCGGGATGCTGAAGCAGGGAGAATTGCTTGAACCCGGGACGCAAAGGTTGCAGTGAGCCAAGATCGTGCCACTGCACTCCAGCCTGGGCGACAGAACAAGACTCTGTCTCAAAAAAAAAAAAAAAAAAAAGAATACGCAACAGAGACTATATGTGGCCCTTCACAGCTTCACAGAAAAAGTAAACTTTCAAAAATAGAAAGTGTCCTTACTGAACTTGTCATTCTGGGCCTATTTTGGGGCCCTGTTTGCTAAATGAATGGCTTGATTTGCCTTTTTTAACATTCATTTTTAAAATAAAATTGCTAAATGAATGGCTTGATTTGCCTTTTTTAATATTCATTTTTAAAATAAAATTCCTTATCATACAGAGCTCAGCTAGTTTTTAATTGGCAGAAACGTGCATATGCCTCTAATCCATATTCATGAGTTACTTTCCTCTGCCTTTTGATGTCTCTGTCCACAATAGCCTTTGGAATTATGATTTGTAGTTGCTAGATAGAATTTAATCTCATGATTGGGGTATCATTTATTTTTGGGGATTTGGATTGCCTCTGGTTTTTACCATGTTAGGTAATACTAATTTTATCTGGAAACCATTTTAGCTTTTTGGATTGACAGCTTTAGTTATTGTTTCAGTCAGTTCTTGCTGCGTAACAAACTGCCCCCAAAGGTACTGGTTTAAAACAAAGGACATTTATTCTTTCTCTCAATTCTGCAGGTTCACTGGGTGATTCCTTTGTCCTGGGCCAGTTTGGCTGGGGCTGGATGGCCTCATTCACATGGCTGGGGCCTCAGCTGGGGGCACTTGGAGCTTTGTCCTCATGTGTTCTCTCACTGCCCAGTGAGCTAGCCCAGGCAAGGAAGGACATGCCCCATATACAAACACTTCTTAGGACTCTGTTTGCATCACATTTGCTAGTGTCCCTTTGGCAAAGTGAGCCCATGGCTAAGCCCAGAATGAGGAAGTACAATACATCCTCTGAGTATCTCAGTGAGCTGGATACTGAGGCTTCCAGAGTCTCATAGACACAGAAAGTCATGATTCCCTGGGGGCCATAATTGCAAAGTTTATTAATATATTATCCTATATGTATTAATCCTGTAGGTCCTAAGGAAATAATTCAAATTTGGGGCAGGGAACAAAGCTCTATGCATAAGATTTTCATCAGTAGCAAAATATGCAAACCACTAAGATGTCCATCCATTGGAGAATGGACACATGGAAGACGGTGCATCCATAGAATTGGTGGATGAAGAGCCATTGAAAATGATGTTTGGGGGCCAAGCATGGTGGCTCATGCCTGTAATTCCAGTGACTCAGGAAGCTGAGGTGGGAGGATTGCTTGAGGCCAGGAGTTTGAGCCTGGGCAACACAGCCAGACCCCATCTCTGCAAAAAAAAAATTTCAAAATTAGCTAGGTGTGGTGGTCTATGCCTGTAGTCCCATCTACTTGGGAGGCTGAGGAGAGAATTGCTTGAGCTCAGGAGCTCCAGGTTATAGTGGGCTGTGACTCACTCACTACACTGCAGACTGGGTGACAGAGCAAGAAGACTCTGTCTCCAAAAAAATAAGATAAAATGTTTGGGATGACCTTTGTTCAGTGTAATGTAGAAGTTAAAATTACATGCTCTGGAGTTTAGTTCGTTTGTGTTGTTATCCCCCAGCAGTTAAGAATCCCCCTGTATCTGCTGGGTGCAGTGGCTCACGCCTGTAATCCCAGCACTTTGGGAGGCTGAGGCGGGTGGATCATGAGGTCAGGAGATCGAGACCATCCTGGCTAACACGGTGAAACCCCGTCTCTACTAAAAATACAAAAAAATTAGCCGGGCATGGTGGCGGGCGCCTGTAGTCCCAACTACTTGGGAGGCTGAGGCAGGAGAATGGCGTGAACCCAGGAGGTGGAGCTTGCAGTGAGCCGAGATCACGCCACTGCACTCCAGCCTGGGCGACAGAGTGAGACTCCATCTCAAAAAAAAAAAAAAAGAAAAAGAAAAAAGAAGAAAAAGGAATCCCCCTGTATCCAGACTAGCTTATGATAGAGGAAAAGCTTCTTAGCTCCCAGAGTTGAACAACTGAAGAGCTTCTCACATGGCTGGATCCAGGATTCCTTTGGGTCGGTTGCATCTTTTTTTTTTTTTTTTTTTTTTTTTTGAGATGGAGTCTCACTCACTCTGTCATCCTGTCATCCGGGCTGGAGTGCAGTGGTGCAGTCTCAGCTCACTGCAACCTCTGCCTCCCTGTTTAAGCGATTCTCCTGCCTCAGCCTCCTGAGTAGCTGGGATTACAGGCACCCACGACCACACCCAGCTAATATTTGTATTTTTAATGGAGACGAGGTTTC
Source organism: Homo sapiens (assembly GCF_000001405.40). NCBI lineage: Eukaryota > Metazoa > Chordata > Mammalia > Primates > Hominidae > Homo > Homo sapiens. The sequence continues at coordinate 7,137,608 of NC_000019.10, read as the reverse complement.
ACCATGTTGGCCTGGCTGGTCTCGAGCTCTTAACCTCAGGTAATCCACCCACCTTGGCATCCCAAAGTGCTGGGATTACAGGCGTGAGCCACCATGCCTAGCCTGGGTCAGTTGCATCTTAACGGCTCCTGGCAGTGAGCCCAGTAGCCCCTGGTTGTCCACCGGTGGTTGTAGTGGTTCCAAACCTCATTTCTTTGCAGTGCCAAACCCAGAGGAAGACAGAGTGCATCCCAGCATTCCCAGCTAGACTGAGGTCATGTGACATCCAGTGCCCAATCATGTGACCAGAGGAATGCTGTATGCTGATTGGCTTGGGCATGAGGGATTTTTTTTTTTTTTTTAATTTAGAAACAGCTTTATTGAGCTGTAACTTACATACCATAATATTCACTCCCACCACATGCTAGAGAGAATTTTGTAAATGGAGTAAAATTACACTCCAACAGTATAAATTGTGCACATAAAAATAAAGTTTTAGGCCAGGAGCAGTGGCTCACGCCTGTAATCCTAGTACCTTCAGAGGCCATGGTGGGTGGATCACCTGAGGTCAGGGTTCAAGACCAGCCTGGCCAGCATGGTGAAACTTCGTATCTACTAAAAATACAAAAATTAGCCGGGCGTGGTGGTGCACGCCTGTAATCCCAACTACTCGGGAGGCTAAGACAAGAGAATCACTTGAACCCGGGAGGCAGAGGTTGCAGTGATTCCGAGATCACACCACTGCACTCCAGCCTGGGTGACAGAGTGAGACACCATCTCAATATATATATATATATATATGTAAATAAATAAATAAAGTTTTACATCACTTTTTTTCTTGATCAAAGCAATGCTAGGTAATTAAGGACATTGTTGGCAATAACAGAAATGTGTCTATGAAAAGGTTCTTAAGAAGGTGACTGTAACCTCACATTCTCCTTTCATTTTCTCCCCCATCTCTGCTTCTCTCTAGGGTGAACACAGTTGGTCTGGGTGGGATTGGGGTTGTGCTGTGTGGGGCAGAGGCTGTTGGGGATTCGTGATGGGAATTCCTAATAGTGACCCTTGGGTCCCAGGAACAGGAGACACGGGCCAGTCAAAGGCATGGGAAGAAGCTAGGAGAAGTTAGGATTCGAGTTAAATCCAGTGCCAACAGGGTGACCAGTTGTCTAGGTTTAGCCAGGACTGAGGGCTCCCTGGGATGTGAGATTTTCAATGTCCACACTCAGAAAGTTCTGGGCAAATGGGGACAAGTTGGACACAGAAGCAGAAAAAAAATCAAGGAGGGTCTGCAGTGGAAACGGGCATTGTTCACTCTGCAGAATCTGTATTCTTGCTGTCAACAATGCCCCGAACTTCCTCTGGAATCTGCTCCTCACCCTTGAGTGGCTCTCACCTCCCACTCTCAACCCCAGCCTGGTACCAGGGCAAAACACAAAACTCAGCCCCAAATTAGCCATGACAAAAATGCAAATCAAGACCACGATGCAATACCACTTCATGCCCACGAGCGTGGCAAAAAACAAACAGACGGACAATAACAAGTGTCGGTGAGGATGAGGAGAAATCGGAACCCTCATACATTGCTGGTGGGAACATAAAATGGCACAGCTGCTTTAGGAAAGAGTTTGGCATTTCTTTCATTCTTTCTTTTTTTTTTTTGAGATGGAGTCTATCTCTGTAGCCCAGGCTACGGTGCATTGGTACGATCTTGGCTCACTGCAACCTCCGCTTCCTGGGTTCAAGTGATTCTCCTCCCTCAGCCTCTTGAGTATCTGGGACTACAGGAACCCACGACCTCGCCCGGCTAATTTTTGTCTTTTAGTAGAGACGAGGTTTCACCATGTTGGTCAGGCTGGTCTCAAACTCCTGACCTCGTGATCTGCCCGCCTCGGCCTTCCAAAGTGCTGGGATTATAGGCGTGAACCACCGTGCCCAGCTGGTGGAAGGTATTTTTTTTTTCTTTTGCTAGTTTCATAAACAAAGCCACCTCTAGCTATTTAATTGCATTTTCAGTATCTCCCGTTAAAAAAATTTTTTTTTTCAGAGACAGAGTCATGGTGTGTCACCCAGGCCCGCCATCCGCCACCATGCCCAGATAATTTTTTTTTTTTTTTCAAACAGAGTCTTGCTTTGTTGCCCAGGCTGGAGTCTCGCTTTGTGGCACACGCCTATAATCCCAGTTACTCAGGAGGCTGAGGCAGGAGAATCGCTTGAACTCGGGAGGCGGAGGTCGCAGTGAGCCAAGATCATGCCACTGCACTCCAGCCTGGGTGACAAGAGCGAAACTCCGTCTCCAAAAAAAAAAAAAAAAAAAAAAAAAAAGAAGATGCATTTCCCCTTTGTCCTGGATAGCAGCTACCTTGGGTTTCTATATTTGCTTATTTGTCCCTCTCTACTCGGTGACTCATTCCACTTGGAAGAAACTTTGGACTGGAGTTCCCTGCCCCCACCCCTGCCACCAGACTGATTTGTTTTCTTGCTGTTATTGTCACACGATAAGCATGGGGTTGTTGGCTTTTTTTTTTTTTTTTTTTTTAACATTTCTTTCTCTTCTCCACTCTCCACCCCCCTCCTAAATGTTCCAGCCCGGTTCTCTGCATGCACTATTAGCTTGGAACTGTGTCGAAAACTTTTCAGAGTTTTGGGCTCGATGCTTGCAGGTTTCATGGTCTTATTCCCAAGAGCCTCCTGTCTCTTCTCATAAGTTCTGGAATTATCTCTAGTTACGTGCTTATCACAGGGTATGTTTCCCACTTTGCAAATCTCCATTTGGGTGGATCCCAACTGTTTTATTTATTTATTTATTATTTTATTTTATGTGTTTATTTTTGAGGCAAAGTATACCACATTTTCTTTTTCTTTTTGAGACAGTCTTGCTCTGTTGCCCAGGCTGGAGTGCAGTGTCACGATCTCGACTCACTACAAACTCTGCCTCCCGGGTTCAAGTGATTCTCCTGCCTCAGCCTCTCGAGTAGCTGGGATTACAGGCGCACACCACCACAACTGGCTAATTTTTGTATTTTTAGTGGAGACGGGGTTTCACCATGTTGGCAAGGATGGTCTCAATCTCTTGACCTCGTGATCTGCCCGCCTTGGCCCCTGAAAGTGCTGGAATTACAGGCATGAGCCACCGTGCCCGGGCTTCAACTGTTTTTATAATGATTAAAAAAAAAAAAATCGAAAGGCAGCACCGTGGCAAAGAAAGAGCTTTTTTATTTGTCCTTAGACATTAAGCACATTTATCCATTTGGTTCTGATGTGACAGAGGCTGGGAGTTGCAGGGAAAGGCAGGAAATCTGGCATAGGCCCTGCAGATCCTTCATTTCCACTCTTTTCTAATTTTGCTGGATACATGGCAAAAATATTCTGCAGTGGTCTTAAGGAGAAGTTCTAGAGCCAGACAGTTCTCTTTTTTTAGTTTCTTTCTTTTTATTTATTTATTTTTTTTGAGATGGAGTCTTGCTCTGTCACCCAGGCTGGACTTAAGTGGCGCGATCTCGGCTCACTACAAGCTCCGCCTCCCGGGTTCACGCCATTCTCCTGCCTCAGCCTCCCAAGTAGCTGTAGAGCCAGACAGTTCTGAGTTCAAGAGCTGGCCCTGCCACTTTGCAGCTATGAGATCTCGGACAAACCATATAATCTCTTAAACCAGGGGTCAGTCAGTAAGCTATATCCCATAGGCTAAATGTGGCCTGCTGCCTGATTTCTAATGATTTGTGAGCTAGGAGTCACTTTTGCATTTTATTTATTTATGTATTTATTTTTGAGATGGAGTCTTGCTCTGTCACCCAGGCTGGAGTGCAGTGGCACAATCTTGGCTCACTGCAACCTCCACCTCCTGGGTTCAAGTAATTCTCCTGTCTCACCCTCCAAGTAGCTGGGATTACAGGCGTGTGCCGCCATGCCCAGCTAATTTTTGTATTTTGGGTAGAGGTGGGGGTTTCACCATCTTGACCAGGCTGGTCTCGAACTCCTGACCTCAGGTGATCCGCCCACCTCGGCCTCCCAAAGTATTGGGATTACAGGCATGAGCCACCACGCCCTGCCCACTTTTGCATTTTAAAATGATTAAAGGAAAAACAAGGAGAGACGTGAACCAAAGGGTGCAAAGTTTCAGATGGGAGGAATACGTTCTAGGAATCCACTGCTCTGTAGATGAATGGTGACTATAGCTAATAACACATATTGCAAAATGGCTAGAAGAATAGATTTTAAATGTTCTCACAACAAAGAAATAAGTACATGAAGTGATGAGGATTTAATTAGCTTGTTTTAATCATTCCACAATTTATACTGTAACATAACTTTACACTGTACCCCATACGTGTACACAACTATTATTTTTATTTTTGTTTATTTATTTTAGAGACAGGGTCTAGCTCTGTCACCCAGGCTGGAGTACGGTGGAGCCTTCATAGCTCACTGCACCCTTGACCTCCTGGGCTCAAGTGATTCTTCCGCCTTAGCCTCCTGAGTAGCTGGGACTACAGGTGCGAACCATCGTGCCCGGCTAATTGTTCTATTTTCTGTGGAAATGGGGTCTGGCTATGTTGCCCAGGTTGGTCTCTAACTCCTGGGCTCCAGCAATCCTCCCTTCACGGCCTCCCATAGGGCTGGGATTACAGGCACGAGCCACTGTGCCTGACCTATAATACTGTTGTCAATTAAAAATAAAACAAATGATTTTTAGAAAGATAATATTATGGAAATTAATATTAATAGAAAATAGATAATAGGGCTGGGAGCTGTGGCTCACGCCTGTAATCTCAGCACTTTGGGAGGCCGAGGTGGGCGGATCACTTGAGGTCAGGAGTTTGAGACCAGCCTGGCCAACATGGTAAAACCCTGTCTTTACTGAAAATACAAAATTAGGCAGGCGCGGTGGTGAGCGCCTGTAATCCCAGCTACTCGGGAGGCTGAGGCAGGAGAATCACTTGAACCCGGGAGGCAGAGGTTGCAGTGAGCCGAGATTAAGCCATTGCGCTCCAGCCTGGGCAACAAGAGTGAAACTCCGTCTGGAAAAAAAAAAAAAAGGAAAAGAAAAGAAACCATCAGGGTTTAATGCTCAGCTTCTGGCTTAGGAAGTCTGGCTCTTACCGATAATGATAACCTCTGCATATATCTTTATCCATAGCACTATGGTTATAAAATTCTGCAATTCTCAAAGTCGCTTATGTGTCTTAGTCTGTGCTTTGCTGCCTTGGCGTCATTTCTGAGCAGGATCCTGGCTGTGAGCTCCCTGCGAGGGGTGGACACTCCCAGATGTGCAAAGCTCAGCCACCCTCCTTCTCCTCCTCTCTTCCTCCCAGGAGCTGCATCTCTGCGTCTCCCGCAAGCACTTCGCTCTGGAACGGGGCTGCAGGCTGCGTGGGCTGTCACCGGGGAACTACAGCGTGCGAATCCGGGCCACCTCCCTTGCGGGCAACGGCTCTTGGACGGAACCCACCTATTTCTACGTGACAGACTATTGTAAGTCTCCATGGCAGCCTCAGCTGACTGGGGCTGTGCTTAGCACTGAGCATGGTGGGACATTGCAGGGGATGACTTGGAGAGGCCGCAGGTGCTGGCCCTGGCCTTGACTCTCAGGCCTATCAGCTGCTGCGGTGCTTGCCCTCTTTGATCCTGCACTTTTTTTTTTTTTGAGATGGAGGCTTGCTTTGGAGTGCACTGGCACAATCTCAGCTCACTGTAGCCTCCGCCTCCCGGGTTCAAGTGATTCTCCCACCTCAGCCTCACAGTAGCTGGGACTACAGGTGCCCACCACCACGCCCGGCTAATTCTTGTATTTTTAGTAGAGATGGCATTTCACCATGTTGGCCAGGCTGGTCTCAAACTCCTGACCTCAAGTGATCCACCCGCCTCGGCCTCCCAAAGTGCTGGAATTACAGGCATGAGCCACCATGCCTGGCCTGATCCTGCACTTAAAAAAAAAAAAAAAAGTTTCAGAGGTACCTGTGCAGTTCATTATATAAGTAAATTGTGGCTGGGCACGGTGGCTCACACCTGTAATCCCAGCACTTTGGGAGGCCGAGGCGGGCAGATCACAAGGTCAGGAGATCGAGACCATCCTGGCCAACATGGTGAAACCCCATCTCTACTAAAAATACAAAAATAAATTAGCCAGGCATGGTGGCGGGCGCCTGTAGTCCCAGCTACTCAGGAGGCTGAGGCAGGAGCCTCAGGAACCCGGGAAGCAGAGCTTGCAGTGAACCGAGATCGTGCCACTGCACTCCAGCCTGGGCAACACAGTGAGACTCTGTCTCAAAAAATAAAATAAAATAAGTAAATTGGGTGTTGTTGGGGGTTTGCTGTACAGATAATTTTGTCACCCATGTAATCAGCATAGTACCTGATAGGTCGTTTTTTGATCCTTTCCCTCTTCTCACCCACCACTCTCAAGTAGGCACCTGTGTTAGTCTGTACTTACACTGCAATAAAGAAATACCTGGCCGGGCACAGTGGCTCACACCTGTAATCCCAGCACTTTGGGAGGCCGAGGTGGGCGGATCACTTGAGGTCAGGAGTTCGAGACCAGCCTGACCAACATGGTGAAACCCCATCTCTACCCAAAAATACAAAAATTAGCTGGGCATAGTGGTGTGCACCCGCAGTCCCAGCTACTCAGGAGGCTGAGGCAGGAGAATCACTTGAACCCGGGAGGCGGAGGTTGCAGTGAGCCGACATCACGCCACTGCACTCCAGCCTGGGTGACAGAGTGAGACTCTGTCTCAAAAAATAAAAAAGAAAGAAAGAGTGAAAGAGAGAGAGAAGAAAAAGAAAAAGAAAGAAAAGGAAAGAAAGAGAGAAAAAGAGAGATAAAAGAAAGAAAAAGAAAGAAGAGAAGAGAGAGAGGAAGAGGAAGAGGTCTGAGACTGGGACTCAGTAATTTATAAAGAAAAGAGGTTTAATTGGCTCCCAGTTCTGCAGGCAGTACAGGAACCATGATGCTGGCATCTGCTCAGCTTCTGAGGAAGCCTCAAGAAACTTTCAATCATGGTGGAAGGTGAAGTGGGAGCAAGGTGTTAAGACGGGGAGATGGTGCTACACACTTCTTAAACAACCAGATCCCATGAGAACCCACTTATTATACAGTACCCAGTAGGGATGTTGCTAACCCATTAGAAACCGCCTCCATGATCCAATCACCTCCCACCCGGCCACTCCTCCAACATTGGGGATTACATTTCAACAAGAGCTTTGGGTGGGGACACAGATCCAAACCATAGCAGTCCCGGTGTCTACTGTTCACTTCTTTCTGTCCATGTGTGGTCAGTGTCTCACTCTCACTTATGGGTGAGAACATGAGGTAGTTGGTTTTCTGTCCCTGTGTTAATTCAGTTAGGATAATCACCTCCAGCTCCATTCATGTTGCTGCAAAGAACATGATCTCATTCTTTTTCATGGCTGTGTAGTATTCCATGGTGTGTATGTATCACATTTTCTTTATCTGGCAATCCTGCACTTCCTCATCTGTACATGGAGATAATAACAGAACCACTTCAGGAGGTGGAGGGACATTTTAATGACACAAATGTTAAGTGCCTGGCACCTGTTGCTAGTGTCTCCATCTTTGTTACTAGAGTTTTTTGGCTAGATGAGGTGGCTCACACCTGTAATCCCAGAACTTTGGGAGGCTGAGGCAACAGGATTGCTTGAGGACAGGCATTAGAGACCAGCCTGAGCAACATAGCGAGACTCTGTCTCCACAAAAAAATACAAAAATTAGCCAGCTATGGTGGTGCATGCTTGTAATCCCAGGTACTTGGGAGGCTGAGACAGGGGGATCACTTGGGCCCAGGAATTTGAGGTTGCGGTGAACTGTGATTGTGCCACTGTACTCCAGCCTGGGTGACAGAGTAAGACCCTGTCTCTAAAAAATAAAAATTAAAAGAAGTTTACATCTGTCAAAAGTCATGCTGGGATCGGGACTAGCTATGTAATTTGCAAGACCCAGTGAACAATGAAAATGCAGAACTCCTTGCTTTAAAATTATTAAGAATTTGGCCGGGCACGTTGGCTCACGCCTGTCATCCCAGTACTTTCGGAGGCTGAGGCGGGAGGATCACCTGAGGTCAGGAGTTTGAGGCCAGCCTGGCCAGCAAGGTGAAACCCTGTCTCTATTAAAAATACAAAAATTAGCCGGGTGTGGTGGTGCATGCCTGTAGTCCCAGCTACTTGGGAGGCTGAGGCAGGAGAATCACTTGAACCCGAAAGGAGGAGGTTCCAGTGAGCCGAGATCGTGCCACTGAACTCTAGCCTGGGTGTCAGAGCAAGACTCTGTCACAAAAATAAGTAAATAAATAAAAATTAAAATAAAATGAATAAGCATTTCAGAGGGGCAACAGCAGAGCATTAAACTGACAGAAAAGGGTCCTGCATCCACTGCCTGAGATGTGGGAGGGATGGAAATGAGCAGTGATTTGGGGCAGGGGTGGGGAAGAGTGTGCTTCCAGAATACTGACCTCTGAGCCCACTGCCTGGTCCCACTGCACCTACGGGACTGTTTCGGGACTGCTGGAAAATCAGGATGTGGAAGAGCAGCAGAGAGGTTTATGGACAAGGGAGGGAAGGAACAGGGTGGCCCACCCATTCCAGGAGTGGATGTGATTTTTGATGTGAACTTTGTTGGAAACACATTGATATGAAACATATATTTTCTTATTCTATTTCAGTAGACGTCCCGTCAAATATTGCAAAAATTATCATCGGCCCCCTCATCTTTGTCTTTCTCTTCAGTGTTGTGATTGGAAGTATTTATCTATTCCTGAGAAAGAGGTGAGTTCAGTGAGTTCAGTGGTGTGCTGGGAACAGTTGGTTCTCTGGGGGAAAACATGCCTTGATATAGGTATAGGCATATTTAAGTTTATTATGAATTTTGCTGATATAGGATGTGTAACATGCAATTTACAGATAATTGTCATAATATGATATACACAACTCTTTATTGTAAATTCCCTCTAGACAGTTGATTCTCACAGAATGTTTTTATTGATTTTTTTTTTTGCCCAAACCTTTATATCCGAAGCTAACCTATTATTGCAATTGATAAACAAGTAAAGCTCCAATGTGAATGTTGATTAATTTTTCAAAATTTACATTAAGGAGTAGGACTTGACTGGGCACAGTGGCTCACACCTGTAATGCTAGCACTTTGGGAGGCCAAGGCGGGTGAATCACCTGAGGTCAGGAGTTTGAGACCAGCCTGGCCAACATGGTGAAACCTCGTCTCTACTAAAAATACTAAAAAATTAACCGGGCATGGTGGTGGGCGCCTGTAATCCCAGCTACTCAGGAGGCTGAGGCAGGAGAATTACTGAACCCTGGTGGCGGAGGTTGCAGTGAGCTGAAATCGCACCATTGCATTCTAGCCTGGGCGACAGAGGGAGACTCCGTCTCGGGAAAAAAAAAAAAAGTAGGACAAAACTGAAATAAGACATATATGTTCATCAGTGATATGAGTGACGTCTTTGCTGAGTCAGATGGTAATTTTTAAATATCAGAAGAACATTTTGTGCCACATGCAACATCACAGTTGCAGACATGACACGCTTTTAAGTTTAATCTACATGATTAAACATTTTTCTCAGCTGGGCACGGTGGCTCACACCTGTAATCCCAACACTTTGGGAGGCCGAGGCGGGCGGATCATGAGGTCAGGAGTTCGAGACCAGCCTGACCAACATGGTGAAACCCCGTCTCTACTAAAAATACAAAAATTAGCAAGGTGTGGTGATGTGCGCCTGTAATCCCAGCTTCTCAGGAGGCTGAGGCAGGAGAATCGCTTGAACCCAGGAGGCAGAGGTTGCAGTGAGCCGAGATCGCACCATTGCACTCCAGCCTGGGCAACAGAGTGAGACTTTGTCTCAAAAACAAAACAAAACAAAAAAATATTTTTCTCATCACTTTCTCAAGCCTGGACAAACAACAGAACAACAAATCCAGTCCTGAGTTATAGCATTTGCCAGTTTCTGTAATGTAAATATTCCCAGGATGTCTAAATTCAAGCTGTAGACATAATATTACTGAGTGCAGTGTTAGAAAGAGATACATAATAGCTCCCCATTGAATCCACCCTATGGATACAATATGGTGTATAAATGATATAATGTAAATAACCTCAACTGCATTGATCATATTTAAATGTAGTATGAGAGTTAGGAAGTGATGAGTTTTGAACATGTATTGTCTTTGCTTTTAGGATAATTTATTTAATTGTAAGCCTCTATAATTTATATTTTTTGTTCTATTTGGAAGGCATTGTACAATTTAATCTTTAATGATGCTTGTATTTAACAACTGGCTCACTAGTTTCCTGAAAATTTAATAATTGTTTCTCATCAGTCGGGATGAGCTCGCTCTAGAACAGTACTGGGTGAGTGGCTTTTAAGTGTTACATGGATGGCCATAAATTATTTAAAAAGCCAGCCAGAGCCCTGCATGGTCGTGCATATCTGTAGTCCCAGCCGCTCGGGAGGATGAGGCAGGAGGATCACTTGAGACCAAGAGTTCAAGACCAGCCTGGGCAACATAGTGAGACCCTGTCTATATGAAATTTTACAAATTAGCCAGGTGTGGTGGTGAGCACCTGTATTCCCAGCTATTCAGAAAGCTGAAGTGGGAGGATCTCTGGAGCCCAGAAGGTTAAGACTGCAGTGAGCTATGATTATACCACTGCCCTCCAGCCACAACAGAGCAAGACTGCAACTCTGAAATGTAAAAACAAAAACAAAAACAAAACAAAAAAAAAACCACCCAGGGAGGGATGAGTGCTCCCATGTTGATGCACTTACATACCTGTCTGATGGGCTTCCATTCAAAACATAAAGGTCCCCCATCCCTGCCCTAGACTGCATCTAGGATTATGGGGATTCTGCTGGTAAGGGCTGCCATTTGCCTTGGGGAGTCTTGTATGAAACACCTTTCTGCAGAGTCCCATGAGAATCTCAAGCTAACGTGCCTCGTTTTCCTCCTCCAGGCAGCCAGATGGGCCGCTGGGACCGCTTTACGCTTCTTCAAACCCTGAGTATCTCAGTGCCAGTGATGGTGAGTACCATCCCTTCCCTGTGGGTGGCCAGAACCCTACTCATCAGCTTCCTTTGCCTTCACCATTGAGTGAGAGTGAAGGATGGGTTCCCCAGGGAGGCCAAGAAAAGCCCTCTTATTCATTTGAGCTTGCCAAACTGCCCTTGCTGCAGAAACCTCATTACTGTGTGCATCTGGACACATGGTATTTGGCACCTGCCTGAATGGGCTCATCTAGCCGGTCTGGGACCCTTGGGCAGGGTCGACCACTTGGGCTGGGCTCAGCTGGGCAGTTCTTCTGGTCTTGCCTGGCTTCACCCATGTAGCTACATTTTGCTGGTGTGTCAGCTAGCACTCGGTAGTCTTAGATGATTTCACTCACATGTCTGGTGGTCAGTAGGCTGGGTGGTCCCAAGGTGGGGGCCCTAAGCTGGGGGAGGCTGAGCCTCACTCTGTCCATCTAGCCTCTTAGGCTCCAGCAGGCTGGCTCAGGCTTCATTCCATGGTCCTCTGTTGGTTCCTAGTAGAAAGCTCCAGGGCAAGCTCCAGGGCAACAGTCCATTCCAAATCTCTGCTTGGACAATTCTTGTTGATTCCCATTGACCAAAATAACTCACAAGGCCATGCCCAGGGCCAAGGGGTGGTGAGATAGACTCCACCTTTTCATGGGAAGAGCTCCAAGTATCCTGGCTTTTTTTTTCCCCAACCTATTACAACCTGTCTTCCATCCCCTTGGCACTTTGCAGAAACAGTAGTCTCAGGTGGGAAGTAGCATCATTCCATAGCAAGGGTCTGAAATCAGACAAGAAGGATGGGGATGCAGGTTTGCCTCAGGACATATTGGCCAGGATCTTGGACCAGTTGTGGCTCCTTCCTTGAGTCTCTGCCATGCCCTCTCCATGGGTGCAGATGCCTGTCCTGTTCTCGGCCATATGCCCAGTGCCCGGCATGGGTCCTGGATCACAGAACTCATTTCATGAGTGTTTTCGAGGGGGTTTGGGTGAGGGCTTGGGTGGAAGGTGGCTGCAGACCCCCAAGGGATCCTCCAAGGATGCTGTGTAGATAAGTAAGAAGTAGTGTTTCCATGCTCTGTGTACGTGCCGGACGAGTGGGAGGTGTCTCGAGAGAAGATCACCCTCCTTCGAGAGCTGGGGCAGGGCTCCTTCGGCATGGTGTATGAGGGCAATGCCAGGGACATCATCAAGGGTGAGGCAGAGACCCGCGTGGCGGTGAAGACGGTCAACGAGTCAGCCAGTCTCCGAGAGCGGATTGAGTTCCTCAATGAGGCCTCGGTCATGAAGGGCTTCACCTGCCATCACGTGGTGAGTCCAGTGGGGGTGGGACATGGGCTGGCTTTCCTGACCCTTCCCTTTCTCTGCCTCCTCCTCCTGCACAGAGCGACAGAGGACACAGGGTGTAACCTCCTACCCACCCCTCACTCCACTAAGCTTCCCATCCTAGAGGTGTGAGGAGGGATCATTCCCTTCTCAAATCCCATCCTCTCCCACTTCGCCTGGAACCAGACTCTATCACTGTCTCATCACTTTCTGGAATGTTTCATTGCTTTCCAGAATCTTTCATCACTTTCTGGAATCTTCCATCATTTTCTGGAATCTTCCACCACTTTCCGGAATCTTCCATCATTTTCCACAATCTTCCATTGCTTTTTAGACTCTTCCATTTCTTGCTTTTTCCTGGCACCTTTGTAACCCAGGACCACATAGAGGTCCACCTGATACCACCTGCCCTCGTTCCTACTCTCCTTTGAAGGCAGCACCAACTCTTCCTGCCTTTCTGCTCCTTTGTTCCTCTTTGAGTCCTATGTGCTTTCATCCTTGCCACACATATTTATGGGGCATTTAAAGCCCTGCTCTTGTCCCTGTGATACAGTGGATACCTGCCCCTGTAGAGCTTCCAAAACAGCAGGCGGAGACAGACTCCAAAACCTTTATTTTTATTTTATTTCATATATATATATATATATATATATATATATATATATATATATATATATATTTTTTTTTTTTTTTTTTTTTTTTTTTTTTTTTTTTTTTTTTTTTTTTCCTGAAACGGAGTCTCGCTTTGTTGTGCAGGCTGGAGTGCAGTGGCACAATCTCAGCTCACTGCAAGCTCCACCTCCTGGATTCACACTATTCTCCTGCCTCAGCCTCCCGAGTAGCTGGGACTACAGGCGCCTGCTACCACGCCTGGCTGATTGTTTTTTTTTTTTTTTTTTGAGATGGAGTCTCACTCTGTCACCCAGGCTGGAGTGCAGTGGCATGATCTCAGCTCACTGCAACCTCTGCCTGCTGGATTCAAGCAATTATCCTGCCTCAGCCTCCCGAGTAGCTGGGACTGCAGGTGCCTGCCACCACGCCCAGCTAATGCTTTTTATACTTTTTTTTATTAGAGACGGGGTTTCACCATGCTGGCCAGGCTGGTCTTGAACTCCTGACCTCGTGATCCACCCGCCTTGGCCTCCCAAAGTGCTGGGATTACAGGCGTGAGCCACCACGCCCAGTGCCTGGCTAATTTTTTTGTATTTTCAGTAGAGACGGGGTTTCACTGTGTTAGCCAGGATGGTCTCGATCTCCTGACCTCATGATCCGCCTGCCTTGGCCTCCCAAAGTGCTGGGATTACAGGCGTGAGCCACCACGCCCAGCCTATTTTTATATATTTTTAAGACAGAGTCTCTCTCTGTCGCCCAGAGTGGAGTGCAGTGGCACAATCTCGGCTCACTGCAACCTCTGCCTCCCAGGTTCAAGCAATTCTCCTGCCGCGGCCTCCTGAGTAGCTGGGATAACAGGAGCCCACCACCACACCCAGCTAATTTTTGTATTTTTAGTAGAGATGGGGTTTCGCCATGTTGGCCAGGCTGGTCTCGAACTCCTGAATTCAGGTGATCCACCGGCCTCAGCCTCCCAAAGTGCTGGGATTACAGGCATAAGCCACCACCCCCAGCTGACTCCAAACCCTTTATACATTAGGAGCAAATGCTATGGAAACATGAAGAAAGGGAGGAAAGGAGGGTTGGACAGGGGTGTATTTGAGCAAAGACTTAGAGGACATGAGGAGCTGGGCCCTGTGGATGTGGCAGGGAACAGAGAGCCAGGCAGAGGGAATGATTAAAATACAAAGGCCTGGCTGGGTGCAGTGGCTATAATCCCAGCACTTTGGGAGGCTGAGGCAGGCGGATCACCAGAGGTCAGGAGTTCAAGACCAGCCTGACCAACATGGAGAAATCCTGTCTCTACTAAAAATACAAAAATTAGCCGGGTGTGGAGGCGGGCACCTGTAACCCCAGCTACTCGGGAGACTGAGGCAGGAGAATTGCTTGAACCCGGGAGGCAAAGGTTGCAGTGAGCCGAGATCACGCCACTGCACTCTAGCCTGGGTAACAGCAAGATTCCGTCTCGAAAATTAAAAAAAAAAAAATACAAAGGCCTATCTGTCTGCTGTCCGGGCAGGTATGTCTGCTCTCCTAGACCAGGGCTGAGCACGCTGCATCCAGGCCACAGGGTGCTGTGTGTGACATAGACACCAGGGAGGGAGGAGAACCCTGGTGAGTCGAATCACGGACCCTCCTCCAAGAACCCTGGTTGCTTGCTCTGCAGGTGCGCCTCCTGGGAGTGGTGTCCAAGGGCCAGCCCACGCTGGTGGTGATGGAGCTGATGGCTCACGGAGACCTGAAGAGCTACCTCCGTTCTCTGCGGCCAGAGGCTGAGGTAAGCTGCTTCGGGGGACCCAGCGGGGTACTCGGTGGAGCACCCGCTCCTGGCCTCCTCGGATCCCAGTGCTGCTGAAACACCAACCCCGTGTTTCTGTTTTAGAATAATCCTGGCCGCCCTCCCCCTACCCTTCAAGAGATGATTCAGATGGCGGCAGAGATTGCTGACGGGATGGCCTACCTGAACGCCAAGAAGTTTGTGCATCGGGACCTGGCAGCGAGAAACTGCATGGTCGCCCATGATTTTACTGTCAAAATTGGAGGTTCGTCTGGCTTTCTGCTTTGAAAACATAACGACCCAGGCCAGGTTTGATTTCAGAAGGAAGTTGTCTATAATGAGCCGTTAAGTCTTTTCTGATAATATAAAGGGGCAAGATACTTCTTTTTTTTTTGTGGGGTTTTTTTTGTTTTGTTTTGTCTTTTTGTTTTTGAGACGGAGTCTTACTCTGTCTGTTGCCCAGGCTGGAGTGCAGTGGTGTGATCTCAGCTCACTGCAACCTCCACCTCCCAGGTTCAAGTGATTCACCTGCCTCAGCCTTCCAAGTAGCTGGGACTACAGGTGTGCGCCACCATGCCTGGCTAATTTTTGTATTTTTAGTGGAGATGGGGTTTCATCCATGTTGGCCAGGATAGTCTTGATCTCCTGACCTCGTGATCCTCCTGCCTCGGCCTCCCAAAGTGCTGGGATTACAGGCGTGAGCCACTGCACCGGCTTTTTTTTTTTTTCTTTTTTCTGACATGGAGTCTTGCTCTGTCGCCCAGGCTGGAGTGCAGTGACAGGATCTCGGCTCACTGAACCTCCACCTCTTGGGTTCAAGCGATTCTCCTGCCTCAGCCTCCTGAGTAGCTAGGATTACAGGCGTGCGCCACCACACCCAGCTACTTTTTGTATTTTTAGTAGAGACGGAGTTTCACTGTGTTGGCCAAGATGGTCTCAAACTCCTGACCTCATATGATCCACCTGTGTTGGCCTCCCAAAGCACTGGGATTACAGGCATGAGCCACTGTGCCTGGCTGGGCAAGATTTTGGATGGGGACCCCCCACCAGCTGTCATTTAATTGCATGTATTGATAAACTCACTTACCCATTCACTTCTTTAAAAGATATGTTTGTAGGACCGGGGGTCCCGCCTGTAATCTCAGTGCTTTGGAAGTCCAATGTGTAAAGACTGCTTGAGTCCAGGAGTTTGAGACCAGCCTGGGCAACATAGTGAGACTCCATCTCCTTGAAAAGATTTTTTAAAAAGTGGGGTGTGGTGGTGCACACCTGTGGTCCCAGCTACTCAGGAGGCTGGGGTGGGAGGATTGCTTGAGCCCAGGAGGTGGAGGCTGCAGTGAGCTGTGACAGCATCACTGCACTCCAGCCTGGGTGACAGTGAGACGCTATTTCAAAAAACAAATAAAAAAGGAATATAGAGGGGACCAGAGCAGCGTGAGATGTGAGGATGAGGAGAGAGGCAGAAACCAGACCCAGAAGGACCTTGCGTGTCACAGCAAGTCATCTCGACATTATCTTACATTAGCAAGGGGCAGCAGGAAGTGATATGATTCTATTTATGACTCAAAAAGACATCTCCTGGCCAGGTGCGGTGGCTCACCCCTGTAATCCCAGCACTTTGGGAGGCTGAGGTGGGTAGATTACCTGAGATCAGGAGTTCGAGACCAGCCTGGTCAACACGGTGAAACCCTGTCTCTACTCAAAATACAAAACATTAGCTAGACATGGTGGCAGACAGCTGTAATCCTAGCTACTCAGGAGGCTGAGGCAAGAGAATTGCTTGAATCAGGGAGGTAGAGGTTGCAGTGAGCCAAGATTGCACCACTGCACTCCAGCCTGGAGGACAGAGTGAGGCTCCATATCAAAGAAAAAAAAAAAGAAAAATGTAGCTTCTTTGTGATTTGGTACCTTCTTTTCCCTCCCTTTAAACAGTAGCCCATCTTCCCCCTTCACTTCCCCATGCGTACCCTCAGAATCCATTCTTACTGGATTTGGCCACCACCCAGGTGAGCGCAGACGTGGGCCAGGTGAACCCCTCTTAGGGCTCTGTGAGAGGTGGGGCAGTCAAGGTGGCAGATGCTAGGACCAAGGCTGAAGGTTAAGAGCGTGTGAACCTTTTGTGTTGTCAGACTTTGGAATGACCAGAGACATCTATGAAACGGATTACTACCGGAAAGGGGGCAAGGGTCTGCTCCCTGTACGGTGGATGGCACCGGAGTCCCTGAAGGATGGGGTCTTCACCACTTCTTCTGACATGTGGTGAGTTGTGTGTGGATGGGTGGATGGACGCTGGGCTTGAATTCCAGGTGCTAGTGAGAGCCAAGAGCGGGGGAAGGAAGCCTGCCATCCTCCTGGACGCCCCATCAAGGAAAGGAAGGCAGCGTCCTGTCTTAGGATCTTCCCACGGCTACTCTTATGTCCTGACTAATCCTGTAGGCATTGTGAACCCCGAAAATCTGAGACAGGTCTCAGTTAATTTAGGAAGTTTATTTTGCCAAGGTTGAGGACGTGTGCCCGTGGCACAGCCTCAGGTGGTCCTGAGGACAGGTGCCCAAGGTGGTCAGAGCACAGTTTGGTTTTATACATTTTAGGGAGACATGAGACATCAGTCAACATATATAAGATGAACATTGGTTCGGTCTGGAAAGACGAGACAACTCGAAGTGGGGAGGGAGCTTCCAGGTTGTAGGTAGATAAGAGACAAATGGTTGCATTCTTTTGAGTTTCTGATGCGCCTCTCCAAAGGAGCCAATCAGATATGCAGGTATCTCAGTGAGCAGAGTGGGGACTCTGAATAGAATGGGAAGCAGGTTTGTCCAAGCAGTTCCTAGCTGGACTTTTTCCTTGAGTTTAGTGATTTGGGAGCCCCAAATTGATTTTCCTTTCACAGCATTTATGAACTGCAGCATGAATTGTTTTATTAAGTGGCTAACCATGTTCTAGAAACCAAGAGATGTGTTTGTGTGTGTGTTTGTGTGTGTATGTGTGTGCATATGTGTGTTTGTGTGTGTTTGCATGTGTGTGCGTGTGTGTGTTTGGGTGTGTGTGTTTGTGTGTGTATATGTGTTTGTGTGTTTGCATATTTGTGTGTGCATGTGTGCGCATGCGTGTTTGTGTGTATTTGCATGTGTGTGCACGTGTATGTGCGTGTGTGTTTGCATGTGTGTGTTTGCATGTATGTGTTGGCATGTGTGTTTGCGTGTGTGTGTGCGTTTGCGTGTGTGTGTTTGCGCGCGCGCGTGTGTGTGTGTGTCTAAATGGCTTCTTTGTTACTACTATCAACTGTCATCGGCAGGTCCTTTGGCGTGGTCCTTTGGGAAATCACCAGCTTGGCAGAACAGCCTTACCAAGGCCTGTCTAATGAACAGGTGTTGAAATTTGTCATGGATGGAGGGTATCTGGATCAACCCGACAACTGTCCAGAGAGAGTGTAAGTGTAGAAAGGGTTTAAGGTGTGTGAGGTGTTCGTTGAAAGGGTATTGCCCTTTACACGTGTGCTTGGTTTTGCCTTTCCTATGTCTACACGCTCACCGTGTTTGCATGCTGTATGTTACAGGTGTGTTTGTGTTTGCATAGCTTGTCTTTACATGCATGCTTGCATTTGCATATTGCATTGTGGTACACACACTTGAGTTCCCATATGTGCTACATGTACGCTTACGTTTGCATATTATATATTTACATAGGTATTTATGTTTGCATATTATATGTTTCTGTGTGCATCAGCATATCATGGCACATGTACACCTCATTTACATATTATAAGCACACATGTTTACATATTATGTCTTTACCTGCCTGCTTGTGTTCACAAATCATATGATTTTCTTGCATATTGTATCTTTGGAAGGTTGCACAAAACACCTATAGCGGTAGTTATCTTGGGAGAAGGGAACTGGAGACCTGGGGTTGGGGGAGAGAGACCTGTTTGCCTGTTAATTTTTTTTTTTTTTTTTTTTTTTTTGAGACGGAATCTTGCTCTGTCACCCAGGCTGGAGTGCAGTGGTGCGAGCTCGGCTGACTTCAAGCTCCGCCTCCCGGGTTCACACCATTCTCTTGCCTCAGCCTCCCGAGTAGCTAGGACTACAGGCACCCACCACCGCGCCTGGCTAATTTTTTTTTTTTTTTGTATTTTTAGTAGAAATGGGGTTTCACCGTGGTCTCGATCTCCTGACCTCGTGATCCACCCACCTTGGCTTCCCAAAGTGCTGGGATTACAGCCGCCTGTTAATTCTTTATACACTTAAAATTTTGTCAGGTAGCTGGGCATGGGTGGCTCACGCCTGTAATCCCAAGCAATTTGGGAGACCGAGGTGAACGATCACCTAAGGTCAGGAGTTCAAGACCAGCCTGGCCAACATGGTGAAACCCCGCCTCTATTAAAAATATAAAAATTACCCAGGCGCGGTCGTGGGCGCCTGTAATCCCAGCTACTCAGGAGGCTGAGGCAGGAGAATTGCTTGAATCGGGGAGGCAGAGGTTGCAGTGAGCAGAGACTGCACCATTGCACTGCAGCATGGGTGACAGAGTGAGATTCTGTCTCAAAAACAAACACAGACACACAAAAATTTTGTCAGGCATACATATTATATATTCCCCCCTCCAAATATATATGCATATGTACATATATATATATTTAGATGAAGTCTCGCTGTGTCACCCAGGCTGGTAGAGCGCAGTGGCACAATCACAGCTCACTGCAACCTTGAACTCCTGGACTCAGCCTCCTGGCTCAACCTCCCAAAGTGCTGGGATTACTCTTGAGCCAGTTTTGAAATGAGGAATCCCTTTTCAAAACCATCTTTCAGGCTGGACAGGATGGCTCATGCCTGGAACCTCAGCACTTTGGGAGGTTGAGGCAGGAGGATGGCTTGAGCCCAGGAGTTCAAGGCTGCAATGAGCTATGATTGCGCCACTGCACTCCATCCTGGGTGACAAAGTGAGAAACCCTGTCTCAAAAAAAAAAAAAAGCGGCCAGGCATGGTGGCTAACACCTGTAATCCCAGCACCTTGGGAGGCCAAGGTGGGTGGATCATTTGAGCCTAGGAGTTTGAGGCCAGCCTGGGCAACATAGCAAAACCCTGTCTCTGCAAAAAATACAAAAATTAGCTAGGCATGGTGGTGCACACCTGTGGTCCCAGCTACTTGGGAGGCCAAGGTGAGAGGATTGCTCGAGCCTAGGAGGCAGAGGCTGCAGTGAGCTATGATCATGCCACTGCACTCCAGCCTGGGTGACAGAATGAGACGCTGTGTCCAAAATAAGAAGAAGAAAAGCAAAAAGAAAACACCATCTCTCAGCACCTCTAGCAATGCTATTTCTGCCTTGACAATTGTCCACACACACAGCCAGCATCTGATGTGAGCACATGTGGTCCGTGGGTGTCGGCTGCAGGGACAAGAGTGGGGGTTTGGGAGGATGCGTGGCAGGGCCCCCAGACTCACCCAGGACGTGTCCTTCTGCCCCGCAGCACTGACCTCATGCGCATGTGCTGGCAATTCAACCCCAAGATGAGGCCAACCTTCCTGGAGATTGTCAACCTGCTCAAGGACGACCTGCACCCCAGCTTTCCAGAGGTGTCGTTCTTCCACAGCGAGGAGAACAAGGCTCCCGAGAGTGAGGAGCTGGAGATGGAGTTTGAGGACATGGAGAATGTGCCCCTGGACCGTTCCTCGCACTGTCAGAGGGAGGAGGCGGGGGGCCGGGATGGAGGGTCCTCGCTGGGTTTCAAGCGGAGCTACGAGGAACACATCCCTTACACACACATGAACGGAGGCAAGAAAAACGGGCGGATTCTGACCTTGCCTCGGTCCAATCCTTCCTAACAGTGCCTACCGTGGCGGGGGCGGGCAGGGGTTCCCATTTTCGCTTTCCTCTGGTTTGAAAGCCTCTGGAAAACTCAGGATTCTCACGACTCTACCATGTCCAATGGAGTTCAGAGATCGTTCCTATACATTTCTGTTCATCTTAAGGTGGACTCGTTTGGTTACCAATTTAACTAGTCCTGCAGAGGATTTAACTGTGAACCTGGAGGGCAAGGGGTTTCCACAGTTGCTGCTCCTTTGGGGCAACGACGGTTTCAAACCAGGATTTTGTGTTTTTTCGTTCCCCCCACCCGCCCCCAGCAGATGGAAAGAAAGCACCTGTTTTTACAAATTCTTTTTTTTTTTTTTTTTTTTTGCTGGTGTCTGAGCTTCAGTATAAAAGACAAAACTTCCTGTTTGTGGAACAAAAGTTCGAAAGAAAAAACAAAACAAAAACACCCAGCCCTGTTCCAGGAGAATTTCAAGTTTTACAGGTTGAGCTTCAAGATGGTTTTTTTGGTTTTTTTTTTTTCTCTCATCCAGGCTGAAGGATTTTTTTTTTCTTTACAAAATGAGTTCCTCAAATTGACCAATAGCTGCTGCTTTCATATTTTGGATAAGGGTCTGTGGTCCCGGCGTGTGCTCACGTGTGTATGCACGTGTGTGTGTCCATTAGACACGGCTGATGTGTGTGCAAAGTATCCATGCGGAGTTGATGCTTTGGGAATTGGCTCATGAAGGTTCTTCTCAAGGGTGCGAGCTCATCCCCCTCTCTCCTTCCTTCTTATTGACTGGGAGACTGTGCTCTCGACAGATTCTTCTTGTGTCAGAAGTCTAGCCTCAGGTTTCTACCCTCCCTTCACATTGGTGGCCAAGGGAGGAGCATTTCATTTGGAGTGATTATGAATCTTTTCAAGACCAAACCAAGCTAGGACATTAAAAAAAAAAAAAGAAAAAGAAAGAAAAAACAAAATGGAAAAAGGAAAAAAAAAAAGAACTGAGATGACAGAGTTTTGAGAATATATTTGTACCATATTTAATTTTTAAAGTCTCTGGTATTAGCCTCATAAGTTATTGACTATTCCCCGGGGTTGGCGGGGAGTGGGGACATGAGTTGGTCTGCCTGTTGTGGGGCCGGGAAGGGGAGGGAGTCAGGCACAAGTGGCCTCTTTGTTTGGTCTTAAAGGCATCCATTTCTGGGAATGAAGCCATGTTCGCTGCTAACACTTTTGGATGTTGTGAGGCCACGTGGAGTGTGTGAGAGACTAGGTTTTATGGATGGTCTGGTTCAGGTACCAGGTCTGCTGGAAGGTTCCTGTTCGGATAAGCTGGTAGCTACCTAGCTCTGAGCCTGCCTTCAAGAACACCTGTGTTCATCCTCTGATTCTCTGTGTGTACCTCTTGTGGCGTTTCCTCTCCCGGGTGTGAACATCCTAACCGTTATTGTGCAAACCCAAGAACGTCAGATCCCAAAGCACAACAACCTGGATGGACTTTGGGAACATCTAAGCAATGTAAGAGAGAGGTGCACTGAGAGTACGTCTTGGTCCCCTCCACCCTGAGAGCATCTGACGGTCCTCAGTACTGAACTCCCGGAAGCTGCTCTGAGCCCGGTGACCTCATCTGGGCCAGGTGTGGTGCCTGAGCTGAATGCTCAGGTGCTTACAGTGTTGCAATCCCTAAGAGAGTAGAGTCTGGAGGAGAAACCGTGAAAAAGACCTTACACACCACCAAGAACTTCCGAATGGGCGTGAATCCACCGTTTCTTCTCTTTGCAAAAAGAACCACCACAGCTGCTCAAAGAACACAGTGAACTCATCACTTTGGTTCATCAAAAAATCATCGCCCATGCGTTATTCCTGAGTGCATTTTCTTACAACTTTTTGACTGCTTCCTTTTCTTCTTCTCTTAAGAGTTGTGGGCTTAAGAATGGGATAGAGTCATAATGGCAACCTCCAAGCCCTCTCAATTCTTGATTAAGAACACAGGTAGACATGAATCCCAATTGTCTATTGCTATCTTATTTATATGATTCGGGAAAATACAGCATGTAAAAATATTGCTGAGGAGCCTCAGTGATTGGGTACAAGAAGCAAGAGTACAGAAATTATTTTTGCCAAATTTATTTTGTAAATATGAGGGTCTGTACCTAAATTTAAAAAAAAAACACGTAGAACTAGGTATTTTGTTCTCTTCTTAGTAAATTTGTAGTGGTTGTATACTACACTAGCTGCAATTTTCACATTTTTCTAATTCAGAAAGGTTTTTCTTATATTAGGGGAAAAAGTATTTATTTTAATATATAAAATCACTCTGAAAATCACTCTCATAAAAAATGGAGCGCATGTAAATTTTTATCAAAGAAAAATAAACAGGTGAATGGGGGATAGTGATTTTCTTTTTTCAGCACAGTCTACCTCAGTGTATTGTTAAGATGTGATTCAATCATGGACATCTTTGAGATTTCAGAATTCTACCTGGAACCGGTCTGAATCAGGGAACGTGTGTATCAGCTGATTCGAATGCCAGGGACCAGTAAGAATTTTGAGGGAGGGAGTTGGGATGGAGAAGGTATGGCCTTTATGCGAGCATAGATCCTTTTCTTCCTGGCTGGTAATATTCTTCTCTGAATTTAATCTTCCTTTAAAAAAAAATCCTCCATCTATTGTCACTATGTTCCCCAAACATAAACTAAGTTCCAGGCTGTCATGATGTATCTGATATATGGGGTAACCCAGCAAGGTGTACCTTCCTTTGGTGAGAGATGGCTGCCGGGGCAAAGACGGGCTTTGATTCAGAGCAAGCATTCCCACCTGTTCCATGGAATCCCCCTGAAGTGAGCACAAAGGTGCCCTGGGCTCCCTGATGGTTTATGCCCACTCCTTTCAGGCTGGTGATGCACCTTACACACAAACACCTAATGCAATGTCTTTTTAAATTCTCCAAGTGGGATGGGAGCATGTGAGGGAAATTCCAATCCAAAACCCATTAATGTGCTGAACGCTTTTTTTTTTTTTTTTTTTTTTTTTGCAACAACACCTTGGACCTCTGTGTTGGGGTTTGACTGACCTCAAGCTGATATTATTGGACCTTGTGCAGCTTTGATAACCCATGTGAGAGTCTAGGCAGGACCAGTGGGGCCCAAATCTTGCTGCTCTTGTACTTTTAGGCACTGCCCTTGCAGACTCACCTTTCTCCACCTGCCCTGGAGAAAGGTAGGGTGTGCTGGGCCTGCCCCTTGCAAATGGGATTCACCAGTTTCATTTATTTGACTCTACTGCCACAGTGAAAAGAGCAAACAGCTATTGGGTTGCAAACCTCCTTTGACATTAGGAAATGTTGACTTTGTAACAATAAAACTTTGGTCCTAGAAAGACACGGTTGTCCTGGGAGTTTGTAGTGTTAAGTTGCAACAACAACAACAAAAAGCAACAAAACCAGCTTAGGATAACACTTTTTGTTGCTTGTTCTTAAAGATGTCTCACTATGATTAAAACCCTTTTCATTAATGTAGTGAAAGCCACACAGGAGTTCCTTCTTCCAGGAGGAGAATACCAAGCACATCACTTTCTCTCTGCATCAGTGATGTCAAATACGCATCAGAAAATGTTCAGGTTTTAGGAGCTGTCCTAGGTGCTGTTTCATCATTGGAAGCAGTGAGAAAGAGAAGCACTGCTGCTTGTCTGGATATAGGCTGAGGATGATTGAGAGAAGCTGTGGGAACTGACACAAGGGTCTGCATAGGTCATCCTGTGACCCTGGGGACTATGTTACCAACTGACAGACAGATCTTTCACTGTATCCTAGCAGGGCAGGTAGTCCACCAAGAAATGTGCTTATTGGATTGGGAGGTGTTTATTTGTAGTCTGCTGTAACACGTGTGAAAGAGCAGGAGCGTCATCAGCATATGACTTGCGCTGGTCATCCGGTAAATGGATGTGCTGTAGTCCCAGTGCTAATCATTTCTCTCCTTCACAGTGGGTGGAAGTTTAGGGTTAAATGTCCTTTGAATGTCACCTGGTGAGTCCTTGACACCTTAGGCTCTTCAGAAACAATGGTTTTGTTGAGGATGGGGAACAGGGAATGCCGATTTTATATACATGGTACACAGAGAGGGGTGTCACTTCAGAAAATCTTCCAGCATGTTCTTCAGAATATTAATTTATATGCGAGGTGAGGTTGGGAATGAAAAGAACAGGTCAGCACTTTTTTTTTTCCTAGAACATACAAAAGAACATGGTGGACTTTCAGGGAGTGCAATGGAAGGTGAATATTTCCTTAAGGGTCCCCGAGAAATGGGAGTGAGGGGAGGGGACACAATGGCTTTTTGAGCTTACTTTTACCTTCTGATACTAGTCAAGGTCCAGAACCAGCCACCAGCCAAATTTCTATCTGGGTGCGGGCCACTGAAAATCCTTGTTAAAAACCAGATCACAAATCTGGGGCTCTTGGTCCCATTGGAGAAGGAAGGAAGAGCCTCAAAATAAGTGTGCACCCATGCACATATTCAGGAACAGCTTGTTTAGTCTTTACACTTTGCCTGAAAGTTGCTTCTCCTCGTCCCTTTGTGTGCCTGGGTGGCCTCGGCCCTGTGCGTTGGCAACGCAGGATCAAATGTGCTGCAGCTTTTGCAGAAAACAACTCAGAAACACAAAACCCCCCAACAGCTCAATTATTATTTTTTCAATGTTTTCCTACAAGAGCCAAGTAGCACCATGTACAGAAGACGCCTTTTTTTTTGGAATATTGAAATCGTTCTGCATGTAAAATATGGGATAATGACCTGTTTATATTAAAATTCTGATTAAATTATCTGAGAATACGCTTGTTTTTGTGTGGTGTCCCGGTAAGGACCTGTCGTGTGGTCGGGGGATGTGGCTATGAGTTGGGCTGTGTTAAGGAAAACCTCTTGGAATATGTAGGTGCCTTTTTTTAGAGGAGAAAAACACCTAGATTCTTCCACACATGAAAAGGGAGGTTAAATAGTTGCTACCAGCAGAGTTGATGACTCGTAGGGACATACTTGTATGGCCAAACTGGTGGTTTAAATATTGCACTATTTCCATACCATTTGGTAAGTAAGCGCTTCCCCAAGGGCTCCCAGACCTCCCCATGGTCCAACCACTAAAGGGTTCACTCCGAGAATACCAATGAACCTTCAAGATCTTGCTCTATTCTGACATGCGGGAAACTCATATGTTAAGTATTTTCAATGTCATCCTGGGAGTGGAGACCTGTCCCAGGTTGGGTGGACAGGTGAGTGACCATGGGTTAGACCATGGGATTGAAAGCCTTTTGAATAGTCTTTCTTGAGTGGCTTAAAACAGCAACTGTTTATTTATTTTCTTTTTTTGTTTGTTTGTTTTTGTTTTTGTTAGTTTGTTTTTTGAAATGGAGTCTCACTCTGTCACCCAGGCTGGAGGACAGTGGTGCAATCTCAGCTCACTGCAACGCTGTCTCCGGGTTCAAGCAATTCTCCTGCCTCAGCCTCCCAAGTAGCTGGGATTACGGGCGTGTACCACCATTCCCAGCTAATTTTGTATTTTTAGTTTCATCATGTTGGCCAGACTCGTCTCAAACTCCTGACCTCAGGTGATCCGCCCGCCTCAGCCTCCCAAAGTGCTGAGATTACAGGTGTGAGCCACCACACCCAGCCTTATTATTATCATTATGATGATTATTTTTGTATTTTTAGTAGAGACGGGTTTTCGCCATGTTGCCCAGGCTGGTCTCGAACTACTGTTCTCAAGCGATCTGCCCGCCTCGGCCTCCCAAAGTGCTGGGATTGCAGGCATGAGCCACGGTGCCTGGCCTGTTTCTTACAGTTCTATGTGTTGGTTGGGTGGTTCTTCCGGGAACAGCCTCACTCCTGTGCTGAGGCCTCTGCTGGGAGAGCCAGGATTGCTTGTCTTCTAGGAGGTTCACTCAGGCTTGTTCATATGGTGGTGGTTGCAGGGATACCCAGTCGGAAGGAACAAAAAGCCCCCAAATGTAAATATTTTCCAAACTTCTGCTCGTGTGGTATTTGCTACTGTCCCATTGCCCAAAGTAAGTCCCATGGCCAAACCCAGAGTCAGCTTTGGAGAGGACTGTCCAAGGATGCAGATAAAAGGTGATGTGAACCAACTAGAGTCCAATCCTGCAATAATCTTCCACTCCTTTACCCTCCTATCATTATTATTATATTTTTTTAATAATATAAAAGTGGGCCGGGCGCGGTGGCTCATGCCTGTAATCCTAGCACTTTAGGAGGCTGAGGCGGGCCGATCACAAGGTCAGGAGATCGAGACCTTGGCCAGGAGATCACCTGGCCAACATGGTGAAACCCCGTCTCTACTAAAAACACAAAAATTAGCTGGGCGTGGTGGCGGGCGCCTGTAGTCCCAGCTACTCGGGAGGCTGAGGCAGGAGAATCGCTTGAACCTGGGAGGCAGAGGTTGCAGTGATCTGAGATCATGCCACTGTACTCCAGCCTGGGCAACAGAGTGAGACTCTGTCTCAAAAATAAAAAAAAAAATACTACTACTACTACTACTAATAATAATATAAAGGTAAAGTTCTCACTTTACCATCCTATTATTATTATTATTCCTTGTTTTTGAGATGGGAGAAATAGCAGTATGGATGATGACAGGGATAATCCAGTCATCAGAGGGAAAAGAGATGAAGGCAGGGGATCACTAGCTCTATGTCCTTAAGCAAACAAGTGACGATGAGATCTACGGCACAGGTGGAGGGGTTGACCTTAGCTAAAGTGCAAAGTATGTGGGCTGTGGAATCTCTCTCCCTCCCAAAGGCAATGGAACTCAATCCCCAACCCCTCCAGGCGGTCTCTGGATTTCTCCAGACCACCTACCTCCAGCTGGCAGTGTTCTGAGCTGGGCCATCGAAAGTTGAGGTTATTGAATGTGTGTGTTTCCCCATTATCCTGGGAGCTTTCCAGAGGCTGCATGAAAGTTGCGTCTGAATTCTTCACATTCCTCCAAACTCTGGCCCAGAGTTCCGCAGTATGGGGTTGTTAAATTAGCCTGAAGACACACAAAGCAACTAACTGGCTAAGTGGCTGGTTTTACAAAGGGCGGTGGTCCTAACCCTGGGCTCTGGAATCCCAATGGTCATTCCAGCTCTCTCCCCTCCTCCTTTCTGCTCCCAGTTCTCTGCCATCCAGCTAGCAGGCTGATCATGGCCCACAGAGGCCCTACCCTCCTATTATTGACGATAGACCTTACCTTATATGACCATGGCAAAGATTAAATGAGGTAACATTGATCTCTCATGCTCCCTTCAGGATGGACATTCCCATATCCCCAAGTCCCTCCAAGTTCCCTGTTCTCCAAGAAATTGATGCTACTGCTTATCGGCTGTGGTGGCAGCGTAAATTCTGCTTCCCTGGGTTTGTGAAATTCAATGTGAGTCTCTTGGAAAATGGAAAATGTTTTTCTTCCAAGGAAAGCTCATCAAGGAAGGCATCAGTCTCAGGGAGGGTGGACGGCCGTGTGGTCTCTGTGCAGAGGAGCCACTTGGATTCCTTGAAAGCCCTGGCCAAGTGATCACAGCACCTTTTAGCAGGGTAGCTGGCGCCCTGGCCTGGAGTGGGGAGTGTCTGCACTGGGTTCCTGGAGCTTCCTCCTGGGCCTTGGGTGCTTATCAGAATCCCACTTATTAAAAACAAAGGTGTGTCTGTCTAAGCCACACCCAGGCCTCCTCCATGAGCATCTATGGGGCAGGGCCTGGGAACTTGCATTTTAACAACTTCCCCTTCCCCCACTGGACTCAGCTGACTCAGGACAAGAACACGGGAACTTTGCTTCCATTCTGCCTTTGCCTGTGTAAGGGATCCAAATATGCCACTCCAAAGTATGCCACTTTTGGCCGGGCACAGTGGCTCACACCTGTAATCCCAGCACTTTGGGAGGCCAAGGCAGGCGGATCACCTGCGGTCAGGAGTTCGAGACCAGCCAGGCCAACATGGTGAAACCCTGTCTCTAATAAAAATACAAATATTAGCTGGGTGTGGTGGTGCACACCTGTAATCCCAGCTACTTGGGAGGCTGAGGCAGGAGAATCGCTTGAACTCAGGAGGAGGCAGGAGAATCACTTGAACCCGGGAGGCGGAGGTTGCAGTGAGCCGAGATCACGCCACTGCACTCAAGCCTGGATGACAGAGCGAGACTCTGTCTAAAAAAAAAAAAAACACTTCACAACAACAAAGTATGCCACTTTGGCACATTGGTTATTTTGAGTTAAAGGTGCTTGAAAAATAGCAAACAAGAAGGACACTCTGACTTTCCTTTTTCTTCCTGAAAGCAGGAGATGAAACTACCATACTATATTTTGTCCAACCTAGTACATAAGCATTCAGCTCCAACTGCTTCTTTAGGTCTTCGTTTTTCTTACAAAATCTCCCCTGCACATGTAAAAATTACTAAATAAAGACCAGGCATAGTGACCCAGGCCTGTAATTCTACCACTTTGGGAGGTCAGGGCAGGAGGATCACTTGAGGCCAGGAGTTCACGACCAGCCTGGGCAACATAGAGAGACCCTATCTCTACGAAAAATTTTACAAATTAGCCAGGCACAGTGGTGCACACCTGTAGTCCCAGCTGCTCAGAGGACTGAAGTGGGAGGACTCCTTGAGCCCAGGAATTGCAGGCTGCAGTGAGCTATGATTGTGCCACTGTCCTCCAGCCTGGGCGACAAAGTGAGACACTGTCCCCAAAACTAAACAAAAATCCTCAACTAAATGAAATGTGTATATTTATCTTGTTAATCTGTCTTATGTCAGTCCCAGTCAGAGACTCTAAGAGGGTGAGAGGGAAAGGTTACTTCACCTGACCCCCAAAATATTATATTTGTCTTAGTGGCTCAAGTCAGCTCCCGGAAGCCCTCTGCCTCATTTTGAACCATGGCTCTCCTATGATTAGTTGTACGAATCTCCCTGTGTATGGGGATGACAGTGGTCCCTGCTCCTTACGGGTGTTGCGGGATATAAAATAAATTTGTGGTGTGTGTAAAGCACTTACACAGGGCATGGCTAAAGTAATTGATGGTGACAGAAACCAGATCATGGGTTTCCTATGGTGGGGGTAACGGGATCTTGGTTGTGAAAGGGGTACATGGGAACTTTCTGGGGTGATGGACATGTTCTGTACCTTGACTGAGGTAGCAAATACATGGGTATATGCATTTATCAGTTCACTGAGCTGTACGCTTAAAACCTATCCCTTTTATTGTATGTAAATTATACCTCAGTTAAAAGAAGTTGCCTGGCACACAGTAAGCACTTAGTATGTGTCAGCTGTTGCTTCCACCAGCATTAACATCATCACCATCATAATTATCACCATCATCATCATCATCACCATCATGATCGTGATCACCATCACCCTCATCATTATATCATCATTACCATCTCCATCACTGTCATCAGCATCACCATCATCATTATCACCGTCATCACCATCATCGTCAGTATCATCACCATCATCACCATACCATCATCATCAGTATCATCACCATCATCACCATCATCACCATCCTCATCACCTTCACCATCATCACCATCACCCTCATCATCATTATATTATCATCACCATATCCATCACTGTCATCATCATCATCACCATCATTATCACGGTCATCACCATCGTCACCATACCATCATCATCATCATCACTATCATCACCGTCACCATCCTCATCACCATCGCCATCATCACCCTTATCATTATATCATCATCACCATCTCCATCACTGTCATCATCACCATCATCAGCACTGCCATCATCATCATCACTATCATCACCATCATCACCATCTTCATTACCATCATCACCCTCATCATCATTATAGCGTCATCATCATCTCCATCACTGTCATCATCACCATCATCATTAACATCATCACCACTATCACCATCATCACCATCACCATACCTTCATCATTATCATCAGTATCATCACCATCCTCATCACCATTACCATCGTCACCATCACCCTCATCATCATTATATCATCACCATCTTCATCACCATCATCATCACCATCGCCACCATCATCACCATCATCATCATCACCACCATTATCACCATCACCATACCATCTTCACCATCATCATTACCATCACCATCATCACCATCATCACCATCATAATCATCACCATCATCACCATCATCATCACCATCACCATCACCATCACTATACCATCATCATTATCTCCATCATCACCATCTCCATCACCATCATCACCATCCTATCACCATCACCATCATCATCATCACCATCCTTACCATCTTCATCACCATCATCATCATCACCATCTCATCACCATCACCCTCATTACCATCACTATCATCGCCATCATGGCCATTCTTATCATCACCATCATTATCTTCATCATTATCTGATGCCTCAGGATCATTTCCAGTGCTGGCTACTACCCTTGGATCTCTGCCTCCTTCTTCCACCCTTCTAGAAGAAAGAAATACTTCTCTTTCTTCTCTTTCCCTCTTCCCTGCTCTCTTTCCTGTATCTTGTTCAGTGTGGGCCTCTTCTTTGCTGCCTCCACCCTGGCTTCCCCTTTTCACTTCTCCCCTTAATTCCCTTCCTCTCTCTGTATTTATCTCACTGTTTCTCCTTGTGTTTTGATTTTTTTTTGTTTGCTTGATTGTTTCTTCATCACCCTGCTCCCTCCTTGTTTCTGTCCTACTTTCTACTTCTTGCCACTCTTTTATCTCTGTTTTATTTATTTCAAGTCTGCTTCATCCTCTCCTCCATCTTTTTCTGTATCTGCCTTCTGCTCTTTTCTCCTATTCTCTTAATCTTTCTCCTTCTGTGTGCTTCCCTTTGTGGTCAGCCATGTTTCTGCCTCTCTTCATTTGTGCTTCTCCTCTTTTTTTCCCTTCTCTCTCCATCCTCACCATCTACTCCCCTCTTGCACCCACCATGGTTCCCTCACTTTCTTTCTTTCTTTCTTTTTCTTTCTTTCTTTTTTTTTTTTTTTTTTTTGAGACAGAGTTTCACTCTTGTTGCTCAGGCTGGAGTGCAATGGCACAATCTCAGCTTACTGCAACCTCCCCCTCCAGGGTTCAAGTGATTCTCCTGCCTCGGCCTTCTGAGTAGCTGGGATTACAGGCACCTGCCACTATGCCCAGCTAATTGTTTATATTTTTAGTAGAGACGGAGTTTCACCATGTTGGCCAGGCTGGTCTCGAACTCCTGACCACAGGTGCGCCTGACCTACTTTATTTCTTTTATACATTACTTCTGTATCTCCTTACCCCATCTTTCCCTCTGTCTTTCCTTCTATGTAGGACTTTTCTGTCTTCCCATTTTTTTCTCTATTTCCCCCTCTCCTCCTCCCACTCTTGTCTTATTTTTCTTCTCTCCCTTTGCTTCCCTTGTGTGTGTTCCTTAGTTTCTCTCCTTCTTGGTCACTCTCTCTGAGTTATTTCTCCAGTTTTGGTCTCACTTGTTTCTCTTTTTTTGCTTGTGTATTTCTGCTACCCAATCTTCCTGTCACACTATAATTTGGGCTTTGCTTTTCTTTCTCTCTCATTTCACCTTCCTCCTCCCACTCATATCTCTGACCTCCTCCCCCTTTTCTACCATTCTGTTTCTACCTCTACTTCTCTTGGGGCCTTTTTTTTTTTTATCTATCTGTATTTGTAATTTCCTATATGTTTGTCTATTGCCTTCTCTTCATCCACCCATCCATCTATCTGTCCTTCTTTCCTTCCTTTCTATCCATCCACCCACCCATTTGTCTGTATATCCATCTTGTCTATCCATTCATCATCTATCCACCTACCTGTCCATTCATCCACCCATCCATCCATTTATCCATCCACCTATCCATCCATCCATCCATTCATCCATCCATCCATCATCTATCCCTCTTCTTGTCTGTCCATCAATTTATCTGTCTGCCTGTCCTTTCATCCAAGGCTCCTATCCAGTGGTAAGACCCTGACAGGCTGAGAAAGCAAGGCACAGGCTTTGGTTTCATAGACCACAGCCTCACAACCAGAGGAGGAACTCTGGCTGGGCTCTGGGTTAGAATGGGGATGTGGGTTGCTGAGACAGTCAGACTTGGGAGCCAGGAAATGCAAATTCTGGCCTTGGCTCTGCTCCATGTGTGTTCTGCATGACCACAGATGAGACAGTGGTCATCAGGATAGTACACAAGTGAGAGAAAACATCTTCAAAGTACTTCACAAAAGAGGGAAGCCATAATTTTAATAGGGCTGACATAGTTGGTGGGTGGTTTAGACTATGAGTCCATGGTCTAATGTTCTCAACTGTTGATCTCCAGGCTCCTTAGAGGTTGCTGACCCATTTCCTGAAGCATAACCCCAGGAGTGGGAGGCCACTGTGTTGGAGTCACTGTAGTGGATTCTGTAGTGGATGCTGTAGTGGATGTGGTGATTGCTGTGGTGGATCCATGATGCTGTAGTGGAGGTAGCAGATGCTGTAGTGGAGGTAGTGGATGCTGTAGTGGAGGTAGTGGATATTGAGGTGGAGGTAGCGGATGCTGTAGTGGATGCTGTAGTGGATGCAGCAAGAGCCACGGCACATCCACTGTCGTGGATGCTGTCATGCACCACCCAGATCACCTCTTCAGAACCAAGTGCTCACTCTTCCAACTTCCAGGAAAGTTGTCTTCTGGGGGCGGACAACTGAGTCCCTCTTCTGGAACTTTCCCAGGCTTAAGGGAGCTATTTTGTCCAAGGTTATTCCCCCTTCCCAGAGAGCAGCCGCATTTGATGGTTGATGGGGTATGACAGGTTGGTCCCCGTGCCTAAACAATGAGATGAATTCAACTGTGCAACCCCAATATATTGAACTCTTAGTCCCCAGGACCTCAGAATGTGGCCTTATTTGGAAATAGGGTTTTTCTGGGGAGTATTTTTGTTTGTTTGCTTTTGAGATAGAGTTTCGCTCTTGTTGCCCAGGCTGGAGTGCAATGGAGCAATCTCAGCTCACTGAAACCTCCGCCTCCTGGGTTCAAGTGATTCTCCTGCCTCAGCCTCCCAAGTAGGTGGGATTACAGGCATGTGCCACCATGCCCGGCTAATTTTTTATTTTCAATAGAGACAAGGTTTCTCCATGATGGGCAGGCTGGTCTCGAACTCCCGACCTCAGGTGATCTGCCCGCCTTGGCCTCCCAAAGTGCTGGGATTACAGGCATGAGCCACCGCACCCGGCCTTGTATTCTTTTTTTGTTTTTGAGATGGAGTCTCGCCCTTGTTGCCCAGGTTGGAGTGCAGTGGCACGATCTCGGCTCATTGCAATCTCTGCCTCCTGGGTTCAAGCGATTCTCCTGCCTCAGCCTCCCGAGTAGCTGGGACTACTGGCATGTGCCACCAAGCCCGGCTAATTTTGTTTAATTTTTAGCAGAGACAGGGTTTTGCCATGTTGGCCAGGCTGGTCTCAAACTGCTGACCTCAAGTGATCAGCCCACCTTGGCCTCCCAAAGTGCTGGGATTACAGGTGTGTATTCATCTTTTTAAATGTTGTGTAGTAGGACTGTTTTTCAAGATAATTAGCCTGCCATACTGCAGACAAGTCTCCTTGTCTCATATTGATCTTTTTTTCTTATGGGCTTCTTCCCAGCTGAGTCAACTTTACATTCCAGAGAAGAAAGTGAAGGCCATCGATTATGAAACTTCCATTGCTCACTGTAATCTGTGATCAGAAAGGGAGTGGCTCCCTTGTCTGTGGAGTTGAAGAGATTTCCCTTGTTCAAAGTGAGTAATTGTAAATTGCATTCTAGGAGACCAATGTATTGTTCTTAATGGAAGGAGTAAATGCTAATTGGCTCACATGTTTAATTGGTGATTATTGTTTTCAGAAGACAGACATATGTTAGCCATCAGCGCAATCATTTGGAAGAGGTTAAAGCCATTGAGGAATGAAAATCATTGAGGAAAAGAGTTAAAGTCATTGAGCCTGGTTACGGCCACGCTCGGTGGCTCACGCCTGTAATCCCAGCACTTTGGGAGGCCGAGGCGTGTGGATCACCTGAGGTCAGGGGTTTGAGACCCTCCTGGCCAACATGGTGAAACCCCATCTCTACTAAAAATACAAAAATTTGTGGCCGGGCGCGGTGGCTCATGCCTGTAATCCCAACACTTTGGGAGGCCGAGGTGGGCGGATCACCTGAGGTCGGGAGTTTGAGATCAGCCTGACCAACATGGAGAAACTCCATCTCTACTAAAAATACAAAAAAAAAAAAAAAAAAAAGAGCTGGGCGTGGTGGCACATGCCTGTAATCCCAGCTACTAAGGGGGCCTGAGGCAGGAGAGTTGTTTGAACCGGGGAGGTGGAGACTGCAGTGAGCTGAGATCACGCCACTGCACTCCAGCCTGGGCGACAGACCACGACTCCATCTCAAAACAAACAAAAAACAAAGTGAATAAATTGTATAGTTGCTCTCTAGGAGACAATTGCATTGTTCTTCATGGAAGGAGTTAATGCTAATTGGCTCACATGTCTAATTGGTGATTATTGTTTTCAGAAGATGGACATCAGGGCAAACATTTGGAAAAGAGCTTGTGGATTTAGGGTGGTGCAATACTGCCATCTTCAGGGCATATTTTGAAATAAAAAAAGAACGGCACTCTAGATGTGTCAGCCGTGGGAAAAACGGATGAAAGTATTAGAAACTCCTCATTGAAAGAGGCCAGGGAGGCTAGGCACGGTGGCTCATGCCTATAATCCCAGCACTTTGGGAGGGTGAGGCAGGTGGATCACCTGAGGTCACGAGTTCGAGACCATCCTGGCCAACATGTTGAAACCCTGTCTCTACTAAAAAATACAAAAATTAGCCAGGCATGGTGGCGCTTGCC
This sequence comes from Homo sapiens, assembly GCF_000001405.40. Taxonomy (NCBI): domain Eukaryota; kingdom Metazoa; phylum Chordata; class Mammalia; order Primates; family Hominidae; genus Homo; species Homo sapiens. The sequence continues at coordinate 7,102,228 of NC_000019.10, read as the reverse complement.
TGTAACCCCAGCTACTTGGAAGGCTGAGGCAGGAGAATCGCTTGAATCCAGGAGGTGGAGGTTGCAGTGAGCTGAGATGGCGCCACTGCACTCCAGCCTAGACAACAAGAGAGAAACTCTGTCTCAAATTAAAAAAAAAAAAAGTTCAGGGAGACCACAAAATCAAGATAAGGATGTTCTTTTTTATCTTGATTTGGTTCTCTCATTGTCTCTTTCGCTCATAGCGCGATGGTTAAGGGTACTGATTCTGCAGTGAGACTATCCCATTTAAATCCCTTACCAGCTGCGTAACCTTAGGTAAGTTACTTAACCCCTCTGTGCCTTCGTGTTTCAGTTTCCTCATTCGTAAAACAGTGTTATCATGCAAGTCCTCCAAAAAGCAAACACCAAAACAGAATTCCAATGTGAGGATAAACAGGTGAGGGGCCAGGTCTCAGCGCAGTTCAGAGAAACTGTCTGTCAGGCCGATGGGGTGTCCCTATGCAAATATCACCAATGAGCATTCACTGGGGGCAGAGAACATGCAGCTGTTGCCGATGGAGCAGCCCTCGCAGGGGACGGTGGCAGGGCCGGAGCAACAGGACCGGGAGGGCAGGAGGACCTGAAACCACCGGAGAAGTTCATCTTACTCATCAATATAGAGCTGATTTATCAAGGCAGGAGAATTGGAATAGAGAAAGAATTCAAAACATGCACATTGGCCGGGCACAGTGGCTCACGCCTGTAATCCCAGAACTTTGGGAGGCCGAGGCGGGCGGATCATGAGGTCAGGAGATCGAGACCATCCTGGCTAACACGGCGAAACCCTGTCTCTACTAAAAATACAAAAAATTAGCCGGGCTTGGTGGTGGGCGCCTGTAATCCCAGCTACTCGGGAGGCTGAGGCAGGAGAATGTCATGAAGCCGGGAGGCGGAGCTGGCAGTGAGCCGAGATTGCACCACTGCACTCCAGCCTGGGCGACAGAGCGAGACTCCGTCTCAGAAAATACAAACAAACAAACAAAATGCACGGCCGGCTAAATGGGGAACCTGAAAATTTGGAGGCTAGGGTTTTTTAAAGATAGTTTCGTGGGCAGGGAGGCAGGGAACAGGTGCTGTTAATTGGTCCAGGATGCGTGGAAATAAACAGTCCTTGTGTGCTGAGTTTGTTTCTGGGTGGGGGCCACAGGAATCATCCGGTCGTCAGAAATGCAAAAGTCTTTATTTATTTATTTATTTATTTATTTATTTATTTATTTATTTAGACAGAGTCTCTGTTGGGAAAAGGGCTTGTGGGGTGCCTGTATAAACTGGCCATAAAAATATGGGACAATAAGTTGTGGAAAGCCACAAAAGGCTTCTGAGGAGGAAAGCCTCCTAATTGCCATCATGTTCACATGCTCAGAGCGAGACCTGCTCTCTTATCTGTAAACACTGTGTTCAAGGAGAAAGACACTCCTTTGAAACACTGGAATGTGGACAGACGTGCAGGCTCCTAGTAAAGCCTGCTCCCACTAGCTACTCTCCGATAAGTTAAAGATATGTTGTTTGAGCACAACGGAGAATCATTTAAACCACTATTGCTATAGATTACGCGTATGACGCACTGCCTCCCTTTCACTGTTTTGCCCTGAACATCTGCTTCTCAGATCTAAGTGATTGTACTCAATAGTGTGGAGACCAGAGCTCTGAGCCTTTTGCCGCCTCCTACCTCGCATCTGGCCCCCCTGGCTCCCCACCTTTAACTTGTCTCTTCTCAATCCTTTGACGCCACCGGACTTAGAGTACCCTACGGGTGGTGTTGAGGCTGGTCCCCAACAGTCTCTTGCTCTGTTGCCCAGGCTGAAGTGCAGTGGCGCAGTCTTGGCTCACTGCAACCTCCGCCTCCCAGGTTTAAGCGATTCTCGTGCCTCAGCCTCCTGAGTAGCTGGGATTACAGGCATGCATCACCATGCCTGGCTAATTTTGTATTTTTAGTAGAGATGGGGTTTCACCATGTTGGCCAGGCTAGTCTCAAACTCCTGACCTCAGGTGATCCACCCGCCTCGGCCTCCCAAAGTGGTGGGATTACAGGCATGAACCACTGTGCCTGGCCCAAAAGTCTTAAATGACATCTCAAAAGGCCAATCTTAGCTTCTACAATAGTGATGTTATTTACAGGAGTAATTGGAAGGGTTACAAATCTTGTGATCACCTGAGCAAGGGCTGGTAATCCTTAACGAAGTCTACATCTGAGCAGAATTCAGGCCCTGCTCTAATCATAACTTGGTGATCTCTTATTTTTATAAGGCGGTTTAGTTTTAGGAAAGGCTATTGTTATTTAAACTGTAACTAAATTTCTCCCAAGGTTAGCTTGGCCCACACCTAGGAATGACCGAGGAGAGTTTGGAGGTTAAAGGCGAGATGGAGTGGGTCAGGTGTCTTTCACTGTCATAATTTTCTCACTGTTATTAATTTTTGCAGAGGCAGTTTGAGGCCCTGCAGATGACTCTGGCCATGTTGACAGCTTCGGGCTCAACCATCCACGGCCCCTTCCCCACTGCAGTCCCCTGACCTCCCTTCCCCTGCTCCCAAGAAGATGGGTCCCGGCTCAACCTCAGCGCTTTTCGCCCGCTTAGCTCCTCCCACCCGGCACTGGCTCCTCCCACTTGGCATCAGCTCCTTCGACCGGGGCTTCGACTTCTCCCACCCGACCTCGGCTCCTCCCACGCAGCCTCGGTTACCCTCTCCGCCACCCGCTGGACCTCGGCTTCCAGGGCCCTGCCTCGGTTCGCCCGCCCTCAACCCCGCACTTGCTCTCGGCTTCCGCTCTTTCTGCCCAGCTCGACTCTCCCGCCCGCCCTCACCCCAGGTGCTACCCTCCCTTCGCCCTCTCTGCCCCGCGACCTCCCGCGCTTGGCGCCAGTGCCACCGCTTTTCGGTCCAGCTCGGATCCTCCCGCCCGGCCTCGGCTCTTCCGCCGAGCCTCGGCTTCCCCCGCCCAGCTTCGGCTTCCTTCGCGCCTGGCTTCGGCTCTTTCCGCCCAGCTTCGGCTTCCCCATCCGTCCTCGCCTGGCGTCCTACCATGGCGCTGCCTGTCCCTCTCTGTCTCCGACCTGAAACTTCCCCTCCCTCCGTCCTGGCCATGGCTCGGCTTCTCCGCCGCCCTTCCCGCTGCTTTTCGGCCCTGCTCGGCTCCTCCCGCCTGGCCTCGGCTCCTCCCATTGGCCTTGGCTTTTCCGGTTCCTCTCGGCCGACCTCGGCTCCCACCACCCGTCTTTGGCTCCCCTCGCCCAGCCTTGGCTTCTCCGCCGCTCCTCGGCTCAGTTCGTTCAGTTCGGCTTTCTCCGCCCGGCTTCAGTTTTCTCCGATTTCGCCGCTTCAGTTCGGCTCTTTCCGCGTCTCCCCATGGCACCCTGGGCTCGGCGTGGCTCTGGGTCTGGTTGGGTCCTTGTCTTAGTCCGGGGGAGTTGCACTAATTGAGTTCCCGTCATTATGATATGGAGGTGCCAGTGTCTCCACATCCTGGTCAATCTGTTATCTTTTTAAAAGAAAAAAATTCCTGATCAATGAAAAAGGGAATCTCAATGTATTACTTCCCATTTTTCTTAGGAGAGCCACTTGTATTTCTGTGAACTGTTGTTAGCATTTGCTCCTTTCTCTAATTAACTCTTGGTCTTTCTCTTACTGCTTCGTAGGAGTTCTTGAATACTAACAAATTATTATGAGCAATGTTCAAGCATGGAAATAATTTTTGAAAAAATGTACAGGAACATTCATCAGTAACATTTTACTATACTTTGTCATATACATCTCTGTATCATCCATCAATTCATCTTTTTAAATGCATTTTGAAGTAGGTTGCAGATAGCTTACATATCATTAATTAGAGTTCAAAATTTGGGGCTGGAAGATCTAAGGTGGCTCATCCCCTGGCTAGCAATGTGGTGCTGGTGAGTTGGTTACTGGTTACGGGGCTGCTTGAGTCTCCTCATGGCATGGCGGATGGCTTCTCCTAGAGAAAGAGCAATAGAAGAGACCAAGGAGGAAGCTTCAGTGTGTCTTATGACCTAGCCTCAGATGTCACATGCAACAGTGCTGTATTGATCATATGGGTCGTGTATGATTCAATATTGGAGGTGGGGTACACAGGACAGGAATATCAGGTGGCAAGGGTCTTTGGTGAGCATTCTGAAGGCTAGTCAACACACCCACCTTTCCTTCAGACCACCTCTTTTCATCAGCCCGGAATCTCTTTTTTTGTGCTGGAGTGCCTGATCTGATTGTAGCTGTTTGAGGCATCTGGAATTCATGGCCGGGTTTAGAACAACTTGGAAGGTCTCCTTTCCCCCTCTTCTCTTTCTTTTACCCTTCTCCCCTCTCTCTTCCTCTCAGCCTTACCCCCAACTCTAGTCTTTCTTTGCTTCTAGTGAGCGAGCAGGAGATGCTCTGAGAGTCAACTGGGAATGCAGCTGATAAGGGTCTGCTGGGTGCAGGAAATGTTGGAAGGTTTGCTTGCTGGGCTGTATCACCTCCTGTATTATGGGAGCTTAGAGTATTTGCCAGCTTGTCAGGACTACCATCGTCTTCCATGTTCTGAGACTGGAGTACCCAACATTCCCCTAGCAGGGGACACTTGGCTTGATAGGGCTCTATCAATCTATATTGTGAGGGTAGAGATACTCATATTGCAAGGGGAGGCTGCAGGAGTTGCCTGCTGGGGCTAAGATTATTCCTTGTGTTTGGGATAAAGGAGGGGTCACCGCAGGGGCAGTCAACTCATGTTGGGGGAGACGGGATTTGCATTCTGGGCTCCCCTCCTCGTTTATGTTAAGGGTGTTGCTTGCTGATGCTTCTATTAACTCTTACTTTGGGATAATGGGAAGAGAGATAGTTTTCTGGGGTATGAGTTTGTCACTTATGTTGTAGAATCTGGGGGGCTGCCTGTTGAGATTCTGACCATTGCTTGTTTTGGGTGTCATTGCTGGGGATACTTATTTATAGTCTTGGGAAGACAAGGGATGCATGTTGCAGCGGTAGTGGGTAAGAATGGTGGCATTTGCTGGAGTTCTTTTTTTTTTTTTTTTTTTTTTTGAGACAGAATCTTGCTCTGTCTCCCAGGCTTGAGCGCAGTGGTGTGATCTTGGCTCACTGCAAACTCTGCCTCCCGGGTTCAAGAGATTCTCCTGCCTCAGTCTCCTGAGTAGCTAGGACTACAGGCACGTGTCACCACGCCCGGCTAATTTTTGTATTTTTAGTAGAGACGGTTTCACCATATTGGTCAGGCTGGTCTCGAACTCCTGATCTCGTGATCCACCCGCCTTGGCCTCCCAAAGTGCTGGGATTACAGGCGTGAGCCACCATACCCAGCCTGGAGTTCCTTTCTTGAGTGTGTAGAGGATTGAGGGTTGATTGGTTTTTGGAGTTTCCATCATTAATGTAGGAGCGATACGGGGAATCACTTGGCGAAGCTTTCATTGTCTCTGATGTTGGAGGTAACTGGAGGGCCAGTGCCTGGGGCTTCCATTTTTTTCTAGTGTTGAAGGGTCAAGAGCATTTATCAGATAGAGGCCTTACTGTGTATTGTTTGGGGAGAGGATGGAGGGATTATTGGATGGGGTTCCACTTATCTCTAGTTGGGGAGGGTCATATTCTGGGTCTCCGCTTGCCTGTACTGTTGGTATAGACTGGGTAGGCCATTGGGCTTGGAGTCCCCATTCTTTAGTGTTGAGGGGCATCTGAAGGGGTCATTTCAGGGACTTCTGTTATAGTTTTGGACGTGACTGAGGGGTGCTTGCTGGAGTAGTTTCGCGATGACGGAGGTCTTCATGTTTGGACTCCATCTTTTGTGTTTGTAAGTGATTGAGGGGTGGAGATCTGGCATCCTGTTGCCTCTTGTTTTGAGGGTGACTGGTGGTTACCTGCTAGGGCTTCTGTCAGCTCTACTGCTGTATGCAGATTGTGAGAATCACTTGCTGGGGCTTCCATAATCTCTAGTCTTAGGGGGACTGGGAAATGGCTTGCCATGCTTTCTATTATCTCTAGTTTTAAGGGACCAGTTCAATGTGATTTAAAACTCTTTTTATTTGAAAAAAAAAAAAAATTAGGGCTGGGCACGTTGGCTCACGCCTATAATCCTAACACTTTTGGGAGGCCAAGGCAGATGGATCACTTGAGGTCAGGAGTTTGAGACCAGCCTGGTCACCATGGCGAAACCCCATCTCTACTAAAAATACAAAAATTAGCTGGGCGTGGTGGTGCACACCTGTAGTTGCAGCTACTTGGAGGCTGAGGCAAGAGAATTGCTTGAACCCAGGAGGCGGAAGTTGCAGTGAGGTGAGTGTGGGCAACAGAGTGAGACTCCGTCTGAAAAAAAAAAAAAGATTTAGACGTATAAAAGTGTTAAAACTATACAGGCTTGATTTATACAGTCAATATTTATTTGTATTTGCTCACATTTTATCTTTCCTGATTATCCTTATATATTTCTGGAATTGCTTCCACATGGAATAATTTTCCTCCAGCCCCAAAACTTTCCTTCTTTCTTTCCTTCTCCTTCCTTCCTTCCTTCCTTCCCTCCCTCCCTCCTTCCTTCTTTTTTTTTTTTGAGACAGAGTCTCGCTCCATCGCCCAGGCTGGAAAGCAACGGTGCGATCTCAGCTCACTGCAACCTCCACCTCCTGGGTTCAAGCAATTCTCCTGCCTCAGCCTCCCAAGTAGCTGGGATTATAGGCGACCGCCACTACGCCCAGCTAATTTTTTTTTTTTTTTGTAGTTTTAGCAGAGATGGGGTTTTGCCATGTTGGCCAGCCTTGTCTCGAACTCCTGACCTCAGGTGATCCACCTGCCTCAGCCTCCCAAAATGCTGGGATTACAGGTGTGAGCCACCGTGTCTGGCCCAAAACTTTCTTTAGTGTTTCTTGAAGTGCAGTTCTGCTGGTGATGAACTATGTTGTTGCTGAAACACCAGGGGTTCAATCTAGGTCCTGCTGCTCACCACTGCACAGAAAGCCTATCGCTGAGACAATGAGTATTGCCAAGGAAGAAGGCTTTAATCAGCTGCTGCAGCTGAGGAGGTGGGAGAACAATCTCAAATCCATCTCCCTGACCAACTAAAATTTGAGGTTTATATAGCAGGGAAGAAATGTTACCATGTGTGGGAATACAGGAATTAGGGAAGGGTAAGGAAGAGGAGTTGGTCAACAGGAAGCAGGTGGTCAGTTAGGCAATCATGATGGGTGATGGGTCTGATGTCTCACTGTACAAATGCAGTATTCTGGTGCGTTTCAGCTCCTAGATACTATCTGGGAGGCCTGATGGTTGGTTTCCTGAGAAAGGAACTCAGATAAGATAAATGTAACTTTCTTAAGTTTTAAGATTGGGAAGATCAATTTGTTTGTTTATTCAAGGAAACCATAAACATCAGCAATATGGGAAAATTGGGCCAGTTTCACTTTCAGGTATTTAAAAGAAAAATCTATTGGATTTTGGATATCAATTCTTGTCCTTCACTTGGCGCTAAGTTCATGTCCCTACATAAGATACAAAGGGGGCCGGGCGCGGTGGCTCCCGCCTGTAATCCTAGCACTTTGGGAGGCCGAGGTGGGCGGATCACAAGGTCAAGAATTCAAGACCAGCCTGGCCAACATAGTGAAACCCCATCTCTACTAAAAATACAAAAATTAGCCGGGTGTGCTGGCGTGTGCCTGTAGTCCCAGCTACTCGGGAGGCTGAAGCAGGAGAGTCGCTTGAATCCAGGAGGCGGAGGTTGTAGTGAGCAGAGATGGCACCATTGCACTCCAGCCTGTGTGACAGAGTGAGACTCCATCTCAAAAAAAAAAAAAAAAAAAAAGAGATACAAAGGAAGCTACTGTTGGGATAATGTCATTTGGTCGTATTCCCATCAGAAACCTTAAGCTTTGGCCACAACCAGGACTCTTCATATAAAATGGTGATGGTGGTGGTGGGGAACCAGGGAAAAAGCGGAAAAAATTAAAGATTTTTTAAAAAACCCAAACCCAAAGCATAGCTGTCTTCTATTCCTGCTTTGGGACCTGGTCTTCAGGACTGAATTTAATTCTTCCACATCCATTCCACATTCTGCTTTCTCTCTGCCAGTCCCTTATCTGAATGGATTTTTATTTTTATTTTTTTTTGGGATGGAGTCTCACTCTGTCGCCCAGGCTGGAGTGCAGCGGCGCGATCTCGGCTCACTGAAAGCTCTGCCTCCCGGGTTCACGCCATTCTCCTGCCTCAGCCTCCTGAGTAGCTGGGACTACAGGCGCCCGCCACCACGCCCGGCTAATTTTTTGTATTTTTAGTACAGACAGGGTTTCACTGTGTTAGCCAGGATGGTCTCGATCTCCTGAGACCGGCCCTGAATGGATTCTTTACCCTGATAGAGTGATCTTATCTCGGATCAGGTTTTCTGGGAACAGATTTTGTGCTGGCAATTTTTTGTTTATTGGATAAAACTCCTGGGAACAACATCTTTAAAGGCATGCGAGAAGCGGAGGGGACAGATGAGGCTGACATGTAACTTGTCAACTGAGGCTGCCGTCGATCCCACAGGGAGTTCTGGTGCTGGGGTTGCCCTTCAGGGGTGTCCTACATTGAAACAAAGGCACTGGACCTTTGTACCCCCTACATCAACCAGTCACTGGAAGTAGGCAACCCCTGGAGAGAGAGCATAATCTTGGGTTGGGCACTTTCCTCTGGGCCTTGGGGAGTTCCCAGAGAGGACAGCAGCATCACCATCATCAGGCAACACCTCCAGCAGCTAGGGGAGTGCCTTAGTCTTTTCTTTTTTCTAGATGGAGTCTTGCTTTGTCACCAGGCTGGCGTGCAGTGGCAAGATCTTGGCTCACTGCAACCTCCGCCTCCCAGGTTCAAGCGATTCTCCAGCCTCAGCCTCCTGAGTAGCTGGGACTACAGGCACACGCCACCACGCCCAGCTAATTTTTTTTTTTTTTTTTGAGATGGAGTCTTTGTCGCCCAGGCTGGAGTGCAGTGGCGCCATCTCGGCTCACTGCAAGCTCCGCCTTCCAGGTTCACGCCACTCTCCTGCCTCAGCCTCTCGAGTAGCTGGGACTACAGGTGCCCGCCACCATGCCTGGCTAATTTTTTGTATTTTTAGTAGAGATGGGGTTTCACCGTGTTAGCCAGGATGGTCTCTATCTCCTGACCTCGTGATCCGCCGGCCTTGGCCTCCCAAAGTGCTGGGATTACAGGTACGCCCAGCTAATTTTTGTAGTTTTAGTAGAGACGGGGTTGCACCATGTTGGCCAGGATGGTCTTGATCTCTTGACCTCGTGATCCACCTGCCTCAGCCTCCCAAAGTGTTGGGATTACAGGCGTGAGTCACCACGCCTGGCCTTAGTGCCTTAGTCTTAAAGGAAGAATCTGGGAAATATGCCACTGAAACCATGCCTAAAGTGTTAAAGCAAAGACTAGCAGAAATTCTTGATGTGTTGGAAGCTGGTTCCTTCTGGTGGGTTCGTGGTCTCGCTGACTTCAAGAAAGAAGCCACAGACCTTCACTCTTAAAGATGGCACAGACCCAAAGAGTGAGCGGTAGCAAGGATTACTGTGAAGAGCAAAAGAACAAAGCTTCCACAGCTTGGAAGGGGACCCGAGCTGGTTGCCGCTGCTGGCTGGAGTGGCCAGCGTTTATTCCCTTATTGACCCCTCCCATGTTCTGTTTCTGTCCTATCAGAGTGCCCTTTTTTCAATCCTCCCTGCAATTGGCTGCTTTCAGGATCTTGCTGATTGGTGTGTTTTACAGACTGTTGATTGGTGCATTTTACAATCTTCTTGCTAGCTACAGAGCGCTCACTGGTGCGGTTTACAATCCTAGCTACAGAGTGCTGATTGGTGTGTTTTACAATCCTCTTGTAAAACAGGAAAGTTCTCCAAGTCCCCACTCGACCCAGGAAGTCCAGCTGGCTTCACCTCTCATTGAGTTTGCAGGATGGCAGGTAAAAAAAGAAATAACTTGCTAAAACGCTGAAACTGCCTCCACTTGTAACAAAACTGCCTAAAATCTGTGAGAACCCACATGGCCAAATGGAGTTTGTGCAGAATGAGCTTGCTGATGTCACAGTGCAAATTTCCACGTGTTTCATACAAACTCCCTTGAGTTAGTATGACTTTGCACATGGAACCCATGGGGAGGCATGAAGAGATCATTGCACCTGCCTGAGGACTTAACAGACCTTTCCTCCCACCAATCGCCTGCTAATCCCAGAATCCACGCCCTACACCTTTTCTAAGAAAATTATTGCCTTAAAGTCAGCATAAGACAAATTTGAGCTGGACTCCTGTCTCCTTGTTAACTTGCAATACAAACCTTTCCTTTTCTCAAAAATCTGATGTCATAGTATTGGCTTCTAGCACATTGGGTGAAGAGCTCTTTTGCTGGGTAGTGCCACCACTGTACCTACTGTGGTCCACCATGTGTGCCACTCAGATGCCCTGCATTCATTTTGTTTGTTTTGTTTTTGAGACAGAGTCTCCCTCTGTTGCCCAGGCTGGAGTGCAGTGGTACCATCTTGGCTCACTGCAACCTCTGCCTCCTGAGTTCAAGTGATTCTCCTGCCTCAGCCTCTGGAGTAGCTGGGACTATAGGCATGTGCCACCATACTCAGCTATTTTTTGTATTTTTAGTAGAAATGAGGTTTCACCATGTTGGCTAAGCTGGTCTCGAACTCCTAACCTCAAGTGATCTGCCCGCCTCTGCCTCCCAAAGTGTTGGGATTACAGGCGTGAGCCACTGTGCCCGGCCCCAGGATTCTTAAAGTAAGTGCCCTCAGGATCCAGGTTGGTCCCGTTGCCTGGAGAAACTGACAAGAGGAAGATCAGTGGGACAAACTGTAGACAGCCCTTTCCACCTGAACAAGTCTCAGAGATGCAATTGATGCTTATCACACTCCTTTACTTGCACCTTCCAGATTCCCTTTACCCTTGACTAGGGTGAAAATTCTAGATTTCCTTCTCACCTAGATCCTGCTGGTCTAGGTGGCTTACCTGGAGAGCTGCTCCAGATCCTTATGCCTACGGGGTCTTCACCATGCCCTTCTCAGGACATAGCTGGTGAAATTTTTTTATCTTTTTCTTTTTTGGAGACAGAGTCTCGCTCTGTTGCCCAGGCTGGAGTGCAGTGGCGCGATCTCGGCTCACTGCAAGCTCCGCCTCCTGGGTTCACGCCATTCTCCTGCGTCAGCCTCCCAAGTAGCTGGGACTACAGGCGCCTGCCAACGCGCCCAGTTAATTTTTTTGTATTTTTTGTAGAGACAGGGTTTCACCATGTTAGCCAGGCTGGTCTCGATCTCCTGACCTTGTGATGTGCCCACCTCGGCCTCCCAAAGTGCTGGGATTACAAGCGTGACCCACCACGCCTGGCCAAAATTTTTTTATCTTTAAAATTGGGGAAAGAATAGTAAGAGACATCCCAATGGATTCCGTGAATGCCAAATGTTTTCCTCCCTGCACTCATCATGTAACAGCAGCCTCAGATTCTATGGATGATAGCATTAATTACCTAAGTCAGTATGGTGACTTCTTTCCTTGTGTGCTGGTCTCATAGAAGTCACAGTTTAACATCCGATGAGACTCTTACTGTGTCTCTTGGTGGAAGTGTTTCCCTCTGGGAACCAAGTCCTTTAGGTTACTTCTCTTTTTTCTTTTTTTTTAGATGAAGTCTTACTCTGTCACCCAGGCTAGAGTGCAGTGGCATGATCTCGGCTCACTGCAATCTCCGCCTCCCGGGTTCAAGAGATTCTCCTGCCTCAGCCTCCTGAGTAGCTGGGATTACAGGCGCCCACCACTGTGCCTGGCTAATTTTGTATTTTTAGTAGAGACGGGGTTTCACCATGTTGGCCAGGCTGGTCTCAAACTCCTGACCTCGTGATCCACCGACCTCGGCCTCCCAAAGTGCTGGGATTACAGGGGTAAGCCACTGCGCCTGGCCAGGTTAATTATTTCTTTTGCTTTCCTCCCCAATGGCTCTGTTCCTCATCCTATACAGGAAACACTGGTGTTGGCAACTATGTTAGGCTTCATCGGGGAGTATCAGTGCATGGACACCACCCCAGGGTAGCTGAGCAACTGATAGAATTCCTGGGCTTGGATATGAACTTTCCATCCAGGTGATGGGCATGAGTAGATTCTGAGAAGCAAAAGGAGTGACCAATACTGGGTATCTTCCATTCGCCCCAGCAGATTCACCTCCTCTACCCTGCTGTACTTGGGATGATTAGTTACTATGAATGCTATCAACGAACTCCCTTACCTTATTGGCTTTTGGTTGAGTTTGGCAAATGGGGAACCCAAATATGATATAAGAAGAATGAAGGACAAGGAGGGCTGGCCCTGGCTATTTCTTTCTCTTTTTTGGTGGTGGTGGGGGGGTGGGGATGGAGTTTCACTCTGTCACCCAGGCTGGAGTGCAATGGCATGATCTTGGCTCATTGCAACCTCCACCTACCGGGTTCAAGCAATTCTCCTGCCTCAGCCTCCTGAATAGCTGGGACTACAGGCGCATGCCACCACACCCGGCTAGTTTTTGTATTTTCAGTAGAGAATGGGTTTCATCATGTTGGCCAGGCTGGTCTTGAACTCCTGATCTCAAGTGATCCACCCACCTCGGCCTCCCAAAGTGCCAGAATTATAGGTGTGAGCCACTGTGCCTGGCCGACCCTTACTATTTCTTGCAGAACTCGAGGCTGGATGTTGCCCCTCACTGACCTCCTGTCAGCTCCTGGAATGCAGCCCTCTCCTCGCTTGAACAACAACTTGCAGTTCTCTTCCTTTGTCCCTTCAGGCTTATGGGTGTCCTACGATCTGCCATTTGTTTGGAAGCTGGAGAACCAAGAAAGCTGGTAGTCTTGCTCCAGTCCAAGCTCAAAGACCTGAAAACAGGGGAGCCAACAGTGTAAACCCCAGTGTGAAGTCCAAAGGCTTGAGAACCAGGAGGGCCAATGGTGTAAGTTGCGAGTCTGAGTCTGAAGGCTGGAGAACCAGAAGCACCCGTATCTGAGGTGGGGAGAAGACCGATGTTCCATTTCAAGTACCTTTTGTGGTTTCCCTACATCCTGTTCACAATTCTGTGAGGAGCCCCTTGATATAAACTGCGCTTGAATCATCCCAGTTGACGTGTGTGTCAACTGTTTCCTGCTGGGACTCTTGATATTCCAACTTCCTGAACATGTAAGGAAAAGCCCTAACAATGACCTATAAAACCCCACAAGATCAGGATCTGCATCTCCGATTACCCTCTAATCCCTGAATCCCTATTTTACCTGAGTCATACTGGCCTCTGTGCTGTGGGTCTTTGCATGCCAACAGTCCTCTTGCCACAAGTTCCTACTCAATAGTCTCTCCTCAAATGCACCTTAACTGGGGGCCTTTTCCTTCCTATGCTACATAAAATGGAAAGTCCCCAGCCCTCCGTAACTCTCTCACAATGCTTTATTTTTCTGCACAACATGAATATTGTTGATTTTTCTTTTTCGATGGAGTCTTGCTCTGTTGCCCAGGCTGGAGTGCAGTGGCGCGATCTCGGCTCATTGCAACCTCCACCTCCCAGGATGAAGCGATTCTCCTGCCTCAGCCTCCTGATTAGCTGAGCGCACCACCACACCCAGCTAATTTTTTTGTATTTTTAGTAGAGATGGCGTTTCACCATGTTGGTCAGGCCGGTCTCAAACTCCTGACCTCATGATCTGCCCCAGCCTCCCAAAGTATTGGAATTACAGGCGTGAGTCACAGCGCCCGGCCATGTTGTTGATTTTTCTATAATTCACCCCTCCCCGTTAGGATGTAAGTGCCTCAATGGCAAAACTTGAGTTTCATTCACTGCTCTAGACATGGCATCTCAAACAGTGCTTAGCCACATGGAATGTACTCAATGAACAGGCTAGTGGTTATGAGAATCACCTGTCTGGATTCCAATCTGTGCTCTACCACTTACTAGCTGGTGAACTCAGGCAAGCAACCTAGACATTTCCATGCCAGTTTTCCCATCTGTAAGTTGGAGACAGTAATAGCACAGTTTGCAAGCTTATAGTGAGGACGCAGTTAATATTTATAAGGCACTTTGAAGAGCGCCTGGTCTATAGGATGGGCTAGCGAAATGTTTGATCTCTTTTTGTTAATATATTTTCATATTACAATTATTTGGTATGAAAAGGTATGGCCCCTACTGAAAATAAATAAATTCACAGGAGAATATCTAAACCTCTACGCACCTAGTTACATTACACATAAACATATATAAAGTAAAAATGACAGAATTACAGAAAGAATTTGTTAATCTACCATGCTAGTGGAAGACTTTAATATACCTCTATCACTAAGTCAGGTCGAGAGAAACAAATACAGTACAAATTGAAAAACACAGTTTGAGTACGTATGTCCATCCTGTATCCAAAAATTAGATACATAGTATACTGTTTTCAGAGAATCATGGAGCACTTATAAAAACAGATCAATAAACAGGATTAACAGATAATGCATTCACCTGGAAGCTAACACAACACCCCCCAACCAAACACACACACACACACACACACTCTCTCTCTCTCTCTCTTTGGTTTTAACCAATTAGTGGTTACTTGTGATCATGTAAGAAGTCTAGTAATATGCAGAACAGAGCCAATGCAGCCAATCAAAGGTTTTTGAAGAACTCAAATCATTGTGATTTTTCGGCACTGTTTCTTTCTTTTTTTTTTTTTTTGAGATGGAGTTTTGCTCTTGTTGCCCAGGCTGGAGTGCAGTGGGTCAACCTTGGCTCACTGCAACCTCTGCCCAGTTTGAAGCAATTCTCCTGCCTCAGCCTTCCAAGTAGCTGAGATTACAGGCATGCGCCAACATGCTCGGTTAATTTTGTATTTTTAGGAGAGACAGGTTTTCTCCATGTTGATCAGGCTGGTCTCGAACTCCCCACCTCAGGTGATCCGCCTGCCTTGGCCTCCCAAAGTGGTGGGATTACAGGCGTGAGCCACCACGCCCAGCCCCTGCACTGTGGTTTTTATCACCACAGTGAAGAAAAAAAAAAAAAAAAAAAAAAAAGCTCTTTTAACTCTATGCTTTGTGTCCACTTTCCAAAAGAATGAAAAGAAAATAGATGAGAATAAGCCAGACGGTGTCTCACCCAGTGCGTTATTCCTACTTCTTTTAGCCAGCAGAGTGGGATAAAGCCTGTCTAAGCTTCAGGAAAGCCTAGTACACTGTACATCTTTTTTTGAGATGGAGTCTCACTCTGTCGCCCAAGCTGGAGTGTGGTTGTGCAATCTCGGCTCACTGCAACCTCCGCTTCCCAGGCTCAAGCGATTCTCCTGCCTCAGCCTCCCAAGTAGCTGGGATTACAGGCACCTGTCATCACGCCCAGCTAATTTTTGTATTTTTTTTAGTAGAGACGAGGTTTCACCACGTTGGCCAAGCTAGTCTTGAACTCCTGACCTCAGGTGGTCCGCCTGCCTCGGCCTCCCAAAGTGCTGGGATTACAGGCATGAGCCATGGCGCCTGGCCCCACTGTACATTTTCAATACTGCTCATTGACAACTTATCTTTTTCTTTAAGTAGGGAGAATGAACATTAAGAAACAGTATTTGTGCCGGGCATGGTGGCTCACGCCTGTAATCCCAGTGCTTTGGGAGGCCGAGGCAGGTGGATCACGAGGTCAGGAGATTGAGACCATACTGGCTAACACAGTGAAACCCCATTTCTACTAAAAATATGAAAAATTAGCCGGGCATGGTGATGGGCACCTGTAGTCCCAGCTACTCGGGAGGCTGAGGCAGGAGGATGGCGTGAATCTGGGAGGCAGAGCTTGCAGTGAGCCACAATCGCGCCACTGCATTCTAGCCTGGACAACAGAGCAAGACTCCGTCTCAAAAAAAAAAAAAAAAAAAAAAAGAAACAGTATTTGCTATATTAGGACACAAAGAGAAAACAACCAAAATCACAAAGTCCATGTACTCTGGCAAAATACTATTAAATTAGAAAAAAATATATC
This sequence comes from Homo sapiens, assembly GCF_000001405.40. Lineage (NCBI taxonomy): Eukaryota > Metazoa > Chordata > Mammalia > Primates > Hominidae > Homo > Homo sapiens. The sequence goes on along the minus strand of NC_000019.10, from coordinate 7,086,256 downwards.
AAATATTGTCTGATTTTTTTTTTTTTGAGACAGAGTTGCACTCTTTTGCCCAGGCTGGAGTGAAGTGGCATGATCTTGGCTCACTGCAACCTCCATTTCCCGGGTTCAAGTGATTCTCCTTCCTCAGCCTCTTGAGTAGCTGGGATTATAGATGCCTGCCACCACACCCGGCTAATTTTTGTATTTTTTAGTAGAAGCGGGGTTTCACCATGTTGGCCAGGCTGGTCTCAAGCTCCTTACCTCCGGTGATCTGCCCGCCTCAGCCTCCCAAAATGCTAGGTTTATAGGTGTGAGCCACCACACCTGGCAAATGTCTAATTTCTATTATAACAAACTAGATCACTCAGGAGCTGTTTGGAAATACCTTTCTGAATATTTGGTGTATTGATGTTTTAGAATTATAATAAATACACTGTATATAAAACGAGGTAGTAAGATTTTCAGGACCACTATAGCCATAAATGTTTATATTAAAAGACTGAAAATGAACGAGCTAGTGGCCCAACCTACAAATGAGACATTGATGAAGGTAATTCCACATTCATAGCACTTACACCTTTTGTTCTAAGTTACTGCGTGGCCACTCAGTTAAGAGATGAGGCATCCTAACATTGATTACGTTCCTAGGGCTTCCTCTAAATGAATTCTCTCATGCATAAAGGGAGGAATCACTGAAAATTTTTCTGAAATTAATACACTCGTGAGTATTGCATCCAAGGAACATTTACATATTTTTCCTAATATAAGAGGTATCACTGAAAACATTCCCTCATCCTTTATCTTAAGAAGTTCTGGCTGAGAGTGGTAGCTCGTTCCTGTATTCCCAGCATTTTGGGAGGCTGAGGCAGGTGGATCACTTGAGCCCAGGAGTTTGAGAGCAGCCTGGGAAACATGGTGAATCCCCATCTTTACAAAAACTAGACAGGCATGGTGGTGCATGCCTACAGTCCCAGCTACTTGGGAGGCTGAGGTGGGAGGATCCCTTAAGCCTGGGAGGCAGAGGTTACAATAAGCCAAGATTGCACCACTGCACTACAGCCTGGGCACAGATGAAACCCTGTCTCAAAAAATAAATTGTATAAATTGTTATCTTACACTGAGTTAGGTTCCTAAAAATGTGGAAAAATGACATTCTAATACTGATGGAATTCAATGGTTTTTCTAGTATGAATCTCACTTCTTAAAAATGGAGAGAATATTCAAGGCTTTTATAGCATACCAAACTATACTGTCTTGTGCTTGGTAATATGACTGTTTGTGTCACAGGCTTTTCAACACTGTGTATACTCAACATATTCCTCTGTTGTATGATCTCCGAAATGTGACTTAAGGAATGAGTGTCCCCTGGTTTTCCATTTTTGATGCCACACACAGGGTTTCCCCTTATTGTGAGTTGTCATGTGACTCCCTGAAGCCATCACTGAAGGCTTTCCTACAGCTACTGCATTACCTGGGCAGCTCCCCAGTAGATACTTTTTTTTTGGTAGGGGGAAAGTTTGAGCTCAAAGTTTTACCATACAGATTACACTCACAAGATTTCTCTCTAGAGTGAGTTAACCTGTGGGTGATTGAATGCTACTCCCATATTGATCAGTTTAGAAGTTGGCTGGGCATGGTGGTTCATGCCTGTAATCCCAGTACTTCTGGAGGCCAAGATGAAAGGACTGCTTGAACCTAGGAGTTTGAGACTAGTCTGGGCAACATGGCAAAACCCTCCCTCTAGTTTAAAAAAAAACAAATTAGCCAGACATGGTGTCATGCACCTGTAGTCCCAGCTACATTGGAGGCTGGGGCAGGAGAATTACTTGATCCCAGGAAGTAGAGGCTGCAGTGAGCTGTGATCACACCACTGCGCTCCAGACTGGGTGACAGAGTGAGACATTGTCTTAAAAAAAAAAAAATGAGGGTCAGCTGAAGGCTTTCCTCCACTGATTTCATGGCAAGTTTTCCAGATGGTTCCAAATGTCTACTGTTCATACCTCCTGTGGTGTTCTTCCACATTGTATCAGGATTGGTGTGTATGACCAATGTAACAGGGACATGAAAACATATCTCACTGAAGCTAGGTCATAAAAGACATTATGCTTTCTGTGTTGGCTCCTTTAGATCACTGGCTTTGGGGAGAAGTTGCTTCCATAAAGAAACTCAGCCCTGTTGAGAGGCCTACGTGATTTGGAAGCGCAGCTCCCTTGGAAACAGCTAGCATGCACTTGTCGGGCTTGTAAGCCATTTGGAAGTGGTCCCTTCACCAGTAACAATTCTGGATGATTACAGTTCTGCTGACATCTGGACTGTAACCTCTTGAGATATCCTGAAGAACTATAGAGCTATGTTGTTTCTGAATTCCTGACCTACAAAAATTTTGAGATAACAAGTGTTTTTGTTTGAAGCCACAAAATTTTGGGGGGTAATTTGTTACACAGTAGCAGGTGATTCATACATCTTGTTAGAGTTTGCTCATGTTATCTGAGGCATGAAAGATCAATGAATGCTTTTCCCACAGTTATTGAATTCACATTTGCCTATTATGCATTCTCGTATGCACAGAAAGGTAGGAGTTACTTGTGAAGGATTTCCCGCAATAATTACATTCATAGGGTTTTTTTCCAGTGTGAGTTCTCATGTGTTTCTTAACGGATGAGAGAACATTAAAGGATTTTCCACAATCACTGCACTCATAGGATTTCTCTCCATTATGTATTCTCCTGTGAATTGTAAGAGAAAAGCTATTGGTAAAGGATTTCCCACACTCATTACATGTGTAGGGTTTTTCTCCAGTATGAGTTCTTATGTGCTGTGTCAGATTCGACCTCCTCCTGAAGGTTCTCCCACAATCGTGGCATTCGTAAGGGTACTCCCCTGTATGAATGCTATAGTGCGAAGAAAGAGATGACCTCGTGCCGAAAGCCTTTCCACACTGATTACATACATAATGACCCTCCCCCGTATGAACTCTCTTGTGCCTTGTGAAGATTGACTGAGTGCGGAACTCACGAAAACACTGGTTACATTTGTACGGTTTTTCTCCAGTGTGAATTCTCAAGTGCGGTCTGAGGTATGAGGAATTGCTGAAGGTTTTCCCACAGTCACTGCATTCGTAGGGTTTCTCCCCATTGTGGATTCTCTTATGAACAGTAAGGTAAGATCTGCTGCTGAAGGTTTTCCCACAGTCATTGCATTCATAGGGTTTCTCCCCATTGTGGATTCTCTTATGAACAGCAAGGTAAGATCTACTGCTGTAGGATTTCCCACATTCACTGCAGCCATAGGGTCTTTCTCCAGTATGAATCTTCCTGTGCCGTGTAAGGGAAGATTTTGTGCTGAAGACTTTAAAACACTGATTACATTCGTTGAGTGTTGCTCCAAGATGATTCCTCTCCTATTGATTAAGAGATGACAATAAGTACCATTTATAATATTTTTAACATTGAATGCTGTCAGAGGAATTTCCTCTCCCAGGAATTCTGTTGTGTATCATAGTATTGGAATTAATGTTTTTGCCATCATGAGTGCTGGTACATGGCTTCTGTCAGTTTGAATTCTTAGCATTTAAAGAAGATGGATTCTTTCTACAAATCTTTATCATATTCACAGAGTATTTTTGATAAATTTAAGGCTAATTTCTTTTTCAAATATCCAATATCTGACTCAGACTACTGGAAATATTTACTTGTGGGAATTCTCAGGAAAAACAAGTTTGGGGCTAACTAATGCTTTTCTCCAAATTCAAAATAATTTCACAGTATCTCTCCAGAGGTACTACTTTATCTTTGAAAAAAATGACACTTTCCTTTAATAACTATTTAATAAAGCCACTTTTTTTTTTTTTTTTTTTGAGACAGAGTCTTGCTCTGTCGCCAGGCTGGAGTGCAGTGGCACAATCTCGGCTCACTGCAAGCTCCACCTCCAGGGTTCAAGTGATTCTTCTGTTTCAGCTTCCCAAGTATTTGGGATTACAGGTGCGCATCACCACACCCAGCTAAGTTTTTTTTGTATTTTTAGTAGAGATGGGGTTTCACCGTATTGGCCAGGCTGGTCTCCAACTCCTGACCTGACCTCATGATCCAACTGCCTCAGCTTCCCAAGGTGCTGGGATTAAAGGCATGAGCCACTGTGCCTGGCCAACAAGGCCAGTCCTTGTGGCTTTTCTCATGTAGGGCATTCTACCATGAAAAAAACCAGGAATCACCCATGTTAGTCTTACCATTTTCATATTTCTAGATTGTTCTTTTCGAAAAACATGCAGCTTAGGAGTTAACCCTTTGGCTTTAAATGGATTCTCCACATCTGAAACAAGTTAAAAAGAAATTTAAGTTGATAGAAAAGAGGCAAATTTTAAGTTGATGGTGAAATAGTAAAATGCATACGTGAGTGAAGGCAGAATCTGAGAGGTGAGGGTTTTTGAGAAGGCATTCGGTGAAAGAGATATGGGTGTGAAAATTTTAGGCAATGTTTAAGAAAGACTCTAGGAAGATTGAGATTGATGTTGACAGAATGAAGGAATTGTCAGGAAGGCAAGGTGGACTGAAACTGATCAAAGAGCTCATAGGAGACTTAAATTTCAGAAAAAGAGATGTCTTTTTTTCTCCCCTGAGGCCCAAGTAAAGTATGAGATGACAGAAAGTTGGAAGTCATGAAGGTACATGAGGGGGCTCAGACCAAACGTTCTTGGCCTTCTTGGGAAAAGGGGCATTTACACAGTTCTCTGACTGATATTTCCTAATGTATTATAATACTCCCAACTTCTCAGTCCCTGGCCAGAGCTGTTCCTCACAAGGACTTATATCCACCTGGTGCTCACCTGGACAGGTACCTGAGAGAATTCCTCTCTCTTCTGTCATCACTTTATCTTCTTGCTCCAGCTGGGAGATCAGCCTAGGTTTATCAACTTGGTTCCCTGTACATGGAGAAAAGACACATGATGTAGGGGGACTGTGCAGCAGACAAGCTCTCCCATGAAACTGAAATCAGTTCTGAAGGTGAAGAGGTGTGACTTCAGGAGCAGAGAAATAATTATGCCAAAATTGAATAAATATAGCAACCGTCTTAAACACTCACACACACACACACACACACACACACACACACACACACACACACACACACCCCACAAGCAATATCTAGGGTGGTTGCAGGATAACTGGTCCCAGGAGCCCCTGTCCAGGTTTAAATACAGAATCTGAAAGCCCAAAAGATTTAACTACAGAGAATATATAGTCAGGGAAAGAAGGAGATCTTCATTTCATACAGATAGCATTAGACAGACAGCTCCATGAGGGTGGGGGGCATGTCTGTTGCATTCTTCACTACTCCCACATCCCAGCACAGACCTAGGAACAGAGGTGCTTATGAAGGACTTAAACGAAGTAATGTCAGTGAAGGTAGTGGAGTAGGGAACTCCACAACTCCATCCCTTCACAAAAACAGTATGTAAATGGGCAAACACAGAATCAACTTCATTGGAGCTCTTGAATGTCATCAAAAGTTTACAGCCACAGGAGAATGCCTAATCAAGACAAACAGCTGAATCTGGGTAAGAGAGATTTGTGACATTTTAACTGACTCTAGCTGCACACTCTATTCCCCATTTTGCCTTGAGGACAACAACCTGTGTTTCTAGTGCTGAAGGGAACAGAATGCACCTTATTCTCAAAAACCTGTGGCTGTTCTCTTCTGACCTGTCTGCTGGCTCCCTGATGGGCTGGATCAAAGGGCTTCCCTTTATTTGTGTAACTCCAAACTCTCCCAGGTCTGAAGAGGCTACACCTATGGAAGCTGGAGGGTGGAGAGGGAAGTGTGTCCCAACACATCTAAAGGCAAATCAGCCACTGCTCAATGGGGCAAGGGAAAACTGTGAAGCAAACAAAAGACTAACCAAAAAACCTGGGAGGAGAAGTTGGGAACAAGATGCTCTGAGGAGTAGAGCATCTTTCCACACCTTCTTTTCCCCCACAAGATGGAGTCTTGCTCTGTCGCCCAGGCTAGAGTGCAGTGGTGTGATCTCGGCTCACTGCAACCTCCACCTCCTGGGTTCAAGCAATTCTCCTGCCTCAGCCTCCCAAGTAGCTGGGATTACAAGCATTTGCCACCACGCCTGGCTGATTTTTTTGTATTTTTAGTAAAGATGTGGTTTCACCATCTTGGCCAGGCTGGTCTCCAACTCCTGACCTCAGGTGATCCGCCCACCTCAGCCTCCCAAAGTGCTGGGATTACAGGCATGAGCCACTGCGCCCGGCCTCCACACATTTCTAGAAGGCCATGCTCATACCCAGGGATGAACACATGCTCAGAGAAGATCTGAGAAGGCACCAAGCCCTCACCTTTGACTGACCTTCAGGCTCTGCATAAGAAGGAACTGAAGGCTAAGTCAGAGTTGTAAGATGCTTTAGCTGAGTTTTGAAGGCATGCTCCAACATGTAATTCAGATCCATTGGCAAAGACTGGTCATCTTTTGGGTTCCAGGTATTTAAAAAAATCTCTGACAAATTAATCCCAAGCTGAACACTAAGCTAACAGAACAGAGACTTCAGTGGCCACACATGACCAATACAGACGTTACAAAATTAGTTCAGAAATGTCACTAAACAAAGAAACAATACCAACTACAACAAACCTTGGGGAGGGGGGAAATCAGATTTAAAGAACTGCCATATTGTAATATTCTGAAAGTAGTTTTCAGCAAATAAATTATGAGGCATGTAAAGAAACAAAAAAATGGGCCGGGCGCGGTGGCTCATGGCTGTAATCCCAGCACTTTGGGAGGCCAAGGTGGGCGGATCACAAGGTCAGGAGATCGAGATCATCCTGGCTAACACGGTGAACCCTGTCTCTACTAAATATATAAAAAATTAGCGAGGCGTGGTGGTGGGCGCCTGTAGTCCCAGCTACTCGGGAGGCTGAGGCAGGAGAATGGCGTGAACCTGGGAGGCAGAGCTTGCAGTTAGCCAAGATTGCACCACTGCACTCCAGCCTGGGTGACAGAGTGAGACTCCATCTCAAAAAAAAAAAAAAAAAAAGAAACAAAAAATGAATGAAACTGCATTATAGGAAAAAAGAAATGAACAGAAATTTTCCATAAGGAAACCTAGTCATTGGATTTATTAGGCAACGACTTCAAATCAACTATTTCAAATATGCTCAAGGAGTTAATGGAAACTGTGTACAAAGAACTAATGGAAACCATGAGAATGAATTCTCACCAAATAGAGAAAATCATAAAGAGATGGAAATTATAAAAAGGAGCCAAATAGGAATTTTAAAATTGAAAAATATATATTATCTGAAATGAAAAATGTACTAGAGGGGTTCATCAGAAGACTTGATCAGGCAGAAGACACAATTAGTGAACTTGATGACAGGTCAATTAAGATTGCCTGATCTGTAGAGCAGAAATTAAAAATAAAGGGAAAAAAATGAACAGAGCCTAAGAAACCCAGAAGATACCATCAAACATCTGAATACACATAATGGGAGTTGCTACTGGAGAGGAGACAGAGAAAGGAGCAGAAGGAATATATGGAAAAATTGGCAAGGTGCAATGGGTCACGCTCTAATTACAGCACTTTGGGAAGCCGAGGTGGGAGGATCACCTGAGGTCAGGAGTTCGAGACCAGCCTAGCCAACATGGTGAAACCCTGTCTCTACTAAAAATACAAAAATTAGCTAGCTGTGGTGGTGCGCGTTTGTAATCCTAGCTACTGAGGAGGCTGAGGCAGGGAGAATTGCTTGAACCCAGGAGGCAGAGGTTGCAGTGAGCTGAGATCGTGCCAGTGCACTCCAGCCTGGGCGACAGAGTGAGACTCCGGGAAAAAAAAAAAAAAAGGAATATATGTAAAAATAATGGCCAAACTTTCCCAAATTTGATGAAAATTACAAGTCTACACATCAAAGCAGCTCAAGGATCTCCCAATAGGATACACTTAAAAACTCATACTGAGATACCTTAACATTAAACTGTCAAAAGCCAAAGACAGACTATCCTGAAAAATGGCAAGGGAGAAATAAGTCATCATGTACAAGATTAACAGCTGATTTGTCACCAGAAACCATGGAGGCCGCAAGCCAGTGGGATGATGACATACTCCAAGTACTGAAAGAAAAATATCAACCAAGAATTCTATCTCCTGCAAAACTATCATTCAAGATAGTAAAAAGGCAATCCACTGAATGGGAGGAAATCTTTGAAAATGATATATTTGATAAAGGTCTAGGATGCAGAACATATAAAGAACTCTTACAACTCAATAACGAAAAGGCAAACAATGCCCCCCAAATGGAAAAAGCACTTGAATGAACATTTCTTCAAAAAAGATGTATAAATGGCCAACAAGCACAAGAAAAGATGGCCAATCTCATCATTTTTTTTAGGGAATAGAAATAAAAACCACAATGAGACAGACAACCACAAGAATGGCTATCATAATTTTTTAAAAAAAGGAAAAGAGACAAATGTTGGTAAGGATGCAGAGAAACTAATACGTTGCTGGTCTCATGCACTGCTGGTAGGAATGTAAAATGGTGTAGCAGTTGTAGAAAAGTTTGGACATTCCTCAACACATTAAACACAGAATTACCACAGGACACAGAAGTTCCACTCCTAGGTATATACCCAAGAGAAAACAGGTGCTCAAGCAAAATCTTGTATATGAATGATCATAGCAGCACTACCCACAATAGCCAAAAGATGAGAACAGGCTAAATTTCCATCAGCTGATGAAATGATATATAAAAAGTGGTATATACACATAACGGAATAATATTCAACCATAAAAAGAATGAAGTTCTGCTATGTGCTACAACACAGCTGTACTTTGAAAACATCGGCCAGGCGTGGTGGCTCATCCCTGTAATCCCAGCAATTTGGGAGGCTGAGGTGGGTGGATCACTTGAGGCCAGGAGTTCAAGACCAGCCTGGCCAACATGGTGAAACCCCATCTCTATTAAAAACACAAAAATTTGCTGAGTGTGGTGGCGCATGCCTTTAGTCCCAGCTGTTGAGGAGGCTGAGGCAGGAGAACAGATTGAACCTGGAAGGTGGAGGCTGCAGTAAGCTGAGATCACACCACTGCACTCCAGCCTGGGTAACAGAGTGAAACTCCATCTCAAAAAAAAAAAAAAAAAAAAAGAAAGAAAACATTATGCTAAGCAAAAAGTGAGACACAAAAGACCACATTTTGTATGATTTCATTTATATAAAATGTCAAGAATTGGGCCAGGAATGGTAGCTCACATCTGTAATCCCAGCACTTTGGGAAGCTAAGGCAGGAGGATCACCTGAGCCCAAGAGTTTGAGACCAGCCAGGGCAACATAGCAAGACCCTGTCTCTACAAAAAATAAACAAATTAGCTGGGCGTGGTGGTCCGCACCTGTGGTCCCAGCTACTCAGGATCACGCCACTGCACTATAGCCTGGGTGACGGAGGGAGACACTGTCTAAAAACAACCCCCTCAAAAAGAAGAGACACATCTATAGAGACGGAAAGATTAGTGCCTGCCAAGATGTTCAGGAGGGAGAACTGGGGAGAGACCATTTCATGACTATGGGGCTTATTTTTGGTGTGACAACTATGTTCTGGAATTAGTGGTGATGGCTGTACTACACTGTGAACCTACGAAAAGCCACCAAATTGGACACTTTAAAATAGTTTAAATGGTGACTTTTGTGTCCTGTGTTACCTCAATTTAAAAAAAGAAAAAAAAGACTGACTTCCTGAGTCATTAAATAAATGCAGGAATGACATTAGGCTTACCCAGTGAGGCCAGGTTCCTGCAGTTCTCCAGCATCACGTCCCTGTACAGTGTCCTTTGGGCAGGGTCCAGCAATGCCCACTCCTCCTGGGTGAACTCCACGGCCACATCCTCAAAGGTCACCAAGCCCTAAAGCATTGCAAACATCACGGCTTAGCCAAGGACCACCCCCACCAATGTGCACAGGAAGAGGGGCCAGGAGAACAGAGCCAGGGCTGGGGAAACCTGAGCACGAGATGTGGGGGGATTCTGAGCTCCTCTCCTGAGGTTCTGAGCTCTTCTCCCTGGCTTCTGAGCTCAGCCCTCAATGCTTGTCTCCTTAGGCTACTCCCAGGTCCAGCGCACAGTACCGCAGAGCAGCTGTCTTTTCTCACTCAAACTGGGAGCTCCTATGATCTTATTTCCCTCAGTCTCCAGGGGATCATGGGCCCGTGACATGGCAGAAATCAGAGAAATACTTGGTAAGTGAATGAATGATTTCCGTATGGCCTTTATTAATTGCTTGGGTTTAGAACATCATCACGTCTTTACTTGGCTTTCCCTTAAAACTCTCAGGAGCACATGATGTACTCAGGGACTCTGGAGGGAGCTCTGAACCTGCAGTAAACGTTGACACACACTGACATTTTCTGGGCAGCCCTCACTCAGAGACCCTGGGATGCCTGAGGAACAAGTTTGGCCGTGGGGCTCCAGGCCACTGAAAGGCATCAAGTCCAACCTTCTGGCTGAAGGAATCATGATTTGGAAAAAGGAACATCCGACTCACCTTTAGCCAGCTTTTCAGGAGCTCATTAACCAGCTCTCCGCCCTCTGTGTGTCCTTCTCGCTGAGAGGCTGGGAACAGGGAAGACAGAGCTGGAGGAGGAGAAATGAGTACCAGGAATCCACACCTGCCCTGTGTCCACTCACACATCTGGAGGCTTCCCCACCTGCCTGCGATCGACCAGGTCCCCATGCATACACAGTCACCCACAAAGCATCCACCTCTACTCCAAGCAAACACCAACCCACAGCAATCCAAGGAAACCAGAGCATGGCCCTGCCGCATCCACGCCAGGAAACAGGGCTTAAGGTCTGACTGCACTTGGGGAAGGGATTATTCCCACTTCACAGATGAGGAAACTGAAGTTCCGAGGGCGTCACTGTGTTTTTATCAGGTTCACAGAAAGAACTGAAGGGAGAATTCAAAAGCTCCAGCACATTCACCACACAGGTGACATCCACAGACACCCAAATGCCTAAGTCCCAAGTCCCAAGAGCCGCCCGATCAGACACGGAGGACCTCTGGGCCCCTGGGGCTCCACTCCTGCCTCACCTGCTCTGCCCAACCCCCTCCCATCCCATGCTGTGGGTCAGGACCTTTCAAGCCTGGACTCTGAGAACTGCCAGGACCCCATGACTCACCGGCAGTTGGGGGCAGGACGACAGCCGCCATCCTGTGACTCCGACAGCAACAGGGCAGCCGGGAAGCAGGACGCTCCTCCTTTATCCCGCAGCGCTCTCAGGACAGCACCCTGGAAGAAATGGGGGGAACACTCTGCCTCGGTCACCCCCTCCAGCCCGTGCCCTGCGTCGGTCACCCCGTCTCCTGCCCGTGCCCTGCCTCGGTCACCCCGTCTCCTGCCCGTGCCCTGCCTCGGTCACCCCCCCTCCTGCCCGTGCCCTGCCTCGGTCACCCCCTCTCCAGCCCGTGCCCTGCCTCGGTCACACCCCCCCTCCAGTCCGTGCCCTGCCTCGGTCACCCCCCTCCAGCCCGTGCCCTGCCTCGGTCACCCCCTCTCCAGCCTGTGATCTGCCTTGACCACCCCCTCCTCCTGGTTTCCACCTCACCCAGCTCAGATGTCACTACCCCTCATTTCAGTTGATTTCCTCCTCCCCACTCCCCACTCTCATGCCAGCCCAGCAGAGCTCCAGCCATTTTCTATCAGAGACCCTAGGTTCCTGCAACTTCTAAGAATCGATCTGTAAGATACACAAATGTAAAAGTTGTGTAAGATTATTCACTGTGGCATTACAGTGCACCCATTAAAAAAAAAAGAGAGAAGATCTCTAGATATCAATAGAGGTTATTATCGTCAGTAAATTTAAGGGGAAAAAAAAGTACCAAATAGCATATATGGAATGTTTCCTTTTTTATGAGAAAAGAAGGGCTGTGTGTGTGTGTGTGTGTGTGTGTGTATATACACACAAAGATGAAAGCGGCTGGCCAGGCGCGGTGGCTCCTGTCTATAATCCCAGCACTTTGGGAGGCCGAGGCGGGCGGATCACGAGGTCAGGAGATCGAGACGATCCTGGCTAACATGGTGAAACCCCATCTCTACTAAAAAAATAAAAATAAAAAATTAGCTGGGCGTGATGGCACACACCTGGAATCCCAGCTATTTGGGAGGCTGAGGCAGGAGAATGGCGTGAACCTGGGAGGCAGAGCTTGTAGTGAGCCGGGATTGCACCATTGCACTCCAGCCTGGGCAACAGAGCAACACTCCATTTGGAAAAAAAAAAAAAAAGTGGTCAAGGGTGTGTGTGGGAGGGGTTGGTGGGGGCGGGGGCAGGCGCTGTCTGCAGTTAGAGACTTGTAAGAGTTTGGGCCAGGTAGACAAAACAGAGCTGTAGAGGGTGGACGGTGCTGGCTATTCATGGAAGGCAGGGCCACTCAGTCTCTCTAGGAATTTGTATTGAGATGTAGCATTCAGGCCCTGGCTTCCTTCTAGATCTCTTGCCCAGGGAATTTATCCTGGGTGACCCCCATACCCCCAATCTCCGGGGAGAGAAGGATTGGGAGAGGACTGAATGGAGAGCCATTCCCCACAGGCCAGTTGTTCGCTGGTACTTGGAGCCAAGCAGAGATGGGAGGCTCTTTCCCATTCCTGCCTGCAGCCTCACAGCCCCCACCCTCCAGTTAATATAGCTGCCAAGTGTCTCTGACATCTGGTCTCTGTGGTGTTAACAGAACCCCCAAAATTCACATATACATGTGAAAAGTTTATATATTTGTACTTATATGTAAAAGCCTGAAAGTTTTAGTATTATGACATGCAAGAAAATCTGTATTATAGCCAGGCACAGTGGCTCACGCCTGCAATCCCAGCACTTTGGGAGGCCGAGGTGGGCGGATCACCTGAGGTCAGCAGTTCAAGAACAGCCTGGCCAAGTTGGTGAAACCTTGTCTCTACTAAAAATATATTTAAAAAATTAGCTGGGCATGGTGGTGGGTGCCTGTAATCCCAGCTACTTGGGAGGATGAGGCAGGAGAATCGCTTGAACCCAGGAGGCAGAGGTTGCAGTGAGACCAGATCATGCCACTGCACTCTAGCCTGGGTGAGAGTAAGACTCCATCTCAAAAAAAAAAAAACAAAAAAAACCAAAAAAACAAATATCTGTATTATTTCTCTACAGTTCCATGTATTTATACTTGTTTGTGAGTGGGCTCTTCCAGCAGCTGTGTTGCACAAACGGTAGAGAAGAGAACTCTGCACAGGTGAGCCCCTGGTGGGTCGCCCCCTCTTCCCTCCCAAGTCCAAACCAGGCATAGCATTTCCTCACCCAGTTATTCCTCTCAAATCCCTTCTGCAGCCCTAGGGTCCCGACGTTGACCCCTCATTCACGTTTTATTGATACCTGCCCCCAGCTGGGTGCTGGAGATGGAGGGGAGGAAGATCCCTGTCATCTAAGAACTGGCTTTCTGGGAGCAGGACACACACACAGACCTGCTGCTGCATTTCAGAGTGATATGTGATATGGCAGAGGGGCACATGGCATCCAACCCAGGATCTGGGAAGAAGGGGACTGGGAAGCCTTGGAAGGAAAAACACTAAGAACATTTGAATTGAGTCTTGAGAGTCGAGGTAGGGTCTTGCTCAGTGGAAAGTGCACGTGCAGAGGCAGGAAAGCAAGCTGCTTAGGAAGCCAAGTTCACAGTTTGGAGCATGTGGACAAATAAGGGGCCAGAGTGCACGGGAAAGGTTGTATTTTGAAAGGTATTATAAAGAGTGGTGAGGAGTTTGAACATGAGAGGCAGTGGAGAGCCAGCAAAGGCTTTTCAGGCAGGCGAGTGACTAAAGCAAATTTATCTTTATGTATTTATTTTGAGACAGTCTTGCTCTGTCACCCAGGCTGGAGTACAATGGTGAGATCTCGGCTCACTGCAACCTCCGCCTCCTGGGTTCAAGCAATTCTGTCTGCCTCAGCCTCCCGAGTAGCTGGGATCATAGGTGCCCACCACCATGCCCAGCTAATTTTTGTATTTTTAGTAGAGACAGTGTTTTGCCATGTTGGCCAGGCTGGTCTCGAACTCCTGACCTCAGGCGATCTGCCCACCTCAGCCTCCCAAAGTGGTGGGATTACAGGTGTGAGCCACTGTGCCTGGCTGTATTTTTTTTTTTTTTTTTTTTTTTGAGACGGAGTCTCGCTCTGTCACCCAGGCTGGAGTGCACTGGCATGATCTCGGCTCACTGCAAGCTCCACCTCCCGGGTTTATGCCATTCCCTTGCCTCAGCCTCCCGAGTAGCTGGGACTACAGGCGCCTGCCACCACGCCCGGGTAATCTTTTTTTTTTTTTTTGTATTTTTAGTACAGACGGGGTTTCACCACGTTAGCCAGGATGGTCTCGATCTCCTGACCTCGTGATCTGCCTGCCTTGGCCTCCCGAAGTGCTGGGATTACAGGCGTGAGCCACCATGCCCAGCTTTTTTTTTTTTTTTTTTTTTTTTTGAGATGCAGTCTTGCTCTGTTGCCCAGGCTGAAGTGCAGCGGTGCCATCTTGGCTCACTGCAGTCTCCGCCTCCCAGGCTCAAGAGAGTCACCACACCCAGCTAATTTATATATTTTTAGTACAGACGGGGTTTCACCCTGTTGGCCAGGCTGGTCTTGAACTCCTGACCTCAGGTGATCCACCTACCTCGGCCTCCCAAAGTTCTGGGATTACAGACAGGCTTGAGCCACTGCTCCTGGCCACAAATTATCTTTTACAATAGCCGTTCTGGCTTCATTGCAATGGACAGATGGGAAGAGACTAGAACAATGCCGCCCAGCAGGGCTTTCTGGGATGATGGAAATGATCTTAATCTTTGCTGTTCAATAGGGGCATTAACCACATGTCGCTGTCAAGCACTTGAAATGTGGTTAGTGCGACTGAGAAGCTGAATTTAAAATTTTATGGAATCTTAATTGGTCTACATTTAAATTAAAACAACCGCATGGACCAGCAGCTACCTTATTATACAGCATAAGTCTACAGGCTGGCAGGCCTGTTAGGAAAAGAAAAAAATAAAAGAAAAATTGAGATGTCTTGGAAGGTTGAAAAAAAAACTTTTAAATAGTGTTTACATGTTTTGTGTACTGATTTGCATATAGCTGTATTTACTGACTTATTTTGACACACATTATCACACACCCCTTAGTATCCTTCTCTTGAATATAAGGCATCAAACAAATAATTTTTAAGATACCCTCACTCGTGGCTCACACCTGTAATCCCAGCACTTTAGGAGGCCGAGGTGGGTGGATCACCTGAAGTCAGGAGTTCGAGACCAGCCTGGCCAACATGGCAACACCCCATCTTTACTAAAAATACAAAAATTAGCTGGGCGTGGTGGTGCACCCTTGTCATTCCAGCTACTTGGGAGGCTGAGGCAGGAGAACTGCTTGAACCTGGGAGGCAGATGTTGCAATGAGCTGAGATCGCACCACTGCACTCCAGGCTGGGCAACGGAGTGAGACTCTGTCTCAAAAAAAAAAAAAAAAATACCCTCACTGTTAGTGAGTCCTTGTGTTTACAACCTGAACACAGGAAAAATCCATTCACAGGTTTTCTACACAGTGGAGTCTTGCAACTTGCAGGTTCTACACGGTACCTACCTGATCATACAGAAGTCCACGGATCAGTGAGGATAGGTGAAACTTGAGGCTGGTTTCAACACAAATCTGAGCTTGAATTATACTTTTTTCGTCTAAATAAAAAGGGCACAAAAATCGCTTATGAGGCCTTTTGTAGGGAGTAATATGTACGTATAGTAAAATGTATTTACTGAGACTAATACAGTTGTTGCATAGAAAGACCACCCCATTCACTTAAAAAAAATTGATTTAAAGAATAAGAACCCAGGCTACTGGCTGTGCCTGAATTCACCAGATTCCTATCCAGCCATCTGGTCCCTAAAATGGGACAAGAAGCTTAAAGCTGTTTTCATCTGACTTGCTTAACTCATTTGGCTGGAGATTGTATGGTGACTCCAGATGCTTTAAATTCGTCACTTTAGGCCTTATAAGTGGACTCGGCTGAATTCTAAATAATTTCTACAGTGTATTCAGGACTGCAGAGATTTTAATGCCCTCCAGCAGGGTTTCCCAACCTGGGCACTAATGACATTTGGGGCTGGATGAGTCTTTGCTGGCGGCGGCTGCTTTACGCGCTGCAGGATGCTGAGCTGCTAGCATCCCTGGCCTCCACCCTCTAGATTACAGTAGTAGCACAGTCCCTCCTACCCTCCATTTTGTGACATCCCAAACCGTCTCCAACTATAGCCAAAAGTCCCCTGGGGCGCAGAATCGCCCCGGGTGAGGGCGACAGGGTGAGGACGACAGAGTGAGGATGACAGGGGCGCGGGGCCCGGACACCGGAGGAAACAGCAGCTTCGGGCTTAACTGAGCGCACAGCCCGAGGCCTCAGGGGCGGAAACCCGGCTCCCGGGAGGGACGCAGGCCCGCGGCTGGGGCCCCTCTCTGGACTCGGACTCACGGAATGAAGCACCTCTCGCGGAGACCGAAAGATTCTCCCAGACGCTGCAAGCGCGGCTCTTCTCACAAGACACAAGCGCGCTTCCGCTTCCGGTCTCCGGCTAGCCACACTGCACCTCCGCTTCCGGCTCCAGCTGGTCCCAGCCCAAAATGCGGCGTGTCAGGACCCCCGGGTTCAGGCTGCAGGTGCAGCAGCCGCGCACCCCAGCCTCCGGCTGAGGTGTTCTAGTTTGCTTAGTTATTAATAGAACCAGGTTGGGCCCTGGCTAGGGACAGCCGCGGAGGCAGGGTCGTCCTGGCGCGGGTCTGTGGCAGGGTTGGGGGCGGAACTAGCTCTTGAGCGGGGCTGTGGGCGGTACCAGGCCTGGAGGCGGGCCTGAGTGTTGACGGGGACCAGTTCCGGGGGCGGGGACCAACTCTGGAGCGGGGCTGTGGGCGGTACCAGGCCTGGAGGCAGGGCTGAGTGTGGGTGGAGATCAGCTCCGGGGGTGGGGAGAAGTTCTGGGGCGGGACCGTGGGCGGTACCAGGCATGGGGGCGGGGCTGTCAGGACAGAGACTAAGTTCCGGGGCGAGGTTGTGGGCGGGCATTAGGTTTGATGGGCGGATCTTGCTGTGGGTTAATACCAGGTTTGGTGGGCGAGTATGTGGACAAGATAAGGCAGTGGTGGGGCATGGAATGGGGTTGAGCTAGTAGGCTGAGAGGACAAGACTTGGTGGAGGTCAGTTTTTGGGTGTAGGGCTTTTTGTGGATTTTAAAACTGTTCAGGTAGCAGGATGCAAAATGAACTCTTTAAAGTTTTCTTCAGTCATTTCTCCACATTCACCGCCTGTTAAAATGATATAGCCACACATTTAGGGCGTGTGTGTGTGTGTGTGTGTGTGTGGCTTTTCGTTTGTTTGTTTTGAGACAGGGTCTCACTCTGTGGCCCAGGCTGGAGTGCAGTGGTGCAATCATAGCTCACTGCAGCCTCGACCTCCTGAGCTCAAGCCATCCTTCCACCCGGGCCTCCCACACTACCAAGCCTGACTATTTTTGTATTTGTTTGTAGAGAGGAGGTCTGTGTTGCCCAGGATGGTCTAGAACTCATGGCCTCAAGTCATACCCCACTTCGGCCTCCCAAAGTGCTGAGATTACAGGTGTGAGCCACACCACACCCAGCCTTTTTGTGTGATTTTGAGCTTCCTAATTTCTTTCAAAAATGGGATCATGTATGCATATTTCTCCCATCCAGAGGGGGACGAGGGGAGGGAGGACTAGGGAGGGATGTCTCCAAGTGAAAGCCAAAGCTGATTAATTGTCTAGTGCACATCTGGATCTACTGAAAAGAGAACTACATTTCTGGTGGAGAAAATAGGTGTTGGATTCATAGGAAGAAATAAAAAAGGAAATTTTAAAATTTAAGAGATCAAAAGAAAAAATGAGAAAAAATTATTAATGACATACTACTTGTTACATGTCTGGCTAAGGTTTAGATGCTACAAATGGTAAATATTGATGTCATAAAATGATAAACATTGAATTTTGATTTATCCAGATTCCTTAAATGATTATGTTTGGTGAGGAAAATTAGTTTTACAGTACGTAAGAGTTATGTGCTAATTGTTTCGGAGAAGAAAGTAATTCAATATAGTTTAAAGCTGATAAATGAAAAAGCAGTATAAATACCTAACTTACAAATATGTAATTACTATCAGAAAAAAAAAAAAGTTGCTTCTAGGAGCCAGGCTACAGGGTGAGGAAGGGAGCTTTTCGTTGTGAAAATTAAGATGTTATTTGAGATCTATGTGTGAACACATACAGCCTGAATTTGTATGCAAAAGGAATCGCTAAACTCTAGGGAAAAAATGTGAATATGATTCACTTTACAACAATGGAATGTATTTGAAGACTCTGGAATTCAAGAATTAAAAGGAAAAAAAACCAAAAACCCTATGGCCATCCTAGTGGACAAATGAATGGGACATTACTTTCCAACCTGCCTGGTAATAAACAGTTTTACATACATTATCCCTAAATATTTTCACAGAGACCTATAAGGAAGGTGTTACTATCTATCACTATTTATAGATGAGGAAACATATGGTGATCTGTGTGCTAAATTTTTCATATTTCATTGTGGGCAACAAGCCATCCAGGTGCCGAGGCAAGAGACCGAGGGCATGAGCTGTTCCAGTATAATAAAATATATAAAATAAGAATAGTTATACTAGATACAGATCATAGATATGATTATATGTGAATAGCATTAATCATTAGTTTGTAGCAATTACTCTTTATTCCAATATTATAATAATCCTAACTCTACAATCATAACCTAGGAAAAACCAGGCCATACAGAGATAGGAGCTGAGGGGACATAGTAAGAAGTGACCAGAAGACGAGTGCGAGCCTTCTGTTATACCCGGACAGGGCCACTAGAGGCCTCCTTGGTCTAGCGGTAACGCCAGCGGCTGGGAAGACGCCTGTTGCCAAGCGGACCTTGGTCTAGCGGTAGTGTCAGTATCAAGGAAGAACACCCGCTACTTAGCAGACGGGGCAAGGGAGTCTCCCTTTCCCCAGGGGAGTTTAGAGAAGACTCTACTCCTCCACCTCTTGTGGAGGGCCTGACATCAATCAGGCTCGCCTGCAGTTATCTGGAGGCCTAACGGTCTCCCTGTGATGCTGTGCTTCAGTGGTCACACTCCTGGTCCTCTTTCATGTTCCATCCTGTACACCTGGCTCTGCCTTCTAGATAGCAGTGGCAAAATTAGTGAAAGTACTAAAAGTCTCCGATATGCAGAAATAATGGCGTAAACTGTCTCTCTCTCTCCCTCTCTCTCTCTGCCTCGGCTGCCAGGCAGGGAAGGGCCCCCTGTCCAGTGGACACGTGACCCACGTGACCTTACCTATCATTGGAGATGGCTCACACTCCTTACCCTGCTCCTTTTTCTTATATCCAATAAATATCAGCACAGCCTGGCATTCAGGGCCTCTACCAGTCTCTGCATCTTGGTGGTAGTGGTCCCCCAGTCCCAGCTGTCTTTTCTTTTATCTCTTTGTCTTTATTTCTACAATCTCTTGTCTCCACACACAGGGAGAAAAACCCACTGACCCTGTGGGGTTGGCCCCTACATTTCATAGTTCTTAATGTTGTTTTATTTAAAAGTTTTTAATTAGATTTTTAAAATTAATAAAATAATATATGCTCATTCTCACAAATATGGAGTATGTAAAACACAATTCAAAACTCCCTTTCCCGGGTGTGGTGGCTCATGCCTGTAATCACAGCACTTTGGGAGGCAGAGGTGGGTGGATCACTTGAGGTCAGGAGCTCGAAACCAGCCTGGCCAACATGATGAAACCCTGTCTCTACTAAAATTACAAAACAAATTAGCCGGGTGTGGTGCCTGTAATCTCAGCTACTCGGGAGGCTCAGGCAGGAGAATTGCTTGAACCTGGGAGGCAGAGGTTGCAGTGAGCCGAGATCACGCCATTGCACTCCAGACTGGGCAACAAGAGTGAAACTCCATCTCAAAAAAAAAAATTAAAGTAAAAAATAAGATAAAACTCCCTTTCCCTTCTCTAATTTGACTTTGAGGTGACCATTACTATAGTCCTTGCTCTACAAAAAATTAAACTTAAGACATGTAATAATATAATTTACTACATAAATACTAGAAAAAGCATTTTATCACAATATATATTCCTATATTGAGAGTTTTAAAATAGTTTTTAAAAATACTATAATACTATATACTAATTATTCTGGAGATTACTTTAAAAAATTAACAGACCATGGACTTTTTTCCAGGTAGATATGAGTGTTTAGCCAAGTCTTAAATAAGTGGTATGATATTCCAATTAATTGCTGTACCAAAATTTATTTAATCACTCATCTACTAACACATAGTCATATTATGTAGTCTTTTTTTTTTTTTAATTTTTTAAAAAGAGGCAGGGTTTTACCATGTTGCTCAGGTTGGTCTTGAACTTCTGACCTCAGGTGATCCACCTGCGTCGGCCTCCCAAAGTGCTGGGATTACAGGCGTGAGCCAGTGGACCCAGCCGAATAAATCAGATTTAATATCTAGACAGAGATGGATGCATACCTATAAAAATTTATAACCTATA
Source organism: Homo sapiens (assembly GCF_000001405.40). Lineage (NCBI taxonomy): Eukaryota > Metazoa > Chordata > Mammalia > Primates > Hominidae > Homo > Homo sapiens. The sequence continues at coordinate 7,065,662 of NC_000019.10, read as the reverse complement.
AAAATTAATGTTAGAAAGTTTAATTTACCATCTAATTTCTAATTTTACTAACAGTAATAATATATATATTTTTGAGACAGGATCTCTCACTCTGCTGCTCAGGCTGGAGTGCAGTGGCTCCATCATGGCTCACTGTAGCCTCGAATTTCTGGGCTCAAGTGATCCTTCTGCCTCAGCCTCCTGAAGAGCTAGGACTACAGGTGCACACCACCACATCTGGCTAATTTAAAACATTTTTGTAGACATAGGGTCTTGCTATGTTATCCAGCTGGTCTTGAACTCCTAGCCTCAAGTGATCTGCTCACCTCGACCTCCTGAGTAGGTGAGATTACAGGTGTATGCCACCATGCCCAGCTAATTTTTCATTTTTTTCTTTTTCTTTTCTTTTTTATGGAGACAGGCTCTTGCTATTTTGCCTAGGCTGGTTTTGAACTCCTGGCCTCAAGCAATCTTCCTGCCTTGGCCTCCCAAAGTGCTGGGATTACAGGCATGAGCCACCACTGCTCCTGACCTGGTCCTTGTACTTTGAAAAGGGCATGACATGAATGAATATATTTAGTACCTCGATTGTGGTGGTGGCACCATAAGTGTGTGCATATGTCCAAACCCATCAAAATGTATACATTTATTATTTATTTTTATTTTTGAGACCAAGTCTCCTCTGTCACCCAGGCTGGAGTGCAGTGGCAGAATTTGATGGGCAAGCTCCACAATTCTTCCACCTTGCGATCCAGCAAGTAGGAAAAAAAAAAAAAAGGTCAATCCAGAATTTACTAAAGTAAAAGTCTTCTGTGTATTGGAAAGGGTTCACTGTCTTGAGGAAGTGTTGGAAACCAGAGATTTCTCTCTTTTGGTGTGAAAGGCAGAAGTAAATTCTTTAGTAAATTTTCTCTTTGTATCTCTAGCATCTGACAGTCATTGGTCTCTGGTTTTTTTGTTTTGTTTTGGTTTTTTGTTTGTTTGTAATGGCGCCGTCTCAGCTCACCACAACCTCCGCCTTCCGGGTTCAAGCGATTCTCCTGCCTCAGCCTCCCAAGTAGCTGGGATTACAGGCCTGCACCACCACGCCCGCTAATTTTGTATTTTTAGTAGAGACGGGATTTCTCTATGTTGGTCAGGCTGGTCTCAAACTCCCGACTTCAGGTGATCTGCCCGCCTTGGCCTCCCAAATTGCTGGGATTATAGGTGTGAGCCTGGTCTCTGGATGCCCCTGAGAAAGTCATATTCTAGGATGGGGTACTTCTCTGTGTTGCGGAATTCCTGGCGTCCTGTAATCCTGATGTTTCCAGTAAGGCACACAGCTATGAACTGTCAGCAGTCAGTATTCTCAGCAGCTGGGGGATGGAGGCATTGGCCATGGACAGGACTCTGGGTCGAGACTCACAGCATCCACTGCACGTTCTGTTTTATTCCCATCCTTGCTATTGTTAATAATGTTGACTGGGCACACACATGTAATCTCAGCAGTTTGGGAGGCCAGGGCGGGAGGATCACTTGGGGCCAACAGTTTGAGGCCAGGCTGGGCAACATAGTGAGACCCCATCTCTACCAAAAAAACCCAAAATACAAAAATTAGCCAGGTGTGGTGGCATGCGCCTGTAGTCACAGTTCCTTGGGAGGCTGAGGCAGGAAGATCACCTGAGCTCAGGAGGTTAAGACTACAGTGAGCCATGATCATACCACATGCCACTGCACTCCAGCCTGGGCAACATTGTGAGACCCCTTCTCAACAACAACAAAATTAGCTAGGTGTGGTGGCATGCATCTGTAGTCCCAGTTCCTTATGAGGCTGAGGCGGGAGGATCACCTGAGCCAGGAGGTCGAGACATCAGTGAGCCGTGATTGTACCACTGCACTCCAACCTGGTTGACAGAGTGAGACCTTCTTTCCAAAATAATAATAATAATCATCAGCATCATCACCATCATGATCATTTCATGATACAGGGAATTCCCTAAGGTCTGTTTATAACTCTGTTATAACTCTCATGGATATGTAAGCTCAGTGTCCACCTTTCCATTCGATGAGATGTAAGAGAGTGGCATTAGGGGAGACCCAAATATTTCTCTGTAGAATTCCCAAACTCCTTACCCGTGGGCTTCTGTAGCACCCCAGAAGAGCTCCAATCTTGGTTGAAGATACTGACGTGGTACCTGGCATGACGGCAACAGTTTTGTTCTGTGTCTGGCAGTTGTATTTAGGGATAGTCTGTCTCCCTGCAGAGAGCCACAGAAGGGAGCTCTCCAAGATCCTTAGGACACTGGGAAAGGCATCCCACAGATGGAAACCCAGAGACAGTTTGGGGAGCACATGGAGATTCTTGTTTATCTCTCTCTATAATAATATATATAAACACATAATGTAATTATATAATATAAATTAAATACACATTATATATTATATAAATTACATATATTTAATATATAATTACATTATATAGAATTGTATAATTATACTATATATAAGCTATATATACTTGCATAATATATAATTTACACATATTATACTATATAAATATAATATATAATTTATACATATAAATATATATAATTTACACATATAATATATAATTTACATATATTATAATATATAAATATAATATACAATTTACATATATTATAATATATAGATATATACAATTCACATATATTATAATATATAAATATAATATACAATTTACATATATTATAATATATGAAAAAAATATAATTTACATATAATATATAAATATAATATATAATTTACATATATTATATATAACATGTAATCTACATATATAATATATAATTTATATATTATATATTGTAATTATACATATAATATATAATTATAATATATAATATACAATTACATAAAATAAATTATAATTCCAATAATAGTAAATATATAATATAAAAAATATAATATACATAATGAATATATTTATTATCTATAATATATATAATTATAATTATATATAACATATTCTATTGTATATAATTATATTTATATATAATGTATTATATATAACTATCATTATATGTAATATATTGTATTATATATGAAATGTAAAATATATAATTATATATTATAATATAATTTATATTATATAATTGTATTATACATTATAATATAATTAAATATATTTAATTATATTATAATGTATAATATAATTAAATATATTTAATTATATTATAATGTATAATTTAAATATATTTAATTATAATCTATAATATAATTATATATAATATATTATAATATATATAATTATATATTATAATATATATAATTATATATTATAATATAATATTATATATTATAAATAATATAATATATTATTTATAATATATAATTATATATAATATAATATATTATAATATATCATATAATTATATATATTATAATATATATAATTATGGATTATAATCTATAATATAATTATATATAATATATTATAATATATAATATATTATATATATAATTATATATAATATATTATATATATAATTATATATAATATATTATAATATATAATTATATTTAATATAATTATATATATAATTATATATAATATAATTATATATATAATTATATATAATATAATTATATTATAATTTATAATATAATTATATTTAATTATATAATATATAATTATATATTAATTATATTATATATATAATTATATAATAATATATTATATAATTATATTATTATATATTATCTATAAGTATATAATATATAATTATATTATGTATTATAATTATATTATATATTATAATTATATTTTATATTGTATATAGAATATAATTATATATAATTATATTCTATATAGAATATAATTATATATAATTATATTCTATATAGAATATAATTATATATTATATAATTCTATTATATATTATATATAATTTATATATTATATAATTATATTATATATAATTTATATATAATTATATTATATAATATTATAATATAATTATATATTATAATATAATGTATAGATATCTGTATAATAGTATCTCATTGTAATTTTTATTTTTTTAGCATTTCCCTGAAGCTAAAAGGGTTAAACATTTGCTCAAATTTTGCTGGTCATTTAGGCCGGGCGCGGTAGCTCATGCCTGTAATCTCAGCAATTTGGGAGGCCAAGGCAGGTGGATCACTTGAGGTCAGGAGTTCAAGACCAGCCTGGGCAACACGGTAAAACCCTGTTTCTACTCAAAATACAAAAATTAGCTGGACGTGGTGGTGGGAGCCTGTAATCCCACCTACTCAGGAGGCTGAGGCAGGAGACTCGCTTGAACCCAGAAGGCAGAGTTGCGGCGAGCCAAGATCGTGCCACTGCACTCCAGCCTGGGTGACAGAACAAGACTCCACCTGAAAATTTATAATAATAATAATGATAATAATAATTTTTTACGGTCACTTGTTTATATTCTTTTGTGTAGGATCCATTCAAGTTTTTCACCCAGTTTCAAGTGTGTTTTCATTATTTTTCTCTGTTTGTTTGACATTATTCTCTTTTTTTTAAATATTAAGATTTTTTTTATATATATACTCTGGCTTGATGTACTTTCCTGGGGGTACAGGATCCAAACCTCTTCCCCCACTCCGGTTTTCCACGCTTTCTCTCTTACTGATGTATTTGAATGAATAGTTGCTCTTAATGTATCTTAATATGGTTCAAATTTGAATTTTCTCCTTTCTATTTAGAGTTTCATTGTATCAAGAAGGCAGATTATCTCCTCATTGACTGTGAAGCTGTTCTTCTACCTAGTTTTTAATTAAAGCTATTTACTGTGTTTTATGCTTAGAACTGAAACTAAGAGTATAAGAAATTAGGCCAGGCACGGTGGCTCACGCCTGTAATCCTAGCACTTTGAGAGGCCAAGGCAGGTGAATCACTTGAGGTCAGTAGTTCGAGACCACCCTGGCCAACATGGTGAAACCCCGTCTCGACAAAAAATACAAAAATAAGCTGGGTGTGGTGGCATGTGCCTGTAGTCCCAGCTACTTGGGAGGCTGAAGCAGGAGAATCATTGAACCCGGGAGGCAGAGGTTGCAGTGAGCTGAGATCCCGCCACTGCTCTCCAGCCTGGGTGACAGAGTGAGACCCCATCTCGAAAGAAAAGAGAGAAAAGAAAGGAAGACAGGAAGGAAGGAAGACAGGAAGGAAGGAAGGAAGGAAGGAAGGAAGGAAGGAAGGAAGGAAAATTAAAATGAGACTGAACCTAGAAAAAAGGTAGATTAGCAAAGTGGAACAAGGTTCAAGAGCAAATATTCCCACCAAAGCATGAACAACATTGGAAACTTCAGAGACAAGTGGGATGTGATTAAAAGAAGAGTAGAGAGAACTTGGACAAGAATGGATATCAGAAGTGAAGGATACATATGCACCTTCCAAACCAATGAAAGACATCAACCCACAGATGCAATTGACTCCACACCCTCTAGGCAAAGGAAATACACAGGAAGCAATAATGAGCTACACTGTGGCCTACAAACCAACCACAACGAGAAAGAGTTTAGAGAATGTGGAAACCAAAGAAGCAAGGAAAAGCCTGACAGCTGACATCTCAACACAGGTAAAATGAGATAGACATCAGTGGGGCACCATTTCTAATATGCTGAAAGAAATTTGTCAAACCAGACACCCGTACCTGACAGCAATATTGCCCCCAAATAAAGATGCCTAAATAAAAGTGTAAAGGAAAACAATTAGTTGTTAGCAGCATTGAATTAGAAGAAAAATACTAGAATGAATTCTCAAGTCCACAGGGAAATAATCCCAGATTGAATGCTAGAAATGCAGAAAGGAACAAAGATGAATGCACAAGATAAGCTGTAGGTAAATATTAGTGCATATTGCTTTATGAAGCAATACTAGAAATGTCTCCTGGAGAGTAAAATATGTGTAGAATTAATATGCATGAGAATGGTAATACAAAAGTCAGAAACAGCTAAAAAGAGAATTAAAAGTGTTCTAAAGTATTAGCATTTTGTGGGAGGGGTTAAAGTAATTAATTGTATCAGAGTATATGATTTAATTATTAGCATAACTACACAGATTTGTATGGCTGTAACTAGCAAGTTCATGGAGATAACAATAAAATAATAAACATATTTAATTCAAAGTCAGTCAAGTAAAGGCAAAAGGAACGTGAGTCAGTTAAGTCAAAACCTAGGAAAAATGAGATGATTGAAACAATTTCAAATTTACTGGTAATTATATTAAATGTAAATGCACGAAATAGAACTTTTTTTTTTTTTTTTTTTTGAGATGGAGTCTCACTCTGTCGCCCATGCTGAGCTGCAGTGGTGCGATCTCGGCTCACCGCAACCTCTCCCTCCCAGGTTCAAGCGATTCTCCTGCCTCAGCCTCCCGAGTAGCTGGGATTACAGGTGCATGCCACCACACCAGGGTAAGTTTTGTATTTTTAGTAGAAATGGGGTTTCACCATGTTGGCCAGGCTGGTCTCGAACTCTTGACCTCAGGTGATCTACCTGCCTTGGTCTCCCAAAGTGCTGGGATTATAGGCGTAAGCCACCTCTCCCGGCCAAAGTAGTAATTTCTTTGCAACAACTGTGTGATATATTCTATAGGATTGTGAATAAAAGTTTTGGGCTTTCTTTTCTTAAAGAACATTTAAATGGTCTTTAGTTGTTGTTATTAAATCAAATATTACGTGAACATTTATGTACATAGACAATTCCATTCCTATTTCTATAGAAAGTATTCAAAGATGTTTGGAAAACTGGGAGAAAAAGGGAAACATATCTAAAATGCTGATATTAACTGTAAATACCACCCCGCCACACACACATACACACGTATTCAATTCTTTCTCTACTAACACTCTGTGTAGGTAACACCACATTGGTTTCTGTATAAAGATTTAGAAATGCCTCAAATCCAATGGGCGGAGACAGGGTGTTCCCTGTGGATTATCCACTGATTGCATTATCACTCGCTTTCTCTATAAAAAGGGGAACCAGATGCAGAAGTCACTGCATTTTCCGGCAAGCCAAGGGTTGTCTGCATCTCAAGAGTGGGGTCAGCAAGAGAAACTCTACGGCTATGGGAGAGCCTGCGTTCACCTCTTTTCCGAGCCCACCTGTTCTGGTGAGTACGGGATATTTATTGATTACAGGAATGTCCATATGTGTCCTTTTTCCTTCTGTAAGACAGCTTTACAGTTAGCAGTGGGTTGTTCTTAAAACTGGATGTTGTGGAAAGTTATACCTCAGGTGGTAATATCTGTTGAATAATGTTCAAAGTATTCTCATTTTTGCCCATGAAACTGTATGGGGATAATAGCTTTGAATTTTTTTTTAAAAATCCAACATCACTAGGAAAGGGAAGAAGTATGATTTGGCCTTGCAGTCTTCAAATTGTCTCCTTCTCTGGAAAGCTCCTGAACCAGAAATTGCTTGGTCCGTTTTTTTAAAAAAACAAAAAACAAAAAAAATTAGTTCTCTGGTAAAATTTCATGATGAGTTGCTTATTCCCTAAACTCACTGTCACGATTCATTGTAGTGAATTTCTTTTCTGTTTCTCTGTTTCTCCTCCTTCCATCCCTCTCTGTCACTCCCTTCTTCTTCATCATGGAACTTACTTATATCTGATATTCCACCAGAAATTTGTTTTTAGTGCGTTTATTATGTCTTCCTTCTCACCAAGATGAAAATCAACAGAGTGGTGATTTATGAAGTTTACTTCTGGATCAGGGGTTCTACTGCACAGCTTGGCACATCATAAGTGCCCCGTAACTAAGGGGACTAAATAATTTTCCCTCCAAAGGGGAACATCTTGGGTCAGTATTAATCTTTATGCCAGGGGTACTGTAAGGGGTAGTATTAATCTTTATGCCAGGACAACGAAAAATGAAATGAGGAGGACAGAAACAAAGGCTTTAAAATGGAAAGTGCACTGATGAGGTTTGTGGGGGAAACAGCTTTATGAGACTAGAGTCTTCCAATTGAGTTAGAGCAAGAAAGGACGTCAAATCTTAGGAGGCGCTTGATCATCTTTCTCAGTATGTCATCAAAAGATTCTCTCATGGTATACCTCTAGTTAATTGAGCTTATTAGAAACAGAAAGCAACATGGTGTTTCTGAGGTTTTTCTTCATGAGCAGGAGGTGTTCAGGTGAAGGTGGGATCTGGGTGTGGCAGTGAGTATTTAAGGTGGCGAGTGCAGGATTTCTTTGGAAACCAGAGAGTCAAGGAGCTATGAAAATGACGTTGTGTCCTGAAGCACAGCAGAAAGAGATACAGAGAAGCGTGAGGTCTTGGTGAACAGGGAAGTCTGGGATCCCGGTGTCCTGTTGGGGATGGGTTAGGAGGCACCACCAGCATCTGTGTAGCTGACAGTGGCAGGGAAGAGAAGAGAGGGGTGTCCTCTGAGGAGGATGAGGAGGGACAAGGTCTGGAACTGACCCTGGGTCATGACCTTGAGCATTTAGTCCTTGACTCGCATCAGCCCGATGAGGTCCCAGGACCCAGTGTCAATGCCTGGAGCTCCTGCCAGCAGCATCAGGGTCACACGGAGAAATGCAGACTCTAGGGTCCACCCCAGACTTACTTGGGTTCAGGTCCACATATCTGACTTTAGCAAGCCCTGCAGGGGCTGAGGATGTACACTGCCATTTGAGACACATTTCCCCAGAAAGAGAGGCTGGTGGGAAGATTCCACTGAGCTGAGAGAAGCCCCCCACAGCTGATCTTCTCCTGTCTCCAATTGGTTGAAATTTCACATTTTCTTTTCTTTTCTTTTGAAAGGGGAAGCTCAAAAGAAACATGATGCCCTGGGCTTTACAGAAGAAACGAGAAATCCACATGGCCAAGGCCCATCGGAGACGAGCTGCGAGGTCTGCTCTCCCCATGAGACTCACCAGCTGCATCTTCCGGAGGCCGGTGACAAGGATCAGGTCTCATCCTGACAACCAGGTCAGACGCAGAAAAGGGGACGAGCACCTGGAGAAGCCGCAGCAACTCTGCGCCTACCGGAGACTGCAGGCCCTGCAGCCCTGCAGCAGCCAAGGAGAAGGTTCAAGTCCACTGCATTTGGAGAGCGTCTTAAGTATCCTTGCACCGGGGACGGCCGGTGAATCTCTGGACAGGGCTGGTGCTGAGCGTGTGCGCAGCCCGCTTGAGCCCACCCCTGGGCGGTTTCCAGCTGTGGCAGGGGGGCCAACCCCAGGAATGGGTTGTCAGCTCCCACCGCCCCTCTCTGGCCAATTGGTGACTCCTGCAGATATCCGGAGACAGGCCAGGAGGGTGAAGAAAGCCAGGGAGAGACTGGCCAAGGCCTTGCAGGCAGACAGGCTGGCCAGGCAGGCAGAAATGCTGACATGTAGATGAAGCGCAGTCCTGGGCTTTCGGTCCCTTTCTTTTAATGCCCATCCTCATTCCTACTCTGAATTGTCACACTTTTCCCTTCCCCACCAGTTCTTTAATAAAAGTATTTGAAAGGCAACAGGTGTAAGGAGTGGATGGTTTTGTGGTGAGAAATTGGGTTTTATGGGATGAGGAAGGAGACCTTTACATGTCACTGTACATCTCAGTTTCTGTTTACCATGATTTTAATTAATTGTTTTTTTTGTTTGTTTGTTTGTTTTGAGACGGAGTCTTGCTCTGTTGCCCAGGCTGGAGTGCAATGGCGCGATCTCGGCTCACTGCAACCTCCACCTCCCGGGTTCAAGTGATTCTCCTGCCTCAGCGTCCCGAGTAGCTGGGATTACAGGTGCCCACCACCATGCCCGGATATTTTTTGTATTTTTAGTTGAGATGGGGTTTCACCATGCTGGCCAGGCTGGTCTTGAACTGCTGACCTCAGCAATCTGCCCACCTCGGCCTTCCAAAGTACTGGGATTACAGGCATAAGCCACGTTGCCTGGCCGTTAATTAGTTTTTGTATTAAATTCTAATTTAATCTTTGGCCTGGCGCTGTGGCTTATGCCTGTAGTCCCAGCACTTTGGGAGGCGGAGCAGGGCAGATCGTCTGAGGTCAGGAGTTCAGGACCAGCCTGGCCAATATGGCGAAACCCCATCTCTACTAAAAATAACTAATCAGGTGTGGGGGCGGATGCCTGTAATCCCAGCTACTGGAGAGGCTGAGGCAAGAGAATCGGTTGAACCAAGGAGGCAGAGGTTGCAGTGAGCCAAAATGGTGCCACTGTACTCCAGCCTTGGTGAAACTTTGTCTCAAAACAAAAATTCCAATTTAATTTTCAAATGAAATCCTTTAAAAATGAAATGAAATTCTGTAATTTTAAATGAAACGAATACATTACATTATAATTTGTTAAAAATGTATTACATTTTCATTTTTAAATTGAGTTTTCATTGTTTGAAATTTTCGAATTAGGGGAACATGTACATGTTTGTTACATGGATATATCGCTTAACGGTGGGGGTTGGTTTTGTAGTTTATGGGTTACCCAAATACTGAATATCGTACCCAGTAGCTAAGTTTTCAACCCATGGGTAAACTCAATTAACCTAGCCTGAAGGATTATTCAGTGTTTAGACATTACATTTTCTCCCTATAGTATACATTCTCAAGGCGAAGTTGGTACGTATCCCAAGATTTTTTTTTTAATGAAACATTTTTACCCCATTAACTCTGATGTGGTTATCAGACATTTTGTGCCTGTATCAAAATATCTCACGTACCACATAAATATATACACATACTACGTCCCTGCCCGCTGTTTGACTTTGAGTTTCCTTACGTCTTTATCATTGATCGAAACATGGAATGGAATACTTCATGGTAATTATTTTATGCATCTCGGGTTAGGTGGAAACTACTGGTTGTTTTCACTCTAGCAGAGTTAGGGTGGCAGGAAGTGCCCATCAGCAGATGCTACTGCACACCAGCCCGGGCGACAGAGCAAGACTCTGTGTCTAAAAATAAATATATAATTTATATATAATTATAAATACATTATATATAATTTATACATAATTATAAATACATTATGTATAATAAAATTATATACTATATAATTATATTATATACTGTAATATATTTCTTATATAATTATATTATAATATAATTTATATGTTATATAATTATATTTTATATTATAATATAATTTATATGTTATATAATTATATTATATATTATAATACAATTTATATGTTATATAATTATATTATATATTATAATATAATTTATATGTTATATAATTATATTTTATATTATAATATAATTTATATGTTATATAATTATATTATAAATTATAATATAATTTATATAGTATATAATTATACATATTATATATTAAATTATAATTTGTATATTATATAATTATATATATTAAAATATAATTTATATATTATATAATTATATATATTATGTATTATAATTATATTTATATATTATATTTATATAATTATATGTAATATATTTATTAATTATATAATATAATTATATAATATATAGGTATCTAATTATTATATATAATTATATATATTAATTATATAATATAATATATATTATATTATATAATATATAATTATACATAACTATATTATATATAATATATAATTATAATACAATATGATATAATTTTATATAATTATATTATATTATATATATTATATATTATATATTACATATTATATATATTATATATTATATATTACATATTATATATTATATATATTATATATACTATATAATATAAATTATATATTATACATAATATATAATATAATTATATATAATTATATTATAGTATATTATATATATTATATATAATTATATATTATTATATTTAATACAGTTATGTATAATTATATATTATATAATATAATATATATTATATTATATAATTATAATATATATAATTATATATAATTATATAATATACCTATATAGTATATATTATACAATTATATTATATAATTATATAAATATGATATATAAATATAATTATAATATATAATATATAATTACATAATATATAAATTATATTTTAATATATAATATATGTAAGTATATAATATATAAATTATATTATAATATATAATATAATTATATAACATATAAATTATATTATATATATAATATAATTATATAACATATAAATTATATTATATATATAATATAATTATATAACATATAAATTATATTATATATATAATATAATTATATAACATATAAATTATATTATATATAATATAATTATATAACATATAAATTATATTATAATATATAATATAATTATATAGCATATAAATTATATTATAATATAAAATATAATTATATAACATATAAATTATATTATAATATAATTATATAAGAAATATATTATAGTATATAATATAATTATATAGTATATAATTGTATTATACATAATGTATTTATAATTATGTATACATTATGTGTAATGTATTTATAATTATATAGAAATTATATATAATGTATTTATAATTATATATAAATTATATATAATGTATTTATAATTATATATAAATTATATATTTATTTTTAGACACAGAGTCTTGCTCTGTCGCCCGGGCTGGTGTGCAGTAGCATCTGCTGATAGGCACTTCCTGCCACCCTAACTCTGCTAGAGTGAAAACAACCAGTAGTTTCCACCTAACCCGAGATGCATAAAATAATTACCATGAAGTATTCCATTCCATGTTTTGATCAACGATAAAGAGAAAGAGGTAAGGAAACTCAAAGTCAAACAGCGGGCAGGGACGTAGTATGTGTATATATTTATGTGGTACGTGAGATATTTTGATACAGGCACAAAATGTCTGATAACCACATCAGAGTAAATGGGGTAAAAATGTTTCATTAAAAAAAAAATCTTGGGATACGTACCAACTTCGCCTTGAGAATGTATATTATAGGGAGAAAATGTAATGTCTAAACACTGAATAATCCTTCAGGCTAGGTTAATTGAATTTACCCATGGGTTGAAAACTTAGCTACTGGGTACGATGTTTAGTATTTGGGTAACCCATAAACTACAAAACCAACCCCCACCGTTAAGCGATATATCCATGTAACAAACATGTACACATGTACCCCTAAATCGAAAATTTCAAACAATGAAAACTCAATTTAAAAATGAAAATGTAATACATTTTTAACAAATTATAATGTAATGTATTCGTTTCATTTAAAATTACAGAATTTCATTTTTAAAGGATTTCATTTGAAAATTAAATTAGAATTTTTGTTTTGAGATAAAGTTTCACCAAGGCTGGAGTACAGTGGCACCATTTTGGCTCACTGCAACCTCTGCCTCCTTGGTTCAACCGATTCTCTTGCCTCAGCCTCTCCAGTAGCTGGGATTACAGGCATCCGCCCCCACACCTGATTAGTTATTTTTAGTAGAGATGGGGTTTCGCCATATTGGCCAGGCTGGTCCTGAACTCCTGACCTCAGACGATCTGCCCTGCTCCGCCTCCCAAAGTGCTGGGACTACAGGCATAAGCCACAGCGCCAGGCCAAAGATTAAATTAGAATTTAATACAAAAACTAATTAACAGCCGGGCAAGGTGGCTTATGCCTGTAATCCCAGTACTTTGGAAGGCCGAGGTGGGCAGATTGCTGAGGTCAGCAGTTCAAGACCAGCCTGGCCAGCCTGGTGAAACCCCATCTCTACTAAAAATGCAAAAAATATCCGGGCATGGTGGTGGGCACCTGTAATCCCAGCTACTCGGGAAGCTGAGGCAGGAGAATCACTTGAACCCGGGAGGTGGAGGTTGCAGTGAGCCGAGAGCGCGCCATTGCACTCCAGCCTGGGCAACAGAGCAAGACTCCGTCTCAAAACAAACAAACAAACAAACAAACAAAAACAATTAATTAAAATCATGGTAAACAGAAACTGAGATGTACAGTGACATGTAAAGGTCTCCTTCCTCATCCCATAAAACCCAATTTCTCACCACAAAAACATCCACTCCTTACACCTGTTGCCTTTCAAATACTTTTATTAAAGAACTGGTGGGGAAGGGAAAAGTGTGACAATTCAGAGTAGGAATGAGGATGGGCATTAAAAGAAAGGGACCGAAAGCCCAAGACTGAGCTTCATCCACCTGTCAGCATTTCTGCCCGCCTGGCCAGCCTGTCTGCCTGCAAGGCCTTGGCCAGTCTCTCCCTGGCTTTCTTCACCCTCCTGGCCTGTCTCCGGATATCTGCAGGAGTCACCAATTGGCCAGAGAGGGGCGGTGGGAGCTGACAACCCATTCCTGGGGTTGGCCCCCCTGCCACAGCTGGAAACCGCCCAGGGGTGGGCTCAAGCGGGCTGCGCACACGCTCAGCACCAGCTCTGTCCAGAGATTCACCGGCCGTCCCCGGTGCAAGGATACTTAAGACGCTCTCCAAATGCAGTGGACTTGAACCTTCTCCTTGGCTGCTGCAGGGCTGCAGGGCCTGCAGTCTCCGGTAGGCGCAGAGTTGCTGCGGCTTCTCCAGGTGCTCGTCCCCTTTTCTGCGTCTGACCTGGTTGTCAGGATGAGACCTGATCCTTGTCACCGGCCTCCGGAAGATGCAGCTGGTGAGTCTCATGGGGAGAGCAGACCTCGCAGCTCGTCTCCGATGGGCCTTGGCCATGTGGATTTCTCGTTTCTTCTGTAAAGCCCAGGGCATCATGTTCCTTTTGAGCTTCCCCTTTCAAAAGAAAAGAAAATGTGAAATTTCAACCAAATGGAGACAGGAGAAGATCAGCTGTGGGGGGCTTCTCTCAGCTCAGTGGAATCTTCCCACCAGCCTCTCTTTCTGGGGAAATGTGTCTCAAATGGCAGTGTACATCCTCAGCACCTGCAGGGTTTGCTGAAGTCAGATATGTGGACCTGAACCCAAGTAAGTCTGGGGTGGAACCTAGAGTCTGCATTTCTCCGTGTGACCCTGATGCTGCTGGCAGGAGCTCCAGGCATTGACACTGGGTCCTGGGACCTCATCGGGCTGATGCGAGTCAAGGACTAAATGCTCAAGGTCATGACCCAGGGTCAGTTCCAGACCTTGTCCCTCCTCATCCTCCTCAGAGGACACCCCTCTCTTCTCTTCCCTGCCACTGTCAGCTACACAGATGCTGGTGCCTCCTAACCCATCCCCAACAGGACACCGGGATCCCAGACTTCCCTGTTCACCAAGACCTCACGCTTCTCTGTATCTCTTTCTGCTGTGCTTCAGGACACAACGTCATTTTCATAGCTCCTTGACTCTCTGGTTTCCAAAGAAATCCTGCACTCGCCACCTTAAATACTCACTGCCACACCCAGATCCCACCTTCACCTGAACACCTCCTGCTCATGAAGAAAAACCTCAGAAACACCATGTTGCTTTCTGTTTCTAATAAGCTCAATTAACTAGAGTTACACCATGAGAGAATCTTTTGATGACATACTGAGAAAGATGATTAAGCCCCTCCTAAGATTTGAAATCCTTTCTTGCTCTAAATCAATTGGAAGACTCTAGTCTCATAAAGCTGTTTCAGATACAAACATAAAGCCTTCATTTCTGTCCTTCTCATTTCATTTCTGTTGTCCTGGCATTAAGATTAATACTACCCCTTACACGACCCAAGGTGTTCCCCTTTGGAGGGAAAATTATTTAGTCTCCTTAGTTACAGGGCACTTATGATGTGCCAAGCTGTGCAGTAGAACCCCTGATCCAGAAGTAAACTGCAGAAATCACCACTCTGTTGATTTTCATCTTGGTGAGAAGGAAGACATAATAAACACACTAAAAACAAATTTCCGATAGGGTATCAGATATAATTAAGTTCCATGATGAAGAAGAAGGGAGAGACAGAGAGGGATGGAGGGAGGAGAAACAGAGAAACAGAAAAGAAAGAAATTCACTACAATGAATCATGACAGTGAGTTTAGGGAAGGACTAACCAATCATGATATTTAACCAGAGAACTAAAATTTTTTTTTAAAGGGACCAAGCAATTTCTGGTTCAAGAACTTTCCAGAGAGAGAGACAATTTGAAGACTGCAAGGCCAAGTAATACCTCTTTTCCTTCTTAGTGATGTTGTTGGACTTTTAAAAAATCAGGGCTATTATCCCCAGATAGCTCCGTGAACAAAAAATTAGAATATTGTTGAATATTTTGAATATTACTTGAGTATTACTCAACAAATATTAACACCTAGGGTATAAGTTTCCACGAGATAGCATCTAGTTTTGAGAACAACTTGCTAAACTGTGAAGATGTTTTACAGAAAGAAAAAGGAATACAAATGGACATTATTTTGGTCAATAGTCAATAAGGATCCCATACTCACCAGAACAGGCAGGCTTGGAAAAGAGGTGAACGCAGGTTCTCCCATAGCTGTAGAGTTCCTCCTGCTGACCCCACTCCTGAGGCACAGACAGCCCTTGGCTTGCCGGAAAATGCAGTGGCTTCTGCATCTAGCTCCTCTTTTATAGAGGGAGTGATAATGCAATCAGTGGATAATCCATAGGGAACGCCCTGTCTCCACCCATTGGATTTGAAGCATTTCTAAATCTTTATACAGAAACCAATATGGTGTTACCAACACAGAATGTCAGTAGAAAAAGAATTTAATCCGTGTGTGTGGCGGGGTGGTATTTACAGTTAATATCGGCATTTTAGATATGTTTCCTTTTCCTCCCATTCTCTCAAACATCTTTGAAAGCATTCTACGGAAATAAGAATGGAATTGTCGGCCGGGTGCGGTGGCTCAATCCTGTAATCCCAGCACTTTGAGAGGCCGAGTCGGGCGGATCACCTGAGGTCAGGAGTTCGAGACCAGCCTCAACATGGAGAAACCCCGTCTCTACTAAAAATACAAAATTAACTGGGCATGATGGTGCATGCCTGTAATCCCAGCTACCCGGGAGGCTGAGGCAGGAGAATGGTGTGAACTTGGGAGGCAAAGGTTGCAGTGAGCCGAGATAGTGCCACTACACTCCAGCCTGGGCGACAGAGTGAGACTCCATCTCAAAAAAAAAAAAAAAAAAAAAAAAAAAAAAAGAGAGAAGAAACAAAAAGAAAAACACCTAATAAATAAACAGACCTAATAAAAAAGAAATACAGTCTCAGCAGCCTTGGTCTATGCAGTGACTACTCAGTTTTTTCCTATTATTTTTCATGATGTTTTCATTGTATAAATCTTCCTGGTTTGATCTTTGAGGAGGCAGACAGATGCTGGCTATTTTACCAATTTGGACCTGGGGCTAGGAAGTTTAAGACACAATTAGCTTACGTATTTAATCACATTGTGGCAATTTCAATGCACCGATGCCTCCCCTGCAAACTCCAATATATAGACACAATATACCGCGCTCTAGCCTGGGCGACAGAGTGAGACTCCATCTAAAAAAAAAAAAAGAAAGATCTCCTATTAATGAAAATGCAGAGAGAAATGGGTGTTAGAAAATCATATTGGAAAAGATATTTGCATGATGTGCATCCAGTAAAGTACATCAAGCCAGAATACAGACTAGAAAGATGTCCATCAAATGAAAAAAAATACTAAAAATTGATGTGCAAAATGAGTGGAAAACTTCAGTAGGCACTATTGAAGAGAGAATAAATAAATGGTCAATACAATCCTGAACACATGCCCAAATTCTGTTTAGCTTCAGATAAACGCTGATGAAAAATCACTATGAGATACTCATATACACTTCTGTTTGGCTAAAATGAAAAAATAGCAATGCCAAGTGCAGACATGGCTATGGAGCAATCATACCATTCACGTGTAGCCAGTGAGAGTTTAAATGGGAAGAAATGTACTTTATTTGTATCCCAACCTGAACGTACATTGGAATCTCCTGGAGAGTTTGAAAAACTAATGGTAGCACACACCCCTACACATTTTTATTCCACTGATGTTGGATGCAGCCTAGGCTATAGGAATTTTACAATCCCCTAAAGACCAAAAGGACAGCCAAGGATGACACACCACTTCCCTGGTTGGTTTGGAGTCTGTGGTTTTGAACTTTGGTTTGCAGAAAACACACCTGGGAGTGTTTTCACACCTGGGTGCCTTCCAGACCAGTGTCTCCGGATGCCTACGGGAGGGGCCAGGAAATCAGAAATCATTTATTTATTTATTTATTTATTTAGAGTCTCCCTCTGTTGCCCAGGCTGGAGTGCAATGACGTGATCTCGGCTCACTGCAACCTCCACCTCCCGGGTTTAAGCAATTCTCCTGCCTCAGCCTCCCAAGTAGCTGGGTTTACAGGCCCAAGACACCACGCCCAGCTAATTTTTTTTTCTTGGAGACAGAGTCTTGCTCTGTTGCCCAGGCTGGAGTGCAATGACGTGATCTCGGCTCACTGCAACCTCCACCTGCCAGGTTCAAGCAGTTCTCCTGCCTCAGCCTTCCAAGTTCCAAGTAGCTGGGATTACAGGCGCCTGCCACCACATCCGGCTATTTTTTGTATTTTTTTTAGTAGAGACGAGGTATCACCACGTCGGCCAGGCTGGTCTCAAACTCCCGACCTCAGGTGATCCACCTGCCTCAGCCTCCCAAAGTGCTGGGATGACAGGCATGAGCCACCACGCCCAGCCACGCCCAGCTAATTTTTGTATTCTTGGTAGAGTCAGGGTTTCATCATGTTGGCCAGGCTGGTCTTGTCCTGACCTCAAGTGATCTGCCCACCTCAGCCTCCCAAACAGAATTTATTGTTATTATTATTTTTAAGAACTCCAAGTCCTGCCAGGGCAGGGTGGTTTACACCTGTTATCCCAGCACTCTGGGAGGCCGAGGCGGACAGATCATTTGAGGTCAGGAGTTTGTGACCAGCCTGGCCAACTTGGTGAAACCCCATCTCTACTAAAAATACAAAAATTAGGCCGGGTGTGGTGGCTCACGCCTGTAATCCTAGCACTTTAGGAGGCCGAGGTGGTTGGATCACTTGAGGTCAGGAGTTTAAGACCAGCCTGGCCAACATGGTGAAACCTCATCGCTACTAAAAATACAAAAATTAGCTGGGCGTGGTGGCAGGTGCCTGTAATCCCAGCTACTCAGGAGGCTGAGGCAGGATAATTGCTTGAACCCAGGGGGCAGAGGTTGCAGTGAGCCAAGATCGCACCAGTGCACTCCAGCCTGCACGACAGAGCAAGACTCTGTTTCGAAAAAAAAAAAAAATACAAAAGTTAGCTAGGCTTGGTGGTGGGCACCTGTAATAACAGTGACTCGAGAGGCTGAGGCAGGAGAATTGCTTGAATCCGGGAGGCGGAATTTGCAGTGAGCTGAGATCGCACCACTGCACTCCAGCCTGGGTGACAGAGCCAGATTCTATCGCAAAAAAAAAAAAAAAAAAAAAAAAAGGAACTCTAAGTCCTTCATTTCTAAGTCAAGAAGAGGACATTTCTGTCATTTCGGGGGTCTCAGATTTTGCAGCTCATTTGAATTTCACAGTAAAATTTAAAAGGACTGGTGTCTGGATCCCAGGCAGGATCATTTGCATCCATATAATGGAGTTTGCTGAGGTGCTGAGGGAGACATCAGTACCTTGAAATTGCCCTACAGGATTAAATCTGTAAGCTAATTGTGTCTTTTTTTTTTTTTTTTAATTTGAGACGGAGTCTTGCTCTGTCGCCCAGGCTGGAGTGCAGTGGCGCGATCTCAGCTCACTGCAAGCTCTGTCTCCTGGGTTCACGCCATTCTCCTGCCTCAGCCTCCCGAGTAGCTGGGACTACAGGCCCCCACCACCACGCCCAGCTAATTTTTTTTGTATTTTTCAGTAGAGACGGGGTTTCACAGTGTTAGCCAGGACGGTCTCAGCTCCTGACCTCATGATCCTCCTGCTTTGGCCTCCCAAAGTGCTGGGATTACAGGCGTGAGCCACCGCACCCGGCCCTAATTGTGTCTTAAACTTCCTAGTCCCAGGTCCAAATTGGCAAAATAGCCAGTATTTCTCTGCATCCCCAAAGATCAAACCAGGAGGATTTACACAAGGAAAAGATTGTGAAAAATCATAAGAAAAAACTGAGTAGTCACTGCAGAGACCAAGGCTGCAGAAATTGTATTTTTTTTATCTGTTTATCTATTAGGTGTTGGGTGTTTGTTTGTTTGTTTTGAGACAAATTCTCACTCTCACCCCAGCTGGAGTGCAGTGGCGTGATCTCAGATCACTGCAACCTCCACCTCCCAGGTTCAAGGGATTCATGTACCTCAGCCTCCCAAGTAGCTGGGATTACAGGTGCCCACCACCATGCCTGGCTAATTTTTGTATTTTTAGTAGCAACAGGGTTTCATCATGTTGGCCAGGCTGGTCTCAAACTCCTGGCCTCAACCAATTCACCTGCCTCGGCCTCTCAAAGTGCTGCGATTAGAGGCGCGAGCCACTGCACCCAGGTGTGTGGGGGTTTTGTTTGTTTGATTGTTTGTTTGTTTTTTGAGACAGAGTTTCGCTCTGTTGCTCAGGCTGGAGTGCAGCGGCGCTATCTCGGCTCACTGCAAGCTCCACCTCCCAGGTTCACGCCATTCTCCTGCCTCAGCCTCCCAAGTAGCTGGGACTACAGGTGCCCCCCACCATACCCGGCTATTTTTTGTATTTTTAGTAAAGACAGGGTTTCACCGTGTTAGCCAGGATGGTCTTGATCTCCTGACCTCGTGATCCACCCGCCTTGGCCTCCCAAAGTGCTGGGATTACAGGCGTGAGCCACTGCGCCCAGCCTGTGTTGTTTTTAATTGTATGTATTTAAGGCATACATGATGTTTTGATGCACGTATATGTAGCGAAATGATTACTACAATGAAGCAAAGGAACATATCCGTCTCCTGATGTAATTACCTTTGTGTACGTGTGTGTAGAAAGAGTAGCTGAAATCTACTCTTTCGGCAAATTCCCAGTATACAAGGCGGTATTCCTGAGGTTGTTTTATGGGGTGGAAGTTTGCCACAGATTGGCCATAAGCGGGAGTTTATATCTCAGTCTCTTTTCCTCAATTGTTATTGCCATAGAACTTACATAGAGCAAAGTGCAAAAAATCAGACACATACATCTTCACGAACTTTCACAAACTGAACGCACTCATGCCCAGCACTGAAATCAATGAATAGAATAGCGGATTCATCCCCAGGTGCCTTTTCCTGCTACCCCATCCTGCCTCCCACAAAGGCACCCTCTGTTGTAACAGCACCTAGGATTAGTTTGGCTGGTTTTTGTTTCACGTGTAGGGAACCACATGGTATGCACTGTCTTGGGTTTGGATTAACCTCAGCTTTGAGAGATCAAGGCTTAAGGTTGTGCCGGTTGTCATTTGTGAGTTCTGATTGCTGTGAGAAGATCCGATGGGTGCAGATGCCCCAGTATTTATTCATTCTCCTGCTGTTCATTGGCTGGTTTCTGACAAGAGCTATTATGACTGCAGGTTCTGTGCCCCGCAGAACATGAAATTGGTGGGCACGCATGTACAATGTTGAGATAAATGCTGTGTGCAAGGGAAGAGGGTAGACGTTTATACGGCTTTTGGGGTTTGTTTGAGACGGAGTCTCGATCTGTTGCCCAGGCTGGAGTGTAGTGGCACGATCTCGGCTCACTGCAACCCTCGCCTCCCAGGTTCAAGCAATTCTCCCACCTCAGCCTCCCAACTAGCCGGGATTACAGGCACCCACCATCAGGCCTAGCTAATTTTTGTATTTTTGTGGAGATGGTGTTTCACCATGTTTGCCTGGCTGGTCTTGAATTCCTGATCTCAGGTGATCTGCCTGCCTCGGCCTCCCAAAGTGCTGGGATTACAAGCTTGAGCCACCGCCTGTTTGTTCTTTTGAGACAGTCTCTCTCTCACCCAGGCTGGAGTGCAGTGGCGCAATCTTGTCTCACCGCAACCTCCACCTCTGGGTTCAAGCAATTCTCCTGCATCAGCCTCCCGAGTAGCTGAGACTACAGGCGTACGCCACCATGCCTGGCTAATTTTTTTGTATTTTCAATAGAGAGGAGGTTTCACCATGTCGGCCAGGCTGGTCTCAAACTCCTGACCTCAAGTAATCCGCGCGCTTCAGCCTCCTAAAGTGCTGGGATTACAGGCGTAAGCCACTGTGCCCAGCCTACAGCTTTTGTTTTTGAGACAGGGTCTTGCTCTGTCACCCAGGCTGGAGTGCAGTAGCTCAATCACAACTCACTACAGCCTTGATCTCCTGGGCTCAAGTGATCCTCCCACTTCAGCCTCCTAAGTAGATGGGACTACAGGCAGGCATCACCATGCCTGACAATGCTTATTTTTTATTTTTTGTAGAGATAAGGTCTTCCTATGTTGTCCAAGTTGCTTCTAGACTACTGAGCTCAAGCGATCCTCCCACCTCTGCTTCCCAAAATGCTGGGATTACAGGCATAAACCACCATGCCTGGCCCTATACAGCTTTAATAGATGTTTGCATATAGTTTTCCAAAGCGGTTATTCCAATTTAAACTCCCACTATCCTTACGGGAAAGACTGGTCCCTCCATAATCTAGTCAGCACTTGGTGTTTCTGCGTTTTTCCCTTTAGCTAAGTTGATATCTATATAATAGTATCTCATTGTAATTTTTATTTTTTTAGCATTTCCCTGAAGCTAAAAGGGTTAAACATTTGCTCAAATTTTGCTGGTCATTTAGGCCGGGCGCGGTAGCTCATGCCTGTAATCTCAGCAATTTGGGAGGCCAAGGCGGGTGGATCACTTGAGGTCAGGAGTTCAAGACCAGCCTGGGCAACACGGTAAAACCCTGTTTCTACTCAAAATACAAAAATTAGCTGGACGTGGTGGTGGGAGCCTGTAATCCCACCTACTCAGGAGGCTGAGGCAGGAGAATCGCTTGAACCCAGAAGGCAGAGTTGCGGCGAGCCAAGATCGTGCCACTGCACTCCAGCCTGGGTGACAGAACAAGACTCCACCTGAAAATTAATAATAATAATAATGATGATAATAATTTTTTACGGTCACTTGTTTATATTCTTTTGTGTAGGATCCATTCAAGTTTTTCACCCAGTTTCAAGTGTGTTTTCATTATTTTTCTCTGTTTGTTTGACATTATTCTCTTTTTTTTAAATATTAAGATTTTTTTTATATATATACTCTGGCTTGATGTACTTTCCTGGGGGTACAGGATCCAAACCTCTTCCCCCACTCCGGTTTTCCACGCTTTCTCTCTTACTGATGTATTTGAATGAATAGTTGCTCTTAATGTATCTTAATATGGTTCAAATTTGAATTTTCTCCTTTCTATTTAGAGTTTCATTGTATCAAGAAGGCAGATTATCTCCTCATTGACTGTGAAGCTGTTCTTCTACCTAGTTTTTAATTAAAGCTATTTACTGTGTTTTATACTTAGAACTGAAACTAAGAGTATAAGAAATTAGGCCAGGCACGGTGGCTCACGCCTGTAATCCTAGCACTTTGAGAGGCCAAGGCAGGTGAATCACTTGAGGTCAGTAGTTCGAGACCACCCTGGCCAACATGGTGAAACCCCGTCTCGACAAAAAATACAAAAATAAGCTGGGTGTGGTGGCATGTGCCTGTAGTCCCAGCTACTTGGGAGGCTGAAGCAGGAGAATCATTGAACCCGGGAGGCAGAGGTTGCAGTGAGCTGAGATCCCGCCACTGCTCTCCAGCCTGGGTGACAGAGTGAGACCCCATCTCGAAAGAAAAGAGAGAAAAGAAAGGAAGACAGGAAGGAAGGAAGACAGGAAGGAAGGAAGGAAGGAAGGAAGGAAGGAAGGAAGGAAGGAAGGAAAATTAAAATGAGACTGAACCTAGAAAAAAGGTAGATTAGCAAAGTGGAACAAGGTTCAAGAGCAAATATTCCCACCAAAGCATGAACAACATTGGAAACTTCAGAGACAAGTGGGATGTGATTAAAAGAAGAGTAGAGAGAACTTGGACAAGAATGGATATCAGAAGTGAAGGATACATATGCACCTTCCAAACCAATGAAAGACATCAACCCACAGATGCAATTGACTCCACACCCTCTAGGCAAAGGAAATACACAGGAAGCAATAATGAGCTACACTGTGGCCTACAAACCAACCACAACGAGAAAGAGTTTAGAGAATGTGGAAAGCAAAGAAGCAAGGAAAAGCCTGACAGCTGACATCTCAACACAGGTAAAATGAGATAGACATCAGTGGGGCACCATTTCTAATATGCTGAAAGAAATTTGTCAAACCAGACACCCGTACCTGACAGCAATATTGCCCCCAAATAAAGATGCCTAAATAAAAGTGTAAAGGAAAACAATTAGTTGTTAGCAGCATTGAATTAGAAGAAAAATACTAGAATGAATTCTCAAGTCCACAGGGAAATAATCCCAGATTGAATGCTAGAAATGCAGAAAGGAACAAAGATGAATGCACAAGATAAGCTGTAGGTAAATATTAGTGCATATTGCTTTATGAAGCAATACTAGAAATGTCTCCTGGAGAGTAAAATATGTGTAGAATTAATATGCATGAGAATGGTAATACAAAAGTCAGAAACAGCTAAAAAGAGAATTAAAAGTGTTCTAAAGTATTAGCATTTTGTGGGAGGGGTTAAAGTAATTAATTGTATCAGAGTATATGATTTAATTATTAGCATAACTACACAGATTTGTATGGCTGTAACTAGCAAGTTCATGGAGATAACAATAAAATAATAAACATATTTAATTCAAAGTCAGTCAAGTAAAGGCAAAAGGAACGTGAGTCAGTTAAGTCAAAACCTAGGAAAAATGAGATGATTGAAACAATTTCAAATTTACTGGTAATTATATTAAATGTAAATGCACGAAATAGAACTTTTTTTTTTTTTTTTTTTTGAGATGGAGTCTCACTCTGTCGCCCATGCTGAGCTGCAGTGGTGCGATCTCGGCTCACCGCAACCTCTCCCTCCCAGGTTCAAGCGATTCTCCTGCCTCAGCCTCCCGAGTAGCTGGGATTACAGGTGCATGCCACCACACCAGGGTAAGTTTTGTATTTTTAGTAGAAATGGGGTTTCACCATGTTGGCCAGGCTGGTCTCGAACTCTTGACCTCAGGTGATCTACCTGCCTTGGTCTCCCAAAGTGCTGGGATTATAGGCGTAAGCCACCTCTCCCGGCCAAAGTAGTAATTTCTTTGCAACAACTGTGTGATATATTCTATAGGATTGTGAATAAAAGTTTTGGGCTTTCTTTTCTTAAAGAACATTTAAATGGTCTTTAGTTGTTGTTATTAAATCAAATATTACGTGAACATTTATGTACATAGACAATTCCATTCCTATTTCTATAGAAAGTATTCAAAGATGTTTGGAAAACTGGGAGAAAAAGGGAAACATATCTAAAATGCTGATATTAACTGTAAATACCACCCCGCCACACACACATACACACGTATTCAATTCTTTCTCTACTAACACTCTGTGTAGGTAACACCACATTGGTTTCTGTATAAAGATTTAGAAATGCCTCAAATCCAATGGGCGGAGACAGGGTGTTCCCTGTGGATTATCCACTGATTGCATTATCACTCGCTTTCTCTATAAAAAGGGGAACCAGATGCAGAAGTCACTGCATTTTCCGGCAAGCCAAGGGTTGTCTGCATCTCAAGAGTGGGGTCAGCAAGAGAAACTCTACGGCTATGGGAGAGCCTGCGTTCACCTCTTTTCCGAGCCCACCTGTTCTGGTGAGTACGGGATATTTATTGATTACAGGAATGTCCATATGTGTCCTTTTTCCTTCTGTAAGACAGCTTTACAGTTAGCAGTGGGTTGTTCTTAAAACTGGATGTTGTGGAAAGTGATACCTCAGGTGGTAATATCTGTTGAATAATGTTCAAAGTATTCTCATTTTTGCCCATGAAACTGTATGGGGATAATAGCTTTGAATTTTTTTTTAAAAATCCAACATCACTAGGAAAGGGAAGAAGTATGATTTGGCCTTGCAGTCTTCAAATTGTCTCCTTCTCTGGAAAGCTCCTGAACCAGAAATTGCTTGGTCCGTTTTTTTAAAAAAACAAAAAACAAAAAAAATTAGTTCTCTGGTAAAATTTCATGATGAGTTGCTTATTCCCTAAACTCACTGTCACGATTCATTGTAGTGAATTTCTTTTCTGTTTCTCTGTTTCTCCTCCTTCCATCCCTCTCTGTCACTCCCTTCTTCTTCATCATGGAACTTACTTATATCTGATATTCCACCAGAAATTTGTTTTTAGTGCGTTTATTATGTCTTCCTTCTCACCAAGATGAAAATCAACAGAGTGGTGATTTATGAAGTTTACTTCTGGATCAGGGGTTCTACTGCACAGCTTGGCACATCATAAGTGCCCCGTAACTAAGGGGACTAAATAATTTTCCCTCCAAAGGGGAACATCTTGGGTCAGTATTAATCTTTATGCCAGGGGTACTGTAAGGGGTAGTATTAATCTTTATGCCAGGACAACGAAAAATGAAATGAGGAGGACAGAAACAAAGGCTTTAAAATGGAAAGTGCACTGATGAGGTTTGTGGGGGAAACAGCTTTATGAGACTAGAGTCTTCCAATTGAGTTAGAGCAAGAAAGGACGTCAAATCTTAGGAGGCGCTTGATCATCTTTCTCAGTATGTCATCAAAAGATTCTCTCATGGTATACCTCTAGTTAATTGAGCTTATTAGAAACAGAAAGCAACATGGTGTTTCTGAGGTTTTTCTTCATGAGCAGGAGGTGTTCAGGTGAAGGTGGGATCTGGGTGTGGCAGTGAGTATTTAAGGTGGCGAGTGCAGGATTTCTTTGGAAACCAGAGAGTCAAGGAGCTATGAAAATGACGTTGTGTCCTGAAGCACAGCAGAAAGAGATACAGAGAAGCGTGAGGTCTTGGTGAACAGGGAAGTCTGGGATCCCGGTGTCCTGTTGGGGATGGGTTAGGAGGCACCACCAGCATCTGTGTAGCTGACAGTGGCAGGGAAGAGAAGAGAGGGGTGTCCTCTGAGGAGGATGAGGAGGGACAAGGTCTGGAACTGACCCTGGGTCATGACCTTGAGCATTTAGTCCTTGACTCGCATCAGCCCGATGAGGTCCCAGGACCCAGTGTCAATGCCTGGAGCTCCTGCCAGCAGCATCAGGGTCACACGGAGAAATGCAGACTCTAGGGTCCACCCCAGACTTACTTGGGTTCAGGTCCACATATCTGACTTTAGCAAGCCCTGCAGGGGCTGAGGATGTACACTGCCATTTGAGACACATTTCCCCAGAAAGAGAGGCTGGTGGGAAGATTCCACTGAGCTGAGAGAAGCCCCCCACAGCTGATCTTCTCCTGTCTCCAATTGGTTGAAATTTCACATTTTCTTTTCTTTTCTTTTGAAAGGGGAAGCTCAAAAGAAACATGATGCCCTGGGCTTTACAGAAGAAACGAGAAATCCACATGGCCAAGGCCCATCGGAGACGAGCTGCGAGGTCTGCTCTCCCCATGAGACTCACCAGCTGCATCTTCCGGAGGCCGGTGACAAGGATCAGGTCTCATCCTGACAACCAGGTCAGACGCAGAAAAGGGGACGAGCACCTGGAGAAGCCGCAGCAACTCTGCGCCTACCGGAGACTGCAGGCCCTGCAGCCCTGCAGCAGCCAAGGAGAAGGTTCAAGTCCACTGCATTTGGAGAGCGTCTTAAGTATCCTTGCACCGGGGACGGCCGGTGAATCTCTGGACAGAGCTGGTGCTGAGCGTGTGCGCATCCCGCTTGAGCCCACCCCTGGGCGGTTTCCAGCTGTGGCAGGGGGGCCAACCCCAGGAATGGGTTGTCAGCTCCCACCGCCCCTCTCTGGCCAATTGGTGACTCCTGCAGATATCCGGAGACAGGCCAGGAGGGTGAAGAAAGCCAGGGAGAGACTGGCCAAGGCCTTGCAGGCAGACAGGCTGGCCAGGCAGGCAGAAATGCTGACATGTAGATGAAGCGCAGTCCTGGGCTTTCGGTCCCTTTCTTTTAATGCCCATCCTCATTCCTACTCTGAATTGTCACACTTTTCCCTTCCCCACCAGTTCTTTAATAAAAGTATTTGAAAGGCAACAGGTGTAAGGAGTGGATGGTTTTGTGGTGAGAAATTGGGTTTTATGGGATGAGGAAGGAGACCTTTACATGTCACTGTACATCTCAGTTTCTGTTTACCATGATTTTAATTAATTGTTTTTTTTTGTTTGTTTGTTTGTTTTGAGACGGAGTCTTGCTCTGTTGCCCAGGCTGGAGTGCAATGGCGCGATCTCGGCTCACTGCAACCTCCACCTCCCGGGTTCAAGTGATTCTCCTGCCTCAGCTTCCCGAGTAGCTGGGATTACAGGTGCCCACCACCATGCCCGGATATTTTTTGCATTTTTAGTAGAGATGGGGTTTCACCAGGCTGGCCAGGCTGGTCTTGAACTGCTGACCTCAGCAATCTGCCCACCTCGGCCTTCCAAAGTACTGGGATTACAGGCATAAGCCACCTTGCCCGGCTGTTAATTAGTTTTTGTATTAAATTCTAATTTAATCTTTGGCCTGGCGCTGTGGCTTATGCCTGTAGTCCCAGCACTTTGGGAGGCGGAGCAGGGCAGATCGTCTGAGGTCAGGAGTTCAGGACCAGCCTGGCCAATATGGCGAAACCCCATCTCTACTAAAAATAACTAATCAGGTGTGGGGGCGGATGTCTGTAATCCCAGCTACTGGAGAGGCTGAGGCAAGAGAATCGGTTGAACCAAGGAGGCAGAGGTTGCAGTGAGCCAAAATGGTGCCACTGTACTCCAGCCTTGGTGAAACTTTGTCTCAAAACAAAAATTCCAATTTAATTTTCAAATGAAATCCTTTAAAAATGAAATGAAATTCTGTAATTTTAAATGAAACGAATACATTACATTATAATTTGTTAAAAATGTATTACATTTTCATTTTTAAATTGAGTTTTCATTGTTTGAAATTTTCGATTTAGGGGTACATGTGTACATGTTTGTTACATGGATATATCGCTTAACGGTGGGGGTTGGTTTTGTAGTTTATGGGTTACCCAAATACTAATCATCGTACCCAGTAGCTAAGTTTTCAACCCATGGGTAAACTCAATTAACCTAGCCTGAAGGATTATTCAGTGTTTAGAGATTACATTTTCTCCCTATAGTATACGTTCTCAAGGCGAAGTTGGTACGTATCCCAAGATTTTTTTTTTAATGAAACATTTTTACCCCATTTACTCTGATGTGGTTATCAGACATTTTGTGCCTGTATCAAAATATCTCACATACCACATAAATATATACACATACTACGTCCCTGCCCGCTGTTTGACTTTGAGTTTCCTTACCTCTTTATCATTGATCGAAACATGGAATGGAATACTTCATGGTAATTATTTTATGCATCTCGGGTTAGGTGGAAACTACTGGTTGTTTTCACTCTAGCAGAGTTAGGGTGGCAGGAAGTGCCCATCAGCAGATGCTACTGCACACCAGCCCGGGCGACAGAGCAAGACTCTGTGTCTAAAAATAAATATATAATTTATATATAATTATAAATACATTATATATAATTTATATATAATTATAAATACATTATATATAATTTATATATAATTATAAATACATTATATATAATTTATACATAATTATAAATACATTATGTATAATACAATTATATACTATATAATTATATTATATACTATAATATATTTCTTATATAATTATATTATAATATAATTTATACGTGATATAATTATATTTTATATTATAATATAATTTATATGTTATATAATTATATTTTATATATAATATAATTTATATGTTATATAATTATATTATATATAATATAATTTATATGTTATATAATTATATTATATATAATATAATTTATATGTTATATAATTATATTATATATAATATAATTTATATGTTATAGAATTATATTATATATAATATAATTTATATGTTATATAATTATATTATATATATAATATAATTTATATGTTATATAATTATATTATATATATAATATAATTTATATGTTATATAATTATATTATATATATAATATAATTTATATGTTATATAATTATATTATATATATAATATAATTTATATATTATATACTTACATATATTATATATTAATATATAATTTATATATTATGTAATTATATATTATATATTATAATTATATTTATATATCATATTTATATAATTATATAATATAATTGTATAATATATACTATATCGGTATATTATATAATTATATATAATTATATATATTATAATTATATAATATAATATATATTATATTATATAATATATAATTATACATAACTGTATTATATATAATTATATATAATTATATTATAGTATATTATATATATTATATATAATTATATATTATTATATTATATATTATGTATAATATATATTTTATTATATTATATAGTATATATTATATATAATATATATAATATGTAATATATAATATATAATATATATAATATAATATAATTATATAAAATTATTTCATATTATATTATATTATATATTATATATAATATAGTTATGTATAATTATATATTATATAATATAATATATATTATATTTTATAATTATTATATATAATATAATATATTATATATATATAATATAATATATATATAATATATATTATATATAATATTATAATATATAATATATATATATAATATATATAATTATATAATATAATATTATATATATTATATTATAATAATATAATATATATAATATAATTATATATAATTATATATCATAATTATGTAATATACGTATATATTATATAATTATATTATATAATTAAATATATTACATATAATTATATAAATATAATATATAAATATAATTATAATACATAATATATATAATTATATAATATATAAATTATATTTTAATATATATAATTATATAATATACAAATTATATTTTAATATATAATATGTATAATTATATACTATATAAATTATATTATAATTTATAATATAATTAAATAACATATAAATTATATTATAATATATAATATAATTATATAACATATAAATTATATTATAATATATAATTATATAACATATAAATTGTATTATAATATATAATATAATTATATAACATATAAATTATATTATAATATAAAATATAATTATATAACATACATTATATTATAATATAAAATATAATTATATAACATATAAATTATATTATAATATAATTATATAAGAAATATATTATAGTATATAATATAATTATATAGTATATAATTTTATTATACATAATGTATTTATAATTATGTATAAATTATATATAATGTATTTATAATTATATATAAATTATATATCTATTTTTAGACACAGAGTCTTGCTCTGTCGCCCGGGCTGGTGTGCAGTAGCATCTGCTGATGGGCACTTCCTGCCACCCTAACTCTGCTAGAGTGAAAACAACCAGTAGTTTCCACCTAACCCGAGATGCATAAAATAATTACCATGAGGTATTCCATTCCATGTTTCGATCAATGATAAAGAGGTAAGGAAACTCAAAGTCAAACAGCGGGCAGGGACGTAGTATGTGTATATATTTATGTGGTACGTGAGATATTTTGATACAGGCACAAAATGTCTGATAACCACATCAGAGTAAATGGGGTAAAAATGTTTCATTAAAAAAAAAATCTTGGGATACGTACCAACTTCGCCTTGAGAACGTATACTATAGGGAGAAAATGTAATGTCTAAACACTGAATAATCCTTCAGGCTAGGTTAATTGAGTTTACCCATGGGTTGAAAACTTAGCTACTGGGTACGATATTCAGTATTTGGGTAACCCATAAACTACAAAAGCAACCCCCACCGTTAAGCGATATATCCATGTAACAAACATGTACATGTTCCCCTAATTCGAAAATTTCAAACAATGAAAACTCAATTTAAAAATGAAAATGTAATACATTTTTAACAAATTATAATGTAATGTATTCGTTTCATTTAAAATTACAGAATTTCATTTCATTTTTAAAGGACTTCATTTGAAAATTAAATTGGAATTTTTGTTTTGAGACAAAGTTTCACCAAGGCTGGAGTACAGTGGCACCATTTTGGCTCACTGCAACCTCTGCCTCCTTGGTTCAACCAATTCTCTTGCCTCAGCCTCTCCAGTAGCTGGGATTACAGGCATCCGCCCCCACACCTGATTAGTTATTTTTAGTAGAGATGGGGTTTCGCCATATTGGCCAGGCTGGTCCTGAACTCCTGACCTCAGACGATCTGCCCTGCTCCGCCTCCCAAAGTGCTGGGACTACAGGCATAAGCCACAGCGCCAGGCCAAAGATTAAATTAGAATTTAATACAAAAACTAATTAACGGCCAGGCAAGGTGGCTTATGCCTGTAATCCCAGTACTTTGGAAGGCCGAGGTGGGCAGATTGCTGAGGTCAGCAGTTCAAGACCAGCCTGGCCAGCATGGTGAAACCCCATCTCTACTAAAAATACAAAAAATATCCGGGCATGGTGGTGGGCACCTGTAATCCCAGCTACTCGGGAAGCTGAGGCAGGAGAATCACTTGAACCCGGGAGGTGGAGGTTGCAGTGAGCCGAGATCGCGCCATTGCACTCCAGCCTGGGCAACAGAGCAAGACTCCGTCTCAAAACAAACAAACAAACAAAAAAAAACAATTAATTAAAATCATGGTAAACAGAAACTGAGATGTACAGTGACATGTAAAGGTCTCCTTCCTCATCCCATAAAACCCAATTTCTCACCACAAAAACATCCACTCCTTACACCTGTTGCCTTTCAAATACTTTTATTAAAGAACTGGTGGGGAAGGGAAAAGTGTGACAATTCAGAGTAGGAATGAGGATGGGCATTAAAAGAAAGGGACCGAAAGCCCAGGACTGAGCTTCACCCACCTGTCAGCATTTCTGCCTGCCTGGCCAGCCTGTCTGCCTGCAAGGCCTTGGCCAGTCTCTCCCTGGCTTTCTTCACCCTCCTGGCCTGTCTCCGGATATCTGCAGGAGTCACCAATTGGCCAGAGAGGGGCGGTGGGAGCTGACAACCCATTCCTGGGGTTGGCCCCCCTGCCACAGCTGGAAACCGCCCAGGGGTGGGCTCAAGCGGGATGCGCACACGCTCAGCACCAGCTCTGTCCAGAGATTCACCGGCCGTCCCCGGTGCAAGGATACTTAAGACGCTCTCCAAATGCAGTGGACTTGAACCTTCTCCTTGGCTGCTGCAGGGCTGCAGGGCCTGCAGTCTCCGGTAGGCGCAGAGTTGCTGCGGCTTCTCCAGGTGCTCGTCCCCTTTTCTGCGTCTGACCTGGTTGTCAGGATGAGACCTGATCCTTGTCACCGGCCTCCGGAAGATGCAGCTGGTGAGTCTCATGGGGAGAGCAGACCTCGCAGCTCGTCTCCGATGGGCCTTGGCCATGTGGATTTCTCGTTTCTTCTGTAAAGCCCAGGGCATCATGTTTCTTTTGAGCTTCCCCTTTCAAAAGAAAAGAAAAGAAAATGTGAAATTTCAACCAACTGGAGACAGGAGAAGATCAGCTGTGGGGGGCTTCTCTCAGCTCAGTGGAATCTTCCCACCAGCCTCTCTTTCTGGGGAAATGTGTCTCAAATGGCAGTGTACATCCTCAGCCCCTGCAGGGCTTGCTAAAGTCAGATATGTGGACCTGAACCCAAGTAAGTCTGGGGTGGACCCTAGAGTCTGCATTTCTCCGTGTGACCCTGATGCTGCTGGCAGGAGCTCCAGGCATTGACACTGGGTCCTGGGACCTCATCGGGCTGATGCGAGTCAAGGACTAAATGCTCAAGGTCATGACCCAGGGTCAGTTCCAGACCTTGTCCCTCCTCATCCTCCTCAGAGGACACCCCTCTCTTCTCTTCCCTGCCACTGTCAGCTACACAGATGCTGGTGGTGCCTCCTAACCCATCCCCAACAGGACACCGGGATCCCAGACTTCCCTGTTCACCAAGACCTCACGCTTCTCTGTATCTCTTTCTGCTGTGCTTCAGGACACAACGTCATTTTCATAGCTCCTTGACTCTCTGGTTTCCAAAGAAATCCTGCACTCGCCACCTTAAATACTCACTGCCACACCCAGATCCCACCTTCACCTGAACACCTCCTGCTCATGAAGAAAAACCTCAGAAACACCATGTTGCTTTCTGTTTCTAATAAGCTCAATTAACTAGAGGTATACCATGAGAGAATCTTTTGATGACATACTGAGAAAGATGATCAAGCGCCTCCTAAGATTTGACGTCCTTTCTTGCTCTAACTCAATTGGAAGACTCTAGTCTCATAAAGCTGTTTCCCCCACAAACCTCATCAGTGCACTTTCCATTTTAAAGCCTTTGTTTCTGTCCTCCTCATTTCATTTTTCGTTGTCCTGGCATAAAGATTAATACTACCCCTTACAGTACCCCTGGCATAAAGATTAATACTGACCCAAGATGTTCCCCTTTGGAGGGAAAATTATTTAGTCCCCTTAGTTACGGGGCACTTATGATGTGCCAAGCTGTGCAGTAGAACCCCTGATCCAGAAGTAAACTTCATAAATCACCACTCTGTTGATTTTCATCTTGGTGAGAAGGAAGACATAATAAACGCACTAAAAACAAATTTCTGGTGGAATATCAGATATAAGTAAGTTCCATGATGAAGAAGAAGGGAGTGACAGAGAGGGATGGAAGGAGGAGAAACAGAGAAACAGAAAAGAAATTCACTACAATGAATCGTGACAGTGAGTTTAGGGAATAAGCAACTCATCATGAAATTTTACCAGAGAACTAATTTTTTTTGTTTTTTGTTTTTTTAAAAAAACGGACCAAGCAATTTCTGGTTCAGGAGCTTTCCAGAGAAGGAGACAATTTGAAGACTGCAAGGCCAAATCATACTTCTTCCCTTTCCTAGTGATGTTGGATTTTTAAAAAAAATTCAAAGCTATTATCCCCATACAGTTTCATGGGCAAAAATGAGAATACTTTGAACATTATTCAACAGATATTAACACCTGAGGTATAACGTTCCACAACATCCAGTTTTAAGAACAACCCACTGCTAACTGTAAAGCTGTCTTACA
Source organism: Homo sapiens (assembly GCF_000001405.40). NCBI lineage: Eukaryota > Metazoa > Chordata > Mammalia > Primates > Hominidae > Homo > Homo sapiens. The sequence continues at coordinate 7,030,712 of NC_000019.10, read as the reverse complement.
GAAGGAAAAAGGACACATATGGACATTCCTGTAATCAATAAATATCCCGTACTCACCAGAACAGGTGGGCTCGGAAAAGAGGTGAACGCAGGCTCTCCCATAGCCGTAGAGTTTCTCTTGCTGACCCCACTCTTGAGATGCAGACAACCCTTGGCTTGCCGGAAAATGCAGTGACTTCTGCATCTGGTTCCCCTTTTTATAGAGAAAGCGAGTGATAATGCAATCAGTGGATAATCCACAGGGAACACCCTGTCTCCGCCCATTGGATTTGAGGCATTTCTAAATCTTTATACAGAAACCAATGTGGTGTTACCTACACAGAGTGTTAGTAGAGAAAGAATTGAATACGTGTGTATGTGTGTGTGGCGGGGTGGTATTTACAGTTAATATCAGCATTTTAGATATGTTTCCCTTTTTCTCCCAGTTTTCCAAACATCTTTGAATACTTTCTATAGAAATAGGAATGGAATTGTCTATGTACATAAATGTTCACGTAATATTTGATTTAATAACAACAACTAAAGACCATTTAAATGTTCTTTAAGAAAAGAAAGCCCAAAACTTTTATTCACAATCCTATAGAATATATCACACAGTTGTTGCAAAGAAATTACTACTTTGGCCGGGAGAGGTGGCTTACGCCTATAATCCCAGCACTTTGGGAGACCAAGGCAGGTAGATCACCTGAGGTCAAGAGTTCGAGACCAGCCTGGCCAACATGGTGAAACCCCATTTCTACTAAAAATACAAAACTTACCCTGGTGTGGTGGCATGCACCTGTAATCCCAGCTACTCGGGAGGCTGAGGCAGGAGAATCGCTTGAACCTGGGAGGGAGAGGTTGCGGTGAGCCGAGATCGCACCACTGCAGCTCAGCATGGGCGACAGAGTGAGACTCCATCTCAAAAAAAAAAAAAAAAAAAAGTTCTATTTCGTGCATTTACATTTAATATAATTACCAGTAAATTTGAAATTGTTTCAATCATCTCATTTTTCCTAGGTTTTGACTTAACTGACTCACGTTCCTTTTGCCTTTACTTGACTGACTTTGAATTAAATATGTTTATTATTTTATTGTTATCTCCATGAACTTGCTAGTTACAGCCATACAAATCTGTGTAGTTATGCTAATAATTAAATCATATACTCTGATACAATTAATTACTTTAACCCCTCCCACAAAATGCTAATACTTTAGAACACTTTTAATTCTCTTTTTAGCTGTTTCTGACTTTTGTATTACCATTCTCATGCATATTAATTCTACACATATTTTACTCTCCAGGAGACATTTCTAGTATTGCTTCATAAAGCAATATGCACTAATATTTACCTACAGCTTATCTTGTGCATTCATCTTTGTTCCTTTCTGCATTTCTAGCATTCAATCTGGGATTATTTCCCTGTGGACTTGAGAATTCATTCTAGTATTTTTCTTCTAATTCAATGCTGCTAACAACTAATTGTTTTCCTTTACACTTTTATTTAGGCATCTTTATTTGGGGGCAATATTGCTGTCAGGTACGGGTGTCTGGTTTGACAAATTTCTTTCAGCATATTAGAAATGGTGCCCCACTGATGTCTATCTCATTTTACCTGTGTTGAGATGTCAGCTGTCAGGCTTTTCCTTGCTTCTTTGCTTTCCACATTCTCTAAACTCTTTCTCGTTGTGGTTGGTTTGTAGGCCACAGTGTAGCTCATTATTGCTTCCTGTGTATTTCCTTTGCCTAGAGGGTGTGGAGTCAATTGCATCTGTGGGTTGATGTCTTTCATTGGTTTGGAAGGTGCATATGTATCCTTCACTTCTGATATCCATTCTTGTCCAAGTTCTCTCTACTCTTCTTTTAATCACATCCCACTTGTCTCTGAAGTTTCCAATGTTGTTCATGCTTTGGTGGGAATATTTGCTCTTGAACCTTGTTCCACTTTGCTAATCTACCTTTTTTCTAGGTTCAGTCTCATTTTAATTTTCCTTCCTTCCTTCCTTCCTTCCTTCCTTCCTTCCTGTCTTCCTTCCTTCCTGTCTTCCTTTCTTTTCTCTCTTTTCTTTCGAGATGGGGTCTCACTCTGTCACCCAGGCTGGAGAGCAGTGGCGGGATCTCAGCTCACTGCAACCTCTGCCTCCCGGGTTCAATGATTCTCCTGCTTCAGCCTCCCAAGTAGCTGGGACTACAGGCACATGCCACCACACCCAGCTTATTTTTGTATTTTTTGTCGAGACGGGGTTTCACCATGTTGGCCAGGGTGGTCTCGAACTACTGACCTCAAGTGATTCACCTGCCTTGGCCTCTCAAAGTGCTAGGATTACAGGCGTGAGCCACCGTGCCTGGCCTAATTTCTTATACTCTTAGTTTCAGTTCTAAGTATAAAACACAGTAAATAGCTTTAATTAAAAACTAGGTAGAAGAACAGCTTCACAGTCAATGAGGAGATAATCTGCCTTCTTGATACAATGAAACTCTAAATAGAAAGGAGAAAATTCAAATTTGAACCATATTAAGATACATTAAGAGCAACTATTCATTCAAATACATCAGTAAGAGAGAAAGCGTGGAAAACCGGAGTGGGGGAAGAGGTTTGGATCCTGTACCCCCAGGAAAGTACATCAAGCCAGAGTATATATATAAAAAAAATCTTAATATTTAAAAAAAAGAGAATAATGTCAAACAAACAGAGAAAAATAATGAAAACACACTTGAAACTGGGTGAAAAACTTGAATGGATCCTACACAAAAGAATATAAACAAGTGACCGTAAAAAATTATTATCATCATTATTATTATTATTAATTTTCAGGTGGAGTCTTGTTCTGTCACCCAGGCTGGAGTGCAGTGGCACGATCTTGGCTCGCCGCAACTCTGCCTTCTGGGTTCAAGCGATTCTCCTGCCTCAGCCTCCTGAGTAGGTGGGATTACAGGCTCCCACCACCACGTCCAGCTAATTTTTGTATTTTGAGTAGAAACAGGGTTTTACCGTGTTGCCCAGGCTGGTCTTGAACTCCTGACCTCAAGTGATCCACCCGCCTTGGCCTCCCAAATTGCTGAGATTACAGGCATGAGCTACCGCGCCCGGCCTAAATGACCAGCAAAATTTGAGCAAATGTTTAACCCTTTTAGCTTCAGGGAAATGCTAAAAAAATAAAAATTACAATGAGATACTATTATATAGATATCAACTTAGCTAAAGGGAAAAACGCAGAAACACCAAGTGCTGACTAGATTATGGAGGGACCAGTCTTTCCCGTAAGGATAGTGGGAGTTTAAATTGGAATAACCGCTTTGGAAAACTATATGCAAACATCTATTAAAGCTGTATAGGGCCAGGCATGGTGGTTTATGCCTGTAATCCCAGCATTTTGGGAAGCAGAGGTGGGAGGATCGCTTGAGCTCAGTAGTCTAGAAGCAACTTGGACAACATAGGAAGACCTTATCTCTACAAAAAATAAAAAATAAGCATTGTCAGGCATGGTGATGCCTGCCTGTAGTCCCATCTACTTAGGAGGCTGAAGTGGGAGGATCACTTGAGCCCAGGAGATCAAGGCTGTAGTGAGTTGTGATTGAGCTACTGCACTCCAGCCTGGGTGACAGAGCAAGACCCTGTCTCAAAAACAAAAGCTGTAGGCTGGGCACAGTGGCTTACGCCTGTAATCCCAGCACTTTAGGAGGCTGAAGCGCGCGGATTACTTGAGGTCAGGAGTTTGAGACCAGCCTGGCCGACATGGTGAAACCTCCTCTCTATTGAAAATACAAAAAAATTAGCCAGGCATGGTGGCGTACGCCTGTAGTCTCAGCTACTCGGGAGGCTGATGCAGGAGAATTGCTTGAACCCAGAGGTGGAGGTTGCGGTGAGACAAGATTGCGCCACTGCACTCCAGCCTGGGTGAGAGAGAGACTGTCTCAAAAGAACAAACAGGCGGTGGCTCAAGCTTGTAATCCCAGCACTTTGGGAGGCCGAGGCAGGCAGATCACCTGAGATCAGGAATTCAAGACCAGCCAGGCAAACATGGTGAAACACCATCTCCACAAAAATACAAAAATTAGCTAGGCCTGATGGTGGGTGCCTGTAATCCCGGCTAGTTGGGAGGCTGAGGTGGGAGAATTGCTTGAACCTGGGAGGCGAGGGTTGCAGTGAGCCGAGATCGTGCCACTACACTCCAGCCTGGGCAACAGATCGAGACTCCGTCTCAAACAAACCCCAAAAGCCGTATAAACGTCTACCCTCTTCCCTTGCACACAGCATTTATCTCAACATTGTACATGCGTGCCCACCAATTTCATGTTCTGCGGGGCACAGAACCTGCAGTCATAATAGCTCTTGTCAGAAACCAGCCAATGAACAGCAGGAGAATGAATAAATACTGGGGCATCTGCACCCATCGGATCTTCTCACAGCAATCAGAACTCACAAATGACAACCGGCACAACCTTAAGCCTTGATCTCTCAAAGCTGAGGTTAATCCAAACCCAAGACAGTGCATACCATGTGGTTCCCTACACGTGAAACAAAAACCAGCCAAACTAATCCTAGGTGCTGTTACAACAGAGGGTGCCTTTGTGGGAGGCAGGATGGGGTAGCAGGAAAAGGCACCTGGGGATGAATCCGCTATTCTATTCATTGATTTCAGTGCTGGGCATGAGTGCGTTCAGTTTGTGAAAGTTCGTGAAGATGTATGTGTCTGATTTTTTGCACTTTGCTCTATGTAAGTTCTATGGCAATAACAATTGAGGAAAAGAGACTGAGATATAAACTCCCGCTTATGGCCAATCTGTGGCAAACTTCCACCCCATAAAACAACCTCAGGAATACCGCCTTGTATACTGGGAATTTGCCGAAAGAGTAGATTTCAGCTACTCTTTCTACACACACGTACACAAAGGTAATTACATCAGGAGACGGATATGTTCCTTTGCTTCATTGTAGTAATCATTTCGCTACATATACGTGCATCAAAACATCATGTATGCCTTAAATACATACAATTAAAAACAACACAGGCTGGGCGCAGTGGCTCACGCCTGTAATCCCAGCACTTTGGGAGGCCAAGGCGGGTGGATCACGAGGTCAGGAGATCAAGACCATCCTGGCTAACACGGTGAAACCCTGTCTCTACTAAAAATACAAAAAATAGCCGGGTATGGTGGGGGGCACCTGTAGTCCCAGCTACTTGGGAGGCTGAGGCAGGAGAATGGCGTGAACCTGGGAGGTGGAGCTTGCAGTGAGCCGAGATAGCGCCGCTGCACTCCAGCCTGAGCAACAGAGCGAGACTCTGTCTCAAAAAACAAACAAACAATCAAACAAACAAAACCCCCACACACCTGGGTGCAGTGGCTCGCGCCTCTAATCGCAGCACTTTGAGAGGCCGAGGCAGGTGAATTGGTTGAGGCCAGGAGTTTGAGACCAGCCTGGCCAACATGATGAAACCCTGTTGCTACTAAAAATACAAAAATTAGCCAGGCATGGTGGTGGGCACCTGTAATCCCAGCTACTTGGGAGGCTGAGGTACATGAATCCCTTGAACCTGGGAGGTGGAGGTTGCAGTGATCTGAGATCACGCCACTGCACTCCAGCTGGGGTGAGAGTGAGAATTTGTCTCAAAACAAACAAACAAACACCCAACACCTAATAGATAAACAGATAAAAAAAATACAATTTCTGCAGCCTTGGTCTCTGCAGTGACTACTCAGTTTTTTCTTATGATTTTTCACAATCTTTTCCTTGTGTAAATCCTCCTGGTTTGATCTTTGGGGATGCAGAGAAATACTGGCTATTTTGCCAATTTGGACCTGGGACTAGGAAGTTTAAGACACAATTAGGGCCGGGTGCGGTGGCTCACGCCTGTAATCCCAGCACTTTGGGAGGCCAAAGCAGGAGGATCATGAGGTCAGGAGCTGAGACCGTCCTGGCTAACACTGTGAAACCCCGTCTCTACTGAAAAATACAAAAAAAATTAGCTGGGCGTGGTGGTGGGGGCCTGTAGTCCCAGCTACTCGGGAGGCTGAGGCAGGAGAATGGCGTGAACCCAGGAGACAGAGCTTGCAGTGAGCTGAGATCGCGCCACTGCACTCCAGCCTGGGCGACAGAGCAAGACTCCGTCTCAAATTAAAAAAAAAAAAAAAGACACAATTAGCTTACAGATTTAATCCTGTAGGGCAATTTCAAGGTACTGATGTCTCCCTCAGCACCTCAGCAAACTCCATTATATGGATGCAAATGATCCTGCCTGGGATCCAGACACCAGTCCTTTTAAATTTTACTGTGAAATTCAAATGAGCTGCAAAATCTGAGACCCCCGAAATGACAGAAATGTCCTCTTCTTGACTTAGAAATGAAGGACTTAGAGTTCCTTTTTTTTTTTTTTTTTTTTTTTTTGAGATAGAATCTGGCTCTGTCACCCAGGCTGGAGTGCAGTGGTGCGATCTCAGCTCACTGCAAATTCCGCCTCCCGGATTCAAGCAATTCTCCTGCCTCAGCCTCTCGAGTCACTGTTATTACAGGTGCCCACCACCAAGCCTAGCTAACTTTTGTATTTTTTTTTTTTTTCGAAACAGAGTCTTGCTCTGTCGTGCAGGCTGGAGTGCACTGGTGCGATCTTGGCTCACTGCAACCTCTGCCCCCTGGGTTCAAGCAATTATCCTGCCTCAGCCTCCTGAGTAGCTGGGATTACAGGCACCTGCCACCACGCCCAGCTAATTTTTGTATTTTTAGTAGCGATGAGGTTTCACCATGTTGGCCAGGCTGGTCTTAAACTCCTGACCTCAAGTGATCCAACCACCTCGGCCTCCTAAAGTGCTAGGATTACAGGCGTGAGCCACCACACCCGGCCTAATTTTTGTATTTTTAGTAGAGATGGGGTTTCACCAAGTTGGCCAGGCTGGTCACAAACTCCTGACCTCAAATGATCTGTCCGCCTCGGCCTCCCAGAGTGCTGGGATAACAGGTGTAAACCACCCTGCCCTGGCAGGACTTGGAGTTCTTAAAAATAATAATAACAATAAATTCTGTTTGGGAGGCTGAGGTGGGCAGATCACTTGAGGTCAGGACAAGACCAGCCTGGCCAACATGATGAAACCCTGACTCTACCAAGAATACAAAAATTAGCTGGGCGTGGCTGGGCGTGGTGGCTCATGCCTGTCATCCCAGCACTTTGGGAGGCTGAGGCAGGTGGATCACCTGAGGTCGGGAGTTTGAGACCAGCCTGGCCGACGTGGTGATACCTCGTCTCTACTAAAAAAAATACAAAAAATAGCCGGATGTGGTGGCAGGCGCCTGTAATCCCAGCTACTTGGAACTTGGAAGGCTGAGGCAGGAGAACTGCTTGAACCTGGCAGGTGGAGGTTGCAGTGAGCCGAGATCACGTCATTGCACTCCAGCCTGGGCAACAGAGCAAGACTCTGTCTCCAAGAAAAAAAAATTAGCTGGGCGTGGTGTCTTGGGCCTGTAAACCCAGCTACTTGGGAGGCTGAGGCAGGAGAATTGCTTAAACCCGGGAGGTGGAGGTTGCAGTGAGCCGAGATCACGTCATTGCACTCCAGCCTGGGCAACAGAGGGAGACTCTAAATAAATAAATAAATAAATAAATGATTTCTGATTTCCTGGCCCCTCCCGTAGGCATCCGGAGACACTGGTCTGGAAGGCACCCAGGTGTGAAAACACTCCCAGGTGTGTTTTCTGCAAACCAAAGTTCAAAACCACAGACTCCAAACCAACCAGGGAAGTGGTGTGTCATCCTTGCCTGTCCTTTTGGTCTTTAGGGGATTGTAAAATTCCTATAGCCTAGGCTGCATCCAACATCAGTGGAATAAAAATGTGTAGGGGTGTGTGCTACCATTAGTTTTTCAAACTCTCCAGGAGATTCCAATGTACGTTCAGGTTGGGATACAAATAAAGTACATTTCTTCCCATTTAAACTCTCACTGGCTACACGTGAATGGTATGATTGCTCCATAGCCATGTCTGCACTTGGCATTGCTATTTTTTCATTTTAGCCAAACAGAAGTGTATATGAGTATCTCATAGTGATTTTTCATCAGCGTTTATCTGAAGCTAAACAGAATTTGGGCATGTGTTCAGGATTGTATTGACCATTTATTTATTCTCTCTTCAATAGTGCCTACTGAAGTTTTCCACTCATTTTGCACATCAATTTTTAGTATTTTTTTTCATTTGATGGACATCTTTCTAGTCTGTATTCTGGCTTGATGTACTTTACTGGATGCACATCATGCAAATATCTTTTCCAATATGATTTTCTAACACCCATTTCTCTCTGCATTTTCATTAATAGGAGATCTTTCTTTTTTTTTTTTTAGATGGAGTCTCACTCTGTCGCCCAGGCTAGAGCGCGGTATATTGTGTCTATATATTGGAGTTTGCAGGGGAGGCATCGGTGCATTGAAATTGCCACAATGTGATTAAATACGTAAGCTAATTGTGTCTTAAACTTCCTAGCCCCAGGTCCAAATTGGTAAAATAGCCAGCATCTGTCTGCCTCCTCAAAGATCAAACCAGGAAGATTTATACAATGAAAACATCATGAAAAATAATAGGAAAAAACTGAGTAGTCACTGCATAGACCAAGGCTGCTGAGACTGTATTTCTTTTTTATTAGGTCTGTTTATTTATTAGGTGTTTTTCTTTTTGTTTCTTCTCTCTTTTTTTTTTTTTTTTTTTTTTTTTTTTTGAGATGGAGTCTCACTCTGTCGCCCAGGCTGGAGTGTAGTGGCACTATCTCGGCTCACTGCAACCTTTGCCTCCCAAGTTCACACCATTCTCCTGCCTCAGCCTCCCGGGTAGCTGGGATTACAGGCATGCACCATCATGCCCAGTTAATTTTGTATTTTTAGTAGAGACGGGGTTTCTCCATGTTGAGGCTGGTCTCGAACTCCTGACCTCAGGTGATCCGCCCGACTCGGCCTCTCAAAGTGCTGGGATTACAGGATTGAGCCACCGCACCCGGCCGACAATTCCATTCTTATTTCCGTAGAATGCTTTCAAAGATGTTTGAGAGAATGGGAGGAAAAGGAAACATATCTAAAATGCCGATATTAACTGTAAATACCACCCCGCCACACACACGGATTAAATTCTTTTTCTACTGACATTCTGTGTTGGTAACACCATATTGGTTTCTGTATAAAGATTTAGAAATGCTTCAAATCCAATGGGTGGAGACAGGGCGTTCCCTATGGATTATCCACTGATTGCATTATCACTCCCTCTATAAAAGAGGAGCTAGATGCAGAAGCCACTGCATTTTCCGGCAAGCCAAGGGCTGTCTGTGCCTCAGGAGTGGGGTCAGCAGGAGGAACTCTACAGCTATGGGAGAACCTGCGTTCACCTCTTTTCCAAGCCTGCCTGTTCTGGTGAGTATGGGATCCTTATTGACTATTGACCAAAATAATGTCCATTTGTATTCCTTTTTCTTTCTGTAAAACATCTTCACAGTTTAGCAAGTTGTTCTCAAAACTAGATGCTATCTCGTGGAAACTTATACCCTAGGTGTTAATATTTGTTGAGTAATACTCAAGTAATATTCAAAATATTCAACAATATTCTAATTTTTTGTTCACGGAGCTATCTGGGGATAATAGCCCTGATTTTTTAAAAGTCCAACAACATCACTAAGAAGGAAAAGAGGTATTACTTGGCCTTGCAGTCTTCAAATTGTCTCTCTCTCTGGAAAGTTCTTGAACCAGAAATTGCTTGGTCCCTTTAAAAAAAAATTTTAGTTCTCTGGTTAAATATCATGATTGGTTAGTCCTTCCCTAAACTCACTGTCATGATTCATTGTAGTGAATTTCTTTCTTTTCTGTTTCTCTGTTTCTCCTCCTTCCATCCCTCTCTGTCTCTCCCTTCTTCTTCATCATGGAACTTAATTATATCTGATACCCTATCGGAAATTTGTTTTTAGTGTGTTTATTATGTCTTCCTTCTCACCAAGATGAAAATCAACAGAGTGGTGATTTCTGCAGTTTACTTCTGGATCAGGGGTTCTACTGCACAGCTTGGCACATCATAAGTGCCCTGTAACTAAGGAGACTAAATAATTTTCCCTCCAAAGGGGAACACCTTGGGTCGTGTAAGGGGTAGTATTAATCTTAATGCCAGGACAACAGAAATGAAATGAGAAGGACAGAAATGAAGGCTTTATGTTTGTATCTGAAACAGCTTTATGAGACTAGAGTCTTCCAATTGATTTAGAGCAAGAAAGGATTTCAAATCTTAGGAGGGGCTTAATCATCTTTCTCAGTATGTCATCAAAAGATTCTCTCATGGTGTAACTCTAGTTAATTGAGCTTATTAGAAACAGAAAGCAACATGGTGTTTCTGAGGTTTTTCTTCATGAGCAGGAGGTGTTCAGGTGAAGGTGGGATCTGGGTGTGGCAGTGAGTATTTAAGGTGGCGAGTGCACGATTTCTTTGGAAACCAGAGAGTCAAGGAGCTATGAAAATGACGTTGTGTCCTGAAGCACAGCAGAAAGAGATACAGAGAAGCGTGAGGTCTTGGTGAACAGGGAAGTCTGGGATCCCGGTGTCCTGTTGGGGATGGGTTAGGAGGCACCAGCATCTGTGTAGCTGACAGTGGCAGGGAAGAGAAGAGAGGGGTGTCCTCTGAGGAGGATGAGGAGGGACAAGGTCTGGAACTGACCCTGGGTCATGACCTTGAGCATTTAGTCCTTGACTCGCATCAGCCCGATGAGGTCCCAGGACCCAGTGTCAATGCCTGGAGCTCCTGCCAGCAGCATCAGGGTCACACGGAGAAATGCAGACTCTAGGTTCCACCCCAGACTTACTTGGGTTCAGGTCCACATATCTGACTTCAGCAAACCCTGCAGGTGCTGAGGATGTACACTGCCATTTGAGACACATTTCCCCAGAAAGAGAGGCTGGTGGGAAGATTCCACTGAGCTGAGAGAAGCCCCCCACAGCTGATCTTCTCCTGTCTCCATTTGGTTGAAATTTCACATTTTCTTTTCTTTTGAAAGGGGAAGCTCAAAAGGAACATGATGCCCTGGGCTTTACAGAAGAAACGAGAAATCCACATGGCCAAGGCCCATCGGAGACGAGCTGCGAGGTCTGCTCTCCCCATGAGACTCACCAGCTGCATCTTCCGGAGGCCGGTGACAAGGATCAGGTCTCATCCTGACAACCAGGTCAGACGCAGAAAAGGGGACGAGCACCTGGAGAAGCCGCAGCAACTCTGCGCCTACCGGAGACTGCAGGCCCTGCAGCCCTGCAGCAGCCAAGGAGAAGGTTCAAGTCCACTGCATTTGGAGAGCGTCTTAAGTATCCTTGCACCGGGGACGGCCGGTGAATCTCTGGACAGAGCTGGTGCTGAGCGTGTGCGCAGCCCGCTTGAGCCCACCCCTGGGCGGTTTCCAGCTGTGGCAGGGGGGCCAACCCCAGGAATGGGTTGTCAGCTCCCACCGCCCCTCTCTGGCCAATTGGTGACTCCTGCAGATATCCGGAGACAGGCCAGGAGGGTGAAGAAAGCCAGGGAGAGACTGGCCAAGGCCTTGCAGGCAGACAGGCTGGCCAGGCGGGCAGAAATGTGACAGGTGGATGAAGTGCAGGAGGAGGGGGTGCTGAGAAGCTGTGGGGTGTGGCCCCGCAGTTGGGGGGTGAGTCAGTGGGGACAGTCCTGGGTTTTGAATCCCTATCTTTTAATGCCCGTCCTCTTTCCTGCTATGAATTGTCACACTTTGTACTTCCCCACCAGTTCTTTATTAAAAGCATTTGAAAGGCAACAGTGTAAGGAGTGGATGGTTTTGTGGCGAGAAATTGGGTTTCGTAAGGCAAAGAAGGAGACCTTTATATGTCATTGTACACCTCAATGTCCGTTTACCATGATTTTTATTAGTTTTTCTTTTCTTTTCTTTTCTTTTCTTGTTTTTTTTGAGACAGAGTTTCCCTCTTGTTGCCCGGGCTGGAGTGCAATGGCGCGATCTTGGCTCACCGCAACCCCTGCCTCCCGGGTTCAAGCGATTCTCCTGCCTCAGCCTCCTGAGTAGCTGGGATTACAGGCGCCCACCACCACACCTGGCTAATTTTGTATTTTTGGTAGAGATGCGGGTTTCACCATGTTGGTCAGGCTGGTCTCAAACTCCCGACCTCAGGTGATCCGCCTGCTTTGGCCTCCCAAAGTGCTGGGATTGCAGGTGTGAGTCACTGTGCCTGGCCTGATGTTAATTAGTTTTCCTACTAAATTCTAATTTAATCTTAAATGAAATTCTAAAAAATAAAATTAAATTATATACTTTTTAAGTGATATGATTACATTACATAATTTAATAAAGTACACTGATTTTAACATTAAATTTTTATTTTGAAATTACATTTTCATTTTTATTTTTTAGATTCAGGGGTACATGTATTTGTTGATTTTATTAATATATTTTGCTGAATGGTACGGATTGGGTTTCTAGGGTACTCGTTACCCAAATGGTGAACATTGTATACAAAAGGTAATTTTTTTTTTGTTTTTACAAAAGATAATGTTTCAAACAAGAAGTAATTAAATTATTCTATGCTGAAGGATCATTTAGTGTTTTGTAGTTACATTTTTCCTTTTTTTAACTTTATTTTATTATGTATTTATTTATTTATTTTTTGAGAGAGAGAGTCTTGCTCTGTCACCAGGCTGGAGTGCAATGGCACGATCTCAGCTCACTTCAACCTCCGCCTCCTGGGTTCAAGCGATTCTTCTGCCTCAGCCTCCCAAGTAGCTGGGACTACAAGTGCCCACCACCACGCCTGGCCAATTTTTGTATTTTTAATAGAGACAGTGTTTTGCCATGTTAGCCAGTCTGGTCTCGAACTCTTCACCTCAGGTGATCTGCCCACTTCGGCCTCCCAAAGTGCTGGGATTACAGGCGTGAGCCACCGTGCCCGGCCTATATGCGGATTTTCAACTGCTGGTGGTGTGGGGTCAGTGCCCGGACCCCCAAGATGTTCAAGGTTCAACTGTAGATGCTGATAAAAGTGTCAATTCAGTAAGAAGAAACAAAACTATGACAATGTACTCACGAAACCATGGAGACCAGAAATATAAGAAGTAAAGATGAACAAAATTTAAGGCGGAAAATAGATGGTTTTACAAAAGCTGGAGACATCAATATGGCCCTTGCAATAATGCATAGACCCAACAGACAGCGCATTAATCATGAAAGGGGGGATTTGAATAAACTATAGACCAACTTGGACGCAAAGCCTACGTAGAGCACTGCATTTACCAACAGCGGAGCAGTCGCCCCTCTCAAGTGCAATGGAGCATTCTCCAGGATAGACCATATGTTAGGCCATGGGACAGGTCACAGCAAATTAAAAAAAACTGAAACTATACAAAGTATCTTCCAAGATTGCTCTAGAAAGAAGCTAGAAATTCACAATAAAAAGAATGCTGGGAAATTCAGATATGTGGAAATTAAATAGCAGGCTCATAAACAACCAATGGTTTAAAGAAGAATGCACGGCTGGGCGCAGTGGCTCACGCCTGTAATTCCAGCACTTTGGGAGGCCGAGGCGGGTGGATCACCTGAGGTCAGGAGTTCAAGACCAGCCTGGCCAACATGGTGAAACCCCGTCTCTATTAAAAGTACAAAAATTAGCCGGGCGTGGTGGCGTGCGCCTATAATCCCAGCTACTTGGGGCAGGGGTGGGCTGAGGCAGGAGAATCGCATAAACCCAGGAGGTAGAGGTTGCAGTGAGCCAAGATTGCGCCACTGCACTCCACAGCCTGGGCAACAGAGTGAGACTCCATCTCAAACAAAACGAAACAAAACAAAAAAGAATGCACAAGTGAAATTAGAAAATATCTTGAGAGAAATGAAATTGGAAACACAACATATCAATGTCTGTGAGATTCTGTAGAAACATTGCTCGCAAATTTAAACCTTTAACAAGTTTCTTCAAAAAAGAAAAAAGGTATCAAATTAATAATCTAACTTTTAATCTCAAGGAACTACAAAAAGAATAGCAAAGTAAATTAAAAGTGGGCAGACAGAAAGAAATAAAGATTAGAATGAATGTACATGAAATAGAGAATATAAAAAGCACAGAGAAAATCAGTGACACCACAAGTTGGTTCTTCAAGATTGGCAAACTGACAAACCTTTAGGTAGTCTGTCCTCGATGACAGAGGGCAAATGCAAATAAATAAATTAGAGATGAACATGGAGACATTATTACTGACCTTGCAGAAATAAAAAAGGAGAATATAATGAAGTATACATGAATAAATTCTGTAATGTAGATGAGCAAATTCCTTAAAATGCACAAATTATTAAAACAGATCCAAGAAGGCCGGGTGTGATGGCTCATGACTGTAATCCCAGCACTTTGGTAGGCTGAGGTGGGCGGATCACATGAGGCCAGTAGTTTGAGACCAGCCTGGCAACATGGTGAAACCCCATCTCTACTAAAAATACAAAAAATAGCCAGGCGTGGTGGTGCACACCTGTAACCCCAGCTACTCGGTGGCTGAGGCACAAGAATTGCTTGAACCAAGGGGGCAGAGGTTGCAGTGAGCCAAGATCTCGCTACTGCACTCCAGCCTGGGCCACAGAGTGAGACCTTGTCTCAAAACAAAAACAAAAATAAAAAACAAAGCAAATTCAAGAAAAAATACAAAGTTTGAATAGATCTATAATATGAAAAAAGGCTGAATTAGTAATAAAAACAGTCCTACAAAGAAAAGCTCACAATTAGATGGCCTCACTAGTGAATCTGATCAAACCTTTAAAATCCCCCAAAAAATAGAAAAGGAGGGAACACATTGTAACTTATTCTATGAGGCCAGCATTTCACTGGTAACACACCAGACAAAGACATAACAAGAAAACTATAGACCAATACCTTTAAGATAACAGATTAAAAATCTCCAATAAAATACTAGCAAATCAAATCTAATAGCGTATTTGAAAAATTACATACCATGTCCAAATGGAAAATACCCCAGGAAAGCAAAGGACATTCAATTTAGTTAAATCAATCAATGTAATCTACCACATTAATAAAAGGAAGAAGGCGGTGGGTGGCTCACGCCTGTAATCCCAGCACTTTAGGAGGCCGAGGCAGGCAGATCATGAGGTCAAGAGATCGAGACAATTCCGGCCAACATGGTGAAACCCCGTGTCTACTAAAAGTACAAAAATTGGCTGGGCGTGGTGGCACTCGCCTGTAGTCCCAGCTATTCGGGAGGCTGAGGCAGGAGAATTGCTTCAATCTGGGAGGCAGAGGTTGCAGTGAGCTGAGATCATGCCACTGCACTGCACTCCAGCCTGGTGACAGAGCGAGACTCTGTCTCAAAGATAAATAAATAAATAAAATAAAAATAAAAGGAAGAAAAAATCATGCTTTAAAAAAATGCAGCTGTTCATTTGATCAAATCCAATACTTTTTAATAAAAACACATTCAGAAATAATAAGAGGGAACTTCCTTAACATGATAGAGGACATAAATCAGAAACCACAGCTAACATCATAATTGATAGCAAAAGACTGGCTGCTTCACCTCTAAGTCCAGTACGAAGACAAGGAGCCCATTTTCACTTCGTTATTAAACATTGTTCTGAAAGTTTTAGCTAGAAAAATTAGGCAAGAAAAGCAAATAAAAGGCATTCAAATTGGAAAGGAAGAAGTAAAATTATCCTGATTCCCAGATGACAAGATCCAATACACAAGCAATCTCAAAGAATCCACAAAAAATGATTAGAGCAAATTTTTAAGGCTCCAGGGTACAAGATCAATATGCAAAACTCAGTTGTGTTTCTATATACTTCAAACGAATTCTCCAAAGAGAAAATTAAGGAAATAATTTTATTTATAGTAACAGCCAAAAGAGTAGAGCACCTAGGTATGAATTTAACTTAAAAGGTGAGAGATTTGTGCTAAAAACTAGAAAACATTGCTGAAAGTAATGAAGAAAGCTTAAATATATGGAAAGACATCCCATATTCATGGATCAGAGGACTTAGAATAATTAAGATTACAACACAATCCAAAGCAATGTATAGATTCAATGAAATCCTTATCAAAATCCCAGTGGCCCTTTTTGCAGAAATGGAGAAACTATCCTATAATTTATTAATATGTAGAATTTCAAGGTTTGAAACAATCTTGTCAAAGAAAAACAAAGTTGGAAAACCCATGTTTTCCAATTACCAAACTTAATACAAAAATTCTGTAATCACAGGTGTGATATTGAAATAAGGATAGGGTCATGGAACAATGGGGTAGAATTGAGAGTCCAGAAATAAACCCATATCCATAGCTAACTGGTTTTTGACAAGTGCACAAAGACCATTCAATGGGGAAAAGACAGTCTCACTCTGTCACCCAGGCTGGAGAGCAGTGGCGCAGTCTCGGCTCACTGCAGCCTCCGCCTCTTGGGTTCAAGCGATTCATGTGCCTTAGCCTCCTGAGTAGCTGGGATTACAGGGGCATGCCACCATGCCTGGCTAATTTTTGTATTTTTAGTACAGAAGGGGTTTCACCATGTTGACCAGGCTGGTCTTGGACTCCTGATCTCAAGTGATCCACCAGCCTCAGCCTCCCAAAGTGAAAAATCAGTATTTTTAACAAATGGTGCTTTTACAACTGGATATCCAAATGAAAAAGAATGAAGTTAGACCCCTACCTCATGTGGTATACAAAACTTAATGAAACAACAATTAACTGGATGTCAAAAAGTGCTGACCTGCTGGAGTGTAAGAGGCCACGTGGGAGAGAAACAAGGCTTGGCAGTCAACAATTCATCACTCTGGTTGCCAACTTCCAACCACAAGATGAGTGAGTAACACTATCTTAGATTATCTATTCTTTGACCAACATGTGGAACTGAAGCACAAAACACAAACATCATTTCCTCCTTTGTCAGTCATGTAAAAGGAATTGTTTCTCAGCAAACTTCCCATGCCCTGAAAGAGTGGTATTCAGTATGTGGATTGGCTGGCATCCCAGCTACTCCAGAGGCTGAGGTGGGAGGATCGCTTGAGCCCAGGAGGTCGAGGCTGCAGTGAGCTGTAATCGTACCACTACACTCCAGTCTGGGTGACAGAGCAAGACCTTGACTCCAAAAATATGAAAAAATAAAAAAGTTTTTACAAACATTTGAGAGCAGGAAATTAAAATTTTTAATAGTTTGGGGATAAATATTTAAACAATGTTTTATGTTCCAATATGCTTACTTTTCCATTTTTCAATATTTTTTGAACTGCCTTAATGTTCTGGGGAAACGGCATGTTGTCGGTGGTCAATAAATACTTCTTGAGTGAAAGAATCTATTTTTTTGGACATCATAAATCACTCAGATTATAAGAGGGCAAAGTTATTTTGCAGTATATTTATGGGAATAGAGAACCATGCAGGTTTTTTTCTTTCTTTCTTTTTGAGATGGAGTGTTGCCCAAGGCTGGAGTGTAATGGTGTGATTTCGGATCACTGTAACCTTTGCCTCCCGGGTTCAAGTGATTCTCCTGCCTCAGCCTCCCGAGTAGCTGGGATCACAGGTGCACACCACCACGTCCAGCTAATTTTTGTATTATTATTATTAGTAGTAGTAGTTGTAGAGACAGGGTTTCACCATGTTGGCCAGGCTGGTCTGGTCTCGAACTCCTGACGTCAGTGATCCACCCGCCTCGGCCTCCCAAAGTGCTGGGATTACAGGCGTGAGGCACCATGCCCGGCCGAGAACCATGCAGTTTTTATTGAGTCTCCTTTCTCCCTCTGGTGGAGACAAATGAGACCACAGCGGTAAAAGACTGTGGCAAGTGTAGCTTGATGTTTATAGTAAGAAAAATCCATGTTGTGGGCCGGGCGCAGTGGTTCACGCCTGTAATCCCAGCACTTTGGGAGGCCGAGGCGAGTGGATCACCTGTGGTCAGGAGTTCGAGACCACCCTGACCAAAATGGAGAAACCCCGTCTCTACTAAAAATTTTTGTTCCTACATTTTTGTTCCTACAAGGATGGGACGTGGTTGGCCTCATCTCCCGGGGACACCACGAGAGCTTTCCAGACGCCGGGTGATCGGGGAGCAGCTCCCAGTATGGCCTTATTTATGTCTCCTCCTGACCCATGTTAACGCATGGGCGCCCCATGATGTGGTCTAGTGAGGGCCTCTCCCTGGAGTCAAGGGCCAGAATTGTGTTTATGAGGCGTTCTAGTTCTATGGAAATGAGAAACGGGATCTCCTGTCATCGTTCACAGAGTATTAGTGTCCTCCTCAGCCCCACAAAAGTCTGCCCAACAGATGGCAGTCCTCGGCCACCATGGTGTAGACAGTGACTCCCAGGCTCCACACGCCCACCGGAGTCCATCGTACTTTTGCCTCCGGGAACAGTTCCGAGGCTGCGTAAGAGGAGCTCCCACCGAAGGGGATCAGCTTTCAGCCTACGGTGAATCTGGTATCAAAGCCAGAGTCTGTTGTTTCCATGTCGTGCTGAGCCTCCTCAGGGAAGTTCTCTGGCTTCAGATCCCTGTGGATAATTTCCTTCTGGAAGCCTCACTGCATGGAATATCCTATTTGCTGGAACTTGCCTCAGGCCTCTTCCCCCTTCAAGGAGAATTGGAGGGTGAAGTCGGATAGCTCTCCCGAGCTGGCTTAATCCATGACTAGGAACAGCCTGTTCTCGGTGCCAGCCACGTGGGTCTGATGATCTTCGGGTGATTAAGGGCCTTCATCATATGGACCCTGCAGTACAGATCCTGGGGGCTGCAGGAGCCCTGCTGCCCTGTTGGGGTGACCTCCACAGCCATCTTGGTCCCAGTGAGAATGTGCTGGGCCAGCTGCCTTGACTTCTGCAAAGCTGCCCTGGCTGATGACCTTGAGGAGCCTATGATCATCAGTAAGGGACTCCTCGGAGGCAGAACTGGTCCCAAGGCCCTGCGGCGTGGTGACCTCCCAGCTACACATCTCAGCTAGGAATGCCAACTGAGAATACTACCCCTACAAACTTTGCCAACAAGAAGCAAGAATGACACAGCTGGAGGTGTCTGCTGACATGTGAGGGTGACCTCTGGTCACCTCCATGCCAGGGACAACGTTCGAGGCCAACTCTACCATGGCTGCACCCAGGAGCCAGATGATGTCACCGGGAATCACCTCTCCCGGCCTCTTGGCTCTGCTGACTTCCCTCTGAGTTGATGTCGTTCTCAGGTGGGCTCTTCCTCCAAGGTGACAAGATGGCACCCACAGCCCCAGCAGCCTAACTGAAATAGATCTTCTCCCGGATGTTTCCAAGACAACAACCTGACCTTTGGCACTGAGTGTGTCACATGAGCAGGCCTTAGCCAATCACTGTGGACAAAGAGGATGGGATCTGCGGATTGGCCATGTTGAGGTCATGTGGCCACTGTCTCCATGGAAAGTTGGGAGCTGCTCAGCTGTTCTCAGTTGGGAGACGCTGTGATGGCTGAGAGAGCAGGTTCAGACTCGGAAGGTCACTACAACTGGATATCCAACTGCAGAATGACTTTGGACACCTACCTCACAGGATATAGAAAAATGAATGAAAACAACAGTTAACAAGGGGCCAGAAAGTGCTAGTCTAATGCACGTTATGATACACAAAAATCAACTCAAAATCGATCAGTGTCGTAAACATAAACCTTGAAACTAGAAAGCTTTTAGAAGCAAACAAAGGGTAATTTTTTATGATCCATATCTTAGGTCATAAAAACCCATAGTGATTTTAGAGATGACACCAAAAGTACAAGAAAAAAAGCAGATACATTTCAGTTCACTCTTTATTTTGTACACTCTATGAGTTTTAACAAATGTGTAATAACCTGTACCCATCATTACTGTGTCATACAGAATGGTTTCACTGCCCTGAAAATCCCCTGTACTTCACGGCTTTAGATAGAGGTCTGGCGGTGTGAGCCTCGTCATTGATGTTTTGGGTGGTGGGGAATGTAGGTGTTTTTCAGTTACTATCCTCCGCTTTAGGGCAGAAAAGAGAGGAATTCCCCACCTAGCCCCAGGTTTTCATAAAACCATAAGTAATGAAGGAACCCAATACTGCAGGTGAAGAAATGAATCGTCAGGATATATTGATCCGTGGGATTATCATAGTAAAAATAGCTAAGAAATAAGGAAGGAGATCACATTTTAGAACCCAACAATGCAGCTTGAATTCTGCATGGATCTTGAGCTACTCATTTGGACTTTGTGAATTCAGTGTGAATGTTGCTTCCCAGGCAATGGGGGACGCATGCACTTGCCGGTGCTCGTGCACACGGGATTGGCGTGCAGATGTGTGCGGGCCGCACAGGGGATGTTCTGCAGCTGCCCTGGGCCCTGGGTGTGTGAGGCTGCCCCCCTGCCATGTTGAACTTTAAAGGGTGTGATGCCGGAATGTTGTTGGCTGAGTCCGGACTGGCATGAGCCCTTCTGATCCTGTTACCTCACACCTTGCCTGGCATCATCCCAAAAGGCGTTTGTGCAAATGGCTTATTGACACGGGCTTGGGACCAAATCCACCCAAGGGGAGGGGGTCCCTGGGGCCTTGCTATCTGTGGACTTGGATGAAATCATAGTGCCTGGGGGTGGAGAGGATGACCCTCAGATATGTTTTCCAACTCGTGTTTTTCTTCTAGATGCAGGACCCCAGATGCAGAGCCCCAGGGCATAGAGGATTTCAGATTCTTACAGGGGACTGGAGGAG
This sequence comes from Homo sapiens, assembly GCF_000001405.40. Taxonomy (NCBI): domain Eukaryota; kingdom Metazoa; phylum Chordata; class Mammalia; order Primates; family Hominidae; genus Homo; species Homo sapiens. Next base: position 7,010,052 of record NC_000019.10, on the reverse strand, counting down.
GCTCGGCTGAAAGGAGTCAGGGCTGCGAGGGTGGGGGAGAGATTTGAGTAGTTTCTCCATTTCACAGCAATAATTACCGCCCCCCACCACACACACATACACATATTCACACATGATATATGCATACACCTGTCTGGTGCTGCAAGTTCCCCCTTTGCTCAGACTTAGGGTTTTGCAGACACTTCTAAGGAAACAAAGATGTTCCCTTTAATTTTTGTCATCTTGCTCCTGAAACTTCTGCAAGTGTGCAGTGTGACTCATCCCATCTTTCTTTCTTTCCTGTTCTTTTCTTTTCTTTTTTCCTTTTCTTTCTTTTTGTGTGATGGAATTTCACTCTTGTTGCCCAGGCTGGAGTGCAGTGGCATGATCTCGGCTCACAGCAACCTCTGCCTCCCGGGTTCAAGTGATTCCCCTGCCTCAGCCTCCAGAGTAGCTGGGATTGCGGGTGCCCGCCACCACGCCTGGCTAATTTTTATATTTTTAGTAGAGGCGGGGTTTCACCATGTTGGCCAGGCTGGTCTTGAACTCCTGACCTCTTGATCCACTCGCCTCAGCCTCCCAAAGTGCTGGGATTACAGGCATGAGCCACTGCATCCAGCCTCCCACATTTCTTAAATGATCTGCATCATAAAATATGGTGTTTTAATTATGTGCTATCTGGTTGTTCCTCATTTCCTGGACACGTATGAGTATTATCTCCCAGACTAGATTGCTTAGCTCTGTGGAGGTGTGCACCTCAAAGCAGGTTCTTGCAAAAACCCACTTCCCCCATTCCCTTCCTGTGGTTAGAACGCTGGGTGCAAACAAGTAATTACTCTGTGTCTGGCTATGAATTATAATATAGGGCATTAGATTCCCAAGACCAGAGGATTCTTTTTTTTTTTTTTTTTAACATGGTTTTGCTCTGTCTCCCAGGCTGGAGTGCAGTGGCACATCTTGGCTCTCTGCAACCTCTGCCTCCTGGGTTCAAGCAATTCTCCTGCCTCAGCCTCCCGAGTAGCTGAGATTACAGGCGCCCACCACCATACCCGGCTAATTTTGTATTTTTAGTAGAGACAGGGTTTCACCATGTTGGCCAGACTGGTCTCGAACTCCTGACTTCAGGTGATCTGCCTGCCTCGGGCCCAGCTAGATTCATCTTTAAAGAACAAGTTAACCAAAAAATAGAATCAAACATAATAAGTATACGTATTTTGTATATATGTAAAAATGTAAATGCACTAAACAATCCTAGGTAATGTTAACGGATATATGTGTTTTGTATATTAATACATGCTTAAATGTTATTAATATGTATTTGGATGTATATAATGTATGTGTATGAAATTCAGAATAGAAGTATATACACCGAATAAATAATGATATTTGCCTGCTCTGGGAAACAGGGAGAAGAGAAATTGGATTGTCTGGGGAGCCAACGGGAGACTACTTGTTTGTAAAATGTTATTTTTAAAAGACTCAAAGTGAATATAACCAAATTCAGTAATTCTCCATTCTGGGTGATTGGAATATAGATGTTTGATATATTATAATTGCCTGATTTAAAATGTAAAAAATAGGCTGGACGCAGTGGCGCATGCCTGTAATCCCAGCACTTTGGGAGGCCGAAGCGGGTTGATCACCTGAGGTCACGAGTTCGAGACCAGCTTGGCCAACATGGTGAAACCCTGTCTCTACTAAAAATACAAAAATTAGCCTGGTGTGGTGGTGGGCACCTGTAATCCCAGCTACTCAGGAGGCTGAGGCAGGAGAATCGCTTGAACCCGGGAGGCAGAGGTGGCAGTGAGCCGAGACCACACCACTGCACTCCAGCCTGGGCAACAAGAGTGAAATTCCGTCTCAAAAAAAAAAAGAGAGAGAGAGAGAGAAGAAAAGAAAAAAGAAAGAAAGAAAGCAGTTGGCATCAGTCATATTGCACACATGGAGGGGAAGCTTCAGGAGCAAGTAGACAAAAATAAAAGGGAACATCTTTGTTTCCTTAGAAGTGTCTGCAAAACCCTAAGTCTGAGCAAAAGGGGAACTTGCAGCACAGACAGGTGTATGCATATATCATGTGTGTGCATGTGTGTGTGTGTGTGTGTGTGTGTGTGTGGTGGGGGGCAGTAATTATTGCTGTGAAATGGAGAAACTACTCGAATCTGTCCCCTACCCTCGCAGCCCTGACTCCTTTCAGCCGAGCCTCCTCCAGTCCCCTGCAAGAATCTGGAATCCTCTATGCCCTGGGGCTCTGCATCTGGGGTCCTGCATCTAGAAGAAAAACACGAGTTGGAAAACATATCTGAGGGTCATCCTCTCCACCCCCAGGCACTATGATTTCATCCAAGTCCACAGATAGCAAGGCCCCAGGGACCCCCTCCCCTTGGGTGGATTTGGTCCCAAGCCCGTGTCAATAAGCCATTTGCACAAACGCCTTTTGGGATGATGCCAGGCAAGGTGTGAGGTAACAGGATCAGAAGGGCTCATGCCAGTCCGGACTCAGCCAACAACATTCCGGCATCACACCCTTTAAAGTTCAACATGGCAGGGGGGCAGCCTCACACACCCAGGGCCCAGGGCAGCTGCAGAACATCCCCTGTGCGGCCCGCACACATCTGCACGCCAATCCCGTGTGCACGAGCACCGGCAAGTGCATGCGTCCCCCATTGCCTGGGAAGCAACATTCACACTGAATTCACAAAGTCCAAATGAGTAGCTCAAGATCCATGCAGAATTCAAGCTGCATTGTTGGGTTCTAAAATGTGATCTCCTTCCTTATTTCTTAGCTATTTTTACTATGATAATCCCACGGATCAATATATCCTGACGATTCATTTCTTCACCTGCAGTATTGGGTTCCTTCATTACTTATGGTTTTATGAAAACCTGGGGCTAGGTGGGGAATTCCTCTCTTTTCTGCCCTAAAGCGGAGGATAGTAACTGAAAAACACCTACATTCCCCACCACCCAAAACATCAATGACGAGGCTCACACCGCCAGACCTCTAAGGCCGTGGAGTACAGGGGATTTTCAGGGCAGCGAAACCATTCTGTATGACACATAATGATGGGTACAGGTTATTACACATTTGTTAAAACTCATAGAGTGTACAAAATAGTGAACTGAAATGTATCTACTTTTTGTTTTTTTGCTTGTAATTTGGTGTCATCTCTAAAATCACTATGGGTTTTCATGACCTTAGATGGGGTTATAAAAAATTACCCTTTGTTTGCTTCTAATAGCTTTCTAGTTTCAACGTTTCCATTTATAACACTGATCGATTTTGATCTGATTTTTGTGTATCATACACTCCAGGAGACTAGCACTTTCTGGCCCCTTGTTAGCTGTTGTTTCATTCATTTTTTATATATCCTGTGAGGTAGGCGTCCAAAGTCATTCTTCTGCAGTTGCATATCCAGTTGTAGTGACCTTTCGAGCCTGAACCTGCTCTCTCAGCCACCACAGAGTCTCCCAACTGAAAACAGTTAAGCATCTCCCAAGTTTCCATAGAGACAGTGGCCACATGACCTCAACCTGGCCAATGGGCTGATCCCATCTTCTTTGTCCACAGTGATTGGCTAAGGCCTGCTCATGTGACACACTCAGTGCCAAAGGTCAGGTCATTGTCTTGGAAACATCTGGGCGGAGAAGATCTATTTCCGTTAGGCTGCTGGAGCTGTGGGTGCCATCTTGCCACGTTGGAGGAAGAGCCCACCTGAGAATGACATCAACTCAGAGGGAAGTCAGCAGGGCCAAGAGGCCGGGAGAGATGATTCCTGATGACATCATCCGGTTCCTGGGTGCAGCCATGGTAGAGTTGGCCTCGAACGTTGTCCCTGGCATGGAGGTGACCAGAGGCCACCCTCACATGTCAGCAGACACCTCCAGCCGTGTCATTCGTGTTCCTGGTTAGCAAAGTTTGTAGGGGTAGTATTCTCAGTTGGCATTCCTAGCTGAGATGTGTAGCCGGGAGGTCACCACGCTGCAGGGCCTTGGAACCACTTCTGCCTCCGAGGAGTCCCTTACTGATGATCATAGGCTCCTCAAGGTCATCAGCCAGGGCAGCTTTGCAGAAGTCAAGGCAGCTGGCCCAGCACATTCTCACTGGGACCAAGATGGCTGTGGAGGTCACCCCAACAGGGCAGCAGGGCTCCTGCAGCCCCCAGGGTCTGTACTGCAGGGACCATATGATGAAGGCCCTTAATCACCCGAAGATCATCAGACCCACGTGGCTGGCACCGAGAACAGGCTGTTCCTAGTCATGGATTAAGCCAGCTCGGGAGAGCTATCCGACTTCACCCTCGAATTCTTCTTGAAGGGGGAAGAGGCCTGAGGCAAGTTCCAGCAAATAGGATATTCCATGCAGTGAGGCTTCCAGAAGGAAATTATCCACAGGGATCTGAAGTCAGAGAACTTCCCTGAGGAGGCTCAGCACGACATGGAAACAACAGACGCTGGCTTTGATACCAGATTCACCGTAGGCTGAAAGCTGATCCCCTTCGGTGGGAGCTCCTCTTATACAGCCTCAGAACTGTTCCCCGGGACAAAAGTACGATGTACCCTGGTGGGCGTGTGGAGCCTGGGAGCCACTGTCTACACCATGGTGGCCGAGGACTGCCATCTGTTGGGCAGACTTTTGTGGGGCTGAGGACGACACTAATACTGTGTGAATGGTGACAGGCGATCCCATTCCTTGTTTCCATAGAACGAGAATGCCTCATAAACACAATTCTGGCCGTTGACTCCAGGGAGAGGCCCTCACTAGCCCTCATCATGGGGCGCCTATGGATTAACATGGGCCAGGAGGAGACGCTAACTAAGGCCATACTGGGAGCTGCTCCCCGATCACCCGGAGTCTGGAAAGCGCTCCTGGTGTCCCCGGGAGATGAGGCAGACCATGTCCCATCGTTGTTGAAAAAATATGTGATGATACCATGGCCGGCTATCAGATCCTGGGCTGCAGGAAACCCGAGGTGTGGGGCGCCATCATCACAGTGAAGCTCCTGCCTTCAGCAGATCCTACTACTTGCCGCCATTCTCCCCCATCACATGAAAAAAACTCCTCTAATGAATATTAAACTTGTACTGGAAAAAGGTCAATAAATAAATAAATAAGATATAGTCGCCTTAGCCAACTCTGTTTCCTTTTTTTTTTTTTTGACAGAGTCTGGTTCTGTCATTCAGGCTAGAGTGCAGTGGCACGATCTTGGCTCACTGCAACCTTTGCCTCCCGGGTTCAAGCGATTCTCCTGCTTCAGCCTCCCAGGTAGCTGGGATTACGGGCATGCGCCACCATGCCTGGCTAATTCTGTATTTTTAGTAGAGACGGAGATTCTCCATTTTGGTCAGGCTGGCCTCAAACTCTCGACCTCAGGTGATCCACCCGCCTCGGTCTCCTAAAGTGTTGGGATTACAGGCGTGAGCCACCGCGCCTGGCCAGAAAACTCCTGTGTTTAAGGTAAGTAGGTAAAGCTGTGACCTCCACAACAGGGATTTTTCTTACTATCATCAAACTGCACTTGCCGTTCTGTTATCCCTGTGGTATCATTTGTCTCCACTAGGGGGAGAAAGGAGACGCAGTAAAAACTGCGTGGCTCTGTAATCCCACACATATAACATGAAATAAATTTACCCTCTTATAATCCGAATAATTTATGGTATGCAAGAAAATACAGATCCATTTACTCAAATATTTATTGACCACGTACAACACGCTTATCCTCCCAGAGCATTAGTTGAAAAAATACTGAAAAATTGGAAAGTGTATTAGAATTTAAAGCATTGTATAAATGTTTTATGTATCCCCAAACCAAAATTATTAAAACTCTAATTTCCTGTTTGTTTTTAAATTTTTGTAAGATTTATTTTTTATTATTTTTGGAGTCACGTTTTTGCTCTGTCTCCCAGGCTAGAGTGCAGTTGTGCGATCTGGGCTTACTGCAGCCTTGACCTCCTGGGCTCAAACCATTCTCCCACCTCAGCCTCCTGAGTAGCTGAGAATACAGGTGCACACCACCATGCCCAGCTCTTTCCTGGTTTTAATGGAAGCAAATTCATCAATATTTTTAAAATCAACTTCTGGGAAGAAAATGAACCATTAACTAAATGTAATATATATTTATATTTAAATATATTTCTGTATTTCTATATATATATGTATATATATATATATTTTTTTTTTTTTTTTTTGAGATGGAGTCTCACTCTGACACCCAGGCTGGAGTGCAGTGGCAAGATCTCGGCTCACTGCAATCTCCGCCTCCCAGGTTCAAGCAATTCTCCTGCCTCAGCCTCCCAAGTACCTGGGACTACAGGTATGCGCCACCATGCCCAACTAATTTTTGTATTTTTAGTAAAGACAGGGTTTCACCATGTTGACCAGGCTGGTCTTGAACTCCTGACCTCAGGTGATCCGCCCACCTTGGTCTCCCAAAGTGCTGGGAATACAGGTGTGAGCCACCGTGCCTGGTCCATTAACGATGTTATTTCAGCCTTAAAAACATTTTCAAGCTATAATCTTAACACTCTACTATTTGAGTGCTTTTAAAATCAGTAGGGTGTTATCAGTGGGAGGAAATTTATATGTCTCTTTTATTGTCTGATTGAAGAAAAACATTTATGAGCCGGGCGCGTTGGCTCACGCCTGTAATCCCAGCAACTTTGGGAGGCCGAGGCAGGAGGAGCACAAAGTCAAGAAGTAGAGACCATCCTGGCCAACGTGGTGAAACCCTGTCTCTACCAAAAATACAAAAATTAGCTGGGAGTGGTGGTGTGCGCCTGTAGTCCCAGCTACTCAGGAGGCTGAGGCAGGAGAATCACTTGAACCCAGGAGGCAGAGGTTGCAGTGAGCTGAGATCATGCCACTGCACTCCAGCCTGGCAACAGAGCGAGACTCTGTCTCAATTTAAAAAAAAAGAAAAGAAAAGAAAAAGAAAAACATTTATGACTACACAGAAGTTGCCCAAACTTTCCCAAATTGTAAAAATACATCATTAGAAATGTAGTAATTTGACCAGGCACAGTGGCTGATACCTATAATCCCAGCACTTTGGGAGTCCAAAGAGGGAAGATTGCTTGAGCCCAGGAGTTCACAACCAGCCCAGGGAACATAGCAAGACTCTGTCTCTACTCCCCTCCACCAAAAAGTAGCCAGGTATGGTGGTGGACACCTGTGATCTCAGCTACTTGGGAGGCTGAGGTGGGAGGATTGCTTGAGCCCAGGATGTCAAGGCTACAGTGAGTCTTGATCATGCCACTTCACTCTAGCCTGGGCAACAGAGCAAGACCCCGTCTCTATCTCTAAAATAAATATAGTAATTAGTAATTTCAAGTTTATTTTATTTTATTTTATTGAGACACAGTTTCACTCTGTCGCCCAGGCTGGAGTGCAGTGGCGCAATCTCAGCTCACTGCAACCTCGCCTCCCAGGTTCAAGCAATTCTCCTGCCTCAACCTCCCAAGTAGCTGGAATTACAGGCACCTGCCACCATGCCCAGCTATTTTTTGAGTTATTAACAGGGACAGGGTTTCTTTTTTCCTTTTTGAGAACAAGTCGCGTTCTGTCGCCCAGGCTGGAGGGCAGTGGCATGATCTCAGCTCACTGCAGCCTCTGTCTTGTGGGTTCAAGCCATTCTCCCACCTCAGCCTCCTGAGTAGCTGGGATTACAGGTGCCCACCACCATGCATGGCTAATTTTTGTATTTTTAGTAGATGGGGTTTCACCACGTTGGCCAGGCTGGTCTCAAACTCCTGACCTCAAGTGATCTTACCTGCCTCAGCGTCCCAAAGTGCTGGGACTACAAGCATGAGCCCCCGTGCCCAGCTAATTTGAAGTTTATTTAATTTTTGCTCATAGAAAAGCTTTCCATCATCAGTTCAAAGTCATCTGGTTACCTCCTGACTTAACGTTTTTGTTTCATTGTGTCCAAAGTTATTATTGATCTTTTATGTGTAATACTCATCATGTTAGATCATAATCAGACAAGTTCCTTGTCTGATTTATCTCTGAAAGTGTATTACCTAGCAGGAGATTGGGGTCACTGATTGGGTTTATAATGTTTGTTGAATGAATACATCTGGGAAAGACCGTGTGTCAATCTACTGCACAGCAACAGAATGTTATTCTGACATTCTGTCTCCTGAAGAGACACTCTTGGTTTTTTTTTTTATATCACTCTTGGTTTTTTTTTTATACTTTAAGTTCTAGGGTACATGTGCACTCTTGGTTTTATAAATAACGTCATGGGCTGGATGCGGTGGCTCACTCCTGTAATCCCAGCACTTTGGGAGGCTGAGGCGGGTGGATCATGAGGTCAGGAGTTTGAGACAGCCTGGCCAACATGGTGAAACCCCATCTCTACTAAAAATACAAAAATTAGCCGGGGGTGGTGGCAAGCGCCTGTAGTCCCAGCTGCTTGGAAGGCTGAAGCGGAGAATCGCTTGAACCCGAGAGGGGGAGGTTGCAGTGAGCCAAGATCATGCCACTGCACTCCAGCCTGGGCGACAGAGCAAGACTCCGTCTCAAAAAAAAAAAAAAAAAAAAAAAAAAAGAAGCTACTACTGTCTTAAGATAAGATCTGGTCCTGTAAGATGCATAGAGTTATTTTCTATTGTCAGTTCTATTAGTTAAGAAGTTACAAAGCCCAGATACAAGGAGATAAGACATAGACTTCAGCTCTCCAGAAAAGAATGTCAGAAAGTGTGGGGACATGTTTTAATACCATCTCAGGCACCAAGCACACTTAGCATAAGAGGTTTGTTAGAAACAAAGGTGACAATATTATCTAAGGGCATAATTCCATTGGTGTCCAGTGAACTGGCAAGAAAGATCATACGTACGAGCCACTGAACATGACCTTTTAGGCATCAAGTCTGGGCTGCCATTCTGACAGAGCCCAGGTTCTAAGCTCTGATTCCTATATCCCATTCTTTCCAAGTGGACCACCTACGCCATATTTCCAGCCAATTCACATACTGAACACCACTATTTCAAGGCATGGGAAGTTTGCTGAGAAACAATTCCTCTTAAATGATTGGCAAAGGAGGAAGTGATATTTGTGTTTTGTGGTTCAGTTCCACATGTTGGTCAAAGAATGGTGTTTTCTTCTTTTCTTGAAATAAGGGTTTCCTCTTCTATGACAGTTGATAAGAAAGCTAGAATAAGCAGAATCAGGACCAAAGTGTGTATTAATTGGTGACATGGGGAGAAACAGCTGCCCACTCAAATGAGTTAAATGAGGAGGGTTTAATGAAAGGACTGTTTATTTAGGTGAGGGTAGGGCTAAGGGAAATCAACAGAGGATGGTGAGGCACCCTGGGATTAGCAATGTGGGTAATCCAATGGGATTGTGGGTGCCATTGCTAATGGCACCCTGGGATTAGCAATGTGGGAAGCCAACCACTCGTTGGCTTGAAGGCATGAAGGCAGGGAGCATTTATAAGAACCTGGAAAGGGCTTTAGCCTACAGCAGAAAAACCCAACCTCTGTCCAAATGTGCAATGCTGGCAGGGAAGAGGAAGCTAGAGAAGTAAACACCCCATCTCTAGCTGCATCAGCTGTCTTTTCTTCTTCCGGGGCTAACCCTGGTCAAATCCAGCTTCACAGCAGAGTACACAAGTGCCTCATGATCCAGAACATACAGGGAAACCTCTTAATGCACAGGGCCGGTTGCAGAAGGATGGAGAACAGGTGTTTCTCACAATTGCCCAAAGTGAATTGTTAAATGCTTGTTAAAGTTTGGGAAATGACCAGGCCATATCAAACGTTCCTAGACCGAACATTTGCTCCTTGGGTTTTGAAATGGGCTGGTTTCTCTGACGGTGACAGTGTACTGTACTGCTCTACCGAGGCAAGGTGAGATACCCAACGTAGAGATTGGAGAGGAAGGTCATCAACAGATTCTCCTATCCAACGGCTTCTGCTTTTGTTGTTTCTTAATTTGTTCATTGCAGCTCATGAGTCACGCTGCTGTCTGTATCCCTTTCTGGGACTTATTCAGATCCCTCAAGAGAGACACAGTCTGAATGGATTGGTCAGTCAATATTCAATATACAGAACTGTTTGAAGGTACACTTATCTTCTTGGCCATCTCATAAGTTGTTGTTTGCCATATGGACCAATCCATGTTCCAATCAGCTGTGGTTGGGAGGTAGAGTTAAATAATACCATGTCTGACAACAAGAGTGCAAATAACCTATTCCAGGACACCTTGGGAAGTGTCTCAGTTGGCCTTGGGTGTATAACAAACCATCCTCTCCCCATTGAATTTTTTTTTTCTTAAAATAACAACTATTTCATTTAATTCATGATTCTGTGGTCATTCTTCAGATCTGAGCTGGCTTGTTTGTTCCATTCATACGTGTTTATCAGTTGGTGGGTATGCTGGTTGAATAGATGATCTGACACGGCCTTACCCACACATGTGGTGATCGGCAGATTGGCAACCAAAGTGATGAATTATTGTCTATCAAGCCTTGGTTTCTTCAACATGGCCTCTTACACTCCAGCAGGCTAGCATTTTTTTTTTGCATCCTGTTAGCTGTTGTTTCATTGGCCAAAGCCAGTCACATGGCCAAGATTAGAGCCAGAGACTACACTTAAAGATAGAGAATTCTTCCATCCCATGGTGCAATCTATCGCGTGCAGAATTGGACTATGAGCACACAGAATGCTCAGAATTTCAGGGACTTCCTTTGGGTTTAGGCATTTCAGTTTTACATGCAGACAATTTTGTCTTCAGTACAGCTGACAATGGCAGGCTTAATCCGTCTTTCATTTGTCATTTAAAAGATGATGCAGCAGGCTGGGCGCGGTGGCTCACGTCTGTAATCCCAACACTTTGGGAGGCCGATGCAGGCGGATCACCTAAGGTTAGGAGTTCGAGACCAGCCTGGCCAACATGGAGGAAATCCCGTCTCTACTAAAAACACAAAAATTAGCTGGGCGTGGCGGTGTGTGCCTGTAATCCCAGCTACTGGGGAGGCTAAGGCAGGAGAATCGCTTGAACCCGGGAGGCAGAGGTTGCAGTGAGCCAAGATTGTGCCATTGCACTCCAGCCTGGGTGACAAGAGCAAAAGAAACTCCATCCCAAAAAAAAAAAAGATGATGCAGCAAACATTTTGAGTGGTACATGGAGGAGGTGATTACCAGCCCAGCTATCCAGCCATATCTATGTTATTATTTGCATAATTTATTGCATTTACTCATGAATTTATAAAAATAAATGGAAAACAGAAAGATGAAGGTGTTAACGTTAGGGATAATAAGACCACGTTTCATATATGTAATAAAATCAAGACAAGAAGTAAATTGCTTGATGTGTATTTGGACTTGCCAAATTAGGGCATATTTGCCATATTCATGCTGGATCTTACGAAGATTCTTCTTCTTTTTTTTTTTTTTTTTTTTTGAGATAGAATCTCGCTCTGTCGCCCAGCCTAGAGTGCAGTGGCGCAATCTCCGCTCACTGCAAGCTCCGCCGCCTCCCGGGTTCACGCCATTCTCCTGCCTCAGCCTCCTGAGTAGCTGGGACTACAGGCGCCCGCCACCATGCCCGGCTAATTTTTTGTATTTTTAGTAGAGATGGGGTTTCACCGCGTTAGCCAGGATGGTCTCGATCTCCTGACCTCGTGATCTGCCCGCCTCGGCCTCCCAAAGGGCTGGGATTACAGGCGTGAGTCACCGCGCCCGGCCACGAAGATTCTTCTAATACAAATGAGACAACAATTTCAGAATACCACCCTAATGAAACCGTTGAAAATCTTATCAGCCAAGTCTATCAGTGTAATTCTCTTCAATGGTACCATCCCAAAAACCAAGAATATGGATGAGTCATTTTCCCAAGTTGGTCAACTGGAATAGGAAATGAAGCAATACAAAGATATGCTGACTCCTTCCCACACTCTGGCCTTCAACTCTGGTAGTGAAAATTAAATTAAAAAGACCTCTTTGAAGTTGAACCCATATCCTTGGAAGTTGGCTTCACTCTCCATTATCCCTCTCCATTTCCCACTGATCACCATCACCATTTCCCCATTCATTTTCTGAGGCACTTTGATATGGTCCACCATGATAATGTACCACTTAAATTACGGCAGTGGAAAGAGAACTAATAGACCCTGCATTATGCAAACTCCCCAAACAACAACGCAGCCTCCGTGTCCACCCACAAGACTCCTTGAGAAACCGGAGCTCAAGATAAAGAGCGACGTACTTCCTCTTCTGTCAGTTCTGAAAAGCTACCAGACTCAGTGAGAGGCAAGGACTTTTCATCTTTAGGGTAAGTAGTATCTTCCTATAGAAAATAGGAAATATTTTACTTGTGATCATGAATCTAAGAAAAATATTCTGGTTCTGGAAACATTTTCAAGGAGGCCTCATTACATGTCCGGTTACTTTATTTCTTGAAAGCTGCTATGTCGGCTTCTATCTCACATTCATTTTTCCACTTCTGCTTGGGCAAGGAGTGTGTGTGTTGTTATGTGATACTCTGAAACCTGCTGGGATGCCTTATCACGCACAAAGAAGGGGGCAATGGTGTGGAAAGGGGCTTAAGGTGAACTAGAATGATCAAGATTCAAGAAGAGTCTAAGATGAACATAGCTTATAACGAACGTGTTATGAAAAACAAGGAAAACAAGATCTAAAAAGATGAGCGAGTTTCCTAAGTCTGTAGGGTGAATTAACAGCTTTTCCATACACCTGACACCCATAATGTACACATCAGCACATGTGTTTAAATGCCAGCCTCACAGTCATCATCATTATCATGGTGGAAGGGTTTTGTCCTTTATTCATGACCAAAGCAGAGGGATTTACATGTCAACTTTTTCAACCGGCTGGTTATGATCCACAGGAGGAGGCTGGTCCTCTTTAGTGGGTAACGACCACCATGGCACCACCTTAGTGGGTAACAACCAACAAGGCAACAAGCAGAAATGAAAACAACTATAATTATAAAATATCAGTCGCTGCAAACAGTGAGTTTCTTTGTGTGTGATCCTTGGCTCAGTTCTCTGTGTCTGCCTCTCTTTCTCTCTGATGTGAAATTCTTTTCTCACAATTGGTTATGGCCGAAAGTCCCCTACAAATCAGCATCTCTAGAGGCCTCGGCTGTTGTGAAAAATCTTACCACCTTTTTCCTTTCAAAATACTCACTTTAGTTAAACTTGTTTCAAATCAGGCCTCAGCAAAGAAATGCCCTTACCTGGACAGGGGTTCTTTTCATTGAGAATTTTCCAGTTATATTTTAGAGTGGACTTTTTGAAGGGTGGAGCAACATGACTCTAAAAAGAAGACAAATTTTGAAAGAGGAAAGGTATCCAGAAAGTAATCAAGTATAACTCCACCAATGGGACACAAGATTCCCGCAACAGAAATTGATTTCAGTGAAGTAGTATTGTCTACTGCAGAGATTGAAAGTGGTTGGTCTCCTGGTTCTGTATTTAAGGAAAAAGTGGGTGTGGGTGTCTCTAGATAGCCTTTGGTCTCCAGTTCCCCACAGTCCTTATTACGTCCCACCAATGGCCTTATGTATTTATGTCGCATGTCTAGATCTTGGTAGACACTGGAGTTTATGATCTTGGTGAGGTGGTTGTGCATGGGCTTTGGACTCAAGCTGACATTGTCCAAATCTTAGCTTTGTATTTTCCTAGCAGCACAATCTTAAGCAAATGATATCATTGTTTTGAACCTCAATTTCCTCATCTGAAGACTTAGGAGATAATTATAAGACCTACATCATGGCCGGGAGCGGTGCCTCACACGTGTAATCCCAGCACTTTGGGAGACCAAGGTGGGGGGATCACCTGAGGTTAGGAGTTCCAGACCAGCCTGGCCAACGTGGTGAAACCCCGTCTCTACTAAAAATACAAAAATTAGCCGGGCGTGGTGGTACACACCTGTAGTCCCAGCTACTCGGGAGGCTGAGGCAGGAGAATTGCTTGAGCCCGGGAGGCAGAGGTTGCAGTGAGCTGAGCTCGCACCACTGGGTGACAGAGAGAGACTCCGTTTCAAAAGAAACCTACATCACAAGATGGTTGTAGCTTTCAATAAGATAATAGCCACAGAGTTCTTAAGGCACTTGGCCCATAGTAGAAGTTCCGTAAGTGATTTTAGGAGGCAGTAATGGAAGGGGTGAGAGAAGCATCTGCAGCAAAATTTGACTTGCAAGAGGATTCCAGTGCATGATGTGCAGCTGCCTGCTTGGGAATAGGGGGTTCCATGGGATGGGTCTTCTTAGGCCACTACTGTGTTCCTGTGGGGACTTCACAGGACCCTCGTTAATTCTCATTACCACTGGGTAAAAGGTCAGTCCTTAGCATGCAAAGTTGTGATTACAATTGGCACCAGGGAAGGGACATGAGAGATCTCCATGACCGCTTTCATCACCATCATCAGCATCAGCATTACTGTCACTTCCACCATCCTTGCCACCATCACCACAACCATGCAGTCCCTCTTCGCTATTACCATCACTGCCATCACCACCACTGTCATCACCGTCACTATCAGCACCACCATCACTATCGTCATCGTCACCACCATCACCGTTACTACCACTGGCATCACCACCACCAAGACCATCATCATCACCATCACCACTATCACCATTACCACCATCACCATTAGTACCACCATCACCATTGCCACCATTCCTATCACTACCATCACCATTATTACCACCACCATCACCATTGACACCATCACCACCATCACCCTGATTACTACCATCACCCTTGCCACCATCACTGTCACCACCATCACCATCACCACCATCACTGTCACCACCATCACCATCACCACCACTTTTGCCACCATCACTATCACCATTACTATCATGTCCACCATCATAACCACTGTCAGTACCATCACCACCACTGCCACCTTCATCACTACCTCCACCATCATTATGATCTCCACTCCCATCACTACCATCACCATCATGACCACTACTATCACATCCACCACGACCACCACCACCACTACCACCATCATCATCCTTCCCACTTCTCTTCACAGGTAGCTTTATTCAGGACTTACCATGTGCCGGCAGGTCTGAAGGGTCATCTCACTGAATCAGCATGAAACTGTAAAATATGTGCTCTTTCTTAGCTACGTTTTGCAGACGAGAGGCTTGGAGGTAAAGTCACAACCTCAGGGCCACTTAACTAGTAGTTGTAGATTTGGGATTCAAACCCAGGTTTGCCTGTGCACCAAATTCTAAAGCCATCTGACAGTGTATGGCCAGCAAGTAACTGTGCGTGAAGCATGGAGGGAGAACTGTCACATAAACACACAGGCAGCCCCAACAGATTCCAAACTCAGAGATCAAAGCAGCATGAATATATCAAAGCAGGAGTATAGACCTCCCAAGAAGAGTTTTTAAAGTAATTTTGTGGCCGGGTGCGGTGGCTCACGCCTGTAATCCCAACACTTTGGGATAATGAGGTGGGTGGATCACTTGAGGTCAGGAGTTCGAGACCTGCCTGGCCAACATGGTGAAACCCGTTCTCTACTAAAAATACAAAAATTAGCTGGGTTTGATGGTAAGTGCCTGTAATCCCAGCTGCTTGGGAGGCTGAGGCAGGAGAATTGCTTGAACCTGGGAGGTGGAGGTTGCGGTGAGCCAAGATTGCACCACTGTACTCCAGCCTGGGTGACACAGTGAGACCCTGGCTCAAATAATAATAATAATAATAATAATTATTATTATTATTATTATTTTGTTTCCTCTTTTATTAAAACGCTTCATTATATTATTTTTATTGCTAAGGCAATGTACATAATTTAGAATTACAGCTGAAAAAAGAGAAATTTAAAATCACTCATACTGACATTCTTCTATTAACATTTAAGATTCTCTTACATGTAATATACTTTCTTTATAACCTACATTTTGTATTGATACATAATAGTGGCACATATTTATGAGTTACATATGATATATTTTGATACATGCATACAATGTGTAATGACAGAATAATATAACCTCCTTTTGCTCCTAATGCTACGTCATAATCACTTTCTATGGTTGTTTATTTATTTATTTATTTTGAGACAGAGTCTCGCTCTGTCACCCAGGCTGGAATGCAGTGGTTTGATCTCAGCTCACTGCAGCCTCCACCTCTTAGGTTCAAGTGATTCTCATGTCTCAGCCTCCCAAGTAGCTGGGATTACAGGCACTCACCACATTGCCCGGATAATTTTGTGTTTTTAATAGAGACGGTGTTTCACCATGTTGGTCAGGCTGGTCTCAAACTCCTGACCTCAAGTGATCTGCCCGCCTCTGCCCTCCAAAGTGCTGGGATTATAGGTGTGACCCACCGTGCCCGGCCCTATGTTGTTCTAATAGCCTCCTACAACATTATTTTTGCATGTGATATCAGATTGTTTGCATTACACGTAATTGTTGTTTTCCTTCCTGCTTACATTTTGTGAAACTTTTCTGCAAACTACTTAAAGCATCTTCTCCATCAGTGCCTCCCTCATCATTGGCAGCGCCTTTGAAAGGCTTCACAGATCTGCAGAGCACAATATCTTTGCTAATGTGCACTGGAGGTTTTATCTTAAACCCCAATTGGCCACCGACATTACCTTAGGAGAGTGCTTTCTGCATTTTAAATTGATATCCATAGGCCAACGCTTACTAAAATGATCCTTAAAGTCTTCTTTGAAAGACTCATTTAGGCCTGGCTTGGTGGCTCACGCCTATAATCCCAGCACTTTCGGAGGCCCAGGTGGGTGGATCACCTGAGGTCAGGAGTTCAAGACCAGCCTGACCAACACGGTGAAACCCTGTCTCTACTTAAAAAATACAAAAATTAGCCAGGCGTAGTGGCGGGAGCCTGTAATCCCAGCTACTCGAGAGGCTGAGACAGGAGAATTGCTTGAACCCAGGAGGCGGAGTTTGCAGTGAGAAGAGATAACGCTATTGCACTCCAGCCTGGGCGACACGGTAAGAAAGGCTCATTTATAGTAATGTCTAGTACTTCCACTATTTTCTCTGTTAGAAATGATTTATGTTTTGAACAGAAAAGATCTTCACTTGGCTCAAGATTCAAAAGATAGAAGAGGGTAAACTGAAAAGTCTCCTTGCCTCGGCTTCCCAGCCACTTGCTTTCTTTCTCTCTTTTTAAAATATCTTGTTTTATTTTCGGCTGAGCGCAGTGGCTCACGCCTGTAATCCCAGCATTTTGGGATTGGGAGGCTGAGGAGGGCCAGCCTGGCCAACATGGCGAAACCCTGTCTCTACTAAAAACACAAAAAATTAGCCAGGCGTGGTGGCAGGTGCCTGTTATCCCAGCTGCTGGGGAGGCTGAGGTAGGAGAACCGCTTGAACCCGGGAGGCGGAGGTTGCAGTGAGCCGAGATAGGGCCATTGCACTCCAGTCTGGGCGACAGAGTGAGACTCCGTCTCAAAATAAATAAATAAATAAATAAATAAATTTTACTTTATTTTAAGTTCCAAGATATATGTGCAGGACGTGCGAGTTTGTTACATAGGTAAACATGTGCCATGGTGGTTTGCTGCACCTATCAATCCATCACCTAGGTATTAAGCCTCGCATACATTTGTTTTCAAAAGCAACCGATGCTATGAGTTTCTTAGGTACCTTCCAGGAATATTTTATGCAAATACAAAATTATCATACATATATACATGCATTTGATGCATTTATATGTTTGTACATTTGTATGTATGATTTTGTATATACACATATAAATACACATACATGCATATATGGATAATTGTATATAGAATGCTAACATTTTCCTAAAACAGATAGTAACCTTTTATATAAATATATATTAAATATATATTTAATATTTATTAATATATTAATGTATTAATGTATTATATTAATATATTAATGTATTAATGTATTATATTAATATATCAATGTATTAATGTATTATATTAATATATCAATATATTAATGTATTATATTAATATATCAATATATTAATGTATTATATTAATATATCAATGTATTATATTGATTTAGTATATTAATATATTGATGTATTACATTAACATATTATATTAATATATTAATTTTATTATATATTAATAATATATTATATATTAATAATATATTATATATTATATTATTTTCACCATGTTGACCAGGCTGGTCTTTAACTCCTGACCTCAGGTGATCCGCCCACCTCGTTCTCCCAAAGTGCTGGGATTAAAGGTGTGAGCCACTGTTCCCGGCCTATATTGTGTATTTCAAAATGGCTGAAAGAGTAGATTTTAAAAGTTCTCATACCGAAAAATGATAGGTATGTGAGGTGATACATACGTTAATTGTCTTGATATAATCATTCCACAATGTCAGCCGGGGGCGGTGGCTCACGCCTGTAATCCCAGCACTTTGGGAGGCCGAGGCGGGTGGATCACAAGGTCAGGAGATCGAGACCATCCTGGCTAACATGGTGAAACCCTGTCTCTACTAAAAATACAAAAAATTAGCCGGGCGTGGTGGCGGGCGCCTGTAGTCCCAGCTACTCGGGAGGCTGAGGCAGGAGAATGGTGTGAACCCGGGAGGCGGAGCTTGCAGTGAGCCGAGATCGCGCCACTGCCCTCCAGCCTGGGCGACAGAGCCAGACTCAATCTCAAAAAAAAAAAAAAAATCATTCCACAATGTCAAAACATATTATAGCCCATAAGCATATATAATTATTTATGAATTTAAAAATTAAATATAAACAAATCAATGACAGCAATGTAAAAAAAAAATAATAATAAATAAATAAAAAGTGAGTAGTTTGTCCTGTGGAGTTTTGCAGTCTTGATCTTGCCGACTGCGATAGAACAGGATTTTAAATTCCAGCCTTATATTTCCTCAGATGCATCCGTTTTTTTTAGCATTTGTTGGGTGATAAACTTGTTCCCTATAACCAAATACGCTAAGATCATCCTCGCAGGGTGTTTTCCTTGAGAGAGTTACCCAGAGGCAGAATTATTGGGTCAAACGAGAGGGAGAGATTAAAGGGTTTTTTTTGTTTGTTGGTTGGTTTGTTGGTTTGTTGGTTTCGAGATGGAGTCTTGCTCTGTCGCCCGGGCTGGAGTGCGGTGATGCGATCTCGGCTCACTGCTACCTCTGCCTCCTGGTTTCAAGCAATTCTCCTGCCTCAGCCTTACATTTTGATAAGCACTGGCCACGGGGCTTCTGAACTTGGGACCATCAGAAATTGGATTTCATGAGGTTTATTTGTTCCAGGCATTCTGACCACGTCCTGCTTCAGAGAGATTGTTCCCGGCGTCTCAGTGCTATGGGGAGCAGGTTCCTCCTGGTCCTGCTCTCAGGTAAGTGGAGCAAAGAACTCCCTTTCCTTCTCCTCATGCCCCTGGTGTCCTCGCTTGATTTGCTTCCTCAAATTTGGCATTTTCTCCAGCAATAACTGCGTGTGCCTGTCCTAGTAGAAACTCTCCTCTTGAGTCAGTTAGGCTGGGCTGCCCCAAAGCAGAACGAAAACAAGGACTCATGTGTGTAAATAGTTTTTTTGGGAGGGGATCCCAGGAAAGGAGGGTGTGGGGAGGCCACGCAAGAAAGAGTGAAGAGCACTTTAGGAGGCCAAGACGGGTGGATCACTTAAGGTCAGGAGTTTGAAACCAGCCTGGCCAACATGGTGAAACCTCGTCTCTACTAAAAATAAAAAAAAAGTTAGCCGGGCGTGGTGGCAGACGCCCATAATCCTAGCTACTCTGGAGGCTGAGGCAGGAGAATCACTTGAACCTGGAAGGCAGAGGTTGCAGTGAGCCAAGATTCCGCCACTGCACTCCAGCCCTGGATGACAGAGTGAGACTCTGTCTCAAAAAAAAAAAAAAAAAGAAAGAAAGAAAGAAAGAACGAAAAAGAAAGTCATCTGCATTTATAGGAACCCTCTCTGGGGTAGGCTAAAGGGTCACTTCGAGTATCTGCTACATGGATTGACACCAAATGGGTCCGCACTTGGAGCGTCATAGCTCAGTAAGTTACAACCTAGACCTTCCCACCCTGTCCTCTGGGCTTTAGGGTCTTAGAGATGAGAAAAAGAAATCTCCATAGGAGGCATCAGATGCAGTTTAAGGATGGAAGGTTTGTTAAGAGACCTTACAGGTAAGTGATGTTCCATACTCTATGTAAGGGGCAAGCATATTTTTTTCTGTAAAGGGACAGGTAATTTGAATTTCAGCTTTGTGGCCCGTATGGTCTCTGTCTTAACTACTCAACTCAGCTATTCCAGCCCTAAAGCATCCATAGACCTCATGTAAATGAATGGATGTGGCTGCGTGTCAGTAAAACTTTATTTACAGACATAGGCAGCTAAAATTCACATGGTTTTCATGGCCATTAAGTATTCTTCTTCTTTTGTTTTTTTCCAACCATTTAAAATGTTTTATGTAAAAAATATAAAAGTCACCTCAACTCATAAGTCCAGTTTGCTGTCCCCTACCCTATGGGAATCAAGTGATATTTCTCTCTGAAAAAAAATTATTCACAGGAAAATTGGTGTTGAGTGTTTTAGGTCATAAAAATGTCCATGTCAGCCAGGCGTGGTGGCTCACAGCTGTAATCCCAGCACTTTGGGAGGCCGAGGTGGGCGGATCACAAGGTCGGGAGTTGGAGACCAGCCTGGCCAACATGGTGAAACCCCATCTCTACTAAAAATACAAAAATTAGCCGGTCATGGTGGTGGGTGCCTGTAATCCCAGCTACTTGGGAGGCTGAGGTGGGAGAATTGCTTGAACCCAGGAGGCGGAGGTTACAGTGAGCTGAGATCGTGCCACTGCACTGCAGCCTGGGCGACAGAGCAAAACTCTGTCTCAAAAGACAAAAAATTGTCGGTAATGGAAAATTTAAAAGGACCTATGGGGTTTCCATTATATTTTTCTCGGACAGTGTGTGGTTCGAGGTCTGGACTGATATTAAAATAAACTGTTGAATATGGAAAGGAGATTGCCAACTTGGTCTTTTGGTGCTAGGATGTAGAGAAGAAGCTGAATTTGCTGCTGAGTTTTCTGAAATTGGGAAACACAGCTGCAATCAGATGCACTTCTCATACTTCAGAAGGATGTGATGTCCAAATCTGTGACTCTTGTGTTTGTAACCTGCCTGGAAGATGCTATGGTGAAGCTTGCACGTGTGACTGGGCAAAGAGTTAGGGTTAGTTGCCCCTAACTCACCTAGTCTTCAGCCACGCAGAGTCCAGGGGATCCCCGTCTGAATGATCCCCTCCTCTCTCTGTTCCAGGTCTCACTGTCTTACTGGCTCTGCCAGGATCAGAAGCCAAGAATTCTGGAGGTGAGTCTATTCATAGCCAAAGGCCAGGGGAAAGGAAATTGGGATCTGGAAGCTTCCTTTGGAGGAGGGAAGGAGCTTTTTCAAGAGACAGAGCATGGAGTCTCTGGCACTTTCTTCTGACTCTTTGGAGGTCCCAAGAGCTGTTTTCCCATCTCCATCATCACCATCATCTGCATTTACATAGCAAAGCACATCACACGTGCCATCTCAGTTAATCCCCACAACAATCCTACAAACTCAGCATGGGCATTATACCCACTTGATCAAGGGTCCTCCAGAGAAGTGGCTGGCTCAAGGTCACATGGCTGGTGGATGCTAGACTGTCCTCTTTCTTTCCCCAAACCTGTGTCTTGAGTCATTCCAGGAAATACTTTGCCTTCACCACAAGTCATTGCTTGGGTTCCCCCAGAAGCCGACCCTGAGAGCAACTCGTTGTTCTGGGAGGGAATCCTAGGAGGCACCAGCTGGGAGTGGGCAGTGGCATAGGAAGGGGAGGAGCTCATATAGGATCTTTATCAAGCAAGTTAGATGCGGGCAGCTGGAGTTTAATCCCTGGAGGCAGCTGTTGGGTATGGCATGGAGCAGGCACCTCAGATTTGTACCCCTCAATGGGTAAGGAAGCTATTGATTATGACTATGTTCTAAATTGTGGTAAAATGTACACAACGTAAAATGTAGCTTTTTAACCATTGTCAAGGGTACAGGTCAATGCCATTCAACATTTGCACTGTTATGCAACCATCACCACCATCCACCCACAGTGTTCTTTCTAGTTGCAGAACTGAAACTCTGTCTCTATGAAACACGAACTCCCCATTCCTCCTCCCCAAGGCCCTGGCACCCGCCATTCTACTTTCTGTCTCTATGAATCCAGCAACTCTGGGATTGGATCTCATAGGAGTGGAATCATACATTATTTGACGCTTTGTCCTGGCTTATTTCATGGAGCATAATGTCCTCAAGGTTCGTTTATGGTGTAGCATGTGTCAGAATTTCATTCCTTTTGGCCGGGCGCGGTGGCTCACGCCTGTAATCCCAGCACTTTGGGAGGCCGAGGCGGGTGGATCATGAGGTCAGGAGATCGAGACCATCCTGGCTAACAAGGTGAAACCCTGTCTCTACTAAAAATACAAAAAATTAGCCGGGCGCGGTGGCGGGCGCCTGTAGTCCCAGCTACTCGGGAGGCTGAGGCAGGAGAATGGCGTGAACCCAGGAAGCGGAGCTTGCAGTGAGCCGAGATTGCGCCACTGCAGTCCACAGTCCGGCCTGGGCGACAGAGCGAGACTCCGTCTCAAAAAAAAAAAAAAAAAAAAAAAAAAAGAATTTCATTCCTTTTTTTTTTTTTTTGAGACTGAGTTTCACTCTTGTTGCCCAGGCTGGAGTGCAATGGTGCAATCTTGGCTCACTGCAACCTCCACCTCCCGGGTTCAAGCGTTTCTCCTGCCTCAGCCTTCCAAGTAGCTGGGATTATAGGCATGCACCACCATGCCAGGCTAATTTATTTATTTATTTATTTTGCATTTAGTAGAGACGAGGTTTCACCATGTTGGTCAGGCTGGTCTCGAACTCCTGACCTCAGGTGATCCACCCACCTTGGCCTCCCAGAGTGCTGGGATTACAGGCATGTGAGCCAACATGCCCGGCCAGAATTTCCTTCTTTCTAAAGGCTGAATAACGTACTACTGTGTGGATGGACCACATTTTGTTCATTCATTTATTCATTCGTGGGCACCTGGGTTACATACAACATTTGGCTATTATGAATAATGCTGATATGAACATGAGTGGACAAATATCTCTTCTATACACTGCTTTTGATTCCTTTGCATATATTCCCAGAAGTGTGATTGCTGGATCATATGGTAAGATCATATGGTAATTCTGATTTAGAATTTTTTGAGGAATTGCCATACTGTGTCTCATAGACAGTGCATCATTTTACATTTCTACCAGCAGTGCACCAGGGTTCCATTTTCTCTACATTCTCACCAACACTTGTTATTTTCTGTTTTTTTTTTTTAAATAATAATGAAATTGGCTTTTTTTTAATGCACTATCTTCTATCAATCATTGATAAAGGGAGCTACTTAGGAAAGGCATTGTTAACCTGCCATGTGATGAACAAAGAGAATTCTGGTAGCCAGGGTTAGCCTGCAAGGAAAGAAACACAGGTGCCGGCATTTGGAGGTTCACCTATCTGGCAAAAGTGGTGTTGGTGGCAGAAGTGGGACACGGCTGGGCACTGTGTGCCACTGTGTTCAGCAATGGGCTGGGTGCCAAAAGGATGCCAACAGAGGCATTCCTAAGATGACATTCTTCTGACCGCAGCATCGGTACGTGGTAGATGCATACTGAATATTTCTGTTTCTCTGCAGCTTCCTGTCCTCCATGCCCTAAATATGCCAGCTGCCACAACAGCACCCACTGTACTTGTGAAGATGGCTTTCGGGCCAGGTCTGGCAGGACATACTTTCATGATTCCTCTGAGAAGTGTGAAGGTAAAAATATTAACGGGGTTTTAATTTAATCTCTCATTAGTGATAACTATTCTGTTCCATGTGTCCTCTGCCCAAAACACATAAACCCATAGCCCAAATAAAACCCGTACCTCTTCAGCAGACTATTTGACAAAGTACAGCCATTGGCCAGGTGTGCTTGTCCCTGAGTCCTTCAGATGGAGAGCACAAGTATAAGTCTGTGGTCCAGAGCACCTTCTGCCTGTGGGTCCCTTGCTTGAACCTCAGCTCTGGTCCATTCAGCACGGAAGGCTGATGTGGTTGGGAGAGGCAAGACACATAAACATTGCATAAGTCACTGTTGCCCAGGCTGGAGTGCAGTGGCGCGATCTCTGCTCACTGCAAGCTCCGCCTCCTGAGTTCACGCCATTTTGCTATCTCAGCCTCCTGAGTAGCTGGGACTACAGGCGCCTGCCACCATGCCTTGCTAATTTTTTGTGTTTTTAGTAGAGACGGGGTTTCACCATGTTCGCCAGGATGGTCTCAATCTCCTGGACTCGAGATCCGCCCGCCTCGGCCTCCCAAAATGCTGGGATTACAGGTGTGAGCCACCGTGCCCCGCCTTTTTTTTTTTTTTTTTTTTTTTTTAGTCAGAGCCTCACTCTGTTGCCCAGGCTGGAGTGCAATGGCGCGATCTCAGCTCACTGCAACCTCCGCCTCCTGGGTTCAAGCGATTCTCCTGCTTCAGCCTCCTGAGTAGCTGGGATTACAGGCACGTGCCACCACACCCAGCAAAGTTTTGTATTTTTAGTAGAGACAGGGTTTCACCATGTTGGCCAGGCTGGTCTCGAACTCCTGACCTCAGGTGATCCACCCGCCTCAGCCTCCCAAAATGCTGGGATTACAGGCGTGAGCCACCGTGCCCGGCTGAGCCAGGATTTTAGTAGTGTGGTCCTTCCTCATCTCTCTCAAGCTTTTCTAATAGTGTGTTAACTTACCGTATATTTATTCCCCTGCTATGCACTATGTGTGTTAAATTGATTTAGCAAATGGCGTGACTTAAAAACAACATTAAAAACAGCAACATTCCATCCTTATTCTAGTGATTTGACATGCCACCTTTACCATGTTCTAAAGCTCCATAGGTACTTGCATCTGTGTCTGGACTTCTAGTCTATTCCATTAGTCTATTTTTATTTATGCATGCATCAGTACCTCTTTGTTTAGTTGCAGCTTTATACTTTGTTTTAATGTCTGGTTCCCACCTTGTAGTTTTTTCTGGCTACACCTGCATGATAGTAACAACTTGTCTCTCACCCCGTAAAATACATGTAGATGTTTTTAAAATTGGAATTGCATTGGATTTATAAATTAACTTAGGGAGAACATTGATGGACAATGGTTGGGCAATAAAAATTTCATGGGCAAGGGAAATGGTATAATTCTATGAAAATGAAAGCAACACTTTCTCTTGATTCACAGATATTAATGAATGTGAAACCGGGCTGGCAAAGTGCAAGTATAAAGCATATTGTAGGAATAAAGTTGGAGGTTACATCTGTAGCTGTTTGGTAAAATATACTTTATTCAACTTTCTGGCTGGTATTATAGATTATGATCATCCGGATTGTTACGGTAAGAACCTCCAAATCCTATTTCCACTATGAAAAATGGTGGGGACTTGGGGGAGACTCTGAGAGATTCTCTAATTTCAGGCCAGGGTAAGAGTGCAAAGCTCCATCCTAACCCTCGTCCCTCATTCCTTTGTTGTCTTTGATGATATTTTCCAAGATGGTGTCATCCAAGCCTTGGCATCAATAACTATCTCTATATAGATGCTTCCAAATGTATGTGTCCAATACAGGTCTGTTTCCTGAGCTTCCAAAAGGGCAGCTCTAAATTTCTTCTGAATTTCTCTATTTATTCATCTCTCACTCACCTTAAATTCAATTTTTATGTCTATCTACCTATCTACTAAATCTGACGAATTCACACTGATACCTCTGGTTCCAGTTCAACATCAAGGCTTGTCGGAAACTTCCCTCTTTCCTTATTTGTAGCTTCCTTCTCCAACAATGAGAAACCTGTCTCTCACTATCCACAATTTATTTATTTGTTTAATTCCAGTATTATTTCACTTTTTGGGTAAGAGAGATGGGATTTAAGTGCTAAATCTTCCACTTACCATCTGGTTTTCAGTTAATGACTTAATTTCTATATACCTCATCTTTAAATGGGAGTAGTAATATTAATAGTATCTACTGTGTCAGTTCTGTGTTGCTGCATAACAAGTTATCCCCAAATTTAGTGGCCTAAAACAACACATATGTATTGTTTCATAGTTTCTTTGGGTTAAGGAACTAAGCATGGCTTAGCTGAGTCTTTTGCTTCTGGGTCTATCACAGTTGCAATTGAGGTTTTATCCAGGCTGTGGTTTCATCTGGAGACTCGACTGGGGCAGGTTCTGCTTCCAAGCTACTCACAAGGTTGCTGGGAGAATTTAGTTCCTTCAGAGCTATTGGACTGAAACCCTCAGTTCATTTCTGGTGGCTGGTGGGAGGCAGCCTTTAGTTCCTAGATATGTGGGTCTCTACAGCTTGCTTTGTTATAGCAAACACATTAGAATAGCCAGAAAGAGAGCATGAATAAGACAGGAGTCATAGTCTTTTATAACCCACTCTCAGAAGTGACATCCTATCATGTTTGCCATATTCTGTTCCTTAGAAATGAGTCACTTAGTCCAGTCCACAGTCAAGGGAAGATTACCCAAGGATGTGAATTCCAAGAGGCAGGGATTATTTGGAGCCATTTCTGATTCCTTCTTACTGGGCTGAATAGTGTTCTCCCCAAACTGATTCCACCTGGAATCTGTGAATGTGATCTTATCTGGAAATAGGGTATTTGTAGATGTAATAAGTCAAGATGTGGTCATATTAGATCAGAGTGGACCCTGAATCCTACATGACTGGTGTCCTTATAAGATGAAGGATATTTGGACACAGAGACACACACACAGGGAAGATGGCCATGTGAAGACAGAGGTGAAGATTGGAATTATGCTGCCAAAGGGCAAGGAATGTCAGAGATTGATGGCAACCACCAGAGGCTGGAAGAGGCAGGGCAAGGTGTTTCCCTGGAGCCTTCAGAGGGAGCATGGTCTTGCTGGCATCTTGATTTGGACTTCTGCCCTCCAGAACTATGAGACAATATATTTCTATTGCTTTAAGCCACCCAATTTGTGTCACTATATTATGGAAACCCTAGCAAATTAATACACCTTACCTATTCATTATTATTATTTTTGAGATGCGGTCTCACTCTGTTACCCGGGCTGGAGTGCAGTAGTGTGATCTTGGCTGACTGCAACCTCTGCCTCCCAGGCTCAAGCGATCCTCCCACCTCAGCCTTGAGTAGCTGGGACCACAGGCATGTGCCACCACACCTGGCTAATTTTTGCATTTTTGGTAGAGACAGGGTTTCACCATGTTGCCCACACTGGCCTTGAACTGCTGACCTCAAATGATCCGCCCGCCTCGGCCTCCCAAAGTACTAGGATTACAGGCGTGAGCCACTGCACCCGGCCCCTACTCATTATTAATGTATGTGAAATATTTAACAGTCCTAGGCACCTAGGAAGGGTCAGTTAATACTGGATATTATGCTGTATATGCCTTTTCTACAACCTTCAGTGTTCCTTGAAATGAGATAATATATATGAAGGCACGTTATATACTGTGATGTGTAGGCAACTGCTTCTATAATATTAACTCAATTAACACTGATTTCTTCCATGTCACCCTGATGTGTTGGGACCCTCTGCTATATACTCCCACACCATTGTGTCCTATTTATTATTGATTGATTGATTTTGGGAAGTCCTGTTTTATTTTATTTTAGGTTTGGGGGTGGTACATGTGCAGGTTTGTTGCGTGGGTAAATTGCGTGTCTCTGGGGTTTGGTGTAAGAATGTTCCCATCACCCGGGTAGTGGGCATAGTACCTGATATGTAGCTTTTCAGCCCTCATCAGCCTCCCACCCTCTCCCTCTAGTAGTCCCCACTGTCTATAGTTCCCATCTTTTTGTCCACATGTCATGTTCTATTTATTAAGAGCGTCCCTTGCAATTGCTTAATTATTTATTGATAATAACTTGCTTAATGACTTTCCTGCCAGACTTCAGATTCCACAAGGGGATACCTTGGTTTCTTTTCCTAGCCTATATCCATATAGTTCAGCGTTGTGCCTGGTATTGAGTAGGTGCCGAATAAACAGTGTTGACTAAAGCAATAGGTTGGTGCAAAAGTAATGGCGGTTTTTGCCATTTCTTTCAATGGCAAAGATGACCATTACTTTTGCACCAACTCAATATGAAACTGGAAGACCCATTCTAATTCTCTTTTATAATTCTACTGTGCAATACCTTTTAGGCTTCTTAGAGGGGAATTAGGATGGGCTGCAGAATTATTAGGGAAAGACTCAACTTGAGGGTGACTAGAAGAAGGGATGTAAGCAGGGTGTATTTTCTCCCATATCTCTTTCAATGACATCTTTTCTTTCACAGAGAACAATAGTCAAGGGACGACACAGTCAAACGTGGATATTTGGGTGAGTGGGGTGAAGCCTGGATTTGGGAAACAGCTGGTACGTATAACTATGCCATTTTCCTACCCAAACATTAACATGTCTTCCTGTGATTTTTAGGGTAGGGTAGTTCTATCCAGGGGTAATTTTGTCCTCTGTCCCAAGGTCATCTGTCAATGTCTGGGGACACTTTTGGTTGTCATACCTTGGGGGTGATGTGTGTGACTGGCATCTGGTGGATGGAGACCAGGGATACAGCTCAACATCCTACAGTGCCCAGGACAGCCTCCCACAATCAAGAAGTGCCTAGTGCCACATGTCCATAGAGATAGAGAAATACAAGCGTAGGGGGAAAGTGCCTCAGCTGGCATTCAAAGACCTACATCAAGCACCTAGATTCTCAATGCCACACGCACCTTGTAGCACCTTAATAAATATCGTTGCCTTCTGGGCTCCCCACTCCAACACTTGTGCATATTCCCTATTTCTTACATTTCAGTAAGAGTCAATCTAATTAGCTTAATTTTTTTGGAAGGAAAATCTGAGAAGAAATGGAAGCAGAGAGGACTTTGCAAGAAGGGCTACTCAACTAATTCAAAGCGTGGAGTTGAGCATCTGGAATGCGAGTTTTGCTTCTCCAGGAAAGGGTCAAATTTCTGAATTTGATATAGGTAAGAGAGGCTGAGTAGAGTCTTTATGACCCTCCATAAAGACCATAAAGACGTCTGGGTCCTGGCTTTGTCAGGGTTTCTGAATGATGAAATCTGTGGGCTCTCAGGATCACAGACCCTCTACACCAACATTCTACATGAGAAGGACTCCATTTTCAAAAATGCAAATTCAAGGGACAAGAGAATAAACCAGCTCTCTTCTTCTTTTCAACTTCCCTTGGTATGATGGAAAGTATTTAAGAGCATATTCGCTATGCCACCATGGCTAGGGGATAGAAAAAACCTCGGTTATTTTCCTACTCTACTCTCACATAGTAACAAGAACACGGAATACTTCATCTCTGGTCACCAAATTATTGTGGGCTCCTTTTCCACACTGACCACACAGTTCTCCAGTGGACCCCAGCTGGGTGTTCTACAATTCAATTATGACATTATCTGACATTATCAACCAAAGAGAGCGTCAGATCCCACAGGCTGCAAGCTTAGTCCCACAAAAGTATTCTTCACCTCAAATGCCAATCCCAAGTTCTAGGTTGTAACCCGTACGTCCAACTGACAGGCAGTAAATTAGAGTCCCATGACCCCTTCCTTGGGTTTGAGTAATTTGCTAGAGTGACTCGCTTAACTCAGGAAAGCACTTTACTTACATTTATCCATTTATTAAAAATATATTACAAATGGGCTGGGTGTGGTGGGTCATGCCACTTTGGGAGGCCGAAGCAAGTGGATCACCTGAGGTCAGGAGTTCAAGACCAGCCTGGCCAACATGGCAAAACCCCATCTCTACTAAAAAAAAAAAATACAAAAATTAGCTGGACATGGTGGCACGCATCTGTAATCCCAGCTCCCCAGGGGGCTGAGGCAGGAGAATCGCTTGAACCCAGGAGGCAGAGGTTGCAATGAGCTGAGATTGCACCACTGCACTCAAGCCTGAGCAACAGAGTGAGACTCCATCTCAAAAAATATATATATTAAAATAAAAATATAAAACATAAATATATATTTATATATATTATATGTGTGTATGTGTGTGTATATATATACACACATTTATATACACACATTTATATACATATATATACACACACATATACACACACACACACACACACACACACACACACACACACATATATATATATAAACAAATGATACAGATGAACAGCCAGATGGAAGACATGCACAGGGCAAGGTATGGGAGAAGAGGTGCAGAGCTTCCAAGCCCTCTTTAGAGGTGCCACCCCGGGGACCCACACATGTTCAGCAATCTAGAATCTCCTAGACAGCTTAACAAATCTTTTGGATTTGTATGGAGGGTTCGTTAGTTAGGCACGATTGGGTACATTATTGGCCATTGATACCAACTCAACATTTAGCCCCCCTCCTCTTCCTGTATCTGGGATGGGGGTGAAACTGAAAGTTCCAACCCTTTAATCTCACCATTGGTTTCCTTGGCAACCACCCCCATCCTGAGGCTATCCAGGAGCTGGCTAAGAGTCACTACATTAGAATAAAAGATATTTCTATAACCAAGAAAGTACAAAGGATTTCAGAGTTGAGTCACACACTCCTGTCACTCAGGAAATTACAACGGTCTTAGGGACTATATGTCAGCAACTTGAGTCCAAGACCAAATATCAGAACAAAAGATTTTCCTAGTGATTCTATTGCTCAGGAAACTCTAAGGGTTTTAGGAACTCTATGTCAGGAACTCTGGTTTCTTTCTGACCTCTGTATCTGTTAATCATTTCAAAGAACCAATTTTTGGCTTTGTTGATTATTTATATTATTATTCCATTTCCTTTCTCTTTGATTTTTGTTCTTTATTATTTCTTTCCTTTTACTTTCTTTGGGTGGAACTTGCTTTTCATTTTCTTTCTTTTTTTTTTTTTTTTTTTTTGAGATGGAGTCTCGCTCTGTCGCCCAGGCTGGAGTGCAGTGGCGCGATCTCGGCTCACTGCAAGCTCTGCCTCTCGGGTTTACGCCATTCTCCTGCCTCAGCCTCCCGAATAGCTGGGACTACAGGCGCCCACCACCACGCCCGGCTAATTTTTTGTATTTTTAGTAGAGACAGGGTTTCACCATGTTAGCCAGGATGGTCTCAATCTCCTGACCTCATGATCCACCCGCCTCGGCCTCCCAAAGTGCTGGGATTACAGGCGTGAGCCATCACGCCGCGCCTGGCCTTGCTTTTCATTTTCTAACTTGTTGTCTTGGTTATTTAGATTACTAATTTTAAACCATTCTCCTTTCCCAATATATGCATTTAAAACTTAAAACTTAGCTATAAATTAGAGCTATATATTTCCCTCTAAGCACTGCTTTAGCTGCATCCTGCAAGTTTTCATATACTGGGCTTTCATTATCATTTAGATCAAAATATTAAAACATTTCCTGTGTAATCTATCATTTAACTCATGGTTTATTTAGAAGTGTGTTGCTGAATTACCAAATATTTGTGGCTTTTTAAGGTTTCCTTGTGTTAATGGCCTCATTTAATTTATTGTGGGTTTTAATCAAGAAAGGATATTGAACTTTGTCAAATGCTTTTTCCTACCTCAATTGAGATGATCATTTTATCATCAATTGAGATGATTTTTATCTTTCATTCTGTTAATGAGATGAACCCTATTGATTGATTTACATATGTTAAACCAGGCTTACTTACCAGGAAAAAATAGTTGTGATATATACTCTTTTTGATGAGTTGTCTGAGCACACACTATGTAGGATTTCAATCCTTTTGAATTTGTTGAGACTTGACTGATGGTCTATTTTAGCAAATGTTCCATGTGAACTTAGTGTCTGAATTAACATACCAAATCTGGTGGTATAACCGTGGTAAACAGCAGCTTAACCATTATTTCTTGAATAGTTTGAGCATAAGTGAGTCAGGGCTGATGTAGCAATACCATGCCAGCTCTGTGCTCTGCTGTCTTCAACATTCACCTTCACTTTGTGATACAAGAGAGTTGTTGTACTATCACACCCTTTTACCAGCCAATGAAAAGGGGAGAAGAGAAGTTGAAAGGATGCCTGTTTCCCTTAGCACATGCCATTCTGTTCTTTGATCCGTTGGCCTGAAAATAGTTGCATGGCTCTGCCTAGCTGCAAGGGAAGCTGGAAAATGGCTTGTCTTCAGCTTAAATTTAGTAGTTCTAGATGCAAAGAAAGAATAGGTAAATGGTGATCACAGGTAATAAGCAGTCTGCCATAGCACCTAGGACAGTTTTCTCATTTGTTCTGAGACAAACTCTGTATACCCCAAAATGTTGAGGTTGACCTCACAAAATGATCAGCTCTTGTGTTTATAGGTTTACAGGGATTCTTCCCAAATGCAGAAGTTCTGTTCCTAGTGACTATTTTTTTTTTGGAAAACATTTAAATGCTTAGCTACTCTTGCTTATAAAGATTGCATTCTCCCCTAACCAGGGACTCCGGTACCATTAAGTGTCCTGTGGAAACTGCTTAGCTTGCCTATCAGAGTACCAGTTCTGGGAAGCATGCCCTTCTCCTCTCTTGGGCTGTGGCCAGTGTGTTGCTAAGGCCATTTTGGCCACTCCATTTCTACCAGCCAAAGATGGGAACAAGGTGCCACGTGGCCAACCTTGCATAGGAGAGATGGAATCACCAGTAGGAGGTCTTCCAGAAAAGGGAGTTCTTTAGCAAATTATTTAGGTATGAGACTTGAGAACAGGACTGACTTTCTTAATGTTTTCAGTCTATGAAACCAAGAGGTGCAATGAGACAAGGGAGAATGCTTTTCTGGAAGCTGGAAATAACACCATGGATATCAACTGTGCTGATGCTTTAAAAGGAAACCTAAGAGGTACCATATCTCCGATGAATTATCTTGACTCCAAATTCTACACATCATTGTTTTATTTCTAGGCGATTAAACCCTGGGGTGAGAATTCACAAAGCTTTTAAGGTAGGGAGATTCTACATGGTGGAATAAAATGATCTTCCGTAACCACTAACTAGGCATTTTGCAGAGAGAAGTCGGGCTGTCACATGGGGTGTGTATTTTGTGACATACACAAAGGTTTGCATAAGGATTCCTTGAAATGCCTCCTTAAAAGGGACTGGCTGGGCGGGCACAGTGGCTCACGCCTGTAATCCCAGCACTTTGGGAGGGTGAGGCGGGTGGATCACAAGGTCAGGAGTTTGAGACCAGCCTGGCCAACATGGAGAAACCCCATCTCTACTAAAAACACAAAAATTAGCCAGGCATGGTGGTGCGTGACTGTAATCCCAGCTATTCGGGAGGATGAAGCCGGAGAATTGCTTGAACCCAGAAGGCGGAGGTTGCAATGAGCCAAGATCGCACCATTGCACTCCAGCTTGGGTGACAAGAGTGAGATTCTGTCTCAAAAAAAAAAAAAAAAAAAAGGGACTGGCTGATGCATGCTCTGTTTCCATGTAATGGTCTGAAAAGGTAACACTCAATGGTGTCAGATTGCCTTGAACACTTCCTTGAGAAGCGTTTATGTACACCCTTTTTAAAAGAGCTGCCGAGTCTTGTTCTTTACCACAGATTGGAAAACAAATGTTCTCTACAAGGTCCAGAGAGTAAATATGTTAGGCCTTTTGTTCCAGATGACCTTTGTCATAACTACTCAGCTCTGCCATCAGAGTGTGAAAGCAGCCATTGATGATGTGTCAGTGAAGGAGTGAGGCTGTGTGTCTATAAAACTTTATTTACAAAAGCAGGTGGCAGGCTGGGTTTTACCTTCACGGCATAGTGTTTCACCCACACTTTATCTCATCACCTGAAGTCTCTGCAAAGCTCCTGCACTATGTATTTTTTCTAATTTATTTATTTGTTGGTGGCCCATCTCTCTCACTACGACATCGTCAGCTCTCTGATGGCAGGGGTTTTGTCTGTTTTGCTCACTGCTGTATAATAATTCCTAGAATGTCTGGCACACAGTAGAGGATACATAAATATTTCCATGAAACATAAATGAATGAATGCATATAAACTATTTCAAAGAGAAAAACCTGGTTACCTTAAAAATGAAATATCTGCTGCATTTCCTCCAAAAAATTCCTGGTTATTCATTAATCTTCACTCCTTACTGTGAGCGGTAGAGTAGGGAAAGGGAGGAAAGGGATCTAAAAATGAGTTGATTTTGTTGTTGTTGTTGAGACTGACTCTCACTCTGTTGCCCAGGCTGGAGTGCAGTGGCACAATCTCGGCTCACTGTAGCCTCTGCCTCCCGAGTTCAAGCAATTCTCCTGCCTCAGCCTCCCAAGTAGCTGGGATTATAAGCACATGCCACCAAGCCCTGCTAATGTTTGTATTTATAGTAGAGACGGGGTTTCACCGTGTTGGCCAAAGTGGTCTCGAACTCTTGACCTCAGATGATCTGCCCGCGTCGGCCTCCCAAAGTGCTGGGATTACAGGCGTGAGCCACCACGCCCAACCGCGTTGGATTTTTTAAATGGAGCAAATAGAAATACAGATGATAAGTAGCTTTGGTCAAAAATGGGATGGTAGCACGTGGATAACTGCAATTTGGGAAACACTCCCATCATACGGGTGTCCTGTGTGCACTGAACCTCCATGATTTTTTTTCTTTTTTTTTGGAGTCGGATTCTCCATTCACCATCTCGGCTCACTGCAACCTCCGCCTCCTGGGTTCCGGCGATTCTCCTGCCTCAGCCTCCCGAGTAACTGGGATTACAAGCACCCGCCACCACGCCTGGCTAATTTTTGTATTTTTAGTAGAGATGGGATTTTGCCATGTTGGGCGGGCTGGTCTCGAAATCCTGACCTCAGATGACCCACCTGCCTCAGCCTCCCAAAGTGCTGGGATTATAGGTGTGAGCTACCGCGCCCGGCCTGAACCTCTATACATTAAACGGTGGCTTCATGAAAAGGGGAGGGGGAAAAGGAAGACAGGGAGAGGAAGGGTAATAAGATGAGAAAGAGAAAAAATGAGTGAATTAATTAAATACAGTGGGTCATTCTGCATACCTTTCCACTAAATTAGGTACCCCGGAGTGAGCTTGAGGTGAAGGCTGAGAGAGTGTGGTTTTCTTAGCCTGCGTGAGTTCCATGTGCCCTTCTGAGGACAAGCATCTTGCCTCACAACTCTGGTTGTAATGCTCAAGGGCTCATATATATTTTTAGGACTCTGAAGAGCATAATTTGCACATATTTTGCACATATTTTGCACCGCTTATAATGTATGGGGCATTATAATACATATTACGTAGACAAAAATGCTGCACCCCAAGCGACACACGGTGTATTGAACAGCATTTAAGGGATTTCCAAGGGCAGTTTTAGCCATTCATTGCCTGCCCTACGACCCTCACATTAGAGAGTACTGTACTTTCTCTCCAAACTATGGATGGCCACTAACAGTATTTCTTTTCCATTTTTTTCTTCAGAGAGCACTGCAGTTGCCCTATCACTTATCAATCTCTTGGGGATATTCTGAATGCATCCTTTTTTAGTAAACGAAAAGGGATGCAGGAAGTAAAACTGAACTCTTACGTTGTGAGCGGCACCGTCGGTTTGAAGGAAAAAATTTCCCTCTCTGAACCTGTGTTCCTGACTTTTCGCCATAATCAGGTGAGAAACACCCAGGGCTGGGTCTCCATGCAGTACCTTAAAGGGTGAGCAGGTGCAGTCAGCTTCCCAAGTAGGAAACGGAATTCAGAAGTAAGAGAACACACAAGACACGCTGAGGCATCTTCAATGAGATTTTGCTTCACCACAGTGAGGATGGCTATTACCAAAAACTTAAAATATCAGTATGTGGCAAAAAAAAAAAAAAAAAAAAAAGAGGAACCCTTATAGATCTGCTGATGAAAATGTAATGTGGTACAGCCATTATGGAAAACAGTACAGAGGCCTCTCAAAAAGTTATAAACAGAATTATCGTCTGTTCCAGCGATTCCACTTTGGGGTATGTGGCCAAAAGAATTGAAATCAGGATCTCAAAGAGATAACTGCACTCTCGTGTTTATTGCAGTATTATTCACACTAGCTGAGATATGGAAACAGCCTAAGTATCTGTCAACAGATGAATGAAGATTTTTTTTTTTTTTTTGAGACAGAGTCTCGCTCTGTCGGCCAGGCTGGGGTGCAGTGGCGTCATCTCGGCTCATTGCAACCTCCATCTCCCCAGCTGAAGCAATTCTCCTGCCTCAGCCTCCCGAGTAGCTGGGATTATAGGAGTGTGCCACTACACCCAGCTAATTTTTGGTATTTTCAGTAGAGACGGGGTTTCACCATGTTGGCCAGGCTGGTCACGAACTCTTGACCTCAGGTAATCCGTCCACCCCAGCCTCCCAAAGTGCTGGGATTACAGGTGTAAGACACCATGCCTGGCCAATAGTTTTTGTTTTTTTTTTTTCTTAAGGGACAGGGTCTCACTCTGTCACCCAGGCTGAAGTGCAATGGTGCAATCTCGGCTCACTGCAACCTCTGC
The DNA here is from genome assembly GCF_000001405.40 of Homo sapiens. Lineage (NCBI taxonomy): Eukaryota > Metazoa > Chordata > Mammalia > Primates > Hominidae > Homo > Homo sapiens. The sequence goes on along the minus strand of NC_000019.10, from coordinate 6,973,628 downwards.
TTCCTGAGTTCAAATGATTCTCCCACCTCAGCCTCCCGAGTAGCTGGGATTACAGACACCTGCCATCATGCCTGGCTAATTTTTGTATTTTTAGTAGAGACAAGGTTTCACCATGTTGACCAGGCTGGTCTCAAACTCCTGACCTCAGGCGATCTGCCTGCCTCAGCCACCCAAAGTGCTGGGATTACAGGCATGAGCCACCATGCCCAGCCTAATGTACAACACTCAATGTAACTACACTTAATAATGTATTGTACACTTGAGATCTGCTGAGAGAGTGCATTGCAAGTGTATTCACCACGCACACACACACACACACAAAAATATGTGAGGTGTTGGATGTGTTAGCTTCATTGTAGTAATCATTTAAAAATGTATACATCTATCAAAACGTATAAATACAAATTCTTCTTTGTTAATCACACTTTAGTAAAGCTCAGGAAGAAAGGAAGTGTTGAGGCATCCAGAGCTTGCCACAGTGAGATGCCATTCTCACGTTGAAGCCAAAAGGCAATGGAGGAGAAGCTCTATTGAGCTCAGTGGAAGCTGGAGGCAGGAATGAGGGATCGCTCTGCAGAAACTGGAGATGGCTCAAAGCAGAAAGGGCACAGGGAAGAAATACTTTATTTCTCTCTCTTCTCTCACCCAGTGAGTCTCACCAATGCCTCTCTTTGCTTCTATAAATAGCAAGGAAGCTGGCGAAGCCATTCAGAGGGTCAACCCCAGGGTGCTGAGCTGACCAGAGAAGGGCAGAATAGATGGAGAATAAACCCACCGCAGGCGTGGTGATGTGAAACTCTTCCCCTACAAGTGTATTTCCGATCCAGTTTCCAACACTGTGCATTGTGATTAACCTGTAAAGTTGAAATAATATGCCAGGCATGTTGGCTCATGCCTGTAATCCCAGCACTCTGGGAGGCCGAGGCAGGCGGATCACTTGAGGCCAGGGGTTCAAGACCAGCCTGGCCAACATGGCAAAACCCCACCTCTACTAAAAATACAAAAATTAGCCAGGCATGGTAGTGTTCACCTGTAGTCCCAGCTACTTGGGAAGCTGAAGCAGGAGAATCACTTGAACTTGGGAGGCGGAGGTTGCAGTGAGCTGAGATCACACCACTGCACTCCAGCCTGGGTGACAGAGCAAGACTCCATCTCAAAATAAAATAAAATAAAATAAAAAATAAAACCAGGAAGAGACCCACTTTCATACTATTCTCTTTCCAGCCTGGTGACAAGAGAACAAAACATATCTGTGTCTACTGGGAGGGATCAGAGGGAGGCCGCTGGTCCACGGAGGGCTGCTCTCATGTGCACAGCAACGGTTCTTACACCAAATGCAAGTGCTTCCATCTGTCCAGCTTTGCCGTCCTCGTGGCTCTTGCCCCCAAGGTACCAAGATTCATTCCTGTGAACCTGTGTATGTCCGAGAATTTGTGAGTTATCCTCTGCATTTCTTACAAAAAGATTCTAAAGGTCGGGCGCGGTGTCTCACGCCTGTCATCTCAGCACTTTGGGGGGCCGAGGCAGGTGGATCACTTGAGGTCAGGAGTTCAAGACCAGCCTGGCTACCATGATGAAACCCCGTCTCTACTAAAAATACAAAATTAGCTGGGCATGGTAGTGCACACCTGTAATCCCAGCTACTCAGGAGGCTGAGGGAGGAGAATTGGGTGAACCCAGGAAGTGGAGGTTGCAGTGAGTCGAGGTCATGCCACTGTACTCCAGCCTCGGTGACAGAGGAAGACTCCATGTAAAAAAAAAAAAGAAAAGAAAAAGAAAAAAGATTCTAAGACAAGGAGTCAAATGGTAGTAGCTTACTTGAAAGGGGATTACAGGAAACACTAGTGGGGGACTGAGACAATGAGATGGAAGTAAGACAGGTGTCAGTGCAGACAGCATTATCAAGCCAGTTACCACCATAGGTAACTGGAATTTATTCCCTCTGGGGGACTCTGGGAGTCAGTGTAGAACTCACATCTCTGGGTCATTCTATCTGAGCAGCAAGGGAGCTGGAGTATTTATACACTAACTCCCATTAGTCATTTGTTAAGAGCTGTATCCAGCACTGGTCTAGTTGTTTTGGTTTTTAACATTCCTGTGTGATGAGTGTTACTACTGCCCTCATTTTGAAGATGAGAACACTAAGTCTCAGAAAGGTAAGTCAATTGTTTCAGGGACTGAACTAGGAAGCCCATCTGGCACTACCTCAGGAAAATAACAACACCATCGGACACCATAATGGATTCCCCCTTTGGTGTTTTGCAGGAGGACCCTGTGCTGACCGTGATCACCCAGGTGGGGCTGACCATCTCTCTGCTGTGCCTCTTCCTGGCCATCCTCACCTTCCTCCTGTGCCGGCCCATCCAGAACACCAGCACCTCCCTCCATCTAGAGCTCTCCCTCTGCCTCTTCCTGGCCCACCTCCTGTTCCTGACGGGCATCAACAGAACTGAGCCTGAGGTAGGTAATTTACCCAAATTACCTCATTGCCATAACGAATCCAGCCATCTTGTCCCACAAGAAGATGGAGAGCAAGGCATTAGTCAGCAGTGATGATGTAGAGAGGAAAAGTATGAGCTCCATTTCAGTTGTCCTCCTATAGAAGTTGGAATAAGACCTTTACATTCTGAGGGGCCATTTAGCAAAGTGATGGAGTGTCAGGCTGATGGTATTAAATAGGGTAACATTAGCGGTTGTTAGGATCAACTCCAGAATGTCACAGGCTTGCCACAGTAGGAGTTATTTTTTCCTTATGTATCAGTAGAGGGTGAGCAAACAGGTCTGAAGAGTGTCTATCCTGCACCCTCAGGTTGAGGGAGGCTCTGTCATTTTCCATACACAGCTCCCAAGGTCATCGTGGTGTTCACATATCAGCCAACCCGGAGGGGGAAAAGAACATGGCTGAGTTCCCATGGGGGAGGTTAACATGTGCCACATCATGAAGTGGTGCATATCACTTCCCCTCACACTCTATTGGCTAGGACTCGGTCACATGATAACACATAACTGCAAGGGCAGTTGGGAAATGTGGTCTCTGTCTGGGAAGCCACTTCCTAGTGACAAATCTATACTCTGGATTTGAGGGTGGGGAAGAGGCTTGCATTTTTGGTGGGCAGTGGGTTTGCTGCACTGATCTGCGCTTGAATCGCAGCTCTTCACCCTACTTGCTGTAAGACCTGTTGAAGTGACTTCCCCTTTTAATTTATTTAAATTTAATTTTTAAACTGAAAAATATAAAGTATATGTATATTTTTTTTCTGTACAGCATGTTTTGAAATATTATACGTCATAGAATGGCTCAGTTGATCTAATTAACATTTGCATCACCTCACATACTCAGCTTTATTGTGTGTGTGTGTGTGTGTTTGTGATGAGAACACTAACGTATTCTTTTAAAAGTTTTTAAGAATACATACATTGTTACCATGCAACTATGATCACCATGTTTTACAATAGATCTCTTGTGGCTTCCCCTTTTTAAACTTCCTCTGCAAAACAGGGGCCTAATCATAGGATTTAGTAAGAACTTAGCAAGACAAAACATAAAAGATTATGAATTAATCACTCAGAGAACAATGTTCACTTTTATCTTTATCATGATCCTGGCCATCATATTATCCAGGAAGATTTAAAGCTAGATGGTTCTCTAAGTCTCCTGTTAACCCTAAAACACTATGATCACACAGCTAGAAAGTTACAAAAGCACTCTGTTTATATTTAAATTTTTTTTCCTGAGAAATAGTATAGTTTTATGGTTAAGAGTAAGTACATTTTCTGGAGATAGTTTAGGTTCAAATCCAATTTTATTTTTTACTCGCTGTGAGATTTGGGGGCCAGATTTTAACCTCTTGGTGTTTCATTTGAAAATAGGCAGAGGTTGGGAAGACACAGTCCTCAGGCCAAATCTGGCCCACCTTCTGTTTTTGTAAATAAAGTTTTATTAAAACACAGCCTCATCTATTCATTTATATATTGTTTGTGGCTGCTTTTACGCTACAATGGCAGAATGGTGTAATTGCAATAGAGATTTGACTGCATAGCTTAAAATTTGGCCCTTAAAATTTTTTTGTCTCAGAGTATTGAGACAATAATATGAGTTAATACTTAACAAAGCAATTTGATCAGTGTTCACCCATAGTTAAGTGCTCGGAAGGTACTAATTACTTCTCTGATAAAATTTTCAAATGATGTTTTTAAAAACTGTAAAAATAATATTGTGGGTAAGATGGAGTTGACTTAGTCATCTTGAAAATATATGCTTTTATATAATGCTCTAAAATCCTACCTCTTATTTTATTTATTTATTCATTTGATGGATATTTTAAAAATACCCACTGTGTGTCAGGCATTGTGTTGCAAATACATTAATAATTAGGGGACTAGGGGAACTACCTCAGTTACTTTCCCCATAGAGTTCACAGCTTAGAAACATGTGCTGAGGCCAGGTGCGGTTGCTCACGCCTAATCCGAGCACTTTGGGAGGCCGAGGTGGGTGGATCACCTGAGGTCAGGAGTTTGAGACCAGCCTGGCTAACATGGTGAAACCCTGCCTCTACTAAAAATACAAAAAATTAGCCAGACCTTTGGTGGGCACCTGTGATCCCAGCTACTCGGGAGGCTGAGGCAGGAGGATCACTTGAACCTGGGAGGCGGAGCTTGCAATGAGCCGAGATTGCGCCACTGCACTCCAGCCTGGGCAACAGAGCGAGACTTTGTCTCAAAAGAAAAAAAAAAAAGCAGCCACAGATAAAAGTAAATGAATGTGTGTGGCCATGTGCTAATAAAACTTTACTTATAAAAACAGATACTGGGCCAGAACTGGCCCAAAGCCACTGATTTCCTAACCCTGCTCAAGGCAGCAGTGGAAAGGACTTCAAGCTGGGAATGACAGAAAATACTTATCAGGACAACAAAAGTTGAAGGTAAAGATAACTGCAGTGAGATGAAACTAGCAGCAGAAAGAATAGCAACAGGGCTATGAATGGTCTAAGTGGGAGTTAATAAAAATATGGGCCTGGCACGGTGGCTCACGCCTGTAATCCCAGCACTTTGGGAGGCCAAGGTGGGTGAATCACTAGGTCAGGAGTTCGAGACCAGCCTGGCCAACATGGTGAAACCCCGTCTCTACTAAAAATACAAAAAATTAGCTAGGCGTGGTGGCGGGCACCTGTAATCCCAGCTACTTGGGAGACTGAGGCAGGAGAATTGCTTGAACCCGGGAGGCAAGTGTTGCAGTGAGCGGAGATCATGCCACTGCACTCCAGCCTGGGTGACAGAGGGAGACTCCATCTCAAAAAATAAAACAAAATAAAAAAATAAAAACATGAACACTGCTAAAGGAAGTGGGCCAGATTTTAGAAATGTTTGTAAGGGGAGTTGGTAAGACTTGAGGCCCAAATAGATGTGGAAGTGGTGTGTGTGTGAGAAAGCAGAAATAAGGATGAATTAGAGGTCTCCCATTTGGGAGGTTGGGTAGATGGATGGCGAGAAAGAGGAACAGACTTGGAGCGAGACATAGAATGAATTCGGGTTTAAATCTGTTAGTTAGAGGTGCTGGTCAGACACTGGAATTGAGACATACAATAGAAAATTGGAAATAGGAATTTTGAGCCCAGGAGAGATTGAAGCAGGAGAAAGGGATATTGGAGTTTTCTACACGAAGGAGACACTTCAAGCTACAGAAATAACGATCAGTGATAAGTAAAATGGATTAAGAATAAAGCTCTGTGGAGGAGGAAGGAGGCGGTAGAGGGAGGAGGAGGAGGAAGAGGAAGAGGGGGCGTTGGGACAGGAGGAAGAAAGTTCCACACGTGGTCTCTCCATAATTCTCTCCAGAGTCCTTGAGGCCATGCTCTCAGAATAGAGGCCACTCAGTAAGGAGGGTCTTCACAGGTGCCAGGCCCTCTGCAAACACCTATGAGGTAGGGACCACCAGGATGTAGGAGCCACAGTCTCCACATTCTGGATGGGGACACAAAGGCTTAGAAGTCACCCCAGCCTAGTCCACATTTTAATTGCCAATTATACTTCAAACCAGTTCTTCCTTAAGCCTGAATTCTATTTTCTCTTGAAAATCCCCAGAGCAATGGTTCTCAGCATCTTTGAAGTTGGATCCCTCTGAGAATTTTGTTGAAAGCTAAAGCCCTTTTTCCCAGACAAATGTACCTATACACAAAATTTTGAATAAAACTTCAGTTAATTCAGGGACAGGAAAAGCAAATTCAGGCCAGGCGTGGTGGCTCACGCCTGTAATCTAAAGATTGGGAGGAGGAAGATACATGAGATAGACGAGAAGACTCAAAGATAAGCAGGTGAGAATTCCTGGATAGATGAATGTCCAGGACATCAAAGGACAGAAAGTGCCAACTAGGTTGATCAGCTTCTGCTGAAAGGCCAAGTAGAAGGACGGGCACAGTGGCTCATGCCTGTAATCCCAGCACTTTGAGAGGCCAAGGCGGGTGGATCAGGAGTTCCAGACCAGCCTGGCCAACATGGTGAAACTCCGTCTCTACTAAAAATACAAAAATTAGCCAGGCATGGTGGCACGTGCCTGTAATCCCAGTTACTCTGGAGGCTGAGGCAGGAGAATCGCTTGAACCTGGGAGGTGGAGGTTCCAGTGAGCCGAGATCATGCCACTACACTCTAGCCTGAGTGACAGAGCAAGACTCTGTCTCAAAACAAAAAACAAAACAAAACAAACAAACAAACAAACAAACACACAAAAACAAACAGAAACGCCAAGTAGAGAGACTGCTGGATTTGGTAGTTAAGAGGCTGTGTTAGTCAGGGTTTCTGGAGAGACAGAAATAGTAGGATGTGTGTATATTACCTGATTGGATTTACCTGCTTTGTTGCATGCCTGCTATTTTTTGTTTGAATGCCATTCTTGGTGAATTTTAAATTATGAGTGCTGTATCTTTTCAAAAAAATTATTTAAACAGTTTTAGGCTTTTGAGGGGACATAATTAAGTGACTTGGAAACAGTTTGATACATTCAAGTCTTGATTCTAAGATTGAATAGAGTGGTCACGGAATTCTCTTTCGTCTAGGGCTCATTTGGCCCCATTAATGATATAATACTCTCCTGATAATTTTACCTGAAATTCTGGATGTTAGGAGAGTCTGCTCTAACATACAGAGAGCCTGTTTACAGAAAATCTGCTCTAACATACAGGGAATCTGTATATCAGACTCCCCTAACACACAGAACTTCAGGTAAAATTGGGTAATAGGAACAAACCATTTGGACAATAGGAACAAGCTATTTCCAGTTCTGTGTGAACTCAGAAGATTGTTCTGCCTACTCCTCTTTAGGAGCCTTCTCCTAGTTTTGGTTAGTCTCCTTGCAAGCATTTGCTGATAAGTAATCAAACCCTCTGCCAATCTCTCCCCTTCCCCGCTTCCCAACCCCACTGTAGCTCCCTACCCTGTGGTATTTTGCCTCATAAATTCTTTTTTTTTTTTTTTTTTGAGATAAAGTTTTGTTCTTGTTGCCCAGGCTGGAGTGCAATGACGCAGCCTCCGCTCACGGCAACCTCCACCTCTCGGGTTCAAGTGATTCTCCTGCCTTAGTCTCCCAAGTAGGTGGGATTATTGTGCCTGCCTCTATGCCCAGCTACTTTTCTTTTTTTTTTTTTTTTTTGTATTTTTAGTAGAGACGGGGTTTCACCATGTTGGCCAGGCTGGTCTCAAACTCCTGACATCAGGTGATCCACCCGCCTTGGCTTCCGAAAGTGCTGGGATTACAGATGTGAGCCACTGCGCCCAGCCTGCCTCATACATTCTAGATAACTTGGTCTCTGTCTCCATTTTCTAGAGCTGTCATAATGAAGAGCCACCATATGGACGGCTTAAGCAATATAAATTTATTGTCTCACAGGTCTGGAGGCCAGAAGTCTACGGTCTATGTGTTGATAGGGTAGGTTTCTTTTTCTATTTGTTTTTATTTTTTATTTTTTTTATTTTTTTAGACAGAGTCTTGTTCTGTCACCCAGGCTGGAATGCAGTGGCTTGATCTCGGCTAACAGCAACCTCCACTTCCCGGGTTCAAGTGATTTTCCTGCCTCAGCCTACCGAGTAGCTGGGATTATAGGCACATGCCACCACACTTGGCTGATTTTTGTATTTTTAGTAGAGATGGGGTTTCACCATGTTGGCCAGGCTGGTCTCGAACTCCTGACCTAAGGTGATACATGCCTTGGCCTCCCAAAGTGCTGGGATTACAAGCGTGAGCCACCTTGTCCGGCCTTTCCCTCCTTTTAGAAATCACTGTAAACATAAATATTCAATGCCTATTCTCCAATATCTGTAACTCATAATGTCATACATGTCATTTAGCATTTAGTTGTTTAATGTGGGAGGGTAAATCCCATCCTCATTATGTTATCACGATTAGAAATGGAAGCCTTATTCCGCACATTGAATGGAAAATTTTGTGTCTGTGAACACATCTGGAGAATTATGAGAAATCATGAAGCATGACTTCTATAAAAGTATATTCATTTGTTCTGGCTGCCATAACAAGGTACCACAAACGGAGTGATTTAAACAATGGAAATTAATTTTCTTACAATTCTGGAGGCTCATGGTCTGAGATCAAGATGTCAGCAGGGTTGGCTTTTTTTGAGACGCCTCTCCTCGGCTTGTTGATGGCCATCTTCTCCCTGTGTTCTCACTTGGTCATCCCTTTGTGTGTGTCTGCACTCTAATCTCCTATTTTTAAATTTTTATTTATTTATTATTATTTTTTAAGATGGAGTTTCCCTGTTGTTGCCCAGGCTGGAGTGCAATGGCACAATCTCAGCTCATCGCAACTTACGCCTCCCGGGTTCCAGCGATTCTCCTGCCTCAGACTCCAGAGTAGCTGGGATTACAGGCGTGAGCCACCACGTCTGGCTAATTTTTGTATTTTTAGTAGAGAGGGGGTTTCTCCATGTTGGTCAGGCAGGTCTTGAACTCCCAACCTCAGGTGATCCACCCTCCTCGGCCTAATCTATTTTTAGATGTACATAACTTGTATTGGATTAGGGCCCACATATCTGAACTTATTTTAACATAATGACCTCTTGAAGAGCCCTGTCTCCAAGTACACTCACCTTCTGTGATACTGGGGATTAGAACATCAGCACATGAAATTTTTTTTTTTTTTGAGATGAAGTCTCACTCTTTTCACCCAGGCTGGAGTGCAATGGCACAATCTCAGCTCACTGCAACCTCTGCCTCCCAGGCTCAAGCGATTCTCCTGCCTCAGCCTCCCAAGTAGCTGGGATTACAGGCGTGCACCACCACACCTGCCTAATTTTTGTAATTTTAGTAGAGATAAGATTTCACCATGTTGGCCAGGCTGGTCTCAAACTCTTGACCTCAGGTGATCCACCCACCTCGGCCTCCCAAAATGCTGGGGATTACAGGCATGAGCCACCGCACCTAGCCAATAGATGTTTCCACTATAGACATTTGGAGCTCAATTCCACCGAGGATCTCCAGGGGGCAGTGTAGAGCACATGTCTTAGATTGGTAGATTCTACCAATTTTTGTTTATTATACATTTGGGGGCTGTTCCCACGACATGTATTCCTTGGGTTTCTACCCTGCTCTATGCATGATGTAAACAGACTTCAATGGCTAGCAGAAGTCTTCAGAAAATGTGTAGCCCCCAGGCAAAATGTTACAGATGCTCAAATTGAAATTCCAGGCCACATCCAGGAAATGCTAAGTGCTGAGCATATAATCAGGTACAGACCACATCTGCTGCACACCCCTAACTCTTCTGTTCCCTCCAGGTGCTGTGCTCCATCATTGCAGGGCTGCTGCACTTCCTCTACCTGGCTTGCTTCACCTGGATGCTCCTGGAAGGGCTGCACCTCTTCCTCACCGTCAGGAACCTCAAGGTGGCCAACTACACCAGCACGGGCAGATTCAAGAAGAGGTTCATGTACCCTGTAGGCTACGGGATCCCAGCTGTGATTATTGCTGTGTCAGCAATAGTTGGACCCCAGAATTATGGAACATTTACTCAGTAAGCATAATGTGTGTCTTTATGATGGTAGTAGCAATGGCTACTGTAAAGAATAACACCAATATTACAACTATCAAAGCCCTATGGTGCATCAAAAATCGTGCTTCCTCTATGCAGTAGCTCATGCCATTCTCACCATGACCCTATGACGTCAGCAGTTTATTTTCTTACGCACAGGACACCTGGGCCTGAGTGCATTTCATAAACTTCCCCAAAGTCAGAGCTGCAAGGCAAGTAAGTCAGAATTTTCAAGGAAATAGTCTGAATAGCCATGTTTTATTGCTTCAGTAATGAAGCTTGCAAAACTCAACACACAACAGTTAGTTGAAGAAGTCAATATTTTGTTAATGGTGCTTGGGTTAGGAAGTAGGTTGTGCACACACTAAAACATCATGTATGTTAGTTACTGTTGTCCCTTTTTTTTTTTTTTTTTTGCGACAGAGTCTTGCTCACCTGCCCAGGCTAGAGTGCGGTGGTGTGATCTCAGCTCACTGCAACCGTCTCCCGGTTTCAAACAATTCTCCCGTCTTGGCCTCCTGAGTAGCTGGGATTACAGGCACCCGCTATCATGCCCTGCTAATTTTTGTATTTTTTAGTGGAGACGGGATTTCACCAGGTTGGCCAGGCTGGTCTTGAACTCCAGACCTCAGGTGATCTGCCTGCCTCGGCCTCCCAATGTTGTCCCTCTTAAAGTCAAAGAGGTGCTTTGTCCTCTTAAAGTCAAAGAGGTGCTTTGTTTCCAGCTTGAACTCTATGTCCTACCAGAATGCTGGAGATAGAACGGTAGAGGAGTTGACCAACATTTTCTTTTCTTTTTTTTTTTTTTTTTTTTTTTTTTTTTTTTTTTTTTTTTACAATTTTAGGTACTCCCTTCTGATTTTTTTCTATTATGGAAGATGGAAATTTGGTGGTTTTTTTTTTTTAATTATACTTTAAGTTCTAGGGTACATTTGCACAACATGCAGGTTTGTTACATATGTATATATGTGCCATGTTGGTGTGCTGCACCCGTTAACTCGTCATTTACATTAGGTATATCTCCTAATGCTATCCCTCCCCCCTACCCCCACCCCACGACAGGCCCCGGTGTGTGATGTTCCCCACCCTGTGTCCAAGTGTTCTCATTGTTCAGTTCCCACGTATGAGTGAGAACATGCGGTCTTTGGTTTTCTGTCCTTGCCATAGTTTGCTCAGAATGATGATTTCCACCTTCATCCATGTCCCTACAAAGGACATTGACTCATCCTTTTTTATGGCTGCATAGTATTCCATGGTGTATATGTGCCACCTTTTCTTAATCCAGTCTATCACTGATGGACATTTGGGTTGCTATTGTGGAAGACAGTGTGGCGATTCCTCAAGGATCTAGAACTAGAAATACCATTTGACCCAGCCATCCCATTACTGGGTATATACCCAAAGGATTATAAATCGTGCTGCTATAAAGACACATGCACACGTATGTTTATTGTGACACTATTCACAATAGCAAAGATTTGGAACCAACATTTTCCATAAAAGGCCAGACAGTAAATATGTTTGGCTTTGCTGGCCACAAGGTCTCTGAGGTGACTACTCAATGTTGCCCATGTAGTGTGAAAGCAGCATTGACAATATGTAACCGAATGAGTTGATTGTCTTTCAGTAAAACTTATGAAAGCAAGTGGCGGGCTGGATCAGACCCGTGGGCCATAGTTGGCAGCCCTTCGGATAGAACTTAAGTTTGGAAGCTTTTCTGCCTACTGAATGTTAGAGATTCAGGCTCTCAGCTTCCCTTTAAAAATAAGGTATGCTACCTTTGCCATCATAAGCCAAGAAAGAATACAAATTATCTGGACAACAGAGTACCTGGTGCATGCAATATGCTTAATTAGAGTTAGTTTTTATAGCTGTAGTTATCGTTTTTACTATCTTTCTCATTATAGCAATCATTATCAACTTGCTAACTACATTTATTACCGTTAACTCATTGCTAGGAACTGTACTCAAAAACTTTAAGCACATTATCTTATTTAATCTTTCCTACAAGTTCTATATGAAGGCAGTGACAAAATTCTGATGAAAAAAATCAAAGGATATCCAAATAGATATTCTATGTTCATGGATAAGAAGACTCAACGTTGTCAAGATGGCACTTCTTCCCAACTTGATCTATAGATCCAACACACTCCAAATCAAATTCCCAGAAAATTATTTTGTGGATATTGGACAAACGGATTCTGAAGTTTAGATAAAGGAGGCAAAAGACCTAGAATGACCAACTCTATTTAGAAGGAGAACAATGAAGCCAGAGAACTGACATTCCCTGACTTCAAGCCTCAGTAGACAGCTACGGTCATCATTTAATCTTTCCAGTACTTTGATTAGCTCTATTATACACTTGAAAAAACTCAGCCTCAGAGCATGCACCTGCATCAAATGAGAACTCACATCTGACTCCATCTAAAATTCAGGATTCTGACCGAAGTAACTCCTGGCCCTGTTCACATCTTGCCCCAGGAGCCTGTATTCAAGTTCTCTGCCTTCTCCCAAGGAAGAGGCAGCTAATGCTTCTCTCTGTCTCAACAGCTGTTGGCTCAAGCTTGATAAAGGATTCATCTGGAGCTTCATGGGGCCAGTAGCAGTCATTATCTTGGTAGGCGATAATTATTTATGGGTGTGCCCGCCTTAGGTTGACCAAGCATACAAAATGTTTTTCTTATCTAAGGGGAAATGAGATGAAGATAAGAAATAACAGCTTAATGTGATCAGCCCCTCTTCCTGAAAGTACTGTCTCCACTTTTCTTTCCTTGGATTCCTCCTGGCTCACTTGTTGCTTTGATGTAATAATATCACCTCTCCTGGGACTTCTTTTCAAAATGCTGTTATTCATTCCATTCAACAAATATTTAATGGTTGGCTTCTCTACACAGGGTGACATGGTTTCCTGTTTGCCGGAAACTTTCTGATGACACCTGTTCCCTGGTAGAGACATTAATAGCACCTTTCCACTTTCAAAGTCTCCTGGTTTGAATGATAAATTCGATAGTTACCTAATCAAGCACCAAATGCTACAGGGTATATGCTGCGTGTTGTACGTAATAGACCAGAACATATGTGCATACCATCTTTATAAAACCTGTGTCTTTTGGGAAAAGATTCTTAGGCCCTCCTCAAATTAGATTGTATAAAATGGCTCCAAAAGAAAATTCCAAGTCACTTTTTTCATGCGGTTCCCACAGATAAACCTGGTGTTCTACTTCCAAGTTCTGTGGATTTTGAGAAGCAAACTTTCCTCCCTCAATAAAGAAGTTTCCACCATTCAGGACACCAGGTAAGAAGGCATCAGAATCAGTGGTACCCAAACATTATTCCTACGTGGCTGCTCTTTTGGGAAAGAAAGAACCCAAGCAGAAATATGATATAAATTATTCTGGTACGCGATAAAGAGCATGTGAAGGACAATTTATAGAAGAAATAGAAACTCTGATTTTCAGGTAACTTCATTTCCTTATTCAATAAATATTCCTGCTGGGTGTAGTGACTCACACTTGTAATCCCAGCACTTGAGGAGGCTGAGGTGACAGGACTGTTTGAGTCCAGCTGCTCAAGACCAGCCTGGCAACATACTGAGACCCCTGTCTCTACAACAAATTTACAAAATTGGCTGGGCATAGTGGCGTGCGCCTGCAGTCCCAGCTATCTGGGAGGCTGCAAAGGGAGAATCACCTGAGCTGGGGAGGTTGAGGCTGCAGTGAGCTACGGATCATGTCACTGTACTCCATCCTGGGCAACAGAGCGAGACTCGGTCTCAAAAAAAAAAAAGAAAAGAAAAATAAACATTTATCAAGTGCCTCCTTTGTATAACACACTCTTATTATGAAATTAATTCCAAGAGTATCAACATCCTCCTCTCACTCCACCAAGAGCCCATATGCCCCTGGACTCCGTTTTCTTTCCTTTTCTTTTTCTTTTCTTTTCTTTTTTTTTTTGAGACTGAGTCTCACTCTTTTGCCTAGGCTGGAGTCCAGCGGCACCATCTCGTCTCACTGCAACCTCCCACTCCCGAGTTCAAGCAATTCTCCTGGGTTCAAGCAATTCTCCTGTCTCAGCTTTCTGAGTAGCTGGGACTACAGGCACACGCCACCATGCCTGGCTAATTTTTGTATTTTTAGTAGAGACAGGCTTTTGCCATATTGGTCAGGCTGGTCTCGAACTCCTGACCTCAGATGATCCACCCGCCTCAGCCTCCCAAAGTGCTGGGATTACAGGCATGAACCACACCGCACCCTACCTGGACTCCATGTTCTTTGGTTGTAGAAACTCAATTCTCATGGGTACCAATCTATGCTATTAAAAATAATGATGACAAAAGCTAATATTCAATAGAATCTTGATAGATGCTGGATCCTTACCCCAAGAGTGGGTAAGGATCTTGCATTGGTGAGTCACGTGCATGAAAATTAAAGGACTGTCTAATTTCAGACCCTGTCTCAAGACTCCTCTACTTATCAGACCAGTCTGACATTTCTTAAATTTGGTTTCCTCAATTCTTGAGGGTCAAAGTGCCACCCTTCTTGGTGTTTCCCCATCCCCCCATTTCTCAATTCCTTACCCTGTAAGGGCTCACTTCTTCCTTAGAACTGCAAACAGCAAGCTCCATGTCTGACCTCATCCCAGCAGCCATGCCCTGCTGCCAACCTCTTCCTCTTGCTGGTGAATAGACAGTTACCCTGTTGTGCTACACTAGGTTAATGTCACACTTTGGGGTAGAGATTAACTATCTCGTCTATTTCCTAAGTAATAAATCCGAGGTTAACATTGACATGGTGGAAACATCATGCTCTTTCAATAGGAAGGACTTGGATTCTAGAAATTTCAGACATCATGGCAGGAAGGGGAGGCTGGGAAAGAGTTGTTGAGAGACTTGTTCCAGATCTGTTAGAAGCCCCCATCCACTTGAGTCCCTTTGTCTCCTAAGCTCCAGAATTAACCATTGTGATATGGAATCGCATATCTGGCTGGGCGCGGTGGTTCATGCCTGTAATCCCAGCACTTTGGGAGGCCGAGGTGGGTGGATCACAAGGTCAAGAGATCGAGACCATCCTGGCCAACATGGTGAAACCCCGTCTCTACTAAAAATACAAAAATTAGCCAGACATGGTGGTGGCACACGCCTGTAGTCCTAGCTACTTGGGAGGCTGAGGCAGGAGAATCGCTTGAACCCAGGAGGCAGAGGTTGCAGTGAGCCGAGATCGTGCCACTGCTCTCCAGCCTGGGCAACAGAGCAAGACTCCATCTCAAAAAAAAAATCGCATATTTATGGCTCCCTTTCCTGCACCTTGGCTCTGTCCTCTTCTCCCTGCAGACTGACTTCCCACAGCTGATGAACAGGGCAGAGCCACCTCAAAGGCGTCTCACAGGTCCATTCTCCAAGCCTCTTACTTCAAATGCTTAAGAGACAAAATCTGGTTGGCTGGGGGGAAAATGGATTGATTGACTCCTTATAGGTCAGGTGTCTACTGTGGGGCAACTGGCTATGGTCAGTGGGGATGAAGCCATATGGCACCATTTAGGCCAAAGAGAAAGTTGTCATGGGAGAATCCTCATATACCAGTGATTATGCTGTCTCCTAAATGTGGACATAGGTAGGTTTTCTGTCTTTTCTATAAGTATATATCTTTCTGTAAGTGCAAATGGAAGGAGGGCTGGATGTAAGAAAAATCACCAAGCTAGATAGCAGTTGTGGAAAACCTAGGAACCAAATCAGGAACAGGAAGGACTAATTAGCAAGTTTATCACAAACCATAATATTTATTGAGTATCTACTATGTGCTAGGCATTGTTCTAAGGACTGGAGATAAAGCAGTGAGTAAAACAGACCAAAATCCCTGCCCTCATAGAGTTTATATTCCCAGGGGGTAACACAAAAAGTAAAAAGTGAAGTCACACACACACACACCTATACACACACACACTCATCAGCTCTCCCAGCCAGCTGCCATCAACAATCCCACTCCATTATATGAAACACAATATACTTTGTGTGAAGAAACCCAACATTATGTTATGTTCTAAAGTCAGGAATTCACCATTATTCAAATGTTTTAATACAAATTTCTAGAAGGCATTTTCCCATAAATCTTCCAAAAAATCTAGGCAGAAGACATGCAGAGAAATCAAATTATTTTCAACGGTGGGGAGAAAGCACTATTCTCAGTGATTTGCCATGACTGAAGTCATGGGTTCCACTTCATCCTCAAGCTGTGTGACCTTGTTGTATACGTCACTTAACTGCATGAAGCTGTTGTGAGATTTAAATAAGGGAATGCACACAGAGCATTTAGTTAGCACTTGTAGTGGATACCTGGTAAACCGTAGTTATTATTACTTTTATTCCCTGCAGAGTCATGACATTTAAAGCCATTTCTCAGCTATTTATCCTGGGCTGTTCTTGGGGCCTTGGTTTTTTTATGGTTGAAGAAGTAGGGAAGACGATTGGATCAATCATTGCATACTCATTCACCATCATCAACACCCTTCAGGGAGTGTTGCTCTTTGTGGTACACTGTCTCCTTAATCGCCAGGTAAGGCTAATTATTTTGTCTGTCATCAGCCTAGTCCCAAAGTCTAATTGAATGGTTGTTCACGTTCTCACTCTTCCCTGACCTTTTATAATTGTATTTTGGGTTTGTCTTGATTTGGGGATGAGGGTTTAGGTGCTGCTGGGGTATGCTGTATGCTGTGGGTTTCATCTGTTTAGCATCCTAACATATCCTGAAGAGCATGGGTCAGTCAGGATAAAGTGGATTATGCTGCAATAACAAATAGCCCCTTGCCTCCCACACTTAATCTTAGCAACTTAAAACAATAAATATTTATTTCTTGCTTGTGCTACATAACTGTGACTTAACCCACATCGTCTTTCCTCTGGAGTGCAGGCTGAAGGTGTGGCCCCCTTTTTAGAACATTGATGGTTTCATGGCACAGGAAAAGGAGATTGTGGGAAAGCACAGCTTAGCTCTCTTAAAGCTTCTACCTAGTAGTGGTGCACTTCTGTTCTGCTCTCATTTAATTAGTCAAAGCAAGTCACATGGCCATACCTCAGTTCACCAAGAAGGGGATGAATAATCCTTCTGTAGTGAGGGGCACTACAAGAAGTGATGCTGAAATATGTGGCACAATCTACCACAAACTCAAAGAGACTTCAAGTCTAATCCCAGTTCTTCCACTGAGTAGGTGGCTGTGTGACTCTGGGTAAACCGCCTATCCTTTCTGAGCATCATCTGTAGTTTTCTCATCTGCAGATGTGGTGATGCCTTCATTACAGGGTTGAAGACTTAAATGAATCAGTGCAAACTCCTAACATAGTCCTTAGCACACATTAAGATCTCAGTTAGTGTTGTTATTAAGATCTCAGTGAGTGTTATTTCAATTTTACTCTCCATAGAAAATTAGGACAAATTTTCCTGGCATTTTCCCTTTGCTGTTGAATAAAACTACCAGCAGTTAAGACGCTAGTGGCAAAAGGCTATCTTAACACGTCATTAATTTCTCTTCAATCTTTTAGTGCCTTCATGCTTGGTACTTCTCACTCACAGAAGAAGTAAAATATAATTTAATTGTCCTTGTGAAATGATGTCGAGCATTAAATCTTTAAATGTCATTTTTAGCATGTTAAGGAGGTTAGAGGAAGGCAATTCTTGGAATCACAGAGGATGGGTGATTGTAATGGTTAGCGTCAGGGCTCTGAGTAAGATGACAAGGTTTCGAGTCCTGGCTGTGTGACCTTGGGCATATCAATTTAACTGCAAGAGTCTCAACTTCGGATCTTTAATTGTGGGTAGGAGAAATGTCTTTCTTACTCCATTTATGTAAGAATTAAATGATATATTGCATATACAGTGTCTTGAATATAGCTAGTGTTCAATAAATGGTGACCTTCACCATCATATAATCACCAACACCCCCACCATTATCATCTAACCATCATCACCATAGTCACTTTTGTCATTATCACCATTATCATCTTTATAATAATCACCTTCACCATCACCACCTTCATTACCTTTATCACACCTTCATCATCTTTACTATCATCACCATCACCATCATCACCATTACCATAACCTTCATTATCACCTTTATCATCATCACTGTCATCACCATCACCTTTATAATCATCACCTTCACCATCATCACCTTCATCATCTTCATCATCACCATCACCATCATCACCATCACCATCATCACTATCACCATCATCACCATTACCATCACCTTCATCATCACCTTCACATTACTTTCATCATCACTATCACCACCATCACCATGACCTTCATCATCACCTTCACTACCATCACCTTCATCAACATCACCATCATCACCCTCATCATGATCATTTTAATCATCACCGCTACTTTTACCATCGTCCGTTCCATTATCATCAACTTCATCATCATCACCTTCACCATCATCATCACTATCATCACCTTCATTGTCATCATCTTCATCATCACCCTCACCATCATCACCATTACCATCACCTTCACCATCATCAATTTCATTACCTTTATCATCATCTTCATCATTATCACCTTCATCACCATCATCACCATTACCATCACCTTCATCATCACCATCATCATCTTAATTACTTTCATTACCACCACCACTATCATCAACAGTCACCTTCATCACCATCATCATCATCATCTATTGAGTCCTATAGTGTCTGATATTTAATACACATCTTTTTTACAACTGAGAAGTTTGAGTTTAAATAAAATGAATCAACATGGGCATGGCCAAGATTATATGGAAAACTAGAGAGTAGGGCTTGGTGTCTTTATCTTTAGCCTCCCATTTTAGGATCCTTTCTCCCAAACCAAGCTCTGGATGTAACACGGACCTCTCCACTCAAATTTCCAGGTTCGAATGGAATATAAAAAGTGGTTTAGTGGGATGCGGAAAGGGGTAGAAACTGAAAGCACTGAGATGTCTCGCTCTACTACCCAAACCAAAACGGTAAGATCAGCTCCTTCTGAGTGCTTTATTGGAATCCGACATCTCATGCCTCTAGAAGCTTTCTGGTTCCTTGATCTGAAAGAAAAGAGAAATTGCATTAGGTTCCTGTATTATGCAGCTGAAGTTTCTGGGTTTTGAGACCAAAACCAGAACCCACCCACCCTTCCTTTCTTCCTTCCTTCCTTCCATCCTTCCTCCCTCCTTTCTTCCCTCCCTCCCTCCTTCCTTCCCTCCTTTCCTCCTTCCTTCCTTCCTTTTCTCCCTTTTTTCTTGCTCTCTCTCAGTCTCTTCCTCTCCCTCATTCCTGGTTTCCCTCTCCTTCCTTACGTTTTATTTCTTTCTCACTCTCTTTTACACCATCTATCTTTTTCTCTCCCTTCCTCCTCTCTCGTTTCTAACTCTCTGTTTCATTCTTTCTATCACTCCCTCCTTCTCTTCCTCTCTCTTTTCATTTCTTCCTTCAACAAACATCCAAGGGATATTTAACAAAAAAAGTTTAATTTATTAACAACACTCATTTAACACCTATTTATTGTCCGCTATGTGCCAGGCACTGTTTAGGTGCTGGAGAACCATCAGTGGACCCACTGACAGTAGTCCTTGACCTCACAGAGCTAACATTCTAGTTGGGTGAGGGAACTGACAACAGACCCCAAAAAGTGAATTTTATGGTATTAGAAAGTGATAAATGCTTTAGAAAAAATAGAGCAATGGAGAGCAGCCAGGAATGACAGGGTGGGAGGATTCCAGTTTTAAATAAGGTGACTACAAGAAGCTGGCACTTGACCAAAAATCTGAAGGCTGTGTATGATAAAAACGACCTCCGGTTTGTGAAATTACCTAGATTTGGAGGGCTAGGAAGAGACTCTTTTTGGTCAGAAACCACAGATTCCTAAGTGCTGTGACTCGTGAAACTGGGTTTGCCCCTTGCGGCAGCCTGAATGCTAAGACCATGGAGCTATTACAAAGATATGAGCTTTATTTGGGATAAAGAGCTTCTTAGCAAGGGTAGCACTTCTCATTGTGAAGATTAAATGATGTCAAATAAGTTAAGCGCTTAGAAGGCTGCCTGGCACCACAGGAAGCCCCTGTAAATGTTTGTGAAAAGATCAAATAAAATAACCATTATTAGATGGTGGAGTTTTTTTTGGAGGATGGGAAGTTGTAATGTCAGATATTGAGCTTTGGACCTAACAGAAATCCTAGCTTGTCATCTCTGGGCAAGTTAGAAGTTTTAGTTAATTTCTCTGTCACCTTTTCTCCTTATTATCTTCCCCGCAAGTAGGAAGAAGTGGGGAAGTCCTCAGAAATCTTTCATAAAGGAGGCACTGCATCATCATCTGCAGAGTCAACCAAGCAACCGCAGCCACAGGTTCATCTCGTCTCTGCTGCTTGGCTAAAGATGAACTGACCTGGCAAGTGCCATGGCAATGACCCGGAAGTTACCGCTCCTTTCCGTTTGTCTACAGCGCCCCTGTGGTCACACATAGATTGGACAAATGCCACTATTTCTAGCTTTCCTGTGAAAAGTCTAGGCTCATTCACCTATTTTGGCTTTTTATGTTCATAGAAAGAACAAGACATTTGGGAGAATTCTTAGATCCAGAGTCCAGTAGTGTGGCACGTGCAATGAAGTGTCGGAAGGATGCATTTTAAAGATGGCGGGCGGGAGAAGTGGATTTTCTTCTTGCAGCTACTGCCACCTTGCCAGAAACTCACTAACTGGCATCTGGATTCAGCTCATAGTTCCCTTTCTGGCCTCTCTGCTGTATTTTATGCTCCCAAAGATCTTACATTAACACTCCACATTCACATAATTCAACAATTTTCATATGGATCAGTATTAAAGAGGGTGTTGCATTTTGCAATACAAAAATGCATTATCAGGTGCTGGAGAGGATGTGGAGAAATAGGAACACTTTTACACTGTTGGTGGGACTGTAAACTAGTTCAACCATCGTGGAAGTCAGTGTGGCGATTCCTCAGGGATCTAGAACTAGAAATACCATTTGACACAGCTATCCCATTACTGGGTATATACCCAAAGGACTATAAATCATGCTGCTATAAAGACACATGCACACGTATGTTTATTGTGGCATTATTCACAATAGCAAAGACTTGGAACCAACCCAAATGTCCAACAATGATAGACTGGATTAAGAAAATGTGGCACATATACACCATGGAATACTATGCAGCCATAAAAAATGATGAGTTCATGTCCTTTGTAGGGACATGGATGAAATGGGAAATCATCATTCTCAGTAAACTATCGCAAGAACAAAAAACCAAACACCGCATATTCTCACTCATAGGTGGGAATTGAACAATGAGAACACATGGACACAGGAAGGGGAACATCACACTCTGGGGACTGTTGTGGGGTGGGGGGAGGAGGGAGGGATAGCACTGGGAGATATACCTAATGCTAGATGACGAGTTAGTGGGTGCAGCACACCAGCAAGGCACATGTATACATATGTAACTAACCTGCACATTGTGCACATGTACCCTAAAACTTAAAGTATAATAATAATAAATAAATAAATAAATAAAAAACCAAAAACAAAAATGCATTATCATCCTAGCTTAGGGGTGTATTGTCACTGCGCAGGCTCTTTTGTCCAAGACACTGACATTTTCCCCATTTTCTTTGCCTGAGACTTTTTTATTTATTTATTTATTTTTTTTTGAGACAGGGTTTTGCTCTGGTTGCCCAGGCTGGAATGCAGTGACATGATCTCTGCTCACCGCAACCTCTGCTTCCCAAGTTCAAGAGATTCTCCTGCCTTAGCCTCCTGAGTAGCTGGGATTACAGGCGCCTGCCACCACGCCCAGCTCATGTTGTGTATTTTTAGTAGAGACAGGGTTTCACCATGTTGGCCACGTTGGTCTTGAACTCCTCGTCTCAGGCAATCCACCCTCCTTGGCCTCCCAAAGTGCTAGGATGACAGGTGTGAGCGACCTAGCCCGGTCTGCCTGAGACTTTTGGAACCTACATGTACACATGGGTTAAAGATCATTTTGTTTTCTTAGTGTCCTCTTGAACATGTCCCAGTACAAATGTCTGGAAACAAAAAACGTGGGTCATTCGGACTCATTTTTTCGTTTTACCATGTCTAATTACTTTTACAAAGTTACTGGTTTTTAGGTATGTTTTCAGCATATTAATAAATGTGTGGATGATTGTTATGACAGAACAGCTCCAAAAAGATTTTAAATGCTAATGACTGTCAATGTTAAAATAGGCAAGAGTTATCATCATTTATTTGAAGAAATTTCAAACCAGGCGCGGTGGCTCATGCCTGTAATCTCAGCACCTTGGGGGGCTGAGGTAGGAGGATTGTTTGAGGCCAGGAGTTTGAGACGCCCTGGAAAACATAGTGAGACCCCATATCTACAAAAAATTTACAAAATTAGCTAAGCATAGTGGTGCATTGCTGTACTCCCCACTACACAGGAGGCTGAGGCGGTAGGATTGCTTGAGCCCCAGGAATTCGAGGCTATAGTGAGCTATGATTGCACCACTGCACTCCAGCCTGGGAGGCCGTGGTACTCTGTCTCAAAAAAAAAAAAAAAAAAAGAAAATCATGTGAGGTCTTCTTCTAGGGTTGCAGACAAAGGGTTGAGGACTTTTCTGCTTAATTAAAGCAAATGTCTCCTCCATAGATATAAACAGAGTAGTGTACATCCACTCCACCTGCTGGCTTTGAAGTTATGGGATTCCTTTGGAAAAGGGAAAATGAAGGGATATTCACATGGTTGCAAAATGTGTGCATGCAGCGCAACTTTTTGTTTTGCATAATTTCAAATGTACACGAATAAAGGCTTCGTAAAATGCAATATTCCTGGGCAGCTGAGAAACCCTTGTGCCGAATTCCTAGTCATGTTGCGATTGCTCTCTGGTCCATGGCAGTTGAAGAAAGACAGAATAAATAAGCCATGTATTCTAGGTGTTGCAGATTTGAATTCAGACTCCTCTATTGGCCATTTTTCCTCCCTTCCAACTTGAAGGCTGCTTTCTTCTTTTTTTCTTGTTCTTTTTTTTTTCTTTCTCTCTCTCTCTTTTTTTTTTTTTTTTTTTTTTTGATGGAGTTTTGCTCTTGTTGCCCAGGCTGGAATGCAATGGCACAATCTCAGCTCACTGCAACTTCCACCTCCCGGGTCCAAGTGATTCTCCTGCCTCAGCCTCCCGAGTAGCTGGGATTACAGGCATGCGCCACCACACCCAGCTAATTTTGTATTTTTAGTAAAGATGAGGTTTCTCCCTGTTGGCCAGGCTGGTCTCGAACTCCTGAGCTCAGGTGATCCGCCCGCCTCAGCCTCCCAAAGTGCTGTGATTACAGGCGTGAGCCACCACTCCCGGTCGGCTGCTTTCTTTCCTTCCTGCCTCTCTCATTCTTTTCCATTCTTTTTAAGAGCCAATCTGGCTTCTGCTTCCTTCAAAACCGATTTCTTATTCAGGCTTTCAAATAAATCCATCTTTTAAACTCAATTTATTCAGGTCTGTACAACATGACTTACCCTTCTACATGGTGTGCTGTTTCACAAATGATGTCACGTGTGTTTGTAAATCCTGCCTCCCTGAATTAGAAAATTCGTGAAGGCAAGAATGGCAGAGATGATACATTAAATATTCTCGGCCTCCACCTAATTATTATGTCTCAAACTCTGCGCTATTGATATTTTGGGCTGGATAATTTATTTATTTATTTATTTTCTTGCGACGGAGTCTCGCTTTGTTGCCCAGGCTGGAGTACAGTGGCGCAATCTTGGCTCACTGCAACCTCCGCCTCGCGGGTTCAAGCGATTCTCCTGCCTCAGCCTACTGAATAGCTGGGACTACAGGCGCATGCCACCACGCCCAGCTAATTTTTGTGTTTTTAGTAGAGACGGGGTTTCACCATGTTGACCAGGATGGTCTCGATCTCTTGACCTCGTGATCCACCTGCCTCGGCTTCCCAAAGTGCTAGGATTACAGGTGTGAGCCACTGCGCCGGCTGATAATTTCTTATTTGTAAGGGGTTGTTCTTTGTATTGTAAGGTGTTTAGAAGCAGCTTGGCCTTATTCAGTAGGTGCCAGTGACACTTCCCCACCAGTCATGACAATCAAAAATGCCTCCAGAGGGGGGGTGCAGTGCCTCACACCTGTGATGCTGGCACTTTGGGAGGCTGAGGTGGGCGGATCACTTGAGACCAGGAGTTCGAGTTCCAGCCTGGCCAACATGGTGAAACCCTGTATCTACTAAAAATACAAAACAAATCAGCTGGGTGCAGTGGCTCACGCCTATAATCCCAGCTATTCAGGAGGCTGAGGTGGGAGGATTGCTTGAACCCAGGAGGTGGAGGCTGCAGGGAGCCGAGATCGTGCCACTGCACTCCAGCCTGGGCTACAGAGAGAGACCCTGTCTTAAAAATATATATATATATATTTTTATTTGAAATATAAATATTTTTTATTTGAAAAAATATATTTTTAATTTGAAATATATATTTTTTATTTGAAATATATATTTTTTATTTCATATATATATAATGTATATATATAATGTATATATATTGTGTATATATATAATGTATATATATATAATGTGTATATATATATAATGTGCATATATATAATGTGTATATATATATATAATGTGTATATATATATAATGTATATATATATGCTTCCAGACATTGCCACCTGGGAACAAAAATGCTCCCAGTTGAAAACCATTGGTCTAGGGATTAGTTTATAGGTAAGGACAAAGTTGCAGTAATAAATGCAGATGTCTGAGGTGATTTAGGGCAAGAAAAATGAGAAAAACAATAGCTCTGAAACGTGCTATTGTGAATAGCACAAAACGTGAAAGTTTTCAGTTAGTGAGTCAGACCCAGTTCCAATATCCAGGGATTAAAATTGTATAATATTAACATAAGTTGGTAAAATGTTTCTATTCAATTACAAGGAACTAGGGGAATAACTGAATTCTATCTTATGTTAGCTTTGAACTTCCCTGGGATTGGGTGTCCTGCTGAGGCAGGAGAATTGCTTGAACCCGGAAGGCAGAGGTTGTGACGAGCCGAGATCACACCACTGCACTCCAGCCTGGGCAACAGAGCAAGACTCCATCTCAAAAACAAAAAAACAAGGGAACAAACAACAGATACCAGGTCCTTCTTGAGGGTGGAAGGTGAGAGGAGAGGATCAAAAAACTACCTATCAGGTAGTAAGCTTATTACCTGGATGATTAAAAAAAGTCTGTGCATGAAATCCCCATGACATGCAACTTACCTATATAACTAACCTGCACATGTAACCCTGAACCTAAAATAAACATTAAAAAAAGAAGTCTAAGTGAATGGCAGAAAAAAATTTTTTTTTTTTTTTTTTAGTAAGTGAAATGCTTACTGGAATGTCTAAGAAGTTTGCAATATCATTAGAAACAATACTCTTTTTTGAATGCAGTTCAAAATCTCATGACAGTGAACTTCAATCAAGTATCTAAGGGACTCATAGCTTTCTTTTTCATATTTGATGATCATGAGCAGAGTAGCTGGTACTGTTGCTGCCCGTTCCTAATTTCCTTTTCAGCCCCCATCCTCTTCTCCAGGAAACTGGTTTCAGCTGAACAGGAAGTGCTCCATCTGGAAGGTGACGCACTGCCCTACCATTGTCGGGGCAATGTAGCCAATAATTGACTGACACAGGCATAAACAAGGCTTGGGCCCTTGACTCAAAGTGAGACCAACTCTGAGGTATGACTCATGCTCCAGCGCTCCCCGGAGATCAGGCTGCAATCACTTCCAGCTGAGACCATAGCCTTACCCTCCAACTTCCCAACCCCATCCTGACTCCCTCACTTTTCTCCTCCAAGCACTCCCTCAGTAAATCATGGGCACCACAATCCTGGTCTCAGGCTCTGCTTTTAGAACACCTGACCTCAATCACTTATTGTCATTTTATAAATAGTAATATTAGTAATAGAATGAGCACAGGGTTATTGTTACTGGAAAATTAAACAAAAGAGATCTGTTTTGAAGATTCTGAAAATCAGAATCTGTTATTTATAAAACCAAGAGTGATCACTTCACGACACAGAATATCAGAATAGTGTTCTGTTGCTGTGCAGTAGATAGACACACTCTCTTTCCTGGATATATTCATTTAACAAATATTATTAACCCAATCAGTGACCCCAATCTTCTGCTGGATAGTAAACTTACAGAGATAAATGAGACAATGAACTCATCTGAAATTGATCCAACATACCAAGTATTACAAATAAAAAGTTAATAACTTTAGGCAAAATGGAACAGAAAGGTCACATCAGAAGGCAACCAGATGGCTTAGAACTGATGATGGAAAGATTTTCTGGGAGCAAAAATTAAATAAACTTCAAATTACTATATTGGTCTATTTATTTATTTTTTTTTATGAGATGGAGTCTCGCTCTGTCGCCCAGGCTGGAGTGCAGTGGCGTGGTCTCGGCTCACTGCAAGCTTCGCCTCCCAGGTTCACACCATTCTCCTGCCTCAGCCTCCTGAGTAGCTGGGACTACAGGTACCCACCACCACGCCTGGCTAATTTTTTTGTATTTTTAGTAGAGACGGGGTTTCACTGTGTTAGCCAGGATGGTCTCTATCTCCTGACCTTGTGATCCACCCGCCTCAGCCTCCCAAAGTGCTGGGATTACAGGTGTGAGCCACCACACCCAGCCAAATTACTATGTTTCTAATGGCTACTTTTAAAATTATTTTATTTTAAATTTTTATCTATTTATTTATTTAGAGACCAGTTATGAGACTGGCTAATTTTTGTATTTTTGGTAGAGACAGGGTTTCGCCACGTTGCCCAGGCTAGTCTTGAACTCCTGGGCTCAAGTCATTCACCCACCTCAGCCTCCCAAAGTGCTAGGATTACAGGCATGAACCACCATGCCCAGCCTCTAATGGTTTGTTTTTTACAGTTTGGGAAAGTTTTGGCAGCCCTTGTATAGTGAAAAATGTTTGTCTTTAATCAAACACTAAGGGGAACATATAAATTTCTTCCCACTTATAACCTATTACTAATTTTAAAGTCACTTATGCAGTAGAGTGTTAAAATTTTAGCTCAAAGATGTTCATTACAGTGTTGTTTATAGCACTGAAAATTTAGAAATGATACAAACTGGGATTAAATACTTTATGACACATAAACACCCTAGATTACCATGAAGAGCTTCAAAAAAAAAAGTTTTAAAATATTTGGGGCTAGGTGCAGTAGCTCATGCATGTAATCCCAGCACTTTGAGAGGCTGAGGTGGGTGGATCACCTGAGGTCAGGAGTTTGAGACCAGCCTGGCTAACATGGTGAAACCCCGTCTCTACTAAAAATACAAAAAAAAAATTAGCTGGGTGTGGTGGTGCATGCCGGTAGTCCCAGCTACTCAGGAGGCTGAGACAGGAGAATTGTTTGAGCCCAGGAAGTGGAGGTTGCAGTGAGCAGAGATTGTACCACTGCACTCCAGCCTGGATGACAGAGTGAGACTCCATCTCAAAAAAAAAAAAAATAAAGAAAAAGAAAAAAAATATATTGAGTGGCTGAATGAAATTTTTAAAAGACCAAACTGTATGCTTCTTACAAGAGACTCACCTCACCATTAAAGACAAACAGACTGAAAGTGAAGGGATGGATAAAGATATATCATGCAAAGAGAAACCAAAAGTGAGTGGTATAAGTCATACTTATACCAGATAAAATTGATGATAAGTCAAAAACTATCGTAACAAAAAGAACCAAAGAAGATCATTAGCTAATGTTAAAGATATAGCAGTTCAGTGAACCCAGGAGACGGAGCTTGCAGTGAGCCCAGATAGCACCACTGCACTCCAGCCTGGGCGACAGAGCAAGACTCTGTCTCAAAAAAAAAAAAAAAAGATATAGCAGTTCAACAAGAGGCTATAACCATCATCAACATATATACACCCAACGCCAAAGCATCCAAATATATAAAGCAAATGTTATTATATCTAAGGGATAGATAGACTGCAATTCAGTACTTATAGGGGACTTTGACATCCCACTTTCAACAATAGACAGATTGTCTAGTCAAGAAATAAACAAATACACATGGATTTAAACTATTCCATAGACCAAATGGGTCTAGCACACATTTACAGGACATTCCAACCAACCAGTGAAGAGTATACTTTCTTCTCAACTATACGTGGAACATTTTCTAGGATAGATCATGTTAGTGTCCATGTAATGTCTTTTTTTTTTTTTTTTTTTTGAGACTCTCGCTCTGTTGCCCAGGTTGGAGTGCAGTGGCACAATCTCAGCTCACTGCAACCTCTGCCTCCCAGGTTCATGCCATTCTTCTGCCTTAGCCTCCCGAGTAGCTGGGACTATAGGTGTCTGCCACCATGCACGGCTAATTTTTTTTTTGTATTTTTAGTAGAGATGGGGTTTCACCGTGTTAGCCAGGATGGTCTCAATCTCCTGACCTCATGATCCACCCACCTGGGCCTCCCAAAGTGCTGGGATTACAGGCGTGAGCCACTGCGCCTGGTCAGAACAAGTCTTAACATATTTAAGAAGATAGAGATCATATCAAGTATCTTTTTGGACCACAGTGGAATAAAACTAAAAATCAACAACTATAAAAACCTTGGAAAACTTAGAGCTATGTGGAAATTAGACCTTATGCTCTTAAATAACTGATGGCTCATTGAAGAAATTAAAAGGGAAATTTAAAAATTCCTTGAGACCAATGAAAATGGAAACACATCATACAGAAACCCCTAACACATAGCAAAAGGAAAGTTCATAGCAATAAACACCCTACCTCAAAAAGAAGAAAGGTTTCTAATAAACAACCCAACTGTGCACCCCGAGGAATTAGAAGAATAAGAACACAGTAAGCCAAAAATTGGTAAAAGGAAGTAAATAATAAGACTCAGAGCATAAATAAACAAAATACAGACGAAAAGCAAGTCAAAAAATCAATGAAAAGAAGAGTTGGTTTTTTTGAAAAGATAAAATTGACAAACCTTTAGCTAGACTAAGAAAATAGAGAAAATATCCAAATAAATGAAATAAATACAATATAATATCATTAGCTATAGTCTTTATGCTGTACATTAGATTTCTAAACTTATTTTTCCTACATAACTGCAACTATGTGCCCTTTGACCTACTTCTCTCCATTTCTCCCTCACCTCATCCCTGTTCCTCATAACCGTTATTCTATTCTTTCAGTGTGTTTGATTTTCTCAGATTTCACATATGAGATCATGCAGTATTTGTCCTTCTGTGCCTGGCTTATTTCATTTAGCGTAATGTCCTCTAGGTTCATTCTTGTTGCTGCAAATGGCAGGAATCTCCTTTTGTATGGCCAAATAATATTTTTTTAATGATTTTTCTTTTCAGACACCAATTTAAAAACTGTTATTGATGAGTTTACTTCCATTAGAACCAGTAAAGTATAATTTTAATAATTCTAGTTTGGGAACTATAAAATACTTAAATTTAAAATACTTTTTAGGTTCTAAAATAATTACTTTTCAATGTTTCAATGTTTTTAACTACTTCAGTGTTTGAGGGGGAAGCACAATAGAGGTGGTCAATACATTTTTTTTTCTGAGACAGAGTCTCACTCTATCACCCAGGCTGGAGTGCAGTGGCGCGATCTCGGCTCACTGTAAGCTCCGCCTCCCGGATTCAAGCGATTCTCCTGTCCCAGCCTCCCGAGTAGCTGGGACTACAGGCGCCCGCCACCACGCCCGGCTGATTTTTGTATTTTTAGTAGAGACGGGGTTTCATCGTGTTAGCCAGGATGGTCTCAATCTCCTGGTCTCATGATCAGCCTGCTCCGACCTCCCAAAGTGCTGGGATTACAGGCGTGAGCCACAGCACCCGGCCAATAAATATTTTTTGAGTGAATGGATCTGTAATTTTCTGTACACAATTATTTGGATTATAAGATAGCAAAGTTATTTCACATTATATTCATGGGATTTGCAGCCACTTAGGGTTTTCCATATATAATATCTGTACATATTTATGGGGTACATGTGATATTTTGTTGCATGCAGAGTTTGCAATGATAAAGACAGGGTATTTGGGGTGTCCACCATCTTGATCATTGATCATTTCTAGCTGTTGGAAACATTTCAAGTTTTCTCTGCTAGATATTTTGAAATATGCAATACAGTGTTGCTAACAATAGTCACCCTACTCTACCAGTGAACTTCAGAACGTATTTCTTCTACTCATGCATTTTTTTTTTTTTTTTTTTTGAGATGGAGTCTCGCTCTGTCACCCAGGCTGGAGTGCAGTGGCACGATCTCGGCTCACTGCAAGCTCCACCTCCCGGGTTCACGCCATTCTCCTGCCTCAGCCTCCCTAGTAGCTGGGACTACAGGCGCCCACCACCACGCCCGGCTAATTTTTTTGTATTTTTAGTAGAGTCGGGGTTTCACCGGGTGAGCCAGGATGTTCTCAATCTCCTGACCTCGTGATCCGCCCGCCTCAGCCTCCCAAAGTGCTGGGATTACAGGCGTGAGCCACCGCGCCGGGCCGCATTTTTTTTTTAATTGTCTCCTTTCTCCCTCTAGCGGAGACATATGAGACCACAAGGGTAAAAAAAATGTACCAAGTATAGCTTGATGTGTGTAGTACGAAAAAAATCCTGCATGGAGGTCACACCTTTATCCACTTACCTTAGAAATATAGAGCTTCTTAAGGTGACTATATTTCAGACCAACATGTAACACCGTTGTACAGACAGACAAAGCCTTAGGCAAATCTTCTCTCAGGAAAAAACTTTATTCAAGTAGTACAGAATTTATTATCCTGATATCTCAGAAGAAATTGAGATCAAAATTCTTTCTTTTTACATTCCAAATTGTTGCAGTCCAATGCAGAATGTTGACCATACTTTGGTTGTTGTATCCATCAGCAATTGCTACAAATAAATGCTTCATAACAAATAACTCCTGAAACTCAGTGTCTGAAAAATGATACTTTCTTGCTGCTCCTCAGTCTGTTTATGGGTTGGCTGAGCAGGTCTGCTGATGTTGGCTGGGCTCTCTCCTGTGATTAAAGCAGCAAGTTGGCATGGTGGCTGGCTGAGGACAACCTCCACCAGTGTAACTGCGGTGACTTACCCTTCATTCTGTGTTTCTCATGTCCCTCCAGCAGGCGGGCTTGGGCATGTTCACATGGTGGGGGTAAGGAAGCAAGGTGAGCAAATGTAATCGTGTAACTGGTAAGAAGGATTACACATACGATTTTGAAACTTACGTTCCAGTCACATTTCCTAACCTTCCACTGGCTGCAGCAAATCTCAAGTCCAACCCCAGAGTCAGACAAGGAGAGAGTTACAAAGTTACAGGAAAGGGATGTGGCTAAATGGAGACCATTATTGGGCCCATTGATGCCATTGACCTATGACAATTGGCTATGGATAGGAGCAGTGCCATCTCTTGCTTCCATCTCTCTAAGAACTATCACCTCTGTATTGAGCACTCTGGATAAGCCAAGCGTTGAAGACTAATTTATCATAGATGAACTCTTGTTCACAAACATGTGTCCCACCTCCCAAGTTAGGCTGCCAAGAATAACAAAGACAGAGCCTCCATCAACTGAGTTTAATATTGTTAACAAATTGTCCAGTGCATGATATGACTGAGCTAATTGAATCCTAACTGCTTAGGTGACTCAGAGTAAATATTATTCTAGTCTCTGTAACCCTAAACTAAGTATTCCTGGCACGAAAGGAAGAGAAAAAGGGGAACAAGGCATCTGGAGAAGGAGCTTTATGGTCAAGAGCTCAAAACCCAGCTCAACGACCTATGTGGCTGTGTGATCCTGGGATAGTCACTTAACCTCTCTGAGCTTCAGTTCCCCTGTCTTCAAAATGAAGAGTAATCATTCTAATCATTCATTCATTCATTCATTCAACATATTTGTTGAGACGCTACTTAATGCAAATCTCTGTACTTACGAAGCTCACAGTCTATGTTGGAGACACCCAACAAAAAGAGAAATCATAATACAGGGTGAGAAAGCATGAAGCTTTTTGGCACACACAAAAATAATGCCAAATTCTACTGTAGGAGATTCAAAGAATGCTTCCTAGCAGAGGGGATGACTACACTGCAACTCAAAGAGACAGAAGACATCAATTGAGTTTTCAGGGAAGTTATTCTAAGAGAAGATGCAAAGGGTCCAAGTCAAGAAGAAGACATTTCTCTCTGGCTTTAAAGACAAGCTCTGCTGTCAGCATGGCAAACAGAAGAATGTTCTACAATAGTGCTTTTCAGACACCCATGGTTATATTCATCCCCTGGGGATGTTAACATGCAAGTCCTGATCTAGGAGGTCTGGAGTGGGGTCTGAGATTCTTCTTTGCTTTTCTAACAAGCTCTCAGGTGATGCTGATGATCCAGGGACCACGCTTTGGATTGGGAGGTTTTACAGTGCCCATAGAAGTGAAAATACCTGCATTTAAACCTTCATCTTCTTCTCTCCCAAGCTCAAGAATTTAAGGATGGTGGCCGGGCGCAGTGGCTCATGCCTGTAATCCCAGCACTTTGGGAGGGTGAGGCGGGTGGATCATCTGAGGTCAGGAGTGCAAGATCAGCCTGGCCAACATGCTGAAACTCCGTCTCTACTAAAAATACAAAAATTAGCCAGGCGTGGTGGTGCACGCCTGCAGTCCAGCTACTTGGGAGGCTGAGGCAGGAGAATCACTTGCACCCGGGAGGCAGAGGTTGCAATGAGCCGAGATCATGCCACTGCACTCTGGCCTGGGCAACAGACCGAGACTCTGTCAAAAAAAAAAAAAAAATTAAGGATAGGTAGCGATAACTGTGATAGAGAAAATCCTAAATCCTAGCCAAGTCATTAGAAAGTTTCTAGAAAACAGGGAGGTCTTGGTTACCTGAAGGACCTCAGGAAACCAAAGCACTTTCCAAAGGTTGTTGTCACCAAGTGCTTCAACCCTCCAGGGAGTGCTAGAATTCTGCTACATCAAACATCCCCCTACTTACCAACACAACTATTTTTAAGTGTTTGTGCCAAAGTAGCTTATCTGTCTATGTGCCGTCTTGGTTCCCTGGGACTCTCATTACAGTTTTACTGACCATTTCTTTAAAATCACAAAGAGTCTTTATCCTAGGGTAAATCAGTCAGACAGGCGACAAATCATTTATTGAGAGGTTCTCTGTATCAGGCGTATGATAGGCTCTGGAGGGGCATGCTTAGAACCATGCACCAACAAGGGCAGGAGAAAACAAAATGGTAGCCAGGTGTTCTTGGTCATGCCATTGAATTTGGGTCTGTTCTCAGAAACTCTGGAATTGAAGAAGTTGCAGAGCACGAAGATAAAATGGTCGTTTGGAGCAGAAACGCCTGATTTCTCATCAGTGCATACAACCACAGGAAGACCGCCCCCAACATTCTTCCCCAGAGGGTTCTGGGGCTGGTGGGATCCTCATTTCCATGTTAAGCTGAGAAGAGATTTCAGGGTAGGCTCCTGCAGGAAACTACTGTCCTCAACTGTGGCTCCATAGCATATTTGAAAGCAAGAAAGGACTTTAACCCTGTGAGAGAGAAAAGAATTTCCTCAGAGTCTGCAGCAGAATTAATACAAACGTGATTCCAAGGGTCATGTCTACAGGGACAGAAGTATTAAAAATACAGTAACAAAGACTAGAAGGATAAACACTAAAATGTTAAATGCGATTGTCCCTAGTGTGGCAGGCAGAGTTGGAAAACCCAAAAGCCATTCTCAACCTCCTCAGCATTGACAGCGCCCACTCTGGACTTTAGGAAGCCAAACAGCTGTTGGTTCAAAATTTTTTGCCCATATGAGTGGTCACATGATACACTTCTGACCAATTAGGTAAAGGGAAATCTGAGAGTTTTCTGGGCTTTCATTTACTGTTAAAGACAAAGACATGAAAGAAGGGCTTTCTGGTCCTGTCCATCCCTCTTCTTCTTGACTTGAACATAGTCATGATGTCTGGAGCTGTGGCAACCATATTGCAACCATGAAAATACAATAAAATGTCAACATGTTGATGGTGGAATGGAAAACTGGGGAAAACCCAGATTCTTAGTTTAGAGCCTTTACAACACCACTAAGCATAGAACCAGCAACACCAGCAATATTCGCAACACCTAATTCTGGACTTCTTGCAAGGAAAATCATTTCCCTATTTAATTAAGCCACTGGATCTAAGGTGCTTGCATCCAAAAATATGACTCACTGGGATCTGTATGTGGTGGGATAATGGGAAATTTTATTTGTTTTCAATGCTTACAAATGTTTTCTAAAATGTTCTATACCTATACTGTCTTTTTCATTAAAACTATAGTAAACTGCATTATGTTTAAAAATGTATTGCCAAGAGAATATGTCATCCATGATATGGGCAATTTTTCCAGTGGGGTGATTCCTGTGGCTCATTCTGAAATCACTGGACTTAACCTCTATGACATTCGGTTTCCTCATA
Organism: Homo sapiens; assembly: GCF_000001405.40. NCBI lineage: Eukaryota > Metazoa > Chordata > Mammalia > Primates > Hominidae > Homo > Homo sapiens. Next base: position 6,939,108 of record NC_000019.10, on the reverse strand, counting down.
ATGAAAATAGACCAGCTGGGCGTGGTGGCTCACACCTGTAATCCCAGAACTTTGGGAGGCTGAGGCAGGTGGATCACCTGAGGTCAGGAGTTCGAGACCAACCTGGCCAACATCATGAAACCCTGTCTCTACTAAAAATACAAAATTTATCTGGGTGTGCTGGCGGGCGCCTGTAATCCCAGCTACTTGGGAGGCTGAGGCAGGAAAATCGCTTGAACCCAGGAGGCAGAGGTTGCAATGAGCCAAGATCACACCACTGCACTCCAGCCTGGGTTACAGAGCGAGACTCCATCTCAAAAAAAAAAAAGAAAAAAAGAAAGAAAGAAAGAAAGAAAAAAGAAAATAGAGCAGTGATACCTACCTCACTGGACTTCTGCAAGGCTTAACACTGAGATCCTGCTATGTCCGAGGCACTCTTCCAACCCCATTGCATACTGGTTCATCTAATATCTAGTATAACCTTCCAAGGTAAGGATTACCATTATCCCCATTTTATCAGTGAGGAAACTAAGCTATTGAATTATTATTTACTCAGAAAATATTCACTAAGAACTTACTGTGTGCTAGACAGCATTTTAGGGGCGTGGAATACATTGTTGAAAAAAATAAGACATTCTAGTGGGAAAACCAGCTTTGCCTCCATTTGCATATTCATTCCAATATTTCAATATTCCTGAAAATCTACATATATAAATGTTATCCATAATACATAAAAATTTTCTCTATATAAATATACATGTGAAGATATCTATATTTATTTAATTTTTTTTTGAGATGGAGTTTCGCTCTTTTTGCCCAGGCTGGAGTGCAATGGCACAATCTCTGCTCACTGCAACCTCCGCCTCTTGGGTTCAAGCAATTCTCCTGCCTCAGCCTCATGAGTAGCTGGGATTACAGACACCTGCCACCATGCCCGGCTAATTTTGTATTTTTAATAGAGATGGGGGTTTTGCCATGTTGGCCAGGTTGGTCTCGAACTCCTGGCCTCAGGTAATCTGCCCACCTTAGCCTCCCAAAGTGTTGGGATTACAGGTGTGAGCCACCGCGCCCAGCCGGTATCTATATTTAAACTTACATCTTACATTTATATGTATATAATATTATACATTATATGTATATAATAAGTGCATATAAATGTATTTTATAAACATAACATATAAATATGTATTATTTTTAATATGTTACATAATTCATATACAAATGTATCTATGTAAATCTGTTATAAATTATATATGTCTTATTCTTGAAATTTTATTTAAATAGAGAGATAGATAATGTGTGTGTGTCTGCTAATATATACATATAAATCCCCAGTCTTCAACTCCACACTTCATCCATGAGCTAACTAGGGTGGGCACCCTCAGCTCCCATTCAGTACCCAACACGTGGCAGAGCTGAGTGTCACCAAGAGGCCGGCACCTCCCTCGACCAGCACCTGCAGGGAGCATGCAGTCTCTCACCGTCTTGGAAGCGGATGGCATGGAGGACAGCAAGATCCTTGAGGTCTGGGACTGGGAGCTGGGCTTCGTCTTCCCAGTGATCCACCTCTTGTATTCTTCTCGTACCTGGAGAAGGAGACACATCATCCAGATGCAGGGAAATGGTCCAGTGACAGGGATGTTGGGTGGAGGGATGCGGTGGGGAAGGGGGGAGAGGGGGATGGGAGGAGGGGGATGGGGAGGGCAGCAGCTACACACCTGGCCGTTGAGCAGACAGTGGATGAGGAAGATGAAGGCCCCCTGCAGGCTGTTGATGATGGTGAACAGGTAAGCCATGACACCTGCCACAGGTCCAATCTGAAAAATGCCCAGCACCCAGGAGCAGCCCAGGATGAAGAGCTGGGCAAAGGCCTTGAAGGTCAGTAACCTGGGGAGAAGATGTACAGCATGTAAGGCTCTGGGAGGTGGCTATTGTCCTTGCAGGCCACACTTCCAGGAATGGTCTGAGGTGGCCACTCTCCAATTTGCCACCTAGGTGTGGACAAATGTAGGGTGGGGTCTCCAAGCCTAGGTGTTGCAAAATCAAATCCTATAGACATTTAAATGCAATCAGGCTGGGTGCGGTGGCTCAAGCCTGTAATCCCAGCACTTTGGGAGGCCGAGGTGGGCAGGTCACCTGAGGACAGAAGTTCGAGACCAGCCTGGCCAACATGGTGAAAACCCATCTCTACTAAAAATACAAAAATTAGCTGGGTGTGGTGGTGGGTGCTTGTAATCCCAGCACTTTGGGAGGCCAAGGCTGGTGGATCACCTGAGGACAGGAGTTCGAGCCCAGCCTGGTTAACATGGTGAAAACCCGTCTCTACTAAAAATAGAAAAATTAGCCGGGCACGGTGGCAGATGCCTGTAATCCCAGCTACCCAGGAGGCTGAGGCAGGAGAATCGCTTGAACCTGGGAGGCGGAGGTTGCAGTGAGTCGAGACCGTGCCAATGCCCTCTAGCCTGGGCGAGAGAGAGACTCTGTCTCAAAAAAAAAAAAAAAACAAGGATTTGCCACTAGATAGTGGCGGTCACTGCCCAACACTGTGAATGTACGAAAAGCCACCGAGTTACACGCTTTAAAATGGTTAAAATGGTGAATTTCATCTGATGTGAAACTTATTGCTTACATTTTCTGCTATGAGTATGTGTATGTATCAACTTTGTTTTACCTTTTTGTCTTTTTTTTTTTTTGGAGATGGAGTGTCACTCTGTCACCCAGGCTGGAGTGCAGTGGCGTGATCTTGGCTCACTGCAAGCTCCGCCTCCTGGGTTCAAGCTATTCTCCTGCCTCAGCCTCCCAAGTAGCTGGGACTACAGGTGCCCACCACCATGCCCGGCTAATTTTTTGTATTTTTAGTAAAGACAGGGTTTCACCATGTTAGCCAGGATGATCTCGATCTCCTGACCTCGTGATCCACCTGCCTCAGCCTCCCAAACTGCTGGGAATACAGGCATGAGCCACCACACCAGGCCTCCTTTTTGACTTTTGTACTAACTTTTCAAACATATTTAAAATGGATAAGGGATTGGATACCGAAGAAAAAAGAAGCAAAGAATGTTATTAGGTTACTGACAATAAAACCTAGATGATGGTTGCTGAAGTTTCTTAAAATGAACAGTAGTTGAGTGGGGAAGTTAGGAAACACAATTGACCTGTAAAAATATTTAAGAAGTCCCAAATCCCTAATATAAAATATGTATAACAAAAGTAATGAGATAGAATATTTCACGCATTAAATCAGCAGAAAATACATCAAAAACAATAAACTCCAGTGTTGACAATGTTGCAAGTAAATAGGTATTCTCACCGTCGGAAACAAATTTTCTGAAAATCAATTTACGACGCACATTCTAAAAGCATTACAGTCCAACCTACTCTTCAGGCAGTTGGATTTGGGTAGTTTCATGTTTAGTGTTGTAATTAAATAACCATGGTGTGGAAGGATTTACCTACAAGGGTGCTCAAGGCAGTATTGTTTATACAGAGAACAAACCAAAACCAAAAACACATAGAAGCAAATTAAGTGTCCATGAATATGGTATGACTTAAATACAATGTGCTACAAATTTACACCATATTGTAGAATAATATCTAATGAAGTCAGAAATCATCAGGACATTCTCGAGAGAAAAAAAACCATAAAAAACAAAATAGTATGATTCAGTTTCTTGTAAATGTGCACATATAAGTATACACAGAGAAAAATTAGAAAATTTATTAAGAGTTGTAGTATATGAAACACTCACTGTTCCTAGTAACCGTGCTAAATGCTTTGTAAGGCACCTAAAATAAGCAATGTTAATATCCCCATTCTGTAGGTGAGGCAAATGGGCTTCTGAGAGGTTACGTAACTTGCCTAAGGTCACACAGCTCGTAAATAGTTGAGCTGGACTTTAAGCCTCCAGATCTAGATGGTGTGATATGCTAAACAGACCTCATCACCTCTGTCTCAGGCATAGGACCCAGCACACAAGAAGTGCTCAAAGAACTTTTCTGGGAAGAAGAAAGAGGAAATTAAAAGAGGGGGGGAGGTGAAAGAGGGCTTTACCTGGTGTCTTTTAGCGTTGAGACTTCGGCATTAACACTGGAAAGCCTCTGCCTCAGGATCCACAAGGTCCAGGTCAGGAGAAGGGAGTTGATCTGCAAAGTCAAGCAGAAGGATGGAGAGACTGGATATACAAATAGACAAGGGCCAGAACACCTATAAAAAGAGAACTCTGGGCTGGGCGTGGTGGCTCACGTCTGTAATCCCAGCACTTTGGGAGGCTGAGGCGGGCGGATCTCTTGAGGTCAGGAATTCGAGACCAGCCTGGCAAACATGGTGAAACCTGTCTATACTAAAATACAAAAAAAAAAAAAAAATTAGCCATGCATGGTGGTGGATGCCTGTAATCACAGCTACTCAGGAGGCTGAGGCAGGGGAATCACCTGAACCTGGGAGGCAGAGGTTGCAGACAGCTGAGATTGTGCTACTGCACTCCAGCCTGGCAACAGAGTGAGACTCCATCTCAAAAAAAAAAAAAAAATACAAAAATTAAATTAGGCAGGTGTGGTGGTGCACACCTGTAATCCCAGCTACTTGGGAGGCTGAGGCATGAGAATCACTTGAACCTGGGAGGCAGAGGTTGCAGTGAGCTGAGATTGTGCCACTGCACTCCAGCCTGGCAACAGAGCAAGACTGTGTCTCAAAAAAAAAAAAAAAAAAAAGAAGAAGAAGAAGAATTCTGACCCACGATTTATAGCAACCAATCCAGAAAGCCAAAGAATGATCCATGCAGCAATTGAACCAAGACAGCAGGACTTAGTTAGTAATTGACAGCTTCCTTAATTTTTGTCCCTACTTCCAACTTAGGACCAACAGGTAGAAGCCAATAGGTACCCCTAACCAATCACACAGGATACCCCGCTCCTAGTTAGCCACCTACAGCTTGCCCATCCGTGCAACAGCCTCCAAGCAGGACTTACCTGTAGCCTTCTCTTTTTTTCCTCTATAAACCTTCCCCACTTCTCTGCCTGCCTTTGAGTCTGAGCCAACGCGAGTGATGATGGTAGCTGACTCTCGTACTACTGGACTACAGAAATCTCGGAATAAACAGCCTTTGCTTGTTCTCAATGGGGCGGTCTCTGTGTATTTTCCCAAAGTGCATCCAGTACGTTAGGACATAGACTGCGAACTTGAGTGGAGTTTATTATCTTGAGTTTATCTTCTAAAGCCCTCCCTCAAAAGCATTCCTGAGCAAGATATACATACACCTGGCGCAGGGCCTGTTCACCCACGGCAATACTGACATTTGGGTCAGAGCATTCTTGGTGTGTGGGGGCAGCGGGGAGAAGGGGGCTGCCTTGTGCACGGTAGGATGTTAACCAGCATCCCTGGCTTCTATGCACTAAATGGCAGTAGAACCCACCTCTCTAGTTGTAACAACCAAAAATGTCTTCTGGTCGGGAGCGGTGGCTCATGCCTGTAATCCCAGCACATTGGGAGGCCAAGGTGGGTGGATCACCTGAGGTCAGGAGTTCGAGACCAGCCTGACCAACATGGAGAAACCCCATCTCCACTAAAAATACAAAATTAGCTGGCCGTGGTGCTGCATGCCTGTAATCCCAGCTACCGCAGAGGCTGAGGCAGGAGAATCGCTTGAACCTGGGAGGCAGAGCTTTCAATGAGCAGAGATCATGCCATTGTACTCCAGCCTGGGCAACAAGAGCGAAACTCTGTCTCAAAAAAAAAAAAAAAAAAAGTCTTCACACTTTGCCAACTTCCCCTTAGAGGGAAAACTGCACCAGTGGAGAATCACGGCCCCAGGGGAATTATTTTTTCCAGATGAGTAGAACTTCCAAGAAAGCCCAATGTCCTTGAAGATTTGGGAATGGGTAAGATAAACATTGCATTACTATTATTATTGAGACGGAGTCTCGCTCTTGTCTCCCAGGCTGGAGTGCAATGGCGCAACCTCGGCTCACAGTAACCTCTGTCTCCCAGGTTCAAGCGATTCTCCTGCCTCAGCCTCCTGAGTAGCTGGGATTACAGGCGCGGGCCACCACACCTGGCTAAATTTTGTATTTTCAGTAGAGATGGGGTTTCACCATGTTGGCCGGGCTGGTCTCAGACTCCTGACCCGAAGTGATCTGCCTGCCTTGGCCTCCCAAAGTGCTGGGATTACAGGCATGAGCCACCATGTCTGGCCAACATCATCATAATTATTATTTCCATGATTGTTCATACCTAATATTTACTGCACTCTTGGCAATGCCTGGCATTGTACTAAGCATCTCACACATATGGTTTGTTCATCATCACCACCACCTCCATGAGAGAGGTCTAGAGGGGAGAACTTGGCATTTCAAGGAAGTAGAAAGTTGGCTGGTACAGCCAGAGGGCCGAGCAGGCAGGAAAAAGCCAGAAAGGGACCCTAGGGAAGTTGGGTAGGGCCAGGCAGTGAAGGATCTGAGGTGTCAGGCTCAGGGAGTGGACATCACCCTGAGTGCAATGGAGAAGCTATAGAACAGTTTCACACAGAAGAGCATCAGGATCAACTTTGAGTTTTAGGAATCTCACTCTGAAAATCCCTCTCGCTACAAAACACCAAAAATGCTGGAGGAACCCCAACAGATAGCCTTTTAAATTTATTTATTTATTTATTTTTATTTTATTTTTTGAGACCAAGTCTTGCTCTGTCACCCAGGCTGGAGGGCAGTGGCGCCATCTCGGCTCACTGCAAGCTCCACCGCCCAGGTTCACGCCATTCTCCTGCCTCAGCCTCCTGAGTAGCTGGGACTACAGGCGTGCACCACCACGCCTGGCTGATTTTTTGTATTTTTAGTGGAGACGGGGTTTCACCATGTTAGCCAGGATGGTCTCGATCTCCTGACCTCGTGATCCGCCTGCCTCAGCCTCCCAAAGTGCTGGGATTACAGGCATAAACCACCACGCCCGGCCCAGAATTTTATTTTCTAGTCCACCCTTTCAATAAGAATGGGGTCTTTATTTTATTTGGTGGACTCTACACCTTCTTCAGACCCTAGGGCTTGCCCATCCAACTCCACAAATGACCATTCAATCTCCAAGGTTTTAGATTCTTGATTTTAGGAAATACCCTTAGGGCAGCTACAGCATTCTGGTTCATTACTGCTGTCTAATTTATGGCCTCTGAAGATTTGTTTTTATTTTCTTAACGAGCTTAAGAGGCTGTCTGTTGGGGCCAGGCGCCCCAAGACCTTATTTGGAAATAGAATCTTTACAGAAATAATCAAGTTAAGATGAACTCATTAGGGCAGACCCTAATCTGACTGAAATATGACTAGTGTTCCTTTTTTTTTTTCTTTTTTTTGAGACAGTCTCCCTCTGTCACCCAGGCTGGAGTGCAGTGATGTTATCTCGGCTCACTGCAACCTCTCCCTCCAGGGGTCAAGTTATTCTTGTGCCTCAGCCTCCCGAGGCTGGGACTATTGGTGCCTGCCACCACGCCTGGCTCATTTTTTGTATTTTTCAGTAGAGACAGGGTTTTGCCATGTTGGCCAGGCTGGTCTCGAACTCCTGACTTCAGGTGATCCACCCGCCTCGGCCTCCCAAAATGCTGGGATTACAGGCATGAGCCACTGCACCTGGCCGGTGATCTTACAAATGGGAAAATTTGTTGGAGAGGGGTCTGGAACAGACCCTCCCTCGTGTTGTCATGGGGAGCGTGGCCCTGCCAATACCTTGATTTCAGGCTTCAAGCCTCCAGAACTGTGAAACAACAAGTCTCTGTTGTTCTAAGCCACCCAGCATGCAGTAGCTTATTACGGTGACCCCTGAAAATTAATACATGCCCCCCATTAAAAAAAATCTGATAGACATCAGCACAAAACCTCTGTGGAGGAATATAATTTCAAGCATTCCCAAGACTTAGATCAGTCAAGTAAACATTACAAATGAAACTAGGCACAGAAAGACACATTTCACATGTTCTCAGTTCTTTGTGGGAGCTAAACATTTAAAACAGGTGAACTCATGGAGCTAGAGAGTAGAACAGCAGTTACCAGAAGCTGGGAAGGATAGTGAAGGGGTGGGTGGGGAACAGGGAAGAGGGGATGGTTAATGGGTACAAAAAAATAGAAAGAATGAATAAGATCTAGTATTTGTTAGCAAAACAGGGTGACTATAGTTAATAATAATTGCATTGTAGATTTAAAAATAACCAGGAGAGGCTGGACACAGTGGCTCATGCCTGTAATCCCAGCACTTTGGGAGGTCGAGGCGGGTGGGTCACCTGAGGTCATGAATTCGAGACCAGCCTGGAAAACATGGCGAAATCCCGTCTCTACTAAAAATACAAAAAATTAGCTGGGCGTGGTGGCGCACACCTGTAATCCCAGCTACTCGGGAGGCTGAGGCAGGAGAATCGCTTGAACCCAGGAGGCAGAGACTGCAATGAGCTGAGATCATGCCATTGCACTGCAGCCTGGGTGACAGAGCAAGACTCTGTCTCAAAATAAAAATAAAAATAAACCAAACAATAAAACAAAACAAAAACCAGAAGAACATAATTGGATTGTGTGTAACACAAAGGACAAATGCTTGAGGGGACAGATACCTCGTTGACTCTGATGTGATTATTATGTATTCTGTGCCTGTATGAAAATATTTCATATACCCCATAAATATATACACTTACTTTGTGCCCACAAAAATTAAAAATAAAAAAAAATTTAATCCTCGAAAAATATGACAAAAGACATAAGGGAATGAGCCACCATGAGTGAGAGTCAGAAGAATCATCATCTGGCAGGGCTGTCAAGTCTGGATGGAGGTTGGGAGGCAAAGAGATGGGTGTTTAACATTCCCTGGCCTCCCTTTGCCTCGATCCACCATTTCCCTCTGTCATCTCACTCCTTCCCCCACAATTCCTCCTAATTTCTTTTTACTTTTTCTTTCATTCAACATCTGTGCCTAGGAGATGACATAGGATTTAAAAAAGATTTATTTAGGCAGATAGTGAGGGTAAGGAAGTCCTCGGTAAGGTTTTCCTTTTAATGAAAAGCAGCTCCCAAATCATTTTCTTTTCTAATGGAGAGCAGCCGGTAGAATCGAGCTATAGACATAGAAAGGCAAGCTAGAAGCTTGCATGGGTGAATGCTGGCAGTTGTGCCAATAGGAAAGCGGTTACCTGGGGAATAGGCATGTTCAAAATGGCAGCTCTGGCTGGGCGCAGAGACTCACGCTTGAAATCCCAGCACTTTGGGAGGCTGAGGCAGGTGGATTAACTGAGGTTAGGAGCCTGGTCAACGTGGTGAAACCCCATCTCTACTAAAAGTACAAAAATTAGCTGGTCATAGTGGCATATGCCTGTAATCCCAGCACTTGGGGAGGCCGAGGCAGGCAAACTACGTGAGGTCAGGAGTTTGAGACCAGCTTGGCCAACGTGGTGAAAACCCATCTCTATTAAAAATACAAAATTGCCGGGTGTGGTGGTGCGTGCCTGTAATCCCAGCTATTCGGGAGGCTGAGGCAGAATAATTGCTTGAACCCAGGAGGCAGAGGTTGCAGTGAGCCGAGATTGCACCACTGCACTCCAGCGTGGGTGACAGAGTGAGACTCCGTCTAAAAAAAAAGAAAAAAAAAATGGCAGCTCCGTCTTCCCTTTTCTTTGTAAACCATGTAGACAGTAAGGAGAAGACAACATGGTGCCAGCCAAGTAAAGACCCCATTTGCATAATAAAAGATCAGGGTGGGTGGCCAGCTTCCTCGCGCTCTACGTAAATGTCACACTGGGTCCAACCAATCTTTGGGCCCTATGTAAATCAGACACCGCCCCCTCAAGCCAGTCTAAAATCTGTTGCACTTTGCTGCGGGCCAGAAGTCCCACTCAGGAGGCCCTCTCTCTTGCAAGACACAGAGAGCTAGTCTCCTTTCTCTTTCTTTTGCCTATTAAACCTCTGCTCTTAAACTCACTCCTTGTGTGTGTCTGTGTCCTTGATTTCCTTAGCATGAGGCAACGAACCTCAGGCATTATTACCCCCAGACAATGACACTGCTTCAGAGAGACTCATGGACCTGTGCACAAGACGGATACAATTATGGTCCCTCCCAGGGGTATTTGCCTTTCAGAAGGAAAAACAAAATTCCCAAGTCAAAGAAATTACTCTGTAACTTCGAAATCTCAAGAATGAAGGATTGGAAGGGAGAACTTTTTTTTTTTTTTTTTGAGATGGAGTTTTGCTCTTGTTGCCTAGGCTGGAGTGCAATGGCGCAATCTCGGCTCACCGCAACCTCTGCCTCCCTGGTTCAAGCAATTCTCCTCTCCTGCCTCAGCCTCCTGAGTAGCTGGGATTACAGGCATGTGCCAACACACCCAGCTAATTTTGTATTTTTAGTAGAGATGGGGTTTCTCCATGTTGGTCAGGCTGGTCTTGAACTCCTGACCTCAAGTGATCCTGGGCCTCTCAAAGTGCTGGGATAACAGGCATGAGCCACCGCAACCTGGCCGATAACTTATTTATTTATTTTTTTTTTTTTGAGACGGAGTTTCACTCTGTTGCCCAGGCTGGAGTACAGTGGCATGAATTTGGCTCACTGCAACCTCCATGTCTCCTGGATTCAAGCGATTCTCCTGCCTCAGCCTCCTAAGTAGCTGGGATTACAAGTGCTCGCCACCACACCCAGCTAATTTTTTGTATTTTTAGCAGAGATGGGGTTTCGCCAAGTTGGCCAGACTGTTCTCGAACTCCTGACCTCAGGTGATCCACCCGCCTCAGCCTCCCAAAGTGCTGGGATTACAGGCGTGAGCCACCACGCCCGGCCTGGAAAGGAGAACTTTTGATGGGAATAAGTGACCCTCTCAGCTGCACACGTCCCTGGAAATTCCAGATCTCGCAGGTCTCCTTGCTCCTCCTTCAGAACACACTTCGCCAGGCTGTTGTAGTATTTGCTTACCACTATAACTGTGCAAACTGGCCCCAAGAAACTCCAGATGAACCCTGTCTCTGTATTCAGCCAGCAGCTGTGGAGAGAAATAGGAGGAGTCAGCGCTTGTCTCAGAGTCCTGACCTTACAGTTAACCCTGTCCCAACAAATGCCCTAGTGGAGGAGAACACTGGGAGGTGAGACTCAGATGATGCTCAGGATGGTCCCGGTTGCAGTTCAGTTTCCTTTAGATCACTGCGCTTCCTCTTTTAGACCTTCTTCCTGGGCAAATGTACCTGAAATGTTTACCTAGTGCCCAAGGTTGAGCTCATTTCCCAATTCACAACTTTGTAATCCTGTTTCCCTCTATGCAGAACTCTCCACTGGTACACCTTATCATTCAAATCTCAGCTCAGGCCGGGCGTGGGGTCTCACGCCTGTAATCCCAGCTACTTGGGAGGCTGAGATAGGAGAATCGCTTGAACCCAGGAGGTGGAGGTTGCAGTGAGCTGAGATCACGCCACCGCACTCCAGCCTGGGTGACAAGAGCAAAACTCTGTCTCAAGATAAATAAATAACAAATAAATAAATAAATAAATAAATCTCAGCTCAAATGTCACCTCCTCTGAGAAGCCACTCCTGACTATCCTTAGATAGGGCAACCTGTCTCTGCTCCTGGTATCCATCTAGCAGAGCTCACTGCATTTTTAAAACAGCAGCTATCACTATCGTAAGTTACCTTGTTTAATTGCTTGTGTAACTGCAAACTGTCTTCCACTACTAGACTATGAGTTTCATGAGAATTTGGGCCTTAGGTGTTTGTTCATCTCTGAATACTCAGCACTCAGAGCACAGCCTAGCATAGACAAGATATTTCATAAAATTGTTTATTCGAAGAAAGGAAGGAAAGAAGGAAAGAAGGGAGGGAGGAAGGGAGGAAGAGAGGGAGGGAGGGAAGGGAAGGAAGGCAAGGAAGGAAGGGAGGGAGGGAGGGAGGAAGGAAGGAGGGAGGGAAGAGGGGAGGGAGGAAGAAGGGAGGAGGGAGGGAGGGAGAGTGGGAGGGAGGAAGAAAGGATTGGCTCCTTTTATTATGTCTCTAGTGTACATTAGCTGCTTTTACAACACAACAACCATTCCGTCATGTTCAATAACAGCACCCCAATATTCCCCCCACTTTTTTCTGAGATGAAGTCTCGCTCTTGTCCCCCAGGCTGGAGTGCAATGATGCCATCTCATCTCACTGCAGCCTCCGCCTCCCGGGTTCAGGTGATTCTTCTGCTTCGGCCTCCCGAGTAGCTGGGATTACAGGTGCACACCACCATGCAGAAGTATTCCTTTCCCACTTTCACCCCCACCACCCCCCATGTCATACACGCAAGAAAAGGAAAATAATCAAGTTAGGTAAACCAGATGTTCTCTTCCTGGAACATAAACCTCAAATAGTAGTGATCCTGGATTTGTGCAGTGCACAACCCATGCTGCTGTACATGGTGGTCCTGAAACCAATAGTACATAATAGAAGAGCTCGATAAATGGTAGCCACAACTACTGCTACTGTTGTTACTCTTCTTGTTGCTCATGTCATTATCACCATAAGCCCTGGCAGCAGGGTCTTCAGGAAGAGAGAGGATGTCACTCACCGATTATGCATTCCATAGCCCTGTGGCTGCACACTGGCAGAGATCACCACCACCAGCATCGGCAGCCCATAACCAAAGGCACAGATGTGCAGCATCTTGATGTTGCGAGAGCTGAAGTAATTCACCACCTTCAGGTTTCTGACCATCAAGAACAGTATCACAGCCTCCACCAGCATCCAGAAGAAGCAGGCAAGGAAAAGGTAGTGCAGGAAGCCCGCGATGATGGCGCAGCCCATCTGGAGGGGAGAAGCATGCGCATCAGAATCCTCCACCCCAGAGAGAAATCGAAAGGAAGAAAGGAAGAGAGAGACTCCTCGGCTGGAAATTCCCCAAACCTAGCTCACTCATTCATCTCACAAACATTTATAGAGAGGTGCAGTGGTTCTTGACCACAGGGAGGAGCACTTCTTGGTAAGGAGACCCATGGTCCTGGTTTGTCTGGACCTAAGATTTCCCAAGACGCATGACTTTCAGTTCTAAAACAGGAAGAGTTTTAGGAAAACTGATTGTCGATCACCCTACTTTAGGGAATGGTTGAAAACAGGCGGGTTCAGCAAACTAGACCCCATAGGCTGGCTGCCTGCCTTGTAAATAAAGTTTTACTGGCTGGGTGTGGTGGCTCATGCTTGTAATCCCAGCACTTTGGAAGGCTGAGGCAGGCAGATCGCTCAAGCCCAGGAGTTTGAGACCAGACTGGGCAACATGATGAAACCCCCCTCTCTATACAAAAATACAAAAATTAGCCAGACATGGTGGCACAGGCCTGTGGTCCCAGGTACTTGGGAGGCAAACGTGGGAGGATCGCTTGAGCCTGGTAGGCTATAAGGAGCTGTGATTCGGCCACTGCACTCTAGCCTGGGTGACATAGCAAGACCCTGTCTCAAAAAAACTAAAAAAATTAAAAATTTAAAAAAAGAAAAGAAAAATAAAGGGAAGTAGAGATTCTAAACTGTAGCATTATCGACATCTGTAACATTATTGCAGAGTCATTCTCTGCCGTGGAGGGCTGCCTTGGGCACGACAAGATACTTAGCAGTATCCCTAACCTTTACCCACCAGAGAGCAGTAGCACGCTGCTCCAGTTGTGACAAGGAAAAATGTCCCCAGACATTGCCAAGTCTCCCCTGGGGACAAAAAGCACCCAGGGAGAGAACCTCTGGTTTAGAAAGTAACAGGAGGGGCCGTGCGTGATGGCTGAAGCCTATAATCCCAGCACTTTGGGAGACCAAGGCGGGTGGATCACCTGAGGTCAGGAGTTCAGGACTAGCCTGGCCAAAATGGTGAAACCCCGTCTCTACTAAAAATACAAAAAAATTAGCCGGGCATAGTGTCTCATGCCTGTATTCCCAGCTTCTCAGGAGGCTGAGGCAGGAGAATTGCTTGAACCAAGAGGCAGGGGTTGCAGTGAGCCAAGATCGTGCCATTGCACTCCAGCCTGGGCAACAAGAGCGAAACTCAGTATCAAAAACAAACAAACAAACAAACAAAAACAAGTAATAGGAGGAACCACTATAATTCATAACACGATCAGGGACATAAGTTTAAACTGAGAGCTGTCACAAGGAGTCAAGCAGGTAAGAAGCTGGGAAGTGAGTGTTACAGGCAGAGGGCACAGCATATGCAAAGGCCCTGAGGTAGGAACAGGGATAGAGGGAGTTGGCTAGGAATGAGCTGAGGCAGGTGGGGAGAAGATGGGGCTTGGTGGGGACACAGCCCGAGCGATGTAGACCTTGTTGTCAGTCTTGTGTATACCGGCGAGGAAGAGAGTCTTCGCCAAGAGGAGACACACGCAGAGGTGCAGGTGGAGGTAGGTGTTGTGATTTCGGATGGAGCGACACAGCAGAAAGGTGGCGATGGCCAAGACGAGGCACACCAAGGAGATGATAATGCCTACATGGCTAATGATGTACAAGGAAAAGTCCATCTGTCAGGAAGGAATTTCAGAGTTGGCCTGAGAATGGGATCAAAATCCCCCCAGGCGGGAAGAAGAGTTATCTAAAACCCTGGCTCGGGCAAAATTAGCTTGGGGGAATTTTCTCCCTCTAACACTCAGAGTGAACTAGATACTGTCCTTCATTATCCTTTGCAATCCACTGGCATCCACCAGCACCTATTCCCAGTCCTGTCCTATGCGTTACTCCATGTATTACTGGGGCTTGATGTCCACAAACTACATCTCCCAGAATCCTTTGGAACTAAGGTCCTGGATGTAATTTAAGTTCTCCAGTGAGATACATCTGTGAAGGTTTTGGAATGCAGAAGGGAGGCAAATATCAGCTTTCGGCAGACAGGAGTGAGCCTAATTCCACATTTCAACTGTCCAGTCCCCAATTTCATGGTGGAGTGGGGTGGCAAAATGACAGCAGCAATTTCTGACCTCTGAGTTACAGCTGCATTGGGGGATGACCTTGAAGCCAAAATTGAAGTGACAGCCCCCTGACTTCAACTCCTCCATCCCCTCCCAGAGATTTTTGTGAGCACCCAATTCCCTGTGTTAAATGCCTTTCTGCTTGAAATACCTGGGGTGGTTTTTGCTTCCTGTACTGAATCCCAACTGATAATGCAGACATTCAGGAATGCTTCAACTTCAGGAGTGGAACGTGACAAGCTAAGTCCTTCTTCTATGCCATTTATTCATAATTAATTTTAAAATTAATTTTAAATGTCTCTGAGTGGTTTCTGTGGGTTAAAGATAAGCCAGGCACCATCTTATGAGCACCTCTCTATGATATTGTCACAAAGTGGTTAAGAAAACTGACCATTGGCTGGGCGCAGTGGCTCATGCCTGTAATCCCAGCACTTATGGGAGGCTGGGGCGGGTGGATCACCTGAGCTCAGAAGCTTGAAACCAGCCTGGCCAACATGGCGAAATCCTATCTCTACTAAACAAACAAACAAAAAATATTAGCCAGGCATGGTGGCGGGCACCTGTAATCCCAGCTACATGGGAGGCTGAGGCAGGAGAATTGGTTGAACCTGGGAGGCAGAGGTTGCAGTGAGCTGAGATCACACCTCTGCACTCCAGCCTGGGCAACAAGAGTGAAACTCAGTCTAGAAAAAAGAAAAAGAAAAAGAAAGAAAAAAACTGGCCAATTTCTAGTTGTGTGATTTTGGACAAGACACTTAACTGCTCTGTGCCCTCAGTTTCCTCATCTGTTGAAAAGAGAATATTAATGGCAATTGCCTTATAGAGTTGTTTTAGGATTAAATGAAAACATTTCAAGTACAACTGTGCCAGAAGCATACTATATAAATACTAGTTATCAGTATTTTTTTGTTATTGTTGTTCTCATTTTTGAGATGAGAGAGCTGGGCTCAGTGCAGAGAAGTTAAGTGACTTTTCCAAGAAAACACAGCTAGAAAGTGGTAGAGACAAGACTTGAAACTAAGTCAGTTTTGTTCTGGATCCAGTTCTCTTAAATCCTAAGCCACAGGGTCCTCGAAATGGCACTTACTTATGGCCTCTCTGGTAGGGAATTAAACCTTGGATCTACCATGATAGGAAAGGATACTTTCTTTCTTTTTGAGACGGAGTCTGGTTCTGTCACCCAGGCTGGAGTACAGTGGCATGATCTCAGCTCACTGCAAGCCCTGCCTCCCGGGTTCACGCCATTCTCCCGCCTCAGCCTCCCGAGTAGCTTGGACTGCAGGTGCCCGCCACCACGCCCGGCTAATTTTTTGTATTTTTAGTAGAGATGGGGTTTCACCGTGTTAGCCAGGATGGTCTCGATCTCCTGACCTTGTGATCTGCCCACCTCGGCCTCCCGAAGTGCTGGCATTACAGGCGTGAGCCACCGAGCCAGGTGAAAGGATACTTTCTACAACACTAATGAGGATGTCCTTCCTCTCTTCCAAATCTACTCATTTACCAAGGCTTATTTCATATTGTTTCCTCATGATCTATCATCGGCTCTCTTGGAAACACCTCAGAATTCTTTTTGTTTGTGTGTGTGTGTGTGTGTGTGTGTGTGTGTGTGTGTGTGTGTGTGAGACAGAGTCTCACTCTGTTGCCAGGCTGGAATGCAGTGGTGCCATCTCAGCTCAGTGCAACCTCTGCCTCCCAGGTTCAAGCGATTCTCCTGCCTCAGCCTCCCAAGTAGCTGGGACAACAGGCATGCACCACCATGCCCAGCTAATTTTTATATTCTTAGTAGAGACGGGGGTTTCACCATGTTGGCCAGGATGGTCTCGATCTCTTGACCTCATGATCCGCCCGCCTCAGCCTCCCAAAGTGCTCGGATGACAGGCATGAGCCACCACACCCGGCCAACACCTCTGAATTCTTACAGCATTTCTTCTTGACCCATTTGCATGTGTTAGTGGAAAGAGACTTCCCCAGATTTGAATTCCACCTGCTCCAATTTCTAGCTTCAGGACTAGACGGGCCACTTTACCCATTCTGTGAAATGGGTCTAAAACCACTTAACTTAAAGAGCCCAGCACACTGTATGTGCTCATTAAGTAAGATCTGTGATTGCTCCAGTGCCTGGCCCTACTTAGGGTCATTATTTCTCATTGTATATTTGAGTTTCATGGCCTCCCAACCAGACTGTAAATTCTGCAGGGGCAAAGGCATATCACCTACCCCTTCTGTCCCCGTGACTCCATCCCACAACACCCAACCCCATGGGAGACACACAACAGATGTTTAATCAATATTTTCCCATTGGATTTGGAGGCAGATACTCTGCCTCAGGGAACAAATCATCAGTACTGACCGTGAGCTCCCCAGACGCCATGATAACGGCAAGATTTGCCATCTGATTACAGCTGCAGATGGTATATGTCTCAGAAGCTTCCAGGATCACACAGCCAAAGGATGTCCATCTTCCACCCTTCACATCAGTGCTCCAGGAAACACAGATGGGCCTCTCAAACTTCTGCTTTGGCTAAAAAAAACAAAAAAACAAAAAAACAAAGGTCTTCTGGGAATCCCCATCAAATGGATTAAATGTGACCATCCTCAAGAGTCACTGGGAACAAGAATACACAGGGTATGTTCTGAGGGAATGGGGAAAAATGCTGGTATTTCATTATGCAGTGAGGGCCAATCTGATAGGGCAGCTCACATTGCTGTTGCTAGAAGAAAACTCCTCCTTTCATCAAATCCATAATAAAGCCTTCTGCATAGTCACTCATTATTCACTTATTCATTGAATGTGTGGTTTGTGTGTGTGTGTGTGACAGAGTCTCACTCTGTTGCCCAGGCTGGAGTGCAGTGGTGCAGTCTCGGCTCGCTGCAACCTCTGCCTCCGGGGTTCAAGCGATTCTTCTGCCTCAGCCTCCCAAGTAGCTGGGATTACAGGTGCCCGCCACCATGCCTAGCTAATTTTTGTACTTTTAGTAGAGACGGGGTTTTACCATGTTGGCCAGACCAGTATTGAACTCCTGATGTCAAGTGATTCACCTGCCTCGGGCCTCCCAAAGTTCTGGGATTACAGGTGTGTGTCACCATATCCAGCTAATTTTTGTATTTTTAGTAAAGATGGGGTTTCTCCATATTGGCCAGGCTGGTCTCGAACTCCTGACCTCAAGTGATCCTCCTGCATAGACCTCCCAAAGTGCTGGGATTACAGGCAAGAGCCACCACACCCAGCCTCATTCAACGTGTTTTTATTGAACACCTATTACATGCCTTGATCTGTGCTGTTTACAGGAGACATGAGAAAACAGTTCTTCCCCCAAAAAGAGATCATAGTGCAGTGGGAGAAAAAATCATAAAAACCAAGTAAGCAGAGAAATATTTTTAGTAACAGTTTAAGAACAACATGCTTTAAGAATGTATCCTAGAAGGGTGGGCACGGTGGCTCATGCCTGTAATCCCAGCACTTCAGGAGGCTGAGGCGGGTGGATCACCTAAGCTCAGGAGTTCCAGACCAACCTGAGCAACACGGTGAAACTCCGTCTCTACTAAATACAAAAAAGTTAGCTGGGCATGTGGTGGGCACCCGTAATCCCAGCTACTCGGGAGAATGGCTTTACCCGAGGAGGTGAGGGTTGCAGTGAGCCAAGGTTGCACCATTGAACTCCAGCCTGGGCAACAAGAGTGAAACTCCATCTCAAAAAAAAAAAAAAAAAAAAAAAAGCGGGCATGGTGGTTCATGCCTGTAATCCCAGCACTTTGGGAGGCCAAAGCGGGCGGATCACGAGGTCAGGAGATCAAGACCATCCTGGCTAACATGGTGAAACCCCGTCTGCACTAAAAATACAAAAAATTAGCCGGTCATGGTGGCGGGCGCCTGTAATCCCAGCTACTCGGGAGGCTGAGGCAGGAGACTGGCGTGAACCTGGGAGGTGGAGCTTGCAATGACTTGAAATTGTGCCACTGCACTCCAGCCTGGGTGACAGAGTGAGACTAAAAAAAAAAAAAGAAGCAACCACCACATAGCAGGATCCAGGATCCAATCAGATCAAGACCTGGCAACACCCCATGGCCGGATCCAATCAGATCACACCTCCCTGCATCACTTCATTGTAAGATGCAATCAGATTGCAGTTCATTACCCACCGACTATAAAACCTGCCCCAGCCTCCCAGCTTGGGAAGACAGATTTGAGCCAGACTCTTGTCTCCTTGCTTGGCAGCCTTGCAATAAACTTCTCTCTCTACAAAAACCCGGTGCTTCGGTGTTTGGCTTTCTGTTGCACATGGGCAAATGGACCTAGTTCTGTTTGGTGACAGTGGGAGACCTCATTCCTCTAGCGGTAGCTTCTGTTAATTGGCTTGAATTGCTGGAAATTGTGGAAGCTTACCGGCCTCAATAGCTTCCCGTAAAAAATGAGAGTTAAGGCAATCGAGAGACGAGGAGTTCCCAACAGGTAGACAAGAATCTCAGTAGAGACCTCTTCACAAACCTGAATGTTCTCCAGAGTGTAGATGATTGGATCTGAGAAGCCGTCTTTCTTCTCTCCAGTCATTATGCCCCCAACGACTCGAGAATTCATCTTCAGCTTGATCTCAGAGGTGGTCAAGGGAGCCTGGTGGTCTTTGAAGAAGCGCTCATTTAAAACCGATTCCATGCCCACAAAGGAGACAAAAGCCACACCAGTGGTCTCTGCAGGTTTCCCCAAATGAAAAAAAGGAAGGAATCGTTTGCTCAATTGTTATTATAGAAGACCCAACACACACACACACACACACACACACACACACACACACAGAGGGAGGGAGGGGGAGAGAGAGAGAGAGAGAGAGAGTCATGCACCTCACCGTGCTGCTCTGAGATTAAAATAACCAGCGGGCTTCTAGAACCATTAAAAAAAAAAAACCTCTGGCCGGGCATGGTGGCTCACGCCTATAATCCAGCACTTTGGGAGACCAAGGCGGGTGGATCACGAGGTCAGGAGATCGAGACCATCCTGACCAACATGGTGAAACCCCGTTTCTACTAAAATACAAAAAATTAGCCGGGCGTGGTGATGCGCACCTGTAGCTCCAGCTACTTGGGAGTCTGAGGCAGGGGAATCGCTTGAACCCGGGAGGCGGAGATTGCAGTGAGCCGAGATCGCACCACTGCACTCCAGCCTAGTGACAGAGCAAGACTCCATTTCAAAACAAAACAAAATAAAAACTTCCACAGCTGGGCAGAGTGGCTCACGCCTGTAATCCCAGCACTTTGGGAGGCCAAGGCAAGTGGATCACTTGAGGTCAGGAGTTCCAGGCCAACCTGGCCAATATGGTGAAATCCTGTCTATACTAACAATAAAAAAACTAGCCAGGCGTGGTGGCAGGTGCCTGTAGTCCCAGCTACTCGGGAGGCCGAGGTACGACAATCGCTTGAACCTGGGAGGCGGAGGTTGCAATGAGCCAAGATCCCGCCACTGCACTCCAGCCTGGGTGACAAAAAAAGAAAACAAAACAAAACAGACCTCCCAGTGCTCTTACCTGGAGAAGTCTTGGCTACATTTAAAAATAAATTTGAACTTGTGTTTTTAAGGGACAATGCAACTCAGTGGGAAATAAGTTCTCCCACATCTATGGTTATTCTGTTTCAGTCTCTTTGGGGAGTGTCCCCTTTAAATATGGACGGTCTCCAGGGATACGTCCTATGCCGCTTCCTGTCCCAACCAGACAGTACCAACCCCCAGGCTTCATCTGCCCCTTGGATGTCCCCCCAGACATCATAAATTGAGCAATTCCTCTCCCATCTTCTTTTTTTTTTGAGACAGAGTCTTGCTCTGTTGCCCATGCTGGAGTGCAATGGCAGGTTCTCGGCTCACTGCAACGTCTGCCTTCCGGGTTCAAGCGATTCTCCTGCCTCAGCCTCCCGAGTAGCTGGGATTACAGGCACCCGAGACCACACCCAGCTAATTTTTTGTATTTTTAGTGGAGACGGGGTTTCACCATGTTGGCCAGGCTGGTCTTGAACTCTGGACCTCAGGTGATCTGCCCGCCTTGGCCTCCCAAAGTGCTGGGATTACAGGCGTGAGCCACCATGCCTGGCTCTCTCATCTTCTTTTATCTGCATCTCCTACTTCAATAACTGATATTACCTGATCTGGAACCTGGAGAGTCATCCTTGAATTCTTCTCCCCGCAAAACAGATTCCTCCTCCTTAATGTGCCTTGAACCTGTCTTCTCCCCACTTCTCCCTTCTAATTAGCCTTAGACCAAGCCTCACATCTCTCTCCCAGACCACTGGCTTCCTCACAAATGTCCTTGCCTTCCCCTAGCCTCACCTCTCCAATGGATTGCCCATATCACAGCCAGAGGATTTATTTCTAAAAAGACATCTATCTGGAAGACATAATCAGATCATCCTGCTGTATACAGAACTTTCCAAGGCTTTCTGTGCCCAACAGAGAAAGTCCAAATGTAATAAACTGGGATGCAACACCCTCAATTCTTTTTTTTTTTTTTTTTGAGATGGAGTCTCATTCTGTCACCCAGGCTGGAGTGCAGTGGCGCGATCTCAGCTCACTGCAGCCTCCACCTCCCAGGTTCAAGCAATTCTCCTACCTCAGCCTCCTGAGTAGCTGGGATTACAGGCACCCGCCACCACACCAGGCTCATTCTTTATATTTTTAGTAGAGATGAGATTTCACCATATTGGTCAGGCTGGTCTCGAACTCCCAACCTCAGGTGATCCACCCACCTCCACCTCCCAAAGTGTTGGGATTACAGGTGTGAGCCACCACGCCCAGCGACCCTCAATTCTTTTCCCTCTCTCCCCCACATTCCTGATGCTCCAGCCCACTCTACTTTTAGTTCCATGACCATACCAAGCTTTTTTTCAACACAGAGCCATAGCTTATACTTCCTGTAACACACTCTCTCCTGCTTTCTCTACCTATTCCTCAGGACTTCGCTTAAATAGCTCTTCCATATTGCACACTGTGCTTTTACATTAAAGTATTAATCATAGCATTAATCGTATGCATAGATCAGATCAGGGGCTGGAAAACTGTGGCCTATGGGCCAATCTGGTTGTCACCTACTTTTTTAAATAAAGTTTTATTGAAACATGCCCAGGCACATTCATATTCATATTGTCTATGGATGCTTTTGCACTAGAATGGTAGTTAAATCATTGTGATAGAGGCTGTATTAATTGCAATGCTTAAAATAGTTACTAACGAGCCCTCTACAGAAAAAGTTTGCCATCCCTGACACAGATTAGCACTGTCCAACAGAAATACAGTATGAACCACATATGTAATTTTAAATTTTCTAGTACACATTTTTTAAAAGTAAAAAAAGATAAAATTAATTTTAATAATATATTAACTCAGTATAAGCCAAATATTATCATTTCAACATATAAATGTGATATTTTAAAATTTAAAGATATATTTTAAATATTGCATATTTTAAAAATTTAAATATTACATATTTTAAAAATTTAAATATTTTTTATTTTTAAATTATTTTAAATATAAAAAAGATGAGTGAGACGTTTTAATCCTTCTTTTTGTGCAACAAAGCTTCGAAATACAGTGTTTATTTTAGGTTTACAGTACCTCTCAACCTGGCTTATACAAATTTCAACTGCTCAACAGCAGAATGTGACCAGCACATATCATATAGGCCAGTGAAGGTCTCAGTACTCCAGTATTATAAGGTTATTTAATGTTTGACTTCCCTAGCACATGGAAAACTCTCTGAGAGCATGGACCATTTCTACCCTCATTGGTTCTCAACTATCTGGCACTGGTCTTGGCACCTAGAAAGGGATCGATAAATACTTATTGATGGAATACACCATAACCTGCATTCTCAGGAGAGGACCTGTACCTGTGGATTCAGATTCCTCAATTGTGGAACACCCGATCTTCATCTTATCCCCCTTGGCTACCAAGTCCAACGTCACATTCTCTTCACTGCATTCTTTGTTGATAACTTTGCTCTCAATGTCTAAAAAGAGAAAGGGAGAGTTCGTATGAGGTCACCCAGAAAGTCAGTCCTGAATTTGGTTTCTGTCCAAAAAAAGGTACACCTCCATCATGGCGAGCAAAGGAAAAGAATAGAAAGTTCAATTCATCATAGGAAAGATCTTGAGGCCCATGATGAATGATAGGGGGACCATAGCACCAAATAAATGAGTAACCCAGCTGGAGCCTTAGAAGTGAACTCTCATCTCCTAGGGGGTGCATCAGGGAAAGATGGGGTCAAAGTCAACAGTGATGGAAGGCAACAGTCATGATTTTCTCTCTAAGTTTTTTTTTTTTTTTTTTTTTTTTTTGAGACGGAGTCTCACTCTGTCACTTAGGCTGGTGTGCAGTGGCACGATCTCGGCTCACTGCAAGCTCTGCCTCCCGGGTTCACGCCATTCTCCTGCCTCAGCCTTCCAAGTAGCTGGGATTGCAGGTGCCTACCACCACACCCAGCTAATTTTTTGTATTTTTAGTAGAGATGGGGTTTCACTGTGTTAGCCAGGATGGTCTCGATCTCCTGACCTTGTGATCCACCTGCCTCGGCCTCCCAAAGTGCTAGGATTACAGGTGTGAGCCACTGCCCCCGGCCTTATATAAGTTTTCTAAAACCAAAAGAAATAGTAAGGGATTGGGGCAAGCCTAGCATGGTACACAAGAGCTCAGGTTCTGTAGTCAGATGGTGGTAACTGGGAGGTCCAGCTCTGCCACGCACTAGCTGCCTAAATTTGCGCATTGACTTAACCTCTCTGTGCCTCCAATTTCTCATCTCTATCATGACAAGCATTGCAGGACCTAACCCACTGGCCCTTCATGAAAATAAACTAGATAATGGAACAAGAAGTATCCTTGTAAAATATAAGCCAGATAATACCATACCTGTTCCCAAATTTTCCAATGTCCTTTCATCTTCAAATAAAATCTTGGCTGAGTACAGTGGTTCAGGCCTGTAATCCTAGTACTTTGGGAGGCCGAGCAGGAGGATCACTTGAGCTCAGAAGTTCAAGACCAGCGTGGGCAACATAGCAAGACCTCATTTCTACCAAAAATTTTAAAAACTAGACAAGCATGGTGGTGCACACCTATAGTTCCCAGCTACTCAGGAGGCTGAGGCAGGAGGATCACTTGAGCCTGGGAGTGCAAAGCTGTAGTGAGCTATGATCACACCACTGCACTCCAGCCTAGGTGACAGAGTGAGAACCTGTCTCAAGAAAAAAAAAACCTTAACTCCCTACATTTATCTACATTTCCATCTCCCTTCCTTTCTCCTACTGCTCTCACCATCTTCAATGCCACTTCAGCCACACTGTGCACCTCATTGTTCCTTGAATTCTCCAGGTATTCCTGCACTTGCTCTTTCTGCAGATATTTACGTGGCTCTCTTCCCTGACATCCCTGCCCCAATGAGACTTACTCTGATCTTGCTATATAAAATAGCAACTCTCCCTGTAATCCCAACCCTCTCTAACCTCCCTAGCCTGCTGTACTTTTTCTCAATAGTGCTACCTCTATTTGGTATACCAGATGTCTGTTTGTTTATTATCTGACTCAACTCACTAAAATATGAGATTCATGAGGCTAATTTTGTTCACTACTGGTTGGAGTCCACCAAATACTTTATTTCCACCTCTTGGCCGTCTGGGCATCCATTAGGTAGGAACTTCGTAGGTTTATGTGAATGATACTGGAACTACTACCAGGAGTGGGGTGCTAATGTAAAAGATCTACAGCAACCACTATTCCCAAGTAGTTATCTATCAAGTATGTATCAGTCAGGAAAGGATCAGTCTTGCAGCAGTAACAAACAACCCTAAGTCTTAGTGGATTAAAAAATAACAAGTGTTTACATCTCATTAATGCTTTGGGTCTATTGTAAATTGACTTGAGGCCATGTTCTATATTGTCTTTATTCTGGGACCCAGGCAGAAGGAGCAGCTGTGATCTGAAGCACTGTTATTCATATGGGCAGAGGGAAAGTTCTGGAAAGTCTCATACCTGCAACTACTCTATTCCCATATTTATTGGCCTGAGCTACTCCCCAAATCCCACCTAACCACACAGTAGCCAGGAAGTACAATTCTACCATGGGCCCAGCAGGGCAAACAGGAAGTACTTGAGCACAGCCTATGACTGTCATACCTTAGCCCAGCACATAGCAGCTAATCAGCAAATATTTGTAGAATAAATTAATGATATGGTCTTAGCACAGTGCCTGGCCTTTGCCAAGCACTCAGTGAATGGAAAATGTTGTTAATATGATTAGACTTGCTTTGCTGTGAATTCAAAGTTTTTAAACAGTTGGGGAAAGAATGGGTGGGAAACCCAGGGAATATCCCATTGCCAAAGTCAACTTTCAAAATCATCCCCTAGGTGTAACCTTGCCACAAAGGGTGTCTCCTACCTAAGTATTCCGTCCGAACAGCCGGAGTGATATTTGCTGAGGGTTTCCAAAAAGATGCCAGTGTCATGCTTTCCACACTCTCCAGGAAGACTGTGGCCAGGGAGGACGTCTCTTCCTTGGTGAATTTAGTCCACGTGGATATTTGTTTAAGCACAGGGACAAAGCTCTCAGTTGTATTCTGCAAGGAAAGATGTGTTTGTTCATTCTCTCTCTCTCTCTCATTAATGAAATAACAGCTGTCCCTTTTCTGATTAAGAATAGGCTGGGAGTCCATCCAAAGGAGAATTAAAAGGGGCATCCACTCGGGCTCCTTTTTCTGATTCAAGAAGCCCCATCAGAAATACAAATTCAGGCCGGGTGCAGTGGCTCACACTTGTAAGCCCAGCACTTTGGGAGGCTGAGGTGGGTGGATCATGAGGTCAGCAGTTTGAGACCAGCCTGGCAAACATAGTGAAACCCTGTCTCTACTAAAAATACAAAAAAATTTAGCCGGGCATGGTGGCACGTGCCAGTAATCCTAGCTACTTGGGAGGCTGAGGCAGGAGAATCACTTGAACCCAGGAGGCAGAGCTTGCAGTGAGCTGAGATCGCACCACTGCACTCCAGCCTGGGCGACAGTGAGAGAGGCTGTCTGAAAAAAGAAAAAAAAAGAAATACAAATTGAAGTTCAGGAATTCAAGACCAGCCTGGACAACATAACAAGACCCCATCTGTACAAACAAATTAAAAAAGAGCAGGCACGGTGGTGCATGACGCTAGTCCCAGCGACTCAGGAGGCTGAAGTGGGAGGATCTCTTGAGCCCTGGAGTTCAAGGCTGCAGTGAGCTATGATCACTCCACTGCACTCCAGCTTGGGTGACAGAGTGAGATCTTGTCAAAAGAAAGCAAGAAAGCAAGCAAGAAAGACAAATTGATGTAACCTTTATGCAATGCAGTAAGTTTGTACCCATAGCCATGTAAATTGCATATACCCTTTGACACAGCAATTCCCCTTCCTGGAATTAATCTTTTCAGAAATACTTAAAAGTTGTGCAAGGATCTTGTCCAGTGATGTTCATCTCAGGATAGTTTGTGGAAAGCCTAAATGCCCTACAGACTGGGTCAATAAATGAAGATGAAATCAAATAACAGCCATACAGCTGTTAAAATGAATATTGCAGTATACCTATAGGCATTAACAAGCAAAAGGGTCTCTGAGCCACTGTTCACTAAAGCAAATTACAGAGTATCATGTATATAGTATTGCATTTGGTTTAGAAACAATTGGTTTAATTTAAAATTTTATATTATGGTATTTATGTTCTGGCATATAGAAATAAAAATAGCACACACTTATTACGAGCCAGGTATTGCTCTAAATGTCTTTTATATATTAACTTGTTTAATTTGTAGAAGATATCTATGAAGTAGAGGCTATTTATGATTATTTTGATTTTTGAAAGGAGAAACAAGGACTCATATCTAGCAGGTGGAAGAACCACGATTTGAACCTTGGCAGTCTGGCAGCAGAGGCTGAATCATTAATCACTGTCCTAAACCTCTCATAGTAAGTGCTCAATAAAATGACTGCACTGTGTGTGCATGTGTGTGTGTGTGCTTATATATGTGGGTGTGTGTATATGTGTGTATGTGTTGGGTTGTGTACATGCGTGTGCATGTGTGTATATCTCTGTGTATGTCTATGTATGCCTATGTATGTATGTGTGTTTGTGTATATGTATGTATACGTGTGTGTATATATGTGTGTTTGTGTATGTGTGTACATTTGTATATGCCTGTATGTATATATGTGTGTATGTGTGTCAGGAGTGTGTATATGTGTGTGGATGTGTATGTGTGTATCTGTGTGTAGATGTCTGTGTATGTCTGTATGTGTGTATGGGTACATGCATAGATGTGTGTATACATGTGTGTATGTGTGTAAATGTGTGTGGGGTGTATGTGTGTAAATGTGTGTGGGGTGTGTGTATGTGTGTAAATGTGTGTGGGGTGTGTGTGTATGCATTTGTATGTGTATGTGTGCATGTGTATGTATGTTATATGTGTATATGCATATGTATATGTGTGTATGTGTGTACATACTGTGTGTGCATGTGTGTGCATGTGGGGGAGGTGTATATGTGTGTGTACACGTGTGTATACGTGTATGTATTTGTATGTATGTGTATGTGTGTGCGCATGTGTGTATATGTGTGTGTGTTTATTTGTATGTGTATGTATGTATATGTGTGTATGTGTGTACATGCTTACAAGGTAAAAAGATAGGGGAAGATACTTATCTACCTCTTAACACTGGATGTGTTTGAGGAATAGGATTAAGGTAAGAAAAACAATAACAACAATAGTAATAGTAATATTCATATGATTCCCCTTATTATTGATTATTATCAATAAATTGACTATCACATGTGACTCTGACCCAAGCAAAAAAAAAAAAAAAAAAAACTAAAAGGAATCCAGAACCTAATAAATGCAGGAAAATGCATTAAATGAATTAAATCCAGTCAGATGGTAGAGGAAATTAAACTGAAATTTGAGCAGCAATACAAGTTTCTATCTATCCAAATTAGATGATAAAAGGAAAAAAAGGATTTCAATAAACACGGGGTAAGCGGGACATTTGAGAGATATTTGTCCAAGAGAAACAGGAAGCCCTGAGCTCTGTAATCCCCAAAAGGCATGGGTGTGGGACTCCCCTCCCCACTGACATAGCAGAAACATCTCAACTAGGACCATCTCCAGGAAACATAGTACTCAGTTCGACAACTGGCAAAATCTCTTCAAATCCCGCCCCTCTGATATGTTAAATTTATTCTTAGCTAGGGAAGTTATTTTATATCCTCAGGAAAGTTAGAAAATTTTAGGCAAACTAAACATCCTTAGTAGGATTTGTGTTAAATTTAGAAGTTTTTGACATCTTTAGCATAATCTAGAAACATCTCCTATTTAAAGAGTTGGGGCTGGGTGTGGTGGCTTATGCCTGTAATCCCAGCACTTTGGGAGGCTGAGGTGGGTGGATCACCTGAGGTCAGGAGTTCGAGACCAGCCTGGCCAACATGGTGAAACCCCGTCTCTATTAAAAATACAAAATATTACCCACGCTTGGTGGTGGGCGCCTGTAGTCCCAGCTACTTGGGAGGCTGAGGCAGGAGAATGGCATGAACCCGGGAGGCGGAGCTTGCAGTGAGTCAATATTGCGCCATTGCACTGCAGCCTGGGCAACAGAGCAAGACTCCATCTCAAAAAAAAAAAAAAAAAAAGAGTTGGAACAGTTTGACACATTAGAGAAGCTAACCAATAAACCACATAATTTTATTGCAAAAAGCAATTAGACTTGTTATTTTAATATGAACAATTTAAGAGAACGTGGCTATTTATAAACCATATTGAATGTCTAAAAGAATCTGAATTATTATATTTATAGATTCGATCGATTGGATTTATGAGTCGCTCAGGACCCAAGTGACTTTGCCTATTAGATTTGTAAATCCTCTTCACCAGGTACTTGAAATTTGGGTGGAGCGGGAGGGGGGAATTGGAATATTTATAAACATAGTATAAAACATTCGAGGAAATTGAACTAAGTTTGTAAATAGGATTAATCATTTATCAAAATTTAATCTGAAAACCCTAGGGATGAATGTATACTTTATGAATAAAAATAAATGTATTAATTTAAAATTAATACAATTATAAGTAAAAGTGTTATTCTTATTTTCATACAAAAATAACCAGATTTATAAAGAAAATGACAATATCAATGAGTTCAACTTAAAGCTTAAGAAAAACTAGCTTTTGGCTAGACTTGGTGGCTCACACCTCTAATCCCAGCACTTTGGGAGGCCGAGGCAGGTGGATCGCCTGAGGTCGGGAGTTTGAGACCAGCCTGATCAACATGGAGAAACCTCGTCTCTACTAAAAATACAAAATTAGCCGGGCATGGTGGCGCATGCCTGTAATCCCAACTACTCGGGAGGCTGAGGCAGGAGAATCGCTTGAACCTGGGAGGTGGAGGTTGCGGTGAGCCAAGATCGCACCATTGCACTCTAGCCTGGGCAACAGAGCAAGACTTCATCTCAAAACAAACAAACAAACAAAACAAAACAAACAAACAAAAAAAACCACCAACCAATTCTGTCCCCCTGAAAAGATGAGAAAGATGAGAAAGTTCTTGAGATGGATAATGGTGATGGTTATATACAGCAATGAGAATGTGCTGAATCTCATTAACAGTAAAAAGGAAGGAAAAGAAAGAAGGAAGAAGGAGGAGGAGGAGGAAATGGCATTGTTTATATACACACTATCCAGGCATCTCAAATGCACTATGCTGAGTCAAAGAAGCCAGTCTCAAAAGACCACATACTATGTGGTTTCATTTATATAACACTCTTCCAAAGACAAAACTCTGGTGACAGAGACCAGATCAGGGATTTATAGAGTTTAGTGGTGGAGGGAGTATCTGACTATAAAGGAGAAGCCCAAGGGAATGTTTGGAGATAATTAAACTGTTCTGCATCCTAATTATAGTGGTAGTTCAACAAGTCTATTCAGGTGAGAAAACTCATCAAACTATACAAGTAAAAAGGTAATTTTACTGTATGCTAATTTTTCAAATCTTACAGCTATAAAAAATTAAATATTAATTCACAATCCATTCATTATAAAGAGATATTTCTTTCTTTCTTTTTTTTTTTTTTGAGATGGAGTCTCAGTCTGTTGCCAAGGCTGAAGTGCAGTGGTGCTATCTTGGCTCACCACAACCTCCACCTCCCGGGTTCAAGCAATCGTCCTGCTTCAGCCTCCTGAGTAGCTGGTACTATGGGCACCTGCCACCATGCCCGGCTAAGTTCTGTATTTGTAGTAGAGACAGGGTTTCATCATGTTGGCTAGGCTGGTCTTGAACTCCTGACCTCAAGTGATTCATCTGACTCAATCTCCCAAAGTGCTGGGATTATGGGTGTGAGCCACCACGCCCAGCCATAAAGACATCTTTCTGCACCCAAAGTGTGCCCAAGATGTTTGAAACTCAAAACACAATTTAAAAGACCCAATCGTTACCTTCAGAGAAACTACGGTCGTTTTATTTTCACACACTTTGTCCAGAACGCTGAAGATGTTATTTATTTGTGCACAAAAGGAGACCTGCGTCCCAGAAAAAAAAAAAAAGAGCATTTGTGAGCATGAATCGATGTATTCCCCCAAGCATGTAATCTACAAATTAGCCCATAAAGCCCATCATATGAGGTGGCTCTGAATTCCTGAGTCTCTAGAATTCTCAGGGAAACTAAAACTCATTACTTGATCAGAATTAGAATCACATCACCTTTTCCTTCCATGAATAAAAAAAGCAAACATAAACAAATAGCAAAACTACTTAGTGATTGCTGAAACCAGCTCAATCGGGGACACCCTAAGCCAGCGGCACTAGAGAAATTATAGACACACACACAGGAATATAGAGGTGTGAAGTGGGAAATCAGGGGTCTCACAGCCTTCAGAGCTGAGAGCCTTGAACGAGGTTTACCCACGTATTTATTAACAGCAAGCCAGTGATAAGCATTGTTTCTATAGATATTAGATTAACTAAAAGTATCCCTTATGGGAAACGAAGGGATGGGCCGAAATAAAGGGATGGGTCTGGCTAGTTATCTGCAGCAGGAGCATGTCCTTAAGGCACAGATGGCTCATGCTATTGTTTGTGGTTTAAGAACGCCTTTAAGCGATTTTTCCGCCCTGGGCTGGGCAGGTGTTCCTTGCCCTCATTCCGGTAAACCCACAACCTTCCAGTGTGGGCATTATGGCCATCATGAACATGTCACAGTGCTGCAGAGATTTTGTTTATGGCCAGTTTTGGGGCCAGTTTATGGCCAGATTTTGGGGGGCCTGTTCCCAACCAGTGATATTAAAAGAAGAGGAAATGTATGAACTAACAGTGGTCCATGTGGAATATTATTCAGCCATAAAAAGGAATGGAGTTCTCTGATATGTACTACAGCATGAAAGAACCTTGAAAATATCATGCTAAGTGAAAGAAGCCAGACACAAAGGAGCAAACATTGCATGATTCCATTTCTGTGAAATGTCAAGAATAGACAAATCCACAGAGACAGAAAGCTGATTAGTGTTTGCCATGGGCTAGTGGGAGGGGAGAATGGGGAGTGACTGCTTAGTGATAAAAATATTCCAGAACTTGGCTGAGCACGGTGCTCACACCTGTAATCCCAGAACATTGGGAGGCTGAGGCAGGTGGATCACTCAAGGTCAGGAGTTTGAGACCAGTCTGGCCAACATGGCAAAACCCCGTCTCTACTAAAAACACAAAAATTAGCCAGGCATGGTGGTGGGTGCCTGTAGTCCCAGCTATTTGGGAGGCTGAGGCAGGAAGAATTGCTTGAACCCAGGAGGCGGAGGTTGCAGTGAGCCAAGATCACCCCACTGCACTCCAGCCTGGGCAACAGAGCAAGACTCCATCTCAAAAAAAAAAAAAAATTTCTAGAACTAGATTGAGGTGATGATTGCATAACATTGTGAATGGTCTAAGTGCCACTGAATTGCACACTTTAAAATAGTTAAAGTGGTGAATTTTATGTTATGTGTACCTCACCACAATTAAAAAAGAAAAACAGTGGTCCAAGGCATGTGGGAAGCCCATAGCCAATTTACAAGCTCATATTTAGAATAGTGACATTGATTTCTAAAGAGGTCATGGAGTCTTTACTCATTGTAATGACTTCATTAGACAGTCAGGATGTCCAAATTCCTTTTGGCCTGGCTGGCTGTGTAACACCCCCACACCAACATTACTCAGTTGCAGCATCAACACCTTCACTGGCAGGAAGACTCCAATATATTCTCCCGTTCTTTTATTAAGAGAATCCTCAAGTTTTAGATAGGCAAACATTCTCTCTTCCCAGCTTCCCTTGCAGCTAGGTGGGACCATGTGACTAATTTCTACCCAATCAGGTGCAAGCAGAAGTGGTGCTGGGTCATACGCTTAAAGAGAAGGACCGTACTTTTCACTTCCTCTTCTCCCCTTCCCACAAGCTGGAATGCAGATGTGAGGGCAGGAGCTGGAGCTGCCACCTTGGGCCACAAAGTGGGAGTCTTGTGTTGATGCTGGCAGAGCATAATGGAGCCATGGTATGAGCTCTGCACAGCTTACACTCAGCAGGTTACAGAGGAGAAAAATAAACTGCTGTCTGGTTTTGGCCACTATTACTTTTGCCTTTGTTAGAACTGCAAAAACAACATTCTACCTAAATGGCTTCTAAGAAAACCTCAAAAACTAGGAACCTTAAAAAATACTTGCATATGCAGGTTTCACTGCGGTTCCCTCTTGGCATTGCTGGATCTGCTTATTATCGGGTATCACATCTTCCTTACATTTGAAGAGAACCCCTAGGAAGAAAACAACAGCAACCAAACCAAACTTCAACCTCAGCAAAATAAGATGAAAATTCAAGTCTGATTTCATGTCCTCCCGTGCCCGACTTAAAATCCATCTATTACCCTAATACACAAGGGGGAAAATGAACAAACCACAACTACACACTACAACATGAAGGACGTGTTTACTACAACACACAATTTTCTAATTTGCTCGGTTTCACTCAATATCATGCCTCTTAGAGGCAATCATGCATATGATTGTGGATGTATGTCTTTTATATGTGTGACTTCTCACTCAATATTATGTCCCTGCACAGCTTACACTCTAAGAGGCATGATATTGAGTGAAACAGAGCAAATTAGAGAAGTCATACATATAAAAGACATACATCTATAGTCATATGTAGTATGATATCATTTTTACAAAGCTCCAAACACAAGCAATACTAGGCAGATATTGTTTAGGGGTACATACCATGGGAAAATATTTTTTTAAGTAGGGAAATAATAAACACAAAATTCCAAGTGGCTGTCTAAGGAGGATACAAGGAGATAGAATGGAGAAGAAACATATAGGAGAACCAGCGACATTGATGATATTATCTTTATTATATTTGGAAATACATCAGATATATTCATTTGCTTGTTATACTTCATTGCCTCCAATAAGTTACACATATTTTTAATGTAATAAATAATACATAATTTAACAGTTTTAAACCTTTCATGGTTCCCCATTATTCTTGGGGGGAGGGGAAAGGACTCTGAAATTCTTTTTTAAAAGAAAGGTTGGCCGGGCACGGTGGCTCACACCTGTAATCCCAGCACTTTGAGAGGCTGAGGTGGGAGGATCACAAGATCACGAGTTCAAGAACAGCTTGGCCAACATGGTGAAACCCCATCTCTACTAAAAATACAAAAATTAGCTGGGTGTGGTGATGGGCACCTGTAATCCTAGCTACTCGGCAGGCTGAGGCAGAAGAATCATTTGAACCTGGGAGGTGGAGGTTGCAGTGAGCTGAGATCGCGCCCCTGCACTCCAGTCTGGGCGACAGAGTGAGACTCCATAAAAAAAAAAAAAGAAAAAAAAACAAAAGACAGGGTCTCACTCTGTCACCCAGGCTTGAGTGCAGTGGCATGAGCACAGCTCACTGCAGCCTCAACCTCCCAGGCTCAAGCGATCCTCCCACCTCAGCCTCCTGAGTAGCTAGGACTACAAGCCCATGCTACTACACCTGGCTAATTTTTTATCATTATTTTTTGTGGAGACGGAGTCTTGCAATGTTGCCCAGGCTGGTCTTGAATTCCTGGCCTCAGGTGATCCTCTCACCTTGGCCTCCCAAAGTGCTGTTTATAGGTATGTCACTGCATCCAGCCCTTTCAAAATTCTTCACAAGCCACCAAGACCCTGCAGAATCTGACCTCTGTCCACTTCATCAGATATGTCTACTGCCACTTCCCCTTGTCCTCATTTGGTGTGAGCCTCAGGACCTTTGCATCTGCTATAACCCAGAACAGCATGATCTCCATTCTTCCTCTAGAGAAGTCCTTCTCCTCCTTCAGGTTTCTGCTTAAATGTTGTTTGCTTGGAGCATAATCAATATCCTATTAGCCACTTCAAAGCACACTATGTTTTGGCCAGGCGCAGTGGCTCATGCCTGTAATCCCAGCACTTTGGGAGGCCGAGGCGGGCTGATCACGAGGTCAGTAGATCGAGACCATCCTGGCTAACATGGTGAAACACCGTCTCTACTAAAAATACAAAAATATTAGCCAGGCGTGGTGGCGGGCGCCTGTAGTCCCAGCTACTCAGGAGGCTGAGGCAGAAGAATGGCGTGAACCCGGGAGGTGGAGCTTGCAGTGAGCCAAGATCCTGCCACTGTACTCCAGCCTGGGTGAAAAAAAAAAAAAAAAGCACACTTTTTTGTTGTTGTTTCATTCATAGTTATAATTAAATAATTGGGTGTGTGTGTGTTCTGGCTCCTTCCCTAGACTATAAGCTACAAGAGGACAAGAAGCATGCCTATGATATTCAGGACCAAATCTTCAGTGCCTACTGCAGGGTCCTGTTTAACTAATTAATTAATAGGTACTCCAAAAATCATTTGTTGAAAGAGTAAATGGATGAAGAAGAAAAAGAAACAGAATATGTGGATGAGGCAACACTAAGAGGAAGATCCCGAGGTTGGGTAGAATGAGAATTTTCCAACCAAAGCCAGAAACAGATTCCATTGCCAAGACATACAAAGAGATTATTACTTTGGCAGCTGAAGTTGCCATCTTTCTGGGAGCCTTCTGGATTGGGATGAAAGCCTGCAATGCAGCCACAGCTGTAGGAGCCCAGGGCATTGGTGCAGATAGAATTAGGACCACAGGTTGATGGATCTTGGCGGCACTCATCAATATCTGCAAAGAACTGGAGAATATCAAGAAACCCAGAAGAGCAAAGAGAAATGTCTTTTCTGGATTGTCCATCAAACTCTCTGCTCACCTCTACATTCCACTCCTTGGTCTGTGAAATTCAACTGTCCATTGCTTGGTGCAAAGCCAGGGTGGCAGGTGCAAAAGTAGCTCCCAGGAGTGTTGGTGCATGTTGAATTGATGGGGCACATTTCAGTGCATTCATCAATATCTGTGGGGTACAGAATGGGTGTGGAGCCAAGTTGGCCAATGAGCCAACAAAATCATGCTTCCCTTTGCAAAATATGGAGTCATGTTTCACTAGAAAATGGTGTCCCAGCCAGGGACTACATTTCCTAGAACCCTCTGCATCTAGGTGAGGTCATGTGACTACTTTTCACTCATGGAATATGAGAGCCATGATATATGTCACTTCAGGGCCAAGGTGGTCAAGAAGTGGGTGTGACTTCTCTCCTCCCTCTTTCACCTCAACTGGCTAAACCAGGAACACCAAGGCTCTAAGGAATGCAAAAACCAAAAGATGGAGAGAGATTGAACTCCTTTATCACCATGTGGAGAAAAGCTGCCCACCAGCCAGGTATATCCATATTGAATTATTATGAGAGTGATACATTTCTATTATGCTAAGCTAGTAATGAGGCAGGAAACAGGACTCAACTCCAGATGAGGGACTCAGACACTGGACAAAATTGAGGACTAGCTAAAACAAGGACAGAGTGGAAGCAGCTTTCCATAAGACATGCCCACCAGTGTGCCAGGTCAGTTTACCATTGCCATGGCAATATTGGGGAGTTACTGCCCCTTTCTATGGCAATGACTCAATGACCCAAAAGTTACTACCCCTTCCCTAGAAATTTTTGCATAAACCACCTGTTAATCTGCATATTATTAAAAGTAGGTATAAGTATGACTGCAAAACTGCCCTGAGCTGCTGCTCTCTGCCTATGAAGTAGCCCTGCTCTGCAGGAGCTGTAACACTTACAGAACTGCAACACTGCCTCTTCAATAAAGCTGTTTTCTTCTACCTCTGGCTTGCCCTTGAATTCTCTCCTGGGCAAAGCCAAGAACCCTTGTGAGCTAAACCCCACTTTGGGGCTTACCTGTCCCGAATAAAAAATTAGCTGGGCATGGTGGCACACACCTGTAATCCCAGCTACTCAAGAGGCTGAGGCAAAAGAATTGCTTGAACCTGGGAGGCAGAGGTGGCAGTAAGCTGAGATCAAGCCACTGCACTCCAGCCTGGGCGACAGACCAAGACTCCGTCTCAAAAACAAAAAACAGGCTGGGCGCAGTGGCTCATGCCTGTAATCCAAACGCTTTGAGAAGCCGAGGCAGGCAGATTACCTGGGGTCAGGAGTTTGAGACCAGCCTGGCCAACACGGTGAAACCTTGTCTCTACTAAAAATACAAAAATTAGCTGGACATGGTGCCACATGCCTGTAATCCCATCTACTTGGGAGGCTGAGGCAGGAGAATTGCTTGAACCCAGGAGGGGGAGGTTGCAGTGAGCCGAGATTGTACCACTGCACTCCAGCCTGGGCAACAGAGCAAGACTCCATCTCAAAACAAAACCAAAAAACAAAAAAACCCCAAAAAAACAAAAAACAAACAAACAAACAAACAAAAAGAGGCACACAGTGGAGGGGTTGAGAACATGGACATTCTGGGTTCATAGCCTGGCTCTGTCACTTACAAGCTGTTTGTTCATGGGTGCTATGGACTGAATGGTGCCCCTCCTCCAAATTCCTATATGGAAGCCCTAAGCCCCAGTGGGATGTTATTTGGAGATGTTATTTACTGCTCTATCCCCAGTGCCTAGAATAGTGCCACGTATACTGTAAGTGCTCAAGAGGTATTTCTTTAATGAGTGAATGAATGATTATTGGCTTCAGATTTGCAGATGAAAGTCTCAAACTCAACCAAGACCCACCCTAATCCCCTCACTGCTGTCTTTTCAAACAGACTTGGACCTGACTTCTCAGAAGACACCCCCACCTACCTTCACACGATGCTTTGAGACCCTGGAAACTCAAGTGGCCACTGCTGGATTCAAATCCTGGGTTGCAGAAACAAGAGTAGTTTCCAACAGTGTTATTACAAGTTGCATGCTCTGGGCAAGCTCTTGGATCTGCACATTCATCCACGTCTGAAGAGTGGAAGAGAAAACCCAGGTCAAGGTAAATGAGAAAGCAAGGAGTAGAGACTACAAATAGGAGATGCACTCTGAGTGTTGATTTTCAGCAGACAGGGCTGATGCTCCCCAATATCCATGTTCCCCCCTTCTTCCCAGGCACACAGTGGGACATATTTCCCAGTTCCTTCTTTCAGTAGGCATGGCCATGAGAGCAAATTCTAGCCAATAGCATGTAAGCAGAAGGGTGGCAAATAGTTTCAAAACATAATTATCAGAAATTGGAAAAGTAGCCATAGTCCTTTACTTCTCTCTGTATTTACACCCCAAGATGTAGATTGTAAGAGATGTGACTTTACCATACCTTGCATTAAGAGGTGGAGTCTGTTTCTCTACCCCTTAAATACAGCTGGCCCTACGACTTGCACTGACCAATAGAAGACAGTGAAGTAATGAGGTGCTAATTCCAAACCTGGGCCTCAAGAGACCTGTTGGCTTCTGTTCATTCTATTGGGCCTCTGATCTCTGCCATATGAACAAGCCCCTGACTAGCCTAATGAAGAACAAAAGACCAAATGGGAGAGAAATGAATCATCCCAGATGAGCCCCAGACATGTGAGACCCATTCCCTCCTCCTTGTAATAATGTAACAATACAGCTGAGGACTGCATTCCCAGCTTCTCTTGCAGCTAGGTGTAGCTACATGGTGAAAATCTGGCTAAGGAGAATAAATAGAAGTGATGTGTGCACCATCTGGTCATGCCCTTGAAAAGAAAGAGCATACTCTACACTTCTTCTCCCTTTTCACCTGGGCTGGAAGATGGACAGAGTGGGGTGATCCATTCCCAACCATGGGGATGAGGCTCACACCTAAGGTGGCAGAGGCAACAAGACAAAAGCCCAGCCAAGGTCAGCTGACTGCAGACACAAGAACAAGACCAGTTGAGACCAAAAGATCTGGCTAGAATAGACCACTTAAAATGTCAACTCATGGAATCAAGCGCTAAATATATGGTGGTTGTTTTTAGACACTAATTTTTAAGACAATTTGTTACCCAGTGATAGCTCACTGCTACAAATGGAGTAGCAAAGGCAGAGATGATTTCAAACATCTCTTAAACTAAGCCAGGGGGATATAATGAGGGCTTGACCACTCCTTGCCTTTCTCAATGGAGTCACCATCCCATAAATGAATGTGGAGAATAACAATGCACTAGACACAGGAAGATGGAGCTCTTGTCTCTTGGTGAGGACATTCTGGCTGCAGTGTAGAGGATGGATTGGAGAGAATAAGACTGAAAAAGGCAAGACTAGAGAGGAGGCTGCTGCAGTGATGATCAAGCCTGAACCAAGGATGGAAAACAGTGGAGGAATTCAACACATATTTATTTATATATTTATTTTTGAGACAAGGTCTTGCTCTGTTATCCAGGCTGGAATGCAGTGATGCAAGCATAGTGCACTGCAGCCTCAACCTCCTGGTTTCAAGTGATCCTCCCACCTCAGCCTCCTGAGTAGCTGGGACCACAGGCACATGCCACCACACTTGGCTAATTTTCTAATTTTTTTTTTTTTTTTGTAGAGACAGGGTCTCACTATGTTGCCCAGGCTGGTCTCAAACTCTTGGTCTTAAGCGATTCTCCCATCTCAGCCTCCCTAAGTGCTGGTATTACAGGTGTGAGCCACCACACCCAGTCTCAAAACATATTTAGCAGGTAGATTCTCCAAGGTGTGATGACTGCTTTAATGTGAAGGGAGAGAAAAGATTAAAGATAACTTTCTTTTTTTTTTTTTTTGAGATGGAGTCTCGCTCTGTCACCCAGGCTGGAGCGCAGTGGTGTGATCTCGGCTCACTGCAAGCTCTGCCTCCTGGGTTCACACCATTCTCCTGCCTCAGCCTCTCAAGTAGCTGGGATTACAGGCACGTGCCACCAGGCCCAGCTATTTTTTTTTGTATTTTTAGTAGAGACGGGGTTTCACCTTGTTAGCCAGGATGGTCTCCATCTCCTGACCTCATGATCTGCCTGCCTTGGCCTCCCAAAGTGCTGAGATTACACGCAGGAGCCACTGCGCCCGGCTGATTAAAGATAACTTTCAACTGTTAATTCAAATACCTTTTAGGGGAACGTTCTGAAGTTTAGACTTTAGAATCTCCCCAGAATAGGTTTTGTGTGTTTTGTTCTTCTTGTTGTTGGGTATTTTTTTTTTTTGAAACAGAGTCTTGCTCTGTTGCCCAGGCTGGAGTGCAATGGCACAATCTCAGCTCACTCCAACCTCCGCCTCCCAGGTTCAAGCAATTCTCCTGCCTCAGCCTCCCGAGTAGCTGGGATTACAGGTGCCTGCCACCATGCCCGGCTAATTTTTTGTATTTTTAGTAGCGACAAGGTTTCACCATGTTCGCCAGGCTAGTCTTGAACTCCTGACCTCAAGTGATCCATCCGCCTTGGCCTCCCAAAGTGCTGGTATTACAGGCGTGAGCCACCGCGCCCAGCCCAGAATAAGGTTTTTCCACCTCAGCACTATTGGCATTTAGGGTCAGATTATTCTTGGTTGTGGGGGCCTTTCGGTGCATTATAGGATGTTTAGCAGCATCTCTGACCTCTTCCCATCAGATGCCATACACAGCACCTCTCCCCACCATCACCGGTTGAGACAATCAAAAATATCTCCAGATGTTGCCAATGTCCCCTGGGGAAAATATCGGTCTGGAGACAAGTGCACCCCATTATATTCTGATACCATTGTTTGACTTATAGTAGGTCCTCAGCAGGAGTTCAAATCCCAGCTCTTCCACTTAATATTTGCATATAGTTCACAGATCCTATAAAGCAATTACACAACTGAGATCACAAAGCAAGTAGCGAGCAACACTGTGACAGGAACAAAACCCTCAAATATCAATATTAACCTTGAACAGAAATGGCCTAATGCTACACTTAAAAGATATAGATTGTTAAACCAGATAAAAATTTTTGTAAAAAAGACCAAACCATGTGCTGCCTACAAGAGACCTACCTAACATGTAAAGACACCCACAGGCCCAAAGTAAAGGGATAGAAAAATATATAGGCAACTATATATTTTTACCTCTCTGAGCCCCAATTTTCTCATCCCTACATGAGAAAATCCCTTTCTCATATGGTCTTCCAGTGAGATGACCCTTAATTAATTAAGCAGGTAAATAATAAAGAGATAGAGTTTCTAGAGATGAATCCAACTTGACAGCTGCAATTGTAGCTTCCCATGGAGTTGACACAGTCAGAATGCTCAGGGCAGACGCTGCTGGTGAGGGACTCACTGATATTTGCAAAGCAGTGAAAGAGGGTGAGCAGATAAGAAATTGGGTGCCTCAGTTCAGAAATACATGAACTCACCCCACTGATAGATATCCACTCAAGACCCATCCCTGGGAACCTGAGGGCATCACCAGTACAGGAGAAATTGCCCGGCTTTCCTGGGATCCAGTCATTTCCAGTGGGAGAAGAGAAACCATCTAAACAGCTGCACTTGTACCTCCCTGACATGTTTTTGCAGGATGAATTAGGACCACAGGGCTGGGGGCTTTGAGAACATTCATCAATATCTAGACAGAGAATTGGAGTTACAAATTCACTTATACTAGATAGAAGACTGTATTTTGCCAAAAAAAAAAGTTAAAACAATATCTCCCATCCCATATGCGCTTCACTTTGGTACTTCTTCTGTCAAGCAATGGAAGGTACGTCCCCATCTTGAATCTGAGCATACTTGTGACTATGGTGGAAGTGACACTAGGTCATAAAAATATCATGTACTTCCACCTTGTTCTCTTGGGATGCTTATCCTTGGAATCCAGCCACCATATTGTGAGGAAACTCAACCATCCATGAAATTTTACAGTGACCAGGAATTATTTACATGATCAGAGAGAGGAAGGGTGGGGAAGTAGGAAGGAAGGAAGGAAGGAAGGAAGGAAGGAAGGAAGGAAGGAAGGAAATCATGTTTGCTAGCAATACTAGCTAGCAATGCTGTGACAGGAACAAAACCCTCAAATATCAATATTAACCTTGAATAGAAATGGCCTAATGCTCCACTTAAAAGATATAGATTGTTAAACCAGATAAAAAATTTTTTAAAAAGACCCAACCATGTGCTGGCTACAAGAGACCTACCTAGCATGTAAAGACACCCACAGGCTCAAAGTAAAGGGATAGAAAAAGATATAAGCAACTATATATTTTTACCTCTCTGAGCCCCAATTTTCTTATCCCTACATGAGAAAATCCCTTTCTCATATGGTCTTCCAGTGAGATGACCCTTAATTAATTAAGTAGGTAAATAATAAAGAGATGGTCATGGATACCTTCACAGGTGGAGTTTCTAGAGATGAATCCAACTTGACAGCTGCAACTGTAGCTTCCCATGGAGTTGACACAGTCAGAATGCTCAGGGCAGACGCTGCTGGTGAGGCACTCATTGATATCTGAGAAGCAGTGGAAGAGGGTGAGCAGATAAGAAATTGGGTGCCTCAGTTCAGAAATACATGAACTCACCCCACTGATAGATATCCACCCAAGACCCATCCCTGGGAACCTGAGAGCATTACCAGTACAGGAGAAATTGCCCGGCTTTCCTGGGACCCAGTCATTTCCAGTGGGAGAAGAGAAACCATCTAAACAGCTGCACTTGTACCTCCCTGACAGGTTTTTGCAGGATGAGTTAGGACCACAGGGCTGGGGGCTTTGAGAACATTCATCAATATCTAGACAGAGAATTGGAGTTACAAATTTACTTATACTAGATAGAAGACTGTATTTTGCAAAAAAAAAAAAAAAAAAAGTTAAAACAATATCTCCCATCCCATATGCACTTCACTTTGGTACTTCTTCTGTCAAGCAATGGAAGGTATGTCCCCATCTTGAATCTGAGCATACTTGTGACTATGGTGGAAGTGACACTAGGTCATAAAAATATCATGTAGTTCTACCTTGTTCTCTTGGGATGCTTATCCTTGGAATCCAGCCACCATATTGTGAGGAAACTCAACCATCCATGAAATTTTACAGTGACCAGGAATTATTTACATGATCAAAGAGAGGAAGGGTGGGGAAGTAGCAAGGAAGGAAGGAAGGAAGGAAGAAAATCATGTTTGCTAGCAACACTAGCTAGCAATGCTGTGACAGTAACAACACCCCCACATATCAATATTAACCTTGAACAGAAATGACCTAATACTCCACTTAAAATATATAGTTAAACCAGATTTAAAAAAAAATGGGGGGTGGGGGAGTACCTACATTCAATACCCAGCCAGCTTTGACTTGATTTTCCTACCAAATGCTGGATGGTTTGAGGGGACATGAACTCACCTTTGCATCGCACTCCTGGATCCTTGAAGTGATTTTGCCCATTGCTGGACAGGAAGCCTTGTTTGCAAGCGCAATAGTAACTGTCCACTGTATTGGTGCAGGTGGCATAAGCTGGGCACAAGGTACTGTCTCTACAGTTATTACCTAGGCAGTGTATAAAGAAAAGTTTAGACAAGATTAGAGCATTAGAGTGAGGCTGCAAGGGAACCCAGCATACAAGGGTGGAGGTGACTGTTATGGGTTGGATTGTGTTCCTCCCAAAAGATACGTTACAGTCCTAAACCCTGGTACCTGTGAATTTCATCTTATTTGGAAACTGGGTCTTTGTAGATGCAATTAAGATAAAAGTTAAGATGAAGTAGTGCTGGAGTAGGGTGGGCCACAGGTGTCCTTATAAGAAGAGAAGAGACACACAGACATGCACAGGGACAGTGCCATGCAACAGTGCAAACCGGGATCAGAGTGATATGTCTAGAAGCCAAGGAACACCAAGGATTGCCAGCAATAACAAAAGCCTTAAAAAAAGGCATGGAACAGATTCTGCCCTATAGCCTTTGGAGAAAGACTGGCCCTGCCAATACCTTGAATTCACACTTCTGGACTCCAGAACTTGAAGAGAATAAATTTCTGTCATTTTAAGCAGCCCTAGGAAACGGATACAGCAACCAATCATATTTAACCATGTACCTCAAAGATCCTAGACCCTTTCTACTCAGAGTAGGGTCTGTGAGTCAGCCACATAAGCATCTCCTGGGAGTTAGATGGAAATGCAAAATCCATTGAATCAGAATCTGCATTTGAACAAGATCCCAGGTGATGTGTGCGCACAGGGAAGTTTGAGAAGCACTCATCTGGATCCTTGCTACCCAAAGTATCCACAGACCAGTATCACCTGCCTCCCCTTGGATTCCAAGAACATCTTGGAAAATCAGGTACTAATTCAGCAGGTCTGGGGAAGGGGGCCGGGGATTTTGCATTTCTAACAAGTGCCTGGAGGATGCCAATTCTGTTGCTCCATGGATCACACCATGAACATCCAAGCACTAGACAGAAAAGTGTGAGAGTGAAAACTGCAAATTTCGGGACAAGGCAGATCTGAGTTCAAGTTCCAGCAGCAAACCTCAAAGCCAAGAATGGTGGCTGTTCCCCCAAATCCATTCCACCCTCTTCCTTATAATAATAGAACCATCCAGTTTAGGACTGCATTCCCAGCTTCTCTTGCAGCTAGCTGTGGCCACCTGGTGAAAATCTGGCCAAGGAGAATGAATAGAAGTGATGTGTGTACTGTCTGGTCATGCCCTTGAAAAGAAAGAGCATACTCCACACTTTTTCTCCCTTTTCACATGGGCTGGAAGATGGACAGACTGGGGTGATCCATTTCCAACCACGGGGATGAGGCTCACGCCTAAGATTGGAGAGGCAACAAGGCAAAAGGCACCTGGGAGATGGAATGACCTCCTAGGCAAGGTTGTTCCACGACGCTGTTCCATCTTCAAGTTGGAGATTTATGAGACAGATAAAAATAAACATCTGCATTGTTTCATTCATAGTTATTTTGTTTCTATGGAAACAATCAACACTCTATCCTAGCCAATCCAGTCTTGGGACAAGTGATTTCACGTGTCTGTACCTCAGGTTGCCTGTTTAGCCACCACATTTAATAAGCCTCCAAGCCCTGTTGATCCCCCTTCCCAAATATAATTTGACAATTACCCATTTAACCCCACCACCTTGGCTATGCCTGATCCAGATCTTCCTCTGAATTTAACATTTCTATATACCCCATTGTCCTCCACAATCTTCTACTCCACACCATGGTCATCTCTGAATGCACATTTGATCTCCCACCTCCACCCCTTGCCTATAATGCTCTTTGTTCTCCTTAGAAATAAAACTCAAATTACTCAACATGAACTGCAAAGCCCCCAGTGACCAGACCCAACCACATCATTCAGCCTCATCATGTCAGTTTCTCTTTGCACTCCATTTCTAGCCTTCCTACCACAGGGCCTTTGCACATGCTGTTCCCTCTGCCTCTGCTTTGCCTGGCCAGCTTCCACTCATTTTTCAGATCTTGCTTTAGCATCACTTCCTCCAGGAAGCCTTCCCTGACTCCTCCACAGCTCCCTGAGCTCTTCTTTTATGGAATTCATCAAAACCGTGACTGCTTGATTGTTTCAGTGAGTTGCTCCTTCATGGCCACCTTCACCACCACACTGTGAGCTTCAAAAGGACAAGACCACAGGTGGGAGCAGGCTCCCAGGTGCTAGGAAAGAGGCTCACTTGCTGCTGTCATCCTTGTGGCAGGCAGAATAACAGACCCTTCCAAGAGGACCATGTCCTAATCCCTGGAACCTGT
Organism: Homo sapiens; assembly: GCF_000001405.40. Lineage (NCBI taxonomy): Eukaryota > Metazoa > Chordata > Mammalia > Primates > Hominidae > Homo > Homo sapiens. The sequence goes on along the minus strand of NC_000019.10, from coordinate 6,894,182 downwards.
GAATATGTTATGGTCCATGGCGAAGGAGGAATTAAGGTTGCAGATGGAATTAAGGTTGCTAATCATGCTGATCTCAAGATGGGCATATTATCTTGGATCATCCAGGGGCAATGAATGTAACCACAAGAGTCTTTATAAGTGAAAGCTGAAACCAAGAAAAGCATTGTCAGAGTGATGTGATGTAAGAAAGAGCTGGCCAGCCACTGCTGGCTTTGAAGTTGGGGGAAGGGGACATGAGCCAAGAAACATGGTTGACCCTAGATACAGGAAAAAGTAAGAAAATAGTTCTTCCGTACAGCATCCAGAAGGAACGCAGCCCTGCCATTGCCTCTATTTTAGCCCAGTGGGACCCATTTCAGACTTCTGACCTCCAGAATGATAGGTAAGTTTTTTTTGTTTTAAGCGACCAAGTTTGTGGCAATTTGTTACAGCAGCCACAGGAAATGGGCACCATTCCCAATACCCATATGTGAAAATAAAACATGACTCAGAGAGGTTGAGTGACTTACCCAAAGACACACAACCACATCTGCTGGAGAGCAGCAGAGCCAGACCTTTCAAAATCCAAAGTACATGCAAGAGATGGAATCAACCTAAGTGTCTATCAGTGGATGAATGGGTGAGGAAGATGTCGTATATGTACTCAATAGAATATCATTCAGCCATAAGAAATAATGAAATCGGGCAGGCGTGATGGCTCACGCCTGTAATCCCAGCACACTGGGAGGCCAAGGCGGGCAGATCACCTGAGATCGGGAGTTCGAGACCAGCCTGACCAACATGAAGAAGCCCCCGTCTCTACTAAAAATAAAAAAAAATTAGCCAGGCATGGTGGTTCATGCCTGTAATCCCAACTACTCAGGAGGCTGAGGCAGGAGAATCACTTGAACTGGGGAGGCGGAGGTTGTGGTGACCCAAGATTGCGCCATTGCACTCCAGCCTGGGCAACAAGAGCAAAACTCCGTCTCAAAAAAATAAAAAATAAAAAAAGAAAGAAAGAATGAAATCCCATCCTTTGCAGAAACATGGATGGAACTGGAGGACTGGAGGACATTATGTTAAGTGAAATAAACCAGACACAGAAAGACAAATATTGCATGTTCTCGTTCCTACGTGGGAGCTAAAAATCATCATCATCATTATCTAATGGAGGTAGAGAGCAGAATGACAATTACCAGAGGCTGGAAAGGATAGTGGGGAAGGGGGATAAAGAGGGATTGACTGGTTGGTACAAAAACCACAGTTAGATGGAAGGAATGAGATCGAGTGCTCAGTAGCACAGTAGGGCAACTACCTATGAGTCAGGACATGTGACATTTGTCTTTCTGTGCCTGGTTTGTTTCACTTAATGACCTCCAGTTTCATCCATGTTGCTGCAAATTGTGGAATGTCATTCTTTTTATGGCCGAATAGCAATCCGTTGTGTATGCAGACCACATTGAGTTCAACCATTCATCTGTTGACGGACACTGAGGTGGATTCCATATCTTGACTATTGTGAATAGTGGAGTTGGGTTTTTTATCAAAGAAAGATGGGAGTCATGGGAGGATTTCGAGCAGAGTAGGGACACAACATAAGGTTTTAACATGAGCCTTCTGGCCACTGGTTGGAAGACGAACTATAGAAGATCAGAAATAAACTGACCAAGGAGGGGGTGACTGCACTTGTCCAGGTGAAAGATGTCAGTAGATACAACCCAGAGGGAATCAATGAAGGGAATGCAATTCAGGATTTTTTTAAAGCAACACTAACAAAATTTGCCGATGGATTGGATGTGAGGAGTGAAAAGAGAGGAACCAACGATAATGCCAACATCAATTAGGAGTATGGAAAAACTAAAAAGTATCATAAAAACAGAAGGAATGGATTATCGTGATTGTGACATTATTCACCCTGTTTTTGTTACACATTTGGTTTTGAGATCTACGTTCTTTGCTCCTATAATGTGCCTTGTTTATTTCCCTTCCCTGCATGAGGCCTCAGATGGTATCTCTCTTCTCATTTCCAGCTTCCTCTTTCATCTGTAGAGGCAACATTTCTCTATGCAGACTTCCGGCATTTTATCACTTGTGGTCTCTTAATGCTGTAAGTTTCCCATCATTCTCTTCCACTAGCCCTCTCCCTCACAACTGAAACCCACCAAGGTCAGAGTAACAACCCGGTCTTGTGGGACTAGGTACCTGTCCACCTCCCCATCTCATCTCCTGCCCTGTGTCATCAGTCACACTCACCTTCGCTCGGTCCTCCAAATTCTTTCCAACCTCAGGACCTTTGCACCCACCGTTCTGGCCACCAGACATGCCCTATCCCACCCTGCCCCTTTGCCTGGGTAACATCAATTCATCCATCCTTTAAGTCCACTGGAACATCACTTCCTTGAGAAAATTTTCCCAACCATCTCAATAAAGCCCTTTTGAAAAAGTCCTACAAAGGGGCCAGGCGCAGTGGCTCATGCCTGTAATCCCAGCACTTCGGAAGGCTGGGGTGAGCAGATCACCTAAGGAGTTCAAGACCAGCCTGGTTTCTAGTGAAACCCCGTCTCTACTAAAAATACAAAAAAATTAGCCAGGCGTGGTGGCGGGCGCCTGTAGTCCCAGCTACTCGGGAGGCTGAGGCAGGAGAATGGCGTGAACCTGGAAGGCGGAGCTTGCAGTGAACCGAGATCGCACCACTGCACTCCAGCCTGGGCAACAGAGCGAGAATCTATCTCAAAAAAAAAAAAAAAATGTGAAAGATGAGCTGTTAACACAATATAGACCAAGTTGCTAAGTTGCCCAAAGAAGAACCAGGAAACAGAGACACTGGGAACAGTTGTATTAGTCTGTTTTCATGCTGCTAATAAAGACATACCCGAGACTAGGTAATTTATAAGGGAACGAGGTTTAATTTGACTCACTGTTGCACATGGCTGGGGAGGCTTCACAATCATGAGGAGCAAAATTATGTCTTACTTACATGGCAGGAGGCAAGAGAGCTTGTGCGGGGATCTCCCATTTATAAAACCATCAGATCTCGTGAGACTTACTCACTACCACGAGAACAGTATGGGGGAAACCATCCCCCATGATTCAATTATCTCCAACTGGCCCCGCCCTTGACACGTGGGGATTCTTACAATTTAAGGTGAGATTTGGGTGAGGACATAGCCAAACCATATCAACAACTACGAACTGACAATGTCTTTCTTCCTTTATCCAGCAAGAGTTTATGTAGATGAGAGTATTTAACAAAACATAAAGAAGTCACTTTTTTTTTGCACATTGAGTTGTAGTTTGAGTAAATTCCATCCCTACTCTCACTACACTACCATTTATAAAGCTCATACTACATACCAGGTGGTTTCCAAAGCTACCTCTTTGAATTAAAGTTTCACAACATCCCTATTGTTATCTGTATTTCACAGCTTGGGAAACTGAAGTTCAGAGAGGTTATGTGACTTATCTGAGATCACACAGCAATTCTAAGCACAAAGGAAAGAGCCTGAAGTGAGAATCAGGAGACTTGCATGTTAACCCTTGCTCTGCCGCTAACTAGCTCCCAGCAAGCATCTGGATGAGGCTCAGCTTCCTGGGATGTTTCCCCGGGGAGAAAACTTTCTCTACCCCTTCAGGCATCTGCATTCTCTCTGGCCAACTTACCCTTTGTGTTTGGTTTCCGTGTGGGTCTTATGTGCCCTTCCCAGCTGTGCATAACACAACATCCTGTGAAGAAAGAAAAGAAAAACACCATGAACCACCAAAAAAAAAAAAAAAAAAAAAAACCTTTTGGGCTCAACCTGCAAAATTACTCCTGGCTTGGCCCCACAGAAATAGGTTTGAAGAGGCTAGATGACAAACCTAGTTAAGGAACAAACATACACTATTTTGCATAAGCTTAACAATGACCATTCCTGGTTTTCTGTACTTTGCTTTTGCTTTTCATTTTGTCTGTCTTTATCTTCTTTTTCTTTTTGATTAAATAGTTCCAGGCTAAGCACTGTGGTGCACACCTATAATCCCAGCCCTTCGGGAGGCCAAGGTGGGAGGATCACTTGAGACCAGCAGTTTGACACCGGCCTGGACAACACAGTGAGACTTTGTCTCTACAAAAAAAAAATTTTTTAAATTAGCTGGGTGGTGGTGACAACTTGTAGCCCCAGCTACTCAGGAGGCTGAGGTGGAAGGATTGCTTGAGCCCAGGAGATAGAGACTGCAGTGAGCCAAGATCATGCCACTGCGCTCCAGCCTAGGTGACCCTGTCTAAAAAAAAAAGTTCTAGCTGATTTTCAAAAACATACATTAAAGCATGCATTCTCAAAAGGGGTGATATATCCTCTAAGGACCCAAACTTGGTTCTCAGGAAGAGATCTTTTTAAGCTTACTCTTTTATGTATAAGATACATATGTATATATAGAAAATACATATATAGGTATACAGTATATCTGTAGTATTAACATTTCATGAGAGGGTAGGGCAATTCGTTTTTCTTTCCTTTTTTTTTTTTTTTTTTTTTTTGAGATGGAGTCTCACTCTGTCACCAGGCTGGAGTGCAGTAGCGTGATCTAGGCTCACTGCAACCACCAACTCCCTGGTTCAAGCTATTCTCCTGCCTCAGCCTCCCGAGTAGCTGGGATTACAAGCACGCACCACCACGCCCAGCTAATTTTTGCATTTTTAGTAGAAACGGGGTTTCTCCATGTTGGCCAGGATGGTCTCGATCTCCTGACCTCATGATCTGCCTGCCTCAGCCTCCTAAAGTGCTGGGATTACAAGCGTGAGCCACTGCGCCCTGCCCATTTTTTAGTGTTTAAAGGCAATGCAGCCCTGCAGCATTTAGGTCTCCTGCACCATCATCATTATCGCCATCATTATCACTATCATCATCACCATCATCATCTTCATCATCACCATCATCATCATCATTATTATCACCATCATCACCATTATCATCATCACCATCACCATTATCACCATCACCACCATCATCATCATCACCACCATAATCACCAACATCACCATCTTCATCGTCATTATCACACCATCATCACCACCATCATCATCATTATCCCTATCATCACCATTATCATCATCACCATCATCACCATCTTCATGGTCATTATCACACCATCATCATCACCATCATCTTCATTATCACTATCATCACCATTATCATCATCATCATCATCACCATCACCATCATCATCACCATTTTCATCATCACTATTATAACCACCACCATCATGATCATTATCATCACTATCATTATCACAACTCTTTGCTGATTATCTTCAGGGCAGAATAGGGAGTGTTAATGGTTAATACCATTGCCAACACCCCAAAATAACAACTCTGCATGCCTACATTTGATGTCCACAGGCCACCTATTTCTTCTAATGTAGCCTGCCAGTCAACAAGTCCCACAGATCTAAACTCCCAAATTCTATCTATTATTACTAACAAAAATTCTTCTACTCATTCATTAATTATTTTAGAGGTAATTCAGCATGCTGTTTAGGCATACAAAGTCTGAAGTCAAAGTGCTTAGGTTTAAAAATCTGGCTTCACCAATTAATGATTGCGTGGCCTTGAGGAAGTTATTTAATCTCTTTGTGCCTCAGTTTCCTCCTTGGTAAAATAGGGTATTCAGATCCACTCTTCAACAGCAGAGGAAACCCATACTTGCTACTTAGAATATGTCCCCAATATCCTCCATTCTTAAATTTGATCCAATGACCAAAACACACAAGACATAGAAGAAAAACCAGAAACACAGAAGATAAACAAGGCTGAGACAAACTGACACCTGAAGAAAGAGAAATAAGAGCACAGGAAGGGTCTATCTCATCCTTCAGGACTCAGCTCGAACTGCCCCTCCTCAACCCCAGACTTCTCCCTTCAACATAACTCCCGACCACATTCTATAACAACTTCTTTCATAGCACTTATCACTACCTGAAATTCCTATGTTTACTTATTTTTTGGGGCAACATAGTATAGTGGAAAAGCTTACAGACTCTGAAGTCAGACTGTCTGGCTTGAAATCCTGCCTCTACCCCTTATTGACTAAGTGGCCTTGGGAAAATTATTTTATCTCTTTTGCCTCAGTTTTCTCATTTGCAAAATAGGACTAATAATGACCCAATGTCATAGAAATGTTGTGACAATTGGATACACTCTATGTTTAAAGAAGTTACAGCAGTGCTAAGTGGGCTATGATCATCTGTGCCTTCTTTCCTGTCTGCTCCTACCCACTAGAATATCAGCCTCAAGAGTGCAGGAACTTAGTCTTTTTTTCTCACTGCTATATCCTCTAGTGCCTAGAACAGCACCTGACACACAGGACTTGCTCAGGTCAAATGAATGACTATAGAGAAAAATCTATCCTAACAGATGGACTTCCCTGAGCTATGGAATTTTGTCAAAGGTTCCCTGAATGAAGGTGTTTGCAGCATCCAGTCTGGACTTATGATCTCTTGGCTGGACCATCCATGGCCCTCCCATTTCTCCTGAAGTCTATTTCCAATCCAGGCCTCCCCTAGCCCCCCATTCAGCCTCACACTCACCCCAGAAGAGGAGCAGGTTGAAGCCACGCATTATGCTGTAGTTCTGTCATTCAAAGAAAAGAAACTTTTCTACTAACGCTGGGTTTTCAGTAACCAGAAGGTGTGCGAAGAGGGGAAGGCGGAGTCAGAGTTGCTCAATGCTGCCTGGTCATCATAGCCCTTTTTGCTGACTTGCTGCAACTAAAAGACAGCCTAGAAAATCCTAATTTCCCCCTTTCTTCACAATAAAGAGAAGTTAATCTGCCTAATGTATATCATTCTCTCTCTCTCTCCTTCCCATGGTCTCTCCCTTTTTCTTTCCCATCAACATCTATCTCCCATCTCTCAACACCTTCTTTCATTGCACCCAATAAAGGAGCTTCCGCTTCCTGCCTCCAGTGAAGCAAATCTCAGCCTTTAGGGTCTCTTCCCAGTCTCCCGTATAAAGACAGCCATCACAACCATCATGTACCAGGCAGTGTGCTAGGCACATTGGCAACAAAGTGTAATTTCATTATCATGTTAACCTTGTAAAGTAGGAATTCCCCTCCCTCCCTCTATTCACCAACAAAATGGAAACTGAGACTTGCAGAGGAGTTATAACTTGTCCAAGATCTCTCAGACTTGAGATTTGAACCCAGGACCCTCTGATTCCAGAGTCAAGAGCTTTAACCATCTTATTTTCCTTCAGATCTCAACTCTGTCTGACGATTATACAGCAACACTTCCACCCCATTCCCAGCTTCCTAACTCTCTCTGGTAACATCTTAGGGTCTCACAAGGGCAGACCCTCAGACAAGGATTCTAGCAAAAGTAGTTTATCAAGAAGGTGGCCCCAGAAAGCACCAGCTGGGGGAGGAGAAAGTGAATCAGGAAAGGCAAAGAGCCAATACTGGGTGTGTCTTCAAATAAGTTACATGGTGAGAAAGTGGAACTTAACCTCCCCAGGGATGACTGGGGAGCGGCATGGAACATACTCTTCAGTTATTCCAACCGAGGGGTGAGGGAGCTGAGGTATTTATATCCCACCTACTGTCAGTCATGGGTTGACTTGAGGCTTGCTCCTAGAGGGTGTCAACCCCTTGAATCTTCAGGCCTGGCCTCCAAGCAGATAGAATGGGCTCCAGTTGATGTAATCCCACTGATAACAAAGTGTAGTGACTGGCAGATATTGAAGCAGTGTCATCCATCTGGGGTAATACCCGAGGTTCATTGCCTCACACCAAGGAAATAGAAAATACAGACATGGCCGGGCACCGTGGCTCACACCTGTAATCTCAGCACTTTGGGAGACTGAGGAGGGTGGATTACGAGGTCAGGAGTTCAAGACCAGCCTGGCCAAGATGGGGAAACCCCGTCTTTACTAAAAATACAAAAAATCAGCCAGTGTGGTATGGTGTTAGGCACCTGTAATCCCAGCTACTCCGGAGGCTGAGGCAGAGAATTGCTTGAACCCAGGAGGCGGAGGCTGCAGTGAGCCGAGATCGTGCCACTGCACTCCAGCCTAGGCAACAGAGTGGGACTCTGTCTTAAAATAAAATAAAATAAAATAAAATAAAATAAAATAAAATAAAATAAAATAAAATGCAGACACACAAAAAATTACTTTTAGAGCAGAGGTTTAGGCCGAGCACAGTGGCTCATGCCTGTAATCCCAGCACTTTGGGAGGCTGAGACGGGTGGATCACCTAAGATCAGGAGTTTGAGACCAGCCTGGGCAACATAGTGAAACCCCATCTCTACTAAAAATACAAAAATTAGCCAGGTGTGGTGGCTCATGCCTGTAATTCCAGCTACTCAGGAGGCTGAGGCAAGAGAATCGCTTGAACCCGGGAAGCAGAGGTTGCAGTGAGCCGAGATTGTGCCATTGAACTCCAGCCTGGGTGACAGAGCAAGACTCCATCTCAAAAAAAAAAAAAAAAAGAAAGAAAGAAAAGAAATTTAATAGGCGAGAGAAAGAGAAAAGCTCTCTCTCCTGCAAAGAGAGGGGGCTCCCAAGTGGGTCTTCCAGTTTCATGGTGAAATGCACGGGGTTTTATAGATGAGCTTTAGGTGGTGATATCTGATTTACATAAGGGCCCAAAGATTAGTTGGACCAGGTGTGCCGTTTACATAGAGTACAAAGAAGCTGGCTGCCCACCCTAATATTTTATTATGCAGATGGGGTCTCTACCTGGCCAGGACCATGTTGCCTGTTCCTTTACCGTACACGTGGTTGATAAAGAAAAGGGAACATGGAGCAAGCCTGCATGTTGAACACGCCTGGCACCCAGGTAGCCTATTCCCATTGGCACAGCTGCCGGCATTCACCCGAGCAAGCTTCCAGCTTGCTTTTCTATGTCTGCCGGCTGATTTTTCAGACTGCTCTTTTTTAGAAAAGAAATTATTTGGCCGGGCGCGGTGGCTCACGCCTGTAATTCCAGCGCTTTGGGAGGCCGAGGCGGGTGGATCACAAGGTCAGGAGTTTGAGACCAGCCTGACCAACATGGTGAAACCCCGTCTCCACTAAAAATACAAAAATTAGCCGGGCATGGTGGCATGCGCCTGTAATCCCAGCTACTCGGGAGGCTGAGGCAGGAGAATTGCTTGAATCCGGGAGGCGGAGCTTGCAGTGAGCCGAGATTGTGCCGCTGTACTCCAGCCTGAGCGACAGAGCAAGACTCTGTCTCAAAAAAAAAAAAATAAAATAAAATAAATGATTTGGGGGCTGCTTTTTATTAAAAGGCAAACCTTACCGAGGACTCTCTTGCCCTCACTCTCTGCCTAAATAACTTCTTTCTAGCTCCCGTATCAGCGTTAAGCTAGGGCATATTAATGTGTTGTTAGGTTATGGGTGTGGGCAGCCACTGATAGCAGCTGTCACAAGGTACAAAGGAGGTGCATAGAACATCCCCGAATTCTTAGAAAGAAAAGCTCCACGTGTTTTTGCCTTCCCCTTTTGTTCTTTGCAAAGCAAACTACCAGCTTTGGAGTTATTGTCACTGGAACAAAGATTCACCAATGGCTTTCTTTTTTTATTTTATTTTATTTTTTTTTCTGAGATGGACTCTCGCTCTGTCACCCAGGCTGGAGTGCAGTGGCGTGATCTTGGCTTACTGCAACCTCCGCCTCCCGAGTAGTTTCTGGGATTACAGGCGTGTATTACCATGCCCAGCTAACTTTTGTATTTTTAGTAGAGACGAGGTTTCACCATGTTGGCCAGGCTGGTCTGGAACTCCCGACCTCAGGTGATCCTCCCACCTTGGCCTCCCAAAGTGTTGGGATTACAGGCCTGAGACACCGCGTCTAGCCAGATTCATCAGTGGCTTTCTGTTTGTGCCTTCATTCTTTCCCCGTTGGCCCCAAGAATACTAGCTGGTGGCGCTTGTGGCTGCAGCATTTACCCAGAGATAACTTTGCCGTGAAATATCTCACCTTTATTATTATTTTTGCATTGCTCTAGTGTATCAACTTTGAAAACAAAAGACATGATTCTATTTATAGTGTTCTGTTTTTAGTAGGGATATTTCCAGATTACTATATTTTACAAAATATGGTATTTTTTACTATATACTATAGTATATTTTACAAAATACAGTAATTCTTGATTGCTGAAAATGTCAGATCCTAGAAAAGTGTAGCATTCCTACGCATGATGTTACTATCATTCTCAAACAGTTGTTGGCTGAAAATTTATCTGATGAATCCAATTTTTCCAAAATTGACGATTCTGATGTTAGTTCTGGTTAGAAATAACTCCAAGAACTGTTTTTATATTTTATTTTCACATTGAAAATCAGTCAGATTTGGCTGGGCACGGTGGCTCACACCTGTAATCCCAGCACTTTGGAAGGCCGAGGTGGGTGGATCACCTGAGGCTAGGAGTTCAAGACCAGCCTGGCCAACATGATGAAACTCTGTCTCTACTAAAAATACAAAAATTAGCCCGGCATGGTGGTACGTACCTGTAGTCCCAGCTACTTGGGAGGCTGAGGCAGGAGAATAGCTTGAGCCTGGGAGGCAGACGTTGCAGTGAGCTGAGATCGCACCACTGTACTCCAGCCTGGGTGACACAGCAAGACTTGGTCTCAAAAAACAAACAAAAACAACAACAACAACAAAACAAAACCCCAAAGAAATATGAATAAAGTGTGTTTTTCTAAAAGAAAAAAAAAAGAAAAGAAGTCAGATTTGCTTCAGCCCCAAAAAGGGTGTTTATGTAAAATTAAGTAAGTGCTGACAGCCAGTTGCACTTTTTTTTTTTCTTAAGGGGAAAATAAGGGACACTGCCTGGAGAGGCTGAACTTAAGAGTCAGCATGAAAATACAGTAAATTCCACCAGGAAGGGGTACAAACAGAGCTGCATTGTGGTTTCCGGAAGCACTGGAGATGAACTCTGGAAACATATTGCCAGAGGTTCAAATCCCACCTCCACTGCTTGCCTCAAATATTCTCATCTGTAAAATGGGCGCATTAAGAATAGGATCTCACCCAGGAGCAGTGGCTCATGCCTGTAATCCCAACACTTTGGGAGGCGGGTGGATCACTTGAGGTCAGAAGTTCGAGACCAGCCTGGCCAACATGGTGAAATCCCGTCTCAACTAAAACTACAAAAAATTAGCTGGGCGTGGTGACACGTGCCTGTAATCCCAGCTACTTGGAAGTCCAAGGCAGGAGAATCACTTGAACCCGGGAGGTGGAGGTTGCAGTGAGCTGAGATTGTGCCACTGCACTCCAGCCTGGGTGACAGAGCAAGACTCTGTCTCAAAAAAAAAAGAGTAGGATCTGCCTCATGGACCTGGTGTGGGCATCAGAGGAGTGAGTATATATGGCATACCAAGAACAGAGCCTGGCACCCAACGTTCCAAGTGTTGGTTATTGCAGTGACAGGAACTGAACTCAGACAGCCATGGGTTCAAATCCTGACTCTGTAAGGTATTTCCAAAGTGACCACAGGAGGTGATTCACCTCTCTGAGCCTCAGTCTCTTATCAGGAGAATAGGGATAATGATCAGCCCTGTCCCACAGGATCCTTGAGCATGTAGGGATGCTGGAAACCGCTCAGCATATGCGGCAGGTGAGTGCCTGCCATGAGCTCCATAAACAGAAACACCAGCTCTAACTTGTTGGCTTCTGACTCTTGGTGTCTTTTGACTTCTCATTTCCCTTGGTTGAGATGGTTGGTATTGTTATCAGGCATGGATGATGTCCACACGCCCAACACCCCAGGGTTGCTGGGGAAAAGACAGGATTGTCCTCCCCATTGTAAGATACAGAAAGCCAGAGGTGAGGAAGCTATTACTTGGCCAGAGGAGGCCTGACCCAGGTTGGGGGTTGAGAGAATGGCCTCCCAAAGGAGCTAACGTCTAAGCTTAGCCCTGGAGAATGAGCAGGAGATAATCACACTTAGCAGAAAAGGTAATACAAAAGAAAAATAAAATAAAGCATGTGCAAAGCCTCATTAAGTTTGAAAGAAGCTGCTGTCTGAAGAGGGCACCTATCCAGACTTCCACAGCTCTAGGATTCCCTCTGCAATTTTTTCGTTTGTTTTTTGAGACCAAATCTTGCTCTGTTGCCAGGCTGGAGTGCAGTGGCGCGATCTCGGCTCACTGCAACCTCCGCCTCCTGGGTTCAAGCAATTCTCCCACCTCAGCCTCCCAAGTAGCTGGGACTAAAGGCACATGCCACCATGCCCAGCTAATTTTTGTATTTTTAGTAGAGAAGGGTTTCACCATGTTGGCCAGGATGGTCTCTATCTCTTGACCTTGTCATCCACCCACCTCAGCCTCCCAAAGTGCTAGGATTACAGGCATGAGCCACCAGGCCCGGCCCCCTCTGTAATTTTTAAATTTTTAAAAAATTTTTATTTCTTTTAGAGAGTCTCGCTCTGTTGCCCAGGCTGGAGTGCAGTGGTGCAATCACAGCTTACTGCAGCCTCCATCTCCTGGGCTTCAGCAGTCCTCCCACCTCAGCCTCCTGAGTAGCAGGACTACAGGCACCTGCTACCATGCCTGGCTAATTTTTTTTTTAACACTTTTTGGTAGAGATGGAGTCTGGTAATGTTGCCCAGGCTGGTCTCTGGTCCTGAACTCCTGGGCTCAATCAATCCTCCCACGATACCCTCCCAAAGTGCTGGGATTGCTGGTGTGAGCCACCGCACCCAGCTTCCTTCTACATTTTTCTGTTCCACGCTGTATCCAGAGTCCAGGATTATAGGAAAAAGTGCAAGCCTCTGGCAGTCCATTCCAGTAGATAACATTACCCGAAAGGGAATTCTGGGGGTAGAAGGAGAGCGAGGACTAATGTTACCAGAGGATGGGAGGTGAGCAGGGAGAGCTACATCTGTGGTCTCTGCAGAGCAGACACTTGTCCAGGGAAATCCTTTTCTTTACAATCTTTGTTAGCCAGGCATGGTGGTGCACACCTGTAGTCTCAGCTACTTGGGAGGCTGAAGCAGGAGAATCGCTTAAACCCGGGAGGAGGAGAAGGTTGCAGTGAGCTGAGATTGTACCACTGCACTCCAGCCTGGGTGACAGAGTGAGACCCTGTCTCAAAAAAAAAGAAAAAAAAAAGCCTGCAGGTGGATATTTGGGTGTCTGAGACCTATGAGAAACACCAGCTCTAATTCGTTGGCTTCTGAGCCTTGGTTTATTTTGACTTCTTATTTCCCCTAGTTAATATGTGAGGTCTATGTGCTCTCTTTTTTTCTTTTCCGTTTTTGGGCCAGGCACAGTGGCTCACACCTGTAATCCCAGCACTTTCAGAGGCCGAGGCGGGTGGATCACGAAGTCAGGGGTTTGAGATCAGCTTGGTCAACATGGTGAAACCCCGTCTCTACTAAAAATACAAAAATTAGCTGGGTGTGCTGGTGGGTGCCTGTAATCTCAGGTACATGGAGGCTGAGGCAGGAGAATTGCTTGAACCTGGGAGGCAGAGGTTGCAGTGAGCCTAGACTGCACCATTGCACTCCAGCCTGGGCGACAGAGCAAGACTCTGTCAAAAAAAAAAAAAAAATTCTTTTTTGAATTGACAAATTAAATTGTATATATTTATGGTGTACAACATGGTGTTCTGAGATACGTATATGTGGTGGAATGGCTAAATCGAGGCAATAAACCTATCTGTTCCTTTGCATGCACGTCATTTTTTTGTGGTAAGAATAGTTACATCTACCCTCTTAGCAATTTTCAAGGATATGCTACATTGTTCATTGTTATTAACTACAGTCACCATGTTGTACAATAGATCTCTCGAACATATTCCTCTTGTTCAACTGAAACTTTGTATTCTTTGAGCAATGTCTCTGCACCCACATCTTCTCCATATGCTCCTGATCATAGAATGCTGAATGTGGGGTCTCAGCGTCCTATGAGGTCTCATAGGACGAGTATCTCATAGGTCTCAGATACACAAATATCCACTGGGGGACTCACAAAGATTAGAAAGAAAAGGGTTTCCCTGGAAAAGTGTCTGCTCTGCAGAGACCACAGATGTAGCTCTCCCCTCCCACCTCCCATCCCCTGGTGATATTGGTCCTCGCTCTCCTCCTCCCCCCATAATTCCCTTTCAGGTAATGTTATCTACTAGAAGTGACTGCCAGAGGCTTGCACTTTCTCCTATAATCCTTGTTCAGTGTATCCAGGAGTGTGGACTCTAGAGGCAGGAAGACCAATGTGGTGGTTTTAACATATCCATCAGTTCTTTCATACTCTTCAGGTGGTAGAGACTAATCCCTCTCTCCTTGAACATAGACTTAGTGACTTGTTTCTCTCTCTCTCTCTCTCTCTCTTTTTTTTTTAAGACAGAATTTTGCTCTGTTGCCCAGGCTGGAGTACAGTGGCATGATCATAGCTCATTGCAGCCTCCAAGTCCTGGGCTCAAGTGATCCTCCTACATGAGCCTCCCAAGTAGCTGGGATGACAAGCATGTGCCACCACACCCAGCTGACTTTTTGTTTGTTTGCAGAGATAGGATCTTGCTATGTTGCCCAGGCTGGTCTTGAACTCTGGGCCCAAGTGGTCTTCCTGCCTCAGCCTCCCAAAGTGCTGGGATTACACGTATGAGACACTATGCCCAGTGTGACTTGTTTCTATTGATCAGAAAAAGGAGCACATGACAGTTTGTGACTAGGTCATACGTGCCATTGTGGCATCCTCGTTGCTCTCTCTTTCCAGGGTCATGCACTGGGGAGTAGCCAGTCGCCATGTTGTAAGGAGATTCAAGCAGTGCTGTGGAGGAACTGAGCCTCCCACCAACAGTCATGTGAGTGAGCTGCCTTGGAAGCAAATCTTCCCACCCCAGTCGAACTTTCAGATGAGCCAGCCCTGGTCAATGGCTTGACTATAACCTCAAGCAAGAGCTTGAGCCAGAATTATTCAGCTCAGCCACCCCCAGACTCCTGATCCTCAGAAACTGTAAGAGACTAAAAGTTCCCTATTTTAAGCTGCTAAGTTTTGGAGTAATTTGATACACAGCAAGAGATAACCAATACACCTAAGAAGCAGTTTTCACCATTAATAAAATGAGGGTAATAATGTGTCTAACTAGGGCCAGGTGTGGTGGCTCATGCCTGTAATCCCAGTACTTTGGGAGGCCAAGGCGGGTGGATCATGAGGTCAGGAGATTGAGACCAGCCCGGCTAACATGGTAAAACCCCGTCTCTACTAAAAATACAAAAAACTATGCAGGCATGGGGGCACACGCCTGTAGTTCCAGTTACCCGGGAGGCTGAGGCAGGAGACTCACTTGAATCTGGGAGGCGGAGGTTGCAGTGAGCCAAGATGACACCACTGCACTCCAGCCTGGGTGACAGAGCGAGACTCTGTCTCAAAAATAAATAAATAAATAAATAAATAAAGGGTCTAACTTCATGGAGTTTGAGGGTTAAGGTGATACAATAATAAAACTGTGCCTGGCACAGATTAAATGCTTAAATACTATTAGTTATTATTGGTATTATTATTATTCCACCATGCTAAATAGTTGCAGCTACTCATAGAAAAAATCCTGATACCAGCAAAATTTGAATTGGAGAAGCCAGCAAATTTCATATCAGACAGAACCTTATAAGGTGGGTGAAAGAGTTTAGGCTTTACCCTCGGGGCAATAAAAGGAGGTTCAGCAAAGGAGCCACAGGCTCAGGTTGGAATTTTATGTTTGTGTTTTGTAGGTGGGTATTGGACAGGATGGGTTCACAGGTGGGCAGATAGGGAGGAGGCTGGGGATACAGCCAGGAGAGAGAAGAGAACAGTGGCCTGGTCTGGGGCAGGGGCTATAGTGACGGAGAATTTAGGAGGCAGGAACAACCGAATTTGGGGACTGTCTAGATGTAGCAGGGGAGTTTGAGACAGAAGAAGGATTCGACATTTGGAGGCTGGGCTAAAGAGTTGGAAGGTTTTGCAATCAAACCCAGATCCCTTCTGGGGATGGGGATGGGATGAGGCTTGCCACGGACCTGGCAGCTTGGGGAAAACACAGATTTAGTATATGATGGGTCCAGAGGTCAGAGTCCTCTCGAGTCTCATGGGACTAAAACCAAGATGCCAGCAGGGCTGCAATCCTTCCCGAGGCTCCAGGGCAGAATCCATTCCTTGTCCTTTCTGGCTTCTGGAGGCAACCCACATGCCCTGGCTCATGGTCCCTTCCTTCCTATGCAAAGCCAGCAGCTAGCAGTTTCAAATGTCTCTTGCGTACTCTAAATCTCTCGTTCTTGCTCTCTCTCTCTCTCTCATTTTCCCTCTCTCTTGCTCTCTCATTCTCTCTCTTTTTCTCTGTCTGTCTCTCTCTCAAGTTCTCTCTCTTGCTTATTCTCTCATTTTTCCCTCCCTCTTGCTCTTTCATTCTCTCTTTTTTTTTTCTCCTTTTTTTTTGAGACAGAGTCTCAGTCTGTCACCCAGGCTGGAGTGCAGTGGTACGATCTCGGCTCACTGCAACCTCCGTCTCTCGGGTTCAAGCGATTCTCCTGCTTCAGCCTCCCGAGTAGCTGGGATTACAGGCATCTGCCACCATACCTGGCTAACTTTTGTATTTTTAGTAGAGATGGGGTTTCACCATATTGACTAGACTGGCCTTAATCTCCTGACCTCAAGTGATCCGCCCGCCTCGGCCTCCCAAAGTGCTGGAATTACAGGCGCGAGCCACTGCGCCTGGCCCATTCTGTCTGTCTTGTTCACTCTCCTTATTGCTCTTGTTCTCTCTCTCTCTCTCTCGTTCTCTCTCATTCTTTCTCTCTCTCTCACTCTCTGTGTATCTCTATCTCTCCATCTCTCTCTCTCTCCCTGATCCTCCTGTCTCCTTCTCGTAAGAATTCTTGTAATGACATTAGGCAGAGGTTGCAGTGAGCTGAGATCGTGCCATTGCACTCCAGCCTGGGCAGCAGAGTAAGACTCTGTCCCCACTCCCCCCACCTCCCCCCCAAAAAAATAGCCCTTAACTGAATCCCATCTGCAAAAGTCCCTTTTGTCATAGAAGGGAACACATCCTTGGGCTTTAGGGATTAGGCTGTAGGTGCCTCGTGGAGGGAGAGGAGGCCCTTTATCCCACCTACCACAGGCAGGGTATCGGGTCCTAGTGAGACACTGAAAACCCAAGACTCCAGACACCCTTCAAACCCACAGAGGTGACCGAAGCTATATAAAGACTGTCCTGCAGCGGCCCTGCAGAGTTGCGGGTGGGGGTGTAAGAACAGGAAGGGGAAAGATGTGGAAGAGGAAATCAACAATTCTGGCCAAGAAGCTTACAAAATCTAACCCCTAATGACTTCCCTAGCAAAGGGGAATACAAGGGACTCTCAAGATTGAAGAAATCAGCCTGGGGAGCTGCAGGAACATCACTTACCGTCACACAGAGTGCCGGGAAGGGGCAGGGAAGTTGGGGAATCCCTGCCTAACCTGTCCACGCCCTGCTTAGACTCTAAACCCTTCCATGGCTCCCTATTGCCCTCAGGATGAAGTTCAGGCTTATTAATATGGCACTCAAGGCTCTACGTAGTCTGACTCTGGTCTCCCCATCTTGTTTTATTGATCTCCACTCCCCCTAAAGCCCTAGTGATCAGCTAGACACAGTGGCTCATGCCTGTAATCCCACCACTTTGGGAAATCAAGGCAGGAGGATCGCTTGAGCCCAGGAGTTCAAGGCAACATACTGAGATCCTGAATCTACAGAAAAAAATTTTTTTTTAATTAGTTGGGCATAGTGGCTGGTGCACACCTGTGGTCCCAGCTACTCAGGAGGCCAAGGTGGGAGGACTGTTTGAGCCCAGGAGTTCAAGGCCAGCTTGAGCAACATGGAGAAACCCCATCTCTATAAAAGAAAATTTTTAATAAGCCAGGCCTAGTGGTGTATGCCTGTAGTCCCAGCTACTCGGGAGGATTGCTTGAGCCCAGGAGGTCAAGGTCACAGTGAGCCGTGATGGCACCAGTACACTCCAGCCTGGGCAACAGAGTGAGACCCTGTCTCAAAAAAACAACAACAAAAAGCCCCCCAGTGATTATAAAATACTTGAAGTCCCTGTTGTGGGTGCAGTCAACGCTCTGCTCACTGACCTTTCCCAGGCTGGTGCACCCATCCTGGGGCTGCTGTGAGTGAGTGCTGCCTACAATAGCTCATAGCTCACAGCTTCCCCCTTCTCCTCAGCTGAGCAACTGTGCAAACCCTCAGACCCAGCCCACAGCCATAACGGATGGTCACAGAGGTGCAGAAGGCCAGCCCCATGCCCCCAGGGTGAGACCAACCTGGTGGCACCAGTCACACTCCAGGGCTCCCCATGGGATCCGGCTAAGGCTGGACTCCAGCTAAGACCACTTCCTTGCTTAGCTCATTCCCTTGCTCTGTCCTGATCTTCTCCCTCAAAAACACCTGTGCACAAGAAACCTCACAGCAAGTTCTACTTCAAACTCTCTCTCTTTTTCTTTTCTTTTTTTTGAGACAGGGACTTGCTCTGTTGCCCAGGCTGGAGTGCAACGGCTCAGTCACAGCTCACTGCAGCCTCAACTGCCTGAATTCAAGCAATCCTCCCACCTCAGCCTCCTAAATAGCTGAGACCACAAGCATACCCTACCATACCCTGCTAATTTTTTTTTTTCTCTTTTAGAGATGAGATCTTGCTTTATTGCCCAGGCTGGTCTCAAACTCCTGGGCTCAAACGATCCTCCTGCCTCAGCCTCCCAAAGTGCTGGGATTACAGGCATGTGCCACCAAACCCAGTTCTCTCTTGACACCAAGTCTGAAATGCACATTCACCCCAATCCTATACAACCTTTCTGTGTAAATATCACCTCCTCCAGGAAGCCTTCCTTGACTTCCACTTGAGAGTGAGGCGCCTCCTCCATCCTCCCCCCCCATCACCATAGTCAGTATTATCTATGCTTGCTTGAATGTCTGTTTCCCTCAAAAAACTGAGCATTTTCTCAGGGCAGGGAAAGAATTTCATTGGCTGTTGTATCCTAGAAAATAAAGAAACAAATGAGGAAAAAGAAGGGAAGAGAAATAGATGAATCTACTGAACTTTGCATCCCTACCCCGCTTCCCCAGAAGGAAGACCACAATTCTTGAGGGGGTGAGAAATGAACAGCAGCTGCCCTTTTGCAGGAGAAAAGAATCAGGGTTTCTAAGAGGGAGGTGGATGCAAAGACTTCATTGTCCTCCAAAGACTTCATGGTTTATCTATGGCTCCTAAGGCTCTTTCTTTAAAGGTAGGGGTGGTTTATCAGGCGTCCCGGAGACCCCCCTCCCCAAGCTCAATGATTCTCTAAGAAGACTCAGCATATAGTCTTGCTAATGGTTATGATTTGTTACAGTGAAAGGATACAGAGCAAAAAGTCAGAAGAGGGAGCCAGGTGTGATGGCTCATGCCTGTAATCCCAGCACTTTGGGAGGCCGAGGTGGGTAGATCACTTGAGGTCAGGAGTTTGAGACTAGCCTGACCAACATGGTGAAACCCCGTCTCTACTAAAAATACAAAAATTACTACAAGTCTGTAGTCCCAGCTACTTGGGAGGCTGAGGTAGGAGGATCGCTTGAGCCCAGGAATTTGAGGCTGCAGTGAGCCATGATTGCACCCCTGCACTCCAGCCTGAGTGACAGAGGAAGACCCCATCTCTAAAAAAAGAAAAAAATTGAGAAGGCGTTCTGACAGTCCCACTCTACCCAGATGAAAAGAAATCATTTTCTCAAAAAAATACCCACACTTGTAGGTTTATCACAGCACTATTCACAAGAGCAAAGATATGAAATCAGTCCAAGTGTCTTATCTACAGACAACTGGATAAAGAAAATGTGGTGTATGTGTACTGGGTCTGTCCCGCAGACCCTGGCCGATGGGATGAAATGAGTAGTCAGACACAGGTATGCAGTGTAAGAGCAGCCAGGTGACTGCCTGGCTCTAGCGGCCAGAGAGCAGCCCCGAGAAGCTGGAGCTGCTTGCATTTGTTCAGTGTGGGCACAATGCCAAAAACATGGAGTACACACAACCTGTAGGTAATTAACATTTATTGCTCCCCTTTCAGGGAACATCACATAGGCAGATGATCAAAAGTCAGTTCCTGGTCAACGTAAGTAAACAGGCCTGCTTAAGATAAATTCGCCCACACTCCCTTGTACCTACTCCTTGCCCTCTGCCTCAGGGTTATAGAACAGCTGCCTTCAGCTATTCCTCCCCCGGGGCTCTGCAGAACCTTCCAAACTTTCAGAAGGTTTGAGTCCTTTCCTTATAGTTTTTCCAACCACTCTGACTGAACCCCCCACATATATGAACTGTGGAATACTACTCAGCCATAAAAAAGAATGAGATCATGTCTTTGGTAACACCTGGATGGAACTGAAGGCCGTTATCTTAAATAAAACAACTCAGAAACAGAAAGTCAAATCCACATAGTCTCACTTATAAATAGGAGCTAAATAATGCGTGCACATGGACGTAGAGTGTAGAATAATAGACACTGGGGACTTGGAAGGGTGGAAGGGGAGTGAGGGATGAGAAATTACTTAGTGGGTTCAATGTACATGGCTCGGGTGATGGCTACACTAAAAGCCCAGACTTCACCACTAAGCAGTAATCCATGTACCAAAACTGGACTTGTACCTCATACATTCATGCAAATTTTTGAAAAAAGACAGAAAAGAAGCCAGACACAAAGAGGGAATAAACTAAAAGGATCTTGTATTATCCAAGATTCTCCAGAGAAACAAAACTAAGAGGAGAAACAGAGAGACAGAGAGAGGGAGACAGAGAGTCAGAAAGAGAGAGAGAGTGATTTTAAGGAACTGGCTCACGGGATTGTAGGGGTTACAAGTCCGAAATCCCTAAGGCAATCTGACAGGCTGCAGATTCAGGTAAGAGGTGATACTGCAGTCTTGGGCCCAAAGGCTTAAAGCACAGGCAAAATGTCTTTCTTCTTTTAAAATTTATTTTATTTTATTTTATTTATTTTTTGAGACAGAGTCTCACTCTGTCACCCAGGCTGGAGTGCAATGGCGCAATCTTGGCTCACTGCAACCTCTGCCTCCTGGGTTCAAGCGATTCTCTCGCCTCAGCCTCCTGAATAGCCGGGATTACAAGCATGCACCACCACGCCCGGCTAACTTTTGTATTTTTAGTAGAGATTAAAAATGGGGTTTCACCATGTTGGCCAGGCTGGTCTCGAACTCCTGACCTCAAGGTGATCCACCCACCTTGGCTTCCCAAAGTGCTGGGATTACAGGCGTGAGCCACCACACCCAGCTTTGTTTCTTTTTCTTTTTTTTTTTTTCCCCGAGAGGGAATTTCACTCTTGGGTTGCCCAGGCTGGAGTGCCATGGCGTGATCTCGGCTCACCGCAACCTCCGCCTCCCGGGTTCAAGCAATTCTCCTGCCTCAGCCTCCCGAGTAGCTGGGACTACAGGCATGTGCCACCATACCCAGCTAATTTTGTATTTTTGGTAGAGATGGGGTTTCACCATGTTGGCCAGGCTGATCTTGAACTCCTGACCTCAGGTGATCCACCCACCTCGGCCTCTCAACGTGCTGGGATTACAGGTGTGAGCCACCGCACCCAGCCTTGTTTCTTTTTAAAAACATTTTTAAATGTGTATTTTTAGTTCTGGGGTACATGTGCAGGATGTGCAAGTTTGTTACACAGGTAGACATGTGCCATGGTGGTTTGCTGCAGCTATCAATCTGTCGCCTAGGTATTAAGCCCAACATGAGTTCACTATTTTTCCTAATACTTTCCCTCTCCCAACCCCACCCCCTGACAGGCCTCAGTGTGTGTTGTTCCCCTCCCTGTGTCCATATGTTCTCATTTTTCAGCTCCCACTATAAGTGAGAACATGTGGTATTTGGTTTTCTGTTCTTGCGTTAGTTTGCTGAGGATAATGCCTTCCAGCTTCATCCGTGTCCCTGCAAAGGACACGATCTCATTCCTTTTTATGGCTGCATAGTATTCCATGGTATATATGTACCACATTTTCTTAATCCAGTCTATCATTGATGGGCATTTGGGTAGATTCCATGTCCTTGCTATGTGAGTAGTGCTGCAATGAAAGTACACATACATGTATCTTTGTAATAGTATCATTTATATTCCTTTGGGTATATTTGCAGTAATGGGATTGTTGGGCCAAATGGTATTTCCGGTTCTAGATCTTTGAAGAATCACCACACCATCTTCCACAAGGGCTGAACTGATGTACTTTCCCACCAACAGTGTAAAAACATTCCTATTTCTCTGCCACCTCGCCAGCATCTATTGTTTCTTGACTCTTTAATAGTGGTCATTCTGACTGGCATGAGATGGTATCTCATTGTGGTTTCAATTTGCATTTCTCTAATGATCATTGATGTTGAGCTTTTCTTCATATTTTTGTTGACTGCATGAATGTCTTCTTTTGAGAAGTGTCTGTTCATGTCCTTTGCCCACTTTTCAATGGTGTTGTTTGTCTTTTTCTTGTAAATTTGTTTGAGTTTCTTGTAGATTCTGGATATTCGACCTCTGTCAGATGGATAAATTGCAAAGATTTTCTCCCACTCTGTAGGTTGCCTGTTCACTCGTTTTTTGTTTGTTTGTTGCTTTTGTTTTTGTTTTGTTTTGTTTTTTGAGACAGAGTCTTGCTCTGTTGCCCAGGCTGGAGTGCAGTGGCACAATCTCGGCACTGCAGCCTCAGCCTCCTGGGCTCTAGTGATCCTCCCACCTCAGCCACCCCAGTAGCTAGGACTACAGGCATGTGCCATCATGCCCAGTTAATTTTTTGTTTGTTTGAGATGGAGTCTTGCTCTGTCACCCAGGCTGGAGTGCAGTGGCATAATCTCGGCTCACTGCAACCTCCTTCTCCCAGCTTCAAGCAATTCTCCTGCCTCAGCCTCCCATGTAGCTGGGATTACAGGCACCCACCACCACGCCCCGCTAATTTTTATATTTTTAGTAAAGACAGGGTTTCACCATGTTGGCCAGGCTGGTCTCAAACTCTTGACCTCATGATCCACTCTCCTCAGCCTCCCAAAGTGCTGGGACTACAGGCGTGAGTCACCAGGTCCGGCCATTGCCTGTTCACTCTGATGACAGTTTCTTTTGCTGTGCAGAAACTCTTTAGTTTAATTAGATCCCATTGGTCAATTTTTGCTTTTGTTGCAATTCACAGGCAGAATTTCTATATCTCTATGTTAAAGTCTGAAGTCAGAATTCCTTCTTCTTCGGGAAACCTATCTTTGCTCCTAAGGAATTCAATTGATTAGAAGTGGCCCACTTACTTTATAGAGAGTCATCTAATTTACTGAAAGTCAACTGACTATAAACATTAATCATAGCTTAAAAATACCTTCCCACAGTCTAGACAAGTTGACATATAAAATTAACCACTCTATGTATTTGAAATTCTAGAAAACACAAACCATATATGGTTAGGGGTAGAGAAAGCAAATCAGTGGTTACCTAGGGCCGGGGTGGAGGGAAGGATGAATTACAAGAGGGTCCCAGGGGACTTAGGGGAATGATGGAAATGATCTATGTATATTCTTTAAGATGGAGTCTTATTCTGTTGCCTAGGCTGGAGTGCAGTGGTGCAATCTCGGCTCACTGCAACCTCTGCCTCCTGGGTTCAAGCAATTCTCCTGCCTCAGCCTCCCAAGTAGCTGGGATTACAAGCGCGCACCACCATGCCCAGCTAATTTTTGTATTTTTAGTCGAGACGGGGTTTCACCATGTTGGCCAAGCTCGTCTCCAACTCCTGACCTCAAACGATCTGCCCACCTTGGCCTCCCAAAGTGCTGGGATTACAGGCATGAACCACCGTGCCCGGACTGATCCATATTTTTACTGTAGCATTGTTAACAGTGCTTGTCAAAACATCACATTGTACACTGCCAAAGCATGCCATTTGTTGTACACAAATTATTCCTCAATGAAGTTGATAAAATAGGCCCCAAAATAAAACAGCACCCACCATCCTGTCCAATTATTTTATGGTGCATTCTGCATGAGGGGACCACGTTATTCGTCAGTGCATGTTCTACAAAGCAACCAAATTATTTTATGCTGCCTGCTAAATGGAGGAATCAAATTGTTTTATTGTGTGTGCCATATAAAGGGACCTAATGACATTGGTTTTGTACATCTCCAATGAAATGTGATCTCTTAAATTTCTTTTAATATAGAGTTGATCTCATTGCACAATGTTGAAGACATGTGACCAGCCGCGTGCGGTGGCTCACGCCTGTAATCCCAGCACTTTCGGAGGCCGAGGCGGGTGAATCACCTGAGGTCAGGAGTTCAATGTAGGGTCCAGCCCTATGGGGCTTAGCGGGTGTTCTCCCCGTGTGCGGAGATGAGAGATTGTAATAAATAAAGACACAAGATAAAGAGATAAAGAGAAAGCAGCTGGGCCCGGGGGACCACTACCATCAAGATGCGGAGACTGGTAGTAGCCCGGAACAGCTGCGCACGCGGATATTTACCGCATACAAGACAAGGGGGCAGGGTAAGGAGGGTGAATCTTCTAAGTGATCGACAAGGTGAGGCAAGTCACGTGATTACAGGATGATGACAGGATAGGGGGCCCTTACCTTTTAGGTAGCAGAGAGAGAAGGCAGCATACGTCAGCGTTTTCTTCTCTGCACTAATAAGAAAGATCAAAGACTTTAAGACTTTCACTATTTCTGCTACCACTATCTACTGTGAACTTCAAAGAGGAACCAGGAGTACTGGAGGAGCATGAAAGTGGACAAGGAGAGTGACCACTGAAGCACAGCACCACAGGGAGGGGTTTAGGCCCCCGGATGACTGCGGGCAGGCCTGGATAATATCCAGCCTTCCACAAGAAGCTGGTGGAGCAGAGCGTTCCCTGACTCCTCCAAGGAAAGGAGACTCCCTTTCGCGGTCTGCCAAGTAACGGGTGCCTTCCCAGACACTGGCGTTACCGCTTGACCAAGGAGCCCTCAAGCAGCCCTTATGCGGGCATGTCAGAGGGCTCACCTCTTGCCTTCTAGGTCACTTCTCACAATGTCCCTTCAGCACCTGACCCTATATCCGCCGGTTATTCCTAGGTTATATTAGTAATGCAACAAAGAGTAATATTAAAAGCTAATGATTAATGTTTATAATAATGATTAATAACTGTTCATGATCATCTCTATATCTAACTTGTATTATGACTATTCTAACTATTTTCTTTATTATACTGAAACAGTTTGTGCCTTCAGTCTCTTGACTCGGCACATAGGTAATCCTCCGCCCACAGTTCGAGACCAGCCTGGCCAACATGGTGGAGCTCTGTCTCTGCTAAAAATACAAAAATTAGCCGAGTGTGGTGGTGCATACCTGTAATCCCAGCTACTCAGGAGGCTGAGGCAAGAGAATTGCTTGAACCCCAGAGGTGGAGGTTGCAGTGAGCTGAGATCATGCCACTGCACTCCAGCCTGGGCAACAGAGCAATACTCCATCTCAAAAAAGAAAAAAGAAAAAAAGAAAAAGACATATGACCTTATAAACCTTAGCAACAATCTAACCATATACTTCCTTAAAAACTAAAATAAAGCAACAAAAACTGTTGCAATTTTTGTTTCCTAACTGCAGGCTGCTGATAAGAAATACATCTTGGAAACCTTTCCCCAGTCCTGTTTAGAGCTCGGGGCACAGGCTGGTGAACTTACACAGTGGGCAGCTGTGTGTTTATCCACTCCCTTTGCAAGGGACACCTAACGTCTGCAAGCGTTGCTGTGCACAGATTCTCCCTCTGCCAATTTCTGCAAGGGTTTCTGGCTGAGCTCCAAGCCAGTTCCCCGAATGGTTTTACTTATCCTTGCATCTCACAGGGGGCAGAAGAACCAGCTAGAGGAACTGATAGTCTAGACTGTCTTTGGACATTATGAGAAGATGACCCAGAAGAATATGTGAAAGTGCAAAATGACTGAAGAAAAAAATAATAAATCATCTTATTCATCCCCAAAGATAGGGCCCCTGAGACCAGGCAGACGGGGAGCTGAATTTGAAGGAAGTGGGTCTCAAAGAATCTAGAGAAAGAAAATGGATCTCCAGGCCTAAGCCTCTGAGAAGATAGAGGGTTCTGGGAAGTGGAGGAGCTACACAAAGATACAGCCTAAATAACGGGCAATAGACTGGGCACGGTGGCTCATGCCTGTAATCCCAGCACTTTGGGAGGCTGAGGTGGGCGGATCACAGGTCAGGAGTTCAAGGCCAGCCTGGCCAATGTGGTGACAACACATCTCTACTAAAAATACAGAAATTAGCCAGGCATGGTGGTGGATGCCTGTAATCCCAGCTACTCAGGAGGCTAAGGCAGAAGAATTGCTTGAACCCAGGAGGTGGAGGTTGCAGTGAGCCAAGATCACACCACTGCACTCCAACCTGGGTGACAGAGCGATACTCTGTCAAAAAAAATAAAAAAATAAGGGACAATATATTCTGTTAGCCCACAGAATGGGCTTTTCTGGCGATAGACCTAGTTTCACTGTATTGGTCTGTTAGGAATGCCATAACTAAGTACTACAGACTGGGTGAGGGTTGGGGTTTATTATTATTATTATTTTTGCTTTTGTTTTGGGATGAGGGTCTTGCTCTGTTGCCCAGGCTGGAGTGCAATGGTACAATCATAGCTCACTGCAGCCTCAGCCTCCTGTGCTGAAGCCATCCTCTCACCTCACCATGTTGGTCAGGCTGGTCTCGAAATCCCAACCTCAGGTGATCCACCTGCCTTGGCCTCCCAAAGTGTTAGGATTACAGGCGTGAGCCACCGCGCCTGGCCTCCATCTTGCTTCTAACCTCCAAGCTGTCCTTGTTCATTCTTGGGCATAGGCGGAAGTAACCTTGGGAGGAACTTTATAGTTTAAAACAAAGACGATAACAGCCCTTTCCCAAAACAAACCTCCTTCTTGTTTGGGCACTAGACTGCCTTTGTAGGACTAACAAATTAGCCCCAAGATTAGAAATGATGGTTTAGGAGGCATGCAGCTAGAGGCTAAAAGATTCTGACCCTCCCTAAATTGCTCCTAAGATCAGGGCTTGAGATATTTTGCAAACCCTGCACTTGATGGATCAGCTGGCACCACCCAGATTGATAAACTGGCTCATGAGATCTTGTGGTCCCCCACCAGGAACTGACTCAGTGCAAGAAGACAGCTTTGACTCCCTGTGATTTCATCCATGACCGATCAGCACTCCTGGCTCGCTGGCTTCTCCCAACCCACCAAGTTGTCCTTAAAAGCTCTGCTCCCAGAAAGCTCAAGGAGACTGATTTGATTAATAAAACTCCAGTCTCCCACACAGCCGGCTCTGTGTGAATTACTCTTTCTCTACTGCAATTCCTGTCTTGAGAAATTGACTCTGTCTAGGCGGAGAGCAAGGTGAACCCACTGGGTAGTTACAAGGACACAGGGCAAACAGCTGCCCTGGGTGTGGTGTCTGGTGCCTGTAATCCAAGCTACTCAGGAGGCTGACGGAGGAGGATCGCTTGAGCCTGGTGAGGTTGAGCCTGAAGTGAACTGTGATCGTGCCACTACACTCTAGCCCAGGCAACAGAGCAAGATCCTATCTCAAAAAAAGAAAATGGTAAAAGAGGTACATTTTGCTGGGCATGGTGGCTCACGCCTGTAATCCCAGCACTTTGGGAGGCTGAGGCAGGTGGATCATGAGGTCAGGAGTTCGAGACCAGCCTGACCAACATGGTGAAACCCGTCTCTACTAAAAGTACAAAAAATTAGCCAGGCATAGTGGCACGTGCCTGTAATCTCAGCTACTCAGGAGGCTGAGGCAGGAGAATTGCTTGAACCCGGGAGGCAGAGGTTGCAGTGAGCTGAGATCCCGCCACTGCACTCCAGCCTGGGTGACAGAGTGAGATTCCATCTCAAAAAAAAAAAAAGTACATTTTATGTATGTTTGTGTTTCGTGTCATGAAATGTTTTGTTATGAATTGGAGAGTCAGAGAGAGAGTGTCGGTTTACTGGAGCAGAAAACACCTCAGGAACCAGTACCGGGGTAGAAAAACCTGAACGGTAATTGACGAATCGCTCAAGACTCAGTGTGCAGAAGTCTTAGGGCAGCCCCCGCAGTTTCATAAGTTTTACAAACTTGTCAGAGGAGTTTGAACCAGTGTGACTCCATCTTGAACAGGAGCTGGGTAACATGAGGCTGCGACCTGCTGGGCATTCCCGGGAGATCAGGCATTCTTAGTCACAGGATGAGATAGGAGGTCGACACAAGATACAGGTCATAAAGACCCTACTGATTAAACAGGCTGCGGTAGAGAAGCCAGCCCAAATCCCACCAAAACCAAGATGGCGACAAAACTGACCTGTGGTTGTCCTCATTGTTCATTCTTATTATACACTAATTATCATGTATTAGCTGCTAAAAGAAACTCCCGCAAGCGCCATGACAGTTTACAGATGCCATGGCAATGTCCGGAAGCTATCCTAGAGAGTCTAGAAAGGCGAGGAACCCTTAGTTCTGGAAAATCCTCAACCCCTTCCCAGAACACTCCTGAATAATCCACACCCCGTGTTGTAACCGAGTGAGTTGCAGAGAAATGCCACACTCTGAGATGAATTCAGGCGACCGAGAGAAGGCTAGTGCTCAAAATTCTCTCGGCCCTGAGGAAGGGGCTAGATTTCTTTCTTTCTTTCTTTCTTTCTTTCTTTCTTTCTTTTTTTGAGGCAGAGTCTCGCTCTGTCGCCCAGGCTGGGGTGCAGTGGGACGATCTCGGCTCACTGCAAGCTCCGTCTCCTGGGTTCACGCCATTCTCCTGCCTCAGCCTCCCGAGTAGCTGGGACTACAGGCGCCCGCCACCACGCCTGGCTAATTTTTTTGTACTATTTTAGTAGAGACGGGGTTTCTCCGTGTTAGCCAGGATGGTCTCGATCTCCTGACCTCGTAATCCACCCGCCTCAGCCTCCCAAAGTGCTGGGATTACAGGCATGAGCCACTGTGCCCGGCAGGAACCATTTTTAAATATGCCAAAGCATTCTGTTCTTTTTTTACTTTTCTTTTTTTTTTTTTTTTTTTGAGACAGTCTCACTGTAATGCCCAGGCTGGAGTGCAGTGGTGCGATCTCGGCTCACTGCAAGCTCCGCCTCCCGGGTTCACGCCATTCTCCTGCCTCAGCTGCCCGAATAGTTGGGACTATAGGCGCCTGCCACCATGTCCGGCTAATTTTTTATATTTTTAGTAGAGACGGGGTTTCACCGTGTTAGCCAGGATGGTCTCGATCTCCTGCCCTTGTGATCCGCCTGCCTCGGCCTCCCGGAGTGCTGGGATTACAGGCATTAGCCACCATGCCCGGCCTCAAAAACTTTTTTATTTTTAAAGTTTTAAATAAAAACTTGCTAGCATGTTACTCCACTTTATTTTTCTCCATGGAGCTAATCTCTAAGTAAACTCCAGCTGAGGCCACATCCTCGCCCAGCTCCTTCCTCTGCCCCTTCCTGCTGCCTGTGGCCAGCATGGCCAAGGCAGGAAGGGAGATGCAGATTACATAGGACCTTATGGTTATCCCCGTGCCTGAGCTCTCTGATGTTAGTTGTGCTTTTGCTGGGTGGACTGGAGGCAAGGAAAGTGAGGATACTTATGATGACTTGAAATCAGCTGTGGGCCAGGTGCGGTGGCCCACACCTGTAATCCCAGCACTGTAAGAGGCCGAGGCGGGCAAATCATCTGAGGTCGGGAGTTCAAGACCAGCCTGGCAAACAGCCAAACCCCATCTCTACTAAAAATACAAAAGTTAGCTGGGCTTGGTGGTGGGCACTTGTAATCGAGCTACTCAGGCAGCGGAGGCAGGGAGAACTGCTTGGAACCCAGGAGGTGGAGGTTGCAGTGAGCTGAGATTGTGCCACTGCATTCCAGCCTGGGCAACAGAGCAAGACTCTATCTCAAAAACAAAAAAACAAAAAACAAAAAAAAAAGAAGAAAAAAGAAATCAGATGCGGTGGGACTATTTACACCATAGGAATGGGCACATTCTATGCGAATATCCACTGTTTGAATCATCCCCACTCCGGCCAGGCATGGTTCACACCTGTAATCCCAGCACTTTGGAAAGCCAAGGCAGGTGGATAACCTGAGGTCAGGAGTTCGAGACCAGCCTGGCCAACATGGTGAAACCCCGTCTCTACTCAAAAGAAAATACAAAAATTAGCTGGGCGTGGTGTCGGGCTCTTGTAGTCCCAGCTACTCGGGAGGCTGAGGGAGGAGAATCACTTGAACCTGGGAGGTGGAGGTTGCAGTGAGCCAAGATCACACCATTGCCCTCCAGCCTGGGCGACAGAGTGAGACTCTTTCTCAAAAATAAATAAATAAATCACCCCCACACCACGGCTCCCCAAATCCTGCAGCTTAGAGCTCAAACATCCAAACCTGACTTCTGAGGCCCCCTAACAGCCTTCTCTTTGGAAACAGTCTAATCAGAGAGTTTGAGACACTGAAGCCAAATCACCGAAGGCCACCAGAGGGCACTACATAGCTTCAAATTGGTGCTGTGGGGTTACAATGGGCAAGATACGCGGAACTTGGTTCCGCGGCTCAAATGCCAGGACAATGCGGAAGTGTTGGCTGCCTAAGAACAAGTCCCGCCTTGCGTGAATGGTACCCATGAAATATGACAGCTCCCTATGTGACAATCTGCCTCGCGCCTCACTTCATTGCCTGGAATTCCACCATTAGGGAGTCATTCCTTTGGATAAAAAATGTTCCTCTGGAAAAAAAAAAAAAAAGTTCCTCTGGGCCGGGCGCGGTGGCTCACGCCTGTAATCCCAGCACTTTGGGAAGCCGACGCGGGCGAATCACCTGAGGTTAGGAGTTCGAGACCAGCCTGGCCAACATGGTGAAACCCCATCTCTACTAAAAATACAAAAATTAGCTGGGCGCTGTAATCTCAGCTACTCGGGAGGCTGAGGCAGGAAAATCGCTTGAACCTGGGAGGCGGAGGTTGCAGTGAGCCAAGATCGCGCCACTGTGCTCCAGCCTGGGAGACAAGAGCGAGACTCGGTCCCACCCCCACCCGCCCCCCCCACAAAAAATGTTTCTCTTCCAGAAAATATTAAATAGTTCAAGTTGAGACCCCTAGAAAGCACTAGAAATTAAAGACGTGGGAAGAATCCTCAGACCACAGAAAACAGCTGTAGGTGGAGACCCTTCCACCTACTTTGTATTTCTCTGCCTTCTCAACAATATGAACGTGTTTGGCTGCGGACGTTGGCTCACGCCTGCAATGCCAGCGCTCTGGGAGATTGCGCTATCGAGGTGGCGCACTACTGCTGCTGTCCATCAGGGGGCAAGCGCGGCTTTAATTTGTGGCTGTCTGCGGTGGGACTGCCTGGCGATGTGTCTGTGTGATGTTTAGGAATGTCCCTGTTTGATCTAGTGGGTGTCTGTCTGACGGCGTTTGAAGTCTATATCCGCTGATTTCATTTGT
The DNA here is from genome assembly GCF_000001405.40 of Homo sapiens. Lineage (NCBI taxonomy): Eukaryota > Metazoa > Chordata > Mammalia > Primates > Hominidae > Homo > Homo sapiens. The sequence continues at coordinate 6,862,790 of NC_000019.10, read as the reverse complement.
CTTTATCAGTGTTTGTAAATTCTTAGGGCTGGGGGTAGGAGTGAGTGAGTGTGTGTGTGTGTGTGTGTGTGTGTCTGTCTGTCTGTATTGGGGGCTGTCCGTTGTACATTCACCATGTTGGCCAGGCTGGTTTCGAACTCCTGAGCTCAAGTGATCCACCTGCCTCGGCCTCCCAAAGTGCTAGGATTATAGGCATGAGCCACCACGCCCGGTCTCCCAACAACTTTTCACCCACCCCACCCCCACTTTCCTCCCTCTCCAAGCAAAATGAGCCCCTTGAAGTTTCCAGAACCTACCAGGATCACTATCATTTGCCCCTCTCCCTAAAAAACTTTCCCTTCATTATTTATTATTATTATTATTGAGTCTCACTCTGTCGTCCAGGCTGGGGTGCAGTGGTGCAATCTCAGCTCACTGCAATCTCTGCCTCCCAGGTTCAAGTGATTCTCCTACCTCAGCCTCCCGAGTAGCTGGGATTACAGGCACCTGCCACCACACCGGCTAATTTTTGTATTTTTAGTAGAGATGGGGGTTTCACCATGTTGCCCAGTCTGGTCTCGAACTCCTGACCTCAAGTGATCCGCCGCCTCGGCCTCCCCAAGTGCCGGGATTACAGACATGGACCACCGTGCTAGGCTGTCCCCTCATTTATTTTCTAGGTGACTCCATCCAGCTGATTATACAGTTGCCACCTTAGATGTTTCCTCCTCCAGGAAGCCCTCCCTGACCATCCTCCCCTACTCAAGCCTGGGTTAGATCTGTATTTGCTCCCACAGCCACCTGTGTTCCTTATGAAATTCATCAACTCTGTGTTATAATTGCCTGGTTGATTGTTAAGTCCCCTACTGGATTATACGTGCTTTTCAGGCAGGTCTGCGCCTGAGTCATTCACACAGCCTGGGGCTGAAGGTGAGGGCCACCCAGGAACTCCAAGAACAAGTCCATGACCTCAACCTCACCAACACCCTGAACTAGACAGCCCAGGTAGCCACCTTAGGCCATAGGTAGGTTCATGGTGTGACTCTGGGGGAGTCACGGGAGGGGCAGAAACCCCCCGTCCTAGTTCCTGATCCCTTGTGACTGCATTGCTTCCTCCAACACCCATTTCTAGATTCATGGTTCCTCAAACATGAAAAACACTTCACTCCAGGCTTCAGAGGCTATATCCTGCACCTGGCCAGGTGTGTGCAGGTACCATCTAGGCGTTGGCTTACCTGGGGTTGCAGAGAGAGCTAGGATATACCAAGATCCCCACCCGGCACTAGAGTGACGGTTAAGAGCGTGGTTCTGTGCTTAGGTGCATACCGACTCTCTGCCTGTGGCGAGCTGATTTTATCTTTCTCTGGTTCAGAGAGGCGAAGTCTTTCCCAAAACTTTATAGCTAATTTCACAGGGGCACAGAGGACCTTAGAATCTCTTGGAGCCCTGACCACTATGCTCTATTTCATATAAAAATAAAAACTGGCCAGGCCCAGTGGCTCACGTCTGTAATCCCAGCACTTTGGGAGGCCGAGGCGGGCGGATCACAAGGCGAGGAGATCAAGACCATCCTGACTAACACGATGAAACCCCATCTCTACTAAAAATGCAAAAAATTAGCCGGGCGTGGTGGCGGGCACCTGTAGTCCCAGCTACTCGAGAGGCTGAGGCAGGAGAATGGCGTGAACCCGGGAGGCGGAGCTTGCAGTGAGCCGAGATCGCGCCACTGCCCTCCAGCCTGGGCGACAGAGCAAGGCTCCGTCTCAAAAACAAAAAAAACAACAACAACAAAAAGAAACCCGGCCGGTTGCAGTTGGCTCACGCCTGTAATCCCAGCACTCTGGGAGGCTGAGGTGGGCAGATCACGAGGTCAGAAGATCGAGACCATCCTGGCCAACATGGCGAAACCCCTGTGTCTCTACTAAAAATACAACTGTTAGCTGGGTGTGGCGGCGTGTGTCTGTAATCCCAGCTACTCGGGAGGCTGAGGCAGGAGAATCGCTTGAACTTGGGAGGTGGAGGTTGCAGTGAGCCAAGATTGCACCACTGCACTGCAGCCTGGCGACAGAGCTAGACTCCATCTCAAAAATAAATTAATAAATAATAAAATAAGATAAAATACCACGAAGCTGGCTGTGAGATTAATCTAGATACTGTGTAGGAAGTGCTTACTTTCATGGCGCCAGACAACACTGAATACTTGACACGGGAGGTGCCTCTGTTAGTAGTATGGTAGGGTAATATATTTGGAAGTATGAACTACTTTTTCCCAAATTAATTTATAGCCCATGATCCTTCCCCAGCCCTGTCAGCTTAGGCCAGCCCATCTTTTTGCCTCCTAAGGGTTATGCTAGCAGCCTGCAGATTTACCCAAAAAGCAACTCCCTGGCTTTTGTTGGTCAGTTGGTTACTTGGTTGTTTCTTTGCTTTGTTTTGTTTTTTGTTCTTTGTTTTTGTTTTTGTTTGAGATGGAGTTTTGCTCTGTCACCCAGGCTGGAGTGCAGCGGTGCAGTCTCATCTCACTGCAACGTCCCCCTCCCAGGTTCAAGTGATTCTCTTATCTCAGCCTCCCAAGTAGCTGGGATTACAGGTACCTGCCACCACGCCCGGCTAATTTTTGTATTTTTAGTAGAGATGAGATTTCACCATGTTGGCCAGGCTGGTCTCAAACTCCTGACCTCAAGTGATCTGCCCGCCTCGGCCTCCCAAAGTGCTGGGATTATAGGCGTGAGCCACTGTGACTGGCCTGGTTGGTTTTTAGAGATGAGGTCTCACTCTGTTGCCTAGGCTGGAGTGCAGTGGTGCAATCATAGTTCACCACAGCCTCCACCTCCTGGGCTCAAGCAATCCTCCCACCTCAGCCTCCTGAGTAGCTGGGACTACAGTTGTGTGCCACCATGCAGAGCTAATTTTTTTATTTTTTTTATTTTTTTATTTATTTTTTTTTTTTGTAGAGAGGAAGATCTTACTATTTTGTGCAGGCTGGTCTCGAGCTCCTGGCCTGAAGCAATCCTCTGCCCTCAGCCTCCCTGGCTTTTGAACTTCAAAATCTTCCTTGGAGATCCTGAATCTTAGTTTATGAGCATTAAAAGTCTAAGGGCTGGGCGCAGTGGCTCACGCCTATAATCCCAGCACTTTGGGAGGCCGAGGCTGGTCGATCACAAGGTCAGAAGATCGAGACCATCTTGGCCAACATGGGGAAACCCCGTTTCTACTAAAACTACAAAAATGAGCCGGGTGTGGTGGCGGGTGCCTGTAATCCCAGCTACTTGGGAGGCTGAGGTAGGAGAATCACTTGAACCCAGGAGGCGGAGGTTTCAGTGAGCCGAGATTGCGCCACTGTACTCCAGCCTGGGTGACAGAGCAAGACACCATCTCAAAAAAAAAAAAAAAAAAAATGCCAGGCGTGGTGGCTCATACCTGTAATCCCAGCACTTTGGGAGGCCGAGGCGGGTGCATCACGAGGTCAGGAGATCGAGACCATCCTGGCTAACAAGGCAAAACCCCGTCTCTACTAAAAATACAAAAAATTAGCCGGGTGTGGTGGCAGGCGCCTGTAGTCCCAGCTACTCGGGAGGCTGAAGCAGGAGAATGGCGTGAACCCAGGAGGCAGAGCTTGCAGTGAGCTGAGACCGCACCACTGCACTCCAGCCTGGGTGACAGAGCAAGACACCGTCTCAAAAAAAAAAGAAAAAAAAAAAGCTTAAGAAAATAAATTTCATGTAATGTATATTTTACTGCAATTTTAATAATTAATAAAGACTATTAAATAAAAAATGGCCAGGTGAGGTGGCTCACGCCTGTAATCCCAGCACTTTGGGAGGCCGAGGCGGGTGGATCACCTGAGGTCAGGAGTTCCAGACCAGCCTGGCCAACATGGTGAAACCCTGTCTCTTCTAAAAATACAAAAAATTAGCTGGGCATGGTGGCGCGTGCCTGTAGTCCCAGCTACTCGGGAGACTAAGGCAGGAAAATCACTTGAACCTGGGGGGCGGAGGTTGCAGTAAGCCAAGATTGCACCACTGCACTCTAGCCCAGGCAACAGAGCAAGACTCTGTCTCAAAAAGAAAAACAAATGAGGCCAGGTGCAGTGGCTCACACCTGTAATCCCAGCACTTTGGGAGGCCAAGGTGAGAGGACTGCTTGAGCCCATGAGATCAAGACCAGCCTGACCAACATAGCAACACCCCCTCCCTACAAAAAATAAAATATTAGCCGGGTGTGGTGGTGCTTGCTTTTAGTCCCAGCTACTTGGGAGGCTGACGTGGGAGGATCGCTTGACACCAGGAGGTGGAGGCTGCAGTGAGCTATGATCGTGCCACTGTGCCCCCGGCTGGGCAACAGAGTAAGACTCTGTCCCTGAAAAAATAAAATAAAATAATTTAAAAAGAAAGAAAAACGAATGAGCGGTACATTTTTGTGATCTTGAATCTTTGAGTATAAAATTCTTTCCTGAGTATAAAAATCTTTGAGTACTAAAAAAAAAAAAGAAAAGAAATTCTCACTTTTATTTATTTATTTCTTTATTTATTTTTATTTTTTGAGACAGAGTTCTTGCTCTGTCACCCAGGCTGGAGTACAGCGTCATGATCTCGGCTGACAGTAACCTCTGCCTCCTGGGTTCAAGCGATTCTCCTGCCTCAGCCTCCCAAGCAGCTGGGATTACTGGCACCTGCCACCACGCCCGGCTAGTTTTTGTATTTTTAGTAGAGACGGGGTTTCACCATGTTGGCCAGGCTGGTCTTGAACTCCTGACCTCGGGTGATCCACCCGCTTCAATCTCCTGAAGTGTTGGGATTACAAGCGTGAGCTACTGCACCCAGCAAATTCCTGCTTTATTTTATTTTATTTATTTATTTATTTTTGAGACGGAATCTCGCTCTGTTGCCCAGGCTGGAGTGCAGTGGTGCGATCTTGGCTCACTGCAACCTCCGCCTCCCAGGTTCAAGGGATTCTTCTGCCTCAGCCTCCTGAGTAGTTGGGATTATAGGCACTGGCTAGTTTTTGTATTTTTAGTAGAGACGGGGTTTTGCCATGTTGGCCAGGCTGGTCTTGAACTCCTGACCTCAGGTAATCTGCCCACCTCAGCCTCCCAAAGTGCTGGGATTACAGGCATGAGCCACCATGCCCAGCCCAAAAGAGGGAATTTCATATCCCAGATTCAAGTTGTATTGTATTAATAGATGACAGAGAACAGCAATCAAGTTAGGAGACAGAAATTGGTGAGAGGGCTTTGTCTGTGGATTGGTGAGGGGCTTTGTCTGTGATTGGTGAGGGGGCTTTGTCTGTGGATTGTTGAGGGGGCTTTGTCTGTGGATTGTTGAGGGGGCTTTGTCTGTGGTTGGTAAGGGGGCTTTGTCTGTGGATTGGTGAGGGGGCTTTGTCAGTGTGGCACACTCTCTCCCCATCTCTCTCCTAGCAGGTCCTTCTGAACGACACCAGTCCTTCTATCCATCTTCATCCTTTTATTAAATGTAACCCCCTTGAGCCCCGTCTGCTTGAGGGGACCCAAGAGGAAATCGGGGTGTTATAAATTAACCATGTCAGGGCACATCCCGGGAGCACCGCCAGCTGGACGCTGGCCTCCTCCAGTCCATCCCAAAGTCTCCACCCGCCGGGAGCTGTCACAGCCCCTGGCTCCGCTGCCTGCCCACGCCGGGCTCAGAGCCTGGAGTTTCTCGTCTCTCTGCCAAGGCACCAGGGCTCAGCAGTATTCAGAATAATCTTCCTCCACGTAGTTGGCAGGGAACCAGCCAACCTGGAAACAGACGAGGAGTTCATCAGTGCAACCTCTGCACATCCTCCTACTGCCCCTCCACACACCAGGCAGGCTCCCTCCCACCTCAGGGCCTTTGCACCTGCTCTTCCTTCTGTCTATCCCAGAAAACACATCACCCAACGTACACAAGGCTGACCACACACACACACACACACACCCATTACCTCCTAAAAGTCCCTCCCTAAATGGCACTTTATCAGCAAGACCTTCCTAGCCATACTATTCAAAATTGCAAGCTCCACCCACCCCAACACTCCTTAGCCCCTTTTCTTTTTCTTTTCTTTTCTTTTTTTTTTTTTTTTCTTTTTTGAGACAGAGTCTCACTCTGCCCCCTAGGCTGGAGTGCAATGGCGCAATCTCAGCTTATTGCAACCTCCACCTCCCGGGTTCAAGTGATTCTCCTGCCTCAGCATCCCGAGTAGCTGGGATTACAGGCGCCTGCCACCACACCCGGCTAATTTTTTTGTATTTTTAGTAGAGACGGGGTTTCACCATGTTGGCCGGGCTGGTTTCAAACTCCTGACCTCCGGTGATCTGCCCATCTCGGCCTCCCAGAGTGCTGGGATTACAGGCATGAGCCACCGTGCCTGGACCCCTTGTCTTGCTTTATCTTTTTCTATAGCACATATCACCGTCTGATTCATTATGTATCATTTGCTTATTTACAAGCTTTTTGTCTGTTCCCCTCCCTGCAACTGCAATGTGAGCTCTACAAGGCAGAATTTTTTTTTTTTTTGAGACACAGTCTTACTCTGTTGCCCAGGCTGGAGTGCAGTGGCGCGATCTCAGCTCACCACAGCCTCCGCCTCCTGGGTTCAAGCGATTCTCCTGCCTCAGCTTAACGAGTACCTGGGATTAGAGGCGCACGCCACAATGCCCAGCTAATTTTTTTGTATCTTTAGTTAAGACAGGGTTTCGCCATGTTGGCCAGGCGGGTCTCAAACTCCTCTCCTCAACTGATCCACCCACCTTGGCATCCCAAAGTGCTGGGATTACAGGCATAAGCCACCACGCCTGGCCAGCAGGGATTTTTGTCTGTATTATTTGTCACTGAATCCCAAGAGCCTAGAACAGTTCCTGGCACACAGTAGATACTTACTGAATATTTTTTGGCTGGATGGATAGATGAATGGATGGATTATTGGATTGATGGGTAGGTGGATAGATAGGTAGATAGATAATGAATGGATAGATAGATAGATAGATAGATAGATAGATAGATAGATAGATGAATGGGTGGATGGATACTTGGGTTGGTGAATGGTGATTGGAAGGGTGAGTGGATGGTGGTCGGATGGATGGATGGATGAATTAATGGACTGGTGAGTAGGTGTATGGATGGATAAATATAGAGATAGATTAACAGATGGGTGCATGCATGGATAGATGGATGGATGCACAGATAGAAATGGATGAATAGATGTTGGCTGGATGGTGGATTAATGGATAGATTAATGTTTTAATGGGTGGGTAGGTGGATAGATGGTTAGATAGATGCGTGAGTGGAAGGGTGGGTGGATGAATGGATAGATGCGTAGGTTGAAATGGATGGATGCATAGGCTAAGATGGATGGATGCACAGATGAATGGATGATTTGTGGATAGATAGATGGATAGATGGATGGATGGATAGATGGATGGATGGATGGATGGATGAATCCTTTACATCCCAATCCTTCCTCAATGCTCCAAAAGCCTCTCTCAAAGCCTAATTGTCCTCCACTGCTCATTAAACTGACCCTCCAATGTTTTAACAAAACTCCTCATCGATGCAATTATCCACATCATTTTTTGTGTATATTTTCCCCAGTAGAATGTAAACTCTAACCACTGTCCTTGTCTTCATTACACAAACATATTTCTGAGAAATCCATCATAAGGCAGAATTCTAGAGGCTGAGAAGTCATCAGTGGATGAAATAAAGAAGGTGCTCTGCCTTCATGGAACAAAAATGAGAACTTGGCAGAAACAAGTGGACTTGAAGACATTTGAAGTCTATTCCACTCCTTGGAATCGGAATTCAAGCAGGCAAAGTGAGCACAGTGGTTTAGTCCCAGCTCTACCTCTTTGTATATTCAGTACTGATTAGGCACCTCTCACCCCAGGGCCTTTGCACACACTGGTCCTTCTGTCTGGAATGCTTTCCCCCAACACATATACAACCTTTTCATTTGCATGACTTTATTTATCCCTTATTAATCAGTTTGGCCTTTCAGAAGTCATCCTGATCCACTCCTAGGGTGGGTCAGGGGCTCCCTCAGTGCTCCCACGCTGCCCTGTGATTCTCCACCACAATCTCTTTTATTCTTTCTTCTTTTTTTTAAAGACAGGGTCTTGTTCTGTCACCCAGGCTGCAGTGGCACAATCATAGCTCACTGCAGCATCCAACTCCTGGACTCAAGCAATCCTCCCACCTCAGCTTCCTGAGTACCTGGGACACACTACCACGCCCAACTAATGTTTTTGTTTTTATTTTTATTTATGTAGAGGTGGGATCTCACTATTTTAGCCAGGCTTGCCTTGAATTTGTGGCCTCAAGAGATCCTCCCACCTCAGCCTCCCAAAGCACTGGGATTACAGGCATGAGCCACCGTGACTGGCACCCTTGTTAGTCTTGACCACTCAGTGTCATGACTGCTTGGTTATAGGTCTGTCCTCCACATTCGATTATAAGTTTCATGAGGGCAATCCTTGTACCGTGCTTGTTTCTGTCTCCTCGACACCCAGCACAATGTCTGCACACAGCAGGTGCTGAATACATGCAGGTAGGTTGCATAAATGCATAAATGACATCCCTGTGTCCCTTCCTTCCCTCCCACCGTGAGAGATCTCCATGGGAGCCGCACCTCACCTTCTCCAGTCCCCAGTTCCAGTCTCGTCCACCACCAGCTCAACCCCCATGCCCTCCCCGTCACCCAGCCCTGCCTGCCTCACCCGGCCATAGATCTCCCCTCGCCACCAGCCTTGCTGTCCCTTCTTGTTAAGGATCTTGATGATGTCACCCTCCTTGAGCGACAGCTCTGATCGGTCTCGGGCGCAGAAGTCATAGCGGGCTTTGGCTGTGCCAAAATACTTTGTGCTTCCCACTGTGGAGAGAGAACAGAAGTGAGAAAAGGGTCTGGGGCAGATACCCACTCACTCTCTGGGGGCACAAGCTCTCAGGACAGTAACTCCAGGATAAAGGGCTCCTCAGTGCTCTTTTCTGCAGAGTATTAGATGCCCTGTACTGTAAGGGGACACAATTGTACTCCCAGCATCATCCTCCCGTCTGAATTTAGAAAATAACACTTTTTTTTTTTTTTGAGATAAAGTCTCTCTCTGTCACCCAGACTGGAGTGCGGTGGCACAATCTCAGCTCACTGCAACCTATGCCTCCTGGGTTCAAGTGATTCTCCTGCCTCAGCCTCCTGAATCACGGGGATTACAGGCCTGTGCCACCATGCCCGGCTGATTTTTATGTTTTTTTTTTTTAGTAGAGATGGAGTTTCACCATGTTGGCCAGGCTGGTCTTGAACTCCTAACCTCAAGTGATCCACCCACCTTGGCCTCCCGAAGTGCTGGAGTTACAGGCATGAGCCACCGCACCCAGCCAGAAAATAAGACTGGTTTGGAATTTTTATTTTTATTTTTTTATTTTGAGGCTGAGGCATGAGAATCCCTCGAACCCAAGAGGTGGGAGGCAAAGGTTGCAGGGAGCTAAGATCGCACCACTGCACTCCAGCTTAGGCAACAGAGTGAGACTCTGTCTCAAAAAATAAATAAATTAATTAATTAAATTATATTATATTAAAATATATATAGGAAGGGATAGACAGGAGTGGAAAGGGGTTCCTGCTACTGCACAGATATGACCTCTGCAAGGCCATTGGAAGGGGTGTCAATGGCATCCCCAAAGTTTCCCTCCACAATGGGAAGGGGCTGAGGCTGTAAGCCCCCAGTCTGAGACCTCCTACCTGCTGGCCTGCTGATGGTTCTCTTTTCAGGCTCCTTGAAGGGGAACTGCAAGGTGGTGTCCAGAGACTTGAAGCAATCCTTTAGAGAGTTCTGCTGGTAAAACTCCACCAGCTCCTAGAAGGCGGACCACATGGCAGATGCTATCCCAGCGGGCCAGCCCATAAGGGGGCAGAGCTAGGAACAGCCATATGCAACTCCTCACATGAAGCAGGCCCTGTTTCTGGCCTCTTTGGAAAGTGACCCCTTGAATACTCCCCATGATGGGGAGTTCATCACCTCCCTGAGCAGCCAGGACTATTTATGGGGAAGGGACCACACTGCCTAAAACAGGTTCTTTCTTTCTTTTTTTTTTTTCTTTGAGACGGAGTCTGGCTCTGTCGCCCAGGCTGGAGTGCAGTGGCGCAATCTCGGCTCACTGCAAGCTCCGCCTCCAGGGTTCATGCCATTCTCCTGCCTCAGCCTCCCGAGTAGCTGGGACTACAGGCGCCCGCCACTACGCCCAGCTAATTTTTTATATTTTTAGTAGAGACGGGGTTTCACCGTGTTAGCCAGGATGGTCTCGATCTCCTGACCTCGTGATCCGCCTGCCTCGGCCTCCCAAAGTGCTGGGATTACAGGCGTGAGCCACCGTGCCCGGCCAAAAACAGGTTCTTTCAATAGTGGACTAACTTACTTCGTGATAAATTTACCAGATAATTAGCTCACCAAATTCAAAACCTTCTATGGGGCCACATGCCTTAATTTACAATTAGCAATCATCATCAGGCCAGATGTAGTGGCTCATGCCTGGAATCTCAGCACCTTGGGAAGTCAAGGTGGGAAGTTCACTTGAAGCCAAGAGTTCAAGACCAGCCTGGGCAACATAGCAAGATCCCATCTCTAAAAAAGATTTAAACAATTAGCCAGGCATGACAGTGCATGCCTGTAGTCTCAGCTATTCAGGAGGCTGAGGAGGGAGGATCGCCTGAGCCCAGGGGTTTGAAGCCACAGTGAGCTATGATCACAACATTGCACTCTAGCCTGGGCCACAGAGCAAGACCCTGTCTCTTGTATTTTTTTTAAAGTAAACCTATATGAAAGGTTCATAGATACTCACTACCCTATTCCAATAACTTGTCTGAAATTTTTCAGAAGTTAAAAATTGGGGGAATATGTTTCAGAATAAAAAGTATGGAGGAAAAAAAAGATTTGTTGAATAAATTAAACTTTGGGGGAGTCAAGGATCCATTTGAGAATCAAGTGAAATCTAAGACAAAAAATACAGATGCATGCAACATTCTGATTTTCTTTCAGAGGACTCAGCTTCTCAAGGGCCCACAGACCATGGGTAAAAACCATATGCCTTAGATCATTAGGCCTAAAGTGTCTAAAATATGGTTGAAAATTACAAGGCACCAAACAGAAGCAAGAACCCTCAAAAGGCATTTGAGTTGTTGCTGAAATGATTATGCAGCAGATTAGGCAAAGACAAGCTATGGGCTCTGCCATTCAGTGAAGCTAGACGAGGAGTAAACCTCAGTTTTACCCATCTGTGAAATGGGAACTCAGAAAGAAGGTTGAGGGGATTAATTAGGTTTCTATCTATAACATATTTGAGGGCTGAATGCAGTAGCTCACACCTGTAATCCCAACACTTTGGGAGGCCAAGACAGAAGGATTATTTGAGCCCAGGAGTTCAAGGCCAGCCTGAGCAACAAAGCAAGTCCCCATCTCTACAAAAAAAAAATTTTTTTTTAAAATTAGCCAGGCATGATGGTGCATGCCTATAGTACCAGCTGCTCGGGAGGCTGAGGCGAGAGATTATTTAAACCAGGAATTTGAGGCTGCAGTGTACTATGATTGCACCACTGCACTCCAGCCTGGGCAACAGAGCAAGACTCTCTTTCTCTCTCTCAATCTCTCTCTCTCTATCTATCTATATATATAAAAATAAACAGATACACGTATATACATGTACCCTACATACATATGTATACATATGTATATATACGTAAGTAAAATTTAAATACACATACATACATATGTATGTATATATGCATATATACACACATACATATATACATAATGCTTGAATATATGTATAAATAAAATTTAAAAATGAACATATCTTACACTTAAGTGCTCTGTCAATATTCAACTGCTGTTATTCATTATTATTCCCATTGTTCATCATTAAGAGCATAAGTTTAAGGTCACTTGCACTGTAGTGCCACTGGAGGGGGGTCACCCTGAATGTGGGAAAAGGGGGTCCCAAGGCGGAGGTGCAGGGAGGGTCCTCCTAGGTTCTGGAAAGCTGGGATTGAGCGGACATTGACCCTTACCGTAAGCCCCCGGAAAGCCTTTTTCTCTGTGATCCGGTACAGTCCTTCTGCTGTCATGATTTTAATGTGCTTGACCTCGACGTTATATCTGGAACCAGATGGTCACCGGGCCCTGAGTCTGGGGACCAGGCCCATTCCCCACCAAGCCCCAGTTATGGAGGAAGCAACCTTGACCCCTTCAGGGAGGAGTAACTACTGGAAACCAAAGACAAGCTGTCCCAACAGAGCCCATTCCCTGGGGCCTTTGCTACTCTAAAGCCTTAATGTCTTCCTCTCGTAGAAGAGGAATCATCTTCCCTGACTCACAGGTTTGTTGAGAAGTCAGTAAGATCTTGTAAAGAAGGCAGTGTTCTAGAATGGATACGAAGAGACCTCCCCTTCCACCAATATAGACAACCATAGGATATAAAGGAAGAGGGAGGAAAGACCCATTTCTGTCAACATGGTGGAAATAGACTAAAAGGGGCCTTGGAGAAGACCTCCACTCCTGCTCATCTGGCAAACTAGATCACAAAAAAAAAAAAAAAAAAAACAAAGAAACAAACAAACAAAACTCTTCCTATTTAAAAAAACACTAGAAATGTTGAGAAAAAAATTGCTGAGCTCTCAAAAAAAAAAAAAGTAAGGGAAATTCACAGGAGCCAAAAATAACAATGAAATTACAAACTCAGCAGCATGTGAGAGAAGGGAATTCCTCTACACTGTGGGCTGGACTGTAAATTGGTTCAGCCACTGCGGAAAGCAGTTTGGAGGTTTCTCGAAGAACTAAAAATAGAACCACCATTTGATGCAGCTACCCTATGACTGGGTATCTACCCAAAGGAAAAAGTAATTGTGCTACCAGAAAGACACACACCCTTGTTTGTTCATCACAGCAGCATTCACAATAGCAAAGACATGGATCGACCCAGGTGCCCATCAACAGTGGACTGGATAAGAAAATGTGGTACATATACACACACTATGGACTACTATACAGCCATAAAGAAGAATGAGATCATGTGCATTGCAGCAGCGTGGATGCACTGGGTGTTATTATCCTAAATGAATTAATACAGAAACAGTAAGCCAAACACCACATGTTCTCACTTATAAGCAGGGGTTAAACATTGGGTACACATGGACATAAAGATGGGAATAATATTGGCCAGGCACAGTGGCTCACGCCTGTAATCCCAGCACTTTGAGAGGCCGAGGCAGGTGGATCACCTGAGGTCAGGAGTTCGAGACCAGCCTGGCCAACATGGTGAAACTTTCCCCCCACCCCCCACCCCACTGTCTCTACTAAAAATACAAAAAAATTAGCCAGGCATGGTGACGTGCACCTGTAAATCCCAGCTACTCAAGAGGCTGAGGCAGAAGACTCGCTTGAACCTGGGAGGTGGAGTTTGCAGTGAGCTGAGATCATGCCATTGCACTCCAGCCTGGGCGGCAAAGTGAGACTCCATCTCAAAAAAAAAAAAAAAAAAAAAGGCTGGAAACAGTAGACTCGGGGGAGCACTAGAGGGAGGAGGGTGGGATGAAAGAGCTGAAAAACTACCGAGTATATGATCACTCCCTGGGTGTTGGGATCATTCATGGCCCCAACCCTCAGCATTGTGCAATATACCTTTGTAACAAACCTGCACATGTGCCCTCTGATTCTAAAATAAGTTGAAAAAAAAAATATATAGGTGGGATGTAGTGGCTCACACCTGCACTTTGGGAGGCTGAGGTGGGAGGATGTTTGAAGGTCAGGAGTATGAGACCAGCCTGGGCAACAAGGAGAGACCCTCGTCTCTACAAAAAATATAAACATTAGCTGGATGTGGTGGTGCACACCTATAGTCCCAGCCACTGGGGAGGCTGAGCTAGGAGGGTCCCCTGAATCTGGGAGGCAGAGGTTGCAGTGAGCTAAGATCTCACCACTGCACTCCAGCCTGGGCAACAGAGACAGACTGTCACCAAAATAACAATAATAATAATAAAATTAAATTAAAAAAATTAGAAATTCCTGGAAGTTAAAAAAAAAGAAAAAACATATATATGAAAATTGGTTAAAAATAAAAGCCTTCAGGCCAGGCACGATGGCTCACGCCTGTAATCCCAACACTTTGGGAGGCCGAGGCGGGTGGATCACTTGAGGTCAGGAGTTCGAGACCAGGCTGGCCAACATGGAGAAACCCCGTATCTACTAAAAATACAAAAATTAGCTGGGCATGGTCACAGGCGCCTGTAATCCCAGCTACTCGGGGGTCTGAGGCAGGAGAATCGCTTGAACCTGGGAGGTTGCAGTGAGCTGAGATCTCACCACTGCACTCCAGCCTGGGCGACAAAGGGACTCTGTCAGAAAAAAAAAGAAAAGAAAAGAAAAGAAAAAAAGGGGAAAAAAGAAAGGTCAGGGCGACAGAGGGAGACTCTGACTCAAATTAATTAATTAATTTTAAGAGCCTTTTTGAGCCTCTATAGGAATCATATCTCTTTCTTGTGGTCGTCAATTAAAAGAAATAAAGAAGGTGAAAGGCACGTGGGAACCAGCAGGGGCTCAGTAAAAGGTGGATGCTATTACCGTACACTTCTATAAAGTAAAACCTGGATACCCTTTTTCCCAGGCCCGCAGGGCCCAGGCCCCAAAAGGGTATGAGTCAGGGAGAAAGGAGTTACTTAATGCTGATGGCAAATTCTGCTGCATCCTTCACCCTCTGCCGCACCAAGAAAGTCCCGTCCGAGCGGTTGGCCAGGATGCTCTCTGCCCCTGCCCGCTCCATGGGGCCTGCGTACCTGCAAAGAGACACCAAGGACAGAGGTGGCACGGTCCCCGTGCCTGGGTCCCCATATTGCCATATGGAGGTTGCCTTTCCCCCTGAACCCCTTTGATTTTTTAAGTTGGTGACAGCCTGGCTCTAACAGCCCTTCAGCACCAAGGTAGGCCCCGTGGAGGCAGGGGCCGGAGCCCAGACATGGGGAGCGGGCTTCCACTTCTACAGGTCACCACTAAGGTTTGACACATGGATTCGGGGGGATGGCTCAGCCCTTTGGGTCTGGCTGGGTGTCTGGAATTTGGCGATGGCTTCACCAGGCATTTCCTGAAGGCTCACTGTGTGCCCATCTCTGTGGTCACCCGGACAGAAGTAGGGGAAGGAGAATGAGTCACGAGCCTCAGGTGCAAAATGTAAGTGAGAGCCAAAAAACCTAGTCATCAAGGTAAATGACAATAAGTAAAACAAACAGTATTCTAATACAATATTCTTAGAAATCAAAATGAATAAAGTCAGCCATCAAAAGGGAAGCAGCACTGACATGGGCTACAATGGAGATGAGCCTTAAAACATCACACTCAGTGAGAGAAGCCAGGCACAAACGGCCACACACTGTGTGATTTCCATTCATAGGAAATGCCCAGAACACGCCAATCCACAGAGACAGGAAGGAGACCCTTGGTTCCCGGGGGCTGCGGGAGGCAGGAGCAACTGCCCGGGATGGGGTTTCTCTTGGGGGTGCTGAGAATGTTTTGGAGCTAAACGGCAGTGATGGCGGCGCAGTATTGCAAATATACCAAATGGCACTGGCTGGGCGCTGTGGCTCACGCCTGTAATCCCAGCACTTTGGGAGGCCGAGGTGGGCGAATCACAAGGTCAGGAGTTCGAGACCAGCCTGGGCAACATGGTGAAACCTCGTCTCTACTAAAAATGCAAAAATTAGCTGGGCTTGATGGCGGGCGCCTGTAATCCCAGCTATTCAGGAGGCTGAGGCAAGAGAATCGCTTGAACTCGGTAGGCGGAGGTTGCAGTGAGCTGAGATCACACCACTGCACTCCAGCCCAGGCAACAGTGCGAAACTCTGTCTCCAAAAAAAAAAAAACAAAAAGCCACTGAATATAAATATAACATGAATATATTTATAATGTGAGTGTAAATATTCAATATAAATAATAGTTATATATAATAATATATAATCATTATATAATAATATATAACTATCTATTGTAGATAGCTATATGTTAATATAGATAGTTATATATAACCCTATAATATATAATATGAATATAATATAAATATACATGTAATATTTATATTACATGGAATACACCATATATAGTCTATGTAAATGTATAATATATGGTATAACATACAATATATTATAAATGTAAATGGGCAACATAAATAATACATACTAATTATATGTAATACATAATTATATATAATATATAATTTTTTTTGAGACAGTGCCTCGCTCTGTCTTGGCTCACTGCAACCTCTGCCTCCTGGGTTCAAGCAATTCTCCTGCCTCAGCCTCTGGAGTAGCTGGGATTACAGGTGCACACCACCACGCCCAGCTAATTTTCTGTACTTTTAATAGAGGCGGGGTTTCACCATGTAGGCCAAACTGGTCTCGAACTCCTGACCTCAAGTGATCCACCCGCCTCAGCCTCTCAAAGTGCTGGGATTACAGGCATAAGCCACCGTGCCCAGCCCATAATACATAATTTTATATAAGCGTAAATATCTCTTGTTAATGTAATGTATATTATAGTATATAATGTACAACATGATTTAAATGTAACATACAATAAAGAATATTAATTATGTGTAATACATAATTATACATAATATATAATTTTATATAAGTGTAAATACATCATGTTAATGTAAATGTATGTTAAAATACATAACGTACAATATGACATAAATGTAACATATATAAATAATAAATATTAATTATACATAATATATAATTTTATGTCACCTAACATAATGTAAATGTAAATATGTAATATATAAAGCTACAGTATAGTATATTATATAACGCATATGATATATAAACATAAATGTGCAATATAAATAATAAATGTTAATTCTCTAGAATATGTAGCATAATATAAATGCAAATCTGTAATATAAATATACTATGATATATGGTATAATATGTGATAAGATGATATAAATGTAAATATACAATTTAAAGAATAAATATTAGTTATATATTATACATAATTGTAGATAAATATAATATAATGTAAAGTAAATAGGTAACCTATAAATCTTATTATAATATATTGTGTATGGTATAATATAATATAAACATAAATGTGCAACATAAATAAAAAACATTAATTTGTGAAAATACATAGCATAATATAAATATATTTTATGATATGTGGTATAATATATAATAGGTTGTAAACATAAATACACAATATAAATGATAAGTATTAATTATAAATCATATGTAATTGCATATAATATCTAACATCATGTAAATGTTAATATGTAATATAAATGTAAATATGAATAGAAATAGAAATGCCAGTAACAATTACAAGGTTAATTTTATGTTGTATGAATTTCACCTCATTTTTATTTATTTATTTATTTGTTTGTTTGTTTATTTTTTGAGACCGAGTCTCGCTCTGTTGCCCAGGCTGGAGTGCAATGGCGCAATCTCGGCTCACTGCAACCTCCGCCTGCCAGGTTCAAGCGATTCCCCTGCCTCAGCCTCCTGAGTAGCTGGGACTACAGGCGTGCGCCACCATGCCCAGCTAATTTTTTTTTGTATTTTTAGTAGAGACAGGGTTTCACCATGTTGCCCAGGCTGGTCTTGAACTCCTGACCTCAAGTGATCGACCCGCCTCGGCCTCCCAAAGAGCTGAGATTACAGGCGTGAGCCACTGCGCCCAGCCGAATTTCACCTCAATTTTAAAAAACGAATGCAAATCTGGTTCGAGTTGGTGTTTAACATCTTTTTTTAATGAATGCAAAGAAACCATGATGAACAAACATCAACATTTTGAATAAAGACAGAATCTGACTGCCCGACTCACCTCACCCACCTCCTCTTACTCCCAGCTCTATTGGATCCTGTCTTTAGTTACAGTTTTGGTATTTGTTCATCTCGAAATTTTTTTGGCTTGTTTTTGATTTTTTTTAATGTTGCATTAAAACATGATGGACCTTAATGACTGAGATTTTCAGCGTCCCCTTAAATCTTGCACCCACGAGAGAGCCTCCCTGGTCTCACCCTGGTCCCCACCCCATTGACCACATCTCGGCGCAGAAGGGCGGAAGGAGCGCTAACGCAGGAGAGCACGATTCAAATCCTGACCCTGCCTCTTACGTGTTCTAAGACCTCGGCAACTGGTTTTGCCTCTCTGGGCCTCAATTTCCTCTTCTGAAAAGAGGGAGACGCCACAGATGCACATTTTTTATAAATGGCAATAGTGCACCTGCTACTATGTGGTACACACTTAGAAGATGGGAGCGTCGGCTGGGCGAGGTGGCTCACACCTGTAATCCCAGCACTTTGGGAGGCTGAGGCGAGTGGATCACCTGAGATCAGGAGTTCGAGACCAGCCTGGCCAACATGGTGAAACTCTGTCTTTACTGAAAATATAAAAAATTAGCCAGGTGTGGCGGCAGGTGCCTGTAATCCCAGCTCGGGAGGCTGAGGCAGGAGAATCGCTTGAACCTGGGAGGTGGAGGTTGCAGTGAGCCGAGATCACGCCATTGCGCTCCAGCCTGGGCAACAAGAAGATGGGAGCATCATCATGCTGTGTTTTATTACTAGCCAGAGATGATAAACTGAGGCACTGAGGCTTTGGGTTCAAATCCCATCTCCATCACTTCCTCACCATGTGACATTAAGTAATTCACTTACCCTCTCTCAGCCTCATTTGCAAAAAAAAAAAAAAAAAAAAAAAAAAAAAAAAAAAAAAAAAGAAGAAGAAGAAGAAAAGAAGAAAGTATGGGGGCAGAGAGTAAGAATCAAATCTATTTTCCGAAGGGCTTTTGTGAAGATTAAAGGAGCTCATTAAATAGCTGATGCGCCAGCAATTGTTCAATGCCCCATTCTTTTATGTGCCATTATGAAAGAACACTTCCTGCCTATAAAATTCAGCAGAAGATGGACACTGTGGATCGCAAGAGCTATTTCAATGTCAGAGATGTTCAAATGTGAAGAAGAAAAAAAAAACAACCATGCATCTTAGAACAGATTAAATGAGTAATAACAACAGCTAATGCTGTATAAAGTCCTCATTATGTGTCAGGACCAGGACTAAGCACTTGACAGACTCATTTACGCCTCCTAAAAACACTATGAAGTAGATACTGTCATTAAGCTATTTTCCAGAGAGGAATGCTGAAACAGAGGGAGGTTAAGTAACCGGCCCAAGGTCATACAGCTAGGTAAGGTTGGGGTCAGAATTTGAATCCAGGTCAGCGGGCTCCAAAAGCCACACTGTAAACCTCCACCCCTATATGCTTGACATGCTATAGGTGCAAAACAAACAAACAAACAAAACAAAAAATCCTACAAAAACAACTGGAACTGTCATTACCATCACCACCATCATCATTATCATCATCATCATTGTCATCATCGTCATCATCATTGTAACCATTTTCCTTCCAACAAGACCATCATCTCCCAAGGTGAGGGACCCTCCTTTGTCTGTCCCATCCCCAGCAGCCCCCAGCCCAGAGCTAGATTCAGAAGTCGGTGCTCAGGGATCACAGAATGCATAACTAATTGGCTCGGAGGTTCCTCCCATACCCAGCCTGGAACCCCAACCCAGAAACCTCTCATTGAAACAAAAATAAATGTTTCTACTCACCAGAGATGAACAGACAGGTCCTGAGGAGGGCCCTAAGAATACAGAGAGAGACCCCAACTTAGTGTAAAGACCCCAGCTTGACAGCAGAGGGCAGGGCACTTCATTCATTCATTCATTCACTCATTCCACTTGCATTTAGTGAGTGCCTATTATGTGCCAGGCACTGTGGTACTCACTGGGGATAAAGTCCCAGAACCTCGGGGGAGAGACTGCCCCAGTATCATATAAAGCAGGGGTTGTCTTCCCAGCAGTTTATCATTACCCTCAAGTCAAGAATGGTTTTTACATTTTTAGATGGTTGGCAAAAATCAAAAGAATTTTTTCTTTTTTTTAGGGACAGAGTCTCACTATGCTGCCCAGGTTGGAGTGCAGCAGTATGATCATAGCTCACTGCAGCCTCGATCTCCCAGGTTCAAGCGATCCTCTCACCTCAGCCTCCCAAGTGCTGGGACTACAGGTACGCACCACCACACCCGCTAATTTTTAATTTTTTTAAATTTTGTCAAGATCGGGCGGGGGATGGTCTCCCTTTGTTTCCCAGGCTGGTCTCAAACTCCTGACCTCAAGCAATCCTCCTGCCTTGTCCTCCCAAAGGTCTGGGATTACAAGCATGAGCCACCACGCCTAGCCAAAAGAATGTTTTTGGGATTGTGAAGATCATATGAAATTCACCTGTCAGTGCCCATGAATTATGCTTTGTAGGAACACAGCCGTGTCTATACATCATTTACAGATTATCTGTGGCTACTTTTGCACTACAGGGGCGGAGCTGAAGAGTTGCAAAACCATATGGGACCCTGGAGGGTGAGCAGATTTACACTACTCTTCGGCTCTTTACAGAAAAAGTTTACCAACCCTCATCTAAATATGGATGAAAGTGCTCACTTTCTTTTTTGTTTTATGTATGTATTTATTATTTATTTATTTGTTCTTTTTGAGACAGAGTTTTGCTCTTATTGCCCAGGCTGGAGTGCAATGGCGCGATCTTGGCTCACAGCAACCTCCGCCTCCCAGGTTCCAGCGATTCTCCTGCCTCAGCTGGGATTACAGGTAGCTGGGATTACAGGTGTGTGTCACCACGCCCGGCTAATTTTGTATTTTTAGTAGAGATGGGGTTTCTTCCATGTTGGTCGGGCTGGTCTCAAACTCCCGAGCTCAGGTGATCCACCCGCCTCGGCCTCCCAAAGTGTTGGGATTACAGGCGTGAACCACCGCGCCCGGCCGAAAGTGCTCACTTTCACTACCTTAAAACAATTAGGACAGCTACTATAAGGCAAAAACAAATCAACAAACAAAACAGAAAGTAGCAAATGTTGGCAAGGATGTGGAGAAATCAGAACCCTTGTGCACTGTTGGTGGGAATGGAAAATGGTGCACTATGAAAAACAGTATGTGCTGGACACGGTGGCTCATGCCTGTAATCCCAGCACTTTGGGAGGCCGAGGCAGGCGGATCACGAGGTCAGGAGTTCAAGACCAGCCTGACCAACATGGCAAAACCCCGTCTCTACTAAAAATACAAAAAATTAGCCGGGCGTGGTGACGCATGCCTGTAATCCCAGTTATTTGGAAGGCTGAGGCAGGAGAATTGCTTGAACCTGGGAAGCGGAGGTTGCAGTGAGCCGAGATCATTCCATTGCACTCCAGCCTGGGGACAGAGCAAAACTCCCTATCAAAAAAAAAAAAAAAGAAAAGAAAAATAGTATGGTGGTTCCTCAAAACATTAAAAACTAGAACTACACTACCATATGACCCAGCCGTCCTGTTTCTGAGTATATACCCAAAGGAATTGAAAGCATGGATTCGAAATGATATTTGCATACCCATGTTTGTAGCAGCTTTATTCACAATACGCAAAAGTTGAAGCAACCAATTGTTCATTGACAGGAAAACGGATAAACAAAACATGGTATATGCATACCATGGAATATTAGCCTTAAGAATTAAGAAAATTGCCCAGCACGGTGGCTCATGCCTGTAATCCTAGCACTTTGGGAAGCCAAGGAGGGTGGGTCTCTTGAGCCCAGGAGTTCGAGACCAGCCTGGGCAACATGATGAAACCCTGTCCCTACAAAAGAATACAAAAATTAGGCCCGGCATGGTGGCTCACACCTGTACTCCCAGCACTTTGGGAGGCCAACGCGGGCAGATCACCTCAGGTCAGGAGTTCGAGACCAGCCTGGCCAACATGGTGAAACCCTGTCTCTACTAAAAATACAAAAATTAGCTTGGTGTGGTGGTGCATGCCTGTAATCCCAGCTACTCGAGGCTGAAGTGGGAGAATCACTTGAACCCGGGAGGCTGAGGTTGCAGTGGGCCGAGATTGCACCATTCCACTCCAGCCTGGGCAACAAGAGCGAAACTCCATCTCAAAAATTTTTTTAAAAGTAGAAAAATTAGCCAGGCATGGTGGCACATGCCTGTAGTCCCAGCTACTCAGGAGGCTGAAGTGGGAGGATCACTTAAGCTTAGGGGGTCGAGTCTGCAGTGAGTTATAATTACACGACCACTGCACTCCAGCCTGGGTAACAGGACCACACTCCATCCCAAAAAAATAAAAATAAAAAAAGGCCGGGCGCAGTGGCTCACGCCTGTAATCCCAGCACTTTGGGAAGCCGAAGCGGGAGGAACACAAGGTCAGGAGATCGAGACCATCCTGGCTAACACGGTGAAACTCTACTAAAAATACAAAAAATTAGCCAGGCGTGGTGGCAAGTGCCTGTAGTCCCAGCTACTCGGGAGGCTGAGGCAGGAGAATGGTGTGAACCCGGGAAGTGGAGCTTGCAGTGAGCCAAGATTGCGCCACTGCTCTCCAGCTTGGGTGACAGAGCGAGACTCCATTTCACCAAAAAAAAAAAAAAAAAGAAAGAAAATTCTGACACATTCCACAACATGGATGAGCCTTGAATACATTATGCCAAGTGAAACAAGCTAGACACAAAGGACAAATACTGTATGATTTCACTTAGGTGAGGTACTTAGGACAGAAAAATCCATAGAGCTCAAGAGTAGAATGTGAATGTCAGGGGCTGGGAGAGGGGAATAGGTGGTTGCTGTTTAATGGGTTCAGAGTGCTGCAAGATGAAAAGTGTTCTGGAGATGATGGTGGTGATGGTGGCAAAACACTGTGAATGTACTTAATGCCACTCAACTGTACCTTAGAAAATGGTTATGTTGGCCGGGCATGGCGGCTCAGGCCTGTAATCCCAGCACTTTGAGAGGCTGAGGCAGGGGAATCACTTGGGCCCAGAAGTTCGAAACCAGCCTGGGCAACATGGCAAAACCCCATCGCTACGAAAAATACAAAAAATTAGCCAGGCATGGTGGTATGCACCTGTAGTCCCAGCTACTTGGGAGGCGGAAGTGTGAGGACCACCTGAGCCTGGGAGGCGAGGCTGCGGTGGGCCAAGATTGCACCATTGCACTCCAGCCTGGGCAACAGAGTGAGATCCTGTCTCCAAAAAAAAGGTTACATTGTTAACTTTTATGTTCTATATATTTTGCCATAATCAAAAATAATAATAATAAAATGAATGAGGAATCACCGCCTCTACCTAGTTCTAAAACATTTTTATCACTCCAAAAGAAAATGCCATACCCAGCCGGGCGTGGTGGCTCACGCCTGTAATCCCAGCACTTTGGGAGGCCGAGGCAGGCAGATCATTTGAGGTCAGGAGTTTGAGATCAGCCTGACCAACATGGTAAAATCCCATCTCTACTAAAAATACAAAAAATTAGCCAGGTGTGGTGGTGCACGCCTGTAATCTCAGCTACTCAGTATTCTGAATTTTTCATTGTAACGGTCAGTTTTATGCTGTGCAAATTTCACCTCAATTTTTTAAAAGAAAAAAGAGAAGGATGTTCTATGAGAGGATTGCTTGAGCCCAGGAGTTCAAGACCAGCCTGGACAACATAGTGAGACCCTATCTCTAAAAAAAAAAAAAATCACACACAAAAAAACAGCTGCGGCTGGGTGCAGTGGCTCACACCTGTAATCCCAACACTTTGGGAGGCTGAAGCTGGCGGATCACAAGGTCAGGAGTTCGAGACCAGCCTGACCAACATGATGAAACTCCATCTCTACTAAAAATACAAAAATTAGCCAGATGTGGTGGCAGGCGCCTGTAATCCTAGCTACTCAGGAGGCTAAGGCAGGAGAATCGCTTGAAACCGGAAGGCGGAGGTTGCAATGAGCCGAGATCACCCCACTGCACTCCAGCCTGGGAAACAAGAGTGAAACTCCATCTTAAATAAATAAATAAATAAATAAATAAAGCTGAGCATAATGGCTTGCATCTGTGGTCCCAGCTACTCAGGAGGGTGAGGTGGGAGGATTGCTTGAGCCCAGGAGGTCAAGGCTGCAGTGAGTTAAATCACACCATTGCACTCCAGCCTAGGTGACAGAATGAGACCCTCTCTCTAAAACAAAAAATTAAGAGATAGATAGATAGAATAGATGGATGATGGATAAACAGGTAATAGATAGATGGAAAGATGATAGATGATAAACAGACAGGTGATGGATAAATGATAAATGAATAGATGAGAGAGAAATGATAATAAATAGGTAATAGACAGATGATAGATGGTTAGATCGGTAGGTGAAAAATAGGCAGAGAGATGATCGGTGAATAGATAGATGATAGATAATACATAGACAGATGATACATAGATAAATGATAGGTGGATGAATAGATCATGAATGTATTGATAAGTAGATAGATGATAGATGGATGGATGGATGGATGGATGGATGGATGGATGGATGGATGGATAGAAGAACTGATTGATGAATGGATGGATTGATGGGTAGGTACATGGATAGATAGACATATAGATAGATAGATAGATAGATAGATAGATAGATAGATAATATGTAGATGACGAATAGATGGATAGATGATAGGTAAATAGATAAAAGATTGATGATGATGATGATGATATAGATAGATAATAGATGGGTAGATAGGTGATAGGCAAATAGATGATAGGTAAATAGATAGATGATATATAGATAAAAGATGGATGCATGGATAGATAGATAGATAGATAGATAGATAGATAGATAGACAGACAGACAGACAGATGAGGGCAGAAAGGACAGCTCTTTCTTGCAGCAGAACACCAGCTAATAAATTTGGAAAGAATGATGGGGTTGGAAATTCCTATTGTAACTTGACAGTGGAGAAACCATAGGAACAAAAAAATTTTTGATAAAATTTTTGGGGAAATTGACAACATTTAAATACAGACTATGAATTAAATAATAGTATAATGTCAATGTTGAATTTTGTGTCTTTTAATATCTTGCTCTGGTTATGCATGAGAAGGCTCTTGCTCTTAAGAAGTATTTAGGGGTAAAGGGGAACGTCGTCTGCAAACTCACTTTTAACTCTTCCAGGAAAAATAAATACTATGTGTGGGTAGAGAGAGGAAATGACAGAGCAAATGGAACAAAACATTAACAGAACTGATGAAACTGGGTAAAGGCTACACAGGAGCTCTTTGCATTATTCTCATAGCTTTGCTAGAAGTCTGAAATAATATAAAGTTAAAACCAGCACTGGAGAGAATTTCCCTCTGCAGGCTGTGAAGTGTACAGTGGGGTCATTTGCTGTGAATGAGGTAGGGGGTGTCTGAGGTTGGGGAGAGAGGGAGAGATCTGAAGTCATCATGAAGAGCGAGGGGTCCATCAAGCAGAGAACACTGGAAGAACAGCAGAGGCTGGAGTGGACAGGTGTGTCCACCAGGAGCAGGGCAAGGACACAGGCAATGGAGGCCACAGTGCTCCCACAGAACTCAATTTGGTGTCTCAGAAGGAAGCAAGGGGCAGGCCCACCTTCTAGGTCCCTGCTCCTTCCTCCCTACCATACCCATGTAGGAAGGAAAGGACCTTTACACAAAAATGATCAAGGAGAAAAAGATCAATCATTGTTTCCAGGGTGGCCCCTCTCTGGGCTCAGTTGGTGGGGTGGGTGAAGCCTTGAGTTAGAGAAAGACCTGCCATGATGGGCAGCCCCCTCCCCAACTCCGGGGGTGTCTTTCCAAGTCTGTCCATCCTCCCAGGACCCGCCCTGGACCCCTTGCCCTTATTCCATTCAGACTTGAGGCACTCACATGGACATAGGGCTTCACCCTGTTACAAGGAAACCAGCCAATTTCATTAGTAGATGTATTTCTGCCCTAAACACCCAGGAGACAAAAACAGGAACAGAGAGGTTATAGGATCCATAACCCCACCTGCCATCTAAACCCATAACCCTACACGTGGATCCTGCCCCATCACTCGTGTGTGTGTGTGTGTGTGTGTGTGTGTGTGTGTGTGTGTGTGTGTCCATCTCTCTGCTCAATGGTCACTCTGCTTGTCCATCTATCTCAGGATGGCCTGGAGAGCCCAGAGAGGTGATAATGAGTATTAGCTTCCTGGGAAGATGGCCCGCTCAGAAAAGCCATGCCCAGAAGTCTCAGTCTACCTACCCCACTCCCCAGGCATCACCTCCAGAGCATGGTGGAACTATGACCCAACTCCCTGAGACCACATGAATCCATAACCCTACACTTGGGTCCCACCCCATCACTCTTGTGGCCCCAGCCTGTACCTCCCACCAGTTCTGTTCAGCCTCAGCCTTCGTGAGCTCCACAATGTCTCCAGGGTTGAGCCGTAGAAAGGGTCCAATGGCTCCAGGGGGTGGAGGAAGCCCGTAGTATTCCTGAAACACCTCCATCTTGGGCAGACCTGGAGGACAGGGTACAGGAGTACAGGGTGGTTGGCAGTCAACTTTCAACCCTGAATCTTGCCACCCACGAGAATGGCTAAAATTTTTCTTTTTAGACTGGCAATACTAAGTGTTGACAAGGACGTGGAGAAACTGGAATTTTCACTCATTGCTGGTGGGGATACTCTTTGTAAAACTATTTGGCAATATCTACTGAAGCTAAACATTGTATCTACTCTGTAACCCAGCAACCCAAGAGAAATGAAAACATGTGTCCTGGCTGGGCACGGTGGCTCATGTCTGTAATCCCAGCACTTTGGGAGGCCGAGGCAGGAAGATCACCTGAGGTCAGGAGTTTGAGACCAGACTGGCCAACATGGTGAAACCCCATCTCTACTAAAACTACAGAAATTAGCTGGGTGTGGTGGTGGGCACCTGTAATCCCAGCTACTTGGGAGGCTGAGGCAGGAGAATCACTTGAACTCCCAGGAGGCAGAGGTTTCAGTGAGCTGAGATCATGCCACTGCACTCCAGCCTGGGCGATGGAGTGAGACTCTGTCTCAAAACAAAACTAAACAAAAAAACAAAAAACAAAAAAAAAGTCCTTCAAAAGTTGCAGCTTTATACACAATATCCAAAAACTGGCAACCAACCAAATGTCCTCAATAGGTTGATCAATCAATAAACAAATTGTGATATCATCACATAATGGAATACTATACAACAATGAAAAGGAACAAGCTATTGCTACAGGCGATCACATCAATGCATCTCACCGTCATTACGTCAGATAAAAGAAACCAGATGAAATAAGCATGTACTGTATGATTTTATTTATAGAAAACTCAAGAGCAGGCAAAATTAATCTATGGTGATAGAGGTCAGACAGTGGTTCCCTATGGGAGATAGGTGAGTAGCAGTGCTTTCTGACAAAGCTTTCTGTGGTGATGGATATGTCCAATATGGTAGCAACTAGCCACAGGCCATTATTGAGAACTTCAAGGCTAACGTGAGCAAAAAAATTTTTAAGGTGATTTCATTTTAATTAATTTATATTACACAGTGCAGTTCTGGAGGGATGGAAATGTTCTACATTTTTATTTGATTGTTGGTTGCATGGATAAAAATGTATTAAGTCATATACTTAAGATTTATTGATTTTTACATACCTTAAAGTATGTATTTCCTCTCTCAATAAAATACGTGTGTGTGTGTGTGTGTGTGTGTGTGTGTGTGTATGTATATATATATACACATATATATATTCTATTGTACAAAGGACACGGGTTGTTTCTAATTTTGACTCTTGCTAAGAAAGCTGACTGACTATTGCTAATTACATAGTAAGTAATAATAAGAAGAAAACATACCCATTCATAGATTTCATATATTTATTTTTTTATTTTTTTGAAACAGGATCTTGCTCTGTTGCCCAGGTTGGCGTGCAGTGGCGTGATCATGGCTCACTGCAACCTTGAACTCCTGGGCTCAAGCAAGAACCCCGCTAATTTTTAAAAATGTTTTTGTAGACACAGGGTCTCGTTCTGTTGCCCACGCTTGTCTCAAACTCCTGGCCTTGGCCTCTCAAAGTGCTGGGATCACAGACATGAACCACCACACCTGACTTATGTTATATATTTATATGTCATATAAATGGCATATAAGTGGAACACTCCTGCCTCTGCACTCCAGCCTGGGATACAGAGCAAGACCCTGCCTCTAAAAATAAAAAAAAGATATATTATATATACATATAATATATTTTTAATAAATATATATTAATATATATTTTATATATTATTATAATATATTATTACTATATTATATTAATTAATATTAATATATTATTAAATAATAAATTATTATATATTTAATAAAATACATATATTTTTAAATTTTTTAAAATTAAGGCTGGGCACAGTGGCTCACGCTTGTAATCCCAGCACTTTGGGAGGCTGAGCAGGCAGATCACCTGAGGTCAAGAGTTCGAGACCAGCCTGCCCAACATGGTGAAACCCCGTCTTTACTAAAAATACAAAAATTAGCCGAGCGTGGTGACATGTGCCTATAATCCCAGCTACTTGGGAGGCTGAGGCAGGAGAATCGCTTGAACTTGGGAGGTGGAGGTTGTAGTGAGCCAAGATCACACCACTGCACTCCAGCCTGGGCGACACAGCAAGACTCCATCTCCAGAAATAAATAAATTAATTAATTAAAATAAGCACATACTGTATGATTTAATTTATACAGTATGGCTGGGCAACGTAGCAAGACCTCATCTCTATTTAAAAAAAAAAAATTAGCTAGGCGTGGTGGTGTGCACCTGACTTCAAGCGATCCTCCCGCCTTGGCCTCCCAAATTGTTGGGATTACAGGTGTGAGCTATTGCACCCGGCCCAATGTGGCTGTTAATATGATTATGGAGATCTGTCCCTGGGTCAACATCAATAGAGATGAATTTTCCTCCTGCCCCCACACAGCAACCCCTGCCAACTCACCCAGCTCATTCCTCTTTTTGTCCTGAGCCCTGCGATGTAGTTTGTCCTGGAAGGAGAAACAAAGAAAGCCTGTCTACCTATGCCCAGCCTGGGGGCTTGTAGGCCCCCTTACTCTCCTCACCCCACAAAGGATCCTGCCCAGTTCCAGGATGTCCTGGGTCCTCCCCGCGCTGTTGCCCATTATTTGTGGTACACAGGAAGGACCACGGGAAAGTCTTACCTTCTTCATAGTTCCTGGGAAATCTACGGGAGGGTAAAGGAAATGGTGAGAACGGGAAATCCTCCAAAGAGAACCAAGCTCACCTCCCAGCCTCCCTCCCACTCGTACCTTGCCCATGTCGGCCACATGGAGGGACCCTCCCCAGACACTCCTTGTGTGCAGATGCCCGGCACCGATGGCAGCGGTAGCCCTGATAGAAGGTACCTCTGAGATGCAGGGAACACATAAAGAAGAGCGAGTGACCTTTACAGACAGGGCCAAATATTCTGCTAAAAACATAAAGGGACCCCTTGGGTTCTCTTTAGATCAGGAGAGTGACGGAGAAGCAGAAGATCAAAGTAGGGACTCCCCCATCTCCCAATTTAGGGAACCAATTACTAGGCCATCTTCTCTAGCAAGGAACTGATGACCAAGTCCGGTATGCAGGACCCTCCTCCCAGATTCTCACCTAAGCAGCATCTGACAGGCCTTGCAGGATGTGGTCTCCTCAAAGGAGAACATCTGGAAGTCATGCCCGTTGGCGGTGGCATTCTCCGGATAGATGTTGGAGCTGGCAGGGGAAAATTAAAAAAAAAAAAAAAAGAAGGTCAGTATTTTATTCCTTTTTATGGCTGAATACTATTCCATGGTATGAACAGACCACGTTTTGCGTGTCCACTCATTCATTGATTGGCTTTTGGGTCGTTTTCACCCTTTGGCCACACTGAATCGTGCTGCCATGCACATTGGGAGAAAGAGAAAGCAGGCTAGGAGTTTCCAGGGGCTGCGAGAGCGGGGAATTGGGAGTGAATGCTTAATGGGTATGAGGTCTCCTTTGGGCTGATGAAAAGGTTTTGAAACTGGATAGAGGTGATGGTTGCACAATGCTGTTAGTGTACAAAATGCCATGCGATCATACACTTCGAAATTGTTAGATTTTTGTTGTTGGAATTTTGCCTCACATAAAAAGGAGAAAGAGAAGACAAAAGTGGAAGAGGAGGAAGAGGGGAAGAAGAAGGAGGAGGAGGAAAAGGAAGAAGAGGAAGAGGAGGAAAGGGAGGAGGAAGAGAAAGAAGAGGAGGAAGAGGAGGAGGAGGAGGAAGAAGGGGAGGAAAGGGAGGAGGAGGAAGAAGAGGTGGAGGAGGAATAGGAGGAAGAGGAAGAGGAGGGCGAGGAGGAGGAAGGGGAGGAAGGAGAGGAGGAGGAAGAAGAAGAGGAAGGGGAGGAGGAGGAAAGAGGAGGAGGAAAGGAGAAGGAGAAAGAGGAGGAGGAGGAGGAAGGAAACCAGAAGGAGGAGAAGGAAGAGGAGAGGAGAACAAGAAAGAGGAGGAGGAAAGGAGAAGAGTCTGGGCTGGTAACTGAAGCTTGCACACAACCCCTGCATTCCAAGGATGAAGACAGCCTTGGGCCTGTCCCTCTTATTTCCCAAATGAAGAGACTGTGGTTCAGAGTGGTCCCATGGCATGTCAGGACAGAGTAGGGACTAGATCACGTTCCTCCTTCCCAGCCCCTGCCCCTCTGTGGACAGAAAGAGGGAGGAAGACGGGGACTCACATGGCCATCTCAAACTGCTCCATCCACTTCTTCTTCAATTCTCTTGTCTTGAAGAACAGCTCATAGCCCTGGGCACCTTGGTCCTCGATCAGGAGGAACATGTGGCTCCACTGCAGGGAAGCAGAGCTCAGACTGAAGGCACTGCCCCCGCAGAGGGTGGGAGCACACACCCACCCACCCCTCCCTCTGTAGGGAACAGGCAAGCCCATGACAGTCTCTATGCCCCTAGCACCATGCATGGATATCCTTGTAAAAGGGCTTTCTAGGATATCCAAATACACAACCATAAACCCAAAACCACATACGCAGGCGTGCACATGCACACACACACACACACACACACACACTCCCCTTTGCAGAAGCACACACCAGACACAGCATGTCACTCATCATCGATTTTTCTGTTCAACAAAGCATTGGTGCAGCACCTGCTGAGAAACAGACACTGCTAGGAGCTGGGGACAGAGCAGTGAATAGGATGTGGTCCCCAGAGCTCCAGCCTGGTAGGAGAGACGGATGCTGTAAGCAGGCAGTTACAAGACAGCAACTGGCTCCTCGAGGGAGACACAGGTTGAGAAATAGAGAAGCCAGCCGGGCGCGGTGGCTTACACCTGTAATCCCAGCATTTTGGGAGGCTGAGGTGGGCGGATCACGAGGTCAGGAGTTTGAGACCAGCCTGACCAATGTGGTGAAACTCCGTCTCTACTAAAAATACAAAAAAATTAGCTGGGCGTGGTGGCGGGCACCTGTAATCCCAGCTACTCAGGAGGCTGAGGTAGGAGAATCTCTTGAACTCAGGAGGCGGAGGTTGCAGTGAGCCGAGATCATGCCTCTGCACTCCAGCCTGGTGACAGAGCGAGGCTCCGTCTCAAAAAAAGAAATAGAGAAGCCACAGACCAGAGCACAGGGGGAACTCCAGGGCAAAAACTGAAGCGAACGGAAGAGTTCACAGGAGAAAAAGCAGAAGGAAGTAAGGAAGAGCCGAGAGGGAGAGGGGTCTCAGCTTAAATGTCACTTCCACAGAGAATGTCCCTGAACAATGGAGGTAAGATAGCTCCCCCTCCCACCCTCACCTACCACAGCCACATCTCCTGTTTCATTCATTTATTTTTTAATAGAGACAGGATCTCACTCTGTGGTCCTAGCTGTAGTGCAATCATAGCTCTCTGCAGCCTCCAACTCCTAGCCACAGGCGATCCTCCCACCTCAGCCTCCCATGTAGCTAGGGCTACAGGCATGTGCCACCAAGCCCAGCTAAATTTTTTTTTATGTTTTGTAGAGACGGGGATCTCCCTATGTTGCCCAGGCTGATCTCAAACTCCTGGGCTCAAGCAATTCTCCCACCTCGGCCTCCCAAAGTACTGGGATTACAGGCATGAGCCACTGCACCCAGCCACCTACTTTATTTTCTTTGTAGAAAGCATCCCATAAGAACGCAAGTACCATACAAGAAATAAAATAAGCTGGGCACAGTGGCTCACGCTTGTAATCTCAGCACTTTGGGAGGCCAAGATGGGCAGGTCACTTGAGGTCAGGAATTTGAGACCAGCCTGGCCAACATGGTGAAACCTCGTCTCTACTAAAAATACAAAATTTAGCTGGGCATGGTGGTGGGTGCCCGTAATCCCAGCTACTCGGGAGGCTGAGGCAGGAGAATTGCTTGAACCTGGGAGCCAGAGGTTGCAGTGAGCCAAGACCGTGCCACTGCATTCCAGCCTGAACAACAGAGTGAGACTGTCTCAAAAACAAACCAACAAACAAACAAAATGAAAATTCTGTTTTGCTTTCCATTTTAGTCCTAGTGCCTAGAAGAGTGCCCTGGATATAGTAGGTGCTCAATTTAAAAACTGTTGAGTGGGCTCACGCTTATAATCCCAGCACTTTGGGAGGCCGAGGCAGGTGGATCACGGGGTCAAGAGATCGAGACCATCCTGGCCAACATGGTGAAACCCTGTCTCTACCAAAACTACAAAGATTAGCTGGGCGTGGTGGTGTGTGCCTGTAGTCCCAGCTACTCGGGAGACTGAGCCAGGAGAATCGCTTGAACCCAGGAGGCGGAGGTTGCGGTGAGCCGAGATTGTGCCACTGCACTCCGGCCTGGCGACAGAGCGAGACTCCATCTTAAAAAACAGAACAAAACAAACAAACAAAAAACACCTGTTGAGTGGATTAACACACACTTCCATGTAGATGTAGTCTGGCAAACAGGCACATGCCCAAGTGGAGAGGGCTAAGCTGCCGACTGCGTGGAGGACCCCATAGTTCCGGCGTCAAAGCCCCACCTTCTTGTTGTCTCGGTCTCCTGAAGAGTCATCCCGAACCTGGAAGCTGTGCAGGTTTACAAAGTCCTTGAGGTCATAGGAGTCTCCCCTGCGCTTACAGATGAGTAGAGCTTTGTCGAGCAGGAAGGCATACCTGGAAGGATGGATAACGCATTCCTGTCTGGCTCTTCCCAACTGTCCCCATCAGCCCTCTGACCAGTTCCTCCACATCCTGGTCCCACCCTGCCCTTCTCCTCCTCCTTGGCCAACTTGGCCATGCCCACCTGTCCATCCTGACTTCACCCACGTGATCCGCATTGGCCCTACTGCCTGTCAGTCTTCGCTCCACCCATACCCCTCGCTGGCCCTGTCCTGCCTGTCCATCAAGGCTCCACCGCCTTCTCTGGATGGGTCTACCACCTGTCTGTCTAGAAATCTTGCCTCACCCCCACTCAGGTCCCTCCCCAAATTCATCTTAATTCCACCTACAAGTCTACATAAGAACCTGGCCCCACCCCTACCCAGGCTCCACCCCAGATCTGTGTTGGCTCCACCCACCTGTCCATCTAGGAGCCTGGCCACGCCCCTATCCAGGCTCTTCCCCAGACCTATGTTGACTCCACCCAACTGCCTATCTAGAAACCTGGCCCCATCCCTACCCAGGCTCCACCACAGATATGGTTTGCTCCACTCACCTACCCATCTAGGAGCCTGGCCCCCACCTTGCCCAGGCTCCACCCAGATCTGTGTTGACTCCACCCACCTGCTCATCTAGGAGCCTGGCACCATCCCTGCCCAGGCTCCTCCCAGATCTGTGTTGACTCCACCCATCTGCCTATCTAGAAGCCTGGCTCTGCCCCTGCCCAGGCTCTGCTCCAGATCTATGTCGACTCCACCCACCTGTCCATCTAGAAGCCCGGCCCCGCCCCTGCCCAGGCTCCACCCAGATCTGTGTTGACTCCACCCACCTGCCCATCTAGGAGCCTGGTCCCACCCCTTTGCCCAGGCTCCATCCCAGATCCATGTTGACTCCACCCACCTGTCCATCTTGGAGCGCCGTTCCACCGAGGTGATCTTGAGTTCCCCGTCGATCTTGGGCCGGCCATAGTGAGCCAGAGACTGGTCCTATGCAGTAGGCAGGGGGTCTAGCAAGGGTCTCCCAAGAAAGGAGCCAGACACACACTCTCCCCACGTGGCCACACCCCTGGCCCACCCGGCTCCACCGCCTCACCAGGTTCTCAATGGACAGCTGGAAATTGGTGATCTGTCGCAGTGTCTCGTTGTCTCGCTTGACCTCGTTCACGCACTGAGCCAGGTCCTGGGGAGGGGGCAGGGGTGAACCTGGCCCCCCAACAGCCGACCCAGGCTCCTACCTAATCCCGGCTAGAGGATCAGCCCCTACCAGGAGGGTGTCTGCAGCAGGTGAGTCACCAGCACCCTACACCCACTCACCCTCATGGCATCCAGGGCCAGCCGCAGGTTCTCCTTCTCCATCGCCTCCTGCGTGTGTTTCACCAGCTCCTGAGAGAACCAAGACGTCAGACGTCACCTGGGCCCCTCCCCTTCTCCCTGCGGGGAGGGCCTTCCAAACAATGCTAGCTCACCAGCTCCTCCATCGTACTGCTGACCCTGGAGGCTGAGACATGACCCCAGTGACCCATCCCCGAGCGTCCTAGAGACCCAACCCCCAGAAGCCAGCCCCGTCCCCACTTTTATAGACACAGGAGAGTAGGTACGTGGAGCCCACGCCTAGAGATGTGCCTGGCACCTGGAGAAGGAGGTGATATTTGAGAACTCGCTGCATAGGCACCATCAGCAGGTCCCGCAGGGTGAACCTCCCGTTGTTGGCTCTCTGAGAACATTCCTGGGGAATCAGAGAACAATGGGGAAACTGAGGCAGGTCCCAGAAACAGCCAGTTGCAGGGTGGGTGCAGATAGATTTGAATAAATACGTGAGCAGCTCTCCACCCCAGAGCTGTGGGAATTTTTCTAGAGGCCAAAGCATCATATCTGCCCCCAAGGAAACAGGAAAAGGACTCCATGAGGTGGGGGCAGCTTGAGAACCACTGGAAGGAACTTTGGGAGGCCGAGGCGGGAGGATCACTTGAGGTCAGGAGTTCAAGACCAGCCTGGCCAACACGGGGAAACCCCGTCTCTGCTATGAAAAAAAAAAAAATAGCTGGCGTGGTGGCAGACTCCTGCAATCCCAGCTACTCAGGAGACTGAGGCAGGAGAATTGCTTGAACCCGGGAGGCAGAGATGGCATTGAGCTGAGATCACACCACTTCACTCCAACCTGGGTGACAGAGGGAGACTCCATCTCAAAAAACAAAGACAAACAAACAAACAAAAAAGCAATGGGAAGAGGCTGGGCACGATTGCTCAGGCCTGTAATCCTAGCTCTTTGAGAGGCTGAGTGGGTGAGTCGCTTGAGCCCAGGAGTTTGAGACCACCCTGGATAACATGGTGAAACCCCATCTCTGCAAAAAACACAAAAATTAGCCAGGAATGGTGGCATGCATCTGTAGTCCCAGCTACTCAGGAGGCCAAGGTAGGAGTTGGGAGGATTGCTTGAGTCCAGGAGGTCGAGGCTGTGGTGAGCTATGATCATGCCACTACACTCCAGCTTGGGGGACAGAATGAGACCCTGTCTCAAAAAAACAAAACAAAACAAAACAAACAAACAAACAAACCCACTGGAATGTGGCAAATGCTGCCTGGGATAGAGGTCCAGTATTCTGCCTGCTGAGGGGGGCTGGAGATGGGGAGGGGGACAGATCTGGAGAGCCCCCGTCCTCACCACCCCTGCCCTGTCTGTGTTTCCACCAGACAGATCCAGGTTGAAGTTCAGTTCAAGATCAAGTTCAGCCTGGGATCAGGGGTTGGTTGGAATTGGGGTTCAGTGAGAAGTGGGAGCTCAGCCCGACTTGGGGTACAATCAGTGCTAGGGCTCAGCCCAGGGCTGGGGTTGAGTGTGAGATCAGAGCTCAGTTCAGGGTCAGGACTTCACCCTGATATCAGGGGTCAGCCCAGACCCAGGGCCAGCCCATTTCTGTTCTTCTCCATTTCCTCTGCTTGGCTGGCTAGTACCTCCCTCCCTAGTCCTTTGGTGGATCTCTGGCTGGGCTGCAGCAGAAAGTGGACCATCTGCAACTCAGTGTCCTCCCTGCTGCCCCCAGGGCCTGGGGAGGAGCGGGAGAGGCCCCCGAGAAGTGGCCCGGCGCCCACCTCCAGCTTCATCTGCACGTCCTCCCGGGCTGCGGCCACACGGTCCAGGTGTTTGCTGGCTGACTCCACCTGGCTGCAGTAGCGGCCATAGACGAGGAACCTACAGGGAGAAGACAGGCCACCAGGTAAAGGTGACTGGCATCAAGGTCGGGCAGAGGCTGGCGTCAGCCCTGGCCTTGCTCTTCCCCGCTGGAGAAGAAACCTGAGTCCCAGTTTCTCCATCTGTGAAATGGGCATAACAATAGCATCTCCCATGTGAGGCTATTGTAGCATTATCTCATTTAATGCTACAGTAATTTCACCACAGTACCTGGTATTGTCTCTGCCCAATGTTTATTTATTTTTATTTAATTTAATTAATTTATTTATTTTTGAGACGGGGTTTCACGCTTGTCTCCCAGGCTGGAGTACAGTGGTGTGATCTGGGCTCAGTGCAACCTCCATCTCCCGGGTTCAAGCGATTCTCCTGCTTCAGCCCCCCGAGTAGCTGGGATTACAGACACCTGCCACCATGCCTGGCTAATTTTTGTATTTTTAGTAGAGACGGGGTTTTGCCATGTTGGCCAGGCTGGTCTCGAACTCCTGACCTCAAGTGATCTGCCCTCCTCGGCCTCCCAAAGTGCTGGAATTACAGGCGTGAGCCACCACGCCTGGCCTGTTTTTATTTCTGAGACAGAGTCTTGCTCTGTTGCCTAGGCTGGAGTCCAGTGGCATGATCTTGACTCACTGCAACCTCCGCCTCCCGGGTTCAAGCAATTCTCCTGAGTAACTGGGATTACAGGTGCATGCCACCACGCCCAGCTAATTGTTTTTTGTATTTTTAGTTGTATTTTAGTTGTATTTTTAGGCGATGGAGACGGGGTTTCACCATATTGGCCAGCCTGGTCTTGAACTCCTCACCTTAAATGATCCACCCGCCTCAGCCTCCCAAAGTGCTGGGATTACAGGCATTAGCCACCACACCTGGCCAATGTTCCTTCATTTAACAAATACTTATTGAGCATCTACTATGTGCCAGGCCCTGTGTGCATCCGTATAGTCAACCCTCACCACCAGCCTAGGAGGCACATTCCTGTGGCCCACTGATGTACAGATGAGGAAGCAGAAGCACAGAGAGGTTAAGTGACTACCCAGTGCCACACAGCAGAGCTGGGAATTGAACCAGAGATGGGCAGCCCCTCGCCCATGAACACACAGCAAAAAGTCCTCCCCGTCCAGTGGTGTCTGAGGGTAAGGTCTCTCAGATGCCCAGCCTAGGCAAGACAGAGTGACCCCAGAGCTTCAGTCTGGCCAGCTGGGTCTCACCTCTCCTTGTATTTGATGAAGACCTGGTAGAGATTGGCTGCGCCAGGGGTGCCCAGGGCTTCCTTCATCTCCTTTAGGAAGTGAGTATGAACACGAAGCAGGTCCTACTCGGAGGGAAGGGTGAGGGCTGGGACCAGAGCCCAGGGCTCAGGGGGCCAGGAAGGAAAGGGTCATCCACCCGCCCCATGCCGCTCAACTCCCAACCCCCGTACTCCAGGGAGAGGTAGGGGCAGCAGGTTATCCGCACTAGACAGACCCAAGAGGGCTGGGGATCGGCCGGCTCACCTCAATGTTGATAAAGATGATCTCAATGTCTTGAGGTTTCAGGAACCGTTGCAGGGGCTTCAAGAAATGCTGCGGGGAAGGGAGAGAAAGATGACGGAAGATAAGATTCCCTCCTCCAGACCAGTCTCAGAGAGACAGGGGAAGGAGACAGAGAGAGGGAGATAAAGAGAGGCAGCGCGTCCACACAAAAACTTGTACAAGAATGTTCACAGTGAAATTATTCATAATAACCCAAAAGCGGAAACAACCAAAATGCTTATCAATGGGTAAATGGGTGTTTCAAATGTGGTCCGGCCAGGTGCGGTGGCTCACGCCTGCAATCCCAGCACTTTGGGAGCCTGAGGTGGGTGGATCACGAGGTCAGGAGTTCAAGACCAGCCTGGCCAAGATGGTGAAACCCCGTCTCTACTAAAACTACAAAAATAAGCTGGGCACGGTGGCAGATGCGTGTGATCCCAGCTACTCAGGAGGCTGAAG
This sequence comes from Homo sapiens, assembly GCF_000001405.40. Taxonomy (NCBI): domain Eukaryota; kingdom Metazoa; phylum Chordata; class Mammalia; order Primates; family Hominidae; genus Homo; species Homo sapiens. The sequence goes on along the minus strand of NC_000019.10, from coordinate 6,824,644 downwards.
CAGGAGAATCACTTGAACCTGGATGGCAGAGGTTGCAGTGAGCTGAGATCACGCCACTGCACTCCAGCCTGGGTGACAGAGTGAGACTCTATCTCAAAAAAGAAAAAAAAAATGTGGTCCATCCATACAATGGAATATTATTCAGCCATGAAAAGGAATGAAGCTCTGACACAGGCTACAATGTGGATGAACCTTGAAAACACTACGCTCAGCAAAAGAAGCCAGACACATATAAACCACATAGTATGTGATGCCCTTTATATGAAATGTCCAGAAGAGGCCAATCCACAGAGACAGCGAGTAAGCTCGTGGTTGCCATGGACCGGGGGAAGATAAGAGATTGAAGGGGAACAGCTAAAGAGTTTGGGGTTTCTTTGGGAGATGATGAAAACGTTCTAAAATTAAGGCCGGGGTGGTGGCTCACACCCAAAATCCCAACACTTTGGGAGGCCAAGGCAGGAGGATCACTTGAGGCCAGGAGTAGGAGACCAGCCTGGGCAACATAGCAAGACCCCATATCTACAAAAAAAATTAAAGAATTAAGCAGGGTGTGGTGGCATGCACCCGTGGCCCCAGCTCCTCAGGAGGTTAAGGCAGGGGGATCACTTGAGCCCAGGAGTTCGAGGCTGCAGTGAACTATGATCGTGCCACTGCACTCCAGCCTGGATGGGAGAGTGAGACCACATTTCAAAACAAAACAAATCAAAAAAAAAGAAACAAAAAAAACCAAAACAAAACAAATGAAAATATTCCAAAATTAGACAGTGATGATGACTGCATAATCTTGTGTGTGCCAAAAACCATTGAACTGTATATTCTAAATGGGTGGATTACATGTATATTAATGAAATCTCAATAAAGCTATTTTTAAAAGAAATGGAGAGGTGAGGATACAGAAAAAGACTGAGCCTGGGATAAAGAGCTACAAAGGAGAGAATGACACACTGAGGAAGAAAGTAGCGAGAGGAGACCCAGAGGGAAAAAGAGACAGAGTGAGAGATAAAGAGAGAGACAGAGAGACAAGAGGAAGAGGCCCAGTGCAGCCTCACAAAGGGCTTGGATTACAGGAGGATTGCTTGAGCCCAGGAGTTTAAGACCAGCCTGGTTAACATAACAAAAAATATATATAAAATATATATTTGTATCTATTACATATCTTATACATACTTTATATATATATCTTTAAATAATGATATATATCTTTAAAAGATAGATATATAAGCCAGGCACAGTGGCTCATGCCTGCAATCCCAGCACTTTTGGAGGCCGAGGTGGGCAGATCACTTGAGGTCAGAGTTCGAGACCAGCCTGGCCAACATGGCAAAACCTCGTCTCTACTAAAAATACAAAAATTAGTCGAGCATGGTGGTGCATGCCTGTAATCCCAGCTACTTGGGAGGCTGAAGCAGAAGGATTGCTTGAGCCCGGTAGGCAGAGATTGTAGTAAAGCGAGAGCTTGCCATTGCCCTCTAGCCTGGGCAATGAGAGAGAAACCGTGTCTCAAAAAAAAAAAAGATAGATAGATAAAGATATATATCTTTTATGTATATAAGATATATAAAGGTATATATATCTACATATGGACATATATCTTGTATATTAAAAATATATATCTATATAAAAAGATATATACCTATATCAATATATCTACATTTTATATTTTATATATTTATATATTGTATATATTATTTACATATAGCTCTATATGAAAAACTATATATTTTATATCTTATAAATATCATATATCATGTTTATATTTTATACATATTATATGTTTATATTTTTATATATACTTTGTATATATTTATATATTTTCTATTTATGTATATGTTTAATATATTTATATATTTTTGATTTTGTATTTATTTTGTTTGTTTTTGGTTTTTTGACTGCTCCTGCAGGCAGTGTCCTATATTTTATATATATTTTTTAATATATATATACGTCAGACTCATATTTATATATACATATGTAAGTCAGAGAAACTCAGAGACGGAGACAGTCACAGAAAGGAAAAGCGATGGGAGCAGGAAATCCTCAGCTGCCCAGAGCGGCCGGACAGGTGGACGTGCACCTGCCGGCCCAGCTCCCGCGCATGCGCCCGGCAGGCGCTGGGTGGGAGGCGCCCACCTGCTGGATGGAGCCCAGCGTGTCAGTGTACTTCTCCTCCGTCTGCTGGATCTCCCGCAGGCAGCAGCAGCGCTTGTCATACTCTGTCATCTTGGGCTGAGAGCGAGGGGAGAGGCCGGTGTTGGGGGGCCTGGGGCTGCCCCCCGCCCACGCCCTCCCCAGGCCCGACCCTCCACGTCACGCACCGGCATGGACACGGGCTCCGAGCGCATGAGGTCCTCATAGATCTCGTCGCCTTCCGCCTCCTCATTCTCCACGCAGTCATACAGGTCCTCATCCTCCTCCACCGTGTCGCTGTGGGTTGTGAGGTCAGGGATCCCTTGGACCTCTCCCAGATCACAGCAGGGTCCCCGCAGACCCCAGCGCAGGGCTTTGTCCCCCCAAGACTCCAAGGGTGGGACCTCAGACTCCAAGGGCAGGCCATGTCCCTCCAAGCTCCAGGGCAGGGCCATGTCCCCCAAGACCCCAGGACAGTGCCATGTCCCCCAAGACCCCAGGGCAGGGCTGTGTCTCCCCAGACTCTCAGGCAAGGTTGTGTGCCCCAGACACCAGGGTATGACCTTATTTCCCGGAGGGCAAGGCCATGTCCCCCCACACCCTCCACCCCCAGGACGGTGCTCCAGTGAGCTGTGCGGCCACAGGCCTGAGCACTCACTCGATCTGGTCGGACAGGCCACTGTAGATGTCTTCATCACCTACACTCTCCTCCTCGGTGGGGAAGGGCCTGGGGGGTCAGGAGGGTGTGAGCCAGGGGCCTGGGGGCTGGGTAGAAGTGGGGCTTCAGGGAGGGGGAGGACTGGGGCTAAATGGCCCAAGGCCCAGGTGGTTACTCACATGATCCCCCTGTTCTGGGCGATCGGGGTCCAGGACAGAGCAGACAGGGTGTAGATGACCTGTGACGGGGCAGTGGCCACTCAGTGAGCCCCTTGTACACCCCCACGGCAGAACACAGCTTCCAGCTGCAAGGCTCTGTCTGAGGCGCTAGATCCCATGCCTCTTGGAAGCCTAATTCAGGATTTTCTCTACCTCCTATTCCCCATACCATCGTTCTCTCAAATGAGCCCCACCCTTTGCTCCTATCTTTCTTTCTTTCTTTTATATTTTAGTATTTTTTTTAACGGAGTCTCACTCTGTCACCCAGGCTGGAGTGCAGTGGCACCATCTCGGCTCACTACAACCTCCACCTCCCAGGTTCAAGCGATTCTCCTGCCTCAGCCTCCGGAGTAGCTGGGACTACAGGCGCCGGCCACCACACCCAGCTAATTTTTTGTATTTTTAGTAGAGACGGGGTTTCACTGTGTTAGCCAGGGTGGAATCGATCTCCTGACCTCGTGATCTGCCCACCTCAGCCTCCCAAAGTGCTGGGATTACAGGCATGAGCCACTGCGCCCGGCCCTCTATCTTTCTATTTAATCCTCATAGCCACTCAGAGAGGGCAGGATGATAATATTCCCATATTTCAGATGAGAAACGAGGGGCTCAGAGAGGCACAGCCACGTATCCAAGGTCACACAGCAAGTGTCAGAGCAGGAACTCAAACCCAGTTCCACATATCCCAAGCCAGTGCTATTTGCGTCTTGTATATGGCCTGGTCTGGCTTGTCTGCCTGTCCCCTGACAGTCCTTAGCTTGCCCAGTGTAGACGTCAATAGAAATTAACTGAAACTCAGTCTTTGGGCTTCAAGTGTGCAGCTCACCTTGCCAAAATCCTGCACATCGAAGAGGTCAAAGGCTTCGAAGAGCTCGCTCCGCTTGAGGCCGAACTTCTCACAGCAGGTGGACAGGAAGGTTCTAATGTTCTTAAGGCACAGGAACTGTGAGGAGACAGAGAAATGAGGGTGGGGCAGTACGAAAGGGCAGGGGAGAAACTGACCCCCAGGCCACCTAGCTTGGGGACTGGTGTGGAGGGGAAATGAAAGCACAGACCCTCTTCCATGAAATTGAATTATCTTCTGGTAAAGATTAAGTTGTGCCTGATCCAGATCTATGCTCTGAATGTTTTTATTGAGTTAAAATTCACAAAAGATAAAATTAATCACTAACGGTTAAACAAATGTGGTATATCCATACAATGGAATATTATTCAGCCATAAAAAGGAATGAAGCACTGATTCATACTACAATGTGGATGACCTGAAAAACATTTTGAACTACTCAGGAGGCGGAGATGAGTGGATCACTGAGCCCAGGAGTTCGAGCCTGCGGTGAGCTATGATGGCACCACTGCACTCCAGCCTGGGCAACAAAGCAAGACCCTGTCTCAAACAAACAAACAAAAAACCATGCCTCCTGCCTCCACCTCCCAGGTAGCTAGGACTTCAGTCATGTGTCGCAACACCCAGCTAATTTCTGTATTTTTTGTAGAGACGAGGTCTCGCTATGTTGCCCAGGCTGGTCTTGAATTCCTGGACTTGAGGAATCTGCCCACCTTGGCCTCCTAAAGTGCTGAGATTACAGGTGGGAGCCACCATGCCTGGCCATCCCTAAACTTTTTTATTTCATGAGCCAAAACATTCCTTTTCTTGTTTAAGTTACTTTAGATTTGGTTGCCATGGCCTGCAACCAAAAGATATTAACTAATGAAACAGCTGGGCACATGTAACATGGCCCCAGCTTTTGAGTATCTGGAAAAAGAAAAAGAAAGAAAGAAACCTTTGTATTCTTGCATTTGCCAAGTATTGGCTCATCCAACGTCCCAACAGGTTCAGCACTCTCTGAGGTTCCCCAGATCCTGAAGAATTCTAACCAGCCTTCCATCCACCAGCTTCCCACAGCTTGTAGGCTTGGCCTCTCCCACAACCCCCAACACTCTCCATGAAGTCAGTCTGGACCAAGAGTCCTAAAGCAGACTCGTCAGTAGAGTTGGTTAAAATCCATCTTCCAAAGCCACGTATTGCATGCATCTATTTATAGGAAATGTCCAGTACAGGCAAATCCACACAATGGAATATTACTCAGCCATAAAAAAGGAGCAAAATACTGTTCCACACTACAACATGGATGAACCTTAAAAACATGCTCAGTGAAAGAAGCAAATCACAAAATGCCATGTATTGTACAATTCTATTCATAGGAAATGTCCAAGATAGTTCTGAGACTAGAAGTCCAAGATCAAGGTGTCAGTAGGGTTGGTTTCTTCAAAACACAGGTCCCATTCTGTGATATGAAACAGCACATCACAAAGTGTTTTCACAGATCGCTCATTTCTAGTTTTTAGGACTGGATATTCATATGTTCCTATAAAGGCTCAATAGGTTCAGAAACATAACTTCTTAGATTTTATGAAAAGAGTGTTTTGAACTTGTTGAATCAAAACACAGGTTCCATTCTGTGATATAAAACAGCACATCACAAAGTGTTTTCATGGATAGCTTGTTTCTTTTCTTTCTTTTTTTTGAGGGGGATGGAGTCTCACTTTGTCCGCCAGGCTGGAGTGCAATGGTGCCATCTTAGCTCACTGCAACCTCCACCTCCCAGGTTCAAGCAATTCTCCTGTCTCAGCCTCCTGAGTAGCTGGGATTACAAGCACCCGCCATCACACCCAGCTTATTTTTGTATTTTTAGTAGAGATGAGGTTTCACCATGTTGGTCAGGCTGGTCTTGAACTCTTGACCTCAGGTGATCCACCCGCCTCGGCCTCCCAAAGTGCTGGGATTACAGGTGTGAGCCACCACGCCCGGCCAGTTTGTTTCTACTTTTTAGGACTAGATATTTGTAGGTTCCTCTAAGGGCTCATTTCAGTAGACAGCCACCTTCTCCCTGCACTGTGACGTGGTCTTGCCCTGCCTGCACCCTAGTTTACTCTTCTTATAAGGACATCAGTCACAGTGCATTAGGGCCCACACAGATGACCTCATTCTAACTGAACTACCTCTGTAAATACTCCATATCCAAATACTGCCACATTCTGAGGTACTAGGGGTTAAGACTTCAATGTATAAATTTTGGGGGGACACAGTTCAACCCATAGCACACAAGAAAGTGTATTCCAAGAAGAGAGAACAGTGCATGCAATGGTCCTGAGGCAGGATCTTGCCTAACATGTTGGAGGAACAGCAAGGAGGCCCATGTGGCTGGAGTTAGAGTGGGCGAGGAGGAAGAAGAGGGGAGGATAGGGAGGTGAACAAGACATTTATTGTGAGAAGATAAATTTCTGCTGTTTAAGCCTCCAAGCTCGTGGTACTTTGTTGTGGCACCCACGCAAACAAATACACCCTGATATCCAGAAGAAAGTTCCTTGCCAACGTCTTTGTCTTTCCTCAAAGGACACCTTCTCTGTGAGACCTCCTCTAGCCACCCTATTTAAAATCCCACTCCCAGGTTGACTTGAGCCCAGGAGTTCAAGACCAGCCTGGTCAACACAGGGAGACCCCATCTCCACAAAAAATAAAAAGTCAGCTGGGTGTGGTGGTGCACACCTGTAATCCCAGCACGTTGGGAGGTGGAAGTGAGAGAATCACTTGAGCCTAGGTGTTCAAAATCAGCCTGGGGCCACATAATGAGATCCCATTTCTACAAAAACAAATTTAAGGCTGGGCGTGGTGGCTCATGCCTGTAATCCCAGCACTTTGGGAGGCCGAGGCGGGCGGATCACGAGGTCAGGAGATCGAGACCATCCTGGCTAACACGGTGAAATCCCGTCTCTACTAAAAACACAAAAAATTAGCCAGGCAAGGTGGCGGGTGCCTGTAGTCCCAGCTACTCGGGAGGCTGAGAGAGGAGGATTGTTGGAGCCCAGGAGGTGGAGGCTGCGGTGAGCCACGACGGTGCCACTGCACTCCAGCCTGGGCAACAGAGCGAGACCCCATCTCAGAAAATAAATATATACATAAATTAATTAAAATTTCATAAAATCCCACACCCCTACTCCGGCGTTTTCTATCCCCTTAGTTTTGCTTCTCTTGTTGTGTTTATTGTTTATCTCACCCAAATAAAATGTCAGTTTGAAGAGGGGAGGGCCATCGTTCTGTTTCTTGAATGCCCAGCAACTATGATAGTACCTTATGTGTAGGAGGCCCCTGATATATGTTTGTTAACTAGATGGATGGAGGTGGGGCCTGGGAATCTGCATATTAACACTCTCCTCAGGTGATTCTGACATACTTGCCAACCCCTACTCTGTGCCCCTACCATAACAATATTTGCATTTTTTGGCTGGGTGCTATGACTCATCCCTGTAATCGCAGCACTTTGGAAGGCAGAGGCAGGCAGATTACTTGAGGTCAGGAGTTCAAAACCAGCCTGGGCAACATGGTGAAACCCCATTTCTACTAAAAATACCAAAAAAACAAACAAAAAAAATTAGCCAGGCATGGTGGCGGGCACCTGTAATCCCAGCTACTTGGGAGGCTGAGGCAGGAGAATTGCTTGAACCAGGAGGCGGAGGTTGCAGTGAGCTGAGATATCCCCACTGCACTCCAGCCTGGGCAACAAGAGTGAGATTCCATCTCAAAAGAAAAAAAAAATGCATTTCTTGGATGCCTACTACACATGGTTAGGCATTCAGATTAACTCCATTCTCATAACCACACTGTCAGTGTTTATACCCTTTTGAGATGGAGTCTTGCTCTGTCGCCCAGGCTGGAGGGCAGTGGCACCATCTCGGCTCACTGCAACTTCCACCTCCCAGGTTCAAGCGGTTCTCCCACCTCAGCCTCCCAAGTAGCTGGAACTACAGGAGTGTGCCACCACGTCCAGCTGATTTTTGTATTTTTTGCTAGAGATGGGGATTTCACCATGTTGTCCAGGCTGGTCTTGAACTGATCTCAAGTAATGCACCTGCCTCGGCCTCCCAAAGTGCTGGGATTACAGGCATGAGCCACCACACCCGTCTGTGTCTATTTTACCTACAAGAAAGCAGGCTTAGATCGGTGTGGGGATGCTGCTTGAGATTAACAGCAAGAGTAAGTTAGGGGAGGAGCTGCAATTAAACTCCGAGATGGTATGAATCTAGAACCCACGTTCTGTGTGTGTGTGTGTCTGTGTGTGCGTATGTGTCTGTGTGCGTGTGAGAGAGAGAGAGAGCGAGAGAGAGATGCTCTCACTCTGTTGTCCAGGCTGGAGTGCAGCGATGCAATCATAGCTCACTGCAGCCTTCACCTCCTGGGACCAAGCAATGCTCCCAGCTCAGCCTCCCAAGCAGCCAGGACAATGGATGTGTGCCACCACATCCAGCTAATTTTAAAAATGTTTTTGTAGCCGGGCATGGTGGCTCACACCTGTAATCCCAGCATTTTGGGAAGCCGAGGAGGGCAGATCATGAAGTCAGGAGATCGAGACCATCCTGATTAACACGGTGAAACCATGTCTCAACCAAAAACACAAAAAAATTAGCTGGGCGTGGTGGTGTGCGCCTGTAGTCCCAGCTACTCGGGAGGCTGAGGCAGGAGAATGGCGTGAACCCAGGAGGCGGAGCTTGCAGTGAGCCGAGATTGCGCCACTGCACTCCAGCCTGGGCGACAGAGCGAGACTCCGTCTCAAAAAAAAAAAAAAAAAAAATTTGTAGAGACAGAGAGTTTCATTATGTTGCCGAGGCTGGTCCTCAAGCAATCCTCCTGCCTCAGCCTCCCTAAATGTTGGTATTACGGGTGGGAGCCACAACTCCCAGCTGAGCCCACTTTCTTGACCACAGCCTTTTCTCTTTACCTTGTGTGTAGTGGAAGCTAGCATGAGCTTCCACCCACCATGCTCTCAATTTTCAGCATGCTGCAGAGATAACATGGACTCCTCCCAGCAACTCTTCAAGGTAAGTCATATTATTATCCTCATTTTACAGAGAAGGAAACTGAGGTGAGACACACAGCCGGGATACAAACTCAGGCAGCATGACTTCCAAGCCTGTGCGTAACCATTATGCCATAGCTGTGTGTGTGAATTCATTTGGCACTTAATGTCTGTTGTAACCCTGTTTCTCACACTTCCATTTGCAGAATGTATCATCTTCTCAATTGCTGCCACAGTCTATGCAACCCATTGCATATGGAACATGAACTTTAACTCTTTTGTGTTTAAGAAGAGAGCTTTACATCCTCCTACAAAACTAAGCTCACGGGCTACAAACAGAAACAACTGTATGATGGGTGTGATGGCTCATACCTGTAATCCCAGCACTTTGGGAAACCAAGGCGAGAGGATCACTTTGAGGTCAGGGGTTTGGGACCAGCCTGAGCAACACGGAGAGACACTGTCTCTGCAAAAAATACAAAAATTAGCCTGGTGTGATGGCCAGTAGTCCCAGCTACTTGGGAGGCTGAGGCAGGAGGATCACTTGAGGCCAGGAGGTAGAGGCTGCAGTGAGCTATGATCGCACCACTGCACTCCGGCCCAGGCAACACAATGAGACCCTGTCTCAAAATAAATAAATAAATAAATAAAAGAAGAAGCAACTGTAGAATAAATATGGTTCAAACAACGTTACTAAATTCTAGGTAGATTCTGTTGCTCGCCCAAGGCTCTGACCCAAGACCTGTTCTCTTTTTGTCAAAAAGAGAAATCTGCAACAGAAGACACATGAAAGATGCGGTAGCAACTCAACATTCATTCCTGATCAAAAGAAAGAGGGGGAAAAAAATCTCTTGGCAAAGTAAAAATGGAAGGGAACTTCTGTAACCTGATAAAGAAGGTCTTCAGAAAACCTAGACCGAAACACTGTACTTAATAATGAGATGTTGAAAAGATTCCCTTTGAAATCAGAACTACGCAACGGAACCTGCTATCACCATTTCTATTCAACATTGTATTGAAGATCTCAGCCTGTACTGCAAGACAAGACAGAGGGAAAAAGGAAAGAAAGAAAGAAAGAAAGAAAGAAAGAAAGAAAGAAAGAAAGAAAGAAAGAAAGAAAGGAAGGAAGGAAGGAAGGAAGGAAGGAAGGAAGGAGAGAAAGAAAAGAAAGAAAGAAAGAAAGTCATTTTTGCAGAAGAAGCAATCATCAACATAGAAATTCCCAAAGAATATATAGATAAATAGCTGAAATTAATAAAATTATTTGGCAGTGTGGCTGAATACAAAACCAGTATACAAAGTGTACTAAGTGTCAGTACATAAGCAAAAATAACTCACAAATTAAAAAAAAAATTGTGAAATCCTACAGTAAGCAAAACTAACCTATGATGATAGAAATCAAATCAGTGGTTGCTTCCGGAGCAAGAGGGAAGGTAGAGATTGACTCAGAGAGGCCACAAGTGATGGAAATGTTCTGTTTTGATAAGGGTGTGGATTGCACAAGTGTCCACAGTTGCTAGAACTGATTGAATGATAAAATGAAGAATTTAGCTTTTCACATAGGGAAATCAGACTTTGATTTTAAAAGGATACTATTGACCATAGCCTAGAAGATGTGAAACAAAACTGCATAAAGCTAGTGACCTAAACAAAATAGAATATATACCAGTTCCTTTCTAGCAAGACTCAGTGTTTTGTTTTATTTTATTTATTCATTCATTGATTTATTTTTAGAGACAGGGTATCACTCTGTCACCCAGGCCGGAGTGGAGTGGCACGATCATAGTTCACTGTAACCTTGACCTCTTGGGCTCAAAAGATCCTCCTGCGTCAGTCTCCCAAGTAGCTGGGACTACAAGCATATGCCATCATACCTGGCTAATTTTTTTTTAAAGATTTTTTATAGAGACAGGATGTCACTATGTCACACAGGCTGGTCTTCAACTCCTGGCCTCAAGTGACTCTCCCACCACAGGCTCTCAAAGTGCTGAGATTACAGGTATGAGCCACCGCACCCAGCCCCAAGACTCAAGTTTTAAAATCTTCAATTCTCTCCAAAATTGAGCTATAGATTTAATCCAATTTCAATTAAAAACCCCAGAATGGCTTTTCATTGAACTTGACATACAAATCCTAAGATTTGTATAGAAAACCTCAGCCATGAGTAGCCAATATACTCCTACAGAGGGAAAATAAAGGGTATGAGTCCTACCAAATATTAAGACACCATAAATCTACAGTAATTAAGACAATGTGTTTGTAGTAGCCAGCCTCCAGGATGGCCCCCAATGGTCCATAGCTCCTAGTATTCATACATAAGTTAAGATGCCTTTTTGTAATCCCCTCCCACATTGAACCAAGACTGGCCATGTGTCACTAAAAGAACAGGGTGGAAGAAACAAGATGTGAGTTCTCAAGACTAAATAATGAAACATATCGAAGCTCCATTTTGGTCTCTTGGACCACTCACCGGCGACCATGTTGTGAGGCCACTCAATCAGTCCTGTGGGGAGCCCCAGGTGGAGAGGAGCTGAAGCTCTATGTGGCCCAGCCACTCAGGAAGTAGACCCTCCAGCTAAGGCCTTTAGATGACTGCAGCCCCAGCCGACATCTGTGTGCAACCTCATTAGAAACCCTAAAGGGGAACTGCCTAGATGAGCTATTTCAGAATTCTTGACCCAAATAATCCATAAGCATAATAAATGGTTGTTTTATACAATTAAGTTTGGGGATAATTTGTTACTTAGCAATAAATAGGTAACAAGGATAAAGGCAAATGAACCAACATGAAGGGTTTATGCCTACTGTGTCATGTTGTTGTAATTCAGTTATATGATGCATAAAAAGGGCTGGACGTTTCAAGTTCTGGAAATTATCATTATCATTATGATAGTAATATCATCATCACCACCATCACCATTCTCCTCATCACCATTCTTATCATCATCATCATCATCATCATTATCACCACCATCACCATCATCGTTACCATTATAATCATCACCACCATCATTACCACAATAGTATTCATGACCATGAGCATCACCACCATCATCATCTTAGCTCCAGCTGGGAAACCAAGAGCATTCACCAACCCATCAATTTTTGTATTTTGGGTTGTCTTTGTTTCTGTTTTTGTTTTGAGATAGAGTCTCCCTCTGTCATCCAGGCTGGAGTGCAGTGGCGTGATCTTGGCTCACTGCAACCTCCACCTCCCAGGTTCAAGTGCCTCAGCCTCTCGAACAGCTGGGATTACAGGCGCCCACCACCATGCCCTGCTAATTTTTGTATTTTCTTTTTAGTAGAGACAGGGTTTCACCATGTTGGCCAGGCTGGTCTTGAACTCCTTACCTCAAGTAATCTGCCTGCCTTGGCCTCCCAAAGTGCTGGGATCACAGGTGTGAACCACTGCACCCGGTCAATTTTTGAAACTGGAAAATACCTCAGATATTAATCAGCTTCCAATCTTCACTCATCACTCAGAGAGAGAAACCCAAAGAGTGAGAAGAAGGGTTTACTCAAGAGCACAAATCAAACTGAGTGTTACTGCCTCCAAGCCCTTAGTTCTATTCCTGCTGTCTACCTCGGGCAGAGGCCACTAAAGATCCACCAATATTCGTGTTTTCTCTTCCATAATATGGAATTGCTGCTGGAAAATGGCTGCCCAGCTAAGGACTGCATTTCCCATCTCTCCTTGCATGTGGATGCAGTCATGTGACTGCTTCTGGCCAATAGAATAGGAGCATTTGTCATAAGCATCACTTTCAGGGCACTGTATTTAAGGAGAAATTACTTCTCCATACCTCCTCTCTCCCTATTTTCTGCAGGCTGAGACTCTAAGGGATGGCAAAACTGCAAATGAAAGTAGCCTGGGTCCCTGAATTATCTGCGGGGAAAAGCCCCCCGACCTGGAACTAGAAGCACATGCATTGTACTGTTTTGTGTACAAGAAATCAATTTTTACCATGTGAAGTCACTGAAATGTCTTGTTTGTTACAGTAGCTGGTGTTATCCTAATGAAGTACCCTTTGGGCCAGAGTTAGCTGTGATGTGTCTGTCTGATCCTCAGAGACCTCATGGATCTCCATTCCAGCTTCTCTTGCCGATTCTTACAGTAATTATATGCAGGGAGATGAATAAAGGACTGCTGTCTGGGCTAAAAGTTCCTCTCCTATTTGCCTGGTGAACTCCTACTCATCCTTCAAGGCCCATCTCCAATATCTCTTCTTCCAGGAAACCTTCCCCAATGTCTTCAGCCAAGCAGAGTCCTCATTCTCCCCCAACTGCAGCCTCCCTTAACATGATGTCCCTCCTCAACCCAGGCCTGACAACGAAGACGCCTGTGCTGGGCTCTCTCCAGATGAAGTCAGGACCCAGGGTTGAGTCACCTCTGAATCCTGAACACCACATGGTGGCATGCAATAGTGCCCAATACAATTTATTGAATAAATAAATGAGGCTGGGTGTGGAGGCTGATGCTTATAATCCCAGCACTATGGGAGGCCGAAGAGGGTGGATCACTTGAAGTCAGGAGTTCGAGACCAGCCTGGCCGACATGGTGAAATGCTGTCTCTACTAAAAATACAAAAATTAGCCGGGCATGGTGGTGCATGCCTGTAATCCCAGCTACTTGAGAAGCTGAGGCAGGAGGATCACTTGAACCTGGAAGGCGGAGGCTGCAGTGAGCTGAGATCGTGCCACTGCACTCCAGCCTGGGCAACAGAGCAAGACGCCATCTCAAAAATAAATAAATAAATAGAAATGAATAACACAGTAACTAAGAGACAGTCTGTACCTCCGTTCCAGATGAGGACAAAGGTTTTGGAACAACAGTTGAAAGCATGCCTTTTCATTGCAATCCATTTCTTTGCTTACAGCTGGGGAAACAGGTTCATTCTTTCAACAATGGGCACCTCAAACTTAACAGGTCCAAGATTGACATCATTGCCAGTTCAAACTTGCTCTCCCTCCAGCCTCTTCATCTAACAATGGTGCCATTACCACCCAGCAATTTGTCTTAGGAACCCAAGATGATTTTCAACACTCCCCAATCCTTCAGAATCAACTTAGAGTAATTTTTTTTTTTTGAGATAACGTTTCACTCTTGTCGCCCAGGCCAGAGTGCAATGACGTGATCTCAGCTCACTGCAACCTCCGCCTCCTGGGTTCAAGCAATTCTCCAGCCTCAGCCTCCTGAGTAGCTGCGATTACAGGCGCCCGCCACCACGCCTGGCTAATTTTTTGTATTTTTAGTAGAGGCAGGGTTTCACCATGTAGGCCAGGCTGGTCTCGAACTCCTGACCTCAGGGGATCCACCCACCTCTGCCTCTCAAAGTGCTGGGATTAAAGGCATGAACCACTGTGCCCGGCCAAGTTAGAGTAATTTCATAGGTGATCGTCTACAAGCCAGGAACGAATCTAAGTGTTTTGAAAGTCGGGTTTATTTTTATTTTTATTTCTTTAGAGACAGGGTCTCACTCTGTTGCCCAGGCTGAAGTGCAGTAGTGCAATCTGCAGCCTTGAAATTGGGCTCAAGCAATCTTCCTGCCTCAGCCTCCTGAGCAGCTGGGACTATGGGCATGCACCACCACACCTGGCTAACTTTTTATTTGTAGAGATGAGGTCTTGCTCTGTCACCCAGACTGGAGTGAAGTGGCACAATCATAGCTCACTGCAGCCTCCACCTTTTGGGTTCAATTGATCCTCTTGCCTCAACCTCCTGAGTGTTGGGACTACAGGCATGCACCACCATGCCCAGATAACGTTATTTTTATTTTTATTTTTTGTAGATACAGGGTCTTGTTACATTGTCCAGGCTGGTTTTGAACTCCTGGCCTCAAACAATTAGCTTGTCTTGGCTTCCCAAAGTGCTGGTATTACAGGCATGAGCCACTGCACCTGGCTGGAAATGGAGGATTCATTGAATCCTCCATTTCCAGTCAATCAATAGATTATTCAGATTCTACATCCAAACTATCTGTCACATCTAAGCTCTTCTCACCATCCCTGTTCCCAAATCCTAGAGCAGCCACCGCAGTGATCACCTTTGTGGCTGCAACAGCCTCCTCAGTGGTCTTCCTGATCCGTTTTGTACTCCTCCCAGCCCACCTTCATACAGCAAATCTAACCATGTCAATCTCCTCTTGAAACCTTGCCATGGTTCCCCCATCATCCCCAACACAAAGTTCAACCTCACCACGGCCCCTGCTGACTTCTCTGATGACTCTACTCTTTTTTTTCTCACTTACCTCTCCCACCTCTGCTCCAGCCAGGTGGAAGTGGTTGCCACACGCTAAATGCACCTATTTTACTGTCTCTCATCTCCAGGTCTCATATATAAGGTTGCCTCTGCCCTGAATGCCCTTTGTGGTAGATTACAAATACTTTCCAGCTCCTACCAGCCAAAGAGAATTGCCGGGTATGGTGGCTCATGCCTGTAACCCCAAGACATGATTGGGAGGATTGGGTGGGGTGGGAGAATTGCTTGAGGCCAGGAGTTCAAGACCAGCCTGGCAACAAAGCAAGACCCCGTCTCTACAAATGAATTTAAAATTAGCCAGGTGTGGTGGCACATGCCTATAGTTCCAGCTACTCAGGAGGCTGAGGATCAATTGAGTCCAGGAGTTTGAGGTTGCAGTGAGCTAAGATCAAGTCACTGCACCCCAGCTTGGGCGACAAGACAAGACCCTATCTCAAAAAAAAAAAAAAAAAAAAAGAGAGGTAGATTCTAAGTCTTCATCTTTTGTATCTGGGTTGGTCTTGTGGCTCGCTTTAGCCCATAGAGGCTTTGCAACTTCTCCTGTTGCTTTCTTGGAATACTCCTGCCAAATTCAAGCACTCAGGCTAAATTGCCAGAGGATGAGAGACCGTGTGGAGCAGAGACAAGCACCTAGCTAAAGGTATCCTATACTAATCAACTGGCCAACCAGCAGATATGTGAATGAGGCCCTCCTAGACTACCTACCCCAGCCAAGTTATTAGCTAACCACAGAGATCACCTATCTGCCCAGACAATTTACTAAATTAATTGGAATAACAAATATTGTCTTTAAGCCATTCCATTTTAGGGGACTGTTTGTTACACAGCAAAAGCTAACTGATAATGTGCAATTCCAGGTTGCATTCTTAAAGGGAGGAACATTCTAGCCCCTTTATCTGGCTGGCAAGTGAGTATGGTGATGAGTATTCTTGGAAACTGAGGACAAAGGAAATTCACAGGTGGCGGAAGAACAGAACAGGAGGAGCTGGTCTTTGACATTGTAGAAAGGACCATGCCAGCCTTGGACTGATTAAGCTCAGATTATTGCATAAGAAATAAATAATCTTCAGTTTTATTTAAGTCCTTGTTACTTTGGTTCTCTGCTACATAGAGTGACTTACCTCCTAGTTTGCCAAGGATGACCCAAGCTTATGCCTGTTGTCCTAAGGTAATTATTGGGGAGGAGAGAATTGGTTGGGGTTTTTTTGAACTTTTTTTTTTGAGATGAAGTCTCACTCTTGTCTCCCAGGCTGGAGTGCAATGGTGTGATCTTGGCTCACTGCAAACTCCGCCTCCTGGGTTCAAGCGATTCTCCTCCTTCAGCCTCTCGAGTAGCTGGGATTACAGGCACCTGCCACCACACCTGGCTAATTTTTGTATTTTTAGTAGAGACGGGTTTCACCATGCTGGCAAGGCTGGTCTCAAACTCCTGACCTCAGGCAATCCACCTGCCTCGGCCTCCCAAAGTGCTGGGATTATAGGCTTGAGCCACCGCGCCCGGCCTTTTTTTTAACTTTTTCTTTTCTTTTTTTTTTTTTTTTTTTGAGACAGAGTCTCACTCTGTCACCCAGGATGGAGTGCAGTGGCAGAATCTCGACTCACTGCAACCTCTGGCTCCCAGGTTCAAGCGATTCTCCTGCTCAGCCTCCTGAGTAGCTGGGATTACAGGTGTGTGCCACCAAGCCCAGCTAATTTTTGTATTTTTAGTAGAGATGGGGTTTCACCATCTTGGTCAGACTAGTCTCGAACTCCTGACCTCATGATCTGCCCACCTTGGCCTCCCAAAGTGCTGGGATTACAGGAGTGATTTTAACTTTTTTTTAAAAGACAGGGTCTCACTCTGTTGCCCAGTTGAGTGCAGTGGCATGATTACAGCTCACTGCAGCCTCCACCTCCTGGGCTCAAGTGATCCTCCCACCTCAGCCTCCAGAGTAGCTCCCAGTACAAGCCTCCTGGTACCGGTCCATGGTCTGTTAGGAACTGGGCCACACATCAGGAGGTGAGTGGTGGGCAGGTGAGCTAGCATAGCTTCATCTGTATTTACAACCACTCCCCATTGCTCGCATTACCACCTGAGCCCCACCTCCTGTCAGATCAGCTGCAGCGTTAGATCCTCATAGGAGTGCAAACCCTACTGTGAACTCCACATGTGAGGGATCTACCTTGTGCGCTCCTTATCGGGAATCTGGTGCCTGATGATCTGCCACTGTCTCCCATCACCCCCAGATGGGATCATCTAGTTGCAGGAAAACAAGCTCAGGGCTCCCACTGATTCTACATTATGGTGAGTTGTATACTTATTTCATTATATGTTACAATGTAATAATAATAGAAATAAAGGGAACAATAAATGTAACGCATTTGAATCATCCTGAAACCATCCCCCCTAACTCTGGTCCATGGAAAAATTGTCTTCCACAAAACCGGTCACTGCTACCAAAAAGGTTGGAGACTGCTGCTCTATAGGTTTAGATGATAAATTAATCTCTACCTAACTGTTACAGTAGCCAAACCTCTATCCTAATGAATACACAGCATTGATTACAACAGGTTGTACCTGTCTGAACAGATCGTGGAATCCCAGTAGACTGGGATCACCATGAGAGCAGAAACAAGTTCTTATCAACCATCACATTCCCTGCTGCTGGGACGCAGTAGACAAATCAATGAGGGATGGTGGAAAGAATGAATATATTCATTAACTAATTATGCACACATCCATACCCTTTCCTCTTTCTCTTCTAGCAACATGGGCTGAGAGGGGCTCCACCCCCAGTTCCAGTCAATTAGCATGGCCCATCCCCTTGCCTATGACTATTGGTTCAGAGATTAACACATGACCCACTTCAGACCAATGAGAGAGTGCAAATCCCGGATCTTAAGCTCCAGCTTCTGGGACAGTGATTTACTCTCCGCTGTGTTGGTCAAGAGTGAGGTTAGGCGGTCTGGAGCAACTGCAGCTACTTTGCTGCCATGAGTGGGAGATCCTAGATTTACAAAGCCAGAAAAGGAATCCATCACAGAGACATGCAGTCCTTGATGACATTGTTGGAGCTACTGAATGAAGCCATACTTAAAACCCACATACGAGTTTGCTTCTCTTCCAAAACGGCATTGAGAAAAAATTATTTTCATTAAAAAAAATTGTTGGCCGTGCATGGTGGCTCACGCCTGGAATCCCAGCACTTTGGGAGCCCATGGCGGGTGAATCACAAGGTCAGGAGTTCGAGACCAGCCAGACCAACATGGTGAAACCCCGTTTCTACTAAAAATACAAAAATTAGCTGGGCGTGGTGGAATGCACCTGTAATCCCAGCTACTCGGGAGGCTGAAGCAGGAGAATTGCTTGAACCCGGGTGGCGGAGGTTGCAGTGAGCCGAGATCGTGCCACTGTACTCCAGGCTGGGTGACAGAGTGAGACTCCATCTCAAAAAAAAGAGCTTCATTTACAAAAACAGGTGGCAGGCTGCATTTGGCCCACAGGTCATGGTTTGTTGACCTGTAATTAGGTTTTCTGTCATTTGCAAACTTCTTGGGAGCATAGCCACTGCCTTGATGGAACACCAGACCTTGTTAGACGGGAGGAAGTTGAGGGAATCAGCCCATAAACCCCTTTAGCATCCAAGACACTTCCATCAGGGCAGTCCAGAGACTCCAGGCTGATCTTCCTTCCTTCCTTCTTCCTTCCTTCCTTTCCTCCTCTCTTTTAGTTTCTTTTTTATTCATATAAATGAATAAATATTACTATATATAATATTCATATAGTGTGTGTGCATATATATATACACATATGTGTGAGCTGTATAATTATTTCATTATATATTACAATGTAATAATAATAGAAATAAAGTGAACAATAAATGTAATGTGGTTGATTCATCCTGAAACCATCCCCCCAACTCATGTGTGTGTGCGTGTATGTGTGTGTGTGTGTGTGTGTGTGTGTGTGTATCTGTAGAAATGAGGGTCTCACTATGTTGCCCAGGCTGGTCTCGAACCCCTGGGCTCAAGTGATCCTCCTGCCTCAGCCTCCTAAGGTCCTGGGATTACAGATGTGAGCCACCACAACTGGTCTATTTTCTTTGTTTTTGTTTTGTTTTGTTTTGTTTGAGATGGAGTCTTGCTCTGTGGCCCAGGCTAGAGTGCAGTATTATGATCTCAACTCGCTGCAACCTCCACCTCCCGGGTTCAAGCGATGCTCCTGCCTCAGCCTCCTGAGTAGCTGGGATCACAGGTGTGTGCCACCATACCCAGCTAATTTTTGTATTTTTAGTAGAGACGGGGTTTCACCATGTTGGCCAGGCTGGTCTCGAACTCCTGACTGTAGGTGATCCATCCGCCTCGGCCTCCCAAAGTGCTGGGATTACAGGCATGAACCGCTGCGCCCGGCCTTACCACCGCTTTTCATGGCAATTACCTGATCACCCAAAAGTTACTACCCCTTCCCTGGAAATTTCTGCATAAACTGCCCCTTACTCTACATGTAATTAAAAGGAGGTATGGGCCGGGGGGCGGTGGCTCACACCTGTAATCCCAGCACTTAGGGAGGCTGAGGCGGGTGGTTCACGCCTCAGGAAGGTCAGGCAATCGAGACCATCCTGGCTAACATGGTGAAAACTCATCTCTACTAAAAATACAAAAAATTAGCCGGGCATGGTGGCGGGCGCCTGTAGTCCCAGCTACTTGGGAGGCTGAAGCAGGAGAATGGCGTGAACGTGGGAGGCAGAGCTTGCAGTGAGCCAAGATTGCGCCACTGCACTCCAGCCTGTGCGACAGAGCAAGACTCCGTCTCAAAAAAAAAAAAAAAAGGAGGTATGGGAAGGGCACAGTGGTTCATGCCTGTAATCCCAGCACTTTGGGAGGCCAAGGCAGGCAGAACACCTGAGGTCGGAAATTTGAGACCAGCCTGGCCAACATGGCGAAACCTCATCTCTACTAAAAATACAAAAGTTAGTCAGGCGTGGTGGCACGCGCCTGTAATCCCAGCTACTCAGAAGGGTGAGGCAGGAGAATTGCTTGAACCTGGGAGGCAGAGGTTGCAATGAGCTGAGATTGCACTACTGCACTCCAGCCTGGGCGACAGAGCAAGACTCTGTCTCTAAATAAATAAATAAATAAATATAAATAGGACCGCCAAACTGCCCTGAGCTGCTACTCTCAGCCTGTGGGGTAGCCCTGCAAGAGCAGTCATGGAGCTGTAACACTGCCACGGCAATAAAGCTGTTTTCGTCTACCCTACCACTGGAATCACCCTTGAATTCTTTCCTTAGCCTGTGAGGCTTCTTGGGTGAAACCAAGAAGCCTCACAGGCTAAGCCCCACTTTGGGGCTTGCCTGCCGTGCGTCACATTCTCTGGATTTGGACACATGTATGATGATGGGTATCCACTATTATAGTGTCATAGAGAGTATTTTCACTGCCGTGGAAAGCTTCCATGCTCTGCCTATCCATACCCCCTTTCCACTAACCTCTGACAACTACTGATCTTTTTACTGCTTCTACAGTTTTGCCTTTTCTGAAACATCACATAGCTGGTATCATATAGTATGTAGCCTTTTGGGACTGGCTTCTTTCACTTAGTAATATGCATTTGGGGTTCCTGCGTGTCTCTTCATGGCTTGAGAGCTCATCTCATCTCTCTTCAGTGCTGAATAATATTCCATTGTCTGCGCTGGGAGCAGTGGCTCACACCTGTAATCTCAGCACTTTGGGAGGCCGACGTGGCTGGATCACCTGAGGTCAGGAGTTTGAGGCCAGCCTGGCCAACATGGTGAAATCCCATCTCTACTAAAAATACAAAAATTAGCCAGGTGTGGTGGCAGGTGCCAGTAAACCCAGCTACTCAGGAGGCTGAGGCAGGAGAACAGCTTGGACCTGGGAAGCAGAGGTTGCAGTGAGCCGAGACCACACCATTGCACTCTAGCCTGGACAACAAGGGCAAAAGTCCATCTCTAATAATAATAATAATATTCCATTGTCTGGATGCACCACAGCTTATTTATCCATACGAGGAAGTAGGTGGAACTTGACTCTGGAGGTGGGGCTCAGACAACGGACCAAATTGAGGACTAGCTAAAACAGGGCTGGAGCAGAAGCACCTTTCCATAAGACATGCCCACCAGTGTGCCATGGCAGTTTGCCATTGTGATGGTAACACCAGCAGCTACTACTCCTTTCCCAAGGCAATGACCCGACAACCCAGAAGTTACCACCCTTTTCCTAGAAATTTGCATAATCTGCCCTTTAATTTGCATATAATTAAAGTGGGTACAAAGATGACTGCAACCCTGATTACTCCGGGCTCACAGCCTGTGGGGTAGCCCTGCTCTGCGAGGAGCAGGACTTCTGCAACTGCCGCTATGCACTTTCACTTCAGTAAAAGCTACTGTCTAACACCTCCAGCTCGCCCTGGAATTCTTTCCTGGGCAAAACAAAGAACCGTCCCAGGCTGAGCCCCAATTTAGGGCTTGCCTTGCCCTACATCGCATTCATCTACCGAAGGACAATTTGTTGCCTCCCAGTTTCAGCAATCATGAATAAAGCCGCTACAAAGACTTGAGTGTAAGTTTTTGTGTGGACATAAATGTTCAACTCCTTTGGGTAAATAGAGGACCTCAATACCTAGTACCATGTCTGACACATAGTAGATGCTCAATAAAATCTGTCGAATGAATAAATCTCCCTTTGACAGAGGAAACAACTGAGGCTCAGAGAGGGGATACTGCCCATCCCGGACCACACAGATAGGAATGGAGAACCAGATACCAGCACTGGATCCCAAAGTCTGTGCCTCTAACCTCTGTACAACACTGCCTCTTTGAACCACACTAAGCTGCTCCTGGTGCCTCTTAGAGAGTGGCATAATGAGGGCGCTCATGGGCAGGCAGATCACCAGAGACAATAGAGCAGATGGCTGTGTCTGTGGCTCGAGGGAGGAAGTTCCCTCCTGACCTCAGGGAGATCAGCTGAACCCGGAGACAGCTTCCTTCCAGTCATGTGATGCCTCAAAGAGGGGAAAGGGGGCATGATTCATCCCCTCTCCGGGCTGCGGTGGGGCCAGCTAAAGAAAGGGGCTCCATCAGACAGCAGCAGTGACTGCAGTTAGACCACCAGAAAGGACTTCCTGGTCGCCTGAAGAGTGTGAGAAAGTGGCAAAGGACAGGAGGTCCTTTATTTTTTTTAATTTTATTATTATTATACTTTAAATTTTAGGGTACATGTGCACAACGTGCAGGTTTGTTACATATGTATACATGTGTCATGTTGGTGTGCTGCACCCATTAACTCCTCATTTAGCATTAGGTATATCTCCTAATGTTATCCCTCCCCACTTCCCCGACCCCACAACAGTCCCCTGTGTGTGATGTTCCCCTTCCTGTGCCCATGTGTTCTCATTGTTCAATTCCCACCTATAAGTGAGAACATGCGGTGTTTGGTTTTTTGTCCTTGCTATAGTTTGCTGAGAATGATGGTCCTTTAAACAAACGTAGGAGAGGCATTATGAGGACGGTTCCTCCCTGCTGGGGGCAACCCCCCTCAGTGCCCCTCTTCCTTCCTCCAGGAAGAGGCGGGCACCCACTGTGCTGGCATCGTGCCCATATGCAAATCAGCACCCAGGCGCACTGCGGTGAACCCTGAGGTTCATTCTTCCCCATTTGCCAGCCAGCCTCCCATCAACAAAACCCCTGCCCAAGATGAAGAAAGAGCCAGAAAGGTCGGCTGGCTTTCCACGCTCCTTCGGGGAAGCAGTGTGCAGGGACAGAGGCCTCTGGGGTCTGGGAGAAGGGGACCCAGAGCCAAGCACGACGGCAGCAATCAACTCCCCACCCCCACCCCAGCACCAGGGAGCCGGCCGGAAACCGGAAATGCCTGTTACCAGGGCTTGGTTGGGGAGATAGAAAAAAGGGTGGGTGGAGGGGCCCTTTGCGTTCAACCCATCAGCCCCTTCATCAGGCAACCTCAAGCTCCCGAGGGTTCCCAGAGAGGGCGGGTGTGCTGTGCACCCTTTCAAAGCTCCGAAGCAGGGGTGCAGAGTGTGCACGCCTCATCCTAGCCCTCAAACCCTTCTGTGAGGAAGCCCGTCTCTCTTCTGCCCCATCCCCTACCACCCCAGCACACACTCCACTTTTCAGCACCGGTGGGAGGGTCAGGCAGATCTGGTTCGACTCCCAGACCAGCCCGGCAAGTTGAGGGAGCTTGGATGGGATCATTTTGCTTTCCGTTGATTCAATTGACTCATCTGTACGTCGGGAATGAAAATACTTGACCCAATGTTTGCGGTAGAGCCTGGTGTGAAACCCAGCACCCCAGACCCGGTCATGCATTAATTCAGCAAGCATGTGTGGAATGCCTACTGTATGCCAAGCACCAGAACCTAATGGTGATCAAGACAAACAGAGCTCTGCCCTTACAGGGCTTATGTAATCCAGCCAGGAGACAAACACTAAGCAGTCAGCAAGGTGAATAATTGATGATGAGGGTGGTGAGAGGGTGTGCCGGGAAGCACAGAGAGCTATGGGACCTGGTTAAATGCAGGAGGCACCTGGTAAGGCTTTGGGGTGGTACAGGAGAGAATGGTGCCATGCAGGCGACAAAGAGATGGTGAGCGGCTGGGTGCGGTGGCTCACGCCTGTAATCCCAGCACTTTGGGAGGCTGAGGCGGGCGGATCACTTGAGGTCAGGGGTTCAAGACCAGCCTGGGCAACATGGTGAAACCCCGACTGCACACACACACACACACAAAAATTTGCCAGGCGTGGTGACAGGCGCCTGTAATCCCAGCTACTCTGGAGGCTGAGGCAGGAGAATCGCTTGAACCCAGGAGGCGGAGGTGGCAGTGAGCCGAGATCACGCCACTGCACAGCCTGGGCAACAGACCGAGGATGTCTCAAAAAAACAAAAAACAAAACAAAACAAAAAAAAGAAGCTGGGTGTGGTGGCTCATGCCTGTAATCCCAGCACTTTGGGACGCTGAGGTGGGTTGATCACTTGAGGTCAGGAGTTTGAGACGCGCCTGGCCAACATATAGTGAAACCTGTCTCTGCTAAAAATACAAAATTAGCTGGGTGTGGTGGAACACGCCTGTAGTCCCAGCTACTTGGAAAGCAGAGGAAGGAGAATCGCTTGAACCCAGGAGGCAGAGGTTGCAGTGAGCCGAGATCATGCCACTGCACTCCAGCCTGGGCAACAGAGCAAGACCCCATCTCAAAAAAAAAAAATGAGACAGATAGTGAAGCAAAGAAGAGAAGCATGCTGAGCAGCTGGCAGGAACATCACATGGCAGATCCACTTTGGAAAAGTTGGTACGTTTTCCTTGTTATTACTATTATTTTTTTACCTTGCAATTCCAGCACAAAGGAAGAAAAGTTGGTACATTTTCTTCTTATTAAAAAAAAAAATTAAGAAACAGAGCCTCACTATGTCGGTCAGGTTGGTCTCAAACTCCTAGGCTCCAGCAATCCTCCCGCCTCAGTTCCCCAAAGTGCTGGAATGACAGGCATGAGCCGCCGTGACTGGCCTGGTAAGTTTTCTTAAAACATTAAGCATGCACCTATCATACGATATATTCCATTACCAGGCATTTACTCAAGAGAAATGAAAGCACATGTCCATACAAAGACTTGTACAGAATGTTCATAGCAGCTTGATTCTGTTTTCTTTTCTTTCCTTTTTTTTTTTTTTTTTTTTTTGAGACAGTCTCAGTCTGTCACCCAGGCTGGAGTGCAGCCTGGCCCAATCACAGCTCACTGCAGTCTCAAATTCCTGGGCTCAAGCAATCCTCCTGCCTCAGCCTTCCAAAGAGTTAGGACTACAGGCATGTGCCACCATATCCAGCTAGCAACTTGATTCATGATAGCCAAAAGTGCCATCAGTAATTCAAACCTCAACCAAGGGGAACATCACACACTGGGGCCTGTCGGGGGCTGGGGGTTAGGAGAGGGATAGCATTCGGAGAAATACCTAATGTAGATGATGGGTTGATGGATGCAGCAAACCACCATGGCACGTGTATACCTATGTAACAAACCTGCACGTTCTGCACATGTATCCCAGAACTTAAAGTATAGGCCGGGCATGGTGGCTCACGCCTGTAATCCCAGCACTTTGGGAGGCCGAGGTGGGCAGATTATGAGGTCAGGAGTTCGAGACCAGCCTGGTCAACATGGTGAAACCCTGTCTTTACTAAAAATACAAAAAAATTAGCCAGGCGTGGTGGCGCACACCTGTAGTCCCAGCTGTTCGAGAGGCTGAGGCAGAAGAATCGCTTGAACCTGGGAGGCGGAGGTTGCAGTGAGCCGAGATTGCGCCACTGCACTCCAGCCTGGGCGACAGAGCGAGACTCCATCTCAAAAAAACAAAGCGAAACAAACAAAAAAACCTCCATCAAGGGATGAATGGATAAACAAACTGGGGTGCATCCGTACAACAGAATGGTACACTGATACATACAACAACATGGATGAACCAGGACATCATGCTCAGGGAAAGCAGCCAGTCACAGAAGACCACAGATGGTACCATTCCACTTACATAAAACTCCAGGAAATACAAACTAATCGACAGTGACTAACAGCAAATCAGGAGGTACGAGGGAATGAGAGGTGGGAGGAGGGGGAGGCAGGGAGGGGTGGGATGGAGGAAACTTTGAGGGGCAATGGATATGATCCATTGATTTCAAGGCTGGGTTCATAGTTGCACACATATGTCAAAATTTATCAAATCAGGCCAGGTTCAGTGGCACACACCTGTAATCCCAGCTACTCAGGAGGCTAGGGTAGGAGGATCGCTTGAGTCCAGGAGTTCAAGGCCAGTCTGGGCAACATAGGGAGACCCTGATTCTTTCTTTTTTCCCCCTTCTTTTGGGTGGGGGGGGGAAGGGGAGAAACAGGGTCTCACTCTGTCACCCAGACTGGAGTGCAGTGGTGCAATCCTGGCTCACTGCAGCCTCGACTTCCTGGGTTCAAATGATCCTCCCATCTCAGCCTCCCAAGTAGCTGGGACTACAGGCACATGCCACTATGACCAGCTAATTATTTTATTTATTTATTTATTTATTTATTATTTATTAGAGATGAGGCTGGTCTCACCATGTTGCCCAGGCTGATCTCGATCTCCTAAACTCAAGCAATCCTCCCACACCAGCTTCCCAAAGGGGCGAGATTACAGGCTTCAGGCACCATGCCCTGCCAAGACCGTTTCTGAAAACAAATCTAGAAATTAAAGAAAAAATTGTTTACCAAATCATATATTTTTTTTTGAGACAGAGTCTCACTCTGTTGCCCAGGCTGGAGTGCAATGATGCGATCTCCGCTCACTGCAACCTCCGCCTCCCAGGTTCAAGCGATTCTCCTGCCTCCACCTCCTGAGTAGCTGGGATTATAGGTGCGTGCCACCATGCCTGGCTAATTTCTGTATTTTTAGTACAGACAGGGTCTCACCATGTTGGCTAGGCTGGTCTTGAACTCCTGGCCTCAAGTGATTTGCCCACCTCGGCCTCCCAAAGTGCTGGGATTACAGCGTGAGCCACCGCGCCCCACCAATGTATTTTAAATATGTAATTTACTGTATGTCAATATAGCTGGTTTTTTTTTTTTTAAGTCAGCAGGATACTGGCTGCCCTGCTGTGTCTTTCCCCTAAAACTAGGTGCATAGGATGACTATCAGCTTAGGGAGTGGGTGGGGGAGGATGGGGTGGAAAATAAGGAAATAATGTAAACCATCATTGGTCAATAATGCAAAATACAGTCTTAGTCATATTTTTGCTCCTACTCTTTTTTTTTTTTTTTTTTTAGACGGAGTTTCACTCTTGTTGCCCAGGCTGGAGTGCAATGGCGCGATCTTTCACTCTTGTTGCCCAGGCTGGAGTGCAATGGCACGATCTCGGCTCACAACAACCTCTGCCCCCGGGGTTCAAACAATTCTCCTGCCTCAGCCTCCTGAGTAGCTGGGATTACAGGCATGCGTCACCACGCCCAGCTAATTTTGCAGTTTTAGTAGAGACTGGGTTTTACTATACTGGTGAGGCTGAGTCTCGAACTCCCAACCTCAGATGATCCGCCCGCCTTGGCCTCCCAAAATGCTGGGATTACAGGCATGAGCCACTGTGCCCGGCCATTTTGCTCCTACTCTTGATAAAACATAGTGAATGAGAGATAAATTTGTATTCTTTGTAATTCAAACTATTCTTACTTTAGAGTGTGAAGGGGGTAAAAAGGCTCCAAGCAAAGGGAGTAGCAGGTGAGAGGGCTTTGATCATTCAGACACTCCTTCATTCACTATGCAATTTTTTTTTTTTTTTTTTTGATACTGAGTCTCACTCTGTCACCCAGTCTGGAGTGCAGTGCTGCAATCTCGGCTCACAGCAATCTCCGCCTCTTGAGTTCAAGTGATTCTCCTGCCTCAGCCTCCTGAGCAGCTGGGATTATAGGCACCTGCCACCATGCCTGGCTAATTTTTGTATTTTTAGTGGAGACAGGGTTTTGTCACGTTGGCTGGGCTGGTCTCCTGACCTCAAGTGATCCACCCGTCTCGGCCTCCCAAAGTGCTGGAATTACAGATGTGAGCCACCGTGCCTGGCCAAATATGCAAATATTTATTGAGCACCTACTATACACCCAGTACTGGTCTAGGTGCTGGAGATACAGCTATGAACCAAAGAGATAAGCATCTCTGCCCTCAAGGGGCTGATATTCTGGCAAAGGAAGACAATGAAGGTATTGTAGGAGTATATTACATAGCTTGTCTGAAGGTGGTAAGTGTTAAGCGAGAAAAAAATAAGTAGGAAAAGGAATGGAGAATGTCAGGAGGGGGTGCAATTTTAAATAGGGAAGTCCAGGAAGCCTCATTGAGAGAGTGGCATTTCAGTAAAGGTTTGAAGGAGGTGAGGGGACAATCCAGGTGGGTGTCTGGAGGAAAAGCATTTCAGGCAGAGGGAATAGCCAGTGAGGTTAGTACAAGAAGCCCTGAGGTTAGTGCAAAGGCTCTGAGAAAAAAGCATTTCAGGCAGAGGGAACAGCCAGTGCAAAGGCCCTGAGGCCCTGGCATGTTGGAGCCAGGAGATCTGTGTGCCTGGAGCAGAGTAAGCGAGGGGGAGGGAGGAAGGGAGTGAACCAAGGGTGGTCTCAGGTGCCGATATGCCCAAACCGTGGCCATGTAATCAAAATGCAGCAAGTGGCTGTCACCCCAAGCACCCCATATTCTGCCATATCTCCCGGGGTCCCTATAAAGAAGGACAAATAAATGATTTTGAAGCCTTTGAAGTATTTCTCCCACCTCTCTCTCGAGTACACACTCAATAGCAAGTCAGGCTGAAGGCAGTAGACCCATATCCTTGGAGTGCTTAAACGCTGCTATGGTTTGAATGTGCACATGTTGGGAACGTATAATCCCCAATGCAATGGTGTTGAGAAGCGGGACCTTTAAGAGGTGATTAGATCACCAGGGTATATCTCTAACAGGCAGCAAGAAGGAAGGCAGATTCGTCATGTCCTGGTAGCTCATGGCAGAGACGGTCACAAGAAAGGATATCTAGGCTTGATCTCAGAGTGGACTAGCCGGGTGCGGTGGCTCACCCCTGGAATCCCAGCACTTTGGGAGGCTGAGACGGGCGGATCACGAGGTCAGGAGTTTGAGACCAGCCTGGCCAATATGGTGAAACCCTGTCTCTACTAAAAATAACAAAAATTAGCTGGGCGCGGTGGCACGCGCCTGTAGTCCCAGCTGCTCGGGAGGCTGAGACAGGAGAATCACTTGAACCCAGGAGGCGGAGGTTGCAGTGAGCTGAGATCGCACCACTGCACTCCAGCCTGGGCGACAGAGTGAGACTCCATCTCAAAAAACAAACAAACAAACAAACAAGCAAAAAGAGTGGACTAAACCCCAAAACCAGCAGGACCAGTAGAGCTAAGACGTGCCACCCTGTGCCAGGACATAGTAAACCGTTACGTATCATCAGTTCTCAGACCAATAGCAATATTGACAGCTCCCATCAATTGAGAACCAGGCTGCTTACCCATTAGAGTTATAAATAAAATTAATTCAATAAATAAATAAATAAATAAATAAAAGAACTACGCCCTGGGTGAAGCAATTCGTGTGCATTACAACTGTCTCCTCTGGTCTTCAAAACGATCCTGCAATGAAGTAGGGCTCCTATTTCGCGAGCGATACACAGAGTTCAGAGAAGGAGGGTCATTTGCTCAAGGTTCATGTAGGTCATTAACCTGATTGGTTAATGACTCATCCCCTTCCTTTGTTTTGCGCTGCCAGGAAGACAACTACATTTCCCAGGCTCCTTTGCACCCTGCTCCTAGATAGGTTCAGCCAATTGGAGGTCCCTGCTGGTGCCTAGGGTAGGAAGAGAGAAGCCAGGGTATGGCTTCTTGTTACGAAAACTGCTGTAAGTGACACTGCGTGATTTCCAAGTAGGTTAGAAGACGCCTTGCAGCTTCTGGCTTGATCTTTTTGAGGAATACTTGCTCTCTCTCCGGGTTTCTTGAAACCCGGTCGCCATGTTGTGGGGAAGCCCAAGCCACTTGGAGATACCACACGTAAGTGCTCCAGTCAATAGCCCCAACTGAGCATAGCCTCAAGTCATCCCAGCCCAGACACCCATCATGTGACGAAGAATCCTCCAGAGCATTCTAGTTCCCAGAAAGTCAAAGTTTCTCACCATGGAGCTGAGGCACCATCATCACTATGCCCTGTCTGAATTCCTGAGTCATAGAATCTGTGAGAATCAAAAATCATGTTTTTCTTACATCACTCAGTTTGGAGTGGTTTGTTTCACAGCAATAACTAATAACCTAAATATATGATGGTGCCAACACCATGGATTTGTTGTGAAAATTCAAAAGTGTTAATAAGTATAAAGTACCTAGAACAACACCTGAACATAGTGGGTGCTCATTAAAGTGACCTATTGCTTTTGTTGCTATTCATGACACTTTCTGAATCTACTCCTCTCAACGGCATTGGTCTCTTGACACCACACCCATCTGGTTATCCTCTTTGTTTTTTTGTTTTGTTTTGAGACAGAATCTCATTGTGTCGCCCAGGCCTGAGCGCAGTGATGCAATCATAGCTCACTGCAGCCTCAAACTCCTGGGCTCAAGCAATCCTCCTGCCTCAGCCTCCCAGAATGCTGAAATTACAGGCATGGGCCACCACGCCTGGCCTGGTTTTCCTCTTCAGTCACTGTATTCTCCTCTCCCCAATGTTTCTATGCTGTTACAACCTAAGGCCCAACCCTCAGACCACCTCTTTTCCCTCTCTCTTCTTTGTCCCAAATGATTTCACTCATTGATAAATGATTTATTACCAATAAACCAATAAACTAATAATTGATTTATTACCAATAAGTCATTTATCAATGAGTGACATTTACCCTTGGTAAATAAATCATTTACCGTTGATTTATTGGTAAATAAATCATTTACCGTTGGTTTATTGGTAAATAAATCATTTACCGTTGGTTTATTGGTAAATAAATCATTTACCGTTGGTTTATTGGTAAATAAATCATTTATCAATTTTTCATAAATGATAAAGAAGTCATTTATCAGTATCACTGGTAAATCATTTACCAATGATTTATTTATCAATCATTTAATGGATACTGCTTGAAGCACTTTACGACTTTACAATTATTACCTCATTTTTAATTCTTACAACAATCCTATAAGGTAGGGACTAGTTTTATCTCCATTTGAAAGATAGGGAAACTGAGTCACAGAGAGGTTCTGTGTGAAGACAAAGTGGCCCCATCTTGGATGCTAATTGCCATGTTGACTTCTGATTAACCCCACTCCCGGGAATGTCTCCTGAGTTCTACATTATTTGCTGTCCCTAGTGTAAGAACATATCAAAGCAAACTTGATGTTATCATACAAATTATAGGCTGTGATGTGCACGGTGTTTTTGCCTGTTCTGGAGGACTGCCTTTTCCTGTACTATATAAGCACTGGGTCCTGCACATTTTCCTGTACTATATAAGCACTGGGTCTGTGAGGTAATGGTGCAGAGAGGTACCTGTCTTGCCGCCGCCCAAGACCATGTTTCTTCTCTCCATAAGCTCCCCCAACAAATCACCCTTTACCAACAAACAGGATTTGTCTGCTGCATTCTTTGGTGTCTTGGCTCCCTCTGCTTTTGGGGTCATTTTTGATATATGGTCCTTTCTTTCTTTCTTTCTTTCTTTTTGAGATGGAGTCTCGCTCTGTCACCCAGGCTGGAGTGCAGTGGCGCGATCTCGGCTCACTGCAAGCTCCGCCTCCCAGGTTCGCACCATTCTCCTGCCTCAGCCTCCGGAGTAGCTGGGACTACAGGCACCCGCCACCATGCCTGGCTAATTTTTTGTATTTTTAGTAGAGATGAGGTTTCACCGTGTTAGCCAGGATGGTCTTGATCTCCTGACCTTGTGATCCACCTGCCTCGGCCTCCCAAAGTGCTGGGATTACAGGTGTGAGCCACCGCGCCCGGCCATATATATGGTCCTTTCTTGAAGCATTTGATAACTTGCCCAAGATCCCACAGCTGTGACTGGAACCTGGACCCCCCACACAACTGGAGTCCATGTGCCTAGCACTGAGTCCCTCGGTCTCA
The DNA here is from genome assembly GCF_000001405.40 of Homo sapiens. NCBI lineage: Eukaryota > Metazoa > Chordata > Mammalia > Primates > Hominidae > Homo > Homo sapiens. The sequence goes on along the minus strand of NC_000019.10, from coordinate 6,792,931 downwards.
GCGCTGTTGACATTTGGTGGGAGAGGGGCCTGTCCTGGGCATTGGAAGACACTCAGAAGCATCTCTGGCCTCTATCCAATAGATATCAATAACACACCAAGCCCTCCAGTAGTGATAACTGAAACTGTCTCCAGGCATTGCCAAATGTCCCCTGGGAGGACAGAGTCACTCCCCTCGCCCCCACTGCTGCCCCACACCACCCCTTAGTTAAGAACCATGCACCGGACATGCATGGTAGCTCATGCCCTGTAATCCCAGCACTGAGGCTGGGATGGGAGGATCACCTGAGCCCAGGATGTCAAGAGCAGCCTGGGCAACATAGTGAGACCCTGTCTCTACAAAAACAAACAAAACAAAACAAAACAGAAAAAAGAACCATGTGCTAGCCATTATGCTGTACTGCCTTCCTTCCCTTGCTTGATCAAACTCCCCAAGACCTGTTCCTCCCCTAGTCTTCCTACTACAGTAGAAGATACCCTAATTCACGCAAGTCCCTAAGCTGTAAACCTAGACACCACCCTGCCTCCTCTTTTCATTTCATTTCATTCCTTTTTTTTTTTAATTCTTGCCTTCCTGGAATATGAGACCTGCCTCCTCTTTTCATCCACCTCCACCCTTCCTCCTCAATGAAAATGTGAGCTGGATCCATGACTCCCAACTCCCAGTCGAGGCCACCATCACTTCTCATGGGGATGCCTTCATCAACCTTCTTTTTCCAGATCTCTCTTCTTTTTTTGTTTTTTGTAGAGGTGGGATCTCACTATGTTGCCCAGGATGGTTTCAAACCCTTGGCCTCAAGTGATCTTCCTGCCTCAACCTCCCAAAACACTGGGATTGCAGGCATGAGCCACCACACCTGGTCAGGGACCTCTTTAAACAATTGATCTGCTTAAATGCTCCAAGGATTTCCCATCCCCCCCTTAAGTTCCACACACATCCCCATAGCCATTCTAGGTAAGTACCTTCCTCCCAAACCTCATTCTTTACCACTCTCCCTCCACTCACTCCCTTCCTTCCAGAAGCTCCTTCATTCTGATTCTTCTCACCTTAGGGCATTTGCACAGTCTTTGCCCTCTCTGCCTCATGCTTCCCAGAGCTGGCTCCTCCTCCTGCAGCTCTCAGCTTTCCTTGACCACCCTCCAGAAAGCATGCCCTCCTCTTCTTCTTCCCCTTGATCCCTGGGTTTGTTTCATCTGTGACATTTATTACAATGTGCCAGCGTTTTGTCTATTTGTTTACTGTCTGGAATGGGTCTGGCCCCCTCTAAAGATGTATCCAGGTCAAATCCCTGGAAGCTGTGAAGGTGACCTGTGAACATTTTTTGGAGAAAACGACTTTGTAAGATGTAAGGTAAGGATCTTGAGATGGGGCGATGTCTCAGGGACCTTGAGATGAGGACATAGCTCAAGGACCTCAAAATGAGGAGATATCTCAAGGACCTTGAGACGAGGAGGTAGCTCAAGGACCCCAGGATAAGGAGCTAGCTCAAGGACCTTGAGATGAGATAGCTCAAGGACCTCGAGATGAGGAGCTAGCTCAAGGACCTCAAGATGAGGAAGTATCTCAAGGACCTCAAAATGAGGAGTTATCTCAAGGACCTCGAGATGAGGAAATAACTCAAGGACCTTAAGATGAGGAGGTATCTCAAGGACCTCAAGATGAAGAGATAGCTTGAGGACCTCGAGATGAGGAGATATCTCAAGGACCTCAAGATGAGGAGATAACTCAAGGACTTCAAGATGAGGAGGTATCTCAAGGACTTCAAGATGAGGAGATATTTAAGACCCACCCAGGCCATCTGGGATCATCCAGGTGGGCCCTAAATCCAATAACAAGTGTCCTTGTAAGAGACACACAGACAGACATAGGAGAAAACCATGTAAAGATGGAGTCACAATCCAAGGATGCATGTGAAATAGGAGGCAGGACTCGACTCTGGAGGTGGGGCTCAGACACTGGACCAGATTGAGGACTAGCTGAAACAGGGAAGAGGCAAAAGTGCCTCTCCATAAAACATGGCCACCAGTGCTATGTCAGTTTACCATTGCCATGGCAACACCCAGAAGCTGATGCCCCCTTCCATGGCAAAGACCTGACAACTCAGAAGTTACCACTTTATTTCTAGAAATCTCTGCATAATCCACCCCTTGATTTGCATATAATTAAAACGGGATAAATATGCCTGCAGCACTGCCTCTGAGCTGCTACTCTGGGCTCACTGCCAATGGGGTAGCCCTGCTCTGCAAGGAACAGTACCTCTGCTGCTGCTCTGCATGGTTGCTTCAATAAAACTTGCTAACACCACCAGCTTGCCCTTGAATTCTTTCCTGGGTGAAGCCAAGAACCCTCCAGGGCTAAGCCCCAATCTAGGGGCTCGCCTGTCCTGGATCATCTGGAGCCCCCAGAAGCAGGAATAGGCAGAGAAAGATTCTCCTTTGGAGCCCCCAGAGGGAGCACAGCTCTGCAGACACCTTGAGTTCAGACCTCTGGCCTCTAGGATTATGAGAGAATAAATGTCCTTTGTTCTAAGACATCCGATCCGTGGTTCTTTGTTACAAAAGCCACAAGGAACAAAAACACCACCCCCTCCCTCAAGAGGGCATGAACTCAGAAAAGTATTAACTGTGTCCATTATGTCCTGTGCTGTAACCCCAGCAATCAGTGTAGCCCTTATCACTGATGATAAAATAACATCAAATGAGTCTTCCTCCCCTCTTCCTCTCCCCAGCATTTATTTTATTTTATTTTATTTTTGAGACAGAGTCTCACTCTCTCACCCAGGCTGGAGTGCACTTGCACGATCTCAGCTCACTGCAACCTCCACCTCCTGGGCTTAAGTGATTCTTCTGCCTCAGCCTCTCGAGTAGCTGGGATTACAGGCGCCTGCCACCATGGCCGGCTAATTTTTTTGTATTTTTAGTAGAGATGGGGTTTCACCATGTTGGAGATCCACCCGCCTCAGCATCCCAAGGTGCTGAGATTACAGGCATGAGCCACCACGTCTGGCCTCTCCCCATCATTAAATAAAAAATAAGGCCAGGTGCAGTGGCTCATGCCTGTAATCCAGCACTTTGGGAGGCCAAGGCAGGCAGGTCACTTGAGGTCAGGAGTTCCAGACCAGCCTGGCCAAGATGGCAAAACCCCTTCTCTACTAAAAAATACAAAAATTAGCCGGATATGGTGGCACATGCCTATAAACCCAGCCACTCTGGAGGCCAAGGCAGGAGAATCACTCGAACCCATGATGCGGAGGTTGCAGTGAGCCAAGATCACACCACTGTAGTCCAGTCTGAGTGACAGAGAGAGACTCCATCAGAAAGGAAGGAAGGAAGGAAGGAGGGAAAGAAAAGAAAAGAAAGCAGAACAGAAAAGAAAGGAAAGAGCCGGGTGCGGTGGCTCATGCCTGAAATCCCAGCACTTTGGGAGGCCAAGGCAGGTGGATCATGAAGTCAGGAAATTGAGACCATCCTGGCTAACACGGTGAAACCCCATCTCTACGAAAATATAAAAAATTAGCTGGGCATGGTGGTGGGCACCTATAGTCCCAGCTACTCGGGAGGCTGAGGCAGGAGAATGGCGTGAACCTGGGAGGTGGAGCTTGCAGTGAGACGAGATCGCGCCACTGCACTCCAGCCTGGGCGACAGAGTGAGACTCTGTCAAAAAAAAAAAAGAAGAAAGGAGAGAGAAAGAAAGAAATTAAAATAAATATTCTAATTCAAAGAAGCCCTCAATCTCTTCTTTGCTGTTCTCAGCCAGTAATCATCAGATCTCTTTGGATTTTCCCCAAGACAGCAAGCTCACTCCCTCCAAAACTGGTTTGCCCGCCCCCAGGGCGATTCTGCCTCCCAGGGGACATTTGGCAATGTCTGGAGATACTGAGGAGAGGTGCTACTTGTGTGAAATGGATAGAGTCCAAGCATACTGCTAAGCATTTTAGAATACACAGGGCAGCTCCCAGGACAGAAAATGATCCGGCCCCACATGTCAACAGGACTGAGAATCAGAAATTCTGGCTTAAATTTAGAAGTCACTGCCCATATAAACACTGATTGCCTCCTGACATCTTATTTACCCTTCTGAGGTAACAGTTCCTCAGTTTCCTCTGTGGAAGCCACCCCAACCTCAACTCAAGGAATAGGCACATGACCCTGGCCTGGCCCATCAGAGCATGGTATTCTCCTGGCCACAGCAGCCGGTTCAGAAATAGACATGTGACCAGCCACCTCCCACCTCCACAAAAAAAGAATCATGTTCAAACAGCCAGGTGCAGTGGCTCACACCTGTAATCCCAGCACTTGGGGAGGCCGAGGTGGGCAGATCACGTGAGGTCATTCAAGACCAGCCTGGCCAATCTGGTGAAACCCCGTCTCTACTAAAAATACAAAAATTAGCCAGGTGTGGTGGCACCTACCTGTCTGTAATCCCAGCTACTAGGGAGGCTGAGGCACAAGAATTACTTGAACCCAGGAGGTGGAGGTTGCACTGAGCCGAGATTGTGCCACTGCACTCCAGCCTGGGCAACAGAGCAAGACTCAGTCTCAAAATAATAATAATAATAATAATAATAATAATAATAATAAAATAAAAAGAATCATGTTCAACGAAGGATAATGCTAGGACCTTGGCTTCAGTGACCAGAAAGCCAACCCCCCTATTTTCCATCGAACTCAGAGTGATGAGAATATAAATTTAGAGCAGGCTGGATGTGGTGGCTCATTCCTGTAATCTAAGAGCTTTGGGAGGCTGAGGCAGAAGGATCATTTGAGGCCAGAAGTTCCATATCAGCCTGAGCAACACAGTGAGGTCCATCTCCATTGAATGTTTTAATGTTTTTTTGTTTGTTTGTTTGTTTTTGAGACGGAGTCTTGCTCTGTCACCCAGGCTGGAGTGCAGTGGCGGGATCTCGGCTCACTGCCAGCTCCACCTCCCAGGTTCACGCCATTCTCCTGCCTCAGCCTCCCAAGTAGCTGGGACTACAGGTGCCCGTCACCACACCCGGCTAATTTTTTGTATTTTTTAGTAGAGACGGGGTTTCACCGTGTTAGCCAGGATGGTCTCGATCTCCTGACCTCGTGATCCACCTGCCTCGGCCTCCCAAAGTGCTGGGATTACAGGTGTGAGCCACCATGTCTGGCTGTGTTTTAATGTTTTTAAAACATTAAAAAAACAGTTGGGCATGGTGACGCACACCTATTAGTCCCAACTACTTGGGAAGCTGAGGTAGGAGAATCTCCTGAGCCCAGAAGTTTGAGGCTGCAGGGAGCTATGACTATGCCATTGCACTCCAGCCTGTGTGACAGAGCAAAACTTAGACTTTAAATAAATAAATAAATAAATAAATAAATAAATAAATAAATCTGGAGTAGTTGGTCACCCTCATCTGCCTCCATGAGGGAAAAGAATGATTGAGGATGGAGGAAAACACCCACAAGAAAGCAGAGTTAAGAGATGGAGGGCTGGGTGCGGTGACTCACGCCTGCAATCCCAGCATTTTTGGAGGCCAAGGCGGGGAAGATTGCTTGAGGTCAGGAGTTCAAGACCAGCCTTGCCAACTTGGTGAAACCCCATCTCTACTAAAAATACAAAAATTAGCCTGGCATTGTGGTGTGCACCTGTAGTCCCAACTACTCAGGAGGCTGAGGTGGGAAGATCACTGGAGGCCAAGAGATGGAGGTTGCAGTGAGCCAAGATCGCACCACTGCACTCCAGCCTTGGTGACAGAGTGAGACCCTGTCTCAAAACACAAAAAAGCAAACAAACAAAAAATAGAGAGAGAGAGATGGAAAGACCAAGGGTGGGGAGGAGGTGTCCTGAGATATTGCCTGAGCCCCTGGATCCAGCCAGACCTGAAGGCCACTGCACTCCAGCCTGGATGACAGAGCAAGACTCCATCTCAAAAAAAAAAAAAAATAGACAGCGTGTCAACAAATGGGCCTGACCGTGTATTGGTTAAATTTTATTTTCAAAATAAGGCAGTAAGACTCTACTTTCAGGGATCATTTTTATATAGATTGTTACTAGAGAAGTTTTTCTGAATATGCGGAATACCAAAAATAATAATAATAAAATATAAAAATAGTAAACGTCAAATCAATACCAAGAAAAGTAAATAAATAAAATAATTTTTATTTTGTTTTGTTTCATTTTGTTTTGAGACCCTGTCTCTGTTGCTCAGGCTAGAGTGCAGTGGTGCAATCGTGGTTCACTGCAACCTCCATCTCCCAGGCTGAAGTGATCCTTCCACCTCAGCCTCTTGAGTAGCTGGGACTATAGGCGCACACCATCACACCCAGGTAATTTTTATATTTTTTATAGAGATGGGGTTTTGCCAGGATGCCCAGGCTGATCTCAAACTTTTGGGCTCAAGTGATCCTCCTGCCTCAGCCTCCCAATGTCTTAAGATTACAGGCGTGAGCCACTGCACCCAGCCATAATTTTCATTTTTAATTTTTTAAATTAATTTATTTTACAGGGACGGGCTTGCTGTGTTGCCCAGGCTGGAGTGCAGTGGCAGGATCATAGTTCACTGCAGCCTCAAACTCCTGGGCTCAAGCGATCCTCCCATCTCAGCCTCCCGGGTAGCTGGGACTACAGATACAAGCTAAGATAATTTTTAAAACACGAGGCAGCTTGGGCCCATGAGTTATCATTTGCCAGCCCCTGTGTTAAGCGAATGAATGAAGCAATTAGAATCATATATTCATATGATAAATGAATAAATTAATTGATTCCGTACTATGTGCCAGGTGGTGTTCTAAAGCACTGGGGGACGTAAAATAGACAAAAATCCTTGCCTTGACATTTGAGTGTGGAAAACAGGTAATAAGCAAATAAGTAAAAACTATGACAGGTCAGAGAGCACTAAGTGCTATGGAGAAAAATAAAACATGAAAGAGAATGGGAAGTTGGGAGGGCGAAATCTATGATTTTATATCTAGAAACAGTGGAAGATCTCTCAGATAAGAAATCTGGGCTGGGCGCGGTGGCTCATTACCTGTAATCCCAGCACTTTGGGAGGCCGAGACGGGCGGATCACTTGAAGTCATGAGTTCAAGACCAGCTGGCCAACATGGTGAAACCCCATCTCTACTAAAAATACAAAAATTAGCTGGGTGTGGTGGTGCGTCCCTATAATCCTGGCTACTCGGAAGGCTGAGGCAGGAGAATCATTTGGGCCCAGGAGGCAGAGGTTGCGGTGAGCTGAGATCGTGCCACTGCACTCCAGCCTGGGCGATAGAGCAAGACTCTATCTCAAAAAAAAAAAAAAAAGAAAGAAAGAAAGAAAGAAACCTGGCCACTGACCATGTGCAGTGGCTCACATCAGTAATCCCAGCACTTTGAAAGGCTGAGGCGGGCAGATCACCTGAAGTCAGGAGTTTGAGACCAGCCTGGCCAACATGGTGAAACTCCGTCTCTACTAAAAATACAGAAATTAGCCAGGCATGGTGGCACATGCCTGTAATCCCAGCTACTTGGGAGGCTGAGGCAGGAGAATCACTTGAATCCAAGAGGCAGAGGTTGCAGTGAGCTGAGATCATGTCACTGCACTCCAGCCTGGACAATAGACAGAGACCCCGTTAAAACAAAGAAAAAAGAAAAAGGTGAAGTGGCTCATGTCTGTATCCGAGCACTTTGGGAGGCAGAGGCGAGAGGATCACTTGAGCCCAGAAGTTGGAGGCTGCAGTGAGCTATGATAACACCACTGCACTCCAGCCTGGGCAATAGAGCAAGACCCCCTTCTCCGAAAAAAGACAGAGAGAGAGAGAAAGAGAAACCTGAAGGAGATAAGAGAACACTCACCGTGTATACCTGAGGGAAGAGAAATCCCTGAAGAAGGAAGAGCCAGTGCAAAGGCCCTGAGGCTGGATTGTGCTGGGTGGCCGATTTGGCTGCGGTGCAGAGAGCAATGGGTAGAGAGGGAGCAGGGAAGGGCTGAGAGATGGACAGAGGCCAAATGCATAAGCCCTTGTGGGCTACAGTGAGGATTTTGTCTTTTTCACCAAGGGCAGTGGGGAACCAGGGAAGGGCTGTGAGTAGGGAAGGGACAGAGATTTCTAGCATCTCTGTGAAAGTCCTGAAAGGTGACATTTCCCAGCACTGGACCAAGAGAGGAGGTCAGTGAATAGAATAGAATGGAGGCTGGGCATGGTGGCTCACGTCTGTAATCCCAGCACTTTGGGAGGCCGAGGCGGGTAGATCACTTGAGGCCAGGAGTTGGAGACCAGCTTGGCCAACATGGTGAAACCCCGTCTCTACTAAAAATACAAAAATCAGCTAGGTGTGGTGGCACTTGCCTGTAATCCCAGCTACTCAGGAGGCTGAGGCAGGAGAATCGCTTGAACCCGGGAGGCGGAGGCTGCCGTGAGCCAAGATTGTGCCACTGCACTCCAGCCTGGGAGAGAGAGTGAAACTCTGTCTCAAAAAAAAAAAAAAAAAAGGAACAGAATGGAATGGAAAGGGATGGTGCCAAGTGCTGACCCTCCTAGATGCCCCTCCTGTTGGCCCTAGCAGGCAAGGTAAGAGGAGGTTTTCCAATCAGCCCAACCCATTTTGCTGAAGTTGCTATCACCCAGCTCCCTCATCCCCAGCTGAATTCCTCCCCCATGGCCTTGGCTCAGGTCCTTCTTATTCTACATCCCATTGAGATTTCCACAGACCTGCATAGATATATTTAGAGACAGGGTCTTACTCTTTTGTCCAGTCTGGAGTACAGTGGTAGCACAATCATAGCTCACTGCAGCATCAAACTCCTGGGCTCAAGCGATCCTCCTGCCTCAACTTCCTGAGTAGCTGAGACTATAGGCGTGCACCACCATGCCGGGCTTATTTTTTTATTTTTTGTAGAGACGGGACCTTGGTATGTTGCCCAGGCTGGTCTCGAATTCCTAGCCTCAAGCAATCCTCCTGTCTCGGCCTCTCAAAGTGCTGAGATTACAGGCATGAGCCACCATGCCTGGCCCTAGACCTGCATTCCTGAAACCCGCTCCATACCTGCATTTCTGGAGCCAGTGAGGCATTACCCTGAGGTTCTACGGCAGTGACTTCTTTGCGTCCAACCAACCTATCTCCTTTTTATCCCCAGCTCCAGTTTAACCACATTCCTAGTCTCCCTCGTAGTTAAATGGAGCCATGTGACCAAGTTCTGGCCAATAACAAGAATGGAGGCAGGGCATGGTGGCTCACGCCTGTAATCCCAGCACTTTGGGAGGCCGAGGCGAGTGGATCACCCGAGGTCAGGAGTTCGAGACCACCCTGACTAACATGGAGAAACCCCTACAAAATTAGCCAGGTGTGATGGTGCATGCCTGTAATCCCAGCTACTTGGGAGGCTGAGGCAGGAGAATCACTTGAACCTGGGAGGCGGAGGTTGCCGTGATGCACTGAACAGAGATCGCGCCATTGCACTCCAGCCTGGAGGAAAAGGGCAAAACTCCGTCTCAAAAAAAAAAAAAAAAAAAAAGGATGGAGGTGATGGCGCCACTTCCAGGCCTGGCCTGGGAAATTCTTTCATAGCGCTCTTTCCCCAGTAGAAAAGACTCCAAGGGCCTTCGGGAAGCTAAGACCATGAGATGATGGAGCCTCGGCCCTAGAGAGACTCTATAACATAGAGCCCTCCTCCCCCAACCCCTGACATTGACCCAAACTGAATTGTGACATCAATAAGAAGTAAAGTCTCACTATCACTGAAGTCATGTAATTTGGTTTTGTGTTTTGAGGGTTTGGTTTTGTTTGTTTTTGTTTTTGTTTTTTTTGAGACGGAGTCTCGCTCTGTCACCAGGCTGGAGTGCAGTGGCATGATCTCAGCTCACTGTAGCCTCCACCTCCCAGGTTCAAGCCATTCTCCTGCCTCAGCCTCCTGAGTAGCTGGGACTACAGGCATACACCACCACGCCTGGCTAATTTATGTATTTTTAGTAGAAACCGGATTTCCCCATATTGGTCAGGCTGGTTTCAAACTCCTGACCTCATGATCCACCTGCCTTGGCCTCCCAAGGTGCTGGGATTACAGGCGTGAGCCACTGCACCTGGCCTTTTTTTTTTTTCTTCCGAGACAGGATCTCACTCTGTCACCCGGGCTGGACTGCAGCGGCGCGATCTATAGCTCACTGCAGCCTCCAATTCCTGGGCTCAAGTGATCCTCCTGCCTCAGCGTCCTAGGTAGCCGGGACCATAGGCACACACCACCATGCTCTGCTAATATATATATATATTTTGTAGAGATGGGGATCTTGTATGTTGCCCAAGCTAGTCTCAAACTCCTGGCCTCAAGCGATTAGCCTTGCCTTGGCTTCCCAAAGTGTTGGGATTATAGGCGTGAGCCATTGTGCCTGGCAAAATGATGCAATTTGTTACAGCAGTTAACATACGTACCCTGACTTATATACCATTGCCTACAGGCAGCTGGGACTCAATGGAATTAAATTAACAAAAATAATGACTCTCGTTCATTTAGCACTCACTATATGTTAATTGCCATGCTGGGAATTTCATTTACCTTATCATGTTTAATCCTTACACAACTCTGAAATAAAGGTACTGTCAACATTTCCATTTTATTTTATTTTATTTTTATTTTTATTTATTTATTTATTTATTTATTTTAGATGGAGTCTCACTCTGTTGCCTAGGCTGGAGTGCAGTGGTGCAATCTTGGCTCACTACAACCTCCGCCTCCTGGGTTCAAGGGATTCTTCTGCCTCAGTCTCCTGAGTAGCTGGGATTACAGGTGCCCACCAGCACACCCGGCTAATTATTGTATTTGTAGTAGAGTTGGGCTTTCGCCATGTTGGACAGGCTGGTCTTGAACTCCTGACCTCAGGTGATCCCCCACCTCAGCCTCCCGAAGTGCTGGGATTACAAGAGTGAGCCATGTGCACGGCCAACATTCTCATTTTATAGATTTCCTGTTTTATAGATAAGACAATCAGGGATCCAATAGGTTAAGTAATTATTTTTTTCTCCAAGACCACAAAGCTAGCAAATACCTGACTTGCAATTTAAGTCAACCTATATATAAAGAGCTCCTAAAAATCAGTAAGAGATGCCTGTAATCCCAGCACTTTGGGAGGCCAAGACGGGTGGATCACTCGAGGTCAGGAGTTTGAGACCGGCCAGGCCAACATGGCGAAACCCTGTCTCTACTAAAAATACAAAAATTAGCTGGGCATCTTGGCGCACACCTGTAATCTCAGCTACTTGTGAGGCTGAGGCACGAGAATCACTTGAACCTGGGAGGCGGAGGTTGCAGTGAGCTGAGATTGCGCCACTACACTGCAGCCTGTACAACAGAGAAAGACTCAGCCTCAAAAAAAAAAAAAAAATCAGTAAGAGAAAAGGTCAGTAGTTCTAGAAAGTGCAACAATAGTAAGCAAGTGATATGAACAGAGATTGTATCACAGGAAGAAAATATAAATAGCTCTTAAACATAAGGAAAGAGGCTCAGCTTCACTCAGAATAAGAGAAAATGTAAACTGAGCCTTAATGAGCTCCACTGATTTCCCATCCAGCTGGCAAAACTCCAGAATCTTGGCAACAGAACCGTCTGTCGGGGAGGCGGCAGAGAAGCCAGTCCTCTGGCATGTGGTGGTATAATTGAAATAATTCATATGGAAACAATCCCAGACGGATAACAATTTGGCAATATCTATCAAAAACACAAAGATTGGCTAGCACTTCGGTTGACAAAATAAAACGTCTTAAAATTTGAAAAATAAAAACACGAGGACTGGGTGGAGCACGATGATTCACGATTATCATCCCAGCACTTTGGGAGGCCGAGGTGGGAGGGTCTCTTGAGGCCAGGAGTTTGAGACCAGCCTGGGCAACATGGTGAGACCCCCATCTCTACTTTAAAAAATGGTGGGCTTGGTGGTGTGCATCTGTAGTCCCAGCTGCTCAGGAGGCTGAGGCAGGAGGATCACTTGAACCCAAGAAGTGGAGGTTGCAGTGAGCAGAGATCGTGCCAATGCACTCCAGCCTGGGTGACAGAGTGAGACTCTGTCTCAAAAGAAAGATAAGAAATCTTTGTATAAAATATGGTATAAATGATAAGAAATCGCCTGGGCATGGTGGCTATCACGTGTAATCCCAGCACTTTGGGAGGCTGAGGCGGGCAGATCATCTGAGGTCAGGAGTTCAAGACCAGCCTGGTCAACATGGTGAAACCCTGTCTCTACTAAAAATACAAAAAAATTAGCCGGATGTGGTGGCACGTGCCTGTAATCCCAGCTACTCGGGAGGCTGAGGCAGGAGAATCTCTTGAACCCAGGAGGTGGAGGTTCCAGTGAGCTGAGATCACGTCATTGCACTCCAGCCTGAGGAATAGAGTGAGACTCCGTCCCAAAAAAAAAAAAAAAAGAAAAAAGAAAGAAAAGGAGAAGGCAATCTTTTAATGCAATGGTAAGTATTCAGTGCAGTCCCATGCTGTACGGGTTTGTAGCTAGGAGCAATAGGTTATACCATATAGCCCAGGTGTGCAGTATGCTGTACCCTCTAGGTTTATGTAAATGTACTCTGATGTTCACACAACTGTGAAATCATCTAACTACGCATTTCTCAGAACAGATTCCTTTTATTAAGCAACACACAACTGCATATGCAGCTAAACACTTTTCTAGGTTCTTTATAATAATACACTTATCCCCCACAATGATGCTGTAAATAGGGATTTAGCATCCTCATTTTACAGATGAGAAACCAGGAAACAGAGAGGTTTACTAATGTGCCCAAGATCACACAGCAGAGGAGCTGGAAAATGATTCATGGATGAGGTTATTATTATTATTATTATTATTATTATTATTATTATTATTATTATTTTAAGACAGAGTCTTGCTCTGTCGCCCAGGCTGGAGTGCAGTGGCCTGATCTCGGCTCACTGCAAGCTCCGCCTCCCAGGTTCATGCCATTCTCCTGCTTCAGCCTCCCGAGTAGCTGGGACTACAGGCGCCCGCAACCACGCCCGGCTAATTTTTTGTATTTTTAGTAGAGACGGGGTTTCACCGTGTTAGCCAGGATGGTCTCGATCTCCTGACCTTGTGATCCGCCCGCCTCGGCCTCCCAAAGTGCTGGAATTACAGGTGTGAGTCACCGTGCCCGGCCTTTTATTATTTTTTAGAAGCTATAATTGGGCCAGGCACGGTGGCTCACACCTGTAAGCCAAAGTGCTAGGATTATAGGCATGAGCCACCGCACCCAGCCCCCAGCTTTATTTTAGTTTTATTTTTCATTTTTATAGAGACGAGGTCACACTCTGTTGCCCAGGCTGGCCTCTAACTCCTGTACCCAAGCAATCCTCCCGCCTCGGCCTCCCAAAGTGCTGGGATTACAGGCCTGAACCACTGCATCCAGCCAGGCCCCTCCCTGGTTTAGACTAATGTCTAGCACAGGGCGAGCAAAATGTAAGTCTTTCTTGAAATAAATGGAATACGCAGTCATGTTATAAAGAATAATTATAATCTCTACAGACTGACTTGGAAAGACTGCCAAGGTGATTAGTGAGGAAAGCAAGCATAGAGCAGTGGGTGGCATGTGTCATCTTTCCTGTTATGGGAGGATGGAGATAAGAACCTCTATTCTGGCCGGGTGCAGTGGCTCATGCCTGTAATCCCAGCACTTTGGAAAGCCAAGGCGGGAGGAATTGCTTGAGGCCAGGAGTTCAAGACCAGCCTGGGCATCATAGCAAAACCCCATCTCTACAAAAAATAAAAAATTAGCCAGGTATTGCTGGTGCACACCTGTAGTCCCAGCTACTCAGGAGGCTGAGGCAGGAGGACTGCTTGAGCACAGGAGTTCGAGGCTGCAGTGAGCTGTGATCATACCACTATACTCCAGCTTGGGTGACAGATTGAGACCCTGTCTCAGAAAACAGACAGACAAACAAAAAAATCACCCAGGTATGCCGGTGCACACCTGTAGTCCCAGCTACTCGGGAGGCTGAGGCAGGAGGACTGCTTGAGTACAGGAGTTCGAGGCTGCAGTGAGCTGTGATCATACCACTGCACTCCAGCCTGGCTGACAGAGCAAAACTCTGTCTCTTAAGAAAAAAAAAAAAAAAGTAGAGACGGGGTCTCACTATGTTACCAGGCTTTGAATTCCTGAACTCAAGCAATTCTCCCACCTCAGCCTCCCAAAGTGCTGGGATTACAGGCACGAGCCACCACACCCAGGCAAAATTGGGTTTTGTTTTGTTTTGTTTTGTTTTTTGAGACAAAGTCTCTCTCTGTTGCCCAGGCTGGAATGCAGTGGTGCCATCACAGCTCACTGCAGCCCAGGCTTAAGTGATCCTCCCCACTTAGCCTCTCGGGTAGCTGGGACCACAGGCGTGAGCCACCGCCCAGCCTTAAAAGGTGCCATTTTTATCTATGTTTCACAGATGGAGAAACTGAAGCTCAGAGAGGTGAAACCAGGAAGTGGTGGTACCAGAATTTGAACCCAGGTGTGGCTCTCCAAAGCCACCACCCAACCCACTCCCCAGTCCACCCCCTACTCTAACTGTCCCACCCTCTCCCCACTATTCACTGGGGCTGGGGAACTTAACATCATCTTGGCCCCAGCAGCTGCCCACATCCTAGGTCTAACCAGCTCCCATGTCCTGGTGGATCTTTCCAACCATCTGTTCTTTCCTCTCCAGTCTCTTGGCCTTCAAGTTCCATCTCCGCAGCCCAGATTTTGGACTTCAAGAGCACAGTGGTGTCTGGGCGTGGTGGCTTAACGCCTGCAATCCTAACACTTTGGGAGGCCGAGGCATGTGGGTCACTTAAGGTCAGGAGTTCGAGACCAGCCTGGCCAACATGCTGAAACCCTGTCTCTACTAAAAATACAGAAATTAGCCAGGCATGGTGGCACGCATCTGTAGCCCCAGCTACTCAGGAGGCTGAGACAGGAGAATCGCTTGAACCCGGGAGGAGGAGGTTGCAGTGAGCCAAGATCATGCCACTGTACTCCAGCCTGGGCAACAGAAATTAGCCAGGCGTGGTGGCAGGCGCCTGTAATCCCAGATACTCAGGAGGCTGCTGCAGGAGAATTGCTTGAACCTGGGAGGTGGAGGCTGCAGTGAGTTGGGACCATGCCACTGCACTCCATCCTGGGAGACAGCAAGGCTCTGTCTCATTTAAAAAAAACAAAATTCATAATTGAGAGTTGGGTGTCTCAGTATAGCTGTGGCTTCTCATGATGGTATCATTCTCTCCCTGGGCCTCAGATCTCAAGGGGACCAGCCGCTTGGAGATTCATCCAACCTGACCTCCTGCACCATTCCCACCAGCTGGGCCAGTCACTGCCCTGAACATACAGGCACTGACTGGCTCCTACCTCAGGGCCTTTGCACTGGCAGTAACCACTGTCTGGAACACCATTTCCCCAGATCCACATGATTCATTCCTTAATTTTCCCCAGGTCTCTGCTGCAATGTCACCTTACCACTAGCCCTCCTCGTCAAAGTGCCCCCCTCATACCCTGTTCCACTTTGTTTTCTCCAGAGCAGTACATACCACCTCCTGATGACTTATACATTGTCTTATTTCTTCACTGTCAGCCTCCCCCACTAGAATGCAGGCTCCTCAACAACAGGGGTTTTTGTGTGTGTGTGCTATTCCCACTGTCCCCAGCACCAAGAACAGGGCCTGGCAGACCTTGTCATTGCTGGATGGATGGATGGATGGATGGATGGATGGATGGATGGATGGATGGATGGATAGTTAAACAGATAAATGGATGGATGAATGAATGGATGGATGGGTAGATGAATGGATAGATGAGTAGACGGGTGGATGAGTGGATGGATGGATGGGATGGGTGGATGGATGGATGGATGGATGGATGAGTAGATGGATGGATGGGTGGGTGGGCAGGTGGATGATAGATAGATGAATGGATGGGCCGGGCGTATGGCTCACACCTGTAATCCCAGCACTTTGGAAGGCTGAGGCGAGTGGATCACAAGGTCAGGAGTTCAAGACCAGCCTGGCCAATATGGTGAAACCCCATCTCTACTAAAAATATAAAATTAGCCGGGCGTGGTGGCGGGTGCCTGTAGTCCCAGCTACTCAGGAGGCTGAGGCAGGAGAATTGCTTGAACCTAGGAAGCAGACGTTGCAGTGAGCCGAGATCATGCCCCTGCACTCCAGCCTGGGTGACAGAGTGAGACGCCGTAAATAAATAAACAAATAAATAAAAAAGACAGATTAGTGGATGGATGGATCCATGGATAGATGGGTGGGTGGATAGGTGAATGGGTGGGTGGGTGGATGGGTGGATACATGGATGGAAAAGTAGATGGATGGATAGACTGATAGATGGATAAATGAGTGGATGGATGGATGGATGGATGGATGAGTGGATGGACGGATGAGTGGGTGAATGAGTGGGTGGTTGAATGGATGGATGGATGGATGGATGGATGGATGGATGAGAGGATGGATGGATAGATGAGTGGATGGATGAATGGATGAATGGATGGATGGAT
This sequence comes from Homo sapiens, assembly GCF_000001405.40. Taxonomy (NCBI): domain Eukaryota; kingdom Metazoa; phylum Chordata; class Mammalia; order Primates; family Hominidae; genus Homo; species Homo sapiens. Next base: position 6,776,465 of record NC_000019.10, on the reverse strand, counting down.
GGGTGGGTGGATGGGTGGGTGGATGGATGGATGGATGGATGGATGGATGGATGGATGGATAGATGGGTGGGTGGATGGGTAGATGGATGGATGGATGGATGGATGGATGGATAGATGAGTGGATGGATGAATGGATGAGCAGATGGATGGATGGATGGATGGATGGATGGATGGATGGATGAGTGGATAGATGAATGGATGAGCAGATGGATGGATGGATGGATGGATAGATGAGTGGATGGATAAATGGATGAGCAGATGGATGGAGGAGTGGATGGATGGATGGATGGATGGATGGATGGATGGGTGGATAGATGAGCAGATGGATGAATGGATGAGCAGATGGATGGATGGATGGATGGATGGATGGATGGATGGATGGATGGATAAATGGATGGATGGATGGGTAGATGGATGGATAATTGGAGGGATAGATGAGTGGATGAATGAGTGGATGGGTGGATGAACGGATGGATGAATATGTTCTTTCCACCCTCTTCCCAAGAAACAACTGAGAAAAAAGAGAAGGACTCCGAAGAGAAATGACAGAAACTGGGAAGAATTCTCATTCCAGCCTGCACACCTTTATTTATGCCATTTCCTCCACAGGAGCACCTTTCCTTTTTCCCTCTACCCTTTCACATCCCATGGGGCATTCACAGCTCTGCTTCAATCTGTGGACAGTTAGGCACCCAGAAACCCAGAGAGGTTGTTCCTGTGGCAGCTTCCTCTGGCTTCTTGTCAAGACCTCTTACCTTCCCTCACACGTCCCCACTACATACCAGACACACGGCCGGGCTTCAAAGGGCAACAAAATGGGTAGGGGCAGGAATGTGCCCCCTCGAAGAGGGAAAGGGTCTGGGTACACCGATGCCCAGCCTGGAGCCTGATACAGCTGGGCACAGGAAGCCAGAACAATGAGAAAAACTCCTATTTACTCTTCAAAACCCCAGCACAAATGTCCCCTCTTGCATAAAGCCTGACCCCATCTGGGTTCCCGTTGTTCCCTGTTACAGAGGATTAGGACTGTATTTGGAGTGCAGCTGCTCTCCCAGGGATTAGCATCATGCACCCTCGTCCTTCATCCAAAAACTAGCTTTAGCTAAGACATACACAAGAATGGAAGTTCATCCTTAAGTCTATCCACTTTCCCATTAGCTGCTATTGAAGCATCACAGAGAGCTTGACTCCCTGCCAGGTCTAACAGATGGGGCCTAACAGATCCCATGACTACTTCCTCATGCCCTAGAAACCAGAAGATTAAGCAAATGTAGGCAAAGCTGGGATGGGCTGTGGCCAGAGGATGGATGCTTAGGTTGGTGGGGGGAGTGCCTTCTCCTTTCAGGAAGCCCTGTCCCAGCTGAGGACAGTGTAATCCCCTGGCACTAAAGAAACAGAAGGGCCGGGCATGGTGGCTCATGCCTGTAATCCCAGCCTTTCGAGAGGCCGAGGTGGTCAGATCACCTGAGGTCAGGAGTTCAAGGCCAGCTTGGTCAACATGGGAAAACCCCATCTCTACTAAAAATACAAAAAAAAAAAAAAAATTAGGCAGGCATGGTGATGTGTGCCTGTAGTCGCAGCTACTTGGGAGGCTGGGACAGGAGAACCACTTGAACCCAGGAAGTGGAGGGTGCAGTGAGCCAAGATTGCACCACCGCATTCCAGCCTGGGCAACAGAGCAAGACTCCATCTCAAAAAATAAAAGATAAGATAAAAAAAAACAGAAGGAGCAGCCGGGCACAGTGGCTCACACCTGTAATTCCAGCACTTTGGAAGGCCGAGGTGGGTGGATCATTTGAGGTCAGGAGTTCAAGACTAGCCTGGCCAACATAGTGAAACCCTGTCTCTACTAAAAATACAAAAATTAGCCAGGTGTGGTGGTGGGCGCCTGTAATCCCAGCTACTCAGGAGGCTGAGGCAGGAGAATTGCTTGATCCTGAGAGGCTAAGGTTGCAGTGAGCTGAGATCGCACCACTGCCTCCAGCCTGGGCGACAGAGTGAGACCCTGTCTTTAAAAAAAAAAAAAAAAAAAAAAAAAGGCTGGGCGCGGTGGCTCACACCTGTAATCCCAGCACTTTGGGAGGCCGAGGTGGGCGGATCATGAGGTCGGGAGATCGAGACCATCCTGGCTAACACGGTGAAACCCCTGTCTCTACTAAAAATACAAAAAATTAGCCAGGCGTGGTGGCGGGCGCCTGTAGTCCCAGCTACTCGGGAGGCTGAGGCAGGAGAATGACGTGAACCTGGGAGGCGGAGCTTGCAATGAGCCGAGATGGTGCCATTGCACTCCAGCCTGCGTGACAGAGTGAGACTCCGTCTCAAAAAAATAAATAAATAAATAAAATAAACAGAAGGAGTAAAGGCGCATGGATCTCTTCCACCAATGGCCCTGCCCCTGAAAACCACCCGCCAGGAACCCCCATGGGCCCATCTCCATTAACTTATCCTCCCAGCTCTTCATCTGCAGGGCCAGCCTGAGGACCAGATGGGAGCTGTCCCCTCAGACCTCAGGGCAGGACTGTGTCCCCCAGGCCCCAGGATAGGGCTGTATCTCCTTTCATCCCAGAGGAGATGGGACTCCACCAGCCCCGCCCCGTCCCCCGTTCCCACCCAGCAGCCCTGGGGAACCAGACATGATGCTACAGCAACATAATGCAGCCACATCACACGCCCACCCAACCACATTCAAATAGGGATTTGAATATATTTCCTGAGCCAGTCTCATACAGCCACAGTCAAATCCACCACCACCCCTCCAGCCTGGGCCCCTGCAGAAATCCCTGCCGAGAAAATGCAGCTCTTCCAAGCACCAAGACCTCAGGACCCACTCTCTGAGCCCAGGACTGGGCCCTGCCTTACTATCTCCTCTGAGATGGATGCAGGGAGGAAGCTCAGATCCCTGGGGCTGCAGCCCCCCACCTGCCCCATGCTGCCCCAGGCCCAGGCAGGAAGCCAAGGGGAAGGAAGATGTAAGGGGAAGGAAGGGGCCCAGGGCCCGGGAGGAGGAGACACATGTGGGGGAAGATGTTGGCGGAGGCTCCTCCCCCACATCCAGACTCTGGGGGTCAAAGGAGTCCAAAGCCTCAGGTAACCCAATGGCCACCCTGGGGGTTCTGGGGAGCTCCCCCGAGACCTCTGGTTGGTCCCATCTGGGGGCATGAACCACAGTAGAGGCGCCTGGGGCTTGAGAGAGTTAACCCCTAGTTTGCCAGTTCTCAGCCCAGATGCGGGCCAACTCAGGGCCCGTGAACCCACACAGGGAGCCTGTTAAGCTTGGGGAGGCCACCCCAGAATCTCAGATTGTGACCACCCCCTGGGCCAGCCCTGGACCTGTAAGCATATTCCCTCTCCTTTGCAGGCCCAGAGGTGGAGCAGCACGTCAGCCCCTCGACTGTCAGCCCCGGGGAGGACCCCCGTCTCCAACCCTCAGCACACCTGCCCGCGGAGGGCTCACCTGGGACATCTGGGGGCGCAGGTTGACCTCACGCAGGTTGATGGCATGGGGTAGCAGGTTGTTAAGCAGCTGACACAGAAGGACACCATCCCGGAGGGCCTGGGCCAGTTCACACACCTGAGCCCCATCCCAGGTCACGCGGTGGCTGGGCGGCAGCACCCGGCACTGGATGAGCCAGTGGGTGCATTGGCGCCACAGCTCCATGGCTACCGCCTGCCCAGGGCCGGCCGTGCACCCTCGCAGCCTCCACCACCCACCCGCCCGCACGCCTGCCCTGCTCGCCTGTGGAGCGACAGCTAGTGCTACCACTTCCTCTTCTTTGCCTGTAACTGTCGCCCTGAGAGGGGGTGGAGGAGGAGGAGCCATGGGGCGGGGGGGAGCTGGGGGAGCACCTGCAGCCCAGCCCCACCCCACGCCTTCCATGCAGAATCTGACATCTCTTTCTTCCGCCCACTCGACACAGGCCTGGGCATGGGGAGTTGGGGGGCTGGGGGAGTCAGGCCAGCTAGACTATGAGATGGGTGAGCTTCCTCCATATGCAGACGGCGGCAGTGACACTCTGAAATATACCCAGAATTCACCCACTTCTCACCCCCTCCTCTGTCTGGTCCAGCCCCGTCATCACTCAGCTGGTCTTCTGACTCCAGCCCCCGTACCCCACAGTCTGTCCTCCCTGCAGCCACCACCAGAGGTTGCCTGTGAGCATCTGAGTCAGGGCACACCCTTCTTCTGCCCACAACTCTCTATGGCTCCCACTTTCCTCCAGGGACAAGCCCAAGTCCTCCCCAAGGCCCACAAAACCCTGCTTGAATTGCCCAGTTCCCTCCCTGCCCTCCCCACTCCCTCTCTCCCCCTCTTCACTGTGCTCCAGCCACACGGGCCTCTTCGCTCTTCCTCCAACATGCCAGGAACATACGGCCCTGCCCCAGGGCCTTTGCACGGGCTGTGTCCTCCACCTTAAGCAACTTCATGGCTAGCTCCCTCACCCCTACATGTCTTTGCTCAAATGCTACCTTCTCATGAGGTCTTCCTAAATCCCCTCATTTCAAATCACAGCCTTTTCCGCATTCCATTAGCTCTACCCACCTCCCTAGGTTAAGCCCTGATCTTTGTCCAACAAATCTGATTTTTTAAGTTATTTTTTTCCTTCCTTCCTTTCTCTCCCTCTTTCCCTCCCTTCCTTTCTTCCTTCCTTCCTTCCTTCCTTCCTTCCTTCCTTTCTTTCTTTCCTTTCTTTCTCTCTTTGTTTCTTTCTTCTTTTTTTTTTTTTGAGACGGAGTCTCACTCTGTCACCCAGGCTGGAGTGCGGTGGCGCAATCTCAGTTCACTGCAAGCTCCGCTTCCCGGGTTCACGCCATTCTCCTGCCTCAGCCTCCTGAGTAGCTGGGACTACAGGCGTCCGCCACCGCGTCTGGCTAATTTTTTGTATTTTTAGTAGAGACAGGGTTTCATCGTGGTCTCGATCTCCCGATCTCATGATCCGCCCGCCTCAGCCTCCCAAAGTGCTGGGATTACAGGCGTGAGCCACCGCGCCAGGCTTCTTTCTTCTTTTTTTTTCTTTTGAGACGGAGTTTCACTCTCGTTGCCCAGGCTAGAGTGCAGTGGTGTGATCAGCTCACCACAACCTCTGCCTCCTGGGTTCAAGCGATTCTCCTGTCTCAGCTTCCCAAGTAGCTGAGATTACGGGCATGCATCACCACGCCCAGCTAATTTTGTATTTTTAGTAGAGACAGGGTTTCTCCATGTTGGTCAGGCTGGTCTCGAACTCCTGACCTCAGGTGATCCACCTGCCTCAGCCTCCCAAAGTGCTGGGATTACAGGCGTGAGCCACCGCGCCCGGCTTTTTTTTTTTTTTTTTTTTTTTTTTTTTGACAGGGTCTCATTCTGTCACCCAGGCTGGAGTGCAGTGGCATGATCTCAGCTCACTGCAAGCTCTGCCTCCCAGGTTTTCCCTGACCTCAGCCTCCCAGGCAGCTGGGATTACTGGCACCTGCCACCATGCCCAGGTAATTTTTGTATTTTCACAGAGACAGGGTTTCAGCATGTTGGCCAGGCTGGTCTCAAACTCCTGACCTCAAGTGATCTGCCCGCCTTGGTCTTCCAAAGTGCTGGGATTACAGGCTTGAGTCACTGTGCCCAGGCTCTTTCTTCTGTCATCCAGGCTGGAGTTCAGTGGCATGATCATAGCTCACTGCAGCCTCAAACTCCTGGGCTCAAGTGATCCTCCCGCCTCAGCCTCCCAAGTAGCTGGAACTACAGGCTTGTGCCACTGTGCCTGGCTAATTTTAAATTTTTTTGCAGAGAGGGGCTTTTACTATGTTGCCCAGGCTGGTCTTGAACTCCTGGCCTCAAGCAATCCTCCCACCTCGGCTTCCCAAAGTACTGGGATTACAGACGTGGGCCATGGCACCCGCTCATCATTGTTTCTTTATTGTCTGTTCAAGAATTTATGTTTCTTTGGTTCACTACTGACCCCTCTCTTATGCAGCACCTGACACATAGGCATGCCCCTTAAATACCTGTTGAATGAATAAATAATTGAAAGCTCTATTGACTGCACCTGACATTTATCCCAAATCCATCCCTTTATCACCATGTCCATGGTCACCACCCAAATCCAAGCCACCATCATCCCTCTCCTTATAGACTACAATAGTGTCTTTTTTTTTTTTTTTTTTTGTCTTGCTCTATGGACCAGGCTGGAGTGTAGTGGCGCAATCTCGGCTCATTGCAACCTCTGCCTCCCAGATTCAAGTGATTCTCCTGCCTCAGCCTCCCGAGTAGCTGGGATTATAGGTGTCACCATGCGTGGCTAAATTTTTGTATTTTCAGTAGAGACAGGGTTTCGCCATGTGGCCCAGGCTGGTCTCAAACTCCTGGCCTCAAGTGATCCACCTGCCTCAGCCTCCCAAAGTGCTGGGATTACAGGCACGAGCCACTGTGCCAGGCCCAATAGTGTCTTTCATTAACTCATTCAACAAACATTTACTGGCTTCCCGGCCATTACCTTATCATTAGCTGAAATCATCTTCATGAGATTAGGTCTCTCTGCCCCCATCCCTAGCTTCCACCCCAGTAGAGTGTAAGCAGGCCCTCCCCCGTCCACCTAATACGTGGCCCTCATCATGGAGTTTCTTTTTAAATTATCGTTATTATTATTCTTAGGAGAAAGTTTCACTCTGGTTGCCCAGGCTAGAGTGCAATGGTGCAATCTCTGCCCACAGCAACCTCTGCCTCCCAGGTTCAAGTGATTCTCCTTCCTCAGCCTCCCTAGTAGCCGGGATTACAGGTGCATGCCACCACACACAGCTAATCTGCTCACAGCAACCTCCGCCTCCCAGGTTCAAGTGATTCTCCTTCCTCAGCCTCCCCAGTAGCTGGGATTACAGGTGCATTCCACCACACCCAGCTAATTTTGTATTTAGTGGAGACAGGGTTTCACCATGTTGGTCAGGCTGGTCTGGAACTCCTGACCTCAGGTGATCTGCCCACCTCGGCCTCCCAAAGTGCTGGGCCCTCTTTTTAAATTATTATAACCACGAGGAGGCGCTAGACCCCTTCCCTGAACATGCCCCTACCCTCTGACTGTACCAATACCAGACCGGTGAGGGATAAGGAAGAAACTTTCTTCCCCTCTTGAGCCTGGAGTCTCTTCCATATTTGCCAGGGCCAGTCGGGGGAGCCCAGTCTGGAAATTCCCTGCTTTGCAACCTACAGGCATCAAAACTTTTCATCCCCAAGCATCGTTGGCCCTCTAGGCCTCAATTTCCTCATCTGTAAAATGGTGGGTGAGTAACTTTCACCGCAAAGCAGCATCGTGGAGAAAGTGGGCATGCGAAGATTGAAAAGGAGGCAGACAGGATAAAGCTCCAGAGCTCCGGGTTTGAATTTCGCCTCTACCACTTACAAGCCAGGTTAACTTGGGCAAATGGTTTAGTTGCCCTGTGCCTCAGTTTCTCCATCTGGAAAATGGAAGTGATGAAAATACTACCTACCACCCTTACAGGGTGGTCTGTTTGAAAATTAAAATAGAGGCCTCATGCCTGTAACCCCAGCACTTTGGGAGGCCGAGGCAGGTGGATCACATGAGGTCAGGAGTTTGAGACCAGTCTGGCCGAGACCCCATCTCTACTAAAAATACAAAAATTAGCCTGTAATCCCAGCTACTCGGGAGTCTACAGCCGGAGAATCGCTTGAACCGGGGAGGTGGAGGTTGCAGTGAGCTGAGACTGCTGCCACTGCACTCCAGTCTGGGCAACGAGAGTGAAACTCCATCTCAAAAAATAAAATAAAATAAAATAAAGGCAAGTTGACAGAACAGCCCTTGTGTACAGTAAGTGCTCAATAAATGTTAGCTGCTGCTACTGCTTTTAAGACTGTGGTTACTGGGGCCAAGCACAGTGGTTCATGCTTGCTTGTAATCTCAGCGCTCTGGGAGGCCAAGGCAGGAAGTTCGCATGAGCCCAGGAGTTCCAGAGCCTGGGCAGCATAGTAAGACGCCACATCTACAAAAAATAAAATAAAATCAGCTGGGTGTGGTGGTGTGCACCTTTAGTCTCAGCTGCTTGGAAGGCTGAAGCGGGAGGATAGCTTAAGCCCAGGAGGTTGAGGCTACAGTGAGCTATGATCACCACTGCACTCCGGCCTGGGCAATATAGCAAGACCCTGTCTCTACAAGACAAGACTGATGTTAATATGAGGAACTCATCAATAAACGTGGCCAAAGAGTCCTCTCTCTTGCACTAGGTCCCTGTCACCTTTTCTCTTGTTCGTCTCCAGGCATCACGATGGAAGTCCCCCCCACCCTTCTTCCCACCTGGGAAACCACCTGAATGATTTGCCTTCCACCTCCACCAAAGTCCCGCCCCGCTCCAGCGTGCTGTCACTGAAGGAAGCTGTCGCGTTTTCCCGGACGTCTCTCCACAAAACCCGCCACCTAAATGGGGCTTCTTTCCGGAAAATCCGGGAGGGCGGTCTGGAGGAAGCGTACCCCTCCTTACGTCACAGCTGCCGCAGCTACCCCAGCCTGGCGTAAGAGCCCGAGGGAGTTGCCCTGCCCTGACCCGGAGCCTTGGCGGGGAGGGGAGAGAGGCACCCCACTCCACCCCGCCCTGGTCCCAAAGGGCCATGGGTGCTTGGGGCCGCCTGGGTGGAAGGGAGGGGCAGGGTTCTAAGGGGCGGGAACGTTGGGATGAAATTTCTTCTATTGCCCTAAGGGGCGGGGCTGAGAAGGAGGTGGCTGCGGGTGGGCGTAGTCATTCGGCGGTGGTCGTGGCTATATACAAGGGGAGGGGCCACTGGCAGGAAAGGATGCGTGGTGCTCCCCTAGTGGGCGGGGTCTATGGAGAAAGCGGTGCGATGCAGAAGGAGGCGTGGCTAGTAGCAAAAAAAATGGTTTTAAGGGGGCGGAGCAAGGGCCTGGGAAGTTAGTTTGAGGCGGGGCCCGCAGGGGGCGGGGTCTGCAGGAGGTGTGGTCAGGTAACTGGGCTGAGTTCCCACTAGGTGTGGTCTGGGAAGGCTGGGGCGGTGGCAAGGTGGAGGGCGGGGGTGACAGCAGCCCGGAGCCGCGGAGCCTCAGCTTCCGCCTGGACCCAGCCTCGTGGGAGCCCCGCGGGTCCTGCCCAGGTGAGTGGAGCCCCAGGGCAGATCCAGAACCAGGATTATTGGGATGGGGAGTCCTCTCTTTCCAGGTGGGGTCACCGGCTCGCAGGGAGGATCTGGGGTAGAAGAGGTCGCCTCGCGAATGAGAGGGTCGCTGTGCGTTACGCGTGTCGGTGTGCTCGGGCTCACCTGGGCGTGCCTCTCTAAGTGTATTTCCTGTGCAGCACAGAAAGCCATTGTTTCCATTTTTGCCTGAGTGATCCTCTTAAACGGCGAATCAGATCGGGCCCCTCCTTCACTTAAAACCCTTGGGTCATAGAGATTAAAATTCAAAGTCCACTAGTTTTTGCCTAGTCTCTCCTCCTGATCTCTCCAACCTCATTGCCCTCCTATCTACTCCTTCCTCATCGTATTCCGGCTACACCAGCCGCCTTGATGATGTAAAATGTAAAAAGCAAGTCCATCTCAGCTCCAGGCCTTTACCCTTACTGTACCCCTCACCCAGGCGACTCCTCCAAATCTTTGCCTAACTGCCTCCTTCTGTACTGAGGTCTCAGTTCCAATGTCACTTTATAGGAGAGGCTGTCCTGTCCAGCCTCCTCTATCACATCTCCCTGGCTTATCACTTTCATTGATAACTCTTAGAAATGGTCTGTCTTCTCCATTCATCTTGTGCTCGTTTGCAGTCTGTCTTGCGCAGCCGACTGCAAGCTCTGGAGGGCAGGGTGGTGCCGAGCTTTAATCTCCTTAGTCACTGTATCTCTAGGTCCTAGAACAGAGCCTGGTGCACAGCAAGTGCTCCAGCAATGGTCGTCCAACGTCAAAAGCGAGTCCTGCCTACATCTGTGTTTGTGTTGCCTGTGCTGGTGGTTCCCACCCTCCACGTCCTCCCCACACGTGGACACATGTTTATGATCCAACTGGAACATGAATAATCCCCTCTCTCCTCTCTCTATGCTTGGTCTGATTCCTGATTCTGCCCGTTTCTTCTCTTCCGTGCCCGAATAAATGATCCCAAAGGACTCAGAGGCAGGAGATGGCTTAGTTGGCCTTTGGCTGACCTATGGCCACCCTGTGTCCTCAAACTAACCAGAACCTTGCCATTGACTCAACTTCACTCTCACTAAGGGAGACACAAGACAGGAACTTGGGGTTGGGAAACTCTGCGACCGAGGCTAGCCCTGGTCCAGGTGACAAACAGGAAGTGCGCAGGCATTGCAAAGACACACCTGGCTTCAGGTATGCGGCACTGGCAGCTGGCTCCCTGCCCAGCGCTCCTCCCCTAAAGCCACCTAGGGCTGGTCTGGGAACTTCCTGCTGACTCAGGAGGCAGGAATTTCTCTGCAGACCCCACCAGAAGACTTTGCAGGGCTGCAGGGAGAGCTTGCAGGAGAGTAAGAAGCAGATTATCTTCTTCTGGACCATCCAGAGAAATCTCCCCCACCAGACACCTGAGACACACTGGCCCTGAGGCCTGTGAGATTATCGGGAAACTACCAAAATGTCTGAGATCCAAATTCAATCATCATGATAACCACATGTATGGGCTCCGAAATAGAAGGATCTGCAAAGGCAACATTGCTGTTTGCTGACATTGCTACAAAATGTGACCTTTTAAAAATCTTAACCCTGGGGTTACATTCTTTTTTTTTTTTTTTTTTTTGAGACGGAGTCTTGCTCTGTCACCCAGGCTGGAGTGCAGTGGTGTGATCTCGGTTCACTGCAGGGTCTGCCTCCTGGATTCAAGCGATTCTCTCTCCTCAGCCTCCTGAGTAGCTGGGACTACAGGCACACGCCACCATGCCTGGCTAATTTTTGTATTTTTAGTAGAGACGGGGTTTCACTGTGTTGACCAGGCTGGTCTCAAACTCCTGACCTCAGATGATCCACCCACCTCTGCCTCCCAAAGTGCTAGGATTACAAGAGTGAGCCACCGCGCCTGGCCCCCAGCGTTGCATTCTAAAGCAAAGAATAGGGGTTAGATCTGCACCTATCCTGAGAACCTCTGAGTGTGCGCATAGGTTGCCGAGAAGCCATGGATGTTTGTAAGTTAAATTCCCCCTGACTGGGATGTTTTTTCACCCAGAGTCACCTGGCACACTCCCCAGAATTCCTTCCAGACTTTACTCAATGAGACCTTTCCTGGTCACATGATCAAAAATGTTCACCCAGCCTGGGCAACGTGGCAAGACCCAATCTCTACATATATATTTAAAAATTAGCCAGGCACAGCCAGACGCAGTGGCTCATGCTGGTAATCCCAGTGCTTTGGGAGGCTGAGGAGGGTGGATCACCTGAGGTCAGGAGTTCGAGACCAGCCTGGCCAACATGGAGAAACCCCATCTCTATTAAAAATATTTTAAAAATTAGCCAGGCATGGTGGCACACACCTGTAGTCCCAGCTACTGAGGAGGCCGATGCACGAGAATTGCTTGAAACCAGCAGGCGGAAGTTGCAATGAACTGAGATCATGCCACTGCACTCCAGCCTGGGCAACAGAGTGAGACTTGATCTCAAAAAAAAAAAAAAAAAAAAAAATTAGCCAGGTACAGTGGCCCACGCTCATAGTCCCAGCTACTCAGAAGGATGAGGTGGGAGAATCACTTGAGCCCAGGAGGTCAAGGCCGCAATGAGCTGTGATTGCACCACTGCAGTCCAGCCTGGGCAATAAAGCAAGACTCTGTCTCAAAAAAAAAAGAGTGTTCACCCTAGCACCTGTACTTTCATTATATCCCATCCATGGTTTAGTTTTTTTGTCTAGCACTCACTCATGTATGCCATCATCTAGTTCTTTTCTGAGGTGCTGCTCCCCAGTAGAATGTCAGCTCCCAAGGACAGAGATTTCCATCTGTTTTGTTCAATGCTATGTCTCTAGGGCCTAGAACAGAGCCTGGGACCCCATAAGGTGCTGAATAAATAGGGGTTCAGTGAATTCATTAATTACATTTCTGCAAGATGGGGTGGCATGTTGTCATCTTCAGCCATTTTTTTTTTCTTCGATTGCATTATATTTGGAACAGGCACGATGGTGACATCTGTAATCCCAACTACTTGGGAGGCTGAGGCTAGAGGATTCCTTGAGCCCAGGAATTCAAGGCTAAAGTGTGCTATGATCACACCTGTGAATAGCACTGCACTCCAGCCTGGGCAACACATAAGACCTCTCTCTTTAAATGTAAAAAAAAAAGTCTGCGTGCAGTGGCTTATGCCTGTAATCCCAGCACTTTGGGAGGCTGAGGCAGGTGGATCACCTGAGGTCAGGAGTTCAAGACCAGCCTGGCGAACACAGTGAAACCCTGTCTCTACTACAAATATAAAAAAAGAAAAAACATTAGCTGGGTGTGGTGGTGCATGCCTGTAATCCCAGCTACTTGGGAGGCTGAGGCAGGAGAATCGCTTGAATCTGGGAGGCAGAGGTTGCAGTGAGCCAAGATCGCACCATTGCACTCCAGCCTGGGTGATAGAATGAGACTCTGTCTCAAAAAAAAAAAAAAAAAAAAAAAAAGATTTGATGGAGCTGTCTCCAAAATTAAGAAGAGGATGAAAGGAGCTGACCCAGACACTCAAGCAGGGCTAATTATTCCCCTTTTACAGATGTGGAAGACTGAGGCCTGTTGAAAGTGCAGAGCTCAGCCCTGGCACCCTCTGTTCCCAAGAGCTCCATGCAGGTGCCACAGGATGGAGAAGACCTTGCTGGCCAACCTTGGTACCACGGCCTCCTGTCCCGCCAGGTACCACCCACAGCAGGACCTCAGCACCATCTGGTGGGGAGCCTCTCCCACCCTTGCTGAGGATTCCTGGGTCCCTGGATGAGGGACTTAGTGCCAAGGTCTATTGGGACAGGTGGCAGAGGGCTGGGGACTGTCTTGAAGGTTGGCTGGCTGGGGACTGTCACTATATTTAAATTATCACTTTCTTTGGGATGATGAGATTGGTGATGGAGCTTAAGGAGAGTCCTAATGCCCCCAAACTACTCTTGGCTCTGGCCGTCTCTCCCTCTGAACTCCATCTACCTCCTGGTATTTCCCTCTAAATGTGAGGCTCCCAAGCCAGGCATGGTGGCTCACGCCTGTAATCCCAACAGTTTGAAAGGCCGAGGTGGGCGGATCACTTGAAGTCAGGAGTTCAAGACCAGCCTGGCCAACATTGTGAAACCCCATCTCTAATAAAAATACAAAAATTAGCCAGACATGGTGGTATGCGCCTGTAGTCTCAGCTACTTGGGAGGCTGAGGCAGGAGAATCTCTTGAACCCAGGAGGCAGAGGTTGTAGTGAGCCACAATTGTGCCACTGCACTCCAGACTGGGTAACAGAGCGAGACTCTGTCAAAAACATAAATAAATAAACAAACAAATAAATCTGAGGCTCCCACCTCCATCTGAAACTCAGTTGTCACCCCCAAAAATTCTGGGACCCTGAGCATCTCATGAAATCATGAGAGGCAGTAGAACTTAATAGTTAAAATCCCATAATTGAGACCCAGACACCCTAGGTTCAAATCCAAACCCTACAATTTATATTGTATGTGACCTTGGGCAGGACATTTGACCTCTCTGGGCCTCAGTCTCCCGATCTTTAACATAGGGATAGCAGGCCAGGCATGTTGGCTCATGCCTGTAATCCCAGCACTTTGGGAGGCTGAGGCAGGAGGATCACTTGAGGTCAGGAGTTCCAAACCAGTCTGGGCAACATAGCAGAACTCTGTCTCTACACAAAAAAAAAAAAAAAAGCGAAAATTATCCAGGCATGGGTGGCATGTACCTGTTGTCCCAACTACTCAGGAGGCTGAGATGGGAGGATTGCTTAAGCCCAGGAGGTCAAGGCTGTGAGTGAGCCATGAGTGCTCCACTGCACTCAGCCTGGGCAATCGAGAGAGACCTTGACTCAAAAAAAAAAAAAAAAAAAAAAGGCCGGAAGAAAAAAATGGGCCGGGCATGGTGACTCATGCCTGTAATCCTAGCACTTTGGGAGGCCGAGGTGGGTAGATCACCTGAAGTCAGGAGTTCGAGACCAGCCTGACCTATATGATGAAACCCCCTCTCTACTAAAAATACAAAAAAGTAGCCAGGCATGGTGGCATGCACCTGTAATCCCAGCTACTCGGGAGGCTGAGACAGCAGAATCGCTTGAACCCAGGAGGCAGAGGTTGCAGTGAGCCGAGATTGTGCCATTGCACTCCAGCCTGAGCAACAAGAGTGAAACTCCGTCCCAAAGAACAACAACAAAAAAAGGTATAATAATACCTACCACCCTTGTTACAGGAATTACAAGAGTTAACACCCTTTACATTTAAAGCAGTGCTTGACATATAGTAAGGGCTACACACGTGTGTCTGCTACATCTATTATTTAGTCCCCAGACCCCATGTTCAGCTCTACTTTGCCTCTCTCTGGGGTCCTGGCCCTTCTACCTGCCTCCCCAAGCCTTTTTTTTGTTTTTTTTTTTGTTTTTTTTTTGTTTTTGAGACATGATCTCACTCTGTCACCCATGCTGGAGTGCAATGGCTCCATCTCGGCTCACTGCAACCTCTGCCTCCTGGGTTCAAGCGATTCTCCCACCTCAGCCTCCTGAGTAGCTGGAATGACAGGTGCACACCACCACGCTCAGCTAATTTTTATATTTTTTGGTAGAGACAGGGTTTTGCCATGTTGCCCAGGCTGGTCTCAAACTCCTGATCTCAAGTGATCTGCCTACCTCAGCCTCCCAAAGTGCTGGGATTACAGGTGTGAGCCACTGTGCCCCACCCTTCCTACCCTATTTTGACACCAGCCACCACAGCTGGCATAAGACTGCTTGCAAATGTTTATAAAAGAGGGGGCCCCAATCTGGAAGCATCCAGCTAATGGCTTCTCTTGAAGCCACATTTGCATAACAAGCACAGTGCATTTACCAAATTAGATGTTGCATTGGTCAGCATCAGCTAGTGGCTGTAACAAACATTCCCAAGATATCACCAGCTAAACACAGTCAACATGTTAATGTCATAGTCCAAGGTGGTTGAGAAGCAGAGATGCAAAGCTCCATAAATCAGTTGGGAGCCAAGTGCATCTTGTAGCTCTGTCATCCCTCTGGGCTTTGGGGGATATCAGCTGACAGACAGGGGACACAACCTATAAGATTGTGCAGCAGGGTTTTATGCGCCAGGTCTGGATATTTCCCATAGCCCTTCTACCCCACATCCCATTGGCCAGTTCTCATCACATGACAACCCTAGCCGCAAGGGAACCTGGGAAATGTAGTCTACGTAGGTGCCAGGAGAAAGGGGGACAGAACTTGGTGTGAAAGTTCCCCGTCTTTGCCTGCCACAGAAGTTTCACTGGGGTAGCTTTTCTTGGGTGGTGGGGGCAATGGTGGGGGGAGCTACCATTAACCACTGCCCTGGACTCATTCCTAATTCCCCTGCCCCCTGAACTTCATCCACAGAAGGCTGAAGCTCTTCTTCAGCAAAATGGCGACTTCCTGGTTCGCGCCTCTGGGTCCCGTGGGGGCAACCCCGTGATCTCCTGCCGCTGGCGGGGCTCAGCCCTCCATTTTGAGGTGTTCCGTGTGGCCCTGCGTCCCCGGCCAGGCCGACCCACAGCCCTCTTTCAACTGGAGGATGAGCAATTCCCCAGCATACCGGCTCTGGTTCACAGTTATATGACAGGCAGGCGCCCACTGTCCCAGGCCACAGGGGCTGTGGTCTCCAGGCCTGTGACTTGGCAGGGGCCTCTGCGACGCAGCTTTAGCGAGGACACCCTGATGGATGGCCCAGCTCGGATAGAGCCTCTCAGGTACTCACAGTCTCCCTGCCTCCTTGAGAACACCCAACACTCGCAGGGTTTTCCAACTCAATGGTTGACTTTTTTTTTTTTTGACTGAGTCTCACTCTGTTGCCCAGGCTGGAGTGCAGTGGCATGATTTCAGCTCACTGCAACCTCCACCTCTCAGGTTCAAGCGATTCTCCTGCCTCAGCCTCCAGAGTAGCTGGGATTACAGGAGTGCACCACCACGCCCAGCTAATTTTTTTACTTTTTTATTTTTTATTTTTCTCTGGAGTCGAAGTCTCACTCTGTTGCCCAGGCTGGAGTGCAATGGCACGATCTCAGCCCACTGCAACCTCCGCCTCCCGGGTTCAAGCAATTCTCCTGTCTCAGCTTCCCGAGTAGCTGGGATTACAGGCGTGCACCACCATGCCTGGCTAATTTTTTGTATTTTTAGTAGAGACGGGGTTTCACCATGTTGGCCAGGCTGGTCTCAAACTCCTGACCTCAAGTGATCCACCCGCCTCGGCCTCCCAAAGTGCTGGGATTACAGGCATGAGCCACCACGCCTGGCTAATTTTTTGTATTTTTAGTAGAGACAGGGTTTCACCATGTTGGCCTGGCTGGTCTTGAACTTTTGACCTCACGTGACCGCCCGCCTCAGCCTCCCATAGTGCTGGGATTACAGGTGTGAGCCACCGCACCCGGCCTTGGTTGACTTTTGAGGCCCGAACATTCTTAGTTGTGGGGGAGGAGGTGGAGATGTCCTGTGCATCATAGGGTGCTGAGCAGCATTCCTGAGCTCCATCCAACTAGATGCTACTAGTTGTGACAACTAAAGATGTCTCCACACGTTGCTAAGAGTCCCCTGGACGTAGGTCACCTTGATTGGTTGAGACTCACTGGTACAGAGTAACTGGACACAGGGTTTTGCAGATATTGGTGGGGGACACTGCTTAGGTGGGGACTACAGGTTTCTCCCACTTCTGTCCCCCAGGGCAAGGAAGTGGAGCAACAGTCAGCCTGCAGATTTGGCACATATGGGGCGGTCAAGAGAAGACCCCGCTGGGATGGGTAAGTGTCTGCTAGAATGGCCTGTGGCTCAGGGATTGGCTCTGCCACTCACCACCTAAGAGATCTTGGTCAGGTGCAGGCACCTCTTCGAGCCTCAATTTCTTGCTTTAGAAAATGATGACAATCACGATGACTTAAAACATGCAGGGACTTTGTGGGTGCTTAAAATGTGTGTTTACAAGGCTGAGCGCGGTGGCTCATGCCTGTAATCCCAGCACTTTGGGAGGCCGAGGCCGGTGGATCACTTGAGGTCAGGAATTCGAGACCAGCCTTGCCAACATGGTGAAACCCCATCTCCACTAAAAACACAAAATTAGCCGAGCGTGGTGGCACGCACCTGTAATCCCAGCTACTCTGGAGGCTGCGGCAGGAGAATCGCTTGAACCTGGGAGGTGGAGGTTGCAGTGAGCCGAGATGGCGCTACCGCACTCCAGACTGGGTGACAGAACAAAACTCCATCTCAAAAAAAAAAAAAAGTGTTTACAATTATTCCAAGGAGCTGTACCTGTTCTGACCACAGCTTACCTTGCTAACAACTTCTGCTACGTACCCTCCTCATGCTGGTCACACAGCCCTCCTTGCAGTTGTTCGAACCCTCAGGCTTTTATTCCCGCCTCGGGGCCTTTGCATTTTACATTTCCACCAGTGACGGGAACATTCTCATTCCCCTAATTTTTTCCTGAGTGGCTCCTCTCCATCCAGGGTAAGTTCCTCAAAGCAGTTGAGTCTGACGGTCTTACCTAAAGGAGGACTCACCTGAATGCCCCCTCATGCCCCTTTTTTCCCATCCTTCTCCCAACCCCATTCAACATGAGCCGTCCCTGCATCCCAGGCCCTGCACGGAGTGCTAGGATACATCAACAAACCAGAAAGAGACAAAGATCCCTGCCCGATGGGAGCCAACAGTCCACGAGAGGACAACAAACCATGAACCACAAAAATAAGGCAATTTTGTTTGCTTCAAGATGAAAATTAAAACACAGGAAGGGAAGGCCAGGCACAGTGGCTCAGGCCTGTAATCCCAGCACTTTGGAAGGCCAAGGCGGGCGGATCACCTAAAGTCAGGAGTTCGAGACCAGCCTGGCCAACATGGCGAAACCCCGTCTCTACTAAAACTACAAAAATTAGCCGGGCGTGGTGGTACACACCTGTAATCCCAGCTACTCGGGAGACTCGGGAGGCTGAGGCACGAGAATTGCTTGAACCCGGGAGGCAGAGGTTGCCGTGAGCCAAGATTGCACCACTGCACTCCAGCCTGGACAACAGAGTGAGACTCTGTCTCAAAAAACAAACAAACAAACAAAAAACAGTAAGGGAAGGGTGAGGTGGCTCAGGTCTGTAATCCTAGCACTTTGGGAGGCCAAGGTGGGCGGATCACTTGAGGTCAGGAGTTCGAGACCAGCCTGGCCAACATGGTGAAAACCCATCTCTACTAAAAAAAAATAAAATAAAATAAAATACAAAAATTAGCCAGGTGTAGTGGCATATGCCTGTAATCCAAGCTACTTGGGACAGAGTGAGACTGTCTCAAAAAAACCGAAAAAACAAAAACAAAACAAAACAAAAAAAACAGAGTAAGGGAGATAGAGACTATAAAGATGGAGATGTATATTGCAATTTTATTTTATTTCTATTTATTTATTTATTTTTGAGATAGAGTTTTGCTCTTGTTGCCCAGGATGGAGTGCAATGGCGTGATACCGGCTCACTGCAACCTCCACCTCCTGGGTTCAAGTGATTCTCCTGCCTCAGCCTCCCGAGTAGCTGGGATTACAGGCATGTGCACCACGCCCTGCTAATTTTGTATTTTTAGTGGAGATGGGGTTTCCCCATGTTGGTCAGGCTGGTCTCGAACTCCTGACCTCAGGTGATCCACCCACCTCAACCTCCCAAAGTGCTGGGATTACAGGCGTGAGCCATTGTACCCAAGCAAGCAATTTTAAGTGGTAGTCAGGAAAGGCCCCATTGCAGAAAAAAATAAAATTGAAGGAAATGAGGGAGGGAACAGGTGGATAACTGGGGGATAAGCAGGCAGGAGGAAGAGGCAGTGCAAAGGCTCTTGGGTCAGAACAAGAATTTAAGCTGTTCATTCAACCAAAAAATGAGTGGGTAGCTGGGTGTGGTGTTGCACGCCTGTGGTCCTAGCCACTTGGGAGGTTGAAGCAGGAGGACTCCTTGAACCCAGAAAGTCAAGGCTGCAGTGAGCCGTGATCGCACCATTGCACTCCAGCCTGGGCCACAGAGTGAGACCCTGACTCAAATTTAAAAAAAAAAAAAAAAAGAAGAAGAAAAGAAAGGGCTGGGTGCAATGGCTCAATTTCTTCTTAAAAAAAAAAAAAAAAAGATACACGTGCAGAATGTGCAGGTTGAGCCTATTCAAAGGCATGGTAAATACAGTCTCCCAAAAGTCTTAGTACAGTTTTAAGTACTAATAGTCCAGAAATTACAAGCCTGTAATCCCAGCACTTTGGGAGGCCAAAGCGGGCGGATCACGAGGTCAAGAGATCAAGACCATCCTGGCCAACATGGTGAAACCCCGTGTCTACTAAAAATACAAAAATTAGCTGGGTGTGGTGGCGCCTGTGGTCCCAGCTACTCGGGAGGCTGAAGCAGGAGAATCACTTGAACCCGGGAGGCAGAGGTTGCAATAAGCCGAGATGGCGCCACTGCACTGTAGCCTGGTGACAGAGTGAGACTCCGTCAAGAAAGAAAAGAAAGGAAGGAAGGAAGGAACGAAGGGAGGGAGGGAAGGAGGGACACACGAGTGTAGCTGAAGCAGAGGGAATGAGGGGAGAGTCAGAGAGAGAGACCCTGGGGCTCAGATTGTGAGGATTTTTCAGCTACTGTGAGCACTTTGGACCTTAACTCAGAGTGAGCCAGGCACTGTTGGATGATTTCAAGTTCCTAGAAAAGAGCCTATTCAAAGGCATGGTAAATACAGTCTCCCAAAAGTCTTAGTACAGTTTTAAGTACTAATAGTCCAGGAGATCAACATGCCACCAACTTACAAAGGACGTCATTTGAAAGTTTACGATGAGGGGAGGGAACTTAGAGGAGGGGTCAGTAGGTGCAGCAAACCACCATGGCACACAGATACTGAACCTGCACATTCTGCACATGTATCTTTTTTTTTAAGAAGAAATAAAAAAGAAAAAAAAGAAAAGAAAGTTTAATAAGCTTGGTTTCTTTGACACTTATCTGAGTGTCATACCATACGCAGCTTTGTGAATTTTTTATACTTTGTCTCTCTATAGATATCTATATTAATTGTATATATTTTATATAGATATGTCTATGGAGAGATATATTATCACAAAAAAAGTAAAATATCTATCATATATAAATGTAATTATATGTAGTATATAGGGCAACATTATACATTTAATAATGTTAATTTTATTTAACATATACTTAATTTAAATATATATTATATATTTATATAATATATATCTATCTCTATAGATATGATATAGAGAGATATATCACTTAATTGTAGATAGATAGATATCTTTTTTTTTTTTTTGAGACAGGGTCTTACTCTGTCATCCAAGCTGGAGTGCAGTGGTGCAGTCATACCTCACTGCAGCCTCTGGCTCAAGTGATCCTCCCACCTCTGCCTCCCAAGTAGCTGGGACCACAGGTGCATGCCACCATGCCCAGCTAATTTTCTAACTTTTTGTAGAAACAAGATCTTGTTATGTTGCCCAGGCTGGTCTGGAATCCCTAGCCTCAAGCAATCCTCTCACCTTGGCCTCCCAAAATGCTGAGATTACAGGCGTCGGCCACCACGCTCATCCTTTTTTTAAAAAAATTTTTAATTTCGTTGGGTCACTGCTTACCATCTTTCAGTCAGAGGGGCAAAAACAAAGAATTCAAATTTAAAATGTAGTATTCAGAATTCATAGGGTCAGGCAAGGTGGCTCATGCCTGTGATCCCAGCAGTTTGGGAGGCCGAGGAGGGAGGATTGCTTGAGACTAGGAATTCCAGACCAGCCTGGGCAACACAGTGAGATCCCATCTCTATAAAATAAAATAAAATTAAAAAAAAATAATTTACAGAACTATAGAGATGCTAAAGTTTTCTAACCATGTGTAAGCATGTAGCATTTCTACCGTCGAGGTGGTTGAAATTCAAAACTGCACCCGGATAGGTTGTTATACCCCATTATTGGAATGAGTGGATGGATCAGGTGGGTGGTAGCCGATGAAGCTCTCACCCCCGCCCATTCAGCAATCTTCCCTGTGTATTCCCATTGACCCCTCTTGTATGACCTCTAGAAGCCTCCACCATGCCCATATCTGCCTTGCCCCGAACGAGCAGTGACCCGGTGTTGCTGAAGGCCCCTGCTCCCCTGGGAACTGTTGCCGACAGTCTCAGGGCCTCCGATGGGCAGCTTCAAGCCAAGGCACCAACGAAGCCCCCCCGGACACCCTCCTTCGAACTGCCTGATGCCTCTGAACGTCCCCCGACGTACTGCGAGCTGGTGCCCCGAGTGCCCAGTGTCCAGGGAACATCCCCGAGCCAAAGCTGCCCAGAGCCAGAGGCCCCATGGTGGGAGGCCGAGGAGGATGAGGAGGAAGAGAATAGATGTTTTACAAGACCACAGGCTGAGATCTCTTTCTGCCCCCATGATGCCCCCTCCTGCCTGCTGGGCCCCCAGAATCGGCCCCTGGAACCCCAAGTCCTGCATACCCTCCGTGGCCTGTTCCTGGAGCACCATCCTGGGAGCACCGCCCTTCACCTGCTATTGGTAGACTGCCAGGTGGGTCACCTCCTGGGATGCTCCTCCCCAGGCCCAGGGCAAGACCCAACCATGCCTACATAATCACGCTTCACCTGACTTCCCCATTCCCTTCTGCAGGCCACAGGCCTCCTGGGAGTGACCAGAGATCAGCGGGGCAACATGGGAGTCTCATCTGGCCTGGAGCTGCTCACTCTTCCCCATGGACACCACTTGAGGTTGGAACTGCTGGAGAGGTGAGCCAGCAGCTTGTAATCTTGGTTGGGGGAGGCCAATTCCCCCCACTTCCCAAGATCTCCAAACAGCTCCCCACTCATGGTTCCCCAGGGAAGAAGGGAGATGGGGCAATGCCACCTCCTGTCCCCCCTCACCCCTGCATTACAAACCTCCCCACTTCCCCCAGACCCTTGCCCTCCACCTCTGCAGGCATCAGACACTGGCGCTGGCCGGGGCGCTGGCGGTGCTGGGCTGCTCGGGGCCGCTGGAGGAGCGCGCAGCCGCACTGAGGGGACTGGTAGAGCTGGCGCTGGCGCTGCGGCCAGGGGCGGCGGGGGACCTGCCCGGGCTGGCTGCAGTCATGGGCGCCCTGCTCATGCCCCAGGTTCGTGGGGAGCAGGGACTGGAGGAAGCTGGAGTGCGGGTGACTGGGAAGACTGGAGAGGAGGCGTGCTCAGATCTCTTCTCCCAGGTGTCCCGGTTGGAGCACACGTGGCGCCAGCTCCGAAGGAGCCACACGGAGGCTGCGCTGGCCTTTGAGCAGGAGCTGAAGCCGCTGATGCGGGCTCTGGATGAGGGCGCTGGTAAGTGAAGGTCTGGGGCTTAGCATCCCCTGGGGGCCCAGACCAAATTTAACAGGACTCAATCTAGTCCTATGCCCAGTCCCTGCATCTGTTCTAGGCCCGGTCCCTTCACCATAGGCCCCGCCCTCCACATGAGGGTTGGTCCTGGCCCTTTCCCTAGGCCCCGCCCTCCACACGAGACTTGTTCCTAGGCCACGCCCCCACCAGCCTTGGTCCCAGCCCCTTTCCCTAGGCTACGCCCCTTCGCCATAGGCCCCGCCCTCCATACGGGGCGTGTGGTCCTGGCCCCTCTCCACAGACCCCGCTGTCGCTCAGTCCTAAGCCCCGCCCCTGCATTTGTCCTAGGTTCCACCTCTGCCCTATGCCCCATCTACAGCCCCAAACCCTGATCAGACCCTCCCCCTCCGCAGGACCCTGCGACCCCGGCGAGGTGGCGCTGCCGCACGTGGCACCCATGGTTCGCCTACTGGAGGGCGAGGAAGTCGCGGGGCCGCTGGACGAGAGCTGTGAGCGGCTGTTGCGCACCCTGCACGGGGCGCGTCACATGGTCCGGGACGCACCCAAATTCCGCAAGGTGGCAGCCCAGCGCCTGCGAGGTGAGCGTTCCCTCTGCGCTGGACTGCAGACTTCAGAGCACCCTGCAGGTTCTAACCGGATCCCCCAAACCCAGCCTGTCCCAGGAGGGGAGCCTCTCGCCACGCCTCCCGGAGCCCCACCCAAACTGGGACGGCTCCACTCCAGGAAGGTTCTCACCCCAAGCAAACGCTGCATCCAGCGGTATTGATAGGAACAGGGCCGTCCACCTCAAAACGGGCTGTCCTGCCCCCAGAGCCACCTCCGCGGGTCCCCACTCCCCCTTCCCACCTAAGACGATCCCGTCCCCCAGGGATCTCGATCCCCAAGAACGCCCTGCTCCCTCCAAAACGACTCCTCCGTCCTATCCTAGGGCAGCCCACCCGGCAAGATCCCCCCACCTTCCCCGACAACCTGGGATCCCGTCCTCGGGGCAGCCCCACGTCCAGGCACAGCCCCTAAGGCGGGACCTCCAGGATCTGGCACCTGGAACAGGCCACCCCATTGCACTGCGGTAGAGCCCCTCAGGCACCCCACCCCCATTCCTGCAGAGAGCTGGAAGCCCCCTCCCCTCTGACCCCGCCTAGTCATCCCGCAGGTGGGGCAGGTCCCTCCCGGGCCCCTGTTGGGTCAAAGTCCTCTGGGGAAAGGAAGGTGCCGGGAGGTTGGGAGGGGCGAGGCGGGCGCCTGGGCCCCGCCCCCAGCCCACCTGACCTTGCTTCCAGGATTCCGGCCTAACCCGGAGCTGAGGGAGGCCCTGACCACCGGCTTCGTGCGGAGGCTGCTCTGGGGTAGCCGGGGCGCGGGAGCTCCGCGCGCTGAACGCTTTGAGAAGTTCCAGCGCGTCCTCGGCGTCCTGTCGCAGCGCCTGGAGCCTGACCGCTGAGAGCGCAGACACCCTTCTTCACACCCGGGACCCCCAGGTTTTTGCGAACCCCAGAAGAGACCAAAGGAGTCGTCCCAGGCTCCTCGCGCCTCAGGTGGAATCCTGCCCTGTGCCTCACAGAAGAGGTGGGGACCGCAGTCAGGGTCACCTGGACCATGGTGAACATGTGACCTGCAGATCTGGCATCAGAGGCCAGAGTTCAAATGTGACTCCACCTCTTAAAAGCCGTGATTTCTAGCAGTTGACTTCACCTCTGTGTCGGCCTTTAACAAAATCATAGCCATACAGCAGCTCAGGCCTGTAATCTCAGCACTTTGGGAGGCCGAGGCGGAAGGAAGGCTTGAGGCCAGGAGTTCAAGACCAGCCAGGGCAACATGGTGAGACCTCATCTCTACAAAAACTGAAAAATAAAAAACTTTTAAAAAATGTAAAAGTTGAGGCTGTGTACTTTCTAAGAATTGTGGCCAGGAATGAGACCCCAGGTGGAGAATGCCTGGCACACAGTAGGTCTTCAATAAGTGCTACCCATTCTCAGAAGCTGCAGTGCATTCAGAAGGGATGAAACTTGGGTGTCCTGGCCAGGTGCGGTGGCTCACGCCATAATCCCAGCACTTTAGGAGGCCGAGGCAGATGGATCACTTGAGGTCAGGAGTTCAAGACCAGCCTGGCCAACATGGCAAAACCCTGTCTCTACAAAAAATACAAAAATTAGCTGGGCATGATGGTGTGTGCCTGTAATCCCAGCTACTTGGGAGGCTGAGGCAGAATTGCTTGAACTCGGGAGATGGAGTCTGCAGTGAGCTGAGATCACGTACGCCACTGCACTCCAGCCTGGGCAACTGGGTGAGACTGTCTCAAAAAGAAAAAAAAAAGAAACTTGGTATCCTTCTCCCTACCTGAGTCACAAGCAGACACCCACTGACAATGACATAGGCCAACTTCCAGAAAGGGGCAGGGTTGACCCAAGGTGTGCCCAAGATCACCTCCCCTTCCTCATTCCCTGTGTGGCCTGTAAGAAACGTGGTGTTAGATACTTCCAGTCCCAGTATTTAAATCCTCTAATAAGACACCGACTCTAGGAACTTTATATAATTTCTTTTTTTTTTTTCCCATTTTTGTATAAAACAAAATGGCCGGAGCCGAGCGGCAGAAAGAAAAGATGTAAAACATGAGTATGTACATCAATGGTGGAACGATGGTAGAAGGCACAGCGGGTCCGTCCGGTGTGACAGGTAGGACTGGGTTGGGGGTGGAGGGGGCAGCAGGTTACACAGGTCTCAGCCGAAGCCACGGGGTCAGAAATAAAGTGCATAGGTCCTGGGGCTCCCCGTGGCCCAGAAGCAGCAGCCGACAGCCCCCCTCTTCCCGTCTCTGGCAGGGTTCAATTGAGCGTGACTCGGAGGTAGGAGGTGGGCACGTAGCCCTCGCCTCCCTCTTTCCGCCTGACCCGGGTCCAGCCGTCCCCTTTGTCTTCTTCCATAAGACTGAGGTCTTCACCCTCGGCCATAGAGATAGTGCCCTCGCTGGACCCTGTGATGGGGGTGGGGGTGGGCCCAGATCTGCTTTAGGCAAAATTTATTATTTTTATTTTTTATTTTTGAGACAGAGCCTCGCTCTCGCCCAGGCTGGAGTGCAGTGGCACGGATCTTGGCTCCCTGCAACCTCTGCCTCCAGGTTCAAGGGATTCTCCTGCCTCAGCCTCCCGAGTAGCTGGGATCACAGGCGTGCGCCACCACACCTGGCTAATTTTTGTACTTTCAGTAGAGATGGGGTTTCACCGTGTTCGCCAGGCTGGTATGGAATTCTTGACCTCAAGTGATCTGCCTGCCTCAGCTTCCCAAAGTGCTGGGATTACAAGCCTGAGCCACCCGCCCAGCCCTGCTTTAGGCGAATTTAAACTGAACCTAGCCAGAGACACTGCCTCCCATACCCCGCCAAGCCCACTCTGGCCGTTCTCACCTTCAAAGTGGTAGATGGCCACACAGTGACCTATGGGGGATGTGGGTTCCTCCTCGAAATCCTCATCAAACTCCGTGTAAATGGGGGTGTCCTGGCTCTCTTCTGAGGGAGGCTCTTCAGAGCTGTTTGGGGATAATTCGGCAGATAAAGACAGGCCCTCCTGGGACCCTGGGAACAGACCCACTCTGACGTCACCCCTCACCTCTCCTTGGTGTCCTGTGATGCGCTGTTGCTGCTGCTGTCTGGCGGGGCGCTAGCGGGGGGGTCGGGAGGCCGGGCGTGCCGGCTCAGGCTGTCTCCCCGGTTGCTAAGGACTCGACTTTCAGCTTCTGCCAGCCACGCCTGGGAGGAGGGGACAGGAAAATCGTTCCAGGGCAGAGCTCCGGGGTCAGCCCACTTTGGACCCAGAGGTTCCCTGAGATCACCCACGCACAGCCAAGGCTGTGATGGAAAACAGCTGGAGACCCCCCGCTCCGAACACCTCCCCTGTCCCCGACCCCCCACCCCACCCAGCAGTGACTCAGCCAGGCCCGCTGGCTCCCGCCCCTCCCCAGGGTCTTTCCTGACCTCATACTTCTGCACTTCCAATTTCAGCCGTTCAATGTTGCTCAGGGTTTCAGCGATCTGGGGCTCCAAGCTGGCGGGGTCCCCCATCTGAGGTGTCTTCTCATAGACATCCTTCATTTTCTTTAGGGCTTCCCTATGACAAGGGAGACAGGATAGACAGGAAAACATACTTCCGTGTGAGTTTTTTTGTTGCTGTTGTTTTGTTTTGTTTGAGTCAGGGTCTCATTCTGACTCTTTCCCCAGGCTGGTGTGCAGTGGTGCAATCATGGCTCACTGCAACCTTAACCTCCCGGGCTCAAGTGATACTCCTGCCTCAGCCTCCTGAGTAACTGGGACTATAGACCCGCATCACCACACTCGCCTGATTTTTCAAAAATTTTTAGTAGAGATGGGGTCTGGCTATGTTGCCCAGGCTGAGTTCAAGGGATCCTCCTGGCTCAGCCTCCCAAAGTGCTGGGATTACAGGCATGAGCCACAGCACCGGGCTCCATGTGATTTAACAAGCAAAAAACAGGGGTTTTGCATCAAGGAGCAAATAGCAAGGCAGGACAATGGTTAAGGATGCAAATACTAGTGCCCGACTGCCTGGGTTCGAATCTCAGTTTGAATATTTCCTAGCTGTGTGAGCTTGGCTTAAATCATTGAACCCCCACTGCTGTTTGCTTATTTTGGAAATGGAGATAATGATCCTAATATCTCATGTGGGTCACTGTGAGGATTAATACAATGCCTGATACCTAGTAAGTCCTCACTATTACTCATATACATATTGAGTACCTACTGCATACAGGTCCTATTCCAAGCATCAGAAATATAACACTGGGCTGGCCGTGGTGGCTCACATCTGTAATCCCAGCATTATTTTGGGAGGCTGAGGTGGAAGGATCACTTGAGGCCAGGAGTTCAAGACCAGCCTGGGCAATGGTGTGAGACTTTGTCTCTAGTAAAAAATCAAAATAATTTTTAAAAAATAAAAAAAGAAGGGGGGGCAGGGGAAAAAATAAATAAAGATAAATATAACACTAAACAAGACAGATCTTAAGTCTGCATACAATCTCTCAGGAAACCTTGAAAATTCGAATAAATCCATGTACACTGTTTCGAATAGTGCCTAGAATGCAGTAAGTGACTAATAAATACTGTTATCATTATCATCAGTTTCTCATCCCTGTCTCCCCTATGTCTATATATACAGGTAGTCACGACTATAATGGACCTTTGGAAAAGACCAGATCTGAGCTCAACTTCCTTCCAGTTATTTTTTATCTTTTTTTGAGACACAGTCTCACTCTGTCGCCCAGGCTGGAATGCAGTGGCGCAATCTCGGCTCACAGCAACCTGTGCCTCCCGGGATCAAGTGATTCTCGTGCCTCAGCCTCTGGAGTAGCTGGGACTACAGGCACACGCCACCACGCCTGGCTAATTTTTATATTTTTAGTAGAGACAGGATTTCCATATGTTGGCCAAGCTGGTCTCAAACTCGGTCTCAAGCCATCTGCCTGCCTCGGCCTCCCAAAGTGCTTGGATTACAGGCATAAACCACTGCACCCTGCCAACTTCATTCCAGTTCTAATACCTGATCCACTTTACAGATGAAGAAACTGAGGAATTAAAAGGTAAAACAGGCTGCCCAAGTCCTGAGATGAAGCTGGAAATCAAGTCCAGTTTGTCGTGACTCTAGAACATGCACCCTTAACCCCTCCACCGTAGAAACTCAGGAACTAGAGAGTTCTGAATGGAACTTTACACCAATAAAAGCCATTCTGTCCAAGAGGTTACATGCAAATGGCAAAATATAATTTGGCTGCCTGTTTGCAAGTGGCAAACATCATTCCTATTATGTAACAGAACTGGGAAGAGGATTTTGTTGCCTGGAAAGAGTGAGTAAAGATTTTTTTTTTAATCTGCCAGATTTTTTTATTGTCAATATTTTAAGTGTTTGAGCTATTAAATAGATAACCATATGCTGCTTTTCTTTTAGCCAATTAATGTGGTGAACTAGATGGATACATTTTTTGATATTGAACTATCTTTGCATTATTGGGATAAAACCCAACCAATGGTGGATTTTTTTTTTTTTAGTTTTTAAAAAAATTTACTTGGGTTTTTCTTCTTCTTCTTCTAAGAGATGGGGTTTTACTACGTTGCCCAGGCTGGCCTTGAACTCCTAGGCTCAAGTGAGTGATCCTTCTACCCAGCCTCCCAAAGTGCTGGGCTTATAGGCATGAGCCACTGTGCTCGGCTAATGTATTATTATTATTATTATTATTATTTGAGGTAGAGACTCGCTGTGTTACCCAGGCTGGAGTGCAGTGGTGCAGTCTTGACTCACTGCAACCTCCGCCTCCCAGGTTCAAGCGATTCTCCCACCTCAGCCTCCCGAGTAGCTGGAATTACAGGCGCGTGCCACAATGCCCAGCTAGTTTTTGTATTTTTAGTAGAGACGGGGTTTCACCATGTTGGTCAGGCTGGTCTCGAACTCCTGACCTCACGTGATCTGCCCTCCTTGGCCTCCCAAAGTGATGTATTATTTTTTAAACACTGGATTTGCTTGGCTAGGATTTTGCCTCTATGATCATAAATAAGGTAAAATGAGCCCTTAATTTTATCTTATTGAATTCTTGGCCACAGATTTGGGAATCAGGATTCTTCAGCCTAAAGAGGTTGACAGCTTTCACACTTTTTCTGTTTGCTGGAATGACTTGTATAAGACAAGAAGTAACTGTTTCTTTTTTTCTTTTTGAGACAGGGTCTCACTCTGACACCCAGGCTGAAGTGCAAGTGGTGCAGTCACAGCTCACTGTAGTCTCCATTTCCCAGGCTTAAGCCATCCTCCCACCTCAGCCTCCCAAGTGGCTGGGACTACAGACACAAACCACCACACCCAGCTAATTTTTTTATTTTTGCTAGAAATGGGGTCTCACTCTGTTGCCCAGGCAGGTCTCAAACTCCTAGGCTCAGATGATCCTCCTGCCTCAACCTCCCAAAATGCTGGGATTGCAGGCACAGGCCACTGCACCTGGCCAAGAAGTAACTAAGTGTGGTAGGAATCACCTGTAAAACCGTCGGGGCCTTGGGATTATTGGGGAGATCTTTGAGTACCATTTAAATGTCATTCATTTACAGACCCGGGCAGTGGCTCATGCCTATAATCCCAGCACTATGGGAGGCTGAGGCAGGCAGATCAACTGAGGCCAGGAGTTCAAGACAGCCTGGCTAATATGGGGAAACCCCGCCTCTACTAAAAATATAAAAATTAGCTGGTGCATGCCTGTGGTCCTAGCTAATCGGCAGGCTGAGGCACAAGAATTGCTTGAACCTGGGATGTGGCGATTGCAGTGAGCTAAGATCACAGCACTGCACTCCAGCCTGGACGACAGACTAAGACCCTGTCACAAAATAAAATATAATAAAATAAATAAAATAAAATAATAAACAAATAAGTGAAGTTCATTTACTATTTTATCATGTTCCTTGCCTGTCCTTCCCTACCCCACCACCTTACCTCTGGTCAACCTCCTTCTGAAGTTCACGACTGCGTTCTTCCAACTGCTGTTGAAGCCGTTTTCGCTGCTGCTCTGGGGGCAAGTGGCTAAAATCCTCGGTCACCACTGTCTGCAAGGTGGGTAGAGGGCTGAATTTGGGATCAAGGAGTCTAGCCTGCCAGACTCTGCACCCGTCTGAGATATTTCACTCCCTTCCCCAGCCATGGTTCTTGACAGCGAAGCCATGCACAGAGCAAAGCAGGTCTGGGTTGGGCAACCAGGGAAGAGGGGCCCAGCCAGCGGCAGGAAGCGAGCCCAGGGTCCCGCCACCCGCCGCTGGGCAGGCTAGGGCCACCACCTCCTCCTGCCCCGAGGCCTCACTTACCCCACGGCTGCCTCGAAGGCTGCGGAAGGATGCTAGCCTCGGTTTGACCGACTTACTGATCTCGCTCAGTATGGCCAAGGGGTCACGGCCGGAGCGGGGGGACGGGGGTCCGTTAGGCAATGCCGAGGGTACGGGGCCCCCCAGGGGGGAGAGGGGTGGGGGGCGAGGCTACCGGCGGGGGCCGGGGAGGGGGATAGGTTGAAGGGGTGGGGGGGCATAGGAGGATGTAGAGAGTGAGGACGAATGGACGGAGGGATGGACG
This sequence comes from Homo sapiens, assembly GCF_000001405.40. Taxonomy (NCBI): domain Eukaryota; kingdom Metazoa; phylum Chordata; class Mammalia; order Primates; family Hominidae; genus Homo; species Homo sapiens. Next base: position 6,745,934 of record NC_000019.10, on the reverse strand, counting down.
CACGGATGGACGGATGGACGCAAAAAAAGGAAAAAGGAAAAACAAAATGGAGAAAGAAAAAAAACGGTAAGAAAACCACAACTCAAGATGCACAACCACACAGAGAAAACGCATGCAGGAGCGACACAAAAAAATCTGGAAGGTGGCGGGGAGGATGTTGAACTGTAAGCCCGAAAGCCAGAACTCTCACTCCCCCGGTATCTCCTAGGTCTCTGGAATGTTATGTCCGGGAGCAAGCATGGGTCCAGGAGGCAGGGAGGCCCATGTCTCTCTGTCCACTTAGCTTTCTGGGCTGACAGTCTAGAAGACGCATGCAGGAATCAAGGTCTCAGACAGGTAAGAGGCCACAGAGGACAAAAATAAATAAACAAAAATAAAACCACAAGCCGAGAGGGAGTGGAAGGCAGGAAAATGAGAGGGGTTAGGGGCATCAGAAGTTTAAGCTCGGGGATCACAGGTGTTAAGTCAAGGAGAGGTATGAGAGTGTAAGTGAAGAGGGACCCAAAGTATAAATCAAAGGTATAAACCAAGGGTGCTAAGGTATATTAAAATCCAAAAACCCAAGAAAGCAAGACATGCAGGGCGGCTCCCAGAGTCCCATCAGCAGGATGGAGAGAGAAACTCGGGGAGTCCCCAGGGATGGTGTCACCAGCCCTCAGGCCAGCCCTGAATTCCACCAGCAGGTTTTCTCCCAGCATCCCGAGAAGCAGCAGACAAACGCCACGGACCTCCCCACCTCCCCACCCTGCCCCCGCCTTCGCCTCGGGGGACTCCCAGGCCAATCGGCCGCCTTCCTTCCCTCCAGTCCGGGCTGGCAGCCAAGAGGAAAATTCCTGCCCGAGACTCGGCGTTCAGGCGGCTGGGGCTGACTCAATAGGGGCCCCACTGTCCCCACTTCACTGTCCTTCTCCCCCACCATCCCAAGGGTCCCGGCCCCCACCTTGTTCTTCTTGCCAAAAGGCCAGCGCTTGGTGCGGCTGCGACCCGGGCCTCGGAGTTCAGGCCGTCCATCCGAGGGGGTGCCCAGACTGCTGTCGGAGGGTGCACGGTTCATGGGCTGGCTGAAGTCCTCGAATTCCACGTCGCCCGGGCGGGCAAAACCTGACTTGTGCAGCTCTATAAGGACGTGGGAGTCCTGGGGGAGGGGGACAGTGGATGAGCAGTCGAGTGCCTAGCCTATGGGTACCTCCCTCTGCCCTTCCCGTAGCCCAGTGGACCCAGACCAGGCACCCACGTTCTTGGGATCCACAGCATTTGCAGCCACCTTCATGCCCTCCAAGCACTTGGCTATTATGGGCACCACCTCCAGCTCGGCCTCCGACAGGAGCCCATACCCGGCACCCAGGCGGGTGGCCCTGCGTTCATCCATGTCTTGGAGCTTCTGTAAGGACAGGGACAAGGGTGGCTCAGGGGTGCTAACAGAGGGACTAGAAGCACAGTGATTCACTCTGCAAATATGATCGCGCTCCACGCTGGCCCCAGCCCCAAGCCAGTCTGGAGGGGAAGACAGAGTCGGGAAGAGAGACTCCAGCCCACTGTGGTTGGGGAAGAGACACAGGGCCAGGGGGATCTCAGAGGGGGACGCGTGCCTAGGGGGTCAGCAAAGGCTTCTCAAAGGAGGAGACAAGGGAACAGGGATTTGAAGAAAAAGCAGAACCAGCCCTGATACTCCCAGGGCCACGGATGGGACAGAGAGTGGAGCGCTAGATTGAAACAGGAGAGGGGAAATTCGAGACCTTTCAGAGGGGTTGTTAGAGGTGGAGCTTAGAAGAATAAGTAGGAATTTCAAAAAGAAAGAAAGGTCACTTGAGCACAGGGGTTCCAGGCTGCAGTGAGCTGTGATTATGCCACTGCACTCCTGCCCGGGTGACAGAGCCAGGCCCCATCTCTCTATAGAAGTAAATAAACAAACAAGTAAAAGGCATGCCCAGCAGGAAGAACAGCTGACTAAAAGCACAGCTCACTGTTACTATAGGTTTCTGATTCCCTTTCAATCTAGGGACTGGGACATTGCAGCTGGGGTTTTGATGAATGCGTAGGAGTTGGCTAACATTTGGAGGCTTTCGGGAAGGTAGGTCTGAGAACTGGGAGCACTCACATCGAATATCTGGGGCATCTGTGAAAAATAGAAGTGGGCTTGGTCTCGGTTGAAGCGCTGCAGTTGAGCCGCATATTCGTTTTTGCTTTCTTCGGCCATGTGACTCCGAAGGTGGGCTTGCTGCTTGGCCTGAAGAATGCAGAGGTGGAAGGTACTGCCAGGTTCCGATCACGTCCCACTCGGACTCCCCAAGCTTGTCCCAGACCCCGCACCCCCCCCCCGCCCCCGCCACACACACCTTCTCCACATCAGCCTTGGTGGCGTTGATATCCTGGTCTAGCCGTTCAGCAGTCTGGGCTGCCTTCTCTGCCTCCCGGCAGTCCCGCTCAAATTTACGCTTACTCTGTGTAGGGGACAGAACCGGAGTGAGGGAGCCACCATCCCAAAGACAGCAGGGTGGGAAACCAAGGTTTCAGGGATTATTGGGATGTCATCCAGTAAGTAGGGGTCAAGGGAGTACTGGAAGCCTATGGGGGAGGGAAGGTCCAGGTCTGACAAAGAGGGCAGCTCCCTGACTCCGGATCCGCAACCCTGCCCCCATGCCTCCGGGCCACAGTCACTGCTACCTCTGCAAACTCACATTCTCCAGCTGTTTAAAGCCATTTTCCAGCTGCTGCTGGGCCCGCCGCCCTTCTTGGAAGTGCTACAGAAAGAAGAGTGATAAGGCTCGCCAGGGTTCCAGCAGAAGCCCTTTGTAAAACCTGAATCGGGGGGCTCCTCACCATCTTCCTCTCCTGTTTCATCTCTTGTGAGTACTTGGTCAGCTCAAGACATACACGGACACTGAGGTTCTCAGCCACCAGCTCCCGCTGGCCTGCAAAGTCATTCACCTCCTGGAGAATCTGTACGAAGGACTGTTGCTGGCTGAATCTGGGGTTGGATGAGAATCGGGGAACAGGGAGTCAGGCCCCTCCTCCCGAGCAGGCTGATGCCCCAGGACGCACCTCCAGGTGGAAAAGGGTTAAGCCCCAAGAATGTAATCCCTGAAGCGATGACAAATTCTGGTCCATATTCCTTAACCCCAACCCTTGAGTAGATTTTTTTTTTTTTTTTTTTTGAGACAGGGTCTTGCTGTCACCCAGGCTGCAGTGCAGCGGCATGATTGCGTCTCACTGCAGCCTCAAACTCCTGGGCTCAAGTGATCCTCCCACCTCAGGCTCCCAAATAGCTGGGACCACAGGCACACGCCACCACACCTGGCTAATTTTTTTTTTCCAGATGAGGTCTCAAACTCCAATCCCCCCGAACTCCGCATCTTCCCGCCTCACCCTCCCAAAGTGCTGGGAGTACAGGTGTGAGCCACCGCACTGGACCTCGAATGTATATTGGAACACAGAATTTTCCAGTTTTTAAAGATGGTGTACAAAGCTTATACCATCTTTTCTGCATCATCTTAGTGGGGTTGGGGACATCATTTTGTAATCAAACACCGTATCTATTTGTTTTGGAGACAGAGTCTCACTCTGTCGCCCAGGCTGGAGTGCAGTGGTGCGATCTTGGCTCACTGCAACCTCCGCCTCCCGGGTTCAAGCGATTCTCATGCCTCAGCCTCCTGAGTAGCTGGGATTACAGGCGCGCACCACAACGCCTGGCTAATTTTTGTATTTTTAGAAGAGACAAGGTTTCACCATGTTGACCAGGCTGCTCTCGAACTCCTGACCTCAAGTGATCCACCTGCGCACCCTCCCAATGTGTGGGATTACAGGTGTGAGCCACTGTGCCCAACCCTATTTTTTTTTTTAATTTTACAATGAGAGGTGTTAACATTCACACTAAGTGGGATAAAAGTCAAAACTACAATTACCAGCCTGGCTAACATGGTGAAACCCTGTCTCTACTAAAAATATAAAAATTAGCTGGGCATGGTGGCAGGTGACTGTAATCCCAGCTACTAGGGAGGCTGAGGCAGGAGAATCGCTTGAACCTGGGAGGCGGAAGTTGCAGTGAGCTGAGATGGCGCCACTGCACTCCAGCCTGGGGGACAGAGTGAAACTCTGTCAAAAACAAAACAAAACAACTACAATTAACAAAAAGTTCAGGTCAGAGATTGCTGCCAAACAAGTGACCAAAACAACTTGATTTCCAGGGCTTTTTTGGATTTTGGAATTGGGGACTCAATTCCAAGTCAAATGCTCCTTACGGCGTTTGATATGGACTGCACACTGTTTAAACACATTCACTCAGCTCGTGTTCATGAAAGCCCTACAAAGCTGGAGGAATCGTCATCATTCCATTTCACAGATGAGGAAAACAGAGGCGCAAAACTTTAAGTCATCTGCCCAAAGTTACTGGTTTTGTAACTGCTGGGGCCTCTGTATTTAACAGTTAAGGAAAATAGTGGCAGAAAACCTGAGTCACAAGCCCAAGTCAATTTCTCTACATAGTAGTGGACTCAGGATTCCAAGCCAGATAATCCCGCATCTTGCATCCATGCTCTCACCTCTAGAAGGGGAAGTGAGAGGAGCGGTGGGGTGTCCCAGCTGAGGGAGGGGAAGTGAGACCCAAGCACCGCCTTTCCCCACAAATCTAGCCCTGCAGCCCCTCTCCAACCTTACTTGGACTCAGGATCATCCTTGGCAGGTCTCTTGGGCAGATATTTTTTCACCAGGCTCCTAAGGGGAGACAGAGGTAGGAGGGCTGAGCCCGCAGCCCTCCCACCGCTCCCCGTCGCCCCAGGCGCGTCCTCCGTAGCGTCCACCCCAGGGTCTCACCGCAGTTGTTTGGCGTAAGCCTGTTCCACTTCGGTGCGTTCTTTCACGAACTTTACATATCTGTCCAACAGGTCCAGCCCCCACTGCGTGTGGCGCTCGAGCACCTCGAACTGATCCTGACATGGGACATGGTGGGGGAGGAGGGGAGAGGGGCCGGGGTCACGATTTTGGGACCCCACAGCCCGCCGACCAGACTCCCAGGGAGGGCCAAGGCTCTGCGCTCCTAGAAGGAGTGGCTTCCCGGCGCCGCCCCGGCGTGGCGCGGGGGGAGGCAGGAAACTGGCGGGAACCCCCTCCCCTTCCCGGGAAGGGCCGGAGAACAGCGCCCAGGCCCCAGCCACCCCGGCCGGGAGATGGAGGTCTCCGACATAGGACCGCCAAGAGGGGCGTGGAAGGGGACAGGGCCACTCCCCCAGCTCGGGCTCCCCTAATCCCCCCGGATTCCGGAAAATCCGGCCGGCCCGGCGTGAGTCAAGGCCAGAGGGGCAGGGTTCCTGGCAGACTGGGGGCCCCTGAGTGGCCAGGGGGCAGGCACCAGGTTCCCTGAATCTCCCTGCTTCCAGGGATCCCCCGATGGGTGACTCAATTTACCCCACTGACCCCACTACACATCCAAAAGAAATCGCAGAATTGGAGGAGGGGGTGGCAGTCTGGTTACCCCCGCTGCACTAAGAACTCAGGGATTCCACCGCCCCCAGCAAGGGGAGGGGTCAGAGGTCCGGCTAGGATAGGGGGAAATTTCTGGGGCTTCCAGGGCTGAGGTTATAGGCGACCAGGGGGCGGTCCCGCCCTGGGCCTGGGGTGAGCAGGGGGAAGCCAGGGAGGGGGATCAGGCCGAGCTTAGCATCCCCCTTCCCCTCCATGAGCGTCCCCAGCCCCTAGGTGTTGATTAAAGGCGAGGGAAAGGGCGGTCAGGACTTCTAGGTCCCACGTGGGTGGGGATGAGGGTGACCAGAGGGTCCCCTCCCCCCTCCTAGCCGGACAGGCGGACGACGGGCAGGGACCCAGGGGCCGTAAGATAAGCCGCCTGCCCGGCCAGGGCGCCCAAAATAGGTGACCTCTCTCAGCCGCCCCGGCCTGGCCCCAGGATTCCTTCTGCCCGCCTCATTCGCAACCCTGTGCCTCAGTTTCCCCACTCCGGTCCGGCAAAGTCGCCCTTCGCCCCTGAGCGTGCTGAGACTCCCAGATAAACTTCGAGAGAGAGCGGAGGGTGGAGGGCGGGGACCCAGGGGTCGGTGGAAGGGAAAGGCGCGGAGCCCCCTCTAAGATACATTGGGGACAAAAGGGGGGTGCCTGGACCCCAGCAAAGGGGAACTTAGAGGCGGGCCGATTGGACTTACCCACAGCTCAGTGCCCCAATCCATGCTGCTCCCGCCGCCGCCGCCGCAGCCACCACCGCACCCGGTCCCCGCCGCCCGCCGCCCGCCGCCCTCCCCGGGGAGACTCAGCCGAGGGCGGTGCGCCTGGCCCCGCCCCGCCCCGCCCGGCCCCGCCCACCCCAGACTCTTCCCCGCCCCCCTGCACGCTCTGCCACGCCCCCACCCGCGCGGAGCCCAAGCACTGCGATTCGGGGGCGGGGCCCAACGGACGCTCCGCCCCCTTTTAAAGCAACGTTGCCACTCGACGCCGCTGGACCGACCCCTTAAAGAACCCCCACCCATTTTTTCCAAATCCCCGGGGTCCCTCTCGTCCTCTCATCTTCCTTCCCCGCTCCAAACGGTTCTTCCCATCTCCTTTTCCCCTTTCCCCGCAATTATTCCTTAAAGGGCCAAGACACTAAAACCCCAAACTCAAGAAGTCCTTCCTCAACCCCATTGCAGGGGCAACCTGAGGTCACCCCGTTCTTGCGAGCCGGCCCGGCTCCAGGCGTCTAGGTTCGTCCCACTAATGGTCTGGTCCCTCCGGCCACAGGGCGGATGAGAGGGTTTCGATCCAACCCAGGACGCGCCTTCGCCAAGGCCAGGTCCATTAACTCCCGCACCGCATCCTGCCTTCCCTCCCCCAGAGTCTCCGCTGGGAAACTGAAGACAGGCCGTCCTTGGGGCGCCAGGCCCAGGCCTTTCCCCAGCTGCCTTCCAGTTCGCGCCTGCATCTGCCCATTTTCCAGTTTAACCTGGTTTCATTCTCAGTACTGCCCCTGAGATTCCGACTCCGCCCCTCCCCCAGACATCTGGGCCATCTGGGCCCTGGAGAAGGGAAGTCTGTCACCTCTCCCATAAAAGTCTGTTCACACCTTGTAAATCCCTTTGAGGTGCTGGAATGAAAGAGGAGAGGAGGCACTGGGGATTCCCACTCCCATTCTCTCCGGGCTTTGGCGCTTTCTCTGCAGCCTCAGACAAGGCTGGGCGTCTTGCAGGGGGGCCCTTGGGTATACGTTCCCCTTACACAGAGCACCCAGGCTCCCAGAACAGAGAGATACAGCTGAGCCCAGGAGGAGAGCCTTGGGAGCCCACACTGGGACTGATGTCTCTGCTGAGACCTGGCCCCACCTGCTGGTGGCTTCTGAGCTAGAAAATGTCTGATTGCAGTTGGGCAATTGAACCCAGTGAGTTCTGTGGCTAGTCTCAAATGGGGGCTCAGCCTAGCAAAGTTCTGAGTTCACCTCTGCTCAGAGACTCAAACTGGAATTGGGGTTCAGTCCAGGTCAGCACCACCGTGGGGATAGGGGATAGAGGCCAGAGGCTTAACCAGAAGGATTAGCAACCCGGTAAGGGGTCAGGTCCAATCTGGAGTCAGGGCTAGTCCAGATCGGTGGCCTAAACCAGAGATTAAGCCTCAGTGTGTGGTGTGGGGGACGAGGGGGTGTCAGAGTTTCAGGCTGAAGTTAGGACTCAACTTGCAGAGAGGGAGTTCACCTGGGGTCAGAGTTCAGCCCGGAGTCCGGTCTAGCCTGGAATCTGGGGGTGGGGCTCCAATTGCCTCACTCTGGAATAAAAGGCTTAGCCTAAGGCTGGGGTCTCAGCCTGGGGTCATAGGTCATCCTAGGGTCAAACTTTAACCTGAGGCCAGCTTTAGGCCTCTCTGTGGACCAGGAAGATTAGGAAAACAGGTCAGGCCTGAACAGATGCGTGTGTTTACCAAAAGCCTCAGCTCTGGCTGGGAGCCACATCCCTGGCTCAAGAAGAGGAAGTCCGTCCTTGGGGATACTGGGAAAGGTAGTTTATTTAATGCTTTGTGGCCCTTGTCTGCTCCCGCTGCATTCTGGGTAATGTAGTCCCGGACAGTTAAGAGTGGGTGGAGAAATTCCGCTTTAAGGGCCGGATATCAGATCCATGACAATTGGTTAGATAAACTGCTCATTAAATCACATCCGGACAATCTTTATAGCGATTGGTGAGAGTGAGCTGGGGGTTAAGCGTTATCGGCTCTCCCATTCGGAACCGGTGCTGTCCGTCGGTGACGCAAGCAGGCGGGCTTGCGGAGAGGCAATTGCTGATTGGTTGGCGGACTGGAAACTCCGAAAGGCCGGGCCCCGCCGTGCGGCGATTGGCTCATCGGTGGGCGGGCTTGGGCGCCAGAGGCGGAGTCGGGGAGGAGGTGGCTCCAGAGATGGCAGTGAGCGAGAGGAGGGGGCTCGGCCGCGGGAGCCCCGCGGAGTGGGGGCAGCGGCTACTTCTGGTGCTGCTGCTGGGTGGCTGCTCCGGGCGCATCCACCAGCTGGCGCTGACGGTGAGGCCCGCCGCGCGAGGGTCTGGGGTCGGTGGCGCAACTTTGTCTCGGAGAAGCCCCCTGGCTTGGAGTGGTCTCGTCCGCCCTCCCCCGTCCCCGAGGCGGTGGAGTGGTCCGGCGCCCCCCGTTTCCGGGCCCGGAGTGGTCTCGTCCCGGGATCCCCTTCGGTCCTCCGGATGGAGTTGCCGGGTCCGCCTCGCTGGGGTCGGCCCCCTCCCTTCGGGGGCGAGGCTCCATCTCTTGGGGACTACACCCCCCTTCCCCCCAACTGGGTCTTAGTCCTTTAAATTCTTGGAATCACTTTTGGGGCGCTAGAGACCCTGGAGCCGCACAGCGGGGTCCTGGGGGGCTATAGAGTGGGGTCCTCTGGGCACTTAATGGGATTTGGGGGGTTCTGTTGAAATATTGCTGGGAGCTCAACTGGAATGTAAAAGTTCTTCGGGAAGGTGAAGGTCAGGCACGCCGAGGTGAATAACTGTTCTCCGGGCGGTGCTCACCCCAGTGGGGAGACTTCCAGGTGCCGCAGGATCTCTGTTCCTGGGTTCTCAGAACAGAGGTCGGAGAATGCAGGACCACCCTTCCCCTGCAGGGAGGAAGTCCCTCTCAACTTTCTCTTGTCATCCTCTGGGCCTGTCCTAAATAGAGGGGTACCAGGAGGCCCTTCTGGAGGTCCTCGTGCCAGACCCCTGGGGCTGGGCAGGCGGAAAGAGGTCTGAACTGCCTCTGCCTCCTTGGTCTCCGGCAGGGGGAGAAGCGAGCGGACATCCAGCTGAACAGCTTCGGTTTCTACACCAATGGCTCTCTGGAGGTGGAGTTGAGCGTCCTGCGGCTGGGCCTCCGGGAGGCAGAAGAGAAGTCCCTGCTGGTGAGGGACCTTGAGGAGTTTGCTGGAGGAGAGCACGGTGCAATCCCCCGGTTCTGGGTTCCCAGCTCTGCCGCTACCCATGTGATCTTGTACAAGTCCCGTCATCTCTCTGAGCCTGTTTCGTCATCTGTACCTGGGAGTAATGATGTCTTACACAGGATGTGCTAGGCACTTTTCTTAAGACTTGGGGGACAGGCGGGGCGCGGTGGCTCAGGCTTTGTAGTCCTAGCACTTTGGGAGGCCAAGGTGGGAGGATTGCCTGAGGCCAGGAGTTCAAGACCAGCCTGGGCAACATAGTGAGAACCCCGTCTCTACAAAAAGTTTTTAAAATTAGCCGGGCGTGGTGAGGTGTGCCTGTAGTCCCAGCCAGTCGGGAGGCCGAGGTGAGAGGATCGTTTGAACCTGGGAGTTCGAGGCTGTAGTGAGCTATGATCCTGCCACTGTATTCCAGCTTGAGAAACAGAATGAGGTCCACCCACCACCCCAACTCTAAAAAAGAAAAAGAGCGTGTGGGATCTAGCACATGTTAGGTGTTCAGTAAATGTGAGGTTAGGTTTCTATTGCTACTGAAAGGGATAGCTGGGAGGTCTCTACTGTCCCTCACACCCTCCCCTTTTTTTTTCCACCCACCAGGTGGGGTTCAGTCTCAGCCGGGTTCGGTCTGGCAGAGTTCGCTCCTATTCAGTGAGTGGAGGGCATGGGGAAGACGGGAGAAGGGGCTGGAGGGAGGGGGTAGGGTCTGTCCTCTGCATCTGTAACCCAAGGGCCCCTGTTCTTTGTCAGAGGCAGGAGCAGGAAGATCCCGTGGGTGGACAGGGAGGGAGACAGGGTGGAGCTGGACCAGGAGAGGAGTAACCAAGACTCACTCCCTCCTGCCCACCCCCCAGACCCGGGATTTCCAGGACTGCCCTCTCCAGAAAAACAGTAGCAGTTTCCTGGTCCTGTTCCTCATCAACACCAAGGATCTGCAGTGAGTTGGGGACCGGGGGCTCGCTCAGATCCTTCGTCTGCGTTTCCCTGGTGTGATGCCCACACGCACCTGGGCTGATCAGGTGGGATGAGAAGCAGAGAGAGAAAGCCACTTACTTTTTAGTTTTGCCTTCAAGTCTTCTGATTGTTGGAAGGAAGGAGAGAGGGACTCCGCGGGTGTTGGTGTCTCAGGGCAGAAGACCCGGATACAGAGGGTTGTTGTGAGAATGAATAACAATTGTTCGCACATGTTGAGTGCTTCCGGTGTCCCGGAGCTTTAATACACTAACTCACCCATTCCTTATCCTGTGATCATCTCCGCTCTTCAGACAAGAAAACTGAGTCCCAGGAACTGGGATTCTGGGGCCAGGGTCTGACAAAACCATGTTGCTTTTCTGTAGATAAAATGTTTTCTTTTTAAATAATATACTTAGGGCCAGGCAGTGGCTTACGCCTGTAATCCCAGTATTTGGGAGGCCGAGGCAAAAGGATTGCTTGGGCCCAGGAATTGTAGACCAGCCTGGGCAACATGGCAAAACCTTGTCTTTACTAAAAAACCAAAAAATGTACAGGAATTAGCCAGGCATGGTGGTGCACGCCTGTAGTCCCAGCTACTCTGGAAGCTGAGGTGAGAGGATCTCCTGAGCTGGGGAGGTGGAGGTTGCAGTGAACCAAGTTTGCACTGCTGCACTCCAGCCTGGACGACAGATCAAGAGCCTGTCTCAAAATAATAATAATAATAATAATAATAATAATAATAATAATAATAATAATGTAGGGCTGGCCATGGTGGCTCATGCCATTAATTCCAGTGCTTTGGGAGACTGGCTGAGCCAGGAGGATCACTTGAAGCCAGGAGTTCAAGACCAGCCTGGGCAACGTAGGGAGACCCCTGTCTCTAGAAAATTTAAAAATTAGCCAAGCATGATGGTGTGCGCCTGTGGTTCCATCTGCTCCTGTGGCTGAGGTGGGAGGATTGCCTGATCCCAGGAATTTGAGGCTGCAGTGAGCTGTGATTGCACTACAGCGCTCCAGCTTGGGCGACAGAGCAAGACCCTGTCTCTAAAGAAAAGAGAAAAAGAGTAGATTGATGTCATGGGAAATGACGAATAACTGCGGATGCAGGCAGCACAGGAAGGCGGCAGCCTCCTTGACCGGTGGGAACCAAAGGCTGAAACTCAGTGATAACTGACTCGACTGGACCCCGCCCCTCAGGGAGGACACGCAGAGGGTCCAAGGGGCCACTGAGTCCTTTGCCGGTGCCTGAGCCAAGTTCAGCCCCCCAGCCTCATGCCCCACCCCACCCTCACCCCAGGGTCCAGGTGCGGAAGTATGGAGAGCAGAAGACGTTGTTTATCTTTCCCGGGCTCCTCCCGGAAGCACCCTCCAAACCAGGGCTCCCGAAGCCACAGGCCACAGTCCCCCGCAAGGTGGATGGCGGTGAGTCAGGCTGGCTGTGCAGACGGGGGTGGATGGGCAGGTCTGCCCTTTGCACTCCCCATGCCGTTTTCCCACTGCCCCTCTATCCATCCATCCATCTCTTAAAATCACTGCCCGGTCTCTTACAGGAGGGACCTCTGCAGCCAGCAAGCCCAAGTCAACACCCGCAGTGATTCAGGTTTCGGGGAGGCGGGGCAGGAGGGAAGATGCACACCCCAGGGCCCTGCGGGGACCCAGAACCAGCTGATGGAGGGGCTCTGTCCCTTCAGGGTCCTAGTGGGAAGGACAAGGACCTGGTGTTGGGCCTGAGCCACCTCAACAACTCCTACAACTTCAGTGTGAGTGTTTGCAGCGCCTGCGGCCCTTCCGTCACCCCAGAGCACGGGACCCCCAAGCTGAGCCCTCCTGCAGCCCTACCATCGCCCCAGACCATGGGACCCCCAAGCTGATTGTCGCCCCAGACCACGGGTCCCCCAGGCTGAGCCCTCCTCTCTCCCCGCCCGCCCAGTTCCACGTGGTGATCGGCTCTCAGGCGGAAGAAGGCCAGTACAGCCTGAACTTCCACAACTGCAACAATTCAGTGCCAGGAAAGGAGCATCCATTCGACATCACGGTGAGCGGAGTGGAGGGCAGCAGGGCCAGGGAGCGCCCCCTGCAGGCCACTGCGGGCCCAGAGTGCCTCACCCCGCTTAGCTTTTCCCAGCCCTCCCGGGTGCGAAGTAGGAGCTGTTATACCCATTTGAGAGACGGGGCCAACTGAGGCTCAGAGTGGATGAGTGGCCCAGTAGAAAGTGAGAGAGCTGGAGACCCCCACTCGCTGCTCTCCCAGGCCAGCGGTCGGGCTGTGCCCCTGCCGCCGCCCACCACTGCCCCCTCCGCAGGTGATGATCCGGGAGAAGAACCCCGATGGCTTCCTGTCGGCAGCGGAGATGCCCCTTTTCAAGCTCTACATGGTCATGTCCGCCTGCTTCCTGGCCGCTGGCATCTTCTGGGTGTCCATCCTCTGCAGGAACACGTAATGCCCCTGCCCCTGAGGGTCCCCCACGTCCCTTCACCAGACCCCCATCCCTATGCTCTGCTGATGCCCCGCACCCCCATCTCTCCCTGACCCTCCCACCAGGTACAGCGTCTTCAAGATCCACTGGCTCATGGCGGCCTTGGCCTTCACCAAGAGCATCTCTCTCCTCTTCCACAGCGTGAGAGCCTTGGACCGGGGAGCAGCGGGGGGTGGGCTGAAAGGCCCACCCGGGCCATCCCCCAAATCTCTGCAGACCCTGGGCCTGTGGGAGGGCCATCCGCCAGCTATCCACGTGTCCACCCATTTTACCAGTGTGGCCAGTCACCCATCCCCTCTGTCCACCAGTCCTGCGGGGCAGCTCTGTCCACCACTGTCCCTTGGTTCAGCTGTGACTGTCCGTCTCTGATTGTCCAACTATTCACCCCTTCAGCTGTGACTGTTCCCTCCATTTTTTCAGCCCCGATTACCAGTTTTGAGTCCCACCCACCGTCCTCATTATTCAACTTTCTGACCACCCATCTGATGGTGACGGTCCGTGTTCCTAATCCCCCACCACCACCATCAGCCTCCCACCCCTCTGTGCGCCTCACTGTCCGTCTGTCCATCCACCCCCAGATCAACTACTACTTCATCAACAGCCAGGGCCACCCCATCGAAGGCCTTGCCGTCATGTACTACATCGCACACCTGTGAGTGTCCCCCACTCTGCTGGGCAGCTGGGGGGAGGCAGGCAGGGGAGGGTTGGCCCCCCACCTCATCATCACGCCCTCCCCTGCTCCTTCAGGCTGAAGGGCGCCCTCCTCTTCATCACCATCGCCCTGATTGGCTCAGGCTGGGCCTTCATCAAGTACGTCCTGTCGGATAAGGAGAAGAAGGTCTTTGGGATCGTGATCCCCATGCAGGTGCGGATGGAGCAGCCTCCGGAGCAGGGCGGGGAGGGCTGCACAGGGCAGTGGGGGCAAAGGGGAGCGTGCCAGGCAGTGCCCACCCACCCCCGCCGCCTGCGCAGGTCCTGGCCAACGTGGCCTACATCATCATCGAGTCCCGCGAGGAAGGCGCCAGCGACTACGTGCTGTGGAAGGAGATTTTGTTCCTGGTGGACCTCATCTGCTGTGGTGCCATCCTGTTCCCCGTAGTCTGGTGAGGACCCTGCCCCCGGGCTGAGGCTCTGCCCTGTGCACATGGGCGATGTCCGCGCTGACCGTACCCTGTGTCCTCCACTTGTCCCAGGTCCATCCGGCATCTCCAGGATGCGTCTGGCACAGACGGGAAGGGTGAGGCCCTGCGCCTGCAGGCCCTCTGCTCATGGCCCCATTCCTCCTCCGGGCCCTTCTTTCTGCCCCTTGGATGCCCCTCCTGGCCTCTCTGCCCAGCCCCCAGGCCTCTGCCTCCCTGGATGCCCCAGTCTGGCCTCTCTTTCCCCCGAATGCCTTTATCTGGCCTCTCTGCCCTGTTGGGTGGCCCTTCCCTCCTCTCTGATCTCCCCCTTCCGCCTTTCTGCCCCACCTAATGTCCCCTCGAGACTTGCTGCTCCTGGACACTCCCTCAGATGTTCTGTTTGTCACCTCTCCCAGCCCCCAGCCCCCTCCCCTCCCTCCCACCCTCAGTCTCCCCTGACCGCCCTCTCTGTGCCCACCCTCAGTGGCAGTGAACCTGGCCAAGCTGAAGCTGTTCCGGCATTACTATGTCATGGTAGGAGCCCGCCTCACTCACAGCGGGTTTGGGGGGATTACCGGCCTGCTGCACGCCCACCCCAGCCCCTCAGCTGCTGCCCCATCCCGAGGCCCCCATCCAGGCTCCCCAGCCCGCAGTCCTGCAGTCTAGCCCCATGCCTGCCCGTGCCCCTACAGTCCTGGCCCCACGCCTGCTCGCGCCCCTGCAGGTCATCTGCTACGTCTACTTCACCCGCATCATCGCCATCCTGCTGCAGGTGGCTGTGCCCTTTCAGTGGCAGTGGCTGTACCAGGTGAGCCCGAGGCCCAGGTGGGACGGGAGGGCGGCCACGGTGGGGGTGGGGGTGCGCCTGACGCCCCCACTCCGCCCCGTCCCCCAGCTCTTGGTGGAGGGCTCCACCCTGGCCTTCTTCGTGCTCACGGGCTACAAGTTCCAGCCCACAGGAAACAACCCGTACCTGCAGCTGCCCCAGGAGGACGAGGAGGATGTTCAGATGGAGCAAGTGTGAGCTGGGCACCATGGGCAGGGCCGGCGGCTCTGGGGGTGGAGTAGGGGGTGGGCAGCTCTACGGGCAGGGTGGGCAGGGGGGAGGGACTGTAGCAGCCCTGGGGGCAGTGTTAGGGCAGAGCCTGCTGTTGAGAAGGGATGGAGGGGAGATGGGGGGCAGCCAGGGCAGCTGTGCAGGTGGGGACCGGACAGCTGTGGAGTACCTAAGGCCAGGCTGAGCTAGGGGTGGGGTTAGGGCCGCTAGGGAGACACCCAGGGCCGCTCTGGGGGCGGGGGTGGGCGGGGCCTAGGTAGTTCGGGTAGAACGGGTGGGGCCTGGGCTGCTATGGCAGTAAGGTGGGCGGGGCCTGAGTGGTTACGGGTAGAGTGGGTGGGGCCAGGGCTGCTGGGGGCGGGGCCTAGGTGGTTGGAGTAGAAGGGTAGGGCCTGCGCTGCTGTGGGAGCGAGGTGGGTGCAGCCTGGGTGAGTCTGGGGTAGAGTGGGCAAGGCCAGGGCTGCTGTGGTTGGGGGGAGTGGGGCGGGGCCTGAGTGGTTCCGGGTAGAGTGGGTGGGGCCTGCTGCCCTGCAACGCTAGACGCCTCCTCGCTGTCTGCCCCCAGAATGACGGACTCTGGGTTCCGGGAAGGCCTCTCCAAAGTCAACAAAACAGCCAGCGGGCGGGAACTGTTATGATCACCTCCACATCTCAGACCAAAGGGTCGTCCTCCCCCAGCATTTCTCACTCCTGCCCTTCTTCCACAGCGTATGTGGGGAGGTGGAGGGGGTCCATGTGGACCAGGCGCCCAGCTCCCCGGGACCCCGGTTCCCGGACAAGCCCATTTGGAAGAAGAGTCCCTTCCTCCCCCCAAATATTGGGCAGCCCTGTCCTTACCCCGGGACCACCCCTCCCTTCCAGCTATGTGTACAATAATGACCAATCTGTTTGGCTACGCCGTTGTCTTGCCTTTTTGGGGGTTGGGGTCTACACGGAGGTTGTGTTTACAATGTAGAAACCTGTTTTCGCTGTGTGTGGCGGGGGCGCGGGCACAGGGTCCGTGTCTTTGTATATTCAATAAATATTCATTCAGTAACCGCTGCATGCAGGGCCCAAAGCCAGGCGCTGGGACGGAGCGGTCACAAAGACCCACCTGGTCCCAGCCCTAAAGGGGCTCCCAGTGCCCAGAGTGGGGGTCAGGCAGAGGGACATGTCACCTGGCAGTACCATCACTGGGCCATCAGCGCCGTGACGGGAACTGCACAGGGCTCTGACCCGGCCTTGGGGGTCAGGAAAGGTCAGTAGAAACATGGCGGAAGAGCTCATGCCCAGATGAGGGAACCGCGGGCATGAAAGCTGGGGGCGAGGGGAGAACGGGGATTTGAAGGCCCCCAAGTGGCTCAGGCTACAGAGGAAAAGAAAGAATAGGCTGGGCGTGGTGGCTCACGCCTGTAATCCCAGCACTTTGGGGGGCCAAGGCGGACGGATCGTTTGAGGTCAGGAGGTCGAGACCAGCCTGGTCAACATGGTGAAACCCCGTCTCTACTAAAAATACAAAAATTTGCCGGGTGTGGTGGCAGGTGCCTGTAATGGCAGCTACTCAGGAGGCTGAAATGGGAGAATCGCTTGAGCCAGGGAGGCAGAGGTTGCAGTGAGCAGAGATTGCACCATTGCATTCCAGCCTGGGCAACAGAGCAAGACTCCATCTCAAAACAAATAATAATAATAGAAGCTAACCGGGCACAGTGACAAGTGCCTGTAGTAGTTCCAGCTACTCGGAGGTCAGTGCAGGAGTATCACTCAAGCCCAGGAGTTAAAGACCAGCCAGGGCAACAAGCGAGACCCCATCTCAAGAAAAGAAAAAATAATACGAGGTAACACAGAGTGATTGCTACGCCACGCTGTCTATTAAGGCTTCTGTGGATTTTAATTTGTTAAAAAGCCTGTGAGGCACAGAGAGGGTAAGAAACCTCCTTGAGGTCACACAGCTCATGAGTGAGTGGGAGACTCCCGGCTCAAAGCCAGACACTGACTATATGCATTGCTGCTCCATAGCTAGACTCCCTGGGACCAAATCTCTCAGCCTGTTGCCATTTGCTGTGTGACCCTGGATCACTGGCTTACTCTCTCTGTTTCCTTGCATATAACATGGGGCCTCCTAAGTTTGTTGAGTATCACATACAATAGCAGGCACAGCACCCAGCTGCACAGCCTCGACCTGATTTCTAGGGAACCAGCCCTGAATCTTGAGGGGCGACTGAGGAATTGGAGATCTGCTTGTGTGCACACTTAAGGGCAGGTTCCCAAGATGGGTCTCCACCCCCCACCCACCTGCCCTTCAACTAGAGCATCCAGAATGCCTTTTGGAGCTCGGAGAAGCCTTCCTCGCTGGAGACACAAGCATGGGACAGCGGCAGGGAACAGGGCTGGGGTGAAGGCTTCCTGTAAGCAGAAACAAATATAGCTGGGGCCCAGATGAATAAATAGCCTGGTCAGACAAAGAAGGAAGTGGGAGGCATTGCAGACTGGGGAAGTTACATGAACACGGCGGGGAAGGCTGGGATGGCCCGCGAGGCTGGAGGGGGCAGGAGGAGGGCGAGAGAAGCTGGCAGAGGCCTAAAGACAGGCAGGCACATGGGGCTTCATCCAGGGGTCCACAGGAGCCATGGAGGAATTTAAAGCAGGGAGGAGCATGGCCAGAGAGACTGCATGTGCATGCTGCAGTCGGCTGAGTCATGGTCCCCTCAAAGATGGGCACGTCCAGCCTGTGTGGTGGCTCACACCTGTCATCCCAGCACTTTGGGAGACCGAGGCAGACGGATCACTTGTCAGGAGTTCAAGACCAGCCTGGCCAACATGGCGAAACCCCATCTCTACTAAAAATAAAAAATTAGCTGGGCATGGTGGTGGGCACCTGTAATTCCAGCTACTCGGGAGGCTGAGGCAGGAGAATCACTTGAACCCAGGAGGTGGAGGTTGTAGTAAGCTGAGATTGCACCACTGTACTCCAGCCTTGGTGACAGAGCGAGAGACCTGTCTCAAAAAAAAAAAAAAAAAAAAAAGGTGTGCACGTCTGAATCCTCAAGACCTGTGGATATGATATGTTCTGTCACACGGCAAAAGGGACTTTGTGCATGGGATTAAGGCTCTTAAAATGGGGGAGATTATCTTGGATTATCTGGATATGCCCAATATCGTCACAGGGGTCTTTATAAGAGGGAGGTGGGAGGGTCAGAGTTAAGGAGACTCAGTGACAAAGGCAGAGACTGCAGTGATTCCAAGAAAGGGGCCACGAGCCAAGGAATGCAGGCGGCTCCTAGACACTGAAAAAGGCGAGGAAATGGGTTCATCTGTTTCCTCCAGAAGGGAACACAGTCCTGTTGACACCTTGATTTTAGACGTCTGACCTCCAGAACTGTAAGATAAGAAACATGTTGTTTTAACGCACCGAGTTTGCAGTCATCTTTTGCTGCAGCAGTTAAGAACTCATGCAGTTTAAGGGCACGTACTCTATAGGGCCCAGCTCTCTGAGTTCAGATTCCGGCACTTACCAGCCACAGGATCTCGGGCAAGCAGCCAAAGCCTCTGTTTCTTCATCTGTAAAATGGGGCAATGATAGAACCTATGGCATGTGGCATAAACAAGGGTTAAAATACGTGAAATAGATAAGTTGCTGCCACCCGCATCTCATAGGCGTTTGTGAGCGTCAGTGCGCTCATGATCGGTCAAAGGAATACAAAGGTAGGGTATTTGTTGTTGTTGTTGTTGTCTGAGACAGTCTCGCCCTGTCGCCCAGGCTGAAGTGCAATAGTGCGATCTCGGCTCACTGCAACCTCCACCTCCTGGGTTCAAGTGATTCTCCCACCTCAGCCTCCCGAGTAGCTGGGATTACAGGCATGTGCCACCACGCCCGGCTAATTTTGTATTTTTAGTAGAGACGGGGTTTCACCCTGTTGGCCAGGCTGGTCTCAAAATCCTGGCCACAAGTGATCCACCCATCTCGGCCTCCCAAAGTGCTGGGATTATAGGCATGAGCCACCACGCCTGGCCCAAAGGTGGATTTTAGAAAGGAAGGAGTCCCCAAGCCAGGCATGGTGACATGCACCTTGTAGTCCCAGCTACTCAGGAGGCTGAGGTGGGAGGATTGCTTGAGCCCAGTAGTTTGAGGCCAGAGTGGGCTATGATGGCACCACTGCACTCCAGCCTGGGCGACAGGGCCATACCCTGCTTTTAAAAGAGTAAAATAAGGCTGGGCGCGGTGGCTCACGCCTGTAATCCCAGCACTTTGGAAGGCCCAGATGGGCAGATCATTTGAGGTCAGGAGTTCGAGACCAGCCTGGCCAACATGGTGAAACCCCGTCTCTACTAAAAATACAAAAAATTAGCCGGGCGTGGTGGCTGGTGCCTGTCATCCCAGCTACTTGGGAGGCTGAGGCAGGAGAATTGTTTGAACTCAGGAGGCGGAGTTTGCAGTGAGCCAAGATCGCACCATTGCACTCCAGCCTGGGCGACAGAGCAAGACTCCGTCTCACAAATAAATAAATAAATAAAATTTAGAAAAATAAATTAAATAAATAAAAGTAAAGCGTCCCCAGCTGCTGCAGAGTAAATGGGCTGGTAAGGAGGAGGCTGGGGCAGAGGTGAGGGCAGAGATCACAGGTGTGGAGAGGGAGGATAAGCTGGGAGATTCCAGGCAGGGGCTTGGCCAGCAGGTGAATTCTGGGAATGAGAGGAAGGAAGGAGTCCAGCCTGGAAGCCTGGTGGGGCCGTCACCCAAGCAAGGCTGGGGTAGAAGACACGGGTATTTGCAAAAATAAAAATACAGTTCATCAGGAGTTCGAGATCAGCCTGGCCAACATGGTGAAACCCTGTCTCTACTAAAAATATAAGAATTAGCCAGGTGCGGTGGCGGGCGCCTGTAATCTCAGCTACTTGGGAGGCTGAGGCAGGAGAATTGCTGGAACCGGGCAGCGGAGGTTGCAGTGAGCCAAGATCGTGCCATTGCACTCCAGCCCAGGCCGACAACAGCGAGACTCTGTCTCAAAAAACAAAAACAAAAAGTACAGTTCAAGTGTACTGAGCGCTCAGTATGCGCAGGGCGCTGGGTTAAGGATTGTTTCCTGGGTGCCACTTGGGACTTCCACTCCAAGACTAGAAAGGAGGCTGTAGGCTGTGCATCTCCAGTTGATAGATTAGGAACCGAGGCTGGGAGGAGGGGTTGGACCTTCCCAGGGGCCCTGCAGAGCTGGAATCAAAACCCACTGCTCTCCATTTTCCCAGGGCGGGAGTCTATAGGGCCCCAGCTTGTTTCTGCTGAGTGTACCAGAGGGAGAGGAGGGAAAGAGCCATTGTTGCCAGGCAGATAGATTGATTCAGTCAGTCAGGTCAAGGTTAACTTGAATTAATCAGTAATAGGGTGGAAGAAGGGGATGGCCTTGCTGTGGGTTCTGGAGAAAAATTCTAGGAAAGCAGCCACCTCAGCCTGGAATTAGACGATGGGATAGGGGTTTCCCAGCTGCTCCCAGGCCTGGCTGCCCCTTTGTTGGGGAAGGGGAGGGATGGGATATAGGGGACAGTGAGTGAACTCAGGCAGGTGTGAGCCGGGGGCATCTGGGTCCCCCACCCAGAAATCATTCCCACTTCCTTCCTCTTATTTTCTTTCTTTTTCCTGTCTTGCTCTGTCATTCAGGCTGGGGGGCAGTGGTGCAGTCATAGCTCAGTGCAGCCTCTAACTCCTCCTGCCTCAGCCTCCCGAGGAGCTGGGACTGCAGGCACGCCACCATGCCCTGCTAATTTTTTTTTTTTTTTCAATTGTAGAGACGAAGTCTCACTGTATTTCTCAGGCTGGTCTCGAACTCCTGGACTCAAACAATGCTCTCACCTCGGCCTCCCGAAAGTGCTGGGATTACAAGCACGAGCCACCGCACCCTGGCCCCTTCTCATTTTCCCCTTGCACCCCAGCTAGGATTGCCAAACAGAATACAGGACGCTCAGTTACATTTGAATTTCAGATAAATAACAACTACTTTTTCAGTATATGTAGCTTCCAGATAACCCACGAATGGTCAGCCCGGTTGGCCACACTCTCCCTCCTTGATTCCGGGAATGCTGGGCTGGGTGGGCCTCAAAATGGAAAGTACCCCAACACACACCCAGACCTCCTTCTCTCCCTCCCCTGCTGGCTCATCCTTGTGCACTATCCCCCTCCCAAACCTCTGGACACCAATGCACATCTCCCAGAAAAAAGTCACGAGGTTCTGAAGAATTCCCGGTCTCATCTCCCTCCCTCCTTCCCTCCCAGTAGGCTACCATCTGCTCCAGCCTCCAACCCCCTCACTTCTCATCCTGCCCCTCCCCTCTGGTCACTTCTTGGAGGTCAGGGTAGGGCCAGACCCTTTCCAGGTTCAAGTGATTCTCCTGCTTCAGCCTCCCGAGTAGCTGGGATTATAGGCACCTGCCACCATGCTCAGCTAATTCTTTGTTGTTGTTGTTTGTTTTGTTTTGTTTTGAGACAGAGTCTCGCTCTTGTCGCCCAGGCTAGAGTGCAGTGGCACGATCTTGGCTCACTGCAACCTCCGCCTCCCAGGTTCAAGTAATTCTCCTGCCTCGGCCTCCCCAGTAGCTGGGATTACAGGTGCCCGCCACCAATCCTAGTTAATTTTTGTATTTTTAGTAGAGATGGGGTTTCACCATGTTGGCCAGGCTGGTCTTGAACTCCTGACCTCAGGTGATCCACCCATCTCGGCCTTCCAAAGTGCTGGGATGACAGGTGTGAGCCACCATGCCTAGCCAGCTAATTTTTGTATTTTTTAGTAGAAACAGGGTTTCACCATGTTAGCCAGGCTGGTCTCGAACCCCCGACCTCCAGCGATCCCCCAGCCTCAGCCTCCCAAAGTGCTGGGATGACAGGCGTGAGCCACCACACCTGGCCCCTCTGAGCCTGGTGGCTTCTAGGCATCCTGGTTTCTTTAATTGTCACAACAACCAGAACTATCTTCAGTCGCATTGTTTAGTTGGATTAACCGAGGCTCAGAGAAAAGAGGAACCCAGGCTTGCCGCTAGACAGAGGCCAGACAGGAATTCCTTCTCAAGGTTGTCAAACCACAGTGCCGAATGCTTGAGTCTAGAATGAAACCAGGAAATGGGGTGGCTTGAGGAGAAAGTGGGGGATAGAAGATGGAATGGGGCAATTGGGAGATCCAGTTTCTTTCCTTTTTTTAATTTTTTTTTTTTTTTTTGGCAACAGGGTCTCTCTCTGTCACCCAGGCTGGAGTGCAGTGGTGCAATCTCAGCTCACTGCAACCTCTGCCTCCCGGCTTCAAGCGATTCTCCTGCCTCAGCCTCCTGAGTAGCTGGGATTACAGGCACCCACCACCACGCCTGGCTAATTTTTGTACTTTCAGTAAAGACGGGGTTTCACCATGTTGGCCAGGCTGGTCTCCAACTCCTGGCCTCAAGTGATCTGCCTGCCTCGGCCTCCCAAAGTGCTGGGATTACAGACGTGAGCCACTGCGCCTGGCAAGGGGATGCAGTTTCAAAAGCTGAACCCCAATTCTGGAGAGCAAGCAGGTATTTTCATTCTCTCTCCTCCTCCTCCTCCTCTTCCAAAGAGTGTGTCGCAATCAGTGCAGACAGACGCCAGGTTTGTTCTCATGCTCCACGCCTCCCCCTACCCCTGGCACGGAAAAGAATGTGGTTTACAGGAAATCAGAGAAAACTCCCCATTAACCCCTTCAGTGGGGTTTCAGAAACCGCCTCTCCAGGGATAAGGGGGCCCCACCCACAGACCCTTCTCCTGCCCTCACCATCCACCTCGTATGCCTGGGCAGCAATGCTGCAGAACGTCAGAGGAATGCCAGTTAAAATGACACCGGCTGCCGGGGTGTGGTGGCTCACTTCTATAATCCCAGCACTCTGGGAGGCCGAGGTGGGCGGATCACCTGAGGTCAGGAGTTTGAGACCAGCCTGGCCAACATGGCGAAACCCTTTCTCTACTAAAAATACAAAAAATAAAAAATAAAAGAAAAAAAAAATTAGCCAGGTGTAGTGGCGCATGCCTGTGATCCCAGCTCTTTGGGAGGCTGAGGCAGGAGAATCACTTGAACCCAGGAGGCAGAGGTTGCAGTGAGCTGAGATGGCGCCACTGCACTCCACCCTGGGTGACAGCACAAGACTCCATTTAAAAAAACAAAACAAAACAAAAAAAATGACACCAGGGTACCAGTTTTCACCCATAAGGCTGGCAAAAATCTTCAAGTTCATCAACATGCCCTTGTGATGAGGCTGTGGAAGAAACTGACAATTCATTTCATGCAGGGCTCATAAGTGTGTAAATCAATACAACTTCTGTGCAGGGGAATTTGGCAATATCTAGCAAGATTACCAGTGCATTCAGAGATTGACCCAACATATTTCCTTTCATTGCAACGACAACTCTATGAAGCAGGTGGTAAGGGTTTCCTTTTCCATGAACAAACTGAGGCTCAGGGCGGTAATCAGTAGCTTACCCAAAGATCACAGCTAGTTTCAGAGCTAGAAAATAACGCAGGTTCAAGCTTATTCACTGCAGAGAGCCTGGTGTGAAGCCACAGATGTCAGTCTCTCCATCAAGAAGAGGCTGGTGGCTGGACACAGCGGCTCACGCCTGTAATTCCAACACTTTGGGAGGCCAAGGTAGGTGGGTCACTTGAAGTCAGGAGTTCAAGACCAGCCTGGCCAACATGGTGAAACCCCTTGTCCACTAAAAATACAAAAATTGCCAGACGTGGTGGTGCTCACCTATAATTTCAGCCATTCCGGAGGCTGAGGCAGGAGAATTGTTTGAACCCAGGAGGTGGAGGGTGCAGTGAGCTGAGATAGCGCCACTGCCCTCCAGCCTGGGTGACAGGGCAAGACTCTAAAAAAAAAACACTCAAACAAACAAAATATCCCCCAAAAAGTAGGAGGCTGGTTACTTTCTCACAATATAACAAGAGGCCTGTAACCTGTAAGAATGAGGCAGTTCTTTGCTCACTGAGGTGAAATAGCCTCTGAGGTATATTGTTCATGAAAAAACGAAACAAAACGAAACCCAAGATTTAACTGAAGAGACCAGGAAGAATAGTATGTGCTATGTGCTGTCCACAGGGCACAGTAGTTCACACCAGCACTTTGTGAGGCTGCTGCGGGAGGATCACTTGAGCCCAGGAGTTCAAGACTGGACTGGGCAACATCGTGGGACCCCCATCTCCACAAAAATAAAAAAATTATCCGGGCATGGTGGCGGCCACCCGTAGTCCCGGCTACTTGGGTGGTTGAGCCAGGATGATCACTTGACCCCAGGAGGTTGAGGCTGCAGTGAGCTGTGATTGCACCACTGCAATTTAGCCTGAGTGACAGAATGAAAAAAAAATTTTTTTAAAGGAAAACACAAAAAGAATATGCTGTCAACAGGGATGGGAGGAAGACCACCTTTACTGCTATACACATTTGTACCTTTTAGATGTTGATCAATATGAATATATTATACACACAGACACACACACAGACACACACACACACACAAACAATACAATTTAATATCCTAAGAGGATATTGACATTAGACAGGTACAAAAGCTCTAGAAATGAGGACTTTCCTCAGTGATGACTTTTTTCACCACCAAAGTCACTCAGGCATCCTGACAAGGGTAAGTGAGGGGAGCCTCCTTGGAAAATAAACTCACTTGGATAGTGAACTCCTGCACATACCTCAAAGCCCATCTGAAATGTCCCCTCCTACAGGAAGTTTTCCCTGACCCTCCAAGAAGCAGAGTTCTATTTCACTGGGGAAAACATTTCTTCTTCTTCTTTTTTTTCCCTGCCCTGCACATGAGCTAGAAAACATTTCATGAAACTGGGAGTTTCTGTGCTGGGCTCTGTCCCTCCCCCATTCTACTTCCCCTCCCTCAGCATGGAAGCCTCTGGAAGTGGGGCTCTGACTCCCAGCCTACAGAGAGATTCCTAGGAAGTGTTCGACTGATAAACGCATGGCCAAAAGTGAACTGGGGATGAGGTCCAAGACATCTGCGGTGGGGGGTTCTCCAGACCTTAGTGTTCTTCCACTACAAAGTGGGTCCAACAGAGAAAGGTCTGTGTTCACCAGGTGGCCCTGACCCTGGGAGAGTCCAGGGCAGGGTGCAGCTGCATTCATGCTGCTGGGGAACATGCCCTCAGGTTACTCACCCCATGGACATGTTGGCCCCAGGGACTGAAAAGCTTAGGAAATGGTATTGAGAAATCTGGGGCAGCCCCAAAAGGGGAGAGGCCATGGGGAGAAGGGGGGGCTGAGTGGGGGAAAGGCAGGAGCCAGATAAAAAGCCAGCTCCAGCAGGCGCTGCTCACTCCTCCCCATCCTCTCCCTCTGTCCCTCTGTCCCTCTGACCCTGCACTGTCCCAGCACCATGGGACCCACCTCAGGTCCCAGCCTGCTGCTCCTGCTACTAACCCACCTCCCCCTGGCTCTGGGGAGTCCCATGTGAGTGGTTATGACTCTACCCACAAACAGGGCTGGTTCTGGGGTGGAAGCAGACATTTGGGGGTCCAGGTCCCTGTAGAATTCAGGGTGCATTTGGGTGTTTGTGGATTCAGGGGTTAGCAGGTTGGGAATGATTATATATATTTGGGCTGCCTGTGAGTTTGGGTGTTTGTGGTTGGGTGTTTGTGGAATCCAGGTATCATGGAATTGGAGTTTATATACATTTGGGCTGCCTGTGAGTTTGGGTGTTTGTGGTTGGGTGTTTGTGGAATCCAGGTATCGTGGAATTGGAGTTTATATACATTTGGGCTGCCTGAGAGTTTGGGTGTTTATGGGTTGGGTGTTTGTGGAATCCAGGTATGGTGGAATTGGAGTTTGGGATGTTTCTAGAATTGAGGTCATCTGTTGGTTTAGGGTGTATGTGGTGTTCATTGATGGTGCGGTTGGGGGTGTTTGGAGACTCGGAGGTTTGGACTTTACAAGATTTGGGAGTTTGCAGCTTGGGGACTTGCAATTTTCAGTGTGGGTTTAAAGATTGGCTACTTCGGGTTCATGTATAGTTGGGGCATTTGGAATTGATTGTATTTATTAGGACTGGGGTGTTGGAGGTTTAGGCTGGGTTTGGGGTGCTCTAAGATTTGAGGTTTAGAGGTTTTGGCGTATGTGGGTTTGGGTAGGTAGAGTTGAGGGTGTCCGGGAGTTTGAGTGTTTACATATTTGGAGTGTTTAGAGAGGTAGAGGTTTAGGGTTTGGGGCATGTGTGGGTTTAGGCGATTGTGGGTCTGGAAGTCCAGAGACTTGGAGGAGTTGCTGACGCTGGTTGGAAGGTTCAGGGTTTGGTGGGATGTGTGGCCCCCTCGTTGCCCAGGCTTTCAAAGGCCAGGCCCAGCTGGCTGAGAGTGGGAGTCATGGTGGCTGCTGTCCTGCCCATGTGGTTGAGACGGTGGCAGTGCCCAGAGAAGATAATGGCATTGGCAAGTGCGCCGGCAGTCACTGGATCCTCTCCAGGACCAGAGGCTGGGGCACACAGCCTGCCAGGCGCTGACTCCAGTGAGGACTGGCGTCTCACATCCGTGGAATGACAAGCCCACTCCCGTGCCCCACTCCGACAGGTACTCTATCATCACCCCCAACATCTTGCGGCTGGAGAGCGAGGAGACCATGGTGCTGGAGGCCCACGACGCGCAAGGGGATGTTCCAGTCACTGTTACTGTCCACGACTTCCCAGGCAAAAAACTAGTGCTGTCCAGTGAGAAGACTGTGCTGACCCCTGCCACCAACCACATGGGCAACGTCACCTTCACGGTGAGTGCAGACTGGCGCAGGACCCGGCTGACACCCACAGCCACGCCCACTCCCCCCCTCCTCCTGAGCCCCTCCCCTTCTGTCTTCTCCCTTTCTAAGCCCTGCCCTTCCCTGAGACTCCACCCCTTCGGAGTCGCCTCTCCTTCTAAGCCCCTCCCTTCTCTGAGACTCCACCCCTTCTGAGTCTCCTCCCCTTATAAGCCCCTCCCTTTTCTGAGACCCCCCCCCACCCCTTCTGAATCTCCTCCCCTTCTAAGCCCTGACCTTCCCTGAGACCCCACCCCTTCTGAGACTCCTCCCCTTCTGAGTCCCTCCCTTCCCTGAGACCCCACCCCTTCTGAGGTTCCTCCCCTTCTCTGAGACTCCACCCCTTCTGAGTCTCCTCCCCCTCTAAGTCCCTCCCACTGAATTCCTTTTCCAAGCCCCTCCCCCTCGAAGTCTCCTCTTCTGAACTCCTCCCCTCTTAGTCTCCATCACTTTCTAAGTTCCCTCACCTGAGTCCCTCCCCCTTTCTGAGCCCCTCCCATGTCAGCCCCTTCCCTTTCTGAGTCCCCGCCCCTTCTGAGCCCCTCCTCCTATAAGCTCTCTCCTCCTTGTGAGCTCTTCTTTTTGAGTTCCCTCCCTGGTCCCCCCTCTCCCCTCGCACCTCCTTCACATGCCCCTCCCTCCCCAAAACGGCCACCTCGGAAGACCAAGAATAATGGGCAGGCAAGGAGGGACCCAGCCCAAGATCCGGAAGCTGGACCGTGGGCATGGGGCCTTGGAACAGACCCCTGACAATGCCCTGCCCACGCCTAGATCCCAGCCAACAGGGAGTTCAAGTCAGAAAAGGGGCGCAACAAGTTCGTGACCGTGCAGGCCACCTTCGGGACCCAAGTGGTGGAGAAGGTGGTGCTGGTCAGCCTGCAGAGCGGGTACCTCTTCATCCAGACAGACAAGACCATCTACACCCCTGGCTCCACAGGTGAGGCTGGGGGCGGCTGGAGAGGGCGGGGCACCGGCGTGGGCGGGCTAGGGTCTCACGAGGCCTCTTTGTCTCTCCCCAGTTCTCTATCGGATCTTCACCGTCAACCACAAGCTGCTACCCGTGGGCCGGACGGTCATGGTCAACATTGAGGTGCCAGCCAGAGGGGGCCCCAGGGGAAGCAGGGGCACAGGCTTAGGAGAGGCAAAGAGATCGAGAGAGACAGAGAAAGACACACCGGAAGGGGTGCAGTGGCAGAGACACAGAGGCAAAGAGATATGCAGACACACACCCACACAACACACACACATACAGCACACAACATGCACACACACAGCACACAATACACACACAGAGGCAAAGAGATATGCAGACACATGTGCACACACAATGCACACACACAATGCAACACACACAAACACACAACATACACGACCACACAACACACACAACACAACACACAACACAATACACACAGCACAACGTGCATGACCACACACACAACACACAACACACACAACACAATACACAACATACACAACCACGCAATACACACAAAACACACACAACACAACACAACATACATAACCACACCACACACAACACACAACCACACAACACTATCACACAACACACACAAACACACACAACACACAACACACACAACACACACAAAACACAACACACACACAACATACACAACCACACAACACACAACCACACAACATACACGACCACACAACACAGTGCACACAAACATAGCACACACAACACACAACCCAACACACAACCACACAATACACCATATGGCGCGCACACACACACACACACACACACAGGCTGAGAGACAAGGTGGAGATCCAGGGAGACCCCAGGGAGCAGTGCAGGTGTCCGTGGATTCTGCTTTCAGTTAAACCCCTGATCACTTCACCTCCCTGAGCCTCAGTTACCTTATCTGAATATCGGGATCATGACGGATAATTGTATGTCATCTATTCTACCGACGGCAGCCAGAGGACGCCTGTGAGCACCTGAGTCAGGGCCCATCCCTGCTCTGCCTACAGCCCTCCATGGCTCCCACCTTCCTATGCGTCAAAGCCCAAGTCCTCCCTGCAGTCCACAAGGCCCTGCACACCTTGCCCTGTCCCTTCCCTGCCCTCCCCTCCTCCCTCTCTCCCCCTCGTTCACTCTTCTGGAGCCACACGGGCCATCCTCCCTGTTCCTCCAACACCCAGGTGCAGTCCTGCCTTGGCGCCTTGGCACGGGCTGTGCCCTCTTCTCAAGAAAACCCTCTTCTTCCAAATATCCACACAGCTTGTTCTCTCTCCTCCTTTAAGTCTTTGCTCAAATGTCACCAATGTCTCAATTTTACAATGAGGTCTCTCTGAGTAACCTATAAAGTCGCAAATACCCACCCTGAGCGTCCCCCCTCCCCGCTACACACACTCCTCCTTCCTGCCATGTCCTGCAAATGAGATTTATTCATTTGATAATTGCTTCTCCCATCGCCTCGCCCTCTATTGAACCTAAATCCCTCCAGGAAGGAATTGTTATGTTTGTTGAGGGTTTTGTCACCTGAACTCAGCACAATGCTGGTATATAGTTGGGTTTAATAAAAAACTTACTGGAAGAAGCGAGAAGGATGGGAGGAGAGAAGGGGAAGGAGGGTGTTCTCATAGAATTATCATGAGGATGTGTTGAAATCATACAAGGCTAGGTGCAGTGGCTCACACTTGTAATCCCAGCTGTTTGGGAGGCCAAGGCGGGAGGATCGCTTGAGCCCAAGAGTCCAAGACCAGCCTGGGCAACACAGCCAGACCCTGTCTCTACAAAAAAGAAAAGTTAAAAACAAACAAAAAAACAGCTGTGTGTGGTGGTGCTTGCTTGTGGTTGCAGCTACCCCAGGAGGCTGAGGCAGGAGGATCACTTGAGCCCAGGAATTCCAGGCTGCAGTGAGCCGTGATCGCACCACTGCACTCCAGCCTGGGTGGCAGAGTGAGACCCTGTCTCAAAAAATAATTGGGGCAAATGCAATGGCTCAAGCCTGTAATTCCAACATTTCGGGAGGCAGAGGTGGGAAGACTGCTCGAGGCCAAGAGTTCAAGACCAGCCTGGGAAAGCTAGGGAGACTACATCTCTACAAAAAAAATGTAAAAATTATCTAGATTTAGGGATTGATGTGGTCTGTGGGGAACAGAGACCACACATCTCTTGTAAAGGCACAACAGTTGCCCAGCTCCAATTAGATGTCTCCTGCTAACCAGAGTACACTATCCACAGAAATTTCCTTGTTTCCAACAGAAGCTAGAAAAACAGATTTTTGGCCAGGTGCAGTGGCTCACTCCTATAATCCCAGCACTTTGGGAGGTGGAGGCGGGCAGATCACGAGGTCAGGAGATCGAGACCATCCTGGCTAACACGGTGAAACCCCGTCTTTATTAAAAGTACAAAAAAAAAATTAGCTGGGCGTGGTGGCGGGCACCTGTAGTCCCAGCTACTCGAGAGGCTGAGGCAGGAGAATGGTGTGAACCCGGGAGGCGGAGCCTGCAGTGAGCCGAGATCTCGCCATTACACTCCAGCCTGGGCGACAGAGCAAGACTCCGTCTCAAAAAAAAAAACAAAAAAAACAAAAAAAAAACAGATTTTTATATGTTTTAATTCCTAAAGCCAGCTCACGGCCTTCAGATATGCCACTTGCCTGATCCCTGTTACCTCTGTACAATTTCTTTTAAACTTATTTATTCATTCATTCATTCATTATTATTATTTTTGAGACAGGGTCTCATTCTGTTGCCCAGGCTAGAGTGCAGTGGCACAATCACAGCTCACTGCAGCATTGACCTCCTGGGCCCAAGCTGTCCTCCTGTCTCAGCCTCCTGGGTAGCTGGGACCACAGACGTGCGCCACCACATCCAGCTAATTTTAAAAAATTTTTGTAGAGATGGAGTCTCCCTACATTTCCCAGGCTGGTCTTGAACCCTTGACCTTGAGCAATCTTCCCACTTCTGCCTCTCAAAGTGCTGGGATTACAGGCTTGAGCCATTGCGCTCGCCCTAATACATTATTTTTTGAGATGGGGTCTCGCTCTTTCACCCAGACTGGAGTGCAGTGGTGCAATGATGTCTCATGATGTTTAAATGTTGGCAGCAAATGAAATGACACTACTAGTTATTAGTATTCAGAGAGACACTGAAAAAATGAGCCCCTACTCATATGAACTATGTCCCAAGCCAACACAGTAGGTGCCATTATAATCTCCTGTTTCAAGATTTGCACATTGAGCACAGAGAGGTTAGGTAACTTGCCCAGGGTCACACAGCTTGTAAGTGGCACAGTAGAGATTGAAACCTAAGGTTGACTGACTCCGGTCCTTGTTCTTTTTTTCGAGACAGACTCTCACTCTGTCTCCCAGGCTGGAGTGCAGTGGAGTGATCTTGGCTCTCTGCAATCTCCGCCTCCCGGGTTCAAGCGATTCTCCCGCCTCAGCCTCCTGAGTAGCTGGGATTACGGGTGCCTACCACCATGCCTGGCTAATTTTTGTATTTTTAGTAGAGACAGGGTTTCATCACGTTGGCCAGGCTGGTCTTGAACTCCTGACCTCAGGTGATCTGCCCGCCTCAGCCTCCCAGAGTGCTGGGATGACAGGCGTGAGCCGCTGCGCCCACCTGGGTCCCTGTTCTTAACCACAGTAGACACTGTGCACAGAGAATGTCCAGACACAGGTCGGGGAGAGCTGAGAGGCTAAGCCCAGCCTCCGAAGAGCCACTTTATCCTCTATCCTTCCCTCCTGCCTCCCACAGAACCCGGAAGGCATCCCGGTCAAGCAGGACTCCTTGTCTTCTCAGAACCAGCTTGGCGTCTTGCCCTTGTCTTGGGACATTCCGGAACTCGTCAAGTATGTCAGGTTCTTGAGGAGGGGGCTCAGGGCTCCCCTATCCCCGGAGAGGGAGCAGGGGGGCTCCGAGGCCTGAGAGACCACTCATCCGCCCTCCTCACAGCATGGGCCAGTGGAAGATCCGAGCCTACTATGAAAACTCACCACAGCAGGTCTTCTCCACTGAGTTTGAGGTGAAGGAGTACGGTAAGAGGAGGAGGGGCTGGGGGGAGTCAGTGCCCAGAACGCCTGGCCCAGCGCCGGCCCCACCAACGCCATCTCTCCCCCAGTGCTGCCCAGTTTCGAGGTCATAGTGGAGCCTACAGAGAAATTCTACTACATCTATAACGAGAAGGGCCTGGAGGTCACCATCACCGCCAGGTGAGGGACTGGGGGTGGGGCCAGGTAAGAGCCAGGTGAGGGACCAGGTGAAGACCAGGTGGGGGACTGGGGGTGGAGTCAGGTGGGGGGCTGGAGATGGGACCAGGTGGGGGGCTGGGGGTGGAGTCAGGTGGGGGGCTGGGGGTGGGGAAGGTGGGGGGCTGGGGGTGGGGCAAGGTGAGGGGCTGGGGGTGGGACCAGGTGGGGGGCTGGGGGGTGGAGTCAGGTGGGGGCTGGGAGTGGGGAAGGTGGGGGGCTGGGGGTGGGGCCAGGTGAGGGGCTGGAGGTGGGACCATGTGGGGGGTGGGAGTGGGGCAAGGTGGGGGGCTGGGGGTGGGGCCAGGTGAGGGGCTGGAGGTGGGGCCAGGTGAGAGGCCAGCAGTGGGTTGGGGGCTCCAGTCTTCAGCACAGGCAGGAGAAGCTGGGGGAGATCCCATTCTCCAGGAGGGATGGACCTGAAGCCCTCCTTGTCTGTCCCGTAGGTTCCTCTACGGGAAGAAAGTGGAGGGAACTGCCTTTGTCATCTTCGGGATCCAGGATGGCGAACAGAGGATTTCCCTGCCTGAATCCCTCAAGCGCATTCCGGTACCATAGACGGAGGCCGCTTTGATCCCTGCCCCAGTCCCCGCCACCTCTGAGCCCGCTCCCCTCTCTGAGCCCTCCTCTCCCTTCTCAGATTGAGGATGGCTCGGGGGAGGTTGTGCTGAGCCGGAAGGTACTGCTGGACGGGGTGCAGAACCCCCGAGCAGAAGACCTGGTGGGGAAGTCTTTGTACGTGTCTGCCACCGTCATCTTGCACTCAGGTGAGGCCCAGTCTGAAGGCCAGGCTCAGGACCACCAAGTGGGCCGGTCTGAGAGGGGAGACCAGGTCAGAAGAGAAAGCCTAGTCTAAGGAGGGAGGCTCAGAGTGAAAGTGGGGTTCAGTCTGATGGGGTAGGCCCAGTCTGAGAGGGGAGGCCGAGTATGAAGATGGATTCCAGCCTGATGGGGGGAGGCAGGGCCAGTATAAAGGTGGGGTCCGGGCTGATGGGGGCACAGGCCCAGTATGAAGTCTGTGTCCAGTCTGATGAGGGAGGCAGGGCCAGTATAAAGATGGGTCCAGTCTGATGGGGGAGGCAGGGCCAGTATAAAGGTGGGGTCCGGTCTGATGGGGGTCACAGGCCCAGTATGAAGTCTGTGCCAGTCTGATGGAGGAGGCAAGGCCAGTATAAAGGTGGAGTCCAGTCTGATGGGGGGCACAGGCCCAGTATGAAAGTGGACTCTACTCTGAGGGAGGAGGTCTAGTCTGAAGTTGGGGTCCATTCTGAGGGAGGAGGTCTAATCCTGAGGGGTGGCCCAGAAGCCTACACTCACAGCTGGTCCCCTCAGGCAGTGACATGGTGCAGGCAGAGCGCAGCGGGATCCCCATCGTGACCTCTCCCTACCAGATCCACTTCACCAAGACACCCAAGTACTTCAAACCAGGAATGCCCTTTGACCTCATGGTGAGACCCGGGGCGGGAAGGGGTCCCACTCCTCCCTTCGGGGACACCGGCCACAGCCCTGAGCCTGCCTGAACTTCCCCCACCTGCACCCCACATCACAGGTGTTCGTGACGAACCCTGATGGCTCTCCAGCCTACCGAGTCCCCGTGGCAGTCCAGGGCGAGGACACTGTGCAGTCTCTAACCCAGGGAGATGGCGTGGCCAAACTCAGCATCAACACACACCCCAGCCAGAAGCCCTTGAGCATCACGGTGCGTCTGGGCCCAGCCTCGGAACCCCATCACTGGGAAGACGGTACAGGGGTTCTGGTGTTTGCACAGTGGGGTCCTGTCATTTGCATACAGATATTCTCATCTGCATAGAGAGGTTCTCTCCTGCGCAGAGGGGTCCTGCCATTTGCATAGAGATACTCTCATCTGCATAGAGGGGTTCTGTCCTGCACAGTGGGGTCCTGCCATTTGCATAGACATTCTCATTTGCCTAGAGGGGTTCTGTCCTGCACAGTGGGGTCCTGCCGTCTGCATGGAGGGGTCCGCAGTTTGAGGAAACAGGAATCTTCCTCTTGCATGCCCTGCTCCTTCCACTTACACGGAGAGGCGCTCCATCCACGCACAGTCTTTCCACTCCCATGGGGGAAGGAGCCTGAATCTCACAAGGAGGGTTGTGTAGTGTTTGGGACAGGCCCATTGTTGTGAGGTGGTCTCAGTT
Source organism: Homo sapiens (assembly GCF_000001405.40). Classification (NCBI taxonomy): domain Eukaryota; kingdom Metazoa; phylum Chordata; class Mammalia; order Primates; family Hominidae; genus Homo; species Homo sapiens. The sequence continues at coordinate 6,711,799 of NC_000019.10, read as the reverse complement.
CTCCTGGCTTCTGTGCACGTGGCTCTGTTGCCCCTCACTGGGAGGGAAGCAAGTCTCATGACAGCTGCGGAGGTTGCAGATGGCCTCCCAGTCCCTCTGCAGCTCCCAGGCTGCGCACCCCACTTACCCCTCCCTGTGCTCAGCATGTGCGTGAATTTCCGGTGGCTACCATGAGAAATGGCCACAGCCTAGTGATCTAAAGCAACACACATTTATGGGTCTATAGTTTGAGAGGTCAGAAGTCCTGGCTCTGGGGGAAAGTTCGCTCCCTTGCTTTTTCCAGTGTCGCCAGGGCACCCTAAAGGCCTGGCTCATGGCCCCTTCCTCCACCTTTAAAGGCAGCAGCATAGCATCTTCCAGTGTCTCTCTTTCTCTCTGTCTCTGTCTCTCCTTTCTCCCCTGCCCCTGCTTAATAAAGACCCTTATGATTACATTAGCTCCACCTACATAATCCAGGATAATGATTCCATCTCCAGATCCCTAACTTAATCCCATCTGCAAAGCCCCTTTTGTTAAGAAAGGCCACCAATTCCCAGGTCTCAGGGATTCGGGTGTGGGTATCCTCGGGCGGCGACCAGCAGGCATCCCTCTTTCCCCACCCAGGTGCGCACGAAGAAGCAGGAGCTCTCGGAGGCAGAGCAGGCTACCAGGACCATGCAGGCTCTGCCCTACAGCACCGTGGGCAACTCCAACAATTACCTGCATCTCTCAGTGCTACGTACAGAGCTCAGACCCGGGGAGACCCTCAACGTCAACTTCCTCCTGCGAATGGACCGCGCCCACGAGGCCAAGATCCGCTACTACACCTACCTGGTCCGTGGCCACCTGGAAACCTCAGCCCCCGCCTCCTCCTTGTTTCTTCCGCACCCCTGGGACTCCTTCCCCCATCCCGGATCCCTCCCTGCGTTCCCTGCCACTCACCCTCCCCAGCCTGATGCCAGCCTGTCCCCCCAGATCATGAACAAGGGCAGGCTGTTGAAGGCGGGACGCCAGGTGCGAGAGCCCGGCCAGGACCTGGTGGTGCTGCCCCTGTCCATCACCACCGACTTCATCCCTTCCTTCCGCCTGGTGGCGTACTACACGCTGATCGGTGCCAGCGGCCAGAGGGAGGTGGTGGCCGACTCCGTGTGGGTGGACGTCAAGGACTCCTGCGTGGGCTCGGTAAGTGTGCCCTGGGCTCGCTCGCCCCCTCTCCCTCTCCCTACTCCTCTCTCTCTCTCTCTCTCCCTGTCTCCTCTCTCTCTCTCTCTCCCTTTCTCCTTTTCTCTCTCCTTTCTCTCTCTTCTCTTCCTCTCCCTTTCTCTCCTCCCTCTCTGTCTCTCAACTGTCTCTCTTTTTATCTCTCTTTCCCTCTCTCTACATCTCTCTTTCCCTCTCTCTTTATTTCTCTTTCCTTCTCTCTCTCCCTCTCTCGATCTCTCTTTCTCTCCATCTCTCTCCTTTTCTCTCTCCCTCTCTCTCTCCTTTTCTCTCTCCCTGTCTCTTTCCCTTTCCCTCTCTCTCCCCTCTCTTTCTCTCCCTCTCTCTTTCCCTCTCCCTCTCTCTCTCCCTTTCTCTCTCTCCCTCTCTCTCCTTCTCTCTCCCTCTTTCTCTCCTTCTCTCTTTCCCTCTCTCTCTCCCTCTCTCTTTCCCTCTCTCTCCCTCTCCCTTTCTCTCCCTCTTTCCCTTTCCCTCTCTCCCCCCTCACTCTCCCTCTCTCTGTCTCTCCGTCTCTCTCCCTCTCTCCCTGTCTCTCCGTCTCTCTCCCTGTCTCTCCCTTTCTCTCTCTCTCCCGCCCTCTCTCCCTCTCTCTCCCTCCCTCTCTCCCTTTCTCTCTCTCTCCCTCTCTCTCCCCCTCCCCAGCCCCACGGCTCCCCCCAACCTTTCTGTCTTTCCACTCTAGCCCAGCACCCACTCCATCCCAGGCACTCCTCTCTCCCAGGGCTGACTTCTTTCGGCGTCTCCACCCTCCCCACAGCTGGTGGTAAAAAGCGGCCAGTCAGAAGACCGGCAGCCTGTACCTGGGCAGCAGATGACCCTGAAGATAGAGGGTGACCACGGGGCCCGGGTGGTACTGGTGGCCGTGGACAAGGGCGTGTTCGTGCTGAATAAGAAGAACAAACTGACGCAGAGTAAGGTAAGGGCCAGTGACCCAAGGCTGCTGAGAAGAGGCGGAGGCACGGAGCTGGGGCTGGGGGAGGTGGGTGGGACTGGAGAGGGCAGTGCAGTGGGGGGCATGCGCTGAAAGCAGAGATCGGAGCAGACCAGACACAGGGATGGTTGAAGCTGAAGATGGGAATGAGGTTGGACATGGGTTCCAATTGGGGATGGTCCTGAGAATTGGACTTTTTTTTCTGTTTGTTTGTTTGTTTTTGAGACAGAGTCTCTCTCTGTCACCAGGCTGGAGTGCAGTGGCACAATCTCGGCTCACTGCAACCTCTGCCTCCCAGGTTCAAGCGATTCTCCTGCCTCAGCTTCCCTAGTAGCTGGGACTACAGGTGCCCATCACCACGCCCAGCTAATTTTTGTATTTTTAGTGAAGACGGGGGTTTCACCATGTTGGCCAGGATGGTCTCGATCTCTTGGCCTTGTGATCCACCCGCCTCGACCTCCCAAAGTGTTGGGATTACAGGCGTGAGCCACTGCGCCCGGCTGAGAATTGGACACTTTCAACTGGGGCCCTGAGAGGCTGGTGGCAGCACACCCAGGGTCATTCAGTGGGGAAGGTTTCCGGAGTAGGGACGAAGATGGAGATGGGGTTGGCTTGGGATCAGGAGTGAGGATGGGAATGCAGATGGAATCAGAGGGGAAATGGAGATAAGATTTGGAATGGAGGCCAGGTGCGGTGGCTCACGTCTGGAATCCCAGCACTTTGGGAGGTCAAGGTGGGAGGATCACTTGAGGCCAGGAGTTCAGACCAGCTTGGGCAACATGGCAAGACCCCATCTCTACAGAAAAAATTTTAAAATAGCTGGGCATGATGGCGCATGCCTGTAGTCCCATCTGCTCAGGAGGCAGAGGTGCGAGGATTGCTTGAGCCCAGGAATTTGAGGCTGCAGTGAGCTATGCCTGCACCACTGCACTCCAGCCTGGGAGACAGTGGAAAATCCCAACTTAAAAAAAAAAAAAAAGAATGGAAAGAAAGGAGGAAAAAAAAAGAAGAGAGAGAGAAACAGAGAGAAAGAAAAAGAAAGGAGATAAAGAGGAAGGGAGGGAGGGAGTGAAGAATGAAGGAAGGAAAGAAGGAAGGAAGGAAGGAGGGAAGGAGGGAAGGAAAGGGGGAGCAAAGGAAGGAGGAAAGGAGGAATGGAGGGAGGAAGGGAGGGAGAGGAAGGAAGGGAAAGAAAGAAGACAGAAAGAAAAGAAAAAGAAGGCCGGGCATGGTGGCTCACTCCTGTAATCCCTTTGGGAGGCCAAGCACTTTGGGAGGCCAAGACAGGCGAATCATTTCAGGTCAGGAGTTCGAGACCAGCCTGGCCAACATGGTGAAATCCCGTCTCTACTAAATATATAAAAATTAGCTGGGCATGGTGGCATGCACCTGTAGTCCCAGATACTCGGGAGGCTGAGGCAGGAAAATTGCCTGAACCTGGGAGTTGGAGGTTACAGTGAGCGGAGATCACACCACTGCACTCCAGCCTGGGTGACAGAGCAAGACTCCATCTCGAAAGAAAGAAAGAGAGAGAGTGAGAAAGAGAAAGAAAAAGAGAAGGAAGGAGAGAGAAGGAAGGAAGGAAAGAGAAAGAGAAAGGAAGGGCAGAAGCAGGAATGGGGGAGATGAGAGTGGGACAGGGTGGGGTCATTTGGGAAGAGATACACAGGTGCATATGTGGGGGATCCCAATTGTCAGCCTGGCCTCCCTGCGTCCCGCCACCCCTATGCCCCCCGCAGATCTGGGACGTGGTGGAGAAGGCAGACATCGGCTGCACCCCGGGCAGTGGGAAGGATTACGCCGGTGTCTTCTCCGACGCAGGGCTGACCTTCACGAGCAGCAGTGGCCAGCAGACCGCCCAGAGGGCAGGTGAGGTCGCCACCAGGGGCCGGTGCAGGGACAGACAGCACCTCCACCTCCCAGATGCTGGGAGCAGAGCTCTGGAAACCGGGGGCCTGGGTTCAAGCCCCGCCTCCACCACCACCTAGTAAATCCCTCCCCTCTGAGCCTCAGTTTGCTCTTCCATCAAATGGGAGCAGGAACACCCCCACCTCACACGATCGTGAGGGGTGAACCGAGGACACCTAGTAGGTGCCTCATCCATCTTCTTCTCGGTCCGCCTGCCCTGCAGAACTTCAGTGCCCGCAGCCAGCCGCCCGCCGACGCCGTTCCGTGCAGCTCACGGAGAAGCGAATGGACAAAGGTGGGAGCCTTTCCTACCCACTCCTGCCCCCGAGCCCCACCCCAGGAGACCCCAGCCCGGCCGTGCAGGAGCCAGAGAGGGAGGAGGGGAGGCCCTGGCGGCGGGGAAGTCCTCCCTGGGGTCCGTCCCGCGTCCCTCCTGCTGCCGGCCCCCGGCTGAGGGTGTGGCCTGGGGGAACACGTGCTCCCGCAGTCGGCAAGTACCCCAAGGAGCTGCGCAAGTGCTGCGAGGACGGCATGCGGGAGAACCCCATGAGGTTCTCGTGCCAGCGCCGGACCCGTTTCATCTCCCTGGGCGAGGCGTGCAAGAAGGTCTTCCTGGACTGCTGCAACTACATCACAGAGCTGCGGCGGCAGCACGCGCGGGCCAGCCACCTGGGCCTGGCCAGGAGTAGGTCCCACGGGGTGGGGACAGGGGGAGGGGGCCGTCTGATGGGGGAGGAGACTCCTGTCTGAGGAGGGAGGATGCCCTGTCTGGTGGGGGTGGGGCTGGAGGAGGCCGCTGTCTGAGGGGGGAGGAGGCCCCTGTCTGAGGGGGCAGGAGGTCCCTGTCTCAGGGGGGAGGAGGCCCCTGTCTGAGGAGGGAGGAAACCTCCGTCTGAGGAGGGAGGAGGTCCCTGTCTGAGGAGGGAGGAGGCCTTGAGGGGGGAGGAGGTCCCCGTCTGAGGAGGGAGGAGGCCTCTGTCTGAGGAGAGAGGAGGTACCTGTCTGAGGGGGGAGGAGGCCTCTGTCTGAGGGGGGAGGATGCCCCTGTCTGAGGGGGTAGGAGGAGGCCTCTGTCTCGGGGGGAGGAGTCCCCTGTCTGAGGAGGGAGGAGGCCTCTGTCTGAGGGGGGAGGATGCCGCTGTCTGAGAGGGTAGGAGGAGGCCTCTGTCTGTTGGGAGAGGAGGCCCCTGTCTGAGGGTGATGCCGATGAGGTGATGCCCTGCCAGCGTGAGGTAGAGAAGACCCAGGTCTGAAGAGGGGAGGATCAAGTCAGAGAAGCGTAGATGCCCATCTGAGATGGAGGAGGCTCCCGTCCGAGGGGAGGGGACACTCCTGTCTGGAAGGGACAGAGGCCTTCAGATGAGGAGCCAGGAGGCCCAGGCCTGAGGGAGGAGAAGGGCCTAGTCTGATGGGGAGAAGGGCCCTTGCCTGAAGGCAGAGCAGTTTCCTGCCTGGGAAGGTCATCCCAGCCCCACCCATCAGTCTGAATTGGACATCACCAGTGCCCAGGACATTGGAGGTCTGAGGGAAAAGTCTAGAAAGATGATGGGGCTGGTCACACACTAATTACCAATGGGAAAGCTAAGGTGAGTTCCAAGTTTGGCTTCACCAGAGAAAACTAATTTGTGTGGCATTCCAGAAAGACCTGCCAAACTCGATGAGTGAACAGGCAGCCCTTCTTCATTCATGCATGCATTCAGTTTTTGAATCAGGTGAGACTTTAGATCTCACGTGAAATAAGTCTTAAGTGAAACAAAGAGAAATTTATCTTATAATAAGAGAAAATTGGCCGGGCATGGTGGCTCACACCGGCAATCGCAGCACTTTGGGAGGCCGAGGTGGATGGATCACTTGAGGTCAGGAGTTCAAGACTAGTCTGGCCAACATGGTGAAACCCCGTCTCTACTAAAAATGCAAAAATAGCCTGGCGAGCTGGCAGGCGCCTGTAATCCCAGCTACTCAGGAGGCTGAGGTGGGAGAATCGCTTGAACCTGGTAGGTTTAGGTTGCAGTGAGCTGAGATTGTGCCACTGCACTCCAGCCTGGGCAACAGAGCAAGACTCCGTCTCAAAAACAAAACAAAACAAAACAAAAAAAGAAAGGAAAAAGAAAATTGGCCGGGCACGGTGGCTCACACCTGTAATGCCCACACTTTGCGAGGCCGAGAAGGGTGGATTGCTTGAGTCCAGAAATTTGAGACCAGCCTGGGCAACATGGCAGAACCCCATATCTACAAAAATAAAATAAAATAATTAGCCGGGTGTGGGGGTGCACACCTGTAGTCCCAGCTACTCAGGAGGCTGAGGTGGGAGGATCGTTTGAACCCAGGAGATGGAGGCGTCAATGAGCCAAAATCACACCACCGCACTCCAGCCTGGGCAACAGAGCAAGACCCTGTCTCAAAAAAGAAAAAAAAAAAAAGAGAGAGAAAAGAAAAGAAAATGAAAAGAAAAAATTCAAGCAAATTTAGAATGATCTCCTTCACAAAGAGGCGATAGTGTGAGGGTCACTGGGAAAATTAGACAAAAAGTCTGGTCTACTGAAATATGGTTTACATCCACATGGATGGTGGGCTGTACTTTTCTCCAGAATTGTGTAATTCCTTTGGCCCATTGGGGGTCAGAAAAAGAATGGCTAAATGTTACTATCCCAAGACACTTGGATTGATTATTCCAGAGTGTGAGTAAATTCAGGTATCTCTTTTAGGAATTCCATCTACTTTGGGCTGGGCTTAGTGGCTCACACCTGTGATCCCAGCACTTTGGGAGGCTGAGGCAGCGGGATCGCTTGAGCTCTGGAGTTTGAGAGCAGTCTGGGCAGCGTAGTGAGACTTTGTACGGACGAAAACTTTTTTTTTTTTTTTTGAGATGGAATCTTGCTCTGTCACCCAGGCTGAAGTACAGTGGCACAACCTCGGCTCACCGCAACCTCCACCTCATGGGTTCAAGCGATTCTCCTGCCTCAGCCTCCTGAGTAGCTGAGATTATTATTATTTGTTTTTTTGAGATGGAGTCTCGCTCTGTCACACAGGCTGCAGTACAGTGGTGCAATCTTGGCTCACTACAACCTCCGCCTCCCGTGTTCAAGTGATTCTCCTGCCTCAGCCTCCCAAGTAGCTGGGATTACAGGCACCTGCCACCACACCCAGCTAATTTTTGTATTTTTAGTAGAAAAGAGGTTTCACCGTGTTGGCCAGGCTGGTGTCGAACTCCCAACCTTCGGGGATCTGCCCGCCTCCGCCTCCCAAAGTATTGGGATTACAGGCATGAGCCACTGTGCCTGGCTGAAAAATATTAAAATATATATATTTTTTAAGGGATTCCAGCTACTTTGTTGTTATGGAGATCCAGAACCCAATTAAAGCCTGTCTATCATGTTTGAGGAAAGTGCAGTTTGAGTCAAAGCCTAGTCCAGTCCAATTTCATTTACTTGCTGGTAGTGTCAAGCTGTTTTTGTTTATTTATATATTTATTTAGAGGCAGGATCTTGCTCTTTCGCCCAGGCTGGAGTGCAGTGGTGCGATCACAGCTCACTGCAGCGTCAACCTCTTGGGCTCAAGGAGTCCTTCTGTCTCATCCTCAGCCTTCTGAGTAGCTAGGACTACAGGTGCATGCCAGCATGCCCAGCTAATTTTTAAATTATTATTTGTAGAGAGAGGGTCTCAGTGTGTTGCCCAGGCTGGTCTCAAACTCCTGGGCTCAAGCCATCCTCCCACCTTGGCCTCTCAGAGCGCTGGGATGATAGCACCACATCCAGCCTATCGAGATTTTTTTTGTGTTTTTTTCTTTGTTTTTTGTTTGTTTGTTTGTTTGTTTGAGAGGGAGTCTCGCTCTGTCGCCAGGCTGGAGTGCAGTTGCGCAGTCTCGGCTCACTGTAACCTCCGCCTCCTGGATTCAAGAGATTCTCATCCCTCAGCCTCCCGAGTAGCTGGGATTACAGGCGCATGCCATCACACCCAGCTAATTTTTGTATTAGGTGGTTTTTAAAGGCCACCGCTTCTTCAGTGTTCTGCACCAGGTCTGGGAATGTTCTCAGCTCACCTAGTCATGTTCAGAATGGACAAATCCCTCAGAGGAAGCAGACACGGTTTCTCGGGACGGTGATCCTTTAGAGCCACATGCACATGCTTGCTTTCTTTTATTATTATCTTTTTTTGAGATGGAGTCTCACTCCGTCACCGAGGCTGGAGTGCAGTGGCATAATCTTGGCTCACTACAACCTCTGCCTCCCGGGTTCAAGCGATTCTCCTGCCTCAGCCTCCCGAGTATCTGGGACTACAGGTGCCCGCTGCCAAGCCTGGCTAATTTTCATATTTTTAGTAGAGGCGCGGTTTTGCCACATTGGCCAGGCTGTCTCGAACTCCTGACCTCAAGTGATCCACCCGCCTCGGCCTCCCAAAGTGCTGGAATTACAGATGTGAGCCACTGTGCCTGGCCAAATGCTTTCGTTTCTTTAAAAATCAAAGGGAAAGGAATGACTATAATCCAGTCTGCATTGTATATGTCCTTATACCAGTACATTTGTGGGATATAATTTTTAGTTCTTTTTATGGAGAAGAAGTTCCCAAGGCAGATGTGTCTGGGGCTCGTGAAAATTCATCCTGAAGTCCTCCATGTCCGGGATGTATTTCACTGCTAGGAATCCCTCCTGGGCAGAGGTAGGATCTAAAGGTGTGACCGCTGAGGAAGTAGGTCGGCTCTCTTTTTGTTTGTTTTTTGTTTTTGTTTTCAGATGGAGTCTGTCTCTGTCGCCTGGGCTGGAGTGTAGTCGTGTGATCTCAGCTCACTGCAACCTCCACCTCCTGGGTTCAAGTGATTCTGCTGCCTCAGCCTCCACAGTAGCTGGGATCACAGGCACGCGCCACCACACCCAGCTAATTTTTGTGTTTTTAGTAGAGATGGGGTTTCACCATGTTGTCCAGGCTGGTCTCAAAGTCCTGACCTCAAGCGATCCACCCACCTCAGCCTCCCAAAGTGCTGGGATTACAGGGGTGAGCCACCGTGCCCAGCCTTAATTTTTGTATTTTTAGTAGAGATGGGTTTCACCATGTTAGCTAGGCTGGTCTCCAACTCCTGGCCTCAAGTGATCCACCTGCCTTGGCCTCCCTAAGTGCTGGGATTTCAGGCATGAGCCATGGCAACTGGCCTGCTCTGTTCTAAATGCAGATCTAAACCCCCTGCAGGTAACCTGGATGAGGACATCATTGCAGAAGAGAACATCGTTTCCCGAAGTGAGTTCCCAGAGAGCTGGCTGTGGAACGTTGAGGACTTGAAAGAGCCACCGAAAAATGGGTAAGGCCGGGGTACCCCCGGTACAACCCACCCCAGAGTCAGACCGTTTAATTTGCATGCACCTGCTATCTCTGGTCTTCTCTGGAATCACAGTGCAACCCCACAGCCCAACCTAGAAAAATCAGGAATTGGGTGACCTACATGGAGGCACCCCCAGACCCTTCCAGCCTGTCCCTTGGGGTCCCTCTGCACCAGTTCTTCCCCTCTACCACCCTGCTAGATGACATCTCCTAATACCCCAACCTCTTCTCCATCCAGAATCTCTACGAAGCTCATGAATATATTTTTGAAAGACTCCATCACCACGTGGGAGATTCTGGCTGTGAGCATGTCGGACAAGAAAGGTGAGAGAGGATGCTGGCTGGTCCCCGGGAGGCAGGGACCCCAGGGTGTCTGAGTGTCATCTCATTTTATCCAAACTCAATCAACCCTATGTTTCTTGGCACTTTATTCTCTGCCCTGGTTACCACAGAGGTGTTGTTACCAGGAACTGTGGGAATCCTTAGTTCCTGTCTAACTTGGAAGAAAGAATTCAGCCAAGAGTCACATAGCAAGGGTTAAGTAGCAGAGTTTATTGAAGGAAGAAACAGCTCTGGGCTGGTCCCCCTGGAAAAATAGTAGTAGCAATGCTTATTTAAAGAGACAGGGCCAGCCTCGATGGCTCACACCTATAATCCCAGCACTTTGGGAGGCTGAGGCAGGGGAATCACTTCAGGTCAGGAGTTCAAGACCAGCCTGGTCAACGTGGTGAAACCCCGTCTCTACTGAAAGTACAAAACAATTAGCCAGGCAGGGGGTGGCGGGCGCCTATAATCCCAGCTACTCGGGAGGCTGAGGCAGGAGATTTGGTTGAACCCGGGAGGTGGAGGTTGCGGTGAGCTGAGATTGTGCCACTGCACTCCAGCCTGGGCAACAAGAGCAAAACTCCTTCTCTAAATAAATAAAAAGTGACCGTATGCTCTGAAAGACGACACAGACATGGCTGCTCAACAGAACGAGCCAGCAGCAGATACTGCTGGTAGACTCTTTTTATGAGACTCTTACATGATTTTTCGTGAAGGGGCGTGAGTGGGTGTCACTTGTAAGCATGTTTTGGGAGGTCTCTTTGGGCGAGCAGGCTCTGTGGCTGTAGGTACTAGCATGCACGTGGCATGTCTCATTAGCATCGAAAATCTCCACCCAGAGGTGTGTTTTTTACTATGATAATGAGCAAAACACAACTCTAGGGTGTTTTCGGAGCAGTGCACATGCTCATCATCGGGGAAAATCCCTAGCAAAGTTATTTCCAGCTAGGACCTGATAAGTCCCCTTCAGGGCCAGAGGACCCCAACCACAAGGCCATGTGTAGCTAAAGTAGCCATCGTCCTTTTCGCTGACTGCCAGTGAGCAGCGCTGTCAGTAGGCAGCCTGTCTGGGACTTCTTTTCCCAGAAAGCTCCCCTGCCTGCTCATTTCCGCCTATCTGCCTACTCTAACAGTGTCAAAAGCTAGACAGGGTGGGGGTACAGTCTCTAAAATTGATGCTTTTCTTTCTTTCTTTTGTTTTTGAGAAGGAGTCTCACTCGGTCATCCAGCCATAATTTATATGGTTTATTATAATTTATAATAAATTTAATTATAATATTTATTTATATATTTATTAATTGTAATGTTTATAATTATAATATATAATTATATATTACATAATATATTTCATATCTACATATCACATATTACATATGCAATATATTATATACCACATATTACATATATAACATACCACATATTACATATATAATATATCATATATTATATATTACATATATAATATATCATATATTATATATTACATATATAATATATCATATATTATATATTACATATATAATATATCATATATTATATATTACATATATAATATATCATATATTACATATATTATATATTACATATATAATATATCATATTACATATATTATATATTACATATATAATATATCATATTACATATATTATATATTACATATATAACATATATATTACATATATCATATTACATATATCATATATTACATATATAATATATCATATTACATATATATCATATATTACATATATAATATATCATATTACATATATATCATATATTACATATTACATGTAATATGTTATATTACATATAATATATATTGCATATCACATATATAATATGTTATATGTTGCATATTACATATATAATATATTATATATTGTATATTACATATATAATATATATGTAATATATACATATTACACATGTAATATATTATGTAAACATATAATATGTATTATAATTTATAAGAAATTTAATTATAATATAATTTAATGAATTATAATAAACCATAATTCATTATAATTTAATACATTATAATAAACCATAATTTATTATAATTTAATTTTGTTGTAATGTATAATTATAATTTACTACTAATATGTCATTTGTTATTGTTGACATGTTAACATATATAATGTATATTTTATTAGATATATAATATAAATGATGTATCATTTATTATTGATTACATATCTATAATTATACCATATCATAACTTATTACAAAACATTCTATTTAATTTAAATATACCCAAAATAGTATCATTTCAACATTTTGTAAAAAGTTGCAAAACCACAACCCACTAATAATGTGACTATAACCTTTTAATATTTGATAATAATCTACTAGTATATCAAAATTACTGATGATATATTTTACTTCTGTTTGCACTAAGTCTTCAAAATCCAGCATGTGTTTTACAATTCAGTGCATCTCATTTAGGATACTAGATTTTCTTTCTTTTTTTTTTTTGATACAGGAGCTTGCTCTGTCACCTAGGATGGAGTGCAGTGGTGTAAACAGGATGCTAAGTTTTCTTTTTTTAGTAGAGACAGGGTGTCACCATGTTGGCCAGGCTGGTCTCAAACTCCTGGCCTCAAGCAATCTGCCTTCCTCAGCCTCCCAGAGTGCTGGAATTACAGGCGTGAGCCACCGCGCCCAGCGCAGGATGCTAGGTTTTCACTGGAAATACTTTGATCTGTATTTTAGGTTTCATAAAATTTACAGTTGAAAAGGTAGATTCTCAGGCCGGGTGCAAAGGCTCAAGCCTGTAATCCCATTACTTTCAGAGGCTGAGGCCGGCAAATCATTTGAGGTCGGAGTTTGAGACCAGCCTGGGCAACATGGCAAAGCCCCGTCTCTACAAAAAAAAAAAAGAAAAGAAAAGAAAAGAGAAAGAAAAGGTAGATCCTCATACTCAAGTAGTTGCAAAAATACTTAAACGTTTTCCACTCAATCATCATTTTTAAAAAATTAAGATTTAATTCACTTACTATATGTCACCCTTTTAAAATGTACAACTCAGGTCGGGCACGGTGGCTCACACCTGTAATCCCAGCACTTTGGGAGGCCCAGGCAGGCAGATCACCTGAGGTCAGGAGGTGGAGAACAGCCTGGCCAACATGGTGAAACCCTGTCTCTACTAAAAATACAAAAAATTAGCAGGACATGCGGGTGGGTGCCTGTAATCCCAGCTACTCAGGAGGCTGAGGCAGGAGAATTGCTTGAACCCAGGATATAGAGGTTGTAGTGAGCCAAGATCACGCCACTGCACTCCAGCCTGGGTGACAGAGCGAGACCCCATCTCAAAAAATAAATAAATAAAAAATAATAAAATATATAATTCAGTGGTGTTTCATATATTTAAAATGAGCATCAGTTGTTTGTTTTGTTTCATTGGGTTTGGTTTTACAGACAGGATCTCACTCTGTTGCCCAGGCTGGAGCACAGTGGTGCGATCATAGCTCACTGCAGCCTTGAACTCCTGGGCTCAAGCAATCCTCCTGCCTCAGCCTCCCAAAGTGCTGTGATTACAGGCATGAGCCACCGCACCTAGCTAGATCATCAGGTTTAAAGTTTAAGTCTGAATTAAATTAAATACATTTAAATACAAGTACATCAAATAAAAGTACAAATCCAGTTTCTCACTCAGGCAAACCCCATTTCAAGTGCTCAGCGCTCCCCCACAGCTTGGGGCTACCATATCAGACAAGCAGATATATTTTGGAGATTTCTCTTCCTCCCTACACGTAGATCTCTGAGTCAAACTACAAACAGAATGTAAATCATTAAATAGTGGTAACTCCGGCCAGGCGCAGTGGCTCACGCCTGTAATCTCAGCACTTGGGAGGCTGAGGCGGGTGGATCGTGAGGTCAAGAGATCGAGACCATCCTGGCCAACATGGTGAAACCCCATCTCTACTAAATATACAAAAATTAGCTGGACATGGTGGTGCGTGCCTGCAGTCCCAGCTACTCGAGAGGCTGAGGCAGGAGAATTGCTTGAACCCAGGAGGCGGAGGTTGCGTTGAGCCGAGATGGCGCCACTGCACTCCAGCCTGGCGACAGAGTCTTGCTCTGTCTCAAATAATTAATAATAATAATAATAATAATAATAATAATAATAATAAATAATGGTAACTCCCAGCCACCACCATCATCATCTGTCATTTGTCGCCATTGACAGCGTTTAGTTCACAGGCTTCAGCAAAGACAGGCTGAGTTAGGGAGAGCTCCTGCGGAGTGGACTAAGAGCTGAGACCCAGGAGCCTGGCCTTGTCCACTCCCCGACCTTGACACTCCGTGTTCTGTCTCTGCCCGAGCAGGGATCTGTGTGGCAGACCCCTTCGAGGTCACAGTAATGCAGGACTTCTTCATCGACCTGCGGCTACCCTACTCTGTTGTTCGAAACGAGCAGGTGGAAATCCGAGCCGTTCTCTACAATTACCGGCAGAACCAAGAGCTCAAGGTGGGTCCCGGGGTGGCAGAGGCTTCTTGGAGGCTGCCAGGGGGTAGGTAGCCTGTTGCACACACACTTGCCCGGATCCTTTCTCTCCCTGGCAGGTGAGGGTGGAACTACTCCACAATCCAGCCTTCTGCAGCCTGGCCACCACCAAGAGGCGTCACCAGCAGACCGTAACCATCCCCCCCAAGTCCTCGTTGTCCGTTCCATATGTCATCGTGCCGCTAAAGACCGGCCTGCAGGAAGTGGAAGTCAAGGCTGCTGTCTACCATCATTTCATCAGTGACGGTGTCAGGAAGTCCCTGAAGGTCGTGGTGAGTGCTTGGGGCACCCACAAACCCTTGTCCTTCAGAGAGGGCTCCTGGTCTTCGTACTATTGACTCAGGTTGGAGATCCAGGCTCTGAGACACTAAGAATCATAGTGTCCAGCTTAGGAAATTTGGAAGTCCCAGAATTTCAGAAGCAGAGCCAGGATTGGGGTAAAGTGAGTGAGATGACCCCAGGCTTAGAATTTTAGGTGGTGCCAAAAACCTCGTCGACCATCACCAATCAATAATTTTTTTATACTCGATTTGAAATTTTTTATTTATTTATTTATTTGTTTGTTTATTTTTTTGAGACAGAGTCTCACTCTGTTCCCCAGGCTGGAGTGCAGTGGCGCGATCTCAGCTCACTGCAATATCCGCCTCCCGGGTTCACGCCATCCTCCTGCCTCAGCCTCCCGAGTAGCTGGGACTACAGGCGCCAGCCACCACGCCCGGCTAATTTTTTTGTATTTTTAGTAGAGACAGGGTTTCACTGTGTTAGCCAGGATGGTCTCGATCTTCTGACCTCGTGATCCACCCACCTCGGCCTCCCAAAGTGCTAGGATCACAGGCACGAGCCACCGCGCCCGGCAATGCTAGGGTGATCCTAAGGACAGTGCCCTGCTGACCATCTGTGTGTCTGTCTGTTCTTTTATTCATCCAACGACTCCCCCCACCTCTAACACTGCGTAGCCGGAAGGAATCAGAATGAACAAAACTGTGGCTGTTCGCACCCTGGATCCAGAACGCCTGGGCCGTGGTGAGTCGGCTGCAGGGGGAGGGGCTGAGGGGCTGGCAGGGTAAGGGGGGTAAATGACCTGGGTTTAGTGAGGTAGGATAGGGCGGGAGGGAGCTAGAGCCATCGGTATCTCTCACTCACCCTGCAGAAGGAGTGCAGAAAGAGGACATCCCACCTGCAGACCTCAGTGACCAAGTCCCGGACACCGAGTCTGAGACCAGAATTCTCCTGCAAGGTGAGACACCCTTGACCCCGACCCCATGGGTCCCAGGAGGGCATGGATGGAGCCAAATTCCATCTCATTCTGGAGGTGTTTAACCCGCACCTTTCTCTTCCCCTTCAGCTAGAACAGCCCATCTGTGATCTGTTTTCCCTCTTTTACATTTTTTTTTTTTTTTTTTTTTGAGACAGAGTCTGGCTCTGTCACCCAGGCTGGAGTGCAGTGGCGCGACCTCAGCTCGCTGCAAGCTCCGCCTCCCGGGTTCACGCCATTCTCCTGCCTCAGCCTCCCGAGTAGCTGGGACTACAGCCACCCGCCACCACGCCCGGCTAATTTTTTTGTATTTTTAGTAGAGACAGGGTTTCACCGTGTTAGCCAGGATGGTCTCGATCTCCTGACCTCGTGATCCACCCGCCTCAGCCTCCCAAAGTGCTGGGATTACAGGCATGAGCCATTATGCCCGGCCTAAAAATTTTTTTAACCATACAGATATTATTTGCTATGATCGGTTTTATAGAAGCCTCCAGATAGCATTTAGTTCAGCAAAGAGCTTTCGCTGATACATCAGTTTATTTTAATTTTTCTAGACCTTCTGTGCTTCTTAGATGGGAAACCAGCTTAAATGAGACTCAATAGCCTGTAATCCCAGCACTTTGGGAGGCCGAGGCAGGCAGACCACCTGAGGTAGGAGTTTGAGACCAGCCTGGCCAACATGGTGAAACCCTGTCTCTACTAAAAATACAAAAGTTAGCTGGGCGTGGTGGCACATGCCTGTAATCCCAGCCACTCGGGAGGCTGAAGCAGGATAATCGATTGAACGTGGGAGGCGTAGGTTGCAGTAAGCCGAGATCAGGCCACTGCACTCCAGCCTGGGCGGCAGAGCAAGACTTTGTCTCAAACAAAAACAAACAAACAAACAAACAAAAAGACAAGCAACATAGTACAAGAGCAGAAATTCTGGAGGTCATTTCTTGCCCCAGGAGGGAAGACTGGAGAAAGAAAGGGACTTGCAACCTGTAAGCTATAAGGCTTTGGGGCAAGAGCCTTGGTTTTTTCACCTTTGGTAGGGGTAGAATAATAGTATCTACCTCCAAGGGTTGGTGTGATGATTTTTTTTTTTTTTTTGAGGCGGAGTCTCACTCTGTCGCCAGGCTAGAGTGCAGTGGCGTGATCTCGGCTCACTGCAACCCCAGCCTCCCGGGTTCAAGTGATTCTTGTGCCTCAGCCTCCCAAGTAGCTGGGACTACAGGCGCCCGCCACCATGCCCACTAATTTTTGTATTTTTAGTAGAGACGGTGTTTCACCATATTGGTCAGGCTGGTCTTGAACTCCTGACCTCAGGTGATCCACCCACCCCAGCCTCCCAAAGTGCTGAGATTACAGGCTTCAGCCACGGCGCCCAGCCTCGTTGACTATTAAGTGAGACACTCTATGGTATTCTCTTAGAACAGTCTGGAAAGTAACATTAAGCGTGATATAAGTATTCCTGAATATTGTTACTGGAATTATTTTACTGCTGGTGAAATGAGACCCAAGGACCAGGGTGCCCCTGTGAAGCACCTCCCACTCCTAACAGTGCAGACCCCCGAACAGCCACTCAGCCATGCAGCCTCCCCTCCCCGCAGTCACATCCTCCCCAGTCCTCGCCTGTCCCTAACCCCTTGGCCCTGGCTGGTTGGGAGGCTGGAACCCTTTTCACGCCACCCCAAGGTGGGTCACCCACCTGGCTTGAGCAACGTCCTCTTCCCACCTGCTGCAGGGACCCCAGTGGCCCAGATGACAGAGGATGCCGTCGACGCGGAACGGCTGAAGCACCTCATTGTGACCCCCTCGGGCTGCGGGGAACAGAACATGATCGGCATGACGCCCACGGTCATCGCTGTGCATTACCTGGATGAAACGGAGCAGTGGGAGAAGTTCGGCCTAGAGAAGCGGCAGGGGGCCTTGGAGCTCATCAAGAAGGGTGGGCTCCCTGCCCCTCTTGGAGACCCCAGGGACCCCTTTCCGAGCGCATCCCTCCCCTAAGATCCCACCTCATCTCAAGACCACGCCCTCCCCTGAGGCTCCACCTTCTCTCCTAGCCACTCCCCTCATTTGAGGCCCCACCTCTTCTCAAGGCTACGCCCTCTGAGGCCCTGACTCCTCCCAGGCCAGGCTTTTCATGAGACCCCGCCTCTCCTCAAGGCCATGCCCATCCCCTGAGGGCCCCCCACCTCTTCTCAAGGCCACGCCCTCTGAGGCCCTGACTCCTCCCAGGCCAGGCTCTTCATGAGACCCCGCCTCTCCTCAAGGCCATGCCCATCCCCTGAGGGCCCCCCACCTCTTCTCAAGGCCACGCCCTCTGAGGCCCTGACTCCTCCCAGGCCAGGCTCTTCATGAGACCCCGCCTCTCCTCAAGGCCATGCCCATCCCCTGAGGGCCTCCCACCTCTTCTCAAGGCCACGCCCTCTGAGGCCCTGACTCCTCCCAGGCCAGAATCTCGAGACCCTGCCTCTTTTCAAGGCCACGCCCATCCCCTGGGTCCCCACATCTTCTCAAGGCCACACCCTTCTGTGAGGCGCCACCTCCTGTCCCAGCCACTCTCATCTGAGGCCCCACGTCCTCTCCAGGCCATGCCTCTTCCCTGAGACTCCACCCCCTCTCTGAGAGCCCTCCCCTCCCTGAAAGCCCCCCACCCTCAATATCCTTCTCCTCTCTGAATCCCTTGTCCTCTTGAGAACTTTTCCACCTCCTCGTTCTGATCCCCCACCCTCTTTGAGTCCTTCCCTTTTTAAGGTCCCCTCCTCCCAGAACCCCTCCGCCACCCTGAGCCCCTGTCCCCTCTCTGCACCCCGCCCCTGCCCTTTCTGGCGTGCCCCCTCTGCTCAGCCCCGGCTCTTTTGGGGGTTCCTCTCTCTTCTCTGCAGGGTACACCCAGCAGCTGGCCTTCAGACAACCCAGCTCTGCCTTTGCGGCCTTCGTGAAACGGGCACCCAGCACCTGGTGAGTCCCAACAGCCAGCTCAGGCCATGCATACTCCCCACCCTCAACCCCCAGCAGGGCCCGGACCCTGGCCAGGGGTGGTCCCTTAGGCCAGCCTTGCCCAAACAGCCCTGGACCTGCAGAGTCCAGGCAAGCGCTGGCTGAGTGGCCGGCGGTCATTAAGCATCCTTAAGCACGGACCGCATACAACAGCTGGGTCCTGGGGCCTGGGAAGGCAAACCAGGCAAACTGGGCCAGGCCCTGGTCCCTCCCCCACGCTCATTGGCTGGTTGACATGGCAGTCTCTGGATCTCAGAGCCGATTGGCTCATGCTCTGTGCCCACTCCAGGCTGACCGCCTACGTGGTCAAGGTCTTCTCTCTGGCTGTCAACCTCATCGCCATCGACTCCCAAGTCCTCTGCGGGGCTGTTAAATGGCTGATCCTGGAGAAGCAGAAGCCCGACGGGGTCTTCCAGGAGGATGCGCCCGTGATACACCAAGAAATGATTGTAAGAGGCTGGGATTTAGGGCAAAATGGAAGAGAGGGGCTCCTGAGTCTCGCAGGATGAACACGAGAGAGAGCCCCACCTCCATGTGCCCACTGCCCAATTCCCTTTGCAAAGATTGGGCTGGGGGGTGGGGGCAGGCAGATATATGAGCCAGAGGCGTCACTCCAGCATTGCAAAAACCAGAGACCTGCGAAGCCCAGCGCAAAATGAAGAGACACGGCCCCTCGCTCAGAAATTATTAAGAATTTCATTAAACCAAGTGCAGGGGTCCTGCCTGGGAATCCCTTTCTCACATTCAATCCATCAACACCTGCATTCTCCCATGATGTTATAAGAATCACCTCCTTCTCTCCATCCTTATGGCCAGCCCCTGGTCCAAGCAACACTCTCCCCGCCCCTCCTTATTTGGAGACCTTGTAGAAACCACCTCCTGGTCATCATCCTGGTGGCCTCCCACTTTTGTTGGCTCTCAGACACTCACCACATAGCAGTTGGGGTGATTTTTTCAAATCCAGCTGGATCAGTTCTTAGAAAGTCCCGTGGCTCCCCCTGTGGCACTTAAACACAAAACTCCTTCGAGCACTGGTTCTCGAAGTGTGATCCTCAGACCAGCGGCAGCAACAGCACCCATGACTTACTAAAAATGTGCATTCTGTGGCTGGGCTCGACGGCCCATGCCTGTAATCCCAGCGCTTTGGGAGGCCGAGGCAGGAGGATGGCTTGAGCCCAGGAGGTCGAGGCTGCAGTGAGCCATGATCATGACACTGCACTCCAGGCTGATAACAGAGTGAGACCCTGTCTCAAAAACAAAACATATTCTGAGACCGGACCCCAGACTCACTGAATCAGAAATTCTAGGGGCAGGACCCAGGAATCTGAGGGGTGTGAGTGTGTGTGTGTGTGTGTGTGTGTGTGTGTGTGTGTGTGTGTGTGTTTGAGATGGAGTTTTGCTCTTGTCACCCAGGCTGGAGTGCAATGGCCCGATCTTGGCTCACTGCAACCTCCACCTCCCAGGTTCAAGCAATTCTCCTACCTCAACCTCCTCAGTAGCTGGGATTACAGGTGCCCGCTCCACCATGCCCAGCTGATTTTTGTATTTTTAGTAGAGACGGGGTTTCACCATGTTGGCCAGGCTGGTCTTGAACTCCTGACCTCAGGTGATCCGCCCACCTTGGCCTCCCAAAGTGCTGGGATTACAGGCATGAGCCACCGCGCCCGGCCTAGGAATCTGAGTTTTTAAAAGTGCCCGCATTCCTCCAGGTGATGCTAATGTGTGCTTGAGATGGAGAATCACTGCCTCAGTCTCACCTTTCAGGCTTCCAGACTTCCAGCCTTTCTTTTCTTTCCAGGCTCCATCCATTGATAGGAGCCTTGCTCTATTGTTCTACAGGGCCTTTGCACATGCTGTTTCTGCCACCTAGTATGCTAATCCCTGCCGTCTGTGAGAGTTGACTCCCTCAGGGACACTTTTTCTGACCTCCCCAACTGGGTCACACTCCCACAGTTCATTATCGCTGCGATGTCCTCTTTCCCTTGCACAGAACTCATCCACTTATAAGTATATATCTCTTGGCTGGGCGCAGTGGCTCATGCCTGTAATCCCAGCACTGTGGGAGGCCGAGGCAGGTGGATCACCTGAGGTCAGGAGTTCGGGACCAGCCTGACCAACAGGGGAAACCCCATCTCTACTAAATACAAAAAAATTAGCTTGGTGTGGTGGTGCATGCTTGTAATCCCAGCTACTTCGGAGGCTGAGGCAGGAGAATTGCTTGAATCCAGGAGGCGGAGGTTGCAGGGAGTCGAGATTGCGCCATTGCACTCCAGCCTGGGCAACAAGAGCAAAACTGTCCCAAAAAAAAAAAAAAAAAGTGTATATCTCTTGAGGAGCTGGATGGACCATGTCCATCTTCCCTACTAGACAAAAGCTCTGTGAGGGCTAGAGCCTGTGTCTGGTTTTACAATGGATCAGACCGTTGTACCCATTGTACATTGCACATTGTACATTGACATTTGCAGAAGGAACAAATTGTTGCATGAATTAATACTAAGAAGTTTGACCTTCCTAGGGTAGCGGGGTAACACCTAGAAGAGACTCAGCCCTGCCCAGACCCCCTGATTCTGAATCTGCAAGGGGGGATGACTGCCATGTGTGGACACACCGGTGACCCCATCCTTGCTTTCTGCTCTCTATCTCAGGGTGGATTACGGAACAACAACGAGAAAGACATGGCCCTCACGGCCTTTGTTCTCATCTCGCTGCAGGAGGCTAAAGATATTTGCGAGGAGCAGGTCAACGTAAGTGCCCTCCATCTTCCCACCCTACCCTACCTTACCCGATGCAGAGCACAGCCACCTTGGAGAGTGAGAGGTTGCCTTCAGGGAATTTGCAGCTCTCCCAGTGCAATAACAGACATCACTGCAGTCATGTTAATAGCTAACATCTTTTGAGCACTTAACTCATCTAATACAGACCCGCCCTCTAATAGTTTCACATGTTAAGTCTCATAATCCTTTTAGCAGCCTGAAAGGTAAGTCACTCTTATTATCCCCAGTTTGCAGATGAGAAAACTGAGGCACAAAGAGATCAAAGGTGGGGATTCTTTCTGTCTGCCTTACAATTTTCAGAGGGTTTTCAGCCCATTTCCAAAAGTGCTTTCTACATCAGTGCTACATGATCAGTACAGTTGCGTACTTGCTACTTCCTTAAAGAAAACTTGGGATACAGAGCTAAGACTATTTCCTTAGTCCAGAGGATCTTTCAGGTGATTTTCAAAGGGATCCGTGACTCCAAACAGGAAACGGTGAACACTGTTGGCTCATCACTGTCTCTTTTTCCTCTGGTTTTGATTCTGAAGCAGGGAAGCTTGGAAAGATGGGCCGCTGAGAGTCTGGAATGCCTTTGTCTGCTTTATTGTGGTTGTTTGTTTGTTTGTTTATTTTTTGTGATGGAGTCTCACTCTGTCGCCCAGGCTGCAATGCAGTGGCATGATCTCAGCTCACTGCACCCTTTGCCTCCCAGGTTCAAGGGACTTTACTGTTTCAGCCTCCAGAGCATCTGGGATTACAGGCACCCGCCACCATACCCGGCTAATTTTTGTCTTTTTAGTAGACATGAGGTTTCACCATATTGGCCAGGCTGGTCTCGAACTCCTGACCTCAGGTGATCTGCCTGGCGTGGCCTCCCAAAGTGCTGGGATTACAGGCATGAGCCACTGCACCCAGCCTAATTGTTGTATTTTTAGTAGAGATGGGGTTTCACCATGTTGGCCAGGCTGGTTTCGAACTCCTGACCTCAAGTGATCCACCCACCTTAGCCTCCCAAAGTGCTCGGATTACAGGCGTGAGTCACTGCACCTAGCTGATCGTGGGGTTTTGAGTGGGTTGTTTAACGTTTAGCTTTCCAAGTGGGAAGCCCAGGATTCCACCCTCAGCTAGTGGCTTCTCCCCCCTTAGGAAAAGAGATGGAGGGGAGGGGCCAGTGAAGAGAAAAACAAACACAGGGCTGTTGCCTCTAACACCCAAGAGGGACCAAGGCAGAGAGAGAGAGAGAGAGAGAGAGAGAGGGAGGGAGGGAGGGAGGGAGGGAGGGAGGGAGGTAGGTAGAGAGAGAGAGAGAGAGAGAGAGGAGAGGTGGGGTCAGACAAATCTGACTTCAAATCCTGACTCATGGGCACTTCCACCCTTGAGCCTCACTCAGGATGTGCATCTGTAAATTGGGGATAATAAATAACGATCTCTGTATTTTTAGGCCTCTGAGTTGTCCCAGATATAACACACATGTGACCCAGATTATACAAAAATTGATGGGGAATTTATGTGCAGGCACCAAGGCATCAAATAGAGATGAAGGTGGCCTCAGGGACTCTGCCAGGATGCTTTGCTCCTCTCTCCCGTGATCTTCATTCCGTTCTTGGCCAATAATTCAGTTCAGGCAGAATATGGCTGCC
Organism: Homo sapiens; assembly: GCF_000001405.40. Lineage (NCBI taxonomy): Eukaryota > Metazoa > Chordata > Mammalia > Primates > Hominidae > Homo > Homo sapiens. The sequence continues at coordinate 6,688,976 of NC_000019.10, read as the reverse complement.
TTCCTTAGAGAAAATATCAGATCAAGGTTAGGGCCGCCATATTCCCAGGAAAGGACTCTGATTGGCTCAGCCTGGGTCAGATGACTATATCTGGACCAATCAGCTAAGGACAGGAAGTAGGTCTCAGGGGGCAGACATGGCTGTTTCCACTGTGGCCACGTGAATGGAAGGGAGAAGAAGTTCTTACAAAAGGAGTGGATGTCAGAGAGGCAAATGGGCAGGAATAAAAGAGATTTGTTTCTGCTACAACATAGCAACATTGTAGCAGAGTATAGCACAGGCTGTGAAACCAGACTCCTGGGGTCAAGAGTGTGCTGTAATCCCAACTACTCAAGATGCTGAGGCAGGAGAATCACTTGAACCAGGGAGGTGGAGGTTGCAGTGAGCCGAGATTGCGCCACTGCACTCCAGCCTGGGCAACACAGCAAGACTCCTTTTCAAAAAAAAAAAAAGTGTGCTATAACTAGCTTGCTGGAGCCCAGTGTTAAATTTCCAGGAATTTTTCAAGCTGGTCATTAAATACAATTATTATTAAAAACTAAATATTAGGCCAGGCACAGTGAGCCTGTAATCCCGGCACTTTGGGAAGCCAAGGCCGGCAGATCACCTGAGGTCAGGAGTTCAAAACCACCCTGGCCAACATGGCAAAACCCCGTCTCTACTAAAAATACAAAAATTAGCCGGGCATGGTGGAGGGGGGCGCCTGTAATCCCAGCTACGCAGGAGGCTAAGGCACAAGAATCGCTTGAACCCGGGAGGCGGAGGTTGCAGTGAGCCGAGATTGCGCCATGCACTCCAGCCTGGGCCAGAGCGAGACTCCGTCTCAAAAAAAAGGCCAGGCGCGGTGGCTCACGCCTGTAATCCCAGCACTTTGGGAGGCCGAGGTGGGCGGATCACGAGGTCAGGAGATCGAGACCACGGTGAAACCCCGTCTCTACTAAAAATACAAAAAATTAGCCGGGCGCGGTGGCGGACGCCTGTAGTCCCAGCTACTGGGAAGGCTGAGGCAGGAGAATCACTTGAACCCGAGAGGCGGAGCTTGCAGTGAGCCGAGATCGCGCCACTGCACTCCAGCGTGGGCGACAGAGCAAGACTCCGTCTCAAAAAAAAAAAAAAGCAACAACAAAAAACCCAACCAACCAACCAAACAAACAAAGTTATAAAAGTTACAGTTAAATAAATTATATTAAACACAAAGGTTAGAAACACTCAAACTCATCGCTTCCTAAACGCCTTACTCCCATAATCTATACTCTTGGGGTTACTTATGTCTGTTGGATCTGTATAGTGAAAATACTATATAATACTGTGGTACTGCAAAGCTCTTCCCAACTCTACATTCAACGACACCATATTGGTAGGTTGAAATCAGTGATGGAAGTATTTACATCATGGAAATGAGAAAACAGTACAAATCATGTCTTCCCCCATCCCCAGAAGGCTGTGTTTGGATCCTAACTCTGCCACTTATTTCCTAGGTGGTCTTTGCAAAATTACTGCATCTCTCAGGGCTCAGTATGCTCATCAGGTTTTATGAGATTAAATGTGTGGGTATCTGAATGACACAAAGTAAGTGTGAGCTATGATGATGAAGAAGATAAAGATGATGATGACGATGATGATGATGACTGGATGAGGTGTTCACAGTGGTATACTGAATCTGGCGCATACTAGTTTATGAGTAACAATTTGGAGAATGTCTCCCCAGGACTTTGTTCAGTGATGTCGCATTGACACCGTGAAATTGGCCCCTGGTGGGAGTATTTACACCACAGAAATTGTAAATCATTATAAACCAAGGATCCCTCAACCCTCCCACTGGAGAGCTGGCTGTTAAACTTTTACCAGCACACCACGGGGTACGTGGATTTCTCCAGATACATAATAGATATGCAGCAACAAGGCAGCTCATGGTGGCTAAAATATCTGGGAAATTCTCAAAAATGGACAAATCTAAGACAGGTGTGTCCCAAGGACAGAAATCCCTGATGCTCAGGAAGTGCTGCTCGAATGATCCTTACTAACGTGACAGCAATGCCCACATGACCGGAGAATCTGATCCTCTTTCTCATAGAGCCTGCCAGGCAGCATCACTAAAGCAGGAGACTTCCTTGAAGCCAACTACATGAACCTACAGAGATCCTACACTGTGGCCATTGCTGGCTATGCTCTGGCCCAGATGGGCAGGCTGAAGGGGCCTCTTCTTAACAAATTTCTGACCACAGCCAAAGGTGAGGGTTGGCCTGGAGGGGTGAAGGGAGATGCATGGCTGAAGTTCAGGGCGGGAGATACTGAGCTGGGATGCATGGCTTTTAGCTGAGCTGGGACAGATGACCCTAAGCCAAGCTGAGATGGATAGTCCTAAGGTATCAAGCTGGGATGCATAACCCTGAGCTGAGCTGGGATGCACGGCTCTAAGTTTTCGCAGGTCCTCATTGTAAACCACACGAGAAAGTTTGTTGCGTCATTTATTCAACAAATGCGTATTAAGCATTCATTTCAAAGGGAGAAGTGAGAGTTGATGAAACAAGAGAGGTAAGGCAGGAGCCAAGTAATTGAGAGCCTCGAATGTCAGCCAGGACACCCAAACACCAGGAAGTCTAGCATGCATCTCTTTCTGAGCTTTCTCTGAGCCATCCCCAGGCTGGACAGAGCAGTGAGCACTGGGGATGGGGTATCTTCTTTGCAGATAAGAACCGCTGGGAGGACCCTGGTAAGCAGCTCTACAACGTGGAGGCCACATCCTATGCCCTCTTGGCCCTACTGCAGCTAAAAGACTTTGACTTTGTGCCTCCCGTCGTGCGTTGGCTCAATGAACAGAGATACTACGGTGGTGGCTATGGCTCTACCCAGGCAAGTGGGCCCACAGCCCCTAGGCACATGCATCCCTGTCTCCTGCGGCTTCCCACTGGCCTCCTAGAGAAGACACTGAGGCCCAGCGAGGCAGTTCTTCATTCCCACGAGCCAGTGTGATTGCAGTGGAGTTGAGAATCAGTTTTTATTACTTGCAAACCCATCTATAGGTTCTAGAATACAATCTGGGTACTCCAAGCTGTGTGTTGAGCCTTCTTCTTGCCCCAGGTGTCTAGATCATGTTCTCAGGGCCCAGGTTCAGGTCTAAGCCTCTCTCTCCACCTGGTGGGCTCTAGACCAGGTTCCCAGTTCTATCTCACAATCTTACCCTGTCTTGCTGGTGGGTTCTAGACCATGTTCCCAGTTCTACCAGGCTCCCAATGTCACATTGCCTCACTGGCGGGCTCTATAGTATGTTCCCAGTTACCCTGGGGCATTACGCAAACCCTCTTCTAGGCCATGGTTTCAGTAACTTCAGGCTTCAGCAACTTCAGGCTCCAGTTGGCCTCCTTTCTTTCTGGTGGTCTGTCACTCACGTTCTCAGTGTTACAGTGTCACTCTTGGGTTGTAGATTATATGCTCAGTATCCTCTGGCTACGGTTTCATTCTGTTCTTCATGAGTGGGTTCTAGACATATTCTCAGTGTCTCCAAGCCCTGGTCTAAGACTCTCTCCTCTTGATGGGTCTAGACTGCATCCTCAGGGTCGCTAGACATTCAGTCTTACATTTGGACTTTCTGATGGATTCTAGACATGTTCTCAGCATCTCCAAGTCCTGGTGTAAGTTTCTGTCTCTCGGAGAGTTCTGAACATGTCCTCAGAGTCCAGTGACCTCCAGTTATCACCCCTGCACTCTCTAGTAGGTTCTAGGCCACATTTTGATGTCCCAGCTCTGATTTGAACCTCTTTATCCCCCACTGGATTCTAGCCACTTTCCCAGGCTCCCAGATCACCATCTTTCTCTCTTGTGGGTTCTAGGCCACCTTCATGGTGTTCCAAGCCTTGGCTCAATACCAAAAGGACGCCCCTGACCACCAGGAACTGAACCTTGATGTGTCCCTCCAACTGCCCAGCCGCAGCTCCAAGATCACCCACCGTATCCACTGGGAATCTGCCAGCCTCCTGCGATCAGAAGAGGTACAGTCACCCAGCCAAGCCCTCCTCACTCTGGCTGTCTCCCCCTACACTAGCCAGGGTTTACTGGGAAGCAAGAGGGAGGGCCAGGTGACCATCACAGGCAGCAGAAGGCTTAATTCCCAACATGCTCTCTTCTCTCTTTTCACTCTGCAGACCAAGGAAAATGAGGGTTTCACAGTCACAGCTGAAGGAAAAGGCCAAGGCACCTTGTCGGTAAGGAACAGAAACCCACACCTGCCTGGCCCATGCCCCTCTGCCCCAGAGGGACCATCTCCTCTTGTCCCCAGCAGTCCTAGTCCTGTGGGCTGACATTGTGTCTCCTCTCCCATCTTACCAGGTGGTGACAATGTACCATGCTAAGGCCAAAGATCAACTCACCTGTAATAAATTCGACCTCAAGGTCACCATAAAACCAGCACCGGAAACAGGTAAAAGGAATCAAGGCCTTATCTGTCACCTTCCTCCTACCCCTCTTCTAATGTCTTCCCCGCTCCTGAATCAACACACAGGTATACCCTCTCCCATCTTTCTCTCTTCTGTGTTTCTAGAAAAGAGGCCTCAGGATGCCAAGAACACTATGATCCTTGAGATCTGTACCAGGTAAGAAGCTAGGTCACCGGGGTTCATCTTGGCCATCCCTCTATCTCTAGCAAGAATTCTTGCAAATAATATCCATGATATTCAGTACTTTCCAAGTACACTGTGTATCTGATACTGTTCTAAGTATCCACCATGAGGTAGACAACACAGACAGTCCTTGCTTTGCATGTTAATGTGAGACCACAGCAATGACCACGTAAGCTGAGACTGTCAAAGCATCTTAGTAATCAATGGAGGAAAGTACACAATCATTCCATGACCTTTAAAGTTTTCTTTTTTTCTTTTTAGAGAGATAGGGTCTTGCTCTGTCAGCCAGGCTGGAGTGCAGTGGCACAATCATAGCTCACTGTAACCTCAAACTCCCTGGCTCAAGCGATCCTCCTGCCTCAGCCACTCAAGTAGCTGGGACTACAGGCGTGTGCCATGACACCTGGCTGATTTTTATTTTTTATTCTTTCTAGAGGCAGGGCCTCACTGTGTTGCCCAGGCTGGTCTCGAACTCCTAGCCTTGAGCATTCCTCTGCCTTGGGCTGCCAAAGTTTTGGGATCACAAGCATGAGCCACTATGCCCAGCCTAAATGTTTCTATTACAACATTTAAAATTATCATACTGCCAGTTATAAAGATACAGGGAAATGGCCGGGTGTGGCGGCTCGCGCCTGTAATCCCAGCACTTTGGGAGGCTGAGGCGGGCAGATCACGAGGTCAGGAGATCGAGACCATCCTGGCTAACACGGTGAAACACCGTCTCTACTAAAAATACAAAAAAATTAGCCGGGCATGGTGGCGGGTGCCTGTAGTCCCAGCTACTTGGGAGGCTGAGGCAGAAGAATGGCGTGAACCCAGGAGGCGGAGCTTGCAGTGAGCTGAGATCACGCCACTGCACTCCAGCCTGGGCGAAAGAGCAAGACTCTGTCTCAAAAAAAAAAAAAAAAAAAAAATAGAATAAAACAAAATAAAGATACAGGGAAATGAAATTCATAGTAAGATGAGTATTTGACTACACCGTAATTTAAAACATTAGAACATTGAGATGCAAGGTGTATTTGTTGTTTTTTTTTTCCTTTGTATGACACTTACGGAGAGTACTTTAGTTCAAAAAAATGCTTGCCTTCTTCTCTTTGTATAATTTACAACATGGAGTAAACATCTTTTCTATGCCTTAGTACCTTGTCTTGCTCCTTTCTAAGTTTGGATCAGCTTCCAATATTTTATCCTTTGAGCTTTCCATGACACAAAATTCCTCCAAGAGTTCCTTTAAAGTGACTTTGTATTCTATAATGTCCCTTCCTCTGGGACATCTTCATCCTTTTTGTCCCCATGACCTTCCTTATTTATGCTAATACATTTGCCTTCCCTGAGTTCCTCTACACTACCTATCTCTCAAATGGCAGCAGGGTCAACATCACCATAGTCTGCTATTCTTTGATAACTCCATTTATGCTGTCTTTGAAGTTCACTTCTGGCATTATCACTTTTCATTTCTTTGCTGCATTTTTATCTTTGTTGGCCAGTTCCCTCTTTTCGTGATACATTGTTGTAAAATCTCATGGGAGTTAGCCACCTGGAGACAGGGAGGCAACAGAACTACACACTTTGCTGTCTGTGCATAAATTGAAGAGCAGAAGCTCAGTGACCAATCACTGATGGACTTTGAAAGGAGTGACAGTAATTGGCCCTCAATTATGATGCTTATCTTTTATTTATGTCGTGATTTCTAGACTGAAGAGTTAGCAACAAAGTTTATACCATATGCAACTACTCGTGATCAATATACCAAGGTACTGAAAAAGAACCATGTCACTGGGCTACTAGTGTTATTTAACTGAATCATGCAGAGTGAGGGCTGCCTGTATTCTTGCCTTGTTTTCTAGAACTGAAGCATGGAGGGTCAAATAATGCATCCAATGTTATTTAGAGCTGGAATTTGAATCCATGCAGTTGGGTGCAGAGTCTGAGCTCTTAATCACCTTGACCATTACATTACCTTGCTTTTTATTTCCTTTGGGGAAATGTTTCCTAAAAAATGTAACGCCCCTCTGTGCTGCTATGTGGGAATCAGAAGTCTCAGTGCCTGATCAGACCTCCTTGTCCAGGAACAGACCCTTGGGGCTGACCCCTCCTTGGGACCCAATGCCCTTCTTTCTGCACTATCCAGGTACCGGGGAGACCAGGATGCCACTATGTCTATATTGGACATATCCATGATGACTGGCTTTGCTCCAGACACAGATGACCTGAAGCAGGTATGAAGGGCTCAGGAGCTGGGATAAGTGGAAAGGAGCCTGGGTTCTGGAAGAGGCTGCAGGGAGAGAGGGGTCCAGGAGGGATTTTTCACAGGCTCCACCTTTCCCCAGCTGGCCAATGGTGTTGACAGATACATCTCCAAGTATGAGCTGGACAAAGCCTTCTCCGATAGGAACACCCTCATCATCTACCTGGACAAGGTAAGGCTGCATCATCCTCCCCTGGGAGGCTTCCAGGGGCACCCTGACCTCTATCTGGCTGGTCTTTCTTTTCCTTTCAGCTTTTGTCTCTGGGTCAGACTAACCCTGGGCCAGAGGAGACAGGGTCTGTGCTGCTGAGTTGTAGGGGAAGGAGCTTGTAAAATAAGGGGGTCAACCCAGCATCTTCTATAAACATCTCATCTTCTGACCATTTGCCTCCTCCAACTTGTTATCAGAGTCTTAAACAACCATTGAAAAAAAGCCCTTTTGGTTTTTTTGGTTTTTTTTTTAAGTGCTTTGTAGAGAGCAAGGTCTTGCCTCGTTCCCTAACCCAATCCTGGGCTTTGTTTCTTTCTTTGATCTATTTCTCTCTTCTGTTGTTTTCTTTCTTTCAGGAGACAGGGTCTTGCTCTGTCACCCAGACTGGAGTACAGTGTCTTGATACTAGCTCACTGCAAAGTCAAATTCCTGGGCTCAAGGGATCCTCCTGCCTCAGCCACCTGAGGAGCTGGAACTGCAGGCCTGCGACACTGCACCCAGCTAATTTTTTTTTCATAAATATTATGCTTTTGTACCCAGCTTTTTTTTTTTTTTTTTTTTAACTGCAGCCTTGACCTCCCAGGCTTACATGATCCTCCCACCTCTGCTTCCTGAGTAGCTGTGATTACAGGTGCATGCCACCATGCCCAGTGAATTAAAAAAAAAAAAAGTTTGTAGATATGGGGTCCCACTGTACTGCCTAGGCTGGTCTTAAACTCCTGAGCTCAAGTGATTCTCCCACCTCAGCCTCCTAAAGTGCTGAGATTACAGGCATAAGCCCCTGGTGCCTGGCCCCAGCTGAATTTTTGTTCTTGTTTCTTCATAAATATTCTGTGTAAGTACCCAGCTGATTGTTTTATTTTTTGTAGAGATGGGGGTCTTGATATGTTGCTCAAGTTGGTCTCAAACTACTGGCCTCAAGCGATCTTCCTGCCTCAGCCTCCCAAAGGGCTGGGATTCCAAGCATGAGCCACCACACCTGCCACCTCTTCTGTTATTTTCTCTCCATCTGGCATTCTCTGACTCTTTCATCTCTACCATGATTTGGGCTTTCTCCTCTCCCTTCTCTTATTTCTTCCCATTCTCCTATCCCCATATCCTCCCTGCTAACTCCTGATACCCACAGGGCCCCTCAATCCCATTTTAGTCAGCTTAAGTAACAATAGCTACTAAAACAAAACCCCTAAGAATATGGGGTCTTAACACAACAGACTTGTATTTCTCACTCATGTAAAGTCCAGTTGGCATGGGGGGTAAGGAAGGGTCCCTCTGCTCCATGTAGTCTCTCAGGGATCCAAGCACCTTCCATCCTGTGGCTCTGCAATCCTTAGGATCTTCTGTAGTTCTCTGCAGGATTCATTCATTCTAGATGGAAATAAGATTGTGCATGGGTTGTTTTTATGGGCATAGATAGCAATCTGTTCAGCCACCTGGCCACACCTAATTGAAAGAGGAGCTGAGAAAGGTAGTCTCACTGTGAGTCTAGGAAGAAAAGTAAATGGATTTGCTGAATTGCTCATTCATCTTTGCCACTTCCTCCTTGATCCTTCAGTTTCTCCACCACTGCCTCAGCTCCCAAGACAATGCTGGACTCCCTCCCACATCACCCCACTGACCAAGCTCCTCCTTCCCCCTCAGGTCTCACACTCTGAGGATGACTGTCTAGCTTTCAAAGTTCACCAATACTTTAATGTAGAGCTTATCCAGCCTGGAGCAGTCAAGGTCTACGCCTATTACAACCTGGGTGAGCAGCCAACCTAGGGCCTGGGGTCTGATGGTTCCAGGGGCCTGAGAGTCCCAGGTATATATGAATTGTGGGGATCTGAGAATGAAGGTCTAAGGAGTCCAGGGATTTGAGCATTCGTAGTATGAAGGTCCCACGGGTCTGAGGGTCCCAAGGATCTATGAGTTGAGGTTCTGAGGTTCTGAGGGGATCTGAGAATGATGGTCTAAGCAGGCCAGGGATTTCAGGATTAGTAATCTGAAGGTCCCAGGGTCTGAGAGTCCCAAGGATCTATGAGTTGGTTCTAGGGATCTGAGACTTGGGGGTCTGATGGGTTCAGGGGTCTCAGGGTCTTAGGAATATGTGAGTTGCAGGGGGTTCTGAAAATAAGGGTCTAAGGATTCTAGATATATGAGGGTTGGAGGCCTGCGTGTCCCAGGAATCTATGAATTTGGGGTCTGAGGGTCCCAGGCTTCTGTGAGTTGAGAGTCTAAGAGACTCAAGGGTCTGAGAATCCCAAAGATCAGAAAGTAGAGGGGGTCTTGGGGTCTGAGGGATCTGAGGGGTTGAAGACCTAGCATCTCCAGGTCTGAAGACTGAGAACTGGGGATCTGGGCCTCCCAGGCATGGTCTTTGGAGGGAGGCCCTTATCCTCTCATCTTCACATCACATCTGCCCGCAGAGGAAAGCTGTACCCGGTTCTACCATCCGGAAAAGGAGGATGGAAAGCTGAACAAGCTCTGCCGTGATGAACTGTGCCGCTGTGCTGAGGGTGAGTTCCCTGGAGCCGGGAACAGGTGGGTCTGAGCAAGCCACACTTACCCAGGTCATCTATCCCATGGTCAGGGACCCCCAGACCCATACCCAGGGGATACCAAGGGGGGTAGGCTCCCAGGGCTGGCCACACCCATGGGCAGTAGGCCCCAGATAAGGAGTGGGACTTAGACCCTGTCTCCACCCCACCCTGCAGAGAATTGCTTCATACAAAAGTCGGATGACAAGGTCACCCTGGAAGAACGGCTGGACAAGGCCTGTGAGCCAGGAGTGGACTATGGTGAGTGGGTGATGGGTGGGGGTCACGCATGTTTAGCTGTGTGTGTCCAATTGTGTGGTGGGTGGTAGGTGTGGTTGTCATGGTGTGGCTTCAGGCTGTGGGTGTGGGTGACTGTGGTGTGTGTGAGAGCATGTATTGTGAGGGGCCATGATTGTGTGGGGAACCATGACTGTGAGTGGCCTAGGTATGCTCATGTGAGAAAAGGTAGATGTGGTTGTATGCATCATTGCGTGGGTGGCTGTGAGGTTGTAGTTGTGTGTGGCTGTGGTTGTGTGAGGCTGTGTGGTTGTAGATGGCAGTGAGTGTGAGGTCCTGAAGTTACGTATATGACTGTAGTTTTCCGTGGCTATGGTTGTGTGCATGGCCATGAGGCTACAGTATTTTGTGCATATGAGTCACTCTCATTGCATAGTATGAATAGTATGTTACTAGACATTGTGGGTGGCTGTGACCTCTGTGCATGCCTATGAGCACGACTGTGTGTGGATGGTGACATGGGACCCTCTATGGTTGTGTGTGTAATGAGGGGTGGGCCATAGTGTGACTGGCTGTGATTCTGCAACTTTCTGCTTGGGAGAGAGAGCCACATGCCCGGGTGCACTTGCAAACCAGGGTGCCCCTCATGGTCAACCTAGCCCACCACCCAAACTGTCTGCCTCTCCCCCACAGTGTACAAGACCCGACTGGTCAAGGTTCAGCTGTCCAATGACTTTGACGAGTACATCATGGCCATTGAGCAGACCATCAAGTCAGGTCAGGCTCAGCACGCTGCCTCCCGTGGCTCTTCCCTGGCTTCCTCCCCACGACTCAGCTTCTTCCCTCTCCCCTCCACTCCAGGCTCGGATGAGGTGCAGGTTGGACAGCAGCGCACGTTCATCAGCCCCATCAAGTGCAGAGAAGCCCTGAAGCTGGAGGAGAAGAAACACTACCTCATGTGGGGTCTCTCCTCCGATTTCTGGGGAGAGAAGCCCAAGTGAGTGCTTTCCCTGCGCGTGCGCGCGACCGCCCGACTGCCCCGCCCATGCCACGCCCACACCATTGTCACGCCCCTGCGCCACGCCCACACCACGCCCCTTCCTGACCTGCCATTCTTCCCTCCAGCCTCAGCTACATCATCGGGAAGGACACTTGGGTGGAGCACTGGCCCGAGGAGGACGAATGCCAAGACGAAGAGAACCAGAAACAATGCCAGGACCTCGGCGCCTTCACCGAGAGCATGGTTGTCTTTGGGTGCCCCAACTGACCACACCCCCATTCCCCCACTCCAGATAAAGCTTCAGTTATATCTCACGTGTCTGGAGTTCTTTGCCAAGAGGGAGAGGCTGAAATCCCCAGCCGCCTCACCTGCAGCTCAGCTCCATCCTACTTGAAACCTCACCTGTTCCCACCGCATTTTCTCCTGGCGTTCGCCTGCTAGTGTGCTGACTTCTTTAGCCAAGGAGCATGGACCTGCCTCACCTGCACGTGGCATGCACCTGCGCCTCACCTCCATTTCACCTGCACACTCACCGGCAGCTCACAGCCCCTTCACCTCTTCACTTACCGGCATCCTCACCTGTTAATCTTACCAATTTTTTTTTATTTTATTATTATTACTATTTTAAGTTCCGGGGTACATGTGCAGGATGTGCAGGTTTGTTACATAGGTCAAGTGTGCCATGGTGGTTTCCTGCACCTATCAACCCATCACCTAGGTTTTTTGTTTGTGTGTTTTGAGGCAGAGTCTTGTTCTGTCGCCCAGGCTGGAGTGCAGTGGCACAATCTCGGCTCACTGCAACCTCCACCTCCCGGGTTCAAGTGATTCTCCTGCCTTAGCCTCCTGAGTAGGTGGGATTACAGGCGCCCGCCACCTTGCCTGGGTAATTTTTGTATTTTTGGTAGAGACGGGGTTTCACCATGTTGGCCAGGCTGGTCTTGAACTCCTGATCTCAAGCGATCCGCCCGCCTTGGCCTCCCAAAGTGCTGGGATTACAGGCGTGAGCCATCACACCCAGCCCCCTATTACCTAGTTATTACGTCCAGGATGCATTAGGTCTTTTCCCTAATGTTCTCCCTGCTCCCAATGTTACCAATATTTTCATCTGAATCTTTACCTGCTCACTCCTCTGCACCCTCAGCTGAATCCATGTATGGGTTTTTGTTGTTGTTGTTTTGTTTTTGTGGGTTTTTCTGTTTTTTTTTTTTTTTTTTTTTTTTTGAGATGGAGTTTCACTCTTGTCGCCCAGGCTGGAGTGCAATGGCGCGATCTCGGCTCACTGTGACCCCTCCTCCTGGGTTCAAGCGATTCTCCTGCCTCAGCCTCCCGAGTAGCTGTGGTTACAGGCACACGGCCACCACACCTGGCTAATTTTTGTATTTTTATTAGAGACGGGGTTTCACCATGTCGGCCAGACCGGTCTCGAACTCCTGACCTCAGGTGATCTGCCCGCCTCGGCCTCCCAAAGTGCTGGGATTGCAGGCGTGAGCCTCCGTGCCCCGCCAGGGTTTTTTGTTTTTGTTTTTTAGCATCCTCACCTGGCCCCAACACCTACATCTCTATCTTAAGCTTACCTGTATCTTTACCTTAACAGCATTGTTACCTATATTCTCACCTTTTTCCACCTACATCCTCTCCGGTGAGTGTATTTTCTCTGCATCTTCATCTGGGTCCTCACCTGCATCTTTACCTGCATGCTTTTCTAGGTATTTTCTTGGGTTCTTGCCCACATTCTCACCTACATTCTCACCTGCAGATTTACCTATCTTCTTACTGTAACTGCCCAATGGGTTCACCTTGCCCGCTGCCTAGACAGAACCGATTTATCAGACGGGGGATGCAGTGGAGAAAGAGTAATTCGTGCAGAACAAGCTGTGCAGGAGACCAGAGTTTTATTATTATTCAAATCAGTCTCCTCGAGCATTTGGGGATCAGCGGTTTTAAAGATAGTTTGGTGGGCCAGACGCAGTGGCTCATGCCTGTAATCCCAACACTTTGGGAGGCCGAGGCAGGTGGATCACCTGAGGTCAGCAGTTCGAGACCAGCCTGGCCAACATGATGAAACCCCGTCTCTACTAAAAATACAAAAATTAGCCAGGCGTGGTGATGCACACCTGTAGTCCCAGCTACTTGAGAGGCTGAGGCAGGAGAATCGCTTGAACCCGGGAGGTGGAGGTTGCAGTGAGCCGAGATTGCGCCACTGCACTCCAGCCTGGGTGACAGAGCGAGACTTCATCTCAAAATAATAATAATAATAATAGTTTGGCAGGTAGAGGTTTGGGAAGTGAGGAGTGTTGATTGGTGAGGTTGAAGTTGGAATCATAGGGGGTCCAGGTGAGGTTTTCTGTCTTCCGTTCCTGGGTGGGATCACAGAACTGGAGGGGTCAGATTACTGGTCTCGATGGTGTCAGCTGATCCATTGAGTTCAGGGTCTGCAACATATCTGGAGCACTGATCTTAGGTTTTACAATAGTGATGTTGTCCCCAGGAGCAATTTGGGGAGGTTCAGACTCTTGGAGCCAGAGGCTGTATGGCCCCTAAACTGTAATTTCTAATCTTGTAGCTAATTTGTCAGTCCTGCAAAGGCAGACTGGTCCCCAGGCAAAAAGGGGGTCTTTTCGGGAAAGGGCTGTTACCAATTTTGTTTCAGAGCCAAACCATGAACTGAATTCCTTCCCAAAGTTAGTTCGGCCTATGCCCAGGAAAGAACAAGGACAGCTTGAAGCTTAGAAGCAAGACGGAGACGCTTAGGTCTGATTTCTTTCAGCGTCATAATTTCCTCAGTTATGATTTTGCAAAAGCGGTTTCATTACCTGCACCTCCCCCGGCATCTGTCCTTGTAGATTCGCCATCACCATCAACCTGCAGACCTGCTCTGCCCTCTCACCTGCATCCTTACCTGTCCTCATTTGCATCCCTTCTGCCCTCCTGCAGCCTCACCTCACTCTCCCAGACCCCGTTTCTAGATGGGCCTGAGCCAAGAATCCATGCTTTGGGGTGAGCTGTGTCTGGTGACTGAACCCGAGAGGAGGCAGTAGGGGCTGGCAGGCAGGGCAGTGTTTCCGGCTGGAGCCCCAGGGAGGGGAAGACATGAGTCAGCAGTTAGGGAGGGAGTGCGGGGGCTTTGTGGTCACGGCACACAAAGTGCTTTCTGGTGACAGCGCTGCTTGGGGAGCAGCAGCCTTGGGTTTGGAGAGCAGGGGCGCTGTTGCTAAAGGGGACTGGGGCCCTGAGCACCTCCTCTCACTGCACCTCTGGTCCTTTGGGGACTGGGAAGGTGTCTGTATGGAGGGTGGGATGCAGCCTCCCAGCTCTGCACCACATCATCACGAAACACCCACTGAGGCTGAAAGTCACGCCTCCACAGCCTCTTTTCCTAAGACACCCCACAACTCCAGGGGTATGGGCGAAATAGATTCACAGTCTACCCTACTCCATCCAGCTCCTAAATGACAAAGCCTCCTGTCAAATGCCTTGCAACTCACTGGCTATCCCGGCTGATATCTGCCAAGACCACCACTCTACTTCACATCCTTCTTCTCATTTCTTTTTTCTTTTCTTATTCATTCCTCCTTTCTTTTCTTTCTCTTTTTTTTTTTTCTGTCCCCCAGGCTACAGTGCAGTGGCACAATCTCGGCTCACTGCAACCTCCGCCTCCCAGCTTCAAGCAATTCTCCTGCCTCAGCCTCCCAAGTAGCTGAGATTACAGGTGCCCACCACCACGCCCAGTTAATTTTTGTATTTTTAGTAGAGGTGGGGTTTCACCATGTTGGCCAGGTTGGTCTCGAACTCCTGACCTCAGGTGATCCACCTACCTCGGCCTCCCAAAGTGCTGGGATTACGGGCATGAGCCACTGCACCTGGCCTTCACTCCCCCTTTCTCCTGTTTGGGATTCATTTGATTCATTTCTTCAACATATGGGGGTGTTTGGTGCTTTTGTTTGTGTTTGCTTTTATTTTGAGCTAAAACCTATCACTTGAGGCTGTGAACGGTGCAGATAGGATCTTATGAAACTTACATTCTAAAAGGGGGAGCAGGATAGGACTCATGAAAACAGCATGGGGCCAGGCGTGGTGGCTCACGCCTGTAAGCCCAGCACTTTGGGAGGCCGAGGTGGGCAGATCATTTGAGGTCAGGAGTTTGAGACCAGCCTGGCCAACATGGAGAAACCTCATCTCTACTAAAAATACAAAAAAGTAGCCAGGCGTGGTGGCGGGCACCTCTAATCCCAGCTATTCGGGAGGCTGAGGCAGGAGAATCGCATGAACCTGGGAGGCGGAGGGTTGCAGTGAGCTGAGATCGGGCCACTGCACTACAGCCTGGACAACAAAGCGAGACTCCATCCCCCACACCGGCTCCCCCAAAAAGAAGACAGTGTGGAATGGATTTTGGATGGTGAGGATGTCCAAAAAGAAAAGTTCACCCATGCAGTGGGTCCAGCGGTTAAGAAGATCACTTAGATTGAGTGGCATGAGGGCTAACTTATGTGATAACAAAGCTAGGCTATATGAAGTCATTTGGTAAAACACTAGTCTAAATGTTGCTAGAAAGGTATTTTAGCCGGGCACAGTGGCTCACGCCTGTAATCCCAGCACTTTGGGAGGCTGAGGTGGGTGGATTACTTGAGGTCAGGAGTTCGAGACCAGCCTGACCAACATGGAGAAACCCCATCTCTACTAAAAATACAAAATTAGCCAGGCCTGGTGGCGCATGCCTGTAATCCCAGCTACTCGGGAGGGTGAGGCAGGAGAATCGCTTGAACCTGGGAGGCTGAGGTTGCAATGAGCCAAGATCGCACCATTGCATTCTAGCTTGGCCAACAACAGCAAAACTCTGTCTCAAAAAAGAAAGAAAGAAAGAAAGAAAAGTATTTTATATTTCTTTACTTTTTTGTCTTTTTTCTTTTTTTCCTCTTTGTTGAGAACGGGGTCTCACTATATTGCCCAGGCAGGTCTCAAACTCATGGGCTCAAGCAATCCTCCCGCCTCTGCCCCCCTAAGTGCTGGGATTACAGGTGTGAGCCACTGCACCTGGCTAGAAAGGTAATTTTCAGATCATGTCAACAACCACAGTTGACTTTCAGGACAGGAGATGAGCCTAGGTAATGTGAGTGGGCCGCACCTGATCAGTTGAAGGTCTGAGGAGTAAACACCGAAGTTTCCTGAAGAAGGAATTCTGCCTCAAGGTTGCAACTTAGTAATTCTGCCTGAGTTTCCAGGCTTTAGGCTTTAAGACGGTAGTGTCACCTCTTACCTGAGCCTCCAGCCTAACTGGCTTGTCCTGTGGACTTCAGACTTGCCAACTCCCATGATTGTGTGAGCTAATTTCTTAAAATAAATGTGTTACACACTCTCTCTGACTCTATACATCTCTCTCTCTCTCTCTCTCCGTCTGTCTTTGTATCTCTGTGTCCCTGTCTCTCTAGTTTTCCATGTCTGTCTCTTCTCTGACTCTGTATCTTTGTCTGTCTCTACAGATCTCTTTTTTTTTTTTTTTTTTTGAGACAGTCTCATGCCATTGCCCAGCCTGGAGTGCAGTGGCACAATCTCAGTTCATTGCAACTTGTGCCTCCCGGGTTCAAGTGATTCTTGAGCCTCAGCCTCCCAAGTAGCTGGGATTACAGAAGTGTGCCACCACACCTAGCTAATTTTTTATTTTTTATTTTTGTATTTTTGATAGAGACAGGGTTTCCCCATATTGGCCAGGCTGGCCTCGAACTCGCGACCTCAGGTGATCCACATGCCTCAGCCTCCCAAAGTGCTGGGATTACAGGCGTGAGCCACCGCACCCAGCCTATAGATCCCATCTCTATCTCTCTGTGTATCTTCTATTGGTTCTGTCTCTCGGGAGACACCTGACCAATTCAGGGAGGGCTCCTGTGAGAAGTTTCTTGAGTCAAGACGCAGATGAGCAGGGGGAGCCTGCTTTGGAGATCTAGGGAAGATGGTTCCCAGCAGCAGGAAGAGGAAGTGCAAAGACCCAGGATATCTGTCTGGGGCAGAGTGAGCAAAAGCACGAGGGTCCAACCACAGAGGCCCCAGTGAAGGGCACTTCGTGTCTTAGCCTAAGCTCAGGGGCAAGCTGGCAGCAAACTGTATCTATAAAGGGCCACATAAGTGTTTTTGGCTTTCAGGGCCAAGAGGTAAAATCAAGGATATTACAAAGATACTTATGAAACAAGACAGAAGCCAAGTGCAGTGGCTCACGCCTGTAATTCTAGCATTTTGGGAGGCTGAGGTGGGCAGATCACCTGAGGTCAGGAGTTCGAGACCAGCCTGGCCAACATATAGACAACATATATGTTACAACATATATAATGGCCAACATATAATACAAAAATTAGCTATGCATGGTGGTGGGCGCCTGTAATCCCAGCTACTCAGGAGGCTGAGGCAGGAAAATTGCTTGAATCCGGGAGGCAGAGGTTGCAGTGAGCCAAAATGGCACCACTGCACTCCAGCCTGGGTGACAAAGTGAGACTCTGCCTCAAAAAAAAAAAGAAAGAAAAAGGCTGGGTGCGGTGGCTTATGCCTGTAATCCCAGCACTTTGGGAGGCCAAGGCAGGCGGATCACGAGGTCAGGAGATTGAGACCATCCTGGCTAACACGGTGAAACCCCGTCTCTACTAAAAATACAAAAAATTAGCTGGGTGCGGTGGTGGGCGCCTGTAGTCCCAGCTACTCAGGAGGCTGAGGCAGGAGAATGGCGTGAACCTGGGAGGCGGAGCTTGCAGTGAGCCGAGATCGCACCACTGCACTCCAGCCTGGGCGACAGAGCGAGACTCCGTCTCGAAAAAAAAAAAAATCCACGCTTGAATGCATGCACACTCATACATGGACCTCCCCACACACATGAACACACCCGTGCAAGTGCGCACACACACATACACGCACCAATGCACAGGCACACACACATGCACACACCTGCACACAGCACATATATGCACACCCACTTGCACATGTGATGCATGTTCACACATACACACACGTGCACATGCATGCATGTACATGGACCACATGCACATGCACACAGATGACCATACACATATGCATGCACCTGCCCACATATGCACGCACATTTACATGCCAGCACATGTATGATACACAGGCATGCGCCTGCACATGTGTACATGATACACACTTGCATGCACACAACTGAATACACACATTCACATGCACACACTGCACACATATATGCATGCAGACAAGCACACACACAGAGCACACATCCACTCCTTTATTCCACTCTTGTGTTTTTCACTGCACTTGTCACATCAAAACACAACAGAAGGCCGGGCATGGTGCGGCTCACGTTTGTAATCCCAGCACTTTGGGAGGCTGAGGTGGGTGGATCGCTTGAGGTCAGGAGTTCGAGACCAGCCTGACCGACATGGTGAAAACCCATCTCTACTAAAAATACAAAAAGCAGCCAGGCGTGGTGGCACGCGCCTGTAATCCCCGCTACTTGGGAGGCTGAGGCAGGAGAATTGCTTGAACCCAGGAGGTGGAGGTTGTAGTAAGCTGAGATCGCGCCACTGCACTCCAGCCTGGGCAACAGAGCGAGACTCCATCTCAAAAACAAAACAAATAAACGAACAAAAAAACCCACAACGTATTATTTTCTTGTTTACGAGGTTTCTTGTCTCTCTGGCTCCACCAGAAGAGGAGCAGGGACCCTTCTTGCTGTTGTTCATTGCTGCATCCCCCACACCGAGAGCAGAGCCTGGCATGGGCAGAAAGTCCTCAGTCGATATTTGGTGGCCCCAAGCGAATGAAGCATCCAAGAAGGGAAAGCTGGGGGCTCCCCACTGCACTTGCCACCTGAGTCACATTTTCAGAAGCCTCTGGAAAGTGTGAGAGTCTGTATGAGTGAGAGTGAGACAGGGCCAAGACCGGGGGCGGCGGGTACCGGAAGAAGAGGAGGGTGAGTGGGGGAAGGGGTGGGGCTGAACCCCAGCTCTAAAGGCGGCCCACGGGTGCCTGTCCGCAGCGTGCACAGCCCAGGAGTGTTGAGCAATTTCGGTTTCCTCTGAGGTTGAAGGACCCAGGCGTGTCAGCCCTGCTCCAGACACCTTGGGCATGGAGGAGAGTGTCGTACGGCCCTCAGTGTTTGTGGTGGATGGACAGACCGACATCCCATTCACGAGGCTGGGACGAAGCCACCGGAGACAGTCGTGCAGTGTGGCCCGGGTGGGTCTGGGTCTCTTGCTGTTGCTGATGGGGGCCGGGCTGGCCGTCCAAGGCTGGTTCCTCCTGCAGCTGCACTGGCGTCTAGGAGAGATGGTCACCCGCCTGCCTGTGAGTGGGACCGGGGGGCTGAGAGCAGGTGGAGGTGAGGGGGGCTCCCCTGTGTCATTGTGGGTCACTGTGTGTCTGTGTGTGTGTGTGTGTGTGTGTGTGTGTGTGTGTGTAGGACAGGGCACAGGCTGAGAGCAGCTGGCTTGACTGGTTGCTGCTCCCAGCCTTGGGCAAGTGAATTCACCTCTCTGAACCTCAGTGTCTTCATCTACAAAATAAGGGCAGTCTCTTCATAGGGGACGAAGTATGCTATGGCATGTGTAGTACCAGACGATGCCAGCTCCACCCGTCGGAACTGACACCCCAACACTGCCATGCACACCCCTGTGCACACACGCATGCATTTTCTCTGTACTTTTTTATTTTTGAGACGGAGTTTCACTCTCGTTGCCCAGGCTGGAGTGCAATGGCATGATCTCTGCTCACCGCAACCTCTGCCTCCCGGGTTCAAGTGATTCTCCTGCCTCAGCCTCCCGAGTAGCTGGGATTACAGGCATGCGCCACCACGCCTGGCCAATTTTGTATTTTTAGTAGAGATGGGGCTTCTCTATGTTTGTCAGGCTGGTCTCAAACTCCCGACCTCAGGAGATCCACCCGCCTCAGCCTCCCAAAGTGCTGGGATTACAGGTGTGAGCCACTGCGCCTGGCCTTCTCTGGTACTCTTATTACTGTTACTGCGATTGTCATTAATTCTCTGACCATTTCCATCTGTGGAAATTTCTCGGTCTGCTTCCAGCTGGCTGTGGATGTGTCCGCCTGTCTGTGTGCCTCACCTGGGGGTCTATGTGTGCCCAACACCATACCCCTGTGGGCTTGGCCCCTTTTGTGTCCTGGGTCTGGATCCGGTGGCCACACATTCGTGTCCATATACCCATGTGGACGTATGTGCGTGTACCCACATGTCCACACACCCGCCTAGCTGCAGCCGGTGTATTCACGTTGTCTGTCTTTGTCTCTGGGTCTCTGTGTCTGTAGACGCACATGGATCCATAAACCACAAACCACATGTCCACGCATCTGAGCCCACATGTGTCTTCTCAGCGTCATGATGATGTTGAGGTCTGTGCCCTGTGGCAGGTGCTATATCCCAAGGGTGGTGTCCATGTGTCCAGCCATCTCGCTGTCTGCATTTTTTTTTTTTTGA
The DNA here is from genome assembly GCF_000001405.40 of Homo sapiens. NCBI lineage: Eukaryota > Metazoa > Chordata > Mammalia > Primates > Hominidae > Homo > Homo sapiens. The sequence continues at coordinate 6,668,706 of NC_000019.10, read as the reverse complement.
GACAAGGTTTCTCTCCCATAGCCCAGGCTGTAGTGTAGTGGTGCAGTCTTGGCTCACTACAACCCCACCTCCCAGGTTCAAGTGATTCCCTTGTCTCAGCCTCCTGAGCAGTAGCTGGGATCACAGGCATCCGCCACCGTGCCTGGCTAATTTGTGTATTTTTAGTACAGACGGGGTTTCACCATGTTGGCCAGACTTGTCTCGAACTCCTGACCTCAAGTGATCCACCTGCCTCAGCCTCCCAAAGTGCTGGGATTACAGGTGTGAGCCACCACGCCTGGCCTTGTCCCTGTATTTTTAAATATTACTTATTTATTTAATTAATTACATATTTATTTATCTTAGAGACTGTGTCTCACTCTGCTTCCCAGGCTAGAGTGGAGTGGCACGATCATAGCTCACTGCAGCCTTGAACTCCTGGGCTCAAGCAAGCCTCCTGTCCCAGCTTCATGAGTAGCTGGGACTACAGGCATGCACCACCATGCCTGGCTAATCTTAAAAATTTTTTGTAGAGATGAGGTCTTGTTGTGTTGCCCAGGCTGGTCTTAAACTCCTGGCCTCAAGCTGTCCTCCCACTTTGGCCTCCCAAAGTGCTGGGATTACAGGTGTAAGCCACTGCTCTGGGCAATGTTATTTATTTATTAAACCCTTTTATTTATTTATTTATTTTTTGAGATAGAATCTCACTCTGTCACCTAGGCTAGAGTGCAGTGGCACAATCTGGGCCCACTGCAACCTCCCAGGTTCAAGCGATCCTCCTGCCTCAGCCTCCAGAGCAGCTGGGATTACAGGCACCCACCACCAGGCCCAGCTAATTTTTGTAGTTTTAGTAGATACAGGGTTTTACTGTGTTGGCCAGGCTGGTCTCGAACTCCTGACCTCAGGTAATCTGCCCACCTCGGCCTCCCGAAGTGCTGGGATTAGAGGTGTGAGCCAATGCACCCGACCTATTAAACCTTTCTCTAGTGCATACTATGTGCCAAGCACTGTAATAATGCCTTACATATGTGAATTCATTAAACGCCAAGCAGACACGATTCGTAACTCCATTTACATAGAGGGAAACTGAGGCACCAAGTGGTTGTGAGGCCTCTGGACAGGGGGTGTGTGTCTGCAAGTGAGAGTATGTGGCCCTGTGTACGTGTCTGAGGGTGGTGTCGGTGGCTATGGTCCTCATGTCTCATAGCCATGTGTGAGCAATGCGAGGGCGTGGCCCCCGCTGCAGGTTCTTACCGCAGGCCCCTTCTGCATTTTCAGGACGGACCTGCAGGCTCCTGGGAGCAGCTGATACAAGGTGAGTCAGGGTCCTGGCCCCAGGGAAGGAGGTGTGATGATTCCCATGCCACCCCCACCCCTCGGTCAATTGCCCAATATGATTTGCACAACTGGCCAAATCCTCACAGGTGCCCCTCCCCCAGGCCTGAGAAGCAGAAGTTTGGGTCACTCCGGAAGGGGTGGGGTTGATTCCAGGAGGTGTACACGGTGGCCCTTTAGGAGGCTGGCTTTTTACCTCCACTGTCTTCGTCTCTAACCTCTGACCCTCTTTCCCCAGAGCGAAGGTCTCACGAGGTCAACCCAGCAGCGCATCTCACAGGTGAGAGGGACCCTGGATCCTGGCAAGGGGCAGGGGTCAGGGCGTCTCGGGAAGACCAGATAAACGCCATACATATCAGTGTATTCATTCATTCATTGCTTATTTACTCACAGAGTTGCTCAGAACATAGGCTGCAAGTGCTATGTATTTCCAGTTTTATTTATTTTATTATTTTTTATTTCTATTTATTTATTTATTTATTTATTTATTTATTTTTGAGACAGTCTCACTCTGTTGCCCAGGCTGGGGTGCAGTGGCATGATCTCGGCTCACTGCAGTCTTCGCCTCCCGGGTTCAAGCGATTCTTCTGCCTCAGCCTCCCAAGTACCTGGGATTACAGGCATGCACCACCACACCCGGTTAATTTTGTTGTATTTTTAGTAGAGACAGGGTTTTGCCATGTTGGCCAGGCTGGTCTCAAACTCCCGATCTCAGGTGATCCTCCCGCCTTGGCCTCCCAAAGTGCTGGGATTACAGGCGTGAGCCACCGGGCCCGGCCTAGTTTTATTAATTTAATGAACTCTCATATAGTGCTTATGCTGTGTTATGTGCTGTGACACGCTTTCTACATATTAATTCATTACATTCCAAGCAGGTGCTATTAATATGCGCATTTTACAGAGAGGGAAACTGAGGCACACAGCGAGTACGAGGTGCCGCTTTGGTTTCTTGGTTTTGCAAACTTGCATGTTTGGACATTTTTTTTTTTTTTTTTTGAGACAGGGTCTTACTCTGTCAACTAGGCTGGAGTGGTGCTATCACGGCTCACGGCACCCTCAACTTGCCAGGTGCAAGCGATCCTCCCACTTCAGCTTCCCCAGCAGCTGGGACTACAGGTGCCTGCCACCATGCCCAGCTAATTTTTTTGTTTTTTGTAGAGACAGGGTCTCCCTATGTTACTTCATCTGGAACTCCTGGACTCAAACTCCTGGGCTCAGGGGATCTTCCTGTCTCAGCCTCCCAAAGTGCTGGGATTATAGGGGTGAGACGCCACACCCAGCCAAGTTTTGACACTTTTGGCAAATCACTTAACGGTTCCATGCCTCAGTTTCCCCACCTGCAAAAGAGGGATGCAAAGAGTTGAGATATAGACTAAGCAAGTTAATTTGCTTCCCTGTGCCTCAGTTTCCCTCCTCTGCAAAGCAGGGATAAAGCAAATTAATACATACAAACAGGCTAGGCAGGGTGGTGGCTCATGACTGGAATCCCAGCACTTGGGAGCCTGAAGGATCGGTTGAGCACAGGAATTCGAGACCAGCCTGGGCCACATTGTGAGACCCCCACCTCTACAAACACACACACACACACACACACACACACACACACACGCACACATGCACACACACACACAAACAGCCTAGTGGTGACTGGCCTGGAGTCACACAGCAGGAGTAAGACATGTGAGGCCGGGCGTGGTGGCTCACACCTGTAATCCCAGCACTCTGGGAGGCCGAGGCGGGTGGATCACCTGAAGTCAGGAGTTCAAGACCAGCCTCAGCAACATGGCAAAACCCCATCTCTACTAAAACTACAAAAAGTAACTGGGTGCGGTGGCGGGCACCTGTAGTCCCAGCTACTCAGGAGACTGAAGCAGGACAATCGCTTGAACCTGGGAGGCGGAGGGTGCAGTAAGCCGAGATCATGCCACCACACTCCAGCCTGGTCCACAGAGCGAGACTCTGTGTCAAACAAACAAACAAACAAGCAACAGAGGAAGACATGTGCTGACCGGCAGCCCCCTTTGTCTCTCTCTTCCCAACAGGGGCCAACTCCAGCTTGACCGGCAGCGGGGGGCCGCTGTTATGGGAGACTCAGCTGGGCCTGGCCTTCCTGAGGGGCCTCAGCTACCACGATGGGGCCCTTGTGGTCACCAAAGCTGGCTACTACTACATCTACTCCAAGGTGCAGCTGGGCGGTGTGGGCTGCCCGCTGGGCCTGGCCAGCACCATCACCCACGGCCTCTACAAGCGCACACCCCGCTACCCCGAGGAGCTGGAGCTGTTGGTCAGCCAGCAGTCACCCTGCGGACGGGCCACCAGCAGCTCCCGGGTCTGGTGGGACAGCAGCTTCCTGGGTGGTGTGGTACACCTGGAGGCTGGGGAGAAGGTGGTCGTCCGTGTGCTGGATGAACGCCTGGTTCGACTGCGTGATGGTACCCGGTCTTACTTCGGGGCTTTCATGGTGTGAAGGAAGGAGCGTGGTGCATTGGACATGGGTCTGACACGTGGAGAACTCAGAGGGTGCCTCAGGGGAAAGAAAACTCACGAAGCAGAGGCTGGGCGTGGTGGCTCTCGCCTGTAATCCCAGCACTTTGGGAGGCCAAGGCAGGCGGATCACCTGAGGTCAGGAGTTCGAGACCAGCCTGGCTAACATGGCAAAACCCCATCTCTACTAAAAATACAAAAATTAGCCGGACGTGGTGGTGCCTGCCTGTAATCCAGCTACTCAGGAGGCTGAGGCAGGATAATTTTGCTTAAACCCGGGAGGCGGAGGTTGCAGTGAGCCGAGATCACACCACTGCACTCCAACCTGGGAAACGCAGTGAGACTGTGCCTCAAAAAAAAGAAAGGAAGAAAAAAGAAAACTCAGGAAACAGATCTTGGGGGACACTCCAGGGAACCCAAAACTCAAAGGCGGAGAGCTCAGTGGGCACCACCAAGGCGAGATGAAGCCCCAGCAGGCACCTTCAGAAGACCCACGTAGACTGCAGACCCTGCCACGGACAATACTAAGGACAAAAACCCAGAGACTTGGGGTCTGTGGGCCCCCAAACATGGGGTAAAGTTGATTTGCCTGATATTCAGGAAGAAGGGGTGAGGGGTGGGTATTTATGCTTTTGATTCAGAAGAAAGTGGGGCTTGGGATTCCAGGGACTTGGCTGGGGGTGGGAAACTTCATCCACTTCCCTACTCTCATCATGAGTACGGACAGGGTGGGCGGGAGACTGATCATCGGGACTCATCATGAAGAGCCCAGCCCCACCCCACATACTCAGATCCCACCCACAGACTGGTGGCCACACCTCAGCCTGGTCACAAAGAGTTACACTCAGATACATGAGCACGGCAGCGTGCTCATAACTGTTTAACAACCAGCTGTCCTGGGAGGGGGACAGCTTTGTAATGTTTGCCAATTTCCATGGTGTAAATGCTACCACCATGGCTGATTTCATCACTGCCAAGCATAGACATCCCTAATAGGACACCACGGATCTGTCCCCGGCATCCGGCCCAGGGCCTGGCACAAAGCATGCTCTAGGGAAATGCTTGCTGATTGAAAGGAAGGAAGAATGACTCTACAGTCACACCTATGGCATCCCACAAAATCTGTCACATGGCTGCATAATCTCAGCCACTCTTTCACAACTATAGACTCATACACGCGAAGTGCCAGATTCATGCACAACCACACAATCACATGGAAGTCACAGACGGCATCACAGACAGTCACAGCACTGTGTGTATGTTATAACACAAGCACACAAAACTCAGACAGCATCCCAGCTACACAGCCACTCCCAGAGGTGTCACCGTCACACTTGGTAATTAATACTCATTACATTAGACACAGACAGACCAAGTTATAGTCAGACCTGGTTACACACATACACACACACAATATCACCATGACAAATACACATTACACACACACAACATCACAATGACAAACACACATTACACACACAACATCACGATGACAAACACACATTACACACACAACATCACGATGACAAACACACATTACACACACATCACAATGACAAACACAACATTACACACACACAACATCACAATGACACACACATCACACACACATCACAATGACAAACACACAACATTACACACATATACACACAGCCTGAGGGCCCTCCCCAGCCCAGACTAACACATCTCGGGGTGAGGACCAGACCTTGTTCATAACCCTGGGCCTCTTAACCACTGATCTTTGAAATAAATGGCAAATAGTTGTACCTGGATCTGTCTAGTTCTTAGGGGAACAAACTGAAGAAGGGTGGAGAGGAATTGTCAGGCCTAAAGAGCCCCACAGGGAAAGGGAGGAGTCGGATGGGGGGCAACCATCAGCAACAAGTGGTGGCTCCTAGAGGCAGAGGGATGGAGGTAATGACCCATGGAGGTCATTCTACAGATGAGGAACCTGGACCCAGTTGGCTCAAGTCCATGCAGGAAATGTGGGGGAAACCAGAGACCTCACGTCTGGATCTGGCTTCCTCTCCAATCCACAATTCCTGAGGAAGTAGAGGCTACATCCCGCAAGACGCCCTTATTAGACACATCCAGGACAGAATGACAATCCGCCAAGCCAGCTGGAAGCATAAAACACAGGGAGCTGGTGGGTTGGGTGGGGGCAGATAATGATATGCATACAAATTAGAGGGTCTATGCAAATGAGCATTGCTGCAGTGTGGCTGGAGGGAATCCTTAGTTCCTAGGATTCTAGGATATGGGTTTCGACCCCAGAGGTGAATGTATTGTTATTATTGTTTTGTTGTTGTTGTGAATGACAAGTCAAAATTTGTGGGTTATTGTTGTTATCGCCAATAGTATTCTTGTCATTGTTGCACAGTACAGAGATGAAGGAAACAGATTTTGCAATCAGATGATCCTGGGTTCTGAGTCCACTCTGCCACTCACCAGCTATATGACCTCCAGCAATTTCCATCACCTCTCAATGCTTCAGTTTCCCCATCGGCAAGATGGTTGTGGGGGGAGAGGAACAACAGTACAGATTCACCATCCCAAATTCAAAATGCTCCAAAATCTAGGCCGGGCGTGGTGGCTCATACCTGTAATCCCAGCACTTTGGGAGGTCAAAGTGGACGGATAACCTGAGGTCAGGAGCTCCAGACCAGCCTGGCCAACATGGCGAAACCCCATCTCTACTAAAAATACAAAAAATTACCTGGGTGTGGTGGGGGGCACCTGTAACCCCAGCTACTCGGGAGGCTGAGGCAGGAACCCTGGAGGTTGAGGTTGCAGTGAGCTGAGATCACACCACTGCACTCCAGCCTGGGTGACAGAGCAAGGCTCCCATCTCAAAAAACAAAAAAACATGCTCCAAAATCTGAAACTCTTTGAGCCCCAGTGTGATGCCACAAGTGGGAAATTCCACAACTCATCACATGTGATAGATTGCAGTGGAAATGCAGGCACACACCACGAAGTTTACTCAGCATCCTCAAAGGAAATCCCCGTCAGTAGCTATATATCATTTTCTCACATGCCAGATAGGTATCTCTCATCTTTTACTGTTAGGTACTTCTGTGTTGAATAGGTGGAGGAAAATGATTGCTGGTTAGTAGTATATAAATTCAGAGTCAGGAAGGATGGTGATGTCGGCTGGGTGCAGTGGCTCATGCCTGTAATTCCAATGTGATACCCTACCTTGTGTTTAACGTGATTGACTCTCCCTTAGCTGAGAGGGCCAGGCAGACTCTATTTTGGCTTCTTCGCTTGCAGTCTCTCACCCACCCCCCTTCCTCAAGGACTTAAGCTGACTCCCAGCACATCCAAGAATGCGATTACTGATAAGATACTGTGACAAGCTATATCCACAATTCCCAGGAATTCGTCCGGTTGATAGCACCCAAAGCCCCCGCGTCTATCACCTTGTGATAGATTTAAAGCCCCTGCACCTGGAACTGTTTGTTTTTCTGTTACCATTTATCTTTTTCACTTTCTTGCCTGTTTTGCTTCTGTAAAATTGCTTCAGCTCGGCTCCCTCTTCCCCTTCTAAACCAAGGTATAAAAAGAAACCTAGCCCCTTCTTTGGGGTGGAGAGAATTTTGAGCGCTAGCCGTCTCTCAGTCGCCGGCTAATAAAGGACTCCTGAATTAGTCTAAGAGTGTGGCATTTCTCTATAACTCACTCAGTTACAACATTTGGAGGCCACAGCGAGATCCGCCACCGGGTGAAATCTGGACCCGTTCCGGGCTCCCCTGGACAGACGGCGAGCTTATAGGGGAGGCGCCACCTAAAGACGTTCCAGGGACGTGTAGGCCACCGTCTTCCAGAGGGGAACGGATCGGCTGCCGGTGTCCTCAACCAAATTCAACTCCTGAGTCCTCAGTGTCTGGTCCCGGGAAGGTAAGTCAGATTTGACTCTGTTTCTCTGGGAGGGAGGTGGCCCTGATGAGGGCGTCCCTCTGACTCTGTCCATATTCCAGGACGCTGGAGGACAGAGTCCTGGTTTCTGTCTGACTCTGTTTCTCTGGGAGGGAAGCGGCTCTGATGAGGGCATCCCTCTGACTCTGTCCAAATTCCAGGATGCTGGAGGACAGAGTCCTGGTTTCTGTCAGGCATCTCTGTAAGACTAGTCTCTTTCTTTCTCTCTCTCTCTATCTCTTCTCCTCTCGTTGAGGTCTCAAGGAGACCTCTGTTTTAAAACGGGTATTGAAGAATTGTAATAAACTCTGTGTGAGTGAGTGAGTGAATGTGGAGGTCAAGGGCTCGCGCTTGAATTTTCAGTTTGTAGCTCCACGGCAAAAGCTACAGAGTTCGAGTGGGCCCTCACCTGTGGTTCCGTGGTGACCTCATAAGGCTTAGGGCAGCATTGAGCATAGCTGGATCTGAACGGGCGTTTATACCGGCCTGCCAAAGCTAAGAGGAGCCTGAGTCCTCACAAGGGGAGTGGCCAGGCGGGCATCTGACTGATCCCATCACGGGACCCCCACCCCTTGTCTGTCTATAAAAATTGTCATAATTGTCTATATACCCTAGTGTCTATTGTCCTGTTTAGTGTCTATTGTCCTGTTTGGTGTCTGTCTAAATTTCATGGGTCAGGTCACCCATATTGCCCAAGACGACTGGGCAAGGACTTCTTCAAAGTCCTTTAGTGCAGATTTTCTATTACAGGGGGTCTCAGGCGTGTCTCTTCGGGTTGCCAGGCCCAGGGGCCACTCCTCCGCCAGTTTACAAACGAAACAGCCTCCTTCCCCCACAGCAGGGGCTCCCCAACCCACGGATGAGGAGTGGGAGGTGACGGTGCTGGACCCTCTCCCCCAGGGACCCCCGCTCCTGCGCCTTCAGGCGTCAAAGACCCTGACTTCCCCGACTACCGGCGCGTCCGCACCCGGCTCAGAACGCAGGGGCCCGGACTGCTGCGGTGACCTTGGTCCCGGGCCCGGGCTTCTGAGCTGGGCTTGCAGCGCCTGACGGGGCCTGGAGGCGGGGCGGGGGGACTGCGGAGTAGTCCTGGCGACCCAGCGCTGCCCAGCACGGCTCCTCCCAGCCTGAGAAGATCCGAGTGGCCCCTTTTCCTCCTCATCCCCATCCCTTACCCCGCACATCTACCTCTGTTCTTCCGATACTGCAGCCCTCTAGGCCGTGAATTTCTCTGTCCGTGCTGGGTTTTATATTTCTGCTTAAACCTTGTTAATTGCCTCCAGAATGGGAAACTCTTCTTCCCAGCCCTGTAGAGATTGGAGCCCTCTCCAACGCATGTTACAAAATTTCTCGGCCGGGCGCGGTGACTCACGCCTGTCATCCCAGCACTTTGGGAGGCCGAGGTGGGTGAATCACGAGGTCAGGAGATCGAGACCATCCTGGCTAACACAGGGAAACCCCGTCTCTACTAAAAATACAAAACAATTAGCCGGGCGTGGTGGCAGGTGCCTGTAGTCCCAGCTACTCGGGAGGCTGAGGCAGGAGAATGGTGTGAACCCAGGAGGCGGAGGTTGCAGTGAGCCGAGATCGCTCCACTGCACTCCAGCCTGGGTGACAGAGCGAGACTCCGTCTCAAAAAAAAAAAAAAAGTTCCAGAAGGAAGGACTCACTCCTGCCTGGAAAGGACCTCATACTGTCATCCTCACCATGCCGACAGATCTGAAAGTGGACAGCATTCCTGCTTGGGTTCATCACTCTCACATCAAAAAGGCCAACAAAGTCCAGCAAGACCCCAAGCAAGACCCCAGCACAGACCCCAAGCCTGGGTCGGGCCCCTTAAAACTGCACCTAAGTCGAGTGAAGCCATTGGATTAATTCTTTTTATTTACCTCTTTTGTTTGTTTCCACCTGTCATGCCCTCTGCTCCTTCCTACTCTTTTCTCCTTACTTCTTTCACGACAGGACGTGTGTTTGCAATCACCACCTGGAAGGCGGGGACCTCCAAGGAAGTCTCTTTTGCAGTCGATTTATGTGCTTTGTTCCCAGAGCCTGCCCTCACCCGTGAAGAGCAACGCAATCTGCCGGTCATGGGAACAGGGAACGTCGACCTTGCAGCAGGGTTTGGACACATAGGAAGCCGGACTGCATGTGGAAGCTCTAAAGGTGCAGAAAAAGGACTCCAGGAGGCTGACTTTTACCTCTGTCTTGGAAATCACCCTGACTGAAGTTGTCAAGATTCTTATCAGTTTTTCTGCCCTCGCTGGTCCTGTGTAACCCTAGCCACTTACCCTGGAGGATCAACCCAGTCCTCAACCCTCTCCATAACTCGCACTTCCCATCCTAGACTGTGTACTATGAGAAATTGCAACCCTCTTCCTACAACTATCCATAACCCTGGTACAGCTCAATGGTATTATGGCATGTCATGGGGATTAAGGCTTTATATCTCAGGATTTAATGTTGGAACTATGTTCACCATCCAGAAAAAAATCCTGGTCCCATAGAGCTCTCCTAAGCCAATCGGACCTTTAACTGATTTAGGTAATCCTATGTTCCCAAAACACCCAGACAGGGTCGATTTAACTTTCCCACCGCCGTTCCTGGTTTCTAAACCTCAGCTGCAACGGCAACACCTCCAACCCAGCCTGATGTCCATTCTGGACAGGGTACAGCACCTCCTTAATCTCACCCGGCCTCAACTAGCCCGAGATTGTTGGTTGTGCCTGAAGGCCAAACCCCCATATGATGTTGGATTAGGAGTAGAAGCTATGCTTAAAATGGGCTTTCTTTCGCCGGGCACAGTGGCTCACGCCTGTAATCCCAGCACTTTGGGAGGCCGAGGTGGGTGGATCACAAGGTCAGGAGATCGAGACCATCCTGGCTAACACAGTGAAACCCCATCTCTACTAAAAATACAAAAAATTAGCCGGGCGTGGTGGTGGGCGCCTGTAGTCCCAGCTACTCAGGAGGCTGAGGCAGGAGAATGGCGTGAACCCGGGAGGCAGAGCTTGCAGTGAGCCGCGATTGTGCCACTGCACTCCAGCCTGGGCGACAGAGCGAGACTCTGCCTCAAACAAAACTAAACAAAACAAAATAAAATGGGCTCTCTTTCTTGTCATACACGCCCCCATGCCCTCATACTAGGAGACATGTCCGGGAATACTTCTTCTCTAATTAGCACTGGATATAACTTCTCTACTTCTCCCTTACAGGCTACCTGTAATCAGTCTCTACTTACTCCCTTAAGTGCCTCAGTCTCCTGCCAGGCACCTAACAATACCTGGTTAGCCTGCACTTTAGGTCTCACTCGCTGCATCAATGGGACTGAACCAGGACCCCTCCTGTGCGTGTTGGTTCATGTGCTCCCCCAGGTCTACACGTACAGTGGGCCAGAAGGACAGCTTCTCATCGCTCCCCCTGAATTACATTCCAGGTTTCACCGAGCTGCCCCACTCCTTGTGCCCCTTCTGGCCGGCCTTAGCATAGCTGGATCAGCAGCCATTGGCACGGCTGCCCTGGTTCAAGGAGAGACCGGACTAATGTCCCTGTCTCAACAAGTAGATGCTGGCCGGGCGCGGTGGCTCATGCCCGTAATCCCAGCACCTTGGGAGGCCAAGGCAGGTGGATCACGAGGTCAGGAGATCAAGACCATCCTGGCTAACACGGTGAAACCCCGTTTCTACTAAAAATACAAAAAACGAGCCGGGCGTGGTGGCGGGCGCCTGTAGTCCCAGCTACTTGGGAGGCTGAGGCAGGAGAATGGCGTGAACCCGGGAGGCGGGGCTTGCAGTGAGCTGAGATTGCACCACTGCACTCCAGCCTGGGTGACAGAGCGAGACTCTGTCTCAAAAAAAAAAAAAACAAGTAGATGCTAATTTAAGCAATCTCCAATCAGCCATAAATATACTGCATACCCAGGTAGAGTCTCTAGCTGAAGTAGTTCTTCAAAACCGCCGAGGCTTAGATCTGCTATTTCTCTCCCAAGGAGGGCTACACACAGCTCTAGGAGAGAGTCGTTGTTTCTATGCCAATCAGTCTGGAGTCATAAAAGATACTCTCCAAAAAGTTCGAGAAAATCTAGATAGATGCCAGCAAAAACGAGAAAATAACACCCCCTGGTACCAAAACATGCTTAATTGGAATCCATGGCTGACGACTCTCATTACTGGATTGGCAGGACCCATTCTCCTCCTCTTGTTAGTCTTCAGGCCTTGTGTATTAAATGGGTTCTTAACTTTATAAAGCAGCGCATAGCTTCTGTCAAACTTATGTATCTTAGGACCCAATATAACCCCCTTGTTATAACCGAGGAATCAATGATTCGATTCCCCAAAACACGAGTGGGGAATGTCATACCCTACCTTGTTTTTAACCTGATTGACCCTCCCTTAGCTGAGAAAGCCAGACAGACTCCATTTTGGCTCCTTCATTTGCAGTCCCTCACCCACCCCCCTTCCTCAAGGACTTAAGCTGACTCCCAGCACATCCAAGAATGCGATTACTGATAAGATACTGTGACAAGCTATATCCACAATTCCCAGGAATTCGTCCGGTTGATAGCACCCAAAGCCCCCGCGTCTATCACCTTGTGATAGATTTAAAGCCCCTGCACCTGGAACTGTTTGTTTTCCTTTTACCATTTATCTTTTTAATTTTCTTGCCTGTTTTGCTTCCATAAAATTGCTTCAGCTCTGCTCCCTCCTCCCCTTCTAAACCAAGGTATAAAAAGAAACCTAGCCCCTTCTTCGGGGCTGAGAGAATTTTGAGCGCTAGCCATCTCTCAGTCGCCGGCTAATAAAGGACTCCTTAATTAGTCTAAGAGTGTGGCGTTTCTCTATAACTTGCCCGGTTACAACGCAGCACTTTGGAATTCCAGCCGAGGCAGGTGGATCACCTGAGGTCAGGAGCTCGAGACCAGCCTGGTCAACATGGTGAAACCTCATTTCTACTAAAATACAAAATTAGCTGGGCATGGTGGCACGTGCCTGTAATCCCAGCTACTTGGGAGGCTAAGGCAAGAGAATCGCTTGAATCCAGGAGGTGGAGGTTGCGGTGAGCTGAGATCACGCCATTGCACTCTAGCCTGGGCAACAGAGCATAACTCTGTCTCAAAAAAAGATAAAAATAAAAATAATAAATAAATAAAAGGAATGATGATGATGCCAAGCAACCACAGATTGTCCACATGGGTGGCTGAGACAGTGACCTTTGCTTTCAAATGGTTCAGTGTACACCAACTTTGTGTCATGCACAAAATTATTAATACTATTTTATGAAATTATCTTCAGTCTATGTGTACAAGGTATATATGAAACATAAATGAATTTCTTTCTTTCTTTTTTTTTTTTTTTTTGAGGCTGAGTCTCCCTCTGTCTCCCAGGCTGGAGTGCAATGTTGTGATCTCAGCTCACTGCAACCTGCAACCTCTGCCTCCCGGGTTCAAGTGATTTTCCTGCCTCAGCCTCCCAGTAGCTGGGATTACAGGCGCCCACCACAACCAGCTAATTTTTTTTTTCTTTTTGTATTTTTAGTAGAGACGGGGTTTCACCATGTTGGCCAGGCTGGTCTCGAACTCTCAACCTCAGGTGATCCACCCCCCTCAGCCTCCCAGACTGCTGGGATTACAGGCTTGAGCCACCGTGCCCGGCCTATTCAAGGCCTAGGCGTCTTGTGTGAGTTATACATTTATATGCATCTTTTGGCTTCGGGCAGGAGCTGTTACTGTCTGCACATCTTAGACGCAGAACTGTGGACCGAGAGAGGCAAGGATGCCCTTTACCTCTGCCAAGGGTACGCAGTGGATTCAGGGCAGTTTCCTGCCTTCCCTGCCCTTGCTGGGCTGGTGGGAGGTAGGAGAGCCCCCAGCGCCTGGCCCCAACCCCCGCTGGAGTTTCCTTCACTCTCATCACAGTCTTTCTGTTTCTGTGGCTTTGATGAGGAAACCAAGGTGTGGAGAGCATGTATTGATAAAAGTCACCAGCAGCTACCAACTTCCGCGTGGGGATGGAACCTCTTGCTAAGTTTAGCCTCCAAAAATCATTCTGGGAGGCGTCTCTCAACCTGGAGGAGCTGGAGAGAGAGGAAGAAGGAGACGTGGGTGAGGAGGAGGATGGAAAGAGATGGGGAAGGGCAGATGAAGAAAGAGGGGGAAAGGAGGAGGAGGTGGCAGGAGGAGGAGGAGGAGGATGGAGAGGGAAAAAAGGGGAGAGCCAGAGGAGGAGTGGAGAGGGGAAGGAGATGAAGGGGAAAGAGAGGAGAGAAAGGAAAGACAGGGAGGGGAGGAAAAGATGGGAGGAGAACAAGGAAAAACCCCACAAAGACAGAAGCTGGTGCAACAAGAGACTGTACACCCGTACTTGACCTTCAATAAAGTATAGGGACAGAGACCTCCTATACCAGGCTGCTAACCTACTTTTCACTTCTGAGAAGTTTATCTACCTCATTTCCTCTTTTCGCCTCCTGCGCTCCAGCTTCTTTTCAGATTGCCTCCTTACCGCACCCACCAACCCACCACCACCATCAGCTCTTCCTCAGGACCTGAAGTCCACCGTCCTCACCCTACCCCCACCCCCTGGGCAGGAAATCCTCCCCCCTCTTCATCTCTTGCCAAGACCAAGAGGTGGTAGAAGTAAAGAAGCAATGATGAGAAAACAAATTATTATTATTATTATTTTGAGACTCAGTCTCACTCTGTCGTCCAGACTGGAGTGCAGTGGCGCGATCCTGCCTCACTGCAACCTCCGCCTCCCAGATTCAAGCAATTCCCCTGCCTCAGCCTCCTGAGTAGCTGGGATTACAGGCACACGCTACCATATCTGGTTAATTTTTTTTTTTTTTTTTTTTTTTGTAGTTTTAGTAGAGATGGGGTTTCAACATGTTGACCAGGCTGGTCTTGAACTCCTGACCTCAGGTGATCCACCTGCCTCGGTCTCCCAAAGTGTTGGGATTACAGGCCACCATGCCTGGCCAAGAAAACAAATGATTAATCTCATAGTAGGACGCTATGTTCCTCCTGGGGAATGCCACAGCATTTGAACACTTGAGACGCATCGTTGCAGAGAAGCAGGATGGTTCTTATCCTGGAGCCTGATGACCAGAATGTGAGACAGGGGCAAGAGTCAATTGATCAAGGTTTCTGAAGCCAGCTTTAGCACACATCTGGGAAAATCACCAGCCACAGTTGCCTCTGTGGCTGTTTTTCCAAAGAAGTTTCAGGAGGTTTCATATTTACACATTTTTCTTTTCTTTTCTTTTCTTTTCTTTTTTTTTTTGAGACGGAGTCTCGCTCTGTTGCCCAGGCTGGAGTGCACTGGCGGGATCTCGGCTCACTGCAAGCTCTGCCTCCCAGGTTCACGCCATTCTCCTGCCTCAGCCTTCCGAGTAGCTGGGACTACAGGCGCCCGCCACCACACCCGGCTAATTTTTTTTGTATTTTTAGTAGAGACGGGGTTTCACCGTGTTAACCAGGATGGTCTCGATCTCCTGATCTCCTGATCCACCCGCCTCGGCCTCCCAAAGTGCTGGGATTACAGGCTTGAGCCACTGCGCCCGGCCTTTTTTTTTTTTTTTTTTTTTTTGTTGAGACGGAGCTTTGCTCTTTCACCCAGGTTGGAGTGAAGTGGCATGATCTCGGCTCACTGCAACCTCCACCCCCTGGGTTCAAGCAATTCTCCTGCCTCAGCCTCCCAAGTAGCTGGGATTATAGGAGCCCGCCACCATGCCCGGCTAATTCTTGTATTTTTAGTAGAGACGAGGTTTTGCCATGTTGGCCAGGCTGGTCTCGAACTCCTGACTGACCTCAGGTGATCCACCTGCCTCGGCCTCCCAAAGTGCTGGGATTACAGGCATCAGCCACCGTGCCCGGCCTACACATTTCCTTAAAGAGGGGAATGGCACTGAGGAAGAAAGGCAGGTAGGCAGTAAGGCAAACCCTTACATTCTTATGAGACTTTAGTTAGTGCCCAGTAAATCTACATTTTACATAAG
Organism: Homo sapiens; assembly: GCF_000001405.40. NCBI lineage: Eukaryota > Metazoa > Chordata > Mammalia > Primates > Hominidae > Homo > Homo sapiens. The sequence continues at coordinate 6,653,004 of NC_000019.10, read as the reverse complement.
CTAAGGTGAATGTTTGAAGAGGAAGGGAGCAATGACTAATCTTGTCTTGTCTTTGTCTTTCACCTGGGAAGATAAGCTTGTAATTGACGTTGTCACTGTGAAATGGAACAGACTTTAGCTTTAGATTGCAGACCTAAAGTTAACATTTTCATGTTCTTGTTTATAGGAAGCCAGCAAAGAATTTCCTGAGGAAAGATCTGTGGGGATTAGCCCTTCATAGATGCCTGAGGCCTTTTACTTTTGGGGGTGGGGGGATATAGCTGATACATAAAACCAGTGACAGCTATTCATTGGATGAGGATGTGACAATGACTCAGCCTCCAAGCTTAGCCTTCCCTTTTGCACAAAGAGGTTGAGGGTTCTGATATTTTCTATGTTCCTTTACAAGCCAGACCCCCTGAGGTCAAATCCCCACTCTGTCACTTCCCAGATGGGTGACCTTAGTATTCATCCTTGGCATCTCTGGGCCTCAGTTTCCTCATCTTTAAAAGACGATGAAAAGTGGCCTCTACCTTACCCTGCTTATTGTGAGATTACATGGCTTGAACCCTTAGGTACTTTTACAGAGCTTGGCCCACAGTGAGCTCTTGAATCCTTCGTAGCTATTCTTTTTGTAAGCATGCTGTAATCATGTGCACATTTAAATTTCTGATTCTTTTCAGTTATTACATCAAAAGTGGCCTTACATTCACAGGCCACATCTAGTGTGTTTTTTAAATGGGAATTGGTAACCATTATATAAATATTCAAAAATTTTGCACGTGGGTGGCTCACGCCTGTAATCCCAGCACTTTGGCAGGCTGAAGTGGGTGGATCCCCTGAGGTCAGGAATTCGAGACCAGCCTAACCAATATGGTGAAACCCTATGGGTGTTTCACCCACAAGCCAGGCATATGGATATGTGCCTGTAGTCCCAGCTACTCGGGAGGCTGAGACAGGAAGATTGCTTGAATCCAGGAGGTGGAAGTTGCAGTGAGCCAAGATTGCACCACTGCACTCCAGACAGGGAGACAGAGCAAGACTCCATCTCAAAAAAAAAAAAAAGAAAAAAGAAAATTTTCACATAGACATGGACAAATCCAGATTTCTGGGTTTTCTTGGGGAGGTAGAAGCTGTGACAACAGCCCAGGTTGGATAGTGGCTGTCTCCTTTGGATAGGGCATGGGCTCAGCAGCTCACCACAGTCCCCACCACTCCCAGTTGTCTCTCACACTGAGGCTGAATGCCAGTCGCCTTTCATCATCATACTTGTGCTGTTGTTTTTAAGTAATAGTAATATTAATTATACTTCACATTTCTGGAGTACTCACTATGCACCATGATAAGTGTTACTCATTCACTTTAACTTATTTAATTCTCACAATAACCTTGCAGGGAGGTACTATTTTGACTCCTATTTTATGGATGGGGAAATCCAGGCACAGAGAAGTTGTCACTTCTCCATCAAAGGTGAGAAAATATATAACAGCCTGAGATGACCAAAGTTTTAAGAAAAAGGAGAGTTCATCGTTTTATTAGTTCCCTGCTGCTGCTGAAACACATGATCACAAACTTAGTGGCTTAAAACAACACTATTTTATTTTCTTACAGGTCTAGGGGCCAGAAGTCCAAAATGAGTCTTAAGAGGCTAAAATCAAAGTATCAGCAGAGCTGTATTTTTTTCTGGGAGTTCTAGGGAATAATTCATTTTCCTGACTTTTCTTTTCTTTTCTTTCTTTTTTTTTTTTTTTTTTTCTTTGAGACGGAGTTTCACTCTGTCACCCAGGCTGGAGTGCAATGGCATGGTCTCGGCTCACTGCAACCTCCGCCTCCCGGGTTCAAGTGATTCTCCTGCCTCAGCCTCCCGAGTAGCTGGGACTACAGGTGCCCACCACCATGCCCAGCTAATTTTTGTGTTTTTAGTAGAGACGGGGTTTCACCATGTTGATCAGGCTGGTCTCAAACTCCTGACCTCAGGTGATCCACCCACCTTGGCCTCCCAAAGTGTTGTGATTACAGGCGTGAGCCATTGCACCCAGCCTTTTCCTGCCTTTTCTCACTTCTGGAGGCCACCATCCATCCCTAGTTCATGTCCACCTTCCTCTGTCTTCAAAGCCAGAAGTATAACGCCTTCAAATATCTCTCTCTCTCCCTCCACTGCTCCCATTATCACCTCTTTCTTGGACTCTGATCCCTTCCTGCCTCCATTTTATAGGAATCTCTGACTGGGAACTGCTATAATCCCAGCATTTTGGGAGGCCAAGGAGGGGAGGCTCACTTGAGGCCAGGAGTTCAAGACCAGCATGGGCAACATAGTGATACTTCATCTCTACAAACATTAAAATTAAAAAAACAAAAATAGGCCAGGTGTGGTGGCTCACAACTGTAATTCCAGCATTTTGGGGGACTGAGATGGGAGGATCACTTGAGGCCAGGAGTTCAAGACTAGCCTGGGCAAAATACTGAGACATCATCTTTACAAAAATTAACATTAAAAAAAAATTAGACTGAGCATGGTGGCTCATGCCTGTAATTCCAGCACTTTGGGAGACTGAGTTGGGAGGATCACTTGAGGCCAGAAGTTTGAGACCAGCCTGGGTAACATGGTGAGACCCCATCTCTACAAAAAAAAAATTTTTTTTTTAATTAGCCAGTCATAGTGGCATGCACCTGTAGTCTCAGTTACCCAGGAGGCTGAGGTGGGAGGATCAGTTGAGCCCAGAAGGTGGAGGCTGCAGTGAGCTGAGATCACACCACTACACTCCAGCCTGGGCAACAGAGCAAGACACTGTCTCAAAAAAAAAAAATAGCCAGGAGTGGTAGTGCATGCCTGTACTTCCAGCTACTTGGGAAGCTGAGGCAGGAGGATCGCTTAAGTCCGGGAGTTTAAGATCAGCCTGGGCAACATAGTGAGACCATGTCTGTATAAAAAATCAAAAATTAGCCAGGTGTGGTGGTGCATGCCTATAGTTCCAGCTACTTGGGAGGCTGAGATGGGAGGATTGCTTGAGCCTAGGAGTCCAAAGCTGCAGTGAGCCATGATCGCACCACTGCACCCCAGCCTGGGCAACAGTGATACCCTGTCACTTACCAAAAAAAAAAAAAAAGGACAAAAAACAAAAATCCTTTTGACTAGGTTGGACCTACCCACATAACCCAGGATAAGGTCCTTTACTTAATCACATCTACTAAATCTCTTTTGCTGTGTAAGGAAACAAACATATCCATAGATCCTAAGGAGTAGGATGTGGACATCTTGAGGTGTGGGGTTGGGGAGAAATTGCCTTATTCTGTCTGCCATAACAGTCCTTTGTGGCAAATAAAGAATGTTTTCTATATTTTAAATAATCAAGGTGTGTGCCTATGAGTGTTAAAAACAGAATCCAGCTTACTTTACATGTTTACACCAATTACTTGGCCCCTGTAAGCATTTGAGTTTGGAATCCTTGAATATCCTTAGATAACATGGCTCATGACCAGGATTTGGGAATGCAAAGGATTCTGACATTTAACCTTTGAGTTGATAAAACAAAGACTGGAGGGCCGAGGGCTCTAGGCAAAGGGAGCAGCTTGTGCAGAGGCTCTGAAGCAGGAAGGAGCTTGAAGACATCCAGGAATCAAAGGAAACCCAGAGTCTCTGGAGTCCAGAGGTGAAGAGTGAGGAGGAGGGCGGGGTGCAGTGAGCAGTGGCCAGAGGGGTGGAGGAGACAGAAGAGGAAGGACTTTGTATAAGCCATTAGAATTTTATTTTAAGTGTAATGGAAGATTTCTAATGGAAGACCATTAGAATACTTTTTAAAAATTGTTAATGCCTAGAGATTTTTACAAAAACTTATTAGGGCCGGGCACGGTGGCTCACATCTGTAATCCCAGCACTTTGGGAGGCCAAGGAGGGCGGATCACTTGAGCCCAGGACTTCAAGACCAGCCTGGGCAACATCGCAAAACCCTGTCTCTACAAAAAATACAAAAATAAGCTGGGTGTGGTGGCATGCACATGCAGTCCCAGCTACTCGGGAGGCTGAGGCAGGAGAATCGCTTAAGCCTGGCAGGGGCGGAGGTTGCAGTGAGCCAAGGTTGTGCCACTGCCCTCCAGCCTGGGCAACAGGGGTGAAACCCTGTCTCAAAAAAATAAATAAATTATTAGGGCAATTTATGAACATGCACAAAAAAGAGGAAAATTGTCTAAGAAACTCCCATAAATTCATCACTTCATTTCAATAGTTTCAATGTCCTGCCACGCTGACTTTATCAACTACCCTCTTTCTAAATTTGATATTATTTCAGATATCATCCCATTTCACATCCCCCCTTGAATATTTTGAATGTATCTCCAAGGGATAAAAGGTATATCTCCTCCATGTACGTATAAAACCATGCCGCCATGATCACGTTCAACGAAATGACATTTCCTTAATAAAACCAATTCCCCAGAGTCTAGCTTCACCCACAGGGCGTTTTAATCTCCCTTACAGGGTATTTAAATCTCCCTCTGTCTCCCAGAATTGAACCCGACTCTGATCAAGTCTTATGTTCAGATTACCAGCTTACAGCAGGGGTCAGCAAACTGGCCCGTGGACACAATCCTGCCCCACCTCCAATTTTTGTACAGCTCACAAGTTAAGAATAGTTTCACATTTTTAAGTCAAAAGAAGAATAATATTTTATAACACAAAAAGTATATGCAATTAAAATTCCAGCATCCATAAAGATTTTTATTGGTCTACAGTGACTCCCGTCTATTTGTATACTGTCTATGACAGCTTTTGCACTTAAATGGAAGGATTAAGTTGCCGTGACAGGGACTGCATAACTCACAGAGCCAAAAGTATTTAGTATTGGGCCCTTTATAGAAAATATTTGCCAAGCTCTGGTTTACAGGGTTAGGGGATAGAAGAATACGTGCAATGACACTGCAAGGGTGAAATCACACTGGAAAAATCTACAGGACAAGCAACCTAGTGTATCCAATAGCTTAAGAAAAAACAGCAGTAGGCGTAGAGAGTGTAAAGGGAAAATATTTATTGATTTTTTTTTAGTAGGAAATGCATCCAACAAATCCAGTGTGCAAACTTTCCTCTCCTTCCAAAAGGAGAGGACAATAGTCTAAGAAATACCCATAAATCCATCACTTAAATTCAATAGTTTCAATGTCCTGCCTTGCTGACTTTATCAACTACCCTCTTTCTAAATTTGATATTGTTTCAGATATCATCCCATTTCACATGCCCCCTTGAATATTTTGAAGGTATCTCCAAGGGGTAGAAGGTGTATCTCCTTCACGTATGTATAAAACCATGTTGCCTCAAGTGATTCTCCTGCCTCAGCCTTCCAAGTAGCTGGGATTACAGGCATGCGCCACCACACCCAGCTTATTTTTGTATTTTCTGTAGAGACGGGGTTTCGCTATGTTGCCCAGGCTGGTCTTGAACTCCTGGGCTCAAGTGACCCGCTCTCCTTCACCTCCCAAAGTGCTGGGATTGCAGATGTGAGCCACCATGCCAGCCTCCCAAAGTGCTGGGATTACATTTGGATCCAGATTCAAGCCAGTCATGTTAGTCAGGGTTCTCCAGAGAAACAGAACCAAGGAGGGGAAGGTAGAGGCCTTTCCAGCGGCAAACAAGACTCAGAATTTAGGTGCTCCATGTCCTCAACTTCATCCTTGTCTTCCCACATATCCCAATTCCAGTTTCCAGGATACTATTCTTACAGGATACCATTGATACTAATCAATGCCCTCAGTTTATCAGTAGACATCCTTGGAAGCTGGGAGTCCAACTTGCCCTGAAATCCGGCCAATCACAGAATAAGATTCTGTGTTTGCTTTTCACCACTCTCAGCCCTGAGGCTACAGGAGACAAGGATGTCCTTTAGGGCACACATAGAAGATGTCAGGTTACTTATGCAGTGCTTGAGCTGGGAATTCAAATCCCTAAGTTCATCCTCTTCTCTCAGCACTCTATCCAGTGACATTAGGAGGAGCCAGCCAATCTCATTATATTCATTCGATTTTCAAAACTTCTCAGAAGTATCAAATACACAGTGACAAGATCTTTGCTTCTTATAGATAGTTAATTAGGAGTATACAGTGGTGATATCTGCATCTCTCTATTGCCAGATCATGCCATGGACCACCAGTGCTCTCTTACTACTGTAAAGAGTCATTAGCCTCTTTCAGTTTAATCAGATTAGAGAGCCAATTTCAGAAGAACGAGAAGCAATTCAGAAAGCTCATTCTTCCTCTAGAACCACTTTTTTTTTTTTTTTTTGAGTTGGGGTCTCACTCTGTGACCCAGGCTGGATTGCAATGGCATAATCATCGCTCACTGCAGCCTCAAACTCTTTGGCTTAAGGGATTCTCCCATCTCAGCCTTCCAAACAGCTAGAACTACAGGTACACGCTTCCACACCTGGCTAATTTTTTTTTTTTTTTTTTTTTTTTTTTTTTTTGTGAGATGGAGTCTTGCTCTGTTGCCAGGTTGGAGTGCAGTGGCATTATCTCGGCTCACTGCAACCTCCACCTCCTAGGTTCAAGTGATTCTCCCTTCTCAGCCTCCCGAGTAGCTGGGACTACAGGCACGTGCCACCATGCCCAGCTAATTTTTGTATTTTTAGTAGAGATGGGGTTTCATGATGTTGGCCAGGATGGTCTCGATCTCTTGACCTCTTCATCCGCCCACCTCGGCCTCCCAAAGTGCTGTGATTACAGACATGAGCCACCGCACCCAGCCACACCTGGCTAATTAAAAAAATTTTTTTGGAGATGAGGTCTCACTGTGTTGCCTAGGCTGGTTTGAACTCCTGGCCTCAAGCGATCCTCCTGCCTCAGCCTCCCAGAATGCTGAGATTTCCAGCATGAGCCATCACACCCAGTTTAGAACAACTCTTGGTACCAAAATCTGTATTAGTCAGGATTCTCCAGAGAAATGGAACCATTAAGTTTCATATATATATATATATATATATCTCAAACATTGGAGGTCTTTCAGCAGGAGACTGATGTGGTTAGATCACATCAGTGATCTAATGGTGGGGGCCAGAAGAGTGGATTCATAGCACCCCTGTTAGGACAGGGGTGAGACATGAAGAGAGAGGATTCTGATCAGAGAAGGAACAGCAGGCTCCAGCATCAAAGTTGGGAGGGAGGTTTTGGGGTAAGGAGACAAAAAGATAAGCTCAGCCTTCCTCCATAAAGCTTTTTCTGAATCTCACCCACATCCCATCTCCTCCATTCCTGGGCTCCATCCCTGGGGCTCCATTCTTCCAGCCCTGACCACATAGAACTAAAAGCATCTTGTCCAGCTGTGACTCCTCCACCCATCCCAGAGGATCCTCAAAAAAAGGAGCCTGGACATGAGTTATTCTGGGGTCCCCTACACCCAGTAAGGGGTCCAGGAAAAATGTTCTGCAGGATTTCTGCAACGGGAGAGAGCTCAGTGGTCTGAGGCCATGGAAGGCTGGATGAGGATCAGGAAGATCTCAGTGAACAGGGAGGAAATTCAGGGCCATCGCTAGTCTAAGGCTGCAGTGGAGGGTGACCATGGCAGGGGTCACAGAGGAAAATGAGGCAGGGCAAGGGGAAATTGTAAATGCCAGTGTAAAGAATTGTGGTGTCAGTTATAGGCAATAGAGAGTTTCCATCATTAACACCACAAGGAGCAGCATTTAACCAATGATGGATGGGATTTAGTGGATAAATACCCGGCTTCCCTGTCCCCAGGGTGGGACAACTCCAAGGCATAGTCTACACAGTCACCCCAAAGTCCCCAATGGGATAGCCCATAGCAGACACCTGTGCACTAATACACCCTGTATTAGTTCCTACCCATACCTCTTCTCACATTTCCTGGGGATGCCTTTGTGGTGTACAGACCCTGGGGTGATTTCCCAAAAATTCCTACCTCCTGGCATCCAAGCCTTTGTATAATCCCCTCTCCTTGAGTTCCAGCAGAACCTGACTTGCTTCTAACCAATAGAAGATGACAAAGATGGCCAGGTGTGTGGTGGCTTGCACCGGTAATCCTAGCACTTTGGGAGGCCAACGCGGGAGGACTGCTTGAGCCCAGGAATTGGAAACCAGCCTGAGCAACATAGTGAGATCGCATCTCTACAAAAATTTTTTTTTAAGTTAGCTAGGCATGGTGGCGCATGCCTGTAATCCCAGCTACTCAGGAAGCTGAGGCAGAAGGATCACTTGAGTTCAGGAGTTCAAGACCAGCCTGGGCAACATGGCAAGACCCTGGCTCTGCAAAAAATTTAAAAACTTAGCCAGGTGTGGTGGCACACGCCTGTAGTCCCAGCTACTCAGGAAGCTGAAGCAGGAGGATCGCTTGAGTTCAGGAGTTCAAGACTGGCCTGGGCAACATAGCAAGACCTTGGCTCTACAAAAAAATTTATTTTATTTTATTTTATTTTATTTTATTTTATTTTATTTTATTTTATTTTATTTGAGACAGACTCTCACTCTGTTGCCCAGGCTGGAGTGCAGTGGCGTGATTTCGGCTCACTGAAACTTCCACCTCCCAGGCTTAAACAATTCTCCTGCTTGGACCTCCTGAGTAGCTGGGATTACAGGCATGTGCCACCACGCCCAGCTAATTTTTATAGTTTTAGTAGAGATGGGGTTTTGCCATGTTGGCCAGGCTGGTCTCAAACTCCTAACCTCAGGTGATCCGTCTGCCTCGGCCTCCCAAAGTGCTAGGATAATAGGTGTGAGCCACTGCACCCGGCCTACAAAAAATTTTAAAAATTAGCCAGGCGTGGTAGCACATGCCTGTAGTCCCAGCTACTCAGGAGGCTGAGGTGGAAGGACTGCTTGAGTCCAGAAGTTTGAGGCTGCAGTGAGCTATGATCACACCACTGCACTCTAGTCTGGGCAACAGAACGAGATGCTGTCTCAATTTAAAAAAATAAAAATAAAAATTTAAAAGATGGCAAAGGTGATGGGCTATCACTCCCTTGATTAGGTTACATTATATAGGACTATCAGACTGGAATGAGAGGTTCCCTGATGGCCTTGAAGAAGCACATTGCCAGCTGTGAACTGCCTATGGAAAGGGTCATATGGCACAGAACGGCAAGAAGCCTCTAAAAGCCGAGGGCCTCAATCTTACCACCACAAGGAACCGAATTCTGCCAACAACCAGCTGAGCTTGGAAAAGGACTGCAAACTCCGGGAAAGAATGTAGTGCAGTCGACATATGAACTGTAGTCTTGAGACCCACAGCACAATGCTCAATTAAACTGTCCGTCTACCTGAACTTTTTTTTTTTTTTAGACGGAGTTTCACTCTTGTCGTCCAGGCTGGAGTGCAATGGCGCGATCTTGGCTGACTGCAACCTCCACCTCCCAGGTTCAAGCCATTCTCCCGCCTCAGCCTCCCAGTACCTGGGATTACAGGCACCTGCCACCACGCCCAACTAATTTTTGTATTTTTAGTAGAGGCAGGGTTTCACCATGTTGGCCAGGCTGGTCTCAAACTCCCGACCTCAGGTGACTCGCCTGCCTCAGCCTCCCAAAGTGCTGGGATTACAGACGTGAATCTGTACCTGGACTTCTGACTGAGGACACTGAGATAATGATAAAGATGTGGGCCAGGCGCAGTGGCTCATGCCTGTAATCCCAGCATTTTGGGAGGCCGAGGCGGGCGGATCACAAGGTCAGGAGATCGAGACCATCCTGACTAACATGGTGAAACCCCATCTCTACTAAAAATACAAAAAATTAGCCGGGTGCGGTGGCGGGTGCCTGTAGTCCCAGGTACTCGGGAGGCTGAGGCAGGAGAATGGCGTGAACTCGGGAGGCGAAGCTTGCAGTGAGCCAAGATTGCACCACTGCACTCCAGCCTGGGCGACAGAGCGAGACTCTGTCTCAAAAAAAAAAAAAAAAAAAAAAAAAAAGATAAAGATGTGTTGTTTTAAGCTGCCAGGTTCTTGATAATTTCATTTCTTACACAGCAATAGCTAGCTAATAAACCTCTTGCCCCCACATCTTTTTCCCAGGGTCTGCTTTTATGGGAACTCAAACTAAGGCACAAAAGCAGTTTATATAAATCTCAATCCAGGCGGGGCATGGAGGCTCACGCCTGTAATCCCAGCCTTTGGGAGGTCGAGGCAGGTGGATCACCTGAGATCAGGAGTTCGAGACCAGCCTGGCCAACGTGCCAAAATCCCATCTCTACAAAAATTAGCTGGGCGTGGTGCCACATGCCCGTGGTCCCGGCTACTAAGGGAGCTGAGGCGGGAGGATCCAGTGAGCCTGGGAAGTGGAGGTTGCAGTGAGCCGAGATCATGCCACTGCACTCCAGCCTGGGTGACAAAGCGAGACCCTGTCTCAAAAAAAAAAAAAAAAAAAAATTAAATCTCAATCCACAAGGAGTGCAAAGTTAACTTTATTTTTTCATTAACGTAACGTTATTTATATTTCAAGACCCCTTTGTACCAGAATGCTGAGAACCTGCCAACAGTCCCTCGGAAACCATCTCTCCCTACATCCTGCTTTCCCAAGACTGTCAAAGTTCCAGGGAGCTTTGGAATTGCGGAGGCATTAAGGGTGAAGAAAAGACTAATTCTCAAAATGCATGTCCATAAGGTCCCCACCATCCGTCTGCTCCTGGCCTATGAGACCTTCTTTCTTGTCCTTGTTCCTTAGAAAGGCAGCGCCTTGGCTGAGCGTGGTGGCTCACGCCTGTAATCCCATCACTTTGAGAGGCCGAGGTGGGTGGATCACAAGATCAAGAGTTCAAGACCATCCTGGCTAACACGGTGAAACCCCCGCCTCTACTAAAAATACAAAAATTAGCTGGGCGTGGTTGTGCACACCTGTAGTCCCAGCTACTGGGGAGGCTGAGGCAGGAGAATCGCTTGAACCCAAGAGGCGGAGCTTGCAGTGAGCAGAGATCGCACCACTGCACTCCAGCCTGGGTGACAGAGTGGGACTCTGTCTCAAAAAAAAAAAAGAAAGAAAGAAAGGCAGCACTTTCTCTACTACTCCTATACCTTGCTCGTGAGGCCGATTTTCAGCTGAGTTGAGGCACAGGAAACTTTTTGAGGCTTTCTGTGGCTTCAGATGCCCAAAGCCACTATTAAGTCACTTCCTTTTTTGGAGACCTGCCGCTTCTCTGGTCTCTGTTGTGGTGAGCAGAGTCCAAGCCTTCTCTATCTTTAGGTTCCTCTAAAACTCCTCTGGGGAACTTTCCATGTTTCTAGATCTCTACCTAAAAAGCAGGGTGTAGGAACTTTCCTCCATGGTACGGGCCTCACTATGTTCCCCCGAAATTTACACACTGAAGTCCTCGCCCCCACCACCTCAGAATTTGACTGTATTTGAAGATTGAATCTTCGAAAAGGTAATTAACTTAAAATGAGGCCCTTAAGATGAGCTCCAATTCAATAAGATTAGGGTCTGTATAAGAAAAGGAGATTAGGACAGGGATACAGAAAAAGGGACCATCTTATAAAGACACAGGGAGGGCAGGGCGTGGTGGCTCATGCCTGTAATCCCAGCACTTTGAGAGTCTGAGGCAGAAGGATTGCTTGAGCCCAGGGGTTCAAGGCTGCAGTGAGCTACGATCATATGACTGCACTCCAGCAGCCTGGAGTGCATTTAACCCTGGATTGAAAAATCACAGGGAGAAGCCTGGTGAAACTGATTTTGGAGTCTGGGCTCCAGAACTTTAAGATAATAGACTTGTGTTGTTGTTTTTGTTAAGAGACCAGCTGTCAGCCAGGCTGGAGTGCAGTGGTGCGATCATAGCTCACTGCAGCCTCAAACTCTTGGGCTCAAATGATCCTCCTGCCTCAGCCTCCCAAGTTGCTGGGAATACAGGCCCATGCCATGGCACCCGACTAACTTTTTAATTTTTTGTAGAGTCAGAGTCACGCTATGTTGCCCTGGCCGGTCTTGAACTCCTGGCTCAAGCGATCCTCCCACCTTGGCTTCTCAAAATGCTGGGGCTACAGGCATGCACCACCATGCCTGGCTAATTTTTTTTTTTTTTTGTAGACATGGGGTATCACTATGCTGCCCAGGATGGTCTCAAACTCCTGGCTTCTCACTACACTCCCACCTCGGCCTCCCAAAGTGCTGGGACTGCAAATGTGAGCCACTGTACCCAACCAATCTGTGTTGTTTTAAGCCATTAAGTGTGTGGTAATTTGTTACAATAGCAATAGGAGAACGGTGGGGATTGGGTAGCACACCACAGCATCCGCTATAGCCCGCCCCTTAAGCCACTCAGATTCATTTGGGGTTTGTGTGTGTGTGTGTGTTTGTTTGTTTGTTTGTTTGTTTGTTTTTGGCTGGAGTGCAGTGTCACGATCTCGGCTCACTGCAACCTCTGCCTCCTGGGTTCAAGCGATTCTCCTGTCTCAGCCACCCGAGTAGCTGGGGTTACAGGTGCCCCCCATCACGTCCAGCTAAGTTTTGTATTTTTAGTAGAGATGGGGTTTCACTATGTTGGCCAAGCTGGTCTCCAACTCCTGGCCTCAGGTGATTCGCCCAACTGAGCCTCCCAAAGTGCTGGGATTACAGGAGTGAGCCATGGCGCCCGGCCCAGATTCATTTGTTTTATAAGGAGACTCACTGCATTTGAGGACAGCTACTTAGGATTCTTGGTCTCTATGCCAGCCAGAAAATGAAGGTTGGTGGGATGAGCCACAGTTTACACTGCAGGAGTGGAGTCTAGCAGCCCCCGTGAGTGTTCACCCTCTCCCTCTCCCACTGTCCCTTCTAGAGTCCCTTCATCTTCAGGTGGCCCTTCTGTTGGTGTAGGTGGCTCACCTGGTGGGGTCACCTAGATCCTCATCCCTGAGGGATCTGAGACCTTGCTCACCATGTCTTTAGGCCCTTAAGGGCGACATTAATCTCTGCTATTCCACTGTGATGCAACCTTGCATTTGTTTTTGTTTTTGTTTGTGTTTGTGCTTTTGCTTTTGCTTTTTTTGAGACAGAGTCTCACTCTGCAGCCCAGGCTGGAGTGCAGTGGCACAGTCTTGGCTCACTGCAACCTCCGGCTTCCAGGTTCAAGTGACCCACCTGCCTCAGCCTCCCTAGTAGCTGGGTCCACAGGCACGTGCCGCCACGCCCGGCTAATTTTTGTATTTTTAGTAGAGTCGGGGTTTCACCATGTTGGCCAGGCTGGTCTCGAGCTCCTGGCCTCAGGTGATCCACCTGCCTTGGCCTCCCAAGGTGCTGGGATTACAGGCATGAGCCACCGTGCCTGGCCCAACCTTGCATTGATTTACTGTCTTGGTCAGTGAGAGGTGACAAGGAAAGTGATTTTAGAGGTCTCCATTGGTCTTATCCACAGGAAAAGTTTGCTGACACCTCATCTACTGAGTCATTTCCACATGCTCAGTGCTTAACCCAGATCATCTTAACCCCTGCGATGTTGATACTATGATTGTCCCCTAACTACAGATGAGCTAACGGAGGCACGAGGGAGTGAGGTCACCAGTGCAAGGTTCTTCAGCTAGGAAGTGGTAGATCCTTCTGGTTTCAGAGCCCTTGCCCTAACCCACTCACCTATATCTTCTGGGTGGATATATGGGCTGGTATCAGCCTATGCATAGACCCCATTTTATTATCTGCTCTCCTACTGATGGACACGTAGCCTGCTTCACAGTGTTATACGCAATGCAGTGATGAACATCCAATTGAGTGTCTTTCTATGCAGGTGGGCCCCCGTCACAGGTGCTGGGTGAGCTCAGATGAGGGTTTGGAGAAGGGTTTTGAGCCTTTGGGTGTTGACCTTTATCATCTCAGGATTTCAAATCCAGCCCTTTGCACCTGCTTCCCTTCATCTCCCATCTTTTCTTTGTTGTTGTTGTTGTTTGTTTATTTATTATTTTTTTTAAGATAAGAGTTTCTCTGTGTCGCCCAGGCTGGAGCACAGTGGTGCAATCTTGGCTCACTGCAACCTCTGTCTCCCAGGTTCAAGTGATTCTCCTGCCTCAGCCTCCCGAGTAGCTAGGATTACAGGCATGTGCCACCACACCGGGCTCATTTTGTATTTTTAGTAGAGACAGGGTTTCTCAGTGTTGGTCAGGCTGGTCTCGAACTCCCGACCTCAGGAGACCCTCCTGCCTTGGCCTCCCAAAGTACTGGGATTACAGGCTTGAGCCACTGTGCCCAGCTGTTTGCTTTTTTTTTTTTTTTTTTTTTTTTTTTAGATAGGGTTTCTGTTGCCCAGGCTGGAGTGTGGTGGTGCAACCTTGACTCATTGCAATCTCCGCCTCCCAGGTTCAAGTGATTCTCCTGCCTCAGCCTCCCGAGTAGCTGGGATTACAGGTGCCCAGCACCACGTCTAGCTAATTTTTGTATTTTTGGCAGAGATGGGGTTTTGTCATGTTGGGCAGGCTGGTCTCGAACTCCTTTCCTCAAGTGATCCGCCTGCCTCGGCCTCCCAAAGTGCTGGGATTACAGGCGAGAGCCACCGCGCCCGGCCCTCCCACGCTTTCTTCTCCATGTTCCTCTTTACGCTGCCCTCACCCCACTTCAGGACACTCTTACCAAAACTTGGCCCTGAGAACTGAATTGCCACAGTTTAGGGGCTCCTGTATCACTCTGGTCAAGTCCCTTCACCTCACTAAGCCTCAGTTTCCCCAGCTGTACAATACAGAAAAAAAATAGCTCATTCCTCACTAAGTCACTGGGAAGATTCAAAGAGATCCTGCATGGAAGGATAGTGATTTTAAAATAATTTAAGATTTTTTTTTCCATTCTTCCTTCTGATCCAGATCTCCACTCTGTCAGTTACTGGTTGGGTGACCTTAAGTGGCTGACTTAACCTTGCTGTGCCTCAGTTTCCTCACCTGTAAAAAGTGATAAAAGCATCCCCACTATGTCATAACTCATATTTCCCCCTACTATCTGGGTATCGTTAAAACAGCACAAGTGCTTAGGGTTTTTTTGTTTGTTTTTTTGTTTTTGTTGTTGTTGTTTTTTTGAGATGGAATTTTGCTCTTGTTGCCCAGGCTGGAGTGCAATGGCACAACCTCGGCTCACCGCAACCTCTGCCTCTCGGGTTCAAGTGATTCTCCTGCCTCAGCCTCCGGAGTAGCTGGGATTACAGGCATGTACCACCACACCCGGCTAATTTTTTGTATTTTTAGTAGAGATGGGGTTTCTCCATGTTGGTCAGGCTGGTCTCGAACTCCTGACCTCAGGTGATCCGTCCGCCTCGGCCTCCCAAAGTGCTGGGATTACAGGCATGAGCGACCACACCCGACCCACATGTGCTTAGTTTAGCAGTTCTTGGCACAAACTAGATGCTCAATAAATAATGGCCACTAGCTAGGCATGGTGGCACCTGCCTGTAATCCCAGCACTTTGGGAGGCAGAGGCGGGTGAATTGCTTGAGCTCAGGAGTTCAAGAGCAGCCTGGGCAACATAACGAGACCTTGTCTCTACAAAAAATAAAACTAAAAAATTAGCCAGGCATGGTGGCACCTGCCTGTGGTACCGGCTACTCGGGAGGCTGAGGTGGGAGGATCACCTGAGCCTGGGGAAGTTGAGACTGAAGTGAGCTGTGATCGCACCACTGCACTCCAGCCTGGGCAACAAAGAAAGACCTTGTCTCAAAAAATAAATAAAATTTAATTTAAAATTATTTTTAAAGCCAGGTACGGTGGCTCACACCTGTAATCCCAGCAATTTGGGAGGCCGAGGGAGGTGGATCACTTGGAGTCAGGAGTTCGAGACCAACCTGGCCAACATGGTGAAACCCTATCTCTACTAAAAATACAAAAATTAGTCGGGTGGTGGAGGGCGTCTGTAATCCCAGCTACTCCATAGACTGAGGCAGAAAATTGCTTGAATCCGGGAGGCAGAGGTTGCAGTGAACCAAGATTGCACCACTGCACTCCAGCCTGGGTGACATACTGAGACTCTGTCTCAAAAAATAAATTAATTAATTAATTTAATTTTTTTTTTTTGAGACAGAGTCTCACACTATTCCCCAGGGTTGGAGTGCAATGGCATAATCTCGGCTCACTGCAACCTCTGCCTCCCGGGTTCAAGTGATTCTCCTGCCTCAGCCTCCTGAGTAGCTGGGATTACAGATGCCCACCACCACGCCTGGCTTATTTTTTGTATTTTTTAGTAGAAACGGGGTTTCACTATGTTGGCCAGGCTGGTCTTGAACTCCTGACCCTGTGATCACCCCATCTCGGCCTCCCAAAGTGCTGAGATTACAGGCATGAGCCATTGCGCCCGGCCAATAAATTTAAATTTTAAAAAGTAAGGCCGGGCACGGTGGCTCACACCTGTAATCCCACCACTTTGGGAGGCCGAGATGGGCGGATCACGAGGTCAGGAGATCGAGACCATCCTGGCTAACACGGTGAAACCCCGTCTCCACTAAAAGTACAAAAAATTAGCTGGGCGTGGTGGCGGGCGCCTGTAGTCCCAGCTACTCGGGAGGCTGAGGCAGGAGAATGGCGTGAACCCGGGAGGCGGAGCTTGCAGTGAGCCGAGATCGCGCCACTGCCCTCCAGCCTGGGCGACAGAGCAAGGTTCCATCTCAAAAAAAAAAAAAAAAAAGTTGAAGGAAGGAAGGAGGGAAGGAAGGAAGGAATGAGAGAGAGGGAGGGAGGGAGAGAGGGAGGGAGGGAGGGACGGAAGGAAAGGAGAGGGAAGGAGGGAGGAAGGGAGGGAGAAAGGGAGGCAGCATATTTTTCCTTCCAGCAGAGGGGAAAAAACATGTTTCTCCTTCCCCTACAGCTGAAAAAAACAATTATTCTGCACCATGAAACTAGACTTGCAAATATTCTTTTATAGAAGAAGATTTGTATATTCTATACACCTGAACTTCACAGTCAGATGGTGTGTTCTGGTAAAGTAACTGTCAGTCTCTGAAATCTCTATAATTCTGCTTGATTTTCTTTATTTGTTGCCCTGGAAACACCATTGAAACTAAAATCTCTGTTTCTAAGAAAAGGCAGCAGGGCGCTGTGGCTCAAGCCTGTAATCCCAGCACTTTGGAAGGCTGAGGCAGGCAGATCACCTGAGGTCAGGAGTTCGAGACCAGCCTGACCAACATGGGGAAACACCATCTCTACTAAAAATACAAAATGAGCCGGGCATGGTGGCGGGCGCCTGTAATCCTAGCTACTCGGGAGGCTGAGGCAGGAGAATCACTTGAACCCGGGAGGCGGAGGCTGTGGTGAGCAGAGATCGCACCATTGCTCTCCAGCCTGGGCGACAGAGCGAGACTCTGTCTCAAAAAATAAAATAAAAAACTGCAAATACTTGTCAGTTTTGATTTCTAAGCCTCAGCTCTGTGGATATTTGGAGCCAGATTGTCCTCTTGGGTGGAGCCATCTGGGCACTGCAAGGTGCTGAGGAGTGTCTCAGGATCCTGCCTCCATGCCAGGATCACCCCCAGTTGTAACAACCAAAAATGTCTCCAGATGTTGCCAAATGTTTCCTGGAAGGACAGAATCACCCCAGTTGAGAACCACTGAATTCGATGATAAACACAGGCACATTTTTTGCCTATTTAAAGAGTCTGAAAGGCTCTGCTTCATTTAAATTAAGATTCCAAGCTGGATGCGGTGGCTCACGCCTGTAATCCCAGCACTTTGAGAGGCCAAGGCAGGGGAGTCACCTGAGGTCAGGAGTTCGAGACCAGCCTGGCCAAAATGGAGAATCCCTGTCTCTACTAAAAATACAAAAACTATTCAGGCATGGTGGTGCGTGCCTGTAATCCCAGCTACTCAGGAGGCTGAGGCAGGAGAATTACTTAAACCCGGGAGGTGGAGGCTGCAGTGAGCCGAGATCACACCATTGCACTCCAGCCTGGGCCACATAGCGAGACTCTCTCAAAAAAATAAAAATTAAAAATAAAAATAAATTAAGAAACTAGATACTGTCCTAATTACATTTTTATTCCTCCTCTGATCCTCCATGAGTAACTTAGAGAGAGTATATGATATCAATTCCTTTGATAGCGATGTGATTTATCACTCAGTATAAGGCCAAGCTTTGGAAATATTCCCTAAGCATTTAAAAATGCATCTATTTTTAATTATGGTAACATGTATAACATAAAATTTACCTGTAATCCCAGCACTTTGGGAGGCCAATGTGGGTGGATCGCCTGAGGTCAGAAGTTCGAGACCAGCCTGGCCAACATGGCGAAACCCCGTCTCTTCTAAAAATACAAAAATTTACCATTTTAACAATTTTAAGTGTACTCTTCACTGATATGAAGTATATTCACATTGTTGTGCAACCATTACCACCGTCCATCTCCAGAAAGTTTTTCATCTTGCAAAACTGAAACTCTGTGCTCATTAAACACTCACACTCACTCGCCATTCCCTCCTCCCCAGCCCCTGACACCCACCTTTCTCCTTTCTGTCTCTATAAATTTGCTCCATCATTTCCTCATATAAGTGGAATCATAACAGTATTTGCCCTTTTGCAGCTGGCTCATTTCATTTAGAATAATGTCTTCAAGTTTCATCCATGTTGTAGGATATATTAAAACTTCATTCTTCTTCAGGGCGGAATAATATTCCATTATATGGATATACCACATTTTGTTTATGCATTCATCCATCAGTAGACACTGGGGTTGCTTCTGTATCTTGGTTACTGTGAATACTACTCCTATGGCCACAGACGTAACAATATCTGTTCTCATCCCTGCTCTCAATTCTGTTGGGTATGTACATAGAAGTAGAATTGCTGGATCATAGTAATTCTATTCTAATGTTTGGAGGAAGTGCCATACTGTTTTCCATAGCAGCTGCACAATTTACATTCCTACCAGATCCTTAAGTGTTTCTTTTTTTTTTTTTTTTTTTTTTTTTTTGAGATGAAGTCTTGCTCTGTTGCCCAGGATGGAGTGCAATGGTGCCATCTCGGCTCACTGCAAACTCCGCCTCCTGGGTTCAAGCGATTCTCCTGCCTCAGCCTCCCGAGTAGCTGGGATTACAGGCACCTGCCACCACGCCAGGCTAATTTCATATTTTTAGTAGAGACGGGGTTTCACCATGTTGGTCAGGCTTGTCTCAAACTCCTGACCTCAAGTGATCCACCTGCCTCAGCCTCCCAAAGTGCTGGGATTACAGTCATGAGCCACCATGCCGGGCCACTAAGCATTTCTTAATGTGTTTCTTTGTTTGTTTGTTGTTGTTGTTTGTTTGTATGTTTGTTTGAGATGGAGTCTCCCTCTGTCATCCAGGCTGGAGTGCAGTGACTCGATCTCAGCTCACTGCAACCTCCACCTCCCAGGTTCAAGAGATTCTCCTGCCTCAGCCTCCCAAGTAGCTGGTATTACAGGTGCCCGCCACCACACCCTGTGGGCAGCAAGCCACACAGGTGCCGAGGCAAGAGACCGAGGGCACGAGCTGTTCCAGTATAATAAAGAAAATACATAAAATAAGAATACTTATACTAGACATAGATCATGGATATGATTATATATGAATATCATTAATTATTAGTTTGTAGCAATTACTCTTTATTCCAATATTATAATAATCCTTGCTCTACAATCATAACCTAGGAAAAACCAGGCCATACAGAGATAGGAGCTGAAGGGACATGGTGAGAAGTGACCAGTAGATAAGAGTGCGAGCCCTCTGTCACGCCCGGACAGGGCCACTAGAGGGCTCCTTGGTCTAGGGGTAACGCCAGCATCTGGGAAGACGCCCGTTGCCAAGTGGCCCGTGGTCTAGCGGTAGCGTCAGTGCCAAGGGAAAACACGGGCTACTTAGCAGACTCGAGGCCAGGAGTTTAGAGAAGACTCTGCTCCTCCACCTCTTGTGGAGGACCTGACATTAGTCAGGCTCGCCCGCAGTTATCCGGAGGCCTAACTGTCTCCCTGTGATGCTGTGCTTCAGCAGTCACACTCCTGGTCCGCTTTCATGTTCCATACTGTACACCTGGCTCTGCCTTCTAGATAGCAGTAGCAAAATTAGTGAAAGTACTAAAAGTCTCTGATATGATATGCAGAAATAATGGCGTAAGCTGTCTCCTCTCTCTCTCTCTCCGCCTCGGCTGCCAAACAGGGAAGGGCCCCCTGTCCAGTGGACACGTGACTCATGTGACCTTACCTATCATTGGAGATGGCTCACGCTTCTTACCCTGCCTCCTTGTCTTGTATCCAATAAATAACAGTGCAGCCTGGCATTCGGGGCCACTACCGGTCTCTGCGTCTTGGTGGCAGTGGTTCCCCGGGCCCAGCTGTCTTCTTTTATCTCTTTGTCTTGTGTCTTTATTTCTACGATCTCTCATCTCCTCACACACACAGGGAGAAAAACCCACCGACCCTGTGGGGCTGGTCCCTACATACCCTGGCTAATTTTTGTATTTTTAGTAGAGACCGCGTTTCACTATGTTGGCCAGGCTGGTCTCAAACTCCAGACCTCAAGTAGTCCACCTGCCTCGGCCCCTCAAAATGCTGGGATGACAGGCGTGAGCCGCCGCGCCTGGCCACAACAGGACATTTCAGTTCAGATCCACATTCCAAGTGCCATATAGTAACATATGGCTATTGACATGGAATAGCATGGTATTGAGTAGCACAGATTTGGACCATCTGCATTAATTGCAATTCTTCATACATTTTGAATTTTTTGGAGGAATTATTTGCCTCTTCCGTATTTCTGTTTCTCTCCTTCCTTGCCTTGTTTCGGATTTTTGTCTTATTCCCGTTTTTCTTCTGAGTTCAGAAATTATACATTTTATTCCTATACTTTTAGAAATTTTAATTTACATATTTAATCTATCAGAGTCTAACACTTTAAGTCTCTTGTCTGCAAAAAGCCTCCTACTCGGTCTCCCTGTATCCACTGGCTCCCCCTACAGGCCATTCTTCATACAACAGTCAAAGTGAGATGTTTCGTAAACGTTTTCTTCCATAGACAGTTGACGTTTGAACAATGTGGGGTCTTAGGTGCACCAACCCCTGAGCAGTCAAACGGCCACATATAACTTTTGACTCCCCCAAAGCCTAACTCAGCAGACTGTTAACCAGAAGACTTGCTGATAACATAAGCTGTGGATTATCACATACTTTGTATGTTACATGTATTATACACTGTATTCTTACAATAAAGTAAGCTAGAGGAAAGAAACTCTTATTAAGAAAATCATGGCTGGATGCGATGGCTCACGCCTGTAATTCCAATACTTTGGGAGGCCGAGGCAGGCAGATCACTTGAGGCCAGGAGTTCAAGACCAGCCTGGGCAACATGGCAAAACCTCATCTCTATGAAAAATTACAAAAAAAAATAGCCTGGCATGGTGGCATGGGCTTGTAGTCCTAGCTGCTCAGGAGGCTGAGGAGGGAGGATGGCTTGAGCCTGGGAGTTCGAGGCTGCAGTGAGCTATGATGGTGCCACTCCACTCTAGCCTGGGCAACAGAGCAAGACCCTGTCTCCACAGAAAAAAAAAATATCTCCACCTGGGCAACAGAGCAAGATCCTGTCTCCACAAAAAAAGAAAGAAAGAAAAGAAAGAAAGAAAGAAAGAAAGAGAAAGAAAGAAAGAAAGAAAGAAAGAAAGAAAGAAAGAAAGAAAGAAAGAGAAAGAAAGAAATTATCTCCACCAGCCAAATGTGAGAATTTCTGTTGTTTCTCATTCTGCCAAATCTTATTATTTCCCATATTTTATCCAGTTTTATTTAGGCATCACTGGCAAATAAAAGCTGTGTATATTTAAGGTGAGAATGTGATGCTTTGCCGGGCATAGTGGCTCACGCCTGTAATCCCAGCACTTTGGGAGGCCGAGGCGGGTGGATCACGAGGTCAGGAGATCGAGACCATCCTGGCTAACATGGTGAAACCCTGTCTTTACTAAAAATACGAAAAATTAGCCGGGTGTGGTGGCGGGCGCATGTAGTCCTAGCTGCTTGGGAGGCTGAGGCAGGAGAATGGCGTGAACCCAGGAGGCAGAGGTTGCAGCGAGCCGAGATCGTGCCACTGCACTCCAGCCTGGGCAACAGAGCGAGACTCCGTCTCAAAAAAAGGAAAGAAAAAGAAAGAAAGAAAGAAAGAAAGAAAGAAAGAAAGAAAGAAAGAAAGAAAGAAAGAAAGAAAGAAAGAAAGAAAGAAGGAAGGAAATGTGATGCTTTGATACACCTATATGCTAAAATTATCACCACAGTCATATCTCGCTGTGGTTTTAATTTGCATTTCCCTGATGATTAATGACGTTGGGCATGTTTTCACACACCTGTTAGCCATTCGTGTGTCTTCTTTTGAGGAATGCCTATTAAGATCATTCGCCCATTTTTAAATTGAGCTATTTGTTATGTTGCTGTTGAGTTATATGAGCTCTTTATATATTTTAGAGATCTCAACCCCTTATCAGATATATGGCTTACAAATATTTTCTCTCCATCCATACGTTGCCTTTTAATTTCCTTGATTGCTTCCTTTGCTTGGCAGAAGCTCTTTAGTCTGTTGCAATTCCACTTATTTTTGCTTTTGTTCTCTGTGCTTTTGGTGTCAAATCCAAAAAATCATCACCAAGGCTGGGTGTGGGGGCTCACACCTGTAATCCCAGCACTTTGGGAGACCAAGGCAGGCGGATCATGTGGGATGGAGTTCCATGTACCCAGGCTTTTAGGCTGCTGTTCTTTTTTGTTATGTTTTGTTTTGTTTTGTTTTGTTTGTTTGTTTGTTTGTTTGTTTGTTTTTGAGACGGAGTCTTGCTCTGTCGCCCAGGCTGGAGTGCAGTGGTGCGATCTCGGCTCACCTCAAGCTCCACCTCCCAGGTTCATGCCATTCTCCTGCCTTAGCCTCCTGAGTAGCTGGGATTACAGGCGTTCGCCAACACACCTGGCTAATTATTTTGTATTTTTTTAGTAGAGATGGGGTTTCACCATGTTAGCCAGGATAGTCTCAATCTCCTGACTTCGTGTTCGGCCCGCCTCGGCCTCCCAGAGTGCTGGGATTACAGGCGTGAGCCACTGCGCCCAGCCTGGGCTGCTGTTCTAAGCAGGGTTCAGCCTGGTTAATACGTGATGTTCTTCTGTTTGACCCCAATGTTTAAAGGTTTGACTTCTAAAAATCAAACTGCCGGGCCGGGCGCAGTGGCTCACGCCTGCAATCCCAGCACTTTGGGAGGCTGAGGTGGGCGGATCACGAGGTCAGGAGATCGAGACCATCCTGGCTAACATGGTGAAACCCCATCTCTACTAAAAATACAAAAAATTGGCCTGGCGTGGTGGTGGGCGCCTGTAGTCCCAGCTACTCGGGAGGCTGAGGCAGGAGAATGGTGTGAACCCAGGAGGCGGAGCTCTCAGTGAGCCGAGATCGCGCCACTGAACTCCAGCCTGGGCGACAGTGCGAGACTCCCGTCTTAAAAAAAAAAAAAATCAAACTGCCGTGGAAACTACTTTACCCGAAATTTTGGCTCACAGCTGATATGTTTTGGCTCTGTGTCCCCACCATAATCTCATCTCGAATTGTAATCCCCCCATGTCAAGGGAGGGACCTAGAGGGAGGTGATTGGATCATGGGGGCAGTTGCCCCCATGCTGTTCTCATGACAGGATCTGATGGTTTTAAAAGTGGCAGTTCCCCCTGTCTCTCTGTCTCTCTCTCTGTCTCTGTTTCTTCTCCTGCTGCCATGTAAGACATGCCTGGCTTCCCATTCGCCTTCCACCATGATTGTAAGTTTCCTGAGGCCTCCCAGCCATGTGGAACTGTGAGTCAATTAAACCCCCTTTCTTTGTAAATTACACAGTCTCAGGCAATATCTTTATAGCCGTGTGAGGACAGACGAATACAACAGTCTTCATGGGATTACCTATCAGAGCAGACAAAATGCAGCCATGTGAACACGTTCATAGATAGGTGAGTTTGTATTACTATCTCATGACTAGAATTCCTTTTTTTTTTTTTTTTTTGAGATGGAGTCTTGCTCTGTCGCCCAGCCTGGAGTGCAGTGGCATAATCTTGGCTCACTGCGATCTCCACCTCCCAGGTTCAAGCAATTCTCCTGCCTCAGCCTCCCAAGTGGCTGGGACTACAGGCGCCTGACACCACACCTGGCTAATTTTTGTATTTTTAGTAGAGATGGAGTTTCACCGTGTTGGCCAGGCTGGTCTCAAACTCTTGACCTCAGGTGATCTGCCTGCCTCAGCCTCCCAACTAGAATTCCAAAGTAAAAGCTATTGGATCTTTGTTTCTGTGTGTGAGTACATATTTAGATGTGTGTATATGTATGTATATTTATTGTTATATGTTATGCCTACCAATTTGGCTTATAAATAAAAGAGTGCTCATTAATTAAGTCCAAAGTATTTTTCAAGTTTATATGACTTAAGTAAGTCTTTAATGAGCAAGCTTTTTTTTTTTTTTTTTTTGAAATAGAGTCTCATTCTGTCGCCCAGGCTGGAGTGCAGTGGCATGATCTCCACTCACTGCCACCTCCACCTCCTGGGTTCAAGCGATTCTCAAGTCTCAGCCTCCTGAGTGGCTGGGACTGCAGTTGTGTGCAATTATGCCTGGCTAATTTATGTATTTTTTTTTAGTAGAGATGGAGTTTCTCCATGTTGGTCAGGCTGATCTTGAGCTCTTGACCTCAAGTGATCCACCTGCCTCAGCCTCCCAAAGTGCTGGGATTACAGGCATGAGCCACTGTACCTGGCCAACAAGGTGGTTTTTAAATTATTGGTAAAATAGGAATAGAAATGTCTTCAGAATTGTCAGCATACATTTTTCTCTGGGTTTCATATTTGTCTCTTCTAGATATTTTGAGGTATCAGGGTTTGGCATAGAAGGTTATCAAACCATAAACCCAGCCAAAACAAAATGATCTTTTTGTGTTTTTTTTTATATAAGTAAGACTATTTAATGTTATTGGTTTAATGAAAACACCTGAGTCTACTGAGTTATTGGTGAAAATGCCCATGCAGTTAACTTTAAGGTTCTTATTTAGGTGAACATCTGATATTCACAAGTTATAAAAGGGTTAACAAGAAAATAATGTGTAAATAATCTATATAAACTGCTAAAAATAAAGTGTAAATGGGTTAAGTGCTGCAGGTGAACTTATTGTGTAACTTAAAATCTTAAAATTATGTTTAAGAATAATATTTAAAATTATGCTTATTAGATGTCTGGGTCATTTCTAATTAAGGAAGGGTTATGATATGGGGAAATATGTTTCTAAAAATTATGGAAGAGTTCTCATTATAAAATGCTAATATCTGATAGGTAGCTCAGGATTTCTTTCTTCCTAGGTTTTCACTAAAATTTGAGGTTACTAAGGATAAGAATTCTAGTTAATATATAATTCTGCATATAAAATATGCCAAAGAAGAGATGTTCTTATTGAGAAAAAAATTATTATCAAATTCAGAAGTTATCTAAAGGTTAATTCAAATTATGGACTTGAAAAGAAAGGAACCAATAAGTAAAGGAGTGAGATGTGAAGAAAATTATGGATATGAAGATGTATTTTTGGTAAGGAAGGTTATAAAGAAAGAATAATTTTGTCGGGTGCGGTGGCTCACGCCTGTAATCCCAGCACTTTGGGAGGCCAAGATGGGCGGATCACGAGGTCAGGAGATCAAGACCATCCTGGCTAACACAGCGAAACCCTATCTCTACTAAAAACACACAAAAAAATTAGCCGGGCATGGTGGTGGGCGATTGTAGTCCCAGCTACTTGGGAGGCTGAGGTAGGAGAATGGCATGAACCCAGGAGGTGGAACTTGAAGTGAGCCAAGATCACACCACTGCACTCCAGCCTGGGCGACAGAGAGAGACTCCGTCTCAAGAAAAAAAAAAAAAAGGAATAATTTTATATGAGAAAGGATCTTGTATGGTGAATTTTTGTCTTAAAGTAAAATGACTGGGAAGGAAGGAAGAAAGGAAGGAAGGAAGGAAAGAAGGAAAGAAGACAATGGGAGGGGATGCAAGGGAGGGGGAGACAGAGAGAGAAAGAAAAAAGAAAGAGGAAAGGAAGAAAGAAAAGAGAGAAAGAAAGAGAAAAAAGAAAAGAAAGAGAAAGAAAGAAAGGAAGGAGGGAGGCAGGGGAAAGAAGGAAGGAAGGAAGAAAGGAAGGGGGAAGGAAGGAAGGAAGGGAGGGAATAAGAAAATAAATTTAGAACAAACTGAAGGTTCAAGCATGTCATAGATGGTCTGTGTATGTCATATGTAGTTTTTTTCCTCTCTCTCTGTATGTCTGCCTTTATGCATACACAGAGAAAACAAAGTTTAAAATATTTAGATGTAGAATATCCTTTAAAACCTGATAGAAAATTGGAGAAGTTTGGCTAATTAATGTTGTTCATAGTTAAAGCTCTTAGTCTTGATGAAGGAAAATTAAGAAATATTGTAAAGAAATACATTGGCAATTTGGCAATCCGTTTTTCATATAGTTAAGTATGAATCCAGATTTTCTGTGAAGCCAAATTTTCTGTAAAGACTTGCTTTGCTTCTCACTGTATTTGTTCTTCTGCATAGATAGCACTAGCACTAAAGTACTTACTGATCATGAGCCTAAAGTGAATTTCTTAATTGCACAAAACATACAGTGGTATTGGTGGACTTAAAGACATTAAATTGTGTGTCAGAAACAAAATATTCATCACGTGGGTTTGTTTTGGGGTATTTTTTGTTTGTTTTGTTTGTTTGTTTGTTTGTTTGAGACAGAGTTTCTGTCACCCAGGCTGGAGTGCACTGTCACCACCTTGGCTCACTGCAACCTCCACCTCCTGGATTCAAGCAATTCTTATGCCTCAGTCTCCCGAGTAACTGGAATTACAGGCACATGCCACCATACCCAGCTAATTTTTGTATTTTTAGTACAGATGGGGTTGCACCATGTTGTCCAGGCTGGTCTCGAACTCCTGACTTCAAGTGATCTGCCTGCCTCAGCCTCCCAAAGTGCTGGGAATACAGGCATGAGCCACCATGCGTGGCCTGCATTTACTATTTTTTTTTTTAATGATGGGGAAAAAGGTAGTTGTCTTACTTTGATAAGTTTGACTTAGCACCTACCACATTTTTTATGCTTTTGGTCACAGTTCTGTCACTAGAATGCTAGCAATTGGACATATGCAATGAGTAACCTGATTACTTTAATACAGTGGTTTGAAGTGCTGCAAGCAGTAACTCCTAGACACCAAATCACAGCGTTTCAATGTGTGGCATGTTAGAATGACAGGCCTTTTGGTAGTATAAATACCCTATTAACTAATCCTTGTGCTGTTAAGTTTCACAACTTTGACTCCTGGGTCTGAAAAAGGCACTGACCCCTGCTAAGTCTTGAACATCAAAACCAGTGGAAGTCTTGTCTTCAGATCCAGGGAAAAATGACAATCAAAATGAACTGTTTTCATGAGACACAGGGCTAGAAATTAAAACTATTCAGCCAGGTGCGGTGGCTCACACCCGTAATCCCAGCACTTTGGGAGGCTGAGGTGGGTGGATCACGAGGGCAAGAGATCGAGACCATCCTGGCCAACATGGTTAAATCTCGTCTCTACTAAAAATACAAAAATTAG
The DNA here is from genome assembly GCF_000001405.40 of Homo sapiens. Lineage (NCBI taxonomy): Eukaryota > Metazoa > Chordata > Mammalia > Primates > Hominidae > Homo > Homo sapiens. Next base: position 6,625,549 of record NC_000019.10, on the reverse strand, counting down.
CCAGGAGTGGTGGCGGGTGCCTGTAGTCCCAGCTATTCAGGAGGCTGAGGTAGGAGAATCGCTTGAACTGGGGAGGCAGAGGTTGCAATGAGCCAATATTGTGCCACTGCATTCTAGCCTGGCAACAGAGCGAGACTCTGTCTCAAAAAAAAAAAAAGAAAAAAAACCAAAACTATTCAATCCCTCTAGGCCCAGGAACTATCACGGATGAGGTGGGTGTGTGAGATTATAAGGGCCAATTTTGAGGGATAAAATTAGTTCAGAGTTTTTCTTATAAATTAAACGTTAATATCAAAAGCACACTGATGCAAGGTGAGGGTCTGAGCCCATGTGTCAGGAGTAAGGGTTTTTGTGGAGCATTGATCTGTTCTTTTTAATAGAAAATCATGAAAGCTTATAAAAAGTTTATCAAAATCTTACCCTATGGTCAAACCAATGAAAATTAGATAGATTTATTGATAAAGTTTTATTAAAATTATCTTTAACATTAATAAATACACCATATAAAGGTAAAATTTGGGTTTTCTCTTTTGAACAAAATTTGTATAATATTAATAAGAGAGAAAATAGTTTTGTTTAAGTAAACTGGAGGGAAAAAATGGATTGGAGAGGGACAGATTTGTTTGGTCTCATGCTGTCTTATTGTTTGAGAAACTGTATCTCCTATTAAAAGGTAAATATTTTTGTTTTATCATTTTGGCTAAATAAATGACTTGTGTTTTCCTTTTTTTCTTTTTTTTTTTTTTTGGGACAGAATTTCATTCTTGTCGCCCAGGCTGGAGTGCAGTGGCCCAATCTCAGCTCACTGCAACCTCTGCCTCCAGGTTCAAGCAGTTCTCCTGCCTCAGCCTCTCAAGTAGCTGGGATTAACAGGCACGTGCCACCACACCTGGCTAATTTTTGTATTTTTAGTAGAGACGCGGTTTTACAATGTTGGCCAGGCTGGTCTTGAACACCTGACCTCAGATGATCTGCCTGCCTTGGCCTCCCAAAGTGCTGGGATTACAGGTGTGAGCCACTGCACCCGGCCATAAATGACTATTTTATTGTGACCTGTGATCATGTTTTGTGATATCAAGTGTTTTAAAATTTTTGTAATTGGCAAAATTTCTAGGAGCACAATTTAAAGGTCTAAATTCAGTCTTTTTGACCTCAAACTAACTTTTTTGGATATTAGGTTCCCTCAAGTCCAAGAGAGATATCTTAGGTTAATTTGTTATTTTAGAATCATGCAGGAAACATTGTCAGATCCAAGGTGGTGTTTAGCTTCCTTCGGGTTATATTTTATTTTTGAGATGGAGTCTCACTCTGTCGCCCAGACTGGAGTACAGTGGCTCAATCTTGGCTCACTGCAACCTCTGCCTCCCAGGTTCAAGCAATTCTTCTGCCTCACCCTCCCAAGTAGCTGAGATTACAGGCACGTGCCACCATGCCCGGCTAATTTTTGTATTTTTAGTAGAGACAGGGTTTCACCATACTGGCCAGGCTGGTCTCAAACTCCTGACCTCGTGATCCGCCTGCCTCGGCCTCCCAGAGTGCTGGGATTACAGGCGTGAGCCACCACGCCTGGCCCTTAGGGTTATATTTATATAGATGAGTTGTTAATATATGTTCTAGGATTGTATGAGATTCCTAAAATTCTGATATGTCAATGTGTTTCTTGGCATAATTTGAGTAAGAACCTATTTTCTTTTATAATGGAACAGTGTGAGGTTCCAGCAAGGCCAATTTAGAAGGATCTATGTGGACAATGATTTTTGCTGCACTTTTTGGGGGTAATCAGGCCAAGTATATGGGACCAAAGCTTTTTTATTTTTTATTTTTTAGACAGAGTCTCACTCTGTCACCCAGACTGGCTCACTGCAACCTCCATCTCCTGGGTCTCCAACTCCTGGCCTCAAGTGATCCACCTGCCTTGGCCTCCCAAACTGCTGGGATTACAGGCAGAAGCCACCATGCCCAGCCATGGACTGAAGCTTATTTTGCAGGTAGGTTCATCCTGCTTTGACTTGTCTTTGGTGGGGGCAGTGGTGGCTGGACAGAGAATGATTGTGTTTCAGAAGGTGGCCACATGGTCACCTCCTCAGCATGAAGCAGCCAGAAAGATCAATGGTCAGATTCCCCATGATTAAAAAAATTGATAAATAGAGGGGACTGAAACTGACCCAATAGTCCCATAGACTGTTTTGTTTTTGATAAATAGAAATGGACACTTCCAGTCTTAAACCTTGAAACTTATGTTTGTTTTATCTGAATTTCTTCTTCTTCAAGAAGGAACCTCCCCACCCCAACCCAGGCATCTCAAAAAATATCAAAGAACTGAAACTCACCAGATCATCACATCCAGACCCCTCATTCATCACGATTACTTCCTTATGCCTCCCAAGTTCCCATTTTCCCACACATCATTACATTTCTTCCCAGCTACATAAACCCCTAATTTTAGTCAGTCAAGGGGATGGATTCAAGACTGATCTCCCACCTCCTCAGCTGCAGCACCCAATTAAAGCCTTCTTCCCTGGCAATACTCATCACCTCAGCCATTGGCTTTCTGTGTGGCAAGCAGCAGACCTAGACCATATCCCTGGTGTTTCAGTAACAAGATGAGGGTCTAATTTCATTCTTCTGCATGTGGATATCTATTTTTCCCAGCATCATTTATCAAAGAGCTCTCCTTTTCCCATTGTGTGTTCTCAGCACTTTTGTCTGAAATTCATTGACTGTACATGTGTGAGTTTACTTCTGGACTTTTTATTCTGTTCCATTGGTCTGTGTGTCTGCTGTCATTCCAGTAACATACTGTCTTGATTACTATAGATTTGTAATATAGTTTGAAATCCAGAACTGATGCCTTCAGCTTTGTTTTTCTTGCTGAATTGTGTTTATTATTCAAAGTCTTTTGTGGTTAAATTTTAGAATTTTGTTTCTATTTCTATGAAAAATACCCCTGAAATTTTGATAGGGATTTGCATAGAATCTGTGGATCACTTTGTGTAGCATGGACATTTTAACAATATTAATTCCTTCAATCCATGAACATGGGATATCTTTTCATTCATTTGTGTCTTCTACAATTTCTTTGATCAATTTTTTTTTTGTAAACGGATCTTTTACTTCCTTGGATAAATTAATTCCTGAGCATTTTTTATTCTATTTTAAATGGGATTGCTTTATTGATTATTTTTTCAGATAGATTGTTGTCAGTGTGTAGAAACACACTGAATTGTCTACATTGATGTTGAATCTTGCAATTGAATTTGTTTATTAATTCTAAGAGATTTGTTTGTGGCATCTGTAAGATTCTCTAGGCTGGGTGCAATGGCTCACATCTGTAATCCCAGCACTTTGGGAGACCGAAACAGGCGGATCATTGAGGTCAGGAGTTCAAGACCACCCTGACCAATGTGGAGAAACCCGGTCTCTACTAAACATACAAAATTAGTCGGCGTGGTGGCGCATGCCTGTAATCTCAGCTACTCGGGAGACTGAGGCAGGAGAATCACTTGAACCAAGGAGGTGGAGGTTGCAGTGAGCCAAGATAATGCCATTGCACTCCAGCCTGGGCAACAAGAGCGAAACTCCATCTAAAAAAAAAAAAATTCTATACATAAGATTATGACATCTACAAACAGAGGTAATTTTACCTCTTCCTTTCCAATTTAAATTTCTTTTCTTTCTTTCCCTTACCCAAATGCTCTGCCTAAAACTTTCAGTACTATTTTGAATAGAAGTGGTGAGAGTGGACTCACTTGTCCACCACTGAGTATGATGTTGGCTGTGGGCTTATCATATATGGCCTTTATTATGTTAAGATACCTTCCTTCTATACCTACTTTGTTGCTAGCTTTTATCGTGAAAGGATGTTGAATTGTGTCAAATGATTTTCTGCATCTAGTGAGATGATAATATAATTTTTATCCTTCATTCTGTTAATATGGTGTATTATATTTATTAATCTCTGTATTTGGAACCATCCCTGCATCCTAGGGATAAATCCCACTTGATCATGGTGAATGAGCCTCTTAATGTGCTGTTGAATTAGGTTTGCTAGTACTTTGTTGAGAATTTTGCATTTGTGTTTCTAAGGGATATTAGCCTGTAATTTTCTTTTCTTCTAGTGCTTTTTCTGGCTTTGGTATCAGAGTAATACTATCCTTGTAAAATTAGTTTGATAATATTCCCACCTCTTCAATTTTTTGAATAGTTTGAGAAGATTAGTGTTAATTTTTCTTTTAAAGGTTAGTGAAATTCACCAGTGAAGCCACCTGGCCACAGACTTGTCTTTGTTGGAGCACTTTTGATTACTGATTCCATCTCCTAATTTATTATTGGTCTGTTCAGATCTTTTTTAATTTCTTCATGATTCAGACTTGGTAGGTTTGTGTTTCTAGGAATTTATCATTTCTTCTAGGCTACCCAATCTGTTGGTGTATAACTGTGCATAATAGTCTCTTATAATCCTTTGTATTTCAGTAGTATCAGTTGTAATGTGTCCTCTCATTTCTGATTTTGAGTCTCCTCTCTTTTTTCTTAGTCTAGCTAAAGTTTTGTCAATTTTGTTTATCTTTTTATAAAACCAGCTCTTAGTTTCATTGATCTTTTCTATTGCGTTTGTAGTCTCGATTTTATTTATTTATTGCTCCGTTATTTTCTTCCTCTACTAACTTTTGCTTAATTTGTCTATTTCCTTGAAGTATAAACTTAGGTTGTTTATTTGAGATCTTTCTTTTCTCTCTCTTTCTCTCTCTCTCTTTTTTTTTTTTTTTTTTGTGAGATGGAGTCTCACTCTGTCGCCCAGGCTGGAGTGCAGTGGCATGATCTCAGCTCACTGCAACCTCCGCCTCCTGGGTTCAAGCAATTCTTCTGCCTCAGCCTCCCAAGTAGCTGGGACTACAGGTGCATGCCATTACCCCCGGATAATTTTTGTATTTTATTAGAGACAGGGTTTCACCATATTGGCCAGGCCGGTCTCAAACTCCTGACCTCATGATCCACCCACCTAGGCCTCCCAAAGTGCTGGGATTACAGGCGTGAGCCACCCGTGCCTGGCCTCTCTTTTCTTAATGTAGGCATTTATTGCTATAAACTTCACTCTTAAAACTGCTGTTGCTACCTCCCATAAATTTTGATACAGTCTTTCTCCATTTTTGTATTGTCAAGCTACTCTTTTATTTCTCTTTTTATTTCTTCTTTGACTCATTTATTGTTCAGGAATGTGTTGTTTAATTTTCATATATTAGTGCATTTTCTAATTTTCTTCCTATTTTGATTTCTAGTTTCGTATCATTGTGGTGAGAAAACATACTTGATATGATTTCAGTCTTCTTAAACTTGTTAAGACCTATTTTGTGACCTAACACTTGATCTGTCCTAGAGAATGTTCCATGTGTATTTGGAGGAAAAATGTGTATTCTGCTGCTGTTTGATGAAATGTTCTATATATGTCTGCAAGGTCCTTTGGTCTGCAGTGTTATTCAAGTCTACTGTTTCCTTATTCATTTTCTGTCTGGATGTTCTATCTATCATAGAGAGTGGGGTATCAAATTCCTCTATTAGTATGTATTGCTATCTATCTCTCTCTTCCCATCTGTTAATATTTGCTTATATAATAGAAACTCCAATGTTGGATGCAAATATATTTATAATTGGCAGATCATCTTTACGAATTGACCTCTTTATTACTATATAATGACCTCCTTTGTCTCTTGTGACAGTTTTTTACTAAAAGCTAATCTTGTCTGATATAAATACAGTTACCCCTTCTCTCTTTTGGCTACCATTTGCATGGTATATCTTTTTCCATCCTTTTACTTTCAGCCCATATATGTCCTTAAAAGTAAAATTAGTCTCTTGTAAGCAGCATATAGATGGCTCTTGTTTTTTTAATCCATTCAGCCACTTTACATATTTTGGTTGGAGAATTTAATCCACATACATTTGAAATAATTATTGATAGGTAATTACTATTTCTGTTTTCCATATCTTTTTCTGACTGTTTTTGTAGTTCCTTCATTTCTTTCTTCCTCTCTTAATGTCTTTTGTGATTTGATGATTTGGGGTAGTGATAAGCTTTGATTCTTTCTGTCTCTCTTTTGTGTATCTACTGCAGGTTTTTTCTCTGTGGTTACCATGAGGTTTACATAAGCATCTTATAGTTATAACAGTTCATCTTAAGTTGCTAGCAACTTAATTTTGATCACATAAAAAACTCTACACTTGTACTTCCCTCTTATATGTTATTAATGTTACATTTTATATATTTTAATATTTTGTATCCATTAACATTACTGTATAGTTTTAAAATATTTTTGCTTTTTATTCTACGGTTTAAAATGATCTGTACACACCATTACAGTATTAAAGCATTCTGAATTTGACTCTATATTTACCTTTACAGTGAGTTTTATACTTTTACTTTTTTTTTTTTTTTTTTAATGAGATGGAGTTTCACTCTTGTTACCCAGGCTGGAGTGCAATGGCACGATCTCGGCTCACCACAACCTCTGCCTCCCAGGTTCAAGCAATTCTCCTGCCTCAGCCTCCCGGGTAGCTGGGATTACAGACATGTGCCACCACACCTGGCTAATTTTGTATTTTTAGTAGAGACGGAGTTTCTCCATGTTGGTCAGGCTGGTCTCGAACTCCCGACCTCAGGTGATCCGCCCTCGGCCTCCCAAAGTGCTGGGATTACAGGCGTGAGCCACCACACTTGGCCTGTTTTCATATTTTTATTTGGCATTCTTTTGTTTCAAACTGAAGAATTTCCTTTAGCATTTCTTGTCATGCAGGTCAAGTGGTGAGGAACTCCCTCAGTTTTTGTTTATCAGGGAAAGTTTTTATTTACTTATTTTTATTTCTAAAGGATAGCTTTGCTGTTATAGTACTCTTGATTGACAGTTGTTTTTGTTCTCTTTTGGCACTTGGAATACATCATCCCACTTTCTCCTGGCCTGGAATGTTTCTGCTGAGGAATCTCTAATACTTGAATAGAGGTTCTGTTGTATATGATGAGTTGCTTTTCTCTTGCTGCTTTCAAATTCTTTTTATCTCTGATTTTTGAGAATTTTATTACAATGTGTCTCAGTGACGTTCTCTATACCTTAACCCTATTTGGGGTTTTTGGGGCTTCATGGATCTTCATATTCATTTTTCCTTTTCCAGATTTGGAAATTTTGGGGGGTTTGTTTTTGTTTTTGTTTGAGATAGAGTTTCATTCTGTTGCTCAGGCTGGAGTGCAGTGGAACAATCTTGGCTCACTGCAACCTCCACGTCCCAAGTTCAAGTGATTCTTATGCCTCAGTCTCCCAAGTACCTGGGACTATTGGTGTGCACCACCCCTCCAGCTCATTTCTGTATTTTTAGTAGAGACAGGGTTTCACCATGTTGGCCAGGCTGGTCTCACACTCCTGACCTCAAGTGACCCACCTGCCTCAGCCCTGCAAAGTGCTAGAATTACAGGCATGAGCCACGACGGCTGGCCTCAAAATTTTTCTATCATTGTTTTTGTAAATATGTTTTCTCTCCTTTTCACCTTTCCTGCTCCTTTTGGAGCACTTACATAATGCATATATTGGTTCACTTAATGGTATCTCATAAGCCTATTGAGCTTTTTCAGTATTATTTATTCTTTTTTATGTTTGCTCCTTTGAATGGATAATTTCAAATGTCCTGCCTTTGAGCTCACTGATTCTTTCTTCTTCTTGATCACATCTGCTGTTGAAGCTCTTCATGGAGACTTTCAGTTCAGTCCTTGTTTTCTTCAGCTCCAGAATTTCTTTTTAGTCCTTTTTTAAATATAGGTTCTATCTCTTTGTTGAATTTGTCATTTCATTATGTTTTGTTTCCCATTCAGTTGTCTCTCTGTGTTCTCTTATAATTCACTGAGCTTCTTTAAGATGATTATTTTGAATTTTTCATCTGGAGTTCGTTGATGTCCACTTCTTTTGTGTCAGTTTCTCATACTTTATTTTGTTCTTTTGGTGATGTCATGTTTCTCTGATTATTCATGATCCTTATGGCCTTGCATTAGTGTCTGTGCATTTGAAGTAGTCAGTTCTTTACATACTGGCTTTAGCAGGAAAAGCACTTTGCCAGTCAGCCTATCTAGAGATTCTAGGCAGCCTGTTTGGTGGGGAGTTGCTGGTGGACTTCTCGCTGGAGTCCTTGAGAGGGATTGCCTGGTGCCTATTTCAGCAAGAGAGGAGGCTTGGCACCTGGTTCCACAGGGGCTGACCTGGTGCCTGGATCCCCTGGGATGGAACTGGAGTTTGAGTCCACATGAATGATTGCGTGTGTGTGTGTGTGTGTGTGTGTGTGTGTGTGATAACAGATCAATTTTAATTCTAGCACCTGAAGCTATACAAGGGTATGCTCTATAAACTTCATGGGACTGTTGCACATGCTGGATAAAATGACATCTGTGCAATACCACTTAGCATCTCAAAATCAGGAACATACTATTGAATTGCTTAAACACAATCCACAGAATTAAAAACAAAAGCAGATGCCATCCACAGTTACACTAATTGTCCATTAAAAGTTTACACTTAATGCTTGATATAACAATCAATATCTAGCAGGGAATATTGAAAGGGATTTCAGAGTCTCATCCTGTTGTACTCTATTGGGAAGGTTTCTTGAGTACATATGTGACTGGCCAAAGATGGATACAACCAAGACCAGACCAGCAAGTAAAAGTTCTACAACAGTTTCTGTAGTTTCCACTTGCTTTTCTCTGGACAGCCTGTATCCGTGTTCGCTAAAGTGGAACTCGGGCTCAGGTCTGCAGTGCAGCCAGGAACTCACTTTACTCTCCATCCCCCATGAAGTGGGTTTCTCTCTCTGTGCTGCCTTGGGTTCAGGAAGGGGATGATGCAGATCAAGTGAAACTCTTTCCTACCATCTTCAGTACATCTTTTCTTTTCTTTTTCTTGTTTTTCTTTCTTTTTGCCTTTTTTTTTTTTTTTTTTTTTTTGAGATGGAGTCTCGCTCTGTCGCCCAGGTTGGAGTGCAATGGCGCGATCTCGGCTCACCGCAACCTCTGCCTCCCGGTTCAAGACATTCTTCTGCCCCAGCCTCCTGAGTACCTGGGATTACAGGTGCGTCCACCACGTCTGGCTAATTTTTTTTTTGTATTTTTAGTAGAGATGGGGTTTCTCCATGTTCATCAGGCTGGTTGGAACTCCTGACCTCAGGTGATCCACCCACCTCGGCCTCCAAAAGTGCTGGAATTACAGGCGTGAGCCACCATGCTCGGCCTATCTTTTCTTACCGTTATTTTCCATTCAAGTTCTGTGGTCTCTCAGCTGATTCTTTGACTCTTGTGAAAGTATTTTTCTGCACAGAAGATTATTGAAATGAATGTTTCTGTGAAAGGATAAAGGTTCGAAACATATCCTGCCACATTGTTGACTCACTCTCAGAGTCATGCCCAGTCTTGCCAATTTCCACTGTTGAATAAGGGGGATTCCACGTGGTTTTACTTTTTTTTGGAGTAATGTAGCTAAATATGCTCTCTAGTATTGTCCACTTGTATATTATTTTATGTGAAGTGTTGCTTCACATCTTTTATATCTTTTAAAAGTAGGTTGTCTTTTTCTTTTTGCCTTACAGAATTTTTTTTTTTTTGTGACAGAGTCTCGCTCTGTTGCCCAGGCTGGAGTACAGTGGCACGATCTCAGCTCACTGTAACCTCTGCCTCCCAGGTTGAAGTGATTCTCCTGCCTCAGCCTCCTGAGTAGCTGGGATTACAGGTGCACACCACCACGCCCAGCTAATTTTTTTTTTTTTTTTTTTTTTTTTTTTTGAGAAGGAGTCTTGCTCTGTCGCCCAGGCTGGAGTGCAGTGGCATGATCTCGGCTCACTGCAAGCTCCGTCTCCCAGGTTCATGCCATTCTCCTGCCTCAGCCTCCCAAGTAGCTGGGACTACAGGCGCCCGCCACCATGCCCGGCTAATTTTTTGTATTTTTAGTAGAGACGGGGTTTCACCGTGTTAGCCAGGATGGTCTCGATCTCCTGACCTCGTGATCCGCCCGCCTCAGCCTCCCAAAGTGCTGGGATTACAGGCATGAGCCACTGCACCCGGCCAAGCAATTATTTTTATAATCCCACTGGATTGTAGTCCCTGATGGCACTAATACCACACTGTTTAACTTGCTGTAGCCTTTTAATAAGACTCAATATATAGTAGAGTCTCTCCATTCTGTTCTTTTTACAGATCATCTTGTCTTTCTTAGTTCTTTGCATTTCCCTGTGTTTTTATTAGAATCAGTCTCTCTCTCTCTCTCTCCTCTCTCTCTCTCACGCGCACACACATACACACACACACACGTATACTTCCTGCTGAGGTATTGACTGGGATTGCATTGAATCTATAGATCAATAGATATTGGTGTAGAATTGGTGTCTTCATGGTATTAAATGTTCCAACCTCTTGGCCATGGTATATCCTTCTATTTATTTAAGCTTTCTTTAATTTTCTCAGTAACATTTTATGGTTTTTGGTGTAGAATTTATATAGTGCTTCCATTAGATGTAGTCCCAGGTATTTGATATATTTTTGTTGAGTTTGTAAATGACATAGTTTTACATGTCTTTTCTAGTTGACAGTGGTATATAAAAATATGATTTATTTTTGTACTTTGGCTTTGCCTCCGGTGTTGTTGCTAAATCAATATATTAAAACTATGTGTAGGCCGGGCGCAGTGGCTTATGCCTGTAATCCCAGCACTTTGGGAGGCTGAGGTGGGCGGATCCCCTGAGGTCAGGAGTTTGAGACCAGCCTGGGCAACATGGTGAAACCTCATCTCTACTAAGAATACAAAAATTAGCCGGGTGTGGTAGTGCATGCCTGTAATCCCAGCTACTCAGGAGGCTGAGGCAACAGAATTGCTTGAACCCGGGAAGAGAAGGTCGTGGTGAGCCAAGATATACCACTGTACTCCAGCCTGGGCAACAGAGCAAAACTCTGTCTCAAAAAAAAAAAAAAAAAAAAAAAACTATGTGTAGGTTGGGCGTGGTGGCCCACACCTGTAATCCAAGTACTTTGGAAGGCTGAGATGGGTGGATCACCTGAGACCAGAAGTTTGAGACCACCCTGGCCTACACGATAAAACCACATCTCTACTAAAACTACAGAAAAAATTAGCTGGGTGTGGTGGTGAGCACCTGTTGTCCCAGCTACTTGGGAGGTTGAGGGAGGAGAATTGCTTGAACCTGGGAGGCAGAGGTTGCAGTGAGCCGAGATTGCACCACTGCACTCCAGCCTGGGCGACACAGTGAGTCCATCTCAAAAGTAAAAATAAAACTATGTGTAGATTATTTAGAATTTTCTTTTTTTTTTTTTTTTGAGACAGAGTCTCACTCTGTCACCCAGGCTGGAGTGCAGTGGTGTGATCTCGGCTCACTGTAAGCTCCACCTCCTGGGTTCACGCCATTCTCCTGCCTCAGCCTCCCAAGTAGCTGAGACTACAGGCGGCTAGTTCTTTGTATTTTTAGTAGAGACAGGGTTTCACCGTGTTAGCCAGGATAGTCTCGATCTCCTGGCCTCATGATCCACCCACCTCGGCCTCCTAAAGTGCTGGGGTTACAGGCGTGAGCCACAATGACTGGCCTAGAATTTTCTACATACATAATGAAGTAATCTCTAAATAATGACTCATTTCTTCCTATTCAATCTTTTTGTCTCATTGCATTGACTAAAACCTCAAGTTCAATATTAGCTAACTCATTTCCTAATTTTAAAAAACGTGCAGCTCACTGCCAGAGTTCATTTAACTTTACATAAACACACTTGTTGAGGCTGAAGCAAATCTGGTTGAGTTTCAATGTGCAAATAAAATATAAAAACTGTTCTTGGAGTTATTTCTGAACAGAATTTGTCTCTAATCCTAATGTAGCAGAAATGTATATGATGTTACATTGGGATTAGAGACAAGAGTATTCTCGGGGCAAATGGGAAATGGGTTAAAAGTAGTAATAACAATCCTGGCCGGGTGTGGCGGCTCACGCCTGTAATCCCAGCATTTTGAGAGGCCAAGGTGAGCAGATCACCTGAGGCCAGGAGTTCGAGACCAGCCTGGTCCAACGTGGCGAAATATCATCTCTACTAAAAATACAAAAATTAGCCAGGCATGGTGGTGGGCACCTGCAATCCCAGCTACCCGGAAGGATGAGGCAGGAGAATTGCTTGAACCCGGGAGTTGGAGGTTGCAGTGGGCCAAGATTATGCCACTGCACTCCAGCCTGGGTGACAAACTGAGACTTCATCTCAAAAAAAAAAAAAAAAAGAGAACATAAATTATTCTACTATAAAGACACACGCACCATATGTTTATTGCAGCACTATTTACAATAGCAAAGTCATGGCACCAACCCAAATGTCCATCGATGATAGACTGGATAAAGAAAATGTGGTACCTATACACCATGGAATACTACGCAGTCATAAAAAGGAAAGAGATCGTGTCCTTTGCAGGGACATGGATGAAGCTGGAAACCATCACCCTCAGCAAACTAACACAGGAACAGAAAACCAAACACCGCATGTTCTCACTCATAAGTGGGAGCTGAACAATGAGAACACATGGACACAGGGAGGGGAACGTCACACATCGGGCCTGTTGGGGGGTGAGAAGTGAGAGGAGGCAACTTAGAGGACGGGTCAGCAGGTGCAGCAAACCGCCATGGCACACATATACTTATGTAACAAACCTGCATGTTCTGCACATGTATCCCGGAACTTAAAGTTAAAAAAAAAAAATTGACCGGGCGCGGTGGCTCACACCTGTAATCCCAGCACTTTGGGAGGCCAAGGCGGGCGGATCACGAGGTCAGGAGATCGAGACCATCCTGGCTAACACGGTGAAACCCCGTCTCTACTAAAAATACAAAAAATTAGCCGGGCGTGGTGGCAGACACCTGTAGTCCCAGCTACTCGGGAAGCTGAGGCAGGAGAATGGCATGAACCTGGGAGACGGAGCTTGCAGTGAGCCGAGATCACGCCACTGCACTCCAGCCTGGGCAAGAGAGCAAGACTCCGTCTCAAAAAAGAAAAAAAATTAGCCAGGTGTGGTGGTACACACCCATAATCCCAGCTACTCAGGAGGCTGAGGCAGGAGAATGGCATGAACCCGGGAGGCAGAGGTTACAGTGAGCTGAGAGCACACCACTGCAGTCCAGCTTGGGCGAAAAGAGCCAGACTCCATCTCAAAAAAAAAAAAAAATCACCAACATATTTTCTATCTCTGGTTTCTCAAAAACTAAGGATTACTTACCTTATTAAATCTTCACATACCCCTACTGAATCCCTGGGTAGATGCGTTCTCTCTGTTTACTAACCAAAATATTAAATATAATCATTGCAACTCTCTCTTATGTCTTCCAGTGGTCAGAAGTGTATCATAGCATTTCATATTTATCTTATCTTTGTAACCTGCATTTTTACCAGTTCAATATAATTTTCACATATTGATTGCTAAAGAGTGAAATGAAGGAATTAGGTTAAAATGTTTTTATTGGAAACTATCATGTCAAGTACCTTTTTTTTTTTTTTTTTTTTTGAGACAGAGCCTCACTCTGTCACCCAGGCTGGAGTGCAGTAGTGCGATCTCGGCTCACTGCAACCTCTGCCTCCCGGTCTCAAGCGATTCTCCCACCTCAGCCTCTCAAGTAGCTGGGACTACGGGAGTGTGCCACCTCACCCAAGGAATTTTTGTATTTTTCTTTTTTGTAGAGACAGGATTTCACCATGTTGCCCAATGTGGTGAAGTACTTTTAATGTGGAAATTTCCAATAGCCATATGAGTTTGGGCATATCTCAGAAAGTCAGCAAACAGTGAGATCAAGCAAAAAGACGGAGTAGAAAGCTCTGGGAGCCCCTCCCTCCAGTGAAATAAACAGTGAACTGAGGGGCAGGAGACACAGAATCAATGATTTCAGAACTAGTCATCCTGTTGCAGCACTTATAATAATGAGAGGAGTGCTTGATGAAAAGAGAGACTGAGACTTTAGAAAGAGAACAGCCTTCACAAACCAGCCCCCACTCCCCATTCCTCCGTCCGAGTGGGGCAATTTGGAGACAGTCCATTTTCCTCAAACAGGTGACCAGTGCCAGAGCAGGCAGTTGAGACCTTGGCCTCCAAAATTTGGGGAATTTGCACTCTACTAGGTCTGGCAATTCCTGAGAAGCCAATAAGATGCTTGTTTTGGCTCTCTTGAGTCCCTTCGTATCCCTCAGACTTAGAGGTTCGATGCCTTGTAAAATCTTTGTCATGTTACTAACTGACCACAAAATGGAAAAGACACTTCAGTGATCACACCCAAAGGATACACAGTTGCCAAAAAACAGTCGGGAAAAGTCAGAAATGAATAGTTTCAGCCTTCAGTAAGCAGAAATCAGCAATCCATGAAGACTTGGAGCATCGGAGTTCCAGACTTATGAATCATAATACTCAGGATGTCCAGTTGTAATTACAAAGCATAAAGACATAGGAAAGTATAACTCATTTACAATAAACCATGATTTAACATATACTGTTACTAGGGAAGCCCACACATTGAAACTATTAGTCAAAGACATTAAATCAACTGTCTCCAATGTGTTCAGTGAGATGAAGGAAAATATGGACAAAGAACTAAAGCAGATCATGAGAATGATATATGAAAGAAGTGAGAATGTCAATAGAAAGAAATAAATTATTAAAAATTCACAAACAGGAATTCTGGAGCTGAAAGTTACAATAATGGAGGTGATAATTCATTAGACGAATTCAAGAACAGATTTGAGTAGGTAGAAAAAAGATCAACAAACTTGAAGATAAGGCAACCATAAAGTTAGCAAATCCAAGAAGCAGGGGAAAAAAGTGAAGACAAATACACAGAGCCGGCCGGGTGCGGTGGGATGTTAACAATGGGATTGTTTGTGGAGCAGGGGGCTCTAGGGGTGTGTGGGAACTTTTTGTATTTTCTGCTCAATTTTGCTGCGAAACTAAAACTGCTCTAAAAAGACTTTTTTTTTTTTTTTTTTTTTTTGAGACGGAGCTTCACTCTTGTTGCCTAGGCTGGAGTGCAATGGAGCGATCTTGGCTTACCGCAACCTCCACCTCCCAGGTTCAAGCAATTCTCCTGCCTCAGCCTCCCAAGTTGCTGGGATTACAGGCATGAGCCACCACACCCATAAAAGCCTATTTTTTAAAAAGTTTTGACTAGTACCTTTTCCCCATTACACCTCTGTCCCACTCATCCTTTAAAATGTATTTTGACTGTGATATCAGCTGGGGCATGACTTCAGAGGAAAAGGTATTGTATAAAAGGAACTCTGGAGTCAAAATAAAGTTTGAGTTTTGAATTTTGGCTTTGCTTTATTTATTTATTTTTATTTATTTATTTATTTTTCTTTTTGAGACAGAGTCTCACTCTGTCACCTAGGCTGGAGTGCAGTGGCACGATCTCAGCTCACTGCAACCTCCGCCTCCTGGTTTCAAGTGATTCTCATGTCTTGGCCTCCCAAGTAGCTGGGATTACAGGCACCCGCCCCCATGCCTGGCTAATTTTTGTATTTTTAGTAGAGATAGGGTTTCACCATGTTGGCCAGGCTTGTCTCGAACTCCTGACCTCAAGTGATCAGCCTGCCTCAGCCTCCCAAAGTTTTGGGATTACAGGCGTGAGCTACCACGCCTGGCCAGCTTTTACCTTTAATAAGGTACTTAACCTTTTTAAAACCTAAGTTTTCTTATCATTGTTCACTGTGTCCTTTCATATACGTACGTTATGGAAATATCTATGGATTGTTTTTAAAATTCTAGTTGTTGCTGAAAATTCACAAAAGGCATCTCAAGATAATACTACTTATCTCCCAGGGCTGTTGGAATATTAACTGAGACCATTTTGTTGCTGTTGTTTTTGTTTGTTTTTTGAGACCATATTTATTTTTAAAATAAAAACAGAATGCAAGAAAGTTGGCCTGACACAAATGGGAACTCATCAAATGCAATCTCCAAGAGGGTAGGAACTTTGATTTCTGCACTATTGTATTAATACCTTGGAAACAGCAGGAACTCAGAAATATATGTTCAGTAATTTTAAAAAAAAAAAAAAGCTTGGCTAGGCTACTGAATGATCACAGACCACATGGAAAGAAAAAGAGGCTTGATGCCATTACAGGTGGGACTATGGAGTTCTCTCTTGGAGGGGTGACTGTATTTTGCAAGCAGGAAGGAGCATGAGCTGAGTTTCTGTGATCAAATGGGTGGGTTTTGATAGCGATTCGTGTTCTCCACCTAGTATTTTCAGCTTTCTTTCTGACTCTTGCAAGCATGCCACTTCCCTGCACCCACTAAAGTTAAGCAGGGTCACTGACACGCTTTGGTTAGTGAAAAGGGACTGGCAATGATGTGTATCCATCTGTGGTTTTCTACTTTACACTCCTAGCACAAGGGTCATGTCAAGATGAAAACCGTCTAGGCATGAGCCACAGCGCCTGGCTGGAACATCAGTTTTACTGCAAGATTTGGAAGAAACAAATTGAATTGATTACCAAGAGAATGTGCAAGAACTATTAAGTCTTAGGACACATGGCCAAGACCAAAAGTCTCTGGTGATGGGCTGGGGTGGGGCCCCGTCCCACAGCCCTCGGACCAAGTAAGAAGAAAAAGTAGGAGGGGGAGGTGGCTTATGCCTCTAATCCCTGCACTGTGGGATTAGCTGGGTGTGGTGCCTCATGCCTGTAATGTCAGCTACTCAGGAGGCTGAGGCAGGAGAATTGCATGAACCCAGGAGGTGGAGGTTGCAGAGAGCCAAGATTGTGCCACTGCACTCCAGCCTGGGCGACAGAGTGAGACTCCTACTAATAAATAAATAAAAGAAAAACTAAGTTAAAATTTGTAAGGGCATAAAACATAATTTTAATAGGAAGCTATGAGAATTATCTACACTTGCAGATAATTGAATGAGCTGAGTTATCTGATGATTGATTGAATGATCGAATTATAGGTAACTGTGATTTTTCTTTTTTTTTTTTGAGATGGAGTTTTGCTCTTGTCACCCAAACTAGAGTACAGTGGCAAGATCTCGGCTCACTGCAACCTCTGTCTCCCAGATTCAAGCGATTCTCCTGCCCGCCACCACGTCTGGCTAATTTTGGAATTTTTAGTAGAGATATGGTTTCACCATGTTGGCCAGGCTAGTCTCGAACCCCTGACCTCAGGTGATCCTCCCGCCTCGGCCTCCCGAAGTGCTGGGATTACTGGCATGAGCCACTGCGCCTGGCCTTTGCTACTTAATTTTATAAGACATCTACTTTTTCAAATATTTGCTGTTTTTGCTCTCATGATATGAAAATTTTTTTATTGTGAGGGAGCATTTCTATGAAAACAATAGTAGAAATTTGTGCCAATTTTGGTTATTAAAATAATAAAATTGTTGGGTTAGTTTGTTATTCTTAACCAAATGCTCCTACAGATAGCATATTGCACAGATGGTTTGATTGTTTTTTTTTCATCTTAGGTGAATTTTCCTTAATTTTATTCATCAAACTGTATTTACTTGAGATAAATAGACATTGTAGTTACTGTGTGCTCTACAGATCTCTACTTTTTTAAAAATAAAAATTCTCGGCCAGGCGCGGTGGCTCACGCGTGTAATCCCAGCAGTTTGGGAGGCTGAGGTGGGTGGATCAGAAGGTCAGGAGTTCAAGACCAACCTGGCAAAGATGGCAAAACCCCATCTCTACTAAAAACACAAAAAATTAGACAGGCGAGGTGGCGCAAGCCTGTAATCCCAGCTACTCGGGAGGCTGAGGCAGGAGAATCGCTTGAACCTGGGAGGCAGAGGTTGCGGTGAGCCAAGATTGCACCACTGCACTCCAGCCTGGGCAACAGGGCAAGACTCGGTCTCAAAAAAAAAAAAAAATTCTCAGTCAAAACTCTGACCTATTTTATAAAAATTTGGATTGTAAATACTACTTCGACGTAACTTATATGTACATTAATGATTAGTAAGTGGAGTAATTCTATTCTTTAAAGGGGGGAAGTCTATATGAGTGTATTAATTTGTCAAAATGGTACAGTTCAGATTGTACCTTTCAATATGTATACATTTTATCTAAAAAGAAAACCCAAAAAACTAATAAATTGGGGGGTAGGAAATGGGTCAAAGTATAGATGAAGCAAACATGGCATGACTAGTAGCTGTTCAACCTGGGTGACAAGTCTATTATACTATCTTTGTATTCTGTATATATTTTTGTTTTTTGAGATGAAGTCTGGCTCTCGTCACCCAGGCTGGAGTGCAGTGGCATGATCTCAGCTCATTGCAACCTCCGCCTCCCAGGTCCAAGCAATTCTCAAGCCTCAGCCTCCTGAGTAGCTGGGACTGCAATTGCACATGACCACGCCTGGCTAATTTTTGAATTTTTAGTAGAGAGGGAGTTTCACCATGTTGGCCAGGCTGGTCTCGAACTCCTGACCTCAGGTGATCTGCCCGCCTCGGACTCCCAAAGTTCTGGGATTACAGGCGTGAGCCACTGTACCTGGCCTGTATTTTGTGTAGGTTTTTAATGTTTGGTGACAAAACACTTGTTGAAAATGAAAAAAAAAAAATTAGTCGGGCATGGTGCCGTGCACCTGTGGTCCCAGCTATTTGGGGGACTAAATAGGAGGATTACTTGAACCCAGGAAGCAGAAGTTGCATTAAGCCGAGATTGTGCTACGGCTCTGCACCCTGAACAACAGAGTGAGGCCCTGTCTCAACAAAAAAAAAAAAAAAAAAGGAAGAAGCCTATTTCAGCCTACCATGGGCAGAACCCCTTGCTGATCTGAATGTTGTGTGAGTAGAAAATAAACTTTTTTTTTAAGTGAAATAAGTTTAGTAAGAAAGTAAAGGAATAGGCCAGGAGTGTTAGCCTCACAGCTGTAATCCCAGCACTTTGGGAGGCCAAGGGGGGCAGATCACCTGAGGTCAGGAGATCGAGACCAGCCTGGCCAAAATGGTGAAACCCCATGTCTACTAAAAATACAAACAATTAGCCGGGTGTGGTGGCAGGCACCTGTAATCTCTGCTACTCTGGTGGCTGAGGCAGGAGAATCACTTGAGCCCAGGAGGCAAAGGTTGCAGTGAGCTGAGATCGCGCCATTGAACTCCAGCCTGGGCAACAAGAGCAAAACTCCGTCTCAAACAAACAAACAAACAAACAAACACAAAACAGAAAGTAAAGGAGTAAAGAATGGCCACTCCATAGGCAGAGCAGCCCTAAATACACCTTTATTGTGTAAAGTCTGGCCAGGGGTGGTGGCTCACGCCTGGAATCCCAACAATTTGGAAGGCCAAGGTGGGAGTATCACTTGAGGCCAAGAGTTCAGGACCAGCCTGAGCAACATAGCAAGAGCCCATCTCTCCAAAAACTTTTAAAATTAGCTGAATGTGAGGCCGGGCGCGGTGGCTCACGCCTATAATCCCAGCACTTTGAGAGGCCAAGGCAGGCGGATCACGAGGTCAGGAGATCGAGACCATCCTGGCTAACACAGTGAAACCCCGTCTCTACTAAAAACACAAAAAAATTAGCCGGGCGAGGTGGCGGGCACCTGTGGTTCCAGCTACTCGGAAGGCTGAGGCAGGAGAACGGCGTGAACCCGGGAGGCGGAGCTGGCAGTGAGCCGACATTGCACCACTGCACTCTAGCCTGGGCAACATAGCAAGACTCCAACTCAAAAAAAAAAAATAGCTGAGTGTGGTGGTGCATGCCTGTAGTCCCACCTTCTCAGGAAGCTGAGACAGGAGGATCACTCAAGCCCAGGAACTGGAGGCTGCAGGGAGCTATGATTGCACCACTGCTCTCCAGCCTGGGCGACAGAGTAAGACCCTGTCTCCAAAAGCAGTAATAATAATAAATAAATAATAATAAGAGGCCGGGCGCAGTAGCTCACACCTGTAATCCCAGCACTGTGGGAGGCCAAGGCGGGCACATTATTTGAGGTCAGGAGTTTGAGACCAGCCTGGCCAACATGGTGAAACCCTGTCTCTACTAAAAATACAAAAAAATTAGCTGGGCATAATGGCAGGCTCCTGTAGTCCCAGCTACTTGGGAGGCTGAGGCATGAGAATCACTTGACCCTGGGAGGCGGAGGTTGCAGTGAGCCCAGGCCACTGCACTCCAGCCTGGGCAACAGAGTGAGTCTCTTTCTCAGATTAATAATAGCAACAGTCGTAGTGATACAGGAGGTAGAAAGAAATTATTTAGGCAGATAGTGAAGGCAGCAGAGTCCTCGGCAGAGCTTCCCTTCTAACAAAAAGCAGCCCCCAAATCATTTCTTTTCTAACAAGCAGCAGCCTGAAAAATTGAGCTGCAAACATAGATAGGCACAGCTGGAAGCTTACACGGGAGAATGCCGGCAGGTGCGCCAATAGAAGAGAGCTACCCAGGGGCCAGGCAGGCCCTACATGGACGCTTCCTCTTCCCTTTTATGTTACCACGCGTGCAGTAACAGAAATGGGCAACATGGCGCAGCTCGGGCAGAGAACCTGCCTGCATAATAAAAGATTAGGGTCAGAGGCTACCAGAAATTTGCACCCTATGCAAATGCGACACATGGTCTAACCAGTTTTTCACACCCTATATAAATCAAACACCGTTTGCTCACTAGCTTCTCTATAAAACCCCCTACATTTCCCCGCTGATACGGCAACCCATTTTTCCGGGACCCCTCTCTGCAGCAGAGAGCTCTCCTCTTTCTTTCGCCTATGAAACTTCCATTCTCGACCTCACTCTTTCTATGTCTATGTCCTTGTTTTCCTTGGCTGTGAGACTGTGAACCTCGGGTGTTACTCCAGACAAGGAGGCCGTTTCAGTAGTAGCAATGATAGTAATAGTTCTCACCAGTTCCTTACTACGTACTGGCTCTTTGCTAAACAGTTTACAAATATTAATTCCTTCCAACCTCATAGCAAGCCTGTGAGATACTTTTATTACTTCCAGGGAACTGAGGCACAGAGAGGTTAAATCACTTGCTGCAGGTCACACAGCTGGTAAGTGTTGGAGCCAGAATGCAAATTTGGGCTGCAAGACCAGAATGAAGGTGGAAAAAAATGAAGCAGATTGTAGAAGTGTAGGGTTGGATCTGATCTTTAAAACATCTTTGCAATTTGTTCATCATGAATTTTTTTGACCTTCACTTTTTAGATTTTTTTTAAAATGTTGCCTGAGAATATCATTTATTTTGACAATGACAGTTTGAGATGCCCCCTTGAAATTTGCACTTGAGGCACAAAATTCTGTTACTGATAGTAATAGAACCCTGGAGTTTCAGCTGGGTACATGGCTAATCAGAATGAAGACTACATTTCCCAGTCTCCCTTGCCTGAGTCATGTGACAAAGTCCTGGCCAATGGGTTGTAAGCGGAATTTATTAGCGCAAGCACTTCCTTGAAAAGGAAGGATAGTTGCTTCCCTTCACTTTTTGACCTTCCTGTTTCCTGGAACTCAGCCATGGTGGTGTGTCACTTTGTACTTTGCAGACAAGGGCATCACCTTTGATGTGTCGGAGGCACTTCAGTGAAAGAATTTTGGCTCCTAAAGATTTTGCAGAACAGAGATGACATGCCAGCCCAGACTTTCATGTAGGTGAAAATTGTTTCTTGTTGCTTCCTTTTGCACAGAATTCTCCTAGTCCTGCTGGCTCATGGGATAAAGAAAGGAACAGGAATGAGCCGGGCATGGTGGTTCACGCCTGTAATCCCAGCACTTTGGGAAGCTGAGGCGGGTGGATCACCTGAGATCAAGAGTTCGAGACCAGCCTGGCCAACATGGTGAAACCCCGTCTCTACGAAAAATACAAAAATTAGCTGGTCATGGTGGTGGGCGCCTGTAATCCCAGCTACTGGGGGGCTGAAGCAGGAGAATCCCTTGAACCTGGGAGGCGGAGGCTGCAATGAGCCGAGATTGCATCATTGCACTCCAGCCTGGGCAACAAGAGCAAAACTCCGTCTCAAAAAAAAAAAAAAGAAAAGAAAAAGAAAGAAAGGAACAGGAATGGAAGAGTGAGAAGTGCTGAGACAAAAGTGTCTTGATACCCTCCCTCCCAGCAGAAATCCCAGCAGTGAGAGGCATGCTATATAGTTAAGCGGGAAGCTGTAAGTTGAAGGATCCCTGTCCTTTTCCTGTTAGAACTCTGCCAAGGGTAACACTGAACCCGCTACGCTGTCTGGGTTATATACCCTGGGGTTCTTTGACGTGTGCAGAGAAAGAATTCAGGACACAGGCACAAGTGAGTGGGTTAAGAGTGGAAAGTTTAATAGAAGAAAGGAGAGAGGGCCGGGTGGGATGGCTCACGCCTGTAATCCCAGCACTTTGGGACCCAGGCTGAGGCAGGCAGATCACCTGAGGTCAGGAGTTCAAGACCAGCCTGGCCAATATGGCGAAACCCCATCTCTCCTAAAAATACAAAAAAGTAGCTGGGCATGGTGGTGCACGCCTGTAATCCCAACTACTCGGGAGGCTGAGGCAGGAGGATTGCTTGAACCCAAGAGGGGGAAGTTGCAGTGAGCTGAGATCAGGCCACTGCACTCCAGCCTGAGTGACAGAGCAAGACTCCATATCAAAGAAAAAAAAAGAAAAGAGAGCAGAGAGGAGCTGAGAGAGAGAGAGAGAGAGATCCGAAAAAAGGGGAGCCAGCAGACCACAGCAGATTTTATAGGCAGGCTAGAGAAGGCGGTGTCTGTTTTACACAGGGCTCACAGATTGATTTGATTAGATATGACGTCTACATAGTGTGCAGGGAAGGCTGGTTGCCCCACCCTAATTCTGTGTGTGTGTGTTTTGAGATGGAGTCTCACTTTGTCACCCAGGCTGGAATGCAGTGGTGTGACCTTGGCTCACTGCAACCTCCACCTCCCGGGTTCGAGCGATTCTCCTGCCTCAGCCTCCCGAGTAGCTGGGATTACAGGTGCTCACTAAAACGCCCAGCTATTATTTGGATTTCATCATTGGCCAGGCTGGTCTCGAACTCCTGACCTCAGGTGATCCACCCGCCTCGGCCTCCAAAGTGCAGGGATTACAGGCGTGAGCCACAGCACCCCGCTGCCCCAGCCTACCCTTCTTAAGCAAATAGGCTTTCTAGTTGATCTGTGCCATCTTGTCTGCTCCTTTACAGCACACGTGGCTGGCAGAGAAGGGAAGATAGAGCCGCCATCTTCAATATATCTAGTCCTTAGTTCCCGCTGGCATTCATCCAGGCAAGCTCCCAGCTTGCAGGCTGCTGTTTGTTAGAAAATGATTTGGGGCTGCTTTTCATTAAAAAGAAAAGCCTTACCGAGGACTCCCATGCCCTTGCTCTCTGCCTAAGTAATTCCTTCTCTCTCTCTTTTTTTTTTTTTTTTTTTTTTTTGAGACGGAGTTTCGCTCTTGTTGCCCAGACTGGATTGCAATGGTGCAATCTTGGCTCACCACAACCTCCACCTCCCAGGTTCATGCGATTCTCTTGCCTCAGCCTCCCGAATAGCTGGGATTACAGGCATGTGCCACCACGCCCAGCTAATTTTGTATTTTTAGAGAGATAGTGTAGCAGGACGAGCTGCAGACAAAACTCCTCAGACACCGAGTTAAAGAAGGAAGGGGTTTATTTGGCCGGGGGCATCGGCAAGACTCCTGTCTCAAGAGCTGAGCTCCTCGAGGATGCAATTGCTGTCCTTTTTAAGGGCTCACACCTCTAAGGGTGTGAGCGTGAGACGGTCATGATTGATTGAGCAAGCAGGGCCTACGTGACTGGGGGCTGCAGGGTGTGGCGCCGGGCTGTCTGCTTGTGGATTTCATTTCTGCCTTTTCGTTTTTACTTTTTCTTTCTTTGGAGGCAGATATTGGGCATAAGACAATATGAGGGGTGGTCTCCTCCCTTATCCCCCCCTTTTGAGACTCTCGCTCAATACTGGAGTTCTCACTTTCATTTTTACTACCCGTGTCTTCTTGCAAGACAGATCAATAATGATTCATATAGTACACTTGTGCTGAAGCATTTCGGTGAACTAAGTTAGCGATGACGCTTTTTATCATTTGAAGAAGTACAGGTAGCAAACAAGCAAGCAGTAAGTAGGTTCTTATTACTATTATAACTCTTACTGTAAGAGTTTTAAATCTTCCTAGCGCTGGGAACTATTTTCTAAACATGGCCTCAGGATCAAATTTATGCCACACTTGCACGGGCACATGTGCCAGTTTTGTCATAGCTCTAACTGTGTCTTCAACTACTTGCCCTTGATTATCTATGTGTAGGCAGCAATTAGTAAGGTTAAATTTCCTACAGACTTCTCCTTCAGCTGCTAGCAAGTAGTCGAGAGCTAATCTATTTTGAGAGATAGCATTTCTCATCTGAGTTTCTTGCTGGGCCAGAATGGTCAAGGCTGTGCCGGTTTTATTGGTGATTATTTTTAAGACAGCTTGTAACCATATGATTTGGTTGATCACGTAAATGGGAGTCCAGTATCTTCACGAGCCATCTTGTGCCTAAGTAGCAGGACTATAATATTGTATGATTCTCTCGGGGGCCATTTATCATTTTTTCAATTTCTTATAGCTATGCTTCTCTTTTCGAGGGAAGCATAGACAGGGAAGCCCAGGAGTTCACCTGTTTTTATGGGCAGTAGGAAGAAAGATAGTTTAATAGTGCTAATAACACAACTGCCTGCCTACTGGTTAGGCAATTTGGCATAAGCTCTATGCCTACATACGTAGCATAATCTAGTCGGGGCTGTCTAGTCCCGGTGGGACTCCGGCTATGTCTACACGGTTTGCAACTTTGGGAATTTTTTACTAAGTGGATTTCTCTCTGTGTGATTTGAACTCTACCAAGTGACTGTTTTTGTGGTACCATTATACAGTTTCTGTCTCAGACAACTAAATCGTCCTACGGGGTGAGTGAATTCTTTTCTTTCTCTAGCTATGCGATATTGTCCAATAATTGAGGCTTTTAGGACCTAGAAATTATCAGGGTGATTCTTTTGAGCTGGGAATTCATCAGGAACTGGGTCTGTAGGTACTAATTCTCGTGCTTCCTATGGCCATTGATCTCCTGTGACAGTTCTTCCACATATATAACATGAAGTGACATTGAGAGACTGGGTCACATGCTCGGCTAATTGCAAAAACAAATTTCTTGTTTTTCATGGAATTTCTGGTACTGGCACTTTTAGTTTATCATAGAAGGTTTGAAATACTGGCTCGGGAGAGCATTTATACACTTTTTCTCAAACCACGATATTTACTTGAAGATCCAGTCTAGCTCTTATCAATTTTTTAGGGTTACACGTTCCTCTTTTTTCCAGCGAGGATCAAGGGGATTGGTTAGTACTAGCTCTAAGGGGTTACATTGTCCTTTAGTACAGGAAGAGCCATTTTTTCCTTTCTGAAGGTGGACTGGATCCTTTTCATTTTTTTTTTTTTTTTATCTAATTGGCCTAAATGACACAAGACCATCACTTTGGGAGGCCGAGGTGGGCGGATCACCTGAGGTCGGGAGTTTGAGAGCAGCCTGACCAACAAGGAGAAACCCTGTTAAGGGAGGGGACAGCCCCTCATATTACTTTTTGAGAGAAAAGAAAGTGGAAGATAAACCAAGTATATAATTTCTAAGAAATTGACCTTTTGTTTTAAATGTGGGGACTGTGGCAGTGGACTTTATAGTCCTTAGTGCCTTTTTACTGAGAAATTTCCTTCAGCACCTATTTTTATTAGTTTTTAGACCAAAGAAATCTAAACACTATTTTATGTTTAATAATGCTTTTTGTATGATTTTTATACCAGATAAGCTAAATTTTATTTTTATATTAGTGTGTTATTAATGTTAAACCTAATTTTAATAAAACCTTGTAGACATATTTATCTAATTTTTAATGTTTGACTATAAGGTATGATTTTATAGACTCTTTTCAACCTTTTATAATTTTTGCTAAAGAGCAGGTTGGTGGTTTAAGAAAAACCTGTTATGCTTTTACTTTAATGTCCAGAAAAACTGGGTGATAGTTCTTTAACTTTAGCTAATATGTTTACACACAGAATTTTCTTTACAATTAACGTTTTAAAACTTGCTTAAATCTTCAAAACAATAATTTTTTTAACTTAACTTTTTAATGTAGGTAAAAATGTACACTCTTATGCCTCCTTATAATCCTTTTACTAAAGGTATATTTTACTTTTCTTATACACCTTGCACATAAACTGTTTTTTTTTTCAATAGTTTTACATTCAGGAGGCCTAGTTACTTTTAAATTATACAACATTTTTTGCATAAATTCTTTTTTTAACACTATTTTTATAACTTATTTTTCTTTCACAACTTTTACAGGCAATTTTTCGACATGCCTTAACTTTCGGACTTACTACAAACATTTCTTTCTTTAAACAACCAGTTAATTTATTTCAAGACAAGAATTTACCATATAATACTCTTTTTATATAAATTCTGCCCCACCTTTTTTTTTCCTTTTTTTTTTCTCGAAGATGATAACCATTCTTTTCCAAAGCGAACCTTTTTTTATGTCTGTGGACTAGACTGTCTAAGGCCAGAAGCATAGAAGTTACTGTCATACATGTTAAACTGTTAACTTTTAGCAAACTTTACTTTTGTTGAAAACCTTGTAAGTCGGGATTTTAATTATCCTTTGCTATTGATAAGACCTTGTTTTCTCTAAATTAGAATTGGTATAGATGGCTTTTTTTTTTTTTTTTTAATTACCCGGGAGGAACCATCATTCATGCTGTCCTGAAGGGAGTTCCTCCTACGTCTGGTCAGACGTTCGTATTTGGTAATTAAGATTTAGATCCCCTGTTAGGAAACCTGCTGAGTGAATGGAATTTTCAGTGGTTAATGTTAAATCATCTTCTTTCTTTCTCTCTTTGACTTTGTCACTCTCTCTTTGACTTTCCTTTTGCCTCTGTCTCTTTCTCTCTCTCTCTGCCTCTCTCTTTCTCTCTCTTTTTTTTTCTTTCTCTCTCTCTCCTTGACTCCCTCTTTGTCTGTCTCTTCCTCTCTGTCTCTTTCCTTTCTCTCTCTCTGCTGGTCTTTCCTTGCCTCTGCCAGCCACTTATGCTACTGTTCTCTCAACCACTGTGTGTTGGGGGCGGGAGGTCTAAAACCAGCTGTAACCAAGTGTCTATGTATGGGAGCTGGTCTGGGTGCCCTGGCTTACAGATTACCTTGTGCCATACCTTCGAAACAGAGGACCTCTCCAGGCTTCCTTCTAATGGCCAACTTACCTCTAATGCTGGCCAGTCTATCTTACACAAAGTTTTAAGTTTTCCTGGTGTCATAGTACTCCATAGTCTCCTTTAAATGTTTTTTTGAAAATTTTCAACCTAGTTCCTAGTAGGGTGGGCTTATTGGTGCCTGACCTATGCTTCTTCGAGACAAAACACCACGCTCACACCACACGCACACCACAAAACAAAGAACGGGTAAAAAGGGTACACACACACACACTTTTGCAGTTTGCACCAAACCAAAATCAAAACCAAAATCGGAGTATCCAGATATCCAAGCCACGTCAAAACCAAAACCAAAGTATCAAGCAATCCAAGTCAAGTCAAAAACAATAACCAAAGTGCCAGTACAGGCACGCCGTGGGTGATCAGGCCACGCTTCCACTCAAATGGAGTGGGCAAGTTCCTGAGACCAATCCTGTCAAGCAATTCAAACCAAGTCAAAACCAAAACCAAAGTGCCGGTACAGGCATGCCGTGGGTGATCAGGCCACGCTTCCACTCAAACGGAGTGGGCAAGTTTCAAAGACTAGTCTTACCAAGTTTTAGATGTCCAGACTCCAAGTGCCCGTTCCTTCCCGGCGTTCAGCCACCGCGTTGATCCTCCACGGGGGCCTGCCACACACTGCTCTGGCGAGGCGTCCCACCGGCGCAAATGCCTACCCGGAAGCACTCTCAGGATCCGCGCCACTCGGGCTGGTCGGAGTCCCCTGCAGGGATGTTCCACAGGGCGGGCTTAAGTGCCTAAGGAGCTGCCTCGACCCTCTGCCAATCACCTCGCTTCCCGGTCAGGGAACCAAGAAATGTAGCAGGACGAGCCGCAGACAAAACTCCTCAGACACCGAGTTAAAGAAGGAAGGGGTTTATTCGGCCAGGAGCATCAGCAAGACTCCTGTCTCAAGAGCCGAGCTCCTCAAGTGAGCAATTCCTGTCCTTTTTAAGGGCTCACACCTCTAAGGGGGTGAGCGTGAGAGGGTCGTGATCGATTGAGCGAGCAGCGGGTACGTGACTGGGGACTGCATGCACCGGTAATTAGATCGGAACAAAACAGGATAGGGATTTCACAGTGCTTTTCTCTACAATGTCTGTAATCTATAGATAACGTAACCGATTAGGTCAGGGGTCGATCTTTAACTACCAGGCCCAGGGTGAGGTGCTGGGCTTTCTGCTTGTGGATTTCCTTTCTGCCTTTTTGTTTTTACTTTTTCTTTCTTTGGAGGCAGAAACTGGGCATAAGACAATATGAGGGGTGGTCTCCTCCCTTAACAGGGTTTCTCCTTGTTGGTCAGGCTGCTCTCAGACTCTCGACCTCAGGTGATCTGCCCACCTCGGCATCCCAAAGTGCCGGGATTACAGGCGTGAACCACTGCACCCAGCCAGTAATTCCTTTTTAATTCCTATATCAACACCAAGGGGCATATCCCTGTGGCAACTTGAGATCAGCCACAGCAAAGGGAAACAGAAGGAGTGACCAAGTTGGACAAAGAGGAAGCCTGAGTTGGCACTTTCAAGCTGCCCGCGGCTTCCAGGGTTATGGAAGAGAGGCAGAAGTTTCCAGATTTCCCTTGGGGGAAAGCAGAAGGCAGCCAAAAATCAGCCTGGTGGGCCTCGGGCTTCCTCAGGAGGAAAGTGATCTTACTTTCTGTGCTCCAACTGTCCTCTGGGTCTCTCCCCTCAACTCTTTCCCTTCACAGGGCTCATGATTCCCCTGACTTAGAGCAAGAGAGAGAGAGAGAGAGAGTGCCAACATCAGTGGACGTCTTGTCCTGGAGCCTCAGCTCTAGAGTCTGCAGATGGGGAAACTCTGGTTTTAGAAAACCTTCTTCTCAAAAATAATGCACACGACCGTGGGGCGTGGTGGCTCATGCCTGTAATCCCAGAACTTTGGGAGGCCAAAGTTGGCGAATCACTTGAGGTCAGGAGTTCGAAACCAGCCTGGCCAACATAGCAAAACCCCATCTCTACTAAAAATACAAATATTAGCCGGATGTGGTGGTGCACATCTGTAATCCCAGCTACTTGAGAGGCTGAGGCAGGAGGAGAATCACTTAAACCCGGGAGGCAGAGGTTGCAGAGAGAGCCGAGATCACGCCACTGCCCTCCAGCCTGGGTGACAGAGAAAGGCGTCCCAAAAATAAATAAATAAATAAATAAAAATTAAAAAATAAAAAATGGTGCAAATGACCTCCAGCAGAACTGCACAGACTGGAAAGTGGTCAGAGGCCAGGTCAAGTCACTAAGTGACTCAGGTGGGAAGGTCCAGGTTCTTCAGGTACACGATATGGATCCACATTCAAATCTAGGCACTTCCTCTCCCAAGCTCCTTGCTAGGTGGATTAAGCTGGTGGCCTTCCTCTCTGAGCCTGCTCACAGGGAAAATAGAAATAACAGCATGATTCACTTCATAGGGTTCTTGGGAAGGTCAGAAAAGGTGAAACCTGACAAGTGCTTAGCACAGGACTAAACCCTCAATTGCGCATGGGTCTTCTGGTTGGTTGTGTTCCGGTATCATTCAAACCACACCACGTTGAGTTTGTGTGCGTACGTCCGCGTCTGTGACGCGTGCAAGTGTGCTTACGAAAGAATATCCTTGAAGTAAAATTTCTGGACCAAAGGGAAGGTGCATTTTGGTGCATTGATAGATTTCAACAAGCTGTCCTTCCAGAAAGTTGGATCCATTTCAGCTCCTAGCCTCCAGGTTTGAGGCTCCTTCTCACCCACGCACTTGCTGAGCAGTGAATCATCAAACACTCTGATCTTTTACCAAATCACAGGTGACAAGATAAAGTGTGGCTGGGCACAGTGGCTCACACCTGTAATCCCAGCACTTTGGGAGGCCCAGGTGGGCAGATCACTGGAGGTCAGGAGTTCAAGACCAGCCTGGCCAACATGGTGAAACCCCATCTCTACTAAAAATACAAAAATTAGCCAGGCGTGGTGGTGGGCACCTGTAATCCCAGCTACTCAGGAGGATGAGGCAGGAGAATTGCTTGAACCTGGGAGGCGGAGATTGCAGTGAGCCGAGATGGCGCCACTGCACTCCAAGCTGGGCGACAGAGGGAGACACGATCTTAAAAAAAAAAAGAGAGAGAGAGAGAGAAAGAAAAATTGTGTTTCACGGAGCTTTCAATTTCCAATTTTCTTGTGGTGAACGAGATTCAGTTTCATAAGCAGTTGTATTTTTTTTATTTATTTATTTTTTTAAGACAGACTCTCTCTCTGTCTCTCAGGCTGGAGTGCAGTGGCCAGATCTCAGCTCACGACAACCTCCGCCTCCCGGGTTCAGGCGATTCTCCTGACTCAGCCTCCCGAGATAGCTGGGACTACAGGTGTCCGCCACCACGCCCAGCTAATTTTTGTATTTTTAGTAGAGACGGGGTTTCACCATATTGGCCAGGCTGGGCTTGAACTCCTGACCTTGTGATCCGCCCGCCTCGGCCTCCCAAAGTGCTGAGATTACAGGTGTGAGCCACTGCGCCCGGCCAAGCAGTTGTATTTATTTTTATGAGTTGGCTGCTCCTGTCTCATTTTGGGATTTTCCTAAGACACCTCGGCCTCCCAAAGTGCTGAGATTACATGTATGAGCCACCCCACCCCATCTCTCTTTCCCCCATCTTTTAGAAGGTATTAGTTATTTCTTAATGATATGAATCTAAACTATTTATATCTTAAGCTGATAAAAAGATCAGCTAAGTAAATATTAAATAAATTAAGGTAGGAGATTGTCTTGAAGGTGCTGTCTACCCGCTTCCCCCAGACCTGGAGTCCTAGGGCTTCCGTGAAGGAAATCCCTTTAGTACTTGGGGATCTCAGGGAGGATATTTTGATTTCTGGATACCTCAAAATTCTGGACCTCTTTGACCACCCTCTTCACCCACCCAGCAAATGCTATAGGCTCAGGCTCTGAAATCTCCCATTTTTATCTCCTTTCAATTTTTTGCTTTTTGTTGGTAATTTTGCTGTTTCAAACAGCCCCCAAATAGTGCTGAAGCCCTGTCTAATGTCCCCCAAGAGCAAGGAGGCCGTGATGAGCCTCACAGAGGAGGAAATCCACGTGTTAGAGAAGCTATCCCCAGGCACGAGTTCTAGCGCTGTTGGCTGTGAGTTTGCTGCTGATGACACTGACTTCTTGATGATTCATAGCCAGAGGCCCTTGGGACCCTAACTGTATGTATATACAGACATATTTTTCTTTCCATTTGAGAGCAGGTAATGTTTATTGAACAGCTTAGAAAAATAATTATAGTACACACCATAGTTCATTCTTCTAACAAGCCTGTTGATCTGGTCCTCCCTGTTGCCAGCATCTCCACCTTCCACGAAATGGGTGGTCTGTTTCTTCATTCTGCCTCATGGAGAAGATACTTTGAAGGACCACAGGAAGTTATGTGCTTCTTTGAAGCGTTTTCCAACAGTATGGACCTCATGAATCACATCCTCCATACAGATGATGCCATATTTTCCAAGAGATCGTGCAAAGCGTTATCTGTCAAAGCAATTCGTTTCTTATTGATTTTGCCATAACCACGCTTGTAGATTAGTTTATTTACTGACTTCAGATTTAGGTACCCGCATGCAATGTATGGCTCTACAATCCTCAGCATGTTAATTGGCCTTCACAAAGGTTCCATTGAAGATTTGACAAAGGCAAAGAAGCTGCAACACATTTCGGACCTTTGGGCTCACACCATCGATACCTCTGATCCTGATGACAAACGCCAGTCTGGATTCTGCAGGTTCATAGAAGTTGCCAGCTTTTCTTGACATCTTTTCCATTCGAATTTCAGTTCTGTACCTCTGCCTATATTCCTTGTGATAGTGCTTCAATTTTTCATAGATAAGCTTCCTCCTTGCCTTTCGAAGCATCTTTTGGGCAAACTTCTTTCTCAGGCGCTTGGTCTTCAGCTCTGTGAAATTCCTTCGCTTTTTCTTAGGGGTTTCTGGCACAGCGGGAACTTCCTTCTTCTTCTCTTCTACACCCTCCATGGTTCCAGCCGGAAAAAGAGGCTGGATCCTCTTTTTAAAAAATATATATATTTTTAAGACAGAGTCTCGCTCTGTCACCCAGGCTGGAGTGCAATGGTGTGATCTCGGCTCACTGCAACCTCTGCCTCCCGGGTTTGAGCGATTCTCCTGCCTCAGCTTCCTGAGTAGCTGGGATTAAAGGTGCCCACCACCACACCCAGCTATTTTTTGAATTTTTAGTAGAGATGGGGTTCCACCATGTTGGCCAGGCTGGTCTCCAACTCTTTTTTTTTTTTTTTTGAGACGGAGTCTCACTCTGTCACCCAGGCTGGAGTTCAGTGGCGTGATCTCGGCTCACTGCAAGCTCCACCTCCCGGGTTCACGCCATTCTCCTGCCTCAGCCTCCTGAGTAGCTGGGACTACAGGCGCCCGCCACCATGCCCGGCTAATTTTTTGTATTTTTAGTAGAGACGGGGGTTTCACCGTGTTAGCCAGGAGGGTCTCAAACTCCTGATATCAAGTGATCCGCCTGCCTCAGCCTCCCAAAGTGCTGGGATTACAGGCGTGAGCCACTGCGCCTGGCTCCTTCTTGGTGTTTCTTGACTTTCATCTGCCTCATTCAGTTTCTGTTTCTGTTTTCACACGGCTCCTTCTCTATGAGCCTCTTTTCTCTCCACCTGAGGGCCCACTCTAATCCAGTATGACCTCATTTAAGCCTAATTATATCTGCAAAAAAAACCCCGTAATTTCAAAATGAGGTCATATTCTGCAGTTCCAGGAGGCCATGAATTCTGGGAGGACACCGTTAACCCACTACAGCCATCGAGAACAGCAGCAGGAGGCTGGATGCGGTGGCTCACACCTGTCATCCCGGCACTTTGGGGGACCTACGCAGCAGGATCGCTTGAGCCCAGATGTTTGAGACCAGCCTGGTAACATAGTAACACCCTATCCTCTACCCCCCCCAAAAAAAAAATTAGCCGGGCATGGTAGCGTGTGCTGGTAGACCCAACTATGCAAAAGGCTGAGATGGGAGGGTCACTGAAGCCCAGGAGTTTGAGGCTGCTGTGAGCTGTGTGGCGCCACTGCATCCAGCCTGGGCAACAGAGCAACACTCTGTCTCTAAAAATATTAATTTAGGCCGGGCGCGGCGGCTCACGCCTGTAATCCCAGCACTTTGGGAGGCCAAGGCGGGCAGATCACGAGGTCAGGAGATGGAGACCATCCTCGCTAACATGGTGAAAACCCATCTCTACTAAAAATACAAAAAGTTAGCCGGGCGTGGTGGCGGGCGCCTGTAGTCCCAGCTACTTGAGAGGCTGAGGCAGGAGAATGGCGTGAACCCGGGAGGCGGAGCTTGCAGTGAGCCGAGATGGCGCCACTGCACTCCAGCCTGGGCGACAGAGCGAGACTCTGTCTCAAAAAAAAAAAAAATAAATAATAAAATAAAATAAAAATAAAAAATAAAAATATTAACTTAATTTAACTTTAAACAAAAAAGCAGGTGGTCTCCAAGAATGCAGGAGATAACTGACCGGGTGCAGTGTCTCATGCCTTTAATCCCAGCACTTTGGAAGGCCAAGGCGGGTGGATCACCCAAGGTCAGGAGTTCAAGTCCAGCCTGGCCAACATGGTGAAACCCCATCTCTACTAAAAATACAAAAAATTAGCCAGGCATGGTGGCGCGCGCATGTTACTCCCAGCTACTCGCGAGGCTCAGACAGGAGAATCGCTTGAACCCAGGAGATCGAGGTTGCGGCGAGCTGAGATGGCGCCACTGCACTCCAGCCTGGGTGACAGAGGGAGACCTCCGTCTCAAAAACAAAACAAATCAAAAAAATGCAGGAGAGGGGTACACGAATATTTGGGGAGCACCCCCAATTCTTGGATGTCTGCTGTATCCCCAGTGCACAGCACAATCTAATCCCTAATAAATGTGCAGTGGAGGTTTGTTGAATAAATGAATGGGCCCCAGAAGAATGAGGTGGAGAGGGGAATAGGAAGATTGAATGTCTCCTGCCTGAAGGTCGGGCGGGGAGGGGTTGGGGGCAGGCAACTCTGAGGCTCACCCGGGGCCACTGCCTGCATCCTGGCAACTGCCTCCACCCACTTTAGGATCTTCAGACTGGCAGCGGTTGGAGGGAATTTCCCCTCGCCAATTGCTCAAGTCCCTCCCCTCGACCGGCCGGACATCCCCAGAGAGGGGCAGGCTGGTCCCCTGACAGGTTGAAGCAAGTAGACGCCCAGGAGCCCCGGGAGGGGGCTGCAGTTTCCTTCCTTCCTTCTCGGCAGCGCTCCGCGCCCCCATCGCCCCTCCTGCGCTAGCGGAGGTGATCGCCGCGGCGATGCCGGAGGAGGGTTCGGGCTGCTCGGTGCGGCGCAGGCCCTATGGGTGCGTCCTGCGGGCTGCTTTGGTCCCATTGGTCGCGGGCTTGGTGATCTGCCTCGTGGTGTGCATCCAGCGCTTCGCACAGGCTCAGCAGCAGCTGCCGCTCGAGTCACTTGGGGTGAGTTGAGATGGAAAAGTTGGGAAGAAAACATAGAGAGGCGCGTGACCGAAAAGACAGAATGAGATGGGTACAAAGAGGCCAGAGAGGAAGATCTGGTAGGGCAGAGACAGAGACCAGAACAGGGAGGCGAGGCGGGGACCAGGCTGCCCGGTGTAGGGGCTACGAGACAGGCAGCCCTGCCAGGAGGTACAGGGAGATCCCGGGATGGGAAAGGTAGGCACACATGGAAATGGAAGATGACTCGGCTCTGGTGTTCCCCCGGCAGGCTGACTCAGAGGCTGCTGGGGGCTTCACAAGGCTGGGCGTGGGGGCTTCCTGGGGCCTCCTAGGACGGGATGGCCCCAGCCACTCGCTCCGGGTGGGGGAGGGGTCCCTTTGGGGACCGCGCCGGGCGCCTTTGCAGCGTAGAGAGTCCGCTGCGCGCGGTGCTCTCGCGCCCAGTGACATCCAGGAAAACGATTCGGGAAACGAAGAAGTTCTTTTGAAGGTCTCGACTTCACGTTCCCCGCTGGTTCAGACCTGCTTCCTCTTTAAGAAGTCTTAAGAGTAAAAAAAAATAAAATGAAATAAAATCACCAGTGCGCGCCGTGGGATGAGAGGTGGAAAGGAGGATGGACAGAGAAAAGAGAGCTCCTGGCACAGGGGACACATAGAACCTCTCTGCTTACGTCCGTGCCCTGTTTTCTGGTCTTTTCTTCCAGTGGGACGTAGCTGAGCTGCAGCTGAATCACACAGGTAACACGGGGGACGTGGAGGGACGGGGAGAAGAAGAGGCACAGAGAGAGAAGGAAGGAGAGGTAGAAAGACAAGTGGGGAGAGACAGAGAGAAAGAGACACAGACAGAGACGGAGGGAGAGAGGGAGGGAGAGATAGGGAGGGAAACGGAGAGGGGGAGACAGAGAGAAGACAGAGAGGGAGGGAGAGGCCCAGAGAAAGGGAGGGAGAGACAGAAAAAAGAACAGAGAGAGGGACAGAGGGGACAGACGGGACAGGAGAAGAAGGGGAAAGAAAGAAACAGGGAGAGACGCAGGGAGAGTGGAAGAGGGAGGGAGGGAGACAGGCGGGGGAGACAGAACGAGAGAGAGGGAGAGAGACGGAGAAAGAGAAAAAAGACAGATAGAGGAAGAGAGAATAAAAACGAGAGAGGCGACCTGGCGTGGTTGCTGGAGCCTGTAATCCCAGCGCTTTCGGAGGGCGCGGCGGGTGGATCACTTGAGCCCAGGAGTTTGAGACCAGCCTGGCCAACATGGTGAAACCCCGTCTCTACTAAAATTACAAAAATTAGCCGGGTGTGGTGGCAGGCACCTGTAATCCCAGCTACTCAGGAGGCCGAGGCAGGAGAATCGCCTGAACCTGGGAGGCAGAAGTTGCAGTGAGCCAAGATAATGGCACTGCTCTCCAGCCTGGGTGACAGAGGGAGATTCTGTCAAATAAATAAATAAAAAGAAGAAAGGAAAAGAAAAAGAAAGAAAGGAAGGAAGGAAAAGAAAGAGAAGAAGGAAGGAAGGAGAGAGGGAGGGAGGTGAGAGAGAGAGAAAGGAAAAAGAAAGAAGAAAGAGAAAAAAAGAAATAAGAGAAAGAAAAGAAAGAAAGCCAGAGAGAGGAAAAGAGAAGGAGAATAACAGAGAGGAAGAGACAGAGACAGAGAGGGGGAAGAAGAAAAACAGGGCGGGGGAGAAAGAGATCATTCCCAAGAGAAAAAGGAAAAGGGAGAGAACGAGAGAGAGAGAGAGGAGAGAGAGAGCGAGCAGGTTTGTGTTTCTGGGCATCCACTACCTTTCTCTCCCTTTCCCTCTCAGTCCTTCACATTCGATCTCCTCCCTTGGAAGAATCAAAGGGGTTTTGTTAGTAAACGAAAACGCTCACAGGAAAGGCTACCCTTCCTCCATTCATGCTACAAGCACTAATTATACATCTGCAGTGGGCAGGCACTGTTCCGGTACTGCAGTCGCGCACAAAACAGACAGAAATCCCTGCCTGGTGAGCTTCCCTTCTACTATCACTCCTACCGAGGAGGAGATGACCAAAAAAATAAAAACGAACATGTGAAAAACAGAGCAATGCCACGTAGAGTAAAACAGGCCAAGAGCAGGTTTTAGAGAAAAAATCAGGCAAGGAGGTGGGTGGGGAATCCGGGCATGCCAGGGTTGGGGATTTTCATTTAAAGTGGAGTCGCGGCGGTCGGGTGGGGGGGTGGTATCTGAGTGGGTGGCATTGGCAAGAAGCCTTGAGGGAGAAGAAATGAACAGTTCTGCTCTAGGTGGAAGTCTCTACCTCCTCCCAGCCTCTCTCGAACGCTTCTTCCTCTTCTGTTTTTCCACGGTTCATCCCCAGAGACTAAAATTACTGCACGCTTGCGTGTTTTGTTCCTTCCATTTTGTAATGGAAGGGACCTTTGTTGCTCTCTCTTCTCCTTGGGTCTCTGACCCCTGATATATCTTCCCCCCCTCCCCGGCCTTTGCCATATTTTTCCTGTAATTTGGTCTTGAGGCCCCTTTCTGGAGAGTGGCTGTCCAGCCCCACATCGATGGGGCACCAGGGGTGGTGGCCACAGGTGTTGACAGTGTCTTTCACAGGACAGCTCTTTCTTCTGGTGGATGATATCATGCCTAAGTGTGTGACAGGGGACCAGGTGTCACTCTTACAGGAAATTTGCAAAGCCTGGTAAACACCCTTGGGGCTCCTGTTTGACCCCGTTCAGTTCCTTCCTAACAAGATAGCCAGTCTCCAGGAGAGCCTTGAGTGAGGAGGAGAGTGAGGCTCAGGTGTGTCAGTCAGATAAGTTGCGGAGACAGGAGACGCTGAGATGAAACACGTGAAATATAGCCGAGGACCTTGGCTCCCGGCTGTGATCCCAGCGCTTTGGGAGGCTGAGGTGGGAGGATCGCTTGAGCCCAGGAGTTCTAGACTATGTTTCTTGGGAAACATAGCAAGACCACCATCTCTAGAACAAAATTTTGAAAATTAGCTGGTCATGGTGGCGCATGCCACCTCCCAGTGACTCGGGAGGCTGAGGTGGGAGATAGCTTGAGCCCCAGAGGCTGAGGCTGCAGTGAGCTATGATTGCACCACTGCACTCCAGCCTGGGTGACAGGACCAGACCCTGTCTCTAAAGAAAATAAAGATCCTAGAGAGAAGAGGGCCAACGGGAAGGTAGGGGAGCTCTCTGAGACACACACTCAACCAGCGGGTGGAAAGCAAGAAAAAAAAAGGGTCCTGGGAGCCAAAGCTTTTATTGGCGTTCAGGGTGTGACCCGAGCAGGCGTCCCTTGGGGAATTCTCTCGTGCACTCTCTTGCGCGCTGTCTCGTGCGCACGCTGTCTCTCTCGTGCTGTCTGTCTCACTCTCTCAGGCACTCTCTCGCTCACTCCCGTGCACTCTCGAGCTCTGTAGCTCTCATCCTCTCTCACACACACACTCTCCCATGCACTCTCTCGAGCTCACTCTCACACTCTGTCTCGTGCACTCTCTCTCAAGCTCTCTCGTCCTCTCTCACACACACACTCTCTCTCTTGCTCTCTCTCTCATGCTGTCTCTCGTACTCTCTCCTGCTCTCTCGTGCTCTCTCTCACTCTCTCGTGCACTCTCCCTCAAGCTCTCTCGTCCTCTCTCTCACACTCTCTCGCTGTCTCATGCTCTCTCTCCCTCATGATCTCTCTCTCTCTCATGCTGTCTCTTGCACTCTCTCCTGCTCTCTCGTGCTCTCTCGCACTCTCTCGTGCACTCTCCCTCAAGCTCTCTCGTCCTCTCACACACTCTCTCGCTCTCTCATGCTCTCTCTCTCATGCTCTCTGTCGCACTCTCTCGTGCACTCTCGTCCTCTCTCACACATACACTCTCTCTCTTGCTCTCTCTCTGCATTCTCTCTCTATATATCTCTCCCTCCCCCTCTATCTTTACCCTTGTCTGTTTCTGTTTTTTTTTTTTTTTTTTTTGTCTCTCTCTCTCCTGGTGTCTCTCTCTCCCTGTCTCTACCCCTTTCCCCTTACCCCTCTCTCCTTCCCTTTAGATCTCTAACCTTCTATCCCCCTCCCTTTTTTTTGAGACAGGGTTTCTGTGACCAAGGCTGGAGTGCAGTGGTGTGATCATAGCTCACTGCAGTCTCAGCCTCCCAGGCTCAAGCGATCCTCCAGCCTCAGCCTCCCAAGAGTAGCCAGGACCAGAGGCGTGCACCACCACACCTGGCTGACTTTTTATTTTTTGTAGAGATGGGGTCTCGCCCTGTTGTCCAGGCTGGTCTTGAACTGCTGACCTCAGGTGATCCACCCGCCTTGGCCTCCTAAACTGTTAGGATTTCAGGCATGAGCCACCACGTCCAACCTATTCCTTGATCTCTAACTCTCGATCTCTATATCTGACTTTCTCTATGACCCCCTGTGCCTCAGTTTCCCTAAACCTCCATCCTCTCATCCCTCTAACCCTGTGCCCCCAGGACCTCAGCAGGACCCCAGGCTATACTGGCAGGGGGGCCCAGCACTGGGCCGCTCCTTCCTGCATGGACCAGAGCTGGACAAGGGGCAGCTACGTATCCATCGTGATGGCATCTACATGGTACACATCCAGGTGACGCTGGCCATCTGCTCCTCCACGACGGCCTCCAGGCACCACCCCACCACCCTGGCCGTGGGAATCTGCTCTCCCGCCTCCCGTAGCATCAGCCTGCTGCGTCTCAGCTTCCACCAAGGTTGTACCATTGCCTCCCAGCGCCTGACGCCCCTGGCCCGAGGGGACACACTCTGCACCAACCTCACTGGGACACTTTTGCCTTCCCGAAACACTGATGAGACCTTCTTTGGAGTGCAGTGGGTGCGCCCCTGACCACTGCTGCTGATTAGGGTTTTTTAAATTTTATTTTATTTTATTTAAGTTCAAGAGAAAAAGTGTACACACAGGGGCCACCCGGGGTTGGGGTGGGAGTGTGGTGGGGGGTAGTGGTGGCAGGACAAGAGAAGGCATTGAGCTTTTTCTTTCATTTTCCTATTAAAAAATACAAAAATCAGCTGGGCTTCGTGGCGTGCATCTGTAATCCCAGCTACTCGGCCGACTGAGGCAGGAGAATCGCTTGAACCGAGGAGGTGGAGGTTGCAGTGAGCCGAGATTGCGCCACTGCACTCCAACCTGGGCAACAGAGCAAGACTCTGTCTCAGGAAAAAAAAAATGTTCTTGGTTAGGGATGTTTGAAGAATAGAGGAAGTGGGCTGGGCACAGTGGCTCATGCCTGTAATCCCAGCACTTTGGGAGGCTGAGGAAGGCAGATCGCTTGAGCCTAGGAGTTCAAGACCAGCCTGGGCAACATAGTGAGACCCCCATCTCTACAAAAAATACAAAAATTAACCAGATGTAGTGGTGTGCTAGTCCAAGCTACTCCAAAGGCTGAAGTGGGAGATTGGGTAGAGCCCAGGAGGTCAAAGGCTGCAGTGAGCCGTGATCATGCCACTGCACTCCAGCCTGAGCAAGAGTGAGATTCCTTGTCAAAAAAAAAAAAAAAAAGTTCTGTTTTCTCCTTGGTGCATCTATTTGACAAGAGAGGAAACACAAAGATCACTTTGGGTGACTGTCTCTCAAAGCAGACAATGCAAAATACCTAATGAGTTGGGAGGCCAGGGTGGGTGGATCACTTGAAATCAGGAGTTCGAGACCAGCCTGGCCAACATGTAAAACTCCGTCTACTAAAAATACAAAAATTAGCCAAGCGTGGTCCAGGGCGCCTGTAATCCCAGCTACTCAGGAGGCTGAGGCAGGAGAATCTCTTGAACCTGGGAGGCGGAAGTTTCAGGGAGCCAAGATCGCGTCATTG
The DNA here is from genome assembly GCF_000001405.40 of Homo sapiens. Taxonomy (NCBI): domain Eukaryota; kingdom Metazoa; phylum Chordata; class Mammalia; order Primates; family Hominidae; genus Homo; species Homo sapiens. The sequence continues at coordinate 6,585,040 of NC_000019.10, read as the reverse complement.
CACTGCAGCCTGGTGAGGGGTGTCGCAAACCACCATGGCACACATTTAACTATGTAATGGAACTACACATCCTGCACATGTACCCCAGAACTTAAATAATAATAATAAAAGATCACTTGAGGTCAGGAGTTCAAGACAAGCCTGGCCAACATGGCGAAACCTCACCTCTACTGAAAATACAGGGTCTTGATCTGTCGCCCAGGCTGCAGTGCGGTGGCATGATCCTGTCTCACTGCGGCCTCAAACTCCTGGGCTCAAGCGATCCTCCCACCTCAGCCTCCCAAATAGCTAGGACCGCCAGCACAGGCCACCACACCCGGCTATTTTTTTTTTTTTTTTTTTGAGATGAGGTCTCATTACATTGCCCCAGCTGGTCTCAAACTCCAATCTCCCGAAATGCCGATCTTCCCGCCTCGGTCTCCCCAAGTGCTGGGATTACAGGCATGAGCCACTGCCTGGACCTCAAATACATTTTGGAACTCAGAATTTACCAGTATTTAAAGATGGTGTACAGGATTATACCATCTTTTTTTTTGAGATGGAGTCTCGCCCTGTTGTCCAGGCTGGAGTGCAGTGGCATAATCTCAGCTCACTGCAACCTCCACCCTCCCAGGTTCAAGCAATTCTTCTGCCTCAGCCTCCCAAGTCTGGGACTACAGAAATCCGCCACCACGTCCGGCTAATTTTTCTATTATTAGTAGAGACGGGCTTCACCATGTTGGCCAGGATGGTCTCGATCTCTTGACCTTGTGATCCACCCGCCTCGGCCTCCCAAAGTGCTGGGACTACAGTTGTGAGCCACCGCGCCTAGCGCTTATACCATCTTTTATGCATCACCTCAGTGAGGTCGGGACAGCATTTTGTAATCAAACACCACATCTTTTTTTTTTTTTTTTACAATGAGAAGTGTTAACATTCACACTAAGTGGGATAAAAATCAAGACTACAGGCCAGGCGCGGTGGCTCATGCCTGTAGTCCCAGCACTTTGGGAGGCCGAGGTGGGCGGATCGCCTGAGGTCAGGAGTTTGAGACCAGCCTGGCCGACGTGGTAAAACCCCGTCTCTACTAAAAACACAAAAATTAGCCAGGCATGGTGGCCGGCACCTGTAAACCCAGCTACTCAGGAGGGTGAGGCAGGAGGGTCACTTAAACCCCGGAGGTGGAGGTTGCAGTGAGCCAAGATCATGTCATTGCACTCCAGCCTGGGTGACAAGAGCGAAACTCCATCTCAAAAAAAAAAAAAAAAAAAATCAAGACCACAGTTACCAATCTGGCTAACATGGTGAAACCTCATCTCTACTAAACATTTAAAAATTAGCTGGGTGTGGTGATGGGCACCTCTAATCCATGCTACTAGGGAGGCTGAGACAGGAGACTCTCTTGAACTCAGGAGGTGGAGATTGCAGTGAGCTGAGATAGTGCCACTGCACTCCAGCCTGGGTGGCAGAGTGAGACTGTCTTTAAAAAAAAAAAAAAAAAAAAAAAAGACTACAATTAACAAAAAGTTAGTTCAGGTCAGAGATTGCTGCCAAACAATTCACCAAAACAACTTGATTTCCAGGGCTTTTTGGATTTTGGAACTGGGGACTCAAAGTCAAGTGCTTCTTACGGCATTTAATATGGACTGCACACTGTTTTATCCCATTAACTCAGCTCGTGTTCATGCAAGCCCTACAAAGCTGGAGGAATCATCATTGTTCCCATTTCACAGATGAGGAAAACAGAGGCGTAAACCGTTGAGTCATCTGTCCAAAGTTACTGGTTTTGTAACAGCTGGAACCTCAGTATTTAACAGTTGAGGAAAATAGTGGCAGAAAACCTGAGTCACAAGCCCGAGGCAATTCATCTACATAGTAGTGGACTCAGGATTCCAAGCCAGATAATCCCGCATCTTGCATCCATGATCTCACTTCTAGAAGGGGAAGTGAGAGGAGTGGTGGGGTGTCCCAGCTGAGGGAGGGAAAATGAGACCCATGCGCCACCCGCCCTCACAAATCTAGCCCTGCAGCCCCTCTCCAACCTTACCTGGACTCAGAACCATGCATCTGGAAAAGCCACAGACACTCGACGCCAGCCTGTGAAAGCAGCCGGGAGGGAGGCTGTATCCTGCAAAGCCACAGGGAAGGGGCTGCCCAAGACCATGGGAACCCACCACTTACATCAGCGTGACCTGGATGTGAGACACAGAGTCAAAGGAGATTATCTGGCAGCTTTAAGATTGGACTGCCTGACTATTCACAATAGCAAAGACTTGGAACCAACCCAAATGTCCATCAATGATAGACTGGATTAAGAAAATGTGGCACATATACACCATGGAATACTATGCAGCCATAAAAACGGATGAGTTCATGTCCTTCATAGGGACATGGATGAAGCTGGAAACCATCATTCTGAGCAAACTATTGCAAGGACAGAAAACCAAACACCGCATGTTCTCACTCATAGGTGGAAATTGAACAATGAGAATACTTGGACACAGGGAGGAGAACATCACACACCGGGGCCTGTCGTGGAGTGTGGAGTCGGGGGAGGGGGGGAGGGATAGCATTAGGAGAAATACCTAATGTAAATGACAAATTAATGGGTGCAGTAAACCAACACGGCACATATATACATATGTAACAAATCTGCACGTTGTGCACATGTACCCTAGAACTTAAAGTATAATTAAAAAAAAAAAAAAAAAAAGATTTGACTGCCTGGCCAGGCACAGTGGCTCATGCCTATAATCCTAACACTTTGGGAGGCCGAGGCGAGCAGATTGCCTGAGCTGAAGAGTTCGAGACCAGCCTGGGCAATATGGTGAAACCCCGTTTCTACTAAAATACAAAAAAAAAAAAATTAGCCAGGCGTGGCAGCGTGCGCCTGTAGTCCCCGCGACTTGGAGGCTGATGCAGGAGAATCGCTTTAACCCGGGAGGCAGAGGTTGCAGTGAGCCGAGATCGAGCCACTGTACTCCAGACTGGGTGACAGAGCGACACTCTGTCTCAAAAAAAAAAAAAAGATTTAACTGCCCCACTGGATTTTGGAATTGCAGGGGACCTTCAGCCCCTTCGTTTGTCCAGTTTCTCCCATTTGGAATGGGTATATCCAACGCCTGTACCCCATTGTATATAGGAAGTAACTAACTTGCTTTTGATTTTACAGGCTCACAGAAGGGACGTGCCTTGTCTCAGATGAGATTTTGGACTGTGGACTTTTGAGTTAATGCTGAAATGAGTTAAGACTTTGGGGGATAGTTAGGAAGGCATGACTAGTTTGAGGACATTATACTCAATGAAATAAGCCAGTCAAAAAGGAAAAATATGTATTGTATAAACTAACTTACATTAATCTACCACATAGGATTAAAACTGTTCACAGGAATATAAAATAGAATTTTTTAGATATACAGTCTTTGAGGGTTTCCTTGTGTTTCTACCAGTCCAGAACTTTTCTTCAGGTGCTTAACCGTCATTTGAATCAGTTCTATTTTCTTTTTTCTTTGTTTGTTTTGATTTTTTGTTTCTTTGTTTGTTTTTTGAGATGGAGTTTCGCTCTTGTCACCCAGGCTGGAATGCAGTGGCACGGTCTCAGCTCACTGCAACCTCCACCTCCCGAGTTCAAGTGATTCTCCTGCCTCAGCCTCTCGAGTAGCTGGGATTACAGGCATCCACCACCACGCCTGCCTGTAATCCCACCTACTCGGGAGGCTGAGGCAGGAGAATCGCTTGAACCTGGGAGGCAGAGGTTGCAGTGAGCCAAGATCGTGCCACTGCACTCCAGCTTGGGCAACAGAGTGAGACTCCATTTCCAAAAAAAAAAAAAAGAGAGAAAGAAAAAGAAATTCAATGTCCATTAACAGGAAGGCTGAGGCAGGAGGCTAGAATCCAGGAGTCTGCAGTGAGCTATGTTCATGTGGCACTCCACCTAGGGTGACAAAGGAATATAAAGAAAAAAAAGAAAGAAAGAGACAAAGAGAGAGAGAGAAGGAGGGAAGGAGGGAAGAAGGAAGGAAGGATTATTTGATGTTACATGATTTTCACCTCAATTTTTGAAAAAAGAGTGTATACACAGGGTTTTATAGAAAAGAAAATACAAGGCCAGGCGCAGTGGCTCACACCTGTAATCCCAGCACTTTGGGAGGCCAAAGCAGGTGAATCAGCTGAGGTCAGGAGTTTGAGACCAGCCTGGCCAACGTGGTGAAGCCCCATGTCTATAAAAATAGAAAAAAATTAGCCAGGCGTGGTGGTGGGCACCTGTGGTCCCAGCTGCTCAGGAGTCTGAGGCAGGAGAATTGCTTGAACCTGGGAGGCAGAGGTTGCAGTGACCCAAGATCATCACACCACTGCACTCCAGCCTAGGCAACAAAGCGAGACTCCATCTCCAAAAAAAAAAAAAAGAGAGAGAGAGAGAAAAGAAAGAAAAAAGAAAATTCAAAGTCCGTTAACAGTTAATCACCATCTTGTCCACCTCCTCAAAAGGAAATTCAATGTCCATTAACAGGACCACGAGCGGTGACTCATGCTTGTTCCCAGCACTTTGGGAGGCCAAGACGGGTGATTCACCTGTCCCAGCTGAGAGAGGGGAAGGATCACCCGCCTCGGCTTGGTCAGAAGGGTAATAAGGGCAAGACCAGCCTGGCTTATATGGCAAAACCCTATCTCTACTAAAATACAAAAAAAAAAAAAATAGCCAGGCATGATGGCAGGCGCCTGTAGTCCCTGCTACCTGGGAGGCTGAGGCAGGAGAATCGCTTGAACCCAGGAAGCAGAGGTCGCAGTGAGCCAAGATCACAACAAGTCTGGCTATTTTTTTTTTTTTTTTTTTTTTTGTATTTTTAGTAAAGACTGGGTTTCACCATGTTGGCCAGGCTGGTCTTGAACTCCTGACCTCAGGTGACCCACCCACCTTGGCCTCCCAAAGAGCTAGGATTACAGGCATGAGCTGCTGTGCCCAGCCTCATCTTTTGAAATTTAGCATTAAACTCGGACATCCAGATTAACAGGATAGAGACCAGAGATGTCCACTGTCATAAATTTAGCCTGCACAAAGGAGGAACTGGTGTTTTGATGAATCTACGTAATTCACCAATTAACCGACCACACTTTGTGTGTGGTCTTTTTTAAGGGTGATGGTAAATGCTTCATGAGTCTGTTGTGCTGAGATAGGAAAACTGTATCTCTTTAAAATTCTCATAATACTGATTTAAATATCATGCTGGTGTGTGTATGTACAATGCACATGCAAATTTCCAGCAAACCTTACCAGCCCTAAGACCCAAGTGAGGCTATTTGAACGCAGAGCCCACATTTTCCAATTTGGGGTAAACCCACTCCTTAATAGCTCGCAAGCCTCCAGAGAGCCCACATATTTGTGCCCCAATATCTGCTCATTTCCTCCTACCCCTATTCCCTGGTAACCACAGTTCTACTCTCTGTCTAAGAGTTTGGCTTTGTTTTTTTTTTTAAAGATTCCCCATATTGACAGAACAGGAGTATCACCATCTTGGACAAGTGCTGCCATTTTAAGTTTCATCTTGATCAGAGCTGGGCGGGGTGGCTCACACCTATAATCCCAGCACTTTGGGAGGCCAAGGTGGGCGGATCATGAGGTCAGGAGATTGAGACCAGCCTGGCTAACATGGTGAAACCCCGTCTCTACTAAAAATACAAAAAAATTAGCCAGGCGTGGTGGCGGGTGCCTGTAGTCCCAGCTACTCAGGAGGCTGAGGCAGGAGAATGGCATGAACCCGGGAGGCAGAGGTTGCAGTGAGCTGAGATCACACCACTGCATCCAGCCTGGGCAACAAAGAGAGAGTCCATCCCAAAAAAAAAAAAAAAAAAAAGTTTCATCTTGATCAAAAAACTGCCTAAATCCAAATGGCATCAGCCTAATGGCTAAGGTCACTATGACCATAAACCACAAATAACATCCTCAACCACAGACATTCCAGCCCCAAGATAACCTCCTTTCTGGCTGGGAAGATGTCAGCCCCAAGATAACCTCCCCTGTGACCAGAGACATTCCAACCCCCCGCCATAAACCTCTCCTCCACACAGAAACATTCCAAGCTTGTGATAAGCCCCCTCACCCTAAAACCAATATATACTTTTAATCTGTAAGAGAGAGCACTCTTGACCAAAATTGGCCAGAAGCCCCTCTCAGGTTTATTCTCCAAAATAAACCCGTCTTTGACTGTTGAGCCCCTTTTCGTGTTTCTTTTCTCTTTCTTTAACTCTTACACGTATAAGTAAGATCACGCAGTATTTGCCTTTCTGTGTCTGGCTTATTTCACTTAGCCTAATGTCCTCCAGGTTCATCCATATTGTCCCAAATGTCAGGATTTTCTTCTCTTGTAAGATGAAATAGTATTCCAATGTGTCTGTAGACCATACTTTCTTTATCTATTCTTTCATTAATGGACACTTATGTTGTTTTCATGTCTTGGCTATTATAAATAATTCTGCAATGGCACTATTCACAATAGCAAAGACTTGGAACCAACCCAAATGCCCATCAGTGACAGACTGGACAAAGAAAATGTGGCACATATACACCATGGAATACTATGCAGCCATAAAAGAGAATGAGTTCATGTCCTTTGTAGGGACATGGATGAAGCTGGAAGCCAAGCCATCATTCTCAGCAAACTAACACAGGAACAGAAAACCAAACACCGCGTGTTCTCACTCATAAGTGGGGGTTGAACAATGAGAATACATGGACACAGGGAAAGGAACATCACACACCGGGGCCTGTCAGGGGTTGGGGGGCAAGGGGAGGGAGAGCATTAGGACAAATACCTAATGCATGTGGGGCTTAAAACCTAGATGATGGGTTGATAGGTGCAGCAAACCACCATGGCACATGTATACTTATGGAACAAGTCTGCACATTCTACACATGTATCCCAGAACTTAAAGTAAAATTTAAAAAAAAATAGTAATGCTGCAATGTTCATGCAGATATTACTATGTTCTGACTTCTCAACGTCAGAAGTGCAGCCTTTGAGGAACTGAAACCTGTGTAGCTGAAAGCTATTAAAGAGCAGATTCTCCTGCTCCAAATACTGCATTCTGGAAGAGGGAAGTAAGCTCTTCCAGTCTTAGTGAAACTGTTCTCTGACGTCTTTCTCATATATACCCTGGTTTCCCCATGGGGGCCATGCAAGACCCAGGGCATTCTGGAAGAGGGTGCTGGGGTCTTCTGGTCTTAGTGAAGCTGTTCTCTGGTGTCTGTCTTATATACCCTGGTTCTCTGATGGGACCACACAAGACCCAGAGAAGGCAAACACTTCCACTGGCAGACCTGTGGCAGATTCTTCTCTCCTCCAGCCCCAAGATGATATTGTATTTGCAAGATTGTTTCCTCCCTGAGAATTGGCTTAACACTTTGCCGTTATTCAAATAGGCTGAGACGGGGTGTGTCTCATCCGCTCAGGGGGCAAGCCCAGACAAGCCCAGACAAGACCAAGCTTTCTTTACATTCAGAGACTATCTGGACTCTCAGATGCATATGCAACTCAAAAACCACCTACCACCAGTACCCATAAACACACACACACACACATACACTGAGCACAGCCTCCTCAAGTGCACACACCCAGCCTTTATCTTTGTGTGCACACTTTTGTGCATGCTTAGTCTTTTATGTGCACCGACCATTACTCTGTCAAATAAAAAACAAATCTGAATTTAGCAAGGGAAGACTTTATTCAAAAAGACTATTGCAAGGAGGGTAGAATAGGACTATCCTGTCACACACACCCATGTGAAGAGAGTCCACCAACAGGCTTTGTGTGAGCAACGAGGCTGCTTATTTCCCTTGGGTGCAAGTGGACTGAGTCCAAAAAGAGTGTCAGCAAAGGGAGATGGGGTGGGGCAGTTTTATAGGATTTGGGTAGGTAGTGGAAAATTACAGTTAAAGGTGGTTATCTCTTGGGGGCAGGGGCGGGGTCACAAGGTGCGGTGGGGAGATCATGAGACTCATTGTCCAGGAGAAGGAATGTCACAAGGTTGATTGATTGATTAGTTGGGGTGGGGCAGGAACAAATCACAATAGTGAAATGTCCTCTTTTGTGGTTCTTGAGTTGCTCCAGGCCATCTGAATGTATACGTGCAGGTCACAGGGGTTATGATGGCTTAGCTTCAGCTCAGAGGCCTGACATTACTGTCTTCTTATATTAATAGGAAAAACAAAACAAAATAGTGGTGAAGTGTTGGGGTGGCAAAAAGTTTTTGGGGGGGTGGTATGGAGAGATAATGGGCAATGTTTCTCAGGGCTGCTTCGAGTGGGATTAGGGGTGGCGTGGGAACCTAGAGTGGGAGAGATTAAACTGAAGAAAGATTTTGGGGTAAGGGATGATATTGTGGGGTTGTTGGAAGGAGCATTTGTCATATAGAATGATTGCTGATGGCCTGGGTGTGGTTTTGTAGGAATTGAGAAACTAAACGGAAGATACAAGGTCTGAATAAGGGAAGGAGAAAAACAGGTATTTAAGGACTAAGGGAGGACCCAGGATATCCAACTAGAGAGTGCCCAAAGTGGTTCAGCATAATTATTTGCTTGACTGGCGAGTTTCTGGGCTCTGTCCTTGAGTGTTTTTATGTTGTCATATACCAGGCCAGATAGATTTAGGTAAAAACAACAGTCTTCATTTAAAAATATGCAGAGTCTTCCTTTTTCAGCAGTGAGCAAGTTCAGGCCTATTCCTGTCTTCTTATATTAATAGTAAGAAAAACAAAACAGCAGTGAAATGTTGGTGTCATGAGGGGAACAGGAAGCTGTTCGGTCCCATATGCAAATTGATTTTTGGGAGTAAGGAAAACTAGTGTACATGTGCCTGTCCAATTAACAGCTAAACACATGTAGGTGGAGAAGCCACGAAGGAAAAAGAGACCTTGTGTAAGGCAAAACTGGAAATGTAAAGTGAAAAGATGAGAGGATGTACTAAAAGAGGTATCTTCATATGGCTAGGAATCTGGAGTAGGCAAGAGAAGATTAGCAGCCCGGTGAATTTCCTGTCTAGCCTGCTGGAGGACTGGAAGATAGCCGCCTAGAGGGCTGGTGTCTAGGATGAGGTTGGGGCCCAGCAAGAAAGTGCGTCCATATAAAAGTTCAAATGGACTGTACCCTGTGGCCTCTCGAGGACAGGCCCTAATTCTGAGGAGGGCAAGTGGTAGAAGTACTTAAGTTGGAGGCTGAGCTTGGTGAGGTGTGTTTTTAAAAGACCATTCGTCTGTTCTACCTTTCCTGAAGATTGAGGACGGTAAGGGGTATGAAGTTTCCACTGAATACCAAGAGCCTGAGAAACTGCTTGGGTGATTTGACTAATAAAGGCGGGACCATTGTCAGATTGAATAGAAGCAGGGAGGCCAAATCGGGGAATTATATCTGTTAGAAGGGAAGAGATGATGGCAGTACCCTTTTCGGAGCTAGTGGGAAAAGCCTCAACTCATCCGGTGAAGGTATCGACCCAAACCAGGAGATATTTAAATTTACGGACATGGGGCATATGAGAAAAGTCAATTTGCCAATCTTGTGTCGGAGTAAATCCACGAGCCTGATGCATAGGAAAAGGAGGAGGCCTGAGAAAGCCTTGGGGGCTGGTGGCATGGCAGACAGAGCATTGAGAGGTGATGGTCTTAAGGATGGATTTCCACAGAGGGAAGGAGATGAGGGGCTGTAGGAGGCGAGCCAGAGACTTGTATCCCACATGGAGGTGGTCATGAAGGAAAGAAAGAATGAACTGAGCTTGTGAGGCAGGAAGAATGAATTTTCCATGATTTAAGAACCACTTGCCCTGAGTTGGAAAAGACTGGTAGAGCAGGTTTCCAGAAGAAGAGTAGGTGGGAGTGATAGAGGAGAAAGAAAAATACTGGCCCTCTGGAGCGGGGGCTGGAATATTGGCAGATGTGGAGGCATTGGCTATTTCTTTTGCTGTCCTGTCGACATAGGCATTTCCTTTTGCAATAAGATCAGTAGGTTTCTGGTGTCCTTTACAATGAATGACTCCAGCCATGGCCGGCGGGAGAGCAGCCTTAAGGAGGGCCTTTATTAGGGAGGCATTGATCATGGAAGAGCCTTGTGTGGTAAAGAAGCCTCTTTCAGCCCAGAGGGCAGCATGGTTATGGAGGATGTGGAAAGCATATTGGAGTCCGTGTAAATGTTAATGTGCATTCTGTTAGCAAGAGAGAGCGCACGAGTTAAAGCAATTAGTTTGGCTTGTTGGGAAGTGGTGGAGGGAGGAAGTGCAGCAGCTTCGATAATAAAGATGTGGGACACGACATCATATCCAGCTTTAGCTGGTGAAAATTGATTGGGTTTAGAAGCACTGCCATCGATAAACCAAGCGTGGCCTGGGTTTGGAACTGGAAGAATAGAAATCTGAGGAAAGCGGGAAGATGCTATGTGTGTTAGGGAAACAGTCATGTGGTTCAGGACTTGTGTAAACGAACCCAGGTTTGGCTGCTCATCATTTGAAAGCCAGACTCAAGAGACAAGGATTGGAGGAAGGAAAAGCAGGTTTAATCAGAGAGCCAGCAGACTGGGAAGATGGGAGACTATAGTCTTAAACATCATCTTAAATTTTAAAATCTTACCATAGGGATTTTACAGGAAAGCTTGGTATTGATATAGGAGTTAAGAAGAAATTACTTAGGCAGATAGGGAGATATGGGGGTCCTCGGTAAGGTCTTCCTCTTAATGAAAAGCAGCCCCCAAATCATTTTCTTCTCTAGCAAAGAGCAGCCTGTAAAATCGAGTGGCAGACATAGACAAAAAAGCTAGAAGTTTGCACAGGTGAATGCTGGCAGTTGTGCCAATAGGAAGAAACTACTCGGGAATAGGCATGCTCAAAATGGCAGCTCCGTCTTCTCTTCTCTTTGCCAGCCACATGTACAGTAAGAGGCAGACAAGATGGCACTGACCAAGCAGAAAGCCATTTGCATGATAAGATTAGGGTGGGGCAACCAGCCTTCCCCACGCACCATGTAAACATCACACCTGGTCGAACCAATCTGTGGGCCTTACATAAGTCAGACACCTCCTTCTCAAGCCTGCCTGTAAAATCTGATGAGGTCCACCACTTTTTCCTTTTCAGACACCTCTCTCTCGAAAGAGGGAGAGAGCTGCTCCTCTTCTCTCCTTTCTTCTGCCTATTAAACTTTCTGCTTCTTAACCCATTCCATGTGTGTGTGTCCATATTGTTAATCTTCTTGGTGCAAGAGGACGACTCCCAGGTATTTACCCCAGACAACAATGCCACTTCAGTATGGGAGATGTGGAGTAGAATGGTGCACGGTATGGGGTCTGTGTGTCTTGTTCCAATGGCTAACTTGGGTTGTCGTCTGTTCAGGGGTCTGGTTGGTATTATCTTGACTTTGTCCAAATGATGGTGGACTAACCATTAGTATTAGTGGCTCTCCCTAAGTGAAAGGATTCTGTAATCAGGGCTCCTGATTTGCCTGGTTTGTTTTAAGATTAGCCTCTGGAATTTCTCAAGGAAGTGCCTAATTAGATAAGCATGCATTGCCAGAAGGGAGTATCTAGAGAGGGAAGGAATGAAGAGGTGAGAGGAGAGGAGGGTGATTAAAAGTATATATGTGTGTAGATAGATAGATAGATAGATAGATAGATAGATAGATAGATAGATACTTATAAATAAATGAATATACACATATATATATATTTTTTTTTAGAGGGAGTCTCACTCTTCTCGCCCGGGTTGGAGTGCAGTGGTGCAATCTCAGCTCACTGCAACCTCCTTCTCCCGGGTTTAAGCAATTCTTGTGCCTCAGCCTCCCAAGTAGCTGGGATTATGACTCCCACCACCACACCCGGCTAATTTTTTTGTATTTTCAGTAGAGGCAGGGTTTCACCATGTTGGCCAGGCTGATCTTGAACTCCTGACCTCAGGTGATCTGCCCACCTCAGCCTTCCAAAGTGCTGGGAATGCACGCATGAGCCACCGCACCCGGCAATTAAAATATCTTTTTAGGCTGGTCCAAGTGCAGTGGTGTTTACAACTAATTGTTCACAACCAGTTACATATTTCTTTGTTCCTTCTCCACTCCCACTGCTTCACTTGACTATCCTAATAAAAAAATTAATAAATAAAATATATTTTTAAACTGAAGTCCCCAGTTACGAAATCCCCACCATCAAACTCCATTCCATTTCTATGGAAAACAGGTGATGCATCCATTCTGGCTACTTCCTGCTGAAAAGGGGCAGAATTAGGCAGCCATGGGGTAGAACCTATCCACCTGGAGTTGAAAGGATTCACAAGTCCCTGGGCTTACACAAGAGAATCTTCTGGGAAGGGCAGAGCAAGGTGGCCAAATAAAGAGTGCCACCAATCATCCCTCCAACAGGAGCACCAAGTTTGACAACTAGCTACACAAAGGGAGTGCCTTCCTAGGACCCAAAAATCAGGTGAGCACTCACAGTGCCTGGTTTTGACTTCATATCGCTGAAAGAGGCACTGAAGAGGGAAGGAAAGACAGTCTTGAATTGCCAATGCCACCCCTCCCCCACCCCCCCCAGCAGCAACCATGTGGACAGAGAGTCTGTGAGTTGGGAGGGGGAAAGCGCAGCAATTGTGAGGCTTTGCATTGAATTCACTGCTCACTTGTCACAGCAGAAAGCGGAACTGGGCTGTCCCCAGCTGACCCATCCATAGGGGAAGCAGTTGGACTGGCCCTAACCAGAGCGGAATCACCCATTTCAGTGGTCAGGGCTTGAGTTCCAGCAAGCCTTGCCACTGCAGGGTGGAGTGCTCTGGGTCCCTAAGTGAATTTGAGGGAAAGTGATTCAGTCAGAAAGAAAAGGTTGTCAATGAGCAGTAAGAAATCATCCGAAGGTACAACACTCACTGGTAATAGTAAGTACACAGAAAAAACACAGAGTATTATAAGACTGTAGCTGTGGTGCATAAAGGACTCTTATCTTAACTAGAAAGACTAAAAGATAAAACAATCAAAAATAATACCTACAACAGCTTTTCAAGACACAGACTGTGCAATAAGATATAAACAGAAACAACAAAAAGTTAAAAAGCAGGAAGGCAAAGTTAGAGTTTTGTTTTGTTTTTTGAGATGGAGTCTCGTACTGTCACCCATGCTGGAGTGCAGTGGTGCCATCTCAGCTCACTGCAACCTCCACCTCCCAGGTTCAAGCAATTCTCCTGCCTCAGCCTCCCGAGTAGCTGGGATTACAGGCACCCGCCACCACACCCAGCTAATTTTTTGTATTTTAGTAGCAACGGGGTTTCACTATGTTGGCCAGGCTGGTCTCGAACGTCTGACCTCATGATCCACCTGCCTCAGCCCCCCAAAGTGCTGGGATTACAGGCGTGAGCCACTGCACCCTGCCTGCAAAGTTAGAATTTTTACTAGTATTCTTTTTGCTTGCTTGTTTGTTTATTTATGCAAGCAGTGTTAAGGTGTTATCAGCTTAAAATAATGGTTATAAGATAGTATTTGCAAGCCTCATGGCAACCTCAAATCAAAAAACATACAATGGATACAAAACAAATAAAAAGCAATAAATTAAATTAAACCACCAGAGAAAATCACCTTCACTAAAAACAAGATAGGAAAGAAGGAAAGGAAGACCAGAAAGCAAACTAAAATGCCAGAAGTAAGTCTTTACTTATGAATAATAACATTAAATGTAAATGGACTAAAGTCTCCAATCAAAAGATATAGGGTCACTGAATGAATTAAAAAAAGAAACAAGACCCAATGATCTGTTGCCCACAAGAAACACACTTCACTTATAAAGATACACACAGACTGAAAATGAAGGGATGGAAAAAGATATTCCATGCCAATGGAGACCAAAGAAGAGCAGGAGTAGCTATACTTAGACAAAATAAGTTTCAAGACAAAAACTATAAGAAGAGACAAAGAAGGTCATTATACAATGATAAAGGGATCAATTCAGCAAGAGAATATGGCCATTGTTAATATATATGCACCCAACACTGGAGCACCCAAATATAACAAGCAAATACTATTAGAGCTAAAGTGAGAGATAGACCCCAATACAATAATAGCTGGAAACTTCAACAACCTGCTTTCAGCACCGGACAGATCTTCCAGCCAGAAAATCAACAAAGAAACATCAGAATTAATGTGCGCTATAGACAAAATGAACCTAATAGATATTTACAGAACATTTCTTTCAACAGCTACAGAATAAACGTTAAATAAAGCTGCAGAATAAACATTGAAAACAGCTGCAGAATAAACACCTTTTCCTCAGCACTTGGATCATTCTTAAGGATGGACCATATGTTAGGTCACAAAACAAGTCTTAAAATATTCAAAAAAAATTAAAATAATATCAAGCATCTTCTCTGACCACAATGAAATAAAACTAGAAATCAATAACAAGAGAAATATTGGAAAGTATACAAACACAATGGAAATTAAACAATACACTCCTGAACAACCAGTGGGTCAATGAAGAATTAAAAAATAAATTCAGAAATTCCTCAAAACAAATGATAATGAAAACATGACATACCAAAACCTATGGGGTACAGTGAAAGCAGTACTAAGAGGGAAGCTTTAGCTATAAGCACCTACATCAAAAAAGAAGAAAAACTTAAAATAAACACACTAACAATGCATCTTAGAGAACTAGAAAAGCAAGAGCCAACCAAACCCAGACTCAGTAGAATGAAAGAAATAATAAAGATCAGAGCAGCCGGGTGTGGTGGCTCACGCCTGTAATCCCAGCACTTTGGGAGGCTGAGGCGGGCAGATCACGAGGTCAGGAGATCAAGACCATCCTGGCTAACATGGTGAAACCCCGTCTCTACTAAAAGTACAAAAAATTAGCCGGGCATGGTGGCAGGCGCCTGTAGTCCCAGCTACTCAGGAAGCTGAGGCAGGAGAATGGCGTGAACCCGGGAGGCGGAGCTTGCAGTGAGCCGAGATGGCGCCACTGCACTCTAGCCTGGGTGACAGAGAGAGACTCCATCTCAAAAAAAAAAAAAAAGAAGCCTCTGGGAAAGCCAGTCTTGCATTCCCATACATAGCATGCAACAGCAATACAGTCCAGGGTAGAAAAATAAAGCTATCCCTATAATCATGGCTAAAATCACAAGCAAATTTTTCCATCTGGAGGGACCTTATCCAAACCATGAGGAGAGTCATTGATTTAAAGATATTGTGGGGCCAGGCATGGTGGCTCACCTGTAATCCCAGCATTTTGGGAGGTTAAGGTGGGTGGATCATTTGACGTCAGGAGTTTCAGACCAGCCTGACCAACATGGTGAAACCCCACCTCTACTAAAAATACAAAAAAAAAATTAGCTGGGCATAGTGGGGCTATAAGTGATAGTGAATAAGTCTCACGAGATCTGATGGTTTTAAAAACAGGAGTTTTCCTGTGCCTGTAGTCCCAGCTACTCAGGAGGCTGAGGCAGGAGAATCAGTTGAACCTAGGAGGTAGAGGTTGCAGTGAGCTGAGATCACATCACTGCACTCCAGCCTGGGCAACAAGAGTGAAACTCCTCAAAAAGAAAAGAAAAGAAAAGAAAGCTGGGTGCGGTGGCTCACGCCTATAATCCCAGCACTTTGGGAGGCAGAAGCGGGTGGATCATGAGGTCAGGAGATCGAGACCATCCTGGCTAACACAGTGAAACCCCGTCTCTACTAAAAATACAGAAAATTAGCCTGGCATGGTCGTGGGCGCCTGTAGTCCCAGCTACTCAAGAGACTGAGGCAGGAGAACGGCGTGAACCCGGGAGGCAGAGCTTGCAGTGAGCCAAGATCGCACCACTGCACTTCAGACTGGGTGACAGAGCGAGATACCATCTCAAAAAAAAAAAAAAAAAAGAATAGAATAGAATAGAATAGAATAGAATAAAAATATTACTATTAAGCCCTATAGATCAAAAGTTCTTTTCAGGACAAAAAGGCACACAAGCTTGCAATTTCTGTAAACCAGCCAGATCTAGCCCGTGGTCAGTGGTTTCTTCATCAGGAAAAAGTTACTGAAATAAGTCTCTTGCCTAATTAAAGCCATAGTTATGGCTGGTGGTCAGTTAGCATCCAGTGGAGCTGCAAAGTGCTTTAACGTTGCTTATCTAGAGGCAAATGCTTGTTTGGCTGCTTGGGAAAAAGAAAAACTTTGTGGCATTTAGAACATAGTTTACTTCTTTTTTTTAGATGGAGTCTCACTCTGTCATCCAGGCTGGAGTGCAGTGGTGTGATCTCGGCTCACTGCAACCACCGTCTCCCAGGTTCAAGCGATTCTCCTGCCTCAGCCTCCCGAGTAGGTGAGACTATAGGCGCATGCCACCAACCTGGTTAATTTTTTGTATTTTCAGTAGAGATGGGGTTTCCCCATGTTAGCCAGGATGGTTTTGATCTCCTGACCTCATGATCTGCCCACCCCAGCCTCCCAAAGTGCTGGGATGAACATAGTTTACTTTTTAAGTGAAGGAGTGTGTGATTTAACCTTTGCTGGCATGGTCTTAGGTTCTGTTTATAATTTGGTATCTTTTTTTTTTTTTTGAAACACGATCTTGCTCTGTCACGCAGGATGGACTGGAGTGGCACAGTCATAGCTCACTGTAGCCTCGAACTCCCAGGCTCAAGCTATCTTCCCACCTCAGTCTCCCAAATACCTGGTGTAGGAGATTGGTCAGGGTGGTGGGAGAAATTATAGAGTTATAGGAAATAGACACAAACTTTCTTGGAAGGCCGGGTAGTTTGCATCACTTCAGTAAAAGATTTGGCTGGAGGCAGCTGAATTCTCTTAAAAGCTTAGGGCGTAGATACATAGGAATGTAGAGGAATTTATCTAAATAGCTTGTTTACTCATGTGGTCCTAAGACTGACCTTTGGTCATCTGCGGGTGCATGACTGCTCTCTACTCAGGAGGTCAGCAATGTTAATTACCCTCCAGTGGTGTTTACTTGAGACATTTGTCATTTAATCTGTACTAAATAAATGCAAACTTCGCCAGTTTATCGAGGCCAATGCTGTGGACTCAGGCAGCAGAGCCCCTTAGCCACACTGACAGGCAAAATGTCTGTGTCAGTGTACGTCTTTCATCCATCACTGGGTCAGGGTCCACAGATCGGACCTGGCAACCTGATACTACAGGTGCACGCCACCATACCTGGCTTAATTCGCTATCTTATTGTTACAGAAAGCCTGTTCTGTCTTGTGATTTTTATTTGACCATTAATGGTGGTCAGTTTTTGTGTCTAAACCACAAAAAGAAGGTATGCCTGGCCTCCCATCCCATTATGTCTGGGAACTAAGTTTTTAAGGTTTTTTACAGGGGCTTCCCTTGGCCAAGGAGGGATCCATTCTGTCAGTAGCAGTGGGAAGAGGGAGCTTGGGATTTAATTATCAGTTTACATTCCCCCTTTTTTTGGTCATTATATGCCAGATGCAACATCGATGGCCAAACTTCTATTTTGTCCCATATTATTGCTGGGGTGGTGTGTCTGCCTACCCAGGCCCAACATGTCCCTCGGTGGGACCCCATGCCCAAGGGATTTGGAGTCAAAATGTTTATAGCCAACTAAATATTCCAGGCCAGATGGGAATGGCGGTGGGCAGGTTCTCATTAACCCTGGGAACCCTTTAGGTAACATGAGAGCCAAAAATCAAATGCCAAAAGGCGAGGTTATAAAATTGGCATCTATTTAAGTTCTATGCATTGAGCTACTGTAATCTTGGTTGTAGTTACACGCTTGTAGTAATTAGCTATACAAAACATAAGCATTTTCCTAAAACCATTTAAGCTAAGGAATTTAGAGACTTTCAATGTGCTGCAAGGCTTTTTGTAGTCTTTTTAGTAATTCCTCCTAAGGTGGCTGATAAAATTGTTTATATAATTGGCATCATTTTATTACTGGGAGCACTATATCCAGAAGGCTTTGTCACCAGGTGATATTGTTTGGCTGTGTCACCACCCAAATCTCATCTTGAATTCCCACACATTGTGAGAGGTACCTGGTGGGAGGCAATTGAATCATGGGGGCAGGTCTTTCCCATGCTGTTCTCATGATAGTGAATAAGTCTCATGAGATCTGATGGTTTTAAAAACAGGGTTTCCCTGTACAAGCTCTCTTTTTGCCTGCTGCCATCCATGTAAGACGTGACTTGCTCCTTCTTGCCTTCCTTCATGATTGTGAGGCTGCCCCAGACACGTGGAACTGTAAATCCTTTTTCCTGTATAAATTACCCAGAATTGGGTCTGTCTTTACCAGCAGCATGAAAACAGACTAATACACCAGGTATCTGGATATCTTTCCGTAATTTTTGTTTAATTCTATGGAGAGCAAAACTTTTTATGGTTGGGATGGATGGAGAGAGGCAACATAGTAGGCCAAGACACAGTCTTATTTTGGCAGATGTTTGGGCATCTGTGTGCCCATGCTTGAGTAGGAGGGTCTGAAATAATTCTATCCCTCAAATTTGGCCCTTACAATCTCACATGCCCACCTCTTATGTGACAGTCCCTGAGCCTAGAGGGAAGGGGCTTATACAGGTTTAGCAGCAGATCATTAGCAATGAAAGCACATAAGTCCCAGTGAGATTCTAAATAGTTTTTAAATTTCAGAGATATCAGGCCAGGCATGGTGGCTCATGCCTGTAATCCCAGCACATTAGGAGTCCAAGGTGGGAGGATCACTTGAGGTCAGGAGTTCAAGACCTTCCTGGCCAACATGGTGAAACCCCATCTTTACTAAAAACACAAAAAATTAGCTGAGTGTAGTGTCAGGCACCTGTAATCCCAGTTACTTGGGAGGCTAAGGCAGGAGAATCACTGAACCTAGGAGGCAGAAGTTGCAGTGAGCCAAGATTGCACTACTGCACTCCAGCCCAGGTGACAGAGTGAGACTCCATCTCAACAAAAAAAAATTACCGCACAGCAAAAGAAACTACCATCAGAGTGAACAGGCAACCTACAGAATGGGAGAAAATTTTTGCAATCCACCCATCTGACAAAGGGCTAATATCCAGAATCTACAAAGAACTTAAACAAATTTACAAGAAAAAATCAAACAACCTCATCAAAAAGTGGGTGAAGGATATGAACAGACACTTCTCAAAAGAAGACATTTATGCAGCCAACAGACACAAGAAAAAATGCTCATCGTCGCTGGCCATCAGAGAAATGCAAATCAAAACCACAATGGGATACCATCTCACACCAGTTAGGATGGCGATCATTAAAAAGTCAGGAAACAACAGGTGCTGGAGAGGATGTGGAGAAATAGGAACACTTTTACACTGTTGGTGGGACTGTAAACTAGTTCAACCATTGTGGAAGACAGTGTGGCGATTCCTCAAGGATCTAGAACTAGAAATACCATTTGACTCAGCCATCCCATTACTGGGTATATACCCAAAGGATTATAAATCATGCTGCTACAAAGACACATGCACATGTATGTTTATTGCGGCACTATTCACAATAGCAAAGACTTGGAACCAACCCAAATGCCCATCAATGATAGACTGGATAAGAAAACGTGGCACATATACACCATGGAATACTATGCAGCCATAAAAAAGAATGAGTTCATGTCCTTTGTAGGGACATGGATGAAGCTGGAAACCATCATTCTGAGCAAACTATCACAAGGACAGAAAACCAAACACCACATGTTCTCACTCATAGGTGGGAACTGAATAATGAAAACACTCAGACACAGGAAGGGGATCATCACACACCAGGGTCTGTCGTGGGATAGGGGGAGGGGGTAGGGATAGCATTAGGAGATATACCTAATGTAAATGACGAGTTAATGGGTGCAGCACACCAACATGGCACATGTATACATATGTAACAAAACTGCACATTGTGCACATGTACCCTAGAACTTAAAGTATAATAATAAAAGAAAAAGAAAAAAAAAGTTAGCCTGGTATGGTGGTGTGCGCCTGTAATCCCAGTTTCTGGGGAGGCTGAGGCATAAGAATTGCTTGAACCTGGGAGGCAGGGGTTGCAGTGAGCCAAGAGCATGCCAATGCACTCCAGCCTGGGTGACAGAGAGACTCTGTCTCAAAAAAAAAAAAAAAAAAAAAATGAGAGTTGGCTAGGTAAAGGATAGAAAGTATCAAAGAGAGAAAGGAAGGGAGTTCCTGACTGCAGGAACATCACTGGGCAATAGCTGGGAAGTGGGAAGGAGAAGCCAAAGGAGGCTAATGTAGATGAGGAAGAGGGTGGTGCAATATCCTTCTGAAGAACTAGGCAGAGACTTGTTCACTCAAGACCTTACAGGACTCCTGAGGCACCATCTTCATGGTTGGCAGAGAAGTTGAGTCTGTAGACCCTAACAAAATCTGACTGGACCAGGGATCAGTGGCTAGGTCAAAGATTGTCCAATAGGATCACTCCAGTTTGGATGGTAACTAATCCAGCCAATCAGCTCTCCCCTGGCATGCGTTCCACTGTCCATGGTTCTGAAGTATCTTTGCAAAATAAGACTGTTGATCCCAATCAACAGGTTGGCCACATAACTCTGTATTAGTTAGCTACTGCCGTGTAACAAATCATCACAAACTTAGTGGCTTGAAACAACACTCATTCATTATTTTCATGGTGTCTTCATCAGGAATCTGGGCAAGATTTATATGGGTTCTATTCTCAGGGTTATACAATCAAGGAGTTGACCAAGCTGTGTTTTCATCTGGAGTCTGGGGAAGAATTGTGTTCAAACTCATTAGTGTTGTTGGCAGAATTCAGTTCCTTGCAGTGTAGAACTGAGGCCCCTGTTTTTTTAGCTCATTGTTAGCCAGGGATCACTCTGCTCCTAGAAGATGTTCTTGGGTTTTTTTCATGTGGTCCTTACCACCTTTAAAGCCAGCAACGACAGGTCAAATCCTTCTCAAGGTCTGAATCTCTCTGGCTTCTGACTTTCTTGATATTTGACTTCTACATTCAGATTTATAGAGTTTGTGTGATTAACTCAGGCTCACCTAGACAATTTCCCTTTGATAAATTTAAGGCCAATTGAAGAAGTGGCTCAATCTGCAGTGTGGTGCAGTGCTGAGGAGCTGAGGCCATGGCCACCTCAATGCCAGACTGTCCAGTGAGCAGCATGGCCAAAGCCATCAGCCAGAGCAGCCTTGGAGCAGAAGCAGCAGCTGCCAACGTTTGCAAAGCCCAGCTGACCTGGCCTTGGCATTGTCGATGCCACTGAACAAGTTGAAGGAGGAAGACAAAGAGCCCCTCCTTGAGCTCTGGGTCAAGGCTGTCAGTGATGGTGAAAGCACAGGAATCTGCCTTTTTTCCCAGAGATTCCTCATGATTCTTTAGCTCAAAGGAGTTGTCTTCAGTGTCACAACTGTTGATCTGAAAAAGGAAACCTGCAGATCTGCAAAACAAGGCTCCTGGGAACCACCCACCACTTATAACTTTCAACAGTGAAGTCAAATAAGATTGAGGAAGCTCCTGAAGAAGTCTTATGTCCTCCCAAGTACTTAAAGCTTTCACCAAAACACCCAGAATCAAATACTGCTGGAATGGACATCTTTGCCAAATTCTCTGCATAGATCAAGAATTCAAGGCCAGAGGTTAATGAAGCATGAGTGAAGCATCTCTTAAAAACCCTGCAGAAAATGGTGATTATTAAAAAGTCAAGAAACAACAGATGCTGGTGAGGTTGCAGAGAAAAAGAAACGCTTTTACACTGTTGGTGGTAGTGTAAATTAGTTCAACCATTGTGGAAGACAGTGTGGTGATTCCTCAAAGATCTAGAAGCAGGAAAAACATTTGACCTAGCAATCCCATTAGTGGGCATATACCCAAAGGAATATTCATCATTCTGTTATAAAGATACATGCACGCATATGATCACTACAGCACTACTCACAATAGCAAAGACATGGAATCAACCCAAATGTCCACCAATGATAGACTGGATGAAGAAAATGTGGTACATATACACCATGGAATACTATGCAACCATAAAAAGGAACAAGATCATGTCTTTTGCAGGGACATGGATGGAGCTGGAGCAGTTATTCTCAGCAAACTAACACAGGAACAGAAAATCAAATGTCGCATGTTCTCATTTATAACTATGAGCTGAACAATGGACACAGGGAGGAGAACAACACACAGTGGGGCCTGTCAGTGGGGCAAGGAGAGGAAGAGCATCAGGAAGAATAGCTAATGAATGCTGGGCTTAATACCTAGGTGATGGGTTGATCTCCGCAGCAAATCACCATGGCACACATTTACCTATGTAGCAAACCTGCACATCCTGCACATGTACCCTGGTAGCTAAAATAAAAGTTAAAAAAAAAACTGCAAAAACTTATGAATATCTGAATTCTCCTCTCCCTGATGAAATTGATGAAAATAGCATGCAGGACACTAAGTTTTCTACACATAAATTTCTGAATGGCAATAAAATGGCATTAGCTGATTGCCATCTGCTGCCCAAACTGCATATTGTCAAAAAAAAAGTCACAACTTTGATATTCCAAAAGGAATGACTGGCCAGGCACGGTGTTCATGCTTGTAATCCCAGTACTTTGGGAGGCCAAGGTGGGTGGATCACTTGATGTCAGGAGTTCTAGACCAGCCTGGCCAACATGGTGAAACCCATTTCTACTAAAAATACAAAAATTAGCCAGGCTTGGTGATGGGTGCCTGTAATCCCAGCTACTTGGGAGGGTGAGGCAGGAGAATACCTTGAACCCGGGAGGCGGAGGTTGCAGTGAGCCGAGATCATACCACTGCACTCCAGCCTGGGTAATAAAGCGAGACTCCATCTCAAAAATAAATAAATAAATATAGAAAATAAAAAAATATAGAAAAAAAAGGAATGACTGGCATCTGGAGATACCTAACGAATACAAGTAGTAGGGATATGTTCAACAATACCTGTCCCAATGATAAAGAGATTGAAATAGCAGCAGAAACAGTTAATGTAGTAATGTAACCAAAAGACTCACCAAGTAAACTTGCATTTATGACAGAGATGTCTTCGTGTCTTCTCCTTAAAATATGCTTCTCCTAACAGACCACTCCTCTTCCTTTAGAGTAGAAATTGTATTTAGCACGAACATGAGTTATTCAAGGATTAGGATCAAGGACAGACAAGGTATAGAAGTTATCTTAAAAATAAACACTCCTGGCTAGGTGTGATGGCTCATGCCTGTAATTCCTTGGGAGGCCAAGACAGGTGGATCACCTGAGGTCAGGAGTTCAAGAGCAGCCTGGGCAACATGGTAAAACCCCATTTCTAGTAAAAATACAAAAATTAGCAGGGTGTGGTGGCACACGTCTACATCCCAGCTACTTGGGAGGCTGAGGCAGGAGGATCGCTTGAACCCAGGAGGCAGAAGTTGCAGTGAGCCAAGATCATGCCACTGCACTCCAACCCGGGCGATAAACCAAGACTCCATCTCAAAAAAACAAAAACAAAAAAAAAAAAGAAAAAGAAGAAAAAGAAAAGAAAAGAAAAAAGAAACAAACAAAAAAACACTACTGGAGGGTGCAATGGCTCATGCCTATAATCCCAGGACTTTGGGAGGCCAAGACAGGCAGATCAACTGAGGTCAGGAGTTCGAGACCACCCTGGCCAAACATGGCAAAACCCTGTCTCCACTAAAAACACAAAAACTAGCCAGGCGTGGTGGCACATGCCTGTAGTCCCAGCTACTTGGGAGGCTGAGGCATGAGAATCTCTTGAATCTGGGAGGCAGAGGTTGCAGTGAGGCAAGATCATGCCACTGCACTCCGGCCTGGGAGACAGAGTGAGACCCTGTCTCTAAATAAATAAACAAATGCATTAATTAAATAAATTTTAAAAAAAAACACTCCTGGCTGGAAACAGCGGCTCACACCTGTAATCCCAGCACTTTGGGAAGCTGAGATGGGAGGAGTGTTTGAGCCCAGGTGTTCAAGACCAGCCTGGGCAACATAGTGAGACCTCATTTCTACAAAAATTTTTAACAATTAGGTGGGTGTGATGGCATATATATGCACACGCATACACACTCCTAAGCAGTATTATTTTAAAGTCCTTTTGCTCTACCTACCTCCCTTACCCATGTCCCTCTCTCCTCTAATTTGGAGACACTCTATCACTAACTTTTCACTTGGGAAGTAGTTTGCCATCTCTGAGGAGTCCTCACTATTGTGCCCGTTTCTTGTGCATGGATGGCAGAACTTTTGAGGTGCAATTTTTGTTTTTGTTTTGTTTTTCCTTTTTTTTTTTTTTTTTTAGACAGAGTCTCACTGTGTCACCCAGGCTGGAGTGCAGTGGCACGATCTTGGCTCACTGCAACCTCTGCCTCCCAGGTTCAAGCGATTCTCCTGCCTCAGCTTCCCAAGTAGCTGGGATTACAGGCACCTGCCACCTTCCCCAGCTAATTTTTGTATTTTTAGTAGAGACGGGGTTTCACCACGTTGGCCAGGCTGGCCTCGAACTCCTGACCTCAGGTGATCAGCCCACGTTGGCCTCCCAAAGTGCTGGGATTACAGGCATGAGCCACCGTGCCTGGCCTAGGTGCAATGTTTAACTGTTAAAATAGTAGCCATGGCTGGGTGCAGTGGCTCACGCCTATAATCCCAGCACTTTGGGACGCTGAGGCAGGCATATCACTTGAGCCTCTGACTTTGAGACCAGCCTGGAAAACATGGCGAAACCCCATATCTACAAAAAAAATACAAAAATGAGCCACACGTGGCACCCGCCTGTAGTCCCAGCTACTCAGGAGGCTGAAGTGGGAGGACTGCTTGAGCCAAAGAGGTTCAGGCTGCAGTGAACCATGATCCTGCCATTGCACTGCAGCCTGGACGACCCTGTCAAAAAAGAGAAAAAACAAAAACAGTAGCCACTTCATCAGGCAGCCCCAAACTGGTGCATAATGGGTGGTAAGAAGAATATTTACATATATTTAGGAATTTTGTAACATTTAGTAAGACTATAAGAAATAATTGCTACTGTATCCAAAATATTGTTTCAATTTCCTCTATGCTGTATAAGTACTAAAGAATATTACCACCAGAGATGAGAGCCTCCTACAAAAAGTCACTATGGATTTTGCTTTGTAGATAGCTTTTTTTTTTTTTTTTTTTTTTTTTGAGACAGAGTCTCACTCTGTCACCCAGGCTGGAGTGCAGTGGCGCGATCTCGGCTCACTGCAAACTCCACCTCCCGTGTTCACACCATTCTCCTGCCTCAGCCTCCGGAGTAGCTGTGACTACAGGCGCCCGCCACCACGCCCGGCTATTTTTTTGTATTTTTAGTAGAGACGGGGTTTCACTGTGTTATCCAGGATGGTCTGGATCTCCTGACCTCGTGATCCGCCCGCCTCGGCCTCCCAAAGTGCTGGGATTACAGGCTTGAGCCACCGCGCCCAGCCTGTAGATAGCTTTTTACTTTTGCCTAAAAGCATTTATCCTTCATACCAATTGTAACATCCGACACTATGTGGAAACTAAAAGTTTAGTAGAGGGAGGGAGGATTTTCTCAAGACCTTCCTCAAGCATGTTATTCTTATAAGAGAAACTGATGGGCACTTGATACTCTGTCTCAATATGTTTGTTGTATGTATTTTGCCCCCTGCCACTGACTTGGAACATTATTGCTTTCTTTATTTTAAAAAGCTCATTTTTGAAGCAATTATCAAACTTGCTATTTGTACATCTTTTGAGCAACACTACACAAACTGATATCTAGTTGATTTAGCTATAGCAGTACAGTGATTAGTAATATAAAAATTAACACTTATGAAAATTAACCTAAGGAAGCGTAGGTTTGTCAAAATATCAAGGAAATTTTTGTTTCTAAAGCATATTTAACATACATGATCTAAAGAAGGCATTACCATCCTATATTAAAAACAAGATAAATGCCAGGTATGGTGGCTCACACCTGGAATCCCTGCACTTTGAGGGGCCGAGGCGGGTGGATCACTTGAGGCCAGGAGTTTGAGATCAGCCTGGGCAACCTGGTGAAACCCATCTCTACTAAAAATGCAAAAATTCGGCCAGGTGCAGTGGCTCATGCCTGTAATCCCAGCACTTTGGGAGGCCGAGATGGGTGGATCACTTGAGGCCAGGAGTTCAAGACCAGCCTGGCCAACATGGTCAAACCCCATCTCTACAAAAAAATACAAAAATTAGCTGGATGTGGTGGCGTGCGCCTGTGATCCCAGCTACTTGGGAGGCTGAGGCAGGAGGATCACTTGAACCTGGGAGGCAGAGGTTGCAGTGAGCTGAGATCACACTGCTACACTCCAGCCTGGGCAACAGAGAGAGATTATGTCTCAAAAATAAATAAATAAATTAGTTCAGAAATTACAGTGAAAATACTGCCACTGAATCTGGAAACCTAAATATTATGGAGATAACTGGGTACCAGGGTATCCATTAAAATAAATAAATAATTTTTAAAAATTTTAAGAGCTCTAACAGTTTGGCATGTTGCTTCAATCATGGACCAGAAAGTGACCTACACCAAATGAAGTTGGAATATCAGAACTACCTTGGTACACAAAGAAGGGAAGAGATATAGCAGTTAGGATACAAGGCTGGGCACAGTGGCTCACACCTGTAATCCCTGCACTTTGGGAGGCCGAAAGATCTCAGCTCACTGCAACCTCCGCCTCCTGGGTTCAAAAGATTCTCCTGCCTCAGCCTCCTGAGTAGCTGGGATTACAGGCATGCGCCACTGCACCTGGCTAATTTTTGTATTTTTAGTAGAGATGGGGTTTCACCATGTTGCCCAGGCTGGTCTCAAACTCCTGACCTCAGGGGATCCACCTGCCTCGACCTCCCAAAGTGCTGGGATTACAGCCACAGCGCCTGGCTTAGGGACTAACATTTAAATCAGCAGACTTTGGGTAAAGTCCCTGGGAGATCCTCCATAATGTGGGTGGGCCTCAACCAATCAGTTGATGGCTTTAAGAGAAAAAGACTGAAATCCTCCACAGGGAGAAGGAGTCCTGCCTCTAGTCTCTGACTTCAGATTCAACAACTCTCCCCGGGGTGTCCAGCCTGCCCTGCAGATTTCAGACTTGCCAGTCCCATCAATCATGTGAGACAATTCCTTTTTTTTTCTTTTTTTTTTCTTTTTTTCTTTTCTTTTTTTTTTTTTTTTTTTTTTTTTTTGTATTTTTAGTAGAGACGGGGTTTCACTGTGTTAGCCAGGATGGTCTCGATCTCCTGACCTCATGATCCGCCCGCCTCGGCCTCCTAAAGTTCTGGGATTACAGGCGTGAGCCACCGGGCGCGGCCATGAGAGGAAATTTCTTAAAATCTCTCTCTCTCTTCCCTTCTCTAACCCCCTATATGTGCATATCCACAGGGGTTACACAGTCTGTTGCAGCTACTGAACTCTGCTATTGCAGCATGAAGGCAATTATAGACATTACATAAACAAATGATCATGGCTGCATTCCAATCAAACTTCACTTACAAAAACAGGCAAGGAGGCCGGGCACAGTGGCCCACGCCTGTAATCCCAGCACCTTGGGAAACCAAGGCAGGTGGATCGCTTGAGCTCAGGAGTTCGAGACCAGCCTGGGCAACATGGCAAGATCCCATCTCTACAAAAATAAAAATAAAAAACTAGCCGGGCGTGGTGACACATGCCTGTAGTCCCAGCTACTTGGGGAGCTCAGGCAGGAGGATTGCTTGAGTCTGGGAGGTCGAGGCTGCAGTGACCCATGATGGTGCCACTGCACTCCAGCCTGGGTGACACAGTGAGAGCATGTCTCAGAAAAAAAAAACAGGCCATGGACTAGATTTCACCTGCTAGATTTGACTCTAAAATATAAACTGCTTGAGAGCAGAAACTAGTCTTTCTTTCTTTTTATTCCGTATCATTGACCTAGAAAAATGTGGGCATAGCTGGTGCAGTGGCTCACACCTGTAATCCCAACATTTTGGGAGGCTAACGTGGGAGGATTGCTTGACCCCAGGAGTTTGAGACCAGGCTGGCCAACATGGAGAGGCCCCTGTCTCTACCAAAAAGTTAAAAAAACAAAAAAATTAGTTGGGCATGGTGGTGTGTGCTTTTAGTCACGCTACTTGGGAGGCTGAAGTGGGAGGATTGCTTCAGCCTAGGAAGGAGGTCGAGGCTGCAGTGAGCCATGATCACGCCACTGCACTCCAGCCTGGGTGACACAGTGAGACTCTATGTTAAAAAAAAATAATAAAAATGTTTAAAAAAAGAAAAGAGGACTGCTGATTAGTTGATATTTTATACCCCCAAGGGCTAATGATACCATTTGATCTGCTTAAAACATGGGCCAAAGGACGGAGCAAAGCTCACCCGACTAGTCCTGTGTTTCTTTCTAAGAAATCGCCTTCACAAATGCCCCAAGACTCCCTCCTGTTTCTCAAATCCTCTCACACTGCATGGGGAATTTCCCAGAACTTCCCTGGCCTCTGAGCCTGTGGTTTCCTCTGGCTTTGTTTCTTAACCTCGATCTTGTCAGATTCATCATAAATGAAACTTCTAAATCATACCCACAAGGGAGACGAGAGGGGAAATCGGGAGACAGAGGAAGAGATAGGGAGAGATTGAGAGACGGAGAGCTAGAGATAGAGAAGTAGAGAAAGAAAGATAGAGAAATAGGGGATACAGAGATATAGAGAGATCAAGAGATAGATTGAAATAAAGAGACAGAGGTAGAGACGTGAAGAAAAAGACAGAGATAGATAGAGATGGAGATATAGAGATAGAGATACAGATGGACAGATAGACATAGAGAGAGAGATACAGATAGATAGAGATGGAGATACAGAAATAGAGAGATACAGACAGAGATTGAGATAGAGAGATTGAGATACAAAGAGAGATACAGAGAGATAGAAAGAGATAGAGATGGAGGGATAGAGATAGAAAGATAGGTAGAGATAGAAAGATAGAGATGAGATAGAGACAGAAATAGATAGGTAGAGAAACAGATAGAGATAGAGAGATAGAGATGGAGAGAGACAGAGACAGAGATGAAGAGATCGAGAGATTGAAATAGAGAAATACATAGAGATAAAGAGATAGAGAGAAAAAAGGAAGAAAAAATAACAAAAATAGAGAAAATAAAAAACAAAATTTAAACAAATTTCAAAGAGATAGAGATAGAAAGATAGAGAGATATAGAGAGACAGAGATAGGGACAGAAAGGGAAAGAGACAGAGAAAGAGAGAGAGAGAGATGAGGAGAGCAAATGATAACGCAAGCAGGCCCGAATATTAACTGGGGAATCTGGGTGAAAGACACAATGGGTATTCCTTGTACACTTTTCATTCATGTAACCTTCCTTTTTGTTTTGTTTTGAGACAGAGTCTGTCTCTGTTGCCAGGCTGAGGTGCAGTCTCTATCCTGGGCTCACGCAGCCCTCCCACCTCAGCCTTCCAAAGTGCTGACATGACAGGCATGCGCCACCATGCCCGGCCTACTTTGCTTTACATTTGAAGTTATTTCCCTAAAACAGTCTTCTAAAAGAAGCTCATTCTATAGGCTATCTTAAATTCTTCCCTTGTCACTAATTTCTCAAGCCACTCATGCCGCTAGATTCACTCCCATGATTAAAAATAGCCCTTGTAAAATCACCCTGTGACTCCCATGGTTCAAACTCCAGTAAATGTTTTCAGTTATCTTTTAATTTTTTTTTAATGTGTGGGAATGTGTGGGTTCCACATGAGACCAAATTTTAGAGAAGAACAAAAACTGAGCCACAGAGTCTGCCCGGATTTACCAGGCTGGGTTTACTTTTGTTTTGTTTTGTTTGAGACAGAGTCTCAGTCTGTCACCCAGGCTGGAGTGGAGTGATGCAATCTCGGCTCACTGCAACCTCCACCTCCCAGGTTCAAGTGATTCTCCTGCCTCAGCCTCCCAAGTAGCTAGGATTACAGGCACCTGCCACCAAGCCTGGCTAATTTTTTGTATTTTTAGTAGAAATGAGGTTTCACCATATTGGACAGGCTGGTCTCGAGCTCCTGACCTCAAGTGATCTGCCCGCCTCAGCCTCCCAAAGTGCTGGGATTACAGGCATGAGCCACCTTGCCCAGGCTGGGTTTACTTTTAACTCATAGCTAAGGTAGAAATGGCTGAGCAAAAGCAACTGAAGAGAGAATGAGCTTCTCCATGATTCTTTTTTACAAAAGTTTATTCTTGAGGGGGAGAATGAAGAGAAGCTGATTAATGGGTACAAATACACAGTTTGATAAAAGAAGTAAGACCTAGAGTTTGTTAGCTCAATTGGGTGTCTATAGTTTACAAGAATCTATTGTCTCGTTGGGTGTGGTGGCTCACACCTGTAATCCCAGCACTTTGGGAGGCCCAGGTGGGCAGATTACTTGAGGCCAGGAGTTCGAGACCAACCTGGCCAACATGGTGAAACCCCATCTCTACTAAAAATACAAAAGTTAGCCAGGCATGATGGCGGACACCTGTAGACCCAGCTACTCGGGAGACTGAGGCAGGAGAATCACTTGAACCTGGGAGGCAGAGGTTGCAGTGAACTGAGATCGTGTCACTGCACTCCAGCCTGGGCAACACAGTGAGACTGCCTCAAAAAAAAATTGTTTAAGATAAAAAACATAAATAAATAAACCGGGTCTGTGACCACAATATGTTGCTGCAATCAGGACCATTGCAATAAAATAAAACACTCAACTACTATGAAGCCGTCGCCTGGCCCAGGTCTCATAGAACTGGCAGCTGTCATTGCCTCCTCTGCATCTCACTCATGTTAATGATCTGTTTCTGCCACAACCGCACTGTCACTCACCATCAAGTGTCAAATAAAGAGGACCCTTCATTAGATTATCCTTTTATTAGGCCAGGCACGGTGGCTCACGCCTGTAATCCCAGCACTTTGGGAGGCCAAGGCGGGCGGATCATGAGGTCAGGAGATCGAGACCATCCTGGCTAACACAGTGAAACCCCGTCTCTACTAAAAATACAAAAAAATTAGCCGGGCGTGGTGGCGGGCGCCTGTAGTCCCAGCTATTCGGGAGGCTGAGGCAGGAGAATGGTGTGAACCCTGGGGGGGCGGAGCCTGCAGTGAGCCGAGATCGCGCCACCGCACTCCAGCCTGGACGACAGAGCAAGACTCCGTCTCAAAAAAAAAAAAAAAAAGATTATCCTTTTATTTCAGAGGGAACTACATTAAAAGATTTAATTTATGATATGACAATATCAGGCTCTGGATCAGGTCTACCATTGCTTGTTCAGAGAACAATTGTGAAAACTATTGTTGTTACAGGAACACTGGCAAAGGTGAATGTGAAGAATTTTGGCGAGGAAAGCGGCGGGGAGAAGTTGTCATTAAGATATTCCCTTCTTGCCTGGGCACGGTGGCTCACGCCTGTAATCCTGACACTTTGGGAGGCTGAGGTGGGTGGATCACTTGAGGTCAGGAGTTCGAGACCAGCGTGGCCAACAGGGTGAAACCCCATCTCTACTAAAAATACAAAAATTAGCTGGGCGTGGTGATGCAAGCCTGTAATCCCAGCTGCTTGGGAGGCTGAGACAGGAGAATTGCTTGAACCCGGGAGATGGAGGTTACAGTGAGCTGGGATGACACCACTGCACTCCAGCCTGGGCAACAGAGGGAGACTCCGTCTCAACAACAACAACAACAAAAAAAGGTATTGTCTTCTAAGAAAAGGAACGCTTTTACACTGTTGGTGGGAATGTAAATTAGCTCCACTATTGTGGAAAACAGTGTGAGGATTCCTCAAAGACCTAAACACAGAACTACCATTCAGTCCAGCAATCCCACTGCTAGGTGTAAACCCAAAGGAATATAAATCATTCTATTATAAAGACACGTGCATGCATATATTCATTGCAGCATATTCTCAATAGCAAAGACGTGGAACCAACCTAAATGGCCATCAATGGTAGAATGGATAAAGAAAATATGGTACATATACACCACGGAATACTATGCACCATAAAAAAGAACGAGATCATGTCATTTGCAGGAACATGGATGGAGCTAGAGGCCATTATCCCTAGAAAACTAACGCAGGATCAGAAAAACAAATACTGCATGTTCTCACTTATAAGTGGGAGCTAAATGATAAGAACACATGGACACATAGAGGAGAACAACACACACTGGGGCCTATCAGACGGTGGAGGGTTGGGGGAGGAAGAGGATCAGGAAAAATAGCTAATGGATACTAGGCTTAGCACCTGGGTGAAATAACCTGTAAAACAAACCCGCATGACACAGGTTTACCCATATAACAAACCTGCACATGTACCCCTGAACTTAAAGTTAGTTTTTGTTTTTTTTGTTTTGTTTTGTTTTGTTTTTTGAGACGGGGTCTTGCTCTGTCACCCAGGCTGGAGTGCAGTGGCGTGATCTTGGCTCACTGCAACCTCCGCATCCCAGGTTCCAGCGATTCTCCTGCCTCAGCCTCCTGGGTAGCTGGAATTACAGGCACACACCACCACGCCCAGCTAATTTTTGTATTCTTAGTAGAGACAAGGGTTTCACCATGTTGGCCAGGCTGGTCTTGAACTCCTGACCTCAGGTGATCCACCCACCTCCGCCTCCCAAAGTGCTGGGATTACAGGCATGAGCCACCGCGCCCGGCCCCAGGTTAAATTTTTTAAAATTTATATTTATGGAATCATGGAGAACTTCTCATCTAGAGAAGAACGTTTGTGACTCTATGAGGCAGAGATTTATCAAATTGGCAGGTTACGTCATGAAAACCTCCTGGGAGAGCCAGGGCCAGCCACACCCGGCCACAGACTAATTTTTCCACCAGGGAAAGTTTGTCCAGCTTATTGTGAAAATTCGTGTGGTATTGATGGCTGTGGTGGGCTGTCTGGCTGCTGCCATCACATGGCTGCTGCAGGGAGGGCCCAGGGAGGAGGCTGACAGCTCCCCGGCCACGCAGCCCACAGCCCTCTGGAGCCCACGCCCTGCTGGAGCAGCGCGGTCGGGCAGAGAGGGGCCCGGATGTGGAGCTGGGGCCGTGCTTTGGGGGCGGGGGCAGGAAGAGGGAGCAGCGCCCTCTTTGGGGACTAGCCAGCCGCGCAGCCACTGCACCCACCCCGCAGAGGGTTCAGGGTTCCTAGGCATCAGGAGGAGGCTCTGTGCAGGGCTTGCCAGCCGTGTTCTTGGGGTCCACCCCGCATCAGAGCGACCACCAAGCCTGCCACTCCCCGTGGCCAGGCTGGGGCCAGGATCAGCTCCCCACAGGCTGCCCCTGAGTGCCGGGGCAACAGGGGCAGTTCGTGGTGATATTGCCCCTGCCCTGGGCGCCAGCCCAGGCCCGGCAAGGATCAGGAATCCCCGCCCCAGCTTGCAAGGGGGAGCACCTGAAGCTGCATCCTGGGCCTCTGCAGCCGCCCAAGTTGTGGCCGCAGATTCAAGCCTCCCTGTGCTCTTGGGGGGCCAGGGAGGCCCCCCTGCCCTTGCAGGCTCCAAAGCACCTGCTCCCACTGCCTGGTTTCTCCCTGCTCTCAGCGCCTGCTCTGATCTTGGAGCAAAGTCAGGGTCCAACCTGGGGCCATGAACGGCAGCAGGAGGCAGACTGATTCCTGGCAGAAGGGAGCAAGTCCTCGCTAAGACCCCACCTTCAGGCCAGGGAGGGCCTGAAGGCTGAGGGCCACCAGACCTGTGGACCAGAGTGGGGACTTGTGATGCCTTTTCCAGGCCCATGCATGGCTGTTAATGGACCAGTCGGCACACACTGCATCCCCTCTGAGGTCCATAAAAGCCCCAGGCTCAGCCAGAGCAGGGCAGAGAAAAAGAGAGACGTCCAGATGACCAGCTGCAGAGAGAAGCCACTCTCTGTGCTAATAGCTGGAGATGACCTGACGACCAGCTGCAGAAAGGAGCTACACTCTCTGCTGAAAGCTGCAGTGAGGATGGGATGACCTGCTGGGCAGAGAGAAGCCACCCTCTCCAAGGCCTCCTCTCTGCTGAGACCTGCAGCCATCAGGAGGACCAGAGAGGAACTACCCTCTCTGGGGTCTCCTCTCTGCTGAGAGCTGAGCACTCAATGGAATGAACTGTCTACAGAGAGGAGCTGCCCACTTTGGTCTTCTCTGAGCTGTTCTAACACTCAATAAAACTCCTCTTCATCCTGTTCACCCTCCACTTCCCTGTGTAACTCATTCTTCCTGGACACAAGACAAGAACTCTGGCAAAGGTGCCAGGGGACACAGATATTTCCGACCAGAAATGTGACACCCTAAAGATTCTGTAACAGTATTACGTAAGCCTTTTTTTTTTTTTTTCTTTTTGAGAGGGAGTCTTGCTCTGTCGCCTGGGCTGGAGTGCAGTGGCACAATCTTGGCTCACTGCAACCTCCACCTCCCAGATTCAAGTGATTCTCCTGCCTCAGCCTCCCGAATAGCTGGGATTACAGGCACACGCGGCCATGCCCAGCTTTTCGTATTTTAGTAGAGATGGGGTTTCACTGTGTTGCCCAGGCTGGTCTCGAACTCCTCAGCTCAGGCAATCCACCCACCTTGGCCTCCCAAAGTGCTGGGATTACAGGTGTGAGCCACTGCACCTGGCCTATGTAAGCCATTTTTATCTGTTCAGAGACAGTGGTTTTTTTTAAGAAATGAATTACATTTAAAATTAGAATATGGTTAATGTTCAATAATAGGCCTTTTTCTAGAAAGGCAAAGAAAGTTAATAATTTGGATAGATAACAGGTGTGCCAGAGCCACATTTGTTATGCAGAGGTAAATGTTCAGTCTGTCCTCTGTCTTGGTGACTGAGGTTACAGTTAGAGTGGTTTTGAGGCCTCACTACACTTTGAGGAAGGCAGCTTTTAATTTAGTGTTTCCATGTGTTTGTATACCATTGGAACTAATTCACACGTGATTTCTGCCCTGAACTCAGTGCACCCTTGATATTTGAGAGAGAGCTAACTAAAGAACATTCTGAGTATTTCTATTTACAGAGGTTTTTGGTCAAATTAAATGCTTTGGGATTTTTTTTTTTTTTTTTTTTTTTTTTTTTTTTTTGAGACAGGGTCTCACTCTGTTGACCAGGCTGGAGTGCAGTGGCACGATCTTGGCTCACTGCAACCTCTGCCTCCTGGATTCAAGCAATTCTCCTGCCTCAGCCTCTGAGTAGCTGGGATTACAGGTGTGCACCACCAACGCCTGGCTAATTTTTATATTTTTTGTAGAGACAGGGTTTCGCCATGGTGCCCAGGCTGGTCTCAAACTCCTGACCTCAGGTAATCCACCCACCTCAGCCTCCCAAAGTGTTGGGATAACAGGCATGAGCCACTGCACCCAGCCTTGCACAATTATTTTGGTTTTATCAGTGTAATCTCTGCCCTTCAAGATATGTACAGAAAATGTCCATATAAATTTTCACTTAAATGGCATGATATTGAGAAGCTGTAAAGAGGAAAAACATATATAAAGCTTCGTTTCCCCACTAGTTTGTTTTTTGGGTTTTTTTGTTTGGTGTTTGGTTTGTTTGTTTGTTTGTTTGTTTTGAGACAGGGTCTCGCTCTGTCACCCAGGCTGGAGTGCAGTGGCTCAATTTCGGCTCACTCCAGCCTCTGCCTCTCAGGTTCAAGCAATTCTTGTGCCTTAGCTTCCCAAGTAGCTGGGACTACAGGTGCACACCATCATGCCCAGCTAAGTTTTGTACTTTTAGAGAAGAAGTTTCACCATATCGGCCAGGCTGGTCTCCAACTCCTGACCTCAGGTGATCGCCCACCTCGGCCTCCAGAAGTGCTGGGATTACAGGTGTGAGCCACCACACTGGGCCCCCCATTAGTTTTCTTCAATTGCATACTGTATTTGTAACAATAGCCCAAATGAATGTAAGTAGGAAATGGAAGAGTAGTGCCTATATGAAATGCTAATACTGCAGTAGAAGAATGCTAGCAGTGCAAATAAATTTTTTCTCAAGGGCCAGTGGCATATTTTTAAAAAGTGTATATATTGGAAAAATAAAAGTTAAAAATAAAATAAAATATATATAATATAAAATATAAATAACATGTTTATTTATAAATGTATATAATATTAAATATTCTTTTTTACACATTTATTCTTTCTTTTTGGAGACAGAATCTGGCTCTGTCACCCAGGCTGGAGTGTGGTGGTGCCATCTTGGCTCGCTGCAATCTCCGCCTCCTGGGTTCAAGCGATTCTCATGCCTCAACCTCCTGAGTAGCTGGGACTACAAGCACGTGCCACCATGCCCAGCTCACTTTTCATATTTTTGATAGAGACAAGATTTCACCATGTTGGCCAGGCTAGTCTCAAACTTCTGGCCTCAAGTGATCCACCACCTTGGCCTCCCAAAGTGCTGGATTACAGGCATGAGCCACCATGCCCCGCCTTTATTATTTAAAATTATTTACTTCGCTTGTATTTCTATTCATCATATTCAACCTCAAATATTAAATAGAAATATAAGACAAAAATAAATTTAGGCTGGGTGCAGTGTCTCGCAACTGTAATTCCAACACTTTGGGAGGCCAAGGTAGGCAGATCGCCTGAGCTCAGGAGTTCTAAACCAGCCTGGGCAACATAGCAAGACCCTGTCTCTACAAAAACATATATATATAAATATATATAAATATAAATATATATTTATATATAATATATAAATATAAATATATAATATATATAAATATAAATATATGTTATATATGTATATTTTATATATATATACACACACACAAAAATTAGCTAGGCATGGTGGTGCACCCCTGTAGTACCAGCCACCTAGAAGGCTGAGGTGGGAGGATTCCTTGAGACTAGCAGGTCAAGGCTGCAGGGAGCTGTGATCACACCTCTGCACTCCAGCATGGGCAACACAGCAAGTAATTAATTAATTTTAAAAATTAGCCAGCCCCAGTGGCTCGCTCTTGTAGCCCTAGCTACACAGGAGGCTGAGGCAGGAGGATCACTTGAGCCCAGGAGTTTGAGGCTGCAGTGAGCTATGACCACATCACTGCACTCCAGCCTGGGCAACAAAATGAGACTCTGTCTCAAAAAATAAATAAATAAATAAAATGAAATCATGTCTTTTGCAGGAACATGGGTGAAGCTGGAGACCATTACCTTTAAGTGAAACAACTCATAAACAGAAAGTGAAATACTGCATGCTCTCACTTATAAATGTGTTGGGAACAGGCCCCCCCAAAGTCTGGCCATAAACTGGCCCCAAAACTAGCCAGAATCTCTGCAGCACTGTGACATATTCATGATGGCCATGACGCCCATGCTGGAAGGTTGTGGTTTTACTGGAGTGAGGGCAAGGAACACCTGGCCCACCAGGTGTTCTTTAAGGGCAGAAAACCGTTTAAAGGCGTTCTTAAACCACAAACAATAGCATGAGCCATCTGTGCCTTAAGGACATGCTCCTGCTGCAGATAACTAGCCAGACCCACCCCTTTATTTCGGCCCATCCCTTCGTTTCCCATAAGGGATACTTTTAGTTAATCTATAATCTATAGAAACGATGCTTATCACTGGCTTGCTGTTAGTAAATACGTGGGTAAACCTCTGTTCAAGGCTCTCAGCTCTGAAGGCTGTGAGACCCCTGATTTCCCACTCCACACCTCTACATTTCTGTGTGTGTGTCTTTAATTCCTCTAGCGCCGCTGGCTTAGGGTCTCCCCAACCAAGCTGGTCTTGGCATAAATGGGAGCTAAATACTGTGTAGATGTGGACATCGTTTTTGCCTCAAAGCCTTATCTTCTTCATTCATCTCCCTGGCCTGTTTCAGGGGATTCTTGCCAACTTCATGGCCGGACATGGTGCCTACCTCCCTTCCTGCCTCAGCTTCTCATCCTGACAGACTCTCAGAAGTTGAATTAGACACCACTGACCACCACTTACTTCTTCAAACACATTTCTCGAAACTTATTTTTTTTCTTTCCTGTCTGGTCACCCCTCCAAATCTCCAAATATGCTGAACACCTGACTTCCAGACACTGCATACATATATACACACACACACACACACATACAGTGAAACCCAATCTCATATATATATACATATATAGGCTTTCTGTTATATATCAGAGTTTCTTGGCACATGGTGAAACCCATCTCTAATACATATACATATGCCTTCTGTTATGTATCAGAGTTTCTTGGCACTTGAGCTTAGACCTTCCTCTCTTCTACACCTTTATTTGTCTGCGTAAGAGATTCATCCTGCCCCCAAAACTTGCATTATATAAAATATACCAACAACTCTCAAATGTGCATTCCAGGCAAAGAGCTTGCATAGCTACAGAAAGGATTCAACACTCCCCCTTGGCCATCCCGGTCAAAGTCCCTCAGCGACATCTGGAAATCCCGCACAATTCAAAGTGATCTATGATCCTCCAGGTTCCCCAAGTCCATAAATGCCTCCACCGTCTACCCTGTTTGCGGCATTATTATATATACAGGCTTTCGTCCACTGTTCCTGGCTTAGAACTACTAAAATCCTTGGCATCTTCAAAGTGCTGTCTTTTGTATATCTTTTGTCTGATGGGTTCAAGGTGAGGCTGGTCACCAGAAAGACCAAGGCAGGATTAGAGGGTTGAGACTTTCAGCCCCAGCCCCCAACCTTCAGGAGGAGGAGAGAGGGGCTGAAGGTCAAGTTGATCACCAATGGCCAATGGTTTAATCAATCATGCCTATGTAATGAAGTCTCCATGGAAATGCCAAAAGACTGGGTTCAGGGAGCTTCCAGTTAACTGAATACAGGAGGATCCCAGAGGACGGTGCATCCAGGGAGGGCATGAAAGATCCACCCCACGTCCCCCATACCTCACCCCATGCATGTCTTCGTCTGTATCCCTAGTAACATCACTTATAATAAATCAGTGAACATAAATATTTCCCTGAGTTCTGTGAGCCACCCCAGTAAATTGATCCAACTCAAACAAGGGGTCGTGGGAACCCCAACTTGAAGCCAATCAGTCAAAAGCTCCAGGCTGGGCACAGTGGCTCAAGCCTGTCATCCCAGCACTTTGGGAGGCCAGGGCCGGCAGATCACGAGGTCAGAAGTTCAAGACCAGCCTGACCAATGTGATGAAACCCCATCTCTACTAAAAAATACAAAAATTAGCCGGGCATGGTGGCGCACACCTGTAATCCCAGCACTTTGGGAAGCTGAGGCGGGCAGATCATGAGGTCAAGAGATCGAGACCAGCCTGGCCGACATGGTGAAACCCCATCTCTACTGAAAATACAAAAATTAGCTGGGCATGGTGGTGCGCACCTGTAGTCCCAGCTACTCGGGAGGCTGAGGCAGGAGAATTGTTTGAACCTGGGAGGCAGAGGTTGCAGTGAGCTGAGATCGTGCCACTGCTTTCCAGCCTGGTGACAGAGCAAGACTCCATCTAAAAAATAAATAAATAAATAAATAAAAAACCTTCCAAAGGCCCAGACTTGCAACTGGTATCTAGGGGCGTGGGCGTCACTCCTGGGGACTAAGCCCCCAGCCTGTGCAATCTGACACCATCTCCACGTAGATGATGTCGGAATTGAATTGGAAGACACCCCGAAACACCCAGCTGGTGTCCGCTGCTAGGTGTGTGGGGAAAAAAACCCCACACATTTGGTCACAGAAGTCTTCTGTATTGATGATTGCGGTGGTGGTGGTGGTGTTAGAGCAGAGGAAAAACAAAGTTTGAGGTGGGCTCAGTGACTCACACCTGTCATCCCAGCACTTTGGGAGGCCGGGGCAGGTGGATCACTTGAGGTCAGGAGTTCGAAACCAGCCTGGCCAACATGGTGAAAC
Organism: Homo sapiens; assembly: GCF_000001405.40. Lineage (NCBI taxonomy): Eukaryota > Metazoa > Chordata > Mammalia > Primates > Hominidae > Homo > Homo sapiens. The sequence goes on along the minus strand of NC_000019.10, from coordinate 6,545,338 downwards.
GCCATGTCTACTAAAAATACAAAAATTAGCGTGGTGGCAGGTGCCTGTAATCCCAGCTACTCGGGAGGCTGAGGCAGGAGAATTGCTTGAACCCAGGAGGCAGAGGTTGCAGTGAGCCGAGATCACGCCACTGCTACAACCTGGGCAACAGAGCGAGACTGTGCTACAACCTGGGCAACAGAGCGAGACTCCATCTCAAAATAAAATTTAAAAAAAAAAAACAAAAACAGGTCGGGTACAGTGGCTCACGCTTGTAATCCCAAAACTTTGGGAGGCCAAGACGGGCAGGTCACCTGAGGTCAGGAGTTCGAGACCAGCCTGGCCAACAGGGTGAAACCCTGTCACTGCTAAAAATACAAAAATGAGCCAGGTGAGGTGGCTCACACCTGTAATCCCAGCTACCTGGGAGGGTGAAGCAGGAGAATCGCTTGAACCCGGGAGACGGAGCTTGCAGTAAGCCAAGATCGCACCACCGCACTCCAGCCTGAGCAACATCACAAACTATGTTTCAAAAAATAATAATAATAATGTTAATAATAATAACAACAGATTTCACATATGAAATCCAATGTCAGCCACTGTGCAATTGAAACTGTTAGCTCATTTAAAACTCCCAAGAGCACTGGACACAGTGTTTCATGCCTGTAATCCCAGCAATTTGGGAGGCCATGGCAGGCAGATCACCTGAGGTCAGGAGTTCGAGACCAGCCTGGCCAACATGGTGAAACACACCTTTACTACAAACACAAAAATTAGCCGGGCGTGGTGGCAGGCGCCTGTAATCCCAGCTACTCGGGAGGCTGAGGCAAGAGAATCGCTTGAACCTGGGAGGCGGAGGTTGCAGTGAGCTGAGATCGCACCACTGCACTCCAGCCTGGGGGATAAGAGCGAGAATTCGTCTGTAAATAAATAAATAAATAAATCTCCCAAGAGCCCATGAGAATTATTTTCCAGTTTTATAACTGAAGACATGAGCCCAGAGAGGTGAAGACCCTTGCCCAGGGGTGCACAGCCTAGCCAGCACTGGCAGAACCAGGGCTCAAACTCAGCTCTGTCAGCTCCAAAATGCATCCTCTGCAGACCACACTATCCATCTCCACTCCTGGCTAGCCACATAACCCCAACACACACATATTCACAAGAGTTGCTGGTGGAAGGCGTCGGGTTTTCCACTCTGCCTTCCCCACCGAGGCGTCTCACCCCGCTGAGATACCGCAACAGGCCGAACTAGTCCCTCATCTTCATCCGGATCTCTGGCACCAGGGGTTTCCTGAGCTGACCAAGCCAGAGATTGCGGGCAGCAAGACAAAGGTGAGATGAAACCTGCGACAAGATGCAACCGTCAGGAAAGTGGGCTTGAAAACTGTCCCCTTCTGGGAAACCTCAGAATGGGGATCCCCAGAATGGAAACTCCCCCCTGAAAGGGGCACACCTACCTCAGTGGTGTAAGCACATTGCTGCTTCCTGACATCTTACCTCTTGTAAACAAACAGTCTTTTTTCCCACCCCATGCCTTTGGACAAATCCTCATTCCCTGATCCCAAACCCTAGAAGCCAGATTTGGAGATCTAGAATTTAGAGGCCAGGCGCGGTGGCTCACGCCTGTAATCCCAGCACTTTGGGAGGCCGAGGCGGGCAGATCACGAGGTCAGGAGTTCGAGACCAGCCTGGCCAACATGGTGAAACTCTCTCTCTACTAAAGATTAAAAAAAAAAAAATTAGCCGGGCGTGGTGGTGGATGCCTATAATCCCAGCTACTCAGGAGGCTGAGGCAGGAGAATCTCTTGAACCCGGGAGGCGGAGGTTGCAGTGAGCTGAGATCGCACCATTGCACTCCAGCCTGGGCAACAGAGCAAGACTCTGTCTCAAAAAAAAAAAAAAATTAGAATGTAGAAAGGTAGTATGATATGTGTAGCATGGATTACCCCCTCTGGGGGCTCCTGGAACACCCCCTCATAATCAAGCATACTTGACTCATGTAAACATCCCTGTTTCATCGCAGGTTATACAATGAATAAAGATCATCAATACAATTACATGGGCACAGTCAAGTTCAGCTGCCAAAGGAGTTATGACAAAGTCAATTTTCTGCTTGCGAGATTAGCATTTTTTCCAGCTTTAGGTATATGAATATACTATGTATGTGAATTATATATAGATATAATGTTAAATTATATATGTAAAATGTGCATATATGATTTACCATTTTTTCCATTATTAAGGGTTCAGTTCAATGATAATAAATACATTTGTATTCTTTATTTTTCCTCATCCCCTCTCCCCTCTTCCTAGCCTCTGATATATATATATATATATATATCTGATGAGAGAAAGAGAGAGTCTGGTTCTGTCACCTAGAATGGAGTGCAGTAGTGCAATCATGGCTCACTGCAGCCTCAAACTCCTGGCCTCATGCGATCCTCCCGCCTCAGCCTCCCAAGTAGCTGGGACTACAGGTGCACACCGTTGCACCCAGCTAATTTTTTGCAGAGACAGGGTCTCCCTACGTAGCACAGGCCAGTCCTGAACTCCTGCGCTCAAGTGATCCTCCTGCCTTGGCCTCCCAACGTGCTGGGATTGCAGGCATGAGCCATCACACCCAATCATATTTATATATAAACATATATTTAGTCCCTGGGCTACAGATGTGAGTGAAGGCTCAAATCTAGCCCATAATCTGCTCCCAAGTCAGTGCACCTTGGCTTCTGTCTGGTAGAAGAAGGGGGTTCTTGGCAGGGCATGGTGGCTCACACCTGTAATCCCAGCACTATGGGAGGCCAAGGCGAGTGGATCACTTGAGGTTAGGAGTTCCAAACCAGCATGGCCAACATGGTGAAACCACATCTCTACCAAAAACTATAAAAATTAGCCTGGCATGTGGTGTGCACCTGTAGTCCCAGCTACTATTGAGGCTGAGGTAAGAGAATCACTTGAACTCAGGAGGCAGAGGTTGCAGTGAGCCGAGATCACCCCACTGCACTCCAGCCTGAGTGACAGAGAGAGACCCTATCTCAAAATTAAAAAAAAAAAGAGGAAGAAGAAGGGGGTTCCTTATTAATCCAATAAAAACACCTTTTTTTTTTTTTTTTGAGACAGAGTCACGTTCTGTCTCCCAGGCTGGAGTGCAGTAGTGTAATCTCGACCCACTGCAACCTCCACCTCCAAGGTTCAAGCGACTCTCCTACCTCAGCCTCCTGGGTAGCTGGGATTACAGGCACTCGCCACCACGCCTGGCTCATTTTTGTATTTTTAGTAGAGATGGGGTCTCACCATGTTAGCCAAGCTGGTCTTGAACTCCTGACCTCAAATGATCCACCCGCCTCGGCCTCCCAAAGTGCTGGGATTACAGGCGTGAGCCACCACGCCCAGCCCATCTTTCTTTCTTTCTTTCTTTTTTCAGATGGAGTTTTGCTCTTGGTGCCCAGGCTGGTGTGCAATGATGTGATCTCCGCTCACTGCAACCTCCGCCTCCTGAGTTCAAGTGATTCTCCTGCCTCAGCCTCCCGAGTGGGTGGGATTACAGGCATGCAGCACCACGCCCGGCTAATTTTCTCTTTTTAGTAGAGATGAGGTTTCTCCATGTCGGTCAGGCTGGTCTCAAACTCCCGATCTCGGGTGATCCATCCGCCTCAGCCTCCCAAAGTGCTGGGATTACAGGCATGAGCCACTGCGCTCGGCCTCATCTTTCTTAACTGAATGTTGGTATCCTTTGACCAACACCTTTCGTTTTCCCCACCCACAGCCCCTGGCAAGCACCGCTCTATTCTCTGCTTCTATGTGTTTGACTATTTTAGATTCCGCATATAAGTGAGATCGTGTAGTATTTGTCTTTCTGTTTGGCAACGTTAGAGTCGTGGCTATGATATTATAAAGCTGTGGCTGTTTACAATATCCTATCCTTGCATAATTGCTTTTATAACATTATGACTTTGTAACTCCCTTCTTGGCAAGAGTGTTCTTTTTTTTAAGACAGGGTGTCTCTCTGTCGCCCAGGCTAGAGTACAATGGTGTGATCACAGCTCACTGCAGCCTCGACCTCCTGGGCTCAAGAGATCCTCCCGCCTCGGCCTCCCAAGTAGCTGGAGCCACAGATATGTACCACCATGCCCAGCTTGGCGATATCTCTATAACATCACAGCTGTGTCATGGTAACCACTCTTCTGTGAGCTGTTGCTTCTTTCTAATACCCACATCTGTTATTGTATGATGTCATCTGTAAATCTGTGTGTCACTGCTTGAGCAATGCACCTTTGTGTTGCCTTGTCTGTCATATCTCTCAACACATCCTGCTCAATGTATACTATTTTCACTATCTCTTATTTCACTATCTCTCATAGTATTTTTACTCTCTCTATTATTGGCCTTGCTTGCCAGCTTTTTGAATCAGCCTTTTTTTTTTTTTTTTTTTTTGACATGGAGTCTCGCTGTGTCACCCAGGCTGGGGTGCAATGGCAAAGTCTCAGCTCACTGCAACCTCCACCTCCTAGGTTCAAGCAATTCTCCTGCCTCGGCCTCCCGAGTAGCTGGGATTACAGGTGCCTGTCACCATGCCCAGCTAATTTTTCTATGTTTAGTAGAGGTGGGGTTTCACCATATTGGCCAGGCTGGTCTCGAACTCCTGACCTCGTGATCCACCCACCTCAGCCTCCCAAAGTGCTGGGATTACAGGTGTGAGCCACTGTGCCTGGCCGCAACCCCTCTATTGTACCATTGTGTTTCTGTAACATTCTTTCTGTCCATTTGAGTGTCCTTAATAATTGCTACCGTTTAATGAATGCTAACCAGGAGCCAGACACTGTGCATTGAAAGTGTATTAAAGTATCAATTCCTGGCTGGGTGCAGTGGCTCACGCCTGTAATCCCTACACTTTGAGAGACCCAGGCGGGTGGATCACTTGAAGTCAGGAGTTCAAGACCAGCCTGGCCAACATGGCTAAACCCTGTCTCTACCAAAAATAGAAAAATCAGCCAGACATGGTGGCATGCGCCTGTAGACCCAGCTACTTACTCGGGAGGGTAAGGTGGGAGAATCGCTTGAGCCCGGGAGCGGAGGTTGCAGTGAGCTGAGATCGTGCCATTGCAGTCTGCTTGGGTGACAGAGTGAGACTCCATCTCAAAAAAAAAAAAAAAAAAAAATTATCAACTCCTTTAATTCTCTTTTTAAATTGATATGGCTGTTATAACAAAGTAGCTCATATTGGGGGCTTCAACAGCAGAAATTTATTGTCTAACAGTTCTAGAGGCTGGAAGTCCAAAACCAAGGCATTGGCAGATGTGGTTCCGTCTGAGGGCTGTAAGGGAAGGCTCTGTTCCAGGCCTCTCTCCTTGGCTTGTAGATGACATTTTCCTTTTTTTTTTTTTTTTTTTTTGAGACGGAGTAGCTGGGATGCTGGGATGACAAGTGAACGCCTCCACACCCGGCTAACTTGTGTATTTTTAGTAGAGACGAGGTTTCGCTTTGTTGGCCAGGCTGATCTCAAACTCCTGACCTCCAGTGATCCACCAAAGTGCTGGGATTACAGGCATGAACCACCGAGCCTGACCATGGATTCCATTTTCTTCTCCACGTGGTGCTCTCCCTGTGTGTGTCTGTGTCCAAATTCCACCCCCTACCCTCACTTCTTTTGGAGACAGGATCTTGCTGTGTCACACAGAGCGGATTGCAGTGGTAATCACAGCTCACTGCAGCCTTGACCTCAAGGTTCTAGTGATCTCCCATCTCAGCCTCCCTAGCAGCTGGGACTACAGGTATGCACCACCACACCCAGCAAATTTTTGTATTTTTTGTAGAGACGGGGTCTTGCTATGTTGCCCATGACTGGTCTCAAGCCTCTAGGCTCAAGCAATCCACCTGGCTTGGCCTCCCAAAGTGCTGGAATTACAGGCAGGAGCCCCCCTATCACATCCAGCCAAAGCCCCCCTTTTATAAGAACATCAGTCATATTGGATCAGGGCTTACCCTAATGACCTCATTTTAACGTGATCACCCCTGTAAGACCCTATCTCTAAATAGATGCAAAGTCAGGCTGAAAAGGCTGGAACTCAGGTACTTTCCCCATTTGGAACTAAACTTTCTCATCAGAGAACGGGCCTCAGAAGCAAGGTTATGGTTGGGTCATTGTAGATTCAGGGTATGGAAAAGAAACCTCAAACAAGAAAAACAGTTCCAATAAGAAATACCGGGGGGGTGGGCGGACATGGTGGCTCACGCCTGTAATCCCAGCACTTTGGGAGGCTGAAGTGGGTGGATCACTGGAGCCCAGAAGTTGGAGACCAGCCTAGCCAACATGGTGAAACCCTGTCTCTACTAAAAATGCAAAAATTAGCTGGGCGTGGTGGCGCATGTCTGTAACCCCAGCCACTCAAGAGGCTGAGGCAGGAGAATTGCTTGTGAACCAGGGAGGTGGAGGTCGCAGTGAGCTGAGATCGCACCACTGCACTCCAACCTGGGTGACAGAGCTAGACTCCATCTCAAAACAAACAAACAAACAAACAGAAATATAATTTTCCTTTTTTCCCTTAACAATTATACAATACAATCAACAGACTGTAATAGAAAACTGTCCCTGCTTCCAAATCAACAGTGGACCATTGTATGCATTGTCAGGTCTTTACATAAGAAGAGTGAAAGCTTTATTTGTAATTCTTTGTGGGGCAGGCGTGGTGGCTCACGCCTATTATCCCAGCACTTTGGGAGGCCGAGGCAGGCAGATCACGAGGTCAGGAGATCGAGACCATCCTGGCTAACACAGTGAAACTCCGTCTCTACTAAAAATACAAAAAAAATTAGCCGGGCGTGGTGGCAGGCGCCTGTAGTCCCAGCTACTCCAGAGGCTGAGGCAGGAGAATGGCATGAACCCGGGAGGCGGAGCTTGCAGTGAGCCGAGATCACACCACTGCACTCCAGCCTGGGTGACAGAGCGAGACTCCGTCTCAAAAAAAAAAAAAAAAAAACCACAAAAATTAGCTGGGCGTGGTGGCACATGCCTGTAGTCCCAGCTACTCTGTAGGCTGAGGCAGGAGAATTACTTGAACCAGGGAGGCAGAGGTTCCAGTGATCTGAGATTGTGCCACCACACTCCAGCCTGGGCAACAGAGTGAGACTTCAACTAAGAAAAAAAAAAAAAGAAAGAAAGAAACACAGAAGCAGTCCAAGCCTCTGATAAACTCCCTGAATAAATGCTTAAAAACTCCTAGTCTGTAAGAGAGTGTGCCTCTGACCTAACTCGGCTAGAAGCCCCTCTCAGGTTTATTTTCTCTAAAATAAACCTGTCCTTGACTGTTAAGCCACCTTTCATGTTTCTTTCCTCTTTCTTTAATTCTTACAGATGGTGGAGGATTGCTCAAGCCCAGGAATTTGAGACCAGCCTAGGCAACATAGCAAGACCTCATCTCTACAAAAAAATAAATAAAATTGCCAGGTGCAGTGGCTCACGCCTGTAATCCCAACACTTTGGGAGGCCAAGACAGGAGGATCCCTTGAGGTCAGGAGTTCAAGACCAGCGTGGGCAACATGAGGAGACCCCGTCTTTACAAAATTAAATTAAATTAAATTAAAAACAAGCCTCTAGAAGTTGGAAAAACAAGGAAAGCAATTATCCTCTAGAGCCTCCAGAAGGAAAGCAATCCTTCAGTCAACTTGATTTTAGCTTAGGGGAGCTCAGAACCCCAAGGGGGCCAGGCACGGTGGCTCACGTCTGTAATCCCATCACTTTGGGAGGCCAAGGCAGGCAGATCACTTGAGGTCAGGAGTTCGAGGCCAGCCTGGCCAACATGGCAAAACCCCAGCTCCACTAAAAATACAAAAAAAATAGCCAAGAGTGGTGGCCTGTACCTGTAATCCCAGCTACTCAGGGGGCTGAGGCAGGACAATCACTTAAACCCAAGAGGCAGAGGTTGCAGTGAGCCAAGACTGCGCCACTACACACCAGCCTGGGCAACTGATGAGAGTCTTTCTCAAAAAAAAAAAGAAAAAAGTAGGTGTGGACACAGAGCCAAACTATATTAATGACCTTCTTTGGAAATAGGGTCTTTGCAGATGTAATTATTTAAATTAAGATGAGGTCATATTGGAAGAGGATGGGCCCTGAATCCAGCATGACTGGTGTCCTTATAAAAAGGGGAGAGTTCGGGCCTGGTGCCTTACACCTGTAATCCTGGCACTTTGGGAGTCTGAGGCAGGAGCGTTGCTCGGAGTTCAAGACCAGCCTAGGCAACATAGCAAGACCCTGTCTCTACAAAAAAAACAATACATAAAAAGGAAGAAGAGGCCGGGCATAGAGGCTCATGCTTGTAATCCCAGCACTTCGGTAGGCCAAGGCAGGTGGATCGCTTGAGGTCAGGAGAAGTTCAAGACCAGCCTGGCCAACATGGTGAAACCCAGTCTCTATTAAAATAGAAAAATTAGCTGGGTGTGGTGGCATGTGCCTGTAATCCCAGCTATTCGGGAGACTGAGGCAGGAGAATTGATTGAACCCGGGAGGTGGAGGTTGCAGTGAGCCGAGATGGCGCCACTGCACTCCAGCCTGGGTGACAGAGTGAGACTCCTTCCATCTCAAAGAAAAAAACAGGAAGAAGAGACAAAGAAATGAAGTCACACAGAAAGAACACAGCCATGTGACCAACAGAGGCAGAGACTGGAGGATTGCTGGCAACCACCAGAACTTAGGAGGAGGCAACGAAGGCCTTCTCCCTGGAGCCTTTAGAATGAGCATGGCCCTGTCAAGACCTTGACTTTGGACTCTGGCCTGCAGAACCGAGCGAGAACAAAGCTCGTTTGCTTTAAGCCACCCACTTTACGGTACTTTCTTATGGCAGCCCTAGAAATCTATTAGGTTGAGGCAAAAGTTATTGCAGTTTTGCCATTAAAATGGCAACCCATGTCACCAGCAAGAGGCAAGAAGGAAATCAAAGTAGCTCTGGTGTCTCTCTGGAACTCTGTGGTCACACCTGAGTCTTTGCACAACTTCCTCTTCTCCACTCTCTAGCCTCTGTGGTCCAGCCCACCCACATTTCTGGGGAGACCTGATTGGCCCAGCTCAAGTCACGTGTCCAACCTGACCCAATCAGCTGGGACGAGAGAATTGAATCACCTGTTGCCAGGGGTCTTATTCAAAACAGGCAAACAACCCGCTACCAGACAGGCGGTGACCAATCAGATTTGACTAATCAGATTTGACACTGGCTCCTGGACCAGAATTGGGGGGAACCATCCTCCTCTCCCCACAAATCACATGTTAAGCCCTGGGTTGCAGAATCACAGGGCTATCTTAGCCAGCCAGAGGATGTGTCTAGTTATAGGGGTGGCCGTGAAAGATCTGTATGGTGGGGAAACTATGGGGCTGAAGAAACTGGCCAGCTCTGTAGAGCAGAGACGGACAGCGTGTGCTGGTAATTTAACAACCAACTCTCCAGAGGGAGGAAAAATGAGTGTTTATTATAAATTGTACTGGCATGTAAACAACCTTGGCAACATAGCAATACCGTCTCCGCAAAAAAATTAAAAAGTTAGCCAAGTGTGGTGGCACACAACTGTGGTCCCAGCTACTCGAGAGGCTGAGATGGGAGGATCACCTGAGCCTCGGGAGGTCGAGGCTGGAGGCTGCATTGACTCATGATTGCACCGCTGCATTCTAGCCTGGTTGACAGAACAAGACCATCTCAAAAAAAAGAAAGAAAGAAAAAAGCTAGCCCCCAAGTATCACACAGGAGGTGGAGGCTGGGGATGAGTCTTTAAATTCCTCACGTATTACCATAACTCAGATTTTCTTTCAGTCTATTTCTAGATGTTTCTATAGCCCCCTAGCCTGGGCACAATGCTGGCACATTACAGATGCTCAATACACACAAATAAGCAAATAAGTACAATGAATTAATAGAAAGGATGAATCCCAGTTGCTTGGGAGGCTGAGGCAGGAGGATCGTCTAAGTCCAGGAGTTCAAGACCAGCCTCGGCAATGTCGAAGACCCCCCCCCCCCCAAAACAACTCCTCTAAAAAAGTCCATTCACAAACTCAGGATCCTCTTTAAATAGAAATATATATATATATATAATATATATAATATATTATCTGAGCTCAGGCTCAGAATAAATATCAAGGTCCAACTTGGGGAAGGAGTGGGTGAGGAGGGTCCTCAAGGGGAGGTCAGCAGCAGGGACCCCTGCCAAGCCCCTTGAGGTAGAGAAAGCAGCAGGGACCCAGCACCAGGGGTCTCCATGAAGGATGGAGTAGGATTCGGACTCTGTCCAGGTGGGCTGCACCCAGGCTGGACGTTATTCCGACCTCGGTGAAGGGAGTCCGGCTGGGATTTCGGGGGTCACCCGGAAGAGTCCCAAGACTGTGGCGCCCTGGGTAAGCTGCCAGGCATGGCGTGCCCTGGCCTCAGTGTGAAGATGGACGCCCAGGCGCTGGCCGGCACTCAGGTGCAGCAAGCGGCCCTGGAAACCGAAGGCCGAGTTCCGAGCCTCGGAGGAGGCGGGTGGCAGGTCCACGGTCAAAGCCAGGGCGGCGGCCCCAGCAGCAGAGCGCAGTGGCTGCAGGTGCAGCGCAAGTGAAACGGAGCCTGAGCCCTCGCCGGCCACCACGCGCCGCAGCTCTAGTTGAAAGAAGACATAGTAGACTCCAGCCTTGGCCACCACCAGCTCCTTCGTGTCCTCTTTGTAGCTCAGGCCCCCCGTCAGGGACACGCCTGCCAGGCCTGGGTCACTGTACCAGCTCAGGGGCCCATCGATCAGCAGAACTGTGGGAGGAAAGCATGCACTTAGCTTAGCTGAGCATGTCCCAGCACAGCTGAGCGTGGCTGAGCACCGAACATGTCAGCGCAGCCCTGGGAGAAAAGAACGGGTCAGGGGCCGGGGGGCGGGGAATGGCGGGGCAGGGAGCGGGACAGGGGAGCAGAGCGGGGAGCCTGGGTGGGGGGGGCGTTGGGGGGGTGCTGATTGAAGAGAACTGAGGTTGTTGGGGGCGGGACTCTGAGCAGGGGTAGAGCTAGGGGAGGGAAAGACGGGGATAGAACAGAGGAAGGGAATCCAGGGAGAAGGACAAGAGTCGGGACAGGGCAAAACTCCAAGAGGTTGGGTGGGGAAGGAGTGATGCGGGTGCGGGGAAAGACATGCAGGAAGAGGAAGAGGGGGTGAAAAGCAAAAGGCCAGGCGAGTCTGGCTGGAAGAGGCCTCGGGGAGGGGTAAGGGGACTCCTGGAGAGGGCGGTGAGGGGGTTGGAGGGAGCAGCAGATCTCGGACAGGATGGAGATGGGGGGAGGAGAAGGGAGAGAAGGAAGGAAAGGGGAGAGGAGAGGTGGACAGGGAGCTAGGAGGGAGAGGGAAGACTGTTAGGAAAGGAGGAAGTTCTAGAGGAAGGATCCATCAGGGAATCAAGGGAACTTTAAGAGGGGTGGACAGGGGACCTGGTAAGAGAGGACTTCGAAGAAAGGCAAAGGGAGCAGGAAGGGGTGGGGGAGGGGTTAGGGAGAAGGAAGCACCAAGGAGAGAAGATGGCAGGGAGGGGAGTCTTAGGCAGGGGGAGGGAAGGGGGAAGGGGTCTCTGGAGGGGGAGAAGGGAGAAGGTGTCTCTGGAGGGGGAGGGGGAAGGGGGAAGGGGCCTCTGGAGGGGAAGGGGACTCTGGAGGGGGCAGGGAAGGGGGAAGGGGTCTCTGGAGGGAGAGGGAAGGGGGAAGGGGTCTCTGGAGAGGGAGGGGAAGGAGGAAGGGGTCTTTGGAGGGGGAGGGGGAAGGGGTCTCTGGAAGGGGAGGGAAGGGGAAAGGGGTCTCTGGAGGGGGAAGGAAGGGGGAAGGGGTCTTTGGAGGGGGAAGGGGTCTCTGGAGGGGAGAGGGAAGGGGGAAGGGGTTTCTGGAGGGGGAGGGGAAAGGGGGAAGTGATCTCTAGATGGAGAGGGGAAGGGGGAAGGGGGTCTCTGGGAGGGGAAGGGGGAAGAGGTCTCGAGCGGGGAAGAAGTCTCTGGACGGGGAGGGAAGGTGCTGGGAGGAGTGTCTTGGAAACTGGGAGAGCATGGGGCTGGGGAGGGTTTGGGGAAGGGGCAGGGAGGAGGGTCTAGGGGGAGGGAAGGGGACAGGAGGAGGGCCTGGGGATGGGGAAGAGAATGGGAGTAAGGAGGAGGCTCTGGGCGAGGGGAAGAGGTAGGGAAGAGAGGCTGGGAGAGTGGGGAAGGGGCAGGAAAGAGGGAAGAAAAGCAGCGGGGAAGAGGGTTTCGAAAAGAAGGAGGCCAGAGACACAAAACCAGGCTGGGGGTTGGGGGTGTCAAGCCCCAGCTCTGAGAGGGCAGGGGTCCCAGGTGGGCCCAGATGGGGGTCTGATGGGGAGGCCATGGCATCCAGAGAGTCAGAGCAAGTCAGAAAGAGGGATCGGTGGCGTTCAAAGAGGGGAAGTAGCAGCTTTCAGAGACAGCAGCGGTCAAGGGTCAAAGCCAGTGTGCGGCAGAGCCTCACTCTCCAGGTTCCCCCTTCTTCGTATCCCGGGGTGGGGATGGTGGGGGGCCAGGGACCGGAAGTGGCGGAGGATACTTACCATTTTGGGCCACCAGCTGCGCAAACATGCCCTGTTAAAAGTAGAAAGGAGGAAAGTGGATGGGGGTTCCCCTAGAAAATGGAGGTTCTGTCCCCACTCACTTCAGCTGTCAGGGTCCCCAGAGTCTGTGCCGACCTGAAGCCTACGCTTCCCTTCCCTCCCAACTAAAGAACAGAGACCGCACACACACACACACAAACACACAAACACACGAACACAAACACAAACGAACACACACACGAACACCCACATTAACACACAGACACACGAACAAACACGAACACACACACGAACGCAAACACAAACACACACAAACACCCACACGAACACACACAGACACACACGAACACAAATATCCAAACACACCCACATGAACACAAACACCCACACGAACGAACAAACACAAACACCCACACGAACACACACCCACACGAACACAAACACACCCACGAACACACACACATACGCACCCCCACACGAACACACACACACGAACACAAACACCCACACAAACACGAACACACACACACACACACACACACACACACACGAAGCTGGTGGCTCAACCTGCCCCAAGGACAGATCTCCAAGAATTCAGGAGGGAAAAGCGATCCCTCTTCTTTCCAGCCCCCTTGGGGGTATTCCCCTGGGGGTCTTGAAAGGGAGAGGGGTACCTCAGATGTTGGGGATAAGGCTCTTTGGGAGTTAGCAAAGGAACTGGGGGTCTCCTTGGCGGTCCCAGATAAAGAGGAAGTGCCCCCCTCGGATCGGGGATGGAAAAAAGGTTCCCCCCAGAGATGCAGAGCTTGTGGGGGTGCGGGGTAAAAAGAGGTGCCCTCAATGTCCTAAGTCCTACATAGAGAAAGGAAGCCGTCGAGGGTTGGAGAACCGCGGAGGGTCCCCCGTCCAGGGTGCAGATGGGGTGCCTTGGGAATGCGGAATGAAGAGGGGTGCCCCCACCCACTGCCACATGGAGGGAAGCCAGCCTTTCTCCGACCCGGGGTGCAGAAGACGTATCCCTGAGGGGTTGAGGACTGTGGGGGTCTCCTCCTCCTGGCCTGGGGTGCTGATGGGGTCTCGGGATGCGGAATGAAAGGGGTGCCCTCCCGTGCAAGACGGAGAAGGAGAGCCCTTGGAGGTCCAAAAAGAACTTGTGGGGGTCTCCTCTCCCCCTCCCGGGATACAGATAGGGTCTCGTAGCGGGCGCAGGATGAAAGGGGTGCCCCCCGGACTAGAAGAAGGAGACCCTTGGGGGGTCCAAAAAGAACTGTTGGGCGGTCTCCTCCCCGCCCCCGGCCTGGGGTACAGATGAGGTGTCGTAGGGGTGCGGGATGAAAGGTGTGCCCCCCCGGCCTCGGTGCTAGATGGAGAATGGGAGCCCCGGTGGGTCTCCTCTCCCCGGCCGGGAGTGTAGAACAGGTGTCCCTGGGGGTGCGGGAGGGAGAAGGGAGTCCCAGAGGGGCGGTAGGGGTCTCCCGCGAGACCAGCTACCGAGGGTCGGGGCACGTCTCACCTGCCGCAGGTCCAAGAGGCCGGCGGGATCGTCGGGCGAAAGCTCGGGACCCTCGCGGAGTCTCGGGCTGGCCGCGGAGCCGGGCGAGGCGCGAGCCCCGGACACGGCCCAGGGGCAGGCGAGGAAGACGGCGCAGGCGGCAGCGAGCAGCAGCAGCAGCAGCAGCCCCGCGACCAGGGCCCAAGGCAGTACGCGGCAGGCGCGAGCGCGGGGCGCGGGAGGCCACGGGGCTTCGGGGTCCAGTGAAGCGTCAGAGGCGTATTCCATGACGAGAGACTGCGGGAAGACACAGCGCGCCGCTTTTTATAGCTGCTTGGCTACAAAAGGAGGCCACGCCCCTCCGCCCGCGGCCACGCCCCTCCGCCCGCGGCCACGCCCCTTCCCAGCCCAGAGCCTTTCCCCTCGTCCCCGTGACTCTGCGGAATTTTCTCCACTCGGATCTCTCTCCGCTTTTCGCTCTCCTTTCCGTTTCCGGCCTTCCAAGCTCGGCTCCAGGTTCCTTTCTCCCTGCTGTCTCTCCATCGCCCTGGTTCTCCCTCTCTGCCGCTCTTTCCCGGTATCTCTGTGGGTCTCTTGCTGACTCAGTCTCCTTTGCTCTCTGTGTCTCCCCGTTAACGTCTTTCTCTGTCTCTGTTGATTGCCTCTGCAGTGGGTGGAAAGAGATCTTTCTCTCTCTCTGCCAATTTATGTCTATGCGTGCCTCTGTGCCTGTATTATCTCTGTCTCTGTCTCTCTCTATCTCTGTCTCTAATTCTCTCTCCCTGTCTCTGGCTCTGTTATCTCTGTCTCTGTATCTCTCTGTCTAACTCTGTCTCTGGCTGTTATCTCTGTCTCTCATTGTATCTCTCTCTGACTCTCTCTCCCTGTCTCTGGCTCTGTTATCACTGGCTCTGTCTCTCTATCTGTCTTCTCTCTCTCTGCCTCTGACTCTCTCTCCCCATGTCTGGCTCTGTTATCTCTGTCTATATATCTCTCTCTGTCTCTGACTCTCTCTCCCTATCTCTGGCTCCGTTATCTCTGTCTCTGTATCTGTCTCTGGCTCTGTTATCTCTGTCTCTCTATCTCTGTCTCTGACTGTCTCTGGCTCTGTTATCTTTCTCCCTCTCTCTGCTTCTGTTATCTCTGTCGCTGTCTCTGGCTGTGACTCTCTCTCTCTGTCTCTGTGTCTGGCTCTCTCTGTCTCTGTCTCTGACTCTGTCTCTGGCTCTGTTATCTCTGTCTCTATGTCTCTGTCTCTGTGTCTCTCTCCCTGTCTCTGGCTCTTTTATCTATGTCTGTCTGTCTCTTTCTCTCTGTCTCTGACTCTCCCTATCTCTGGCTCTGTTATCTCTGTGTCTGTCTCTCTGTCTCTGACACTCTCTCCCTGTCTCTGGCTCTGCTATCTCTGTCTCTGTATCTCTCTTTGTCTCTGCCTCTCCCTGTCTCTGGCTCTTTTATCTATGTCTGTCTTGTGTCTCTTTCTCTCTGTCTCTGACTCTCCCTATCTCTGGCTCTGTTATCTCTGTGTCTGTCTCTGTCTCTGACACTCTCTCCCTGTCTCTGGCTCTGTTATCTCTGTCTCTGTCTCTCTGTCTCTGGCTCTGTTATCTCTGTCTCTGTATCTCTCTTTGTCTCTGCCTCTCCCTGTCTCTGGCTCTTTTATCTGTGTCAGTCTGTGTGTTTCTTTCTCTCTGTCTCTGACTCTCCCTATCTCTGGCTCCGTTATCTCTGTCTCTCTCCATCTCTGACTCCCTCTCTTTATGCATCTCTGTGTCTCTCCCTGTCTCTGTATGTCTCTGGCTCTCACTCTTTCTGTCTCTCTCCCTGTTTCTCTCTGTCTCTGATTCCCTCTGTCTCTCTCTGACTCTCTGTCTCTCCCTGTCTCTCTCCTTTTCCTTCTTTAGTCTCTCTTTGTCTCCTTCCCCTCCTCTCAGCACCCCCTAGCCCCCCATCACTAGGACTCCCCCGGGTTCCCCCACATCCAGCACTTCCTAAGAAGGGTCAGGCTTCAGCCAAGCCTCAACCACCCTCACTCCTGGAGCATCTGCCCCCTGATCCCCAACCCCCCAGTGGAACCCTGAGTGTCATGCTCAGCCCTCCTGGCCACCTTCCCCGGGACCCCTGGGCCTTCCCTGGCCTGCCCCCACCCACCCACTGGATGGTTCCCGGCAGGAGCCCCTCGGGACCCTACAAGCAGAAGCTCGGAGAGTCCAGGTGGAGAAATTCCCCTTGCAAGAAAGGGACAGTGTTGAGCGAGTTGGAGGAAACACATTTCCCATCTGCTCTGGCCTGCTGGAGGCGGCCAATCCGGGGCTGGGAGGATGGGCCAAGAAGCGGTGAAAACTTGGCCCCAAAAGAGGAAGCACTCCCAGATGGAGAGGGACGTGACCCGGGGAAAGCCCTTGGCTGGTGTTGAAGTCCTGGTCTGCCCAGACCAGTGTGGGTCCACAATGGCCAACTCCCTTCCCATCTCCCAGCCCCATGGGAGATGGGAGGGTAGACCACGCCTTTCATCCCTCTGCTAGCAGAAGTCAACAGCCCATAAAATAAAGGGACTTTTGTTTTGCTTTCAGATACAAGGTCTTGCTCTGTCGCCCAAGCTGGAGTGCAGTGGCACGATCATAGCCCACTGCAGCCTCCAATCCTGGGTTCAAGCCATCCTCCTGTCTTAGACTCCTGAATAGCTGGAACTACAGGCACATACCACCATGCCTACCAATTTTTTTTTTTAATTTTTTACTTTTTATAGAGACAGGGTCTTGCTATGTTGCTCAGCTGGTCTCAAACTCCTGGACTCAAGCAATGCTCCTGTCTTGGCCTCTCAGCACTGTGATGCCAGTCATGCGTTACCGTGCCCAGTCATAAGGTAGACTTCTCATTCAACAGAACAAGTATCTTCCAGGTCAGCACTGTGTCTGATCCTGTATTGGGCCTCCCTGGGGGATTGCAGAGAAAACAGTAATGTTACTGGCTAGTGTTGAAGGAGCATTACCAAATGCTAAACACTTCCTATATACGGTTTGGGTACTCCACGTGTGAGGCCCGACCCAGCAACAGGGCCACTATCAATTAGCTATGCAAATTCTAGCACCCCGCCTAAACCTCCGGAAACTCTCAGAGGGGGTGTCCTCCAGAAGATTCCGACGGCCCCGCAAGTTTGAGAATGCCACTTGTGCCCACGTTTTTCCTTCGCATCTGCTATTCCTCGGCCTGGAACATTCTTTCCCCAGAACCGCAACTGCCAGACACTTTCTCACCACTCATGTCTCCCTTTACACCATCCCTTCCGGGTCAAGATGACAAACTGAACCAGCCTCTGTTTTCACTGTCTCCTGAAACTTCACTGTAGTCACACTTGAGCAATTGTTCGTAAACCAAAAAAAAAAAATTACAAGCCAGCAGAACGGAAAGGTGAGTTTCCTTAGATTTCCACCACCCCTAAGACCTACTCGTTGGTGAATCCCCTCAACTATGAATAATGTGGTGGATGGCGGCTAAAATACAGAAGTTTGCCATAGATAAATTTGCAGAAGAAGGCCGGGCGCAGTGGCTCACGCCTGTAATCCCAGCACTCTGGGAGGCTGAGGCAGGTGGATCACCTGAGGTCAGGAGTTCAAGACCAGCCTGACTAACATGGTGAACCCCATCTCTACTAAAAATACTAAAATTAGCCAGGCGTGATGGCAGATGCCTATAATCCCAGTTACTCGGGAGGTTGAGGCAAGAGAATCCTTGAACCCGGGAGGCGGAGGTTGCAGTGAGCCGAGATCGTGCCACTGCACTCCAGCCTGGGTGACAAAGTGAGACTCTATCTCAAAAAAAAAAAAAAATTGCAGAAGGGACACCAACTCCTCTCCACTTTCCATAAGAGAGAATCAGAGAAGCAATTTTTTGTTTTAAGATAGGTTCTCAGCCCAGCATGGTGGCTCACGTCTGTAATCCCAGCACTTTGGGAGGCTGAGGCGGGTGGATCACTTAAGTTCAGGAGTTCAAAACCAGCCTGGGCAACATGGTGAAGCCCTGTCTCTACTAAAAAAAAAAAAACTACAAAAATTAGCTGGGCATGGTGGCACTAGCTTGTAGTTCCAGCTACTTGGGAGGCTGAGGCGGGAGGATCACTTGAATCTGGGAGGTGGAGGTCACAGTGAGCCAAGATTGTACCACTGCACTCCAGCCTGGGTGACAGAGCAAGACTCCGTCTCAAAAAAAAAAAAAATAGACAGCATCTCACTCTGTTGCCCAGGCTGGAGTGCAGTGGTGTCATCGTGGTTCATTGCAACCTCAAACTCCTGGGCTTAAGTGACTCTCCCACCTCAGACTCCCCAAAGTGCTGGGACTACAGGTATGAGCCACCTCACCTGGCCCTTTCTAAGTAATTTTTATTTTTTTGAGGCAGGATTTCACACTGTCACCGAGGCTGGAGTGCAGTGGGTAATGACAGCTTACAGCAACCTCAACCGCCAGGCTCAAGCAATCCTCTCACCTCAGCTTCCCCAGTAGCTAGGACTATAGGTGCGCACCACAATGCTCAGCTAATTTAGTATTATTTGAAGAGATGGGGTTTCACCATATTGCCCAGTCCACCTCCTTGGCTCAAGTGATCCGCTCATCTCGACCTCACAAAGTGCTGGGATTATAGGCGTGAGCTACCTCGGTGGGCTGCTGAGTCGCCAGGTCCTTTTTCATTCTTATTTTTTATTTTATTTTATTGCATTTTTTCCTAAGTGAATGCACACAGGATATTTTATTTTATATGTTAATTGAGACGGAGTCTCTCCATGTTGCCCTGGCTGGTCTCTAACTCCTGGGCTGAATGGGTCCTCCTGCCCTGGCCTCCGAAAGTACTGGGATTACAGGTGTGAGCCACGGCGTGCAGCCTTTTTTTTTTTTTTTTTTTTTTCCCTTAAGAGAAAGGAATGGCCGGGGCGGTGGCTCAAACCTGTAATCCCAGCACTTTGGGAGGCCAAGGCAGGTGGATCACAAGGTCAAGAGATCGAGACCATCCTGGCCAACATGGTGAAACCCGTCTCTACTAAAAATACAAAAAATTACATGGGCGTGGTGGTGCGCACTGTAGTCCCAGCCACTCGGGAGGCTGAAGCAGGAGAATCGCTGGAACCCAGGAGGCGGAGATTGCAGTAAGCCGAGATCACCCCACTGCACTCCAGCCTGGCGACAGAGCAAGACTCCGTTTCCAAAAAAAAAAAAAAAAAAAAAAAGCAGAAAGGAAAACGGGCTGGGCGCGGTGGCTCACACCTGTCATCCCAGCACTTTGGGAGGCGGAGGTGAGTGAATCACCTGAGGTTAGGAGTTCAAGACCAGCCTGGCCAACATGGTGAAACCCCGCCTCTACTAAAAATACAAAAAAAAGTTAGCCAGCATGGTGGCACATACCTGTAATCCCAGCTACTCAGGAGGCTGAGGCAGGAGAATTGCTTGAACCCGGGAGGCAGAGGTTGCAGTGAGCCAAGATCGCACCTTTGCACTCCAACCTGGGCGACAAGAGTGAAACTCCATCTCAAAAAAAAAGCAAAAAAAAAAAAAAAAAAAAAGAGAGAGAAAGGAAAATGGCAGGGTTTCTGGAAAGAGAAAAAAAAATGGCAGGTAGTGGGAAACAGGAGTGTTCATTGAACCTGGAATGTGAATGTTGAAATTAAGACACACACATGCCCTCAGCGCTTGCCTCTACTCCCTCCACATCCAGGATCCAGAAGATGCATAGGTAGAAGGTCGCTCTCCAAGGAAGCTGACCAACCAGGAATAAAGATTTTTTTTTTTCTTGAGACAGTTTTGCTCCGTCATCCAGGCCAGAGTGCAGTGGCACCATCTCGGCTCACTGCAACCTCTGCCTCCTTTTAGTAGAGACAAGGTTTCTCCATGTTGGCCAGGCTGGTCTTGAACTCCTAACCTCAAGTGATCCACCCGCCTCAGCCTCCCAGAATGCTGGGATTACACACATGAGCCACTGCACCAGGCCAGGAATAAAGATTTAAAGATACTGATGTCGCTGAGCATGGTGCCTCATGCCTGTATTCCCAGCTACTCAAGAAGCTGAGGTGGGAGGACTGCTTGAGCCCAGGAGGTCAAGGCTGCAGTGAGGTATGATTGTACCACTGCACTCCAGCCTGGGCAACAGAGCGAGATCCTATCTTTAAAAAATAAATAAAATAAATAAAAAAAGGAAAAGAGAAAGAAATATAGCATAAAGGTTAAGAGCACTCTAGGCCGGGCGTGATGGCTCACGCGTGTAATCCCTACACATTGGGAGGCCGAGGCAGGAGGATCACTTAAGGCCAGGAGTTCGAGAGCAGCCTGGCCAACATGGTGAAACCCCGTCTCTACTAAAAATACAAAAATTAGATGGGTGTGGTGGTGCATGCCTGTAATCCCAGCTACTCGGGAGGCTGAGGCAGGAGAATCGCTTGAACCTGGGAGGCGGAGGTTGCAGTGAGCCGAGATCACACCACTGCTCGCCAGCCTGGGCAACAGAGCAAGGCTCTGTCTCAAAAAAAAAAAAAACTTAATTAATTTTAAAAAGATTTAAAGATCCTGATGCCACTGGGCATGGTGGCTCATGCCTGTAGTCCCAGCTACTTAGGAGGCTGAGTTGGAAGATCACTTGAAACCAGAAGGTTGCGGCTGCAGTGAGCTAGGATCGCACCACTGCACTCCAGGCTGGGTGACAGAGTGAGACCCTATCTCAAAAAAAAAAAAAAAAAAAATGAAAAGAGAAATAATTATAGCATAAAGGTTAAGAACACTCTAGAGCCAGGATCAGCAAACTCCAGCCAAAAGCTAAATATGGCCCACTGCCAGTTTTTGTACAGCCTTGTAGATGAAGATCCTTTCACTTAATTGTTTTTGTTTTTGAATGTCTGGAAAAATGTCAAAAGAAAAATAACATTTCCTGACATGTGCAAATGATATGACTTTCCCATTTACTGTCCATAAATAAAGTGTGCCTGGCACACAGCCACACTCATTCATTCCATATTGTCTTTTCTGGTTTTGTTTTTGTTTTTGTTTTTGTTTTGAGATGGAGTCTCGCCCTGTCGCCCAGGCTGGAGTGCCATGGCATGATCTCGGCTCACTGAAAACTCTGCCTCCCAGGTTCAAGCAATTCTCTGCCTTAGCCTCCTGAGTAGCTGGCATTACAGGCACCCGCATCCATGCCTAATTTTTATGTTTTTAGTAGAGACAGGGTTTACACCGTCTTGGCCAGGCCGGTTTTGATCTCCTGACCTCCTGATCCACCTCTTTGGCCTCCCAAAGTGCTGGGATTACAGGCCTGAGCCACCGCACCTGGCCTTCATTCATTCGAACTCCCAGGCTCAAGTGATCCTCCCTTCATTCCGTATTGTCTATGGTGGCTTTCCTGACACTATGGTGGAGTTGAAGAGTTGTGAAAAGGGACTGACTAGCTCACAAAGCCCAAAATATTTACTGTCTGGTCCTTTTCAGAAAAATGTTTGCTGCCTGTGGAGTCTTCAATTCCAGCTCTTCAGAGTTCTGGCTGTGTGGGATGGGCACAGTGGCTCATGCCTGTAATCCGAACACTTTGGGAATCCAAGGTAGGAGGATCGCTTGAACCCAGGAGTTCAAGACCAGCCTGGGCAGTATAGCAAGATCCCATCTCTACAAGAAAAAAAAAACAAGGCCGGGCCAACATACTGAAACCCCATCTCTACTAAAAACACAAAAATCAGCCAGGCATGGTGGCACACACCTGTAGTCCCAGCTACTTGGCGGACTAAGGCAGGAGAATCTCCTGAACCCGGGAGGCAGAGGTTGTGGTGAGCCAAGATCACGCCACTGCACTCCAGCCTGGGCAACAGAGCAAGACTCCATCTCAAAAAAAAAAAAAGAAAAGTAATTAGCCAGGTGTCATGGCACACACCTGTGGTCCCAGCTACTCAGAGAGGCTGAGGTGGGAGGATCGCTTGACCTGGGGAGGCAGAGGTTCCAGTGAGCTGTGGTCATACCACTGCACTCCAGCCTGGGCAAAAAAGAGCAAGACCTTGTCTTTAAAATAAAAACAAAAATAAAAAAAGAAAGACAGGCTGGGCATGGTGGCTCATGCCTGTAATCCCAGCACTTTGGGAGGCTGAGGCAGGTGGATCACCTGAGATCGGGAGTTCGAGACCAGCCTGATTAACATGGTGAAATCCCGTCTCTACTAAAAATACAAAAAATTAGTTGGGCATGGTGGCACATGCCTGTAATCCCAGTTACTTGGGGGGCTGAGGCAGGAGAATCGCTTGAATGCGGGAGGCAGAGGTTGCAGTGAGTGGGGATTGTGCCACTGCACTCCAGCCTGGACAACAGAGCAAGACTCTGTCTCAAAAAAAAAAAAGAAAAAAAAAAGAGAGAGAAAGAGTGGGAGTTTTTGCTGTGTGATCTTGGGCAAGCTGCTTCACTTCTCTGATTCAGCTCATTGTTCAGATGTGTTAAATGGGAATCATAGTGGATCTCAAAGAATAGTGGAAAGCTTGCTCTGAGCACCGTGCCGAGCACATAGTAAATGTTCAATAAAGGCAACCTGTCATTGTGATGGTCACTGACGTTTCTCTACAGCTCTGTGGTACAACATCATCCCTAAAACGTGGGCACAGAAATTAAAACTCCAGAAAGTGAGGTCTCTTGGCCAAGGTCTCACTGTGACTGGTCTGAACTCCTATCTGTGCTGGGGGGCTTGGCGGAGCTCTGAACATGCCCCCCAGGGAAGGGAAACAAGACCTCAACGCCTGGGGAAGACTCAGGCCGCAGTCAGGGAGCGCCGTGACGCACTGTGGTCGGGACATCTGAGCCAGGCGGCCCCGCCCACCGTGGAGCACTCAACGTCACCCTCTTAGCACCTCACGTTTGCTGGAGTCACACCTCTGTGCTCAGCTGTCTCCTCGAAGTAAGCGTGGGCCCTGGTTTTCCTCACCCACTGGGGAAGGGCCTCACTCTCCACCCTCACCATCACAGGCCTTGAGGGAGGGATTGCACAGGAAGTAGTTGGAAGGGACAGCACCCCAGGCTGTGCCAGGGGGGCCCTCCTTCTTCTGCCTCTGAGGTTGAGTGAACAGACTCCTCCCCCAGGAAGTCCACCTTGATTGTTTCCCAGCAACAATCTTCTCCTCTCAGGGTCCTTGTAGTGTGTCTCCCATCATGTAGCCAGTGACCTCTTCGAGGGTTAACTTTTACCTGGCCTGGGTCCTCTATCTACCCCAGGGCAGAGTGAAGCCTAACAGAGCATTAGTGGTGTGAGCGGAGCAATTTGCATGAGTCAGACAGCTACGGAGTGAGCTAGGGGCCAGATGGAACTGAAGAAAAGAGGAAAGGAAAGTGTGGAGTGAAGTGCATCTTATTGTTTTTTGAGACACGGTCTCGCTCTATTGGCCAGGCTGGAGTACAGTGGCATAATCATGACTCACTGCAGCCTTGAACTCCCAGGCTCAAGTGATCCTCCCACCTCAGTCTCCTGAGTAGCTGGGACTACAGGCACGTGCCACCACACTCAGCTATTTTATTATTCTTATTATTATTTCTTGTAGAGATGGGGTCTCACTATGTTGCCCAGGCTGGTCTGGAACTCCTGGGCTCAACCAATCCTCCTGCCCCAGCCTCCCATGTATTAATAGCTGGGACTACAGGTGCACACTACCATACCCTGCTATTTTTTTTTTTTTTTTTTTTTTTTTGAGATGGAGTCTCGCACTGTCGCCCGGGCTGGAGTGCAGTGGCGTGATCTCAACTCGCTGCAACCTCCGCCTCCCAGCTTCAAACGATTCTCCTGCCTCAGCCTCCCAAGCAGCTGGGATTACAGGCACCCACCACCACGCCCAGCTAATTTTTTGTATTTTTAGTAGAGACAGGGATCCACTATGTTAGCCAGGCTGGTCTCCTGACCTCGTGATCTTCCCGCCTCGGCCTCCCAAAGTGCTGGGATTACAGGCATGAGCCACAGCACCAGGCCTTTTTTTTTTTTTTTTTTTTTTTTTTTTTAAAGACGGGGTCTCGCTATATTCCCCAGGCTGGTCTCCAACTCCTGAACTCAAGTGATCCTCCTGCCTTGGCCTCCCAAAAATGCTGGGATTACAGGCATGAACACCCAGCCTGAGATTGATCTAGAGCCATAAAGGAGTGTTTACACATGTTGAGGAGAAAAGAGACACAGAGAGGGGAATTACATCATCCAAATGAGTCGAGTAGCTGGAAAAGCTACATCCAGGTCTCTGGAAAACACAGACTGGCACCCGAGTGTGTGCACCTGGGGTTTTGTGTAAGAGTTGCAAGGTACAGGCCAGGCATGGTGGCTCACGCCTGTAATCCCAGCACTTTGGGAGGCCTAGGCAGGCAGATCACCTGAGGTCAGGAGTTCGAGACTGGCCTGGCCAACATGGTGAAACCCCCGTCTCTACTAAAAATACAAAAAAATTAGCTGGGCGCAGTGGCGGGCGCCTGTCATCCCAGCTACTTGGGAGGCTGAGGCAGGTGAATCACTTGAACCCACGAGGCAGAGGTTGCAGTGAGCCGAGATTGTGCCACTGCACTCCAGCCTGGGCATCAGAGCAAAACTCCGTCTCAAAAAAAAAAAAAAAAAAAAAAGAGTTGCAAGGTACATTCTCGCTTAGACTGGTCTGGAACTCCTGAAGTTGAGGAAACGACCACAGCATTTCCTCAAGAGATCCTCCCGTCTCAGCCTCCCAGGGTGCTGGGATTAGAGGCAGGAACCACCACTCCCAGCTTGCAAGGTATGATTGTGCACAGCAAGTGAGCTTTGTGAAGTTGAGGCACACATCCTGCTACTCTGGGACTGAGTGTCTCTGATGTGATACTGTGTACTCAGGAGGATGCATGCGGGCATCGATGTGTTTCCAGTTGAGCAGCACCAGAGCATAGGATTTGACTCACTTGGCTTCAAATCCCAGCTCTGCCTCTGCTGGCTACATGACCTTGAAATCTCTCCATCTCTCTGTGCCTCAGTTTCCCCGTATATGAAATGAGACTAACACCAGTGACCACCTTGTGGGACTGTTGTCCAGAATCAGGGAGCCAGAATAGTGCCTGGCATACAGCAGGTGCTCAATAGGACCAGCCATCATTGCTGCCAGTGGGCTGAGAGTGTGGTGCCTCCACGTGACTGTGTACATGGGTTGATCTTGTTTGGGCAAAAAGGAAGGCATGGCCGGGGGCTCACACCTGTAATCCCAGCACTTTGGGAGGCTGAGGGGGGCGAATCACTTGAGCTCAGGAGTTCAAAACTAGCCTGGGCAATATAGTGAGACCCCGTCTCTACTAAAAATACAAAAATTAGCCAGGCGTGGTGGTCCACACCTGTAATGCCAGTTACTCGGGAGTCTGAGGCAGGAGAATCCCTTAAACCCGGAAGGTGGAAGTTGCAGTGAGCTGAGGTCACGCCATTGCACTCCAGCCTGGGTGACAGGGCAAGACTTGTCTAAAAAAAAAAAAGGCCAGGTGCAGTGGGTCATGCCAGCCTGGCTAACATGGTGAAACCTTGTCTCTACTAAAAATACAACAAAAATTAGCTGGGCATGGTGGTGGGCGCCTGTAATCCCAGCTACACGGAAGGCTGAGGCACGAGAATCGCTTGAACCCGGGAGGCAGAGGTTGCAGTGAGCTGAGATCATGCCACTGCACTCCAGCCTGGGTGACAGAGAGAGACTCAGTCTCAAAACAAAACAAAATAAACAAAAAAACAAAAATAAATAAATAAAAACAAGGGGCAGGCAGGAATATGTGGTGCAAAATTGTTGAAGATGAAAATAACTGCATTGGTCATCAGAAGGAAAACTGCCAGGTTATTACTCACAGAATCGGTTTAAAAATTAAAAACATGTCTGAGTCATCTCTTGACAGAGATCTCCAAGGGCTAAGAGAACAAGGCACTCAGACTTTGCCTCCTCTACTCTTTCAAAGATTAAGGTTTTTAGTGTGAAATGGGCCTTACCCATCAGGTTGAGTCTCTGTCCTGTTTGAACTTTAGGTTGAAAATTTGGCGTGATTATTCTATGTAATTGCTTTTTTGGGCAGATGGTTTACAAAACCTTTAAAGGGGGCTAGGCGGCCGGGTGCGGTGCTTCACACCTGTAATCCCAGCACTTTGGGAGGCGGGGGCGGGCAGATACGAAGTCAAGAGATCGAGACCATCCTGGCCAACATAATGAAACCCCGTCTCCACTAAAAATACAAAAATTAGCTGGGCGTGGTGTCGGGCCCCTGTAGTCCCAGCTACTCGGGAGGCTGCGGCAGGAGAATCGCTTAAACCGGGGAGGTGGAGGTTGCAGTGAGCCGAGATCACACCACTGCCCTCCAGCCTGACAACAGAGTGAGACTCCATCTCAAAAAAAAAAAAAAAAAAAAAGAGGCTGGGCATGGTGGCTCACGCCTGTAATCCCTGCACTTTGGGAGGTCCAGGCAGGTGGATCACGAGGTCAGGAGTTCGAAACCAGCCTGGCCAACATGGGGAAACCCCATCTCGACTAAAAATACAAAAATTAGTCAGGTGTGGTGGCGCATGCCTGTAATCCCAGCTACTCAGGAGGCTGAGGCAGGAGAATCACTTGAACCCAGGAGGCAGAGGCTGCAGTGAGCCGAGATCATCATGCCACTGCACTCCAGCCTAGGCAACAGAGTGAGATTCTGTCTCGGGGGAACAAAAAAAAACCTTTAAAAGAATAACCAAGTGAGGAAAAAAAGAAACGAAAGCAAGGTGCAGGCTGCTATGTGCAGAATGCACGCTTTGGGTTTCAGAGCAGAAATAGGTTTGTATAAAACATTTCAGAAAGATGTGCAAAAATTGAGGGTATTGGGGTGAGAAGATGTGGATGTTTCATGGTGTATGATTTTGCATGCTTGCATTTTCCATGGGTTCGTTTTGTTTGCTTTGTTTTATTCTTTTTGTTTTAACATTAAGCACAGAATCGTGGCCAGCTTTCACACACGCAGAAAGAAACCAGTGGCCAGAGCCACTTGGAGGAAGGAAACTTTTTGTACCTAGTGACATCAAAGGCAGGAAATGGTGTTTCCCTGTTGAGGGCAGTGGAAGGAGGAGTCAGGGTTGGGGAAGACCCAGGCAGACTTGGGGCAGACCCAGCGACCCCTTCCAAGAGCATGAAGAGGCAGCTCACGGTGCTGGGAAGTCAACCCGCTTTGGAAAGGGAATCCCAGCAGGGTAACTACCTGGAAAGGACTTTCCAACTCCCCTGGGGGAGGGACACAAGTAGACACACACAGACACCAGAACACAAAGGGCACACCCATTCTGGACATATACAATCACACAAAACAAGACAGACATACAGACACACCATGCAGACATACACACAATCACACACACACACACACACCTGGACACACAATCATAGATACACAACAACCATCAAAGCTAGCCACAGACCGGGTGCAGTGTCTCACGCCTGTAATCCCAGCACCTTGGGATGCCAAGGCAGTCAGATCACTTGAGGTCAGGAGTCCGAGACCAACCTGGCCAACATGGTGAAACCCTGTCTCTACCAAAAATACAAAAAAAAAAAAAAAAAAAAAATAGCCGGGCGTGGTGGTGAGTGCCTGTAGTCCCAGCTACTAAGGAGGCTGAGATGGGAGACTCGCTTGAACCCGGGAGGCAGAGGTTGCAGTGAGCCAAGATGGCGCCGCTGTACTCCAGCCTGGATGACAGAGTAAGATTCTGCCTCAAAAAAAAAAAAAAAGCTAGCAACAGACACACACAAGGACACAAGAGACATATATTCAGGGCATATAACCAAACACACCGAGACTAGAACACACCAACACAGACACACCATCACACACATACCAAAACAGACATGGAGGTACACAACACACACGTACACGGTTACACACTGAGACAGACACCCAAAGACACAATCGTAGATACACATACATGGCAGGCACCATGGCTAGTCATAGACATAACGCAAGAACACACGTTATGGGCATGCACAATCACACACACAGAGGTCCAGGTCCAATCCTACGACCATCCAAGGTCTGCCCCGCTCCCAGAGGAGTCCCCAGGGACTACCCCTCAGAACACCCAAGTTCCACCCTGTACCCACAGAGGACCACCCAAGATCCACTCCCGCCAGGGAACCCAGGACTCACCCCTCAGACCACCTAGGATCCATCCCCCAAGAGGAAACTCAGGCCCTTCCCTCTGGGGACCTCCCCCTCCCTCCCCTGAGGAACAATCACTCTGGGCCCCTTTTCTCCGCAGCGATACCCAGCTTGGGCAGCGGGCGCCCCCTGGTGGACCTGGAGCCCCAGTCCAGGACTGCACGGAGCTGGGGCCCAGGAGCCAAGGCGCGCGGGGAGTTCCGGTGCTCTAGGACTTGGGAGCATTCACGGCAGAACCGGGGAAGGAAAGAGCGTGGAGACGCGGGAAGGGGAGATGGGAGGCCGGAACTGGATCGGGCAGGGCATTAAGCGCGGGAACAGAACGTCGGAAGCAGGAATGGGTTGGAGGCGGTTGGACCGAAGACCTCCTACTCCCGCACCCCAGCCAGCCCCGCGTCTCCACCCGGCAGGTGCGGCTCCTGGACCGCGGAAGACCCCGGAGGCGGATTCCCAACGAGGCACAGCGAGGGCAGGGTCGGGGAGGTTAGAGTGCTGAGGGTGGGAGGTCTTCGGTCCCACGGCCGAAGCTCGCCTAGTCATGGCTCTCAGCCTGGAAGTAACGCCAAGAAATCGCCCGAGACTGGGAATGCCCAGCGCTCAGCCTGGATGATCACCAGCACCAACGTGGCTTTGGCTCGCGGGTTCAAGAGAAAGATGGGCCCGCCCCTTCCACGACTGATCCTGTCAGTCTACCGAAGCCCCATTCCGCTGTCATCCGCCTCCCACCTCCCTAGCTTCTCCCCAGGCCCCGCCCTCGTACCCATCCGTTTGCCTCTCAGGCTCTGCCCACTCCTCAGTCCTTCCCACTTTCCTGTCATTCTCTCGAGGACCGTCCGCTTCCCCAGCAGACTCCCAGGCCCAGCCCACTCCTCAGTTCCCCTACCCCACGGTCATTCTCCCTAGACTCCGCCCACTTCATAGTTATTTGTCTCCCAGCCCTTGCTAACTCCTTAGTCCCTCCCACTTCCCTGTCATTCTCCCCAGGCCCCGCCCACTTCCCCTGCTGTCCGCTCCAGGCCCTTCCCACGCCACAGTTCCTCCCAATATTATCTCCAGGCCCCGCCCACTTCCCCTGTTATCAGCCTCCCAGACCCTGCCCACTCCTCAGTCCCTCACACCTCCCTGTCATTCTCCCAGGCCCCGCCCATTTCCCAATCATTAGTGACCTGGGAATAGGGCCTGGAGACTCTTCGTGCCCCACTCTGTTTTCTGCTTTTTTTTTTTTTTTTTTTTTTGGAGACGGAGTTTTGCTCTTGTCGTCCAGGCTGCAGTGCAATGGTGCGATCTCGGCTCACTGCAACCTCCGACTCCCGGGTTCAAGTGATCCTCCTGCCTCAGGCTCCCGAGTAGCTGGGATTACAGACATGCACCACCACGCCCGTCTAATTTTTTTTTTTTATTGTATTATTAGTAAGGACAGGGTTTCACCATGTTGGTCAGGCTGGTCTCGAACTCCTGACCTCAGGTGATTCACTCACCTTGGCCTCCCAAAGTTGTGGGATTACAGGTGTGAGCCACCGCGCCTGGCACTTTTCTGCTTTTCTTAGTCCATACCACCCTCTCCTCAGGCTCGGCACCTCTCCCCCTTTGAGGGTTTGTCCTGTCTCAACCCCTAGCCCCTTTTCTGGGTTCTGCCCTTCCGGAGTCCTGCACCCTCTTCCCACTCCAGGTTTTCAAGCCATGCTCATCCCTCACCAATTTCGCTGGGACTTGCAGCCGCCCTTTGATTCCTTTAGGCCTTGCCCCATTCGTTCTGCCCTCCAAACATGCAGGCTCTGCCCTCACCCATAATCCGCATGTACATCCACCAAGACCCCACCCCAGACCTGCCACGCCCCTGGTGTGGGGTGGGGGCTGTGTCTTAAATCACTAACAGGAGCTACGGAGGCCTTGGTTTCTCCACCCCACCCTTCCTCCATGAGGCCTGGTCTGAGTGGGTGAACCCATCCCAAAGCCCTCTGCTCCCCTGACGTGGAAAAGGTCACCACGTGGGGTGATGGCCCCACCCCAGCAGGAATCCTTTCTCAGCACCAGTGGCCTGGGGACTGGCACAGGATGCCCCCCAGCCACTCCACTGTCACCAGAACTCCGGCACCACCAAGATGTTGGATGCGGCTGGACACAGTGGCTCACGCCTGTAATCCAAGCACTTTTGGAGGCCGAGGCGGGTGGATCACCTGAGGTCAGGAGTTCCAGACCAGCCTGGCTAACGTGGTGAAAACTGTCTCTACTAGAACTACAAAAAAGTTAGCTGGCCGTGGTGGCACATGCCTGTAATCCCAGCTACTCAGGAGGCTGAGGCAGAAGAATCGCTTGAACCCGGGAGGCAGAGGTTGCAGTGAGCCAAGATCACGCCATTGTACACCAGCCTGGGCAGCAAAAGTGAAAATCCATCTCAAAAAAAAAAAGAAAAAAGGCCGGGCGCAGTGGCTCACACCTGTAATCCCAGCATTCTGGGAGGCTGAGGCAGGCAGATCGCCTGAGGTCAGGAGTTCGAGACCAGCCTGGCCAACATGGTAAAACCTCGTCTGTACTAAAAATGTGAAAAAATTAGTCAGGCATGGTGGCCAGCACCTGTAATCCCAACTACTCTGGAGGCAGGAGAATTGCTTGAACGCAGGAGGTGGAGGTTGCAGTGAGCCGAGATGGTGCCACTGCATTCCAGCCTGGGCAACAGAGCGAGACTCTGTCTCAAAAAAAAAATGTTGGATGCTTCTGACTTTTTCTATCTGATGCTGGGTGAGCCCCTCCATACCAGCCTTGAGCACCCCCAGCCTGAAATTCAAGGGACTATGTTGGGGTCAGTCTGCTTGTCTGTCTTTATCTGAGGGTCGCTGGACTTGGGGGATGGCAGTCTGCCCTGGCTTGTGGACTGCGGTCGTGTGTATGTCCATCCGTGTGTGTCCTTGTGTGGGGGCGTCTGGGTCAATGTGTGTTTGAGTGAATGAGAGAAAAAACTCCCTACGGTGTGGCTTTTGTGTCCAAAGCACCCAGCGTGTATGCCCGTGTGTTGTCAGCTCCCTGGGTCTGTGCGCTGGCTTTTTTTTTTTTTTTTTTTTTTGAGTTGTGTCTCCAGGTCTGTCTGTAGGGCTGTGCAGATACATTGCATATCTCTGTGTATGTTTGATTGCATGTATGTAGTATGTGTGTACCCAAGTCTGTATTGTGTTTTTTGTTTTTTGGGGTTTTTTATGGAGACAGAGTCTTGCTCTGTCACCCAGGCTGGAGTGCAATGGCACAATCTTGGCTCACTGCAACCTCCGCTTCCTGGGTTTAAGTGATTCTCCTGCCTCCGCCTCCCGAGTAGCTGGGATCACAGGCGCACACCACCACCCCCGGCTAATTTTTGTATTTTTAGTAGAGACAGGGTTTCACCATGTTGGCCAGGCTGGTCTCGAACTCCTGACCTCAGGTGATCCACTCACCTTGGCCTCCCAAAGTGCTGGGATTACAGTCGTGAGCCACCACGCCCGACGTGTGTTGTGTTTATAACCATGTATAATAGTCTGGCTATGTCTTAGGAGACTCCATTTTGTTCTGTACTAAGAAAAATTTTTCTGCCTTGGGATGCTGTTAATCTATAACCTTACCCCCAACCCCGTGCTCTCTGAAACATGTGCTGTGTCCACTCAGGGTTAAATGGATTAAGGGCGGTGCAAGATGTGCTTTGTTAAACAGATGCTTGAAGGCAGCATGCTCCTTAAGAGTCGTCACCACTCCCTAATCTCAAATACCCAGGGACACAAACACTGCGGAAGGCCGCAGGGTCCTCTGCCTAGGAAAACCAGAGACCTTTGTTCACATGTTTATCTGCTGACCTTCCCTCCACTATTGTCCTATGACCCTGCCAAATCCCCCTCTCCGAGAAACACCCAAAAATGATCAATAAATACTAAAAAAATAAAAAAATGAAAATAGTCTGGCTATGTCTGTCCTGGGGTCTGATTCTAGGGCTATGTATCTGTGTGTATCTCATTGTGTGTGTGTGTGTGTGTGTGTGTGTGTGTGTGTGTGTGTGTGTGTGTCTTTTTTTTTTTTTTTTTTTGAGACGGAATCTCTCTCTATCACCCAGGCTGGAGTGCAGTGGTGCCATCTGGGCTCACTGCCAGCTCCGCCTCCCGGGTTCATGCCATTCTCCTGCCTCGGCCTCCCCAGCAGCTGGGACTACAGGCGCATGCCGCCATGCCCGGCTAATTTTTTTTTTTTTTTTGTATTTTTATTTTTAGTAGAGAGGGGGTTTCACCGTGTTAGCTAGGATGGTCTCGATCTCCTGACCTTCTGAACCGCCCACCTCGGCCTCCCAAAGTGCTGGGATTACAGGCGTGAGCCACTGCACCCATCTGCTCTCTCTCTCTCTCTTTTTTTTATTTAAAAAAAAAAAAAGGAGTCTCACTCAGGCTGGAGTGCAGTAGCACAATCTCGGCTCGCTGCAACCTCCACCTCCTGGGTTCAAGTGATTCTCATGCCTCAGCCTCCAGAGTAGCGGGACCACAGACATAAGCCACACACGCTACCTAGGAGGCTGAGGTGGGAGGATCACTTGAGCCAGGGAGTTGGAGTCTGCAGTAACTTATCATCCTGCCACTGCACTCCAGCCTGGGCAACAGAGCAAGAACTTAACTCAAGATAGATGGATAAATACATTAATTAATTAATTAATTAAAATAAAACTCCAGTCTCCCGTTCATCCAGCTCTGCATGAATTAAACTCTTTGTTGCAATTCTCCTGTCTTGATACATCCATTCTATCTGGGCAGGGGACAAAGTGAACCCACTGGGCAGTTACAGAGCCCTGCAGATCAGCCTGGGAGAGATGATTCATGTCCATGTGAACCCCAAATATCAGAGGCGGGTCTCAGTGAATTTAGTTTTTTATTTTTTACTTTTCTTTTTTTTTTGAGACGGAGTCTCACTCTATTCCCCAGGCTAGAGTGCAGTGGTGCGATCTCAGCTCACTGCAACCTCCGCCTCTTGAATTCAAGCAATTCTCCTGCCTCAGCCTCCTGAGTAGATGGGATTACAGGCATGTGCCACCACACCTGGCTAATTTTTGTATTTTTAGTAGAGATGAGGTTTCGCCATGTTGGCCAGGCTGGTCTCTAACCCCTGACCTCAGGTGATTCACCCGCCTCAGCCTCCCAAAGTGCTGGGATTACAGGCGTGAGCCACTGTGCCCGGCCATCAGTTAATTTAGAAAGTTTATTTTGCCAAGGTTGAGAACACGTATATGTGACACAGTCTCAGGAGATCCTGATGACATGTGCCCAAGGGTGGTCAGAGCACAGCTTGGTTTTATACATTTTAGGGAGACATGAGATCAACATATGCAAGATGAACATTGGTTCGGTCTGGAAAGGAGGGACAACTGGAAACAGGGAAGGGTCTTCCAGGTCATAGGTAGATAAGAGACAAATGCTTGAATTCTTTTGAGTTTCTGATTAGCCTCTCCAAAGAGGCCAATCAGATATGCAGGTATCTCAGTGAGCAGGTGGGGACTTTGTTCTTGTTGTTTTTTGTTTTTTGTGGGGTTTTTTTTTTTTTTTTTGAGACGGAGTCTTACTCTGTAGCCCAGGCTGGAGTGCAGTGGCGTGATCTCTGCTCACTGCAAGCTCCGCCTTCTGGGTTCACGCCATTCTCTTGCCTCAGCCTCCCAAGTAGCTGGGACTACAGGCGCCTGCCACCACGCCTGGCTAATTTTTTTGTATTTTTAGTAGAGACGGGGTTTCACCATGTTGGCCAAGATGATCTCAATCTCCTGACCTCATGATCCGCCCACCTCGGCCTCCCAAAGTGCTAGGATTATAGGCATGAGCCACCGCGCCCGGCCCTTGTTTTTTGTTTTTTGAGAGGGACTTTCCCTCTTGTCACCCAGGCTGGAGTGTAATGGCATGATCTTGGCTCACTGCAACCTCCACCACCCGGGTTCAAGTGATTCTCCTGCCTCAGCCTCCCAAGTAGCTGAGATTACAGGCATGCACCACCAGGCCCGGCTAACCACCAGCCTCAGCCTCCCAAAGTGCTGGGATTATAGGCATGAGCCACCACGCTGCCTGGCCAGAGGGGTGACTTTGAATAGAATGGGAGGCAGGTTTGCCCTAAGCAGTTGCCAGCTTGACTTTTTCCTTTAGTTTAGTGATTTAGGAGCCCCAAGATTGATTTTTCTTTCACAATCAGAACCTGCAGCCGAGCTTGCTGGCCTTCAACGGTAAAATCTACAGGGTCATGGTTTACGAGCAGCGGGGCACCTTCATCTCTGGTGACATGGTCAGCTCCTCCCTGACCAGAATCTCCAAGATGACCATGGATAGCCTGCAGCCCCACTTTCTGACCATGTGCCTGCCACATCCGGCCTCCTTAAACTGTGAGAGCAACTGCACACCAGCTACACCTGCACCGGGTGCCCAGACGAGGTCCTCACTGCTAGGCAATGGGGTGGGTAGGGAAGAGGAGTTCAGAAAGTGTCCCCTCCCCATTCCAGCCCCAGCCCTAGCTGATGTCAACACTCCTCCCTCCCCATCTCCCAGGAAATCCTTCTATTATTATTTCTTTTCTTTTTCTTTTTCTTTTGAGATGGAGTCTTGCTCTGTCTCCCAAGCTGGAGTGCAGTGGTGCAATCTTGGCTCACTACAACTTCCCCTGCCCAGGTCCAAGTGATTCTCAAGCCTCAGCCTCCCAAGTACCTGGGACTACAGGTGCCTGCCACCATGCCCAGCTAATTTTTTGCATTTTTAGTAGAGACGGGGTTTCACTGTGTTGGCCAAGCTGGTCTCGAACTCCTGACCTCAGGTGATCCGCCCACTTCGCCCTCCCAAAGTGCTGGGATTACAGGTGTGAGCCACGGCACCTGGCCCTATTTTTTTATGGTTTTTTTTTTGTTGTTGTTGTTTGTTTGTTTGTTTGTTTTAATAGAGATGGTATCTGGCTTTGTTGCCCAGGCTGGTCTTGAATTCCTGGCCTCAAGTGATCCTCCTGCCTCAGTCTCCCAAAGTGCTGGGATTACAGACATAAGCCAACACACCTGGCTCAGGAAATCCTTCTAGTTTATTTACTTAATTATTTTAAATTAGGGACAGAGTCTCACTTTGTTGCCCAGGCTGGTCTTGAACTCCTGGCCTCAAGCGATCTTCCCTGCTTGGCCTCTTAAAGTGATTACCCGTGTGAGCCACTAGGAAATCCTTCTATTCTGAACATGCCTTCTTCGGGATGTACTGCATGGGGTATCTGGTGGCAGTAGGCCCAGCAAGGCCAGAGAATGCTCCATTGTCCCCCTCCCCACCCCTTCCAGCACCCCCCACCCCATAATTGGTCCCAACAGTGCCAGGCACGGCTTCCACAGAGCTTGTGTGTGTCCCTGGAGTTGGGAGGGCTTCTCTTAAGACTCATTCAGCATCCCTGTCTCAGAACAGTAACCGTTCCAACCCTCTGTCTCCCGCTGCCTCTAGCTGGAGAGGGCCCATGCTGGCTGTGTCAATGCCCAGGGCTGGGCTCCACCCTGGCAGAGGAAAAGGAAATCAGACTCTACCGTCTGGGTGGGGAGGTGGAAGGAGGGGCCGGGGAGAAGGGGTGGCAAGGACCTTGGGAAAAGGGCCAGTGACCCACAGGCCAAGTACACAAAGACAGCATACATTCCGATGCTGGAAGCTGACAGCACACATCAGAGCCAGCCGGGAACACCGGGCACCGTGGTGGGCAGACACATGACACGGAGAGGCCCAGGCCACGGAGCACGTGACAGTCACACGGCTGCCTCAACACCAGCAACATTTTCCTCCTGAAAGACAACTCACTGGATTGCCAGCCTTTTGGGTTTTTTTGTTTTTTTTTTCTTTTGACACAGAGTCTCGCTCTGACACCCAGACTGGAGTGCAGTGGCGCAATCTCAGCTCACTGCAACCTCCGCCTCACGGGTTAAAGCAATTCTCCTGCCTCAGCCTCCCTAGTAGCTAGGATTACAGGCACCTGCCATCATGCCCGGCTAATTCTTGTATTTTCAGTACAGACGGGGTTTCACCATGTTGGGCAGGCTGGTCTCAAACTCCTGGGCTCAAGCAATCCACGTACCTTGGCCTCCCGAAGTGCTTGGATTACAGGCATGAGCCACTGTACCCCGCCTCTTTTTTTTTTTTAAGATCAAATAACTGGATGGGCATGGTGGCTCACGTCTGTAATCCCAGTAATTTGGGAGGCCAAGGTGGGCAGATCACCTGAGGTGAGGAGTTTGAGACTAGCCTGGTGTGATGGCCAACATGGTGAAACCCCGTCTCTACTAAAAGTACAAAAATGAGCCGGGTGTGGTAGTGTGCATCTGTAATCCCAGGTACTCAGGAGGCTGAGGCAGGAGAATCACTTGAACCCAGAGGCAGAGGTTGTAGTGAGCCAAGATCATGCCACTGCACTCCAGCCTGGGTGACAGAGCAAGACTCTGCCTCAAAACAAAAAACAAAACAAAAAAAGTCAAATAACAAAGTAACTCCAACATCCTGTAGCGATAAAGAGCAGGGTCTTTGGACCTGGAATGCGGGGCTCTTTTGACTCTATTCCCAGCCTCAACAGTATGGGACAGTCAGGTGAGATACTCAACTTCCTTAGGCCTCCATTTTCTCATCTGTAGAATAGGCATAGAACAGCAACTACCTCCTAGGTTGTGGTTTCATCAGCTAAAAATATAAACAAGCTGGCCAGGTGCCATGGCTCACGCTTGTAATCCCAGCACATTGGCAGACCAGCCTGGCCAACATGGCGAAGCCCCATCTCTACTAAGAATACAAAAATTAGCCGGGCGTGGTGGTGGGCGCCTGTAGTTCCAGCTACTCAGGAGGCTGAGGCAGGAGAACCACTTGAACCCGGGAGGTGGAGGTTGTGATGAGCCGAGATCAGGCCACTGCACTCCAGCCTGGGTGACACAGTGAGACTCTGTCTCAAAAAGTAAATAAATAAGTAAAATATAAACAAGGCCAGGTGCAGTGGCTCATGCCTGTAATCCCAGCACTGGGAGGCCAAGGTGGAGGTTGCAATAAGCTGAGATAGGGCCACTGCACTGCAGCCTGGGAGACAGAGTGAGACTCCACCTAAAAAAATAATTATATATATATACACACACATATATATATACACACATATATATATACACACACACATATATATACACACACACACACACACAAGCTGACACAGCAAGCACTTGAAAACAAGATCTGGCCATAGATCTGGTCTACACAGCACTATTATTATTAATAATAGGCAGAGTGGGCCCTCTCTGTCCCCTCGGGGAGGATGAGGAGCTGGGGTGTATGTCAACAATTTCTCGAGGCTCACAGAGAGGGTGGAAACGTTGCCCCAGCCCCAGATGACAGGCAGATCACACCAACAAGGAGGCAGGCCTTTTCCTGGTTTTATGGACCTCAGAAAGAGAGATCAATTTTTTTTTTTCTTTTTGGAGAGAGGGTCTCTCTGTCACCCAGGCTGGAGTGCAGTGGTACAATCTCAGCTCACTGTAACCTCTGCCTTCTGGGTTCAAGTGATTCTCATGCCTCAGCCTCCTGAGTAGCTGGGACTGCAAGTGTGCGCACCATCATGCCCAGCTACTTTTTGTATTTTTAGTAAAGACAGGGGTTTCGCCATGTTGGCCAGGGCAGCCTTAAACACCTGGTCTTCAGTGATCTACCTGCCTCAACCTCCCAAAGTGCTGGGATTACAGGCATGAGCCACCACGCCCAGCCCACATAACTGCTTTTAAAGCTGGAAGAATCTTCAAACTTTCAGATATTCGTGAGCAAGATAAGAAGCACAGGGGCCGCGGCCGGGTGCGGTGGCTCACGCCTGAAATCCCAGCACTCTGGGAGGCTGAGGCTAGTGGATCACCTGAGGTTGGGAGTTCGAGACCACCCTGACCAACATGGAGAAACCCCGTCTCTAC
This sequence comes from Homo sapiens, assembly GCF_000001405.40. NCBI lineage: Eukaryota > Metazoa > Chordata > Mammalia > Primates > Hominidae > Homo > Homo sapiens. The sequence goes on along the minus strand of NC_000019.10, from coordinate 6,507,266 downwards.
TAAAAATACAAAATTAGCCAGGTGTGTTGGCACATGCCTGTAATCCCAGCTACTCAGGAGGCTGAGGCAAGAGAATCCCTTGAACCTGGGAGGCAGAGGTTGCGGTGAGCCGGAGATCGCACCATTACACTCCAGCCTGGGCAACAAGAGCGAAACTCCGTCTCAAAAAAATAAAAAAGAAAAAAGAAGCATAGGGGCCAGGCGTGGTGGCTCACGCCTGTAATCCCAACACTTTGGGAGGCCGAGGCGAGTGGATCACCTGAGGTCAGGAGCTTGCGATCAGCCTGGCCAACATGGTGAAACCCTGTCCCTACCAATAATACAAAAATTTGCTGAGGGTGGTGGTGCACACCTGTAATCTCAGCTACTCAGGAGGCTGAGGCAGGAGAATCACTTGAACCCCGGAGTTAGAGGTTGCAGTGAGTTGAGATCGTGCCACTGCACTCCAGCCTGGACGACAAGAGCAAAACTCCGTCTCCAAAAAAAAAAGAAGTATAGGTGGGGAGGGGTTTTGGAGGGTTTTTGTTTTTTTTTTTTTTTTGAGATGGTGTCTCACTCTGTCGCCCAGGCTGGAGTGCAGTGGCGCAATCTCGGCTCACTGCAAGCTCCGCCTCCTGGGTTCACGCCATTCTCCTGCCTCAGCCTCCTGAGTAGCTGGGACTACAGGCGCCCACCACCACACCCAGCTAATTTTTTTTTTTTTGTATTTTTAGTAGAGATGGGGTTTCACCGTGTTAGCCAGGATGGTCTCGATCTCCTGACCTCGTGATCTGCCCAACTCGGCCTCCCAAAGTGCTGGGATTACAGGCGTGAGCCACCGCGGCCGGCCGTTTTTTAAAGCCACTGTTAGGTGTGGGTCAGAGAAACCTTAGGATGCCTTCAAGATTGTGCTGGAGCTGTAAAGAGTGCTAAGCCAAATTACTTTCCTATTGGAGCTATACTATGCGAGTAAATAAAAAATCATTTGCTGGCCAGGCGCAGTGGCTCACACCTATAATCCCAGCACCTTGGAAGGCCAAGGCAGTGTCTCACGTGTCCGTGTGAAGAGGCCACCAAACAGGCTTTGTGTGAGCAACAAGGCTGTTTATTTCACCTGGGTGCAGGCGGGCTGAGTGGGAAAAAGGAGTCAGCAAAGGGTGGTGGGATTATCATTGGTTCTTATAGGTTTTGGGAGAGGCGGTGGAGTTAGGAGCAATGTGTTGGGGGCAGGGGTGGATCTCACAAAGTACATTCTTGAGAGTGGGGAGAATTACAAAGAACCTTCTTAAGGGTGGGGGAGATTACAAAGTACATTGATCAGTTAGGGTGGGGCCGCAACAAATCACAATGGTGGAATGTCATCAGTTAAGGCTATTTTCACTTTTTTTGTGGATCTTCAGTTGCTTCAGGCCATCTGGATGTATACGAGCAGGTCATAGGGGTTACAATGGCTTAGCTTGGGCTCAGAGGCCTGACAGGAAGGAGGACCACTTGAGCCCAGGAGTTTGAGACCAGCCTGGGCAACATAGCGAGACCCTGTCTCTACAAAAAATGCAAAAATTAGCCAGGCCTGGTGGTGCCCACCTGTAGTCCCAGCTACTCAGGAGGCTGACGTGGGAGGATCACCAGAGCCTGGGAGGTCAAGGCTGCAGTGAGATATGATCACACCACTGTACTCCAGCCTGTGCAACAGGGTGAAACTGTCTCAAAAAAAAAAAAAAAAATGGCGGCCGGGTGCAGTGGCTCACGCCTGTAATCTCAGCACTTTGGGAGGCCAAGGTGAGGGGAATCACCTGAGGTCGGGAGTTCAAGACCAGCCTGACCAACATGGAGAAACCCTGTCTCTACTAAAAATACAAAATTAGCCGGGCGTGGCAGTGCATGCCTGTAATCCCAGCTACTCGGGAGGCCGAGGCAGGAGAATCGCTTGAACCCAAGAGGCGGAGGTTGAGATGAGCAGAGATTGCACCACTGCACTCCAGCCTGGGCAAGAAGAGCGAAACTCCATCTCAAAAAAAAAAATAGCTTGCTAAAAAGATAAAAACATACATACACACATACTAACTGAGTTGAGGGAGAGAGAGTATATAAGTCACAGAAGCTAAGGGATCGCCCCACCAAACCCATATAAGGTCTAGCCCCTCTGGAATTTATTCTGGCATCTAGTGTGAGCGAAGGGGCTAACACAAATTTTTTCCCAAAATAATTAACACAGGATTTCTCAGCCTCAACCCTGTTGACATTGGGCCTGCATCATTCTCTGGGGTGGGGCCGTCCTGTGCACTGAAGGGCTTTCAGCAGCATCTCTGGCCTCCACCCACTAGATGCCAGTAGTGCACACATAGTCTCACACACACATCCCCGCCCCCATCTGGGTACGACAACCAAAAATGTCTTCAGATATTGCCAAGTGTTCCCTGGGAAGGCAATATCACCGCTCCCCCGCCCCCCCGACACACACACACACACACACACACACACACACACACTCTCACACACACGCTGTTGAGAGCCACTGGTCAAATTTAGTGGTCATTGGGCAGGGCACGATGGCTCACATGTGTAAACCCAGCACTTTGGGAGGCTGAGGTGGGAGGATTGCTTGAGCTCAGGCGTTGGAGACCAGCCTGGGCAACATAGCAAGACCCCCATCTCCACAAAAAAATACAAAAATTACCCAGGCATATTGGTGCATGCCTGTAGTCCCAGCTACTCGGGAGGCTGAGGTGGGAGAATCACTTGAGCCCAGGAGTTCGAGGCTGCAGTGAGCCATGGCCATGCCACTGCACCCCAGCCTGGATGACAGGGCAAGAAATTAAAAAAAAAGAATTTGCTGGGCGCGGTGGCTCGCGCCTGTAATCCCAGCACTTTGGGAGGCCAAGGTGGGCAGGTCACGAGGTCAGGAGTTCGAGACCAGCCTGGCTAACATGGTGAAAGCCCGTCTCTACTAAAAATACAAAAATTAGCTGGTCATGGTGGTACGTACCTGTAATCTCAGCTACTGGGGCGGCTGAGCCAGGAGAATGGCTTGAACCCAGGAGGCAGAGGTTGCAGTGAGCCGAGATGGCACCACTGCACTCCAGCCTGGGTGACAGAGCAAGACTCTGTCAAAAAAAAAAAAAAAAAAAAAAAATTAGTGGCCATGGCAAATGTGAGGTCCCAACCACATGGCCAAGATGGCTTACCCCACCTCCCACCAGCAATACACCAAAGTCCTTGAGTGGGAAAGTCAAGGATGGGAGGCGAGGAGGAGACTTCCTGGGAGGGCGGGACTGGAGGCTGTCCAAGGAAGCAGCCCCAGGAGGCTTGACCTTCACATGAGGGGCAGCACAGGAAGTCCAGTCCAGCCTCTGATAATACTTAGACTCGAGAAAGATACAATTTATTGTTGACTCTGCAGGAGGGGAGACTATCGCCACCTTGTTAACTGGGTCATCGCATAATCAGACCCTGGAGGGTGGGCCTTCCTCACCACCCCAACTTGCAAATGTGAAATTCAGACACAGAGAGGAGCACCAGGGCAAGGTCATACACCTAATGCTACAGGAAATGCAGAGGCAAGGGAGATGGTGGGTAATAAATTATAATACTGAGCTGGGCGCAGTGGCTCATGCCTGGAATCCCAGCACTTTGGGAGGCTGAGGCAGGAGGATCTCTTGAGCTCAGGAGTTGGAGAGCAGCCTGGACAACATAGCGAGACCCCATCTCTACAAAAAATCTTGAAAATTAGCCAGGCGTGATGGCATGCACCTGCAGTCCCAGCTACTTGGGAGGCTGAGGTGAGAGGATTGCTTGAGCCCAGGACATTGAGGCTGCAGTGAGCTATGAGCATGCCACTGCACTACAGCCTGAGGGACAGAGCAAGACCCTGTCCGAAAATATATATATATAGGCCGGGCGCGTTGGCTCACGCCTGTAATCCCAGCACTTTGGGAGGCAGAGGTGGGCAGATGGCCTGAGGTCAGGAGTCTGAGACCAGCCTGAACAACATGGAGAAACTTTGTCTCTACTAAAAATACAAAAAAATTAGCCGGGCGTGGTGGCACATGCCTGTAATCCCAGCTACTCGGGAGGCTGAGGCAGGAGAATCGCTTGGACCTGGGAGGCTGAGGTTGTAGTGAGCCGAGATTGGGCCATTGCACTCCAGCCTGGGCGCCAAGAGCGAAACTCTGTCTCAAAAAAAAAAAAAAAAGGGTATAGATATAGATAAAGATAAATTACAATACTGGAGAGGAGGGGTGTTATTTTGGGAAAGCGAGGCAGCCCTGGGGACTCACTGTCCCCCTCCCAATATGAACCCAGCTGTCTTACTCCTCCACTCTCCTCCTTAGGCCAGGCTGGGGGTGACCCCACCTGGGACGAGCTCAATGCCCAGTAGAGGTGTACCAGGGGAGCCCACCAGCATCTGCACCCAATCATGGGAGGAAAATCGTGGTTTTACTATGCAGCTTCAGGACAAGCCCTCCAGGAACCTACCGCCCCCCACCCGCAAACCAGATCGCCGCTCCGGAGCCCCCAGCCCACTGGGAGGGCTCGCGGTTACTGCAAGGATTCTGGCGAATGAGGTCTAAATAGAATGAGAAGGGGGGCTGCGGACCGAGAAACTGAGGCAAGGCCTGGGGCGGGAGGGTGGAGGCTAAGGGGGAGGGGCAGGACTTCTCAGATGCCTGTTTACCAGGCGCTCCCCTCCCTTCCTCCGCCCAATTTCTGCGGGTGGCCAAGCCTGGCTGGGGGCTGGGACGGGGGAGACTGCACTGGTGGCTCCCTAAGGGGCCTCACCCCCAAGGCAGGGGTCGGAGCACGTGGCGTCCCGGACTTCTCTGGGAGGCCCCCTGGGGAGGGAGGTCCCTGCACCACCTCCCCCCACCCCAGCCCCCTCCATCATCCCGGGGCGGGACCAAGGGGCGGAGCGGGAGGGTGACCGGCCGTGACGCGTGCCCCGCCCGCTCATATAGCGGCTCCCGGGGGCGCAGGGACCGTGCTCCGCCGTCTCCGCCGCATCTTCCACCCTCGCCGCCGCCGCAGCTCCCCGCGCTCGTGCCACCGCCGCCGCGTCCACCCTCAGCGCCACCGCCATGCGGGAGATCGTGCACCTGCAGGCCGGCCAGTGCGGCAACCAGATCGGGGCCAAGGTGCTCGGGGAACGGGGCCCGGGGAGGCAGTGGCGGCCCCGGGGAGCACCGCGGGGTCGGTCCCCGGAGCACCCCGCAACCTGGGAGTCTTTGGAAAGGAATGAGGTCCCCAGGAGGCCAGCGCGCCCCAGGGGCCTTGGGGGAAGGGTCGCGGGGTGGGGGTGGCAGGGCCAGACTGGGAACAAAGAGGCTGCGGAGAGTGGGAGCCAGCCTTCTGTCCGCCTGTCACAGCTGGGCCCACAGCTGGGCCACTGTCCCCTCCTCACGCACAAAGAGCCCCGGTGCCTCCCCCGGGCTGCAGCCTGGGTGCGCTGGCACCAGCCGGCCCCGCTGGGTGCTGACTCGGCTGCACCCCGCCCCCACCGCTCCTTCTTGCTGCCTCATCCTCGCCCCGACACCATGCCTCTAGGTCCCCCGTTCACCTTGCTGGGGGAGAGGTGGCAGCTAGGGAGCTAGTTGGGGGCTGGGGGCAGTCCTCGGCTTGGCCACCGGCTTCCCCTCTCTCAACTCTTCCGACCACCTCTCTCTCTAGTTTTGGGAGGTTATCAGTGACGAACATGGCATCGACCCCACAGGCACATACCATGGGGACAGTGACCTGCAACTGGAGAGGATCAACGTGTACTACAACGAGGCCACAGGTAGGGCGAAGGAGGCACCTTCCAGGTGGGAAGGGGCAGCTGGGAGGGAACAGGATGCTACCGGGCGCCTGTGGTTCCTGGCACGCATCGAACTGCCCTCCATCTGTTTCCCTGCAGGAGGAAATTATGTCCCCAGAGCGGTGCTGGTGGACCTGGAACCCGGCACCATGGACTCTGTCCGTTCTGGCCCCTTCGGTCAGATCTTTCGGCCGGACAACTTCGTGTTTGGTGAGTCCCCCAGCAGGGAGCCAGAGGCTGGAAAACCTCCTTATTCCTGCTAACACCACAGAGTCAACAGCCACCACCGGGGCCCACAGACCAGAGATGGGGTGGACAGGGCACCAGGCACCAGCCCTGCATCCAGGGCTGTGATGAGGGGATGCTCAGGCCACTGTGAGAGCCCTGAGGAGGGCGGATACAGAGAAGGATTCAGGGAAGTCTTCCTGGAGGAGGTGGCATTTTAATTCAACGGTCTGAACCGGAACCAGACTGCCTGGGTGCACATCCCAATTCTGCCACTTCATGCATTCAACAAACAGTGAGCACTCACTGCATACCAGGCCCTGTTCTAGAAGCTGGAGATCCAGGTAAGAATCAAACAGCCGGAGCTCCCTCTCTGCCCCAGTGCAGCTCCCATTCTGGTAGAAGGTGATAGGCCACAAAGGAGATAAATAAGTAAAGCTCTGCCAGGGGTTGATTCAGATGGATAACTTAGGATGGGCTCCTCAGCCTTTCTGGGCCTCAAAAATCCTCTTTTTTTTTTTTTTTTCAGACAGGGTCTGTCTGTCCTGCTGTCACCCAGGCTAGAGTGCAGTGGCATGATCACGGCTCACTGTCACCTCCACCTCTGGGCACACGTGATCCTCTTGCCTCAGTCTCCCAAGTAGCTGGACCTACAGGCATGCACCACCACACCCAGCTAATTTTTTAGTTTTCTTTGTAGAGAGGTGGGTCTCTCTATGTTGCCCATGCTGGTCTCAAACTCCGGGACTCAAACGATCCACCCAACTCAGCTCCCAAAGTGCTGGATTACAAGCATGAGCCACCTTGCCCGGCCTCCTCGTCTTTAAAACAGGGATTTCACTGGGCATGGTGGTTCATGCCTATAAACCCAGGACTTTGGGAGGCTGAGTCAGGAAGAGAGCTTGAGGTCAGGAGTTCGAGACCAGCCTGGGCACCATGGTGAGACCCTGTCTCTACAAAAAGAAAAAAATTTTAATTAGCTGAGTGAGGTGGTGTGCACCTGTAGTCACAGCTACTCGTGAGGCTAAGGTAGGAGAATCACTTGAGCCTGGGAGGTTGAGGCTGCCATGAGCTATGATGGTGCCACTGCACTCCAGCCTGAGCGATGGTGTGAGACCCCATCTCTAAAAAAGATCAAATAAAACAGGGATTCTAAAATGCTATTAGAATTGTGAGGCTCAGGGTGGGCACGGTGGCTCACACCTGTAATCCCAGCACTTTGGGAGGCCGAGGCGGGTGGATCACCTGAGGTCGGGAGTTTGAGACCAGCCTGACTAACATGGAGAAACCCCATCTCTACTAAAAATAAAAAATTAGCCAGGCATGGTGGCACATGCCTGTAATCCCAGCTACTCGGGAGGCTGAGGCAAGAGAATTGCTTGAACGGCAGAGGTTGTGGTGAGCCAAGATCATGACACTGCACCCCAGCGTGGGCAACAAGAGTGAAACTTCGTCTCCAAAAAAAAAAAAAAATTGTGAAGCTTAAAGTCATGAATATGTGTAGAGTTTAGAACAATGCCTGACACAGAGAAAGAGGTAAATAAGCATTTGTCGTTGTTTTCATTACTATCTGCAGTCTAGAATGTGAGTAGGATTTGGACTGGCCAAAGGGCATGGAAGGGAGGAAAGATGTTTAAGACGGAGGCAACAGCATATGTGAAGATAGTGGGGTGTCCACACCCTGGGACAATCCTTCCGGGAAAGCTTTCCTGGCTCCAGCTGGCTGCATGTCCCCACCCTGGCTCCACCCGCCTCCAATACTCCCAGCATGTAAGACGTGCTAAATGCAGGACCTGTCCTGCCTCTCTGAATCTTTTCCGCAACTCGCCTCTTACTTCCATTTTACAGGTGAGAAAACAGAGGCACAGAGACGTTAGGTCACTTGCAGAAAGTCACACTGCAAGCCACTGGGGCTGTCAGGAGCCAGAGGAGAGGGTCTGACTACTAGGTCCACGCTTTTTTTTTTTTTTGAGACGGAGTCTCCGTTGCCCAGGCTGGAGTGCAGTGACGCAACCTCCACCTCCCAGATTCAAGCGATTCTCCTGCCTCACGAGTAGCTGGGACTACAGGCATGCATCACCACACCTAGCTAATTTTTTGTATTTTTAATAGTGACGGGGTTTCGCCATGTTGGCCAGGCTGGTCTCCTATTCCTGACCTCTCAGGTGATCTGCCTGCCTCTGCTTCCCAAAGTGCTGGGATTACAGGCATGAGCAACCGCGCCTGGTCTGAGCCCACACTTTTAATGCTCCTCCCACCCCCTGGCCACCCAGAGGCCATAGAATCTCTTGGCCCAACTGTAAGCCCTCTGGTCCTCCTGAAATCACTCACACCATTTGGCCAATCTCATTTCATCTTGATTTCACCCAGCCATTTCCCAAGGACCTATGATGGGCCACGGCCACAAAACTGCATCATTATGTTTTGAAATCTTCCAACAGATCAGAAAGGGGAAGTCACTTGTCCAAGGTCACACAGTTTGTCTTGTCAGTCCCGAGAATCTGCAGTCTAAACCACCAGGCTCGGGAGGAGGAGGGAGGGGGTGACCAGAGGTGGCTTCTCTGAGGATGTGGCATTGAGCTGAGACCTGAAGGAAGTGAGGAAAAAGTCAGGTGAATACCTGGGGGGAAAGCATTCTAAGCAGCCAAGCCACTAGTGCAAAGGCCCCAGGGCAGGACCACACCTGGAAAGCTGGAGTAACAGCTGCGGCTGAAGCAGAGTGAGGGAGGGGATGGGGCAGGTCCGGCAGGGCCTTGTGGCCTGCAGGGAGGATTTGGGCTTTGACCCCAAGGTAGGTGGGAGCCATGGAGGGCTGTAGGCAGAGGAGGGACGGGACCTGACTTACTTGCTCTCAGGTGTCCTCTCGTGGGTACTGTGGAGAGGACAGACTGGGTGATAAGGGTAGGAGCCAGGGGACCAGGACAGAGGGAATTGAACTTATCCAGGAGGGTGATGCTGGAGCTGAACTAAGGTGGAGACAGATGAGGGGTGAAAGAAAACGTTAGCTGTTCACAGTAATACCGGCCAATATTCTTTTTTTTATTCCATTTTTTTTTTTTTTGAGACAAAGTCTCACTCTGTCGCCCAGGCTGGAGTGCAGTGGCGCGATCTCGGCTCACTGCAAGCTCCACCTCCTGGGTTCACGCCATTCTCCTGCCTCAGCCTCCCGAGTAGCTGAGACTACAGGCACCCACCACCACATCCAGCTAATTTTTTCTATTTTTAGTAGAGACGGGGTTTCACCGTGTTAGCCGGGATAGTCTTGATCTCCTGACCTCGCTATCCGCCCGCCTCGGCCTCCCAAAGTGCTGGGTTTACAAGCGTGAGCCACCACGCCTGGCCAATATTCTTCTTTTTTTTTTTTTTTTTTTTTGAGACGGAGTCTTGCTGTCGCCCAGGCTGGAGTGCAGTGGCACGATCTCGGCTCACTGCAGGCTCAGCCTCCCGAGTAGCTGGGACTACAGGCGCCCGCCACCTCGCCCGGCTAATTTTTTGTATTTTCAGTAGAGACAGGGTTTCACTGTGTTAGCCAGGATGGTCTCGATCTCCTAACCTCGCAATCTGCCCGCCTCGGCCTCCCTAAGTGCTGGATTACAGGCATGAGCCACTGCGCCTGGCCAATATTCTAATACTGATTCTTTTCCTCCGGGAGCTTGCATTCCACAGTGAGCTTGCAGACAATAAACATGATTAACAAGAAAACACAGGCCAAGCATGGTGGCTCACGCCTGTAATCCCAGCACTTTAGGAGGCCATGGCAGGTGGATTGCTCCAGCTCAGGAGTTCAAGAACAGCCTGGGCAACATGTCGAAACCCCACCTCTACAAAAAAAAGATACAAAAATTAGCCAGATCTGGTAGCATAAGCCTGTAGTCCCAGCTACTCAAAAGGCTGGGGCAGGAGGATCACTTGAACCTGGGAAGTCAAGGCTGCAGTGAGCCATGATTGCACCTCTGTACTCCAGCCTGGGCAACATACCAAGACCCTGCCTGAAAATGATATTATTATTAATAATGATGTTAAATATTAATCTTTTTATTGTTATTATTTATTTGTTTTAGAGACAGGGTCTTGCTCTGTCTCCCAGGCTGCAATGGTGTGATCATAGCTCACTGCAGCCTCCAACTCCTGGGCTCAAGCAATCTCCCACCTGAGCCCCCCTAGTAACTGGTACTACAGGTGTGCCACCACCATGACTGGCTAATTTATATATATATATATATATATATATATATATATATATATATTTTTTTTTTTTTTTTTTTTTTTTTTTTTTTGTAGAGACATGGCCTCACTAGGTTGCCCAGGCTAGTCTTGAACTGCTGGGCTCAAGCAATCCTCCCACCTCTGCCTCCCAAAGTGTTAGGATTACAGGCATGAGCCACTGTGCCCAGTCTTGGTTTTTTTTTAGGCAGGGGGCGGGGGAGTGTTTTGTGTGTATGTGTGTTTTTGAGATGGAGTCTCACTCCGTCACCCAGGCTGGAATGCAGTGGCTCAATCTTGGCTACCTGCAGCCTCCTCCTCCCAGGTTCAAGCAATTCTCTTGCCTCAGCCTCCCGAGTAGCCAGGGACTACGATCGCTCACCAGCACACCTGGCTATAATTGTTATTATTTATTATTATTATTATTATTATTATTTTGAGACGGAGTCTCGCTCTGTTGCCCAGGCTGCAGTGCAGTGGCACAATGTCGGCTCACTGCAAGTTCCGCCTCCTGGGTTCACGCCATTCTCCTGCCTCAGCCTCCCGAGTAGCTAGGACTACAGGCGCCCGCCACCACTCCCGGCTAATTTTTTTTGTAATTTTAGTAGAGACGGGGTTTCACCGTGTTAGCCAGGATGGTCTCGATCTCCTGACCTCGTGATCCGCCCACCTCGGCCTCCCAAAGTGCTGGGATTACAGGTGTGAGCCACCGCACCCGGCTATTTGTTATTATTTTTGATAGTTACTAGTATTCAACTACTAGAGGCCCTCCAGGTGGTGGAGAGACAGAGTCAAGGGTTGGGGCTCCCCATAACTGCATGTGTGTCCCCTCCCCTTCCCTCTCTAGGCCAATCCGGAGCCGGCAACAACTGGGCAAAGGGGCACTACACGGAGGGCGCAGAGCTGGTGGACGCTGTCCTGGACGTAGTCCGGAAGGAGGCCGAGAGCTGCGACTGCCTTCAGGGCTTCCAGCTGACCCACTCGCTGGGGGGTGGCACGGGGTCCGGAATGGGCACGCTGCTCATCAGTAAGATCCGCGAGGAGTTCCCAGACCGCATCATGAACACCTTCAGCGTGGTGCCCTCGCCCAAAGTGTCAGACACGGTGGTGGAGCCCTACAACGCCACGCTGTCTGTGCACCAGCTGGTGGAGAATACGGATGAGACCTACTGCATCGACAACGAGGCACTCTACGACATCTGTTTCCGCACCCTCAAGCTGACCACCCCCACCTACGGGGACCTCAACCACCTGGTGTCGGCCACCATGAGCGGGGTCACCACCTGCCTGCGCTTCCCGGGCCAGCTGAACGCCGACCTGCGCAAGCTGGCCGTCAACATGGTTCCCTTTCCTCGCCTGCACTTCTTCATGCCCGGCTTCGCACCCCTGACCAGCCGGGGCAGCCAGCAGTACCGGGCCCTGACGGTGCCCGAGCTCACCCAGCAGATGTTCGATGCCAAGAACATGATGGCGGCGTGCGACCCGCGCCACGGCCGCTACCTGACCGTGGCCGCCGTGTTCCGGGGCCGCATGTCCATGAAGGAGGTGGACGAGCAGATGCTGAGCGTGCAGAGCAAGAACAGCAGCTACTTCGTGGAGTGGATCCCCAACAACGTGAAGACGGCCGTGTGCGACATCCCGCCCCGCGGCCTGAAGATGGCCGCGACCTTCATCGGCAACAGCACGGCCATCCAGGAGCTGTTCAAGCGCATCTCCGAGCAGTTCACGGCCATGTTCCGGCGCAAGGCCTTCTTGCACTGGTACACGGGCGAGGGCATGGACGAGATGGAGTTCACCGAGGCCGAGAGCAACATGAATGACCTGGTATCTGAGTACCAGCAGTACCAGGACGCCACGGCCGAGGAGGGCGAGTTCGAGGAGGAGGCGGAGGAGGAGGTGGCCTAGGCTGCTCCCATCGCTTCCCACCTGTCCCCTCGAGGCTTCTGACCTTTGATCCGCTAGGCCCCCCATCTCTGAACCCTAGAGCCCCGCTTTCCCTCCAAGGCTGACTCCCCGCTGACCCTAACAATACCTTTGGAGCTCGCTTTACCTCTGGCTACTTCATCTCCGACCCTGGCTCCCCTTTGAGCCCTAATTTATCTTTAACCCCCTTGAGCTCTTCCAACCTTGACATTCCCAGGAGGAGCCCCGCTTCACCCCTTCTGACTCTGGAAACCGCACCTTTAACTTTGCAGACCTTCCTTCACCCCTGACTTCTGCTTCACCTTTGACCTCTGCCCCCCATGAATCCCATTTTACCTCTAGACCTATAAGTTCTGGTTTATGTTTGACCCCTCCCTCTGAGCTGCACTTCACCGCTGACCTTGCCTCACCTTTAACCCCCCACCTGAGCCCCAGCTCCTACCTCTGACCCCAACTTCTCTTTGATCTCTGAATCCCCTCTGACTCCAACTTCTCTTTCACCCTCTATGAGTCCCATTTTACTTCTACACCTGCAAGTCCTGGTTTATATTGGACCCCTCCCTCCGAGCTGCAGTTCACCTTTGACCTTGCCTCACCTTTCACCCCCCACCCCCCACAGCGTCAGCTCCTACCTCTGACCCCAGCTTCTCTCTGATTCCCACAGGCCCCATGCATCCTCCCTGCCTCACTCCCCTCAGCCCCTGCCGACCTTAGCTTATCTGGGAGAGAAACAAGGCCTGGTGCCTGTGAGGAAGAGAGGTCACCCCTACCCTCCCTCCCCGCTTCCCTGCCTCACCCTCAATAAATAAATTAATTGTTGTCATGGATGTTTCTGCCGAATCCCTCTTTCCTCTCTTACAGCAAGTGCGGGCTTTTCTCTACAGGATGGAGGAGGGTACCGATGACATCTCATCTCTGGATGGGGGGCGTGCTGGGGAGGGATCAGACGGGCCAGGCTAGGCCACCCACTAACCCTGAGGTTTTGACTAAGCCATTTGCCTTCTCTCAGCCTCGGTCTTCCCACCTGTAAAATGGGATCGTATGTTTTCCCCCAGGATCCCCCCACAACTGTTATAGGAATGGGGTCCCAATCCAGACCCCAAGAGAGGGTTCTTGGATCTCAAGAAAGAATTCAGGGCAAGTCCATAAAGTAAAAGCACGTTTATTAAGAAAGTAAAGGGGTAGGGCACGGTGGCTCACACCTGTAATCCCAACATTGGGAGGCTGAGGCAGGTGGATCACCTGAGGCCAGGAGAGACCAGCCTGGTCAACATGGCGAAATCCCATCTCTACTAAAAATAAAAAAATTCGCAGGGCGTGGTGGTGGGCGCCTGTAGTCCCAGGTACTCCGGAGGCTGAGGCAGGAGAATCGCTTGAACCTGGGAGGCAGAGGTTGCAGTGAGCCAAGATAACGCCACTGCACACCAGCCTGGCAACAGAGTGACACTCCGTCTCAAAAAATAATAATAATTAAATAAATAAATAAAGGAGCCAGGTGCAGTGGCTCATGCCTGTAATCCCAACACTTTGGGAGTCTGAGGTGGGTGGATCACCTGAGGCCAGGAGAGACCAGCCTGACCAACATGGTGAAACCCCAACTCTACTAAAAATGCAAAAATTACCTGGGCGTGGTGGCAGGCGCCTATAGTTCCGGCTACTTGGGAGGCTGAGGCAGGAGAATCACTTGAACCTGGGAGGCAGAGGTTGCAGTCAGCTGAGATGGCGCCACTGCACTCCAGCCTGGGTGACAGAGCGAGACTCCGTATCAAAAAAAAAAAAAAAAAAAAAAAAAACAAAGAATGGCTACTCCACAGATGAGAGCCACTGGTTGCCCATTTTTATGGTTTTTTCTTGATGATATGCTAGACAAGGGGTGGATTATTCATGCCTCCCCTTTTTAGAACATGTAGGGTGACTTCCTGACATTGCCGTGGCATCTGTAAACTGTCATGGCGCTGGTGGGAGTGTAGCAGTGAGGACAACCAGAGGTCACTCATCATCATCTTGGTTTTGGTGGGTTTTGACCAGCTTCCTTACTGCAACCTGTTTTTTGTTTGTTTGTTTGTTTGTTTTGTTTTGTTTTGCTTTGTTGTTGTTGTCGTTTTTGAGACAGAGTCTCACTCTGTCGCCCAGGCTGGAGTGCAGTGGCATGATCTCGGCTCACTGCAGGCTCCACCTCCCGGGTTCACGCCATTCTCCTGCCTCAGCCTCCCGAGTAGCTAAGACTACAGGCGCCCACCACCACATCCAGCTAATTTTTTCTATTTTTAGTAGAGACGGGGTTTCACCGTGTTAGCCAGGATAGTCTTGATCTCCTGACCTCGCGATCCACCCGCCTCGGCCTCCCAAAGTGCCGGGATTATAGGCATGAGCCACCGCACCCGGCCTACTGCAACCTATTTTATCAGCAAGGTCTTTATGACCTGTATCTTATGCCGATCTCATCCTGTGAGTTAGAATGCCTTAACCATCTGGGAATGCAGCCCAGTAGGTCTCAGGTCTCAGCCTCATTTTACCCAGCTCCTATTCAAGATGGAGTTGTTCTGGTTCACACGTCTCTGACACACCCACCTCAGAATTGTTCGTGAGGATCTGAGGAGATCTCAGGAGCACAGAGTGGGTGCTTGGTGGCAGAGGTACTGCTGTTCTCTGTGCAGCACCTTGCAAATATGGAAGGCAGGAAGGGGAATCTCTAGGGAAGGGTGCCAGGAAGATGGCAGCCTGAGCTGGCACCCAAGTGGCAATCTTGCCAGAGTAACAACACAGCTCACCCACATGAAACTTTTCTGTGTGCATGACTCATGCCTCATTTCATGCAAGCCTCACACCAACCCTGGAAGGCCTAAGCTTCTATCCCCTTCCAAGCCAAGGTTTAGAGAGAGAAGAGCATTATCAGTTAGCTTTTGCTGTGTAACAATCCCCCAAAACTTAGTGGCTTAAGACAAAAACAGGTATTTATTTTGCTCCCAAATCTGTAATCTGAGCAAGGATTGGCGAGGCAGTTCATTTAGGCTCCCTATGACATCAGCCAGAGCATCTTAGCCAGAGGTAGAGGGATCTACTTCCAAGGTGGCTCACAACAGACTGGCCAGGTGGTGCCAATTATCAGCTGGGGGCTCAGCAGGAGTAAGGAGAACAAAGACCTTAGTGTCTCTCCATAGTCCCCTTGGGCTTCCTCACAACATGGCTGCCAGGTTCCCCCAGAGCAAACACCCCAAGAGAGCAGGACAGAAGTAAATGCAAAAAAAAACGGATTGCATTTTTATGACCTAACTTCAGAAGTCATACAGTGTCACTTATTCAGGACTCACCAACAAGGCAGTCACTAAGCCTTGTTCAGATTCAAGGGGATGAAGTACAGACTCCAGCTCTTTTCTTTTTGAGACAGGATCTCACTCTGTCACCCAGGGTAGAGTGCAGTGGTGTGATCATGGTTCATTGAAACCTCAAACTCCTGGGCTCAAGCAATCCTCCCACCTCAGCCTCCAGAGTCACTAGGACTACAGGCACATGCCACCACAGCTGGTTAATTTTTTTGTATTGTTAGTAGACATTAGAGATAGGGTCTCACTTTGTCACCCAGGCTAGTCTCCTGCCTCAGCCTCCCAAAGTGCTGGGATTACAGGCATGAGCCACCACACTTGGTCCATCCTCCAGCTCTTTTATTTTGTTTTGTTTTGTTTTGTTAGAGTTTCACCCTTGTCGCCCAGGCTGGAGTACAATGGCATGATCTTGGTTCACTGCAATCTCCGCCTCCTGGGCTCAAGCAATTATCTTGCCTCAGCCTCCTGAGTAGCTGGGATTACAGGCACCCACCACCACACCCAGCTAATTTTTGTATTTTTAGTAGAGATGGGGTTTCACCATGTTGACCAGGCTGGTCTCAAACTCCTGGCCTCAGGTGATCCACCCGCCTTGGCCTCCCAAAATGCTGGGATTACAGGCATGTTCCACCATGCCCAACCCACACTCCAGCTCTTGATGGTAGAGTGGCAAGATTCTAGAAGAGCACGTAGGGTGAGTAATAGAGCCATGGCCATCTTTAGAAATTACAAATTTTTGGCCAGGTGCGGTGGCTCACTCCTGTAATCCCAAAATTTTGGGAGGCCAAGGCGGGCAGATTACTTGAGTCCAGGAGTTTGAATCCAGCTTGGGCAACATGGCAAAACCCTGTCTCTACAAAAAATACATAATAATAATAATAATAATAATAACTCGCTGTGGTGGTGCACAACTGTAACCCCAGCTACTCAGCAGGCCAAGGAGGTCAAGGCTGCAGTGAGCTGAGCTGTAATTGCACCACTGCACGACAGCCTGAGTGACAGAGTGAGACACTGTGGGAGAAAAGAAAGGGAAGGGAACGGAAGGGGAGGGGAGGGGAAGTAAGGGGAGGGGAGGGGAATGTACTGGGCACGGTGGCTCACACCTGTAATCCCAGCACTTTGAGAGGCTGAGGCGGGTGGATCACGAGGTCAGGAGTTCAATACCAGCCTGGCCAACATGGTGAAACCCCGTCTCTACTAAAGGCACAAAAAATTAGCTGGGTATGGTGGCACGCAACTGTAATCCCAGCTACTCAGGAGGCTGAGGCAGGAGAATCACTTGAACCTGGGAGGCAGAGGTTGAAGTGAGCTGAGATCGTGCCATTGCACTTCAGCCTGGGCAACAGAGTGAGACTCTGTCTCAAAAAAAAGAAGGAAAGAAAGAAAAGAAAGAGAGAGAGAAAAGAAAGGAGGGAAGGAAAGAAGGAAGGAAGGAAGAAAAGAAGAAGGCAAGAAGACAGGAAGACAGGAAGGAGGGAAGTAAGGAAGGGAGGGAGGGAGAGAAGAGGGAGGAAGGAAGGAAAGAAGGAAGGAAGGAAAAAATGAAGGAATAAATTACAATTTGCCACACAAAGTCACTTGCCCATGGTCACATGGCTACTAAACAGTGAGCTGGAATTCAAACCCTGCTAGTTGAACCCTAGAATCCTGACACAGGCAGCCAGAGTTCCGTGTGGGGACCATTCTAGGTATATTAAGCAGACAGGAACTTAATACAAGAATCGATGGTGCTTGCAAAATCACTGGAAGACGCTGAGAGAGTGGGCTGTGTAGGCTTCTCAAATTTTACCGTGCAAAAGAATCAGCAGAACAACTTGCTAACGCACAGTTTCTTCAGTCTCACCCCCTCACAGTTGCAGATTCAGTAAGTAGGTCCGGGGTGGGGCTCAAGACTCTGCATTTTTAACAAGTTCTCAGGAGATGCTAAAGATGTGTGAATAAGACCACAGATTGAGCAGCCCCGGAATAGGTAGGACCCTCGTGACACCACAGAGCTGGGTCACCAAGGAGCAGCTCCTTTGTATAGGGAGAAAGGTGGAGAACAAAGAGGCAGTTACCAGAACTATGACCTGGAAATGGGTCCAACAAAGAACACGAATTCATGAAAATAAAATGTATAGCTCCACAACCCTGCTTCTCAGCAAGATATACACACAAGCCCACACTGCCTCACTTCCACTTTCTAAATCTCTCATGAGCATTTCTCATTGGTAGAACCAATTCTGCATCCAGAAACGGAGCAGCAAAGGCATCTGGGAAATGTAGGGGTTGGAGGGGTTTTTTGCAGCGTCTGCATTAGGAAGACGAGCCAGGGGCAAGGGTAGGTGAGAGGGGGACACGCGGAGAGCCAAGCAGTAACGTCCACCACTCTATGCTAGACACCAGGCACCCAGGCTGGAGCCTCAGTCTTCTTGCTACGTCCCCCTGCAGCCAGGAGTAAGGAGAGGCATGAGGGAAGCAGCGTGGACATCAGCCCACGGCAACTTCAGCAGGCCCAGCACAGCACAGCACAGCACTGGGTGGTAGACCAGCAATACAAAGGATTTAGGTAGCAGCATAATGGATAGATCTGGGTTGGGTTCCCCACTCAGCATCCTCCTTCCTTGCACAAGGCACTTAACTACTCAGAAGTGTACGGACTTTTTATTTGCTTTTTTGTTTTTTGTTTTTAGTTTATTAATTATTTATTTATTTATTTATTTTTGAGATGCAGTCTCGCTCTGTTGCCCAGGCTGGAGTGCAGTGGCGCAATCTCGACTCACTGCAAGCTCCGCCTCCCGGGTTCACGCCATTCTCCTGCCTCAGCCTCCCGAGTAGCTGGGACTACAGGCGCCCGCCATGACGCCAGGCTAATTTTTTGTATATTTAGTAGAGATGGGGTTTCACCATGTTAGCCAGGATGGTCTTGATCTCCTGACCTTGTGATCCACCCGCCTCGGCCTCCCAAAGTGCTGGGATTACAGGCGTGAGCCACCGCGCCCGGCCTATTTATTTATTTTTGAGACAGAGTTTCGCTCTTGTTGCCCAGGCTGCAGTGCAGTGGTGCGATCTTGGCTCACTGCAATCTCCACCTCCCAGGTTCAAATGATTCTCCTGCCTCAGCCTCCCAAGTAGCTGGGACTACAGGCACCCACCGCCACACCCGGCTAATTTTTTTTTGTATTTTTAGTAGAGACGGGGTTTCACCATGTTGGCCAGGGGCTGGTCTCGAACTCCTGACCTCAGGTGATCGGCCCGCCTTAGCCTCCCAAAATGCTGAGATTAGGTGTGAGCCACCACACCCAGCCTGGTTTTGTTTGTTTCTTTCTTTCTTTTTTTCTTTTTTTTAAAGTATTTCCCCAAACTTTGATGAGGCAGTTGCTTTGGGGGGTTCAACATTTTTTTTAGTCTCCTTCTGTCACCCAAGCTGGAGCGCAGTGGCACAATCATGGCTTACTGCAGCCTCGACTTCCTGGGCTCAAGTGATCCTCCTACCTCAGCCTCCCAAGTAGCTGGGACTACAGGCATGTGTCACCATGCCAGCTAGCTTTTCTGTAGAGATGGCGTTTCACCATGATACCCAGGCTGGTCAGAGGCTGAGGTGGGAGGATCCCTGAGCTCAAGCAATCCACCCACCTCGGCCTCCCAAAGTGCTGGGATTACAAGAGCAAGCAACCGCGTCCGGCCAGGTGTAGGTTTTTTTGTGTTTGTTTTTGAGACAGAGTCTCACTCTATTGCCTGGAGAGCAGTGGCGTGATCACGATTCACTGCAGCCTCGACCTTCTGGGCTCAAGTAATCCTCCCACCTCAGCCTCCTGATTCGGAACTACAGGCGTGTACCACCACACCCAGCTAATTTTTAATTTTTTTTTTTTTTGAGGTGGAGTCTGACTCTGTCGCCCAGGCTGGAGTGCCATGGCATGATCTCAGCTCACTGCAACCTCCACCTCCCAGGTTCAAGCGATTCTCCTGCCTCAACCTTCCGAGTAGCTGGGATTATAGGCATGCGCCACCACACGTGGCTAATTTCCATATTTTTAGTAGAGATGGGGTTTCACCATGTTGGCCAGGCTGGTCTTGAACTGCTGACCTCAGGTGATCCACCCATCTCAGCCTCCCAAAGTGCTGGGATTACAGGCGTGAGCCACCACAGCTGGCCTGCACCCAGCTATTTTTTTAGATTTTTTTATAGAGACAGGATCTTGATATATTGCCCAGGCTGGTCTTGAACTTCTGGCCTCAGGCGATCCTCAGGCTTCAGCCTCCCAAAGTGCTGGGATTACAGGCGTCAGCCACCATGCCTGGCAAAGTTAAGGATTTTAAGATAACAGGATTATGGCAAATTATTTGGGTGGGTCCAATACAATCACAAGGATCTTTATAAGAGGGAGACAGAGGATCAGAGTCAGAGAAGAAGTGAGGACAAAAGCAGGAGTCCCAGCAAGTGAGAGAGATTTGAAGATAAATGCTACTGGCTCGGCCAGGCACTGTGGCTCACACCTGTAATCCCAGGACTTTGGGAGGCTGAAGCACAAAGATCTCTTGAGGCCAGGAGTTTGAGGCCACCCTAGGCAACATAGCAAGACCCTGTCTCTATGAAAATTGTTCCAATAAGTTAGCTGGGTGTGGTGGCACATTGCTGTAGTCCTAGCTCCTTGGGAGGCTGGGATGGGAGGATAACATGAGCCCAGGAGTTCGAGACTATAGTGAGCTATGATGGCACCACTGCACTCCAGCCAGGGCAACAGATGGAGACCCTGTCTCTCAAAAAAATTAAAAATAAAAATAAAAAGGCTAGGCGCAGTGGCTCACACCTGTAATCCCAGCACTTCAGGAGGCTGAGGCAGATGGATCACCTGAGGTCAGGAGTTCCAGACCAGCCTGGCCACATGCTGAAACCCCGTCTCTACTAAAAATACAAAAATAAGCCAGGCGTGGTGACGGGTGCCTGTAATCCCAGCTACTTGGGAGGCTGAGGCAGGAGAATCGCTTGAACCTGGGAAGCGGAGGTTGCAGTGAGCCAAGATCGTGCCATTGCACTCAGCCTGGGCAACAAGAGTGAAACTCCGTCTCAAAAACAACAAAAAAATTAACGATGTGTGGTGGCTGTGCCTATAACCCTAGTTGCTCAAGAGGCTGAGGTGGGAGGATCACTTGAGCCAAGGAGTTACAGGTGGCATTGAGCTATAATGGTACCACTGCACTCCAGCCTAGGAGACACAGAGAGGGAGACCCCATCTCTTAAAATAATTAAAAAAATAAAAACAGGCGGCCGGGCGCGGTGGCTCACGCCTGTAATCCCAGCACTTTGGGAGGCCGAGGCAGGTGAATCACTAAGTCAGGAGATCCAGACCACCTTGGCTAACACGGTGAAACCCCGTCTCTACCAAAAATACAAAAAAATCAGCCAGGCGTGGTGGCGGGCACCTGTAGTCCCAGCTACTCGGGAGGCTGAGGCAGGAGAATGCCATAAATCTGGGAAGTGGAGCTTGCAGTGAGCCAAGATCACGCCACTGCACTCCAGCCTGGGCGACAGTGAGACTTCATCTCAAAAAATAAATAAATAAATAAAATAAAAATAAAAACAGGCTGGGCACTGTGGCTCGTGCTTGTAATCCCATTCACTTTGGAAGACCGAGGCCTGGGGATTGCTGGAGGCCAGAAGTTCAAGACCAGACCAGGCAATAAAGCGAAACCCCATCTCTACAAAAATATTTTTTAAAATTAGCTGAGCTGACCAGGCACGGTGGCTCATACCTGTAATCCCAG
Organism: Homo sapiens; assembly: GCF_000001405.40. NCBI lineage: Eukaryota > Metazoa > Chordata > Mammalia > Primates > Hominidae > Homo > Homo sapiens. The sequence goes on along the minus strand of NC_000019.10, from coordinate 6,486,074 downwards.
CACTTTGGGAGGCCAAGGCGGGCAGATCACTTGAGGTCAGGAGTTCAAGACCAGCCTGGCCAACATGGGGAAACCAGATCTCTACTAAAACACACACACAAAAATTAGCCGGGCGTGGTGGCGGTCACCTGTAATCCCAGCTATTCGGGAAGCTGAGGCAGGAGAATTGCTTGAACCCAGGAGGCAGAGGTTGCAATGATTGCGCCACTGTACTCCAGCCAGCCTGGGTGACAGAGCAAGGCTCCGTCTCACAAAAAAAAAAAAAAAAAAAAAAAAAGGGCCGGGCGTGGTGGCTCATGGCTGTAATCCCAGTACTTTTGGAGGCCGAGGCGGGTGGATCAGTGGATCACGAGGTCAGGAGTCCAAGACCAGCTTGGCCAAGATGGTGAAACCCCACCTCTACTAAAAATACAAAAATTAGCTGGGTGCGGTGGCAGACGCCTATAATCCCAGCTACTTGGGAGGCTGAGGCAGGAGAATCGCTTGAACCCAGGAGGCAGAGGTTGCAATGAGTGAAGATCGTGCCACTGCACTCCAGCCTGGGTGACAGAGTGAGACCCTGTCTCAAAAATAAAATTAAATTAAATTTAAAAAAAAAAACAGTTGTGTGTACAGTAGCACACAACTGTAGTCCCAGCTACTCAGGGGGCTGAGGTGGGAGGATCACTTGAGCCCAGGAGGTCAAGGCTACAGTGAGCTATGATGGCGCCACTGCACGTCGGCCTGGGTGACAGAGTGTGACCCCATCTCTCTTTTTTTTTGGGTAGGGGGATGGAGTTTCGCTCTTATCACCCAGGCTGGAGTACAATAGCACGATCTTGGCTCACTACAACTCCCAGGTTCAAGCGATTCTCCTGCCTCAGCCTCCCAAGTAGCTAGCTACATAGCCACGCATGGTGGTACAGATCTGTAGTCCCAGCTACTTGGGAAGCTGAGTCAGGAGAATCACTTGAACCTGGGAGGCAGAGGTTGCAGATATTTTGTCATAGCAGCCTTAATTTTTTTTTTTTTTAACATAGAGTCTTGCTCTGTCACTCGCTGGAATGCAGTGGTGCAATCAAAGTTCACTGTAGGCTTGAACTCCTGGGCTCAAGTGATCCTCCCGCCTTAGCCTCCCAAGTAGCCGGGACTACAGGCGCTATCACCACACCTAGCTCAAACCTCTTTTTATTTATTTATTTATTTATTTTTATTTTTTTATTTTTTACTTTCCCGAGACAGAGTCTCTCTCTGCTGCCCATGCTGCAGTGCAGTGGTGCAATCTTCACTCACTGCAACCTCTGCCTCCTGGGTTCAAACAATCCTCCCACTCAGCCTCCCAAGTAGCTGGGACTACAGGTGCACACCACCATGCCCAGCTAATTTCTGTATTTTTTGTAGAGACGGGGTTTCACCATGCTGCCCAGGCTGGTCTCAAACTTCTGCCTCAAGCAATCCACCCCCCTCAGCCTCCCAGAGTGCTAGGATTACAGGTGTGAACCACTGCACCCTGCCAGAGCCACCGCACTGGGCCTCAAGCCTCTTTTATAAAGGCATTAATCCCACTGTTGAGGGTGGATACCTCTTGACCTCATCACCTCCCAGAGGCCTCACCTATTTTTTTTTTTTTTTTTTGAGACGGAGTTTCACTCTTGTTGCCCAGGCTGGAGTGCAATGGCGCAATCTCGGCTCCTCTTACTACTGCCTTGGGGCTTTAGGTTTCAACATACGAATTTTGGAGGGACACATATTCGGACAATAGCACATGTCCATCAGACTGTGTGAGGATGTGGCTGACGGGATTCTGACTCTGTATGTGTCCAGTGACTGTGGGTACGAGGTGTCTTCTTCTTCTTCTTCTTTTTTTTTTTTTTGATGGAGTTTTGCTCTTGATGCCCAGGCTGGAGTGCAATGGCACGATCTTGGCTCACCACAGCCTCCGCCTCCCATGTTCAAGCAATTCTCCTGCCTCAGCCCCCTGAGTAGCTAGGATTACAAGTATGTGTCACCACCACACCCGGCTAATTTTGTATCTTTAGTAGAGACGGGGTTTCTCCAAGTTGCCCATGCTGGTCTCAAACTCCCGACCTCAGGTGACCCGCCCACCTCGGCCTCCCAAAGTGCTGGGATTACAGGTGTGAGCCACCGCACCCGGCCACGAGGTGTTTTCACACCACACAGTGGTCTGAGTCTGTTGGCAGGATTTCATGTGTAGGTGTGACCCTGACTATATCATGTTCTGTTTTTGTGCCTGCAGATATGTTCACATATCCTGTCTCAACATGACTACGTCTGTCCACCTGTGTGCCTGTGTCTTTTTTGTTGTTTTTGTTTGTTCCTGTGTTTGTTTGGAGATAGGGTCTTACACCGTTGCCCAGGCTGGAGTGCAATGGCACGATCACAGCTCACTACAACCCCCACCACCTGGGCTCAAGGGATCCTCCCGCCTCAGCCTACAGAATAGCTGGGACTACTGCACCTGGCTAAAGTTTTAATTTTTGTAAAGATGGGGTCTTGTTATATTGCTCAGGCTGATCTTTAACTCCTGGCCTCAAACAATCCTACCTCAGCCTCCCAAGGTGCTGGGATTACTGAGCCACTGCCTCCAGCCCCTGTGTCTTTCATAGTCTGCAGCACGGCTTGAGTGTGTCGGGCTGTCATGAGTATCTGGCTGTCATGTGAGTCCAGCTGTGTCTCTCTCTGCATGTGGCCGGGTCTTGGCTATAACTATATCTGGTTATTACTTGAGCTATGTCTGTGCTGTGTTTCCATCTATCTGGGTCTATTTCTCTGTTATTCTGTTTGTATCAATGGCTGTGGTCTCTGTGTAACTGTTTATTGTGTCTCTGTCTGTCTCTGCATTTGTTTGTTTGTTTGTTTGCTTTGTTTTTGTTTTTGTTTTTGAGATGGAGTCTCACTCTTTCACCCAGGCTGGAGTGCAGTGGCACGATCTCGGCTCACTGCAACCTCTGCCTCCCGGATTCAAGTGATTCTCCTGCTTCAGCCTCCCAAGCAGCTGGGATTACAGGCACATGCCACCATGCCCAGCTAATTTTTTGTTTGTTTGTTTGTTTTTGATTTTTTGAGACAGAGTCCTGCTCTGTCGCCCAGGCTAGAGTACAGCGGCGCGATATCGGCTCACTGCAAACTCCGCCTCCCAGGTTCAAATAATTCTGCCTCAGCCTCCTGAGTAACTGGGATTACAGATGCCCACCACCGTGCCTGGCTAATCTTTGTATTTTTAGTAGAGACTGGGTTTCACCATCTTGGCCAGGCTGGTCTCGAACTCCTGACCTCGTGATCCACCTGCCTCAGCCTCCCAAAGTGCTGGGATTACAGATGTGAGCCACCGCACCTGGCCTGTATTTTTTTTTAATTAGAGACAGGGTTTCACCATGTTGGCCAGGCTGGTTGCAAACTCCTGACCTCAAGTGATCCGCTTACCTTGTCTTTCTGCGCACAATGGGTGTGTAACTGTGACTAAGTTGTTTTTTTTTTTTTTTGAGACAGGATCTCACTTTGTTGCTCAGGCTGGAGTACAGTAGTGCAATCTTGGTTCACTATGGCCTCAAACTCCCCAGGCTCAGGCGATCCTCCTGACTCAGCCTCCTGGGTAAGCTGGGACTATAGGTGCGTGCCACCACCGCCAGCTATAATTTTTGTAGCTTTTATAGACACAGGGTTTCGCCATGTTTCCCAGGCTGGTCTCGAACTCCTGGGCTCAAGCGGTCCTCCCACCTTGGCCTCTCAAAGTGCTGGGATTATAGGCGTGAGCCACTGTGCCCGGCCTGGGACTATGATCCAGCTGTAGGACTCCCTATCTCTCCATGTCTGTCGTCTCTGGCTCTTCTGCACTCGGTTTGTCTGTGCTGATGACTTCCTGAGCGTGTAACTGTCTGTGTCTGTGTCTGTCTGTCCGTCCCTGTGCCTGTACTTCGTGCTCTTTGTCCCCATCCCTGGCCCCCCCACCGTCCACTTTACAGGTGGCTCCCTCTGGTGGTCCACCAGTGACCGTCCAGGCCAAATGGACCAAGGGAAAGAGACGGGGAGGCATTTCATTAATAGACAGACTGTGAATCTTGGCTGCTGCGGAGCGGGGAAGGAGAGATGAGGGCCCAGGCACGATGGGGGGAACCAGACACAGTCCAGCCTGGCGGGGACGGAGCTGGGGGTCTGCCTTCCCAGGCTGACCACTTATTGCCCACCCATCCCCAACATAATTAGCAGGCAGGATGCCTGGGTTTCTCACGGGGGTGGGGGCAGGGCCTCTGTCCGGGGACGTCACCCGTTAAACTTCCTCTCTCAGCCACACAGGAAGCTGAGCCGGCTTGGGGCCCAGCATACACAGGCCCCCAGGACCCCTGGGGAGAGGGCCCCGCTGGGCTGGCCCTGCAGGGACCATGGAATCCAGAGCTGAGTAAGAGCCACCCCATCCCTCATTCTCTGGTACAAGATTCCCGGGCCAGGCCTGAGCCGGGGCAGAGGGGAGCTGGGGCTGGAGCAGGCCCGGGAGGTGCAGTGACCTGCCAGGGCAGGTGGCTGGAATCAGATACTCCATGGGCCTCCGCTATGACCTTCACTCTGGGACAGGCCACTCTCGGTCCCCTCCTCTCTCTCTCTCTCTCTCTCTCTATCCAGCTCCTGTGATTATGTCTATAGCTCTGTGAATGCATGTACCCCTCTGAGCTTTGTCCTTGGTATGTCTGAGTGATGGCTTCAGGGGGTCCACAGGGCGGATGATCAGGGCAGAGGGGAGGCTGGGTGTTGGTATGAGTGGGTGATCGTGTGTGACTTGTGTCGGCGTGAGGGTGAAGTGCTGGGGTACCCATGGTGGGGACTGTGTGTGCAACTGGGCGGGACAGTGTGTGTGCAGCTGATCTCCCTCTAGATCTCCCTGTCTCTCTCCTTGAGCCCAAGGCTGCCTCTTCTGCTTGATATGGGGGCAGAGGAGGAAAGCAGAGATTGCAGGGCTTACAGTAAGTACCTAGGTATCCTGCCCTCCTTTCTCTGATGAGACATGTGGGACCAGCCACGAGGGTTCTATGGGGTCTCACACACAGAGACACACAGCCAGCCCACAAGGATCCCACGCGGTTACCCAGTGACACTCACAGCTGTACAGGAAAATATAGATGTCATTCACTTGCTCGGGCACACACACTCACATCTATACAAGAAAATATAGATGGCATGGCTAGATGCAGTGACTCAAGCCTGTAATCCCAGCAATTTGGGAGGCTGAGGCGGGCAGATCACCTGAGGTCAGGAGTTTGAGAACAGCCTGGCCAGTATGTGAAACCCTGTCTCTACTAAAAATATGAAAATTAGCTGGGCGTGGTGGCGGGCACCTGTAATCCCAGCTACAGGGAGGCTGAGGCAGGAGAATCGCTTGAACCTGTGGGGTGGAGGTTGCAGTGAGCCAAGATCGTGCCACTGTACTCCAGCCTGGGTGACAAAGCAAAACTCCATCTCAAAAAAATAGATAGATAGATAGATAGATAGATAGATAGATAGATAGATAGATAGATAGATAGGTGGGTGGGTGGATGGATAGGTGGGTGGGTGGGTGGATGGATGGATGGATGGATAGACAGAGACAGACAGACAGACAGATAGATGGATATATATATAGAGAGAGAGAGATGTAATTCACTTAGCTTGGGACTGCACGGGCTGTCCTTCATATCTGTGCAGTCTCATGCCACAGATATAGGAGACAGTCTCATCTTTTCAGGCAGACAGCAGACAGGATCACACACACACTGCCTGCTCACAAAAGCCATGCACTCAGCCACACACAATCATACACAGCCACACACACACAGTCACACTTTCTCACTCCATCCTGTACTTGTGTGTTCAATTAACACTGCTGCACACACAGCCTCACACAACCACACACTCACAGCCACAAACCCCCAGAGTCATGCACATGCCGACGCACCTTGTGGCACATGCACACACAACCACACTTGTGTGCAAAGTGGCAGACACAACCACACATGCATAGAAGCAAGTCTCTGGACCCCTTCTGCATCCCACAGAGGGGGCTCCCCTGCTGTGTTTGATTGGTTCTTCGAAGCGGCCTGCCCTGCCTCCCTGCAGGAGGGTGAGTTGGGAGCCTGGGAGTGAGGGAGTGGGAGGGGAGGGTGGGCCTGGGTCGCTGAACTTAGAGGCGTGCTCTCTTCTACAGATCCCCCCATCCTGCGGCAGTTCCCTCCAGACTTCAGGGACCAGGTATTCAGGCTGGCTCCTTGCTCCCCCAGGGCGAGGGCCAGTCTCCCAGGGGGAGGGGACTTGGTTTCTTGGACCTGGAGCCCAGGGAGGTGGTGCCCGACCTCAGTGGCCAAGCAGTCTGCGCTTTTCTTCACCTCCAGGAAGCTATGCAGATGGTGCCTAAATTCTGCTTCCCTTTTGATGTGGAAAGGTACGGAAGGGCGGGGAGATCCAAGGACTCAGGGACTCAGATCTCTCAGGGGCCCCAAGGACTCAACACCTAGAGACTCAGACATCTGGAAACCCATACACTCGAGGACCCTGAGACTCAGAGACTCAGACACTCAGGGGCCCTGAGAACTAGGGACCTATATACATTAGCATCCAGGGACTCAGACACTCAGGGACCCAGAGATCTAGGGACTCAGGAACCCAGGGACCCAGGGACCCAGGGACTCAGAGACTCAAGGACTCAGGGACACAAGGATTCAGGGACTTCGGAACCCAGAGACTCAGAAACTCAGGGACCAGGGACTCAGGGACTCAGGGACTCAGGGACTGAGGAACCCAGGGACTTAGGGATTCAAGGACCCAGAGATCCAGAAACCCAGAGATCCAGGGACCCAGGGACTCAGGGACCCAGAGATCCAGGGACCCAGAGATTCAGGGACCCAGGGATTCTGAGACCCAGGGATCCAGACATTCAGGGATCCTGACAACTAGAGACCCATACACTCAGGGTCCTAGGAGCTTTGTTGGGGAGCGGGGACATCCTCAGACAGCTGGGATGTCCAGGTCTCTCTAACAGCCCTTCCCACTCCAGGGAGCCCCCCAGCCCCGCCGTGCAGCATTTCACCTTCGCCCTCACAGACCTTGCCGGCAACCGCAGATTTGGTTTCTGCCGCCTGCGGGCGGGTACCCAGAGCTGTCTCTGCATCCTCAGGTGCGGGATATGGGGGTTGGAGGGGGGGATGGGAAAGGCCGAGGCCTAGGGACACTTCGTGGAACCTGTCTCCTCTCTCCACAGCCACCTGCCTTGGTTCGAGGTGTTTTACAAGCTATTGAACACAGTGGGAGACCTCCTAGCCCAGGACCAAGTGAGACCAGCCCCTCTCTCACTCCTGTGGGAGTCCCAGCCCCCACCCCCCTCAACCTCCCAACCCCTCCCTCTCAGATCTCCCAGGCTTGGCAGGGCACACTGTGTCACACCTGTAGTCCCTGCATTTTGGGAGGCCGAGGTGGGAGGATCCCTTGAGCCCTGGAGTTCGAGACCAGCTGGGCAACATAGTGAGACCCCCGTCTCTACAAAATATAAAAAATAATTGGCCAAGTGCTGTGGCTCACGCCTGTAATCCCAGCACTTTGGGAGGACAAGGCGAGCGGATCACCTGAGGTCAGGAGTTCGAGACCGGCCTGACCGACATGGTGAAGCCCCGTCTCTACTAAAAATACAAAAAAAAAAAAAAAAAATTAGCCGGCCGTCGTGGCACACGCCTGTAATCCCAGCTGCTCAGAGGCTGCGGCAGGAGAATCGCTTGAACCCGGGAGGCGGAAGTGGCAGTGAGCCGAGATCGCGCCATTGCACTCCAGCTTGGGCAACAGGAGCGAAACTCCGTCTCAAAAAATAAAAATAAAAAATTAGCCAGGCGTGGTGGTGCACACCTGTGGTCCCAGCTACTCAGGAGAGCAAGGTGGGAGGATCAACTGAGCCCAGGAGTTCGAAGCTATAGTGAGCTATGATCGCAGCACTGCACTCCAGCCTGGGGGACAGAGCAAGACCCTGTCTCAAGAAAAAAAATTTCTTTTAGATGGAGTCTTCCTCTGTCGCCCAGGCTGGAGTGCGGTGGTGCGATTCCGCCTCACTGCAACCTCCGCATTCCGGGTTCAGGCGATTCTTCCGCCTCAGTCTCCCAAGTAGCTGGGACTATAGGCGCGGCCCACCAGCCCGGCTAATTTTTTTTTTTTTTTTTGTACTTTTAACAGAGACGTGTTTTCACTATGTTGGCCAGGCTGGACACGGACTCCTGGCCTCAGGTGATCCGCATGCCTCAGCCTCCCAAAGGGTTGGGATTACAGGCGCGAGCCACCGCGCCCGGCCTACAAGGAAAAATTTAAATTAAAAAATTTAAAAAGCCGGGCGCGGTGGCTCACGCCTGTAATTGTAGCCCTTTGGGAGGCCGAAGCAGCAGGATCCCTTGAGCCCAGGAGTTCAAGACCAGCCTGGGCAACATAGGGAGACTTTGTCTCTATTATTATTATTATTATTATTATTAATTTCTTTTAAAGAAAGAAAAAAAAAAACTCCCAGGACTGACCTGAGCCCTTGGCTCCTCCCAGACCACTCAACCTTAGTCATAGCCCTCGGAATCCCCAATCCCCACATCTGGCTCAGCCACCCCCGCCCCTCCACGTCCCACCCAGGTCACCGAGGCAGAGGAACTTCTTCAAAATCTGTTTCAGCAGTCCCTGTCTGGGCCCCAGGCCTCAGTGGGGCTTGAGCTGGTGAGTAGCTCCCATTCCCTGGGCGCTGGACCTTAGGTGGATGGGAAGGCTGCGTCCCAGCCATCATGACCACAGAGTCGTGCCTCTTCCCCAGGGCAGCGGAGTGACGGTCTCCAGCGGGCAGGGTATCCCCCCCCCTACCCGGGGGAATAGCAAGCCGGTGAGCGGGGCTCGGGGACCCTGGAAGGTCGGGGGTCCAGGTGAGGCCAGCCTCCTGACTGATTGATCCCCCTGCCAATACCCCCACCAGCTTTCCTGCTTCGTGGCCCCGGACTCCGGCCGCCTGCCATCCATCCCTGAGAACGTGAGTGGGGAGGGGTCTCTGGGGGTGAGAACAGGTCCCGAAACCCGGACCGGGGATGCAAGATCCAGGGGCCCGTCCACGCCCAGAGCGACTCTCTGATCCTCAGAGGAACCTAACGGAGCTGGTGGTGGCCGTGACTGACGAGAACATCGTGGGGCTGTTCGCGGCGCTCCTGGCCGAGAGAAGAGTCCTGCTCACCGCCAGCAAACTCAGCACCGTGAGGCGGGGTCCGCCGGGCCGGGGTGGGAGCAGGGCCTGGCTCCGCCCCGGGGGGCGGGACAAGGGGGCTGATTCCTGGCTCTAACCCTACTGCGCGAGACCCGAGGGCGAAGTCCTGGCCCCGCCCCTTCGAAGGTCTTGGAGAGTTGAACTCTGGCCCCGCCCTCGTGGGAGGGGGCTGCGCTGCAGCTCCTCCTTTTTGGGAGTACTGTGCTCAGGCTCCACCCACTATGGGCCGCAACACGTCTGGCTCCACCCCTCCGGACCCTCAGGGACACTGAGAACTAGGGACTTATACACGTGGGAATCCAGGGACCCAGGGACCCAGGGACTCAGGGACTCAGAGATCTGAGGACCCAGGGACCCGAATACCCAGGGACCTAGGAACACAGGGACTCAGATAACAAGGGGCGCAAAAAACTAGAGACCCATACTCCCAGGGACCCTGAAACCCAGGGTCAAAGGCAGACGTGGAGACTGGCTCCACCCCTAGGGGCGGGGCCAAATGATTGCCTTCCGGCTCCACCTCTTTGGGTGGGGTTACGTCTTGGATCCACCCCTAGGGGCGGGACAAGGGCGGTCTACGTCATAGCTCCACCTCTTTCGGGGTGGAGTCAGTGGAGGCTCAGTCCTTGCTCTACCTGCATGGGGAAGACTCAGGGGTGTTGCCTATTAACTGCGCCCCTTACAGAGAGGGATCAGGACGGTATGAGTCCTGGCTTCACCCGCTTAAAGCACTGTAAGTGGCCAAATTCCTGGTCTCCACATGATTTCTAAAGGGGTTCGAGTTGTCACTCATTATCCAGCAGTGGATGGGGAGGGGGAACAGGAGACTGGGGACGTGGGAAATGCAGCTGGAAGAGACCTCGCGCTAGAGGGTCCAGGCCCTGACTCCACGCCCCGCCATCGCTCCCCAGCTGACCTCGTGCGTCCACGCGTCCTGCGCGCTCCTGTACCCCATGCGCTGGGAGCACGTGCTGATCCCCACGCTGCCCCCACACCTGCTGGACTACTGCTGGTGAGCGAGGGCAGCTGGGAGGGGCAGGGCCTGTGGGCAGGCCCTGGGGGCGGTGCCTGCATGACCCCGTCCCCTCGGTCCGCAGCGCGCCCATGCCCTACCTCATTGGAGTGCACGCCAGTCTCGCCGAGGTGAGCGTGGATCTACCCAGACGACGGGGACGTGAGGGTTCCCCCTTCCTCTACATCCCCAGATGCCCTCCTCTGCCAAGGACTCCCGGGCTCTGAGCGGCCGACCCCGCTTTTCCGCAGAGAGTACGAGAAAAAGCCCTGGAGGACGTCGTGGTGCTGAACGTGGACGCCAATACCTTGGAGACGACCTTTAACGACGTGCAGGCGCTGCCTCCAGACGTGGTCAGTGTCGCCCCTCCCACCTTCCTGCCCCGGGAGGCGAGGGGCCCACACCTGCCCACTCAGGGCCACTCCCTTGTGCTTCAGGTGTCCCTGCTGAGGCTCCGGCTCAGGAAGGTCGCCCTGGCCCCCGGGGAAGGGGTGTCCCGTCTCTTCCTCAAAGCCCAGGCCCTGCTCTTCGGGGGGTACCGCGACGCACTCGTCTGCAGCCCGGTGAGCAGCGGGGACGCTGCGGGAGAGGTCTCGTGGGTTCCTGAATGAATCGCAATGTAACGATAGGTACAGTAGATGGCCGGACGCAGTGGCTCACGCCTGTAATCCCAACACTTTGGGATGCCGAGATGGGAGAATTGCTTGAGCCCAGAAGTTCAAGACCAGCCTGGGCAACACAGTGAGACCCCTCCCGTTTGTTGTTGTTGTTGTTTGTTTGTTTGTTTGTTTGTTTGTTTTTGAGACAGAGTTTCACTCTGTTCCCCAGGCTGGAGTGCCTCCCGGGTTCAAGCGATTCTCCTGCCTCAGACTCCCAAGTAGCTGGGACTGCAGGTGCGCACCACCATGCCCAGCTAATTTTTGTAGTTTTAGTAAAAACGGGGTTTCTCCATGTTGGCCAGGCTGGTCTCGAACTCCTGACCTCAGGTGATCTGCCCGCATCAGGCTCCTAAAGTTCTGGGATTACAAGTGTGAGCCACCATGCCCGGCCACCGTCTCTATATATTTTTTTAATTAAAAAATAATAATGATAGGTAGCATTAATGGAGTGCTTACTTTGTGCCTCTGTTTGCCCCTCTGTAAAATGGGACCCCAATAGTGCCACCCAAAAGGATATTAGAATCAGTGAATCAGCATTTTCCCAGCACTTTGAATCGTACCTGACATACAGCAAGCACTCAATAAATGCTAGCTCCTACCACTGCTATTATCTCATTTAATGCTCATAACATTTTGAGATGGATACTGTGATAGTCCCATTTTCCATATGAGGAAACCAAGGCTTTGGAGAAGTCCCACAGTGGGTGAATGTTGAAGCCGGGGCCTTGATCTCTGAAGCCCCCTCCCCTGTTTTTCACAACCAATCTGTAAAATCATTGGGGGGTTCTAGTATCACTTGAGCATCTGACGTTTTTGTCATCTCTGCATCCTGAATCTGCACACAGACCACCCACTTCCTCTGTCTCCACCCTGGCCTGGACCCTCTCATTGTTTGCCTAAAATTAATGCACTGATCTCTCCCAAAAACTGGGACTCCCCCGCAAGCAGTCTTCTTCTTCTTCTTTTTTTTTTTTTTTTCTCTTGAGACAGAGTCTTGCTCTCTTGCCCAGGCTGGAGTGCAGTGGCACAATCTCGGCTCACTGCAACCTCCACCTCCTGGGTTCAAGCAATTCTCCTGCCTCAGCCTCCTGAATAGCTGGGATTACAGGCATGCACCACCACAATGGCTAATTTTTTGTATTTTTAGTACAGATGGGGTTTCACCATGTTAGCCAGGCTGGTCTCAAACTCCAGACCTCAGGTGATCCATCCATCTCCTCTTCCCAGAGTGCTGAAATTACAGGTGTGATCCACCGCGCCCGGCCTCCTGCAAGCAGCCCTCTGCTTTATCTCCCAGAGTCTGTCCTCCCTGCAGTGGCCAGAGGTCACCTGTGAACACCCGAGTCAGATCATTTCCCTCCCCCCACCCCCCCGCCCACACCCCTCCCGGGCTTCCACCTTACTCGAGATAAATGCTTAAATCAGCCGGGTCGGTGACTCACACTTTTGAGAGGCCAAGGTGTGTGGATTGCTTGAGCCCAGGAGTTTGGACCAGCCTGGGAAACACAGTGAGACCCTGTCTCTACAAAAACTACAAAAATTAGCTGGGCGCAGTGGCGTGCACCTGTGGTCCCAGCTACTTGAGAGGCTGAGGTGGGAGGATCGCTTGAGCTCAGGAGGCAGAGGTTGCAGTGAACCAAGATCACACCACTGCACTCCAGCACGGGTGACAGAGTGAGACCCTGACTCAAAAAAAGAAATGAAAAAAAAAAAAAAAAAAACCAGGGCTGGGCGCGGTGGCTCACACCTGTAATCCCAGCACTTTGGGAGGCCGAGGTGGGTGGATCACGAGGTCAAGAGATGGAGACCAACCTGGCCAACATGGTGAAACCCAGTCTCTACTAAAAATACAAAAATTAGCTGGACATGGTGGCACGTGCCTGTAGTCCCAGCTACTCAAGAGGCTGAGGCAGGAGAATCGCTTGAACCCTGGAGGCAGAGGTTGCAGTGAGCTGAGATCACGCCACTGCATTCCAGCCTGGCGACAGAGCGAGACTCCGTCTCAAAAAACAAAACAAACAAACAAACAAAAAACAGCTTAAGTCCTCCCTGCCATCCATGAGGCCCCACACAGGATCAGACACACAGCAAGTGCCTAATCAATGTTTGCTACATAAATATATAGTAGAATGAGGGAGGGCCAGGAGCACCCCAGGGAGCTCAGAACTCCAACGCTTCTTCCAGGGCCAGCCAGTGACCTTCAGTGAGGAAGTCTTCTTGGCCCAGAAGCCTGGGGCACCTCTGCAGGCCTTCCACCGGCGGGCTGTGCACCTGCAGCTGTTCAAACAGGTATGCCAGAGCCCTGAGGGTCCAGCTGGGACTGGAGGTGGACTGCTGAGTCCCCGAGGGCTTGTCTGAACTGGCAGGGTTGAGGGCAGACTCCTGGGTCCCTGAGGGTATAGCTGGAGACAGTCCAGCAGGATCCCCTACTCCAGGGTTCCCAAGTGGGGAAGGACTGAACTCCTGGATTCCTAAAGATGGGAGCCCCCGGCTGGGCACAGTGGCTCATGCCTGTAATCCCAGCACTTTGGGAGGCCGAGGCAGGCGGATCACGAGTTCAGGAGTTCAAGACCAGCCCTACCAATATGGTGAAACCCCATCTCTACTAAAAATACGAAAATTAGCTGGGCGTGGTGGCGTGCGCCTATAATCCCAGCTACTCAGGAGGCTGAGGCAGGAGAATCGTTTGAACCCGGGAGGCAGACGTTGCAGTGAGCTGAGATCACACCACTGCACTCCAGCCTGGATAATAGAGCGAGACTCCGTCTCAAACAAAACAAAACAAAACAAAAACATGGGAGCCCCCAACTCCTGGGTTCCTGGGGGACAAGACCTACTCCTAGGTCCCTGAGGGAAATCAGGGTGGGACCAAATTCGCAGGTCCCTAAGCAGGTGTCTTTCTGGGACTGGGGTGGCGGTCCAAGCTGGACTCCAGAGGGGATGGGTCCTGACTGTGAAATCCCAGGATTTCCTGAGTCCTAGGGATATGGGTGGGGGGGCGGGGTGGCACATAGGGCTGGACTTCTAGGCCCCTGGGAGAAGGTAGCTTGGACCACAAGATCCCTAAAGATGGGGTCCACCTACTCTTGATTCAATGAGAGCGGGTGGGTAGTTCTAGAGGGGGCAGAAATCAATTTCTGGGTCCCTGAAAGGGGCAGGGCTTGGTCCCTGGGGACAGGTCCTGACTCGGGGAGGGAGGAGAAGGTAGGATCTCTGGTTTCTAAAGTGGGCTCCGGGCCGGGGACAGTGGCTTACGCCTGTAATCCCAGCATTTTGGGAGCCCAAGGCAGACGGATCACCTGAGGTCAGGAGTTCGAAACCAGCCTGGCCAACATGGGGAAACCCTGTCTCTACAAACAATATAAAAGTTAGCTGGGCATGGTGGTGCATGCCTGTAATCCCAGCTACTTGGGAGGCTGAGGCAGGAGAATCACTTAAACCCGGGAAGCGGAGGTTGCAGCGAGCCGAGATCACGCCACTGCACTCCAGCCTGGGTGCCAGAGCAACTCCATCTCAAAAAATAAAAATAAAAAATAAAGTGGGCTCCAGTTTCCCAGGTGCTTGGGGGTGGGCAGGTTGGAGGCCAGAGATGGCTTCTACATCTTGACAGCAGGCAGGCTTCGAAGTGCTGGCATTCAGATGTGTCTCCTGCTGTTTCTGATTTACTGTCCCCCACCCCAGTTCATCGAAGCCCGGCTGGAGAAGCTCAACAAGGGGGAGGGCTTCTCAGATCAATTCGAGCAGGAGATCACTGGCTGCGGGGCCTCCTCAGGTGAGCCCTGAGTCCAGCCCCTGGGTCCCCCACTACCCGCCACCAGCACCCCCAGCCTCAGCCAGCCTTCGGTGACCACCACACTCTCTCCTTACCCCAGGGGCCCTTCGATCCTATCAGCTCTGGGCCGACAATCTAAAGGTAAGACCACCAGAACAATAGGCCGTGGGCGTTGGCTTAGGCCTGTAATCCCAACACATTAGGAGGTGGAGATAGAAGGATTGCTGCGACCAGAAGTTTGAGACCGGTTAGGGCAACGTGACGAAACCCCATCTCTACTGAAAAAAAAAAAATTCGCTAGGTGTAGCTGTAGTCCCAGCTACTCGGGAGGCTAAGGTGGAAGGATGGCTTGAGCCCCAGGAGGTGGAGGTTGTAGTGAGCCGAGATCATGCCACTGCACTCCAGCCTGGGTGACAGAGCAAGACCCTGTCTCAAAAACCACTTTGTTGCCTGGGCACGGTGGCTCATGCCTGTAATCCCAGCACTTTGGGAGGCTGAGGCAGGCGAATTGCCTGAGGTCAGGAGTTTGAGGCTGAGGCGGGCGGATCACAAGGTCAGGAGATCGAGACCATCCTGGCCAACATGGTGAAACTCTCTCTCTACTAAAAATACAAAAATTAGCCGGGTGTGGTGGCAGGCGCCTGTAGTCCCAGCTACTCGGGAAGCTGAGGCAGGAGAATCGCTTGAACCAGGGAGGTGGAGGTTGCAGTGAGCCGAGATGGCACCACTACATTCCAGCCTGGGTAACAGAGCAAGACTGCATCTCAGCAAAAAAAAAAAAAAAACAAAAAAAAACTGTTCTTTGAGACTCCATCTCAAAAAAAACAAAAACAAAAACAAAACACTTAAGTGTGTCTCATTGGATTAATTTAACTCCGCAAGTCACCAGGTAGGGTCATGACTACGATCATGTTCATTTATAGAGGTGAAAAAATGGAGACTCAGAGAGGGAAAGGGGCTTGATTGGCATCACACAACCTGGGATGGGGAGGTGGGATCTGGCCCTAGCCTCTCCCCCTTGGTATCTTCTCTCCCGCAGAAAGGTGGTGGCGCCCTCCTGCACTCAGTCAAGGCCAAGACCCAACCAGCCGTCAAGAACATGTACCGCTCGGTGAGGCTGAGCTGGACAGGCCACTCTTGCTGGGGTGACGAGGGGGAGGGGACAGAGGACACTTTGACCTCCCAAGGATGGAGTATTTTGACCCTGGCAGACACTTTAAACACAAATGATTTAATCAGAACTGAACCAGCAGTTAAACCATTAACAACTCTTCCCCCTTTTATTTTTTATTTATTATACTCATTTTTTGTTGGAATCCTACCCGCCCCCCTCCGCCCCGCCCACGGCCCCTTTAAAATTGACAGCCAAGATTTGCTGGCAAACATTCTTTTTGTCCTTGGATGCTACAATTCCAGGTTCTGCCTTTTATCTCCCAAGCTCAGAAGTTTCCTGGGGCCAATTTTTGCAGCTCAAAATTGTCCGTGCGATTTTGTTCTTCACCGCTTTGAAACAGGAACACCTTGCCCTGTTGCTTTGCCACTCCCCATTTTCTTTGGGGATGACTGCCTCCAGGAATACTCATTTTATATTAGTCAAAGGGGTGAAAGTTTGCATTGACTTCTTAGGTGGTGTATGGGGGGTGGTGAACGTATTTGAGACATGCAGATGGCAAAAAAAAAAGCTATCTTAGGGGACAGAAGGCTGAGCTCTCAAATGCCCAGGATCCCACCACCCTTGGGTAATTCTCTGTCCACTCCTTTATAGGCCAAGAGTGGCTTGAAGGGGGTGCAGAGCCTTCTAATGTATAAGGTAAGATCAACTGGCCGGGTGCAGTGGCTCACCCCTGTAATCCCAGCACTTTGGGAGGCCGAGGCAGGAGGATTGCTTGAGCCCAGGAGTTTGAGACCAGCTTGGGCAATATAGTGGGGCCTTGTCTCTACAAAAAAATAGTTAAAAATTATCTGAATATGGATTGCTTGAGTCTAGAAGGCGGAGGTTGCAGTAAGCTGAGATAGCGCCACTGTACACCAGCCTGGGTGACAGAGAGACCCTGTCTCAAAAAAAAGAAGACTGTGGCTGGGCACGGTGGCTCACGCCTGTAACCCCAGCACTTTGGGAGGCCGAGGAGGGTGGATCACTTGAGGTCAGGAGTTCTAGACCAGCCCGACCAACATGGTGAAACCCCATCTCTACTAAAAATACAGAATTAGCTGGGTATGGTGGCGCACGCCTGTAATCCCAGCTACTTGGGAAGCTGAGGCATGAGAATCGCTTGAACCTGGGAGTCAGAGGTTGCAGTGAGCCGAGATGGCACCACTGCACTCCAGCCTGGGCAACATGAGTGAAGCTTCATTTCAAACAAAAAAAAAAAAAGACTAACTAAAGACCAATGGTAGGGGGTGGTGGGGAGACTCTGTGGCAGAGGTTCCCAGTTCACTCTTCTCTTCCTAGGATGGGGACTCTGTCCTGCAGAGGGGGGGCTCTCTGAGGGCCCCAGCCCTCCCCAGCCGCTCAGACCGCCTGCAGCAACGCCTCCCAATCACTCAGCACTTTGGAAAGGTGAGAGCGCCCCTCCCCCCATGCACACACCTGGAATTATCACTGAATCCTCTACCCATCCCAGTCCCCATCCAGACATCTCACCTCCTTCTTCAACTCCCCAAATATGTGGCACCCACTTCACACTCACCCTTCTCCAGCAAGCCTCAGCCCCCCGATTCTGCAGTCTCCTGAGGTCCTATCGCCCCCACCCTTTGCAGAACCGGCCCCTTCGCCCCAGCAGGAGACGCCAGCTGGAAGAGGGAACTTCCGAGCCCCCAGGGGCGGGGTAAGGCAAAAAGGGAACAGCAGTGTTGAAAGTGGGAGGCCAGGACTGATGGGGAGGAGGGTTCCCAAACTCCAGAGCAGCCTGACCAGGGCTGGGGGTCTTGGGCAAATATCTGAGGCTGCCCATCCTCACCCAGGACACCCCCACTGAGCCCTGAGGATGAGGGGTGCCCGTGGGCAGAAGAAGCTCTGGACAGCAGCTTCTTGGGGTCTGGAGAAGAACTGGATTTGTTGAGCGAGATTCTGGACAGTCTTAGCATGGGAGCCAAGAGCGCAGGCAGCCTGAGACCGAGCCAGAGTTTAGACTGCTGTCACAGAGGAGACCTGGACAGCTGCTTCAGCCTGGTGAGAGCCTCGCCCACTCCCCCAACCCTACCCCAAGTCTTCCCCTAATGGTCCATCCAACTTGCCAGCCCCTCTGCCATCTAAAAGCCACAACTTCCCTATCCATCTCACCTAGCCCAACATACCAAGATGGCAACCAGACGATAAGAAACTACCAGAGCCGGAGCCCCAGCCCCTTTCCCTGCCATCCCTGCAAAATGCCTCGTCTTTGGATGCCACCAGCTCTTCAAAGGACTCCAGGTCCCAGCTGATACCCTCAGAGTCCGACCAAGAAGTCACGTCTCCATCCCAGTCCTCAACAGCTTCTGCAGACCCAAGCATCTGGGGGGACCCCAAACCCTCTCCTCTCACAGAGCCCCTAATTCTTCATCTCACCCCTTCCCACAAGGCAGCTGAAGATTCTACAGCCCAGGAAAACCCCACTCCCTGGCTCTCCACTGCACCCACTGAGCCCAGCCCTCCAGAAAGCCCCCAAATTCTGGCCCCCACAAAGCCCAACTTTGATATAGCCTGGACGTCCCAGCCCCTTGATCCTTCCTCAGACCCCAGTTCTCTGGAGGACCCCAGAGCCCGGCCTCCCAAAGCCCTGCTGGCAGAGCGCGCTCACCTCCAGCCACGGGAGGAACCAGGAGCCCTGAATTCCCCTGCTACACCCACCAGCAACTGTCAAAAGTCCCAGCCCAGCAGCCGGCCCAGAGTCGCTGATCTTAAGAAGTGCTTTGAGGGTTAAGAATCAGGGGTCCAAGAGAGACCCCAGTCCCTCAATAAAGCCACAAGAGCCCAAAAAAGCTGGTTTTTTTCCTGGTGAATTTCTCTGGTGCCCTCACTCTGCTCGGAAATCCATCCCACCCACCTCTGTCCCTCCAAGGGCAGCCTCTCTAACTGGCTCCTAGCAGGGAATTCCAGGAAGCCTCCTGGTCTTCTAGAATCCTGGCAACCTTACAATTCCTCTCGGCATTTGTCACTTCCATCTCAGCTAATGCACCCACCAGCTCAAACACACCAATAAAGCTTTTGTTACATCTCACTACTAATTTTATATAAATATATAAAAGTGAATAGCCCCATCCTCTCTTGACCTCAGGGGCAGAGTCTTTGAAGTACCTTCTTCCCTGCTATTAAGCACTGGGTGGATCTGACTGCCCAGAGAGGGCACTGCCTTTCCCCAAGGTCACACAGCAATGAAGGGAGACAGATGCAGGAGAGGGGACCTAGATGGGCAGGCAGCCCTGCACCGTCTCCTTGGAGTCCTGAGGGGCCCGGGCCTCGGCTGCATGGGAGAACTGAAAGAAAGGAGAGGGGGTTGTGGGGCCTGCTGGACACACAGAGAAAAGTTGGTTCCGCAAGCAGGGGGGTGGGTCCCGAGCCCCAGCACCCTGAGCTGCAGGCACAGCCAAGCAGAGGCAACATGCTGCACAGAGCCCACCACATGGGTGCCCCCAGCCTCTCCCCACAAGTCCTCCTGAGCCATCAGAGGCTGGTGTCTCGGTGGCAGCTGCGGTGTACAAGCCAGCAACCCGCAGTCCTGGGCAGTGTTGGTGGCTGCAGCAGGCCCCAGCGTTCAGATGAGCCGCTCTTCCGGCGGCAACTTGAGGTTGGGGGTCGGTGGCACGCGGGCACCCACCTGCTCCTCGCTACTGGGCCGGTAGGTGCCCTCCGTCTGCCGCTTCTCCCGAAGCTTCCGCACCAACAGTGCCAGCCCCACAGCCAGGAGCAAGGCAGCCAAGAGGGAGAAGACCACGATGATAGCAGTGATGGCTTCTGGACGCTGCAGAGAGGGGACAGGTGTGAATCACCTGAGCCTGGGTAGCCTGTCCACCTCCACCTGAATGGCATCCCCCTCATCACCCCCTACCCCACAACACACACACACACATACACACATCTGCCACTTTTGGTGATCTGATCCCCACAGTGGGGCTTCCTGGATCCCTACCTACCTTGTCTGGGGTGCGAAGGCTCCCCACCACCTGCCATGTCCGGGACACCCCTCGCAAGCACCTGCCATGTCTGGGACTCCGGCTTTTTTTTTTGAGACCGAGTCTTGCTCTGTTGCCCAGGCTGGAGTGCAGTGTCACAATCTCGGCTCACTGCAACCTCCGCCTTCTGGGCTCAAGCAATTCCCCCTGCCTCAGCCTCCCAAGTAGCTGGGATTACAGGTGTGTGCCACCCCGCCTGGCTAATTTTTTGTATTTTTAGTAGAGACAGGGTTTCACCATGTTGGCCGTGCTGGTTTCAAACTCCTGACCTCATGATTTTCCTGCCTCGGCCTCCCAAGGTGTTAGGATTACAGGCGTGAGCCACCGCGCCCGGCCGGGACTCCTGCTTTCATCACATCTACCAAGTCTGAGCTCCTTGCTCCCCCACCCACCTGAGAGGCATATGGAATTCCTGAGCCCACACATCTGACAGCTACAGTATTCCTGCCCACTCCCTCCAGGGTGTCCTAGTCTTCTTGGTCTAAGACTTCAGGTCTCTCCTACTTAGAGCTCTCCAAAGCCACCCTGACCTGCCACCTCTGGGGGGAGGGGGTGTCTAGTCCTCTCTACATGCTATATGTGTGACCCCTAGATAACATCCTTGCTGCCATCTTCCCACATATACCTCCAACTCACCAGGTTGCCATCGGAGCTGGAGCTGGTGGATGAAGGCAAAACAGTGCTATTCTCATTTGCAGAAGTGGTCTGTACTGTGGAGGGTGAAGGCAGAGAATA
Source organism: Homo sapiens (assembly GCF_000001405.40). Classification (NCBI taxonomy): domain Eukaryota; kingdom Metazoa; phylum Chordata; class Mammalia; order Primates; family Hominidae; genus Homo; species Homo sapiens. Next base: position 6,465,519 of record NC_000019.10, on the reverse strand, counting down.
ACTCAGTCTCCATCTTTCTCTCCCATCCCCGCCCATCTGCACCTGCTTTGGGCATTCCCCTTCACCTCCCCCTAGCAGGTCCCAATTCAAACTCTGCCTTTCATTCGCACAGAGATGGTTGGGTGTCTTGCAGGTAAGACCTCTCCCTTGGGTGTTTGCTCCCCAGGACACCCCCCCGACCCAGTCCCGCAGAGCCCAGTAGGGTGTCCAGAAGTCCACCCCTCCCCTACTCACCTCTCGGCCCTGGGCCCTTAAGGATCTGGGCGGGCCTAGCTTTTCCCTGGAGTGTCTGACTCACACCTCCCCACAGGCTCCCAAAACAAATCTAAGACTGAATGGCTGGGGTCTACACCTTCAGCCAACCAGGTCGACCCGGCTCGGCAGGCCTCCTCCCAGCTCCCAGTTCACCCAAAAACACCTGCACTATACCAAGACTCAGGTACGCAGCCCTTACCTCCCCCCAAGTCCTACTTAGGAGCCCCCACTCCAACACACAATTCCACCTCGCTGGGGAACTCAGGTCTCCTAGACCAACTCCCAGTGTCCAAGGAAGAAACTAGAAATCTTAATCCCCCCGAGCCCTAACCCTGTAGACCCCTCCCCAAGGTATTTCTTCCCCGCTCCCCAATTCTTGACCCTCTCTGCGCCCCAGATACCCAGCGCTTCTAAGCCACGTCCCCAGCAGAGATCCAGGAATCCAGACCCCTCCCCCCCAGCGCTCTCAGCTGGTACCTACTTTGCCCCCAGGCTCGGCCCCAGCGGGCCAGCAGGAACGGCAGGCCCAGCGCCAGAAGCAGCCCCAGCCCGGGGTTCGCCATGGGCTGGGTGGCGGGTTGGCAGCGCCGAGGAAGGGGCTTCTCGCGCTCGCCCCTCCTACCGCATCTCCGGCCAGGGGCACCTGCGACGGGGCACCTGGGGACAGGAGAAGGAGAGGCCCAGGCGTTGGGATCGGGGTGGGGACCCCGGCGCAGGCCCACAGGAGAGACAACTGGCGCCAGGGCACCCATGAGTCCCGCCCCGCCCCAGCCGCCAGAGGTCAGCGATTAAAGATTAACTCCCAGGAGCGCGTTCCTGGGCTGGGGAAAGGAAGGGGACGGGACGGGACGGGACGGGACGGGCAGGGTGGACGGGCGAGGGGGCAGGCCTAGCGGTGCGTCCTGCCTTCCTACCTGGCCCGGGCGTCTTTGACCTAGCTCAGGTTCCTGGTCCGTGTCCCTCCCTCGAACCCTCGGTCCGTCGGTCGTTCTGTGGGTCCGACCCCACCGGCTCCGCCCTGTCACGTGACCCGGAAAGTTTAGTCACTCACCTGGGAGAGCGCACTTCCGGCTTGTGCACCTGAGCCTCGCTGAGAGGGCGGAGTCAAGAAGGGGGCGGGGCCGCGCTGTGGGCGCACCTGTAACGGGACCCCAGTCCCTTAATGGGGATGCGGGGAGGGAGACCGCGGAAGCGCGCAGGTGTGAGGGGGACCTTACACCTGCATTGCGAGCATATCTGTGGGAGCGCACAGGTGTGGAGACGCACGGGGTATGTATGTACCCGTGCACTAGGCACTCCTGCCTAGGGCAGACTTGGATGGGGAGCGCTTAATGAGAAAAAATACCTGCCCAGGCGCAATGGCTCACGCCTGTAATCCCAACACTTTGAGAGGCCGAGGCAAGAGGATTGCTTGAGGCCAGGAGTCCGAGACCAGCCTGGGCAACACAGCGAGGCCTCATTCTCTACAAAAAATAAATAAATAAATAAACAAATAAATAAAAAGAAGAAAATAAGCCGGGGGCGGTGGCGTGATCCTGTAATCCCAGCGCTTTGAAAGGCCGAAGTAAGAGAATCACTTGAGGCCAGGAGTTCGAGATCAGCCTGGCCCACAGACGGAGGCCCCATATTTACAAAAAATAAGAAAATTAGCCAGATGTGATGGCACGCACCTGTAGCCCCAGCTACTTGGGAGGCTGAGGTGGGAGGATCGATTGGGCCCAGGAGTGGAGGTAACAGTGAGTGAGCTATGATTGTACCACTGTACTCCAGCCTGGGTGACAAAGTGAGACCCTGTCTCTAAAAAAATTTTAAAAACAAAAAAACAGCTGTATGGTAAACACCTGTGTGGAACCAAACCTGTACAGAAGACAACTGCACAGGTGTTCACATATAAGAACATACAGAAAACAGATGGCCGGGTGCGGCGGCTCACGCCTGTAATCCCAGTACTTTGGGAGGCCTAGGCAGGAGGATCACCTGACGTCAGGAGTTCGAAACCAGACCAGCCTGCCCAACATGGTGAAACCTTGTCTCTACTAAAAATACAAAAATTAGCCGGGTGTGGTGGCAGGTGCCTGTAATCTCAGCTACTCGGGGGGCGCTGAGGCAGGAGAATTGCTTGAACTCAGGAGACAGAGATTGCAGTGAGCCGAGATTGCACCATTGCACTCCACCCTGGGTGACAAGAGTGAAACTCCATCTCATAAAAAAAAAAAAAAATCTGCATTGAATCACAGCTATACGAAATATAGCCAAGGCTGGGCATGGTGGCCCACGCCTGTAATCCTAGCACTTTGGGAGGCCGAGGCAGGTGGATCACGAGGTCACGAGTTCGAGACCAGCCTAGCCAAGATGGTGAAATCCCCGTCTCTACTAAAAAATAATCAAAAATTAGCTAGCGTAGTGGTGGGCGCCTGTAATCCTAGCTACTTGGGAGGCTGAGGCAGGAGAATCGCTTGAACCCTGGAGGCGGAGGTTGCAGTGAGCCGAGATCACGCCACTGCACTCTAGCCTGGGTGACAGAGCAAGACTGTCAAAAAAAGAAAAGAAATATAACCAAATGGATACATACCACCAGGGTGGACAGTATCTCTATAGAACACGCCTGCATTATCATCACAAACAGCTAACTAAGGCACTCTGATGTGGAATAGACCTGTTTTAGGAACATATCTGCATGGCTCACCTATGAAATGTACGGCACTTGCATTGGGGGAATTCCTGGGTGTCAGTGTCTTGTAAATACCTGTATGAGACACACCTGCATTTACGTAAACCTGTATGGGACTCGGTTGTATGGAAACATACCCAGATGGGTGTATACTTAACTGAAACACACCTACGGGGCGGGAGACTGTAGAATGCATTCATGGGTGGAGGGAAACCTGCTCAGAAACATACCTGTGAGGTAAGAGAAAGCACCTTGTAGGAGGAACACCTGTATGGAATTGAGCTCAAGTGAGGGGAAGAACTTGGAACATCTGCACGGGGCACACTCACATTGACACACATCTGTGGGTAAAACCATCAGGGCAGGGGCTCACATACACTGAGGCCCACCTGTCAAGAATGTATCTGTGAGAAAACACCTATTTAGGGGCACTTACATGGAAAAAAACCTCTGTATCACTCCATGCTGTATGGCACCTGCAAGGAACAACTGTAAATGAAAACCTCTGCTGGGGAGCCTCTTAGAAGAGACTCATTTGTCTGGGGCACACCTGTTCCAGCACACCTGTCTAGGCAGAGGCTGGGCGTGAACTAAATATGCCCTCACGACTGTATCTTTGTTTTCTTTCCTTTTTAAAAAAAATAATAATAATTATTATTATTATTTGTAGAGTTGGGTGTCTTGCTATATTGCCCAGGCCGGTCTCAAACTCCTGACCCCAAGCGATCCTCCCATCTCGGCCTCTCAAATTGCTAGAATTAGAGGCCTAAGCCACCGAGACCGGCCAATGCTGTATCTTTGGATAAAGGATGATGATAATAACAAGACCCCCTCCTGAGGACCCTTGGGTGACAAGTGATGATTAAAGAATAATTAGGCCAGGCCGGGCGCGGTGACTCACGCCTGTAATCCCAGCACTTTGGGAGGCTGAAGCGGGAGGATAATCTGAGGTCAGGTGTTCGAGACCAGCCTGGTCCACAGGTGAAACCCCCCCCCCCCGTCTCTAATAAAAATACAAAACTCACGGCTGCGGTCGGGCATGGTGGCTCATGCCTGTAATCCCAGCACTTTGGGAGGCCGAGGCGGGCGGATCACGAGGTCAGGAGTTTGAGACCAGCCTAACCAACATGGTGAAACCCCGTCTCTACTAAAAATACAAAAATTAGCCGGGCGTGGTGGTGTGCGCCTGTAATCTCAGCTACTTGGGAGGCTGAGGCGGGAGCATTGCTTGAACCCGGGAGGCGGAGGTTGTGGTGAGCTGAGATCGTGCCATTGCACTCCAGCCTGGGCAATAAGAGCGAAACTCCATCTCAAAAAAAAAAAAAAAAAAAAAAAAAAAAAAAAAAAAAAAAAAAAAAAACTCACTGCTGCGTGCGATGGCTCACGCCTATAATCCCAGCACTTTGGGAGGCTGAGGCGGGCGGATCACGAGGTCAGGAGTTCGAGACCAGCCTGGCCAACATGGTGAAACCCCGTCTCCACTAAAAATACAAAAATTAGCTGGGTTTGGTGGCGGGCGCCTGTAATCCCAGCTACTCGGGAGGCTGAGGCAAAAGAATCGTTTGAATCCGGGAGGCGGAGGTTGCAGTGAGCCGAGATCGCGCCATTGCACTCCAGCCTGAGCAACAACAGCGAAACTCCGTTTCAAAAAAAAAAAAAAAAAAAAGATAATTAATTCTTTCTAGGGTATAGAGTGATGGTTAAGGATCCCAGATCTCTTTAAACCCTGTTTTGCCCCTTAGTGGTCATCAGGACTGGGGAGAATGACTTAACCTCCGCTTCCTTATCTGCAAAGTGCGAACGCCAGTACCACCTACCTTATAGGGTTTTGGCAAAGACGACTCGAGAGGTGAGTAAAAGCCCTGGCATGTGCAAAGCACTGAATCAAAGTGAGATTTGTTATCGAGTATTCGCTGTCAAGTGGTCTGGGCTCCCTTCCCCCTAATGGTGGATCGAGAAACTGCGCCCGAAACTAGCAGTAGGGACATTCCGCAGGTGCAGCGAGTGCGACAGGCTGGGGCCCTGCCTCCAGCGCTCGACCACTGGGATCCTCAACCCCGCGCCCGGGTCACTGAGCCACCCCCTCCCCACGCCGCTCAGCGTCTGATTGCGGCCGCGGCCCCTTTAAGATCTCCTGGCAGGCGGTGGGACTGCGGGCTGGAGGCAGTCGGGGGTCTGCGGGGAGGCCCCGCCTAGGTGGGAGAAGAGGCGGGGCGGGCGGGCTCAGCCCAGGAGGCGCTGACCAATAGGAAACCGACTTTGCAGCCGCGCCGCGCGTTGATTTTCTGTTTCCCAGTCAGAGTGGGAACCGAGAAAGGAAGCGCGCGGGCGGGAAGAAGGGACAGTGGGAGAGCATCGCTCCTGGATCTTCTGTTTCTGCGGCCGAGCGGGGAAGGTGTAAGGCGCGGGCGGGCAGAGAGCGAGCGAGATGGTGCACGGTTCTTGCGTGCGTCTGGGAAAAGCGAGAACTTGAGTTCCTGAAGATTAGTGGGTGTGGCGGGGAGGTCAAGTGGAAGGGGATTATGAAACCCAATCCCCGACAGCGCTCTACCTTGCCCCCTTGGGCAAAGGGGGAAAGGGTAAACTGAGGCACGCAGAGGCGGAACTCTGAAACCAGACCTGAGACCACTGAGCTCCCTAGCCCGTCTTCCCAGAAGGAACTCTGGTGTTCCTCGGCTGTGCAATACCAGACCATCCCAGACATTCCCTCCCCACGCCCCCAGCTCCGCCCTCGGTCCCCTCCCCCCAATGCAGGTCGGGGGAGGAGACGCAAGTTCTGGCGCGGGCGGCGACGGCTAGCCGTCACCACCTCCCGCAAGTGCCAGAGCCGAGCGGACTGCGCGGAGGCTGCGGAGCCGGCGGCCGCGGGAGCTGACCCTGCGGGGTCCCGGGGGGGGAGGGGGAGCCGCGAAGCCCCCACTGAGGCCGCCGCTGCCGGGCCTCCCCTCCCCCCCGGGCGGGCGCCATGCGGGGGAGCCCGGGCGACGCGGAGCGGCGGCAGCGCTGGGGTCGCCTGTTCGAGGAGCTGGACAGTAACAAGGATGGCCGCGTGGACGTGCACGAGTTGCGCCAGGGGCTGGCCAGGCTGGGCGGGGGCAACCCAGACCCCGGCGCCCAACAGGTACCCCCACCCCCAGGGACCTCCTCCCCTCCCGGCCCCGCCCGCTCCCGGTTACCCAAGCCCCTGAACTGGGCGGCCGGAGCCACCAGGGACTACCTGTGGCTGGACTCCAGAACCTGTGTCTCTGTCTCGTTCCCCCTACCCACTCGTGTTTGGCCTAACGGGATCGCTCAAGACAGGGACGCCGAGGCCCCAAGCCTGCAGTTCCGCGGCCAACACCCGATCCCCCTGCTGCGGGGCAGGGGGCGTCTGCCTGGGAAGAGATGGGGGCGCTTTCCTGCCCACTGCCCGGGACACACCCTCCTCCAGACTGCACAGCCCATGACGTGCCCTGCTCTCACCTCCAGGAGACACACCCTCCATCCTCTGGGCACCTACTGCCCTGGCCTGCAGCTGCCCCGATCCCTGTGTTTACATTCCCTGGCCTGCCCTTTCATGGGCCGTTCACGGGCCTGGCTCACTGTCCCGGGCTGCCCCAGCCAGGGACCCAATCCTGTCTGCGGTCACCCGCAGCTGGGAATGCACCTATAACAAGACTTTCCTCCCGCTGCCCCCACCTCCACTTTGCAGGTCCTTCCCACACCTGTAGCCCCAGATCGCTCTAAGAGAACCACAGCAACCCTGAGAGCAGTCCAACCTCCCACTTCCCAAATGGGAAAAACCAAGGCCTCAGCCACTCCGCTTGGTTCTCTCCTGCCCCACATCGCCCAGGGCTTCCTCCAAAGGGAACCCCTGGGTCCCCCATGTGGACAGGGTTTTTTAAGAGGCAGCTGGGTTCAACAGGAATGAGATACCTAAAAAAATAACAAAAACTAAAAACAAGAGACAGCTGGAAGGACAGGCTTTACAGATGAGAACTGAGGTTACCATTTCCTGGTTCTGTGACCTTGAACTGGTGACTTGACCTTGCAGAGCCTCAGTTTGCTCACCAGGAAAACTAGACCACTCACACCCACCGCACAGACCTGTGGTGGCTGTAGGGATCTGGCTGAGAAGTTAGCTGACTGAGGGAGAAGTGGGGTGACGTCTTCTATCCCCTTCCTCAAGGCGCTGGGGGCTCTGGGTTCCTAAGGCATAAGGTGACATGCGTCCCCTCCAGATCAGGAGCAGGTTCCTGGAGCCACCTCTATCCCCTTTCCCTCTGTCAGGGTATCTCCTCTGAGGGTGATGCTGACCCAGATGGCGGGCTCGACCTGGAGGAATTTTCCCGCTATCTGCAGGAGCGGGAACAGCGTCTGCTGCTCATGTTTCACAGTCTTGACCGGAACCAGGATGGTAAGGTCGGGCGACCTGCCTGCAGGCCCCAAGGGATAGGGCTGTGGGGGCCCTAGAGACATCAGTGGGGTTAGAACTGGCAGCGCTAGGAGGAGAGGGGGAGGGCCGCTTCTCCCCGATGACTCATAGGCTATTTCAGGAGCACTCCTCACCCCCTAGCTAGGTGGTTCGAGGCCCAGCCAGCCCATCCCACCTCCTTTCCCTACTGGGGCAGAACCCCGATAATTACCCTTAGATTTTTCTATGGGGCAAAGATACCCTATGCTGTTCCTGGGTCCCCTGTGGGACAGAGATCCCCTCATAGCAGCATCTGGGTTGTGGATATTGCCTCTCAATCCCCCATGGCATAGAGACCCCTACAATTACCCCTGGATTCCTTCATTCATTTACAGAACAGAGAAGCCCCCCCAGTATTTCCCAGTTCCACCTCTCTGACCCCAGTGAGTCAGGGGTCCCCCCACAGCCCTACTGCAAACCTCCTCCTAGGTTTCTGGAGCCCCTGATCTTGCTAGACCACCTCCATTCCAAGCTGTTCTGATCCTTGGTCCTGGGGTTCCCCAGGTGTCCTCACACGCACATCCTTCCCCACCTCCGGCCCCCTCCCCAGGTCACATTGATGTCTCTGAGATCCAACAGAGTTTCCGAGCTCTGGGCATTTCCATCTCGCTGGAGCAGGCTGAGAAAATTTTGCACAGGTGAGTCGCTGGGGGTCTGGAATCCAAAGTAACTCAGGACACAGTGACCCCTTGGCCATCTCTGTCTTCTGGGCTCCAGACCCAGTCCCAAGGAGGATACAGCTGAGAGGTTGGGGCTTTGAAGTCAGACAGATCTGGCCAGGCGCAGTGGCTCACATCTGTAACCCCAGCACTTTGGGAGGCTGAGGCAGGTGGATCACCTGAGGTCAGGAGTTGGGGACCAGCCTGGCCAACATGGTAAAACCCCATCTCTACTAAAAATACAAACATTGGCCAGGCGTGGTGGTGCATGCCTGTAATTCCAGCTACTTGGGGAGGCTGAGGCACGGGAATCCCTTAAACCCAAGAGGTGGAGGTTGCAGTGAGCCAAGATCAGGCCAGGACACTCTAACCAGGGTGACGGAGTGAGACTCCTTCTGGAAAAAAAAAAAAAAAAAGAAAGAAAAATTCAAATTGAAGCCAGACAGATCTGGGACCAGTTGCCTCTCTTAGCCCGTTTCCCCCTCTACAAAATGAGGGTAATACAGCTGGCTATGGTGGCTCACGCCTGCAATCCTGCCACTTTGGAAGGCCGAGGCAGGTGGATCACGAGGTCAAGAGATGGAGACCATCCTGGCCAATATGGTGAAACCCTGTCTCTACTAAAAATACAAAAATTTGCTGGGCATGGTGGTGTGCACCTGTAGTCCCAGCTACATGGGAGGCTGAGGCAGGAGAATCTCTTGAACCCAGGAGGCAGAGGTTGCAGTGAGCTGAGATCGCACCATTGCTCTCTAGCCTGGGCAACAGAGCAAGACTCCGTCTCAAAAAAAAAGAAAAAAGAAAATGATGGTAATATTTGCTACATCTCTAATAGGGTTGATATGAGGACTTGAACCTCCCAAACTGCAAAACCTAGCAGAACTTCACCCCAGCCTAGCCCACCCCCAGGCACTGAACCTGTCCTCCTCCACCCCCTTTCTTCCCCCCAGCATGGACCGAGACGGCACAATGACCATTGACTGGCAAGAATGGCGCGACCACTTCCTGTTGCATTCGCTGGAAAATGTGGAGGACGTGCTGTATTTCTGGAAGCATTCCACGGTGAGGTGGGGGTGGCTTTCCCCAGCTGAAGGCTGTGCCCTCTTCCCCAGGGGGGCCTTGCTCCGATCTCCCCAGGGCTTGGATGGGCTGGACCAGGACTTTCCAGAAGGAGAAGGCACTGGCAGCAGCTGACGGATGAGGGTCTGTTCCTCTCTTCCTCCACTTAGGGTTCAAGGGTCCCATTTGGGACATCTCTGCTGTCTGATTGAAGCGCAGCCCTTGAGACTTACATCGGGGCCTCTGGGGACAGCGTGTGGGGGTTGCGGGTACAGGGAAGAAAGAGCTCACCAGATGGGGTACAAGGCCTCCCACCTTCCACCCACACAGCTCTCTTCTGCTGGGTTCTCTGCCTGGATAAAAGATTCTACGGCTGAACAGAATCGTTCAAAAACCACGGTCTTGGCCAGGCGCAGTGGCTCACACCTAAAATCCCAGCACTTTGGGAGGCCGAAGTGGGCGGATCACGAGGTCAGGCGATCGCGACCATCCTGGCTAACATGGTGAAACCCCGTCTCTACAAAAATATTAAAAAAATGAGCCAGGTGTAGTGGCAGGCACCTGTAGTCCCAGCTACTAGGAAGGCTAAGGCAGGAGAATGGCGTGAACCCAGGAGGCGGGAGCTTGCAGTGAGCCGAGATCGTGCCACTGCACTCTAGCCTGGGTGACAGAGCCACACTCCGTCTCAAAAAAAAAAAAAAAAAAAAAAAAAAAACACGGTCTTCAGAGGATCCAATGGGAGCCACTAGAGAGGGTAGTGGGGGTTTGCTCTAGATCCCTAGTTCCTGGGTGAAATGTCTATGAGCAATGTGTCTGGTAGGATCTGATGGCATCTGGAGGGGGATCCGTCTGTGGGATCTGGTGAGAACCTCTTTGGAGATCCAGAGACTCCCACCCCAGACGATTCATGGGGACCTTGGTTAGAAATTCTAGACTGGAAATGATTCCTGCACGGGGACTCCATGTGGAGGAGATCCCTGTGAGATTTCGTGGGTCCCTGAGAAGGATCTGCTGGGGTCTTTATAGGGGAGGTGCCTGGTAAGATCTTGTATGGCCCTGAAGGGATCTTTTGGAATCATTATATGGAAAACCCTTGAGTGGGATCCTTCAGTAGAATCTCATTTGCCCTGAGGGATCTTTTTTTGCTGTTACAGACAAGGTCTTACTCTGTTTCCCAGGCTGAAATGCAGTGGTGTGATCATAGCTCAATGTAGCCTCAAACTCCTGGGCTCAAGCAATCCTCCCATCTTGGCCTCCTGAGTAGCTGGGACTACAGGCACATGCCCGGCCAATTTTTGTAGAGAGGGGATCTTGCTATGTTGCCCAGGCTGGTCTTGAACTCCTGGCCCCAAGGGATTCTCCCACTTGGGCCTCCCAAAGTGCTGGGACTACAGATGTGAGGCATCACATCTAGCCTGGAGGGATCTTTATGTGGCAGATACTTGAATAGGATCCTTTAGTGGGATTTGGCAGATCCTTTGGTGGGATTTAGTAGGATATTGGGATCTTCTAAGGAGGCTGCTAGGTTAGATGCTTTGGTGACACCTGGTAGGACCCAACAGGACTCTTCTGGGGTCTCCAAGCAAGAGTCATTGGCAGACTCTAGGGTATCCTAGGATTCATAGAGGAGACTCCCCTATTTAGGACTGAGTCACATCTCCCTGTCCCCACCATGGCATGACACCCCCAACACCTGTATCTTTAGGTCCTGGACATTGGCGAGTGCCTGACAGTGCCGGACGAGTTCTCAAAGCAAGAGAAGCTGACGGGCATGTGGTGGAAACAGCTGGTGGCCGGCGCAGTGGCAGGTGCCGTGTCACGGACAGGCACGGCCCCTCTGGACCGCCTCAAGGTCTTCATGCAGGTGAGGGGCTCTGGAGAGACCTGCCCCCTCCCCCAGGCCTGACACCTGGGAGGGGACCTCCAAGCTGTTGTCTCCCCATTCAGGTCCATGCCTCAAAGACCAACCGGCTGAACATCCTTGGGGGGCTTCGAAGCATGGTCCTTGAGGGAGGCATCCGCTCCCTGTGGCGCGGCAATGGTATTAATGTACTCAAGATTGCCCCCGAGTCAGCTATCAAGTTCATGGCCTATGAACAGGTGAGGGCAGGTACAGGGAGGAATGTGCTTGCCATAGGGAAGACTGGGCTGTACATAAAGATTTACGGGATTGGCTTGGGGGTGGGTGGTGAACACAGGTCCCCAGGATCAGGCATCTGCTCCTCTGCATGAATGCCTGCAGCAAGCCAGTTCTTTGGAAGCCAGGAGAACAGTGGAGTGCAAGGAAGGTTCAACCCCCATGGTCCTACCCATCCCTGTGTCTCCCCGCCTCAGATCAAGAGGGCCATCCTGGGGCAGCAGGAGACACTGCATGTGCAGGAGCGCTTCGTGGCTGGCTCCCTGGCTGGTGCCACAGCCCAAACCATCATTTACCCTATGGAGGTGAGAAGGAGGGACCCCAGCGGAGGCCCCATGGCAGGGTGGGGGGCCTGCTGTACCCATCTCACTCTGCATTTCACAATATCCATTGGGATTTTACCTTTGTCCCTCTCTGATTTGGAGTATAGCTCATCAGAGTAATGCAATTTCATGTGTAGCCTGTCTGGGTATTACAACTGAGATATAATTTCTGGGGAAGGTAGTGTCGGTTATCCTTGTTTGGATGGTAGTCATAGGAGCCAGCTGTTTATAAATATGCATCTTCTAAGGATAGGGTGCACGTTCCCAGGGACGTCGTGTCTAGGTGTCACCAACTGTTTATGAATATGCCTCTTCTAAGGATAGACTGTGCTAGCTACATGTTTTCAGATAAATTATTTCAGGTTTCAGGTTATGAAGTGTATTGTTTGGATTCTGAAAGTGACAGAAAACTTAAATCATGTCAGCTGGGTGCGATGTCTAGCGCCTGTAATCCCAGCACTTTGGGAGGCCGAGGCAGGTGGATCACCTGAGGTCAGGAGTTCAAGACCAGCCTGACCAACATGGTGAAATACCGTCTCTACTAAAAATACAAAAATTAGCTGGGGATGGTGGTGGGCACCTGTAATCCCAGACACTTAGGAAGCTGAGGCAGGAGAATGGCTTGAACCTGGGAGGCGGTGGTTGCAGTGAGCCAAGATCATGTCACTGCACTCAGTCTGGGCAACTGAGCAAGACTCCAGCTCAAAAAAAAAAAAAAAAAAACTTCAATCACATCAACAAAGTCTACAGATGAGCATTTCAGGCTGGGATGGTAGCTTCAGAGTGTTAGCGATGCAGGTTCTTTCTGTCTATCTTGTTGTTACACAACCTCATGGACCAATGTGGCTGCTTGTGCTCCGTTCATCACATTCCACACTCCAGCCAAGAAGGAAGAAGCAATAAAAAAGGAAACACCTCCCCACCTCTAAGGATGCTTTCTGAACCTTATGTGTACCTCTTTCTCTTCCTTCTATTTCTTTGGCTAGGACATAGTGACATAGCCACATACCCAGGGCATCTGGGAAATGTCATTTTTCTTTCTAGTGGCTGTGTGCTTGCTGAAAGTTACAGTTTCTGATATGAAAGCAGAAGGGAACAAGATACTGGAGGTCTGGGCATGATGGCTCATGCCTGTAACCCCAGTCCTTTGGGAGATGGAGAGGGGAGGATCACTTGAGCCCAGGAGTTCGAGACCAGCACGGGCAAAGTAGCGAGTCCCCATCTCTACAGAAATGACCAAAAAATAAAAGAAAGATATCAGGAGACAGTTACTGGTGGTGCCACATGTGTGCACTTTGGTAGGTGTAACTATTTCTAGGTATAGGGATTTGGGGATAGCAGAAGATTCTAGAGTAGGTGGTTTTTAAAATTCGGTTGTTCTCAGGGCATCTGTTTTCAGGAGTAGCTATTTCTAGGTGTCTTCATTCCTGGATGTAGCGATTTGGTGGGACAGCTTTTCCAGGGATAACCAGGTTCTCCCCAGGTGCTGAAGACGCGGCTGACCTTGCGCCGGACGGGCCAGTATAAGGGGCTGCTGGACTGCGCCAGGCGTATCCTGGAGAGGGAGGGGCCCCGTGCCTTCTACCGCGGCTACCTCCCCAACGTGCTGGGCATCATCCCCTATGCGGGCATCGACCTGGCCGTCTACGAGGTCTGTGGGCAGCGCGTTCCTCTTTCCCTGCTCCCCTCTGGGATTTACCCACAGGACACCCCTTCCCCTTCCCCTGGGGCTGGCTCAGTTGACCTGCTATAGTTAGAGAAAGGCAGTTATGAGGTGAGGAGCACCTTGGCCCTGGGAATCCTGGGGAACCCTTCCAGGTATTGGACTCTCCCACTTCTCCACTTACTTTTGATTAGCAGCTCAGCCTTCCGGGGTCACCTGAAAGTCAGGGACCACTCTAGCTGACAAACATAAGATCAGGCAAAGATTACAAAAATTAGCCAGGCATGGTGATGTGTGCTTGTAATACCAGCTACTCCAAAAGGCCGAGGCATGAGAATTGCTTGAGCCTGGGAGGCGGAGGTTGCAGTGAGCCAACATCCCGCTACTGCACTCCAGCCTGGTGACAGAGCTACTGCACTGCAGCCTGGGCAACAGAGCGAGACTCCTTCTCAAAAAAAAAAAAAAAAAAGGCAGGCAAAGATGAGTCTCAAAGACACCCAACTTCCCCGAAGCAAGTATCAGACCCAGCCACGGTCTCTAAGCCAATGTCATCTTCAGGGCCTGCCCATTTGAGCATCTGCTGTTACCATAAGAACCACACCTAATCACCAGCATCTTGAGACCTTTATCAACACAGGCAGGTGCAGACAGTTCTTGGCTGTTTCTCTTCCAGGGACCTCATCTGTTGCTTTTACCTTCTAGTGGGATCACCAGGTCTCCCCCAATTAGCATGGTCCTGGATGTCCCCAAGCGTTCCCCCCAAAATCTTTGTATGCAAGACAGGGCCTGCTTCATGGGCATGTGACCTGTGAAGTCGCAGAGAGCCCCATGCTCGGAAGGGCCCTGTGCTTGGTGTAACGCTCTGCTACTGCTGTCTCGAAATTATTTTTATTTATTTATTTATTTTTTTGAGACGGAGTCTCGCTCTTGTCGCCCAGGCTGGAGTGCAATGGCGCGATCTCGGCTCACTGCAACCTACATCTCCTGGGTTCAAGCAATTCTCCTGCCTCAGTCTCCCGAGTAGCTGGGATTACAGGCATGCATCACCATGCCCGGCTAATTTTTATATTTTTAGTAGAGACAGGGTTTCACCATGTTGGCCAGGCTGGTCTCAAACTCCTGACCTTAAGTGATCCACCCGCCTTGGCCTCCCAAAGTGCTGGATTACAGGTGTGAACTACCATGCCAGGCCTGAAATTCTTAATTTTTTTTTTTTTTTCCCGAGACAGAGTCTCACTCTGTCGCCCAGGCTGGAATGCAGTGGCGCGATCTCGGCCCACTGCAGCCTCCACCTCCCAGGTTCAAGGAATTCTCCTGCCTCAGCCTCCCGAGTAGCTGAGATTACAGGTGCCTGCCACCACGCCTGGCTAATTTTTGTATGTTTAGTAGACAGGGTTTCACCATGTTGCCCAGGCTGGTCTCAAACTCCTGACCTTAGGGGATCCCCCCACCTCAGCCTCCCAAAGTGCTAGGATGACAGGTGTGAGCCACCACACCTGGCCAATAATTTTTGAACAAGGGACCCCCACCCTTTTACATTGTGCACTGGATCCTGCAAATTATGTAGCTGATTCTGATCTAATAGGCTCTGTTCCTGCCATCTTTACCTGCCCTCCCCAGCACCTGGCATGTAGACAACCAAATGAGACAAGACCGTTGCTCACTCATTCATTTGTTCCTCCATTTTGTTGTTCACTCATTCGCTTAGTGACTATTTACTGACCATCTACTCTGTGCTAGACACTGTGCGGATTGTGGCAGTTGTGGTGTTGAATGAGACCAGCATGGTCCCTGCCATCCTGGAATGCCCATTCCCATAAACAAGGCAGGCAATCAACCAGCAAATAAGATAGTTTCAGCTCCTAGAAAAGCTCTCAGAAGATCACAAGACAGGATTTGTCATCTTCAGTAACAGTGGGCGGGAGGGGGGTTGAGGAACGCCTCCAAGAAGGTGACATTGAAGCCATGGGTTGGGCGTATTATCACAAGGGAGCATGCACAAATCTAGTACCCAGGTCTGGAAGCAGGAACAAATACGGCCTTTTGGAGGAGTGGAAGTCTTAGGTGTCTGGGGGGGACTGATCAGGGCAGGGTACAGGGTCTTCTAAGTAAAATAGGAAGCCATTAAGAGGTATGAGTAGAGGCCGGTCACGGTGGCTCACACCTATAATCCCAGCACGTTGGGAAGCCGAGGCCGGTGGATCACCTGAGGTCAGGAGTTCAAGACCAGCCTGGCCAACATGGTGAAACCCCAGCTCTGCTAAAAATACAAAAATTAGCCGAGCGTGGTGGTGGGCACCTATAATCCCAGCTACTCAGGAGTCTGAGGTAGGAGAATCGCTTGAACCCAGGGCGGGGCATGGGGGTTGCAGTGAGCCGAGTTCTTGCACTGCACAGGTGACAGAGTGAAACTCCATCTCAAAAAAAAAAAAAAAAAAAAAAGAGTTGTGAGTAGAAATAAGATGCGGCCAGGAGCAGTGGCTTGTGCCTGTAATCCCAGCACTTTGGGAGGCCGAGGTGGGAGGATTGCTTGAGCCCAGGAGTTCGAGACCAGTCTCTATAAAACAATTTAAAAATTAGCCAGGTGGCCAGGCACGGTGGCTCACGCTTGTAATCCCAGCACTTTGGGAGGCCGAGGCGGGTGGATCACAAGGTCAAGAGATCGAGACCATCCTGGCCAACATGGTGAAACCCCATCTCTACTAAAAATACAAAAAATTAGCCAGGCATGGTGGCGGGCACCTGTAATCCCAGCTGCTTGGGAGGCTGAGGCAGGAGAATGGCATGAACCTGGGAAGCGGAGCTTGCAGTGAGCTGAGATCGTGCCACTGCACTCCAGCCTGGGTGACAGAGCAAGACTCTGTCTCAAAAAAAAAAAAAATAGCCAGGTGTGGTGGTGCACACCTGTAGTGCCAGCTACTCAGGAGGCTGAGATGGGAGAATTGCTTGAGCCCAGTACGCAGAGGTTTCAGTGAGCTGTGATCATGCCAATGCACTCCAGCTTCAGCAACAGAGCAAGATCCTGTCTCAAAAAAAAAAAAAAAGAAAGAAAGAAAGACAGAAAGAAGACACAGTCTTATTATTTAATGCATTCTTTACCCAAAAAGGGACTTTAAAAGTCTAAGAGGTTTTAGAAACCTTGGAGTTTCAAAATCTGTGTTTGTCCCTTAAAGGCTCCGAGAAGTCTCTCAGTAAAGTGATTTAACTTTTTTTGTTTTTAACCCAGTGCTGGCCACATTAATCTAGTCTTTAGAACTTTTTTTTTTCTTTTTTTTTGAGACAGAGTCTCACTCTGTCACCCAGGCTGGAGTGCAGTGGTGTGATCTCAGCTCACTCCAACCTCTGCCTCCCAGATTCAAGCAATTCTCCTGCCTCAGCCTGCCGAGTAGCTGGGATTACAGGTGTGCGCCACCACGCCAGGCTAATTTTTGTATTTTTAGTAGAGACGGGGTTTCACTATGTTGGCCAGGCTGGTCTTGAACTCCTGACGTCAAGTGATCCGACCACCTCGGCCTCCCAAAATGCTGGAATTGCCAGGTGCAGTGGCTCACACCTGTAATCCCAGCACTTTGGGAGGCTGAGGGGGGTGGATCACAAGATCAAGAGATCAAGACCATCCTGGCCAACATGGTGAAACCCCATTTCTACTAAAAATACAAAAAATAGCTGGGCGTGGTGGTGGGCACCTGTAATCCCAGCTACTCGGGAGGCTGAGACAGGAGAATCGCTTGAACCCAGGAGGCGGAGTTTGCTGTGAGCCAAGATCGCGCCACTGCCCTCCACCCTGGGTGAGAGAGCGAGATTTCATCTCAAAAAAAAAAAAAAATGCTGGGATTACAGGCATGAGCCACCACACCCGGCCGTCTTTAGAACTTCTTTTCAACAGATTGATCTTAATAATAACCCATTAAACATCTATTTGGCAAGTGCTGTTCTAGACCCAAAAGAAGGCTTCTAAAATTTCAAAGGCAATAATGTTAAGTACTTGCCTATTTTACCCAGTCTGTGCCTGGGCTAGGCATTACTAATCCATCACAGCACTGAGTCCTGCTCAACACAATTCCAGTTTCAGGCAGCAATTTCTGGTGGATTAGAATTGGCATAGGAAATGAAACCTATAAGCCTCTCCCAGCCGCAAAGCAAAGAAGGTCTTGTTCTTACAGTCACCTTGGCAGAAGGCTTCAGAAGGGATTAGCCACCCTAAAGTCTTCAGGTGCACAGTTCTAGATTCACATACAGCTGTGAATGTTGGTTCTCACCTTTATTTTGTAGCTTTGGGCAAGTAACTTCCCGAGCCTCAGTTTCTTTTCTATAAAATAGAGATAATAGGGCCGGGCATGGTGGCTCACTCCTGTAATCCCAGCACTTTGGGAGGGAGAGGCAGGCAGATCACTTGAGGTCAGGAGTTGGAGACCAGCCTGGCCAACATGGTTAAACCCTGTCTTTACTAAAAATACAAAAATCAGCCGGGTGTGATTGTGTGTGCCTGCAATCCCAGCTACCTGGGAGGCTAAGACAGGAGAATTTCTTGAACCCGGGAGGTGGAGGTTGCAGTGAGCTGAGATTGTGCCGCTGCACTCCAGCCTGGGCGACAGAACGAGACTCCGTCTCAAAAAAAAAGCAAAAAATTAGCCAAGCCTGGTGGCACATGCCTGTAATCCCGGTGGCATAAGCCTGTAATCCCAGCTACACAGGAGGCTGATGCAGGAGAATCACTTGAACCTGGGAGGTGGGGTTGCAGTGAGCCGAGATGGTGCCATTGCACTCCAACCCAGGCGACAGGGTGAGACTGTGTCTCAAAAAATAATAATAAAATAAAAATAAAGATAATTAGCCGGGTGTGGTGGTGCACAGCTGTAATCCTGGCTACTCCAGAGGTTGAAGTAGGGAGGATCACCTGAGCCCAGGAGGCGGAGGTTGCAGTGAGCCGAGATTTCACCACTGCACTCCAGCCTGGGTGTGAGAGCGAGACCCTGTCTCAATAATAATAATAATAGTTTTGGTCTTAGTTTGAGATCCTTCCAAAACAGACCCTGAAACTGGGACGTGAGGACAAGTGATTTATTGGGGAGGTAATGAGACAGGGAGTCAATGCACACAGTATGAGTATGTTAGTTTCCTAGGACTGCTGTAACAAAGTATCACAAACTGGTTGGCTTAAAACAACAGAAAGTTATTGTCTCACAGTTCCAGAGGCCAGAAGTGCAAAATCAAGGTGTCAGCAGAGCCATACTCCCTCTCAAACTTGTTAGGGGAGAATCCTTCCTTCCTTCCTTCTTTCAGTTTCTGCTTGTTCCCAGCAACCCTGGACATTCTTTGGCTTGTAGATACATTCACTCAAATCTCTGCCTCCGCTGTCACCTGGCTGTCTTTCTCCGTGTGTGTCTCTGTCTTTCTCCTCTACGGACACCAGTCATACTGGACTAAGGGTCTACCCTGTTACCCTACTCATCTTAACTAATTAGATCTGCAAAGACCCTATTTCCAAAGAATGTCACCTTCTAAGATACTGGGGGTTAGGACATCAACATGTTCCCCCCCAAAGGAGGGACATGATTCAACCCGTAACAGTATGTTATCAAGCAAGTTACTATTCCTAGCAAATGGAGTTCCAGCCCTCTAGAGATCTGTGGGAGGCAGCATAAGACATGCTGCACCAGAGAGATGAGGGAGCTGGGGTATTGATCCACCAGGTCAGTCTTTTGAAGGTTGCATCTGGAGATGCTAATTTCCCAGGGCTTTCTGCCCATTCCTAAGTGGTCAGAGCCGGCTGGCCTGCGTTCAGAGAAAGTCCACAAGCAAAGTCTTTGGGTAAATGTTGGCAGTAAGAAGTCAGCAGGTCTGAATTGGAGTGGGAAGGGATGAAGGTGGTGTACTCACAGCATCTACCACAGGCAGTGTCGTTGGAGAGTGTTTTTTTGTTCATTTGTTTGTTTTTGAGACAGTCTTGCTCTTATTGCCCAGGCTGGAGTGCAGTGGTGTGATCTTGCCTCGCTGCAACCTCCGCCTCCCCGGTTCAGGCGATTCTCCTGCCTCAGCTTCCTGAGTAGCTGGGATTACAGGTGCCTGCCACCACACCGGCTAATTTTGGTATTTTTAGTAGAGATGGAGTTTCGCCATATTGGCCAGGCTGGTCTCGAACTCCTGACCTCAAGTGATCCACCCATCTCAGCCTCCCAAAGCACTGGGATTACCAGTGTGAGGACGCCAGGCCCGACCTTTTTTCTTTTTGATACTGAGTCTCACTCTTGTCGCCCAGGCTGGAGTGCATCACGGCTCACTACAGCCTTGAATTCCTGGGTTCAAGCAATCCTCCCACTTCAGCCTCTTGAGTAGCTGGGACCACAGGCATGCACCATCACATCCAGTTTTTTTTTGTTTGTTTGTTTGTTTGTGTGTTTGTTTGTTTTTGTAGAGACAGAGTCTTGCTATGTTTCCGAGGCTGGTCTCAGGCTCCTGGGCTCAAACGATCCTCTTGCCTCGGCCTCCCAAAGTGCTGGGATTACAGGCGTGAGTCACCATGCCTGGCCTTTTGTTGCTGTTGCTGTTTTTAATTTATTCTTTACCCTTCTTGCAAGCAAACAAGTTATAAACTTAGTGTCTTAGAACAACACGAATGTATATCCTTACAGTTCTGGAGGTCAGAAATCCAAAATGGGGTTCTTACTGGGCTTTATAAAATCGAGATGTTGGCAGGGCTGCGTTCCTTCTGGATGCTCCAGGAGGAAATCTGTTTCGTTGCCTTGAAAAAGCTTCTAGAGGCCGCCTGCACTCCTTGGCTTGTGGTCCCTTCTTCCATCTTCAAAGCCAGTAGCATAGCATCTTCCAATCTCTCTCTCGCTTCTGCTTCTGTCTTTACACCTACTTTTCTAACTCTTAGAAGGGCCCTTGTGCCGGGCATGGTGACTCATGCTTGTAATCCCAGCACTTTGGGAGACCGAGGCAGGTGGATCACCTGAAGTCAGGAGTTTGAGACCACTCTGGCCAACATGGTGAAACCCCATCTCTACTAATAATACAAAAATTAGCTGGGCGTGATGGCACACGCTTGTAATCCTAGCTACTTCGAGGCTGAGGCAGGAGAATCGCTTGAAGCCAGGAGGCGGAGGTTGCAGTCAGCCGAGATTGCACCATTGCACTCCTGCCTGGGCAACGAGAACGAAACTCCGTCTCTGAAAAAAAAAAGAAGGGGCCTTGTGCCAGGCATGGTGGCTCATGCCTGTAATCCCAGCACTTTGGGAGGCCGAGGGGGAAGGATCGCTTGAGCCCAGGAGTTCGAGACCAGCCTGAGCAACATAGTGACACTCCATCTCTGTAAAAAGAAAAATAATTAGGCCAGGTACTGTGGCTCATTCCTGTAATCCCAGCACTTTGAGAGGCTGAGGCAGGCGGATCACAAGGTCAGGAGATTGAGACCATCCTGGCCAGCACGGTGAAACCCTGTCTCTACTAAAAATACAAAAAATTAGCCAGGTGTGGTGGCACGCACCTGTATTCCCAGCTACCCGGGAGGCTGAGGCAAGAGAATCGCTTGAACCAGGGAGGTGGAGATTGCAGTGAGCCAAGATCACACCACTGCACTCCAGCCTGGGCAACAGAGCAAGACTTCATCTCAAAATAATAATAATAATAATTTTTAAAAAAAGAAGGACCCTTGTGATGGCATTGGGCCACTCAGATAATCCAAAATAATCTCATCTCAAGATCCTTAACTGAATCCCATCTGCAAAGTCCTTTGTGTCATCTTGGGTAACATATGCAGAGGTTCCAGAGATTAGGGCATAGTCAGTACAGGGGACCCTTATTCCACCTACCAGAGAGGGTCCAGATGAGGACTGGGTGAGGGGACGCAGGGAAAGGGCTGGCCCGGCCCCTAGGAGGTACCAAGTGCTCAGCTAGTAGCACCTGTCATGGGATACAGAACCGGCCAGCAGGCCTTTGAAGCCAGGGTCCTAGGGTCACCCACCCCAACCCTCCCTACTCCCTTCTCCACTCCAGACTCTGAAGAACTGGTGGCTTCAGCAGTACAGCCACGACTCGGCAGACCCAGGCATCCTCGTGCTCCTGGCCTGCGGTACCATATCCAGCACCTGCGGCCAGATAGCCAGTTACCCGCTGGCCCTGGTCCGGACCCGCATGCAGGCACAAGGTGAGGCCTGGGCGGGAGGATGGGGCAGGGGGAGTCTCATCGCTTGGGCCCCAGCTTCTCCCAAGTAGAGCCCTGGGCTGGGACCCTCCTGGATTTCGATGGGCTTCTCTGGGCCTCCGTTTCCCCATTTGTGACATTGAAATGGGAGTCCTTTACTTTCATGGAGCTGAGGATTAACTAGGATAACAGGTGCAGTGGGTACAGGAAGAGATCCCTTGCAGACTTAGCTGGGATGTCGTTGCTGGCAAATGTCTAGCATTTCCAGGCTGGTAACTTGAACTCTTAATTTGTAAGCCTGGGTTATCGTGAGCGGGAGGCTAGGAACAGGGGTAGGGAGCAGTCAGGGCCAGAGTGGTTATTGTTTTTGTCTGTATTTTTCTTTTATGAATTATTTCCCCCCGTCCCCTCCACCACTACCCTCCCATTCTCCCTGAATCTGTTTTGAGAATTTTCTTGAGAATTTTAGTGTTTGTGTTTTGTGATTTTCACTGGAGATGTGTCAGTGTACAAGACGGACACGGTCCCCACCCTCATAGAGCTCACAGGCCGGAGAGGAAGGAAGATGCTAAATAAATCATTCTGGAATTAAGTATTGATTTAGGGTTGTATAAAGGGGAGAAGGAGGCCGGGCACAGTGGCTCACATCTGTAATCCCAGCACTTTAGGAGGCCAAAGAGGAAGGATCATTTGAGTCCAGGAGTTTGAGACCAGCCCGGGCAACATAGCAAGACCCCATCTTTTTTTAAAAAATGAAGAAATAAATTAGCCAGGCGTGGTGGCAGGTGCCTGTAGTCCAAACTACTTGGGAGGCTGAGGCCGGAGGATCACTTGAGGCTGCAGTGAGCTATGATTATGCCACCACACTCCAGCCTGGGTGACAGAGTGAGACCCTGTCTCAAAAAAGTGGGTGGGAGCCAGGGGTAGTGGCTCACGCCTGCCATCCCAGCACCTTGGGAGGCCTAGGTGGGTGGATCACCTGAGGTCAGGAGTTCGAGACTAGCCTGACCAACATGGCTAAATCCTGTCTCTACTGAAAATACAAAAATTAGCCGGGTGTGATAGCAGGCGCCTGTAATCTTAGCTACTCGAGAGGCTGAGGCAGGAGAATCACTTGAACCCAGCAGGCATAGGTTGCAGTAAGCCAAGTTCGTGCCATCGCACTCCAGCCTGGGCAACAGGAGTGAAAACTCTGTCTCAAAAAAAAAAAAAAAAAAAAGGGCTGGGCATGGTGGCACACGCCTGTAATCCCAGCACTTTGGGAGGCCGAGGTGGGCGGATCACCTGAGGTTAAGAGTTCAAGGGCCGGGTGTGGTGGTTCACGCCTGTAATCCCAGCACTTTGGGAGGCCGAGGCGGATGGATCACCTGAGGTTGGGAGTTGGAGACCAGCCTGACCAACATGGAGAAACCCCGTCTCTACTATAAATACAAAAAAATTAGCCGGGCAAGGTGGCGCATGCCTGTAATCCCGGCTACTTGGCAGGCTGAGGCAGGAGAATTGCTTGAACCCGGGAGGCGGAGGTTGCAGTGAGCCGAGATTGCACCATTGCACTCCAGCCTGGGCAACAAGAGCGAAACTCCGTCTAAAAAACAAAAAGTGGGTGGAGGGCAGGGAGGAGCCTGACTTAGACTGGAGCACCAAGGAGGAGTCCCCTGGGGAGCTGGCTCTGGGATAGGGGTTGGGAATATGAGTAGGAGTCAGCTGGGAAAGGAGGGAGGGAACCTGGCTCCAGGAGGAGGACATTTCTGTCCTTTCTCACCTTGCACACCCATACCTGCTCCATTTCTAATTGTCCCCAAACTTGGGGCGAAAAGGTGAGCAGCCAGTTCCAAGGTCAATACAAGTCTCGACTCTGAGTGGTAGGTCCCACTGTTAGTCTAACCTCCTTCCCTCCTGCTGCAATGACACCACCTGGCCCAACCCTGGGGGTAGGAGGGGGAAGTGAAAGGGGAACGTTGGCCTTACCTGGTGCCCCCCCCGCCCCCTCCCAGCCTCCATCGAGGGTGGCCCCCAGCTGTCCATGCTGGGTCTGCTACGTCACATCCTGTCCCAGGAGGGCATGCGGGGCCTCTACCGGGGGATCGCCCCCAACTTCATGAAGGTTATTCCAGCTGTGAGCATCTCCTATGTGGTCTACGAGAACATGAAGCAGGCCTTGGGGGTCACGTCCAGGTGAGGGACCCGGAGCCCGTCCCCCCAATCCCTCACCCCCCACACCTCAGCCACTGGAGACTGATGATCCAACCACAGGATCCCTACTCTTTGGCCACGAGATCCCAGTACCCAGATCCTGGATCCTAGACTCCTATGCCCCAACCATTGGGTCATGGGATCCCAGCATCCAGATCCTGGATCCTAGACTCCTATGCCCCAACCACTGGGTCATGCGATCCCCACCCTTCAGCCACTAGATCCCAGATCCCCCTGTAACCATAACTGTGGATCCCTTACTTCAGCAACTCAAGTCTGCTACCCTAACCACAAGATTCAAGATTATCCACACCCCAGCCCTTAATCCCCATCCCCCAAATCACTGGATCCTGCAGCCCCACATCCTAAGGTGGATCCCACGCTTCCCTGTGCCCCCTACTGGATCCTGGACCTCTACGTCTTAACCACTGGATCCCACACAAATCAGTGAATGGATCCCAACACCCCAACCACAGGAGCACGGATTCCCTGTACCTCAACACCCAGACCCTGCCTCCCTCAGGCACCAGATCCAGTGTCCTAGTGAAACGCTGGATCCTAGATCCCCAACCCCAGATCCCCATGCCTCGAGCCCTGGATCTCCAAGCTCAGCTGCTGGATTCTGGATGTCAACAAACCTCACCACTGGATCCTGACAACCACAATGCCTGGATCCTGGGGCCCCCATCACTGGATCCCAGATCCCCTCACTCCACCCACTGGATTCCTGCATTGGTTTTTGGTTTTTTGTTTTTTTTTAACCTCGACACTGGGTCTCAGATCCTTCTGCTGACTGCCAGATCCCTGCATTTCAAGCACTACGCCTTCCACCCCCAGGCACTGGATCCCAGATTCCCAAGCCTTCACCCACCAGATTCTGGCTCCTAAAACAAGTGCGGGGGCCCCAGTGGCACAGCAAGTGGATCCTGGCAACTGCAGCTGCTGGATTCCAGATTCTGGGTCCCCAATCCCTCTGCCCAGTCCCTCAATGTTGAAACCTCATCTCTTGAAGGCAGATCCTGATATTCCAAGGCACTGAATCCCAAGCCCTGAATCCCCGGTTTCTGATCTGAATCTTCCAGGCGCCGGGTCCCAAATGTTCAGGCCCCAAGTCTAGATCCTGGCAGCCCAGTCACAGAGTATCCCACACACACTGGTGCCCAGAGCCGGCTTCTCATGACATGAAATTGCATGGTCGAGGGAGTCTGTGGGGAAGGAAGCCCAGGTCCTGGCTGCAACCTGCACGGATGCTGGATTCCCCCTCACCCCACCTCTGCATGGCCACCCCCTCCCAGCCCTGTGGGGAAACTGTTCCCTGGAACCACTCCACTCCCTGCATCCCCACACTTCACAGCATCTTCCATCCCCCTCCCACCTTCTAGGCGAATAGTCCCCAGAGCTGTGTTCCTCCAAGGGGTCCGAGGAATCACTCACTCCTGGAGGCTGGCAAGGAGACAGTCTGAGGCCAGGGACACATGAAGGGATGTCCCCACCCCAGCACTATCAGGGCCTCCCCAGGCTTCCAGAGTTGAAAGCCAGGAGAAAATCGGCAAAGACCACCCTTCCCTAAACCCAAGCACCCAATGATGCAAAAAACAAAAACAAAAAAAAACCACCAAATCCCCAAATTCATTCCAGATCTATTTTTCTACCAGAGAGAGGAGCAAAGTCCTCCTCCCCTGCGCCCTTACATTCTGCACTTCATAGTTGGATTCTGAGCTTAGGATCATCTGGAGACCCCATGGAGGGACTTGGAAAGGGGAACTGGGATTTGGGGAGGGGCTGGAGGACTTCCGCACGCTTCCACCTCCTTCGACCTCCACTGCGCCCCACCTCCCTGCCTGTGTGTGTTATTTCAAAGGAAAAGAACAAAAGGAATAAATTTTCTAAGCTCTTTTATTGTGGTTTTTACTGAAAAGGGGGTGGGTGGCTATGGGACCACCTTAGTCTACCCCTAGGGAAGGGACAAGGGGCTGCTTCCCAACACCCACAGTTCCAAGAGCCAGGAAATGATTCCCTCTTTGAGCCTCAGTTTACACATCTATAAAATGGGAGCAGGGGAGGGAGTCCCTGTTTATAACCCCTTCTAAATTTTCTGGGCTTTATTATTTTTATTTATTTATTTATTTTTGAGATGGAGTCTCACTCTGTTGCCCAGGCTGGAGGGCAGTGGCACGGTCTCAGCTCACTGCAACCTCTGCCTCCCGGGTTCAAGCGATTCTCCTACCTCAGCCTCCTGAGTAGCTGGGATTACAGGCACCCACCACCACGCCCGGCTAATTTTTTGTATTTTTAGGAGAGACAGGGTTTTACCATGTTGGCCAGGCTGGTCTCGAACTCCTGACCTCAAGTGATCCACCTGCCTCAGCCTCCCAAAATGCTGGGATTACAGGCGTGAGCCACCACGCCCGGCCTCTGTATTTTTTTTCAAATTACAAATTTCAATTTTTTTTCAAATTATCCTTTTCCTAGGGCTGCCAGACCAAATTATCACAAACAGAATGGCTTAAAACAATTTGTGTGTCTGTGTGTGTGTGTGTGTGTGTGTGTGTGTGTGTGTGAGAGAGAGAGAGAGATAGGATCTCACTCTGCAGCCCAGGTTAGAGGGTAGTGGTACAATCGTACCTGACTGCAGCCTCGAATTCCTGTGCTCAAGCGATCCTCCCACCACAGCCTCCTGAGTATCTGGGACCACAGGGACCGCAGGCACACGCACCGTTATGTCCAGCTAATTTATTTTTGAGACAGGGTCTCGCTCTGTCACCCAGGCTGGAGTGCAGTGGTGCGATCTCGGCTCACTGCAGCTTACACCTCCTGGGCTCAAGTGATCCTCCCACCTCAGCCTCCCAAGTAGCTAGGACTATAGGCAACCACCACCATGCCCAACTTTTTGTTTGTTTCTGTGCTTGCTTGTTTGTTTGTGATGCAGTCTCGCTCTGTCGCCCAGGCTGTAGTGCAGTGACACGATCTCGGCTCACTGCCACCTCTGCCTCCCAGGTTCAAGCAATTCTCCCACCTCAGCCTCCCGAGCAGCTAGAACCACAGGCATATGCCACCATGCCTGGCTAATTTCTTGTTTGGTTGGTTGGTTTTTTGTTTTTGTTTTTTTTGATATAGGAGTCTTGCTCTTGTTTCCCAGGCTGGAGTACAGTGGCTCGATTTCAGATCACTGCAACCTCTGCCTTCCAGGTTCAAGCGATTCTCCTGCCTCAGCCTCCAGAGTAGCTGGTATTACAGGTGCGCACCACCACACCCGGCTAATTTTTGTATTTTTAGTAGAGACCAGGTATTCCCGTGTTGGCCAGGCTGGTCTCGAACTCCTGACCTCAGGTGATTTGCCTACCTCAGCCTCCCAAAGTGCTGGGATTACAGGTGTGAGCCACCGTGCCTGGCCTAATTATTATTACTTCTTTTTTGTGGAAATAGGATTTCATCATGTTGCCCAGGCTCATCTCGAACTCGTGGGGTCAAGGAATTCGCCAGCCTTCAGCCTCCCAACGTGCTGGGATTACAGGTGTGAGCCACATGGTCCTTGGTGTTCCTTGGTTTATGATAGACTCATCACTCCACTGCCTGCCTATCTTCATACTGTATGCTCCCTTATGTGTGTCTGTGTCTCTCTGCCCAAATTTCCATCCTTTTTTTCAGATGCAGTTTCGCTCTGTTTCCCAGGCTGGAGTGCAATGACGTGATCTCAGCTCACTGCAACCTCCGCTTCCCGGGTTCAAGTGATCCTCCTGCCTCAGCCTCCAGAATAGCTGGGATTACAGGTGCACACCACCACAACTGGCTAATTTTTGCATTTTTAGTAGAGACGGGGTTTCACTATGCTGGTCTTGAACTCCTGACCTCAAGTGATCCACCCGCCTCGGCCTCCCAAAGTGCAAATTCCAAGTTTGTTTTTTTTTTTTTTTTTGGAGTGCAGTGGCACGATCTCGGCTCACTGCAAGCTCCGCCTCCCGGGTTCATGCCATTCTCTTGCCTCAGCCTCCCAAGTAGCTGGGACTACAGGCACCCGCCACCACAGCCAGCTAATTTTTTTTTTTTTTTGTATTTTTAGTAGAGATGGGGTTTCACCATGTTAGCCAGGATGCCTCCCAAAGTGCTGGGATTATAGGCATGAGCCACCGCGCCCGGCCTTTTTTTTTTTCTGAGATGGAGTCTTGCTCTGTCGCCTAGGCTGGAGTGCACTGGCGCGATCTTGGCTCACTGCAAGCTCCGCCTCCTGGGTTCATGCCATTCTCCTGCCTCAGCCTCCCAAGTAGCTGGGACTACAGGCACCCGCCACCATGCCCAGCTAATTTTTTGTATTTTTAGTAGAGACGGGGTTTCACCATGTTAGCCAGGATGGTCTTGAACTCCTGACCTCGTGATCCGCCTGCCTCAGCCTCCCAAAGTGTTGGGATTACAGGCGTGAGCCACTGCGCCTGGCCGATTCCATGTCTTGTAAGGACAGCAGTCATCGGATTAGGGCAACCCCCCCCAATCCAGTGTAACCTCATTTTAATTTGATTATATCTACAAAGACCGTATTTCCAAATAAGGTCACATTTGCAGGTTACTGGGGTTAGGGCTTGAACACATCTTTTTGGGGGACAAAGTTCAACCCACAATGAGTAATTCAAATTTATTGTGGAAAAAATAGAAAATTCAGGGTGGGTGGGGTAGCTCATATCTGTAAACCCAGCACTTTGGGAGGTCGGGGTGGGAGGATCGCTTGAGGCCAGGAGTTTGAGACCAGCCTGGGCAACACAGTGAGACCCCATTTCTACAAAAAATTTTTCAATTAGCTGGGCATGATGGCATATACCTGTAGTTCCAGCTGCTCAGGAGGCTGAGATGGGAGGATGACTTGAGCTCAGGAGTTCAAGGTCACTTGAGCCCAGGAGTTTGAGACCAGCCTGGCCAACATGGTGAAACCCCGTCTCTACTAAAAATACAAAAATTAGCCGGGCATGGTGTCACATGCCTGTGATCCCAGCTACTCGGAAGGCTGAGGCAGGACAATCACTTGAACCCAGGAGGTGGAGGTTGCAGTGAGCCAAGATTGGTCCATTGCACTCCAGCCTGGGTAACAGAGCAAGACTCCATCTCAAAAAATAAAAAAATAAAAGATTGGGTGCAGTGGCTCACGTCTATAATCCTAGCATTTTGGGAGGCCGAGGCGGGTGAATCACCTGAGGTCAGGAGTTCGAGACCAGCCTGGCCAACATGGCAACCCCGTCTCTACTAGAAGTACAAAAATTAGCCGGACGTGGTGGCGGGCACCTATAATCCCAGCTACTCAGGAGGCTGAGGCAGGAGAATTGCTTGAACCTGGGTGGCAGAGGTTGCAGTGAGTCGAGATTGTGCCACTGCACTCCAGCCTGGGCAACAAGAGCAAAACTATGTCTCAAAGAAAAAAAAAAAAAGACACTGTCGCTGCCATCCTGGTTATTGGTTACATGCTCTCTCTCTCTCTCTCCCCCTTTCTCATAACATTTGCTCTGGAGGAAGCCGGTGGTCATGCCATGAGCAGCCTTATGGAGAGGACCATGTGGTAAGGAACTCAGCCAATAGCCATGTAACTGAGCTTGGAAGAGGATCTTGCTGTCCTGGCCAACATCTCACTGCAATTCTATCAGTTGAATTCCCTGGATAGTCCAAGCTTTGTGGATCCCTCCACCGAAACAACTGGATCCCAGTACCTGAATCCTGAATCTTAGACTCTTATACTTCAAACACTGATCACGGGAACAGCCGGCTCAGCGGCTCCTGAGTTCCTAATGCTCAGAATATGGGTGAGATGATAAATGTTTGTTGTGTTAAGCTGCCAACCTTTGGCGGGGGGGTAATTCGTCACATGGCAACAGCTGGCTAATACATATATACCTACATGTATATGATTTTGTCAGGTTTTTTGTTTGTTTGTTTGTTTGGTTTCGGTTTTGGTTTTTGAAACAGGGTTTCACTCTGTCCCCTCCCCAGGCTGGAATGCAGGGGTGCAATCATGGCTCACTGCAGCTTCAAACTCCCAGGCTCAGGTGATGCTCCCATCTCAGCCTCCGGAGTAGCTGGGACCACAGGCACACACCACCATGCCTGACTACTTTTTTTGTTTTTTAGAGACTGGGTCTTACTCTGTCACCCAGGCTGGAGTGCAGTGGCACAATCATAGCTCACTGCAGCCTCTAATTCCTGTGCTCAAGGGAGCCTCCCCCTTCAGCCTCCCAAGTAGCTGGGACTACAGGTGCACATGACCACACCTGGCTAATTTTAAAAAATTTTTGTAGAAAAATTTCTTGCTTTGCTGCCCAGGCTGGTCTTGAACTCCTGGACTCAAGTGATCCTCCCGCCTCAGCCTCCTGAGTAGCTGGGATTACAGGTATGCACCACCACACCCAGCTAATTTTCGTTATTTTTAGTAGACACGGGGTTTTATCATGTTGGCCAGGCTGGTCTCAAACTCCTGACCTCAGGTGATCCACCTGCCTTGGCCTCCCAAAGTGCTAGAATTACAGGTGTGAGCCACCACGCCCAGCCAAAAATAATTTTTAAAACTTAGCCGGGCGTGGTGTCCGCACCTGTGTTCCTAGCCACTCGGGTGGCTGAAGTGGGAGAACCACCTGAACAGAGAGGTCAAGGGGATTGACCTTAAGTGTGCCACTATACTCCAGCCTGGGTGACAGAGTGAGACCATTTCCCATCAGCTGTTTAGCAACCTTAATTCTTTTTTTTTTTTTCTTTTTTTTTTTTTTGAGACAGGGTCTCGCTCTGTCACCCAGGCTGGAGTTCAGTGGCAAGATCTCAGCTCACTGCAGCCTCCACCTCCCAAGCTCAAGCAACCCTCCCACCTCAGCCTCCTGTGTAGCTGGGACCACAGGCATGGACCACCATGCCCAGCTAATTTTTGTATTTTTTATAGAGACAGGGGTCTGGCCATGTTGCCCAGGGTGGTCTTGAACTCCTGGGCTCAAGTGATCCACCTGCCTTGACCTCCCAAAGTGCTGCTATTATAGGAATGAGCCACGGCGCCCAGCCTAGCAAAGTTTTGTTGTTGTTGTTGTTTGTTTGAGATGGAGTCTCGCTCTGTTGCCCAGGCTGCAGTGCAATGGCTCAATCTCGGCCCACTGCAACCTCTGTCTCCTGGGTTCAAGCAATTCTCCTGTCTCAGCCTCCAGAGTAGCTGAGATTACAGGGGCACACCACCAAACCTGGCTAATTTTTGTATTTTTAGGAGAGACTGGGTTTCACTATGTTAGTCAGGCTGGTCTCGAACTCCTGACCTCAGATGATCTGCCAACCTCGGCCTCCCAAAGTGCTGGGATTACAGGCGTCAGCCACCACATCAGGCCTAGCAACCTTATTTGTATCTGCAAACTTAATTCCCCTTTGCCATGTAACAAATGTAAGTCAGCCCAGGCTGCTATAAGGAAACACTAAAGAGCGGGGTCTTAAACTGCAGACATTTATTTCTGGAGGCTGGGAAATCCAAGGTTAAGGTGGCTGGCTAGCTCAGTTCCTGCTGAGGGATTTCTTCCTGCCATGCCTTCTTGCTGCGTCCTCCCATGGCAGACAGAGAGAGAGAAAGAGCTCTGGTTTGTCTTTTCCTTATAGGGAACTAATTCCATCTTGCAGGGGCCATCCTCATGAGTTCATCTAACCCTGAGGACCTCCCAAAGGCCCTGTCTCCAAATTCCAACCCACTGGGAAATAGGGCTTCAACATAAGAATTTTGCGGCCGGAAGCAGTGGCTCACGCCTGTAATCCCAGCACTTTGGGAGGCTGAGGTGGGCAGATCATGAGGTCAGGAGATCGAGACCATCCTGGCTAACACGGTGAAACCCCGTCTCTACTAAAAAATAAAAAAATTAGCTGGGCGTGGTGGCGGATGCCTGTAGTCCCAGCTACTCGGGAGGCTGAGGCAGGAGAATGGTGTGAACCCCAGAGGCGGAGCTTGCAGTGAGCCAAGATAGCGCCACTGCACTCCAGCCTGGGAGACTGAGCGAGACTCCGTCTCAAAAAAAACGATAATAATAATAATTTTGACAGGACACAATTCAATTTATAACGATAACATATTTATTGGTTTGGGGGATCAGGAGGTGGATACTTGGGGGAAGGGGGCCATCACGCTGCCCACCACACCTAGGAAGGTCACAGGGGCGTTTGTGACTTCATCCTCCTCTTGGTCCCCCACACAATCCTCCCACTAGACACTCCCGCATGGTAGCTGGAGCAGCAAACAACTGCTTAGGGATTTGAAGCCAGGTGTCCTAACTTCCTCCATGGGCGCTCAGCCTGGGGAACCTCAGAACACTTGCTCTAGGATCCAGACACTGTTTAGGAGGGTCAAGACCTTACTCATCAAAGCCCCGCCTCCCCCCCAACCTCCGCCTCCACCCCCATCCTGGAACCCTGGCTGTACACACGTGTATGGGTACGCGTTTGGCCACATGCATGACAACAACCTTGAACATCTCCCGTCACAGCAGGTGAGTTTAGGAAACACCAGTGTCCCGGCACCTCTGGTCAGGACTACAGGGAGAGGCCAGGCTACCCACGCCCTCTACAGGCCCACTCCCCTGCTAGCGGACCTAGAATTCCACCTTGAAGCAGGGTGGGGCAGGGAGGCAGGGCGCGATGGCTCCACACATGTAATCCCAGCACTTTGGGAGGTTGAGGTGGATGGGTCACTTGAGGACAGGAGTTCAAGACCAACCTGGCCAACATGCCGAAACCCTATCTCTACTAAAATTACAAAACTTAGCCAGGCATGGTGGTTGGCGCCTGTAGTACCAGCTACTCAGGAGGCTGAGGCAGGAGAATCGCTTGAACTCAGGAGGTAGAGGTTGCAGTGAGCCCAGATCTCATCACTGCACTCAAGCCAGAGCAACACAGCGAGATTCTGTCTCAAAAAATAAGAATAAATTAAGAGTCTAGATATAGTCCTAATTACATTTGTATTCCTCCTTGGATCCTCCATGAGTAACTTAGAGAGTCTATATTACATTGGCTGGGTGTGGTGGCTCACACCTGTAATCCCAGCACTTTGGGAGGCTGAGGCAGGTGGATCACCTGAGGTCAGGAGTTCAAGACCAGCCTGGCCAACATGGTGAAACCCTGCCTCTATTAAAATAATACAAAAATTTGCTCGGCACGTTGGCACTGTAATCCCAGCTACTGGGGAGGCTGAGGCAAGAGAATCACTTGAACCCAGGAGGCGGAGGTTGCAGTGAGCCGAGATCACACCATTGTCCCTACTTGGGAAGCTGAGACACGAGAATCGCTTGAACCAGGGGGACAGCGGTTGCAGTGAGCCAAGATCGCACCACTGTACTCCAGCTTGGGCGATAGAGTGAGACTCTGTCTAAAAAAAAACAAAAACAAAACAAAAAAAAACCAGGGGGGAGGGTTGAATCACTTGAGGTCAGGAGTTAGAGACCAGCCTGGCCAACATAGTGAAACCCATCTCTACTAAAAAAAAAAAAAAAAAAAAAAAAAAAAATTAGGTGTTGTGGTGCATGCCTATAATCCCAGCTACTCAGGAGGCTGCGGCAGGAACTGCTTGAACCTGGGAGGTGGAGGTTGCAACGAGCTGAGATTGTGCCACTGCACTCTAACCTGGGCAGCAGAGCAAGACTCCGTCTCGAAAAAAAAAAATGCAGACTTGGGGGAACAGGGTGGGTCTTTCACCAGGTGGGTGCCCTAGATGTGTGTCTGGGGAAGGTGCCCCAACCTGGCTGAGGATGAGGGAGGGCCGGGTCTGCCCTGCAGGTACTGGACACAGGAGAGCAGCTGATGGTCCCCGTGGAAGTCCTGGAAGTGGATAACAAGGAGGCCTTGTGGAAGTTTCTACTCTCAGGAGCTATGGCCGGGGCGGTGTCTCGCACGGGCACGGCACCTCTGGACAGAGCCAAGGTGTACATGCAGGTTTGTGTGGGTTGGGGGGAGGACGGGACCCAGCGCTGGAGCCACTGGGGAGAACGTGGGGTGAGGACAGATGGAGTTGACGTGGATGGAGTTCAGGATAGGAGTGCTGGCTGGAGTTGGGCTCTCCTGGACTAGCTGAGATTGAGGTTGTGGATGGTGATAGAGCTGGTGTGGACATGGCTTGGAGTCGAGTTTGAGGAGTTGAGAGAACTTGCCAGGGACAGGGACCAACGCTGGGCCAAGGTGGGGGTTGGAGGTCAGGGAATTGGGGATGGGGTCTTTGGACGAGTTTAAAGACAAGGTAGGGGCCAGGTGCAGTGGCTCATGCCTCTAATGCCAGCACTTTGGGAGGCCCAGGGGAGGTAGATCATCTGGGGTCAGGAGTTTGAGACCAGCCTGGCCAACATGGCGAAACCCTGTCTCTACTAAAAATACAAAAAAATTAGTCGGGCATGGTGGTGCGTGCCTGTAGTCCCAGCTACATAGGAGGCTGAGGCAGGAGAATTGCTTGAACCCAGGAGATGGAGGTTGCAGTGAGCCGAGATTGCATCACTGCACTCCAGCCTGGGCAACAGAGTGAGACTCTGTCTCAAAAAAGAAAGAAAAAAAAAAAAGGCAACATAGAACTGGAGCTACCTCAAGCAGGATATCTCACACCCATAGTCTCAGCTGCTCAGGAGGCTGAGGCAGGAGGATTGCTTGAGCCCAGGAGTTGGAGGCTGCAGTGAGCCATGATCATGCCACAAACTCCAGCCTGGGTGACAGAGCGAGATCCCTGGCTGAAAAAATAAACGGGTGCAGTGGCTCACTTTGGGAGGCCAAGGAGGGAGGATTACTTGAGCTTAGGAGTTTGAGACCAGCTGGGCAATATAGTCAGACCACATCTCTACAAAATAATAATTAATTAATTAATTAATTAAAAATTTAAAAAGGAGTCGGGCATGGTGACTCACACCTGTAATCCCAGCACTTTGGGAGGCCAAAGTGGGAAGATCGCTTGAGCCCAAGAGTTTGAGACCAGCCTGGGCAACATAGTAAGACCCCATCTATACAAAAAATTTTACAAAATTAGCCTGCCATGGTAGCACGCACCTGTAGTCCCAGCTACTTGGAAGGCTGAGGTGGGAGGATCACTTGAGCCCAGGAGTTTGGGGCTGCAGTGAGCTGTGATTGCACCACTGCATTCCGGCCTGGGCAACAGAACAAGATCCTGTCTCGAAAACATAAACAAACAAAAAAACAAGAAAGAAAAGGAAAAGAAGGCCAGGCGCGGTGGCTGATGCCTGTAATCCCAGCAATTTGGGGGGCCAAGGTGGGCAGATCACCTGAGGTCAGGAGTTCCAGACCAGCCTGGCCAACATGGCAAACCCCCAGCTCTACTAAAAATACAAAAATAAGCCAGGCGTGGTGACACTAGCCTGTAATCCCAGCTACTCGGGAGGCTGAGGCAGGAGAATCGCCTGAACCTGGGAGGCGGAGGTTGCAGTGAGCCGAGATCCCCCGACCGCACTCCAGCCTGGGCGACAGAGTGAGACTCCGTCAAAAAAAAAAAAAAAGAAGGAAGGGAGGAACGGAGGAAGGGAGGGAGGGAGGGAACAAAAAGGGAGAAAGAAAGGAAAGGATGGAAGGAAGAAAGAGAGAGAGAAAAAGACTGAGGAGATGAAGAGGAGGGGTGAGGTGGGAATGTAGGTTGATGTTGGCTTTGGGTCAGGGTTGCATGCGATTCTAGAACTGGCCGGGGAAGGAGCTGAAGAAGGAATGGGGATGGGATGGGGATGGGTTGGGGTTGGGTGGCTTGGGAGGTCCCGGTGGGGCTGCGCTTGGGGCAGGGATGGGGACGGAGACAGAGGCGAGCAGGGGCTCCTCCAGGGTCCTCCCTCCACCCAGGTCTACTCCTCCAAGACGAACTTCACCAACCTGCTGGGGGGGCTACAGAGCATGGTCCAGGAGGGCGGCTTCCGCTCCCTGTGGCGGGGCAACGGCATCAACGTGCTCAAGATTGCTCCTGAGTATGCCATCAAGTTCTCCGTATTCGAGCAGGTGGGGAATGAGGGGCCTGCTTCCCCCAGCTCAAGCCCAAACCCCTCCCATGCCCCCAAAACTCCAGGCCCTTGTTCAAGCACACACTCACCCTCCAGACCCCAGGCCTCTTCCCTGCGCGGGTTTTGTGTCGGAGGGTGGCTGACTTCTCTCTCACCCTCCTCTCTCCTCTCCCAGTGCAAGAATTACTTCTGTGGAATACAAGGGTCCCCGCCCTTCCAGGAGCGTCTCCTTGCTGGCTCCCTGGCTGTGGCCATCTCCCAGACCCTCATCAACCCCATGGAGGTAAGAGAGCATGTGCCCCGCAGGTGAGGAAACGCCGTGGAAACTAGTTACCCACGTTGCTGGGGCTACTTCCTCTTCCTCCTTTCTCCCCTCCTCCTTTCTCCTCCTTTTTTCTCACACTTCTCCCTCCTCCCCGTTCACCTCTTCCTCCTCTGTCTCCCCTCCTCCTTTCTCCCTCCTCCTCTTTCCTCCTCCTTTCTCCTTCCTCCTCTCCTCCTCCTCCTTTCTCCCTCCTCCTCCCCTCCTCTTTCCTCTCCTCCTCCCCTCCTTTCTTCCTCCTCCTTCCCTCCTCCTTTCTCCCTTCTCCTCCCCTCTTCCTTTCTCCCTTCTCCTCCCCTCTTCCTTTCCTTTCTCCCTCCTCCTTTCTCCCTCCTCTCCCTCTTCCCCCTTTACCTCTTTCTCCTCCTCTCCAATCTCCTCCTCCTTTCTATAAATTTATATATGAATATATTATATATAACACATATACATATATATAACATTTTCATAAATTTATATATGTATATATTATATACAACATATATATTATATATATAACATATATATATTATATATATATTATATATATAATATATATATTATATATATATATAACATATATATAATATATATATTATATATATATGTAACATATATATAATATATATATTATATATATATATAACATATATATAATATATATATTATATATATATATATAAATTTTCAGGCCAGACACCTTGGCTCATGCCTGTAATCCCAACACTTTGGGAGACTGAGCTGGGAGGACTGCTTGCTTGAGCCCAGGAGTTTGAGACCAGCCTGGGCAATATAGCAAGACCCCATCTTTACTGAAAACAAAAATCAGCCAGGTGTGGTGGCGCATGCCTGTAGTCCCAGCTACTCAGGAGGCTGAGGTGGGAGGAGCACTTGAGCCCAGAAGGTCGAAGCTGCAGTGAGCTATGATGGGACACAACTGCACTCCAGCCTGGGTGATAGAGGGAGACCCTGTCTCAAAAAAAATATATATATATATATGTTTTATATATAATATACACATATATTATATACCTTACTTATTATGTAAATATATAGTACATATAACATGTATATATTATATATAACTAAATAATTTAATGTATCTAATTATATAATTACATTTATTATATACTATGTAATATAAAAATATGTCTATGCATGTTATATATAATATATGCATAATGTATAATAATACATATATAATATGTATATATACTATATATATGTATACATATATATTTTCATTTCTCATCTGTGGACCGGAAACCCTCCTTTTTTTCTTTCTTTTTCTTTTTTTTTTTTTTGAGAGTCTCACTCTGTCACCCAGGCTGGAGTGCAGTGGCACGATCTTGACTCACTGCTCACTGCGACCTCCACCTTCTGGGTTCAAGCGATTCTCCTGCTGGGATTACAGCTGCCTGCCACCACACCCAGCTAATTTTTGTATTTTTAGTAGAGACAGGGTTTCGCCATGTTGCCCAGGATGGTCTCAAACTCCTGACCTCAAGTGTTCCACCCACCTTGGCCTCCCAAAGTGCTGGGATTACAGGCATGAGCTACCGCACCCGACCTAGGGTTCACTCTTAATCTAACAGTTCTATGGGTTTTGAGGAATGTATAATGACTTGTATCCACCATTGTAGTATCTTACGGAGTAGTTTCACTGCCCTAGGAAGGCCCTGTTTTCTACCTATTCACTCTCTTTCTTTCCCCCCAGTGCTTGATCTTTTTGCCATAAAGTTTTGCCAGCTGTCTTCAATTTTTGAGGCTTGAGGGCATGTTTTCTCGCCTCCCTTCCCTGTTATTCTTAATCAGTTTTCCAGGCTGTTCTCCCATGTTGATGTTTCCATATACATCTTATTTTTATTTTATTGATTTTTTTGTAAAGATGGGGTCTCGCTATGTTGCCCAGGCTGGTCTCGAACTCCCGGCCTCAAGCGATCCTCCCGCCTCAGCCTCCCAAAGGGCTGGGAAGACAGACGTGAGCCTTCTTCCCTCACTCTCTTGGCCTTTGCCAGCATTTGTGCTTCAGAACTCAAAATTCAGAGAGCATTCCATGGAATCTGACAGATCCGGGTCTGAAACCCAGCTCTTTGCCTTCCTGAGCCTCATTTTCCTTGTTTGTAGGGTGGGGACAATGGCTACCCCGAGGGTCATTGACAGGATTCAATCAAATGAGCTGCCTTGTTCCCCGCCATCCTCAGGTGCTGAAGACGCGGTTGACCTTGCGTCGGACGGGCCAGTACAAGGGGCTGCTGGACTGCGCCAGGCAGATCTTGCAGCGAGAGGGCACCCGCGCCCTTTACCGCGGCTACCTGCCCAATATGCTCGGCATCATCCCCTATGCCTGCACCGACCTGGCTGTCTATGAGGTATGGGTCCTGCAGAGGGGGTGGCAGGGCTGGCCGGAGCCCAGGCTCCTAGTGAGCTTTCTCCTGGCCCCCTTCTCTTGCAGATGCTCCAGTGCTTCTGGGTGAAGTCAGGCAGGGATATGGGGGACCCCAGTGGCCTGGTCAGTCTGTCGTCTGTGACGCTATCCACGACCTGTGGCCAGATGGCCAGCTACCCACTGACTCTGGTGCGCACCAGGATGCAGGCCCAAGGTCAGCCTGTCCCCAGCGGCCACCACGCATGCCCCTTCCCCGCCCCACCCTGGCTGTCTCAATTTTCTCATACCCCAAAACTGAGTCCGGCACCCTCCGTGTCTGATCCCAGCCCACTTTTGATAACTTTTGAGACTGCGTCTCAAAAATATATATATAAAAATTAGCCAGGCATGGTAGTATGGACCTGTGGTCCCAGCTACTTGGGAGGCTGAGGCTGGAGGATCCCTTGAGTTCTGGAGGTCGAGGCTGCAGTGAGCTATGATCGTGCCTCCACACTCCAGCCTGCGCAACAGAGAGAGACCCTATCCCCACTCCCACCCCTCAAGAAAATTTCCTAAAATTAATCCTGATAACTACTACTCAGAAACTCCCCCACTCCTCCTCAAACTGACCAATTTCCTCTAAGACTCTTCAAACTGTTTTCCTACTGACCCCTGGGGCCCCTACCCGTGGCTTCAGCACCTGTCCGCAACATTCCAGACTCCTAGGAGGCCCGGTCATCTCTGGCCTAGTCCTGATCTTGCCTGTGTCCCTGCAGATACCGTGGAGGGCTCAAATCCCACCATGCGCGGAGTCCTCCAGCGGATCCTGGCCCAGCAGGGCTGGCTAGGGCTGTACCGAGGCATGACCCCCACGCTACTGAAGGTCTTACCAGCAGGTGGCATCAGCTATGTGGTGTACGAAGCCATGAAGAAAACCCTGGGCATATAGGCTGTGAGCTGGACGACACAGCCTAGGCAGAAATGGGACAGGAGGACCTGATGACCCCTGGCCCCAAAGAGCCCTCGAGGCCTCAAGGTTCAGGCCCTGGGGCAGTTTTTGGTGGCAAAAGCAGGCTGGGGGTGGGGGTGGGGCTCTGGGTCAGAAGATTCCTGAAGCTGGGGTTGGTGGTGGGTGGAGGGGGGCAGTGCTGGGTCAGAAAACTCCTGGGACTCCCTCCCCAGGGTGCAGCCTGAGACAAGAAACGTGGACTCCAGTCTGGCCCCTTGTGGGTCGTCCTGGCTCCAGGGCGAAATGGTGAACATGTCACACAACAAGGAATAAAGAGATGGTTTTTGCTGAACGTGTCTGGATACTTGGGCCTAGGAGTGGAACTGGGTGCATGAGATCCCTGGACCCAGTAGGGGAGCTGGGGACCTTGGGCCTCTGGGTCCTGAATGGGAATTTGTGTCCAGGAGAGGAAGTGAGGACCTAGGATAGGAGCTTGAGGCTTGGATCCCAGGGCCTTAGGCGAAGGGAGTGAGGGGTGTGAAGTGAGGGGTGTGATCGAGGCTGTGATCCCTCGATCCCGGTTGTTGGAACGGTTCTGGACTCGTGAGTGGGGCTGGTTCCTTGAGTCCTGCAAGAGAACTGGACGCTCTAGATGGGGGGTCGAGAGAGAAGAAGGCCCGGGGGATCCCGAGTTTCCTGCTTTCCGGCCTCCCCACCTCCGGAAGCGCTCGATCTCTAAGGCTTCAAGCGGGCCACGTGCCGGGCCTACCCAACCAGGCTGCCGGTGAGCTAACCCAGACATCAGGCCTGAGTTCGGGCAGCCGATTGCCACCGCCCACGTCGGCTGCCATTCACTACAGTTCCCGCTAATCCCCTCGCTGTCTGGTGGCCGACTCCGCCCCAATGCAGCGGCGCTTCCACTGGCTCCCACCAAAAGTGGGCGCTTTGATTTCCTTCATTCCCATTTGTCCAGACCAGTGTCAGTCACCGAACACCCACCCATGTCGCTCAGCCATTGGCTTAGAAGTCAGGGATAGAAAAGGATTCTGGTTAACAAGGGAAGCAATTAAAGTCCAAAGCCAACCTCATCACCCAGAACTCGTCAGGAATTGGATTAATTGGCTGCCCATCTTTACAAGCACCACCTCTCACGTGCATTCATTGGCTTGTGTCCACGACTATCAAACCTAACGCCCACCCAGCCGGTCCATAGGAGTCTTCCACTAGGCCCGGCCTTACAGTCCACGTGACTCTTCAGAACCGTCAATCTAATTCTGAAGCCGCCCCGCGAATCTGGCACTCGCGTTTCATTGGGCCTCCTGCCTTCTCAGATCTCCTTCATTTGCCCGCCCAGCACGGGCAGCTCGCAGCTATTGCCTCTGAGAGCTGTCAGTCACTCTGAGCCTCCCGCCCACTGCCCCTCATTGCACTCCGATTGGCCACCTCCTACAGAGCTCGCGATTGGTGTCCGGGGTGCGGCGGCTGCCTCCCATTGGCCCGCCGGAGTCGTCCGTCACGTCGGCGGCGGGAGGGGCGACTCTCTCCCCCCTCGTCGTCCTCCCAGCGGCTGGGTTCCCAGAGTGCTCCGCGGCCGTGTGGAGCGAGGCCTTGTTCCCGCGTTGAGCCGCCGCCGCCGCCGCCGCCTCCTCAGCTTCAGCCTCCGCGCCAGGCCCGGCCCCGCCGCGCCATGTCGGACTACAGCACGGGAGGACCCCCGCCCGGGCCGCCGCCGCCCGCCGGCGGGGGCGGGGGAGCCGGAGGCGCCGGGGGAGGCCCTCCGCCGGGCCCGCCAGGCGCGGGGGACCGGGGCGGCGGCGGTCCCGGCGGCGGCGGCCCGGGCGGGGGGTCGGCCGGGGGCCCCTCTCAGCCACCCGGCGGAGGCGGCCCGGGAATCCGCAAGGACGCTTTCGCCGACGCCGTGCAGCGGGCCCGCCAGGTGAGGAGGCCGAGGGCCTGAGGGGCGCGCTCGCGCGCGCGCGCAGGCGGGGGAGGGGGCGGGGGTCACGTGCGCGCGCGCGCGCAGGGTCGCGGAGGGGGGCCGGGGCCGTCGCGGGGTCACGTGGGCGGTAGGCGGGGGCCTGGCCCTCCCGCTGCGCCTCGAGTGGGATCCCAACGGGTGACCCCCCTGCAGGGAGTAGGGGCGCACTGGGGGTCACCAGGAGCGGCGCCTGGGTGTGCAGGCGCCCCGGAGCTCGGAGACGCACTTTTGGGACCCCCCCCTTAGCCCCCCGGCCTTAGGACATGCCTGGAGGCAGGGGTCCACCTTCCCGGGCGGAGGGCCTTTACTCTCCCCTCCATATCAGGGCAAAGGGCAGTGTTTGCCCCCAACCCAGTCCCATTTCTGTCCCCTCTCTAGGAGAAAGGGACATTGTGGGGGTGGGAGGGACAGTCCTTCCTCTTCAGTCGGGAAAGTGGATGGGGACCTGTCTAGGGCTGAGCACTTGGGCGAAATGGGGAAGACGAGCATGGGGACTGGCTCTTGGATGCTTTGGTGGCTTGAAAGCGTGGTCTGTCTCTTTGGGGGAAAGAAGGGAGGGTCTCCCACCCCCGTGTATTGAGGCGTAATGACAAGGAAGTGTCACATGCTGCTAGGACTGACCTCTCCAGCTCCATTTGCAGCCTCCCCAT
This sequence comes from Homo sapiens, assembly GCF_000001405.40. Taxonomy (NCBI): domain Eukaryota; kingdom Metazoa; phylum Chordata; class Mammalia; order Primates; family Hominidae; genus Homo; species Homo sapiens. Next base: position 6,423,760 of record NC_000019.10, on the reverse strand, counting down.
GGCCTGGAGGGGTGGGGGTCGGTAGAATGGGAGGACTTTGCCGCCGACCGGCTCCTGGGCTGTCCCAATGCCTCCGGGGCTAGAGACTGGCTCCTCCCAAGGTGGGAGGTCCCGTTAAGTGAACGCCTGTGTTCTGGCCCTCTGTCGTCTCTCTCACCCTTGGAGTTGGGTGGGTTCTAGCGTGCATTTGGTCTTATTGCCCATGGAACCGTCTGATTCTGGGACAGCTTGAAGGGAGGAAGCTGGTGCTGTCAGTTGGTGGGGACAGGCCCCCTGTGGGCATCCCATGAGTTTTGGCTCTAGGGCAGCGTAGAAAAATGGAGACTGGTGGAAAGGGAGATTCTTAACATGGTTTGGGTTTCTAAACCCCAGACTCTGATCCTAAGTTTGCTGGGTTGAGGTTTCTTTAAAGTTGCTCTTCACGTGTCTGAGATGTAACTTGTGTCCCATAGAGTCTTGGTTTTTTGTTTGTTTGTTTGTTTTTTGGAAACAGTCTCAATATCACCCAGGCAGGGGTGCAGTGGCACGATCTCAGCACACCACAGCCTCCACCTCTCCAGTTGAAGTGCTCCTCCTGCCTCAGCCTCCCGAGTAGCTGGGATTATAAGTGTGCACCACCACACCCAGCTAATTTTTGTATTTTTAGTAGAGATGGAGTTTGACCATGTCAGCCAGTCTGTCTCGAACTCCTGAGTTCAAGTGATCTGCCCGCCTCGGCCTCCCAAAATGCTGGGATTACAGGCATAAGTCACAGTGCCCAGCCATCCAGAGAGTCTTCTGTTTTGGTCAAATGAGGATTTCATATCCCTTGAAGTGATCGCTTTGCTCAAATTTATTCAATAAATTGATAAAAGGATTTTGAGAGTGGGGGAGATAGGGGAAAATTGAACTCTTCAGCATCCCAGGAAAACGGGGCTAAAAAAAAACACACTTTCTGGTTTTCTGAGCTGGGGCCACTGGCAGGAGGAAGTGTCTGAAAGCTCTTGGAGATGACCTGGGAACCCTCCCTGACACCTGAGCCTCTGTTCCTTGTCACCCCTAGAACGAAGTCAGTGTGGATTATGGGCTGGCCACAATTAAGACACAAATCCCAGGAGAAGGGAAGAGGGGAATTTTGATATTCCCAGTTAACTGGTGAGAACCTTGAGGCCTAGGTTCAAAACTCCTAGGATGTCTTAACCAACTGACTCTTCCCTAAGTTGGAGGGCCAGACACCAAGACCTGATGGGCTTTCGTGTCCAGGAGATGTTCTGAGAAGTTGACCTGGGTGCCATGGAGGGTTGTTTTTGGTGGTAATTCTTCTGTGCTTACTACTTTATTCTAGATTGCAGCCAAAATTGGAGGCGATGCTGCCACGACAGTGAATAACAGCACTCCTGATTTTGGTTTTGGGGGCCAAAAGAGACAGTTGGAAGATGGAGGTAACTCCCTGCTGCTGCCTTTAGCTTAGGAGGAAGGGCTGGGGGCCTAAAGAGGTGCTTTTGTTTGAGTGTGGTTCAGAGGGGGTGGGTGTCACTGTTGTTTGGTCTTTTAAAACCTCAGCAATCCCGGCCTTGTTAATTCTTCTTGTTCCGTCTGCCATCCTGAGGTATCAGGTGGCAGAGAGGAGGGCAGATTGATTGTGACTGGGTCGAAGTTGTAAGTTCCCAAGATGATTCCTCCCTTTCTGGGAGGCTGAGGCAACCTGGAGCAGTTACTGAGGCTTGATGTGAAGTTGGCCCAGCTCTGGGGTGCGTAGTGTGACCCCAAGTAGCGGATGATCAACCCTGACCAACTCCACTGTTATCCACGACACCCTCCCTGCTAGAGGCAGGTCCTGTCCTAAACCGGGAGGACTCAGGTGCCTGGTGGTGGTTGCGTGTTCTGAAGGCTTTTTTACTCTGAGCGTTGGTGGCGGAATTGGCGGGGTCTGGCCTCCCTCAGGGGCCAGTCTCTCCTGGGCTCCTGTCTCAGCTCCTGTTAAGGGTGGGGGCCGAGGGGCACTGTTTACCTTGGACATGTGGCACCAGCATCAGGTTCGAGGCGGCCGTGGGTGGGTGGGTGCTGCATCTGCCATCCTCTCTCTTTCCCAGATCAACCGGAGAGCAAGAAGCTGGCTTCCCAGGGAGACTGTAAGTCCAGGGGGTCTGGTGGCAGATATGTGGCTTCAGAGGGTTGAGGTTTTCAGGAGTCAGGAGCTGGAAGCACTGAGGAGGTGGCAGCTCTTTACAGAGGCCCCTGGTGCTTCATTCTGGGGCCCATACGTTTGAGGGATCCCAGGAACCCTGAAATTGAGGGAGATGAGCTCTGTGCTTTTATGGGGAGGAATCCACAGCATCCATGAGGCACTGGAGCAGGCTGGGGACCGTGGTGCCGGGCTCAGCTCCCACTGACCCGGGGCAGGCAGTGCCAAGTGCCCGAGGAGGAGCTAAGCCAGTCTTTGCTTTGGGTTTTCTCTCTACAGCAATCAGTTCTCAACTTGGACCCATCCATCCTCCCCCAAGGTAAGCCATGGTGGGGCCCACACTGCTTTCTTGTCTGTTGGCCAGCAGACTGGCCTTTCTGCTGACTTGGGAGGGCTCTGACTGGGGGCACATCTCTCAGGTTTTATCCCCCAGTGCCAGTTGACCAGAGTGCTCAGACGGGAATGAGGCAGAGGAGCTGTGTCCGTTCCTCGTACCCCTTGTCTGAAGGGCTGTGGGAGGGGAGCGTCGTGGCAGTCACTGTAGTGATAGGGTGGTCTCCGCACCCTATGGCTTCCTCCGCTGGGGTGGGGACTCTGAGCAGCACAAATGTCGTCTTCCTGGAAGAGGCTAGGAGGGCCTTGCTTCCCTCCCTCACACATCTGCAAGTGCCCATCCCACTCAGTGCTGTGGAGCTCAGGGCTCTTTGCCACCTCTTTGCCCCACCAGATGGACTGAGGTGAACCTGACACAGGGCAGTTGTCAGGGGTCATTTTTTGTTTGTTTGTTTTTAATGGGCCAGTAGTTTCATAAAATACTAGGAAAATAAGATGAAAAGGACATACAGCCAGCTTTTTAGAACTGAGAGACATAGAGTGACTGTCAGCTTGCTACTCAGTGCTCCCTCTCGCCCTGAATCAATGGGACGGCACCAGGCCAAGGCCCACAATGCCCAGAGCAAGCCTCTCGGGGCACAGATGGGGAAACTGAGGCCTTGGCAGTTTTGTGGCCTGTGTGGTCAGACTCTGCTTAGACCTATGGTGGCCTTGGCTTCAAGTAGACCTTCCAGAGCTGCTGTCCTCCTCCCTTCCCACTTGAGGACTGACCTTTGGCGTGTCTCTTTACAGGACTTCAATGACAGAAGAGTACAGGGTCCCAGACGGCATGGTGGGCCTGAGTGAGTGTGGGTCACCTTGGGTGGGGAGGCCCACTCTTCCCCAGGAGGAAGTGTCCTGTGAGCTCCTGCCAGCCCAGAAGCCCTGGTCTGAGAGGGCTCCTATGTGCTGTTCTCATTTGTCCCTCCTTCGTCCCCTCTGGGCAGAGGACAGGAGCTCTCTAGAGGACTGCTGCCCTCCTGAACGTCAGAGGGGCTGGGGCCCCGGCCACACAGTCTCCTGAGGCCTGGGCTCCCTTCCCTCATCACGCTTTGCTTTTCTCCTTCTTTCTCCATCCAGTCATTGGCAGAGGAGGTGAACAAATTAACAAAATCCAACAGGATTCAGGCTGCAAAGTACAGATTTCTCCAGGTATAAGAGCGTCAGGTTCCTGCCAGAGTGGGGGCCAGGGTTGGGCCCTTTGCACTTTCCTTTAATTACTTAATTTCCACGGGGACTGTGGACAGGAAGCGAGCTGGCGCTTGTTGGTGCTTACTACGGACCAGGCTCAGTGCAGTATCTCACTCCACTAGTACTGCCCACGGGGCACAGCTGTGACTTTTTTTATTTTCAGTGGGTGGGTATGGACTGAGGTGGCAGGGCTAGCATTTCGCACAGGGGCCTGGTTCCAGACACCGAGCTTCGACGCACTGCACTGACCTGCCGCGTGGGTGAAAGCACCCCGGCAAGACTGCGTGAGACAGGGTGGTGCCTTGGACAGAGGGGTCACTCTGAGGTCAGGCCCAGGAGCAAATCCCGGTTCTGGCTGCACATCTGCTCTCAGGCAATGTAGTTACCTTTCGAATCTCAGAGTCCTGAGCTACAGAAAGCCTGCTGGGTAGGGGGTTCTGAGGCTTCCTTGGGCGTGTAGCACGTGTTGTCTATAGAAGCGGCTCTGGTCATCATTGGTAGTGGGGGTGGCCGGCTCCTGGACCTTCTGGAATCTGCAACTCCCTCCACCTCATCCTTTTCCCTTAAAGTCCTACCTCCCTTCTGGGATCTCTTCCCAACCTTGGCCTTGCATCGAGCAGCCTCCCAGGTGTTTAGGGGAAGTAAACTGATCTGTCAGGCACTGAATGGGACAGAAGTGGCCCTTGGTTGTTCTGAAAGTTTCCTCGTGTCCAAGGCAGGCCTTTCTCTGCCTGTGGGCCAGGGAGGGCACTGACTCTATCTCCTCTTTTCAGACAGCGGTGGCCTACCCGAGCGCAGTGTGTCCTTGACAGGAGCCCCAGAATCTGTCCAGTAAGTCCCCACAGGGCCTCTCATTGTGATGTGGGGGGCAGGCAGAAGCCTGCTCTGTCCGTTTGAATTGAAAGTTGGGAGCAACTTGCACGCCATGTCCTCCATTCTTGCCCCCATCTCCAGACAGCCATGTTAACATGAGGCTGATTCCCCGGCAGCCCAAGACCTGGGGAACCTGGAGCCTGAACAGCCCCTGTGACTGGCCCCTCTTCCCTGTCATCCTTGCACACTCTGGGGTCGCCTTCCCTTTGAGCTGGGTGGGCCACCAGACCAGTACCTTTCTCCAGCGGTGGCACCCGCTCATCCCCCGCTCCTCCCCTTCCCAGGAAAGCCAAGATGATGCTGGATGACATTGTGTCTCGGGGTCGTGGGGGCCCCCCAGGACAGTTCCACGACAACGCCAACGGGGGCCAGAACGGCACCGTGCAGGAGATCATGATCCCCGCGGGCAAGGCCGGCCTGGTCATTGGCAAGGGCGGGGAGACCATTAAGCAGCTGCAGGTGAGGGCAGCACCTGGGCAGCTTCCTCTGCATCCGTGTGCCACACCCCACCGCCACCACCACAGCAGCCCAGGAAGTCCTGGGAGAGCCCAGCACTAACGGTTAACCTTGCTTGTAAAGGAACGCGCTGGAGTGAAGATGATCTTAATTCAGGACGGATCTCAGAATACGAATGTGGACAAACCTCTCCGCATCATTGGGGATCCTTACAAAGTGCAGGTGAGCACGCCCTGGGGTGGTGGAGGGGGTTCTGGAGAGGCACGGGCAGGTGGGCAGGGCCAGCGGTCTCGGGGTCTGCATTCCGCCAGAGAGATATGTGAACAGTCGGTCATAACACCAAGAGGCTTGCAAGAGCGCTGGCTCGTAGGATGGCCCTGAACTGACTCCCAGCTTTGTGTGTGTGAGGCACCGGCCTCACCTCTGACCTTCTGCTTTTTTATCTGGAAACGGGGCTGCTGGTAGTGCCTCCCCATTAAAGTGGCAGGTAGAGAGCTCAGTAGGGTGCTGTGCTGGGCTCACCCAGGGTTCGTGGGTCCTTAGTTGAGGCCCGCACCCCCGAGGAGGTGGGGGGGTGTGGGGCAGCAGGGCTCACCCATGGGGGCTGCTTCCTGTGTGTTTGCAGCAAGCCTGTGAGATGGTGATGGACATCCTCCGGGAACGTGACCAAGGCGGCTTTGGGGACCGGAATGAGTACGGATCTCGGATTGGCGGAGGCATCGATGTGAGTGTGGGCCCTGCCTTCACCCCCCTCTCCCCCGCCAGTGGAGGGAGGGGCCGGGGTGAGTGGCTCCTTGTGGCCAGTGGGCAGCAGAGGGCAGCAGAGCTGCGGGCCGAGCTGACGCTGCTGCCTCCCTCCCCAGGTGCCAGTGCCCAGGCATTCTGTTGGCGTGGTCATTGGCCGGAGTGGAGAGATGATCAAGAAGATCCAGAATGATGCTGGCGTGCGGATACAGTTCAAGCAAGGTCAGGGCCTGGCCCACCCTGCCCCTGGCCAGTGCACCCCCACCCTCTTTGGGAGGCAGGCTCTGAGGGAGCTGGGCACCGTGGTCAGCCAGGTGGCCTCCATAGCACCTCACGGCTCTTAGTCCAGCCGTCAGAACATGGCCAGTCCCTTCTCTTCTCTGGGACAGACACATGAGGGCTTTCCACATCCAGGGGGAACGTGTGTTCCTATCCCTATCAGATCTCCTCTTCCTCCCCCTACGATGGAGCCTATCCTGACAGGACAGCCCTGGGTGCCCCGCAGGCTGGATCAGGGCACTCCACCTCAGCTCTGGGCTCTTGCCAGTCCTCAGGCAGTCTCTGAGCTGCCTGCCGTGGGGAGAAGGGCCCCTCTGGCTTTTCAGAGATTTATTGTTCTGTAAAATCTCTCAGTGCTGGGGGTGCTGTGTGCTGGAAGAAGCTTGAGCCACCTCCTGGCTTGGCCGTGGGTTTCCTTCTCTGGGAATGTGGGCCGCCTCCCCCTCAATCCCTGAGCGAGTGGAGGCTGGGAGCGGCGCAGCGCGTCTGAGATCTCAGGCCGGCGTGGTGTCTGCGCTGGAGGCGGCGTTGCAGGGCTCTGGGGTGGGCTCTTCTTTTAAACTTGTGTCTCTGCTCTCTCGGTGCTGGCCTCAGATGACGGGACAGGGCCCGAGAAGATTGCTCATATAATGGGGCCCCCAGACAGGTGCGAGCACGCAGCCCGGATCATCAACGACCTCCTCCAGAGCCTCAGGGTAGGTGGCCCCGGGTGCTGAAGGGGCTGGCAGGGCCTCCAGGGGAGTGCAAGACCAGACCGGCTTCCAGGGTTCATCATCCTCCTCCTCCTCTTGTCTTGCAGAGTGGTCCCCCAGGTCCTCCAGGGGGTCCAGGCATGCCCCCGGGGGGCCGAGGCCGAGGAAGAGGCCAAGGCAATTGGGGTCCCCCTGGCGGGGAGATGACCTTCTCCATCCCCACTCACAAGTGTGGGCTGGTCATCGGCCGAGGTGAGTGTGGCCCCCTGCACCCTATCCCTTGCCCCCTCTTCCCTGGGCCATCACTGCAGGCCACCTTCACCTTCTGCGTTTCTGCAGGTGGCGAGAATGTGAAAGCCATAAACCAGCAGACGGGAGCCTTCGTAGAGATCTCCCGGCAGCTGCCACCCAACGGGGACCCCAACTTCAAGTTGTTCATCATCCGGGGTTCACCCCAGCAGATTGACCACGCCAAGCAGCTTATCGAGGAAAAGATCGAGGTGGGTTGGGGCGGGCTCTGGGGATTTGGTCTCACAGCCCGGATCCCAGCCCACTTACCTTGGTTACTCTCCTTCCTTCTAGGGTCCTCTCTGCCCAGTTGGACCAGGCCCAGGTGGCCCAGGCCCTGCTGGCCCAATGGGGCCCTTCAATCCTGGGCCCTTCAACCAGGGGCCACCCGGGGCTCCCCCACAGTGAGTATCCTCTGCCTCCTGGGTTTTGAGGCCGGGGGCTTACTGAGCTGGCAAGAAGAATAGCAGACCCCATTTCCCTTTCCCTAGAAGTGCAGGCGGGGGGCCTCATCCAGCCCATTTTTGTGGATACCATCAACAGGCCCTCTCCTGTCTACTGGTAGAGCATGTGCCTTTCAGCATCCCTCTGTGCACGTGCAAGTTTCGCGGCTTCTTTCATGTCCTCAAGCTGACGCTGCGCGTCCTTCGAGTTGCTTCTTGTCTAGGCCTTTCCCAGGCGCCCCGTTGAGCCTGGTGGTCTGGGTCTCTGGCGCCTCCCCACTGAAAAACATCCCCACCCCAGGTGGTCCGGCTGCGGCCACCCCCGCACCACTGCTCAAGCATCCCTTTCTTCTCTCCTGCAGTGCCGGGGGGCCCCCTCCTCACCAGTACCCACCCCAGGGCTGGGGCAATACCTACCCCCAGTGGCAGCCGCCTGCTCCTCATGACCCAAGTAAGTGATGGGCCACCTGGCGGAGGGCAGGCCCTGTTCTGTCCCCCCGTCTCACCCGAGGTATCTCCTGCAGGCAAAGCAGCTGCAGCGGCCGCGGACCCCAACGCCGCGTGGGCCGCCTACTACTCACACTACTACCAGCAGCCCCCGGGCCCCGTCCCCGGCCCCGCACCGGCCCCTGCGGCCCCACCGGCTCAGGGTGAGCCCCCTCAGCCCCCACCCACCGGCCAGTCGGACTACACTAAGGCCTGGGAAGAGTATTACAAAAAGATCGGTGAGTCTGCAGGGTGGCGGGGGGGCTCCAGCCCTGCCGGGGGAGTGGTTTCTGACCTGTCTCGGCGCCCGCACAGGCCAGCAGCCCCAGCAGCCCGGAGCACCCCCACAGCAGGACTACACGAAGGCTTGGGAGGAGTACTACAAGAAGCAAGGTGAGTGGCCACCATGCGGGGACAGGGGCAGGGGCAGCCCTCACCCACAGCCTCTCACCTGCCTTTGTCCACCCACAGCGCAAGTGGCCACCGGAGGGGGTCCAGGAGCTCCCCCAGGCTCCCAGCCAGACTACAGTGCCGCCTGGGCGGAATATTACAGACAGCAGGCCGCTTACTACGGACAGACCCCAGGTCCTGGCGGCCCCCAGCCGCCGCCCACGCAGCAGGGACAGCAGCAGGCAAGTGGGAATTGCCACCCTCCTCCTCCTCCTTTCTCCTTCCAACCCCCGGCCACCGTCCATCCTGCCTTAGTGGGTAGCGCCGGAAACCCCTTCCCCTGCGGGGTGTGCCCTTGATGCCTGCAGCGGGGGCCGTGTGGCCGGAGGTCTCCGGGAGTCCCCACGCACCGCCAGGGAAGCATTCGCTGGGTCCAGAGGTTAAACGAAGAGGCCTCCCTGCGCCGGCTGCTTGTTCCTGTGTGCCGCTGTCGTGATGCTGGGGAGCGCTGAGACTCGCAGGCGGGACTTCTGAACTGCTGGGGAGTCGGGGGGCAGGCAGACAGCGCGGACGGTGGGCACCGGCCCGGCCGCCACCACCTCGCTCACAATCTGGCCACTTGGGAAGAAAACGTCTATTTTTTCCCCTTCTCTGCATCACTTTTTTGGTTTTTGTTCTTTTTATTCTTTTATTTTTTAAACCCATGATCTTTTTTCCTGTGTCCAAGTGACTGTGTTGCAGGCGGCCTGGCTCTGGCAGGGACTGGTGGGGACGCGGGGAGCGGCCCAGGCCCCTGCCCCGCCGGGCTCAGCCTCCCATGCGCTCGCGCTTGCCTGTGTCCCGGGCTTGTCTGTGAAGTGGGCGTGAAGATCGTTGCCACCTTCCAACCTACCTCACAGGGGTGTTGTGGGGACACCATGATCTCTGGATTGTTCATGTCGTCGTGCTGCGCCGGGAGCCACCGCCCTCCGGAGACAGGGCAGCTCCCCTACGACCCTAGCGCCTCCGCCCTCCGCGGCCCCTCTCCTCTCTTCCTGCTCTGTCCCTCCTTCTCCATCAGGGAGCAGCGTGACTTCAGCGAGTCCCGCGAGCACCTGGCTAGACAGTTAACAAGCACGTCCTTCCAGCCTGAGCCAGCGCAGGTTTGGGAGGGGGCTTCCTGGCCCCCCCCACGGTGTTCCAGCCCCTCCTCTCTTCCGCCCCCTAGTCTCCCACCCTTCCCTCCCCGTAGTGACCAATTCCTATCTCTTCCCTCTCCGCAGGCTCAATGAATCGAATGAATGTGAACTTCTTCATCTGTGAAAAATCTTTTTTTTTTCCATTTTGTTCTGTTTGGGGGCTTCTGTTTTGTTTGGCGAGAGAGCGATGGCTGCCGTGGGGAGTACTGGGGAGCCCTCGCGGCAAGCAGGGTGGGGGGGACTTGGGGGCATGCCGGGCCCTCACTCTCTCGCCTGTTCTGTGTCTCACATGCTTTTTCTTTCAAAATTGGGATCCTTCCATGTTGAGCCAGCCAGAGAAGATAGCGAGATCTAAATCTCTGCCAAAAAAAAAAAAAAACTTAAAAATTAAAAACACAAAGAGCAAAGCAGAACTTATAAAATTATATATATATATATTAAAAAGTCTCTATTCTTCACCCCCCAGCCTTCCTGAACCTGCCTCTCTGAGGATAAAGCAATTCATTTTCTCCCACCCTCGGCCCTCTTGTTTTTAAAATAAACTTTTAAAAAGGAAAAAAAAAAGTCACTCTTGCTATTTCTTTTTTTTAGTTAGAGGTGGAACATTCCTTGGACCAGGTGTTGTATTGCAGGACCCCTTCCCCCAGCAGCCAAGCCCCCTCTTCTCTCCCTCCCGCCCTGGCTCAGCTCCCGCGGCCCCGCCCGTCCCCCCTCCCAGGACTGGTCTGTTGTCTTTTCATCTGTTCAAGAGGAGATTGAAACTGAAAACAAAATGAGAACAACAAAAAAAATTGTATGGCAGTTTTTACTTTTTATCGCTCGTTTTTAACTTCACAAATAAATGATAACAAAACCTCCCCGTCTGCGGGTGCTGTCTGTCTCCCCCCCTTTCCTTCCCTCCCTGTAGTTTTGAAGCGGATGTTTGTTCTTTATAGATGTTGTTTAAAAAGCCTGATAATGGTGATTGAAATTTACAAACTTTGTGTTTTTTTTTTTTTAAGAAAAATATAAAATAGTTTTCTTCAGGCTCAATGTGCTTTCCTAACCGTGCCCCCCCCCCTTTTTTTTTTTTGTTAAATAAAGTGCTTTTTGTTTAAAAAAGACTGCGTGCTGGCCGCAGTTGTGTTTGTGAGAGGAAACAAGTTGAGCAAGTCTCAGCCAATTAGAGTGGGGTGTGGCCCCCCAAGACTTTCCCCTTCCCATGTGGGAAGGGGAGGCTGGCTGAGCCCAGCACTGCTGTCTTCCCCTACCCAGTTTCCCTCCAGCACCTTGGGGAGCAAGGCGCTCAGGAGGGCCTCAGGGACCGGCGTTCCCATGGATGGGCTGTTGCTACAGGAGGTCCTCTGGCCTGTTAACGTTCAGAGCCCTGAGGTGGGAGCCAGGCCCGCGTCAGTGCTCGCTGGGTGATGGGACCGGATGTGAGGTGGGAGAGGGCACCGAGGGGCCACCCAAGCTGTTTGGACCTGGGCAGGTGTCTTGCAGCCCCGCATGCAGCTGCAGGGTCTCTGAGGTTGTGGCTGAATGCCAGCGTTTAAAACTCGCTTCATCTTAGATGTCCTGGGCTCATGGGCCTGGTGATAGCCCCGGCAGGAGCCAGTAACAGCTGTGGCCTCTAGGGGGGGCTGTTGACAGTCCCCTGACCCATGCAGGTGTGCCAGGCACCTGGCCCAGTGGGGCATGTTCCTTGGTGGCCCCTGGCCAACCTCCCTGGTGGGGAAACAGACCCCGGGAAAGGGAACCTGTTGCTCTGGAATCACAGGGGGCATCGGTCCCCCTTTCTGGAGGTCTCACCTCCTAGGTACGCACCCTTCCCACGTACTGCACGGGTTCCGGTGAGGGGCAAGGCCCACCCCCAGCCCCTCTGTCTCACTGCAGACTCTCAATGACAGAGCAGCACTTGGCAAAGATGTTCTCTGGTGCTGCTTCTGCCGGGATCTAGAGAAAGGGGAGCCGCAGGGGTCAGGTCTGGGCCCCACGGCAGGGACACCACCCTCTCCCGCTCAGACCCTGGGAAAATCCCAGAGGCATGCACGTGAAGGGAGAGGGGACAGGGTCAGGAAAGCTTGTGTTGCTGACTGCTGTGTGAGGGCGTGCAGGGAGGCCCCACCAGTGTCCCATTGCCTTCCCACGTGAGCCAAGGCTGGGTTCTCAAGGCATTTCCTGGGGGAATGGGAATCCCCCAGGTTACCTGGTAGGAAAGCGAGGACCAGGCCCGGGTGACCCTGGACTGTTAAAGCCAGACTTGTTCCCTAGGGGTTGGGGTGCAGTGAGCCAGAAGCGGGGAGCACCTACGTTTCAGAGCAGGTTATTGCGCTGGTAGGTCAAGACCGGCTCACACAAGGTATAGTGCGTGTCCAAGCGCTGGTGGATGGCCAGCTCCGAGTCGTCTGCCCGGTGCTCCACCTGGCCCCAGTGTAGCACTCGTCGGAGCATCGTCTCCATGGAGCAGTCAAACACGATGACGACGCTGGGGGCCTGGCCCACCTAGGAACCCGAACAAGGGGGCTGGGTGTGGAGGGACCAGGCACAGTGGCTCCAGAACCCCGGCTTCCCCAGAAACCAGGTATCTAGGATTACGTGGGCAGGTAAGAAATAATCAGGCCACCCTGGTCTGTTTTATTTATTTATTTATTTATTTATTTATTTATTTATTTGGGCACGTAAGGAATAATCAGGCCACCCTGGTCTGTTTTATTTATTTATTTATTTATTTATTTATTTATTTATTTATTTATTGAGATGGAGTCCCACTCTGTCGCACAGGCTGGAGTGCAATAGCACGATCTCAGCTCACGGCAACCACCTCCTCCCAGGTTCAAGCAATTCTCCTGGCTCAGCCTCCCAAGTAGCTGGCATTACAGGTGCACACCACCACACCCAGCTGATTTTTGTACTTTTAGTAGAGACGGGATTTTGCCATGTTGGTCAGGCTAGTCTCGAACTCCTAACCTCAGGTGATCCTCCCGTCTTGGCCTCCCACAGTGCTGGGATTATAGGCGTGAGCCACCATGCCCAACCTTGTTTTATTTTTCTAGCTCAAGTTTTACGTATTTACTTTTTGGAGAGGACAGGACATTCACTGCCAAACACACACACACACACAGTGAAGCATCTCGCCATCTCCAACCACCCAGGGTCACTCTCCCTGGAGGCAGCCTAGTTACCTGCTCCTGTGTCTCCTTCGAAAGCTATGAGGCATGCACACTGCAAGCAAATATGGTTCTAATACTTTTTTCCTCCTCTTTTTTTTTTTTTTTTCCTTGAAACAGAGTCTTGCTCTGTCAACCAGGCTGGAGTGCGGTGGCGCGATCTCGGCTCGCCGCAACCTCCGTCTCCCAGGTTCAAGCAATTCTCCTGCCTCAGCTTCCCAAGTAGCTGGGATTACAGGCAGCCACCACCACGCCCAGCTAATTTTTGTATTTTTAGTAGGAACGGGGTTTCGCCATGTTGGCCAGGGTAGTCTCGAACTCCTGAGCTCAGGTGATCTGCCCACCTCAGCCTCCCAAAGTGCTGGGATTACAGGCATGAGCCACCGCGCCCAGCCTAAAAAGTAAAATATTCTTAAGTGACTCAAAAGGATACTTGCACAGAAGGATCAGATATATATTCTTGGATAGAAAGACTCAACATTATAAAGGAGCTGAGTCTTCCCAAACTAGTTTATAATTGTCATGTGATCCAAATGTGATGCAATGGCCAAGCATGATGGCTCACGCCTGTAATCCCAGCACTTTGGGAGGCTGAGGTGGGTGGATCACTTGAGGTGAGGAGTTCCAGCCCAACCTGGCCAACACAGTGAAACCCCATCTCTACTAAAAATACGAAAATTATCCGGGCGTGGTGGTGCACGCCTATAGTCCCAGCAACTCGGGAGGCTGAAGCAGGAGAATCGCTTGAACCCGGGAGGCAGAGGTTGCAGTGAGCAGAGATCACACCACTGCACTCCAGCCTGGGCAACACAGCAAGACTCTGCCTCAAAAAAAAAGAAAAGAAAAGAAGAAAGGAAAAAGCCAACAACCTGTCAGAAAAAAAAAAAAAATATATATATATATATATATAGAGAGAGAGAGAGAGAGAAAGAGTTTACTGAAGAAGACAACAAAACACCTTTCAAACTTTTTGTATTTTTAGAGACAGGGTCTCACTCTGTTGCCTGGGCTGGAGTGTAGTGGCAAGATCATAGCTCACTGCAGCCCTGAACTCCTGGGCTCAAGCGATCTCCCACCTCAGCCTCCTGAATAGCTAGGACTACAGGTATGTGTCCCTGTGCCCAGCTTGGCCCTTAAACTTTGCAAAAGATATTAAAACTCAATTGTAGCCAGAGAAATGCTCATTACAACCACACTGAAATACCACTTCTCACCTACACAGGTTGACAAAAATCCAAAACCTTGGCAGCATGTTCTGTAGGTCTCACTGTAAATGTAAAATGAAGAGGAATCTGGTGATGGCTAGCAAAATTATGCATTTCTCTTTAATCCAGCAATTCCACTCCTAATCTATTTCAAGGATACTAGCAAAAAGGTGAAATGACATGCAAAGGTTATTATTTAATGTGGCATTGTCTGTAGTGGCAAAGGATTGAAAGTAATTTATTGCCCATAGGAGATTAGCTGAATATACAATGGCGTGGCCACACAATGGAATACTACACAGCTGTAAAAAAAGAAACAAGGAATATCTCTTGACACTGATGTGAGATATTCTGGATGGATATATGGCAAAGTTAAAAAAAACAAAAAAACAGGCTGGCATGGTGGCTCAGGCCTGTCATCCCAGCACTTAGGGAGGCCGAGGCGGGCAGATCGTTTGAGGTCACGAGTTTGAGACCAGCCTGGCCAACATGGTGAAACCCCGTCTCTATTAAAAATATAAAAATTATCCTGGCATGGTGGTGCACGCCTGCAGACCCAGCTACTCAGGAGACTGAAGCAGGAGAATCGCTTGACCCAGGAAGCAGAGATTTCAGTGAGCCAAGATGACACCACTGCACTCCAGTCTGGACAACAGAGAAAAGAAGTTGATGTAATGAAATACTGCAAACGCACACAGAAGAGGATAGCGTGAGGAATCCCCAGACAGCCAGGTCTAACCATTGTTGTATCTGTGCCCAAACCTCTTGTGAATGCTGGTTATGGGTTTTTGGGTTTTTTTCAGACAAGGTCTACTTTTGTCACCCAGGCTAGATAGAGTGCAGTGGCGTGACCATAGCTCACTGGGGCCTTGAACTACCCAACTCAAGTGATCCTCCCGCCTCAGCCTTCTGAGTGGGGGGGAAAAAAAAGGATACAAGGTCATTTGAAATAATTATTTTCTGACTGGGCACGGTGGCTCACGCCTGTAATCCCAGCACTTTGGGAGGCCAAGATGGGCAGATCACTTGAGGTCAGGAGTTCGAGACCAGCCTAACCAACATGGTGAAACCCCATCTCTACTAAAAATACAAAATTAGCTGGGTGTGGTGGTGCGTGCCTTTAATCCCAGCTACTTGGGAGGCTGAGGCAGGAGAATCGCTTGAACCCAGGAAGCGGAGGTTGCAGTGAGCCCAGATTGTGCCATTGCACTCCAGCCTGAGTGACAGAGCAAGACTCCATATAAAAAGATATATATATATATTTTCTGTGTAATTAAGGAATGCAATAGATACATAGTTGGGTCATTTGTTTCAGTTAGGTTTCATTATGTAGGGTTGCCTGGCCAACCCTGTATTTTTATTATGGTGCATCTATAGTGGGATAGAGTTGGTCCTCCATATGCGTGAGTTCTGCATCTGTGAATTCAACTAACCTCAGACTGAAAATATTTGGATGCCGGGCGCAGTAGCTCACGCTTGTAATCTCAGCACTTTGGGAGGACAAGGTGGGCAGATCACTTGAGGCCAGGAGTTCGAGACCAGCCTGGCCAACATGGTGAAACCCCATCTCTACTAAAAATACAAAAAATTAGCCGGGTGTGGTAGTAATCTCAGCTACTCGGGATGCTGAGGCAGGAGAATCGCTTGAACCCAGGAGGCGGAGGTTGCAGTGAGCCGAGATCGCGCCATTGCGCTCCAGCCTGGGCAACAAAAGGGAAATTCTGTCTCAAAAAAGAAAAAAGAAAAGAAAATATTTGGAAAACAAGTTGCCTCTGTATTGAACATGTATAGACTTTTTTTTTTTTTTTTTAAGACAGGGTCTGGTTTTTTTCCCCATACCTCACAATGTCCAAAATAAAATTCTTTTTTTTATTTGTTTGAGACAGGGTCTTGCTGAAGTACAGTGGCGCAATCATAGCTCACTGTAGCCTCAAACTCCTGGGCTCAAGCGATCTCACCTCACTCTCCTGAGTAGCTGGGACCACAGGCGTGGGCCACCTTGCCCAGCCCAGAATTTTTTCCTTGTCATTATTCCCTAAGCAATACACTATAACAACTATTTACATAACATTTACATTGTTTTAGGTATTACAAGTAATCTAGAGATGACTTACAGTATATGAGAGGGTGATCATAGGTTCTATGCAAATACTATGCTATTTTATTATTTAACTCTTTGAATATGTAATTTATTTAGAGATGGGGTCTCACTATGTTGCCCAGGCCGGCCTCAAACTCCTGAGCTCCCACTTCGGCCTCCCAAAGTGCTGGGATTACAGGTGTGATTACCGTACCTGGCCACTACTGTGTTATTGTATATCAGAAATGTGAGCAGCCAGGTGTGGTGCCTCACGCCTGTAATCCCAGCACTTTGGGAGGCCGAGGTGGGTGGATCGCCTGAGGTCAGGAGTTCAAGACCAGCCTGGCCAACATGGAGAAACCCTGTCTCTACTAAAAATACAAAATTAGCCGGGCATGGTGCCACATGCTTATAATCCCAGCTACTCAGGAGGCTGAGGCAGGAGAATTGCTTGAACCCGGGATGCGGAGGTTGTAGTGAGAAGAGATCACGCCACTACACTCCAGCCTGGCGACAGAGCGAGACCCTGTCTCAAAAACAAACAAACAAAAAAACTTCAGCATCCATGGATTTTGGTATCTGAGACAGATCCTGGAACCAATCCCCCATGGATACAGAGGACCTACATATTAAAGGAAAACGAGGCCAAGCACGGTGGCTCACGCCTGTAATCCCAGCACTTTGGGAGGCCAAGGCGGGTGGATCACCTGAGGTCAGGAGTTTGAGACCAGCCTGGCCAACATGACGAAATCCCATTTCTATTAAAAATACAAAAATTATCCAGAGATCGCTTGAACCTGGGAGGCAGAGGTTGCAGTGAGCCGAGATCATGCCACTGCACTCCAGCCTGGACAAAGGACAAGACTCTGTCTCAAAAAAGAAAACTAAAATAAATAAATAATAATAATAAAGGAAAATGAGAGCTATAAAGAAATCTTAAACTTCCTTTTCTAATTTTATTCTTTTATTTATTGTTTTGACCCAATAATTGTACATGTGTATAGGGTACATAGTGATGTTTCAACACATATAGTTTTATTCTTAGTAGTTAATGTTGGCATATTGTTTTCAAACTATTTGGTATCTAATGGTATGATGCAAATGAGTATGTTAGTGGTATTAAGAACCAAAATTTTTAGGGAAAGAGAAAAGGGAAGGAACAACACTGTAAGTGTCACGTGAACGTGAAATATCAGAATGAACTTGTGATTTCTTTTTCTCTTTCAAGAGTATGTGTTTCTTAGCTCTGTTCACTGGGAAGATCCAGAAACGATGACAACCCAATAGCAACGAGTATTCTTTGAACCCTAATTTTGCACCACGAAAAGGGCTTCTGGAAAAGACCCATTCCAGGACTGAGCAAGAAATGTAAAAAGTGGGAGTTTAGGCCGGGCGTGGTGGCTCACACCTGTAATCCAAGCACTTTAAGAGGCCAAGGTGGGTGGATCACCTGAGGTCAGGAGTTCGAGACCAGCCTGGCCAACATGGTGAAACCCCATCTGTACTAAAAATATAAAATTTAGCCAGGCATGATGGTGGGCGCCTGTAATCTCAGCTACTCAGGAGGCTGAGGCAGGAGAATTGCTTGAACCTGGGAGGCAGAAGTTGCGGTGAGCTGAGATGGTGCCATTGCACTCCAGCCTGGGTGACAAAAAAAAATAAAAAATAAAAATAAAGCGGGAGTTTAAAGTCTTGTACCAGAAAACAAGAAGCATTCGACCACGGCCAGGCACGGTGGCTCACGCCTGTAATCCCAGCACTTTGGGAGGCCAAGGCGGGTGGATCACCTGAGGTCAGTTTGAGACCATCCTGGCCAACATGGCGAAACCCCCTCTCTACTAAAATACAAAAGTTAGCCAGGCATGGTGGCACATGCCTGTAGTCCCAGCTACTCGGGAGACTGAGGCAGGAGAATCGCTTGAACTCGGTAGGCGGAGGTTGCAGTGAGCTGAGATCGCACCACTGCACTCCAACCTGGGTGACAGGGTGCGACTCCATTTAAAAAAAAAAAAGAAAAGGCCGGGCGCGGTGGCTCACGCCTGTAATCCCAGCACTTTGGGAGGCCGAGGCGGGCAGATCACGAGGTCAGGAGATCGAGACAATCCTGGCTAACACGGTGAAACCCCGTCTGTACTAAAAATACAAAAAAATTAGCCAGGTGTGGTGGCGGGTGTCTGTAGTCCCAGCTGCTGGGGAGGCTGAGGCAGCAGAATGGCGTGAACCCAGGAGGCGGAGCTTGCAGTGAGCCAAGATCACACCACTGCACTCCAGCCTGGGTGACAGAGCGAGACTCTGTCTCAAAAAAAAAAAAAAAAGACATCCTCATTGTGGGGGAGCTGGGCGGAGGGCATATGAGACCTCTCTACTATCTCAGCATTTCCTTGTGAGTCTATAATTAATAAAAAGGTTTTAAAAAATACATACTTTATGGCTGGGCACGGTGGCTCACACTTGTAATCCCAGCACTTTGGGAGGCCGAGACGGGCGGATCACCTGAGGTCAGGAGTTCGAGAACAGCCTGCCCAACATGGTGAAGCCCCATCTCTACAAAAAATACAAAAATTAGCCAGGCATGGTCGCAGGTGCATTAATCCCAGCTACTTGGGAGGCAGAGGCAGAAGAATTGTTTGAACCCGGGAGGTGGAGGTTGCAGTGAGCCGAGATCAAGCCATTGCACTCAGACCTGGGGGCAAGAGCGAGACTTCTCTCAGAAAAAAAAAAAAAAAAAACCACTTATTTTATTTATTTATTTATTTTGAAACAGGGTTTCACTCCTGTCGCTCTGGCTGGAGTGCTGTGGTGCATTCTCAGCTCACTGAACGCTCCTGGTTCTCAAGCAGTTCTCCCACCTCAGCCTCCCTAGTAGCTGGGACCACAGGTGCTTGCCACTGCACCTAGCTAATTTTTTTGTATTTTTTTTTTTTTTTTTGTACAGATGGGGTTTTGTCGTGTTGCCCAGGCTGGTCTGGAACTTCTGGGCTCAAGCAATCCACCCGCGTCTGCCTCCCAAAATGCTGGGATTACAGGCATGAGCCACCTCACCCAGCCCTAAAAATTAAGAGGAGGCAACCCTTCCTCCTTGGGCCTTGGTTTCCCCATCTGTAAAATAGGGGCGAGAGTCTCCCTGGAATGCTGAGGCTGTGTCCAACCTTGGCTTCCCATGGATTTCAGTGGGTTCACCCAGGACGGCCCCCCATGGTGTCTGGAGTATACAGGACAGTGGGAATCATAAGGGGAATCACCACACCCTTCCTGCACATTGTGTTCTTGTGCATAGAGATCTCCATCCTGGGGATCCATCATCAAGCCAGACCTGCTTCACCAAAATGCACCAAACAAAGACGCATGAGCCAGCTGGGGTCCCAGATGGGGCTAGGCATGGTCTGTGTTTCAGGCTCCAGGGATGCTGTGCTACTAGGAACCTCTGGACAGACTCTAAGGCAGGGACACTGCAGACTCAAATGCCTCTAGGAGTGACCGTGACAAAGTCAGTTGCACAGTAAAGGAATTAAAATTGGGGCCTTGGAGGCTGGGCGTGGTGGCTCACGCCTGTAATCCCAGAACTTTGGGAGGCTGAGGTGGGAGCTTGAGGCCAGGAGTTCAGGACCAGCCTGGGCAACACAGCAAGACCCTATTTATTTATTTATTTATTTATTTATTTATTTATTTTTTGAGACAGAGTCTTGCTCTGTCACCCAGGCTGGAGTGCAGTGATGCGATCTCTGCTCACTGCAACCTCCGCCTCCCAGGTTCAAGAGATTCTCCTGCTTCAGCCTCCTGAGTAGCTGGGATTACAGGCTTGCGCCACCAAGCCCAGCTAATTTTTATTTTGATTTTTTTGAGAGGGAGTCTCGCTCTGTCGCCCAGGCTGGAGTGCAGTGGTGTGATCTCAGCTCACTACAACCTCTGCCTCCCGGGTTCAAGTGATTCTCCTGCCTTAGCCTCAGGAGTAGCTGGGATTACAGGCGCTCACCATCACGCCCGGCTAATTTTTGTATTTTAGTAGAGACGAGGTTTCACCATGTTGGCCATCACACCAGGCTGGTCTCAAACTCCTGACCTCAGGTGATCCACCCACCTGGGCCTCCCAAAGTGCTGGGATTACAGGCGTGAGCCACCACGTCTGGCCCCCATCTCTATACTAAAATAAAAAGTTAAAAAATATGGGCCCAAGGAGTGGGGTTGCCTGGGCTTCTGCCCTGCCTTCCCCACCTACATTGTGTGACCCTATTGCAGCTCCCCGATCGCTCTGCAAAACATCGGGATGCTAATGCCTGGAACGTTCCGGAAGATGAGTTCATCCATGCAGAGTGTTGAGAACAGTGCTGGGCTCAATAAAAGCTCAGGAAGCGTTCACGCAGCTGTTGCCATGGGGACGTGCAGGCCCTGCGTTGCCAAGTCAGTCGGTTTTCAAGAGAAGCTGGGAGTTTTGATGTGGAAGCTCCCTGTTGTCGAATGTTGGCCGTGAACCCAAAAAGGAAAATGCAAAATGCTGTAAAGTCCAAACCGAACACTTTGGTGGACCCAAAGGGGCCCATGCCACGGTCTGTAGCCTCTGTTCTGAGACCTAGAAGCCACTGGTGGAGCTGGGGACCTGCTTTCTTCCGGGCACTGGCCTGAGGCTGGGGCAGGCATAGAAATGAATGAGCCCGACCTTTGCCCTCGGAGAACTCCCAGTCCTGAGGCGGGGGCCTGAGATTTGTCCTTTAACCCCATCACAACGAATTATGAGCCCAACAGAATTCCTTGAATGTAGGTGTGAACAAAGGGCAGGGCCCCCACCTGCATGTGGGAACAGCTGCCCTGGCGCCCATGACCTTTGATTCCATCAAAGTGCTTCTTCAAAAGGTTTTTTTTTTTTTTTTGAGACGGAGTTTCGCTCTTGTTGCCCAGGCTGGAGTGCAAGGGTGCAGTCTTGGCTCACTACAACCTCCGCCTCCCGGGTTCAAGCCATTCTCCTGCCTCAGTCTCCCAAGTAGCTGGGATTTCAGGCATGCGCCACCATGCCTGGCTAATTTTGTATTTTTAGTAGAGTTAGGATTTCTCCATGTTGGTCAGGCTGGTCTGGAATCGAAAGGTATTTTAAGTGGAATCCAACAAGCCTCAGAGAAGCCTCAAGGTCTGTAGCCTGACAGACAGTTTCTCTTCTCTTTTCCTTCCTGTTTTTTTATGTTTTGTTTGTTTGTTTAGAGACAGTGTCTTGCTCTGTCACCCAGGCTGGAGTGCAGTGGTGTAATTATATCTCACTGTAGCATTGACTTCCTGGGCTCAAGTGATTCTCCCACCTCAGCCTCCTAAATAGCTGGGACTACAGGCATGCACCACCACGCCTGGCTCATTTTTAAATTTTTTTTGTAGACACAGAGGTCTTGTTATGTTGCCCAGGCTGGTCTCGAACTCCTGGGCTCAAGCGATCTGCCCTCCTTGGCCTCCCAAAGTCCTGGGATTACAGGCGTGAGCCACTGCACCCGGCCTCTCTTTTCCTGCTCAACTGTTTCCAAACAGAATCAAAAAGATCCCTCCTTGTTCAGTCCACAGTATCGTCACTGTTCACGTGTTCAGACAGCTGCTTGCACAAAAGCCACGCGGAAGTGTGAAAATCACCTGAAGAAATTCCCTCCAACCTTCCCAGCACCAGCTCCTCATCCTCCACTCAGGGCCCCAGTGTATCCACGTCAGGGAGGCCACCATCCAGCCCACCCAGCCCACCCAGCCCAAAAGAGCACACTCTCGTTCCTCCCAAATGTCATTCTGTTTTCTGTTCTTCGCCGCACTTAACTGCTATTATAAATGTCTTTGTAGGTTTTATTTGTTTGTTTGTTTTGAGACAGAGTCTCCATCTGTCACCAAGCTGGAGTGCAGTGACACAATCTCAGCTCACTGCAACCTCCACCTCCCGGGTTCAAGTGATCCTCGTAGCTCAGCCTCCCCAGTAGCTGGGATTACAGGCGCGCACCACCGTGACTGGCTAATTTTTTTTGTATTTTTAGTAGAGAGGGGGTTTCACCATGTTCGCCAGGCTGGTCTCAAACTCCCGACCTCAGGTGATCCACCCACCTCGGACTCCCAAAATGCTGGGATTACAGGCATGAGCCGCTGCGCCCAGCCCAGAAATGTCTTTGTTTTGCATGACTTCGTGCCTCTCTTTCTCACTCTGATGTCGGCATCTTGTAAACTCTGTATCCCCAGCCCCGAGGGCAGGGCTTTCTCTAAGAACACTTCGGGGACAGGTGGTTGCATAAACAGATGAATGAACAACACGAATCTCTCTCTATGGCCTAGGGAGGATGCTAAACCCACACGCTATTCAGTGGGCAAATGGTTCACCCACCACATGCCAGGAACTGGGCAGGAAGATACTGAAATGACTTCCTCCCTGCCCTCAGAGAGCTCCCTAGCTCCTCATCTGGGTTCTAGAAACTTCCAACACCCTGACTTTCCCTTGATAATAGAACACTCTGTTTCCCAGGCAGGTGCAGGGTCTCATGCCCATACTCCCGGCACATTGGGAGGTTGAAGTGGGGGGATTGCTTGAGGCCAGGAGTTAGAAACCAGCCTGAGCAACATAGAGGAAACCTATGTCTACAAACAAACAAACAAACAAAAAAGGTACTTGGCTGGGCACGGTGGCTCATGCCTATAATCCAAGCACTTTGGGAGGCCGAGGTGGGTGGATCACCTGAGGTCAGGAGTTCGAGACCAGCCTGGCCAACATGGAGAAAACCCTGTCTCTACTAAAAATACAAAAAAAAAAAAAAAAAAAAAAAAAAATTAGCCGGGTGTGGTGGCAGGCACCTGTAATCCCAACTACTCAGGGGGCTAAGGCAGGAGAATCGCTTGAACCCGGGAGGCAGAGGTTGCCGTGAGCCGAGATCACGCCATTGCACTCCAGCCTGGGCAACAGAGAGAGACTCTGTCTTAAAGAAAAAAAAAAAAATTAGGTACTTGGGGGGCTGAAGTGGGAGGAGTTTAATGCTGCAGTGAGCTATGATCGCACCACAGCACTCCAGACTGGGCAACAGAGTGAGACCCTGTCCTCAACACCCAAAAAAAACAGGCCGGCATGGTGGCTCACGCCTGTAATCTCAGTACTTTAGGAGGCCGAGGCAGGCAAATCACTTGAGGTCAGGAGTTCAAGACCAGTGTGGCCAACATGATGAAACCCCATCTCTACCAAAAATACAAAAATTAGCCCTGCGTGGTGGCGGGTGCTTACTGTAGTCCCAGCTACTCAGGAGGCTGAGGCACGAGGATCGCTTGAACCCAGGAGGCAGAGGTTGTGGTGAACCAAGATTGCACCATTGCACTCCAGCCTGGGCGACAGAAGGAGACTCTGCCTAAAAAATAAATAAATAAATAAATAAATAAATAAATAAATAACAAAAAAACTCCATTTCCCTCTCAGCATCTCCTCTCTCCTTGTATCTCAGCCTTTCTTATCTCTAGTCTGTGCAGCCTTATCCAAGGTGGGCGGGGAGGGATGGCCTCACACCTCCACACATGCACACAGACACGCACACACCCACACCCACACTTCAGGGCCACTCACGATGCGCTCAAACTCCATGGCCTGCTTCACCTCCTGGGGAAAGCCATCGATGAGGAAGCCCCGGCTCTCCGGGCGGGACAACATGTTGTCACTGACCATATCTGGGATGATGCCCTGGGAAGGGAGTGGGTGAATTCAGCACCCGGGAGCCCTTCTTTCCCCGCCGAATCACCCTGGGGAGATCAGTTTCTAAGGTGGCTCTCCCTGTCAAGTTCTATTCCTCCATCTGGACTTTAGGTGAAGACAGGGTGACTATACCCTGCTTGGCGCCCTGGATTCTGAGTCTGCTACAATGCTCTAAAGAAATTGCTTCTTCACTGGGTGCGGTGGCTCACGCCTCTAATCCCAACACTTTGGGAGGCCAAAGTAGATGGACCACCTGAGGTCAGGAGTTCAAGACCAGCCTGGCCAACATGGTGAAACCCTGTCTCTACTAAAAATCCAAAAACTACGCTGGGAGCAGTGGCTCATGCCTGTAATCCTAGCACTCTGAGAGGCTGAGGCGGGCAGATCACCTGAGGTCAGGAGTTCAAGACCAGCCTGGCCAACATGGTGAAACCCTGTCTCCACGAAAAATACAAAAATTAGCCAGGCATGGTGGTGCACACCTGTAATCCCAGCTACCCGAGAGACTAAGGCACAAAAATCACTTGAACCCGGGAGGCAGAGGCTGCAGTGAGCAAAGACGGTGCCATGGCACTCCGGCCTGGGTAACAGAGTGAGACTCCTCAAACAAAGCAAAACAAAACAAAACAAAAACCTGCTTCTGAAAAGGAGGCATGCCAGTGCTGGGCTTGTACCTTAATCATCACCATGTTATGAGGCAGGTACTGGGGTCCCCTTCATTTTTCGGGTGAGGAAGTGGCTTCACGGGGTGACAAAGGAAATAAATACTAGCTAATTCTGTTGAGTGATTTTTTTGGTTTGTTTTTGTTTTTTAAAGAGATGGAGTCTCACTCTGTTGCCCAGGCTGGAGTGCAGTGGCACAATCTCAGCTCACTGCAACCTCCGCGTCCGGGGTTGAAGCGATCCTCTTTCCTCAGCTTCCCAAGTAGCTGGGATTGCAGGTGTGCACCATCATGCCCAGCTAATTTTTGTATTTTTTAGTAGAGACGGGGTTTCACTATATGTTGGCCAGGCTGGTCTCGAACTCCTGGCCTCAGGTGATCCGGCCTCCCAAAGTGCTGGGAGTACAGGCATGAGCCACCACACCTAGCCATTTTTTATTTTCTTGAGACAGACTCTCGCTCTGTTGCCCAGGCTGGAGTGCAATGGTGTGAGCTCAGCCCACTGCAACCTCCACCTCCCGGGTCCAAGCGATTCTCCTGCCTCAGCCTCCCGAGTAGCTGGGGATTACAGGTGCATGCCACCATGCCCAGCTAATTTTGATTTTTTGTTTGTTTGTTTGTACTTTTAGTAGAAATGGGGTTTCACCATGTTGGCCAGGCTGGTCTTGAACTCCTGACCTCAAGTGATTCACCCGCCTTGGCCTCCTAAAGTGTTGGGATTACAGGCGTGAGCCACTGCACTCAGCCTTTTTTTTTTTTTTTTTTTTAACTGAGTCTGGGTCTATTGCCCAGGCTGGAGTGCAGTAGCATGATCTCGGCTCACCGCAACCTCCATCTCCCGGGTTCAAGCGATTCTACTGCCTCAGGCTCCCGAGTAGCTGGGATTATAGGCGCCTACCACCATGCCCGGATAATTTCTGTATTTTCAGTAGAGAAGAGGCTTCACCACGTTGGCCAGGCTGGTCTCGAACTCCTGACCTCGTGATCCACCCGTCTTGGCCTCCAAAGTGCTGGGATTATAGGTATGAGCCACCGCGCCTGGGTGAGACAGGGTCTTGCTCTGTCTTCCCGGCTGGAGAGCAGTGGTGCAGTCACGGCTCACTGCAGCCTCGACTTCCTGGGCTCAAGGAATCCTCTCACTTCAGCCTCCAGGTAGCTGGAATATAGATTCATGCCACCATGCCCAGCTAAATTTTTTCTTTTAAAATTTTTCTTGGTTCATTTTTATTATATGCCTTTTTCCTGCAGTACCAGCTAACTTTTTAAAATGTATTGTTTTGGGCCGGGCACGGTCCCAGCACTTTGGGAGGCCAAGGTGGGCGGATCACGAGGTCAGGAGATCGAGACCATCCTGGCTAAAATGGTGAAACCCCATCTCTACTAAAAATACAAAAAAATTAGCCGGGCATGGTGGCGGGCGCCTGTAGTCCCAGCTACTCAGGAGGCTGCGGCAGGAGAATGGCGTGAACCCGGGAGGTGGAGCTTGCAGTGAGTCGAGATTGGGCCACTGCACTCCAGCCTGGGCGACACAGTGACTCCGTCTCAAAAAACAAACAAACAAACAAACAAAAATTTATTGTTTTGACCAGGCACGGTGGCTCACACCTGTCATCCTTGCACTTTGGGAGGCCAAGGTGGGTGGATCACTTGACATCAGGAGTTCAAGAGCAGTTTGGGCAATATGGGGAAACCCCATCTCTACTAAAAATACAAAAATTAGCTGGGCATGGTGGCGCACGCATGTAGTCCCAGCTACTCAAGAGGCTGAGGCATGAGAATCACTTAAACTCGGGAGGCAGAAGTTACAGTGAGCCGAAATCATGCCATTGCTGTCCAGCCTGGGGTAAGAGAGTGAGACTCGTGTCAATAAATAAATTAGTTAATGGATAATTTAGTCCAGGCACAGTGGCTCATGCCTGTAATCCCAGCACTTTAGGAGGCCGAGGCGAGTGAATCACCTGACGTCAGGAGTTCAAGACCAGCCTGGGCAACATGGTGAAACCCTGTTTCTACTAAAAATACAGAAATTAGCAGGGCATGGTGGTGTGTGCCTGTAATCCCAGCTACTTGGGAGGCTGAGGCAGGAGAATCGCTTGAACCAGGGAGGTGGAGGTTGCAGTGAGCCGAGATCACGCCATTGCACTGCAGCCTGGACGACAAGAGTGAAACTCCATCTCAAATAAATAAATTTATTTTTTTTAAGAGACAGGGCTTGCTATGTTGCCCAGGCTGGTCTCAAACTCCTGGGCTCAAGCAATGCTCAGACCTTGGCCTCCCAAAGTGTTGGGAATACAGGCGTGAGCCACTGTGCCTGTCCTTGAGTGATTTTTTTTAGCTCAAATTGATCTTTATTTGCAATTCATGAATGGGGCACCCTCCATTTCACCAAACAGTGAGCGCTTCCCTAGTGAGTGATTTTTTTTTTTTTTTAGACGGGGTTTTCCTCTTGTTGCCCAGGCTGGAGTAGTGTAATGGCATGATCTCAGCTCACCACAACCTCCGCCTCCCGGGTTCAAGTGATTCTCCTGCCTCAGCCTCCTGAGTAGCTGGGATTACAGGTATGCGCCACCATGCCCGGCTAATTTTGTATTTTTAGTAGAGATGGGATTTCTCCATGTTGGTCAGGCTGCTCTTGAACTCCCGAACTCAGGTGACCCACCTGCCTTGGCCTCCCAAAGTGCTGGAATTACAGGCGTGAGCCACTGGGCCAGACCCCTACGGCCTTTTGATGGGATCTCCCCTTTTCACAGATAAGGAAATGAAGGTTCAGTGCAGCAAGGCAATGGCCACATGGGAAGTTGCAACCTTCTGGGTCCCGTGAGCCCTCCTGGTGGGTGGTTGTCCCAAGGTACCCCTTCCGCCCTAACCCCTCCCATGAGCTCCTACCGCGGGCACCAGGAGCCCCTGCAGCGTGATGTCACGGATCTGCCGGCCCCGCTGCGTGCTCCTTTGAGCCTCCTGTCTCAGTAGCTGGTCCAGCCCCACATGGCAGAAGCCGTACTTGGTCGCCATATTCTTGCACTGTGTCCCTTTGCCACAGCCCGGGCCCCCCATCCAGGGGGGACTTGAGAATGTCTGTGGTGCCCAGGAAGAGTGAGGGAGATGGGTTAGTGCCTGTAGGGGCACAGGTGTCCCTGAGTGACATTGGACAAAGTCTCTTGGCATACTCTTGCTGTAGGGTGGCATCTTAGGGGTATGGTTCTTTTTTTTTTTTTTTTTTTTTTTGAGGCAGAGTCTTGCTCTGTCGCCCAGGCTGGAGTGCAATGGCGCTATCTCGGCTCACTGCAAGCTCCGCCTCCCGGGTTCATGCCATTCTCCTGCCTCAGCCTCCTGAGTAGCTGGGACTACAGGCACCCGCCACCGCGCCCGGCTAATTTTCTTTGTGTTTTTAGCAGAGACGGGGTTTCACCATGTTAGCCAGGATGGTCTCGATCTCCTGACCTCATGATCTGCCCGCCTCGGCCTCCCAAAGTGCTGGGATTACAGGCGTGAGCCACCGCGCCCGGCCTCTTAGGGGTATGGTTCTGTTCTCAAGGGCATAGCCAGGCACGTTGTGTGTTTGTGCCGCTTTGGATGAAGATGTGAACTTGAGGCCAGGTGTGGTGGCTCACGCCTATAATCCCTGCACTTTGGGAGGCCGAGGCGGGTGGATCCCTTGATGTCAGGAGTTTGAGACCAGCCTGGCCAACAGGGTGAAACCCCATCACTACTAAAAATACAAAAAAAATTAGCTGGGTGTGGTGGTGCACACCTATTCGTGAGGCTGAAGCAGGAGAATCGCTTGAACCCAGGAGCCAAAGGTTGCAGTGAGCCGAGATTGTGCCACTGCACTCCAGACTGGGCAACAAAGCAAGACTCCATTTAAAAAAAAAAATGATGTGGCCAGGTGCGGTGGGCTCATGCCTAGCACTGTAATCCTAGCACTTTGGGAGGCCGAGGTGGGCAGATCACTTCAGGTCAGGAGATCGAGACCATCTTGGGTAACACGGTGAAAACCTGTCTCTATTAAAAATACAAAAAATTAGCTGGGCGTGGTGATGGGCACCTGTAGGCCTAGCTACTTGGGAGGCTGAGGAAGGAGAATGGCGTGAACCCGGGAGGCAGAGCTTGCAGTGAGCCGAGATCGTGCCACTGCACTCTAGCCTGGGCGACAGAGCGAGACTCCGTCTCAAAAAAATAAAATAAAAAAAAACAAAGACGTGAACTTGAGCAGGCCAGGCCCTTCACACACGGCATCTCCTTAAAGCATCCTGAGGACTCTATCATCCCATTTTACAGTGGAGGGAACCGAGGTTCAGTGAGAGGCAGGGACTTGCCCACGCTCCCAGTCTCATCCCATACTCCCCTTCTCTCTGTTCCAGCCCCATATCCTACTCCCCTTCCCTCTGTCCCAGCCCCAACCCATACTCCCCTTCTCTTTGTCCCAGCCCCAGGGGGCTTCAGTTCTTTGAATTTGAAACTCACTTCTCCCTTGCTGTTTCCTCTGCTTGGAAAATCCCTGCCTGCCCCAGTTCCTTCTGGCCACAACTTCCATCTGGCCTTCTCTAGCCTCCATCTAGAGCTTCCCCCCATCACTCCTTGTCTGAGACACCTATTTCCTCCACAGCAATGGCCACAGTCTGTCATGATCTTCTCTGTTTACTCGTTCTTTTTTTTTCCTTCTTTTCCTTCTTTTTTTTTTTTTTTTTTTTTTGAGACGGAGTTTCGCTCTTGTTGCCCAGACTGGAGGGCAATGGCGCGATCTCGGCTCACCACAACCTCTGCCTCCCAGGTTCAAGCGATTCTCCTGTCTCAGCCTCCCGAGTAGCTGGGATTACAGGCATGTGCTACCACGCCCGGCTAATCTTGTATTTTTAGTAGAGACGGGGTTTCTCCACGTTGGTCAGGCTGGTCTCGAACTCTCAACCTCAGGTGATCCGCCCGCCTCGGCCTCCCAAAGTGCTGGGATTACAGGCATGAGCCACCGTGCCCAGCCGTTTACTCGTTCTTGTCTCCCCCAAGCCAGACACTCCATGAGGGCAAGGACTATTTCTGCCTCCCTCATTCCTATATTCCTAGGGGTTGGCGGTTCCTGACATTTAGTGGTGGATGAGAAATAAATGAAAACAGACACATCGACGGTGTCTGTAGTTCATGGCCCAACTTTTGTGTCTTGCCCGCCTTCCCTTTGCTTAGCCAACTCCTATGCATCCCTCAGTGCCCAACTGAAACCTCCCCTCTTCTCTGAGCCCTCAGAGCCCCGCTGTGCTTCTCCTGCTCCTTCCTGGGTTGTAGATTCCCATGCTGTGACTCTGTCTCTTCCACGACACTGTAACCCTCGAGAGGACACTGTAATCCTCCGTGGGGAGCTGGTTTGACAGATTCACCTTGCGGGGCCCCGAACCCAGGAGGTGCTGGAGTATTTGCGAAGTGGAGCAATGAATGGTTGCGCCGTGAGCATGCGCAGTTGTGTTACTGCCATGATTCGGGGGATGTGTGCATGCCTGGAACGGGGTAGGGGATCCTGCATCTCCCTCCTGTTCTCGGCAGCTTCCTTCCCTTCCCCCCAGGAAGCCAGCCAGCCGCCCCCGCGACGTTACCCTTCTCCTGGGGCCTCAGAGCCCTGCCCATCTCGGGCAGCTTGGACTTGCAAAGACCCATCCGGCCAGCAGCTCTTGGGGTGGTCGCGCCCCGACCCCGCCCAGGCTCTGACCCCTCCTGGCTCGGCTCAACGTCACAAGGGTCCCCGCCCCGGTCATTTTGCGGGAATGACGGGGTCCACCCCTTCGGGGTAGGGGGAGGAAATGAACCCCAAACAGACCCATGGGGAGCCAAGCGGCGGTTCGACCCGACCCGAGTAGGCCTCGGTTGCTATGGTGACGCGGCCTTCTGGGCCCCCCAGGTCCAGAGCGGCAAGGCGCATGCGCAAAGTGCCTGGGAGCCCGCAAGGGGGATTCGTCTCCCTCTTCCCACCCAGGATGCCCCACGGTCCTTGGGTGCTGACGTCACGAGAGAGGGCGGTCCCCCATTTGATGAAGTTAACCGCGTTATATACAAGAGCGCCAGCGACAGAGGCCCGTTAGTTTATCTCAGACTCGGCCTAGGTTTGCTGAGTCTAAAAAGGGACCGCGGTGGACCTTTTGAGGTGACCATAGCCGCCGAGGAGCATAAGTGACTGCGCACTGAGGTGGCCACAGTCGCTAAGAAGGTTGCCATCGCGACGCGGCTGCTCGAGGGTTTCGCTTCCGGGTTAGGCGGCCGCAGAAGCGTAGACCGAGTAGCTTGAGCGCCTCTTCCGGTTACCTTTTCCCAGCGCCAGAGGCGCCTAGGGTTGGGGTCCTCGCTCAGGCACAGAGACCCGACACCGAGCGGCG
Source organism: Homo sapiens (assembly GCF_000001405.40). Lineage (NCBI taxonomy): Eukaryota > Metazoa > Chordata > Mammalia > Primates > Hominidae > Homo > Homo sapiens. The sequence goes on along the minus strand of NC_000019.10, from coordinate 6,393,080 downwards.
GCTTCCCCGGGATCGAGGGACGCGCACGCCAGAGGAGACGAAAGGAACCCGGGTCGGACCAGATCGGAACCACTGACCATTGCCCATGGCGGCCCTAGTGAGTGTGGATTTGGCGGGGTTCGGGGGTTCCGACGGCGACCTCGGCGACCCCTCACTCACCGCTTCCTCTTTCCGCAGGGCCCTAGCAGCCAGAATGTCACTGAATACGTCGTTCGAGTTCCTAAGTAAGTCCCCAGCCCCATCTCCCACTCCTCTCCACCCCCCAAAAATGAAAACCTTCACGATCTTCTTAGCCAGCCATTTCTGGCCCTGTCTGTGGTTCTCCCTCCAGACCGGGAGAGACTTGGAGGGCAGGGCTGGGATTAAGCTGAGGCTTCTCTGGGGACAACACTGCTTTTTTGAACGAATGAATGAATGAGTGCATTAATACACGGTGATCCAGCCCCCTGGCCTAACCTTCGAGGAGTATATGGTCCCATGATGCCCAGGCCAGCTGTAAGGACATATTCCTCGTCCTGTTTCAAAGTGGTCAGGCTGTCTTTCCTTTCCAGGCCTTTGTACATCCTGTTCCTCTGCCATGAGTGCCTCCCCTCAACCCCTAAACTGTGACTCTGCTGGGTGAATTCTTGATGATTCTGCAAAACTCAACTCCAGTATCTTCCTCCTCCAGGAAATACTCCCTGCCTGTCCTCCCTCCTCCCCAAGGCTGAGTTCACAATAATCTCCACATCTTGGGTTCCCCCAAATCTTCGTCCCTCCATCTGCTCTTCTTCTGCCTGGGGTCAGGAGAGGATGGGTCTAGCTTCTCTGGCAGACTGGGAATCCTTGGAGTCTTCCGTATCCAGTGTTGCCAGGCAAAACAGGCTGAATGAAGCTGGGTGGGTTTGTTGAGTGAATTGAATTGAATTAATGATTCAATTGAATGGAATGATTGAATTGAATTAATGGTTCAATTGAATTGAGTGATTGAATTAAAGTAATGATTTGATTGAATTAACGATCCAGTTGGGTGGTTGATTGAATTAATGGTTCAATAGCATTGACTGATTAAATTAATGATTGAATTGCTGTATTGGATTGACACTACCTCTTCTCATCCACTCCAGGAATACAACCAAAAAATATAACATCATGGCTTTTAATGCAGCCGACAAAGTCAACTTTGCTACGTGGAATCAGGTAAGTCTCTGAGTCCTGGGGGTCAGGGGCTGGGGTGGTGAGAGAACTTGACCCTGACCTTGGTGGTTGTGATAGTTGCTTAACTGTCATAGTCACTAAGTCTTAATTTTCTCACTTTTCTCCAAGTGAAGAAAAGATAGATGACAAAGGGTTGGGTGCAGTAGTTCACACCTGTAATCCCAGCACTTTGGGAGGCTGAGGCAGGAAGCTTGCTTAAGGCCAGGAGTTTGAGACCAGCCTGGGCAATACAATAGCAAGACCCCAACTCTACAAAAAAATTAAAAAGTTAGTTGGGGCTGATAGCGTGGGTCTGTAGTCCTACATAGGAGGCTGAGGTAGGAGGATCGCTTGAGCCCAGGGGTTCAAGGCTGCAGTGAGCTATGATTGTACGACTGCACTCCAGCCTGGATAACAGAGCAAGACCCTGCCTCAAAAAAAAAAAAAAAAAAAAAAAAAAAAAAACGGAAATGGCAAAGGCCCAGGCCTAGCTCCTGGGTGTCCCTGTAAGTTAGGTTTGGTAGGCCCACCAGAGGCCTCTCCTTAAAGGAGAACATTTAGAAGCTGTGCCCACTGTTGGACATTTTTGGCCATGGTTTATCTGGGCAAGGGAGGGGACTGGGCTGGGGGCTTTCCCAGAGCCCCTGCCATCAGAGGCTCTAGAAAGGACTTTGGGAGCCATTAAAGCATCTTCAATTGGGAAGTTGTAGTGTGTGTGATCTGGCTGCTATGGGGAGACAAACTGTGGGTTTGAGGGCAAATAAACGGAGACCAAGGTAGAAGCAACTGGACTGGTCTAGGTGAGTCCTGGCAGGGCACTGGAGGCAGTGGAGGTTATGAGATGTGGCTGATTCTAGAGTGTTTTGGAAATGGTATATATGGACCTTAAATCAAGAGCTTAAGGGTAATTCGGATCACATTAGCCATGTAGGTCACGATAAATTGTTAATTTGTAGAGATTTTGGTGCCTTAATGTCAGCAAGTGTTGCACAATGAGTTTCTTTTTATTTATTTTATTTTATTTTTTTGTGATGGAGTCTCTTGTCATCCAGGCTGGAGTGCAGTGGCGCGACCTGGGCTCACTGCAACCTCCACCTCCCAGGTTCAAGCCATTCTCCTGCCTCAGCCTCCCAAGTAGCTGGGATTACAGGCGCCCACCACCACGCCTAGCTAATTTTTGTATTTTTAGTAGAGACGAAGTTTCGCCATGTTGGTCAGGCTGGTCTTGAACTCCTGACCTCAAGTGATCCACCCGCCTCAGCCTTCCACCATGCCCAGCCTTTTTATTTTTAGGAAATAGATATAGGATCTCACTATGTTGCCCAGGCTGGTCTTTTTTTTTTTTTTTTTTTTTTTTGGGGACTGAGTCTTGCTTTGTCGCCCAGACTGGAGTGCAGCGCCAGGATCTCGGCTCACTGCAAGCTCCGCCTCCCGGGTTCACGCCATTCTCCTGCCTCAGCCTCCCAAGTAGCTGGGATTATAGGCGCCTGCCATCATGCCCGGCTTATTTTTTGTATTTTTAGTAGAGACGGGGTTTCACCGTGTTAGCCAGGATGGTCTCAATCTCCTGACCTCGTGATCCACCTGCCTTGGCCTCCCGAAGTGCTGGGATTACAGGCGTGAGCCACCGCGCCTGGCCTTTTTTTTCTTAAGACAGAGTGTCACTCTATCACCCAGGCTGGAGTGCAGTGGCATGATCTCGGCTCACTGCAACCTCCGCCTCCCAGGTTCAAGCCATTCTGATGCCAGGCTGGTCTTAAACTCCTGAGCTCAAGTGATCCTTCTGCCTTGGCCTCCCAAAGTTCTGGGATTACAGGTGTGAGCCACAGCACAATGAGTTTCGATATGCATGCATTCTGGAGAGATGTGTGGAAATTCTAGGTACTTAGACATTTTTTGAAAAGAATCCTGGAACCAGATGCCTGCTGTAGATAATAGGGAAGTCTAATTAATTACTTCTACATTCCTCAGATAAGGAATTTTGCCTCCGATGGCCTGCTTGATGGTCACCAGGTGGTCTTTTTCTCTTTAATTTTAATTTGGAAATAATTTCAAGCTTTTAAGTTGCAAAAATAGAGCGCAAGGCTCGCCCAAATTCCCTTTACCCAGATTTGTCAAAGGCTACCGTTCTCCTCCCTTGTTGCCAAGTGGTAAGTTGGTTTTGAGAATCTAGAGCTTGGCCTAGGGCAAGGAAGGGCGTTCCTGGAGGGGGGCACTGCGCAAGCAAAGCCAGGGACCCTGAGAGGCTTTGCTTCCTGCTCCCCTAGGCTCGGCTGGAGCGGGACTTGAGCAACAAGAAAATCTACCAAGAGGAGGAGATGCCCGAATCGGGCGCGGGCAGTGAGTTCAACCGCAAGCTTCGGGAGGAGGCTCGGAGGAAGAAGTACGGCATCGTCCTCAAGGAGTTCCGGCCCGAGGACCAGCCCTGGCTGCTCCGGGTCAACGGCAAATCAGGCAGGAAGTAAGTGGTGGGGCGGTGGCGGTGCCGGCTTAGTGACCAGTCCACATCCCCAGGCCTCAACTTACATACTTTGTGGGGTACCCTCTCTGAACCTCAGATTCCCACTGCTGCAGTGGAAGTGCTGGCACTTCCATCCCTGTAGGATTTTATTATTTATTTATTTATTTATTTATTTATGTTATCTTATTTTACTTACTTGTATTTTTTTGAGACAGAGTCTTGCTCTGTCGCCCAGGCTGGAGTGCAGTAGCACGATCTTGGCTCACTGCAACCCACACCTCCCAGGTTCAAGTTATTCTCCTGCCTGAGCCTCCTGAGTAGCTGGGATTACAGGTGCCTGCCACCACCACGCCCAGCTAATTTTTGTATTTTTAGTAGAGACAGGGTTTCACCATATTGGTCAGGCTGGTCTCGAACTTGGCGATCCTCCCGCCTCGGCCTCCCGTAGTGCTGGGATTACAGGCGTGAGCCACCGTGCCCAGCCTACTTATTTATTTTGAGACAGGGTCTCACTCCGTTGCCCAGGCTGGAGTGCAGTGGTGCGATCGTAGCTCACTGCAGGCTCCAACTCCTGGGCTCGAGATCTTCCCACCTCAGCATCCTGAGTAGCTGGGACTATAGGCACGCCCCACCATGCCTGGCTAATTTTTGTATTTTTGGTAGAGATGGGGTCTTGCTGCGTTGCTCAAGCTGGTCTTGAACTCCTGGGGTCAAGTGATCCTCCTACCTTGGTCTCCCAAAGTGCTGGGATTATAGGTATGAGCCACTGCCCAGGCCCTGGGGTTGTGTTTTTGAAGACAGTTCACTGAGTTGGTGCTTGTGCCTGGCTCTGAGGCAGCTCTGAGTGCCACAATGCAGGAAGCTTAGGTGGCCAGCCCTGGGAGCTCATGACACTTGAGATGACCTCTCAGAGGGGGCAGACTGAGGGCAGAACAGGAGGGGTCCAGGTTAGGTTGATGAAGGGTGCTCCAGGCACAGCAGTTGGGTGATAGTGACAGACACAGGCAGCTCACACAGGGCAGTGGGTGCCAGGATGTGCTGGGTCCAGCGGAGCCTTGGAAAGCTGTAGGCAGGGAAGAGGCACTCACCCAGACTGTCCGGAACTTTGGGGTAGAAAAGAATGAGGTAGAGGCCTCAAGGAGGCTGGGCAGTTGTTTAGGCTTGAGGAAATGGTGGCCCGGGCCAGGTGTCCACTTCAGATTTGGCCATGCCATGGCTGGGCGCGGTGGCTCACGCCTGTAATCCTAGCCCTTTGGGAGGCAGAGGCGGGCGGATTACGTGGGGTCAGGGGTTCGAAACTAGCCTGGCCAACATGGTGAAACCCTGTCTCTACTAAAACTACAAAAATTAGCTGGGTGTGGTGGCAGACACCTGTAATCCCAGCTACTCGGGAGGCTGAGGCATGAGAATTGCTTGAACCCGGGAGGTGGAGGTTGCAGTGAGCTGAGATGGTGCCACTGCACTCCAGCCTGGGTGCCAGAGCGAGACTCCATCTCAAAAAAAAAAATTTGGCCATGCCTTCCCGCCCCATCTTCTCACTTGGCTCCTCAGTTTCCCGGGTGTGGCCCACAGATAGCAGAGCTGGAGGCAAATGTAGACAGTTTGACTGCAGGGTTGGGCTCTCCTGAGATAATCTCACACAGTCTTTCCAGAAATGATCCCGATGTGCACACGCCCAGCACTTTGCAGGGTAGGTGCGCCGGCCCTGTTCCCCAGATGTGGAAATTGACGAGGCCCAGGTGGTTGAAGGGCCTGCCCAGGCCTCATGGGCATTTCTTGGTCTTCCTCCTATGGCAAGTGCCATAAAGGAGGCAGGCCCCGGGGGGACACGGGGGGGCTGGGGCTGGTCCCTATGGGCCAGGCCATGACCGTGGCTCCCTGCAGGTTCAAGGGCATCAAGAAGGGAGGCGTAACAGAGAACACGTCCTACTACATCTTCACCCAGTGCCCCGACGGGGCCTTCGAGGCCTTCCCCGTGCACAACTGGTACAATTTCACACCGCTGGCCCGGCATCGCACGCTCACTGCCGAGGAGGCCGAGGAGGAGTGGGAGAGGTGAGTGGGCTGGGTGGTGGCTGGGGACAGAAGTGAGGGAAATGGGGTGCCTTGCCATGGATATATCACCAGGCCCTGTGCTGGGAGCTGGGGACTCAGGGGTAACCAGGGCAGACCCCACTCGGCCGTCTCAGAGCTGTCAGTTCAGGAGGAAACAGATAGGAGGCCTTAGGGCCACAATGGGGCACCCCAGAGGGTGCTGCCAGAGCCAGAGTCTGTGACCCGGAGCTCAAATTGGCAGAGCAGGGTGGGGTCTAACTGCCCCCTTGGCTTTCCGCAGGCTGCAGGTCACACAGCCTGATCCACTGCAGGGCAGCAGCTCCAGGCAGGGCACCCGAGGAGGGTTTCTCTAGCAGTGACATCGGCCTCAGAGGTGGGGCGGGTGCAGTTAAGGGCTGTGGAGGGACACAGTGCATGAGGCCAGTGCAGAGTGACTGTGGGCAGGGGGACGAGGCTGGGGGCCCAGAGCACTTGGTCTTGGATGTATGGCTTTGGATGAGACCGTAGGGCCACCACCACCCTAGGGTGCTTGCAGATGGTGGGGAGGGCACTCTGGACGCATCTACAAATGGCATTTGCACAGGTCACAGATGAGCAGATGCTCAAAGAGTCGATGGCTCCCAAAGGTTAAAAAAACACCTTTTTCGGCTGGGTGTGGTGGCTCACGCCTGTAATCCCAGCACATTGGGAGGCCAAGGCAGGCGGATCACGAGGTCAGGAGATCGAGACCATCCTGGCTAACACGGTGAAACCCCGTCTCTACTAAAAATACAAAAAATTAGCCGGGCATGGTGGCGGGCGCCTGTAGTCCCAGTACTCGGGAGGCTGAGGCAGGAGAATGGCGTGAACTGGGAGGCGGAGCTTGCAGTGATCCTAGATGTTGCCAGTGCACTCCAGCCTGGGCGACAGAGCGAGACTCCGTCTCAAAACAAAACAAATAAAACACCTTTTTCCCTCTTTGGTGTTTTTTTGTTTGTTTGTTTGTTTGTGTGTTTTTTTTTGAACTGAGTTTCGCTCTTGTTGCCCAGGCTGGACTGCAGTGGCGCAATCTCAGCTCACTGCAACCTCCGACTCCTAGGTTCAAGCAATTCTCCTGCCTCAGCCTCCCAAGTAGAGAAATGGGATTACAGGCATGCACCACCACGCCTGGCTAACTTTGTATTTTTTGTAGAGACAGGGTTTCACCATGTTGGCCAGGTGGTCTCAAACTCCTAACCTCAGGTGATCTGCCCCCCTCAGCCTCCCTAAGTGTGGGGATTACATCCGTGAGCCACCACGCCCGGCCTGTTTTAGTTTTGTTGTTTTGTTTTTTTGAGACCGAATCTCGCTCTGTCACCCAGGCTGGAGTGCAGTGGCGCGATCTCAGCTCACTGCAAGCTCCGCCTCCCGGGTTCATGCCATTCTCTGGCCTCAGCCTCCTGGGTAGCTGGGACTACAGGCGCCTGCCACCATGCCCGGCTAATTTTTTTCTATTTTTTTGGTACAGATGGGGTTTCACCGTGGTCTCGATCTCCTGACCTCGTGATCTGCCTGCCTCGGCCTCCCAAAGTGCTGGGATTACAGGCGTGAGCCACCATGCCCAGCCCCTGCTTTAGTTTTTAATCATTTTCTTTGGTTTTAAAATTTCTGAAGAGTCATAGGTTGGCTCAGCTCCAAAAGCAACCCCGGTAAATGGCACGAAGTCAGAGCGTCCTCCCCACCAGGTCATGAGCCTCCGAGCCTGTGGGGCAGTTTCTGTACCCCTGCTCCCCTGGAACAACAGCCCCCAGGTCTGCCTGCCTGCTCCACTTTGGTTGAGTTCCTGGGGCTCCACTGTAAAATCAGTCGATCAATCATTGCTGGGGGGGCAGGTTCGCTTTTGCTGTATTTTCCTTAGAATCTGCTTTGTAAGTTTTAGGGAGAAGAATTTGGCATTTTATAGAATTGTGTAAAACCTGGATGTTAACCAAAGGAGAAATGCCATCTCTTTTTTTTTTTTTTTTTTTTTTTTTTTGAGACAGTCTCACTGTCACCCAGGCTGGAGTGCAGTGGTACCATCTCAGCTCACTGGCTCATTGCAACCTCGACCTCCTGGGTTTAAGCGATTCTGCCTCAGCCTTGCGAGTAGCTGGGACTACACACGTGCACCTCCCCACCTGGCTAATTTTTGTACTTTTAGTAGAGAAGGGGTTTCAGCATATTGCCCAGGCTGGTCTCCAACTCCTGGCCTCAAGTGATCTGCCCGCTTTGGCATCCCAATATGCTGGGATTACAGGTGTGAGCCATGGTGCCCGGCCAGAATGCCATCTCTTGATCAGATGTTAAATCTACTTAGCTAAGAACTGTTCAGGCTGGGCACGTGGAGAGCGGATCGCAAGGTCAAGAGTTCGAGACCAGCCTGGCCAAGAGACCAGCCTGGCCAATTTGGTGAAATGCCATCTCTACTAAAAATACAGAAATTAGCCAGGCATGGTGGCGGGCACCTGTAATCCCAGCTACTCGGGAGGCTGAGGCAGGAGAATTGCTTGAACCCGGGAGGTGGAGGTTGTGGTGAGCCGAGATCACACCATTGCACTCCAGTCTCGGTGACAGATCAAGACTCCAACTCAAAAGAAAAGAAAAGAAAAGAAAAGAACAAATGGTGATGGTGTCTCGCCATGTTGCTCAGGCTGGTCTCAAACTCCTGGGTTCAAGCGAGCCTCCAGCCTCGGCCTCCCCTCCCAAAGTGCTGGGATGACAGGCTTGAGCCACTGCACCAAACTGTCACTGTTTTTTGGTGCATGGCTCAGTGTGGTAAAGCCACTCACAGTGTTAAGCAGCAGTTTCATTATCTTTCACACCAGCCTGGGCCTTGCCCATGTTAGATGCATTCCTATTAAATGCAGTCCTTTTTTTTTTTTTGGAGACAGATTCTTACTCTGTCACCGAGGCTGGAGTGCTGTGGGGCAATCTTAGCTTACTGCAACCTCTGCCTCCTGGGTTCAATTGATTCTCCTCCCTCAGCCTCCTGAGTAGTCAGGACTACAGGCACATGCCACCACGCCCGGCTAATTTTTTAATTTTTTGTAGGGATGAGGTTTCACCATGTTGTTCAGGCTGTTCTCAAACTCCTGACCTCAGGTGATCCACTTGCCTCGGCCTCCCAAAGTGCTGGGATTACAGGCGTGAGCCACCGCGCCCAACCTGGCCTGCAGTCCTGTTTTTTAAAGCTTCCCTGAGCAATGAGACAACGTTACATTGTTCCAATGGAAACAGTATGTTTTGTCATTAAAGAAAAATACATCTATAAATTAAGATAACAAAAGATCTGGCTGGGCACGGTGGCTCACACCTGTAATCCCAGCACTTTGGGAGGCCAAGGTGGATCATGAGGTCAGGAGTTCGAGACCAGCCTGTCCAACATGGTGAAACCCTGTCTCTACTAAAAATACAAAAAAAAAAAAAAATTAGCTGGGCGTGGTGGCAGGCGCCTGGAACCCCGGCTATCTGGGAGGCTGAGTCAGGAGAATTGCTTGAAGCCAGGAGGCGGAGGTTGCAGTGAGCCGAGATCACATCACTGCACTCCAGTCTGGGCGACAGAGCGATACTCTGTCTCAGAAAATAAAAAAATAATAATAAAAAATAGCAAGAAACCAGTGTGACTGGATTGGGGCCAGACTCTGAGTCCGAGGGAGGTGCTGAGACTCCAGCAGCACATGGGGACCTGCTCTTTGAGGGACTCGGGGCAGAACGGGAAGGCAGGAAGGGCTGGCTCTATCCGTGTGGTTTCAGGGAGTCCTGTGCCACAGCCCAAGTCCCCGGGGGCCACATCACCTTGAAGGCTATGTGGGTGGTGCCCTGGGGCTCGCCCCCTGCAAGCACAGATGCAGGGTGGTGCCAGGCCCGGCATGAGCCCCCCTGTGCCTGGCCCGCAGGAGGAACAAGGTGCTGAACCACTTCAGCATCATGCAGCAGCGGCGGCTCAAGGATCAGGACCAGGACGAGGATGAGGAGGAGAAGGAGAAACGTGGCCGCAGGAAGGCGAGCGAGCTGCGCATCCACGACCTGGAGGACGACCTGGAGATGTCGTCCGATGCCAGTGATGCCAGTGGTGAGGAGGGTGAGTACGGGCGCCTGGGCATTAGGTCACAGAGGTGCCTGCTCAGGCAGTGCCAGTGAAGGCAAAGTCTACCATCGCTCACAGTGGCCCTAGAATGAGAGGCAAGTGGGGCCGGGCACAGTGGCTCACGCCTGTCATCCCAGCACTTTGAGAGGCTGAGGCAGGCAGATCACCTGAGATCAGGAGTTTGAGACCAGCCTGGCCAACACAGTGAGACCGTGTCTCTACTGAAAACACAAAAATTAGCTGGGCATGGTGGTGCATGCCTCTAGTGCCAGCTACTCGGGAGACTGAGGCAGGAGAATTGCTTGAACCCGTGAGATAGAGGTTGTGTTGAGCCGAGATCACGCCACTGGACTCCAGCCTGGGCAACAGAGAGAGACTCCGTCTCAGAGAAAAAAGAATGAGAGTCAGGCGAGGCCGCCTGGAGGAGCAGTGATGTCAGTCAGGAGGCAAGGCCAGAGCCCGGGAGAGCTGAGCCATGGCCCTTCTTTTTTTTTTTTTTTTTTTTGAGACAGGATCTCTCTCTCTCTCACATGGGCTGGAGTGTAGTGGTACAATCACAGCTTACTGCAGCCTTGACCTCCGAGGGTCAAACGATCCTCCCACCTCAGCCTCCTGAGTAGCTGGGACTACAGGCGTGCACCACCACACCCGGCTAATTTTTTTTTTTTTTTTTGGAGACAGAGTCTTGCTCTGTTGCCCAGGCTGGAGTGCAATGGCGCAATCTCGGCTCACTGCAACCTCTGCCTCCCAGGTTCAAGTGATTCTCCTGCCTCAGCCTCCCAAGTAGCTGGGACTACAGGCATGCACCACCATGCTGGCTAATTTTTGTATTTTTAGTAGAGATGGGGTTTCACCATGTTGGCCAGACTGGTCTCAAACTCCCGACCTCAGGTAATCTGCCTGTCTCGGCCTCCTAAAGTGCTGGGATTACAGGCGTGAGCCACCACGCCCGGCCTAATTTTTGTGTTTTTTGTAGAGACTGGGGTCTCACTCACTGTGTTGCCCAGGATGGTCTGAAACTCCTGGGCTCAAGCCATCCTCCCGCCTCAGCCTGCCAAAGTGCTGGGATGACAGGCATGAGCCACTGCACCTGGCCTGGCTGTGGCCTTTACGGGGGTTCCTATGAGAAACTGCAACTCTAGGTTGACCAGTTTCAATAACTCCTGTGCGCTCCGGGCTGTAGGGGCTGTGTCCCTGGTTATCAGGTGCCTCGCCCGGGTGGTCTGGGAGAGGGGGAGTGGTCTGTGAGCGCTAGAGAAGGTGGGTGGGGGTGTGGGGTCTGCCGGGAGTTTGTTTAGGAGAGCTGAGCTCCTGGGCTGGCCCTGGAGGTGTAGTCTCCCCAGTCAGTGAGGCCCCCCAGGATGTCAAAACTGCACAAAATGTGAAAAACACAATAAATACCCACTGCCTTCCTCCTCACTTTCCCTCCTTTCCTTCCTTTCCTCCCTTCCCAGGGGGCAGAGTCCCCAAGGCCAAGAAGAAGGCGCCGCTGGCCAAGGGCGGCAGGAAAAAGAAGAAGAAGAAGGGTTCAGACGACGAGGCCTTCGAGGACAGCGATGATGGGGACTTCGAGGGCCAAGAGGTGGACTACATGTCAGACGGCTCCAGGTGAGGCCGACGGGAGGCGCCTGCGAGACCCCATGCAGCCTCGCGAGCGCGCGCTCATCCTTTGCCATCCCCGTCTTACAGTAGCTCCCAAGAAGAGCCTGAGAGCAAGGCCAAGGCGCCGCAGCAGGAGGAGGGGCCCAAGGGTAGGCGATGGCTGGGCGGGCCGGGGAGATGGGGGCGGTGCTTCCCTGCTCTTGCTCATACCCTGCCCCTCCCAGGTGTCGATGAGCAGAGCGACAGTAGTGAGGAGAGTGAGGAGGAGAAGCCGCCTGAGGAGGACAAGGAGGAGGAGGAGGAGAAGAAGGCACCCACCCCGCAGGAGAAGAAGCGCAGGAAAGGTGCGGCGCATGTGGCCCCCATATTGGAGGCTTGGGTCGGGCCCTGGCGCCCTGCCACCTCCTCCCCTCTCCCCTGCAGGCCTCCCTCATCTGCAGTGGAGGCACCAGTGGGCACCGGGTCCCGGGGTTGCTCTGGCCCTGACCCCTTTCCTGTGCCCCGCAGACAGCAGCGAGGAGTCGGACAGCTCAGAGGAGAGCGACATTGACAGCGAGGCCTCCTCAGCCCTCTTCATGGCGGTAAGGCCCAGCCCGGTGGCGGGGGAGGCCTGGGCGTCTGTTTGCAGACTCACCCACCTCCCAACCCTGACCTCTGCAGAAGAAGAAGACGCCACCCAAGAGAGAGCGGAAGCCGTCGGGAGGGAGCTCAAGGGGCAACAGCCGCCCAGGCACGCCCAGCGCAGAGGGTGGCAGCACCTCCTCCACCCTGCGGGCGGCTGCCAGCAAACTCGAGCAAGGTGAGTGCCCGTGGCCTCCCCGCTCCCCACAGCCACAGCCACAGCCTCCTGACCTCTGTTGGGGCTCAGGACAGAGAGGGGATGGAGATGCGGGTGGAGGCCTGTCTCTCCCTGATCCCCTTGAACCCTAATCCTGGCACTGCCCAGCCTGGGGTCCTGCCCAGGGGTTCTGCCTCCTGCCTGCAAGACTCAGCCCTGACCCCACTCCCACAGGGAAGCGGGTGAGCGAGATGCCTGCAGCCAAGCGGTTGCGGCTGGACACGGGACCCCAGAGCCTGTCTGGGAAGTCGACACCCCAGCCACCATCAGGCAAGACAACACCCAACAGCGGGTAAGTTGACGAGGACAGCAGGGGGCAGGGCAAGGGCTACTGGGGACAATCTCACTGATGCCACCTTCCCCGTCCTCCCATCCTCAGCGACGTGCAGGTGACTGAGGATGCCGTGCGCCGCTACCTGACACGGAAGCCCATGACCACTAAGGACCTGCTGAAAAAGTTCCAGACCAAGAAGACAGGGCTGAGCAGCGAGCAGACAGTGAACGTGTTGGCCCAGATCCTCAAGCGACTCAACCCCGAGCGCAAGATGATCAACGACAAAATGCACTTCTCCCTCAAGGAGTGAGGCTTGGTCCAATACATGGCTCTGCCCCCCAGAACTTAAGGCTCTCACTGCCCCTTCGCCATCCTAGAGTGAGGCTCTGTCCAATACATGGCTCTGCCCTCCAGAACTTCAGGCTCTCAGTGACCCTTCGACATCCTGCTTGCTCCCTGACTCCCAGGGCCCCGTAGTTAGCAATTCTGGAAAAGTTAAGCCATCTCCTCCTCTGGCCCTTCCTTCTGGAATCTTCAGATGCCTGTTAGGCCTTCTTATTGTCCTCCTCCTCCTGGCTCGGCCTCCCTCACACTGACCAAGGGCCTGTGCTGCCCACTGGGTAACTTCTACAGTTCTCCCTTCCACTTCCCTAAGTCTCTCTTCAGCTGTGACTTATCCACCACATAGCCCAGTAAGTCTTCAGTTTTGGCTGGGCATGATGGTGAGCGCCTGCAGTCCCAGCTACTTGGGAGGCTAAGCCCAGTTCAAGGCTGCAGTGAACTATGATGGTGCCACTGCATTCCAGCCTGGGTGACAGAATGAAATCCTGGCACAAAAAAAAAAAAAAAGTAGCCAGGCATGGTGGCGGGAGCCTGTTGTCCCAGCTGTTCCGTAGGCTGAGGCACGAGATTCACTTGAACCTGGGAGGTGGAGGTTGCTGTGAGCTGACACCACGCCACTGCACTCCAGCCTGGGTGACAGTGAGACTCTGTCTCAATAAATAAAAAATAATAATAAATTGCTCAGATTTCTTTGTTTCCTTTTTAGATCTGCTACTCTGTTTGGATAATGTCTTATTCCTTATGTTTTGGTCCCATCTTTCATGGTTTTATTTTTATTTATATTTTAGGTTTTGAGACAGGGTCTTGCTCTGTTCACCAGGCTGGATTGCAGTGTCCACCGTCTTGGCTCCCTGCAACCTCCACCTCTTGGGCTGAAGCGATCCTCCCACCTTAACCTTTCAAGTAGTGCACACCACCACGCCCAGCTAATTTTTTAATTTTTTGTAGAGGTGAGGTCTCACTGTATTGCCCAGGTCAGTCTTGAACTCATGGGCTCAAGCAATCCTCCCACCTCAGCCTCCTGAGTAGCTGGGACCACAGGCGTGTACCATTAAATGCCTGGCTAATGTGTTTTGTTTTTGTTTTTGTTTGAGACAGAGTTTCACTCTTGTTGCCCAGGCTAGAGTGCAGTGGTACAATCTCGGCTTACTGCGACCTCTGGTTCCTGGGCTCAAGCAGTTCTCCTGCCTCAGCCTCCCGAGTAGCTGGGATTACGGGCGCCCGCCACCGCGCCTGGCTAATTTTTGTATTTTTAGTAGAGACGGTGTTTCAGCATGTTGGCCAGGCTGGTCTCGAACTCCTGGCCATAGGTGATCTGCCTGCCTCGTCCTCCCAAAGTACTGGGATTACAGGCGTGAGCCACTGCACCCACCCACGCCTGGCTGATGTTTTTATTTTACTCATCCTGACTGAGGTCTGACAATCCTAGAAGCTGAAGTTCCCGGGCATCCTTTTGTTTCTTCTGACTCCCCTTAGTGATAGATTTTCTTGTGATTTGGGATTGGATGCTCATGGCCAGCTGGGGGCTCTGTGGGAATCCGGGGTGGCCTACTTTGCAGGCAGTCCTTCCAGATGGTTCAGCCTTGGCTTTCGCTAGCTACCCAGGAGCGCCAGCCCCAGCCCATTTTGTGTGTGGTTCTCAGCTTGCAGGTGGCCACCAAAGCCAACCCCCCCCACTGCCCCGATTGTGGGTCCCTATGTTTGAGGTTCCCGGTGATGTTTCGGGGGGCTTCTCCCTTCTTACAAGCTCGGTCATGCATATATTTGATCTGGCGTTGCCAGGCATTCTGTAAGGGAGGGCTTTTCCAGTTCCTGGAAATGGAACTGGAAAATGTGGCTGGAAACATTAATATGGCTGGAAATGGAATTTGCCTGCAGCCACTACTTTTGAACCCATCTTCCGGGCAATCCCTTCTGTCTTGCCGGTGGTTGGAAACTTGCAGGTGGAAGTCTTCCCCACCCAGTTCTGCAGCCCTTGGCTGCCGAGCAGGAATGCCTGAGATGTCTGGCTAATTCCTCGGAATGTCCCAGTTCAGGCCAACCTCCCTCCCCCTTCTCCCACCAGGCCTTCTTGGGCAGCAGGGAGGCAGCTCTGGAGGGAGCCGCTGCCTCAGCAGTTTCGCCCCAGCCACCCCCACTGCCTGGGCCTTCATGTAAGGAGGCTGGGTGGTGAGGCCCTGTGGTGAGGAGCAGGGGTTTTGCATTCACGGAGGACCTGGGTTCAAATACCAGGACCGTTGCTTAATTCTGGGTGACTTCAGGCTTTTTTTTTTTTTTTTTTGAGATGGGGTCTCGCTCTGTCGCCCAGGCTGGAGTGCAGTGACATGATCTCCGCTCACTGCAGCCTCCGCCTCCTGGGTTCAAGCAATTCTACCTCAGTCTCCTGAGTAGCTGGGATGACAGGCACGCCCCACCACGGTCCAGCTAATTTGTTTTTTGGGTTTCTGAGACGGAGTTTCATGCTGCTGCCCAGGCTGGAGTGCAGTGGTGCAATCTTGGCTCACTGCAGCCTCTGCCTCCTGGGTTCCAAGCGATTCTCCTGCCTCAGCCTCCCGAGTAGCTGGGACTACACCCAGCTAATTTTTTAATAGAGACGGAGTTTCACCATGTTGACCAGGCTGGTCTTGAACTGACCTCAGGTGATCTGCCCACCTCGGCCTCCCAAAGTGCTGGGATTACAGGCGTGAGCCACTGTGCCTCGCCTAATTTTTGTATTTTCGTTAGAGACAGGGATTCACCATGTTGGCCTGGCTGGTCTCAAACTCCCGACCTCAAGTGATCCTCCCACCTCACCCTCCCAAAGTGCTGGGATTATAGGCATGAGCCACTGGGCCCCGCCAGGCTTTTTTGAGACAGTATCGCTCTGTCGCCCAGGTTTGAGTGCAATGGCACAATCTCAGCTCACTGCAACCTCCACCTCTCAGGTTCAAGCAATTCTCCTGCCTCAGCCTCCCGAGTAGCTGGGATTACAGGCGCCCACCACCATGCCCAGCTAATTTTTGTATTTTTAATAGAGATGGATTTCACCATGTTGGTCAAGCTGGTCTCAAACTCCTGACCTCAGGTAATCCACCCGCCTCAGCCTCCCGAGGCATGAGCCACCACGCCAAGCCCAGGCTTTTCTTTCCATCGGAAAATTATCATCTCAATAAGCACTTCAGTAAGAAAAACCACAACATAATCATCGAAGCAATCCCTCACGGATGGAGTTGAGGCCACTTCCAGACTTTCCTAATATGAAGAAGGCATCAGATGTCCCTGTGCTGGCTGTTTCACTTGCCTGTGTGGGAGGAACCCCGCAAACAGGGCTCCTGGGGCAGAGGGTGTAATTTACAATTCCCCAGTAGCAGCTGCTCATCCAAAGAGCTGCTAGCAATTTACACCCCCACCAACAGCACAGGGTGCACCTGGGTCACACGGGTTGTGTGTGAGGGTTTTCTGATTTTCCCCAATCTTGTGGGTGCTTAGAGTCAAGCACCCCTTCGGACAATCACAAGCTGTTTGCTTGTTTTTGCATTCGAAGCTACGGGCACTGCCTTACACTCTAAGTGCCCATCTCTTTCCTCACCAAGCCGAGTAGGAGGGGTTCTGAGGAGCTCCCCTGTACCGGTGAGGGGACTGGGCTCACACGGGGCTGGGTATGGAAGCCTCGAGAGCCCTTATCTGTCTGCATCGTGCTAGACGTTACCATGACCTGGACAGCCTCCATCGCCCCGGGGGCTCTGACATGCTCAGATCCCAGGATGGGGCTGCAGTTATAGGGGTCTCAGGTTGGCCTTCCCGAGACAGGCGTCCCTGTCCCCTTGTGTCCCCACCCTTGGCTGTCCCCAGGCCTCTCCCTTTTCCTGTTTTGATGCTGGCTCAGCCAGGCCCGGAGACAGGGGCATGATGTCCTAATCCTCCAGGCGGGAGCCACCATGGAGGGTTCCCGTGGACTCAGTCCCCTGCCAAGCCACCTTTCCCAGCACTCACATATGCTCCACCTGGCACATGATACACGTGGGGGCTCCTGAGCCCCAGCACCCTGACTTAGTGGGGAGGGACCCCACCGGGGTCCCATGAAGCCCCCTGACTTCCACTCCAGGCAGCAGGTCGGGGGAACACCAGTTGCCTGCCCTGGCCGCCAGCACAGCACTCGTAAATCAGGGGGTGTCTGGGGCGTCGGAAATGGCTGTGTGGAATGTCGGGGTGGGGTAGGCTGGGGGTGAGCCCTTAACTCTTAGAAGGGTGGGGTGTGGGGCAGAAGGAGCAGATGCCTGGATTCGAGGGTGCAGGAGATGGGCTGGTGCAGACGTGGGGCCTCCTGGCTGCAGGGGCCGGCAGTGAAGAGGTTAGCTCCCAGCCCAGGCAGGGCATAAATTTGGGGCACAGCTCCCACTCTCAGGACCTGCCCGTCACAATGGCCGTAGGGAAGTTCCTGCTGGGCTCCCTGCTGCTCCTGTCCCTGCAGCTGGGACAGGGCTGGGGCCCCGATGCCCGTGGGGTTCCCGTGGCCGATGGAGAGTTCTCGTCTGAACAGGTGGCAAAGGCTGGAGGGACCTGGCTGGGTAAGGACTTCCAGGGACCCTCTGTGACTTCCCAACTTTCCCCAGCCCTGACCCTGCTCACTGTCAGCGCCCTTCCCTCCCACAGGCACCCACCGCCCCCTTGCCCGCCTGCGCCGAGCCCTGTCTGGTCCATGCCAGCTGTGGAGCCTGACCCTGTCCGTGGCAGAGCTAGGCCTGGGCTACGCCTCAGAGGAGAAGGTCATCTTCCGCTACTGCGCCGGCAGCTGCCCCCGTGGTGCCCGCACCCAGCATGGCCTGGCGCTGGCCCGGCTGCAGGGCCAGGGCCGAGCCCACGGCGGGCCCTGCTGCCGGCCCACTCGCTACACCGACGTGGCCTTCCTCGATGACCGCCACCGCTGGCAGCGGCTGCCCCAGCTCTCGGCGGCTGCCTGCGGCTGTGGTGGCTGAGGGTGCCCGGCCTGGCACCCAGAAGCTGCAGTGCTGGGGGAGCTCGGCTGACTTATTTATTGGAGACCTGGATGCAGAGACAACGAGGAGGGGAGTGGGCTGGGGCGACCAGCAGTGAGTGCAATAAAGGACACCACTCTCCCGGCCTTGTGACTTTGACCATGTGTCCAGCCAGCCACACCTGGAGCTCCCTATGGGCCAGTGCCATCCTGGGTTCCCCTGCAAATCCCGGCCCCAGCAAGCAGCCACTGCAATGTCCCAGTTAGGCTGTCCATTCCCCAACTTTATTCACAAATCTGGTGTCTGTAGAAAGCTGGGGGTCAGCAGGCTGGGGGCGGCTGTCCAGACTCCCCTGGCCCCATGCCCTCAGGGAGGGAGCGGCAGATCACGGAGATGCGCCGGCCCCGGGGAATCCGGCGTTCCCCAAAGAAGGACTCTTCATCCCGAAGGATCTCATGGGAGAAGTCATAACGGGCTGAGCCCCTGCAGGAAGAAACAGGCTGTGACTGGGTGCAAGGAGGGCAGCCCCTGCTCCAGGCAGACCTGGATTCCAGCCTCCTGGATTCCAGCCCCCTGCTGCCTCCCACACAGACCCTGGGGTAAAGGCGTCTTCGGGGAGGGCTGGATTGAGGGAAAGTACCCAGGGCACAGGGTGGGCGGATGGCACATTCTTGGAGGGGTGGGTGCTGCCTGGATGGAGGTACCTAAGGATGTAGAGGGAGCCCGGCTCCAGCAAGAGTTCCAGCCACTCCCCCGGCTCCTGGGTGTGCACCAGCCGCATAACGCTGGGAGACAGGAGAGACAGGCCGGCGATGGTGGCCCCGCAGAACTGCAAAAGAGGCGTGGGGATGGGTCAGGATCTAACCGGGCCTGCCTACCCCCTGGCTGGGAGTGCCAAGGCACCGTCCTCTGCCCACCTTGATGCTGTCCACGTGGGGCTTGATGTAGCCGCGGGCTTCCAGGTCCAGCACGTGCACGGAGGAGAGCAGGGTCTGGCCGGGGCCAAAGGCGGCCGCCTGCACGCGCTGCAGGATGGCCCGGCTGGCTTCTGACCAGCGCGACTTCTCTGTCTCTCGGAAGCCGTGGATGGCCTGCACAGAGAGCTCGGTTAAGCCTGGGAGCTCCCAGAGGGAACAAGGAAACTGAGGCAAGGAGGGGCAGAAAACGGCAAGGGGCTGGTTTCCCTATGTGACTCTTGACCCTGCCCTCAACTCAAACTCCCCTAGCCCCTCAACTATGGCCCTACCTAGGTGTGACCTCAGTCCTTAGTACTCACCCTGAGGCTACAATTCCAGGTCCCCAATGCTGGCCCGGCCCCAGCATTCAATTGGCTGAATCTCCCTACAACTTGACCCCACCCAAGTGTCCTGTCTCTGTCTCTCAACATCATCTGGCTCCACATCCGTTTCCGCCCCTAACCTTGGTCCCAGGTCGCAAAAGTGCTCTCCCTGACCCCAAGGTCCTCATCCCCCAGGTCCCGCCCCTCCCACAGCCAGAGTTTCAGCCCAGCCCCCACCATAGCCCAGCTCCCAAATCCCTGCAATAGCTACCGACCCCAAAAAGGCCCTGCCCCATCCCAGCATGTGTCTCCCCTATCTCCGCCCCCAGCGTGGTTCTGCCCTCTCTAAACCTCGACTTCCCCGTCCCCCCCACAGCATGGCCCCAACCCATCCCGGCGCTTGACTCCACGGACCCCGCCCCAAGCTTGGCCCCGCCCCATCCATGCGCTCGACGACCTGACCACGCCCCAATCCCAGCCGCCACGTTCTTCTGCACTGTAACTGCTAGCAGCGTAATCGCACCCCAACCCTACACCCGACTCCCTGGCCCCACCCCCACGCTCGACTGCGCTGTAACCGCCCCCAAGCGTGGCCACGCCCCATCCCAGCACTGGTCCCCACTGTCCCCGCCCCCAGCGTGGCCACGCCCCGTCCCTACGCTCGCCTCCTGTCCCGCCCCCAGAGTGCCCCCGCCCCATCCCTGCGCTGTCTCCTTTGTCCCCGCCCCAGCGTGGCCCCGCCCCATCCCTGCGCCCGACCCCCCTGGCCCCACAACCCCAGCACCGTAGCCCCGCCCCCACGCTAAACGGTACTGTAACCGCCCCCAGTGTGGCCCTGCCCGGTCCCGGCGCTCGTCTCCTCTGTCCCCGCTCCAAATCCCCGCTCTAGGTACCGCCCCCAGCGTGTCCCCGCCCCATCTGATGCTCCACGTCCCCAGGCCGCGCCCCCGACGAGCCCCCGTCCCTCGCCCCCGGCGCTGCCGGTCTCACCGCGTCCCAGTGATCGTATTCGTAGCGGCGGCGGCGCAGCTCGGGCTCCAGTTCTCGGCTCAGCGTCTCCTCCTCTGCCGTGCTCAGGAAGCCAGGCCGCACCACGGCCGCGTCCTGCAGGCGGCTCAGCACGGAAGGGCCCGAGCCTCGCACCCAGCTGGGCCCTGGCAGCGTCCGCAGCGCCAGCAGCCCAGTCCCGGCCATAATCCCGGAGCGGGGTCATGAGAGAGGGCAGGGTTGGGGAACGCCCCCGCCAAAAGCCATTGGCGGTACCTGCGGCAGCGATTGACTTCCCTCAGAGTCCCGCCTCTCGCTCATAGCTATTGGTTGCTGCTAGACTCGCCTTCACAGGCTATTGGCCTTTTTCCAGAACCCGCCTCCTCTCTTGAGCTTATTGGGCGCCACCTCCCGCCTGACTTACACCAGTGGCTGAGTCGCAAGTCCGTCTGCAGCTTAGCACCGCCTCTTTAATCATTAGAAAACGTACACCCTAGGGGTTGCCTGGCCAAGACTTCATAAGGGGATATGGGCAGTATCTGGTCTGAAGTCCGGAAGTCAGGGGGACTGGGGCCAAGGCCACGGTTATGGAGTCGACTAGGGCTAGAGGTTAAGGGCAGAGTACAGTCAGGCCGAGATAAGGGTCCGGGGTCAGGGGACTGACGTCAAGGCCACGATTATGTGTGTGGTGGGGCCAGCTATCCAGAGTTAGGGCTTATGGTCAAAGGTCAGAGCGAGGTATCATTCATTTCCCCGTCTCCGTATCACTATTACTTTAGGTTTGAAAATGGCATTATGGTTGTCTTTTTGATTCCTCGGCCGGGCGTGGTGGCTCACGCCTGTAATCCCAGCACTTCGGGAGGCCGAGGCGGGTGGATCACCTGAGGTCAGGAGTTCGAGACCAGCCTGGCCAGCATGGTGAAAACCCGTCTCTACTGAAAATACAAAAAATGAGCCGAGCTTGGTGGCGCGCGTGCCTGTAATCCCAGCGACTCAGGAGGCTGAGGCAGGAGAATTGCTTGAACCCAGGAGGCGGAGGTTGCAGTGAACAGAGATCCCGCCACTGCACTCCAGCCTGGGCGACACAGCAAAACATTGTCTCAAAAAAAAAAAAAAGAGTCATCGTTTTTTACAAACGCAAACTGAAAAAAAAATATTTACAGAAAAAAGATCTCTGGGATTTGCTTCCACATAAATCCAGGCTGTGGGGGCAGGGAGGGGGCGGGTAGGGAAGAATCATCTTTGACCGTGAATTAATTGTTGAATTGGTGTGATAAGTACGTGGGGTCTCATTACCCTGTTTTCTCTACTTTTGTTTATATTTATTTTTATTTGTTTATTTTTGAGACAGAGTCTCACTCTGTCGCCCAACCTGGAGCGCAGTGGCACGATCTCAGGCCCTGAAGATTTGCAACCGCTGCCTCTGGGGTTTAAGTGATTCTCATGCCTCAGCCTCCCGAGTAGCTGGGATTACAGGCAACGAACCATCATGCCCAGCTTTTTTGTTTTGTTTGTTTTTGAGACCGAATTTCGCTCTTGTCACTCAGGCTGGAGTGCAATGGTGCGGTCTTGGCTCACTGCAACCTCTGCCTTCCGGGTTCAAGCGATTCTCCTGCCTCAGCCTCCCGAGTAGCTGGGATTACGGGAAGCTGCCACCACGCCCAACTAATTTTTGTTTTTTATTTTTTTGGTTTTTGGGTTTTTTTTTTTTTGACACACAGTCTCGCTCTGTCACCCAGGCTGAAGTGCAGTGGCGGGATCTTGGCTCACTGCAAGCTCTGCCTCCCGGGTTCACACCATTCTCCTGCCTCAGCCTCCCGAGTAGCTGGGACTACAGGCGCCTGCCACCACGCCCGGCTAATTTTTTGTATTTTTAGTAGAGACAGGGTTTCACCACATTGGCCAGGCTGATCTCAAACTCCTGATCTCAGGTGACCCGTCTGCCTCGGCCTCCCAAAGTGCTGGGATTATAGGCCTGAGCCACCATGCCCGGCCTTTATTTTATTATTTTCTCCCTCTATTGCCCAGGCTGGAGTGCAAGGGCACGATCATAGCTCACTGCAGCCTGGAACTCTTGGGCTCAGGTGATCCTCTCCCCTCAGCCTCTCAAAGCTCTGGGTACTTTTGTATGTATTTTAAATGTGCATAATGCAAACTGCAACACTGTAACTGCTGAGCGTAGCGCCCCCCCGACCCCGGCCCGAATGCTTGCATTTTGAAAAATATTGACCCCATTTCTCCCTCCAGCTACATCTGCCCCCCCACCCTCTGCTCCCCTTGATAGTGTAATTCCTCGAAAGACTTGTCTATGTCTGATATGTTTCCTCCTATCCTTTCTGGATCCACTCCAGCCTGGCTTTTGGCTCCCACAGCACCAGAAAAGGCCTGATTTAAGGCCACCAGTGACATCCACAATGCCGAATCCAATAGCCAGGTCTCAGTCTGACTGTTAATGAGCCTACATGCTGATGCCGCCTACATTTTGTTTTTTTTGAGACAGAGTCTCGCTTTGTCGCCCAGGCTGGAGTGCAGTGGCGCGATCTCCGCTCACTGCAAGCTCCGCTCACTGCAAGCTCCGCTTCCCAGGTTCACGCCATTCTGCCGCCTCAGCCTCCCGAGTAGCTGGGACTACAGGCGCCTGCCACCACGCCCAGCTAATTTTTTGTATTTTTAGTAGACACGGGGTTTCACTGTTAGCCAGGATGGTCTTGATCTCCTGACCTCGTGATCCGCCCGCCTCGGTCTCCCAGAGTGCTGGGATTACAGGCGTGAGCCACCGCGCCCGGCCGATGACACCTACGTTTTTATTTCAACCTCTTGACCCTGATGTCGAGGGACATATCAAAACATCAGGTATAATATATCCAAAATCAACTCCTGATCCCTCCCCAAGCCTGTTCCTTTGCCTACACTTCCCATCTCAGGCGACAGGTCTCCATCTTCCTGCTTTGGGCCATCAGCTCGGAGTTTCTGGAAACTGCTCTCTGTCACATCCCACCTAGCTAGAATCTGACTTTTTCTCATCACTCGGCCAGGGCTGCCATCAGCTTTCGTCTAGATTACTCCAACTATCCTAACTGCTCTCCAGTTTCTGCTCATGGTGCACTCCTCAGGAGTCATAGTCATCCTTATTTTCCTTCCTCTTCTCAAAACCCTCCATGGTTCACATCCCTCCTTTTAGATGTCAGGCCTTTTATGATCTATTCTCAATCACCTCCACTTTTTTTTTTTTGGAGACAGAATCTCGCTTTGTTGCCCAGGCTGGAGTGCAGTGGCGTGATCTTGGCTCACTGCAACCTCTGCCTCCCGGGTTCAAGTGCACCATCACGCCTGGCTAATTTTCACCTCTACTTTTTGATCTCCTCTCTTCCACCTTCCCTCAGCCACGGGCCTCCTCATAGGTCCTCACATGCCAGGTACAGTCCTGTCACAGGGCCTTTGCACTGGCTGTGCCCTCTGCCTGGACACAGGCTCCACCCCTCACCTCCTTTGAGGCTTTGCTCAACCACCACCTTCTCAGTGAGGGCTTCCCTGATTACCCCATAAAAAACTGTAACACGCTTACCCTCACACTTGCATGCCACCTTTCCTGTTTTTGTTTTTTTTTTTTTTTGAGACAGAGCCTTGCTCTGTTGCCCAGGCTAAAGGGCAGTGGCGTGATCCTGCTCACTGCAACCTCCACCTCCTAAGTTCAAGCAATTCTTCTGCCTCAGCCTCCGGAGTAGCTGGGATTACAGGTGCACCACGCTCGGCTAATTTTTGTATTTTTAGTAGAAATGGGGTTTCACCATGTTAGCCAGGATGTTCTCGATCTCCTGACCTCATGATCCGCCTGCCTCGGGCTCCCAAAGTGCTGGGATTACAGGCGTGAGCCAGCGCGCCTGGCCTGTTTTGTTTTTTTTAGTAACTGTCTACTGCCACAAGAATGGAGCTCTTTTGAGGAGGGTTTCTTGTGTCTTCTTCACAAAAGAACACTGCCTGGAATATAGGATATGATCAGGAGAATCTGTTGAAGGAAGACATGGCTTGCCTCTTGGGGTCAGGACAAAAGCAGAAGGGGCCTGTGAAACACAGATGTGTACACGCTGTCATGGTGCAGAAGGGAGGGTGTCCCAGACGCAGAGCAAAGACCACAAAGATTTAATTTAAAATCACAGTGTCTCAGCTGGAATGCCCCGTCCATAGCGGGCACCCCTGCAAATTAAAAGTTCCTCAAGAGGCCCCTCCAAGCCCAGCAACAAGGGGTGAGCAGGGCCCAGCTGGGGGTCTGGCAGGCCTCTGGCCCCTCCACATGATTCTGGAGAGGAGGCCCAGCTCTCAGGTGCTAGCTGGGACAGGTTCTGCTGCCGGCGCTGCTTCTACAGGCTCCTTCTGCACCAGCGTGGGCTCATCCTCACCGTCCTGGGGAGGGTGGACCAGAACCTTGTCTAAGATGCCAAACTCCTGGGCCTCCATGGGGCTCATGTAGCGGTCCCTCTCCATGGCGGACTCTGGTGGGGAAGCAGGAGGTGAGACACATTAGGGTAAGAGCAGAGACCCAGGGCCAGGTCTGGGTCCTGTTTTGGCCTGAATGTTTGTGCCCACCACCCCAAGTTCATATGTTGAAGCCCCATCCCCTAGTGGGATGGGATTTGGAGATGGGGTCCTTGGGAAGTCATTAGGAGAGATGGGGTCAGGGGCCCCTTGATGGGATTAGTGGCCTTATAAGAGGAGACACCAGTGCACTTGCTCTCTCTCCACCATGTGAAGACACAGCGAGAAGGCGGCCGTCTGCAAGCCAGGAAGAGAGCACTCACCAAGAACCGAATCAGCTGGCACCCTGACCTTGGACTTCCCAGCCCCCAGAACTGTGAGACATAAATCTCTGTTGAGGTCTGTGGTGTTTTGTTAAGCAGCTCAAGCTGACTGAGACATGTCCTCATTCTGCAGTGCCTCAGTTTCCCCTAGGTATCAGTAAAATACCAATTTCAATTTTGTTTTTTAAAAAATTGTTATTGGGCCAGGCACGGTGGCTCACACTTGTAATCCCAGCACTTTGGGAGGCAGAGGTGGGTGGACCACTTGAGGCCAGGAGTTTGGCCTCATGTTTCACCATTGGCCTTCAAAGTTTCACCATGGCCAACATGGTGAAACCCTGTCTCTACTAAAAATACAAAAATGAGCCAGGTGTGGTGGCACACGCCTGTAATCCCAGCTACTAGGGAGGCTGAGGTATGAGAATCACTTAAATCTGGGAGGTGGAGACTGCACCACTGCACTCCAGCCTGGGCAACAAAGCAAGACTCCATCTCAAAAAAAAAAAAAAATTGTTATTGATGTATAATATACACCCAGGAAAGGGCATGATTCGTAAATGTCTGGTGGGATGGATTTTCAGACTGAACATACCCTACAGGACCAGCACCCAGACCAAGAGATGGAATAATGCCAGCACCCCTGAAACCCCACTTGGGCCCACGACAGTCACTAATCCTTGCCACCCCCTCCCCATACCCCAAAGCAACCACTCCTCTAACAGCATAAATTAGCTCTCCTTGTTTTTATAGTTTAAATAAATGGAATCACAGAGTGTTTATTCTTCTTTCATGCAACATATTTGCAAAATTCATCTGTGATGCTGTGGAACATTCACTTTTTTTTTTTTTTTTTTTTTGAGACAGGGTCTCACTTTGTCACCCAGGCTGGAGTGCAGTGGTGCAATCTCGACTCACTACAACCTCCGCCTCTCAGGTTCAAGCGATTCTCATGCCTCAGCCTCCTCAGTAGCTGGGATTACAGGCGTGTGCCAACACACCTGGCTAGTTTTTGTATTTTTGGTAGAGACGGGGTTTCACCATGTTGGTCAGGCTGGTCTTGAACTCCTGACCTCGTGATCCGCCCACCTCGGCCTCCCAAAGTGCTGGTACTACAGGCGTGAGCCATGGTGCCCAGCTAAAATTTTTTTTTCTTTTCTATGAAATGGGGTTTCACTATATTGCCCAGGCTGGTCTTGAACTCCTGAACTCAAGTGATCCTCCCACTTCAGCCTCCCAAAGTGCTGGGATTACAGGTGTGAGCCACCACACCTGGCCTCACTTTTTGATTTTAATAAAATTATGGCTGGGCGTGGTGGCTCACACTTGTAATCCCAGAACTTTGGGAGGCTGAGGCAGCTGGATCACTTGAGCTCACGAGTTTGAGACCAGCCTGGGCAACATGGTGAAACCACGTCTCTACAAAAAATTAGCCAGGCATGGTGGTGCATCCCTGTAGTCCCAGCTACTGAGGAGGCTGAGGCAGGAGAATTGCTTGAGCCCAGGAGGCAGAGGTTGCAATGAGCCGAGATCATGCCACTGCATTCCAGCCTGAGCGACAGAGCCAGACCTTGTCTCAAAAAAACAAACAAACAAAAAAATTAGCTCACTGTAACCTCAAACTCTCATATTCCACAGATTCTCCTGCCTCAGCCTCCCGAGTAACTGGATTACAAGTACACCATTTTTAGTATTTTTAGTAGAGATGGGATTTCACCATGTTGGCCAGGCTGACCTCTGGGATGGTCCCCCCATCCCAGAGAACGATCCAGCCCTGAAAGTCCGCAGGGGCCAGGTGGAGAAGCCCTGGCTTAGAGCAACGCCTGGTCCGTCTGTGCACGGACCAGGATGAAATAAAGGAGGGTGCTTACCGATCACCTGCAGGCTCTGTTTGGTGTGCTTGGCGTAGATGTTATAGAGCTGCTTCTTGAGCTTCATGATCTCCTCTGCCTGGATGGCAATGTCTGTGGCTTGGCCCTGAGGGACGTCCAAGGGAGTGAGGGGGTAAAGGTTGGTATCGGCGTCAGCCCCTCACAGGGAGGCTGGAGGTGGCACTCAGGAGCTTCCCTGGGCTTTGGGCTTCCGGTTTGAGGCTGGTGGGCTGGGGTTGTGTAAATCCCCCGATATCCTGCTTCAGTCTTGCCACTACCAGGAAGGCTTTCTGACTGGATTAAGTATATGTTATTTTCTGCATCTGAAGCCTTGCAGACTGGGAGGAACAGTGTCTCTCTGTCTCAGCATTAGCTAAGCCTTTTTTTTGTTTGTTTTTTGTTTTTTTTTTTTAGAGATGGGGTCTTGCTATGTTGCCCAGACTGGTCTCAAACTCCCGGCCTCAAGTGATCCTCCTGTCTCGGCCTCCCAAAGTGCTGGGATTACAGGCATGAGCCACCATGCCTGGCCGCCTTTTTTTTTTTTTGAGACAGGGTCTTCCTCTGTTGCTGGGGCTGGAATGCAGTGGTACAAGACAGCTCATTGCAGCCTTCACCTCACAGGCTCAAGCAATCCTCCCACCTCAGCCTCCTGAGTAGCTGGGACCAGAGGCAAGCATAACCATGCCCGAGTCATTTTAAATATTTGGTAGAGATGGGGTCTCACCATTGCCCAGGCTGGTCTTAAACTCTTGGCCTCAAGTGATCCTCCTGCCTTGGCCTCCCAAAGTGCTGGGATTACAGATGTGAGCCACTGTGCCCAGCTGAAGCTAATTCTCAAGAGACAGCAAACAACTCCTCAGTGCATTTTCTTTTTTTCCCTTTGTTGTTTTGAGACAGAGTCTTGCTCTGTCATCCAGGCTTGAGTGCAGTGGCGCAATCTCAGCTCACTTCCACCTCCTGGGTTCAAGTGATTCTCCTATCTCAGCCTCCCAAAACAGCTGGGATTATGGGCACGCACCACCATGCCCAGCTAATTTTTGTATTTTTAGTAGAGACGGGGTTTCATCATGTTGGCCAGGCTGGTTTAGAATTCCTGACCTCAAATGATCCACCTGCTCCAGCTTCCCAAAGTGTCAAGATTTACAGGCGTGAGCCACCATGCCTGGCCTTTTTTTTTTTTTTCTTTAATAGAGACAAGGTCTCATTATGTTCCCCTGGCTGGCCTCGAACTCCTGAGCTCACGTGATCCTCCCGCCTCTGTCTCCCGAAGTGCTAGGATTACAGGCGTGAGCCACCACACCCAGCCTGGCCTGCACATTTTAAGACATCCACTCCCGGCTGGCCCAGCGCGGTGGCTCACGCCTGTAATTCCAGCACTTTGGGAGGCCAATGTGGGCGGATCACGAGGTCAGGAGATCGAGACCATCCTGGCTAACATGGTGAAACCCCGTCTCCACTAAAAATACAAAAAGCCGAGCGTGGTGGCGGGCGCCTGTAGTCCCAGCTACTCAGGAGGCTCAGGCAGAAGAATGGCGTGAACCCAGGAGGCGGAGCTTGCAGTGAGCCGAGATCGCACCACTGCACTCCAGCCTGGGCGACAAAGTGAGACTCCATCTCAAAAAAAAAAAAAAACATCCCCTCCCACGCTTGACTTCCGCCCAGTCAGTCCTTCTGTCTAGACCCTGTCCTGATTCCCAACAGCAGCTCGCGTGTCTGGCACTCACCCGGGCGCCTCCTGAGGGCTGGTGGATCATGATACGGGAGTTGGGGAGCGAGTGGCGCATGCCTGGGGTGCCGGCGGCGAGAAGCAGGGAGCCCATGCTGGCGGCCTGGCCCACGCACCAGGTGCAGATCGGGTTGAGGATGTACTGCATCGTGTCGTAGATGGCCAGGCCCGCGGTCACCACACCACCTGTGGGCGGGGGAGCAAGTGAGGGGCTGGACCAGCTCCCCCCGACCCTTTCCCTATTCCATCTCCTAAACCTGGGGAGGGTGGAACAGATGCAGCCCCCCTCCTTTTTTAAAAATTAATATGACTGGGCGCTGTGGCTCATGCCTGCAATCCCAGCACTTTGGGAGGCTGAGGCAGGCGGATCACAAGGTCAGGAAATCAAGACCATCCTGGCTAACACAGTGAAACCCCGTCTCTACTAAATATACAAAAAATTAGCCGGGCGTGGTGGCGGGTGCCTGTAGTCCCAGCTATTCCGGAGGCTGAGGCAGCAGAATGGCGTGAACCCGGGAGGCGGAGGTTGCAGTGAGCCGAGATAGCGCCACCGCACTCCAGCCTGGGCGACAGAACGAGACTCCATCTCAAAAAAAAAAAAAAAAAATTAAGACTGGGTTTCACTGCTTTCACTATGTTGCCCAGGCTGATCTCGAACTCCTGGGCTCAAGCAATCCTCCCAAAGTGTTGGGATTACACGTGTGAGCCACCATGCCCAGCCAGAAGCAGCTATTTTTTTTTTTTTGAGACTGAGTCTCACTGTCACGTAGGCTGGAGTGCAGTAGCGCGATCTCAGCTCACTGCAACCTCCACCTCCCGGGTTTATGCAATTCTCCTGCCTCAGCCTCCCGAGTAGCTGGATTACAAGTACACCACCATGCCCGGCTAATTTTTGTATTTTTAGTAGAGATGGGATTTCACCACGTTGGCCAGGCTGCTCTCAAACTCCTGACCTCAAGTGATCAGCCCACTTCAGCCTCCCAAAGTGCTGGAATGACAAGCGTAAGCCACTGCGTCCGGTCTAGAAGCAGCTCTTTAAAGCAGGGTTCACAAACACAAATGCTTCCAGGGGTTGGGAGGTGACAAAAACAAGTGACACGGCCCAGGTGCAGGCAAAAGGCAGAGCGCTTGCTTTACAGTCAGCTGACTCTTGCCAGATGTGCCAGTGGACCATGGGATCAGATCTACTAAATTTCCAAGAGAAACTAGAAATCAGGCCAGGCGTGGTGGCTCATGCCTGTAATCCCAGCACTTTGGGAGGCTGAGGCGGGTGGATCACTTGAGGTCAGGAGTTCAAGACCAGCCTAACATGGTGAAACATCATCTCTACGAAATACAAAAAATTAGACAGGCATGGTGGCACATGCCTGTAATCCCCAGCTACTTGAGAGGCTGAAGCTGGAGAATCGCTTGAACCCAAGGAGGCAGAGGTTGCAGTGAGCTGAGATTGCAACACTGCACTCCAGCCTGGGTGACAGAACGAGACTCCATCTCAATAAAAAAAAAAAAAAATGCCTCCATCATAAGTGCTCAATCAAAATTGACTACTTTTTTTGGGGAGGGGGAAAAAATCTACCAATTATGATTATTTTTGAGATGGGCTCACTACAGCCTCGACCTCCTGGGCTCAAGTGATCCTTCTCCCTCAGCCTTCCGAGTTGCTGGGACTACAGGCACACGCCACATTGCCCGGCTAATCTTTGTACTTTTTTTGTAGAGATGGGG
Organism: Homo sapiens; assembly: GCF_000001405.40. Lineage (NCBI taxonomy): Eukaryota > Metazoa > Chordata > Mammalia > Primates > Hominidae > Homo > Homo sapiens. The sequence continues at coordinate 6,362,912 of NC_000019.10, read as the reverse complement.
TCTCACTACGTTACCCAGGCTGGTCTTGAACTCCTGAGCTCGAGCAATCCGCCCGCCTCAGCCTCCCAAAGTGTTGGGATTACCGGTGTGAGCCACTGTGCCCGGCCTAAAATCTACCAATTTTTAAATGTCAGCCGGGTCAGGTTGGCAGAACAGTATGTGCAGGATCAAAGAGGCCACATCCTGACTTGTGAACCGAGGCTCAAAAGCCAGCAACAGGCACCTTTTGGTGGTTTAAAGCCACTTCTGGAACTCTGACGCTCTGCACCCTTTCCCAGAGAGAGAACATCCCTGACCCGGGATTCTGGTCCCCTGAGTCACCCGTGTGCCCTGACGAGTGCCCCTGGCACCCAGGAAAGACCCTGCTCACCAGGGCTGTTGATGTACATGTGGATGGGCTTCTTGTTGCTCTCGGATTGCAGGAAGAGGAGCTGTGCGATAACAAGGCTGGCAACGCTGTCATCGATCTGCAGGTGGAGAGGGCAGGGGTGTCCCCAGATTCGGGGTGGGGAGAGAGTTTTAAGGGAGGCTGGGGATGGGTCAGGGAACCAGGAAGGGGGACCAGAGCCCAAAGTAAAAGGGATGGGGAAGAATTTAGGCCCCAGAAGGGGATGGGGAGAGAGTAGTGGAGAGGACCCAGGGGGTTTGGAGCACAGGAAGGGGGGAGTCAGGGGGCTAGGGACACAGGAAAGGAAGGGGTGAGAATGGCTGGGGAGAGTCTTGAGCGTAGGAATGAGGGGAGCGGTGCCAGGTGTCAGGAAGGAAGTCGGAGATTAAGAGCCGAGGAGCAGAGAAGGGGTGAGGAGCGGGTTGGGGGACCGGGAGCCAGGAGGGGAGTCAGAAGGGGAGGGAAGGGGGTTAGAAGGGGAGCGGAGCCTGAGGGAAAGTCTGGGGCCAGGGAAGGAGGGGCGCAGGGAGTGTCGGCAGGCGCTTGGGAGAGTCCTGGGGAGGGTCCCGGCGCGGGGCGCTCACCGGGCCCATGACGCACACGATGCGCTCCCGCAGCAGCCGCGAGTAGATGTCATAGGCGCGCTCGCCGCGACCCTGGGGGTAGAAAGATGGAGGTGAGGGGCCGGGGCAGCCAGCCGATCCCCACCCAGCCCGGAGCCCCCGAACCGTGTCCCCGCCCGGCCGCCGTACCGTCTGCTCCACCACGATGGGAATGAGCGGGAGAGCCCGGGTCGCCGTCGCGTGCAGGCACCGCTGCAGGGCCAGGCCGTTCTGGAGTGTCCGCTGCGGCGGCCGCTGCGCTGGAAAGTGAGCGGCGAGGCGAGGCCCCAGCGCGGGGTACCTGCATGACGCCACCCGGGCCCCCCCTACCAATATTCCGGGCCACATCCCTCCGCACGCCCCGGTCGGCTTCCGTCCGATGGCGGAACTACAGCTTCCGGCGTGCTTTGCGCCTGGGAGCTCGCTCGCTAGGCCGCTCACTTCCAGGAGTCTGGGCGGGCGCCATTAAGGGTGAGGCGGGGATAGGGACGGAGCCTGAAAGGGAGGAGCCAATGAAGTAAATTGAGTGGGCAGGGCTGGAGAAGTTTTAGAGTCTCCAGTTCGAGTCCCCTTACCGACCAATTCGTCTTCTTTTTTTTTTTTTTTTGAGACGGAGTCTTGCTCTGTCACCCAGGCTGGAGTGCGGTGGCACGATGTTGGGTCACTGCAACCTCTGCCTTCTGGGTTCAAGCCATTCTCCTGGCTCAGCTGCCCCAGTAGCTGGGATTACAGATGCACACCACTGCACCCGGTTAATTTTGTTATTTTTAGTAGAGATGGGTTTCACCTTGGCCAGGCTGGTCTTGAACTCCTGACCTCGTGATCTTCCCACCTCGGCCTCCCAAAGTACTGGGATTACAGGCGTGAGCCACCGCGCCCGGCCTCGTCTTCGTTTTCTACTGTTTCTGCTTTATTTATTTTTATTTTTTTGAGACAGAATCTCACTCTGTGGCCCAGGCTGGAGTGCAGTGGCGCCATCCTAGCTCAATGTGGCCTCAAATTTCTGGGCCCAAGCAACCCTCCCTCCCACCTTGCTCTCCAGAGTAGCTGGGACTACAGTTGTGTGCTACCACATCTGGCAAATATATATATATATGTATTAGAGATGGGGTCTTACTATGTCGCCCAGGCTGGTCTCAAACTCCTGGCCTCAAGTGATCCTCCCACCTTTGCCTCCCAAAGTGCTGGGACTACAGGCATGAGCCACCACACCCCACTTATTCCTTATTTTAAAAATAGCTGCAGGGCCGGGCACAGTGGCTCACGCCTGTAATCTTAGCACTTTGGGAGGCTGAGGTGGGCGGATCACGAGGTCAGGAGATCGAAACCATCCTGGCTAACACGGTGAAACCGCGTCTCTACTAAAAATACAAAAAATTAGCCGGGCGAGGTGACGGGCACCTGTAGTCCCAGCTACTCAGGAGACTGAGGCAGGAAAATGGTGTGAACCTGGGAGGTGGAGCTTGCAGTGAGCTGAGATGGCGCCTCTGCACTCCAGCCTGGGCGACAGAGCCAGACACCGTCTCAAAAAAAAAAAAAAAAGCTGCAGTGTTCCCACAGCTCATCTTGGAAGAGGGGTCCCAGAGAGGACTTAGCCTGGGTCTTGGCCTTGAAGAGCTTCCAGCCTGGTGTGGCCGACTTCTACTGAGACCTCCTCATTCATTTTTTGGCCACCTGTGGAGTAGATTGTGGGAGCCCAGAGAAGGGTGTTGTGGATTCTTCCTGGAGATCAGACCGGAAAGCATTCCTAGGAGAAGCAGGTATTGGAATTGGGCTTTGCAGGATAAGTAGGAGTTTGTTAGCTGGGGAAAGGCATTTCCAGCAGAGGAAAAAGAATGGGCAAAATGGTGGAAGTAGGAAGATTGCTGGTAATGTTGGGACTTCTCTTTTTTGCCACACCTTCTCAAGCCAGATTCTTTTTCATCATTCAGTTCAATGTCACTATCTAAGAGGTGCCCACTGCTTCATCCCCAAAGTCTAGAATAGTGCCTGACACACAGTAGGTGCTCATTAAATACACATTGAACCAAGAGATGAAGAGGTGATAAAGGAGGTAGGTAGAGGGCTTTGGAGGCATCTGCAGAGTGGGGATAATGATAACCTACCTCCTAGGTTTGTGCAGAAAGTCCTCAGAAAGGGTCCAAAAATGTGTAAAAAGTGCTCAGTTTGAATGATTTATTGCTGTGTTAGATCAGGGACCATGGAAGTCTGAGAAGTCTTCAGGTCCTCCCACATGGGAGTCTACTTGAAGTGTTTTTTTCTTTTTTTTCCCGGGGCAGTCCTTCGAATCACAGCAGATTCAGGCGAGGTGTTGTGGTGGCTCATGCCTGCAATCCCAGCACTTTGGGAGCCCAAGACATGTGGATCACCTAAGGACAGGGGTTTGAGACCAGCCTGACCAACACAGTGAAACTCCGTCTCTATTAAAAATACAAAATTATCTCGGCATGGTGGTGAATGCCTGTAATCCCAGCTACTTGGGAGGCTGAGTCAGGAGAATCACTTGAACCCAGGAGGCAGAGGTTGCAGAGAGCCGAGATCACACCACTGTACTCCAGCCTGGGCAACAAGAGCAAAACTCTATCTCAAAAAAAAAAAAAAAATCACAGCAGATTCAGAGAGACTCCTGAAGTGGATTTTGATGTATAAGAAGTTTACCAAGCAGTAAGCGGTAGACTCTTTTTTTGTTTTGAGTCAGTGTCTCGCTCTGTCACCCAGGCTGGAGCACAGTGGTGTGATCAGAGCTCACTGCAGCCTTGAACCTCTGGGCTCAAGCTATCCTCTCACCTCAGCCTCCCAAGTAGCTAGGACTAGAGGTGCATGTCACCACATCTGGCTAATTTTAAAATTTTTTGTAGAGACAGGGTCTCCCTATGTTGCCCAGGCTGGTCTTGAACTCCTGGACTTAAGTGATCCTCCTGCCTCAGCCTTCCAAACTGCTGAGACATGAACCATCATGCCCAGCTGGACTCTTTTTTTTTTTTTTTTTGAGACAGAGTTTTGCTCTTGTTGCCCAGGCTGGAGTGCAATGGCACAATCTCGGCTCACCACAACCTCCGCCTCCCAGGTTCAAGCAATTCTTCTGCCTTAGCCTCCCGAGTAGCTGGGATTACAGGCGCCCACCACCACGCCCAGCTAATTTTGTATTTTAAGTAGAGACGGGGTTTCTCCATGTTGGTCAGGCTAGTCTCGAACTCGCGACCTCAGGTGATCCACCCGCCTCAGCCTCCCAAAGTGCTGGGATTACAGGCGTGAGCCACTGCGCCCGGCCACTGGACTCTTTTTTTTTTTTTTTTGAGATGGAGTCTCGCTCTGTCGCCCAGGCTGGAGTGCAGTGGTGCGGTCTCGGCTCACTGCAAGCTCCGCCTCCCAGGTTCACGCCATTCTCCTGCCTCGGCCTCCCAAGTAGCTGGGACACTGGACTCTTAAACTTGATGCTGGGTACCCTAGATAAGAATAATTTTGTGCCCTCTGTAACCTCGAGGGGACTGCAGTCCGATGGGGAGATAGAAGGGGACACAGACACTCCCAGTTTTGTAGAATCAGGAGTAAGACAGAGGGAGGGAGTTGAAGGTGACAGAGTTAGGAGAATACCTTGCAGGTCCGCAAAGCAGAAAGCCCACATGGCAGCCAGCGCTGGCAGGCAGGGCCTCACGGTGGAAAGCCGGCATTTGGGCTCAGAGGGTGTTGGCCAGAGGTCTGGAATCTTACTTTTATTTCCAGCTGGGATTGAGGAGGTAGGAGGGCAGCTGCTGTCCCAGTTTCTGCTGTGAGTCAGGTGGGTGGCCCTGCCCGGCCGGTTGCCCCAGGGCTGCAGCTCCTGCCCCCGCCCTGGGGAGAAGGGCCAGGACAACAGCTGCCACCATCCCTGCAGCCACTCCTCCACTCCTCCACTCCTTCACTCCTCCGGACGCTGCCCTGCACCCCCTGCCTGCCCTGCCTCTGACGTGGGATGGCGGGGTCCTCTTAGATGTGTTCCCTGTCTCCCTTTGTTTAATCAGCTTCACTTCTCCCCATTGCAACTGCTTTTCACCTTCTTCATTGTTAATAGCTCCCTAACAGGTGCTCCAGTATCACCCACGTCACTGTGACCTACTGTCTCTTCTTCACTATTCTTCACTCTAAGAGATCCCCAAAAAAGCTAATTTTTTTTTTTTTTTGAGACGGGGTCTCACTCTGTCATCCAGGCTGGAGTGCAGTGAAGCGATCTCGGCTCACTGAAGCCTCTGCCTCTCCGGTTCAAGCGATTCTCGGGCCTCGACCTCCTGAGTAGCTGGCACCCACCATCACGCCCAGATAAGTTTTGTATTTTTAGTAGAGATGGGGTTTCACCATGTTGGCCAGGCTGGTCTCGAACTCCTGACCTCAAATGATCCATGTGCGTCAGCCTCCCAAAGTCCTCAGATTACAGGTGTGAACCACCGCGCTTGGCTGAGAAACCTAAATTGAACTGCGGTTCCCCGTCCCCCCTGCTGACCCCCCTTATCTCCTTCCCTACCCTGGTCTGCTTTTCACACCCCAAACACATCAAGCTCAATCCAGCCACAAAGCCTCTGCTTTACTCTGCTTGGAGTCAAGCCAGGCAGAGTGGCTCACGGCCGTAATCCCAGTACTTTGGGAGGCGGAGGCGGGCGGCTCACCTGAGGTCAGGAGTTCAAGACCAGCCTGACCAACGTGGTGAAACCCCGTCTCAACTAAAAATACAAAAATTAGCCAGGCATGGTGGCCTGCGCCTGTAGTCCCAGCTACTTGGGAGAGACTGAGGCAGGAGAATCGCTTGAACCCGGGAGGCAGAAGTTGCAGTGAGCCAAGATTACACCATTGCACTCCAGCCTGGGCGACAGAGCGAGACTCCATCTCAAAAAAAAAAAAAAAAAAAAGTCTCAGCTCAGATGTCATCCCTGAGAGAAGCCTTCCCTGAACACCTTTGCTAATATCCCAGGCACTCTAGAACATTTGCCTTGTTTAATTTTCATCTTGGTGTGACTTTCATCATAAACAATTGCATTAATTCATTTGTTTCTTTTTCTATTGTCTGCAGAACATTCTGCTATCTTGTTTGGCTCTGGTGCATAGCTCACTGCAGCCTCATACTTCTGGACTCAGGTGAATCCTCCCAACCTCAGTCTACCAAGTAGCTGGGACCACAGGCACACGCCAACAGGACCTGCTAATGTTTTTAAAGTTTTTTTTTTTTTTTACATGCAGTATGATTTATTTTATATAATGTTCAAAAGCTTGCAAAAACAGCATATTGTTTACAGATGCATATTTTGGAGGTAAAATTATGAAGAAAAGCGAGATCATTATAAACAAAATTTAGGAGGGGGCTGGGATGGAGAAGGGCATGCAAAAGGGCTTTAACGGTGTTGGTTGTAATCTGTATCTTAAACTGGGTATGGGTAGTAGGGTGTCCAGTCTATTTATTTATTTATTTATTTTATTTATTTTTTTATTGATCATTCTTGGGTGTTTCTCGCAGAGGGGGATTTGGCAGGGTCATAGGACAATAGTGGAGGGAGGGTCAGCAGATAAACAAGTGAACAAGGGTCTCTGGTTTTCCTAGGCAGAGGACCCTGCGGCCTTCCGCAGTGTTTGTGTCCCTGGGTACTTGAGATTAGGGAGTGGTGATGACTCTTAACCAGCATGCTGCCTTCAAGCATCTGTTTAACAAAGCACATCTTGCACCGCCCTTAATCCATTTAACCCTGAGTGGACACAGCACATGTTTCAGAGAGCACAGGGTTGGGGGTAAGGTCACCGATCAACAGGATCCCAAGGCAGAAGAATTTTTCTTAGTACAGAACAAAATGAAAAGTCTCCCGTGTCTACCTCTTTCTACACAGACATGGCAACCATCCGATTTCTCAATCCTTTCCCCGCCTTTCCCCCCTTTCTATTCCACCAAACCGCCATTGTCATCATGGCCCGTTCTCAATGAGCTATTGGGTACACCTCCCAGACGGGGTGGTGGCTGGGCAGAGGGGCTCCTCACTTCCCAGTAGGGGTGGCCGGGCAGAGGCGCCCCTCACCTCCCGGACCGAGGCGGCTGGCCGGGCGGGGGGCTGACCCCCCCACCTCCCTCCCGGATGGAGCGGCTGGCCGGGCGGGGGGCTGAACCCCCCACCTCCCTCCCGGACGGGGCGGCTGGCCGGGTGGGGGGCTGACCCCCCCACCTCCCTCCTGGACGGGGCGGCTGGCCGGGCAGAGGGGCTCCTCACTTCCCAGTAGGGGTGGCCGGGCAGAGGCGCCCCTCACCTCCCGGACGGGGCGGCTGGCCGGGCGGGGGGCTGACCCCCCCCACCTCCCTCCCGGACGGGGCGGCTGGCCTGGCGGGGCTGACCCCCACCTCCCTCCCGGGTGGGGTGGCTGTCGGGCAGAGACGCTCCTCATTTCCCAGACGGGGTGGCTGCTGGGCAGAGGGGCTCCTCACTTCTCATATGGGGCGGTTGCCAGGCGGAGGGTCTCCTCACTTCTCAGACGGGGCGGCTGGGCAGAGACGCTCCTCACCTCCCAGATGGGGTCGCGGCCGGGAAGAGGCGCTCCTCACTTCCTAGATGGGGTGGTGGCCAGGCAGAGACGCTCCTCACTTTCCAGACTGGGTAGCCAGGCAGAGGGGCTCCTCACGTCCCAGACGATGGGCGGCCAGGCAGAGACGCTCCTCACTTCCCAGACAGGGTGGCGGCCGGGCAGAGGCTGCAATCTCGGCACTTTGGGAGGCCAAGGCAGGCGGCTGGGAGGTGGAGGTTGTAGCAAGCCGAGATCACGCCACTGCACTCCAGCCTGGGCACCATTGAGCACTGAGTGAACCAGACTCCGTCTGCAATCCCGGCACCTCTGGAGGCCGAGGCTGGCGGATCACTCGCACTTAGGAGCTGGAGACCAGCCCGGCCAACACAGCGAAACCCCGTCTCCACCAAAAAAATACGAAAACCAGTCAGGCGTGGTGGCGCGCGCCTGCAATCACAGGCACTCGGCAGGCTGAGGCAGGAGAATCAGGCAGGGAGGCTGCAGTGAGCCGAGATGGCAGCAGTACAGTCCAGCTTCGGCTCGGCATCAGTGGGAGACCGTGGAAAGAGAGGGAGAGGGAGACCGTGGGGAAAGGGAGAGGGGGGAGAGGGAGAGGGAGAGGGAGTGACACTTCTCCTGTTTTTAAAGTTTTTGTTGTAGAGACAAGGTATCGATATGTTGCTGAGGCTGGTCTCAAATTCCTGAGCTTGAGCAATCCTCCTGCCTTGGCCTCCCAAAGTGCTGGGATTACAGGCGTGAGCCACTGCACTCAGCCCATTAAACCTTTTTGATTAGGGCTCACAAGGAGAAACATATCTTACATAGTGTCTGAGTACACAAAAATACAAAAGTCTTATAAAATGAAACTTATTATTTGAGCAATGTCCTTTGATATTTTCTATTCTATTTGATCCTGTTCTATTGCATTTCACTTAAAGTAGGGTTTTTCAACTTTGGCACGATTGAAAATCTGAGTTGGAGAATTCTTTGAAAGTACAAAAGGCCACCCAGGCCACTGTAGGGTGCTGAGCAGCATCTCTGGCCTCCACCCACTCGATAACAGGAGCACCCCCACCCCTACCCCCATCAATTAAAAAAAATGCCCCCCTAACAGTAAAAAGTATCTCAGACATTGCCAAGTATCCTCCAGGGGGCAGAGTCGCTCCCAGCTGAGAATCACTATTTATTTATTTATTTACTTATTTATTTTATTTTATTTTATTTTATTTTTGAGATGGTCTCTTGCTCTGTTGTCCAGGCTGGGGTGCAGTGGTGTGATCTTGGCTCACTGCAGCCTCCACCTCCTGGGTTCAAGTGATTCTCCTGCCTCAAACTCCTGAGTAGCTGGGACTACAGGCATGAACCACCATGCCTGGCTAATTTTTGTATTTTTAGTAGAGATGGGGTTCCACCGTGTTGGCCAGGCTGGTCTCAAACTCCTGACCTCAGGTGATTTGCCCACCTCGGCCTCCCAAAGTGCTGAGATTACAGGTGTGAGCCATCACAGCTGGCCTGAGAACCACTGTTTTATTTTATTTTATTTATTTTATTTTATTTTATTATTTTATTGTATTTATTTTATTTTATGAGATGGGGTTTCGCTCTTGTTGCCTAGGCCGGAGTGCAATGGTGTGATCTGAGCTCACTGCCACCTCTCCCTTGCAGGTTCAAGCAATTCTCCTGCCTCAGCCTCCCAAGTAGCTGGGATTACATGCACGTGCCACCACGCCAGGCTAATTTTGTATTTTTAGTAGAGATGGGGTTTCAGCATGTTGGTCAAGCTGGTCTTGAACTCCTGACCTCAGGTGATCCACCTGCCTCTGCCTCCCAAAGTGCTGGGATTACAGGTGTGAGCCACCATGCCCAGCCAAGAACCACGACTTAAAGTGGATAGTGATCTGAAATAGAAGAAAAACAACTTTATTTATTTATTTTTATTTTGTAGAGGCAGAGTCTCACTATGCTGTCCAGGCTGGTTTCAAATTCCTGGAGTCAAGCAACCCTCTTACCTTGGCCTCCCAAAGCGCTGAGATGTCAACAGAGGGAAAGAGTTGAAGGTGAGTTTGTCTCCTTTTTTTTTTGAAGTAGAGTCTTGCCTTGTCACTCAGACTAGAGTACAGTGGTGTGAACATGGCTCACTGCAGCCTTGACCTCCTGGGTTCAAGCAATCCTCCCACCTTAGCTTGCCAAGCAGCTGAGACTATAGGCGCAAGCCACCACGCCCAGCTAATTTTTGTTTCTGTTTTTATAGAGACAGAATTTCTCTTATGTTGTCCAAGCTGGTGTTGAACTCATGGCCTCAAATGATCCTCACACCTGCCTCGGCCTCTTGGTGCTGGGATTACAGATGTGAGCCACCACACCAGGACTCCATAAATATTTAATGTGTTGTTTTCATTCCTCCAAACCTTGCTCAGTAAGTTCTGAATGAATGAGTATTTTGGCTCTTGGCTCCAAATCAACCTGCCCTACTGGTTTTTGGTTATCACTCCATGATCAGAGAGAAGCTGTCATCACTGTTACCTTCTCTGGAATGAATGCAAATGGGCCTATTGAAATGATAGAAATTGAAAATTAGGAAAAGAAAAGGAAACTCTCAGTGCTGAAGAGGCTGTGGATGAAATGCTGGATGCACCAATGAATGGCTCATGGACATTGCTACAGCTTCTCTGGGAACAAAGTTGACACCAAATTTCAAATTCACAGAACCCACTTCCAGTTATTTGTTTTTAGGAAATGATCAAAGGTGTGCACCTGTGCACTAAGATTTGACCCCAAAGTAGCTTATGGCAGAGTTGTTCATACACCTGTGTTTCAGTTAGTTAGTGCTGTGTAACAAACCGCCCCTAAACTTAGGAGTTTGAAACAACCACAGCTTATCATTTCTCATAATTTGAGAATCTGCACTGGGCTCAGCTAGGATTTTCTGGGGCTGGAATATCCACAAGTGGAACATTCTCCACTCACATATCTGGAGCCCCAGTGAGTCATCTCTCTCTCCACATGGCTGTTTGGGCTCCCTCATGGTATGGTGGTCTTTATTCCCCATATGGCAACTGACTTCAGAGAGAGTTAGCAAAAGCTACTTGTCTTCTTAAATGCTTGGCTTGGAAGTCACATGGTAGCTCTTCTGCCACATTCCATTGGTCAGAGCAAGTCACATAGCCCAACCCAAATTCAAGGGGAAGAGGAGATGAAATAGACTCGGCGGAGGAGTGGCAGGGGCATAACAGGATGGAAAGTGATGGCGGCTGTCTCTGGAGATAGTCTCTCATGGCCACGTTAGCAAAGAATTGCAAATAAATGCCTTGTAAGAGGGGACTACTTAAATGGCTTGAATTTTTTTTTTTTTTTTTTGAGATGGAGTCTTGCCCTGTCGCCCAGGCTGGAGTGCAGTGGTGTGATCTCGGCTCACTGCAAGCTCCGCCACCCAGGTTCACGCCATTCTCCTGCCTCAGCCTCCCGAGTAGCTGGGACGACAGGCGCCCACCACCAAGCCCGGCTAATTTTTGGTATGTTTAGTACAGATGGGGTTTCACCGTGTTAGCCAGGATGGTCTTGATCTCCTGGCGTTGTGATCCACCCGCCTCGGCCTCCCAAAGTGCTGGGATTACAGGCATGAGCCACCACACCCGGCCTAAGGGTTTAAATTTTAAAATTATTTTATTATTTAATTTTTGGAGACAGCATCTCACTCTGTCACCCAGGCTGGAGTGCAGTAGCGCAATCACAGCTCACTGCAGTCTTGACCTCCCAGGCTCAAGCGATCTTCCTGCGTCAGCCTCCTGAGTAGCTGGGACCACATGTGCATACAATACACCTGGCTAATTTCTTTTTTTTTTTTGGTAAGGGCCGGGTCTTGCTATGTTGTCCAGGCAGAACTCAAACTCCTGATCTCAAACGATCCTCCTGCCTCAGCCTCTCAAAGTGCTGGGATTACAGGCATGAGCCACCACGCCTGGCCAAATTTTAAGCCAAATTATCAAGTATCCATATTATGGATTGTAACTCTTATTTATTTATTATTATTATTATTTTTATTTTTTGAGACGGAGTTTCACTCTTTTTGCCCAGGCTGGAATGCAATGGCGCAATCTCGGCTCACTGCAACCCCCACCTCCCAGGTTCAAGTGATTCTCCTGCCTCAGACTCCTGCGTAGCTGGGACAACAGGTGCCCGCCACCAGGCCCGGCTAATTTTTTGTATTTTTAGTAGAGACGGGGCTTCATCATGTTGGCCAGGATGGTCTCGATCTCTTGACCTCGTGATCCGCCCGCCTCAGCCTCCCAAAGTGCTGAGATTACAGGCGTGAGCCACCACACCCGGCCTATAACTCATATTTATTGAGTGCCTTCACTGGTTTAATTATATAGTTAGGTATGACTGTGAGGGAGAGAAATACCAATGACTGACAAGATAGACATGACTTTCTCTCCCAGTCACAGTCTGGAGGTTGGCATCCAGAGTTGGTAGGGTGATTCTGACACACAAATTCTCTATTGGCTCAGATCTGCTCACATGGCCACACCTGGCTGCCGAGGAGCCAGGAAATTTGTTTATTTATTCCATTGATATTTACTGAGCATTTACTATGTACACAGCATTGGGGTACAGCTCCTGTTGTTTTTGTTCCTATAAAAGAAAGCAAACAAATGCAAAGAAAACAGAGAACAACCCCCGCTTTCATGGAGTGTTCCTTCTGCAGCACCCACATCCTCTTTTTTCTTCTCCTTCCTTCCTTCCTTCCATCCTTCCCTCCCTGCCTCCCTCCCTCTCTCCCTCCCTCCTTCCCTCCCTCCCTCCCTCCTTCCTTCCTTTCTTTTCTCTTCTTTCTTTTTTCTTGAGACGGAGTCTTGCTCTGTCACCCAGGCTGGAGTGCAGCGGCACGATCTCGGCTCACTGCAACCTCCGCCTCCCAGGTTCAAGTGATTCTCCTGCCTCAGCCTCCCGAGTACCTGGGATTACAGGCATGCGCCACCATGCCCAGCTAATTTTTTTTAATTTTATTATTATTATACTTTAAGTTTTAGGGTACATGTGCACAACGTGCAGGTTTGTTACATATGTATACATGTGCCATGTTGGTGCCAGCTAATTTTTTATATTTTTAGTTGAGACGGGGTTTCACCATGTTGGCCAGGATGGTCTCGATCTCTTGACCTTGTGATCCACCTGCCTCAGCCTCCCAAAGTGCTGGGATTACAGGCATGAGCCACCACGCCCGGACCCTTCCCTCCCCTCCCCTCTCCTTCCCTTCCCTTCTTTCCTTTTTCTTTTGACACAGGGCAGGGTCTCACTTTGTCACCCAGGCTGGAGTGCGGTAGTGCAGTCATGGCTCACTGCAGCCTCAAACTCCTGGACTCAAGCGATCCTCCTGCCTTAGCCTCCAGAATAGCTGGGACCACAGGCATGCACCACCGCACTGGGCTACTTTTTGTATTTTTGGTAGAGACGAGGTCTTGCTATGTTGCCTGAGCTGGTCTTGAACTCCTGGGGTCAAGTGATTGTTCCATCTCGGCTTCCCAAAGTATTGGGATTACAGGCGCCAACCACCATGCCCAGCCCCCAGATCCCCTTTTAAGAAGGGACTTACTGCCCAGCCAAGGGATGTATGGTGAGCAGAAACCTCCAGCTTCCATGTTTAGGATCACCTTCAGGTGCAGAGAGCCACCTCCCTCAGAGTCTCATCTGTCCCAGGGCAGCCCACAGCCAGTGACTGGGTGAGGCAGAGGAATAAAGGCCTGGGTATTCTGACTTCATGTGGGATGCTCTGATGGGGCTCACTGGCTCCAGAGTCCCTCGCCGATTAGCCAAGGCTTTGTCCATGCTCAATACCACTTTAACTTCTCCCTTTGCCCAGTTCTGTCTGCCCTTCCTCCCTCCCTTCCTTTCCTTCCTTCCTTCTTTCCTTCCTTCCTTCCTTCCCTCCCTCCTTCCTTCCTTCTTTCCTTCCTTCCTTCCTTCTTTCCTCCCTTCCTTCTTTCCTTCCTTCCTTCTTTCCTTCCTTCTCTCCCTCCCTCCCTCCTTCCTTCCCTCCCTCCTTCTGTCCCTCCCTCTTTTCCTTTCTTCTTTCTCTCTCTCTCTTTCTTTCTTTTATTTTGTAGAGATGGGGGCTCCCTATGTTGCCCAGGCTGATCTCAAACTCTAGGCTCAAGCCATCCACCTGCCTCTGCTTCTCAAAGCGCTGGGATTACAGACATGAGCCACCAAGCCTAGCTCTCCTCCTCCTCCTCCTCCTTCTTCTTCTTCTTCCTTCTTCCTTCTTTCTTTCTTCTTCTTCTTCCTCTTCCTCCTCCTCCTCCTCTTCTTCCTCTTCTTCTTTCTTCCTCCTCCTCCTTCTTCTTCTCCTTCTTCTTCTTGATGGAGTCTCGCTCTGTTGCCCAGGCTGGAGTGCAGTGGTGCTATCTCAGCTCACTGCAACCCGCGCCTCCTGGGTTCAAGCAATTTTTCTGCCTCAGCCTCTGGAGTAGCTGGGACTACAGGCACCCGCCACCATACCCAGCTAATTTTTGTATTTTTAGTAGAGACAGGTTTTCACCATATTGGCCAGGCTAGTCTCAAACTCCTGATCTCATGATCCACCCGCCTCGGCCTCCCAAAGTGCTGGGATTACAGGCTTGAGCCACCATGCCCAGCCTGCCGTGCTTCTTTCTTTGACAACTGTGAATTCCCAATAAAAATCTCACACCCCAAATTATTTCTCAGGATCTGTTCTGGAGAATCCAAATGGTGACTCAGAGCTTTTGTCATCTTTTTTTTTAATGCCTGTGGAGCATTCCATGTCGATATCAAAACCCATAATTTAGTTAACTAGTCTCCTGTAAATGGATGTTTTCTTTGTGACGAAAGATTTTTTCCCTCTCATCAGATTGGTCCTTTAAGAGACCCTTCTGTCTTAGAGAGCCCCAGGGCTCAGTCTTTAATCTTCTTTTTTTTTTTTTTTTTTTCCAGATGGAGTCTCACTCTACCACCCAGGCTGGAGTGCAGTCGTGAGATCTTGGCTCACTGCAACCTCCACTTCCCGGGTTCAAGCAATTCTCCTGTCTCAGCCTCCAGAGTAGCTGAGATTACAGGCGCGTGCCACCACACCCAGCTAATTTTTGTATTTTTAGTAGAGACAGGGTTTCACCATGTTGGCCAGGCTGGTCTCAAACTCCTGACCTTAGGTGATCCACCCGCCTCGGCCTCCCAAAGTGCTGGGATTACAGATGTGAGCCATTGCACCCAGCCTGTTCTTCTTTATCCACGACCCCTCAGAAATGTCATCCAGCTGCATGGCTTTAAATACGTGTGTAGGTACCTGGATGCCTCCCAGCTTTGTCTTACCCACCTAGATGTCTCACTCCTCAAAATTAACACTTCTAGTCAGGCACTGTGGCTCAAGCCTGCAATCCCAGCACGTTGGGAGGCCAGGCTGGTCTCAAACTCCCAACCTCAGGTGATCCGCCCCCCACCTTGGCCTCCCAACGTGCTGGGATTACAGGCATGAGCCACTGTGCCTAGCCATTTTCCCTTTTTATAAGGACACTAGTCATGGAGGACAAGGACCTGCCCTAATAACTTATTTGTTGTTGTTGTTGTTTAGATTTGCTCTTCTTTTCCGGGCTGGAGTGCAATGGCATGATCTGGACTCACTGCAGCCTCCACCTCCTGGGTTCAAGCGATTCTCCTGCCTCAGCCTCCCGAGTAGCCGGAATTACAGGCACCTGCCACCACGCCCGGCTAATTTTTGTATTTTTAGTAGAGACAGGCTTTTGCCATGTTGGTCAGGCTGGTCTTGAACTCCTGACGCCAGGTAATCCACCCACTTCGGCCTCCCAAAGTGCTGGGATAACAGGCGTGAACCACCACGCCCGGCCATCATTTTAACTCCATTACCTTTCTAAAGACCCTGTTTCCACACAGTGGCTCGTACCTATAATCCCAGCACTTTGGGAGGCCATGGTGGGCAGATCACCTAAGCCCAAGAGTTCAAGGCCAGCTTGGGTAACATGGCGAAACCTCATCTCTACAAAAAATTCAGAAACATTAGCTGAGTGTGGTGGTGCACACCTGTCGTCACCACTAACGAGGCTGAGGTGGGAGGATGGCTTGAACCCAGGAGGTTGAGGCTGCAGTGAGCTATGATTGCACCACTGTACTCCAGTCTGGATGACAAAGTGAGATTCTGTCTCAAAAAAAAAAAAAAGAAAAAGAAAAGAAAAGAAAAAGAGACTATTTCCAAGCAAGGTCACATTCTGAGGGACGAGGGGGTCTGTAACTTATCTTTTATTATTATTTTATATATATATATATATATATATTTTTTTTTTTTGTAGAGACAGGGACTCGTGGTGTTGGCCAGGGTGGTCTCAAACTCCTGACCTCAAGCGATACTCCCTCCTTGGCCTCCCAAAGTGCGGAGATTATAGATGTGAGTCACCATGCCCTGTCTGCAACACATCTTTTTAGAGAATACAATTCAAGCCATAACAGTAAGATCCCTCTTTATCTTTCCTTTTTTCCCTCCTCGGTCTCAGCCTTCAAGAAGGAAGGAAAGAAGGGGGTGGGCAGAGAACCTCCTCCCCGCTGGACCAGAGTAATCTCCGCTGTGATGTTGAAGAAAATACATCTGAGTTCTGAGCTAGATGGACAGATTTTAAACCTTTGAACCTTAGAATGGACTGATGGAAAACAGCGGCTGGGGGTGGTGGCTGACCACCAGATGTAGATGGCTGGTGGACAGCCATCTAGAAGCCAAGGAGAGAGGCCCCAGGATTATCCTAGCATTTTGGGAGGCCAAGGTGTGATGATTGCTCCAGCCAGGAGATTGAGGCTGCAGTGAGCTATGATTGCAGCACTGCACTCCAGCCTGGGTGACAGAGCAAGACCCTGTCTCAAAAAAAAAAAAAAAGAAAAGAAAAAAAAGAAGAAGAAGAAGGAGAAGAAGAAGGAGGAGGAAGAGGAGGGGGAGGAGGAGGAGGAGGAGAAAAGAATGAGTGAAATAAAAGGTTAATAACCAATAACCTTAGAATACCCATTTGAGGTTATTGGATTTAGGTAGAGGAGGCAGTAGAAATGACATAATGCCACTTAATGAAAACTTTTCTCGAACTTTTTTTTGGAGGAAGGAATGAGACAGGCTCAGTTGAAGAGATACTTCCAGATTAGAGTCTCCAGATTTAGCACATAAAAATACAGGAGGCTCATTTAAATTTGAATTTCAGATACATGAAGAATAATTTTTAGGATAATCCGATCATATGCAATATTTGGAACATATTTATGCCAAAAACTTATCCATCGTTAATCTGAAATTCTGATTTAACTGGGTGTCCTGTATTTTATCTGGCAACCCTTCTTCTAGTAAGTCATGGAATTAACCCACCTTGGAAGATGATGTGATGGTCAGGCACAGTGGCTCACGCCTGGAATCCCAGCAGCTTGGGAGGCTGAGGTGGGAGGATCACTTGAGCCTGGGTGTTTGAAAGCAGCCTGGGCAATATAGGGAGACCCCATTTCCAATAATAATAATTATTATTATTATTATAATAAAATTAGCTGGATGATGCCAGGCATGGTGGCTCATGCCTGTCATCCCAGCACTTTGGGAGGCCAAGGCAGGTGGATCATCTGAGGTCAGGAGTTGGAGACCAGTCTGGGCAACATGGTAAAACCCTGTCTTTACAAAAAATACAAAAATTAGCTGGGCATGGTCGTGCGCGCCTGTAATCCCAGCGACTCAGGAGGCTGAGGCAAGAGAATCGCTTGAACCCAGGAGGCCGAGATTTCAGTGAGCTGAGATCGTACCACTGCACTCCAGCCTGGGTGACAGAGTGAGACTCCATTTGAAAAAAAAAAAAAAAAAGAATCTAATACCTGATGATCTGTCACTGTCTCCCATCACCCCCAGCTGGGACAGTCTAGTTTCAGGAAAACAAGGGGAGGGCTTTCCCTGATTCTACATTATGTGAGCTGTATAATTAGTTCATTATATATTACAGTGTAATACTAATAGAAATAGTGAACAATAAATGTAATGTGCTTGAATCATCCTGAAACCATTCCACACCTCCGTGATAAAATTGTCTTGCACAAAACTGGTCCTGGGTGACAAAAAGCTTGCAGATTGCTGCATTATAGCATAAAAGTAGCCATAGACAACTTACAAACAAATGGGTGTGACCGTGTGCCAATAAAAATTTATCCACATAACTTCATTTACAAACAACACACGGAGGCCGGGCACGGTGGCTCACGCCTGTAATCCCAGCACTTTGGGTGGCAGAGGCCAGTGGATCACCTGAGGTCAGGAGTTTGAGACCAGCCTTGACCAGCCAGGAGATCAAGACCATCCTGGCCAACGTGGTGAAACCCCGTCTCTACTAAAAATACAAAAAATTAGCCAGGTGTGGTGGCGGGCACCTGTAGTCCCAGATACTTGGAAGGCTGAGGCAGGAGAATGGTGTGAACCCGGGAGGCGGAGGTTGCAGTGAGCCGAGATCGTGCCACTGCACTCCAGCCTGGATGACAGAACGAGACTCCATCTCAAAAAAATAAACAAATAAATAAATAAAATAAAATAAAATAAAATAAAATAAATTGATTGTTGTGAAATATATCTTCACAAGAGGATATATAACATACATATATGGTTTAAAGAAAAAAACAACAAAATAATCCAACAATTGTGCCCCCTTGTATTTACCTAGATGCATTGAAAACTTATACCCACACAGGCCAGGTGCGGTGGCTCACGCTTGTAATCCCAGCACTTTAGGAGGCTGAGGCAGGCGGATCACTTGAGGTCAGGAGTTCAGGACCAGCCTGGCCAACATGGTGAAACCTTGTCTCTACTAAAAATACAATAAATTAGCCAGGTATGGTTGTGGGTGCCTGTAGTCCGAGCTACTAGGGAGGCTGAGGCAGGAGAATCCACTATTTACTTAACGAGTCTTTATTTAATAAATAAATAAATTTATTTATTTATTGAGATGGAGTTTTGCTCTTGTTGCCCAAGATGGAGTGCAATGGCACAATCTTGGCTCACTGCAACCTCTGCCTCCTGGGTTCAAGCGCTTCTCATGCCTCAGCCTCCTGAGTAGCTGGAATTAAAGGTGCCCCACCATGCCTGGCTAATATATATATATTTATATATATATTTTTAGACGGAGTCTCGCTCTGTCGCCCAGGCTGGAGTGCAGTGGCGCAATCTCGGCTCACTGCAAGCTCCACCTCCTGGGTTCGGGCCATTCTCCTGCCTCAGCCTCCCGTCGCCTGGCTAATATTTTGTATTTTTAGTAGAGACAGGGTTTTACTATGTTGACTAGGCTGGTCTCGAACTCCTGACATCAGGTGATCCACCTGTCTTGAGCTCCTGGGATTACAGGCATGAGCTGCCATGCCCGGCCTACTTATCAAGTCTTTAACTCAGGGATGTTTGTGAATAGTTCCATGGTTTTGCTATTGCAGGCAGGGCTGCTCTGAATAATCTTGTACCAGAATCCTGGGTCCATTTGTGGGAGTTTCTCAGGGGGACATAAATCCAGGAGATGAGTTGCTGGTTGTAGGACATGTTCATTTGCACCTTTACTGAATGTGATGGAGGCAGCCTGTTGTGGTTTAAAGATTCAGGCTCCCTTCCCACAGGGTAAAGTGGATACCAGGAAGTGGCTGCTGTGCTACAGATTACATTTCCCAGCAACCCTTTCATCTAGTGGAGGTCATGTGACTAGTTCTGACCAATAGAGGTACACCAAAGCCATGTTGGGATTGAGAGCCACAAGTTGGGAGGAAGCCCACATTTTGTTAGTGGAGGCCACATGTTGAGGTGGGGGCCACATGATGGGTATGGAGGCCACATGTTGGGAGCAAAGGGCACATTTTGGGATTTAGAGCCACAAGTTGGGAGGAAGCCCACATTTTGTGAGTGGAGGCCCCACGTTGAGATGGATGCCACTTGATGGGTATGGAGGCCACATGTTGAAAGTGGAGGCCACATATTGGGAGTGGAGGCCACATGTTGAGATGGAGGTCACGTGTTGGGATGGAGGCCACATGCTGGGATGGAGGCATCATGAGAAGGAAGGAAGGGGCCTGGATTGCTAAATTCCCACTTGCCTGAGCCTTCTGGGACAGCTTCACCCTCCATACTCTTTGCTTATGTGAGATGTAAACTTTTAGGACACTGATATTTGTGGAATTGTCTTGTTCTAACAGTTGAACTACTGTACCCAGTAATGCTTCAGGTAATGTCAAATTATTTTCCAAAGTGGTTGGCCTCTTCATATTTCCACCACTCCCCCACTTCCCATCCTCACCAGTACTCGGAATCGGCAAGTTAAAGAAAAAACTTTTGGCTGGGTGCGGTGACTCACGCCTGTAATCCCAGCACTTTGGGAGGCCAAGGTGGGCGGATCACCTGAGGTCGGGAGTTCGAGACCAGCCTGACCAACATGGAGAAACCCTGTCTCTACTAAAGATACAAAATTAGCCGGGCACAGTGGCGGGTGCCTGTAATCCCAGCTATTCGGGAGGATGAGGCAGGAGAATCACTTGATCTCGGGAGGTGGAGGTTGCAGTGAGCCGAGATCATGCCATTGGACTCCAGCCTGGGCAACAAGAGCAAAACTCCGTCTCAAAACAAACAAACCCACAACTTTTTATCTTGAAATAGTTTGTTTTTATTTTATTGTATTTATTTATTTATTTTTTTGAGATTGAGTCTTGCTCTGTTGCTCAGACTGGAGTGCAGTGGCACGATCTTGGCTCACTGCAAGCTCCACCTCCTGGGTTCACGCCATTCTCCTGCCTCAGCCTCCTGAGTAACTGGGACTACAGGCGCCCGCCACCACGCCTGGCTAATTTTTTGTATTTTTAGTAGAGACGGGGTTTCACCATGTTAGCCAGGATGGTCTCAATCTCCTGACCTCGTGATCCGCCCGCCTCAGCCTCCCAAAGTGCTGGGATTACAGGTGTGAGCCACCACTCCCGGTCTGAAATAGTTTGTTTTTAAAATGGATTATTATTATTTTTTTTTAGAGACACAGTCTGCCTATGTTGCCCAGGCTGGTCTCGAACTCAAACAGAAATTGCAGTGAGCCAAGATCAAGCCACTGCACTCCAGCCTGGGCAACAGAGTGAAACTCCATCTTAAAAAAAAAAAAAAAAAAAAAGAACTAGGATACTCTCTTACACAACCAGAATTCATTTATCTACTTCAGAAAATAAATATGGACACAATACTATTATCTACTTTATATTCCATGTGCAAATTTCACCAATTACCCAATAATGTCCTTTGTGACTTTGGGCATTGTTAGACTAAAATTTTCCCCATCTGTACGGTAACCATTATTGACTTAAACACTGTCTTTAAACAAGTTCATTTTCCAAAAACACTTTCCAAATATTAATGCATATCTTTACTTCAAAAGGAAATTTTATATTGCTCCACTACATGGAAAGCTACTAAATAAATAGAAAGCAAGTATTAAAACCAACACTGCTGGGTGCAGTGGCTCACGCCTGTAATCCTAGCACTTTGGGAGGCCAAGGCAGGCAGATTATGAGGTCAGGAGTTCAAGACCAGCCTGGCCAACCTGGTGAAACCCGCGTCTCTACTAAAAATAAAAAAAATTAGCCGGGCATGGTGGCGGGTGCCTGTAATCCCAGCTATTTGGGAGGCTGGGGTAGGAGAATCGCTTGAACCCAGTAGTCAGAGGTTGTGGTGAGTGGAGGCTGCTGCACCATTGTACTCCAGCCTAGGTGACAGAGCAAGACTCCATCTCAAAACAAAAAGAAAAACAAAACAAAACAAAACAAAAGAAAACAAAAAAAAGCCCAATGCTAAGATGGGTATAGTTCCTTTTTTCTTTTTCTTTTTCTTTTTTTTTCTTTTTTTTTTTTTTGAGACAAGGTCTTGCTCTGTGGCCCAGGTTGGAGTGCAGTGGTGCACACATAGCTCACTGCAACTTCGACCTTTAGGCTCAAGCAATCTTCCCATCTCAGCTTCCTGAGAAGTTAAGACCACACGTGTGTACCCCCACTGGCTAACTTTTTAATGTTTTGTAGAAACAGGGTCCCCTATGTTGCCTAGACTGGTTTTTTGTTGTTGTTTTTTTTGAGATGGAGTCTCGCTCTGTTGCCCAGGCTGGTTTGCAGTGGCGAAATCTTGGCTCACTGCAACCTCCACCTCCTGGGTTCAAGCGATTCTCCTGCCACAAGAATTGCTTGAACCCTGGAGGTGGAGGTTACAGTGAGCCGAGATCGCGCCAGTGCACTCCAGCCTGGGCAACAGAGCAAGACTCCGTCTCAAAAGAAAAGAACAAAGTCAGAGAGAGACTGGAAGAGGCTGCACTGTGGCTGTGAAGGTGGAGAACAGGACATGGGTTGCCTCTAGACACTGGACGGGGCAGGAAACGAGGTCTCTCCTGGAGCCTCCACCAGGAACACAGCTGTGATGACACCTTTAGCCTATAAGACTCATTTCAGAGTCCTGACCTGTAGAAAGGTAAGATGATAAGTGTGTGCTGTTCTAAGCCATTACATTGGTGGCATTTGTTACAATAACCGCTGAGAGCTCACACGCCTCTGTTTGTCACCCTCTCTCTAGCCCCTTCTCTCCCCCTAGCGGGGGAAGAGCTCTCCCCCGGCTCCCACCCACCTTCCTGGCTGCTCTGTCCTCCCTAGTCAGCACCATGATCACTCAAGTTCTCCGGTCTGGGCTGGGCGTGGGTGCCAGTCACTACCTTACTGCCTGCTATTAAACCCTCGCCAAGATTCAGGATCTCAGCAGCTGGGTCCTGTTCCAGCTATGAGCAGAAAGGGGCCTCAGAGACCATCTGCTCCACCCACACACAGAGCAGAGACTGTTTCAAAATTACTCCATGGGGAAGGAGTCAGGGTCGCTACTGGGGAGCTGGGGTGGCAGTGGTGGTGTCTGTTTGCCCTCCTGGTCCACCTGGGAAGCGGATTTGGGGGCTAGGGCTGTAGCTAAATGGTGTATGTTTGTGGAGGGGTGCTATACAGAGTCAGGTCAAGCTTTAGTTCTGTTTTTCTTCCTTCCTTCCTTCCTTCCTTCCTTCCTTCCTTCCTTCCTTCCTTCCTTCCTTCCTTCCTTCCTTCCTTCCTTCCTTCCTTCTTTCTTTTTTTGGAGACAGAGTCTTGCTCTATGCCCAGGCTGGAGTGTAGTGGCGCGATCTTGGCTGACTACAACCTCCACCTCCCAGGCTCAAGTGATTCTCGTACCTCAGCCTCCCGAGTAGCTGGGATTACAGGCACGCACCACCACGCCTGGCTAATTTTATTTTTTTTATTTTTAGTAGAGACGGTGTCTCACCATGTTGGCCAGGCTGGTCTTGAACCCTGACCTCAAGTGATCCACCTGCCTCAGTCTCCCAAAATGCTGGGATTACATGTGTGAGCCACCACGCCCAGCCCCAAACCCCTCTTTTAAAAACCTAAATCAGGCCAGGCGTGGTGGCTCACGCCTGTAATCCCAGCACTTTAGGAGGCTGAGGCGGGCGGATCATGAGGTCAGGAGATCAAGACCATCCTGGCTAACACGGTGAAACCCCGTCTCTACTAAAAATACAAAAAAAACTTAGCCGGGTGTGGTGGCGGGCGCCTGTAGTCCCATCGGGAGGCTGAGGCAGGAGAATGGCGTGAACCCGGGAGGCGGAGCTTGCAGTGAGCCGAGATCGCACCACTGCACTCCAGCCTGGGCAACAGAGAGAGACTCCATCTCAAAAAACAAAAAACAAAAACAAAAACCCTAAATCATTACTTTGTAAAATTGTGGTAAAAGATACATAACACGAAACTGATCATTTTAATCATCAAATGCATAGTTCAGCGGCATTAAGCACATTCGCATGTCTATGCAGCCATCACCACCATCCCCTCCAGAACTTTCTCATCTTTCCAAACTGAAACTCTGTCCCCAAGAAACACTCACTCCCTATCCCCCTCCCCAGCCCCTCATACCCCCCGTTCTACTTCCTGTCTCTGTGACTCTGAGGACTTTGGGGACCTCCTAGGAGTGGGATCACACAGGATTTGTCCTTTTATGTCTGGCTTATTTCACCCAGCTTGATGTCCTCAAAGTCCATCCACGTTGTTGCCTGTATCAGAATTTCCTTCCTTTTTCAGGGCTGAATAATATTCCACGGTATGGATGAACCACACACATTGTGTTTATCCATTCATGTATTAATTAAAAATCTAAATCAATCCCTTTATAAAAAGAGATTTTTAGGCTGGGTGCGGTGGCTCATGCCTGTAATCTCAGCACTTTGGGAGGCTGAGGCAGGCGGATCACCTGAGGTCAGGAGTTCCAAACCAGCCTGGCTAACATGCTGAAACCCCATCTCTACTAAAAATGTAAAAATTAGCCCGACGTGGTGGTGGGCGCCTGTAATCCCAGCTATCGGGAGGCTGAAGCAGGAGAATCATTTGAACCCAGGAGGCGGAGGTTGCAGTGAGCCGAGATTGCACCATTGCACTCTAGCCTGGATGACAGGAAGAGACTCGGTCTTAAAAAAAAAAAAAGATTTTAAGGCCAGGTGCGGTGGCTCACACATGTAATTCTAGCACTTTGGGAGGCTGAGGTGGAAGGATCGCTTGAGCTCGGGAATTAGAGAGCAGTCTGGGAGACATAGTGAGAACCTGTCTCTACAAAAAATAGAAAAAATTTGCCTGGCCTGTAGTCCCAGCTACTTGGGAGGCTAAGGTGTGAGGATCACTTGAGCCCAGGAGGTTGAGGCTGCAGTGGCCTGTGATTGCACCACTGCACTCAAGCCTGGCAGCAGAGTGAGACCCTCTATCAAACACATTAAAAAAAATGGAATAATTATAAACTTGCAGGAACCTGCAATAATAATATAGAAGAATCCCAGGTAATCTTCATCCAGTTTCTCCCAGTGGTACCTCTTTTATAACTATACATTTTCACAACCAGAAAGGTGATATAAATATGACCTATAGACCATATTCAGATTTCAACAGCTTTTCCCATGCATTCATGTGTTAGACAATTTTCTTTTCATTTTCTCAGAAAAATGGGAGCAAATCTATGCAATAATATCACATGTATAGATCTGTGCAAACACAACCACAATTGTAACACTTACATTTATTTTGGCCAGGGCACAGTAGCTCATACCTGTACTCCCAGCAACTTGGGAGGCGAAGGTGAGAAGATTGCTTGAGCCCAGGAAATTGACATTGCTGTGAGCTAGGATTTTACCACTGCCCTCCAGCCTAGGAAACGGAGCAAGACTCCATCTCTTAAAAAATACATATTTATTTTATTATTTTATTTTTATTTTATTTAATTAACTATTTTTTTTTGAGACAGGGTTTCCCTCTTTTTGCCCAGGTTAGAGTGCAGCGGTGGAATTAGAGGTGTAAGCCACTGCACTGGGCCAAAATATTATTTTAAAAAGAAAATTCTGGGGCTGGGCGCGGTGGCTCACGCCTGTAGTCCCAGCACTTTGGGAGGCCGAGGTGGGTGGATCACGAGGTCGGGAGATCGAGACCATCCTGGCTAACATGGTGAAACCCTGTCCCTACTAAAAATACAAAAAAATTAGCCAGGCGTTGGTGGTGGGTGCCTGCAGTCCCAGCTACTCGGGAGGCTGAGGCAGGAGAATGGCATGAACCCAGGAGGCGGAGCTTGCAGTGAGCCAAGATCGAGCCACTGCACTCCAGCCTGGGCGACAGAGCAAGACTCCATCTCAAAAAAAAAAAAAAAAAAAAAAAAAAAAAAAAGAAAGAAAGAAAGAAAAGAAAAGAAAAAGAAAAAGAAAACTTTGGCCAGGCAGGGTGGTCCACGCCTGTAATCCCAGCTACTCAGAAGGCTCAGGCAAGAGAATCGTTTGAACCTGGGAGGTGGAGGTTGCAGTGAGCCGAGATCATGCCATTGCACTCCAGCCTGGGGGACAGAGCAAACGCCATCTCAAAAAAAAAAAGAAAAAAAAAGGAAACTTTGTAACCCTACCGTGAATGGAAAGTAGATTTGGCTTACCATGAATACAAGCTTATCAAAAAATAAATACAATGTAAACAAATCATGTTACTAAATTCTAACAGAATATTGTTGCCTAATGAAGGGCTTTTCTTTTCTTTTTTGTCAAAGTCATTAAGTGTTAAGAGACATAGAACATATTAGCACTGACTGAGCCTCTCTTCTCCAAATATTGGAAATTGAAAAAGTTGATTACTTTCAGACACCACAGTGATTTTTTTTTTTTTTTTGAGAGGGAGTCTCACCCTGTCGCCCAGGCTGGAGTGCAGTGGTGCAATCTCGGCTCACTGCAACCTCCGTTTTCTGGGTTCAAGCTATTCTCCTGCCTCAGTCTCCTGAGTAGCTGAGATTACAGGCGCGTGCCACCACACCAGGCTAATTTTTGTATTTTTAGTAGAGACGGGGTTTCACCATTTTGGCCAGGCTAGTCTTGAACTCCTGACCTCAAGTGCTCCACCTGCCTCAGCCTCCCAGAGTGCTGGGATTACAGGGGTGAGCCACCATGCCCGGCCAGTTCAGTGATTTGGAATGCAGGGCAACATAGCACCACAATTTATCTTTCTTTTTCTTTTTTTTTTTTTTTTTTGAGTCGGGGTCTCGATCTGTCGCCCGGGCTGAAGTGCAGTGGCGTGATCTCGGCTCACTACTACCTCCACCTCCCAGGTTCAAGCGATTTTCCTGCCTCAGCCTCCCAAGTAGCTGGGACTACAGGCGCCCGCCACCATGCCTGGCTAGGTTTTTATATTTTTAGTAGAGACGGGGTTTCACCATGTTAACCAGGATGGTCTTGATCTCCTGACCTCGTGATCCGCCTGCCTTGGCTTCCTAAAGTGCTGGGATTACAGGCATGAGCCACCGTGCCCAGCCCACAATTTATCTTTTTATGGAAACATCGTGTCAGCTCACTAACTCTTCACAACAGGCTTGAGAGGGCAGTACCATTATCATTTTCACCACCTTACAGGTGAGGAAACTGAGGCATCATAGAGGTGGTGTTCCTTGCCTGTCTCTATCACTTCCTAACTGTGTGACCTATGGTAAGTTCCTTAACTTCTCTGGGCTTTAGTTTCCTTGCTAGTGATTACTAGCAGGAGATAGGATCGCATGAGCTCAGGAGATCAAGCAAGGCTGCATTGAACTATGATTGCGCCACTGCACTCCAGCTTGGGCAACAGAGCAAGACCCTGTCTCAAAAGAGAAAAAGAGGCCAGGCACAGTGGCTCAAGCCTGTAATCCCAGCACTTTGGGAAGCCGAGACAGGTGGATCACCAGAAGTCACGAGTTCGAGACTAGCCTGGCCAACATGGTGAAACCCCGTCTCTACTAAAAATACAAAAATTAGCCGGGCATGCTGGCGGGTGCCTGTAAATCCAGCTACTTGGGAGGCTGAGGCAGGGGAATCGCTGGAACCTGGGAGGCAGAGGTTGCAGTGAGCTGAGATCATGCCATTGCACTCCAGCCTGGGTGACAAGAGTGAAACTCTATTTCAAAAAAAAAAAGAAAAGAAAAAGAAAAAAAAGAAAAAGAAAAGGGATAACAATAGTTCCTGGCGCTTAGGATTTTTTCTTTTTTTTTTAGACAGAGTCTTTCTCTGTCACCCAGGCTGGAGTGCAGTGGTGCAATTTTGGCTCGCTGCAAGCTCCGTCTCCTGGGTTCATGCCATTCTCCTGCCTCAGCCTCCTGAGTAGCTGGGACTATGGGCACCCACCATCACGCCCAGCTACCTTTTTTGTATTTTTAGTAGAAATGGGGTTTCACTGTGTTAGCCAGGATGGTCTCAATCTCCTGACCTTGTGATCCTCCCGCCTTGGTCTCCCAAAGCACTAGGATTACAGGCGTGAGCCACAGCACCCGGGGTAGGATTGTTAAGAACATTAAATGAAGGCCGGGCACAGTGGCTCACGCCTGTAATCCCAGCACTTTGGGAAGTCGAGACGGGCAGATCACAAGGTCAGGAGTTTGAGGCCAGCCTGGTCAATATGGTGAAACCCCGTCTCTACTAAAAATACAAAAATTAGCTGGGCATGGTGGCAGGTGCCTGTAGTCCCAGTTACTCAGGAGGCTGAGGCAGGAGAATTGCTTGAACTAGGGAGGTGGAGGTTGCAGTGAGCCAAGATCATGCCACTGCACTCCAGCCTGGGAGACAGAGTGAGGCTCCATCTCAAAAAAAAAAAAAAAAAAGAACGTTAAATGAGATAATACTGAAAATCAAGCACTTAAAAAAAGAAAAATTATATAATATATAATATTAATTATTATATTAAATTATATTAATCACATTAAAATAATATACTAAAATATTTAAAATATTATATAACAATAGTATTTTTAATATAATAATTTTATATTTTAATATAATATTGCTATTATATAATAAATAATTATATTATTATTGTTATGCACACTTGCTAACCGCTTGCTAAGGCCAGGCTCTTTTATTATAATAATAATAATTATTATTATTCCCACAAAGTTGACTTAAAGTTCAAGGTCAGCTTCAGTAAGAAAACCCTGTAATCCCAGCACTTTGGGACAGAGCAAGACTCCATCTCAAAAAAAAAAAGAAAACCCATTACCATCCATCAAGTGCCTACTCTAGCATAGGCAGTGGGCTAAGCCTTTGTACATGCTTTATCTCTGTCTTCCTTTGTTACAGTTGGCTCTGTCACCATCGTCTCCATATGACAGGTGAGCAAACAGAGGATCAGAGAGGTAAATTCACTTGCCCAAGGTCACACAGCTTAAAGTAGAGGAACTCAGGCCAGGTGAGGTGGCTCATGCGTATAATCCCGGCACCTTGGGAGGCCAAGGTGGGCAGATCACCTGAGGTCAGGAGTTCGAGACCAGCTTGACCAACATGGTGAAATCCTATCTCTACTAAAATACAAAAAAAATTAGCTGGGCATGGTGGCAGGTGCCAGTCATCCCAGCTACTTGGGAGGCTGAGGTAGGAGAATCGCTTGAACCCAGGAGGTGGAGGTTGCAGTGAGCTGACATTGCGCCACTACACTCCAGCCTGGGTGACAGAGCCAGACTGCATCTCAATTTTAAAAAAAAAGGCCGGGCACGGTGGCTCACGCACACCTATAATCCCAGCACTTTGGGAGGCCAAGGCAGGTGGATCACGAGGTCAGGAGATCGAGACCATCCTGGCTAACACAGTGAAACTCCATCTCTATTAAAAATACAAAAAATTAGCCGGTCGTGGCGGTGGGCGCCTGTAGTCCCAGCTACTCGGGAGGCTGAGGCGGGAGAATGGCGTGAACACGGGAGGCAGAGCTTGCAGTGAGCTGAGATCATGCCACTGCACTCCAGCCTGGGCAACAGAGCGACTCTGTCTCCAAAAAAAAAAACAATTAGCTAGGCATGGTGGCAGCATGTGCCTGTGGTCCTGGCTACTTCAGAGGCTGAGGCAGGAGTATTGCTTGAGCCTGGGAGTTTGAGGCTGCGGTGAGCTATGATGATGCCACTGTACCCCAGCCTGAGCAACAGAGCAAGGCCCTGACTCTAATAAATAAATACATACATACATAAAAGATAAAAACAGTTCCCTCCACTGCCCCCACCCCGATTCCTATTCCTGGGTAATCTGGATGGGAGGCCTCTTCCCTGCCTACTTCTGCCCCCTGCCCTGCCTGGACAGTGCCAGTCCCACGGCTTATGCTCAGGGCTGCTGTCACTGCACAGCCAGGCTGCCCTGGTGCAACTGGGGAGCGGCCCAGCAGGTTTTTCCTCCCAGTCTGCCTGCCGCGGGGCACCGGGCTGTCCTCTCCCCGCCTCATCAGGGCCCAGCCTTCCCAAGCTCGCCTTCTCTCTGCCGGGCGCAGCCGGCTGGTGGTGGCCACTGAGACAAGATGCCTAGCATCTTCGCCTATCAGAGCTCCGAGGTGGACTGGTGTGAGAGCAACTTCCAGTACTCGGAGCTGGTGGCCGAGTTC
The DNA here is from genome assembly GCF_000001405.40 of Homo sapiens. Lineage (NCBI taxonomy): Eukaryota > Metazoa > Chordata > Mammalia > Primates > Hominidae > Homo > Homo sapiens. The sequence continues at coordinate 6,333,467 of NC_000019.10, read as the reverse complement.
TACAACACGGTGAGTGCGTGGGTGTGTGAAGGAGTCTCGCCAGATGCCGGTTCGAATCCCGGTTCCTCCCCATACAGCCTTACTGGGGAATCTTGCTGGAGTGGTTCACCTGTCTCAGCCCTAGTTTTCTCATCTGTTAGCCAAAGAGTGCCAGCTTTCATTCATTTACTTGTCTTTACTTGATGCCAAGCTCTGTGGTAGGTTTTGGAGACACATTGGTGGCCAGGAAAAGAACCGGTCTCTGCCTTCCCTAAGCTAACTCTGATGTGACTGCAGGCATTTGCAACCGGGAGCGATGGTGCCTTCTTGGAGGGCACAGAGGCAGCTGTGGTAGGGGGAGGCAGAGGGTGCCCCTGAGCTAGAGGGGGTGGGCCAATCAGGAAAGGCTTCCTGGAAGAGGTGATTGTGTCTGTCTTGTTTGCAGCTGTACCCACTGACCAACTTGTCCCAGTGTGCCTGGGACTATCCTGGTTTCAGTATTTAAAAAGTTTCACCTCTTGGCTGGGCGCGGTGGCTCACGTCTGTAATCCTAGCACTTTGGAAGGCCAAGGTGGGTGGATTGCCTGAGCTCAGGAGTTGGAGATCGCCCTGGGCAACGTGGTGAAAGCCCATCTCTACTAAAATAAAAAATTAGCTGGGTACGGTGTCAGGCATCTGTAGTCCAAGCTACTCAGGAGGCTACGGCATGAGAATCGCTTGAACCCAGGAGGCGGAGGTTGCAGTGAGCTGAGATTGTGCCACTGCACTCCAGCCTGGGTGAAAAAGCGAGACTGTCTCAAAAAAAGAAGAAAAAAAGTCCCACCTCCTGAGAAACTCCTCAGTTCTGGACATTCTGAGGTGGTCTTCTCTTTCCCTGTTAAAACACCACATGGGAAGTGCTAAAAAATCATGGATGTACCTAGCACCATGGCTCATGCCTGTAACCCCAGCAATTTGGAACGCAGAGGCAGGAAGATCGCTTGAGCCCAGGAGTTCCAGACCAGCCTGGGCAACATAGCAAGACCCTGTCTCTACAAAAAGTTTTTAAAAATTAGCTGGGTGTGGTGGTGTGTGCTTGTAGTTCCAGCTACTTGGGAGGCTGAGGGGGGAGGATTTCTTGAACCCAAGAAGTGGAGGATGCAGTGAGCTGAGGTCATACCACTGCACTCCAGCCTGGGTGACAGAGGGAGACCCTGTCTCAAAAAAAAAAAAAAAAAAAAAAGGCCGGGCGCGGAGGCTCACGCCTGTAATCACAGCACTTTGCGAGGCCAAGGTGAGTGGATCACCTGAGGTCAGGAGTTCGAGACCAGCCTGGCCAACATGGTGAAACCCCATCTCTACTAAAAATACAAAAATTAGCCAGGTTTGGTGGCAGGCACCTGTAATCCCAGCTGCTTGGGAGGCTGAGGCAAGAGAATGGCTTGAACCCAGGAGGCGGAGGTTTCAATGAGCCGAGATCGCACCATTGCACTCCAGCCTGAGGGACAAGAGCGAGACTTCGTCTCAAAAAAAAAAAAAAAAATAGGAATGCACAAATGATCACGGCATTTAGCCAAAGCTTAAAGCCAAAGATCAGTGCAGCTATGCCATGCCCATACTGGGTGCTGGGAACACAGAGGTGTTTGCCTGGAGCCCTGGGAATGATGGGATCCAGGCATAGTGCTTAGTTCTTTTGTTTGTTTGTTTGTTTGTTTTGAAACGGAGTCTCGCTTTGTCACCTAGGCTGGAATGTAATGGCGCGATCTCGGCTCACTGCAACCTCTGCCTCCCGCGTTCAAGCCATTCTGCTGCCTCAGCTTCCCGAGTAGTTGGGATAACAGGTTCCCACCACCACGCCTGGCTAATTTTTGTATTTTTAGTAGAGACAGGGTTTCACCATGTTGGCCAGGCTGGTCTTGAACTCCCGACCTCAGGTGATCCGCCCACCTCAGCCTCCCAAAGTGCTGGGATTACAGGCGTGAGCCACGGCGCCCGGCCTCGTAGTGCTTAGTTCTATGCCCTGCACATAGGCCTTGCTCAGTGAGCAGAAGAGTGCTTGCTGGCTGGGTGCTATGGCTCACGCCTGTAATCCCAGCACTTTGGGAGGCCGAGGGGGGTGGATCATGAGGTCAAGAGGTCAAGACCATCCTGGCCAACGTGGTGAAATGCCGTCTGTGCTAAAAATACAAAAAATTAGCCAGGCATGGTGCCGGGCGCCTGTAGTCCCAGCTACTCAGGAGGCTAAGGCAGGAGAATCACTTGAACCCGGGAGGCAGAGGTTGCAGTGAGCCAAGATTGTGTCACTGCACTCCAGCCTGGTGACAGAGCGAGACCTCATCTCAAAAAAAAAAAAAAAGTGCTTGCTGTGTACCAGGCATGACCCTAAACATTTTACGTGAAACACCTCCTTTAATCTGCACAGTGACATGGGGAGTTAGATGCAATCTATATGATACAGACTTCATCCCATTTTCCAGGTGATAAAACAGGTGTTCAAGGAGTTTGAAGGCTGTGCCCAGGGTCACCCTGGTTATTAGAGCCAGGATTTAAACTTGGTGAGTCCAGGAGACTTTTCTGGGAGGAGAGTCCGAGGCTCAGGTTGCTCTGACCCTGTTGCCTTTCACCCCGGGGCTTCCCATACCTGGGAAGTGGGATTATGAGACTCCAGGATCCTCACGGTCTCACTGATTCTTGCTCTTCCTTAGCCAGAGATATGGTTCCCGGTCCTCAGTAGTCCCACCTCTAACATGGGAGGGAGCTGAATGATTGGTCCTACGAGGCTGAGATGATGGGTAAGGGCTCTAGAGCTCTTCTCTCTGGAATCCCCAGCAGCCACTGTGGTCCAGTGTTCTGTTTTCATCCTGCACCCAGATGAGAGCCCTTGCAGAAGGCACTGAGAGGCTGGGTATGGTGGCTCTCACCTTTAATCCTAGTACTTTGGAAGGTCGAGACAGGAGGATCACTTGAGGCCAGAAGTTCAAGACCAGCCTAAGCAACATAGCAAGACCCAGTCCCTACACAAAATTTAAAAACTAGCTGTGGGCTGGGCACCACTGGCTTATGCCTGTAATCCCAGCACTTTGGGAGGCCGAGGCAGGTAGATCATTTGAGGTCAGGAATTTGAGACCAGCCTGGACAACATGGTGAAACCCCATCTCTACTAAAAATACAAAAATTAGCTGGGCATGGTGGCGCATGCCTATAATCCCTGCTACTGGGGAGGCTGAGGCACGACAATCACTTGAATCTGGGAGGTGGAGGTTGCAGTGAGCCGAGATCACGCCATTGCACTCCAGCCTGGGTGACAGAGCAAGACTCCATCTCAAAAGATTAAAAATTAGCCGGGCGTGGTGGCTCACGCCTGTAATCCCAGCACTTTGGGAGGCCGAGGCGGGCAGATCACGAGGTCAAGAAATCGAGACCATCCTGGCTAACACGGTGAAACCCCGTCTCTGCTAAAAATACAAAAAAATTAGCTGGGCGTGGTGGCGGGCGCCTGTGGTCCCAGCTACTCGGGAGGCTGAGGCAGGAGAATTATGTGAACCCGGTAGGTGGAACTTGCAGTGAGCTGAGATCACGCCACTGCACTCCAACCTGGGTGACAGAGCAAGACTCCATCTCAAAAAAAAAAAAATTAAAAATTAAAAAATTAAAAATAAAATAAAAATAAAAACTAGCTGGTAGGCTAAGGCAGGAGGATTGCTTGAGTTCAGGAGTTTGAAGCTGCAGTAACCTGTTACTGCACCACCGTATTCCGGCCTGGGCAACAGAGTAATATCCTGTCTCTAAAAAATAAAAAGCACCTAGAAAGGGCTGATTCAAGTGTGTCCTGAGCCTGAGTATAGCTGTGTGTTCTTATCTCAGGCAAAATTGTCCTCCACTGGATTCTGCTGTAGCCTGTCCCCAGATAAAATAAATTGAGCCACCTGTAGCTACCGGGTAAGGCTGCAGTTGTCAAACTCCTCTGATCAGAACACCTATTATGAAAGAAATTTTACATCATCATCATCCTGTACCTGCCTTTCCAGATGTGTATCATACAGAAACAAAAGTTGCACAAAACGAGACTTACCCTTCCCTGGTACAAACACACCTGGATCTATTCTATTCTATTCTATTCTATTCTATTCTATTCTATTCTATTCTATTCTATATCAAAAAGCCTCTCTCCAAACAGGTCAGGGGATGAGGAATAGAATCAGAGTTATGTGAGAAAGGGCTTCCCCAAGACCTTCTCCTCCAAAACGCTTCTGAGTATCCCAAACCCATAGCTAATAAATCATACAGTTCAAAAGGGTGGAGTGGGTGGCAAATTTTTTCTTTTCGTGTTTATTTTATTTTATTTTTATTTTACCTGTTTTAGAGACACAGTCTCACTCTATTGCCCAGCCTGGGATGGAGTGGTGCCATCATAGCTCACTGCAGCCTTGACCTCCTGGACTTAAGTGATCCTCCTGCCCCAGCCTTCAAAGTAGCTGGAACCACAAGAGCATGCCACCAAACACAGCTAATTTTTAAATTTTTATACAGATGGGTGCTGGGCACAGTGGCTCACACATGTAATCCCAGCACTTTGGAAGGCCGAGGTGGGCCAATCACTTGCGCTCAGGAGTTCAAGACCAGCCTGGAAAACACGATGAAACCCCATCTCTATCAAAATTACAAAAAAAAAAAAATTAGCCAGGCATGGTGGCATGCATCCGTAGTTCCAGCTACTTGGAAGACTGAGGCAGGAGAATTGCTTGAACCTGGGAGGTGGAGGTTGCAGTGAGTGGAGATGGTGCCACTGCACTCCAGCCTGTGCGAAAGAGTGAGACTCTGTCTAAAAAAACATTGTTTTGTATAGAGATGGGGTCTTGCTATGCTGCCAGGCTGGGCTCAAGTAATCCTTGTGCCTTCACTTCCCAAAGTGATAGGATTACAGACATAAGCCACTGCACCCAGGGCCAACCTTTTCTGTACAGGGCTAGCTAGTAAATATTTTTGACTTTTTTTTTTTTTTTTTTTTTTTTTGAGATGGAGTCTCAGTCTGTTGCCCAGGCTGGAGTGCACTGGTACAATCTCGATCTTGGCTCACTGCAACCTCCACCTCCCTGGTTCAAGCAATTTTCCTGTCTCAGCCTCCCAAGTAGCTGGGACTACAGGCACCTGCCACCACTCCCGGCTAATTTTTGTATTTTTAGTAGAGATGGGGTTTCACCTTGTTGCTCAGGCTGGTCTTGAACTCCTGACCTCAGGTGATCCACCCTCCTTGGCCTCCCAAAGTACTGGGATTACAGCCATGAGCCACCACGCCTGGCCAATATTTTTGGCTTTCTGGGCCATCCAGACTCTGTCTCAACTACGCAACTATGCCACTGTAGCTGAAAACCAGCCATAGATAATAGATAAATAAATGGGTGTGGCTGTATGCCAATAATTTTTTTTTTTTTTTGAGATGGAGTCTCACTCTGTCGCCCAGGCTGGAGTGCAGTGGTGCAATCTTGGCTCACCACAACCTCTGCCTCCCAGGTTCAAGCAATTCTCCTGTCTCAACCTCCCGAGTAGCTGGGATTATAGATGAGCACCACCATGCCCAGCTATTTTTTGTTATTTTTAGTAGAGATGGGGTTTCACCATGTTGGCCAGGCTGGTCTCGAACCCCTGACCTCGTGATCCACCCACCTCGGCCTCCCAAAGTGCTGGGATTACAGGCACAAGCCACCGTGCCTGGCCAATTTTTTTTTTATTGACACTGAAATGTGCATTTCATATAATTTTCACATGTCACAAAATAATCTTTTAATTTTTCAATCATTTGAAAATGTAAACATGATTCTTAGCTTGTGGGACACATGATACAAGGCAGTGGGCTGAACTTTGCCCACAGGCCAAAGAGTGTTTATTTATTTTATTTTATTTTATTTTATTTTTATTTTATTATTATTTATTTATTTATTTATTTTGAGACGGAGTCTCGCTCTGCCGCCCAGGCTGGAGTGCAGTGGCCTGATCTCGGCTCACTGCAAGCTCCGCCTCCCGGGTTCACACCATTCTCCTGCCTCAGCCTCCCGAGTAGCTGGGACTACAGACGCCCGTCACCACCCCTGGCTAATTTTTTGTATTTTTAGTAGAGACGGGGTTTCACCGTGTTAGCCAGGATGGTCTCGATCTCCTGACTTTGTGATCCGCCTGCCTCAGCCTCCCAAAGTGCTGGGATTATAGGTGTGCACCACCATCCCCAGCTAATTTTTGTATTTTTTGCAGAGACAGGGTTTCACCAGGTCATCCAGGTTGCTCTCAAACTCCTGACCTCAGGCGATCTGCCTGCCTCAATCTCTAAAAGTGCTGGCATTATAGGCATGAGCCACTGCACCCAGCCTGCTTTCTTGCTGCTCTGTTTGGGAGCATGCAGAGCCCAGCAGCTCATGGTCAGGGTTACAGAAACAGGAAACACCCAAGAACTCACCCCAGGTGTTTGGAGACTTCATAGAAAAGGACATGTAGGAGTTGGGTTTTGAAAGATGAATAGGAGTTTGCCAAGTGGGGAAGGATAGCAGGAGAGCAGGGAAAGATGTGCTCAGTTCTGGAAGTCAAAGAAGAGCTGGTCAGATTGAGAAAGGAGAAAGTATGTTCCTGTAGCTACAATGTGGGGAGAGATGAAGACGTAACGGTTCGCATGCTTGGTTAGAATGTTGGAAACGTATCCTGTGTTCACTGATGGACTCATTCATTTATTCAATCAAAATGCTATAAACCCACCGCTGCTGGATGATCCTGGGATTCCAGGGAGGAGGCTCGGTGTCCCCAGGTTGTAAGAGACCCAGAATTAGAAACAGATTTCTTCAGCCCCATGGTTAGCTTGAGGCGGAGAGAGGAAGGGGGTGCCAGAAACGGGGTGTCAGAGGAATGGGGCATAAGGTCTCTGCTTGCTGAATGGGGAAAGAACATCAACAATGCTCTGGGGGGCAAGTGTGGTGGCTTACACCTGTAACCCCAGCACTTTAGGAGGCCGAGGCAGGAGGATCACTTGAGCTCAGGAGTTTCAGACCAGCCTGGGCAATATAGCAAGACCCCATCACTACAAAAGATTAAAAAAAAAATAGGCCGGGCGCAGTGGCTCACGCCTGTAATCCCAACACCTTGGGAGGCCGAGGCCGGCGGATCACAAGGTCAGGAGATCGAGACCATCCTGGCTAACACGGTGAAACCCCGTCTCTACTAAAAATATAAAAATTAGCCGGGCATTGTGGTGGGCGCCTGTGGTCCCAGCTACTCGGGAGGCTGAGGCAGGAGAGTGGCGGGTGAACCCAGGAGGCGGAGCTTGCAGTGAGCCGAGATGGTGCCACTGCACTCCAGCCTGGGCTACAGAGCGAGACTCCGTCTTTAAAAAAAAAAAAAAAAAAAAAATAGCTGAGCATGGTGGTGCACACTTGTGGTCCCAGCTACTCCGGAGGCTGAGGCAGAAGAATCGCTTGAGCCCAGGAGTTCAAGGCTGCAGTGAGCTATGATCACACCACTTCACTCCAGCCTGAGGGACAAAACCAGACCCTGCCTCAAAATAAAACAAAAACAAAAACAACAATGAAAAACAAACAATACCATGGAAACCAAATCTAAAAAGAATGAGTAGATGTCCTCTAAGGCTTTGAATTTTGTTTGTTTGTTTTAGTGACAGGGTCTTGCTCTGTTGCCCTGCCTGGAGTACAGCGGTGTGATCATAGCTCACTGCAGCCTTGAACTCCTGGGCTCCAGCAGTCCTCCCGTCTCAGCCCCCAGAGTAGCTGGGATTACAGGCATGAGCCACCACGCCCAGCTCAAGGGTTTGGAGGCAAAGGGAATAGCATATGTAAAGGTCTTTGTTGTTGTTCTTGTTTTGAGGCGGAGTCTGGCTTTGTCACCCAGGCTGTAGTGCAGTGGCACGATCTTGGCTCACTGCAACCTCTGCCTCCCAGGTTCAAGTGATTCTCCTGCCTCAGCCTCCCAAGTAGCTGGGATTATAGCACCTGCCACCATGGCTGGCTAATTTTTTGTATTTTTAATAGAGACAGGGTTTCACTTTGTTGGTCAGCCTGGTCTTGAACTCCTGACCTCAAGTGATCCACCCACCTCAGCCTCCCAAAGTGCTGGGATAACAGGCGTGAGCCACTGCACCCGGCCAAGGTCTTGAGGTGGAACAGCACAGCCTGGCAGGAAATAGTGAGCAGCTTGAAGCGGAGCCCAGGGGGAGTCTCCCCAGTCGATGGGGGAGAGACTGAAGGGTGAGAGAAAGGACTGGAAAGGTTTTCAGGGGCCAAATTGGGAATGTCAGGCTGAGGACTGTGTGCTCTGTCCTGAGAGCCCTGGGGAGCCATGGGGTGGCTTTTGAACAGAGGAGAGTCATGATGTGGGGTCAGCTGGGGCAACCGGTGGCATTTGGCAGATGGGCAGAGAGAGCCAGGAAGGGTCATCCAACAGGAACAGAAGTCAGCAGTGTGGGAGGGGCGGCTCGAGTAGGGAAGGGGAAGAGGTCCAGGTGTGGGCTCCGTCAGTTTGCTCCTGCTTGCATTGGCCTGGTGGCCTCCAGGTGCAGCCTTCTTCTGGGTTGATGACAACTTAGGAGAGTTTCCTTCCTTCCTCCTTCCTTCCTTCCTTCCTTCCTTCCTTCCTTCCTTCCTTCCTTCCTTCCTTTCTCTCTCTCTCTTTCCTTCCTTCCTTCCTTCCTTTCCTTCTCTCCTTCTTTCTCTTTCTTTCTTCTCTCTTCTCTCTCTTTCTCTTTCTTTCTTTATTTTATTTTGTTTTGAGATGGAGTTTCGCTCTTGTTGCCCAGACTAAAGTGCAACAGTGCAATCTCTGCCTCCCGGGTTCAAGAAATTCTCCTGCCTCAGCCTCCCAAGTAGCTGGAATTACAGGCACGTGCCACCACGCCCGGTTAATTTTGTATTTTTTTTTTTTTAGTAGAGATGGGGTTTCTCCATGTTGGTCAGGTTGGTCTTGAACTCCCGACCTCAGGTGATCTGCCCGCCTCGGCCTCCCAAAGTGCTGGGATTACAGGCATGAGCCACCTCGCCTGGCAGAGAGTTTCAAATGGTGCAGGTGGAAGTTTCAAGGTCCCCCAGGTCCTGGAGGCAGTGAGTTATGATCACTTCACTGCACTCCAGCCTGGGCAACAGAGTGAGACCCTGTGTCTAAAAAAAAATTAAAAAGAGGCCAAGTGCGGTGGCTCATGCCTGTAATCCCAGCACTGTGGGAGGCCAAGGCAGGGAGATCACTTGAGGTCAGCAGTTCCAGACCAGCCTGGCCAACATGGTGAAACCCCATCTCTACAAAAAATACAAAAATAGCCAGGCGTGGTGGCTCACACCTATAATCCCAGCTACTTAGGAGGGTGAGGCAGGAGAATCGCTTGAAGCTGGGAGGTGGAGATTGCAGTGAGCTGAGATCACACCACTGCACTCCAGCCTGGGTGACACAGCGAGACTTGGTCTCAAAAAATAAAAATAAAAAGAGAGAAATGAGGAGATCAGAGTCGGAAGGGGGTGGAGGGGAGATAGTCTGCAGTGCTGCCATCTCCAACACTCTCCTCACCTCCTCTCCTGAGTCTCCTTGAGGCTGGCTTCTGCAGTGGGATTCCAGTCCCAGCTCTCCCCTGAATGCTGTGTGACCCAGGAGGAGACCTGCCCCTCTCTGAGCTACACACAATGGCAGGTCTCATAAGCTCTAAATTACAAGTATGGATGTGAGATCCACTCATGCCTCCCTCTTCTGCTGTCCTTCTTATCAATATCCACAGCAAAAACAATTAATTACTGGACGCCTCTGGTGTGCCAGGCCCTACCAAAAGCAAGATGGGAGGGCAGGAAAATACTTCTCTGTATTAGTTCATTTTCACTCTGCTAATAAAGACTTACCTTTATGTCTGGGCAGTTTGCAAAAGAAGAAAAAGAGACTAGGCAATTTACAAAAGAAAGAAGTTTAATGGACTTACAGTTCCACGTGGCTGGGGAGGCCTCACAATCATGGTGGAAGGCAAGGAGGAGCAAGTCACATCTTACGTGGATGGCAGCAGGCAAAGAGAAAGAGCTTGTGCAGGGAAACTCCCATTTTTTTTTCTTTTTTTCTTTTTTTTTTTTGAGACGGAGTCTCGCTGTCACCCAGGCTGGAGTGCAGTGGCGTGATCTCTGCTCACTGCAGGCTCTGCCCCCTAGGGTTCACACCATTCTCCTGCCTCAGCCTCCCAAGTAGCTGGGACTACAGGCACCCGCCACCTCGCCCAGCTAATTTTTTGTATTTTTAGTAGAGATGGGGTTTCACTGTGTTAGCCATGATGGTCTCTATCTCCTGACTTCGTGATCTGCCTGCCTTGGCCTCCCAAAGTGCTGGGATTACAGGTGTGAACCACTGCGCCCTGCCTGTTTTGTTTTTTGTTTGTTTGTTTTGAGACAGAGTTTCACTCTTGTTGCCCAGGCTGGAGTGCAATGGCGTGATCTCCGTTCACCGAAACCTCTGCCTCCCTGGTTCAAGCTATTCTCCTCCCTCAGCCTCCTGAGTAGCTGGGCTTACAGGTGTGCACCACCACACCTGGCTAATTTTTTGTATTTTCAGTAGAGATGGGGTTTCTCCATGTTGGTCAGGCTGTTCTTGAACTCCCGACCTCAGGTGATCCACCCACCTTGTTCTCCCAAAGTGCTGGGATTACAGGCATTAGCCACCACGCCCGGCTGAAACTCCTGTTTTTAAAACCATGAGATCTCATGAGACTCATTCGCTATTAGGAGAACAGAGCAGGACAGACCCACCCCGATAATTCAATCACACGGGAATTGTGGGAGTTACAATTTAAGATGACATTTGGGTGGGGACACAGCCAAATCATATCATTCTCCAAAGAAGAATCTTTTGCTTTCTTGTTGCTCTGTTTGCAAGGAGCTGAGTCTGGGGTTGAGGTTGCAGAGCCCAGACACTCATGGTTGTGGCTACAGGAGAAGAAAACACCCGAGGAGTCAGCCCAGGTGTTGGGAGGCTTCATGGAAAAGGGCACCCAGGGTTGGGTTTTGAAAGATGAATAGGAGTTTGCCAAGTGGGGTAGGAGTTTGGGGAAAGACAGCAGAAGAGAAGAAGAAGATGTGCTCGAGTCCTGGAAGTCAAATAGGAGCTGCTACATATTTCTGCTACATATTTTGTCTTTCATTTACATCTTTAGATCAAAAGCATCCTTTTAAATAGCTGCATAATATTTCACTAGAATGTATTCAGCCCCACGCACCTGGGTGACAGTGTTACAGTTTCTATTTTATTTATTCATTTTTTATTGCAATTACAAATGACTTAGGGATGAATTTGTATATAAATCTTGTTGACCCAGGGAAGGCAGATGCCGTAAGTTGGATAATTACATGCATGAAACCAGTGATCTAGCCCATGATACTCCCAGGCAAGATAGGTTCCTCTGGACCTCCTTTCTCCTTTGAAGAAAACAGGTGTTGGTGACCCTTCCCTGCAAGCATCCTGGGGCTGATGGAGGGGTTTGAGTTGTTGGGACAACAATTTCTTCTTTATTCAACAAGAATTGCAGGAGCACCAGGCTCTGCTCCAGGCTCTGAGGACACAGCAGTGATCCAAGCACCAAAACTCCCTGCCGGCCGGGTGCAGTGGCTCATACCTGTCATCCCAGTACTTTGGGAGGCCGTGGTGGGCAGATGACCTGAGGTCAGGAGTTCGAGACCAGCCTGGCCAACATGGTGAAACCCCGTCTCTACTAAAAATAATTTTAAAAATTAACCAGATGTGGTGGCACGTGTCTGTAGTCCCAGCTACTTGGGAGGCTGAGGCAGAAGAATCGCTTGAACCCAGAAGGCGGAGGTTGCAGTGAGCTGAGATTGCGCACTGAACCCCAGCCTGGGCAACAGAGTGAGACTCTGTCTCAAACAAAACAAAACAAAACAAACAAAGAAAAAAATACAAGAAACTCCTTGCCCTGGTGGGGCTGATGTTCTGGGGATGGAGAAGAAGAAAATAAGCCAAAGTCAAGGCTACAAGATGCCAGGCGGTGGGATGTGCCAAGGAAGAAAAACTCATGCATTCACTCTCTTTTTTTAAAGAATGTATTTCGGCCAGATGGGGTGGCTCACACCTGTAATCCCAGCACTTTGGGAGGCTGAGACAGGTGGATCAGTTGAGGCCAGGAGTTCAAGACTAGTCTTGCCAAGATGGCAAAGCCCCATCTCTACTAAAAATACAAATAAATAAATAGACAAGCATGGTGATGGGCTCCTGTAATCCCAGCTACTCAGGTGGCTGAGGCAGGAGAATCGCTTGAACCCAAGAGGCGGAGGTTGCAGTGAGCCAAGATCATGCCACTGCACTCCAGCCTGGGCGACAGAGTGAGACTTGGTCTCAAAAAAAAAAAAAGAAAGAAAATTTTCTGGAATTAGCTAGTGTGATGGTTGCATGCCTTATGAATATACTGAAACCCACTGAATTGCATAGTTTAAAAGAGTGAATTTTATAGTATGTGATTTATGTCTTGATTTTAAAAATAGGGATGTTAAAAAAAAAAAAACAACCCACAGCTCTTGGCACATCCTAAGCACTGAATACATTGTAGCTATTCTTATTACGAGTGAATACAGCACCCAGAGATGTCAAAGTGACATTCATTAATTTTATTAGGTATTTATTCATTTCATTGAATAATTAGCACCAACTGTAATCCTCATAAAATCCTATGAAGTAGGTACAATTATGCTCCCCATTTTACAGATGGGGAAATCAAGGCTCAGAGAGGGTATATTTCTTTCCTAGGGCCACACAGTATGCAAATTACAATTGCACAAAAGTTGCAGCTTCTTAAAGAGCCTGGTCCTAGAATCTCTCCCTTAACCATGGTGCTGTGAGACCACTTAATTACTGGTGATTAGGAATTAATTGTGTGCATTTTGGATGGCACAGCGGCTCACACCTGTAATCCCAGCACTTTGGGAGGCTGAGGCAGGCGGATAACCTGAGGTCAGGAGTTTCAGACCAGCATGGCCAATATAGCGAAACCCCGTCTCTACTAAAAATACAAAAATTAGCCAGGTGTGGTGGCACACACCTGTAGTCCCAGCTACTCAGGAGGCTGAGGCAGGAGAATTGCTTGAACCTGGGAGGCAGAGGTTGCAGTGAGCCGAGATCGCGCCGCTACACTCCAGCCTGGGTGACAGAGTGAGATATACGCATTTTAATTCATGCAATTAAGTCTTGTGCTGTGGCCGGTGCACACTTCGTCCCTCCAACATTAGCAGGCACACTTGGAATGAATGCAGGTGGCTGTCCTCAACTGGAGACAGAGGCCAGGTGTTGCTGGTGGGAGGGAGTTTGAGCTTTGGCAATGAGGACGAAGAATGAGGAGATGTTGGAGATGTATTCAACAAACTTTTCTTTCTTTCCTTTTTTTTTTTTTTTTTTGAGACAGAATCTCTCTCTGTCACAGGGGTTGGAGTGCAATGGTGCGATCTCAGCTCACTGCAGCCTCCACGTTCAAGCGATTCTCCTGTTTCAGCCTCCTGAGTAGCTGGCACTACAGGCATCCACCACCACACCGGCTAATTTTGTATTTTTAGTAAAGACAGGGTTTCTCCATGTCGGCCAGGCTGGTCTTGAACTCCTGACCTCAAGTGATCTGCCCACCTCAGCCTTCCAAAGTGCTGGGATTACAGACATGAGCCACTGCGCCTGGCCCCTTCTGTATTATTTATGTGTATTCTTTTCTACTAAAATGTATTAGGCGCCTACTGTGTGCCAGAGAGTGTTCTAGATACAGGGTGGGGAGGGGGCAAAACACACAGAGCTCCCTGGTCCCGTGGCACTTAACTCTGTAATCCTCACAGCAGCCTCTGGAAGTAGGAGCAGGAAAACCAGGCACAGGAGGTCCCCTGCTGTCCTGACTGTATACACCCCGAGAAGGCAGGGACTTTGTTTTCAGACACTGGTATGGTCCTTGAGCACATAGTAGGTACTCAAGGGATGCTTGGACAAATGAATGAATGAATGAATGAACGAATGAATGAAGGAAGGGAGGGAGGTGATGTCACCTGCTGGAGCTGGGACCAAGAAGGTCCAGCTCACTTGTGTCCAGAGTTCAGGACTGGGCTGGCTTTGGATGGGATCCCAGACAGGTGTCTCCCCCGCCTGGCAGAGCCTGGGTGGGATGAGAAGCAGGGAACGTGGGGGCTGAGCCCCGGAAGGCAGGGAGGGAGACCCTGGCATCCAGGCAGTTTCCGATGTTATCGGAAACTCCATTAGTCGGGGTCCCCCATTAGTCAGTATCTCCACCCACAGTCTCTGTCCTCCTTCTGAGCGCTTAGGGACACTGTTGATAACTCCTGGCTGGACTCTGCTGGCCCCTAAGCTTGGAATAACGATACCCATAACAGGCCTGTTATTATTATTATCTCCTTCAACAATAACAACAGCAGCAGCCCCAGCTATTTTTTGAGCTCATACCACATCCTGGGCAATGCACTTCTGCAATGCCTCATCTTGTGCATGGCCCGCATCAGCCTGCAAGGTACCATTGATGATGTGTCCTGCTTTTACTGATACAAGCGAAGAGAAACCAAGAGGCATTAGTCACAGGGCCAGGCAGCAGGGGAGCACCCTCTTAATCACCACCACCCGTCTAGTCTTTCCATCTTTGTTTTCTTTTTTTTTTCTTTTTCTTTTTGAGTTGGAGAGAGATGAGTTAGGAATAATTTTATTTTTATTTATTTATTTATTTTTTTTGAAACGGAGTCTTGCTCTGTTGCGCAGGCTGGAGTGCAGTGGCACGATCTCAGCTCACTGCAACCTCCGCCTCCCGGGTTCACGCCATTCTTCTGCCTCAGCCTCCCAAGTAGCTGGGACTACAGGCGCCTGCCACCACACCCAGCTATTTTTTTTTTTTTTTTGTATTTTTAGTAGAGACGGTGTTTCACTGTGTTAGCCAGGATGGTCTCGATCTCGTGACCTCATGATCCGCCTGCCTGAGCTTTCCAAAGTGCTGGAATTACAGGCATGAGCCACTGTGCCTGGCCTATTTTTTATTTTTTATTTATTTTGGGGGGACAGAGTCTCACTATGTCACCCAGGCTGGAATGCAATCGTGTGATCTCAGCTCACTGCAACCTCTGCCTCCCAGGTTCAAGCGATTCTCCTACCTCAGCCTCCTGAGTAGCTGGGATTACAGGCATGCGCCACCGCACCTGGCTAATTTTGTATTTTTAGTAGAGATGGGGTTTCTCCATGTTGGCCAGGCTGGTCTCGAACTCCCGACTTCAGGTGATCGGCCCACCTCGGCCTCCCAAAGTGCTGGGATTACAGGCGTGAGCTGTAATCCATGCCCGGCTAATTTTTTGTACTTTTTTTTTGTTTTTTTTAGGACGGGGTTTCACCGTGTTAGCCAGGATGGTCTCGATCTCCTGACCTCATGATCTGCCCGCCTCACCCTCACAAAGTGCTGGGATTACAGGTGTGAGCCACCGCGCCCAGCCTGAACATGTTTTAAATGGAGATTTTTAGAGGCTGAGGTGAGTGGATCTGCTTTGTTCAGGAGTTCGAGACCAGCCTGGGCAATATGATGAAACCCTGCCTCTACTAAAAATACAAAAATTAGACATACATGGTGGTGAGTGCCTGTAATCCCTGCTACTCGGGAGGCTGAGGCAGGAGAATTGCTTGAACCCGGGCGGTGGAGGTTGCAGTGAGCCAAGATTGCCCCACTGGATTCCAGCCTGGGTGATAGAGCAAGACTCTGTCTCAAAAAGAAAAAAAACACAAAAACAAAACTAACAAACAAAAAACAAAACAACAACAAAAAAAGTTGGAGAGAGATGAGTTATGGAAGGAATTTATACGCCAAGTTTAAGAGTTTAGACTTTATTTATTGAAGGCCCAGACACGTTTTAATGGATGCTTTTGAATCTGGGAGACTGGTTGGGTCAGTATCTTCAGGCACGCGTTGATATTCAAGGGCTGGTGTTTGGTTGGAGGCAGAGGGAACATTGTGTTTGTTTGGGAGTATGTGTGCATCAGCACAAATGGAGGCAACTGAACTAGGGCCACGGGCTGAGAAGAGGCGCATGGAGGCGTTGGCATGGCCCCTGTCCCATCTGTCCTTGGACCACTGAAGAGAAGCGCTTGCAGTCCAGAACTGTAGTCGTAATCTGTTTACTGACATTGTCCATTTCATATCAATCACTTGTTTTTCTTTCCACACCTGTCTTAGTTCAGTTTGTGTTGCTATAAAGGAATAACTGGGGCTGGGTGCAGTGGCTCACGCCTGTAATCCCAGCACTTTGGGAGGCCAAGGTGGGTAGATCACTTGAGGTCAGGAGTTTGAAAACAGCCTGGCCAACATGGTGAAACCCCGTCTCTACTAAAAATACAAAAGTTAGCCGGGTATGGTGGCACGCGCCTGTAGTCCCAGCTACTTGGGAGGCTGAGGCAGGAGAATCGCTTGAACCCAGGATGCGGAGGTTGCAGTGAACCGAGATTGCACCACTGCACTCCAGCCTGGGTGACAGAGTGAGACTCCATCTCAGAAAAAAAAAAAAAAAAAAAAAGATGGGGAGGGAAAGAGACTTGTTTCTGAGCTCATGTGACAGTTTCATGTTTTTCTTTTGTTTGTATAAATTGAAGAAGTACAAGTGCAGTTTTGTTACATGTATGTATTGTGTGGTGGTGAAGTCTGACCTCTTTTTTTTTTTTTTTTGAGAGGGAGTCTCGCTCTGTCGCCCAGACTGGTGTGCAGTGGTGCGATCTCGGCTCATTGCAACCTCTGCCTCCTGGATTCAAGCGATTGTCCTGTCTCAGCCTCTGGAGTAGCTGGGATTATAGGCATGCACCACCATGCTCGGCTAATTTTTTGTATCTTTAGTAGAGGCAAGGTTTCACCATGTTGGCCAGGCTGGTCTCGAACTCTTGGTCTCATGATCCACTCACCTCCACCTCCCAAAGTGCTGGGATTACAGGTGCAAGCCACCGCGCCCGGCCCGATATTTGATTTTCTGTTTCTGAGTTGTTTCACTTAAGATCATGTCCTCCGGTTCCATCCATGTTGCCGCAAAGGCATTTCATTCTTTGTGTGTGTGTGTGAGACAGGGTTTCACTCTGTCACCCAGGTTGGAGTGAAGTGGCACAATCACAGCTCCTGCAGCCTCCAACTCCTGTGCTCAAGCAATCTTTCCTCCTCAGCCTCTCAAGTAGTTAAGACTACAGGCACATGCCAGTATGTTTGGCTAATTTTCTAAATTTATTTTTTATGGAGGTGGGGTCTCACTATGTTGCCCAGGCTGGTTGCGAACTCTTGTCCTCAGGCAATTCTCCTGCCTCAGCCTCCCAAATTGCTGGAATCACAGGCATGAACCATCACACCTGGCCTATTTCATTCTTTTTTCTTTTTTTGAGACGGAGTCTCGTTCTCTCACCCAGGCTGGAGTGCAGTGCAACAATCTCAGCTCACTGCAACCTCTGTCTCCCAGATTCAAGTGATTCTCCTGCCTCAGCCTCCCGAGTAGCTGGACTCACAGGCACACACCACCATGCCTGGCTAATTCT
Organism: Homo sapiens; assembly: GCF_000001405.40. Classification (NCBI taxonomy): domain Eukaryota; kingdom Metazoa; phylum Chordata; class Mammalia; order Primates; family Hominidae; genus Homo; species Homo sapiens. The sequence goes on along the minus strand of NC_000019.10, from coordinate 6,315,974 downwards.
TGTATTTTTTGTAGAGATGGGGTTTCACCATGTTGGCCAGGCTGGTCTCGAATTCCTGACTTCGTGATTTGCCTGTCTCAACCTCCCCAAGTGCTGAGATTACAGGTGTGAGTCACCACACCTGGGCTCATTCTTTTTTTAATGGCTAAATAGTATTCCAGGCCAGGTGTGGTGGCTCATGCCTGTAATCCCAGCAGTTTGGGAGGCCAAGGCGGGTGGATTGCTTGAGTCCTGGAGTTAGAGACCAGCCTGGGCCACATGGCCAAATCCCATCTGTACAAAAAATACAAAAATTAGGCTGGCCGTGGTGGCTCAAGCCTGTAATCCCAGCACTTTGGGAAGCCGAGGAGGGTGGATCACAGGATCAGGAGATCGAGACCATCCTGACTAACACGGTGAAACTCCGCCTCTACTAAAAATACAAAAAATTAGCCAGGTGTGGCGGCGTGCACCTGTAGTCCCAGCTGCTGGGGAGGCTGAGTCAGGAGAATGGCATGAACCCGGGAGGCGGAGCTTGCAGTGAGCCGAGATCGCGCCACTGTACTCCAGCCTGGGCGACGGAGTGAGACTCTGTCTCAAAAAACAAAACAAAACAAAACAAAAATTAGCTGGACATGGTGGTGCATGCTTGTAGTCCCAGCTACTTGGAGGGCTGAGGTGGGAGGATTACTTGAACCTGGGATGTCGAAGCTGCAGTGACCCATGATCGTGTCACTGCATTCCAGCCTCGGCAACAGAGAGAGACCCTGTCTCAATAAATAAATAAATAAATAAATAAATATAAATAAATAAGGCCGGGTGCAGTGGCTCACACCTGTAATCCCAGCACTTTGGGAGGCCGAGGCGGGCGGATCATGGGGTCAGGAGATTGAGACCACGGTGAAACCCCGTCTCTACTAAAACTACAAAAAAATAATTAGCTGGGCGTGGTGGCAGGCACCTGCAGTCCCAGCTACTCAGGAGGCTGAGGCAGGAGAATGGTGTGAACCCAGGAGGCGGAGCTTGCAGTGAGCTGAGATCGCGCCACTGCACTCCAGCCTGGGCGACAGAGCAATACTCCATCTCAAAAATAAATAAATAAATAAATAAATAAATAAATAAAATTCCATTGTGTATATATACCACATCTTCTTTATCCAATCATTGGGTTGATTTCATATCTTCACCTGTGTGAACAGTGCTGCAATAAACATATGAACGCAGGTATATTTTAGTATAATGATTTCGTTTCCTTTGGGTAGATACTCAGTAGCGGGATTGCTGGATCAAATGGTAGTCCTAATTTTAGTTCTTTGAAAATTCTGCATACTGTTTTCCGTAGAGGTTGTACCCATTTACATTTCCACCCATATTATATAAGTATTTGTCATATGAGAGACTTGTCGCGGCTCAGACATATCAGGGAGACACTTTGTGGGGAGTCAAAGTCTGATGTCAGCACGTCGGGGTCTTGAGTCATTTAATTTTGGGTGCAAATGTTCTTGTGACCTTTTTTTTTTTTTTTTGAGGTGAAGTCTTAGTCTGTTGCCCAGGCTGGAGTGCGATGGCGTGATCTCGGCTCACTACCACCTCTGCCTCCTGAGTTTAAGCAATTCTCCCACCTCAGCCTCCCAAGTAGCTGGGATTACAGGCACCCACCACTACACCCAGCTATTTTTTTGTATTTTAGTAGAGATGGGATTTCACCATGTTGCCCTGGCTGGTTTCAAACTCCTGACCTCAAGTGATCTGCCTGCCTCAGCCTCCCAAAGTGCTAGGATTACAGGTGTGATCCACTGCACCTGGCCAATTTTTGTATTGTTTTACATTATTGTGAAATATATATTCACATATTATATATATATATATATTCACAATATATATTTACATACTGTTTTGTAGAGTTTCACTATGTTTTTTGGGCTGGCCTTGAACGCCTGACCTCAGGTGATCTACCTGCCTCAGCCTCCCAAAGTGCTGGGATTACAGGCGTGAGCCACCATGCCCGGCCATCACCTGAAGTTTCATTCACTCATGTGTCTGATGACTGTATAGGGAAGAATTGAACCACTGGCCCTCCTCTGGCATCTCTCTCCATCTCAGTGTGGTCTCTACACATGGTTTCTCCAGCGTGGTGGCTTCAAGGGTAGCCAGTCTTCTTGTGTGGTGGCCTAGGATCTGGACGTCTTGTCCTATGAGATAGAGAAAGGTGGAAGCCACAGTTCCTTTTATGACCTAACCTCAGAAGTCACACAGTATCATTTCTGCTTCATGCTGTTTGTCAAAAAGGTACTGCATCGTCTTTCCTTGTCTGCAAGGGCAAGGTCAACTCATGACATCCATGGCCACATTTCAGCCCACAGGAAGAGGAAAGGGGGCAAGCTTTCCTTACGTGGTTTTTGAAAGGACTGACCTGGAAGTAGTAGATGTCATTTACATTCTTATCTCATTGGCCAGAGCAGGTCAAAAGGCCACAAGGCCACAGTGAACTGCAGCGAAGGCTGGGAAATGTAGTCTTTCACTGGGTAAGCTGTGTGCCCAGTTCAAACTTGGGAGATACTATTTTTACAGGAAAAGGGGCTGGGTGCAGTGGTTCATACCTGTAATTTCAACACTTTAGGCTATGGTGGGAGGATCACTTGAGGCTGGGAGCTTGCAACCAGCCTGGGTGACATAGTGAGACCCCTTCTCTACAAAAAATAAAAGAAAATTAGCCAGGTGGGGTGGCGGGCACCTGTAGTCCCAGCTACTCGGGAGGCTGAGGCAGGAGGATCCTCTGAGCTCAGCTGATTGAGGCTGCAATGAGCCATGATCCCACCACTGCACTCCAGCCTGGCAGCAGACAGCAAGATCCTGACTGTAAAATAAATAAATAGAAAAAGTAAAAGAGAAGGAGAATATATATGGAAGTTTAGTGGATAGTCTTTGCCACACTCACTGAATGAATGAATGAACCAATAACGGATCGAGAAATTGATCTATGGATGACCAGCTGATGGTCAAGATCAGCTGAAAAGTGGCTAGGTGCGGTGGCTCACACCTGTAATCCCACCACTTTGGGGAGGCCAAGATGGGCGGATCACCTGAGGTCAGGAGTTCAAGAGCAGCCTGGCCAACATGGTGAAACCCTGTCTCTACCAAAAATATAAAAAATTAGCTGGGCGTGGTGGCACGTGCCTTTAATCCCAGCTACTCGGGAGTCTGAGACAGGAGAATCGCTCGAACCTGGGAGGTGGAGGTTGCAGTGAGCTGAGATGGCACCACTGCGCTCCAGCCTGAGTGACAGAGCAAGACTCCAAGACTCCATCTAAAAAAAAAAAAAAAAAAAGGGTCGGCTGAAAGGTTGACAGGTGAGTGATTGACAAATCCTGGGTTGATGCATTGCCTGAAATGCAGCAGGTAACCGACTGGCTGGTGACTGAGTGTCTGGACAGAGGGCAGCCTCCTCCGTCTCCCCTATCTGACGAGCTCCTCCCTATGGCTCTCTCTGCTCCAGTTCTCCAATATCCCCTTCTTCATCTTCGGGCCACTGATGATGCTCCTGATGCACCCGTATGCCCAGAAGCGCTCCCGCTACATTTACGTTGTCTGGGTCCTCTTCATGATCATAGGTAGGGAGGTGTGGTTCAGGTCTGTGACAGTCGGGAGGCAGTGGGGGTTTAGGAGGTGGCGGACCCCACTGACCGCCTGCCCTTGCCGCTGCAGGCCTGTTCTCCATGTATTTCCACATGACGCTCAGCTTCCTGGGCCAGCTGCTGGACGAGATCGCCATCCTGTGGCTCCTGGGCAGTGGCTATAGCATATGGATGCCCCGCTGCTATTTCCCCTCCTTCCTTGGGGGGAACAGGTGGGTCAGGGGCTGGCCATCTGGACAGGGTGGGGTCTGAGTCTTCAGTTGACTCTACATGAGCTCACCTGAGTCCCCTGGGTCCCCACCCTTGACCCTCTTTGGGGCCCTTGGAATTCCTCCCCTGACCACTTCGGGTTTTCTCCTGACCCTGCCTGACTCACTTGGGCTTCTGGAGACCCCTCCCCTGAGCTTACCTGGTTTCTTGGAATCCCTCCCTTGATCCTACTTTGATAACCTGGGACTTCCTCCAGAATCTGTTGCAGCCAACAGGAGTTCCAGGACCTCATGTCTACACTTACCTGGGCCTGAGGGACTCCTCCCCGAGCCTCTCACCTGGCGTTCCTGGCATCTTTCATCTGATCTGCTTAGACCCCCTGGGTCCCTCTCTTGATCTAATTGATCCCCACTCCCACCCTTGACCCCTGTGAAATAATCTCCTTCTCCTTCTACTTTTCCACCTCCTCCTCCTTCTCCTCCTCCTTCTCCTCCTCCTTCTCCTTCTTCTTCTTCTTCTCCTCCTCCTCCTTCTCCTTCTCCTTCTTCTTCTCCGCCTCCTCCTTCTTCTTTTTCTTCCTCCTCCTCCTCCTCCTTCTTCTTCCTTTTTGAGACAGAGTCTCGCTCTGTCACCCACACTGGAGTGCAGTGGTGCGATCTCGGCTCACTGCAGCCTCTGCCTTCAGGGTTCAAGTGATCCTCCTGCCTCAGCCTCCCGAGTAGCTGGGATTACAGGCACCTGCCACCACACCCGGCTAATTTTTGTATTTTTAGTAGAGACGGTTTCACCATGTTGGCCAGGCTGGTCTCGATCTCCTGATCTCAAGTGATCCACCTGCCTTGGCCTCCCAAAGTGCTGGGATTACAGGCAAGTGAAATTCTCTTCTAACCCGGCTTAACCCACCTGAGCCCTCCAGGACCCCCCCAGCCCACCCTATTGACCTCTGGGACCCCTGTCATCTTTCCTTTATCCCTACTGGGTCCTGGAGAGCCACTGTCTGACATCTCTTAAATTCACCCGGACCCAGGGATCCCTCTTCTCAGCCCAGCTGGGATCCCCTGAACTCCTTGCCTGACCTCACCTGGGCCCTGGAAACCATCACGCTCTCCCAGGCTCCCTGGGACCCTCTTCTCATCCTACTGAGTCCTCCCTGGGATCCCCCTTTAGACGCTGCCTGGGCTCACCTGGGCTCCCTGAGACTTTCTGCTGAGTCCACTTGGGAGCCTCAGGACCTTCTTCTTCTCCTTCTCCTTCTTCTTTTTTTTTTTTTTTTTAGATGAAGTCTCGCTGTGTCCCCCAGGCTGGAGTGCAGTGGCGCAATCTTAGCTTGCTGCAACCTCCAATTCCCAGGCTCAAGCGATCCCTGCCTCAGCCTCTTTAGTAGCTGAGATTACAGGCACATGCCACCACATCCAGCTAGTTTTTTGTATTTTTGGTAGAGACAGGGTTTTGCCATGTTGCCCAGGCTGGTCTCGAACTCCTGAGCTCAAGCAATCCTCCCACCTCAGCCTCCCAAATTGCTGGGATTACAGTCACGAGCCACCGTGCCGGGCTAGGACCCTTTTTCTTGTTGTCGTTTTTGAGACAGAATCTCCCTCTGTCACCCAGGCTGGAGTGCCGTGGCGTGATCTTGGCCCACTGAAACCTCTGCCTCCTGGTTCAAGCAATTCTCGTGCCTCAGCCTCCTGAGTAGCTGGGATTACAGGCATCTGCTACCACACCTGGCTAAATTTTGTATTTTTAGCAGAAATGGGATTTCACCAGGGCCAGGCGCAGTGACTCATGCCGGTAATCCTAGCACTTTGGGAGGCCGAGGCGGGCGGATCACGAGGTCAGGAGATTGAGACCATCCTGGCTAACATGGTGAAACCCCGTCTCTAGTAAAAATATAAAAAATGAGCCGGGCGTGGTGGCGGGCGCCTGTAGTCCCAGCTACTTGGGAGGCTGAGGCAGGAGAATGGCGTGAACCTGGGAGGTGGAGCTTGCAGCGAGCCCAGATCGCACTGCTGCACTCCAGCCTGGGCGACAGAGCGAGACTCCGTCTCAAAAAAAAAAGAAATGGGGTTTCACCATGTTGACCAGGCTGGTCTCAAACTCCTGACCTCAGGTGATCCGCCCACCTCAGCCTCCCAAGGTGCTGGGATTACAGACATGAGCCACCGTGCCCTGCCTGGCTAGGACCCTTTTCTGAGCCTATCTGGGCTCCCCAGAATCCTGTCCTTTTCTCACCCACCTGGGCCACGGGATCTCCAAGTGACCATGCCTACAATCCCAGGACCTCCCTTCCCGCCTACAGCTGAGCCCCTTCCTCCCCAGGTCCCAGTTCATCCGCCTGGTCTTCATCACCACTGTGGTCAGCACCCTTCTGTCCTTCCTGCGGCCCACGGTCAACGCCTACGCCCTCAACAGCATTGCCCTGCACATTCTCTACATCGTGTGCCAGGAGTACAGGAAGTGAGTGAAGGCTGCAGGTGCCTGGGCAGGAGGCTCCCATCCCCCTCCTAGCACCCCTGACTCCAGGCTCGCGGAGGGGACGTCCCTTCTCCAAGATCACCCACTAACAAGTAGCAGGGCCAGGATTTGAACCTGACTGACTGCAGAGTTTGTCCTTATTATTATTTTTTTTCTTGAGACGGATCCTCGCTCTGTTGCCCAGGCTGGAGTGCAGGGGCGTGATCTTGGCTCACTGCAACCTCCACCTCCCAGGCTCAAGCAATCCTCCCACTCCAGCCTCCCAAGTAGCTGGGACTAGAGGCGTATGCCATCATGCCAGGATAATTTTTGTATTTTTCTTTGTAGAAACAGGGTTTCGTCATGTTGCCCAATCTGGTCTTGAACTCCTGGGCTCAAGCGATCCACCCACCTCAGCCTCCCAAAGTGCTGGGATTACAGGTGTGAGCCACTGCATCCACCCTACATTATCTTTATTTTATTTATTTATTTATTTATTTTTGAGACAGAGTCTCTCTCTGTCTTCCAGGCTGGAGTGCAGTGGTGTAATCTCAGCTCACTGCAAACTCTGCCTCCCGGGTTCAAGGATTCTCCTGCCTCAGCCTCCCGAGCAGCTGGGAGTACAGGTGTATGCCACCATGCTCGGCTAATTTTTGTATTTTTAGTAGAGACGGAGTTTCGTCATGTTGGCCAGGCTGGTCTCAAACTCCTGACCTCAGGTGATCTGCCCACCTCGGCCTCCCAAAGTGTTGAGATTACAGGCGTGAGCCACTGTGCCCAGCAGAGTTTGTCCTTTTTATGATGAAACCCAGAAACAGACATGCAAGCAGAGAAAATAGCCCCACAAACCTCCCCACGCCCACTAACCAGCCACAACAACCACCCACATTTTGTCAATCTGTTACATATTTCTCCCAGATTTCATACAATTTCACCCCTAATTTTTTTTTATAATTTAACTCCCCTGATTACAAAAAATATATTATTCTTGCTGGGCATGATGGCTCATGCCTGTAATCCCAGCACTTTGAGAGCTTGAGGCACACATACCTCTACCCCAAAACATACAAGCACCAAAGGGCTTGTTGGTTAAGAATAAATACTATGCAGTCAGAAAAACTTGGTTTAGATCCCAGCTCTGCCACTTACCAGCTGTGTAACCATGGGGTGGGGTGGGGCATAGTGCAATCCCTGTGCCTCAATTTACTCCTCTACAAAGTCCTTGTGAGGACTGAGTTAATATCTTTTTTTTTTTTTTTTTTTTGAGACGGAGTCTCACTCTTGTCGCCCAGGCTGGAGTGCAATGGTGCGATCCCGGCTCACTGCAATCTCCACCTCCTGGGTTCAAGCGACTCTTGTGCCTTAGCCTCCTGAGTAGCTGAAATTACAGACACACGCCACCACGCCCGGCTAATTTTTGTATTTTTAGTAGAGACAGAGTTTCGCCATGTTGGCCAGGCTGGTCTCGAACTCCTAACCTCAGATGATCTGCCCGCCTCGGCCTCCCAAAGTGCTGGGATTACAGGCTTGAGCCGCCGCGCCCAGCTGACTGAGTTAATATTCGAAGGTGTTTAATTTATTATTGTTACTTGTTTTTATTTATTTATTTATTTATTTAAGATGGAGTCTCACTCTGTCACCCAGGCTGGCGTGCAGTGGCGCAATCCCGGCTCATTGCAACCTCCGCCTCTTGGGTTCAAGTGGCTCAGCCTCCCAAGTAGCTGGGATTACAGGCGGCCACCACCATGGCCGGCTAATTTTTTTTTTGTATTTTTAGTAGAGTCAGAGTTTCACCATGTTGGCCAAGCTGGTCTCAAACTTCTGGCCTGAAGTGATTCACCTGCCTCAGCCTCCCAGACTTCTGGGATTACAGGTGTGAGCCATCACGCCCGGCCTATTATTGTTTTTTAAGACAGGGTCTTACTCTGTCACCCAGGCCGGAGTGCAGCGGCGCAATCACGGCTCACTGCAGCCTTGCACTCCTGGGCTCAAATGATCCTCTTGCCTCAGCCTCCCGAGTAACCGGAACTGCAGGCATGCACCATCATGCCTGGCTAATTTTAACTTTTTTTTTTTTTTTTAGAGATGGGGTCTTGCTATTTTGCCCAGGCTGGTCTTAAACTCCAGGGCTCAAGCGATCCTCCCAACCTCAGCCTCCCAAAGTGCTGGGATTACAGGCATGAGCTACTATGCCTGGCTTGAAGGACATTTGGAACTGCACCTGTTGTGCTGGAAATGCTGTGTTAGTTCTAAGCACGAGATTGGGCCCCCTCTGCTTGCACCCTCAATTCCTGCTCTTTCCCTTCTCCCAACCTCTGAGCCTCATCACTGTGGAAGGAGGAATTTCCCATCAGCCCCATCAGGTGCTGCTCTCCGAGCCAGCCCCTGGTCCCCCTCTCCCCTCTCTAGGACCAGCAATAAGGAGCTTCGGCACCTGATTGAGGTCTCCGTGGTTTTATGGGCTGTTGCTCTGACCAGCTGGATCAGTGACCGTCTGCTTTGCAGCTTCTGGCAGAGGATTCATTTCTTCTATCTGCACAGCATCTGGTAAGCACATGCTCTGAGGCTGTGGGGGGCCCAGAGTCAGAGAATCTTAGATGCCAAAGCTCGGAGTAGGCACCTGGGGGCTGGGGTTGGAGAAGCAGAGAGAGGAGAGCCAGACACTGGGACCTGGCGGTAGGGGAAGGCTGCAGTCACGGGGCCAGACCCAGAAGGCTCCCCTGGATGGATGGTCAAGAGCCATGAGAAGTAAAAAGAGGGCCGGCGTGAGGCTGTGGGTATCTTGTGCCCTCGCCACCTTCGCCCTGCACTCCACAGGCATGTGCTCATCAGCATCACCTTCCCTTATGGCATGGTCACCATGGCCTTGGTGGATGCCAACTATGAGATGCCAGGTGAAACCCTCAAAGTCCGCTACTGGCCTCGGGACAGTTGGCCCGTGGGGCTGCCCTACGTGGAAATCCGGGGTGATGACAAGGACTGCTGAGACCTGCCAGCCTCTTGACTATCCAACCACCCAACAACTTGCCTGTGTCTTGAGAAGATAGCCCCGGTCAGGACTTGCACCTGCGGGACACTCGTGGTTCCTTCCTCTGTTTCCCCTTCCGTGTCCTCCTTGTCCTGCGCTGCCCTGCCTTGAGGCAGATGATGGACTTTGTGACATCTCTGAGCAGCAGCCTGGTGACTGTGGGGGGCTGTCTCGTGCATCTCCCCTCCATGACCCCCCCCATCCTCTTTCATTTCCTCCTCTGTGTCCACAGCCTCCCAGTGACCATTGTCACATGAGCTGGTGGGACTGTGTCACCAGGTACTGGGGTGACTGAAGGATGTGGCATCTAAATATTAGCTTCTAGGCTGGGAACGGTGGCTCACGCCTATAATCCCAGCACTTTGGGAGGCCGAGGTGGGTGGATCACCTGAGGTCAGAAGTTCAAGACTAGCCTGGCCAACATGGCAAAACCCCGCCTCTACTAAAAATACAAAAATTAGCCGGGCGTGGTGGTGCATGCCTGTAATCTCAGCTACTTGGGAGGCTGAGGCAGGAGAATCGCTTGAACCCAGGAGGCAGAGGTTGCAGTGAGCTGAGATCATGCCATTGCACTCCAGCCTGGGCAACAAGAGAGAGACTCCATCTCAAAAAATAATAAATAAATAAATAAATATTAGCTTCTAAATATTGGTGGTCACTACCAGACTCCCTCATCTGTCTCTGGCCATGGCAATGTCCCTGGCTCTTGGGGGACACCCCAGAGAATGAACATGACTTCCAGGCACCTCATTCTACATCCACATGTGCATGTGGAGATGTTACATGCAGACCCACTCATCTCCTCCCACGGACTTGTGAGGTCCTCAGGTTCACAGCTGAGAACAGCAGAGTCCCAGACTGGGCAGTCTGGGTGCTTTGGGGGCATGTGGACATGAGAGAGGAGCGAGGGTAGCCAGGATAGTCTCTAAAGCAGTGGTGGAGTGGTGGGGAAGGTCTGTTTTCATGGTGGTTAAGAGCACGGGGCCTGGAGTCAGGCAGACCTAAGTTAGAATTCCTGCTCCACCATTTTCTAGTTGTACAATCTTGGGGAAGTGATTTTTCCTGCCTCAGAAGCTCAAGGACATTGTCTGTAAAACAGAAATAATATTCCTTGTCTTGTGGGGGTTTTTGTGTGGTTAAAACAAATGAATGTGTGTGAAGTCCTTAGCATAGAGTTTGACAAACATCCAGCCACCCACTCATCCTTTAATTCATCTGCCCCATAATTTATTCATCCATTCATTCATTCATCTACCATTAATTTATTCATTCATCCACCCACCCTTTAATTCATCTACCCATTAATTTATTCCTCTATCCATTCATCATCCACCCATCCTTTGATTCATCCATCCATTAATTTATCCATCTAACCATCCACCTACCCATCCTTTAATTTATCTACCCATTAGTTTATCCATCTACCTATCTTTTAATTCATCCACACATTAATTTCTCCATCCTTCCATCCACCCGTTAATTCACCCATCCAATACTTTATCCATTCATCCAGCCACCACTAATTTATCCATCCATCCATCCATTCATCTATTGAACTCTCCATTGAACTATCATCTATTCATCCTTTAATTTGCCCATCCAGTAATTTATCCAACGATTCCGCCTTTCTTCTATTATCTATCCTTTAATCCACCTATTCATTCATTAATGTATCTATCCATCCATTGAATCATCCATCAAACTATCCATTCATCCATCCATCCATTATCAATTATTCATCATCATCCATCATTTATTATCCTTTCATTCATCCACCTATTAAGCCATTTATCCATTAATTTACCCAATTATTTATCCATCACCTTACCCTACATCCATCCATCCATCCATCCATTCGCCCACATTTAGCCATTCGTTTGTCCATTCATTTATCCATCCAAATCATTCAACCATCCTTTCATTCATCTACTTTTCAACTACTCATTCATTCACCCATTCAACACACATACATATATTGGGCTCCTGCTATATATCAGATGCTAGCCTCTGGGGATCCAAGACAACAAAGACATACAACGTCCTTGCCCTAATGAAGGATATAGATATTAAACAAATAAAAACACACACACACAAAGCACTTCCAGCCATTGATAGGCGCTAAAAAAGATAAAATACAATAATATTCTGGAAGATGATGGTTCTGGGAGCAGCACTATCACATGGGTGGTCCAGGGAGTGCACTTTGCAGTTGAGCCCTTAATGACAAGAGGGAACCAACGATACCAAAAGCCAGGGCAAGTCCATTCTGGACAGAGGGAATGGCTGTGTGAAACCCCTGGGATGGGAATGAGCTTTCAAGCTGGAGCAACAGCAAAGACTTTTGGCCAGGCTCAGTGTCTCATGCCTGTAATCCCAACATTTTGGGAGGCTGAGGTGGGAGGATTGCTTGAGCCCAGGAGTTCAAGACCAGCATGAGCAACACAGCAAAACCTCCTCTCTATGAAAAATTTAAAAAAAATTAGCTGGGTGTGGTGGCATGAGCCTGTAGTCCCAGCTACTTGGGAGGCTGAGGTGGAGGATGGCTTGAGTCCAGAAAGTGGAGGTTGTGCCACTGCATTCCAGCCTAGACACATAGTAAGAGGTTCTTATCTGGGGTCCCTGGATGGGTTTCAGCGTCCACAGACCACTTGACATTGTGTGCAAAAGATGGGTGTTTGGGCATACAATCTAGGTGCCTGGAGTGCATCACTTTAGATAAATGAGAATACTCTCATTTTATAGATGTGGCTCAGAGAGGGCAAGTGACTTGCCTAAGGCCACACATCGTGGACTTGAACCCAGTCCGTCCTTTTCCAAAGCTCTTTGCACTACAGTGAGACAGTAGTGGGACTGAACTTGGATTCCTGGTCATCTGCTTCCGAGTCCTTCTTCCTTTCTTGTTCTAGAAGCCAGAGGTTTTTCACTTGTGGCTCCAGGATGGATCATGGTGGTAGGAAGAGGTGGGGTTGAGGATGTCTGTAAACTTGTAAAATCATCTGCAAAATGTTGTGTGTCTTGGTGTATTTGGGGGAGAGGAGCTGTGATTCCGTGACAGCCCCTGAAGAGGTGTTTGACCACCCAAAGAGTTGAGAACCTCAGTTAAAAATCTTCTTGGGGAGGGTGGCTGAGCACAGTGGCTCACGCCTGTAATCCCAGCACCTTGGGAGGCTGAGGTGGGCAGATCTCGAGGTCAGCAGATGGAGACCATCCTGGCTAACGTGGTGAAACCCCATCTCTACTAAAAATATAAAAAATGAGGCAGGCATGGTGGCCGGCGCCTGTAGTTCCAGCTACTCAGGAGGCTGAGGCAGGGGAATGGCGTGAACCTGGGAGGCAGAGCTTGCAGTGAGCCGAGATCACCCCACTGCACTCCAGCCTGGGCGATACAGCGAGACTGCGTCTCAAAAAAAAAAAAAAATTAGCCAGGCTTGGTGGCACGTGCCTGTAGTCCCAGCTACTCGGGAGGCTGAGGCAGGAAAACTGCTTGAACCCGGGAGACAGAGGTTGCAGTGAGCCAAGATTGCGCCACTGCACTCCAGCCTGGGCAACAGAGCAAGACTCTGTCTCAAAAAAAAAAAAAAAAAGAATCAACAAACAAAATCTTCTGAGGGAGGAGGATAGAGAAGCGCCTGCCTCCTCCCCTGACCCCGTGGCTCTTCCTCTTCTTTGCCAGCTTATGTGGCCCGAGTGCAAAATCATTTAAAAAAAAATCCCGCTCTATCCCCAGTATCTGTCCTCTGGCTCCTGCTGGCCCCTCCTCACAGCCTCCTCTTGGGGCATGAACGTAGCCGATGAGCAAGAGGCCTGGGTAACCTCTGCCTCCCGGTTCAAGCGAGTCTTGTGCCTCAGCCTCCTGAGTAGCTGGGATTACAGGCACGTGCCACCACGCCTGGCTAATTTTTGTATTTTCAGTAGAGACGGGGTTTCACCATATTGGCCAGGGTGGTCTCGAACTCCTGACCTCATGATCTGCCCACCTCGGCCTCCCAATCCAGTCTGTAACTCTTTTTTTTTTTTTTTTTTTGAGACGCAATCTCACTTTGTAGCCCAGGCTGGAGTGCAGTGGCGTGATCTCGGTTCACTGCAAGCTCCACCTCCCGGGTTCACGCTATTCTCCTGCCTCAGCCTCCTATGTAGCTGGGACTACAGGCGCCCGCCACCACGCCCGACTAATTTTTTGTATTTTTAGTAGAGACAGGTTTCACCGTGTTAGCCAGATGGTCTCGATCTACTGACCTAGTGATCCACCTGCCTCGGCCTCCCAAAGTGCTGGGATTACAGGCGTGAGCCACCGTGCCCAGCCTCCAGTCTATAATTCTAACAAGCTACATGACCCTTGCACATCCTAGTCTCCATCAGGGAAGGTCTCTTGGTGACAAAGGACAAAATATTCAACCCCAACTGCCTGAAATCACAAATGGACAATCAGCATATATACTTTTTTTTTTTTTTGAGACAGGATCTCTGTTGCCTAGACTGGAGTGCAGTGGTGCGATCTTGGCTCACTGCAACCTCCACCTCCTGGGTTCAAGCAATTCTCATGCCTCAGCCCCCGAAGCAGCTGGGATGACAGGCACCCACCACCATACCCGGGTAATTTTTGTATTTTTAATAGAGACAGGGTTTTACCATGTTGGCCAGGCTGGTTTTGAACTCCTGACCTCAGGTGATCCGCTTAATCAGGAAGGTCTGTTGGTGAAAAAGGACAAAATATTCAACCCCAACTGACTGAAATCACAAACGGACAATCAGCAATATGTACTTTTGTTTGTTTATTTGAGACAGAGTCTTGCTCTGTCACCCAGGCTGGAGTGCAGTGGCACAATCTCGGCTCACTGCAACCTCTACCTTCTGGGTTCAAACAATTCTTCTGCCTCAGCCTCCTAAGTAGCTGGGACTGCAGGTGCATGCAAGCATGCCAGCTAATTTTTGTATTTTTAGTAGAGGTGGGGTTTAACCATGTTGCCCAGGCTGATCTGGAACTCCTGAGCTCAGGTGATCTGCCCACCTCAGCCTCCCAAAGTGCTGGGATTATAGGCGTGAGCCACTGTGCCTGGCCAGCATATCTACTTTTGAAGTTCAGCCCCAGGCTGCAGACCTGGCTGGGTCCAGGCTTCAAATGATGTCACCAGGGCCAGGCTCTCTTCGTCCCTCTGGCTGGCTTCATGGGTGGGAGCGGCCACCAGGAGGGCTAGGCTGCCTTCTTTCCAAGTTTAAAAGTGAACTCAAAAGCTCCAAGCACAGGCTGGGCTTGGTGGCTCATGCCTGTAATCCCAGTGTTTTGGGAGACCGAGGTGAGAGGATTTTTTGAGACCAGCCTGGGCAACATAGCGAGAACCTGTCTCTACAAACAAATTAAGAATTAGCCAAGCATGGTGGTGTACACCTGTGGTCTTAGCTACTTGGGAGGCTGAGGCAGGAGGATCGCTTCATGAGCCAGGGAGGTTGAGGCTGCAGTGAGCCATGATCACACCACTGCACTCCAGCCTGAGTGACAGAGTGAGACCCTGTCTGAAAAAAAAAAAAAAAAAAGAAAAAGAAAAAAGGGCTGGAGCAGTGGCTCACGCTTGTAATCCTAGCACTTTGAAAGGCCAAGGTGAGTAGATTGCCTGAGATAAGGAGTTCGAGACCAGCCTGGGCAACATAGTGAAACCCCATCTCTACTAAAATACAAAAAATTAGCTGGGCATGGTGTCACACACTTGTGATTCCAGCTACTCGGGAGACTAGGGCAGAAGAATCGCTTGAACCCAATTGGCGGAGGTTGCAGTAAGCTGAGATTGTACCACTGCCCTCCAAACTGGACGACAGAGTGAAACTGTCTCAAAAAAAAAAATGCTGGGTGCAGTGGGCTTATGCCTATAATCCCAGCACTTTGGGAGGACAAAGCGGGCAGACCACCTGAGGTCAAGAGTTCGAGACCAGTCTGGCCAACATGGTGAAACCCTGTCTCCACTAAAAATACAAAAAATTAGCCGGGTGTGGTGGCACACACTTGTAATCCCAGCTATTCAGGAGGCTGAGGCAGGAGAATCACTTGAACCCAGGAGGCAGAGGTTGCAGTGAGCTGAGATCACGCCACTGCATTCCAGCCTGGGTGACAAGAGCAAAACTCTGTCAAAATAATAATAATAATAATAATAATAATAATAATAATAATAATAGCAGCTCCAGGCACACATGAAGATGCTCAATATCATTGTTGTTAGGGAAATGAAAATCACTGGTCAGGCACAGTGGCTCACAACTGTATTCACCACACTTTGGGAGGTCAAGGTTGGCGGATCACCTGAGGTTAGGAGTGCAAAACCAGCCTGGCCAACATGGTGAAACCCCATCTCTACTAAGAATACAAAGTTTAGCCGGGCATGGTGGTGGGCACCTGTAATCCCAGCTACTCGGGAGGCTGAGGCAGGAGAATCGCTTGAACCCAGGAGGCGGAGGTTGCAGTGAGCCGAGATCACACCACTGCACTCCAGACTGGGCGACAGAGCCAGACTCCATCTCAAAAAAATATATACTTATGTATGTGTATTGCAACAGGTGGCTGTGTGTGTACTTTTGTGGCAGGCAGCAAACTGGGAGCTTACAGGAAACAGGTTGGAGGCCAAAAGGAATTCCAAAAAGTACCCAAAAGAGGGCTGGACCGTCTACTAGGCAAAATAAAAAGGGAACACTCAACGTTGTTCCCGGGGTGCAAATAAAGTGAACCACTAGAGGGCGGTAGAGACTTAACGTATTAACAGTAACAGTTCCGTTATGGACCAAAAGCAAGACCAGAACATCCAAAATGTTACTTTCTTTGGAGTTCAAGACCAGCCTGGGCAACATAGGGAGACCCTATCTCTACAAAAAAAAATTTTAAAAATTAGCTGGATGTGGTGGCACATGCCTGTGGTCCCAGCTACTGGGGAGGCTGAGGTGGGAGGATTGCTTGAGCCCGGGAGGTTGAGGCTGCAGTGAGCTATGATTGCGCCATTGCACTCTAGCCTGGGTGACTAGATTTAAAAATCTAGGCTGGGCGTGGTGGCTCACGCCTGTAATCCCAGCACTTTGGGAGGCCGAGGCGGGAGGATCACGAGGTCAGGAGATCAAGACCATTCTGGCTAACATGGTGAAACCCCATCTCTACTAAAAATACAAAAAATTAGCTGGGCGTAGTGGCGGGCGCCTGTAGTTCCAGCTACTCGGGAAGCTGAGGCAAGACAATGGCGTGAACCTGGGAGGTGGAGCTTGCAGTGAGCCGAGATCGCGCCACTGCACTCCAGCCTGGGTGACAGAGCGAGACTCCGTCTCAAAAAAAAAAAAAAATCTAAAAAGTTGAAGGGCTACAAGTACAGTTTGTCACATGCATATATTGCATAATGGTGGTCTTGGCTTTTCGTGTATCCATCACCTGAATAATATACTTTGTATCTGTTATACAATTTTTCATCACTTTCTCTCCTTCCATCCACCCCCCCCGCCCACCCAATGTCTATCATTCTACACTCTACACCCATGTGTACACATTATTTAGATACCACTTATAAGTGAGAATGTATAGCATTTGACTTTCTTTCATCCATCTCCAGAACTTTCTCATCTTCCCAGCATGAAACTGTCCCCATGAAACACTCACTCCCCAGCACCCTCCCCTGCTCCTGGCATCCACCAGCCTATTTTCTGTTTCTATGAATCTGTTGACTTGAGGGACCTCTGTTGACTCCTAGGAGAGGAGTGGAATCACACAGGATTTGTCCTTTTGTGTCTGGCTTATTTCACTTAGCATAATGTCTTCAGGGTTCATAGATACAAGGTCTTGCTCTATTACCCAGCCTGGAGTGCAGTGGTGCCATTGCAGAATTCTTGGGATGGTGTCACTTTTCTGGCTGTAAACCTCTGTGGCTGGTGGCATCTTTGCCTGAGTTTTGCTCAGGCCCACTGGGCTCATTCTGCCCACTTGACCTGGCAGGCTACACTCGGCTCTTGCTACCAGCCTGGATCCCACACCTGCCAAGGGTGTGCCAGGTGTGGAGTGGCAAGGGGTGTGTGTTCAAGCAAGCATGGGGTCTAGCCCCTGTGCACAGTCAGACACACCGGCTGCTGCAGCAGGGTGAGCAGCTCCAGGTGCCGGCATGGGCACTGGCTCTCTGCAAGGCTGCGGCTTGGCCAGGTGCACCACAAGTAGCGTCCATGGCTGCCACCAGGGACCATGGTGGAGCCCAGAAGCTTGGAGACTCCAAGCTTCATGCTGGGCCTCAAAGAGGGAGTCACTGCCCTGGCTCAGGGAGCTCCCAGGTCTAGGCTTTCTGAAGGGCTGGAGCTCTTCTCTCCTTCTCATTACCATCAACACGGCAAGCAAGGGGCGTGTTTCAGCCCTGTTTGTGTTATAGCTCTTCCAGTCCTGCCATTCGGCAGGTCCCAAGCTCTTGTCCTGCGCCCAAGAAGAATGAGGTACACGGACAAGTGGAGGGTGAGCAAGGTGAAGAGGAGCTTTATTGAGCAACAGAATAGCTCAGAAAAAAAAAAAAAAAGGCCCTGGAGTGGGTAGATCCTCTCTGTAGCTAGTCGTCATGTCAAGTGCTCAGCTCTCAGCAGAGAGGAGGCCCTGGAGTGGGTTGCTTCTCTTTGCAGCTGGTCATCCCTATATCTGTCTAGCTATGGCTGAGCCCAGGGCTTTGATGGGCCTCAGAGGGGAGGAAGTCCATGCTGATTGGTCCATGGGCAGCCTGGAAAAGGCACCACAAGTTCCCACTCTGGTCTGTGGGACTGGCAGCCTGGCCCCCAGGCTTCAGGGCCTCCCTGGCTTGAAGGTGGGACCTCACCGGGGATCCACCCCCTTCCACCCAGGAACCTGTCTGCCTCCTGCTGCTGTTCGTGGTGATGAGGCTATAGATGCCAAGGGGCACCTGCAGGTCAGCACCAAGCTGCCCTCAACCCCTCCCTCAGCTTCCTTCCTATGCTCATCAGCACCCAAGGTCCAGAGGGGGCTGAGGCAGCAGGGGACTGGAGTGTCACCACTGCCCCAAGCATGTGCACACCCAGCTGGGCTGTGACAGTGCCTGGGCTTGGCCCCAACTTTGCTCTGAGACTGGAATGGGTGCCAACAGCAGGGAGAAGCCAGGCAGTGGGAGCAGGCATTTCCAAGCCTGCGAGGGCAGGGAAACCTTCCTGGGACCCCAAGAGTGCAGGGATGCCTGGGTACACAGCCTCTGTTTGGGTGGCTGCAGCTGCATTGGGGGTGTGTGCGACTCCTGTTTACTCTGTGGAGTGGGAGGCCCGGCTCTGCAGCTGTGGTTTGGGCAGCTGCAGCTGCACCTGGAGAGATCTCATCCCAACTCAGGAGGGGCGGGACTCCTGCTTGGCCCTGCCACAGCCATCAAACTCCCCTCTGAAGAGGTACGTCTAACTGCTGTTAGGGTAGGGATGATGACTATTCTTTTTTTTTTTTTTTCGGAGTTTCACTCTTGTTGCCCAGGCTGAAGTGCAGTGGTGCAATCTTGGCTCACTGCAATCTCTGCCTCCCGGGTTCAAGCAACTCTCCCACCTCAGCTACCCAAGTAGCTGGGACTACAGGCGCGTGACACCACACCCGGTTAATTTTTGTATTTTTAGTAGAGACGGGGAATCACCATGTTGGCCAAGCTGGTCTTGAATTCCTGACCTCGTGATCCACCTGCCTCGGCCTCCCAAAGTGCTGGGATTACAGGCGTGAGCCACCGAGCCTGGCTGGATGATGGTCATTCTTAACTGCTTCATGCTGACAGGGGGCATTGTTTTCAGAAAAATGGCAGTCAGATTTTCCCTCGGGGGCCTATCTAAGGGCTCCCAGTAAAAGGGAGTCATCGTCTGAGGCTCCATTTGCATCACCATTTGGAGTTTGACAGTCTGTCCCTTTAGTTTCTTCTGAGCTGCAGTCAGAGATCACTGATTGGTTCACTCCTACAAATGTCAAAAGCTACAATAGCTGGAAAGAAAAGCTTCCTTGATTCTGAAAAACAAAACAAGGGATCAGCAATGTTCCAAGCAAAAAATCAAGAATGATTACTTTGGTCTTCCATTAGTTCAATTCACCCAGTCAACTCCTGTTCACAATCTCCAAAGTTATCAGAAACCTGCACTTGAGGTCTATAATCCACCCTTTGAAGAAGATCAAAACAAGACAACAGCCGGGCGTGGTGGCTCACGCCTGTAATCCCAGCACTTTGGGAGGCTAAGGTGGGCGGATCATGAGGTCAGGAGATTGAGACCATCCTGGCTAACACGGTGAAACCCCGTCTCTACTAAAAATACAAAAAATTAGCCAGGCATGGTGGCGGACGCCTGTAGTCCCACCTACTCGGGAGAGGGAGGCAGGAGAATGGCGTGAACCCGGGAGGCGGAGCTTGCAGTGAGCCAAGATCACGCCACTGCACTCCAGCCTGGGCAACAGAGCGAGACTCCATCTCAAAAACAAACAAACATAAAAAACAAGACAACAATTGCCTATGAATGTCAAAATGTCCTAGGGTAGTCACAGTCAAAATCATGATTGACAAAGAAATTTGGTAACCACTGTGGTCTACAATAACCTAACATAATAACCCTAATTATGATTCATAACACTTTCTCAGACGTCAGAACTTTAGAAATCCCATACAATTTTGGAATACACATTAACATTATTCACTGAAATGCAACCCACCGGAGACCAAACACCACCTTATTTTGGCAATCCTATGTAGCTAAACATGTCAAATCATCCTGTCTACTTCTTCCCTGGACACTCCAGGGATCCTCTGTAGCATCCAAAAGCTAGGGGTTAGAAAAGACAATTTTGAAGTTGAAATGTGATTTCGGGAAGCCTATCAAACATACTAAAGGCTTATAACATTTATTATGAAACCGCAGATCAGTGCCCTAAGAATAGCAGATCGTGCTTCCATTCCAATGTTCAACTTACAGGAAAACCAAATAATACCCTTTTGAATTTAGTCAATATGGACTGAGCATGGTAGCTCATGCTTGTAATCCCAGCACTTTGGGGAGTTGAGGTGGGCAGATCACTTGAGGTCAGGAGTTCGAGACCAGCCTGGACAACATGGCAAAACCTCATCTCTACTAAAAATACAAAAGTTAGCCAGGAGTGGTGGCATGCACCTGTAATCTCAGCTACTAGGGAGGCTGAGGCAGAAGAATCGCTTGAACCTGGGAGGTGGAGGTTGCAGTGAGCCAAGATTGTGCCACTGCACTCCAGCCTGGGTGACATAGTGATCTCAAAAAAAAAAAAAAAAAAAAAAAGAATTTAGTCAATATATTCACACACACAATTCCTTTTATAAGATTAATTTTTACAAACCTTCTATAACTTGTTTAAACCCTTAGCTTTATCTTATCTAATTTAAAACAATCCTTTAAATTTCTAAATTTGGCAAAAATTTACATTCCCATGCCTTCTTATATTCTTTAACTAAAGACACAGTTTACTTTCCTTATATACTTTGCATGTAAGTCTATTTTCAGGAGTCTCAATTACATGTTATAATGGTAACTCTTAGCAATTCTTATTTTTGGTAAAAAGAAAACCTAGTTAAAAAAAAAAAAGAAAACCTAGTAAGTTATTTTAATTATGTCCTAGGTGCAGATAAGATCTGAATATTTCCAGCATATCTAGGGGTGTGATTAGCTCCCTATGTCCCTAGTCCTTACCAAACCATAAAGCAGGCAAGTCAAACAGTTTTCAAAAGCCAAAGAAGCAGTTTATGACTTTAAAGCATTTAGCAAACCTAATATCTGAGCTGCATAATTTGGACCACATGTCTACATTTTGAAGTCATTTTTATTTTACCAATAATCTTTAAGACTATTTTTATTTCTCTAAGATTAAGTCATGAGAACTAAAAGGCATTGCAGTTTCTATTTTTCTTCAAGAATATTTGACCTAAGTGCTTATTTTTCCTTAAGCTAATCAGTTAGAGTTCTTTTATATAAACATCACACATACAACACATATATAACTATATGACAGACAGGAGATCCACTAGTAGTTGTAAGATTTTTCTTTTTTCCTTTTTCTTTTTTTTTTTTTTTAGACAGAGTCTCACTCTGTTGTCCAAGCTGGAATGTAGAGTCTCACTCTGTTGTCCAAGTGGCATGATCTTGGCTCGCTGCAACCTTTACCTCCTGAGTTCAAGCGATTTTCCTGCCTCTGCCTCCCAAGTAGCTGGGATTACAGGCGCCCGCCAACTCACCTGGCTAGTTTTTGTATTTTTAGTAGAGATGGGGTTTTGCTATGCTGCCAGGCTGGTCTCGAACTCCTGGCCTCAGGTGAATCTCCCACCTTGGCCTCCCAAAGTGCTTGGATTACAGGTGTGAGCCACCGTGCCCAGCCTCTTGTGCCAATTTCTTAATTGGATTACTGGCCGGGGGGTGGAGCCCTTCGAGAACCAGGGCTAGGAAAACATGTAGTTTCTAAGGCTTAATAAGTAGGCATAGCTGGAAGACAAAAATAGATTTTGAGAGGGATCCATCTGCCCGTAATTCCTGAAGTTCCTGAGGAAAACAGAGGTTTTTCCCAAAACGGATCAGTGGCGCCTCCTCTGTTTTTCCCAAGGAGTCCCAGGCCACCAGAAGTCATCCTGGAACCCCTCATGTGTGCATTAAGAGTGGCAAGACAAAAATGGAGAAAAATTGTTCAGTTGACCGAAAAGAAAACACCTTTTTCCAGAAAAACAAAATCTACAACGATAAACGACATAAAGGCCTTTTAAATATACCTATAGTTTGGATATCCTCCATCTTTAATTAAGCTGACTTTTAACCATCACATTTCCTTTTTTTTTTTTTTTTTTTTGAGACAGAGTCTTGCTCTGTTGCCCAGGCTGGAGTGCAGTGGCTTGATATCAGCTCACTGCAAGCTCCGCCTCATGGGTTCATGCCATTCTTTTGCCTCAGCCTCCTGAGTAGCTGGGACTACAGGTGTCCACCACCACACCTGGATAATTTTTTTTGTATTTTTAGTGGAGACGGTGTTTCACCATGTCAGCCAGAATGGTCTCGATCTTCTTACCTTGTGATCTGCCCGCCTCGGCCTCCCAAAGTGCTGGGATTACAGGTGCAAGCCATCACACCTGGCCAACCATAGCACTTCCTTTTTAAGAAGTCCTGGCCAGGCGCAGTGGCTCATGCCTATAATCCCAGCATTTTGGGAGACTGAGGCAGGTGGATCACCTGCAGTTAGGAATTCGAGACCAGTCTGGCCAAATGGTGAAACCCTGTCTCCACTAAAAATTACAAAAATTAGCCGGGCATGGTGGCACATGCCTGTAATCCCAGCTACTTGGAAGGCTGAGGCAGGAGAATTGCTGGAGCCTGGGAGACGGAGGTTGCAGTGAGCTGAGATTGCACCACTGTACTCCAGCCTGGCCAATAGAACAAGACTCTGTCTCAAAAAAAAAAAGGAAATCTTTTAAAATATGTTACTACCTGACCTTAGCCATGCCAAATGGCCAATACTTCTGACTTTTGAACTCATGGAGGGGCAGAGAATACAGTTTTTGTCATTCCTACAACCAGCTTGCACAGAGAGAGAGAAGCCAGAAGTCCAACTGCTAAAAACTCTTACCCTTTTGTCAGCATGTCAGGCTTCTGGGTTCCATTCCCCTGAGCCATGGAGCCCTATTGACCCTGGAGTCCTGTGAAGGGGAACAGCCAAAGAGAAGTTGTCCCTCCTCAAGAAATTGCCAAGCAGTTTAACGCTTGGGGAAATTAAACTCTTCCTAGTTTGCGGGATGGATCCCAGGGGAGTATCCTGTGGTACAGAGGTGTGATTACCCATCTGTGAAGAGAGAACAGAGGAGGAATAAAGGAAAAATGTTTTTTTCTCCAGAGTCTGAGGGTCAAAGGAGTTCCAGTGTCTTTTTTCTTTTCTTCTTCTTTTTTTTTTTTTTTTTGGCAGAGTCATGCTCTGTCACCCAGGCTGGAGTACTGTGGCACAATCTCAGATCACTGCAACCTCTGCCTCCTGGGTTCAGGTGATTCTCCTGCCTCAGCCTCCCAAGTAGCTGGGATTACAGGCACATGTGCCACCATGCCCAGCTAATTTTTTGTATTTTCGGTAGAGATGGGGTTTTGCCATGTTGGTCAGGCTGGTCTCAAAGTCTTGGCCTCAAGTCATCCACCCACCTTGGCCTCCCAAAGTGCTGGGATTACATGCATGAGCCACCACACCCGGCTGCGTTCCAGTAATTTAGAATGCACTTGAGAGGAGTGCAGGCTGAAAATGATTGGTTGCTTACCCATCTGGAAAGAGGGGAAAGACATCCCTTTGTTCCTCTCTTTCCAGTGAATACCTGGGGTACGTGATGGAGATTTTTTTAAAAAGGCATCTCTTTTTCCTCTTCCAACCTTATATCCTTGAGTCCCAGTGACCTTTGCAGGTGCCACTCATAGCTGCGAGTGCAACCTTCACCCATGCAGCGGGAAGGCCTAGTGGGTAGGAATATTCGCACTTACCTACATACCACCCTATCCTTCTGCTGTTGGTAACCTTTGGGTTCCCTAGACCTTATCTATGCTTCCATCCATGAAGCAGGAGGGCTAACTGGCAGGAATTAGTCATGCTCACCTGGGCTGTGCCTCTCAACTCCTGCTGTCATCTGCCTCAGGTCTAATGTCCCATTTCAGGACTTTAAAGTGAAGCTTGGGACAAAAAAGGTGACTCAGATGGGTCTATGGACCCATTAAATTAGTCCCATGTGGCCCTCGCCAAATTGCAGATAGCAACTGGAGGGGGCTGCTCCTCTACTGCCTCTCTATCATAAGCAGGTGAAGCCGTGAGGCCAGGTCCTCCTCAAACAAGGGAGAGAAAGGGAGTCCCAGAAATTGGGGACCTGACCTAATAAGGTGCCTCCCTGATACAGTTTGGCTCTGTGTCTCCACCCAAATCTCATCTTAAATTATACTCTCATAATTCCCACATGTTGTGGGAGAGACTCAGTGGGAGGTCATTGAATCATGGGGATGGTTTCCCCCATACTGTTCTCATGGTAGTGAATAAGTCTCATGAGATCTGATGGTTTCATAAAGGGTTTCTGCTTTCACTTCTTCCTCATTCTCTCTTGCTTCTGCCATGTAAGAAGTGCCTTTCTCCTTCTGCCATGATTGTGAGGTTGCAGTGAGTTGAGATTGTGCCACAGTACTCCAGCCTGGGTGACAGAGCGTGTCTCTGTCTTAAAAAATAAATAAATAAATAAATCACTGGAACGCCTTTGACCCTCAGACTCTGGAGAATCTCCTCATGATGTGGAACTGTGAGTCCGTTAAACCTATTTTCCTTCCCAGGCTTGGGTATGTCTTTATCAGCAACATGAAAACGAACTAATACACTCCCTAACGGAAACAAAAGTAACCCCACAGAGAAAAGCTCCCTGTAGTCACAAGACTATGTTGACTCCTGGCGTGGTGGGGAAGAAGACCTGAGATGCTGCTTACAGTCGTGCTAAGAGAGGAAGGGGGCCTGGGTTGGGGAGGAGAACTGAAAGGCCTGCTCCAGAGTCCAGGAGGTGGCTACCTTCCTCCCTTCAACCCAGGGCTCCTGGATGGTAATAGTGGTCTGAACCATCAGAGCTTGGGAAAGGAGCCCTAGAATCCATCTGTCCTTCTGGACCATCTGGAAGTCTGGTCCTGGACCCGGCAACCTGTGTCTCCAGGGACAGGCTGCCCCTACAATGGTTCCCACTGCAAACCAGACAGGGTTGAGGTGGCCTCCCCGCACTGCCCAGACAGTCTCTCCTGAAGTGGCCTGGCCTGCCACATTTGCAGCAGACAACGGGTGCATCTCAGGGACTATGGAGTCCGTGAAGCTTCAGGGCAGGTATTAGAGCTTTTGCCTTTTTTTCCGTATCTCCTCTCTCTTTTCTGGACTTCCTCCAAGTTCCCACAGCAAAGTCTAAGGTGACCACTCCCAGGAGGCCCTCCAAAGTACCATCTGGCCCTGCAGCCTGTTTCTGAAGCTCCCTCCTGACATCAGGGCCTGACTGTGTCATAAACTCATCCTCTAGGATCAGATGTCCCTCTCCTCAATCAGGACTTAGGTGTGTTTTACCAAGGCCTCTCTTAGCCTTTCCAGGAAGGCAGTGGGACTCACGCTTAATCCCTGTCTACCATGGATAGCTTAGTGTAATTGAGAGGCTTTGTCCTAGTCCTTCGTATGCCCTCTGGTATGCACACCTGAAAGTGTTTCCTCTTCCATTCTTTTTTTTTTTTTTGAGATGGTGTCTTGCTCTGTCGCCGAGGCTGGAGTGCAGTGGCATGATCTCGGCTCACTGCAACCTCCACCTCCCAAGTTCAAGTTATTCTCCTGCCTCAGCCTCCTGAGTAGCTGGGATTACAGGCATGTGCCACCACATCTGGCTAATTCATTTTTGTATTTTTAGTAGAGATGGGGTTTCACCATGTTGGTCAGGCTGGTCTAGAACTCCCGACCTCGTGATCTGCCCACCTCGGCCTTCCAAAGTGCTGGGATTACAGGTGTGAGCCACCGTGCCTGGCCTCCTTTTCCATTTTCTTTTTTTTTTTTTTTTTTGAGACAGAGTCTTGCTCTGTCATCAGGCTGGAGTGCAGTGGCATGATCTCAGCTCACTGCAATCTCTGCCTCCCAGGCTCAAGTGATTCCCTGCCTCAGCCTCCCAAGTAGCTGGGACTACAGGTGTGCACCACCATGCCTGGCTATTTTTTTTGTATTTTAGTAGAGATGGGGTTTCACCATGTTGGGCAAGATGGTCTTGATCTCCTGACTTCATGATCCGCCCATCTCAGCCTCCCAAAGTTCTGGGATTACAGGTGTGAGCCACCACGCCTGGCCCCATTCTTTTGTCTCATCATTGAGGTCCCATTTAGGGTTCTTCAGTGGTACTGCTATTCTTCCAATCAGATAAGTCTCATCCCCTTCCCTGGCCCTATATAAGATATAAAGCTCATCCCCAAAATTCTGTGCCACTTTCAGGGTGGCCTGCTTTTCAGTGGTGGTCAGGGTTTGATTCAAAAGTAACATGAAGCCGGGTGCAGCTCATGGC
Source organism: Homo sapiens (assembly GCF_000001405.40). Lineage (NCBI taxonomy): Eukaryota > Metazoa > Chordata > Mammalia > Primates > Hominidae > Homo > Homo sapiens. The sequence continues at coordinate 6,289,635 of NC_000019.10, read as the reverse complement.
TGTAATTCCAGCACTTTGGGATACCAAGGTGGGCAGATCACTTGAGGTCAAGAGTTTGAGACCAGCCTGGCCAATATGGTAAAACCCCATGTCTACTAAAAATATAAAAATTAGCCAGTGTGGTGGTGCATGCCTGTAGTCCCAGCTACTTGGGAGGCTGCGGCAGGAGAATCACTTGAACCTGGGAGGTGGAGGTTGCAGTGAGCCAAGAGAGTGCCACTGCACTCCAGCCTGGATGACAGAGTGAGACCCCATCTCAAACAAAAACAAAAACAAGAGTAACATGACATCTTTCCAGGAGAGCTCAAATACTTGGGTTAAGTTCTGGAAACTCTCTATATACCTGTGAGGGCCATCTGAAAACTTGCCAAGATCTCCCCTTAAATTTGCCTTAAGTTCTATAGAGAAAAGGAAAACTGAACTTCAATGGGACCATATTCACCAGGCATCTGTTTTTGGGCAGTTGAGACTGGGACCTGCCTTAAACAAGGATTACTATGCCGGGGCAAGCTTGAGAGAGAACCTGGATAGGGAGGAGTTGAGGGGATTGATTCCCCTGCTGGAGGTACCTCTGGGGTATGCTTCCCTATTTCTCTGGGATTACCCCTTGCAGCTTCTCCTGAGAAGGCCATTAGGACAGCTGAATCAATCCTACAATGTTGGCAAAGGTCCAGATTACCCTGCAAGGCAAAGAAGGCCTGCATGTATGGGACCTTGGACCATTTATTTGCCCTTGTGTTTACAGAAAAGCTTCCTTCCTGAGGCCATGCTTCTGTTCTGTGCCTCAAGGTGCCTTGCACCAAGATGGCAACCAAGGAAATGACAATAACATTTTTCCCACAAAATTATGTACAGATACCAAGGCACACTTTGCTCATCTGTGCTACTCTTAACCTTCCATTTTATACTTTTGATGACTAAGCCAAATGCTCATTCTATCCAGTAATTTCTCTGTTTTGCAGCAACATTCTTAACATTTAACATTGTAGGCTGGATGCGGTGGCTCATACCTGTAATCCCAGCCCTTTGGGAGGGCGAGGCAGGTGGATGACCTGAGGTCAGGTGTTCAAGACAAGCCTGCCCAACATGGTGAAACCCCATCTCTATTAAAATACAAAAATTAGCCAGGCATGGTGGTGCATGCCTGAAATCCCAACTACTTTGGAGGCAGATGTTGCAGTGAGATAAGATCACACCACTGCACTCCAGCCTGGGCGACAGAGCAAGGCTCTGTCTCAAACACACACACACACACACACACACACACACGCGTGCGCACAGAAATTTAATGTTGTATATAAAGAAGAGATAGGAGCTGGGTGCAGTGGCTCATGCCTGTAATCTCAACACTTTGGGAGGTCAAGGTGGGTGGATCACCTAAGGTCAGGAGTCAAGATCATGCCATGCCACTGCACTCCAGCCTGGGCGACAGAGCAAGACTCCATCTCAAAAAAAAAAAAAAAAAAGAAGAGATAAGAACCTTGACAACCATGAAAGAAAGAAAGATAGGAGACTGGAGGTCCTAGTGCCAACAACACCCTAATGGGCGCTTAGGGACTTGAGTTTCAGGAGTTAGTCCAGGGGCCTTTGGATAACACTGAGGCATAGCCTCAGCCAGATACCCTCAGTTGCCCCAGGACCTCCTTCTGGTCCCATGTAACAGGTAGACCTCATGGAAGGAAACGGGATTGAAACAAACCCAACATTCTCAACACTTGAGGATGATGAGGGATTGACAGTGTCCTCCCCAGCAAGGCTATCATCCATGTTTTAAGTCCAGCATCTCTGCTAGTTAATTTTAACTGGCTAATAGAGGCCTGGTGTTTTTCTTTCATTTTAGCTATTGTTGAGTTTAGGGACTCCTAAAAAGGGACAGAAAGAGCAGATCTGCTTTTACTCACCCTTTCACTCACCCTTCTGCAGATCCTGGACGAGCCCTCAAAAATGTTGCAGGATCCTTGGGGTGTTGATTTCTGGTTGGAAACCTCTGTGGCTGGTGGCACCTTTGCCTGAGTTTTGCTCGGGCCCACTGGGCTCATTCCACCCACACGGCCTGGCAGGCTGTGCTCAGCTCACACTACTAGCCTGGATCTCACACTTGCCAAGGGCAAGCCAGGCATGGAGGGGCGAGGGGTGTGTGAGCAAGCAAGCAAGCATGAGGTCCGGCCACTGCATGCAGCCAGGCACACCAGCTGCTGCAGCAGAGCAGACAGCTCCAGGTGCTGGCAGGGGCCCTGGCTCTCTGAGAGGCTGCGGCCAGACCAGGTGCACCATAAGCAGCTTCCACAGCTGCCACCAGGGAATGCAGTGGCACTCAGAAGCTTGGAGACTATAGGAAACACTGGGGTCCAAAGAGGGAGTCACAGCCCTGGCTCAGGGAGCTCCTAGGTCCCTGAAGGGCCACAGCTCTTCTCTCCTTCTCTTCACCCACAACATGGCAAGGCGCATGTTTCAGCCCTGTGGGTTTTATAGCTCTTTCAGCCCTGCTGTTTAGCAGTTCCTGAATTCTTGTCCTGTGCCCAAGAAGAATGAGGTATGTGGACAAGTGGAGGGTGAGCAAGGTGAACAGGAGCTTTATTGAGCGACAGAGTAGCTCAGAGGAGGCCTTGGATTGGGTAGCTCCTCTCTGCAGGCAGTCCATCCTGTCATTTTCTGTGGCTCTCAGTGAAGAGGAGGCCCTGGAGTGGGTAGCTTCTCTCTGCGGGCAGGTTGTCCCATTGCTTGCCCAGCTTTCAGCAGAGGGGAGGCCCTGGAGTGGGTAGCTCCTCTCTGCAAGCAGGTTGTGCCATCATTCCCTGCAGCTCTCAGCAGAAGGAGGCCCTGGGGTGAGTTGCTTCTCTCTGCAGGCAGGTCATCCCATGTTCATCCCAGCTCTTAGCAAAGAAGAGGCCTTAGAGTGAGTTGCTCCTCTCTGCAGCTGGTAGTCCCGACGTCTCTGCAGCTCTCAGCAGAGAGGAGGCCCTGGAGTTGGTAGCTGCTCTCTGAAGCTGGTCATCCCGATATCTGCCCAGCTTTGGCTGAGCCCAGGGCTTTTATGGGCCTCAGAGGGGAAAAAATGCATGCTGATTGGTCCATGAGCAGGCCTGGAAAAGGCATCACATGTTTCCACTCCAGTCCATGGGGCTGGTAGCCCAGCCCCTAGCCTTCAGGCCCTCCCTGGCCTGAAGGTGGGGCCTCACCAGGGACCCATCCCCTTCCATCCAGGAACCTGTCTACCTCCTGCTGCTGTTGATGGTGCCCAGGCTATAGGTGCCAAGGGGCGCATGCAGGTCAGCACTGAGCTGCCCTCAGCCCCCCCTTTGGCTTCCCTCCTATGCTCGTTGGTGCCCGAAGTCCAGATGGGGCTGAGGTAGCAGGGGGCTGGTGTGTCTGTGCTGCCCCAAGTTTGTGCACACCCTGCCTGGCTGCAACAGCTCTGGGGCTCAGCCCCAACTTTGCTTTGAGATGGAGTGGGCACCAACAGCAGGGAGAAGCCAAGCAGTGGAAGCAGACATTTCTGAGCCTGCAAGGGCAGGGGGAACCTTCCCGGGCCCCTAGGAGTGCAGGGACTCCTAATCTGCAGCTGCAGTTTGGACAGCTGCAGCTGCACCTGGGAGGGTGGGGCTCCTGCCTGCCTCTGGGCCTGAGAGCCCAGTAATGCCCAGGTCTGTAGCCATGGCTTTAGTGGCTGCAGCACCACCCAGGGAGCTCCCACCCCAATGCAGAAGGGGCGGGGCTCCCACTTGTCACCAGCTTCTGCCAGATCTATGGAACATGCAGTCCTGGCCATTCCTCTGTGCTGCAGCTAGTAAGATGGTGGTGGCCAGTCCAGATGGCCAGCCACTGCCATCAGTGCAATCATAGCCCACTGCAGCCTCAAACTCCTGCGCTCAAGCAATCCTCCTGTCTCAGCCTTCTAAGTAGCTGGGACTACAGGTGCACACCACTACACCCTATTTTCTTCCTTTCTAAGGTTGAATAAGCTTCTATTGCATGGATAAACCATGTTTAGTTTATCCGCTCATGTGTCAGTAGACATTCAGTTCCTTCCTCATTATTCTTTTTTTTTCTTTTTTTTTTGAGACAGAGTCTCACTCTGTCGCCCAGGCTGAAGTGCAGTGGTGCAATCTTGGCTCACTGCAAGCTCTGCCTCCCGGGTTCATGCCATTCCCCGGCCTCAGCCTCCTGAGTAGCTGGGACTACAGGCGCCCGCCACCACACCCGGCTAATTGTTTTTTTTTTGTTTGTTTGTTTGTTTGTTTTGTATTTTTAGTAGAGACGGGGTTTCACTGTGTTAGCCCGGATGGTCTCAATCTCCTAACCTCGTGATCCGCCCTCTTCAGCCTCCCAAAGGGCTGGGATTACAGGCGTGAGCCACCACACCCGGCCCTTCCCCATTATTCTTTTCGATGTTCAAAGTATTCCACCTCAGCCAGTGGGAGCCCAGGGGATGCAGTTTTGAAAATTCCCAACAATTTAGAACCTAAGTGAACAGTAATTTCCCAACTGAATAAGGGGGAGGGGATTGAGTTCCAGAAGCTCATATTTGTAGCAAGTGTAGACTAAAGGTTCTTTCCTGCAAGCTTTCTTCAAAGACAGATGCTGGCCAGGCATGGTAACTCATGCCTGTAATCTCAGCACTTTGGGAGGCTGAGGCAGGTGGATCACTTGAGCCCAGGAATTCAAGACCAGACTCAGAAACATAACAAGACTCTGTCTCCACAAAAAAAAGAAAATACAAAAATTAGCTGAGCATGGTGGTATGAGCCTTTATTCTTGGCTACTTGGGAGACTGAGGCAGGAGGAACACTTGAGCCTGGGAGGTGGAGGTTGCAGTGAATTGAGACTGCCACTGGACTCCAGCCTGGACAACAGAGCAAAACTCTGTCTCAAAAAAAAAAAAAAGAAAAAAAAAAAAAAGATAGATGGCTACCCCTGACTCCCATTTTGTCCCTTTACCTGGGACAGTGATTCTGAAAGTTAGGTGAGCCTTGGAACCATCTGTAGGGTTGGTTAAGCCACTGCTGTCCAAACACTTAGAATTTCTGGTTCCATAAACAAGGGTGGGGGAAGACCAGAATGTGCATTTATAGCAACATACCCAAGTGATGCTCACACTGCTGCTTTGGGGACTACTTAGAGCAACTGATCTACTTACATCCAGTGATAGGATTAAAAAAAATTTTATTTTTTGGCCAGGCACGGTGGCTCACGCCTGTAATCCCAGCACTTTGGGAAGCCGAGGCAGGAGGATCACAAGGTCAGGAGTTTGAGACCAGCCTGGCCAAATGTTGACACCCTGTCTCTACCAAAAATACAAAAAAACTAGCCGGGCGTCGTGGCGAATGCCTGTAATCCCAGCTACTCAGGAGGCTGAGGCAGGAGAATGGCTTGAACCCAGGAGGCGGAGCTTGCAGTGAGCAGAGATTGTGCCACTGCACTCTAGCCTGGGCGACAGAGCGAGAGTCCGTTACGGCCCGGTGTAGTGGCTTATACCTATCATCCCAGAACTTTGGGAGGCTGAGGCAGCAGGATTGCTTGAACCCAGGAGTTTGAGACCAGCCTGGGCAAGACGGTTTTTTTGTTTTTTTTTTTTTTGAGACACAGTCTCACTCTGTTGCCCAGGCTGGAGTGCAGCGGCACAATCTGGCTCCGAGCTCACTGCAACTTCTGCCTCCCGGGTTTAAGCAATTCTTATGTCTCAGCCTCCCGAGTAGCTGGGATTACAGGCACATGCCACCACACCCAGCTAATTTTTATATTTTTAGTAGGGATGGGTTTTCACCATGTTGGCCAGGCTGGTCTCAAACTCCTGACCTCATGTGACCCGCCTGTCTTGGACTCCCAAAGTGCTGGGATTACAAGTGTGAGCCACTGCACCTGGCCATCTACAAAAAATTTTAAAAGTTAGCTGGGCGTGGTGTTTATGTGGGAAATAGGCATATCTAAATAGGTGCATGCCTGTGTTCCCAGCTACATGAGAGGCTGAGTGGGAGAACCGCTTCAGCCCAGGAGGTTAAGGCTGCAGTGAGCTGTGTTTGTACCACTGCACTCCAGCCTGGGTGACAGAGCAAGACCCTGTCTCAAAAAAAAAAAAAAAAATTATCAACATTAAATCACTGCTTATTTTCTCAGCATGATCTCCATTTTTTTTTCTTTCCAGCACCACCTGCCCTTGATTAAAAAGCATGGTGGTATTACCATGACAGCAACCTGACCTTCTTTAGAGTTTTTATCTGGACTTACTTTCATTCCAAAGTTACTCATTTTCTGGTGCTATTTGTTCTTCAGTGCAAACACTGGCCCCACTAGCTAATAAATGTTTGACTGACACTTAAGTGAGAAAACAATCTGTTTCTTTCTTTTCCCTTTTCTTTTTTTTTTTTTTTTGAGACAGAGTTTTGCTCTTGTCGCCCAGGCTGGAGTGCAGTGGCGCAATCTCGGCTCACTGCAACCTCCATCTCCTGGGTTCAAGCGATCCTCCTGCCTCAGCCTCCTGAGTAGCTGGGATTATGGGCACCCACCATCATGCCAGGCTAATTTTTGTATTATTAGTAAAGACGGGGTTTCACTACGTTGGCCAGGCTGGTCTCGAACTCCTGACCTCAGGTGATCCTCCCGCCTCAATTTTTTCTTCGTTTTTAAACAATTTTATCACTTTTTGCCCATGACACAGCTCACAGGAGATCCCAACAACGTGTGCCCCAACAATCTGATTTTTTAAAGAGGGGTTATTTATTTTTAATCCAACTTTTAAGTTCAGGGATACATGTGCAGGATATGCAGGTTTGTTACATAGGTAAACGTGTGCCATGGCAGTTTGCTGCACAGATCATCCCATCACCTAGGTATTAAGCCCGGCCTTTGTTAGCTGTTCTTCCTGATGCTGTCCCTCCCCCCACCACACCCCCTGACAGGCCCCAGTGTGTTTTGTTCCCCACTATGTTACCATGTGTTCTCATCATTAAGCTCCCACTTATACATGAGAACATGTGGTGTTGGATTTTCTGTTCCTGCGTTAGTTTGCTGAGGATGACGGCTTCTAACTCCATCCATGTCCCTGCAAAGGACATGATCTGATTCCTTTTTATGGCTGCATAGTATTCCATGGTGTATATATACCATATTTTCTTTATCCAGTCTATAACTGATGGGCATTTAGGTTGATTTCACGTCTTTGCTATTGTCAATAATGCTGCCGTGAACATACGCGTGCATGTGTCTTTATAATAAAATTATTTATATTCCTCTGGGTATATACCCAGTAATGGGATTGCTGGGTTGAACATTATTCATGCCTCTAGGTCTTTAAGGAATCGTCACACTGTCTTCCACAGTGGTCGAACTAATTTATACTCCCATCAACAGTGTAAAAGTGCTCCTTTTTCTCTGCAACCTTGACAACATCTGTTGTTTTTTGACTTTTTAATAATCGCCATTCCGACTGGTGTCAGATGGTATCTCATTGTGGTTTTGATTTGCATTTCTCTAATGATCAGTGATGTTGAGCGTTTTTCATATGCTTATTGGCCGCATGTATGTCTTCTTTTGAGAAGTGTCTGTTCATGTCCTTTGCCCACTTTTTAATGGGGTGGTTTGTTTCTTTCTTGTAAATGACAACCCGATTTTTAATGACAAGAAGGAATTAAAATAACTGCACAAGGATCCCCAAATCACAGGCAGAAGTCCTAATGTCCAAGAGACAAGTGGCTTATAAAGTCCTGAAAAAATGGGGTTATGCCTATTTCCCACATAAACACAGTTTACAGGTCATTGTAAAATTTTGTGATCCTCAATAAATCAAAACAGTTTTTTGAGAGATGGGTATTATTTAAAATTTTGTGGATAACATGAGATTCTCTCTTTAAAAATTATATCTTTGTTCAGGGCGCAGTGGCTCATGCCTATAGTCCTAGCACTTTGGGAGGCCATGGCAGGAGGATTGCCTGAGGCCAGGAGTTGGAGACCAGCTTGGGCAACATAGTGAGATCGCTCTTTCTATAAATAAATAAATAACCAAACTAGCCGGGCGTGGTGACATGAGCCTGCAGTCAGTCCTAGTTGCTTGAGAGGCTGAGGTGGGAGAATTGTTTGAACCCAGGAGGTCTAGGTTACAGTGCGCCACGATTGTGCCACTGCACTCCAGCAGAGACCTCATCTCAAAAAAAAAATCTTTATTGACAAATAATAACTGTATATATGTATGGGGTACACCTTGATGCTTTGGTACATGTATACATTATGGAATAAACAAATCAGGCTAATTGACATATCCATCACCACATATACTTATCAATTATTTATGGTGAGAACATTCAAAATCCACTTTTAGCATTTTTTTTCTTTTTTTTCTCTTTTTTGAGACAGAGTCTTGCTCTGTCACTCAGGCTGGAGTGCAGTGGCATGATCTCATCTCACTGCAACCTCTGCCTCCCTGGTTCAGGCGATTCTCCTGCCTCAGCCTCCTGAGTAGCTAGAATTACAGGCACACACCACCACGCCCGGCTAATTTTTGTATTTTTTTAGTAGAGATGGGATTTCACCATGTTGGCCAGGCTGGTCTTGAACTTCTGACCTCAGGTGATCCGCCCCCCTCAGCCTCCCAAAGTGTTGGGATTACAGGCGTGAGCCACCGCATCTGGCCGCTTTTAGCAATTTTAAAATATAAAATTACATTATTATGTAGTCACCTTGCTGTGTGATGGATCGCCAGAACTTATTCTTCGTGTCTAACTGAAAACATGTGACTCTCTTGGGTCATTTGAATGTAGCACGATTTCAAATTTGTATCATTCAAATTAGCATGAAGAATCACACAGTACTGTTCTTCAACCTATTTCACAGATGCACAAACTGAGACTCAGGGAAAGGTGAAGAAGGGGCTGACCAGGTTTGCCAAGGATTATGCAAGATTAGAAAATTAATCTCCACTTTGGGAGGTTGAGGCAGGCGGATCACTTGAGGTCAGGAGTTCGAGACCAGCCTGGCCAACATGGCAAAACCCCGTCTCTACTAAAAATACAAAAATTAGCTGGGCATAATGGCGAGCTCCTGTAATCCCAGCTACTCGGGAGGCTGAGGCAGTAGAATCTCTTGAACCTGGGAGGTGGAGGTTGCAGTGAGCTGAGATCGTGCTAGTACACTCTAGCCTAGGCCACAGAGCGAGACGTGTCTCATAAAAAAAAAAAAGAAAAGAAAATTAATCTCCAGTTCCAGAGCCCAGGGCTCGTTCCATTACATAGCAGCATCATGAGGTCAGGAAACAAAAGTGTCCCTACCGGGGGGGCTGGGGGATCCCTCCACAGGGCTCGAACCCGTAACCTCAGTTCCAGCCCCCGGGACGCTCCCGCCCTGGAGGCTCCAGCCACGAGGCAGCGCCCCCTGCGGGCCGCAGCGCGCAGGCGCCGCGCGCCCGTCCCGCCCCCGCCCCCCTCCACGTGCGGCGCACACCTCGCGCTCCCCTCCGCCAGGCTCGCCTCGCGCCTCCCTCCCTCCCTCCTCCCGCCCCTCCGGTCCCGGCCTCCCATTGGCTGCGGGCTTCGTCCCTCCGGCCGCAGCCCGGCAGGCCCCCGCCAGGCAGGAAGTCCCGCGCCACAAGCGGCCGTCCGCGCCGTCGATTGGCCCAGGTGGCTGTCAGTCGATGCGGCGGGCCCTAGTCGGCGGCGGGGGCCCGTGATCGGTGCGCGACCCGGGCTGGCGGTGGTTTCCGGTTCCGCGGGGCTGGCGGGCGAGCGGGCGGCCGGGATCGGCGGCGGCGGCGGCGGCGGCGGCGCTTGACAGACAATGAGGGCGGCGGGGCGGCGTTGAGCGGCGGCGGCGGCGGCGGCGGCGGCGAGCGACGCGGGGCCCGGGGGCGGGGCGGGGCGCCAGCCATGGACAATCAGGTGAGGAGCGGCCGCGCCGCCCCTGCGCAGCCCGCCCGGCCCCCTCCCGCCCGCCGGCCCGCCCGGCCCTCCCCGGTCCCGGCCTCCCCGCTCCGCGCCCGCCCGCCCGCTTTGTGCGCGCCCGCCGCTCCTCGGGCCTTTATGTGGGGCGGGGGCGCCCCTCCCCCATCCGCGACCCCGGCCAGGGCGCCTCGGACACCCTTCGGGACCCGGGCCGGGCCCGGAGCCCCTTGGGACGCCCCTGGTGACCCCCCAGCCTGGCTCGGAGACCCCCGGGAGACCCCTCGGAACGCCAGTCCGACCTGCATCCACCTGGGACGCCCCTGGGGACCCCAGCCCGGCTTAGGGACCTCAAGACAGCTCTCGGGACTTCAGCCTGGCCCAGAGCTCCTTCCAGGCACTTCCTGGGATCTGGGCCCTGTTCAGACCCCTCCCGGGGCCCCTCGGATCTGCCCAGTAGACCTTTCCGTCTCTAGGTCCAGGGCCAGTCACTGTCTCCTTTCCTGTCTGGACCCTTGTCCCCGAGTCGCCTCAAACTCCCAGAGTCCCCAACCTGCTGTCTGTCTTCCCTTCAACCTCAGCTCAGATATGAGGCGTCCCCGGCCCCCTGGGACCCTGCTCTGCGGCGTCTCTCTTCCTTGAACCCCGGCCCAGCCTAAGCTTTATCTCCACCCATCCCCTACCTGGACCTGAGCCTTCTCTCCCGTCTGATCCTGCCCCGGCTGCAGCCAGGGCATCCCTTTCTCTCCCAACCCCAGCCCTGGCCTGAGCTCCTCTGACTCCCTAGGACCCTGGCCTTCGGTCTTCTGCTGCAGGGACTCAGGCCTGTTTGGAGTGTCCCCTCTCTTTGTACTTGCTTTTTCAGACTTCTTTCTTTGACCCACCCTGCCGCCTCAGCCCCCTTCTAGTTTCAGGCCCTGGTCACTCTCCCTCGGACCCGGCGGGGCTGTCTCTTTCACCTTCAGACCCTCTGCTCTGAGACCAGGACCAGGAGCAGTTTCTTCTCTGACCTGGATTCCCCAGACCTTTGAGTCACTGATGGCCTGCTGTTCCCCTCAGCTTGGGCCCTCTCCGCCCCTGGGATCCTGATTTAGGCTTCCCCACACTTGACCCCAGTCCAGATCTCCCTCCCAGGCTGGTTGGTCACGTCACAGTCCTGCAGTCTCCTGTACAACCTTTGCCTTCAGGATCTCCCACTTCATCTAACGCCCATCAGCCTGATGAGTCCTGATGTCTCTTTCAGCCACTACCCTCTCCCTCCTTCCACCTCATTTTCTGTTTTTTTCCCCCAGGATCTTAGAGCCTCAGTTGAAACCCAGGGTGGGTGGGTGGGTTCCCCAACCTCCCTAAACGCTCTGGACGGCCCCTCCCCATTGGTCTGTGTTGGTTCTCATAAACACGAGGCCTTCCTGCACCCTGGCACCCCCTTTACCCAACTCTGCGCTGCCTCTTCTCCAATACCCAAGCCCCTACCCCTCTTCCTCAAGCCCAGAAGCATTGCTGGCCCCCAACATGGGATCATTTCTTCCTCCTCCTCTGCTGCCCTGGCTTTCAGGGGCACCAGGCCAGGAAAGGTGTTGTGGGGCTGTGGGGGTGGCAGCCAAAATCTCCGCCGTTAGAGAGGGCAGGTTGGGGCGTCCCTGGCTGCTGGCGCCACTGAAGTGGCACTGTCTGTGTGGTTTCATGGGTGGGGGGCAAGAATCCTCCCTCCTGCCCATCTCGGCGCCTGTGGCACAGGGTCATGGAGACAGGTGTCTCATGCTTCTGGCACCCAGTTCCCATGGCTTCCCATCTGGTTTGGGTGTTGCTGCCTTCTTCTTAAGAGGTAAGGAAGAGTTTGCAGCAGTTGATTGGTGGATTTCCACGGCGTGGTGTGAGTTGATTTCCGTTGAAGGGACAGAGCTTGTTGCTTCCAATCTGTATTGAGTTAAAAACCCAAATGAAATATACCTTTAGTGTCCACTTTCAATGAAGCCCACCTCCAGGCAAGTCCCGCTGGGCACACAGAGGCATAGGGTATGGCCCCTTTCCTCCTTCCTTAGTCCCTGGGGGAGATGTCCTAGGCCGAAGCGTGTCTGTTCCCCTTGTGATGTGTGGAACCCTGGAGGTCTGGGTGGCTGTCACTTATGTAAGTGGGATGGTGGAAATGGGTGGCATTCCTGGTCTGCGACAGAGGGAGATAAAGGTCTCACTCAGGTGGACAGGTGTGGGAGAGAGCTGGCTTTGCACTGCCCGGTACCACAGTCACCAGCATCTGTGGCTGATTTACATTTAAACTAACTCGAATGACAACTTCAGTTCCTCCATCGCACCAGCCACATTTTAAGCACTCAGTAACCACCATTACTGAGCTACTGAGCTACTGACCACCCTGTCGGGCAATGCAGATGCATTTCCATCATCGCAGAAAGTTCCGTCGATGGTGATGGTCTCCCTCCTTGCAGAAGTGTTTGCAAGGGAAGCTGCTCCTGGAGGGAAGTGTGTTTGGACCCAAAGTCTGATTCTAGCTTCCCCAGCAAAGCTTTCATGCAAATTTGAGAGAGGCCCAAGGGTTCTGTCCCTTCCTCACAGAGCCGGAGGCCCCTGGGGAAACAGGAGAGAATGGTATCTTTTACTCAAGTAGGTGAGTTGGTGGTCAGTGTCCCTGCGGGACTCTTGGCACAGGGAAAATGCTTTGAATCGAGCAGAACCCGGGCTTCCGCTCCCACTAGCCCCCCAGATGCCACAAAATGTTAGTGCCTCATTATAGTGGGAAACAGCACAGCTTTCCGCCCAGTCGCTGGCTTTGGGAGGCTTTGATTCTCTTTTTGCCTTCCTCTTTTACTCTCTAGGACTTTCAGACCCCCCTAAGAAGCAGGATTTCCCACTGTGCTCTGGGCTCCCAGCTTCTCAGCATTGACATCTTTTCCTTATGGCCAGGAAAATGCCTTTCTGGTTCTCTTTGCCCCAACCGTAACCCGCATGTTTGATTCCCCCTCCGCCCCAAGTCTGTGCTGGTGTTGTCTGTGGTATTTGTATTTTTTTTGGCAGGGGGATGAGCGAGTTCCCTGCTCACTTAAGGGTTATGTCTGGAAGGAGTGTGGTTTGTTTCCTGGGCTGGGGCCGGGGGGAGGGGACTGGGACGTGACAAGGATAAGGCTGAGCAGATGCCGAAAAGAGATTGGGAAAGGGCCTGAGAGCAGGTCACGGGGACTGGGGCTGCCTAGGGAGCTGGGAGGTGGTGTCAGCATCTGGGCGGTCACGTTCTTCAAAAGGACCAGGGAGCACCCCCACGCTCGAATTGCTGCTTGCTGGTCCTGCAGATGCTCTCCTAGGTTTGGGTTTGAGAGCAGCTGCCTCACAACGATGTTCTTCAGCGGGGAAAGTTTGTTTCTGATGCCAGGGGCCCATTTCACAGATGTGGAAATGCAGGCTCAGAAGTCCTACCAGCAGGCAAGGGTGGGTAGACTCTTCCTCCTGCAACTCGGCTGCTCCCCAAACCTGCCCGAAAAGCTCCGAATTACCCAGGTTGCTGGCTGAGGTGTGACAGATTCCTCACCTGCTCCCAGCTCTGAAGCTACTCCCTGGAAAGCTGACCTGCCAGTTTTTTTGTCCTAAAGTGATTATATTGTGAAGCAGTTGAGGGCAGGGACCAGAGTCCCATTTCCCTTTATGCCCGTTGTGGTTCGTAATGGGAGGTTTTGCACTCAGCTTTGCCAGCTGCTGGTTAAATACAAGTAACTAGGAATCAGTCCCTTTGCAGCCAGGCCCACCTGGTCTGGTGACAGATGCCTGTATTGGGGTTGTGCACATTCAAAAAGTCCACCAAGGCTCCTCCCCCTCCCCCCTGGAGAACGTGGGAGATAGCCGGTACACTGTCTACACGTCTGTGGGCCCCTGGTTCGTAAATACTCTGTCCCAGGCCTCCCCTGACAATGTGGTCAGAGAGTCAGTCTTACCAGGAATCTGCAGACCCTATAAAGGGGAACTTGCATTTCCAGGTGGTCTACACACCACTCTTAGAGAGTTTCCAGAGAGAAATTCATTGAGTGCCTTCTCATCGCTTTGTCATTGTGCCTTGGGTCAGAGGGACGAGGACAGATGGAGCCAGAAGAGGGGTGGAGGTGCTGGCCCCTAGCCCCAGTGTGCCAGCAGTCAGGGGACCAGGACCCGGTGTACCTGTTAGTGAGAGGCCCCTGCCTTCTGGGTGGGCAGCTCTCCGCTTCAGAGGACTGTCACAGAGGGGCACCTGTCTTTCCCCATCTCTTACATTCTAATTCAGTGGTTACCACTGAGGGCCCCGACTGGGCTTGGCGGGAGAAGATTCCGCAGGGGGTTTTATTGGGTCTCATGTTGCCGTCGCTCCATGGGATCGCCCAAGCCTCGTCACCTCTTCCTGTTTGTGCATGTGTGGCTCACACACGTGCACGTGTTCAGCCCAGGAGGACCTCAAAATCAATTTAGGCTGAAGGGGGAAACGACTCCTCAGTGTTCTCCTCTCCTGGGATGGGAGGGGATCGTTGCCTCCGAGGGAATTAGATGCAGTAGCCGAACTCCAGGTGTAATTCCACCACTGGGCGAAGTCCAAGTTCCCAGAGGAAGGGCATCTATTGAGAATTCCCACCAGAAGACCAGGGGAAATCTTCAGATGAACTGGTTGTTGAAGACCTGCCTTCAGGGCTTGCAGGAAGTGGGGTACATTGGCTGAAGGAATTGTGTGAAGCTGTTGGAACAAGGCTGGCTCGCGGCTCTTTGCCAGGCGGCGGCCGCTGTAGCCCACACCTGGGGAGAACCGCACGCTGCGTTGAGAAAGCCCCGGGGAAGCTGCCCTCGAGAGGCTGCCTGGTTTGCCTGATTTGGGATTTTGGCCCTTTGGTTCCAAGTGCCCTCTGCCAGCTGGCCTGGAGAGAGGGCAGTGTCCCAGCTGAGGCCCTCTGCCCAAGCCTAACTGTCCCCAGATGGCCCTTGGAGCGCTCGTGCCCATCCCTCCGTCCGCTGTCTTTCAGATGGTTTCCCAGAAGTGAGACGGACAGCTCTTTCCGGGACAGTCCTGGAAGGTTCCCCTTTATCCTGGGCTTTTGTTGGGGAGTGGGTGTCAGGGTGGTCCCAGAGGTGCAGGGAAGTGGAAATCCCTGAGACCACAGCCCCCCGGCTCATTTCCAGCCGTCTATTCCAGAGGTTCCAAAAAAGTGGCCTCCCAGCAGCAGGCATTCCTGGTGCCTTGAAGGAACTTGCTGGGATAAAGTTGGGGGAGAGCCACTGACCAATCAGATTATTCACTCTAAGACATTCTGGAGAGCCTGTCACTTAACCTCTGCAGCCAGGCACCCTTCCTAGAGAGACAGCTAATTGATTAGCTTCAATTCTTTGGTCCTAATGGCCAAGGAAAGAGTCCAGGTGGTGTGGGGGAAGGGGGGTGGTTACCCTTGGCTATGGAATTGGCTTAGCTGTGCTAATAAATTATCATGACCTGACAAGTCAAACGCGTTGGCCGGGGCTCCACTTCTTGCCTCCCGTTGACGTGGCTTGAGCGTCTTACTGAATCTGTGATTCCTTTTTTACTACAACAGCAGAGACTCTGTTATTCCACCCTTCCGGGGAGTGCCCCCCTCAGCGCTCCACAGTCCCCTGGGTGCAGCAGGCCGGGCACCCGAACTTCGCATCTGTTGGCCAAGTCTGGGGTGTGTCCTTAACAGTGGGTGTTGAGGCTCAAGTTGGCGCCAGCCCCCAGGGCATCAGTGTCGCCTGGGCAGCACTTTGGGCCCGGCCTGCCGGCTGCAAAGATTACCCATCGCTGCCTCGGAACCTTCCTGTTTACTTTGGCCACTGCGGTGGAGTTCTGGTGCTTCCATCCTCCCCCTCTCCAGTGGAACCGCGGTCTTTCACTCTTTCACAATAACTGCTCTGCCGCCTGCGTGCCCTGGGTAGGAACTCCCTGTCATCAGAAATGCCGGGAAGTCGGCCGAGGTCTGAGTGGCCGGGTCAGTGAATAAGCGATTCCGAGGAGACACTGTCATTGTGTGGGAGTCAGCTCCACAGAAGCAGGGGTCGTTCTCCCGCATCCTGGTGCTGTTCCCATGATGTATATGTACATTTAGTTTTCACCTGTAATGCTCCCAGCGGGACAGGGGTTGCCTTCCTGTTTTCTAGCGAAAAAGGCAGAGGCGCAGGCGTGTAAGCATAGAGGGTGGTCATGGCCGCTCGGGGCTAATGTCAGTGTTGTTTTGGGTTTGTTGGAATGCGGTGGTGTTCAGGCAGACACTCGTGCTTGGCCTGAGTATTGCCATGCCGGTGCTCAGCCCTCACCTCGTGTGTTTGGTGGGGGTACTTTTACCTGAGATCCTCATGAATCCGCAGCGCCGGGGGTTTATGAGTGCGCCTGATCTTCCGTCCATCCCCACTTTCTTCCCACACTGGGGTCGTGAATGTCCCTGCTGCCCGGATCTTGGGGTTACCTGAATGTCCTCCACCCTCGGGTCCTGTCAGTTCTGTGGCTTTGGGCTGTGTTCACCCCTTTTTCCAGCCACTCCTTCTGGTTGCCTCCTCATGGGCTGGGGTTGCTGTTAGTTTGCCATTCGCCCTTTTCTGCCTGCACCCCAGGCCTTACACAGAGGGCCGGGGGCTTTTGACTCCGAGACCGTTTCCCATATCTGTCAGCCACTTATGACGACGGGTTATTTCTTTTGTCTCCGGCCTGATCCCAGGCACCCCCTGCAGTGTGCCTGGTCCCTAGGGAGTCCCTGCCCTCTTTTCCCAGGGAACTCCAGAGGGACAGTCGTCCTGAGCCAAGGGAATCCCCTCTGCCCCCTTTCCTTTTAAAAATTAATTTTTAGTTGACAAATAAAAATTGTACATCTGTATCATGTACATGTTTCAGTTTACTTTTTAAGTTGCCAAATAGAAATTGCACGCCTCCGCCTCATTTCTTATACCTGGCTTGCTGTGCGCACAGACCCTCAGCCTCTCTGGCCAGTTCTTCCACATGCTGGAACTGGCCTGTCCTTATCTGCCACCATGGCCCTGCCGTCTCCAAAAGCAGCATTTAGAACTCCCTGACCTGAGAGGCTCTCTGGTTTAATTAATCCAGCATCGTCCAGGCCTCCTGTCCCGTGGTTTCAAGATAGAGGCTAAGAGGACGAACAAGATGTAGTCCCTGCTCTCAGAGAGTTCACAGGGGCCCTGGGGGCTGCGTCAGCAACCCAGGAGCGGGGGATGGGATGAAGGGGCTCCCGTGGAGCTGTCCACAGGCTTCTGTGGGGACTCAAGGTTGGTCTCCAGCGTGGCTACCAGAAAGGGCCCTGGACAGGGCAGCGTGTGAGCCAGGACTTGAGATGAGTAGGGTTTTGAAACGAGCTTAGGGCACCCAGGCTGCGGCACTAGAAGAGATGAAGAGAGATAGGGTGGCTGTTCCTGGTGTGTCTGGGGCTGGCTGTAGGATTGAGCTGGAATGTGCGCGTTTCCTGCATTTCCTCAGTTCTGGGACTCTGAGATACCAGGACAGCGCCACCAACTCAGGAGCAGCTTCTGTGTCTGTGTGTGCACGTGTGCGCCTGTGTGCAGGCTGGACTCTGACTTCAAAAGGGTTAGGACATGAAAAGAGACGAGCGTCTCAGACTTGAGGAAATACACGCGTGGAAGACGTGCGCGGGGCTCGGGCTTCCTTCTGAGGGAGTGACAAGCCGTGGAAAGCTTTAACATGGCGGGCGGGGGTGGGGGCGATAGGATCTGCCTGCCCCAGCGGCTCCATCGCGTGACAACTGAGAGCTCAGAGGGGGACGGAGAGGGAGGGAAGCCGGCCAGGCGCCGGGGCACTCAGCCAGGTGGCGGGGTCTGAACGGGGCCTCGAAATGCCAAAGAAGAGACAGGTACTGGAGGGATTGCAGCCACTGGGACACACCTGGCCAGTTGCCGAGCGATGGCGTGGAAAGGCGCAGATGGGAGCTGTCTGGTCTGGGGCCCGGGAGGGCGGCTCTGTCAGGGGAGGGTGTGGGACTCAGGCCATGGTCTGGCTGGCTCCCGGCTATCTCAGCACTTAGAAGCAAGTGTGCGCTTGGCTGCTGCTTTATTTTGTAACATTCTTGTATTTGATAGCGGGTGTCAGGGCCGTATCTGTGAAAAGTCTGGGGAGGTTTTTACAAAGCAGGGTGGATATTTACTGTAGGTTCCCTGTTGGTGGTTTTGGCCAACCTAGGTATGAAGAGTGCTTTGAAGGCATGCAACTTTGTGTTCAGTGGCATGGAACTGGCCTGAGCTGCCTTGTATTTCAGAGCAAAGTGTCAGACACGACATGTGCTCAGCGGAGGGAGCTGGGCTGCCCAGGCCACGGGTCCACCTGGGACCGGTCACCAGGGGGCCGCAGGCTGGCCTCTGCCTTCTTCTTGGGAACCTCCCATTCTGCTTTTGAAACTGAAAGCCAGTGTTGTAGCTGATGACTTAGGGAAAGGAGAGGGGCCTCCGGGAGGCGCTGTGATGCGTGCTTGGGAATGAAAATGCTGGAGTCAACAAGCTTAGGTGGCAGAGACACCGACAGCCATCAGCAAGATGACTTTTGATAGTGAAAGTGCTCGGAAGAGCATCCTCTATGATAGAGTGATGGGAGCGGTGGTGGATGCTTTTGGATCGGTGGTCAGGGGAGGCTTCCCTGCAGAGGGACAGTCAAGCTGAGAGCCCAGTGACAAGAGGCGCCAGTGTGGGAAGTCTCAGGAGCAGAGGATCCTAGGCCAGTGTGGTGGCCCCGAGGCAGGAGTGAGCTGGGCTGAGCTGGGGACCGGTGAGGAGGCTGTGCGGGTGGAATTGAGGATGAGGCGGTGGATGAGAGGAGACACGGGGTCTGTGTGGGAGTACGGAGGGGAGAAGGCACGGGACGTCTGCGGCAAGGTGCTGGCGCGATAGGAAGCCGTCTGTGTGCTGCTCACTGGGTTGAGAGCGTATTGCACTGCTGGGGGTCTTTATCGAAAGTTCTCTGTGGGTAAGGGGACAGTCCCCTGCTTGGAGGCGTGTGCTGACTTCATCTCCCCACCTCTCTCTCCTCCAGTGCACCGTCCAGGTGAGGTTAGAGCTGGGGCATCGCGCCCAACTGCGCAAGAAGCCCACCACGGAGGGGTTCACTCACGACTGGATGGTGTTTGTCCGCGGCCCCGAGCAATGTGACATCCAGCACTTCGTGGAGAAGGTGGTCTTCTGGCTGCACGACAGCTTCCCCAAGCCCAGACGCGGTGAGTGGCCTCAAGCCCTGAGTGCCCACAGCACGGACCCATCTGTCTTCACTCCTCCCAAGGCCAGGCTCCACCCCTCCCTCAGGAGCAGCAGGACCCCTCCAACCATGAGGTTCCAGCTTGCGTCCCTCGGCGTGGGGGCACTGGAGCCGTGTCACCTCCAGCTGTTGAGTTAGTCGTAGGAAGAACCGAAGGAGGTGGTGGCGGTCTGTTGTGTCGTGATTTAGACCCGGGCTCTGGGAAGCAGCCAGGGAGCACAGCCAGGTTGGCATGGGTGGGACAGGTGAAGTCAGCCGGCTGGTGAGTGATCAGGAAGTTGCCGACCGGGCCTATGTTTGTTTGTGTGCCATGTGAAGAATTCCCAATATTTGGGGCAGAAAGAATGCCGGAGCTCATGTCACCACTGTCTTTTCCGTGTCTTCCCTCTCCCTTCAAGCCTCAGGCCGTCATTGATTCAGCACGAGTGCCTCAGTCGTGTATTCTGTCAGCGTCTCCACCTGTGGCGTGGGGGCCCTGGCCTTCCTGGAGGGTGCAGTGTGACGGGGCACAGGCAGGAAGTCACCCAGTTTATGATCAGGGATGCCCTCCTGGGGAAGTGAGCCCTAGGGAAAGGCTGTGGTGGGGAATCGGAGAGTGAGGTGGTGGTCTGGTGAGCGCCATCAGGGCTGGGGCCGCGTCTACTTTTCTTACCGCTGAGTCGCCAGTGTGAAGCCCGGAGCCCGGCACATCACAGGGGTTCGATAAATGCTTCTTGGGTGATGTCTTGATAAAGGAATGAGGGACTTTCTGTAGGAAGCACTTCAGGGTGGGAAGAGCCCTGGCTGGGCTGGTGACCCCTCTACCCTGCAATACGGGGGTCCCGGGAGCTCCAGGGGCCACGGGAGGTGAGCCGTGCACAAGCGTGGGTGTGCTTAGGTTGAAGCAAGAGCTTCCCGGGACCCGGGACCCAGGACCCTGGCCCTGAGCCTGTAAGTGGTTTGCAGCCTAGTGGGGAAGTGATGGGCGTTGACAGCAGTAGAGGCTTGTCATTCTGAAGGGATGCCCACCTGCGATTCCCTCAGCCTGCGGCTTCTCTTTCCCTCTGCATTTCTCCTTTCCTGAGTCTTCACCTTTTCCCCTTTTCCTTCCTCCCTCTCTAAGCCTCTTAGAGGATGGCCGCGGAGGCTCCTGACAGCGGCAGATGTTTATAAACCGCTTCCTAATCGTGGGGACACATGCCATCTATCGAGCACTTCCTGGCCAGCGCTTCGTGCGCAGGATCGCGTTTTCTTCTCGCCACAGCCCTCTTCTGCAGACGGGGAGACGGGTCCAGGGGGCAGGCCGCTACCTGTGCTTAGAGCAGGGTGGGCAGGCTGGCCTGTGGGCTGGGTCTGGCCACTGCCAGTGCAGCCTGTTTTTATTGGTGCACGGCCATGCCCGCCCGCATAGGTGTTGCCTGTGGCTGCTTTTGTGCCACGTTGGCAGAGCAGGAGCCTGGCTGCCCCTCCTGCACCAGGCCCTCTTTCCTTTCTCTGGTGGCATCCACTCCACTTCTTCACCAACCCCCTCACCCCTCCCCTTTTCTCTGTCCCTGGAGCACAGGGATGGGCCCCGGACGCTGATTTCCATCCACTTTGAGGCTGTTGATTTCACCTTTGTTCCCCACCACGTTGACATGGCACCTTCTCCAAGTACCTGGAAGGTGGGGTAGTGAGTGGGGCTCACTCTTAAGGGTTAGTTTTTAGTTTTTTGTTTTGTTTTGTTTTTTGTTTGTCGTGTTGCCCAGGCTTGTCTTGAGCTCCTGGCAGGCATGTGCCACCATGCCAGGCTTCAGTGTCAGTTTGCAGGCGGCCTTTAAATTAGTAGCTGAGCCCTGTTTGTTGCTGTCTGTCTGTGGGGCCTGGAGGCAGATAGCGGCCCCATCAAATGTATCAGAAAGTAAATTTCCAGCTCACACTCTGTGGCATTGAATAAAACTTTAGAGAGGGAGTGAACCTCTTAGAGCACTCCAGCCTCTGGATTGATACTTGAGGTACTTAAAAAGTATCTTTTACTTCCGCCCCAGCTTACATTATCACAAATCAAATAGGGTAGAAACATGTAAGGTACAAAGTTGCTGTTCCTGGCCTCCTTAGTCCTCCCTCCCCGGGGCTGTCTTCCTAGCCCTCTCTGGACTCCTCTTAATACCAGCTCATTTGCTTCTTATTTCTTGATTTTTTAAATGTAGACAATACTTACTGATTTACCAGCTTGAAGGGTTAGAATTTATCCCAAAGTACCCCTTTTATCCACTGTCTTCTCTAAGTTTTTAATAGTCCAGTGACTCGCTTTTGCGTTGGTTGTCTTTGTGACTTTGAATGATGATGTGAGCCTGTTTACCTTTGGGATCCTTCACAGAAGAGTCCCACGTCACCCTTTTTAGGGAGTCCTCTGGCTGCCTGGGCTCAATCGCGGTTTCGTTGCCCAATACACCCACACAGCCATATGCTTCTTAGCCTTTTTGTTTTCTGCTTTGGTTTTCTCCTTAGCACCATCTTAACATCTCGTACATATGACTTCTTCATCTTGTCCATCCCTCTCCCCACCCCAAGTCAGAGGTTTCTGTCAGTTTTGTTTGCTGCTACATGTTCGGTGCCTGCAGGGATACAGTAGGTGCTTACTAAGTGTTTGATGACTGGATGGACCCTTGCACCTGGTCAGCTTTTGTTAGTGTTTTCTGACTCTCCACTGAGGAGGGCAAGGCCACCAGTACCCTGTCTCTTTTTGACCCTGCTGCACCCCTCTTTTTGAGGCTACAATGGACGTTGTTAAGCTTATTGACGAAGACCAAGACCTTCGCTCCCCGATTATAGATTGACTGTAAGAGTTGGGAACTAGCAGTAGGCGGCGTTGACATGTTTGACGCTGTCACCATCAGGCTGGTTGGGACGGCAGGACTTCATTCAGCTTCTGTTTCCCATGTCCTGAACTCTGGGCCACTCCAGAGAGAAGGCTCAAAGTCAGGTCTGTGTGAAACGGGTTCTTTTTGGTCATTTTTGGTTAAAATTTGGCCCTATTTTAGCTTGCTTCACATTTGGTCTGTGGCTTTTGGAATACCCCCTTACTTCTCCTTTTTGCATTGTGTCTTTAGCATACCTTCATTTTCCCCCCATTCTCTCAGTCATTTCATTTATTCTGTGGAATTTTTTTTTTTTTTTAATTTTTTGGCCGGGTGCGGTGGTTCATGCCAGCACTTTGGGAGGCCGAGACGGGTGGATCACCTGAGGTCAAGAATTCAAGACCAGCCTGGCCAATATGCTGAAACTCGGTCTCTACTAAAAATACAAAAAAATTAGCCGGCTGTGGTGGCGCATGCCTTTAGTCCCAGCTACTCGGGAAGCTGAGGCAGGAGAATCGCTTGAACCCAGGATGCAGAGGTTGCAGTGAGCCGAGATCATGCCAGTGCACTCCGGCCTGGGCGACAGAGCGAAACTATGTCTCAAAAAAAAAAATTCTTTTAGAGATGGGGGTGTCGCTGTGTTGCCCAGACTGAACTCCAACTCCTTGGGCTCAAGCAGTCCTCCCGCCTCTGCTTCAGGAGTAGCTGAGTTTACAGGTGTCAGCCGCCTTACCTGGCTTTCTGGCTTGTTTGTAAAGTCCTCTGAGTGTTTCATGCTGGTTCTCTGTGCCTTCCTTCTCTAATCACAACGGACTCTTATCCAGCCACCCCTTTAGCCACTACCCTGGGCCTTTTCTCTCCTGTTCTCCTGAGGTTTGTTTATCGGCCTGTGTTTTGGTTTATTTTCTTGTTTTGGTAGAGCAGTGTCTCAAGTAATATTCCAAGAGATTACTTCAGACATTTCTGGCTGGGCGCAGTGGCTCATGCCTGTAATCCCAGAACTTTGGGAGGCTGAGGCAGGCGGATCACCTGAGATCAGGAGTTCAAGACCAGTCTGGCCAACATGGTGAAACCCCATCTCTACTAAAATTACAAAAAGTTAGCCAGGGGCAGTGAGGATGCCTGTAATCCCAGCTACTCGGGAGGCCGAGGCAGGAAAATCGCTTGAACCTGGGAGGCAGAGGTTGCAGTGAGCTGAGGTCGTACCACTGCACTCCAGCCTGGGTGACAGAGAGAAACTCTGTCTCAAAAAAACAAACAAACAAAAAAAATTTATAAGACGTGGGCAGTAAACCCTTTGAGTCCTAGCATGTTTGAAAATGCCATTATTCTCTTCTCACAGTAGAATGGTTGGTTGGGTGTAGTTTTGTGGTTTGGGAATTACAGGTCAAGAATCCCTAAGCTGAAAATCCGAAATCCAAAACTTTTTTTTTTTTTTTTTTTTTGGAGACAGAATCTCATTCTGCCACCCAGACTGGAGTGCAGTGTTGTGATCACAGCTTACTGCAGCCTTGACCTTTGGGCTGAAGCAGTCCTCCTGCCTCAGCCTCCCAAGTAGCTGAGACTACTGGCCCGCCACCATACCCAGCTAACTTTTTTATTTTTTGCAGAGACGGGATTTCACCATGTTGCCCAAGTTGGTCTTGAACTCTTGGGCTTAAAATCTTCCCGCCTTGGCCTCCCAAAATGCTGGGATTACCGGCGTGAGCCACCATGCCCGGCTTAAGATCCAAAACTTTTTTTGAAACAGAGTCTCACTCTGTCGCCCAGGCTGGAGTGCAGTGGCGCGTTCTCGGCTCACTGCAACCTCCGCCTCCCGGGTTCAAGCGATTCTCCTGCCTCAGCCTCCTGAGTAGCTAGGACTACAAGCCCCCACCACCACCCTTGGCTAATTTTTGTATTTTTAGTAGAGACAGGGTTTCACCATGTTGGTCAGGATGGCCTCAATCTGTTAACCTCGTGATCCGCCTGCTGCAGCCTCCCAAAGTGCTGAGATTACAGGCATGAGCCATTGCACCTGGCCAAGATCCAAAACTTTTGTTGTTGTTGTTGAAACAGAGTTTCACTCTTGTTGCCCAGGCTGGAGTGCAATGGCGCGATCTTGGCTCACTGCAACCTCCGCCTCCCAGGTTCAAGCTATTCCCCTGCCTCAGCCTCCCGAGTAGCTGGGATTACAGGCGTGCACCACCTCACCTTGCTAATTTTGTATTTTTATTAGAGATGGGGTTTCTCCATGTTGGTCAGGCTGGTCTTGAACTCCTGACTTCAGGTGATTCGCCTTCCTCAGCCTCCCAAAGTACTGGGATTACAGGCGGGAGCCACTGCACCCAGCCGATCCAAAACTTTTTGAGTGCTGACATGATGCTCAGAAAATGCTCACTGGAGCATTTTAGATTTTGGATTTTTGGGATGCTGAACCAGAGGAATGCGAATATTCCAAAGTCTGAAAAATCCCAAATTCACAACACTCCTGCTCCCAAACATTTTGGGAGTATATATCACTTAGTGCTATGAAGGCGTTGTGTTAGTATCTTCTGGAAAGTCTGATGCCATTCGGTCCTCATCCCATTATATGTGACCTGTTTTTTTCTGTGGAAACATTTAGGATGTTTTTATGTTTTTAGGACGCTTGCTTTATGACATCATGTTTTTTTTTGTTTTTTTGTTTTTTTGTTTTTTTTTTGCTGTTCACTATGTTTTGTGACATTTGAGTGTCTTTCATTTTAGCTCTGAAAGTTTCCTTCTATTTATTTGACAGTTTCCTTCCATCTGTTTATTTCCTCTCTTTTTTTCTTTCTGGGATCCTCATTTTTTTTTTTTTTTTTTTTTAACAGAGTTTCGCTCAGTCACCTAGGCTGGAGGGCAGTGGCACTATCTTGGCTCACTGCAACCTCCACCGCCTGGGTGCAAGTGATTCTCGTGCCTCAGCCTCCCAAGTAGCTGGGATTACAGGTGCGCACCACCACGCCTGGCTAATTTTTTGTATTTTTAGTAGAGAATGTCATCCAGGTTGGCCTTGAACTCCTGGTGTCAAGTGATCCTCCCACCTCGGCCTCCCAGAGTGCCTAGGATTACAGGTGTGAGCTGTGGTGCCTGGCTGTAATTTCCCCTTTTAGAAGTATCTTATTTTTATTTGTTGGATATATATCTCCTTGAATCTGAGGACATTGACTCTTGGTTTTTATTTTTTTTCTTTCTTTTTGTCAAACTCTCTGTGGTCTCCAAATTATTTGTTTGCTCGGGCTCTTTCCTCCTGGTGGGAGCTCCTGAGCGTTATGTGATGGGAGGGTGGGTTCTGCCTATCCACAGGCCTGAAGGCTCACGGGCCTCCTGATTTCCTAATGAGTAAGGCCTTCCTCGGGGTCTGGTTTCCACGCTGCAAGTTTCAGCTTCCCCCTGATAGTTGGCTCCTTGAGACACAGAACCATCTCAATTTCTCCAGAGGGAAACCTGAAACTTCCTGGGGTGGGGAGGGGTGGAGGGGGAATGGGCGGGAAGGAGGATGGGCAGGAGGGAGGGATCCCAGGGCTCCTGTGCCCAACACAGCCTTTCAGTTTGCCCTTTTGTTTTTTTTTAATAACCGCTTTATGGAGATGTAATTTACACATCATAAAATTCACTCTTGTAATGTGTACAGTTAGCGTTTTCAGTATATTCACATAGTTGTGCGGCCATGACCACTGATTCCATCACTGCTGTCTAATTCCAGAACATTGCTGTCACCCCAGGGAGAAGCTCAGGCCCCGCAGTGGCAGTCGCTCCCCTGCTCCCACCCTCCTCCCCCACCGTGCTCCCTTTCCCTCCCCCAGCTTTCATCCTCACTCCTGCCCTCCGCTCAGCCAGTCCAGGACCTTCAGCCTTCTGGCACCAGTGGCTGTCCCTGCCCTGCGGCGCCCCCATGGCAGACTCTGAGCCGTCGCCTCCTTGTCCTGCCCCTTGCCCATCGTGTCCTCGTCCGACTTCTGCCTTTCAGAAACTGGCAGGTGGCTTGAATCTCCTCCCTCCTGCCTTCACTCTCACGGCCTTATTCCTGTCCTCTTGCTTCCTGTGGGCTCTCAGGCAGGAGAGTGGGCCGGTGCGTCTCCCTGTTCTCCCCTGGTTGAATTGAAGCACTCGGCCAACTGCCATCCCTCTTGGCGCTGTCTGGGGGGATAGAAGTTCTTCAGGCTTGGAGTACCCGTCACAGGACAGGATTCCTTCTTGAAGGCGTGGGGACCATGAGATAAGATGTGACAGTCGATTTGGGAAGCACGTGACCTGGAGGTCAGAGGCAGAGGGACATGGGGTCTGTTTCTCGAAGGAGGTGGCCCTGCTGTGGGCCTTTGTGGCTGGGTGGGATTCAGACTATGGGCGAGTGGGGAGAAGACGAGGCATGGGTGGAGTCTGAGAGCAAATCCCAGGCCACTGCCCATGCCCGTGCCTCCTCTGCTGGGGACAGGCCACCCTTCCTCTGTTCTGCCTCCGCTTTCCTCCCCAGGTTCAGATTAAGTATTCAGGTGCCTGGCCTCATGCTGCACTTTGTTTATTTATTAATTTTTTAAATGGAGTCTCGCTCTGTTACCCAGGCTGGAGTGCAGTGGCACAATCTCCGCTTACTGCAACCTCTGCCTCTGGGGTTCAAGCGATTCTCCTGCTTCAGCTTCCTGAGTAGCTGGGATTACAGGTGTGTGCCACCACGCCCAGCTAATTTTTGTGTTTTTATTAGAGACGGAGTTTCATCATGTTGGCCAGGCTGGTCTCGAACTCCTGACTTGAAGTGATCCGCCTGCCTTGGCCTCCCAAAGTGCTGGGATTACAGGTGTGAGCCACCGTGTCCGGCCTTTTTTTTTTCTTTTTTAATCTCTGGGGTCAATGGGGTTTTGTTTGCGTCACTTGGGAATGCTCTTATTAGGTGCTAAACTAGAACCCAGGAGGAGGGTCCCAGCCACCTGGGGCTCCCCTGTCTCCCAGTGCATGTGTCCGTGGTGCAGCAGGTGCTCAGCCCCCGTGCTGGAGGTGGTGACAGTAGAGTGTGTGGCCCTCCCTGCTGGGTTTCACACCTCACCCAGGTCACGCTTACCGACATCCACCTGAGTCGGGCAAACTTGTGCAGCCTTCTCTGGCCTCAGCCTCCTCATCCTCTGCAGGAGCAAGTATCCCGATGACAGGCTAACGTTCCTTCTCACTCTCTGCTGACCATGCCGGTGGCCAAGTCTCCTTTCTCCTCTTCTTCCCTGCTGTTTTATTCCTAAGATAACTTTGCCGTGGAAGTCAATCCTGTCGGGGGCTTAACCTCCTGAAAAGCCACCCCCGAGAGGCCAGCCAAGCCCCTGTGAGGAGGTGGTGGGGTTGAGGGGTGCGGTACTGCCGCTGGCAGCTGGGCCTGAAACAGGCAGGAGGCTGATGGGTGTGTTTCTTCCTTTTCTTTTTAGTGTGCAAGGAGCCCCCCTACAAAGTAGAGGAGTCGGGGTACGCTGGCTTCATCATGCCCATCGAGGTGCACTTCAAAAACAAGGTAGGATCCCTGAGGGGAGCAAGCAGGATGCCTCTCTGTGGGGACCCCTGCTCCGGGTGCCACGGCAGTTCACAAAACAGGCCAGAGAACTGGCCGCTGCCCATGCACAGACATTCCAGTGAGTGCTGCGGGGGGTGCTGGTCACCATCTCCATTCCTGGGGACGTCGGGGGCCAGGACACGGCTGGTTTCATGACAGCAGGTGGGCGTGTCCCTTGGTCTGCTTCTCTAGGGGAGCTGCTGGGCCACCTCCTGTCCAGTTGCCTAGAAAATGTGCCAGCAGTGACATCCCCTGTCAGGGCCAGCTTCCTCGACGGTCCTAGAGGGTTAATAACCGGGCCGTGTGTAGTGACTGAGATCAGGAAATAGCATAAATATCTGATTACAGTCCGATTACGATGCGTCTTCTGGGCAGAATCTTTGATGACCTTCAGAATTAACGAAGCAAGCTACATATATAATACTTGAAGGAAAAAGGAGTTATCTCTATCCAGAATGTTGGCGCGGGTCATCTGGGTGGTGGGAGTCCAGGGGGTTTTCTTTTCTTTTCTTTCATCTGTAGTTTTTCACTTTTTTTTTTTTTTTTTGGCCTAATGATTAAAACAACTCAGAGCCTGCCCCTGCTCCTCCTCCCAGGTGTCACCACAGGGCCAGCGGTGACATTTCCTGGCTTGTGGCTTGTCCATGGCCGGCTGCTTTCCCACAAGTGCAGCTGGCCCGGCATGGAGGCAACGCTGGGGAAGGAGGTGTCCCTGGGAGGCCTGTGGATGCCGCCCCGCTTGGTTACTGAGTCCCCGGTTTGTACCTGGCGGTGCCGGGCTGCGTGGCTGCCATTCCACTTTTCCACAAACCCTCTGGCACGAAGGGCCTTGAGGAGAGGCATTTGGCGTGCGGCCGTCCTAGGAGCCGGGTGACGTTTCAGCCGGTGCAGCTTGGCCGATTTCAGATGCAAGGCCTCGCGCGGGGTCCAGTTCACAGAAACCTAGGTCATTCTGAGGCTTTGTTGGAATTGAGGCCCCGCTGGGAGAAGAGCCGAACCTGCCTGCAAGTGGGCCTCCTGAGGGGTGAGTGGTCCCTGCCTTTGGGCCTATGGGGCCACCCCTCTGCCAGGTGTGTGCCCGGGCTCCCAGTCTCCCCAGCTGTATCCGGTGAGCGTATGGAAGGGGAATGAGAACAGCAGCCCCCTCTTGGGGCGGTTGAGGGGATTGCTCGAGCCCATCTGCAAAGGTGCTCCACAGCCCAGGCACTGGTATTCTAGCGGGTGGGCTGTGGGACCACCATCTGTATGGGCAGTTTAAACTCGCCTCTGGGGTGACTTAGATTAAGGTCCTCTGAGGTTCAGAAGCAGTTTGGGCCAGCAAGGCATTTTTTGTTTTGTTTTTAGAGACAAGGTCTTGCTCTTTTGCCCAGGCTGGAGCGCAGTGGTGCAATCATAGCTCACTGTATCCTCAACCTACCAGGCTCAAGCGATCCTCCCACCTCAGCCTCCCAAGTAGCTGGGACTACAGGCACTTGCCACTGTGCCCAAGCTCAGTGAGGTTTTCTGTGTTCCCAGACACCTGTCTGGTCCCTGACACGGCCTTCAGCCACCTGGGGACTGGTGGCATCCATTCTACTTCCTAGTGCCCTCAGGCAAGGGGCTCCGGCTGCTGCCTGGCTCCGCCGTGGGCTGCCCGTGGATTCGGAGGCAGGTGGGGCAGGGCCTGGCCAGTGCTGTTTGCTGCTTGTCATCCTTGCTTAGTAGGGGCAACTTCAGGCGAGATGCAGGCCAGCCGCTCCCAAGTGTGGCAGAAACCCATACTGTGTGGTGCCACTGTACCCAGTGCAGCAGGGGCCCTAAGTGGCTGCCACTCAGGTGCCCCTACCTGCTGTGTCCTGCAGCACTCAACTGAGTCTGAAATGCAGACTCCAGGGCTGTTTCTGTCCTGACTTCCTGAAGCTCCACCCTTGCATCCTGGCCCTGTAGATAAAGGGAGCCGGGGGCCCTTTGACCATAGGATTGTCACTACTGGGCCCAGCATCCTCCCCTGTGTGGGGGTGTCGAGAGGGCAGAGAGCCCTCTCTGAATCCCTGCCTGCTCTTTTGGGATCCTGGGGGCTTCATTTAGGGTGTGGGGGCATGTAGTTGCATGGGGGGCATGGGACCCCATGTTCCTCTAGAGCTCCTGTTGCCTGGTTCCTCTGGAAGGCCCCAAGCGTGGTGCCAGCTCCCTCGGTGCCCTTCAGCAGGAGCATGTGCACTTCCAGCAACCCATGGTAACATAGTTGGGTTAAGATGTTTTCTTTAAGTCTAGTTTGTCGAGGTATAATTTACATATAGTAAAATTCTCCCATTTTAGATGTAGCAGGTTTTTCAAATCTCAGCATGTGCTTTCATTGAGCCCTTTTGGAGGATGGCCAGTTTTTCTGTTTTTTTTTTTTTTTTTTTTTAAGTCATGTTTCTTGGTGTTTATTTGTCTGAATAATTCCTGCAGAAGCCGCGTAGCTGGGCCCGGAGTTCTGCCATGAGCCTGTGCTGAGAATCGCAGCGCTCCCTCTCTCTCAGGACAGAGGCCAGCCGCTTCAGTGTACCATGTGCCCGATTGCCTGGGAACCCTCTCTTCCTGGGGTGGTTGTAGAGGGTCCTACACCGGGAGTACCAGTGGCCCCACGGCAAGGTCCAGGGATGCAGGTCCTCCTCACAGCGGCAGTGGTGTGTGTGCTGTCCACAGGTGGAGGAGATCCTGGATCCCGAGTCACTTGGTCAAGCCTCAGAAGTTGGCAGAGCTAGGATTGGAACCAGCTCTTTGTAAACACACACCAGTTGTCCAAATACCTGAGACAGGCATGACCTAGAATGACAGTGCTTGATGAGTTTTGGTGCCAGGGATAGGAGTGTGTCATGGCTGCAGGATTTGGAACACGATTAGGGACAGGGTCATAGTGCATGGGTTTGCTGGTGGTTTTTCTACCTGGTGTAGCCAGGGCTCGCGTTTGGTGGTTAGCCATGGCTTACTCCTCGGTGGGAGGTCAGGTAAGTGGAATAAGGAGTAAACAGAGGTTGGTGACGGGGTGGGTTTGGGGAGGCGCTGGTGTGTCCAGACTGGGTAGGGAGAGAGCTGCGGAGACCGCAGTTTGGAGGTGGACACGCCAGCGTTCAATCTCAGAGCCTGGCTGTGTCACCGTGAGTGGGACACTCCTCTGGGCCTCAGTTTGTCTATCCATAAGATGGGGTTTCTGGCTGCGTCTGCTTCTCAGGCATCAGGAAGATTAAGAGGGAGACAGCAGGTGTAGCACTTGGCCCGGCGCGTGGCACATAGTAGGCATTTCATCCTTTCATTGTTGAGATGGTATCGGCTCCTTCCAGTCAGTCTGGGCAAGGAAGTTCAGTGGAGAAAGGGAGCCTCAGACCTCAGAGGGCCCAAAGGAGGTTGAGGGTCCTGCGATGAAAAAGATGTTGTTTGGCTTCGCCGGCGAGTGTGGCTCTAAGACCGGAGCAGAAAAGGTGCTTTCTCCGACAGCTCTATTCTTGTATAAGCATGAGGGTTTTTCAGCGAGTGCACTTGACCTTGAATATGGCATCGCCTGTATAATGAAGGAATTGTGCTTTATGCAGTGTTAGGCATTAGAACGTAACTGAGGCCGCATTTTGTTTGACCTGTTGGTAGGATGTCCTTTTACAGAAAAATCACTCCTTTCTCTCAAGGAAAAAGAATTTGGAAGGCCTCATCTGATTGCAAAGTAATACATGTGTGTTGTGAAGAAGTTTTTCCGAAGCAAGACGACAGCGTTGCCTTGCTTGACATCTGCTGGGAACATGCGTGTTGGGCAGCTCAACCTTTCTGCTGTTCTGGGCATGTCTGCAAATGACTGTGAAAGCTGACAGTATCAGTTTGGGGTTGCAAATGAACTTCAGTGAGGAGGTAAATTCAAAAGTATGGAATCTACACAGAATGACGGACAGCTATACCATTTTCTGTTTATCCATTCATCTGTGGATAGACGTTTGGGCTGTTTCTACCCATTTGCTATGGGGAATAGTGCTGCTGTGAACGTGTGTGAGTGTGTGTTTGTACTTGTTTGAGTGCCCGTTTTCAGTTCCTCTGGGTGTATACACCTAGGAATGGAATTGCAGGCTCATACAATAATTTTCTGTTTAGCTTTCTGAGGAACTGCTAAGCCGTTTTCCAGTGGCTGTATCCTGTCATAGGTCCACCAGCAATGTGTGAGGGTTCCTGTTTCTCCAGATCCTCAGCAATGCTTGTTTTCTGTTTCTTAAAAATTATAGCCATCCTCTAGGGTATAGAGCGGTAACTGTTGAGGTTTTTATTTGCATTTCCTTGATGACCCGTGATGTTTCACGTCTTTTCACATGCTTGCTGGCTGCACGTATCTCTTTCTCGAGAAATGTCTAGATATATCCATTGCCCATTTTTGTTTGTTTTTTTCCGAGATGGAGTCTCACTCTTTTGGCCAGGCTGGAGTGCAGTGGCGCCATCTCGGCTCACTACAACCTCTGCCTCCTGGGTTCAAGTGATTTTCCTCCCTCAGCCTCCCGAGTAGCTGGAATTATAGACTCCCGCTGCCACGCCCAGCTAATTTTTGTATTTTTAGTACTGATGGGGTTGCGCCATGTTTGCGAGGCTGGTCTCAAACTCCCAATCTCAAGTGATCCATCTGTCTTGGCCTCCCAAAGTGCTGGGATTACAGGCGTGAGCCACCATGCCCAGCCCGTTGTCCATTTTTGAATTAGGTTGTTTGTTTTTGTTGTTGTGTTATAGAAGTTTTTTAAATATTTTGGGTATGTGATTTCAAATATCTTTTCCCCTTTTTTAGGTGTTTTTTTTTTTTTTTACATTCTTCATAATGTCTGCTTTTTGAGCAGGGTCTCACTCTGTTGCCCAGGCTGGAGTGCAGTAGTGTGATCTTGGTTCACTGTAACCCTGACTTCCTAGGCTCAAGCAGTCCTCCCACCCCAGCCTCCCAACTAGCTGGGATCACAGGCGTGAGCTGCCGCACCCAGCCCTGATAATGTCCCTTGTTGCATGAATGTTTTAAATGTTTATGAAATTCTATTTATCTGTTTTCTCTTGTCGCTCACACCTTTGGTGTCAAATCTGTGACTCCATTGCCAAATGAGGTCATGAAGATTTGCCCCATGTTTATTTACACCAGTTTCATAGTTGTAGTCCTTATACGTAGAGAGTTGATCCATTTTCGAGTGAACTTTCATATATGAAGTGAAGTGGGGGTCTAACAGTATTCTTTTGCATGTGGTTTTCCAGGTGTCCCAGCACCGTTCACTGAAGAGACTGTTCTTTCGCCATCGAGTGGTGTTAGAGCGTTGTTGAAAATCAGCTGGCCATAGATTTGGGGTTTAAAACTGGACTCTGAATTCTATTTCATTGGTCTACGTGTCTGTGCTTATGCTGGCCATACTGTTTTGATGACTGTAGTTGTATAGGAAGGTTATTTTTATTTTATTTTATTTTATTTTGAGACGGAGTCTGGCTCTGTCGCCCAGGCTAGAGTGCAGTGGCGCCATCTCGGCTCACTGCAAGCTCCGCCTCCCGGGTTCACACCATTCTCCTGCCTCAGCCTCCCGAGTAGCTGGGACTACAGGTGCCCGCCACCACGCCTGGCTAATTTTTTGTATTTGTAGTAGAGACCAGGTTTCACCGTGTTAGCCAGGATGGTCTCGATCTCCTGACCTCATGATCCACCCACCTCGGCCTCCCAAAGTGCTGAGATTACAGGCGTGAGCCACCGTGCCCCGCCTTTTTTTTCTTTTTTTGTCAGAGTCTTGCTCTATCACCCAGGCTGGAGTGCAGTGGTGCAATCATGGCTCACTGTAGCTTTGACCTCTTGGGCTCAGGCAGTCCTCCCACCTCAGCCTCCCAGGTAGCTGGAACCACGGGCCTGCACCACCACATCCAGCTAATTTTATTATTTTTGTAGAGATGGGGTCCCATTGTGTTGCCCAGGCTGGTCTTTTTATTTATTTATTTATTTATTTATTTATTTATTTATCTTTTTGAGACAGAGTTTCGCTCTTGTCCAGGCTGGAGTGCAGTGGCACGATCCTGGCTCATCGCAACCTCTGCCTCCCAGGTTCAAGCGATTCTCCTGCCTCAGCCTCCTGAATAGCTGGGATTACAGGTGCCTGCCACCGTGTCTGGCTAATTTTTTGCATTTTTAGTAGAGATGGGGTTTCACCACATTGGCCAGGCTGGTCTCGAACTGACCTCAGGTGATCTACCTGCCTCGGCCTCCCAAAGTGCTGGGATTACAGGTGTGAGCCACCGTGCTTGGCCCAGGCTGGTCTTGAACTCCTGGCCTTAAGCGATCCTTTCGCCTTGGGCCCCGAAAATGCTGGAATTACAGGTGTGAGTCAGCGCGCCCAGCCTTGTAGGAAGTTTTGAAATTGGCAAGTGTGAGTCCTCTAACTCTGTGTTTTGTTTTTCCCTCTTCCATATGAGTTTGGTTATTCTGTGCCCCTTGTGATTCCATATGAACTTGAGGTTTGACTTTTCCATTTTTGCAAAAAATTATATTGGAATTTTGATAGGGATTCTATTGTATCTAGTCATTTTTGAAACATCTTAACAATATTAAGTTTTCAGTCCATGAACAAGGAATGTCTTTCCACTTAATTAAGTCTTTAGGTTCTTTCAGCAATATTTTATAGTTTTCAGTATACATAAGTCTTTTACCTGTGTGCTTAAATTTATTCCTAGGTTTTTTTGCCTTGTTTTGTTTTGAGACAGAGTCTGTCCATCACCTAGGCTGGAGTGCAGTGGCACGATCTTGGCTCACTGCAACCTCTGCCTCCTGGATTCAAGCGATTCTCCTGCCTCAGCCTCCCGAGTAGCTGGAATTACGGACGTGTGCCACCACGCCCAGCTAATTTTTGTATTTTTAGTAGAGATGAGGTTTTGCCATGTTGGCCAGGCTGGTCTCAAACTCCTGATATCAAGTGATCCGCCCACCTCGGCCTCCCAAAGTGCTGGGATTACAGGCATGAGCCACTGTGCCTGGCCTTATTCCTAGGTATTTTATTCTTTGGAATGCTATTGTAAATGGAATTCTTTCCTAATTCCCTTTTTGGATTCTTCATTGCAGGTGTATAGAAGCACAGCTGATTTTGTTTTTGTTTTTCCTGTAGACCTCCTCTCTGGACAGCACAAACAATTTTTGTGTATTGATCTTGTACCCTGCAGCTTTAATGAATTTATTATTAGCTTTAGTAGGGTGTTGTTTTTTTTTTTTCTTTTGTTGATTTTTTTTTTTGTGTGTGGCTTCTTTGGGATTTTCTGTATATGGAATCATGTCATCTGCAAATAGAGGTTCCAGTTTGGATGTCTTTCGTCAAAGTCTTTTCCTTGCTTTACTGCCCTGGCTAGAACATGCAGCACAGTGTTGAATAGCAGTGGAGAGGGTGGGCATCCCGCGTGGTTCCTGATCTCAGGGGAAGAGTTTCCAGCCTTTTTCCATTGAGTGTGATGTCAGCTGTGAACTTTCTGTAAATGCCCTTTATCAGGTTAAGGAAATTCCCTTATAGAAGAAGGAAAAACCTGTTCTCCACTCACAACATTTCTGACACCAACTGTGTGGGTTTCCCAGACATTACAGTTCTCCAGTTCTCCACAGACACCACTTGGGGGTCCTGCAGTTGAATTCAGTGATGTCATCCACGACCTGGAGTTAGCGCAAGCTCCCAGGTTAAGAGCCCAGTTTCACAGGACAGCCCCCACTTCAGATGCCAGTCGCGAGTCCCAGACTGCCACCTGTACTCAACCGGCCATAAATCGGGTGTTGCCCCTCCTTATGTTCAACAGTTCTCTATAACGGCTCACAGAACTCAGGAAAACATTTTACTTCCATTACTGGTTTGTTGTAAAGAGTGCGATTCAGTAATGGCCAAACCTTGCTGCATGGGGCAGGCTATGTGGGAAGGGTGCTGACGTTCCATGCCCTCAGACGGGCCAGCCTGGAAGCTCTCGGAACCCCTTTGTGTAAGGTGTTTATGGAGACTCCATTGTGTGGGCATGATTGATTAAACCATTGGCCATTGGTGATTAAACTAAATTTCCAGCCCCTTTGCCCTCCCTAAGAGGTCAGGGGGTGGGGCTGAAAATTCCAGCCACCTATCACATGATTGGTTCCCCTGGCAACCAGCCCCCATCCTGAAGCTATCTAGGGGCATTCAGTCAGCAGACACCTCATGAACGAACGAAAAGATGCTCGTATCACTTCCAAGATTTCAAGGATCTTAGAGGCCTTTGTGTCAGGAACCCAGGACTAAGACCCAATATTAAAACAAAACAGGCTTCTATCACCACCATCTCTCAGAAAGTGTTTTAGCAGCTCGGTGCCAGGACTAGGAGCAGAGACCAAATATATATATTTCTTACCGTGTCACACCTTCTTTTTCTAGTTTGCTGAATGACGTTTTTCTAAATCATGAATAGGTGTTGAGTTTTGTCACATGCTCTTATCTGTCTCTAATGAGAAAATCATGTAGATTTTTTCTTCCTTTTATTAATGTGCTGTATTACGCTGATGGATTTTTATGTAGGAACCCCCTGCCGCCTTGCATTCCTGGGATAAATCCCTCTTGGTTATGGTATATAATCTTTTTAGTGTGCTGTTGGATTGGGTTTGCTAGTATTTTGTTAAGGATTTTTGTGTCTGTATTCATAAGGAACATTGCTGTGTGGTTTTCTTGTGGTATCTTTGTCTGGCTTTAGTATCAGGGTAATGCCGCCCTCATAAAGTGAGTTAGGAGGTATTCCCTCCTCTTCTAAGTTTTGGTAGAGTTTGAGCAGGAGTGGTGTTTGTTCTTTGAATGTTCCATGGAGTTCAGTGAACTCTCTGGTCTTGGACTTTTCTTTGTGGGAAGTATTTGATTTCTGATTCCGTCTCTTGATATCAATGTGTTGAGATTCTCCACTTCTTTTTTTTTTTTTTTTTTTTTTTTTTTTTTGAGATGGGGTCTCGCTCTGTCGCCCAGGCTGGAGTGCAGTGGCGCAATCTTGGCTCACTGCAAGCTCTGCCTCCCGGGTTCATGCCATTCTCTTGCTTCAGCCTCCCGAGTAGCTGGGACTACGGGTGTGCCCACCATACCTGGCTAATTTTTTTTTGTATTTTTAGTAGAGACAGGGTTTCACCATGTTAGCCAGGATGGTCTCGATCTCCTGACTTCATGATCCGCCCACTTCGGTCTCCCAAAGTGCTGGGATTACAGTCGTGAGCCACCATGCCCAGCCCTACTTCTTGATTCAATTTTAGTAATTTGCTTCTAAGGTTATGTCTTATTTACATTATCTAGCTGGCATATAGTTGTCTATAGTATTCTCATAATTCTTTTAATTTCTATAAGATTGGTAGTTCCCACTTTTATTTCTGATGTGGGTTATTTATGTTCTTTTTTTTAAATACTAGCCAAAGGTTTGTCAATTTAGTTGATCTCTTCAAAGAAAAAACTTGATTTTATTGATTCACTCTATGCCTTTTATTGCGTATTTTATTTCTGTTCTTTTCCTTCTGTTAGCTTTGAGTTTAGTTCTTTTTCTAATTCCTTAGGGTGTAGAAGGAGTCATTGATTTGATGTCACTCTTATTTTTGAATGTAGGTGTTTACAGCTGTACATTTCGCTCTGAGCACTGTGTACACTGTATTCCATATGTTTCGATATATTGTGTTTTGTTTTCATTATCTCAAAAGTATCTTCTAATTCTCCCAGTGATTTCTTCTTTGACCCATTGGTTGTTGTATTTGTTGGGGTTTTTTCTCCAGACAAAATCAATAGGAGAGACAGATAGATAGATACCCAGATACGAGAGGGAACTTATTGGGGGAATAGGCTCACGTGATTGTGGAGGCCGAGAAGTCCCGTGACAGGCCACCTGCAAGCTGGAGATCTGGGTTGCCGGCAGCACAGCTCCCCTCAAGCTCAGACGCCTCCGCAGCAGAGAAACCCTGCTGTAATTGTCAGTCTGAGGTCGAAAGCCTGGTACTGAGGGTGTGAGGCCAGAGTCCTAAGGCCACAGAGGGAGAGAGGCAGATGGAGAGATTGCCCTCCCTGACTTTTTGTCCCTTTAGAGACAGATGGCCATTTCTCTGTTTTTTGTCCCATCTGCAACCCAACCAGTTGGATGGTGCTGGTCCACACTGAGGGCGAGTCTTCCCTCCTCGGCCCGACTTACATGCCAGTGTCCTCTGGAAACACCCTCATAGACACACCCAGAAATAATGCCTTACCGGGTCTCTAGGTTCTTTTTTTCTTTTTTCTTTGTGGTGGAGTCTCGCTCTGTCACCTAGACTGGAGTGCAGTGGTACAATCTCAGCTCACTGCAGCCTTGACCTCCTTGGGCTCAGGTGATCCTCCCACTTCAGCTTTCCGAGTGGCTGGGACCACAGGTGCATGTCACCATGCCCAGCTATTCATTCGTTCATTCTTTCTTTCTTTTTTTTTTTTTGGTGGGAGGTAGAGATGGGGTTTTGTCATGTTGCTCAGGCTGGTCTCGAACTCCTGGGCTCAAGCGATCCTCCCGCCTTGGCCTCCCAAAGTGCTGGGATTATAGGCATGAGCCACTGTGCCAGGTCCTCTAGGTATTTCTTAATTCAGTCAAGTTGACATCTAAAATTAACCAAAGCCTGTCATCTGAGTTTGGTTCTTCTTTATTCTTTTTTCTAACTCACTGTTCCTTTCTTTTTTGTAGCACATATGTGGATGTGTGTTTACTTGTCTGTGTGTCTCTACCACCCGAAAGTAAGCTCAGGACCAGGGCTCTGCTTTTGTTCTCGTCTGGCGTCTAGCATGGAGGTAGCACTTGCTAAATATTTATTAAATGAATACTAAATGGATGAACCAGATTCATTCCAGAGGGGGCTAGCCGTTGTATGTCCAAATATCAGAAAACCTCCTGGCACAACCAGTGAATAAGTGCCGCCGCACCCCCATCCCCCCAACCTTTTTAAGAATGGAGGTGAAATTCACGAGATGAAATTAACGATTTTAAAGCAAACAGTAAGTAAAGTGGCATTTAGTACATTCACAGGGTTGTACTACTGCCGTCTCCTTCTAGTTCCAGAGCAGTTTCATCACCCCGGAAGGAAACCTTGTGCCAGTAAGCAGCTGTTTCCCGTTCCCCCCATCGCCACTGTTCCTGGCAGCTACTCATCTATATTGTGTCTTGGTGGATGGGCCTATTCTGGCAGTTTCATATAAATGGAGTCATATAGTACGTGACGTTTGTGTCTCGCTTCTTTCCTTCTTTCTGCCGTATTTGTGAGTTCATCCGTGTTGTTGCATGTATAAGAACTGCATTCCTTTTCACGGCCAAGTAACATTCTGCTGTATGGCTGTCCCACACTTTATCCATTCATCCATTGACGGCCATGCAGGCTGTTCCCACCTCTTGGCTATTGTGAATAAGTACGGCTTTGAACATGGCTGTGCGTGTATGTGTTTGAGTACCAGGTTTCAATTCCTTTGGGTATACAGTTGGCCCTCCATATCCATGGGCTCCGTATCCATGAATTCAACCAACCACAAACAGAAAGCATTTGGAAAAAAAATCCACAGAGTTCTAAAAGGCAAAACGTGAATCTGCCAGGGGCCGTTGAATCCACGTGAATGCAGTGATGTGTAGGCATTGTATTCGGCATGATGAGTGATCTAGAGATGATTTCAAGTATATGGGAGGGTGTGCATAGGTTATCTGCAAATGCTGCTATTTTATATAAAGAGATTTGAGCCTCTGCAGACTTTGGTATCCAGAGGGTGTCCTGGAACCAATCCCTCACAGTTCTGAGGGATGACTGTATACCTTAGAGTGGAATTGCTGGGTCATATGGTAATTCTATGTTTAATTTCTTTGAGGGAGTGCCAAACTGTTTTCACAGCAGCCAAACCATTTTATATTGCCACTAGCAACACACAAGCATTCCAATTTCTCTACATCCTCAGCAACATTTGTTATCTCCTGTTTTTTGTCTGTTTTTACTGATAGCCATCCCTGTGGGTGTGAAATGGTATTTGTAGGTGGTTTTGATTCACCTTTCCCTGATGATTAATGAAGTTGAGCATCTTTTCATGTGCTTATTGGCCATTTGTATATCCTGTTTTGAAGATACGTCTATTCAAGCTCTTTGCCCGTATTTGATTTGGGTTGTTTTTCTTTTTGAGTTGTAAGAGTT
The DNA here is from genome assembly GCF_000001405.40 of Homo sapiens. NCBI lineage: Eukaryota > Metazoa > Chordata > Mammalia > Primates > Hominidae > Homo > Homo sapiens. Next base: position 6,250,046 of record NC_000019.10, on the reverse strand, counting down.
TTTTGTCTTTGTTTTTGTTTTTTTTTGAAACAGGGTCTCACTCTGTCACCCAGGCTGGAGAACAGTGGTGTAATAACAGCTCATTGCAGACTCCACCTCTCCCCTCAAGCAATCCTCCCACCTCAGCCTTCTGAGTGACTGGGACCACAGGTGTGCACCACCATACCTGGCTAATTTTTGTATTTTTGTAGAGATGAGGTCTTGCCATGTTGCCCAGGCTGGTCTTGAACTTCTGAGCTCAAGCGATCCGCCCACCTAGACTTCCCAAAGTGCTGGGATTACAGGCGCGAGCCACTTTGCTTGACCGGGTCCTTTATATCTTCTGGATAAGTGCCTATTTTTAAGCATTGACAGTAAAGCGCTTGCTGGGCAGACTGGATGTGTGATGGGAACTTCCCTGAGCTGGGGGCTCCAGCTCTTCAAGGGGGGATCCGGGTGGCCTCCCTCCCATCACATGCGGCCTCGAGGCTTCTGCATGCTGCGGCTGAACTGTTCTTTTGGAAAGTGGCCTTGACTGTGGGCTGGGAGGACATGCTGGGGCTGCCCCGGGACAAGGCAGTGGCCCGGATGAATAAATCGGTTCCTCAGTGCACTTGGCCCAGTCAGATGAGGGAGTCTTGTTTAAATGCTCTCTTTGTATCTGTTTGTTGTCCTGGAAGTGGTCAGAGATATTTAAAGCCCTTCCTGTTCTAGTGAGTGAGTAACATCTCAGACCCCGGGCTGTCCAGTAGAAATCTTAATTATTATTATTATTATTTTTTAGCCGCGTTAAAAAAGTTCAAAAGAAACAGGTGAAATTAATTTTAGTAATTGGGTTAACTCAGTGTATCTAAAACATTATTTCAACATGTAATCAATATTTTTTAAGTATTGAGAGATTTTACATTCTTTTTTCATACCAAGTCTTTGAAATTCAGTCTGTTTATTATACTTGCTGCACGTCTCAATTTGGATATGGAAACGTCATCAGAAAGGCTTGATCTGTATTTAGAGTCCATAAAATTCACAGTTGAACAAAGAAGTAGATTCACACACCCAAGCTGCTCCAGACGCATAAAAATCTTCGTTACTGAACCGAGTATGGTTCCTGACTGGGAATCTCTCATAGTTACGATTTTTTTAATTTGGAAATAATTTTAGACACAGAAGAGCTGCAAAGATAGTACAGAGAATTCCCATAGGACCTCCCCCACAACCCAACCTCCCTTAATGTTAACATCTCACATAACCATGGTCCAGTGATCAAAACCAAGACAGTAGCATCAGTACAATCGCCGTGAACTAAACTAGGGACTTGCCTTGGGTTTCCCAGTTTTCAATTCATGTTCTTTTTCTGTTGTGGAACCCACCCCAGGATGCTGCACTGTTGCCTGTGTCTCTTTCCTCAGTCTTTCATGACCTTGATATCTTTGAAATGTGCTAGTGGGGTATTATGTAGACTCTCCCTCTACTTGCCGTTTTCTCATGGCTAGTCCGTGGCTATAGAGTTCCATAAGAAGACCACAGAGGTAAATGCACTTCCTCTTCCATCATATTAGGAAGTGCCAGATATTAACATGATCCATGGTTAACAGCCGAGGTTGACCTTGATCTCCTGGTTAAGTGGCATCTGCCAGGTTTCTCCACTGGTTGTTGCTTAGAAGAAGCAGGTCACTAAGTCCAGCCCACACTCAAGGGAGAGGAATTAACCCCTCCATCCTGGTGGGCGTAGGTTAAAAACACTACAGTTACTAATACCCATTTTGGGAGAGATACTTTGAAGCTGTGCAGATAACCTGTTTTGTTTTGTCTGTTTTTAAAAATACAGATGGAGTATCCCTAATCCAGAAATCCAAAATAAAAAATGCTCCAAAATCTCAGGCTGGGCACAGTGGCTCATTCTTGTAATCCCAGCACTTTGGGAGGCGAAGGCGAGTGAATCACCTGAGGTCAGGAGTTCAAGACCAGCCTGGCCAACATGGCACCCCGTCTCTGCTAAAAATACAAAAATTAGCAGGGCGTGGTGGCGCACGCCTGTAGTTCCAGCTACCTGGGAGGCTGAGGCACAAGAATTGCTTAAGCCCAGGAGGAAGAGGTTGCAGTGAGCTGAGATCACACCACTGCACTCCAGCCTGGGTCACAGAGTGAGACTCTGTCTCACAAAAAACAAACAAACAAACAAACAAACAAAACACCAAAATGCTCCAAAATCTGAAACTCTGAGCACCAACAGGACACTCAAAGGAACTGCTCACTGGAGCATTTTAAATTGCAGATTTTCAGATTAGGGATGCTGAACCAGTAAGAATAATGCAGACATTTGAAAATCCAAAAAAAGATCTGAAATCCAAAACATTTCTGATCCCAAGCATTTTGGATGAGGGCTACTTAACCCATAGTACCACCCACTAATTTTAGCCTCCCCCAGTGGTGGCCTACTGGTAGTTTTAATTTCCTCCTTCCTTTCTACATTTATTAACTGGAATTTTTCAGTAAGGAAGAGCCGTCCCTTCTCTTCCATTTATGTATTCAGTTATTTGTATCAACACGGATGGATTCATAGGTATTTGGTTTTTCTTTGGGGTCATAATCCAGTCTGTTGTTACCTGTTTGTTATTGAAATTGTTCTCGCATTCGGGCCTGTCATTTCATGTTCCCATGGTTTTGGGGGTGCTTTCACATTCTGGCACCACAGGCTCACCGTGTATTTCCCTGCCCCAGCCCTAGAATCTTCCGCTGCTCCCAGGAGCCTTAGTTCCTGTTGCTGGAAAATGGTATTTAAAAGCCAAGATCTGGGAGCTAAGTGTGCTCACTGCTGCTTAGTTGTCACTGCGTTTAGGTTCTCTCATATGACAGAGCTAGGAAACCACCCCCACCCTTTACATCTGTGTTTAGTTCTGTATCTATCTGTGTAATATGAAAACAAACGTACGTTCCTCTGAGGCTGCCAACTCCATCCAGCACCAGCGGGCTCATTCACGCCTTCCCCAGTTGCTGCCTTGTAGCTGTCTCTGAAGGGGGAAACCTGGCTCCCGATATCTGTACTGTGTTTGTTTACCCGTTTAATTCCAGGATACCCGGAAAGTAGTTTCAGCATCAACAGCCAGCCCTCCTGTGTTGGCAGCTAGGGCTCAGCATTGGCGTGCAGCTCTTTCTGTCAAGTAGGAACGCTGCAAGGGTACAAGGTTATTTGTGGCAGCCCTTTCCCTGGGGTGGTCATGTCATGCATTTGTAATACAGTTAGCTTCGTCAGTCTCAGTTGCATTTCATCTTGGGTCTGCCCCCTCTGCCCATCCGGTTATTAGTTACTGATTTCTTAATTTGTATTCCGTGACGTTTACTCTGGGTTCAACATGCAGAGAGTCGTGTATCTACCGGGACTCTGCCTCCCCCACTCCGATTCCCACTTGCTGTCCCTTTGAAGTCAGTCCCCCTCCCCACCCCCAGCCCTTACAACCGCTCATCTGTTTGCCATTCTTGTAGTTTACCTTTTCCAGATTGTCATAAGACTCAGACAATATGTAGCCCTTTTGTATCTGGTTTCTTTCACTTAGCAAAGCGCACTTAGATTTGTCCATGTTGCCATATGAATGAATCTTCGTGTTTTGTTGTGTTTTTTCGAGGAGTGTTCCGCTGCATGGGTGCCTTACGGTTTGTTTATTCGTTCACCTGTTGAAGGACGTCTGTGTTGTTTCCAGCTCTTGTGATTATGAATAAGGCTGCCCTAAACATTTGCATACGGGTTTTTTGTGTGACCACGTTTTCAGTTCATTTGGGTAAATGAGTGGAGATTGCTAGGTCACATGATATGGGTCTATTTAACTTTTTAAGAAACTGCCCAGTGGTTTTCTTCTAAAGGGGCTGTGCCATTTTGCAGCCTCATCAGCAGGAAGAGTTCCCGTTGCTCCAAATCTTCGCCAGCCCTTGAATATGGTCAGGTTGTTTTCCTTTTTTTTTTTTTCTCTTTGTTTTCTTTTTATTTTCTTTTTGAGGTGGAGTTTTGCTCTTATTGCCCAGGCTGGAGTGCAAAGGTGCGATATCAGCCCACTACAACCTCCACCTCCTGAGTTCAAGCGATTCTCCTGCCTCAGCCTCTCAAGTAGCTGGGATTACAGGCATGAGCCACTGTGACCGGCCAACTTTTTGGGTTTTTTGTTTGTCTGTTTTGAGACAGGGCCTTACTGTGTCGCTTAGGCTGGATGGGGTGCAGTGGTGCAGTCACAGCTCACACAGCTCTGTCTCCTGGACTTAAGCAGTCCTCCTGCCTTAGCCTCCCAAGTAGCTGGGACTACAGGTGCATGCCACCACACCCAGTGAGTTTTTCTTTTTAAAAAAAAATTTTATTTGTTTATTTTTTGAGACGGAGTCTCGCTCTGTCGCCGAGGCTGGAGTGCAGTGGCACAATCTTGGCTCACTGCAAACTCTGCCTCCCGTGTTCATGCCATTCTCCTGCCTCAGCCTCCCAAGTAGCTGGGACTACAGGTGCCTGCCAGCATGCCCGGCTAATTTTTTTGTATTTTTAGTAGAGACGGGGTTTCACCATGTTAGCCAGGATGGTCTCGATCTCCTGACCTCGTGATCCGCCCACCTCGGCCTCCCAAAGTGCTGAGTTTACAGGCGTGAGCCACTGTGCCCGGCCCTCACATCCGGTGAGTTATTAAAAAAACTTTTTTAAGGGCTGGGCACGGCGGCTTATACCTGTAATCCCAGCACTTTGGGAGGCCGAGGTGGAAGGATTGTTTGAGCTCAGGAGGTTGAGACCAGCCTGGGCAACATGGTGAAACCCCATCTCTTTAAAAAAAAAAAAAAAGAAAGAAAGAAAGGAAAGATGGAAGAAAGAAAGAAAGAAAGAAAGAAAGGAAAAAAAGAAAAGATTTAAAAAAATTTTTTTTTGTTAGAGAGTCTCACTATGTTGCTAAGGCTGAGCTCAAACCCCCAGCCTCAAGTGATCCTCCTGCCTCAGCCTCCCAGAGTGTTGAGATTATAGGCGTGAGCCAACACACCTGGCCCCGTTCTTTATTTAACTTTTTGAGTAACTGCCAGACTGTTTTTCAGCAGCTGTGCCATTTTACATTCCCCCCCAGCCGGGTATGAGGGTTCTGATTTTTCTACATCCTCACCAGCAACTCATTTTCTGCCTTTTTGATTATAGCCGTCTGTCCTAGTGGGTGTGAAGTGGTACCTGGTTAGGTTTTGATTTGCATCTCCCTGACGGCCGACGGTAATGAGCATCGTTTTCATGTGCTTATTTGCAACCCATATATTCTCTTTGGTAAAGTATCTGTTCAGAATTTTGCCCTTCCCTCTCATTAAAAAAAATTGGGTTAGCTGTTTTCTTGTTGTTGAGTTTTAAGAGTTCTGTATATACTCTGGATACAAGTCCTGTACTTGGTATATGAGTTGCAAATATTTTCTCCAAGTCTGTGGCTTATCTTCTCATTCTCTTAATAGTATATTTTTGTCTAGCAAACGTTTTTTATTTTGATGGACGTCTTACTGTTGTTTTTCTGGCGAGTGCTTCTGGTTTTGTGTCTGAAACCCTTTGCCACACTTGAGGCCCATGCCTCTGTTTTCGCTGTCCGCTGGCGGCATGCACCAAGCCCACTGTTGAGAGAGGCGGGGGAGACTGTCAAAGGGTAGTGGGTATCTAGTAAGGGAGGCCCTTGTCATTTATTCTTCGCAAATGAGGGTTTTTTTTTTTTTAATGTTCGTTTACAGTGAGGAGGAGGAATTGCTTTTCTTCCATTCTTTGCTGGAGTTTCATGGATTTCTTCATGTGTCAGATATTTACCAAGTCTAGGCCCAGTGAAGACCAAGTGAACACGTTCCCCTCTCTTGTGGAGTTCACAGACTGACAGGGCAAGAGACGGCAGACACACGGGAGAGGAAGTGACCCATCAGAATGAGTTCCAGGAAGCCCAGGGGCTGGGTGCTATGAGTGTGTCACGGGGACCCAGTTAGAAAGGGTCGGTTGGGTTCTCTTAAGAAGCGAGATTGACTTCTTTTTTTTTTTTTTTTTTTTTTGAGGTGGAGTCTTGCTCTGTCACCCAGGCTGGAGTGCAGTGGCGTGATCTCGGCTCACTGCAAGCCCTGCCTCCTGGGTTCACACCTTTCTCCTACCTCAGCCTCCCGAGTGGCTGGGACTACAGGCGCCCGCCACCATGCCTGGCTAATTTTTTTGTATTTTTAGTAGAGAGGGGGTTTCACCGTGTTAGCCAGGATGGTCTCGGTTTCCTGACCTCGTGATCCACCTGCCTCGGTCTCCCAAAGTGCTGGGATTACAGGCGTGAGCCACCGTGCCCGGCCGATTGACTTCTTCTTATGTGAGGCTGAGAGGATGGGGTGGTCCCTTCTAGGGGGAGGGGCAGCTGTTTGAAAGGCAGAGTCCAGGTGATGAAGCGGGGCTGGGGCGAGTGTGAGGGAGGTGAGCTGGGTGGGCAGAGCTGCTCATCCGCTGGGGGTGACATGGTGGCATTTGCTGTTAGATCCTGCATAAGGGGTCGAGTCCTCTGGGTTCACCTGCCTCTTTGGGCGTAAGCTCTGTGGCCGTGGCTTCAGAAGCCCCAGCCAGGTGCCTGTCCCACGCCTGTCCCATGATGTTCTGGAGTAGGTCAGTGACATTATAATGCAGACCTGGCTCCATCTCTCCCAGAAGGAATTCAGTGGCTGCCAAACAGGAAGTGCTTGTCTGTGCCCTGGAGTCAGTTAGGAGGCAGGGTGAGGGCCTCGGGAGGGGCTGCAGAGCTGACCTGGGAGGCTTTGATGCCCTGGTCCTGGGCAGGGCAGGGGCCGGGGGCTGCCGGCCTCCCCGAGCCTTCCCGGGGTGGGGGCCCCCACTGACATGCATGGCCCTGCTCGGGCTGGGACTGGCTCTCGGGGTCTCTTTCAGCTTTACCGCTTGGTGACCCCGCCACGTTCCCGCTTTACGTTCCCAGCAGACTTTAGCATGGTTGATTTTTGTCTTGCTTTGTTTTGAGGCATTAGCCAAGATCAGCAGCTGGACTCAGGAGCTCTTCTCTGAGGCATCATTTGATGTGACTTAATTTCCTTGGCAATCCTTTTAGCTCTCACCTTTGTCGCTTTCATGCCAGTGCTGGCTGCCAAGTAGTCCTGCGTTTCTGGCTTGGTGTGCTTGGCAAAACCGAGAGGGGCAGAGAGAGCTGCTGTCAGATGGGGAGAGGGGTCATCTGAGATGACAGTGGCCTGCTTTCCTCTCCTGTGGCCGGTGTCGGCTCGCAGCCCCCCAGGTGCCCTGTAGATGCAGTCACATGAGGGGATGCTGGCCGGGGCACTTGTTTCTATTGAACCCGGTACCAACAGCACCAGGAAAGGGGAGTGTGGCTGTTTGGGGCGGTAAAACTTGCCCTGCCCCTGACGCCAGATTCCTCTTCCTTCAGTCTAAGTCTCCCGTGACTTCAATTGAAGGAACCCGTCCTGAGAGCAGGAGAGAAAGCACATGAGGGGTACACACTGATTGTGAGAGACAGTCCAGTGTTAGAAATGGCCAAGTGTGAAAAAGAAGTTTATTTTGGTTATTTGCCACTAATATTAGACCTCCTCCCCAACCCCTGCAACAAGCTGTCATTGGACAGGGAGCCACAGCCATCACCAGTCCACCGTGGCCTCCCACACGCAGATGTCCGAGGGCACAGGAAGGGCATTACGTGGAGAGTTTTAAAAGTAAGTTAAACCGCACTGGCCTCATAGCCTTAAGACCCTCAGAGGCATCTTCCTGACACATCCTGGGTGGCTTGTGTTGGGGGGCCCTAGGCAGTCGCACATGACAGGGGAGGTTCCAAGGACACCAAGCCGGGGTGCCCTCCATAGCCGCCACCCTCTGTAGAGTGGAGATGGCTCTTAGCTGCAAATGCTGCCCTATATGGGTTCCACTTGGGCTGCCCCTGCGTGCGCTCAGTTTGAGACTGGGGAGAGCAGGTCTTGAGGCAGGGAGGCTGGGAGGCAGGGAGCCCCCTCTGAGCCCCCATTGTCTTCTCCCCTTGCCCCTGACCTGCTGGCGCAGAAGCGGAGCAACGCTTCTGCAAGCAACTCCCTCCCTGGCTCCCAGGCTCCCAGGGCCTTGCAGAGTTCAGGAGGCGGGCAGCCCCTCTGGTGAGCCCATAGAGCGCTCCGCCAGGGACAATCGGCCGGTTGATGTGGCCGAGGGGGAGGCCTTGGCTGGTGGATTGCCGAGGGAGCCAGAACAGAAGCCACATTGTGTGCGGGGACCCAGGGCAGGGCCGAGCTGCCGCGTTGTGACAAGCCGCATGGATGCGTGCCAGCTGTGGCGCAGTCTGTCTTTCCCCAGAGCATCCTTCTGTTCCCTGAAGTGGGTCCCCAGATGCATCTGTGTTTCCTAGAGGGCGGGTCTGGAGCCGGGCAGAGAAGCACAAGGAAAGAACGAAGGTGCCCATCGCTGCAGGGAGAGAGGAGGTGCTGCGCAACCCTGCGCCCGCCACGGCCACCCCAGGACCTCCAAGGCTGGGACGGTGGGACGGCCCAGAGGCCCAGAATGCCTTCTCCTGGGTCCCTAGAGAAGGGGCTGGAAGAATTGGCTGGGCATTGAAAGCGCCCATTATGTTCCCCAATTTCCTATCTCGGCATGTACCTGATAAAATTCTTTCCTGGCTTCTCTGAGGCCATCTTTCCGACTGTTTGTGCCTCCTGTACAGGACGAAGGCATCTGCCCTGTGGCTCCCAGAGCAGGGAAGGTGCTGTCCAGCGGGGGTGCTAGGGGCCTGGCGCCCTGGAGCCCTGAATGGACCCTGCCTCCAGCTGGACTCTGCCTGGCAGTGGCTTGGGGGACACGGGCTCTCGGGATGGGGCGGGGGTCTAGGAGCTGTGGGTTCCGGCGGCCTCAGTTCAGGGTAGAGAGAGGCTGTCCTCATACTGGGCATGAGGGAGGCAGGAGGCCCCGGGACTGACCACTCGCAGGTCTCAGCTCAGCTGCTCTCAGCCTGGCAGCATTGGGCCGGTGACTTTCATGGGCTCATCTTGGGGATACCTCCTCCTGTCTTCATTTGTTATGGTCCAGATTTCAAACTGCCATTTTACAGGTGTTTACGTTGCTGGCTGCTTTCTGCCTTTTCTGGTGTCAGACTGAGGAGAAATCATTAAGTTTGGCTTCCAGTTAATAGAAGCCAAACTTTAAGTCTAAAAACGTCTGTTTCCATGGAGAGCATTTTAAAATGTGGTGTCTGCATTTCTGCCTCCTCCTTTTGGTTTCTAATTGCTCATCGATGCAGGAATTGATTCTGGTTATCGGAAATGCGAAGCACAGAAGGACGCAGGGTAGGAACTGGAGCTCCTCCCTTTTCCTTCCCTCTGCCCCTGAATTCTCCTGCTGTCTCGGGAGGTTCGTAGCTGAGTGTGGGGTCCAGTCTCTCCCTGTGCGTCTGACATCACCCCCACAGCGCTTTTGAATCTGAGAGCTGTAGGGTTCCGTGGTGCTCTCAGTCTCGTGGTTTGCTTTCTTCTCCCAACGGTGTATCCCGGGGGTCTCTGGGCCAGCGTGTGATGAGGAGTAGCACTTGAGTGCCTGTATATGGGGTGGGTTCTGCCTTTCCCACTTCACAGGTGAGGACGCTGAGCACAGATGGGCAACGTCACCTGCGCCGGGTGCCAGCTCCGCTTGGAGCCCGCCCTCTGCGTCACCTGCTGTGTCTGTCGAGCTCCTTCCAGTGGCGGCAGCGTGCTCCACAGTGGAGTTTGAAGTTCAGGGGTACAAGAAGAAAACTCCCCCGCCTCCCCTGACCAGGGCCAGCCTCTTCCAGGCAGGCCTGTAGGTGGCTGGCTTTCGCTGTTTCACATGGGGCTGCAGGCCCTGAGCACATGTGTGGGAGGGGGCGGGGCCTCTGGGGTCTCCCTGGCCTCCCAGGCTGAGCGGTCAGGCAGGCGTGAAGGGGCCTGGGCTAATGCTGCCCACACTGTCCTCCCAGCCAGAGGCACCGGTGGCCTTTCTGCCTCTTTCCTGTTTGATTCCTGCCTCTCTCTGAGGCTCAGAGAGGTGCAGCAGCCCGTCCAGGGTCACACAGTGAGCCAGTGCTGAGCCGCTTCAGCATCCAGGAGTCCTCTGACTCCTGGTCAGAGGTTTTCAGCCCACATGGTGCTGTTTTACCTAAGCCTTAAAAAAAAAAAAGTTTTTCTTTTGATGACAAAGCCAAGGTGATATATGCAGATTACAAGGAATTGAAATCCTCTCCATGATAAGCAATGTTTGTCCTGCCAAAACAGTTCTCTGTGTGCGTGAGTCTGAGTGTGCATGTGAGTGTGTATGTGTACAGGTGTGTGGATGTGAGTGGGTGTGTATATGTACATAGGTGTGTGTGTAAGTCTGAGTGTATGAGTGTGGGGGTGTGTGTGTACACGGGTGTGTTTGTGTGTGTGTTTGTACACAGGTAGGTGAGGGATGAGTATGGACGTGTATGAGTGTGTGTACATGGGTGTGTGGGTGGGTGTGTGCATGTGCATGTGTGAGTACACAGGTGTGCATGTGGGTAAGTGTGGGTGTGTGTACGCATGCGTGTGTGCATGTGTGGGCGTGAGTGTGACTCACACCTCTGAACTCCCTGCCCGTGGCCCTCCGGCGTCAGCACAGGCCGCTGTGCCTGGTTCTGGCCAGGGTCCATGTCGTGTTCCCTGGCATTTGTGTCAGCTGTCATTTATCTGACTAGGGGGGACATTTGGCATCTCCGGGTCTCCCTCTGCAGGGGTGCCTCGGTGACCCCTCGTACGTTGGTTTATACTCTGTGGGTATTTCGGTCGGATCGCATCCTGGACGTGGGATTTCAGGGATGAGGTTGTTTGCCTCTTGGGCGTCTTTTTTCCACATTTCTGTCTTCCCTTGCTTTCTTGCCGGACTGTGTGTCAGCCCCATTCCAGTATGCCGTGGACCGGTGAACGCGAGAGCCTAGTGCCTTACAGCTGTGTCCAGAGGAGGGGCAGGGCTCTGTGGACGCGAGAGGCTTTTCATGTGTGGACTAGTGGGTTTGGCACTTACTGGTTCTGTGAGGCTTCGGTAAATGGCCAGATGCCACGAAACCTGAGCTTCCTCTCCTAGCAGCTGGTGAGAGAGTGATGCCCTCCTGGAGTGTTGGTGTGGACTGACTAAGGCGTGGCGGGGTAAGGCCTGTGGCCCCACACCCAGCCCCACAGGGCTCGCTGCCTAGTTCCAAGGTAGCCGCCTGAAGCAGAGCAAGGCGTTTGCTGCTGGCCGGAGAAGGCCCTGGCGGAGGAGGCGTTTGGCTGCTGGCCGGAGAAGGCCCTGGTGGAGAAGGCGTTTGCTGCTGGCCGGAGAAGGCCCTGGCGGAGAAGGTGTTTGCTGCTGGCTGGAGAAGGCCCTGGCGGAGGGCTCCATCTGGGCTCCATGGCGGGGACTTGCCTGGTTCCCCACTGTCTTCCCAGCTCCAGGACAGGGGCAGGGTGGAAGGGACACAGGTGGTGTTGAATTCAAATTGAGAGCTGTGAGGCAGGCTGGGGGCCAAGCCAAGCTTATCTATTTAATTCTCCTTTCTAATATAGATGACGTAAAAAGCATACACAGAAGCAGAGAGAATGGCAGAGCAGCCGCCCCCCACCTCCGGCTCCCACAGCCGCCAGCCTGCATGGGGTGCTTTCTCCTCTCTCCCCGCAAGGGTTGTTTTGAATCAGGTCCTAGACATCACGTCTACTAATCTGCTAATATTTCCTGCTGTGCCTGTAAGATAAGATTCTTAAAACAAAAACCCTAACCACAATATCATTCTGGCTAGAAATTGGTAAATTAGTAATTCTTTAACATTATCACATGCCCAATACCATCAGTTTCCCCTATCATCTCTCACACACACAGTCAGCTCTCTAGAGCCTGCAGCTAGTTCCCTGCAAAAACTGAGGGAAGCTCTGTGTGTGTGGACATACGTCTTTTAAAATTAACGTGTTCATGTCAGGATTCAAGTAAGGTTGGAGCTTCTCTCTGTCTTTCCCTCTTTAAGTCAGGGTCTCACTCTTGCCTAGGTTGCATGCAGTGGCCTGATCATAGCTCATTGCAACCTCGAACTCCTGGGCTTAAGGGATCCTTCTGCCTCAGCCTCCTGAGTAGCTGGTGCTACAGGTGCACTACTACACTCAGCTAATTAAAAAAAATTTTTTTTGTAGAGATGAGATCTCACTGTGTGCATGAGGCTGGACTCAAACTTCCGACCTCAAAGCGATCCTCCCACTTCAGCCTCCCAAAGTGCCGGGATTGCAGGCATGAGCCATTGTGCCAGGCCCAAGCATTTCTCTTGATTGCTTCGTCTCTTAAGCATCTTTTTTTTTTTTTTTTTTTGAGACAAGAGTCTCACTTAGTCGCCCAGGCTGGAGTGGCTCAATCTCCATCATTGCAAGCTCCGCCTCCTGGGTTCATGCCATTCTCCTGCCTCAGCCTCCCGAGTAGCTGGGACTACAGGCGTCCGCCACCACGCCCAGCTAATTTTTTTTTTTTTTTTTTGTATTTTTAGTAGAGATGGGGTTTCACTGTGTTAGCCAGGATGGTCTCGATCTCCTGACCTTGTGATCCACCTGCCTCGGCCTCCCAAAGTGATGGGATTACAGGCGTGAGCCACCGCGCCTGGCCAAAATGTTTTTTTAAGCCCAGCATGTGTCTGTGAACCCTGGGGCCTCAGAGGGGAATGCTGAGCAGCCGCTGGACAAGCTTGGCGGGGCAGAGATGGCCAGGAGACAGCCAGGGTCGGCAGGAGCGGGAAGACCTTGCAGGAGGGCTGGTTGCTCTCCCCTCACATCCAGGATTGGGAGGGAAGGCTGGGTGTCCTCCAGGTGGGGTGTGGGGCAGAGGGAGTGTGGCCTCTCAGAGGTGGTGGCAGCAGCAGGCGCTCCACGCATGGCCCGCCGGCCACAGGGCCTTTGCCTTGCTGTGCCTCGTGCCAAGGCCAGCCTGGCCACTCGGCGCCTGTGATCCTCATCCCAAGGAGCACCAGCAGGCGTGGCGGGCTCGCTGCCTGGACTCCCCACCCCGGGCACGGGATGGTGCATGCTGCAGCCTTTGGCACAGGCACCTGTTTGGCCAGTTCGTCTGCATCTTAGTTTCCCGAGGCCAGAGAGACGCTGGCTCGTGGCCAGCAGCCTGGGAGTGGGGAGCTGCTCGCGACCTGGCCCGGCCCAAGAACACGTGACTCTAGGAGGCTACTGACATTAGTGGGTCACAGCACAGTCCGGCTGGAGTCGCTAAGGGTGTCCCACCTGGGCTGGTTGGCCAGCCACCTTTGACTTTGCCATTGCTCACGGAGCCTGCTGCCAGGCCTCAGGGGCATGAAGGAGCTGCTATCCCAACATCTCCCAGGAGGCTGGTTTCCAGGGGTAGCCAGGAAGGGGTCCGCAGCCCCCTGGGATGCTCCTAAGCTTTGTAGGCCCAGGTCTCGTGTAGAGGGCATGCCGTTTAGTCATTCCCAGTGCCCGTGACTCACTGGCCGCTTCCAGCAGCCAATCTCAATCCCAGGGTGCTGGCCGCAGGGTGCTTCGGGGCGTGACCTCTACCTGGCCGGCAGGGGGTGCCTTCCTTGCTTTTCGGTGCTGCCCCTCTCTGCAGTTGTGAACATGCCGGGTCTCCTCGTCGTGGCTGCCTTCCCTGTTTGGTTTGTGTGGGCAACAGGAACCTCTCCAAGACCTGGGGCTTCCCAAGAACCTCTGCCGGGGTGCGCTGGCTCTGCTGCTGCCCAGATCCCCTGTCTGATTCAGCATCTTCATCTGTGACGGGGGGACACCAGGAACCCCTGGGTTTGGGGCTGTGAAGCATTCGTATCCGCTGAGTGCTTAGAAAGTGCCTGGTCACCATCAGCGCTCTGCAGACACTGTGACACGGTACAGTTGGTGTCACACTGGTGTCACTGCTGCGTGGCTGTTTCGCCTTTGTGCTCTGACTATCCGTAAGATTAGAGACCTCTTCTCTCTTGTGATCCCTGCTGGGATCTTATGGTAGGCGCCTGTGGCATTTTTGGTGGATACATGAGTATTTAGGGATGTTCAGCAGACAGGGTGCTAGTCCAGCACCAGGCCCATCAGGAACAAAACAGGACAGTCCCATTGTGTGTGGTGTTCATGGGTCAGTGGGATGCTGGGACAGAAGACAGACATGCTTTGGACTGTAAGGAGAGCTGGCAGAGAGTGAGCTGTGCTCTGTGCCTGGGGACAGCAGCAGGCCGGGATAAGGGCGGGTGGGGGTCAGGAAGGGGTGAGCTGGGTGGAGGAGGCGTGGAAGAAGGCAGCATGTCCCTCTGGCTGCACCGAGGATGTGGAGCCTCCTCCAGGCTCATCGAGGCCATTGGTGGGCTAGGGTGAGCCCTGAGCCCATGGAGATACCGTGCCTGAAAGGGGGCTGTGGTGGAAGCGGGTGACGGTTAGGAGGCAGGTGGTCCAGGAGAGAGGGGCTGGCTGAGGAGCTTGGGAGAAGCGGCTGGACTCGCTGTGCAGCCAGGGTGCACAGCTGTGGCCAGGAGTGTGGAGAGGAGAGGACCCAGTTCCGAGCCCCAGGGTGCCCTGTGCCAGGCAGTGGGCAGAGCTAGGGAGCGTCCCTGGGGCATCCCAGTGCTTTGGTACCGTCTGGCTGCGCCTCCCCAGGTGCCCTTCTTAGCCCAGGCTGCTTTGTGGGGGCACTCACGGCTTCTGTGGGTGATAGGCAGGGTGCTGAGCACTGTGGCTGTGGCATTGCAGCGAATCCCCCCATGCTGCCCGTGAGGAACCTGAGGCCTAGGAGGCAGGACCGTGGCCAGGCTCCTGCTGGTGTCCCTCAGGCCCCAGGCTTTCTGCACGAGGATGCCCCCCAGCCACGTTCATCCTCTGCACAGCCGTGCTGCCAGCGTCCACTCAGAAGTTACCAGGGAAAGTTGGAAGCATTTACAGAGGCAGATGCAACAAACCCCCTCGTAGCCGTCACCCACCCAAAGGTGGTCCCTGCACAGCCAAGCCCGTTCCAGCCTGCGCTGCCCTCCTGGTCATTCTGGAGCAAATCCCAGACATCCTCATTTCATGTGTAAATATTTCAAAAGGGGCCTCTAACAAGACAGTGCTACCAGGACCATACCCATGAATTAGTCATCTCTTATGTTACCATGTTACTTGGTTATATTAATTGATGATTAATAATCCCTTAGTCTCTCAATATGCCAGTGTTTAAAGTCTTGTTTTTTTTTTTTGTTTGTTTGTTTGAATCAGGACATTGATGAGATCCACACGCTGTGATTCTTTGGTTTGTCTCTTAAATTCCTTTCTAGATTCTCCCGCCCCCTTTTCATTCAAGCACTCTTTTTTTGCTTTGCTATGTATTTGGTGAAGAGTCAGGACCATGTGTCCCACAGAGCTTGGTACCATCTGGTTTTTGCTGCTTGTGGACATGCAGTGGCACTCAGGATCGCCCTCTGACTCGTGTGTCCGTGTCTTGGGGGCCTGAATCTGGAGGCTTGGTCTCTCTGTGTGGCTGCCCACGTCTCTGCTGTCGGCCAAGTGGATGGTGAGGTGCTAGGATGCTCTCGTGGTCCTTCTTGGGTCAGCTAGGACAGTCTGTGCAGGTTAGCTGCTTGCCTTCTCCGGGTTCACCTAGTGGTGTCACTTCTGTAGGAAAGGCAGGACAAGAGCTCTCCTCCCCCACCTCGTTCCCCTTTATCTGCCAGGTTCCAGCCAGCCCTGTGCCCAGAAGTGCCTTTGCGCCATAGGCCGGAGGGTGTGGCTTCCTGAGACATGGATGTGACCGTTGTTCCTGAGCTGAAAACCCTCCTCCACCTCCGGACAGGGCTCCCCCTCCGCAGGGGCGGCCAAGGCCCTTCTCCCCAGGGTCGGCGTCACCACCTGTCTCCACCACAGCTGTGCTGGAGCCCGGGGGTCCCGCGAGGACACCGCAGTCCATGCCACTGTTTCCTGTGTGAGGCCACGCGTGCTCCTGGCGGTCCAGCCTGGGCACCCGTCCACCTCTTACCCTTCTTGAGCCAACCAGCTCCTGGCCATCCTTCAGCCCCACCACAGCCTCCAGGGAGCCTTCCCAGCCCCTCCCACCCCTGCTGCTGGACCATCCCCCCTCCAGTCTGCCCTAGCATCTCACTCAGTTGGCTCACTTGGAACTAGGCCAGCTGCGTACCTCGGGGGAAGACAGGAGAGGAGTCCTCACAGCCCCAGGTTCCCAGTTTGGCAGGGACCCACTGGGACAAGTGTCTCCTTAAAGGCAGGGGCCACAGAGGAGGGGCACGTGGCCACATTTGAGTCCTCAAGGAAAGCTGCGTAGGGGAAGTGTGGACTTGGCGGGGGGCGTGTCGGTTAGGGATACATTCAGTTGCTCGGACCAGCTGTGTAGCAGGGGCTTCCTGTAGGGGCTGGTCTTCTTACAGGACAAGAAGGCAAGAGGCGCCAGGGCCTGGCATCCCTCCACATAGTCCTGTGGTGGAAGCCGCCCCCACAGGCACCACCTCTCGCGTTTTGGCAGGACAAAGAGAGGTGGTGAGAAACTTTGTCCCTGCAGTTTTGTTTATGACTTGGGAAGGAAAGCCCTCCCTAGGCCGCCCTCCCTTCCATGTCCTTACCCAAGCCTGTCACATGTCCCCTCGGACAAGGGGAGGGAGCCCTAGCCTGGCCCAGACAGGTCACACCTCCCCGCCTGGGGCTGGGGCAGAGACCCACTTTTCTGAGATCAGGGCTTTCCCCACACAAGGTCACTGTCGGCCACACCCGCTGGCCTTGGATCGGGAACCTGTTCATGTTCACTTGTCTGCTCTGACCGGACTCGTGGTTCTGGAGGCTCCTTCCCATGCAGGTGCACTTGGGACTCCTGGGCGGCCGCAGGAGCTGCCGCTGCCAACTGTGTTACTAGCTGGGCCCCGACTCCCAGGAGGCGCCTGTCCCCGGAGCTTGCGGAGCCTGGTGCCACCCGTGTGAGCCGTCCGGCACTGCAGGCAGGCTGGGGAGAGACGGCACTCTGCAGCACCTCGAGCCCCTTGGTCTGTCCCCTCTCACCAGGACTGAGGGTGTGGCCGTACACCTGCGAGCTTAGGCTGCTGGGGAAAGGGCTGAGAATAAAGAGGGTGCAGAGGACGCCGGGCCCAGAGCTCTGCCTTGCGTCCCCACTGCTGACTGAGCCGGTGTGATGTCTCGAGCTTCTCAGCAGTGTTCCCCAACTCAGAAGCCTTCACGGGACGCCCATCCTCTTAGTTATTTTTATCCCGGTGGACTGCATTTTAACAAAGTGCGTTGTGATTCACCTACCATAAAATTCAGCCTTTTAAAGTGTACAGATGTGGTGGTTTTAGTACATTCACAGTGTTGTGCAATCATCACAAGTTTTAAATTCCAGCATATTTTCATCACCCCCAAAAGAAACCCTGTGTCTGTTAGAGCCACTCCTGCACTTCCCACCCGCCAAGGTACCAACTCATCCATGTCTCTGCATTTGCCTCAGCCTCCCAAAGTGCTGGGATTGCAGGCATAAACCACGATGCCTGGGCCAAAATTTTGAAATGTTTCCGAAGTTCACGTGATCTAATTTTCCTTAGTTGCCTGTGCTTTTGGTGTTGTATTATAAGAAACAATTGCCTAATGCAGTGTCGTGATTGATACCTGTATTTTCTTCTGAGAGCTATGTGGCGTTAGTGCTTACGTCCAGGTCTCTGATCCATTTTGAGTTGTTTTCTGTGTGTGGGTGGAGTAGGGCCACCACCATTCTCCCCCGGGTGGGTATCCAGTTGTCCCAGCACCATTGGTTGAAGAGACTCCTCAGTCCCCATTGAGTGGTGTCGTCACCCTTGTCAAGCACCAGCTGCCCATAATGTTAGGACATGAGCCTGCATGTTTGTTTGCTTGTTTGTTTGTTTGTTTGTTTTTCAGACAGAGTCTTTCTCTGTCGCCCAGGCTGGAGTGCAGTGGTGCAATCTTAGCTCACTGCAACCTCCGCCTACCGGATTCAAGTGATTCTCCTGCCTCAGTCTCCCGAGTAGCTGGGATTACAGGCTCCTACCACCATGCTCGGCTAATTTTTGTATTTTTAGTGGAGACAGGGTTTCGCCACGTAGCCCAGGCTGGTCTCAAACTCCTGACCTCAAGTGATCTGTCTGCCTCAACCTCCCAGAGTTCTGGGTTACAGGCGTGAGCCACCGCGCCCGGCCCATGCACGTTGTTTCCATGAAAACCTCCCTTCTTCCGTGTGACATTCGTGCTTGTCATAGTGCGGTTTTCCCACACTCCCCTGGGACCTGTGGCTTACATCATTTGGGATGGGGCAGGGTTCTTAAGGAAAAGCAGATGAAATTGTCTTGCTTCAGCTGGGCGCGGTGGCTCACACCTGTAATCCCAGCACTTTGGGAGGCTGAGGCGGGTGGGTCACGAGGTCAGGAGATGGAGACCATCCTGGTTAACATGGTGAAACCCCGTCTTTACTGAAAATACAAAAAATTAGCCAGACGTGGTGGCGGGCGCCTGTAGTCCCAGCTGCTTGGGAGGCTCCAGGCATGAACCAGGGAGGTGGAGCTTGCAGTGAGCCGAGATCGCGCCACTGCACTCCAGCCTGGGCAACAGAGCAAGACTCCATCTCAAAAAAAAAAATGTCTTGCTTCGAAATTTCAAGGTTCACAGAAACACAGCCCCTGCACATGTGGCTAGGCCTCCACAGGAGCCCGTGCAGACAGCTCCTTCCTGCAAGCCTGCCTGCCCTGAGCCCTCCTGGCCTTTCTGTATTCATCACAGCCCCTCACTCACAGCCCTTTTCCAGGCCACCCTGTCAACTCCTCACACCTTCGTGCGGAAAATCCATCAGCGCCTGCCCCATGCCAGGCGAGCGTCCCTGTCTTCTGGGGTGGCGAGGGTGCGGGGCGGCACCCAAAGTGGACAGAGCCTCCTGGAAACTGGGTCGTGACCTTGTACTTTTGCCCCCTCTGGGTGCTGTGCTGTCGTTTGAGTCTGTGTCCTGTGTCCTGCGTCTGTCGGGCTTGGCCCTGGCTGCAAAGGAAGTGGGGAATAGAGGTGGTGAGATTGTGGGCCTCAGAGGCCTGGGGCAGGTCTCAGTGCTGCCACGTGTTAGTTGGTGTCTGTGCGTCGGTTTCCCTGTCTGTCAGTGGCGCTGTGAGGGTTGAAGGGGGTACATGTTTCCCATAACAGTCCGAGAGCATGGCTATGAATGAGCTTTCTTTCTGCCATGGGGCCTGCAAGACCCAGTTAGCTGCACATAGTAAGCTGGTCGATTTTGAATAAGGGCAGGGCAGGAGGTGCCCTGAGAGAGAAGTGGGCGCAAATCGGAGGGAGGGGAACAGAGGCCCAGTGAGGGAGAGGGGAGGACCAGGGCCAATGGGGAGCTGTGTCCCTGCACCACGGCCACCCTCTGATGCAGACTTTCTTGTTTTCTCTGTTTCAGGAGGAGCCGAGGAAGGTCTGCTTCACCTACGACCTGTTCCTGAACCTGGAAGGCAACCCGCCCGTGAACCACCTGCGCTGCGAGAAGCTCACCTTCAACAACCCCACCACGGAGTTCCGGTACAAGCTCCTGCGGGCCGGCGGGGTGAGTGTGCCCCGCCCCTGCCCGCCAAGGGGCCGCTCCACCGAGGCTACTTTGCTGCGGCCGTCTGTGCCCAGCCAGAGGTGTCGGTGCTGGGGGCCGAGACCCAAGGCGCAGGTCACACGGCAGCACCCAGCAGAGCTGGAGGGGACCTGGGAGCTCCACAACCTGTGCCGGGGCGTGGTGGCTGCAGGTGACTCGTTGCTGGTCACCCTGTGCTTCTGGGTGGCCATGGGTAATTAGCACCTTCCTGCAGGAAGTGCTGGGAAGGGATGGGCGCGAGGCTGGTCTGACCGCGTGGCTGGGCCTGGAGCTGGCTTGTAACTAGCTGGGCAGGGCCTCCGCACAGGGCCCCTGCCGTGCGCATCGCCATCACCTCTGACTTCGGGAGGCCAGACGACAGTGCCAGCTCTGGGACCAGGGCTCTCCAGGAGTCGTGTGGCCGGGACCCCCATGCGGTGGCTGGAGTCGAGCCCTCCGGACCCTGTGGGGGCTCAGAGTTCCCCACGAGGGCTCTTGGCAACAGGGTGGGCGCAGGGCTGGTGGTGGTTATGGAGGAGGGGGGCGTGGAGGGAGGGACGTGCAGGCTGAGGCCTGGTCACAGAACAGCAATGCCACCTTCAGGGCCCAGGGCCACAGAGCCTTTGCCTGGGTGCCAGCCTGAGCCTGTGATGGAGCGGGCTGGGGTGGCGTGTTGTGTGTCGTGTGCGGTGTGTGGTGTGTCATGTGTATGTACGTGTGTTGTGTGTGGCATGTGTCTCGTGTATGGTGTGAGTGGCATGTGTGGTATGGGGTGTGTGTCGTGTGTATGTGTGGGGTGTGGCATGTACAGTGTGTGGCATGTGTGGCATGTAGGGGTGTGGTGTGTGGTGTCACGGGTGTGGGGCGTGTGTGTGTGTTGTGTGGTATGTACATACGCTGTCTGCTGTGTCATGTATGGTGTGTGCATGGCGTGTGTGTCGTGTCACTTGCGGGAAGTGTGTGGTGTGTCACGCACGTATGGTGTGACGTGTGTTATGGGGAGTATGTGAATGTGTCAGGTGTGTATGTGGCATGTATGACGTGTGGGGTATGCGGGTGGGGTGGGTCGCCTCCTGAGTGGATTTGGGGCACCGTGGCTGTGGGTGTCAGGCTGGGGAGTCCTCCTTCCTCCTCATGGGGCATGGTCAGGTCCTTGGTGGCCGTCGTTCTCCTAAGAAGAAGGAGGCGTCTGTCCATGTAGAAGCTTGAGTGAGTCCTGCTGTGATCCTTGTGAAGCCCTGCTTGTGGTTCTGATCCGGGGAGGGCAGTGCCGGCGTGGGCCTATGTGGATGGCGTGGCTGAGTGCTGGGTGGCCTGAGGATGTGAGGGCTGGGTCCCAGCGCCCTCCTGGCTCCGCTTTTCCACCTTCTTTCATGGCCAGGTGTTTTCACCACGTTTGCAGTAGGTGTTTTTGGGCGTCCCCGGAGGTTCCGTGGTGGCGTGGCTGTGGGAAGTGGCGTTCCCTGGGCCGCTCTGGGCTGCAGCCAGGACCTGGCTCCCTGTGGGAGGCGGCTTCCTTTGCTCCACAGCGATGAAGGCTCTGAGGGCATCGTCTCAACACATAAAAGCCAGGGGCGGGGAGGAGGCGCGGGGCAAGGCTGGGAGGAAGGGCCAGTCAGGAGGGAGCGCTGGCTCCACAGAGAGACGCGCAGGCTGAAGCAGGCGCCGTGGGGGGTCTCTGCCCCAGGCGCTGGGCGCTCTGCCCTCTGAGGGTGGGCTGTCTGGGGAGCTGGCTGTCTGGGCAGGAACTTTCCAGGCCTCCAGGGCTTGCCCTGGAGTGGGGCTCTCAGCCTTAGGAGCAGCCGGAGGCCTCGGTGGCAGGGGCTCCTCTCGGGGCTTCCCGGGACCAGGCAGTGGCCGTCTAGCAGCAGGTGACCCCAGCCCCCCGCCGTGGGTGCTGGGAGACCCGGGAGGAGGGGCTGGTTTCTGTGTCAGCGAGCGCTGCTTTCTCTGCTCCTCTCACTGGGGGTTGCTTGGAGATCGGTAATGGGAGAGAGGGTAGGACTTTCCGCCGTTCCAGCCTTGTGCCCCTTAGGACCGTGTCTTGTCTCTGCCCCCATGGCTGAGGGTCTGTGTTTCCGCCGGGGAGCCTGGTCCTCCTGGCAGCACTTGTTGGAGGTGGGAGTCATCTGCGTGTTCAGTTCCCAGTTCCTTTTTCTCAACGGTCTGTGCTAGAGCGAGACACTGCGTGATCCTGAAACAGTCAGTCTAGGGCATTGTTTTGAGGGGAAAGAAGGTAAATTACCATGAGAGTCGAAGGAATGGGCCTGAGAGCGAATGGGGCTCAGCCTCCTGGCAAGCCCGTCTGTGCATGGCAGCCTTCTGTGGCTCCTCCGTGAGCTTGCGTGATGTGCGTGCTCCAGAGTGTGGAGGGCCTCCCGTGGCGTGTTTTCAGGGACGGCTGGGGCACACATGCTGTCAGTGCTGAGCTATCATGGTCAGACAGGCTCTGAGAAGCAGCTCAGAGCAGGGACCCTAGGGGCCCATGGCCTCTTTTCAGCCAATGTCCCCATGGCCGCATGACATCAGTGTCCTTAGATGAAAGGCTTGGCTGGCCGGGAACTGCAGGTGCTCAAGGCTGTTAGCAGTGCTTCTTCTACCGACTTCAATACTTTTTTTTTGAAGTGTATTTTCTTCTTTTGTTCTCTCTTGCGGCCATCTGGGAGGCTTTTCTCTGTGGTGGTGGCATTCCTTAACTCGCAGTGTTGATATCTCAAGACCTTGCTCCGAGCTTCCCCCTGCACAGCAGGTGTTTCCTGGGAGCCCTCCTGGAAGGACCCCAGAACTTTCGTCATCCGTAGCCTCTGATGGAGCGCAGGAGCAGGTGCCCCATGCTGCAGGCTCGCTGGCTCACTCGGGCCTGCTTTGCAGAGAGACCCCCCCAGTAGGCACAGGTCGTCTGCCTTGGTCTCGGCCTCAGCCTGGGTGCTCTTGCCCTGTTCGGGTCCGCTGCAGTCACCGCACACCAAGGACGGCTCATTCTCCGGGCACGTGGGACCCACTGGAGTTGCACCCATGTGCACCCCGGGAAGTTGCTGCCTGCCTTTCGCAGGCATCTGGCTGGCCTCTCACACTTCTGAGCTGTTCCCCCTAAACCTAAGCGCGTAGGTCAGGCTTCGGCCGCAGCTGCCTTCTCATGATTCTCAGTGTGCTCCGCAAGTCTTCTTGGGCCAGCCCTCCGGTCCACTGTTCCCGGAAGGCCGCGTGGCCCCACCTGGTCCCAGCCATCCTGGGACCCTGGGCTTTTCTTCGCTCCCCACCCATGCCTGCTTCTTCTGCGTGCTCAGCACCCAGTCCCCAGCAGGGAAGCACCT
The DNA here is from genome assembly GCF_000001405.40 of Homo sapiens. Lineage (NCBI taxonomy): Eukaryota > Metazoa > Chordata > Mammalia > Primates > Hominidae > Homo > Homo sapiens. The sequence continues at coordinate 6,227,237 of NC_000019.10, read as the reverse complement.
GGGATTCTTTCGGGAAAGCGCTCAGGCTCTCCCTTCTCCCCTCCTGCAGAGGGAAGCCCCACCACCTTCAGCCCGGCCCGTGTGGGCCCCCTGCCCCCTGCCCATCGATAATGACTGTCTCTTCTCTGTCACTAGGTGATGGTAATGCCCGAAGGAGCAGACACGGTGTCCAGGCCCAGTCCCGACTACCCCATGTTACCCACAATTCCACTCTCTGCCTTCTCTGACCCCAAGAAGACCAAACCATCCCACGGCTCCAAGGTTAGTGAGGCGGAAGGCCCAGTCGCGTGGGAGCGCCGGGGCCCAGCTGTGGTGGGTCTGGCCCCGGCGCCCTCCCTCCACTGGGCTGGGCCTTCCGCACCTGCTCGCTCCCTTGGCGTCTTCCTCTTTGAGCTCTCTGCACACCCCTCGCTGCGCACTGCCGCTTCCCTAGGATTTCAGGAATAAGCCCGTGATCATGGGCTCTTTGCCCTGTTCATCTTGAGGCCAGAGACCCTGCCTAGTCCTCTCCCGTTCTGCCAAGTGATGGCAGGGCCCCAGGACTGCTCGGCCTGAAGCCCTGAGACCTTCGCCGAAGGCTGTTGGGGCGGCCGCTGGGTAGAGTGTCTCTGTCTAGGCTGCAGCTACCCACCTCTTCAACCCTCCTGAGGGCAGCTGGGGCTACTTCTGCCCTTGGCTATGCCAGGCTTTGCATCTCGGGCTATGGCTCACTGCAGAGTTTCGTGGGGGAAGGGCAGGGGAAGCCAGGTGGGTGCCAGCTGAATTTCAGTGTGGAAGAAACTTTTTACGGTCTCATCTCGGCCCAGTCGGTCAGGTGGGTGGCACTCGGCCTTTCTGAGGCTTCTCTCTCTAAACCATCCCTGAGCAGCAATTCAGAAGACAAGCTAGAAAGCCCTTTGATGGCATCACAGTGTCCCTTTAACCCCTGAGCACGCCCCAGTCCTCTGTAGCTGCCCACTCAGCACAGCCGTTCCTGGAGGCTGAGCGGCACGGGCCCTCGGGGCAGCTGCCCGGTGCCTGCCACCCACACATCTCTCCACCGGTCCTCTCCTTTCTCCTCACCTCACTTGTCTGCCAGGCCCTGCGTGTGGGCCCAGCCATCCCAGGCAGGACAGGCAGGGCTCTCCAGCTGCCTCACAGACTCACCGTCAGCCATGCGGGAGAAGAACCGCAGCACCCAGGCAGGTCTTTCTGGCTCTTTCCCCAAGGCCAGCAGGTCTTAGAAATCGTCAGACTTGCCAGATTCTCTGAGTAGGAAACGGAACCCTGGGGTCTCCCCACTCGGCCTCCTGGCCTATCTCTCCCTGAGCCTTGTGGAGGCTCAATGAAGGAAAAGCTCTTGCTGGGGATCTTGGCAGTGTCCCTCTCAGCTACCACAACAAGATTTCTTCTGTACGGGTCACTTCAAGCCACCTAAAACCCTGCGTAGAAAGGACTTCTTGGTTGGAGAGGTGCCCTCCCTGGGGCTGGCGGGGCTGCGTCTGCTGGGGCTGCTGGTGGTATCTTTTGCCGGAGTGTCTCTGAGACCCCTGGAGGCCCCAGCTGGTGAGTTTATCCACCAGGCTTAGGAGGCCTGTGGGCTCCACCCTCTCCGTCCCTGGAGGCTTCTCCAGCTACCGGGTGGAGAGATGTAGGCGGCATCTGTGGGGAGCATCGGGCAGCATGGGGTCCTGCCGAGGCACTTGTCTGCTGAGGGCATTCTGAGAAAGCCCCTCTGCCCCGAGCCCTAGCCTGGCGAATGAGCTGTCGGCCCCACCATGGAGCCCTGGGTGGCACAGGCCCATGAACCGGCCTCTTCCCCAGCTGAGCGACCTCCTTTGGTCACTGGCTCTCTGCCTGGAGAGTGAGTGGCCGGGCCATGTGCTCCAAGCAGAGGGGCCTCAGCAGGGCTCCCTGAGCCCAGAGAGATGGGATAGGTGGGCCTTTTGGGGCCTTGCCCATCAGAATCCCCAGGCCGGGGGACTGCTGGTGAGTGCAGCTGCGGCAGCTTTAGGGGACTCAGTCCTGGGGTTTTGTCCCCACTTCACAGCCACCACCCAAGAGTGGCGTGGCAGGCAGGAACCACAGCCTCATAGAGGGGGCAGGACCCTCTCACAGCCTTGCCTGGCAGCAGCTGCAGGGAGCCAGGTGTCACCCATGTAATGTCAGGTACTTGGCCTGGTTGCTCTTTCCCGTGGAGGTTCGCAGACAACCTTGCAAACGTGATTTTGATGGCTTCTCACCCTGGAGAGTGCTCATGTTATGCTTAAAATTTAGTGCCTAATTCGGATCACGAGGTCAGGAGATGGAGACCATCCTGGCTAACACGGTGAAACCCCGTCTCTACTAAAAATACAAAAAGTTAGCCGGGCGTGGTGGCGGGCGCCTGTAATCCCAGCTACTCGGGAGGCTGAGGCAGGAGAATGGCATGAACCCGGGAGGCGGAGCTTGCAGTGAGCCGAGATCGCACCACTGCACTCCAGCCTGGGCGACATAACAAGACTCCGTCTCAAAACAAAAGCAAACAAACAAACAAACAAAAAAATCGTAGTGCCTAATTTCAGAACCTGTGGTGTCGGGTGCCTGTGCTCCTGTGTGGGAAGACTCCTTCTAGCCAGGCAGGCCCTGGTGGCAATGGCGGCTCAGCTGACTCCAGGCCAGGGGCACACAGTGAGACCTGTGTTAGGGGCCTCTGACGTGCCTTTGGAGTTTGCTCTCATTCTGCCCTTGGTGGCTGTGACCCCGGCTGAGCTCCTGCAGCCCAGCTGGGCGTGTGTCCCCTGCTGGAAGAGGCCAGGGTGGCAGGTGGCATTGCAGTCTCTCACACCTCCCTCCTTGGGTAGTAGCTTGCTGTGGAGCACAGCCCCATTCCACACCCCAGCTCCCAAGGGGACACCCCCTGATAGCCCTGCATGGCCCAGGCCAGCTGGGGGGATTCTGGGGGCACTCCCGCTGTCCCAGGTGGAAGAGCCAGGCTGGGCACAGGGCTTGCCCTTTCTCCAAGGAGGTGGCAGAGGCCTCACAGCCACTGGTACTGTTCCTGAGCCTTTGACACTGAATGTGGGCTGTGGCTTTGCAAGAAGATGGCCAGCCCAGGAGACTGGCCATGGGGCAGCAGCTGTGTCTGCCCTGTGGTTTTTTGCTGGGAGGAGTCTGTCCCTGGACACTCAGGTGGTTTTCAGAGGCCTCTACCCAGCCTGCCCCTCCCGCATGTCTTTGGGGGATCTGTGAAGCGTGGCCCCCCTCCTCCCTGGTACTCTCACTGCTCCCGGAGCCCCTCCCCAGGGCCTTCGGGATCTGGCTGCTGCTGGCTTCTGTGCCGGGAGGCCAGGTACACAATTGTCTGGACAGGCTCTGGGGCCGCCGTGCACCTGCTGGCCGCTGCTCCTTTCCTAGCAAGGGTGGAGCCCCTGGTGGCTAACAGCAGAGAAGCCTGCTCAGTGCTCCTGGGTGCGTGGGGTGATACAGGGTCTCTGTAGGGAAGGTGAAGGCGTGGCTCCCACCGTGGGGAGTGCTGGCAGTGTGCCTATCGGATGGGGTGTAGGGCAGAAACATACAGCATACAAGCAGCAGCGCCCAGGCTGGCCGCGGGCTGAGCCAACTCAGCCATGGTGCTGGCAGCCCCCACACTGTGTGCTCGCTGCCAGCCTGGCCTGTGCCATTGCCCAGTGAGGTGGTGGCCTTGCCCTTCCTCGAGGAAGCAGGCACAGATGGCTTCGGTTTTCTGCCTGGGTCCTGTGGTGTGCAGGTCACAGAGCTGGGCTCACTCCTGGGCCTGTGTCCTGCTGCTCTCTGCCATCATCTTACCTCTGTCCTCAATGGGATCAGCCCCCGAGTCCAGCTCCACCCTAAACCCCCGGGGTTTCCGAGGCAGAGACCTAGGAATGTCCTCGGTGTTTTAGGAAAGCGACCCAGGCGGTTTCCCTTCTGAGAAGCCCGGGAGCTGTTTGCTCCGTGCGGTACCTGGGACCCAGGGACCCAGTGGGCGCTCAGCAGTTGGCTTCCCGAAGCCAGGCCTGAGCTGGCTGGACCCTGGGGGTGTGGAGTCCTGGGGAGAGGGGCCGACGGGGCTCAGAAAGGAAGCCCGTGAGTGACCGAGCAGGAAGCACTGAGCTTCCCGCACGTAGCATGAGTGCTGGGCGAAGGAGGCTGAGATGAGGGGCAGGGCTGCGTCCAGTGCCCGCCAGCACCCCGCAGTGCCAGCGCAGCCTCTGACTTGCCCAGGCCCAGCTGTGAGGTGTTAGGGCGGGCGGGTGCGGGCGAAGTGGCCATGCTCTGCCTGACTCACCCTGTGCTCTTCTTGAATCCCTCAGGGAATGTCAGTTCAATTCTGAGGGGAATCTTAGCCTGCAGCTGCCGGGGACCAGCTGACACTTCCTAGTAGTTTAAAGGGACAGCTCCATGTAAAACTCTCACCTACTGCCTTACCTTTTTGCTTTATGGAAGAGTTTCTCTAGCTGAGGCTGAATCAGGTGGATTATGCTTTGTAGGGGTCAGGGGTGGCGGAGCAGGGCGCCCCGCAATGCCACGTGACCTTGTCTCTCCCCTTGCCCTCCCTGCTCTTGGCCTTGCAGGACGCCAACAAGGAGAGCAGCAAGACCTCCAAGCCACACAAGGTGACCAAGGAGCACCGGGAGCGGCCCCGCAAAGACTCCGAGAGCAAGAGCTCCTCCAAGGAGCTGGAGCGTGAGCAGGCCAAAAGCTCCAAGGACACCTCGCGGAAGCTGGGCGAGGGCCGGCTGCCCAAGGAGGAGAAGGCGCCACCGCCCAAGGCTGCCTTCAAGGAACCCAAGATGGCCCTGAAAGAGACCAAGCTGGAAAGCACGTCCCCCAAGGGTGGGCCCCCACCCCCACCCCCACCCCCACCCCGGGCTTCCAGCAAGCGGCCGGCCACCGCCGACTCGCCAAAGCCCAGCGCCAAGAAGCAGAAGAAGAGCAGCTCGAAGGGGTCCCGGAGTGCTCCAGGCACCTCGCCCCGCACCTCCTCCTCCTCCTCCTTCTCGGACAAGAAGCCGGCCAAGGACAAGAGCAGCACCAGAGGGGAGAAGGTGAAGGCCGAGAGTGAGCCCCGGGAGGCCAAAAAGGCCCTGGAGGTGGAGGAGTCCAACTCAGAGGACGAGGCCTCCTTCAAGTCCGAGGTGAGTGAGTGCTGGGGGCAGGGCAGCCAGGTGCAGGCAGTGTGGTGGGACCCGCCTCCCTTCTGGAACAGCGGAAGGAGGTGGGATCTGAGCCAGGACCTCAGGTCTCACCAGCTGCTCCTCCCACTGGCTTCTTGTAACCTGGGGCCTCCACGCCTCACTAGGCTTCGGTTTCCCTGTCTGTCAGGTGATAAAGTCTGCCTCGTGAGGAGTCCCTCCTCGCCTCCTCGGTGGCATTTGTGGGTGGCTCTGGTAAAGCATGATGGTGTGGTCCTGAGGTTCTGAGCTCCCCTCCTCCAGCAGCCCCCTGCATGGGCCCGGGTCTTGGCCGCTCTGGTGCCAGTGGGCAAGCGTGTCTCATGGTTGCTCTGACCATGGCGTGGTCAGCCCGGCCTGGAGCTCTGCCAATAGGGCATCTGGGAGACTCACCCTTGTCTGGAGGTTAATGATGAGGGCTTCAGACAGCCCCTAGCCATGAGGAGCAACAGGTCCGTGCCCGGCTCCCTATTTAGGTGGCTGGTGGGGTCAAGAGCATCCCTCCTGCCCACACCCATCGCACACAGCTGTGACTTGGGGATACTCACATCTGGCCCCACCAGTGTCTGAGCTTGGAACGAGGACCCCTGTCAGGGACCGGCCTTGTCACCATGAGAGGCTGCTGGCTTGTCCCACAGCACAGCGTCCGGACATTCTCAGAGGACTGCATCAGACATGACTTGAGCCGCAAGAGCTGGTAGCCACCTCATGGTCTTGTGGCCAGACCCTGTTTGGGGCCTGGGACGGCGGTGGTGTCTTCCAGCGCTATTATCTGGCACTTGGCATTTAGACAACAGACACTGGGCCCGGTAAAAATGAATGAATGGATGGATGAGGGTTGGGCCATTTACCTCTGTTGCCAGCCCCAGCCCTCAGGGGCCTTTTGTGGGTCCGGCTTGCCCTCAAGGAAGCTTTGCCTCTGGGTTGCTGAGGCTTTGAAAAGCCGCTGGGGCTTTGAATGCAGGTCCCAGCCACAAAGCCCGAGGGGGTTATGTGGGCAGCGCTCATTGCCCCCAGGGCCCTCATGGAGGTGGTGGGGCTGGCTGGGGGTGACGGTCCAGCCTCTGGGTAACAGTGCATCCTGGCTCATAGACACATGGGCTGGCAAGGCTGAGTGCCCGGTGCTCCCATGGCTTGGCAGTGGCTGAAGACGGCACCATCTGCTATGACCCTGAGGCGGTGGGGGGGCCGGTGCCACCTTCCAGAAGTCCCGGCCCATCTCAGTAGCCCTCCCAGCTGTGGGAGGGCCTGGCGGTGCCTGCTGGGCACCGAGCCTGACCCCTTCTCTGCCTGTGCAGCAACCACAGCCCTGGGCAGGCGCTTGTCCCCTCCCTTCTACCCCAGGGTTGGGGATAGGTACTGAGTGACATGCAGTCCCAGGCCAGGCATCTCCAGGCGAGGTCTTCTGGTACCTGGGGCTGGGTGTGCAGCACGCTGGGCAGCGGCAAGGCAGCTCCACGGCCCGCTCCACTCCGCTCTGCTCACCCGGCCTGGCCCCCGGCAGTGAGTGAGTTGGCTCCTGGCTCCCGCCACCAGTGTTGTGAAACAGCTGGAATATTTTGTGGGGAGCTTCCTGCCACCTCGGACGCCGCTGCTTAGAGTGGCTGGGTGGCCTTGAGGCTGGAGTTGCTGGAGGAGGCTTTGGGACTTCCTCCTGGCCGAAGAAGAGCGCCCCGCGTGCTGAGAGGCTTTTGAGCAATGCGGCTTAGCGCCCCGAGGTCTGTGCGGGAGTGAGACCCAGGCCCCAACAGCACAGAGTCCCTGACGCCTCTTCCCCCGGGGGCTTCACCGAAGCCCAGGCTGCTATGGTGAAGAAGCACATCGGCCTTCCAGACCACTGGCCCCTTGGCTTCCCCTTGGCCGTCTTGGGCTGCTCCTCCCCAGAGGCTGTGTGTGGCTGTGCTACCAGAACCGGCCATCGGAAGAATCTGCACCAGCTGGGGTCTGGCCCACGCCCACCCTCGTAGGGCCACTCTTTGGGCCGAGTCCCCGAGCCGAGCTCCCACGTCCTCCAGCTGCTGCCTTGGGGTCTCCCTGGCCCTTGGGGATCTGGAGTCAGTCGTGGACCCAGTCTGCTCCGCCCTCCCTCTGAGCCCCGGGCGTGCTCCGGTGGCCCTTCTGATCACACCACCTTAGGGCTCTTCTGGCTGAGACCATTTCCGGATTCTTTTCCTCCCTGCCCCTTGGATTTGGGCGGAAGGAAAGGGGATGCGTGTGCCTGACTGGCTTTCCTCTGTCTGGCACGGCGCCAGGACAGGCTTGGGGGCCTCTCGGGGCTCAGCATCCTCTCTGCTTCCATCCCTGCTGACCTTGTGCAGCCTCCTTTGGCCGCCTGAACTGCCCCCTCTCCACCTTTAGTGAGAAAGTGCATGGGATATGGGGCCAGGACCTTGGATACTTCTCCAGTCCACCTCCCTCCAGGTTGGTGCCCACCCCTCTGCCCCAGGGATTCCATCCGGAGGTCAAGGGAGGACTAGCCTTGGCCTCGGTGTGCAGGCAGCTGGCGGTGCTGGGAAAACTGAGGCTGACATAGGACGGCCTTGTTCTGAGTAGCAAGGCCTGCTGGTTAGAAGGCTGGGGTTAAATAGGCCATCTCTCGGTCACCTCTTACTCACCCCTGGCCCCCAAGAACAGAAGTCCAGGCTGTGCATCACCCAGCTCCAGGCAGGCCCAGCCAGGGGTCCTGGACGCTCTGGGGTATGTGTCCGGGACTCAGGTAGCCTGAGTGGGCAGTGACTGATGGGCACCACGGCAGGCTTTCCCAGTGATGATTCATCAGGGAGCGCCATGTGTTGGTGGGAAGGGGCGCTGGCAGGGGCTGGTTTGAGGGGCAGGAGGGGGCTGGGTTGGGCTGCAGTAAACCCTTGGGAAGTCCCTCTTCCCTCTCAGGCACGGGTGAGTCTGGACCTGCTGCTTGGGGAGGCCTTGGGCTTTCGTGGGGACCCTTCTGCAGGGTGGAGGCTGTCTCCTCCACATGCTAGGGGAGGGGCCGGGGGCTCCCAGGCACTCAAGGTCCTGAGTCCCACCAGCTCAGTACTCCGTTCACGGCTTCCCTTGCATGGCTGGCGGCTGCAGCGGCCCCTGCCAGAATCCAGCAGACCAGCTGCCTCCTCCTGATGGAGGGAGGACCCTGGAGGGGACTGGTCTGAGGGGCTCAAGCCACCTAGTTCCACCAGACGGGCCCCCAAGGTGAGGGGGCTGCCCTGGGCCCGCCATGTCCTCTGGCACACCCCTTGGGATGAGCTCATTGGCAGAAATGTGGGCCCAGAACAATGGGCCCCTCCCCGTGCAGGTGTCTGCAGTGCCTGCCTCCCGTCCACCCAGGAGCTACGCCTCTGCCCCATACACGCCTGCCCTGCACTGTCACCCTCTGTCCTGGCATCCCACCCCTTGTGTCCTTGTTGTGGCTTTTACTGCCCCCTGGTGGCTGAGCCTGGAAGGACAGCTGCAGGAGGAGGAGGCGGGTGGGGCCGGGCTTGCCCATGGCTTCTGTCCCCTGTGCACGCACGCTCTTCAGTGTCTTGGGCAGCTGGCGGTAGGAGCAGCGAATGGGTGGGGATACAGAGCTCTCTGCCACCCCTGAGCCCCGGACAGCACTGGGTCAGAACAAGAAGTGTCCACACCCAGCTTTCCTGTTCCAGACATTTTTGCGACACCAGTCAATGCCTGCCCTCTTGGACGAAGGCAAGGCCCACCCACCTGTGGGACTTCAAGCCCCTGCCCCAGCCTCCCTCCCAGTACCCTGTGCACCTGCCTGGGTAGACAGGAGAGCCCACGTGGTCCACACGGTCTCCTGGCGCTACCGGAAACCCAGACATCCACGGGTGTCCTAGGGCTGGCACGGGAGGCTATAGGCTGCGCATGGCCTGGCCGCTGGCTCCTTAGTGGGTTCTCAGCGGCACACGTGGGTACCCTTGGGACCCTAGGGGTGTCTGGGGGAGACCCACTCAGCGTAGCTGCTGCCAGGGGGCCCCCTTTGTCTCTGCTGAAAGGTGACAGCTCTCCCTTTCTCCCCTCCCTGCCCATCCCACCATTGGGTGAAGTCTGCCCAGTCAAGCCCGTCCAACTCCAGCTCCAGCTCAGACTCCAGCTCAGACTCAGACTTCGAGCCATCCCAGAACCACAGCCAAGGTGTGTATGGAGAGCAGCTGGGGGGCACGGATGGGGCCGGGGAGGGCCTGGAGCTCAGGCCACATGGGCATTCCTCAGCGTCCACTGCCTGCACAGGCTGGGCCCTGCAGATCTGTACATGGAGGGTTTTGGTGGCCTGGGGGAGTCTATATTTAAAAGCAAAGCAGGAACAAGTCACCAGACCTCCAGTCAGGCCCGGGGGCACTGTTCCTTGTGGTGGCTGTTGGCATGCACCCCGTGCCTGGAGCCAGGCTGGTGAGGGGCTTCTGGTGAGGGCCCTGCCCATGGCCAGAACTCTCCCTGTGCTGCTGGGGACCATGGACGGACGGCGTCACCTCCTCCGCCCATCCCACCCGCTCCCCAGGGCCAGCGAGGCACTGGCTGCCTGTGGACGGCCGGGGTCTCCTGCTGCCGGAGTGTTTGGAGTGCCCTCTCCCTCTCCAGGCAGGCCACCCTGAGTAGGGGCGGCTTTTTGGGGAAAGGACATAGGCCCATTGGCTGCACCAGCCTGCCCCAGAGTGGGGAGGGCCCTGGGGACCAGGCAGCCTGCAGGACACAGTGGGAGAGCTGCCCTGAGCCCCCGGCCCCAGTCCAGACCCCAGCACCCACTCCCAGGCAAAAAGCGTTTCCACTCCTGGATTGGAACAAGAGCCTCCTTCCCCCTTGGCCTGGAATCCTTTGCAGGGGGGCTGGGGGAGAGGAGTGTGCGGGGTTGTGGAGGGAGTCTGGCCTGGAATTCAGCCGTGCAGTTGCCGAGGGGGCTGGGGGATGGGGCCCTTGAAGCCTACACTCGCTCCAAGTGTTCTTATCTGCCGGGAAGGGAGGGGGACCTACTGAAGCGGGATCATGTGACTAAGGTAATTGAGGGCTTTGTGTCCCTCTGTTGCCTTGGTAACAGGAATATAAACCAAGATGCCGTCTGTAGGGGACTGGAACCGTGTGCCTCTGGAGAAAGGGGAGGACGGTGGACTGGGAGCAGCAGAGGGGATTACCGAGGGGGTGGGCAGGCCGGCGTAGGGTGCAGGAAGAGAGATCTGTGACCCCAGGCCCAGCTTCCCAGCCAGGCTGTGGCTCCCTCGCCCTCCCTGGGCTCTCGGCAGAGCTTCTGATCTCTGTGCCCCGAGCAGAGGAGGGGTTCTCCTCCGGCTGCAGCAATGGAGGGGCCCTGCGCGCCCACTGCCGGCCAGTCCCCTGAGGCCTGCGAGCAGGGCCAGGAAGGTAGGGAGGGGTGGGGGAGCCAGGGCGTTCTAGGGGAAGCGGGTGGCTGCCGGTGTGGGGGCAGTTCTTAGAGATGGGCACAGGGACCCCCAGGTGGACGGGCGTGTGCATTTGGGGGTCACCAGTGTCAAGAAGCTCTGCGTGGCCTCATGGGCGAGGGGCCCTGGAGGCTCAGTGGAGCCCTGCCCTTGTCTCCCCTCCCTCCCTGCCCCGCCTCCCCAGGACCCCTGCGCTCCATGGTGGAGGACCTGCAGTCCGAGGAGTCCGACGAGGACGACTCTTCGTCAGGCGAGGAGGCTGCCGGCAAGACCAACCCGGGGAGGGACTCCAGGTGACGGCCCGGTGGGAGCCAGGGGGCGGAGGCGGCCACCCGGGGCGACTCCGGCTGGGTCTGCAGTGATTGTGGGGCTGCAGGTGGGGTTGGGACTGGAGGGTCCCCTGGGAGGGCCAAAGCAGGGATCCATCCCCAGGTGGCCCCAGTCCAGCCTGGGCCTTGGGGTGGGCCTGGGGCTGTGTGTCCTCTCCTGGTCCCTGAGGCTGAGGGCCTCAAGGGCTGCCCCCATCTGGGGCCTTGGGTGGCATCCCTCCTCGTGGTCACTGGCAGGTGTGGGCTATCTGGCAGGGAGGGGTGCAGGAGGGAGCCCAGGCTGGAGGTGGGGGGAGGGGAGCAGGCCTGTTTCTCTGCTCTTGGGCCAGGAGACTCCCAGTCCTTTCCCACCTGCCTTACATGGGGCGAGGATCCATGGAGAGCCCGTCCTGGGGCAGCGGACACCCAGTGTGGGAGCAGCTTTGGCTGCCTGTGGCCTTTTCCCCAGGAGGCACAGGGGTGCCGAGGCACATCCTTGGGATATGCAGGACCCTTGGCGTGACCCCACCTGGGAGAGCTCCATGCGCTCGGCCTCCAACCCAGCGACAGTGGAGAACGTGCTGGCCTTGGCCCCGGGCACACAGGCTTCAGCGGGCGGGGGTCCAGGCTTTTCCAAAGCTGTAGCAGAGCCGGCAGTCAGCCCCTCCTCCCGTGAGGCTGAGGCCTCCAGGCCTCAGTGGCTCCTACTGGAGACAGGGCTGGTTATCACCCTGCACCCAGCAAGGTGCATGGGAGCCTCACAGACGCCTGCAGGTGTGTTGTTCACTAAAGCCACCTTCACGCAAGCTGGGCAGCAGGTTCTGCTTGGTTCCCCGTGTGCAGCGCGCCAGGCCAGCAGGCACATGGCGGGATTCCCACCCACCGCAGACAGAGCAGGAGCAGTGGCTCACTGCGGGGGAGCCGCTGGTGGGAGGTCCGGGCCCACGACTCCGACAGGGACTTAGACTCTAGACACGAGGAGGGCTGTGGCGTCCCTGGGACAGGACCTGGAAGCAGGCTCCCGCCTCGTTCGGTGACATTCAGGGTGGATTCTGCTTGCGCCAAGAGCCGTGAGCGCAGAGAGGCTGACGGAAGGTTCGGTTCTAGAGGGGCTGGCAGGCACGGCACAGGGACCGAGCCACACGCGAAGCGCCTTTTGATTCCTCCCGGAACGTTTGTGTGGGCCCTGGGTGAGGGCTTGCCGGCCTTGTCCCTGCGTTGCCGGGGCAGGGAGCGCCCAGGCCACACCGTCGGAGCTTCTGCACACCCTGGTCTGCTGCCTGGGAAGCCCAGTCTGCAGCGGTGCCCAGCCGTCATCCCAGTCACCTGTGGGATGCGGGGCAGAGGCCGGCAGGAGCACAGGCAGGGGCGTCGCCTGGGCAACGTGAGCCAGACCTGGAGCTGCCAGAGCCGGGAGGCAGCTGCAGAGAGTGGCCCCAGCCTGAGGCCACTGAGGGGCAAGTTTAAGAGATGAACGGAGCCTGCGCCGGGGCAGGAGCAGGCCAGGAACAGGGACAATGGCTGTGCTGCCCACCGGGAAGTCCGGTGTGCTCGAGCCGCTTCTGGCACCTCCTTGTTCACTAGGAGGCCTGGGGTTTGCTGTGTTTTAAACGTGTTGTGAAGTGATGGTTGTCAGGGGCCCCTCTCACTGGATCAAGCCCAAAATATCCCTGGCAGAGCGGGACCCCAGGCACGCAGAGTGAGAGAAAAATGGGCCCAGGCTCTGTGTGTGGTCATAGCAGCCTCCTTTCACAGATGGGGAAACTGAGGCAGAGGTCAAAGACCTGCCCCCCAGGGTAGGGGAGGTTGAGAGCTTGGACCTCTCCCCACCACCAGATACCCCTGTTTAGGACCACACCCTCTAGGGTCAGGGGGGCCGATGTGACTGATGGAGGCCTGCTGTCCAGAGCAAACCAGGGTCAGGCGGCCAGGGGAGCATCGGAGGGACGGGCGGCCATGGAAGCCCTAGGGCAGTGCTGGGAGAAGAGGGCAGGTTTTCAGCAGGCAGCTCCTCCTCCCCTTGTTAAAGCCACAGAACCAAGTCAGAGGACCACAGCCCAGCAAGGCCCATTGGCTGGGGGGCTTTGTGTCCCGGGTATCCCGGAGCACTCTTGGCCTGCTCGGGCGGCCCCCAAAGGGCCTCTGGGTGGCCTGGTTTCCTTGGGGTTCTTTCCTCTTGGTGGCCACACACAGTATTTTTAAGTTGAGGTTCCTGCGCAGAGGTGAATGGAGCTGTTGGGGGTGTGTGGGCTCAGGCACCGACTCCGTGCGGGGCAGAGGCTTGAGCCTGGGGGTGGGGTGGGGGCCGTGGTGGCGGCAGGGGCCTGATGCGCCCCCGTGTGTCGGTTCAGGTTGAGCTTCAGCGACAGCGAGAGTGACAACAGCGCCGACTCCTCCCTGCCCAGCCGTGAGCCCCCACCCCCCCAGAAGCCACCCCCGCCCAACAGCAAGGTGAGCCTGGGGCCTGCAGGCAGGGGGTGCACCAGAGGCCGGGCTTAGCCCTGGGCCGGGCTGTCCTAGGAGGGTTTGTGGGGCCTTCGGGGCTGGGGAGGGTGTGGGCCACAGCTCAGCAGAGACCTGGGTTCCCTGCAGGTGTCAGGCCGGAGGAGCCCCGAGTCCTGCAGCAAGCCTGAGAAGATCCTCAAGAAGGGCACCTACGACAAGGTGGGGGGGCACCTACGACAAGGCGGGGAGGCTACGGAGGGGTGGGTGGTGGGAGTTGCAGCCAGTGGAGGACCCCAGAGCCCCCCAACACCCCACAGTTGGACTCTTCCTGGGCAGGAGCAGGGACAGTCCTTCCTCCCCTCCCGGTGTGGCCTTGGAGCTGAGGGGCTGCCCCTGCAGCCTTGGGCCTTCCTTGGTTTGGATGTGGCTACCTCTGTCCTGTGCTGGGATGGACTGGGTCATGGGTGGGGCTGGGCATGGGAGCAGGAAGGGTCCAGGGCCCCCACACGCTGCTGAGACCTGCCCCCCCTCCCCAGGCCTACACGGATGAGCTGGTGGAGCTACACCGGAGGCTGATGGCGCTGCGGGAGCGCAACGTGCTGCAGCAGGTATCGCCCCCCTGAGGGTCCTGCCCGGCAGAGGTCGGGGTGCCTGTGAGGAGTGTGGGCTGCGGGGGCCCCTGGTGCTGCCCCAGGAGCCCCTACCTCTGTTAGGGAACAGGGCAACCCCACCCTTGGCCCCCTGCCCCTGAAGCCACCTGCCACCACCTTACAGATTGTGAATCTGATCGAGGAGACTGGCCACTTCAATGTCACCAACACCACCTTCGACTTCGACCTCTTCTCCCTGGACGAGACCACCGTGCGCAAACTGCAGAGCTGCCTGGAGGCCGTGGCCACATGACCCTGGGCCGCGTGCCGGGCCCCCACCGCCGGGGTCCTGGGAGGCTGCAGCCAGGCCTCGCCTGCCCTCCTCTCCCGTCTCGCCTGCCCGCAGCACTGCCTTAGCGACAGCCCTGTCCTCGCCCGCACAGCCCGCTGCACTTTCCTCGGCGGCTCCCTGCCCACTCTCCCCGCTCCATCGCCAGGAGCCCTGGGGCCGGGCTGGGCCACACGGGAGCCGCCCCCCGGGCTCTCTGGGCTCCCCTCAGAGAGCGGCTGGTGTTGAAGGCAGCTCTGGGCAGAGACAGGGCCGGGGGCCCCTCGCCCAGCCTTGGGACCAGCCCCCACTGCTCGGCGGGCTGTGCGGCGTCGCTGCCCCAGCCTTTCTGAGCAGCGGATCGACGGCTGGGGGGCATCTCCAGCCTCCCGAATGGTTCAGAACACACCCTCCGCCCACCCTGGACCTCAGAAGGCCCTGCCTGTGTGTCTGCGTCGTCCTCCGTGTAGACCTAGCGCCGGCTCCTCCCCGGCTCGCGCTGCGCTGGGGTCTGTGCTGTATAGTTCTCTCTATTATATATGTGTGTGCACTGTCTGGTCAAGAGCAGTGTCCATGTGCGTTTCTGTGGCAGCAGTGCACGTGGGGTGGGTGGGGGGTGCGTACGGTGGGGCTTGTAGGTTAAGATGTCTCTGCGGTGGTGTGGGGCTGGAGGCCGAGCCAGGCACGGCAGCTGGCCCTCTCCAGGCGCATGGAGGAATTCTCCCTTTGCCGTTCCAAGGATGCCGCCGCCTCCTACCGGGGCTCCCGGGGGGGTCAGCCAACACTACAAAGGGCAGCGAGTCCTCAGGGCGCCCGGGAGCCACCAGTCTGCTCTCGGGCTCTACTCAGACTAGCGCCAACAGTCTCCGCGGACAGACTCGCATCAGCCGCCCTGGGGCTCGGCCTCCTCCCATAGGCTCCTCTTCCTCTCTTTCATTCAAGTCTTCAAACTTTGAAAAAAATATGAGCTTTTGCCAAATAAGACGGGATAGTTTATGGAGTTTTCTGAGGCGCATTGAACTCTGGTCAGCCCCTCGAGCGTGGGCTCGGCCATCAGCAGGCCCGGTGGGTTGGCCGGGCTGGCCCTCCCAGGCTGCCTTTCTCTCTGGTCGCGGCCTGGCCCGCCCCGGCCTCCACCGCCGCAATTCATGCTGGTGCCGCGCCCGCAGCCCCACTCCTGGTATGCCTGAGATTCTCCAGGGGCCAAGCCGGTCCTCCTTCCCGGCCCACTCTTCCAGGGCCAGGACGCTCCCGCGGAGCCAGCCCATCGTGGCTGGGGGTCCCAGGGGCTGGAGGCCTGCCTGGTTAGCCTCTGTTTCCCAGACATTGACTCGAGGCGCCTCCAGTCCTCTCAACCCCCTGACTTTCAAGTCCTTTCAAGTCCTTGTGCCCTGACCAAGTTATGAGGAAAAGAGGGCTGAGGGCCTGGAGGTGGGCTCGCACCCCCTCGAACCCACCTAGATGTCTCCTCCTCCCCAGCCTATGAGTTCAGACTTGGGGGGCTCCATCTGTCCCTCCCTGAGGTCCCTCATCTTGTCCCTGCTCTGATTCTGTCAGCAGATCCTGAACACTCCTTGGTGGGGACCCATGCCTCCAAGGCTGCCCCCAATGCCAGCTGTCCTGGGGAAACTCCCCAGAACTCTCGGGGAAAGGCCCGAGAACCTTCGGAGGAAGCCTCCGGGACTCCTCGCCACCTGCTCTGTTTCTCTCCCGGCCCCACTGCCTTCAGGTATCAGGAAGAGGGCAGGCCCCTGTGCCCCCTCTCCCCTTCCCAGGGCGGCCAACAATACTCCACCATGGGGCGCTTCCTTTCTTCTCTGGAAACTAAGACATTGGACTGAAGGAACTGGCCTGAGGGGGGCTGACCGGGGGCCCGTGCTGCTGGGAGCTCTACGCACAAGAGGCCGCCGGGGTCACGGACAGGAACCTCAGCCCAGGGTGCTGGCCTTTCTCCTTCGCAGGAGTCCCCCAAAATCCACACAGCGACTCGAGCAGCCTTCCACTCAGCCAGAGGAGGGTCGGGCTCCCCCGCCTGCTCTCGGTGGTGGCGTCTGGCCCTTCCTGCCGTTTCCAAGGCCTCCGGAAGCACCAACCCAGTTCTCAGTTACCTCCTCTGGCCGGAAGGCCTCACGTTGTCCTCCAGAGCTGCTCTGGGCCCAGGGCTGGCTCCGTGACCACCTGATGGACGTGCTGGGCAGCATGGGCTCCCAAGGCAGCATCCCCAGCTGCTCTCCCACCCCACCCCAGCTGCCCGGCGGCTGGGCCCACGAGGGCTCTGGGGACACTTCCATAGGAAAGGGGCCTGGCACTTTGTGATTGCCACGTGTTTCCTGTTAAGCCGCCTGCCCCCAGTGCAAATCTCTGTGTTTTGCTCTCTCCTGAACAAAAATGTAAACCGACGCCGGAAAGCAAATGGTATCGAATACCTTTCTTGCCCATAAGGGTTTTTACAAAGAACGTGTCTCACTAGGAACTAGGACACTCATCGGCCCGAGACCAACTCCTGGATAAAAGGAATAAGGAGAATCGTGTTTGTAACGAGTTACAGGATTGTTTCTTTCCTGGATTTTAAACTTTTGTTAAATTGTGAAATTATGGAGGAGTTTTATAGAAAAAAAAAGTGAAATAAAGTCAGATGGGAAAGCAGACGCATGCATCTGCCTGGTTCCTCCTGTCCAGTCAGTGGGCAGGCTTGCGAGGTAGCCTGGGGCCCCCTGCCCCGACTACGTGTCCCAGTGCCCCCAGATCAGTGACCAAAACAGAGAAGGAGGGTTGGGACCAAGCCTGGTGGGGGTGGGGAGTGTGAGCAAGGCTGGAGACGATGCTACCAGCAATTCAAGAGGGCAGAGAATTCGGCTCACATCCTGCTTCTGATGCTGTGCTCTCTACTTGGAAGCAGACAGCAAGGTTTGGGTTGAGAAGAAAACTTGGTTTCATAAGGTGGATGCATGGATGATGGATGAACAGATGGGTGGGTGAGTGGATGGGTGGTTTGATGGATGAGTGGATGATTGGTTGGGTGGACCATGGATGAATAGATGGGTGGGTGGGTGGAAGAAAGGATGGAAGGATGGATGGATCGATGGGTGGATGGAAGGAAGGAAGGAAAGGAGGAAAGGAGGGAGGGAAGGACGGAAGGAGGGAAGGAAGGGCAGATGGGTGGATGGATGGAAAGGATGGATGGTAGGAAGGATGGATAGATGGGTGAGTGGATGGAAGAATGAATGGATGGGTGGATCAATGGATGGGTTAATGGGTGGATGGAAGGAAGGAAGGATGGATGCGTGGATGGATGGATGGATGGATGGATGGATGGATGGATGGATGGATGGTTGGATGGACGGAAATAAAAATGTAGGCAAAGACATTTTTTCCCAGGAGCCAGCGTGCCATCTCCCAGTTTCCCTCTGGTGGGTTTTTCTCTGGCCTCAGTGTGGCAGAGCTCAGTGAACCTCCAGGAGACAAAGCTGTCACTGGCCCCATTTGAGCAGATCTGTCCCCTCTGTGCTCCAGCTCCAGCTCCACCCAGAGGAGCAGGAGTTCCATTCCTGAGCAGCCCACATTACAGGATCACCGTGGCAGCCACTGATTGAGATCACTTTTGTCAGCAGGCAGCAGCTGGGGACTCAGCTGGGCTCAGCTTAGCGCTGGGGACTCTGGAGCATGTCTTCTCCCTTCTACTCTGGAACCAAAAGATCCATTCCCAGCATCAGAGTGTGGCTTTCCCTGCCCCGTGCCTTACCAGAGAAAGGTTCTTTTAGGCCTTCGGGGTATGGTTTTGGGTCTGAGCTCCTAAAGTAAGAATATGGAGTGAAAGAAGGTCTACAGTGGTTCCTTCAGGGTTCCCAGACCCTCCAAGGTGCAGTGGAAGGACTATGGATGTGTAAAAACGTGGTAGGGCTTTCTGGCCAGGCATGGTGGCTCACACCTATAATCCCAGCACTTTAGGAGGCCGAGGCGGGTGGATCATTTGAGGCCAGGAGTTCAAGACCAGCCTGGGCAACATGGCGAAACCCTGTCTCTAGTAAAAACACAAAAATTAGCCTAAAGTACAGTGCACACCTGTAGACCCAGCTACTTGGGAGGCTGAGTCACAAGAATCTCTTGAACCCAGGAGGCAGAGGTTGCAGTGAGCCGAGATTGCACCACTGCACTGCACTCCAGCCTGGGCGACAGGAGAGACCCTGTACTAAAAAAAAAGAAAAAAAATCTGGGCGAGGTGGCTCACGCCTCTAATCCCAGCACTTTGGGAGGCCAAGGCGGGTGGATCACCTGAAGTCAGGAGTTTGAGACCAGCCTAACCAACATGGTGAAGGCTGTCTCTACTAAAAATAGGAAAAATTAGCTGGGCGTGCTGGCAGGCACCTATAATCCCAGCTACTCGGGAGGCTGAGGCAGGAGAATTGCTTGAACCCAGGAGGCAGAGGTTGCGGTGAGCCAAGATCACACCATTGCACTCCAGCCTGGGCAACAAGAGCGAAACTCCAACTCAAAAAAAAAAAAAATGTAGTCAGGCTTTCCCTAAGAGTTGTCTCATGGACTCTTCACAAGCACTCCGTGAGGTGGGCACTGCTTCATCCCTGTCTACAGATAAAGAAACTGCCTCAGCAAGCCGAGTTGCCCAGGATTTTTTCTAATTTTTAATTTTAACTTTTTTGAGATGGAGTCTCGCTCTGTCACCCAGGCTGGAGTGTAGTGGTGCGAGCTCAGCTGACCACAACCTCCGCCTCCCGGGTTCAATCCATTCTCCTGCCTCAGCCTCCTGAGTAGCTGGGATTACACGAGCTCACCACCACACCCTGGTAATTTTTGTATTTTGGGTAGAGACGGGGTTTCGCCATCTTGGCCAGGCTGGTCTTGAACTCCTGACCTCATGATCCACCCACCTCGGCCTCCCAAAGTGTTGGGATTACAGGCGTAAGCCACTGCGCTTGGCTCTTTTTCTTTCTTTTTTTTTTTTTGAGATGGACTATCACTCTCACCCAGGCTGGTCTGGAACTCCTATCCTCAAGTGATCCATTATCAAGTGATCAAGTTTTCCTTGAAATGGTTTTTGGGCTGTTATTGTTTATTATTTAGGATGTTTTTATTTTAAGTTCTCCCATGATTTCTCCTAGGAATTCAATTCTTCTTCCCCCTTTTCCTGCCTCCCTTCCCTCTTTCTTTCTCACATTTCAATTTGTTCCATCTGGAATTTATTCAGCCATGAGGTAGGGCCCCAGCTCTATTTCCCCAATAGCTATGCAAGGCGATCCACCCCATTTATTGAATAACCTGTCTTCACTTATTTGAGATGCCGTCTTTGGTTGCATTTTTCAATTCCTGCATACGTTTGTGTCTCTCTCTGGCTTCCCTCATATGCACAGTACTCACCTTTACATTTCTGCCACTGTGTGACCTAATTAATATCTGGTAGTGTGCCCGGACGCAGTGGCTCACGCCTGTACTCCCAGCACTTTGGGAGGCCGAGGCGGGCAGATCACCTGAGGTCGGGAGTTCGAGACCAGCCTGACCAATATGGAGAAACCCTGTCTCTACTAAAAATACAAAATTAGCCGGGTGTGGTGGCGCATACCTGTAATCCCAGCTACTCGGGAGGCTGAGGTAGGAGAATCGCTTGAACCCGGGAGGTGGAGGTTGCGTTGAGCCGAGATCAAGCCATTGCACTCCAGCCTGGGCAACAAGAGTGAAACTCCGTCTGAAAAAAAAAAAAAGTCTGGTAGTGGTAGTTTCCCTTTATAATTCTGCTTCAGAATTTTCCCAGATATTCTTGCATGCTTTTTTCTTCATATAAATGAATCCGCTTATGTTTCAGAATATTTTTATCTGTTGTTCTGACGTTTTAATTTTAATTTGTTTTTGTTTTAGACGGAGTCTCGCTCTGTCACCCAGGCTGGAGTGTAATGGCACAATCTTGGCTCACTACAACCTCTGCCTTCTGGATTCAAGTGATTCTGCCACTTCAGCCTCCCAAATATCTGGGATTACAGGCACCCGCCATCATGCCCGACTAATTTTTGTATTTTTTTAGAGAGGGGCTTTCACCATGTTGGCCAGGCTGGTTCTGAACTCCTGACCTCAGGTGATCTGCCCGCTTTGGCCTCCCAAAGTGCTGGGATTACAGGCGTGAGCCACCGCACCCTGCCCATTTGTTTTGTTTTTTGAGGCGGGGTCTCATTCTGTCACCCAGGCTGGCATGGGGTGGCGCTATCACGGCTCACTGCAGCCTCACCCTCCCAGGCTCAAGCAATCCTCCCACGATGGCTTCCAGAGTAGCTGGGGCCACAAGCACATGCCATCAGGCTCAGCTAATTTTGTTTGTTTGTTTTTTAATTTTTGTAAAGATGAGGTCTCGATATGTTGCCCAGGCTGGTGTTGAACTTCTGGGCTCAAGCGATCCTCCCACCTTGGCCTCCCAAAGTGCTGGGATTACAGGAGTGAGCCACTGCACCTGGCCTTAATTTTTTTTAAACGTCTCCTTGTTGATACTTGTGAGTTCCTGGAGAATTCTCAGTGATTTTTTCTTTTTTCTTTCTTTCTCTTTTTTTTCACATGGAGTTTCGCTCTTGTTGCCCAGGCTGGAGTGCAGTCGTGCGGTCTCGGCTCACTGCATCCTCCGCCTCCCAGGTTCAGGTGACTCTCTTGCCTCAGCCTCCCAAGTAGCTGGGATTACAGGTGTCTGCCACCATGCCTGGCTATTTTTGTATTTTCAGTAGAGACAGGGTTTCACCATGTTGGCCAGGCTGGTCTCAAACTCCTGACCTCAGGTGATCCACCGGCCTCGGCCTCAGATCTGTAACCAACTCTCATTATGTGTATGTTACACTTTCTGTATTGTCCCGCGGTTCTTTTCCATTTGTTCATTTCATTTCATTGTGTTTTTGTCTTTTCTTTTTTCTTCTTAATTAATTTTTTTTTTTTAAATAGAGGCAAGGTCTTGCTAAGTTTCTCAGGCTGGCCTTGAGTGCCTGGGCTCAGGCAGTCCTCCCCACTCAGCCTCCTAAAGTGCTGGGACTATAGGCATGAGCCACCGTGCCTGGCCTCTTTTTTTCTTTAAGATTTTCAGCATGGGATGTTTCTATTGACCTAGCTTCAGGCTCACTCAAGATTTCCTTGGCTGTATTCAGTCCACTGCCGAGCCCATTGGAAGCATGCTTTTTTTATGTCAGTGTTTTTGATGACCAACATTTCCTTTTGATTTCTTAGAGTTTCCATCTCTGCTTACAAGAACCCACCTGTTGTAAGTTCTGTCTGCTTTTTCCATTAGAGCTCTTAGCATATTATTATTTAAAATTGATATCAGCCAGGCGTGGTGGCTCATGCCTGTAATCCTAGCACTTTGGGAGGCTGAAGCGGGCGGATCACTTGAGGCCAGGAGTTCGAGACCAGCCTGGACAACATGATGATACCCTGTCTCTACTAAAAATGCAAAAAAAATTAGCCGGATCTGGTGGCGCATGCCTGTAATCCCAGCTACTCCCTGCTGGGTGAGTGCAAGGTTCCTGGGAATCCCCAGTACCTGACACTCACAACATACCCTGTTGGGAGGTGGAATTCAGGGACAGTTCAGGCTTGGATCTTGCTCTCAAGGGGTTCCCCAATGTTCTGGATGGGTGGAGAGAGGGCTCAGTGCTGGAGAGCCTCAAGAAGTGGGGAGGGCTTTCTGGAAGAGGGGACATGAATGCGGGGATTCACAGGATGTATATGAGTTCACTAGATAGAGACTGTCTGGAAAGGTGAGCTGAGCATGCTCAGGACTGGGCCATTGAAAAATCCCACTAAGCGTAGACTTAAGTGGGAGCTCTTGTCAGCTCCCTGTCCTGAGGACTCTTCCTTGGGATCCCATAGAAGGTGGGCTGGTGGCTTCCTGCCCGCAAAACACTCCGGGGAGAGGCCGCGTGCCCTTTACCCTGCCATGATGGCACCAATGCTGGCGATGACCCACTCTTCTGAGTTGAGACCCATGATTCCCACGCTGTGGAAGCGCTCCAGGCCCAGCTAGGGGAGGGAGGTCCTCGTGAGGCACTAGGAGGCTCAGCCATCCCCGCCCCACCTGCCCGGGAGCCTCAGGCTGAGAACCTTTGGCTCCCTTTTCTCTGTCGCCTGTTTCTTCTTTTTCTTTCTTCTTCTTCTTTTTTTTTTTTTTTTTTTTTTTCTGAAACAAGGTCTTGCTCTGTTGCCCAGGCTGGAATGCAATAGCGCAATCATGGCTCACTGCAGTCTCAACCTCCCCCAGCCCCAGCAATCCTCCCGCCTCAGTCCCCCAAGTAGCTGGGACTACAGGTGTACACCACCACCCCTGGCTAATTTTTTAATTTTTAATTTTTTTGTAGAGATGGGATCTCACTATGTCACCCAGGCTGGTCTTGTACTCCTGGGTTCAAGCGATCCACTCGCCTTGGCCTCCCAAAGCACTGGGATTACAGACACCTCTCTTGTCCTGTTTCTTCTGTTGTTTTCTCTGATAAAATAACCCATCCCCCTCATGACAAGCAACCACACTTTCATCTAGAACTGGGGCTCTCAGCCAGGGGGTGACTCTGTTCCTCAGGGGACATTTGGAAATACTTGGAGACATTTGGGGTTGTCATAGCTCGGGGAATGAAACGCCACTGGCATTGATGGAAACTAGATACTCACAGGACATTCTCCACCACAAAGAATGATTCGGCCCCTAAGGACAACGGCCCTGAGATTGAGAAATCCCGGAAAAAAAAAAAAAAATACAAACAAAATACCTTCCTGACATTTTTAAGCATGCATACTTTACAGAGCCAGGGCAATACTACATGTACGTTATCAAGACCTGCCTTTGTTCACAAAACCATTCATCTTGACTGTTTTCCCCAGTCTTTAAATATTTCTCTGCAATATCAAATCTAACATAATATCATCTAGTATAGAGATGACATGATTTAATCATCCCCCGTATTGGCTGATACTTATGTAGGCTCTGGCTGCTGGGTTTTTTTGTTGTTGTTTTCACTTTTTTTTTTTTTTTTTAATGAGACAGGGTTTTGGCTGGACACAGTGGCTCACGCCTGTAATCCCAGCACTTTGGGAAGCCAAGGCGGGCGCATCATGAGGTCAGGAGATCAAGACCATCCTGGCTAACACGGTGAAACCCCATCTCTATGAAAAATACAAAAAATTAGCCGGGCGTGGTGGCAGGTGTCTGTAGTCCCAGCTACTCGGGAGGCTGAAGCAGGAGAATGGCGTGAACCCGGGAGGCGGAGCTTGCAGTGAGCCGAGACCGCGCACCACTGCACTCCAGCCTGGGTGACAGAGCGTGACTCCATCTCAAAAAAAAAAAAGAGAGACAAGGTCTTGCTCTGTCACCCAAGGCTGGAGTGCAATGGTGCGTTCATGGCTCATGGCAGCCTCGACCTCCTTGGCTTAAGCAATCCTCCTGCCTCAGGCTTCTGAGTAGTTGGGACTACACATGCACCACCACGCCCGGCTAATTTTCATATTTTTTAGAGATGGCGGTCTCACTATGTTGTCCAGGCTGGTATAAGCCACCATGCCCAGCCTGGTTTCACTTTTATTAGATAAAATGTTGGGGCGAACGCCCTGGTAGCTCAAGCTTTGCCTATGCACTGTGATTATCTGTGCCGACATATGGATCGACTTGACAATTTAAGATGGTGTAACTCTCTTGGTTCCATTCACTCAGGTGAGTCCATCGGATCCAGGTGGAGCCCCTCCCCACCACTCCAGACTCTTGGATACAACTGCCCACCCCTCATTTCCTCGTCTAACACGCATCTCAAACCCAAACAGCCCAGCTAGGGGAGGGATGTTACCCACAGCCCTCATCCCTAAATCTCCTCCCTCCACTCCAACCTACCATAATCTCAGACAACAGCAGCTCCATCCTTCAAGTGGCACTGACCAGAAAACTTTGGTCATTCTCAGCGGGTTTTGCTGAGACACCAACAAATTCTGTGGGCTCTGCTTTCAGAATCCGAACGCTTCTCACCCTCTCTCCTGCTACATCTTGGTCCAAACTATCATCATCTCAATCTCAGCTGGTCTCTTTCCCCTCAGTCTGTCCTCCCCACAGTAGCCAGAGAGCGCCGTGAGCACCTGAGTCAGGGCATATCCCTCCTCTGCCTCCATGGCTCCCACTCCCCCTCCCCTCGGGTAAAAGCCAAGTCCCCCACAAGGCCCACCAGGCACTTCTCAACCTTCCCCACCCCCTCCCTCCCTCACTCTGCTCCAGCCACAGGGGCCTCCTCCTCACTGCTCCTTCAACACAGCAGGCACTGTCCTGCCTCAGGGCCTTTGCACAAACTCCCCTTGACCTGGAACACCATCCCATAGATCTTTTCTCTTCATTGAAGTCTTTGTTGAAATATCACTTTCTCTCAGTGAGGCTCTCCTTAGCCACCTTTTTCTTTCTTTCTTTCTTTTTTTTTTGAGACAGAGTCTCACTCTGTTGCCCAGGCTGGAGTGCAGTGGCGTGATCTCGGCTCACTGCAACCTCTGGCTCCCGGGTTCAAGTGATTCTTCTGCCTCAGCCTCCCAAGTAGCTGGGATTACAGGCATGCACTACCATACCCAGCTAATTTTTGTATTTTTAGTAGAGACGGGGTTTCACCATATTGGTGAGGCTGGTCTCGAACTCCTGACCTCAAGTGATCTGCCCTCCTCTGCCTCCCAAAGTGCTGGGATTACAGGTGTGAGGCACTGCACCTGGCTAGCCGCCATACTTTTAAATTCTGCCCCCACCTCAACAGTTTACTCCTTTACGTGCTTTGGATTCCTCTGAATCACTGAACACTGTCTTACCTATTGCATAATTTACTTGTTTATTACATTGACAGAACAAGTCACAGGAGGTCTCTTATCCCCTTTCCTGATCTGAAAAATGGGTGTTCATTAATTCAACAAACATCAGAGGGTTGGCGCTGGTACAACAACAAGGCAATCTGGCCTCTCGCCCTCAAGGAAATGACCAAATAAACAAATGACCTTGGTAACTTGTAGCCATGATGATGAAAACTGGGAAGAATATTTTTTTGTGACAGAGTCTTGCTCTGTCGCCCAGGCTGGAGTGCAGTGGCATGATCTCGGCTCACTACAACCTCCACCTCCCAGTAGCTGGGATTACAGGTGTGCCACCATGCCTGGCTAATTTTTTTTGTATGTTTAATAGAGACAGGGTTTCACCATGTTGCCCAGGTTGGTCTCAAACTCCTGACCTCAAGTGATCCACCCATCTCAACCTCCCAAAGTGCTGGGATTACAGGCGTGAGCCACCGTGCCTGGCCCTGGGCAGACAACTTTTAAAGGGGCTGTCACAGAGAGGGGGAAGAGGGCAGGTTCGGGGAACCAGGGTAGCAAGGAAAGACCTCGCTGAGGAAATGCCACTGGAGAAGAGACACAGTAAAAACCATAATAATGGCCAGGCACAGTGGCTCATGCCTGTAATCTCAGCACTTTGGGAGGCCGAGGTGGGTGAATCACGAGGTCAGGAGTTTGAGACCAGCCTGGCCAACATGGTGAAACCCCCGTCTTTACTAAAAATACAAAAAATTAGCTGGATGTGGTGGCAGGCACCTGTAACCCCAGCTACTCAGGAGACTGAGGCAGGAGAATTGCTTGAACCCGGGAGGCGGAGGTTGCAGTGAGCCAAGATCGCACCACTGCACTCCAGCCCTGGCGACAGTGAGAGACTGTCTCAAAAACAAAAACAAAAACAAAAAAGAGGCCAGGCGCGGTGGCTTATGCCTGTAATCCCAGCACTTTGGGAGGCCGAGGCCGGTGGATCACGAGGTCAGGAGATGGAGACCATCTTGGCTAACACGGTGAAACCCCGTCTCTACTAAAAATACAAAAAATTAGCCAGGTGTGGTGGCGGGCGCCTGTAGTCCCAGCTACTGGGGAGGCTGAGGCAGGAGAATGGCGTGAACCCGGGAGGCGGAGCTTGCAGTGAGCCAAGATTGGGCCACTGCACTCCAGCCTGAGTGACAGAGCAAGACTCCGTCTCAAACAAACAAAACCATAAAAATAATAAATAGTGAATGCTGGTGCAATGCTTTGTGTGTGCCAGAGCTATTCGATGTGTGTAAACTCACTGAATCCATGCAGCAAAGCTGTGAGCTAGCTGCTGTTATATTTTATATATTTACATAAAAATGCTGATATAAAAGAAAATATTTTATATTAAATTTAACATAAAAGGGCCGGGCACGGTGGCTCACACCTGTAATCCCAGCACTTTGGGAGGCCAAGGAGGGCGGATCACAAGGTCAGGAGATCGAGACCATCCTGGCTGACACGGTGAACCCTGTCTCTACCAAAAATACAAAAAATTAGCCGGGCGTGGTGGTGGGCGCCTGTAGTCCCAGCTACTCAGGAGGCTGAGGCAGGAGAATGGCGTGAACCCGGGAGGCAGAGCTTGCAGTGAGCTGAGATCGCGCCACTGCACTCCAGCCTGGGCAACAGAGCAAGACTCCGTCTCAAAAATAAATAAATAAATAAATAAAAGTGTAGCACGCATAAAATTTATCCATAAACAGACGTTTTATATACTGTACATTTATAAAAACTATACTTTAAATGTATATATAATAATACATATTTTTATATGTTTACTTTTTTATTTTTTTAACTTTATTTTTACCGGAGGATCCAGTTTACTATGGGTATTGGAATGACTTTTCTTTTTTTTTTTTTTTTTGAGACAGTCTTGCTCTGCTGTTGCCCAGGCTGGAGTGCAGTGGCACCATCTGGGCTCACTGCCTCTGCCTCCCGGGTTGGAGTGATTCTCCTGCCTCCAGCCTCCCAAGTAGCTGGGATTACAGGCATGCACCACCATGCCTGGCTAATTTTTGTATTTTTCGTAAAGACAGGGTTTCACCATGTTGGCCAGGCTGGTCTCGAACTCCTGACCTCAAGTGATCTGCCTGCCTCGGACACCCAAAGTGCTAGGATTAAGGCGTGAGCCACCGCGCCTGGCCTTTATATATATATATATATTTATATGTAAAGTTTTCATATAGGGAAACAGAGGCACAAAGGCACAAAGTTTTCGTGCAAGAAAACGTAGCTAATGGCTGCTCTGGGATCTGAACCAGGGCCCCTAAGTCTGCAGCTTTTCATTTCTGGCTCTCAGGCAGCCTCAGGGAATCCGTTAAAACAAACATGCGAGTCAGACAAGTGGCAGTCACAGGAGAGTAACACTGCGCAGGCGCAGAAGGGATGTAGTGGCGCGCAGGCGTAGGAGGCGGGGGGAGATGGGGGAGGAAGGCCCTGCAGCGGCGCGCAGGCGCAGAAGCAAGTGGGCCGGAGCGGCGCGCAGGCTTACCGGGGGAAGAAAGGCGCGCAGGCGCAGGACGCGGGGAGGGGCGGGGGAAGAAAGGCCCTGGAGCGCTGCGCTGGCGCAGGAGGTGAAATAAGTGGCGCGCAGGCGCAAGAGGGTGGGTGCAGAAGAGGCGCGCAGGCGCAGGAGGGGCGGGAGGGGCGCGCAGGCGCGGACCGCCTGGCGGTACTTTGAAGAAAGACTTCTCGACGCCGAGACACTGCTGGTGGTACTCGATGTAGGTGAGCAGGTGGCAGCTGTTGGAGCCGGGCGCGATGTTGTTGGCGTACTTGATGGCCGTGCTCGCGACCATGTCGTGCACAGTGAGGAGTGTCTTGTTGCTAACTTAGTCCTTGCTGAGCCGCAGTCGCGCCTCCCCGTCGCGCTCCGTGGTCCGAGTAGCTCAGCCTGCGGACAGGCGGGTCAGCGGCGGCCGGAGACCCCCAGATGGACCTAGAGAGAGGCGAGCAGGTGGCGTGTCAGGGGCAAAACCAGGGAGAGATGGGAGCACAGGCAGGAGCGTGGCACTGAGAGATGGCAGACGGAGGAGGCGTGGTGTATGAAGTGGATTGCCAAGGGAGAAAGATGACCAGCGAGGCACAGAAGGGGATGCAGGGACAGGTGGACAGTGAGACGCACTGACCCAGAGAGGAGTTCAGCAGGAAACCCACCAGCAAGCAGACAGGTCAGCTGTAGGCCCACTGTCCCTGCCGGGCGCCGTCTCCTCCCCAGGGACCAGACACTTCTTTTTTTTTTTTTTTTTCTTTTTTGAGATGGAGTTTCACTCTTGTTTCTCAGGCTGGAGTGCAATGGCATGATCTCAGCTCACTGCGAACTCTGCCTCCTGGGTTTAAGCGATTCTTCTGCCTCAGCCTCCCAAGTACCTGGGATTACAGGCATGCGCCCCCACACCCAGCTAATTTTGTATTTTTAGTAGAGACGGGGTTTCAACATGTTGGTCAGGCTGGTCTCGAACTCCTGACCTCAGGTGATCCACCCACCTCGGCCTCCCAAAGTGCTGGGATTACAGGCATGAGCCACCACGCCCGGCGGGACCAGACACTTCTGACAACTGCTAACCACCTGCACCCCCAAACCCCCATACACCCAGCCGGGCACCCTATGGTGGTGCTCTCCATGCCCGCATCCCATCAGGCAACTTCTGAAGAGATAGATTGAACCCTAAAGGATCCCAACACTGGCTGAACGGCCTTGGCCAGCCCTGAAGCGCTAGATCCCCACTCTCAAACTGGCTTCTCTGGGAACACCACTACCCTCACCCAGGAGCCAAGGAGCCCCAAACTCTGTTTTTCTTTCCTGGGTGTTGAGTGCCTTTCTGTCGTGGACTCTGAATCTGTCCGAGGACATGGTCTTCAAAGTATCTTTGTTTTCCTTGTCACTGTCTGGGGGCATCTAGTTTGCTGGGCTTGGGCAGACAGATCTTCAAACGAAATTACAGTGGGCAGCAGGGGTGGGAGGGTCCAGCAGGGAGGCACAGGATTCCCACCGAGTTATGGGGGTGGCCAGGGAAGGCTTCTCTGAACAATGGGTAGACACTGACCAGGCAAAGGAGGGAGGGAGAAGCATCTTAAAAGAGGTAACAGGCAGCCAGACGTGGGGTCATGCCTGTAATCCCAGCACTTTGGGAGGCCGAGGTGGGCGGATCACGAGGTCAGGAGTTTGAGACCAGCTTGTCCAATATGGTGAAACCGTCTCTACTAAAAAATGCAAAAATTAGCCGGGCGTGGTGGCGCGCACTTGGAGTCCCAGCTACTCTGGAGGCTGAAGCAGGAGAATTGCTTGAACCCAGGAGGCGGAGGTTGCAGTGAGCCGAGATCGCGGCACTGTACTCCAGCCTGGGTGACATAGTGAGACTCCATCTCAAAAAAAAAAAAAAAAAAAGAGAGATAACAGGCTGGGTGCGGTGGCTCATGCCTGTAATCTCAGCACTTTGGGAGGCCAAGGTGGGCGGATCACTTGAGGCCTGGCCAACGTGGTGAAACCCCATCTCTACTAAAAATACAAAAATTAGCCAGGCATCGTGTCGGGCACCTGTAATCCCAGCTACTCGGGAGGCTGAGGCAGGAGAATCATTTCAGCCTGGGAGGTGGAGGTTGCAGTGAACAGAGATCGCACCTCTGTACTCCAGCCTGGGGAACAGAGGGAGACTCTGTCTCCAAAAAAAAAAAAAAAAAAAAAAAAAAAAAAAGGGGGGGGTTGGGGGCTGGAGTGAAGAGAAGGAGGAGCATAGAAGGAAATGAACCTACCACACACATTCCCCACCTGGTGTGCAGCCTAGTTCATCCCCAGGAGGAGCTGAGGTATGTGGGCTCCCAGTCCCTCCCTCCCATCCACAACATATTTTCATGCCCCTGTCATTGGGAAGGCAGTGCCCACTCTGGGCTCTACCTTCTTTTTTTTTTTTTTTTTTTTTTTTTTTTTGAGACAGAGTCTCGCTCTGTCGCCTAGGCTGGAGTACAGTGGCGTGATCTCGGCTCACTGCAAGCTCCGCCTCCCGGGTTCACTCCATTCTCCTGCCTCAGCCTCCCGAGTAGCTGGGACTACAGGCGCCCGCCACCATGCCCGGCTAATTTTTTGTATTTTTAGTAGAGATGGGGTTTCACTGTGTTAGCCAGGATGGTGTCAACCTCCTGACCTCGTGATCCACCCGCCTCAGCCTCCCAAAGTGCTGGGATTACAGGCATGAGCCACCATGCCCGGCCTCTGGACTCTACCTTTTTTTTTTTTGAGACAGAGTCTAGCTCTGTCGCCCAGGCTGGAGTGCAGTGGCGCAATCTTGGCTCACTGCAAGCTCCGCCTCCCGGGTTCACACCATTCTCCTGCCTCAGCCTCCCAAGTAGCTGGGACTACAAGCGCCCGCCACCATGCCCGGCTAATTTTTTGTATTTTTAGTAGAGACAGGGTTTCACCGTGTTAGCCAGGATGGTCTCAACCTCCTGACCTCGTGATCCACCCACCTCAGCCTCCTAAAGTGCTGGGATTAAAGGCATGAGCCACCATGCCCGGCCTCTGGACTCTACCTTTTTATCAGCTTGATCACTCCCCCCGTTCTAGCCACAGGGGGACAGTGGTCCCTAGACCAGACATCCAGAATGTTCCTGTCCATGGCCAGCCTGGTGCCATCACTGTGTATCCCGTGGCCCAGAGCCATGATGGGGACATGGCCCATTGCCTCTTTGTAGAGGCCAGTTTTAGCGGGCAGGGAGGGTCTACCCAAGAAGGCCCTTCACTGCCCTGACAAGCCAGTGGTCTGCAAGGTGACAGTCCCCAGGGAGGAGCCAGGGGCAAGTCTGGCAGCAGGAGGGATTCCAGAGTCACTGTTCTACATTGTTGAGGTTGAGTGAGAGAGTTCCCAAGGGAGCTGGAAGAAGAGTGGTGAGATGGAGGAGGTAAATAAGGTGTGGGCATCATCGAGGTCAAGGAAGCAGAGCCCTGGGCTCCCAGAAGGTTGAGTTAGAGAAGGACTTTGAGTCACTGTGCCTGGGGGTTTATGAATTCATTTGCCCACCAAGCATAATTGAAAGCAGGGGCGTGAAGAGATATTTATACACCCATGGTTTCTTTTCTGGGCGTTGAGTGCGTTTTTGCCATGGACCCTGAACCATGCCATGGACCCATATACATAGAAGCATGATTCACAAGAGCCAAAAGGTGGAAGCAACCCAAGTGTCTATTGATGGATGAATGGATAAATTTATCCACGTATATATGTGTACATACACACACACACATGTGTACATACATGATGAAATATTCAGCCTGAAAAAAGAAATTTTAACACATGCTAAACATGGATGAGGCCAGGTGTGGTGGCTCACACCTGTGATCCCAACACTTTGAGGGGCTGAGATGGGAGGATCAGTTGAGGCCAGGAGTTCAAGACCAGCCTGGGCAACATAGGGAGACCCTGTCTCTATTTTTAAAAAATTGTTAAAAAAATTGAAAAAACTTTAAAAAAGGATGACCCTTGAAGACATTATCCTCAGTTAAATAAGCCAGTCAGAAAATGGCAAATATTCTTACATTATCACTTTTTTTTTTTTTTTTTGAGATGGAGTCTTGCTCTGTTCCCGAGGCTGGAGTGCAGTGGCATGATCTCAGCTCACTGCAACCTCCACCTCCCAGGTTCAAGTGAT
Organism: Homo sapiens; assembly: GCF_000001405.40. NCBI lineage: Eukaryota > Metazoa > Chordata > Mammalia > Primates > Hominidae > Homo > Homo sapiens. Next base: position 6,195,560 of record NC_000019.10, on the reverse strand, counting down.
TGTTCTGCCTCAGCCTCCTGAGCAGCTGGGACTACAGGCATGCACCACCACGCCCAGCTAATTTTTGTATTTTTTGTAGAGACGGGGTTTCGCCGTATTGGCTGGGCTGGTCTCGAACTCCTGACCTCATGATCCACCCGCCTCGGCTTCTCAGAGTGCTGGGATTACAGGCATGAGCCACCATGCCCGGCCGACAATTTCACTTTTAAGGTGCTTAAAGTAGTAAAATTCAAGAGACAGAAAATAGAATGATAGCTTTCAGGGGAAGGGGAAATGGGGAATTGTTTGATGGATATAAAGTTTCAGTTTGAAGAGATGAAACTTCTAGAAATGCGTCGTGTTGATGGTTGTACAACAATGTGAATGTGCTTAATGCCACCGAACTGTGTACTAAAAAAGGGTTAAAATGACACATTTTATGTTACATATATTTTACCACAGTTAAATTTTAAAAGCCTTCCTGACATTAGTAGATTCTTGTCGTTTCTCAAAAAACATTGAGAGAACATTAAGAGAACAGTGAGACCAGGGTGAGAATCATTATAGAAAATACATACATTCCTCTCCTGTATTCGAGCTTCCCTCACTTGACATGATCAACCATTTGTATTTCCTTGATGAGGAATCAATATTGAAAAGGAAGTAAAAAAATATTTGCAAAAGATATGCACATCTCTGTAAAAAGCTTACACATTTTGAGAAATAGGTTAGCAGTGAGGTGTCTAGATATAATATTAACATACAAAAATCAACAGCACTTCCATATACCAACATTAACTACCTAGAAAACCTACAAGTGGGGAGATCACATGGACAGTAGAAACAAAAACTATAAAATAGAATTATATTGACCAAAAATTGTACAGTGTAGTCATGGATAAAATTAGAAGGGTTTGGCTGAGTTCAGTGGCTCATACCTGTAACCCCAGTGCTTTGGGAGGCCAAGACAGGAGAGGATCCCTTGAGCCCAGGAATTTGAAGTTACAGTGAGCTGAGATCACACCAGTGCACTCCAGCCTGGGTGACAGAGTGAGGCCCTGTCTCTATTTTTAAAAAACTCAAAAAGGTTTACTAACAGAAACATGAAAATGCAGAAAATGTGGCATGAGATATACCTCAGAAAGGGCACTGTTTACAGTGTGAGAGCTGAAACAGGAAGCCAGAGTGTTGCCTTGTTCAACCTCAGCTGGGAATGTACAGTTGGCCACTCAAATTTTTCACTCCTGTGTATGTCCTGGAATGACCTCTAAAGTGCCATAACTATTGATTTGGGGTTTACAAGCAAATTCTAGCGATGAGGCAAATTTGCAAATATGGAATTGGCAGATAGTGAGGACCAACTGTACTAACTCATTAAAAAGTAAAAGCCCGCCAAATAGTTGAGGAGGGCCATTGATGTGGTTTGGATATTTGTCCCTGCCCAAATCTCATGTTGCACTGTAATCCCCTGTGCTGGAGGTGGGGCCTGGTGGAGGTGTTTGGGTCATGGCAGGGGGGCGGATCCCTCATGGCTTGGGGCTGTCTTCACGATAGTGTGTTCTCAAAAGATCTGGTCATTTAAAAATGTGTGGCACTCCCTCTGGCTTGCAACTGCTTTCGCCATGCGACATGCCTGCTCCCCTTTTGCCCTCCGCTATGATTGTGAGCTCCCTGAGGCTTCACCAGAAGCTGAACAGGCACCAGCACCATACTTTCTATAAAGCCTGTAGAACCATGAGCTAATTAATTAAACCTCTTTTCTTTATAAATGACCCCATCTCAGGTATTTCTTTATAACAGTGCAATAATGGCCTAGTACAGCAATCAAATATGACATTAGCCTTATCGGCATTGCATTAATTTTTTTTTTTTGCAAGGAGAATGTCATTTTAAATTTCTGGTGTATTTAAAAAATGGAACTCAAAAGGGTCTCTGGCCTGCCTCTGAGTATCTAGAAGCTTAAGAGACACTGGGAGTTTTGTTGCTCCTGATATGCTGTTTCTGTCCAGGCTGGGAGATGTTCCCTCTCCCACTCTCCCTACTAATATTTCGGAGACACACTATGAATATGCTTTATCAGCTCTGGTCTGCTTATAATATGACTGTTGGATGGGAGAGGAATAAACTATCTTCTTTAAGTTTACTTAACTTACTACAACAGAAAACTCCTCCCTAATGACGGAATTAGTCAAGAGTCATACCTTGACTCTTGAGTTAACCAAGAGTGACTGTGTTGATGATAACCATTAACTCAAACCGAGGACTTTCTGGAGTTAGATACTGCATTCCCTGTACATCATCTCCATGAACTTCCATGGCCACCCTCCGAGATGGGGATCTACTTTCCAGGTTTAAAATCTCCGAGCCTCAGACAGTTGAAATCACAGCTGGTCACAATTTGAACCCAGAACTGATTTCAGAGTCCAAGCCCTCCCCATCACACTAAATAAAGGACAAAGTATTTCTATCAAGCCAAAAATCAAGACATGGGACCCTGAAGTGCTTTATTATCAGGACTTATTGGAAGGGTTTCCCAGTTGCTTCCAGGCAGGTGAGTTGATTTGGGGGTCCAGTTCTTCAAATCTGTGAGGCTTTTTCTTTCTAATGTCTGAGTCCCCTGAGGAGAAAAAAATCAAATGGGAGCCCACAAGTTCAGGTCTTTCTTGTAAATCAGGCAGTTTTTAGTAGACTTCCCAATAGGCTTCCCTGGAGTCATGACTTGAAGGTCCTTAGAAAGATATACAGTGATTTTATTGCTTTGAAACGTATGGCAGGTTCTTCTAGGGAGCACCTCTCCAACAGACGAACAATCAAGAAACTGACCAATGAGGAATGTGGCTTCTTAAAAACAGCAGGGAGAGCTTCTACCTAGAGCAGCATTTCACTTATTGCAATGAGGTCTTCCTGCTGAAGGCTGCAAAGAGGAGAAACACAAGTTATCACATGGGGATTCTCGTAATATGTGCATTCAGTCTCCAAGATCCCACAGTCACCATATGATGAAAATATTCCCGAGTGAATCGATCCATTTATAAATTGGCTGTCACCCAAAATCTCCCCACAATGAACTTTAGAGTGGCACTATCCACAAGAAACATTACTGGAGCCACCTATGCAATTTAACAATGTATAGCAGCTACATTTTTAAAAAAGGAACTTGGCCAGGCACAGTGGCTCACACTTGTAATCACAGCACTTTGTGAAGCTGAAGCAGGAGGATCGCTTGAGGCCAGGAGTTTGAGACCAACCTGGGCAACATAGAAATACCTCATCTCTACAAAAACATTTAAAACATTAGGTATGAATGCACCACTGCACTCTAGCCTGAGCAACAGAGCAAGACCCTGTCTCTAAAAAGTAAATAAAAATTTAAAACTGGTAAAATTACTTTTAATAATAAATATTTTACGTAACCCGGTATTCCAAAATATCATCTCAACATGTAATCAAAATTTTAAAATACTGATGAGATATTGTATATTCTATTTTTTTTTTTTTTTTTTTTTTTTTGGTGCTGTGCTTTTGAAGCCCAGTGTGTTTTATGTATTACAGCACATCTTGGTTTGGACAGACCACATAGTGGCCAGTGGCTGCCATATTGGACAGCACTGGTGTAAGAGGGTCCATCTCTCACTCCCACATCAATGTCCAATGGTTTCTCATTCAACTGGAAAGTGAAATTGGAAATCTTGTGAAAGATGAAGAATTATGAATGTGGTACGTTGAACTGCTGGGCCCACCCACAAGACATCAACAAATGAAGGTGTGGAAGGGTTAAACCAGTTAACGTTGAACAAAGGACAATGGATATGATGAGTTACAAGCTGAGTTGTATCCCTCCACAATTCACATGTTGAAGTCCTAACCTTTAGTACTTCAGGGTGTAACTTATTTGGAAACTAGATCATTATAGAAGTTAAAACGAGGTCATAAGGGTGGGCCCTAATCTTACTAACCTGTCCCTATAAAAGGGAAATTTGAACACAGTGACACCCAGAGGGAAGATGATGTGAAGACAGAGAGAGAAGACAGCCATCAGCAAGCCAAGGAGAGAAGTCTGGAATGGATCCTCCCCTCACAGCCCTCAGAAGGAACCAAGCCAGCCAGCCTCTCAATCTCACACTTTTAGCCTCCAGATCTGTGAGACAATAAGTTTATGTTGTTTAAGCCCTCCAGTCTGTGGTACTTTGTAATGTAGCCCCAGCAAACTAAAACATGGGTTGGCTGGTGGCATTAGAACAAGTTGCCCATGAAAAGGTTACAGGCAGCCTATAGGACAATTGAAGATGCATTCTACTTTCTGCCTGCACTGTGCATCTAGTGAAGAAAAAAAAAAAAAACACCTCAATAACTATCAGTGATTCATGGTGTCATGGAGGCTCCCTCTGCACATGTCTTGGGGAAAAGAGAGGATAAACGGTGGATAGTGGAAGTTCAAGCCTCCATCCCTTATTATCTGTGTAATGGGCCAACACACCTCATTCCTTGAGTTCCTGGCAAGTAGAACTTTCTCCACTAAAGTTTCTGACAAAGGCCTTCTCCAAATAAGACCCAATGAGACATTTGGGATTCATTGCCTCCTACTTTCTAGAAACAAATAGAAAAGGCAGGAAGCACAGCTAACAACATTGGTGGCCAGCTGAAGGAGTTTACACACCCTACCATGACCCTGGTAGAGTAGAGACAGCATGAGTTGAAGCCTGCTACTCAGAATCCACTGCAACTAAGAGTGTGTGTGTGTGTGTGTGTGTGTGTGTGTGTGTGTGTGTATGTATGTGTGTATGTGTGTGTTTTCTGCAGTTCCAGTCACAGATCTGCCTGCCACACAGTGGAGCCCTCTCTTGGACTCTGAATGCATAGCCCAGCAAAGCCAAGCAACTGAATCTCACCATCAGAACAGCTGAGAGCAGCTCCATCAAAGCAGTCAGTGGTACATGTGATCAATTTGTTTTTTGTATTTCTGGGCTACAAAATGTCTCTTAAGTTTCATCATTGGACCTATCGAGAAAGGAGAAATCAATTGAGTTGTGGAGATAAAAGAAAATTACACACACCCATGCATGACCAGGCAACAGAGTCCCATGCCTGGGGCTAGGCTGGGTGGCTGGCTGTGCCATTGACTTTCAGGGTGTGTAACTTTTGCCATCTGTATGGGGATGATAAAACTTCCATGTGATCCTTCAGCTGTGGTGAGGATTCTGTGAGCTGGAAGGTGAAGAGCATGGTGCATTCTGTGCCTGATGTGGACTGTGCACCCAATGGAGGAGGGATATCATCATCTCAAACCATACCCCTATCCCCATTTTACAGGTGAGGAAACTGGGGCATAGAGAGGACCAGTTCCTCTGAGGTCAGCCAGCAAGTGCACGGCAGAATCAAGTCTCAAACTGGGAGTTGTCTGCTCCCTGAGCCCAGGACTTTCATTGAAAGCCTCTGAGTCACCAGGGGCATTGAAGCCCCTCTGGGTGTCTCAAGCAACCCCACAAGGACTGTGTTTTCAACTTATAGATGAGAAGACCACCAGCCTGGACAACATGGCAAAACACCATCTCTACAAAACAAAAAGAGGATAGCGGCCAGGCACGGTGGCTCACGCCTGTAATCCCAGCACTTTGGGAGGCCAAGGCGGGTTGATCACGAGGTCAAGAGATCAAGACCATCCTGGCCAAAATGGTGAAACCCTGTCTCTACTAAAAATACAAAAAATTAGCTGGACGTGGTGGCACGCACCTGTAGTCCCAGCTACTCGGGAGGCTGAGGCAGGAAAATCGCTTGAACCTGGGAAGTGGAGGTTGCAGTGAGCCGAGATTGCGCCACTGCACTCCAGCCTGGCGACAGAGTAAAACTCCGTCTCAAAAAAAAAAAAGAAAGAAAGAAAGAAAGAAAATAGCCACGCATGGTGGCGCGCACTCATCCCAGCTACTCAGGAGGCTGAGGTGGGAGGATCGCTTGAGCCTGGGAGTTCAAGGCTGCAGCAGCAAGCTGTGATTGTGCCATCGTACTCCAACCTGGGTAACAGAGCAAGACTCTGTCTCAAAACAAACAAAAAAAAAACAAGACTCAGTGGGACAAGTCACTTCCCTGTGTAGAGGGGACAGGATTTGAACCCAGGTTGTTCATTGCCACATACTTGCTCTGATTCTTCCATCCACACCGTCAGATTACAGCCGAGCGCTGACAGCAAACTCGCAAATGAAAGTACATTAGTAGAATCCAGTATCCCCACTCTGGAGTGAGCCCTTCCCTCATGGGGGAAGAGAGGCAAAAATAAAACATACAGAGACTAATTTCATGTTCTGATGCTTTAAAGAAGACAGGGTGGTATAATGGGGGTGGCAGCAAGCTACTGGGTGAAATATTAAGGACGATGGCAAGCCACTTTAGCCAGCATGGTCAGGGAGGGCTGAAACCATCCCTGAAAACTTTATAATATTAATCAGAGAAGAAGGGAGGGGGACAAACTAAAATCAGCCACACTTACAGCACACTCAACATTCATCATTAGGTCAGTTTGCTCTCTAACCCCTTCCTCATAGCTAGCTGTTTGCCTATTGCCCCAGAATCACACACACACAAAAAACCCAATCACAAGATATAGTTCCCCTTAACTGCTCTACAGATAACATATTAAGCATTGTGAAAGGTCAAGTTTTCCATCTGAGATATCCTTTCAAGTCCTGCATACCAGTGAAACTACTGATGCCCACTGATCTGAAGGACCCCACGGGAGCTGACTTACCAAAGAATGCAGCTTCCACATCCGATGATTTCATCCCCTTTACCTCAACCAATCAATGACTCTAATTTTCCAGCCCTTCACCCCCAAAGATCCCCTTAAAACCCCAGCCCAGAATTCCTCAAAGAGAGATTTGAGGGTTCCTTCCATCTCGGTTGGCTTCCCTGCAAGGGAATTTAATTTCCTTTTTTATTTTTGTTTGTTTGTTTTTTGTTTTTGAGACAGGGTCTCACTGCATTGCCTAGGCTGGAGTGCACTGGCATGATTGTGGCTCACTGCAGCCTTGACCTCCCTGGGCTCAAGCGATCCTCTCAGTCTCCTGAGTAGCTGGGCACCGCTACCATACCCAGCTAATTTTTGTATTTTGTGTAGAGTTAGGATTTCACCATGTTGCCCAGGTTGGTCTCAAACTCCTGGGCTCAAGCAGTCTGCCCAACTCAGCCTCCCAAAGTGTTGGGATTACAGGCGTGAGCCACTGTGCCTGGCCATAATTAAACTCTGTCTTTGCTGCATCCCCTGCTGTCTCAGTGTATTGGTATATTACTGTGCAGTGGGCATACAAACCTGGGGGTCCTGTAACAAGGCTGCTCTGAGGGGGAAGAGGCCTGTAGGGTGAGACCTGGACAATGAGAAGAAGCCATCCAGGCAAGGAATTGAGGGGGAAGGGTATTCCCAGGGAGGCAGACTGGCAGGTGCAAAGGCCCTATAGTTGGACAAAGCCCAGAGAGCTGCAGGAACATCAAGAAAGCCCATAGAGTTGGTGCAGAGTGAATGAAAGGTCAGCAGGCGAGAGATTGTATAGAGCTATAGTAAGGAGGTTGGATTTTATTTCCAAGATGAGGAGCTGGGGACCAGTTAGCTGAAGGTGGCAGCCTCCCTCTCCTGGTCCCTGGCTGGTTTCATAGACCCTCTGACCTTCAGAAAAGGACCTGTCTCTTCAGAGCCCACACAGTCCCAGATGCTAACAAGGGACCAGCCTCCAAATGTCATGGCCACTCACCTAGCTCTCCACCATAGATGGAAAAGTCCTTCTCCAAGATGACCCACTTTTCAATCCTCTGTGCATTGTTCATGGCTTCCTGGTTCACAGCATTGATGCCTTGCTGGATGGCCTTGTAGACCAGGGGGTCTTGCTGCTTCACAATCTCAGTCACGGTGGATGCCTGGCTGCCCAGACCCCGACAGAAGTTGATGGCCTCGAAGTTCAGCTTGTCCAGAGGTTCTCCGCTCATCTGATTCATCTCACACTGCCCCCAGACACCTCTGTCACCACCCATGCTCCTTGACCAGCACCCCTCCCCAGGCCCACAGACCAAGAAGTGGGTCTTGAACCCACAGATGCATCCTCTTGACCCTGGGGTGGGGCCAGGGAACCCAAGACCGGCTGCAGAGACTTCCCCCAATGACAGCAAACCCATGTTACCTTCAGCGTCAGCAACATGCTCAGAAACTTCAGTTTATCTCCTACTAACATGGCGTTACTGATGATGGGGATCTTCTTCTTAACCAAGGTCTCAACAGGAATGGGGGGCACATTTTCACCACCAGCAGTGATAAGGATTTCTGGAACAGAGCTTGGCTTGGTACATGTCCAGCCATGACAACGTGGAACCCCCAGTTTGAGACCAGCCTGGCCAACATGGTGAAACCCCGTCTCTACTAAATATACAAAAATTAGCCAGGTTTGGTGGTGTGCACCTGTAATCCCAGCTACTCGGGAGGTTGAGGCAGGAGAATCACTTGAACCTGGGAGGCGGAGGTTGCAGTGAGCTGAGATCATGCCACCGCACTCCAACCTGGGCAACAAGAGTGAAACACCATCTCAAAAAAAAAAAAAAAAAAACCTAGTGGCCAGGCACAGTGGCTCACACCTGTAATCCTGCCACTTTGGGAGGCTGAGGTGGGCAGATCACTTGAGCCCACAAGTGCTAGACCAACCTGGGCAACACAGTGAAATTGGGTCTCTGCAAAAAAATAGCCGGGTGTGGTGGCACACGCCTGTAGTCCTAGTTACTCAGGAGGCTGAGGTGGGAGAATCACCTGAGCCTGGGAAGTTGAGGCCACAGTGAGTCATAATTGGACCACTGCATTCCAGCCTGGCCAACAGAGCGAGACCTTCTCTGAAAAATAAAATAGTACCAGCACAGAGGAAAACTCAAGAAAAGAATTTTAAAATTCCTTATGACCTCATTTTGGCACCCAGATCCAGCCATGCCTGAAGCCAGCTGACCTTTTGGCCAACTGACCTTTTCAGTTACGTTGAGTCAACAGTTTTGCTTTTTATTTTTTTCCTCAAACCTATTTAAACCCATCTTAAATGGGTTTGAGTAAAAAAGCACTAAGTGTTCTCCATCAGATTTTGGCAAACTATGGCCCATAGTGGCCAAATCCAGGCCACTATTCAATTTTGTATAACCAAAAGCTAAAAATGAATTTTACATTTTTAAGTTGTTGGAAGTCAAAAGAAGAATTTTTTTTGACACATAAAAATTATGATATTCATATTGGCAGCTGGCCACACCCATTCTTTATGTGTTGTCAACAGCTGTTTTTGTGCTACAAATCACAGAGTTGAGAAGCTACAACAGAGACACATGTTTTGTGAACCCAAAAATATTTACTAAAGGGCCCTCTTCAGGAAAAGTTGGCTTATCCTTGTTCTATACTTTCTTCAATCCTTACAACTCTGTCGATTATTATCCTCTTAAAATGCAGGAGAAGATGGCACTTTTTTACTCAAGCCCATTTGAACCAGCTTGAATGAGTTTGAGTTAAAAAAAAAAAAAAGTAAAACTGTTGGCTCAATATAACTGAAAAGTTCAAAAGGTCTTTGGCTTTCAGATATGGCTGGATCCAGGTGCCAAAATGATGTCACAAGGAATTTCTTTATCCTTCTCTTACTGAGTTTTCCTCTGGGCTGGTGCTATTCTGAAAGGGGCTTCAGGAGGTTCCAAGGCTTGTCTTTTGCAGGTCCATCCTCCTGAGGGTGGACCACGGGATACCAAGTGACCAAGGGGTAACTGTTTGCTGGACAGGAGGATAGAGCTGGGTTGTACAGACTGAGGAGTTTCTGCACAGCTCCTCTTGGAAGGTGAGGAACTGGGGGTGGCCTTCGTGCTGGTACCCTGGGCCCTTAAATGTTCAGGGTGGGCCTGCTTGCAGGAGATTCCCAAAGAGCTCAGCCCCTGGTACCTTTGATGTGGCCGGTGACATAGAGGAAACCCAGACCGTCCAGCTGGCCCAGATCCCCAGAGTGTAGCCAGCCTTCATCATCGATGGCCTCTGTAGTTTCAGTCTCACTTTCCAGATAGCCCATGAAGATGTGCCTACCCCAGAGGCAGATCTCCCCAATGCCATCCTTGTTCTGCTGGAACAGCATATTCTTACACCCAGTCAAGATCTTGCCACAGCTGCCAGGGGACAGAAGCAGAGAAACAGGCTCATAGGGACAAAGTCAGCCACCCAGCTCTGCCTGGATCTTCAGCCTAGGTGCCTAATACTCTGCTCAGCTAGAGCAGGCTGGATATGCACCCCAGCGCACAGAAGGAGGTGTTTGCTGCAGTGTTTAATCCAGCGTGTCAGATTCCCAAAGGCTTTGTGAACTGGGAAACCTAGCAGTGGCCAGGTGTGGTGGCTCACACCTGTAATCTTAACACTTTGGAAAGCCGAGGAGGGAATATTGCTCGAGCCCAGGAGTTCCAAGACCAACCTGGGCAACATACGGAGACCCCGTCTCTACAAAAATAATAAAAAATAAAAGTTGGGCATGGTGGTACATACCTGTGGTCCCAGCTACTTGGGAGGCTGAGGTGGGAGAATCACCTGAGCCCAGGAGGTCAAGGCTGCAGTGAGTAGTGATCACGCCACTGTACTCCAGCCTGGGCGACAGAGCAAGACTCTGTCTCAAAAAACAAAAACAAAAACAAAAACAAAAAATGAAAGAAAATCCAGCAGCATTGCAGGCTGTTTTTCGTTTTTTTTTTTTTTTTTTTTTTTTTTTTTTTTTTTTTTTTCATCTCCACATATGCCGGCAAAGAAAAAAATGCCTTTGGCTTAAAGATAGGAACAAAACCCTCATTTTAAAGAAAACAGGTAGACCTCTCTGCAGTGATTAGGACAGCTAATTTTAAGTACGGCAACCAACTACAATCTCTTTAGAGGTAAAAGTTACTTTCATAAAACAGAGTAGCACTATTTGAAATCTGGGTTCTTTGTCTTTTTTTTTTTTTTTCCTAGAGATAGCACTGGCCAGTGCAGTTCTAGGATGCAGGAAAGGAAATATTTTCTCCGTGTGTTGCTGAGATCTCTTTGATTAACAGTTAGCAAGGCCAATGGTCCCAGGGTTAAATGTAGGTATTCCCCTGGTTAGCAAAAGAAAAAATGAAGACAGACCTGAGAAATTTAAAACTTACAAAGAGCTGCCTTATGATTTCCCCCACTGAAGCCTTTTTAGGTATATAGAAAAATCCAGAAGCCATAAGAGATCGATAAGTTCAACCATCTAAATTTGTGACCACAAATTTCTGCACAGTAAAAAACATCTTAACTAAAATCAAAATACCAATGACAAGCCAGGGGATAAAATATTTGTAACTCATATGAAAGACAAAGGGCTGATTTTCCTAATATGTAAAGAGTGCCAACAAACCAATAATAAAGGGACCAATAATCTAATTTTTAAAACAGGCAGATAATATGGACAGACAGCTCATAGGAAAGGAAGTACAAATGACTTTTAAATGTATGGCAATGCTGGGCATGGTGGTTCATGCCTGTAATCCCAGCGCTTTGGGAGGCTGAGGATTGCTTGAGTCCAGGAATTCAAGGCCAGCCTAGGCAACATGGCAAGACCCCATCTCTACAAAAAAACTTTTACAGAATTGCCAAGCATGGAGGCTCATGCGTGTAGTCCTAGCTAGTTGGGAGGCTGAGGCAGGAGGAATGCTTGAATCCAGAAGTTCAAGGTTACAGTGATCTATGATTGTACCATTGCACTCCAGCCTGGGCAACAAAGTGAGACCCTATCTCTAATTAAAATTTAATAAATAAACACATGTATGAAAAGATTTTTTCAAACCTCACCCATGCTAAAAGGAGGGAGTCAGGGAGAGACACAACCAGAAGATTCTATGACTGACAGCTCTCAGATGGGGAGTTGAACCTCAATTTGGTATTCTTAAAGTTTTCTTATCATTGGGTTCAACCTTGCAGCCTAGGGCAAGCTGAGCTTGGGAGAAAGCCAGGAATCGGCCATGGAGGTGTTTTGAGATGGAGGATCATGGGGATGAAAGGTGCTGAGGTCACAGGCGGTGACCTTGAAGGCAGAACTCACAAGTGACAAACGGGGAGACCATGGAATGTTCAGAGAGCCATCCCCCTTATCTGTGGGCTCTCTTACCATCCAGGGTTTCCCACGGTCATGCGGAGTTAGGACTTGGAGGCTGGAGAACAGGATCATTCTGGAGACACCACGTCAGGATTCCTCTTAACCCAGAGGCCCATCTATCCACCCACCTTCCCCCTCTTGACCCCATGTTATGGGAGGAGCAGGGGTCTGCCCCGGGGGCTGGTACCTTAGAAGCCTGTAGTTATTCTGGTTGGATATCGTGTGGGGTCCCGAGCTCTCACTCAACCCATACAACTCGCCTATAGGTATGTCCAAGCTTAGAAAGAACTCGGCAGTCTCTTGGTTGAGGGGCGCAGTCCCACTGATAAAAGAGTGACAGTGATCCAAGCCAAGGGATGTCTTGACTTTGCTGAACACGAGAGTCTTAGCCATGCGGTAGCTCACGGGAGTATTATATTTCCTGTGAATAAGAATGCCGTCAAGTGGAGAAGGGCTGATGGGACCCACTGGAGAAGGCTGAGCCTCCTCACCAACTACCCTCCCAGCCCTCTGGATGCTCCACCTACCCCAACATCTTTTTTGAGTTGACCTTGAAGCCAATGTTTCTTGCCCACACGAATGCCTTCTTCTTCAAGCCCATGGACTTGGCACTATTTTTCTTCACCATCTCATGTATCTTCTCCCAAATTTGAGGCACTCCAATGAAGACAGTAGGTTTTACCTCCTTTAGAGTACTTACCAAGGTGCCCTGTATGGAACGAAGCTAGGTTAGCCACAGCAGGGCCTTCCGTGCACCAGGGATGTCCATCTCTCCTGATCCACCCAACTTTGCCCAAGAGAACATTCCTTCACTGATCAGATTACGCAGGACTCCCAACCAAAAGGAGACAACCCATTAGCTGGGTTGGCCAGTCAGATTTTTGCACTCTGTCTAGGGATTTGATGAGAGGCATAAACTGGTAAAATATTTTTGGAAGGTAACATGACAGTTCTATTAACATTTTAAGTGCAACCTGTCAACTTCACTTCTGTGGGTGAAGGAATTCAGCTGAAGGAAAGACTCAGGCACACAAAGAAACACGTTCAAGACGTTCTTTGCAACACTGTTTTGTAACAGAATGGAAACAGCTTACAGGTTCAATGACAAAGGGTTGGCTAAAGAAACTGTGGTCCAAGCATGCAGTGGAATATTACACAACTGTTAAAAAAGGATGCAAGATTCTCCCCCAAAGAGACCTATAGGTTCAATGCAACCCCTATCGAAATCTAGGCAAGTTTTTTTTTTTTTAAATACAAATTGACAAGCTGACTTTAAAATTTATATAGAAATGCAGAGGACCTAGAATAGCCCAAGCAATTTTGGAAAAGAAAGACAAAATTGGAGGACTTACTACCTGATTTTAAAATTTATTCTAAAGTAGGGTGAACAACCGTCCTGGTTTACCCAGAACTGCAGGAATATCTGAAATGTGAAACTTTCTGTTTTAAAACTGGGGAAGTCCCAGGCAAACCAGGAAACGTTAGCCATCCTGCTATCAAGCTAGTGTAATAAGTCAGTGAGGCTTTGGCGTAAAGACAGAGATGCAGATCAGTGGAACAAAATAGAAGATCCAGAAATAAAACCTTAAATTTATGCTCAGTTGATTTTCAACAAAATGCCAAGGAAATTTCGTTGGGGGGGGGGGCGGGTGGGGACTATTCAAATGCAAAACAAAATAAAACAAACAAACGCTTCCACAAAATTTAGGGTTAGAGCCTTATTTCTCACCAAACATGAAAATTACCTCAAAATGCATTATAGCCCTAAATGTAAGAGCTCAAACTAAAAACCTTTTGGAAGAAAACGTAGAAGAAAATCCCTGTGACTTTAGAGTAGGCAAAGATTTCCTAGATATGATACCAAAAGCATAAAAGAAAATAGATAAATCAAACTTCATCCAACTTAAACACTTTTTCCTCTTCAAAAGATTATTGAGGAAACAACAAGCCATAGAACTGGGAGAAAGTATTTGCAAACCACAAATTTGGTAAAGGATTTGTAACCAGAATATATAAAGAACCCTTAACACTCAACAATGAGATTAGATATGCAACCAATTTTTTTCATTTTTAATTTTTTTCCTTTCTCCTTTCTTTCTTTTTCTTTCTTCCTTCCTTCCTTCCTCTTTTTTCCTCCCTCCTTCCTTTCTTTCCTTCTTTCTCCCCTCCCCTCCCCTCCCTTCCCCTCCCTTCTCTTCCCTTGCCTTCCTTTCCTTTCCTTTTTTTTTTTTTTTTTTTGACACAGTCTCCCTCTGTTGCCCCGGTTGGAGTCCAGTGGTACCATCTCGGCTCACTGCAGCCTTTGCCTCCCAGGTTTGAGCTATTCTCCTGTCTCAGCCTCCTGAGTAGCTGGGCTTACAGGTGCACACCACCACGCCTGGCTAATTTTTCTTTTTCTTTTTTTTTTTTTTTTTTAGTAGAGACGGAGGAGACGGAGTTTCACCATGTTGGCCAGGCTGGTCTTAAACTCTTGACCTTAAGCAATCTGCCTGCCTTGGCCTCCCAAAGTACTGGGATTACAGGCGTGAGCCGCCGTGCCTGGCTTTTACTTTTCTTTTTACTAGTCATGCTAGCACAGAAAGAGCAACCACATTTTTATATGGGCAAACTATTTGAACAGATTTCTTTTTCCAAAGAAGATATGTAAATGGTCAATAAACACATGAAGAGATGCTCACTATCATTAATCACCAAGGAAATGCAAATTAGAATGGCAATAATAATAATAAAACAGATAGTAACATGCGTTAGTGAAGATGTAGAGAAACTGTAACCTTCGCACATTTCTGGTGCACGTACTTCAGAAAACAATCTGGAAATTTCTGAAAATATTAAGACACTTTTGTCACTATTCAGATTGACAAGTTGTAAACATTTTGACAATATTAGGAGTTGGTAAGGATGTGGGAAAATGGGAACTTCTCAGGTCCTGTAGGTAAATGTGTATGTATTATGTATTCAGCCAAGAAAGGAAATATGTATTGAAGACCTAACACATCTCAGGCACTGAGCATGGGGCATATGAGAGGGATTGAGAGGGGCCAAGGAAATATTTAGCAGAGAGCTAAGTGACAAAGAAGAGTCAGCCCTGCAAAGAACAAGAGAAAGAACCTTCTAGAAGCACGTGCAAAGGCCCTAAGATTTAGCCTGCTTGATGGAGAGTGTGGGAGGCAAAATAATGGCCCCCTAAAGATGTCCACGTTCTAACTCCTGGGACCTGTGAATATGTAATCTTTCATGGCAAAAGGGACTTTGTAGATGGGATTAAGTTAAGAATCTTGAGATGGGAGATCATCCTGGATGATCTGGGTGGCCCAATGTCATCACAGGGTCCTTATAAGAGGGAAGCAGGAGAGGGGAAGAGGCTGCACTGCTGGCTGTGAAGATGGAGGAAGGGGCCCTGAGATAAGGAACATAGGTGGCCTCTAGAAGCTGGAAAAGGTCCCCAAGAGCCTCTAGAAGGAATGCAGCCCTGATGACATATTGATTTTAGCCCAGTGAGACCATTTTCAAACTTCTGACCACCAGAACTATAAGATAATAAATGGACCAGGCGCGCTTGCTTATGCCTGTAATCCCAGCATTTTGGGAGGCTGAGGCAAGCAGATCACTTGAGTTCAAGAGTTCAGGACCAGCCTTGCCAACATGGTGAAATCCCGTCTCTACTAAAAATACAAAAATTAGCTGGGCGTGGTGGTGCACGCCTGTAATCCCGGCTTGGGAGACTGAGACATGAGAATCGTTTAACCCGGAGGTGGAGGTTGCAGTGAGTTGAGATCATGCCACTGCCACTGCACTCCAGCCTGGGTGACAGAACGAGACTCCATTTCTAAATAAATAAATAAATATTGTTTTAAGTCACTAAGTTTCTGTTCATTTGTTGTGGCATTAACAGGAAACTAATTCAGAGAATGTAACTTGGGGAAAATGTCAGAGTTCTTTTCTGGCTCCGTTTGCAAAGTCTAGACATGTAGAAAATCACTGTAAAACAAATTAGTCAGGCATGGTGGCACATGCCTGTAGTTCTGGCTACAGGGGAGGCTGAGGTGGGAGGATCCTTTGAGCCCAGGAATTTAAGGCTGCAGTAAGCTATGATCATGCCACTGCATTCCAGGCTGGGTAACAGAGCACGACCTTGTCTCTAAAAAAAAAAAAAAAAAAAAAAATTTAGAAAAGAAATCAAAGTGTTCTTTCACATAACTACTTTGCAAAACCTACCAATGAATGATATCCAGCTAAATCAAGGAATAATCCAAAAAAGAAGGCAAAGACCCCAGAAAATAGGGGATCCAACCCAGGAGTGGGAAAAAGGGATATCCCTGTATGGCAGCTTGTAGAAGATGCTGTTGATGTCCTATCAGATCTCTAGTGGCCCACAGTTCCCTCTTTTCCAGAAAACCGCCCTTACTTAGAAATAACTGGGAAGTTATGCTCCCTATCCCACATGGATGCCTGAGCCCACAGCCAATGACTATCTGAGTTGGGGTTACAAAAGCACAGCCTCCTTGCCTCAAAGTGGAACAACTCTGGTGTCGTTCATGCCTCAGAGCTTCCTATGGGATCAGTCTGAAGTTACAATCCAGCTGAATGTGTGTCCTTTCTTGTTTTTTCCCCCAGCCTATCCTTCTCTCCTCACTTCCTTTTGGTTTTCACCTGAGAGCTCCCCATTGATAAATCACAAAGATCTCCAACTCAGATTTTGCTTCTAGGGTACCCAACCTAAGACAACCTAAAACAACAGTCCAGCTAAGTGCAAAAGGATGGAGGAAAAAAATAATGCAATGGAGCTGGGTGCAGTGGCTCATGCCTGTAATCCCAGCACTTTGGGAGGCCAAGGCTCACCTGAGGTCAGGAGTTTGAGACCAGTCTGGCCAAAATTGTGAAACCCCATCTCTACTAAAAATACAAAAATCAGCCAGGCATGGTGGCACAGGCCTGCAGTTCCAGCTACTTGGGAGGCTAAGGCACGAGAATTGCTTGAACCCGGAAGACAGAGGTTGCAGTGGGCCGAGATCATGGCACTGTAACTCCAGCCTGGGCAACAGAGCAAGACTCTATCTCAAATAATAATAATAATAATAATAATGCAATGAATATTTGAACATTTGGAGACTATTGATAAGCATGTGACAGATCAGATGGAGCAACTGGACATGTATGCAAAAACTTCACCAAACTGGAAAAGAAAGGCAACTTAATTCTGGGAAAAACAAAAAGTTGTACCAAGCAGGAAGTGGAATCATATGATAAACTACTTGGCTCAGTTAACTAAGAATAATTTATGTTGAGAGAATGGGGAAGGAGAAATGAGAAGACGGGAGAGGAAGGGAGCTAAATCCTCACCACAATAGAAAGGCAAAAGATAATACTTAAAGGGTATAAGTCAAGAAAAGGTGGTATAAAAATTCTACAAATATATGCATAATCCCAGTAAGTGGAATAAAATGAAGACCACAAACAACATCTTATCAATTCAGATCAGACTTTGCTGCCAAAAACTCCTGTTTTTTGGAGCTTTTTAGATTTGGGAATACTGACTTATAAACACACACACACACACACACACACACACACACACACACACTCTTTACTTTCAGTACCAAGTACATCTTTGTCTTGGGTTGTTCAGTGTTCAATCTACATAACCATACATGGATGCCCTGACTTGGATAAAGATAAAAACTAGGAGAATGTAGCCAGCTGGTTAAAAAAAAAAAAAAGTTGTTTTATTTGGTCAGGTGTTTTTTGTTTTTTAGAAAAATTTACTATTATTATTGGTTTTTGTAGAGATAGGGTTTCGCCATCTTGCTCAGGCTGGTCTCAACTCCTGAGCTCAAGCAATCTGCCCGTCTTGGCCTCCCAGAGTGCCGGGATTACAGATTGAGCCACTGTGCCTGGTCTTGTTTTTAATGCTTCTAAATAGAGCATTAAGATGAGGGCAGAGATAAAACCGTTAGACATGGGGCTTCACCCAAAAAATCTGTCGAATGATTAACAACCATCTACTCACCTGGGCTGCCCAAGAGGATGAAGTCGGAGCCCCAGGTCCTTACTCAATCTTACCTTGAGAGCATCTGCTTGAGCAAAGTATGTGAGCGCCCCAATCTTTATGGGTACCCAGATGTCCATCATCTGTGCTGCAATATGGCTGAGTGGGAGGTAGCTAACCACCGTCTCATGCTTGTCTGTCAGTTTAAAGTCCTTTGTCACTGCTCCTGCAATCCACGTGATCTGTAACATAAGGGACAATCCAAGGTGCCTCACCCTCATAGAAGGGCCATTTTATTTTTAAATTTTTATTTATTTTTCAGACAGGGCTCACCCAGACTGGAGTGCAGTGGTGTGATCACAGCTCACTGCAGCCTCAAACTCCTGGGTTCAAGGAATCTTCCCATCTCAGCCTCCTGAGTAACTGGTACTATAGGCACACACCACCACACCCAGCTAATTTTTTTTTAACTTTTTTTGTAGAGAGGGGGTCTCACTATGTTTTCCAGCTTGGCCTCAAACTCCTGGCCTCCAGCGACCTCCCGCCTCAGCCTCCCAAAGTGCTAGGTTTACAGATGTGAGCGACCATGCCCAGCCTGGAGGGCGATTTTAAATGTATTTAGCTAAATAAATAAACTAATTAAGTAAACACTTATAAAGCACCTACTATGACCAAGACACTGTCTTCATACTTTACAAACACCAAGTCATTTAATCATCATAACACCTGGGGGTTGGTAACTATAATTCTCCCAAAATTTTTGGAGCTTCACCCAAAAAATCTGTCGAATGATTAACAACCATCTACTCATCTGGGCTGCCCAAGAGGATGAAGTGGGGGCCCTAGGTCCTTATTCGATCTTACCTTGAGAGCATGTGCTTAAGCCTAAAGTATGTGAGTGCCCCGATCTTTATGGGTACCCAGATGTCCATTGTCTGTGCTGCAGTCTGGCTGAGTGCGTGTGTGTGTGTGTGTTGTTTTTTCATAAGTCAGTATAAGGCACCTTGGATTGTCCCTTATGTTACAGATCACGTGGATGGCAGGAGCAGTGGCAAAGGACTTTCAACTGACAGACAAGCATGAGATGGTGGTCAGCTACCTCCCACTCAGCCATATTGCAGCACAGATGATGGACATCTGGGTACCCATAAAGATTGGGGCGCTCACATACTTTGCTCAAGCAGATGCTCTCAAGGTAAGATCGAGTAAGGACCTGGGGCCCCCACTTCAGCCTCTTGGGTAGCCCAGGTGAGTAGATGGTTGTTAATCATTCGACAGATTTTTTTGGGTAAAGCCCTAGGTCTAACGGTTTTTTTAATCAGGGAGAATTATGTGAAAACAGAAGCACAGAGTCCTTAACTAACTTGCCTGAAGTTAGGAGGAGTTGCAAAATTTAGCAGGCAGCTTTAGGAGTAGGGAGGTTGCAGACTTCCTTGGGTCCAACGACAGAACTCAGAAAACTGGATTCAGCAAGTGTCCCAGAGTCAAACCCTGACTCCACTGTTTGCTAGACATTTGGGCTATTTCCTTAAAATCCCTCGTGGCTTTTATTGCCTCTTCTTTAAAGTGGGGACAGAGGCTTCTCAGGTCCAATATAGAACTATGGAACCAACATGGTCAAACAAACAAAAAGGCTACCCATAATCCCATCATATAAACACCCCAGTAATTAGCATTATTAGCATTTTTCTTTCTCCAATGCATATGTAGATGTAAAGTTTTAGTGTACCTATAATTTTGTCACTTATATTTCTCACTAGTGTCATAAATCTCTGGTGAATAGTTACTTCATTAATCCAGCCACCCAGACCTCCTCGCTGTTGCTCCAATGCATCAGGCATGGTCCAGCCTCAGGGCCTTTGGACTGGCTATTCCCCCTGCTTGGAATGCTCTTTCTTCAGCCTTTTCCCTCACCGTCCCCCACCCCCATGGCTGGCTACTTCTTGAACATTAAGTCTCAGCTGAAATGTCACTTCCTTAGAAGGGCCATCTCACACCATCTAAGGTGAAAGTGCCATTGACTGCCTAAGTCTGTACGTACCATGTCACACAAACTGAATGTTTTCATTTGTTCATTTCTTATCTGTTCCCAAGGTCCAGATTGAGTCTGTCTTGTTTGCTGCTGTTTCCCCTGCTCCTGGAATATTCCCCAGTACATACTAGGTGCTCAATGAATTTTTCTTGAATGAATGAGGAAATAGAAGGAATGGTTAACTGCAGTAAAGGACATAAAGCAGTCAGCCCAAAATATCCCTCAAGGCTAGTTCCACTTCTTTCCCTGGGCTCAGGATGAAGGCTCCCATAAACCTTGTCATGCACAGTCCAGGGTTCAAGGAACCTAGCACACTTGTTGAGAGAAGGGGCTTGTTGTGTATAGTCTATGATGTACAATGGTTTAGACACTCCTGGTTCAGATCTCAGTTCAGAGCTTCCCTTGCTCTGTGATCTTGACCAAGTAATTTCCTCTGTCTGAGCCTCAGTTTTCTCATCTGTAAAAGGGTTAGTGACAAAATTTTCCTCGTGGGGTTTTAGTGGGGAGTTAAAATGTGTTTATCTTAGCACTGAACATAGTGTTCCCTACACGGGAGAAACACTGAGCTGTAGACATCTGGCAAGAATCTAAGGCTACCTTTAACTTCTTGCTGTAAAGATGATGATGAGACAGGGCCTCACTCTGTCACCCAGGCTGGAGTGCAGTGGCAGCATCATAGCTCACTGCAGCCTCGAACTCCTGGGCTCAAGGGATCGTCTCACTTCAGCCTCCCGAGTAGCTGGGACTACAGGCATGTGCCACCATGCCCAGCTAATTTTTAAAACATTTTTGTAGAGATGAGGTCTTGCTGTGTTTCCCAGCCTTCTCTCAAACAATCCTGGCTTCAAGCAATCCTCCTGTCTCGGCCTCCCAAAGTGCTGGGATTACATACATAAGCCACTGCACCCAGCCAAATACAATATTAATAGCTATCCTTGACATGGCTTCCTGTATGCCAGGCATTGTTCTAAGCATTTTATGTATATGTGGTAGATTAAACAGAGCTGCAGATTCTCTGCTACTCCTCCCATTCTGAGGTGGAATTTGTTTCTCTTTCCTTTGAGACAGAATTGGTCCAGTGATTTGTTTTGACTGACAGAAAGGAGCAGAAGGGATGCTGTGGAAATTCTGGGACTGACAAATCTTTGGGACCACTTGCTGTTGGGAGAGTCAGCCACCAGGTTAAGAAGTTCAAGAGTGATGGCCAAGCGTGGTGGCTCATGTTTGTAGTCCCAGCACTTTGGGAGGCCAAGGCGGGTGGATCACCTGAGGTCAGGAGTTCGAGACCAGCCTGGCCAACGTGGTGAAACCCCATCTCTACTAATAATACA
Source organism: Homo sapiens (assembly GCF_000001405.40). NCBI lineage: Eukaryota > Metazoa > Chordata > Mammalia > Primates > Hominidae > Homo > Homo sapiens. The sequence goes on along the minus strand of NC_000019.10, from coordinate 6,174,107 downwards.
AAAATTAGATGGGTGTGTTGGCACACGTCTGTAATCCCTGCTACTCAGGAGGCTGAGGTGGGGGAATCGCTTGAAATTGGGAGGCAGAGGTTGCAGTGAGTCGAGATTGTGCCACTGCTCTCCAACCTGAGCGACAGAGCAGACTCTGTCTCAAAAAAAAAAAAAAAAAATAGTTCAAGAGTGATGTCCTCATGTTGGTCCTGTAAGCTACCCACAGACAGCATGACCCTGCCCAGAGCCCTGTGGCTTGGGCTCAGCGTGGCTGACAAGTGTCATCTTCCCTATTGTGGAAAGCCTTGTGGTTTGGAACCAGAAGGATATGAATGAGAATCTGCCACTTGCTAACAGTGTATTGATACGTGATGGCTGACAACGGACATCAGATGTCAGTTTTCAGGAAGAAGATCAAAATTACTGGTAAATGGATAAGTTTTGAACTGAAAATGGAGGAAGGAGAGGCAGGACCTCTTGGAGTGCCCACAGGAAGAAGCTGCGGCGTAGGAAAGGAAAGCTGCAAGGGCCTGTCAAAGATCAGCTCCTGAGGAACTCAGAGCCCCATGGAAAGGATAGGTGGGAGTGCTTCTTTGCTTCCCACTCGCCTTTGACAATATCCTGGTCACTAAACTCTCAGGGAGCTCCTCTGCCCTTGCAACCCAGGCCAACACCATCGGTGCTGATTAGAGAACTTCCCAGGGACAGAGAACCAGGTGGTCAGTTCACACAGGCATGCCCACACTCCCCTCAGACCTGAACTGAGACAGCAGGCACCACACTGGTTGTGCACCTGTGGTGCCACTGCCCTGCCTGGGGATTCTCTGCCCTTGACCCACTGCACCACCAGATTCCCCACAAACATACCCCACAACGCGCTGTGACTTTGGCAAGCACAAGGGACCAGTGAGCCTCTGGGGGGCCGCAGGATCCCTGAAGATCTAACCCTTGGCATGGGTAACCCCTAAAGGAGGAGGAGAATGCAGCCCACCAAAGCCCCCCTTGGGACAAAGGAAATGTGGGTGTGGCACAAACCACTGGAGTGGGCAGCACCCATGCCTGGGAAAAGACATGGAGAAGGGGTCATTTCCCACCTGCCCTCCCACCCCACACTGCTGCCAGGAACTAAAGGATGAAGCCTTTATAAACAGAAGATTGTGAGCCCCATGACAGGGGTGTGATAGAGAAGCGGACTGCATTCCTGCTGGCTGAGGACAAGGAGCTGGTGCATTCCCTGCCCCTACCCCTGAGACCTCAGTGCACCCCATCATGATCTCTTCCTGCTACCTCCATCAGGGTATGCATGCCTACTTGGCACCAGCCTACCTGCTGGTTCTAACTTTTAAGTGCGATCTACTGGACTGCATCCTGCACTGCACCACCAAACAAAAATCTTGCTACTGGAAGGGTTTATTGACAGTGCATGAGATAAGCCTCCTGAGACCTCCACACCCTCAGTCCTGCAGGAGATAGTGTTGGCTGTTATGTCCATTACATCATTACAACAAGCAGCATCTGAGAAAGCCACTGCATAGAAGCTGTCCACAACCATGGAACCCATACAGACCTTAGCCACTGCACAGAAGCTGTCCACAACCATGGAACCCGTACAGACCTTAGCCACTGCACAGAAGCTGTCCACAACCGTGGAACCCATACAGACCTTTGGCCCCCAAAAGCACTCAGAAGCAAGGCCATACAATCACACACAACATACACCACAGCCATACCCTCAAGGGAAACTAGAATTAAAAAATACAAAAGCCCCATCCAAACAATAGAAGATTCAAAAACAAGAAGTGACAGCTCCCTCAGATAAGAAGGAATCAGTGCAAGAAATCTGGCAGTAGAAAAAGCCAGAGTGTTTCAACACCTCCAAAGAATCTCACCAGTTCTCTAGCAATGGGTCCTCATCAGACTGAAATGTTTGAAATGACATATAAAGAATTCAAAATATGAATTGGAAGGAAACTTAATGAGATCCAAGAGAAAGTTGGAAACCAATATAAGGAAACTAGAAGAACACTTCAATATATGAAATACAACATAGATATATTAAGAAAAAACCAAATTGAACTTCTGGAATTGAAAATTTCACTATAGAAATTTAAAAATATAGTTAGACTAGACCAAGCAGAAGAAAGAATTTCAGAGCTTGAAGAATGGTCTTTCAAACAACTCAGACAAAAGTAAAGAAAAAAGAAATAAAAAACCCAAAGTATTTGAGAAATGTGGGATTATGTAAAGCAACCAAACCTGTGACTTAAATGCATTCCTGAGAGAAAAGAAGAAAAATTAAGCAACTTGGAAAACATATTTGAGGGAGTAATACAGGAAAATTTACCTAATCTTGCCAGAGAGGTCAACATCTAGATATGAGAAATCCAGAGAACTCCTGTGAGATGCTACACAATATGGCCACCCCCGAGGCATATAGTCATCAGACCAAGGTCAATGTAGAAAAAAAATAAATCTTAAAGGCATCTAGAGAAAAGGGCCAAATTACATATAAAGGAAATTCCATCAGACGTACAGTGGATTTCTTAGCAGAAACCTCACAAGCCAGAAGAGATTGAGGGCCCATTTTTAGCCTTCTTAAAGAAAAATAAATGCCAGCCAATAATTTTATATCCCACTAAACTAAGTTTCATAAATGGGAAATAAAATATTTCTCAGATAAGCAAATGTAAAGGAATTTGTCATCACTAGATCAGCCCGAAAAGAAATGCCCAAAGGAGTTCTAAACATGAGAACAAAAGAACAATACTTGCTACCATAAAAGTACATGTAAGCACAAAGCCCACAGACCCTATAAAGCAACTAAACAATCAAGAATACAAAGCAAAAACACATGACAGGAACAAAACCTCACATATCAATATTAACCTTGAACATAAACATCCTAAATACAGCACTTAAAAGACATAGAGTGACAAATTTGATAAAAAATAATAATAAATAAGACCCAACCTGCTGCTGCCTTCAAGAGACCCATCTCACATGTAATGACACTCAGAGGCTCAAAGTAAAGGGATGGAGAAAGATCTATCATGCAAACAGAAAACAAATAAGATGAGAGGGTGCTACTGTTTTATCCAATAAAACAGATTGTAAACTAATGACAGTTAAGAAAAAAAAAAAGACAAAGAAAGGCATTATATAATGATAAAGGGTTAAATTCAACCAGAAGATCTAACCACCCTCCCAACATCAGAGCCCCCAGATTTATAAGACAAGTACTACTAGACTTAAGAGATAGCCATACAATAATTGTGAGGGACTTCAACACCCCACTGACAGACAGAACATTGAGGCAGAAAATAAAGAAATACTAGACTAAATTGGACAGTTGACCAAATGGACCTAATAGACATCTTCAGAATACTCTACCCAGTGGCCTCTGAATATACATTTTTCTCATCTGCACATGGAACGTTCTCTAAGATTAACCACATGCTAGGCCACAATGAAAGTCTTAATAAATTTAAAAAAATCAAAATCATACCAAGCATCTTCTCAGACCACAGTGGAATACAATTAGAAATCAATACCAAGAGGAACCCTCAAAACCACACAAATACATGGAAACTAAGCAACTTGCTCCTTAATGACTTTTGGGTAAACAAATTAAAGAAGCAATAAAAACAATCTTTGAAACAAATGAAAATAAAGATACTTTTTAAGTGGGCTTTATTCCTGGGATGCAAGGATGGTTCAACATACACAAATCAATAAATGTGATTCATCACATACACAGAATTAAAATCAAAAGCCATATGATCATCTCAATGGCTGCAGAAAAAGCATTTGACAAAATCCAACATTCTTTATGATAAGAACCCTCAACAAACTAGGCATCAAGGAATATACCCCAAAATAATAAGAGCTGTCTATGACAAACCTGCAGCAAACATCATACTGAAGGGGAAAAGTTGGAAGCATTCCCTCTAAGAACTGAAACAAGACAAGGATATCCACTTTCACCACTGCTATTCAACATAGTACTAGAAGTCCTAGCCAGAGCAATCAGGCACAAGCAAGAAATAAAAGATGTATGAATAGGAAAATAGGAACAGAGGAAGTCAAATTATCTCTGTTCACCAATGATATGATTCTACATCTAGAAAACCCTAAAGATTCCTCCAAAACACTCCTAGATAAATGACTTCAATAAAGTTTCAGGATACAAAATCAATGTACAAAAATCAGTAGCATTTCTATATACCAATATTCTTAAAGTTGAAAACCAAATCAAGAATTCAATCCCATTTACAGTAGCTACACAAAAAATAAAATACCCACAGACACATTTAACCAAGGAGATGAAAGACTTCTACGAGAATAACTTTTCAAAACATTGATGAAAGAAATCACAGATGACACAAATGGAAAAGCATTCCATGCTCATTGACAGGAAGAATCAACATTGTTAACATGACCATACTGCCCAAAGCAATCTACAGATTCATCACAATTCCTATCAAATTACCAATATGATTTTTCACATAATTATATAAAACAATTCTAAAATTTATATGGAACCAGAAAGCCCAAATAGAGCAATCCTAAGCAAAAAGAACACAGCTAGAGGCATCACATTATCTGACTTCAAATTATACTACAAGGCTATAGTAACTAAAACAGCATGGTACTGGTACAAAAATAGGCACAGAGATCAATGGAACAGAATAGAGAACTCAAAAATTAAGCCACACACAACCAACTGATTTTTGACAAAGTCAACAAAAATAAACAATGGGGAAGGACATCCTATTCACTAAGTGGTGCTGGGAAAACTGGCTAGCCATGTGCAGAAGAATGAAGAAACTAGAAGAAAACCTAGGAAAAATTCTTCTGGACATTGGGCTAGGCAGAGAATTTATGACTAAGACCACAAAAACAAATACAACAAAACCAAACATGGACAATTGGGACTTAAGAGCTTCTGCACAGCAAAAGAAACAATTAACAGAGTAAAGACAACCTACAGAATAGGAGAAAATATTTGCAACTGTGCATCAATTAAAGGACTAATATTGGCCAGGCGCCATGGCTCACGCCTGTAATTCCAACACTTTGGGAGGCTGAGGTGGGTGGATCACTTGAAGTCAGGAGTTCGAGACCAGCCTGCCCAACATAGCGAAGCCCCACCTCTTCTAAAAATACAAAAATTAGCCAGGTGTGGTGGTGGGTGCCTGTAATCCCAGCTGCTTGGGAGGCTGAGGCAGGAGAATTGTTTAAACCTGGGAGGTGGACATTGCAGTGTGCCGCGATAGTGTCACTGTACTCCAGCCTGGATGACAGAGCAAGACTCTGTTTCAAAAAAAATAAAAATAAAAAAGGACTAATATTCAGAATCTATAAGGAACTTAATAAGAAAAAAACCAGCCCCTTTAAAAAGTGGGCAGTCTTGCTCCAGGATCTATGCTCATAATGCCTGTGCTAGGAGAATGTCTTACCACACATGCAGCCACTAGGAGCATAAATACTAGCCAGCATAGAGGGGAATATCCTGTTTAATCAGATTTCCCTCATTCATTCATTTCCCAAAAGTGGATTGAGTCCTCCTGCTCATCAGGCACTGCAGTTACAGTAGTGAATAAGACAGAAAACCCCTGACCTCAAGGAGCTGATGTTCCTGATAAACAAATGAGCATATAATATGACAGTGTCAAAATTTTCTAAGGAAGAAAAAAAGTAGCCAAATGGGAATTAGGTAGTAATGGGGTGGTTTATTGTTTGCTATTTCAAACATGGAAGTTAGGGAGGGCTTCACTGAGGAAGTGACACTGAGCAGAGACCCACCCGAAGGAGGGGAGGGAACAAGCTGTGTGGAAAAATACTTCCCACGGAGCTCATGCAAAGACCAAGAGGCAGGACGTGTCTGGTGTGTTGGAGGAACAGCAAGGAGGACCATGTGGCTAGAACAGAGTGAGCAAGGGGGAGAGAGGGAGGAGAGGAGAGGAGAAGGGAGATGGGGCTAGGCTTGCAGTGCCTTGTGGGCCTCAGGAGACTTGGGCTTTTACCTGGAGGGAAGTGGGAGCCATGGAGGGCTGCAGACAGAGGAGGATTGGGACTTGACTCAGGTGCTCACAGGCACTCTCTGGTGGCTGTAGAGAGGATAGACTGGGGGTGGGGGTGAGGGTGGGAGTTGGGTGGGAGGCGGGTAACCGGATGGGGTGGAAGCAACCACACAGGTCCAGGGGAGCGATGATGGAGACTGGGCCAAAAATAATTTTTCTCTATCATGCATCATACAATTGAGTCCAAGGGCTTCTGTAATGTCTGAACTTTTAATTTGTACTCCCGTGATTTATTGCCAAACTTGAAGCCTGCTTTCCTTGTTGTTATAGCAAAATATATTTATGCATCAAATTTTACAGGAAGCCAAGTTTTAATTTACATATAGACCTTAGTCCTGGGCCCGTGATATTGCTCAGACAGACAGTGTGGGAGAGTAAAAACCATAGTTGTAGAAAAATCAGAAAACTTCTAAGAGGCCTTGAGCTAAGATGCAGGAGGAGGAAAGGAGTTCTGCTGAAGGAGACAGTGTTGGCAAAAGATTTGGATTCATGTTAAAATGAGAAATTCAGAGAAGATTTCCAGGGTGTGGATCTAGGATCGGGACCTCCAGACCCAGGGGGATGATCCTAGCTCCACACCTTGCTATACAGCACTAGCTGAGACAGTGTATTAAGGGAGTGGAGGCTGACTTTTGCAATCTTCCATTGCTGACCTTCCATGGGCCAGGCCCTCTGCCAGAATTGGGCCCTCTACTCTCCCCATTTTACAGTTGGGCAAACTGACACACAGTTTGGTGATGTCATATGACCAATGTCACACCAGCTTACATGGTTACTTACAAGTAGCAAAGCCAGGATTCCAACACTGAGGTGGTCAGACACCAGTGTGTGCTGGTAACTATTACCCTAGGCTGAGGGGGGGCAGGGAAGCATTTATAAGAATGCTTTTATAGAAATTCTTCATTTAAAAACCAGCAGGCCAGGTGTGATTGCATGCACCTGTAGACCCAGCTACTTGGGAGGCTGAGGCAGAAGGATCACTTGAGCCTGTTGAGTCTGAAGCTTAAGTGCATGATGATTGTGCCTGTGAGTAGTCACTGCACTCCAGCCTGGGCAACATGGTAAGAACCCATCTCTAAAAACAGTGTAAAAACAGACCAGGTGCTGTGGCTCACGCCTGTAATCCCAACACTTTGGGAGGCCGAGGCAGGCAGATCACTTGAGGTCAGGAGTTTGAGACCAGCCTGGTCAACGTGGTGAAACTCCATCTCTACCCAAAATACAAAAAATTAGTTGGATGTGGTGGCACTGGCTTGTAGTCCCAGATACTCAGGAGGCTGAGGCACGAGAATTGCTTGAACCCAGGAGGCAGTGGTTGCAGTGAGTGGAGTGCCACTGTACTCCAGCCTGGGGCACAGAGCCAGACTCGGTCTCAAAAAGCAAAACAAAACAAAACACACACACAACTGAAAAATAAAGTAGGCTGGGCGTGGTGGCTCATGCCTGTAATCCCAGCACTTTGGGAGGCCAAGGCGGTGGATCACCTGAGGTCAGGAGTTCAAGACCAGCCTGGCCAACTTGGTGAAACCCTGTCTCTAATAAACATACAAAAATTAGCCAGGCATGGTGGCGGGTGCCTGTAATCCCAGCTACCTGGGAGGCTGAGGCAGGAAAATCACTTGAACGGAGGCAGAGGTTGCAGTGAGCCAAGATTGCGCCACTGCACTCCAGCCTGGGCGACAGAGGGAGACCCCATCTCAAAACACACACACACACACACACACACACACACACACACACACACACACACACAACCTTCCTGACTCACACAGAGGAATCATTGTCTGCTGGGTGCATACCCTGCCAGACATTTTTCTGCTTTTGACATGGCCAGCATTCCTTGATCTCAATCACTGCACTCTGCTGCCCCCTAGTGAAGCAACTACGCTACTCTCTAACCCCCAATGGTGAAGGAGCCACACTGCGTACTAGACCCTGGAATGCCACCCTGCCCCTGGAAGCCAACAAGAGAAACAGCCCAAAGGCCACCACTCCAGAGCAAAGGGACTTTGGCGTACGTTGTCATGACTGAGCATCACTCCCTTGGGTATGCCTGTGGTCCCTGAAGTGTAGATGAGCACTGCGCATTGATTCGCCTTCTGGCTCTCGATGACCTGCTCCAGTTGGGTGTCAGGGATACTTCTGCCAAGTTCCATGAAATCATCCCACTGTGGACAGAAAAGACAAGCGGAGGATGAGAAGGCAGTCGGGAGTCCTCTCACCCAGCCAGACCTCGTCCTATCAGCTTTTCCTAAAGAATGATCCTCAGCAGGTGGAAGGGCTTAGGATGTGCCAGTCCTGGCACCTCTTACAAAAGTCCCAAGATCTCTGCTTCCAGTTCTGCCACTTCCTCGCAGCGTCACCAAGCCACTTAAGCTCCCTGTGCCTCAGTTTCCTCATTTGTAAAATGGGAATGATGTCAGGACGCAACTCCTTGGGTTGTTCTAAGCAGTAAGAGAGTTAATATATGCAAAGTGCTCAGAATAGTAGTTGGCAGGTGGTAAGTGTTCTACGGAGTTAGGTATTATTTGTTCGCTGCCTTCCCAAATTCCACTCCCCACTCTACTTCTTAGTCACCAATTGGATGGGGCTGACTTCACCCACAGATCTGGAAGTCAACCCTAATTGGCTCAAACTGTTCTATCAGCCTGGGTTATGGTGATTGGATCAAGTCTGGACATGTGACCTCAAGTGGTCCAATCATAATGAAGATGAAGACTTTACCTGGGAATTCTGAGACACAGACTGTGTATGTGAATGAGTCAAGATGTAGCTCTAGGAGCTGCTGAACCATCTCAGGACTATGTGAGAAAGCAAGGCTGGAGCGGAGCCAAGAAATAGAGAAAGGAAAATAGAGCCTGGGCACATTCTTTGAGCCCCTGGTTCCAGCCATGCCTGAAATCCACGCCCTGAACTGTAGTTGCATGGTCCAACAGATTATCTTTTTGTTTGTTTGTTGCTTAAGCCATTTGGGGTCAGACTTTTGTCACTTACGACCAAAGGCATCCTTATTGATAATTGATGCATTGCCTCACTCTGGCAGGTGAAGAAGCTGAGGCTCAGGGGTGGTAGATTACTTGCCCAAGGCAGATTACTTAAGGCAAGTGAAGAGAGGAGCTAGCATTCAAACCCAAGGTCTGACTCCAGAGCCTGTGCTCTTAACTATGACAGAATTCGGTGCCGCAAAGTGAACTCTTGGGTTGTATCGACTGAGCATCACATGGGATCTGCAGAAATTCTACCATTGAACCCCCAACAAAGCACTGGATGAGGGTGATGCGCTGACTTAAAGATGGAGGCCCCTCGGCCAGGCACGGTGGCTCACACCTGTAATCCCAGCACTGGGAGGCTGAGGTGGGCGGATCACGAGGTCAGGAGTTCAAGACCAACATGGCCAGCATGGTGAAACCCCATCTCTACTAAAAATACAAAAATTAGCCGGGTGTGGTGGCAGGCGCCTGTAATCCCAGCTCCTCAGGATGCTGAGGCAGGAGAATCGCTTGAAATGGGGAGGTGGAGATTGCAGTGAGCCAAGATCACGCCACTGCACTCCAGCCTGGGCAACAGAGTGAAACTCCATCTCAAAAAAAAAAAAAAAAGGCCCCTCAAAGTCCTCTACAGATGGCCAGTGTTGCCTGAAACCTGCCCAGGGTGATGCTGGCTTCATCTGAGCAGGCAAAGCCCTTTGCCCAGATAATCTGTAACAAGGTAGGGCAAGGGTGAGAGGAAGAGCACACACAAGCCCTCTGGGGGAACCTGTCCTTTCTCAGAGATGCCCCTAGGTCTCCCTACAAAGGGTGTTCCTTCAAAGGCCGGTAGAAGACCCCCGGCTTCCACAGCCACAAATGACTGGATTGGGATGGGCACCAGACCCATGCTGGTCCAATCCAATCCCCTGTCTTGGAGATCTGGGTTGGTCCTCAGTCTGTTGGGCACACAGATGCCAAGCATCACAACTGGCACAGTTCATTGTCTTACTCGGCCATTTTCCTTCCCAAATGTCACAGTCCACTTTCTCAGTCTCATTCGTTTTTGCTCATTTCTGGGTCCTAAACTAAATCTTTTTCTTTCTTTCTTTCTTTTTTCTTTTGAGACAAGAGTCTTGCTCTGTCACCCAGGCTGGAGTGCAATGGCGTGATCTCAGCTCACTGCAACCTCCACCTCCCAGGTTCAAGTGATCCTCTTTAGCCTCCCGAGTAGCTTGGACAGGCATGCACCACCACGCCTGGCTGTTTTTTTTTTTTTTTTTTGTATTTTATTTTATTTATTTGTTTATTTGGAGACAGAGTCTTGCTCTGTCGCCCAGGCTGGAGTGCAGTGGCGTGATCTCCGCTCACTGCTCTTGGCTCACTGCAACCTCTGCCTCTTGGGATCAAGTGATTCTCCTCTCTCAGCCTCCTGAGTAGCTGAGACTACAGGTGCGTGCCACCACGCCCGGCTAATTTTTGTATTTTTAGTAGAGGTGGGGTTTCACCATATTGGTCAGGATGGTCTCGAACTCCTGACCTCAGGTTATCCACCCACCTCGGCTTCCCAAAGTGCTGGGATTACAGGCATGAGCCACCACACCCAGCCTTTTTTTTTTTAGATGGAGTCTCGCTCTTTCGCCAGGCTTGAGTGCAGTGGCACTATCTCGGCTCACTGCAACCTCCGCTTCCCGGGTTCAAGTGATTCCCCTGCCTCAGCCTCCTGAGCAGCTGGGACTACAGGCGCATGCCACCATGCCCAGCTAATTTTTTGTATTTTTTAGTAGAGACGGGGTTTCACCATGTTGGCCAGGATGGTCTGTACCTCCTGACCTCATGATCTGCCCGCCTCAGCCTCCCAAAGTGCTGGGATTACAGGTGTGAGCCACTGTGCTTGGGCGATTATTATTATTATTATTATTATTATTATTATTATTATTATTATTTGTATTTTTAGTAGAGACAGGGTTTCTCCATGTTGGCCAGGCTAGTCTCGAACTCTTGACCTCAGGTTATTTGTCCACCTCAGCCTCCCAATTACAGGCATGAGCTACTGTGCCCAGCCTAAACAGAATCTTAAAATGGTAGGTTCTACTCTCCCTTGCAGAGGAGTAGATGCCCTTCTATGTGACTCTCCCCTATAAATTAGCGTCTTCAACCAGGGGTGATACTACTCCACCACCGCCCACCCTCCCCCCACCAGGGTATATTAGGCAGTGTCTGGAGACACTTTTGGTTGTTTCAAGTGGGAGGCAGGGGATATATTCCTGGCATCCAGTGAGTGGAGGCCAGCAATGCAGCTCAACATCCTACAGGGCGTCGGACAGCTCCTTAGAGAATTACCTGCCCCAAATGTCAACAGCAAGGAGGTTGAGAAACCCTGCTGTAAGTGTTATTGCTAACAAAGTAGTCTTTTAAGTTATCCGAGACTTAAGACTGTTGCTGTAGTGGTCACTTTGAACCTCTAAAAAGTTTGTAATTTTTTTTTTTTTTTTTTTTTTGAGACGGAGTCTTGCTCTGTTGCCCAGGCTGGAGTGCAGTGGCGCGATCTCAGCTCACTGCAAGCTCCGCCTCCTGGGTTCACGCCATTCTCCTGTCTCAGCCTCCCGAGTAGCTGGGACTACAGGCGCCCACCACCACGCCTGGATAATTTTTTTGTATTTTCAATAGAGACGGGGTTTCACCGTGTTAGCCAGGATGGTCTCGATCTTCTGACCTCGTGATCCGCCTGCCTCGGCCTCCCAAAGTGCTGGGATTACAGGTGTGAGCCACTGGCGCCCGGCCTTTTTTTTTTTTTTTTTTTGAGACAGAGTCTCACTCTGTTGCCAGGCTGGAGTGCAGTGGTGTGATCTCGGCTCACTGGAACCTCCGCCTCCCGGGTTCAAGCGATTCTCCTGCCTCAACCTCCTGAGTAGCTGGGACTACAGGCACGTACCACCATGCCCAGCTAATTTTTGTATTTTTAGTAGAGACGGTGTTTCACCATGTTGACCAGGATGGTCTCGATCTCCTGAGAAGTCTGCAATTCTAATTGGTTGTCTTAGTCATTGTTATAACAAATTTTGGCTTGGGTATAAATAAAATATTTAAACTTAATGTTGTTAGTTTTAACATAATTTTCAACTTTTTAGTATATTGTTTAATTATCTTAATGTTCTTGGGAAAAAATTAATAACAAAATGACTGATTTTTTTTAGCCACCAGTTTTGGTGGTGATTTGTTGCCCAGCAGTAATTAGCCAGAACAGACACTGTTCATTAATCAGTCCCTTCATGCCAGAAGGGAAAAATGCGTCCCAAAGGTCCCGCCTACGTCCTTTTGCTAGGCCCCCACGCATTGCTCACCTCCCATTTCCCTTTGCAAAGGCCACATCCACTTCCCTTTGCAAAGCCCCACCCACTACATTTATGAAGCCCCACCCACATCCCTTTGCAAACCCCCACCTACCACATTTGTGAGGCCCCATTCCATCTCTGCTTACCTCCCACTTTCTTTGAAAGGCCACACCCACTTCCCTTGTAAGGTCACACCCCCTCCCTCTGCTCACATTTCACGTCCTTTGAAAGGTCACACCCACTTTCCTCACAAGGCCCCACCCACTTCCTTTCCTCACCTTTCACTTCCTTTGAGAGTCCCCACCTACTTCCTTTGAGAGTTCCCACCCTTGCCAGGTCCGACCTCCTCCCTCTGCTCACCTTCCACTTAGGCCACGCCCACTTTTCTTGCAAGGCCCCGCCCTCCCCTTTCCCCAGTGCCCACCTCCCACACTTACAGAGTACAAGTTGTTGTTCTTCTTCATTGGCAGTCTGTACTGGATGATCGCTTTTAGGGGCTCTAGGCTGCTCTGTGGAATCTGAAAGAAAGTTCCCTGTGGGCTTCATGGCAACCCAGCCCTGGGAAAGACTAAAGCTGGGTTAGATGTCCTAAGTAAGCTCTCTCCAGCAACTCTAGCCTCTTTTTTTTTTTTTGAGACACAGTCTTGCTCTGTCGCCCAGGCTGGAGTGCATTGGCCCAATCTCGGCTCACTGCAACCTCCGCCTCCCGGGTTGAAGCCATTCTCCCACCTCAGCCTCCTGAGTATCTGGGATTGCAGGCATGTGCCACCATGCCCAGCTAATTTTTGTATTTTTAGTAGAGCCGGGGTTTCACCGTATTGGCCAGGCTGGTCTCGAACTCCTGACCCCAGGTGATCCCCCCGCCTCGGCCTCCCAAAGTGCTGGGATTACAGGCGTGAGCCACTGTGCCCAGCCTCCAGCCTCTTTTCTTCCCCTGCCCACACTATAAAATGCTGCTATTGGTCTTGACTGACTCCAAATGACTTGGTTTCAGGACTCCTGGATTCTTTGTAGTCCATATCAGTAGCTTCCAACAGTGTCGGTAGAGGATGACAATAGTCTGCCCGAGACAACACATCTCTGACCAAATTATGCTACACAGAATTGTGGATCTTGGTTGATGAGCTAAAAGAAGTCCCTCATGGCTCTTCCTTTTCCAGGACTTTGCACCTTGCAGCCCAGATTTAGCTAACCTTTTACTCGGAGTCAGGCAATAAAAATCCTTCATGAAGTTGGCTGGAACCTGGACAAGTGCAGAGCCCTCTACCCATACCTAGCACGGTAAGGTTCAGGTGACCTGCGGGATTCTTTTTTCTTTTCTTTCTTTCTTTTTTTTTTTTTTTGAGACGGAGTCTCACTCAGTCACCTAGGCTAGAGTGCAGTGGCGCTATCTCAGCTCACTCCAAGCTCCGCCTCCTGGGTTCATGCCATTCTCCTGCCTCAGCCTCCCGAGTAGCTGGGACTACAGGCGCCCGCCACCATGCTTGGCTAATTTTTTGTAGTTTTAGTAGAGATGGGGTTTCACTGTGTTAGCCAGGATGGTCTCGATCTCCTGACCTCGTGATCCGCCCACCTCAGCCTCCCAAAGTGCTGGGATTACAGGCATGAGCCACCACGCCCGGCCCCTGCGAGATTTTTATACTCTGTTCATGCCAAAGAAAGCGGGATGGGGTCTCTCTATGACACTTCTAGCCAATCCAATGAAAAAGTTACTTGCAACATCCATTTTGCTAATCATAACCACGCCTCTGGCATGCATTGGAGAGAAAAGATGGCAGAAGCCCGTATAGCAGCTGGACAGGAGTTTTCCAGAGAGAAGAAGAAACAGACATTCAAGGAGCCTGGGGCAGGCAACAGCTTGGGATGTCTGAGGGATACAAAAAGTCCAGGATGGCCAGAGTGGGGACCCAAGAGAGTATGATAGGGGAGGGGGCATGAAAGAATGGTGAGGCCCAGATCAGCGGAGCCTTGGAGGCAAAGATGAGGAGTTTGGAGTTTATTTAACTCCAACAGAAAACCGCTAGAGAATTAGAGGATTATAAGCAGAGGAGGATCTGTGATTACTCCCCCAAATAAAGATCTCCAAGTGGAGCTGGGCATCCAATTTGGGAGAAGCATGTCAGGAACCTGGTTTTGAATCTTCTAGACCTAGCAACTGGAACAATAAATCCTCCACAGACTTCACCTTCAATGAAACTAGGAGTCAGAAATAATTCAGATATTGCTTTATTCACTTAATGCTGGACCTGCTAGAACCAGGACAGAAATCCACAGCAGCCAGGTGGGTGTAGAGGGGAAGGTTGTGTATGTGGCATTTTCCAGTTATGGAAAACTCAAATTAAGCCAGCATTCCCAGCTGGAAGAAGGACCCCACCCACCCACCAGCACCCACCCCATAGTGTGTTCTGCTAGGAAGAGGACAAACAGGTATGACATGAGTTTTGGGAACCACCGATGCATCACTTAAGAAAGTAATTTTGTGAGCAGTGGTTCATGCCTGTAATCCCAGCACTTTGGGAGGCCAAGGCCATTGGATCACTTGAGGCCAGGAGTTCAAGAGCAGTCTGGCTAACATGGCGAAATCCAGTCTTGACAAAAAATGCAAAAATTAGCCCGGTGTGGTGGTGTGCACCTGTAGTCCCAGCTACTTGGGAGACTGAAGCATGAGAATCACTTGAACCTGGGAGGTGGAGGTTGCAGTGAGCCAAGATGGCGCCACTGCTCTCCAGACTGGACGACAAAGTGAGACAGTCTCAAAAAAAGAAAAAAACAAACAAAAAAAGAAAAGAAAAGAAAAAGAAAAAAGAAAAGAATTTTTAAAAGCTCTAGGCCAGAGGTGGAGGTCTGTCCTTCCTGAACCAAGTCAGGAATTAGGAGTCAAAGGAAGCCAGGCAGGAGAAAGTGTTGTATTTCACTGAGTCTAGCTAGGATTTCATTGAATCTGGAAACTGTACCCAAATTTCGGAGAGAATAAAATGTGAGAAAACATATGGCCAGTAGTGATCAGAGAATGCCATCAATGAAAAGACACATCTCGACTCCAGAGATGTGAAAAAGTGAAGAAATGAGTGACTCAGAGTCATGAAATCATGTATTCAAGAAACAGTCACAGTGGTCCTTGAGCTGAAATGAACCTAGCCATCTAGGCTCACCCCTCCCAGGGACTCCCCTCCTCTCCAGGACCCTCCTGCCAAAAGCTGATACAGCAAACTGCAGCTCATTCAAACATGTAGGAAATTTAAAGTTTCGACAATAGCCATACAAAGACACTACAATGAAAAAAAAAAAAAAACGTAAGACAGCAGCTAAATTTCACTGTACACAAATAAAACTCACTGGATAATTTCAACACAATGCAAAAGAAAATTGTAACCAAGGCCAGGTGCAGTATCTCATGCCTGTAATCCCAGCACTTTGGGAGACCGAGGCGGGCAGATCACGAGGTCAGGAGATCGAGACCATCCTGGCTAACATGGTGAAACCCTGTCTCTACTAAAAAAATACAAAAAATTAGCTGGACATGGTGGCAGGCACCTGTAGTCCCAGCTACTCGGGAGGCTGAGGCAGGAGAATGACGTGAACCTGGGAGGCAGAGGTTGCAGTGAGCTGAGATTGTGCCACTGCACTCCAACCTGGGCGACAGAGCGAGACTCTGTCTCAAAAAAAAAAAAAGAAAAAAAAAGAAAATTGTAACCAAACATTCCAACATAAAACTAAAAATGTAATGAAGCAAACACAGCTAGAAAGGAAGAACACAAAGCAAACATACAAGCACTCAGGGAAGAGACAGCAGGACACTAGAAAAAAATGAAACAGGAAGGGATAGAACTTAGGCAAGAAATAGAAGAGAACAACAAAAGCATCTAGAAATGAAGACAATGACAAGAAATGAAGAAAATTATATAGTAGCATGGGCTTGAAATCATCACACTTCTAAAAGAAAAAATAATTAGCAGTGGGATGTATATAAAATAATACATAAATATATTAATACTTTTACTTAAGTGGGGGCTTAAGGTTGGGCATGGGGGCTCATGCCTATAATCCCAGCACTTTGGGAGGCTGAGGCAGGAAGATCAATTGAGGCCAGAAGTTCAACAGCAGCCTGGGCAACATAGCAAGACTCTGTCTCTACAAAAAAAAAATGGTTTTTGTTTGTTTGTTTGTTTTGAGACAGGGTCTCTCTCTGTCACCCAGGCTGGAGTGCAGTGGCTCAGTCTTGGCTCACTGCAACCTCCACCTCCCAGGTTCAAGCGATCCTGCCACCTCAGCCTCAGCCTCCCCAGTAGCTGGGACTACAGGTGCATGCCACCACACCCGGCTAAATTTTGTATTTTTTGGTAGAGATGGAGTTTCACCATGTTGGCCACACTGGTCTCAAACTCCTGACCTCAGGTGTTCTGCCTGCCTTGGCCTCCCAAAGTGCCCGGATTACAAGCATGAACCACCACACCTGGCCCAAAAAATGTTTTAAAAGTTAGCCCGGGCTCGGGGCGGTGGCTCACGCCTGTAATCCCAGCACTTTGGGAGGCCAAGGCGGGCGGATCACGAGGTCAGGAGATCAAGACCATCCTGGCTAACACGGTGAAACCCCGTTTCTACTAAAACATACAAAAAAATTAGCCAGGCGTGATGGTGGGCACTTGTAGTCCCAGCTACTTGGGAGGCTGAGGCAGGAGAATGGCATGAACCCAGGAGGCAGAGCTTGCAGTGAGCCGAGTTCAGCCCACTGCACTCCAGCTTGGGCGACAGAGCGAGACTCTGTCTCGGAAAAAAAAAAAGTTAGCCTGACATGGTGGTACACGCTCGTAGTCCCAGCTACTTGGAGGACTGAGGCAGAAGGATCAGTTGAGACCAGGAGTTCAAGGCTACAGTGAGCTACAATCACGACATTGCACTCCAGCCTGGGGACAGAGTGAGACCCTGTCTCGAAAAAAAAAAAAAAATGGAGGCTGAGTATTAAACTAAGTTAATATGAATTGGAAATCAAACTCCTCTATTTCAGTCTGCTTCTCCAAAAATAGCTTCACCACATATACTAATGAGGTCATGGAGGACTCGCTGAACAGATGCATGGCCCTATCTTATCATTAGAATTTACCTGGGAAAAAAAGAACACCTGCCCAGAGCCCTGAGGTACCCCTGGGTGACTTTGGCAGGCAGTGCTGGGTAGGGGTTTACCGAAAGGATTTTCTGTAACTGTTGATCATTCTCAACCAGCAAGATGTTCACTTTGGCATGAGTGATGACATATTGACAAACCTCGGCAGAGTTGGTGGCATAAATACCAACACAAAGACCCCTGGGAAAAGAAAACAAATTCGTGTGTGCATCCACACACACCTTAAAGGCAGAATGGTCTGGAAGGTCAAAAGAGAGGAAAGGTTTGCAGGCAAGTTCTTAAGTTTGCAGCCACAGCACCAGCTTCCCTTCCTCCCCAACTTAACAATGATGAAGACAACAAAAATGACAATGATGATAAGTGACAGCTCCTATGATGTCACTATGACAACAGGTCATGGAACACTTAGAACACCGCATTTTATAGATGAGAAAAACAGGGGCCCAGCAGTGAAGTCACTCAAGATTACACAGCAAGTAGGTGTTAGACCTAGGATCTGAACTCCTGACTCAGCCTCTGTTCCCATCATTCACAGCCTTTTGTGCTTGCAGGGTGCATCCTCTTTTGCTTTTAATTTGCATTTCCCAATGGATAATGACATTGAGCACCTTTACATGTGCCTTTTGGCTACTTTCCTTTGTGGCATTTCTGTTGAAATCTTTTGCCCCTTTCAATTTTTTTTTTTTTTGCCTTTTTATTACTGAGTTACAGAATTTCTTTATCTATCTTAGATACCAGTCCTTTGTTAGAAATTCGAGTTTTAAGAATATTTTCTCCAAGTATGCAGTTTGCCTGTTCACCATTTTTTTTTTTTTTTTTTTGAGACAGGGTCTAGCTCGGTCACCCAGGCTGGCCTGCAGTGGTGCAATCTCAGCTCACTGCAACCTCAACCTCCTGGATTCAAGCAATTCTCATGCCTCAGCCTCCTGAGTAGCTGGGATTACAGGTATGCACCACCACACCTGGCTAATTTTTGTATTTTTTGTAGAGAAGGTGTTTCACCATGTTGCCCAGGCTGGTCTCAAACTCCTGGACTCCAGTGACCCACCCACCCCTGCCTCCCAAAGTGCTGGGATTCCAGGCGTGAGCCACCATGTTCGACAACTGTTCATCTTGTTGGTGTCTTTTAATAAGCAGAAGTTTTTAATGCTAATAAAGTCCTATTTGGCAACTTTTTCTCTTATGCTTTTTGCTCTCTGTGTCCTGTCTAAGAAATCTTTGACTACCCCCAGGTTGTGAAACCATTCCGTGCTTTTCTTTTTCTAGAAGCTTTAGAATTTAACTTGCATGATTTAGTCTGTAATCCATCTCAATTTAATTTTTGCATATGATGTGAGGTAGGGATCAGGGCTGATTTATTTTTCCATACAAATATCCAGTTGGTCCAGCACCACTGAACTACTCTGCTGCCTTTGTTGGAAGCCAGTGACCATGTATGCATGGAGCTATTTCTGGGCTCTCTGCTCTGTTGATCTAGTTGTTGTGCTTTTAATATGGCAGGGAATGAGGCACATTATAATTATTTGAGATGGTTACTCTCATCACCATTCTTAAGCACATACTATTTGCTAAGCACTGTGCTAAGGGTTTATGAAGCATCCTCTTATTGAATCTTTATAACAGCCCTGTGAGGCATGGAGATGTGTGCTTTCCTGCTCATTCATACAGAATACAAAATAGCAGACAACCCAAGATTTGAATTTGGGTCTGATGTGGCACCAGAGCCCAATCACTGCATGACACTGTCTTACCATTCAGTCCTAAAATGGGGACAGATCTCTTCATTAAAATTTATTCTGGGCTGGGCACAGTGGCTCACACCTGTAATCCCAGCACTTTGGGAGGCTGAGGCAGGTGGATTACCTGAGGTCAGGAGTTTGAGACCAGCCTGGCCAACATGGAGAAACCCCATCTTTACCAAAAATACAAAATTTAGCCAGCCATGGTGGCGCACGCCTGTAGTCCCAGCTACTTGGGAGGCTGAGGCAGGAGAATCACTTGAACCCGGGAGGCAGATGTTGCAGTGAGCCAAGATCACACCACTGCACTGCAGCCTGGGCAACAGAGTGAGACTCCACCTCTCTCTATATAGATAATATAATATATTATATATTATTATATGTATTATATATTATTTATTATATGTATTATATATTTTATATATATAATAATAATTTTCTCTCTCTCTCTCTCTCTCTCTCTCTCTCTTTTTGAGACGGAGTTTTGCTCTTGTTGCCCAAGCTGGATTGCAATGGCATGATCTCGGCTCACTGCAACCTCTGCGTCCCGGGTTCAAGTGATTCTCCTGCCTCAGCCCTCCAAGTAGCTGGGATTACAGGCATGTGCCACTACGCCTGGCTAATTTTTTGGGGTTTTTTTTAGTAGAGATAGAGTTTCTACATGCTGGTCAGGCTGGTCTCAAACTCCCGACCTCAGGTGTTCCACTCCCAAAGTGTTGGAATTACAGGCATGAGCCACTGCACCCGGCCTCAAAATATATATATATTTCAACTCACTGTAAGACAGGGGTAGTATATGCTCATAAAAATTTGGAAAATAGAATATAACATATTAGGGTGGTGTTAGTCTCGATGATGAGATATAACTAATGTTAATATTTATTTCTAGTCACCACCCTCAATTTTTTTCTCTCTCTTTTCTCTTTTCTTTTCCTTCCTTCCTTCTTTTCTTTTCTTTTTTCTTTTCCTTCTTTTCTTTTTTCTTTTCCTTTTCTTTTCTTTTCTTTTCTTTACTTTTATTTTCCAGACAGGGTCTCACTCTGTTGCCCAGGCTGGAGTGCAGTGGTATGATCATAATTCACTGCAGTCTCAACTTCTTGGGCTGAAGCCATCCTCCCACCTCTGCCTCCCAAGTAGTTGGGACTACAGGCACACACCACCATGCCTGGCTAATTTTAAAAACACTTTTATTTTATTTTTTAGAGACAGAATCTTGCGATGTTGTCCAGGCTGGTCTTGAACTCTTGGGCTAAGGCAGTCTTCCCATCTCAGCCTCCCAAAGTGCTGAGATTACAGGCATGAGTCACTGTGCCCAGCCGCTCAATTTTGTCATGGCCGTGGCTGCTGCTGCTGCTGTCGTTGCTGTTGTTATTATTAATCTTGAGTCGAACAAACGAGTTCAGATCTCAGGGTCTTTATCCAACCACAGCATGATTCTGGGGAAGACACTTAACCTCTATTGGTCCCAGATTATCGTCACCATCATTATTACTTGGGATCATGATGGCACCTACCTCAAAGGGCTACCATGAGCAGTCAATGATATCATATAGGTAAGAGTGA
Organism: Homo sapiens; assembly: GCF_000001405.40. Lineage (NCBI taxonomy): Eukaryota > Metazoa > Chordata > Mammalia > Primates > Hominidae > Homo > Homo sapiens. The sequence goes on along the minus strand of NC_000019.10, from coordinate 6,153,308 downwards.
CCAGCAATAATTGGTATATTAATGGTTGGTATTTTAAATTTTTTTGTTTTGTTTTGTTTTTTTGAGATGGAGTCTCGCTCTGTCGCCCAGGCTGGAGTGCAGTGGCGCGATCTCGGCTCACTGCAGGCTCGGCCTCCTGGGTTCACGCCATTCTCCTGCCTCAGCCTCCCGCGTAGCTGGGACTAACAGGCACCTGCCACCACGCCTGGCTGATTTTTTTGGTATTTTTAGTAGAGATGGGGTTTCAGCATGTTAGCCAGGATGGTCTGGATCTCCTGACCTTGTGATCCGCCTGCCTTGGCCTCCCACAGTGCTGGGATTACAGGCGTGAGCCACCACACCCGGCCTGATATTTAAATTTTAAGCATAGTTGTAACCATACAGTGTATAAAGATTTTGATACCTGCTTTGTCACCTCTGACATCAAAAATGCTTAAAATGTGCTCTTCAGAGCCATCATTTCAAAATATTACCGAGAATCCCATCCAGAAGGCATCTCATGGTTTAATCCACAGCTGTGGGACACTTAGGTTGTCCCCGACTTTTTGCCATCACTAATAACACTTCCAAGAAGTATCTTTGTGCATAAGCCAAAATATATTCATGTTTTGGTTTTGTTTCTTTAAGTAAAACTCCCAAAGGTAGAATTACAAGCTCAAGAAGAAATCAGTATTTTATTTTTACTTTTGTTTTTTTCACGATTACAGCCTGGGCAACATAGCAAGAAACCATCTCTACAAAAAAAAAAAAAAAAAAATTGGGAGGCCGAGGCGGGTGGATCATGAGGTCAGGAGATCGAGACCATCCTGGCTAACAAGGTGAAACCCCGTCTCTACTAAAAATACAAAAAATTAGCCGGGCGCGGTGGCGGGCGCCTGTAGTCCCAGCTACTCGGGAGCCTGAGGCAGGAGAATGGCGTGAACCCGGGAAGCGGAGCTTGCAGTGAGCCGAGATTGCGCCACTGCAGTCCGCAGTCCGGCCTGGGCGACAGAGCGAGACTCCGTCTCAAAAAAAAAAAAAAAAAAAAAATTAGCTGGGTGTGGTGGTGTGTGCTCATAGTCCCAGTTACCCTGGAGGCCGAGTTGGGAGGATCGCATGAGCCCAAGACTTCAAGGCTGCCCACTGGCTGTGTGAGCCTCAGTTTCCTCATCTGTAGATAGGGGATGATAGGACCCACTTCACATTGCTGTCGTGAGGTTTTACAGGATCATACACGTGGAGCACAATGCTTCTGCACATAATCAGAAACCTCTAAATGCTATCTACAATTATTATTTTGTCTGCAAAAAGTTCTTCAGCTGAAGAAAATCGAGAGGTCTGAGACTGCTAGTCTAATGGGTGTTATTGCGTATGACCTGTGATCAGAATGATTTGTTCGTGCATCTATCCTGCCTGCTAACTAGGGCGTTCATCCAAAATTCCTGTTTGCATCTCACACTGGACAAGCCCAGGGGTCCCAGGCCCAGGGTAGCGGCTCCTTAACCCTCACCATGAACCAAGCCAATGACCTTACCCGGCTAGGATGGCACCAACAGCAGTGATAAACCACTCTGCAGAGTTAAACCCCAGGATACCAACTCCGTGGAAACGCTCCAAACCCAGCTGGGAAGGAAAAAGCAAACAGAAAAACAAAACATAAACACAGAGATGTTATATCATTAGGATATGTGACGACAGAATCAAAGGTAGTCACATGGAGGCCAGGCGCAGTGGCTCACACCTGTAATCCTAGCACTTTGGGAGGTTGAGGTGGGAGAATTGCTTGAGGCCAGAAGTTCGAGACCAGCCTGGGCAACACAGTGAGACCCCTGTCTTTACAAAAAAAGTGGAAAAGTTCGCCGGGCATGGTGGTACACACTTGTCGTCCCGGCTACTTGGGTAGCTGAGGCAGGAGGATCACTTGAGCCCTAGAGTTCGAGGCTGCAGTGAGCTATGATTGCACCACTGCACTCCATCCTGGGCAACAGATTGAGACCCTGTTTCAAAACAAAACAAAAGTAGCCACACGGGGTGGGAGACAGCATTGAGCCTAAAATCTGAGGTGTAATATTTTTAATTTTTATGACTACGGGAGGTTTGTTTACCTCCCTCTACATAACACACCATTTATTATTTTTATTTTTATGTTTTGTTTCATTTATTGTGGTAAAATATCTATAACATGGATTTTACCATTTTCTTTTTTTTTTTTTTTTGAGACAGAGTCTCACTCTGTTGCCAAGGCTGGAGTCCAGCAGTGCGATCTCGGCTCACTGCAACCTCCGTCTCCTGGGTTCAAGCGATTCTCCTGCCTCAGCCTCCGAAGTAGCTGGAATTACAGACACGCGCCACCACGCCTGGCTAATTTTTGTTTTTTTAGTAGAGTCAGCGTTTCACCATGTTGGCCAGGCTGGTCTCGAACCCCTGACCTCAAGCAATCCTCCCGCCTCAGCCTCCCAAAGTGCTCACGCCTGTAATCCACCACACGCAGCCCGTTTTGACCATTTTTAAGAGTGTAGTTTAGTGGCATTAAACACATCCACATGGTTGTACAACCGTCACCACTGTTCATCTCTAGAACTTTCTCCTCTTTCTAAACTGAAACTCTCTGTATAAAACACTCACTCTCTATCCCCTTCCCCAGCCCCTGGCACCTCCCATTCTACTTTCTGTCTCTATGAGTCTAACGACTCTAGGGACCTCCTAGGAAAGAAACCATACGGGATTTGCCCTTTTGTGTCTGGCTTATTTCACCGAGTATGATGTCCTCAAGATTCATCCATGTTGTAGCATGTGTCAGAATTTCCTTCCTTTTTGTGGCTGAATCATATTCCCTTGTATGGGCGGACCACATCGTGTTTATCCATTCTTCCATTGATGGACACACGGGCTGCTTCCACCCTCTGTCTCTTGTGAATAACGCCGCTATGACCCTGAGTCTACAAATAACTCTTCATGTCTCTGGCTTTCCTTTTTTTTTTTTTTTTTTGTTAAATATCCAGGAGTGAGACTGCTGAATCATATGGCAATTCTCTGTTTACATTTTTTCTTTTTTTAGAAATCGCCAGACTTTTCCACAGTGGCGGCACCATTTTACATTTCCACCAGCACTGCACAAGGGTTCCAGCTTCTCCATATCCTCCCCAACACGTGTTGTGTTTTGCTATTTTTTAAAGAATAGCTATCTTGAAAGGTGTGAATTTATTTTATTTTATTTTATTTTATTATTATTATTTTTTGTCTCGCTCTGTCACCCAGGCTGGAGTGCAGTGGGTGATCATAGCTCACTGCAGCTTCAACTTCCCAGGCTCCAGCAATCCTCCCGCCTCACCCTCCCGAGTAGCTGGGACTATGGGCCTGCTCCACTGAGTCTAATTTAAAAAAAATTACAGGCGTGGTGGCTCACGCCTGTAATCCCAGCACTTTGGGAGGCCGAGGTAGGTGGATCTCTTGAGGCCAGGTGTGGTGGCTCACGCCTGTAATCCCAGCACTTTGGGAGGCCGAGGTGGGTGGATCTCTTGAGGCCAGGTGTGGTGGCTCACACCTGTAATCCCAGCACTTTGGGAGGCCAAGGCACGTGGATCTCTTCAGGTCAGAAGTTCGAGACCAGCCTGGCCCACAAGATGAAACCCCGTCTCTACTAAATATACAAAAAATTAGCCGGGCGTGGCAGCACCTGCCTGTAGTCCCAGCTACTTGGGAAGCTGAGGCAGGAGAATTGCTTGAACCTGGAGGCTGAGGCTGCAGTGAGCCAAGATCGTGCCACTGCACTCCAGCCTGGGCAACAGAGTGAGACTCTGTCTAAAAAAAAAAAAAAAAAAAAAAGTTGCACATGTAAAGGTACAGACTTGTTCTGAATGTGGGTGAGAATGAACCAGGAAACTCAGAAACAAAAGTGAGCATCCTTAGGGGAAAACTCCCTCTTTGTTCTGGGTACTGCCAACCAACGTTGTTGGCTCTTTTAGTCATACGGGATCACGGCTGGCAATGATCTGCTGTTCTTGGGGGAAAAGGAACCATTTGGAAGGCATTTGCCTGCTGGTCCTTCAGAATGAGATGCCAAGTATTTCAGTAACCAAAAGGCTGGCTTTATTGTGGACAGAGTGTGTTTTTATTAATGCCTAGTTACACCGACTAATTTCTACTTGGGTCTCCAAGTAGTTTTGTTTGTTTTTATTTTTGGTTTTGTTTCTACTTCGGTCTCCAAGTTTTGTTTGTTTGTTTGTTTTTTGAGATGGAGTTTCACCCAGGCTGGAGTGCAGTGGCACAATCTCGGCTCACTGCAACCTCTGCCTCCCGGGTTCAAGCGATTCTCCTGCCTCAGCTTCCTGAGTAGCTGGGATTACAGGTGTGCACCACCACACCTGGCTAATTTTTGTATTTTTAGTGTAGATGGGGTTTCACCATGTGGGCCAGGCTGGTCTCAAACTCTTGACCTCTTGACCTTGATCCGCCCACCTTGGCCTCCCAAAGTGCTGGGATTACAGGCATGAGCCACCGTGCTCAGTCAGGTGTCCAAGATTTACGGGAGGAGGGGGACCTTTAACTCCACGGAACTAAGAACATGGCTAAAGGAGACCATCTTTCAGGAGAGATGAACTAGCCACAGCAACATAGTATGAAGGTGGGGCCCCCAAGAAGAAACCCAGCCCAAGCACATGGTTCTCTTTTTTTTTTTTTTTCTTTATGACACCATCTCACTCTGTTGCCCAGCTAGAGTGCAATGGTGCAATCACAGGTCATTGCAGCCTCGACCTCCGAGGCTCAAGTGATCCTCCCACCTCAGCCTCCTGATAGCTGGGACTACAGGCATGTGCCACTGCATCTGGCTACTTTTTAAATTTTTCATTGAGACTGGGGTCTCACTATGTTACCCAGGCTGGTCTTGAACTCCTGGGCTCAGTGATCCTCCTGCCTCGATGTCCCAAAGCACTAGGATTACAGACATGAGCCACTGACCCCAGCCTTGTTCCCTCTTTCTTTTGCTTCATTCATTCTAGGGGTGACTGGCAACCATGCCGTGAAGACACTCAAGCAATTCTGTGGAGAAGGCCATGGAATGAGGAGCTGAGACTTCCTGCCAACAACCAGTCATCTAGGTAAGTAAGCTTGGAAGTGAAGCCTCCAGCCCCAGTTGAGCCTTCAGATGAGATAGCCCCAGCTGATAGCTTGGCTGCAACCTCATGAGAGACCTGGAGCCAGAAGAACCCAATTTCAAAGTAGCTCCTAAATTCTCAATCCACAGAAACTGTGAGATGATAAATGTTTGTCATTTCAAGTCACTATATTTTGGGATAATTTGTTATGCAGCAGCAACTAACAAAAACATAGAGATAGTATGTTAGGGACAAATGCAAGATGCAGAACCATGGGTGTAGTAGGCTATTATGTGTGTAAAAAATTTGCATATATAAAAATTTCATTTTATATTTATGCATAATTTATTTCCCAAAAGGACACACAAAAAACTGACAATGGTGACCGCTTCCACAGAGAGGAACTGAGTGGCTGAGGCTCATGAATCAGAGGGAAATTTTCGCCAATTAACCTTTGTATCTTTTGGTGCCTTGTGAATTTTGTACCACATGTATGTATGTCTGTTACCTATTCAGAATGAATGGTTGAACAAAGGAGAATGAATGAATGAATCTTACCTTGATCAAGGATTTTGCAGCCTTCCGACAAGCCTCATAGTACTGGTTGAAATTCAGAATTTCCCACTTTTTGCCATTCTTGGATGCGAGGGCTGGATAAGTTCCAAATCGGTTGACTGACTCTCGAAAAAATTCAGGGATGGTCATCGGGGTCTCATGGCCTGGTCCGTGTTTGGATAGCCTCAGAAGGACTTCTCCATCTCGACAGGTGGTCCACAGCCTGGGAGTAACTGCAAATAGTCACCAGAGTTGGGTGGCAAATGTTTTTATTTATTTAATAACTTTGGACGGGGGGCGGTTGGTGTCTTTTTGGACCTAAGGTGCTGAGAGTTGAATTAATCCCCTTCTAGGGTGAAGTTATGTGGTCAACACTGGCAAGACAAGCTTCCTTTCTCTTTATTTATTTTTTCATTCCCCGCCCCGCCAAATTTTAATAGTCAAAAGGATTGTATACCAAATACTTTCTTATCCAACACCTAGATTCTACAACTGCTAGCGTTTTACCATATTTTATCACACATCTATCCTGCTGTCTTTGTTATGTCCATTTTTTTTTTCTTTCTTTCTTTTTTTCTGGAGACACGGTCTTGCTCTGTCAGCAGGCTGGAGTGCACTGGCACAATCACAGCTCACTGCAACCTTGACCTCCTAGGCTCAAGCCATCCTCCCACCTCAGCCTCCCAAATAACTGGAACTACAGGCAAACACCACCATGCCTAGCTAATTTATTTTTTAATGTTTTGTAGAGATGGGGTTCTACTGTGTTTCCGAGGCTGATCTCAAACTCCTGGGCTCAAACAATCCTCCTCCCTTAGTTTCTCAAAGTGCTGGGATTACAGGCATGAGCCACCGCACCTGGCCCCATCTTATTTTTTTTATTATTATTTTGTTTTGTTTTGTTTTTGTTTTTGAGACGGAGCTTTGCTTTTCTTGCCCAGGTTGGAGTACAATGGCACGATCTTGGCTCACTGCAACCTCCGCCTCCCGGGTTCAAGCGTTTTTCCTGCCTCAGCCTCCCGAGTAGCTGGGATTACAGGCATGCACCACCACGCCTCGCTAATTTTATATTTTTAGTAGAGATGGAGTTTCTCCATGTTGGTCAGGCTGGTCTCGAACTCCCGACTTCAGGTGATCCGCCCGCCTTGGCCTCCCAAAGTGCTGGGATTACAGGCATGAGCCACCGCGCCTGGCCTATTATTATTTTTTGAGACGGAGTCTCACTCTTTTGCCCAGGCTGGAGTGCAGTGGCGTGATCTTGGCTCACCCCGACCTACACCTCCCAGGTTCAAGCGATTCTTCTGCCTCAACCTGCCGAGTAGCTGGGATTACAGGCACCCGCCACCACATCTGGCTAATTTTTGTATTTTTAGTAGAGATGGGGTTTCACCATGTAGCCCAGGCTGGTCTCGAACTCCTGACGTCAAGTGATCCACCTGCCTCGGCCTCCCAAAGTGCCGGGATTACAGGCATGAGCCACCGCGCCTGGCTCCATCTGATTTTTTGATGCATTTCCAAGTGAGCCAAAGCTATTCATCCATTTACCCTTAAACACCCTTGCATGTAAATCATTAACAAGAGTCACATATTTAATATTATTTACGGAGATTTTTTTAAAGGTAAAATGTACATGCAGTGGACTATGTATGCTTTGGCCAATGAAACATAAGAAGTGAGTTATGTGTGTCGTTCATGGGGAGAAGATTTAAGACCCGGTGCATAATTCCCCATCGTCCATTGTCCTGTCACAAAAATGGTGGAGCAAATGTGAAGAAGTAGCCCCTCTCCCCCAATGCCAGACACACAACATGAGTAAGAAACACACTTGTGTTGTGTTAAGCCATTGAGGTTGTTGAGGGGGTTGTTGAGGGGGTTGCCTGTCACAGCGACATCACCCAGATCAGCCAAATGGAACTAGCAAAGGGACCAATTCAAAACCAGTTTTGGGGTCCTGTATCTATCACTTCTTTTGGGGATGAGTAAGGGTTGACACTGAGAAAGAAGAGAACAGGGTTTCCTCTGGAGACAGTTGTTGGTTTGTTGTGTGTTTCTCACTACCACCCAGTAACGGGCAAGTGAGAGAAAGTCCAAGAGACCCTCTTGGAGAATTGGGTGTGTAACCTTGCGTTTGTTCAACTGAACCTGGTCTACTGGGGAGGTGGTAGATGGCAATGGTAGAGTAGGCAGCTGTGTTGGAAGGAAATTGCACATCCACCTATGATGGGATGCTACTTTTTTTTTTTTTTTTTGAGATGGAGTCTTGCTCTATCTCCAGGCTGGAGTGCAGTGGCACAATCTCAGTTCACTGCAGCCTCCGCCTCCTGGGATCATGCGAGCTCACCGCAACCTCCACCTCCTGGGATCATGTGATTCCCCTGCCTCAGCCTCTCAAGTAGCGGGGATTACAGGTGGGCACCACCACACCCAGCTAATTTTTGTATTTTTAGTAGAGATGAGTTTCACCATGTTGGCTAAGATGGTCTCGATCTCCTCACCTTGTGATCCGCCTGCCTCGGCTTCCCAAAGTGCTGGGATTACAGGCATGAGCCACCGCGCCCGGCCGGGATGCTACTTTTTCCCCTTGACTAGACATGGGCCTCATAGATGGGCTTCTAAAGGCTCTTGGCTTGGTGCCAGTAGTAGGACCCAAGGACTGGAGATGTATGTTCAGATAGTCATCAACAGACAGCAGGCTGGTTCATGCCTGTAATCCCAACACTTTTGGGAGGCCGACGCCGGCAGATCACTTGAGGTCAGGAGTTCGAGACCAGCCTGGCCAACATAGTGAAACCTCGTCTCTATTAAAAATACAAAATTTAGTCAGGCGTGGTTGGAGGGCACCTGTAATTCCAGCTACTCAGGAGGCTGAGGCAGGAGAATCACTTGAACCCGGGAGGCAGAGGTTGCAGTGAGCCAAGATTGTGCCACTGCACTCCAGCCTGGGTGACAGAGTGAGACTCTGTCTCAAAGAAAAAAAAAGAAAAAGAAAAAAACAACAAAAAAAACAGACACTGGTATGACTGATATATTAATTAGCTAGGACTGCAATAACAAAGTGCCCCAGACCGGGTGTCTGAAACAACAGAAATGTATTGTCTCACAATTCTGGAGGCCACAAGTCTGAGATCAAGGTGCAGGCAGCACTGGTTCCTTCTGAGGCTGTGGGAGAGAATCTGACCAATGACTTTCTCCTAGCTGCGGTTGCCGGCAATCCTTGACATTCCTTGGCTTGTAGGTGCATCACTGCAAACTCTGCTTCGATCCTCACATGACATTCTCCGTGTGTGCAGGTTCGTCTCTATTTCCTCCTTTTATAAAGACACTGGTCACATTGGATTGGGACCTAACCTCATGACGTCATTTTAACTAATTACTTCAGTAGGCTGGGTGCAGTGGCTTGTGCCTGTAATTCCAGCACTTTGGGAGGCCGAGGCAGGTGGATCACTTCAAATCAGAAGTTCGAGACCATCCTCGCTAACATGGCGAAACCCTGTATCTACTAAAAATACAAAAATTAGCCAGGCGTGGTGGCACGCGCCTGTTGTCCCAGCTACTCTGGAGGCTGAGGCAGGAGAATCGCTTGAACCCGGGAGGTGGAGATTGCAGTGAGCCAAGATCGCACCACTGCACTCCAGCCTGGGCAACAGAGCGAGACTCCATCTCAAAAACCAAACAAACAAACTAACTAACAAAAAAACAACAACAAAACCAAACAACAACAAAAAAACCAAATTACTTCAATGATCCTATTCCCAAACAAGGTTACATTCTGAGCACCTGGGGGTTAGGACTTCCACAAAGGAATTGGAGATGCACAATTAATCTCATAACAACTTACAACAAGGGAAGCCTAGTTCATACAGGCCCCCTTCAACCCCACTTTCCCGAGCTAATCAGCTCTGGGAGTCAGCACCAGCTCACAAAGAAACCACCTGGGGAGATGGGGGTGATGAGGAGAAGAGCATCTAGGAACTCAAAGAGCACCTTATCATGCCTTCCTGACCCCAGCCTGAAGCAGGGGGGAGTGGAGATGCTTTAAATTGGACAAAAACATGGAGGTGTCACCTGGACACTTGTGGGATATTTTAATGACTGTAGTGGGTTACATGGTGAACCTCCAAAATTCATGTCCACCCAGAATTTCAGACTGTGACCGTATTTGGAAACAGGGTTTTTGTAGGTGGATTTAGTGAAGGATCTTGAGATGACATCATGGCATCATCTTGGATTTAGGGTGATCCCTAAATCCAATGACTGGTGTTTGTTTTTGTTTTTGTTTTTGTTTTTGTTTTTTTGAGACAGAGTCTCACTCTGTTGCCCAGGCTGGAATGCAGTGGTGTGATCTTGGCTCACTGCAACCTCACTACCCACACCTTCATCTCAGTAATCTGGCCTCCAGAATTGTGAGACAATACATTTCTGCTGTTTCAGACACCCACTTTGGGGCGCTTTGTTAAAAAAAAAAAATTAGCCAGGCACGGTGGTGCATGACTGTAATGCCAGCTGTTTGGGTGGCCGAGGCATGAGAATCGCTTGAGCCTGGGAGGCAGAGGTTGCAATAAGTTGAGACTCACTATAATCCAGGCATGTGCCACCACACCTGGCTAATTTTTGTAGTTTTAAGAGAGACAGGGTTTTGTCATGTTGGCCAGGCTGGTCTTGAATTCCTGGCCTCAAGCAATCTGCCCGCCTCAGCTTCCCAAAGTGCTGAAACTACAGATGTGAACTGTGCCCGGCCAGTTTTCTAGGGATTTAGATGAATATTCCACCCTTTGGACCCATAAAGGTAGCATCCCCAAACTCCTTTGTGTGTGATGCTATCTTTCAAGCACGCCTGCACTCCCTCTCCTTGAATGTGTACTTTGCAATGCAAGTACTTTTATTTGCCATAAACCTCAGTACTTTCACTATTTTTTTTTTTTTTTTGAGACAGAGTCTCGCTCTGTCACCCAGGCTGGAGTGCAGTGGCATGATCTCGGCTCACTGCAAGCTCTACCTCCCGGGTTCACGCCATTCTCCTGCCTCAGCCTCCTGAATAGCTGGGACTATAGGCACCCGCCACCACACCTGGCTAATTTTTTGTATTTTTTAGTAGAGACGGGGTTTCACCATCTTAGTCAGGATGGTCTCGATCTCCTGACCTCGTGATCCGCCTGTCTCGGCCTCCCACAGTGCTGGGATTACGGGTGTGAGCCACCGCACCCGGCCCACTTTCACTATTTTCTGACTTGTTTCTTGAATTCACTCTCGATGGTGTCAAGAGCCTGGATAATGGCTGGGTTCGAGGTCCCACCGGCGTTTGGGGACCTCCCCCAACCCACTGGTATCAGAGCTGTCTATGATGTCACCATGTCCCTTGACTTTAGCTCTGACAGTAAAATGATTATAGCCTAATGTTAATAAATCACTATGATCATATCCGCACCCTATCTACATGGATGATTCCTGGGTACTTTATCCACTCGGGCTCACCAACCTGACAGGGAGGTGCTGTTATCAATGCCCCCATCATTCAGATATGCAAATGAGGCCTCCAAAGAGCAAGTGACTTGCCCAGTGTCACATCACCAGTAGAGCAGAGCTCTGAATTATGTGAACAACTTGCCCTGCTACCTCAACAACCTATCAAGAATAGAAAATAGGCCCTAGGCTGGGCACGGTGGCCCACACCTGTAATTCCAGCACTTTGGGAGGCCAAGGTGGGAGGATTGCTAGAGCCCAGGAGTTCAAGACCAGCCTGGGGAACATAGCGAAACCCTGTCTCTACAAAAAAAATACAGAGCTGGGCATGGTGGTGTGCACCTGTAGTCCCAGCTACTTGGAGGGCTGAGGCAGGAGGATCACTTGAGCCTGGAAGGTCAAGGCTGCAGTGAGCTATGACTGCACCACTGCACTCCAGCCTGGGTGACAGAGCAAGACCCTGTCTCAAAACAAAAGGGTGGGGGGTCGGGGTCAGCAGGGTCAGGCAAGGAATGGCTACATCTTTCTAGATCCAGACTCCTCTGCAAAGAGCCTTTGTGGAATCAATGTGCCACTCTCTCTCCCACGTACTCTTTAGTGCAATATACCTTCTGTTTTATTCATGTCTACTTCAAGATCTTTAGCTCCTTCTTGAGTCTTTGGGGTTCCAGTCATTCCAGGTGTGCAGAAACCATGCTCCACAGCACTGCAAAGCAAAAAAGCAGGGAGTTTAACAGGATTGGCAAAGGGGCTGTAGGGATGAGGCCAACTCTTCCATCCACTGGTCATGTCTGCCTAGAATCCTAGGATCCATTGGTCATGCCTGTCCTGGGCCTGGGAGGAGAGGAGAGTGGCCGGCATGCCAGATAATAGAGCATTTGTAAAACCCAGAGGGTATTCAATCTGTGAGTTTACAGAAGAGTCTCTTAAATTGTTAGAATATAAAGTCTGGGTCTATACACAATTCTGTGGGTGAGAAAATATTTTGAAGCCTCCCAGGGGAAAGAAACTCTCATGGGACCACACATTTATCTTCTCTTAAAGGTAATATTAACATGAAAACTCAAAGGGCCTAAAGGAGAAACAGGATAAGTCTTGCTACATAAAATTTTTAAATTTTCCACATGGCCAAGAATACCACAAACAAAAATCAAGAGATCAACAACAAATTGGGGAAAGATGTGGACAATACATCCAAAGTATAAAAGCTTGATTTCCCTCATATGTAAAGAACCCTGAGGAATTAATCAGAAAAAGACCAAAACCCAATGGGAAAGCGGGCAAAGGACATGAATAGATAATTATCTGAAACTGAAAAATGACTTTTAAAAAGAAGTAAACATGCTCAAACTCAGTCCTATGAGAAATACAACAGAAAATATGATGCAGTTTTCACCTTTCAGGTTAAGTAAGATCAAAAAAGCTGACAATATTGTCTATTATGAAAATGTGGGAAAACAGGTGCTCTCATTCATCGTGGTAAAAATCAATGCCACCTCTTTCGAAAACACTTATCAGTAATCAGACTTAAGATCACATGGGGTTTGGTTTGGTTTTGTCGCCTAGGCTGGAGTGCAGTGACACAATCTCGGCTCACTGCAGCCTCCACCTCCCAGGTTCAAGCAATTCTCGTGCCTCAGCCTCCGGAGTAGCAGGGATTACAGGCCACCGTACCCAGCTAATTTTTAAAAATATTCTTTTAGTAGAAACAAGGGTTCACCACATTAGCCAGGTTGGTTTCGAACTCCCAAGCTCAAGTGATCCGCCCGCCTCAGCCTCTCAAAGTGCTGGCATTACAGGCGTAAGCCATTGCGCCTGGCCGAGATCACATGGTCTTTAACCCATCAGTAGCGGACAGGATTCCGGGGCTACCCTGGGTTTTTGCATAGTCATTAATTGGACTCTACTGTTTGAGGGCTTTGGAGTGGTGTTTGTACCACCACTCCTTCAGGTTGTTTAATTCTCAGTGTGTTAATTCCTTTTTTTTTTTTTTTGAGACGGAGTCTTGCTCTGTCGCCCAGGCTGGAGTGCAGTGGCTCGATCTCGGCTCACTGCAAGCTCCACCTTCTGGGTTCACGCCATTCTCCTGCCTCAGCCTCCTGAGTAGCTGGGACCACAGGTGCCCACCACCACGCCCAGCTAATTTTTTTTGTATTTTTAGTAGAGACTGGGTTTCACCGTGTTTGCCAGGATGGTCTCGATCTCCTGACCTCGTGATCTGCCCGCCTCGGCCTCCCAAAGTACTGGGATGACAGGCGTGAGCCACCGCACCCAGCCTATGCCTGGCTAATTTTGTATTTTTAGTAGAGACAGAGTTTCTCCATGTTGGTCAGGCTGGTCTCAGACTCCCGACCTCAGGTGATCTGCCTGCCTCGGCCTCCCAAAGTGCTGGGATTACAGGTGTGAGCCACCACACCTGGCCTAAAATCACAAATTCTAAATATAAATTTATTCCAATCAAAAATGTCTCCAGATATTGTCAACTTTGTCCCCTGGGGGAAGTGGAGGCCAAATTGTTGGTCAACATTTATTGAAACTGATTTTTCTAGTGGCTTTCAGGGAGGAAAATTGTACGATTTTGTTCATGATAAAGAGCGTGCTTGACACAAGAATCAAGCAGTTGTTCTGGATTCTAGATTTGCAGTAATGTTTTATGAACTCTAAAAGTTTCCATCAGTGAGTGCAGGAACACAGCAGGTGAAAACTTGAGTAAACCCTCTGGTGAATGAAGCCCTGTAACATGCACGTGATTCTTACACCAGCAAAAACTGATTTTGTATTTCAGTGAAAACAGGTGGCTAAAAGGCCATGTTCTAAGTTGAACTTGAGGCCAGGTGCGGTGGCTCACGCCTGTAATCCCAGCACTTTGGAAGGCCGAGGCTGGCAGATCACCTAAGGTCAGGAGTTCAAGACCAGTCTGGCCAACATGGTGAAACCCTGTCTCTATTAAAAATACAAAAAAAATTAGCCAGGCATGGTGGCAGACACCTGTAGTTCCAACTACTTGGGAGGTCGAGTCAGGAGAATCCCTTGAACCTGGGAGGTGAAGGTTGTAGTGAGCCAAGATAGCACCATTGGACTCCAGCCTGGGTGACAGAGCAAAACTGTATCTCAAAAAAAAAAAAATAAGTTTAATTTTAAAAATAAGTAAAGTGAACTTGAATGAGCCTACGGAGTTTACACACACAAAGTAGATCAATCAGCAGGACAAAGCGAGCAGCCCAAAACAGCAGATCCAGACCAAGCTACAGATATGCATGAAAAACATGCACGGAGTGTGCGGCCCAAGAAGAAATGAGGAGGAAGCCCAAGGCCCCTCTGGAGCAGCTGGATCTGGCCCAGAACCTCAAAGTCATCCTTAATTCACCTTTGACTTGCTTCCTTCCCTCCCTCCTTCCTCCCTTTGCTTCTTCCCTTTCTTCCCTCCTTTCTACTTCCTTCTTCCCTCCCCTTCCTTCCTTTTTCCCATTCTCCTACCCTTCCTCTCTCCCTCCCTTCCTTCTTTCCTCCCTTCGTTCTTCCCCTCTCTTCCTTCCTCCCTCCGTCCCTGCCTTTTCTTTCTTCCTTCTTCCCTTCCCTTCCTTTCTTTCTTCCTCCCCTTCCTTCCTTCCTTCCTCCCTCTCTCTTCCCTCTTTCCTTCCCTCCCTCCCTTCTTTCCTTCCTTCCTCCCTCCCTCCCTCCCCTTCCTTCCTTTTCCTCCTTCCTCTTTCCCTCCCTCCCTCCCCCTTCCCCCTTCCCCTCTCTCTCTCCCTCTCTCTTCCTAGCACATTGACTCATTAGCTAATTCCATCAGCTCAGCCTTCAAAATGGGATCCACTCTCTCCGCCTGCCTGGACCTAAGCTTCCTCCCAGGAGCCTGAGAGGTCCTGGTCACGTGAGAGGCCCATCACCCAGGCGCATTGTGGGTTCTGCTAGATCTCAATTCAAACAAGATGTGCACGAGGCCGCCAAGAACTCCACCACTGACTGTGTCTCAGACGACATGAAGAAATGAAGAGGGGATGTTTACTTCCTTAAAGTATGATAATTGCTTTGGGGTGAAGTTAGAGAAAGGAATCCTTGTTGCCAAAGGATTCATGCATGAAAGAACACACTGTCTGGTGCTTGCTTTAAAACTACCCACGAGGAGTGGGGTGACACAGAAATGACCAAGGCTGACTTTAAGTTGGAGCCGAGTGATAGGTAGCTGGGGGCTTATGTTATGATCAGCTCTACTTTTGTGTTTGAAACTTTCCACGATAAAAGTGTTTACAAATAAAAATGAATGCCAAGCATGGTGGCTCATGCCTGTAATCCCAGTGCTTTGGGAGGCCGAGGCGGGTGGATCACCTGAGGTCAGGAGTTCGAGACCAGCCTGGCCATGGTTCACACGGTGAAACCCTGTCTCTACTAAAAACACAAAAATTAGCCAGGCACGGCGGCAGGCACCTGTAATCCCAGCTACTCAGGAGGTTGAGGTGGGAGAATTGCTTGAACCCAAGAGGCAGAGGTTGCAGTGAGCAGAGATCTCGCCCTGCACCCCAGCCTGGGAGATAAGAGTGAAACTCCATCTCAAAAATAAATAAATAAATAAATACATAAATACATAAATAAATAAATAAAAATAAAAAAGTGAAATGCTGGCCCAACCCTGTCTCTCCTCTGCCTGCAGCCCTCCATGGCTCCCACCTCCCTCCAGGTAAAAGCGCAAGTTCTCCCCACGGTCCACAAGGCCCTGCACCTCCCTGTGCTCTCCTCCTTCCTCCCTCCCCCTCCTCACTCTGCTGCAGCCACGTGGGCCTCCTCACTGTTCTTCCAACTCACCAGGTGCAGTCCTTCCTTGGGGCCTTCGTACGGGCTGTGCCCTCTGCCTGGAACTCTCTTCCCCTCAGATAGCTGGGACTACAGAAGCATGCCACTACGCCTGGCTAATTTATTTTTATTTTTATTTTTGTAGAGCTGGGGGCCTCGCTATATTGCCCAGGCCGGTCTTGAACTCCTGGCCTCAAGCAAGCCCCCCCCCCCCCCCCAACCCCGCCACCTCGGCCTCCCAAAGTGCTGGGATTTGCAGGTGTGAGCCACCACACCAGGCCCCTCTTTTCTTTATAAATTGCCCATCTTCAGGTATTACTTTATGGCAATGCAAAATGGGCAAATAAAATTAGTATCCGGAGTATGAAAAGAACTCTGGATTTAAAAGACAAATGTAAACAACCCAGTGTTTTATGATGAAAAATGTAAACAGGCAGTTCACAAAAAAGGAGCCTGGAAAGGGCTACAAATCCTGGACAAGATGCTCAGTAGCTTTGGTCATCAGGGAACTGCACGTTAAAAATCACACGATCGGCCGGGTGCGGAGGCTCACACCTGTGATCCCAGCACTTTGGGAGGCCGTGGCAGGTGGATCACTTGAGCTCAGGAGTTCTCTACAGAGGACTTGTAAGTTACTAGTAATATTCGATTTCACGAAGTGAAAAGGGCACACAGATATTTATCGTTATTCATTAAATCGTACAGATATGCTTTGTGTTATTTTATATGCATTATATGTTTCACAATTTTAAAAGGCCATGTAGGGTTCAGATGTGGTGACTCACACCTGTAATCCCAGCACTTTGGGAGGCTGAGTCGGGTGGATCGCTTGAGGCCAGGAGTTCGAGACCAGCCTGGCTGGCATGGTGAAACCCCATCTCTACTAAAAATACAAAAATTAGCTGGGCATGGTGGCGCGTGCCTATAATCCCAGCACTTTGAGAGGTCGAGGCGGGTGGATCACCTGAGGTCAGAAGTTCAAGACCAGCCTGGCTGGTATGGCGAAACCCCATCTCTACTAAAAATATAAAAATTAGGCCGAGTATGGCGGCTCACGCCTGTAATCCCAGCACTTTGGGAGGCCAAGGCGGGTGGATCACGAGGTCAGGAGATTGAGACTATCCTGGCTAATGTGGTGAAACCCCATCTCTACTAAAAAATACAAAAAATTAGCCGGGCATGGTGGCAGGCACCTGTAGTCCCAGCTACTCAGGAGGCTGAGGCAGGAGAATGGTGTGAACCTGGGAGGCGAAGCTTGCAGTGAGCCGAGATTGCGCCTGGGCAACAGAGCAAGACTCTGTCTCAAAAAAAAAAAAAAAATTAGCTGGACATGGTGGCAGGCGCCTGTAATCTCAGCTACTTGGGAGGTTGAGGTGGGAGTATCACTTGAGCCTGGGAGGCAGAGGTTGCAGTGAGCTGAGATCGTGCCACTGCACTATAGCCTGGGCAAAAGAGTGAGACCCTGTCTCAAAAAAAAAAGAAAAGAAAACGCATGCCCTTCTCCCATACCACTGGCACCTGTCACTCTTCAAGAGGTGTGGTTCTGGCCATCTGGCAAGGCACCTGGAGCTGGGACATCTGGTCACTCAGGTGTTTTCTTCTTCCTGCAAAGACAGTCAACAGGTAGCCCCTCCTGGAAACCTGAACATGAGCTGCCCCTTCCCAGCCCCCGTCACCCTCTCCGTCCAGCCAGGATGATGGTGGTGGTGGGAGGCAGGAGGATGGGTGGTTTCCCTCCACAACAGGCCTTCTACCCCATTCAACCTTCCAGAACGTTCCATCCCAGCCACCTCTTGTGACATCACTGGCTGCCCCTGCCTCCGCACCCCACCCCCACCCCTAGGGGAAGCTGCTTCCAGGACAGGGAGATTGCTCTTTTCATGCATCATTCATTTATTCATGCATGCATGCACTTCTGCGTTGCATTCGTGACGTTTTTATGAAGCCATGACCCTAATGGCAGGGATTGTGCTGGATGCTGGAGACATAAAGATGAACAAAGCCAGATGAGGCCTGTTCAAGAAAATAAGAGGAGGCCTAGAATCACACAAACAAATGCAAACTTACCATTGTGAAGAGAGCCCCAAGGCATGTTGAGGGCTTGATCAAAGGATCCCGCCCAGGCAGGGAGTCTGGGAGTGGTTTCTTTCTTTTCTTTCGTTTTTTGAGACGGGAGTCTTGCTCTGTCACCCAGGCTGGAGTGCAATGGTGCGATCTCAGTTCACTGCAACGTCTGCCTCCCAGGTTCAAGCGATTCTCCTGCCTCAGCCTCCCGAGTAGCTGGGATTACAGGCGCCCGCCACCACGCCCGGCTAATCTTTTGTATTTTTAGTACAGACGGGGTTTCGCCATGTTGGCCAGGCTGGTCTCAAACTCCTGACCTTGTGATCCGCCCGCCTTGGCCTCCCAAAGTGCTGAGATGACAGGCGTGAGCCACCGCGCCTGGCCTGGGAGTGGTTTCTTGAGCTGGGATCTGAAGTATGCCTGGATGTTATTCCTGCCCTCGTGACTTTCTCTTACGCTGCCTGTCTTCATGTGTTTACAGCGGCCTCCCCCTTCTCGTTCTCTGCTTTAGTCACTGCTAACAATGTCCACTACCAGGCACAGTGGCTTGTGCCTGGAATCCCAGCACTTTGGGAGGCCAAGTCCGTAGCATCACTTGAGGCCAGGAGTTCAAAACCAGCCTGGGCAATGTAGTAAGACCCCGTCTCTACAGAAAAATTTAAAAAATTAGCCGGGCGTGGTGGTGCGCAAGTGTAACCACAGCTAGTAGGGAGGCTGAGGTGGGGGGATTGTTTGAGCCCAGGAGTTCCAGGCTGCAGTGAGCTGTGATGGTACCATGGCACTCCAGCCAGGCCTACAGAGCAAGACCTTGTCTCAAAACAAAAAAGACAAAACAGTGCCAGGTGCAGCACATACTAGATGCTCAGTAAATAAAGATGTAGCAACAGAATCTTGTGCTGTGCCAGGAGAAAAGGACAAGGAGTGTTCCTTTGTCTCCAGGGCCTTTTGTGTGTGTGTGTGAGAGAGAGAGAGAGACGGAGTTTGGCTCTTGTTGCCCAGACTGGAGTGCAATAGCGTGATCTTGGCTCACTGCAACCTCTGCCTCCCGGGTTCAAGCGATTCTCCTGCCTCAGCCTCCCAAGTAGCTGAGGTTACAGGCATGCACCACCACTCCCGACTAATTTTCTGTATTTTTAGTAGAGATGGGTTTTCACCATGTTGGCCAGGCTGGTCTCCACCTCGTGGCCTCAGGTGATCCACCCGCCTCAACCTTCCATGGTGCTGGGATTACAGGTGTAGCCACCGCACCTGGCCACCAGGGCCTTCTTAATGTTTCACAAATATCTACTCTGCAGAGCACCTGGGCAGCTGTGCCAGGACAGCCAGTGTCCACCAATGTCCATTCAGCCCTTCTTCCCCAGAGCTCTCACCTAAAGAGAGAGAATGTTTCCCAGGCCCCCTGACTGCATGGCGTGTCCATGTGACTACATCCTGCCCTGTGGGATGTGGGCATAAGTGGTGGGGGCCATGCCTGGTCATGCCTATAAAGGAAAGGAGGTGACACCCTTCCCCAACCCCCCATCCAGTAGAATCCTGGGATCAGGAGCAGCCTCCTTGGACAGGGGTGAAGCTGGAGGGGAGGGAGCAGGTCAAGAGGTCCCCAACAGGAGGGAAGGGACCTCTGTCTCTAAAGACAGTTGAGCCACTTTGCTGGTGCCAGACAGATTTATGCAAGTTGCACACACGCTCGCTCGCTCGCTCAGACACTCTCACGTGCACAGGTACTCACACACAAACAGACCTTCCCATGGGCACACAATCACAAGCACACTCACATACACTCACACTCATAACATGCTCCCACAATCACACCTGTTCACACAATTCAAATACTTTCATACAGACACAAACTGGCAGGCACGCACACACACACATGCGCACACACAGTCACATGTACTATCAGACACATGATTACATGCATGCACACTCATCCACAGTCATGCACATATGCAGTCACACACGTGCCTCATTATAGAGACATCCCATTTCGTACACATGTACACTGTCAGACACACAATGTGTGACAGTCACACAGTCACATTGCTCAGGCCCTCATACGCACAATTACATGCACACACACATATGGACACACATGGTCACACACACCCTCATACAGACACACAATTACACACCCACACTCACACATTCACATACATATGCACACACTTGCTCACACTCTCACCCTCGTACAGACACAATTATATATATGCATTCCCACACTCACACATATATGGACATGCGTGGTCACACAGCCTCGTACGGACACACAATTACACACACTCCCACACTCCTACACTCACATACATATGTGGGCGCTGCCAGCCAACCTCCAAGACACATACATATGCACACACATGCTCACACTCTCACACACCCTCATACAGACACACAATTACACACACATATGCACGCACGTGCTCACACACACCCTCATATGGACACATGACTACATATATTCATTCCCACACACGTATATGCACACACATGGTTACACAGCCTCATACAGACACACAATTATATACGCACACCCACTCACATATGCACACACATTCTCACACTCACACACCCTCATACAGACACACAATTATATACGCAAACCCACTCACATATGCACACACATTCTCACTCACACACCCTCATACACACACAATTATATACGCACACCCATTCACATATGCACACACATTCTCACACTCACACACCCTCATACAGACACACAGTTACATACACTCACACACGTATGCACTGATAGACACCTAATTATACACATAATCATAATCTCACACACACACTCCTGTGTGCCCTCATGCAGACAAATACACACAGGCACACACACCCTCATGCAGATACAGTCACATATACAGTCACATGTCCTCACACCTGCACACACTTGCACACCCCACATCCTCACACACCCTCAGATACCCAATTACATATATACACTCGCACACACATGCACACACTTGCTCAGACTCACACACAACCTCATACACACAGTTACATACACACATACATTATGACACACATATGCACTCATATACACTCTCATACAGACACACACAGACACATACACATACTCCCAAAGATATGCACACACACCCTCATGCTGACACACGGTTGCACATACAGTCACCATACATTCACACACACATACTCGTACAGACACAGTTACATACACACACAGTATGGCACACACTTACACATATGCACTCACATACACCTTCATATAGATGCACAATCACACGTGCACTTAATTCACACAGGCACACATACACAGTTACATACAGTATGACACACACGTATACACTCACATACACCTTCATATAGACGCACAGTCACACATGTGCACATAATTACACGCATGCACATGTACACAGTTACATAGAGTATGACACACACATATGCACTCACACCTTCATAGAGACACATAATCACATACACACACACCCTCTCACCGTGGAAAAGTAAATCTCCTTGGAGAAAATCTGTCCATAGCTATCCCAGACAAGTTTCAGCAAGGATGAGGACGCTGCTGTGCTACCCAGATCTTTTCAGTGATGAAAGATGTGTGCCCCAGCCTCTAGGAATGTTGCTGGAAGCAGACCTCTGCTGTCCACCCCTTCAGGTCAGCATCTGCCAAATGGCACGTCCTCATCCAGGGTCTTGTTCCCTTCCCCGGGCCACCAACATCTGTATGGAGGCATAAAATCTCGGGCCCCTCTCCCCAAATCTCAGGACAACTCAGGGACCATCCCAGCTACAGAGCTGGGGGCAGCTGGACTTCTCATGCTCTCTCTCTCTCTCTGTGTCTCTCTGTCTCCCCCAATCCTGTTTGTTTCCCTTCCCTTCCCTTTCCCTTCCACCAGTATCCATCCCAAGGGTGGGTCCCCTCTAAACAAACCTTTTGCAAGCTCAGTTCCTCTCATCTGCTTCCTAATAAGCTCTCTGCAACAAAAGCAGTCGTTGTATGCCACTAAAATCCCTCCACTTACCTTCTCTTACCTTTATCCCACCTGCCCCAGGTAACATAATAACGTGGACTCTCATCCCCACACCCCCTCCCCTGAGGACTCTGAGCTGACCACTCTCCCAGAGTCTTGGCTGTTAGTCTTTGAGCTCGACTCCCCACTCCCTTCCACGGGTTCTTCCTACACAGACCCGAAGCTGAGCCTGTCTGGGCAGCTGAGGACACTTCCTCCACACAGAGGGATGAAGTTCATTCCAGGCCATGGCTCACATTTTAATGGAGAAAGAACTGAAGATAGAAATGGCATTGCATAAAGGCAACAGCTGCGGAAAGAGAAGCATTCATTTGGCAACATTCATCTCCTAATCCAGCAGACCCCAGGAGACTCTCTCTTCCCCCAGAGCCAAGGGCAAAGTGAACTCAAGGGTAACTCTGTAAAAGAATCCAGGTGTTTACACTGGAAATGGGGAAGGGGGGACTCAGCTGGCAGTGTGAGTCACCTGTGCGTCCTCCACTGGTGCCTCTCTGGGCAAGGGGGCGGTTGGATCCTCACTACTTGGCTGGTTCTAGGATCCTCCACTGGGGCACCTGCTTTCACCTCATGTGCCATCTTGTCTTAAGAGTCAAGAACAGTGGGAGCTCTCAGCCAACCTCCAAGACACCCAATTAACCAACTCATCCATGAACCCAAGGTCTATCCCCCACAGAGGATGCATGGTCGCTGGTTCATACGGAAACCTTGCAGGGTTGCTCTGAAATGTACATGCATCCACTTCCATACCAGGCTCGCTGTGTGCTCACTGAGTGCAAGCTGTGTATTCCCAAACCTGTTTATGCCAGTTGTGCTTCTTATTCTAACAACTATATTTTATTTTATTTTATTTTATTATTCTATTTTCTTTTCTTTTATTTTTAATTTTATTTTTTGAGACAGAGTCTCGCTCTGTTGCCCAGGCTGGAGTGCAATGGCGCCATCACGGCTCACTGCAACCTCTGCCTCCCAGGTTCAAGTGATTCTCCTGCCTCAGCCTCCCGAGTAGCTGGGATTACAGGCGCCAACCACCACACCAGGCTAATTTTTGTATGTTTAGTAGAGACGGGGTTTCACTATGTTGGCCAGGCTAGCCTCGAACTCCTGACCTCAGGTGATCCACCCACCTCGGCCTCCCAAAGTGGTGGGATTACAGGCATGAGCCACCGCGCCAGACCCTAACAACATAATTTGATCAAATATTATACGCCTCAATGTAATACAGCAGCAAAAAAAAAAAAAGTCATTGTTTCTAAGTCTCAAAAGTCCAGCTGATAAAAGAGTGATGAATTACGCATGGACGAGGTGACTTACTAACTCAGGGAAAAAATTGGAAATTGACCCTGTCCAATATAGTAGCTACAAGCCTATGTGAGTATTTAAATTAAAATTTTTATGACTATACACTTAAAAATGGTTAAGGTAGTAAGTTTAGTGTTATACGTATTTTGCCATATTAAAAATAAAAATAGAGCTGGGTGTGGTGGCTCACACCTGTCATCCCAGCACTTTGGGAGGCAGAGGTGGGAGTTCAAGTAAGGAGTTCGAGACCAGCCTGGCCAACATGGTGAAACCCCATCTTTACCAAAAATACAAAAAAATTAGTTGGGCATGGTGGCAAGTACCTGTAATCCCAACTACTCGGGAGGCTGAGGCAGGAAAATTGCTTGAACCTGGGAGGCAGAGGCTGCAGTGAGCCGAGATCGAGCCACTGCATTCCAGCCTGGGCAACAGAGCAAGACTCTGTCTCAAAAAAAAAAAAAAAAACTTAATAAAATATATTCACATATCCAATGGATTACTCATGGGAGGAATTTCAACACCCCTCTTTTGTTTACTGCTTTATTTATTTAGACAAAGTCTTGCTCTGTCACCCAGGCTAGAGTGCAATGGTACGATCTCAGCTCACTGCAACCTCCACCTCTTGGGTACAAGCAATTCTCCTGTCTCAGCTTCCCAAGTAGCTGGGGTTACAGGCATGCATCACCATGCCAAGCTAATTGTTGTATTTTTAGTAGAGACGAGGTTTCATCATGTTGGCCAGGCTGGTCTCAAACTTCTGACCTCAAGCGATCCACCTGCCCCGGCCTCCCAAAGTGCTAGGATTACAGGCGTGAGCCATTGCACCCAATCCAAAGGTTTCTCTTGGGACCAGCCTCCCTCCAACATGACTCCACAGTTCTGGTATCCTTATCATTTCTGTTTCTGGCCCCCTCTCCATCAGTAAGCAGCATTCACTGCCTGGGTGGGTGGAGGAGGTCAGAATGAATTGAACAGAAGCAGGGAAGAAAGACTGACTTGAGGCCGGGCGTGGTGGCTCGCGCCTGTTATCCCAGCACTTTGGGAGGCTGAGTTGGGTGGATCATGAGGTCAGGAGTTCAAGACCAGCCTGGCGAACATGGTGAAACCCTGTCTCTACTAAAAATGCAAAAATTAGCCGGGCGTGGTGACGTGTGCCTGTAGTCCCAGCTACTTGGGAGGCTGAGGCAGGAGAATTGCTTGAACCCAGCAGGTGGAGGTTGCAGTGAGCCGAGATCACGCCACTGCACTCCAGCCTGGGCGACAGAGCGAGAATCCATCTCAGAAAAAAAAAAAAAAAAAAAAAGCTCCAACAACATGAGATACAGAGTCAAAGCCTCATATGTAACTGTTACAAACCAAACTGGATCAATTTGCCTATATGCAAGGGAACATCAACCAGCAAAGCACTATGTTTTTGCAGTGAGAAAGGTTTAATGTGAGCCAATTGGCAAGAAAATGGGAGAAAACACTCAAATCTGTCTCTTTGAACTGGGAGTTGGGGCAGGTTTTATAGTCACAGGGTAATGAGGCATTATCTGATTGGCTCTTGCGATGGTGTGATGCCAGGGCTCGAGCTGATTGGATACTGGATCATTGCCATGTGGCGTCTGTTTCTTAATTCAATTCTGCTCCTTTGTCTGAGCACTTAGGTTCCACCTGTGGTTGACTTTTTAGCTCATCTGGACATGTTCTGATTATGTAGCTTGCAACCTGGGGTCCATGGCAACTGGAAGACAACTCACAACTTTGTTACATAAAAATTGAACTGGATTGGTCCGATATTATTACATAATGAACTCTCACCGTTGGGTGAGGTCAAATTGCTATAATAGGTATTTGTCTTTTTCTCATTCTTTTTCACAGCTGTATAGTATTCTATTTCACAGCTGGGATACTATACAGCTGTAAAAAAGAATTAGATGACATATCTATAATATATCCCTCATAGATAACATAGCTACGATATAGCCCTTTCTCATTCTTTTTCACAGCTGTATAGTATTCCAGCATGCAAGAAATTACTCAAAAACTTAGCAGCTTAAAACATTGATAATCACTCATCATCTCTCGTGGTTTTTGTAGGTCAGAAATTCAGACAGGGCACATCTGGGACAGCTTGAAGTCATGATGTGCTGGAGCTGGCATGTATCAACCGCATGAGTCAGAGCCAATTGCATGCATCTCTTCTCAGCTTCACATTCAGTGGTATCACATCTGTACCTTGAAATCAGCCACAGTGGGAGTATTTACACCACAGGAATTGGCAAACACTGCAAATCAGCGCCCCATGCCACTCAAGAGCCAGTTATTAAATATTTATCAGAACATAACTGCTTTAAAGAATTATTTAAAATTCTCAACAATATAAAGGGACATTTTATTATTAAATCCTTAGGGATGGTCCCACCAAAATCCCATATACAGTAATATTAGCAGACTCCAAATGTACTTAGATTTGCTAAAATTCTCAAATGCATTTTTTTTTTAGAGACAGAATCTCACTCCATTGCCCAGGCCCAGTGGTGTGATCATAGCTCAGTGTAGCCTTGAATTCCTGGGCTCAAGCAATCCTCCCACCTCAGCCTCCTGAGTAGCTAGAACTACAGGTGTGCACCACCATGCGGGGCTTATTATTTTATTTTTTTGTAGAGGTAGAGTTGTCCAGCCTGGTCTGGAACTCCTGGCCTCAAGTGAGCCTCCTGCCTCAGCCTCCAAAGTGTTGAGATTGCAGCCATGAACCATGACAGCCAGCCTCAAATGCTTTTCCAATAACACACAGACACAAGCCCTGAAATTTATATCATTGAGTTACTGAATACATATATGTGCCTGGATTTCCCTAGCAAAAATTGGGAAGAAAACATTTACTTTCCTTTTCCAGGCAGGGTGAGTTAAATGGTATGTCTGCAGCTGCGTTGCCAGGGGTCCGTGGCTTTTCAAAAGTGGGTGTCCCTACTGGCAAAAGTGGATACGGGGGTCTGCATGTTCCGTGGCAGCTTCCAGGAAGAATGAGAAGTGGATAAGAGTGGATGGTGCAGGTCTAGAAGCAAGAAAGGTCTGAACTAAATTGGTTGTCACTTGCTGTATAAGTGAGCCAAAGACAGTGTCTTTCTATCAGCCCTATCTCATTTATTTCTTTACAGCAGGCAGGCAGGGACCTCTCAGCTCAAAGCCCACCAGCACCAAGCTCAAATTCTCACACAATCCATTGCTATAAATATTGCACAAATAAGCATATGTTTAGTCATTTAGAGCCCACCTGCTTTGCATACCCCATAAAATTGCACCCAACAACACCTATTAATCACAGAGAAGAAAAATCTTACAGCCATAAGAAACCCCAAATTATTGTTGCCTTTCAGAGTTCTATGATGCAGACTCTCCCCACCTTGCTACTCAATGACATCACCTAGACACTTAAGCCCTGCCTCTAACTCTCCTCTGTCCCAGGAGTTCCTCTGGAAGGAGTCCTGCTGGAAGGGACATTCCCCGCATGCAAACCTATCTAAGTGCCGTGCAGTAAAGCTTGTTATGCAATACTGCCATCTTATGGTCCTGTTTTGTTTTGTTTTTTTTGAGCTGCCCCATCAGGAATCAATGATGTCATAAGTCATGGCTCCTGAAATTGCAATTTTCTTGTGTGTGTGTGTGTGTGTGTGTAAGCAAAATTAGGCCAGGCATGGTGGCTCACACCTGTAATTCCAGCATTTTGGAAGGCCAACACGGGGGGATCGCTTGAGGTCAAGAGTTTGAGGCCAGCCTGAGCAACATAGTGAGACCTCATCTCTCCTAAAAATTTGAAAATTAACGCGATGTGGTGACACGTACCTGTAGTCCCAGCTACTTGGGAGGCTGAAGCGGGAAGATTGTTTGATCCCAGGAGTTTGAGGTTGCAGTGAGCTGTGATTGCACCACTGCACTCTAGCCTGGGCAACAGAGAGAGACCCTATCTCAGTTTAAAAAATAAAATACAATAAGTTTTAACGAATTAATTTTTGTTATGTCTTGTGGTCTTTAAATGACACACATTTGACAGAATGCAGTGGACATTGACAGTACCAAGTAACACTGCTATGGCCGAGAACAGGAGTGGCCAGGTGGCATCTGAAAAGCTCTAGTTCCTTGGTGTGTCATCTACAGCCATGAGCAGCCTCATCCAAGGCTCCTGTCGGGGTGGCCAGTATGGAGTGAGGTCTGGAGGTGTGTCTTTGATCCCTACGTCTGACACTCGCTGTCCACCACGAACATCCTGTGTCACTGTGGATCCAGGTACTGGAAGATACTGAAGGAGTCCATGTTCCAGGTGCCAAGGTAAGGCCATGAAGCCAAGGTGCAGTTCTTGGAGAAGACCAGAAGGGGGCTCCTGGTAGCTGCAGCTCCAGATAAAGCCTCCAAGTCCCCATCTTCACGTGTATCAGATTCTTCTGTCAATTTGCAGCTGGTATGCTCTTTTAGCAGGGATCAAGCCAGCAACTGGATGACTCCTCCAACAATGCATGCAAATTAGAGCATCATTATCATTTGAAGTGCCTGATGGGAAAACACTCAACTGGATTCAAAAAGCCATTTACATCATTACAACAATTTTTGAAACTTATATTTGTTAATGAATAAAGAAGTTGGGGTCCTTAGACATAATTTCACCTGTTATAATTTTTTAAAGGCTTGTAGAAAATGGTTTGAAGTTTCTTACCACTTGCTTGTGCACGTGACGTTTCTTGCCAATTGTGTCTATTAAAAATTTGAGGGGCCGGGCACAGTGGCTCATGCCTGTAATCCCAACACTTTGGGAGGCCGAGGTAGGCAGATCACCCAAGGTCAGGAGTTCAAGACCAACATGGCGAACATGGTGAAACCCTGTCTCTACTAAAAATACAAAAATTAGACGGGAGTGGTGATGGATGCCTGTAATCCCAGCTACTCGGTAGGCTGAAGCAGGAGAATCACTTGAAACTGGGAGGCAGAGGTTGCAGTGAGCCAAGATCTCACCACTGCACTCCAGCCTGGAAGACAGAGCAAGACTCTGTCTCAAAAAAAATTTTTTTTAAAAAATATTAGAAGCAAACCAAATGTCTGTCAACAAAAGAATAAACCTATAAATAGTGATATATTTTTATAATGAAATACCACTCAGATTTTTTTTAAAAGAATGAACAACTGATGCATTCAACAATATGAATGAACTTCACAGATATAATATGCTAAAGAAGCCAGAAAAGGCCAGGCGCGGTGGCTGACGCCTGTAATCCCAGCACTTTGGGAGGTTGAGGCAGGTGGATCACTTGAGGTCAGGAGTTCAAGACAAGCCTTGCCAACATGGTGAAACTCCATCTCTACTAAAAATACAAAAAATTAGCTGGGCATGGTGGTGTGCACCTGTAGTCCCAGCTACTTGGGAGGCTGAGGCAGGAGAATCGCTTGAACCAGGAGATGGTGATTGCAGTGAGCCAAGATCGCGCCCCTGCACTCCAGCCTGGGTGACTTGTCTAAAAAATTAAAATAAAAGAGTAAGCAAAATACACGTGGTGGTAGAAGTCAGAAAAATGGGGTAGAGGTATTAACTGGAAAAGGACAAGAGAGAACCTTCTGGGGAGAAGGAAATGTTCCATACCTTGATCCAGGTGCTGGTGGTAAGGATTCACACACACACACACACACACACACACACACACACACACACACACACACACGTAAAAAGTCACACATATGTAAACAATTAAGAATTATGCACTTTGACATCTGTAAGTTACATCTCAATTTGTTTTTGTTTTGTTTTGTTTTGAGACAGGGTGTCACTCTGTTGTTTAGAATGGAGTGCAGTGGCACAATTGTCGTTCACTACAGCCTCAACCTCCCTCAGCTCAGGTGATCCTCCCACCTCAGCCTCCCAAAGTCTGGGATTACGGGCATGAGCCACAGTGCCCAGCCTCCTGTGTCTATTAAAACAGTCATAATAATAAAAGCGGTACAGTTCACACAGTGATGTCCTTAAAATAATGCAGATGAAGCCAATGTCGTTTATAAAGATGGGAACTAGTCGCAAAGCCCCCACTGTCCCTTTCGTTAGATTGCCTTGCCAAGTTGTAAGGTAAATCTTTGTATCAATCCTGAAAAGTTGGTAACATTCAGGCACAGAACCTAGACCAGTCAACGCACTATGTTACCGTTACAGCTTAGTCGTAATTAAGCTAAACATTGAACATTCTCTTTTTTGAGTTCTTATTATTTTGAGACAGGGTCTTGCTCTGTTGCCTATCATACAATGGCCCAATCTCCGCTCACTACAATCTCAACCTCCCCAGGCTCAAGCAATTCTTTCACCTCAGCCTCCCAGATAGCTGAGACTATAGGTCCGCATCGCCATGCCCAGTTGATTTGATTGATTGATTGATTGATTGATTGATTGATTGAGATGGAATCTTGCTGTGTCACCCAGGCTGGAGAGCAGTGGTGCAATCTCAGTGCACTGCAACCTCTGCCTCCTGGATTCAAGCGATTCTCCTGCCGCAGCCTCCCGAGTAGCTGGGATTACAGGCGCCTGCCAGCACGCCTGGCTAATTTTTGTATTTTTAGTAGAGACAGGGTTTCACCATGTTGGCCAGGCTGGTCTCAAACTCCTGGCCTCAAGTGATCCACCCGCCTCAGCCTCCCAAAGTACTGGGATTACAAGTGTGAGCCACTGTGCCCAGCCTGATTTTATTTATGTTTTTGTAGAGATGAAGTCTCGCTTTGTTGGCCAGACTGGTCTCAAACTCCTGGCCTCAAACGATCGTCCTGCCTTGGTCTCCCAGAGTGCGGGTATTACAGGCAGGAGCCACTGTGCCCGCCCAGAATTGAACATTTTTATCTCTATTTTCATAAAGAAGGCAGCTAGTATGCTTGACAGCTTCTGTTACTGAAATTTTTTGTTTCTCTGTTTTTTATAAACCTCTTTCCTTCTCATTCCTCACCGTTTTTTTTTTTTTTTTTTTTTTTTTTCCTGAGACAGGATCTTGCTCTGTCGCCCAGGCTTGAGTGCACTGGCACGATCTCAGCTCACTGCAGCCTCCACCTCCCGAGTTCAAGAGATTTTTGTGCCTCAGCCTCCCGAGTAGATGGGATTAACAGGCGCCGCCACCACACGGGCTAATTTTTTTTTTTTTTTTTGAGATGGAGTCTCACTCTGCTGCCCAGGCTGGAGTGCAGTGGCGCCATCTCAGCTCACTGCAAGCTCTGCCTCCCGGGTTCACGCCATTCTCCTGCCTCAGCCTCCAGAGTAACTGGGACTACAGGCGCCCACCGCCACACCCGGCTAATTTTTTGTATTTTTAGTACAGACAGGGTTTCACCATGTTTGCCAGGATGGTCTTGGTCTCCTGACCTCGTGATCCACCCGCCTCAGCTTCCCAAAGTGCTGGGATTACAGGCGTGAGTCACCATGCCCGGCCTAATTTTTTGTTTTTAGTAGAGATGGGGTTTTTGCCATGTTGGCTAGGCTGGTCTCGAACTCCTGACCTCAAGTGATTCACCCACCTGGGCCTCCCAAAGTGCTGGGATTACAAGCGTGAGCCACCATGCCCGGTTACCCCTTTTATTTTCTCTCCAAATTCTTTTTTCCTCCTTCTATTTCTCTTTTTCCTCTTTCCTTTCCTTCTTCCTTGCCTTTGAAGTTAATATGGAACACGGGCATGCACAGCCATTCTATCCTTCTGCTTCCCGGTTGCCTAGAAGTGGCTAATACCTTTGGCTGAAAAAAAAAATTATTTTTTCTTTTAAATGTGCTTGGTGTGTATTCAGCTTGCCCCTTCGATGGCTGTTCGGGGTCACAGGTATTTGCTATGGAAATGATTCCGTGTTCCAGAGAAATGTGGCAGCGGATGGCCAGAAAGCCGCGAGACAAATAAAAGATCTCTGCGGTACTCAGGTGCTTTTTACACAAAATCCGCTATTCAGAAGCCCCATCATTATGGAAATTGTCCTTTTATGCTACTCTTGAAAGGATCAGATGCTCAGACTCAGGTTTGTACCAAGTAAGAGGCTGTTAAAACTACGCATCAGTGCGTGAATGGCCTGTAAAGTTCTAATAGAGCTGGTTAATTAACAGTCATCAGTTAAATAAAAACAATCAATTAGGGAGAAGCTCGTCTGGGAGAAAAAAAAATAGTTTTAACAATCACCAAGGGTAAATTCTCTCAAGCAGACCTGGAAATGTCCCAGGAAGGAGGCAGTTTTTGTACCGTTCTCATACCCAAACTCGTTTTCACTGGCCCTGTGGTTTTACTAATTCTTTCCTTGTAAGCGTGCTGTCTAAATGTTTTTGTTTGAGGCAGGGAAGGGTGGCTCATGATTGTAATCTCAGAACTTTGGGAGGCTGAGGCCAGAGGATAACTTGAGCGCAGGAGTTTGAGACCAGCCTGGGCAGGATGGCAATACCTCGTCTCTTAAAATTTTTTTTTTTTTAAATTAGCTGGGTTTGGTGGTGGCAGGTGCCTGTAGTCCCAGCTACTCTGGAGGCTGAGGTGGGAGGATCCCTTGAACCCAGGAGTTTGAGGCTGCAGTGAGCTGTGACCATACCACTGTACTCCAGCCTGGGTGACAGAGCCAGACCTCATCTTTAAAATAAATGAATAAATAAATAAATAATTTTGTTTGATTTTATTTTGTATTTTAGCAGAAAAATATCTTTTTATTTTATCATGCCGTTCGAGTTCTATGGCAAAAAAAAGATTGAAAAATAATATCTGTGCTTGGTAAACACACATAAAAACAATGCAGACAGACTCAACAACATGAAAGGTTCTTCGATGAAAGTTAAGCCTCCCTTCTACTGTTATGTATATCCGTAGTGTATTTTTTTATCTTTCCAGAAATAATATCTGCATATACAAGCATGCTGCAAAAGGGCGCAGAGGAGGCATGGTACAGGGTGGAGGTGAAGAACTCAGATTTTAGAGACGTGCTGCTTGGGCTCGAATCCCAACTTTGCAATTTGCTAGCCAGCTCTGTAAGTGTGGACAAGTGACTGACCCCTTCTGTACCCCAGTGTGGTGGGGCAGCCCCTACATGGGCCCCCAGGGCCCCCATTGTCTCCTGTTCACACCCTTATCTAATCCTTCCCTTGAATGTGGGATGGAGTCTTGCTCTGTCGCCCAGGCTGGAATGCAGTGGCGTGACAATCTCAGCTCACCGCAATCTCCGCCTCCCAGGTTCAAGCCATTCTCCTGCCTCAGCCTCCCAAGTAGCTGGGATTACAGGCGTGCGCCACCACACCTAGCTAATTTTTGTATTTTTAGTAGAGACTGGTCAGGCTAGTCTAGAAGTCCTGACCTCAAGTGATCCGCCCACCTCGGCCTCCCAAAGTGTTGGGATTACAGGCGTGAGCCACTGCATCCAGTCTCACTGACTTACTTCTTTTTTTTTTTTTTGAGATGGAGTCTCACTCTGTCACCCAGCCTGGAGTGCAGTGGCATGATCTTGGCTCACTGCAACCTCCGCCTCCTGGGTTCAAGCAATTCTGTGGCTCAGACTCCCGAGTAGCTGGTATTACAGGTACCCACCACCACGCTTGGCTAATTTTTGTATTTTTAGTAGAGACGGGGTTTCACCATCTTTGCCAGGCTGATCTTGAACTCCTGACCTCATGATCCACCCGCCTTGGCCTCCCAAAGTGCTGGGATTACAGGCGTGAGCCACCGTGCCTGGCCTACTCACTGACTTACTTCTGACAAATAAGTCAGAAGTGATAGGATGTCACTCCTGATATTGGGCTATAAAAAGACTGTGGTTTCTGTCTTGAGTGCCTAGGGGAAGCCAGCTGCCAGGTCCTAGCTGCCATGTCACAAGGACACTCAAGCATGTTGTTGAAAAGCTTACATGGTAAGGAAATGAAATCTCTAGCCAATAGCTCTTGAGCTGGCACTCAAGCCTGCTGGCAACCATGTGAGTGAGCTTAGAAGTGAATCCTCTCCCATAGGGAGTTGCTGTTCAACAGGTATGAAGTTTCAGCTATATGAGAGGAATAAGTTCTAAGATATGCAGCACAATATTATGCCTAGAGTTAATAATACCGTGCTGTGCACATCAAAATGTAAGAGGCTACATCTCATGTTAAGTGTTCTTACAAGAAAGAAAAAGAGAAAGAAAGAAGAAAAAGGGGAGAGAGAAAGAAGAAAGAAAGAAAAAGAAGAAAGAGAAAAAAGAAAGAAGAAAGAAGAAAGAAGAGAAAGAAAGAGAGAGAGAAAGGGGTGGAAGGAAGGAGGGAGAAGGGGACAGAGAAAGGTAAGGAAGGAAGAAAGAGTGAATAGGCCAGGTGTGGTGATTCATACTCATAATCCCAATACTTTCAAAGGCTGAGGTGGGAGGATTACTTGAGCCCAGAAATTTGAGACCAGCCTGGGCAACATAAGGAGACCCCATCTCTACAAAACATGAAAAAAATTGCAGGGCACGGTGGCATGCCCTTGTGGTCCCAGCTACTCAGGAGGCTTAGGTGGGAGGATCACTTGAGCCTGGGAGGTCAAGGCTGCAGTGAGCCATGGTCACACCGCTGCACAGCAGCCTGGGAGACAGAGCAAGACCCTGTCTCAAAAGAGAAAGAAGGGAAGAGGAGAGGAGAGGAGAAGAGAGGAGAGGAATGGAGAGGAGAGGAGAGGGAGGGAGGGAGGAAGGAAGGAAGGAAGAAGGAATGGAGGGAAGGAGGGAGGGAGGGAAAGGAGGGAGGGAGGGAAAGAAGGGAGGGAGGGAAGGAAGGAAAGAAGGGAGGGAAGGAGGGAGGGAGGAAGGGAGGGAGGAAAGAAAGGGAAAGGAAGGGAAGGGAGGAAGGGAGGGAGGAAGTAAGGAAGGAAGGAAGGAAGGAAGGAAAGAAGAATAATTTTCCCAGTTGAGCCTTCAGATGAGCCTGCAGCCCCAGCTGACAGTTTGGCCACAATCTCCTGAGAGACATGGAGCCAGAACCACTCAGCTAAACTGCACCCAGATTCCTGACCCACAAAAACTATGTGAGATCATGAATGCTTGTTTTAAGCTACTGATCTTTGGGGTAATTTGTTACACAGCAGTAGATAGTGAATACATTCAGTTCCCTTATATGTAAATGGGACTAATAATGCAAAAATTATCATGAAGATAAAATGAGTTCTTATGGCAAAATGATGGAGAAACTATTAAGCACATAGTAAACAATAAATGTTTGTATATTGACTTTAAAGGGTAACAGATATAGATAGATATCTACTATAAGACATACACACACACACACACACACACACACACACACACTGTAGGTAGACATATACTTTATTTTATTTTTATTTTTATTTTTAATTTATTTTTATTTATTTTTTTGAGGCAAGGTCTTGCTCGTCACCCAGGTTGGAGTGCAGTGACGCCATCTTGGCTCACTGCAACCTCCACCTCCCAGGTTCAAGCAATCCTCCTGCCTCAGCCTCCCAAGTAGCTGGAGTACAGGCATGCACCACCATTTCTGGGGTAATTTTTGTATTTTTTAGTAGAGACAGGGTTTCCCCATGTTGGCCAGGCTGATTTCAAACTCCTGGCCTGAAGTGATCCACCTGCCTTGGCCTCCCAAAGTGCTGGGATTACAGGCATGAACCACCATGCCTGGCTGGTAGATATACACTTTAAAGGTTACTACTTTAAAAGGTACTACTTTAAAGGGTACTCTTTTTAAATAAATATCTTTCTTTAAAAACACAAATAGGAGTGCACTGTGAACACTGTACTGCATTTACTTTTTTTGTTTAATAAGTAGATTGTAGCCATTCTCCTATACTGCTCGGATAGTTGCATCTTATTCTTTTTCATTGCTGCATAATATTTCATTGTTTAGCTGAATGCTGCTTTGGGTAATCAGTGCTTTATTGTAGGCTGTTTAGGGTGTTTCCAGGTTTTTGTCATCCACTTTTTCTCAATGCCTCATCTTAAATTATGTTTTTTACTCACAGACTATTTGAGGTGACAGAGACCCATCCTTGGAATCATTTGATGCTGGGGTTTCAAATCGGTGATTCTGGGCATGCAAACACTCTGTTGTGCCCCTTGCCTTCAAAACAGCTCCATTTTCACCTGTTTAACTCCAAACCCAGGTCTCTAGACACCTAACCCTCCTCACTAGCCTTCCATGGGAACTGAAGCTTTACCACAGCTTTATTATGGGGTGATGTGAGGCAAAGAATTCATTTCACAGCCAAAAATTTGGGAATACACCTAGGTAATTTCCTTTTTCTTTCTTTTGTTCTTTCTTTCTTTCCTTCCTTCCTTCCTTCCTTTTTCTTTTCTTTCTTCCCTTCCTCCTCCCTCCCTCCTTCCCTTCCTTTCCCCCTCTCTTCCCTTCTTCCCCCTTTCTCTTTCTCTCTCTCTTTTTCTCTCTCCCTTCCTTTCTTTCCTCTTCCTTCCTTCCTTCCTTCCTTTCTTTTTTTTTCCTTCATTGACAGAGCCTCTGTTGCCCAGGCTAGAATACAGTAGTGAAATCACAGCTCACTGTAGCCTCATATTCATGAGCTCAGTCCTCCTGCCTCAGCCTCCCAAGTAGCTGGGACTACAGATGTGTGCAACCATGCCTGGCTAATATTTTAAATTTTTTTTTAGAAATGGAGGTCTCACTTTGTTGCCCAGGCTGGTCTCAAGCTCCTGGCCTCAAGTGATCCTCCCACTTTGGCCTCCCAAAGTGCTGGAATTACAGTCGTGAGCCACTGCGCCCGGCCTAGATCACATTTTGTTTATTTGTTCCTCCATGGATGGACACTGGAGTTGTGTGCATTTTCTGGCTTTATGAGCTAATGCTGCTAGGAATATTCATGTAGAAGTTTTTGTGAAGACCTAAGTTTTCACTTCCTGTGGGCAGACACCTAGGAGTGGAATTGCTGGATCCCATGGGAATTCCACTTTTTACATTTTGGGGAACTGCAACTTTGAGTTTTAGAAGTGGGAAAGTCCCAAGGAAACCAGGATGAGTTGGCCATCCTGAAAATGATTCCTCCTTGGTGTCACTTGCCCTTGGGCCTTAGGTAAGAGGAGCAAGGGAGTCAGGTGTTGCCTTGTGCACACCCCTTTCCCTCTACCACTGCCTGGTTATCCACTCCTGTGGCTTCTTCTGCTGCAGACTTCAGCTCTGCTATTTCCTCTCCAAGCTGTGCCCAACAAGGTCCTCCAACATGGTTCAAGTGGCTACTTTAAGGAGGCAAAGCTTTGTCTCTGGAATGAACTGGACCAGAGTCCACTAGGAGAAAATATCAGCCTTACCTCCATTCATTCAAGAATTAAGCTTCATCTGTCTCCTCGCTGTCTGCCCTGGGTGTCCTATGTCAACAGGAATGTGGCACTTCAGCAATTTCTCTTTTCTTTTCTTATTAAGAGACAGGGTCTCTCTCTGTCACCCAGGCTGGAGTACAGTGGCGTGATCATAGCTCACTGCAGCCTCCATCTCCTGGCCTCAAGCGATCCTCCTGCCTCAGCCCCCCAAGTAGCTGGGACCACAGGCACATGCCACCACGCCCTGCTAAGTTTTTAAAATTAATTTTTGTAGAGATGAGATCTCACTGTGTTGGCCAGGTTGGTCTCAAACTCCTGACCTCAGGTGATCCACCTGCCTCAGCCTCCCCAATTGCTGGGATTACAGGTGTGAGCCACTGTGCCTGGCCCTTAATGTATTTTCTAATTTCCCTCATGATTTCTTCTTTGAGATTGAAGAGTTTTACACATTTTGGTTAGTTAAGAAATATATAAATACTATAGTAAATATGCCACATTGCCATGAAAAAGGGCTGAAGTTTGCTTGAGGAAGTTGCTATTGAAGGATTGCAGCTTGTGAGTTATTGTGAAAAGGTAGAAAAGTCATCTGTAATCAGATGGAAAGTTGTAATGCTAGGCATAGATAAATGTGGCTCATAATTCACAGGAAGCTGAGGTGGCTGGTAGATATTTCAGATGTGTGCTTATGCATATTTTGTGCAGTCCTACACGATTTGGTCCAGACAGGTGCAGTTTTCTATTTACCTAGTGTTTCTTGCAGACAAAATTGTGCATAAGGAAGGCAAAATCCACATTGTGCTCAAATTGTTTCCTATTATATCCACCACTTTGGGACTAACTGACATTTCAAAGACAAGCATTCTAGCAGAACGGAGTGTACAAACCAGCTACAAGGCACCTCCTGTCACACCCTAAAACGTTATCCTTCACTCCCCACATCTAGTCCACTAGAGTGTTCTTCCAAATGTACCCTCAGTCCACCCACTCATGTCCGCCTCCACTACCAGGTCCCTAAACCAAGCCACCATACTTTCCCACCCAGGAGAACTGGGACAGACTCCTAGGATCTCTCTCTGTCCCTTTTGTCTCCTACAATCTATTCCCCATGAGGTGGCTCAACTGAGCTTTCATTTTTATTTTTATTTTCATTTCTGTTTTTTGAGATGGTGTCTCTCTCTGTTGCCCAGTCTGGGGTGCAGTGGTGCGATCTTGGCTCACTGCAACCTCTACCTCCCAGATTCAAGCTACTCTCCTGCCTCAGTCTCCAGAGTAGCTGGGACTACAGGTGCCTGCCATCATACCCAGCTCATTTTTGGGTTTTTAATAGAGACCGGGTTTCACCATGTTGGCCAGGCTGACCTCAAGTAATCCACCCCTCTAGGCCTCCCAAAGTGCTGGGATTACAGGCATGAGCCACTGGGCCTGGCCTCAACTGAGCTTTTAAAATTATAGTTTAGGCTATGCATGGTGGCTCATCCCTGTAGCCCCAGTACTCTGGGATGCCAAGGAAGGAGGATCACTTGACATCAGGAGATCAAGACCCTGTCTCTACAAAAAAAAAAAAAATTCTTGTATTTAGCCAGCCTTGGTGGCACATGCCTATAGTCCTAGCTACTTGGGTGGCTGAGGTGGGAGAATCCCTTGAACCCAAGAGTCTGAGGGTGCAGTGAGCTGTGATCGTGTCACTTCACTCCACCCTGGGCGATAGAGTAAGAGTCTTTTTTTTTTTTGAGACGGAGTCTCACTTTGTCGCCCAGGCTGGAGTGCAGTGGCACCGATCTCGGCTCACTGCAAGCTCCGCCTCCCGGGTTCACGCCATTCTCCTGCCTCAGCCTCCCGAGTATCTGGGACTACAGGCGCCCACCACCACACCCGGCTAATTTTTTGTATTTTTAGTAGAGACGGGGTTTCACCGTGTTAGCCAGGATGGTCTCGATCCCCTGACCTCGTGATCCGCCCACCTCGGCCTCCCAAAGTGCTGGGATGACAGGCGTGAGCCACCGCGCCCGGCAAGAGTCTCTTAAAAAAATAATTAATTGACAAAATAAAATAAAATCACAGATCGGGTGACATTCCACCCACTCCCCACCCCACCTGTCCCCGCACACACCCCTGCTTAAAACCCTCCATGGGGGCCGGGCAAGGTGGCTTACGCCTGTAATCCCAGCACTTTGGGAGGCCAAGGGGGCCGGATCACTTGAAGTCAAGAGTTTGAGACCAGCCTGACCAACATGGTGAAACCCCATGTCTACTAAAAATACAAAAATTAGCTGGGCATGGTGGCGTGCACCTGTAATCCCAGCTACTCGGGAGGCTGAGGCAAGAGAATCGCTTGAATCCAGGAGGCGAAGGTTGTAGTGAGGTGAGATCGTGCCACTGCACTCCAGCCTGGGTGACAGGCGACTCCATCATAAAAAAAAAAACAAATTAAAAAAGAAAATGCTTTGGAATTAGATATAGGTGGTGGTTGTACAACATAGTGAATGTACTAAATGCCACTGAACTGTTTCCTTTTAAAATGGCTCATTTTATGGTATGTAAATGTCACCTTAATTTACAAAAATGTGCCGCACAAAAGCAGGACTCTAAGAATTTGCCACCTGTTGGCTTGTCTTTTGCTACTCTGTGCTTGTCTTTTGAGATAACTGGGGCCACAGTTTCCGCCTCTGGCCAGGGCTGGGAGCGGGAAGAGGTCTAGCTTAGCTAAACGGGTTGACCAGCAGTTCCAGGACAGGCGGTCACCTTACTCCCCGAGGCTACAACTTGAGATCGCACCACTGCACTCCAGCGTGGGCCTGGGCGATACAGCAAGACTCCAGCTCAAAAACAAACAACAACAACAACAACAAAAGACACCCTCCATTGGTTTCCCAGTCTGATCGTGACTTCTTCCCTACGGCCTCCAATAAAATGATGGCCATCATATCATCCCCTGACTCACTCACCCCACCCACTCACTGCTCTTCCCCTTTCATTGGCTCCAGCTGTGCCCAAGGACCTGCTTTCTGTTTCTTCCACATCAGCTTTCACCCCAGGGATTTCGAATTCCAAACTATTTTCCTTTGTTCCTCGTTACTCCAACGTTGCCTCAAATGTCAGCTCCTTAGAGAGACCCAGGGTGACCAACTCTTCCCGCTTTGGGGATTTCCCGGTTTTAGCACTGAAATTCCCATATCCTGGGAAACCCCTTAGTCTTGGGCCAAGCAGGATTGTTGGATATCCCAGGGAGATCATCTCTGGCTGCTCTATCTAAGGTAAGCCCCACCCACCCACTTCTCCCACCAAGCCACTACTGTATCACTTTTCCTATGGCCATGGGAATTTTATCTATTTTATTTACACCTGTGTCCCTAGCACCTAGCAAATAGTAGGCGCTATCTATCTATCTATCTATCTATCTATCTATCTACCTATCTATCTATCATCATATACTATATATATACACACATATATGTGTGTGTATATATGTGTGTGTATATATATAAATGTATATATATATATATTAGAGACAGGTTCTTGCTCTGTCTACCAAGCTGGAGTTCAGAGGCACAGTCATAGCTCACCACAGCCTAGAACTCCTGGGCTCAAGCGATCCTCCCACCTCAGCCTCCTGAGCAGCTGGGACTATAGGTGTGCACCACTGCGCCTGGCTAATTTATTTTATTTTTATAGAGATAAGGTCTCACTATGTTGCCCAGGCTGGTCTTGAACCCCTGGCCTCAGACGATCCTCCTGCTGAGTCACTGCACTTGGACCTCAATAAATATTTTTGACTAAATTAATAATTGAATGAAAGGGACTGATTACTGTAGACCACTTGAGCTTAAGAATCTGTCACATGGCCAGGCGCAGTGGCTCCTGCCTGTAATCCCAGGACTTTGGGAGGCTGAGGCGGGTGGATCACTTGAGATCAGGAGTTTGAGACCAGCCTGGCCAACACGGTGAAACCCCGTCTCTACTAAAAATACAAAAATTAGCCAGGCGTGGTGGCGCGTGCCTGTAACGCCAGCTACTCGGGAGACTGAAACAGGAGAATCACTTGAACTCGGGAGGCGGAGGTTGCAGTGAGCCGAGATCATGCCACTGCACTCCAGCCTGGGCGACAGAGACTCTGTCTCAAGAAAAAAAAAAAAATTAGAAGATGATGAAATCAATTTAGCAAATCACCGTCAACATTTTAATTAAAATGAAACAGAACAGGAAATATCAGAGTGCGTTAAAGTATCATTTCACGGTACTTTAGTTACAGTATCATTTGTTTTAGTTATAGATATGTTTGTGTGGACTGAGCCCCTAGGTAAAATGTATTTCCTGCTGTATGCTGTGGTCAAAAATGTTTGAAAACCACCCATCTAGTGATCAAGAGCATGGACTTTGGCACTAGACTACTAGGGTTCCGATCCCTCACAAGCTGTTTGACACTGGGCAAATTCACTCATTCTTTCTGGGCCTCAGCTTCCTGATCTGAAAAATGGGGAAAGGCCGGGCATGGTGGCTCATGCCTGTAATCCTAGCACTTTGAGAGTCCAAGGCGGGCGGATCACTTGAGGTCAGGAGTTCCAGGCCAGCCTGGCCAACATGGTGAAACCCCGTCTCTACTAAAAATACAAAAATTAGCTGAGCGTGGTGGCGGGCGCCTGTAGTCCCAGCTACTTGAGAGGCTGAGGCAGGAGAATCACTTGAACCCGGGAGACAGAGGTTGCAGTGAGCGAGCCAGATCGCACCACTGCACTCCAGTCTGGGTGACAGAGAGAGACTCTGTCTCAAAAAAAAAAAAAGAAAAAACAAAACAAATAAAAACGGGGATAATGCCTAGCATCTTTCTAAAGATGCGATTGTAAGATTTAATGAGTTTGCATATTTAAAAAATGCTTAGATCACTTTCAGGCACATAGCAATTTAATCAGTGCTCACTAATATGATTTCTTGTTGAATGAATGAGTGGGGCTGAAGCCTAATCTCCTGCCTTTTCTCAGTACAAGTTGTTTTCTCCTATTCTTCCAGCCCCTTGTCTCGAATAACTATATGTTTACCTCTTTATTCTGTTTGCTGTCAATGTTCCCTCACTAGAATAAAAGTTCTATGAGGATCTGTCTGTTTCTGTCCTACTCGTAGCTGAATCTACCAGCTTGAGAGGAGGGCTGGTGAGTTTGGCAAACATTTTCTGTAAAGGACCGTATAGTAAATATCTTAGGCTTCGCGTGGGACATGCCGTCTTTGCGCAACTACTCCACTCCGCCCCTGTAGTGTCAAAGCAGCCTTCCAAGCTGTTCAAGGAAATGGGCGTGGCTATGTTCCAATAAAGCTTTATTTACAAACCCAAGCAGGCAGAATTTGACCCGCAGGCCGCAGTTTGCCAATCTTTAAACTAGTTCAAAATACTGGGCCCAATACAATAAAAGAGAGTCTCCTATCAGGTTCACACCCCACAAAAGCTCCTTTTGATAGTTTCTTTTTTTTTCTTTCTTTCTTTTTTTTTTTTTTGAGACGGAGTCTCGCTCTGTCGCCCAGGCTGGAGTGCAGTGGTGCGATCTCGGCTCACTGCAAGCTCCGCCTCCCAGGTTCGCACCATTCTCCTGCCTCAGCCTCCCAAGTAGCTGGGACTACAGGCGCCTGCCACCACGCCCGGCTAATTTTTTGTATTTTTAGTAGAGACGGGGTTTCACCGTGTTAGTCAGGATGGTCTCGATCTCCTGACTCCGTGATCCACCCGCCTTAGCCTCCCAAAGTGCTGGGATTACAGGCGTGAGCCACCGCGCCCGGCCGATAGTTTCTTTTAACCATGTAAAAAATATATATATATTTAAATTTTCAGCTGGGGGTCCGTGAAAAACAGGCGGCGAGCGAGAGTTTGCTGACCCCTGATCAGACTGTTCCCACATGTCCCACACTCCTCCTGTGGGGTAAACGGAGTCCCTTGGGTCCCCTAAAACTGGACTTTCCCAAAACGCGCCACCAACCCACGGCGCCGCGCGCGCGACCGGTTCGCCAACCCTCTGAGCCGCGCGCGCCTCCCGCCAAGACCCGCCCCTCTTCGCGGCCATTGGCCGAGTCTCGCACTCTTTTTCAAGGGGGAACGCCTCCTCCTTCCGACAGACTCTGCAGACAGCCAATGGAACGCCGTAGGGTCTCGCGCCCCGCCCTCTTGGGGGCCCGTTGGAGGCGAGCGTGGGCGGGCCGTTAGGAAGGTGGGGCGCGGAGCCTGGTAACCGTTGCCGGTAACAACGCCCCGCCCCGTCGGGCGGGCGGGCTGCGCGAGGCTGGCTGGCGGCGGGAGCCGGAGGAGGAGCGGCCGCCGCCGCCACCGCCGCCGCCATAGAGACTGTAGCCGTGGAGACTGTTACTTACCAACGGGGACCAACACGCAGCAGCCGCTGCCGCCGCCGCGGGAGCCGCTGCCCGAACTCCCGGCCCGAACTCCAGGTGACCGATGCGACCGCCCCGGGCCCAGCCCGGCCGGGGAGTGTGGGGGGCGGCGGGGACCCCGTTCGGGGGCCGGGGGGCGGGCAGCACGTCCCCGCCGCTCACCCCAAACGTCCGGGTGGTGCGCCCGCGGGACCCGCCTCCGCCACCCCGTCCGCGCGCGCGGCGGAGTTTGGGGGGACCCTGGCGACGTCCCCACTTTCCTTATTGACTGAACGCGGGGGAGGTGCGGTGCCGTCGCCTCACTTTTTACAAAACTTCCTGAGGTTGGGGCGTCCGGGGACCCCTTTCTCACGCTTACCTTCAAACTCGCTGAGTTGGGGGCGCCCCGGGAACGTCTCTCAAACTCCTCAAACTCCCTGAATTGGGGGCGCTTGGGGACCCTCTTCTCACCTTAACCCCCTAGATCTCTGAGTTGGGGGCACCCAAGGACCCCTCTTTTACTCATACCCTCGAATTTTCTGAATTGGGGGCGCCAGGGGACCCTCTTCTCACGTTTACTCCCCAGATCTCTGAGTTGGGGGCACCCAGGGACCCTTCTTTTACTCAAACCCTCGAATTCTCTGAATTGGGGGCGCTTGGGGACCCTCTCCTCACTTTTACTCCCCAGATCTCTGAGATGGGGACACCCGGGGACCCCTCTTTTACTCATACCCTCAAACTCCCTGAATTGGGGCCACCTGGGGCCCTCTTCTTACTTTACTCCCCAAACCTCCGAAATTGGGGTGACCCCAGAGCCCTTCTGTCACTCTTAGTCGCAAACTTCTTGCATCGGGGGGACCTCGAAGACTCCCTTCTCATTTTTACCCCAAATTCCTAGATCTGACTTGTCCCGGGGACCCCCTTTTTAATGGACTCCCAGACATACTGAATTTGGGGGCACCCCTGGAACCTTTTTCTCATTCCTTAACTAAAAGCTGGTGCGTCTGCCCTGGGGAGAACCCCTCTTGCCCTTCTCACCTTTTCATCCCAAACTCCCCGAGCGAGCTTCCCCGGGAACTGTTTCTCACCTTTTTGCCCCAAATCCTCGCGTTCAGGTCGCCTCGGACACCCCCTCCCCTTCTCCCTGTGACCCCATATTCCTGAGTATAGGGGTTCGTGCGTCCGCCAGTCTTTCCACGTGCCCCCAAGATGCCCCTCCGCACGTCCGCAGCTCTCCTCTTAGGACTGATCTGGAAGGGAGAAAAGTTTCACCAACGCGAGTGAAACTTTTTTTTTTTTTCAATTTATTTATTTTGTTAAAGAACCTAAACTGCTCCAGGCATTTTCTCCGAGGTAGTGCGAGTGCGTGTGTGTGTTTGTGGATTTAAACTCCACCCCCTGCCCCCACCGCCCACCAGCGCGCTCGCGGGCGCACACACACACTCACACACACACACTCACTCACACCCCAAATGCTCATTTCTTTCTTTTTCCTCCCTCCGAGAAGCCTCCGCGCTCCCTCGCCACCAGCCTCCGGCTCCGTTCCTTTTGGTTTTCCTCGCTGCACCGCTGGGAAAGTTGGATTTCCCGATCCTAGTGGCTATTTCAAGGGCCCCCGAGGGCCCCAAGCGCCCGGGCCATTCTGGCGGCTGCCGGCGCGGTTCATCTTCCTATTTTAACCTCCTGGTTGTGCGGCAAGAATGGGGAGGGGAGAGGGCAAGATGGAGCTCGGGACCCAGGGCTGGCTGCCTTACCCCCGCCCCCCCAGGCTTCATTCCTACTTTGGGGTGTTGTTAGCATTGTGCCTCCCTGCAATTATTTTCCTGCTTTGTATCATAAATGACCAGCGCAGGCTTCGATGAGTTCTTTTCCCTCTCAGTCAGCTTCATCTCTGTATCAAACCTTGTACAAGCTTCATTCTCTGTTTCAACTAAGAGTTCCCCAACAAAGTAACAGTAATAATAATAATGACACAAAACAACAAAGACTTTTTAAAAAAATTTTTGCCTGTACATATTGTTGACATGTATTTTATCTTTTTACATCGTGCCCTGAAACATTGTTTGCTTATGGAAAGATCCTTACCTCC
Organism: Homo sapiens; assembly: GCF_000001405.40. Classification (NCBI taxonomy): domain Eukaryota; kingdom Metazoa; phylum Chordata; class Mammalia; order Primates; family Hominidae; genus Homo; species Homo sapiens. Next base: position 6,108,381 of record NC_000019.10, on the reverse strand, counting down.
CGTCCTTCTGGATAAGGAGGAGGGGGGCATCTGTGCTTTCTCCTGCTCTAGTTTAAAGACTTGAACTGACTCTAAAATAACCTTAGAAACGACAACTCACCTACTCTGACCAGAGAAGTAAGAGTTTATGGTAACCTCCCTAGGAAAAGAATTTAAGTTCTTGAATTACTAGGGCTTCTTCATCAACAGGCGTGGTACGGAAGGCAACTTATAATGTATGATGGGAAAGATCACTGTTCTGTGATTCTGTGACAGTTCAACGGACTTGGGTTGGGAATGAGTTCTGAAATAGTTTGCTCCTGCAGGAAAAGCAATACTGAAATATTTTAGTTTTTTAAGTTCTTTCTTATAAACCACTGAATCTGAGAAGAGAGAGACAGTTATTACCTCAATAACAGGACAAGTTCTTTGAAATCACTTGATCTTTGCTTTCTGCGTGAAGGGCACGCATTACCTTAATGTATGTGTGATGTATATTTAAATACAACAATATAATATAATGTGTATGTGATGTATATTTAAATGTAAATACTCATCTTTTAACATTGTTTATCATTGAAGTACTGCTAAGGATGGTTCTGTCCACCAGAAATGCAGGTGCTGGGGAATTGTTTATCTGGGTCTTATTCCTTAGATCTAATTGTTTAGTTTTACATTAGCATTATAATTAATAAAAATATTAAATTGGCTTAACTTTAATATTATAATCGAGTCAAAATTTTAAATGCACCTGTGGATTTTTTTTTTTTTTTTTTTTTTTTTTTTGAGACAGGGTCTCACTCTGTCACCCAGACTGGAGTGCAGTGGCAAGATCTCAGCTCACCTTAACATGCACCTCCCAGGCTCAAGGGATTCACCTGTCTCAGCCTCCTGAATAGCTGGGATTACAGGCATGCACCCCCACACCCGGCTAATTTTTGTATTTTTAGTAGGGATGGGGTTTCACTATGTTGGCCAGGCTAGTCTCAAACTCTTGACCTCAAATGATCCAACCGCCTTGGCCTCCCAAAGTGCTGGGATTACAGGCGTAAGCCACCAAACCCGGCCCCTGCACCTGTGGATTTTTGTTTGTTTGTTTGTTTGTTTGAGACAGAGTCTTGCTCTGTCTCCCAGGCTGGAGTGCAGTGGCACCATCTCGGCTCACTGCAAGCTCCACCCCCGAGGTTTACACCATTCTCCTGCCTCAGCCTCCCGAATAGCTGGGACTACAGGCGCCTGCCACCACGCCCGGCTAATTTTTCGTATTTTTTAGTAGAGACGGGGTTTCACTGTGTTAGCCAGGATGGTCTCGATCTCCTGACCATGTGATCCGCCCACCTTGGCCTCCCAAAGTGCTGGGATTATAGGCGTGAGCCACCGCGCCCGGCCGGCACCTGTGGATTTTTATAGTAGCTAGTGATTGTTTTGCTCATAAAATGCTGGGGCCAGAAGGAACCACATCTTATAATATATATTTGTTTCTAAAGTTGACATCTATTTATTAAATATTTAAATATTTTTAAAATATATATTGAAATATTAAAACATGTATATATAATATATACTTATATATTTAAATATAATAAAATTTAAATATAAATATATGTTAAATATAAAACAAATATATTTAAATATTTACAAACATTTAAACAGTATACCCCCATAGGTACCCACTTACTTGTAAAATAGGAAACTTTTGAAAAACCAAGGGAAGTTCTCATCTTGCTTGTCAGGACACTCACTAAACTGCAGGGGAGGAGAATGCGAGTCTGTGGGCCTGTCTCTGAAACTATGGGTCCAGGGCATTCCCACTAAACACAGCCGTATTTCTGAACTGAACTATATGAATATTCACCCGAAGTGGGGAAGAGAAGGACCATAAGTAACTTCATGTCAATTCAGGCCAGCTTTTGTCACCAAGTGAGTCCATGCCAAATTTACAAAAAAATTGCCAGTTTTCAGAGTTTCCTGGATTTCAGTATTGTTGTAAGGGGTTGTGGGCTTATGTATTTTTTAAAAAGATGTTTTGACTCCGTCTCTAGAATTTAAATGGCAATTAGCTCCTCTGCTGGTCATGTTCTCATGTTCTCTCATGTAGACATATGCCTGGTGTAGTGAAAGGTCTTATTTTGTTGGATGGATGGATGGATGGATGGATGGATGGATGGATGGGCAGGCCGATGGAATATACACTGGGAATTAGAGAAAAAACTGAAAACCACCTACTTGCTTCTTGGAAACTCTAAGATCAGCAAAAGGATTCTCCCAGGAAAAAAAATATAGGGGAAGACCCAGAATGAAGTGGGCGAAAGGGATAAGGGTAGGTGAAGGAGGAGTGGCAAAAGGTCCAGAGAGAGGCCCTAACAGGCCTATAGGGAACTGGAGCCTGGGAAGCTCTGGACTGGCTTAGGATTCTAAGCTCTTCTCTGCAGAAAACATCTATCCAGCTGCCTGCTGGGTACATCCAGGTGGATTCTGACAGGCACCTTAAACTTAAGGTGGCCAAGCTGAGCCTGTCATAGTCCCCCCAGATCTACTCCTCCCAAAGCACCCCCCAAACTCGTTGGTACATATCAACTCACTTCTTCCCATTACTCAGGCCAAACCTCAGGACTGTCCTTGACTCCTCTCTCCCAAGCCATCAGCAAATCCTGTTGACTCCACCTTCAGTAGTTCCCCAGAACCTGACCATGCCTCGCCACCTCCACTGCCAGCCCCTCTGGTCCCAGCCACCAGCATCTAGCCCGGATGATTCCACCACTGGTGCTCGGCAGTCTCTCAGCCCAGCAGCCAGACGGGGCCTGTTAACCCTGGGAGAGGCGGCGTCATGTTAAGTTCTACTTCATACCCCTCAGCTCGAAACCCTCCGATGGCTCCCATCTCATCTGCAGCAAAAGCCAAAGTCACCCCTAACTCCACTCCCCGCCAAGCCTAATACCTCTTTGACCTCATCGCCAAGCTAGATGCCTTCCCTCACTGCACTTCCACCCTGCTGGCCTCTGGAAGCTCATTCCAGCTCTGCCTGGAAAGCTCTTTGCCCAGGTATTTGGAGGGCTGGCTCTCCGACTTTCTTCAGGCCTTTTCTCAGATGTCACCAGGCCACCCACTTGAGAATGGGTGCTCTCAGCCTCCTTCCCTGCTTTCTCTGTCTCCTTAGCATTTATTCCTATATAACACACCATAAGTTATACGTATTTATTGTATTATCACTGTCCTCTTGTTAGAATGTCAGCTCAGTAAGGGCAGGAACTTCTGTTTTATTAACTTCTTTTTTTTTTTTTTTTGTGAGACGGAGTCTCACTCTGTCACCAGGCTGGAGTGTAGTGGTGCAATCTCGGCTCACTGCAACCTCTGACACCCAGGTTCAAGCAATTTTTCTGCCTCAGCCTCCTGAGTAGCTGGGATTACAGGCACGTGCCACAACGCTCAGCTAATTGTTGTATTTTTAGTAGAGACAGGGTTTCACCATGCTGGCCAAGATGGTCTCGATCTCCTGACCTCATGATCTGCCCACCTCGGCCTCCCAAAGTGCTGGGATTACAGGCATGAGCTGTTTTATTAACTTCTATATCCCCAGGGCTGAGAAGAATTTTGGTGCTGAGTAGGCAATTGAGAAATATTTGTGAAATGAATAAACAAATGGTTTCCTTGACACTTATGGGGAAAGCATATGTAGAAATGAAGAGTTGAGAGCTGCATTGGGTGTGGTGGCTCACACCTGCAATCTCAGCTACCTGGGAGGCTAGGGCAGGAGGATCGCTTGAACCCAGGAGTTTGAGACCAGCCTGGGCAACATAGCGACACCCTGCCCTTAAAAATTTTTTTTTTTTTTTTGAGATGGAGTCTCACTCTGTTGCCCAGGCTGGAGTGCAGTGGCACCATCTCAGCTCACTGCAAGCTCCACCTCCCAGGTTCAGGCCATTCTCCTGCCTCAGCCTCCCGAGTAGCTGGGACTACAGGCATCCACCACCACAACTGGCTAATTTTTTGTATTTTTAGTAGAGACGGGGTTTCACCGTGTTAGCCAGGATGGTCTCGATCTCCTGACCTCATGATCCGCCCACCTCAGCCTCCCAAAGTGCTGGGATTACAGGCGTGAACCACCGCACCCGGCCAAAAAAATTTTTTTTAAATTAAGAATTGCTCATAGGTACCTTAAGTTCATATTGCCATCTCTGAGTCAGTAGAGCCCAAATTGGATGAATCTGGATGAATGGGGCAGGGGAAAGAGGAAAGGAAAAGTTGCAGGTCATAGTGCTGGGTGTTGCAGACCAGGGCTTTGGGGCACAGCAGAGAAGGAGTTAAATTGTGGTGCCACCGTTTATTAGCTTAGTGGCTCTGGGGCAAGGTTTGACATCTGTGAAATCGATAATAATAGCTCGTGTGGTTGCTATATTAGAAATAATTTCTATAAGCTATTTAGCACAGGGGCTGGCATCTAATAGGTGCTCAGAAAAAAGTAACTGTTGTTATTATTATTATTATTAGGATGAAGCAAATAAGTAGTAAGTGGCCTGGGATGATCAGTTTTTTACTGTGGTTTCCTGACCAGGACCAAATGCTAAGGAGGCGTTTAGTACATACATCTTGCTTGACTGAGTGGTCGGCCTCATGCTGTCTGTTTTAGGGTAGGAAATTCCCTTAAATTAACCTAGAAACTCATGGGTACTAATATGTCCCTCTGCAAACATAAGTGCTTCGTAAGAACAAAAACAGCACGAAAAGTTGTTGGAGTCCTACATCTTGGTTGTGGCATGGGTCCCTCTGAAATGACTCCCCAAACATCACATTTATGATGAGTTTTGGGGAGTGGCCAGCTCTACAGATGAGAACATTTTAAGACTGGTTTCCCTTCTCTGTTATCACTGGCTCTTGGATGCCAACACAGTCAGAGTCTGGAAATGAGCCACTTGGAGCCGGGGACTGGCCTGGTCTTCGTGCCAGGACTTGAGTTGGGCCCTTAGGAGCAGACGGCCTGGCCTTGCTGCACCTCAGTTGTTTTTTCCTGAAAGTGCATTCCTGTTTTATGATACATAGGTCTTGCATGTTTGAAAACCCTGTTGTATGCCCTGGCAATTCCTTATTCTTATTTTTAATGTTTGTGAATTCCATGACTTTCTAAAAAGTACAGTTGACTTGCCACTGCCTGTAGATGATACATAAAGCAGATAGATTTTAAATGCTGTCAGTCCATTTACACCTGCTACAGTCCATGTTTCAAAGTGGAGAAAAAGCTGAAAAGCCATTAAAAATATGTAGAACTTACATGTAATGGTCCAATATAGTGATTATTTGTCATTTATTACATAATGAAGCCCAGATGTGCTATATATGGTAAGCCTATTTCTACTAAGATCTCTGCAGTTTTTTTGGACGTGTGTGCATGTGTTTGTGTATATGTCTGAGACTGGGGGATGGGTAATTCATAATAAAAAACGAGATGAAGTCTCGCTCTCTTGTCCAGGCTGGAGTGCAGCCTCAAACTCCTGGGCTCAAGCAATCCTCCTGCCTCAGCCTCTCAAGTAGCTGAGATTATAGATGTGAGCCACTGTGCCTGGCCATAAGAGGCTTCTTGTATTTGAACTTGGCTGAAAAATTGAACAGTAGAGACAAAAAAGCAAGGCCGTGTGATGCGGACTGGGCTCCTGGCGTCCAGCAGTTTTTAAGGAGGTGACAGTTGAGCTGAGACTGAAATGAGGAGAGGGAACCAGCGCTGTGGGGTTCAGAAGGAAGAGCCTTCCAGGAAGGGGGCAGCAGGTACAAAGGTCCTGCAGTTGTGTGGCTGATGCCTGGCGAGCAAAGCAAGGAGAGGCAGAAGAGGCAGGGGCAACCTGCAGGGCCTTGGAGGCCATGGGCAAAGTTTGGATGCTATTCGAAGTATAAACTGGATCATTGGTAGAGTTCACATCAGCCGGTACCTGTCAGATCAAAGGTGTCCAGTCATTTACCGGAAGACCTGCTTTTCAGACTCCTGACATTTGTTCATCATTCATTCATACAATCTTCATTCATTCATCCTTCATTCATTTATTCATTGCCTATTTTGAGTAAAGTGCTATCCTATCCAGTTACAAAGACCAAAGACCAACAAGGAAGAGGAGTCAGTATCAAATAGGCTTTGCTAGATGTTTCTACAGGGCACAGAGGGCAGACAAAGTGGGGAGGCCAGCTGTCCCTGGAGCTGAGGAAAGGTCTGAAAAGAGGATGTGGATCTGAACTGCATCTTGAGAATAGTGTTCTGCAGGCAGCAGATGGGGGAGAGGGGTGTGGCCATGTTTTCAGGACTGGGCGGCCCATGTTTTCATGTCCCCGTGAATGTGATGACTATACACTATATAAGTGGAATCATAGAGTATTTGTGTTTCCGTGACTGGATTATTTCACTTAGCACAATGTCTTCAAGGCTTATCCATGCTGTAGCATGCATCAGAATTTCCTTCCTTTTTAAGGCTAAAGAATATTCCATTGCATGGATATGCCACATTGTGTTTCCCCATTCATCCATGGATGAACACTTGGGTGGTTTCCACCTTACAGCTATTGTGAACCATGCTAAGCAGAGATCTCAAAGGGACTCTTAGGTAGAGGGAGAACCTGGACAGAGGCTCAAAAGGCAAAGGAGGAAATAACTTCAAGAACTGAGCACCATGAAGAGTGAGATCCAATGGCAACCAGAAAGATTAGACTTGCCCAAGTCCCATGTGAAAAAGGATTGGGTCCCCACAGAAAGGCAGAAGGCTTGACTCATGAACGCCTGTCTCCTGGAAAACTGTTGAAATTATACCAATGATATAGAAGTCCATTCCTAAAGCTGCAACAGCACTTAATTATACTTTTTTAAAAATGCAAACTGTTTATCTTTTAGAAACTGTGCCATGTTTCCAAGGATACATTTCTGTCCAAAAGGTGATCTGTGGGGAAAGGCCTTAGAAGCAGTTTCCAAAAAAATTACCAGCCCACAAAAATGTATGCGGGCTCCACCCAGGCCAGTGGAAACCCAAAGAAAATAACACGAAGGCCTTTTTCCCACCTCTCCTGTCCTTCTCAGAATACATACAGACAGATGTAGCCTGCCTTGAGAAAAAATATATTTGGAATTCCAGACCCACTGAAAACAGACTAAAAGATGTGCTTCTGATTTTAAAAGGAATTATTCGTTTTCTTGAAGAATTCACCCTACTAGGGACTTCAGTGAGGAGCTCTCTGGGGTCTCCATCCATTTCTTTAGAAAATATTTGTGGGCCTGAAATATCAAACATCTGAGGAGCTTATAATTAGTTAAGCATTTACGTGTATTAATATATCGTCATGTGGACAGTTGAGAGGGGAGAAGGCACTAGACAAATTTAAAATTGTTAGAAACCATTGGCAACTGATATTCAGAGCCTAAGTTAAAAGCAGGATATGTCTCAGGAGCAAATCTTTTGTGTAAATCCTGGTATTTTTACTGCAGACCTTTAAAATGACAGACGCGGGTGAGTAAAAATTACTTCTGGAAATGGATATGATTAATTAATTCAATTAATTAATTCAATTAAATCAATATAATTCAATTAATTAATTCAATTAAATCAATATAATTCAATTAATTGCCAGCCTTGGTTCACACTGATGAGTGTGCTCATTGGAGAGACTCAGCATGCAAAAGAAAAGACTCATCAATTTGCAGTTATTTAATTTCACGAACTGCCGGATGGTGGAGTCAGTAGCAGCGGCTGGGCCGCAACATGGCGCCTCCCACCTAGACTTCCGGTCAGGAAACTTCCACCTTCCTCCGATTTACGTGGGCCTGCATGAGCCTACTTCTCTTCTTATTCTAGTGCCAGTGGCCTCTGGAGTCTTGGTCCTTCTTACTGGAAGTAGCCCTCCTCTCCTGTTACAGAGGCAATAATTCTCCAGCCTTCCGGTCGCCGCCAAAGCCTCCTGCCTAATCACTTCCTGTATTGTCTCCCTGCGGCTCTTTGCACAGACCTTGGGCTCTGTCGTCTCTGGATTCTTACTGATCTCTTCCTCTTCTCCCAACCGCCTTGTCATGTCTCTTTGAGCTATGTCAGGAGGAACGGAAGGGCACTTTCTTACTACTTTTGTTAGCCAAACGGACAAACTGTCCCCTCCCCTTTGTTGTAACCACACATTCAAGGCTTCCTTCAGTCCAGCCCCATCTCCCTTTTCGTTGCCTCCCTTTCACTACTCCAAATGAGCTTGCCATACTTTAAACGGGTCTTGTACTTTCTTATCCCTTCTCTGGAATGTCATTTCTACTGAAGAAAATCCTACTCTTCCCTCAAGACCCTTCTTTAATCCCCTCTTGCCATGGAAACTTGAGATTTTCATTGAGGAGCTAAGTTGGAAAATATAAACTAGAGCTGAGTCTCTACCCTGGCACTATTGACATTTGGGGCCAGATTATTCTTGGTTGGGGAGACTGTTCTGTGCACTGTAGGATGTGGAGCAGCCTCCCAGGCCTCTACCTGCCAAAAGCACACTCCCCTTTCCCCAAGTGGTGACAACCAACTGTTTCCAGACATTGCCAGATGTCCTGAGGTGGGAGTGAGGGTGAACAGAATTGCCTCCCAGCTGGGGGCTGCTGGACTAATCAACAAGAAGTGGCAAGGACTGCAGGCAAATTGCCTCAGCACTTAGATTTAGCACTGCAAGGCCACTTCGACAGGTGGTAGTGATTTGTGCGTCTCATTTCCTATTCTTGATTGTGACAAGGTTCTGGAGGATGGAGACAGCTACCCCTGCCACAGTTCCCACAGGCTATGTTGTACATAGGGCTTCATATTTAACATGTGAGTGAATGAAACACATGAGCCCGAGTGCTCTTCAGGACGGCAAGGCCTACATCAAGATGGTAAACCTTCAGTTCTTAAAAAAAAAAAAATCACGCAGCCCGTGCCTGAGATCCAATAACCTTCAAACTCCATGTTTTCGATTTGATCTCAATTAACATTCCAGCTCTTTCAATATGTACTTTTCCTTTACCAAATTTCAAAAGAAATTTTAATCAAAGACCCCTACTGTTAATTAATTTCCCTTTTTACCCAGCCAAAATTGCAAATGAAGTTCTTTTTCCAGAAAGTTCGGGGAGCGGGGAGGGGTTTTATAACAGAGCTGCTGCTGAGTCTCATTGCTAGGAGCTGAGTACACAGTGGAGAATATGAAATCCCGAATTCTATGTCCCAGCCCATTGCAGTGGCTTGATTTGTCTCTTGTTTTGCTTTGGAACTTTTCAAAGATTTCACTCTGTTAAAAAGTCAATTTGGAACAAATATAGAGCTGTTATGTCTATTAGAATTGTTTCAGCAACGAAATGTGGCACTCAGCATTTGTTGAACCAATGAATTCTCCTTTTTGCTCTGAGGGAAAGCAAGGTTATAGGGCAAGTTGTATTTTAACCCTTAGCTTTTTTTTTTTTTTTTTTTTTTTTTTTTGTGGTTCAAGCAGTTTGTGAAAGATTTGAAAGCTGCATACATTTGGGGTCACCCCAAAAAGTCAGCCCTGGGCCACGAGCAGTGGCAGAGGAAGCAGTTACAGAGAATTAACAGAGTTACATAAAATTTACTCACTTTGTAGGCAAATATTTCTAACCTTGGCTCCCTTTCTTAAAGATCTATTTCCCCAGCTTTGTTCCCCAGCTCAAAAGCATTTCCCAACACGTGGATCTGCTACCACTGGATCTGCCAAAGCAGAATCCTCTTTTTTTTTTCCAGTTCTTTTTTAGGCCTTCCCAGTAGGCTGAGGAGAAAGTCTCTCGTGGGTGTTAAGGTATCTTTAACCCCTCTATAACACTCCTGACCTCTCACGTTTAACGAAGAACAGACTTCAAAACTTGAGAGCTGAGTGTTAAAGAAAAATAGTAAATGGTAGTATTGGTGGTCCTGGAATGTGCTAAAACCACCAAAGAGACACTGACTCAAGATCATTGCCCAGGTGGCTCTGACGAACTTGGACGAAAACGCATCTCACTGAAGTCTCTATCTTGCGGCCTCTTTACAGGTGTTATTATCAGCCAAGCACCCACTGCGCTGTCTCGGTGCAGGGAGAGCCCCCATTTCTCAAGTTCCCGCAATGTAGCCCCACATTTCTAGTTAGACCAGTAACAGTTCTCATCAGGAGGAGAGGTCGTTTTTAATGCAAGTCAAAATATAAACCACTGAGGCTGGGATAAACTTCAGGGGTAGCAAAGTTCTTTTATTGTTTCCAAATAGACACTCTGGAATAAATTATACATTTAGTTGTCTGGTTACAAAGCTCATAGATAAAATCATGTATGACGTCATTTATCGAGTCATTCACCTTCTCTGATCTATATAAGAATGTTCAATGCTGTGTGATAACATTTTTGATTCTTGTATAAGAAAAGAAGAAAGAGGGTTTTTCAAGAACAGCAGAGAGTGTTACGTTGGCCACAGAATCAAGCAAATGGGCAAAAAAAGCAGCCCTCAGTAAGGAGTAGCCAGACTTTAAAAGTAGTGCCTGTTAGATCACCAAGGTTATGTTTTAAAAATAAAGGGAACCTGGCACAGTGGCTCATGCCTGTAATCCCAACACTTTGGGAGGCTGAGGTAGGAGGATAGCTTGAGGCCAGGAATTCAAGACCAGCCTGGGCAACATAACAAGACTCTGTCTCCACACACAAAAAATTAATTAGCTGGGCCTGGTGGTGCACACTTGTAGTCCCAGCTACTCAGGAGGCTGAGGTGGAAGGATTACTTGAGCCCACGAGTTACTTGAGCCGTGTTTGCACCACTGCACTCCAGCCTGGGTGAGAGGGTGAGACCTGTCTCTAAAATAATAATAATAATTAATAATAATAAAGGGTTGCCATGATGTTACCCATGGGTACATACTATGTGCCTGGTGTATTACATGTATTACTTCTAATCCTTGTAAAAGCCCGGTGGAATTGGAATGATGATCACGCCCTCAGAAGGGTAAAGATATCTTAATGCATGTCTCAGTCCTTTGGGCAGGTAGCTGAGGAATCTTTCCTGCCGCTAAACTCCATGCAATTTGCCTTTCTCCTTAGTTGCTTCCCCTCTTTGTTGCTTCAGAAAGGGTTGGGCCCAGGGTCTAGGAAGAAAGGCAAGGCCCAAGTGAAAGAGAGATGTGTGGGTCCCAGCCTGGGCACCCTGCTCTTGCCAGAAACCCGAGTAGCCTGGACCGCTCGTTCTTCCTCCCCAGGGTCTAGTCCAAGGCTGTAGATGGAGCTGTCTCCTCTGTTGCCCAGTGTTGAAGGCTAGGGGTCATCTCATCCTCTCCCCACTCTGCTTCACCCCCACTAACCCACTGCCCTCTTTTCTACTCACTACTTCCTATAGGTCCCACCACCCAAACTGGTCTTGTATTGATTCTTCCCTTTCTGTTTCTGATTATACTGTTCCAGTTCAGACCCTCTCATGCAGGACTGTTAAAGTAAACTTCCGATTTCTTCCCTTAGATGAAGGGTATGGTGCTGGTCCTCTTGTTCTGTGTTCTTCCAAATCTGGTGCTTCCAGCTGCCCTCAACAATGGCCTTAAGATGGTGGGGGACCCTGGGAGGGGGAGACCACATGATATGGTGGAACATCATGGAATACCAGGAGTGCGTTGAATTAAATCATGTGAACTCATATTTTATTAATGCAACATGATTAAATTATAAGAAACGAGGCCAGGTGCAGTGCCTTACGCCTGTAATCCCAGCACTTTGGGAGGCCAAGGTGGGCGGATCACGAGGTCAGGAGATCGAGACCATCCTGGCTAACATGGTGAAACCCCGTCTCTACTAAAAATATAAAAAATTAGTCGGGCATGGTGGTGGGCGCCTGTAGTCCCAGCTACTCGGGAGGCTGAGGCAGGAGAATGGCATGAACCCGGGGGGCGGAGCTTGCAGTGAGCCGAGATCGCGCCACTGCACTCCAGCCTGGGAGACAGAGCAAGACTCCATCTCAAAACAAAACAAAACAAAACAAAACAAAACAAAAAACAAAAACGAGAGTGTGCGCAGTATCAACTATGAGCATACATTCTTTAAAACTGCTGTTGATTGGGTGAGACAGACTGGTACAGGGCTTCCCAATAATGTGAAACCTGCAGGGTATCACATTAGTTTTTGTTTTGTTGTTGGCTACTCTTCATTAGCAAATAAGAGGAAATATCTACCAAGGGTTTAAGAAATATTGGTAGGGAAAATGTTTTAAATTCGAGGAACCTATTCAATAAATATTTCTGCAGATTGGCGCAAGTGCCATTATTTTATTTGAGCAGTGCCTTTATTTTATTTGAGCAAAGGAAGCCCACAGGATGTTTTAGTATTCCAAGGAAGTGGGGATCAGCAAACATTCTCTATAAAGGGCTAGATAGTAAATGTTTTAGCTTTTGAGGCCCAGATGGTCACTATCTCAACTACTCAGCTCTCCCGATGGAGCTTGAAAGCAGATGTAGACAACATGTGAGAGCTTGGGCCTGGCCGTGTGCCAATCAAACTTTATTTATGGATGCTGAAATGTGAATTTCATGTAATTTTCATGCATCACAGAATATTTTGATTTTGATTTTTTTCTAACCACTTCAAAATGTAAAAGCCATTCTTAGCTCATGGGCCATACACAAACAGGCTAGCGGCTGGGCCAGATTTGGGTGGTGGGCGGTAGTTTCCTGACCTCTGCCCCTGTGGTGCAGTCCAGGGGCTCTGACTCGCATTCGTAGACTTTCTCCAAGTGGTCCATCCTATTTCCCCCTTTATTCCCCGAGCTCCACCCAGCTTGGTCTCTTGACCCCTTCCCTGCCCCACACACCCTCCCCTTGTTTACACCTCTGCCTGATTTTCCCTACCCCACCTCCAGCAGGGTCCAGGACGGGATGCTGCCCAGACTCCCCTGCCCCATTGTTTATGGTACCCTGTTCCATCTGGAGTCTGCACCTGTTACCTTTTGCCACGTAAGGAATTATCTGTGTATGTCTCCTTTTCTTTCTCACCCCATCCATGCAAAACCCTTGAGGATAGAGGCCATGTCTAACTGTATTTGTGGGACACCAAATAGAGTAATTATTTGTCAAAATTACATGAGTTCTTACTAGATAGAGATCACATCTACATCTAAAAATCATTTTGCTTACTTTCTAGTAAAATAGAATCTCTTAAAATATTTGTGAATTCTTAAACTTATCCTGAGATGATTTATTCTAAGTGTCTTCTAGATCATTACCGGCCAATAAAGAAACATAACACAAGCCACGTGTGAAATTTGCAATTTTCTAGTAGCCGCATTTTATTTATTTGTTTTTATTTATTTATTTATTTGAGATGGAGTCTTGCTCTGTCGCCCAGGCTGGAGTGCGGTGGCGCGATCTCGGCTCACTGCAAGCTCTGCCTCCTGGGTTCACACCATTCTCCTGCCTCAGCCTCCCGAGTAACTGGGACCATGCCTGGCTAATTTTTTGTATTTTTAGTAGAGACGGGGTTTCACCATGTTAGCCAGGATGGTCTCAATCTCCTGACCTCGTGATCCACCCGCCTCAGCCTCCCAAAGGGCTAGGATTACAGGCATGAGCCACTGCACCTGGCCTAGTAGCTGCATTTTAAAAAGTAAAAAGAGACAAGTGAAAGTAATTTAATAATACATTTCATCCAATGAACTGTATTGAAAATATTCATTTCAATATATAACCTATATGAAAAATTATTGTCGAGATATTTCACATTCTTTTTTGTGTGCTAAGTCTTAGAAATGTTAGTTCGGACCAGCCCCATTTCAGGTGCTCAGCAGCCACGTGTGGCCCTGGCTTCTATACCGACTGCACAGGTAAAGGTGTTAAAGTCAAAGCAGGCACAAGTTTTAAGTCAACTCTTCCTTTTAAAAGGTGACCACTATATTGGCTACTTACTGGCGTGCAGATACTTCATAGCCGTGAAAACATAAGGTCACTGACAAAGTCTGAGTAGCGTGGGTCCACCTGACCTCAGCGTTGTCCATTTTCTAAAGTGATCATCACTGGACTTTGAAACACAGGTGGTGCCCTCCAAGCCACCTGAGTGATCTGTCCCCAGAATTCCCTAGTGACCATTTCAGGACTTTGGGATCCTGTGTGTAGTCCCCATAATTCTGACTGCTTCTCTTTTACATTATAAAAGTCTTACGTTTTCATCATTAAAAAAAAATCCAAATTGTAAAAAAGAAAAAAAGAGCCTCTGGCTGCTTCTTCCTCTCTCCTCTGCCCCTCCCACCACTAAGAAAAGTTTGGTGTGGATGGTTTCAGATATTTCACAGGCCTGTAAAACATACATACGAATTCTTTAGTGTTTTTTGCATTGGGATGTAATTCACATGCCGCAGAATTCAGGCTCTTAATGTGTACAATTTAGTGGCTTTCAGTATATTCACAAGGTTATGCAACCATCACCACCATCTAATTCCAGAGTCATCACCCCAAAAAGACACCCTGTCCCCATTAAGCAGTCACTCCCCACCTCCCTTCCCCAGCCCCTGGCAGCCACTAAGCCACTTTCTGTCTTTGTGGATTTGCCTGTTCTGGAAACTTCATGAAAATGGAATCATATAGTAAGTAGCCTTTTGTGACTGGCTGTTTTTAGCATGATGTTCTCAAGGTTCATCCACCTTGTACCACGTGTTGGTGCTTCATTCCTTTTCATGGCTGGACTAATAGGGTTTTTTTGTGTGTTTTTTTTTTCTTCTTCAAAAAAGAGATCTTATTTTTCTCACTTTTCTGCCACCTGCTCTTTTACCTAATATTTAGCCTGTATCTTTCCTTATCACTTTCTACTGTGTTTGTGCTTCATTCTTTCTACTAATGGTCTGATATTCCACTCCTGTCCTAAGTACTTACTTAGCCTTTTATTCTATTTTATTTTATTTTTTTGAGACAGAGTCTTGCTCTGTCGCCCAGGCTGGAGTGCAGTGGCACAATCCCGGCTCACTGCAACCTCTGCCTCCCGGGTTCAAGCAATTCTCGTGCCTCAGCCTCCAGAGTAGCTGGGATTACAGGCATGTGCCACCACGCCCGGCAAATTTTTTGTATTTTAGTAGAGACGGGGTTTCACCATGTTGGCCAGGCTGGCCTCGAACTCCTGAGCTCAGGCAATCTGCCCCACTCAACCTCTCAAAGTGCTAGGACTGCAGGCATGAACCACCGCACCCGGCCTTAGTTATTTATTTATAGGCATTTTGGTTATACCTTCCACTTTACCGCCAATGCTGCAGTAAGCACCCGTGTCCAAATATATTTGTGTACACGTGTGAGATGTTTGCCCACTCGCGGCAGGGAAATTGCTGAGCCTGATGGACTTCCTCCCCTTGGCGTTAGCTTGCCGCCACTTACATCTGCGCTCCATTCCTACTATAAAGGTGACTTTCCACTTTTGTCCTCTCCTGAAACTACGCCGCCTCCAGCAGGACCGGGGCCACCTCCTCGCCTCCCCGACACCACAGGGCCTTTTTTTTACCACATGCGTGTCCGTTGCCCTAAGTCCCCGTCCCACTCCTTGCCTCTCAGGCCAACACAAACTCTTTAGCTTCTTAACATTTCAGAGTAGCAGGTCCCGGACCCTTTGACAGCCTCGTGAAAACTTGTGTCCCCACCCTCCAGGAGAATGCACACTGAACTCACCCACAGTGTTCTGTGGGCCACTTAGGAGGTGCTCAAACCCCCTGGCAGCCTCTCCCTCCCCCGGCCCCTCCTCTGGAACGTGTTCCCTGTCAGCTTAGCTCTGCCTATCCTACAGTCCACGTGTGACTGACTCAGCCTCATTCTGTCACCGTGAGCTGCGCCCATGCTCGCGTGTGCCTCTTGGGGAGGCCTGGCTGCTGGGCTGGTTTGCGCAGCCACAAGCTCATGCTTGTCGCCCTTGACTCCTGCGCGGACTCGAGCCTAGCAACGGCCTGCCCCGCCCCTCTGAATTCCCTCTGGACGCGTGGCTGTAAACTCTGCTACCTTTATTCTCCAGCAGAGCACTCGTTCTTCTGCCTTCTCAGCGGAAGACCTTCCTTCCAGCAGCCCAGCATGCAGCCTGCGGGGCCACCCTCCGTCCCAAGCTGCTTTCTTGGGTCATTGACCCCCTGCTGCCATGGCCCGGGTTTAGGGACTTGAGCCCCTGCTCTCTCCAGCCCGAGGAGGGAGCTCAGTTGTGCAGCCACTAGATCCTGTTCTTGAATGTCTTCCTTGCTGTTATAGTTGGCTTCTTCTTATGGTACAAATTCTTTCTCTTTAACTCTACGTAAACAATTTAAAACCAGAATTCCTGTGACCTAATCCTCGATAAAGTTATTCATTCTTAATCTGAGCTTTTCTCCTATTTTAAATTCAGTGAATCATGGTTTTCTTTTTTAACATCCTTTAAGATTTCTGAGACACCAACCTCCACAGTTTTCCTCCCCCCACTCCCGGATGTAGAATCTTCTAGAAACTCCCTGCTCCTTTATTCTCCAGGGTTAATGTTCACTGAGGGCTTGGCCCAGAAAGTCTACAATTCTCTGACTCCCAAACTGGGACATAGTCTCATTTCAGATTCCTGATTGTAAAATGCCTACCTCCCGCAGTTCATTCCTCATTCAGTCCCTCGGCTTATTCTGTTGATGGGTCTCATGTAAACACGTTTTGCGGCTTAGACTCAGAGTTCCTGAAACAGATTTCCCCACACCTACTTCTCTCCCATCACTCGAGATTTTCACAAACAGTCTGTTAGGGATCGTGTCCAACAGATATTGTTGTTTGTTACTGAAGTTTATTTCTGAAAATGTTCGAATTGTACTTTGTACGTTCTCGTGCCTAATTTTCTCATAATTATGAGAATATTGCATTTTACTTCTCCTGAGGTGAGGAATGCAGGAATGCTTTTAGTCTCTATATCATTGTTTCTCTTCGTGGCTGGCATTTGCCAGCACTCAGCGTCATCTTCTTTTTTCAATTGTGATAAAATTCACATACAATTCACCTTTTTTTTTTTTTTGAAGATAGGGTCTTGCTCTGTCGCCCAGGCTGCAGTGGGGTGGTGCGATCATGGCTTATTGCAGCCTCCACCTTCTGGGCTGGGACTATAGGTGCACGCCACCATGCCTGGCTAATTTTTTGTAGAGACAAGGTCTCACTATGTTGCCCAGGCTGGTCTCAAACTCCGGGATTCAAGCAATCCCCAGCCTCAGCCTCCCAAAGTGCTGGGTTTACAGGCATGCGCCACCACACCCAGCCCAAAATTTACCATTTTAACCACTTTAAAATGGTTTTCATTTGGTGGATTTTAGGATTTTCACAGTGTTGTGAAGCCATCATCACTCTCTAATTCCAGAACATTTCCATCACCGTGAAAAGAAACTCCATACCTATTAGAAGTCGATCACAGTCCCCTACTCCCAGCCCCTGGCAAACACCAAGTCTGCTTCTTGTCTATGTGGGTTTTCCTATTCTGAATATTTCCTGTAAATAGAATCATACAATATGTGACCTTTTTCGTGACTGACTTCTTTCACTTGTGTGTATATAAATATATATTTAAGCCCTGGAAGGTTGGGTAATATTGTTTTGCAGTTCATCCACATTGTAGCCTGTGTCAGAGCTTCATTCTTTTTTATGGCTGAATAGTATTCCACTCCATGGGTGGACCACATCTGTTTATGCATTCATCCCTTGATGGGCATTTGGGTTGTTTCTACCTTTTGACTATTACGAATAGTGCTGCTATGAATATTTGTGGACAAGCTTTTGCCTGGACATATAGCTTCATTTCTTCAGGGAATATACCTAGGAGTGGAGTTGCTGAGTCGTATGGTAACTGCAAGTTAACTGCCAAATTGTCCTTTCACAGTCCCACCGGCAGGGAGTGAGGGCTCCAGTTTCTCCACATCCTCACCAACACTTTTATTTTTCCCTGTTTTTAGTATAACCAGCCTCGTAGGTGTGAAGTGGTGTTTCATGGTGGTTCTTATTTGTGTTTCTGTAATGACTGATGATGCTGAGCCTCTTTTCATGTGCTTTCATCTGTCTATAGCTCTTCTTTGGAGAAATGTGTATTCTTTTTTTTTTTTTTTTTTGAGACAGAGTCTCACTATGTCACCCAGGCTGTAGTGCAATGGCGTGATCTTGGCTCACTGCAACCTCACCCGGCTGAGAAATTTGTATTCAAAGGTGTTATCTGGGCTGGCATGGTGGCTCATGCTTGTAATCTCAGCACTTTGGGAGGCTGATGCAGGAAGATCACTTGAGCTCAGTAGTTCAAGACCAGCCTGGGCAACATGGTGAAACCCTGTCTCTATGAAAAATTCAAAATGCAAAAATAGCCAGGTGTGGTGGTGTGGGCCTCTGGTCTCAACTACTCCAGAGGGTGAGGTGGGAGGACCTCTTGAGCCTGGGACGTTGAGGCTGCAGTGAGCGATGTACATGCCACTGTACTCCAGCCTGAGTGACAAAAGCGAGAACCTGTCTCAAAACAAACAAACAAACAATCCAAAGATGTTATCTTATACAAACAATCCAAAGATGTTATCTCATATAATAATTTTCTCTAATCCACAAGTTTCTGTTCCTCTGTGAAATGCCCAAAGACCCTGAATCATGAAGGTCCCCAGCACATGTAAGAGCTACACAGGGTGGTGGAGGGAAGGGAGGGTGACAGTTCATTCAGATGCTACAACAAAAATATTAGAGACTGGCTGGCTTCTAAACAACAGGAATGTGTTGCAGTCAGCTCTGGAGGCTGGGAAGTCCAAGATCAAGGCACTGGCAGATTCAGTGTCTGGGGAGGGCCTGCTTTCTGGTTCGGCTTCTGCCTTCTAGCTGTGTCCTCACGTGATGGAAGGGGCAGGGGAGGTCTCTGGGGCCTCTTTTGCAAGGACCCTAATCCCATTCCTGTGGGTGCCATGCTCATGACCTAATCATCTCCCAAAGGCCCCACCTCCAGATGCCGTCATATTGGGGGTTAGGTTTCAACATGTGAGTTTTGGGGGGACACAACATTCCAACCATAGCACAGGGTCAGAATCCAGAGGACATGAGGGCTGGCCTCCCCCTTCCCTGTGACATTGCTCCAGCTCCTGCCCGTGCACACTCCCTTTTCAGAGACTGCCCAAAACCCCACATCCTCCGCCACTGAGATGGAGACAGGACAGGAGTGTTGGTCTTCACCCCCAGAGTGTCCCTGACCTGCTGGACGCAGATTTCTAGCGTGGTTATTTGTCATTACATGGGCTATTTGATACCTGCCCTTTTATTTATTTGGAGTTATTTTAGGCTCTGTTTTAAAGACATGAGTCCAAACATCTGAGTCTAATACAGAGTGGGCAAACTAGCCCATGGGCTAAATCCAACTCACTGCCTGTTTTTGTACAGCCCATGAACTAAGAATGCTTTTTTCCTACATTTTTAAGTAGTTGGAAAAATCAAAAGAAGAATATTTTAGGACATACAAAATTATCTGAAATTCACATTTCAGTGTCCATAAATTGTGCTTGCTTCAGCAGCAAATATACTAAAACTGGAACCATAAATAAAGTTTTATTGGCACACAGCCACAGTCATTTCACCCTACAATGGATGGGGTTGAGTCATCTTGACAGCGAGCGCTTGACCTGCAAAACCTAAAATATTTACTATTCCACATTTTACAAAAAAAGCTTGCCACCCCCTGGTCTAACGCACATTACTTGGCTATATGTGACTAGTACTCATGTGTATATGAATGTGATGCTGATTTTGAGGTTTATAAAACCCCTTAGGCTCTTCAATGGTGTTTAACATATTTTTGCTTTCTCTAAGAGAGAGAGGAATAATATTTACTTTGTTATCTTCTCCAGTTTGTTGTAATTAAAGAAGAGTCTTTGGCTACATCCATCTTGCAGGATGAATTTCGTTGCCTTCTTATACCTATGAGAACTGTGCCTTTAAAAAAAAATGCTGGGCTGGCATGGTGACTCAAGCCTGGAATCCCAGCACTTTGGGAGGCTGAGGCGGGTGGATCACCTGAGGTCGAGAGTTCGAGACCAGTCTGACCAACAGGGAGAAACCCCATCTCTACTAAAAATACAGAATTAGCGGGGCATGGTGGCACATGCCTGTAATACTAGCCACTCAGGAGGCTGAGGCAGGAGAATCGCGGGAGGCGGAGGTTGCAGTGAGCCGAGATCACGCCACTGCTGTCCAGCCTGGGCAACAAAAGTGAAACTCCGTCTCAAAAAAAAAAAAAAAAAAAAAAAAAGCTGTAGTGCCCTGGCCCTTCTCTGTGGCATTCTTCTTTGTCTTTCAGGCCCTGGCCAGCCTGGGTTAGGCTTAGAGCAGCACTCTGGGCTGGGAAGGGCTCTGTGTTCAGGGGTCATTGCTTCCTCTTTGTTCTCGTCTCTGACTCACCAACATGCAGCTCTGGGTGACTGTCCCTTGAGGACTGTGGCTTCCTGGCGGGTTAAGCCAGTTCTGGAAGTGGGTGTGCAGCTTATGGCAGCCAGGAGTGGTTTCTGAAATTAATTACTGCTCTAGATGATGATGTAAGGAGTGAGACTCCTGGGGAGAAACTGCCCATGTGGAGAAACCCAGCACCTGTAACCCATCACCTTCGTATCAAAACACGCTGTCCACCTAAGAAGGGCGAATGTGCCATGGCTAATCAAGGAAAATAATTTCTGTTTAGCTGTCAAAAAAGCTATTTCCATGATATCAGCCCTTTGATTTGGAGCTGAAACCTCCAAATCAAAATAAATTCTGCAGCATCTGAATCTTTTGTTGTAGCTGGATTTTTTAGAGTGAAGGCATTGCTAGGAATTACTGACAGAGTCCAGGGAGGGGCTAGAATTGGAATCGGGCTTCTCTGAGGTGAGAAAGTTAGTGGGGACTCGCCTTAATGCCTGGCTGTGGAACTGATCAAGGTCACTGGCTAGATGTGGTAAATCAGATGGGCTTCCTTGGGTTGGATGGGTGGATGCTAGAAAAAACTGCACTTCTCTCTAAGTCCCTTTACTCGCCTCTGGCAGGCATCTCCCTCCTGGGCTTCCTCTGATCCTCGATCCTCAATTCCTGGGCTTGGTGGACTGTGGGTTAATTATCTCCTAAGTGTTCTTTGAAAGCAGAGCCAATTATCAGCACAGTCCCTTCCCAGGCTGTTTGAATTCCTAAATACAGGGCAGTGGGAGGGAGGAGTAGCCACCTGTGGACTGTGGCTCCCTGCTGGAGACGGGTGTGCGTCTCGCTTCGCCCCTGTGAAGGTTATGCCTGTCGCCCTGTCTATCATGAGTCTGTCTCTGCAGCTTGTGGCTTCTGACCCGCTGCGACCATCTGCCTGTGCTCAGTCCCCACCCAGGAAGTGAACTGATTCTGTCACTTTCTTCTAAAGACCACAGATCTGCCTGGTTTATACAACGAAGCTCGTCTGAATTGGAGTCCTCAAATTTGTGAATTTAAGTTTTAAAAGATTAAAAAAAAAAAGACATACTGCTGTAGCCCAGTGGTTTTTAATCTTTCATCAGTCTGGATCTCTTTCAAAATCTGCTCAACACTGGGAATTTCTCCTCAGAAGAACAGGCATGGAAGGGCAAAAATTACATGACAATCTACGTTAGTAGTAAACAGAAAAGGCAGAGGTGCCCATGTGATGTTTGTATCTCTGTAGAGTTGTGTGGTCAGAACAGACAAATTCCCTTTGCAAATAATAGTAAGGAAGCGCATCACTGAAAACAGGAATGAGCCGTGTGCGTGGATGCATCCATTACTGTCAAAGGGGAGACACAGAAGTCATCTAATTCCTGTGAGCTTCTCTTGCAATTCACTTTTACAGTGCCCTTTCCGGCAAGATTAGATTCTTGTGTGTTATTACTTAACTTTAATTATTTGCTTATAATGCAGTCATGCCATGCATAACATTTCCGTCAACAGCAGACCACATATACAAGTGATCCCATAAGATTATAATGCTGTATTTTTCCTGTACCTTTTCTATGCTTAGCCATGTTTGGAGATACAAATACTTACCACTGTGTTACAATTGCCTGCACTGTTCACTGCAGTCACATGCTAGACAGGTTTGTAGCCTGGGAGCAATAGGTTATACCATACAGCCCAGGTGTGCTACGTAGGTTGTAGCGTCTAGGTTTCTGTAAGTATCACTCTGTGATATTCGCACAATGATGAAATTGCCTGAGGTTGCATTGCTGAGAACGTATCCCTGTCAGGAAGCGACTCATGGCCGTATTTTACTCCTGCAAGGGTGCCAAGATCATTCGATGGGGTAAATACAGTCTTTCCAATAAATGATGCTGGGAAAACTGGGTTTCCACATTCAAAAGAATGAAATTGGATCTCCCCTGCCTTTTTTTTTTTTTTTTTTTTTTTGAGACAGGATCTTGTTCTATCACCCAGGCTGGAGTGCAGTGGTACAATCATGGCTCACTGCAGCCTCGGCCTCCTGGGCTCAAGAGATCCTCCTGCTTCTGCCTCCCAACTAGCTGGGACCACAGGCATATGCCACCATGCCAGGCTAATTTTTAAATTTTTTATAGAGACGAGGTCTCACTATGTTGCCCAGGCTGGTCTTGAACTCCTGGCCTCAGGCAATCCTCCCACCTCACCCTCCCAAAGTGCTGGGATTACAGGCGTGAGCCACTGTGCCCAGCCAGGACTTTTATTTTATAACATACACAAAAATTAACTCAAAATGGATCAAAGACCTAAACATAAGAGCTAAAACTGTAAAATTCTTAGCAGAAAACATAGGGAGACATCTTTATGACACTGGATCTGGCAATGATTTCTTGGATAGGACATCAAAAGCACTCACGACAAAAGGAAAAACAGAAGGATTAGGCCATCAGCGTTCAAAACTTTTGTGCATCAAAGAACAGTAGCAACAGAGTAAAAAGACAACCCAAGGAATGGAAGAAAATGTTTCCAAATCATTTCTAATAAGAGGTTAATATTCAAAATAGATAAAGAATTTCTGTAACTCAGCAAAAAAATTTTTTAATGGGCAGAGGACTTGAGTAGATATTTCTCTTTCTTCAAAGAAGATATTCAGATGGCCAATAAGCAGTTGGAAAGGTGCTTCATACCAGTTATCATTGCAGAAATGCAAATCAAAACCCTAATAAGATACCACTTCACACCCATTACGATGACTGTTACCCAAAAGAAGAAAGACAGAAAAATGTTGATAAGAATATGGAAAAATTGGAACTGAACCCATGTGAACTGTTGGTAGGTGTGCAAAATAGTGTAGCTGCTTTGGAAAACAGTATTTGTACACTCAGACAGGGATTTGTACACTCATGTTCATAGCAGCATGATTTACAATAGCTAAAATGTGGCAGCAACTCAAGTGTCCACCAACAAATGAATGGATAAATAAAATGTGATCCATCTATACAATGGAATACTATTCAGCCTTGAAAAAGGAAGGAAATTCTGACACAGGCTGCAACATGGACATTATGCATTATGCTTAAGGACATCATGCTCAGTGAAAGAAATCAGACACAAAAGGACAAATCCAGCCGGGCGCAGTGGCTCACACCTCTAATCCCAGCACTCTGGGAGGCCAAGGTGGGTGGTGGATCACCTGAGGTCAGGAGTTTGAGACCAGCCTGGCCAACATGGTGAAACCCAGCCTCTACTAAAAATATAAAATTAGCCGGGCGTGGTGGCAGGCACCTGTAATCCCAGCTACTTGGGAGGCTGCAGCAGGAGAATCACTTGAACCCAGGAGGCAGAGGTTGCAGAGAGCCAAGATCGCACCACTGCACTCCTGCCTGGGCAACAAGAGCGAGATTCTGTCTCAAAAAAAAGAAAGAAAGAAAGAAAAAAAAGGACAAATCCAGTGTGATTCCACCCCTAGGAGGTCCCTAGAGTCATCAGATCCATAGCGACAGAAAGTAGAATGGTGGGTGCCAGGGGCTGGGGAGGGGGTAGGGAGTGAGTGTTTCATGGGGACAAAGTTTCAATTTGGGAAGATGAGAATGTTCTGGAGATGGATGGAGGTGATGGTTGCACAACAGTGTGAGTGTGCTTAATGCTACTGAACTGTATATTAAACATGGTTAAAATGGTAAATTGTACATTATGCACATTTTACCACAATTAATGATAAAGAGTAATTGACTCGTCATATTTCCCAGCATTACTTTACTAGGAGGCATATGCTTTTTATGGTTTGCCTCTAGTAAGTCCCTACGCTGTCCTGCTAAAGCAGAGGATCACAGCTTTAATAAAGACCCTAAATATTTATCTTGCCTGTGGTCATGTATAGCTGAACAATGCACAGCGAACTCATTTAGTTTCCATGCGCTTAACTGGGCTAACTCTGCTTTTGAGCCTAATGGAAAGCTTGGGGCAGGTGGAGGACCGGTTCTTTAGCACTCACAGACGATTCCCACACCACACTCCCATATCCGGTCTTCTCTGCCGAGAATTCTCCCTGCCCAAGAGGTCTGGGGTGCCCTGGACACGTGTGCTCATCTCCTGTATTTGGAGATCTGGGGCTGGGAAGAGAATGTAAAGCAACCTAAACAGTAATTTAAGAATGGAGAAAATGGGACTAAATTATTCAGACACGTTTGAGTGCCTACTCGCTAGCAGGCATTTTCCGCTGCCTATAATTATGAGTAAGACATGTTCCCCCAAAGGCCATCCAAGATAGGGGTCACAGCCTGGGCAAGATGGTGAGACCCCATCTGTACAAAAAATTAAAAAATTACCCGGGCATGGTGGCACATACCTGTGGTCTCAGCTTCTGGGGAAGCTGAGCAGGAGGATCACTTGAGCTCTGGAAGTGGAGGCTGCAGTGAGCCATGTTTGCACCACTGCACTCCAGCCTGGATGACAGAGCAAGACCCGGCCTCAGAATAAATAAATAAATGAATAAAAATTAAAAAAAAAAAAAACGGGTCAGCAGACTACATCTAGCACACTACTGTGGGTTTTTATTTTTGTTTTTAGTTTCCACGAGTTGAGAATATTTTTTGCGTTTTTAAATGATTGGAAACAAGACAAAATATTTTGTGACACATGAAAATGATATGAAATTAAATTTCAGTGTCCATAAATAAAGATTTATTGGAACAGCACCAGCACCAGGGTCAGAACTAGCATGAGGCAGTGAGGCCCTCGCCTGGGATGCAAAATTTAAGGCAGTGCCTACAAAAATCCACAGTCATCAAGATACACAATGTTTTAATGCAGTATTTTAAAAAATCAAAATAAATGCCAAAAAATTTCATGATGAAGGCCGGGCACAGTGGCTCATGCCTGTAATTCTAGCACTCTAGGAAGCCAAGGCGGGTGGATCACTTGAGGCCAGGAGTTCAAGACCAGCCTGGACAACAGGGTGAAACCCCGTCTCTACAAACAATACAAAAATTAGCTGGGGGTAGTGGCACGTGCCCGTACTCCCTGAGCCCAGGGAGGTTGAGGCTGCAGCGAGCCGTGTTTGTGCCACTGCAGCCTGGGCAACAGAATGAGACCCTGTCTCAAAAAAATAATGGGAAAAAAATTCCATGATGAGCAAAATGTTGAAATTTTACATAAAGACAGGATCAGCACTGCTGCTTCTTTTTCCTCTTTGCCCCAGGCTCTAGCATGGCTCTGAAAAGCGCTGAGTGCAGCGGCCACACTCACTCCTCCTACTGTCCAGAGGCAGAGTTGAGTAGTCTCAACAGAGACCTGCAAAGCCAAAAATGTGTATTTTCTGGCCCTTATAGAAAGTTTTCCAGTGGCTAACACCTGTAATCCCAACACTTTGGGAGGCCAAAGTGGGCGGATCCCATGAGCCCTGGAGTTCAAGACCAGTCTGGGCAACATGGCAAAACCTCATCTCTACAAAAAATACAAAAACTAGCTGAGAGTGGTGGTGCACGCCTGTGGTCCTAGCTACACGGGAGGCTGTGGTGGGAGGATGGCTTGAGCCCAGGAGTTAGAGGATGAAGTGAGCTGTGATCGCGCCACTGCACTCCAGCCTGTGTGACAGAGAAAGGCTCTGTCTCAAAGAAAAAAAGAAAACTTTCCAACCCCTGATAGACATCAATTCAGGAGAGAAGGACCCTCCTCTTACTATATTAATCCCCAGCAATGACTATAACCAAACTAGATTCAACATCTGGTCCATTTCCCCTGTCTACCATTTTTTTTTTTTTTTTTTTTGAGACAGGGTCTTACTCTGTTGCCCAGGCTGGAATGCAATGGAACGATCTCAGCTCACTGCAACCTCTGCCTCCTTGGTTCAAATGATTCTCCTGCCTCAGCCTCCCTAGTAGCCTCCCTAGTAGCTGGGATTACAGGTGTGCACCACCACACCCAGATAATTTTTGTTTTTGTTTTTGTTTTATTTTGTTTTGTTTTTGAGACGGAGTCTCACTCTGTCGCCTAGGCTAGAGTGCTGGAGTGCAGTGGCATGATCTCAGCTCACTGCAAGCTCCGCCTCCAGGTTCACGCCATTCTCCTGCCTCAGCCTCCAGAGTAGCTGGGACTACAGGTGCCCACCAGTACACCCAGCTAATTTTTTGTATTTTTTAGTAGAGATGGGGTTTCACTGTGTTAACCAGGATGGTCTTGATCTCCTGACCTCATGATCTGCCCGCCTCGGCCTCCCAGAGTGCTGGGATTACAAGCGTGAGCCAACGCGCCCGGCCAATTTTTGTATTTTTAGTAGAGACGGTGTTTCACCATGTTGACCAGGCTGGTCTTCAACTCCCGACCTCAGGTGATCCACCCTCCTCGACCTCTGAAAGTGCTGGCATTCCAGGCATGAGCCGCCGCGCCCAGCCCTCCATCTACCTTTATATGTACCTGTTTAAAAAAGTGAGTGTACACTCAAATTATTTAATTTTTGGATAATGGTACATGTAAGCCAATAGCAATTAACACTGAATTAATAAGCATGCTAATGTTTGTGTGCTGTGATGATTTACTGAGAGTATAATTACCTGCATTAAAAATGTATAGAAGCCATCATTTACTTTCATGTTAACTAAATGCTTAATTATTTAATCCTTCATGCAATGGGCTTAGTGTTACTTGGTTTGTTTATAAAATGATATGATTCCTTCCCCGGTTCCACAGACAGGTCTTAGAAGCATAATTAATTATTCTTTTTATTTGTTTAAAATAGAGACAGGGTCTTCCTTTTCGGCCTGGTTGGCCTCAATCAATCCTCTCACCTTGGCCTCCCAAAGTGCTAGGATTACAGGGGTGAGCCACCATACCCGGCCGGGAAGCAGACTTATTATGAACTTTTTTAAAGTAGTGAATGTCTTTGTCTTGGTTTTCCTGCATTCACTCTTTCTGTCTATAATCTAAGAAGAGTGCTCTTTTAAAAGATGTAAGTCAGATTATATTGTGCCTGTGGGTTGAGCCTCCTGGGGCTTCCCTTAGCAATTGGATTTTTTTTTTTTTTTTTTTTGAGATGGAGTCTTGTTCTGTTGCCCAGGCTGGTATGCAATGGCATGATTTTGACTCACTGCAACCTTCACCTCCCAGGTTCAAGTGATTCTCCTGCCTCAGCCTCCCAAGTAACTGGGACTACAGGCGTGCATCACCACACCCAGCTAATTTTTGTATTTTTAGTAGAGATGGGGTTTCACCAGGTTGGCCAGGCTGGTCTCAAACTCCTGACTTCATGATCCACCCACCTCAGCCTCCCAAAATGCTGGGATTACAAGCATAAGCCACTGAGCCCCGACAGCAATTGGAATTTTAAAACTCCAGACATCTGACCTTGTCCAGGGCCTCTGCTGCTGCAAGACCTTTGCACAGCTATTCCTCTTGCCCAGGCTGCTCTCTCCCACATCCTCCCAAGGTTGGCCCCTTCTTTGCAGCTGTCAGGTCCCAGCTCAGTGCCATCCTTAGTGCCACCCATAACTGGCTATCAAGAGGGGAGCCCTCTCCACCACCACCCCTGGCTCTATCCCTCTGCAATCACCTTGCACCACAGCCCGGATCTCTACTGAACAACCTTGTGTATCTGGAACCTTGTGTATTCTTGCCTGACAAGGATACTGGCACCCTGAGAGCAGCACTTTCATCTGACCTGCTCACCTTAGAATCCTCAGGCTGGGTGTCGTGGCTCACGTTTTAATCCCAGCATTTTGGGAGGCCAAAGTGGGAGGATTGCTTGAAGCTGAAAGTTCGAAACCAGCCTGGGCAACAAAGCAAGACCTCACCTTCTCTCTCTCTCTCTCTCTGTCTCTCTCTCACATACACACACACACACACACACACACACACACACACACATTAACCAGGCATGTGCCTGTGGTCCCAGCTACTCACAGGAGGCTGAGGCAGGAGGAATGCTTTAGCCCTGGAGTTAGAGGCTACAGTGAGTTGTGATCTTGCCACTGCACTCTCCAGCCTAGGCAACAGAGCAAGACCCATCCCTAAAAAAACAGAATCCTCAGAGCCTAGAATGGGGCTGGGCACTCAGTAGATGCACCTGGTTTTTCTTTTTTTTTTTTTAATTTATATTTTAAATCTACATACAGTCGTGTTTGCCTTTTTAGGTTTGCTGTTCTATGGTTTTTCACACTTGCATACTTTTTTTTTTTTTTTTTTGAGACAGAGTCTTGCTTTGTTGCCAGGCTGGAGTGCAATGGTGCAATCTCAGCTCACTGCAACCTCCGGCTCCCTGGTTCAAGTGATTTTCCTGCATCGGCCTCCCAAGTAGCTGGGACTACAGGCACGAGCCACCATGCCCAGCTAATTTTTGTATTTTTAGTAGAGACGGAGTTTCACCATGTTGGCCAGGATGGTCTCGATCTCCTGACCTCGTGATCCACCCACCTCAGCCTTCCAAAGTGCTAGGATTACAGGCGTGAGCCACCACACCCAGCCCACTTGCACAGATTCTTATAACCTCCATCTCAAACAGGATGGA
Organism: Homo sapiens; assembly: GCF_000001405.40. Taxonomy (NCBI): domain Eukaryota; kingdom Metazoa; phylum Chordata; class Mammalia; order Primates; family Hominidae; genus Homo; species Homo sapiens. Next base: position 6,079,562 of record NC_000019.10, on the reverse strand, counting down.
GAGCAAGTCCAACCTCTCTCTGTAGTCAGACCCTGGCCCCATTCTTAGCCTCTGGCCACCATCTGCTGTCCCTTTCTATAGCTCTGCCTTTTCCAGAATGTCGTATAAATGGAAACATACATTGTGCAGCTTTTGAGACTGGCTACATTCACTTGGCATAAATGCCTCTGGGATTCATTCTGTCATTGCGTGTGTCAGTCGTTTGTTCCTTTTATTGCTGGAGCACAGTCCTTGTGTGATCCTACCACAGTTTGTTTGTCTGGTATATTTTCTCTTCATGATGGATGTTGAATTAACATGAAAACCTCTGGTTGTAAGAGCGACAGCATACTCTAGACCAAGTACACTAAATCGCAGTGATACTCCCTGCACAAACAGCCATTCTGTTTGGTAATTTACAGGATTACAGTTTGGTAATTTACAGGAACCTGCATGTCTTAGAATGTTTACCAATGAATTACAACTTTTAAAATGATATGCAAGTAATGGCCGGGCGCCGTGGCTCACGCCTATAATTCCAGCACTTTGGGAGGCCGAGGCAGGTGGCTCTCTTGAGGTCAGGAGTTCGAGACCAGCCTGGCCAACATGGTGAAACCCCGTCTCTACTAAAAATACAAAAATTAGCTGGGCATGGTGGCATGTGCCTGTAATCCCAGCTACTTGGGAGGCTGAGGCACTAGAATAGTTTGAACCCGGGAGGTGGAGGTTGCAGTGAGCTGAGATTGTGCACTGCACCCCAGCCTGGGAGACAGAGCAAGATTCCATCTCAAAAAATAAAATGATATGCAAGTAATACAAGTAACATTCTCCTGGGAAGGACCACCATCTACAGCAGGAGATTCAGAAATGAAAATTTCTCTTTTCGTCTTTCTGTCTATCCCACCTCATATGAGGTAAGCACTGTTAGTCATATAACTTGTGTCCTTCTAGATCTTTTTAAGGCCCCTTTACCTATTTTATAGTATGTATAGCTGGGGTTTTTTCAACATAAATTTATTCTGCAAATATTTGAGAGCCTACTGTGTGCCAGGCACTGCAGATGTTGGCTTTCTTTCTTGGAGACGGTACCTCTTCTTTTTAATGGCAGCATAGTTTTAGAGCTAGGATGCACCATAAGGTACTTAATGATTTTCCTGTTGATGAACATTTGTTTCTAAATTTTTATGACTTAAACTAATGCCACTGGGGACAGGTCGTCAATATACCTTTTTTTTTTTTTTTTTTACAGCTGTGCTGAGATCTGTTTTACATACCGTAAAGCTCACCCATTTGAAGTGTATGGTTCAGTGGGTCTTAGTATACTATCTTCACAGAACATTTTCATCACTCCGAAAAGAAGAAGAAACCCTGAACCTGCCATGAACAGCCACTTGCCCTTCCTCCTCCCAGCCCCGGGCAACTGTGAATCCACTTTCTGTCTCTGTGGATTTGCCTGTTTTGAACCTTTCATATAAACAGAATCACACACTATGTGGCCTTTTGTGACTGGCTTCTTCCACGTAACATAATGTTTTCAGGGTCCACTGTCCATCCGTTTACAGCATGTGCCAGTGCCTCGTTCCTTTTTTTTTTTTTTTTTTTTGAGATGGAATTTTGCTCTTGTTGCCCAGGCTGGAGTGCAATGGCGCGATCTTGGCTCACTGCAACCTCCGCCTCCCGGGTTCAAGCGATTCTCCTGCCTCAGCCTCCCAAGTAGCTGGGATTACAGGCATGTGCCACCACGCCCGGCTAATTTTGTATTTTAATAGAGACAGGGTTTCTCCATGTTGGTCAGGCTGGTCTCAAACTCCTGACCTCAGGTGATCCACCCGCCTCAGCCTCCCAAAGTGCTGGGATTACAGGTGTGAGCCACCGCGCCCGGCCGCCTTCGTTTATCCATCCATCAGTTGACAAACATTTGGGCTGTTGCTACTTTGGGGCCATTAGGACAACGCTGCTGTGAACATTGGTATCCAAGCATTTGTGTGGCCATGCACTGTTTAGCACATGTCTACTTCTGCAGGATGAATTTTGAGGAGGGGAAAAAGACCCCACTTATAGCTAGCTCTTTGTCTCTGACTGTGTAGGTTTGAACATCTCGTAAGTCTTGAGAAATGCTTGGAGGCCATTTCCTGCAGAGGCACACGCCCCTCTTGGGTGGGCTGGGGGAGGCAGTGGCAGAGCCCAGCCCACCTGCCCCAGCCACCAGTGCTCCCGGGTTTTGCATTCAGCCCCTGGCACACACTCATGGCTAACCCTGGTGCCCTTGCCTGTCTTTGACCCAGCACTGGCGAAGGAATTGGCAAAGCCACCAGGTTAATGATGCAAGCCCCAGAAACTTGCGGCATAGATGAGAAGGCAAATGGCCTCTCCTTTTGGAGAACTAAAGAGATTTAAGGAAGCTTGCTGGCTCACTCCCTCTCACCGGCAAGGATGGCACTAAACACAGTCCGCATCAATCACTGTTTTTGTTATGCGATTTATGAGTTGCTCAGCCGAGAATAAGGTTGCACGTGGTAGGAGGAGTTCTGTGTGTACCGAGGTCTCATGGAAGGACTGGATTTCTAGGGAAGAAAAGGGAAAAGGGAGTTGATGTTAAAATATCATTTCTATAACAGTAATGCAGTAGTGTTCATCTAGAAGGAGAGCTGCCACATTTGGCAAGATGCTGGGAGAGAAACAAGTATTAAGTACTTGGTTAAAATGACAAACCCCACAAATATGCCCTGGAATGAATATAGCTCATAGCAGGAGGCACTCCCTAAAGGGCTTAGCAACATCACAAATAGCGAAGAGTTTTTGAAATCACAAATAGCAAACAGCATAACTGCTTTTAGTTTCAGATATTTAAATCTGCAAAAAATCAGTAAATTATGTGGGTTACGTTATAATGGTGTGAATTACAACGATGACGCTAATGAACATTTATGGGCATTTTCCGTGTGCTGGGCTGGCCATTAAACTCCACACTTTGTAGGACTCCTCTCATTTAACACAACCACCCAACACAGATAGAAGTATTTTCTCCGTTTATGGACAAAGAAATGGAAGTGCAGAAAGATTTAAGTCCCTGGCTGAGGTCACCCAGCTAGAAACTGGAGGACCCAGGAACTGGACCCAGGCACCGGACCCAGGCACCCTCGCCTAGCCTCCTGTTTTAGAGCTAGGATGCACCGTAAGGTAGTTAATGGTATTCCAGTTGATGAACGTTTGTTTCTTATTTATGTATTTATTTATTTTGAGACAGAGTCTCTCTCTGTCACCCAGGCTGGAGTACAGTGGCACCATCTCGGCTCACTGCAACCTCAGCCTCCCGGGTTCAGGCGATTCTCCTGCCTCAGCCTCCCAAGTAGCTGGGATTACAGGCATGCACCACCACGCATGGCTAATTTTTGTATTATTTTTTAGTAGAGATGGGGTTTCGCCATGTTGGCCAGGCTGCTCTCGAACTCATGACCTCAAGTGATCTGCCCACCTTGGCCTCCCAAAATGTGCTGGGATTACAGGCATGAGCCACCGCCCCCAACCTCGTTTCTAATTTTTTGTGAACACCAAGCTCCGAAAGCCAAGTAAAGGGGTGACGCTGTGTATTTCAGAGCTCGATATTCCCTCTGCTTTCTTCCTCTCCTCTGTCCCCTATGCCAGATCCTCCAACTGTTCATGACCTTTGAACTTGAGAAGGGACCTCTTTTCTGCTTTATCTACACCTGCTTTCCTGGTGATCTCACCGAGGTACAAGAGTTGAAATGCATCTTAGAACCTCCAGTGTCCTAGTGTCTGCAGCCTGGCTCACTCCCCGAATCCTGGACTTGTGTACCTAGCTGCCTAGGTGGCAGCTGCATGTGGGTGTCATCTGATGGGCATCTGAGGCTTCTGTCACCCAAAACTGGGTGCCTGATTCGACCTCACACTTGTCTCTCCCCAGACCACGGGCTTCCCCAGCTCAGCACCGGGCAGCTCCATTCTCTAGGTGCTCAGGCCAGCCCCAAGCCTTAAGTCAGCCTCGACTCCTCTCTTTCTTTCACCCTTTATGTCAAACCCGTCAGCAAACCTGGCTGGCTCTGTCTTCAGGTGTCTCCCAAATGAGAGCACTGCTATCACGTAAGTCTTTGTCACCTCTGACCTGGTTGTCCAGCCCTGACGTTTGCTTCCATTGACCGTTGATACTTCCAAAATATCTGTCAGATTGTGTCCCTGTGCCCTAAACCTTCCAGTAGCTTCCCAGCACACTCAGAGCGAAAGCCAAACACTCCACTGTGGCCTCCTTGTGTCTCTAAGTCCATCTTCTCCTCCTCCTCCTCCTCCTCCTCCACCTTCTCCTCCTCTTCTTTCTCCTCTTCCTCCTTCTCCTCCTGTCTTAATCTGTTTGGGCTGTTTCAGCAAAAGGCCATAGACTGGGTGGCTGTAAACAACAGACACACATCTCTCAGCCCTGGAGGTGGGAAGTCTGAGAAGAGGGTGCCAGCAGGGTCAGGTTCTGGTGAGGGCTTCCCTCTGGGATGCAGATGGCTGTCTTCTTGCTGTGTCCTCACATCACATGGTGGGAAGCCAGAGAGAGCTCTCTGGGGTCCCTTCCATAAGGGAGGGCATGATCCCACCCTCATGACCTAATCACCTCCCAAAGGCCCCACCTCCTAAAGCTACTGCCTTGGGGTGAGGAGTTCAGCATAGGAATTTAAGGGGACACAACATTCAACCCCCAGCATTCCCCCAGCTCCCTCTGGTGGCCTCCTCACGTGACCCGTGTGACCCCACATGTCCCGTGTGCCTCAGCCTTGCCGAGCACCATCCCTGGCAGAGCCTTCTCAGCGGCGACACTTTCCTCACCTCACTCTGCCTCTGTCCTGTCACTGCCCCAGGTCACCTTGTTGCCCCTGGCCCATGCCGCACTCCACTTGTGCATTTGAGTGTATTTTTCTTCAGAGCATTTGTCACCTCCTGCTGTTCTGTGTCCATGGTGTCGTCTGTCTCTCCCTGAGGGGTCAGCCCCACATGGTCAGGGACTCAATCTGTTTCATTCCCTGCTGTGTCCTCAGCACTTGAAGCCGGCACATGGCAGATGCTCAGACTGTGTTTGTTGAATGAATGAACGATGGCTGAGTGTCCAGGCTCTGAGGGAGTGTGTTATGGGCACCCTTCAAGCCCCAGCCCCTGTACCCAGGGCACTGTGTGGGGTGAGGAGATGCACCGGCACAGGCCGGGTGCTAAGAGGAAGGTGGAAAGGTTCTAGCCCACCTTCTCTTCTCGTTGACTTGAGGTTAGGAAGGGGCTAGCTTGGGATGAGAGGAGGAGCTTCCTCCACACTGTGGCATCTGTACCCCGCCTGATGTTCCACCTGAACTCCTGCCACAAGCTCCAGATCTGTTCCTGTACCGCACCCCCACCCCTGCTACAAAACCCCGGCTCTCTGTTTGCCCACCTGGTCCGCCGCTTTGGGCAGAGCTGCCCTTCATTCATTTTCCATCTTCCCGAGGGCTGACCTTGGCTGCTGTGGGTCATTAGTGATGAGGCCCAGAACCTCAGCTGGGGCAGAACGAGTTCCTGCTACCCAGGGCCGGCCTGTCTGGGGGCTGCCTAGAAGTCGCCCTGTGGTCCTCTACAGTCATTCCTGTGTGAGGACGAGACACACACTTTCCACTTGCTGGAGAGGAGGGTCTGGGTGGCTTTTTATTGGTGCATTCACCCTCTCAGATACTTCCTGATCAGTATGAGCTGGGTAAACAGCCAATTCAGATGGCTCAGACTCCCGGAAGAGGAGCGCTTAGCCCAAATTACTGGTATTAGCCGTCCGCATTCAACCTCATCTTAACCATGAAATTTGCACGGTAAAAAAGAGAATTTGACTTACACAGAAATGCAACTGTGTCTTCATCGTTCCACTCTACAGTAAGCTTCAGAGGGCTTTCATCCATTCAGCCTTCCTTCTTTCCATCTTTAATTGTTTTGAAATTCCATTTGGATGGAAATATTTCAAATATTTATTTTTTGTTTTTATATATCTTTTTGCAGTTTTTATGGTTTTATTTAAACACAAAACATGCACATGAGCCGTCTACTCATTTTCTTCACTGCGCAGCCTGGCATTGGGGTTGGTGACTCTGACGGCAGCTGGGCGGCCCTTTCCACGATGGTTTTGTTTCTTGGAGGAAACACTGTGAGCGATCTCAGCACAGGGAGATTTGTTGCACATCAGCACTTCCAGCTCCTTGACGCTGGGGACCAGGAACTTCCGGAAGCCACTGGGCAGCATGTGCTTTGTTTTTTGTTGCTCCCATGACCAGTGTTGGGCATCAAGATCTGGCCCTTGCAGGCGCGGTGGCTCATGTCTGTAATCCCAGCACTTTGGGAGGCTGAGGAGGGTGGATCACCTGAGGTCAGGAGTTTGAGACCAGCCTGGCCAACATGGTGAAACCCCGTCTCTAATAAAAATACAAAAACTAGCCAGGCATGGTGGTGGGAGCCTGTAATCCCAGCTACTCTGGAGGCTGAGGCATGAGAATTGCTTCAACCCGGAAGGCGGAGGTTGCAGTGAGCTGAGATCGCACCACTGCACTGCAGCCTGCACAACAGAGTGAGACTCTGTCTCAAAAAAGAAAAAAAAATATCTGGTCCTTGAACCTTCTGCAAACCCTATTGTCAATACCTCTGGGTTTCCTCCAGTTACACTTAATTTTGACATGTTGGTCTGACTGGTGCCAGATGAACTCCTTGGTTCTCTTTTTGACGATCTTGGGCTTCACGAGGGGTCTGAGGGCGGCCATGATGCTGAGGAGGAGACAGCTGCCACCTCCGTAGGCAGCACTGAAGAGAGAGGGGCCTTTTTTTTCTCTTTTTTCTTTGTTATGTCCTTGGAAGGAAGACTTCATGTTTCTTTTTTGAGAGACAGGATCTCTCTCTGTCGCCCAGGCTGGAGTGCAGTGGTATAATCATTGCTCACTGCATCCTCCACCTCCTGGCCTCAAGCAGTCCTCCTGCCTCAGCCTCCTGAGTAGCTGGGACCGCAGGCACACCCACCTTACCCGAATAATTTTTAATTTTTTTTCTCTAGAGACGAGGTCTCGCTTTGTTACCCAGGCTGTTCTCAAACTCCTGGCCTCAGGCAATTCTCCCACCTCAGCCTCTCAGAGCGCTGGGATTACAGACATGAGCCACTGCTCCTGGCCCAAATATTTATCTTTTAAAATGTATGCAGAAGTGAAACATGCTTTCCAAGAGCAGCAACAGGCAGGGTCACCCAGCACCCAGGTGGATACTTGGGCCGCCAAGGCTTCTGGAAGCCAGGACAAATGGAAAGAATATTGGAACATGGAAAGGTCTGAAAGGTGGCAATTTGTCCAAATCTACAGTTGAATCAGAAGAGAAGCGGTGGGTCAGGAAGAGGGTGATTTGAGTTCTGTTTCATCAGACTCATCTCTGTTTCTCTTTCCATCTCTCAGGCGGAGTTAGAACATTCCATTTTTTTATCCAAAATTATCTTTTGCTCGGATTTGGGAACTGACTTAATACGGAGCTGGGAATGGAGACACCAAAAACAGAACCAGACAAAGCTGAGGGTTTGTTCTCGCCCCTCCTGGACAGCGTGAGTTGCTCGCTGCTTTCAGGCCCTGTCTGAAGTCATCCCCAACCCCACACCGGGAGAAAATGTTTCCTGAGAAAAATGAAAACCCCTCTCAAAACTTGATGGAATAGGAAAGCCATTTAAAATATTTTACAGGTTTTAAGGTGCCTTTTTACATTTTAAAAATAACATTTCCCCTCAAGCTTTTGTATTAAATTGCCTTTCTAAAACAGAATTGATTTTAGTGTATCTTCTTAGAATTAATTGGGACTAATTTAGTTTAAAAACCTAAAATACCTCCAACATTTCCCTCTTTGGGTTTAATTCTAATAATGAGTTTAACAAAAAGACCCTTTTGCTGCATCTTCTCAGCGCACACTGAGGTTTTGCTTTGGGGTTGAAACTTTCATGGGGACAGAAATAGAATGTCCTTTTGTCGTTCTCATTGGGTTGGATGGTGGCATTTGAGACAAGCAAAGAGATGACGGATGGAATAAATATTTCTAATTTTGTCTTTCTTCGCTTCATTTTCATTTCTTCAGAGATCCCTGGGTCTTGCTGAGGGGATCTCTGACTTGGCTTGATTTTCTGTCCCGGGCCAATTGAGATATGTCTGTGCCTCAAAGATAGACGATCACTTAAAAGTACCGACAGGATCTTTCCCTCCCAAAGACAGGCGAGACCTCCTCCCGTCAGGCTGAGTCCATTCCTTGTCTGGAGCCAGGGAGCTCTGCTTCCCAAACTCTCACAGCAAGATTCCTGGCCTCACTCATTTGTCTTGCATTAAATTTCCTTGCAATCTTGCATAATTCGAGCATGACTTAGCAAGAAATGCATTTTTAATATGTGACTCTAACACTTTCTTATTTAAGGATGCATGTTTGTACGTTGACATAGCAAGAAAAATAGGTATATTAAAACTCATTTCTAATAATACTCGAGTGTGGAAAGATTAGCCATTTGGCAAATTTGAAAAGAGGTATGGAGTAACCATAAGGAAAGCAGTGAGGGCCAGGCACGGGGGCTCACGCCTGCAGTCCCACACTTTGGGAGGCTGAGGTGGGAAGACTGCTTGAGGCCAAGAGTTCAGGACCAGCCTGGACAACATAGTAGGACCTTGCTACTACAATTTGTTTGTTTGTTTGTTTTAAGTAGCCAGGCGTGGTGGTGTGCACCTGTAGTCCTAGCTACATGGGAGGCTAAGGCAGGACAATCACTGGGCTGAGGGCCCAGGAGTTTGAGGCTGCAGTGAGCTATGATCCAACCACTGTACTCCAGCCTGGGTGACAGAGCAAGACCCTGTGTCTAGAAAAGAAAAAGAAAGCAGTGAAAAAGGCAAATCATGTGCATAAACCTGAGGAGTGGGGCTTCTGTCAGGCATTGAGGTGGGACCATGGGGTGGGGGCAAGTATTGGTCACATGGAGCCCATATGTGACTATGAACCCAGGGTCTGCTGGAGGCTCTGATGTGAGGTCTGTGGACCTAGGTCATCATACTTTATACCCAGGCCCTATCGTGTGGCTTCAAGCCCGTCCACCCTGCTGAGAGTGGAGGCCCCCAGCAGCCAGCTATTGAGGCTGGCGAGGAGTAAACACAGGGATTCCATGGATGAAGAATGGGACTGGGGACCAGGACCCCCCTCCAGAAGGACTATGACTTGGTGTCACCTTCCAGGGTGGACACTCTGTCTTCTCTCCTGTACTGGTGGATGCATATCCATGCACCTAGCCCTGGCCAAGCCCACCTGTGTTCTGCAGGACATCCCATTCCATCCCATCCACATCCCATCCCATCCCATCCCATCCCATCCCATCCCATCCCATCCACATCCCATCCCATCCCATCCCATCCCATTCACATCCCATCCCATCCACATCCCATCCCATCCCATCCACATCCCATCCCATCCCATCCCATCCCATCCCATCCACATCCCATCCCATCCCATCCACATCCCATCCCATCCCATCCCATCCCATCCCATCCCATCCTATCCACATCCCATCCCATCCCATCCACATCCCATCCCATCCCATCCATGAAAGAACATCCACTTGCAAGTCTCCCTTCTTTCTCCTATCCCAGTTCCCTCCTGGTAGGTCCTACCTGCTATTATTTCTTTCATTTTCAGAAACCCGCTCTCAGTTTCCTCTTCCAGCTGCCTCCCCATTCCTCTTCCTATCTTTCTAGCAAAAATTCCTCAAAAGAGCCATCTGGTCCTCCTGTCTCCAGTTCTGCTCCACTTGGGGCTCTCTTGAACCTGCTCCAACCTCTGTGGCTTTTGCACACACTTTTCCCCTGGAGCTCCTCTGTCACAATCACTGGTGACCTCCACTTTGCTGATTCCAGTGATCACCACTCAGCCCCAGAGTCACTTGGTTCTCAGGACACCACTTGCTTATACTTCTTTGGCCTCTTTTCAGGCTCCTGCTTCTTTGGGATCTCTAAATGGTAGACAGCCCCAGAACTCAGCCCTAGGCCTCTTCTCTCTGCTCTTCCTTGGTGAGCCCAGATAGTCTTATGGTTTTAACTAGGTCATTTATACACTGATGACTCCAGCCTACATCCTGTATACACTGGTGGCTCTAGCTCATGTTCTCTATACACTGATGGCTCCAGCCATGTCATCTATACACTGATGGCCCCATCCCATGTTCTCTATACACTGATGGCTTCAGCCCACATCCTCTAGACACTGGTGGCTCTAGGTCATGTCCCCTACACACTGATGGTTCCAGCTATGTTATCTATACATTGATGGCTCTAGTTCATATATTCTATACACTGATGGCTCCAGCCTGCATTCTCTATACACTGATGGCTCCAGCTCACCCCTCAGCCTGAGACTTATGTAATCTGCCTGCTTTCTCAGCATCTCAACCTGGGTGTCTAGGAGCCTCTCACACTTTACACCTTCAGAACTCAACTCCCAAGTGCTCTCCAGGCCTTTTTCTTGGGTAATTTTCCTGACCTCATCCTTTTAGTTGCCAAAAACCTTGGAGGTACCCTTGACCCGTCAGCAGATCTGGCTGACTCTACCTCCTATGTTTATCCAGAGTCTGACGGCTTTGCCCCTCCATGGCTCACAGCCAGGCCCCCCTCCCTTGCCCAGATTATCACATTAGCCTCCAGATTGCTCTCTCTGCTCCCACCCTTTTCCTTCTTCCCCTATTCTCAACCCAGCAGCCAGAGGGGCCTGGTTAAAATGCAAGTCAAACCAGGCCATTCCTGGGCTCAAACCTTGTGATGGCTTCCATTTACCCCAAGCAAAAGCCAGAGCCCCTACAATGGCCTGTGTGGGCCTTTCTCCTTGCCTTCTGGTTCACTCAGCTCCAGTTTCAAGCCAGGCATTGTCCCACCTCGGGGCCTTTGTACTGGCTTTTCCCTCCATTAGGAACGCTCTTCCCCAGGATATCTGGACAGCTCCGTCCCACACCTTCCTCATCTCTTTAATGAGCCCACCCAGGGAAGCATTTGACAACGCTTTAAAAATTGCAACCCCTTCCTATCCCAGCACTCCTTCTGTCTGCTTCCTTTTCCCCCTGGTACTTGTCACCATATGATATAGGGTGTCATCTGACGTACGACATATTTTTCTCACTTACCTTGTTTACTGTCCATATGCTCCTATCCTCCCGCATGGTCTAGAATAGAAACTCCATGAGGGCAGGGAATTGTGTTTTGATGACTGGTCAATGCCAGGCCCATGCTATGGATCCAATAAATATTTTATTGAAATCAATGAATGACACAGGATCTCTGTTACTCATCCTTCTGGACATGGGGTTTGGAGTCCTCACAGCCGCACCTCAATGCCTCCCTTGGGATGCAGCATCCAGGCAGAACCCAGCCGTGTCCCCTAAGCAAAGCCTCCCATGGCACCAGCTGCTGGTGATTTGACCTCCAGGACTAGCATTCAAGGTTGTCACCACATCACCACTTAGCCATACATTAACAGCCCAAGAGTCTGGCTTCAAATTCCTCATCTCCCTGCAACACAGATTCAAATTCTAACAGTATAGAATCTGTCTTCCTTTCTTCTCAGGGAGGCATGTCTATTCCATTCCTATTCTAGGAATGACTCCTGGATGATATCTTAAAAAAACAGTTTCTGTGCACTGACTGTGTCTGTCTCAAAGGGCAAACCTCCGCTGAGAGCTCCTTGAAAGGTATGCTTGGTCATGCACAAATCTATCAGCATTGTGTGCTTTTATCATCCAAAATGTTGACCCATCGAGGCTGCAGCTACATGTTGCTCATTCTATCAAAATGTTTTAAGATCCTTGGCTGGGCCCACCAAAAACAAGAGCACTGCTTAGAGCTCTGTGTTCCCCTTGAAAGGTGGTGGTGCCACTTCACCCTCTCCTGGTCCCAAAGCCTCAGAGAAGCCATGCTCAGCCTGAACTGCTCCAGGCAGAACAAAAGCTGCACTAGCTTCAGTTTAGCCCTTTTCTTTTCCCCCTTCATGGGTCGAGATTGCCCAACCATGTGCCTCCTCTTTCCGGAGATATGTGTCCCTTGTGTGTCCTGCCATCTGGGGGCATCTGATGTGGCCTGGCTTCCTCTTAGAAAAGTCTTCCTCTCTCCGGGTAGGGAGGGAAGAGCCGGCGCAGTGATGTCAAAGATATACTGTAAGTCCCTCCCGGCAAAGCCCCACAAGGCATTTCTGACGCTGAGTCAGTGGTTCCCTTTGCACTTGTTCCATACGTACATGATATTTCCAAAAGTCGTTTTAATTTGGTATCAACTCCTCTGTTTTCACACTTTTTTCCAAATAGCTTAATCCATGATTCATTTTACTTCGCCCAGAAAACACTTGTGCAGCTATGAACTCTCCCACATTGTTTGTTTGATGATAAATAGATTCTTTCCTCTTGGAGAAAAGGGCACTTTCTCCTCCCAGTACTAGGAAGGATTGAAATCCCTCCTGTGATGCCCTCTTACCTCAGAGAGAGTTGTTCCTCCTTGGGTTTTGTTATTTCAGAACAAATATGGTAAACTGTTTTCCCCTCAGTTACTATAGAGAAGAGATTATTTGCCTTTCTCTTAGGGCTTCTGAAAATAATAGATTACATATTTGAGAGGGTTTTTTTTAGATCTGGTTAATGTGAGATAGAGGGGGTTGCTCCGGGATGACATTGTTTGGTTTGGGAAGTATTCTCCCGGTTGCCCAGCAACAGGCTCTTGGAAACGGGAGTGGACTGCGTTGCCCCTGGCAACCGTTGTTACTTAGCAAACAATGAGGGCCGGGCAAACAGTGCCAAGACTGCGGACTCCAGGTTTTAATTGAACATCTGCATATATTTTTCTCTGATTAAATTTGAGTTTGATTTGCCACAACAGGCAGACATGGATCCACTCGGGATCTGCTTGAAAGAACCAATATTGTAATGTTGACTCCCAGGCTGCACAAACGCAGAGGCCCCATTGAAACAAACTTCTGGCCATTCGAATATGTCCTAGACTGCTCTCAACTGGAGACTTATTTTAGTCTTAAGTGGAATTTCTTTTTTGATCTAATTCCTGGTGTTCAGAAAATCATTACTTGTCCAACCTACTACCGTACATCACTGATAAATCCGCAATTTCTGGAGCGCTTTTCAGCACGATGCCTTCATTTCTGCTGCCTAAGAATTTCAGAAGAGCAAAGAGTTGAGCCCTGGCTGGCTCACATGTAGAGACATTCACAGATAGGGTTGGCTGAGGGTGGAAATTGGACCCAGCACCTTCTGGTTTCATGTGCTCAATGTTCCTGTTAAGAAGTTGGGTCCACCCGTGGCCCTCAGTGGGATGTGTATGTTATGTTTATTAAGAGAGGTCGCACGTTCCCACTAACAAAGTGCCCTGTTGATGGGCACTTTGCAGCCACAGGTTGGATTTTGATCAAAACAGCCTCACTCCCCCACCTCCTCCGCTGGCAAGCCAGAGATAGCGATTGTTGACAAGGGTTTGTTGCTTAGGTAAACACCACCCCTGAACTTCATTCAGAGCGGGTGACACATTTCTTCCCCTCCTCCCAGCCCCGCCCCCAGCCCCCGCCCCCACTGCCAGGGCTATAAATTCAGAACTGTTAGCCAAGACAGGTTTTTGGTGAAGACTTTATTCTTCCTCATTCATCTCGAGTGCAATCTGACTAATGCAGCAACAGCCGCAAAAGTGCCGCCTGTAACAGACACTCCAGCCCCTCACTAAAACAGCTCCTGTGGTTCCCGTGGTGAGACTCGCTTTAGTTGTATGGATTTTTTTTAAGGACGATTCACTTTGTTGCTGAATGCCCCCAAGAAAATGTTCATTGCACGTTTGTTACCGGCATTTCAGCTAATCTTAGGACTATTTAAAGTATCTAAACAAATTTCCCAACTTTCTTTTGCAGCAGAAACTTATAATGGAATGTCATTTGTGTTTTTTTTGGAGACAGAGTCTCGTTCTGTCGCCCAGGAAGCTCCGCCTCCCGGGTTCACGCCATTCTTCCGCCTCAGCCTCCCGAGTAGCTGGGACTACAGGCGCCCGCCACCGCACCCGGCTAATTTTTTTGTATTTGTAGTAGAGACGGGGTTTCACCGTGTTAGCCAGGATGGTCTCGATCTTCTGACCTCATGATCCACCTGCCTCGGCCTCCCAAAGTGCTGGGATTACAGGCATAAGCCACCGTGCCCGGCCTTTTTTTCTTAAAAAGGCAAGCTGATTAGCCATCAGCCTTATTAGATGTGATAATTAGGATCCAATGGCTGCGAGTGTTGTTGGAATGAAAATGAATAAGGTCTGACTTACACAAAGACTCCCCCAAAGATTAAAATACATTATTTGTCCTGCAACCTGTTGTAGGATAGTGGTAGAAGACCACTATATACTTAAAAAGATAAATCCTCCCAAAGAAATGCTGTTCTACCTTCTACAATATTATTTTCTGCCCAGTCCCCAGTTTAAGTAAGTCATTTTTCAGGAATTAGAGCCTCATTTAAAATTTTTTTTAAATTTATCATTTTCTTATTTCCCATGGAAGTATTTTCCCATATATCAGGCTTTGCAATTTGGGCAAACCACTTAACATCTTTAGGTAAGTTTCTTCATCTGTTTGATGAAAGAGCTGGGTTAGGTGGTTTTTAAAGGGGCCTCTCCATGCTGTGGTTTTAGATGGAAATTCTTGAATTTGAACTAGGCTCTTTCTCCGCTTCTTAAATTCCAGAATCAAATCACGACTGGAGGGGAGGTAGGAGGTAGATTGAAAAGGTCCCCTATGTGATGTTGGTGGGATCCAGAAAGCCAGCCTCCTCCTGGCCAGAATCAGTCATGGAGATGTGGAAAGAACATGCACTGCCTGTTGCCCTGCCCTCACTGGCTGTCTCTAGAGATGGCTGTCAGGAGGAAGGGTCACACAGGCAGGACGAGACCCCATCCCCAGGTGGGCACAGGTGCCCAGTGGGCGTGCTGCCGGGTCAGGTCACCAGGCTGAGAAAGCAGGAGATGCTACTGCTGAGGAACTGTCACTTGTCATTTCAAGGTCCACTCCTCCACCCTCTGGCAGCATGAGTCGCTCTGAAAGATTTTGAAGCTGGGACAGGAGAGGGTGAGTGAGGTGAGGCCTCCGCATGCCAGGTTTTCACTGGCACATTCCCCATCTTCATCTTGACCATCAGCAGCTGCACTGCAGCCCTGCTCATGGTCAGAAAGGGAGAGAAACGTGAGAGGGAAAGAAAGGCTGGTAAGAGAAGGAGAACACAAAAGCATGATGCCTTAGGAAGCCGCTTCCAAGAATCCTGGGACAGGCCCCTGTGCTCAGCTGAAGACGGGAGCTGGAGGCCAACATGGTGAAGGTGGCTAGAACAGGTGAGCAGCCCGGAGCAGGCGGGCTGCTCATTCTCTTGTTCATTGCAAAACACGTCTTGAGCATCTTTGCAGGCAATGTGCTACGTAGGGTCTGGGGTTGGGGTGAGGGATCTGTGAGGGGGCTGCTGAGATGACATAGATCCAGACTTTGTTTTCTCAAGAAGGGCTGGCTGGCCAAGAAGCCAGATGTGAACAGCTGCATGACATGAAGTAATCTGAGGGGACAAGCACGGAGAGTGGTTTGGTGAATCTGGAAATGCTGTGTGGAGTAAAGGTGTGGCCTTAGACGTGTGGTTCTCCATGGGGGTGGTCCTGCCCCCAGGGGACACTGGGCGATGTCTGGAGACATTTGTGGCTGTCAGACAGGGGTCGGGGGGTTTCCTGGCATGGAGTGGGTGGAGGCCAGGGATGCTGCCCAGCACCCTGCGGTGCCCAGGACGGCCCCACCCCAGAGTGTATTCCTGCCCCTCATATCCGCATTGCTGAGGTCAGGAAAGCCTGTATGACATGACAAGCTGACTGGAGAGAGGGTTTCCCCACTGCTCATCACTTGCCTGGGATCCCCTTTGGAGCTGCTGGCTGCTGTCTCTCTGCCTCCCTCCTTCTTCAACGCAGCAGTCACTTTAATCTTAGCTGTCATGGGCGGGTGGACTTTGAGGGACAGAGGGCTGCCCAGCCTGCCTGGCCCTGCTGGAGGGGTCTTGTCCATCCCCACCCTGGCAGGTGCATGGACCCCATCCTCACCCTCCCTGCGTTGTGTGCAGGAGACACCAGTGCCAGCCTCCGGTGGCCCTCCATGCACTGCAGCCACCTTGTCACTGCGAGTCTGGACCGCTGTGTGCCATGCTGGCCTCCCTCGATTCTGCAGACCTTAGACTTGCAGGCAGAGGCTAGCTGATCAGTGAAGGGCTGGCGCTCAGGCCTGGGGGTCTGGCAGGCGTAGGCTCCAATTCCGTTGGAATCAGAGGGTCCTTGGGGGTTGTGTGGACATCTCATTTAAACACTCCATCCGGAATCAGAGGAAGCCCGGCTTTCCCCACAGAGCAGGCGCCAGGGGAGAGTTTCAAACCAAGTAGCTGGATGCATGAGGGAGAAGGCGGCCTAGGAGCAAGAGCGAGAGCGGCAGGACAGGAGGGATACGAGACACAGCAGCTCACGGGAGGGGATGTGGGTGACCCCAGCAAGGGCCAGGCACCAGAAAAGGACAGACAGGTGACATTGGTCTCTGGAAGGGGAGGGAAAGGACGAGCAGATATTGAATATGCGCGACTGGCCAGGGAGCGACCCCCAGATCTTTACATTCTGAAAAACCCACTGCTTTAAACGCACAGGGAACTGCTTGTGGGGATAGACAGAGGGAACGATCATTCTAAGTCACGCTGATTTACCTTTTCCTCCTGGTTACTGAGAATGAATGAAGAGCACTTACTTCTCAACTGGAACCACAGAGGGCTGGAGAAATGTCCAAGTCCAGTTCGAGCTCATACAGTCACTCCCCACGGGGACTGTATCAGTTCATGATAGCTCCAATAGCATCAACTAAATTCTAGAAACTTCTAAAGCAAAAGCTAAGCTTGTGTTGTTATTTGGAGTTCTCTTTGGCATGGGGTTGGGGAAGCGATTTATATACAGAAAAGAGACGGAAGCTCCACGTAGGTCGGGAAGCTGTGGCTCCGGAGGCTCTAGTCATAAAAACATGTGCTTCCTCCTCCTAAAGGAGTGACTTAGCCAAACCCAAGCCAAAGCCAGTTCCAGTCTAGCCTGCCTCTTCCTGCTTTGTGACCTTCAGCTCATGGCTCGCCCTTTCTGAGCCTCAGTTGCGTGTGTGTTGTGTCTAGAGCAGAGGTGATGTGGTCACGGCTTCCTCAGAGTCAGTCAGCCCCCACGTATACCAGCTTTGCCCGCAGTCTGGGGCTCGGTCTGGCCACCAGCTACTGCCGCTGCTGTTGTCCTTGGGGTTGTGTCCCTCTTTCTTTCGGCTAGTTTGGTTTTTTGGTTGTTTTTCATTGTTTTGTTTTGTTACTTGTTTATTCTTTTTAGAGACAGGGTCTTCCTCTGTCTCCCAGGCTGGAGTGCAGTAGTGCAGTCAGCTTACTTCAACCTCAAATTCCTGACCTCAATAATCCTCTGGCCTCAACCTCCCAAAGTGCTGGAATTACAGACATCAGCCACCTTCCCCGGCCCCCAGTTTGTTGTTGTTGTTGTTTGTTTGTTTGTTTGTAGAGATGGGGCCTCGCTATGTTGCCCAGGCTGGTCTCGAACTCCTGGGTTCAATGGATCCTCCCGCCCCTGCCTAGGACATATTTCATTGATCAGGCACCTGCTGGGATCCACACTCGGGGTGGGCACATCAGCTATATCATTCCCTTCCCCCTCCCAGCCCCTTTCTCAGATGAAGAAACCAAGGCCACTGCCACAGTCAGTAAGCGAGTGACAAGCCTGGGACTTGAACCTGAAGCCTGGCCTCCTCCCTCTGCTCCGGGTGGTCATACCTCCTTCCCAGCCACTCGGCATTCCCCTTGGCATTTGTTCTTATTTATATAAATAATGGAGGTTGCAAAGTCTTTTTCCCCCGGCTGCAGCCGACTCCCCAGTAAGATCCAGAGGCGGGGCCGGGAGTAGGAAGGGAACCAAATGTTCCGTTTCTTTGGATGCATTCTGTGGGGCAGGGCTCTCTGCCTGCCTACGGACAGTCTTCAGGTGACAAGGTCTTGATCAGCCAGACTTGTAAGTGTGAAGGGTAGGCTCCAACCCTCTAAAGAAGGGATCCTACAGACAGCAGACCTTTTCGACATCGAAATGGTCTGGAACCCCCACCTTGGTAGTTAATCCCTTGATTTAGCACACACACTGTCTATGCGGTGAAAATTCTTGGGAGGATTTTTTGAGCCAGGGAATGAGAAGACATTGTTATCTTTTGAATCACCCCAATGTGAAAGAAAATTGGCTGGGAGAGGGCAGAGGCTGGAAGCAGGGAGACCAATTAGGAGGCGGATGTGGTGGTTCCAGGTAGGAGATAGGGAGGCAGGGGCTCACTGAAATAGTAGCAGCAGGAGCGGAAGGAAGGGGGAGGCAGAGATGGTATCAGGTGGAGACAGCAGGCTGAGTCACCAGCGACACGTGTCCCGGGGCGCAGGGAGATGCCCAGTGCCTTGAACAGCCCCCTGGCTTAGGAAACGCAAGAGGAGCAATTTTGGCGGGGGGAGAGTTTCCCTTGGACTTGTTGAGGCACCTGAGGGGCGCCCAGGCAGAGAGGTCTGGGAGGCAGCTGGAGAAGGGAGCCGGAGTCAGGTGATTTGGGTGGTGCTGGGAGTCCTGGTGCCGGGAGGTCGTCCACATTGAGTGTGACAGGGGAGGGGCACAAGGGTGGAGGCCGAGGGTGGGAGACAAGCAGGGACCAGTGCAGGGGACTGAGAAGGTATCATTAGGGGGAAAAATGAAACCAGATGACAACAGCACCCAGACACGAGGGAGGACAGAGCTTCGAGGAGCGACACGAAACACTGCAGAGAGTACAAGTTCAGAGGAGGCCCGAAAACTGCCCCGTGAGGACCTCAAGAAGAACAGTGGGCAGACATGAGAATGCAGAGAGAAGACGACAGAGGCTCCCTCCTGAGAGTCTGGACTTACAAATAAAAAAGAATCCATATCTCAAGAGAAGATAAAGGATAAAGAGCAGGGTTTCAGTGGCAGTGGATGTTCTCCTCAAATGGGTGTGATGTGAGCTTGTCTATAAGCTGAAAGAATGGAGCCTGTGCAGAAGCCAGATTGCAGGCTTGATCGGTGGGTCCTTGGAGGGAGACGGAAGGCTCTAGAACCTTCAGGAAGGGGGCCAGCAGCCTTTTCCTGTAAAGGACCAGAGAGTACATATTTTAGGCTTCTGCTGGGGTCTGTCTCAGCTCCTCGCCTCTGCTGTTGGAGCACAAAAGCCATCATAGATAATGGGAAAATGGGAGTTGAAGATGCAAGGAACTGGATGTAGACAGTCTGGATGTGAGATAGTGGGGGGAGGTCAGCACAGGGAAGGAGTTGTGGGGTAGAAGGAAGTGGAAGAGACAGCATGGCAGGGGCATGGCTGAGAGCCAGGAGGTGCAGAGGCGGTGTCAGAAAAGGGGGACAAAAGAGTTGCAATTTTAGAATGGAATCTTGCAAGGAGAAAAGTACAGAGAAAAAAATGTACTTTGAGGCTTTCTCCCAAAGGCATGTGTGTGGATGTGTGAACACAGGCTCCCCCCCATCACTTTTTACTACAAGAATCGTTGTTTTTGTCTAGTGGGAGGAGTCAACATTCAATTTAATAGAAAAATGTATGGAGTAAGAAAATGACGTGTCTTCTGAGTGGTTTTGGCCATTCTTCTCATATTATCCTGCGTCAGGTGGTGTATGTGTGTGCATGTATGTGTGTCTGCATGTGTACTTTTGTGTATACATGTATGTACATGTGTTTGTGTGTGTGTGTTTGTGTATATGTGTATGTCCATGTATATTTGTGTATATGCATACGTGGGGAGTGTATACATGCGTCTGTGTGTGTGTGACACTCTCATGTCCACTCCTGGGGGACAGATATCCACTCCTGGGGGACAGAGCACCAGCTGCTGCTCGGCCTCTAGCTTGGTATCCAGTTACCTTTCACTCCAATGTGTTGGACTTTAGGGCACCCCATAACCTAAGGAGAATTTCCATTTCCTAGAAACCAAGTTTTGTGGTGTTGAAGTTATTGCTAGAAGCAGTGGAATCAGGTTGCCTGCCAAAAGAGTATTTGCTGGGTGAAAGTGTCATGAAGACTTGGTGGTTTTTTAATTCAAAATTCACCCTGAATTTGGTATATTATTGATGGCAGTTAAAATCAGACCACATCAGAGATGAGGTAACCATACTTTAGTTTGGACAATTTTTATATTAATAGTCAAATCAAGGCCAGGCGTGATGGCTCACACCTGTAATCCCAGCACTTTGGGAGGCCGAGGTGGGAGGATTGCTTCAGTCCAGGAGTTCGAGATCATTCTGGGCAACATAGCAAGACCCCTGTCTCTACAAAAAATTAAAAATTAGCCGGGCGTGCTGGTGCTCACCTATAGTTCCAGCTACTCGGTTGGCTAAGGCGGGAGGGTCACTTGAGCCAGGGAGGTCGAGGCTGTAGTGAACTATGATCGCATCACTGCACTCTAGTCTGGGTGACAGAGCAAGACTCTGTCTGAAAAAAAAAAAAGTCAGGTTTCTAAAGGGGAAGGAACGGGTGTTTCCACTGTTAAGACGGGGGTCCCTGGCTTAGGGGAGGCCTTGTCAGCGCAGCCTGCTCTCAGCCTCTGAAGATTAGAACCTGCGACTTAAGGGCCTACTGGGTGTCTGCACTCCCCCATCCCCCTTCCAGTCTGCAAACAGCCCTTTCTCAGGCCAGTTGTCAAGGGCTTGGTTCTGATCCTTTTCTAGAGAAAGGAGGGAAAGTTTGGCTCCTGAGAAGAAAACAGGAACAGAAGCCCAATTCTTACGAAAAGAAAAAGGAATTTGAATTCTGAAGATACTTGATTTCAGAGAAGCTCGGAGCCAGCTCCAGTCCTTGAAAGCCCATTGCTACAAGAGGAGAAAAAAAAAAAACCCAAAAGTGAGGAATGACGGGCACCCCCGTGGCTTAGGCACGGAGGGAACGATGGTTGCCCTTGGTGTGCATTGAAGCCTGCTGCTCTGGAATGTGTGGGTAGCCTTCAGAGGGTCCTGTTCATTTATTTCACACTCCTTGCCTGGCTGAATTGTCATGATTTTGCATCCTGCCTACTCTCCTTTTTCATCTTCCTGTTCTCACCCTGTCTACAGGCCTGTTTTACTCGGGGGCTGTTTGTCCAGACCCCTTCTTAGACATCACAAATCCATTTTGAACAGAGGTCCTTCTGCGCCCCAGGGGACACTGGGCAATGTCTGGGAACATCTGTGGTTGTCACAACTGGGGGTGCTCTTGGCATGGAGTGAGCGGAGGCCAGGGATGCTGCTCAGCACCCTGCAGTGCTCAGGACGGCCCCAGCCCAGAGATGGATCCGTCCCCAATGTCCACAGTGCCAAGTGGGGACACACACTGTCATCTTTGGTGATTATCAGGGCAGAGTAATAACTCTTGGCACTGAGAACCAACTGGGTCCACAGGGAGTAATCCTGGTGCCAGAAAGGACATGGTTCCACCATCAAGGAGGGTTCGAGAATCCACTTTTCGGCAAGGAGATGGCTTGGAGGTGTCCTCCCTGTGCGTGGGGCCAGGCCACACAAGCCTGAACAGTGAGGACAGAATCTTAAAACACGCATCACTTACTCCGAGGACCTGGCCCTCAGAGGGGAGCCGGGAGAAGGAAACGGACAAGACTTTTCTGGGCAGCCTAATGACACTGGGAGTGTTAAGACAAGCTACCAGGACAGAATCTGGGCTTTGAAGCAACTGGTACTCCTGAGAGCACTCCGGGCTTGTTCCTTCTTGTTCAGAGGGAGGAAATTAATTGCTTTCTTAGGGCAGATGAACTCTGGTACCATCTGGAGGCCAGCGAGTACCAGGAGAGGAGGAGCTGATGGCCGGAGGAGGCCACGTGCCTCCCAAACACCGAGGCTCATCAGCCAATCAGAATGAAGGTAACTAAAACCACTCAGCTAACTCTGCCCCAATTATCACCAAAGATGACAAAACATTGTCTAAATACTGATCTGAACTATGTGAGGCAGGTGACAGCTCCATTTGGCATATGGAGGAACAGGAATAGAAGAGAGATTGCTTAAGGTCGCAGTGAGTCAGCGGCTCAGCCAGGAACGGGCCCAGAAATTGCTCTCAGCGTTTTCTGCATTTCCTTTCCTGACATTGCTGGTTACTAGGTGATGGGAGTATTTTTCTGTAAACAGAAGCCTCTTCCCTTTGTGCCCAGGCAGATTCATTCATCACGGCCGTAGTCCAGGGCTGCTTCTAGCTGCGTCTCTCCTGTGCCCCCTCACATGAAGTCAGGAAGCCACGGGAGATGTTCCCACTGGCGCGTTTGACTCAGCAGTGGCTCCAAAAGGTCAAGTGCGCATCTGGTTCACTTGAATGTTCGTTCAAGGTCAAATGAGCGTTTCGTGGATTCCAAAGGCTGGTGCCGGCCAAGGAGGGGAAATTGCGCCGCTGGTTCTGTGCTTTTCCCCTTTATTTCATGCCCGCCCTGATCTTGGACCAGATGGTAAATGAAACGTGCTCAGCTTATAAACAGCACTCCGGGCATATTTCTGAGGCACGAGGGAGGGAGCTTTGGGCCAGCCAAGCCCGTTGGCCAGGCAGGGCCAGGCTGGGTGACAGGTCGTGTTGCGGCCCCTCCCCTTTATATTGGCTGTTCCGAGGCTCCTGTAACCCAGTCTAAGAGGACACAGGGGAAGGCAGTCAAAGTAAGACTGCCCAGGTCCTCGCCACAGGAAGAAAAACAGAAGAGAGGACAAAGGAACGCGAGAAAGCAAGGACGGCAGGGCAGTCACTGAATGGGTCCAAGTTCCCACAGCAGATTCAGGTTCAGAGAAGAAGCATGGCCTCCACTCACTCACATCTACTGTCTTGCACTGGATTGAGGGGTTCCCAAACTGGGTGCTGCAAAGGTGCTCCACAGTGTGCGTCCCTGTGCCCTGTGGACTTTACCTTGAGTACACCCACGCCCTCGGGGCCCTGCCCTCTGCCCACTCTCTGCTGCGCTCTCCTCTGCCAGGTGGAGGAGTTACTCAGGATCCAGCATCACCCCTTCTGGGAGGACCATGTGAGCTACTGCGCTTACCTGGAAGCACCGCCAGGATCATGAGCCACTCCTGCTCATCGCTGGTGTCTTGTGTGTGTGTTTGTTTAACTCCTTATCATGGAAATTTCAAACATCCACAAAGTAAATACACAATGCAATGAAACTTATGAAGCCACCACCCTCTACAGGGTGTCAGGGTCCTGCCATTCTTATAACACCTGGATACCTGTACCCACTCTCCGTCCTCCTCTCCACCCTTGTATTTTTACAGGCTTCGTTGTCATTGTTAAAATTCACATACAGTAAGTGCACAAACCTTAGCTGGCTAATTTTGACAAATCACGACTCCATGTAACCGCACACTGTATTATCATACAGAATGCGTCCATCTCACTGGAGTGTCCCCTCCTGTCCCTTTCCAGTCACTCTCGCCCACCGCCACCTGCCCCCCCACCCACTATTATGATTTTTTTTTAACTTTAGTTTTAATCCACTCTACTCATCTACTCTTTTGGACTCAACTTCTTTCACTCAGCGTAATGATTTTGAGATTCATCCATGCATTGTGAATTTCAGTAATTAATTCCTTTCTATTCATGAAGAGTATTCCAGTAGTATTCCTCTATTAGCTTTTTAGCTATGCTCTTCTTTTCCATTTTTAGTGGTTGTTTTAGGGTTTTCAATATGAATCTTTAAATCATCATAATCTGCAATTTCTCGTCCACTCTCCTGATGAGGAACATTTGGGTTATTTTTACTTTTTGGTGACTGAATCAAACTGCTATGAATAAGGCTGAGGTGGGCAGATCATTTGAGCCCAGGAGTTTGAGACCAGCCTGGGCAACATGGTGAAACCCTGTCTCTACCCAAAATACAAAAATTAGCCGGGTATGGTGCTGCGTGCCTGTAGTCCCAGCTACTTAGGAGGCTGAAGTGGGAGAATCGCTTGAGCCTGGGAGGTTGAGGATGCAGTGAGCTGTGATTGTGCCACTGTACTTTATCCTGAGGGAGACCCTGTCTCAAAAACAAAAAACAAAAACCAACAAACAAAAAGCTGCTATGAACATGCTTATACAAGTTGTTATTATTTTTTTGAAGAGATATGTCTTCATGTCTCTTGGATAAAAACTACAAGAGGAATTCTGGGTTAAAGGGCAGGTTTAACTTTCTAGAAAACTGCCAAACCTCTTTCCAGTGTGGTCATATCATTCATATCTACACATGGGGGTGTGTGAGAGTTTTAGTTGCTCCATGTACTTACAACATTGGATGTTGTCAGACTTGTCAGGTTTAGCCATTCTAGTGAGTATTTAGTGATATCTTGATATAGTTTGAATTTGCATTTCCCTAGTGACTAATGAGGCTGACCACTATTCATGTACTTTTGGGCATCTGTATATCTTGCTTTGTGAAGTACCATTTTTTTAAGTTATTTGTCATCTTATATTGAATTGTAGGAGTTTATATATATAGATATAGATGTAGATATATTAGGATCAAAGCCCTTTATGAGATACATGTTTTGCAAATATTTCTCCCAGGCTGTGGCTTACCTATTCATATTCTTAGCAAAATCTTTTAATGAGCAGAGGTTTTAAATTTTGGTGAAATCTAATTTCTCAAGTTTTTCTTTTATGCTGATTTGTGCATTCTAAGAAACCTTTGTCTAACCTCCTATGTTCTCTCTGAGAAGTCTTATAGTTTTAGCTTTTGTGTGTAAGTAAGTTCATGTTCTAACTTGAAATCATTTTTATGTATGGTGTGAGGTAGGGGTCAAGGTTCATTTATTTTCCCCAATATGGATATTCTGTTGATCCATCACCATTTGTTTAAAAGACTTCTTTCTCTGTTGAATTGCCTTGACACCTTTGTGAAAATCCAGTTGAGGAAGAAAAGAGCTGAGGCTCCATTAGAAAAAAAAATCAATTGATAATCTAAGTGTGGGTTATATTATTTATATATTGTTGAATTTGATTTATTAATATTTTAAATTATTTTTGCATATATGTGCATAAGAGATATTAGTCTAAACACTTTCCTTGTAATATATTTGTTAAGTTTTGGTGTCAGGGTTTACTGACCTCATAAAATGAGTTGTGAAGTATTCTTTTTTTATTTTCTGATGGCATTTGTGTAATAATTCCTTTTTCAGTATTTGATAGCATTCACCAGTAAAACTATATGTGCCTGAAGTTTTCTGTGTAGGGAAGTTTCCAATAACATATTCAATTTTTTTGTTATATGTATTACATTCACATTTTTTTATTTCATCTGTGTCAGTTTTGTTATGTTGTGTTTTTAAAAAAGTGTTCATTTTATATGTTATTGAATTTATGGGCTAAAGTTGTTTGTAATAGTTCTCTATTATCATTTTGATTTCTGTAGAATCTCTAGTGATATATTTCATTTCATTCCTGATATTGGCAATTTGGGTTTTCTTTTCTTATCAGTCTTTCCAGGAGAAGTTGTTAATTAACTTTTTTTAAATACTTGCTTTTTTTTTTTTTTTTTTTTTGAGATAGAGTCTTGCTCTGTCACCCAGGCTGGAGTGCAGTAGTGCAATCTCAGCTCACTGCAACCTCTGCCTCCTTGGTTCAAGCAATTCTCCCACCTCAGCCTCCTGAGTAGCTGGAATTACAGGTGCCCGCCATTACACATGGCTCATTTTTGTGTTTTTAGTAGAGACAGAGTTTCACCATGTTGGCCAGGCTGGTCTCAAACTCCTGACCTCAGGTGATCCACCCGCCCTCGGCCTCCCAAAGTGCTGGGATTACAGGCATGAGCCACCATGCCTGGCCAAGACTTGCTTTTTTAAAGAGCAGTTTTAGGTTCACAGCAAAATTGACAGGAAAATACAGAGATTTCCCATATACCCCATACCTCCACACATGCACAGCTTCCCTCATTATCACCATCACCCACCAGAGTTGTACATTTGTTACAGTTGATGAAATCTGCATTAACACAGCATTTTCACCCAAAGTCCATAGTTTCCTCGAGAGTTCACTGTTGGTGTTGTACATTCTATGGTTTGGACAAATGTATAATGACATGTGTCCACCATTATAGTGCCATACAGAACAGTTCCAGTGTCCTAAAAATCCTCTGTGCTTTGCCTACTCATCCCTCTCTCTGATACCTGGCAACCACTGATCTTTTCATTGTCTTCATAGTTTTGCCTTTTCCAAAATGTTGTTTAATTAGAATCATACAGTATGTAGCCTTTTCAGACTGGCTTCTTTCACTTCATAGTATGTGTTTAAATTTCTTCCATGTCTTTTCATGGCTTGATAGCTCCTTTCTTCTTCTGAAAAAATTTCAGTTTTGAAGAAATATTGCTTTTGTTCATTTTCTCCATTGTTTGTGGAGTTTCTAATTTCATTAATTTTGTTCTTTATTGTTTTTCCTTCTTTCTATTAAGTTTAGTTTGTTTGTCTTTCTATATAGCTTTTTAAGGTTGAAAACGTTCTTAAATCTTTCTAACATAAGCATATAAAGCTAAACATCTCTTTCTAAGCACTGCTTTAGGTGTGCCCACTTTTTTTTCTTAATAATTTTACTTCTTTTTTTCACCCACAATATTTGTACCAGTGCCCACAAATTTTGATACAAAGTGTTTACATTATAATTCAGTTCAAAATATTTTCTATTTTTCTTTGGGGTTTATTATTTGACCCATGGATTATTTTGAAGGTGTATTTTAAGTTTTCTAAATATTTGGCATTTTTCTAACCTTCTTACTGATTTCTAATTTACTCCACTGTGGTCAAAGTGCATACATGCTCTGTATAATTATGGTATTTTGAAATGTATTGAGGCTTATTTTATGGCCCAGAACATGACCCATCACAGTGAATATTCCATGTGCATTTGAAAAGAATGTGCAGGTTTTGATTGTAGTGTTCTCTAAATGTCAATTACATCAATGTGGTTGATAATATAATTCAGATATTCTGTATCCTTAGTAATATTTCTGCTTAGTTCTTCTAATTTTGATTCAGTAATCAAAATTACTGAATGAAGGATGTTTAAAATCTCCGATTATGATTGTTTATTTCCTCCTTTAGTTTTGTTAATTTTTACTTTACGTATCTTGAAGCTGTATTACTAGGTACATACATATCTGTAATCAATATGTCATACTGATAAATTGATCATCTTATGATGAAATTTTATCTGCAGTAATATTCCTTGTCTTGTCAATGTCTCTAGTATTGCTAGTAATATTTCTCATCTCAGAGTCTATTTTGTCTGATTATTACAGCCGCTCCAGCTTTCTTAAGATCAGAGTTTGCAGGCTGAGTGTGGCGCTCACACCTGTAATCCCAGCACTTTGGGAGGCCGAGGTGGGTGGATCAAGAGGTCAGGAGATGGAGACCATCCTGGCTAACAAGGTGAAACCCCGTCTCTACTAAAAATACAAATATTAGCCTGGTGTGATGGCGGGCACCTGTAGTCCCAGCTACTCGGGAGGCTGAGGCAGGAGAATGGCGTGAACCTGGGAGGTGGAGCTTGCAGTGAGCTGAGACTGTGGCACTGCACTCCAGCCTGGGCAACAGAGCGAGACTCCATCTCAAAAAAATAAATAAATAAAAATAAAAGATCAGAGTTTGCACAGTGGATCTCTTTTTATTCTATTACTTTCAACCTATGTGTGCCTTTATTTTTAAGGAGGGTTTCTTTTAGGGACCATATAATGGGATCTTGATTGTTATCCAGGCTGATCATTTCTGCCTTTTCATTCAAGAATTTAGTCTATTTACACTTAATATATTATTAATATGTCTAGATTTAGCAAAGCAATTCTGCCATTTGCTTTCTATTTGTGCCATCTGTTTGTTTGTTTGTTTCTCTGTTCTTTATTTCTTGCCTTTATTTAGATAATCAAATATGTTAAGTAGGATTTCATTTGATTTCTCTATTAGCTTTTTAGCTATACCTTTTTGTATATATATTTTTTTGGTTAGTGGATGCTTCAGAGGTTACAATGTGCATTGTTAATTTATCACAATTTATAGAGTTAACATGTTACTACTTTAGGTAAAATAAAAGAACCTTGAATGTATAACTTAATTTGTCCCCATCCTCTGTGTTACAACTGTCATGGAGAACATCTACATATGATATAAACCCCACAATGGAGTGTTATAAAGTTTTTGTTAAATAGTTTTATGTATTTAAAATAAATTAAGAGAAGAAAAGGAAAAATATAAAATATATAAAAATACGGTTTTTTATAATTACCTGCGTATTTATCATTTTAAGTGATATTTACTCCTAATAGATCCAAATTTACCATCTGGTATTAATTCCTTTCATTCTGAAGAACTTCCATTAGCATTTCTCATGGTAGGCAGAAAATTTTATCAGGTTTTGTTTATGCAAAAAATGTCTTTATTCCACCTTCAGTTTTTAAGAATAGTTTTGCTGGAGATAGAATTCTGGGCTGATAGGGTTTTCCCCCCCAGCATATTAAAAATGTCACTCCATTGTCTTCTGGTTGCCATTGTTATTGATGAGAAGCCAGTCATCATCTGTGCCCTTGTTCTCCGAATATAATATGTAGTTTTTCTCTGACTGCTTCTTTTAACAGTTTAACCATGACATACCTATCTTGGCTTTCTTTGTATTCTTTTTAGGGTTTGTTGAGATTTTTGGACCTCTAAGTTGATATCCATCACCCAATGTAGAGGTGTTTGGCCATTTTTCAATATTTTTTTCTCTTACATTCTCTTTTTCTCTTCTGGGACTCTCGTTACATATATATTAGACAGTTTGTTCTATTCATGTTTCTTCATATATTTTCTCTTCATTCTTCAGATTGGGTAAATGCTTTTTATCTATTGTTAAGTTCACTAACTCTTTCCATTATCTTTAACCAGCTGTTGAGTGCATCCAGTTAAGTTTTTGTTTCAGTTATTGCTCTAGAATTTCTATTTGGTTCTCCTTTTATACTTTGTTTCTTGATTGAGATTCCCATATGTTCATTCATTATGTATATAACTTCCTTTAAGTTCTTGAAGTTATTTTTAGTAGCTGCTTTAGTCCTTGAATGCTATCTGTATCATCTGGGTTATCTTGCGTTTGGTTATAATTAACTGCTTTTCTTTTTTCTTTTTATTTGTTACTCTTTCTTTTGAGTGTATGTTACACTTTCCTGTTTCTTTTCATAGCTCATGGTTTTTACTGGGTCCTGGACATCATTAATGATGTATTGTAGAATCTGTAGGTTCATCTGAGTTCCCCTGAAGGCAAGTGACTTGGCTAGATTCAAACTCTCCCTCCTGCAACAGGCAGCAGCTGAAATCTTCACTTAATTTTTTTATCTTTGCACTGCTGGTTTTTCCCCAAGACCCCTGGTATCTCCCCCACACCTTTGTGGTGTAGTTGCTTAGCCAAAGATTCAGGTGTATTTTGTAGGAAGATTTGAGGGCTCACCCCTTCTGTGGCTCTCTCTCTTCCAGAATCTCCACACCCCAGCATTCAGAACTCTGTCCTCTGACCCTTCAGGATAACGAGGCTGATGCTTTCTGGCACCCAAGCATTTGTGGACTGGGGCATGCCCACAGGCAAAAAGCCACAGACTCATTGGTCTGACCTATAAGACAACACATGGTAAATAGTGTGTTAAATTAGGGGAACAGGCTGGGCACGGTGGCTTATGCCTGTAATCCCAGCACTTTGGGAGGCTGAGGCAGGCAGATCACATGAGGCCAGGAGTTTGAGACCAGCCTGACCAACATGGTGAAGCCCCGTTTCTATAAAAATACAAAAATTAGCCAGGCATGATGGTGGGTGCCTGTAATCTCGTCTATTCAGGGGACTGAGGTGGGAGAATCACTTGAACCCAGGAGGCAGAGCCAAGATCATGCCATTGCACTCCAGCCTGGGTGACAGAGCAAGACTTCGTCTCAAAAAACAATAATAATAATTAATAAAAATAAATTAGGGGAACACATTCATGTGTAAATGCCTGTGATGTGGAACAACTTGCTTTCTGGAAGGTGCATTCTGGCCATGGTGGACAGACCACGGTCTCGCCATTTATCCCCAACACTCTCATGGCCTCTTCTTACTTAAATAAGGTCTGGAGTTTGGAGCAAAATTATTTCCACCTGCGGAACAAGGAACTGGTCTTAGTCAAGTCAGCATTCTGACTTTATCACTGGTGGACTCCTTTCACAAAGAGTTCTAGTCAAATTATCTCCTAGTATCACTGATGCTACCCGCTTGGCTTCAGACGGGAACAGCATGGTGGATGGTGTGCAAATGACTGATTTAAACATTTAAAGGAAACTGTAAATACAAGCAGCTTGTAACAGAAAAATTCCAAAGGTCAGTTCTGTCAAAGACAGAGAGTGAGTTGAGGACTCAGGAAATACACTATGGGAAATTTACAATCTTTTGAAAGAGTAGAAGGTAGGAGGTGCGGGCTGTGTAAGGTTTAGTTAACGCCCCAGCCAATCACCGTGTGGCTCTGGGGCCATCTAGTGGTGAGAAGTGAGTCAGGCTCACACAGAACAGAAAAATCCCCAGGCACTGGCCGTGGGGCTCTGGGTGGCATCGAAGGCGTTTGGGAGGGGACGGGGGCGGGGGCCGGGGAGCGGTGGTGGTCGGGGAATAGTCCCCAACAATACAGATGGGATTAATCCAGCACACTCGAATTCAAACACACATATCCCTTTCTGCTTTCCTTAGGTAAATTAATTTATTGTAAGTTTGACTTTTCATTTTTAAAAAGCTTAAAATTTTTTTCACTCATTATAAGAGATAAAACCTCTGGGGGTGATAGAGAAACGTAAAAGTTCTAGCAAATGTCTATTGTGTTCTGACGATGTCGTGGGCACCGCGATGTATGTCTGAGGTTCAGTCCTCACCACCCCCAGCAGGCAGGAGCCATGGAGACCCCACACTGGGAGGGTGACATGCTCAAAGCTGGTGCCAGGACGGGGGACTGGTGTGCCTGATCACAAAGCCACCTCCCTACCTAAGTGTGTGTACTTAACTATGTCTCAAATGCTCAACATAGCCGATTGTTTATTTAAAAGTGAAGACTGTTCGACTTTTAGCATTTTCATGGAACAAATTTGTATCATCTGCCACGATATTAAATGAGTGGTTTTATATAGAATTGTAAAACTACCTATTTGAAAGATGTATGCCTCTGACAGCAAAGAAATATATGTTTATACTTTCTTGTGGGCAAAGATGGCTTTGAACAGAAGGCAGTTTTTACTTACTGCCAAAATTCGTGAGGACTTTTATCCAGCCCAGGATAAAATGTACTGTTTCTTTGCTCCCTCTGCAGGTCACCTTTTCTCTCCCTAGCCAGTGGTTCTCACACTGCCCTCCAGGGGTCACTTGGCAATATCTGAACACATTTGTGATTGCCACAGCTTGGGGAGGGGGCGCTCCTGGCATGGAATGGGTGGAGGCCAGGGGTGCTGCTCAGCACCCTGCCGTGCCCAGAATGGGCCTCCAACAGCAAAGAAGTATCCAGCTCAAATGTCAACGGTGCCACAGTGGGGAAACCCAGCCTTAGAGTTTCTCCCGTTGTCGTTTGGGGTGCAGTAGCTTCCCAAATGGCAGTCACCCACCCAGAGCTTTTGATTTCTGGGTAAATGAGGAAACAATTGAGCCCTTCAAAATAGTTCAACCTGCTCAGACTTGGGCACAGAGCCAGTGTCCCGGCCTTCTGTTGAGGAATTCCTGCCATTGTGCGCTGACAGAGCCCTTTTTGGGTTTTATATTTGGAAAACTTTCTCTGGCCCCTCTCTCCTTCTGTGGGACAGTTGTGCAGCCTGTTTCCGCAGCTCCTCACTTAGGCAGTACCACCAGGGTCTCTGCCTTTCGACTTTGAAGAATGTAGCTGGTTACTCCTTCCCTCCCTTGAACTTGTTAGTTGCCTCTTCGGATTTCAGTGCTTGCAGCCCTTGCCCACCCAATCTCTCTCCGCCTTTCTTTAGACCTGAGCATGCAGAATTCCGAGGGTGGAGCGGATTCGCCAGCGTCCGTGGCTCTGCGTCCCTCGGCGGCAGCCCCGCCTGTGCCAGCCTCCCCGCAGGTAACGCGCGCCTCTCAGCAACAACAGGGTGGCCACAGTGTGGACGCGATCTCTATGGGTTTGAAAGCTGCTCAGATCTGCAAAGAGAGGAATCTGTATTTTTCTGAATGGACTTCTCAGTCCCAGTGCTGCTGCTGTTGAAATAGGCACAATTTCCTTAACTGTATTTGGCTTTTTCAATATTTGTTAAAAAGATCCCATCAAGGAAACAATGACATGAATGGAAAAGAAACCACTCTCCCAAATCTGACTTGATCTCTTCTTAGCTTTCAGTGGAGGTTTTCTTGTACTTGGAAATGACCCTTTTACACAGAAATGCTTTATTAAGAATTAAGAAGTAAGGCCGGGTGCAGTGGCTCACACAGGTAATCCCAGCACTTTGGGAGACTGAGACTGGCAGATTACTTGAGGCCAGGAGTTTGAGACCAACCTAGGCAACATAGCCAGACCCTTTCTCTAAAAAAAAAAAAAAAAAATTAGCCAAGCGTGGTGGGCTGCACCTGTAGTCCCAGTTCCTTAGGAGGCTGAGATGGGAGGATCACCTGAGCCTGGGAGGTTGAGGCTGCAGTAAGCCATGATTGTGACACTACACTCCAGCCTGGGTGACAGAGACCTTGTCTTTAAGAAATAAAAAATAAAAAATTTAGCCAGGCATAGTGGTGCACGTCCTGTGGTCCCAGCTACTCAGGAGGCTATGGTGGAAGGATTGCTTGAGCCCAGTGGTTTGAGGCTGCAGTGAGCTGTAATCATACCACTGCTCTCCAACCTAAGTGACAAAAAAAAAAAAAAAAAAAAAAAAAAGGCAAAAAGGCAAAAGATGAGTTAGAATTTTTTTTTTTTTTTGGGGGGGGACGGAGTCTCGCTCTGTCGCCCAGGCTGGAGTGCAGTGGCACGATCTCCCAGGTTCAAGTGATTCTCCTGTCTTAGCCTCCCGAGTAGCTGGGATTACAGGCGTGTACTACCACGCCCGGCTAATTTTTGTATTTTTAGTAGAGACGAGGTTTCACCATGTTGGCCAGGCTGGTCTCGAACTCCTGACCTCAGGTGATCTGCCCGCCTCAGCCTCCCAAAGTGCTGGGATTACAGGCGTGAGCCACCACGCCCAGCCTAGATGAGTTAGAATTCTTAAGATTTTGTTCAAAATAGAATCTAGCACCTGAATGAACATATTCTTTAAAATTCGCAGAGAGAGAATTTTCACATTCAGGCTTTCTCTGCTCCTGGATTTCTACCGTGGAATGAAATAAGCCATAAAGAAGACAGAAATACAAAGCGAATGGCACCGGCCACATGAAACAGGCTGGAGGCTCATCACAGTGTGCAGAGGTCCACTGTGGCCGTGTGACCACCTCGATCTGGAATCTAAAAGTTAGGAGCACAGCAAAAAGAAATGATTATGGTTTTAAAACACACAATTCAGGGCCAGGCATGGTGGCACATGCCTGTAATCCCAGCACTTTGGGAGGCCAAGGTGGGTGGATCACCTGAGGTCAGGAGTTTGAGACCAGTCTGAGTAACATGGTGAAACCCTGTGTCTACTAAATACAAAAAATAATAATAATAATAAATTAGCCGAGCATTGTGGCACATGCTTGTAATCCCAGCTACTCGGGAAGCTGAGGCAGGAGAATCGCTTGAACCCAGGAGGCAGAGGTTATAGTGAGCCGAGATCGTGCCATCGCACTTCAGCCTGGGCGACAAGAGCAAAAATCCGTCCCAAAAAACACAAAAAAACAAAAACAAAAAAACACAATTCCGCAAAAACAAAAAGGCAGACAGTGAAGCGGTTTATTTGATGTAGTGTGTATGGTCAGACATCTTTAGCTTTTATTTCTTGCACATATGGCAGTGGGGAGGGCGTCTTGGAAGCCCATCTGAGGTGAGGATCAGACGCCGTCGCCCTGCCAGCAGTTGTGGCCTAATTGATATGTTTCCGTGCCCACTTGAAATTGTCCAAGAGGAGTCAGCCCTCAGGTCTTCCTGCCAAGCCCCTCTCTCAGGCTCTCCCAGGCCTAGGTGGACTCTGCCTTCCTCTGCAGCAGCCACCATGGACAGGTCTCAGTGCCACTCACGGCCACCATGTGTGTCCCAGGTTTCATCACTGTGGTCCCTCTCTGAGGACTTGCCAGGACCCTGTGAATTCTCCAAGCACACGGCGCCCAGCTCACCTGGAATCAGAATGCCCTTGCGCTGGCATCCTTATTAGCACCATCTTCATCCTTAGCTCCACTCCTGCAACACAGGGGATGGCGTGTCCTCACCCATCACCCCTCGTGATGTATATATGGCAGTCACTGCTACCTGTGACATTCAGGGTTCATGCCGGGAAATCACAGCACTGCAGCCAATGACTCCGAAAGCCCCAGCTCTCAATAAACACACAAAACACTCCTGTTCCTCCCTCGACTCGAGTTCACTTTGACCCTTCCCATTTTGATAGCTTTGTGTGGCCAATCGGTACTCCCAGAAAAATAGCAAAGCCACACTGTGCAGATTTGACTTAGGAGGCTGGAGAGCAGTGGGGTCAGAGAGCGAGGGACCCAGACACAGGGCACCTGGACTCGAGTATTCTGTAGCCAGAGGCAGCACTTGAGCCCTCTGGCTTCATTAACCTCATCAGAAAATGGAAACAAGTCCGGGTTATACTGCAGAAGCGAGGGGCGCCACAGAGTGCTCTCCCACGCAGTGGTGCGGATGGCTATCCAGAGGGCCCCAGCAGTCCCCTCTGTACTAGGGACGATCAGTGTCACCTTGCTGCAGACTACAGACCCACAGAGGCAAAGCTGCCTGGGCGGGTGAAGGTGCATGTGCTTCCGTGTATGTGTGTGTGCATACGTGTGTGTGTGCCCACAATTCGTGCATATGTGTGGTGCATGGGCTGAGTGTATGTGCACACTTGTGTATGTATGTGCATTGTTTGTGTGCCTGCACGTACCTGCCGTGTGTCTGCCCAGGTCGGTGTGAGTGTGCAAGTCTGACCATCACCCCGCCGTCGCCTCTGATCAGTCCTGCCTATGTTTTAATAAAAAGCACATGAACAGACAAACAGCATCTTACATTCTGTGTGTATCCTCAGCACTGACCTCTGACAAGTCTAACTGGCCTTCTCTCCCTTCCCTTTTAGAGGGTGTTGGTCCAGGCAGCCAGCTCCAATCCCAAAGGGGCCCAGATGCAGCCGATCTCCCTCCCCAGAGTTCAGCAGGTACCCCAGCAGGTAATGACAAGCACCGCAGCACCGTGCAAACCGGGGCGCAGTTAGCACTCAGCAATCCAGAACAATCTCTGAAGGATGCATCCTTTTCTGTGGCTGCTGTTCCTTGTTGTAAGCTTCAGTTTCTTAGCCAAAAGACTTTTCCAGAAGCTGTGCAATTTTAAAAAAATCATTTACTGCAGATAGTTTTGCAGAAAGCCAAGAAAGCTGGTGATCTTTCGTTCATTCAGAAATTCAGCAAGCATTTGGGGAACCAGTGAGCACCCCGCACCTGCTGGGTGGAGCTCAGGTAGAAATGCAGACAGAAACAAAGGGCTCTGGACTGGAGGAACCATCTGCTAGTGAGTGCCATACCCTCAGATGCGGGCACAACAGAGGAAATGCTTCTTATGATTTCAATTATCTAAGAACAAAGTTTGAAAGCACGGCTGACCAGCCAAGTAGCAACACAGATCATCAGCTTGGGGACACTCTAGAAGCATGGTTAGCAAACTGTTTCCAGAAAAGGCCAAATTATACATTTTTGGGGGTTTGTGGTCCAGGCAGTCTCTGGAACAACCACTCAATTCTGCCATTGTATCGCAAAAGCAGCCATAAATGATATGCAACCAAATGGGTGTGGCTGTGTGCCAATAAAACTTTATTTACAAAAACAGGCAGTGGGCCAGATTTGGCCCTCAGGGCCGGAGTTTGCCAACTGTGCCCTGCAGAATCCTGAATTAAAGTTAACTCAGGCTCCTCCCTAAAAGGAGCCCTGAGGCCCTAGAGAATGCACCGCTCTTCAGGAGGGTCCTGCCTAGATTGGCAGTCTGTTCACAGGCATTTGTCAGGTGACTGTGTCCATGAGAACTAGGAAGGTTTGCAGGATCACAGGAAGGAAAAGGCTCCAGACA
This sequence comes from Homo sapiens, assembly GCF_000001405.40. Taxonomy (NCBI): domain Eukaryota; kingdom Metazoa; phylum Chordata; class Mammalia; order Primates; family Hominidae; genus Homo; species Homo sapiens. The sequence continues at coordinate 6,043,302 of NC_000019.10, read as the reverse complement.
GGCCCAGCGGGGACGCAGGGCCTCAGGCCAGTGGCTCTGTCTTAGCTGCTGTCTGTCAAGGCACTCCCCAGAGACACCAAGGAGAGGAGATTCCAGAAGCTTCCACCACTTTTCTGGTGCTGGGCCTGCCCCAGCTCTTTCTGTAACTTCTGCATTTCACTTGGACCCCAGAATTCGACATTTGACTTCCACCCCTGGGGCATCACCCAACAGATGTTAACCCCTGGAACTTGTGATTCTGGGGGTGGTGCGTTGGACAAGTGCATACCATGCTCAGTGGTCCAAGGAGGGGCAGGTCAGCCCCATCCTGCAGCTTCAAGCACAAGAGGAAGGTCACCATGACACCATGACACCCGAACAAGCCCACTTCTGTGGCCCTCCATCTTCTCACCCCAAAATTCAGTGGATGTAGACAGCCACTAAGATGCCCTCTGGGGTGAGAGTTTGAAGTCCCATGTGCAAAGCGTTTGGCTTCCACTGCTCGGACTAGAGTCCCTCGGGGCCTGTCAGCCGAGGCTCTGAACTGATGTTTCAGAGAGGGGAGGGCAGGGCAGCGGGGGTGTGCTGGGGTCCCCCCATTGCCCCATCTCTCCAGGCATGCCGCTCCTTCCCACTCTGTTCAGACCATCACATTCTCTCCCCTCCTCTCTGCCAGGGAAGGGGCACCAGGGCCACCCACGGGGGGTGTTGGGGCCATGTAGAGTCTAATCTGCTCAGCCCCCTGTGCACTGCAGCCTGCACGCCAGCTTGAGCTACAGAGGGAGACCCTGTCGCAAAAAAACAAACAAACAAACAAAAAAAAAAAACAGAAACCAGGGACAGTCCTGTGAGCCAAGGCTGGGCCTCTGTCCACAACTCTAGTTTCCACTGCACTGGAGGAGCGTTGTCATTCTCCTGGTCCCGCCCCCACGTATACAGAGGAGCCAGGGCGCACAGACACGCTAGCAGAGCTCTGGGGATCAGTCGCAGCTCCCTGAACTGTGTGGGCCCGTTTGGAATATGTCGTCTGTACATTACTGTCTCCTCAGTGTCTTTCTAGGCGTGCCGACTGTGGGCGGGAACATTGTCATTTGGTACTAAATGTTCATAAAGGCAATAGAAGACACGTCTAGCTTGAATAATCTGCAGGCAACTCACGAGGGCGTGACTGGCGGTAACGCAGCGTATCCGATGTTTCAGGTGCAGCCGGTGCAGCACGTGTATCCTGCCCAGGTGCAGTACGTGGAAGGGGGAGACGCCGTCTACACCAATGGAGCCATGTGCGTGCTTCTCCCGCGGGCCACACCCGGAACCCTCTCCCTGACTCCAGCCTTTGCCACCTGGGGAGGCATCAAGCAAATTCCTCTCCCTTATGCTTTTGGCGATGTGTTCACTAAATACTGTTAAAATGCTATTAGGAAACTGGGCAATATCTCTACAAAAAATTTTAAAATTAGCCAGACATGGTGACAAGTGCCTAGAGTCCCTCCCAGGTAATCAGGAGGCCAAGGTGGGAGGATCGCATGAGCCCAGGAGTTGGAGGCTGCAGTGAGCTATGATCACGCCTGACTGATGGAGCAACACCCTGTCCAAAAAAAAAAGGAGCGGGGTGGGAGCTGAGGGATTAGGACATCATAACCCTGTGGAGATTTCAGAAATCACAGACTTTTGTACTTTTTACTTTTAGAAAAGATAGTCTTGGAAAAAAAAAAAAAAAGGCTAATCCTAACTCTTCATTCTGAAGTCTCAGTCTTTGAGATCCAGAAACCATCCACCCCTGTGTGTTTTCCCCTCGCCTCTGTTAAACTCCAGCTTTGTATAATGTTGATAGAACTTGATTTTCCATGTTGCAAGGATGTCTAGAGTTTTCTGCTCTGTAACTGTGTGATGCTTGGGGTAGGAAAGTATGCATCTCCCGTGCAGCTCACTTTACTTTAGACGTGAGTCCTTTCGCCTGCTTGTCTGTTTCCATTTGGCCTGGATGGCTCCCCTCACAAGTGCAGGGGCTGTACATGAGAACCTGGCTGTGACTTCAGGGTTGTGATTGGTGGAGTTGTATGATTCTAACCCCAGCCACTGTGGCGGTGCACACCCATCACCCCAGCTACTGTGGCGGTGCACACCCATATTCAGAGGCTGAAGCAGGAGGATCACTTGAGCTCAGGAGGCTGAGGCTGCAGTGAGCTATGATTTTGCCACTGCACTCAAGTCTGGGCTACAGAAGGAGACCCTGTCTCAAAAAAACAAAACAAAAAAACCCCTGGAAATTGACATTGGGGTAAAACTGTTAACTAGCCCACAGGCCTTATTCAGTTCTACCAGTCTGTATGCACGTGCTTTTGCGTGTGTGCTTGCATGTGGAGTACATGTGGCTTTGCATGTTCATGTGTGTACCCTTGCATGTGCGTGCGTGTCTATTTCTTTGCATTTTTAGCCCATGTGTAGATTTGTGTAACAATACCACCATCAAGATACAGAACTGCTCCATCTCCACACAGGAGCTCCCTCATGTGACCCATTTATCCACTTACAATTTTAAGTTTTATTTGTATTTATTTTTTTTAAGAGATAGGGTCTTGCTCTGTTGCCCAGGCTAAAGTGCAATGGTGCAGTCACAGCTCACTGTAACCTCAAAGTCCTGGGCTCAAGCAGTCCTCCCACCTCAGCCTCCTGAGTAGCTGGGACTACCGGCACGCACCACCACACCTGGCTAAATCTTTTATTTTTTGTAGAGATGGTTCTCTCTATGTTGCCCAGGCTGGTCTCAAACTTCTGACCTCAAGCAATTTTCCCACCTTAGCCTCCCAAAGTGCTGGGATTACAGGCGTGAGCCACCACGCCTGGCCTAGAATTTTTAAGTGGTCACTTTTTGATAAGTCAGCCTGTGGTCCTAAAGATTTTGCAACATGGTGGCTGTGAACTTGCGCTGCATTTGAGTGTCATATGCCACGTCCGAATTGCTCCATATGTCTGGCCTCTCTGGGTTGCAGCTTTTACGTGATGTTTGGCTGGATATCTGTGAACTCAGACAAGGCATTTAAATGGGACAGCGTCCCATGCGTGACTTCTCTCTTTCTAACAGACGAACAGCCTACACCTACAACCCCGAGCCTCAGATGTACGCCCCCAGCAGCACGGCTTCTTACTTCGAGGCCCCAGGCGGTGCCCAGGTGACCGTGGCAGCCTCGTCCCCGCCAGCGGTCCCCTCCCACAGCATGGTGGGCATCACCATGGATGTCGGGGGGAGCCCCATCGTCTCCAGCGCGGGAGCCTATCTCATCCACGGGGGGATGGACAGCACCAGACACTCCCTGGCCCACACCTCCCGCTCATCGCCCGCCACGGTATGTAGGAGGCTCTTGGGACCAGCAGGGTAGGCCATGAGTATTCTCGAAGCAGCGGCAGCAGGGATGGTGAGTAAGAGGCAGCCGGAGGCCCGGAGGGGCTGTCGTCTGCTCTGGGCCCAGGCGGCCCCACGATGGAGTCGGGCCAGCCTCAGACGGGCCACGCAACCATAGGCAGGCCTGCAGAGTTCTTTGAACTTCAGTTGGCCATTGGTATAAAGAGGAGGACAAGCCATGCGTCATGGGCTGTTGTGAAAAGGGAATGAGTCAAGCATCTCTCCACTGGTGGATGCTGCAGCCTCCTTTGCTCTTATTATTGTTATCGTTGTTACTATCAAGCTTTTAGAGGCGTGGATCAATCCATCCATGAGACACCTGGACTGAATCAAGCAGGGGAAGTTTCCCTGCAGCCTCTGCCGAGTTCTCGCTGCCATGCCCCGATGCAAAATAACGACTTATCTGCTTTTCCAGAGTCTCTACATTTAAAACTCGATTACCCGTGTTTACTTTTCATTTATTTTCCTTCTTAAATTAACACAAAGTAAAATCAACTTTTTGGTGTACAGCCTTGTGAGTTTTGACATGGGTAGATTTGTGTATAATCAGGTCACAGAACAGTGCATTGCCCTGAAAACCCCCTCGTGGTATTTCTTGGCAGTCACAACCTCCCCCATCCCCAGCCCTTGGCAACTGCTGATCTGTTCCCTATTGCTGTAGTTTCATCTTTACTAGCGTGGTGTATAAATGGAATCGTACAGATTGTGACCTTTTCAGACAGGCTTCTTTTACTCATTCTGGTGCCTTTGAGATTCAGTCAAGTTGCTGCATGAATCCGAGTTGCTTTTTTTTGTTACTGAGTAATATTCTATTACACTACAGTTTGTTTATTCATTCACTAGTTGAGGGCCATTTGGATGGTTTCCAGTTTGGGGTGATTATGAATAAAGAAGCTCTAAGTTTCACATGCAGGCTTTTGTAAGGACATATGTTTTCTTTCTTTTGGATATATACCTACAAGTGGAATTGCTGCTGGCTCATACAGAAAGTGTATGTTTAACTTTATCAGAAACCACCAGTTTCCCAAGTGGTTGCACCATTTTGCATTCCCACCAGCAACATACAAGAGTTCCTCTTGCTCCTCTCCGTCAGCAGCATTTGATGCTGCTGGTGCTCTTGGTTTTGGCCATTCTAATAGATGTGTGGTGGTACCTCATTGTGGTTGCAACTTGCATTTTCTTTATAGCTAATGATGGTAGCAGCTTTTCATGTGAGTGTAGATGCTCTGGTCAGGTGTCACTTCAAGTCATTTGCTTCTTTTTTAACTAGGTTGGTTGTTTTCTTATGGTTGAGTTTTGAGAATTCTTTATGTATTCTGGATACAAGTCTCCTGTCAGATATGTGACTTGCAAATATTTTCCCCAGTCTTTAGTGTGTCTTTTCATTCTCTAAAAAGTGTCCTTTGCAGAGAAAAAAAAAATTTTAATTTTGATGAAATCCAACTTATCAATTTTTCTTCTGTGGCTCATGCTTTCAATGTCATGTCTAAGAACTCTTTGCCTATTTGCACATTATGAAGATTTTCTCCTGTTTTCTTTGAAAAGTTTTATAGTTTTACTTTTGTTTTGGGTTTTTTTTTTTTTTTTTTTTTTTTCTGAGACGGAGTCTTGCTCTGTGACTCAGGCTGGAGTGCAGTGGCACCATCTTGGCTCACTGCAACCTCCACCTCCCGGGTTCAAGCGATTCTCCTGCCTCAGCCTCCCGAGTAGCTGGAATTACAGGTGTGTACCACCACACCCGGCTAGTTTTTGTGTTTTCAGTACAGACAGGGTTTTACCATGTTGGCCAGGCTGGTCTCGAATGCCTGACCTCAAGTGATCTGCTCACCTCGGCCTCCCAAAGTGCTGGGATTACAGGCGTGAGCCACCGCGCCTGACCATAGTTTTACATTTTACATTTAGATCTGCTTCCTATCAAGTTAACATTTGTATAATGTAAGGTTTAAGTTGAGGTTCATTTTTTTTTGCTTATGAAACAATGTGTTGTTCTAGCCTCATTTGTTAAAAAGACTACCCTTTCTCCATTGGATTGCTTTAACACCTTTGTCAAAAATCAGTTGGCCATATGTGTGTGGGTTTATTTCAGAGTGTCCTATTCCATCCCATTGGTCTGTCTGCCTATCCCTTTACAAGTAGCATAGTCTTAATTACTATAGCTTTATAGTAAGTCTAAAATTGAAGAGGATGGTTCCTCCCACTTTATTCTTCAGTATTGCGTTGACTATTTATATAAACTCAAAGTTTCTGTATAAGTTTAGATCAATTTATCTATATCTACAAAGAAATGCTACTGAGATTTTGACTAATTTGCACTGAACCAACTTGGGGAGAATTCCCATCTTTACTATGTTAAGGCTTCCAATCCATGAACATGGTACGTTTTCTCCATTTGTTTAGATCTTCTTTCATCAGCATTTTGTAACTTATACAAAATTCTGTACATGTTTTGTTAGATTTATATCAAAGTATTTCATGTTTGGAGAGCTATTGTAAATGGCATTGTGGGTTTTCTTGGCATTGATCTTTAAATTTCTGTTTCCAACTGTTCATTTCTAGGATTTAAAAAATGGTTGATTTTTGGCTCTTTATCTTGTATCCTGTAATCTTGCTGAACTCACTTTTTTTTTTTTTTTTCTTTTTGAGACAGAGTCTCTCTCTGTCGCCCAGGCTGGAGTGCAGTGGCGCAATCTGGGCTCACTGCAAGCTCCGCCTCCCAGGTTCACATCATTCTCCTGCCTCAGCCTCCCGAGTAGCTGGGACTACAGGTGTCTGCCACCACTCCCGGCTAATTTTTTGTATTTTTAGTAGAGACGGAGTTTCACCATGTTAACCAGGATGGTCTCCATCTCCTGACCTCGTGATCTGCCTGCCTCGGCCTCCCAAAGTGCTGGGATTACAGGTGTGAGCCACCCTTCCCAGCCTGAACTCATTTTTTGGTTCTAGGAGCTTCTTGTTGCCTGCAAATATAACTGCTTTATTTCTTTCTTTCCAATATGGACAAAAAGAAATTTCATTTCTTTTTCTTGCCTTTTTGCACTGGCTAGCACTTGCAGTGAAATGTTGAACAGGGGTGGCAAGAATGGACATCCTTGCCTTTTTCCCAGTCTTAAGGGAAAAGCCGTCAGTCTGTCACTGCTAAGTATGTGATGTTAGCTGTGGGTTTTTCACAGATGCCCTTTTTCAGGTTGAGGAAGTTCCCTTCTTTTTCTAGTTTTCTGGAAGTCTCTATGATAAATAGATGTTGAATTCTGTCAAACGTTTTTTTACATATGTAAGCATCAGCATATTTTTGTCTTCATTGGGGTGTTAATATAATGAATTGCATTGATTGACTTTCAATTACACAATAACTTCTTATTTTGGTGTAAGGCTCATCTCCTGAGATAGAAGGTGGTGGTTTAGCCTTGTCTCTGTGTTTTTGTTTGTTTGTTTTTGGTTCTGGTGTGTTCTGGGGTCACCCTGGCATCAGAGAGGCCCCATGAATCTTGCTGTCCTCTCTCTTCCTTTGTCCAGAGTGACCCCCAGGCCCTGGCTTTGAGGACAGGCGTAGTGCCCCATGCCTCCTCCCTCTCTTCTCGGGAGGAGTCACTTGCTTTCTAGAGGCTGTGAAATTGTAGGGTAGTGTCTGCTGCTTCTACCCCTAGCCACTTAGTGCCTCGGTGCCATTAGCACCCCAGGCCAGGCAGCCCCAGCAGACCAGACATACTTCTCCCGCCTGGGATTGGCTGGGTGGAACTAGGTTTAGTTGTTATGGAACAGAAAGCTTTCCTCGCAGACTACAGTAATTGTCACGAATGTGGCACATTTGACTTAGCAAACGGCATCAACTTATAACAGTAAAATAGACTAGGATTGCAAGTCACAAATTTACTGAGAAACAATCATGTTCTCTGTGGATTCAGAATTACCTCATTGCAGCAAACATACTGCTCAGACCCTGGGCCACCACCCTGGAGCTGTGGTTTGTTATGTGGGTTGCTCTGGAAGAACTAAATTATTAAATCAATTAGAAATCCGTGAATAGGCTATGTTTTCACACACACACACACACACACACACACACACACACACACCCCCCACCAAGCTCTGGGGGAGTCATCATCTTGGATACGAATCTGATTCCTGGCTTCTGACTGCTCTGCTGTTGTTTATTGGCTTGTTGTTGGCATAAGAACATCCAACAAGGATGCCACAGAAATTCGAGACTTTCCAAGAGCCAAGAACAACCATGGCCCTGAAATTGCAACAGAAATACAGCTGCTGGACCCAACATTGGATGTCTACCAGTTCGTTCATGTCAGAGTTTTGTTTCTCGGGACTTTCGCTTAGTCCTAAAGACAGAGCACAAACACTGAAGCAAGTCCTCACTGGTAGCCTCGACGAGTGATTCCAGACTCTTGGTGACCAATTTTCTCGAGTATTTATTTCTGGTTAAAATGTCATCCATATTATAAATCTTAAAAATTAGTTGCCCAAATGGTGAGTTTTTGATACACACGTTTTCTATTGTGCTTTTTTTCACTGCGTGGAGCAGGGAAACTAAAGTGGGAGTTTTATTCTTGTCCTTTCTGCCCAAGTGGAACCTCCTTTTTTACTGTTTGGGTTGTGTCCAGGGGAGGCTGAAGGTCACTCAAGGGGGAACAAGAAAGAGACCCCTCCACCCTGGGAGCAGCCCTCAGTGGGCCCTTCCTCCTGCAAGACCCAGAGGCCACATGAGGCCATGCTGTGAAAACACACAGCCTCTGAGGGTCACACGGTGGGCCCTGACGAAGACAAAAAGTCTTTATCTTTTTTATCTTTTTTAAAATTTTTCTCATACTTTAATGCATCTTTTCTCATTTTATTAGTTTAAATCTGACTAATACAGCAGAAGATCAAAAAAGTCTAATGGATTTTAATTGCAGCTGAAGTTAAAATGTCCTACTGTACTTTATTAGTTTAACAAGCTAAATATTCTGCCTTTGACAGCTTTCTTTTTGCCCAAGAAGGGTGTCTTATGATACCCGATACATAATACCATTAAAAGAGAAATTTTCGGTAAATTAAACAAGAGTCTATCTGAGCAAAGAACAACTCTCCAGTCAGGCAGCCCTCAGAACTAGAAAAGGTTCAGAGAGCACCCCTTCCTGGTGGTCCATGGAGGTGGCTCGCAGAGGCCCATGGCACCTCCACGCAGTGGCACAGCTCATGACAGAATCAGGAGTCACACACATCTCTTCTTCTGTAGCCTGGCTCTTCAGTGAAGATGTAGAATGAAAAGTCACCTGGGCACAGTGGCTCATGCCTGTAATACTAGCACTTTGGGAAGCTAAGGTGGGAGGATCACCTGAGCCCGGGAGTTCAAGACCAGCTTAGGCAACATAGTGAGACCCCATCTCTACAAAAAACTTAAAAATTGGGCTGGTATGGTGGCTCATGCCTGTAATCCCAGCACTTTGGGAGGCTGAGGCGGGTGGATCACAAGGTCAAGAGATGGAGACAATCCTGGCCAACATGGTGAAACCCCGTCTCTACTAAAAATGCAAAAATTAGCTAGGTGTGGTGGTGCGCACCTGTAGTCCCAGCTCATCGGGAGGCTGAGGCAGCAGAATCACTTGAACCCGGGAGGCGGAGGTTGCAGTGAGCCAAGATTGTGCCACTGCACTCCAGCCTGGTAACAGAATGAGACTCCGTCTCAAAAAAAAAAAAAAAAAAAATTAGCAGTGTGTGTCTGTAGTCCCAGCTACTAAGGAGGCTGAGGTGGGAGGATCACCTGAGCTGGGGGAGGTTGAGGCTGCAGTGAGCCGTGATGGTGCCACTGCACTCCAGCCTGGGTGACAGAGCAAGACTCTGTCTCTAAATAAATAAATAAAAATAAATCACTTGGGTACTCCTACCATCTGCCAGAAGCCTGCTCAGCCCCTGCATAGCAGAGCTTTTGTCCAATGATCAGAGCGAATTATTTGCCAGCCAACACACATGATGATAATCGCTCTTCCCACTGCCTGCCTTTGACATTCCCACACTCAAGATACTGTTTGATAAAGGAATGTCACCAATGGCACATCTGCTTTTTCTCTCACTATGATATTTATCACCACTTTTTTTTAAAACTTCATAGAGTTCCCTTTGTGGTGCAGTTTGAAGTTGTTTGTTTGTTACATTTGTTGCAGCTGATGATCCAATATTGATACATTATTGTTGACTACAGTCCCGTTCACATTAGGGTTCACTCTTGGTGGTATGCGTTCCATGGGTTCTGGCAAGTGTGTGATCCTATCTTCACTTTCAAAGCTGGTTTTATAGGGTTTTTTTTTTTTTTTTTTTTTGCAAAGGTGGGAAAAGTACCCAGGTTCACACTTACAAGTAACCCTTTGAAAGATATGTTTGAAGATTTAGTCTCAGATTTGCCTGTAGTGACAAGATTAAAGACTGTCATACAAAAAGCACTATTTTTCACTTATTCTGAAGCATTTCAATTGATTTACCAGACAAGTCATCCTTCTTTGTCTGAAGTGACATAACCTCACTTGACAAGCTGTTAAGACAACCAGGGACAAATTGATCATTGATCTAATAATCGATTAGCTACTGATGGATCTCTTGAGTGTTGACCCATTTCTTATTTTCCTGTTTTCTTTCATGGCACCGTATGCAAAATGATCACAGTATGTGATCCCAGATTGGGTCCTGGTCCAGAGGAAGGACATTAGTGAGAAAATGGATCATATTCTATAACGTCCGTGGATTAGTTAAGAGTGTTGAAGTTAAGAGTGCGCAGTGGCTCTGTAAGAATCGGTCCTGCTGAGTGTGGTGGCTGATGCCTGTCATCCCAGTGGCTCTAAGAATCGGTCCTGCTGGGCGCGGTGGCTCACACTGGTCATCCCAGCACTTTGGGAGGTGGAAGCAAGTGGGACTGCTTCAGCCCAGGAGTTCAAGACAAGCCTGGGCAACATTGCGAAACCCCATCTCTACAAAAAATACAAAAATTCCCTGGTTGTGGTGGCACATGCCTGTATGTTCAGCTACTTGGGAGACTGAGGTGGGAGGATGGCCTGAGCCCAGGAGGTCAAGGCTGTAGTGAGCTGTGATCGTGCCACTGCACTCCAGCCTGGGTGACAGAAGGAGACCCTGTCTCAAAACAAAGAAACAAACAACAGAATTGGTTCAGAAAGATAGCCACAAAATATTAAGTAACAAACACAAGTTGCAGAACTAAATAGAGACTGAGGGAAAATAATTAAAGCAAGTGTGAATGTGATCTCATGCCCCACAAAGGACGTGCACAGAGATATTGGTGGGGGCTCCCCCTGCCAAGTGGGAGTTGGGAGGAACAGACAAAGGGATTAAAATGCCCCATCTCCCTCCCCCAGCCTCTCAGCCCTGCTGGCCTCCTCTGCCTGGACCACAGCGTTGGGCTTTTCCCTTCTCCAGGCCTAATTCTATGATTTACCACTCTGCCTTCAAAATTCCAGTCATTCTGCTTTTCCCTTTTAAAAACAATCTGCATTCTTGGGCCAGGCGCAGTAGCTCACGCCTGTAATCCCAGCACTTTGGGAGGCAAAGGCAGGTGGATCACAAGGTCAGGAGATCGAGACCATCCTGGCCAACATGGTGAAACCCTGTCTCTACTAAAATACAACAACAACAAAAAAATTAGCTGGACGGGGTGGCACGCACCTGTAGTCTCAGCTACCCAGGAGGCTGAGGCAGGGGAATCGCTTGAACCTGGGAGGCAGAGGTTGCAGTGAGCCGAGATCGCGCCACTGCACTGCAGTATGGCGACAAAGCAAGACTCCATCTCAAAAAATAATAATAATAATAAAATAAAAACAATCTGCATTCTCTATAAAGACCCCAAAGGGTTGTTAGCATTTTAACTTGAATTGGCTCCTTCTATGGTAACATGTCTAAGTTCTGTTTTAGAACAGAGGGTGAATTAACTACAGCAGGTTTGGGAGTGGCCCTCTCTGTCTCGTGTCTCCATATTTGGGTTTTTGGGGAATGACCTCCTCTCCCTCCCTACACCATGGCCACTTCTAGCTCCAGAATGAGCTATGATCATGCCACTGCACTCCAGCCTGGGCAGCAGAGAGAGACCCCACCTCTTTTTTAAAAAAGAATGCAGAGGCATCAAACTGTCCTAGAAGTCACTGTATTTTTCATCACCACATGCTCACATTCTAAAAGATGTTTTTAAGAGAGGAGAGAAAGAGGCTGGGTGCAGTGGCTCACACCTGCAACCCCAGCGCTTTGGGAGGCCAAGGCGGGTGGATCACTTGAGGTCAGGAGTTCAAGACCAGCCTGGCCAACATGGTGAAACCCCACCTCGACTAAAAATACAAAAATGAGCTGAGCATGGTGGCGGGCACCTGTAATCCCAGCTGCTCGGGAGGCTGAGGCAGGAGAATTGCTTGAACCTGGGTGGTGAAGGTTGCAGTGAGCCAAGATCGCAACACTGCACTCCAGCCTGGGCAACAGAGTGAGACTCGATCTCAAAAAAAAAAAAAAAAAAAAAAAAGGGAAGGAGAAGAAAGAAAGGAAATACTAGTTTCATTTAAGAATGTCCTTGATGAAGCAGTAAAAATTATTAATTTTATTAAATTTCAACTCTTGAGCACACATCTCTTTACTATTGTGTGTGATGAGATGGGAAGTCCACCAGAGTACAATGACCACCTCCAAGAAAAGCCTGTGTGTGCTTGATTGACGTGTGGGCAGAACTAGCCATGGTTTTCCTAAAACTCCATTTCTGCTTGAAAGAATGACAAACTATGATTATTCGGACTCAGGTATTTGGCAGACATGTTTCCAAAAATGAACAAAGCCTGACATATTAAGAAAAACAGCTGGCAGGTTTTTGTGGCCAATGATAAAATTCAAGTTTTTAAACAAAGAAATGAAAATTTTGGAGTTGTGTCTGCCAACCAGGAACCTGACAACTTCTCAAAGTTAGTGACTTTTCTGATGAGGTTGGTGGTGATATTAATGAATGTGATTTCTTGACACTATGTAATGAAATGTGGCAATGTCTGGAAGATCTGCAAACTCAGTAAACTCATGTTTTTCAAGTGACCAGTATATGATGTTACAAAACCATACCCATTAGTAAAATACTCATTCAAGTTGCAAGGGAGACTAAAATTACTTTTTGAAATTAGTTATATGTATATTTTTTATTGAGATAGAATGTATGTAACATAAAATTCACCATTTTGCAGTGGACAGTTCAGTGGCATTTAATACATTCACAGTGTGGTACAATCACCATTATCTAGTTCCAGAATATCGTCATCACCCTGAAAGGAAACCCCATCCCCACTAGCAGCCACTCTCCATTGTCCCTTCTTCCATCTCCTGACAGCCACTAATCTGCTTTCTGTCTCTAGGGATTTGCCAATTCTACATATTTTATGTAAAAGGAATTATATAATATATAGTCTTTTGCATGAGGCTCATCCATGTTGTAGCCTGTGTCAGAACCTTATTTTTTTGTGTGTGGCTAAATTATTCCATTGTATGGATGGACCACATTTTGTTTATCCATTCATCTGCTCATTGACATGTGGGTTTTTCCGCTTTCTGGCACTTTGATTAAGTCGTTTCACTGCCCTCTGGCCTCCATGGTTTCTGTTGAGAAATCAGCCATTACTCATATTCTGGATTCTTTGTTTGTGACGCCACTTCTCTCCTACTGCTTCTAGGATTCTCTCTTTGTCTTTGCCTTTCAACAGTTTGATTATAATGTGTCTTTGGTGTGGATTTCTTTGAGTTTATGCCACTTAAAGTTTGTTGAGTGTATAGATTTAGTTTAGAGTGTATAGATTCATGCCTTTCATCAAATTTGGGAAGTTTTCAGCCATTACTTATTCAAATAGACTTTACCACTTTCTCCCTCTCCTCTCTTTCTGGGACTCCTATTGTGTGTTTGTTGGTAAGCTTGGTGGTGTCCCACAAGTTTCTTAGGCTCAGCTCATTTTTCTTCATTCTTTTTTCTTTCCGCTCCTCAGACTGGGTAATCTCAATTGACCCATCTTCAAGTTCCCTGATTCTTTCTTCTGCCTGCTCAAATCTGCTGTTGAACCTCCCCTAGTGAAGTTTTCATTCCAGCTATTATACTTTCAACTCCAGAAATTTTATTTGGTTCCTTTTTACAATTTCTGTCTCCTTATTGATATTCTACTGGTGAAACATCACTCTCATGTGTTTTTTTGTTGTTTTGTTTTGTTTTTGTTTTGATATGGAATCTCACTCTGTCACCCAGGTTGGAGTGCAGTGGCGTGATCTCAGTTCACTACAAACCCCGCCTCCCAGGCTCAACAGTTCTCAGGCCTCAGCCTTTCAAGTAGCTGGAATTACAGACGCCCACCACCACGCCTAGCTAATTTTTGTATTTTTAGTAGAGACAGGGTTTCACCATGTTGGCCAGGCTGGTCCCTGAACTCCTGACTTTAAGTGATCCACCCAACTCACCCTCCCAAAGTGCTGGGATTACAGGTGTGAGCCACCACACCCAGCCTGTCATGGTTTTTTATAGTGCTTTGTACATGATTTCCTTTAGCTCTTTAAGTATATTTTATATAGTTGATTTAAACTCTTTGTTTCATAAGTCCAGTGGCTCGATTTTCTCAGAGATAGTCCTATTTATTTATTTCTACATATGGGCCATACTTTCTTTTTTTTTTTTTGCGTGCCTCATAATTTTTGTGGAAAACTGGATATTTTGAATAGTTTAACATGGTGACGCTGAATATTGGATTCTTCTGTTCTCCCCAGGGTTTGCTGTTGCTGCTTATAGGTGTTGTTGATCGTTTGTTTCATGACCTTTCTGAACTAATTTTGTAAAATCTGCATTTTTTTTTTTTTTTGAGACAGTCTCACTCTGTTGGCCAGGCTGGAGTGCAATGGTGTGATCTTGGCTCACTGCAATCTCTGCTTCCCGGATTCAAGCGATCCTTCTGCCTCAGCCTCCCCAGAAGCTGGGATTACAGGCATGTGCCACCACACCCACCTAATTTTTTTTGGTATTTTTAGTAGAGACAGGGTTTCACCATGTTAGCCAGGCTGGTCTTGAACTCCTGGCCTCAAGCAATCCACATGCCTCAGCCTCCCGAAGTGCTGGGATTATAGGCGTGAGCCACCGTGCCCGGCCAAAATCTCTATTCAGTTACCTTAGTGGTCAGCTAGTGATCTGACGAAAATTTCCTTAAATGCCAAGTTTCATCTTTTTTTTTTTTAATTAAGGGTTCACCTGTTTGCCATAATCTTTTAATTCATTTCCAGAGTTCTGATAAAGTCGATTCTGACAATTTTTGCCCATTTTTTGACTGCTTTTGTGAAGGGATGGGTTCTAGAGTTCCTTACTCTGCCATTGTCATGGATGTCAGCTCAAGATTAATGGATTTTAATGTAACTGAGGATGAAAAGCTCGTTGATATGGTTTCAGATTCCACATTGCAGCTAACCTTTAAGAAATTACCAGCTGTCAAGTGTTGCTATAGTATCAAGTAAAAATATCCCCAGTTATCTGAAAAGGCTATTAAAACAGTGCTCCTTTTCCAACTATATATCTGTGTGAGGCCAAGTTTTTTCAATGTACTTCAACTAAAACAGTATACAATAACAGATGGAGATACAGAAGTAGATGTGTAGAGTTGTCTTCTGTAAGTCACGCACTCTACAGATTTGTGAAGATGCGGAATCATTCCACTCTTCTTTTGGTTTTGTTGTTTTTTTTTTTAATTTGGAAAGTGTACCTATTCTTCAAGTGTTAACCTATAATGGGTTTATTATTTTTTAATGAATTAATACATCTTTTTAAAAATTATCTATTTTGATTTCTAATAAGGGAAATAATACATTTAACTTTTAAAAACAAAAGCAGGCAGGGTGTGGTAGCTTATGCCTGTAATCCCAGAACTTTGGGAGGCCGAGGTGGGCGGATCACTTGAGGCCAGGAGTTCAAGACCAGCTTGGCCAACGTAGAGAAATCCCGTCTCTGCTAAAAAATACAAAAATTAGCTGGGTGTGGTGGCACATGCCTATAATCCCAGCTACTCAGGAGGCTGAGGCATGAGAATCACTTGAGCCTAGGAGGCAGAGGTGGCCCTGAGCCGAGATCACATCACTGCACTCCAGCCTGGGAAACAGAGTAAGACTCTGGCTCAAGAAAAAGATAAGTAAATAAAGCTCTTTTTCAGGGGTGGGTGGTGAAATCTCAAAATTTTGTAATAGTGTATTTTTTAATAGACCAAATGATTGAGACCCACTATGTTGGAGAGACAGTGTTTTCTTCTCCTTCCCAGTCTGCTGGGCACTGGACAAGGCCCCCTGAGATTAGGGCAGACTTCCAGAGGTCATGCACTCTGCTCTCCCGGCACCCATAGGTGAGCGATGTCCCACAGGGAAGGTGCCACAGGGCAGTACTCACGTGGCTGCCCAAGCTGCAGATCAGAATGGCCCCAAGACATGGGGGTGGCATGTGTGTTTTTTCTATCATAGAGGTGGCGATTGCCTTCTCATCGCCTGCACCCTGAGGCTGATGGGTGGGAGAGGTCTCACCATCCTACTTTCCCCTGGTCCTCCAGTGTACCTTCTGCACTTCTTAAAGGTGACCCTGACGTCCTCCTTGGCTTGAAGCAAGGGTAGCTAATGAGAGAAGGCAGAACCACCGTGGTCGGAGGCCGTGGGAGAAGCAGTTACCCTCTCATTCTTGAACTCAGCTCCGCTCGCCTGCTCTCTGAAATACACACTCAACCTGCTCTTTGCAGAAGTGTCAAGTCTTTGGCCTCCTTAAGAAAGGAAGCATATACTTCAAGTTCATCTCCTCCCGCTTCAGTCCTCTGGTCGTCAGGGTGGGCTGCAGCAGATTTTACGTCGCTGTTTTCCGTGTGCGAGTCTAGGACAAACCAAATGCGTGCGAATGCCTTAGTGGCCACGCACAGCTGTGTGCCTCCTCCATCGCGTGGACCTGCCGCCCACCTCCCTCCCCACCTCCATCAGGTCCTTCAGGATCCAACTCAAAAGCCCCTTCCTCCAGGAAGTTCTGCTGTTAGCTGCCCAACTCTTTCTTCCAAAACTCTTTTCTCTTTTCCAAAAATCTTCTTCGCACAGCTCCCACTGGGTAAACATTCGCCAGACAGTGTCCAGTGGCCCTGGATCCTACGGCCTCCTGGTGGCAGGGTCTGAGTCTTTGGCCTCGCTGCTATTTTCCCAAAGCCTCCAGCAGCGGGGAGACCCTGGGATTTGCGACAGGACAGCCTGGCTGGGGAGTCAAGGCTGCCATCTCTCCTTG
Source organism: Homo sapiens (assembly GCF_000001405.40). Taxonomy (NCBI): domain Eukaryota; kingdom Metazoa; phylum Chordata; class Mammalia; order Primates; family Hominidae; genus Homo; species Homo sapiens. The sequence continues at coordinate 6,026,650 of NC_000019.10, read as the reverse complement.
CTTTCATTCTGGTTCCCCATCGATGTGGCGTGGGGAAAGGAGCAGGTGACTATGATGCTGGCTTGGCTGACACTGGAATGGATGCAGTGGCTGCATATTAATGCTACGGCGTGCACACACATATGCCAGGTTAAAGTTCAGTAGCAAGTTTTTACAACATGATTTCTGCTGCTTCTGTTGGACGGGCTCTCGGGCTTACCTACGTGTGCGAAGCAACACTCCCTACCGCAGCTTTCATGCACAATTTAACTCACCCCCGCCCTGCCTGCGTGGAGCCTCATTTTTATTTTGTAGGAGCTCGAATCATTATTTGGATATTAATAAAAACAAATCTTGGCTGATGCTAACCATCTGATTTCCTTTTTTTTTTTTTCCATTTTGTTTTGTTTTGTTTCTGCACACATTTTCTTTAGCTTGAAATGGCGATTGAAAACCTCCAAAAAAGCGAAGGAATCACATCACACAAAAGCGGTTTACTCAACAGCCATGTAAGTGTGCGTCTGACCTGGCAACCTGTCCCTGCTCTGCTTGTAACCTGCATAGACATTTTTAAGACAAATGAAGGCAACCAGGTGCGGTGGCTCACACCTGTAATCCCAGCACTTTGGGAGGCCAAGGCGGGTGGATCACTTGAAGTCAGGAGTTTGAGACCAGCCTGGCCAACATGGTGAAACCCCGTCTCTATTAAAATAGAAAAATTAGCTGGGCATGGTGGTGGGCGCCTGTAATCCCAGCTACTTGGGAGGCTGAGGCAGGAGAATCGCTTGAACCCGGGAGGCAGAGGTTGCAGTGAGCCGAGATCACGCCACTGCAGTCCAGCCTGGGCAACAGAGTGAGACTCCATCTCAAAAAAAAAAAAAAAAAAAGAAGAAGACAATAAAATGACACCTTTAAAGTGTCATTTGTGAAAGGTGGTTGAGGGGAAGCCAATCTAGAATCCTACATCCAGCAAAAAATACCCTTCAGCAATGAAGGAGAAATCAAGACAGATTCTTTATTTGTAAAAGGTAGATAATAACAACACCTACCTCCTCGGGTTGTCATAGGGAGTAAATTATTTAATGTACGTAAAATACTTTCAACAATACCTGGCAGGTGATAAGCAGTATAGTTATATATGAAAAATAAAAACAATACAAAAATCAGCAACAGCAACAAAAAAGAGAGAAAATGACATAGGATCGGGAATGCCTTAGACTCTTAGCTAATTTTCTTGGGATCCTCTCTTGGAAAGAAACAGTAATTTGAGAAAAGCATAAAGCAGCTAATTCATACAGATTTTAGCGTCTAGGATTTTTCTCCTCCCCTTGTCTCTTGGGAGAAGACCGTGATCACAGTCCCCATGACAGGAGGTTGGGGGCATCTCAGCTCTGCACAGCCCTGTAGCAGGATGGGACTGGGGGACGTGGCAGGCTCCGTCTTTATTTCCAGGGACAACAGAGAAGGAAAGCTCTGGCCCCCTCAGACTCATCGCTTTCACTTCTCCCCAAACGCTCTTGATTCGGTTTTGCACATAGCTGGAAATGTGTTCGGCATCTTAACACTGGGACGGGCCATCGAAGTCAGAATGTCCTTCTAGTAGTTGCTCTCTAGCACTTAAACTGGGCTCTGACATTCTCTTGAGAATTCAGACATCAGAGAAGAAGTCCCCTTCAGTGGACCCCAGTCATCACCGTGATCCCGTCCTGACTCCCGTCCTCACCGTGATCCCGTCCTGACTCCCGTCCTCACCGTGATCCCGTCCTGACTCCCGTCCTCACCGTGATCCCGTCCTCACTCCCGTCCTCACCGTGATCCCGTCCTCACTCCCGTCCTCACCGTGATCCCGTCCTCACTCCCGTCCTCACCGTGATCCCGTCCTCACTCCCGTCCTCACCGTGATCCCGTCCTCACTCCCGTCCTCACCGTGATCCCGTCCTCACTCCCGTCCTCACTGTGATTCCATCCTGACTTCTGTGCTGGCCGATGTGTAAAATGAGGCGTTATCAAAAGGCAGTGAGTGATTCTGGGGGCAGAAAGTGATGTAGGACAGGTCCAGAAACCTGGGTTATGGGTTAGGTACAGGTGTGGTCACCTGCTCACCGCAGCCCCTGACGAGGCCTCTGCCCTTTGCCTCAGGGGGCTGGTCACTAGAAGAAATGGCAGAAATATTTCCTTCTGCCGATTGTCTTGAAGCAAAAAAGACAAAACAAAACAAACACCATGCCAGACCCCTGCTCAGTGCCCCGCCCCTCTCCAGGCTGGGTAGGACATGGTCATCCTGTCATCTGTCACTGCTGGATGACATCCTCCCTGTAGATGAACTCAGGGAGAAGGGAGTCTTCCACACGTGCTTGGAGAGAGGATCTCCCCAGCCCCCAGTCTTAAACTCAGAGCACATACATGGGAAAATGTGCAGAATACCATTCCCCATTCAGCAAGGATCAGGCCATCTTCAGCCTGAACGCAAACCCATGCGGGTCCAGGGTATCAGCCCTGGGCGAGAGGGCTGCGTGACCCAGGCAGGATGGGGGTGCAGAGCCTGGACAGGCAGCAAGTCCACGGGAGAGTTAAAATGTCTATGGGAAAATGGGCTGGGCACGGTGGCTCACGCCTGTAATCCCAGCAGTTTGGGAGACCAAGGCGGGTGTACCACTTGAGGTCAGGAGTTCCAGACCAGCCTGACCAACATGACGAAACCCCATCTCTACCAAAAATACAAATATTAGCCGGGCGTGGTGGCACATGCCTGTAGTCCCAGCTACTCTGGAGGCTGAGACAGGAGAATCGCTTGAACCTGGGAGACGGAGGTTGCAGTGAGCTGAGATTGCGCCACTGCACTCCAGCCTGGGAGACAGAGCGAGACTCCATCTCAAAAAAAAAAAAGAAAAAATGTCTATGGGAAAATGCATGAGCCGCTTGTCTCTGGCTGCTGGGATCCTTCCTGCTTTCTAACACTTCATCCGAAAGGCAGACTTTCTCAGGTCGCTTCCCCGATGAAGATTCGTATTCCCGAGCTGAAGGTAAAATCTCTCGTTTCTTTTACTCACTGATGATTCGCTGTTGAGTTGTTTCCTTCTGTCATGAGCTGTGATCAGTAAGATTCCGGGCTTGGTGACTCGAAGCAAAGGAAGTAAAATAAGATCTTTCTAAAAAGTTCACCACACACACGGGCAGAATAAACTTAGATCTTGTTTTGGCAAATGTGAGAGCCAGAGAGGAAGAGAGGAGTTAAAGCACGTGATCTGCTGATGGACGGGGTGACGTGCCCTTGCAACGATTGTCCCCAGGGCTGCCTGTGGCTGAGACTGAGGTCGTGGTGGGCAGCGGCCTTCTGCAGGTCAGGCGGGGGCACAGCCACAGTGCCACCTCCCCTGCCAGCCTGACCCTGTGGCAGATAAGCCAAGTGTGTGGGAGCAGCTGGGCCCTGGAGACCCATTTTCCCAGTGGCCTCCCAGACCTCCCTTCTCAGACAGCCCCAGGCAGGTCGCCCCAGCAGCAGGGCCTGTGCGCCTCTTCCTTGCTGCCAGCTGGTGACGTCAGACCACCGTCTACCGTGTGCAGGGTTCTGGCCAGGTCAGTGCCGAACATAGGGAGTAAAAAAGGAGGAAAAGTCACTCCAGGGAGCTTAGCATTTGAGGGCAGAAGGTGGAAGACGTGGGAAACCCACCTAGGGAACCCCTCACAGACATCTCTGAGCGGAGCTGGCCACGTGTTCCGCGGAGCTGGTTCCCTCCTCTGCGCTGTCTCAGGAGGGAAGGTGTATTCAGGTGCTGGGAGCCTGGTAAAACGAGACAGCATTGTCCAGACCCAGCCGGTCAACAGGAGCTTCCCAGGCCTCCCCTCTAGGGGCTTGGACCCAGGGGGTCTGCAGGGCCTGGAGGTCTGCACATTGGAAGAACCTTCCAGCCAGCTGATGGTCAGCCTGGCGTGGAAACTCCCAGGGAGGAGGAGGCCCCCTAGCAGTGTCCAAACTGGAAAAGGGCATGATATGGCGCCGTGAAAATGGGGATTAGCTCTTCCAGAGGGAAGGGGACGGAGCCGGGGCTGGGGATGAAACATGTCTTCACCCGACCGGGTGTGGCAGGCCACCGACTTGAGCAGAAGAGGCGGCCTCAGCCCCTGGGGGCCACCGGGCTGCCCTCAGGCTACCAGCCGACCGGGACCCCGTAGCAGGTTCACCGAGTCTCTGTCACCATGAGGTGGCGCTGTCTGCTAAAGTAAACACATCACTTGCACACCCTGCGGGAGAGAGCTGCGTGTGGAAGAGTCGTATTTGGGTTATGTGACTTTTTGCTTTGAAATCAAGAAACACACATTGTCAAAGGTCATTTAGCCTTCAGCTGGTGACCTGTGTAGCCTGGCACGATGGCCGTGCTGTCCTGCAGGCCACAGTGGGGTTGCTAGAGCCGGCAGCTCCTCAGAAGGGGCCTCTGTCCAGAAGTGCCGCTGTTTTCCCTTGGAATTCCTGCCTGCCTCGGATTAGTGTCTTAGCTCAGTGCGTGGCCTCCACCCTCAACAACCCCTGCGCCTCCCACAACCCCTGCGCCTCCCGCCCACGGTCCCATCTGAGGCAGGGGCAGCCAATCTTCCAGGCGCTCGGCCCCCAACCCCACTGCGTCCTCGCCTCCTTGCTCCTCTCATGCCCACCCCCAGATGCTCTTCAACCTCACCTTCAAGAAAGATCCAGAACCAGGTGGCACCCCCCACCTCCTCCACTTCGACTACTTCCCGAGCCGCCACTGTCCCTGTGGATTCTTTCGGCCACCTCCTAGCCAGCCGTCAGCACCCACCCCTACCCAGCCTCCAGCCCCTTCTCACAGCAGCCACCAGAGTGATCCTGCTAAAACCCAGGTCAGATCGCCACACTGCTCTGCTTGGAAGCCTCCAGGGCTCCCCTTGGCCCTCCAAGTAGAACCGAGTGTTGTCAAAATGGCCCACAAGGCCCTGCAGGACCCGCTCTCTCCCACTCCTCACTGTGCTCCAGCCACACGGGCCTCCTCGCTATTCCTCCAATGCACCAGGCTCGGACCTGCCCCAGGGCCTTTGCACTGTGGGGCCCTCTGCCTGAAGCTCTCTTCCCCAGGCTCCCCCTCACCTCCTCTGAGTCTTCACTCAGTGGGCACTTTCTCAGTGAGCCCTGCCTGACACCCCCACCCCACCTCAACTTACTATACCGTTGCAGTCCTCCCTCCAGTCCCTCCGTGGCGGCGACCCCATCCCCTTTCCCAGGTGAATTTCTCTGACGGCACTCGGCATCAGCCCTCATTCGGTTCATTTTACTTATTTATTGTGGGTCTCTGCCAGACAAGAACGGACGCTTCCAGGGGGCAGGGGTTTTTGTCTTTTATTCGCCGTTGCATCCCCAGCACCTAAACAAGGCCTGGCATAGAGCCAGCTCTCGTAAATATTTGTGGAATGGGTGAAAAGGTGGATGTTCCAAGTCGGATTATGTCAACACAGGGCACACCTGGACGGTTGGAATAGCTGCCCGAGCTGCTAGTGTATGGCCCGGTGAGACTCTAACTCACCACCAGGAGCCAGTGTCAGGCAAATTTGCCCCCAGGAATAGAAACAAGTATCTTAGGAGACAAAGGGGGCCAGGTAGGTGGGCATGATCCCTGCCTTCCCACCGGCAGGTGAGGATATCTGTCCACAGGGGCTGTGCCTGCAAAGAGCCCAGAACCACAGGCCTTTGTTGGGGGGCCGGGGAGAGGGAGGCGCTGGCATTTCGGGATTTTTTTTCCTTAAAAGGAATGATTTGATCCATTTCATCAAGAAGTGTGCTGTCCTGACAGATTGTGGCAAATGTGGGTACACATGTACATTTCCTTGGAAAGCGTTCTGCTTATTTGTGTTTGATATTGACACAGAAAGAATGCAAATATCAGCAGACAAAGCAGACTGCAGAACATGCCCAAACCAGAAAGGTGACTCCGTCCAGCTGCTGCCTTTCCTGGCATGAAGGTACCCGAGCCCTCAAGAGCAGGGGAGGTGGGCGAGTGTGGTTGGAGCGGCTGGACCCTCGTGGTCGGTTTCACGGAACTGACCTGTGATGCTTGCCGCAGTCTGACGTGCCGCCAGGTGTGGGCTCCAGCACCGAGGGATGGGAAGGCCCGGTGCATAAGTGGCTCCCAGCCTGCTGGTGAGGCGTAGACCCTGAACAGAGTCTGCAAGCCATACTTCGGTTCTAACCCCATTCTCCTCCCAGAAGTTCATCAACACAGAAGAGGGAGGAAATAGACGCGACTGTTCCAGCCGCTTCAGTCTTCTCTGTGGTTTCTTGATGTTGAGCAAGAAGGACTTGCTGTCAAGACAACTATGCATCCTTTTAGTGTCAATGTCAACGTAATTACCCAAGCAAAGGATTCTACTCTTAAATAGCCTGGGGGTTCGGGGGTAAACAGCAGAAGGATCATCTGTTCCAAAACTTTCTTTTTATGTGTGAGCCAGTATGTCCTCCTGGTGGATGGAGTCTTATACTCTAACCTCTCAGGACTCCTAGTCCAGTGCTCCTTCCAGCTCACCGCCCGCAAAATCTGGCCTCACAGTTTTAGCCTGAAAATCCGCATCGTCATTTGGCTCCTTGAGATGTGGTGTCACTGGCCTTGGCTCCTGCTGCCTGTGGAGGACAGTCTAAGAAGTGGCACCTGTGCCCCCAGCCTCAGAATGACCAAGGGAAGCCTCTGGCTTCTTCACCCAGACACCCTCTGTTGCTCCCCATCTACCTCCTTGGACAGTCTTTCTCTGCTGCCAGGCTTGAGACATCTCCAGGATCCTGCAGATGCTCACATGGGCAAACCTGGCTCCGTCTCCACCCTCAGGGAGAGCATAGTCTGCGGGGAACAGGCGATAAATCAATCAGCACACATGACAAATCCGGACGGTGAAGCCACTGGGAAGAAAAGCTTCAGGGCCCACACTGCAGCTCCCGACTGTCATCCCAACACTTCTGGAAGCTGAGGCAGGAGGATCACTTGAGCCCGGGAGTTGGAGGCTGCATGAGCCATGATTGCACCACTGCGCTCCAGCCTGGGGTGGTGACAGGATGAGACCCTATCTCTAAATATATATATATATATATATCCCTGTCTCTAAAAAAAAAAAAAAGTATATAAAAGTATATACACACACACACACACACACACACACACACACATACTCACACACTAACTTCAACATCAAGGTTGTGGTTCATAGTATTCATAGCATTAAATACAGGGAAGACTCCGGAGCTCTTAAGCTCTTAAGGGTCCAAGCACTCTGCCAGAGCCGGACTTTGGAGGAGAAAAAAGCAACACTGCCTCCATTGTATTGGAAAAAGTCCAGTCCAGAAAGTCGGAAGATGAAGGGTGTGAATGACTTGATGGAAAGTGAAAACTCTGATGTCCCTTTTCCCAAAGAGGCAAGTGAGGAAGAGATGAAGTCTCCACTCCGGGCCCTTCTCAGGGTCCTTTGTTTTAACTGCCCCTTATTCAAAGGACAAGAGGGCGGGGGTCCCTCCCTGTGGTTATGGGCACAGCCAAGCACATGGCACCCAATGCTGGACGGATGAAATTGGCACCTGCTAACGATGGCAACTGCTAACGATCACCTGCACTCATGGCGGGGGGGTGGGGGACACTGCACTTCACACAGGGCCCTGCAGGCGGCAGGAGGCAGACTTTGTGGTAGCAAGAGGGCGAGGGGTCCCTGGTGCTGAGGAGGAGGTGATAGGCTACTTGAGTGATTCAGGGGCGGCCAGGGAACCGGAATCCAAGCTCAGGGATTGTGGCAGGAACCACTCCTGTCCCTTTGGTAAGGAGGGATGTTTGGCCACGGGACTTACCTGCAGGAGCAGAGCTGGAGGGGAGCTTGTGGTCAGGAGGTCTGAAGCCCTCCTGGCTTGCCCCAGAGGCAGGACGTGAGGTTGGACCCACACTTCGAGGCTTACGCTTTGCTCCTCTTCATCCTCAACACCCACGTGGGCAGTGCCCCTGCTGGGTGACTGACTCTTCCCACCCCTTGGAGGTTTTGTCCTCAGCTCTTTGGTTCCAAAGTAACACATCTGGTCCCAATCTCTACCCTGAACTCCAGCCCAAGACTTAACTTCCCCCTTCCTAAAATGGAACTCAGCCCCGCAGCTCACCTGCAATTCGGCTTAAGAGACCTCCGCGTTCAGGCCCCACACACCCCTTCACCTGAACCTTTGACCTGTTTGTCCTCCTGTGAAACGTTCCAGAACCCAGGGCAGGTCCTCACTCCACTGTGGCCCTGGGTCAACCCCTGTTAGGGCTGGAGGGGCCAGGACAGGCTGGATCGAGTGGGTCTTAGATGAGATAAAAGGGGTTCTGAGGTGCTGGTCGCTGGTGCAGGGCTCGTCAGAACCACCCCATAGCACTATTTCATAAAAAGGAGATGAAGGCCGGGCGCGGTGGCTCACGCCTGTAATCCCAGCACTTTGGGAGGCCAAGGCGGGTGGATCACCTGAGGTCAGGAATTCGAGGCCAACATGGCAAAATCCCATCTCTACTAAAAATACAAAAAACATAAGCCAGATGTGGTGGTGCATGCCTATAATGCCAGCTACTCAGGAGGCTGAGGCAGAAGAATCACTTGAAGCCTGGAAGTGGAGGTTGCAGTGTGCCAAGATTGCGCCACTGCACCTCCAGCCTGGGTGACAGAGTGAGACTCCATTTCAATAAATAAATAATTAAAGGGAGATGAATGCTTTCTTCCTCCCCAGCTTCTAATGCTGAGTTGGGGGGGTGGGGATGGGGCAAACAGACAGGCAAACGTGACAGTGGGGCGGGGGGGTGCCATGGGTACGCTGTGGTGAGTGGACAGATATTTCCCAGGGGACACGCCTACTTTGTGTCTTGTGGGGTGTGCGGGGCACAGGGACAAGGGCTTCCCAGGCCAAGGGCTGTGCAGGAGCCCAACATGCCCGGTGGGGGAGGGCTGAGGACCCAGCACTGCCCACTCTGAAGGGCCCAGGCAGCAGGAGCCCTTCGGAGCTCTGGAAGCGGGGCTCAGCCTAGACAAAGCAGCTGACAGCCTCGCACAAAGGGGACCAGGTAGAGACAGCTGGTTTCCCCCGACGCTCTTGACATGGGATCTGGACTCGGGCCTCGCTTCTGTGCGTGGAATTCCTGTCTTTCTGCAAATCGCAGGCATCAGTGCAAGCCTTTTGTATTCACATAGCAGACCTCTCTGGATCAGGGGACAGACGATAGCAGAGGGAGAGGTGGAAACCAGAATTAAGCCGCAGTCTTTAAGGCACCTGGGTGAGGGCATCAGTTGGTGGGCAGGCCACCTTTGCGTCCATGCCCAGTGTGGGGACTGAGCTCTTCGTGTGGACAGTTCTCGCAGCCCTTCTAACTGGATGTTCACCTCTCGAGGCATAGTCCTTGGCTCGGGACTCATTTAGCCCATCTTTTTGTTTTGTTTCGTTTTTTGAAAGAGACGAAGTCTTGCCCTGTCGCCCAGGCTGGAGTACAGTGTGGCGCGACCCTAGCTCACTGCAGCCTCAACCTCCTGGGCTCAAGCAATCCTCCCACCTCAGCCTCCCAAGTAGCTATGTCCTGCCTTTTGACTTAGACACAAAACCGTGCATATAAGCATTTGTGTATTTTACTGAATTTCCATTTGTACCTCCCTCAATAAGGGATCTCAGTACATGTTAGCTCACTGCTCACTACAGAACACAGGGCTGTGGGGCCCCCGAGTCTTCTTCAATCTTCCTGTTCAGCAACAGAATTTCTCTCCATTCCTGTATGTTGGGGAGCGATTTGGTGTTAAAGCCTGTGTGGTGTGTGGGTATTTCATTTAAGGGACTGAAGACAGAAGCTAATAGTTCCTGATCACACCCAGATGTTTACAAATTAAGTCCAGGAACCTGAAAACCAGGCTAAACATGAAAGAATCAATAAGCAAAAGAAAATGAGGGATTCATTAATCTGCTTAGAGAACTCAAATCAGTGACCATAAAGATGGATTTCTGGCCAGGCACGGTGGCTCACGCCTGTAATCCCAGCACTTTGGGAGGCTGAGGCAGGCGGATCACCTGAGGTCAGTAGTTTGAGACCAGCCTGGGCAACATGGTGAAACCCCGTCTCTACTAAAAATACAAAAACTAGCCAGATGTGGTGTCGGACACCTGTAATCCCAGCTACCTGGGAGGCTGAGGGAGGAAAATTGCTTGAACCCAGGAGACAGAGGCTGCAGTGAGCCGAGATTGCGCCACTGTACTCCAGACTGGGTGACAGAGCAAGACTCCGCCTCAAAAAGAAAGAAAAGATGGATTTCCTCATCCCATTTGGTAACACAGGGAACGCAAGTAATTCTCTTAATGAGTCCACGTTGGCATGTTAGCGTTCCTCAGGCTTCTGACAAACGCAGACGTGTCTTTCTTTTTACAGCTCCAGTGGCTGTTGGATAATTATGAAACAGCGGAAGGTGTGAGTCTCCCCAGAAGTTCTCTTTACAACCACTACCTTCGGCACTGCCAGGAGCACAAGCTAGACCCAGTGAACGCCGCCTCCTTCGGGAAACTGATCCGTTCTGTGTTTATGGGGCTGAGAACGCGGCGGCTGGGCACCAGGTGGGTAGACGATCCCCAGCCCACCTGTTCTTCCTCTTCCTTTCCCAAGAAATGGAGCTTTTGGGAAAATGCGAGGCTTCCTCCTCCTTTCCAGGTGGCCTGATTCGCAGCCACCTCTGGAGTGCTTGCAGTTACTTTCAATTGGCGGCAGCCTTGGCTGTGGCCAGGTGTAGCCCACGGTGTCGGCTTTAGAAGCCGGTGATAGGACGTGGGGATCACTCTGGTTTTCTCTCTCCTTTTGAAATTTCCCAAACAATACTTTTCTTTTTTTGTTTTAGAGCAGCCTCTGGGCCAGGTGTGGTGGTGCACACCTGAAATCCCAACAGTTTGGGAGGCCGAGGCAAGAGGATCACTTGAGACTAGGAGTTCAAGACCAGCCTGGGCAACATAGCAAGACCTCATCTCTACAAAAAAATTAAAAATTAGCCAGGCATAGTGGTGCACACGTATTTGCACACCTGTAATTTCACCTATTTGGGAGACTGAGAGGGGAGGAGCACTTGAGCCCAGGAGGTTGAGGCTGCGGTGAGCCACGATTGCACCACTGCACTCCAGCCTGGGTGACAGAGCAAGACCCTGTGTCAAACAAACAAACAAACAAAATGTAGCCTCTGGTTTATCCAGCAGAGCTGGATTTACCATTTCTCAGTGTTTTGTTTTTGAGACACAGCCTTGCTCTGTCACCCAGGCTGGAGTGCAGTGGCGTCATCTCGGCTCACTGCAGCCTCCACCTCCTGGGTTCAACCAATTCTCCTGCCTCAGCCTCCCAAGTAGCTGGGATTTACGGGCCCCCACCAGCACGCCTGGCTAATTTTTATATTTTTAGTAGAGACAGGGTTTCGACATGGTGGCCAGGCTGGTCTCAAACTCTTGGCCTCAAGTGATCTGCCTGCCTCAGCCTCCCAAAGTTCTGGGATTACAGGTGTGAGTCACTGTGCCCGGCCTCTTGGTGTCTTTTGCTGTACCTGGACCAATCCACCCCGCCTTCTCTTGGCCTATGGCAGCCCCGGGACATCACAGGCCACAGACTTATCACAGGCAATTATGCCAACTCTCCTCTAACAGAAAGAAACAGCAGCACCTCCAACCCAAAGCTGGTGGCCCAGAGAGTGCAGTAGGCTGCTGCCTGCTGAGGCTGTGATCCTGTGGCCAGCGAGGCTTGGCATCTGCTTTTGTGGGGTTGGGGCTGACTCACGTGCTCTCAAAGCCGGTGTCCTGGCTGTCTATAAACGGCGTGGCGGTGGATCCACGAGGACCAGAGTCCCTTATTCTCTGACACTTTTTCATCCTTCACAGGGAATGTCCTTAGGGAATGTGGATGCGTAGAGGAGGGACAGAAGCGGGAGGAAGCCACAGGGAAGCCTGGTCTCTGGGGACACAGCCCCTGCTCCTGGAGGGGCCTCCCCTGCAGAGTATCCCAGCTGCTGGCTTCAGGATTAAGGCTGATTTCCCCCCGTTTTCCCTCCTCCGAGCACCTGGCTAAACATGTACCTCATCTAGAAAGGGCCCAGGCTGTCTGCTATTGCAATGAAATTTAAAAAGGAAAAGAAGGGCCGGGCATGGTTGCTCACGCCTGTAATCCTAGCACATTGGGAGGCCAAGGCAGGAGGATCACTTGAGGTCAGGAGTTCAAAATCAGCCTGGCCAACATGGTGAATCCCCGTCCCTACTAAAAATACAAAAAAATTAGCCAGGCATGGTGTCACATACCTGTAATCCCAGCTAATCGGGGAGGCTGAGGCTGGAGAATTTCTTGAACCTGGGAGAGAGGGAGGTTGCAGTGAGCCGAGATCGCACTACTGCACTCCAGCCTGGGCAACAGAGTGAGACTGTCTCAAAAATATAATAATAAGAGAAAAAGAAAGAAAGAAAAAGAAAGGACCCAGGTGCTTCCTGCATGTCCCTGTTGCCAGCTCTGGAGAAATGGCATCCTGTGAGCTGGGTGTCTCCACAGCCATGTCTGTGGGTTAATGCTTCCCTCCTGTAAGGACTCTGTGAGCTGTTTTCTGAACTAAATTGTTTAAAGCCCTCTGATCATCATTCTCCCGTAATAAACTAATGTAATGGTTCCCAAACAGTGCCTTATTCCAAAACGTGTTACTAGATGATTGAAGGGGGTGGGGAAGAGTTGTTAATAATAATGGTAATAATAATGGAGATAAGCCATGTGGAGCTCAACAAAGCTGACCTGGTGTTCTCAGCACAGGACTTGTCCGAGCCTTTATTATACTAGCCTGTGAGAGAGGACTCTCTATGACAACGGCATTATGTACAGAATTCCTTGATCACATTCCTCACACAGTTCAGGAAATGCTGAACCAGAGAGGCCAAAGTGAAAGGTCAAGATCCGAGTGTGGTGGCACACGTCAGCTACTCAGAGGCTGCAGCAGGAGGATCACTTCTACCATCCGAGTGTGTTGGCACACGCCAGCTGTCCCAGCTACTCAGAGGCTGAGGCAGGAGGATCACTTGATCCCAGGAGGTCAAGTGATAGTGACCTCCTGGTAGTGACCTCCTGATAGTGAGCTGTGATTGCACAACTGCACTCCAGCCTGGGTGACAGAGTGAGACCCTGTTTCTGAAAAAAAAAAAAAAGAGAGAAGAGGCCAGGCGCAGTGGCTCACGCCTGTAATCCCAGCACTTTGGGAGGCCAAGGCAGGAGGATCACTTGAGCCCAGGAGTTTGAGACCAGCCTGGCCAACATGGCAAAACCCCGTCTCCACTAAAAATACAAAAATAAGCTAGGCATTATGGCTCACGCCTGTCATCCCAGCTACTTGGGAGGCTGAGGCAGGAGAATCTCTTAAACCCGGGAGGCGGAGATTGCAGTGAGCCGAGATGGCACTGCTGTACTCCAGCCTGGGCGACAGAATGAGATTCTGTCTCAAAAAAAAAAAAGAAGAAAGAAAGAAAAAGAATCCCAACCTGTCTTGTTGTTCAGGACATCTGCAAAGGGAGCTGACCCTGGGATGTTTGGTTTCCAGGGGCAACTCGAAGTACCATTACTATGGGATTCGTCTGAAGCCGGACTCACCACTGAACCGGCTGCAGGAGGACACGCAGTACATGGCCATGCGGCAGCAGCCCATGCACCAGAAGCCCAGGTGGGTGCCGGGCCGAGCTGGGAGGAGCTGGCTCTCCCCTGGAGCATGGAGGGGTGGGTGTTTCTCCAACACGAAACAAACTCATCATAACTCCCCAGTCTCCAGCATCCTGGGAAAGCCAAGGTATCCCCCTCTGCTGAGACTGAGGTGAGTCTAGCAGGAGACACAGGAGGCTGGGATGCAACCTCCTCCAGCTAACTTTTCAGACTTTTTTTAAAACCGTTTAAAACTGTTTTTAACAGACTTCATTTTTTAGAGCCATTCTAGGTTCACAGCAAAATTGAGTAGAAAGTACAGAGAGTTGTTCTACACCCCCAGCCCCGCTCCCCACCGCCTCTCCCACCATTCACCTCCCCCACACAGCGGTGCATTGCTCATGACCCGTGACCCTCCGCGGAGCCAGCATCACCCCCCAGAGTCCACAGTCAACATCAGGGCTCACTCTTGGTGTTGTACATTCGACAGTTTGGACAAACCTATAATGACATGTGTCCCCCATCACAGTGTCACGCAGAGTCCTTTCACAGTCCTACACATCCTCCATGTTCTGCCTACCCAGCTTTCCCTCCCCACCCCAGTCTGCAGCAACCTCTAATCCTTCTGCCATCCCCACAGTTTCCCCGTTCCCCAGTGTCATATAGTTGGAATCACAGACCTTTAATTTTTAAAGCTTAGGAAGTAAAGAGAGAGAGGACACTGCAAATAACCCAAGAAGCCAGGAGAAAGAAGCAGATGTGCTCAAGTCACGACTTCTTCTTCACCTTTGGATCCAGTGGCTGGAAAGCCCTGGTTATTTTCTGGAAGATCCTCTTCTCCATCCATCACAAACTTTCTCATCTTCTAAGGCAGGAGCCAGCAAACCTTTCCTGTAAAGAGCCAGAGAGCAAATATCTTAGCCTTGCAGGCCAGACAGTCTCTGTCATGACTGTTCAATTTGGCTACATCCTGAAAGCAGCCACAGACAGCATGAGGATGATGGGCATGGCTGTGTGCCAGTAAAACTTTATTTATAAAAACAAACAGCAGAATTGGCCCTCAGGCCATAGTTTGCTGGCCCCTGGTTTAGGGCCCATTCAAATATCACTGCCTCCCAGTGTGCCTCCACAAGTGCCCCCCCTGAGGGCAGGGGCCACATTGCAATAGCCCCACGTGGCACCTTTACACCTGGTGCTGGACCCTCTGCACAGAGCCACCCGTGTATGTGTGTGGCTCAAAAACCCATTCCAGCTGCTCTGCGTAACCCATTGACTCCTGACCACACAGCCACTCCCAGGAGTTGGAGGTTCCAGGAGAGAGTTTCCAGAGCATTCCTTCTGTACCTCGTTGTCTGCAGACATGGACTCTGGAGCTCACTGCTGTTGTTCAATTTGGGCCCCTGGCAGACAGCTGTGAACCTGTGCTCCAGGCAGTGTGTCATTTTAGGAGCAGCGACACACATTTCAGGGGGACAGGCTGATGCCATTTGCATTTGGAAGCCACAGCCTGAGCCTGTGTCTGTGTGATGCCCACGGCCTGCCCTGAGCCAGGTGGTTTACACACACCTCGCCAGCATGGTCTCCCGCCTCCCTGTAGGCCTGGCCCCGCTTCGTATTTGAGGAGGGAGGTCCGCTGGAGATGCTCCAGCTCAAGCCGGCTCCCTCCCTGCCCCCACCACACCACACACCGGGCCCTGAGGAGTCCAGCGCCTGGAAAGTGCTGAGTGTTTCTCAGCACTGCCTGCACAGGCTGGCCACCACCATCTGGCTCAAAATGAAAGTCTCAGAACTTCTAAGATTGCACCAATAATAAGATGTTTGTGATTCACGCAAAGAATCTCCCTTTTATTTTATTTTATTTTATTTTATTTTAATTAATTTATTTATTTTTTTTGAGACCGAGTTTCGCTTTTGTCGCCCAGGCTGGAGTGCAATGGCGTGAACTCGGCTCACTGCAACCTCTGCCTCCCAGGTTCAAGTGATTCTCCTGCCTCAGCCTCCTGAGTCGCTGGGATTAAAGGCATGCGCCACCACGCCCAGCTAATTTTGTATTTTTAGTAGAGACGGGGTTACTCCATGTTGGTCAGGCTGGTCTCGAACTCCCGACCTCAGATGATCCACCTGCCTCGGCCTCCCAAAGCACTGGGATTACAGGCGTGAGCCCCTGCGCCCGGCCAAGAATTTCACTTTTTTTTCTAAGAGAGAAATGTTAGGGGGAAAATATATATCTATTTTCTCAAGTGTCCATTAACAAACTGTGGTTCATCCATATGATGGAATATTATTCAGCCTTAAAAAGGAGGAAATTCCAACACAGGCTACAACTCGGTGGACCTTGAGGACATAACGCTCAGTGAGAGAGACCAGTTGCAAAAGGACAAATCCTGTGTGACCCCACTCCTAGGAGGTCCCTAGAGTCGTCAGATTCACAGAGACGGGAAGTCAGATCAGGGGTGCCAGGGGCTGGGGACAGGGATGGGGAGTGAGCGTTTTATGGAGACAGAGCTTCAGTGTGGGAAGATGATCAAGTTCTGGAGATGACGACGGTGAGGGTTGCACAACCAGTGAATGTGCTTAATGCTGCTGAGCTGTGCACTCAAGATGGTTCCGATGGTAGCTTTTGTGTTATGTGTATTTGACCGCAACTTGTAAACATCACACACACATGCCTGACTGAATCCTGCCCAGCCCCCCAGTCTTTGGGCCCACCCGCAGCAGGGCTGCTGGGCCTCATGATGGTATGCGTGTTCCTGGCCTAGGTACCGGCCAGCCCAGAAGACGGACAGCCTCGGGGACAGCGGCTCCCACAGCGGCCTGCACAGCACTCCGGAACAGACCATGGCCGTGCAGAGCCAGCACCACCAGCAGTACATAGGTGAGAGGCCCGGTCAGGCCCGGGGGCGGGGCTCCCATCTGCTCGCCACACTCCTGGGTTTCAACACCAGCAGAACCAGTGGTGTCTAAGCGTCTGCTTCCGACAGTTTTCTTACGAGACACCTTTTCGGACAAATAGAAAGTTTTCGATAAACCTTCTTTCTGACATCCCTGAGACTTTAGAATAATCAGCACATGCCAAAAAAATTAATATATAAAATGACCATCAGAAAAATGAGAAAATAAAATCAAATGACCATCAGAAAGAACACTAGAGGACAGGCGGCTCATGCCCGTGATCCCAACACCTTGGGAGGCCAAGGCGGGAGGATCACTTGAGCTCAGGAGTTCAAGACCAGCCTAGGCAACATACTAAAAACTTAAAAAATTAGCCAGGCATAGTAGCAAGCTCCTGTGGTCCCACCTACTCAGGAGGCTGAGGCAGGAGGATCACTTGAGCCCAGAAGTTCGAGGCTGCAGTGAGCCATGATCACGCCACTACTCTCCAACCTGGGTGACAGAGCGAGACTCTGCCTTTAAAATTAAAGAAAAAAAAAAAGAAAGAACGCTAGATATTCTCTACTCAGGGTGCACCAGGATTTGCCTGCTATCTGGGCTTTCTTCCTTCTTGCCTGGAGCTTTTGGGGTGCTTCTGGTTCCCCAACATGAGGCAGTCTTGGCCTCTTCCCTGGGGGCTGCTCAAGGGACAGCGTTCTTCCCCAGCTGGCTTAGTGGTGGTGCCATCTCTGCCCCGGGAAGGCCCTAACTCAGAGCCTGCCATGAGGGAGGGCAGGGGGGTGGGGGGCGGCCAAGGAAGGCTCACTGGCATGTCATGATTCAGGTGGGCTCTGTACACACTCAGTGGCTTCCATGTCGTTTATGATCTTTTTTGAGCCCAAACAGAACCCTCCTGGGTTGAGTCTTCGGCAGAGATTGAGGTGGGGTCAGGCCCATCTCCAGGAGGTCACTGCAGGGACACCGTGGCTGGCCTTCTCCCCGAGATGTGCTGCCCTGAGCTGGCTCTGTGGGTACTTGCTGTGTGCCAGGGCCTGGGCTCAGGGCTTTCTCTGTGTCTGCATATTTAATGTTCCTGGGAGGTGACAATATCCTCTCCATTTTCTACCTGAGAAAACTGATGCTTAGAAATTCCCTGACTGTACTGGGCACGGTGGCTCACGCCTGCCATCCCAGCACTTTGAGAAGCCAAGGCAGGCAGATCACTTGAGGTTGGGAGTTTGAGACCAACTTGGCCAACATGGCGAAACCCCATCTCTACCAAAAAAAATACAAACTTAGCCAGGCGTGGTGGCACGTGCCTGTAATCCCAAATACTCAAGAGGCTGAGACAGGAGAATCACTTGAACCCAGGAGGAGGAGGTTGCAGTAAGCCAAGATCGTGCCACTGCACTCCAGCCTGGGTGACAGAGCGAGACTCCATCTCAAAAAAAAAAAAAAAAAAAATGGCCGGGCATGGTGGCTCACGCCTGTAATCCCAGCATTCTGGGAGGCCGAGGTGGGCAGATCACCTGAGGTCAGGAGTTCGAGACCAGCCTGGCCAAAACAAGGCGAAATCCTGTCTCTACTAAAAAATGCAAAAATTAGCTGGCATCGTGGCGCCCACCTGTAATCCCAGTTACTCGGGCGGTTGAAGCAGAAGAATCGCTTGATCCCAGGAGCTGGAGGTTGCAGTGAACCGAGATCGTGCCACTGCACTCCAGCCTGGGCAACAGAGCAAGGCCCTGTCTCCAAAAAAAAAAAAAAGAAAAAGAAAAAGAAAGAAAAAACAAATTCCCTGACTGCATGGGGTGGGGCAGAACATCTGTTTCTGGGCCCCCATCCACCGTGGCCTTCCAGTTGTCCACGGTGTCCTAAGAGCCTCGCCATTTCTGATGTTCCCGTGTTCCTCCCCCAGATGTCTCCCACGTCTTCCCCGAGTTCCCAGCGCCCGACCTGGGCAGCTTCCTGCTGCAGGACGGCGTCACACTGCACGACGTCAAGGCCCTGCAGCTGGTGTACAGACGGCACTGCGAGGTGACCGCCCCAGCCCAGGCAGGCAGCTCCTGCGTGTCCCTCCCGGGAACCGCCAGCGCTCAGGCCAGGCGTCCCCGGGTGACGCTGAGGAGCTGGAGCCCCGAGCCCCCCAACAAGCATCCTCTCTGAAGCAGCAGCCCCTCCGCATCCATGTCCATCGCCTGCTCCTCTCCTCTCTGTGGCCTCCCTTGGGATTCCAGGGCACCCCGCTGTAGCCCGGATCACGGCTGCTCACTTGACGTGTGCTGAGTGCACGTGATGGGCGCACGCACCCGTCTGTCTCACCGGTCCCTTCATTCCTAGGCAACTGTAGATGTGGTGATGAACCTCCAGTTCCACTACATCGAGAAGCTGTGGCTCTCCTTCTGGAACTCTAAGGCCTCCTCCAGCGACGGCCCCACCTCTCTTCCTGCCAGGTGACTGCCACACCCTGGCTGGGTTCACAGCCACCCCAGACTTAACCCCCTGCTGACGTCCACAGGTAACCCACAAACGAAAGCCTCAGCTCTCCAAGAATCAGGGTTCAGACCCCTCTGCCTCCATCCCTGTAATTTTTAGACTTGGTAGAGTTGACTTGAAATTCACATTGCCATCCGCCCCTTTGCAGGGTCAGACTGTTTGAATAGGGAGGATTTTAGAGGTGACCATGATGCAATCCCAAGTAGAAGTGACCCCAACCCATAGCTGCAGTGAGACGCAGTATGACAGTATGACCACTGGCAGGGGAGGGACAGCGTGGACAGTGAGGGACAGGGGGAAACACGGAGGCGCCGGGAGCAACATGGAGGGAGGGGACCCATCGAGGCTCAGGGATGGGGAGCAAAACCCCAGCCCCACTGTTGGGCAAAAGTCCCGCAGCCCGGCTCTCTGCTCGCTCCCGTGGCTGAGTGAGCCCACCTGGGCCAGGCCACAGCTCACCTGTCCCCCCTCCCTCCACAGTGACGAAGACCCCGAGGGCGCCGTCCTGCCCAAGGACAAGCTTATCTCCCTGTGTCAGTGCGACCCCATCCTCAGGTGGATGAGGAGCTGCGACCACATCCTCTACCAGGCGCTGGTGGAGATTCTCATCCCCGACGTGCTGAGGCCGGTCCCCAGTAAGTGACCCACGGCCCCGCCCGGCGCTGCTCCATCCTCTCTTCCTGCCTCCTCTGTCCTTTCTTACATGTACGTCTTCAGCCACCTCAGACCATCGCTTTCACAGAAAACCCAAAAGTGGCCGGGCGCGGTGGCTCATGCCAGTGATCCCCACACTATGGGAGGCTGAGGCAGACAAATCGCTGAGCCCAGGAGTTTGAGACCAGCCTGGGCAGCATAGTGAGACCCTGTCTCTAAAAAAAAAAAAAAAAATTTATCTGGGGCCAGGCAAGGTTGCTCACGTCTGTAATCCCAGCACTTTGGGAGGCTGAGGCGGGCAGATCATTTGAGGTCAGGAGTTTGAGACCAGTGTGACCAACATGCTGAAAACCATCTCTACTAAAAATACAAAGATTTAGCCGGGCATGGTGGCACACGCCTGTAGTCCCAGCTACTAGGGAGGCCGAGCCAGGAGAATAGCTTTAACCCAGGAGGAAGAGGTTGCAGTGAGCCGAGATCACACCACTGCACTCAGCTTGACTCTGTCTCAAAAAAAAAAAAAAAAAAAAAATGAGCTGGGCATGGTGGTGTGTGCCTGTAGCCCTAGCTACTCTGGAGGCTGAAGCAGAAGGATCACTTGAGCCCAGGAGTTTGAGACCAGCCTGGGCAACATAGTGAGACCCCATTTCTAAAAAAAATACAAAAATTAGCTGGTGTGGTGTTGCATGCCTGCAGTCCAGCGACCCAGGAGGCTGAGGCAGGAGGATCACCTGAGCCCAAGAGGTCGAGGCTGCAGTAAGCTATGATCGCACCACTGCACTCCAGCCTGGGCAACAGAGCAAGACCCTGTCTCAAAAAAAATCCCTAAGTGAGAGCCGCTGTGGGCCGTAGAATGTGTCCCCTCTGGCATGCGTTATTTGTCCTTGTCTCTGACTCGAGGGGAAGGTCACAGTGGCTCTGGTGAGCTCTACCTGCTGTCAGGACACAGCCAAGAGTAGCTGGGCTGGGCTCGGTGCTTTCTAGAAGGTTCACTGGGGGCATGCAGGCCGGCCTCTGGGAGTAGCCTGTGTGCAGCCCTGGAGCCGTCACTGTGCGGGAGGCCTTGGCCCAGGGCCATGTGGGGTTGCTGCGCACCCTGGTCTTGCAGACGACCACCAGCCACCTTCCTCCAGCCTCCCTTAAGCCCCACTGTGACACATCCTGAGTGCCACCCCTGTAGGAGGGGCAGGGACATAAACTCAGAAGAAGAAGCTGGGACATGGCCCTGGACTCCTGCAGCCTGTTAGGGTAGAGGCTGACCTTTAACCCCCAGCCAGACCCCACTTCCCAGCACCGTGGGATTCCAGGAGACATTTACACCCCAGCGCCCCACCCTGTGATTTCCCACAGGACTTGGTGGGGTGGGGAGAGAGTGACAGGCACAGTGAGGAAGGAAGCTAGGCCCACGGCAGAGATCACTCGTGCCCTTGGAGACCTCCCAGGGCCTCCAGCTCCTGAGGCAATGACAGCACCCACCACGAGGGAGCCCTCGGGCCAGGCCCGTGCCAAGCTCCCCAAAACCCTGGGGGTCGTCAAGGAAGCTGGGCACAGAGGCCTCTCTTCATAAATCACAGCATCAGGACCACAGGCCATGCCCCGCAGTCCATCCACAAACATCCGGGCCCATGGACCGTGCCCCTCAGGCCATCCACAAATATGCATGCCCGTTAGTACCAGGCAGCTCTCCGTCCTGTTGAGTAAACTCTATGCTCCCTTTGCTGGAAGATGGGAAACAGCAAAAGTATTGCATTTCTCATTTGGCCTGGCCTTGCCTGTCTGCCTGAAAACTGTTCAGGGCAATGCCTCGTCTGAGTTTCTATGTTATGGTGGGAGTTTGGGGTATCTTTCCTTTTGCATTTTAAAATATTTTTCTGGTTTTTTTTAAGACAGAGTTTTGCTCTTGTCACTCAGGCTGGATTGCAGGAGGCTCACTGCAGTCTTTGCCTCCTGGGTTCAAGTGATTCTCCTGCCTCAGCCTCCCAAATAGCTGGGACTACAGGCACCCACCGCCACGTCCAGATCATTTTTGTATTTTTAGTAGAGATAGGGTTTCACCATGTTGGCCAGGCTGGTCTCGAACTCCGGACCTCAGGTGATCCGCCCACCTCGGCCTCCCAAAGTGCTGGGACTACAGGCGTCAGCCACCACACCTGGCCTTTTTCTGTTTTTGTTTTTTGGTTTTTTTTTTTTTTAACAGTCTGATCATTTGCTTCTTATTCTAACCCACTTTAAAATAAATTAGGAAGTTGGTAGAATGTATTTACGTGTGTGTGTGTGTTTGTGTCAAGGCCTCTTTCCCTTGGCACTGTTGATATCTGGGGCTGGATCGTTGTCTGGGGTGGGGCCCTCCTGGGCACTGTGGGGTGCTGAGGAGCATCCCTAGCCTCCACCCACTCCATGCCTGAGGCACCCTGCAGTCATGACCACCATTAACGTCCCCAGACATTGCCCAGTGTCCCCTGGGGCAGAATCGCCCCTGTGAGACCCGCATAGGCAGTGGGTGGTGACCAGCAGCGCTGGGCCATGCCTGGTTCTTCCCGTTTCTAAGTGTCCTCGGTTCCCCGTCGCCTGTGTGGCTCGTTCTTCATGGTGGTCATTTTCATCGCACTTGGGCCAGCTCTTACACTGAATGCTGATTTCCAGGGTCCAGTCACTGCCTTTCTCCCTGGTAATATCATGGTCTGTATCCCCCAGGTACCTTGACACAGGCCATCCGTAACTTTGCCAAGAGCTTGGAAGGCTGGTTGACAAATGCCATGAGTGACTTCCCACAACAGGTCATCCAGACCAAGGTGCGTCCGGGGTGGGGCCTGGGCTCCCCAACGATGGCTGGGAGGGGCTCCAGTCCAGGACAGCATGAGGACCACTGTGTCCCAGAGAGCGCTGGCTTCTTCCCTGCGTCATGAGAGTAACCGATCCCTTCAGGAAGCCCTGAGCACACTGCCGGTGACGCGTCAGTGCTGGCAGGAAGGGGAACAACAGAAGATGTCATTTGATGTCACATCTTTGGGTCAATTCAGAACAGATTGCGTGTTTCTGTGCTCATCTTATTCGGGAAATTTAATCTCCTTGCTGTGACCCTTATTGCTGCAATCTTGGCCACAAATCAGTCGAATTTGAAATGTAGAACCTTGGCCGACTTGTGGAAAAGAGAGTGATTACCCACCGTTCTCACAAGCATTTCTTTTTTTTTTTTTTTTTTTTTTTTTTTTTTGAGACAGAGTCTCACTCTGTCGCCCAGGCTGGAGTGCAATGGTGTTATCTCAGCTCACTGCAACGTCTGCCTCCCGGGTTCAAGCGATTCTCCTGCCTCAGCCTCCCGAATAGCTGGGATTACAGGTGCCCGCCACCACACCTGGCTAATTTTTTTGTATTTTTAGTAGAGACAGGGTTTCGCCATGTTGGCCAGGCTGGTCTCGAACTCCTGACCTCAGGCGATCCACCTGCCTTGGCCTCCCAAAGTACCGGGATTACAGGTGTGAGCCACCTCACCCAGCCATCATGAGCATTTCCTGAAGGGCTCTTGGGTGAGAGGAGGCAGCTGCAGGGCACCCGCCTGCTCTTCGGAATTGATCTGTTAGGCAGTGATGCAAGCATTGATCAGGTCATTGTTAAAAAGTCACATTCAGGGCCGGTGCAGTGGCTCACACCTGTAATCCCAGCACTTTGGGAGACAGAGACTGGAGGATCATTTGATGCCACGAGTTTGAGACCAGCCTGGGCAACAACAAGCAAGACCCCATCTCTTAAAAAAAATAAGATTCCCAGGCCACACCCACTAAAAGTCTGATCCTGTAGCACTCAGGAGTCTGTGGTCTCAACAGCCCCTCCAGAGAACCACAGGGACTCTAGAAGTGGGCATGGCGACAGTTGTGAATTCTAACTCAGCAGCACGCAGGCCTCAGTTAGCGACGTGTGTGATGTGCCGGCGAGGTCTCCTCTTCACTGATTCTCACACACTGGGTCCTTAAGAATAGCAGGAGGTTCCCTCTTCCCTGCCCAGGTTGCTGTTTCCTGCTCCCTCCTCCCTGTGTTGTCCCTGAGCCCACACACCCCTGCAAGGAGCGCAGCGGAACAGGCTCTCCCTGCGAACCCCTGCTCACCACGAGCCCTGGCTTACAGGTGGGCGTCGTCAGTGCCTTCGCCCAGACGCTGCGGCGCTACACGTCCCTCAACCACCTGGCGCAGGCGGCCCGGGCGGTGCTGCAGAACACGTCCCAGATCAACCAGATGCTCAGCGACCTCAACCGCGTGGACTTTGCCAACGTGCAGGTGACTTCCTCCACACCGTCCCCAGGGCCCGGGCTTCCCGCCCTCCAGCAAAACCAGCAAACCCACCAAGTGGAGCCCGTGGCACAACCTGGCCCCTGCCCCGAGCCTGGCCACGGTTCTGTTGCATGACACGGGTCCCAGGCCAAAGCCCACCCACAGCCCCCAGCTCTCTCCACTCCATCATCTCTCAGGGCCCTCTGGCGTCCAGGCGCTGTGGCCAACACTTCTGCTCATTTTCCTCACAAAGGCCCCCAGCTTCCAGGATCGTGGCACCACGTTGACCTCCCTGTGGCCATTTTCCTGGCTCTGTCCCCTGGGCTTGGCAAAGTGTCGGCCCACAGCAGCTTCCGAGCTATGCTTATTTCAGGCCCTGCGTCTATCCATTAAATAAATAAACGCACACACATACATTTAGAAGTGACCCCTTTGAAACAAAGCTAAACAAAGACCTCATATAGCATGAGCTTTGATCCAGAAAGACCTGGGTATGAGTCCCCGGAAGCCGGGTACGATCCCCCTCAGCTCTCTATTCTGCCCCTGTGACGGGAGACACAGGACTTGGCTTGCAGCTGTCAAGGTCAAGGGCGAGAAGGCTCAAGCACAGCACGATGTCCCGCCCTGAGCATGGCTAGGTCCAGGGAGGGCTGCCGTGGCTGGGGGTCCACATTGCTGACACTGGCCTCTGCCCTGCCCACAGGAGCAGGCCTCGTGGGTGTGCCAGTGCGAGGAGAGTGTGGTGCAGCGGCTGGAGCAGGATTTCAAGCTGACCCTGCAGCAGCAGAGCTCCCTGGACCAGTGGGCCAGCTGGCTGGACAGTGTGGTCACCCAGGTCCTGAAGCAGCATGCCGGCAGCCCCAGCTTCCCCAAGGCCGCCCGGCAGTTCTTGCTGAAATGGTCCTTTTACAGGTTAGTCCCACCAGACCTCCGAGAGAATTCTGGCGGGTGGGGGGCTCTGAGAGAAACTTCTAGAGGGTAGGGGGCTCGGCTGGTGAGCTCAGAGCAAAACAGGGCTCAGCAGAGTTGCAGCAGTGTCTGAACCCGCAAAAAACAACTACCTGGCTGGGGGCCTCACTCATGACCAGCGGCTCCCAGGGGCAGGCCCAGAAGGCCACCGTGGCCTAAATACTAAGTTGCAAGTTCTGCAGACAGAAATCATCACTGAGGGCTGGGCATGGTGGCTCATACTTATAATCCCACCACTTTGGGAGGCCAAGGCAGGAGGATGGCTTGAGACCAGAAATTTGAGACGACCCTGGGGAAAATATCAGGACCTCTACAAAAAGTAAAAAAACTTAGCTGGACGTGGTGGCATGTGCCTGTGGTCCCAGATACTTGTGAGGCTGAGGTGGAAGGATCCTTGAGCCCAGGCGGTCCAGGCTGCAGTGAGCCAAGATTGCACCACTGTACCCTAGCCTGAGTGACAGAGCAAGACCCCATCTCTAAGGGGGGAACAAAGCTATCTCAGAACTGAAGGGCACAAGGAGGCTCCTGGTGAAATATCGAAACACCAAGTTTGAGAAACAACCATAAAAGCTTCCAGAGAGAAAGAAACAGGCTGGGGATGGGAGCAGCATTAGACTTCCGAACAATGTGCAGAAACCCAGAAGGCAGTAGAGCGATGTCCTGAGAGCTCTGAAGGGAAATCATTTCCAAGCTACAGACCTAACCTGTGCAGACCAGGGCAGGGGAGCCAAGGCTTCCAGAGGGATTGTCCCCAGGAAAGGCACCAAGATGCCTCCTGCAGTTCTGTCAAGGAGTTTTAGTCTCCCTGAGTACATGGAAAATGTGCATTTTTAAAAAAAGAGCCAGTTATTACCCCAGGAAAAAACAAAGCTGTTCTGTGGCTGACAGGCCCCACGTGACCCAGCGCATGGATGAGCTATGGCCACAGGGCCAAATTGTTATCCCCACCTGTATTATTAGTCCATTCTCATGCTGCTGATACAGACATACCCAACACTGGGTAATTTATAAAGAAAAATAGGTTGAATGGACTCACAGTTCCACCTGGCTGGGGAGGCCTCACAAGCATGGCGGAAGGCCAAGGAAGAGCAAAGGCACATCTTCCATGGCGGCAGGCAAGAGAGCATGTGCAGGGGAACTCGCCTTTATAAAACCATCACATCTCATGAGACTTATTCACTCTCAAGAGAACAGCACAGGAAACATCTGTCTCCATGATTCAATTACCTCCCACCAGGTCCCTCCCACAACACATGGGGATCATTACAATTCAAGGTGAGATTTGGGTGGGGACACAGAGCCAAACCATATCACTGCCCCAGCCCATTGTGCAAATAAAGTTTTATTGGAACCTCAGCCACATGCATTAATTCACAGATCAGCTACAGCTGTCAATGCAAACAAAACAGTTTGACTGTTGGCTACAAAGCTGAAAATATTTACTATCTGGCAAGCGTGAAAACGAGTTTGCCTGGCCGGGCGCAGTGGCTCATGCCTGTAATCCCCACACTTTGGGAGGCTGAGGCAGGTGGATCACTTGGGGTCAGAAGTTCAAGACCAGACTGGCCAACATGGCGAAACCCCATCTCTACTAAAAATATAAAAATTAGTCAGGCGTGGTGGTGGGCACCTGAAATCCCAGCTACTTGGGAGGCTGCAGCAGGAGAATCACTTGAATCCGGGAGGCAGAGGTTGCAATGAGCCAAGACCGTGCTATTTCACTCCAGCCTGGGCAACAGGAGCCAAACTCCATCTCAAGAAAAAAAAAAAAAATAAGAACAAGTTTGCTGACCCCTCAGCTGGCCAGCCAGCACCCCTGTTCTCAGCTGTCTCCTTACACACTCCCCTGGCCACGCTGCCTCAGGGCCTTTGCACCTGCCCCCCTTGCCTGGAACATCTTTCCCCCAGACAGCCACACAGAGAAACCCATCATCCGCAGAGAAATCCCTCACCCCCAGCCTCTGTAAATAAGACGGCCCATTCTTTCCCACTTTGCATGCCCCATGCCCTGCCTTTCTCCTGGCATTGACCGTCACCTGTCATCTGTTCACTTGTCTGTTGTCTGTCTCCTGCATGATCAGGCACGCTACCCGAGTGCCGGGACCTCACTTCTGTTTAAATGCTGGCTCAGTGAATGAATGAGAGGAACCACACGCCTAATAGACTATGCGGCTCTGCCATGGACCTAGCACACCACTGCCACATAACAGAAACACCAGTGTAGCCAGAAATTACAATAAAGCCACACTGGGATAATGAGGGAGGAAGAGCAAGGGAAGAGACAGCGTAGGGATGCCGATGCCAGTCTCCATGGACAGAGGGAAGGTTGCAAGCGGAAGAATTGAGAAGAGCAGAGTGAGCGCAGGACTGAGGTGCCTGCCAGCCAGAGAAGAGCACAGCTCAGAGCTGGAGGGGATCGGGGTCACGTCTGCAAGGTGGGGGTGCTCTTCACAAGGGAGACCGAGACACTGTTCCACTTCATTCTCTTGTTTGCTTGTTTTTTGAGACAGAGTCTCGCTCTGTCACCAGGCTGGAGTGCAATGGTGCGATCTCGGCTCACTGCAACCTCCCCTTCCCGGGTTCAAGCACTTCTCGTGCCTCAGCCTCCTGAATAGCTGGGATTACAGGTGCCCACCACCAGGCCTGGCTGATTTTTGTATTTTTAGTAGAGACGGGGTTTTGCCATGTTGGCCGGGCTGCTCTCAAACTCCTGACCTCAGGTGATCCACCTGCCTCAGCCTCCCAAAGTGCTGCGATTCCAGTCATGAGCCACCACGCCTGGTCTGACTTCATTCTTATGCACGTGCAGTGCAGTCATAAAAAATAAAAATTAGGTTTACGGGATTTATTTCTGTAGCACCCACTAGAAAATGGTAGCATGTGGACTGAGGCCTTGGCTGGTCATCCCCAAGCTCTGGCTGGGCCTCCCTTGGTGGTGGTCGGCCGATGCTCCTACTCTCTGGGAGCTGCGAGCCCATTTGGGAACCCAGAGATACCGGGGTGACCGCAGGCGATGTTCTGGAAATACTTTGGACTGAAGCATCGCACCAGACACCGGGGCTGTGGGGAAGCTGGTTGCAGAGTGCCAGCACCTCATCTGCGTGGGGGAGGCCTTTGGGGAAAGGGGGCTTGGAAGCCAACCTGGGTGGGCCCGGAGGAACAGGAGGGGGCTGGGGGCTTTGCAGCTATGCTTGACACTTAAGGATAGACAGCTTTGGTGGTCTTCATAGTGCGGCTGTCTTTGCCTTTCTCAAGCCTGTGTCTTCTTTTTATCGCTCGATACCGATTAGACGTAACAGAGTTTATGAAAGTATACTTCGAGCCGGGGCAGTTGGGCATTGGGGGCCGCCTGGCTTGTAGGCCAAAGTTTTTAATCAGGTGCCACTGTATATAAGTCCTTTAGGTCTTATAGGAGGACTGAGACATTGTTCCACTTCATTCTTTTTTTTTGAGATGGAGTGTTGCTCTGTCACCCAGGCTAGAGTGCAGCGACATGATCTCGGCTCACTGCAGCCTCCGCCTCCCAGGTTCAAGCAATTTTCCTGCCTTAGCCTCCCGAGTAGCTGGGATTACAGGCATGTGCCACCATGCCTCACTAATTTTTGTATTCTTAGTAGAGATGGCGTTTCACCATGTTGGCCAGGCTGGTCTAGAACTCCTGACCCCAAGTGATCTGCCCGCCCTGGCCTCCCAAAGTGCTGGGATTACAGGTGTGAGCGACCGTGCCTAGCCCCCTTTGGTCTTATACTGATCCTTTAGGTCAGGGGCCGCCTCTCCCAGAAAGAACCAGGTAGTATTTGCAGCCATCCTAGGAAAGACAACATAGGAACGGGCATGACGCGTGCCAGTGAAACTGTCTGTGGACACCAAAATGTGAATTTCATGTAATTTCCACGTGCCACCGAATATAATTATTCTTTTGACTTTTTCCAACCATTTCAAAATGTAAAGCATTGTCAGCACACAGGCTGAGGGCTGGACGCGGACTGGATCTGGGCTGAAGTCTCTGAAACCCCTGCTTTCGCTGACAGAGACTAAAGCACCCTGGCTTTTTGTCTTGTTTTTAGGTGCCTGAAACCACAGGCTGAGGAATGGCGGGAGGTGGCAAGGATACGGGGAAGGTGGGGAAAGGCGCCTCCTGCTGGGGAGACAGGCACCAGCTGCCAGCCTGTGCTCTGATTCGGAGTCCGAAATGTCACTAGAAAGACTCACCAGCTAAGATCCCATCTAGCGCCTGCGCTAGCACCAGCCACAGTTGTTTCCCGCAGCCTGTCGCTTTGGGGCTGACTGCCCATCTCCCTCTCCTGTTCCCCAGGTGGTCTCTGGAACTGAGCGCGCAGGCCGGCCCCACCTGTCCGTCACGTGGGCCCAGGGTCTCGGCAGCCCGTCAGCCCCCGCGTAGGCCTGCACGTCTTAGGATCACTCAGCCTCTGGGTTCCCCAGGGAACGTAGAGCAGGGGGTGTGTTGCTGCCATGAAGTCTGGCCTGGGGCCCGGGTTCCATGCTCCCCTGAGGGTCCCCAGCCTCTGTCCGCTTGTCCCCAGCTCCATGGTGATCCGGGACCTGACCCTGCGCAGCGCTGCCAGCTTCGGCTCCTTCCACCTCATCCGCCTGCTCTACGACGAGTACATGTTCTACCTGGTGGAGCACCGCGTCGCGGAGGCCACCGGAGAGACGCCGATCGCTGTGATGGGAGAGGTGAGGACCCTCCTGGGTGGGACGGCCGGGGCTTGGCCGGGCCTGTGGGGAGAGGGCGGTGTGCTCTGAGCAGCCCAGAGAGAGGACACTCGCAGGTCCCACTGCTCTGCCGCCCGGACAGAGCTGCAGCTCGATAAAGAACAAGCCACAGAAACGGGCCCACCCGTGCCAGGACACAGCAGTGTCTCAAAACATCAAAACCACAAGTTTTATCAGCACTGGGAAGGATTTGGGGCTCTGTCCAAGTTCACAGTCCCCATCGCACCGCTGGCTCTGGAAGGAGGTTGTCCTTGGGCGTCCCGCCACACAGGGGAGGCCTCGGACACACCACCCAGAGTTTTCTGTTTATTGTGGTAACACACACATAGGGAGAGATTTCCACGTGAAAGCGCACAATCAAGTGGCGCTTAGCACATCCACAACGTGCAGCTGGCACCTCTGTCCAGTTCCAGAACATTCCGTCACCCCAAAAGGAAACCCCGTCCCCAGGAGCAGTCATTCCCAAGCTCCTCCTGCAGCACAGCACCCACGCAGCCCCCTCCTGCCTCTGTGGATCGGCCTGTCCTGGACACTTCATAGAAATGGGATCACACACTGTGTGGCCTTTTGTGTCCGGCGTCTGTCACGGAACATGACATCCGCGCTGCGGCCCGGGTCAAAGCCTGGTTCCTCTCCTGGCTGAGTTGTGTTCCGGTGCGTGGCTGGCCGCGCTGTGCTGACCGCTCGTCCCTCCGTGCTGCACGGTCGCTCCCTCTCTGTGGCCGTCGTGAACGGGGCTGCGTGGGCGTGTGTGGGCGGGTGTTTGTGTGCACTCCTGTGTTCAGTTCTTCGGGGTCCACACCTTGGAGTGGACTTGCTGGGCTGCGTGGGATGGCCTCCAGGAAGAAACGAGATGATGCTTGATGAATGGCGGGGTCCCTGCACTCTTACTACCCAGAAGCCACAGCACTCTAAGAGTCGGTGGCCAGGGCCCCGCAACGTGTACAGAAACTGTGGAAGCCGCCTGTTCTCTGCACATTGGCGTGAACGCCGGGCTTTGGGGCAGCCAAGGAGTGGTTTTCCTGCTGTGTACAGACTTCAGGGAGCAAAGATAATTTGGCCCACGGCTCTTCCATGCCACCTTAAAACCCGGAGCAGCCGCACCCAGGGGACTTTGGGAGCCAGCTGCTGTCCCCTCGCTGCCCCGAGTAGTCAGCACCCTCCACCCCCAGCAGCTCCCAGAGGCGGCCTGGACAGGGCACAGGGACCCACCCAGACACCTGGCAGCATCAGAGCCACATTTCAGGGCAGGCCCCAGCTGCTTCACTGTGAATGGAGGACGTGGCTCAAGGCAAGGTTGGGCCGGCATCCCCCGAGCCCCCAAACAGCAACTGCCGCCCCTCTGCAGGCGCCCCTGACTCCAGGTTTCTCTTTCAGTTCAACGATCTCGCCTCTCTGTCGCTGACGCTGCTCGACAAAGGTAGGTGCGTCTGCGGCTTTCCCACCACGACCCTCCCAGGAGGGTGGTACTCCTGGCCGTGGCCTGTCTGCCCCATCTCATGATGAACAGGTGGAAATGCGGGCAGCCCCTTGGGGGGTGAGGGCCCTGGGATCTGTCATCCGGACAGTGGGTGATGCCTGAGCAGCAGGTGACACTGCAGACTGGCTCGGCTGGGGCTCAGACTGCCGCTGGCCTCTGGGTAGCCGCTGCCCAGGGACCTCAGCACCAGGCCCAGACTAGGCAGCCCCTGGTCTCCTGCGCCCACGCCCAGCAGGAGAGTGGGACAGGCAGGCCAGAGGGACCCCCGGGCCCCGTCTCTGTCCCATGCGGGTGGGAGGACCCCAGAGGCCCCAGCCCTGTGGGGAGCAGGCCCCAGGCCCGTCGGCGCTGGGAAAGGGAGGCACAGGGCAGAGGCTCTTTCGCCTGGCCCGAGCTGGGGGCACCTCTGGGTAACGGCAGGTGGGGAGGACAGGTCAGCCTGGAGCAGAGGCCGAGGTGGGGTCCACAGGCTGCCATGTATCCTCGGTGCCCTGCCTGGCGTGCCGGAGCAGTTCTCGGAACGTGCACTTCCTTCTCTCCCTCTCGTGCCCTCCTGATGATGGACACTGACCCTACCCCTCCCTCCGCAGATGACATGGGCGATGAGCAGCGTGGCAGCGAGGCGGGCCCAGACGCCCGCAGCCTGGGTGAGCCCCTGGTAAAGCGGGAGCGCAGTGACCCCAACCACTCCCTGCAGGGCATCTAGCAGCCCCGGCCGGCGCCTCCTCGAGGTTCCAAAAGATGCCGCCTGGTCACTCTGGGAACCTGGATTTCACCGGCTCCACCAAATTAGTGCCTCTTAGATGATGTGATGTTTACTTTGACTCAAGCGGGGGCTCCCGGGGTCAGTGTTCAAGAAGGAAAGCAGTTGTTGAAGCTACAGAAGCCCAGGCCAGGGCTCCCACTGGCTGTAGCTGTGCTCTGGGTCCCCAGGTCCCTGCGCAGCCACCAGGGCCCCACCAGACCATGGGTTCCTTATTCTGGACAAACCCTCCTCTGCTGGAACCCTGGACTTTGGCCCCAGTCCCTTTAAGAGCTGAAAGGGCTGTGCTGAGAGCACTGGCCTCTGCACTCAACTGGAACCAATTTTCACCATGATTTTAAAAATTAAAAAAACCTGGCAGAGCCCGACTAGAAAGGGACGGCCTCTCCCCTCCTACCTGCCACCGCTGGGGAGGCACAGAGCTCGCCAGCGTCCCTGGAGTCCCCTCAGGAATGGAAAGTGGAGTGCCCTTGTCTGGTAGCACCATGTGGGAGGGACCCAGCTGGGCGCAGCGCCCTGTGGCCTTTTAGATCCAGACCTCCCTGCCGGATGCCCCGAGGCGGGAGGCCGGCTGTGCTGCAGGAACCCATCTCCAGATGCCAAAGGACTTGAGGGGCAGCTGACAATCGCTGTGTCCCGGCAGATCCGCAGCTCGAAAAAGAACAAGCCACAGAAACGGGCTCGCTCGTGCCAGGACACAGCAGTGTCTTTCAAAAAATCAAAACCAGAAGTTTTATCAGCAGCAGGAAGGATGTGGGACTCTGTCCAAGTTCACCGTCACCATCAAGCCACTGGCTGTGGAAGGAGTTTGTCCAACAGGGTCAGTGTCACAGCCACAACTTCAGAAAGCAGCCATCCCGCGTGTCGTCCAAACAGCAGTGCCTGCGTCCCGCTCCACGGAGTCTTCCAGAACACCTCCCTCTGAACTAATCCCGGAGCACCCCACCCCCAGCGAGTCCCACCTGGACCTCTTCAAAGTCAAAACTCTTCTCTCGGGACAAACAAATATTCGGGACTTTCGAAGCCCTGAACTTGAGACACCAAGTTTGTCTCCATGGAAACACGTAGCCGCTGCAGTTGGACAGCTGCGTGCTGGAGTTCTGTCCCCAAACCAACTGCAGAGAAGAAAGACGAGCCTCGGCCCAGGACGCGATTTCTAACGAAATGCAATAGTTTTCTCTTTTTGGAAAAATGTTTATACCAATAGTTTTGTGCGCTAATTGTTATTAGAACGTTTCTTATGAATGTGTACATTGCAGTATATTCAGTCCCAAATGTTTTGTTCTCATTCACACAGAAGGTACTAATGTCAGCTCACGTGGCCTTTAAAAACCTACTTCCCCGCCCGCAGGAGCTCAGAGCATCGCTGGGCCTGCGCCAGAGTGAGGGGTGCAGGAAGACAAAGACGCGTGCTCACTTTAGAAACGAAAAGCTGGGAATAATCACACTGTTTGTCTGGTCGTATAGCCCAAACCTTAGTTGAAATCAGACAGAAAGAATGTCTTTAAAATATACATCTCCTCTCCTTGGAGACACTGAAGCTCACAGTTAACGGATTGTAATGCCCGGCTTTTCCTCACTCCTGGTAACCAATACAAGCTGGTTTCTGCCTTAGGCTCTGGCCTGTCTTTCCGATCCACGAGGAGGAACAGAGGTGGCAGCGAAGCCACAAGCCTCTCAGGCCTGGTCTCATTTTTCATAGCAGTAAACACACTGAGCGTGCCCATTTTTGGACTCACTGTCCACACTCTAGGCCCTGTCCCCCCGCCGTGGGACACCAGCCTGCCGGGCCTGCCCCACTCAAGACCCAGAGGGGAAACCACAGAGGTGCCCCCTGCACTTGCCTGCGGGCTCCCTGGGGATGTTCTAGTGCCTTCCGGAAGGAGCCTGGGCCCCTTACTTCCTTAGCAAGGCCTATCCTGAGCCAGTGATGGCGCAGAAACCGTTCTTTGTCCAGGATGGTCAATGGCTCCTGTTTACACTTTGGGTTTTTTTCTGTTGTTTGTTTGTTTTTTTAAGAGACGGTCTCATTCTATCACCTCGGCTGGCGTGCAGTGGCACTATCATAGCTCACTACACCCTCAACCTCTTGAGCTCAGGTGATCCTCCCACCTCAGCCTCCCCAAGTAGGTGGGACTATAGGCGTGCGCCACCACATCCAGCTAATTTTTTTTTTTTTTTTTTTTAGAGATGGGGGTCTTCCTGTGTTGCCCAGGCTGGACTCAAACTCCTTGGCTCAAGCGATCCTCCCACCTTGGCCTCCCAGTGTGCTGAGATTACAGGCGTGAGCCACCGCCCCAGCCTCCTGTTTACATTTGTTACAGGCTAGACCCACTCGGATCTAGCGGAGGAAGCGGGTGTGCCAGTCTCGGATGCGAACCCCTGGTTGTCCGCAGGGTTTACTCGGGCCAAACTTCAGAATCATTGAGAATCAGTGCATGAGCTTGCTCAAAAATGGCCGATTCCTGGACCCATTTCACAAGGAGCATGACTCGGTGAGATTCGGGTAGGAGCCAGGAAGCGTGTTGTTGCTGCCATTCCCTCTCAGGGGACTGTGGTGCGGGGCTATAGGACTTTGAAGAAACCCTACAGAGGAGAGCAATGGGCTCAGGAACCAGGCAGGGCCCACCTGCGGGAGGGAGGGTGGCCCACAGAGGCTAGTACAGTTGCTGGTCAGCCAGGCCAGTTTCCCGAGTGCCAGGCCAGTGCCCCGTATGCTCCCAGGGACACTCGGCCTTTGCCCCAGCCCAGGCCTCTCTGTCTCAGGTGACACTAGAATCGCCTCTCACTTCCCTGGGCTGGGACTCCAGGACCCCACTGTGTCCTGACGGTGCCAACATCAGCCAGGAAATCCACTCGCCCCACCCCCTGCTGGGTCACAATTTCAGACATTCCTCCAGCTGAGACCCCTGAGCCAAATTAGGCAAGTGCCAACTCACCCACCTCCCCAGCCCCTGAAGAGCCAGGCCCAGTGTGGACTGCAGGGCCCAGAGTAGGAGGCCCGAGCCCTGCCCATGGGGCCTGAGAGGCTGGGGAGAGCGGGAGCTCAGAGCATGGGGGATGGCGCCCCAGGAAAGAGGAGCCCGCTTGAGGTCCGCAGGCCATCATGTGCCTCCAAAGCCCTCTGGGTAGGTCCCCAGGGTGCAGCCGCCTCAGAAAAAAAAAAAGGGGAACCTTGGTCTTACCAAGCACCTCTAGGGGGTACTGGCCATAATCACAGCAGGCTCCACACTAGACACTTCTATCCCATCTCCTATTTTTGATGACCTAAGGTAGATGTAATCCCCATTGTACACATGGGAAAAGCAAGGCTTCTGGCTGGAATGCAGATGTGATGGCTGGAGCACGGCAGCCACAGTGGACCTCAAGGTGGAAGCCCCATGATAAGGATGGAAAAGCAATGAGTCAGAAGGAGCCTGGGTCCCTGGTGATGATGGAACTGCCATTACAGCCCTGACCTCCAGACAGACGTCAGCAAGGAGGGGTGGGGAGGCCCAGAGATGTCCCTGCCTTCACAAACTTTCTGGTGGCAGGAACTCCCTTGCAAGATGGGAGGGGACCCCAGACACTGCAACTGCCAGCGTGCTAAGATGGGGCAGATGTGGGCCAGGCGCGGTGGCTCACCCCTGTAATCCCAGCACTTTGGGAGGCCGAGGCGGGTGGATCACGAGGTCAGGAGATTGAGACCATCCTGGCTAACATGGTGAAACCCCATCTCTACTAAAAATACAAAAATTAGCCGGGTGTGATGGCACACTCCTGTAGTCCCAGCTACTGGGGAGGCTGAGGCAGGAGAATCGCTTGAACCCAGGAGGAGGAGCTTGCAGTAAGCCAAGATCACGTCACTACACTCCAGCCTGGGTGACAGAGCGAGACTCCGTCTCAAAAAAACAAAAAAAAAAAAAAAAAAGAAAGGGGAGATGCTCCAGCTGGAGTGCCCCCCACCCCCGCCAACCGCCGCCACCCCTGTTTTCCTCCTGCCTCTGGCTGCTGCCCCTCTGCGCCTGGGTCCTGCCCACTCCTCTCCTCCTTCTACCCCCTCAGTCACCTCAGCCACTCCCACAATGGAAACACCCTCCAGGAGCTGCTGACTTCACCTCTGCCCAGAGCTCCTGGGTGCCTGGCCCTCGGCAGAGCAAGACAGCATTCCGGCATCTGGCCGTCCAGACCTCCTCCCCAAGTCTCCATCACAGCCTTGGCAGCACCGTCCGTCCCCGCATTGCCCCGCCCCGCCCCTTGGCCCTGCTCCTCAAAATGGCCGCCAACTGAGCGCTTCTCCCCTTCCTCTTTGCTACTCCCCAGCTCCTCCTCGGCCGGGAGAGGCAGAGTGGCAGGGATTAGACTGCACAGGTTTGAGAATCAGCTCCACGGTCATTCACTGTGCCCTCAAGTAAATTACCTTCATCGGTTTCTCCCACTGGAAAAGAGACATTAAAAATACCTCACGGTGTTGTGAGAAAGAAGGTCAACATACAGAAAGCACGGGACTAAGCCTTCAAGAGCTGTTTCTACCCCTCGGCACTGCAGATACCGCAGATGGTGGGGGATCAGATAATTCTCTGGGGGGGCCCGTACTGGGCACTGCAGGGTGCTGAGCAGCATCCCTGGCCTCCACCCACTCCCTGCCAGGAGCACTACAGCCCAATCCTAACAAGCAAAAATGTCTCTGGACACTGCCAGTGTCGCCTGGGAGACACCTTCCTCTTTAGCACTCACCTTGATTGGCACTTCTTTCGGGAAGCCTTCCTGGATGCTCTCTGGGTAGATTAGGGTCACTTAGACCCAACTTCCCCTACCATACTTTATAGTCATTGTTTGCAAATCTGTCTTTCCCATAAGCTCTGCGAGTGAGTAGCTATCATTTGCCTTGTTGAAATGGACTTCCCAAATCTATCACCGGGCATGCTCAGCAAATATTGAGGGTGTGAGGGAGTGAGGAGGGCCTCCCAGAGAAGGCGTTTTTTACGGTGATGTTGGGAAGGAAGGTGCTGTGCCATGGAGGAGAGAAAAATATCCAGAGGAGTGACAAGGAATTCCAAAGAAACTGGAATTCAGGCAGGAGGCCACCAGAGGTTTTTGATGTAATCAAAGCTGGGCTTTAGAAAGATGTATTCGGGCAGGGTGGATTCACAGGAAGAAACAGAAGCAGGGGGGTCAATTAGGTGCTTGTTAAAATCGTACAAGTGAGGGGGAGAGTTGTGGCTGTGGGGTGGAGCAGGGGCACACAGGAGCCCTGTGGAGATCAAATTGGTGAGTTATACCCGATTTGGTTTGTTTTTTGTGTGTGTGGTTTGGTGTTTTGTTTTGTTTTGCTTTGCTTTGTTTGAGACAGAGTCTTGCTGTTGCCCAGGCTGGAGTGCAGTGGCACAATCTCAGCTCACTGCAACCTCCACCTCCTGGGTTTAATCGATTCTCCCCCTCAGCCTCCTGAGTAGCTGGGATTACAGGAGTGTGTCACCGTGCCTGGCTAATTTTTGTATTTTTAATAGAGATAGGATGTTACCATGTTGGCCAGACTGGTCTCAAACTCCTGACTTCAGGTGATCCGCTCACCTCAGCCTCCCAAAGTGCTGGGATTACAGGCATGAGCCATTGCGCTTGGCTTTTTTTTTCTCTTTCTTTTTCTAATGAACCAGGATAAAAATCTAACTAAAACATCAGGAGTGATGGTGTAATAAGGATAAATATAGCTTTGCAAAATTTTCATTTCAGTGTATGTGTGAGTGCACATATACACATGCATTTATGGTATTGGGCTGCAATGTAAAATGCATATGCATAGGTCTCCAAAGCCACAGTATCATATATGCATGAGTATACGTGCACTCACACAGAGGCTCTCAGGAGGGCTGAGAGTTGTTCTCAGCTTATTGTGAGATCATGGGCCCCTCCTGGAATCCTGTCATGGACATTTTGTGGGGTTTTGCTGTCCAGCATCCATCCTGCCTTCTTTTGGAATAACACCCTGATTCTCTTGGAAGAGTGACCGTCCTTTTGTGGCTTTAAATACTGTCTCTGTGTGGGTGGCTCTCACATATTGAGTGAGGCGGTTCCAGGTGGGAAGGGAGCAAATGAGCTCAGTGTGTTGGGGGTGGGGGGAGCAGTGAGGAGGCTGGTGTCATGGGCACAGAGTGAATGGCAGGGCAGGAGGTTGAGGAAGGCTGCAGAGTCATGGGATGGGGGCTTCCTAGGTCCCGGGGAGGAGCTGGGATTCCACTGGCTGCCTCCACTTGGATGTCTCAAATGGCATCTCATACCACTGGCTGGGCACACAGAGCCCAATATGTATTTGTTGCTCAATAAATATTTGATGGAAGGGCCAGGCACGGTGCCTCAAGCCTGTCATCCCAGCACTTTGGGAGGCCAAGGCAGGCAGATCACCTGAGGTCAGGAGTTCAAGTCTAGCCTGGCCAACATGGTGAAACCCCCTTCTCTACTAAAAATACAAAAATTAGTTGGACATGGTGGCGGTGCCTATAAATCCCAGCTCCTTAGGAGGCTGAGGCAGTAGAATCGCTTGAATCCGGGAGGCAGAGGTTGCAGTGAGCCAAGATCGTACCACTGCACTCCAGCCTGGGCAACAGAGTGAGATTCCGTCTCAAAAAAAAAAAAGAAAGAAAATATTTATGGAGGAATGAATTTGATTGGGGGTGAGCACAAATTAACGTACCGTACCCTGCTGACCCCATCCAACACTTTCTCCTTAGACTCTGAACCCTGCGTTGAAGGGTGAGACTGAAAGCAGTCAAAGATCAGGCATCCTGGGGGAGACACCCGGCGCATTGTCCTCAGTGATTTTTGCTTCTAAGACCTGTTGAAACTGCTGGTTGCTTCTCCTTTCTTTTTGATCTCATGAATATCCTCATAACCTTCCAGTAAATTCCCCCTTGGCTTACATCTTCCAGAACTGCTTTCGGGGGGTTGCAATCAGTCTCCAAACAGGTACACCCTCAGCACCCAGGAATTTTCTAGCCAGTCTCAGAAGGGGATTCTCAGACCTCGTGAAGCCCTCCCGAGGTGACAGCCCCAGTTTTCAAGGTGGGGCATCCATACGGCTTGGCAACAGCAGCAGCAGGCTGGGAGCGAGGTGCAACTAAGACTCCCTACCTCCACTTCCACGACCTGGCTCATGGAAGACACCAGAACCCCAGCAGATGCGGAGCTTACCGGTAAGTTTAGTTTCCCAGAAGGTAGCCAACTGCCCTTTTTCCTGGAGTTGTTTTGATTCCTCTCAAGTCTCTGCTGCCCCCCAGTGGTCACTCTGTGACACAGCGTTTTCCTTTTCACAGGGGACACAAAGTTGGATTTTGCCCAGAAGCCTGGCTGATTTGTTTACTTATTTGCAACGATGCATGATAAGAAAGATCAAAAACAAGTGAGTGAGTGAGCTAATTTCCTTCCTTCCCTTCTCCTCCTCCCCTTCTCTTCCTCGAATATTTCCTATTTGTTTACAAAGGCCCAAAATATCCCCCCAACATAACAATGGGAAAAAGTCACCTGGCAGATACCATTTAAAGCAAGCGATTGGACGGGCGCGGTGGCTCACGTCTGTAATCTCAACACTTTGGGAGGCCAAGGCAGGCAGATCACTTGAGGTCACAAGTTCAAGACCAGCCTGGCCAACATGGTGAAACTCCATCTCTACTAATAATACAAAAATTGGCCTGGCGTGGTGGTGCGCACCTGTAGTCCCAGCTACTCAGGAGGCTGATGCATGAGAATCGCTTGAACCTGGTAGGCAGAGGTTGCAGTGAGCCAAGATTGCACCATTGCACTCCAGCCTGGGCAACAGTGAGAGACTCTGTCTCAAAAAAAAAAAAAAAAAAAAAAAGGTATAAATCGCCATCATGTGCCCTTGCTAGGATGCATTGACACAGACACACATCGCTTCTGCGTAATCCCTGCCAAAAACACTTAACCTGAGTTTCACTGTGAGGAAACATCAAACAAACCCAAAGTTAAGGGGCATTCTACCAAATGATTGGGCAGTACTCGTTAGAAATGTCGTTGTCAAGAAAAGGTATATAAAAAATGGAGGAAATGATCCAGACTAAAGGAAACTAAGGAGAAATACCTACATGCAAGACAGGATCCAGGACTAAATCCTGGAACAGAAAAGGGACACTAGAGCTGAACAGAGGAAATGTGAATAAGGCTTGCACATTAGTGAATAGTACTGTATCAGTGCGAATGTCCTGATTTTGATCAGGATGTGAATATCTGAGGAAGCTGATGGAGGCTATATGGAACTCTTTGTACTATTTTTGCAACTTTTTTTAAGTCTGAATTTATTTCAAATGTATTTATTGTAAAATTTAATTTATTTAATTTAAAATAAAGAGGCTGGGTGCCGCGACTCATGCCTGTAATCCCAGCACTTTGGGCGGGCAGATCACTTGAGGTCAGGAGTTCGAGACCAGCCTGGCCAAGGTGGGCAGATCACTTTAGGTCAGGAGTTCAAGACCAGCGTGACCAACATAGTGAAACCCAGTCTCTACTAAAAATACAAAAATTAGCCGGGCGTGGTGGCGGGCACCTGTAATCCCAGCTACTCGGGATACTGAGGCAGGAGAATTGCTTGAACCCGGGAGGTGGAGGTTGCAGTGAGCAGAGATTATGCCACTGCACTCCAGCCTGGGTGACAGAGGGAGACTCCATCTCAACAAAAGAAGGAGGAGGAGGAGGAGGAGGAGGAGGAGAAAAAGCAGAGTTGATCAGGAGATAGGAATGTGTCACCGAGCAAAGTGAAGGCTTGGGAACCCGGCTGTGGCACTCTGGGCTCTCCACCTCTCAGCACGGCTGACCTGGTTGCAGATCAGGTCATGTGAAGGAGAATGTGGCCCTACCCCATGTTAACAGGATCCAGCCCAGCTTTCTTCCAGAGAGAAGCAATTCCAGTCCCAAATCCCTGGCTGATGTGCCTAGTTTGGGTCAGGGGTTCCTGCCATCATGGGCAAGGGGCCACCATTGGTCACATCCGACATCCTGTTGTCAGGAACTTGAGGCCGTGGGTTGAGGGAGAACGGGGAAGGCAGATGAACTAATAACGCATTCATGATGAAGTCCCTCCAACCCCACCTGGCTCCAAGCTCCTTAAGGGCAGGAATTATACTTGATTGATCTCTGGGTACTCAACCTCAGTGTGGGCTGGGCACAGAGCAGGCACTGAAGCACTGCCCCAGGAGTTAAAGAAACCTATGACTAATAGAAATTCCTGAGTTTGCTGGATAAGAAAAGAAACAACTTACTGAAACTCCCTCTGCTTGTAAGATAACAAAACTGGCTGAAGTCAGTTGGAACAATATGGCGGACTGGAGTTTGCACAGAACGAGCTTGCTGATGTCATAGCCTCAATTTCTACCGCATGGTTTAGACTAATGCCCCCCGAACTTGCACATGCGCTCCATGAGGGATGAAGAGATAACTGCGCATGCCAGAGGACTTTCCAGACTTCCTATTCCTTTCTACCAGTCACCTACCTACTAATGCCACAGTCTACCCCCTACACCTCTTCTAATAAAGGTATTGACTGCCTTAGGGTGGGCGTGGTGTCTCAGGCCTACAATCCCAGCCCTTTGGGAGGCAGAGGGAAGAGGATTGCTCGATGCCAAGAGTTTGAGACCAGCCTGGGCAACATAGCCAGACCCCATCTCCACACACGCAAAAAGTATGGTCTTAAAGCTAGCACGGGGAGACAGCTTTGAGTTGGACTCCCATCTGCTTGTTAGTCAACTTGCAATAAAAAGCTTTTCTCACAAACCCATGTCCTAGCATTGGCTCCTAGCGCGTCAGACAGCAAAGCTCCTTTTGCTCCATAAAAACACATGCTGGCTCCCTGCCCATGATGGGAAGATGAAAACTTAATTGCAGCTGTGAAGACCCCTTTTCCTGAAGCCCAGCTGCAGAAGCCATCGTCCTCTTTGGCTGCAGAGGAGAGAGGGACATAAGTCTTCAGAGCTCAGCCTGGGTTCAGAGGCTCCTCAGAGACCTGTATCCTGGTGAGCCAAGGAGGAAGCTGACAGCACAGAGGCCAATCAGCAGTTAAGGGCAAGTCATTTGAAGCCCTCCCATTTCCTGCCTCCAACCCCTGCAATTAGGAGAAAACCCTAACTCCTCACTGCAGCCTCCAAGGCCCTGCACGCTCCCTCCCTGAGCTCATCTCCACCACCTCTCTTTTTGGTCACTCGGCTCTAGCCACACCGAGCTCCTTACCATGTGAAATTATTCCCTCAGCTGGGCGTGGTGGCTCACGCCTGTAATCCCAGCACTTTGGGAGGCTGAGGCAGGAGGATCACTTGAGGTCAGGAGTTTGAGACCAGCCTGGCCAACATGGTGAAACCCCGTCTCTACTAAAAATACAAACATTAGCTGGGCATGGTGGTAGGCGCCTGTAATCCCAGCTACTCGGGAGGCTGAGGCAGGAGAATCGCTTGAACCCGGGAGGCAGAGGTTGCAGCGAGCCGAGATCCTGCCACTGCACTCCAGCTTGGGAGACACAGTGAGACTCCATCTCAAAACAAACAAGCAAACAAAAAGTATTCCCTCTTTCTGTCACTGTGTCATAGCATGCTGTTTTATTTTCTTTGTAGCACCCATCACTATCTCAAATTATTTTGCTTACCTGTCTACTGTTAGTCTCCCCACAAAAGGCTGCAAATCTCCGTGAAGTCAGGGCCTGTCTAGTTCATCCCGGGAATCCAACATGTGCCTGATGCCTCATAGGTGTGGTGGATACATACTACTGTGTAATGAACATCCCTAAAGCTTAGTGGCTGATAATGGCAATTCTTTATCTTTCGTAGTTTCTGTGGGTGAGGAATGGGAAGGGCTAGGCTGGGTGGTTCTGACGGGGCTCAGGGTCTCTCATGCAATTACAGTCAGCGGCTGCCGCAGGAGCTGTTGGGGTTTGGCTGGGCATCTCTTGGCCAGGGCCTTGCCATGAGATCTGTGTTTCAGCTTCCTTACAGCATGGCAGCCGCAGGGCAGTTGGACTGCTCACATGGTGGCCAAAAGCTTTCAGAGAGACTGTTCCAGCAATGCTGCAGAAGCTGCATCTCTGTCCGTTATGTCCTAGCGTCGTCAGTTACACGGTGTCATTTCCTGTGTGCTCTATTGATCAGCAAGCCCACCTACATTCAAGGGAAGGGAGCTGCACCCTCCTCTCTTGCTGGGAAAAGGGTCAACGAATTTGGGGCCATATTTTAAAGCTACCACAGTAGGCAACTGACAAATATTTGTGTAAGTGAATGTTGACTAAGTTAATTTGCTACGAGAGGCCAGATGAGGAAAGCTGGCAGCCATCAACACTTGGAGGAGGCTTGCGAAACCACTGGAAACGTCCTTGGCTCATCAGCCTGACAGGTTTTGCGTGTCTCAGTGTCCCCTGAAAAGCCACGACTGGATTCTATTTAGCAAGTGATGACATGGTGCTGCGAGTTTCCCAAAGTGTGGGATGAATGTGGTGTGTGACATGACTTTAGGCGACATGTAGACATGGCGTTAAACGACAATGAATAACATAGATTATGTTAGCCCGTTTTCAATTCTCTTTCACTCCTTCTCATCACATCAGGAAGGAAGTTTCCGCCAAGTGCTGAAGCCTCTTCAATAACGCTCTAATACTTTGCTAATCTCCCTTTGTATCAAAGAAAAAGCAGGCCCAACACCTTGGCAGGCGACAGTATCTACTTTGAATGTGAAAACATTGTTTCATTTTCATGTTTGCTTTTACAATGGTCTACTCATGGCTTAGTGGTTTTCCATTTTAAACGGTGATACGAAGTATCTGTTTAATGTAAATTTAAACCAAAAGAAAAGTATCGGCCGGGCGCGGTGGCTCATGCCTGTAATCCCAGCACTTTGGGAGGCCGAGGCGGGCGGATCACGAGGTCAGGAGATCGAGACCATCCCGGCTAAAACGGTGAAACCCTGTCTCTACTAAAAATACAAAAAATTAGCCGGGCGTAGTGGCGGGCGCCTGTAGTCCCAGCTACTTGGGAGGCTGAGGCAGGAGAATGGCGTGAACCCGGGAGGCGGAGCTTGCAGTGAGCCGAGATCCCGCCACTGCACTCCAGCCTGGGCGACAGAGCGAGACTCCGTCTCAAAAAAAAAAAAAAAAAAAAAAAGAAAAGTATCAAGTTCATGAAAGGTCACACCGTGCAGATATGGTAAAGGCTGAGAAGACCTACCCAAGAGAAGTTTGGGGAAACCTGAAAATAATGAAACCAACACCCC
This sequence comes from Homo sapiens, assembly GCF_000001405.40. NCBI lineage: Eukaryota > Metazoa > Chordata > Mammalia > Primates > Hominidae > Homo > Homo sapiens. The sequence continues at coordinate 5,982,543 of NC_000019.10, read as the reverse complement.
AGGAATGACAGATGACCTGAATTCTACACACTGTGGGTGACCAGGGGGACTGACATTCGAGCTACTCTTAGAGAATTTCTTTCTTTGGTTTTTTTCGAGACGCAGTCTCACTCTGTTGCCCAGGCTGGAATGCAGCGGCGTGATCTCAGCTCACTCCAGCCACCGTCTCCCGCACTCAAGCAATCCTCCCACCTCAGCCTCCTGAGTAGCTGGGACTACAGGTGTGTGCCACCACGCCTGGCTAATTTTTTCTATTTTTGGCAGAGACAGGGTTTTGCCATGTTGCCCACTCAGGCTGGTCTTGAACTCCTGGGCTCATGTGATCTGCCTGCCTCAGCCTCCCGAAGTGCTGGGATTACAGGTGTGAAGTTTCAAATTAACCGTTTTCTTTAGAGACAAGGTCACAATCCGTAGCCCAGCCTGGAGTGCAGTCGTGCCATCCTACCTCACTGCAGCCTGCAACGCCTGGGCTCAAGCCATCCTCCCACTTCATCCTCCTGAGTAGCTGGGGACTACACGTGAACACCACCACAACTAGCTAATTTTTTGCAGAGACAGGATCTCACCATGTTGCCCAGACTGGTCTTGAACTCCTGGGCTCAAGCAATCTGCCCACTTCAGCCTCCCAAAGTGATGGGATTACAGGTGTAAGCCACCACGCCTGGCCATATTGTGTATTTTTTTTTTTTTTTTTTTTGAGACAGTCTCACTCTGTCGCCCAGGCTGGAGTGCAATGGTGTGATCTTGGCTCACTGCAACCTCCGCCTCCTGGGTTCAAGCAATTCTCCTGCCTCAGTCTCCCAAGTAGCTGGGATTACAGACGTGTACCACCACACCTGGCTAATTTCTTATTTTTTTAGTACAGACGGGGTTTCACCATGTTGGTCAGGCTGGTCTTGAACTCCTGACCTCAAGTATTCACCCGCCTTGGCCTCCCAAAGTCCTGGGATTACAGGCGTGAGCTACCGCACCCAGCCCAGATTGTGTATTTCTAATAAGCTTCCAGGTCATGCTGATGCTGCTGGTGTGGGGACACACTGAGAAAGTAGCAGGTTTTTGTTGTTGTTGTTGTTGTTGAGACAGAGTCTCATCTGTTGCCCAGGCTGGAGTGCAGTGGTGCGATCTCAGCTCGCTGAAACCTCCACCTCTCGGGTTCGAGTGATTCTCCTGCCTCAGCCTCCCGAGTAGCTGGATTGCAGGCGCCTGCCACCACACCCGGCTAATTTTTTGTATTTTTAGTAGAGACGGGGCTTCACTGTGCTGGCCAGGCTGATTTTGAACTCCTGATCTCGTGATCCACCTGCCTCAGCCTCACAAAGTGCTGGGATTACAGGCGTGAGCCACCGCGCCCGGCTGAAAGTCAGGTTCTTGAAAAAAATCTGGTGTGTGGCCGGGCACAGTGGCTCACACCTGTAATCCCAACACTTTGGGAGGTCGAGGTGGGTGGATCACTTGAGGTCAGGAGTTCGAAACCAGCCTGGCCAACATGGTGAAACCCAGTCTCTACTGAAAATACAAAGATTAGCCAGGCATGGTGGTGAGCGCCTGTAATCCCAGCTACTGGGGACGCTAAGGCAGGAGAATCGCTTGAACCCGGGAGGCAGAGGTTGCAGTGAGCTGAGATCGCGCCACTGCACTCCAGCCTGGGCAACAAAGCGAGACTCTGCCTCAAAAGAAAAAAAAAAAAAAAAAAAAGAATCTGGTGTGCTACTACTGCGCATGTCCTCCCAACTCTGGTGCTAGTGACATCCCATTAGTAACAATATAGGCCATGGCTGAAGGATTCACACCCAGAAAATCAGCAGACGCTACAAAACAGGGTTCAATTTGTTTTATTAATTGTCTTGTGGTCTTAAGAAAGTGATAGAAAAATAAGTAAAATTTACAATAAACTATATACACACACATAAATACATACTAACGAATACATTCTCTTCCAGAGAAGCTGCTGTTAAATATTTACCACATCCCACTGGCTGTTCAGAAAAGTTTAACAACCATGTAAATACATGTGTCCTGGATTAGGAACTGGCAAACTTTTTCTGTAAAGACACAAACAGTAAATGCTTTAAGTTTTGTTGGCCAAAAAGTTTCTGTTAAAAAAAAAAATTAGCTCTAATGTCACAGCTCAAAAGTAGCCAGAGACAATATATAAATGAGTAAGCATTGGCTGTTTTCAAATAAAACTTTATTTACAGACACTGAAATGTAAATTTCACACCATTTTCACATCAATAGATATTCTTCTTTTGGTATTTTTTTTCCCAACCAGCTAAAAATGTAAAAAAATCGGCAGGCGCGGTGGCTCATGCCTGTAATCCCAGCACTTTGGGAAGCCAAGGTGGGCAGAGCACCTGAGGTCAGAAGTTCGAGAGCAGCCTGGCCAACATGGTGAAACCCTGTCTCCACAAAAAAACACAAAAACTAGCTGGGTATAGTAGTACACAGCTGTAATGCCAGCTACTCAGAAGGCTGAGGCAGGAGAATCACTTCAACCCGGGAGGCGGAGGTTGTAGTGAGTCGAAATTGTACCACTGCACTCCAGCGTGGGCAACAGAGTTAGATTCCAAAATAAATAAAAGAAAGGGAAGGGAAGGAAAGGGAGGGAGGGAACAAGGGGAGGGAGGGAGGAACCATTTTTAGCTCATAGACTATATCTGGCCCACAGATTGTAGTACTCCTCGCTCTCTTTTAGATCATACTCAAAAAGGTGCAGAGCTGGGACTCCAACCTAGGTAAGACCTGAAACACAAGGTCCCAGGCAGAGAGACGACCAAGTGCAAAGACCCTTAGGTTGGAATGAGCTTGTGCTCCAAGGATGGAAAGACCCACGCGGCTGAACAGCAATGAGCAAGGGGGAACAAAGCAGGGCATGGGAGCCAAGTTCAGGGGACTTCATAAACCTGAATACAAGGTTTAGGATATTCCAAGTTCAGCTGAGAGCCCTCTGGAAGCACTGAGTGGCCTTGATATTTCCATTTTCAGTCTATGTGTATATATATATATATACACACACACACATATATATGCACACGTGTATGTATATATCTGTGTGTATATATATAGATAAAAACAAAGTATATATGTGTATATATATGGGGGAGGTTCTTGCTGTGTCCCTAGGATGGTGGCAGTGGCACTGTCACAGCTCACTGCAGCCTCAACCTCCTGGGCTCAAGTGATCCTCCTGCCTCAGCCTCCCAAGTAGCTGGGACCACAGGCTTGCACCACCACATCCGGGTAATTTTTGTGTTTTTGTAGAGATGGGGTCTTGCTCTGTTGCCTAGGCTGGTTTTGAACTGAGCTCAAGCGATCCTCCCACCTTGGCCTCCCGCAGTGCTGGGATTCCAGGGGTGAGCTACCGCGTCTGGCTGATTATATTTTTCAAAGACTCCTCAGCCTGCGGCCATGTGCAGAACCAAGCCTGGGGCTTCAAAAGAATGCAGCAAAGGATAGCAGAGAGGCCGCTGTCCAAGTCTTCCATGAGATAGATACGGACGATGTGGCCTAGGGTGGTGACAGCCTGGGGGTGACAATGGGTGGCTCTGGGCTGTATTTTGGAGGCAAGGCCAAGTCCGAAGGATTTGCTGAGAGATTCATAGCAGGTGAGTAGAGAACAACTCCAGGGTGTCCAGGACCCTCCCATGAGCCTTGTGAGTGAGGCTGATGGTCCCATTTTACAGATGGGTAACCTGGAGGCGCGCGGTTCCCCTCCCATGAGCTTGTGAAGTTGATTCTCGTAGCTCCGAGGGGTCGAGTCCCTCGCGCCGGCTCCCCCCGCCCCCAACGCCAGCACCTGGGTCCCAGGGCTGCGCCCCCTCCTAGAGCCTGACCACGACCCCCGCCCCCGCCGATGAGCTCTGATTTACCCCCCAATCCCAAGCACCCCGCGCCCTCTCGCCACTTCCCCCGTGGTTTCAGGAAAGCGTTTGCCGAAGGTACCGGCTCCTAAGGCGGGTAAACTGAGGTAGGAGGCAACGCGTCTCCCGCCCGCGCGTGTGGGAAGCCCCCGCAGGCCCGGCGATTTACCTGGAGGAAGGCCTCGGCTGCGGCGCCCTGAACTGCTCACTGTCCCACCGCGGGGGAACCCCGGAAAACGAGTGGGAAAACGAGTGCTTCAAGACCCGCCTCGGGCCGCGCGGTGCCGCCTCACTAAACCTTAGTCGCTGCCACTGCGCATGCGCCCTTCCCGGCCCTTTCCCCGCCCTCTCAGTCGGCGGGAAAAGGAGGCGGGAGATGGCTCGTGCGCAGGTGCGTGCTAGGAGCGCGGCTCGTCAGGGCAGGCTGCTCTGCAGGGCAGGCGATCCGGGGCTCGCCTCCGCGCGGCATTCAGCGCGCAGGCGCGAGCTGGCCGCCTCACACGGAGTCGGCTTGTTAAGTGCGCACGCGCGGGAGTTTCTGGCAGAAAGCAGGCGAGCCTGGGCCGGCGCGGGGCCTTGTGGGAGGGCTTAAGGAAGTAAAATGGCGGACCTGGCGAACGAAGGTAGGGGAGGCGCCGTTGGGGACCGGCTGGCGGCCGGGGAACGGGCGGCGGGAGGACTAGGGGCCACAAGCCCTTGGGGGGAGCACCGCAGAGTGCAAGGGTTTCGTCCGCTCCAGGCTAGCGCCGTGGCGGGCCTTGCAGCCGCCCCCTATTGCGTCCCCTCAGGCCGGGCTCACCGGCCCGGCCCATCACTCCCGGCAACCCCAGCCACTGCAGCCGTCTGGCTAGAGGAGCCGGGTGGCCATCGGGATCGCAGCCCTAAGGCCCCTCTGCGTCGCAGCCAAGCTCGGGGCTGAAGGGGGCGGGAGGCGCGGCCCCAGTGCTTCGGCCACGGATGTAAATAGACCTTAGGGCCTGGTTGTGGCCCGGAGCGCGCCACGCTCCCTCCCCGCCCCCTCGTCCTCCGCCACCCGGCATCTCCCCTTCCCCGGCCTGGCTGCCTATCTCCTAAGCCCGTGAGGCCCTCGTCCTCCGCGGGCCAGCCGCACACCGCGGACGGAGGAAGCCCAGGCCGTTTTCACCCCGTCCCCGCCCCGAACTTCGGCCCCCACTTCCCGCCAGTTCCCCCCGGATCCTTCGGGGCGCTTCGTCTCCCCCTCATTTAGGCCCCGCCGCAGGATCTGGGCCGCCGAAAACCCTGGCTGCTCTTTGGCCCTTTTTGCTGCACTTCCAGACAAGAGACCGTGCGAGTCCCTCCTCTGTGGAGCGCTGACAGCCCACCTGAGTGTTTTTGACAAGGTTACACTTCCAGATCCCCCGAGAAGGCACCATAAGGCTGATGTCTGCTTCCATCCATAGTCGTGTTGCCATCGCTGTAGCTTCAAGACTTCTGAGGCCTATTTTTAGCTCCCCCCCTTTTCTAGTTGCACAAATGCAGGCAAGCTCTCTACCTGTCTGGCTCTGATTCCCCCATTCGGTGCTCCCTGTGACTGGAGGGTTTTCCCTACCGAATTGCAGTAATGAATGAATGATGATAGGAAGTGCTTGGTCTTGTGGAGCATTTAGGGTAGTTACCAGGTGTGGTGCAAAGTCTTGACATACTGTTTTCCCTGGTAGGAGGTATAGATACTGTTAGCCCCATTCACTTGATGAGGAGACTGAGTCAACGTGGTTAAGTCGCTTATCCAAGGCGTGTCACACAGCTGGGAAGGAGCAGGGATGTGAACCAAGATGGCCTGGCTTCAGATGCCAGACCACGGGTGCTCAGTCCCTGCAGATTCTGATTCTGTGTGGTGTTGGGCGGGCGCTGGGCATCTGTACAGGCAGCAGCACAGGTTCTCTCCCTGATTCTTGGCCATTTTATTCTATTTTATTTTTTGGGACGGAGTCTAGCTCTGTAGCCAGGCTGGAGTGCAGTGGCGCCATCTCGGCTCACTGCAATCTCCGCCTCCCGGGTTCAGGTGATTCTCCTGCCTCAGCCTCCCGAGTAGCTGGGATTACAGGCGCGCACCACCACACCCAGCTAATTTTTGTGTTTTTAGTACAGACGGGGTTTCACCATGTTGGCCAGGATGGTCTCCATCTCCTGACCTCGTGATCTGCCCGCCTCGGCCTCCCAAAGTGCTGGGATTACAGGCGTGAGCCACCGCACCCGGCTGCTACATCTCTTTTTTTAAGATAAAGGAGCCCATGGAGGGTTGCAGCATTCCAACTCATGAGATCTAGTTACAGAGGGACTGGGTAAGTGGGAATCAGTATGACATATTTTATGTATTTACATCCTGAGCCCACATAGCTTCTTGAACTCAGGACTCATGTCCAGCATCACATTTCGACATCTCCATTTGGATGTGTCATAGGTAAGTCTAGAGCGTTTCCAAAACAAAATCCTTATCTCCCCCACTACACCTGCCCATCCCATGGTCTTTCACCCATTGTAGTTAGTTAGGCAGGTCCATTCTTTGAATTCTTCTGGCCCCAAACCTTGAAGTCACCCCTGGTTTCCCTCTTTCTCATACTGCACAGCAAATACTATCATTTCTACCTTAAAATTATTCCCAAAGGGGGACCACCACTTCTCCCCACCAACACCGTCAATGCTTAGCCCCCGTTCCCTCCACCCTTACCCATCTGAGAACTTCTCAGCCCATAGTGGGCCCCAATATGTCCCTGTCCTTCTCTCTCGCCACTCTCTGCTGCCTTGCTCTGTGCTAACTACTCTGGCTTTTTCAGTTTTCCTTGAATGTTGCATACACTCCCCGCTTTTAGCCTTTTCTCCTGCTGATTCCTCTAACTGAAACAGTTTTCCCCCAGATACCCCCATGGCTCACTTCTTCTGGTTTTTACTCATATATGTTACTTTATTAATGAGAGCTTCTCTGGCCACCTATTTCAAATTAAATCCATGTTCTCTATTCCGTTCACCCTGCTTGATTTTCCTGTATAGCTCTTAACAATCCGGCATGCTAGATATTACATGCATGTTTGCCCCATGTAAGCTCCATGAGGTCAGGGATTTTTATGTTATGATCACTGATTGCCCCCTTGCATCTAGAACGGTGCCTGGCACAGAGTAGGTACACAGGAAATATTGGTTGAATGAATGAATGCATGAATGAATGAATTCACCAGTGAGGACCCTGTTGTGAGGAATACATTTGAGCACAAAGGGGAAATTATGGCTTGCCCTTTTCCAGGGGATACTGTTTCTAGCATATGCTGTCCACATGAGCTATTGGTTGTAAATGGGATAGTTGAACTGGTAAGGGCCAAAGAGAGAAATGGAATGTTTTGAACTTCACTTTTTTTCCCTAGTAAGTGCCACACTCACCTAGCACGTTGTCCCTGACGCTAGTTCTGGGATAACTGTCCTCAGGAAATCAAATCTTGGTGGACTTTGTGCCTCATATATCCCTGCCGTCCTTCAATCAGTCATTGTGTGTTTCTTGAACACTCCATTTCTGGTTTTGGCTTGTACAGCCTGCCAGGATGTTTAATTTGTTATTCACTGTGTAAAGTGGGGCCTCCTTGCCTGTGCCTTTTGAAGCTTTAGGGGCTGCCCCATGGTCACGTGTTTGTTCTTGCTGTTTAAGCTCTAGTCAAATGCCCTCTTGGCTTCTGCCTTTCCAGACTGAGATCATAAGTTGCTCCACCCTCACACCCAGTCCCTCCTCCATCCATTTGCCATCTCTCTTCTCTGGGCCAGTCCCACCTCTGTGTCAGGCTGAGCAGCGGCTGTCCACCCGGCTGGGCATCAGTACCCCCTGGGGAACTTTCCTGAAACCGCAGATGCTCAGTCGCCACGCCCTGCAGATTCCGATTCTCTCTGGTGTTGGGTGGGTTCTGGGCCTCTGTACAGGTGGCAGCACAGGTGATTCTCATGTGCAGGCAGGGTTGAGACCCGCTGGTTTGAGTAGTAGAGGGTAGGTGTCCTCTGCTTGTATACGAGGAAATGTTTTCTGTTGTGTAAAGCATCTTGTTGGCCCTCGTCACCATGGTGAACGCCTCATGGATGGTGACAGCAACTCTCACAGCCCTTCCTGTGGTCTGGGACTTTTAAAGTCCACCTGAGTGCTTTTCCTCTCAGACAGTGTGTGTGCATGTTTCACCCTTGCATCCAGGGATAAGTCTCCCCTGCTTGGCATTTCCCCATTGATACCTCCCAGACTCATTACTCATCCTGTCTCTAGGGTTATGCTGCATTGTAGGCTGACATCAGGATTTGAAGGCAGAGTTTTGTCCCTGGCAAAGGTAAAGAAGACTGGAAAGAGGGTGAGCAAAGCACATTTGAACTCCAGGGAATCTTGGATTCTAGATCCTGACATGAAAGGCCCTGTTGGCCTGTGGACATGCGTGGTGGAAACCCGGGAGACAGTGTGAAGCAGGGCTCTCACCTTTGTGTGGTGCAGTTGACGTTTTGATGGCTCTCTTTGGCGGGAGGGGCTGTCCTGTGCGTTGCAGGATCCTTAGCAGCACGGTAGCATCCTTGGACCTACTCACTAGATGCCAGTAGCACACACCTCCCCTCACTCGCGGGGTCGTCATGACAACAGAAGAAGTCTCCTGACACAGCCCCTGGGGAGTGGGGGTGGGGAGGCTGCAGAATCGCCCCCAGGTGAGAGACTCACTGGTATCGATGGTGGGGACACAGGCTTTGGTCCTCAGAGAGCTGGGTTTGTGTTTTAACTCCGCTGTCCACTCTGAGTCATTTGGGGCAAATTTCTTAACCTCTTTGAGCCCCCCGTTTCCACACCAATAAAATGGGAATAATGGTAACCACACCCACCTCGTGGTTGCTGTGAGCATTGAAGGAATGAGTGCACATACATTGTTTAGCACCAGTCTCTGCTCATAGTAATAAACACTCAGGTCACTGTTTTTACTACAGTGCACTCTGCTCTGGACACATTCAGCTGAAGGGTTCAGCAAAGTCTCCATTGTGTGGGTGAACCTGCCCCACTCAGAGTTGGCCCTGGGCTGAGCCCCTGGCAGAAGACCAGCAGGGCCTGGGCTCTGGGTCCTCCTAAGTTCTGTCCTGCCTGTCACTTAGTGATCTCAGGGATCCCAGCCTGAGCACTACAGACATCTGGGGCCAGGTAATTCTCTGTTGTGGGCGATTGCGCTGTGCACTGTAGGATCTTAATGAGGATCCCTGGCCTCTACCCCACTAAATGCTAATAGCACATCCCCCTCCTCATCCCCGCCAGTCATGACAGTGGAAATGTCTCCGTCCCAGTGTCCCCCCGGGGGCAGAGTTGCTTTCAGTTGAGAACTACTGATTTAAAAGCCTGACCAGGTATGAGTCGAGAGATTTTTGAGGGTGGTTTGGCTTCTCTCAGCTTGCACCTTGTTGACTTAAAACCTAGCCCCTGAGAGGGTGAGATGCAACTGAATTTTTATTGGTTAGCTAGAACTGAAATAGTTGGAACCTATCTTAAACAACTTTTGGAAAGTTTCTCGTGAATTTATTATAAAAACTAATTCTGGGATTTTTGCTTAGAGCAGAATGTGTGCTTTCACCTCCACTGTGCCTCCTGTATCTGTAGCAGAAGGGGCCTGATGGTACCCAAGGGGTATCCAGGCTGCAAAATCTTTATACTCTTTGAAGAGACTTTCCATTTTGCCCAGGATCCTGCGTATAGACAGAAAAGCCCTCACTGGGCTTCTGCAAAATGTTTCAAACAAGCCTTCAGCCTGCCTCTCCGTTTACCAGAAAATGGGATTTTCCCGGCACCCTCGTGCATTCATTAGGTGTTAGGGTCAACCTGGGTCTGGTGTGTGCTCCTCCTCTGAGGTGGTCAGAGTGAGCAGAAGCAGCAGGAATGGGGTGAGCTTCGAGTGGCATTTGGAGGAGCTTGGGGTGGAGAAGGGGGGTTGAATTCTGCCCTCCTACGTGAGTTCAGACAGTGAATAGGCCTGGGTGTAGTGGGAGACGAAGGCCATTTGGGGAAAGTTGAGATGCATTTGGGGAATCTGAGAAGAGAGCGCCGTTCCTCAAAACTTACCAGAGGACCACAAAACTGCCGAGATGGCTGGTATTGGCTTGGCTGGGCATTTGGTAGCTCTCCATGGTACTTTGAAGCAATCGTGAGGCAGTTGGGCTTGCATCATTATCTATTCAGGGTCTGGTGGTGATGTTTTCTTTGTTTTAGGGGGTCCTGGTGGAGCGGTGTTCTGTTTGACTCTGCCCTACGCAGTAGAGAATAACGTGGCCTGGGACATCAGGGTAAAGCTCCTCACCACCACCTTCCACATGTCCACAGTTTGCTTCCTCCTCAGTAGTCTTGGCACTTAGAGCTGCCACACAGCACTAGCTATGGATCTCAGCCCTGGATGGGCTTCACACTTGTTTAAGGAGGTTGTCAGGGAAAATCAAAACTGCTGCCTGGGCTGCACCATTGGAGATGGTTCCAGGAGTTCTAGGGTGTCTGTGGTTTTAAAGAGCTCCACAGATGTTTAACAACATGAAGCCAGAGTTGAAAACCACAGGCAGAAGTTGCAAACTTGCCTGAAGGGCAAGCAGACATATTTAATTTGGCCCATTTAGGTTTTTGTTTGTAATTAGGAGCCAACACTTAAAATTCTGAGATTTCAGAGGGGAAAAAAATTGTATTTCTGATTTCTCTCAGAAAACAGCAACCACCCTTGGCCTGCATTCTTGCACAGCAGTGATTTTTCAGTGCTAAGGAACAGCTGCGCCTGTGGATAGATTAGATTGGATATTGTGGTCTCCGCCATGTTACTTGGGGCCTAGCCCACTTCCTTCTCTTCCAGTGCCTGTGACCTTGGTTGGTATTTGGGTTTCAATCCTATTATACAGACTCCTAGACTCTGCATTCTCTACACTTAGAGTGCTCTTTAGCTAGAACCTTAGCATAAAGCACCTCATGGTCTGTAATTTAGGATTTAGTGTCCTTGGAATGCTAGAACTCAGATAGCATATGGCAGCAGTTCTCAAAGATGGTCCGGGGCCCTGCAGTCCCCAAGACCTTTTCAAGGGGACTGCAAGTTCAAAACTATTTCATAACAACACAAAGACACTATCTGCTCTTTTTTCACTCTTATTCACTTGAAAATGGACAGTGGAGTTTTTTTCCAGAGGTTATTGGATGTGTGATATGCCAACAGATGAACTATAGAAGCAGATAAGAGAATTCAGGCCGGGCACAGTGGCAAACACCTGCAGTCCCAGCTACTTGGGAGGCTGAGGTGGGAGGATCTCTTGAGCCCAGGAGTTCAAAGCCAGCCTGGGCAACAAAGCCCCTCTCTTTAATAAAAAAAAAAGAGAGAGAATTCAGCTATCTTCTATTAAGTCAGACGTTAAAGACATTTGTCAAAATGTAAAATAATGCCACTCTTCTCAGATTTTTTTAAATACTTATTTTTCATAAAAATATGTTATTTAACTAAACCTTTCTGGAGTTTATTATAATCTTAAGTATTTTGAAATTGTCTTAGGTTTCATTTCTAATATGGTGTCAGTAGTAGCTACATCCCACATTTCCAAAAGCTCTTGGGGATGTTCAGTCATTGACAAGCGTGGAAAAGGGTCCCGAGACCAGGAAATTTGAGAACCACTGGCATGTGCTAGCAGAGCCTCAGTGTACAGTGTGGGTTTCTCCGCTGCCTTGCCAACATCGGGAGAATTCTAAACCAGAGCTGACCAGCAGGTTCCCATTGGCAACTTGTGGCATGGTTGGAAGCACCTGGATTGGCTGTCCTTGGTTTGTGTCTTGCCTTCTGCCCTAGAAACATGGGCAAGTTGTCTGACCTTAGCTCTTGCATCTGTAAAATGGGAACGATGATACGCAAGTCTGAGGATTGTGGTGTGAGAGAGAATATACTTCTGGTAATTGACCTACTGGAATGTGGAGATACATGTCAGTTACTTCTAGCTGTGATTCTCCTAATTGGATGCCTGAGTAGAGAGAAAGCACCCTGTGAGTTATACCAGGGTTTTTCCACCTCAGTATTCTTGACATTGGGGCTGGTGGTGGCCATCTTGTGCTTTGGAGGATGTTGGGTAGCCCCTCTAGCCTCTACTCATGTGATGCCATAGCACCCAGTCATCCCACCCATCCACTCCCAGTCATGAGAAGATAAAAGGTCTCCAGACACTGTCCAGTGTCCCCTTAATGTCAGAATTGCCCCCACTTGAGAACCATTGGGTTATGGGATTTCATTGACACCCAAGAGACTTTGTGTTCCATAGTTATCTAACCTACTGAGGTCGTAGGAGCCTGTACACATTTAAAGCCACAGTCTGAGTGGGGAGGGAGAGAGGCGGTGAATCCCAGAAGCCAGGGTGGGGGGTCACCCTGGTTTGTGCCATCTAATCTATTGGGGATTTATTTTGGTGTATAATGTGAGTTAGAGATCCAGCTCAATTTTTTTGCCCAAGATTAATGCAAGGTTTCTTGCCCTCAGCTCAGTTGACATTTGGACTTGGGTCACTTGCTGGTAGGGCACTGTTCTGAGCCTCCTAGGATGTTGGTCAGCATCCCTGGTCTCCATCCACTAGATGTCTGTAACAGTTTCCTCCACACCCCCACAAACATGACAGTCACAATGTCTCCAGATTTTGACCAGTGTCTCCAGGGAGATGAAGTTACTCCTGGGTGAGAACCACTGGTCATAGGATCAAAGGAACCTACCCAGGAATAAATTAATTGCCAGCTAGAGTTTAAGGCCCTTCCTCCCAACCTTATTTTTCTATTCTGGCCTTTTGGCAGCTGAGTAGGCCTCAATGGACATCATATCCCTCTTCAGGAAGAACAGTCTTTTCCTTGACCTTTAACACTGCCTCTGGTCCAGGGTGAGGACCTGACAGAATGTAAGGGCTGGGAAGAACCTTCAGGGATGCCTGAGTCCTGGCTGCACCATTTCACAGGGGCTGAAGCCCGAGGCCATGGAAGCAGGTAGGGCTGGCTAGGGCCAGTGCGCCTGTCTCCAGCCATGGAGTCTAGGAGTTCATGCTTGTCCTTCCCGGTGAGTCAGTAAACTCTAGGTAATGGGCACTCGTTCACCCCTGAAAACTGACCCGCGTAGGGCACTGCATTTCGCTGTCGCTGTTTATGGTGTTCAAAGAAAGGGAGGAAATTCTAGAGACAGTAGTAGTTACTCCATACACATGTTTAGAAGGCAGGCCTTGCCTTTTGCAGTAAGTTTAAAATGCCTTTGCTAAATTAAACTCCCCCAGGTTTGCCACAGAGAATTTTGGGAACTTATTTACCCAGAATTAATTCCTGCGTTGCATCTGTGAGAGCAGAGCGTGAGTGGAAACGGTCCTTGAGAACTTGCCTTTCTCTGGGGGAGAGGGTGAGAAAACAGGCAGTTACCCTCTGCTCAGAGGAGAGAGGATGTTTTGCAGCATTGATGGTGATGGCCACTGGGTCCTAAGAGTCCAGAGCCTGGGCCCCAACCTTTACACTGGATAAATCCAGATTTGTCAGCATGGCCTGCAAGGCTGAACGTCCTGTGGGCTCCACCCAGCCCTTCCCGTTCTCCTCCCCTCCAAACATGGGCCTCCAGGCTCTTCCTTTCCTTAGAACCTTTGACTTGGGGTCCCCTCTGCCTGGGATCCCCTGCCTTCACCTGGCTCATCCCTGCTCACCCTTCATGTGTGAGCTTCAGCGAGGCCTTACCCATTCACTCACTCTCTCCCACCATCCTGTGGTATTTTCTCTGCAGCACCCAGCTCCAGAACTACCCAGTTATCTCTGCACACAGCAGGTACTTGTTTGTTTTCTCTTTCCCAGTAGAGAGCTGCGGCCTTGTCTGCCATTTCTTTCCTGTCTCCAGTGGCAAGCTCGGTGCCTAGCACAAGTCTGTGCTTGGTAGATCCTGCTGGTGAGAGCAAGGCTTGGCTGCTCGGCTCGGCCTGCCTTCAGATCCCACCTGTTTCCTGTGACCTCAGAAGGGCTCAGGCATTCCGAGCACCTGAGCGTTTGCCTTGAGTGTCCCAGGCGTCCAGGCAGCTCTTGGATCCAACCATTCCACCCCCTAAAAGGGGTCAGACTCTGACGCATTTGTCGTTGCCGGGCACTGGCAGCTGTCCTTGAATCCAAGGCCTATGCTTTAAGGTGGCATCAATATGTTTGCAATCTTCCGAGCATAATAATGCTACCAGTGCCAGTGTGGAATCATCCTGTGTGCCAACCACTTCCCCAAACACGGCATGTGCAGCATTTCATTTCATCCTTGCCGAAGCTGCCTGGGGTGAAATAACAGCCCTGATATGCAAATGAAGACATTGTGCCAGAGGTACATTGTCTTATCTGGGATCCCAACCGCAAGTAAGTGGCCAGGGCAGGTTTGAACACACACAAAGACCAGAGCCCGCGCTCTCCAGTATCATCAGTTTTGCTCTGCTGCCTCAGCATAAATTCTGTAGTTCTTGGATTTCCTTCCTGTAAGCTTCCGTGTAGAGAGGAGGGGATTCCTGTTGTCTCTACTGGAACTTTCCCGAGTCTTCAGCCACTTGCATGTTGCCTCAGCTGTGTTGGTGTCACACCACCTAGTGGCGGAACAGAAAAGTGCCGTTAAAGCTGGATCCTCCATCTCTCCACGCAGTTTTTTCTTTTTTCTTTCTTTTCTTTTTTTTTGGAGACAGAGTCTCACTCTGTCGCCCAGGCTGGAGTGCAGTGGTGCTATCTCAGCTCACTGCAACCTCCACCTCCTGGGTTCAAGTGATGCTTGGGTCTCAGCCTCCCGAGTAGCTGGGATTACATATCCCACCAGGCCCAGCTAATTTTTGTATTTTGGGTAGAGACACGATTTCACCATGTTGCCCAGGCTGGTCTCAAACTCCTTTCCTCAAGTGATCCACATGCCTCGGCCTCCCAACGTGCTGGGATTACAGGCATGAGCCACTGAACCCAGCCATCCATACAGTTGTAGGCAGAGTTGCTGACTTTGTATAACTTTATGGGGTTTCTGTTCAGAAGTGCAAGTTCTGCCCCCCGGGGCTTACGGTCTGGGTGGCGCAGGAGTGGAAGCTTAGAAGGGTTTGGCTGCAGGGCTGATAAAGGTAGAAATAAAGAAGGCAGAATGTGGCTTGGCCCTCATGGGGTGGAGTGGGATATGAGGAGGATGTCATGGGGATGCGTCTATGATGAATGAGACTAGATATGTAAAGTACCTACCTCGGAGTCCAGTAAAGGCCTTTTAACAAATGCCTGTTGCCCCTGCAATGCTTGTTGGAAGTGTAAGTATCTGGTGGTGAGATGAGAGTGGTTGGAAGTTGGCTTGGAGTTCGGTAGTTGAAGGTAATGCCAAGATGATGAGCATTCCAGAAAGAAGTACATAAAATGTAGGATATCATCAGCTCCAAAAAGTGTGTCCCCATAATCTCCATGAGACCAGTTGAAAGTTATAGAAATATATTCGAGTATTGAGAAAAGAACGGAGTCATCCAGGGTCCCACCGCCTTCCACTAGCTGGGCTGGAGAACCCGAGCATGCTATACACGGAGATCCGCAGAGGCATCACCTAGCAACTGCATGTTTGAGATCAGTTCCATTCCGTACCAAAGAATCAGTTGGAGGACAGACCTGACACGTCAGTGACAGATTTACCTTTGTGCTGTGGCACAGAACTGTTTATAATAATTTCTGAAAAAATAAATGACTTGAAGGGTTGTGATCGTGTCACCAGATTACAGGAGTTGCCACATTTTAATAGACTGTTATTTGTGTTGGCGAGATGCTTTCCATATTTTTTTCACAGGTAAGAAGATTAAGACATATCAGCCCAGGATTAAAGCTAATTTTATGCAAGTACCTTGCTGACAGTTTGGTCAGGAGTTCTCAATTGCTTTCTAGATGAGGGCATTTTCTTGGCAGGTATTGGAGTCATCAGTCAGGAGGCGAATAAACAGAAAAAGCAAAGATATTCCAGATTCTCTCTTATATGTGTTTTCCCAGGCCTACGTAGTTTCTTCTATTTAGTTTTAGCGGGAGATCCTCCATGACAGGCTGGAGACAGCCATGGGCTGGTGGGGAAGCAAAGCTTACTGTAAGGCAGGGCTGCCCTTGCTTCTTTGTAAATTATTCTCTGCAGCAGTGAGGAAAGAAAGTTTATACGGAAGAGGAGAGAGGCGGAGGCGAGAGTGTGTGTGTTGTCAGCTTAGATTCTGAATATATTACGCAAAGCATTCCAGGGCCGAACATTTGACAGATGAAGACAGAAAGCAGCTTGTGTCACCATTGAGTGTGTGCCTTGGAATGTGTCTTTGATCCTTGTCTTGACAACCTTAAAGGATTGCAGTCTTGTCGGGGATCAGCCATTGGGATAATCACACACTGTGTTGGCTGAGGCAGGTGGTCATGTGACCTGTGGGAAGCCTTTCACTGACCCCGGAACTCATGACTAGCCCCCTAGTTTGGTTCGTGCTCCTCCATAGGTGCTTATCCAGAACAGCAACTGACAGCTACTTTATTCCTGCTGTCATTTCTCTAAAGGGAAGAGTGTATGTGTTGTAGCTCTGAGGCCTACCTGCACAGAAAAGGTGAGAGGAAGCAAACTGGAGTCCAGGTAACTCCTCCCTTTTGCACACGTAGTTCTTGGCCAGCAGCGGAGTGGAGCGTGGCACTCAGGAGCATGGGCCGGGGCTTCAGAGTCGGCCCACCTGGCCCGAAGACCCGGGCCCACCTCCGACAGGTCGCTTGACCTGATTATCCGTTTCCTTTCCTGTGAAAGGATGTTGGTGTAAGCCACCTCCTAAGGTGGTTGTGGAGATTAGGTGACATGATGCAGATAAAACCTAACACATAAAGAAGTGCTCGAAGAACGCTGGCCACGTATATGAAACCATCACGCGTCTGGGAGACCCCATTTGTGGATGCCTTTGCTGTGCATATCATGGCAGAAACTAAGATAAGTCTAAGAGGTAAAACAGGATTCTACAACCCTTCTTCACCTGGAGCGTTGGGAAACTCACCTTTCTCCCCTGGGCCACCGCTGGGGTTCAGCCCAGCTCCTTGCTTTCTCCTTTCCTTGCTTGCAGTAGGCTGCAGAGACCTCACTCCTTTCCTTAAGTCTGGGAAGCCCCCACCACCCACCCTGTCCCAAGGGGCTCTACAGCACCCTCTCCCCTCCTTGCTGCCTCTGAAATAGACACAGAATTCATTTTGTCATCAAAGTTTTGCCACCAGTCAGTCTCTTGGCAGAAAAAATACAGATAAAACCTTTTTGAGTCCTGGTCCCTGGAGGCTGCTTGTAGAGGTGCTACCAGGAAGCCTGCTATTTAACTCTCACATGTGGGCTGTTGAAACCGCCCTCCTCCTTTCACCCTCCTTACTCTTTGAAGAGGCAGTATCTGGGCCCTTTCCCTAGATAAAGATGCTGTCCACCAAATTACAGAGGTGACTTCATCAGGGTTCAGGGTGAGGGTTTTATGGACTTCGCACACACACCCCCAAGCCACCTGGGTCCCAGATTGGTCATTTCTGCTTTAGAGGAAGGGCCCACCTCCTCAAGCCCCCCACCTCCTCAGAGACCTACTGCCCCCTGCAAGGAGAACAGTTCCTCTAGGGTCAGGAGGAAGCCTGTATCCCACCAGGGGAAGAGACCCCCTTCCACCAGGATCCCCACCTTCATCGCAGAGATCTTTGGCTCTTTCCTCAAAAAAGCTGTCATAGGAACTGCTTCAATTTGATTGGAGTTTCCTTCCTAGGAGCTTCTACACTGACACATGCAGGTATAAATGTGCAGACCTCAGACCCCAGGGAAGGGCGGAGGTGACCCCCCACCGTGCCACCCCCCCCCCCACCCTACCACCTCCACTTAGCTCCTCTTCCCCCAGGCTGCCCTGTTTTCCAGTCTGTCCCCAAGGCGTGTCCCAAGCATTAGCACAGTACTAGGCCCACTGCATGTGCCACCCTGACCTGGTTCCTCCAGCACTCCTCACTCTGCTGCCGTGTGCTTCCCGGTCATGTGGCCAAATGCTGCTTGTCCTTCTGTCCAGACAGCCCCTCTCCCAGCAGCATTCCCTGATTCACTCCCTTCACAGCCTCACTGGGTTGGAAGCCCCAGCTCTATGTTCCCAGGGCCTGCTGTGCCTCCCCTGTGTCATATGTTCAGATAAGGTGTGATGGGTGCTCTAGACAGACAGGGACGTGTCTCCAGAGGCCGACGCAGTGCTTAGTGCACAGTGGGTGCTGGGATGTGTGGAATTGCTGAGGGAATATTAGGATTGAATCTTTTCATCCTCTGTGCAGCTGGCAGAGTGGTTCCCAGGCTCAACTAGGTGGGACAGAGCACCCTGACAGCCATAGCCACGTGAGGATGACTGGGTGGAGGTGGGGGGGCAGGCCAAGCAGGTCTAAGGGGTTCCCAACATCTGGCAGAAGTTGGAAAGGAGAGCAGAGATGGCCAAGCTTCCTGTGCTGGGGCTGGCTTGCTTCTTAGCCTGTCTGTGCTCATCGCTGGGGCTGCAAAGACCAGGACCAGGACACCGGCCCTGTCCTGGGGAATCCCAGCTGGTCCCATTTTGCATCGGAGCCTCACAAGTGGGTTGAGGGTAGCAGGGGATGGGAGGGAGAGCCAGCACCGTGGGCCCGGATGCCAGCAGGGGCTCACTCCTTTCAGTTTCTGGCCAGGCCATCTTCCCTTGCTGTTTTCCTGGGGTACCAGGGGGCAGCAGGGGACTCTCCCTGGCCTGGGTCTGTGATCATCACAGGATCACAATTGTTGGGCTCAGGCTGGGTGCTGTCTGGGCATGTGAGCTGAGGAGGTTCGCAGGGTAGAGGATGCTAGATGGGACGAGGGTTCTGAATTCAGCAGCAGCCATGTGGGACTTGGTGCACAGTGCCCCTGAAGGCCATGGTGAGGCCAGAGAAGAAGTATGTGGTGGGCCAGAGCACTTCACACATTGTTTGAGGTGACTTGTGTCCAAGGAAGAGGGGCTCAGAATCTCCCCCGCTTCACACACCAGTGTTGTCCACAGTGGTCCTTGAAACGTCATTCTCAGGCCTCATTGTGGATGTCCCTGGAAATGGGGGGGACTCCCTAGTCAAATAACTTTGAGAAGCGTCTGGTCAAATGAGTTTCTTTCCTTTCTCTCTGTTTTTGAGACAAGGTCTCACTCTGTCACCCAGCCTGGAGTGCAGTGGCACGATCATGGCTCACTGCAGCCTCTAACTCCTGGGCTCAAGCAGTCCTCCCACCTCGGCCTCCCAAGTAGCTGGGACTACAGGAGTGCGCCACCATGCCTGGCTATTTGTTTGTTTTTTGTAGAAATAGGGTCTCATTATGTTGCCCAGACAGGTCTTCAACTCCTGGGCTCAAGTGATCCTCCCTCGTCACCCTCCCAAGTGCTGGGATTACAAACATGAGCCACTGTGCCTCGTATTGGTTTTCTAATCTCTTAATATACGGATGTGTAAAGTCAATCTCCAGACAGACTGCATTTTTTACAAACTAGGTTTCAACAGGGAGCATGTTACAGGACCAAAAACAAAAACAAAAAACCCAACCACTTGGTTGACAGATTCTGGGTCAAATAGTCTGCATTTGACTCCTATTTTAATATTAAAGGTCTTCATGGTGGGTCTCTAGAAATCTGCAGTGGTGATCTTCCCTTGACCTGTGAAAGAAAAGCTGGGCTAGGAATTGAAGCAGGTTGTTGAAGCCTCCCTACTTCTGGCCGCCTGTCCATTCCCCAAACTTGAGTTGGAGGTAGCGGTGTTCACACGCTGCTTCCTCACTGGTATAGCCAGAATCAGCCTGGTGATAGGGAATGGCTACGAACAGCAACCCGTGTGTCTGGTGGTCGGGGGCAGTGGGGCGGTCCTGCCTGGAATGGGGCTTGTGTGTCTTGTCTGTTTGCGATAGCCGTGCTGATTTGCAGTTGATCAACCTTTGGCCTGAGTAGAAATGCAGCGTGAGTAACTGACGCTCTGTGTTTTGGGTGCAGATGTGACTAAAGCTCATTTCTACATGTTAGTGCAGTGGCTGGGTCAGTCATGAATGCCAGACCTGCCATCAGCAGGGGTCCCAATGGGCCGAGATGGGCCAAGTTCATCTCCTATTGCTGTATCCTCTTGGTTCCGTTCCTCTGGAGAGCCCTGACCATGGCTCCCTGGGTCCTTGTCCTTGCGGCGTGTGACATTTCATTCACCCTCTAACTGCCGGTTGAGTGCCTGTTAAGTGTGAGGCTCTGTGTTTGGCACTGAGAATACAGAGAGAAACGGAACAGACGAGGCCCCACTTTCTAGAACTTACATCTAGGGGTAGATGCTGTCACCACACACCCCTCTGGGAGTGCCAGGGCTCCACAGTGCCTGGTCACCAAGTGCAAACACGCCCCTCCCTTTCAGTCAGATGTTTTCTCCTGAAGCGTCTGCCCTCAGCTTCCTGTTCTCCACTCTTCCTGTGGCGCCCTGCACAGAATGAGGGCTTAGTAAATATTTGTGAGTACGTAGCAGCTGGTGTTGTGTAGATGAATGACAGAGAGAGGGCCTAGTTCAAACACTCATTGCAGGGTGTTGATGCGGTGTACGCTGGGTGATAGGCTGTTTCAGCTGCTGTGGCCGTGGTCTCCGCGTGCCCCGTGGCAGGATATAAGGCCTGCTCGGGAGGGAGTGCAGCAGGGCAGGCACGCCTCTCACAGTGGGAGCTTCCTGAAGGAGATGGTGTCTGTGCAGGAGTAAGCACTGGCCATGGAAAACAAGGGGAACCACGCGCTCTTGGTAGTGGGACTAAACCAAGCAGAAGTCCAGAAGTGCACCCTAAGTGTGGGACGTGCAGCGACAGCGGGCTTTTCAGTGCCACCACAGTGGGAGGTGGAGGGTGAGTGGCTGGATGTGGCCTGTCTCAAGGTGCTCAGCCTCTAGTCTGTGGGAGACACTGCAGTTTTGTTTTGTTTTGTTTTGTTTTGTTTTGTTTTGAGACAGAGTTTCACTCTTGTTGCCCAGGCTGGAGTGCAATGGCACCATCTCAGCTCACTGCAACCTCTGCGTCCCAGGTTCAAGTGATTCTCCTGCCTCAGCCTCTTGAGTAGCTGGGCTTACAGGTTGCGCCACCACGCCTGGCTCAGTTTTTGTATTTTTAGTAGAGAAGGGGTTTCTCCATGTTGATCAGGCTGGTCTCGAACTCCCGACCTCAGGTGATCCTCCCGCCTCGGCCTCCCAAAATGCTGGGATTACAGGCATGAGCCACTGTGCCCGGCCGACACTGCAGTTTTTGTTTTGTTTTGTTTTGTTTTGTTTTGAGATGGAATCTCGCTCTGTCACCCAGGCTGGAGTGCAGTGGCGCAACCTTGGCTCACTGCAAGCTCAGCCTCCCGAGTTGCTGGGACTAAAGGCACCTGCCACCACGCCCGGCTAATTTTTTGTATTTTTAGTAGAGACAGGGTTTCACCGTGTTAGCCAGGATGGTCTCAATCTCCTGACCTCGTGATCCCCCCACCTCGGCCTCCCAAAGTGCTGGGATTACAGGTGTGAGCCACCGCGCCCGGCCAACACTGCAGTTTTAAGTGTGTGTTTCATGATAGTGCTTCTGGCTGCTCTGTGGAGGCCAGATCTAAGGGAGTGAGAGTAGAGGCAGAGAAGGAAAGGAGGGCTGAATGGTGGCAGGGGTGGGTACAGGAACAAGAGATGGGAGGCAATTGTGGAGGATCTGATTGGACTCCACCCTGGCTTTCTGTTCTCTGGGTGGCTCCTTTCAGAGCTTGACCCTCACGTCCCCTTCCATAGCCTCCCTCTGTCTCCAGCTGGGTCACATGTCCAGGCACAGGACAGGGTTGCTCCATCAGAGGGGCCCTCTCCTGGCCCATGC
Source organism: Homo sapiens (assembly GCF_000001405.40). Classification (NCBI taxonomy): domain Eukaryota; kingdom Metazoa; phylum Chordata; class Mammalia; order Primates; family Hominidae; genus Homo; species Homo sapiens. The sequence continues at coordinate 5,960,843 of NC_000019.10, read as the reverse complement.
CCCTCAGCCCTGCCGTGTGTCCAGAAGGCTCCGGGCAGCACCTTGGCACCACAGCCTGCCCAGGCCTCCCATAGTTACTCAAATAGCTGCAGTCCCTTCCGTGCACCTGCAGATCCACCGACACGGTTCTCAACACCAGCGCGCACTCCTCTCCCATCCAAATGGTTCTCTCTCTTCTAGCCCTTCCTTACTAGCCTGGCACCAAGTGTCTTCGCCTCACATTTTCACTAATGTCCTCCTTCCCTCCCCCTTCATGAAGTGTTTGTTGAATCCATAAAGTGTGCCAAGTACTGTTCTCAGGCCATGGGGTACCCAGGGGAACAAAGCAGTCTCGGATCTTATGGAGTTTATATCTTAATGGGTGAGACAGACCATAAACCCATCAATATGGAGTGGATCAGGCAGTGACACTTGCTGTGAAGAGAAAGAAAGCATCTTAGCGTCACTTTGAGGCCTGTCCAAGGTCTCTTCCACAGATGCTGGAGTGCAGCATGTGTGTAATTCAGTCTGCAGTGGCTGGACCGCGCCTCTCTCAGGCCAGAGTCTGTTAGCGACAAGGGGCAGAAATCGAGCTCAAACTGGCTTAAGCAAAAATCAGCACTGATTGGCTTCACTGAAAAGTCTGGGGGCAGAGTTAGCTTTGGGCCAAGCTTGACTCAGGGCCGAACACAGGCCAGATTTAGTCTTCCCCCTCCCTCTGTGACTCTGCTACCTCTGGTTGGCTCTGGTCCAAGGCCCCTCTCGGTGACATGGGATTGCTGGCAGCCTCAGGGTCATTCACCAGCAGCTCAGCAGCCCCAGGATCTCCAGCGAAAGGCCTGGCCTTGTTCATGTGCCATGTGTTAGACGATGCATGCGGGACTCTTCTTGTCAGGCCTGGAGCTGGGGCTGAGCTTGGCTCCATCTGAACTGGGGGACAGGGGGACGAGGGGTGGGTAGCTCCCTAAAGAAAATGGGGTTGGAGAGTGCCAAGCTGGCTCAAACCCTGGCTCCTTCCTGTGCATCTTGTCACCTGGCAGCTGGCAGGGAGGCAAATGCAGAGGTCAGGGCTGGGCTTGTGGGGTACAGGCGTGGCACCGGAAGACCTCTAGGATCCTGGTGGCACACATGGTGTGGATACGCTGCTGCTCTGTCCCAGAGTCCCCCAGCATTCCTTTGACATCATTTATTGCCTGGCATAGGTGCATTCATTCACGTTTGTCAAGCAGCACCTGTGTGCTGTGTTGGCAAGAAGTCTGCTTAGGGAAACCTGGAAGTCTGGTTGGAGACCCCTCTGACCTCCCCTGCTCCCTTGTAGCCCCTGGGTCTCGCGCACGCCACTCACTCCAGTGTTTGCCTTGGCTGTACACGGTGAATCAGACCCTGGTGTGCCGAGGCTTCGGGGAGCATGGTGGGGGGAATGTCACCATCAGTGGGCTGCCTGGCTGTGGACTGATGCCCCAAGGTCAAGACCAGAGTCTGTCCTGCGTCTGCAGGAGTGGGATGGTGTCTGTTTGGTCATCTTGGTGCTGTCCCTTTCTCTCCACCTCAGTCACTACCCACCTGGTCTCCCCACAGCCACTCTCACTCCCTTCCCCAAACTGTTTGCTTTCAACCTAAACCAACCCCAGGCATCCCCTTGCCTTTTATGACATTTCCCCAGCAAGTCAGCATGCCCACCGCCTGCCCCTGGCCCCATCACCCCGCAAGCTGTGACTTCAAGCTGCTGCTGCTCTCCCTTCCAGCTCTTCTTGAGACCCCAGCACAGCCCCCTCTTCTCAGGGACCTCCCCTGGACTCCAGAGCAGACCAGGTCAATGCCCAAGCAGAGTGCCTTCGTCGTGATCATGGGCAGCACATGCTTCCTGGGTAATGCCTGGCTCCCCACGACCGGGGTCGGGGGGCCTGCGAAGGCAGGGCTCTTCCCAAACCCTGCTCAACGCGGAGGCACCAGTGCGCAGCCCGCAGCCCACAGCAGGCATTCACCAGAGTCACAGCTGCTCTTGCTTGGCCTCCACGCTAGGCCCTCAGTGCCCTGAATGGTGAAAGAGGCCCTGGGAGCACCCCCAGAGTTCATCAAAGTGCATGCAGGCCCAAGGCCATGAGGCAGGTGTGGTCTGCGCCTCCTCGTGGGGTCGAGGCAGTCCTCATCTGTGCTTCCTGTGCGGGCAGCAGGGCCTCCTGGGCTGCCACCCACTCCGGGGCTGAGTGGCACAGGGCTGTGGATCTGGCTGCCCCTGGGTAGGAGACAGATGGTGTTGCGTGGGCATTACAGGCCGCCTTGCTCTTGTCCCATCAAGTGACAGAACACCCCAGAGTGTTTCTTCCTTCAGCCGCTGTGCAAGATGGACTCTCAGGCCTCTAGCAACTCCAGACATCCTTTCCTCCCAACCAGCACTCACTTAGAGATCCAGGTTGAGCGTTAGGATTCTTCTACCAGAACTGTCTGCAAACAGCGCGAGCGGTGGCCCTTTTTTTTGCCCTCTGGCCTGTAAACTTTAAAAAGCTAAATTAGTCTCTAACATTTGCAATTCAGGAGGTGCCACATTCCTGCAAGGTCACAGTTCATGGCGCCAAATAGCGCTGCCACACTCTCCGCTGCTCTCCCACTCCCATTTACACGCCCGCTCTCAGTGAGTCTTGAAAACTCCTTATTGATGATAAATGCATACAGCAGAGGGCACACGTCACATCATTCTGGGTGCATTTCACAAACCCAGCACACCTGTGCCTCCAGGCATCCGAGTCAAGACGCTGTTCTAAGTGATTTGATGTTCTCTGGAGTTACTAGTTTCATTTATATATATGTTTAACATATTACAAACAAGTGTAGCTTTGTTTACTGTATGCATATAGTGTTGGGGGGAAAAAAACTAATTTTTCTTTTTGCAGAAAAGCCTGCCATTGCTCCGCCCGTCTTTGTGTTTCAGAAGGATAAAGGACAAAAGGTAAGGGGCCGGTACGTTCTCTCTTCACTTCGTTACTCTAATTTGTTCTCTCTTTACTGAGAGTCTCTTTTCCAGGTCGCATTGCCAAGGCCACTTCTGCCCACAGACGGGGAGACCTAAGCAGAGGCCTTTACACTTTCACGTTGAGCTTGGAGGGAAAAGGCTTGGTGGCTTTAGGTTACCGTGGAGAGAGGTTAGGATGGGTCTGTTGTGGAAAGGGCTCAGAGAGTACAGTTTGTTGAAACGGTATTAGAAAGCTTCTTCCTAATTCCTGATGATTTGTTTGAGAAATGCCACTGTACCTTAGGAAAACCAACAGCAGAGGGACAGTAGGGGGCAAAGGGAGGAGGGAAGGTGGGGAGGGAGTCAGGGAGGGAGGGAGGGAGGGGAAGGAGGAGAGCAATGGTGGTTACAGGGGAAACAAGACCTTTAAGCCTGGATTTATTGGCCCTAACGAGCTGGGCGTACGTGCATTTAGAGTAATTGTTCATTTGTTTGCATTATATATTTATCCCGTGTCCATGAGGCTGCTTCTCCCTTGGATTCAGGGTGTCTGGGTCGCAGTGTGGTTGGAAGTACCTCGCCTGATTCATGGCGATGAGCTGGCAGCCTGTGGAAGGTCTGATTGGTGTGGCAACAGGGTTCTGTGATAAGACAACGATGGGTGCTATTTACCTTGAAGCCATCGGCTTCTCTCCCTGACAGATCGGTGTGGATGGTCAGAGTTTTGTCAGAAGTTAGTTGGTGCTGTGTGGCAGTGACTCCTCAGCTTGCATGGGGACCCTCACTGTTTATCCAGAAATAATGTGTGGTCCCTCCCCACTGATGCCCAGCGACGGCACTCCCCACCTCATACCCGCTGCAACAGTCCCACTGATGCCCAGCGGCGGCACTCCCCACCTCATACCCGCTGCAGCAGTCCCACTGATGCCCAGCGGCGGCACTCCCCACCTCATACCCGCTGCAACATTTTAGAGTGACCAAGTGTTGTGCTGAATTCGGTGCATTTTGAGGATGTCTGCATCTTGTTGGTAATAACAGGATTTGAGAATCTCATCAACTCCATTCTCCTGTGGCTTCTGTCCCCTCACAGGTGACCGGCTCCCAGGCTGGAAGCCGCTCTCATGATCTGGGACTCAGCTGCTGGTCTTAGGTCCTGTCCCAAAGCCAGCATTTATCTTGATGTGGCCCGGTTTTCCTGAGCAATGTTGAAGTGCTCTGTGGGGATCGGGTGTGTGTGTTTGTAGGGGTTGGGGAGGAGGGGAAAATGGTTGTTCTAAACCTCCCCCAGCACACCCCTCCCAGGATACCTGTGTGTTAGCCTGGACTTATCTACTAAGCTTGTAACTTTAACTCATGAAACTTTCCCATTGTTACTTTTTTTGCTGAAGAAGCAATCCAGAAACATGAAAACTTTCTTCTAGTTTTGTTTTGGTTCTCCAGGTATTTCCAAGATAAATCTGCCTCTGCTATCTCCTCTCCCTTGGGCCCTGACAAGTACAGCTTAATGACGTGGCTTTATGATTTGTCTTTTGGAGGTTCCATCAGTACGAAAGGACTGGTGCATTTCTCTAGTTTTAGAGAATAGTGAAGCCTCAGGAGTTGGGTGTGTTAGAGCTATGTTGGAGATGTTATAGTCATTCCTCAGGTGTTCAGTAAAATCAGGATTTTCTAGAATTTTGCATTTTATTATCTTTTGAACCATTTTTAGTTTAAAACAAAGGTTAGCAAATTAAGGCACAGCACTGCCACCTGTGTTTTTTTGTTTTGTTTTTTGCTGTTGTTTTATTTGTTTATGTTTTTATCTTTGAGAGACGGAGCCTCACTCTTTGGCCTAGGCTGGAGTGCAGGATCGTGATCATAATTCACTGCAGTCTTGAACTCCTGGCTTCAAGCAATCTCCCGCCTCAGCCTTCTGAGTAGCTGGGACTACAGGCACCACCACCACACCTGGCTAATTTGAAAAAAAAAAATTTTTTTTAGAGATGGTGTCTTGCTGTGTTGCCCAAGCTGGTCTCGAACTTATGGCTTTAATCATTTCTCCTGCCTCAGCCTCCCAAAGTGCTGGGATTGTGGGCATGAGCCAACAAGAACAGAGCCACAACTATCCCCTTTGCGGTTGCCTGTGGCTGCTACAGCAGTAGTATTTGGACAGAGACCGTGTGGCTTGCAGAGCCTTAAGATATTTAGTATCTGACCCTTTGCAGAAAACAGTTTGCCAACCCCTGGTTTAAAACAAACAATAGGAATCAGTAATTCTTTAAATCTGAAGACTTTAAGGCAACCAGCAAGATGGAACAGTAATGTGTAATATTTGCTCAGATGAATTTAAAGTGCTTTTAAAGTCACTAGCTGCTGTGTCAGTACTGTTTTCACAGCTGAGGGGGTTTTGTTGCTTTGTGATTTGCAGGCTAATTTGCATGTATGACCTTCAAGGGGTCTATGCCAATTACATAAACATGTTGGAGTTGAACCAGAAGGCTAGCCAGGAAGGCATTTTTAAAAATGCAAGTAGGCCAGACACGGTGGCTCACACCTGTAATCCCAGCACTTTGGGAGGCCGAGGTGGGCAGATCACAAGGTCAGGAGTTCAACCAGCCTGACCAACATGGTGAAACCCCATCTCTACTGTGGTGGCAGATGCCTGTAATCCCAGCTACTCAGGAGGCTGAGGCAGGAGAATCGCTTGAACCCGGGACTGGAGGTTACAGTGAGCTGAGATCGCACCACTGCACTCCAGCCTGGGCGACAGAGTGAGACTCCATCTCAAAAAAAATTAAAAATAAAAATTAAAAATAAAATGCCAAGTATAGTTCTTATCAAAATATTGGCTCACAGCCAATTCTAAATGGACTTCTAAAAATAACTGCCCTCCAGCCTTGGGAGTTGGGCTGCCCACTTCTGTCACTCGCACTTCTGTGGCACCGTCGCTGAAGAGGCATGTGGGAAACCTCTGTGCTGAGGCCAGGAGCAGGAGGAGCGTGTTTGCTTCGCTGTCGGAGGACAGTGTCCACATGGCCCTAGAGTCCTTTCTGCCACTGGGGAGTGAGGTGGAAAGTAAACACACAGGGCGGGCGGCTGGCTTTGTTTCTCCTTGGCTTTCTGGTTCAGGGCCTGCAGGGAGCAGCTGCAGTGTGTGTCAGAAGTGAGGGTTTGAGAGCCTTTATGGTTTCATTCTCTCTTGCGGAGGCCATCAACCCATCCCTGTCTTGCTCTCCAGAAGCCGAGCTGGGACCGAGCTTTTAGAGCTGCTGCCATTGTTTTTCCGAGGAGGTTCCCCCCGCCCCACCCTTTTTGCTTCAACATTTTATTCTGAAAATTTTCAAATCCTTGGAAAAGAGTGACACTGCAAACACTTGGGTATCCTGCCCCTGCCCTCTCTGTTAGCATTGCTGCCCTCACCTCTCATACCGGAAGTTAAGCCCATGTGACATTTCTGCCCTAAATTCTTCCACGGGTGTCTCATAGGGATGAGGCCATTCTCCTGCATGGCCTTACCACCATGTTACTCCTACGAAAATGTTAATTCAGTAATATCCTCCAGTATATAGTCCATGTTTTAAATTGTCCTAATTGCCCCTCAGATGTCACTTATAGTGACTTTAACAACTTCTTGATCCTCAAAGATCAAGAAGTCTCATCAACTGTGGGACCAGCTGACTTACCTTTCAGTAAACGAGATCTCAGACCACACCCGATGGGGTGCAAGTAAAAGAGCCCCTTCGTCTCCACCATCCCTCTCACGCCATTCAAAGGAGACAGCTCTTTATGCTCAGGTTTTATTGCTGAATCATGATTCAGCATGATTTGGAGTTGAAAAGAAAGACATGAAGCTGCCAGCCGAGGAATTTTTTGTTTTTGTTCAGTGGCAAAGCCACACAGCGGTTTTCTGTGGGTCCCGTTGATGTGTCAGATTGCACTTCAGCACACTACGGATTGGGACCGTGGCCTGCGTGTGGGTGCCGGTGGCATCACTTAGCCTTGGGTGAGGTTGCCAAATCCTATCGTTCCAGGATAGAAAAAGCCATGTGTGGTTTTAATTGTAGTCCTAGGGCCTAAAACGAAGCCATGGTCAGATTGGCAGCACAGGGATGTTACTCCCTTCCCATGCCTGCGCTTCCTGGGGAGGGGCGTGCTGTCTCATCGAAACGCCTGCGTTTACATGCACCATTGTTTCCGGGGCAAAAATGAAACCTTTCTTTCTTAACTGCCTTGGATGGAGATAGAGTTCTTTCTTTTTCTTTTTAATGTGAAGAGAATTTAAATATCCTTATGTAGGCTGTTCCATTCTTTGTAAAGACTAAACATTTCTTTCAGTTGCTCTCTCTCCAGAGCATTTGTTAATCTGAAGTGGGGAGGCTTTGAGGTTGTACTAGCAGAATAATGGCCATTTGGTAAAAAGAAGGCAGTTACAGAAATGCTATTTAGCAGAAAGTACAGTATCACTGAAAATGTGGTCGTAGGGTGTTTAGACCTGCTTTTGAGGCTTACCGTTGGTGTGATGAGCTTAGCCCTGGTGCACGTGGTTTTTGCCAGCCATGTGTATTTTAGGATGAGGTCAAAGGCTGGCAAACTCTTGATGTCTGATTTTACCAGACATGTTGAAAAACTCCAGGCTTCACCTTAGTTCTTTAGAGCTTACGATTCCTGCCCAGGAGAAATGCTAGGACCTGAGTAGAAAATGCTGGAATGACATTGTTAATTCTCCCATCTGAGAGAGGAAGTGATGTAATACTTCTCAACACTTATACAAATCATTCATCTTAACCAAAGATGACGAATTTGATCCTGTTTTGATGTCTTGGTTTCCATGTTTATGACTTACTTCTTGGTCCTCCTGTTTAGCATTTTGAATTACCATGAGGATGTTTGAATATTTACATTTCAAAAGCAGGGATTACAAAAAATTCAAGTGGTTCTAATTAGAGATAGGCAGTCCCCCACAGAGCTCTGGGTTTAATTTTTCTCTTGTGAGGTGTTAAGTCTCTCACCATCAAGTAGCAACAGACATGGGTGGCTGGACGAACCACGGTGCCCTGTGCAGGTTTAGAGAGCCAGGTTTAGAGAGCGGCTGGTCCGTGGCTCTGCCCTGGATACGAAGAGGCGACAGTGTCCCCTTGATTACTTTTGAGTGAAGATTGCTTTTGCTTTCCTAGGAATTTGTGTACATTCTCTTACATCCTCTTTCTGTAGCTCCTTTCCTCCTCCCGGATCACTGCTTTTTAAGTAGTGCCCAAACCCCGTCTAAAGAGGTCAGCCACTTCACACCCAAGAAGAAGCACAGCCACGTCCACGGGGAGACGGGGCAGCCCTGTAGTCATGTAGGTCACCGAGTGCGAGAAATGGCTCCATGTCGTTGGACGATGCCAAGAGGGAGGTTTGGGGACTGGAGTCTGTTTTAGGACACCAGGTGTTTAACCCATTTCTCAAGAAAAGTCTTGGAGTTACGGCCACAGAGCTCTCAGCCCATGGAAGCCCTGCTGGAGTCCCAGGAACCACCTTAAAGGATGCTGGGTGTTGTACTGTGGGGAGGAAGACTTCTGGAACCGGCTGCTCTCACCTTGGCAGCTTTCCAAATGAGCCCTTGCCTGGGGTGTTGAGGATGCACCTGGGAGAATCCTAGGCTGAGGGGCTCTGTGGATTTGCCCCCCTCCTTCATCTGAACTACCCGCCTGCCACTGATGCAAAAACCAGCTCTCAGTGTCCATGTCACCCCACACTTGCACTCACCGAGGTGGGAAAGCACTTTCTGGATCCTGGGTGTAAGCAGAACAAATGGAAAGTGCTAGAAGAACTGTAGTGAGAGGCAGAAGCCCTTGACCCCGGCGAGAGGCAGAAGCCCTTGACCCTGGCCTCCCTGGTTTCTCCCTAACTTTGGGGTTCCAGCCACCTCCCTCTTTCCTAAAGCACAGAAATGGTGCTGATGGCCAGCTCCCCCACTTCAGTATTTTTGAGATCCTGAAGGGGTTTTAATATTTTGCATGATCGTCCCTGTCCCTTGATCACCAAGGCCCGTAAGCCAAGTAGCTCCTTGCCAGGCAGCCCATAGTTTTGGAAACGAGGGTCCTGCTTCTCATACACTGTAGAGCTCCCTGCAAAGTCACATGGCACCTAGTCCACTCTCACTTCCCTTCCGTCAGCCGGAGAGCCGGTTTTGTTGAGCAGAACCCAGAAGCAGGTGCCTGCTCTCCCCATCTTCCTCCCAGGCGCAGGAGCTGCTGCAAGCTGAGCCAGCTCCAGCCTCTGACCCCTGCCCGCCCTTCCTGCTGTGTGATGCAGCCTTTATTCACATTGAAGGAAAATTGTCTTTTTTGCTCCCAGTCCCCTGCAGAGCAAAAAAACTTGTCGGATTCGGGAGAGGAGCCTCGGGGGGAGGCTGAGGCCCCCCACCATGGCACGGGTCACCCCGAGTCAGCTGGCGAGCATGCCCTAGAACCTCCTGCCCCTGCTGGCGCCTCAGCCAGCACTCCTCCGCCTCCCGCTCCTGAAGCCCAGCTTCCTCCTTTTCCGCGAGAACTGGCAGGGGTAAGTCCACACCTACCCGGCACTCCTACCGCCCAGGGGGAGCCCAACCCAGACCAGCCACTTTCCCTTCGGGTCCCTCAGATCCTGGCCCTAGCTAATTGTAAGCAGCTAATGGTAACTTAAAAGATGACAAGGATTTCTTCCAGCTCGCTTTAATTCATGCTGCTGAAAAGTCAGGGAAGATCGAATCCCCTTTTAGCCTTTTCTAAATTGCCGTGGGAATATATACCCACAGCAAGAGGTGAATCCTGTTTCCCAAAAAAGACACGAGGGGTCAGGAGGAATTGAGTCATGTGAAGTAGAACCTTCCAAACCTAATTTGACCCCTTCACCCTCCTTCCATTTTTCCTTCTTGTTTCCCTGAATGCGGGCATTCAAGTTTAGCGTCTTAGAAACCCAAGAAGCTAAGGCTTCCTTTGATATCTAGGAAGAGGCACTCTCCAACACAGATTGCTTTGCAAGACTGATTGTGTTTGGACTGTGGTTAAGGCAGTGAACTGATTGTCTTCAATCAAAGCAGGAAGAAGAAAAGACTCTTCCTTTGAACCCAGAAGGAATCCCCTGAGCCCTTTATCTTTGTATTAAGAAGCCTTTTGAAGATTATAGGTGGAGAAGATTGTGAACTCTCAAGAACAAGAAATGTCTTGGGTTTTTGAAGTTTGATAAATTGGGAAAGGTAAACATTATCCTACATTCAGGATTGAAAACTCCATCCTGTAGGTAACTCATGACAGAAGACCCCTATTCTCAGGACAGGGAAAAAGGACTCTTAACAAGAAAAGAAGGGACCCAGCTCTACCGCCTGAGCACCAGGCAGCCTTCCAGGCTGGTACGGTCCCAAACCTTATCCCGGACCTCAGCGTTCTTTCTAGCACACAACAGTCCCCGGTTTTTAAGGAAACTGTTAACATTCAGCTACAGCCACCAAACCTCAGGACACTTAGGAAGCACTGTTCAGCCAGGGGTGGGTTGGAGTCCTGTGTTAACATTTTGGAGGAGTCAGTGTGTGATGGAAAAAGAAGCAACAGTCTTTACTTGTGCCATAGGCTATGGGTGTGGGGGAGGTAACGGCAGTAGTGGCCTTCGTGGCACAAAAGTGGGTTTGGGGTAGTGAGACACGGGAGCCGCGGGAAGGAGTCCAGCCAGGAGGCACTTGACCCACAGTGCACTGGGAGTACAGCCCTCCCATGAGCGCACGTGACTGCCGCCAGAGCAAGAATTAGGAGGTGGCTGCGTCCTTCTTTTGTTGGCAGAGTGGCTGCCGGAAACTTCTCCTGAGTCAGGTATGGTGAGTTACTGCACCTCTGGTCTTTGAGAGCACAGGAAATGGTGTTCTCAGGTTTCCGTCTTCAGCTGTCTGGGAACAGATGGTCTTTAGGGTCCCCCCCAGAGGCCTTCTGCAGGTGCCTGGGTTTGAAAAATGCAGCCCACATAGGACTCTCCAGCTGCAGAGGTGACAGGTTCTAGAATGAGAGTAGCAAACAAGTGCATCACAGAGTTTTTGTGACAGCAGGTGCTCTTCAAGAGCACACGCGCTGTTCTGTGCCCTGCGTACTTCTCACAGAGGCCCATGTTGGAGTGTCTGGAGGGGCCTCACCTCGTCCACATGTTCATCTCTTTGGCCTGGCCAGCCCAGGTAGATCTCAGCATCCTGATTCTCATGGACTTTGGGTCTGAGGCTCTGATCCTGAGAAATTCAAGCAGTCCCCCACACTGGCAGGTGGAAGGTGAAGCTGTATGGCAGGGAGCCTTGGGATGAGCTTGTGGGCACCGTGGGAGAGCCAGGATTGGAGGCTGCATAGAGCAGTATGTAAATGTTCCAATGTAGCTCTGGTGGCCATGTGCATAACATGCACCTTGTAGTTTTAGCACTCGTAACTTTTGGACACCCACTTTCAGGAGCCCCAGGAGAGCCATTGTCAAGCCCCTTGTGACAGCTCTGAGCTGACCAGGGCTCTTCCCTCAGGCTGTCTGCAGAGAACACCCTGACTGGTTGCTAAGGGCTCCTGTTAATTGGCTTTCTCTACTAATCGGGCCTGCTCAGAGCAAAGTAAACTTTATTTTAGGTTAGTTAGGCCATAGATCAAGTCAGATGGAACCCGATGCCAACTGCTTCTTGGCCTGAGCCTTTTTCGTGTGTGTGAACTCAGACCGTTTTCGTTTGCATCAGAAGAAATTTGGGTCTCACTCTGTATCACACTGGTGTTCAGGAAACCACCCCCATGTTACCCGGCAGGTCTCATCCGTCACATCTAGTCTGTTCACTTTATTCCATGGTCCCTGGGGGGAATATAAAGCTGAGAGTTCTTGATGATAAACAGTGGTGCGCTGAATTGTTACTTGTAAAGGGCCCTTACCATCTTTTAGTCTCGTCAGAACCCTGGCCATGGAAGAGTCAGTACCAGGAAAAAGTCTCTATATATCAGACTTCCTGGCTTTCAGAAGACAGTCTGAAGAAGACCAAACCACATCCCGATTAAGTTCTCTGTTTGATGTGGAGAAAGCAGGCAGCTCTGGGCACTCACTGCGAGCCTGGTGGAATTGTACTGGACTGAAGCTCCCTGCCAAGGACCTGCCGAGCTTCAGATATGTTTATTAGACCCACCAGGGAGCTTAAGGAGGTTCTGGAATGAATCCCTCTGGCCAGACAGCTTCCCCCCACCTTCCAGCCCCTGCACAGGATTTGACCCTCAGCACCCCTCAACTTTGGAAGCCACCTCTCACTTGCTTTTCTCAGGGCCTGCCCTTTTGACAAGAATTTCTGAGCTGGTTGCCTCTGCCACAGAATAAAAAGCATTGAACTGGCCCATCATTTATTTTGTATCCCAGGTATCCAGCCATGACCAGCCAGGTTTTCTAACTTGCCAGACTCACTGAGGCCCTGGTACACCGCTTGGTTGCCAGTTTTCTAGGGGGAATTTATCTTTTTTTTTTTTTTTTGACATGGAGTCTCGCTCTGTCGCCCAGGCTGGAGTGCAGTGGCCCGATCTCTGCTCACTGCAAGCTCCGCCTCCTGGGGTTCACGCCGTTCTCCTGCCTCAGCCTCCTGAGTAGCTGGGACTGCAGGCGCCCGCCACCATGCCCAGCTAATTTTTTTTGTATTTTTGGTAGTGACAGGGTTTCACCGTGTTAGCCAGGATGGTCTCAATCTCCTGACCTTGTGATCCGCCGACCTCGGCCTCCCAAAGTGCTGGGATTACAGGCGTGAGCCACCACGCCCAGCCATCTAGAGGGAATTTATCTGACATGGCCTTGCTTTCTGGCCTTTCCTAGGGGACCAGGTAAACAGTGCCATTCCTTCCTGCTTCTTCCTTGTTCGTCTTTGTGTCTGTGGAGTCGGCTTCTGAAAGCTTTGTCCCTTTCCCTGGGCCGCCTTGGCACCGAGGACACACCAGACAGTCTGACAAGACCCATGTTTTTTGGACAGGGCAATTCTTAATAAATGTGACAACCATGATTTTCACTGTTTCATTCCTTAGGCAAAGAACAAGCTTCCCACCCCTGCATTCCCATTCCAGATGGGATGTGCCCCTCTGTCTTGTATTTAGTGACAGGGACTCATGCGCCTCACAGAATTGAGTTACTTCCCACAAGCTCCCTATGGCTGCCGGTGGGGAGCTTGTTGCGCCACCAGCCCCCACCCCGCCGGCAGGGACGTGGGGCACATGATCAGCACTCACAGTGCTCGCTCCCGACCAGCCTGCAGCCCAAGCCGCGGGAGGGCTGCTTCATCTTTTCTGAGCCTGCTCTGTTCACTCCTGCTGTCCCAGTGCCAGAGAGACAAGTCAAAGGGCCCTCTGGTCTTCTTTCTCTTCTGCTTCCTTATTATTACTCTGGGATGTTGTCATCATGGTGTTGAAATGGATGCTGACCCAGCATTCCCCGGTGTCATCCTGAAGCCCTGCGCCTCGCAGCAGTAGAGTCTAGTTTGGGAAAAGTGGAGGAGGAGGAGGAAATGGGGCTCTTATGTCCTGCTTCTGTCCTCGCTCCTCCCCACTAAGCTCGAGTCTTCGGAGCTTGCTCTTTTTGTTTTTGTTTCTTTCTTTTTTCTTTTCTTTTCTTTCTTTTTTTTTTTTTTTGAGACAGAGTCTCCCTCTGTTGCCCAGGCTGAAGAGCAGTGGCGCCATCTGGGCTCACTGCAAGCTCCACCTCCTGGGTTCAAGCGATTCTCCTGACTCAGCCTCCCGAGTAGCTGGGATTACAGGCATGCACCACCATGCCTGGCTAATTTTTGTATTTTTAGTAGAGACGGGGTTTCTCCATGTTGGCCAGGCTGGTCTCGAACCCCTGACCTCAGGTGATCCACCCGCCCAGGCCTCCCAAAGTGCTGGGATTACAGGCATGAGCCACCGTGCCCGGCCTGGAGCTTGCTCTTAAAATCCTCCTGAGCTCTGGTTGCAGACCTCTGGGGGCTGACCCTGAGTGTGTCCCAGGCATTGTTCGGGACCAACCCCTGAGGACCCACTGCCTTGTTTGGGGTGAGGGGTGGCCCCAGACTGCCTTGACACCAAACAGGTCCAGACTCCTGGGCTGCTGAGTCTAGGAAATGGAAAATGTGGAGCTGGCATTGGCTGTGTGCAGGGCTGGGTGGCTTAAAGGTTCCTTCACCCCAAACCATTTCCTGCTTTGGAGAAGGCAGCACAAGCCAGCTGGACAGCAAGTTCCAACGTCTCCTGAGAGGAGAGGCCCTCCATCCCAGCAAGGTGCAGGGTGTGGAGGCCTGGATTGGGGCAGAGGGCAGGCGGCACCTCACGTGGCCAGCGGGTTAGGATTCTAGAAGAGCTCTGTCCACAGGCACGCGTTCTGTCTTCTTGCTTCCCTCCGCTGGGTCTTAGTGGAGAGTTGCTGGCAGGAGGTTCCCCTGTCGAATCTTCCTGTGTTGTTCTTCCCAAGCCTTGGCTTCCCAGCCTTTCCAGGACCAAGAGGCCCCCCACTTTGTTGCAGGCAGGCTCTTAGAAGATATTTGGGGCACGGATTTGAGGGTCTCCTGAGATCAGGGGTCAGGCAGCATCTGAATCTTGTCTGCCTAGGCACCCATTCTTCTCAAGGTCACTGAAGGGGACATGGTGGAGGACACGGACTCCACCCACGCAGCAAGTCCTCAGCAAGTGCCTTCTGTGCAGGTGTCCCGGGTGTCGCGTGAATGAACTGTGTTGTAGGAGACACCTCTGAGATCATTTCCCTATGTGATAGAACAAAACAGGGTAGCTCCCGAGAGGGGCTGGGATAGGGAGTGAGCATGAACTTACCCTAGAGGTGGTGCTCACAGCATCTCAGACACGCAGGGACCTGGAGGGAGGGCGCCCACGGAGGAGCAACACTCAGTGAGGCAGGAGCAGCCAACATGTTCAGAAAACAGGAGGCCACATGGCCAGAGCCTGGTGGCAGAGGGGACCCTGTGCCTGAGGAGGCCACCGAGGCAGGAGGGAAAGGTACGTTCTCGGGGGGCTAGAGCTAATGGGACTTGCTGGCAGGTTGGAGGTGGTGGGTGAAGGGGAGGATGAGTGCAGAATGCCTGGGGGCACCACAGTGTTCCCGGGGCTGCTTCTAGAGCCACGAGTAGACCCCAAGAGACTGTTGGGAGCCCCGGAGCCACACTCTTGACCTGGACATGCTGCTCTGGGGAGAGCATCCATGGCATCCATGATCCCTGAGAGGCATGGGTATCGTCAAAAGAGCCCCCAAAATACGCAAAGCAAAAACGGACAGAACTGAAGGGAGAAATAGTCGAGTCAACCGTAAGAGTTGGAGGCTTCGGTACCACACTTTGAGTAATGGATAGAACATCTAGACAAGATCAGTAAGGAAACAGGACTTCAGCAACACAAAAACCAAGCAGACCTAACAGACATATAGGTCACCCCACCCAAACAGTGGGGTACACAGCCTTCTCAAGTGCACATGGAAAATTCTCCATGGGGGGCCATTTGTTAGGTCACCAAACACATCTCAAATTTTAAAGGATCAAAATATGGAGTATGTGCTCCAACCACAAGGAGATAAAATTGGAAATCAAAAACGGAAACTAGGAAATTGACACATGTGGAAATTAACCTAGATAACCACTGAGCCAGAGAGTTAGGTGTGGAGATGTCAGGAGAAACATCCCGTGCAGGGGTGAGGAGACACGAGGGAGCTCGGGGACCAGTTCCTTCTGTAAGGCCGGACTCAGGTCTTCGGCTTCTCCGTGGCCTGCAAGGGGCCTGGGATGCAGTGTCTTTTGTTGAACAAATGCTAAACGGGCTTCTACTGTGAGGTCCAGTTCCTTCCTAAGTCTAGTGGAGTCCCTGACACAACTCCCAGGATCAGAATAAGCCACAGAGAAAGAGTATAAGGGGCCTGGAGGTCACCTCACCAAGGGGTTCATTCTCGCTTGAGGGAAAAGGAGGGCGTCACTGGATGAGAGAGCAGGTCGTCTACAGAGGCCAGAGAGGGTATGGCCATCTCCTGGTCCCAGAAGTCATTTAGGAAGGGACAGATCCCCCAGGACCAGGGAGGACACCGTGTAAGGGTTTTGGTACAGTTGAAAGGCTCGTTGGATTAAAAGGGGAGAGAAAAGTCTAGAGCCACAGGATGGGACTTGGGGGTGGGGATGTCCTGGGCCTGCTGTTAGGAATGGATGGGAGGACTGGTGAGGCCAGGGAAGCCAGAGGTGAGGCGAGCAGTGCGGTGTCCGAGGAGATCGGGCTGTGCAGAGGCTGCTGGCCTCAGACAGTGACCTGCACAGAGCATTTGGAGGCCAAAGCCAGCCTACAGGGCTCTGGAGGGCATGGGTTACCCAGAGGGCAAGGAGGCTGTGTCAGGTGTTGTTTCTCACAGCTGCCTGTGCTGGGAGGCTGATGTAAGGGCCCGTCGAGGGCAGTAGCTGCCCCAGGCATGAGATGCCCAGGCTTGGCTGGATGAGCAAAGGTTTTGGCTGCCCGGGTGGGCAGATGCTGCTTCTCTGTACTTCTGTCACCTTTGCTAAGTATGAGGGCAAGCGATAGCTGGAGCCTGTACCCACCCCACAGATGTCACCCAAGAAAAGGGATGACAAGGTGGTGACAGCTCAGCACTATCAGATGCAACCCCAGGCTCTGGCATTTCTAGAAAGGTTCCCAGTCCAGGTCCCTCGCCTCCTGGCTGCACCCAGGACTCACTCCACACCCCTGACTCCCTATTCATGCCTGCCTTGAGCTCTAAAGCCCTGCCCCCAGCGTAGCCTCCAGATTTTACATCGGTTGGGAGTTTGATCTCATCAGGTGTGGGTCACGAGCATTATAATCATCTGCTCCCAGCGTGCAGGGCACTGGGCTGAGCACCTTACCTGCCCTGCCTGTCACCTCACGCATCCCTGTTTTCCAGGTGAGGAGACCGAAGGCTGGGCAAGGTAAGGTTTCACCCGTAGAAAATGGCAGAGCCGGAATACACTGAGTTCTTCCGGCCTTCAAGAGGCAGCAGGGACCAGGCAGCCTCTGCACCCCTCGTGCTTTTGGCCTGGCCGGAGTTGGTACTGACTCTAGGGCCTGGCTGCTTGATGGCATTGCGTTTTGGACTCAGTGGTATTTTCACAATTGCCCCAGTGACTAATAGAACCCACTGTTGTGTTACAAGGATTTTGTGTTTCCCACACACTTTGATGATGTCATCTCGTGGGGATAGTGATAATCAGCCCTCACTCGTACAGTCCCTTGGGAGCATTTCCAAAGCCCCCTCAGAACACGGGCCTCAAGCAAGAAGCCCAGGCTTGCTTTTCCCACACAAACCCATGTTGTCAGCTCACACGGGAGGAGAAAGTCCAGGGTAGCTTTTTTTCTGACCGTCGTGAACGAGCTATGTGACTTCAAGTCAACTTCCTACCTTCTCTGGGCTCTCACTGCCACAAGCTCCAGGCCTGGGCCTGTAAGCTAAGATGATGTTTACATTTTTAAAGGATTATAAAAGCAAAAACAAGAATATATGACAGAGACCAAATGTGGCCCACAAAGCCAGCAGTACCGACAGTCTGGCCCTTTATGGGAAAATGCATCGCCCTGACTTGAGGGGGGTCTGCCTTGGCTCCTGTGCTCCTCAGTTTTATTTATTGCAGTTTGCTTTCCCAGGCCACTCTGCAGTTTGCAAAGCACTTTCACATGCATCACCTCCCCTAAGCCCCAGCAGCTCGTCGAGGCAGGCGGGCCTCATTTGGCTAAACTTGACCTCTGAGGAGCATTTTAGAAAATAAGAAAATTGGCTTTTCTGCTTGCTCTTGCAGGGAGCGCGCCAGGAGGAGCGGCCCTCACTCATCGGTGCGCTTTGGGCTGCTAAATTCTGAGACAGGACATAAATGAGGGATTGTGTTGGGGGAGAGGATAAACACTCCTCATGTTAAGTTTTGAGTTTGTTTGTGTTTTGAGATGAGATGTGTCCTTCAGGCTGGGGTGCAGTGGCATGGTCATAGCTCACTGCAGCCTCAGACCCCGGGCTCAGGTGATCCTCCTGCCTCAGCCTCCCTGGGAGCTGGGGCTACAGGCATTCACCCCCCTGCCCAGCTGATTTTTATGTGGTTGGGTTTTTTATAAAGACAGAGTCTCACCATGTTTCCCAGGCTGGTCTCAAACTCCTGGGCTCAAGCGATCCTTCTGCCTCAGCTTCCCAAAGTGCTGGGATTACAGGCATGAGCCACTGCACCCAGTCCATTTTAAGTCCTTTTGTTTTTTTTTTTTTTTTTTTTGAGACAGAGTCTCGCTGTGTCGCCCAGGCTGGAGTGCAGTGGTGTGATCTCGGCTCACTGCAAGCTCCGCCTACCGGGCTCAAGCGATTCTTGTGCCTCAGCCTGTAGCTGAGATTACAGGCGTGCACCACCACGCCCAGCTACTTTTTTTTGTATTTTTAGTGGAGACAGGGTTTCACCATGTTGGTCAGGCTGGTCATGAGCCCATTTTAAGTCTTGGTTGCTGGTTGTTCACACTCTAAAGCTAAAGTTTGTGGAATAGGGAATTCTTCAGGAGCCTTCCCTCAGCCTGTGACTGGGCTTTGTCTTTGATGGTTCTGTTCTAAACACTTCGCAAGTGGGCTTTGGTCCAAAACATCCAAGCTCTTGCTTGCTCTGGGAATAACAGCCGACCCTGAGACAAGCATGTGCATGGTAGAATGTTCCAGGGCAAGGAAGGGAAATCGCTCCTATCCGGTGTGATGTGACCATTTTACACAAGTCCGCTGCCCTCAAGGGTGGAGAGGGTCGCTTTTCAGCTCTTGGCAGAATGAACGGGGGCCAGATGAGGTTCGGCTGTGTTTGAGTTTAGGGGTGGCAGGCCAGTTAGCGTAACCTGTGGAGAAACAAGAAACTGATCTGGGTGCTGCGGATGCTTTCCCAGCCACTGAGAGGATTCCTTGGCATGTGTTTGTGAAGCTGGGTGCAGAGGTTCATCGGGGGGATGTTTGAGCTTTAGGCTAAAATCCTGGCTCTCATTCGGGTGCTGGGCTCTGGGAACTAGCTGCCCGTGGTGCATGTTGGGATATTTGTTACGGCCCCGAGAGTTGCTCGGCTGCCGTGAGCCTGATGCCCTCTGACCCCGGCTGTGTGCTCCTTGTTTCAGAGGTCAGCTGGCGGCTCCAGTCCTGAAGGCGGAGAAGGTAAGGAGCTCTCTAACACCTTTGACCATCTTCAGTTTTAAAGACAGAAGCAACCTGATTTTTCTCCTCCTCTTCTCATCATTTTCTGTAGATTCTGACAGAGAAGATGGAAATTACTGCCCTCCTGTCAAGCGAGAAAGAACATCCTCTTTAACCCAGTTCCCACCCTCACAGTCAGGTAAAATATGCAAACTTACGGAATGGTGAAAGCGTTTATGCTTACAAACCCGCCATTCCCCTCAGTGCCGCGCATCCGTCTGCTGTGTCCTTCCTGCCCAGCTCCGGTTAGAGTCGATCTGAGGCTCGGGCTCTGTCAGGAGTGAGGTGAGAGCTTGTCCAGAGTGCAGCATCAGGGGTCCTCGTCTCGAATCAGTGACACTGACGGCATGGTGAGACTTGGTGGCCTGAGGAAGACTGTGAAGAGATCGTCCCTCTGAAATGGAGGAAAGGGGTTGACTACTGAGAGCCCTGTTGGGGCCTCTGCCTGTTAATTACATCTCCTCTTTCCAAGGCTGGACACAGACTGGGGGTTTAGGGGTGGGGTGTTCTCCCAACCCCTCAGCTGCATGCCCAGCACGGGCAGTCCAGTGCAGTAGCCCAGACACACACACGCATGTACACACAAGCATGCACACACACACGGTAACCAGCAAGCCAGGAGGCCCCAGCAGAGGCCCGTGTGTGATGCTGTGAACTCCCAGAGGAGAGGAGCTTGCGGGGGCCTGGAAGGGTGGGCCAGGCTCGGACTGTGGAGCAGGGCAGGCTAAAGGGCTTGAAGGCCCTGGACGTGAGGCCTGGTCTGAGCACAGGCCTGGAGGTCGGCCTGGGGACTCATGCAGGCTGGTACAGGAGAGAGGTTCCTGAGGCAGATAATGCCGTCAGCACTACTTAATATAACACTCAGAAAGCCCGGCCTCCTGCCATGGGCACAACTCTGCAGATTTGAGGGTAAATGCCACTGCAGGGCTATTCTCTCGTCCCCGTCTTGACTTCCCACTCTGGCATTGTCTCGTGGCCTCTGTCTTAGCTGTCTGTAGTGCCAACTTGGACATACATGAGTGTTTAGACAGGTTCTCTGGTTACCCAACTGAAATCCATTCCTGGAAAGTTCATGTAAATCATTTTACAGTCCTGAACCTTCAGGATGTCAAGTTGTTTCTGCTTACAGAAGTCACGCATGCGTTACAGGAACACACAGCGTAGGAAGCCAGGGTCCTTCCCAAGTCACCCCTCCACACCCTTGTTTTCATGCCCTTTTCCCATCACGTTGGTTTTGGACATGGCCGCGTCTTTTTGCACAGCTGCATTAGGTTTTCCAGTGCTATTACACTGTCATCTGCTGACTGGATATTGCGGAACTGTCCAGATGGCTTGCAGTCCAGGCTGCAGTTGGCATCCTTTTAATTTAAGGATCTTTGCACCTGTGGATAGGTGTTCTGTGGAATGAGGGAGCTCCACTTCCTGCTCGTTGATTTTATTCCTTCCCCCTCACTGCCCACTGCTGAACCATGCTTGCTGTATCGAAAACCAGCATAGAGAAGAGGAGGTGTTTGGGCTGTGAATGTAGGCTAAAGAGGCGAGGGACCACCATTCTTCTCCCCGGCCCTCTTCAAATCACCTCCCGTCCAGCGCAGCAGCCCCCAAGAGACACTCAGCTCTCCAGGGTAACTGGAGGCGTGAGGGGCACCAATAATTTGAACAGTGTTGTCTTTGGTTCCATTCTGCGTAGAGTGAGTTCTTCCCCTACGAATTCCACTTCATTTGTGGAAACCTGTTGGCTGGCCCACACCCTGGGAAGCAGTTGCCCTGGTGAAGGAAGATCTTAGGTGGGGGAGGGGGAACCCCATGGACAAGCCTTGACAGGTGAGGAGGAGTCAGGGCCTCCAATGTGGCCTGGAGCATCTGATATCTCCCCTGCCGGCTGCCCCTGCAGAGGTGCAGGGACAAGGGGGTGCCCCCAGTTGACCAGAGTTGACTGTAGTCATCAGACAGATCAAGGCCGTCGGGCTGGAGACCCTCGTAGTGCTGTAAAGAGTCTTGGGGTTTGCTGTTCTCGGGAAAGACTGAATGCCCTGTTTGCGTGCTGTTCCGTCTCCTCCCGTGGGACGTGAGAATCCACCCCTCAGGTGGGAGAGGTGATCTCTGAGCGTCCACCCCACCCATTCATGCTGTTTTTCCTCTTGTTCCCTCCCCCGCCTGCACCTCCTTGTCAACAGTTTCAAAAAACAATGTTTTTATGCCATCAAGCTTCTGCGAGCCATCTGCAGGCAATTCCGACTCAGAGCCAAGTGAGCCCCGGCCCCTCTGCCTTCCCGCCCGGCCTGGGGGTTCTCCTGGGAGGAAAAGCAATTGGTGTGGGAAAATCAGATCTTCAGCGGGCATTTAAAGTCAGTTCTTCTTCAGCTGTTAAAATTTTTCCCCCAACTCTTCAGCTCATAGTCTGGGGATCTGGCGTGAGATGAGGCTTCATAAGCCCTCATGTTTGTTTCTGCAAGCAGGGCCTGGTTGCATGGAGCTCTAAGTCCTCTAAAAACAACCTGTGAAGAAATGTATCACTCATTTTTCAAAATTTTATACAAGTAATGCATTCATAATTGGGGTTTTTTGGTTTTTTAGACAGACTTTCACTCTTTTTGCCCAGGCTGGAGTGCAGTGGTGTGATCTCAACTCACTGCAACCTCCGCCTCCCGGGTTCAAGTGATTCTGCTGCCTCAGCTTCCCGAGTAGCTGGGATTACAGGCGCACACCACAATGCCGGGGTAATTTTGTATTTTTTTAGTAGAGACAGGGTTTCACCTGTTGGCCAGGCTGGTCTCCAACTCCTGACCTCAGGTGATGCACCTGTCTCGGCCTCCCAAAGTACTGGAATTACAGGCATGAGCCACCGCACCTGGCCCATAATTGTTTTTTCTTTAAAGTAAATCAGAAATATTTCAACTAAAAAGAATCCCTGCCCCTTCCCCACTCACCCTGCCATCCCAAAGGTAACGCCTGTGAAGTTGGTGAATTTCTAGACCTCTTTTTTGTGCATTCTCACATTAATTTTGCTCAGACCTACCTAGATAAATATGTTTAATCACAGCTTCAAAACTTTTTGTGTGTTTTGGAGACGGAGTTTCACTCTTGTCCCCCAGGCTGGAGTGCAATGGGGCGATCTTGGCTCACTGCAACCTCTGCCTCCTGGGTTCAAGCAATTCTCCTGCCTCAGCCTCCCAAGTAGCTGGGATTACAGGCATGTGCCACCATGCCCAGCTAATGTTTTGTATTTTTAGTAGAGACGAGGGTTTCACCGTGTTGGCCAGGCTGGTCTCGAACTCCTGACCTCAAGCGAGCTTCCCGCCTCAGCCTCCCAAAGTGCTAGGATTACAGGCGTGAGCCACCACGTCTGGCCCCCAGCTTTAAAATTTTAAGGAAAGCCGCTCCCCCTTTCTGAAGAATATGGAGCCTGCCTTTTTGGTCTTTCACTGGAGAACCAACTCCAAGGTTTCCTGAAAGTTTCTCCCACGTGGCTGAAATTCCTCATAAAAGATTTAACAAGCGAGTTTAACAACCTGAATTCTGTAACCCAACCTACCATATATAAATTCATTGCCGACTTCAAAAGCATTGTGAGATAAGTTAGCTGCTGGCGTGATGTCCGTGTCAAGGGAAGAGGTGGGTTCTTATAACTCTCAGCATTGAGTTGATGGCCC
The DNA here is from genome assembly GCF_000001405.40 of Homo sapiens. Lineage (NCBI taxonomy): Eukaryota > Metazoa > Chordata > Mammalia > Primates > Hominidae > Homo > Homo sapiens. Next base: position 5,938,106 of record NC_000019.10, on the reverse strand, counting down.
CGTTTCAACAAGGCATTTTGACTCTAAAAGCAAACTGTTTTGAGCCGACCACCTGGTCTCATCCTGCAGAGGGGCTTGGTGTTTCAGGGTCCTCAGGAAGGGCACGATGTTGGTTATTCCTGGGGTGTCGCTTAGCAGGTGGTGGTCTGGATGGGGGCACAGAGCCTGCCACGGTGAGGCAGGTTCTGCTTTAGGTGATCAGTTACTAAAGCCGTGTGTCTGGACCCATTTGTGCTGCTGAGCTCTGTTACAAATCTCATGATCGCTTCTGAGGTCTGTGAGCAACGGCCTCCCTCCTGTCTCTCTCCCCACAGACCTTTCCCCTCCAGCCTCGAGCAGGGCAGCTGTTTCGCAGGCCCCGACGCGGCATGGTTTAAAGCCCCAGTGCCCTCACGCATGAAAAGGCAGTCATATCAGCCACACATCAGTTCTGCAAACCCAACTTCACATCCTTGTCTGCCTGCCTTCTGTTTTTTAGCTTTAATTTTGAAAAGCTTTAACACTTACAGAAGAATTTCTCTGTCCCTTTTGTCTGAAGACCCCATTTAGCTTTCTCCAGTCAGCTCCATGAGTCCATTAGAAAAAAGGACTGAGACCCTGGTCCTACCACACATACCTCCACTTTTATCGGGAACAGGTCTTCAGGCTTCCCTTGACTTTCATGACCTTGAGGATTACAGGTCAGCTGTTGGGTAGAAGTGTCTCAGTTGGGGCCTGTCCAGTATGTCCTGGTGGTGAGACCCAGGTGTGGCATCTTGGATGAGAATGTCACAGAAGCCATGCACAGTACTCACTTGTCCCCTTACCAGCACGGGGTGGCCGTGCTCCTCGATCAGGGTGCTGTCTGCCAGGTTTCACCACTGTAAAGCTACTTTCCCCTTTGTGCTGGATGGTTTCTGAGAGACACTTTAGACTCTGGGACTGTGTGTACCTCATCACACTCCTGCCCTCCAGTGTTCGCGCCCAGTGATGTCTTTAGAGTGATGTTTCCCGCTGACGACTGCCCCATGGGATTTTCTTCCTTTTTTTTTTTTTTTTTTTTTTTTTTTTGGAGACAGAGTCTTGCTCTGTTGCCCAGGCTGGAGTGCAGTGGCACAATCTTGGCTCACTGCACCCTCTGCCTCCTGAGCTCAAGAGATTCTCAAGCCTCAGCCTCTCAAGTAGCTGGGATTACAGGCACTCACCACCCGTGGGATACTCTGAGCACCATCCCTGCCGCGTTGATTAGTGGTGTTCACTGGAAGGAGGAGCTTGCCCTTCTCCCCACGTGCTTGTTCCTTGATCGATTGTGTCAACATAGACAGGCGAGCTTCTGTTGGCATCAGTGGGTGACCGTCTATGGTTACTGGTTTTTATTTAATGTTCAGGTTGTCCCAGATTTGGCCAGTGGAAGCCCTGTCAGGCAGGTCCCCGTTGTTCATTTGAGCACTGCCCTTACTTTGTCACAACAAGAGCCTCCCGGCTCAGCCTCTTTTCTCATCCCAGTCCTGGAATCTGCATTTCTCAGAGGCACGCTGGTTCTTCAGGGAACATGGTCTTTAGAAACCAAGGTCTGAAATCACTCCGTGCGGTACTGCGATCTCACTGACTCAGGTGTAGCCCTGCTCCCGGCCCTCCGCGGACAGAGCTGGGGACACACCTTTGTCCACATGATCTCTTACTCTCTGCCTGCCTGCCTGCCTGCATGTGGAGATGACGGACAGAGCTGGGGACACACCTTTGTCCACATGATCTCTTACTTTCTGCCTGCCTGCCTGCATGTGGAGATGACGCCAGGGGCACGTGGGTGCCTCCCTTGGTATATTCCTCCCTCTTCTGGCACTAAGAAACCGGCACCCTCTGTCCTCTGTGCATCAGGCATCACTCCCTGCCCACCGCATGGCTGAGCCTCCTCCCCACCCTGCACCAGCGCCGTCCACGCACAGACCCCAGCTCCAGCCAGGCTGCCTTCTCAGCATTTGATGCACACAGTCTCATTCCCATCCCTTCCCTGGTTAAATCGGGGCTCCCTGGGGGGCAAGCATGGCTTCCCACAGACATCACTTGGGGCTCTCTGAGGCAGGCGAAAAGCACCCTCAGACAGGGAGCCTGCCAGCTTCCCAGGAGGGCAAAGGCTGCCGGCGGGAGGGGTCCTCTTCCTCTCTGGAGTGATGCGCATCCCTCAGAGACTGGTGCAGCATCCTCTACAGGCCCACACCCTTTGGGTATGTGGCAGGCGTCGGGCTCTGGCCATGATTCAGCAGCTTGTGTTGCGACCTGTGTTGCAGAAGAAAATTTCTGGAAGGAATGAGAAGAGACCACCCTTGTTTTCGTGGAGCAGGGCCTGTGACAGGGACCTCCAGATTTTGGCTACCCCTGGAGCACGCCTTGTCTGTCTGCAGCTCTGGAGAGGGCCACGCTCTGGGCCTAGCACTAGTGGCAGGTCGGTGGCAGGGATTATCCAAGTCTCCTGCTTCCGCTTGGCAGCTCGGGCCAGCCCCCAGGCTCCCCTCAGCGTTAGCGCCAGCGCTGCACGGAGCGGAGTGTGGAAGGGCAGTAGTCAGTCTGTGACCAAAACATCAGCGTGGAGAGCCAGCTTGAAGAGCTTGCTAAAAACTATCTAAATTGTGAATTTGACCTTTTAAAAATGTATCTAAATTGCCAGTCGTCTTCTGCATAGCTCCGTGCTTTGGAAATGTAATTGAGTGTTTCCTTCGGAAAAGGAACATCTGGCGGCTCACCCCCGCATCCTGCAGGATCTGGCTCTCCTGAGTTTGTTTTTTTATGACCAGTCTGTTACGGGAGAGGCACCAGCTCTGCTAACACAGGCTGCCAGAAGCCCCTGGGGCTGGACTCCCTCATACAACTATTATAGTAAGAAGGGTTGCTGCAATCCTCTTGCTGCCCAGGCACAGCGGCGCCTCCGGGGCACAGCGGGAGAGGGGTCTTCCTTGGCCTGCTGAATCTTGATTTGGAGTCTGAAAATTTGGGCTGACAAGGTGTTTTGGGTTTTGTTGTCATCGTTTTAGTGTACAATTGAGTGGTTTTAGTACATCCACAGAGTTGTGCGACCATCACGTGATTAATTTTAGAACATTTCCATCATCCCAAAAAGAAACCTCATCCCTGTTAGTCACAGCCTGCCCCCAACCCCCTCCCTTGAGCCCTGGTAACCGCTCAGCTCCTTTCTGCTTAGTCTGGCATTTCACAGAAATGCAATCAGACAGCATGAGGGGGTGTTTTTCTTTTGATTTACACCTTTAATTTCTTCCAACAATGTTTTTGTTTTGTTTGAGACAAGGTCTCACTCTGTCGCCCAGGCTGGAGTGCAGTGGTACAGTCGTAACTCAACTGTAACCTCAAGCTCCCAGGCTCAAGTGATCTTCCCACCTCTGCCTCCTGAGTAGCTGGGACTACAGGCATGTACCACCATGCCTGGCTAAGTTTTTAATTTTTTGTAGAGTTAGGGTCTTGCAGTGTTGCCCAGGCTGATCTCAAACTCTTGGGCTCATGCAGTCCTCCTGCCTCAGCCTCCCAAAGCACTGGGATTACAGGCATGAGCCACTGCACCCGGCCCTAACATTGTTTTATAGTTTTATCTTGTGAAATGTATTCCCAAGTATTTTATTCCTTTTGGTGTTATTGTAAATGGAATTATTTTCTTAATTTTGCTTTTGGGTCATTCACTGCTAGTGTTAGAAACACAATCGATTTTTGTATATTGATCTTGTGTCCTGTAGCTTGACAAGGGGGTGAAGCTTAGCACAAACGCAGGGCTACCTCCAGGAGCCATAATGCCACAGTCTCTGTGCCTTGCCCAGGAACAGGCTTGCCTGCCTGAGTCACAGGCCTTTTATGACAATCCTTCCTGTTGTGGATCAGATTAGACCACCATCCCCACTCCCTGTATGGGCACAGTTGCCAAGACACACAGATGAAGGGGTCCATGTGGACAGGTGGCTGGGCGAGGCTGGGCTCTCGAGCCATCCCAGGAGCTCGTGGGCATTCACCTTTCCCTCTAGTTTTGTGAATTTGTCAGCCCGGACTCTGGCCCAGGGGGAGCTGGCCTCCTCCACGGTGGCCAGGAGTGCCCCCTCACTGAGACGGGAAGCTCCGCAGGCACATCTGGAAAGGGGAGGCAGGCTCACTGTGTGCCACCTTTGACCTTTTCATCACAAAAACCTGTCTCACTTCCCAGACATCTGTAGTGGTGCCAAGGTTCTTCCTGGCCACAGCCGCATCCTCTGACAGACAAGCCTTCTAGGAAAGGGAAGTGGGGCCTGAGCGCCTGTGTTCCGTGGCTCCCTGACATTCTCCAGAGCCAGGTACAGGGCCGCTGAGCAGCTCGGCTCCTGAGCCTGCAGCAGGTCATAGACAGCTGGGAGGGCGGCTGACGCCCCACCTGCCCCCATGGTCAGCAGCTGGCCCAAGAGCCATCGTTCCTCCTGCCCTTGTCTCTCCCCTCCTCCAGGCGCCTTCCAGGCCTGCTGATCGGACGAGACTTCTGTTGTAATTTGGAAATGTTCTCCCTGGTTCTCCAGGCCCGAAGTCACTGAGGCCAAGACCATAGTCCTCTCCTGCCCTTGCCCCCCAGGCCCAGCCCCAGCCCAGGCAGGCCTGCTGTTGATATTTTGTCTTGTGCTTTTAGAGGAAAGGAGCAGTGGCTTCCGGTTGAAGCCACCAACGCTGATCCACGGCCAAGCCCCCAGCGCAGGTAGGTCGTCTACCTCCCTGGGGCGGGGGGTGGCTCTCTGACGTTTTTCAGACCTCTGCTAGGCCACACCAGGGCACCGCGGGCTCAGCCTGCTTTCTAGAAAGATCACTTGTAACTTGACCCACGAGCCCTGGAAAGTTCCTTTAAAGAGAGGCTGTCTGAGCAGGGAGGTTGGGACCCCTGACTGTGAGCGTCGTGTGTTCAGAAAAGTGGGCAGTGGTGGCACGGGAGCAGGCTAGGCGGGGTGCATCGGGCGGGCTCCATGCCCAGCAGTAGCGCACTTGGTTCAGCCTGTCTGTCCTTCATGTTCTGGCCCCCACATACCACAGTGTTCGCCCCAGTTAGCAGGGTGGCTGCATTCCAGCGGCGCGCTGCTAGTGAGCCGGCTGCTAGTGAGGCTGCCGGGGATGCTGCACAGGGCAGGGCACATGCAAGGGTCCTTGTCCCATCTGCCTTTGGCAGAGGGACTTCCTCAGCATGGCTGTTTTGAAAAACAGGTGCAAAATGTGCCTGTACGTGACCCCACACCGAGTCCTGAGCCTCCAGGTAGCTGCCTGTGAATGCACTGCTCTCCTCCCACAGTCTCCACTTGACTGTTGAGTCTGCCGGCGCCCCGCCACGTTACTGTGCTAACTGGATTAATTCACAGGCGTCGGTCACTGGGAGTTTCATGTAATCACATGTAAAAATAACAGTAGCCAGATCTCCTGGCCAGCTGTTAAAAAAAGACCTCAAGTTTTTAAAAAAGTGCTTCCCTGCAAAGTCTAGCCTGCAAGGGGCATGAAATGGGATGCCAGGGGTCAGTCTCTGAAGCGCCTGGGGGCAGGCAGGGGTCCACGGGCACTGGGAAGGCCGCCTTCTGTTCCTAGGTCTGCCAAGCCAGAAGCCCAAGGAGCAGCAGCGGAGCGTGCTTCGCCCGGCAGTGTTACAAGCTCCGCAGCCAAAGGCGCTGTCCCAGACTGGTAAGAAACAGCAGCCCTGGCGCCCAGGCCCAGACGGCAGGGTAGAGCGTTCCCGAAGTCGCACCCGGGACAGCAGTGTTGCGACAGAGGTGACTGCTGAATGCACCAGAAATACAGAGAGATCAGGGAAGATGATCCTTTAAATCACCCCCCAGCCGTCTCCAGCCCCAAGCCTCCTGAGCCCTGGCAACGGAGAAGGGAGAGGCGGCTCCACAGCTTCCTCACAGCTCTCGGCTGAGTGTGACTGTGTGGGTGAAACCTGCTTTGTTCATTCACTGTCTTCATAAAAGCAGGCCGGCTCCTGGGAATGAGATTTATCCCTGTGTGTTTGCAGATAGAATTTCAGCCTCAATTTTCACAGGTTATCTTTAAAAACTTGAAAGGTCATTTTATTTATTTATTTATTTATTTATTTTGGAGATGGGGTCTTGCTCTGTCACCCAGACTGGAGTGCACTGGTGCAATCATAGCTCACTGCAGCCTCGAACTCCTGGGCTCAAGCGATCCTCCCACCTCAGCCTCCCAAGTAGCTGGGACCACAAGTGTGCACCACCACACCCAGCCAGTTTGTTTTATCTTATTTTAGAAACGAGGACTTGCTGTGTTGCCCAGGCTGGTCTCAAACTCCTGGCCCCAAGCATTCTCCCCGCTTCAGCCTCCCAAAGCACTGGGACCACAGACATGAGCCACTGTGCCCGGCAGGTTTCTCTTTTTTGTTTGTTTCTCTTGTTTTTTTTTAAATCCAAGAATTTTGGCTCTTTGTAGAGATACCAGGTCCTTCCTTAAAAAGGAGACATGTGCTGTGGGCTTTACCATGGGAGGGGCCCTAGACTAGACGTGGCCCAGCCCCTCAGCTATGTGAGTGGGGGTGGGAGGGCCGCCAAGCACCTGTGATTCCCCACTCTCCTTCCCTCCCACAGTCCCCAGCAGTGGCACCAACGGGGTCAGCCTCCCAGCAGACTGCACGGGGGCAGTGCCCGCAGCATCCCCTGACACTGCTGCATGGAGAAGTCCTTCCGAAGCTGCCGATGAGGTGTGTGCACTTGAGGTCAGTGGGTCCTGAGGCAGGGAAGCGCTGCATGCTAGGCCCCTTGGGAGCGGGAGGGCAGCCTTCCCAGCATGCTGTGGAGTCCACACGCTGTCACCTGTTCCAAGCAGTTTCCACGTGGGCCTATTGTAAGGCTCTCTGGATTTGCTCAGTAGGCTCTAAATAACAGTACCTGACAAACCAGATCTAGATTCCCAAGGGTGGTCTTGCTGGTCAGGCAGAAGAAGAGTGTCTCCCAAGCAAGCTCTGCCGGAAGGACCTGTTGCCCAGAGTTCTGCCGGAAGGGCCTGTTACCCAAGGCTGACCGCCACATGTCTCACGGGAGTGATCCTTGAGGGAGGACCTGAACCACTGCACTCTGAGGAGTCACTAGGGCCCGAGGAACGGCTGTCACTGATGGGTGTCTTGCAATGTTTAACATGAGGAATGTCTCCCCTCTCTGTGTCCACACCCAAACCACCCCTCAGAGACTCCTATCTGTGTGGTTCCAGTTGAAAATTTTTCTTTGGGAGTCATCTCAGAAATAGTTTGTTTAGGCCGGACACGGTAGCTCACACCTGCAATCTCAGCACTTTGGGAGGCCGCGGCAGGTGGATTGCTTGAGGCCAGGAGTTCAAAACCACCCTGGGCAACATAGCAAGACTCTGTCTCTACAAAAAATACACAGATTAGCCAGGCATGGTAGCATGTACCTGTAGTCCCAGCTACTCAGGATGCTGAGGCTGGAGGATTGCTTGAGCCCGGGAAGGGGAGGCTGCTGTGAGCCGAGGTCACACCACTGCATTCCAGCCTGGACGACAGAGCCAGACCCTGCCTTAAAAAAAGAAATAGTTCCATTTAAGCGGGGGTATGGTTTGGATTATATGGGCCAAAAGCTTTGTGTTTCACAGCCACTGTGAAATAAGGGCCTTTGATGAAGAGCCTCCTTTGAAGTTGGCAGAGATGGGTTTGAAGTCAGAATTAGGGTAACACCATGTGGTATCTTCTGTGTAAAAGCCAGATTGGATCTTTGTGTTTATTTTCCGCTCTGTGTCCATGGCCTGCAGTTTTATACCCTCCATCCCCAGTAGATGTTCTGGCTCAAAGGGTGAAAATGGCTGTCCACAATTAAATTTGAAAACATCCTCACGCCCTTTTTCAAACGAGTTTGCTGAATTGGAAATAGGGATCATTTCCACCGCATTCTGCGGCTTGGAAGCTTTGACTGCTGAGGTCTCCTGAGCAGATCAGGTGTGCAGTTCTGAGTTGGAGAAGGACTTAGAAGTGACCCAGCCCGTCCCGCCATCTCCCAGTGTCTCTGATTGTCCCCGATGGTGAGTGCACAGGCTGACCTGGTAGCACCCGCTACCGAGAGCTTGTTCCTCACTGGAGAGGCCTTGCTGTGTCCCATCCCAGGGGACGGAGTCCGTCTTCCTGCCGGTTCCAGCCCCTTCTCAGCAGTGCACACAGCTTGTTCCCAAATGGTTGAGCTCAGAAGTTGTGATGTGCTGGCTGCCATTCCCAGCTCCTGCGTCTGGCTCCAAAGCCACTGCTCCATGTGGGTCTGGGGTGGAGCCATGCGGCCACACCCACGCTGCCCTCTGACCACACCCAGTACTGTTGAGATTCGCCAGGCTCGCTGTGTGTATCCTTCTCTGGCCCTACAGCAGGAGTCCGAGCTTTTCCAAGCCGCCCATGAACATGGCACACACTGCTCATCGGGAACGTGAGCTATGAGGCATCTCCTCTAAGGAGGGCTTAGATGTTGGGGGCGACCCATGGGGGAACTCCTGGTACCGTCTTTGGGAAAGTGGGGAAGAGGCTTCCCCTCCCGCCCCACACACACACAGAGTCTCAGACTGGTTACAGGCCTCGGGATTCGTTTATCAGTTTAAGCGAATCCTCTAAGCAGGCTCCGCCAGGTCATAGACATACCCTGTAGTCAGAAACATTTTGCTGTTTGCCTGCCCCATCTCAGGTGACTCTGTGGGCTCCACCCACCCGGGATTAGCACCAGTCGGTGTGAGCAGGGGGCACACAGCGCAGAAAGCCAAGAGCCAGGGAGTGTTTCTGCTGGACGGGATGCAGGCGGCCCCAGTGGGGCTGGGGATTAGCCCATCCTCTGAGGACTTCCAGGTCGCCAAACACGTTGTGTGTTTAATTTTAAAAAGCCACGTTCACTCTTGCACAGGCACAAGGATGCAGCGTGAAGTCAGCAGTAGCAGAATTTCTAGGGAGCACAGTAGAGAAACATTTACACTTTTCACTTCCTTCACAGTTGGACCAGAAAGTGCCCTCAGCGCTGTGATCCGCTGATTCTGGGCCTGGCATTGTAACTCCAGGCTTCCCTGCCCGCTGGACACGCTGAGCCAGTCAGAAGCTGCCTGCAGCCTTTCTCACCTCCGAGTTCACGGTTGTCAGGTCCCTTCACGACATCTCCCAGGAAAACACTCCCTGCCTCACGTTCATGTCCACTGTACACATCGCCAGAGACTCCAAAGATCTGCCAAAAGCCTTTTAAAATTTCTTTTCAAATTCTACAACACCTTTTTCATCATGTGGTATAGGAAAGACATATACAAATTACTAGCAACTCCATATTCCATTATCTCAAGATAAATGCATTTGGTCTTAGGATATTTAGTTACAAAAAAGTCATGCCTACATGTTGAAAATATTTACACAAAATGGAAATCCTAGAAAGTAACAAGCAGGAGCCACCCTCCAGCTAAGAGGTTCCCGGGTAACCTCCGTCAGTAGTTTGAATTCTCTCTCCCGACTTATTTTCCTGGGCATTCCTCAACACACATACACACCACACATACACACACACACACACCACACACACGGGACTGGATTGGCTTTAACAGAAATGGAATCGCACTTCCGTGTCCCACAAGCTGCTCTCTTCTCTGATCCATGTATTGTGGGCATGTCAGAGGCCTACCTCCCTCTCGGTGGTAATAGCTGTGCTGTACTTTTTTTCCCCCATATTTTCTATTGTAAATTATTTCATTCCTTGGCCAATGATGAGCAACCAGGTTATTTCCTGTCCTCTGCCGGCACTAAGGCTTCTGCAGGGCACAGGTGTTTCTTGTTGTTTGGAGACAGGTTTTTGCTCTGTCACCCAGGCTGGAGTGCAGTGGTGTGATCTCAGCTCACTACAACTCCCAGGCTCAAGCAGTCCTCCTGTCTCAGCCTTCTGAGTAGCTGGGAGTGCAGGCACATGCAGAGGAGACGTGTGGAGTACATGATCTGGTGTGGGATTGCTGGGCATCCGTCTGGGCCAAGTGTGGCACTGGTTTTGATTACTCTGTTTTGTTTTGGTTTTTGATAGGAGAAAGAGCCCCAGAAAAATGAGTCCAGCAATGCCTCTGAAGAGGAAGCCTGTGAGAAAAAAGACCCCGCCACACAGCAAGCCTTTGTATTTGGGCAGAACTTGAGGGACAGAGTTAAGGTATGTGAGCTGTTGAACCAGCACATTGACTTTTTATGCCTTCCCCAGGTTCAACAGCAGGCAAGTAGGTAGATTTTCCTTTTAACAGGGGAGGGGAGCGTGGGACAAAGAAGGTGTTAGCGAGGCAGCCCCATGGCTCACGGCACAGTCTGCTGCTGGTGTGCGTGTGCTGGGCCCTGGCACTTCCCCACCAGCAGCCCAGGCTTCGGAGCCCTCACCTGCAGTGACTTCTCAAGTCAGGGTCCCTGGTTCTCATGGTAGCGGGGACAGGGAAGGTGACTGAACCTGAGGCCTCAGGCTTTCATAGCAGAGAAGAAAGACAGCACGGTCCAGTGTTCTCAGCTCTGCCCAGAGGTTTCTGTTCCCGTATTTCAGGGTTTCTCTGTTTCAGCACTAGCAGCATTACGGCTGGACCATTCTTAGTTTCTGAGGAGTCGCCCTGGGCACTGCAGGGTGCTGAGCAGCATCACTGGCCTCCACCCACCCAATGCTCCTGACATCTGACAACCACAAATGTCCCCAGACGTGGCCAGTATTCCCTGTGGAGTAGAATCGCCCCCATTAAGAACTGTCACCTTATTTTTTTTTAAGTGGGGCAGGGTGGGGTGACAACACTGTCTTCTCTCCTGAAAGGGAGCAAAGCGTCTGCCACCTCTTGGCTGCCCTCCAGACATGTGGTCCTAGTTTGGAGATTGTGTGGTGGGGAAGGGATGGCAGTGGTTGGAAACAGTGGCCCTGGACCATGCACTGGGACTCTAGGAAGACCAGGGTCAGCCAGCACCACCTTTCCCAGCCACAGACATGGAATGTGCTACGGCATCTCTAGCAGCTCCACTGGCAAGAAGCTTCTTTCAAAGCTCGAGAGGCGGTATCGGTGGCTGTGTCTAGAGACTTTTGTGGTTGTCACAACTGGGAGGTACTTCTGGAGGTCAGGGATGCCACTCCGCCCCTTGCAGTGCCCAGGATAGCCACACCACAGGGAATGTTCTGGGCCCAGTGTCAACATGTCAGTAGTGTCGACGGGGAGGGCCCTGAAATAAACAAAAACCTCTCTAGCATGCAGAAAGCACCGGCTTGTGTTTTCTGCTTTCCTTTCTGTTACTCACCGTCCAACAGAAGCCCAAGTCGAGAAACGTGGAAAGTTGATGTTGCTGTTGCCATGGCTTTAGGCAAAATAATGAGTCCCTCAGGGGCTGTTCCCTCCAAGGAGGGAGGGCAAGAGGCGGGGAAGGGCTTGGCCTGTGGAGTTCAGGCCCTGTGGAATCTCTGCCTTGAGTCTGGGGAGACAGCTGCTTTGAATTTGGTGGGGTTGGCTTCTTGCAGAAGTCAGAGGCTTACGTGCACTTCGCAGTCTCAGTCAAATCCCAGCCTCTCCTTCCAGGGCAAACTTGAGCCATGGATTCTTTTTTTTTCTTTGGACACGAAGTCTTGCTGTGTCGCCCAGGCTGGAGTGCAGTGGCATGATCTCTGCTCACTGCAACCTCCACCTCCTGGGTTCAAGCGATTCTCCTGCCTCAGCCTCCCAAATATCTGGGATTACAGGCGCCCACTGCCACATCCAGCTAATTTTTTGTATTTTTAGTAGAGGTGGGGATTTCTCCATGTTGGCCAGGCTGGTCTCGAATTCCTGACCTCAAGTGATTCCCCGCCGCCTCAGCCTCCCAAAGTGCTGGTATTACAGGCACGAGCCACCGCGCCCAGCCAGAGCCATGGTTTCTTAACCCTCTGAGCCTCTGCTTCCTTGTTGGTCAAACAGGGTCCCTAACATCCCCCTCCCAGGCCTCGTGAGGATTAAAGCAGATCGTGCATTTGACAGACTCAGCATAGCAGCTGGTAGGAAAGAGGCCCTCAAGAAATTCTGCTTCTATCATGTTCATAGTAAACCCCCCAAAACGTCAGCTTTGTAACGTTGTGTTATTGGTATGAAGCATTGACCGAGAGGCCAGCTTAGGCGTGGTTTTATAACAAGGCGTGGTTTTGTAACAAGGTGGAAAAGGCTCCTTGGAGCTTCATGAGCTCTCTTTCCATCCTAACTGTTAAAGCAAAAGGTGATGGAGTTGATTATAGCCCTGCCCCCCAGCACATGCACGCGCACACACACAGGCGGGTACAGGAGAGGGTTCATGGCTCCGAGCAGCTCCATGCAGCTCAGGGGGTCTGCAGACACTGAGCTGTGGAACTCCAGGCACCCCCCCACCCCCGATTACTGAGCGCTCCGTCTCATTCCCAGCTGATAAATGAGAGCGTGGACGAAGCCGACATGGAGAATGCTGGACACCCCAGCGCAGACACGCCAACCGCAACGAACTATTTCCTCCAGTATATCAGTTCCAGGTGTGTGTCTCGGTGTCAGCGGCCAGCCTGGCATGGCGATGCAGGTGGCCGCGAGGGCTTCTGCCAGAGAGGGGTCTGTGGTCCCCGTGCCCGACTCAGGCCCAGAATCCAGGTTGCTCTCAGGCCCCTCTCTCTCATTCCCCACTCTGGGCACAACCTTGGGTGGGCCAGGGTGGTGGGCCTTGTCCTGGGATTCACTGGACGCCTGAGACAGGACCAGAGTTCTGTGGGGTTGTCCAGGGGCCCATGGAGGCTACAGCCCAGCCCTTGGAGTGTGCCCTCTGTCTTGTGGACCTCATGCCCAGAGCAGAACAGAGCAGGCCAGAGGCGACTCAGGCGCCCCCTTATTCTGGGTTTGGGCACCTGGGGCAAAGACCTCATCATGTCCTTGACTGACATGGCTGGGGGTAATGCTACCCACGGACCAGCTGCCCCTCCAGGTGTCTCAGAAGAAAGCGTGTCCCGACTGGGAGATGGGCGGGTAGAGCAGGTGGAAGGTGGCTTCCCTCATGCTGTGGGGCCCCTCCATCAGGGCGAGCTAAGGGTTAATGTTTTCAATGGCACAGGGAGGTGTGTGGCTTCCTGCCTCTGACACGCCACCCCGTGCACAGTGGCGGAGGCCCCTCCACTGTGCCCTCTGTGTCAGTGTGTGCTCCATGGGTACCCATACATTTGCCTGGCCACGTTCCCACGTGACGCCCCACACTCATTGCACATCTTCTCTTCAGTTTAGAGAACTCAACCAATAGTGCCGACGCCTCCAGCAACAAATTTGTATTTGGCCAGAACATGAGCGAGCGAGTTTTGGTGAGTGGCTGTGTTGGGAATGTTCTCAGGGACCAGAGGCTCTCGGCGCCAGCCACAGGTCAAGGGGACATGGAGAGCAGGGCTGCTGTGTCGTCCTATGTGAGATGGGGATGCCTTCAGTAGCAAGTGAGAGAGGGAAGACCCTGCTCAGACTCAGCCTGAAAACTGGCCAGGGCCACTGGCTGCCTACGAACTGGCATTCGCTTTTCCCGGCTCCTCCGTGCTGACCAGGGCCAACTTCATCCCAAGATGGGCTTCCCTGGAGGCTGCAGGGTCCTGCTGGCAGTCGGGGTCCATGGTTCCTCCCCACCAGGCCAACTGACAAAAGTCCTGTGGGACGGAGCCAGCCGTGCTGGTGGACAGGGTTGCTGGCCTCCCTGCTCCTGTGAGCATAACCGCGGCCAAGGCCTTGGGTGCACGAAAGGCCCATCTCCGTTCCCAGGAGCCCAGCCAGCCTGGGAGAGGGTTCTAGAATGGTTTGCCTACCTCTTTACACATGTTCCTTTTTCTTCCTGATTCCACCCAGCTCCATTGCGACTGCGTGAGGGCCTGTCCTGAGCCGCCTGGTCACTCTAGCTCTGTCTGGAGTTAGGCTGCATTAAGTACTCTGCAGCTTCTCTTCCTTCGTGGCCACGCTGTGCTTTTTCTATTTCAATGAAATGTTCAAAGTCTTGCCTCACCCAGACGGAGTGACCAGTGTGGCTCGAGGGGACTGTCGGCTGGTGGCACTCACCCCGTAGTGATGCCTGAGGGACCACGTGGGGAGCTCCCAGGCAGTTCAGGGTGTCACCGGGAGTGGGCAGGAGTGCTGGGGGCAGCGTAGTGTTGGGGGCCAGGCAGAGAGGTGCTCAGAGCTGCTGCTGAAGGACCACACAAGTGCCCTCTTCCTTGTATGCTTTTGTGTCCCTGCAGAGCCCCCCAAAATTAAACGAGGTCAGTTCAGATGCCAACAGGGAAAATGCAGCTGCCGAGTCAGGGTCTGAGTCCTCGTCCCAGGAGGCCACCCCTGAGAAAGGTATGTTAGCGTCCCACCACAGCATGGGGCTCATGGTAGGTCATCTTGGGGGATGCTGGGTCCATTCACACCCCCAGCCGGGAGGGATAAGGGGCCCGACTCCCGCAGCAGTAACAACCACATGTGAACCAGCTCCAGGGCCCTGCCTTGCAGTGAGCAAGGGTTTGTGATAAAGAACTCGAGGGCCTGTGTCGCCTTGTGGCCGTGGGGAGGGTGGGGAGGCGCAGGCAGCAGGCGTGGAGGAGTCCCTCACTGTCCCCCCGTCGACTGCTCGGCACGAACACGAGAGTCTGGGGCCACACTTGGCCCCCAGATGGTCTCCCTGCAGCTTCTGAGGCCATATGCTCTGGCTGTGTCTAGGGTCCACTTGGGTTGCCGGGGCAGGCCTGCCAGGGGCAGCAGGCGTCCTTGAGACCAGAACCAACCCTCTCATCTCCTGTCGGATGAGGGGAGATGGCTCTCCTCTCGCCAAATAATCAGTCAGTCTTTTTGGCCAATAACTTTTCAGAGTCCCTGGCTGAGTCGGCAGCCGCCTACACCAAGGCAACAGCGCGGAAGTGTTTGTTGGAAAAAGTGGAAGTCATCACCGGGGAGGAGGCGGAGAGCAATGTGTTACAGGTGAGGGGCCGGCCCCTCCTCGGTGGCCCTGGGTCTTCCATGCACCTGGGGGTCCAACCGCAAGGGCTGGGCCCACATCCTCTGAGCACACAGGCCTGCCCCTGAGATGACGGAGGGGCCACTGGCCCCACGCTCTGGGACTTTGTTGGTGGCGTTTGTAGAGAGAGCTTAGGCTCAGGGGCTTCTTGCATGTCTTTGGTTTCAGAGGAGGAGGATCTGTTTGAGACATTCTTTGTTTTGTTTTAATTTTTTTTGAGACAATGTCTTACTCTGTCACCCAGGCTGGAGTACAGTGGCACAGTCTCGGCTCACTGCAACCTCTGCTTCCTGGGTTCAAGGGATTCTTGTGCCTCAGTCGCCTGAGTAGCTGGGATTACAGGTGTGCACCACCACGCCAGGCTAATTTTTGTATTTTTAGTAGAGACGGGGTTTCCCCATGTTGGCCAGGCTGGTCTCAAACTCCTGACCTCATGTGATCCACCCGCCTCGGCCTCCCAAAGTGCTGGGATGACAGGCGTGAGCCACCACGCCCAGCCCGAGACATTTTTGATGGTTCAGGGAATGACAAAGACTGTCATACCAAACATATTCTCTTGTCGCCCAGAGCTGGCAACTGTATTATTTGTCACCTGGCATCCTGTGGTGTCTTCGTAGGGAAAAGATCAGGTGCGGCCAGAGGTTCCACCCCACCGTCCCCTCCTGGCATCCCCCATTCCTGCTCCTCAGGCCGCACCACCCGGCTTGGGCAGCATCCATGTGCTTCCTCTCCCGTGGCACATAAGCAGGTGTCTGTGTCTGTAAACCGGGTGGCGTATCGTGGCGTTCTTAAGAGCACTGTTCTTTTTTCCCACTTACCACTTTGTCATCTGTTCATGTTGAAAGAGATTGACTTAGGGGGTATGTGGAAAGCCATGTAGGGGTGTCTGTCTCGTATTTTTCTTTGTTTATATATACAAAACTGCTGTATTGAAATATAGTACAAATGCTATATAATCCATCCTTTTAAAGCATACAATTCCGTGGTTTCTAGTATATTCACAGAGTCAGACAACTTTCACCAGAATCTAACGTACAACATTTCTGCCCCCAAAAAGAACACTGTCCCATTCCCCCAGAAAGAGCATTGTCCATTCGCAGTAACTCCTCCTCCCTCCCCAGCCCCTGGCAGCCACAGATCCACTTCCTGTCTCTGTTTTTTGCCTGTCCTTGACATTTCATATAAATGGCATCAACGCACTATGTGGCCTTTCGTGTCTGGCTTCTCTCGCTGAGCCAGAGGTTCATCCACGTTGCAGCGGGGGTCGGAGCCTTGTTCTTTATTAAGACTGAGTGAGATGCGCTGTAGGGGCGGACCATGTGTGTCACTCCATTCCTCCTTGAGACTTGGCTACCGTGAATGATGGTGCTGTGCACGTTCATGTGCGATCTGTGTGTGAACACGAACAAATGTTCCATTTCTCTTGGGTACATACCGAGGAATGGAATTGCTTGGGCATGTGGTAATTCCTTGTTAAGCAGTTTGAGGAGCCGCCAGACTCTTCCACAGCAGTGGCACCATGCGGCCTTCCCGCCAGCAGTGTGTGAGGGTTCCAGCTTCCCCACATGGGTATAGCCGTCCTAGAGTGCGCAGAGAGGCTTCTCACCGTTGTTTTGCTTTTCATTTCCTTAGTGATTCTTTTAATTTCAGATACCCCTTATACAATGTAAAGCCTGTTCTAGCTTGAGGGCAGGACAAAAAACTGACCAAGGTGGCCCCCAGGCCGTCGTTGGCTGGCCCTGGCAGTCCCCACAGGCTAAAGGGCGACTCTCAGGGTGTGGCTGCAGCAGGACACCAGCTGGGGTCCCTGCTTACCGGCGGCCACTGTGTTCCAGATGCAGTGCAAGCTGTTTGTCTTTGACAAGACCTCACAGTCCTGGGTGGAGAGAGGCCGGGGGCTGCTCAGACTCAATGACATGGCGTCCACCGATGACGGCACACTACAGTCCCGACTAGGTGAGCTGCCGACGGCGGGGGCTGTGGCCGGGTCCCCATGGGGAGGGCTGGGGACTATGCAATTCCAAAGGGAATGAAGCGGGGGAGATCCTGACCCTACCCTTGTGAGAGTCAAGGCACAGAGTCGGTCTCCCATGAGAGCCGCCCCCCAAACCCCCTCCCTGCACCCAGCCCTCAACACCACCCTCACACACTGGCTCCAGCTGCCAGCTCGTCCGTGACCCTCTTAGTGTCAAAATGGACAAAAGTCTATGGAAGTTTTTAAGCTGATTTTCTGACAAAGTGGCAGGTTTATGATAGAAAGGAAAATGAAATCAAACATCAAGTCTAATCTCTTGATAAAGACAAATTTTGGCCAGGCGCAGTGGCTCACGCCTGTAACCCCAGCACTTTGGGAGGCCAAGGTGGGCGGATCACCTGAGGTCAGGAGTTCAAGACCAGCCTGGCCAACATGGCAAAACCCTGTCTCTACTAAAAATACAAAAATTAGCCGGGCATGGTGATACATGTCTGTAATCCCAGCTACTCGGGAGGCTGAGGCAGGAGAATTGCGTGAACTTGGGAGACGGAGATTGCAGTGAGCCGAGATTGAGCCACTGCACTCCAGCCTGGGCGACAGACCAAGACTCCATCTCAAAAAAAAATAAAATATACTGTTTTTGAAAAGCTTTCATGTTAATATTCCATTGACAGTCAATGGACTTTTCCCTATTGGTGGACATTTAGCTTGGAGTACCTGCATACACACACCCACTTAAGGAAATCAGCCTGTGTGTGTGCACATTTGAAATGTGGGCGTGTCTTTTTTTTCCTTCTAAAGCTGATTTCACTCCATCACCCAGGCTGGAATACAGTGTGATCATCGCCTCAAATTCCTGGGCTCAAGTGATCCTCCCACCTCAGCCTCCTGAGTAGCTGGGACTACAGATGCACCACCACGTCTGGCTAATGTTTTTATTTTTGTCTTTATAAAGACAGGTCTCCCTGTGTTGCCCAGGCTGGTCTTGAGCTCCTGGCATCAAACAGTCCTCCCACCTCAGCCTCCCAAAGCGCTGGAATTACAGGCGTGGGCCACTGCGCTGGGACCATCTTTTTGTTTTATCTTCCCAAATCAAAGTGTCTTCTGGCCTTTTCATAAATATGGGTTTCAGGCCCAGCAGTAACTCAAGCAGCCCCCTTGAAGGGTAGTGTTCATGCACTTCAATCAGAAACACTGCTCTGGTCAGAACAGACAGGGGATGTCCCTGCAGGCTGGGACTGCTCTTTTGTTCCCCATGGACGTCTTTTTTTTTTTTTTTTGAGACGGAGTTTTGCCCTTGTTGCCCAGTCTGGAGTGCAGTGGCTTCGTTTCGGCCCACCGCAGCCTCCACCTCCCAGGTTCACGCGATTCTCCTGCCTCGGCCTCCCGAGCAGCTGGGCTTATAGGCACCCGCCACCAAGCCTGGCTAATTTTTTTATACTTTAAGTAGAGACAGGGTTTCTCCACATTGGTCAGGCTTGTCTCGAACTCCTGACCTCAGGTGATCTGCCCACCTAGGCCTCCCAAAGTCCTGGAATTACAGGCTTGAGCCACTGTGCCCAGCCTTATGGACGTCTTCTTGTGTTTTTCCTTTTGTCTCGTGGAAATGTTCAAATGTCCATGGAAAGAGAGGGCATAGAGCCCTGAGCCCCCAGGTCATCCCCTCTGCCTGGGTCATCAGCCTGTAGCCCCGTGGCAGCAGTACCCTCCCCAGCTTCAGGGAGAGCAAAATCACCTCTGTCTTTCTCCCACTCGGCCTCTGAGGTGGGCACCTGGGCTCAGGGAGGTCTGTTCGCTGGGCCAGGGCAGGGGGACAAGTTTCTGACCGTCTCCAGGCCTGCTCCAGTGGGGAGAGGCGGCTGGCAGGAAGGTAGGGGCTTGGCTGAGTCCACGGGGTGGGCCCAGGCCAGGCGCAGGGGTGTTGCATCCTCTAGAAGAGTCAGGGCCCTCCCATTTTCCTCCGTAATCTGCTGCCCACAGTCCTCTCGTCTCCTCTCCATGGAAGCGCTAAGCTGCGGTCCTACTCTGCCTTCTCCTAAGGAAACCAGAGGGCAGGGCTGGCCCACTCAGGGGAGGCCAGTCAGGAGGACGTGGACTCCCATGGAGGCCGATGTCTCACACACACAGAAAGCGCATGCACCTTGAGTGTCAGCCCCTGCCTCCCGCAGCCCACCCCGTACTCCTCTCTAATCCCCCCTTCTCCAAGGGAACTGCCATCCTGGTGCCCACCTGTGTGGACCAAACACAACCTCCCACAAGCTGCATGTGGCCTCTGGTCACTGATCTGCAGCACCAGCCTGTGCAGCCACCTGCAGTTGTGGCCTTCAGTGGTCCAGGCTTGGGGAGGAGGAGCCCCGCCCCGGGAGCAGGTGTGCCAGGGCTGGCCTCAGGGAGAAGTCTTGCTCTGTGGGTGGGTCCTGGGAGGATCATGGGCTTTTGCGCGGTGATGTCGCTTTCCATCTGGACTGTGTTGGCTCTTGGAGCTGGCTGTTTGTGAGGGGGCCGGTGTGGGGGCCAGGGCTGAGTGGCCTTGTTGGTTGTAGTGATGCGGACCCAGGGGAGCCTGCGACTGATCCTCAACACCAAGCTGTGGGCCCAGATGCAGATCGACAAGGCCAGCGAGAAGAGCATTCGCATCACAGCCATGGACACCGAGGACCAGGGCGTGAAGGTCTTCCTGATCTCGGTGAGCCAGCCACGCGGGTGCATCTGGGACCCCTCATCCTGCCAGCCCTGTGGGGGTTCCTGGGCACACAGATCAGGCAGGACGGTGGGGAGGGGAGGGGGGAGGGGCTTCAGTTGCTTCCTGGGACACAAGAAGCACTATGGGACCCGCCAGTCCCAGCCTTCAGGAATAGAGATCATGGTCCTTGTCCTCTTCTCAACCCAGAGAAGCCGCTGGGGTTTGGCTGAGGGGTTGTGATGTGTTCAGGGCTAACAGCCCTGTGGGGCGGTCACCTCTCTCCTATGTCATGGTGTCACAGTCGAGTCCACCAACCCTGACCTCTGGGATATTCCCAGCCACCTGGGAGTGGTGGCATCCTTTCGGGGAGAGGCCGGCAGGCCCAGGGCCAATGGCCTCCCCACAAGGCCTTGTGGCAGTGTCACCTCTGAACCTTGGGACTTGGCACTTGTGTTCTGCAGAAGGCAGGAGGGGGTAGGACTGGGGTCCGGGGGTCTCATACCCTCCTCCCTTCCCAGGCCAGCTCCAAGGACACAGGTCAGTTGTATGCAGCCCTGCACCACCGCATCCTGGCCCTGCGCAGCCGCGTGGAGCAGGAGCAGGAGGCCAAGATGCCCGCGCCTGAGCCTGGGGCAGCCCCATCCAACGAGGAGGACGACAGCGACGATGACGATGTCCTGGCTCCTTCAGGGGCCACCGCAGCTGGTGAGTCGGGTGGTCCCTACCCTGGGGGGGATAGAAAGAGCTGCCCGCCATCCTTGATCCAGTGCTGATCTCCTGGCGGGGGTGGCCAGACCTGGGAAGTGCGGGCTCCATCCTGATGCGGGGCTGCTGCTTCCCTGCAGGTGCTGGTGACGAAGGGGACGGGCAGACGACCGGGAGCACATAGCGGCCGGGAGCCCGGCTGCACACCAGGCTGCTGCTTTGTCCGTCTATCCACCCGCCCACCCGCCCCCACCCCACCGGCAGCGTCCAGGTGCGGGGCCGGGAACCACACACCCCACTGGGCCGGCCACAGTCTGGACCCGCACGTCCTGTTCAAAAGCAGACTCGGGAACTGCCTGAATGTGGTTTGGGACACGAGACCTCATCATATTGATGAGCGAACAAACAAGAACATTTCCTCCCTCCCCTCCTTTGAATTGAAATGGCACATTAAGACTTGTCACGGCTTCTCACTGGGACTGGAGACCTCGTTCCTTCACCCCGCGTGTCGCCAGCCTCTGGGTCCAGCCAGAGCCCCTGGCTTCTCCGCCACCCACACCCTTCCCACCCTGCTGTGGGGCCCTGCCTTTGTGGGGAGCAGCCAGCCCTCTGCCCCTGCCCAGGGCTCCCCAACTATAGGCCTGGGACCCCCGCCCAGCTTGGGGGGCTGCTCGTACGAGTGTAGACACTGGGCCCATTGGACGTGCTGTTAACTACTATCTTCATTTCCCACTTCCCCTCTCTGATTGGGGGTGTATATTTTACATCTTTTTTTCTTTTTATTTTCGAAGGCTTTGTTTTGGTTTCTTAGGTTAAGATGCTCTCGAGCGTTGAGCAGGCACAGCTCTGTCGAGGTCCCTGTCCCCCACCTGTGGTTCTGGCCTCTGAGGTTGGGGGACTACTTGTTTCCCACCCCAGGTTCCTCCAGGCCAAGTCATGGGGTGATGAGGAGTTGGGGCCC
Source organism: Homo sapiens (assembly GCF_000001405.40). Taxonomy (NCBI): domain Eukaryota; kingdom Metazoa; phylum Chordata; class Mammalia; order Primates; family Hominidae; genus Homo; species Homo sapiens. Next base: position 5,916,832 of record NC_000019.10, on the reverse strand, counting down.
TGTCTGTCCTAGGCCTGGAGAGTGCCTGTCTGGGAAAAGGTCACTGGACCTGGAAGGGTCCCCAGGGTCCCCTGACTCCCGTCTCCATCTGTCACGTGGTTCACCATCATCAGGCACCAGGCGCAAACTGCTTCCCGCTGTTGGCCATCCCTTCCCCAGCCACAGGTGTCCCTGCCCCCAGGACAGTCCAGGGCCAGGGGCTTCTGTGAGAGGCAGAGGGGGACCCTCACCAAATCTTGGTGGAAGAGCCCAGGGGCTGGTCCCAGAACAGGCAGTCTCACAAGCACGCAGCACACTGGAGTGGACGCCTGTGCCCACCCGAGCCTGGAGCATGGCCAAGAGCCAGCTTGCACCACCCACCTGGGAGGCCGAGGAGGAGGTCCCCTGGGCACAGGGCCTCTTTGGGACTTCAGAGGAAATCTCCCAGTCCCACTCTCGGAGGGTTAAGAGAAGGCCTCCTGCAGCTGTGCCGTCCACACCTCTAGGTCGCCAGAGCCCTGGCCCCCAGCCCCCAGCAAGCCTGAGCCCGGGAAGAACCAGAGGCCCTCCCGAGAGACCCAGTCACACGTCTCTGCTTTAAGCCTTAGCCAGCTAGTGACGAGTACAACGAGATAACGCCCATGTGTTTTGGAACATTTATGTAAGATTGTCATATGAAATGTATTTGGGAACTACATTAAACTTTTAACTAAAACCCTGGCCTCTGCATGCCCCAGGGGCCTCAGGAAGCCCCTGACCAGGAACGGCCTCCACCTCCCCGGGCGAGGACCTCCAGCAGCCTGGGGCCTCATGCTCCCACCCAGCGTGTCACCAGTGCTGGGGTCCAGCCACAGCCCTGTTCTCTCCACCACCACCCGCACTTTACCCCCACCCCTGCTGCAAGGCCCCGCCGGTCTGCCCCCGCCCAGAGCTCCCAGCCTCGGGCCGCTCACCAGAATGTAGATACTGGGCCCGCTGGACATGTTACCTGCTATTTTTATTCCCCATTTGCCATCTTCTGATTGGGGGTTGATGTTTTACAGATTTTTTTTTCAAAGGCTTTATTTCAGTTTCTGAGGTTAGGATGCCCCTGTGCCCCTCGCTCCACACCTGGGCAGGTCTAAACTTCCTTCCAGGATGGCCTCCACACACAGCCTCCCACCTGGGGTCACCTGGCTTCCTGGGGGACCCGCAAGGGAGGGGCAGGGAGCAGCAGTCCGGGTGCGGGGATCGGGGGACCTCGGCGGGGGCATCCACAGGGGCTGCAAGATCTCTGGTCAGCATGGCGTGGGTGGGGAGAGCGTTTCTCCCTGGGGTCCTGAGCCAGTGACTCCTGTTAGGACCTTTGTCCCACCTCCGCCTGGTGGACCGGCAGGGACCTGGTCTAGCCAGTCCTGCAGCCTCCATTCCCCCACCTGCCCCTCCCCGCTCTGTGGTGTGGCTGCCCAGGAGAGAAGGGGCCCAGGGAAGGGAGGTCTCCGGCAGGGGTGGGGAGTGACAGGCCAGGGCAGCAGGGCTGAGCCGGAGCTGCTCACAGCTGCCAGGCACTGGTCATCATGGCCACGAACTCCTCATCCGTGTTCATGGAGGCACTCACGCCGCTGTAGTAGTCCTGGAATTCCGCCAGTGTGACCTGGGAACAGAGGGCCGTGAGGGGGCACGGCCGAGGAACTGCCTGGGGAGGGGGCCCCCCGCGCAGCCACCCACCTGCCCGTCCTTCTCAGAGGAGTCGAAGTTGTCCAGGAAGCGGCGCAGCACCTCGTCCTCGGTCCACTCCCCACTGCGCACCTTGGGGTGGGCACGGCCACTGTACACCCCGCGGAGGTCGTCCACCGTCACGACGCCGTCCCCACTGCGGTCCAGCTTGGCAAATGCAGCTGCGATGACAGCCTCCCGGGCCTGGGACATGGGGGGCTGGGACAGGAGGTGGTGACTGGGGGTGGTGGGTAGCACACCCAAACCCCCAAGACGCTGTGCAGAGCACTGGGGCTGTATGCCCCAGCAGGCGCCTCTTAACAGCAGCTCTTAGGGAGGAGTCCCCGTCTCCGCATCTCAGCATCCTCTGTCGCCCCATGCCCAGGGCACACGCCTTGACTGTGAGGTGGGGGCTCACCCGCAGCGCCCGAAGGAACTCCTCCAGATCCAGCGTCCCGCTGCCATTGCGGTCCCACTTCCTGCACACACCCTCTGCCTCCGCCTGGTCCAGCACCAGCCCGAGTTTGGCCAGACCCTGCCGGAACTCATCAGCGTCCAGGGATCTGCTCCCGTCCCGGTCTAGTTGGCGGAAAAACCTGGAGGCAGGGGACACGGTTGGAACAGTGGTCTCAGGGGCCGGGGTCAGGAAGGTGAGAGGGGACAGCTCACCTGGCCAGGCCCTGGATGCCCGAGGCCCCGCGGGACAGGCACTGTGCCCGGAGTTTCTCCATGGTGGCATCCACGGCGTCCATGCTTGGTCTGGGCTCTGGGCAGCTGGAAGGGAGAGAGGTCAAGGTGGGGACTCCCGCAAGCCCACCCTGGCCGACTGCCCCTTGTTCAGATGCTCACCTGGCCTGCGTCTGTCCCAGAGTCCTGCCTGCGGGGCCTTGTGTTAGCTGTGTTGTGCCTGGGGAGACTGTTGCTAGTGGAAGGTGCCTCTGGAGATGGGGTGGGGCCCAGCTGCATGAATGCACTGTGCTGGGCAGTGGGGAGTGGGGGAGGGATGGGTGCGCCCAGCCTGACTGCTTACTCAACTGCCAGCCCCACAGGGCCTGGGACAGAGCCAGATCCCTGTGGCACTGCATCCCTTCCTGGCTCCAAGGAGGAGGGGCAGGCCACTGCCCTGCAGGGGCTGAAATGCCCTGGATGGAGACAAGTCCGTGGCTGGGGAGGCTTGACGCATGATTCCTGTGTGACCCTGGACAGGTCCCTTTCCCTCTCTGGCTTCACAGGGGCTTCTCAGCCCGAGCCAGGGCTGACAAAATTGCTGAGGAATCAAAGTTCAAAAGGGCCCCAGGTTCTGACCGGCCACTGCGGCTCATGCCTGAAATCCCAGCACTTTGGGAGGTCTAGGTGGGAGGATCACTTGAGCCCAGGAGTTTGGACCAGCCTGGGGAACATATAGAGAACTTGTTTCTATTGTACAGCAACAAAAATGCCCCAGGTGGGCTGGGCGCGGTGGCTCATGCCTGTAATCCCAGCACTTTGGGAGGCCGAGGTGGGCAGATCACAAGGTGAGGAGTTTGAGACCAGCCTGACCAACATGGTGAAACCCCGCCTCTACTAAAAATACAAAAATTAGCCGTGCATGATGGTGGGCGCCTGTAATCCGAGCTACTTAGGAAGCTGAGGCAGGAGAATCGCTTGAACCCAGGAGGTGGAGCTTGCAGTGAGCCAAGATTGCACCACTGCACTCCAGTCTGGGCGACAGAGCAAGACTCCATCTCAAAAAGAAAAAAAAAAAAAAAGCCCCAGGTGGCCCAGGTCCTGGGGCCCTAAGACCTCCCACCCAGGCCCACCTCCAAGGGCAGGTCCTGCAACCCACAGAGACTGAGCTGAGCCTGAGGGACACCTCTGCTCACTGCCACAAAGCTTGTCACTGGCCGTTGTTAGGAGCCAGTCCCAGGATTTCTGTCTTTACGGATCTTTTGTTGTTGGTTTTCAGGCCTGAAACGTGACTTAGTGGGCTGGCTCCTGACAAGGTGGTGAGCCAGAGGTTGTGACCCCGAGTGGAAGAGCAGCCCTGATCCTGGACATAAACCTCAAGAGACGAAGCCACCTCACTGAAGGCCTTCAACGGAGACATCGGATATACCTGCCCGCTAAGATAGGTGGGTTTTCCAGGACTTGAAACGTGGGCCCTGTTTGAGGACCCACTGTTCGCCCCGACCCAAGGATCATCAATCGGAGCCTTCTCCAAGCCTGGCTTTACCTCGCTCACAGCACAATTATATTGTCAGAAGTTGCCTTGCCTGAGCGCGGTGGCTCATGCCTGTAATCCCAACACTTTGGGAAGCCAGGGCAGGAAGATCACTTGAGCCCAGGAGTTTGAGACCCGCCTGTGCAACATAGTGAGACCCCCCCATCTCTACAAAAACTACAAAAAATTAGCCAGGCATGGTGGTGTGTTCCTGTAATCCCACCTACTTGGAAGGCTGAGGCAGGAGGATCACTTGAGCCCGGGAGTTGGAGGCTGCAGTGAGCTATGATCGCACCACTGCACTCCAGCCTGGGTTACAGAGCAAGACGCCCGCCTCTTAAAAATAAGTAAATAAACTGGCCGGGCACGGTGGCTCACGCCTGTAATCCCAGCACTTTGGGAGGCCGAGGCGGGCAGATCATGAGGTCAGCAGTTCGAGACCAGCCTGGCCAACATGGTGAAACCCTGTCTCTACTATAAATACAAAAATTAGTCAGCCGGGTGCGGTGGCTCATGCCTGTAATCACAGCACTTTGGGAGGCCGAGGCAGACAGATCACCTGAGGTCAGGAGTTTGAGACCAGCCTGGCCAACATGGTGAAACCCTGTCTCTACTTAAAATACGAAAAACTAGCTGGGCGTGGTGGTATGTGCCTGTAATCCCAGCTACTCGGGAGGCTGAGGCAGGAGAATTGCATGAACCTGGGAAGCGGAGGTTGCAGTGAGCCGAGATCGTGCCATTGCACTCCAGACTGGGGGACAAGAGCAAGACTTTGTCTCAAAAAAAAAAAAAGAAAATTAGCCAGGTATGGTGGCGGGTGCCTGTAATCCCACCTACTCCAGAGGCTGAGGCAGGAGAATCACTTGAACCCAGGAGGCAGAGGTTGCAGTGAACCAAGACCATGCCACTGCACCACAGCCTGGGCGACAGAGTGAGACTCTGTCTCAAAAATAAATAAATAACTTAAAAAAAGAGGCCAGGGCTGGGCGCGGTGGCTCACAGCTGTAATCCCAGCACTTTGGGAGGCTGAGGTGGGCGGATCACTTGAGGTCAGGAGTTCAAGACCAGCCTGGCCAACATTTTGAAACCCCATCTCTACTAAAAAAAATAAATAGCTGGGCATGGTGGTGCATGCCTGTAATCCCAGCTACTCAGGAGGCCAAGGCAGGAGAATCACTTGAACCCTGGAGGCAGAGGTTGCAGTGAGCCTAGATCACACCACTGTACTTCAGCCTGGGTGGCAGGGTGGCAGAGCCAGACTCCGTCTCAAAAAAAAAAAAAAAAAAAAGTTGCCTTTGGAGTCTGAAACCAATCTGTAGGTTACAGGCATCCCAGCATCTTGATTCAGGCCACCACTGATGTAACATCATCAGTTTTATGAGAAATCATGGTGACATCTGGCTGCCAAAATCCTGGTGGCTCACTGCAATCCAGAATTATTTAAATAGGCAGAGAAATACTTTCATGTCTATGAGTGTTACAAGCAGCATTTTTTTTTCTGTGTAGAGAACTATAAAATATAACCACTATTACTGAAGTGCTGTTTTGGCATCTCATTTGTAAATGTTTAGTAAGAATTTCTTGGGAGGCCAATGCGGGAGGATCACTTGAGGCCAGGAGTTCAAGACCAGCCTGGGCAATGTAATGAGACCTTATCTCTAGAAAAAATGCAAAAACGCAGCCAGGCATGGTGGCATATGCCCATGGTCCCAGCTACTTGGCAGGCTGAGGTAGCATGATAGCTTGATCCCAGGATTTTTTTTTGAGACGGAGTCTCCCTCTGTCGCCCAAGCTGGAGTGCAGTGGTACAATCTCGGCTCACTACAGCCTCCATCTCCCGGGTTCAAGTGATTCTCCTGCCTCAACCTCCCGAGTATCTGGGATTACAGGCACGCGCCACCACACCCGGTTAATTTTTGTGTTTTTAGTAGAGACGGAGTTTCACCATGTTGGTCAGGCTGGTCTTGAACTCCTGGCCTCAGGTGATCCACCTGCCTTGGCCTCCCAAAGTGCTGAGATTATAGGTGTGAGCCACTGGCCCAGCCAAGACCAGGATTTTGAGGCTGCAGTGAGTTGTGATCACACCATTGCACTCCAGCCTGGGCAACAGTGAGACTTTGTCTCTTTAAAAAAAAAAGAAAGAAAGAAAGAAAACAGAATTTCAGCAATAACTTCCCCCAGAATTGGAAGTGGCCCTGGCCCTCCAGACCCGGAGTGTGTTCCCTTCACACCTCTGGGCCTCTGTTTGTTGTTGTTGTTGTTGTTGTTGTTGTTGTTGTTGTTTTCTTTGAGACTGAGTCTCACTCTGTCTCCCAGGCTGGAGTGCAGTGGTGCAATCTCCACTCACTGCAACCTCCGCCTCCCGGGTTCAGTAGCTGGGATTACAGGCACCCGCCACCAAGCCCGGCTAATTTTAGTATTTTTAGTAGAGACGGGGTTTCACCATGTTGGCCAGGGTGGTCTCGAACTCCTGACCTCAGGTGATCCACCCGCATCCCAAAGTGCTGGGATTACAGGCGTGAGACACCGCGCCCGGCCTGGGCCTCACTTTCCACAGCTGTAAAATGAGGACAAAGCCTGTGTCTACAGGGAAACTCGAAGATTAGATGCAATCGCTGTAGAGAGTGCTTGGCCTACACTCCCTAGATTCTACCTGGCCCAGCAGGACCCTACCAGGAGGCACAAATAACACAGAGGGCCTCCCTCTTGCCCCCAGGCCAGGAAATCATCCGGTTTATTCTTGAGCACAGACAGGCCCCAGCCTGCCTTTCCTTTGTACAAACAACCCCCCTCCTTGTTCATCCAGAGGAGAAAATGGGCCCATTGTTACTGCACTGAGGGGTCACTGTTGCCAGGCAGGCAGGCGGGCGCCATCCTGAAGGCCGTGGGTGGCCTCCGACCTTTCTGGTCTGAAACAGGCTGTGCCCCTCGCCGGTTCCTGGTGTGACAGTTCCTGAGTGAGGAGGTAGGGGAATGGCTGCCGACCAGGCCAGGGTGACAGGCTGGCCCAGAAAGGCACAGGAGTTTTCTCCTTTCCCTGGTTTGACAACAAGCAAAGCACCCTGAATGTCCTGGGCTAAGAAGGACAGCGCAGAAACAAGGAGTTCAAAAATATATTCTTTAGGGCGTATAAAAAGGAGACAGTTGCATGCTACAAAAGCTAGGCTAGGGCCGGGCGCGGTGGCTTACACCTATAACTGCAGCACTTTCGAAGGCCGAGGCGGGTGGATCACCTAAGGTCAGGAGTTTGAGACCAGCCTGGTCAACATGGTGAAACCCCCTCCCCTCCCCGGTCTCTACCAAAAATATAAAATATCCGGGTGTGGTGGTGGGCGCCTGTAATCCCAGCTACTCTGAAGGATGAGACAGGAGAATCGCTTGAACCTGGGAGGCGGAGGTTGCAGTTAGCCAAAATCGCACCACTGCACCCCAGCCAGGGCGACAGAGTGGGACTCTGTCTTAAAAAAAAAAAAACAAAAAACAGAAACTCACACCCTGGCTAAAGAGGGTGCCCTGAACTCCAGGCAAGCTTGGCCAAGTCTTGCCAGAAATCCAGATCTTTGTGTTTGCATTGCCAGGTTTTTAGCAAGGGTGACTGATTCAAAGCTTAAAAACAAACAAGAACACTTCTGTCTGGGTTAAACGTCTGCACCTGGCCTGTGGGCCTATTTGAAAACTTTTTGACTGTTCAGCCTGTTCTGATGCTTAGACAGGACTTTGGCTCTGCCGTAGGGTCCCCCTGCAGGGTGCTGGTGACTCCCAAGGACACTGACAGCAGTGGCTTTCTGTCTCCATTCTGTAATCTGCATTCCGGGCTCACACTGTGGTCCCAAACACTGCAGGCTGGAGGTGGTCCCTGTCCGCCTCTTCCCCAGTGCTGTTGTCAAGGGGTGGACCAGGCCCACCGGGGGGTGGGTGGCCGGGGTCACTGGCCGGCAGGGGCCCCAGGCGCTCAGCCTCAGCCAGGGCATCCAGCAGCCCAGCCAGGGGTGGCCGGCGGCGGCAGATGTCCTGCAGCAGCTCAGCCCGGGGCTGCAACTGCCTAATGAGCTCGTCCCTCTGGTGCACGGTGGCCTGCAGGCTGTGGACAGTGGCTTCTGAGGTCATCAGCTGCTCCTGGAGTGTGGCAATCTCACTGGCAGGAAGGCAAGAGGAGGTGATTACAGAACTGAGGACCACAGCACCTGCTCCTCCCTGCTCTGGACCCGCAAGAGGTTCCCCATCACCTTTGGGATAAAGCCCGCATTCCTCACCACTGCCTCAGGGTCCTCCCTGGTTATGAACAGAATGTTTCTTTGTTTTTATTATTATTATTATATTTTATTTTATTATTATTTTTTTTTGAGACGAAGTCTAGCTCTGTCGCCCAGGCTGGAGTGCAATGGTGCAATCTCAGCTCACTGCAACTTCCGGCTCCAGGGTTCAAGCAATTCTCCTGCCTCAGCCTCCCTAGTAGCTGGGATTACAGGTGCCCACCACTATGCCCGGCTAGTTTTTTGTATCTTCAGTAGAGATGGGGTTTCACCATGCTGGCCAGGCTGGTCTCGAACTCCTGACCACGTGATCCACCCGCCATGGCCTCTCAAAGTGCTGGGATTACAGGCGTGAGCCACCACGCCCAGCCTATTATTATAATTTCTGAGACAGTCTCGCTCTGTTGCCCAGGCTGGAGTTCAGTGCAACCTCTGCCTCCCAGGTTCAAACTGTCCTCCTCAACCTCCCGAGTAGCTGGGTTTACAGGCATGCGCCACCATGCCTGACTGATTTTTGTATTTTTAGTAGAGACAAGGTTTTGCCATGTTGGCCAGACTGGTCTTAAACTCCTGACCTCAAGTGATCCACCCGCCTTGGCCTCCCAAAGTACTGGGATTACAGGCTGAGCCACTGTACCCAGCCTGAACTGCATCTTTCTGTCTCCCCAAAATTCATATGATGAAGTCCTAACCCCAATGGGAGGTGTATTAGTCCATTCTCACGATGCTCTAAGGACATACCTGATACTGGGTGATTTATAAAGAGGTGTAATTGACTCACATTTCCACATGGCTGGGGGTGGCCTCGGGAAACTTACAATCATGATGGAAGGAACCTCTTTATAGGGCAGCAGGAGAGACAGTGAGAGACCAGCAAAGGGGGAATCCCTTATAAAACCATCAGATCTCCCTTATTGATTGAGACGGAATCTAGCTCTGTCATCCAGGCTGGAGTGCAGTGGTGTGATCTCGGCTCACTGCAACCTCCGCCTCCCGAGTTCAAGCAATTCTGCCTCCTCAGCCTCCCCAGTAGCTGGGACTGCAGGCGTGTGCCACCATGCCCAGCTAATTTTTTTTTTTTTTTTTTTTTTTTTTAGTAGAGACAGGGTTTCACCATGTTGGCCAGGCTGGTCTCAAATTCTTGACCTCAGGTGATCTGACCGCTTCGGCCTCCCAAAGTGCTGAGAGTATAGGCGTGAGCCATTGCGCCCAGCCATCAGATCTCATGAGAACTCACTCACTATCATGAGAATAGCATGAAGGGGAAACCATCCCCCATGATTCATTTACCTCCCACCAGTTCCTTCCACACCACGTGGGCATTATGGGATTACAATTCAAGCTGACATTTGGGTGGAAACACAAAGTCTAACCATAGCAGAAGGGTATTTAGAGATGGAGCTTTTTGGAGGTGATTAGGGTTAGATGAGGTTGTCAGGGTGGGGGTCTCTATGATGGGATTAGTGTGCTTATATGAAGAGATACAAAAGAACTCCCTGGCTCTCTCTGCCCTGTGAGGACACAGAGAGAAGCCAGAAATCTGCAAGCCCGGAAGAGGGCCCTCCCATAACCTGACCATGCTGGCACCCTGCTCTCGGACGTCCAGCCTCCAGAACGCTGAGAAACAAACCTCTTGTTTAAGCCACTTAATTTATGGCATTTTGTTTTTTTGTTTGTTTGAGACAGAGTCTCTCTCTGTTGCCCAGGCTGGAGTGCAGTGGCACAATTTCGGCTCACTGCAACTTCCGCCTCCTGGGTTCAAGCGATTCTCGTGCCTCAACCTCCCGAGTAGCTGGGACTACAGGCGTGTGCCACCACACCCAGCTAATTTTTTTGTATTTTTAGTAGAGACAGGGTTTCGCCATGTTGGCCAGGCTGGTCTCGAACTCCTGACCTCAGGTGATCTGCCTGCCTCAGCCTTCCAAAGTGCTGGGATTACAGGCGTGAGCCACCACCCAGCCAGTTTATGGCATTTTCTTATGAGAACCCTCATTTCGTCCCCTCACTCTTCCTGCAGTTCGTTCCTTTCCATTATCTTTTCCCACCTATTCTTAGTAGGCTCTTCCTCTGGGAAGCCTTCACTCTGAGATCCCTCAGAGCCCCATATGCCCCTCCATCATGGCCGCTGGCCACCAATGATGTAACTGCCCAGTGACATGTCTGTCTCTCCACTGGACTGTGGATACCCAATGGGCAAGGCTAAGTCTTACTGATGTGCTCCAGTACTCAGCAGAATGCCTGACACACAGTAGGTGCTCAATGAAGACGAATGAATGAGTGCCTGGCACAGAGCAGGTGCTCGGTAAAAATGAATATGTCCAATTAGCTCTGAAGTAATAGTTCCCACCTGGGACCCAGCTCCTCCCACCTCCCTGGGTGCCTGTCTCATCTCTTTCATCCTCAGCTGTCAGAGGGACTCTTCAACAATGCTGATATGGGCCAGCATGGTGGCTCGTGCCTATAATCCCAGCACTTCGGGAGGCTGAGGCAGGAGGATCACTTGAGCCCAGGAGTTCAAGGCCAGCCTAGGCAACATAGTCTGACCCCATTTCTAAAGGATTTTTTTTTTTAAATCAGCCAGGTGTGCTGTCGCACGCCTGTAATCCCAGCTACTTGAGAGGCTGAGGAGGGAGGGTGAGACTGCAGTGAGTCGAGATCGCACCACTGCATTCCAGCCTGGGCAACAGAGCAAGACCCTCTCTCAAAAATAATAGATAGGCATGGTGGCTTAGCCTGTAATCCCAGCACTTTGGAAGGGTGAGGTGGGAGGACTGCTTGAGCCCAGGAGTTCAAGACCAAACTGGGCAACAGGGCAAAACTGTCTCTACAAAAAAATACAAAAAATAAGCCATGCGTGGTGGTGGACGCCTGTAGTCCCAGCTGCTTGGGAGACTGAGGTGGGAGAATCACCTGAGCTCCGGAGGTCGAGGTGCACTCCAGCCTGGGCATAGGAGTGAGGCCCTGCCTCAAAAATAATAAATTTAGGCCGGGTGCGGTGGCTCACCCCTGTAATCCCAGCACTTTTAGGAGGCTGAGGCGGGCGGATCACCTGAGGTCAGGAGTTAGAGACCAGCCTGCACAACGTGACGAAAACCAGTCTCTACTAGAAATACAAAAAATCGACCGGGCGTGGTGGCGGGCGCCTGTAATCCCAGCTACACGGGAGGCTGAGGCAGGAGAATCGCTTGAATCTGGGAGGTGGAGGTTGCAGTGAGCTGAGATCACGCCACTGCACTCCAGCCTAGGCGACAAGAGCGAAACTCCGTCTCAAAAAAATAATAATAAATTTTAAAAGTTAAAATGCTGATATGATCCCCTCCTCCCCTGCTGAAGAGCCTGCTATGGCTCCCAATGCCTACGCTGGGCGGTCTGTGGTCCCTGCGTCGCTCAGCACCTGTGGGAAAGTGGGCCTGTTTGAAGTTAGAGGTCCACACCTGTGTCACTTCTCGCAACTTTACATACTGATTACTAATTCGAGTTTTTTGGTGTTTTTATCAATCCGATACTCAGTCTAGCGTCTATACAAGTGCACACGGTTCCCCCTGCCCTTCCTCGCTTTCCAGCCTCGGCTCTGCCTCCGCCTACCGCCTCGGTGAAGTCCACCTGGCCGGCCCCGGGCCTCACCGGTCCTTGGCGCGACCCAGTTCGTCTAGGGCGGCGCGCAGCTGCTGGTCGTGGAGGGCCAGGCGCTCGGCTTGGGCGTGCACCGTGCGCTCCGCCGCGTCCAGCCGCGCCTCCAGCTCCGCTGCGCGCCGGTGCACGGCTGCCAGGTGTGCGTTTGCCTCCCGGATCTGCAGGGCCGGCGGCGCCGACATGGCCCAGGCTGCTGTACAGGCCCGGCCACGCCCCCAGGCGGCCCGGAACTGGCACAGGCCCCGCCCCCGGGAGGGCCCCGCCCCACTAGACCTCGGCGCGATTGGTCGCTGACCCCGCTAGACCCCACCCCAGAGGGCTGGGTCGTGCTCTCCTCAAACCCAAACACTACCACCGGTTCCGGGATCATGAAACTCCGCCCCTGAGTTTGGGCTCACTCTAGGATTGGACAAGATCTTGACAGCCACGCCCCCAGGCTGGCCACATCCTTTGGCGGCTCGCGCAACTCAGGCTCTGGAAACAAGATTGGTCACACCTTCGATACTGTCCCCTCCCTACTTGGAAGCTAACACCAGGATTGGCCCGGACTCCGCGAAACAGCAAGCCTGACCACGCCCCCCGAACCTGTGGCCTGTCAGGGGTAGATCCAGGCACGGCCTCGCCCCTTCATCCCTTATACAGTCTCAGATTGGTCAAGTCCCTTTTAGGTTATGCCTCCAATTCTAGCCACGCCCCCAAGTCAAGCGCCTGTGTACTTCATCCGGCCTAGGGCGTGGGACAGCCGCGGGGTGAACAGAGGCCACGTCCCGCTGAGCTTCTCGTATTGTCATTGGTCACTTTCCCGATAATCCCCGCCCCTGATCCTGTCCACGGCCCAAAACAGTAGCACGCTGCTCAGACTCCAGCTTGGTGACTGACCACAGGGCATGACCACTCGCTATGCAGATTCTGACACTGGGTGTGGCCACATCCCCGCCATGCCCCGCCCCCCAGTCATTGTTTCGTCATGTCTTGCTCCTATCAACTGGAGTCCCGCCCGTCCCAGTCTGAGCCCGGCCCCTCCCCTAGTAGATAGTCCCCGCCTCTAGTAGTCCCTAACCTAGGACTCCCTGAGCTGGGACTAGCGAAATCTGTCTGCACTGATCGCAGTCGTCCTCAGTTTCACCCTCTAGGAATCGGCCTGGGGATGCACGTGCTACTCTCTTCCTCCAGGCCGGTCCCCGGCGCGTGCGCGCGATCCATGTCCATGTCCGCGCCTATCAATAAAGTTGCTCACTTGTTGCCGGCCCGCTAGCCCGAAAGGTTGCGCGCGCAGCCCGAGAAGTCTCGCGATAGCCAGCCGCGGCTGCCCTTGCGCTTCCCGAGCTGGCGGGGTCCGTGGTGCGGGATCGAGATTGCGGGCTATGGCGCCGAAGGTTTTTCGTCAGTACTGGGATATCCCCGATGGCACCGATTGCCACCGCAAAGCCTACAGCACCACCAGTATTGCCAGCGTCGCTGGTGAGCGCCGGCCGGGCCCCGAGGGTGGAGGGCCGAGGCCGCAGGGAGGTCGTGGGGTTACTGGGGGCTGTTTGGATCGAACGGGTCTGGGAGTCTCGCGGGTACGCACGTGGTTGTCATCGGGGTGTCTTGGGCGGTCGTAGGGGGGGATCTTGTGTGAAATGGATGTTGGTAGGGGGTCCAGCAGGGTTGGGGAGCACTGGGAGGTCGTGACATGCGACAAGCTAGTCCCTGGGGTCATCTGAGGCGGTCCCAAGCTATCGCCAGGCTCGGGGAAATTGTGGAGTGAGACAGGGCTATTATCAGGTCCAAGGAGCTAAGGGACCACGAGACTTTCCAACGGGGTAGAGATTGTTAGAGGGGATCATGAGTCATGATTGGGGCATCTGAGGGCGGTACAGATGTTTGAGAAAGTTTTGGGGTGGGATGAGGTCTTTCTGTGGTCAGGGGGTGCTGGGTGGTTAGGGACACCTGAAGCTTTTACTGGGACCGCCAGAGAGGTCCTAGGTGAGGTGGATCAGGAGCTACTATGAGGGTAGCCTTGCAGGGGAATGAAGGGGACCCGCAAGCCCTGGCATTCTCCTTTTTTTTTTTTTTTTTTGAGACAGAGCCTTGCTCTGTCGCCCGGGCTGGACTGCAGTGGCGAGATCTCGGCTCACTGCAACCTTCACGTCCCTGGTTCGAGCAATTCCCTTGCCTCAGCCTCCCAAGTAGCTGGGATTACGGGCTCACGCCACCGCGCCTGGCTAATTATTTTGTATTTTTAGTAGAGACGGGGTTTCACCGTGTTGGCCAGACTGATCTGGAACTCCTGGTCTCAGGCCATCCGCCCATCTCGGGCTCCCAAAGTGCTGGGATTACAGGCGTGAGCCACCATGCCCGGCCGGCCCTGGCATTCTCTTATAGAGTAAATCTGAGTCTTGCCCCTTCCAGCCTGAGCGTTTCATGGGCATCATGCCCTTTAATTCTCAGCCACAGGTTGGGACTCATCAGGTCCCAGATGGAGCTGGAAGTCCTCTTCCCTCTGATGAAGAATCTTTACAAACTGGGCCAGGCGCGGTGGCTCACACCTGTAATCCGGCGCTCAGGAGGCCAAAGTGGGAGGATCGCTTGAGGCCAGGAGTTCCAGACCAGCCTGGGCAAAATAGCAAGATCCCCATCTCTGCAAAAAAGTAAAACAATTAGCTGGGCATGATGGTGCGTACCTGTAGTCCCAGCTACTCAGGAGGCTGAGACAAGAGGATCACTTGAAACCAGGAGTTCAAGGCTCTAGTGAGCTATGTTTGCACCACTGCACCCCAGCCTGGGCGACAGAGCGAGACCTTGTCTCAAAAAATAAAAATAATAGGCCGGGCATGGTGGCTCACACCTGTAATCCCAGCACTTTGGGAGGCGGATCATGAGGTCAGGAGATTGAGACCATCCTGGCTAACACGGTGAAACCCCGTCTCTACTAAAAATACAAAAAATCAGCCAGGCATGATGGCGGGTGCCTGTAGTCCCAGCTACTTGGGAGGCTGAGGCAGGAGAATGGCGTGAATCCAGGAGGCAGAGGTTGCAGTGAGCCGAGATTGTGCCACTGCACTCCAGCCTGGGCGACAGAGTGAGACGCTGTCTCAAAAAACAAAACAAAACAAAACCAGCCGGGCGCGGTGGCTCACGCCTGTAGTCCCAGCACTTTGGGAGGCCGAGGCAGGTGGATCACGAGGTCAGGAGATCGAGACCATCCTGGCTAACACGGTGAAAACCCGTCTCTACTAAAAATACAAAAAAAATTAGCCGGGCGTGGTGGTGGACACCTGTAGTCCCAGATACTCAGGAGGCTGAGGAAGGAGAATGGCGTGAACCTGGGAGGCGGAGCTTGCAGTGAGCCGAGATTGCGCCTCTGCACTCCAGCCTGGGCGACAGAGCAAGACTCCGTCTCAAAAAGAAAAAAAAAAAAAAACCCAAAGAAACAGTCTTTACAACCTGGTGTGTCTATAAGCTGAGGAATCAATTTGGTCAACTCTGTATTTCCAGCATATGTGAAACAGGGCCCGGCCAAAGTTGCGGCTCCATTGGGAGGCATTTGAATTAGGGCAGACCTAATCATCACTCCCATATTTTGCATATTTATTAATAGTAAGACAGACGTTATTGTGTCTCCATTTCTTACAGGTAGGGACTGAAGGTTGGAGAAGCATATTAACTGCTCCAGGGTCATTTGAAGCTGGGCTGCAAGTCCAGGTCGGCTGACCTGCTCCTAGGGGTCTCTGAAGCAAGGAATGTTCCCATCAGGTCCTTATCGAGGGTCTTCAAGAGAAAGGGCTGAAGGGGGCCACCCAGGGGATAGGATCTGAAACTGAGAAAGACGCGTATGTTGGTGTTCATGTGAGAGAGTGTGTGCATTCCTCATGTGTGAATACAAAATGAGTGGGCTGCGGTCTCAGGAGGCCTTTGGAGGAGACAGCTTGTCTCGGGGTGTGGTGCTGCTGAGTGAAGGGCCTCTGAGACCGGGGGTGCTCCCCAGAGGGTCTTAGAAGGGGAGGTCAGAACTTTTGACAGAGTTGCCATGTCAGGAGATCGCTGATGGCATCAGATTTAGATTTAGGGGTGCTCAGTGGCTTCTGTGAGCCCTCCAAGGGTGCCCCGGGGTCTTTGAGAGTGACATTCATTCTCCCTAAATTTTTCTTTTTTCTTTTTTCTTTTTTTTTTTTTTTTTGAGACGGAGTCTCATTCTGTCACCCAGGCTGGAGTGCAGTGGTGCGATCTTGGCTTACTGCAACCTCTGCCTCCCAGCAATTCTTGTGTCTCAGCCTCCCAAGTAGCTGGGATTACAGGTGCCTGCCACCGTGCCTGGCTAATTTTTGTATTTTTAGTAGAGACAAGGTTTCGCCATGTTGGCCAGGCCGGTCTCAACCTCCTGACCTCAGGTGATCCGCCCGCCTTGGCCTCCCAAAGTGCTGGGATTACAGGCGTGAGCCACTGCACCCACCCTTCTCCCTAAATTCTTCAGTGACCAGCTCCACTCATTGTGCAGAACTTGCTGAAACGTGTTTCTGGGTCCTCCCCTCACTGCCCCACTCACTTCATTCCGGGGCTCCCCTCACTTCTCATCTGAGGGAGATAAATTGTTTCCTGGCTGGCTTCCCTGAGTTGGGGACCCTGGACGGCGGGGAGACTATACTCAGCAGAGCCCAGGACCTGTGGGCACATGATAACTATGGATGAATGAATGAATGAATGAATGAAGCATCTTGTGGGCACCATTTGTGAGTGAATGAATGAGTGAATGTGGCACCTTGTTAGGTACTCGGTAACTTTGTGAATGAATGAATGAGTGGCAGTAGCTGAATGAATGAATGAATTCACACTGGGTCTGGCGGTCACTGTGGGAGGCTCAGAGGAAACCAGCAGTTTCCCTTCAGAGGGAAGGGGGCCTTTTGAAGGGCGCTGGGGGCTCCTGGAGGGGTGGATATGGCAGGACACCACAGCTGGATGACAGCTGGGGCAGAGTTGGGGTGGGGCAGTCCTTGACCTCTATGGGATAATCAGGGGGTCCCAGCTCGTCCACTCCCAGTTCAAGGACTTTGGAAGGGATGGAGGATGGTGGGCGCACTCACCGTGTCAGGTGTGCTCCATGAGCTAGGGGTCCCTTGGTCAGGACAGCTGGCATGTGGGGGTGGTGTAAGGAGGTTCCGCCCAGGAGTCCCTCGGTGACAGTTCTGGGGGCGTCACTGAGTCTTGTCGGTGGTTCCCTCTTGAGATGAGAGGGTTATAAGACTGTCATGGCTGGCCCAGCCCTGGATCAGGACTTTTCAGGTCCCAGGCAGGGCTGGCAGTCCCCTCCCATTAAGAATCTTCAAGTCCGGGCATGGTTGCTCAGGCCTTTAATCCCAGCACTTTGGGAGGCTGAGGTGGGTGGATCACCTAAGGTCAGGAGTTTGAGACCAGCCTGGCCAACATGGTAAAACCCCGTCTCTACTAAAAATACAAAAAATAATAATAATAATAATTAGCTGGGCATGGTGGCAGGCGCCTGTAATCCCAGCTACTCAGGAGGCTGAGGTGGGAAAATTGAACCAAGGAGGCAGAGGTTGCAGTGAGCCAAGTTTGCACCACTGCACTCTAGCCTGGGCAACAGAGCAAGACTGTCTCAAAAAAAAAAAAAAAAAAAAAAAGAGTCCGGGCGCGGTGGCTCACGCCTGTAATCTCAGCACTTTTGGGAGGCCGAGGCGGGCGGATCACGAGGTCAGGAGATGGAGACCATCCTGGCTAACACGGTGAAACCCCGTCTCTACTAAAAATACAAAAAATTAGCCAGGCGTGGTGGCGGGCGCCTGTAGTCCCAGCTACTCGGGAGGCTGAGGCAGGAGAATGGTGTGAACCCAGGAGGCGGGGCTTGCAGTGAGCCGAGATAGCGCCACTGCACTCCAGCCTGGGCGACAGAGCGAGACTCTATCTCAAGAAAAAAAAAAAAAAAAGAATCTTCATAGACTCCAGCTCTCTTTCAATTAGTAAATACATAAAAGAATTTGGAAGGGGGGGATGTGTGTGTGTGTGTGTGTGCACTGACTGAAGTGTGACTGAGGATGGGGCTGCTGGGCCAGGAGCAGGTGGGGAGTCCTGGGGGGACGGCTGTACTGGACTCCAGTCCCTTACCGTGGATGCAGTAGCAACCCCCTTTCCTGCCACAGCCCCCAGACCTGGCACTCCGCTCCATCCACCTTTCTTTCTTTTTTTTTTTTTTTTTTATTTTGAGACGGAGTCTCACTCTGTCCCCCAGGCTGGAGTGCAGTGGCGCAATCTTGGCTCACTGCAGCCTCCGCTTCCTGGGTTCAAGTGGTTCTCCTGACTCAGCCTCCCAAGTAGCTGGGACTACAGATGTGTACCACCATGCCTGGCTAATTTTTGTATTTTTAGTAGAGAAGGGATTTCACCATGTCGGTCAGGCTGGTCTCAAACTCCTAACCTCAAATGATCCGCCCACCTTGGCCTCTTAAAGTGCTGGGATTACAGGCGTGAGCCACTGCGCCTGGTCCTCCATCCACCTTTCTGAGGTCGAGCAGGAATCCCAGGGGTTGGTGTAGGATTAGGAGAAACCAGATCCACAAGGTACTCTTTATATGTGGTCCCTTTCTCTGCATCCTGGGTCTCAGTTTCCCCATCTGTGCTTGTGGGGAGCAGATGGTCCCTCCTATGGGCTGCTCTGAATATGTGCTCACCCCACTGCTGGATGTGAGAGTCCCCTCAGTCGCTCTTGAGGGACAGAACCAACATGAGCTGAATTGGATCTGAGGCTAGGGTGCTGTTGGGGGGGGTCACTGCCAGGCCTGGCATGTCCCATGGGTCCCTTGAAGCTGGATGGGGAACTGGGGTGGAGCCCACTCCCCTGGGGCAGTCGTGGTGGGTGAAGCATAGGCTGTGGTCAGACCTGCCTGGCGTCCAGGCTCGCTGTGCTGGGTGACCTCTGGAGAATTGCTTTACATCTCGGAGGTCCCTTCACCTCCCGTGAAGGAGGGGATAACGGGACTGAGCCCATCGGGCCCCGAGAAGGATGAGGGCCCTTGTGGCCCATCCCTGGCAGTTCTGTTTTCTCTGGGATGGGCTGGCCCGAGGAGGTCCCTGCCTGCAACTGGGCTATGTTTCGAGGCTGTAGGGAGAGGGGGGTGCTTGTTTGCCCTGAGCAGTCAGGCAGAGGATTGGGGAGCCCCGGCTCGGGCTGGCTCAATCTGCCCATCCACCATAGAGGGGCTGGTGAAGCTGGGCGGGCTCTGGGAGGACGTGGCCCAAGGGACTGCCCAGCCTCACTCAGGACGCCCCTAGGCACCCAGCAGGGACGGTGGGCTGGGATCAAACCTCCGTCCCCACCACCTACCTGGCCCTGAGTTCTGGGCCCGGCCCCGGCCCAAGCTCCTCATGCATAGAAGCCAATGTCAGGGGCCAGGCGGCCTGGGAAATGGCAGAGATGGAAAAGCTGACCGGAGTGGCGAGGCTGGGTGGCGGGGGCGGCAGCCAGACAGCCAGGTGTGCAGGACGAGCCCAGGCCCGAGCTGCCAGCAGGAGGGGGTCGAGAGTGGCAAGGAGGAGGCGTTGGCAGCCAGGCAGGGAAGCAGAGCCACTGCCAAGGGGGATTAGGCCCAGGAGCCCCGGGCCCCACAGGAGAATAGAGCCATTGATGGGAACCTGGAGCTGGGGCCCTGGTGCCAGGGCCCGTGGGGGGCGCCGCTGAGCTGGCGGTGTGAGGCTGGAAGCAGCCGCAGAACTGAGGTCTCAGGCCTGTTCTTGTGTCCACCACGTGGATGAGTCTCCGTCTGCCGGCCGGTGCCCTGCCAGGGCCAGCATGGCTGATGGGCGCCCAGCAGGTGCTCTGCAGGAGCCAGTACTGGTCAGGCTTGAGAAAGTGGCCAAGGAAGGCCTGGCGGGGAGTGGGGAAGGAAGTGAGAGGCCCCCCAGTTTTGGAGCAGCAAACCCGAGTTCAAATCCAGCTCTGCCACTCAGCAGCCGGGGACACTATGGGCAAAGAAGGGGGGCATCGTGAGGACTGAGGGAGGGAGACCACCCAGTGGGGTGCCCGGCCAAGCAAGGGCTTAGCAGCAGTGGGGTCTGAACAGCCTCCCTCCTCTGTCTCGCAGGCCTGACCGCCGCTGCCTACAGAGTCACACTCAATCCTCCGGGCACCTTCCTTGAAGGAGTGGCTAAGGTTGGACAATACACGTTCACTGCAGGTGAGCACGCTGGGCTGGGCATGGCTGGGCCCTCTCCTGGCACAGCCCCAGCTCTCAGAGCACATTTGACGGCTGCCTCTTCTCTCTGACTCCCCAGCCCGTGTCCACAGTGCTGGCCATCCGGAGAAAGTGGGGTGTTCCTTTATCAGGAATACATGTAGGGTGGGGAGGCCCAGGAGAACAGCTCCAGGACTGGGGCCAGGAGGCTGCCATGCACAGCGAGCAGCCGACTCGTGGCATCTCTCTCCATCCAGACACTGGCAGTGAGCGCCCAAGAGGCTCCTGCTGTGCCCGTCTCGAGGCCCTTGCTCTTCCCGTCTACCCCGCAGCTGCTGTCGGGGCCGTGTTTGGCCTCACCACCTGCATCAGCGCCCATGTCCGCGAGAAGCCCGACGACCCCCTGAACTACTTCCTCGGTGGCTGCGCCGGAGGCCTGACTCTGGGAGCACGCAGTGAGTGGCCCCCTCCCCACCCCCACCCTCCTCCCAGCCTGGCAGAATGACCCCTGACCTCTGCTCATCCTCCACCCTCTCTGTTCCATCCCGGACAAGAAGTAAAGCAGCCTTCTTGAACACCAGCCATTTCAGTCATAGCGACAGCTGCTGCTGCTGCTTAAGCACCTACTGTGGCCCTCCCTGACCTGCCCTGTCCCCTCCCCACCCTCCCCTCCTCACTCTGCTCCAGCCACACGGGCCTCCTCACTGCTCCTCCCACATGCCAGGTACAGTCCTGCCCCAGGGCCTTTGCATGGGCAGTGCACTGCGTGGAATGCTGTTCCCCTCACTGTCCTGACCACCCTGTGTACAAGCCAGCATCCCCGCCGCCCTCGCTCTGTGCCGCCTTCCTTCTGTGTGCCTTGTCAGAGGACACAGGTCACCAAGGTCACCCCCTGTCTCTGCCACTGGCCTGTGAGTCAGAGAGGAGGATGGATGGAGTCTCGCCCTGCCATCTCTCTCCCTGCACCTGGAGCCCTGCAGGGGAGCTGCCCCCGCAACCTTCACTTTACAGAAAAGGGTATTAGGGCTCAGGGAGGGAATTAAGTGGCCCGAGGTCACCTGGAGGAGCAAGTGGCCTTCTTTGCAGCCATCAGAGGGTGCAGCCCTGGTGGAGAAGGCCACGCTTGGCACAGGGGAGCCCGTCTGGAGCATGAGCCAGACATCACTCCTGCCCTCCCATGGGCCCGGGCTCAGCGTCAGTGCCCGCCTGTGCCCCTGGCCTACCCCCAGCCCGCCAAGGCTCGGGCCCTCAGGGCCAGCGGGAGGAGTGAACGAGCCCTCTTGCAGCTCAGCCGCTCTGGCCTGGCATGTTGGGAGTGATGAATGGCAGGTTCCAGGCAGGCAGAGAGGGAGGGTGCGAGGGCAGGGCGTACGCCGTCACTGCTGTCTCTGCGTCAAGACCTTGGGGAGGCCTTGTCCCTCCCCAGCTCCCACTGGAACTGGTCAGAGGTTGCAGGTGGGTTGAGGTCTTGACTGTAGCCCAGCTCAGGCTGGAACTGCTCCCTGTCCCCAAGCCAGCCTCCCTGTCTCTCTTCAAAGAGTGTGAGTCCCTTTAGGTCCTGGTGTGTGGGGACACACCTCCTTCCTCCTCTGGCCCGGAGGCTTCGGAGCAGGAGAGCCTGGAGAAGTGGGGGCACTGTCGGGGCTCCTCGGTACACAGACCACGGGACAGATGCGTGGCCTGGCCCTGGCATCCATGGGCAAAGGAGAGACTGAGACACACCGATGTGTCACCATGGCCCGGTGCCCAGCCTTGCCCCAGCCCCAGCTGGGGGCAGCACGGTGTCCTCGCAGGGGGAAGTCAGTGTGGGGCGGGATGAGGACCCACAGCCTGGGTTCCTGCTGGGAAGCAACCTGGACTCCGGCCTCCCTCTGTGCATCAGTTTCCACATCTCCAGAGTCTAGGGCCCTCTTCCTGAGTGACTTAATCCCTGAAGAGAGTGTCCTGTCAGGGGTCTCAGTCTGGCTCCCAGGGTGGGCACCGGCCAGGGCGTGGAGCGTCTTGGTCCGGCCGAGCCCCACCCGGGCCTGACATCACCTCCCCACTCCCACAGCGCACAACTACGGGATTGGCGCCGCCGCCTGCGTGTACTTTGGCATAGCGGCCTCCCTGGTCAAGATGGGCCGGCTGGAGGGCTGGGAGGTGTTTGCAAAACCCAAGGTGTGAGCCCTGTGCCTGCCGGGACCTCCAGCCTGCAGAATGCGTCCAGAAATAAATTCTGTGTCTGTGTGTGTGTCAGTGTCCGGAGGGCTTGATGACGGCGACACAGCAGCCGGTGAGGGCGGATCTGGGAGGGAGTGAGGAAGGGAGATAAGATAAGGCCCCCTGCACACGCGCCTGCCTGCCGCCTGCCGTCCCTGCCAAGGGTACCAGCCTGGCCCCACAGAACTGGTAGTGCATCAGGCTGGGGCCATCGGGAGCCCAGGAGGGGAGACGGCTGGGATGCGCCCCAGCCTCTGCTTCCCCCAGTTCCCAGGGCAGGGCAGGAGCGTGCCAGTGACCTGCCAGCAAGTGGAAAATGGGCCCTGCCGCCCACAGCCCTTCCCTCAGCGCTGTGGGCTCTGGTCACAACCCCCCTGCAGATCTTGAGCCATCCTTTCTCTGGGCCTGTCCCCAAAGCCAACAACATGTGGAAAACACGCCCAGGCCCTGTCTCCAAATTCCTGGGCACTGGAGCGGAGAGCCCCGGACAGGCTGGTCCAGCAGCCGTCCCCATCCGGCAGGTCACTCGCAGCCCCTGGGGCTAGGGCAGAGCGGGACAGGACCCCCCTCAGCACCTGGCTGGTGGCAGCGACAAGGGAAAGAATTGCGATCCCTTCCTGCCACCTGTCAGGCCAGTGATTTAGGTGGCCCTGGAATGCTGGCACCACCCCGGGCCCCTTCTCCAGAACTGGCTCATGCTCCCTGGCAGCTGGAGAGGAAGCCTGCAAGCTCCCACATGCTGCGGTGGGCTGCAAATTAGGGCGCTCCAGGCTCCACCCAGGGGAGCGGAGCTGTGCACAGCCCTGGCTGGGATGGATCTGGGCCCTGCTGGTGGGCCGGGGACAGCAGGAACCGGCAGGGCTGGCTATGGCCCTCCTGACCCGTATCCGGCCCCATCTCTTCCCTTTTCTCAAGCCCATCCGCGGGGCCTAGATGTGAAAAGCCAAACTTCACTTTCAGCCTCATATCCTTCTCTGTCCACCCCCGAGTAGTAACTCAGCCTGGAACTCCCGGGCCCAAGCAATCCTCCCACCTCAGCCTCCCGAGTAGCCAGGACTATGGCCACCGCCACTATGCCTGGTTAATTTTTTTAAAAAATGTTGTAGGCTGGGCCTGGTGGTTTGAGCCTGTAATCTCAGCACTTTTGGAGGTTGAGGTGGGAGGATTGCTTGAGGCCAGGAGCTTGGAACCAGCCTGGGCAACGCAGTGAGACCCTGTCTCTACCAAAAATTCGTCTTTTTGAGACATAGTCTTGCTCTGTCTCTCAAGCTGGAGGGCAGTGGCAGGATCATGGCTCACTGGAACCTTGACCTTCCTGGCTTATGCGACTCTCTCATCTCAGCCTCCCTGGTAGCTGGGACTGCAGGTGTGCACCACTACAGCCAGCTAATTGTTTTTATTTTTATTTTTTGTAGAGACAGGATCTCACTGTGTTGTGCAGGCTGGTCTCAAACTCCTGGCCTCGAGCAGTCCTCACACCTCAGCCTCCCAGAGTGCTGGGATTATAGGCATGAGCCACTGTGTACAGAGATTCTGGGTCCCTTCTTCCAGCGCCTGCCTCGAAGTCCTCTCTGGAGAGAGCACAGATGTCCACGCGTGTTCCAGCACAAGGGGGGCATGCAACAGCTCAGGGTCACGTCCACTTCCGGAGCTGGGTGCCCGGGCCTCGGGCTCCCTGAGAAAGGGCGGACACACCCACCCCGCACCCAGAGGGGCAGGGGCCCTGACACCTGTCCAAGCCCTAATAGAGTCATTGTTAAACACTCTGGGTTCGAACCCCAGAACTTGATTCTTTCCTTGTTCTGTCCTCAGAGGACGGCAGCACCCAGGC
The DNA here is from genome assembly GCF_000001405.40 of Homo sapiens. Taxonomy (NCBI): domain Eukaryota; kingdom Metazoa; phylum Chordata; class Mammalia; order Primates; family Hominidae; genus Homo; species Homo sapiens. Next base: position 5,892,874 of record NC_000019.10, on the reverse strand, counting down.
CTCAGCTTTCCCACCTGGTAAATGGGAATAAGGGCCCCTCAGAGATGCCCCACAAAGAAAGACGATTCCACCTCCCTGCAGGCATCCCATCCACTCACGGGCATCGCATCCACTCGAGGGCACCGGCCTCTGTCTCTACTGCGGCCGGCAGGGGGCAGCGCCCACCACAGCACGGCCTGCTGGGCAGTGTGGACCCGGGCGGTCATCCCCAGGCCCCCAGCCCCGCGGTGACCACAGGCGTCAGATTCCATCCCTTCCTCCGCACTCCAGGCCTTGTCTGTCCCTCATCCCCCTTCCTTCCCATGCATCCTGCCCACCGCAGCCGGGAAGTGATGGCTTCTAGGAATGGGCAATACAGCCCCAAACCTCCAGCCAAGGACACCGAAGGCTGGACAGGAGGAAAGACTAGTCCACGTCCCCACGACGGTCACCCTCAGCCCTGCACCATGGCCGCTTCTGGGACTGGTTCCACGCAGGCCTCCGCCCCCTGCAAGCCCTTCCCCGGCCCTCCAGGCCCGTGTGCGGCCCAAACCCTGTACCAGATCTCTTAGCCCTCTTCCACGGATGCGCGCGCTGAGGCCCACCCTGGGTAGTGGAGCTTGAAATTTAAAGGCCGCACGCCCCTTCGCACCTCCCAGCCCCAGGTGCCTCCCTGTGTTCAAGGGAGCCGACGGCTCAGACCAGGAGCTGTGCTCGCCGCCCACCCAGCCCATTCCGGGCTAGCCGCCAGGGTTGGCGCAGGCCTGCCAGGCGCCCCCACCTCGCCTGCAGGACGGGCCCCCCAGAATGGAACACGAGGGGGTGGTCTCTTGCTGGGCTCCAGGGAACCCCAAAGCCGAGGCCCCCCGGCCCATAAACATTTACTAGGTTGTGGAGGGCTGACGTCACTCCCACCCCACACACAAGAGGGCCCCCGTCTGGAACATCGGTCCCAGCAGGCTCCCTGAGGGGCTGTGGGGGACCCTTCCTGAGTTTACCTTGAACTTCATGGAGCCCTTCCCAGCCCCAGGCAGTCAGGGCTGGAACTGAGGAGGGGCAGAGCCTCCCTGGGGAGCTAGGAGGGCTTCCTAGAGGAGGAGGCGGCACAGCAGAGAGGGCCCAAGGATGAAGAGGCTTTTCCATGTGTACCCAGCGGGAGGCTGGTCCAGGCAGAGCACACAGCAACAGCAGAGGCCTGCTGTGAGGGAGAGCAGTGGGCGATCAGGGGCCTCCTGGTCCAGGAGAGGTGCCTGGGGGCTGCAGGGCACACACTTGCTTCCCGAGAATCCATCCCTGGAGACACATCCCCAGCAGAGACAAGGCTCCAAGAACACCGGCCTGGCCCTGCGCCGTGGCTCAGGCCTGTAATCCCAGTACTTTGGGAGGCCGAGGCTGGGGGATCACTTGAGGTCAGGAGTTTCAGACCACCCTGGCCAACACAGTGAAACCCTGTCTCTACTATACAAAAATAAGCCAGGTGTGGTGGCAGGCACCTGTAATCCCAGCTACTTGGGAGGCTGAGGCATGAGAATCCCTTGAACCTGGGAGGTGGAGGTTGCAGTGAGCCGAGATCATGTCACTGTACTCCAGCCTGGGAGACAGTGAGCGAGACTTTGTATCAAAAATAAATAAATAAATAACGCTGGCCTGGGCTGGCGCTGACCCAGGCCCCGCCGCCGGGGGTCTCTAAGCTCTTGGGTGAGCCAAGAAAACATTCACAAGACAAAAAAAAGGGGGGTGGGGGTGGGGAACATCAAGCTTTTCCCACCTGCCAGGCAGGTGCAGTTGTTATTATTATTTTTGGCTCATTTTAGTCTGCGCAGCCGTGCGTGAGCTCTGTTAGGCATTAGTCCTATTTTACAGATGAGGAAACTGAGGCCCGGGAGGTGACTTCCCAGGGCCTGGCAGTAGCTAAAAGAAGTGTTACTTCTCCTAAGAATAGCTATTGTTTGGAAAATGGCAATTTGTTCCTTTAAGACTTTCTTAGTGGTCTTGGAGATTGGAGCGAAAACACCCCACTAAGGGCTGGGCGCGGTGGCTCACGCCTGTAATCCCAGCACTTTGGGAGGCCGAGGCGGGCGGATCACAAGGTCAGGAGATTGAGACCATCCTGACTAACACGGTGAAACCCTGTCTCTACTAAGAATACAAAAACAGTCTGGCATGGTGGCGGGCGTCTGTAGTCCCAGCTACTCGGGAGGCTGAGGCACGAGAATGGCGTGAACCCGGGAGGCGGAGCTTGCAGTGAGCCAAGATCACGCCACTGCACTCCAGCTTGGGCGACAGAGTGAGACTCCGTCTCAAAAAAAAAAAAAAAGAAAATACCTCACTGAGAAAGGAAGGTGTTTTCGCTGCCAACTTGAGCACAACTGTACTCCTTTAAACTTGTGTTGAGTGTGGGCTGTGGGCTCCTATAAATGTGTTTGACATGATTGGGGTGGGACACAGCTGAGAAGACCCCACGGGGCTGATGTGTGCCCCTCCTGGGACTGAAGAGCTGCTCCCGCCCTCCCCGCATCTCGAGCCCCTTTGCCTTCAGAATCTGTCCCAGATCTGCCTCTAGTCTGATTCCATCATCACGACAAGCGTAGTCCCCTCTGCCCTGGTCACCCGGCTACCCCCTGAGCCAGAAGGCGCCTGTGAGCCCCTAAGTCAGGTCCCGCCCCTCCCCTGCCCACAGTCCTCCATGGCTCCCACCCCACTTGGGGGAAAAGCCCAAATCCTCTCTACAGCCCACTATGCCCTGTGTGTCCCGACCCCTCCTCTCCCTCCCCTCCCTCTCCTCCCCTCCCCTCTTCACTGCTCCAGCCCCACCAGCCTCCTCACTCTTCCTCCAAAACCCCTGGCACAGTCCTGCCCTAGGGCCTTTGCATAGTCCATACCCTCTGCCTGCAATGCCTGTCCCCTAGATGTCCCCAAGCTCACCCCTCACCTCCTTCAATTCTCAGCTCACAAGCCACCTCCTCATCCCCCGTCCCCAGGCCACCAGCACTCCACACTCATTTGCCTTCTAGTTTTGCCCGTAGCCCCTGCCAGTTTCTAAGTCCCACGTCACCATCACGTGTGTTATTTATGTGCACCTCCTTGAGGACTGGGACGTATCCTGGCTGTTATATCCTCTGCCTACACCCCGGCACCCAGCCGAGGAACGCAGCAGGGCTCCAGAACTATGTGTGGAATGAATGAATGGATAAACAAATGAATGAATCTCCAGGTCTGCAAAGGGTAGGAGGTCCAGAGGTGGGGCCTGAGAACCACTTGGGGGTGGCTGTGCACCCTGCCTGGCCCTGCTTTGCTGCCTGGGTGGTATAGGCTCTCGGAGGGGGATCAGGGTCCTTCTCACTCTCCCCACATGAGATGATGGCTGCAGTGGAGTGCGGGAAGGCACGGGAAGAGAAGCCCTCCAGACCCGGGGGCAAGACTCAGAGTTCATTCAGCAAACAGTCATGTGCAGTATAACAGCATTTCGGTCACTGACGGACCACATATGTGAAGGGAGTCCCATGAGACTTTTTTTTTTTTTTTTTTTTTGACACTGAGTCTCTGCCGCCTAGGGGTTCAAGCGATTCTCCAGCCTCAGCCTCCCGAGTATCTGGGATTACAGGTGCCCACCACCACACTCAGTTAATTTGTTGTTTTTTGTTTTTGTTTTTGTTTCTTTTTTTTTCTTTTCTTTTTTTTTGTTTAGTTTGGTTTTTTGAGACAGAGTCTTGCTCTCTCACATTGTCACCCAGGCTGGAGTGCAGTGGCTCACTGCAAGCTCCGCCTCCCAGGTTGACGCCATTCTCCTGCCTCAGCCTCCTGAGTAGCTGGGACTACAGGCGCCCACTGCCACGCCCGGCTAATTTTTTTGTATTTTTAGTAGAGACCGGGTTTCACCGTGTTAGCCAGGATGGTCTCAATCTCCTGACCTCGTGATCCGCCCGCCTCGGCCTCCCAAAGTGCTGGGATTACAGGCATGAGCCACTGCGCCCGGCCTGTTTTTGTTTTTTTTTTCTGAGATGGAGTTTCACTCTGTCACTCAGGTTGGAGTGCAGTGGGGAGATCTCGGCTCACTGCAACCTCCACCTCCTGGGTTCAAGCAATTCTCTGCCTCAGCCTCCCGAGTAGCTGGGATTACAGGCTCCCGCCACCACATCCGCCTAATTCTTTTGTATTTGTAGTAGAGATGGGGTTTCATCAAGTTGGCCAGGCTGGTCTCAAACTCCTGACCTTAAGTGATCTGCCCGCCTCGGCCTCCCAAAGTGCTGGGAATACAAGTGTGAGCCACCGCACCCGGCTCCCATAAGATTTTATACCATATTTTTATTGTACCTTTTCTGTTTGTGGATGTTTAGAGACAAATATTTGTCATCATGTTACAGTTGCCCACAGTATTCTGTACAGTCACATGCTCTGCAGGTTTATAGCCTGGGAGCAGTAGACAGTACCATGAAGCCTGGTGTGCAGTACGTTCTACCATCTAGGCGTGTGTACGCTGGGATGTTTGTGCATGACAAAATCATCTAATGACGAATTTCTCCAAACATACACCCATCATGAAGCAACTACTGTGTGTGTGTGTGTGTATTTTTTTTTTTTTTTTTTAAGAAAGGGTCTTGGCCGGGCGTGGTGGCTCACGCCTGTAATCCCAGTACTTTGGGAGGCCGAGGTGGGCGGATCACGAGGTCAGGAGATCGAGACCATCCTGGCTAGCATGGAGAAAAACCCTGTCTCTACTAAAAAATACAAAAAAAATTCAGCGGGGTGTGGTGGCGGGCGCCTGTAGTTCCAGCTGCTCGGGAGGCTGAGGCGAGAGAATGGCGTGAACCTGGGAGGCGGAGCTTGCAGTGAGCCGAGATCGCGCCACTGCGCTCCAGCCTGGGCCACAGAGTGAGACTCCATCTCAAAAAAAAAAGAGAAAGAAAAAGAAAGACAGGGTCTTAGCCAGGCGCAGTGGCTGACACCTGTAATCTCAGCACTTTGGGAGGCTGAGATTGGCAGATCACTTGAGGCCAGGAGTTCGAGACCAGCCTGGCCAACATGGCAAAACCCGGTCTCTACTAAAAATGCAAAAATTAGGCGTGGTGGCAGGTGCCTGTAATCCCAGCTACTTGGGAGGCTGAGACATGAGAATCGCTTGAACCTGAGAGGCGGAGGTTGCAGTGAGCCGAGATTGCGTCACTGCACTCCAGCCTGAGTGATAGAGCAAGACTCCATCTCCAAAAAAAAATAAACAAAATAAATAAATAAATAAATGAAAATCAGCTAGGCATCGTGGTGTGAGCCTGTAATACCAGCTACTCAGGAGACTAAGGCAGGAGAAACACTTGAACCCAGGAGGTGGAGGTTGCAGTGAGCTGAGATCGAGCCACTGCACTCCAGCCTGAGTGACAAGAGCAAAACTCCATCTCAAAAAATAAGAAGAAGACAAGGTCTTGCCCTGTTGCCCAGATTGGAGTGCAGTGGTGAGATCATAGCTTACTGCAACCTCAAACTCCTGGGCTCAAACGATTCTTCTGCCTCAGCTTCCAAGAAGCTGGGACTACAGGCATGCACCAACACACCTGGCTAATTTCTAAATTTTTTGTAGAGATGGAGTCTCACTGTGTTGTCCAGGCTGGTCTTGAACTCCCGGCCTCAAGTGACCCTCCTGCTTCAGCCTCCCAAAGTGCTGGGATTACAGGCGGGAGTCACTGTGGCCAGCTGCAGATCTTGCTTAAACCATAGACAGGCACTTCTGGGCCAAACATTTCCCTTGTCCTGACAAAGACCCCTGGGACCAACACTGGCCCACTAGGGTACCCCCAAAAGAGCCAAAAAGGGGGCTGGAGCCAGGCATGGTGGTACACACCTGTAGTCCCAGCTACTTAGGAGGCTAAGGTAGGAGAATCGCTTGAGCCCAGGAGTTCGAGGCTGCAGTAAGCTATGATCCTGCCACCGCACTCCAGCCTGGGTGACAGAGCGAGACCCTGTCTCTAAAAAAAGAGAGGCCCAGAGCCCTGAATGCCTTGGGGGTGCCACATCCCTGTACCCACAGGGTCCCCAGCAGAGCACAGAGGGAGGAAGAGGGAGTAGACAGGGGTAGAGATCTTAGGAAAGAGGACGTGACTCTCTCCTGGCTGTGTTCTGGTAGGAGGCCCCAGCCTTAAAGCCTAAAGCCGGGTTAGTCATTACTTCAGGGCTCCAGAAGTCAGGGCGGGACTTGCCCCCCCTTATCCTATCTGGCTTGGCGTCCAAGGCTAGGACCCAGTGGAGCCATAGTTCCCTGGTCCCACATCATCTCAGGCATCCCCTGTGTCCACAAGGGCCACACAGCCAGCGAGCCATTTGGCCTATGGGGAAACTGAGGCATAGGGAAGCTCGGGCCTTCCTCCCTGTGTATCTCTTTTCTAGCCAGCCTCCCTCCACTTGCTGTGGTCCTCCTCAGAGCGTGGGCGCTCAGAGGGGCCTGGTTTGGCCCCCAGCCCCACCATTGGCGCACACAGGTCCTTCCTCTGAGCCAGCCAAGCCTCCCCTCGGGCTTCCTGGAAAGCTGGGTGGTCGGGCCGAGCTGCAAGGGGCTCCGGCAGGCCTGGCCCTGTCCCTGGCCCCAGCCCAGCCCACATCTCACCTTCCAGGGGTCCCCACTGGTCTGAACCCTCGCTGAACCAGAGTAGGAAAGGTGTGAGCCAGGACAAGAGCAGGGCTCTGGGGGGCCTCGTTGGGGGGCCTGGTGGGGGATTCAGCCCAAACTGAGGGGCAGCAGGCAGAGCGATGGCCTGGCCTGAAATCTAGAGCCACCACCCCTGCCACCCCAGCCTTTTCAAACCCATCCAAAGTCTTCTATTTTGTCCATTTTTTTTTTCTCAGCACTTTTTTTTTTTTGAGACGGAGTCTCGCTCTGTCGCCCAGGCTGGAGTGCAGTGGCGCCATCTCGGCTCACTGCAAGCTTTGCCTCCCGGGTTCACGCCATTCTCCTGCTTCAGCCTCCCGAGTAGGTGGGACTACAGGCGCCCGCACCAAGCCCGGCCAATTTTTTTGTATTTTTAGTAGAGACGGGGTTTCACTGTGTTAGCCAGGATGGTCTTGATCTCCTGACCTCATGATCCTCCGGCCTCGGCCTCCCAAAGTGCTGGGATTACAGGCATGAGCCACCGCGCCCGGCCTTTCTCAGTATGCTTTCTAAAATGCATTTTACAGTTTATCCTCCTTCTTTTAGAGGTAAGACAGACGCATGCCATAGAATTCAAAAGATTCTAGAGGGTGTTTAGAATAAATACCAGCCACTCCCCAAGCCCCACGCCATCCCCAGAGGCCATTAGTCGGTTTCTTGTTTCTCCTTCCAGCCATGTTCCACGCCAAAACAAGCATGTCTGTATATTTTCTTTTCCCCACGGAAACAACATCACACTCCCCGTACTTTCTTGCAGCTCAGCGTAGTTGACTCCTAACAATGCATCTCGGATCTTTTCTTCGAGTGCAGAACTTCCCCCTCTTTTGTAAGGACAGTGTAATATTCCATCTTGAGGCTGGACCATTGTTCTGGTGAAAGCACATGTCCTGGCCTCCAGTCTTCTGCTACTATACACCGGGCAGCAATGAAGAAATTTTTTTTTTTTTTTTTGAGACGGAGTCTCACTCTGTCACCCAGGCTGGAGTGCAGTGGCACAATCTTGGCTCACTGCAAGCTCCGCCTTCCCTGTTCACACCATCGTCCTGCCTCAGCCTCCCGAGTAGCTGGGACTACAGGTGCCTCCACCACGCCCAGCTAATTTTTTGTATTTTTAGTAGAGACGGGGTTTCACCGTGTTAGCCAGGATGGTCTCGATCTCCTGACCTTGTGATCCGCCTGCCTCGGCCTCCCAAAGTGCTGGGATTACAGGCATGAGCCACCGAGCCCAGCCAAGAAATTGTAATAAATGTCATTTTTGGCTGGATGTGGTGGCTCACGCCTGTAATCCCAGCACTTTGGGAGGCCAAGGTGGGCAGATCACCTGAGCTCAGGAGTTTGAGACCAACCTGGCCAATGTGGTGAAACCCCATCTCTACTAAAAATACAAAAAATTAGCCGGGCATGGTGGCGCATGCCTGTAATCCCAGCTACTTGGGAGGCTGAAACAGAAGAATCACTTGAACCTGGGAGGTGGAGGTTGCAGTGAGCTGAGATCAGGCCATTGCACTCCAGCCTGGGCGACAGAGCAAAACTCCATCTAAAAAAAAAAAAAAAGTTCATAGTTGACATGAGGGTTCACTCTTGGTGTTGTATGCATATGTTCTGTGGGTTTGGATGAATGTGTAATGACATATGTCTACCATTTAACAGTATCATGCAGAGTAGTTTCACTACCCTAAAAATCCACTGTGCTCTGCCTGTTCGTCCCTTCCTCCCCCAGCCCCTGACAGCCACTGACCTTTTCACCGTCTCCATAGTTTTCCTCTTTCGGGAATATTCTGTAGCTAGAATCATACAGTGTGTCACCTTTTCAAATGGGCTTCTTTCACTCAGTAATATGCATTGAAGGGCTGGGCGTGTTGGCTCACGCCTGTAATCCCAGCACCTTGGCAGGCGGAGGGAGGCCTGAAGTCAGGAGTTTGAGACCAGCCTGGCCAAGATGATAAAACCCCATCTCTACTAAATATACAAAAATTAGCCAGGTGTGGTGGCCAGCGCCTGTTATCTCAGCTACTCAGGAGGTTGAGGCAGGAGAATCGCTTGAACCCAGGGAGTGGGGGAGAGTTTGCAGTGAGCCAAGATTGTGCCACTGCACTCCAGCCTGGGCAACAAGAGCGAAACTCCGTCTCAAAAAAAAAATGCATTTAAGGTTCCTCTGTGTCTTTTCATGGCTTGACAGCTCATTTCTTTTTAGCACTGAATTTTATATTTTATATAGATATAGATATAGATATATAGATATAGATATAGATGGAGTCTTCCTCTTTCACCCAGGCTGGAGTGCAGTGGCGCGATCTCAGCTCACTGCAATGTCTGCTTGGGTTCAAGAGATTCTCCTGCCTCCTGAATAGCTGGGACTACAGGTTCGTGCCGCCACGCCCAGCTAATTTTTGTATTTTTAGTAGAGACAGGGTTTCCCCATGTTGACCAGGCTGGTCTCGAACTCCTGACCTTAGGTAATCTGCCCGCCCCTGCCTCCCAAAGTGCTAGGATTACAGCCGTGAGCCACCGTGCCCAGCCTGAATAAAATTTTGTCATCTGAGCACACCACAGTGTTCTTACCCATTCTCCTGCTGAAGGACATCTTGGCTGCTTCCCAATCTTGGCAACTGTGAATAATGCTGCTGTAAACATCTGTGTGCAGGTTTTTGTGTGGATGTTAGGTTTTCAGCTCCTTTGGGTAAATACCTAGGAGTACCATTTCTAGGTCTCATCCTAAGAGTATGTTTAGTTTTATAAGAAACTGCCAAACTGTTCCAAAGCGGCTGTACCATTCTGCATTCTCACCGGCAATGAATGACACTCCCTGTTGCTCCCTGTCCTCAGGGGTTCGGGGCATTTGGGGTTGCTGTTGGCAGGGCTTTGGATTTGGCCATTCTAATAGGGGTGTAGGGACATTTTTTTTCTTTTTTTTTTTTTCTTTTTTGAGACAGAGTTTCATTCTTGTCGCCCAGGCTGGAGTGCAATGGTGCGATCTCAGCTCACCGCAACCTCTGCCTCCTGGGTTCAAGCGATTCTCCTGCCTCAGACTCGTGAGTAGCTGGGATTACAGGCATGCGCCACCATGCCTGGCTAATTTTGTATTTTTTAGTAGAGATGGTGTTTCTCCATGTTGGTCAGGCTGGTCTCAAACTCCCGACCTCAGGTGATCTGCCCGTCTCAGCTTCCCAAAGTGCTGGGATTACAGGCGTGAGCCATCATACCTGGCCGTTTCTTTTTTTCTTTTTTTTTCTTTTTTTTTCTTTTTTGAGGCAGAATCTCACTCTGTTGACCAGGCCGGAGTGCAATGGCGTGATCTCGGCTCACTGCAACCTCCACCTCCTGAGTAGCTGGGACTACAGGTGTGTGCCATCACACCCAGTTAATTTTTGTATTTTTAGTAGAGATGGGGTTTTTCCAGTTTGGCCAGGATGGTCTCGATCTCTTGACCTCGTGATCTGCCCGCCTTGGCCTCCCAAAGTGCTGGGATTACAGATGTTAGTCACCGCACCCAGCCTTGTCTGTTTGTTTGTTTTTTAAGAGACAGGATCCCCCTTTGTCATCCAGGCTAGAGTGCCCAAGAGAGAGGAACAACATGTGTGATAGCTCAGAGGAGAGACAGAAAGGGGAGTGGCTAAGAGCATGGAAGAGTACGAGGTTCTAGATCCTTCTCTGGGTGTCAGTTTCCACTCCTTAGCCGTGAGCCACTCTCTTGAGCAAGTCTGGCAGATGGGAAGCTGGAAGGTCAAGGCTGGGGCATCCATCCTACCCCTGCCTGGATATGGGGAGGCAGGAGTGCCAGAGCAGCCCCCTCTGCGTCTGGGGGGCCCAGCAGGACCCCGTCCAGGTGGAGATTGGGAAGGGTGAAGGCATCCAGAGGTGCTTCCCTGGACTCCTGCCTCGACAGGAAAGGAAATGGCAGGGTGGGGGTGGCAGAAGTCTGTTTCCCGCCCCTGCCCCAAATTGGATGCTTCCTGCCCCAGGCCAGCTCCTTGGTGGGCCGGGACCCCTTTCCCACCCATTACTGCCTCTCTAATGGGGGCCTCACCCCCATTAGTGAGGCCGCCCACTGCAAGCCTGGGAGTCCCAGGTGTTCCCAGCCCACACTCCCCCTGCCGAGTGACCGTTAAAGATGAATAATGAGCCTGGCAGGAGGGACCTGGGAGGTGGTGATGAGGGGCTGGCCCAGCGGGTGAGGGCCAGGGAGGCCCCGAAGCCTCCTCCATCTGGCTGGTCCCGGAGGCACCTGGGAAGCCCATTAGGAAGGCGTCGCGTCCTGGAAGCCACCTGAGCGCCTGGTGTGGCTCTGATTTCACCTCCTTAATGCCTGCCTTTGCTCTTAGCACCTGCCCGCTACAGGGACTGCCCCCCACCCCCACCCAGCTGAAGTCATCAGAGTTAGCAAATAAAAATCCAAGACATCCAGTTAAGTTTGGATTTCAGATAGATCATGAATCACGGCTTGGCGTAAGTATATCCCATGCAATTCTTGGGATATACTTACAGCATCATTCATTCCTTTTTTTTTTTTTTTTTTTTGAGATGGAGTTTTGTTCTGTTGCCCATGCTGGAGTCCGGTGGCGCGATCCTGGCTCACTGCAACCTCCACCTCCCAGGTTCAAGCGATTCTCATGCCTCAGCCTCCCAAAGTGCTGGGATTATAGGCATGAGCAACTGCACTGGTCTGGAGTGGATCTTTTTTTTAATTTTTTTTTTTAATTTTTTTGAGACAGAGTCTCGCTCTGTCGCCCAGGCTGGAGTGCAGAGGCACAATCTCAGCTCACTGCAACCTCTGCCTCCCGGGTTCAAGTGATTCTTCTACCTCAGCCTCCTGAGTAGCTGGGATTACAGATGCACGTCACCACGCCCAGCTAATTTTTGTGGAGTGGATGTATTTTAATATCTCACCATCTGCACGAGGTTTCCACAGCCCACCAGCCCTGTCCCCGCCCCCTCCTTGACCCTTCCCTGGCTCAATGAGGGTGTTTTAGGTCCCCAGCAGGTCACTGGCACAGCAGGCATCTCTTGGAATTTGCACAAAAAGACCCAAAGTTACTGTAACTCTGGAAACCTCTGGAGAGGTCCCTAGGGGAGAGTGAATGAGGGGCCGCATGCCCGCCTCCGCCAAGGACTCATCGCTCAGGGTCTCTTTCATCTCCCCTGGCTTTCAGGGAGACCTCCAGGTGAGAACACACTCCCTGAATCCCAGGTTCGAGTCCTGACTCTGCTGCTTTTGAGTTTTGTGGCTATCAGCCTCCCTTTTTCTCGGTGCCTTGGTTTCCTCACCTGCAAAATGGGGATAAATCACAATGCCATTACTGATAGCAGCTGTCGGGGTTGTTGAGAGGACCACGTGCATTGATTTCTTCAAGGAGCTTTGTCCGGCATACAGCGCTCACTTAAGTGATGGCCGGGGCCCCAGCCTCCCTCCTGGCCCAGGGGGAGGGGCTGAGCGGGAAGTGGAGGTTAATTTTAGCCCTGATGACACCCGCTGGCCGCCTGCCTTGTCCAAACATCCCCAGCCAGGCGTGAGGTTCAAAGTGTCCCCCCACCCCCAGCCTCTGACATCCAAGGAGCCTGTTTATTCATTCTCGTCTGCGGCAGCATTCTTTGCCTGCCTGTGCCTGCCACCCGGCCTCCTCCATCTCCAGCCCTGCGAGGTCCTGCCCTGTGTCACTGGGGGTGAGGACTACCTCACCTGCAGATTCCCCTGAGGCAGGCTGTAATCTCTGGGGTGGTCGGTGGGGGGTGGGGAAGGGGCAGGGGGAGGGTCACTCCTGCCCCAGAGTCCAAAGATCTTCAGTCTTCGTTTATAATTCTCCAAGTGGGAGTTCAAGCTTCCATCACAGACAAGGACATTTATTCAGCACCTGTTTACTGAGTGCCTACTGGGTGCCAGGTCATACTGGGGACCCAAGCCCTGCCCCATGAGCCGCCCAATCTGGGGAAGACACTGACAAACCAAGAAATAAACAAGATCTTTTTTTTTTTTGAGACGGAATTTCACTCTTGTTGCCCAGGCTGGAGTGCAATGGCACAATCTCGGCTCACCACAACCTCCACCTCCCGGGTTCAAGTGATTCTCCTGCCTCAGTCTCCTGAGTAGCTGGGATTACAGGCGTGCACCACCACGCCCGGCTAATTTTGTATTTTTAGTAGAGAGAGGGTTTCTCCATGTTGCGGGGAGTGTATGGAGACGCCACCTTGGGAAGAGATGCGCCAGAATTTGCAGTCCTCTCCCTCCCTGTTGGAGTACCCTGGAGGATAGAAATTTTTCCCTACCCGGAGTCTCAGAATGTTCCAAAGACCTCAACTGGTCTCAAACTCCCAACTTCAGGAAGTCCCCCCACCTTGACCTCCCAAAGTGCTGGGATTATAGGCCTGAGCCACCGCGCCTCACCAATTTTTTTTTTTTTTTTTTTTTTGAGACGGAGTCTCTTGCCCAGGCTGTAGTGCAGTGGCGCGATCTCAGCTCACTGCAACCTCCGCCTCCCAGGTTCGTGCAATTCTTGAGCCTCAGCCTCCCAAGTAGCTGGGATTACAGGCGCTCACCATCCCGCCCAGCTAATTTTTCTATTTTGAGTAGAGACAGGGTTTCACTGTGTTGGCCAGACTGGTCTCGAACTCCTTACCTCGTGATCCACCCACCTCAGCCTCCCAAAGTGCTGGGATTACAGGCGTGAGCCCCTGTGCCTGGCCTATTTATTTTCGCTTATTTATTTATTTATTGAGTGAGTGAGTGAGACAGAGTTTTGCTCCGTCGCCCAGACTGGAGAGCAGTGGCGTGATCTCATCTTACTGCAACCTCCACCTCCAACCTCCACCTCCTGGGTTCAGGTGATTCTCCTGCCTCATCCTCATGAGTAGCTGGGATTACAGGCACCCACCACCATGCCCAGCTCATTTTTTGTAAGGCTCTGCCCTTGTTCTGAAGTCAAATCTCAACACTGTCTCCCTCTGGGAGGGGGAGTGACCAGAGGCTACAGCTGGGCTGAGGGACTGAGTGGCTGCAGGTGGATACCAAATATAAATTGAGGTCTTTGGAACATTCTCAGAGTCTGGGTAGGGGAAAATTTCTACTCTTCAGAGAACGCCAACAGGGACAGAGTGGACCGTAACTCCTGGTGCATCTTCCCAAGGTGAGTGGCATCTCCATACACTCCCTGCAGGGCTGGCCCAGGTGCCCAGGTCGCTGGCTCTACTGGCTGTAATTTTTGCCGATGGAGAGACAGGTGCTTAGAAACCTTGAAAACATCGCCTGAAAACAAACCAAGAAAATTATGCTTTTTGGCCCGGTGCGGTGGCTCACTGCTGTAATCCTAGCACTTTGGGAGGCCAAGACAGACTGATCACGAGGTCAGGAGATTGAGACCATCCTGGCTAACACGGTGAAACCCCATCTCTACTAAAAATACAAAAAATTAGCTAGGCGTCGTGGCGCGTGCCTGTAATTCCAGCTACTCGGGAGGCTGAGACAGGAGAATCACTTGAACCCAGGAGGCGGAGGTTGCAGTGGGCTGAGATTGTGCCACTGCACTCCAGCCTGGGCAGGCGACAGAGGGAGACTCCGTCTGGAAAAAAAAAAAAAAAGGAAAGAAAATTATACTTTTCACCTCCAGGTTCCAACAGACCACCTCCTAACCGTTTTCGTTCTCGGAAATACCTTCATTGGGCCGGGTGTGGTGGCTCACGCCTGTAATCTCAGCACTTTGGGATGCCGAGGCGGGCAGATCACTTGAGGTCCGGAGTTCGAGAACAGCCTGGCCAACATAGTGAAACACCATCTCTACTTAAAATACAAAATTTAGCTGGGCGTGGTGGCGGGCATCTGTAATCCCAGCTACTCGGGAGGCTGAGGCATGAGAATTGCTTGAACTCGGTAGTGGGAGGTTGCAGTGAGTCGAGATCGCACCACAGCACTCCAGCCTGGGCGATGGAGCAAGACTCAGTCTCAGAAAGAAAGAAAGAAAGAAAATACCTCCATTAGCTTTTCTGATTCTAAAATTGCCACTCGCACACTTCACAAAACCTTTCCAGAATGAGAGAAAGGCCTCTTTGTTCCCCGGCCCCATGTATTCCCTGGAATTTTCTCTCCCCGGGCAGGGAGGTAAATGCTATTGTTATTTTTTCACACACAAGGTTTTGCAATGGGCTTTATTTCCACTCCACAATAGATGGCCCCACAGCTTTTATTTCTAGAAATTGGAAAATGAAGCGTGTCCAGCCCCCGCCTCTTCACCCACCACAGGCTGAAATTTAAGCTGCATGAACCCAGCTGGGCCTGGGTACCAGGGGTGGGCAGACCTCAGCGTGTTGGTGCCAGGGGACCCGGGGGTGAGGCCAGGGTCAGGTTTCTAGGGGGTGCCAGGTTTCTGTCACCGTCACCTGGGGCTTCCCGCACTCCCTGTCTGTTTAGTGGCCCCAGCACCATGTAGATGAGCAGGGAGAGGCTGAGTTCTTACAAGTATTACAGGAGGGGAAACCGAGGCCCGCAGAGGGCCAGGGACCCAGGCCAAACATTCCAGCCTGTAGAGGGGGTACGCAGAGACCCTGTGGGGCGGTGGGAGGATCAGCGTGACCTTCCAGGTCACCTCAACCTCCTGAAGAAGGTGCCGGCAGTGGCTCCACTCTACAGAGGAGGTGGCTGACGCCCAGAGAAGTTGAGGAACTCATCCAAGGCCACACAGCTGCCAGAGGTGAAAGTCGGTTTTCTGAAGATCTCAGGGTCAAGAACTCCAAAGTCAGGCAAGTCCCCCATAGAGCCCTGCTCCACCACTTAGGGGCTGCAGGTGGCTTCTGACTGTAAGTGAGGATATCTGGAACATTCTAGTGTTGGGGGAAATTGCTGCTCTCTGGAGAATGCCATGGGGGACCTGGTGGTGCAGGGTGGTGGTGACTCCCAGGTGCTATCTAAGCCTCGGTTTCCCCATCTGTACAGTGGACATGCAGAGGTGCCTGTGATGGCTCCCCCAGGCCCAGGTAGAAGGGTGGAGGGGCATAGGGTGGGGAAGGTGTGGGGGGCCTGAAGAGTCTCTGCTAAGCCCCCTGGTGACTCCGGGCCTGAGCCAGCCTTGCTGGGCCCATCACTCACCTGCCACACACACCACCCACCTGGGCCCCTCTCCCCACCACCTGGCTGCAAGCCAGGGGTCCTGGGAGGGGGATGGGGCCCTCGGCAGGCCAGGCCAGGGCTTCCTAACAGGCTGGGGCAGGCCCAGTCCCCAGGGGGTAAGAGGTGTGGGGACAGGCTGCTCTGTCCCCTGATGCCCCTGGAGCCCCCGTGGTCTCCGCCTCTCCCTGAGCTGATGTCAGAGTGAACAGCTCCCTTTCCCAACTTCTCTTTCTCTCCCTCTGGAATTTCCTCTGAGGCTTAGAGGGACATGGAAACCCTCCTTGGGTTCCACAAGGGCAGAAGACCAGCCACCTGGCCAACATTGGGGGACCCTGGCCTGCCCCCTCTGGAACACCAGCACTGCCCTCAACCCCCCATTGTCTCCCCATGTGCCCCAGATCTCACATGTGGTTCATGGTGCACCCAGCCCAGCCTATGGGGCCTTCTCCCTCCTCCTGAGCGGCAGCTGCCCTTGGCTCCCAGCCCTTAGGCCCCAAGGGGAGAGAAATTTCCAGCAGGCTGACAGCTTTATCACCCACCCAGCCCAGGCTGAGGGAGGAGCTGGGGTGTCCAATGAAGACCAGGACCCCAACGAGGGGCACAGATGGCCTCACCGCACCCCCCAAGCAAGTCTCAGCTCATCTGAGCCAGAGGGAAGAGATCCTCGCGGCCTGAGCCTAGAATCAGGGGCACGGGTGGTTGGAGGAGCCAGTAGAAAGGATGATCTGGCTGGGAGGGCAAGAGAGCCCCTATCTGGGGAGGCTCCCTGGAGGAGCTGTTTTCACCGAGCCCTGAAGGATGACTGGGAATTAAGCAGGAGGCAGGGGGCAGAGAGTACAGCTGTCCAACTGAAGACAGCCTGGTGCGATTGAGACTCCCAGTGACTTGAGTAGTGAGCGCCCTCTCTCAGGACCTGTCTTCACATCCACAGGACAGCTGTGTGGGATGGAAGCGTTGCCGGTCCAGGCTTGGCTGGGGCTCCAGGACAAAGTCACACCAAGACTGAGAGCCCCATGAGTTATGTTTTTTTGGGTTTTTTTCTTTTTGTGATGGAGTCTCACTCTGTCACCCAGGCTGGAGTGCAGTGACCCAATCTTAGCTCACTGCAAACCTCTGCCTCCCGGGTTCAAGTGATTCTCCCGCCTCAGCTTCCAGAGTAGCTGGGATTACAGGTGTGCACCACCACACCCGGCTAATTTTTGTATTTTTAGCAGAGACGAGGTTTCACCATGTTGGCCAGGCTGGTCTCAAACTCCTGACCTCAGGTGATCTGCTCACCTCGGCCTCCCAAAGTGCTGGAATTATGAGTGTGAGCCACTATACCCAACTTCTATGAGTTATGTTTTAATCAGTCACAGACAATGCCCCCAGCGAGGACATGAACAGAGAACAGACTCAGGTCATCCCTTCTGGAAATGGCTTGCCTGGGAGACCGCAGTCCCTGGCCCAGCCCTGGCCAGTCGATCCTCCCCACTGGCCTGGGCCTGGCTGGGAACTGAGACGGTGAAAGTCTGGGGCAGCATGAAACGGCCTCCTGGAAATTATTTCTAGAACAGGGAAGTCGTGATACCTGAAGGTGAAATGTGGGCTCTGTCACCTCTGTACCCAGCTTGGGAGTGACAGAGTTTAAGGACATCCTCTGTCAAAGACATCCTTCCACATCCTTTCTCTTCTGCATTCCAGGAAACTTACCTGGCTCCTTGGACTTCTACACTGCCCTGCAGGAGTGGGCGGGGAAAGGGAGTGGCTTTGAGGCACACAGAAGGGCTTGGTGAGGCCACCAGAGTGGGGCCTGTGCCTAGTGTGTCAGAAGAGAGCATCTCAGGACGGGTGTGGGGGCTCCCGCCTGTAATCCCAGCACTTTGGGAGGCTGAGGTGGGCTGATCACTTGAGGTCAGGAGTTCGAGACCAGCCTGGCCAACATGGTGAATCCCCATCTCTAGTAAAAATACAAAAATTAGGTGGGCATGGTGGCGGGTACTTGTAATCCCTGCTCCTGAGGCTGAGACAGGTGAATCTCTTGAACCCAGGAGGCAGAGGCTACAGTGAGCCAAGATCATGCCACTGCACGCCAACCTGCACTCCAGCCTGGGCAACAGAGCAAGGCTATCTCAAAAAAGAAAAGAGAGCATCTCAAACCACACATCAACATGGTAACCCCTCTGCTTGAAGCCTCCAATGGCTCCCTATTGCCCTGGTGCTGAACACCCCATGGCTGACCGTGGCCTGGCCTCTGCGACAGCTCTGCCTCTTCTCCCATGGTGAAGACCCAGCCTGCTGAGACTCCCCCCAGTTCCTCCAACGTGCCTGGACCTCTGCTCCCTCGGGGCCTTTGCATAGGTTGTTCCCTCTACCCAGAATGCTTTTCCCTCCCCGTTTTGTTTAGAAGGCCACAGTTTTAATTGTTAGTTCCCTTATAAGGCTCGCGTATTGTCGGTGACTCACCCTCCAGCTCCTTGCAGGAGTGCTTGGCCTGGCACTTAGTAAGTGCTTAGGAAATATTTGTGGTTCTGTGTTTTTTTTGTGAGACAGAGTCTTGCTCTGTTGCCCAGGCTGGAGTGCAGTGGCTTGATCTCAGCTCACTGCAGCCTTTGCCTCCTGGGTTCAAGTGATTCTCATGCCTCAGCCTCCTGAGTACCTGGGATTACAGGCATGCACCACCATGCCCGGCTAATTTTTTTTTTTTTTTTTTTAGTAGACATGGGGTTTCACCATGTTGCCCAGGCTGGTCTTGAACTCCTGACCTCAGGTGATCCGCCTGCCTCGGCCTCCCAAAGTGCTGGGATTACAGGTGTGAGCCACTGTGCCTGGCCTTCAGGAAATATTTGCTGATGAACTAAGTGGGAGGTGGGATCTGGTGGGAAGGAAGGCGGGAAGGTGGAAATTCTGCTCACTTCCCCATTCCCACCTCCCAAGGAACCCCTGGTGTCCCTATGGAACCCACTTTGGGAACCAGTGGTTCAGGTCAGCCTTTTCCCTTTGTGCTCAAAGCCGCATTGCATTGAGGCCACCGGTAGGACCAGGGTCATGACCTAGGCCTCCAAATCCCTGCACCCTTTCCAATTCTACAGCAGGGATTAGAGGAGACACACAATTTGCTTTCAGAGGATGTCCCAGCTCCAGGACAGGACACACTGGGTCACCTGATGGCAGGTGCAGTGGTTGGACAGAGCCTGGCTTCAGCTCCAGGTATACTTCCTCCTTCCTGCTGCTACCTGGTCTGGCCTCTTCCACGTCCTGAGAATCCAGCTGGTACTCTGTCCTCAGCCTCCTGGGAGGTGCTCTCATCCTGGGCATGCTGCCCCCGCCATCCAGGGAGAGAGTCTTGGGGCACCTTTATCCCCAACCCAGAAATCACGGGAGACCTCGTAGGAAAGGCGTCCTGGCTCCGTTTGTTCCCACCTCAGCGCCGGTCCTGTCTGCTGTGATTCAGGATGCAGCTGGATGGGCACAGAATCCCCGGAGAAGGGTCTGCAGGCTGTGCAGTGGCCTGGAATTTGGCCAGCAGGCCCTAGTCGCAGGCAGGGGTCTTTCTGGGTGCTGCATGTAGTGGGATGGAGGAGGGGATGGAAGGTTCTGGCTGATTCGCCAAACCAGGAGGAACTGGGCATGCTTTTTTTGGGGGGGACGGAGTCTCACTCTGTCACCCAGGTTGGAGTACAGTGGCGCCATCTTGGCTCACTGCAACCTCCACCTCCCTGATTCAAGCAATTCTCTGGCCTCAGCTTCCTGAGTAGCTGGGATTACAGGTGCCCACCACCATGCCTGGCTAATTTTTTTTTTTATTTTTAGTAAAGACGGGGTTTCACCATGTTGGCCAGGCTGGTCTTGAACTCCTGACCTCAGGTGGTCCACCCGCCTCAGCCTCCCAAAGTGCTGGGATTACAGGCATGAGCCACTGTGTCCAGCCCAGGCATTCTTTTTCTAGAAAAAAATATCTTGGGTTCAACTTGGGTGGGACCTCAGCCCTGACCACCCCTGAATTACCCATTTTCCCCAATCTACCCTTCTTTTTTTTTTTTTTTTTTTTTTTTTTTTTAAAATTGAGATGTCGTCTCGCTCTGTTGCCCAGGCTCCTGTGCAGTGGTGTGATCTCAGCTCACTGCAACCTCCACCTCCCAAGTTCAAGCAATTCTCTGTCCTTGGCCTCCCAAAGTGCTAGGATTACAGGTGTGACCCACCACACCTGGCCCCAATCTACCCTTCTATACCTCGTTAAAATATACTTCACTGTCTCCTAAGAGGGGCTGCCATGAACCCAGGGCCCATGTAATTCCATCTTAATATCAATTACTTTATAAAAATTAACCTGTGCCTGGCTGGGCGCAGTGGCTCACACCTGTAATCCTAGCACTTTGGGAGGCCGAGGCGGGCGGATCATGAGGTCAGGAGATCAAGAGCATCCTGGCTAACACGGTGAAATCCCGTCTCTACTAAAATACAAAAAATTAGCCGGGCCCTGTAGTCCCAGCTACTCGGGAGGCTGAGGCAGGAGAATGGCGTGAACCCAGGAGGCGGAGCTTGCAGTGAGCCAAGATAGTGCCACTGCACTCCAGCCTGGGCAACAGAGCGAGACTCCGTCTTAAAAATAAAAATTAACCTGTGCCTGAGGCTCTAGAGTCCAATGGTACAAAGCAGTAATTGGTCAAAGTTCAACCTCCCTCCCACTCTGGGCTCGGACTGTGCCCTGAGGGCTTGTGTTTTGAATCTCTTTCCAGAACCTTGGCATGAGCTTGGGACTGGGTGTCTGGATCACTTCATCACACCCAGGTCACCTGCTGCAAGGTTAAGACCAACTTGGCCCAACAGAGAAAGCTGGCAACCCTACATCATTTTAAAACAGCTTCATCGGCTGGGCGTGGTGGCTTATGCCTGTAATCCCAGCACTTTGGGAGGCCAAGGCGGGTGGATCACTTTAGGTCAGGAGTTCGAGACCAGCCTGGCTAACGTGGTGAAACCCCGTCTCTACTAAAAATACAAAAATTAGCTGGGCATTGTGGTGTGTGTCTGTAATCCCAGCTACTTGAGAGGCTAAGGCAGGAGAATCACTTGAACGCAGAGGTGGAGGTTGCAGTGAACTGAGATTGTGCCACTGCACTCCAGCCTGGGCAACAGAGCAAGACTCAGTCTCAAAAATAAATAAACGGTTTCATCAGGATGTAATTCACATACCATACAGTGAGCCAACTTAAGGTGTACAAGTAAATAAGTCAATGGTTTTTGGTGTGTTACCTTTTTTTTTTTTTGAGACGGAGTCTCACTCTGTCGCCCAGGCTGGAGTGCAGTGGTGCTATCTCAGCTCACTGCAAGCTCCGCCTCCCGGGTTCACACCATTCTCCTGCCTCAGCCTCTCAAGTAGCTGGGACTACAGGCGCCCGCCACCACGCCTGGCTAATTTCTTTTTGTATTTTTAGTAGAGGTGGGGTTTCACCATGTTAGTCAGGATGGTCTCAATCTCCTGACCTGGTGATCCGCCCGCCTTGGCCTCCCAAAGTGCTGGGATTACAGGTGTGAGCCACCGCGCCCAGCCACCTTATTTTTAAATTGTAATTCCATATATCCATACATATATGTATAACATAAACTTCACCATTTAGGCTTTTTTTTTTTTTTTATGAGAGAGAGTTTTGCTCTTGTTGCTCACTGCAGCCTCTGCCTCCTGGGTTGAAGTGAGTCTTCTGCCTCAGCCTCTTGAGTAGCTGGGATTACAGGTGTGCACCACCATGCCCAGCTAATTTTTATATTTTTAGTAGAGACGGGGTTTCACCATGTTGGCCAGGCTTGTCTCGAACTCCTGACCTCAGGTGATCCTCCCGCCTCAGCCTCCCAAAGTGCTGGGATGACAGGCGTGAGCCACCGCACCTGGCGCATTTAGGCATTTTTAAGCATACAATTCAGTGGCATCGCGTGCAGTGTTGTGCAACCATCACTCCAGCATCTTTCCAAAACTTTCATCACCCCAAACAGAAACTCTGGACCCGTTAAACAAACATTCTCCCCTCTCCAGCCTCCAGTCACCTCTGTTCTACTTCCTGTCTCTGTGGATCGGCTCGTCCTGGACATTTCCCAGAAATGGGATCACACACTGTGTGGCATTTTGTGTCTGGCTTCTGTCATTGAATGTGATGTCCTCAGCCTTCATCCACGCTGTGGCCTGTGTGGGAGCCTCGCTCCTTTTCTTTTTTTTGAGACAGAGTCTTGCCCTGTTGCCCAGGCTGGAGTGCAGTGGCGCAATCTTGGTTCACTATAAGCTCTGCCTCCCGGGTTCAAGCAATTCTCCTGCCTCAGCCTCCCAAGTAGCTGGGATTACAGGCATGTGCCACCATGCCGGCTCTTTTTTTTATATCTTTAGTAGAGACAGGTTTTCTCTTTTTTTTTGAGACGGAGCCTCACTCTGTCACCCAGGCTGGAGTGCAGTGGCACAATCTCGGCCCACTGCCAGTTCCGCCTCCTGGGTTCACACCATTCTCCTGCCTCAGCTTCCCAAGTAGCTGGGACTACTGGCGCCCACCACCATGCCCAGCTAATTTTTTTGTATTTTCCATAGAGACTGGGTTTCACCGTGTTAGCCAGGATGGTCTTGATCTCCTGACCTCGTGATCTACCTGCCTCGGCCTCCCAAAGTGCTGGGATTACAGACATGAGCCACCTCGCCCAGCCTTTTCATGGCTGAGTGATATTCCATTGTGTGGATGGATCACACTAGGTATATTTGTTCTTCTATTGATGGACATCTGGGTAGTTTCTACCTTTGGGCTGTTTGTTCTGTTGTGAGTCAGGCTGCTGTGACCATGGGTGTACAAGTATCTGTTTGCGTCCTTTTGTTGTTAATTCTTTGGGGCTTCTACCTAGGAGGGAGATTGCTGGTGATGTGATAAGTATCTCTCAGGCTTTTCAAGGAAGCACCAAACTGTTTTCTACCCCGAATGTAATTTACAATTTCCCAGCAATAGGCCAGGCACAGTGGCTCACGGTGACTCCATCTCAAAAAATAATAATAATTTTAAAAAGAAAGAAAGAAAGAAAACTTCCCAGCAACCACATTAAAAAAGAATACCAGGAAATTTAATGTTTTTCTTTTTCTTTTTTTTTTTTTTTTTTTTTGAGATGGAGTTTAGCTTTTGTTGTCCAAGCTGGAGTGCAGTGGCGCAATCTCAGCTCACTGCAACCCCCGCCTCCCGGGTTCAAGCAATTCTGCCTCAGCCTCCCGAGTAGCTGGGATTATAGGCATGTGCCAGCACCTGGCTAATTTTTTGTATTTTTAGTAGAAACAGGGTTTCGCCATGTTAGCCAGGCTGGCCTCGAACTCCTGACCTCAGGTGATCCACCCAATATTGCTGGTATTACAGACGTGAGGCACCACATCCGGCCAATTTAATTTTAATGATATATTTTATTTCACCCAATACATCCAAAGCGTTATTTCAATATGTAATTAATGTAGAAAATCATTAATGAGCTACTTCACATCCTTTCTTTCATACTAAGAAATAACAATCGTATGGAAATTTGACACCATAAGCACCTCTCTTTTTAGGCACTAAATTTTGGGTAGCAATGGTGACATGGTTTCTACCAAAACAATACTGTTGTGTTTGGTGGGAAAAAAAAATTTATTTAGGCCGGGTGTGGTGGCTCACACCTGTAATCCCAGCACTTTGGGAGGCCGAGGCAGGTGGATCATTTGAGGCCAGGAGTTCAAGACCAGTCTGACCAACATAGTGAAACCCTGTCTCTACTAAAAATACAAAAATTAGCCGGGCATGGTGGTACCCACCTGTCATCCCAGCTACTCAGGAGGCTGAGGGACAAGAATCACTTGAATCTGGGAGGCAGAGGTTGCAGTGAGCCAAGTCTCAAAAGTAAATTTAAAAAAAAAAAAAAAAAAAAAAGGCTGGGCATGGTGGCTCACACCTGTAATCCCAGCACTTTGGGAGGCCCAGGCAGGCGGATCACGAGGTCAGATGGAGACTATCCTGGCTAACATGGTGAAACCCCATCTCTACTAAAAACAAAAAAAAATTAGCCGGGCATGGTAGCGGGCACCTGTAGTCCCAGCTACTTGGGAGGCTGAGGCAGGAGAATGGCATGAACCCGGGAGGTGGAGCTTGCAGTGAGCCGAGATCATGCCACTGCACTCTAGCCTGGGCGACAGAGGGAGACTCCGTCTAAAAAAAAAAAAATTAGCTGGGCATGGTGGCGCTTGCCTGTAATCCCAGCTCTTCTGGAGGCTGAGGTGGGAGGATCATTTGAACCTGGGAGGTTGAGGCTTCAGTAAGCTGAGATCATGCTACTGCACTCCAGCCTGGGTGACAGAGGAAGATGCTGTGTTATAAATTTATTATTGTTATTATTTGAGACAGAGTCTCATTCTGTCACCCAGGCTGGCGTTCAGTGGTGTGATCTCCGCTCATTTCAAGTGATTTTCCTGCCTCAGCCTCCCAAGTAGCTGGGATTACAGGCACCACCACCACATCCGGCTAATTTTTGTATTTTTTAGTAGAGACAGAGTCTTGCCATGTTGGCCAGGCTGGTCTTGAACTCCTGACCTCAGGTGATCTGCCCGCCTTGGCCTCCCAAAATGCTGGGATTACAGGCATGAGCCCTCACGCCTGGCCTATAAAATTTTTTTTAAATATGCTGTTCAGTTTTTAGATGTACATTTAAAACTGTAAACAGTCCACCCTGGCATCCAAGCCTCACCTCACCCATCACAAAGCATGGTTCGGGTTCCCTCCTCCTCCTCCGGTCGCCCTCTTAGCCTCTTTGAAGGTTTTTCTTCTCAGGCTTCCCAGACCCAGTGCCTACACTCTGAGGGCCCTGGGCTCCCTCCAGTTCCGTGCTGGGTGTCTCCAGAACAAGCGGGGTTCCATGTCTTCCCTGAAAGCCTGCTCCTCCCTGGGGCCCCAGATCCCCCCACTCCCTGCCTGGTCAGCCCCTGCCTCTCCTGAGTCTTCACACCTGCCCATTCTCCCTCCTATCCTCCCCACCTCTCCCCAGCCTCAGCCTCTCCCCCAGGACGGGGACAGTGTGTCTGAGGGCCAGAGGGGTTAACTTTGAGTGTCTGTTGATTGAAAGACCAAGTGAATAGAAAATCAAGCCTAAACTGGAAGCCCTGAGCACTTCCTTTTCTTTGTCTGCAAACTGCTCAGGTGTCTCACCCCGCCAGGCTTTGGCACTGGCTCTTTCCTCATCCAACGGACACCCTTTCCCTCAACTCCTACCTTATCTGGAGAACTCTTATGTTACCTGCAAAACCTAATCCCATCGTACCCTTCCCTGTCAGAGTTATAAATTCAATCCTCAACTCAGGGGTACTGGGGGCATTTATGACAAGCTGTGTCATAAATTATAACAGCTTCTCTCAGGACACGTGGCCAGGAAGTGGGTGATCTTCCTTAATGACCCTCACTCCTCTCTCCTCTCTTCCCAGCTACTCTGACCCATGGATCCCCTGGGCCCAGCCAAGCCACAGTGGCTGTGGCGCCGCTGTCTGGCCGGGCTGCTGTTTCAGCTGCTGGTGGCTGTGTGTTTCTTCTCCTACCTGCGTGTGTCCCGAGACGATGCCACTGGATCCCCTAGGCCAGGGCTTATGGCAGTGGAACCTGTCACCGGGGCTCCCAATGGGTCCCGCTGCCAGGACAGCATGGCGACCCCTGCCCACCCCACCCTACTGATCCTGCTGTGGACGTGGCCTTTTAACACACCCGTGGCTCTGCCCCGCTGCTCAGAGATGGTGCCCGGCGCGGCCGACTGCAACATCACTGCCGACTCCAGTGTGTACCCACAGGCAGACGCGGTCATCGTGCACCACTGGGATATCATGTACAACCCCAGTGCCAACCTCCCGCCCCCCACCAGGCCGCAGGGGCAGCGCTGGATCTGGTTCAGCATGGAGTCCCCCAGCAACTGCCGGCACCTGGAAGCCCTGGACGGATACTTCAATCTCACCATGTCCTACCGCAGCGACTCCGACATCTTCACGCCCTACGGCTGGCTGGAGCCGTGGTCCGGCCAGCCTGCCCACCCACCGCTCAACCTCTCGGCCAAGACCGAGCTGGTGGCCTGGGCGGTGTCCAACTGGAAGCCGGACTCGGCCAGGGTGCGCTACTACCAGAGCCTGCAGGCTCATCTCAAGGTGGACGTGTACGGACGCTCCCACAAGCCCCTGCCCAAGGGGACCATGATGGAGACGCTGTCCCGGTACAAGTTCTATCTGGCCTTCGAGAACTCCTTGCACCCCGACTACATCACCGAGAAGCTGTGGAGGAACGCCCTGGAGGCCTGGGCCGTGCCCGTGGTGCTGGGCCCCAGCAGAAGCAACTACGAGAGGTTCCTGCCACCCGACGCCTTCATCCACGTGGACGACTTCCAGAGCCCCAAGGACCTGGCCCGGTACCTGCAGGAGCTGGACAAGGACCACGCCCGCTACCTGAGCTACTTTCACTGGCGGGAGACGCTGCGGCCTCGCTCCTTCAGCTGGGCACTGGCTTTCTGCAAGGCCTGCTGGAAGCTGCAGCAGGAATCTAGGTACCAGACGGTGCGCAGCATAGCGGCTTGGTTCACCTGAGAGGCCGGCATGGGGCCTGGGCTGCCGGGACCTCACTTTCCCAGGGCCTCACCTACCTAGGGTCTCACTAGTCGGGGGATTTACCTACCTGGGGCCTCGGCTGCCTGGGGCCTCGGCTGCCTGGGGTCTCACCTGCCTGGGGCCTCACCTGCTGGAGTCTTTGGTGGCCAGGCATGTGACTTACCTGGGATTTCACTTGCCGGGCTTCACTGCCAGGAGCCTCCCCTGCTGGGGACCTTGCCAGCTGGGGCTGGGGATGGTGCCTACTGGGGACCTTGCTTTCTGGAGGCTGCACCTACTGAGGATCTCGGCTGTTGGGGACTTTACCTGCTGGGACCTGCTCCCAGAGACCTTGCCACACTGAATGTCACCTGCTAGGAGCCTCACCCGCTGGGAGGCACAGGGCCCAAGGGAGCTGGATGTGTTGCCCAAGGTGTGCAGGGCAGGTCAGGGAAGGGCAGGGTCCCCTAAGGAGGAGGGCGAAGGGTATGTGTGTGACCATCAGCAGTGGTGTGCACATGGCTGGGGGACACTCGGTTTGACCGCCAGCGGATGGGTGTCACAAATGCATCACTATGGGTGTGACCTCGGCGTGACTCTGATAGTGCCTGTGGATGTGTTGCGATGCCTCACCCTGGAGGGCACTGGGCCCTGAGAACGGGTGCCCTTGAGGCCCTGCCCCCGGGCGATGGTGCAGGCTGGTTTGCTTGTGGTTTTATTGCTGTTGTTAACCACCCATGAGGGGTGCAAACAGATAATGCTGTTAACATTTTCAGGCGAGAATGCTTCAAGGAAAGCTCCTGTGTCCCCCCTCACTCTAGAACAGTGGTTCTCACGCAGGGCGATTCTGTCCCCAAGGGCACTTGGCAATGTCTGGAGACATTTTCAGTTGTCACAACCAGGGGAGGAGGATGAGGTCACCTAGTGGGTAGAGGCCAGGGTTACTCCAAACCCCCTACAATGCACGAGTCGGGGCCCTTACAACCAACAATGATGGTTCCAAATGTCCAGGGGCAGAAAACCCTGTTCTAGAACTTTCTATGACCCTGGAGGTCAAGCCTCTTGGGGGAGGCGTTCAGATCCCTCGGGGGTCCTCTCCTTCAGCTGGCTCCCTGGGGTGGGCTCTGGCACCCACCCAGAAGTGAAAGTCTTTTTTCTGAAGGTCTCAGGTCAAGAACTCCAAAGTCAGGCAAGCCCTGCATAGAGCCCTGCTCCATGACTTAGGGGCTGCAGGTGGTTTCTGACTGTAAATGAGGATGTCCAGAATATTCCAGAACATTCTGGAACATTCTGGCCTTGGGGGAAATTGCTGCTCTCTGGAGAATGCCAAGGGGAACCTGGTGGTGGAAGGTGGTAGTGAATTCCAGGTGCTCTCTGAGCCTCAATCTCCCCATTTGCACAGTGGACATGCAGGCTCTGAGGGCTGAGGAGTGGGGCCCACGCTCTCCAGGAGTGAAGGTGGGCAGGGCTGGGATAAAGGGACCCTCTCTGCCCAGGGTACGGGGTCCAGGGGAGCTGGATGTGTTGCCCAAGGTGTGCAGGGCAGGTCAGGGAAGGGCAGGGTCCCCTAAGGAGGAGGGCAAAGGGTATGTGTGTGACCGTCAGCAGTGGTGTGCACTTGGCTGGGGGACACTCGGTGTGACCGCCAGCGGGTGGGTGTCACCAACGCATCACTGTGGCTGTGACCTCAGCGTGACTCTGATAGTGCCTGCAGATGTGTCTCGATGCCTGCCTGTGGCTCTATGTGGGTGCTCGTAGGTGGCGGTGATTGTGAGTGTGAGACGGAATGTGTGGCCTGGGAGTGAGGCTTTGAGTGTTGGACGGAGCAGCGGCCCCTCTGAGTGTGCTGGGCTCTCCAAGTCTGTGTGTGTCTCTGTGTAACTGCGCAAGGCTGTGTCTGCATGGACCTGTGTCCTTGGGTGTGGTGAAGTGGGCTGTGTGGGGACACATGTGGGACTCTTAAGCTGTGTCTGCAAGTGGCTGTGACCGTGTGTGTGGCCTTGTGGATGGGCAGGGAGAGGTGGGCTTCTTAAAAGTATTACAGGAGGGGAAACTGAGGCCCACAGAGGGCCAGGGACCCAGGCCAAACATTCCTCCCTGCAGGGGGGTACGCAGAGACCCTGCGGGGGTGGTGGGAGGATCAGCATGACCTCAGCCTCCTGAAGAAGGTGCCGGCAGTGGCTCCACTCTGTAGAGGAGGTGGCTGATGCCCAGAGAAGTTGAGGAACTCACCCAAGGCCACACAGCTGCCAGAGGCGAAAGTCGGTTTTCTGAAGATCTCAGGTCAAGAACTCCAAAATCTGGCAAGCCCTGCATAGAGCCCTGCTCCACCACTTAGGGGCTGCAGGTGGCTTCTGACTGTAAATGAGGACGTCTGGAACATTCCAGAACATTCTGGAACATTCTGGGCTTGGGGGAAATTGCTGCTCTCTGGAGAATGCCATGGGGGACCTGGTGGTGGAGGGTGGTGGTGACTCCCCGGTGCTATCTGAGCCTCACTTTCCCCATCTGCACAGTGGACATGCCTCAGAGGTGCCTGTGATGGCTCCCCCAGGCCCAGGTGGGAGGGTGGAGGGGCATAGGGTGGGGAAGGTGTGAGGGGACTGGAGAGTCTCTGTCAAACCCCCTTGTGACTCCGGGCCTGAGCCAGCCTCGATGGGCCCATCACTCACCTGCCACCCACACCACACACCTGGGCCCCTCTCTCCACTGCCTGGCTGCAAGTCAGGGGTCCCAGGAGGGGATCAGGGGCTCACGGGAGGCCAGGCCAGGTCTTCCTAACAGGGTGGTGTGGGGCCAGTCCGCTGGGGGTAAGGAGTTGGAGTGGGGACAGGCTGCTCTGTCCCCTGACGCCCCTGGAGCCCCCATGGTCTCCACCTCTACCTGAGCTGATGTCAGAGTGAACAGCTCCCTTTCCCAACTTCTCTTTCTCTCCCTCTGGAATTTCCTCTGAGACTTAGAGGGACATGGAAACCCTCCTTGGGTCCCACAAGGGCAGAGGCCCAGCCACCTGGCCAACGTTGGGGGACCCTGGCCTGCCCACTCTGGAACCCCAGGATGGCTCCCAACCCCCATTGCCTCCCTGTATGCCCCGGATCTCACATGTGGTTCATGGCGCACCCAGCTCAGCCCGTGGGGCCTTCTCCCTCCTTCTGAGCGGCAGCTGCCCTTGGCTCCCAGCCCTGGGCCCCACGGGGAGAAAAATTTCCAGCAGGCTGGCAGCTGCTCCATCACCCACCCAGCCCAGGCTGAGGGAGGAGCTGGGGGGTCTGATGAGGGCAGAGACCCCAACGAGGAGGTCCTCGTGATCCCCCAATCTGGGCTCTGGGCTCAGCTGTTTGACAGGGAGACCTCACCTGGCACTAGCCTGATGAGCCCTGCTCAGAGAGGGCCAGGGAATCTCTCAGGTCACACAGCAATTTCAAGATAAGCACACACTGTCTCTGGCAATTCGCCGCAGCTCCTCTTCCAGATCTCAGTGGCTGGAGGCTAGTCCAGTTGTGGATCTGATGGCCAAGGGGCCTGGGTTGCAATCCCAATCCCCACCCGCAGCCCTCCCAACTCCTGGCTACATGAACAAGGTGGACTGGGGTTGGATGTTACAGGAGGAGGGAACCAGTTCAAAGGACACAAGAAGTGATTCAGGGTGAGGGCCAATCAGATGTGGGCCGTGAGCTGCCAGGGCGGATCTTGGGGACAGGGCAGGGGCTCCACGGGTGACAGTGCCAGTGCGGTAATGACCACATTTGAGTGGGGTGGGGTGACCTCACCAGGAATCTGTCTTCTGCCCTGCTCTGTCAAAAGGAGCATGTGGCCGGGCACGGTGGCTCATACCTGTAATCCCAGCACTTTGGAAGGCTGAGGTGGGCGGATCACTTGAGGTCAGGAGTTTGAGACCAGCCTGACCAACATGGAGAAACTCCGTGTCTACTAAAATTACAAAAATTAGCCGGACGTGGTGGCATGTGCCTGTAGTCCCAGCTCCTTGGGGGGCTGAGGCAGGAGGATCACTTGAACCTGGGAGGCAGAGATTGCAGTGAGCTGAGACTGGGCGACGGCACTCCAACAGTGCGAGACTCTGTCCAAAAAAAAAAAAAAAAGCATGGGATTCATTTCCAGTCCCTGTAGAGGGACAGGACACGCAGGAAAGGGCAGATGTGGCCAAATTGACCACGATTCCTTAATGACCCAATAAAGTAGGCCGGGCGCAGTGGCTCACGCCTGTAATCCCAGCACTTTGGAAGGCCAAGGCGGATGGATCACGAGGTCAGGAGATGGAGACCATCCTGGCTAACACGGTGAAACCCCGTCTCTATTACAAAAAAATACAAAAAATTAGCCAGGTGTGGTGGCGGGCGCCTGTAGTCCCAGCTACTTGGGAGGCTGAGGCAGGAGAATGGCGTGATCCCGGGAGACGGAGCTTGCAGTGAGCCAAGATCGTGCCACTGCACTCCAGCCTGGGCGACAGAGCAAAACTGTCTCAAAAAAAAAAAAAAAAAAAATGACCCAAGAAAGCATTTACCAACCTCTACTTTCTTGCTGTTGGGGCTTAGGCAGAGTCTGGCCTCAGGTGTGATTGGAGCTCAGCCTGGAGTGTGGACTTGGCCCCCATTGCCATTGCCTGAGGCAGGAGGAGCACCATTGCCTCAGCCAGCCCAGCCTCCCATTGCCTGGTGATCACAACTGTGGAATGGGCAGAGTCCTGTGGCCCTCCGCTAGAGACCTACCCTCGGGTTTCTCACTCCAGCTTCCCTCATCTCTTGCTCTTCTAGGTTTTCTGTCCTCACGAGGCTGCCAGCCCAGCAGGGGAAAGAAGGGACACAGTGTGGCCTGAGCTAGGACAGGGGAGACAGAGGCAGTTGCAGGAGCCAGTGGAAGGAATTGATCTGGCTGGAAGAGGGCCGCTATCTGTGGAGGCTTCCTAGGGGAGCTGTCTGCACCTAAGCCCTGAAGAACGGGAACTAGGCAGGAGGCAGGGGGCAGAGAGCGCAGTTGTCCAGCTGGAGACAGCCTGCTACCTTGGAAACTCCAAGTGACTCAGCAATGAACACCCTCTCTCAGGACCTGTCTTCACATCCACAGGACAGCTGTGTGGGGCGGAAGCCTTGCCCATCCGGGCTTGGCTGGGGCTCCACTCTCGGAGGCATGTGAACCAGAGCAACTCCATCTTGAATAGGAGCTGGGTAAAATGAGGCTCAGACCCACTGGGCTGAATTCCCAGGTGGTTAAGTCATTCTAAGTCACAGGATGAGACAGGAGGTCGGCGCAAGATACAGGTCATAAAGCCCTTGGTGGTAAAACAGGTTGCAGTTGAGAAGCCGGTGAAAGCCCACCCAAACCAAGATGGCGATGAGAGTGACCTCAGGGCATCCTCAAAGCCCACCCAAACCAAGATGGCGATGAGAGTGACCTCAGGGCATCCTCAAAGCCCACCCAAACCAAGATGGTGATGAGAGTGACCTCAGGGCATCCTCAAAGCCCACCCAAACCAAGATGGTGATGAGAGTGACCTCAGGGCATCCTCACTGCCACACTCCCAGCAGCACCAGGACAGTTTACAGATGCCATGGCAACATCAGGAAGTTACCCTATGTGGTCTAAAAAGGGGAGGCATGAGTAATCTCCCCGTTGTTTAGCATATCATCAAGAAATAACCAGCTGGGCACGGTGGTTCAGGCCAGGTGTGGTTGCTCACTCCTGTAATTCCAGCACTTTGGGAAGCCAAGGTGGGTGGATTACCTGAGGTCAGGAGTTCGAGACCAGCCTGGCCAACATGGTGAAACCCCATCTCTACTAAAAATACAAAAATTAGCTGGGCGAGGTGGCGCACGCCTGTAGTCCCAGCTACTCAGGAGTCTGAGGCACGAGAATCGCTTCAACCCAGGAGGTGGAGGTTGCAGTGAGCTGAGATCCTACCACTGCACTCCAGCCAGCCTGGGCGATAGAGTGAGACTCCGTCTCAAAAAAAGAAAAAAAGAAATAACCATAAACGGGCAACCAGCGGCCCTCAGGGCTACTCTATGGAGTAGCCATTCTTTTATTCCTTTACTTTCCTAATAAACTTGCTTTCACTTTACTCTAGGGACTAGCCCTGAATTGTTTCTTACGTGAGATCCCAGAACCCTCTCTTGGGGTCTGATTGGAACCCCTTTCCTCTAACACCAGGACAAAGTGATACCAAGACTGATAACCCCACAAGTTGTTTTAATCAGTCACAGAGAATGCCCCCAGCGAGGACATGAGCAGAGAGCAGACTTAGGTCACCCCTTCTGGAAATGGCCTGCCTGGGAGACTCCAGTCCCTGGCCCAGCCCTGTCCCCTCAATCTTCCCCACTGTCTTGGGCCTGGCTGGGCACTGAGATGGTGGAACCCCAGGCAGCGTGAAGCAGCCTCCTGGAAATGATTTCTAGAACAGGGAAGACATCATACATGGAGGCTGGACCTTAGATTCGGTCGCCCCTGCACCCAGTTTGGGACTGACAGAGTTGAAGGCCATCCTGTCTCAAGGACAGCCTTCCAGATCATTTCTCTTCTCCATTCCAGGAAGCTTATCTGGCTCCCTGGACTTCTCCTGTGATTTACAGGAGAGGGTGGGGAAAGGGAGGGCTTTTGTTTTTTGTTTTGTTTTGTTTTTGTGAGACGGAGTCTTGCTCTGTCTCCCAGGCTAGAGTGCAGTGGCGCAATCTTGGCTCACTACAACCCCCGCCTCCCGGTCTCAAGTGATTCTCCTGTCTTAGCCTCCCAAGTAGCTGGAATTACAGGTTCCTGCTACCGCACCTGGCTAATTTTTGTATTTTTTTTTTTTTTTTTTTGGTGGGGATGGGGTTTCACCATGTTGGCCAGGCTGGTCTCGAACTCTTGACCTCATGATCCACCCGCCTCGGCCTCTCAAAGTGCTGGGATTACAGGCGTGAGCCACCGTGCCCGGCCAAAGGAGTGCTTTTGAGGCACACAGAGGGCCTTGGTGAGGCCACCGCTCTGGGGCAGAGGACCCTCACCGCTTGCCAGGACACCTGAAAACAGCCTCCTCTTCCTCCCCGCTCTCCTCTGCTCTGTCCCGATGGCCTGTGCCCAGCATGTCCTGATAAAGCATCTCAAACCACATATTAATATGGTAACCTGGCTGGGTGCGGTGGCTCACGCTTGTAATCCCAGGGATTTGGGAGATTGAGGTGGGAGGATCACTTGAAGCCAGGAGTTCAAGACCAGCCTGGCCAACATGGTGAAACCCCATCTCTACTAAAAATACAAAAATTAGCCAGGCGTGGTTGCATGTGCCTGTAGTCCCAGCTACTCAAGAGGCTGAGGCAGGAGAATCGCTTGAACCCAGGAGGCGGAGGAGCCAATATTGCACCACTGTACTCTAGCCTGGAAGACAGAGCAAGACTCCATCTCAAAAAAAAAAAATTAAAAATTAACGTGGTGGTGCACGCCTGTACTGCTAGCAACCAGGGAGGCTAAGGCAGGAGGATCATTTGAGCCCAGGAGTTAGAGGCTGCAGTGAGCTATGATCGCCACACTGAACTGTAGCCTGGATGAGAGTGAGACCTTGTCTCAAAAAAAAAAAAAAAAGAAAAGAAAAATGGCCGAGCGCAGTGGCTCACGCCTGTAATCCCAGTGCTTTGGGAGGCTGAGGCGGGCAGATTGCTTGAGCTCAGGAGTTTGAAACCAGCCTGGGCAACATAGCGAGACCTCGTCTCTACAAAAAATAAACCATATTAGCCAGGCATAGTGGCACATGGCTGTAGCCCTAGCTACTCGGGAGCCTGAGGCAGGAGGATCGCTTGAGCCTGGGAGGTGGAGGCTGCAGCGAGTCATGGTCATGCCATTGCAGTTCCAGCCTGGGCGACAGAGTGAGATTCTGTGTCAAAAAAAAAAAAAAAAAGCAACCCCACTGCTTGAAGCTTTGCACGGCTTCCTATCACCCTGGTGCTAAACATGCCACCATTGACCATGGCTGGATGTGGCTCAGCCCCAGAAGCAGCACTGTCTCATCTTCCGCTTGTGAAGACCCAGCCTAGAGTTTCCTTCAGCTCCTCTAATGCGCCTGGACCTCTGCTTTGCACAGATTCTTTTTTTTTGAGACAGCGTCTCTGTCACCCAGGCTGGATGGCAGTGGCATGATCTCGGCTCACTGCAATCTCCTCCTCCTGGATTCAAGCGATTCTCTTGCCTCAGCCTACTGAGTAGCTGGGATTACAGGTGCCCACCACTGCGCCCGGCTAATTTTTGTATTTTTAGTAGAGACAGGGTTTCACCATGTTGGCCAGGCTGGTCTCAAACTCCTGACTACAGGTGATCCACCCGCCTCAGCCTCCCAAAATGTCATGCGTGTCTGTGTGAAGAGACCACCAAACAGGCTTCATGTGAACAATAAAGCTTTTTAATCACCTGGGTGCAGGCGGGCTGAGTCCGAAAAAGGAGTCAGCAAAGGGAGATAGGGGGTGGGTCAGTTTTTACAGGATTTAGGTAGGTAGTGGAAAGTTACAGTTAAAGATGGTTATCTCTTGCGGGCAGGGGCAGGGGTCACAAGGTGCTGGGTAGGGAGATCATGAGACTCATTGTCCAGGAGAAGAAATGTCACAAAGTTAATTGATCAGTAAAGGTGGGACAGGAACAAATCACAATGGTGGAATGACATCAGTTAAGGCAGGAACTGGCTATTTTCACTTCTCTTGTGGTTCTTCAGCTGCTTCAGGCCATCTGGATGTATACATGCAGGTCACGGGGGATATACAATGGCTTAGCCTGGGCTCAGAGGCCTGACACCAAGTGCTGAGATTACAATCGTGAGCCACCGCGCCTGGAGCACAGATTCTTTTCTCTACGTGGAATGCTCTTCTCTTCCCTTTTGACTTACAGAACTCCTACGGGGCTTCAGCTCCCAGCTCAAACCTCCAGGAAGCCCAGACCACGTGACAGCCACCTTCATATTCTGCAAACATTGTGTCACGCACGTCGGTGCGAAGAAAGTCACCAAACAGGCTGTGTGTGAGCAATAAAGCTTTTTAATCACCTGGGTGCAGGCGGGCTGAGTCCGAAAAGAGAGTTAGCAAAGGGTGGTGGGATTATCATTAGTTCTTATAGGGTTGGGATAGGCGGTGGAGTTAGGAGGAATTTTTTGCGGGCAGGGGTTGGATCTTACGAAGTACATTCTCATGGGCGGGGAGAATATTACAAAGTACCTTCTTAAGGGCAGGGGGAGGATATTACAAAGTACCTTCTTAAGGGCAGGGAGGGTGTATTGTCACAAAGTCAATTGATCAATTAGGGTGAGGCAGGAACCAATCACAATGGTGGGATGTCATCAGTTAAGGCAGGAACTGGCTATTTTCACTTCTTTTGTGGAAAAATACTGGCCCTCTGGAGCGGGGGCTGGAATATTGGCAGGTGTGGAGGCATTGGCTATTTCTTTTGCTGTCCTGTCGACATAGGCATTTCCTTTTGCAATAAGATCAGTAGGTTTCTGGTGTCCTTTACAATGAATGACTGCAGCCATGGCCGGCGGGAGAGCAACCTTAAGGAGGGCCTTTATTAGGGAGGCATTGATCATGGAAGAGCCTTGTGTGGTAAGGAAGCCTCTTTCAGCCCAGAGGGCAGCATGGTTATGGAGGATGTGGAAAGCATATTGGAGTCAGTGTAAATGTTAATGTGCATTCTGTTAGCAAGAGAGAGCGCACGAGTTAAAGCAATTAGTTTGGCTTGTTGGGAAGTGGTGGAGGGAGGAAGTGCAGCAGCTTCGATAATAAAGGTGTGGGACAAGACATCATATCCAGCTTTAGCTGGTGAAAATTGATTGGGTTTAGAAGCACTGCCATCGATAAACCAAGTGTGGCCTGGGTTTGGAATTGGAAGAATAGAAATCTGAGGAAAGGGGGAAGATGCTATGTGTATTAGGGAAACACAGTCATGTGGTTCAGGACTTGTGTTGGGTGTTAAGTGAGAAGCTGGGTTGAAATCGGGCCCATAGGCAATAGTTACTGTTGGGGTTTCAGTAAACAGTGAACAGAGCTGGAGGAGTCGAGGGGCAGACAGTAGGTGTGAAAGGTGTGAGGAGGATATTAACGCTTGAAGGTTGTGAGAACTGTAGAGGGCAAGTGGAGCCTGGCCTGTGATTTTGAGGGCTTCCAGAAGTATTAAAGTGGTGGCTGCTGCCACATGTAGACATGAGGGCCAGCCTAAAACAGTAAGGTCAGGTCGTTTGGATAGAAAGGCTGCAGGGCACAGTCTTGGCTCTTGTATAAGAATTCTGACCACACAGCCCAGCACTTCGGCTGTGTGTAAGGAAAAAGGGTTGGGCTAAGTCAGGGAGAGCTAGTGTGGGAGCAGTCTCTATAGCTGTTTTCAAGGAACGGAAAGAGGAGTGGGGAAAGGATTTAGGATCTATGGGATCAGCTAGATTTCCCTTTGTGAGTTTATATAATGGTTTTGTTAGGATGGCAAAACCAGGTATCCAAAGGCAAAAGTACCCAACCATGCCCAGGAAGGAAAGAGTTTTTGCTTTGTAGGAGGGGTTGGGGTTTGAGAGATCAGCCGGACATGATCGGCAGGGAGAACACGTGTGTTTTCATGAAGAATTATGCTGAGGTAGGTAACGGATGAGGAAGAAATCAGGGCTTTGGAGGGGGATACGCAATATCCCTTTAAGAATAGATGTTGGAGGAGCAGGAGGGTGTCCTGTTGGGAAGATTTGCAGGAGGGGCTATAAAGTAGAAGGTCATCAAAATATTGAATAAGGTGAGAAGCAAAGGGGTGGAAAGAAAGTAAATCATGAGAAAGAGCTTGGCTGAAGTAATGAGGGCTGTCTCTGAAGCCTTGTGGCAGTACAGCCCAGGTAAGCTGCTGGGACTGATGGGTGTCAGGGTCAGCCCAGGTAAAAGCAAAAAGAGGCTGGGATGAGGGGTGCAGGGGAATGGTGAAAAAAGCATCTTTAAGATCAAGAACTGAATAGTGAGTTGTGTAGGAAGGTATTGAGGACAAAAGAGTGTACGGGTTGGTCCCCACAGGGTGGATAGGAAAAACAATTTTGTTGATAAGGTGCAGATCCTGAACTAACCTGTAAGACTTGACCAGTTTTTGGACAGGTAAAATGGGGGAATTGTAAGGAGAGTTTATAGGCTTTAGAAGCCCATGCTGTAGCAGGCGAGGGATAATAGGCTTTAGTTCCCTTAAAGCCTGTTGTGGGATGGGATACTGGCATTGAGCGGGGTAAGGGTGATTAGGTTTTAATGGGATAGTAACGGGCGTGTGATTGGTTGCCGGGGAGGGAGTAGGGGTGTCCCCTCCCTGTGGGTGAAGGTGGGAGGGATACAAGAGGAAGACACGAAGGACGCTTTGGTTTGGGAAGAAGGGCGGCAATGAGATGTGGCTATAGTCCAGGAATGGTCAGGGAAGAAGACAATTTGGTTAAAATGTCTCGGCCTAATAACAGAACTGGGCAGGTGGGGATAACTAAGAAAGAGTGCATAAATGAATGTTGTCCAAGTTGGCACCAGAGTGGGGGAGTTTTAAGGGGTTTTGAATCTTGGCTGTCAATACCCACAACAGTTATGGGGGCAAGGGAAACAGGCCCTTGAAAGAAAGGTAATGTGGGCTGGGTGTGGTATCTCACGCCTGTAATCCCAGCACTTTGGGAGGCCGAGGCGGGCAGATCACCTGAGGTCAGGAGTTCGAGACCAGCCTGGCCAACAAGGTGAAACCCCATCTCTACTAAAAATACAAAAATTAGCCGGGTGTGGTGGCGGGCATCTGTAATCCCAGCTACTCGAGAGGCTGAGGCAGGAGAATCCCTTGAACCCGGGAGGTGGAGGTTGCAGTGAGCCGAGATTGCTCCGTTGCACTCCAGCCTGGGTGACAGAGAGAGACTCTGTCTCAAAAAAAAAAGAAAGGTAATGTGGATGGGTAGCTCCCATATCAATTAAACAGGGGATGGCCTTACCCTCCACTGTGAGAGTTACCCGAAGCTCGGCGTCCATGATGGTCCAGGGGGCTTCCGAGGCGACCAGGCAGCATCAGTCTTCAGCCGCTAAGCTGAGAAGATCTGAAAAGGAGTCAGTCAGAGAGCCTGGGGCCAGAGTTCCAGGGGCTCTGGGAGTGGCTGCCAGGCTAGTTGGACGGTCTGATTTCCAGTGGGGTCCTGCACAGATGGGACACGGCTTAGGAGGAATCCCAGGCTGCGGGCATTCCTTGGCCCAGTGGCCAGATTTCCGGCACTTGAAGCAAGATCCTGGGGCAGGAGGTCCTGGAGGAATGCCTGGCAGATGTGGTTTAGGCGTTTTGAAGTTCTCATGTTCTGGAGATGTGGCTGGCGTTTCTCTCTCAGCGGAGGCAAGTAATTACAACTCAGAAATACGTTGCCACTTGGCTGTATCTTTTTTATTATTGTATACCTTGAAGGCAAGGTTAATTAAGTCCTGTTGTGGGGTTCGAGGGCTGGAATCTAATTTTTGGAGTTTTTTCTAATGTTAGGAGCGGATTGAGTGATAAACTGCATATTGAGAATAAGACGGTCTTCTGGTCCCTCTGGGTCTAGGGTGGTAAAGCATCTCAGGGTTGTTGCCAAATGGGCCATGAACTGGGCCGGGTTTTTATATTTGATGGAAAAGAGCCTAAATGCTAACTGATTTGAGAGAGGTCAGCTAAAGAAAAAGGAGCATTAACCTTGCCTATGCCTTCAGCTCCAGCCACCTCTCTAAGAGGAAATTGTTGGGCAGGTGGGGGAGGGCTGTGTCACGGAACGAAACTGTAAGCCAGACCGGGTGTGAGGAGGGGAGGTGATAGAAGGATTATAGGGTGGGGGAGCGGAGGTTGAGGAAGAATTGGGACCTGGCTCTGCCTGGCAAGGAGCAGCCTGGGGAGGAGGGGAGAGGTCAGATGGGTTCGTAGAAAAGGAGGATTCAAAGGACTCAGAGCTTGGGGTGCAGACTGAAGGAACAGACAGGAGAGAAAGAAGAAAGATTTGGGACGAGTCGCATTGGGAGCAGAGACTAGGGAGGGACCAGTGTGTAAAAGAATGCCTGGACGCGGCCGGGCATGGCGGCTCACACCTGTAATCCCAGCACTTTGGGAGGCCAAGGTGGGCGGATCACAAGGTCAGGAGATCGAGACCATCCTGGCTAACACAGTGAAACCCCGTCTCTACTAAAAATAAAAAAAATTAGCTGGGCATGGTGGCGGGCGCCTGTAGTCCCAGCTACTCAGGAGGCTGAGGCAGGAGAATGGCGTGAACCCGGGAGGCGGAGCTTGCAGTGAGCCGAGATCGCGCCACTGCACTCCAGCCTGGGTGACAGAGCGAGACTCCGTCTCAAAAAAAAAAAAAAGAATGCCTGGACGTCAGGCACCTCGGACCATTTGCCCATGTTTCAACAAAAATCATCTAGGTCTTGTAAAGTGGAGAAATCAAAAGTGCCGTTTTCTGGCCATTTGGAACCGTTGTCGAGTTTGTATTGGGGCCTAGCAGTATTGCAAAATAAGGCAGTTAGGTTTTTAGGTCAGGTGTGAGTTGAACAGGTTTTAAGTTCTTGAGAACACAGGCTAAGGGAGAAGGGGGAATGGAGGGCGGAAGGTTGCCCGTAGAAAGGTAGAGACACGGAGAAGTGGGGCTTTGGGGGGTGAGCAGCCAAAGCAGGTGTCCCCGCAATTGACTTGCCACCAAGGGAATGTGGGTGATGAGCAAGGCAGGCGTCCCCCGCGGTGATCAGACACCAATGGAATGTGGGTGAATGATCAGGGCAGGCGTCCCTGCAGTGATTAAACACCAAGGGAAGACCGTCTTTCCAAGTCCGTGACCAGCGCCGGAGTTTTGGGTTCACGGATAAAATGTGTCTCCTTTGTCTCTACTACAGAGGAAAAATAACTGGAATTGGAAGGACAGGGAGATTGAAGCGTAGCGAGAGAGGCTGGAGAAGAGAGTGAAAAGACTGCTTACCCCATTTGAAATTGGTGAGATGTTCCTTCGGCTGGTTGGTCTGAGGACCTGAGGTTGCAGGTGGATCTCCTCACGGAGTGAGGGCGAGGACAGGAGACCGGTCTCCCAAAGGAGTCCTCCTGTCCTGGGTCTTCGGCACCAAATGTCACACTCGCCCGTGTGAAGAGAGTCTACCAAACAGGCTTCGTGTGAGCAATAAAGCTTTTTAATCACCTGGGTGCAGGCGGGCTGAGTCCGAAAAGAGAGTTAGCAAAGGGTGGTGGGATTATCATTAGTTCTTATAGGTTTGGGATAGGCAGTGGAGTTAGGAGCAATTTTTTGCGGGCAGGTGGTAGATCTTACAAAGTACATTCTCAAGGGTGAGGAGAATATTACAAAGTATCTTCTTAAGGGCTGGAGGGGGAGAATATTACAAAGTGCCTTCTTAAGGGCAGGGAGGAGGATATTACAAAGCACCTTCTCAAGGGTGACGAGGGTATATTGTACAAAGTATGTTCACAAGGGCGGGGGAATATCACAAAGTACATTATTGCAAGGGGGTGGTGTATTGTCACAAAGTCAATTGATCAGTTAGGGTGAGGCAGGAACAAATCGCAATGGTGGAATGTCATCAGTTAAGGCAGGAACTGGCTATTTTCACTTTTTTTCTGGATCTTCAGTTGCTTCAGGCCATCTGGATGTACACGTGCAGGTCACAGGGGAGATGGTGGCTTAGCTTGGGCTCAGAGGCCTGAAGAATTGTTCCCTTACAAAAGTCATGTATTGTCTGATTCACCCACTTGCTCCCTGCACTCTCCCTGGGTCTGGTATGCAATAGGTGCATAAGCAATGTTTGTTGATTGACTGACTGAATGGGTGGGATGGTTAAAATTCTGCTCACTTCTCTCCCTTTACCATCTCCCGAGAAACCCATGGGGCCCCCGTGGGACCCACTTTGAGAATCAAAGCTTTAGACCAGCGTTTTCACTTTATGGATGGACCAGCTGTGCACCCAAAGCCAGGCAGCCTTCAGGCTACAGATGGAGCCCGGGTCACGTCCCGGGCCTCCAAGTTCCTGCACCCTTATCCGGTCTCACAGGCGAGATTAGGACACCCCGGAAACTGGCTTCCAGACAATATCCCTGCTGCAGGGGAGAACACCCTAGGTCACCTGGTGACAGGTGTGTGCTGCAATGTACACGTACTTGTTCCTCCTCTTCTCTGTTCCCACTTCCTCCCCGCCCCAGGAAACCTGCCATGGCCTCCTGGTGAGCTGTCCTCATCCACTGCTCGCTGCCTCTCCAGGTAAGTTATCCCATTCTACCTTTTCCCCCCACCCAGAATGCCTGGGAGACCTCCCAGGAAAGGCTTCCTGGCTCCGTCCCTCCTCCCCTCGGCCCCCATCCTATGGGCCCTGATTCATGATGTGGCTGGGCTGGCACAAAATCCCGGTGGAGAGTCACCAAACTGTCCATGACCTGGAATGTGGCCAGCACCCCCTAGTCACAGGCAGGGGTCTTTCTGGGTGTGGCATGCACCACCGTTGGGGAGGACATGGAAGGTTCTGGGTGATTTGCCAAACCGGAAGGAAAGAGTGACGTTTGTCTCTCTCTCTGGCAGAGCTCTGGAGTGGAGTCCCCTCTGCACCCCAACCCCATCAACAGCCTCCCCCCACTCATCTTTTCTGGCCTTGGATTCTCTCTGGCCCTGCCCTGCCTGGGGTGGACTTAAGATGCATTTTTTTTTTCTTTTTCTTTGAGACAGAATCTTGGTCTGTTGCCCAGGCTGGAGTGCAGTGATGCAATCATGGCTCACTGCAGCCTCAGACTCCTGGGCTCGAGTGACCCTCCTGCCTCAGGCTCTGGA
The DNA here is from genome assembly GCF_000001405.40 of Homo sapiens. NCBI lineage: Eukaryota > Metazoa > Chordata > Mammalia > Primates > Hominidae > Homo > Homo sapiens. The sequence goes on along the minus strand of NC_000019.10, from coordinate 5,850,828 downwards.
GTAGCTGGGACTACAGGTGTGTGCCACCTCACCTGGATACTTTTTAATTTTTTTTTCTTTTGTAGAGATGGGGTCTCACTATGTTGCTCAGGCAGGACTTTTTTTTTTTTTTTTTTTTTTTTTTTTGAGACAGAGTCTTGCTGTGTCGCCCAGGCTGGGGTACAGTGGCATGATCTCGGCTTATTGCAACCTCTGCCTCCCTCGTTCAAGCAATTCTTGTGCCTCAGCCTCCTGAGTAGCTGGGATTAAGGTGCCTGCCACCACACCTGGCTAATTTTTTATTTTTAGTAGAGACAAGATTTCACCATGTTGCCAAGGGTGGTCTCAAACTCTTGACCTCAGGTGACCTGCCCACCTCAGCCTCCGCAAGTACTGGCATTACAGCCATGAGCCATTGCACCCGGCCAATCAGGCAGGTCTTGAATTCCTGGGCTCAAGAGATCTGCCCACCTCACTCTCCGAAACTACTGGGATTACAGGCATGAGCCACCACGCCCAGCTATTTTTTTGCTTTTTGCTTCCTGATCTTTGTGATGTCTCAGCAGAGTAGCATTTTTTAATCTTTTTCTAGGAAAAAATATCTTGGGTTCAACTGGGGTGGGATCTCAGTCCTCATCGCGATCTCACATGTCTGTGTGAAGAGACCACCAAACAGGCTTTGTGTGAGCAACAAGGCTGTTTATTTCACCTGGGTGCAGGCAGGCTGAGTCCGAAAAAGGAGTCAGCAACGGTGGTGGGATTATCATTGTTCTTATAGGTTTTGGGATAGGCAGTGGAGTTAGGAGCAATGTTTTGCAGGCAGAGGGTGAATCTCATAAAGTACATTCTCAAGGGTGGGGAGAATTACAGAGAACCTTCTTAAGGGTTGGGGGGAGATTACAAAGTACATTGATCAGTTAGGGTAGGGCAGAAACAAATCAATGGTGGAATGTCATCAGTTAAGGCTATTTTCACTTTTTTTGTGGATCTTCAGTTGCTTCAGGCCATCTAGATGTATACGAGCAGGTCACTGGGGATATGATGGCTTAGCTTGGGCTCAGAGGCCTGACATTCCTGTCTTCTTATATTAATAAGAAAAATAAAACGAAATAGTGGTAAAGTGTTGGGGTGGCAACAATTTTTTGGGGTGGTATGGAGAGATAATGGGCGATGTTTCTCAGGGCTGCTTCGAGCGGGATTAGGGGTTGGTGTGGGAACCTAGAGTGGGAGAGATTAAGCTGAAGGAAGATTTTGGGGTAAGGGGTGATATTGTGGGGTTGTTAGAAGGAGTGTTTGTCGTATAGAATTATTGGTGATGGCCTGGATGCGGTTTTGTATGAACTGAGAAACTAAACAAAAGAGTGGCTGCCAGGTGAGTTGAACAGTCTGATTTTCATTGGGGGTCCTTCACAGATGGGACATGGCTTAGGAGGAATCCCGGGCTGCGGGCATTCCTTGGCCCGGTGGCCAGATTTCCAAAACTTGTAGCAAGCTCCTGGGGGAGGAGGTTCTGGAGGAACCCCTGGCAGCTGCGGTTCAGGCGTTTGGAGTTCTTGTGTTCTGGAGATGTGGCTGGGGTTTGTCTCACGGTGGAGGCAAGGAATTGCAACTCAGAAATACATTGCTACGTGGCTGCCTCTACTCTTATTATTGTACACCTTGAAGGCGAGGTTAATTAAGTCCTGTTGTGGGGTATGAGGGCCGGAATTTAATTTTTGGAGCTTTATTTAATGTCAGGAGCAGATTGGGTAATAAAATAAAATGCATTTTGAGAATAAGACGGCATTGTGACCTTTCAGGGTCTAGGGCTGTAAAACATCTCAGGATTGCTGCCAAATGGGCCATGAACTGGGCTGGGTTTTATATTTGATGAAAAAGAGCCTAAACGCTAACTGATCTGGGAGAGGTCGGATAAAGAAAAAGGAGCATTAACCTTGACTGTGCCTTTAGCTCCAGCCACCTCTTTAAGAGGAAACTGTTGGGCAGATGGAGGAGGGCTAGTCACGGAAAGAAACTGTAAGCTGGACTGGGTGTGAGGAGGGGAGGTAATAAAAGGATTATAGGGTGGAGGAGCAGAGGCTGAGGAAGAATTGGGACCTAGCTCGGCCTGGTGAGGAGCAGCCTGGGAAGGAGGGGAGAAGTCAGATGGGTTTGTAGAAAAGGAAGATTCAAGACTCAGCAACGCTTGGGGTTGGAACTGAGGGGACAGGCAGGAGGGAAAGAAGGAAGATTTGGGATGAACTGCATTGGGAACAGAGACTAGGGAGGGACCGATGTATAAAAGAATGCCTGAACGTCAGGCACCTCAGACCATTTGCCCATTTTATGACAAGAATTATTTAGATCTTGTAGGATGGAAAAATTGAAAGTGCCATTTTTTGGCTATTTGGAACCACTGTCTGGTTTGTATTGGGGTCAAGCGGCATTGCAGAAGAAAATAAGACATTTAGGTTTTAGGTCAGGCGAGAGTTGAAGAGGTTTTAAGTTCTTGAGAACACAGGCTAAGGGAGAGGAAGGAGGAATGGAGGGTGGAAGGTTGCCCATAGTGAAGTAGGCAAGTTTAAAGAGAAGGGTAGAGACACGGAGAGAAGGGGTGGGGGATGCTTATCCCCCAGGAAAGTGGAGAAGGGATGGGAGGTGCTTGCCCCCCAGGAAAATGGAAACGGGGTGGGGGGTGCTTGCCCCTCAGGAAAGTAGAGAAGGGGTAGAGACACGGAGAGAAGGGGTAAGGTGAGCAGCCAAAGCAGGCGTCCCTGCAATTGACTTGCCACCAAGGGATGTGGGTGAATGACCAAGGCAGGTGTCCCCGCGGAGATCAGACACAAATGGAATGTGGGTGAATAATCAGGCAGTCGTCCCCACAATGATTAAACACCAAGGGAAGGCTGCCTTCCCAAGTCCGTGACCGGCGCCAGAGTTTTGGGTCCACGGATAAAATGTGTCTCCTTTGTCTATACCAGAAAATGAAAGGAATTTAAATTAAGAGAAGGGAGAGATTGAAGGATGGTGCCAAGATTGAAAGGAGAAAGAGGTTGAGGGATAGTGAGAGAGGTTGGAGAAGGAGTAAAAGAGGCCACTTACCCAATTTAAAATCAGTGAGATGTTCCTTGGGCTGGTTGGTCTGCGGACCTGAGGTTGTAGGTGGATCTCTTCAGGGAGTGAAGGTGAGGACAGGGGACTGCTGTCCCGAAGGAGTCCCGCTGACCCGGGTCTTCGGCACCAAATGTCTCATGCGTCCGTGTGAAGAGACCACCAAACAGGCTTTGTGTGAGCAACGAGGCTGTTTATTTCACCTGGGTGCAGGCGGGCTGAGTCCAAAAAGAGAGTCATCAAAGGGTAGTGGGATTATCATTGGTTCTTATAGGTTTTGGGATAGGCGGTGGAGTTAGGAGCAATGTTCTGTGGGCAGGGGTGGATCTCACAAAGTACATTCTCAAGGGTGGGGAGAATTACAAAGAACCTTTTTTTTTTTTTTTTTGAGACGGAGTCTGGCTCTGTCGCCCAGGCTGGAGTGCAGTGGCTCTTTCTCGGCTCACTGCAAGCTCCGCCTCCCGAGTTCAAGCCATTCTCCTGCCTCAGCCTCCGGAGTAGCTGGGACCACAGGCGCCCGCCACTACGCCCAGCTAATTTTTTTTTGTATTTTTAGTAGAGACAGGGTTTCACCGTGTTAGCCAGGATGGTCTTGATCTTCTGACCTCGTGATCTGCCCGCCTCGGCCTCCCAAAGAGCTAGGATTACAGGCTTGGGCCACCGTGCCCGGCCTACAAAGAACCTTCTTAAGGGTGGGGGAGATTACAAAGTATATTGATCAGTTAGGGTGGGGCAGAAACAGATCACAATGGTGGAATGTCATCAGCTAAGGCTATTTTCACTTCTTTTGTAGATCTTCAGTTGCTTCAGGCCATTTGAACGTATATGAGCCGGTCGTAGGGGATATGATGGCTTAGCTTGGGCTCAGAGGCCTGAAAATCGCCCCCACCAATCACCTGTTTCCCCCAATCTACCCTCCTGAAGGTCACTGACAAAGACTTCATTGTCTCCTAGGAGAGGCTGCCATATATCCAGGGCTGACGTAATTCCATCTTAATATCAGTTACATTATAAAAATTTACCTCGTGCCTGAGGCCCCAGAGCCCAAGGGTGCAAAGCAGTAATTGGTCAAAGTTCAACTTCCCTCCCACTCTGGGCTCAGGCTGTCCCCTGAGGGCCTGTGTTTTGAGTCTCTTTCCAGAACCTTGGTGTGAACTTAGGTCTTGGCGTCGGGATCCCTTTTCGTCACACTCAGGTGACCTACAGGGAGCTCCGCTCGACACTGCAAGGCTTAGACCAGTTCGGTCCAACAGAGAAAGCAGGCAACCACCATGTCATTTGAAAACAGTTTCATCGGGATATAATTCGCAACCCATACAGTGAATCCATTTAAGGTGTGTAAGTCAAAAGTTTTTCGTGTATTACCTTATGTTTATTTATTTATTTATTTATTTATTTATTTATTTTGAGATGGAGTCTCGCTCTGTCCCCCAGTCTGGAATGCAGTGGCACTATCTCGGCTCACTGCAAGCTCCGCCTCCCGGGTTCACGCCATTCTCCTGCCTCAGCCTCCCCAGTAGTAGCTGGGACAACAGGCGCCCGCCATCACGCTTGGCTAATTTTTTGTATTTTTAGTAGAGACGGGGTTTTACCATGTTAGCCAGGATGGTCTCGATCTCCTGACCTTGGGATCTGCCCACCTCAGCCTCCCAAAGTGCTGGGATTACAGGTGTGAGCCACCGAGCCCAGCCTTTTATTTTATTTTTTTAAGACAAGGTCTTGCTCCATCACCCAGGCTGGGGTTAAGTGGCATGATCACAGCTTGCTGCAGCCTCAAACTTCCAGACTAAAGCAATTCCCCCAAGTAGCTGGGACTACAGGCGCATGCCACCTTGCCCGGCAAATTTTTGTATTTTTAGTAGAGTTGGGATTTTGCCATGTTGCCCAGGCTGGTCTTTTTTTAAAAAAATTATTTATTTATTTATTTTTGAGATGGAATCTTGCTCTGTCACCCAGGCTGGAGTGCAGTGGCATGATCTCAGCTTACTGCAACCTCTGCCTCCCAGGTTCAAGTGATTCTCATGCCTCAGCCTCCCGAGCAGCTGGGATTACAGGCATGAGCCACCACACTCGGCTTATTTTTGTATTTTTGGTAGAAACAGGGTTTCACCATGTTGGCCAGGCTGGTCTCAAACTCCTGACCTCAAGTGATCCACCTGCCTCAGCCTCCCAAAGTGCTGGGATTACAGGCATGAGCCACCAAACCCGGCTATTATTTATTTATTTATTTTTGAGACACAATCTCCCTCTGTCACCCAGGCTGGAATGCAGTGGTGTCATCTTGGCTCACTGCAACCTCCGCCTCCTGGGTTCAAGTGATTCTCGTGCCTCAGCCTCCCAAGTAGCTGGGACTACAGGTGTGCACCACCACACCCAGCTAATTTTTGTATTTTTAGTAGAAATGGGGTTTCATCATGTTGGCCAGGCTGGTCTTAAATTCCTGACCTCAGGTGATCTGCTCACCTCGGCCTCCCAAAGTGCTGGGACTACAGGTGTGAGCCACTCTGCTCGGCCGGTCAGCTCATATATTACCTGCAAAACCCAGTCCCATTGTACCTTTCTCTGGCTGAGTCATGGATTCAAGCCTTGCCTCAGTGACATGGGAAGCAATGATGACCGGCTATGCCTTCTCCCCTGCCTCCAGGGCACTTGTATTTCAGTAGACTGGGGAAGACTTCGGGGATTCCAGGAAAGGTCTTGTCTAATAGGTAGAAGGAAGTGGACTCTGGGACAAGGTCCCTTTGTTCAAACACCAGCTGTGCTGATTTTTGCTGTGAGTCACTTGGTCTCAGTTTTCTCATCTGTGAAACAGGAATAATAGCAGCTCCTCTCAGGACTCATGGCCCGGAGCTTTGGTAAGCAGGAGATTGTCATCAATGACCCTCACTCCTCTCTCCTCTCTTCCCAGATACTCTGACCCATGGATCCCCTGGGTGCAGCCAAGCCACAATGGCCATGGCGCCGCTGTCTGGCCGCACTGCTATTTCAGCTGCTGGTGGCTGTGTGTTTCTTCTCCTACCTGCGTGTGTCCCGAGACGATGCCACTGGATCCCCTAGGGCTCCCAGTGGGTCCTCCCGACAGGACACCACTCCCACCCGCCCCACCCTCCTGATCCTGCTACGGACATGGCCTTTCCACATCCCTGTGGCTCTGTCCCGCTGTTCAGAGATGGTGCCCGGCACAGCCGACTGCCACATCACTGCCGACCGCAAGGTGTACCCACAGGCAGACATGGTCATCGTGCACCACTGGGATATCATGTCCAACCCTAAGTCACGCCTCCCACCTTCCCCGAGGCCGCAGGGGCAGCGCTGGATCTGGTTCAACTTGGAGCCACCCCCTAACTGCCAGCACCTGGAAGCCCTGGACAGATACTTCAATCTCACCATGTCCTACCGCAGCGACTCCGACATCTTCACGCCCTACGGCTGGCTGGAGCCGTGGTCCGGCCAGCCTGCCCACCCACCGCTCAACCTCTCGGCCAAGACCGAGCTGGTGGCCTGGGCGGTGTCCAACTGGAAGCCGGACTCAGCCAGGGTGCGCTACTACCAGAGCCTGCAGGCTCATCTCAAGGTGGACGTGTACGGACGCTCCCACAAGCCCCTGCCCAAGGGGACCATGATGGAGACGCTGTCCCGGTACAAGTTCTACCTGGCCTTCGAGAACTCCTTGCACCCCGACTACATCACCGAGAAGCTGTGGAGGAACGCCCTGGAGGCCTGGGCCGTGCCCGTGGTGCTGGGCCCCAGCAGAAGCAACTACGAGAGGTTCCTGCCACCCGACGCCTTCATCCACGTGGACGACTTCCAGAGCCCCAAGGACCTGGCCCGGTACCTGCAGGAGCTGGACAAGGACCACGCCCGCTACCTGAGCTACTTTCGCTGGCGGGAGACGCTGCGGCCTCGCTCCTTCAGCTGGGCACTGGATTTCTGCAAGGCCTGCTGGAAACTGCAGCAGGAATCCAGGTACCAGACGGTGCGCAGCATAGCGGCTTGGTTCACCTGAGAGGCCGGCATGGTGCCTGGGCTGCCGGGAACCTCATCTGCCTGGGGCCTCACCTGCTGGAGTCCTTTGTGGCCAACCCTCTCTCTTACCTGGGACCTCACACGCTGGGCTTCACGGCTGCCAGGAGCCTCTCCCCTCCAGAAGACTTGCCTGCTAGGGACCTCGCCTGCTGGGGACCTCGCCTGTTGGGGACCTCACCTGCTGGGGACCTCACCTGCTGGGGACCTTGGCTGCTGGAGGCTGCACCTACTGAGGATGTCGGCGGTCGGGGACTTTACCTGCTGGGACCTGCTCCCAGAGACCTTGCCACACTGAATCTCACCTGCTGGGGACCTCACCCTGGAGGGCCCTGGGCCCTGGGGAACTGGCTTACTTGGGGCCCCACCCGGGAGTGATGGTTCTGGCTGATTTGTTTGTGATGTTGTTAGCCGCCTGTGAGGGGTGCAGAGAGATCATCACGGCACGGTTTCCAGATGTAATACTGCAAGGAAAAATGATGACGTGTCTCCTCACTCTAGAGGGGTTGGTCCCATGGGTTAAGAGCTCACCCCAGGTTCTCACCTCAGGGGTTAAGAGCTCAGAGTTCAGACAGGTCCAAGTTCAAGCCCAGGACCACCACTTATAGGGTACAGGTGGGATCGACTGTAAATGAGGACTTCTGGAACATTCCAAATATTCTGGGGTTGAGGGAAATTGCTGCTGTCTACAAAATGCCAAGGGTGGACAGGCGCTGTGGCTCACGCCTGTAATCCCAGCACTTTGGGAGGCTGAGGTAGGAGGATTGATTGAGGCCAAGAGTTAAAGACCAGCCTGGTCAATATAGCAAGACCACGTCTCTAAATAAAAAATAATAGGCCGGCCAGGCACGGTGGCTCACGCCTGTAATCTCAGCACTTTGGGAGGCCGAGGAGGGTGGATCACGAGGTCAGGAGATCGAGACCATCCTGGCTAACACGGTGAAACCCCGTCTCTACTAAAAATACAAAAAATTAGCCAGGTGTCATGGCGGGTGCCTGTGGTCCCAGCTGCTCCAGAGGCTGAGGCAGGAGGATGGCGTGAACCCAGGAGGTGGAGCTTGCAGTGAGCTGAGATGGCGCCACTGCACTCCGGTTTGGGCGACACAGTGAGACTCCATCTCAAAAATAACAATAATAATAGGCCAGGTGCAATGGGTCACGCCTGTAATCTCAGCACTTTAGGAGGTGGAGGCGGGCAGATCACCTGAGGTCAGGAGTTGGAGACCAGCCTGGCCAACATGGTGAAACCCCGTCTCTACTAAAAATACAAAAATTAGCCTGGCGTGGTGACATGCGCCTGTAATCCCAGCTACTTGGGAGGCTGAGGTACGAGAATCACTTGAACCCAGGAGGTGGAGGTTGCAGTGAGCCAAGATTGCACCACTGCATTCTAGCCTGGGTGACAGAGCAAGACTCCGTCTCAAAAAAAATATATATATATAAAATAAAATAAAGTAAAATAAAATTGCCAGGGGAGACCAAGACGTGGGTGGTGGTGGTGAATCCCAGGTGCTCTCTGAGCCTCAGTTTCCCCATCTGTACAGTGGAGGTGCAGAGGTGCCTGTGATGCCTCCCTGAGGCCCAGGTGGGAGGGTGGAGGGGCATAGGGTGGGGAGGGTGTGGGGGGCCTGAAGAGTCTCTACCAAACCCTCTGGTGACCCCGGGCCTGAGCCAGCCTTGCTGGGCCCATCACTCACCTGCCACCCACACCACACACCTGGGCCCCTCTCCCCACCACCTGGCTGCAAGCCACGGGTCCTGGGAGGGGGACGGGGCCCTCGGCAGGCCAGGCCAGGGCTTCCTAACAGGCTGGGGCAGGCCCAGTCCCCAGGGGGTAAGAGGTGTGGGGACAGGCTGCTCTGTCCTCTGACGCCCCTGGAGCCCCTGTGGTCTCCGCCTCTACCTCAGCTGATGTCAGAGTGAAGAGCTCCCTTTCCCAACTTCTCTTTCTCTGCCTCTGGAATTTCCTCTGAGGCTTAGAGGGACATGGAAACCCTCCCTGGGTCCCACGAGGGCAGAGGCCCAGCCACCTGGCCGATGTTGGGGGGCTCTGGCCTGCCCCCTCTGGAACCCCAGCACTGCCCTCAAACCCCCATTGCCTCCCTGTATGCCCCGGATCTCACATGTGGTTCATGGCACGCCCAGCCCGTGGGGCCTTCTCCCTCCTCCTGGGCACCAGCTGCCCTTGGCTCCCAGCCCTGGGCCCCAGGGGGAGAAAAATTTCCAGCAGGCTGGCAGCTCCATCTCCCACCCAGCCCTGGCCAGGGAAGGCACTGGAGGGTCCAATGAGGGCCAAGACCCCAACGAGGTGCACAGATGGCCTAACTGCCCCTGCAAGCCTCAAGCAGGTCCTAGCTTGCCCTGAGCCTGAGGGAAGAGGTCCTCATGATACCCTACTCTGGGCTCTGGGCTCAGCTCCTTGGCAGGGAGGTCCCACCTGGCACTGGTATGGTGAGCCCTGCTCAGAGAGGACCAGGAAACCTCTCAAGTCACACAGCAGTTTCAGGATGAGCACACGTTCTCTCTGGCACCATCCCTGAGGTCAGCCCAAGGTCCTCCACCCTCCCTTTGCCCAGCGATCACATCGATGGAATGACTAGAGCCCTACTGTCCCTCACTAGAGACCTACCTTTGGATTTTGAATCCTTAAGAAACAACCCAGCTGGGGGCGGGGCGTGGTGGCTCACGCCTGTAATCCCAGCACTTTGGGAGGCCGAGGCGGGCGGATCACAAGGTCAGGAGATCGAGACCATCCTGGCTAACATGTCTCTACTAAAAATACAAAAAAAAAAAAAAAAATTAGCTGGGCGTGATGGCGGACGCCTGTAGTCCCAGCTACTTGGGGCAGGAGAATGGCGTGAACCCAGGAGGCAGAGCTTGCCATGAGCCGAGATCGTGCCACTGCACTCCAGCCTGGGCCACAGAGCGAGACTCTGTCTCAAAAAAAAAAAAGAAAAAAAACCCAGCTGGGCGGAGTGGCTCATGCCTGGCCTCTAATCCCAGTACTTTAGGAGGCTGAGGCAGACAGATCACCTGAAGTCAGGAGGTCAAGATCAGCCTGGCTAACATGGCGAAAACCAGCTCTATTAAAAAAATACGAAAGTTACCCAGTGCCGTGTCACGCGCCTGTAGTCCCAGCTACTCGGGAGGCTGGGGCATGAGAATCGCTTGAGCCCGGGAGGCATAGGTTACAGTAAACTGAGACTGTGCCACTGCACTCCAGCCCGAGTGACAGAGCAAGATTCCATCTCAAAAAAAAGAGAGAGATAGGGGTATCTCTGTTTTCCCTAGGCTGGTCTCAGACTCCTGGGCTCAAGCGATCTTCCTGCCTCTCCTTCCCAAACTGTTGGGATTACAGGTGTGAGTCACTGTGCATGGCCTCAGAAGTCTTTTTTTTTTTTTTTTTTTTTTTTGAGACAGAGTCTTGCACTGTCGCCCAGGCTGGAGTGCAGTGGCTCAATCTAGGCTCACTGCAAGCTCCGCCTCCCGGGTTCACACCATTCTCCTGCCTCAGCCTCCCAAGTAGCTGGGACTACAGGCACCCACTACCACGCCTGGCTAATTTTTTTGTATTTTTAGTAGAGACAGGGTTTCACCATGTTAGTCAGGATGGATGGTCTTGATCTTCTGATCTCGTGATCTGCCCACCTCGGCCTCCCAAAGTGTTGGGATTACAGGCGTGAGCCACCACGCCCGGCCCCCAGAAGTCATTTTTTTAATAAGTTACAGTCAACCTCACCAGTCAAGGAATGAGACATGAGTGGAATTAGGTTGCCACTTCTGGAGCTCTGGGAGACCCCAACCCCCTGGCCCATCCCTACCTCCCAGAACCTCACTGGTCTGGGCGTGGCTGGGCACTGAGATAGTAGAACTCAGGCAGCATGATGCAGCCTCCCAGAAATGATTTCTAGAACAGGGCAGTCGTGATACTTGGAGGCTGGGCTTTGAGCTCGGTCACCTTTGCACCCAGCTTGGGAGTGAGAGAGTTTAAGGTCATCCTCCCTCAAAACCAGTATTCCAGATCATTTCTCTCCATTCCAGGAAGTTTGCATAGCTCCCTGGACTTCTGCTTTGCACTGCCCTGCAGGAGTGGGTGGGGAAAGGAAGTGGCTTTGAGGCACACAGAGGGGCTTGTTGAGGCCACCGGAGGAAGCTTCTGCCACCAATATGGGACCTGTGCCCAGCCTACCAGAAGAGAGCATCTGAAAACATGTATCGACATGGTAACCCCTCTGCTTGAAGCCTCACATGGCTCCCTATTGCCTTGGTGCTGAACACCCTATGGCTGACCGTGGCCCAGCCTCTGCAACAGCTCTGCCTCCTCTCCAGTGGTGAAGACCCAGCCTGCTGAGACTCCTCCTGCAGTTCCTCAACATGCCTGCATTTCTGCTGCCTCAGGGCCTTTGCGAAGGTTGTTCCTTGTAACTGGAATGCCCTTCCATCCCTTTTTTATTCAAAAGGCTGCAATTTTAATTGAAGAAAGTTCCCTTCCAAGGTTCATGAGTTGCCTGACTTGCCCACCGGTTTCCTGCAAGATCCCTTGGCCTGGCACTTAGTGCTCAGGAAATATTTGGTGATGGGCCAACTGAGTGAGAAGGTGGGATCTGGTGGGAAGGAAAGCGGAAAGGTAGAAATTCTGCTCACTTCCTCATTCCCACCTCCCAAGGAACCCCTGGTGTCCCTGTGGAACCCGCTTTGGGAACCGGTGGTTCAGGTCAGCCTTTTCACTTTGTACTCAAAGCCACATCGCATTGAAGCCACAGGTGGGGCAAGGTCATGCATGACCTGAGTCTCCAAATCCCTTCACCCTGTTTGGTTCTGCAACGGGGATTAGGGGAGCCCCACGATTTGTTTTCAAAGGATGTCCGGGCTCCAGGACAGGATGCCCTGGGTCACCTGATGACAGGTGTGGTGGTTGGAAAGGGCCTGGTTTCAGCTCCGGGTACACTTCCTCCTTCCTTCTGCTGCGTGGTGTGGCCTCTTCCACGTCCTCAGAATCCAGCTGTTACTCCGTCCGCGGCCTCTCAGCTCTAGGGCCCTCTGCACACTGGCCCCCCCAGGTAAGGCCTCTTGTCCCACTTTCACCCCCAACCCGGATCGCATGGGTCCAGGGAAAGGCCTCCTGGCTCCGAGCCTCCTCCCCTCAGCCTCAGTCCTGTCTGCTGTAATTCAGAGTGCGGGTGGGCTGGCACAAGATCCCTGGGGGAGGGTCTGCAGGCTGTGCAGTGGCCTGGCATTTGGCCAGCAGCCCCTAGTCGCAGGCAGGGGTCTTTCTGGATGCACCGAGGTGGGCTGAGGATATGGGAGGTCTGGCTGATTTGCCAAACCAGGAGGAAGTGGGTGTCTGTCTGTCTCTCTTGCAGAGCTCTGCGGTAGAATCCCGTGCCCCCCGACCCCATCAGCAGCCTACACCCCTTCATCCTTCCTGGCCCCGGATTTTCTCTGCCTCTGCCACTCCCGGTGGTAAAAGAGGGCTTAGAATGCGGTTTGCTTTCTGGCTTTGTTTTTTTGCATCCTGATCTTTGTGGCGTGGATCGATCATTTTCCAGGGAAAGTACCTTGGGTGAGATCTCTCTCCTGGACTCCCGTTCCCCGTTTCCCCCAATCTCCCCTCCTGAAGGTCACCGGCAAAGACTTCACTGTCTCCTAGGAAGAGGTCGCCATAAACCCAGGGGCCACATGATAATATATTAATATTAAATGTATCTCTAAACATTAACCTTTCACTGGCAGCCCAAGAGCCCGACAGCACAAAGGAATACTTGGTTAAAATTCAACCTCCCTCCCAGTCCGGGCTCTGAGTGTCCCTCGAGGGCTGTCTCTTGAGTCTTTTTCCAGAACTTTGGTATGCGCTTGTGCTCTCAATCCCTTCTCATCACACCTAGGTCACCATGCCTGGAGCTCCGCTATGCACCATAAGGTTTAGACCAACTCAGTTTATTTATTTTATTTTATTTTATTTTATTTTTTTGAGACAGAGTCTCGCTCTGTTGCCCAGGCTGGAGTGCAGTGGCGCGACCTTGGCTCACTGCAAGCTCCGCCTCCCGGGTTCACACCATTTTCCTGCCTCAGCCTCCCGAGTAGCTGGGACTACAGGTGCCCGCCACCGCGCCTGGCTAATTTTTTGTATTTTTAGTAGAGACGGGGTTTCACCATGTTGGTCAGGACAGTCTCTAACTCCTGACCTCAGGTGATTCGCCCGCCTCCACCTCTCAAAGTGCTGGGACTACAGGCATGAGCCACCGTGCCTGGCCTTTAAAAAGTTTTATTGAGATATCTGACATTCTGTTTTTCATCCTAAATCTTGGCAATCTAGTGTGCATTTTACCCTCAGAAGACAATTCAGACATTCAATGTCTGTCATAACTACTCAATCTGTATTTAGTTTCCATAAAATGAGGCTGGGCGTGGTGACTCATGCCTGTAACCCCAGCACTTTGGGAGGCTGAGGTGGGCGGGTCAATTGAGGTCAGGAGTTCGAGACCAGCCTGGCCAACATGGTGAAACTCCATCTCTACTAAAAAGACAGAAATTACCTGGGTGTGGTGGGGGGCGCCTGTAATCCCAGCTACTTGGGAGGCTGAGGCAGGAAAATCACTTTAGCCCGGGAGCTAGAGGTTGCAGTGAGCCAAGATCACGCCACTGTGCTCCAGCCTGGGTGACAGAGCAAGATTCCATCTCAGAACAAACAAACAAACATAAAAAGTACAGGTGAAGAAGTAGATTTGCCCATCCAAGATGTTCTGAAGGTACTCAAAAGTTTCCCAATTACTGCCTGTAATACCAGTCATTGCTTTTTTTCTTTTTGAGTATCTGTTTCTTGTGTGCTTTTTTGTGGTTTTTGTTTTCTGTGTTTTTATTTTTTGTTGTTATTTATTTATTTATTTATTTTGAGACACGGTCTCATTCTATTGTCTAAGCAGAAGTGCAATAGTGCAACCATGGCTTACAGCAGCCTTGAACTTCTGGGCTCCAGAAATCCTCCTGCCTCAGCATCCTGAGTAGCTGAGACTACAGGCCACCATGTCTGGCAAAATAATAATAATAAATAATAAAATTCGTTGTAGAGATGAGGTCTTGAGGTCTTGCTATGCTGCTCAGGCTGGTCTCAAACTCTTGGAATCAAGCGATCCTCCCACCTCAGCCGCCCAAAGCATTGGGATTATAGGTGTAAGCCATTACTCCCGGCCAGTATCTATTTTTAAGTTTAAATTAGCATTGGGCCGGGCGCCGTGGTGCACGCCTGTAATCCTAGCACTTTGGGAGGCCGAGGCAGGCAGATCACCTGAGGTCAGGAGTTCAAGACCAGCCTGGACAACATGGTGAAACCCCATCTCTACTAAAAATACAAAAATTAGCCAGGCATGATGGCACGTGCCTCTAATCCCAGCTACTCAGGAGGCTGAGGCAAGAGAATCGCTTGAACCCGGGAGGCGGAGGTTGCAGTGAGCTGAGATCGTGCCATTGCACTCCAGCCTGGGCAACAAAAGTGAAACTCCGTCTCAAAAAAGAAAAGAAAAGAAAAGAAAATTAACATTAGCCAGGCCGGGCACAGTGGCTCACAGATGTAATCTCAGCACTTTGGGAGGCTGAGGCGAGGCAGGTGGATCACCTGAGGTTAGGAGTTCAAGACCAGCCTGGCCAACATAGTGAAACTCCGTCTCTACTAAAAATACAAAAACTAGCCAGGCATGATGGTGCACACTTGTAGTCCCAGCTACTCGAGAGGCTGAGGCACGACAATCACTTGATCTCAGGATGTAGAAGTTGCAGTGAGCCAAGATCACACCACTGCACTCCAGTCTGGGCGACAGAGCAAGACTCCGTATGAAAAAAAAAATTAGCATTAACTATTCTGTTTTTCCGACAGCATGGTCACTTTTGAAGGGCTCATTGGCCACCAATTTTGATGCTGCATGTAGAGAACATTTCCGTCATCACAGAAAGTTGCTTTGTTTTTGTTGAGACGGAGTTTCACTCTCATCACCCAGGCTGGAGGGCAATGGTGCAATCTCGGCTCACTGCAACCTCTGTCTCCCAGGTTCAAGCAATTCTCTTGTCTCAGCCTCCCGAGTAGCTGGCATTACAGGCTCCTGCCACCATACCTGACTAATTTTTGTATTTTTAGTAGAGACATGTTGGCCAGGCTGGTCTTGAACTCCTGACCTCAGGTAATCCGCCCACCTCAGCCTCCCAAAGTACTGGGATTACAAGCATGAGCCACCAAGCCCGGCCCATCATCACAGAAAGTTCTGTGGGACAAGGTTATTCGGGAGATGTCAGCTCCATCTGCAAAGTCCTAGAGGAGTTTGGGGTGACATTAAGGTGGGGAGACTTTGGGGTCTGGATCAAAATGGCTCTAGTTGTGTGTACTCAGCAGGACACATAGGTGTCTCTCTGAGCCTTAGTTTCCTCATCTGTAGAATGGACAGCTGTAGGGCTGCAAGGAACAGAGAGGGGCAGGGCTGGGGTCTTGGATTTCTGTTCCCGAGGTCAGGATCTGGGGTCTGGAGGACTCTGTGACACCCTATGGGGGCGGGAAGGACCTAGGAATGGAGTGAGATTGGCCAGACCTTCAGACCTTCAAAGCTGAGGCTCAGTGGCCAGGCTCTGTTGAGGTTCACGGACACAGTCCCCTTATGTCTCTGGCTTTTTGCAGTGTCACGGGCATCCAGACGGGATCCAGTGCATCCTCTTTTAGAAGAAAGGCCTGTCTCCAGATCCCCGAGTCCCTCTAGCATCTCCCAGAAGGTGTCAGACGCAGCAGTGTCCAGGGAGCGGCAGCAGGTCCTTATCATGGTCCAAGGGTCCCTCCCAGCCTCCAAGTCTCACCCCATACATGAAAAAAGGTGGCCCCGGTTTCCCGCCACCTCCTCCACAGCACCATCTCTTTGAAGGTTTCCTCCTGTTTTTGTTTTTTTTGTTGTTGCTGTTGAGACAGCGTCTCACTCTGCTGCCCAGGCTGCTGGAGTGCAGTGGTGTGATCCAGGTGGCTCACTACTTCCGCCTCCCGGGTTCAAGCGATTCTCATGGCTCAGCTTCCCAAGTAGCTGAGAATACAGGCGCGCATGCCACCACGCCCAGCTAATTTTTGTATTTTTAGTAGAGACGGGGTTTCACCATATTGGTCAGGCTGGTCTCGAATTCGTGACCTCAAGCGGTCCACCCGCCTCGACCTCCCAAAGTGCTGGGATTACAGGCGTGAGCCACCACACCCGGCCTGAAGGTTTCTCTTTCTCTGGCTTCCCAGACCCAGTGCCCACACTCCGGGGGATTTGGGCCCTCCCCTGTCTCCCTCCAGCCCCCTGGGGCCAGTCCGCTGCTGGGTATCTCCAGGACGGGCCAGGCTCAGCAAGTTCCACCAAAGCCTGCTTCTCTCCTGGGGGTTCCCCATGTCTCTGGGTGGCCCCACTGCCCTCCTGGTCAGCATGTGAGTCCCCACGCCTGCCTATTCTCCCTCCTATCGGTCCCCACGCCTGCCTATTCTCCCTCCTATCTGTCCCCACCTCTCCCCCAGCGTCAGCCTACCAGAGGAGTAACCTTTGGGTGCTTGTTGAAAGAAACCCTGAGTGAATATTTCTATTCTCTCTTTTTTTTTTCTTTTTGAGACAGGGTCTCGCTCTGTCACCCAGGTTGGAGTGCAATGGTGTGATCTTGGCTCAATGCAACCTCTGCTTCCCAGGTTCAAGTGATGCTCATGTCTCTGTCTCCCGAGTAGCTGGGACTACAGGCATGTGCCACCATGCCCAGCTAATTGTTGTATTTTTAGTAGACATGTGGGTTCTCCATGTTGACCACGCTGGTCTCAAACTCTTGACCTCAAGTTATCCGCCCTCCTCTGCCTTCCAAAGTGCTGGGAATACAGTCGTGAGCCAATGCACCCGGCCCTGAGTGCTTATTGAATGAAACCCCGAGTGAATATTTCTTTCTTTTTTTTTTTTTTGGAGATGGAATCTCATTCTGTGTCCCAGGCTGGAGTGCAGTGGTGCCATCTTGGCTCCCTGCAACCTCCTCCTCCCGGGTTCAAGTGATTCTCCTGCCTCAGGCTCCTAAGTAGCTGGGATTACAGGTGCCCGCCACCACGCCCAGCTAATTTTTGTATTTTTAGTAAAGATGGGTTTCACCACGTTGGCCAGGCTGGCCTCGAACTCCTGACCTCAAGTGATCCACCTTCAGCCTCCCAAAGTGCTAGGATTATAGGCATGAGCCACCGTGCTTGACCCAAGTTAATATTTCTTTTTTTTTTTTTTTCCAAGATAGAATTCCATTGCCCAGGCTGGAGTGCAGCGGTGCGATCTCGGCTCACTGCAACCTCCACCCCCCAGGTTCAAGCAATTCTCCTGCCTCAGCCTCTCAAGTAGCTGGGATTACAGGCACACGCCACCACGCCCGGCCAATTTTTGCATTTTTAGTAGAGATGGGGTTTCACCACGTTGGCCAGGCTGGTCTCTTGACCTCGTGATCTGCCCGCCTCGGCTTCCCAAAGTGCTGGGATTACAGGCATGAACCACCGCGCATGGCTGCCATTACTTTCAATGGTAAAAACAGCAATTACTTTTGCACCAATCTAATATGAACTCGACACTGGCAGCCCTGAGTACTTCCTTTGCTTTCTCTGCAAACTGCTCAGGGGTCTCTCCCCACTAGGCCTTGGCAATGGTGGTTTCCTCTGCCAGGAGCACCCTTTCCCACAGGTCTACTCTATCTGGTGAGCTCTTATATTACCTCCAAAACCCAATCCCATTGTGCCCTTCCCCAGCAGAGTCATGGGTTCAAGCCTCGACTCAGGGGCACTGGGGGGCATTTATGATCGGCTGTGTCTTCTCTCCAGATTGAGGAAGAGTCTGGGGACACACCAGAAAAGGACAGGATCAAGGTGGGACCTGAGGGCCCTTGGGGCCTCTCCCAACTTCCCCAGGGACCCTTGCCCATGTAGAAAGGGCCTGTTGTCTAATGGGTGGGAGGAAGTGGACTCTGGGCCAAGCTCCCTTTGTTCAAACACCAGCTGTGCTGACTTTTGCTGTGAGTCACTTGGTCTCAGTTTTCTCATCTGTGTAACAGGAATAATAACAGCTCTTCTCAGGACTCATGGCCTGGAGCTTTGGTAAGCAGGAGATTGTCATCAATGACCCTCACTCCTCTCTCCCCACTTCCCAGATACTCTGACCCATGGATCCCCTGGGCCCGGCCAAGCCACAGTGGTCGTGGCGCTGCTGTCTGACCACGCTGCTGTTTCAGCTGCTGATGGCTGTGTGTTTCTTCTCCTATCTGCGTGTGTCTCAAGACGATCCCACTGTGTACCCTAATGGGTCCCGCTTCCCAGACAGCACAGGGACCCCCGCCCACTCCATCCCCCTGATCCTGCTGTGGACGTGGCCTTTTAACAAACCCATAGCTCTGCCCCGCTGCTCAGAGATGGTGCCTGGCACGGCTGACTGCAACATCACTGCCGACCGCAAGGTGTATCCACAGGCAGACGCGGTCATCGTGCACCACCGAGAGGTCATGTACAACCCCAGTGCCCAGCTCCCACGCTCCCCGAGGCGGCAGGGGCAGCGATGGATCTGGTTCAGCATGGAGTCCCCAAGCCACTGCTGGCAGCTGAAAGCCATGGACGGATACTTCAATCTCACCATGTCCTACCGCAGCGACTCCGACATCTTCACGCCCTACGGCTGGCTGGAGCCGTGGTCCGGCCAGCCTGCCCACCCACCGCTCAACCTCTCGGCCAAGACCGAGCTGGTGGCCTGGGCAGTGTCCAACTGGGGGCCAAACTCCGCCAGGGTGCGCTACTACCAGAGCCTGCAGGCCCATCTCAAGGTGGACGTGTACGGACGCTCCCACAAGCCCCTGCCCCAGGGAACCATGATGGAGACGCTGTCCCGGTACAAGTTCTATCTGGCCTTCGAGAACTCCTTGCACCCCGACTACATCACCGAGAAGCTGTGGAGGAACGCCCTGGAGGCCTGGGCCGTGCCCGTGGTGCTGGGCCCCAGCAGAAGCAACTACGAGAGGTTCCTGCCACCCGACGCCTTCATCCACGTGGACGACTTCCAGAGCCCCAAGGACCTGGCCCGGTACCTGCAGGAGCTGGACAAGGACCACGCCCGCTACCTGAGCTACTTTCGCTGGCGGGAGACGCTGCGGCCTCGCTCCTTCAGCTGGGCACTCGCTTTCTGCAAGGCCTGCTGGAAACTGCAGGAGGAATCCAGGTACCAGACACGCGGCATAGCGGCTTGGTTCACCTGAGAGGCTGGTGTGGGGCCTGGGCTGCCAGGAACCTCATTTTCCTGGGGCCTCACCTGAGTGGGGGCCTCATCTACCTAAGGACTCGTTTGCCTGAAGCTTCACCTGCCTGAGGACTCACCTGCCTGGGACGGTCACCTGTTGCAGCTTCACCTGCCTGGGGATTCACCTACCTGGGTCCTCACTTTCCTGGGGCCTCACCTGCTGGAGTCTTCGGTGGCCAGGTATGTCCCTTACCTGGGATTTCACATGCTGGCTTCCAGGAGCGTCCCCTGCGGAAGCCTGGCCTGCTGGGGATGTCTCCTGGGGACTTTGCCTACTGGGGACCTCGGCTGTTGGGGACTTTACCTGCTGGGACCTGCTCCCAGAGACCTTCCACACTGAATCTCACCTGCTAGGAGCCTCACCTGCTGGGGACCTCACCCTGGAGGGCACTGGGCCCTGGGAACTGGCACCCATGGGGCCCCACCCATGAGTGATGGTTCTGGCTGATTTGTTTGTGATGTTGTTAGCCGCCTGTGAGGGGTGCAGAGAGATAATCACCGCACCGTTTCCAGATGTAATACTGCAAAGAAAACCGATGATGAGGCCGGGTGCGGTGGCTCACACCTGTAATCCCAGCACTTTGGGAGGCCGAGGCAGGCGGATCACAAGGTCAGGAGATCGAGACCATCCTGGCCAATATGGTGAAACCCGTCTCTACTAAAAATACAAAAATTTGCCGGGCGTGGTGGTGCATGCCTGTAATCCCAGCTACTTGGGAAGCTGAGGCAGGAGAATCGCTTGAACCAGAGAGTCGGAGGTTGCAGTAAGCCGAGATCGCGCCACTGCACTCCAGCCTGGCGACAGAGCGAGACTCTGTCTCAAAAAAAAAAAAAAAAAAAAAAAAAATTAGCTGGGTGCGGTGGCCGGTGCCTGTAATCCCAGCTACCCAGGTGGCTGAGACACAAGAATCGCTTGAACCCAGGAGGCAGATGTTGTAGGGAGCCATGATCGCACCACTGCACTCCAACCTGGGCGACACAGTGAGACTGTCTCAAGAAAAAAAAAAAAAGGGGGGAGTGTCCCTTTCTGAGTGTGCAATTCTGTGTGGAAGGTGACTGTGTAGGATCATGGGTCCTGCCTGCTGAGCCCTTATGGGTGGTGATCTCTGTGTCTTGTGAGTGTGCTTGTGTGTGTGTGTGAGAGAGACCCTCATCCGGTGTGCCGATGCGCTGATGACAACCGCAGCCCCAGGGAACTGCAGGGGCTTCTCGGTTTATTTATGTTCCAATTCCCTGGTGGGCTGGGCCCGCGCCCTGTGGTTGGGACGCTGGATCTGGGTGGGAGACAGGAAGGCCGAGGTCCGGGAGGCCCCGGAGGGTGGGCAACACTCACACACACATGCACACTGTGGCAGGGGAGCTTCGGGGGGGCGGCAGACCCCTGATGGTCAGCTTTCTCGCTGTGTGTCCTGGGCTGAACAACACTCCTCTCTGAGGCCAGGCCATCTAGGATGGGGAAACTGAGGCTCGGAGTAAGCGTCACTTGGGCTTCCGCAGCGTCTGGGAACTCCGGCCTCTCTGCGGAGGCCGGGCTGAGTCGGCCCAAAGGGTGGAGGAATCCACCACCTTAAACCTCAGAGTCAGAAGACTGCGGGGGTAGGCGGGGACCCCAGCCAGCGGCAGCCCTGAAACTGCTTCCCAAGCAGATCACCCGCCTGGCCGCCAAGCCCTGCTCTCAGGGCTCCCTGGAAGTCCTGCTGATTAGCCGCCTTGAGTGTCTCCAGCTGTAGCTGTGGGTCCCCGGGAGCCAGGGGCTAGGGATGTTCCTTCATGGCTGGGTGATTCTCCCTGGGGGCGGTTTCCGATCTGCGCCCTCCAGCTTTGCGGGGGGTGGGGGGATGCGGGCTGAGCCTGGGAAGGGACACTGTGGTTAGAGGGTGGTCCTAAGGGCAGACGTGTGGGAAGGAGGGGAGGGGGCCCAGCTAAGGAGAAGGGTTGTAGCCTTGGGAACCCCCAGTCTGAGGGGCAGGAGGGGAGGAGTCTCGCCTCGCCGGTGCCTGCTCTGGGCTCGCAGTGCCCGCCCCTTCCCCGCCCCTCAGACCGACCGTGGGACCCGCCGACCCCTCCCGCGCTCTGGCAACCCAACACCCGAGGCCTGCCAAGCATCAAGGTGACACCGTGGGGAAATCTAAACACCGAGCCGGGCTTTTTCCATACTCCGCAGGGGCTCGTCGTAAATCCCCCCCGTGGAGGCCCGGCCAGGGCTTTTATGGGCCGAGGACCCAGGTCTCTGGGGACCCAGCTCTACACCAGCAGGCGCCGGCTTCGGGCTGGATGGGGCTGGCGCCCGCCCCAGGCCTCTCCCCGCCGGGAGGTGGGCAGCGTGCGGGTATTTTTAGTAGCTGGTGGAAGGAGATAGTGGCTTTCAGCTCACCCTGGTGGGCGAAGACCGGCCCGAGGAGGCCGTCGGATAAGGGAGGCCCAGGTCCACCTGGACCTCACTCTCCTCACCCCCAGAGTGGCTCCCCCTTCCTAGAAACCCACATAGCGGGATCAGTGCGGACAGGGAGACGCTGGGGAACTGATTCCACCTGGATCTCAGGCTCCTCACCCACAGTGTCTCCCCCTTTCCCCCTCTCCAGAAGTCCACACAGCAGAGAGGTGCAGTCAGGAACAAGCTGGGGAAACTGGGTCCACCTAGACCTCAGTCTCTTCATCCCAGAAGCGAGAGGTGCAGTCAGCGACAATCTGGGGAAACTGGGCCCACCTAGACTTCAGTGTCTTCATCCCAGAAGCCCGCACCGCGGAGAGGTGCGGAAGGGAACAAGCTGGGGAAACGGGGTCCACCTAGACCTCGGTCTCTTCATCCGAGCGTAGCTTCCCTTTCCCCTCCCCAGAAGCCCACACAGCGAAGAGGTGCGGACCGGAACACGCTCGGGACGGGCAGAGGGACCCGTAGGGAGGCAGGAAGGACGGTCCCTGCCAACATAGCCCCATTCACCCCATTTTCCTTTTTGTCCGCCATAAACTGGACCCACTTTGCATCTACCCTTCCCCCAAAGCAAACAGCATCCTCCCACTACCCTGCAGCTGGGCCCCCCCCACTGGTCCCCGCTTTCCCGGTGGAGACGGCGACGTGGCCCACACGCGAGCCCCTCGCCGAGGATGAATCACCAGCCAGCTCGAGTTGCCACACTTTATCTCAGTACAGTTATCGCGAGAGTCCCGGGGCCGCGCCGGCGTGCTCTACGCACGCGCAGTCTTTCGCGGGGCCGGCCAGTGGTGCCGTCGAGGCGGGGGGAGTGGCCGCCGCGCCGGCCGAGTGAGGTAGGGTCACACGCAGGCGCACTCGCGCGCCGACAGCTCGTGCACCGTGTGGTAGCGGCTGTGCGCGTCCAGGAAGGACACCTCGTCCTCGTAGGCCGTCGGGCGGCAGCAGGGCTGCGCGCGCACCCGCTCCCGCCGCAGGCGCCGCCGCTGGCGCAGTCGTCGCAGCCCGAGGTCGTAGACGCGCGCGGCAGCCTCGCAGGCGCCTGCGCAGTAGCGGAACAGCACCGTCTCGTCGGACGCGTAGCCCAGGCCCAGCTCGCTCACGCGCACCTCCAGCTCGCGCAGCCCGCAAGGCCGCGCCCCCAACCGCGCACGCGCGCGCCGCCGCCGGGGCCCCGCCCGACGGCGCGGACCTGGGGGCCGCCCAGCCCAGGGCGTCAGCTCGCGCAGCTCCATCGCATCCGGGGCCCCCTGCAGGAGTGCACGGTCTGCGAGGGGAGGAAGAGAAAGGAGGGGGGGTCAGTGGGTGCAGGGGGTGGGAGGGAGCCCCCTACCCTCTCTGTACCCCTGCAAACGAAGACCCTTGCTGGGACGCCAGGCCTAGACGGCTTCTCGTCTCACTCCCAGGTCCCAAATTTCCCCACCCTCTTGCTGAGCTGCTCATGCACCCTCTCTGGGCGGCACTGGGGGGCACGTACACACTCACACCCCTACGCTGGTCCAAAACCCCTTTCTGAACCCTGAGCCTATATTGGCTGCCCAGAACCTGGTCCATCCTTTCTGGGCCGCTTTCCAGCCCGTCTCACCTTGAGCTGAGCTGACCGGGGTCTCTAACTCACCTCCTCTGGGCCCCTCTCTCACCCCATTGCTGCTCCATTCTCCTCGTCCTCCATCGCAAATCTATCTGGACCCCGCCCCTATGCTGGGCTGCCCCAGGACACTGGTGCATCCTCTCTGGGCAGCACTGGGGGGCTGCTTCCCATGCCCTATCCCTCTTTAGTGAGGTTGTCATAGGTCTCTAGAGCCCCCTCTTCAGGCCCCGACGTCTGCTCTGAGGCCCCGGGCTTTTCAGACTCCCTCCATCCCCACTGCCCCGCTGTGCAGTGGAGCCTCAGTTTCCCTATCCAAGAAATGAATCGGGGTGTTTGGGTTTCTCAGAATGCAGAGGAGCAGCAGGTACCGCAGCCTACTGCATCCGAAGCCTGTGTGGGGACCCCACTCCATGGAGTGGCAGCAGCTACTGTCAAGGCCACCCCCATGTGACAGGTGACAAAACGGACCATCCCAAGGTCACATCATTAGCAGGTGGCCGAGAGAGAGCGACAGAGGCGGGCTTAAAGGTCATTCTTCCTGCCTTCATCGTTCACCCAAGTTTGGCCCAGGTCCAGCCGCTTTCTCCCACACTCGCCAGGAGGTGCCCAAGTCACCGATTCCCAGGGCCTGGCAGCCTAAATTTATTACCCAAGCGGTGGCTCCACCCCCAAACTCGGAAGCCCCGGGAGAGAACTGCAGACGCTGGAATGACAGGCAGCGCTGCTGGCGGACCTGCAGGCAGGGGACTCCCAGCCCCAGAGCAGGTGGCAGTCACGCTTGTGGTTGGGAGAGGAAATCTTTAGTCCCCACCTGCCCCCCGGGCTGGTGCACCTGGCTGTCAAAAGAATGAGCCTCTGGGTGGCCCTGGGGAAGGAGGGGCTGTCTGTCTCCTGGGGTTTGGTGGGGGAGGAGATGTCTGTTCCCACAGGGGGTCTCAGAAACGAGACAAACCCAGCCTCAGAGCATGACTCTGCCACTTTCGCCACTTGCAACCTCAGGCCTCAGTTTCCCTGTCTGTCCCATGAAGCTTCCATGATCTCTGTCTTGGCCGGGGCTGAGAGGGTGGGAAATCGGTGCGGGGGGTGGGCGATGACTGAGCAACCTAGTCCGTGTTCTTTAAGCCCCGGAGCAGGACTGGAGTGGCCAGGACTGTGCTGGGGGGTTAGGGGGCACACCCAACCCCAGAGGGGTGCATCGAAGCAGACATTTGTGGGCTTGCCCGATACAATACAGGTGCCCGGCTAAATCTGAATTCCATATAAACAATGAATAATCTTTTTTTTTTTTTTGAGACGGAGTCTCGCTCTGTCGCCCAGGCTGGAGTGCAGTGGCGCGATCTCGGCTCACTGCAAGCTCCGCCTCCCGGGTTCACGCCATTCTCCCGCCTCAGCCTCCCGAGTAGCTGGGACTACAGGCGCCCGCCACCACGCCCGGCTAATTTTTTTGTAATTTTAGTAGAGACAGGGTTTCACAGTGTTAGCCAGAATGGTCTCCATCTCCTGACCTCGTGATCCGCCCACCTCGGCCTCCCAAAGTGCTGGGATCACAGGCGTGAGCCACCGCACCTGGCAACAATGAATCATCTTTTAGGATGTCTGTCCCTGCCTCCCTGCAGCGGGGCTGGCTGCTTGCACAGGGGCTAGAACACAAGGTCCCCAGCCTGAAATTCCACCAGGAGCCTAGAACATGGGGACTTGGGGAGTCAGTGGCCACTCGCTTTTTGCAGTAGGGCAGACAGGCACCCGCCCATGGGCCCTGACCCTCCGCAGTGCCTGAAATTCCTCCATTCGTGCTTTGCCCCCCGCACCCCAAGTCCTGGAGCACTGGATTTTGGGGGTCCCGCCCGGGTCTCTGTCCCAGAGTCCTAGGAAGGACTTCACGCCGCTTGCAGAGAGGGAAGTGGTGGGAGGACAGAAGTGGAGCTCGTGCTGGAGGCCACCCTTGTGCATTGTAAGGACAAGAAAAGAGGATTGTGTGGGCTGGCAGGGGCGGGCGCAGACGCGCACATGGGCGTACTCGTGGCCCACACCCAAAGGCGCTGCACACGCACCCTGCCGGCATCCACGCCTCAGATGCCCGCGCAGGCGCACGCATGGACATGTGCGTGGGCACAGGGGTCAGGGCCCACGCACCACCCTCACCCCACAGCACCTGCGGTGGGGCAGGCATTAGGGATTGGTGGGGAGTTGGGCGAGGGTCTTGCCCTCAGGGTGGGCATTTCTGTGTCCCTATAGCAGCACTTTTGCCCGTGTCTGTGCCCCCAGCCCCGTCTCTCCTCTCTCCACCCCTCCTCACCCCTTCGAATCTCTGGGCCTTTCTTCCGGTTTTTAGCTCCTGCTCCATCTCCCGCCTCCCCTTGGTCCCTGTCCCCTGGGGCAGGTCACTGGGACCTCAGATCCAGCCTCTCTCTCCTCCCACCGCCCCCCCTGCTGCGCCGCGGGGGCCAACCAGGCGAATGCCCAGGTCTAATCTCCATCTGGCCCCCACGGGACCTCAGGGCAGAGCCTAATTCCTTGTGACAGCTGAGCCGAAAGACCCCAGTTCCCAGAAGTCACCCTAGCTCCACCAGGCCATTGGGGGAATTTGCAACCTCCCTCCACCCCATCTTTTTTTAGAAAATGTATTTATTATTATAATGTTTTGAGACAGAATCTTGCTCTGTTGCTCAGGCTGGAGTATAGTGGTGCAATCATAGCTCAATGCAGCCTTGAACTCTTGGGCTCAAGTGATCCTCCCACCTCAGCCTCCCAAGTAGCTGGAACTACAGGCGTGCGCCACTACACCTGGCTAATTTCTGAAGTTTTTTGTAGAGATGGCGGTCTCGCTACATTGCCCTGGCTGGTCATGAACTCCTGGGCTCAAGAGATCCTCCTGTCTCAGCCTCCCAAAGTGCTGGGATTATAGGCAGGCGCCACCATGCCTTGCCCTGAATAATCTTTTAGGATGTCTGTCCCTGCCTCCCTGCAAGGGGGCTGGCTGGCCCTATCTTTAAAAAACCTATGACACCCCCCCACCACCTCCCACTCCACTGCCTGAAATTCTACCCCTTACGTTGGGGGTATCTGACCCCACACAGAGGAGGAGCTTACACTGGGCCAGGCGGGCAATCCGGGCGTCCAGGGTTCGAGGCAGGCGGTGCAGGGGGACCAGCGCAGGTCCGAGGCGGTGGCTGAGAAGCAGGCCCTCTCGACACATCCAGATGGACAGCACGGAGCTGCAGAGCACTGAGGCCAAGGCCGCCGCCTTCCAGCGCTGCATCCTCAGCCTGCGGGCACGGGATGGTCAGCCGCACGCCCCGTCTGTCCCTCCAGCAGCCAACGGGCACAGGGCGCTGGGCCAGGACTCAGTGTGGGGCCTTTGACTTTGAACGCCTGCCGAATGGTCGATAATCACATGGGAATGGTCCCTCAAGGAACCATTGAACAAGGAAGGGGTTGGCCTCCGTGCCAGGAGTCACAGGGAACCGCCCCCATCTGGGGGTCCCGGAGTGCCTTCCTGAGGAGCCGATGACAAGGTCCAGACTTGAATAAACGTAGGAGTTGGCCAGGCAGAGGAGAATGGCATCACAGGCAGGGGACACAGCCAGTGCAAAGGCCCCGAGGCCAGACTGAGTGTGGCGTATCCCAGGAACAGCAAGGAGGCCGGAGCGGCTGCAGCTGAGGAGCCAGGGGGAAGAGTGAAAGGAGGAGAGGTCATTCCCGGCAGGTGGCAGTGTGGGACAAAGGCGCGGGGAGGGTGGTGTTTAGGACAGTCTGGAGGCAGGAATCTGGGGCTGACACTGTTCCCTACATGCTGGTGTCCTCCATTGACTCTGCCCCTCTCTGAGCCTGTTTCCCATCCAGATGGATAAGCAGGCCCAGAAGTGGGCAGCAATGGACCAGAGCTGCCCTGGACATGGAGTCCCAGCTCTGGGCTTTTGCACAGATAGGTCCTTGCATGGAGAACACTTCTTCCCTCCCTCCCCACTCCCACTCCCCTTTCTTTCTCTTTTTCTTTTTTTCTTTTGGAGATGGAGTCTCACTCTTGTCCCTCAGGCTGGAGTGCAGTGGCGCAATCTCAGCTCACTGCAACCTCTGCCTCCCGGGTTCAAGCGATTCTCCTGCCTCAGCCCCCCGAGTAGCTGGGATTACAGGCACCTGCCAGCATGACTGGCTAATTTTTGTATTTTTAATAGAGACAGGGTTTCTCCCTGTTAGCTATGCTGGTCTCAAGCTCCTGAACTCAAGTGATCCGCCCACCTTGGCCTCCCAAAGTGCTGGGATTACAGGCATGAGCCACCGCACCCAGCCTCCTCTCTCTCTTTCTCTTTCTTTCTTTCCTTTTTCTTTCTTTCTTCTCTCTTTCTTTTTCTCTTCCTTTCTTTCCTTTCTTTCTTTCTCTCTCTCTCTTTCTTTTTTTTTGAGACAGGGTCTTGCTCTGTCACCCAGGCTGGAGTGCAGTGGTGTGATCACAGCTCACTGCAGCCTCCACCTCCTAGGCTCAAGCGATCCTCCCACCTCAGCCTCCCAAGTAGCTAGGACTGACTACAGGCATGAGCCACCGTGCCTGGCTAATTTTTAATTTTTTTTGTTTTTGTTTTTGTTTAATAGAGAGGGGAATCTCACAACGTTGCCCAGGCTGGTCTCAAACTCCTGGGCTCAAGCTATCCTTCCACTTTGGCCTCCCAAAGAGCTGGGATTACAGGCGTGAGTCACTGTACCTAGCTCTCACTCCCCTTGCAATCTCAGCTTGGAGGGTGCCTCCTCCAGGGAGCCTTCCATGGCTGCCTACCCTATTCACTTCAACCTCTGGCTGGTGCAGGGGCGCTAGTGGGCCCCCAGGAATGCCCTGAGCTTTACCCATTCGGGCACCAGTTACTTGGTGCTGTGAGTGCCTGGTGGCATCCTCCTCACTGCATACAGTCGGTGTTTAATAACTCACGTGTACACGCCCACCACACTCGACGCCGTCTGGGCTCCTCCCGAGCGTCCCGCGGCCCCCAGCCCGAGTTTACATTCCCCCTCCCGGCTGCCTAGTGTGGGGCGGCGTGGAGCCTGGCGGCCGGCCAGGTGTAAACATTTACACCGAGCACTGAAAGCCGGGCTGGATGCGGGTCAGCACCTCCGGGCCTGGGCTCGGCTCATGGGGTTCCCAGGCGCCCCCCAAATGCGTGCACCTTGTACCTCCAGCCTTGCACGCTGCCCTGCACCACCCAGAGATTTATTTGCATGGGATTTGCATTTCATTTGCATGGACCGCGCCTCGTGTCCTGATGTGCAGAAACTCAAACCACCCCTTCCCCACCCCACTCACCCCCATGGACGGCGACGACAGGAGCTACACATATCAGACCTTAAGTAACAGGACACATTTATTAAGCACCAGCTGTGTAACAGGCCTGGTGCTGAGCCCACAAGAGAGGCACTACTATCTCCATTTTACAGCTAGGGAAACCGAGGCACAAAATGGGTAGGGGCTTGTCCAAGGGTTAGAAAAGGACATGGGATTTGAACCCAGGTTCTTTGACACAGCACACACCATATGGGCTGGGCTGGGCTTGGGAGCAGATGCTGTAGTCACCCTGAGAACTCAGCACTATTGGTGGTACTTGAGACTGTTTGGTATTGGTGGTGGTTATTCTTAGTAAGGAATGAGTTCCCCAACGTGAGGGCATCTAAACAAATCCTAGACCAGCCTGGGGATCTGATGAGAGTGAATTTGCAGGGGAAGTCGATTCTCCCCCAGGGCCAGCCCAGCTGGTTCAGTGGCTCAGAGTAGGCGCTCATAGACATTTGCTGAATGATGAATGAATGAATGAATGAACACAAAGAAGCTAGGCTGACGGGTGCAGTGGCTCATGCCTGTAGTAATCCCAGCACTTTGGGAGGCTGAGGAGGGCAGATCACCTGAGGTCAGGTGTTCAAGACCAGTCTGGCCAATATGGTGAAACCCCGTCTCTACTACAAATACAAAAATTAGCCGGGCGTGGTGGCACACCTGTAATCCCAGCTACTCGGGAGGCTGAGGCAGGAGAATCGCTTGAACCCGGGAGGCGGAGGTTGCAGTGAGCTGAGATTGCACCACTGCACTCCAGCCTGGGTGACAGAATGAAACTCTGTCGCAAAAAAAAAAAAAAAAAAAAAAAAAAAAGCTAGGCACTGGGTGGCCCAGATCCTGAATTGGAGGGTCCAGAATTTCATGTCTGAGTGAACGGATGGATGGATGGATTTATTGGGAGGATGAAAAAGAAACCACAGTTGAAGTCTCTGGGCTTAGTATACAATCAGTGCATAATAAAGATGACTGTCCTGAATGGGGCTAGATTCACTGGGGGTGGGCAGGGGGCCCTCCCTGAGGAGGTGATGCATGCACTAAGACCCAAGTGTGAGAAGTCAGCCATAGGAGAATCTGGGGGCAGGTGTTCCAGGCAGAGGCATGGCCTGTGCAAAGGCCCTGGGGCAGACCACACGTGGCGTGTTGGAGGAACAGTGAGGAGGCCCGTGTGTCTGAGCAGAGTGAGGAGGGGAAGAGAGAGGAGAGGAGGTTTGGAAGGGGATGAAGCAGCTCGTGCAGGGCCTCGTGTGGGCCATGGGAAGGACATTTCATTCTTGAGGTTTTGCAGAAGCGGATGGCAGCAGCAGCATTTTGTCAGATGTCAAACCCATCCCCTTTATTCCTTTTTTTTTTTTTTTTTTTTTTTTTTTTTCTTGAGACAGAGTTTCACTCTGTTGCCCAGGCTGGAGTGTGGAGCACAGTGGTGCGATCTCGGCTCACTGTAACCTCCACCTCCTGGGTTCAAGCGATTCTCCTGCCTCAGCCTCCCAAGTAGCTGGGATTAAACGAATGTGCCACCATGTCTAAGTAATTTTTTTTTTTTTTTGAGACGGAGTCTCACTCTGTCGCCCAGGCTGAGTGTAGTGGCGCGATCTCGGCTCACTGCAACCTCCGCCTCCTGGGTTCAAGCGATTCTCCTGCCTCAGCCTCCAGAGTAGCTGGGACTACAGGCGCCCGCCACCACACCCAGCTAATTTTTTGTATTTTTAGTAGAGACAGGGTTTCACCGTGTTAGCCAGGATGGTCTTGATCTCCTCACCTTGTGATATACCCACCTCAGCCTCCAAAAGTGCTGGGATTACAGGCGTGAGCCACCGTGCCCGGCAATTTTTTTTTTTTTTTTTTGAGACGGAGTCTTGCTCTGTCGCCCAGGCTGGAGTGCAGTGGCACAATCTTGGCTCACTGCAACCTCCGCCTCCCAGGTTCACGCCATTCTCCTGCCTCAGCCTCCTGAGTAGCTGGGACTACAGGCGTCTGCCACCACGCCCAGCTAAATTTTTGTATTTTTAGTAGAGACAGGGTTTCACCATGTTAGCCAGGATGGTCTCGATCTCCTGACCTTGTGATCCACCCGCCTCAGCCTCCCAAAGTGCTGGGATTACAGGCGAGAGCCACCGTGCCTGGCCATCATCCCCTTTATTCTTAATGATCACCTACTTTATGTCCAACCCCATTTTACAAACTTAACACAGATATAGTCATTCCAACCTTACAAGCGTCCTAAGAAGCAGGTAATACCCCCACTTTTTTTTTTCTTTCTTGAGACAGGATCTCACTCTGTTGCCCAGGCTGGAGTACAGTGGTGCAATCACAGCGCCCACTGCAGCCTCAACCTACCCAGCTCAGGTGATCCTCCCACCTCAGCCTCCCAAGTAACTGGGACCACAGGCATGCACCACCACACCCAGCCAATTTTTATTTATTTTTTAAAATTTTTATTTATTTTTGAGATGGAATTTTGCTCTTGTTGCCCAGGCTGGAGTGCAATGACATGATCTCGGCTCACTGCAACCTCCACCTCCCAAGTTCAAGCAATTCTCCTGCTTCAGCCTCCCAAGTAGCTGGGACTACAGGCATGTGCCACCACGCCTGGCTAATTTTTTGTATTTTTAGTAGAGATGGGGTTTCACCATGTTGGTCAGGTTAGTCTTGAACTCCTGACCTCAGGTGATCCACCCGCTTTGGCCTCCCCAAGTGCTGGGATTACAGGCGTGAGCCACCACACCTGACCAATTTTTATATTTTTTGTAGAGACGATGTCTCATCATGTTGCCCAGGCTGGTCTTGAACTCCTGGGCTCAAGCGAGCCTCCTGCCTTGGCTTCCCAAAGTGCTGGGATTACAGGCATGAGCCACTGCGCCTGGCTGCAAGTAATACCCTTATCCCCACTGCATGAATGGGAAACAGGTCCAGAGGTGGGAAGTGACTTGTCCAAGGTCATAGAGCCAGCATTTGAATGCTGGTGGTAGGAGGGGGAGACAGGCAGGAAACCTACCCGGGCCCCGGACCTCTCTGGACCCCCTCCACCCTGCTTGCCCACACATTCAAGTCTTGGAGTGGTGTGACTCAGTTTCCCCATTGGATTGGAACAAGTCTTGGGCTGTGGTGGTCTGTTTCTACCAAGGGCCTAGCCCCAGCATGGCCTGGTCACAGGACCCCCTGGAGGCCTTGGAGCTTCAGACTCTCCCCACCTAGAGCTCTGGTGGAGGGCAGGAAATCGGGGGGCCATTGGCGGAGGGGGCCCAGCAGGCAGGGCTGATTAGCAGCCATGAACAATGGGCCTCTCTGTTCTCGGGGGCCACCTAACTGGTTTGTCTCTGGCACGGACGCGACCAGGTGGGGGTGATGTGGGTGTGGCGGAGGGCACGGGGAGGGGGCTGGGTGTGCACAATGCGTGTTCCTGTGTCCCGGAGGCCCTAACCTAGGGAGGCATCTGTACCTGTCCAACTGCATAGAGACACACATTTGTAGGTACAGGAGTGCCCACTGTCATTTGCAATCTAGCTCAGGTTATCATCTGTGCCCTGAGACCCCTCATCCTGGCCACACACACAGGGGTACACAGGTGAACACGCTGCCAGCACCCACAGCTGCCAGAGCCCAGGAGTTCAAGACCAGCCTGGGCAACATAGCGAGATGCCCCATCTCACACAGCACACTGTCAGGCTTACACTTGTGTGCCCACTCACACTCATTCACACCCAGCCATCTCATATCCTCACACTCAGGTTCTTTCATACTCGTATACACACACTCACACACTCACACACTGCCCACACACGATCACACTCACATGCTCAAGCATTCTCACTCGAGCACACTTGCGTGCTCAAACGCTCCCACATTTGGCTGGGTGCAGTGGCTCACACCTGTAATCCCAGCACTTTGGGAGGCTGAGGCGGTTGGATCACCTGAGGTCAGGAGTTCGAGACCAACCTGGCCAACATGGTGAAACCCTGTCTCTACTAAAAATACAAAAATTAGCCGGGTGTGGTGGTGGGCGCCTGTAATCTCAGCTACTCGGGAAGCTGAGGCAGGAGACTCACTTGAACCTGGGAGGTGGAGGTTGCAGTGAGCTGAGATCTCCCCACTGCACTCCAGCCTGAGCGACAGAGCGAGACTCCATCTCAAAAAAGAAAAAAAATTAGCCGGGTGTGGCAGTGTGCGCCTGTAATCCCAGCTACTCGGGAGGCTGAGGCAGGAGAATCGCTTGAACCCGGGAGGCAGAGGTTGCAGTGAGCTGAGATCACACCACTGCACTCCAGCCTTGGTGACAGAGCAAGACTCCGTCTGGAAACGAAACAAAACAAAACACTCCCACATTCACTGTTTTCACATTTCCACACTCAAACAGGGTTACACACACATCCTGGGTTGTCCTCACACTCACACACACTTGGACTTTTTCACACGCATTGAAACACAATCACACATTTGACCATGATGACACTCACACGCCTGCCTGCCTGCCTGCCTGCCTTCTTCTTTTTCTTTCTCTCTCTCTCCCTCCCTTCCTTCCTCTCTTTCCCTCCCTCCCTCCCTCCCTTCCTTCCTTCCTATTTCCTTTCTCTTTCTTTTTCTTCCTCTCTCTCTCCCTCCCTCCCTTCCTTCCTTTCTCTCTCTCTTTCCCTTCCTTCCTTCCTCTCTTTCTCTCTTTCCCTTCCTTCCTTCCTTTCTCTCTTTCTCTCTCTCCCTCTCTCTTTCCCTCCCTCCCTCACTCCTTTCCTCCCTCCTTCCTTCCCTCTCTCTCTCTTTCTTTGATAGAATCTTGCTCTGTTGCCCAGGCTGGAGTGCAGTGGCGCAACCTCGGCTCACTGCAACCTCTGAGTCCTGGGCTCAAGTGATCCTCCTGCCTCAGCCTCCCAAGTAGCTGGGACCACAGGTGTGTGCCACCATGCCTCGCTATATTTTTGTTTTTGTTTTTGTTTTTGTTTTTTGGTAGAAACTGGGTTTCACTGTGTTGCTCAGGCGGTCTCAAACTCTTGGCCTCAAGCAATCCTCCCGCCTCAGCCTCCCAAAGCACTGGGATTCCAGGTGTGATCCACTGCACCCAGCCAGTATTTTCATACTTACACCCAAACATGATCCCATGCATACTCAGATGTTTCCAGGCTCACATATTCTAACACAATCACATCCACACACCAGAACACCACCGCATGAATCCACTAGTGTGTTCTCACACTCACATTTGAATACGTCGTGCTCACATGCTAGGGCGTTTTCACAGTCACACTCAAACATGACCACACTCACACACTTGGACGCTTCCACCTTCATTCAAAACACTCACTGGCTGGGCAAGGTGGCTCATGCCTTTGATCCCAGCACTTTGGGAGGCCAAGGCAGGAGGATTGCTTGAGGCCAGGAGTTTGAGACCAACCTGGGCAATATAGGGAGACCCTGTCTCAGAAAAGAAAAGAAGACAAGACGGGGCACGGTGGCTCACGTCTGTAATCCCAGCACTTTGGGAGGCCAAGGCAGGCAGATCATTTGAGGTCAGGAGTTTGAGACCAGTCTGACCAACATGGTGAAACCCCGTCTCTACTAAAAATACAAAAAAAATTAGCCAGTCATGGTGGCAGATGCCTGTCATCCCAGCTACTCAGGAGGCTGAAGCAGGAGAATCGCTTGAACCTGGGAGGCGGAGGTTGCAGCGAGCCGAGACTGCACCACTGCATTCCAGCCTGGACGACAGAGCAAGACTCCGTCTCAAAAATGAAAAAAGAAAAGAAAAGAAGATGAGAAGAGAAAAGACAAAAAGAGTCAAGGTCATGAAGGACAAAGACAGATGGAGGAGGAGTCTCAGATTGGAGGGGCCAAAGGAAAGGGGATGGCTAAATGTCATCTGGGATCCTGGATGGACCCTGGGACAGAGAAAGGACGTTAGCAGAAATACTGGTGAAACTCGGCCAGGCTCAGTGGCTCACGCCTATAATCCCAGCACTTTGGGAGGCTGAGGCGGGGAGTTCGCCTGAGCCTGGAAGTTCGAGACCAGCCTGGATAACATAGTAAGACCCCATCTCTACAAAAATAGAAAATAATAAATTTTTAAAAGACACCATCGGCCAGGCACAGTGGCTCACGCCTGTAATCCCAGCACTTCGAGAGGCCAAGGCGGGTGGATCACTTGAAGTCAGGAGTTCGAGACCAGCCTGGCCAACATGGCAAAACCCCATCTCTACTAAAAATACAAAAATTAGCCAGGCACGGTGACAGGCACCTGTAATCCCAACTACTCAGGAGGCTGAGGCAGAAGAATTGCTTGAACCCGGGAGAAGGAGGTTGCAGTGAGTCGAGATCGCACCATTGCACTCCAGCCTGGGCAATAGAGTGAGTCTCTGTTTCAAAAAGAAAAAAAAAAAAAAAAAAACAGGCCGGGCGCGGTGGCTCACGTCTGTAATCCCAGCACTTTGGAAGGCTGAGGCAGGCGGATCCCTGGAGGTCAGGAATTTGAGACCAGCCTGGCCAACATGGCGAAACCCCGTCTCTACTAAAAATACAAAAATTAGCCGGGTGTGGTAGTGCACGCCTGTAATCCCAGCTATTAGGGAGAGTGAGTAAGGCAGGAGAATTGCTTGAACCCAAGGGGTGGAGGTTGCAGTGAGCCGAGATCGCGCCACTGTACTCCAGCCTGGGTGACAGACCGAGACTTCGTCTCCAAAAAAAAAAAAAAAAAAAAATCACACTCACACACTTGAGTGCTTTCACACTTGTGGTGAAACGTTATATCCACGTGCTGGTGTTTGCACACACACACACACACTTGAACAACCCCACAGTGAAAAACCAGGGTGTTTTCACACTCACACTCAAGCATGATCCCACTTACACACACAGGTTTTCCCCACTCACACGTGGTAATCCGGTCTCACAGAGACACACACAAGAGCATCCATTGTCATTTGTGCTCTGGCCAAGGTCCCCAAGACCCTCCTCCTGGCCACACACACACACAGGGGTGCACAGGTGAACACGCCACCAACGCCCACAGCTGCAAAGATTCCAGGGCGCACAGACACGGTGGGAGGAGAGTGAGAGGAGGGGAAGCAGATGGGGCCGGGGGACTCAGGAGGGAACGGCCCCGCCCTGACCACTGCCCGTGTCCACCCCTGCAGGGATCCCAGGTGCCGTCTACATTGCCTGTGCAGGGCCTGGCTAGAGATCCCTTCCCAGTCCTGGAGAAAACGTAGAAATCCTGGAGAACCTGCATTGCCTGGAGGGAGGGAAGCCTCCTTCCTTCCTGGAGGGGCTGGGAGCGTAGCAGTGTGAGGTGCAGCAAGAAGGACCTAGGACAGACCTCCACTTTTAGCTGGAGGCCACACAATCCCCACAGCTGGGGAAGGAAGGGGAAAGAAGGGAAATGGACTCAGAGAGAGGCAAAGAGCAGCCCAACGTCACACAGCTAGGCAGGCCCTTCCAATCAACCAAAGCAACAGACAGCCAGCGCAAGGGTGTGTGTTTCTGGCACCTTCCTTGGTGATGCCAGGAAATGTTGCTCATTATCTTTATGCACAGGCAACGCCCTGGCACCCCCACTCCCCTTCCCACCGAACTCCCCAGGGGACACCTGCCGGGCACACCCAGTCCCAGGGATAAAAGCCTCTGTCCTACAGAACTCCCGATCTCAAAGAGTAGCACCTGAGAGATGAAGAAAGGGAGGGGGACCCTCTCTCCATGTAGGCATCTCTTCTAATCTTGGGGAGGCCTGGAATTGGGGCCTATCTTAATTTGGCAAACTCCTACTCTACCCTGAAAGCCCTAGCTCCTACAGCCCCTCCACCAGAAACCCTTCCCTGCTACCCATCTTGGCCACCCCCAGCCATGGGTGCCTTCCTCTTGCCCAGCCCTGTAAGCGTGGTGTCTGTGCCCATGACTGTCTTTGCTGGATGGGAGTTTCTAGAGGGACATCTTCGGCTGAGTTTTTGCAGGGCACAGGGCTGACTTTGAGAATTCAGTTTACAGAGGGGTGAGCTTGCTGCAGATCCCAAGTCTGCACACTTTTGCCTGTGGGGGTGCTGCCCTGCATACACTTCTCCTTCCTCTCCGTTTCACTCCTGGTCCTCCTGTGACTCAGTTTCCCCATATATATATATATTTTTTGAGACGGAGTCTGGCTCTGTTGCCCAGGCTGGAGCGCAATGGTGTTATCTCAGCTGATTGCAACCTCTGCTTCTCAGGTTCAAGCCATTCTCCTGCCTCAGCCTCCCAAGCAGCTGGGACTACAGATGCCTGTCACCATGCCTGGCTAATTTTTGTATTTTGTCTTTTGAGACAGAGTCTCACTCTGTCACACAGGTTGGAGTGCAGCAGTGCGATCTCAGCTCACTGCAACCTCTGGCTCCCGAGTTCAAGCGATTCTCCTGTCTCAGCCTCCCGAGTAACTGGGACTACAGGTGTGCGCCACCATGCCTGGCTTTTTTTTTTTTTCAGACGGAGTCTTGCTCTGTTGCCCAAGCTGGAGGCTGGAGTGCAGTGGCATGATCACAGCTCACTGCAACCTCCGCCTCCCAGGTTCAAGCAATTTTCCTGCCTCAGCCTCCCGAGTAGGTAGGATTACAGCCATAAGCCACCATGCCTGGTTAATTTTTTTGTATTTTTATTAGAAACGAGGTTCCACCATGTTGGCCAGACTGGTCTAAAACTCCTGACCTCAAGTGATCCGCTCGCTTCGGCCTCCCAAAGTGCTGGGATTACAGGCGTGAGCCACCGCGCCTGGCCAAACTTTTATATTTTTTAGTAGAGACAGGGTTTCACCATGTTGGCCAGGCTGGTCTCAAACTCCTCACTTCAGGTGATCCGCCCGCCTCTGCCTCCCAAAGTGCTGGAATTATAGGCATGAACCACTGTGCCCAGCCTCCATCTGTTTTTTTTTTTAAATTAAAAAAAATTTTTTTTAATAGAGACAAAGTCTCGCCATGTTACCCAGGCTGGTCTCGAACTCCTGGCCTCAAGCGATCCTCCCTTCTTTGCCTCCCAAAGTGCTGTGATTACAGGTGTGAGCCACCATGCCTGGCCTCCCATCTTCAATAGGGCACGAAGGGTGCCACCCAGCACTGTAGGAAAGCCAGAGAGGACCTGGAAGAGCTTGACCAAGTGGCTCTTGTGCTCTTGCCACTGCCCATGGGTAGAGGATGCCAGGCCGTGAAGCCAGAACATGCCAGTGGGGAAGTGCCTGTGTGTGTGAACGCCGCGGCATACATGTGTTCGCGCGCCTGTGCCTCTGTTTTCCCCAAGTGCTGATAGCTCGAGGGCTCACAGCTGGGCCTGTTCCTAGGGCAGCCTCCTGGTCTCCTGTTCCTAGATCGCCCCTAGGAGTTCCCTGAGGTTCCACTGGTGGAGAAACTGAGGCCCCATGAGGGGCAAGACTTGGCCAGGGGTCTGGGCCTCTCAAGGCAAGACTCAGTGATTCTGCAAAACACAAAACAAATTCCACAGCCCACAAAAATGTGCCCCCTCCCTCAGAGGGCCCCAGGGCCTGGGCCCACCCCATGGGAGGGATGAGGCAGCCAGGACAGCCTCGAACTGGCGACACACATCTGGGGGCAAACCAGGAACATCTGGCAAGCACAGCTGGTTCCGATACTGCGTCTGCGGGGGCCAGAGGCCAACCTAGGGGTGGCTTCATGTGTCAGGGGGTGCAGACACAGACACCCCCAGCCGCCCCTTCCAGGTCTGCCGGAGAAAGAGGTCCAGCCTCTCCTCTTCTTCCCCCAGCACAGAAGCTGAGTGCTGCCCAACTGCTAGAACTATCGCTGGCTTCCTGCTACCCTGGGCATCAAGTCCCAGCACATGAGCTTGTCTTGAGGGACTCTGGGTCTGTCTTTGCCAAAGTGAAGCTGAGGGATGGATGGTCAGGGATAGTGGTTTCTGGGGAGGAGTATGGTGGCTCCTTCATGATAATAATAGTGGTAAAATAATAATAATAATAATAATAACTGGGCCCGGCACGGTGGCTCACACCTGTAATCCCAGCACTTAGGAGGCCGAGGCGGGTGGATCACGAGGTCAGGAGATCGAGACCATCTTGGATAACATGGTGAAACCCTGTCTCTACTAAAAATACAAAAAAAATTGGCTGGGCGTGGTATTGGGCGCCTGTAGTCCCAGCTACTTGGGAGGCTGAGGCAGGAGAATGGCGTGAACCCAAGAGGCGGAGCTTGCAGTGGGCCAAGATCGCGCCACTGTACTCCAGCCTGGGCAACAGAGCGAACTCTGTCTCAAAAAAATAAATAAATAAAATAATAATAATAATAACTGGGCCGGGTGCGGTGGCTCACAGCTGTAATCCCAGCACTTTGGGAGGCCAAGGCAGGTGGATCACTTTAGGCCAGGAGTTCGAGACCAGCCTGGCTAACATGGTGAAACTCCATCTCTACTGAAAATACAAAAAAAAAAAACAAAAAACAAATTAGCCGGGTGTGGTGGTGCACTCCACCAGTCCCAGCTACTCAGGAGGATCAGGCAGGAGAATCACTTGAACCAAGGACATGGAGGTTGCAGTGAGCCAAGATCGCGCCAGTGCACTCCAGCCTAGGCGACAGGGCGAGACTCCGTCTCTAATAATAATAGTAATAATAACTGAAACTAACACTCATGAACAACACTATTAGTGCCATTCTAAGCACTTTACATGTAGTAACTTGTATCAAGGTATGGACTATTTTATCCCCATTTGGTAGGTGGAAAACTGAGGTCCAGAGAAGTGAAGTAACTTGCTCAGATTCAAACAACCTAAGTGGCTGAGCTGGGATTTGAACACAGGTGGTCAGCAAACTCCTACTCATTCCTCAAAGACTCACTTCCAACACTCCTCCCTCCATATTCTTTTTTCTTTTATTATCCAATCAATGGCTGCAAAACCTCTATTTTTTTCTTTTTTTCAAGACAAAAGTCTCGCTGTGGAGTGCAGTTGCACGATCTCGGCTCACTGCAACCCCACCTCTGGGGTTCAAGCGGTTCTCCTGCCTCAGCCTCCTGAGTAGCTGGGATTACAGGTGCACGCCACTACACCCAGCTAATTTTTTTGTATTTTTAGTAGAGACGGGGTTTCACCATGTTGGCCAGGCTGGTCTTGAACTCCTGACCTCAAGTGATCCTCCTGCCTCAGACTCCCAAAGAGCTGGGATTACAGGTGTGACAACCGTGCCCAGCCTATAACCTATATATTCTTTTTTTTTTTTGAGATGGAGTCTCGCTCTGTTGCCAGGCTGGAGTGCAGTGGAGCGATCTCAGCTCAGTGCAACCTCTGCCTCCTGGGTTCAAGCGATTCTCCTGTCTCAGCCTCCCAAGTAGCTGGGATTACAGGCACGAGCCACCATGTCCAGCTAATTTTTGTATTTTTAGTAGAGATGGGGTTTCACCATGTTGGCCAGGGTGGTCTTGATCTGACCTCGTGATCCGCCCGCCTCGGCCTCCCAAAGTGCTGGGATTACAGGCACGAGCCACTGCGCCCGGCTGTAACCTCCATATTCTTAACCACGTGCTTTCTGGCCTAACAACAATAACAACACCAGCAATGTTGGCTATTCCATTATTTAGAGGCAGACACTGTGATGAGTGCTTTCCTCTACATTTAATTCTCCCACAGTCCCTGAAAAACATGTTATTATTATTAGCCCTGTTTTCCACGTAGGGAAACTGAGGCTAAGAGAAGTTAAGTGACTTATTCAAGGGCACACAGCAAGTAAGCAGCTGAGGCCGGTTGTGGTGGCTCATGCCTATAATCACAGCATGTCGGGAGGCGAAGGTGGGAGGACTGCTTGAGACCAGGAGTTCAACACCAGCCTGGCCAACATAGCAAGACTCTGTCTTTACAAAAAAAAATTTTTTTTTTTTTTTTTTTGAGACAGAGTCTTGCTCTGTCCCCAGGCTGGAGTGCAGTGGCGCGATCTCGGCTCACTACAAGCTCTGCCTTCCGGGTTCACGCCATTCTCCTGCCTCGGCCTCCCGAGTAGCTGGGACTACAGGTGCCTGCCACCATGCCCAGCTAATTTTTTTTGTATTTTTAGTAGAGACGGGGTTTCGCCATGTTAGCTAGGATGGTCTTGATCTCCTGACCTCGTGATCCGCCAGCCTCGGCCTCCCAAAGTGCTGGGATTATAGGCATGAGCCACCACACCTGGCCAAAAAAAAATGTTTTTAATTAAAAGTAACAAGTGTCTGAGCTGGGATTGGAACCTGGATCCAACTCCAAACTTGTTCTCTCCCGGACTCCACAACTACTGCCTGGGAACCCGCTGGCCTGTGTTAACAAGAGGAAAAGAGGAGAGGTGAGAGAGGGGCGTAGGACCTGCTGTTTGAGAGAACAGTGGCGCTGAGACCCAGGGAGGTACGAGATTTTCTTAAAGACACACAGCAGAGCAGATCCAGCCAGTAAAAGGCCCCAGTGGCAGAAAGCCCAGAGTGCCCGGCTGGGTTCCGCCTCCAGCACACGAATTAACCTGACAAACACTTATTGAGCGCCTACTGTGTGCCAGGGCCTGGCTGGGGACCAGGGACTCGGTGGTAACCAAGGCCACCCTGGGCCCCTCCCCGACAAACTCACCATCCAGTCGGGGAGACAGATAATAAATGTGAAATAAGGTAATTAGATGTCAAGAGCATGTAAACAACAACAAAAAAAAAACCAGGATGGGGCTGGGTGCAGAGTGGCTCATGCTTGGAATCCCAGCACTTTGGGAGGCTGAGGCGGGAGGATCAGTTGAGCCCAGGGTTTTGAGACCAGCCTGGGCAACATAGCGAGACCCCCGTCTCTACAAAAAATTTTAAAATTAGCTGGGCTTGGTGGCATGTACCTGTAGTCCCAGCTACTCAGGAAGCTGACGCAAGAGGATCGCTTGAGTCCAGGAGGTGGAGGCTGCAATGAGCTATGATTGCGCCACTGCACTCTAGTCTGGGCGACAGAGCAACACCGTCTCAGAAAAAAAAAAAAAAAAAACTCAGGATGAAGCCATAGTGACTGGAGGCTGCTTCTAGACTGGGGAGTCAAGGAGGGCTTCTCAGAGGAGAAAGCATTTGAGCTGACGCCTGGATGACAGTAAAGATGCCACCATTGGACGGGCGCAGTGGCTCACACCTGTAATCCCAGCACTTTGGGAGGCCGAGGCGGGAGGATCATGAGGTCAGGAGATCAAGACCATCCTGGCTAACACAGTGAAACCCCGTCCTTACTAAAAATACAAAAAATTAGCCGGGCGTGGTGGTGGGCGCCTGTAGTCCCAGCTACTCGGGAGGCTGAGGCAGGAGAATGGTGTGAACCCGGGAGGCGGAGCTTGCAGTGAGCCGAGATCGCACCACTGCACTCCAACCTGGGTGACAGAGCGAGACTGTCTCAAAAAAAAAAAAAAAAAAGCCACCATTGAAGATCTGGAAAGAGTGTTCCAGGCGGAGGGAGCTGCACGTATAAAGGCTCGGAGGCAGGACCGTGCCTGTTCGAGATGACCAGCGTGGCTGGAGTGCCAGGAGCCAGGGGACAATGCAGGGAGATGAGGCGGGAAGTAACGAGGGCCCTGTGGCCTGCAGGGTCAGTGCCCCGCAGTCCCCCACCGGCACCTGGAGCTCTCTCTTCCTGTACCCGCCACCCAGCTGTGTCTGGGGAGGGAGGCTAGGGAGCGTGTGTGTGCCAGCTTCTTAGACCCACCATTTCTGGCCCCGGCCCTCTGTGGTTGGGCTATAAAGTTGCCACCTTGACCACACCAGTCTCTTGGGGCTGGCCAGGCTGCCCCAGGGCTGGCCTCGGAGGCATCTGGAGCTGGCAGGAGGGGGGTCCCCGGGGTGGGATGACAGGATCAGCCTAATGAGGCCTGGCATGGCTAAGCAGCTGGCACAGGTCCCAGCGGGTGGCTTGAGCGACATGGGTCCTCCGGGAGCGGCCAGGACACCACAAGATGCTGGCCATCTGATGGAAAGAGAAACTGAGGCACAGACCCCAGATGAAGGTTAAACCCTAACACTGGGTGAGACTGGGAACCACTCTTCAGTTTCCCGGGAAACAGGTCAGCTCAATCATCTTGTCTTTCTTCTTTTGAGACGGGGTCTCACTCTGTCACCCAGGCTGGAGTGCAGTGGTGCGATCTCAGCTCACAGCGGCCTCGACCTCCTGGGCTCAAGAAGTTCTCCCACTCCAGCCTCCTGAGTAGCTGGGACCAGAGGGGGATGCCACCACACCTGGCTAATTTTTGCATTTTTGGTAGAGAGGGGGTCTTGCTATGTTTCCCAGGCTAGTCTGGAACTCCTGGGCTCAAAGGATCCACCTGCCTTGGCCTCCCAAAGTGTTGGGATTACAGGCATGAGCCACTGCACCTGGCCATCATCTTTTCCATCTCCCCAAATTCAAATTGTACCTTGGTTCCTGACACACTGCGCTATTTAAGCACGAACAGTGCCCTCTCTCTGGGCCTTAGTTTCCCCACTTGGGAAGTGAGGGCCACATGCTGTAAGCTGGGCCTGCTGTCTGATTTCTTCCAGGGCTCACCTGAAGCCTGATTTCATTTGGATTTGACAGGGAGACCCCTCCATTCCAACATCATCATCTCCGAGACACCCTTCCTGCAGGCATGCCCCATTCATATCCACTCTTTCTTCAGGCTTCCTTCAAGGCCATTATCAGCCCTGCAAGTGCAAGGCTGGTTTGGGAGCCTCCTGTCCATCTCCCGACCCCAACCCCCGGCCACCACCTCCACCTTGAGGCCCCAGAGCCTCTGCCTCAACTTGGAGGACCAGGGAGATGCATCAGCGGAGGAAGCCCACAGCCCCCCAGCAAAGATAGTCCAGCCCAGTGACTCCAGATACATTAACAACTTGCACCTCTCTGATCTGCGTATTCAGCCCCTACCTCCAG
This sequence comes from Homo sapiens, assembly GCF_000001405.40. Classification (NCBI taxonomy): domain Eukaryota; kingdom Metazoa; phylum Chordata; class Mammalia; order Primates; family Hominidae; genus Homo; species Homo sapiens. The sequence goes on along the minus strand of NC_000019.10, from coordinate 5,807,268 downwards.
GGATGCAACCTTGAGTGCCCCAGCCCAGTTCTTCCTCTGCCAACCTTCTAGAACAGTCTCTCCCACACTCACCAAGGTGCCTTGACTATTCCATGCCTCCAGATCTTTGCATGCACAGCCACCTGGAATGCCTTTTCCTTTCCCACTTAGAAAACTCCTACTCATCCTTCACAGCCCCACCTCTGAGGCCCTTCCTCCAGGAAGTCTTCTCTGACATTCCTACCCTGAGGTAGAGCCCTCCATCCCCACTCTGAGCTTCCCCAGCCCTGTGTCCCTGGGTCTAAATCTGCCTCCCTTGAAGGACAGCACCCAACAACCCTGACACCAGTCAACCACGCGGTTGCCATCGACACACATTTGTCGAAACAATCTTTTGATTGTGTTGTGCCCGGCTGCAAACTTTTTGAGTCCCTTCTGCCCAGCTCTTGAAAGCTGTCTCCTCTGTTCGCTCCCTGAAAACTGGGACCTGAAACGCCGAGGGGCCAGTGCTGATGGTGGAGTTTCAGATGCAGTACCCAGCTGAAGAGGGGAATGTTTTATTTTCTTCCCTGCACCCCTGGAAGAAGCTTTCTGTAGCTCCCTGGGGGTGGAGTCGGTGCCGGAGCTATGAACCTCGGGAGTCTTAGGATGAAGGGAGGAGGGAGGGGTGTCCAAAGGGCCCCAAGGCAAGAAGCTGGGGGTGGGAGAAGCTGGCAGTGTGGGTGGGATCCTGCCCCTCACTGACATCCTCTGAGGCTGGTCACACCCCACCCAGGCTTCCTCAGCCCGGGGCACTCAGAGACAGACAAAGAGGGCCATGGAACAGGGACAAGGATGTAGAGAACAGGGAAAGGGCAGGGGAGACAGGCAAGAGGGAGGAAAGTCAGGGGTCCGGCCTCCTGCACCCCCCTGCTTTAAGCCCCTGGCCCCACTCCCCAAATCTGGACCAATGACGAGCCCTGCAGGTAATCACAGGCCTGTGGGCAGGTCGGATGCGTTCTGGGGAGGGGACAGTGGTGGCATTCACCCTGGGAGAGCCATTTCTCTCTCCAGCACACCCCCCTCCCCACTAATCTGTCTGCAGCCCCCTTGGGCCTAATAACTCCTAATCCACAAACCACCTCCTGGGACAATTCGGGGCTATCCCCGTGCAGGAGACACCTTTTATAAAAAGCAGGAAAGGCAGGCACAGCCTCCCGCCACTTCACATCCAGGCTTTGCCCTTAAGGGACCCCCACCCCCAACACCAAAGGGTTTCACGCCCTCTGGTGGCTGAACGGGCTGCTCCAGGAGCCGAGAGGGCCCGGCCCTCACCGGAGGACACCGTGTCCCCGGCGGCGGCGGCGGCGAGCAGGGAACGCGCCACTGACAGATGTTTACTTCTGTGCGCAGCTGGACCGCGACGGCAGCCCCCCGCCCGGGCTCTGCAGGATCCGGAAGCCCCCCAACGGCCCCTTGGAGACCACATGGCTAAAGGGCTGTCTGGGTCTCGCCCTCCTAGAGGCTAAGGGGATTCTGGGGAGGGCACCGTGCGTTCCTCAGATGCACACTTGGAGGTTTTAGGAGACAGGAGTGCGCCCGCCCCGTCGGACAGGGACACCGCGGCTGGATTCGGGCTTGGAGAGCCGCTTAGGATCTGGCTTCACGCCCCCGCCCCTCCCCACGCGCTGACCTGTCGTCCCTCTGACCCCACCCTCATACACCCGCTGGTTCTGCTGCAGGAGGGAATCCCCTGGTCTACTCGGAGTCCTCAGCACCCTCCATGCCCCGTCCATGGGGCAGGTCGTCCCCGTCGTACCCTGCTGCCCCCCCACCTGCCCCGCCTGCCCCTTGCTTACCTGCTGTGGGCGCCGGACTACCCGTCAGTGGCGGCCGCGCGGCCCCAGCCCCTGCCCCAGCCGCCGCGACCGCCATCCGGGCCGCCTGGGCCCGCGGTGCCCGGGGGGGGCCCGGGCCGGAGGGGGCGGCCGCGGGCGGGGTGCGGCGCGGGCCGGCCCATGGGGCCCCCCGGGCTCGCTTAGCCGCGGGCTGCGGCCATCCCGGGCCGGCGGGGGCTGGGGCTGGGGGTGGGTGCCCTGGACGGCCGGCGGCTCAGAGGGCGCGGGGCGCGGGGGCGCACGGACGGCGCAGGCGGCCTCGGCGCGCAGCACGGGGCTCCGGGGCGGCGGCGAGAGGGACCTGGGCACTCGGAGCGGCTTCAGGGCGCGCTCTCCCGCCGCCTCCGCCCGTCCCGCCGCGGACGGCTCGGCCGGCGCGGGGCCGGGGGCGGGGCCGGGGGCGGGGCTGGGGGCGGTGGCTCGGGTTTCCCCGGCCCTCCCCGCCCTCCCCGCCCCCGCCGGAGGGGACCGGAGGAGCGCAGGTGGCAGAGGCGCGGGAACCAACCACAGAGCCCCCTTTAGACGGCTTTCTCCCCCGGCCCCGGGGACTCCGACGGCTCCCCTTCGGGAGAGCCGGGACCCCAAGACACCCCCTCCGAAGGTGTCTAAGAGCCGCAGCTGTCCCGACGCCAGTGCCTGTGGCCCTTGGCGCCCCCCACATTCTATCGAGGATCTGACCTTTCTGCCAGACCTCCCAAACCTGTCCCAGGTCCCCTTCCAGAGAACAAGGCGCCAAGAAGTCCCTTCACTAAAGAAGCCCCTCAAGGGAAGCCCCCAGAGCGGCGCCCCCCTCAAACTAGCTGTTTCCCATCCTCACTCCGGGGACCCCTGACGGCTCCTCTTGCCTAAATCCGGAGCTCCAAGACGCTCCCCCGACCCCTTCTGGCGAACTAAGACCCATGGCCCACACCCCAACAGCTGTGGCCCCCGCATACAGCTCCCCCCACCCCACTGAGGATTGGGGTGTCCCCCTCCAATCTCGTCCCAGGTTCTCCTTCCCCAGAAGCTGAAGAAGCCCCCTCCCAAGAAAGCTCTTCCAGGGAACTGAGACGCAAAGTCTTCCCCTCGGACGGATGACGACACCCGCTGTCCTCAGCGCCCCCCATCAAGCAGTAAGTCCCCCAGTGCGGCCTCAGAGCCCTGCAGGGGATTTCTCGCTCCTAGCTCCCGCCGGCGCCCCCTCCTGGCACCAAGGCTCACGGGCAGGGGAGCCCAAACCCACCCGGGCTCCTCCCCGACGGCTCCGCGCTCCCACAGCGCTCCCTGGCGGCGCCGGGCTAACTCGGGGACGGGACTGGGATGGCTGAGCTGGGCTGGGACTGCTGCGGCCCCGCCCCCGCCCCGCGGGGTGACCGAAAAACTCCCGCCCTGCAGACTCCTCCCCGCGCCGCCTGCGTTCTTGGAGCCCCCGTGCTCTGGTTTCTCGCTCCCGCCGCTGAGGTTCTTGGGGCCTCCTCCTCACTCCGGCCCTGGCTGCCTGCATGTTTCTGATTCCAGCAGCCTGGGGGTTCGCATGCAGATTAGGCCTTCCTAGAAGATCCCTAACCCCAACATATGCACGTCCCCACAAAGCGCCTGTAAAACTTGCGGGGCCGCGCAGTGCGCGCGGTGATGGGGACACTCACGCAGCCTCGCCTCCTGCTGCACGCGGGCTGATGCACGCGGTGCTGTGCACGTGCGCGGGGTGCGTGCTGGAATGTGAGTTGTGGGTGGGGGGACGAGAGAACGGACCTATGTCAGAGAAGTGGCAGCCTGTTCCCAGATCTAGGATGGAAGTTAACAGGGATCTGTGTTCTGTGTGGCCTTGGGCCTTCCCCCCCGTGCCTCAGTTTCCCCACTTGTAACAGGGTATTACTAGTAGATCTTCACTGTGTTCTAGTAAGGACTGAATGAGTGTGAACAAGCTTGTATAAGTAATGAGTAAATGTGAATAAGTAAGTGAGTAAGCCTGGCAAGTTGGGGGTGATGTCCCAATGTCTGCCATTACTAGTGTTCCCAAATGTTCACTCCCAGAAACCCACTCCCAGTGACACACATACCCTAACCTCAAACACACACCCTCAAACCTTTATTCCCGGTGGGGTCACCCCCCCTGCCATCTCTCTTTTTTTTTTTTTTTTTTTTGAGACGGAGTCTTGCTCTGTTGCCCAGGCTGGAGTGCAATGGCATAATCTCGGCTCACTGCAACCTTCGCCTCCTGGGTTCATGTGATTCTCCTGCCTCAGCTTCCCAAGTAGCTGGGACTACAGGCGCGCGCCACCACGCCCAGTTTAGTAGAGAAGGGGTTTCACCATGTTGGTCAGGATGGTCTCGATCTCTTAACCTCGTGATCCGCCCGCTTCGGCCTCCCGAAGTGCTGGGATTAGAGGCGTGAGCCACCGCGCCCGGCCTATCTTTCCTTCTCACACAAACCTAGACGCCCTAGTGAGCACAGACACTCCTGCACTGTCACACCCCGCCCCACCCCCGGGTCCTCACACGCAGACACACGCTGACACAACCCCTCCACGAGTATCTCACAAGGTCACGCGTACACTCTCCTGCGGGGGTCCTTCCTTACCCCACGCCCTTCTGAATGCACTCATGCCCACAGACCCGGGGTTCACTCAGCCCGACACACACACACACACACACACACACACACACTCTCAGCAGATCCTTACACACCCCCACGCTGCCTGGCACTGGTTAGTACACACACACACACCCACACACACACACAGACACACACATACACCCCGGGCCCCGTCTGGAAGGCACAGCCACCCCTGCACACACACAGCAGGGCCAGGAGCCCACCCCCACCCCAGCCCTCCATCATTAAGCTGTCACCAGCTGCCCCTCCACTGCCTCCCGCTCACCCCACACCGCCTGTGCCCCCTCCCCGCCGCGGCTGGGGGCCATGGGGGCGGGGGCCGAGCAGACACATGGGGCGCAGGACACACACACATGTGCCCACCATGTGGACGCTTGTAAAACGGTTGCCCCGGCAACAGCGACTTGAAAGAGTTGGTTCTTCCTCTGGGATTGGGGGGAGACGCTAGGGGCGTGTCCAAGGTAGGGGGCGGGGCGGGGCGCAGGAGGTGGGGACGCGAGGACCTACGCCCAGCTACAGCCATTCCACTCAGGGACACACACGCTGAAACAACCACACACGTGGTTGGAGACCCCGTCGCACCGGGGGACACGGAGACCCTGCCTTGCTCAGCCCCATGTGGTCACACCAGGAACACAGTTCCTTCCATCCTGACACCCTCCCAAATCACCCGCACACTCTCTCTGTCACCAACCCACATGCTATCTCACCCCCTGTGACAGGCGGTGACAGACACCCTGTCACACTCGCTGACCCACACCAAAGCCGGGAACTGAGGTGCACAGGGACACACGGGCCCCTCCAGGATCCCTCCACCCCCTATCCCAGAAAGGAACCCAGGGACCAGGACTCTCCATTAACACCCCTCTGTGAGCTAGGTGCAGTGGCTCATGCCTGAAATCCCAGGGCTTTAGGAGGCTGAGGCAGGAGGATCAATGGAGGCCAGGAGTTCGAGACCAACCTGGGCAACATCCGGAGACCCCCATCTTTACAAAATAAAACTTTTTTCAAATTAGCTGGGCGTGGTGGTGCACGCCTATATTTCCAGCTATTTGGGAGGCTGGGGCAGAAGGACCCCAACCCAGGAGGTCAAGGCTGCAGTGAGCTATGATCATACCACTGCACTCCAGCATGGGTGACAGAGCGAGACCCTGATCCCCCCCCCCCAAAAAAAAAACAAAAAACAGCCCTCTGAATTCCACCCCTTTCCAAGAAACTGTCTGGGCTTGGCTGCCCGGGAGGCCAGGGAACTCAGAGGCTGGCTCTATTTGCAGGAAACAAGGGTATTTACAATGCTTTATTTTTAAATCTTTTTTGTCCCAGACTTGGGCTGCCGCAGGGCGGGCCGGATGTCGCCAAGTACTGAGCCTCTCTTTCTTCAAGTGCAGCCTGTGTGTAGGATCTGTGGTCTTCCCAGAGCACAGATATGGGGAAACTGAGGCTCAGAGAGGAGCAGGAAGGCACCTGACCTTTTGTTTTCTTTCTTTCTTTCTGGATACAGGGTCTCACTTTGTCACCCAGGCCGACGTGCAGTGGCGCCATCATAGCTCACTGCAGCCTTGACCTCCTGGGCTGAAGCGATCCTCCTACCTCAGCCTCCGTGTAGCTGGGACTACAGATGTGCACCACCGCACCCAGTTAATTTCTTAATTTTTTAGAGAGATGGGGTCTTGCTGTGTTGCCCAGGCTGGTCTCCAAATCCTGGGCTGAAGCAATCCTCCCACCTCAGCCTCCCAAAGTGCTCGGATTACAGGCATGAGCCACCGTGTCTGGCCCAGGCAGCTGACCTCTTTGACTGATTCAAGCCTGCTGGCATCAGGGTCAAGGCCGAGGCAGGGGTGGAACCGTGCAGCGGTGGCTGAAAACCATATCCCAAAGCCTGCCTGCCCTTTCTGGTGTTTGCCTGGAAATTAGTTCTGCTCGTTCACTGCCTCCACTCCCTGCAACACTCACCCCACCTCCACCTGCTCTCTGCCCACGTGGTGGTTGTGAAACTCAGGGATCAGAGAGGTCAAGCCACTAACCTAAGGTCACAAGTAAGGAAAAAGCTGCAAAGTGGGGCTGGATGACTGTACCACGCTCCACCCCTGTCCTCCCGGAGGCTGGCCCCCTGCCCTCCCCAGGAGGCCACTGCTCCCAAAGGGAGTGATCTGTTCTTGGGTGGAGACTCCAGGGCAGAGGTTCTGGGAGGCCGGGGGCCGCTGGCCAAGACTCAGACTTGGCTGCTGGAGAAGTTTCCATCTTAGCGCCAGGAGTTGGGCCAGGTTCTGGGGGCTTGGGCTGCACCTCAGGACCCCCGGGGACCAGCCCTGTGGGGGTGGAGGTGGCTGGATGCCCACTGTGTCCCCTGGCTGGAGCACTGGCCATCCCAGCACACTGGGCACCACCCCAGCCTCCAGTGTGTTGGTGACTGAGCTTATGGGGTCTGTTTCCCCATCTGCCAAATGGCTCCCACGTTTGTTCTGTGCCCAGCACTGGGCATGTAATATGTTACCAGAGGTGGGTGCTGTCATTCTCCCGTGGAGAGGGAAAGGGACTTACCCAGGACACTGGGACAGCTGAGGGCTCCCCAGAAACGATGTTTTGGGGCTACTGATTCAACGGTCACTCTCACCCCAGGCCCAACCCATGCCGAGCACACACAGAGGCCTCAGCTCAGGCAGAGGACACAGAGCTGGAGACACACTCCCGGGCGGGGGTCAGGCTGGCCCGGAGCAAGGTCCCCGGGAGCTGGGTTAGGAGCCCGCCAGGCGGGGATGGGACCCACAAGGCCTGTGGGTGGCAGGAAGGGGCCGGCCCGTTCCAGGTGAGGATGGTGAAAACAGGGCCAGCAGCTGTCCCCACAGGACCATTTACAGCCACAGGTCGCAGGTCAAGGGGCCCGTCCCTGGGGGCCTTAGGTCAGCAAGGTGGGAAAACCATCAGGCCCACCAAGGAGGCCAGGGCAGGGGAATAGAGTCTCAGGAGCAAGGTTGTGCAAGCAGGGAGCTGGGCTGGGGTTGTGCGGTCTCGTGTGGGACATAGCAGTGGCTGAGTGGCTCTTCTCAGGAACTCACAGTGGCACCAACATTCATGCATACCCACACACAAACACACAGACACACACATACAGAGTCATACATAGGCCACAGCCACCAAGGTATATACACAATCCCTCATGCACCTTCATAACACACTAGACAGACACACAATCACGCAGACACACAATGGCACACACACAGGCCTCCCCCAAGTCATGCATCCACGGCAGTCTGGCTCCCACATGCACACACACTCAGGGACATGCGCTCGCACCCGGCTCCCCCGCTCTCTGCCACCTCCCGCCCACCCGCCTGCCCTGCCATCTCGCGTCCTTGGCCCGGGCTGCCCTAATCCCAGGCTCCTGTCCTGAAGCCAGGAGATAAGGAGCAGCTGCAGCCACAGATAAAGGAGTCGCAGCCACAAATCCGGGGCGGCCGCGGCAGCATCGGGCACTGAGCCCGGGGCCGCACCTGCCCTGCTGCTGCCACCCCCATCCGGCCTGGGCGAGAGGGCTGCGGAGAGGGCAAGAGGGGGACACAGAGTGGGGGAGAGACTGAGGAGCATGGAGGGAGGGGGAACTAGAGAGAGAGAGAGGGAGAGATGCAGAGAAAAATTCGAGAGATTCGAGAGGGTCACAGAGAGAAGGAAATACAGAAAGAACTAGAAATGTTTTCTGAGTTAGAAACAGGAAGAATAGGTTGAGCACAGTGGCTCATGCCTGTAATCCCAGCAGTTTGGGAGGCTGAGGTGGGAGGATTGCTTGAACCCAGGAGTTTGAGACCAGCCAGGACAGCATGGCGAGACCCTATCTCCACAAAAAATACAGAAATTAGCCAGGCATGATGGTGGGCGCCTGCGGTCCCAGCGACTTGGGAGGCTGAGGCGGGAGGATTACTTGAGCCCAGGAGGTTGAGGCTGCATTGAGCCGAGATCATGCCACTGCACTCCAGCCTGGGTGGAAGAACAAGATCCTGTCTCTAAAAAAAAAGAGAGAAACAGTGGCCGGGCACGGCGGCTCATGCTTGTAATCCTAGCACTTTAGGAGGCCGAAGTGGGTGGATCACTTGAGGTCAGGAGTTTGAGACCAGCCTGGCCAACATGGTGAAACTTCATCTCTACTAAAACTACAAAAAATTACCTGGGCGTGGTGGCGGGCACCTGTCAGCCCAGCTACTTAGAAGGCTGAGGCAGGAGAATCGCTTAAACCTGGGAGGAGGAGGTTGTAGTGAGCCGAGATCACGGCACTGCACTCCAGCCTGGGCGATGGAGCGAGACTCCGTCTCGAAAAATAGTAATAATAATAAGAAAGAAAGAAGGAAGGAAGGAAGGAAGGAAGGAAGGAAAAGAAAGGAGGGAGGGAGGGAAGGAAGGAAGGATAAGGGGGAGAGAGAGAGAGAAAGAGAGACAAAGAACAACCAGCTGGCGACTAAACAAAGAACCACCAGTTGAGTCCCCAGGCCCTGCTCCACCCCTACCTGGGTGCCTCAGTCTCCCCACCTGCTCAGGGGCCCCAGGACCACCAACCTCCATCCTGCCTCCTCCAGGTTAGTCAAGGACAGTCCAGGCCTGGTCCAGGATCGGGGGGCATATTCCTCAGTGTCCCCACACACTGTACAGTGACACCAATAGCTTGAGCCAGGGCCCTTGGGAAGCCCTCAGCCCCCTCCCTCAGCCTCAGTGAAGGTGGGATTCTCTAGGGCAGGCTCTGCACCCCTGTGCCTCAGTTTCCCCAGTCATGGTAAGACGCATTCACTCGGCAAGTGTCCACGGAGCACCTCCTGTGTACCAGACCCTGTGCTGGGCGCTAGGGACACAGAGGGACTAAGCTAAGCCCGTTTCCCACCCTCTCTGGGCTCATCGTCCAGTGGGAAAGACGGGCATGTGGCCAGGCATCCCCAGTCCTGCCGGGGCCCTGATGGGGGGCCATTCAGAAAGCTGCAGAGCCCAGGCCACGCGCGGTGGCTCATGCCTGTAATCCCAGCACTTTGAGAGGCCGAGGTGGGCGGATCATGTGAGGCCAGGAATTGGAGACCAGCCCGGCCAACATGGTGAAACCCCATCTCTACTAAAAATACAAAAATTAGCTGGGCGTGGTGGTATGCACCTGTAATCCCAGCTACTAGGGAAGCTGAGGCAGGAGAATCACTTGAACCTGGTTGGCAGAGGCTGCAGCGAGCTGAGATTGCACCACCGCACTCCAGCCTAGGCAACAGAGTGAGACTCTGTCTAAAAAAAAAAAAAAAAAAAAAGAAAAAGAAAGAAAGCTGCAGAGCCCAAAGTGGGTACTGAACCCACCCTGAGCAGGGGACAGTCAGGGAGGTATTTTTTTTTTTTTCAATACATAGTCTAGCTCTGTCACCCAGGCTGGAGTGCGGTGGCCCGATCTCAGCTCACTGCAGCCTCCACCTCCCAGGTTCAAGTGATTCTCATGCCTCAGCCTCCCAAATAGCTGGGATTACAGGGGTGTGCCACCACGCTCGGCTAATTTTTGTCGTGTGTGTGTGTGTGTGTGTGTGTGTGTGTTTGAGACGGAGTCTTGCGTGTGTGTGTGTGTGTGTGTGTGTGTTTGAGACGGAGTCTTGCTCTGTTGCCCAGGCTGGAGTGCAGTGGCATGATCTTGGCTCACCACAACCTCTGCCTCCCAGGTTCTAGTGATTCTCCTACCTCAGCTGCCCAAGTATCTAGGACTACAGGTGCACGCCAACATGCCCGGCTAATTTTTGTATTTTTAGTAGAGACAGCGTTTCACTATGTTGGCCAGGCTGGTCTCGAACTCCTGACCTTGTGATCTGCCTGCCTTGGCCTCCCAAAGTGCTGGTATTACAGGCGTGAGCCACCACACCCAGCCTCCAACTTTTTTTTTTTTTTTTTTTGAGAGGGAGTCTTGCTCTGTTGCCCAGGCTGGAGTGCAATGGCATAATCTCGGCTCATTGCAACCTGCACCTCCCAGGTTCAAGGGATTCTCCTCTCTCAGCCTCTTGAGTAGCTGGGACTACAGGTGCGTACCACCATGCCCGGCTAATTTTTCTATTTTTAGTAGAGACAGGGTTTTGCCATGTTGGCCAGGCTGGTCTCGAACTCCTGACCGCATGATCCGCTCACCTCGACCTCCCAAAGTGCTGGGATTACAGGCATGAGCCACCGCGCCTGGCTCCGGCCTCCAACTCTTTCTGCTTGATTGCTTGAGGCCAGAAGTTCAAGACCACCCCGGGCAACACAGCAAGAACCCATCTATAGGAAAAATAGAAAATTTAGCCAGGCAAAGTGGCATGAGCCTGTAGTCTGAGCTACTTGGGAGGCTAAGACAGGAAGATCATTTAACCCTAAGACAGGAAGATCACTTAACCCTGGGAGTTCGAGGCTGCAGTAAGCTATGATCCCACTCCAGCCTGGGCCCTGTCTCTGAAAAAAAAAGAAGAAGAAGAAGAAGAAGAAGAAGAAAGGAGGAGGAGGAGGAGGAGGAGGAGGAGGAGGAGGAGGAGGAGGAGGAGGAGGAGGAGGAGGAGGAGGAGGAGAAGGAGGAGAAGGAGGAGAAGGAGGAGAAGGAGGAGAAGGAGGAGAAGGAGGAGAAGGAGGAGAAGGAGGAGAAGGAGGAGAAGAAGAAGAAGAAGAAGAAGAAGAAGAAGAAGAAGAAGAAGAAGAAGAAGAAGAAGAAGAAGAAGAAGACGGCTTAGAATGGGGCCTGGTACCCAGAAAGTGTTCAGTAATTGTTCAGCTACTGGTAAACAATATTATACCACTACAATAATATAATAATGGCCAGGCGCGGTGGCTCACACCTGTAATCCCAGCACTTTGGGAGGCTGAAGCAGGTGGGTCACGAGGTCAGGAGTTCCAGACAAGCCTGTCCAGCGTGGTGAAACCCTGTCTCTACTAAAAATACAAAAAATTAGCCAAGCATGGTGGCATGCGCCTGCAGTCTCAGCTACTCGGGAGGCTGAGGCAGAATTGCTTGAACCCGGCAGGCGGAGGTTGCAGTGAGCTGAGATCGGGCCACTGCACACCAGCCTGGGCAACAGAGTGAGACTCTGTCTCAAAAATAATAACAACAATATAATAATAATAATAATAATAATAATAACAATAATAATAAATTATATATATTAGTAAACAGTTGATGTTATTTTATTCATATTAATATCATACTTAAAAATTGGCCAATCCACAGCCCTCCTCCTACAGGAAGCCTTCTGGGATTGCCTTACACTGAGGAGGTGGAGTTATCACACGGCACAGCCAGGCAGCCCTGGGAGATCTCTTCTTCAAGGCTGAGGCCCAGAGAGAGGCCACATTCCTCAGGTTGCCTTTTGTGGGCCTCAGTTTCTGCCATCTGACAATTGTCTCCTCAAAGCTGTCTGGGGTAGTAGTGACATGATAAGAAAGAAAAGTGGGAGAACCTCAGAGGGGAACGGAAAGGCACCCCTGGAGGGAGGAGTACCCATCCCTGGATGGTGGACAAGCCCAGCTGGACAAGAAGTCTCACCCCGGCCAGGCGCGGTGACTCACACCTGTAATCCCAGCACTTTGGGAGGCCAAGATGGGTGGATTGCCTGAGGTCAGGAGTTCGAGACCAGCCTGGCCAATATGGTGAAACCCCATCTCTACTAAAAATACAAAATTAGCCAGGCATGGTGGCGGGTGCCTGTAATCCCAGCTACTCAGGAGGCGGAGGCAGGAGAATGGCTTGAACCCAGGAGGCGGAGGTCGCAGTGAGCTGAGATCGTGCCATTGCACTCTAGCCTGGGCAACAAGAGCGAGACTTAATCTCAAAAAAAAAAAAAAAAGTCTCACCCTGACTGCTTTGGTTTCTTCTGGTTTTATTGATTTATTTTTAATTTTTATTATGTGTATATATATATTTTTTTGAGACGGGAGCTCACTCTGTTGTCCAAGCTGGAGTGGAGTGGCACGATCTCAGCTCACTGCAACCTCCGCCTCCCGGGTTCAAGTGATTCTCATGCCTCAGCCTCTCCAGTAGCTGGGATTACAAGCACCTGCCACCACACCCGGCTAATTTTTGTGTATTGTTAGTAGAGACAGGGTTTCAACATGTTGCCCAGGCTGGTCTTGAACTCCTGACCTCAAGTGACTCAACCGCTTCGGTTTCCCAAAGTACTGGGATTACATAAGCCACCACACCTAGCCATTTATTTATTTATTTTTAGAGACAGGGTCTCACTTTGTTGCCCAGGCTGGAGTGCAGTGGCACAATCGTAGCTCACTGCAGCATCGACCTTCCAGGCTCAAGCAATCCTGCCTCAGCCTCCCAAGTAGCTAGATCCACAGGTGCATGCCACCTTGCCCAGCTAGTTTTTCCATTTTTTTTGCAGAGAAGGGGTCTCCTCTCTAAGTGGCCAAGGCTGCTGGTCTGGAACTGCTGGCCTCAAGCGATCCTCCTGTCTCCAAAGGGCTAGGATTACAGCATTAAGCCAAGGTGCCCGGCCTTTTGCACTTTTAGATTCCCGGGTTCCACCGTTTTATTCCCAGGTTGTCCTACAGAGGGCAGCCAAGGCCAGAGATGGAAGACAAACTGCCCGCTCTCCCCTCAACTTTCTCCCAGGTCCTGTAAAAGCAGGTTCCAAGCCTGTTGTGGCCTCGGGCAAATCCCTTCCCTCTTTGGGCCTCAGTTTCCCCATCTGTTTTTGTTTCTTTTTTTTTTTTTTTTTTTGAGACAGAGTCTCTCTCTGTCACCAGGCTGGAGTGCAGTCGCGCGATCTTGGCTCACTGCAAGCTCCACCTCCCATGTTCAAGCGATTCTCCTGCCTCAGCCTCACAAGTAGCTGGGATTACAGGCGTGTGCCACCACACCCAGCTAATTTTTGTATTTTTAGTAGAGACGGGGTTTCACCATGTTGGCCAGGCTGGTCTCGATCTCTTGACCTCGTGATCCGCCCGCCTCGCCCTCCAAAAGTGCTGGGATTACAGGCGTGAGCCACCGCGCCCAGCCTAAGGGAGATACTTTTATCTGGCCCATTTTATTGATGAGGTGACTGGGGTATGAGGGGGCTAAATGAGATGCCCAATGTTTCCAGCTGGTAAGTGGAGGGGCGGGGATTCAAACTTGGCTGAGTCCAGAACCCTGAATTTCCTGTGCACACCAAAGCTTCTCCAGGAATAGGGAGTTTTAGGGGGCACAGCAGGGCTTGGTGGGGACGCTGGGAAATGCTGAGTAGATCCAGCTTTCCTTGGCGCACAGCCTTCCGTGGCTCTCATTTCACTCACGTAGAAGAAGACCAAGTCCTTCTCAAAGTGCACTGGGTCCTGCAAAACCTGCACCTTTTCACCTCCCTCCCCTGGCCTCCTCCTTCTGTCCTCCTTGGACTCTCTGCTCCAACCACATGGGCCTCCTCAATGTTCCTCCAACATGCCAGGACGTTTCCTCCTGCCTCAGGGCCTTTGCACTGGCTGTTGCCTCCACCTGGGACACTTTTCCCTCTGATATCCCTACAACTCTCTCCCACAGCTCTTCCAAATACTCTCAAACATGACCTTCCCCAGGAAGCCTTCCCTTGCCAGCCTGTTAACAACTGCAACTGCAGCAGTGAGCTATAATTGCGCCACTGTACTCCAGCCTGGGCAACAGAGCAAGATTCTGTCTCAAAAAATAAATAAATAAGTCTATTTTTAAAAATAAATAAGTAAATAAATAAATTTAAATAAATAAATAAACTCTGTCTCTCAAAAACAATTAAAATGTGGCTGGGTGCGGTGACTCACACTCAAGGCAGGTGGATCACTTGAGGCCAGGAGTTTAAGACCAGCCTGGCCAACATGATGAAACCCCATCTGTACTAAAAATACAAAATTTAGCCAGGCATAGTAGTGGGCGTCTGTAATCCCAGCTACCTGGGAGGCAGAGAAAGGAGAATCGCTTGAACCGGAAAGGTGGAGGTTGCAGTGAGCCGAGATCGCGCCACTGCACTGCAGCCTGGGTGACAGAGCGAGACTTCCTCTTAAAAAAAAAAAAAAGAAAAAAATTCCAACAGCCAAGGGTGGCATTCCCAATCCACCTTACTGCTTTATTACCTACTCACTTACGGTTTAATTTACTTATGTACAGTTGACCCGCGAACAACGCGGGTTTGAATTGCATCCATCCACTTATAAGTGGCCTTCGAAAAATAAAATACAGTTGGCCATCCGTATCCGCGGGTTCTTTAACCCCTACCAAATGCGGAGGCAGGATGGGAAACCTGCGGATACAAAGGGCGGATTTTTCCTATACAGGGATTCTGTTGGGCAACTGGGGGACGAGTATACGCGGATTTTGGTATATGCGGTCTTGGAACCAATCTCCAAAATTCCGAGGAGTATTATGTTTTTCGTCTGTGTTTCCGACTCCCAAGTTAGCTCTTAAAGGTAATGATTTCTCCGTTTTGTTTACTACCACGCCCCCAGCATCTAGCACAGCATCTGGCATACAGATGCTCAACTAATTATTTGTTGAAACTAATGTCCTGCATAAAAGTAGTGTAATTTACTTTTTTTTTTTTTTTTTGAGATGGAGTCTTGCTCTGTCGCCCAGGCTGGAGTGAAACGGCCGATCTCGGCTCACCGTAACCTCCGCCTCCCAGGTTCAAGCGATTCTCCTGCGTCAGCCTCCTGAGTAGCTGGGATTACAGGCGCCCATCACCATGCCTGGCTAATTTTTGTATTTTTAGTAGAGACGGGGTTTCGCCATGTTGGCCAGGCTGGTCTCGAACTCCTGACGTGCCCACCTCGGCCTCCCAAAGTGCTGGGATTACAGGCGTGAGCCACCACACCCGGCCTTATTTATTTATTTATTTAGAGACAGTCTCGCTCTGTCCCTCAGGCTGGAGTGCAATGGCGTGATCTCAGCTCACTGCAACCTCCACCTCCCGGGTTCAAGCGATTCTCCTGCCTCAGCCTCCCAAGTAGCTGGGATTACAGGTATGTGCCACAACGCCCAGCTAATTTTTTATATTTTTAGTGGAGACGGGGTTTCACCATGTTGGCCAGGCTGGTCTCAAACTGCTGACCTCAAGTGATCCGCCCGCTTCGGCTTCCCAAAGTGCTGGGATTACAGGCGTGAGCCACCGCTCCCGACCCCTAATTTACATTTTTAAAAACCCTAGCAGGGGCCGGGAACCATGGCTCACGCCTGTAATCCCAATGCTTGGGAGGCCAAAGTGGGAGAATCGCTTGAGCCCAAGAGTTCAAGATCAGCCTGGGCAACCTGGCAAGACCTCGTCTCTACAAAAAATTTAAAAATTATCCAGGCCTATTGGTGCATGTCTGTAGACGCAGCTACTTGGGAGGCTGAGGTGGGAGGATAGCTTGAGCCCAGGACGAGGCTGCGGTGAGTCGTGATCGTACCGCTGCACTCCAGCCTGGGCGACAGAACGAAACCGTTTCAACAGAACAACAAAGACAAAAACCTCCAAAACACCCTAACAGTTAAATTTCCTCAGTCCAGAAGCTGATTGCAGTCCAGTTCGCAATTGGCCAGGCTCTAGTTTATATAGGACCTGAGGCTCCACCCATGTGCAGGCACCGCCCCCGTGGCGTCACGAGCGAGCAATGGCGTCATTGGAACGACATGAGCATGCGCACTTCCCCAGCACAATCAGGGAAGACACGCGTGACCCGGAAGGTCTTCCCGCCACACTCCAGAGCGGATGTGAGGGGCGCCGATGGCGGAGGGAACGGCGGAGGCTCCTCTAGAGAATGGTGGTGGTGGCGACTCGGGAGCCGGAGCTTTGGAACGAGGAGTGGCGCCCATTAAGCGTCAGTGAGTCGCCGGGGCAGGAGGGAAGCTGAAGGGCCTTTTCCGGCACCCATAGCGCGGTCCGAGCTGTGCATGCCGGGAGATTAGGCAGCGGCTGAGGGCGAGAAGCCACCGGCTCTTCATTCCGGGCCGTTCTTCCGCCTGCAGGGTGGTCAGCGGAGGTACCTGAGATCGTGCACGTTGGGGCCTGTCACATGCGCGAAGGACACCACGTGCATGCTAGGGCAGGTGGGATTTGAGGCCAGGCCCGCGCTGCATACTGGGGATTGTAGTCCCTGCATATGGACGTACGGCGCATGTGCTCTGCCAGCGGCCGTTACTGGCGGGTCTTGGGGTTGAAGCGAGTGCCGCGGGGCGTGCTGGGGCCTGCGGTGTTTGAAGGGCCGAAAGGCGTGCTGGGAAATGTGGTGGCTTAGACTCCGCTTCAAGGCATGCTGGGAATTGTAGTTTTTCGCAGCCTAACGTGCGCAGGGACGTTCTTGACTGAACCTGATAATAGTTTCGCGCAACACTTTGGACAGTGAGGACCCAGGGACAAAATAGGTCTTTTTTGAGGCCGTGAGGGGCTCCCAGGCTGGGAGCTGGCTGGTTCTTAAGTAGTGAGCTCCCCATCAGCAGAAGGATTTAAGGACGTGCAAGTGTTTCTAGCCTCCTTTCCCCAGTGTTTATTGACTATGTTCGGAGGGTTTTCCTTTCCCTTTCTGTCGGCAGATACCTCACCACCAAGGAGCAGTTTCACCAATTCCTGGAAGCCAAAGGGCAGGAGAAGACTTGCCGGGAAACCGAGGTAGGAGACCCTGCTGGCAATGAGCTGGCTGAGCCTGAGGCTAAGCGGATCCGACTGGAGGATGGACAGACGGCGGACGGGCAGACGGAGGAGGCAGCAGAGCCCGGGGAGCAGCTACAGACTCAGAAGAGGGCCCGGGGACAAAACAAGGGCCGGCCCCATGTGAAGCCCACGAACTACGACAAGAACAGGCTGTGTCCCTCCCTAATCCAGGCAAGTGCGGCCACGTGAGCATTCCTGCCGGGGCAGGCAGGAGCAGGGTGTGTTTCCTGGCAGCGGGTAATTGTTAGAAAGCTCCTGGGCCTTCAGCAACGAGCAGTGAGCTTGCTCTGATGCCATTCCGTCTTCATTCTCCTCGGGATACATTGTAGGGCTTGTCATTGTTCTCATTGTATAAATGGAGATGCAGAGGCACGGTGAGGTGCCTGACTTGCTCAGGGACACAAGAGCCAGGAGGGGTGATCTAGAGTTTGAACCCTGGCTGCTGGGCTGCCCCGGGGTCTCCCTGTCCTCCCTCACTGCTTCCCTGTTTCCTCGCAGGAGTCGGCTGCTAAGTGTTTCTTCGGTGATCGCTGCCGCTTTCTGCACGACGTGGGGCGCTACCTGGAGACCAAGCCGGCCGACCTGGGCCCCCGCTGCGTGCTCTTCGAGACCTTCGGCCGGTGCCCCTACGGCGTGACCTGCCGCTTCGCTGGGGCCCACCTGAGGCCCGAGGGACAGAACCTGGTGCAGGAGGAGTTGGCGGCCCGCGGGACCCAGCCCCCGTCCATCCGCAACGGCCTGGACAAAGCCCTGCAGCAGCAGCTGCGGAAGCGCGAGGTCCGCTTCGAGCGAGCTGAGCAGGCCCTGCGCCGGTTCAGCCAGGGCCCCACACCCGCTGCCGCTGTCCCCGAGGGCACGGCAGCCGAGGGCGCTCCCAGGCAGGAAAACTGTGGTGCCCAGCAGGTCCCCGCAGGGCCGGGCACTAGCACCCCTCCCAGCAGCCCCGTGCGGACCTGCGGGCCCCTGACGGATGAGGACGTGGTCAGGCTGCGGCCCTGTGAGAAGAAGCGGGTACGTGTTGAGGACAACGTCAGTAGCAGATCTGTCCATCTGGTGTGCGTCTATTAAATACCAGCTGTGTCCACGTTCCTGTTCTAGCTGCCTGGGAGTCAGAGGCTGTGTGCCTTGAGGGAGCTCCTGGCTGAGTCTCCCTCTCTGTGCTCTGTCCTGGGCCCAGCCCTCAGGAGGTGGGGACAGAAAGAGCTGGACAGGGCCGGGGGCGGTGGCTCACGCCTGTAATCCCAGCACTTTGGGAGGCTGAGGCAGGCAGATCATTTGAAGTCGGGAGTTCAAAACCAGCCTAGCCATCATGGTGAAACCCTATCTCTACTAAAAATACAAAAATTAGCCGGGCCTGGTGGCGGGCACCTGTAATTCCAGCCACTCAGGAGGCTGAGGCAGGAGAATCACTTGAACCCAGGAGGCGGATGTTGCAGTGAGCCAAGATTGTGCCACCGCACTCCAGCCTGGGCAACAGAGCAAGACTCTATCTCAAAAAAAAAAAAAAAAAAAGAGCTGGACACACTCTAAGTCTCAGAGGGTCAGGGTCGGGCAGCGGGGGACAAATGTGGGAGGCTTCCTGGAAGAGGGGGCATTGGGACTGGGTTTGGATGGTTAAGTAGAAGCTCTCCAGTGGAGGAGACGATGAGGAAAGGAACATTCCTGATGAAGGGATTGATTGGCACATGCAGAGGCCCAGCAAAGGAGCCAGACCATTTGGGCCAAGTGTGTCCTAGACTGTGGGTAGAAGGGAGGCTCCAGGGCCTCAGCAGCTGGGGTGGAGGCCAAGCTCCACTTGTGTGTATTTTTTTCCCTCCAGCTGGACATCCGTGGCAAACTTTACCTGGCCCCCCTCACCACGGTAGGACCTGGGTCAGGTGGCTGGTCGGGTGGCAGGGTGGCAGTGTGGTCATTCCAACAGGGCTTAGTGTCTGTCCCCACCTACTGGATTGTGGGGCTGGGGCGCATATTCAGGGTTCTGCTGTGTGTGTGTGTGTGTGCGCGTGCAAGAGCATGTGTGTCTGTCCTGCTCCCCCCGCAGTGTGGGAACCTGCCCTTCCGACGGATCTGCAAGCGCTTCGGGGCGGATGTGACATGTGGAGAGATGGCCGTCTGCACCAACCTGCTGCAGGGCCAGATGTCCGAGTGGGCCCTACTCAAACGCCACCAGTGTGAGGACATCTTTGGCGTCCAGGTCAGTGCCCACCCCGAGGGAGGGAGAGTGGAGGGGCCCTCGGCCGTCCTGTCTCAGAGCCAGGTTCCAGGTCTGCCCTGGTTGCCTCCCTGACCCCCTGGCCTCAGCTGTGGAGTGGGGGTGATGCCCTGATCCACCTCTGGGGGCTGATGGCCGTGGCCGGGGACCGGTGCCTCGCAGACAGACCTTGGCTCCTTCCGGGGAGGCCCCGAGAGAGGAGGCCACTGGCTCAGGGCCCCCCAGTGGGGAGGGAACGGCCAAGTGGGGACAGTTCGGACTCTCCCCTCACCCTCCTGTTCTGCCACTACCCACCTACAGCTGGAGGGCGCCTTCCCCGACACCATGACCAAGTGTGCCGAGCTGCTGAGCCGCACCGTGGAGGTGGACTTTGTGGACATCAACGTCGGCTGCCCCATCGACCTCGTGTACAAGAAGGTAGCGGCCCTGGACGTGTGCCTCGGTTTCCCCATCTGGGCAGGGAGGCACTGACCCAGCCGGCGATGTCTCGGTGGAGGGTCAGGGGTTTGGGCTCAAGTGTGGCCCTGGAGTCCCTGCCTTTCCTGCAGGTCGGCGTCTCCTGGTGGGGGCCTCCGGGCAGCAGGGGTGAGGGGTCTTGGGTCAGCCCACGTCCTGCCCTCCCTCCACCCGCCTGTCTCTTCCAGGGTGGGGGCTGTGCCCTCATGAATCGCTCCACCAAGTTCCAGCAGATCGTCCGTGGCATGAACCAGGTACGGCCAGCCACATCCTCGCACTGGCTCCCAAACAACTCCCCCGGGCCCTGTCTCCCACCACCTCCCACCGTCTCCCACCACCTCCCACCATCTCCCACCACCTCCCACCACCGTCCTGTAGGTGCTGGATGTGCCGCTGACTGTGAAGATCCGCACAGGCGTCCAGGAGCGTGTGAACCTGGCGCACCGCCTGCTGCCCGAGCTGCGGGACTGGGGCGTGGCACTCGTCACGGTGGGTCTTGGGACGCCTCGGGCATTGGGGCCTCGCGGTCGACCCCGCGTCCCTTCCTAATGGCTCCTCTCCTCCCATCCCTCCCTCTTCACCTCCACACCTCCCTCTGTCTCCGCCTGTGTCTCTCTCTGTCTCTCTCAGCCTGGCTCTCTTGGTCTCTTCCTCTCTGCGTCTCACTCTCTGCCTCCTACCCTGCGTGGCGGCTTCTCCCCCAGCTCCACGGCCGCTCTCGGGAGCAGCGCTACACCAAGCTAGCCGACTGGCAGTACATCGAGGAGTGCGTGCAGGCCGCCAGCCCCATGCCCCTGTTCGGTGGGTGTTCCGGGAAGCCACCTCCCTCTCCCCTACCACCCTTGGTCACTCACACCTCTGGGCTGTTCGCCTTCCCACTTGGGACCCCCTCGTACCACCCTGATGGGAGCCACTGGGTCAGCCAAAACTCCTGAAGGGCTGGTGAGCAGAACTCCAGGGTCCCACCTGCCCATGTCTCCCTGAGACCCCAGCCTCTGTCTCCTCAGGAAATGGGGACATCTTGTCATTTGAGGATGCCAACCGCGCCATGCAGACTGGTGTCACCGGGATCATGATTGCCCGGTAAGTGCCCAGGGATGTTAGAGATCCAGCTTCATGCACAGCAGCAGTGCCCTGAACCCAACACGCCGTCACCCACCCCTGTTCTGTGGTGGGCTGTTGGTCCCAAGATGGGAGGAGCAGAGAGCGATGTCAGGAGTTGCAGCTGCGTTGCGGCAGAGGGGACTGGAAATTGCTGCTGCTGTGGGATCTGATGATTGTGGGTTGAAAGTCCTGGGCTTTGGCCAGGTGTGTGGCTCACGCCTGTAATCCCAGCACTTTGGGAGGCCAAGGCACGCCGATCATTTGAGGTCGGAGGTTCAAGACTAGCCTGACCAACATGGTGAAACATCTCTATTAAAAATACAAAAATTAGCCAGGTGTAGTGGTACACGCCTGTAATCCCAACTACTAGGGAGGCTGAGGCAGGACAATTGCCTGAACCTGGGAGACGGAGGTTGAACAGTGAGCCGAGATCTTACCACTGCACCCCAGCCTGGGCGACAGAGCCAGACTCCGTCTCAGAAAAAACAAAAGAAAGTCCTGTGCTTTGAAGGTTGTGTGCATGCAGCTGGGAGGCTTACTAGGCTTGTAGGTTTTGTGGTCTGGGCTCCGGCTCAGGCCAGGCCATGGAAGCAGAGGCCACACGATCCCAGGCAGGCTGGTGGCTGGGCCCACTGATCGTCACCCGTCCCACAGTGGCGCCCTGCTCAAGCCGTGGCTCTTCACGGAGATCAAGGAGCAGCGGCACTGGGACATCTCGTCGTCCGAGCGCCTGGACATCCTGCGGGACTTCACCAACTACGGCCTGGAGCACTGGGGCTCGGACACGCAGGGCGTGGAGAAGACCCGGCGCTTTCTGCTCGAGTGGCTGTCCTTCCTGTGCCGGTGGGCACCGGGGCTGGCTGGGGTGGGCGGCGCGTGGGCCGCGGCTGGTTAGAGCTGACTCAAGCCTGTCCTGCCCGCCCACCCGCCGCAGGTACGTGCCCGTGGGGCTGCTGGAGCGGCTCCCACAGAGGATCAACGAGCGGCCGCCCTACTACCTGGGCCGCGACTACCTGGAGACGCTGATGGCCAGCCAGAAGGCAGCCGACTGGATCCGCATCAGGTGCCTGGGTGGGCTGGAGTTGGGGAGCTGCAGTCGGGGGCCCGGGGTCACGGAGGGTACTTTGCAGGTCCTGGGCCTGACCTCGCTTTCCACCTGCTCTCCCACAGCGAGATGCTCCTTGGGCCAGTGCCCCCCAGCTTCGCCTTCTTGCCGAAGCACAAGGCCAACGCGTACAAGTAGCCTCAGGCTTTCCCAGGGGCACCCTGGGGCGAGGAGAGTACAATAAATTTTATTCTTTTAAAATCCAGGCCTTTCTGTGACCCTGAAGCAGCCCCTCCTCGGCCCCCACCTTCCCCAAACCTCTTAGCTGCCTCCATGGGCCCTGCCCCAAGCTGGGTGCTGCTGGTGCCCAGAGAGGCCTTGACCCCCAAGAAGGTAGCGGGTTGAGGACCCGGGGGGCCTCAGCCTGTGTGGGTGTGGATCAGGGCAGCCTGCCTGGAGGAGGCGGCCTCAAAGCTGTTAGGGGGGTGTTGCTGGAAGAGGCAAAGGCCTGGCCCAGAATCCTCCCTCCCATGGTGATGACCATGTCTGCCAACGTCTGCCCCTGCTTGCCCCCAACACCCAGAACCCCAACCAGTGGGCGCGCTGCAGGCTGGAACCCGCTGCCCCGAGTAACCAGGCAAACAGAACCCCACCAGGTTCTCAGCCTGTTCTCCGGTTGGGCCACTTGCACTCCCACTGCCGCCCTCCTGGCCTGTCTGGACCGGGCCCCCCGCTGCCCCATGCAGCACCCCAAACCGTTCTGTGCCCCTGCAGCTCCCCAGGAAGGTTTCAGCCCGCAGAGTCTGGAGGGGGCTGAGGTGCTGGGCAACCAGCCTGCTCCCACCTGTGCCGAGCCTCCTCCCGCTATGGGTACGATCGGGTGGGTGGGAGCACCTGCTGGAGAGGGTTCAGGGGCCCACCCGCCTAAGGGCCCTACCCACCTGGGCACCTTTGTCCACAGGCTCCTTGAACCTGTATCATCCCCCAGACCCAGAGAAAGAGGTGTTTCCAGCCCCACCAGCAGGTACCGGCCTCCCCTGAGCCCTTGACGAGGCTGGGAGTGGGTTTGAGTGTGCAGGCCCATCTTGCCCCTGCCCCGTCCCTAAGTGGGAGCCTGAAGGCATGGCCTCTGCTCCCCATGCTTCACACAGGTCCCCCAGATGAGCCCCAAAGACAAGCTCTGTGTCATCCATCACCCAGCCAGGGCCCCAAAGCAATATCTATGTCGTCCCCCAAAGGGGCCCCCCAATGGCAAGGTTCTTGTGGCATCTCCCAAACAGGCCCCCAGGCTTGGGCTGGGCCCCTCAGGCAGCAGCTGCTCTCAGGGCACCCGCCTGCCGCCCACAGGTTTCCAGATGGCCCCATGCGGGTGCTTCTTCGACCCCCGCATCTATCGGATCGAGTGGACCACCCCCGACCTGGGCCAGTCAGCCCTGTATAAGCTGGCAGCAAGCAGCGGGGGGCCAGCGGGGGTCCCCTCCGCCCCAGGCAGCTACCTCCTGGAGCCTCAGCCCTACCTCAAGGCCCCGGGGCTGCCTCCATACCCCCACTACCAGCAGGCACCCGGGGGGCCCCAGTTTCTCTTGCCCTACTTCCCGCCTGAGGGCCCCGGGCCAGAGGCTCTGGGTTTTGTGGGGGACGCAGGGCCCGCCGCCTTCGTGGAGCTGCCCCTACCGCCCCTAGAGGAAGGCCCGGCCCCGCTGCCACCCCCACCCCCCAAGGAGAACAAGCCGCCCCCTGTACTCATCACGCTGCCTGCAGAGCCCACACTGCCCCCAGACGCCTACAGCCACCTCCAGGGTCACCTCGGCCACTTCCCTGGGCCCGAACCCCTGGCCTTCCCCGTCAAGGAGCTGCAGGGCAGTGGGGCCCGACCTGGGGTGCCCCTGTACCCACCGGGCCTCAGCGAGCTCAAGGTGGCCGAGGTCAAGGAGGGGGCCCTGCTGGGAGCAGGCAAGGCCAAGGCCCCCAAGACGGCCAGAGCTTTGGCACTGCCTGACAAGGTTCTGCTGGAGGACGCCATGAAGCTCTTCGACTGCCTGCCAGGCGCCTCTGAGCCTGAGGGTACCCTGTGCGAGGTCCCTGGGCCGGCCCTGCCTGACAGCAGTGGTGGGAACTCAGCCGATGACATCCGCTCGCTGTGCCTGCCCGAGGAGCTGCTGTCCTTTGACTACAGCGTGCCTGAGATCCTGGACACCGTGTCCAACGTTGACTACTTCTTCAACTTCAAGGCGCTCGACGAGGAGCAGCCGCCCCACCCGGGGCCCCCTGCCACCAACACCCCGGCCCCCATTCTGTCTGGCAAGAGAAAGGCCTCGACGGCCAAGAAGGGAAAGCCGGGAAGGAAGGCCAGGCAGCCGGCAGGCCCAGCCAGCGCCACTCCCCCGGGGCCCAGGGAGGACCTGGGAGCCACCCCGCATTAAAGCACATTTGACCTTTCAGCTCCATGTCCACGTGGGGGCCTTGGGGATGGGGAGGGGGCTGGAGATGCACGCCTGGCCCCTCACCCCATCATCCCGCGGACTGGCAAGGCAGCGCCCCCGGCCTCACAGTGAGGCCTCTTAGCAGGGGAGCCCCGGAATCACAGGACACCCTAAACTCCTTGAGTCCCAGCCCTGGAACATCAGACTCCTCTGGCAGAGGCAGGGGCCTCCTGGGGCACGAGGGAGCTGACCCCCAGACTCAACGCGTTCTAAGGGTTTTCACCCCTTTGTTTGGTGGGGGAAAGCAAGGCTGCCCAGAGCAGCAGGAACTTCCTTGGAGACACACAGCCATCAGGGCAGGGCTTGAGGAGCATCCTCCAGATCCCCACCCAGCTGCCTCCTGTCCCCAGGAAGCCACAGCCACTGCAGGCAGGGCGGGAAGGGCCACGCTCTTGTTCAGACAGACAGGTGGGTGCAGGGGCTTCACCTGATGGTCTGAGGGTGGGGGCTGGGGCAGGGATGAGACAGTGCCCACGCGTGAAGGGGTGGGGAGCACACGGCACCCAGGGGGCCTGGCATGTGCACCCAAGATGGAGACAGGAGACAGCACCTGGAGCCCAGGAGAGGGTCAGGGGCCCCACCCGGCCACACTTCGGGGTCCGGGGTGGCAGGGACAGCCTGGCTACTCGTTCCAAAATGGGATGGGCCCAGCCTCGGAAGAACGACCTCCGGGTGCTGGTTCCCGTCACTGCTTACCCACATCAGGGTCTCGAGAGCCCTCCTGGGGGTCCAGGCAGTGGCCACCTGTACCCTCCTCCCCTGAAACGCTCATGGTGGCCCTGGAGAGGCTGACCCCATTCCCCCAGGGACACATAAGGAAACAGGAGGTCGAGTGCCATCCAGCGCCTCCTGGGATGAGGACACCCCTCTGGGATGGGAACCTTCAGCCTACCCCTTCCCCAGGCTGCGGGCTGGATCTCCTGGGTCTCCGGAGTTTGGGTTTCAAGGCCTCTGCTTGGGGAGGCCCTGGGAGGCTCACCTAGAGTCCAGGAGGCTGATGGGTGTTTGGAGGCCGAGCAGAGACCATGGTCCCGGCTCTGTGTAGGGCACTGTGCCTGCTGCTCTCTGGAGCTACTCTCCCGGAAACCCTTATTCAAAAAACTCAGGAGGAGGCCAGGTGCAGTGGCAAACACCTGTAATCTCAGCACTTTGGGAGGCCGAGGCGGGCAGATCACTTGAGGTCAGGAGTTCGAGACCAGCTTGGCCAAAATGGTGAAACCCTGTCTCTACTGAAAATACAAAAATTGGCCGGGCGCAGCTTCTCACGCCTGTAATCCCAGTACTTCGGGAGGCCAAGGCAGGCAGATCACGAGATCAGGAGATTGAGACCATCCTGGCAAACACGATGAAACCCCAGCTCTACTAAAAATACAAAAAAATTAGCTGGGTGTGGTGGCGGGTGCCTGTAGTCCCAGCTACTCGGGAGGCTGAGGCAGGAGAATGGCGTGAACCCAGGAGGCGGAGCTTGCAGTGAGCCAAGATTGCACCACTGCACTCCAGCCTGGGCGACAGAGTGAGACTCCGTCTCAAAAAAAAAAAGAAAATGCAAAAATTATCTGGGTATGGTGGCAGGCGCCTGTAATCCCAGCTACTCAGGAGACTAAGGCACAAGAATTGCTTGAGCCCGGGAGGCAGAGGTTGTAGTGAGCCGAGATCACATCACTGCACTCCACCCTGGGCAATAGAGCAAGACTCCATTTCAAAAAACAAAAACAACTCCGGGTAGTGTCTCGGGGCCATGCAGCTGTGGCCCTCAAGACAGGGTCCCCCTGTCCCAGGGACTGTGCCATGTGCCCTCCTGGCATCTGCAGTGATCCCCATTCATCACTGTTTGACCCGTGGGGACACAGGCTGGGAGAGACTCCAAGTGCACTTTTGTTTTTTTGAGGCAGAGTTTCGCTCTTGTTGCCCAAGCTGGAGTGCAATGGCGTGATCTCGGCTCACTGCAACCTCCGCCTCCCGAGTTCAAGTGACTCTCCTGCCTGCCTCAGCCTCCCGAGTAGCTGGGATTACAGGTGTGCACCACCACACCTGGTTAATTGTATTTTTAGTAGAGACGGGATTTCACCATGTTGGTCAGGCTGGTCTCGATCTCCTAACCTCAGGGGATCCGCCCGCCTCAGCCTACCAAAGTGCTGGGATGACAGGCGTGAGCCACCGCGCCCAGCCCCAAGCCCACTTTTCTCAGCTGCTTTTCAACTCCTTCTCCCCGAAGCCTCATTAGGGGTATCTCTGAAACTAAAACCAGGTATCCCAAGTGTCGGGGAGGTCCTGGCTGATGAGGAAGTGGGGCAAGGACCTGGATCACTTTTCTTGAAGATTAATGTGGAGTGAGGGTCACACAGTGGATGTCTGCAAGGACCCAAGCAGTAGCTTTTTTTTTTCTTTCTGAGACAGGGTCTCGCTACGTTGCCCAGGCTGGAGTATAGCGCCGTGATCATGGCTTACTGCAGCCTCGACCTCCTGGGCTCAAGCGATCCTCCCACCTCAGCCTCCCAAGTAGCTGGAACTACAGGCATGCACCACCACACTCAGCTAATGTCTAAAAAAATTTTTTTGTAGAGATGGGGGGTCTTGCTATGTTGTCCAGGCTGATCTTGAACTCCTGGCCTCAAGTGATCCCCCTGCCCCAGCCTGTTGTAGCTATGTGGGGCAATTTAAAATGATCACAGAATATATATATGTATTTTTTAATATATATATTTTTATATATGTATTTTAATATATATTTATATATGTATTTATATATATGTATTTTTAATATATATATGTATTTATACATATTTTTATATGTATTTTTAATATATATATTTTATATATGTATTTTTTATGTATGTATATTTTATATATATATTTTTTTAACCAAAGAGTAATCGGAAGTCATGAGACTGACCAAATTTTCACTTAAAAGGAGATGGCTGACCCTGGTGCAGTGGTTCACTGAGAATCCCAGCACTTTGGGAGGCTGAGGCAGGAGGATCGCTTGAGCTCAGGAGTTTGAGACCAGCCTGGGCAATATGTCAAAACCCCATCTCTACAAAAAAAAATAGTAAAAAAACAAAATTACCCAGGCATGCTGGCGTGGACTTGTAGTCCCAGCTACTTGGGAGGCTGAGGTGGGAGGATCACTTGAGCCCAGGAGGCAGAAGTTGCAGTAAGCCAAAATCACACCACTGCACTCCAGGACAAAGGAGCAAGAATCTGTCTCCGAAAAAAAAAAAAAAAAAAGGTCGGGGGTGGGGCGGGCACGGTGGCTGACGCCTGTAATCCCAGCACTTTGGAAGGCCGAGGTGGGCAGATCATGAGGTCAGGAGTTTGAGACCAGCCTGGCCAACATGGTGAAACCCTGCCTTTACCAAAAATACAAAAATTAGCCAGGCATGGTGGCAGGCGTCTGTAATCGCAGCTACTCAGGAGGCTTAGGCAGGAGAGTTGCTTGAATCTGGGAGGCAGAGGTTGCAGTGAGCTGAGATCACACCACTGCACTCCGGCCTGGGCAACAGAGTGAGACTCCATCTCACTCAGAGAGATGGCTAACCCTAGAGCACTGGCCCATCCATAATCCCAGTACTTTGAGAGGCTGAGGCAGGAGGATCGCTTGAGTCCAGGAGTTCGAGACCAACTTGGGCAACAAAGTGAGACCCTGTCTCTACAAAAACTAAAAGTAAAATTAGCCATGTGTGGTGGTGGTTCCTGTAGTCCCAGCTACTCAGGAGGCTGAGGAGGGAGGATCACTTAAGCCTGGGAGTTTGAGGCTGCAGTGAGCTGTGATCACACCACCGCACTCTCAGCCTGGGCAACACAATGAGACCACACTGATACTTAAAAAAAAAAAAAAAAAAAAAAAAAAAAAAAGCCAGGCATGGTGGCTCATGCCTGCAATCCCAGCACTTTGGGAGGCCGAGCTGGGCGGATCACGAAGGTCAGGAGATCGAGACCATCCTGGCTAACACGATGAAACCCTGTCTCTACTAAAAATGCAAAAAAATTAGCTGGGCGTGGTGGCGGGCGCCTGTAGTCCCAGCTACTTGGGAGGCTGAGGCAGGAGAATGGCATGAACCTGAGAGGCGAAGGTTGCAGTGAGCCGAGATCGCGTCACTGCACTCCAGCCTGGGCGACAGAGCGAGACTCCGTTTCAAAAACAAACAAAAAACAAAAAAAATGGTGAATACATACTGCTTCCTGCTATGTTACATTATACTTTATTTGAAGACAAGGGGTTGGGACCCTGTGGACCGGCCTCAGTGGTCAGACCTGCCTCCGTGAGGAGTGCGGTGGCGTCCCGGGGGCTCTGTGCCTGCCCTGGCTGTGGCTGAGGCCCTGAACTGGCAGACCGTCTTGCATCTCCTACACAGCTGTGTCGCACACTTCTTGATCCTGCGGCCGCGTGCTGTGCGTAGCAGCTTGGGGGTCTTGTAGGCCAGCCAAACGGACCCCAGGATGCTGGAGATGATCAGTAGGATGACGACTCCAGCAGAGACCAGCTGCACGGGGAATGCTCCATACACGTAGATGCTAAAGATGGTCTCCAGTTGACAGTAGCTGCGGTGGGGGGAGGCGGGGAGAGGCTGTTGGGCATTGCCTTTGGGGGACTTCGCCTTATCTCTGGCAAAGGTGTTCAGACCCACAGGAGGGAGAACCAGGCCCACAGCAGTGACCGGGTATACCCACTTCTGTTTCCATCCACTATGCCTTTTTTTTTTTTTTTTTGAGTCGGAGTCCCTCTCTTGTCACCCAGGCTGGAGTGCAGTGGCACGATCTCGGCTCATTGCAACCTCCGCCTCCTGAATTCAAGCAATTCTCCTGCCTCAGCCTCCCAAGTATCTGGGATTACAGGCACCTGCCAACCATGCCTGGCTAATTTTTGTATTTTTGGTAGAGATGGGGTTTCACCTCGGCCAGGCTGGTCTCGAACTCCTGACCTCAAGTGATCCGCCCGCCTCTGCCTCCCAAAATGCTGGGATTACAGGTGTGAGCCACTGCACCTGGCCCACTTTGACTTTTATGGGTTTTTGTTTTGTTTTGTTTTGTTTGTTTTTTGAAACGGTGGAATCTGGCTCTATTACCCAGGCTGGAGTGCAGTGGTGCAATCTCGGCCCACTACAATCTCTGCCTCCCGGGTTCAAGCGATTCTCCTGCCTCAGCCTCCCGAGTAGCTGGGATTACAGGCGCCCACCATCACACCTGGCTAATTTTTAGTAGAGACGGAGCTTCTCCATGTTGGCCAGGCTTGTCTCGAACTCCTGACTTCAAGTGATCCACCTGTCCTGGCCTCCCAAAGTGTTGGGATTACAGGCGTAAGCTATTGTGCCAGGCCGACTTTTATGGGTTCTGAGTCAGCCATCCTCTCCATGCCCTCTGGCAGCTGTCACCAGGATCCCTATTCTCCCCCAATGCCCAGGCTCTGGCTAGAGAGGGCGGAAGGGGCAAATTAACTAAATGGTCCATCAACAACTAGGAAGTGGTGGGTGACAGTGGAGGCTAGGTCAGGGCAGGAAAGGTTCAGGGGTGTCACAGAATCCACGGCAGGGAGGGGGACAGTGCAGGTCACGTGATGCAGGGAGCACCTGTGGCACGGGAGAGTCCCACACATGTCTCCTCTCTCTGGTGGACATCCTCACCCTACCCAGTGCCTTCCACCTGCTGCCACCCCGGAGCTGATCCTCCTAGTCTGGGGCCTCTAGAGAAGGCAGGACCTCCACGTGTTTTTTTTTCAGGGGGTGAACTTTCATCCTACTGGAGAGGACAGGTGATAAGTGACAATGACTTCCAGTAGGGGTGAGGATATGAGGAAGATTTCCACCTGGTGTCCCCCTTCCAAAGGGACACACTGATCCACATGGCATGGCTTCGATGTGGCTTTATAATCTCCTCAGCACCTGTCAGTGCTAAATATTTAACAACTGGCTCTCAGAGGGGAAAGGCCTCCTGGGTAGTGTCTGCCAATTCCCGTAGTGTAAATATTTCCACTGTGGCTGATTCGAAGCCACTGACATGAAATTGATTGGTGTAAGATTCCTGAATTTTTTTTTTTTTTTTTGAGATGGAGTCTCGCTCTGTTACCCAGGCTAGAGGCCAGTGAGTGGCGCAATCTCAGCTCACTGCAACCTCTGCCTCCCGGGTTCAAGCGATTCTCCTGCCTCAGCCTCCCGAGTAGCTGAGATTAAAGGCACCTGCCACCACAGCCGGCTAATTTTTGTATTTTCAGTAGAGACGGGGTTTCACCAGGTTGGCCAGGCTGAAGATTCCTGAATATTTGAGAGTCTACTCCTGGTGAGCCAGTTTGAGCCAGCTCTGGCCCACAGCCATCAGCACACTCTAGCCATGGGGAGTAGGAGAGGGCGACTCAGGTGCGCCAGGGCAGCGGCACAGCCTCTGGTCACTGCTGTTCCCCCAGCACTCAGTGCAGGACTCTGAAATGAGTATTTAGTTCACATGGGAACAAATGTCACCCAGAACTTAAAACATCACTTGTCCTGGGGACGGCCTGGGCTGTTGGGGGAATTCAGGTTTAGCCAGGACCTGCATGTCCCCCGAAACGGGTGACCTGCCCCCAGGGGCACCAGGCGTCCCCTGTCGTAGGGGCAGATGGGCCCACTCACCTGTAGTACGGATCCACGATCGAAATGTAGAAGACATAAAAGCCATTGTGGCCGAAAATGATCTGGTTTGCTGTCCGGCCGCCCAAGATCTGATACTGGACGTCTGGCCACCTCAAAGGGGCATTGTTGTTGGGGTCGTGGCAGCTCACATAGTTCTGTGGGGGACAGAGACATGCCCACTGGCCCTAGGGACTGGGGAGGGGGCCCTGAGCCTCCCTCCTCCCTGCGGAGGCCCTGCACCCACCCCAGTCCTCATTAGGCACGCATGGGTGGGACTCTGGGGCCAAGTGCCCATGGTGTGGGCAGGTTCATGCTCCCTGCAGAGAAGAGTGGATGGAGGCTGCTCAGCCTCCATCTCACCTGCCTCTGTTGGAGGCCGAAAGATTGAGGGTGGTGATCAACTCCGTATACCACTGGAGGCCATATGAGTAAACAGCAAACTTTCTCATAAAAGCAGAATGTTGGCAAACTGACAAACTGCGTCTGCCGCCCAGAAGGAATGCTGAGGGCGGTCACGAGCCAGGCACAGTGTTTCTTCTGATTTGGTACATCTGAAGCCTATTAGTAATAATATGAACCTGTAATCAATTAACCAGCTGACCAATCGTTACCTGCTCCTCCCTGCTCTTTCTTTCTTTCTTTTCTTTCTTTTTTTTTTTTTTTTTTTGAGATGGGGTTTCACTCTGTTGCCCAGGCTGGAGTGCAGTGGCGCGATCTCGGCTTACTGCAAGCTCTGCCTCCCGGATGCATGCAATTCTCCTGCCTCAGCCTCCCGAGTAGCTGGGACTACAGGTGCCCGCCACCGTGGCCAGCAAATTTTTTTTTTTTTTTTTTGTATTTTTAGTAGAGATGGGGTTTCACCATGTAAGCCAGGATGGTCTCAATCTCCTGACCTTGTGATCTACCCACCTCAGCCTCCCAAAGTGCTGGGATTACAGGCGTGGCCACCTCGCCTGGCCCCTCCCTGCTGTTTCTACTCAATAAATACGCAGGTCTGTGGAAGCTTGAGGGACTGCCTTTACTCACTAGAAGCGGGGAGCTCTCTTCTTCCCCATGCCTCTTCTTTAAAACAGTTTCTTTTGTCTTAAGTTTTCATTTCTACATTCGTTCCCCCTTCCTTCAGTCTTGTAACGAAGGTCTCAAGTAGTAGCAGTAGTAACTGTTGTAGTGACCGTCTCAAGTAGTAACCGTGGCAGTCTGCCACATGCCTGCTTTCAGGCCTTCCTGGGCTGTGGAGGCTGGAGGCTTAATAACTTAGCCTGGGTGAGAGTCAGGCGCTTCCAATGACTTTTTTATTTTGAGACATTTTCTTCTGCTGTCCCCCAGGCTGGAGTGCAGTGGTGTCATCTGGGATCACCGCGATGTCTACCTCCCAGGTTCAAGCAATTCTCCTGCCTCAGCTTTCCAAGTAGCGGGAACTACAGGTGGGTACCATCATGCCCTGCTAATTTTTGTACTTTTAGTAGAGACGGGGTTTCACCATGTTGGTCAGGCTGGTCTCTAACTCCTGACCTCAAGTGATCCATCCACCTCGGCCTCCCAAAGTGCTGGGATTACAGGCGTGAGCCACAGTACCTGGCCACTCTTTATTTATTTATTTTTAAATTTTATTTTATGTTACTTTTTTGAGAAACAGCCTCGCTCTGTTGCCCAGGCCGGAGTGCAGTGGTGCAGTTTCGGCTCACTGCAACCTTCACCTCCTAGGTTCAAGCGATTCTCTTGCCTCAAGCTCCCCAGTAACTGGGATTACAGGCGTGCACCACTATGCCCAGGTAATTTTTGTATTTTTAGTAGAGACGGGGTTTTGCCATGTTAAGCTGGTCTTGAACTCCTGTCCTCAAGTAATCTGCCCACCTTGGCCTCCCAAAGTGCTGGGATTACAGGCGTGAGCCACTGTGCCTGTCCAGGAAAACTTCATGTTCTACAAAAGCAGCCACTCACCACAGCTGATGGAAAAAAAATAGTAATGGGGCCATCTCTTAAATGCACTCATGCAATTTGCAATGAGACAGCCCATATGAAGAATGCATATAGAAATACCAACAGAGCCGACCGGGCGCAGTGGCTCACGCCTATAATCCCAGCACTTTGGGAGGCCGAGGCGGGCGGATCACAAGGTCAGGAGTTCAAGACCAGCCTGGGCAACACGGTGAAACCCCGTCTCTACTAAAAATACAAAAATTAACCGGGCGTGGTGGCAGGTGCTTGTAAGTCCAGCTACTCAGGAGGCTGAGGCGGGAGAATTGCTTGAACTCGGGAGGTGGAGGTTGCAGTGAGCTGAGATTGCGCCACTGCACTCCAGCCTGGGGGACACAGTGAGGCTCCGTCTCAAAAAAAAAAAAAAAAAGCAAATGCAAAAAAAGAGCCAGGACACCATCTGCTGGTGGCTTTGCTGCATGCACTGCATTCCTGATACAAAACATTGTGTCCCGGGAAGATACACGTGGACTGATGCAATCTCTTTGTAGGGACAGGACATCACTCGTATGATAGAAATACACACTGAGGCTGAGCGTGGTGACTTATACCTATAATCCATGGGAGGATCGCTTCAGCCCAGGAGTTCAAAGCCAGCCTGTGTAACATACTGAAGCCCTGCCTCTACAAAAAAAAAAAAAAAAAGATACAAAAATTAGCTGGGCATGGTGGCACACACCTGTAGTCCCAGCTAATTGGGAGGCTGAAGTGGGAGGATCACTTGAGGCTTGAGTCTTCAGTGAGCTGAGATTGCACCACTGCACTCCAGCCTGGGAGACAGAGTGAGACCCTGCCTAAAAGAAATAAAAATAAAACAGATGCACACTGAGTAAGACAGCCCGGGAATTCCATCCATCCCTCAGTAGCAAGCATTGGGATGGTCCCAGGCATTTCTCATCATCAGCAAAGCCCCCTGAACACCTTGGTGCCTGCATTTCCCGTCCTTCGGTCAGTTCCTTAAATCCTCAAAGGCCTTGTACACCCCTAAAAGGAATTGGGGTTCCTGCTAGATCCCCTAAAGGACCTTCGAGTCTTTTGCAGTCGTGATCTGTGCTCACTGCAACCTCTGCCTCCCAGGCTCAAGTGATTCTCCTGAGTAGCTGGGAGTACAGGTGTCCGCCACCATGCCCGACTGATTTTTGTATTTTTAGTAGAGACGGGCTTTTGCCATGTTAGCCAGGCTGGTCTCAAACTCCTGACCTCATGATCCACCTGCCTCAGCCTCCCAAAGTGCTGGGATTACAGGCGTGAGCCACCGCGCCCCAACTCTTTCATTCCATACTCAGTTCCATGGCCGCACGGTGTCCTCACGCACTCTCCCACCCCCTGGTGGGCTGCTGATTCTTCTGGAAACGATCCTAGGGTCCTGTTACCTCTCTGTTCCAGAAGAAGGGCCCCCCGAATTCCTTTATCATGGTGGTCCAGTTCTGCGGCTGGGAGGTACACATGGCCGACTGGGCCGTCAGGGAATAGGAGTATGAGAACTGCCCGTTCACCTCCAGTAACACATACTCGGCGTCGATGACCTCCTGGAAACTGTCTTTTCGCCACCTAGGACACAGGCACGGGGCAGGGCTGTGCAGGGAGCAGGGACAACCCAGGAAGACCCGGGCCACAGCCACCTGGACGGCTGCAAAACCGCTTGGGGGGTGGGAGGTGACAGAGAGGAAACCAAAGGACGCCTGCCGCTCCCAGCTGAGGATGCCGTGTGTGGGCTGCGGGGAGGCCAGGAGAAAGAGCTGGGTGCATGGGGAGATGGGCAGCAGCCAGCACTGAGCATTGATAACAGGGTGGAAGGAAAAGTCTGCTCGGAGCTAGGCGCGGCGGCTCACGCCCGTAATCTCAGCACTTTGGGAGGCTGAAGCGGGAGGATCACGAGGTCAGGAGATCGAGACCATCTTGGCTAACACGGTGAAACCCTATCTCTACTAAAAATAAAAAAAATTAGCCGGGCGCAGTGGCGGGCGCCTGTAATCCCAGCTACTCGGGAGGCTGAGGCAGGAGAATGGCGTGAACCCGGGAGGCAGAGCTTGCGGTGAGCCAAGATCACACCGCTGCACTCCAGCCTGGGCGACAGAGCGAGACTCTGTCTCAAAAAAAAAAAAAAAAAAAAAAAAAAAAAAATTAACCGGGCATTGTGGTATGCAACTGCAGTCCCAGCTACTTGGGAGGCTGAGGCAGGAGGACCGCTTGAGCCTGGGAGGTTAAGGCTGCAATGAACTGTGTTCATGCCACTGGACTCCAGCCTGGGCAACAGAGCAAGACGCCAACACAAAAAAAAAAAAAGAAAAAAGGAAACAGAGAGAGAGAAAGAAAGGAAGGAAATGAAGGAAGGAAGGGAGGGGAGGAAAGGGAGGAAAAGAAAAGAAAAAAAGAAAAAAGAAAAGAAAAAGAAAAGCTATATGAGGTCATAGGATGTAGGGTGGGCCCTGATCTGATAAGACTGGTGTCCTTATAAGAACAGGAAGATGGCCAGGTATGGTGGCTCACGCCTGTTATCCCAGCACTCTGGAAAGCTGAGGCAGGTGGATCACGAAGTCAGGAGTTCGAGACCAGCCTGACCAACATGGTAAAACCCCATCTCTACTAAAAATACAAAAACTAGCCAGGCATGGTGGCACGCGCCTGTAATCCCAGATACTCGGGAGGCTGAGGCAGGAGAATCGCTTGAACCCTGGAGGTGGAGGTTGCAGTAAGCCAAGATCATGTCATTGCACTCCAGCCTGGGTGACAGAGTGGAAAAAAAAAAAAAAAAGAACAGGAAGACAGCAGGAGTGCACAGGCATAAAGAAAAGCCCATCGGCCGGGCGCAGTGGCTCATGCCTGTAATTCCAACACTTTGAGAGGCCAAGGCAGGCGGATCATCTGAGGTCAGGAGTTCAAGACCAGCCTGCCCAACATGGTGAAACCAAATCTCTGCTAATTAGCTGGGTGTGGTGGTGGGCACCTGTGGTCCCAGCTACCTGGGAGGCTGAGGTGGGAGGATCGCTTGAGCCCAAGGGACAGAGGCTGCAGTGAGCTGAGATCATGCCACTGCACTCCATCCTAGGCGACAGAGCAAGACCCTGTCTCAAAAAAAGAAAAGGTGTTCCAGGGAGAGGGCCCTGGGGGCCAGTGGGGCTGGGGCAGGAGCACGGTGGGAAACAGTGACCATCATCATTTTGAGGGATCTAGGGGAGCCTGGAGGGCCAGGCTGGTACCCCAGGGCCAGGGAGCATGAGGCCCTGCCACCGTCCCCACCCTGCAGCACCCCCCTGGGGTCTTACAGCTCCACCACGGGCTTCCATAGGGTGTCATAGTAGACGAGGAGAGGACAGCCCAGCTGCTGGTAGGAGTAAAACACGTGCAGGTCCTCGGAGGACTGCTGCCCCTGGAAGCCGGGGTCGTAGAATTCCCTTCAAGACACCAAGAAGCAGAGATGGGGAGTCTGTGAGTTCCTGCCCAGTCTGCCAACCCTTCACAGCCGCAGTTTCTTTTTTGCAAATGGGGATCGTCCATGAGAGTGGCAGGAGGTGGCATCTGAGGTGGGCGATTGAGAGCCATGGACCAGATGATATTGGAACTTCTGTTCTAGTTAATTTTTTGGCTGGAGCATAGTAATGCAGTCATGACTCACTGCAACCTCCACCTCCTGGGCCCAAGCAATCCTCTCACCTCAGCCTCCCGAGTGGCTGGGATTACAGGCACGCACCACCACGCATGGTTAATATTTTAAATTTTTGTAGAGATGAGGTCTTGCTGTGTTGCCCAGGCTGGTCTCAAACTCCTGGCCTCAAGTGATTCCCTCACCTCAGCCTCCCAAAGTGCTGGGATTACAGGTATAAGCCACCAAGCCCAGCAAAATTTCTGCTCCTTAAATTAGATCAGTGCAAAAGTAATCGAGGTTTTTGCCTTTTTTTTTTTTTTTTGAGACGGAGTTTCATTCTTGTTGCCCAGGCTGGAGCACAGTGGTGCAATCTCAGCTCACTGCAACCTCTCTCTCCCGGGTTCAAGTGATTCTCTTGCCTCAGCCTCCTGAGAAGCTGGGAATACAAGTGCCCACCACCACGCCCGGCTAATTTTTTGTGTTTTTAGTAGAGATGTGGGTTTCATCATGTTGGCTGGGCTGGTCTTGAACTCCTGACTTCAGGTGATCCACCCACTTCAGCCTCCCAAAGTGCAGGGATTACAGGGGTGACCCACTGCGCCCGGCCGGTTTTTGCCATTACTTTCAATGGCAAAAACCGTAATTACTTTTTTTTTTTTTTTTTGAGACAGAGTCTCGCTCTGTTGCCCAGGCTGGAGTGCAGTGGCGTGATCTCAGCTCACTGCAACCTCCGCCTCCCGGGTTGAAGAAATTCTCCCACCTCAGCCTCCTGAGTAGCTGGGACTACAGGCATGTGCCACCACGCCTGGCTAATTTTTGTATTTTTAGTAGAGACGGGATTTCACCATGTTGGCCAGACTGCTCTCAAACTCCTGACCTCAAGTGATCCACCTGTCTCGGCCTCCCAAAGTGCTGGGATTACAGGCATGAGCCACCCTGCCCGGCCAAAACCGTAATTACTTTTGCACCAACTAATAAATTACCCAGTTTAAGGCATTTTGCAATACAGCCCACATAGACTAAGATGACACTCCCCTCTGTGTCCTCCGCAGGTTCCAAAGTCACTGCCCCTTAGCAGCCCAGAAGCACTAGTTTAGGCCTCAGCTCTAAATGGGTAACTGACTCTTGACTTGCATTTGAGGGCTCAGGTCTTACAAATCACATGGAAGTGTGCACTCGCGTGGCAAGGAGCTCCCTCATGCTGGGTGCAATGAGGGGTCTTCGTATGGTTTGGATATTTGTCCCTTCCAAAGCTCCTGCTGAAACTGGATCCCTAGTGTTGGAGTGGGAGCCTAGTCAGAGGTGTTTAGGCCACAACGGCAGAGCTATGAATGGCTTGGAGCCATATTTATGGTACTGAGTGGGTTTTCATTCTCAGCTTCCATGAGAACTGCTTGTTTAAGAGCCTGGCACCTCCTCCCCCCATCCCACCACCCTCTTTTTTTTTTTTTTTTTTTTTGTCTCTAGGTTGCCCAGGCTGGTCTCAAACTCCTGGCCTCAAGCAATCCTCCTGCCTCAGCCTTCCAAAGTGTTGGGATTACAGGTGTGAGCCACTGCACCCAGCCTCCTCCCTCCTCTCTCTCTCTCTCTTTTTTTTTTGAGACAGAGTCTTGCTCTGTTGCCCAGTCTGGAGTGCAGTGGCTCAATCTTGGCTCACTGCAACCTCTGCCTCCCAGTTTCAAGCAACTCTCCTGCCTCAGCCTCCCGAGTAGCTGGCATTACAGGTGCCCACCACCATGCCTGGCTAATTTTCGTATTTTTAGTAGAGATGGGGTTTTGCCATGTTGGCCAGGCTGGTCTCGAACTCCTGAGCTCAAGTGATCCGCCTACCTCGGCAGGGATTACAGGCGTGAGCCACCGGGCCCGGCCATAACTCTTCTTTATAAATCACCCAGCCTCAGGTAGTCTTTTAAAGCAGCACAAATTGACTGAGGCCCAGACTCTCGTATGGGCGTGGCAGTACATGCTCACTGAGCCGGACAGCATGTGGGACCAGCCAGCTGAGGGAAGAGGATCACTTGAGCCCAGGAGGTCGAGGCTGTGGTGAGCTATGATCGCATCGCTGCACTCCAGCCTGGGCCACAGGGCCAGACCCTATCTCTTAAAAAATAATAATAGGCCGGGCGCGGTGGCTCATGCCTGTAATCCCAGCACTTTGGGAGGCTGAGGTGGGCGGATCACGAGATCAGGAGATTGAGACCAACCTGGCTAACACAGTGAAACCTCATCTCTACTAAAAATAAAACAAATTAGCCGTGCCTGGTGGCGGGAACCTGTAGTCCCAACTACTCAGGAGGCTGAGGCGGGAGAATGGTGTGAACCCGGGAGGTGGAGCTTGCAGTGAGCCGAGATCGCGCCACTGCACTCCAGCCTGGGCGACAGGCGAGACTCCATCTCAATAATAATAATAAATAAATAAATAAATAAATAAAATTCCTAATTTGCTCTTGGCTTTTGCAGGCCCAATGGTCGCCTTGGGTGTCAGGTGTTGCGGGGGGACGCTGGCTTACTTCTCGATGATGAAGCTGTAATTGTCTTGCAGGGTCAAGGGGTCCAGGATGCCCATGGAACAGGCGGAAACTTTGCTGCAAGCAAAAGTGGACATTGAGCAATGGCATGACCTCACAAAGAACCAAACCATTATGGATGGGACAGAAAGGGAGGGGCTGGGCGTGGTGGCTCAGGCCCAGCACTTTGGGAGCTGAGGCGGGCGGATCACCTGAGGTCAGGAGTTGGAGACCAGCCTGGCCAACATGAGGAAACCCCGTCTCTACTAAAGATACAAAAAGTTAGCCAGGCGTGGCATCACGCGCCTCTAATCGCAGCTTCTTGGGAGGCTGAGGCAGGAGAATCACTTGAACCTGGGAGGCGGAGGTTGCAATGAGCTGAGATTGCACCATTGCACTCCTGCCTGGGTGACAGAGCAAGACTCTGTCTCAAAAATAAATCGATAAAAATTAAAATAAAATAATAAAACAAATAAAAAAGGGAGGGCAGGCCAGGCGCGGTGGCTCATGCCTGTAATCCCAGCACTTTGGGAGGCCGAGGCCATCCTGGCTAACACGGTGAAACCCCGTCTCTACTAAAAATACAAAAAAATTAGCTGGGCATGGTGGCGGGCGCCTGTAGTCCCAGCTACTCGGAGGCTGAGGCAGGAGAATGGCATGAACCAGGGAGGCGGAGCTTGTAGTGAGCCGAGATCATGCCACTGCACTCCAGCCTGGGCGACAGAGCAAGACTCCGTCTCAATAATAATAATAATATATAAAAGGGAGGGCACACCTTTGCGTCTAATGCATGAGCAGTTGCCAAATGAGCAGATATGGAAAAAAAAAAAAACCTGAGAGACCCCAGCTCTGGGAGGGGCATGGCAGGAAATGGCTCTGCACTTTGCCGTTAGAGGTGTAGCTGGTCTGGCTTTTTTTTTTTTTTTTTTGAGACAGAGTCTCGCTCTGTCAACCAGGCTGGAGTGCAGTGGCACGATCTCGGCTCACTTCAAGTTCCGCCTCCTGGGTTCACGCCATTCTCCTGCCTCAGCCTCCCGAGTAGCTGGGACTACAGGCACCCGCCAATGCGCCCGGCTAATTTTTTGTATTTTTAGTAGAGACGGGGTTTCACTGTGTTAGCCAGGATGGTCTCAATCTCCTGACCTCGTGATCCACCCGCCTCGGCCTCCCAAAGTGCTGGGATTACAGGCGTGAGCCACCGTGCCCGGCCACTGGTCTGGCTTTTTAAAAAATTTATTTTAAAAATTGTGTTAGGCCAATTGCGGTGGCTCATGCCTGTAATCCCAGCACTTTGAGAGGCTGAGGCGGGCAAATCACTTGAGGTCAGGATTTGGAGACCAGCCTGGCCAACATGGTGAAACCCCGTTTCTACTAAAAATACAAAAATTAGCCAGGCATGGTAGCGGGCGCCTGTAATCTCAGCTACTTGGGAGGCTGAGGCAGGAGAATCACTTGAACCTGGGAGGCGGAGGTTGCAGTGAGTCAAGATCGTGCCACTGCACTCCAGCCTGGGTGACAGGGCGAGACTCCATCTCAAAAAAAAAAAAATGTGGATATCACCAACAGGTGAAGGAGGGGAGGCCAACATGCTGGAAACAAACTTAACCTATTAGGGTGAATCATTTAACTTTTTATTATGGAAATAGTAAATATATACAAAACTAAATAATCGAAAGTCATCCACCTCAGCAATTGTTACCATGTGGCTAATCGTGCCCTGTCAACTACTCTCCTCCCCTCTCCTCACTCCACTCCAATATCAACATACTTACTTTTTTTTTTTTTTCAAGACGAGAGTCTTGCTGTGTCAGCCAGGCTGGAGTGCAGAGTGCAGTGGCTCAATCTCAGCTCACTGTAGCCTCCACCTCCCAGGTTCAAGTGATCCTCCAGCCTCAGCCTCCCAAGTAGCCGAGATTGCAGGTGTCTGCCACCACGCCTAATTTTTTTTTTTTTTTTCAGTAGAGACGGGGTTTCGCCATGTTGGCCAGGCTGGTCTTGAACTCCTGACCTGAAGTGATCTGCCCACCTCGGCCTCCCAAAGTGCTGGGATCACAGGAATGAGCCATGGTGCCCGGCCTCAACATACTTACTTCTGGATGACGATCTTTTTATCCAGGTCGCAGCCAACTGAAATCAGTGTCGACTGCAGAGGAGAGAGACAGAAATATGGACCCAGGTCAGTGAGGGTCACCCGGACACAGTGAACCCTATACAGGGACACACTCCTGTGGGAATGGTTTGGAAACCATGTGGCCTGGATCCCAACAGCGTGTCCCTGGATGCCTGGGATGCACCGTAACTGCAGCTGGCCCCGCGGAGCTTAAGCTCTGAGAGCCTGGGGTATGGCTAAACTCCTGGTGTCGCCTGAGGAGCTATTAGTGGCTTCACGGAGACCAGAATTAACTTTTTCTTTTAATTAATTAATTATTTTTTGAGACAGAGTTTTTGCTCTGTCACCCAGGCTGGAGTGCAGTGGCCCAGTCTCAGCTCACTGCAACATCCTCCCCCTGGGTTCAAGCGATTCTCCTGCCTCAGCTTCCCAAGTAGCTGGGATTACAGGCGCCTACCAGCACACCCGGCTAATTTTTGTATTTTTAGTAGAGACGGGGTTTCATCATGTTGGCCAGGCTGGTCTCCAACTCTTGACCTCAGGTGATCCACCCGCCTGGGCCTCCCAAAGTGCTAGGAATACAGATGTGAGCCACCATGCCAGGCCCAGAACTAATTTATGAGCCCAGCATGATCCCTGGTACACAGAGAGCATGGGGAAAAAAATGCACGCATGCATGTATGAATGAATGAATGAATGAATGAATGAATGAATGAATGAATGAATGAATAAATCAATGGCCTAGAATGAATAAACAAAAAGGAGAAAGAAGACAGAGAGAGCAATTGGGGGTTACTCTACAGCCTTAGGGACATGCTTCTCAAACTGCAGTGCACGGCACCCTCAGAGTTATACAATGGAGTCTAAAAGCCACAGGACCAAGGGACTTTTAGTATTTGAAAACTGTTTTGTATTAAGACAAACATGGGCCAGGCGCAGTGGCTCACGCCTTTAATCCCAGCACTTTGAGAGGCTGAGCCAGTAGGATTGCTTGAGGCCAGGAGTTAGAGACCAGTCTGGGCAACATAGTGACACCTCATCTCTATGAAAAATAAAACTTAGCCAGGTGTGGTGGTGCACGCCTGTAATCCCAGCTACTTGAGAGGCTGAGGCAGGAAGATCACTTGAGCCTAGAAGGTTGAGGCTGCAGTGAGCCTTGATTGTGCTACTGTGCGGCAGCCTGGGAGACAGAGTGAGACCCTGTACCTACAAATAAAAAACAGCCAGGTGCTGTGGCTCACACCTGTAATCCCAGCACTTTGGGAGGCCAAGGCGGGCAAATTGCCTGAGGTCAGGAGTTCAAGACCAGCCTGGCCAATGTGGTGAAACCCCATTTCTATTAAAAATACAAAAAATTAGCTCGGCATGGTGGGGCTTGCCTGTAATCCCAGCTACTCGGGAGGCTGAAGCAGAATTGCTTGAACCCAGGAGGTGGAGGTTACAGTGAGCCAAGATTGCGCCACTGCACTCCAGCCTGAACAACAAGAGTAAACTCCGTCTCAAAAATAAATAAATAAATGGCCGGGCGCAGTGGCTCACGCCTGTAATCCCAGCACTTTGGGAAGCTGAGGCGGGCGGATCACGAGGTCAGGAGATCGAGACCATCCTGGCTAACACGGTGAAACCCTGTCTCTACTAAAAATACAAAAAAAATTAGCCAGGCATGGTGGCAGGCGCCTGTAGTCCCAGCTACACGGGAGGCTGAGGCAGAAGAATGGCGTGAACCCGGGAGGTGGAGCTTGCAGTGAGCCGAGATCGCACCACTGCACTCCAACCTGGGCGACAGAGTGAGACTCCGTCTCAAAAAATAAAAAAAATAAATAAAGCAAACCAAAAAGCAAGACAAACATGGATTTACCTTAGAACAGAATGCAAGATTCATATCTTAAAAAAAAAAAAATTGGCCAGGTGCAGGGGCTCATGCCTGTAATCCCAGCACTTTGGGAGGCTGAGGCAGGAGGATCACAAGACCAGGAGTTCAAGACCAGGTTGGGCGCAGTGGCTCATGCCTGTGA
This sequence comes from Homo sapiens, assembly GCF_000001405.40. Taxonomy (NCBI): domain Eukaryota; kingdom Metazoa; phylum Chordata; class Mammalia; order Primates; family Hominidae; genus Homo; species Homo sapiens. Next base: position 5,764,120 of record NC_000019.10, on the reverse strand, counting down.
TCCCAGCACTTTGGGAGGCCAAGGTGGGCAGATCACTTAAGGTCAGGAGTTCAAGACCAGCCTGGCCAACATGGTAAAACCCAGTTTCTTCTAAAAATACAAAAATTAGCTGGGCATGGTGGCACATGCTTGTAATCCCCGCTACTCGGGAGGCTGAGGTTAGGAGAATTGCTTGAATCCGGGAGATGGAGGTTACAATGAGCTGAGATCGCACCACTGCATTCCAGTCTGGGCGACAGAGTAAGACTCCATGTCAAAAAAAAAAAAAAAAAAGGAGTTCAAGACCAGCCTGGCCAACATGGTGACACTCCATCTCTACTAAAAATACAAAAATGGCCCAGGCACAGTGGCTCACGCCTGTAAGTGTGGGAGCTTTGGGAGACCAAGGCGGGCAGATCATCCAAGATCAAAAGTTCAAGACCAGCCTGGCCAACATGGTGACTGCCTGCTTTCAACTGCTTCAATCATCCCCTTCCTCAGCTCCTGACACCCCCCATCCTACTTTCTGTCCCTATGAATCTGATGACTCTAGGGACCTCCTAAGAGCGGAATCACACAGGATTTGTCCTTTCGTGCCTGGCTTCTCTCACTGTGTGGGATCTCCTCGAGGTTCATCCATGTGGAAGCATGCATCCATAAATTTTTTTATGCCATCAATGTTTATTTTTATTTTTAATTTTTTTAGTTTTTGAGGCAGAGTTTCACTCTCTTGCACCCAGGTTGGAGTGCAGTGGCACTATCTCAGCTCATTGCAACCTCAGGGCCAGCTTCCATGAGTCTTAACACTTATGACACCGAATATGGGACAGCAAAGATTTGGGACCTACCAGTGGCTTGATATCCACACATGAAATTTCCTTGTTTGCTATGTCCACAGTTAAGGTAGACATGGTGGCTTTCTTTAAACTGCAAGGCAACGGAACCTGTGTTATTAGAGAATAGCACCCCTGTAAACGACACAGCTGCATTCCATTCATCCTTCAGTCCATTCAGTCATCCGTGCATCCATCCATCCATCTCATCCATCCTTCCATCCATTCATTCCACCCACCCATCCATCCATTCATCCATCCATCCACCCTTCCATCTCTCTACCCATCCACTCATCCATCTACGCATTTATCCATCCATTCCATCCACCCACCCATCCATCCATCCACTCATCCATCTATCCACTTATTCATCCATCCATCTATCTATTCATCTCTCTATCCATCCAATCATCCATCTACCCATTTATCCATCCATTCCATCCACCTATCCATCCATCCATCCACTCATCCATCTATCCATTTATCCATCCATCCATCTATCTCATCCATCCTTCCATCCATTCATTCCACCCACCCACCTATCCATCCATCCATCCACCCATCCATCTCTCTATCCATCCACTCATCCATCTACCCACTTATCGATCCATTCCATCCACCCACCCATCCATCCATCTATTCACTCATCCATCTATCCATTTATCCATCCATCCATCCATCCATCCATCCACCCACCCATCCACCCATCCACCCAACCATCCGTCCATCTCTCTATCCATCTATCCACTCATCTGTCTACCCATTTATCCTTCTGATATGGTTTGGTTCTATGTCCCCACCCAAATCTCATCTCAAATTGTAATCCTCACATGTCAGGGGAGGGACCTGGTGGGAGGTGATTGGATCATGGTGGCAGTTTCCCCCTTGGTGTTCTTGTGATAGTGAGTGAATTCTCACAATATCTGATAGTTTAAAAGTGTATGGGGCTGGCCTCAGTGGGTCATGCCTGTAATCTCAGCACTTTGGGAGGCCGAGGTGGGCAGATCACCTGAGGTAAGGAGTTCGAGACCATTCTGGCCAACATGGCGAAACCCTGTCTCTACTAATAATACAAAAATTAGCCAGGCATGGTGGCGTGTGTCTGTAATCTCAGCTACCTGGGAGGCCAAGACACAAGAATCACTTGAACTCAGGAAGTGGAGGTTGCAGTGACCAGTGATCACACCACTGCACTCCAGCCTGGGCGACAGAGTGAAACTGTGTCTCAAAAAAAAAAAAAAAAAAAAAAATATATATATATATATATGGCAGGCCAGGCGCAGTGGCTCTCACCTGTAATCCCAGCACTTTGGGAGGCCAAGGCGGGCACATCACCTGAGATCAGGAGTTCAAGACCAGCCTTGCCAATATGGTGAAACCCCATTTCTACTAAAAATACAACAACAACAACAAAAATTAGCCGGGCGTGGTGGCACACGCCTGTAGTCCCAGCTACTCGGGAACTATAGTCCCAGCTACTTGGGAGGCTGAGGCAGGAGAACCGCTTGAACCCAGGAGGTGGAGATTGCAGTGAGCCGAGATCGTGCCATTGCACTCCAGCTTGGGCAACAAGAGCGAAGCTCCATCTCAGAAAAAAAAAAAAAAGAATGTATGATAGTTTCTCTCTCTCTCATTCTCTCTCTCTCTCTCTCTTCTGCCGCCATGAGAAGACATGCCTTGTTTCCCCTTCGCCTTCCGCCATGATTGTAAGTTTCCTAAGACCCCCAAGTCGTGCTTCCTGTTAAGCCTGAGGAACTGTGAGTCAATTAAACCTCTTTTCTTTATAAATTACCCAATCTCAGATAGTTCTGAAAACTGTGAAAACAGACTAATACACCATCCAGCCAGCCAGGCAGCCAGCCAGCCATCCATCCATCCATCCATCCATCCATTAATTTCTGAACACTGGCCGGGTGCGGTGGTTCATGCCTGTAATTCTAGCACTTTGGGAGGCTGACGCGGACGGACCACCTGAGGTCAGGAGTTCAAGACCAGCCTGGCTAACATGGTGAAACCCCGTCTCTAGTAAAAATACAGAAATTAGCTGGGCGTGGTGGCACATGCCTATAATCCCAGCTACTCGAGAGGCTGAGGCAAGAGAATCATTTGAACCCAGGAGGCAGAGATTGCAGTGAGCCGAGATCATGCCACTGCTAAGGCAGGAGAATGGCTTGAACCCAGGAGGCGGAGGTTGCAGTGAGCCAAGATTATGCCATTGCACTCCAGCCTGGGCAACAAGAGTGAAACTTCGTCTCAAAAAAAAAAACAAAAACAAAACAAATAAAAAAAACTTCACAAAACTGACTCAAGAAGCAGTGAAAACTCGATAGAAGGCTTTCAGTCAGCATTCAGAAATTTTTTTTTTTTTTGAGATGGGGGTCTCGCTCTGTCGCCCAGGGTCAGGGTCTTGCTCTATTGCCCAGGCTGGAGTACATTGTCATGCCCATAACTTACTACAACCTGAAACTCCTGAGCTCAAGCAATCCTCCTGCCTCAGTCTCCTGAGTTGCTATGGATCTCCTGAGTTGCTGTGATTATAGGCGTGAGCCGTCACACCGGGCCCCAAATTTTCCATCTTAACCATTTTAAGTGCACCATTCATCAATATTAACTACATTCACAGAGTTGTGCAACCATCACCACCATCCATCTCCAGAAGTTTCTCATCTTCCCCAACTGAAACTTGGTCCTCATGAAACACTCACTCCCCATCCCCCTCCCCAGCCCCTGGCACCCCCCATCCTACTTCCTGTCTCTGTGACTCAGACCACTCTAGGGTCCTCCTAGGAGTGGAATCACACAGGATTTGTCCTTTTGTATCCGGCTTATTGCACTGAGCATGTTGTCCTCAAGGTGCATCCAATCTAGCCTGTATCTTGCGTCAGGATTCCCTTACTTTTTTTTTTTTTTGAGAACGAGTTTTGCTCTATCACCTAGCATGGAGTTCAGTGGCGCAATCTCGGCTCACTGAAACCTCTGCCTCCCGGGTTCAAGCGATTCTCCTGCCTCAGCCTCCCGAGTAGCTGAGACTACAGGCGCCTGTCACCATGCCTGGCTAATTTTTGTATTTTTAGTAGAGACAGAGTTTCACCATGTTGGCCAGGCTGGTCTCGATCTCTTGACCTTGTGAGCTGTCCGCCTCAGCCTCCCACAGTGTTGGGATTCCACCTGCCTCAGCCTCCCAAAGTGTTGTGGGCCACAGCCCCCGGCCTTTTTTTTTTTTTTTTTTTTTTTTGAGATGGAGTCTCACTCTGTCACCCAGGCTGGAGTGCAGTGCCACAATCTCGGCTCACTGCAAGCTCCACCTCCTGGGTTCAAGCAATTCTGCCAAAGCCTCCTGAATACCTGGGATTACAGGCGCATACCACCATGCCCGGCTAATTTTTGTATTTTTAGTAGAGATGGGGGTTTCACCATGTTGGCCAGGCTGGTCTCGAACTCCTGACCTCAGGTGATCTGCCCGCCTTGACCTCCCAGAGTGCTGGGATTACAGGTGTGAGCCACCGCGCCCGGCCCGGGACTCCCTTCCTTCTTAAGTCTGAGTCATATTGCGATGTGCGGATGGACCACGCTGTGTTCATCCTTTCATCTGGTGATGGACCGGTGGGTTGATTTTTGCCTTTTGACTGTTGTGAATCACGCTGCTGTGAGCACAGGTGTGCAAATATCTCCCTGAGTAGCTGGGATTATAGGCGCCCGCCACTACACTTGGCTTATTTTTGCTTTTTTTTTTTTTTTTTTTGGAGCTGGAGTTTCATGTTTGTCGCCCAGGCTACAGTGCAATGGCACGATCTCGGCTCACTGCACCCTCTGCCTCCTGGATTCAAGCAATTCTCCTGCCTCAGCCTCCCGAGTAGCTGAAATTACAGGTGCCTGCCACTACGCCTAGCTAATTTTTTTTTATTTTTTAGTAGAGACGGGGTTTCACCGTGTTGGCTAGGCTGGTTTCGAACTCCTGACCTCAGGTGATCCACCCACCTCTGCCTCCCAAAGTACTGGGATTGCAGGCGTGAGCCACCGCGCCCAGCTCTTGTAAAGTGTTGTAATCGCCTTGTTTTACTGTTCTGGAGCTGGGGGTCTGATCTCAGACCTGCTTCTCTTCGCTCCTGCTAAGGAAACCCCTGTAGGCAGCCCAGTCCCCGCCTCTCCCAGGAGACAACATACCTGGAAGTGAAGTTGGAGTCGGTCCTGCCCCAGTGCTGCTGCTGTTTTAGGAAAATATCCTGTGGGGTCAAGAGAGAAAATCCCAAGTGTATCCGTGGAACACCATGGGCATCCCCAACTCAGGACATTGGGAGAGATGGGGTGTTGGAGGGGACATGGGGGGACGAACCTGGAAGCCGCTTAGCCCCACTCTGTTCCTTTTTTTTTTTTTTTTTTTTTTTGAGATGGAGTCTCTCTCTGTTGCCCAGGCTGGAGTGCATTAGCACGATCTTGGCTCACTGCAACCTCCACCTCCCTGGTTCAAGTGATTCTCCTGCCTCATCCTCCCAAGTAGCTGGAACTACAGGTGAGCGTTACCATGCCTGGCTAATGTTTGCCTTTTTTTTCTTCTCTTTTTTTTTTAAGACTGAGTCTCGCTCTGTCGCCCAGGCTGGAGTGCAGTGACACGATCTCGGCTCACTGCCAGCTCTGCCTCCTGGGTTCACGCCATTCTCCTGCCTCAGCCTCCCGAGTAGCTGGGACTACAGGTGCCCGCCACCACACCCGGCTAATTTTTTTTTTTTTTTTTTTTGTATTTTTAGTAGAGACGGGGTTTCACCATGTTGGCCAGGCTGGTCTCAAACTCCTGACCTCAAGTGATCCACCCACCTTGGCCTCTCAAAGTGCTGGGATTCCAGGCGTGAGCCACTGCGCCCAGCCAAGCCCTGCTCTGTTCTAGTCCCACCGCCTGTGAAAGGCTTCTGGAAGCTCACAGAAACAACGGCCCCAATATGATGGCTCCTATTCCCTTGCTCCCTGAGTTCTGGGGACCCACAGTGAGGAGTGACTGTTTTCTCACTCACCTGGATGTGATGTGACGAGCCTGGTTAAAGGAGTTTGCTGTCACCAACTTGCACCTGGTCAGGCCCCTGCCCTGTGGAAACTGCCCCCACGCAATCCTCATGCCTCAGTTTACCCAACTAACTCAGATCTCCGGCTACCCTCCCCGGGCTGGGTTAGGCTCCTCCCTGTCATGCCATCCGGGTCTCTCCCGTGTGACACTTTAATGAGGTCAAGCGTGTGGTTGACGGCTGCCTGATCATCTTCCCACCGCGGGGCACGGCCACGGGCTATGTACCCTGGAAACTCCTAAATTTTTATGCTGATAAGGGAAGGAGGAAGAGGGGGCCTCTCAAGGGACAGGCGACAGGGTTTGGTGGGGACGCGGCTCACCAGTTTGTACTTGGTGTTCCCATCTGATGTGTAACCGTTCTCGTAGAAGGTGGCCTGGAACCCCAGGGAGTGGGGGTTGCTCACCATCACCTGGGAGTGGGGGAGAGAAGCTCAGGCTGTACGGAGCCAGCAGGCAGGACGGGGTGACAAACCCCCACAGTGAGCCCAGCACACCTTCAAATGAAAAATCAGGGCTGGGTGTAGTGGCTCATATCTGTAATCCCAGCACTTTGGGAGACCAAGGTGAGAAGACTGCTTGAGCCCAGGAGTTCAAGACGAGCCTGGGCAACACAGAGAGATCCTGTCTCTACAAAAAAAAAAAAAAAAAAAAAATTTGGCCAGGCGCGGTGGCTCACGCCTGTACTTCCAGCACTTTGGGAGGCCGAGGCAGGTGGATCACCTGAGGTCGGGAGTTTGAGACCAGCCTGACCAACATGGAGAAACCCCATCTCTACTAAAAATACAAAATTAGCCAGGCATGGTGGTGCATGCCTGTAATCCCAGCTACTCGGGAGCCCGAGGCAAGAGAATCGCTTGAACCCAGGAGGCAAAAGTTGCGGTGAGCTGAGATCACGCCATTGTACTCCCGCCTGGGTAACAAGAGCAAGATTCCGTCTCAAAAAAAAAAAAAAAAAGAAGTTGAAAATGCATTTATTTATTATTTTCTTTCTTTCTTTATTTTTGAGATGGAGTCTCACTCTGTCACCCAGGCTGGAGTGCAGTCCTGCAAACTCAGCTCACTGCAACCTCTGCCTCCTGGGTTCCAGTGATTCTCTTACTTCAGCCTCCCAAGTAGTTGGGATTACAGGCATGCGCCAACACACCCAGCTAATTTTTGTATTTTTAGCAGAGATGGGGTTTCACCATATTGGCCAGGCTGGTCTGGAACTCCTGACTTCATATGATATGCCTGTGTCGGCCTCCTAAAGTGCTGGGATTACAGGCGTGAGCCACCGCACCTGGCCTATTTATTTATTTTTATTTTTTTTGGAGGCAGAGTCTTGCTCTGTCACCCAGGCTGCAGTGCAGTGGTGAGATCTTGGCTCACTGCAACCTCTGCCTCCTGGGTTCAAGCGATTCTCATGTGTCAGCCTCCCGAGTAGCTGGGATTCCAAGCACGCTACCACACCCAGCTAATTTTTGTGTTTTTAGTAGAGACGAGGTTTCACCATGTTGCACAGGCTGGTCTCAAACTCCCGAGCTTAGGCAATCCCCCCACCTCGGCCTCCCAAAGTGCTGGGATTACAGGTGTGAGCCACCGTGCCTGGCCTGAAAATGCATTTAATATACCTAACCTACCAAGCATTGGAAGTTAGCCCAGCCTACTTTAAATTGAGAATAAACCAAGCAATACTAAAAGGAGAACAAAACCCACTCGCCCTTCCACCCCTTGGATCACGATGTTGACATTTCAGGGGTCCAGCTTTCCTGAATGTTTGTACAAATAGATAATACATGTGGATGAATTTACCCACCTTTAGTGTATAATTCAGTGGCTTTCGGTAGATTCACAATATCGTGCAACCATCACTGCCATCTGTTTCCAAAACTTTCGCATAGTCCCAAATGGAAACTCTGTCCTCATGAAGCAATAATTTACCTACTTTTAAATTTTTTATTTTTATTTATTTATTTAATTTTTTTTTTTCTTTGAGAGGGAGTCTCACTCTGTCACCCAGGCTAGAGTGCAGTGGCATGGTCTCAGCTCACTGCAACCTCCACCTCCCAGATTCAAGTGATTCTCCCACGTCAGCCTCCTGAGTAGCGGGGATTACAGGCATGTGCCACCACACCCGGCTAATTTTTGTATTTTTAGTAGAAATGGGGTTTCACTATGTTGGCCAGGCTGATCTTGAACTCCTGGCCTCAGGCAATCTGCCCGCCTTGGCCTCCCAAAGTGCTGGGATTACAGGCGTGAGCCACCGCGCCTGGACAATTTTTTTATTTTTTAAGAGATGAGGTTTTACTCTGTTACCCAGGCTGGAGTGCAATGGCATGAGTATAGCTCACTGCAGCCTCAACCTCCTGGGCTCAAGTGATCCTCCTGCCTCAGCCTCCTGCCTTAGCCCCAAGTAGCTGGGACTACAGGTGCATGCCACTACACCTGGCTAATTTTTATTTTTTTAATTTATTTTTATTTATTTATTTATTTATTTATTGAGACAGAGTCTCGCTCTTGTTGCCCAGGCTGGAGTGCAATGGCACGATCTTGGCTCACCGCAACCTCCGCCTCCTGGGTTCAAGAGATTCTCCTGCCTCAGCCTCTCCAGTAGCTGGGATTACAGGCATGCGCCACCACACCCGGCTAATAATTTTTATGTTTTTTGTACAGATGGAGTCTCACTATGTTGCCCAGGCTAGTCTCGAGCTCCTGGGTTCAAGCGATCTTCCCACCTCAGCCTCCTGAAGTACTGAAATTACGGGCGGGAGCCACCGCGCCCGGCCCTCATGTAATTTATTGAATACTATACTAATAGTGAAAAACAGAAAGGCTGTATCAGTACTGGAAATACAGTTTCTATTGAGTATAATAGTTTTTGTATACTCAATATTTTGAGTATAATATATTGAGTATAATACTCAATAGTCTGAGTATAATCGGTTTTGTGCCATTGTAAAGTCAAAAAATTGTGGGACCATCTGTACTTGCAGCTAATGCCTAGGCTTAGACACTTGGATTTTGGATCGAGAAACATCCAAACACTTCCTGCTGGGTGGGGGAAGGCCATAGGGGTCAGGGCTCTTAGCTGCTAGCAAGAGAAGCCAACTCAGGCTGAGTTAAGAAAATGAGGCCAGCATGGTGGCTCACGCCTGTAATCCCAGCACTTTGGGAGTCCGAGGTGGGTGGATCACCTGAGGTCAGGAGTTCAAGACCAGTCTGACCAACATGGCAAAACCCCATCTTACTAAAAATACAAAACTTAGCCAGGCATGATGGCAGGCACCTGTAATCCCAGCTACTTGGGAGGCTGAGGCAGGAGAATGGCTTGAACCCGGGAGGCAGAGGTTACAGTGAGCCGAGATCGTGCCATTGCACTCCAGCCTGGGCGACAGAGCAAAACTCTGTCTCAAAAAAAAAAAAAAAGAAGAAGAAGAAAATGAATGTATGGGCAGCTCAGAAGGATGGAGGAGGCACAGAGACAGCACAAGGGCGGCCAGGCGGCCAGCTGGACAGCCACAGCCTCATCACGCCCAGACATGCAGAGGCACGTCGAGGGGGAAGACACATAGAAATGGCTGGGCATGGTGGCTCATGCCTGTAACCCCAACATTTTGGGAGTCCGAGGTGAGCAGATCACTTGAGACCAGGAGTTCAAGACCAGCCTGACCAACATGGGGGAACCCCGTCTCCACTAAAAATACAAAATTAGCCAGGCGTGGTGGCACATGCTGGTAATCCCAGCTACTCGGGAGGCTGAGGCAGGAGAATTGCTTGAGCCCAGGAGGTGGAGGCTGCAGTGAGCCGAGATCACGCCACTGCACTCCAGCCTAATGGACAGAGCGAGGTTCTGTCTCAAAAAAAAAAAAAAAAAAAAAAAGACACAGAGACAATTTCTATGCAGAATTGTGAGTGTGCGAGTAGCGTCTCTCCTTGTGGGGGATGCCAGGGGATTTCCAGAATCTGGGAGTGGGCACCAGGCATGTGGCTGAGAATCCCAGATAGCAGAAACATTAAGATGTACTTACCAGAGGAATCAGGGATGTGCCTGGCTGGGGTATCAACGAAGCAGTCAATTCCAGCTGGCTGTGCATGTCAATGGTATACATCCTGTATATAAATTCTCCTGTCAGAAACTCTATCTAGTTAAAAAGGCGAAGAAGAAAGATAATCATGCTCCTGTTCCCATAAAGAAAGGGCAAGGAGGTGGGAAGGAGGAAGGGACCCTCCTGGTCCTGCAGCCTGAATCTCCACTTGTGCCTCTGTCTTCCCCACTAGACTCTGTATTTCCAGAAGGGTCTCGAGATGGGCACAATGCCAGCCCCTCCCTCCTCTCCAGAAGTATTCCCCAACCCTGACATGCGCAGTAATTGCTTCTTTCTGTTCCTTTCTTTTTTTTTTGAGACAGGGTCTCGCTCTGTCGCCCAGGCTGGAGTGCAGTGGTTTGATCATGGCTCACTGCAGCCTTGACCTCCCAGGATCAAGCAATCCTCTTCCCTCAGCCTCCCAAGTAGCCAGGACTACAGGCGTGCACCACCATGCCCGGCTAATTCAATTTTTTTTTTTTAATAGAGACAAGGGCTTACTATGTTGCCACGCTGGTCCCAAATTCCTGGGCACAAGTGATCCTCCCATCTCGGCCTCCCAAAGTGCTTGAGGTTACAGTTGTGAGCCACTGCGCCTGACCTCTTTCTGTTTCTTTTTTTTTTTTTGAGACAGAGTCTGGCTCTGTCGCCCAGGTTGGGGTGCAGTGGCGTAATCTCGGCTCACTGCAAGCTCTGCCTCCGGGGTTCATGCCATTCTCCTGCCTCAGTCTCCCAAGTAGCTGAGACTATAGGCGCCCACCACCACGCCCAGCTAATTTTTTTTTTGTATTTTTGGTAGAGATGGGGTTTCACTGTTAGCCAGGAAGGTCTCGATCTCCTGACCTTGTGATCCACCCACCTTAGCCTCCCAAAGCGCTGGGATTACAGGCGTGAGCCACCGCGCCCGCCCCCTCTTTCTGTTTCTTTAGAGTAGAGCTGCCCTAGTATGCATCTGAAGATCATCACTCAGTCTTGCCCGTTTCCCAACACAGGTATGTCTTTTAATCCTCTTTCAATCTACAGGTTTGTTGGCTGGGTTTAGTGGCTCACACCTGTAATCCTGAGGGGTAGAGAATCACTTAAGTTCAGGGGTTTGAGACCAACCTGGACCACACAGGGAGACTCCTGTCTCTACAAAATCTACTTTTTTTTTTTTTTTTTGACATGGAGTCTCACTCCATCACCCAGGCTGGAGTGCAGTGGCTTGGTTTCGGCTCACTGCAACCTCTGCCTCCCAGGTTCAAGCGATTCTCCTGCCTCAGCCTCCTGAGTAGCTGGGATTACAAGCATGTGCCAGCACGCCCATCTAATTTTTGTATTTTTAGTAGAGACGGGGTTTCGCCATGTTGGCCAGGCTGCTCTCGAACCCCTGACCTCAGGTGATCCGCCCGCCTCGGCCTCCCAAAGTGTTAGGATTACAGGAATGAGCCACCACGCCCGGCCCCCTTTTCCTTTCCATGGATTTTGGAAGTCCCCACGCTGTTGGGCCCGCAGCATTTCTCAAAATCTGGATTTCCCTGGTGCAGGTGAACCCATTCCTCTGTCTTTTGTATTTCTGGCAAATTTGCAGCTGGATTGATGCTTGCCTCATGAGATTGAGTTTGATCGTGTTGGCAGTGGTCAATGGGTGATGTGATTGATCTCTTATTGGTGACGAATACTATCTTGTTGTCTCTTATTTTGTTAATTTCTCTTTTTTTAAATTAGTGTTTTAGAAACGAGGATCTCATTTTGTCACCCAGGCTGGAGTGCAGTGACTCCATCATAGCTCACTGCAGCCTCGAACTCCTGGGCTCAAGTGATCCCCACACCTCAGCCTCCCAAGTAACTGAGAGTACACACCACCATGCCCAACTTATTTATTTATTTATTTATTATTTGAGACGAAGTCTCGCTCTGTCACCCAGGCTGGAGTGCAGTGGTGTGATCTCGGCTCATTGCAACCTCTGCCTCCCAGGTTAAAGAGATTCTCATGCCTCAGCACTCGAAGTAGGTGGGATTACAGGCGCCCGCCACCACACCAAGCTAATTTTCGTATTTTTAGTAGAGATGGGGTGTCACCATGTTGGCCAGGCTGGTCTGGAACTCCTGACCTCAAGTGATCCACCTGCCTCAGTCTCCCAAAGACTCAGTCTCCAAAGTCTCCCACCGTACCTGGCCAACGCCCAGCTTTAAAAAAAAATTTTTTTTTGTTTTAGAAATGGGTGTATGTTGCCCAGGCTGGTCTTGAACTCCTGGCCTCAAACAACCCTCCAGCCTCAGCCTCCTGAGCAACTGGGGCTACAGGCGTGCACCACCATGCCCAGGTTGAATTTGTCTTTAAAAACTACATTGAACATTGATCAAAACAGTTAGGATCACATACCTTGCACTTTCCAACGTGGAGTTCAGGGTCCATGAGAAGCGCCTGGATATTCACGAGGCACTTCTGGAAATCAAAAGCTGGAAAGGCTGTGTCACGCAGTGGGGTCAGTATTTCCAGAGTCCCTGGGCTCCTGAACATCAGGGCCACGTCTTCTGACCAGATGTATTGGTCTGCAAACTAAGAAGAAAATGATTCCTGAGATCTAATCATTGTAATTGTTTTTCTGGAGGTTTAAATTTTATTTCATGATGCAGATTTTTTTTTTTTTTTTTTTTTTTTTTTTTTTTTTTTTGATGGAGTCTCACTCTGTCTCCCAGGCTGGAGTGCAGTGGCGCCATCTCGGTTCACTGCAAGCTCCGCCTCCCGGGTTCACGCCATTCTCCTGCCTCAGCCTCCCGAGTAGCTGGGACTACAGACGCGCAGCCACCACACCCGGCTAATTTTTTTTTTCTTTGTATTTTTTAGTAGGGACAGGGTTTCACTGTGTTAGCCAGGATGGTGTCGATCTCCTGACCTCGTGATCCGCCCGCCTCGGCCTCTGAAAGTGCTGGGATTACAGGCGTGAGCCACCGCGCCAGGCCTTTTTTTTTTTTTTTTTTTTTTTTTTTTTTTTTTTTTTTTTTTTTGAGACGGAATCTTGTTCTGTCGCCTGGGCTGGAGTGCAGTGGCGCAATCTCAGCCCACGGCAACCTCCGCCTCCCGGGTTCAAGCGATTCTCCTGAGTCACTGGGATCACAGTCGCACCACCATGCCCGGCTAATTTTTGTATTTTTAGTAGAGACGAGTTTCACCATGTTGATCAGGCTGGTCTTGAACTCCTGACCTCGTGATCCACCTGCCTCGGCCTCCCAAAAGTGCTGGGATTACAGGCATGAGCCACCACGCCCGGCCATGATGCAGATTGAAAGAAGGTAGAGGGAAGAAAGAAAAAGAAAAGAGAAAGGAAGAGAGAAAGAGAAAGGAAGGAAGAAAGGAAAGAAGGGAGAGAGGGCTGGGGGAGGGAGGAAACACAGTCATAAGGACAACTTGTGATCTAACTTCTCTTCAGCTTCATTCATCCTTTGGTAATTATTATTTTTTTCTTTTTTTGAGATGGAGCCTCACTCTGTCGCCCAGGCTGGAGTGCAGTGGCACGATCTCGGCTCACTGCAACCTCCGTCTCCCGGGTTCAAGCCATTCTCCTGCCTCACGAGTAGCTGGGATTACAGGCATGCACCACCATGCCCAGCTAATTTTCATATTTTTAGTAGAGACGGGGTCTCACTATGTTGCCCATGCTGGTCATGAACTCCTGGAACCAAAGTGCTGGGATTGCAGGAAGGAGCCACTGTGCCTGGCCAAAATAATTCCTTTTTTTTTTTTTTTTTTTTTTTGAGACAGAGTCTCGCTCAGTCACCCAGGCTAGAGTGCAGTGGCTTGATCTCTGCTCACTGCAAGCTCCGCCTCCTGGATTCACGCCATTCTCCTGCCTCAGCCTCCCGAGTAGCTGGGACTACAGGTGCCGCCACCACGCCCGGCTAATTTTTTCGTATTTTTTTTAGTAGAGACGGGGTTTCACCGTGTTAGCCAGGATGGTCACGATCTCCTGAACTCGTGATCCGCCCACCTTGGCCACCCAAGGTGCTGGGATTACAGGCGTGAGCCACCACGCCCGGCCAAAATAATTCTTTTATTTTAAATTTTTGTTAGTTTTATTATTATTTTTAAGAAACAGAGTTTCGGCCGGGCGCGGTGGCTCACGACTGTAATCCCAGCACTTTGGGAGGCCTAGGCGGGTGGATCACCTGAGGTCAGGAGTTGAAGACCAGCCTGGACAATATGGTGAAACCCTGACTCCACTAAAATTACAAAACTTAGCCTGGTGTGGTGGCATGCGCCTGTAATCCCAGCTACTCGGGAGGCTGAGGCAGGAGAATTGCTTGAACCTGAGAGGTGGAGGTTGTAGTGAGCCAAGATTGTGCTGTGGCATTCCAAGCTAGGCGACAGAGTGAGACTCCATCTCAAAAAAAAAAAAAAAAAATTAGATAGGCATAATGCACAAGAGGATGTCAGATGACACCTGCACCACCACTTAGTACCACTTTGAGCCTGGACAGACGACTTAGGTCTCTGTGCCTCAGTTTTTCCATCTGTCAAATAGGGACGATATGAGGAGCTTCCTAAGATGATGGTCAAGGTTAAATAATGTAATACACGAAGGTGCCTAGACCAGCACCTATAGTATTTTAAATACTCTTCCCCTTTTAGCTGCTGTTGTTGTTGTTGTTTTACTAACTAGAGTGATTTCTAGCCTTCGAAAAAAGGTTCAGAAGTTTGTGAACAAGACCATTATTCCTTACCAACTAATTCATAACCCCACTTTCTGTTGTCGTTGTTGTTGTTGAGACAGAGTCTTACTCTGCCTTCCAGGCTCAAGCGATTCTCCTGCCTCAGCCTCCCGTGTAACTGGAATTACAGGTGCCCACCACCAGGCTCGGCTAATTTTTGTATTTTTAGTAGAGACAGGGTTTCACCATGTTGGCAAGGCTGGTCTTGAACTCCTGACCTCAGGTGATCCTTCCACCTCAGCCTCCCAAAGTGCTGGGATGACAGGCGTGAACCACCGTGCCCAGCCCATAACCCCACTTTCTTTTTACCTACTTTGATTATGGAACTTGGCACGATGCCCAGATTGCCATAATACAAATTATCCTCCCGAGTTATAACTGCCAGTTCATTTTCAGCTGGGAAAAACAAAACAAGACAAAACAAAAATTGAAATGCTGGTCATTTCTGTGGACAAAAACATAAGTGTGGTTGGGTGCAGTGGCTCACGCCTGTAATTCCAACACTTTGAGAGGCCGAGGGGGGTGGATCACTTGAGGCCAGGAGTTTGAGACCAGCCTGGCCAACATGGTGAATCCTCTTTTTCTACTAAAAATACAAAAATGAGCCGGGCATGGTGGTGCGCGCCTGTAGTCCCAGCTACTCAGGAGGCTGAGGCAGGAGAATCATTTAACCCAGGAGGCAGAGGTTACACTGAGCAGAGATCACGCCACTACTCCAGCCTGGGTAACAAGATTGAAACTCCATCTCAAAAAAAAAAAAAAAAAAAAGAATAATATGACAGCTATTTTCTGGTTATAATCACAAAATTCATGTGGAAATGCCAAGCAATATGAAAAAAATACAGAGTTGAAGCTTTTTTTTTTTTTTTTTTTGGAGTCTCACTGTGTCGCCCAGGCTGGAGTGCCATGGTGCGATCTGCTCACTGCTCACTCCACCTCCCGGGTTCCAGCGATTCTCCTGCCTCAGCCTCCTGAGTAGCTGGGATTATAGTCGCCCACCACCACGCCCAGCTTATTTTTGTATTTTTAGTAGAGAGGGGGTTTCACCATGTTGGCCAGGCTGGTCTCGAACTCCTGACCTCAGGTGATCCACCCGCCTCGGCCTCCCAAAGTGCTGGAATTACAGGCATGAGCCACCGCGCCCAGCTGATTTCGTGTTTTGGCTGGGTTGGGTCTGGCAGGCCTACGGTTAATAAGCCAGGTCTAAATATTTCTTGGCTAGCAGTGGGTCGGCTACGCACTGACAGCAATGTTGTGGATGGTGATCTTGGCTTCAAAAATGGAAGAAAACAAGGTCTGGTCTCCTTTTTTCACCCGGACGGTGTCGACGAGCTGACCTAGGAGGTAACAGGACAGGTGCATGAGGCCCCGTGTACATCCTGGGAAAGGGGATGTCTACTACTGGGACCACAGCCACCCCTGCCACCACCCAACCCACCCGGCCAGTGGCTCTTTCGATGTTCCTTATAGCTTTTGAGAGGTTTGCTATTCAAAGGAGAATGAATCAAGGAGAATACAGCACTGAAACACAATTTTGTTAAGCATGACAAGGAATATGCTTCGGTTTAAGAAAACCTAACCCTTCTGCCAGGCGCGGGGGTGCACACCTGTAATCCCAGTACTTTGGGAGGCTGAGGTGGGCAGATCGCTTGAAGTCAGGAGTTCGAGATCAGGCTGGCCAACATGGCAAAACCTTGTCTCTACTAAAAATACAAAAATTAACTGAGCATGGTTGCACGCACCTGTAATCCCAGCTACTTGGGAGACTGAGGCAGGAGAATTGCTTGAACCCAGAGGTGGAGGTTGCAGTGAGCCGAGATTGCGCCACTGTACTCCAGCCTGGGCGACAGAGCCAGACTCCATCTCAAAAAAAAAAAAAAAAAAAAGAAAAGAAAAAAGAAAACCAGATCCCCGTTAATCTTCTCTATAAGCAAGCTCAGAGGGATGGCCATTGAGTTTTTTGTCAACCAGGGGCTTGAACACAATGGAATGTCTTCTAATACAGGTGACCACTATAAGGAATAAAACAGGCCGGGTTTGGTGGCTCTCATCTGTAATCCCAGAACTTTGGGAGGCTGAGGCCAGAGGATTGCTTGAACCCAGGAGTTTGAGACCAGCCCGGGCAACAGGGTGAAACCCCGTCTCTACAAAAAATAAGTTAGTTATGCATGGTGGCGCACCTGTAGTCCCAGTTACTGGGAGGCTGAAGCAGGAGGATCACTTGAGCCTGAGAGGTGGGGAGGCTGCAGTGAGCCACGATTGCACCATTGCACTCCAGTCTCGATGACAGAGTGAAACTGTGTCCCAAAAAAAAAAAAAAAAAAAAAGGGAAACCATTGTGAGGATAAAACAGGTTGAGTACAGCGGCTCAGAGCTGTAATATCCAGACTTCGGGAGGCCAAGGCAGGAGGATTGCTTGAAGCCAGGAGTTTGAGACCAGCCTGGGCAACACAGGAGGACCCAGTCTCTACAAAAAATACAAAAAAATCAGCCAGGCATGGTGGCACATGCCTGTAGCCAGCTACTTGGGAGGCTGAGATGGGAGGATCGTTTGAGCCCAGGGAAGGTGGAGGCTGCAGTGAGCCATGATTGCACCACTGCATTCCAGCCTGGGTGCAGAAGTACAATCAGGACTCGGCACAGCTTCCGCCTCCACAGAGTGAGACACTGTCTCCAAAAAAAAAAGAAAAACAGGAACTTTACTGTGCATGAACTAAAGTCTCCCAGGAATACAACCATTAGCCTTCCCACATGTTAAAGAAATGGCTGGGCGTGGTGGCTCACGCCTGTAATCCCAGCACTTTGGGAGGCCGAGGCAGGTGGATTACGCGGTCAGGAGATGGAGACCATCCTGGCTAACACGGTGAAACCCCGTCTCTACTAAAAATACAAAAAAAAAAATTAGCCGGGCATGGTGCTGGGCGCCTGTAGTCCCAGCTACTAGGGAGGCTGAAGCCAGAGAATGGTGTGAACCCGGGAGGCGGAGCTTGCAGTGGGCCAAGATCGCGCCACTGCACTCTAGCCTGGGCGACAGAGTGAGACTCCGTCTCAAAAAAAAAAGAGAAAGAAATGTTAAATACGAAGCCTCCTGGAACTCTGGAAAAGCAGCCTCAGAGTTGTCTGACTGGCGTTTTTCCCAGACGCGACCTAAAGCTGGCGGAATAAACCTCCATGACGGAGACTCTTGTCACCGTCACTTATTTCAGTTGTCACTGTCTACCTGGCCCTAAGTATCCTGCAAGCCAGGAAGCTAGGGAGGATGCAGAGAGATCCACTAAATGATTATGGGCTTGTGGTCCACTCTGAACATGGAAGAGAAAAAATAACCGAGTGGTCGAGGGGTTGCTCCTTCCCCTCCCCTTATCCAGGCTGTACTCGGCCCCTCTGGAGGAGGCCACCAGGCGGCAGCCCCACCCTGGGCCCCTGGGCTCACCTGCATTATGGGAAAACAACAGGCTGTTCTCAAACCATAGGAGCAGGATGCCTCTCTGGCCGGGGGCGATGAGGATGTCTAGAGTCCCATTATAGTCAAAAGACAGCCCGAAACTCCGGTTGAGGGGGTGATCTGAGTACTTGAACATGCCCTGGGAGAAAAAGACACCATTCAGCCTCTCCCCAAACCCTACTGTGGAGTCCCACTGAGTCCTAATGAGGGAAGAGGAGTCTGGCTAGCAGGTGCAGGGGAAAGCAAAGAAAGCAAAGAAGCCACAAGTCTGCCTTTCTTTTTTTATTTTTATTAAATACAACTTTATTGTTTTGCTAGGGTTACATTTCAGTTTAACCATTGAAAATTTAGTTCTGAATAGAGAATTACTCTAAGTGTCAAATGCACAATGCATTTTGAAGATTTATTTTATTTTATTTTATTTTATTTTTGAGGTGGAGTCTGGCTCTGTTGCCCAGGCTGGAGTGCAGTGGCACGATCTCGGCTCACTGCCACCTCCATCTCCCAGGTCCAAGTGATTCTCCTGCCTCAGCCTCCCAAGTAGCTGTGATTACAGGTGCCTGACACCGTGCCGGGCTAATTTTTTTGTGTTTTTAGCAGAGACGGGGTTTCACCATCTTGGCCAGGCTGGTTTCAAACTCCTGACCCCAAATGATCTGCCCGCCTCGGACTTCCAAAGTGCTAGGATTACAGGCGTGAGCCACTGCACCCGGCCTCATTTTGAAGATGTAGTACAGAAAAATGTAAACTATCTCATCCATGAGTTGTTTATATTGATTACATACTGAAATGGTACCATTGGGCCAGGCGCAGTGGCTCACACCTGTAATCTCAGCACTGGGGGAGGCCGCGGCGGCGGAGGGTGGGGGTTACTTGAGGTCAGGAGTTTGAGACCAGCCTGGCCAATATGGTGAAACCCTGTCACTACTGAAAATACAAAAATTACCTGGGCATGGTGGCAGGCACCTGTAATCCCAGCTATTCAGGAGGCTGAAGCACAAGAATCACTTGAGCCCGGGAGGCAGAGGTTGCAGTGAGCCCAGATTACACCACTGCACTCCAGCCTGGGTGACACAGTGAGAATCAGTCTCACATAAATAAAAAAAGAAAAGATACTATTTTAAAATGGTTAAACAAAAATACATTATCGATGCCGGGCGCCGTGGCTTACACCTGTAATCCCAGGCCTTTGGGAGGCCAAGGTGGGTGGATCACTTGAGCTCAGGAGTTCGAGACCAGCCTGGCCAACATGGTGAAACCCTATCTCTACTAAAAATACAAAAATTAGCCAGGCGCGGTGGCACGAGCCCATAGTCCCAGCTACTCGGGAGGCTGAGGCAGGAGAATTGCTTGAAGTTGAAAGGTGGAGGTTGCAGTGAGCTGAGATTGCGCCACTGCACTCCGGCCTGGCTGACAGAGCGAGACTCTGTCTAAAAAAAAATTAAATAAATAAATAAATGTTTAAAAATGTGCGAGTTGTAACAAAAACCTGGGCTTGGGCAAAGGTCCTCTGAGTAGTTCTTCCCTCTGCAGTTACTTACCTTCCCTTGATTCACTACAAGCATCGCAACCTGTGACAAAGAAAAAAAGTGGAAGATTCCGCCTAAAGACCCAATGATTTCTGCCTATGAAACAAACAGAAAAGACTTCAGATGAATAAATCTTAATACACATGTGTTTGTCGGTTTAACTTCAGATTATCTAATAAGTTACAATGAAGGAAAGTCTTTTTTAGAAAAACAAATAATGCCCTCTGTGGAAATATGGCACTCAATTGGGTGCGGTGGTTCACGCCTGTCATCCCAGCACTTTGGGTGGCTGAGGCGGGTGGATCACCTGAGGTCAGCAGTTCGAGACCAGCCTGGTCAACATGGTGAAACCCCATCTCTACTAAAAATACAAAAATTAGCCGGGTGTGGTGGTAGGCGCCTGTAATCCCAGCTACTCAGGAGGCTGAGGCAGGAGAATCACTTGAACCCGGGAGGCAGAGGTTGCAGTGAGCCACAATCATGCCACTGCCCTCCAGCATGGGTGACAGAGTGAGACCTTGTCTCAAAAAAGAAAAGAAAAGAAATGTGACACTTGGGGCAAAAACTTGAAAGAAGACAGCTTTGGTTTGGGTGTTTGGAGAAAATGATATGACCCAGACTGCTAGAAGGCTGCCTGAGTCTTTCATTCCTGCCTGGGAGTCCTCATTCCTGATTGTTAGCTGGACAGCAAAGTGTCTAGCAGCTGACTTGGAACAGGAATCAAGGGCCCCACCTAGGGATAGTGAGACAGATTTCCATAGCAGCCCAGCTGGCTACCTCCCACATCTTGCA
The DNA here is from genome assembly GCF_000001405.40 of Homo sapiens. NCBI lineage: Eukaryota > Metazoa > Chordata > Mammalia > Primates > Hominidae > Homo > Homo sapiens. The sequence continues at coordinate 5,743,730 of NC_000019.10, read as the reverse complement.
GAGACAGAGACAGAGACAGAGACAGAGAGAGAGAGAGAGAGAGAGAGGAAGAGAGAGAGAGAGGAAGAGAGAGAGAGAGAGACAGAGACAGAGAGACTAAGACTGCTATCTTTTTTCTTTTTTTCTTTTTTTGAGATGGAGTCTCACTCTGTTGCCCAGGCTGGAGTGCAGTGGCACAGCCTCGGCTCACTGCAACCTCTGTCTCCTGGGTTCAAGCAATCCTCCCTGCCTCCCCATCTCAAGTAGCTGGGACTACAGGCACCTGCCACCATATTTGGCTAATTTCTGTTTTTTTAGTAGAAACGGGGTTTCGCCATGTTGGCCAGGCTGGTCTCAAACTCCTGACCTCAGGTGATCCGCCCACCTCGGCCTCCCAAAGTGCTGGGATTACAGCCATCAGCCACAGTGCCTGGCCTTGTTTGTTTTTGAGACAGAGTTACACTCTTGTCGCCCAGGCTGGAGTGCAATGGTGTGATCTCAGCTCACTGCAACCTCCGCCTCCTGGGTTCAATCGATTCTCCTGCCTCAGCCTCCCGAGTAGCTGGGATTACAGGCGCCTGCCACCACACCTGGCTAATTTTCTGTATTTTTAGTAGAGATGAGGTTTCACCATCTTGGCCAGGCTGGTCTTGAACTCTTGACCTCGTGATCCACCTGCCTTGTCCTCCCAAAGTGCTGGGATTACAGGCGTGAGCCATCGAGCCCAGCCTCAAGATCCTTAATTTAATCCCACCTGCAAAGTTCCTTTTGCCATGTCAGGAACCATATTCACAGGTTCCAGGAATTAGGATGTGGACACCTTTGGGGGTCTATTATTCTACCTGCCTTCAAGACCCTCCCTCCACCTATCCCATTAGGCAATTATGGGATCCATCTGCCCCTGGAAGGGACTCTAGATCCTGCTCCATCACTCCAACCAGTTTCTTTTCTTTTTCTTTTTTTGCAACAGGATATCTCTCCGTCCCCCAGGCTAGAGTGCAGTGGCACGATCACACCCCACTGTAGCGTCAGTCTCCCAGGCTCAAGCAATCCTCCAGCCCCCTGAGTAGCTGGGACCACAGGTACCTACCACCATTCCCAGCTCATTTCTTTTTCAATTTTTTGTAGATATGGTGGGGGGTGGGTCTCACTATGTTCCCCAGGCTGGTCTTGAACTCCTGAGCTCAAGTGATCCTCCTTCCTCGGCCTCCCAAAGTGCTGGGATTACAGGTGAGAGCCACTGTACCCAGCCGTCAATATATACAATTGATAGCAATAGGGGCTGACTCTTGTCCTGGCTGTAGCAGTGCTGAGAGCTCAACTATTCTCTGCGGTAACCTCTCCTCTTGAAATGTCCGTGATAAAAACAATTCCACTGCCACACGCACAAACATACATGCACACACACACATGTACACACATGCACACGCACACCCACACACACATTCACATACGTACACACGCACACACACGTACACACATGCACACGCACACCCACACACATTCACATACGTACACACACGCACACACATGTACACACATGCACACATGTACACGCACACACGTTCACATACATACACACACGCACACACACGTTCACACACGTACACACGCGCACACACGCACACACAAACGCTATTTTAGTAATAATTGGGAATTTTAGTGATGCTAGGTTTCCTTTTTTGTTTTTTTTGTTTGTTCTTTTTTTTTTTCCTTGAGACAGAGTTTCACTCTGTCACCCAGGCTGGAGTGCAGTGGCACGATCTGGGCTTACTGCAACCTCCTCCACCTCCCAAGTTCAAGTGACTCGCCTGCCTCAGCCTCCCAAGTAGCTGGGATTACAGGCACGCCAGCCGCCACACCCAGCTAATTTTTGCATTTTTCAGTAGAGACGGGGTTTCACCAAGTTGGCTTGGCTGGTCTTGAACTCCTGACCTCAAGTGATCCACACCACCCCCCCCCCCCCGCCTTCAGCATCCCAAAGTGCTGGGATTACAGGCTGAGGCACCGCGCCTGGACAGCGGTCATTTGATTTGAAGGCCACCTGATTTCAATGTGACCTCATTCTAGCTTAACTGATTACATCTGCAAAGGCCCTACTTCCAAGTCAGTTTCCTGCTATGGTTTGAATGATGGTTTCCCCTCCAAAATTCATGCTGAAATCCCCAATGTACTATCAATGTATGGTCTTTGGGATGAGCATCCTTATAAAAGAGCTCTACGTTGAAGAGAGCACTGTTCGTTGGTTCTTCTGCCTTCTGCTGTGTGAGGACGTGGCTCTTGCCCCTCCAGAGGACCCCCCAACATAGGCACCATCTTGGGAGCAGATTGCAGCCTTCACCAGAAAACAACCTTGCTGGCGTCTTGATCTTGGACTTCCCAACCTCCAGAACCATGACAAGTAAACTTCTGTTCCTTATAAATTACTCGGTCTCAGATATTTTGTTACAGCAGCAAAAATGCCAAAGACAGTTAGAGTCTGAAGTTCCAGGTTGACATAAATTTTGGGGGGACATTGGTTCAACCCGCTACAGTTTTCTCATCTGTAAAGTGAGCATGATGATGAACCTGATAGTACCAATCTTCAGGTGGGCATGTGGGTGTGTCATAAGTTAATGTGTTGCCTTTACTAGGGCATTAGCTTTTTTCTTTTCTTTTCTTTTTTTTAAGACAGGGTCTCACTCTGTCATCCAGACTGCAGTGCAATGGCGTTGTCTCAGCTCACTGCAACCTCCACATCCCAGGCTCAAACAATCCTCCTGCCTCAGCCTCCCAAGTAGCTGAGACTACAGGCATGCACCACCATGCCCGGCTAATTGTTATATTTTTGGTAGAGACAGGGTTTCCCCGTATTGCCCAGGCTGGTATTTAACTACTGGACTCAAGCGATCCACCTGCTTCAGCCTCCCAAAGTGCTGGGGTTACAAGTGTGAGCCACCATGTCCCTACACGGCTGGGCGCTAGCTTTTTTTTTTTTTTTTTTTTTTTTGAGACGGAGTTTCTCTGTTGCCCAGGCTGGAGTGCAGTGCCGCAATCTTGGCTCAAGCAACTTCTGCCTCCCGGGTTCAAGCGATTCTCCTGCCTCAGCCTCCCGATAGCTGGGATTACAGGCGTCCGCCAATACACCCAGCCAGTTTTTGTATTTTATTTTATTTATTTATTTTGAGATGGAGTTTCGCTCTTGTTGCCCAGGCTGGAGTGCACTGGTGCGATCTCGGCTCACTGCAACCTCCGCCTCCTGGGTTCAAGTGATTCTCCGGCCTCAGCCTCCCGGGTAGCTGGGATTACAGGCATGAGGCACCACGCCCAGCTAATTTTGTATTTTTAGTAGAGATGGGGTTTCTCCATGTTGGTCAGGCTGGTCTCGAACTCCTGACCTCAGGTGATCCACCCACCTCGGCCTCCCAAATTGCTGGAATTACAGGCGTGAGCCACTGCGCCCAGCTTATTTTATTTTATTTTATTTTTTTGAGACACTGTTTTGCTCTTGTTGCCCAGGCTGGAGTGCAATGGTGTGATCTTGGCTCACCGCAACCTCTGCCTCCCGGGTTCAAGCGATTCTCCTGCCTCAGCCTCCCGAGTAGCTGAGATTACAAGCATGTGCCACCACGCCCAGCCCATTTTGTACTTTTAGTAGAGACGGGGTTTCTCCATGTTAGTCAGGCTGGTCTTGAACTCCCAACCTCAGGTGATCTGCCCACCTCGGCCTCCCAAAGTGCTCAGATTACATGCGTGAGGCACCGCACCTGGCCTGTCACTAGCTTTTTATAAGTACTACTTAAATGGCATAAATGGTGCCATGATTTTGCCTGACCTAAAACTTTTTGTCTCTAACTTCCTAGGCTCCTGAGCTGGCTCCATTGACCTGGAATTTTCCCTAACCTCCCAGCCAGTGGACTTTTTTTTTTTTTTTGAGATGAGGTCTCGCTCTGTCACTCAAGCTGGAGAGCAGAGCTGTGATCATAGTCACCACAGCCTCAATCTCCCAGACTCCAGTGACCCTCCCACCTCAGCCTTCCAAGTAGCTAGGACTAAAACACACGCCACCACACCTGACTAATTTATTTATTTTTTTTATTTTTTGTAGAGATGGGGTCTTGCCATGTCACCCAGGCCGGTCTCAAACTCCTGGGCTCAAGCTATCCTCCTGCCTCAGCCTCCCAAAGTGCTGGGATTACAGGCATGAGCCACCACTCCTGTCCCAGTTGGACTCTTAAAGAGGAAAACACCCTCACGCACCCATTGACAGCAATTACTACAATCACAAGGTACATATGTATTTATTTTCACATTCTTACCAAATTTAACATACCTGTCTGTCATAGTGATACTTCCAAAAACTGAATCCCCCAGTATTTGAATAATATATATAAGTCTGGGATATCTGATCTCCACGGAAATATGCAAAAACCAAATTACTGACATGCTATAAAAAAAAAAAAGAAAGAAAGAATGAAAGAAAGATGCCAGCAAGTACGTTCCTGAACGTTTATCCCAGAGAAATGAAAACTCATGACTGAAAAAAACCTGGATGTCTGGACGTGACTGTTCGATGGGGCTGTTTCTGATAGCCAAAAAGTGGATACACGCCAGGTGCGGTGGCTCACGCCTGTAATCCCAGCACTCTGGGAGGCCGAGGCAGGCAGATCACTTGAGACCAGGAGTTCAAGACCAGCTTGGCCAACATAATGAAACCCCATCTCTCCTAAAAAATACCAAAGTTAGGCTGGGCGTGGTGGCTCACAACTGTAATCCCAGCACTTTGGGAGGCTGAGGCGGGCGGATCAGTTGACGCCAGGAGTTCAAGACCAGCCTGACCAACATAATGAAACCCTGTCTCTTAAAAAAAACAAAAACAAAAACAAAAACAAAAACAGGCCGGGCGTGTTGGCTCACGCCTGTAATCCCAGCACTTTGGGAGGCTGAGGCAGGTGGATCACTTGAGGCCAGGAGTTTGAGACCAGTCTGGCCAACATGGTGAAACCCCACCTGTACTAAAAATTAGCCAGGCGTGGTGCTGTGTACCTGTAGTCCCAGCTACTCAGGAGGCTGAGCCAGGGGAATCACTGAAGCCTGGGAGGCGGAGGTTGCAATGAGCCGAGATTGCGCCACTGCACTCTACCCTGGGTGACAGTCATAGACTGTTTATGTTATTAGTGAGGCTTCCAGGCAACAGTAGGCTATTAGTAATTAAGTTTGTTTTTTGGTTTGTTTTTGTTTCGAGACAAGTTCTGGCTCTATTGCCCCAGCCGAGTGCAGTGGCATGATCTCAGCTCACTATAACCTGCGCCTTCTGGGCTCAAGCCATCCTCCCACCCCAGCGACCTGAGTAACTGGGACTATAGGTGCTCACCACCATATCTAGCTATTTTTTTCTTTTCTTTTTTTTTTTTTTTTTTGTATTTTGAGTAGAGACAAGGTCTCACCATGTTGCCCATATTAGCCTCGAATTTGTAAGCTGGGATTACAGGTGACTGCCAGCACGCCTGGCTAATTTTTTGTATTTTTAGTAGAGACGGGGTTTCACTATGTTGGCCAGGCTGGTCTCGAACTCCTGACCTTGTGATCTGCCCGCCTCAGCCTCCCAAACTGCTGGGATTACAGGCATGAACCACCACGCCTGGACAGTAATTAAGTTTTGGGGAAGTCGAAAGTTACCTGTGGATTTTCAACTGTGTGGGGTGGAGGGTGGTACCTCTAACCTATACGTTGTTCAAAGGTCAACTATAGATGGATGTATTTATAGTGTCAGCCGGTGGATCTGAAAACGTCCCCAAAACCTTTTCCATCTCCCAACTGTGCTCTGAGCCCATGGGAAATAACACTGACCAAGTTCTTGAGACCCAGTCTCAAGCCTTACACTGTCCTTATTTCTTTATCTTTTTTCTTTTTTTTTTTTTTGAGATGGAGTTTCACTCTTGTTGCCCAGGCTGGAGTGCAATGGTGCAATCTCAGCTCGCTGCAGCCTCCGCCTCCCAGGCTCAAGGGATTCTCCTGCCTCAGCCTCCTGAGTAGCTGGGATTACAGGCACACGCCACCATGCCTGGCTAATTTTTTGTATTTTTAGTAGAGACAGGGTTTTGCCATGTTGGCCAGGCTGGTCTCGAGCTCCTGGCCTCAGGTGATTCCACCTCGGCCTCCCAAAATGCTAGATTACTACAGGCATGAGCCACCATGCCCAGTCTTTTTTTTTTTTTTTTTTTTTGACAGAGTCTTGCTAGTTGCCCAGGCTGGAGTGCAGTGGTGTAATCACGGCTCATTGCAGCCTCGATCTCCTGGGCTCAAGCAATCCTCCTGCTGTGGCTGGGACTACAGGCACATGTCACCACACCAAGCTAATTATTTTATTGTTTTGTAGAGATGGGGTTTCACTATGTTGCCCAGGCTGGTCTCAAACTCCTGGGCTTCAGCAATCCTCTTGCCTCGGCCTCCCAAAGTGCTGGGATTACAGGTATGAGCCACCACGCCCAGCCTTTATGTCTACTCATGATTATTTGTGTTCAGAGGAGAGCAAAAAAAAATGAACAATTATACACTTATACTTACCACACAAAACAAACTTCCAGTATAACAACAATTATCACCAGAGACATGTGTAACAGGGTGTTTTATACCTGAAAGGAAAATATAATTTTGAAATGTTTATGAGTTCCCTGAAGTTTGGAGAAAAGTTTTTTGTTTTTTGTTTTGTTTTTGAGACAGAGTCTTGCTCTGTCGCCCAGGCTGAAGTGCAGTGGCGTGATCCTGGCTCACTGCAAGCTCCACCTCCCGGGTTCATGCCATTCTCCTGCCTCAGCCTCCTGAGTAGCTGGGACTACAGGCACCCACCACCACGCCCGGCTAATTTTTTGTATTTTTAGTAGAGACAGGGTTTCACTGTGTTAGCCAGGATGGTTTCGATCTCCTGACCTTGTCATCCACCCACCTCGGCCTCCCAAAGTGCTGGGATTACAGGCGTGAGCCACCACACCTGGCCTAGAAAAGTTTATTTATTTACTTATTTATTTATTTGAGAGAGAGTCCCCCTCTGTCATCCAGGCTGGAGTGCCAGTGGTGCAATCTCTGTCGTCTAGGCTAGAGTGCAGTGGTGGCTCACTGCCACCTCCACCTCCCAGGTTCAAACGATTCTCCTGCCTCAGCCTCTCAAGCTGGAATTACAGGTGCCCACCACCATGCCTGGCTAATTTTTGCATTTTTAGTAGAGACGGAGTTTCGCCACGGTGGCCAGGCTGGTCTCAAACTCCTGACCTCGAGTGATCCACCCGCCTCGGCCTCCCAAAGTGCTGGGATTACAGGCATGAGCCACCGCGCCCAGCCTGGAGAAAAGTTCAGAACAGGGTTTCTCAGCCTCAACACTACTGAAATTTGGGAGCAGATGGTTCTCACTTGCGAGGAGTTTCCTATGCATTGTAGGATGCTTTTTAGCATCTGTATCTCTACCCACCACTCAATGCCAGTAGCACCTTCCTCTAGTCTTGACACCAAAAATGTCTCCAGACATTGCCAAGTGTCCTCTTGGGGGACAGAACTGCCCCCAGTTGGCCCGACTCGGTGGTTCACACCTGTAATCCTAGCACTTTGGGAGGCAGAGGTGGGCGGATCTCCTGAGGTCGGGAGTTCAAGACCAGCCTGGCCAAAATGGAGAAACCCTGTCTCTATTAAAAATACAAAATTAGGCCGGGCACAGTGGCTTATGCCTGTAATCCCAGCACTTTGGGAGGCTGAAGCGGGCGGATCATGAGGTCAGATCAAGACCATCCTGGCTAACACCGTGAAACCCCATCTCTACTAAAAATACAAAAAATTAGCTAGGCATGGTGGCAGGTGCCTGTAGTCCCAGCTACTCAAGAGGCTGAGGCAGAAGAATGGCATGAACCCAGGAGGCGGAGCTTGCAGTGAGCCGAGATCGCGCCACTGCACGCCATCCAGCCTGGGTGACAGAGCAAGACGCCGTCTCAAAAAAAAAAAAAAAAAAAATTAGCCGGGCATGGTGGCTCACGCCTGTAATCCCAGCACTTTGGGAGGCCGAGGTGACAGGATCACGAGGTAAATAGATCGAGATCATCCTGGCCAACATGGTGGAACCCCATCTATACTAAAAACATACAAAAATTAGCTGGGTGTGGTGGCACACGCCTGTAGTCCTAGCTACTCGGGAGGCTGAGGCAGGAGGATCACTTGAACCTGGGAGGTGGAGGTTGCAGTGAGCCGAGATTGTGCCACTGCACTCCATCCTAGTGACAGAGCGAGACTCCGTCAAAAAAAAAAAAAAAATTAGCTGGGCGTGGTGGCACATGCCTGTAATCCCAGCTACTCGGGAGGGTAAGGCAGGAGAATCGCTTGAACCCGAGAGGCAGAGGGTGCAATGAGCTGAGATCGTGCGATCGCACTCCAGCCTGGGCAACAACAGCGAAACTCCATCTCAAAACAAACTAACAAACAAAAAATTAGCCAGGCGTGGTGGCGGGTGCCTGTGACCCCAGCTACTCAGGAAGCTAAGGCAGGAGAATCGCTTGAACCCAGGAGGCAGAGGTTGCAGTGAGCCAAGACTGGGCCACTGTACTCCAGCCTGGGTGACCGAGTGAGACTCTGTCTCCAGAAAAAGAAAAGTAAGGTTTTTTGTAAAGATGGCATTCTGCTCTGTTGCCTAGGGTGGACTTGAACTCCTGGGCTCAGGCGATCCTCTTCTTTTCTAAAGCTAACATTTGCCTCATCTTCACTTTTCACATCCTCTTTCCTCCTGCATCAGAGTCCTCATCTTTCTCCCTCTTCATAAAGCTCACCTTCTCTACCGTCCCCTAGCCCTCGTGAGAAGTGTGTGGGAGGGACAATGCTCATAATCCAGCTTGGTTACCAGACATCTACTGGTCATCCTCAGTTTTCCCTGGTCCTCCCCGGACACCAGTCCATCACCAAGACCCGCTGATGTCCCTCGATTTTTTTTTTTTTTTAGACAGAGTCTCACTCTGTCATCCAGGCTGGGGTGCAGTGGCCCAATCTCAGCTCACTGCAACCTCCACTTCCTGGGCTCAAGGGATCCTCCTGCCTCGGGCTCCAGAGTAAGCTGGGATTACAGGCACACACCACCACACCCAGCTAATTTTTTTTTTTTTGAGACAGAGTTTTGCTCTTGTTGCCCAGGCTGGAATGCAGTGGCACAATCTCGGCTCACCGCAACCTCCACCTCCCAGGTTCAAGCGATTCTCCTGCCTCAGCCTCCCGAGTAGCTGGGATTACAGGCATGCACCACCACGCCCAGCTAATTTTGTATTTTTAGTAGGGACGGGGTTTCCCCATGTTGGTCAGGCTGGTCTCGAACTCCTGACCTCAGATGATCCGCCCGCCTCAGTCTCCCAAAGTGCTGGGATTACAGGCGTGAGCCACGGCACTCAGCCTAATTTTTGTATTTTTAGTAGAGACCGGGTTTCGCCATGTTGGTCAGGCTGGTCTCGAACTCCTGACCTCAGATGATCTGCCTACCGCAGACTCCCAAATTGCTGGGATCACAGGCGTGAGCCAGCGCACCCGGCCAATGCCTCTTGTTTGTTTCAATAAGCCCAAGTAGCTTTTGTGGCTTGTGACTACAATCCATGATGGGAACACTAGGTTCCCAGTCTACGGATGGGGACTCAGGCCAATTTTCATTTTGGTTGGAAAGGACAAAGTAATGTCCTGGGGTTGACATCCAAGTAGGAGCATCGCTTATACTTCCAACACTAATACCCTCTTCTCTCATGTTGACTACACTCAAACAAAATTTAAAAATACAAAATGTACATACCTAAAGACATGCTCCAAGAATTATTTTCATAATCATAAATATAGACTTTTTGATCCACTACTAACAGCAATAACGAACCAGCAAAATGTGCTGATGTCACTTCTGGTACGCCGACCTAAAAGTTATCATATGGATGATATCAATGAGAGCATCTTTTCAAACATTGATTCAGAAACGCAGACTTCTAGACATGCATTGAAAAAAAAAAAATGTATGGACGGGCGCGGTGGCCCTCGCTTGTAATCCCAGCACTTTGGGAGGCCAAGGCGGGTAGATCACCGAGGTCAGGAGTTTGAGACCAGCCTGGCCAACATAGTGAAACCCCGTCTCTACTAAAAATACGAAAATTAGCCAGTTGTGGCAGCAGGTGCCTGTAATCCGAGCTACTTGAGAGGCTGAGGCAGGAGAATCGCTTGATCCTAGGAGGTGGAGGTTGCAGTGAGCTGAGACTGGGTCACTCCAGCCTGGTGACAAGAGCAAAACTCTGGGAAAGAAAGAAAGAAAAGAAATAGAGAGAGAGAGAAAGAAAGAAAGAAAGGAGGAAGGAAGGAAGGAAGGAAGGAGAAGAAAGGAAGGAAGGAGGCAGAGAGGGAGGGAAGGAAGGAAGGAGGGAAGGAAGGAAGAAAGAAAGAAAGGAAAGAAAGAAAGAAAGAAAGAAAGAAAAAGAAAAAGAAAGAGACCAGGCGCAGTGGCTTACACCTATAATCCCAGCATTTTGGGAGGCCAAGGCAGGTGAATCACCTGAGGTGAGGATTTCAAGACCAGCCTGGCCAACATGGTGAAACCCTGCCTCTATTAAAAATACAAAAATTAGCTGAGTATGGTGGCAGGTGCCTATAGTCCCAGCTACTCGGGAGGCTGAGACAGGAGAATTGCTTGAACCCAGGAGGTGGAGGTTGCGGTGAGCCGAGATTGCACTACAGCTTGGGCAACAAGGGTGAAACTCCGTCTTGAAAAAAAAAAGAAAAAGAAAGAAAAGAAAAAAAACATTTATGGCCGAGCATGGTGGCTCACGCCTGTAATACCAACACTTCAGGAAGCCAAGGCAGGCGGATCACTCAAGGTTAAGAGTTCAATACCAGCTGGCCAACATAACAAAACCCCATCTCTACTAAAAATACAAAAAAATTAGCTAGGCATGGTGGTGCCTGCCTGTAATCCCAGTTACTCAGGAGTCTGAGGCACGAGAATCGCTTGAACCCAGGAGGCAGAGGTTGCAGTGAGCCGAGATTGCACCACTGCACTCCAGCCTGGGTGACAGAGACTCGGTCTCAAAAACCAAAAACAAAACAAAACAAAACAAAACAAAAAACACCATTTTCCATCCTGGCTGACATGGTGAAACCCCGTCTCTACTAAAAATACAAAAAATTAGCCGGGCGTGGTGGCGGGCGCCTGTAGTCCCAGCTACTCGGGAGGCTGAGGGAGGAGAATGGTGTGAACTCGGGAGGTGGAGGTTGCAGTGAGCTGAGATCACGCCACTGCACTCCAGCCTAGGCGACAGAGTGAGACTCCGTCTCAAAAAAAACAAAAACAAACAAACAAAAAACACCATGTATGCCAGCAATAGTTGGTTGGTTCTTAGATACTGAGAACTGTGTATCTTGGGGCCAGCTAGAACCAAGTTGAAGCTGGTCTTGGGTGCCCTGAGATACCTCAATTCATTCCATCTCCTCTTCCTTTATAAAAACCTTCCCTGAAGCTGGGCGTGGTGGCTCATGCCTGTAATCCTAGCACTCTGGGAGAACAAGACGGATCACCTGAGGTCAGGAGTTTGAGACCAGTCTGGCCAACATAGTGAAACACTGTCTCTACTAAAAAATACAAAAATTAGCCAGGCGTGGTGGCTAATTTTGGGGGTAATTCCAGCTACTCAGGAGGCTGAGGCAGGAGAATCGCTTGAACCCAGGAGGTGGAGGTTGCAATGAGCTGAGATCGTGCCACTGCCCTCCAGCCTGGGTGACAGAGGGAGACTCCATCTCAAAAAACAAAAACCACAAAATCAAATAAACAAACAAAACAAAACAAAACAAAACCTTCTTGGATGACAAAGCCTAAAGTATAAATGATGAATGACTAGCATTAACTGTTAAGTAGGCCGGGCGCGGTGGCTCACGCCTGTAATCCCAGCTCTTTGGGAGGCCGAGGCGGGTGGATCATGAGGTCAGGAGATCGAGACCATCCTGGCTAACAAGGTGAAACCCCGTCTCTACTAAAAATACAAAAAATTAGCCGGGCGCGGTGGCGGGCGCCTGTAGTCCCAGCTACTCGGGAGGCTGAGGCAGGAGAATGGCGTGAACCCGGGAAGCGGAGCTTGCAGTGAGCCGAGATTGCGCCACTGCAGTCCGCAGTCCGGCCTGGGTGACAGAGCGAGACTCCGTCTCAAAAAAAAAAAAAAAAAAAAAAAAAACTGTTAAGTGTCGCTTTTAGGAGAAATATTGGTATTTTCGATAATTGACAAAACTTTATTTTTATTTATTTATTTTGAGATAGTCTCAAGCTGCCACTCAAGCTGGAGTGCGGTGGCACAATCATAGCTCACTGCAACCTCTAGCTCCCGGCTCAAGCAATCTTCCCACCTCAGGCTCCTGAGTTGCTGGAACAACAGGCACGCACCACCACACCACCACACCACCACACTCGGCTAATTTCATATAGAGTTGGAGTTTCGTTGTGTTGCCCTGGGTAGTCCTGAACTCCTAGGGTCAAGCAATCTGCCCACCTCAGCCTCTTAAAGTGCTGGGGTTACAGGCGTGAACCACCATGTCCAGCCCAAAACTTTATTTAGCATAGGTGTCGATGGTATAATTTCTCAAATATTCACTAAGGGTGTGCTTTGGTTTAGGACAATTTGGGGGGCTCTTTTTTTTTTTTTTTTTGAGACGGAGTCTCGCTCTGTCACCCAGGCTGGAGTGCAGTGGTGCGATCACGGCTCACTACAAGCTCCGCCTCCTGGGTTCATGCCATTCTCCTGCCTCAGCCTCCCGAATAGCTGGGGTTGGAGTGCAGTGGCGCGATCTCGGCTCACTGCAAGCTCCGCCTCCCAAGTTCAAGCCATTCTCCTGCCTCAGCCTCCCAAGTAGCTGCGACTACAAGCACCTGCCACCACGCCCAGCTAATTTTTTTGTATTTTTAGTAGAGACAGGGTTTCACCGTGGTCTTAATCTCCTGACCTCCTGATGCGCCTGCCTCGGCCTCCCAAAGTGCTGGGATTACAGGCGTGAGCCACCGTGCCCAGCCGCCCAGGCTGGTGGTATTGAACTCCTGGACTCAAGTGAGCCTCCTGTCTTGGCCAATCAATGTGCAGGGATTACAGGCATCAGCCACTGTACCTGACTGAGGGAGTCTTGAAATTACTGCATGTAAAGTAAGATACCATCCCACCTATCTATTATTTATTTATTTATTTTATTTTATTATTATTTTTTAAGACAGAGTCTCCCTCTGTTGCCCAGGCTGGAGTGCAGTGCCTCGATCTCAGGCCACTACAACCTCCACCTCCTGGGTTCGAGTGATTCTCCTGCCTCAGCCTCCCAAGTAGCTGGGACTACAGGCCCGTGCCACCACGCCCGGGTAATTTTTGTATTTTTAGTAGAGACGGGGTTTCACCATGTTGGCCAGGATGGTCTCAGTCTCTTGACCTTGTGATCTGCCCGCCTCAGCCTCCCAAAGTGCTGGGATTACAGGTGTGAGCCACTTACCTGACCAAGGGAGGTCTTGAAATTACTGCATATAAAGTAAGATACCATCCCATCTATCTATTTATAATATAACCAATGTAAGGAAGAGGACCTACATCCACTCTTTTTTTCTTTTTCAGGAATAGAAAGTCTATTTTGGTAGTAGGGGCAGAATAAAACCAGCCCTTCTTTAGGCTTAGAAATTGCCCTTAATGTCTTGAAGAGGTACATTGTAAAATAAACCTCTAAACTAATAAAAACAGACCAGTCTGATATTTCTGAACTGTATTTTCCCCCAAATATTACTTATACTAGCATCCTTCAGATCACTCAGTAAAATAACTACCTGCATTGATGTAGGGATGGTAAATGGAAGGAGACTAGTCTCAAAGTTATCCATTGTGAAAAAAACTTGTTTCCTGAAATAAACAATAAATAAGTTAAATTAGGATAATGTCACACAAGGAAAGAAAAAAGACAATAGAGGTACTCTAAAATGTCTCCATTCAAACAAAATTTGTATTGTAACCAGGAGTCATTTAGATATAATTTACTTATTTTGCATAAATAAACCTCTACAGTCCAGGTGTTTGACTTCCAGAAATAATAGTTTAAATGTGTGAATACATCAAATATAAAACTATATAAAATGTACATTGAGTGGCAGGATGGACTTCAGTTTTATAATTTATATGGCTCTAGTTCCACTAACGTAAATAGTTTTAGACCAGGAATGTGTATATAAGAAATAAACAATTTGTTCCTTCATATGGGAAACTTTTAAATAGGAAAAGGCCATCCATGAACATGGTATATCATTTCATTATCCAGATCTCCTTCCCCAACTCCCCAGTAAATTTTATGGTTTTCAACAGAAAAGAATTACTGAGTTGGCCAGGTGTGATGGCTCATGCCTGTAATCCCAGCACTTTGGAAGCCAAGGCAGGCAGATCACCTGAGGTCAAGAGTTCGAGACCAGCCTGGCCAACATGTTGAAACCCCATCTCTACTAAAAACACACATAAAAATTAGCCTGGCATGGTGGTGCACACCTGTAATCCCAGCTACTTGGGAGGCTGAGGCAGGAGAATCGCCTGAACCTGGGAGGCAGAGGTTGCAGTGAGCCAAGATCATGCCACTGCACGCCAGCCTGGGCGACAAGAGTGAAACATTGTCTCAAAAAAAAAAAGATTTACTGAGTTAATTCCTATTCCTTTTAAAGTTTTTGTTGCCATCATGAATGGCATTTCTCATAATAGCCTTTAAAAAAGAGAGAGAGAGAGAGATGGATGGCCAGGTGTGGTGGCTCATGCCTGTAATCCCAGCACTTTGGGAGACCCAGGTGGGTGGATCACCTGAGGTCAGGAGTTCGAGACCAGCCTGGCCAGCATGGTAAAAACTCTGTCTTTACTAAAAATACAAAAATTAGTCAGGCGTGGTGGTGCACACCTGTAGTCCCAGCTACTTAGGAGGCTGAGGCAGAAGAATTGCTGGAACCCAGGAGGCGGAGGTTGCAGTGAGCCGAGATTGCGCCACTGCATTGCAGCCTGGGTGACAGAACAAGACTCTGTCTCAAAAAAAAAAAGAGAGAGAGAGAGAGAGATGGGTCTTGCTATGTTATCCAGGCTGGTTTTCAACTCCTGGGCTCAAGTGATCCTCCTGCCTCAGCCTCCCAGCCATAATTATGTTTTATAATTGGTCATGGCTGATTTATAAAAGAGCTGTTGATGACAGAGACGGTCTCTGTCATCCAGACATCCAGACGGGGTACAATGGTGTGCTCATGGCTCACTGTACCCCCTCGAACTCCTGTGCTCAAGTAAACCTCCTACCTCAGCCTCCCAAGTAGCTGGGACTACAGGTGCACACTGCCACCCCCAGCTAATTTTCTTTTTCTTTCTTTTCTTTTCTTTTTCTTTTTTTTTTTTTTTTTTGAGACAGAGTCTCGCTCTGTCGCCAGGCTGGAGTGCAGTGGTGCGATCTCAGCTCACTGCAACCTCCGACTCCTGGGTTCAAGTGATTCTCCTGCCTCAGCCTCCCGAGTAGCTGGGACTACAGGCGGGCGCCATCACGCCCAGCTAATTTTTGTATTTTTAGTAGAGACGGGGTTTCACCATGTTGGCCAGGCTGGTCTCAATCTCTTGACCTCGTGATCCCCCCACCTCGGCCTCCCAAAGTGCTGGGATTACAGAGGTTAGCCACTGCGCCTGGCCCACCCCCAGCTAATTTTCTGTATTTTTTTTTTTTTTTTTGTAGATACTGGGATCTTGCTATATTCCCAGGCTGGTCTTGAATTCCTAGCTTCCAGCGATCCTCCAGCGATCCTCCTGCCTTGGCCTCCCAAAGTGCTGGTACTATAGGCATGAGTCACTGCACCTGGCCTCCAGTCCCCTTTTTGATGCTGCCAGACTGATGTCTTGAATACAAACAGGAGTCATGCAGCCCCACATCCTCCACTACCCTCAGGGTGAGGGTAAGCATCCTGGCATGGTGGACATACCTGGTTTCCTAACCTGCTACCCTTACGAACTCACGTGCATGCTAAGCATGGTGTTTTTATTCCTTTGAATGCTCTGCTCTAAGCCCATACACATCTGGTTGCTCCCACCATCCCAGTGAACTCCTATTCATCCTTCAAAACCCAGTTTTGTCATCAACTCCCCAGTGGAAACTTCCTAGGCATTTTTTCCTGAGGCATCCCAACAGTGCTTATACCAAGCATCTTTGACAGGTGGTACCACACTATACTGCAGTTGTTTTAGTTACTGGCTGATCTCTTCATTTCCCTTCCTCCAATTCCAGCCCCTGACTATGGACTCCCTACAGGCCAGCAACTAGCAACACACGGCAGAGCCATCTTCTTTACTGTTTGTTGAACGAATGAATGGGGCAAATCTAAAGATTTAATTTAAAAGGAAGGTAACAGTACATAAAATTGCCACTTACCCTAGATATAGTGCTATATTTTTCTCGCAAGGATGTTTAATCAAGCGTGTTGTTGTAGGATGAAAATACAGGCGGTCCTAGAGAGATAATCACAAAATCTTAATAATATCAATAACCATAAACAGCTGATAGAAATAATTTTTTTTTTTGAGACAAGAGTCTCGCTCTGTTGCCCAGGCTGGAGTGCAGTTGCACAATCTTGGCTCACTGCAAGCTCCGCCTCCCAGGTTCACACCATTCTCCTGCCTCAGCCTCCCGAGTAGCTGGGACTACAGGCGCCCGCCACCATGCCCGGCTGGTTTTTTCTATTTTTTTTGTAGAGACAGGGTTTCACCATGTTAGCCAGGATGGTCTCGATCTCCTGACCTTGTGATCCACCTGCCTTGGCCTCCCAAAGTGCTGGGATTACAGGCGTGAGCCACCACGTCCGGCCAGAAATAATTTTTAATACGCACTATTATCAACATAAAGGGTGAAATCTGAATTAGGTAGGTGGAATGTACCAATGTCATTTTCCTGTTTTGACCTCGTACTATGATCATGTCAGATGTGACTGCTGGGGGAAGCTGGCAGAAGGGCTTGGGACCTCCCTGTACTGTTTTTGCAACTTGCTGTAAATCTATAATTATGTCCAAATAAACAGTTTTTTTAATTCACAGGGTGGGCCAGGTGCGGTGGCTCACGTCTGTAATCCCAACACTTTGGGAGGCTGAGGCAGGAGGATTTCTTGAGGCCAGGAGTTCGAGACCAGCCTAAGCAGCATAGCAAGACCACATCTCTACAAAAAACATAAAAATTGGCTGGGCATGGTAGTGCATGCCTGTAGTCCCAACTACTGGGGAGCCTGAGGCAGAAGGATGGCTTGAGCCCAGGAGTTTTAGACTGCAGTGAGCTATGATCTCAGCACTGCACTACATCCTGGGCAATAAAGAGATACACTGTCCCTAAAAGAAATGATAATTTAAAAATTAAAAAAATTCAGGCCAAACACAGTGGCTCACCCCTGTAATCCCAGCACTTTGGGAGGCCGAGGTGGGCAGATCATGAGGTCAGGAGGGAGTTTGAGACCAGCAGGGCCAACATGGTGAAACCCCGTCTCTACTAAAAATACAAAAATTAGGTGGGTGTGGTGGCGCACGCCTGTAATCCCAGCTACTTGGGAGGCTGAGGCAGGAGAATGGCTTAAACCCAGGAGAAGGAGGTTGCAGTGAGCCAAGATTGTGCCACGGCACTCCAGCCTGGGTGACAGAGCAAGACTCCATCTCAGGAAAAAAAAAAAAAAAATTAACAGGGTAATTATTCATATCACATCTCATACCTATTCATGTTACTATTTGTTTACAGATGATTAGTTATTTGAAAGTCCAGAGAATGATGAATATTAACATGTTAGAAACCAGTCACTTGAAGATTGTTTCAAAATGCTGACACCATTTTGAAATTATGCATCTTTTTTGGCTCTGTCGCCCCAGGCTGGAGTGCAGTGGCACGATCTTGGTTCACTGTAACCTCTGCCTCCTGGGTTCAAGCAGTTCTCCTGACTCAGCCTCCCGATAGCTGGGATTACAGGCATGCGCCACCGTACCTGGCTAATTTCTGTATTTCTAGTAGAGACGGGGTTTCACCATATTGGCCAGGCTGGTCTTGAACTCCTGACCTCAGGGATCCGCCCGCCTCGGCCTCCCAAAGTGCTGGGATTACAGGCATAAGCCACCTCACCTGGCCAAAATTATGCAATTTTGTCAATAGGAAACGAATTTGAACTGACAGAATATTTTTTCTTCATGCATTTTAAGCATGAAGTAAACTGACATTTCCTGTGACATTACATGAGGTAAACAAAGTAACAGGGTTTGCTTCTACTGTTACTATGCATTTTAAAATCTCCCATCAAGGCTGGGCACGGTGGTGAACGTCTGTAATCCCAGCACTTTGGGAGGCTGAGGCAGGTAGGTTACTTAAGTCCAGGAGCTCGAGACCAGCCTGGGCAACATGGCAAAACCTCATCTCTACAAAAATACAAAAATTAGCTGCGCATGGTGGCACACACCTATAATCCCAGCTACTAGGGAGGGTGAGGCATGAGAATCGCTTGAGCTGGGGAGGCAGAGGTTGCGGTGAGCCGAGATTGCGCCACTGCACTCCAACCTGGGCAACAGTGCAAGACCCTGTCTCAAAAAATAAAATCTCCTATCTGAGAGAGAAGTAAACAGAACACTCGATAAAAACTCAGACCATCTTAGTTCTATTCCCACTTCTTCCTCTTGGCGTTGTTCAGATGACTTGATCTCTCTAAACTTGTTTCTCAGTGAAATGGGAAAGATTAATCCCTATTTCAAAGGGGAAAGAACTGTAAAGACTGAATAAAGTAATGATCTTAAATGCTTGACAACACGGGCACCCAAGAAATACCAGGAAGTGTTACCTCTGATCCTGTACTTAGACAAAAGTGAAGGATGAATTTAAGCATGGAGCCACATACCCCTTGAACGTCCTGTATCAGATTAAACACTTTTCCTGTCCTCACTGTGCGAGAACTAGAAGTGACAAGAAAGACCATCTGTCAATTTTTATTGAATATTCAGCATGAATCCTCCTACTCAGCCAACTCAGGGTTAACCCTAAAGTATCTGTTCTTTTTTGGGGGGGACGGAGTCTCACTCTGTCGCCCAGGCTGGAGTGCAGTGGCAAGATCTTGGCTCACTGCAACCTCCGCCTCCCAGATTCAAGTGTTTCTCCTGCCTCAGCCGCCAGAGTAGCTGGGATTACAGGCGCGCGCCACAACACCTAGCTAATTTTTTATATTTTTAGTAGAGATAGGGTTTCACCACATTGGCCAGGCTGGTCCTGAACTCCTGACCTCGTGATCTGCCTGCCTTGGCCTCCCGAAGTGTTGGGATTACAGGCGTGAGCCACTGCGCCCAGCCAAGTATCTGTTCCTGATGCTTTTCGGGTTATAGGAGGCCCTAGAAAATTGGATGAGGCTGGGCGTGGTGGCTTATGTCTTTAATCCCAGCACTTTGGGAGGCCGAGGCAGGTGGATCACTTGAGGTCAGCAGTTCAAGACCAACCTGGCCAACTTGGTGAAACCCCATCTCTACTGAAAATACGAAAATTAGAGCCAGGTGCGGTGGCTCACACCTGTAATCCCAGCGCTTTGGGAGGTCAAGGTGGGTGGATCAGCTGAGGTCAGGAGTTCGAGATCAGCCTGGCCAACATCGTGAAATCTCGTCTCTACTAAAAATACAAAAAAGTTAGGCACGGTGGCTCACACCTGTAATCCCAGCACTTTGGGAGGCCAAAGCGGGTGGATCACCTGAGGTTGGGACTTCGAGACCAGCCTGAGCAACACGGAGAAACCCTGTCTCTACTAAATATACAAAATTAGCCTGTAATATACAAAATTAGCGTGTGGTGGCGCATGCCTGTAATCCCAGCTACTCAGGAGGCTGAGGCAGGAGAATCGCTTGAACCCGGGAGGCGGAGGTTATGGTGAGCTGAGATTGCACCATTGCACTCCAGCCCGGGCAACAAGAGTGAAACTCCATCTCAAAAAAAAAAACAAAAACAAAACAAAACAGGCTAGGTGTGGTGGCTCACGCCTGTTAATCCCAGCACTTTAGGAGGCCGAGGCGGGTGGATCACGAAGTCAGGAGATCGAGACCATCCTGGCTAACACGGTGAAACCCCGTCTCTACTAAAAACACAAAAAAATTAGCCGGGCGTGGTTGCGGCACCTGTAGTCCCAGCTACTCGGGAGGCTGAGGCAGGAGAATGGTGTGAACCCAGAAGGCAGAGCTTGCAGTGAGCCGAGATGGCGCCATTGCACTCCAGCCTGGGCAACAGAGCGAGACTCCGTCTCAAAAAAAAAAAAAAAAAAAAAAAATTAGCTGGGCAGGGTGGCGGGCGCCTGTTATCCCAGATACTCAGGAGGCTGAGGGCTGAGGCACTAGAATCGCTTGAACCTTGGAGGCAGAGGTTGCAGTGAGTTGAGCTCTTGCCACACTGCACTCCAGCCTGGGCGACAGAGCAAGCCTCCGTCAAAAAATAAAATTTGTATGAAACTCCTCTCCCAGAAACAGACATAAGTACACACAAAATGTAGAAATGATTTCTGAAAATTTCTTTTTTCTTTTTCTTTTTCTTTTTTTTTTTTTTGAGACAGAATCTCGCTCCGTCGCCCAGGCTGGAGTGCAGTGGCGCGATCTCAGCTCACTGCAAGCTCCACCTCCCGGGTTCACGCCATTCTCCTGCCTCAGCCTCCCGAGTAGCTGGGACTACAAGCGCCCGCCACCACACCGACTAATTTTTTGTATTTTTGGTAGAGACGAGGTTTCACCGTGTTAGCCAGGATGGTCTCGATCTCCTGACCTCGTGATCCGCCCGCCTCCACCTCCCAAAGTGCTGGGATTACAGGCGTGAGCCCCCGCGCCCGGCCAAGAATTTCTAAAGGCTCCTTCACAGACCCCAGCTGAGGAAAATTATGAAGTCCTGCAACAAGGTATTCGGGGCTCCTTAAGGGAGTGTGTGGTGACTGGAAGGATGGTATAGTTTACAGCAGAGGTGCTCAATCTTGAATATGCATCAGAATCACCGGGGTTGCGGGGGGGGGGGTCTTGATAAACCACCGTTTGCTGGGTCCCACTGCCAAGTCCCCGACTCAGTAGGTCCAGGGAACTGCATTTCTAACCAATTATAATAAATTCCAGGTGATCTTGATGCTGCTGGTCCAGGGACCATTCTTTGAGAGCCTGTGTGGGGAAATGAGAGAACTGGATATAACCCACATTTTCAGAACTCGAGACAAATCCTATTAGTAAATTTCACTGGAAAATGTTTCTCCCACTTACTAGGTATGTGTTGTTAGGCAAGTGTGTCTTTAACTTTCCTAAGTATGCTTTCGTATCTATAAAATAAGGGTGTTGGCCGGGCGCGGTGGCACACGCCTGTAAGCCCAGCACGTTGGGAGGCCGAGGCAAGTGAATCACGAGGTCAGGAGTTCGAGACCAACCTGGGCAACATGGTGGAACCCTGTCTCTACTAAAAACACAAAAAATTAGCTGCACGTGGTGGCAGGCGCCCATAATCCCAACTACTCTGGAGGCTGAGGCAGGAGAATTGCTTGAACTTGGGAGGCGGAGGTTGCAGTGAGCCGAGACCGTGACATTGTACTCCAGCCTGGGCGACGAGAACAAGACTCCATCTCAAAAAAATAAAATAAGGGTATGGCTGGGCATGGGTGGCTCATGCCTGTAATCCCAACACTTTGGGAGGCTGAGGCAGGAGGATCACTGGAGCCTAGGAGTTCAAGACCAGCCTGGGCAAAACAGTGAGACCCCATCTCTTTTTTTTTTTTTTTCCTTTGAGACAGAGTCTCCCTTTGTCACCCAGGCTGGAGTGCGATCTCAGCTCACTGCAACCTCCACCTCCTGAATTCAAGCGATTTTTCTGCCTCAGCCTCCCAAGTAGCTGGGATTACAGGCACCTGCCACCAAGCCTGGCTAATTTTTGTATTTTTAGTAGAGACGAGGTTTCATCATGTTGGCCAGGCTGGTCTGGAACTCTTGACCTCAAGTGAGTGATCTGCCCACCTCTACCTCTCAAAGTGTTGGGATTACAGGCGTGAGCCACTGCACCCAGCCAGTGAGACCCCATCTGTACAAAAAATAATAATAAATAAAATAAAATAAGGTTAAGGAATCATTATGAATCTTCCTGTAAACATCAAATGAGGCCATACACCCTAAGAATACAGCTCACAGGTCCCTACTGAATGTGACAGTTTAGTCCAGATGGGAGTTCCCTGAGGGCAGGAACGGAGTTTCAGCAACTGGTCCCCATGGCAGGTTGGAGTATGCACTAACCTAACATTTACTGAAATTTCAAAATGTGCTGGGTAAGGCTGGGCGCGGTGGCTCACGCCTGCAATCCCAGCACTTTGGGAGGCGGGGGTTGCAGTGAGCAGAGATCGCGCCACTGCACTCCACCCTGGGAAACAGAGCAAAAACTCCGGCTCCAAAAAGAAAAAGAAGTGGGAGGGCTAGGCCCGGCGTGGTGGCTCACGCCTGTAATCCCAGCACTTTGGGAGGCCGAGGCAGGCGGGTCACGAGGTCAGGAGATCGGGACCATCCTGGCTAATACGGTGAAACCCCCGTCTTTACTAAAAATACAAAAAAAAATTAGCCGGGCGTGGTGGCAGGCGCCTGTAGTCCCAGCTACTCAGGAGGCTGAGGCAGGAGAATGGCGTGAATCCGGGAGGCGGAGCTTGCAGTGAGCCGAGATCGCGCCACTGCACTGCAGCCTGGGCGACAGAGCGAGACTCCGTCTCAAAAAAAAAAAAAAAAAGAGGTAGGAGAGCTTAATATCGGGCTGGGAGGATGGGGTGGAGTAGGGTGAGCGAGGCGTCAAGTTCGATTCCTAAAAAGAGTAAAAGGGGAGCCTCAGTGAGGTTGGGGAGCAGGCCTCGGCTCCAAGATGAACCAGCACCCTCCCGACCCCCGGCAGCACCCCAGCCCCAGGAGTCCTGGCAGCCCCACCGACAGAGCTGAGCTGTGACCAGCGGTCGGAGCCACATGGTCACAGCCGCCACCAGCATCAACATCAGCATCGACTTGGGCTTCCGCCGCCACCACTGCCCCTCAACCGCCACGGGGAGTCGCTGCACAATCCGAGTACGTGCAGGCTGAAGCCCTGCGCATGCGCATCAATGAGTCCCGGGAGCGGGCCTCCGCGCACTGCAGCCCGGCGCTCCGCCTGAATCTTGAGCATGCGCAGACGAATCCCGGGAAGCCCGAATCCGCGCACCCCAAAGTGCGCTCAGAGCCTGAGTATGCGCACCCGGCCACCCGTGGCCAGTCTAGAGTCTGAGCATGCGCATGTTGTCCGCGCGCCTAAGCATGTGCACAGGCTGCTCATGAGTTCCTAAACGTTGCGTTTGCAACACTACCAGTGTTTTGTACGGGCGCTGGCGCCTGCTCACAGCCTTCCACGTGACCGGAAAAGGCCTTCAGCGCATAAAGTGGGAGACCGGAAGAGGCGGAGACGATCCGATGCTCGAACTCCGCCCCCTCTTCTCCGCGTAGGCCCAGCTCCCTGAAGCGGCTGTTTCGAGCCACGCGCCCATCGGGTACCGAGGCACGCGCCGGGCGTCACGTGCGTTTCGCGGCGAGCGGAAATGACGCGAGTTGTGTGAGCCGCCAGTATGGCCGGGCTATGGCGGCGAGCACTGGCTACGTGCGACTGTGGGGAGCGGCGCGGTGCTGGGTGCTGCGGCGGCCGATGCTGGCCGCCGCCGGGGGGCGGGTTCCCACTGCAGCAGGAGCGTGGTTGCTCCGAGGCCAGCGGACCTGCGACGCCTCTCCTCCTTGGGCACTGTGGGGCCGAGGCCCGGCAATTGGGGGCCAATGGCGGGGGTTTTGGGAAGCGAGCAGCCGCGGCGGAGGCGCATTCTCGGGGGGCGAGGACGCCTCCGAGGGCGGCGCGGAGGAAGGAGCCGGCGGCGCGGGGGGCAGCGCGGGCGCCGGGGAAGGCCCGGTCATAACGGCGCTCACGCCCATGACGATCCCCGATGTGTTTCCGCACCTGCCGCTCATCGCCATCACCCGCAACCCGGTGTTCCCGCGCTTTATCAAGATTATCGAGGTAATGGGAGTCCCCGCCTCGGCCTCAGGTTTCCCACCTGTGCAAGCAGCGGGCTGAACCGTGGGATCACTTGAGCGCCCTTGTGTTTCGCAACTTTTTCAGACATGAAGTTTCTCGAAGGGTGCAGTTCGAATCCTTGTCTGCTCACCACTAGCTTGGGAACCTTGAGCCAAAGTCCTCTCCCTTTCGGATTTCTTAGGATCCGTTAGATGAGAGGAGTTGAACCCGATGAGCCTAGGATTATCCACTTTAGAACGCCGGTCATAGAAATCCGGGGCCGGGAGGGACCTGAGTAGTGTTACGGCGCTGTTAGTTTTCTCCTTACTTGGCACGAGTTTTGTAATACCTCCTCGCCCCAGGCGCTCTGCCGTCTGGTTACGAGCCTCACTGGGATCAGAATTCATTCCTTTCTTAGACAAATACTTCTTGATTGCTTATTATTTGCCAGAGAGTGTTCTAGGTTCTGGGGATATGGCAGTGAACAAAACAGACAAAAATTTCTGCCTTTGAAGCTGGGCATGGTGGCGCGCGCTGTACTCCCAGCTACTCTGGCGGCTGAGGTGGAAGGATTGTTGGAAACCTGGAGTCCAGCCTGGTCAACATGGCGAGACCCTGTCTCTTAAAAAATAAATCTGCCTTGGAGCTTACATTTTGGCAGGATGAGACAGGCAATAAAGATGTTTAGTAACGATATTGTATTAGAAGGCAATAATTACGAGAAATAGTAGAGCATGGATGGGACAGGAGGCTTAGGAGGGTGGGAAGAGGTGGGTTATTCAGTGTGTTCTTGACCTCCTACCACGTAGCAAGTTCTGAGAATACTGTAGAGAACAAGTCATTCCGGTGGTAGAAATTAGATCATTTCAGACTAAGAGCCTTGGGGGTGGGGAGGGAGCAGGATGATGTAATAGAGAGAAAGCAGTGAGTGTAAGGAACTTGAGCTTTTACAGTAGGAAGGCCCCAAAAGCCTTCTCCCCCAGCTCCCCTTCCCTTAAAAAAAAAAACTACTGATGTGGAAAGTGGCATCTATGGGAAGGTTATCTCCTAACTGGCAGAGCAAGGTCACGCAGTGAGTCAGCCTCTGCGCTCACTCTCCAGACTCTTCTAAACAAATCTCAAGGATCTGTTGGGAAGGGAAAGGCCATTTCAGAGGGGCAGCAGCCAGTAGAGAGGGGACAGAGGGAGCTTCTCCAACGCTGCTCCAAGATTTTTTTTTTTTTTTTTTTGAGACCAAGTTGCACTCTGTCATCTAGGCTAAAGTGCAGTGGCGCGATTTCAGCTCACTGCAACCTCTGCCTCCCGGGTTCAAGTGATTCTCCTGCCTCAGCCCCCTGAGTAGCTGGGATTACAGGCGCCCGCCACCGTGGCTGGCTAATTTTTCTATTTTTAGAAGAGACAGGGTTTCACCATGTTGCCCACGCTCGTCTCGAACTCCTGACCTCAAGTGATTCACCCGCCTCAGCCTCCCAAAGTGCTGGGATTGCAGGTGCGAGTCACTGCGCCCGGCCCCAAGGCCTTTCCTTGATGTTGAGTACTGGTTACTGATGCAGGCCCCCAGAGCAAGACCTTGTGGGGTCCTATCCTAGCTCCATAACCTTCAGCAAGTTATTCCTTTGGCTTCCCTCTTCTCATCTGTGACCTGGACATATTAGTGTCTTATTAGAGTTGTTGTGGGATTTAAATGAGGCCATGTGGGCTGGGCACGGTGTCTCACATGTTTAATCCCAGCACTTTGGGAGGCTGAGGCAGGAGCATAATTTGAAACCAGTATGGTCAACATAGACCCTGTCTCTACAAAAAAAAAAAAAAAAAGAAAGAAAGAAAAGCCGGGCACAGTGGCATGCACCTGTCTTCCCAGCTACTTGGAAGGCTGAGGCAGGAGGATCACTTGAAACTGGGAGATCAAGGCTGCAGTGAGCCATGGTGTCACCACTGCACTGCAGCCTGGGCAACAGAATGAGGCCCTGCCTCAGCAATAACGTGATGCTGTTTCCTCTTTGGTGTACTTCTGACATTTCAGGACTCTGCCCCGGAGGCCTTTTTCCCATCCTTGACTTCACCCCTGGCAGTTCTCTTTACCCTCCCAGGTTTCTGGGCCCAGGATGGTGTTCATCAGGCCTGGTCCCCTCCGTTCTGCAGAGCGACAGATGCCCCTTGCTCCCGGTGCCTGAGCAGAGAGATGATTCTTCTAAGAGAGTTCAGACGGCCCACGTGGAGCTAGCCAGGAGAGTTAAATGAGTGGCTGCAGATAGTATTTGGGAGACTGGCAGGTGGTTCTCATTGTATTTCTGGTTGATGATGCATTGTAAATCATAAAAATGGATCCTGCCAAGGCCAGGAGGCAGATGCCAAGGATGCAGCTATCAGCTGTTGGCAGAGGGGAAATTGGGAGGCAACTTCTTTGGGACCCAATAAATGTTTCTGAAATTGTTAGCAAAGCTTGATTTACTCTTCAGTTTGTACTTGACTTGTCTGGCCAACTTGCTCTAGAAGCTTCTCTCCTATTAGCAACTTTTGAGTAAGGAACAATGGCTCTTAATTTTTGGTGGGTATTAAAGAATAAATCATAAGTGTTAGAAGTATTAGTTTCTTTTAAAAACTAACTTCGTGGGCTGGGCGCGGTGGCTCACGCCTGCAATCCCAGCACTTTGGGAGGCTGAGGTGGGCGGATCACGAGGTCAGGAGATCGAGACCATACTGGCTAACAAGGTGAAACCCCGTCTCTACTAAAAATACAAAAAAATTAGCCTGGAGTGGTGGTGGGCGCCCGTAGTCCCAGCTACTCGGGAGGCTGAGGCAGGAGAATGGTGTGAACCCAGGAGGCGGAGCTTGCAGTGAGCTGAGATCGCTCCACTGCGCTCTAGCCTGGGCGACAGAGCAAGACTCTGTCTTAAAAAAAAATTGCTTCCCTCCTTTGTTCAGGTGTGCTCTGCTCTCGCCATTGTTCCATCTGCGAGGAGCACCCTTTCTTCAGAAAGTAAAATTGTCTTGCTAAGAAAACTTTTTGTCCAAATGCTAATTTTTCCTTACAGTACAGAGGTACAAGCGTTCTGTCTCTAAACAAACATTTTACTTATAACAGTGGGTCACACACCCTCCTGTCAGATGTTACTGACTTTTTTTTTTCTGGGAACAGAAAAAAAAAAAATTATGTATCTATAGTGTCAGGAATTTCTGGACCACAAGTTAAGAGCCTGTGTTAGGGAGTGAGTCAAAACACTGGCTCTCAAAGGATGGTTGTGGACCAGCAGCATCGGCATCATGTGATGCTCTTTTGTTTGAAATGCAGATTTTTGGACCCACCCTAGAACTGAATCAAAAACTCCAAGGGTGGGGCCCAGCAGTGAGCTGCTTAAAGTCCTTCAGGTCATCCTGGTGCCTGCAAAAGTTTGAGGGCCATTACTATATATATATATATATATATATATATATATATATATATATGTATATTTTAACTTTATTATATAATAAAGAATTAAAAACTTCAAAAAGAAAATAGAGATGGGGTCTCACTGTGTTACCCAGGCTGGTCTCAAACTCCTGGGCTCAAGCGATCCTCCCACCTCAGCCCCGCAAAGTGCTGGGATTACAGGCATGAGCTACCATTACCAGGCTAGCCAGGCCATTACCTTTAATCAGGGTCTGTCCAGTGAATTAACAAAGGCTTGAAAGAAATCAGGTGAGCTCCTTGCGCCTTCAAATGCTTCTTAGAAGACATCATTAGCCCTGAACCTGCCGTTGAGAATGTGCTGTGATCCTGGGGGTCTTGATCATTAATGAACAGCATATGATGTGATAAGGAAGTAACTGTCAATGAAAATTGGAGGAACCAGGCATGGTGGCTCATGGCGAAACTCCGTCTCTACTAATAATACAAAAATTAGCGAGTGCAGTGGCGTGTGCTTGTAACCCCAGCTATGTGGTAGGATGAGTTGGAAGAATCGCTTGAACCTGGGAGGTGGAGGTTGCAGTGAGCCGAGATTGCACCAGTGCACTCCAGCCTGGGTGGCAGAGTGAAACTTTCTTTTTTTTTTTTTTTTTTTTTTTTTTTTTTTTTTTTATGAGACAGAGTCTCACTCTGTCGCCCAGGCTGGAGTGCAGTGGCGTGATCTTGGCTCACTGCATGCTCCGCCTCCCGGGTTCACGCCATTCTCCTGCCTCAGCCTCCCGAGTAGCTGGGACTACAGGTGCCCGCCACCACGCCCGGCTAATTTTTGTATTTTTAGTAGAGACGGGGTTTCACCGTGTTAGCCAGGATGGTCTCGATCTCCTGACCTTGTGATCTGCCCGCCTCGGCCTCCCAAAGTGCTGGGATTACAGGCGTGAGCCACCGCGCCCAGCCTGAAACTTTATTAAAAAAAAAAAAAAAAGGAAGTTATCAATCTCTGGAGTGGGTCACATTTAAATTACTTATGTTTATTCTGACATTAATAAAAGCAGAATGGTTTTGATTTTCAAACCAAGACAGTTTGCCCTGGACATCCCCTTTGAAGCTGGATGTTAAATCAATTTCTGGGTTCTGACCATTCGTCTACTTTGAATTTCCTTTGGGAGTGGGGAAACCGCTAAGAAGAATCCAGCTGGTCAGTTCTGCTCACTGTATTCACCACCACAGCCTCCTGGCCTCCAGCACTTTTTTTTTTTTTTTTTTTTTTTTGTTTAGGCGTTCCCAAACCATGTTGATTAGTATCCAGGATGCGGATCAGCATGTCCCCAGAGAATAATCTACACAGCGTTAGAGCGGCTCTGCTGTCAAAAAATGTCAGCTACAAAAGCTACCCTGGGAGGCCGGGCGTGGTAGTTTACGCCTATAATCCCAGCACTTTGGGAGGCTGAGGTGGGTGGATCACGAGGTCAGGAGTTAAAGACCATCCTGGCCAAGATGGTGAAACCCCATCTCTACTAAAAATACAAAACAATCAGCCGGACCTGGTGGCGGGCGCCTGTAATCCCAGCTACTCAGGAGGCTGAGGCAGAGAATTGCTTGATCCCGGGAGGCGGAGGTTGCAGTGAGCTGAGATCATGCCACTGCACTCCAGCCTGGGTGACAGAGCGAGACTCCGTCTCAGAAAAAAAAAAAAAAAAGAAAAGCTACCCTGTGCTGCGTTTGGTGGCTCACGCCTATAATCCCGGCATTTTGGGAGGCTGAGGTGGGTGGATCACCTGAGGTCAGGAGTTCGAGACCAACCTGGCCAATATGGTGAAACCCCATCTCTACTAAAAATAAAAAAATTAGCCAGGTGTGGTGGTGCATGCCTGTAATCCCAGCTACTCAGGAGGCTGAGGCAGGAGAATCCCTTGAACTCAGTGGGGGTGGAGGTTGCAGTGAGCTGAGATCACGCCATTACATTCCAGCCAGGGCAACAGAATGAGACTCTGTCTCAAAAAAAAAATCTACTCTGCATTTCACTTTGGGGTCATTGTCATGCTAGGTTAAAAATAAGAAGTTGGTTGAGCTGCTGAGAAGGAAAGTTCGTCTCGCCCAGCCTTATGTCGGCGTCTTTCTAAAGAGAGATGACAGGTAAGTGTGATTTTTCCTTCATTCCCTTGTTGACGGTGCCCTAGAGTCCAGCTCACCACAAGTCCTACTCTGTACTTTGCACCTTTGACCCCTGACCCCGAGGAAACCAGGGAAGACCTCCAGAATAAAGGCCAGAAGCCACGCAGGCTACCTTTTCAGCCTGGGCTGAGAACTCAGCTTGTAGTACTAAACTTCATGCATTGTTAAGATACGGGGGAAATTAACTTCAGGGACTCTTAGTGATGAAATGCTCCATGAGGCTACCTGAAAGTCGAGCTAGCTGCTCGGAGATGTGGCTCCATGTAGAAATGAGTTCCATGGGCCGGGCGTGGGGTCGCACACCTGTAATCCCAGCACTTTGGGAGGCTGAGGCATGTGGATCACCTGAGGTCAGGAGTTCCAAAGCAGTCTGGCTGACATGATGAAACCTCGTCTTTACTAAAAATACAAAACATTAGCCAGGCGTGGTGGCAGGTACCTGTAATCCCAGCTACTCAGGAGGCTGAGGAAGGAGAATCGGTTGAACCTAGTAAGTGGAGGTTGCAGTGAGCTGAGATTACACCATTGCTCTCCAGCCTGGGCAACAAGAGCGAAACTCCATCTCAAGAAAAAAAGAGTTCCATGCATGCATTCGAAGCAGGCTCTGTGATAGCATAGAAGAGACTCATCAAAGTCCCACCTGGACCATGTCTTTGTGGCTGACTTAGCGAGGAGCCACCCACCCGGTCCTGTGACCACTGGGGCAGCCCTGGCCTGGCAGAAGCTCCCCTAGGCTCTGGAGCTCCTGCGGGAGCCAAGGAGGCCGCTCTTGGTTTTCAGTAGCATTTGGTAGGGGCGTTTCTTTTCTCTCCCTCCTCCATCTCAGCCAGAGACATCCTGCCTAGCATGAAAGCCATGTTCCAACATTCCTCTGTGCTCTTCTCCCACAGCAATGAGTCGGATGTGGTCGAGAGCCTGGATGAAATCTACCACACGGGGACGTTTGCCCAGATCCATGAGATGCAGGACCTTGGGGACAAGCTGCGCATGATCGTCATGGGACACAGAAGGTGGGTGGCTGGCGGGGGACAGTGGGAGGTGGGGGCAGAGTACCACGCGGGAGACCAGCCAGGATGCCTTATGCCCCAGCATCAGCCTCTGCCCTGTCCGTCAGCCCAGCGGCTTTCTCACTAGCACTGAGGCCAGAGCTGGGGGTGAGAGTGAGACATGTCACCTCTGGACCCCTCCTGTCTCAGAAAGGGGTGAGCTGCAGGGCCAGGCATGGTGACTCCTGCCTGGAATTCCAGCACTTTGGGATGTCAAGGCAATTGGATCGCTTGAGCCCGGAGTTTGAGTCCAGCCTGGGCAACGTAGCGAGATCCCATCTCTGCAAAAAATGTAGAAAAATTAGCTGGATGTGGTGGCTCATGCCTGTGGTCACAGCTACGCAAGAGGCTGAGGTGGGAGGATCGCTTAAGCCCAGGAGTTTGAGACCAGCCTGGGCAACACAGCAAGACCCTGTTTCTATAAAAAATAATAAAAAGTTAGATGTGACGGCGTGTTCCTGTAGTCCCAGCTACTTGGGAGGCTGAGGCAGGAGGATTGCTTGAGCCCAGGAGGTAAAGGCTGCAGTGAGCTATGATCACACCACTGCACTCCAGCCTGGGCAACAGAGCGAGACCCTGAGTTCAGGTGGTGCCAGGTGCTCTGAGGGGAGACGCAGACAGCGTGAGAGGTGGAGGTGGGTAGCTTTTGTGAAGTGCTTGGGGACAGTCTTTGCGATGGTGTCCTTGAAATCGAGACCTGAACAACAGGAAGGAGCTGCTATGAGCTGAGTCCAGGGCACAGAGTCTTGGAGACCAGCCTGTGCCCGGCCAGGCTGACACCGTTTTCGACAGGAGGCCCTGGGGCTTGTCACTGCAGCTTATCCACGATACTTAGGATGGGGACAGTGATGCATTGGCGTGGGATGCAGGGAATGCCTGAATCTGGCTGGAGTCTAAGGGGTGGAGGGGACACTGGTTGGGAGGCCCCGAGAAAGCGGCTCACGTCTCCAGCTTGAGGACCCTGTAGCCACCCTGTGGCTCCAGAGGTCTGGGCTCAGCGGGACCCTTGGACCACCTGTGCCACCAGGGAGGCCTCAGCCGGGTCCAGCTCCCAGCCTCAGCGGCTGATTCACACCTGCCTTGCTCCCGTGTCAGAGTCCATATCAGCAGACAGCTGGAGGTGGAGCCCGAGGAGCCGGAGGCGGAGAACAAGCACAAGCCCCGCAGGAAGTCAAAGCGGGGCAAGAAGGAGGCGGAGGACGAGCTGAGCGCCAGGCACCCGGCGGAGCTGGCGATGGAGCCCACCCCTGAGCTCCCGGCTGAGGTGCTCATGGTGGAGGTAGAGAACGTTGTCCACGAGGACTTCCAGGTCACGGAGGAGGTGAAAGTGAGTCCGTGCGTCACGCAGGGCGGCCACAGCTGCCTCCCCCACGGGCTCCCTTGAGCCGTTCCTGCGGCCTCTCCGAAGAGTCATCTCCCACCCTGAGCCCCTTAGGAAGGGTCTGGCCTGTCTGGAACTCAATTCTAATGGAACATAGAGGGTGCTTTTCCTCCCAGAGGTCTTCGGAAGACTCTGGGATGGGAGAGGCACAGGAAATTCGCTGGAGCCTGTAGCTGCTCAGGAAGGAGACAGGGTTGGAACCCAGGTCCAGCCCCAGCCCGTGTCCCCTGTGCCAAAGCCTCCAGCGGTTACCAAGACACCTTCCAGCCCTGGCTTCTTCCCACCAAGCCTGGGAGGTTGGTACCAGTGGTTGCAGGACAGGAAACAGCCTGTTGGCCACCCTGATCCCCCAACCTAGGCCGTCCTGCCTGCCTGGTGGCACAAGGAGTCAGCTTCCGAGGTGGGCAGGCTCTTGGCGGTGCCACCTGCCCTCCCGCTGTAGGGACAGTCAGCGAAGCTAACCAAAGGCCTGAAGCGTGTCAGCTCCTTACCTGTGTGCCTGGTGTCATCAGCCTCTTCCCCAGGCTGCTGCAGGGCCTAGGGGGAAGTGCTGTGAGCAACTGGTGATGTCTGCTGTGGGCGCTGGCAGGGGTGGAAAGTCCTGTCCACAGGCCCACCTGGGTTCTTGAGGTCAGCACTTCTATCCTGCCCCACTACCCCTGCGAGGTTTTTTTTTTTCTTTCTTTTTTTGAGACAGAGTCTGGCTCTGTCAACCCAGGCTGGAGTGCAATGGAACGATCTCAGCTCACTGCAATTTCCACCTCCCAGGTTCAAGTGATTCTCATGCCTCAGCCTCCCAAGTAACTGGGATTGCAGGCACGTGCCACCACACACGGCTAATTTTTGTATTTTTAGTAGAGACGAGGTTTTACCATGTTGGCCGGGCTAGTCTCAAACTCCTGACCTCGGGTGATCCGCCCACCTCAGCCTCCCAAAATGCTGGGATTATAGTCGTGAGCCACTGTGCCCGGCCACCTGTGAGTATTGAGCACTTGAAGTAGAGCTGCTGTGGCCAAGGAACAGAATGGAACATTTTATTGGCTGGGTACAGTGTCTCATGCCTGTCATCCCAACACTTTTGGAGGCCAAGGAAGGAGGATCACTTGAGCCCTGGAGTTCAAAACCAGCCTGGGCAATATTGAGACCCCTGTCTCCACAAAAAAAATAAAATCCCTGGGCATGGTCGCACACACCAGTGGTCTAACCTGTGGGAGGATCGCTTGAGCCCAGGAGATTGAGGCTGCAGTGAGCTGTGATCGCATCACTGCACTCCAGCCTGGGCAACAGAGTGAGACCCTGTATCTAAAAATTAAAATAAAAAAATTCAGGCCGGGCACGGTGGGCTCACGCCTGTAATCCCAGCACTTTGGGAGGCCGAGGTGGGCGGATCACCTGAGGTCAGGAGTTTGAGACCAGCCTGACCAACATGGAGAAACCCCGTGTCTACTAAAAATACAAAAAAAAATTAGCCAGGTGTGGTGGCTTATGCCTGTAATCCCAGCTACTCGGGATTACTGAGGCGGGAGAATTGCTTGAACCTGGGAGGCAGAGGTTGCGGTGAGCCGAGATTGCACTATTGCATTCCAGCCTGGGCAACAAGAGCAAAACTCTGTCTCAAAAAAAAAAAAAAAAAATTCAGACAGCCACCAGCGGCTACACTGTCCTGGGCAGCTCAGCATTGGGGCATTCCCTGTGAGAATCTTGCAACAGGGGGAAGACAGCGACCAAACTTACAAATGTGATTAGAACTGGCAAGACCCCTTAGGGGCAGCGAACTTGTTCTTTTTTTTTTTTTTTTTTTTTTTTTTTGAGATGGAGCCTCTGTCGCCCAGGCTGGAGTGCAGTGGCGTGATCTCGGCTCACCGCAAGCTCCACCTCCCGGGTTCACACCATTCTCCTGCCTCAGCCTCCCCAGTAGCTGGGACTACAGGTGCCCGCCACCACACCCGGCTAATTTTTTGTGTATTTTTTAGTAGAGACGGGGTTTCACCGTGTTAGCCAGGATGGTCTGGATCTCCTGACCTCGTGATCCGCCCGCCTTAGCATCCCAAAGTGCTGGGGTTACAGGCGTGAGCCACTGTGCCCAGCTGAACTTATTCTTAAAGCAAGTGCCCCGGACCTCCAGTGGGCCTGTTCTGGTGCCTTCTACCAGGGTCAGCTCAGACAGTTCAGCGTCAAAGCCAAAGACTAGAGACCAGGTGATTACGGTTTCTTTGGAGACAGAGTCTCACCCTGTCACTCAGACTGGAGTGCACTGGCGCAATCTTGGCTCATGGCAACCTCCGCCTCCTGGGTTCAAGTGATTCTCCTGCCTCGGCCTCCTTAGTAGCTGGGATTACAGTCACCCACCAAAGTACCTGGCTAATTTTTTTTTTTTTTTTGGTATTTTTAGTGGAGATGGGGTTTCACCGTGTTGGCCAGGCTGGTCTTGAGCTCCTGGCCTCAAGTGACCCACCTAACTCTGCCTCCCAAAGTGTTGGTGTTACAGGTGTGAGCCACCGCGCCCGGCCAAGACCAGGTGATTAAAATTTGGTTGTAGGCAGGTGCAGTTGCTTATGCCCGTGGTCCCAGCTACTCCGGAAAATGAGCGGGGAGGATCGCTTGAGCCCAAGAATTCAAGGCTGCAGTGAGTCATGATTGCAGCCCTGCACGCCAGCCTGGGTGACAGAGCAAGACTTGGTCTTTTTTTTTTTTTTTTTTTTTTGAGACAGAGTCTCGCTCTTTCGCCCAGGTTGGAGTGCAGTGGCGCGATCTCGGCTCACTGCAAGCTCCATCTCCTGGGTTCACGCCATTCTCCTGCCTCAGCCTCCCGAGTAGCTGGGACTACAGGCGCCCGCCATCACGCCCGCCTAATTTTTGTATTTTTTGGTAGAGACGGGGTTTCACTGTGTTAGCCAGGAGGGTCTCGATCTCCTGACCTCATGATCCACCCGCCTCGGCCTCCCAAAGTGCTTGGATTACAGGCGTGAGCCACCACGCCCGGCCAAGACTTGGTCTCTTAAAAAATGGAGGAAAGAAAACACAGTCTCTTTTTTTCCCCTGAGATAGCTTATCCTAAGGACAAGGCTCTGAGGGGTAAGGAGACAGGGTTTGGTTTTAGTTTTGACTCTCTTGGTCCTGTGTCCCTGGGACTGGTGAGTCCACCAGGGACTGCACTCCTCCATCTCCCAGGCCGTCCGTGGCCAGGGCCAGTTGGCGGAGGGGAGGGAGTTGATGGAGCTGGTGGGTGGGGCTCCCAGGGCCATGCTCCCACCCAGCCCACCCCCTGCTGGAGCACTGCTGGGCCCCAGCGACCCTGCCCCATACTTGGCAGGCCCTGACTGCAGAGATCGTGAAGACCATCCGGGACATCATTGCCTTGAACCCTCTCTACAGGTGGGCCTCTGTGCGGGCAGCTGGCCAGGCGGGGGCATCTCTGCAGCTCTTTCTGCAGCTGGGTGGGTAGGGGGCTTCCTCAGCGTCCTCCTGGGAGGAAACCTTGCCTGCCCCAAGGAGTGGCCTGTGTGGAGGAGCCCGTTGCCCACTGGGGCATGGGGCAGGTGGGAGGCCCGGGGCCGACTCAGCAGGCCCAGTTTCTTTGTCCCCTTCTGCTGAGGCCGGAAGC
The DNA here is from genome assembly GCF_000001405.40 of Homo sapiens. Taxonomy (NCBI): domain Eukaryota; kingdom Metazoa; phylum Chordata; class Mammalia; order Primates; family Hominidae; genus Homo; species Homo sapiens. Next base: position 5,708,112 of record NC_000019.10, on the reverse strand, counting down.
TGTTGGTGGCATTGGCTGGGGGAGTGGGGAGCAGACTGCTGAGGTGAGGTCACTGCACGGCTCCCGTGGTGGCTGCACGTGAGGATGCTGCATGCCTTTCCAGCCCAGGACGGGTGGGCCCTGAACTCTGGAGAACAAGCAGCAGAGCTGGCTCCCAGCGAGCACCCCTAGACCGTGCCCATAGCTACAGGGGACAGGGACCCTGAGGACCGGGTCCCCGTTTGGGGGCTGCACTGCAGCAGAGCGTGAGGCCCTGGCCACCGAGGCAGCTCCCTTTGTCCCCCAGGGAGTCAGTGCTGCAGATGATGCAGGCTGGCCAGCGGGTGGTGGACAACCCCATCTACCTGAGCGACATGGGCGCCGCGCTCACCGGGGCCGAGTCCCATGAGCTGCAGGACGTCCTGGAAGAGACCAATGTGAGTGCTCGTCACCTCCACAGCCCCCCACGCCTGGCTGCACCCCACCTCCACTATGCTCCGCCCACGCCCGGCTGCCCCCGTTCCTCCTCAGCTCCCCCATGCCTGGCTGCCCTTGTCCCTCCACCGTGCACCATCCACACCCAGCTGTGTGTCCCTGGCTCTGTTTTTGAGATGATTTCCCGCTGCGTGTCTTGGTCCACATCCATCCGCCTTTCGGTGGCTTCATAGCCTTCGGTTGGGAGTCACCGTTGCGGGTTCAGTGGGATCCTCTGGGCCGTGTACCCGGGGCGTTGCCAGTCTTTTGCTGTTGTGAGCAGCACTCCTGAGCGCGTCCCCATGCACGCAGCTGGAGGGCCTGTGAAGTATCCGTAGGATGCGTTTCCAGCACGGGATTTGTTGGGGCAGAGGGCACACATGCCTCTGTGCTGGGTACAGCATGGCCAGGTCCTCCCGGCAGCATCTCTCAGGGTGCGCATTTTCCCCCAACCTCGGCCCTACACACACAGATGCCGACTTCTGCTCATCCTTTCTGTCCTCCCTGTCTCGGCAGATTCCTAAGCGGCTGTACAAGGCCCTCTCCCTGCTGAAGAAGGAATTTGAACTGAGCAAGCTGCAGCAGCGCCTGGGGCGGGAGGTGAGCCCGCGGCTGAGGCGCAGCCACTCTTGGGGGCCTTCCCCTCGGGCCACGTGACATCAGTCAGGCTCTGGAGCACACGGAGGGACCGGTGGCATCGGCCAGGGCAAGCCAAGAAGGCCTGTCTGGGTTTTGAGGGCTTCGTGCCATCATCTGCTCTGTCGTCCTGGGCTGTGGAACTCTCCGCGTTGAACAGGGAAGCTTAAAGCTGGTCCCAGTGTAATGAGCCCAGGGTGGAGCAGTCTCAGGACCGTCCAACATTAAGGGAAGAATTCCTTTGCCTTTGTAATCTTGGGGACAGTGTTGGAAATTGGAAAGCAGCCTGGGAAAAGTGAAGATGCTGTTTCTTAAGACCCAGCCATTGAGGCTCGCTGTCATGATTTTCGGCAGATCACAGCCTGCCTGATGGCCGGTCACCTCACGGTCGTAGCATTTTTCAGAATTTTTTACTTTAAGACAGGGTCTCAGTCGGCCACCTAGGCTGGAGTGCAATGGCGCAATCTCAGCTCACTACAGCCTCCACCTCCAGGGCTCAAGTGATCCTCCCACCTCAGCCTCCCGAGTAGCTGGGATTACAGGCGTGCAATACCACACCGGCTAATTTTTGTATTTTAGTAGAGACAGGGTTTCACCATGTTGGCCAGGCTGGTCTTGAACTCCTGGCCTCAAGTGATCCGCCCGCTTCAGCCTCCCAAAGTGCTAGGATTACAGGCGTGAGCCACCGCGCCTGGCCCCATCTCTACAAAAAATTTTAAAATTAGAGCCAGGTGTGGCAGGTGCCTGTGGTCCCAGTTACTCAGGAGGCTAAGGCAGGAGGATCGCTTGAGCCCAGGAGGTGGAGGCTACGGTGAGCTATGATGGTGCCTTTGCACTCCAGCCTGGGTAACACAGGTAGACCCTGTCTCAAAAACAAAAGAAGATGGAAGGAACCAAAGGCTTCGTGCTCTGGGTTTCGTTTCTTTTCTCTCTGAGTCCTGGGGGAGCAGAGGGTCCCCCTTCGTCTGGGGACGCACCCACCCACCCAGCTTCCCGGAGCCAGGGCCTGATGGCAGCACCTCACCCCACAGGTGGAGGAGAAGATCAAGCAGACCCACCGTAAGTACCTGCTGCAGGAGCAGCTAAAGATCATCAAGAAGGAGCTGGGCCTGGAGAAGGACGACAAGGATGCCATCGAGGAGAAGTTCCGGGAGCGCCTGAAGGAGCTCGTGGTCCCCAAGCACGTCATGGATGTTGTGGACGAGGAGCTGAGCAAGCTGGGCCTGCTGGACAACCACTCCTCGGAGTTCAAGTGAGTGCCAGGCCCGGGGCGGCCCAGCCCTCAGGTGACCCCTCCTCAGCCCCCATCTTAGGCAGGCCAGGGGACCCAGCGGGGAGCCCCGTGGCACCTTCTTGGTGTGGCAGGTGCGGGCTGGGAGGCATCCAGCGAGTATCAGCCCTGTTCTGGGCAGGACACATCATCACCATCTCCATTCTACAAGGAAATCGAGGCTCGGGGCTGTTGAGCTGGTGGCCAGGGCCTGTGAATTGGCAGGTGGTGCCACGGATTTGAGCCCAGGGACGCCTGGCTCTAAGCCAGGGCTGCTTTTTTTTTTTTTTTTTTTTGAAATGGAGTCTCGCTCAGTTGTCCAGACTGGAGTGCAGTGGCACAATCTTGGCTCACTGCAACTTCCGCTTTGCGGGTTCAAGCAATTCTCCTGCTTCAGTCCCCCAAGTATCTGGGACTATAGGCATGCACCACCACGCCTGGTTAATTTTTTGTATTTTTAGGAGACATGGGGTTTCACCATGTTGTTCAGGCTGGTCTCGAACTCCTGACCTCAAATGATCCGGCTGCCTTGACCTGCCAAAGTGCTAGGATTACAGGCGCGAGCCACCATGCCTGGCTTTTTTTTTTTTTTAAGACAGAGTCTTGCTCTGTTGTCCAGGCTGGAGTACAGTGGTGCAATGTTGGTTCACTGCAACCTCCACCTCCCAGGTTGAAACGATTCTACTGCCTCAACTTCCTGAGTAGCTGGGATTACAGGCATGTGCCACCACACCCAGCTAATTTTTAGTATTTTTAGTAGAGATGGGGTTTTGCCATGTTGGCCAGGTTGGTCTCAAACTCCTGACCTCAAGGGATCCGCCCACCTTGCCCTCCCAAAGTGCTGGGATTACAGGCATGAGCCACCACGCCTGGCCTAAGCCAGGCCTTCTCGCCAGGACCAGGAGTCCCCATGGCTGTCTTTGCAAGGCTACCCCTGGCTTCTGTTGCCCCTTCGAGAGTCAGCCAGGAAGTGACCATGCCTTCCCGCAGCACTGGCCTTGCCCGGGGGCCACTGTCCTGAGCATGCCATGAGTCAGGGTGGCCGCCCCAGGTTTGAGGGCCTCAGGTACCTCTGAGATCCTTTCAGCCATGCCCATGTCCAGCCAGGACAGAACCCACCTGGCCACTTCCCATGCAGCATGCTCTGTTTTCAGCCCAGGAACCAGTTGTCACGCCAGGGCAGCTTCTAGGCAGAAGTCCCCGGGGCAGGGCTGGGCAGGCCGTAGGACAGCGCTTAGAGGGAAGGCATGAGTTTCTTTCCTGGCTGCTGGCCCAGGACCCCGCCTCAGATTTGAATGTCACGGTCGCCGGAGTCTCTCCCCCAGGGCCCTGAGAGGCACTGGTTGCGCGCGAAGGCTGTGGCTTCCCCTCCCAGCACGCCCCGATTTCGGTGAGTGGCCTGTGAGCTCCCATGGCTGCTCCGACGGTGCCACAACTTAGTGCCTTACACAATGCCGAGCCCTGAGATCCCGCTGTGGGCCGGGCCCGTCCCTCCCAGAGGCTCCAGAGGAGAATCCGTTTCCTGCCTTTCCCAGTATCTGGAGGCGCCCGCATCCCTCGGCTCGGGGCCCCTTCCTCCTTCACAGCCACAGCGCAGCCTCTTCCAGTCAGTCTCTCACCTCCCACCGCCTGTCGTGAGGACCTGGTGAGGAACCTGGGCCCCCTGGGTCACCCAGAATGCTCTCCTGTCTCGGGGACCTTCACTCAGCCCCATCTGCAGTTCCCTGCTGCCATGTGAGAGGCCTGTGCCGCCGCCTCCTGTGGGGGGAGAACGTAGATGTTTTCGGGGTTCTTCTGTCTCCCAGCGAGTGCCTCAGCTGCCCTTGGGCTGGTGGAAGTACCTGCTCAGACCGGGCCTTGTCCTGCAGAAGCAGATAGCTCCTTCCCCCAGGAGCTGAGGGGGTCTGTAAGGCGGGTTCTGTCCTCAGGTCCTGGGAAGTCACGGGGGACAAGCCCTCAGTACCTGCGTGTCACCAAGATGCCTGCAGCAGGCTGCCAGCTACCTCTCCCACCCAGAATGCTCTCCGCAAAGTGTCACTGCCTGTGTCACTTCCACAGTGACTTCATGTGTCTCTAAACTCCAGCATCCGTGTGGCCCAGCTGGCCTGTCCCGGTGCGTCTCGTATGCCCGTTGGGTGGCAGTGCGCCCTGACGGTGTCTGCTCGTGGGGCCGCCTGGCCCTTCCTCGGAAGCCGTCCTCCTCTTCATCCTCTTCCCCAATCCTGCCGTGTGCTCTTGCAGCCCTCACTGACTTGCTCCTGGCCCATAGTGGCCGCTGCTCACTGCTGCACGGCTCCCAACTTGGGGACCAATATGGAGTTGCCCTCCCAACCTTCAGCGTCACTCTCCCGGCAGGGGACCTGGCCTCCATTTCCCCACCTGCCCTGGGTCAGGCCTTGTCCCATTTTCTAAGCCTCGTCCCCTCTGTGGTTCTGCTCACTCAGCCCTGGGCAGAAGCCAGTGCCGTCTTGGCTCTCCTGATGAGTCAGCAGTGGACCTCCGGCCATCTCCTCCTTCCTGCACTGGGTGCTTTGGACAGGGCAGTTTGTAAATTTTTTTTTTTTTTTTTTTTTGAGATGGAGTCTCACTCTGTTGCCCAGGCTGGAGTGCAGTGGCACGATCTCGGCTCACTGCAAGCTCCGCCTCTCGGGTTCATGCCATTCTCCTGCCTCAGCCTCCCGAGTAGCTGGAACTACAGGTGTCCGCTGCCACGCCCAGCTAATTTTTTTTTTTTTTTTTATTGATCATTCTTGGGTGTTTCTCGCAGAGGGGGATTTGGCAGGGTCATAGGACAATAGTGGAGGGAGGGTCAGCAGATAAACAAGTGAACAAGGGTCTCTGGTTTTCCTAGGCAGAGGACCCTGCGGCCTTCCGCAGTGTTTGTGTCCCTGGGTACTTGAGATTAGGGAGTGGTGATGACTCTTAACCAGCATGCTGCCTTCAAGCATCTGTTTAACAAAGCACATCTTGCACCGCCCTTAATCCATTTAACCCTGAGTGGACACAGCACATGTTTCAGAGAGCACAGGGTTGGGGGTAAGGTCACCGATCAACAGGATCCCAAGGCAGAAGAATTTTTCTTAGTACAGAACAAAATGAAAAGTCTCTCATGTCTACTTCTTTCTACACAGACACGGCAACCATCCGATTTCTCAATCCTTTCCCCCTTTTCTATTCCACAAAACTGCCATTGTCATCATGGCCCGTTCTCAATGAGCTGTTGGGTACACCTCCCAGATGGGGCGGCTGGCCGGGCGGGGGGCTGACCCCCACTCCTCCCTCCCAGAGGGGGCGGCTGGCCAGGCAGAGGGGCTCCTCACTTCCCAGTAGGGGCGGCCGGGCAGAGGCGCCCCTCACCTCCCGGACGGGGCGGCTGGCCGGGCGGGGGGCTGACCCCCCCACCTCCCTCCCGGACGGGGCGGCTGGCTGGGCGGGGGGCTGACGCCTCCACCTCCCTCCCGGATGGGGCAGCTGGCCTGGTGGGGGGCTGACCCCCCCCCCAACCTCCCTCCCAGACGGGGCGGCTAGCCGGGCGGGGGGCTGACCCCCACTCCTCCCTCCCGGAGGGGGCGGCTGGCCGGGCAGAGGGGCTCCTCACTTCCCAGTAGGGGCGGCCGGGCAGAGGCGCCCCTCACCTCCCGGACGGGGCGGCTGGCCGGGTGGGGGGCTGACCCCCCCACCTCCCTCCCGGACGGGGTGGCTGCTGGGCGGAGACGCTCCTCACTTCTCAGACGGGTCGGTTGCCAGGCAGAGGGTCTCCTCACTTCTCAGGGCTGCCGGGCAGAGACGCTCTTCCCCTCCCAGACGGGGTCGCGGCCGGGCAGAGGCGCTCCTCATATCCCAGACAGGGCGGCGGGGCAGAGGCGCTCCCCACATCTCAGATGATGGGCGGCCGGGCAGAGACGCTCCTCACCTTCCAGACTGGGCAGCCAGGCAGAGGGGCTCCTCACATCCCAGACGATGGGCGGCCAGGCAGAGACGCTCCTCACTTCCCAGACAGGGTGGCGGCCGGGCAGAGGCTGCAATCTCGGCACTTTGGGAGGCTAAGGCAGGCGGCTGGGAGGTGGAGGTTGTAGCGAGCCGAGATCACGCCACTGCACTCCAGCCTGGGCACCATTGAGCACTGAGTGAACGAGACTCCGTCTGCAATCCCGGCACCTCGGGAGGCCGAGGCCGGCGGACCACTCGCGGTTAGGACCTGGAGACCAGCCCGGCCAACACAGTGAAACCCCGTCTCCACCAAAAAAATAGGAAAACCAGTCAGGCGTGGCGGCGCGCGCCTGCAATCGCAGGCACTCGGCAGGCTCAGGCAGGAGAACCAGGCAGGGAGGTTGCAGTGAGCCAAGATGGCAGCACACAGTCCAGCCTCGGCTCGGCATCAGAGGGAGACCATGGAAAGAGGGAAAGGGGAGACCGTGGAAAGGGGAGAGGCAGAGGGCAGAGGCAGAGGCAGAAGCATTTTTTGTATTTTTAGTAGAGACAGGGTTTCACCGTGCTAGCCAGGATGGTCTCGATCTCCTGACCTTGTGATCCGCCTGCCTCGGCCTCCCAAAATTCTGGGATTACAGGCGTGAGCCACTGTGCCTGGCCTGTAAATTGTTTTATAGAGATGGGGTCTTGCTGAGTTGCTCAGGCTGGTCTTGAACTCCTGGGCTCAAGTGATCCTCCCACCTGGGCCTCCCAAAGAGCTGGGATTACAGGCGTGAGCCACCGCGCTCAGCCCCACACATGGGTTTCAAGCCCCTTGCAACCACCCAGCCAAGTCCAGCAGAGAGACAGGCAGCTCGTGAGCTCCACTCAGCATCTCTCCATCTGTCCCCTGGCAGTGTCACCCGCAACTACCTAGACTGGCTCACGTCCATCCCTTGGGGCAAGTACAGCAACGAGAACCTGGACCTGGCGCGGGCACAGGCAGTGCTGGAGGAAGACCACTACGGCATGGAGGACGTCAAGAAACGCATCCTGGTGAGCCCAGTGTCTGGCCTGTTGTGGATTTGCATGTGGGTGCCCGGGCCCAGGACTCTTGTGTGCTGTGGGTTGAGATTTCAAAGGAGCCCCCTGGTGAATTCGTAGGCCTGGGGGTGCTGGTCGGGGGGATCCCGGCGGAGGTAGCATCCTGCCCTGCCCCCGAGGGCTCGAGGATTTCCCAGGTGGACTGAAGTCATGCCTGACGGGCCGGGCATGGTGGGGCTGCTTGTAGTCCCAGTTACTCAGGAGGCTGAGGCGGGAGGATCACTTGAGCCCAGGAAGTTGAGGCTGTGGTGAGCTGTGATCATGCCACTGCACATCAGGTTGGGTGACAGAGTGAGACCCCCATCTCTACAAAAAATTTTAAAATTGCGGCTGGGCGCTGTGGCTCATGCCTGTAATCCCAGCACTTTGGGAGGCTGAGGCATGCAGATCACCTGAGGTCGGGAGTTGAAGACCAGCCTGACCAACATGGAGAAACCCCATCTATACTAAAAATACAAAATTAGTTAGGCGTGGTGGCGCATGCCTGTAATCCCAGCTACTTGGGAGGCTGAGGCAGGAGAATCGCTTGAACCCAGGAGCCAGAGGTTGCAGTGAGCCCAGATCGTGCCATTGCACTCCAGCCTGGGCAACAAGAGTGAAACTCCGTCTCAAAAAGGAAAAAAAATTTTTTTTAATTAGCCTGGTGTGATGTTGCGTGTCTGCAGTCCCAGCTACTTGGGAGGCTGAGGTGGGAGGACTGCTTGAGCCCGGGAGGTGGAGGCTGCAGTGAGCTGTGATGCACCACTACACTCCAGCCTGGGTGACAGAGCGAGACCTTGTCTGAAAATTAATTAATTTTAAATTAATTTTTAAAATATCACTCCTGAGACATTGGAAACCAGGCAGGCAGGTGGGAGTCAAAGGTTAAAAAACAGGAGTCAGAGCCTGGGCATGGTGGCTCACACCTGTAATCCCAGCACTTGGGGAGGCCGAGGCGGGTGGATCACAAGGTCAGGAGTTCGAGACCAGCCTGACCAACATGGTGAAACCTCGCCTCTACTAAAAATACAAAAAAAGTAGCCAGGCATGGTGACTCACACCTGTAATCCCAGCTACTCAGGAGGCTGAGGCAGGAGAATTGCTTGAACCCAGGAGGCTGAGGTTGCAGTGAGATGAGATCGCACCAGTACACTCTAGCCTGGGCCACAGAGCAAGACTCCATCTCAAAAAAAAAAAAAAAAAAAACAGGAGCCAGAGGCATTGGTGGACTGCTTCTCTGGGTTGGACCGGAGAGAGTGGAGCATTTGCGGTCTTCAGGGTCCCGGGAACTGCTGAACGGGCCTGGCACTGCCGGGTGGCCGCGGTCTCCTAGCACCTAGTTGTCCTTTGGTGTTAAATTGTTAAATGGAGCCCTTGTCACAGGCTGCCCCTCCCCGTGGCCAGTGGCAGCTCTGATGTGCTCAGCCTCCCGGACAATCCTGGTCCCTTCTCGCAGCCCTCAGACGTCTGAAAGGCAGTGTGCAGGTGGCGAGAGTCATGCGCGGGTCCCCGGCTTCCCCAGCTCACGTGCCCACTGAACCTGCCTCTGTCTGCAGGAGTTCATTGCCGTTAGCCAGCTCCGCGGCTCCACCCAGGGCAAGATCCTCTGCTTCTATGGCCCCCCTGGCGTGGGTAAGACCAGCATTGCTCGCTCCATCGCCCGCGCCCTGAACCGAGAGTACTTCCGCTTCAGCGTCGGGGGCATGACTGACGTGGCTGAGATCAAGGGCCACAGGTAGGCCTGGCCTGACAGCTCTCCCCACGCACTCCCCTCAGCTGTGCTGCCGGGCTTCGTCTTCTCCGGTCACCCTTTAACATCTGGTAGAGCAATCCGGGTTGTGGGCAACCGATTCCACTCATGCTGGAGTAACTGAAAAGTCCAGCCATGTGGCGGACTTCAGGCCCAGCTGATTCCAGGTGCTCAAACAGCGCTGGCAGGAACCTCCATGGCTTGACCCCTGGGAGAGAGACTTCTCGGGCCGGCCCTCAGCAGACACCCCCGGTAGTTCCAGCATAGGACCTGCAATGCCCGGGCCAGAGCTGCAGGGCCGGCGTTTGCCGTGCAGATGCTGGTCTATGTGGGCTGTGGCTGATGCCCCAGGACTAGGGGTGGGGTCGGCTCCACCCCCCACCCCGAAGCCTGTGGGCTGGAGTCAGGAGAGACGGTCTCCAGTGAGGACCGGGCCGCGCACACCAGAGAAACCTTGGCGCCTCTGTGGGCTCACTCGTCCCGGCCAGCCTCAGGCCCAGAAGCAGGGGCCACGGCCCTCAGAGTTCAGCGCCCTCCCACCTGACCCTTTGGGTGGGCAGCCGGGCGCGGCTTTTCTGGGGCTTCCCTCCTCGCCAGCCTCTGTAGACAGCGGTTCTTTGGAAACCGTAGCCTCAGTGAGAGCCGAGTGTGAGGCATCTGCTGAGTCCACCACGTGTTTCCATCCTGCAAGGCATTCACTTGAGTCCAGGTTTAAAGTGAACATTTCTGCCTTCTCTAAAAACATCCCCAGCTCCCGACCTCCCGGCTCAGGCCTTCCTAGCATCTGCCCGCCCGCTGCAAGGGTGACAGCATGCTGGCCCGCGCAGTGTCCAGTCCCCAGGGGGCGGCCACTCTGACCAGCCGGGAGTTGGGAGGAGCTGGAGGAGGTGGGGCCAGTGCAGCTTTGGGGAGTCCCAGATTGACTAGGGGGTGGGGGGTGTGAGGGGGAGGACAGGGGACCTGTTCTGCAGGCCCTTGGTTGGGCTGGGGTCTGAGCAGGAAGGAGCAGCTGGGTGAAGGTGGAGGGGTGGGGGTGGGGGGCACCCAGTCCTTCCTGGGCAAGCGGTTTGAAGTGGTCGCGAAGCCTCTTGGAGCCTGGTTCAGGGATGGCTGGAGGTGCGGGCCGGAGGAGAGACCCTGGCGGGGTTCTGAACAAGCCTGGGTCACCTCTGGCCTTGGGAGGGAGTCACCAGGTAGCGGGGCTGCGGGGAGGGCAGGCGTCTGCTGACGTCTCTGGGTTCCTGAGACAAGGACAAGGACAGGAGACTGGCTGCGGGGCGATGGATCGTTGTTATTAACAGCAGCAAAACCCTCCTTTGCCCCCAGCTCTCCAGGGCTCCCACGTTCCTCGGTCAAAGCCCAAGTTCTCACTGCAGCCCACAGGACCCCGCATGACCTGCCCCACCCCCTCCTCTCTCTCCCTCTCTTCTTCCTCCCCCTCCCTCTACCCCCTTCCCTCTCCATCTCCTCCCTCTTCCCCCTCTCCTCCCTCTTCTCTCCCCCCCTCCTCCCTCTGCCTCAGCCTCATGGCCTCCTCACTGTTCTTCTAACACACCAGGCGTGGTCCTGTTTCAGGGCCTTTGCACGGGCTGTGTCCTGGGCCTGGAACACATCTCTCAGACCCTCACGTGGCTCTCTCCTCACGTGCGTTGCTCGGGGCCTCTCCCTAAGACACTCCTTACCCCCCTGCACACTTAAAGTGTCACACACATCCCAGTGGCATCTCAGTCCCTCCATCCCTGCCTCCCTGTGTCTTCATCCCACAGACAGAGCCTTCCTCACTGTCTCTCGTGGGGCCTGGGATTCTTCTGTCCCTGTCGCGGGCCGGGCCCCTGTGCTGGGGCAGAGCACAGAGCTTGCAGGAAGCCCTCCTGAGAGCCAGTGCTGGCCATGGCTAGTATCACCCCAGCCCTTGAGGGCTGAGGCGTGCCTGGCGTCCCTCAGTGAGGAGTGGGGGCCTTCTGCTGCCAGCGCCTGTCTGGCTTTCACCATGGTGTCAGCTGAGGGATGGGACTGAGGGAGATCTGGCTTTGAATCAGTGACCCCAGAATCTGAGCTGGCGAGTCAGGGCAAGTGACCAGCGTGCCTGCAGGTGCCACACATCCGGCGGCTGCCAGCATTTCCGCCTCCCACATCATGGCCACATCTTGTGGGGCTCCAGGTGGCCTCTCCCCTGTGGCCCTGGAGGGTGCATGGTGTCGTTGTGGCCGAGCCAGGCTACCAAGTGACCTCTGACCCCGCTGTGCACCCACAGGCGGACCTACGTGGGCGCCATGCCCGGGAAGATCATCCAGTGTTTGAAGAAGACCAAGACGGAGAACCCCCTGATCCTCATCGACGAGGTGCGTGCGGAGAGGCCCGGAGACCCCCTAACCCGGCAATGCCGTGTGCAAGATGAAGCCGAGCCTTCCGGGTCCTAGGATCCCCGAGCCAACTCAGGGGCCATCGCCGTGATGCTGGCCCTGATGGCACGGACGGGTCCCTCCCACCCACAGCCACGCCCAGCAGGCTGCCCGTCCAAGGCAGGGTGTGGGTGCCGCTCTCACTCGGGGTCTCCCCAGCCCTGACCCTGGGGTCTCCCCACTGGGCGGGCTGGCCAGGGGCACGGCGAGGGGCACCACCTGCTGTCTGCTGCCCCAGGTGGACAAGATCGGCCGAGGCTACCAGGGGGACCCGTCGTCGGCACTGCTGGAGCTGCTGGACCCAGAGCAGAATGCCAACTTCCTGGACCACTACCTGGACGTGCCCGTGGACTTGTCCAAGGTGGGGGGCCTGTCTGGGGCCTGGGCTTGCTGGGGAGGGTAAGCGGCCAGTCCCCCAGCACCTTGCCGCCGCCCCCAGGTGCTGTTCATCTGCACGGCCAACGTCACGGACACCATCCCCGAGCCGCTGCGAGACCGTATGGAGATGATCAACGTGTCGGGCTACGTGGCCCAGGAGAAGCTGGCCATTGCGGAGGTAAGCCCAGCCCCTCCCCACTGCTGTCCCCTTCCCAGAGCAGGGGGCGCCCCCCAGAGCCTGCAGAGGCCGTGCCTCTGGGAGCTCCTGGGCCCGGGAGAGACAGGTGGGACCTGCGGCCGAGGAGCAGATGGGGCCGTGAGAGACACACCAGACGCTTGCGAGCAGCTGCAGGTGGCGCGAGTGGGCGCAGGGTTTAGGGCCTGGGACTGTCCAAAACACCGCCCACCACCGTCAGGCCACACACTCTGTCTCCCGGGGCCTCCAGGCTGCCCCATGGTGGGGCCCCCACCTGGCCCAGAGTGTAGGGAAGGTTTCTGGCAGCCGGAAGCAGTGGGGCCTGTGGCTCCCACCCAGAATGAGGCTTGGAGGAGAAGTGGTTTCAGTGAGGAGCATGCAGGGGCCCATATTTCTCATGTGTTTTTTTTTCTGCAAAGGTGCTGAGTGCATTTCTCCCCTAGGAGCCCTTTGACAGCCAGTGGTGGGCACTGGTCCCTGCCCTTGAGGCCCTCCCAGCATCCTCGTGTCCCCTGGGGGCTTCAATGCCCACTGCTGGGCCCAGTTCCCAGCCTGACTTCTCCAAGGGACGGGCCTGTAGTTCCTGGGGACAGGACTGGGGGGCATGGGGACCCCTCAGGGCATCAGGAGTGCCCCCCAGTATCAGTGGCAGATGTAGAGTGGCTTGCATGGCTCTGTCCGTCTCACAGATGCCCTCCCCCATGCCATTAGAGCTCAGAACTGTGGCAAGAATTGTGTGGGGCTGTGGGTGACCCTGGAGCCCCTGACCCAGTCCCCTTCCTCATGTGCTGAGGGCAGCAGCCACGTAACCAGTCAGCCACCCTACAGGCCCTGGGTCTGTGTATGGGGCCAGCCCATGGGGCAACCAGGAGGCCTTCCTGGAGGAAGCGGCATCTAAGATACCATTGGGGGATAGGAAGTGGATCCAAGCAGAGGACGCAGCACAAGCAAAGGCCTGGGGCCTCTGGGCATGGTGGGTGGCAGGGCGGGGTGTCCAGGCCCTGGTTTCACCATCAGGGACCTCGTTCCCAGGCCAGGGTCTGGGGGCCATGGGAGAGGCATTGGCTCCCAGGTTCTAGACTGAGCTGGTGGGCAAGGTCCCTCCAGACCCAACCCTGACGGTTGCCCTTGCAGCGCTACCTGGTGCCCCAGGCTCGCGCCCTGTGTGGCTTGGATGAGAGCAAGGCCAAGCTGTCATCGGACGTGCTGACGCTGCTCATCAAGCAGTACTGCCGCGAGAGCGGTGTCCGCAACCTGCAGAAGCAAGTGGAGAAGGTGAGCGGCCAGCCCGCCCTCCTGGCACCTGCCGCCCACCTCACCATCCCACGCTGATCACCCCACCTTTCCATGCCCATCATCCCACTTTCCTGCGCCCATCACCCCACCACCCCGCGCCCGTCACACCTTTCTGTGCCCGTCACCCCACCACCCCGCACCTGTCACCCCACCTTCCCGTGCCCATTGTGTTGCCCTGACCGCCCAGGTGTTACGGAAATCGGCCTACAAGATTGTCAGCGGCGAGGCCGAGTCCGTGGAGGTGACGCCCGAGAACCTGCAGGACTTCGTGGGGAAGCCCGTGTTCACCGTGGAGCGCATGTATGACGTGACACCGCCCGGCGTGGTCATGGGGCTGGCCTGGACCGCAATGGGTGAGCGTGGTGGCGGGAGAAGACCCCAAAGCCATTCCCATTTCTACCCGAGAACAAGCAGGTCCCACCTTGTACACCTGTGCAGTGGGCCTCAGGTGGCTCTGAACGGCCTCTGGCGGGGGGTGGTGTGCTGGGAGCCCAGGGGGTCTGGGCTGAGGGAGGGGAAGGCTGTGACACATGGGGGTGGCAGCACACCATGGGCCTTATGGATTTGGGTGCCACTTTGATAGGCTTACAGGTAAGGACAAGCTCATCCAGATGGGCCTTGGGGCCACCACGCACAAAGGAGGCGAGAGGGCAAAGGGGATGGTGCGGGAGGGGCTGGAGAAGGGCTTGTGTCTGTCTGCAGGGCAGCGGCAGCTGGGCCTTGTAGCCCTGGGCGTGTCCTCTGTGGCTGGCAGCTGCTGGGGGCTGCCCTGTGGGGCGTACAGAGCCAGGAACCCGCAACGCAGCAAACGTAGAGGCCAGCGTTGGCTCACGATGGGACACCAACCCCTGCCCAGGGGCACCAAGATGCTAAACTGGGGCAGGAGCGGTCAGAGTGGCCCCGAGGGGTGGAGTGAGCACCGGCCTGGGCTCCGAGGCCTCCCGTGTTCACAGCTCCACACCTGTTTCAGGAGGCTCCACGCTGTTTGTGGAGACATCCCTGAGACGGCCACAGGACAAGGATGCCAAGGGTGACAAGGATGGCAGCCTGGAGGTGACAGGCCAGCTGGGGGAGGTGATGAAGGAGAGCGCCCGCATAGCCTACACCTTCGCCAGAGCCTTCCTCATGCAGCACGCCCCCGCCAATGACTACCTGGTGACCTCACACATCCACCTGCATGTGCCCGAGGTGACCGCGCCATCCGCTCCCACCTGCTCCCGCCCAGTCCCTGGGCTGCTGGCCACCTGCTCACCCACTATCCCCACATGCCTCCACAGGGCGCCACCCCCAAGGACGGCCCAAGCGCAGGCTGCACCATCGTCACGGCCCTGCTGTCCCTGGCCATGGGCAGGCCTGTCCGGCAGAATCTGGCCATGACTGGCGAAGTCTCCCTCACGGGCAAGATCCTGCCTGTTGGTGGCATCAAGGAGAAGACCATTGCGGTGAGTGTCCCTGTACCCACCCCACAGCACTGGCAGGGCCCACACCACCACGGGACAGGCCCAGTCCCCGCCATGCAACCTCTGCCTGGGCCAAGGAGAGGGAAGCCCTGGGCTTTGGAAGCAGGTCTCTCTGGCCTGGAGCTGGCCTTAAGCTCACCGCCCTAGCTGCCTTCTCCACAGCAAGTCTTGTGGAGAACATTCTGAGCCTCCACTGGCTTCCCCAGTAGGATTGGGGGGGTGGCTCCTGCTTCTCTTCCCAGGCAGCCCAGCGCCAAGGGAGAGGCTAGAGATGGGGACGACGTTTAGGATTACTGGTGGCGGGGGTGTTTGGAGCCCCTGGCCAGGGGCTGGCCTCTTCCAAGGGTGCTGAGCAGGTTGGAGCGCCACTGTCCCCACTCTTCCCTCCCATCCCTGCCTGTCCCCAGACTGGACCACACTTGCCATGTGTCTAGGAAGCCTGGTGCAGTCAGTCAGGAGATGCCACCACGAGGGAGGCATGGTCAAGTGGCTGTGACCACCTTGAATTGGACACCAGGCACAGACTTCCTAGATGATAAAATGGTGGAGGCAAATTGGGAGGCTCACTGTCCATGGAGTCAGTGTGCGGTGACAGTGGGAACTGCTGTCCTTTCAAGGGGCTGTGGTGGGGCTGTGCCTGGCATCTACTCCAGATATGTGTAGCCTCCGGAGGTGAGGGGGGTGACGCAGGGCCTGGGGGCAGAGATGCAGATGCTCACAGGAACCCTGTTCAGGCCCCAGACACTGCCTGACCTCTGGATGTGAGGCCGTGGGTGTGTGGCTCATCCAGAGCCCTGAGACTGCTCCCACCGCACGGCCAGACTTCCTAGATAAGGGGGTGGGGAGGCCCTGGCTCCTGCTCTCAGGCTGTTGGAGCCAAGGCCAGTGGTTTTGCCTTGAGCCTGTTTCCCCGTGGGAGACGGGGACCCTGGTGGGTTTTGGGACTTACTGCTTAGAACCCGGCATCACTGTGTATCGCCGGTCCCCAGGAAGCCCTTTCGTTCCTGGAGGTTAGCACACCTGCTGCCCTCCCACAGGCCCAGGCAGGGCTGACCCTGACTCTGCCCCCAGGCCAAGCGCGCAGGGGTGACGTGCATCGTCCTGCCAGCCGAGAACAAGAAGGACTTCTACGACCTGGCAGCCTTCATCACCGAGGGCCTGGAGGTGCACTTCGTGGAACACTACCGGGAGATCTTCGACATCGCCTTCCCGGACGAGCAGGCAGAGGCGCTGGCCGTGGAACGGTGACGGCCACCCCGGGACTGCAGGCGGCGGATGTCAGGCCCTGTCTGGGCCAGAACTGAGCGCTGTGGGGAGCGCGCCCGGACCTGGCAGTGGAGCCACCGAGCGAGCAGCTCGGTCCAGTGACCCAGATCCCAGGGACCTCAGTCGGCTTAATCAGAGTGTGGCATAGAAGCTATTTAATGATTAAAGTCATTTGCAGTACGGCGGCTTCCTCACCTGCTGCCCCGGGAAGGGTGGGCGGGCCACGGCTTTTGATTCACGACCAGGCAGCACCCGGAGAGGGTGTGGCTCAGAGCGGGCACCAGACAGGGGACTGCGGGCCCCCGACACACCCACACCCACCCACGGACAGCAGGAGAGCCAGGGCTTCTGTCAAGCTGTTCTTTATTTCAGGGAGAGGGCAGGGGAGGGGCTCAGTCTTTCTTGGCAGCAGCTTTCCTCATGGCGGCCAGTACGTTGCTCAGCTCCTCCCGCTTCCTCTTGGCGCGGATGTGCGTCCCCACCTGCCAGGGACGAGGCCGCCGTCAGCCCGGCCCTGACTCCCATCCCACCCCGCCCCTCGGCCGGCAGCGCCCACCTACCCTTTTCTTGATAAATTTGAGGGCCCGTTTGTCCTTGGAGACCTTCAGTAACTCCATGGCGCGCCGCTCGTACGGGGCAAAGCCACACACCTCCCGAATCATGTCCCGCACGAACTTGGTGTGTTTGGTCAGACGCTAGGGGGGAAAGGGGCGGCCGTCAGGGTAGGGGGATCCCTGCATTCTAGTTAAGCAGCTTCTCTCGCGCTGCCGCGATTTCCCTGGCTACTTCCTCCCCTCTGTGGGTAGCTGTGAGAACCAAGGTATTAACGCCTAGCGCTTTTCGCCGCGCCCGGAGCAGCTCCCATCCTCCCTAAGTCCCAGTCTCCGCAACACTGGCAGGACGCACCTGGAGTCTGGGCTGCCTGCTGAATAAAGGCGCCCAATACACTGACACACCTGAAATCCCTCAACCTCACACACCGCAACCTCGGGCCAGCTCCATGAGCGAACTCCTTACTCCTGCGTCAGAACCCCAAACCCGCTGCCCGCTTAATAAAGGCGCCCAATACACTGACACACCTGAAATCCCTCAACCTCACACACCGCAACCTCGGGCCAGCTCCATGAGCGAACTCCTACTCCTGCGTCAGAACCCCAAACCCGCTGCCCCGCGCCGCTCTCAAGGTGCTCCCTCTGCCCCAGCGTGGATTGCACGGTTGGGAAAAACCCAGATGGGTGCCCGCCTTCGAGCACCAGGCAGGAAGTCCCACTCCCCCACCCCATCTCTTCCATTCAAGCCCCCCTTAGTTCTGCGCCCGAACGCGCGTTCTTTCAGGTCGAGAGCCTTTGCCCAAGCCATGCCCTCCGCCCTCCAAGAAACCCCCGACAACCTCCGCGCGGCACCCGCACTCACCCCGCGGCGTCGGCTGTGCCTGGGCTTGCTCACGTTCTTGGTCACTTTGTGGCCCTTGTTGAGGCCCACGGCCATAGGGTAGCGTAGGGCCATGGCTGCGGACAGCGACGGGGAGAAGGGGCGGAGGTGAGTACCGGCTCAGTTCCCGAGGCCCAGAGCCCCGCGTCCCGGCTCCTTCAGCCTCGCTCGCCACAACCAACCATCCTCCAACCTGCACAGAGGACCCGGGAGTCCGGATGGCGGCGGATACCGGCAGTGCGGGAAACCACTTACCTGCTGCTCTCCAGAGACGGCCGTGGCGGAAGGGCTGGCGCCGCGCGGAACTCCGGGATATCTACTCGGCTCAGGAGGCGCAGGCCAGAGAGGCAAGAACGGCACGCGCTCCCCCTGGCGGCTGGAGTCTTCCCCGCCGTTGCGCTGAGCATGCGCGACCGAGCTCCCTGAGCATGCGCGTTTACTCCTGCGAGCCCGGGAGCTGGAGTCGGAACCAGTGGAGGTGGCTATGGCTGCTCTCCTCCCTCTGCCTGTGAAATGAGTTCGAATCCCAACTCCGCCTATTTCGGGCCGACCCTGCATCGACGACATCACCTCTCAGAATTTCTTCACTTGTAGAGCGGGAATAATAATACCAAACTGTATGAACTGTTAAAACGCCCATTAGGCCGGGCGCGGTGGCTCACGCCTGTAATCTCAGCACTTTGGGAGGTCGAGGCATGTGGATCACGAGGTCAGGAGCTCGAGACCAGCCTAATACGGTGAAACCCCGTCTCTACTAAAAATACAAAAAATTAGCCAGGCGTGGTGGTGGGCACCTGTAGTCCCAGCTACTCGGGAGGCCGAGGCAGGAGAATGGCGTGAACCCAGGAGGCAGAGCTTGCAGTGAGCCGAGATCGTGCCACTGCACTCCAGCCTGGGCGACAGAGCAAGACTCCGTCTCAATAAATAAATAAATAAATAAATAAATAAATAAATAGCCAGGCGTGGTGGCATGCTCCTGTAATCCCAGCTACGCAGGAGGCTGAGGCAGGAGAATTGCTTGAGCCCAAGAGGCAGAGGTTGCAGTGAGCCGAGATCGCACCACTGCACTCCAGCCTGGGCGACAGAGCGAAACTCCATTTAAAAAAAAAGGTATTGGTTTTGTTATCAATTGGTCAAGCTCTAGACTAGGTCTGAATACAGCAACGTGTAATAGTGCCCCTTGCGGACATCTGATGTAATTTAGGTGGTGTAGGGACGGGACGCTAAATAACTGAATCGGGTGGCAGAAACACACAAGTTTCCAGTTTTTCTCCTTTAATGCTACTAATATACAAGAAGAGAGTCTCAATTTAGGGCTGCTCTAATTAGGGTTAGCGCTTTCATGTTTTTTCCAGACAGGGTCTTGCTCTGTCGCCCAGGCTAGAGTGCACTGCTGTAATCATAGCTTATTGTAGCCTTGACTTCCAGGGCTCAAGTGATCCTCCTGCCTTAGCCTCCTTAGCTGGGACCACAGGCACATGCCACCACGCCTGGCTAATTTTTTAATTAAAATATTTGTTTGTGGCCGGGTGCAGTGGCTGACACCTGTAATCCCAGCACTTTGAGAGGCCGAGACAGGGGGATCACCTAAGGCTAGGAGTTCGAGACCAGCCTGGCCGACATGGTAAAACCCCGTCTCTACTAAAAATACAAAAAGTCAGGCGTTGTGACCCACACCTGTAATCTGAACTATTTGGGAGGCTGAGGCACAAGAATCGCTTGAACCCCGGAGGCAGAGGTTGCAGTGAGCCTAGATCGCACCACTGCACTCCAGCCTGGGCGATAGAGTGAGACTCCGTCTAATAAATAAATAAATAAAGACAGGGTTTCACCATGTTGGCCAGGCTGGTCTCAAACTCCTGACCTCAAGTGATCTGCCCACCTTGACCTCTCAAAGTGCTGGGATTATAGGCGTGAGCCACTGCTCCTGGCCCTCTCAGCCTCCATTTCCCCACCTGTGAAATGGGATTGAGAGTCAAGGCCCCTGATACACACACCCCCTCCCGCTGCCCGCTGGCTGCTAGCAAATTGGAATTACCAAGGAATTTGAACAACAGATATGCAAGAGAAGAAGAGTTTTTATTCTCGAACAAGAGGCTGGGTCCAGCTCAGAACACACTCTTTCCCTCCTCCTCCCGCTCAGACCCTGCCACCAGGTAGACGAACAGTGTAGACGCCCCTGCAGGTGTGAAGAGTACCAGAGACCCCAGCTAGGGGAAGCTGGCAGGAGTTGGGGGGGTTCCTCCCAGATGGAATGAATGGAAAGAATAAATCAGGGACTTAAAGGCGCAGGCAGGAGATGGAGAGGGGTCCATGGGTGGCTCAAGGGTGGCGTGGCCTCTCTGAGCCTTAGTTTCCTCATCTGCAAAATGGAAGCAGTCACGTCATCAATCATGGCCAAACAGGTGAGGCCTTGCAAGTCCCCGACAAAGGCGCCTAACACGGGGCACCTGCACCTCCCAAGCCGTGACTGGTTCCAGGTGCCCGTCGTTTTTCTCGGTTTTGCTTTTCTGTCTTGATGACTTCATCTTGGGCTGTGGCCACCCTCTCAGGGGTGTCTCTGTGAGTGTTCTGGCTCCAGGGACAGTTGGAGGGAGGAACATTGCCGTCTGGGACTGGAGGGGCACCCCCCGGTGCTCAGGCTGCCGCGGCCGTGACGTTGAGCTCCTGGCGGATAAACCAGGCCCGCGGGCGCGGTAGCCAGCGCCGGAGCAAGCACAGCAGGCGGAAACGCCACGGGTAGAAGACGCCGGCCGCGCGCGTGGCGCCGCCGCGGATCACGGCCAGGGCTGCCTTGGGCCCCGGGGCCGCCTTGACCCTCGTGACTCCCCTGGGGACAGGAGGGCACGGTGGGGACTGCGGCTGGGGCTGGGCCATGGCCCCCAGCCCAGCCCCCAGCTTGTCCGGGCCTCACCTGACTGCCTCGGCGGCGGAGGCGCGATCTCGGAGGCCCAGGACGCACATGGTGATGGCCACGTTCACGTCCTGCACGTCCAGCTCCCGCCGCAGGGAGCCGAAGAAGCCGTCCAGCGCAAACTTGGCCGCCGAGTAGGGAGTGGAGAACGACGTGGGCACGCGGCCTGGGGGCGCGGACGGCAGCGGCTGAGTGGCTCCCCCTCGTCCGGGAAGCCTGCCCAGACCCTCCAGGCTCACCCGCATCGAGCTCCCCACTCCCCGTCCCGCAGAGCCGGGGCCGGGTGCACGCACCGAGCAGCGAGGACACCACCACCAGGGAGCCCTTGCTGTCCGTCAGGCTGGGCAGCGCCCGCGACGTCAGTTGCACGTAGCTCACAAAGTTTACCTGCAGGCGGCACTCGCGAGTCACCGGCAGAGGCGGAGCCCAGGGGCAGGGCGGGGCCAGAAACCCAGAGGGCGGGGCCAGGGCCGGGTCAGAGACGGGGCCAGAAACCCGGAAGGCGGGTCCGAGGGCGGGGTCAAGGCCGGAGCAGGGGCTTGGGCTAGGAGGGGCGTGGCTGGGGCGGGACGGGTGGAGAGCCCTCCCTGGAGAAGGCAGAACCCGGACCGCGAAGGGAACGGACCACCGGTCCCTGAGATAGAGGGGCGGGCCGGGGCCGCGGAGGAGCGGAGCACCTGCATGAGCCAGCGAGTTGCCTGGGGGCTGCGGGCTCGCGTGCCGGCCGGGGCGCCGCCGATGTGGTTCAGCACGAGGTAGTCCAGCCCGCCTGGCCCAGAAACGCCGGTCAGCCCCGGAGGCCCCTCCCCAAGGAAACGATCAAACCCCGCCCCCGAGCTTAGCTCCACCCAGAGCGCTGGTCCAGCGAGCTCCGCCCCAGGTAACTCCCACTACGATCAAAGACACCCAGCCTTGGCCTTACACCCTGGATCTAGCAAGGTTTGGTTCCCATTCAACGAGGCCCCGTTCAGAGCTCTTCCCCCAGACGCAATGAGACTCCACCCCGCCCACGCCCCCAGTCCCCATTTGTCTCCGCCCTGAGACACCTGTTACTGTGGCCACACCCACAGCCCAATTCTGGTCCTGTCCCTAAGGCCTAGGCCACGGTCCCGGACTCCAGGCTTCAGGCCCAGCCCCTCACCCAGCTTGTCCAGCGCAAACTGCACCACGCTCTCGGGCGCCTCAGGGGAGGCCATGTCCGCCGCGATGTAGAAGACCTTGGGGGCGCCCAGCTTCCGGCAGTTCCCTACCACCTGGGGGGGGCCAGAGCTGCCCGTGGGCCTCTCCTCTACAGCAGCGCTTCCCCCTCCACCGCACCTGCTGGCCATAGGGAGGCCCCCGCCTGAAAACCCCCCCCTACTCTGAGCCTCGGGACCCATTCAACATCATTCCCAAAAATTTACCACTGCTTGAGGGGCGCAAAGTGGAGGCCCGCGGGCCAGAATGCTGGCCAATTTGGTGGTTAGTCAATCACCAACATCTAAAACAGGACATTTCATCTACAATTTCCTGATTGCTAGCTTCTCTTGAAATATTGAAAGGTTTGTGCCCAAGAGCCATACCCTTCCTTGAAGTAGCAATGGACTGCTTGTTGCTAAGAAGTGCCCATCCTTCCCTTCGAGTTTAAGAACCCTGGCTATCAGCACAGGCCTGGACACTCAATACTCTCATTTGTTAAGAAACACTGCATCTTCTAGTCACCGTCTCACTGCATTGGCACAACATCCTAACCCATGAGAAGGTGGGTTTTTTTGTTTGTTTGTTTGAGACAGAGTCTCACTTTGTTGCCCAGGCTGGAGTGCAGTAGTGCGATCTCGGCTCACTGCAACCTCTGCCTCCGGGGTTCAAGTGATTCTCCTGACTCAGCCTCCCATGTAGCTGGGACTACATGCTCGCGCCACCATGCCCTAATTTTTTTTTTTCTTTTTTTTGAGATGGAGTATCGCTCTGTCACCCAGGCTGGAGTGCAGTGGCGCGATCTCAGCTCACTGCAACCTCCACCTCCCGGGTTCCAGCAATTCTCCCGCCTCAGCCTCCCCAGTAGCTGGGATTACAGGTGCCTGACACCACGCCGGCTAATTTTTTATTTATTTATTTTATTTTTATTTTTTGTATTTTTAGTAGAGACAGGGTTTCACCATGTTGGCCAGGCTGGTTTTGAACTCCTGACCTCAAGTGATCCATCCGCCTTGGCCTCCCAAAGTGCTAGGATTACAGGCATGAGCCACCATGCCTGGCCTAATTTTTGTCTTCTTAGTAGAGACCAGGTTTCGCCATGTTGGCCAGGCTGGTCTTGAACTCCTGACCTCAGGTGATCCACTTTCCTCGGCCTCCCAAAGTGCTGACTACAAGCGTGAGCCACCGTGCCTGGCCAGAAAGTGGTTTTATTGTCCCCGTTTTGCAAATGAGGAAACTGAGAGGCTCAGAGAGGTTAGGCGACTTGCCCAAGGTCACACGGGAAGCCTGGATCATTGCAGGGATTAAACCCAGGCTCTCTTCCCACCCCCCATGAGCACCCCCACCATTCATCTAGACATGGGGTGGCTCACCTTCTGCAGGAGAGCCTCAGTGTGGGCAGTGAGCACCAGGTGGGAGCCCAGACGCGCGTAGTGATAGGCCAGCTCCTCACCAACACCAGCGTTGGCCCCTGTCAGCAGCACTCGCGCTCCCTGGAGGCTGGCTGGCCATAGCCGGGGTGGTCACTCTGGGCGGAGGACAGGACAGCTGGCCCGGTTTCTCCCTCCCTCAACCCCAGGTGCTCACCTGGGTCGAAGTTGTCATCCCAATAATAGGCGAAGAACAGGGCCCCCAGCCCTGTGAGGAGAAGCACCTTCATGGTCCTGTGTGGGCCTGCAGAGGGACAGGGGACAGAGGTGGCCGGCACAGGCCTGGCCCACAGCCACCCGTGTTTGGTGGGTGTTTGGTGATGCCACCGCCTTGGATCCACGCCTTCCTATCCACCTCCACAGCCACCACCTGTCCAGGCCACCACGGTGGCTCCATGAACCACCGCGGCTCCATGAACCACCGCACCTGCACCCTCCCCCTCCACCCTTCTCAGCCCTCTCCATCTGCACACCTTGCCTCTCCTGGACTGAAAATCCTTCCTGTTCCAGTTAGAATAAAAACCAGACTCCTTGGTGGCTACAAACGCCCTGTGTGGACCTGTCCTCCTTGCTCACTCCGCTCCACTAAAACAGACCCTTCGCTGTTCCTTGAAACCAGCCAGTCACTATCCTGCCTCAGGGCCTTCTCGTGGGCTGTTCCTACTGCCTAGAATGCTGTTCCCGGATATAACCCAATGGCTTGCTCTCTCACTTCTTTCAAGTCTCAGTGCAAAAGTGACCTCCTTCAGCTGGATGTGGTGGCTCATGCCTGGAATCCCAGCACTTTGGGAGGCTGAGGCGGGCAAATCACTTGAGATCAGGAGTTCGAGACCAGCCTGGCCAACATGGTGAAACCCCATCTCTATTAAAAATACAAAAATTAGCCGGGCGCGGTGGCAGGCGCCTGTAATCCCAGCTACTCAGGGGGCTGAGGCACGCACATGCCTGTAATCCAGATATTTGGGAGGCTGAGGCAGGAGAATCGCTTGAACCTGGGAGGCAGAAGTTGTAGTGTGCCGAGATTTGCCATTGCACTCCAGCCTAGGCAACAAGAGCGAAACTCCGTATCAAAAACAAACAAACAAACAAAAAAAGAACAGTGACCTCCTTCAAGTGAGGGCCTCCTTTTTTTATTATTTATTTTTTTATTTTTATTTTTTTTTATTTTTGAGGCAGAGTCTCACTCTGTTGCTCAGGCTGGAGTGCAGTGGTGCGACCATAGCTCACTGCAGCCTGGACCTCTTGGGCTCAAGCAATCCTCTTGCCTCAGCCAATGGAGCAGCTGGGACTACAGGTGGGCGCACCAGCACACCCAACTAATCATCGTATTTTTTGTAGGGATGGGGTCTCACTATGCTGCCCAGGCTGATTTTGAACTCCTGGGCTCAAGTGATCCTCCCGCCTCAGCCTCCCAAAGTGCTGGGATTACAGGTGTGAACCACCGTGCCCAGCCCAAGGACCATTTGTTACTCGTTCCACCATCCTTCTCTCCCTGTAGACCATCAGCTCCATAAGGGCAGGAAGGAAATGGAAATCTTCTACTTTGTTCCCTATTGGGTCTTCAGGGCCCAAAACTGTGCCAGGTACACAGTAGGTGCTCAATAGGTACCAGATTGATCATGGAGTGATATGAGGCACGTGGGAGGCGAGAGGTGAGGAAGCCAAGAGACAGCTCGCTCTCTGGAGACACCCAGAAGGCATTTGACACATGGGGCTGGGTTGGAGACAGAGGTGCCTGCGTCATCCAGATGAAGATATGATTTATGATTTCAGCTATGGGAGCTGATTCACTAATTCCAGGGAGAAGGTGAAAGAGAGAAACAGTCCAGGTTCTTTTTTTTTTTTTTTTTTTTTGAGACTGAGTTTCACTCTTGTTGCACAGGCTGGGATTACACTTTGTAATCCCAGCATTTTGGGAGGCCGAGGTGGGCGGATCACTTGAGGCTGGGAGTTCGAGACCAGCCTGACCAACATGGAGAAACCCAGTCTCTACTAAAAATACTAAATTAGCTGGGCATGCTGGCACATGCCTGTGATCCCAGCCAATGGAGCAGCTAGGACTACAAGTGGGTGCACCAGCACGCCCAACTAATCATCGTATTTTTTGTAGAGATGGGGTCTCCTGCTGAGGCAGGAGAATTGCTTGAACCCAGCGGGGTGGAGATTGCAGTGAGCTGAGATCGCCCCACTGCATTCCAGCCTGGGCAACAGAGTGAGACTCTGTCTAAAAAAAAAAAAAAAAAAAAAAAAAAGTCAATGGGACAAGGGGAAGGGGACTTCCAGAACCAGGAAGCTGAGACAGACCAGATGGAGCGGATCATTGAGGAGTCCCTAAATCTCCCATCTGTAGGTCCAGCCCTAGGTTCTTTGCCTCTGCTGTCTTCTGGGTGTCTCCTCCTGACAACCTCCAGGCCCCTTAGAACCAGCAGGACCCAATCCAGGCTCAGCATGTCACCCCATACCTGCTTCTCTTCCCAGCTCACCATCACAGAAATAGCCCCACTATCCCCTGTCCCTAAATGGGAGACCCAGGTATTGTCCTCACCTCCTTCTATCCTTTCACCCCCACGAGCTCATGGTTTTCAGATCTTATCAGTTCTCCCTCTCCAGTCTCTCCCCAGCTGTCCCTTCCTCTCTCTCTCCAGGACTCCCAGATTGTCACCTCCCTCCTAGACCCTACCCCGGGCCTGACCACCCCCATCTTTCCTTTGGCCTCCCTTCCATCTCCGATTTGGTCTCCCCCACCTCCACACTGGCTTCCCCATGTCCATACTCATTCTCTCCCTGCCTCTTCTGTCAATGCAGCCAAAGGCGTCTGTGTCAAAAGCAACATGGCCATGGCCCTTCCTGCTCCAAACCCTCTCAGGGGTCCCCACTGCAACTGATGGAAACCAGGCTCCTCACTGCACCCCATGAGGCCCTGCAGGTATAGCCCCTGACTACCTGTCTATCCTTCTCTCCCACGGCCCCATCTATGAATCGTTCAGTTCTCAAAATAATGAACTCCTCACCTTTCCCAGACACACCAGGCATGCCCACAGCAAGAAACGAGCTTCCACCTTTTCCCCTTCCAGGGACAGCCCATGAAGCTCCTCTGCTCATCCCTCTTTCCACCCCCAGCTCTACACTGACTGCAGCAGCCCGGCAGGGGGAAGTGGGACCAGATGGACTGACGGGTGGACGGATGGGTGGATGGATGAATGGATAGATGGACAGATGCATGTATGGATGCATAGATAGAAGGATGGATGGGTGGATGGCCAGATGAATAGATGGATGGGTGGATGGATGGATGATGGACGGAGAGATGTATGGGTGGATAGATGGATGAGTGGATGGATGTATGAATGGATAAATGGGAACACATAAATGGATGGATGGATGGATGGATGGATGGACGGACGGATGCATGGATGGATGGATGGATGGATGGATGGATGGACGGATAGATGAGTGGGTGGCCAGATAAATAGATGGATGGGTGGACAGATGGATGAGTGGAAGGATGGGGGGAGCAGATGGATGAATGGATGGGCGGACAGATGGATGAACGGAAGTGTGGATGGATAGATGGAAGGATAGATGGGTGGATGGCCAGATGGATAGACGGGTGGGGGACAGATGGATGGATGGGCAGATGAACGGTTGAAGCAGCCCGGCCGAAATGCGGGAGAAATGGGGGGAAGCCCTGCAGAACGCATCGGCCCCTTCTTGACCTCGGCGGGCCTTAGCTTCCCCTCTGAACAAAGCGGGCGTGTGACCCTCTGCGCACCCCTAAACCGTGCACTCACCCGCTCAGGCCTCAGTTTCCCCCACTGTCCAGCGGGGGTGGGGTCCCGGGCTGGGAGCCACGCGAACGCCCCCACGGTCCTCTCTTCTCGGCCGCCTCCTGCCGGGTCCCCGACCGCACCCCCTCCCGTAGGGCACGGGTCACGTGACTCGAAGCCCACCTCCTCCCGGGGAGGGGCCGGGCCTCGGGGACCCAGCGCCGGAGCGTCGCCGGGCAACAGTGCCCGCCTGGTCTTCGCCTCCCAGCAGGGGCCCGGCCCCGCCCACTGGGCGGACGCCCCGCCTCCGAATCGATCACGTGAGGGGGCCGCAGCGCTCGAACAATCCCGCCCTCTCGTTGCCGTGACAACCGCCTTGTAGGCACACTCTTCTTAAATCCGGGCCCTTGGTCCCCCGCGCGGGCGCGGGTGGATCTCTCGGGCTCTGACTTGTTTTCGGGTCACCTTCAGGCTTCAGCCAGGCACCTGACGCCTCTTTCCCCTCACGGTGCCAGGGCCGGGCCGAACTACATTTCCCAGGAGGCTCCGCGGCCAGGTGCAAACAGCGCCGTGCTGACTACATTTCCCAGACAGCCTTGCGGCGGCCCGGGCCTTAAAGCGTCCATTTCCCAGCGGCCCTCCGCTGCGAGACCGCAGCCCTTCTCTGGAGTCTCAGAGCCGCAAGACACCACGACTCCCAGAGGACCTTGCGTCGGGCAAGAAAGACTACACCTTCCAGAGGCCTCTGCGGCGCCGCGACAGGAAGCGGCGGGCGAGCCGAGTGTCCTTGCGCGTGGATCCGAGCGACCATGGTGGCCCGGGTGTGGTCGCTGATGAGGTGCGTGGGGGCGCCGGAGGGGACCCGAGTCCCCGAAAAAGTCCATTTTTGTGGGCATCCCTGTCTCCAGTCTGGTCCCGATCTGCTCTTCGCTTCCCTTAGAGTCACTTCCCCTTCGTTCCCCGCCTATGGGCCAGATAGGGAAACTGAGGCTTCAGAGGGGCGGGGCTTCCCGAGGTCGCCAATCCCCTCCCTCCTGCTTCCCAGCGAGCCCTTGGCGTTCAGTTCGCGGTGTCAGCCTCCGCCTCCGAGCCTCAGTTGTCTTCTCTGTGAGGTGGGAATGCCGGTGAATCCTGCCGCTGGCGTGGATGAGAAGTGAATGCGTGCTCGGAGCTGCGAGTGACAGCGGGCAGGAGGCGCCCAGGGACACTTGGTTTCTCCAGGGCTGGAAGGCTTCTAGAAGGTCAAGATCTTACGTCTTCACTGCCCCTGCTCACTGTGGGACTTTGAGTGACCCACTCTCCCCCTCTGGGTTTCAGTTCATCAGTTCAAGTGGCGTCCAGCCGCCCTGCCTTGCACGTTGTAAAACGAGTGCTGTATATAATAGGGGTCTGGGTCGACGGTGCTGCACTACAGAGTGTCACCCTGTGGACGGTGAGCCCTCAGGAGGGTCTCACTCTCCCCGTGGGCCTTGGCCCCTGAGGGTGGCTGTCAGTGTCCGCTGAGCTTCTGCTCCTCCCGTCCCTGCCCGCAGGTTCCTCATCAAGGGAAGTGTGGCTGGGGGCGCCGTCTACCTGGTGTACGACCAGGAGCTGCTGGGGCCCAGCGACAAGAGCCAGGCAGCCCTACAGAAGGCTGGGGAGGTGGTCCCCCCCGCCATGTACCAGTTCAGCCAGTACGTGTGTCAGCAGACAGGCCTGCAGATACCCCAGGTACTACGGGCCGGGAACGAGGCCAGGGTTTGGCGGGTGGTCAGCTCTGGGAGGTCCCTCCAGCCCTGCACGATGTTGTCCTCCATATTGATGCTGACCTGATTCTCCGGCCTGTCCTCCTCCCTCCGCCTCTGGGGATGGGCTGCTGAGCCTTTTCACCAGTTCTTTCTGCCCATCTCTTTTTCCCAGCTCCCAGCCCCTCCAAAGATTTACTTTCCCATCCGTGACTCCTGGAATGCAGGTAAGGCACCCAGTTTCTTTGCTTGGAGGGAGACACCCCAGTCTAGCCCCTCTCCCCACTTCCTGGCCATTCCTTTCTGTCCATCCTCCTTCCTGCCCGACACGTGTCTCTTAGGGATCTAAAAGGGAAAGGAGGCCGAGCACAGTGGCTCACGCCTGTAATCCCAGCACTTTGGGAGGCTGAGGTGGGCGGATCATCTGAAGTCAGGAGTTCGAGACCAGCCTGGGCAACATGGTGAAACCCCATCTCTACTAAAAATACAAAAATTAACCGTGCGTGGTGGTGCACACCTGTAATCCCAGCTGCTGCTTGAGAGGCTGAAGCAGGAGAATTGCTTGAACCCAGGAGGCAGAGGTTGCAGTGAGCCGAGGTTGCACCACTGCACTCCAGCCTGGGCGACAGGGCGAGACTCCATCTCAAAAAAATAAAATACAAAAATTAGCCTGGTATGGTGGCGCACTTGTAGTCCCAGCTACTTGGGAGGCTGAGGCAAGAGAATCGCTTGAACCCAGGAGGCGAAGGTTGCAGTGAGCCGAGATTGCACTACTGCACTCCAGCCTGGGAGACAGAGTGAGACTCCATCCCCGCCCCCCACCCACCCCCCACCGCCCAAAACAAACTCTAGAGTTTCCCAGGGGTTGGAGGCTGGGTGAGGCTGGGAGGGGAGTATCACCAGTGGCCGTCCCTTTCCCACAGGCATCATGACGGTGATGTCAGCTCTGTCGGTGGCCCCCTCCAAGGCCCGCGAGTACTCCAAGGAGGGCTGGGAGTATGTGAAGGCGCGCACCAAGTAGCGAGTCAGCAGGGGCCGCCTGCCCCGGCCAGAACGGGCAGGGCTGCCACTGACCTGAAGACTCCGGACTGGGACCCCACTCCGAGGGCAGCTCCCGGCCTTGCCGGCCCAATAAAGGACTTCAGAAGTGTTCCCTGACCCGTGTGCTGGCCCCAGGGAGCACAGGGTTGGCCTGGTGGTGCCCAGAGCACCGAGGCCTGGGCTTCTGGCTCCTGATGGCTTGTCAGGGCTTGACCTTGACCACAGGCCATAGCACTCCCCTTTGCCGTCTGCTCTGGTGCGGGGAGTCAGAGGTCAGAGCGGCTGCTCCCGGTGCTCCAGAGGCTGTGCTCTGGGGCCAGGAAAGTGCTTTGGCCAAGCCTGGGTTGTGGAGGGTCTTGGTTTTGGAGGGCTGAGACCAGGGTAGGACAGTGGAAGAGCCAGAGTGGATAGAAGTGGGGTCTGCTTCCCTGCGGGACACAGGGCAGGAGCCCCCAGGGCCACTGGTTCCTGCCCTCCTCAGCTCCTGTCCGCAGTCCTGTCCCGGCCCTTCCTTGGCCGGACTCCACCCTCATTCCACCCTCTCCCGACAACCCTAGCAGGGGAATCCTGGTCATTGAAGGAAATCCAGGTGTTTGTTGCCATTCAGAGGGTCTCCCGGACATTGCCTCTCCCCTGGGACGCCTTCCCTGACACCCCTGCCGCACACTGGCCAGGCTACCTGGCAGCCTGCATGGTTCCCCCGCATCAGGCATGAGCCCTGGGAGGCTCCCAGCACCCAGCCACAGAGGGCGATCCACGGGGTTGGGTGATGGCAAGAGGCCTGTGCCCAGAAACCAGTCTGGTGGCTCCAGACACATGGGGGTGGTGGGGAGCTTGGGTGGGGCCAGAGGCCTCCGTAGGATGCTGCCCTGGGAGCAGGGAGCAGACAGGTGATGCTCACCGAGCTGGGACAGGGTCCCCGTTCCCATGAGTTCAGGGGTTTATGTTGCTTGGTATAGGGAACTGAGCTTAGGAGGGGACAGCTGTTACAGAGGAGAGGAGCAGAGACTAGAGGCCGGGGCATCTCCCCCACTGTCCCACTCAGAGAGGAGAAGCCACTGGCCTGAGCAGGGCGTAGGAGGGGTGTGGCTGGGAGCAGCGGCCTAGTCTGGTAGAAGGGGAGTCCACAGGGCCTGCCCACCCCATTCCCCCCAGGAGCGTGGTCCCGGGACAGGTCCCCCACATCTGATATGCCCCTGTCCTTACTGGGCCTTAGCAGTGGTGGGGGCAGGTCTAGGGTGAGGGAGGGATGAGCAGGGCAGGGGAGCATCACTGACCCTCAGTGCTGCAGGAGGAAGCCGGTGCTCGCCGGAGCACCCACGCACTCACTGTCCCCTGACACTGTCCACCAAGTCCTTCCCGAAGGCCCAGGAAGGAGCAGACTGCAGGCCCATTTTACAGACGAAGAAACTTGCACAGACAGACAGTTCTGTCTGCCCAGCCTGTCCGGAGCCCAGGCTGTTCACCACAAACCCTCGCAGGGGATGCAGAATTTCTAGTCGCCTCGCACCCAGGCACCCAGCCCCAGCCCCAGCCCCAGCCTGTGAGGACAGGAGGGGTTTGCACTCGGTGCTGTGATGCCATGGCTGGGCCAGAGGGCGTCCGTCCGCTCCAGGAGGCCTCTGCAGCCTCACACCTGTTACCGTCACTGTTAGAGGGGAAGGACTGGACGAGGCCAGTGAGCAGCTGCTTTCTGGCCCCTCCCCTCCATCCAGGCGGCCGGGTCCTGCAGCTCCACGAATGTGGCTTAGTTCTTCCCTGGGGTCACAGGCTTTATCCCATGAGTTCGTCCTCACCCATCCACTGGCACCTGTGTGCAAGAACATGCCTGGGGTCAGGGGAGTTGGGGGGCCATGGAAGTGGAGCTCCAGAAAGCAGAGGTGGCTGAGGCAGGTCTAGGGGTGACTTTGGGAAGGCGGGAAGGGGCTGGGGAAACACCTGACCACACCCACAGCCAAGACCACAGAGCAAGGCAAGGCTGGCATGTGGCACAGTGCCATTTGACAGCTGGGGTCACTCGATAGCTGGAAGCAGGACGGGCTAGGAACGGAGTCCAGGGAAAGCTAGCCCATCACGATGTGGGCTGGGCAGAGCTAGAAGAGAGAGCAGGGGGAGTCCATAGGCGGAGGCCAGCTGGGGCTGGGGCGTGGGGGACACCGAGTGGCTGCCCTTCCTTTCAGCTGTCACCACAGCTGCCCGTGGTCCCGCTCCAGCCTTGAGCGCACTTTGCCCGGCCCTGGCCTGGAGTGAGTGCTAACTCGCCATCCCAAGGAATGGTGGGTGCAGCAGAAATGGAGGTGATTAGCTGGGTGCGGTGGCATGTGCCTGTAGCCCCGGCTGAGGCAGGAGGATCACTGGGACATTGAGTCTGCAGTGAGCCATGACTCCACCACCGCACTCCAGCCTGGGTGACACAGTGAGACCCTGTCTCTTAATAATAAAGCCAAGGTAACCAGGAGCAACGTGAGCCCTGAGGGTCCCCAACCCTGACTGGGGGGATGCTGGGCTCAGGGTCTCCATGGTACCAGCCCAGAGCATGTTCAGCCCACCTTTGGCCCCATCCATCCGGTGCCATACGGGCCAGCGGCAACCTGGCTTCTCCCCGTGTGGGCTGAGTGCTGAGCAGCCAGTTTTAATTAAATCTGAAAGGACAAGGTGACAACCGAAGCAGCTGACAGCCACGCGTCTTCCCATCTAACATGGTCCTGGAAATGAGTTTGCTGTCAGTAGACATGTAGGATTTTATAGGCTCAGAATAGGGGAGGGGCAGGCCATAGATAGTATCAGAAAGGGCAACATTCGACTGGTTAAAAGGCATTGTTCAGAAAGAATCAACCAGGAAAGGGTGGGCAAACAGGAACAGAAGTTCTCACTCTGGGTGGTGGGTTTCCTCCAGGACCAGCAGTCTGGTCTTTCAGCTTTTGGGCTATTTTTGGCTTGAAGGTGGGGTTTCACTGGGACCTGTCCCTATCTGCCTAGACACTTGGCTGCCTCCTGTCACTTTCAGTAGTGATCCCAGTGAACTTGGGCTTAAGAGCTGCTCTACGCCTTGGCGGAATTCAGTTTTTGGAGCTGGAGGGAGAGGGAATGCAGTTCTGTGATGGCGCCTTCATCCCGAAATCCTAAGAGCAGCTCAGTAGCCTCATTTTACAGGTCAGCAAACGGAGGCTCAGAAAACTGCAAGAACTTACCTGGAGGCAGGCGATGGCAGAGGCAACAGTGGAAGCCCTGTGCTCTGACCCCTCT
Organism: Homo sapiens; assembly: GCF_000001405.40. Classification (NCBI taxonomy): domain Eukaryota; kingdom Metazoa; phylum Chordata; class Mammalia; order Primates; family Hominidae; genus Homo; species Homo sapiens. The sequence goes on along the minus strand of NC_000019.10, from coordinate 5,675,284 downwards.
GCTGGCCTCTGGTGGCACTGATGCCACCGGAGGGCTGGTGTCCTTCATCCCCAGGGGTGGTCTCTGGAAGAAGGAAGAGGCAGGCCAAGGGGAGGGGTGGTTTCCTTGAGGCTGAGGCTGAGGCTGAGGCTGGGAGAGAACTTCCAGGCCTCAACCCCCACACCATCTCTGCATTCCAGGGGCACCAGGTCCCTGCACACCCTGCCTCATCTCACCTTGCAGGAGAGTAAGACCCCTCCCGTCCTCATCCTGGCAGACTCCTCTCCTACAGGCAGGGTCACCATGCCCCTGTTCTGAGGCACAGTTCAGCACCTTTTCTTCTCCTTGGGCACCACAGTTTGCGTTTGTGTGACTTAGCTCAACAGGATGCAGGCTCCCTGAGGGAAGGGACCATATGTTAATAGTAGGCGTGTTCCCAAACCCCAGCATAGAGCCTGGGGTATGGAAGATGATTAGTAAGCATGGGCTGGGCGCAGTGGCTCATGCCTGTAATCCCAGCACTTTGAGAGGCCGAGATGGGTGGATCACCTGAGGTCAGGAGTTCCAGACCAGCCTGGCCAACATGGCAGAACCCCGTCTCTACTAAAAAAAATACAAAAATTAGCCGGGCGTGATGGCACACGCCTGTAGTCCCAGCTACTGGGGAGGCTGAAGCAGGAGAATCACTTGAGGCAGAGGTTGCAGTGAGCCGAGATTGTGCCACTGTACTCCAGCCTGGGTGACAGAGTAAAACTTCATCTCAAAACTAAATAATACTAATAATAAGAAGAGGCCGGGCGCGGTGGCTCATGCCTGTAATCCCAGCACTTTGGGAGGCCGAGGCGGGCAGATCACAAGGTCAGGAGATCTAGACCATCCTGGCTAACACGGTGAAACCCCGTCTCTACTAAAAATACATAAAATTAGCCAGGCGTGGTGGCAGGCACCTGTAGTCCCAGCTACTCGGGAGGCTGGGGCGGGAGAATGTCATGAACCCAGGAGGTGGAGGTTGCAGTGAGCCGAGATCGTGCCACTGCACTCCAGCCTGGGCGACAGTGTGAGACTCTGTCTCGAAAAAAAAAAAAAAGAAAAAAATAATAAAAAGATGATGATTAGTAAGCATGGATGAATTAATGGATGAGTATAGTCAATGGCTTGATGGATTAATGAGTGGATGGGATGAGTGGTTAGATGGGTAGATGCATGCATTCATGGGTGAGTGCGTAGATGGATGATGGGGTAGATGGGTGGGTAGGTGGATTGGGTGGATAGGTGGGTGGGTGGATGGATGGATGGATGACTGGGTGGGTGGATGAATGGATGGATAGATAGGTGGATGAATGGGGTAGATGGATGGGGTGGGTGAGTGGATGGATGATGAATGGATGGGTATGTGGATGGATGGATGAATGGATGGATGGATGGGTGGGTGGTTGGATGATTGGGTGGATGGATGGATAGGTATGCATGGGTTAGATGGAGGATGCATGGGTTAGATGGAGGATGGATGGATGGGTGGGTGGTTGGATGATTGGGTGGATGGATGGATAGGTATGCATGGGTTAGATGGAGGATGCATGGGTTAGATGGAGGATGGATGGGTGGTGGGTAGACGGGTGGATGGATGGGTGGTGGGTAGACGAGTGGGTGGATGGGTGGGTGGGTGGATAGATGGATGGGTAGGTGGGTAGGTGGATGGACGGATGGGTGGTTGGGTGGGTGGTTAGGTAGGTAGACAGATGAATGGATTAGATGAAGGATGGATGGATGGGTGGGTGGGTAGGTGGGTGGATGGATGGGTGGGTGGGTAGGTAGGTGGGTGGATAGATGGATGGGTGGGTGGGTAGATGGGTGGATGGATGGGTGGGTGGGTGAATGCGCTGGTGGATGGATGTATGAGGACTGGTTTGTCTACTCCACTTACCCACAAAGCAATGGTCCATCTTGGTTCAGAGAGTCTTGCCAGTGAAGGCCTGCTGTTGGGGAGAGCCTAGCATTGTTGGGCTGGCTGCCACTAGAGGCACGGCCAACAATGAAGACGTTTCCCTGGCTGAGGTGCAGGCCGAAGTGGACACTCATGTACGTTGCCGTGCTGAAACTAAGGGCAAGGTCTATCCCTCTGGGACCTGGGCTTCAGCTGCTTCCTGGAGACACGTGTAAGGATGGGGACCAGATTTGGAGGGAAAAGACTCCTCTTACTGTATAGAACAACCTCAAGAGACCACCAAGTAGCCCATGGCCAGAGACTTTTCACTCCCAGAGTGTTAAAAATACATGGTGCTGTCCCCTGTGGCCATTCCCCTCTTCCCCCACAGCCTTCTGGCAGTTTCTCCCACAAGTTTGCTCCTGTTGGCCTCAGAGCCTTCAGTGTGTTCCCCCAGCCAGGAAACGCCTCCATTCCTTCTGTGGCCAGGGCAACCTGTACCATGAAGCTGCACTTCCTTTTATTGAGATGGAGTCTTGCGCTTCTCCCCCAGGCTGGAGTGCAATGGCGTGATCTTGGCTTACTGCAACCTCCACCTCCTGGGTTCAAGCGATTCTCCTGCCTCAGCCTCCTGAGTATCTGGGATTACAGGCGCGGGCCACCACTCCTGGCTAATTTTTGTATTTTTAGTAGAGATGGGGTTTTACCATGTTGGTCAGGCTGGTCTCAACCTCCTGACCTCAAGTGATCTGCCTGCCTCAGCCTCCTGAAGTGCTGGGATTACAGGTGTGAGCTACCGCACCTGGCCTTTTTTATTTTTTCGAGATGGAGTTTTGCTCTGTTGCCCAGGCCGGCGTGCAGTGGCATGATCTCGGCTCACTGCAACCTCCGCTTCCCGGGTTCAAGCGATTCTCCTGCCTCAGCCTCCTGAGTAGCTGGGATTACAGGTGCCCACCACTGTGCCTGGCTAATTTTTTCTATTTTTAGTAGAAGCGGGGTTTCACCATATTGGCCAGGGTGGTCTCGAACTCCTGACCTTGTGATCCGCCTGCCTTGGCCTCCCAACGTGCTGGGATTACAGGTGTGAGCTACTGCGCCTGGCCTAAGCTGCACTTCATAAGCTCACCACATGCACGTGTGCCCACCTTGAGGGCAGGCACTGATTGGGTCTGTTGTGTGAACACATCTGGTCAGTGCCGGGGACCCTGCTTGAGAGGCGGGCTGTGGAAATGGGAGTTGAATGAATGGGTGGTTCGAAGCTTGGATCTTTTCCACTGCCAGTTGATTGTCCTCACTCGTCAGTTCACCCTGCTAGGCATCAGTTTTCCTGTCTGCAAAATGGGGTTGTACAGCCTCCCGGGGTTATATTGAGGATGGTGGGGAAGAGCAGGTACAGCTCAGTGCCTGGCTGACAGCAGGGCTGAATCCCCGTCCTTCCCTGTGTAGCAGGACAGCAAGGGTGCTGCCTGGGCATTAGAAGTAGAACATCCCATGCAAATGACTCAAGACTGTGGCCGGGGAGAAGCACTCCGAGGCATCTCTCCTGCCTAGGAGACTGGGCTGCCTGCGTTGCCTCGTGCCTGGAATCCTAGCACATTGGGAGGCCAAGGCAGGCGGACTGCTTGAGCCCAGGAATTCAAGACCAGCCTGGGCATGATGAAACCCCATCTCTACAAAAGATACAAAAATTAGCCAGGTGTGGTGTCACCCACCTGTAGTCCCAGCTACTGGGCAGGCTGAGGTGGGAGGATCGCTTGAGCCCAGGAAATGGAGACTGCAGTGAGCTATGATTGCACCACTGCACTCCAACCTGGGTGACAGGAGACTGTCTCTCACACACAAAAAGCTTGTAGCAATTTGTTACAGCGGCCCTAGAGAACTCCATAACTGCCATAGATTCTGATTCGTAGGTCCATGTAGGTGATGCAGTTAGGGTTTAGAATCATTGCTGTGGGCATTTGGTTCTTACAGGTACAGTGTCCAATCTGTGCCCTCAGTTTTCTCTTCTGTTAACTGGGGCTGATAATGACACCTGGGAGGAATGTATGAGGCCATGTAAAGCAGTTAAATGGGAGTCTGGGCCAGGTGCAGTGGCTCATGCCTGTAATCCCAGCACTTTGGGAGGCCGAGGGAGGAGGATCACGAGGTCAGGAGATAGAGACCATCCTGACTAATACGGTGAAACCCCATCTCTACTAAAAATACAAAAATTTAGCTGGGCATGGTGGCGGGTGCCTGTAGTCCCAGCTACTTGGGAAGCTGAGGCAGGAGAATGGCGTGAACCTGGGAGGCGGAGCTTGCAGTGAGCTGAGATCGCGCCACTGCACTCCAGCCTGGGCAACAGAGCGAGACTCCGCCTCAAAAAAAAAAAAAAAAAAAAAAAAAAAAAAAAAAAGAGTCTGTAGGGACATGCCCCAGATGTTCACAGACCTCATCTCTCTCTGCTAGTGGAATCTGTCATTTCTTTCTTTCATTTCTTTTTTTTTTTTTTGAGACGAAGTCTTGCTCTGTTGCCCAGGCTGCAGTGTGTGATGGTGCGATCTTGGCTCTGCAACCTCCACCTCCTGGGTTAAAATGATTATCCTGCCTCAGCCTCCTGAGTAGCTGGGACTAGAGGCGTGCACCACCACACCCAGCTAATTTTTGTATTTTTAGTAGAGCCAGTGTTTCACCATGTTGGCCAGACTGGTCTCAAAATCCTGACCTCAGGTGATCCACCCACCTTGGCCTCCCAAAGTGCTGGGATTACAGGCCGGAGCCACCGCACCCAGCCCGTCATTTCTTATTTCAAAAAATACCCCCTAAAACCCAAAGAAATGGGGTCTTGGTATACTGTCCAGGCTGGACTTTAACTCCTGGCCTTAAGCAATCTTTCTGCCTTGGCCTCCCAAGTAGCTGGGATTGATTACTGGCATGCACAACTGCATATGGCTCAAAAAAAAAATGGGGCCGAGTGCAGTGGCTCACACCTGTAATCCCAGCACTTTGGGAGGTCAAGGCAGGCAGATCACCTGAGGTCAGGAGCTTGAGACCAGCCTGCCCAATGTGGTGAAAACCCGTCTCTACTAAAAATGCAAAAATTAGCTGGGCATGGTGGTGGGCGCCTGTAGTCCCAGCTACTCAGGAGGCTGAGGTAGCAGAATTGTTTGAACCCAGGAGAGAGAGGCTGCAGTGAGCTGAGATCGCACCACTGCACTCTCCAGCCTGGGAGACAGAGGGAGACTCTGTCTCAAAAAAAAAAAAAAAGTACAGAGAATGTGAACAGCTTGAATTTAAAAAAAAAAAAAAAGGTACGAGGGGAAGGCTGAGAACGTGGTTGCTGGGGGTTACCACTGGGTTCCTTCCCGGATGTCACATCCCTTCTGAAGAGAAACATTCCGTCTTCGCCAGGGACGGGTTGCAAGAAAGGCGAGCACAGGACCGAGTTCTGGCTAAGGAGCCTCAGGGGTAAGTTTGCCAAGAGGCCTGTGAGTTCAAGTCCCCGTTCCTGCCCTTCCTTCTCCTGCTGGATAGCCCCGATGATGCCCACACTGTGGGTGGATAGGATTTTTGGAGCTGTTTCAGCCATCCATCATCCATGAGAGTCCCAAAATCCTCAGAGAAACAGAGCCTGAGGTGGGCTGCAGTGAGCCCCGGGAACTGCCTACCTACAAACTTCCCGTTAAGGCAGGAAAGGGCCCCCCTTTACCATCTAAGCCACCACTGGTATTGGTGGGGTCATCTGTCCTTTGCAGCTGAAGGGACCCTAGAGCGTTACTGGGGCTCCGCCGTCTTCCTCTCTGCTGGACACTGCTTCCTCCCCGCTCTCCACTACAGTGAGGCTTACAAAATGGGGGAGGCACTTGCTTCACAGTTTGAGGTATGTCCCAAGTCTGGCCTGGCTTCCTGGATTAGGACAGGTGCTGGATCCCAGATGCCGTGGCTCCAGCTTGCTGCTGGTGTGTGGAGGGTTGGCGTTGGGCTCGTCCCTTCCGGCTGACACAGAGGCCAGCCCTGGGCTGGTCAGAGCCCCATCCTGGCACGAGGGGGCTGAGCCTGTGCACAAGCACGCCTCGGGCCTGAGATGCTGCTGATGACCTTCAGCCTTCACTGCTTCCACCCGACTCTGCCGTGAAAATAGTTTGTCCTCTGAGTAAAAAGGTAATGCGGAAGCATCCACATGATGATGGTGCCTGGGCTTTGGCAAGTCAGTGTGGAGAGTGGCAGCTGGAAATCTTCGCAGGCTTGGTTCGAGTGTGATCCGCAGGGGAAGCATCCGCCAGTGTCCATCAACAGGGTTTGAGACCCCCACACCCTGACAGGGATGCCACCCAGTACCCAAGAGCAAAGCAGCCCGGTCTGTGCTAACATTAAAGGAGAACTCGGTGACTTGAGAAGTCAGGCAAAACCTGCACCGCACAGGCCCATTATGCGAAAACCAATCACTGTCTCACTGGAAAGCCTCTTCCACACCCGGATGCCTTCCCAGAGGTTTCACACATATTTAAAAATAAACAGAGTCGGCCTGGCGTGGTGGTTCACGCCTGTAATCCTACCACTTTGGGAGGCCAAGGCGGGCAGATCATGAGGTCAGGAGTTCAAGACCAGCCTGACGAATATGGCGAAACCCCGTCTCTACTAAAAATATAAAAATTAGCCGGGTGTGGTGGCAGGCGCCTGTAGTCCCAGCTACTCGGGAGGCTGAGGCAGAAGAATCACTTGAACCCTGGAGGTGGAGGCTGCAGTGAGCCAAGATCGCGCCACTGCACTCTCAGGCCTGGGTGGCGGAGCGAGACTCCATCTCAAAAAAAAAAAAAAATAATAATAATAATTAAAAAAAGGAACAATCAGTGTATATCAATACAACTAAAAGTCTAATTTCGTTTCATTTAAAGAGGCAGAAATAAAGAAATGACACTTTAAATAAAGGGTATGTGAACGGAAACACATTTATTACAAAAAAAAAAAACCCCAAAACGAAAAACAAATTCACATTGTATTGAGCTACAATATGGCAGCAGATTAAAAAAAAATATTTTTACACAGTTTAAGGTAACTCCTAACAGAACATAGCCTTGTTGCCACGAGACAGGACACAGGATTCCAAGTACTCAGTAGCGGCGAGTGAAGCGGGCATCGCTGGGCCTGCTCCCCCGGCTCTGGCCTCCAAACCCGCCCTGCATGCCACCGTGTGGGATGGGGTGGCCCCGGGAGGCCCCGCCTGGGGCAAAGCTGCCGCGCCTAGGAACAAATTCACATTGGTTTGACTGCGAAGTCCTCCTGCTCCCCGGCCCATCCCAGCCTGCACAGCTTCCCTGAGTGTTGCCTGCAGGCAGGGCCCCTTCCTAATGCCCTCCCCTCCTGAGTGGCAGCAGCCTCCACAGTACCCCATGCCTGGCCTCACGTCACCCTTGGGGGGAGGGGCACTAGCTGGAAGGACTTGGTTGTTAAGCCTCCAGCAAGGTAGGCCAATATGCAAAGCAGGGGGAAGGGGCGCCGCCCCCAGCATGCCTTACCCTGACATTCCTCCTCGGTTCATCATGTGGCCAGGCCCGGAGTGACCGGACATGCTTCTCTCGCCACCTGGAAGACAGACGTGCTTTCACACAGGGAACTTGCGCACACGGCGTGGAACCCACGGCACATTTAGCCCACTCCACTCCCTTTGGTGAGGCCCCCAGGTACCCACAACTAGCGGGTCCCAGGAAGACACCTGGGCACAGGGACCATAGACGTCCAGCTTCCTCCCAGCAGAGAGAACTCGGGAACGCCCACTGTCCAACTCCTGGGCCAGACCACCAGAGAGCAGGCGGTGTCTGGAGTGCTCTTCATTCCTCATTCCAGCACTGAGAGCAGAGCACCTCCTGTGCTCCCCCAAGGAGAGAAGGCGCGGCCTCCATCTTTCCATCACTCCCCAGCACATCCTGGTCCCAGCCCAGAGCTGCTCCTCACCTTGCCACCTCTTGTGATCCCTGTCCATCATGCCCCCGTCGGCCGTGCCCTGCCATGACCGGTCATCCTCTCTTCGGCCATGGTCCCCCCAGTCACGTCTGCCCCTTGAAAGAGAGACATCTCTGATTTGGATTGCCCCCATCTCTGGCTCTTGTGCTAATAACTGTGGCGGCTTCTGGAGAGTGAATCCCTCTGTGTTTCCCACCCTGTGCCCACATCCCAGCGACTTGCGGGCCCCCTTGTGGGCGGGGGGGGGGTCAGGTACTGTCGGGTGTGGGACACAAACCTGGGGGGAGGAGGCAGCCCCCGGCCCTCGCTCATCCTCTTGTCAGAGCCATAGCCCCCCCAGCCATCGCGGGAGTCCCGGCCGTGGCGCTCTGGTCCTCCATGGCGTTCTGGGTAATGCTGGACATCACAGAGCCAGAAGGGAAAAAAAAGCTTCAGTGTCAGCGCCCAGACCCCAAGGCTTTTCAGGCAACATGCTAACGATGACAACGACAGTCACTCGGGACAGAAGTGCTGGCAGGCTGTATCGGTTCACACAACACAGCTGCCTTCCTGAAATCTGCAGGCCAGAGGCCCTGTGCCCTAGGCTCATGGCCTGGTACAAAAAAGGTACTAGTACCAAGGCATCTCCAAGGCAGGTCCCCACAGCACCACCAGAGCTGGGAGGGCCACCAGGAGTCACCCACTAAAGATGATGCTTACAAGAGAGATTCCCTGGGTCCCACAGCTCAAATGGTTAGTTCCCAGAGCCAACAGTATTCTCTTACTGTCTTCTACTAAAGAAAGGTCAGGTTTATAAACCTTTAATGTGTGCATATTCTGGAAATAATTTTTACAAATTTCTTCCTTCCACAGTGAAGGAAGTATCAAATGGAGCCCTTCATCCGACCAATTGCTAGGCAAGCATCCTTCCTCACAGTCAAGTTTCTCGGAAGTTTCTGCTGGATGCCCAGTCCAGGGTCTTGCACCTTGCTCTGCTCAGGATATAAGACACAGGACACTGAGAGATAAACGGCTGGCCTTCCACTTGGCTAGTCCCACCTTTCCCTCTTCTGTGTCATTGTTTTTGTAAGCCACGTGGCTAACACAGACCAGGAGTTCTTGACCCTGCTGTTTCAGGGAAGACCAAGAGAGGGCGAGTCACACTCTATGCCTACTTATTTGATGGCCAAGGTTAATATTTACACCCACAGCCTATTTCTGTGGCTGGAAGCACTTTCCAGCCTGACTTTCACAAAAGCTAGTGAGGTAGCTTTGGCTCCACAGTCCTGTTTTTTCTCTTTCCACCAATACATATGTGGTCTCTGGGGTTTTTGCCCCATGACCACATTGTAGGTGAAAGGAAACTAGAAAGGAGTCCTGGTAAGGAAACCCCCTTGACACAGGCTGGTTGTTGTCCATGTCCAAGTTCACCTCCCCGTTCAACGGAGAGCTCTGCCAGGGTGAAGGGAGAGATGGCGGCATGCTCCACCACGTGCACGATGTCCCACGTTACCACTGCCTGCTTCCTGGCCTATCCTCCCAGCATGTGCTCTGATGCCTCCCCTCAACAAAGTAAGAAAAGGGACTCCTGAAATAAGCTCTCCTTAGTATTTGAAAATTGAACCAACATTTTTCTGTCCAACCAACCCACGTAACTGTTCAATGAGGCCCATAAGTTCTGTGCTAGTTTTCTCTGTAGGGAGATGTTACCATTTCCCTTTGGGGTAACTCTGACGACTCATTTATGACTGTGTATGTGAGGAGAAGGGATCAAACCGCGTTCCACTGTTAGGAGAGCATATCTAACACCTTCATGAAAGCAGCTGGTGGCCAGGTGTGCTGGCTCACATCTGTAATCCTAGCACTTTGGGAGGCCGAGGTAGGAGGATCACTTGAGCTCAGGAGTTCAAAACTGGCCTGGGCAACATAGTGAGATCCCGTCTCTATTAAAAAAAAAAAAAAGTAGCTGGCAATGATAAACACGTTTGTACAGATGCGCCCACCTCATGTAAACCCCCACCACCGCACCCTTTGTAGGAGGAATATTACCCTCATTTCACTCCTGGGGAGACAGGCTCAGCAGGAAGGGGTGACACCAAGGTGTGACGCCAGTTCTGATTCTGGAGCCTTTACATGGAACCATTGGTGTATGCTCCTCCACCAAAGAAAATCCACAAGACTAGTTCTACGTTTTGCTGCATATAATTTGCCTCCAGGAGCAGGGAAAAAGGAACCCCACGAGGCTGATGGAATTCCTGAGGATCCCGAGACAGAGCTGAGTACTTGGCTATGCTCAGCCACATTAAGGAACCAAGGGGGACAGAAGCGGGAAGCTTATGGTGGAGTCCAGAAAATGCTGGCAGGAGGAGGAAGGGCTCATGAGTGGAGTCCTCAGAGAGGAGGCATCTTCCACACAGCAATGTGCTGCCCCCAAGTTTATAGGGAAAGCCACTAGAGGTCCAAGGCTCTCCTGGGAAGTCTCAGTCTCAATGTAAGATGGAAGGAGAAAATGGAGCTTATTGTTCTAATGTGCTAGCCCCCGAAGAGAATGAGCACAGACCACAGATCTAGTTGTTTTCCAAGGCTAAGCTGGGCCCTGGGGTGATGAAGGATGTCCTTACTTTCAAAAGAGGGCAGGCACTCGAGGACAGACACAGCAACCACAGCCTCCCCAGATGCACCTGTCTGAGTCAGCTGTGCGGCTCACTAGACACTTCCCAGCAGAGCCAGGTCACATCCCAAGGTTCCCTGGCACTGTTGCACATGTGTGGTGAGTGTGGCACACAGAACCCCAGGGTCAAGGCTAAAAACAGCTTCAGAGTAACTGTTTGGACTGACAGCCAAGACTAACCCCAAATAATCCCAAATTTCCATTCCACAAACCTAGACTTTTCTAGTGCTTTACTTTTCTCTTTCCTCATTTTGCCTCTTGCTCAAAGAAAGGGCAGGAAGAAGGCACGCTGAAGGGAAAAGAACCCATTCTATGGGAAATTCTGTGGCTACCACTGTAGCTTCAGACTTACCTGTCCTTCTCGTTCTCCCATCATTGACCTTGAACCTTCTCTCCTGAAAAGGCAATTTAAATCAAACCGTAAGGGGAAGAAGAGGCTTGTTCACAAAGAGAGGACCATCAGGCCCCCAATGAAAAGCATAATTTCCCTAACTGAAGGCAGGAGACCTGCGGGTCTGACTCAGCATACATCTGATGAACGGAGTGGGTTCAGAGAGCCCAGGAGTCCTTGTTCTCAGTCAGAATGAGCCAGGAAAAAGAAAACCCGCACGCCCAGCAGGGGCCCAACTGACCTGTCCACCGAGTGGTCGGGGTAGCGGCCGCGGTCCCTGTGGTCAAAGTCGTGGAAGCGGTCCTGGCGGTTAAAGTCAGAATGGTAGCGCTCATCCAGGGCGGCCCGCTTGGCTTCCGGCCAATAGGCATCATCTCGCCTGTGAGGGGACATGAGACAGAGATAGAGGGATCCCCCACCCCAAATGTATCTATCACCTTTGTGGGAGCTGGCCCCTAGCACTTCACAGAACCAGGATGACTTTCACCAAGAGTGTTCTCTCCTATAGGAGGCAAGGTCTGATTTGACCCCAGTGACTGCACAGTTGTTTTGTTTTGTCCCATGCACCCACCTCCCCTGATGAAAAGCGGCCTCGGTTTTCCAAAGAGGGAGCCATTAGTTAAGCAGTCAGTCCTATGGGCTGCCTGCAGATGGCTTCTGGAGCCCTACACAGCCACCTCCGCTCAGGAAGACCACGTGAGCCTCCACCCCGAGGGGCTCTGTCAAGTGCACCTGCCATCTCTCTCGCCCCAAAGCTGACCTCCTGCCCTGCCAGCAGCCCTGGCCATGTACTGCTGCAATACACAGATGACCATAATGAACTGTCATCAGAAGGATTTCGTACCAAAGCATAATAGATCCTAGAACAGTTTACAAGGCCCTTTATAGAAGTTGCATTGTATATATGACCTGGGCTCCTCTTCAACCCATGCAATAGAAAGAAACAACAAACAGCAATTTTTGCCAGGTTGCAGTGCACGTGTAAAGCCTGACACAATCACTGCTGGAATTACACACCTGACTCCTCACAGCAGCCATGCTCAGCATTTTGTGTTCATACCTCCTCTTCAGTATGTTTGAGAAATTAAAATTAATCTTACTGCCGGGCGTAGTGGCTCATGCCTGTAATCCCAGCACTTTGGGAGGCCAAGGTGGGTGGATCACCTGAGGTCAGGAGTTTGACAGCCTGGCCAACATGGTGAAACCCGGTATCTACTAAAAATGCAAAAAATTAGCCGGGTGTGGTAGCACATGCCTATAATCCTAGCTACTTGGGAGAGTGAAGCAGGAGAATTGCTTGAACCCAGGAGGCGGAAGCTGCAGTGAGCTGAGATCACGCCATTGCACTCCAGCCTGGGCAACGAAAGCAAAACTCCGTCTCAAAAAAAAATTTTTTTTTAATTCTTTATTTCTAGAATAAGCAAAAACAAATTACAATGGATTTAAAAAGCCAGGACAAGGCCGGGGGTGGTGGCTTACGCCTGTAATCCCAGCACTTTGGGAGTCTGAGGTGGGTGGATCACCTGAGGTCAGGAGTTTGAGATCAGCCTGACCAACATGGCAAAACCCCATCTCTACTAAAAAAAACAAAAATTAGCCGGGTGTGGTGGTGGGTGCCTGTAATCTCGAATACTAGGGAGGCTGAGGCAGGAGAATCGCTTGAACCCAGGAGGTGGAGGTTGCAGTGAGCAGCGATCGCGCCATTGCACTCCAGCCTGGGCAACAGAGCGAGACTCTATCTCAAAAAAAAAAAAAAAGGAAAGGGCCTTAAAGGAGGTGCAGTAGGGCACGTGTGGCGCTCTCTACGTGCCTGAGCTTCCCTCCTCAGGAGGTCTGTGCCACCCTTGAACCTGGTTAGTTAACCAGCACTACTTTATCCAGCCTCCTGTCTCTAATTTTTTTTTTTTGAGACCGAGTCTCACTCTATTGCCCAGGCTGGAGTGCAGTGGCACGATCTTGGCTCACTGCAACCTCTGCCTCCTGGGTACACGCGATTTTCCTGCCTCAACCTCCCCAGTAGCTGGGATTACAGGCGCCTGTCACCACGACCAATTTTTTGTATTTTAGTAGAGACGGGGTTCTGCCATGTTGGCCAGGCTGGTCTTCAACTCCTGAGCTAAGGCAATCCGCCCACCCTGGCCTCCCAAAATGTTAGGATTACAGGCGTGAACTAGCGCACCCGGCCTATGCTTCCTTTGAATGAAAGATCTCAAGCTGGCCGGTCGCGGTGGCTCACAGCTGTAATCCCAGCATTTTGGGAGGCCGAGGCAGGTGGATCACGAGGTCAGGAGATAGAGACCATCCTGGCTAACACAGTGAAACCCCGTCTCTACTGAAAATACAAAAAAATTAGCCGGGAGAGGTGGCAAACGCCTGTAGTCCCAGCTACTCGGGAGGCTGAGGCAGGAGAATGGTGTGAACCCGGGAGGCAGAGCTTGCAGTGAGCCAAGATCGGGTCACTGCACTCCAGCCTCCGCGACAAAGCAAGACTCCGTCTCAAAAAAAAAAAAAAAAATCTCAAGCTAACTGGACTGTGAGGTCCCTAACACGATTCTGAACGCCACGTGCTAAGGGCAGCATGGATCTGCTTACCGGTCCAGGTCGTAGGGCCGCCGCACCGCGGGCCGCCGCTCCTGCTCATAGCGCAGTTCCTGCTGGCGCCTCAGCTCCTCGCGCTCACGGTGGATGCGCTCCTGCTCGCGCCTGCGCTCGTGCTCCACGTGCATGCGTTCGCGCTCCAGCCGTTCCCGCTCCATGCGCTCCCGCTCCAGCCGCTGGCGCTGGAAGGCCAGCCTCTCTCGGGCAATCTCCAGCCGCTCACGCTCCTCGCGCTCCCACTGCGCCTGCATGCGTTGTTCGCGTTCACTGCGTTCACGCACCCTGCTGCACAACAGTAGAGCTGCAGAAGGGGACCTAGACACCCCCAGCCAGGTCCCAGGGCTGACTTTAAGTAAGACGCTGGGTCGCACAGACTCCAGGGCTGTGCGTCCACTACGTGGTCTGCAGAACCGTACACTCCAGCGGGAAGAAGGCTTCTCGGGCCCACAGGAGCAGCCCAGGAAGATCTCAGGAGTGAGGCCCAGGCTGTGTGTGTGTGATCAGAACTGGGCCTCCTTTCTCCAACATTTCCTGGAGCTTGACAAGTGATTTCAGGAAACAGCCAGTCAAAAATAAGCAACAGGCCGGGCGCGGTGGCTCACATCTGTAATGCCAGCACTTTGGGAGGCTGAGGTGGGTGGATCATGAGGTCAAGAGATCGAGACCAGCCTGGCCAACATGGTGAAACTCTTGTCTCTACTAAAAATACAAAAATTAGCTGGGCATGGTGGCACGCACGCACCTGTAGTCCCAGCTACTCCGGAGGCTGAGGCAGGAAAATCACTGGAGCCCGTGAGGCAGAGGTTGCAGTGAGCCACTGCACTCCAGCCCGGCAACAGAAAAAAAAAAAAAAAAAAAAAAAAAAGCCACAGAGTATATGCTTCATAGCGAGTGAGTGTGAATTGGAACCTTCACTCCCTAGACCACAGGATGAAATGAGTCTTTGTGAGGTGGGGCTAGCAGGCCCCCCAAGTGTAAGGACATTAGCAGCTGTATCTTTTGGATACAGATGACATTTTAGTGCATTTCTCCAGTCTTTGTATATAAAACAGAACAGACAGGAGCCAGGCTGTCTTTTTTTTTTTTTTTTTTTTTTTTGGTAGAGATGGTTGCCCAGGCTGTTCTCGAACTCCTGAGCTCAAAACAATCTGCCCGCCTCCACCTCCCAAAGTGCTGGGATTATAGGCATGAACCACTGTGCCCAGGCTCAGATTTTCTTCTTTCGATCCTTTACCTACACAGTTATAGATATACAGCCTGGACAATATAGTGAGACCCCGTCTCCAGAAAAAATAATATTAGCCAGGCGTGGTAGCTACTTGGGAGGCAGAGGTGGGAGGATCAATCACTTGAAACCAGGAGGTAGAGGCTGCAGTGAACTATGATTGCACCACTTAACTCCAGCCTGGGTGAAAGAGTGAGACCCTGTCTCCAAAAAAAAAAAAAAAAAAAAAAAAAAAGGTGTGTGCAGGGAGCTACTTAAAAAAAAAAAGCACCTCAGTGCAGTATACCAACTACTGACACAGCATTTTCATTGTATTAGAAGTTATCTAGAAGTGATTTAAAGTGTACAGGAGGATGTACATGGGTTATATGCAGAAATACCACACAGTTTTATATCAGAAACTTGATCCTCTGCAAATTTTGGTATCCACAAGGGTACTGAGGCCAGTCGTTTCTGGGACAACTGTGTGTTTCTGTCCCAGCAGAAATGTATAATCTTGCCTCATAGTGTTCTGGACTCAAATGACTGCAACCTCCTTAGTTCACCCAACATGTCTTGGATCCGCCCACACCTGCCTCTGTGGATCTCAGCACCTTCCGGAGGAGCCCCTAGTATGAAAGGGCTGCGGTTTATGGGAACTTTTCAGTTGTGTCCAAATGCTCACAACCTGACGGGATACCCAAGCCCACACTTCCTTGTTCATAGGTTCCTCTACGCCAGATATGGAGAGGGGCCTAGGGTCTGGAACACTCTAGTGTTTAGCACGGCAGGCTCCTGTGGGGGCCCCCCAGGCTGCCCGTGTTCATTACTCCCCCAGCAGAAATGCCACCTGCCAATGCCTGCACTCACAGGACTATGGGAGACTTTGTTTTTTTTTTTTTTCTTTTTAAAGGAATAGGCTGGGCGCAGTGGCTCACGCCTGTAATTCCAGCACTTTGGGAGGCCGATGCGGGTGGATCACGAGGTCAGGAGATCGAGACCATCCTGGCTAACACGGTGAAACCCCGTCTCTACTAAAAATACAAAAAATTAGCTGGGCATGATGGCAGGCGCCTGTAGTCCCAGTTACTAGGGAGGCTGAGGCAGGAGAATGGTGTGAACCCAGGGGACGGAGCTTGCAGTGAGCTGAGATCGTGCCACTGTACTCCAGCCTGGGAGACAGAGCAAGATTCCGTCTCGGAAAAAAAAAAGGGAATAAAAGGGTGATAACTTTATAGGCAGAGCAGTGCCCTCTCCCCCTCCTTTTAAACTAATTGTCCTTATTTCTTATTTGAGACAGCGTTTTGCTCTTGTTGCCCAGGCTGGAGTGCAATGGTGGAATCTTGGCTCACTGCAACCTCCACCCCCTGGGTTCAAACGATTCTCCCGCCTCAGCCTCCCAAGTATATGGGATTACAGACATGCACTACCACGCCCAGCTGATTTTTTTTTTTTTTGAGACGGAGTCTCGCTCTGTCACCCAGGTTGGAGTGCAGTGGCGCAATCTCGGCTCACTGCAACCTCCACCTCCTGGGTTCAAGTGATTCTCCTGCCTCAGCCCAAGTAGCTGGGATTACAGGCACGCACCACCATACCTGGCTAATTTTTGTATTTTTAGTAGAGATGGGGTTTCACCACGTTGGCCAGGCTGGTCTTGAACTCCTGACCTTGTGATCCGCCCACCTCGGCCTCCCAAAGTGCTGGGATTACAGGCGTGAGCCACCGCGCCCGGCCCCCCGACCCCCCCTTTTTTTTTGAGATGGAGTCTTGCTCTGTCGCCCAGGCTGGAGTGCAGTGGCGCGATCTTGGCTCACCACAAGCTCTGCCTCCCGGGTTCACGCCATTCTCCTGCCTCAGCCTACCGAGTAGCTGGGACTACAGGCGCCCGCCACCACGCCCAGTTCATTTTTTGTATTTTTAGTAGAGACAGGGTTTCACCGTGTTAGCCAGGATGGTCTCGATCTCCTGACCTCGTGATCCGCCAGCCTCGGTCGGCCTCCCACAGTGCTGGGATTACAGGCTTGAGCCACCGCGCCTGGCCTACATGCCCAGCTAATTTTGTATTTTTAGTAGAGACTGCGTTTCACTATGTTGGTCAGGCTGGTCTCGAACTCCTGACCTCAGGTGATCCACCAGCCTCGGCCTCCCGAAGTGCTGAGATGTGAGACACTGCGCCCAGGGGGGTCCTTACTTTTAAAACTAAAGTTAACGAAGTATTTCATAGAAAAAATAAATTAGCTGTAATTCGCCAATAACGTTTGTGTTTACTTCTTGACTTATTTAAGAATGAGGCCCTGTCAGTCCTTGGAGCAGTGGCTCATGCCTGTAATCCCTGCACTTTGGGAGGCCGAGGCAGGCAGATCACTTGAGGTCAGGAGTTTGAAACCAGCCTGGCCAACATGGCCAAACCCCATCTCTACTAAAAATACAAAAATGAGCCGGGTGTGGTGGCTTGCGCCTGTAGTCCCAGCTACTTGGGAGGCTGAGGCAGGAGAACTGCTTGAACAGGGGAGGTGGAGGCTGCGGTGAGCTGAGATCATGCCACTGCACTCCACCCTGGGCGACACAGACTCCATCTCAAAAAAAAAGGAAGCCCTCTCAGTGCCCTCGCTGGGTCTACCTCACTGTCTCTCTTCCTGCTTTCACATCTTCTGGAGCAAATTTGGTATTTTTTGTTGACGAGCACTACTGACGCTGGAAGGCATTCCATCTCCCTGCCTTTGTTACCTTCTACAATCTTTGGGAAGAGACTTATTTGAAAAGAGCTGTAAGTAGGCCGGGTGCAGTGGCTCACGTCTGTAATCCTGGCACTTTGGGAGGCCAAGGCAGGTGGATCACCTGAGGTCAGGAGTTTCAGACCAGCCTAGCCAACATGGTGAAACCCCGTCTCTACTAAAAATACAAAAATTAGCCAGGTGTGGTGGCGCACGCCTATAGTCCCAGCTACTCAGGAGGCTGAGGCTGGAGAATTGCTTGGAGGCGGAGGTTGCAGTGAGCCGAGGTCACGCCACTGCACTCTCCAGCCTGGGCGCGACACAGCAAGACTCTGTCTCCAAAAAGAAAAAAGAAAAGAAAAGAAAAGAGCCGTAGGATGAAAGTTAAAACATAACAAGTCTATGAACTGAAAGCTGAAGGAGCAAAAAGGTTCACAGCTCTATCCCACCCCAGGGAACTCTGCAAACATCCTTCCAGAAGACAGTCATGACCACATTCTAGGAAAAACACCAAACCGTTCCTGGATCCCTACTCACCTATGGGACTCTGAGTCTCTTGACTTCCGAGGCTCCTTGACCTTATCAAAGGACACGACGGACCGCTTCTCTCTGCTGGCTGATTTGCGATCCTGGCTTTTGGAAGCCTAGTTCACCAAAGAACATTAAAAAGTTAAAGCAGAGGCCAGGCACGGAGGCTTATGCCTGTAATCCAAGCACTTTCAAAGTTCAGGGCGGGTGGATCACTTGAGATTGGGAATTTGAGACCAGCCTGGCCAACATGGTGAAACCTTGACTCTACTAAAAATATAAAAATTGCCGGGCGCAGTGGCTCACACCTGTAATCCCAACACTTTGGGAGGCTGAGACGGACAGATCACGAGGTCAGGAGATTGAGACCATCTTGGCTAACACGGTGAAACCCCGTCTCTACTAAAAATACAAAAAAATTAGCCGGGCATAGTGGTGGGAGCTTGTAGTCCCAGCTACTTGGGAGGCTGAAGCAGGAGAATGGCGTGAACCCGGGAGGCAGAGCTTGCAGTGAGCCAAGATCGAGCCACTCGACTCCAGCCTGAGTGACTGACTGAGACTCCGTCTCAAAAAATAAATAAATAAAAATAAATAAATAAATAAAAAATAAAAATTAGCTGGGCATGGTGGCGCATGCTTGTAATCTCAGTTACTTTGGAGGATGAGGTGGGAGGATCCCTTGAACCTGGGAGGCAGTAGTTGCAGTGAACCGAGGACGCGCCACTACACTCCAGTGTGGGCGACAGAGCGATACTCTGACAAAAAAAAAAAAAAAAAAAAATTGCTGGCGCAGTGGCTCACGCCTATAATCCTACCACTTTGGGAGGCCGGGACGGGTGGATCACTTGAAGTCAGGAGTTTGAGACCAGCCTGACCAACATGGAGAAATCCTGTCTCTACTAGAAGTACAAAAATTAGCCGGGCATAGTGGCAGGTGCCTGTAATCCCAGCTACTCAAGAGGGTGAGGCAGGAGAATCACTTAAAAACCCCCGGGAGGTGGAGGTTGCAGTGAGCTGAGATTGTGCCACTGTATTCCAGCCTGGGCCACAGAGTCAGACTGTCTAAAAAATAATAATAACAAATAAAAAATAAATAATAAAATAAAAAAATGAAAAAAGTTAAAAGTAGGTGTGATAGGGGAACAGGAAGAATCAGGTATATATATCCATGCCTAACCATCAGATGTGGAGGTCCTATGTGATGAATAACTTTTAGTGAAAAACAGATGAGCTGTTTAATCCAAACAAGCCTTACATTTTGCTTATCATAATTGAAAGACACAGAATTTCATCAACATTTAATGCTAAAATATGATCTAACAGTACATTTAATAGAGAAAAAATGGAAATGAGTATTGCCCCCGAAAACTTCATATAAGATCAAAACACCAATTTTTTATGTCTTTTGCTTCAAAAATAAATTTCTTAATTTTCCTTTTTCCTTCAATAATTAAACACACAATGAGTTCCCAAATGAAGCACTTCCGGTACACTTGACAAGTACCTTATTTGTGCCAATGACATTGTTAAGAGACCTTCTCATTTTATCCCTAGAACCCACACTTTCCTTTTTCCGTTTTCCAAAGGTGTTTTATAGAACAAGGGTAAAAGGCTATGACATATTATAATACTGGCACACAGAGACTGAAAGCTCCTAAGCAATCCGCTCCATTCACCAAGTGAAATGGTTCCTCCTCCGTGCAGCTGAGGGTTGACCAGGCGGGTCCAAGGTCCCTCTCCTTCCTTAAGGAGGGGCTGCTGCCAAGATTGGTCCTTGGCTGGCAACTGGGAAGTTGGCTCTCAGAGTGTCCCCAGTTGACAGTTAACCAGTAAGGGTGGCTCGGTGTGCACAGACCATGCAAATAATAGGTGTGTGTTTTTTTTTTTTTTTTTTTTTGAGATGGGGTCTCACTCTCTCTCCCAGGCTAGAGTGCAGTGCAATGAACGTGGCTCACTACAGTCTTGACCTCCCAGGTTTAAGTGGCATTCTCCCACCTCAGCCTTTTGAGTAGCTGGGACCACAGATGCATACCACCGAGCCTGCCTAATTTTTAAATTTCTTGTGAAGATGGGGTCTTACTATGTTGCCCAAGGTGGTATCCATCTCCTGGGCTCAAGTATCCTCCCAGCTCAGCATACCAAACTGCTGGGATTACAGGCATGAGCCACCATGCTCAGCTCACACTGCAGCCCAGCAAGAAGATAAGAGTACAGGAAGGGGTCAAGGTGGAGAGCAGGCTAGAGGGAGGCTGGCGAGATGGGCCAGGTCACCATGGCATGCTCCACACTGCTGGGTGTAGGAATGCATCACGGGGAGGTGCTGACACTTTCAGGGTAGACAGGGAACGTGGACTGCCACACACCGACTCAGGGAAAAGCCAACAGTCCCATATGTAAATTTTAAAGTTAGCTTTAGAAAATAAGTTAACAGTTATCAGAGCAAAAGTAAGGATAAAGGAAAGCTTTCTGCATTTCTTAAAATAATTTGAGGCTGGGCGCAGTGGCTCATGCCTGTAATCCCAGCACTTTTGGGAGGCCGAGGCGGGCGGATCACCTGAGGTGAGGAGTTCGAGGCCAGCCTGGCCAACATGGTGAAACCTTGTTTCTACTAAAAAGATAATGGTGTGCGCCTGTAATCCCAGCTACTCGGGAGGCTGAGGCAGGAGAATCGCTTGAGCCTGGGAGGCGGAGGTTGGAGTGAGCCAAGATCGCACCACTGCACTCTAGTCTGGGCAACAGAGTGAGAACCTGTCTCAAAAAAAATAGTTTGAGATTTCTACATTTTCGAAACGGCCGACAAAAGCTTTTTTCAAATGAAGCTTAGTAATTCCCTAAGACGCACACAGAAATACAAACTGAAAAGAAGAGCAAAATACCCTAGTTAGAAAATTAATACTCACTCTCTCTTTGGACCCGGACGTTTTTACACTAATCACAGGCACCCCTTTGGATTTATCCATTACTACAGTCCGTTCGGTCCCTCGACTTCCTACAGAAAAGACGGGGAAAGTGTAAGTGGAAAACCAAGAATACCCAGATGAGAAAAACCCTCTGCAACATGAATCCAGTTTCCGTTGCCAGCTAATCACAGCAAACTAACAAACTCCACTAGGCACAGAAACAAGACAGAATCTCCTGGGCTCATGAGCTGCCCACCTGACTTTGTGGCTCGAGATCGCTCTGAGGGGCCAGGTTTCTGATCATCTTGGTCCTTACTCTTTTCTCCACTTCCGTCGTCACCCTTCTTAGCATCATCTTTTCTGTCACATTTATCATCCCTCTTAAGGTTTGTAGATCTATAAAAAACAGACATGTTGGCTGGGCGTGGTGGCTCATGCCTGTATTCCCAGCACTTTGGGGGGATGAGGCGGGCGGATCACATGAGACCGGGAGTTCGAGACCAGCCTGGCCAACATGGTGAAACCCCATCTCTACTAAAACCACAAATGGGCATGGCTATAATCCAAGCAAATCGGGAGGCTGAGGCATGAGAATTGGTTGAGCCAGGGAGGTGGAGGTTCAATGAAAAGAGATCTTGCCACTGCACACCAGCCTGGGCAACAGAGTGAGATTCTGTTTAAAACACCCTGCCCCGGCCAGGCATGGTGGCTCACGCCTGTAATCCGAGCACTTTGGGAGGCCGAGGCAGGCGGATCACAAGGTCAGGAGTTCAAGACCAGCCTGGCCAATATGGTGAAACCCCATCTCTACTGAAAATACAAAAATTAGCCGGGTGTGGTGGTGCACACCTTAGTCCCAGATACTCAGGAGGCTGAGGCAGGAGAATTGCTTGAACCCAGGAGGTGGAGTTGAGGTGAGCCGAGATCACACCACTGCACTCCAGTCTGGGCGACAGAGCGCGACTCCATCTCAAAAACAAAACAACAACAACAAAAAACACCCTGCCCCTTTAATTTAGCCAGGAAGGAGGGGTACCTGTCACTGTTGCTCGACTTCTCCTTTTTCCCGTCACTGTCTCTTTTGTCAGAGGTTTTCTTTCCCACAGGTTCATTTTTGGCCTGAAAAAGAGAATCAAGTATTACCCCCATTTCCTAATGTGGGCTATATCCTGGGAAGAAAACGGCCACTCACTTTCTCCACGGAGATCATCTTTCCGTGGAGCTCCGTCTTGTGCAGGTGGTTAATGCATTTTGTGGCCTCTTCTGCTGTGGACATCGTGACAAAACCGTAACAGCGAGCTCCAGGACTCCGGGCATTTGTCACAACCTTGGCGCCCACCACCTCAAAGGAAAGCAGGCAAATATGACTCAGACATGAAGCCCACTGAGCGGGGCATGGGGATATGAACACCCCACAGGGAAGTCTGCTCATCAGGGGTCCGACAAGTGTTAGACTGGGGAGGACAATGCTACTAATGCTTCTGTTTCGCTGTTGTTCCTCCAAGGACCTCTGGCCAGTTCTAATCGCTCATCTAGTTCCTCAAGGGGGCCAGGAGGGCAATGTAGGGGAACAGACGAAAGGGAAATCAAACAGGGTTCTGCCAGTGTTCCTTTAATATGGTCTAAAACTTGTGAAGAAATGATTCCAAATATACAGTCATGCTACGTAGGTGGTAAATTATGAAGTGATGTAATGTGGGCAAAAAAAGAAAAAAGAAAAAAAAAAGACTTCGGCACAGACTGATGCAAGGAAAGGTCTGTGAGCCGTGCTCTGGAACTCAGATCTGCCCTATCATTGACTGTAACAAAACGCAGTGATGTGTTTCAGTTACTGTAGACACATCCTTTCCAGTCTACCTGGTTTTCTCGACTCCAGCAGGATGCAGTTAGGGTCGCCCTTTGACGGCAGAAGACACCATGGCTCAGGAAAAGCCCTGCAGCAGCCAGTGGCCGAGGCTGGTAATCATGCTCATCATGCCACATGGAATCCTAGTCCCAGAGGACATTCTCAGAGAGGCCCGGTCCTCTAATTAACCCACATCAGGCCTGCTGCGCTCAAGACACTACAGTCTCCAGGGCAACACTTCCCCACTGAGCACACCCACCCGCTGGGGGACGCCATGGAGTCAGGAAAGGGGGTCTAGTAGGGGAGACTTGGCGCAGGTGTTGCCAGCCACACACCTTGTATCACTGAGGCTCAAGAAGCCCTTAGTTATGTCCGTAATAATGACATAATTAGTTTTATCCTTTTTTTTTTTCTTTTTTTAAGATGGAGTCTTGCTCTGTCCCAGGCTGGAGTGCAGTGGCACGGTCTCGGGTCACTGCAACCTCCACCTCCTGGGTTCAAGTTGTTATCCTGCCTTAGCGTCCCAAGTACCTGGGATTACAGGCATGCGCCACCACGCCCGGCTAATTTCTGTACTTTTAGCAGAGACAGGCTTCACCATACTGGCCAAGCTGGTCTCAAACTCCTGACCTCGTGATCCACCCACCTCGGCCTCCCAAAGTGCTGGAATTACAGGCGTGAGCCACCACACCCAGCCTGTTTTATCCTCTTTTAAGTTCTTCGAAGTCAGTATCAGGGAAAACACTTGGTTTTCTATATTGCAATGTGTTGAACCCTCACTGTGTAACACAAAGGATTGGACTCCTTCCTTTGGTAGTCCCCGAAACCGACTCTGAGAGAGACGAGGAGCCCTGAATGCAGGAGGCTGTTTGGGAGGCAAGTCTGGGAAACACCAGGGAGGAAGGGAGTGAGAAAGCACAGGGAGGAGGGCCAGGCGGCTGCGCTGGGCACTGCAGGTAGGGGGCTGGTGCCACCAGCCCCACCTTCACGGGCTCAGGAAAGGCAGGTGCTGCAGACAAGAGGCCACTAGAACTGCCCCCAGTGGTGAACTGAGGCAGCAACTTTGAGAGCCCCCAGCTGCTGAGGTGAGGTTCAGTCAATGGACCCAAGACACCCGTGGTGAGGACCCCTATCATCAGACTCCAGGGTCCCTGTTCTGAGTTCTGAGTTCCAGCATCACGAACACTGTTCTAAGAACACTGCTGTCTCCCAGACATGCTGACCAGCACCCCACCAGCCAACCCTGGCAGCCCAGCCTGAGTGCGACGTCCTGAGGACACAGAAATGGATCCACGAGCCATCACAGGGAAGGGGGCAAGCTCGCAGAGAAGGGAGGGAAATACAGTGGTGATGTGGGCTCTGGAAGCTTCCACACCACTCTCACCTCTACCTGTGGACGGGCAGACCCTCCCCAGCCATTAGCAAGTGTAAGCTCCTTGGTATCTCTCAAAGAACTCACTGAGGGGAGAGGACCTCCATGTAAAGGCCACACAACGCTGGTTTCAAAGTATCTTCTCCAGAAAAGCTCTGGCACTTACCTTCCCATATTTGCTGAAAAGATTCTTCAAATCTGTAGCTCTGGTTGTAGAAGAGAGTCCACTAACCCAGAAATTTCTACCACAACTGCTGCGACCTATTTCAAAAGAAAATTCTAGTAAAAACCCAAATACCCACAAGATCTTGAGTCTTAGAGACAACCTTTCCAAAAGAGACATGGTTCCCATTTTTCCTGAGGCAGTGGCAGCACTAAAAGCCAAATGGGGCTGTGGGCCTGACCACTATCCTCACCAAGAGCCTCCAGTGCAACACCAGGCCCAGCAGCACTACCACAGGGCCCGTCACAATACTGAGTGGGGCTATTGGGACAATGTGAGGTTTCCTAAGAAAGTTAGCAATTGCGGGCCGGGTGTGGTGGCTCACGCCTGTAATCCCAGCACTTTGGGAGGCTGAGGTGGGCGAATCACGAGGTCAAGAGTTCGAGACCAGCCTGGCCAACATGGTGAAACCCCATGTCTACTAAAAATACAAAAAATCAGCTGGGTGTGGTGGCGGGCGCTTATAATCCCAGCTACTCAGGAGGCTGAGGCAGGAGAATCTCTAGAACCCGGGAGTCAGAGGTTGCAGTGAGCTGAGATCGCGCCACTGCACTCCAGCCTGGGCAACAGAACAAGACTCTGTCTCAAAAAAAGTTAGCGATCGCTTAATTACAGGAGGAAGTGCAGTGTGCAACGGCCATGTAGCAGAACAGTCAACCTTGGTGTCAACAATGCACTGTTTCTCTTTCCACGTATAGCTCTGTATCTATCCCATGTTTTTACTCCTTTAGAACACTGATTAAGAAGGAATTTGGTAGGGTAAAATTATTTCTCAGTTAATGCATTTAATGAAGGGTTACAGGATGAATGTGCTCCCAACACAAGGATCTGCACCAAATCAGCCTGTTAACTCTTAGGACCTGGTATGCTTCCTACAACCCAGAACCTGTAGCGGTAACAGCAGAGAAGGAGAAAGACTGCACAAACGTCTCAGGAGTCTCCTGGGTAAGGAGCATAGCACGCGATGAACCAGAATCAAATACCCGCCACTGCCCAGGCCATACATGCTCCAAGGGACTGGTGTCGCCGAGGTGACCTACCCTTTTCCTCTTTGGAAAGCCTTTTTGTATCCGAGTCATCTTCGGGAGAACTAGAGACAAAAGACAATGTCACTCCACAAGGAAGCAGCATGGAGGAAACAAACTCAAAACCATAAAATTCGTGCTGAGGTTGCATACCTACCCGAAATTTAGTTCTGAAAAAATGATACCCCGACAAACTTGTATTGAAAATCTGACCTAACCATAAGATTTCAGACCCACAGGAGTTAATTAATTCTGCTGGGCTAAAGGTAATTAGGAAGAATTTAAGAACACAACCATGGTAGGTTGAGAAAAAGAAAAGGAATTGAATCACCCATTAAAAACACACAAAGAGAAACGAAACATTCTTTAGAAGCAAAACTACAATTTCGTCAGTCTGGCTGGCCAATTGCAGAAAAAAACAGCTTATGTGTGTCATTACATGACCAATGAAAAGGAGATAGCGTCTGGTCTAAAACTGAGAAAAAACAAACCTCATTTTCTGATCAGCGCCCTCACTGGTTGAGGACTCTTTAGGAGCCGGAGGGACTTCATTACAAGCGTCAAAATCAAACTTCCTCCCGTCTTCTTTGCTATCTCTGGCTTCTGGGCTTGGGGCTTCCGTGGGTGCTTCTGCGAGCTCCTCGCTAGAGGCCTCCGCGAGCTCGGAGGCCGCACTACTCTGCTCAACTGCCGGCTCTAGCCCTACAGGCTCACAGTCCGTCCTCTCGCCATCGCCTGGCTGCTCCGCGGGCTCCCTTTTCACTACCGCTAACAGGCTGTCTGCCTTGCTCGACTGAGCGTGTGCTGTTGACTCGCTGGCCAAATCTAAATCACCCTCTTCCGGATGGGCGCTGTCAAATAGGTCCTCTTCCTCCGCAAGCTTTCTGTCTGGCCCCACGCTACTTGTGTCCTGTGCAAATGGCTGCTCCAGCTCGGAACTTTCTTCTTTTACTGGCTCAGATTTACAAGTTTCCCCCAAAATGTCGAGTATTTTCTCATTTTCTACGGATTTAACAGGAATAGAATGGCACAAGGTTTAATTACCAGGGAAATAAAGCAATCACAAATGTGGAACTGGCACGGCTGCCACACTAACACGAAGAGAACTGCTAGCTACACAGAGATTGGAAAACCCGCGGGTACACAAAGTTATACTGGTTACACTACCTGCGCCGCGACCGCCTCTAGGTAAGCCTCTACGCTACACGGAAGAGAAAAGCATCCCAGAGATTTAACCCCCAAAACCTTCTGGCTGATTCTTGACAGTCTTCATTCTGTCGTCGTTTAGATATGACTCTTCCAAATTTAGCTTCCAAAGTCCAAGTTGCTTAACTGAATGTATCACCATTCACTGAACAGCTCAATTTCCAAATTTCTTTGAATTTCTTTTAACAGAACAGTCCAACATGAAAACCAGAATCTCTTCCATCCGTGCTCTGAGATATTTGCAGTCCAGAAAGTGAACAGTGTTTGGAATTCTCATGAAGACACTCTTTCCTCTTCTGGAATCCAGTTATGTCTCAAATTTATGTTTTAAAATGTATCTCCCTACCACTACCTGAGCTGCCTCAATTAAAAACAACAAAATTAAGCTACTGCCCAATATCACAAGATCTGTTTTGTGGGTGCAGAGGTATTAGCTCTCAAGAGAGGCATCTGGAACTCTTTCTCTATGTATGATTCAATGCTGTTGATATTCAAAAAGGCATGAGATACTTTCATCTCACCAATACATTTTGTAAAATGAGAAGTGAGCCACTTTCACAGATCTGGTGATATGGCTGGGTTTCCAATCTCTATGATCCTGGTAGGTTTTGGATTGTAAACCTTTAGAACAATGTATACTATAGTAAGGTAACTTTTAAAAATCAAAGAATTCAAATTAGAGAAGGTGGAAAACTAGAATGGTTCCAAACCCCCGCTGGTAAGTTTTTCATTTAACAGTACCTGGCTCCAGGGATGGCTCTTCAATTTCCTGCAAGAAAAAACGTAAATAAGACTGTGCCAGATGAATGACACCTACAGTTTATTTAAATGAAAACCCAGAATAACTAAAGAGGGAATTTTAAAAATCCAGGGAGGGAAACTCACAAACTCAAGAGGTGGAGAACCTGCTTGTTCTAGGAATGGCTCCATAAGACTGGCATCCACTTCACTCAGCCCACCCTCCATTCAGTCTCCCCTGCAGGAGCCTGGAACTGGTCTCACTTCATGGTGAGGCACTCATCATAAGCACGCCTGACCCTCTAGATTGAACTCTCAAATTCAAGGAGAGCAGTGTTTTCATTTTTCTACTGTTAGCATCTAGAGGAATGCATGGCACATTAACAGTCACTTTTTCACTCAATGAAGCTACGACAACTTTCTGATATTCGAAAGACTGAGGGAATATGGGCCCAGGTGGTATGACTCCTGCTCTTACTTGGCATGGTGGTGCCAGCATGAAAAACTTTGTAAATACCCTCCCTCCTTCATCTCCTCTTCCAATCAGTGTTCCCACCAGGCCAGTTCTAGAAGTCATTCAGACTCTTCCCAGGAAGCCCTGTCCACTCAGGCTGGTGCCATCCTTGCCTACTGTGGCATCTGGTTGTATTATCCCCATCCCATCTCTCTGCACCTTGTGTCCACAGTAAGCTCATGTCCCTCTGTGGCCTTCAGCCTTCAGCCAATGGATCCCTATGCCACCTCCCTCCCTGACAGGCCCAGCCCTCCCCTGCCCCGTCCAGCCAAGTCATCCACATCCCTCAGTATCCAGCTCAGTGGCATCTCCTTTCAGGAAGGCTTTCCCTATTTCCCTCTAACCCAACTCCAGCTGTGCCCCACTAAGCAAAGGAGCTTTTTCCACATGATGTGATCCCCCAGCCTTTATGTTTCCTGTGCACACAAGGTACACTCCTCTGGAATTCCAGTCAACTGATGGGCACTGACTAGGTTCCAGGCACAAATGTAAGCACCTTACATACACACAGACTCGTCATCGGTTGCAGGAGGTTGGTCCTAATGGTAGCACCCTTCTTTTTACAGAGTAACAGACTGTGACCAGACAGACTGAGTAACTTGCCCAAGGACACACAGCAGGTGGGAAGCAGAGACAGGCTCTGAGCAAAGGCCGTGTATGAGTGTGAGTCTGCACTGTTAACCATCAGGCCAGGCCCCACGAGCATGGGGACCACCCTTCCTTCTCATTCATCTATGTAATGCTGGTAGTTAATGCCACACCTGACACATCACAGGGGATTCACATATACCCAATAAGTAGGTGTGACTGAATTATAACTTCCCCTGGGAACTGCCCTGCCATTCCAGGATGCTCTATGAAACTGTACACTTTCCTCATGCTTTCACTTATTTTTAATCAGTTTTTTCCCCATGTACCCTACCCCATGCTGGGAATTCTGACCATAGGACTGAAGCAAATCATCAATGTTGGCAGAATAATTCTTCCTCATTTTCTCTAAAGAGAAGCAAATACATTCCTATTTGTTTAGGAGAGACTGTAGGTTTCCCATTTTAACATGGGAGACTGTGACCAAGAAAGAGCCAGGGGAAAGTGACAAGATCCGGCTCCTCCTCTCCTTTCTGAGTCGGGAATGGCCGTGTCAATTTGCAGGTGGAGAGACGGCAGCTCTAAAAGCGAACTGGGTTTCACCACGTTTTCTTGAGATTTGTGCCCTCCTCAAGGTTGGAGCTCTGGCTTTCCAGTATCTCCCTTGCCCTTGCATGGCAGAAGCAAATGGAGATCTTTTCCAAAAGGGGATTTCTAATTACAATAACATAGATGACATTTAAAAAGAAGACGGGAAAAAAAATAAATAAATAAAAAGGCTGGGCAAAAGCTGGCTCGATCTTCATTTCTCCACAAAAAGTTCTCCTAAGAATTAGCCAGCTACCTAGGTAAGTGTGTTCTAACAATTTGTATCTATGTAGGCTGGAAAAAAAAAGGAAACTCAAGACCCACAAATATAAAAATCATACCTGGAAATTCTCAACTCATCTGTTCTCATCTAAGATTTAATATTTACAGAGATGCCAATGAAACAGGTAGGATGATACAGTCATTAAATGAAATCTGGGCAATTTCAGAAAAAACAAAACAAAAACAAAACAAAACAAAACAAAAAAAACTTCCCAAAGACAAGACCAGAACCCCTGAGACCCCACCTTCCCCAACAGGGCTCTGTCAACCCTCAATCCCCATCTGGGCCCTACTCATCTTTCCCAGGTAGCCATGCCCTCTTGCTGTCTCATCAAATCATCTTTCTGCAGGGGATGCCACCCAGGGTAGATGAGACAGGCTGCCTTCCCCTGCCACAAGCAATGAAATTAAGAATGCCACAAAACATGACTCTAATGACTGCTGGTAAGCCACAGCGCTTGGAGGCCACTCGTCGAAGCCTAGAGTTAAGTCCCTGGCAATGCGTACATTATATTTGGAGGAAAGCAGAAAGCAAACACCCATTAACGATCCTGACAAAGGAAACAACCCTTGTGGTGATTATTAGCTGGAACTGGCATATGGTGTCTGAAATGGATTCCAGAAATTGTGGTCTGACCTTTCATTCTAAAAGTACTGAGACATACAACAGTTTACCTGTAATATAGTGAAGTCAGATGATGAAGTATCTAAATTGTTTATAGTTTCTTTGTCCTCTATCTGTAAAATAAATGGAGAAAATACAGTTCATCACACCAACAATAACGTAACATAATGGTACATCTGTACAATGAAAAGTGAACAGCTATGAAAATAATTCACAACAAAATTTTAAACCCAGGGCAGAAATCAAAACACTATTATAGTATAATTGCAGCTAAACTGAAAAAAAAGTTGTATGTAAATGTCCACCTGCACATAGACTAGGAAATCTACTAATATGGTAGCTATGTAGGTTTTAAGATGCAAAAGAAAGAAAAAAAGTCTAAGTCAAACAGAAAAGAGATGAAAATGAGTGCACAGCCTCTAAGTGGATCTGAGCACAGGGTGAGGGCTGTTCTTCCAGGAGCAATGGCTAGAGTCCTGCTGAAGTGGAGCCTTCAGCCACCGCTGCTCGCCCAGCCTGGATGCTGAGGATGTGGGACCTGCTGCCCCTGGGGTAGGTACCTCCCTCAATGGAACAGCATCTCCCAGCATGAGGGTGAGGACAGGAGCTCGAGACTGGCAATATCCTATGCCCTACTTGCAGGGGAAGAATAGCTTTTATTCTAAGAAGTAGGCTCTGCCCAATAAGGCAAAGGATTCCCCAAACAAAGAAAGGGGGTTCAGATAATTTGTGACTGAAACCAATTTTGGCCATCTGCTCTAAAGCCCTGAAATTTGAGATATACTTAGGGGGAGACGTTTTCAGATATTTTATAACCAGCATGTATTTTTATCACTATATTTCACTAGGAAAGACACGCACACGATCAGAAGACTCAAAAGGTACAAAAGCCCATTCACTGAAAACCACTCTCCACTACTCCTTTCTTCCTGCCATGCAGTGGTCATCGCATATGCTACACACGTGTTTAAGTGCCAAAGACCATCTCCCCTTAGACATCTGCACCAGGGGCAGCACATCATTCTGAACCCTCCCCAAGTGTCACTTCTCTTTTGGAGATTGTTTGAGTTCACACAGATGTGCTTAATTCATTTTGATGGTTACACTGCAGTAAAAACTGTATTCGTGGTGGTACATTTCATAACTCTACGGTGCTTTCTAGATGCTAGGCATTGAACTAGGCTGGGAAACACTTTGTTGGAGCTGCCTAGTAAATTCTTCAGGAATTGTAGAACAGATGAGTCAGGACTCCTCTCTGACACTAAAGCACAAAAGCAGCCATAGACAACAGTATCAATAGGTGTGGTTGTGCTCTCAGAAAACTTCATTTACACCATGAGACCCTGTCTTGAAAAAAAGCAAAACAAAGCAAAAACAAAAAAACCCCAAAACAAAAACAAAACAAAACAAAAACAACCCAGGTGACAGCCAACTTGATGACTTCTGCTTTAAGTGTATAATAAACATCCATCCATTGAATCTTCCGAAAACCTCTTGCAAGTGAGGAGCAGAGGTTAAGGAGTTTGTCCAGGGACACACAGAAATTGATCCATCTCCAGAATCTACCTCTGAACTCTTTTTTTTTTTTTTTGAGAGTCTCACTCTGCCGCCCAGGCTGGAGTGCAGTGGCACAATCCTGGCTCACTGCAACCTCCACCTCCCTGGTCCAAGTGATTCTCCTGCCTCAGCCTCCTGAGTAGCTGGGATTACAGGTGTGAGCCACTGTGCCCAGCCAAGCCACCGCACCTGGCCTCAACCCTTAAAACTAAACTGCTTCCAGGCATTTAGGATGTTTCCAGCTTTTGTTGCAGAATGTATGATTTTCTGCTTAGGAGGGAAAAAAACAGCCTTAAGAAGATGCAGCCATTCAGGAAGGGTAAGTAACTCCTGCTGCTGTGCAAGTGTTTCTGCTACTCCTTTTTAGAAGCTGATGAATGGGACTCACCAAAAATTGCACACCCTATTTGTATCAGAATAACTCTCAGCCACTTCTCAGACTCAAATCCTCCATTCAAATATGACAATCTGCTACCTCTAAGGATACTTGGAATCAGTTCCAAGAGGAAATGCAAAAATATTCTGAAGAAATGCAGAAGCGGATTGACTGGCATACAACAAGGTTTCTGTCCACCAAGACTGCTTGAGAAGCACTCACTGCGGAAGACCTAAGGACCAGGACAAGAACAGGGCCCCCCACGAGCCAACACAGAAAGGGCCCCACAGCTTCTCATATGCATCACTTTTTCTGTCTGACAAACATTAATCATCAGGTAAATGAAATTAATATCAAATTAATGGCACCAAGACAACATCGTACATAAGTTAAGTACATGGCCTCTGGAATTAGCCTGATCTTAGTTCTTATTCTGTTATGAGCTGTGTGTCATCTGGAGATGTTTTTTAGTTCTTGCCTTCCCAATTTCCTCAACTGAAAATGGGGACAACAGCACCTCATGTTGCTATTAGAAGAATTAAAGGGCACATGCTGGGCGCGGTGGCTCACACCTGTAATCTCAGCACTTTGGGAGTCTGAGGCAGGCGGATCACCTGAGGTCAAGAGTTCAAAACCAGCCTGGCCAACATGGTGAAAACCGTCTCTACTAAAGATACAAGAAAATTAGTCGGGCTTGGTGGTGGGCGCCTATAATCCCAGCTACTCACTTGGGAGGCTGAGGGAGGAGATCACTTGAACCCAGGGGGCAGAGGTTGCAGTGAGCTGAGATCGCGCCACTGCACTCCAGCCTGGGCAACAACAGCAAAACTCTGTCTCAGAAAAAAAAAAAAAAAAAAAAAAAAAAGAAAGGAAGGGCATAATGCCAATGCCTGGTAGGTAGTATTCAGGAAATACTACCCACTATAATCTTACTATCCATTTGATATGTTTCTAACAGGAAAAAAATTTAGGTTTAAAAACAACATCCAGGTTAATACTTGAGGTTAACTCTTAAGATAGGTATCAACTGGCTGTGTTTTTTTTTTTGTTTGTTTGTTTTAAACAAGAGATAGGGTTCTGTCAGACTCTGCCACCCAGGCTGGACTTCAATTGCACAATCATAGCTTAGTACAGCCTTGAACTCCTGGGCTGCTCCTTCCACCTCAGCTTTCTGAGTTACCGGATTACATGAGTGCATCAAGGCACCCAGCTCAACAATTGCTTCTTAACAGGAAAACACCAACTTCTAACCTCTTCCTAGTTCAATGCTTTCAAGGTACCTAGGCCATAACACCACAGATCAAGTCCGGCAACAGGAAGAGTCTGAATGGTTGTCCTCAAAATGTCTCATACTGTATGCCGCAAATGGATAGCAAGTACATATGAAATGTTATAAGACATCACCTTTCAACAAAACAAATTGGTTCAGAATCATCTGAACCAACTGACCCTTATTCTACTGAACTGGCATTACAGAACAACTTACTTCCCAATATGAAACTGATCACCTATTTTAATTGTGGAACTGATACATTCAGGGCACATTCTAGAGACATTGCCGGTTACCTACAGCATGTTCCTGAAGCTGCTCCGGAAGCTCTTTCATTTCCCCCTCGACTAGCTCTCTACTATCCGACAGGGACTCCTGGAGGTTATCAGCATCATCGTCTTCGACACAATCTGCAACGCTTCCATTATCAATTTCTGCTTCATCCAACACACTGATATCCATGATGTCGATGTCCTGCAAGTTCTCCAGACTGGTCTCAACATCCTCCTGTGACACAACCAGACCGAACCATCATGTGACCGCCACTGGTCCATCCACCACGCTACTCACTCGCAAGGCTGCACATACCTGTCCATCCCCAGAGTTTTCCTCCAGCCCGTTATCTTCCACACCCTCTTCTTCTGGTTTGCGCCCTGAAGACAGAATCATTTACAGCATGAGATCAAATGATACGCACTTTACAGAAGCAACAATGCCCTGAGCACTACACAAGTGGTCACTTTATAAACATCTGAGACACCTCACTACTTAGGAACACTTCCTAATCCAGGAATGAGGCCATTCCGCACAAGACAGCCCTGCCCCACCCCCAAGCAGAAGAGGTTCTGTTCTTGTCTGAGCTGTGGAAGTAGAAGTGCAGAAAACAGGTTCTTAGTAAAGTTGAACAGGATCAGACCTGTCCTCAGCTCTGCCCTTCTTCCTATCCCAAGTGTCCTTGTTTGAGGGAAAAATTATTTGTTGCAAATGTGCTGCCTTTTAGTTAAGGAACATGTTTTCCCACAGAAACTGCGCATGCCCGAGTATGCACATTTTTAATGCTTAAAAAGAAAAAAGAAGGGCCGGATGCGATGGCTTACGCCTGTAATCCCAGCACTTTGGGAGGCCTAGGCGGGCGGATCACCTGAGGTCAGGAGTTCGAGACCAGCCTGGAAAACATGGTGAAACCCCGTCTCTACTAAAAATACAGGACAATCACTTGAACCCAGGAGGCGGAGGTTGCACTGAGCCGAGACTGCGCCACTGCACTCCAGCCTGGGCAACAAGAGCGAAACTCGGTTAAAAAAAAAAAAAAAAGAAAAACAAAAAACCCACATACTATCAAGATACTCCAGAGGGGCTGGGCACGGTGGCTCATGCCTGTTAAGTCCAGCACATTAGGAGGCCGAGACAGGTGGATCACTTGAGGTCAGGAGTTTGACACCAGCCTGGCCAACCTGACGAAACCCTGTCTCAACTAAAAATACAAAAAACTAGCTGGTTGTGGTGGCGGTTGCCAGTAATCTCAGCTACTCAGGAGGCGGAGGCAGGAAAATCGCTTGAACTCTGGAGGTTTAGGTTGCAGTGAGCTGAGATCGTGCCGCTGCACTCCAGCCTGGATGACAGAGCAAGACTCTGTCTCAAAAACAAAACAAAACAAAACAAAAATTGCAGAGGAAGGTTTTTTTTTAACTTATACATTTCCATCAACAGCGAATTAAAAAGTGCCAATCTCGTGCACTTGTAGTCCCAGCCACTCGGGAGGCTGAGGCAGGAGAATCGCTTGAATCCGGGAGGCAGAGGTTGCAGTTAGCCGAGATCACACCACTGCACTCCAGTCTGGCAACAGAGCGAGACTCCATCTCCAGAAAA
Organism: Homo sapiens; assembly: GCF_000001405.40. Lineage (NCBI taxonomy): Eukaryota > Metazoa > Chordata > Mammalia > Primates > Hominidae > Homo > Homo sapiens. The sequence continues at coordinate 5,640,377 of NC_000019.10, read as the reverse complement.
AAAAAAAAAAAAAAAAAAAGCCAATCTTTCTTGAATCTCTGTTAAAAATTTGCTATTTTTCTTTATCTTTGCCAATATGCTAGGTAAGAAAAGGAATACTGTTTTAACACGAATTTATCTCCTGACTACTCAAATTGCTTTGAATCATTTGCTTTTTGTTGTTGATCACCTGTACTTTTCTAAAAATTTCTGATTTACACCCCACTATTTAAAAACTTCGGCTCCAGCCAGGCGCGGTGGCTCACGCCTGTAATCCCAGCACTTGGGAGGCCGAGGCAGGCGGATCACCTGAGGTCAGGATTTCGGGACTAGCCTGACTGACATGGAGAAACCCTGTCTCTACTAAAAAAAACCAAAAAAACAAAAAACAAAATTAGCCAGGTGTGGTGGGGCATGACTGTAATCCCAGCTACTTGGGAGGCTGAGGCAGGAGAATCGCTTGAACCCAGGGGGTGGAGGTTGCGGTGAGCCGAGATCCTGCCGTTGCACTCCAGCCTGGGCAACAAAAGCAAAACTCCATCTCAAAAACAAAACAAAACAAACAAACAAAACACTTCGGCTCCATCCCCCATCATTTGAAGTTTATATATCATATGTACAAAACATATTTTCCCAGTTCTTTACCAGTTTTTAAATTTTGTTTACAGGTTTTGAGTACACTTCACTGTTCTTTTTTTTTTTTTTTGGGACGGAGTCTTGCTCTGTCACCCAGGCTGGAGTGCAGTGGCCTGATCTCAGCTCACTGCAACCTCTGCCTCCTGGGTTCAAGTGATTCTCCTGCCTCAGCCGCCTGAGTAGCTGGGATTACAGGCGCCTGCCACTACACCCAGTTAATTTTTGTATTTTTAGTAGAGATGGGGTTTCACCATGTTGGCCAGGCTGGTCTCAAACTCCTGACCTCAGGTGATCCACCTGCCTCAGCCTCCCAAAGTGCTGGGATTACAGACATGAGCCACCGCGCCCTGGCCCATTTCACTCTTATGTGGCCAAGCTATTAATTGTTTTTAAAATGTAAGTGGTTTATACCTTCATGCTTGGATGTCCTCCTCCATACTGAAGGCTAAATAATATACACCTGTATTTAGTTCTTTTGAAGTTTTAAACATTTATTCTCTCAGTTTCATGTTGAGTGAGACTATTTTCCCAATAGTTGTCCCATTTGGAAACTGATTTCCCAGCACCACTGACTAAATAGTACTTGCCCCCGACCAATTTGAAATGTTGGCTTCCGCAATATTATATTTGTATTTATGTCTGGGATTACTTGTTTCCATTCTCTTCCACTGATCTGTTATTTTTGTTCCAGTTTTAGATATGTGGCATTACCATGTTTTTCTAAATAGAAAATACTTGCCAGGCGTGGTGGCTCATGCCTATAATCCCACCACTTTGGGAGGCCAAGGCGGGTGGATCATCTGAGGTCAAGAGAAGAGTTTGAGAACAGCCTGGCCAACATGGCAAAACCGCGTCTCTACTAAAAATACAAAAAAATTAGCCAGGCGTGGTGGCAGGCGCCTGTAATCCCAGCTTGGGGAGGATGAGGCAGGAGAATCGCTTGAACCCGGGAAGTGGAAATTGCAATGAGGCGAGAACACACTACTGCACTCCAGCCTGGGTGACAGAGCAAGACAGACTGTCTTTAAAAAAAAAAAAAAAAAAAAAAGACTAAGATTAAGTATAAAAAAAAAGAAACTAAAAAACGATTGGAAGGTATGGCTTAACTCCAGGTTTTTCTTCAAGAGTTTAGTAATTTTAGGCTGGGCGTGGTGGCTCACACCTGTAATCTCAGCACTTTGGGAGGTCGAGGTGGGTGGGTCACCTGAGGTCAGGAGTTTGAGACCAGCCTGGCCAACATGGTGAAACCCCAGCTCTACTAAAAATACAAAAATTAGAAGGACATGGTGGCAGGTGCCTGTAATCCCAGCTACTCGGTGGGGGGGTTGACGCAGGAGAATCGCTTGAACCCAGGAGGCAGAGGTTGCAGTGAGATGAGATTGAGCCACTGCACTCTGGTGTGGGTGACAGAGACAGACTCCATCTCAAAATAAATAAAATAAAAAGAGTTTAGTAATTTTAAAAAATGTGAAAAACATCAAGAGGCTGCATACCTTCTTAGGTTCATACTTCTCCTGTCAGCCAACAATGCTAAGAACAGGGAAGTCATTTCCCCAACTCCCCTTGTGCAACCTCCCAATTTTTCTTACTAATTGATGATTTATAACATTTGCAACAGTTCACAAGGGCAGGCATGCTGGCACCTTCATCCAAACAGCAGTATTTATATAGTCATTTGCTTTTTCATACAAATGATAAAATGAGTAGAGAATAGAAAAATGTAAACGATGATACCAGAAATAACAGAACTGAAGCAAAAATGGAAGTCATTAGGCATGGCAAAAATGAAATTTCTGGTGTCAGGAATAGGCATGCTCAAATTAAACTCTTTGACTGTCTTCCATGTGAAGAATAAAATCACATGCATGAAATCCATGAAATAGACTCTGGAAGACCACATCTCAAAGGCAAGGCATAATGTAGCATCATTTCATGTTTTAGAGCTACTGCCAGCACAGCTTCCTAGCATTCCTTATAGAAGGCGGTGCTCAGCTTTTTGAAGAACATGGGAGAAAAGCTGATCAAACACACAACTTTGGGAAAACTACTTCCTGCCAGGCCTCTTTCCCAGTGTGAAGAATAGTCTATTTTTTTTTGGAGACAGGGTCTGACCCCGTCACCAAGGCTGGAGTGCAGTGGCATGTCTTGGCTCACTGCAGCCTCTGCCTCCCAGCATCAAGGGATCCTCAAGGGATCCTCCCACCTCAGTCTCCCGAGTAGCTGGAACTACAGGCACGTGCCACCATGCTTGGCTAATTTTTGTATTTTATGTAGCAGTGGGGTCTCACTATGTTGCCCAGGCTGGTCTTGAACTCCTAGGCTCTCAAGTGAGTCTCCTGCTTGGGCCTCTCAAAGTGCTGGGATTACAGGCACGAGTCACCACATCCAGCCTGAAAATCAATTTTTTTTTTTTTTTTTTGAGATGGAGTCTGGCTCTGTAGCCCAGGCTGGAGAGCAGTGGCACGATCTTGGCTCACTGCAAGCTCCACCTCCCGGGTTCACGCCATTCTCCTGCCTCAGCCTCCCGAGTAGCTGGGACTACAGGCACCCGCCATCACGCCCGGCTTATTTTTTGTATTTTTAGTAGAGACGGGGTTTCACCGTGTTAGCCAGGATGGTCTCGATCTCCTGACCTCGTGATCCACCCGCCTCGGCCTCCCGAAGTGCTAGGATTACAGGCGTGAGCCACCACGCCCGGCCGAAAATCAATTGTTTTAAGGCTAAGTGTTGTTTCAAGCAGTATTAAGGAAACAAGGTCTGACACTGTGGCTCACACCTATAATCCCAGCACTTTGGGAGGCCGAGGTGGGTGGATCACTTGAGGTCAGGAGTTTGAGACCAGCCTGGTCAACACGGTGAGACCCTGTCTCTACTAAAAATATAAAAATTAGCCAGGTGTGGTGTCAGGCACCTGTAATCCCAGCTACTCGGGAGGCTGAGACAGGAAAATCACTTGAACCCAGGAGGTGGAGGTTGCGGTGAGCTGAGATTGTGCCACTGCACTCAGCCTGGGTGACAGAGTCAGACCCTGTCTCAAAGAAAAAAGAAAAGACAATTAATTTGTCTATACTGGAAACTATTCTTGTAACTGGATAAATATGTAACATCCTGGGGGGAGAAAAAAAGAAAAGCCAAAGACAAAAATTCCAAACCTAATTATTTGTACTGTAATTGACGTTTAAATATTCTAATTTCATTCATATTTTTAGAATTACCTTATTTACAAAGATAGGGGACTATCAAACTGATAACAGAATTCAATACATGATATTTTGGTCAGTTGGCTGGGAAATCCATCCCCATTTTATACCATTATTTCTTTGGCAAAACATGCCTCGAGGTCTAAAAAACAGCTGGAACTCAACCCAGTGGTCTCTGTAAACATGCTGGGAAGAGATACCAGAGCATTGCCACAGAATGATTACATTTGATAAAGTTGCTACAATTCTATGATACGTACGTTGGTTTCTGTCCAATCCTATTCCAGATAATAGGAAAAATCTACTAACTTATCAGAAACTTGCTGCCCTCCATACGGTGTTCTCTCTTCCTCAGGAGGGGTACTAGATTTTCATCAAACAGAATCAGGGTTTTCCACTTCTATGACCACTTTTCTCCCAAGCAGTATGTACAGGTACACTGCAGCCAAATCCTTCTCAGGGGAAAGCTCCCCCGAGGTAAAATGTGACTGGAAATGTCGAGAGAACATGCAATCTTCAAAATGTTTAATCTTCAACGTATAAAGCACATCCCTGACTGGAATGTTTATTAATCATCACGACTTGAGGAAAGACAGTATTCTCCAGAGAAGAAAAACGTCTAAAAAAACCAAAAATGAATGCAAATGGGAAAAGTATAACTCTCTGGCAAAAACTGAAGAGCCATTGATTTGTCTTTAGTATCAAGGCCAATGTGCCCCTTGAATCCTTCTACCTCAGCTCTTCACCCTAGTTTGTGGTCTCAGCTATGGGCATGACCGTCATCGCCTCTATCGCCTGCTCGTAGCTCCCTGCCTGGGATTCCATCTCTTGCCTTCTGTTAAGCTTCTGCCTCAGAGACTGTCCAATCTCACTGCTGACTCTGCTGCCCTGGACTTCTGCTGGGATGCTCCCATAGTACCCAGGGCTGCATGTGGGTGGTTCATTACTTTCTGATTTGATTACACAAACACACTTCCCTAATTATGCAAATATACGTATTAAACTTTACTGCAGTAACAGAAGATTCATCCTCCTAAGTATAGGAAGTATAAAGCTATAATACCTTCCCTTTTCCCTACTGTCCTCTTAAGAGGTTACCAACGTTCCCAGCTTGGTGGTGCCTCAGGACATCATCTTGCATCTACATACATTATATGATACATATGGAAATAAGCTTGTGATGAGATGAAATCTTATTGTTAGTGAGCAATGACACAAGTTACAGAAACTACTAACAGGCCTTGGACATTTTTATGTACTGCGTATTGATCCACCTCCATCTTTGACTCCATGCTACGGCAGTTCCCCACGTTAGCTGCCTTCTCAAAAAGGCTGTAGCAATTTATTGTCTCCAACACCTACACCTTCCCCAATACCCTTGCCAATGTAGGAGAACAGGAACTGTGTAAAAAAAATTTTTTTTTGAGATGGAGTTTCGCTCTTGTTGCCCAGGCTGGAGTGCAATGGCGTGATCTCGGCTCACCGGAACCTCCGCCTCCTGGGTTCAAGTGATTCTCCTGCCTCAGCCTCCCGAGTAGCTGGGATTACCGGCACGTGCCACCACACCCGGTTAATTTTGTATTTTTTTGTAGAGACAAGGTTTCTCCATGTTGGCCAGGCTGGTCTCAAACTCTTTACCTAGAGTGACCCGCCCACCTCAGCCTCCCAAAGTGCTAGGATTACAGGTTTGAGTCACCGCACCTTGCGGAACTGTGTAAATTTTTACCAGTTTGATAGGCAAAAATCTTATGTCATTTCAAAATTTGCTATTCTGCAACTACCAGCAAGGGAATCTTTTGGTCTCTAGGCCACATCTGCTTTTTCATTTATTTGTAAATTGCCTGTTCATAGTCTCTGCTCCTTGTTGACTGGGTTGCCTGTTTTCCTTACTGATTTGTCAGAACATTCAATGCTTTCTGGATATGAGTTTCTTCCTTATTCTGTGCTATAATATTTTCTCCCAGACTGTTGCATACCTTTCTTAACAGAGAGTTAAAACTTTTATGTAGCCAAATTTCTCTTTCTTTGTTGTTTCTCAGTTTTATTCTTACTTCAGGTCTTTCTTATTACTATATTATAAAAAGTATTAAACTAGCTGGAATTTCTATTTTACACAAGAAGAGATAAGATTAGAGCTTTCCCCCACCATCAAATGAACAAACCCTCAAACTTTCTGTTGTTTGCAATATCCTATCATCAAAATTAGAGGAAATCCCTGTATTCCCCCCCGCCCAGAATTTTAGTTATTCTTGTGCATTTTCTTTTTAGACTATTATGGAACACATTATAAAATTTCCTTTTAGGTTACTGTGGAGAAAAGTGACAATTTTCTGATAAAAAGTCATCATATCTAGGAAAATTTTCTCTGCTAAAAAGTCATCACATCTAGGAAATTTTTCTCTAATTAGTGATTTCGCAGGACTTGAAAATTTCCTGTTAATTCTATTTACTATTTAAGAATGTTATGTACATTTCAATGTCAATCTGGCAACATGCTTAATTCTTTGATTCACTAATGATATAACTGTCACCTAAAAAATCCTGGAGAAGTGATTAACAATTTTAACCAGCTAGCAAGTTTGCCAAACTGTTCATGAGGGCTTTGTCACCTTTCTTAAGCTGTCTTTGGCTTGCTTCGGATTGCTTTAACAGTACTTAATTTCCTGAGGTACAATCAGCCCAGTAGCTCTCACAAACCAAGTACTGGCCCAGGAGTTGACATCCTAGTTACAGAAGTACATCTAAGTTCCAAGACCCTGGTTTCTTTTTTCTTTTTTTTTTTTTGAGACGGAGTCTCGCTCTGTCGCCCAGGCTGGAGTGCAGTGGCGCAATCTCGGCTCACTGCAAGCTCCACCTCCCGGGTTCACGCCATTCTCCTGCCTCAGCCTCCCGAGTAGCTGGGACTACAGGCGCCCGCCACCACGCCTGCCTAATTTTTTGTATTTTTAGTAGAGATGGGGTTTCACCGTGTTAGCCAGGATGGTCTCGATCTCCCGACCTCATGATCCGCCTGCCTCGGCCTCCCAAAGTGCTGGGATTACAGGCGTGAGCCACCGCGCCTGGCTGCAGACCCTGGTTTCTAATAGCTCTCCTCAAAAGGGCCCAGGGCACCTGGAAGAAATGGCTGATTCCGGGGAAAGGGCAGGAAAAGCATAAGATGAGACTCACGTACCCTGCCATTCCAGAAGGTAAAAAAGTATCCCAAGAATGGCATGAACATGTGGAAATGACAGGGGAGCCTGTCTGACAGGGTTCCCAATGGAACGTTTTGCACATTGTAGTAAATAAGCATAAAGGCTTTCAACCTATGGAATAAAATAATCTAAGTTCACACAGATAAATGAGGGCAAAGGGCAAGCTATTCCTTATGTCAGTAAACCAAGTAATAAACAAACAATAACAAAATTAAAAAATCACCATTTGGCAACTACCAGAATAAATGAATAGACAGGAACTGGTGGTTGCTAAAACTAATGGACGATGAGCAGGATATTTACAAAGTCTCAGAGTATCTTCCCCACAAATGTAACTGTGAAAAGGAAGACAGTAACTTTCCAGTGGAGAAACCTGGCCAATAGCATTTGAAGTCAGCTAACATGGCCAATAATGGCTCAAACTGACAGCATGTGCCTCTGGATAGTATACTCTGATGACAATATAGGCTGGGCGTGGTGGCTCATGTCTGTAATCCCAACTCTTTGGGAGGCCAAGGTGGGAGGATCGCTTGAGCACAGCAATTCAGGGTTGCAGTGACCTACAATTGCACCATTGCACTCTGGCCTGGGTAACAGGGCAAGACCCGGTTTCAAACCAAAACAAAACAAAAAACAGGAATACAACATGTCTGGTGTATTTCTGACAAGCGTATAACTTGATCCTTATTATGGGGCGGGGAGAACCCAAAACAATTCAAATAGAAAAATAAACTACAAAATAAGTGTAAGTGTTCAAGATTAAAGAAAACTAAGGAAACATGACAACCTGATGCAATGCATGACTCTGGACATTTTTTGTCTGAGTTATAGAGAATATTATTGGAACAAACTACTGAATCTAAATGAGGACTAAGACGAGGTGGCAGTATTGTATCAATGTTAATTTCCTGATCTGGACATCTACAGTTAGGTAATATCCTTACTTTACTGCAGTACGTAGGGCAAAGGGGCATATGCGCCTTGCAACTTACCATGCGGTCTAGTAAAAACATACATACAAGGAGAGAAAAGGACAAGGCAAATGTAGTCAGATGGCAATATTTGGGGACTCTGGGTAAAGGGTATATGGGAATTCCTTGCATTATTCTTGCAACTTAAGTATGAAATTGCCAAAATGAACAAAAACTGAACAAAACAAGCCAGCAGCAAAGGATTGGGTAATACTTAACCAAGCAAACAGGCCAACTTTGCATCTCCAGTTACAAAACATTCTCAAACACCATAAAACATCCTATTAATTTGTACTTTGTGATGACACTACAAATAAATTTAGTTTCCTGGTAATTATTTTATTTTTTCGAGACAGAGTCTTGCCCTGTTACCAGGTTGGAGAGCAATCACAGCCCAATCATGGTTCACTGCAACCTCAAATTCCTGGACTCACGTGATCCTCCCACCTCAGTCTCCTGAGTAGCTGGGACTACAGATGCACGCCATCACATCTGACTAATTTTTCTAATTTTTTGGAGAGATGGGGTCTCACTATGTCACCCAGGCTGCTCTCCAACTCCTGGGCTCAAGTCATCCTTCCGCGTCGGTGTCCCAAACTGTTGGGCTTACAGACGAGAGCCATCTCGCACAGCCCCTGATAATTATTTTGAGAGTCTGCTAAGATGGTGAGAGTCACGTCATGTGGAATGTGACTTTTGCTGTATAAGCAGTTTTTAAAAAAAATGTTAAAGTGACAATTCTGTTTTGGCCAAGTGCTGTTTAAAAGGGATGTCATTTTCTCCAAGTCCAAGCAATAGGAGGAGAACTGAGATTACATGAGATATGCTTTCTGGAATTTTAAAGCATTTTGAATTCACACATTACAGCAGTCCCTCTATTTTCAGTTAAAATCTTGATAAAACCCACTGATAAAGTAGTTGAAAATAATTCAAGAAAACTTACCGACCTGCCCTATCAGATATCAAAATGTACTGTAAATTTCTAGAATAAAACTGATTACAAGAAGCAAAACAAAACAACAAATGAGACACAAAAGAGCTAGTATTGCATGGCTCCATTTTACATGAAGTTCTAGAATGGGTAAAACTAATATCTGGTGAAGTAATCACAACAGCGACTTTTATTTTTGCAGGGGCTGGGAGGGGAGACGCACTGGGAGGGGCAGAAGTGATCTTTCTGATGACAAATGTTTCTTTTCTTTTTTTTTGAGACACAGTCTTGCACTGTTGCCCAGGCTGGAGTGCAGCAGCATGATCTCAGCTCACTGCAACCTCCGCCTCCCAGGCTCAAGTGATTCTCCTGCCTCAGTCTCCCGAGTAGCTGGGATTACAGGCATCCGCCACCATGCCCAGCTAATTTTTGTATTTTTAGTAGACGGGGTTTCACCATGTTGGCCAGGCTGGTCTCGAACTCCTGACCTCAGGTGATCTGCCCGCCTCAGCCTCCCAAAGTGCTGGGATTACAGGCATGAGCCACCACGCCCAGCCTAAATGTTTCATGTTTTCATCCCTACCTACCTCACACCACATGCAAAATACATTCTAAATTAATTAAACCTCCAAATGTAAAATGTAAAAATAAAACCATAAATATTATTCTTTCTATATATAACAGAGTTATACATATAGTTTTTTTTTTTTTTGAGACGAAGCTTCACTCGTCGCCCAGGCTGGAGTGCAGTGGCGTGATCTCGGCTCACTGCAACCTCTGCTTCCCGGGTTCAAGCGATTTTCCTGCCTCAGCCTCTCAAGTAGCTAGGATTACAGGCGCTTGCCACCACACCCAGATAATTTTTGTATTTTTAGTAGAGACAGGGTTTCACCATGTTGGCCAGGCTGGTGTTGAACTCCTGACCTCAGGTGATCCACCTGCATCGTGGGATTACGGACGTGTGCCACCGCACCTGGCCTTACAGTCATATTTTTAATAATTTAAAAGCAAAGAAGTCCTTTTAAAGCGTAACATAAAATCTAGAAGCCTAGTGATCAAAATACCACAAGTCGAATCAGATTAAATTGAATGACAGATTAAAACAATAGAAACATTTTATATGAGTCTTTATAACTCAATAAGACAAACAACCCAGCACAGAAATCGGCAAAGGGCATGAAAAGGCCATTCAGACGACACAAATGTCCAATTATCAGAAGAGTATAATCTGTGAAGAAATGCAAACGAAAATCTCACCTGCAGAAAAATGCAGATAAATACAATGAAATACTTTTCTTCTATATAACAGGCAACAAGGTAACAGGCAAACAAGGTAAGTTTGATGTTGAGTTTAGTGAAATAGGCACCGTCACCCATTGTTGGTAGGGTACAACCTGGGACAGCTTTTTGTTTTTGTTTTTGTTTTTGAGACAGCCTCACTCTGTCGCCAAGGCTGGAGTGCAGTGGCACTATCTTGGCTCAATGCAACCTCAGTCTCCCAGGTTCAAGCTATCTTCTTGCCTTAGCCACCTGAGTAGCTTGGATTACAGGCGCCCACCACCACACCTGGCAAATTTCTGTATTTTTAGTAGACGTGGGGTTTTGCCATGTTGGCCAGGCTGATCTTTTGATCCGCCCACCTCAGCCTCCCAAAGTGCTAGGATTACAGGCGTGAGCCACTGAACTTGGCCGGGACAGCTATTTGTAAACTAGCTATGTGAAAATAAAGGGCCATATCCTTGGAGTCTAGAATTCTCCTTTCACTAAGTTATCAAAAATTATATTACTTTGACCACACAAAGGTATTTATCTCTGGTTCGTGCAAACACTGAATGTTGGAAGTACCGAGTGATAATTGGAAATAAAAATCTCCAAACGTCTAGTAATAAAAAGACTGATGGGCTAAATTGTGTATTTATTCATACAGAAGATTATTAGCCTGTTAAAAAACAGTGAGATTTTGTATAGCAAGATCACGGGTTTTTTTAATGAAAAAAATATGCATACAGGTGTGTGCACATACCTATATATTTACTTTTTTCCCCCTCTCACTCTGTGCCCAAGCTGGAGTGTAGAAGCACACTCATGGCTCACCGCAGCCTTGACCTCTTGGGCTTAAGCAATCCTCCTACCTTGGCCTCCCTAGTAGCTGGGACTACAGGTGTGTGCCACCATGCCCAGCTCATTGACTTTTATTTAACTTTTTGTTTTTCTAGACACAGGGTCTTGCTCTGTAACCCAGGCCTAAGTTTACTTTTAAACATTGTACATACACACACAGTCTGGAGAAGTATGCCTAACTTTTAGTAGTGGGCTGTCCCGACTGTGAACAACTTCTGCTTTTTACTCCCATGCACGTATTTTAAAACCTGCCGGGCGCAGTGGCTCACAACTGAAATCTAAACGTTTTGTGGGGCTGAGGTGAAAGCACTGCTTGAGGCCAGGAGTTCAAGGCTGCAGCGAACTATGACTGCGCGACTACCCTCCATCTGAGTGACAGAGTGAGAACCCACCTCAAAAACAAAACAAAAACAGCAACAAAAGCCTGTAGTACAAGTATTTGCTTTTATCAGAAGAAAAAGGAAAACAAAAAAGGAGATCCACAGGCTCTGTTTTTTGCTTTTATTATTTCTTTCTCCATTGATTTTCCAGGACTCTTTGCCTTGGCAGAAGTATACTTGAGTAAAGGCAAAAACACGCAATGTATCATGAGCCACAGAAGTGACTTCATTCTGCTGTTCTCCCAGCACTTACCCCAAACACTGTGGCTGACACTGGGGCCTGACTCTCAGATATTTAAACCCAGTACTTCACCACCAAGTATTAGTTATTATCTCATTTAGTTTTGGGCCCTGAGAACCAGGCCTTCAATTACAGGTTGGGCAACCCTATCTGAAACTGAAACCTTCTGAGCACTGACATATTGCCACAAGTAGAAAATTCCACACCTGATGTGTGGAATTAGTGAAAGTTTTGTTTCATGCACAAAATTATAAAAAATATGGTATTAAATTATCTTCAGGTGTATAAGAAACAAATTTCTTGTTTAGATTTGGGCCCCAATCCCAAGATTATCTCATTATGCGTACGAAAATACCGCACAAAATCCAAAAAATGAAACCCTTCTGGTCCCAAGCATTTCAGATAGGGAAAACTCTACATGAACCAAGAGAACATTCGGTCTACAAGCCCAGCTTCAGCTGATTCTTTTTTTTAGGGGGATGGAGTCTTGCGGTCGCCCAGGCTGGAGTGCAGTGGTGCGATCTGGGCTCAGTGCAACCTCCACCTCCTGGGTTCAGGCAATTCTCCTGCCTCAGCCTCCTGAGTAGCTGGGATTACAGGAGCCCGCCACCACACCTGGCTAATTTTTATATTTTTAGTAGAGACGGGGTTTCATCATGTTGGCCAGGCTGGTCTCGAACTCCTGACCTCAGGTGACCAGTCCGCCTCAACCTCCCAAAGTGCTGGCATTACAGGTGTGAGCCACGGCGCCCTGCCTCAGCTGATTCTTTCTTAAGCCAATAGTTGAGTGTTACCAAGTTAAACCATTGAAGGGGAAAGAAAGATAAACAAGACACAGCCCTAGTCCTCATCAATCTGCTCTTGACAGAAGGCAAGATGACATAAATATTAAACCAAGGGGTAAGGAACTATGCCACGGGAGGACAGAGGACCCAAGGAGACGAGTTGCTATTGGTGGGATGGATCAGTTGTCTTTTGAGGAACTAGGTCTCTAAGGCAGACAGATGGGGAAGGGTGGGCGGAGCGAAGTCACAGAGAACCAGGAGAGTAAATCACGTGTTTGGGGCCTGACTAAAGCACAGGGTGTGGGGGATGGGCAAGAGAGATTTCGGTAAGATGGTGAGAGTCATGTCATGTGGAATGTGACTTTTACTGTATAAGCTGCTTTTAAAAGAAATGTTAAAGTGACAATTCTGTTTTTGCCAAGTGCTGTTTATAAGGGATGTTATTTTCTCCAAGTCCAAGCAATAGGAGGCTCAGGCAGTCCTACTTTTTGGACTCCATGTTGGAGTTCAGTGGTGCCATGATAGCTCAGTGCAACCCTGAACTCCTGGGTTCAAATGATCCTCCCGCCTTAGCCTCCCAAGTAGCTAGGAAAACAGGCGTGCCTCGACGCCTAGGTACTTTTTTTTTTTGGCAGTGGATAGAGGCAGCCCAGGCTGGTCTCAAACTCCTAGACTGAAACCATTCTCCTGCCTTGGGTTCCCAAAGTGTTGGGATTACAGGTGAGAGACACTGTGCCCCGCCCCCACCCCCCTTTTTTTTAAGAGAGACTGGGTCTTGCTCTGTCACCCAGGCTGGAGTGCAGTGGTGCAATCATTAGGTCATTGCAGGCTTGAGCTCCTGGGCTCAAGTGATCCCCCTCCTAAAACTCCCAAGTAGCTGGGATCACAGGTGCATGCCATCATGCCTGGCTAATTTCTTTTTGGTGGGGATGGGGGTCTCCCTATGTTGCCCAAGCTGATCTCAACCTCCTGGGGTCAAGTAATCCTTCCGGTTCAGCCTCCCAAGCAGCTGGGACCACAGATGCATGCCACCACACCGGGCCTTTAAAAGTTTTTTTGTAGAGCTGGGTTTTGCTATGTTGCCCAGGCTGGTCTTGAACTCCCAGGCTCATGTGATCCTCCTACCACAGCCCCGAGTCGCCTGGAATTACAGGCACACGCCACTGTGACTGACTCCCAAAAGACTCCTTATTTAAGGACCGCTGACAATCTACAGAGGAAAATGAATAAAGGACAAATACTCCTTCCATCCTCCATTGGAATTCCCAGATACCAAGAAAACAAAACACAGTAGAGAGATCTTGAAAGAAAATGCAAAGCTTCGCTGAAGGCTCCCAGTTCAGAGTGGTTCACAAGTCCAACACACAGACAAGTAAACGAGGCACATTAGCAATGTATTCGTTTTGAAGAAAGCACTTAACATGAAACTTGCTTATGAAATCCTCCATACCTTTGCTAGACCTCTTTGATGTTTTCTTGTTTCCCTCGGAGGTAATTTCAATTTCGTCAGGATTACCACCTTCATCTTCAATTGCCTAAAAAGAAGGGAAAAGTAAAGTTGATCCAAAAAGTCAGCTCACACACTGCTTTCAGAGAGCTCTCAGGTGACAAGGAAACTGTATTTTTAAGATCAAAAAGCTGCTGCCGCCCTCACCACCCAGGACCTGTGGCCCATCCACTCATCTGTTATCTCGCTCTACACTGGAGACCGACTGACGCCACCAGTTCTTAGCTGGGTGGTCCCAGGCAGGTTTACTTAGGTGCTCAGTTTTTGCTTCTTCCTCTGGAACATGCGGCTAATAATAATACAGTACTTACCCTGGAAGGCTGTTGTGAGGACTCTACTAGCCATGAAAAGGAAGCACTCAACAAACAGTAGGCTTATCTGGTTCATCTCCTTCCTAAGCCCAGAAGAACTCAAAAAGGGAAAGGCACACTCTCCATTTCCCCTGACTTTACTCACAAAATACTCTTTAACCCTCCAGGGACTCCCTCCACGCCGTGCCTGTACTCAGTACTGTGTGGACAGAATACTAATGCTCGCTGACTGGGATCCTACTATGTGTTACGCACGAGACCCGTCACGACATGCATGACCTCATCCGATCCCCATCATGTACATTCACAACCGACTCCAGTACCTCATTCTCAACCACTAGGTGATTGTGCCTCATCGGATATTGAATTATAAGAATTTCTTGGCACGCCCAGCCTCCCACCCCAGGACTCTGTCACTCACTTCAACTATGCCCATCCTCAGCACAGTGCCTGGCATCAACTAAGCCATCAGTACCGAACACGTCAATCACGATGACGTCCCTAGAAACTTAGCTTCAGGTCAAGTTTTACTGATAACTTTTCCAGTCTTTACTCTCCAGTCCCATGAGCACAAGTTTTGTTTACATCATTTCATGTACTATGTTTTATCTGCAGAGGTTTGGAAGCCTCCAAGTTTCCCAGGTGGGTAAGTCTGAATTGAGATAGGGCCTGGGGGTTCCACATCTCATCTTTACCAGCAGCAACAAAAATCTCTCCTCTCAGAAGCCAGAAAAGGGACTGAAGTTCTTTCCTGGGATCAAGGAAAAGTACAATCACCAAGTCCCTCACCCTTTTCCCGGGGACAGGCAATTCTGAAACACCACCAGGAGAAGAGAAGCAATGCCCTAGGCAGGTGTCCTGTTTCCCCTTTTTGTTCTTTTGCCCTTCCTGGAAAAATAAACCAAGAAAGGGACACCAACAGGATGACAGAAACGGGAAGAGAATGAGATCAGGAACTCCAGACTGGCTTGGGTGAGTGGCAGACAGGGATATGGGCTGGCGGTATTCGTGTTTTGGGACCACATCTTGAAGAAAATGAAAAGGAGAAGGAAGAAGGAACAAATCTGTGCTCTCAGAGATGACAGCGAGTGATGGGAAGTCTCAGTCACCAGCTTGACAGGAAGATCACAGCAGCTTTTCAGGCCTATGGACCGTCCAGGGAGAAAAAAAGGATAAAGCCTCTTAATTTGGCTTAGCTGATGGGAGGCCCTGGTGGCGGGGCACCACACCTGACCAGCCGCCAATCTCCACTCTCTGCATTTTCTCTGGGTAAATATGTAGATCAGTGGGCTTCCTGCCTTATCTGAGTAAAGAGAATCCATAGTGAAAAGAAACACAAGCTTGAGCTTTTAAAAGGCCCATGTGACTCTGGCCGAGACAACTATCCACCCTTGAGCCCAGGGTTTCTCATCAGGAAAAAAAAAAAAAAAAAAATCCCTACTTCTTCTCATCACCAATTAATAATAAAGCCCTGTGATCTCCGTAGTTCCGGAGTCAGGATGGTGGGATGTGTCAACAGCCCCACTGCCTGCAGGGGCTGGGGGGTGGGCGGCCAGGCGGAGCAACTACAGGGGAGAGGTCCCAGAGTAGCCAGGTGGAAAAAAGGCAGAGAAAAAAAGCTACAGGAATAAGGAAACCGCAGGTGGCTAACCTTTACTTGCCTCTCTGCTTTTCCTAGGGATCCCTTTGAATCCCCCAAGGGAGGCGTTAGAGCCCCCGATCTGCAAATGAGGACTCGTGGTGGCACAGAGAGGAAAAGCGAATCGTGATGGCAACCACACACCGAGTGTTTACATGCGCCAGGCAGCACGCCAAGCCTGCTCCACGCAAACTTATTTAATCCCCAAATCAAAGTCCTATTGCTTTTTTGCTTCTTACAGGAGAAAAAAAAAAAAAAAGAATAGAAAAGAGGACTCAGAAGGGGTTCAAGGTCTCCTATGCCCAAGATCAGGCCACCGAGAGCTGGCAGGGTCCCCAAGTCCAGAGAGACTGACGGAGCTGGGGGAGCCCAGGCTCTGCCCGCCTCCCGGGCAGTTCTGAGGCTGGTTTTAAAGTCCACCCGGGGTCTCCCCTCATTTCACATTTCTGATCACTACCGTCAACACCACTTTTCCTTCCTGCCACGTTACTTCACCGAGCGAGTACCGGCAAACCGTGAAAACTGGATTGTGGTGGGTTTTTTTCTATTTTTCCCTTTGAGTATGTCCTACGGGTGTTTCCTTTGTAAATCAGCCCCGATTCAGGCTGGTCGGTCCCCTGTGGGTCACAAAGCATCTTCCCTGGGGAAACCAAGCAGCCGAATCAGGAATCCCAGGGCCTGGGTTCAAATCCCGACGCTGCCCGTCCTCGGCCGTGTGACCTTGGCCGAGTCCCTTCCCCTCGCCTGGGAAGTGAGGGTTTCAGGGTCTCCCCTCCAGGTACGGAGGAGGGGACGAGACGAGGGGAGAACCCTCCTCTCAGTGGACGATGTCACCCGTCACCGTTTCTCCTGCACGCGTGCCGTTTTTGTGGTTCTCCTGGCCCCATTGCGGCGTTAGGATTTGAACCCAGGCCCAGCCGGCCAAGGAACTCTCTCCGGGGCCTCGGAGGAGCCGGGGGACGCGAGAGCGCCAGGTCCGGCGAGGCCGCGAACGCGGCCGGGGGCGGACGCCAGGGCCCGCGAGCCACCGTCGCGGCCAAGAGGACCCCAGACCCACCCTGTGCCCGCCCTCGGGGCCCCAAATCCACCTTCTTCAGCCGCTCCATCAAAACGCTCTTGTTGCCGCTCGAGTCCACATTCCGTTTCCTCAGCTCCGCCCGCAGATCGATCACTCGCAGGTCGCTGAGGCGCCGCGTCCCGGTCTCTGACGAGGCGGAGCTCAGAGCCGCCGCGCCCGCCGCTCCAGAATCACCTAGGCCTGACAGAGTCTCCGCCATTCCAGGGACCCTGGCTCCGCCGCCCACTTTCCACAGAACCGGGCCGGTTTTATCAGGCTCCTAGCACAAAATGGCGCCGCCTGCGAGGGAACCGCTCCAGTCGCCCCAGCGCGCCTCGCTTCTGCGCAGGCGCACCAAGCGTAGGTTCTAGTATCCCGGTTGCAACTGCACATGCGCAGTGAGAACAACGCGGGGATGTGCGCAGACGCGTTGCGTCTCGTCAGCCTCCCGCCGGGAACTGCCGGGACGCATGCGAGCTGCAGATTCAGCGCTTGCGCGTTGTGCCGGGGAACCCGCGGTTGGTGGACGCGCGAGCGTCCTTGCTGCTAAGTACGCTAGTGGGGGCGGTGCGCGTGCGCGTGCGCGGCCGCAAAGCGGGGCGGGAGGAAACGAGTGCGTTTTCCTCTTAGGCGGCGCCATTTTGTGTTCAGAGCCGCTATAGCTGCCGGCGGTGTGCGACTGAGTCGGTGGCGAAGACGGGAACGCGACGATGGCGGAGACTCTGCCCGGGTCGGGCGACTCGGGCCCTGGCACGGCTTCTCTCGGCCCGGGCGTTGCGGAGACTGGGACGAGGCGGCTCAGCGAGCTGCGGGTGATCGATCTGCGGGCGGAGCTGAAGAAGCGGAACCTGGACACGGGCGGCAACAAGAGCGTCCTGATGGAGCGGCTCAAGAAGGTGAGGCGGCGCGGGGCTCGGGGGTGGCGCAGGAGGCCCGGGCACGCCCCCGCCTGCACCTGTCACCGCGGCTCCCGGACCCGGGGCGCCCTGGGTTCGCCCCGCGTCTTGGCCGACCCCGGTTCGAGGTGTCGGGCACCCAGGGGGCCGGCTGTGTGACCTTGGCCCGTCACCGCTCCTCTCTGTGCCTCCCTTCCTATCCTCTTTCCACCTTTTCTCCTCAAGCGCGCTCAGCGTGCGGTCTTCTCCGCTACCAGGGTGGCCCCGGGACCCCTCCTGGGGCTCCCGATCGAGCCTTGGCTCTGTGACCTTGGGCAGGTGCCTTTCTCTCTGTGCCTCAGTTTCCTCCTCCGGAGAATGGGTGTCTGGCGGACTCCAGAGCATTTACAGGAAAGGGGGCGGTGCTTGTTCTTGCCCCAGGGCTTTGGCCTTTACGAAGCTGTCCACCCGGGTCCCCCAGATCTTCTCGTGGCCGGCCCCTTGTTGTCATTTTGGGTCTGCCTGAGACATCACCTTCCTGAGCGCCCTTCCTAATGCGCTGCCCCACCTCCTTGCCAGCTCATCCTGCGTTTGTGTCGCACCTCGCTGAAAGCAGGGGCTAAATGCAAAATATTAAGGGGTTGGGAATTGTCTGTTTCCGCAACTGGAACAAACAACTTGAGCATAGGGAGGGAGCTTGTGGGTACCCAGTCCTGGACCCGGCAGGTGGCAGGCACTGAGGGACCTGTTGAATCTCCCCAGGCTGGCTGCTGTTCCTCCTCACCAGCGGTGGCCAGCCCTTCACCGAGGCCGGGCCAAGTGCAGCCTCTCTGTTCTAATTTGTCCCATCATATAACTTTAAAGTCGAAGGTTTGGCATTGTCGAGTTGAGTTGCCATTTTGGAACTGGTCCTTGACCCCAATTCTGGAGCTCCTGCTCACAGCCTCCCTCTCCTTTGTCATTTGGACCCAGAGAGACCCAAGTTGTGCGGGGTTCCTCCTCCGCCTTTTGGGCTTGCGGCCCAGATAGCTGACCCGGAGTTGCTCTTTGCAAGGACGGGTTTGCCTTTGTTTCATGGGAGGTTGTTACTTGTAAGGAACAGTGTGTGCCCTGCAGCTCTTAATGATGTTGTAAAACTCATCTCTCCCTAATAGGCGGTTAAAGAAGAGGGGCAAGATCCTGATGAAATTGGCATCGAGTTAGAAGCCACCAGCAAGAAGTCAGCCAAGAGATGTGTTAAAGGTATTGTACATATGCTGCTTGGGGCTTGAGTGTTCAGAGAATTTAGAGAAATGGTGTGTAGTGTGCTCTTCCCGCCTTCTAGGCTGGGAGAATTTCTCTGGTACTCGGTGTCCCTCCACTAAGAGTTAGCTTTGCTCGTCACCACCTAACAGGTAGCTCTGTCAAGGGCACAGGGAGGAGGAAAGAGATGTACAGGTGCCAAGTGCAATTAAAATATACGAAAAACGTTTCAGCTTCTGCCATTGGGATTAAAAGTCAACTAGAGAAAGACAAGCTCTTAAAGCTACTTCTACGGGTCTGAGGAACCAAATGTACCTACTTGGCTTCCTTCCTGGTTCAAAAAATAGGTCTTAACCCAAAGAAAAGGACACCAACCTGAGACCGAATAGAACTCAGCTTTGCTAGGGTCCAAAGTAGATTGTTGGGGTATTTGCACTCAGCCTATTTTTTACTATTACGGTTTTTGAATGTGAAGGTTTAATTCACAGACCGTTAAATTCATCAGGTTAAGGTGTACAATTCAGTGCTTCCTAGTGTATACACAAGGCTCTGCCACCACCACCACCGTCTCCTTCTGGATTTTCATCACCCAAAAAGGAAACCCGGTCCTCATTAGAAGTTAGTCGCCTTACTTTTCTCCCTCCAGCCCCTGGCAACTACTAATCCATGTTCTGTCCGCATAGATTTGCCTATTGTGGACATTTCATGTAGATGGAATTGTACAACATATGGCCATTTGCATCAGCTTTCACGTAGCATAATGCTTAAAGTTCATCTGTGTTGTAACATGTATTGATACTTCATTCCTGTTTATGGCTGATACCAGTTATTTTTGAAAGCATTGAATTCCATAAAACTTTGAAGCTTTGACTATCCCAGTTGGTATTGTTAGGTTTTATGGTGATAAGGATAATATAATTTAGGTTTCCTGTGCAGGGGGCCTGTTTTCTTGGAAAAGTGCTAAATTCAGGCAGTGGAGGATCAGTGCTTAGAAAGTAGAAAGAAATTGTAGCATTTTTAACAATTTCATTTTTTTAATAGCTTTTTCTTCTTAATGTGTTTCATAACACATTAACTGTTTAAAACATGTGCATGTAGTTTGAAAGATTAAATCTTTTAGTTAGGTTGCATAAGAGCTTTAAGTTAAAGTTTAATTTTGACACATGGATGCGTTTTTGCTGTTCTTGTGAGTGTCCGTATTTCACCTAGAAGGCCCAGCCTGAGCACATTCAGAATGTGAGAGACTGGTCTACGCAGGAAATATAGTTTATCTCTTCTGTTTAGGTGTTAACTTATGCATGATGTGAATTTTCTTTTTTTAGTGGTTGGGAAAACTGCTTAACAATAAAGTTTAAAAGTTTTTTATGTAGGTGCTCATTTTAAAACTGTAAAGTTCAAGACTTACTACTCAAAATATCCTTGGCTTTTAGCAGGAATTTAACAGGGATTTTTTTTTTTTTTTTGCGATGGAGTTTTGCTGTTGTTGCCCAGGCTGGAGTGCAGTGGTGCGGTCTTGGCTCACTGCAACCTCCGCCTCCCGGGTTCAAGTGATTCTTGTGCCTCAGCCTCCTGAGTAGCTGCGATTACAGGTGCCCGTCGCCACGCCCAGCTACTTTTTTATATTTTTAGTAGAAACGTGGTTTCACCATCCATGTTGGCCAGGCTGGTCTCGAACTCCTCACCTCAGGTGATCCACCCGCCTGGGCCTCCCAAAGTGCTGGGATTAGAGGCATGAGCCACTGTGCCCGGCCTAGCAGGGATCATTTCTAATGATCTTTGCATCATTAGAAAAACTAAACTTTAGCTGAGTGCTTTGAAGACCTGCCTGAATGTCTAGATTAAAGCTTAGGTGGATTCAAAACTACTTGGAGTTAGTGTTTTGTCAGGAAAGCTTGGATGATAAAGTTCTTCTGTTGCTATAAAAAGGACTTTTGTAGCCTCAGCTCTAGTGAGGGTTAGAAGGGCTTCTGATCCCTTCCCATTCCTTTTTCAGAGAAGTAACCAAGCCCAGAGAGAGCCCAGGTCTTCAGGTGGTGCTCAGGCCCTGCAGGCCTCATCTTCCATCCTGAGCTGGTGATGTTCTCTAGAGGTGTCGGGGCACGTGGCTAATGGATAAAGCACAAGAGCCTTAGGACTTTGTGGTTGCAGTTAGGGCCTGTGATTACATACAACTGTTAGATCAGGAGGAATTCACCAGTTAATTTTCGTTTCAAGCACTATGCAGCAGTGTTCAGTTGAGTCCAAAGTTGGACTCATTCTGGGAACTCACCAGTAACTGCTTCCTTGCAAAAACTGAAGTAGCCAAACTTGTTGAGGGAAAAGTGTCCTCATTATAAATCAGAGTAAGGGTCTTCACCAAGATTAGGAGTCCTAGGCAACATTGTAGGTGGGTTTGGAAAAAATAAAACTTGGATTAAAAATTTAAGTTTTAGATGCCATGTGGGATTAAAGTTGGATTTTCTTACATCTGTGTCCCCAGCAGCGGCAGCTTTTCGTTGGCCAATGCCAGGTGCCGGGGATTGGGGCGTCGCCTGTCTGCGCCACATTAGCTTTTCTGTGATGCTTTTTGGTCAGCATTTCTCCTATTTCCGGCCTATGTGGGCACTGCAGGCTACTATTTAGGGGCCTAGAAATTGGGTGCAATTACCAAACATTTTTAGACAACGTATTTCAAAAGGATATGCTGTGTTTAGATATAATGCGAAGTGGGACAGCTGAGTTTTAGAGTGCCAGCTTTGGAGCTCAACCAAATTCTCGTGTCAAATGCAGATAATAAAACCTGCTAGCGTTGTTAGGCGTCTTAAATGATAGACTGGAAAAAGCTCACGTTGCGAGACATGCAATTAAACTGCATTTCTTGAGTGATTATTGATAATAGTGGTGAGTGAGACTCTTGAGGTGTAGACCCTGCAGGTTTTTTATGTTTAATTTTCTTTCTTTTTTTTTTGAGACGGAGTCTCGCTCTGTTGCCCAGGCTGGAGTACAGTGGTGCAATCTCGGCTCACTGCAAGCTCCGCCTCCCGGCTTCAGGCCATTCTCCTGCCTCAGCCTCCCGAGTAGCTGAGACTACAGGCGCCCGCCACCACGTCCGGCTGTTTTTCTATTTTTAGTAGAGACGGGAAAGTATGTATTTTTTTCTGTTTGATTTTTCTTTATCGGTGTGTATGTTAGAGAGACTCGGTCTTACTCTGTTGCCCAGAGCGGAGGGCAGTGGCATGATCGTGGCAGCCTCAAGCTCTCAGGCTCGGAGCATCCTCCCACCTCATTCTCACCGGTAATTCAGAGTACAGGTACATAACACCATGCCTGGCTAATTTTTGTATTTTTGGTGGAGATGGGGGTCTCACTTTGTTGCCCGAACTTGTCTCTTAATTCCTAGGCTCAAGCGAGCCACCTGCCTTAGCCTCCCAAAATGCTGGGATTACAGGCGTGAACCACTGTGCCTACACTGTGGGCATTTTTTCTGTTTCATTAAATATTCTTTAAAAGCATACATTCTTTAAATATTGTGAGACATTGGATGGTGTCCCACAGGGTTTCTCAGCATTGGCACTGTTGACAATTTGGGCCGAAGAATTCTCTGGGGTTGGGGAGTATCCTGTGCATTGCAGGGTCGTGACCAGCATCACTAGCTACTGATGCTAATGGCGTTCCCCCAGGTCATGACCACTAACAATGTCTCCAGACATTGCCAGCCATTCCCCCCGGTTGTGAACCATATCTGAATGAAAATATGCTGTAATTTGTTTCCCTTTTGGGTGTTTAACAGGTATAATAGGACAGATATCTATGTTTTGAACTCCTTGTCAGATATCCTAAGACTCAAATTCCTGGAACAAAGGGTATGCACATTTGTAAGGTTTTTGATACATATAGAGCCTCAAGTTTCTTCTCAAGGTTTCCACTCTTGAACTCCTCTGGCCTCCTTTTGCAATTCCTAGCAGAATTCTATCAAATAGTTATTTTGTGGTCACAAAACCCAGGATGATTCTCGACTTTATGGCAGCCTTTGCCTTTTTGCCTTGGGGGAAAAAAAAAAGTTCTTGAGCTAAAAAATGACAAAGACCTACTTGAAATGGGTGGAATATAGGGAGAGCCAGCAAATCACTAACTCAATATGTTATTTTATGTTGCAGTTCTTTGGTTACTAGATGGGTATTGCATTTTTTTGTTGGTTTGTTGAAAATGCCTGTTTTTATCCTTTGCTCATTTTTTTGTGATTTTTTTTCTTAGGTTTGGAGTGTTTTTGAAATATTTGGAAACTTTTAGATATTTTGTGGAAAATCAGAGTACTCTGAATCTAAGAGGAATCCTAGATTTTCATCTCCCTGTTGATGGCTTACTTAGAACACCAATTGAGGCCGGGCACCATGGCTCATGCCTGTAATCCCAGCACTTTGGGAGACCGAGGCTGGTGGATCACGAGGTCAGGAGTTTGAGACCAGCCTGGCCAATATGGTGAAACCCCATCTCTACTAAAAATACAAAAATAAGCTGGGCATGGTGATGCACGCCTGTAGTCCCAGCTGCTGAGGAGGCTGAGGCAGGAGAATCGCTTGAACCCAGGAGGTGGAGATTGCAGTGAGCCGAGATTGTGCCGCTGCACTCCAGCCTGGGTGACACAGGGAGACTCCATCTCAAAAAAAAAAAAAAAAAAAAAAAAAAGAAAACAAATTGAGACAAAATTACGTGTGACAGGAGAGGGGAGACTTATAGTTTATCTTGTAATGTGTTCTGTTCTAAGATTGAAATCTATTCTGCATAAACTAATTATGAGGTAGAACTTGAGTGTTATCTGATTGAACAATTATTCTGTAATTAGGACTGAAGATGGAGGAGGAAGGCACAGAAGATAATGGCCTGGAAGACGATTCCAGAGACGGGCAGGTAAGTGATGTCAGGGTAGAGATGACAAGCAGCAGCTCCCTGTCCTGGTCCAGGTGGTCGTTAACGATTCTTCTTCCTCTTTACAGGAGGACATGGAAGCAAGTCTGGAGAACCTGCAGAATATGGGCATGATGGACATGAGTGTGCTAGACGAAACTGAAGTGGCGAATAGCAGTGCTCCAGATTTTGGGGAGGATGGCACGGACGGCCTTCTCGATTCCTTTTGTGATAGTAAAGAATACGTGGCTGCACAGCTGAGACAGCTCCCGGCTCAGCCCCCAGAGCATGCTGTAGGTAACTTGGAGACACGGCAGGATGTGCCCATAGCCCCGAGGCACCTGGTGCTCGCGTGCTGCTCGTGTGAGGGAGAACACAGCTAAACCGCCATGAACACACAGTTCTGCTTCTACACCCTGGTGTTAAACCATGTCCATTTAAACGCTGTGTAGCTCAGGGATTTACTCATAGATAGCTTTTCTGTAGCACTGGGGAGTGTTTTTATAATTCGAAGCATGTGGTGAGTCATAAAATAGAAAGCTCTGACATAAAAGATTTTTCTTTTCTGAGATGAGGTCTCAACTGTTACCCAGGCCGGTCTTGAACTCTTGGGCTCCAGCGATCCTCCTGACTACCTGGGCTTATTGGCACAGGCCACAGTGCCCATTTAGTTTTTTCCTTTTAAAATACAGTTTTAAGAAGCAAAGATGGTTTATTTATTTAGAGACAGGGTCTTGCTCTGTTGTGCAGGCTGGAGTGCAGTGGGGTCATCATAATTCACTGCAGCCTCAGCCTCCCAGGTTCAAGCAATCCCCCTGCATAACTGAGACTACACAGTGAACCACCACGCCCAGCTAATTAAAAAAAAATTTTTTTTTTTTTAGAGGCGGGATCTCACTAGGTTACCCAGGTTGATCTTGAACCCCTGAGCTCAAGCAATCCTCCCGCCTCAGCCTCCCAGAGTGCTGGGATTATAGGTGTGGTCCACCGTGCCCAGCTCAAAAATGGTTTCTAATCTCATCATGTAGATATTCCTCCTAATGTTGTGTTTTGTTTGTTTGTTTGTTTTTGAGACAGAGTCTCTCTCAGTCACCCAGGCTGGAGTGCAGTGGCAAGATTATGGCTCACTGCAACCTCCGCCTCCCTGATTCAAGCAATTCTCCTGCCTCAGCCTCCTGAGGAGCTGGGACCAGAGGCATGCGCCACCACGCCCAGCTGATTTTTTTATATTTTTAGTAGAGATGGGGTTTCACCATGTTGGCCATGATGGTCTCCATCTCCTGACGTCGTGATCTGCCCGCCTTGGCCTCCCAAAGTGCTGGGATTACAGGCTTGAGCCACTGCGCCCAGCCACTTGACTAATTTTTTATATTTTTGGTAGAGATAGGGTTTCATCATGTTGGCTGAGCTGGTCTCGAACTCCTGACCTCAAGTGATCTGCCTGCCTCGGCCTCCCAAAGTGCTGGGATT
The DNA here is from genome assembly GCF_000001405.40 of Homo sapiens. Classification (NCBI taxonomy): domain Eukaryota; kingdom Metazoa; phylum Chordata; class Mammalia; order Primates; family Hominidae; genus Homo; species Homo sapiens. Next base: position 5,614,954 of record NC_000019.10, on the reverse strand, counting down.
ATAGTGGTGAGTCACCACGCCTAGCCTGTTAATGTTGTTTTAAGCAAGGTTAAGCAGTTACATTAAAAGATGTAAAGTACAGTGAAGACAAGTATCAACCCTGCTCCCCAAAAGGACTGACTGTGAGCATCCTTGTATGTAAAGGAGGAACTTTGCTCTGTTAGGGCTTTCCCAGCTTTTCACTTCTAGTGTTTTGGCGTAGAGCTCTCTGGTGAGGCTGTTCAAATATCACAAGCTGTCAGTGTCTTCGAGCTGATCTTCATTGTACTCTGACTGATGTCACGTGCCCAGTAGGTTGTTTTGTTTCCTTAAGGCATTGCAGCTTTCAGCTTGGGGGTGGAAATGCCTCCATAGGACTGAACCTTAAACCTTACGGTCAAAAGTCATTGCCTCCAAATTTACCATCCTTTGACCTAGGGCAGCACTGAGCAACTGGTTAGCCGCCTTTCTCAGTCTGGTACTGCTGTGTGCTTATTGTTTTCAGAGTGTGTACTTCTCAGTTAATGGAGGCATCCCAGGTCATGAGTTCAAATCGAGAAAAGGAAAAAAGAAAATATTTGGGAGTGCTGTTTTTGTAGTTCACTTAAAAAGAGCTTCAGATTTAGTAAAACTTGGTGTTAACAGTTTTTCTTTTGTTTGGCATGTAGTAAAGAGAGAAATTGACCAAGTTAGATGTTTGTTTTTAATAAAGTAGGCTAGGCGGGCCAGGCGCGGTGGCTCACACCTGTAATCCCAACACTCCGGGAGGCTGAGGTGGGCGGATCACCTGAGGTCAGGAGTTCAAGACCAGCCTGGACATGGTGAAACCCCGTCTCTACTAAAACATACAAAAAATTAGCCGGGCGTGGTGGTGCATGCCTGTAATCCTAGCTCCTCGGGAGGCTGAGGCAGGAGAATTGCTTGAACCCAGGAGGTGGAGGTTGCAATGAGCCGAGATGGCGCCATTGCACTCCAGCCTGGGCAAAAGGAGTGACACTCCGTCTCAAATGAATGAGTGAATGAATGAATGAATAAAGTAGGCTAGGAGAAAGTGCCCGGTTAGTGTTACCTTAAGAGTATTGCTACCAGGTGAAATTGGAGGGGTGCATTTTATCATTTTGAGTTCTGCTTTGGAAATCCTGTGATTGGAGGGGTATGTGGTAATCACCAGTACTTAGAAACTGCCTGGGAAATTCATTCGTTCATTCACCCAGTACAGACAGGGCATACCCACCTGCAGGCCACTGCCAGAGACGCTGGTGGAGCAGAGTCGTGGAGTGTGTGTTCTGGCGGAGAGGCAGGTGCTGAACTGAATGACCCAACAGTAGACTTGCAGATGGCAAAAGGTGCCGTGAGGGAAATAGACACACAAGTTGCCTAAGCGAGGTGTCAGCCTTGGTTTTCATAGCTCCAGCCTCCACGAAGTCATCTTCCATTTTGTTTTTCAGGTGGATGGGGAAGGATTTAAGAACACTTTGGAAACTTCATCGTTGAACTTCAAAGTAACTCCGGTAAGTTACCATCTGGTTCTGCATCGCTGGAAATGTTAATCGAGTGGTTGATTTTCCATAATGAAAGAGCAGTGTGTATGTGTATGGAAATGACTGGATACTGTGCTGGATGCTGGGGTTAAGAGGTTAGCAGAAGAGAAACAGTCTCAGGGCTGGCCATCTAGCAGGGGCAGTGGGATCAAACCAAATATGTAACCAGAAGGGAGAAAGAAGTGTGATGAGGGAGCAGTTCTGGTGGTTGGACTTCATAAGTGCCTGGAACTCTTCCCAGAGGTCTGACGGATAGGTTGAAGAGGGAAAGAAGAATTTGGAGCAGAAAGTTTGGGTGGTGTCTCTGATGCAAAAGAGAGAGGGGAGCACACAGGGTTGGATAGAAGCCAGAGGTGTTGCAGAGCAGCTGGGCCCGCCTCGCTGAGTCTGGGCCACCAGAAGGATTGGACCTATTGTCCTAAGTGAGACAGATGTCGGAAAAGGTTTTCAGCAGAGTAGAGAGATCATTTTGTTATGACAGGTTTCAGTTACAAATCAGTTTATGTTGGGAGAAGTATTTTTTTCTTAAATCCACTGTGACCTCTTCTCTGACAAAGGGGGTGTTTGCCAGCTGCAGCAGCCACTAGGTCAGCTTGGTCATGGGGTGGGTGGCATGGCAGGGCAGGGCCCAAACTCGGGAGAATGGGACAGACTGTTATCACTAGGGACCTGCTGTTACCAGGGAAACTGTTAAAATGAGCTGGTTTTCATCAGGTTATTGTAGGATGGAATACATTTTTTGGAGACAAGAAAGTTTTGTGGAAACAGGCATTTATTCACAGATGATTGAAAGCCATATTTACTGGTGAAATGTATGTGCCCCGTGTTTAAAGTGACTTGTGGATTTGCTTTTTCTTTTTTAAATAGGACATTGAAGAATCCCTTTTGGAGCCAGGTACTGATAAGAGAAACACGACAGTTATGGTTTGAAAGTTTTCACACTATTATTTTAAAGCTGTCTATATTTTAAGCTGTGTTATGATCTTGTAAATTGCTCTAATGGTGGACAATCCAGATCATACAAGGATCAGAGATTGGAAACCCATTCGTATCACCAGATCTGTGGAAGAGCCATTCTGGCTTCTTGAGGTCAAATACATTTGGTGCAATGTAGTAGTGATTCTTTTCATGTCTAACCACGTAGAGTGGCATTTAATTCCCCCGTCCCCGTGATTCCTCCATGTGTTTCTACACATGAAACAGATCTTGTGATATTTTGCTGCAGTCATTTTGATTAACGCAGTTAAGGCAGGATAAAGCTGTTGTCAGGGCACTTACCACCTGAGAAGTGACTGGATTCCAGAAGAGGAAACAGAGTTTCTCCGTGAAAATTTTCAACATATTATTCCCCTTCCGGACTGCGTTTATCTCCCACCGTCAGAAGAGATTCTGATTTTCATATTGGATTGTTCTGTTAAAAGAAATTCAAAGAAATTTGGAAGTTGAGCTGTCATTGAATGGTGATTGCATTCGGTTCAGCACCTTGGACATTGGAAAATCAGTCAGAAGACCCAGACTTGAACAAAAACTCGAAGAAGACTATTGAGAACCAGCCGCGTGGTTGTAGGTGTTTAAATCTGTGGGGGCCTTTTCTCTTCCGTGTAGCGTAGAGGCTTACCTAGAGGCGGTCGCGGCGCAGGTAGTGTAACCAGTATAACTTTGTGTACCCGCGGGTTTTCCAATCTCTGTGTAGCTAGCAGTTCTCTTCGTGTTAGTGTGGCAGCCGTGCCAGTTCCACATTTGTGATTGCTTTATTTCCCTGGTAATTAAACCTTGTGCCATTCTATTCCTGTTAAATCCGTAGAAAATGAGAAAATACTCGACATTTTGGGGGAAACTTGTAAATCTGAGCCAGTAAAAGAAGAAAGTTCCGAGCTGGAGCAGCCATTTGCACAGGACACAAGTAGCGTGGGGCCAGACAGAAAGCTTGCGGAGGAAGAGGACCTATTTGACAGCGCCCATCCGGAAGAGGGTGATTTAGATTTGGCCAGCGAGTCAACAGCACACGCTCAGTCGAGCAAGGCAGACAGCCTGTTAGCGGTAGTGAAAAGGGAGCCCGCGGAGCAGCCAGGCGATGGCGAGAGGACGGACTGTGAGCCTGTAGGGCTAGAGCCGGCAGTTGAGCAGAGTAGTGCGGCCTCCGAGCTCGCGGAGGCCTCTAGCGAGGAGCTCGCAGAAGCACCCACGGAAGCCCCAAGCCCAGAAGCCAGAGATAGCAAAGAAGACGGGAGGAAGTTTGATTTTGACGCTTGTAATGAAGTCCCTCCGGCTCCTAAAGAGTCCTCAACCAGTGAGGGCGCTGATCAGAAAATGAGGTTTGTTTTTTCTCAGTTTTAGACCAGACGCTATCTCCTTTTCATTGGTCATGTAATGACACACATAAGCTGTTTTTTTCTGCAATTGGCCAGCCAGACTGACGAAATTGTAGTTTTGCTTCTAAAGAATGTTTCGTTTCTCTTTGTGTGTTTTTAATGGGTGATTCAATTCCTTTTCTTTTTCTCAACCTACCATGGTTGTGTTCTTAAATTGTTAATTGTTATCTTCAGCTAAATCGAATTGACTTTTACAAATCTGACATTGTATTTTTGGGGTCAGATTTTCCAATATAAGCTTGCAGAGGTGTCTGTTAAAATTTTATTTCAGACTAATTTTCTGGTAGGTATTCAGTTTTAGCACATAATCATATTTTTAGTTTTGTTCTCTTTCGTTTTTTTCCTGTATGAGTAACATTAACTTTTGTCTCTAGCTCTTTTAAGGAAGAAAAAGATATAAAGCCAATCATTAAAGATGAAAAAGGTATGATTTAATTTAACGTGGTAGGGAGCCAGGTATGGTTCCCTTATTTTGGGAGGAGGGGCCTGGAGATATACACACTTTGGATTCAGTAATTTGTTTTGTTATGGGTTACCGGAATCAACCACCTAATGGTTTCTTGAGAGACTAGTTTTAGAAGTTCGCAAGCACCTGCATTTTATGTTTCTCTTGTGGTTGTCATCTATGGGATGGTGAAAAGCACATTACAAGAAAGGAATAATTCTGCTCATTGAAGACTGTTTCAAGGATTTTAGAGACTGCCGTCTTGGATGAGATCTGATCATCAAAAGACATTTCAGTTCATAACTGACATGGGCATGATTATTCCTTGAGTAAGGAAACTCAGTTTTTGCTGTCCAGATTTTCAGCCTTCTGTGTGTTGGCATGTGTGTGTGCGTTAAATTCTTAAGTCAGCAGTTGGGATTGGGCGTCGTTAGGGTTTTTAAAGAGGGCTGCGGTCTTAAGAATGGTTGTGCTTCCTGTTAGGCCTTGGGGTGATGCCTAAGAATCTCCCTCTCGTGCCAGGTCGGGTCGGCAGCGGTTCTGGTCGGAACCTGTGGGTCAGCGGGCTGTCCTCCACAACACGCGCTACGGATCTCAAGAACCTTTTCAGCAAGTATGGGAAGGTATGCCTTCCCTTGCCTCATACCATCCACTGTGATTCAGAGTTAAAAAGGAAGCTCTGCTGGGCACGGTGGTTCACGTCTATAATCCCAGCAGTTTGGGAGGCTGAGGCAGGAGGATTGCTTGAGCCCAGGAGTTCAAGACCAGCCTGGGCAACATAGCAAGATGTTGTGTTTACTAAAAAATGGAACGACAGCAGCGAAGCTCGCCCAGTCTTGTGCAGTGCACCTTGTTTCCTGACTCACAGTAACTAGGGTGCGGAGCAGGGCAGGTGGTTGGTCATATCACAACAGTGCTCAGAACAGCTGTATAAACAGCTTCTCTCTCAATGTTCTTGGGGTTCTTTCTAACTGGTCTCAAAGAGACTGGTGGTCTTTTGTCTTGTGCAAAACTTAAAGCTTACATGATGAGATTTTTCCCTTAAGAATAATTTGGGAGGCCGAGGCGGGCGTATCACCTAAAGTCAGGAGTTGGAGACCAGCCTGGCCAACATGGCGAAACCCTGTCTCTGCTAAAAATACAAAAATCAGCCAGCCGTGGTGTTCTGTGCCTGTAGTCGCAGCTACTCGGGAAGCTGAGGTGGGAGAATCACTTGAACCCAGGAGGCAGAGGTTGCAGTGAGCCAAGATTGTGCCACTGCACTCCAGCCTGGGTAACAGAGCGAGACTATGTCATAAAAAAAAAAAAAAAAAAAAAGAATGAAGTGAATAATTGACTTTCATATCATTTAGCATTTTAAGTATATAGTCTCATAACTAGAACATGATCGTGGTTCAAAAATAAATCACTAAGATGCTGCTCATGGGGGTGGGAGAAAAATAGTACAATTCAGCAGCTTTCCAAAGGAAGGTGAGGACAATTTAAAATGATTCCACTGTTTGAAATTAATTAAGAGTCTTCTTTTTTTGTTTGTTTGTTGTTCTTTTTTTTTTTTTTTTTTTTTTTGAGACTGCGTCTCGCTCTGTTGCCCAGGCTGAAGTGCAGTGGTGTGATCTTGGCTCACTGCAGCCTCCGCCTCCCTCCCAGGTTCAAGTGATTCTCGTGCCTTAGCTTCTCGAGTAGCTGGGATTACAGGCACCCACCACCATGCCTGGCTAATTTTTGTATTTTCAGTAGAGATGGGGTTTCGCCATGTTGGCCAGACTGGTCTCCAACTCCTGACCTATGTGATCTGCCTGCTTGGCCTCCCAAAATGCTGGGATTACAGGCGTGAGCCACCGCGCCTAGCCAAGAGTCTTCTGGTAAGCAATTGGCACTGCCCTGGTCTCCTGGGTGCCTCTGGGGAGTGGCTTCCAAGGGACAAGGTTCGGACCATTTAGTGTCTGGAGGGTGCCCTGATTCCAGGCAGAGTGGGCCCTGTCTGACACAGTTTTCTGGCTACAGAAGCCGTTCCTTTGTCTAGGTCTGTGTCACCCGATCAGGTGTTGGTTAATGTTTCATTGCTTAAGAAGCGGACAGGACCCGGAGAAAGCGTGCTGTTCAATTTTTCTCTGAACAGTCTGTGTGTTCAGCAAGGGCTTAGGAAATTCTTATAGCCATGAATAACCTGTTTATTCAGTTACTTTGTTGACTTCACTCGGACACTGATGATTAAGCAGAGGTAAACATACGTGGTCACTGTCATCACAGATTTTTTAGTCTGGCGGGAAAAAGACCATTTAAGAAATAAACACATATGATGTGTTGTGATGAGCGTATTAAGGAATATTAGAGCACGCCGTCAGTGTGTTGGGGAGGCCGTGTTTAGATTTGGGAGGCAGCTTCAGCAGAGCTCGCTGAAGAAGTGACATTCAGCTGAGGCGTGAGTGACAGAGTTGGCCTTACCTGTGGGGCTCAGCTCTGGACAAAAACAGAAGGACGTAGGAAGGCCAGAGGGGCAGGACACCACTCAGCTACTTGACTGAAGTATGCAGAGCCTCCAGGGCGGATGGCATAGCTCAGGGATAGGGACATACAAGCTTAGTATGGTGCCTGCTCTCATTTGGGTTTTGTCTGTCATCAGAAGAGATATACTTGTAAGGATGATTAATTTGATGGGAAGGTAGAATGGGAAGTGGCATCTGTGTTTCTCTCAGGAGAGTCTTCTGTCCCTTTGGCCCTGGACAGATTCAGGCAGAGCCTTGACTCCTCCATTTGTGTGGTCAAAACCAAGGACGTCAGATGGGAACCTCAAGCTTGTGGGTTCCACCTTGTCATTTCACAGTTGGGGCCATGAGGTCCAGAGACGGGGAATGCCTTGCTTAGGTTGATGCCCTGAGTCAGAGATAGGGCAGAGACCAGGACTCCTGTGTCCCGGGGAAATGTTTACTCTGCGCGCCAGTGGTGGTGGGCTTGGCGTTAGATCTACTGTCTTGTTCTCTATTTTCTGTTCATGTTTGTTTATTGATCTCTTTTTCCCATTTATCTGCCTTCTTGTGGGTCGAGTCCTTTTTATGACTGATGGCTTATTTGCTCTAACTCTGTGTCATTGTGGTTTACTGTAGGATTACAGTACACATCTTCCCTTACAGTCTGTCTGCAAGGGGTGCTCTGTTGGTTTCAGCGTAGTGCAAGAACTCTGTGGGAATATACTTGCATTTCCCCTCCCGTCGATCTTTGTGATGTTATTGTCATACGGTTTACTTCTCTTTAAGAAGTCACCCAATATTTTATTGGCTTTGACTTGTTGTGGTTTGGCTTTTTTGCTTTGAACAGTTGTGTTTTTTTTTGTTTTTGTTTTTGTTTTTGTTTGTTTTTGAGACGGAGTCTCGCTCTGTCGCCTAGGCTGGAGTGCAGTGGCGCGATCTCGGCTCACTGCAAGCTCTGCCTCCTGGGTTCATGCCATTCTCCTGCCTCAGCCTCCCAAGTAGCTGGAACTACAGGTGCCCGCCACCAGGCCTGGCTAATTTTTTGTATTTTAAGTAGAGATGGGGTTTCACTGTGTTAGTCAGGATGGTCTTGATCTCCTGACCTCGTGATCCTCCCACCTCGGCCTCCCAAAGTGCTGAGATTACAGGCGTGAGCCACCACGCCCAGCCAAACAGTTATATTTTAAAGAGACCCAGAAATGACAGGAAAAAATCATGTTCACCTCACCAGGTGCTCTTCGTTGCTTTTTGTTGTATATCCAAGTTCCCATCGGAGATCATCTTCCTCCCTCCTGAAGGAATTGAATGTTTCCTGTAGTGCAGGTTTGCTGGTGATACGTTCTTGTTTCTTTTGCATGTCAGAAAAAGTCTTTACTTTGTCTTCATTTTGAAATAAATTTTCACTGGGTATAGAATTCTAGGTTAATTTAATCTTTGTTCCTTCAGTTACCAATTTGTGTCTTTTCTCTCTCTTTTTCTGTGGCTGCTTTTAAGTTTCTTCTGGTTTTTTTGTTTTGTTTTGTTTTCCCTTAGAGACAGGATCTCACTGTGTCACCCAGGCTGGAGTACAGTGGTGCTCACTGCAGCCTCGAGCTCCCGGGCTCAAGCGATCCTCTCACCTCAGCCTCCTGAGTAGCTGAGACCACAGGCATGTACCACTACACCCAGCTAATTTTTAAAATTTTTGGTACAGATGTGGTTTCTCTGTGTTGCCCAGGCTGGTTTTGAACACCTGGCCTCAAGTGATCTACCTGCCTTGGCCTCACAAAGTGCTGGGATTACAGGCATGAGCCACTGTGCCCAGCCTGTGCCTGGTAATTTTTTACTGGATGTTGTGAATTGTATTTTTTGGGTGCTAGTTATACTTGTATCTCTACAAATACCCTTGAGCTTTTTTCTGGGACACAGCTGAGGTACTGGACACACACTAAGGCAGGGCCAAAGTAGCCTTCAGTTTGGGCTGATTTTGTCTCACCACTGGGCAGTGCCCTCTGAGTAGTGGGTCTGATGGCCCGTGAATTACCAGCCTTTCCACCCTGGCTATTGGGAAGAGCAAACCATTTGTGGCCCTGAGTGCCCCTCCAGTGGTTGTTCCCTCTGCTCCTGATTGTTCCCTCTGCTCCTTATGGGTGGTGCTGTCCCAGCCTCTGGTTTCCTCGCACACGTGTGCACTGGGTGGGAGGAACCCTCTGTGGGTCTCTTCAGCTTGCTCTGCGTGGCTCTGTGTGGCTGTGTCCTCTCTGATACTCAGTTCCGTGATTTCTCTCTGTCTTGGTCTCAGAATCTCAGTGCTGTCTTACCCATCCCCCATTGCCTGGGAATCTAGGCAGTGAGCAGGGGCAGTCAGGGAGCTCTCAGGGATTGTTGTCTTGGGCAGCCTGATGTCCAGGATCTGAAAACTGTCGTTGCCTACGTTTCATCACATTTGTTAGTTGTTTCAGGCAGGAAGACAATGCTTAGTTCTCCCATCTCAGCCAGAAGTGGAAGTCCTTTCCCCATGGGGACATTTCTGACAGTCCATGTCTGTGTCAGAGCTCTTCTCAGGCCCAGCTGGAGTGGATGGGTGCATTTCTTAGTAGCCCCACAGCTGTTTGTGGGCACAGTGGAAATAGAGAAAACAATGTGGATGGGTAGGACTTCTGGTTATTAGTTGTGAGTAATGAAGTTTAATGGTTTTATAACCTTGCATGTTTGTGTGTTTTCCTTGTGATGACTTATCTTGTATTAAAAGCAGTTGTATTTAGTGGCTGGGTGCGGTGTCTCATGCCTGTAATCCCAGCACTTTGGGAGGCCGACTTGGGTAGATCACTTGAGGTCAGGAGTTGGAGACCAGCCTGGCCAACATGGAGAAACCCCATCTCTACTAAAAACACAAAAATTAGCCAGGCGTGGTGGCGGGCGCCTGTAATCCCAGCTACTTCGGAGGCTGAGGCGGGAGAATTGCTTGAACCCAGGAGGCGGAGGTCGCGGTGAGCCGAGATCGCGACACTGCACTCCAGCCTGGGTGACAGAGCGAAACTGTCTCAAAAAAAAAAAAAGCAATTGTATTTGGATAGGTCAGGATTAATTAGAACCAATTCAGTAACTAAAATGGAAAACTACCATATGGGGAGAGGTGACAAATAGTGAAAATGATTCTGATTGCCAGGTAATAACTTTAGCAAGTTGTGTGGTCATTTGTATGAGAGAGTAAGAGTGCCCTTTTTCATGAAGGTTGTCGGGGCCAAAGTGGTAACGAACGCCCGCAGCCCGGGGGCTCGATGCTATGGATTCGTCACCATGTCGACATCTGACGAGGCGACCAAGTGCATCAGCCATCTCCACAGAACTGAGCTGCATGGACGAATGATCTCCGTAGAGAAGGTGAGGCAGTTCTCGTCTATGGTAACTCGCAAATGGAGTTTGCAAGTGAGAAGCTCTGGGCCACACATCATTTCTGTCTATTATATTTTAGGCCAAAAATGAGCCTGCTGGGAAAAAGCTTTCCGACAGAAAAGAGTGCGAAGTGAAGAAGGAAAAATTATCGAGTGTCGACAGACATCATTCTGTGGAGATCAAAATTGAAAAGTAAAGTGAATTTTCAAACCTCCTCTTGGAATCCCTGGGAGGAGGGCACGGGCAGCCACCATGGGCCTTGAAAAACACGCATCTGTCCCCACCTGTACCCACGCAGCCTTGCCAGCTTCCTGCTGGAGTCTCAGCTGATTTTTGTGTTCTGCTGCCACTTTAATATTCAGCTTTTATTTATTTATTTTTTGGAGACAGGGACTCACTCTGTTGCCTAGGCTGGAGTGCAGTGGCACTGCAGCCTCCACCTTCCGGGTTCAAGTGATTCTCCTACTTCAGCCTCCCAAGTAACTGGGACTACTGCAGGCGTACACCACCCAGCCAGGCTACTTTTTATAGAGACGCGGTTTCGCCATGTTACCAAGGCTGGTCTCAAACTCCTGAGTTCACATGATTTGCCCGCCTTGGCCTCTCAAAGTGCTAGGATTACAGGTGTGAGCCACCACGCCCTGCCAGTCTTCAGCTTTCTGTGTAAAGCTATTTAACGAAGTAGCCCATGTCTTTAAGAAGTGGATACAGTTGATCCTCAGCATGTATTTGTTTCCTGATAACTGATTAGCCTTTTGAAAAAACAGTATACACAAAATGTCATTTTCCATATTCTGGTCCCTTGTACAGCCTCTCAGACCTTGGAATCATTTCCTCATCCACGTTGATTTTCATGCAGTTCTCACTTATTAATCACAGCAACTGTCATACACCCAGTTTTTCAAAGATAAAGCATCATCCAAAGGAATTTAGCCTGGTCTAGTGTTGCAGTGAATGACCTTGAGTGAGCAGTTGGTGCTGTGTCTGACAGATGGCAAAAGCATTGCTGTGTTTACCTCAAAATTAAAAATATTCCAAGGCACCCTGTGAGTTCACAGTGCCACCCTGTGAGTTCTCACGGTGGCACCCTGTGAGTTCACGGTGGCACCCTGTGAGTTCACGGTGGCACCTTGGGGTACCTTGGCGTACCTTGGCGTAGTAGTTGGGAACCATGGGTCTGAGGTTCTATTTTTATAAAGGGGTGATTTATATCTTTAATCAAAATGGAGGTAGGGACAGATCTTTCAAGGGAGGTGTGGGTTGTTTATATTTTTAACACAATTGTAGGCTTCTCTTTTGAGAAGGTAGATTTCCGTGTTGTATCTGATCATGGCAGTGTCTCAGAAGGCTGAGTGTCTGCCTTAAGTTTACGTTGTCAACGCAGTTTAGAGGGTAAACATGTCTGTGGACATAGTTGAACTGGGTTTTTGAAGATGTAATTACCAATTTACATCATGGCCAAATTGGAATTATTATTTTTAATTGGAATTATTATTTTTAAAAAACATTTTACTTTTTGAGACGGGTCACCCAGGCTGGAGTGCATTGATGCAGTCATGGCTCATTACAGCCTCGACTTCCCAAGCCCAAGTGAACCTCCCACCTCAGCCTCCCTAGTAGCTGGGGCTACAGGTGTGGGCTACCACTCCCAGGTAATTTTTAAATTTTTGATAGAGACAGGGTCTTGCTCTTTTGCTCAGGTTGGTTTCCACCCTGGCCTCAAGCAATTTTCCCACCTTGGCCCCACAAAAGACTGGGATTATAGGTGTGAGCCACTGCACCTGGCCCCAGATTGAAATCAGTAGGCCCCTGAGTAATGAGTGTCAGATGAGCCTTCATGAACTTGGAGGAGGGGGGTGGGGGGGGCGGTGAGCCCTCTAATTTAATCAGCAACTTCAAAAAGACACATCCCATCAGCATTGCTAAGAAAAAAATGTCTGTATTGGTGGAAGATGGGGAACTGTTGTTGCAGGTTTGCGGTGTTCTTGGTATCTTGCGTGTTTCATTAATTGTTTTTCTGTATTTGTGGGAAAGGCGGTAATAATTAGCTAACAGTATGGTGTGGTCCTGTGGCCAGCACTGGGAATGCAGCAGTTTCCTTGGTCCTTGTAGTAGCCCTGTGAGGCACTTGCTCTATGTAGGAGAGGATACAGGCCTAGAGAGGGGAGCGCGCCCTGCCTGAGTTTGCTGGGAAACGGCAAGGCTGGGATTCAACCTATGAAGTTTGCTCGGAGCCCCATGGCTCTTAACTGGGTGATGGACTTAAGATTTTTTTTTTTTTTTTTTTTTTTTTTTGAGACAGAGTCTCGCTCTGTCACCCAGGCTGGAGTGCAGTGGCGCAATCTTGGCTCACTGCAAGCTCCGCCTCCCGGGTTCACGCCATTCTCCTGCCTCAGCCTCCCGAGTAGCTGGGACTATAGGCGCCTACCACCACGCCCGGCTAATTTTTTTTGTATTTTTTAGTTGAGACGGGGTTTCACTGTGTTAGCCAGGATGGTCTTGATCTCCTGACCTCGTGATCCACCCACCTCAGCCTCCCAAAGTGCTGGGATTACAGGTGTGAGCCATCGCGCCCGGCGAACTTAAGATCTTTAAGACCAAACTGCATGCAGGTTGTTTGCCTAGGAGGTTGAGCATTTAAAAATTTGTTTTGACCTTATTTTTTTCTTCAAATTAACACCTTCATTAGCCTTCCCTTCCATTTGAAGGATTTCTAGATTAGTGGTTGGCCTTGTGAAATAGAGAAGCTTTCCAAAGAGGGGAAGAAGAGGGGCTAGCCTTTGCCATCTTGGATGAGTGGTGGTTTTTATACAGTTGTTATACAGAAAGCACATGTAAATGTCAGGGGTAATCCCAACACCTAGGGATGATGCTTTTTGTTGGATATCCTTCCAGTCTTTTTTCCAGCATATATATTTATCTACTGGAAGGAAAGCAGATGAATAAACACAGAATTTTGTGCAGCAGGTGAAAGGAGTCAGACCCTTTTTATTCCCCCTAAGTTCTGTCTCAGGATCTAAAGGTCCTTCTTATTTATTTATTTATTTATTTATTTATTTATTTTGAGATGGAGTCTCTCTCTGTTGCCAGGCTGGAGTGCAGTGGCGCCATCTCGGCTGACTGCAACCTCCACCTCCTGGGTTCAAGCAATTCTCCTGCCTTAGCCTCCCGAGTGGCTGGGATTACAGGCATGCGCCACCACGCCTGGCTAAATTTTTTTGTATTTTTAGTAGAGACGGAGTTTCACAATGTTGGCCAGGGTGGTCTCGAACTCCTGACCTTGTGATCCGCCTACCTTGGTCTCCCAAAGTGCTGGGATTACAGGCATGAGCCACCGCGACCAGCCTAAAAACCCTTCTTTAAAGCATACCATGAGGTGACAAAAGTAAGCAGTGTATGAAGTATGGCCTCGTTCGTGTCACTCCTAAGACATTCTTACAAAATGTCACTGTAGATTACTGCGGTCAGGCAGACCCAGTGATTGACACTAAGGCCACCCTGGTGGTTGTCGCAGGGATGAGGGAGAGGAGATGAGATGATTTACAATAGTCAGTTCTGGGATGTACCATTAATTACTATGGTGTGTATTTAAAATTTTTCTCAAAATGGTATATATATATTTTTTTTAAAGACAACTCCATGATGTGGAGGTTGAGAAGGGCAGAGGAGACGGGGCAATCAGAGAGGCTTCCCTGGCATGGCTGGAGCTCTGCCGGGAACCCTGCCTGGGTCGGTTGGAGGAGAGGCCAACAGGTGCTTGCTGGAGGGCCTTGCAGGGGCCTGACTTTCCTGCCTGGACCCTGGCATGTCGTTGGTGTTGAGTCGGTGTGCAGTTTAATTGCCTGAGACAAATGGCATTAGGGAACGCAGCAGCTGAGTTTGAGTGGCGAAGATGATTTATTTCACTGCTTAGAAGAAAGTTGCCTTTGGTTGAAATGGCACTTAACACCTTCCCGTATTCACTGGCACATAACACATTATTTTAACTCCCTAAAAGTATGCAGCAGTTACCGGTCGAGGGGTGTTGGCCTCACGGGTAAATGGCCTGCCGCTCTGTGCAGTGGGGGCTTGGTGTCCTGCCACTGTGCCTCCATCCCGTTGAGGCTGTATTGGGAAGAAATGCTTTTCCCTATAAAGCTTATAAACAATGTTCCACACATACATGATGAAACATTAAACTTTTTAGAAGTGTTCTTATGTAGTTGGCGTGTTTCTCATGTCCACCTGCACACCACTCTTGCGTGCTAGCCTGTCTGACATTTTGGAAACGCATCCCCAGGAATTTCATTGTGCATATCCCTCAATTCAGCACATACTAGAAGTGGGAATACAGCCTGTATCTAAAGAGGAGTATTGTTATTACTATGGGTTCCAAATAATTTTTCCCACCTAATTGCTGCCGGGGTGATTTGTTTTGTGTGGACGTCTGAGTATGTGTGAGTCGAGGCTCTGGGTGAGCCGTTCCTGTTACAGAGTCTTGTGAACTCAAATTTGATAACCATGTCTTTAAATAGAACTGTAATTAAGAAGGAAGAGAAGATTGAGAAGAAGGAGGAAAAAAAGCCTGAAGACATTAAGAAGGAAGAAAAAGACCAGGATGAGCTGAAACCCGGACCTACAAATCGGTCTAGAGTCACCAAATCAGGTGAGGAGAGCCTTTTAAGAGCTGTGGAAGGGGAAGGCCTGGCACGGGTGGGGAGTGGGGGTTCCGAGGGAAGGTGAGGACAGCAAGCTCTGGTGACATGGCTGTTTCGCTGTTCATATGGCAGTGTTAAAGAAACAAGAGTCTGTTGATGAAATGGCTTAAAGGAGTGTCCATACAACATCGGGAATCCAGAAGTGCCTGGGACTCAGGGCTTATGTGTATTGCTGAACTCAGCTGCCTGAGTTTGGGCTTTTTCAGGGCCTTTGGCTGATTGTAGTGTGGGATTTGCAAGAGTGAGTTGTCCGAGTTTCTTGTAACTAACCTGATGCTATTTTGCAGGTGTGCAGTAAAGTTTTCCCACATTATGTTAAAGCTGGAGGTAGTAAAAACACAGAGAAAAATGAAACCTCCAAGCATCTGTTGAAGTGGTTCTGTTTGGACGATGCCACTTCTGTTGTCATTTTATAAAGGTTCATTGTGCTTTACACCTTTGAATCTGTATGAGACTCAGAATGTTTAGTGGCAAAAAAAAATAAGCCAACTCCACCTCCCCCATCAAGGAAGAGAAAAACAGAGACAAAACCCAACCATCTGGAGCATTGAAATTTGGTACAGCACATTACAAGCTGGATCTTCAGCTCTCGGGCTAATTTACCCTGAGTCTCACGAGGAACGTGTTTTTAAAATGTTCCTCAAGTATTATAAATCTCCCCAAATAAGTCATTGTTCCAGTGGTTTATGCCTGGTGGTTCTGTCGTCAGGAGAGATAATTGGTTTGGAAGCCTTTATTGCTGGAGATGAATGGAGGGAAGCCCACCCGTCTGGCAAGGCACTCCCTCAGAGTGGCAGTGTGATTCCTAGCACAGGCTGGATACTGCGGAGCTTCACAGAATGTCAGGGAGGAGTGACAGCATAGACCAGCTCCGGAGCTGTGTGGGTTTAGAGTGGAGGGTCACGGAGGGCTCTGCAGGATGGCCGTGCTTGTGTGCGTGCTGCAGGTTTAAGCTGTAGGTTGGGAACAGGTCCCTCTAGTTGTGTAAAGAGCTGTGAGGGTACCCCCATGATGCTGTGCCCGTGTTACCGTGTTGCTCACAATAGATGAGAATTAGAGGCTCCCAAGGCTAGTGTCAGTCACTTGACTCACGCCTTGTGTGTTCAAAAGCCCAGGGTCCATCAGAGTGCTGTTTACTGCGGGAAGTTGGGGCGTCCACAGGTTTTGATAGTTTGTTGTGTTTTTTCCTGAAGGAAGCAGAGGAATGGAGCGGACGGTCGTGATGGATAAATCGAAAGGAGAGCCCGTCATTAGCGTGAAAACCACAAGCAGGTCCAAAGAGAGAGTGAGTATTGCCTCTGCCATCTCAGGGCCAGCTGTTTCTCACGATGGCTCCACGGCCCGTTTGATCCGCATTATGAAAACAGCACTGTTTTGCCTTTAAAATTGAAGTTTGTAGGAGGCGCGATAATTGTGTAGATTGCGGATACAGACACACACATGAATCCTGGTGCTTTCTGCAGAGCAGTGCCCATCCGTGTTTGCTTCCCTTACTGGCTCCTGACCGGGATGTGCCGCCTTCAGACAGAGCATTGGTTCACACGGCAGCTCACCATAGGGTGGGATGGGCCAGACCCAGGCTTTTCGAGCCGGAAGGCAGGTCCTACTCTTTGGTTGACTTAATAGCAGGCTACTTTCTTCCATTGGTTTTTTAGTCTCCTATTAAATTAACCAAAAAGGTAGAGACCAACCTAGGACAGAGAGCTGGTCATGTTATCAGATCAAGAGCTGTACCTCTCGAGTTGTGCACACAACTAGACGAAATAGCGTCTCATTTGCGTTTTTCACTCTGGGAAACAATAAAAACCTCTGCTTCCCAGCTGCAGGTTCTAGCTAAGATATTCATGAGGTGACAGTACTTTTTTAACGAATGTGGAGTTCACCATATTCAGCCAGGACCACTTTGTGTTGTTAAGACTTAACTTTTTTTTTTTTTTTTTTTTGAGATGGAGTCTTGCTGTGTCACTCAGGCTGGAGTGCAGTGGCGTGATCTCTGCTCACTGCAACCACTGCCTCCTGGGTTCAAGCGACTCCTGCCTCAGCCTCTCGAGTAGCTGGGATTACAGGCAACAGGCACACATCACCACACCAGGCTAATTTTTTTACTTTTAGTAGAGACGGGATTTTGCCACGTTGGCCAGGCTGGTCTCGAACTCCTGACCTCAAGTGATCCACCCGCCTCAGCCTCCCAAAGTGCTGGGATTACAGGCTTGAGCCACCGTGCCCAACCAAGACTTAGTTTTTAAAATGAACATTTGGATTTTATAAAGTATCAGTTCCTAATGTCATTTTTCACATGAAAATCATAAGATACAGAGAAATGTAGAGTAGAACATTGAAAAAGACCCATACTCTTACCCCCATGTAACTGTGATGTTGAAAACAAGTAGTGATGACACATGCATGATTAGAACATCTGGTCAGCTTGAGGAGATGCAGCACGGGCATACTAAAGCCTCCGTGTGTCCAGTTGGGCTCCTCGGCTTCCTCTGCACACACGTCCCCTGTGCCTGCCATGGGACCACAGACAGAGGATGTGCTGGAGCTTGCACTTTCTGTGTAATATGCCTTGGAGGTCTCTACATACAGACACATACGGTTTGGCTTTTTTCCTTTTTGCTTTTTTTTCTTTTCGCTTTTACATATATTTTTTATTTTATGCATGATATTTACCTATTAAAAAAAATAAAGGGTGGGAGTGTCTCACTTTGTTGCTTAGCCTGGCTTCAAGTGATTCTCTCGCCTTGATCTTCCAAACTTGCTGGATTAGAGGTGTGCGCCACCACTCCCAGCCTCTTTTAACGTTTAAATTTTGAAATAAAGTGCTGTTCAGAAAGGTTGTGGAGGGGACTTAAATCTCCTGGGTGTGTTGCACCTGCCAGGTCGCTAGTAAGTGGCTAAGCTGGCCTGAGAACCCAGGAGTCCCGTGCTGACACTGTTGCCTGCTGTGCTGCCCACTGTGCGGTGGTATGTGGGCATCTGTCACCTTATTCTACTGCAGTGTGTGTAAGACATCTGCCCGTCTCGTAGGCAAAGCTTGCCATCAAAGTGCTGGGTGATGTGTGTCTCTCCTGTGTCTGTGTGCCCCTTTCTCCCCAGCCTGCATTTTATTAATAATTGGTGTAATGTCTCATCTTGACCTTTGCCTGTCTTTCTGTTGGGTTGGTTTGTTTTTCATTGCTCGCTCTTTCTCTCCTATGGGGGCTAATTAGGGAAATAAACTGAGTAGCTTTTTAAAAATGTCATTTCCCAGGCCCCTGCCCCAGAGATTCTGTGTGGATCAGCAGGAGGCCTCAGGTTCTGTGTTGTTTAAAAGCTTCCTGGGAGGGTCTGATGTGTAGCCAGTTTGGGTGAGGGGCCCTGGAGAACCTTGGAAATGGGAGTCAGTTGTTACAGCTCTGAGCTTTATGCCACAGATAGAAAATGATGAATGTAGGCTGGGTGCGGTGGCTCACACCTGTAATCCCGGCACTTTGGGAGGATGAAGCAGCAGATCACTTGAGCTCAGGAGTTTGAGACCAGCCTGGACAATAGGGCGAAACCCTGTCTCTACAAAAATAGAAAAATTAGTCAGGCATGGTGGTGTGCACCTGTGGTCTCAGCTACTGAGGAGGCTGAGGTGGGAGGATCACTTGATCCTGCAGTGAGCTGTGACTGAGCCACTGTACTCCAGGCTGGACAACAGAACAAGACTGGGTCTCAAACCCAAAAAACCTACAAAAAATAAATTACGGAAGTTGGCTATTAGTGTTCTGTACCTTATTAGGAGCACTGTTTTGCATTAAAGCATTTTGGCATATTCTCTTTATTTATTTGAGACGGAGTCCCGCTCTGTCACCCAGGCTGGAGTACAGTGGCGCAATCTCAGCTCACTGCCACCTCTGCTTCCCAGGTTCAAGCGATTCTTCTGCTTCAGCCTCTTAAGTAGCTGGGATTACAGGCATGCGCCACCACGCCTAGCTAATTTTTGTATTTTTAGTTGAGACGGGGTTTCACCATGTTGGTCAGGCTGGTCTCGAACTCCTGATGTTGTGATCCGCCCACCTTGGCCTCCTGAAATGCTGGGATTACAGGTGTGAGCCACTGCGCCCGGCCTGGCATATTCTATTTAGAGCTGTCTGCCTGAGTCCTGAGCCAGCAGTTGAGATGTGAAACATGTAGTCTGCCCTCCAGCTGTCCAAACAGCTGGCCTGACTGCTGTCCCCTCTGAACTAATGGCCACAGTGGCCCTGTGCGGATGTGCCCGTGGCTCTGAGAGGCCTAGGTTTGCTTTGGATTATGTGAGTCCTTGGCTGTGCTATGCTAGAAGAACTGTGCCTGTAGGTTTTCTGAGGCGTGGGCCAACCTCTTCTCTTCCATGAATGCCCCTTGACATCTGAAAGCAGGATTCTGGATTAGGCAGTAAAATGCAAACTTGGAGGGAAGCAGCCTATGCCTGGGCCTCTGGTCTGGAGACCACAGCCTTCCATCTACACCATGTGGGGCCAGAGAATCTTAGTCTCATGCACACGTGCATAATCTCCATTGTTTGTTTGTTGCAATCATTTTCCTGACATTAATAAACCAGTTTTGGTAAACAGAGCTCCAAGAGTCAGGATCGCAAGTCAGAAAGCAAAGAAAAGAGAGACATCTTGTCGTTTGATAAAATCAAAGAACAAAGGGAGAGAGAGCGCCAGAGGCAGCGGGAACGGGAGATCCGCGAAACGGAGAGGCGGCGGTGAGTGGAGCTGGGTGAGGCTGTGGGCTGGTGGTTTCCTCTCGGGGTGGCTGTCCTTCTCCCAGCTGTACTTGGAGTGCGCAGTCTGTGTGCCCGAGAGCCAGTGCCTGGGCTGGCGGGTGTCGTGCTTAACCTGGGTCCTCGAGGCAGGGGCCAGCACCTGTTCACACGTGAGCCGCCAGACATGCCAGGTGGCATGAAAGTCATCAAAGGGCCAGGTGCAGTGGCTCACACCTGTAATCCGAGCACTTTGGGATGCCAGGGCCAGAGGATCCCCTGAAGCCAGGAGTTCAAGACCATCCTAGGCAATGTAGCGAGACCCCACCTCTACAAAATATTTAAAAATTAGCTGGGCATGGTGGCGTGCACTTGTAGTCCCAGCTACTCAGGAGGTTGAGGTGGGAGGATTGCTGGAGCCCAGAAGCTCAAGGCTGCAGTGAGCTGTGATCACAACAGTGCACTGCAGACTGGGTGACAGAGTGAGACCCTGTCTCTTAAAAAGAAGTCATCAAAGCCCTTTACAGTATATGGGGTTTGGCTATGTTGCCAGGCTGATAACTGCTGGGCCCAAGCGATCCTCCTGCGTCAGCCTCCCTAAGTGCTGGATTACAGGCTGAGCCTTCTGCTGGCTCAAAGTCTATTTTCGCCCCTCCTCTGATGTTGGACCTTGGCCCGTGTGGAAGGCCCAGCCGTGTGTGGCTTTGATGGGATGGGATGGTGCCTGGGTGCTGAGGCCTGTCTTCCCTGTTGAAACCTTTCACCTAAGGTCAGAAACTGCAAGCAGAGTCCAGTTGTCATTTTGCCGCGGCTCCCTTCTGGGCTGTGGTCTTGAAGGAGGCTTGTCCCTCTGCCTTGACATTCGGCCTTTTCATGTCGGGATGCCCGGCGTTCTCTTGTCACTTTTCCTCAAATATTGCTCAGTAAAGCAAAAGCTGTGCTCACAGCATTTGGAAAATGTTCTCGAGCAAACCTAGAAATGTTGCCAGCTGTGCTGCCTTTGCTTTTCTTAAGGTAGCTTTGTTAAGTAAGGTAACCCCCTGCACGCGCAGCTTTAGGGAAGCCCGGTGAGCTTTTGGATCCATTTTTTTTTTCTGCTTCCAATACACACCCAGTTTTGGGCACCGGGCTTTCTCCTTGGAGGCTCACGCAGGGAGTTCAGGGCAGCCTCACCTGTCCCCGCAGGGAGCGCGAGCAGCGGGAGCGGGAGCAACGCCTCGAGGCCTTCCATGAGCGGAAGGAGAAGGCCCGGCTACAGCGGGAACGCCTGCAGCTCGAGTGCCAGCGCCAGCGGCTGGAGCGGGAGCGCATGGAGCGGGAGCGGCTGGAGCGCGAGCGCATGCGCGTGGAGCGTGAGCGCAGGAAGGAGCAGGAGCGCATCCACCGCGAGCGCGAGGAGCTGCGGCGCCAGCAGGAGCAGCTGCGTTACGAGCAGGAGCGGCGGCCCGGGCGGAGGCCCTACGACCTGGACCGGTGAGTCCCGCCCAGAGCGTGGGCAGGACGGAGACCAGCGTGGCAGCGGTGTTCACCCTTCCAGCAGAACAGCGGCTTCCCTTCCGTCCCTGTCGGTGGGGAGAATGAAATTTGATATGGAGCATGCGCCTTGGGGACCCCCCGCCGATCTCACTGCGCTGCTGCAGGTTTATTAGTTCGCTGTCCTCACCGGAGGCTGTGTAGCATCTTCCTGAACTTGAGTTATTCTGGGAAACTTGATGGCTGCCACTTGCTGAAGGGTTTGTGATGCTTTTCCTCTCCACTTACCCGTGGAGCATAGCTGTTCTCTGTCTTGCGAGACAACCGAACGCCCGTTAGGCCCAAGTTGGCCACCGCTGACTCTGCCGGTCTCATGTGTCCTTGTAGACAGAGAGGCAGAGCAGGCGCTGTGGAAAAGGAAATTGCCTCTGATTTAGAAAGTAGGTTTATTGGTCTCTAGCTACCCCAGGCGGCTTAATTGACAGTCACCCTTCACCCCGCTCTCCGTGAGCCTAGTTTTCTGGTAAAAATCAGGAAGAAGATAATTGGATGCCGTCCAGAGCTGTGTGTAGTTCACTATCACCCCATCTAATTCTCTTTGCTTTTGCAAGAAACTCAGAGGGAGATTCAGGCTCCCGTGGAAGGCAGGGAAAGTAAAAGTGTGGCAACTCGAATGCTATTCCAGAAGAATCAAATATTTCTTTTCAGTTGCTCATGAGGGGGGATCAAGGTAATAACAGCCTCACGAGACAATGAGCTCACAGCAGTGCTCCTTTTGGGACTGTTGGATGAGAACACAAGTGTGCCTCTCGGCTGTTAATGGCGGTTTTAATTTATCAGATCAAAGCAATGATGATCGAATGTTTAGAGATTAGCCCTGCAGGACATTTTAAACGATACTGGGTCTGGGGAGAGAGCTCCCCTCCCCACCTCCACCTCCTCCTTTTTTCCTCCTCCTCTCTCATTAATGGAATTTGTATTCTTTTAAAATAAAAACCAACAGACGAGATGATGCCTATTGGCCAGAAGGAAAGCGTGTGGCAATGGAGGACCGATATCGTGCAGACTTTCCCCGGCCAGACCACCGCTTTCACGACTTCGATCATCGAGACCGGGGCCAGTACCAGGACCACGCCATCGACAGGTCAGTGGTCTTGTCCCCTCCTTTAGCTACAGTCATTGTGGGCACCGGGGCATCCAGCTGACCTCGTTCTCAGCCCAGTGCAGGGGTTCCTGTGTGCTCTGAAGCCTCGTTTACTTCTGAGATCCACAGTGGATGACTCTGGCCTTGCACAGAACTTGAGCGAGTTGCTGGAATCCCCAGCTTACCTCAGAGGAAGGCATCTCAGAGCTCATTCCATCCACCGACTCTTTTCATAGGTGGGCCAGGAGGGGCCTGAGTGCAGGCCATCTACACTGAGCTCTCTTGTGAGGCAGCAGTGTTTGTCAGCACAACCTGGTTGTGCCCAAGAGCTACCAGAGAATTGATGGAGGACGTGCAAAATTTCTCATGAGGCCTGTTTTGTATTTCGAGGGTCTGGGTGGGTTTTTTAGCCTTTTAAAATGAGGAATACATCTAGTTTATTAAAAAGGCAGCCCTTGGTTTTCCAGTGTAAGAATCCTGTCTTTGGGCTCCCCTCGGCTGCACATCTCTGACCCATTTCCCCATTCATTGGCTCCTTCAGTCGGAATGTCAGAGCGGGGAGAACAGGAAAGGGAGGCTGAGAGGCCACACTCTTAATTCTGCTGGAGTTTGGGGTGGAGTTGGTGTGAATTTTGATGAGTCCCACGCATTGGGTCAGACCAAAGATGAGGGATCATTGGAGGCCTCTGTTTGTCCCTGTTCCCCTAACTGAGAGCTCCCCGAGGAATTTTAGTTCAGTGAGATCTTTATTCCTACCTCTTTAGGATCCAACTTCGTTTCTGCCCCCGGGGAAAAGCCTTTCGATTTGAGCTAGCTTTTTCCTTTTTTCCCAGGCCAGTTATAGTTTTTATGTGATGGGATGGAAAAAGTATCCCAGTCGCGAAACTTGCCTGACCTGCAGAAATGTGTAGTCGTGCCTGGTGCTGTTTGAACGGGATCTTTTCCTTTTGCAGGCGGGAGGGTTCGAGGCCAATGATGGGAGACCACCGGGATGGGCAGGTGAGTAGAGCCCCGATGCCAAGCCCTGGGGCCACTGTACTGCTGTGCAGGCATAGCGGACCATTTCTAGCCAGGCGGCCGCTTGATCCCAGAGAGGTGGCAACCAAGTCAGCACGTGTGGCGGGTATGCAAGTGTGGGTTCTGGCCAGCGACTAGAAGTACAAATATTTAGTCGGACGTGGTGGCTCATGCCTGTAATCCCAGCACTTTGGGAAGCTGAGGTGGGTGGATCACAAGGTCAGGAGTTCAAGACCAGCCTGGCCGACATGGTGAAACCCTGTCTCTACTAAAAATACAAAAAATTAGCCAGGCATGGTGGCGAGTGCCTGTAGTCCCAGCTACTCGGGAGGCTGAGGCAGGAGAATCGCTTGAACCCGGGAGGCGGAGGTTGCAGTGAGTCGAGGTCGCACCATTGCACTCCAGCCTGGGCAACAAGAGCAAGACTCCGTCTCAAAAAAAAAAAAAAAAAAAAAAAGCGCAAATATTTGATTGTTTTGTAATGCTCAAGTTTCTGTCATTTTCAAATATGTTGGGCTTGTTCTTCATTGTATCCGGTAGAAACCTCATGTGTCTCTTCATTGTCCACTTGCTCAGGGAGCCTTTGGGTCTTAGTGCCTGTGGGGTCCCCCAAGAACCCAAATGGTGGTTGTCGTTTAGCCCACATGTGCCAGGGTCGGGGGGATGGGGGAGCCCGGGCTTCCCCATGTTTCAAGTCCGTGCTTGGTGGGCACGGGGGGCTGAAGACCACAAGAATGGTCCCTGAGTCTCTGTGGTGCCATGCGGGTGCCCCGTGCGTGGTGGCAGGGTGTGAGTTCTGAGAAAGCAGCAGCCTGGTGGAGAGGTGGGAGGTGGGCGGCAGAGTAATGGCCTGTAACAGCAGGCAGCACCCGCCTGCTTCCTGGCTGCTGGCTGCTCCGTGCAGAGTTGGTTGGCCAGGGAGGCCGGAATTGTGGCCCTGCCAGAGCACAGGGGGGCTGACCCACCCGAGGGCCCTCCTGTTATCGGAAAGGAGGCGGCGCCCAACTTCTCAGGGAAGACAGGGTTTGGTGACGTCTTAGTGGATCTTGAGCAGAGCTGTTGAGGGCAGTAATGCCAGGGTGCCCTGGCTCCTGGGGCAGCTCAGGTGGGGCAGTGATGCAGCTGTAGGGGTGCGAGGAGGGGAGCCAGGGAGCAGAGGGTCAGTGAAGCAGGGCCCAGCAGGGCTGAGACTGCACCCTTCAGTCCTCTCTCAGCTCCGCCCCACCTGCCACCCTGGGGCCTGCAGTGGACAGGCCTTCCGGAAGGTGGGCCTATGTGGGTGACATGGTCAGTGTCACCCTGTTCCTCTCCTGCCTTCCAGCACTATGGAGATGACCGCCATGGCCACGGAGGACCCCCAGAGCGCCACGGCCGGGACTCCCGTGATGGCTGGGGGGGCTACGGCTCCGACAAGAGGCTGAGTGAAGGCCGGGGGCTGCCCCCTCCCCCCAGGTTAGTGGGTGAGCCCCAGCCGGGTGGGGAGCATCTGTCCTAACCTGGGAAAAGGTTGGTGCCTGGCCAGGCACGTCCCCAAGGTTTGATTCAGCTAGGGGAGCTTTAGGATGGGCTACCAGGGGTCCTGCCATTTGAAACCCCTGACTCAGAAAGTCCAGGTTCTCAAGAAGAAAGCATAGAACAGGCTTTCAGGGATGGAGCTGTCCAGGTCGCCCAGAATGGCCCATCCCCATTCTTGAGCTGGGGGTCGCCTGCAGTTGTGAATGTCTCGATCATGGGCTGCGTACACACTGGGAGAGACAGCGCTGAAGCTCTTAGTCCTGCCCCGTCCGTGGTAGAGCAGCCTCGCCCCTGCCTCCACGTTGCCTCTTGACACGTGTCTTCCTCGGGTTTTTTCTCTGACCCCCAGTTGGTCTGGGGTGGATCTTCTCAACCCTATCCTGCCTATTAGAATCACTTAGGAGGACCCTCCACCCAGGACTCAGGGCTGAGGACACTGGGCCAGGTCCTCCACAGGTGTCCAAAGCCACCTTCACCAGCACTGCAGTGGGGGTGCTGTTCTGAGCCTTGTCAGCATTGGTGGGGGGCAGGGCTTGTCTGGGAGGACTCTGGGTGCCTCTCTAGTTTCTTTGGCCAGCTGCAGTCACCCCTGCCTGTTTGTCCTGTTGCCGTCTGGGCTGGCCGTGAGGAGGCTGGTGGCAGGACTGCTTTGCGGCTGCTGCCCTGCTTTCCTCTGTGAGCCGAGTGTCCTGTCTTGTCTCCAGCCCTGGCCCAGGGCTGCCTCGGACCCTGCCCAGCGCCACAGGGTGGGTTTTGGCCCCCTGTGCTCCCCCGTTCCATCCCTCCCTCCGCGCTGAGAGGCACTTCCAGCTCTGCCAGGGACTTTGACTCGGTGCTGTGCCGAGTGTCCCAGGACACCCGAAGCTTCTCCTGAATCTCTGGGCAGCACAGACGGTGGCAGTGCTCTGATCAGTTGGTGTGAAGTGTTCTCTCCTGTGAGACTTCATTAGCATTCCTGTCCTGTCGCTTGCTGGGTGTTATGGTAAATACCTCGGGAGTGTAAACGGGAAACTCACCCATGGTGAGCAGCGGCTGGGCGCCATCGGGTCACCGAGGGCAGGTTCCACACGGGAGCTTTCCGCTCCCTCCAGGGCGGTATTGCACTTGCCTGGCAGTGCGCGCTGGGGGCTCTGGTGGCCCCTCTCGGGCCTGTGGGCTGGCTCACTTGGCCTGACTGTCACTGCATCCGGCAACCCACAGCAGGCAGGCACTCGTGCAGATGGGTCTGGCTGCTTTCCTGCACGGCCACTGTGACTGCTTGGCCACTTGGGACTCAGGACACTGGACTCGGATTTTCATCTCCCAGAGTTTGTCTGAAACTTTAAACAAATAGCTTTCTTTAAGTATAGTTCACACGACACACACTTCCCGTTTCACGTGTGCAGTCAGTGGAGGTTTGCGTGTACGTGGATCTGTTTAGCCATCCCCACGGCTGATTCTGAAGCATTTTCATCACGTCAAAAGAAACCCTGCCCCTTTTAGCAGCTGCACCCTCCCCCCTGCCCTTGGTAGCCACAGGTCCCTTTCTGGCTCTGGATTTGCCGTCTTGAGTCATTTCTTGGCCTGCGCGGTGTGCCTGCTGGGCCTGGCTTCTCCCTAAGCCTTGGGTATTCAGGGCTCATCTCCACATGCTGCCTGGGCCAGCGCTTCCTTCCTAGTTAGGGCTGAACATTCCATGGTCCAGACACACTACATAGTGTTATCTGCTCATCAGTTCATGGGTGTTGGGGTCCTTCTCCCTTTGGCTGTTAGGAATCCTGCCGCTAGGAACATTCATGCACAGATGTCTTTGGCCATGTTTTCATTTCTGGCAGGTAGGAATGGGTTTGCTGGGTCATGGTAATTCTGCGCTTAACTTTTTGAAGAACCACCAAACTTTTCCACAGTGGCCACACCATTTTACATTTCCACCAGCAGTGGACAAGGGTTCTTCCCTTTCCTCGCACCCTCCACGGTGTGTGTTATTGTGTGATTCTAGCATCCCAGCCAGGGGGAGGTAGCATCTCGGTGTGGCTCGGATTGGCATTTCTGGGTGGCGTTGAGCACCTTCTCACGTGCTTACTAGCACATCTGTCTTTGGGGAAATGTCCCTTCCCTTGATTTGCCCACTTGACATGCAGCCCTTGTTGTGTGGCATGACCCACCATGCAGCTGAGGTCAGGGTGGGTGCGCCTGCTGCCGACACAACCCTGGAGGCTCATTAGATGGCTGCATGTCTTTTTCTTTTGGCAAAGGGGTGGCCGTGACTGGGGAGAGCACAACCAGCGGCTAGAGGAGCACCAGGCACGCGCCTGGCAGGGTGCCATGGACGCAGGCGCGGCTAGCCGGGAGCACGCCAGGTGGCAAGGTACGGGGCTGGCTCCAGGGACGAGGGTGGCTGTGGCCCCCACATGTGTCCAGGGGCTTCCCCAGGAACGGAGTGTTTGCAGACCCTTCTTCTCTTCTAGGTGGCGAGAGGGGCCTGTCTGGGCCCTCGGGGCCGGGGCACATGGCAAGCCGCGGTGGAGTGGCGGGGTAAGGTGTGTCGTCCGTGGAGGACGGTGGTTCACTCCTGCTCCTCACTTCCTCTCCCTTTTTTGCATGTTTGATCAGCTGGCTGGGTTGGATGTTATGAAAACAAAGCAAAAAGCAGCTCTTTGCAATTTATGCAAATAACGCTCTTGAGTTACCTGGAATACAATGTGCGATGATGATTTTTCTCACCTGGAAAAAAAACCCAAGCGCTCTAAAGGCTGCGGGACCGTTACTGAACCCATGTTACGATGAAAACGCTGAGCACTTCAAGGGGAAAAAAATTGTCTGACTTTGTTCCTAGGCGAGGCGGCTTTGCACAAGGTGGACATTCCCAGGGCCACGTGGTGCCAGGTGGCGGACTGGAAGGTGGCGGAGTGGCCAGCCAGGACCGGGGCAGCAGAGTCCCTCACCCACACCCTCATCCCCCCCCGTACCCCCACTTCACCCGCCGCTACTAAGTCCCACTCGCTGCGAGTTTTCGGGTGGGCAGACGCACTGTTGAATCTGGTAGCCAGGGTTCCCTCGAACTTGGGGGATCTTTTTAAAAGCAAAGTAAATCCTGCCACCATGTTGTAGCTCAATACAATGTGAACTCACTTTTTTTTTTTTTTTAAATAAATGTGTTCTTGTTCTGCCATTTTTAAATCAAGGTTTCTGTTAACGAGGCATTCCATTTTCCATTAATAAAGTTTACCATTCGCAGTCTTGCGTGCGCGTGCACATGCGTGAGTCCTGGTGGCCGTAGAGCTCGGGATGGGACCAACCCTGGGCGCAGTGGTGTGACCACATGGTGACTGTTGGCTCTGCCAGGTGCTGCCAAAGTCTTTTGCCTGCATCATCCTGCTGAGTTGTCATAACCACCTCAGGAAGTGGGCTGTCCGGGTTCCCATCATGGGATGAAACTGAGGCTGGGGAGTCAGCCCATGGGAACTAGGAATTCTTCAGGGGGTGCTGTGCACCATAGGGCCCTCAGACCAATCCCTTTACCCCGAGCCTGTCTCTGCGTGGGTAGTGGTGAGGGCGTGCCAGGCCCTGGGGAGCCCTCCCCCTGCCACCTCAGTCTGGGGCTGTGTCCCATGCTGGTGTGTGGTGGGCTCTGTCAGGGAGGGTCCGTGTGTGGTGGGCCCGCCCCTCCCCTGGCTGCCAAGTGTGTCCTGCTCAGTGTCTGCTGCCAGCAGCTGGTTAGGAGTGGGATGGCGCTGACTCGGTGATGGGCCCACGTGGTAGAACTGGTCCCTCCGTTCTTCTGGAAATGTCCATTTGTCTGCAAAAGTGCATTTGAGTGTGATGCCCATTTTCTTCCTTAAAGACTGTGCCAGATGAGGCACTTCGCTGGCCGGGGTAGCCCGCAGGCTGCCGGCCCATGCGCGCAGCCCTCCGTGCCAGGGCCCTCCAGGGGCCGGCCACTGTGAGGCACAGCTGTTCTGTTCAGAACTGCTGGTGCATGAGCGGAGCTGGTGCTGGCCAGGGGTAGGGGCTGCAGGCATCTTGGGGCAGAGGATGGTGCATGGGGTTGGCCTAGTGCCCTCTCGGCGGGAGGGGCAGCCCAGCCCGGTGTGGTGTGGTGAGAGTTAACTGGCAGGGCCACCTGCTGGGGACCTCTTTTCCTCCCCTCCGTATCTAGGACAGCCACCCGCAGGCCCCTCCTCCAACTGCCGGTTCTGCTGGAGTTCCCCCCGCCCCCGCTGGGAAGTTAAGTTTTTAAAAAGCCATGTTAAAATCCAGCCCAGCTTGCCACAGACACCAGAGCATGAAAGGCAGGTTGGCCCTGGCCCTCGGCGTCCTGTCTGGGCCTGAGCTGCCGTGAACGCATTCCGGAGCCTCCCCCACGGTGGCGGCTTCTGGAGTCATTTTCCAGTGGCAGGTGGACTGGGCGCCACGCCGCCTCTGTGTTGCACATGGGGTCTTCGCGGCTTGCCTGTCTCCCCGACGAGCCAGAGTCTAGAAATTGGGGTTGAGAGCTTCCCTGTTGGGCAATAAAAGGCAGGCTTAGCCTGCGTTGAGGAGGCAGCCTGGGATTGGGAGCAGGCCCTGTTTTCAGACCTCGGTGTCTCAGATGTCACGGAGCACCCCTTCCTGGAGGTGGGTGTGGCCTCCTGAACTATGAAGCAGGGGCTCAACCACTGCCAGGCTGCTCTATGGGAGCTGGAAAGGGAACCAGTCCCACTGGACATCCTATGGGGGCAGAAGAGCCCTGCCCTTTCCAACGAGCCGGGCCTGGAACCAGCTCTGTTCCACGCAGAAACAAAGCACTCGAGTTACCAGGACGGCTGTCACAAAGCACCATAGACTGCCTAAGGAAGCTCATTGGCTCTCAGTTCTTGAGGCCAGGAGTCTGAGATCTGGGTGTGGGCAGGGCTGTGTCCTTCCCAGGCTCCGTCCTGAGCCTCCTGGCTTCTGACAGCTGCCGAGCACCTCTGGGCATTCCTTGGTTTGTAAAAACATTGCCCAGTCTCGGCCTCCATCCTCATCATGTGGCCTTCTTCCTGCAAGCGTGTTTGTGTCCTGGTTCCCCCCCCCCTCCTTTTTTTTTTTTTTTTTTTTTGGAGACAGTCTCACTCTGTCACTGCTGGAGTGCAGTGGCGAGGATCTGGGCTCACTGCAGCCTCCGCTTCCCAGGTTCAAACGATTCTCCTGCCTCAGCCTCCCAAGTAGCTGGGATTACAGGTGCCTGCCACCACGCCCAGCTAATTTTTGTATTTTTAGTAGAGACGGGGTTCCACCATGTTGGCCAGGCTGGTCTCGAACTCCTGACCTCAAGTGATCCGCCCACCTCGGCCTCCCAAAGTGCTGGGATTACAGGCGTGAGCCACCGCGCCTGGCCTGTTTCTTTAATAATTGAGCATAGGTACGTTATATTAACTCAACTTTTATTTCAAGAGAGAAAAGGTGGGTGGAACAAAATACGTGTTATGAAAAGGAGATGCTGATGGACGTGTGGGTGGTTCCCCCCTTTGGGCAGTTGTGTGTGAATCACGCTGCCGTGAGCATTTATGGATATGTATGTGTTTGAACACCTGTTTTCCATTCTCCTGTGTATATACCTGGGACTGGGATTGCTGGGTCCTATGCTGACTTTGTAACTCCCTGTGTTTTATTTCTGGAAGTATAGCCAGACTTTTCCACAGTGGTGGTACCATTATACATTCCTACTAGCACTATATGAAGATTCCAATTCCCCTTTTTTACGAGACAGGGTCTCGCTGTGTCTCCCAGGCTGGAATGCAGTGGCGCGATCATAGCTCACTGCAGCCTCGAACTCCAGAGCTCAAGCCATCCTCCCACCTTGGCCTCCCAAGTTGCTAGGTCTACAGGCATGAGCCACCATGCCTGGCCTTGGTATACCATTTGGTGGTGAATTTTGTTATGTATCATTTCCCATCGTTTTAAAGACATTTTTAAAGGGGAGGGGGAGCTGTGGGGGCATCACGGGAATGAGAGCCACTGGGGCAGAAACAGGGAGCTTCTTGAGAGCAAGTTTAGGAGCCAACTGCCTGGCACCCAGCCTTCTCACTACCTGCCTGCCCACGGGCAGGTCATTACTGTCTGCTTTAGCTGCTTTAACTGGAAGGAGGGAGTAATCATTGTAGTTGCCATATGGGATCTTTACAAAGATTAGTTAATCCACATAAAAAGCTTGGCATACAGTAAATGCTTAATACATGTTGGCAGGCCCTGGGGAGCCCTACAGGAATAGAGCCTCGGGTGCTCATGTTTCACAGGGGCCCTGGCGAAATGCAATGCCAGAGGTCTGGAGGGGGTCCCGGTGAGGAAATGACCAGCTCCAGCCATACAGAAAGAAAACAGCAGAATCAGAATTAAGACCTTATGGCCTGGCGCGGTGGCTCATGCCTCGAATCCCAGCACTTCTGGAGGCTGAGGCGGGTAGGTCACCTGTGGTCAGGAGTTCGAGACCAGCCTGGCCAACATGGGGAAACCCCCATTTCTACTAAAAATACAAATATTAGCCAGGCATGGTGGTGGGTGCCTGTAATCCCAGCTACTCGAGAGGCTGAGGCAGGAGACTTCTTGAACCCTGGGGGGCGGAGGTTGCAGTGAGCCGAGATCGCGCCACTTCACTCTAGTCCCGGGTGAAAGAGCGAAACTCCATCTCAAAAAAAAAAAAAAAAGAAAGAAAAAGTAGAATTAAGACCTTACGAAATGTCTCCACAGCTACAAAATGTGTCAACTTCACCAATTGCTAAATTTTGTATTCATAAAGATTTCATTACATTTCAAAACAGCTCCTAGGTTAGATTTTCTTATTCCCAAGGAACTCCCAAGCCTCCACGATGATTGCCAGTCTCAAATTGCATGCATGACTCCTAGTCACATAATTTCAAAGGCAAAGTTAGAACAGGGCCTTTTGATTCCAAAAAAACCCAACAACCATAAAGTCGACGTTTAACGGGGATGCCGTGCCTTTTAACAGGTTTGCCGGATTGAGGGGCAGGGCTTCCTTGAGTCCCAGTGACCCACGGGAGAGGTGAGGCTGTTCCTACCTGGTCATACGATGGTGACAAATCAGGGTTCGGATTCTGCTCTCACTGCTGGGTGGGTTCAGACCTCAGCCCTTCAGCCATTTCTTTGGTCAGCTGGGTGGACTAGGAGAGCTTTTCTCTTTGTTTTTTGAGATGAAGCCGTGCCGTGTTGCCCAGGCTGGAGTGCAGTGGCACAATCTTGGCTCACTGCAACCTCCGCTTCCCGGGTTCAAGCGATTCTCCTGCTTCAGCCTCCCAAGTAGCTGGGATTACAGGTACCTGCCACCATGCCTGGCTAGTTTTTGTATTTTTAGTAGAGATGGGGTTTCCCCATGTTGGCCAAGCTGGTCTCAAACTCGTGGCCTCGGGTGATTCTCCTGCCTTGGCTTCCCAAAGTGCTGGGATGACAGGCATGAGCCACCACACCCAGCCACGAATTCCTTCACCTTAATCACATCTGCAAGGTCCCTTTGTCTTGGAGACCAATGTGTTCATAGGTCCCAGGGATTAGGACGTGGGCATCCTTGTCCGTCACCCTGGTGTACAACAGAATCCACTTTGGGAAGCACCTGATGTGCTTACCAGTCAAGCAAGTTAGACATCTCTAGTCCCCCTGGCCAGCCACCAATTTATATGAGGACACCTACGGACGCCACACAACATCACCAAACCCAGACATAGCCCAGTGCAGCTCCCTGGGAAACTGGAGTCAATTCCTGGGAAAGTCAAGCGCAGAAGAAGGTTCTGAGCCCGAGGGAGGCTGAGACCCGCCCAGAGGTAGCGAGCCATGGAGCTGAGGCTGCAGCCCGAGGTCCCTTCTCCTCAGCCTCCCCGGTTGTCAGGGCACCCCGTGCCGCGGTCACACGGTGGTGAAGGGATAGGTGTTTGGGGCACCAGTGAGCAAGCTGCGTACGTGAGTGTGTACATAATTTTGCACATGCGCTTGGCCTTTAGAGTTGACCCCAAGGATAACTCTACATGTCCTACAGTGCTTCCAGAGACAGCAATACTGGGCCAGAAACTGCCCCTAAATTACTCCCGGGAGCACCAAGAGCCGCTTCTCCGTACTCCTCAAATCCTCGTGAGATGCAGCTGCCCTGTGTTTGCCTCCACCTGCAAATATTGACACAGCAGCTGCCGGGTTCAGTGGAGCATAAGGTACTGAGGACCCGAGACATTGCCCTCCTGGGAGAGCTTCCTGGGTGGTCTGTGAACCAGGGCCCGGTGGCTCATGCCTGTAATCCCAGCACTTTGGGAGGCTGAGGTGGGAGGATCACTGGAGCCCAGGAGTTTGAGAGCAGTGTGGGTAATGTAGCAAGACCCCATCTGTACAAAAAAATAAAATTGGCTGGGCTGCTGGTGTACACCTGTAGTCCCAGCTACCCACGAGGCTGAGGAGGGAGGATCACTTGGGCTCAGGAGGCAGAGGCTGCAGTGAGCTGTGATCACACCACTGCACTCCAGCCTGGGCGACAGGGCTGTCTCAAAAAAGAACAGCGTGGCACTGGCTGTGACTGAGGAGACCAGCCACACATGCCCAGCCCCTTCAAATTCTGCCCCCTGCAAGAGGTCTCCTCTGACCACTGGATCAGCAGCGCCTCATCACCCTCTGCCTTGTCACACCTGCCTGTCCTCGTGGCTCTGACCACTCGCTAAAGCATTGTTTATTGTCGGCACTCTCCACCACATAAGCATCGTTGGGGCAGGCATCTGCATCTCCCCAGTGCACAGCCTTTTAAAATACAGGTTTTGGCCGGGCGCGGTGGCTCATGCCTGTAATCCCAGCACTTTGGGAGGGTGAGGCGGGTGGATCACCTGAGCTCAGGAGTTTGAGACCAGCCTGGCCAACATGGTGAAACCCCGTCTGTACTAAAAACACAAAAATTAGCCGGGTGTGGTGGTAGGCACCTGTAGTCCCAGCTACTCAGGAGACTGAGACAGGAGAATCGCCTGAACACAGAGATGGAGGGTGCAGTGAGCTGAGGTCGCACCACTGCACTCCAGCCTGTGTGACAGAGCGAGACTCCATAAAAAAAAAAAAAAAAAGCAGGTTTTGGCCGGGCACGGTAGCTCACGCCAGTAGTCCCCGCACTTTGGGAGGGTGAGGTGGGCAGATCACCTGAGGTCAGGAGTTCGAGACCAGCCTGGCCAACATGGTGAAACCCCATCTCTACTAAAAATATGAAAATTAGCTGGGCATGGTGGCGCATGCCTGTAATCCCAGCTACTAAGGAGGCTGAGGCAGGAGAATCGCTTGAACCTGGGAGGCGGAGGTTGCAGTGAGTCAAGATCGCACCACTGCACTCCAGCCTGGGAGACAGAATGAGACTCCATCTCAAAAAAATAAAAAAGTGCTTTATGCAATATCTGGCATACAGTAGGTGCATAGCAAGTGGTTGTGGTTCTTTGAATTTTTTTAGCAAGAGACAGGTCTAAACCAGGGCTTCCCACTCCTTGCCCAACAGAAATCCCTCCCCTCTGCCCTTTAAGAAATTAAGTGTGGCCCATAGACTTAGGGAAGGGGAATCGCTGGGCTCGATTTCTACTGCAGCTGTAATCTATAATGTTGCATTACAGTTTTTAAAACAAGAGGCCCCTCTTTGGCCTCTCAAATGCTGCACGCTGTGGAGTTAAGTGCTGGAAGCCACTGATGGTGTCTCTCGGCTTCTTCCAGTCTTGGAATCATAGCCACCTCGTGCCAACGAGCTGTGAAACTACTGGGGTGCCCCGTGTACCCAGCCACAGAAAACGCATATCAGGCCTCGCGGGGAGCTCGTAAAAGGCACTGAAGCTTCCCCTGCGTGTATGCTGCCGGCCACAGCAGACCAAATATTTACAGACTCAGCTGAAATGAAACCCAGCAGGGTGGATCTCACAGGTGGTCCGGGAAAGGTCCCCATTGCTGGGGAAACAGTGCACAGAGCAGGAAGGAAACCCACTTGGCCAAGGCCCCCTGCCAAGCAAGTCAAGATGAAATCCAGGCTCAAGAGCTGGGCTCTGAGTCCTTTGTTTTCTTGCTTATTTAGCTTAGCAAATGCTTCTTGGGTACTTACTGCGAGCAGGGCTCCATGGCAGAGATGCAGCCATGACTGAGACAAGCCTGCAGGTTCCTGTTGTCTGGGGGTGGAATGAGACTGGCTTCTTGGAGGAGGGGACTGGACAGACCTAAGCCATGAGGAGTGAAGGAGCCCCAGAAGGGCTTTCCAGAAGAAGAAACAGGGTGTGCAGAAGCCCCCAGGAAGGAAAGGACACGCCTCCCACCCTTTTTTTTGTTTTTCGGAGCGATGGGATCTTGCTCTGTTGCCCAGGCTGGAGTACAACGGCGCGATCATAGCTCACTGCAACCTTGAGCTCCTGGAAGTAATCCTCATGCCCCAGCCTCCTGAGCAGCTGGGACTCCAGGCATGAGCCATGCACCTGGCCTAGCACCTTTGAGCAACAGAGCAGGCAGGAACATGGGGACCTGGGGCCGCAGTGGCTGATCAGGGATGGGACCACCAGCCTGTAGGGTTTCTTCTTCTTGAGAAGAAGAGAGCCAGCCCTCCTCGAAGGGTTTGAGGGTAACACTCAAATGTCTCTCTTCAGGCCTTTCCTTGCTTGAGATCCAAATCCTCACTGTCCCCGTGTCCCCGGTCTCCCCATGCCATGACCACTTTCACCTCCAGGAAGCTAGAACCAGCCAGCCCTGGGGAAGGAGGGGCGAGCCACACTGGACTCAGGGCCCTGGCTCTGTTTGGACAAAGACACAGCAGGGGGGGCCACAAGCCGCCTCCAGTTTTGGGATCCCTGCTCCAAAGACCAGAACATAGGAGCAAGCAGGCTGGCAGAACTGGTGGGCACAGCTGGGCATGGTGCCTCACACCTGTACTCCAAGCACTTTGGGAGGCCGAGGCAGGCAGATCACTTGAGACCAGCCTGGTCAACATGGTGAAACTCCATCTCTACTAAAAACACAAAAATTAGCCAGGTGTGGTGGTGCACGCCTGTAATCCCAGCTACTCGGGAGGCTGAGGCAGGAGAATCACTTGAATCTGGGAGGTGGAAGTTACAGTGAGCTGAGATCACACCACTGCACTCCAGTCTGGGCAACAGAGCGAGACTCTGTATTAAAAAATAGATATAATTAGCCAGGCACGGTGGCTCATGTCTGTAATCCCAGCACTTTGGGAGGCTGAGGTGGGTGGATCACCTGAGGTCAGGAGTTCGAGATCAGCCTGGTCAACATGGCAAAACCTTGTCTCTACTAGAAATACAAAAATTAGCAGGGCATGGTGGCGCATGCCTGTAATCCCAGCTACTCGGGAGGCTGAGGCAGGAGAATCTCTTGAACCTGGGAGGTGGAGGTTGCAGTGAGCTGATGTTGCACCACTGCACTCCAGCCTGGGCGACAGAGTGAGAGTCCGTTGGGTATCACACCCCCACTCACTCAGCCCCTGGCTGAGTCATAGCAGGTGGACACTCATGGGGACCAAGACGCCGTTGAGGGACGGGACCCAAGAGATGCGGCTATAAGTGGGGTGTGCTGGGTCACTGGAGATGCCTGGCTTGCTTATTGACGAAGCCTCAGGCTCTGGAGGTGGGGGAAGCCGTGGGGGAGGGAAGGGGAGAAAAAAGAGGGATGGAGAGATAAAGACACCGAGACACAGAAAAAGAGAGATTCAGGGAGAAGAGAGACAGAGACTGAGACACAGAGTGAAACAGACGCACACACACAGGGACGCAAATAGACAAAAGCAGAAACAGATGAACCCAGGACCTGCACAGATGTGGATCTGCACTTGGGGCAGCCGGGCCCTCTACTCCATGTGCCCACTAGGTGGCGCCCAAGAGCCACGCTCTGCAACGCAGCCGACCCGGTTGGGCCCCTCCTGCCGCGGAAGCCCCCATCTCTCTGCCCGCCCAGCGTTTCCCCCACGGGCCCAACACCACCTTTGTGGGAGGCCCTGGAGGCGCAGGTGGAGGCTGGAATGGGGGCTTCCTCAAGGGTCGAGGGTCTCCAGAGCCTCCCAACCCGGCCCCCGGTAGGCGAAGGCCCTGGTTGTGTCTGTGCTTCTCTTAGAGTGAGTTTGTATTGGTCTCAGGAGTGGACGTGCCTGCTTCTGTCTTGGGGTGTGGATCTGGTGAATCTCCGTGTGTGAGGCTTAAGGCCGTGTGTCTCTCTGTGTGCATCTGTGTTTGTCATGGGGCGTGTGTCCGTGTGTGTCTGTGTTTGCTCTGGGGGGCATGTGTCTCTGCGCATGTGACTACGTGTCTCATTTTTCTCTTGCTACATATCATGGCTGTATTTGCCTTGGGTGTGTCTGTGTCTCTGTGTGACTGACTTCTCCTCATGCTGTGTACATTTTGGTGTATCCGGGCTGGCGAGTGACTTGATGTGTGCCTCATGTCTCCGCCCCCCTTGGAAAGCTGCCTCTCCCGCCCCTGCTCACCTTTCCTGGCGGCTCTGTATAGAGTCACCAAAGAATTCAAGAACTGAAATATTTATGAAGTGCTTCCTGGGGTCCCCTGGAGAGACAGGAGCGACTGTTCATGGAGCTGTGTGTCTGTGGGTCTGACCAAACGAGATTTAGATCCTGCTCAAACTAAGCACCTACTATGTGCCAGGCCTTGGCTCGGGTACTGCCTTCATGCTATGCATTCAGTTTCCTCATCTGTAAAATGGGCCTGATATTCGGCCGGGCGCGGTGGCTCATGCCTGTAATCCCAGCACTTTGGGAGGCCGAGGCGGGCGGATCACAAGGTCAGGAGATCGAGATCATCCTGGCTAATACGGTGAAACCCCGTCTCTACTAAAAATACAAAAAATTAGGGCCGGGCGCGGTGGCTCACGCCTATAATCCCAGCACTCTGGGAGGCCGAGGCGGGCGGATCACGAGGTCAGGAGATCGAGACCATCCTGGCTAACACGGTGAAACCCTGTCTCTGCTAAAAGTACAAAAAATTAGGGCCAGGCGCGGTAGCTCACGCCTGTAATCTCAGCACTCTGGGAGGCCAAGGCAGGCAGATCACGAGGTCAGGAGATTGAGACCATCCTGGCTAACATGGTGAAACCCCGTCTCTGCTAAAAAAAAATAGCTGGGCGTGGTGGCGGGCGCCTGTAGTCCCAGCTACTTGGGGGGCTGAGGCAGGAGAATGGCCTGAACCCGGGAGGCGGAGCCTGCAGCGAGCCGAGATCGCGCCACTGCACTCCAGCCTGGGCAACAGAGTGAGACTCTGTCTCAAAAAACAAAACAAAACAAAATAAATTATAAAAAAAAAAAAAAAATGGGTGAAATTCCACCATGGCGTACCGTGGCCAGGGCCAGAAAGTGCAGAAGGTTATGGTGCAGCCCATCAGCCTCATCTTCAGATACTTACAAAATAGATCGCGGATTCAGGTGTGGCTCTATGAGCAAGTGAATATGCGGATAGAAGGCTGTATCATTGGTTTTGATGAGTATATGAACCTTGTATTAGATGATGCAGAAGAGATTCATTCTAAAACAAAGTCAAGAAAACAACTGGGTCGGATCATGCTAAAAGGAGGTAATATTACTCTGCTGCAAAGTGTCTCCAACTAGAAATGATCAATGAAGTGAGAAATTGTTGAGAAGGATACAGTTTGTTTTTAGATGTCCTTTGTCCAATGTGAAGATTTATTCATATTGTTTTGATTACCGTTGTGTTACTACAAGATGGCAATAAATACTATGGGATTGTTTGTGTTAAAAAAAATGGGCTTGATATTAGCATCTATCTCATAGCATTGCTATGAGGTGAGTTGAGGTTTATAAAACCTTGAACACTCCTGGAGCATGCTAAAGACTCAATGTGATAAATTATCTCAGGCTGGGTGTGATGGCTCACGCCTGGAATCCCAGCACTTTGAGAGGCCAAGGTGGGCAGATTAGTTTTGAGCCCAGGAGTTCGAGACCAGTCTGGGCAACATGGCAAAACCCTGTCTCTACAAAATAATAATTATAATAATAATAACAATAACAACAATAATAATAATAATACAATAATTAGCCACGCGGGATGGTGTGCACCTATAGTCCCAGCTACTCGGGAGGCTGAGGTGGGAGGATCACTTGAGCCCAGGAGGCGGAGGTTGCAGTGAGCTGAGATCACGCCGCTCTGCTCCAGCCTGGGTGACACAGAGCCAGACCTTCCCTCAAAGAAAAAAAAAAAAAAGGAAAAATCACCTCATTTAATTCTAATAACTACAAGCACATCTATTAACCTATGGGTCAGTGGGGAGCCCCTGAGAATTCTTCACTCACTGCTAAGAACTTGAGGGTTGTCAAAAAGGCCTAAATAGATTGGATGCTTGGACGTCTGTCTGCATAAAAACTTTCCTTTTAGCTCAGCTCAGCGGTTCTCAAACTTCAGAAAACTGAGTAGACGGGATCATGCTGGGTATAAAAATCAGGGGCATGAGTTGTTTCAGACATTGGGAACTCAGCGGTGAATAGAACAGACAAAATAGCCGTTGGGGAGTTTCTGTTCTGATGGGGAAAAGATAATAAATGAGGTTGTCACTCAACAAATGTGAGTCATTATGGTTATTTTCCATCAAAGACTTTCAATATACTTTGCCATTTCGCCCTCCAGAAAGATGGGACTTGGTACTAACTTATCCCAGCAATGTATGCAAGTGCTCACTGCCTTGTACCTTCACAAAAACTATTATTGGATCTTTTTGTCAAATATTAGAGTGGTGAAATTCTTTTTTTTTTTTTGAGACGGAGTTCACTCTTGTTGCCCAGGCTGGAGTGCAATGGCACAATCTCGGCTCACCGCAACCTCCACCTCCCAGGTTCAAGCACTTCTCTTGCCTCAGCCTCCCGAGTAGGTGGGATTACAGGCATGCGCCACCATGCCCGGCTAATTTTGTATTTTTAGTAGAGACAGGGTTTCTCCATATTGGTCAGGTTGGTCTCGAACTCCCGACCTCAGGTGATCCACCCGTCTCAGCCTCCCAAAGTGCTGGGATTACAGGCATGAGCCACCGTGCCCAGCAGTGAAATTCTTTTTTCAAGTCTTTTACAATTTCCCACCTATGTCTTTTGTGTGTCCAAAGTGTATGCACGTTCTTTGCACATGTTGCTTTATTTTTATTGATTTCTAACAACTCTTTATATATGAGGAATGCTACTTTGTTTAAACATGTTGGTGGCAGATAGCCTTTGTTTCTAATAGAATGAGGCTAGAAAAACACAACTTGCCAATAGGGACCACCATAAACCTTCATTTGCCCAACAAACATCCTGCGTGTGAATCAATCAATCCCTTCCTTCCTTCCTTCCTTCCTTCCTTCCTTCCTTCCTTCCTTCCTTCCCTCCCTCCCTCCCTCCTTCCTTTCTTTTCTCCCTCCCTCCTTCTTTCCTTCCTCTCCTCCCTTCCTCCCCCCTCTCTTCCTTCCTTCCTTTAGATGGAGTTTTGCTCTTGTCGCCCAGGCTGGAGTGCAGTGGTACAATCTTGGCTCACTGCAACCTGCGCCTCCTAGGTTCAAGTGATTCTCCTGCCTTAGCCTCCAGAGTAGCTGGGATTACAGGCACCCGCCACCACAACCGGGATTACAGGTGTGTGCCTGTAGTCCCAGCTACTCAGGAGGCTGAGGTGGGAGGATCGCTTGAGCCTGGGAGGTTGAGGCTGCAGTGAGCCATGGTCATGCCACTGTACTCCAGCCTGGGCAACAGAGTAAGATCCTGTTTCATAAAGTAAAATAAGATAAAATAAAATAATAGCATAGGCCAGCCGGGCACAGTGGCTCAATGCCTGTAATTCCAGCACTTTGGGAGGCCGAGGCGGGTGGATCACGAGATC
Source organism: Homo sapiens (assembly GCF_000001405.40). Classification (NCBI taxonomy): domain Eukaryota; kingdom Metazoa; phylum Chordata; class Mammalia; order Primates; family Hominidae; genus Homo; species Homo sapiens. The sequence goes on along the minus strand of NC_000019.10, from coordinate 5,574,411 downwards.
AGGAGATCAAGACCATCCTGGCCAACATGGTGAAACCCCGTCTCTACTAAAAATACAAAAAATTAGCTGGGCATGGTGGCGGGCGCCTGTAGTCCCAGCTACTCGGGAGGCTGAGGCAGGACAATGGCGTGAACCCGGGAGGCGGAGCTTGCAGTGAGCCAAGATCGTGCCACTGTACTCCAGCCTGGGCAACAGAGCAAGACTCTGTCTCAAAAAAATAAATAAATAAATAAAAATAAATAATAATAATAATATAGGCCAGAATGCCTGTTCATCAGAGGCTGGGCAGCAGGGAGAAGTGTGGGTTGGGGGGGGCTGCATATTCCACCAATCCTGTAGGCAAATAGGGAAGGAGGGTGGGTGCCAGGCCCACTTGCCCCCATCTGTAACATATCCACTGCCCTTAGCATTGCCACATTCTGGAATTATAGATACTTTGCCTCTTGTAATGTAGAAGAGATTTCTTTCTTTCTTTTTTTTTTTTTTTTTCGAGAGAGGGTCTTGCTCTGTTGCCCAGGCTGGAGTGCAGTGGTGCAATCATAGCTCACTGCAGCCTCCAACTCCTGGTCTCAGGTGATCCACTTGCCTCAGTCTCCTGAGTAGCTGGGACTACGGGGGCGCACACCACCACGCCCAGCTAATTTTAAAATTCTGGCCGGGCATGGTGGCTCATACCTGTAATCCCAGCACTTTGGGAGACTGAGGCAGGCGGATCACTTAAGATCAGGAGTTCGAGACCAGCCTGGCTAACATGGTGAAACCCCGTGTCTACTAAAAATATAAAAATTAGCCTGGCGTGGTGGCGCATGCCTCTAACCTCAGCTACTCAGGAGGCAGGAGAATCGCTTGAACCTGGGAGGTGGAGGTTGCAGTGAGCTGAGTTCGTGCCTAGGTGAAAAGACACTCCAGCCTACGTGAAAGAGTGAGACTCCGTCTCAAAAAAAAAAAAAAAAATTGTAGAGTCAGGGCCTTGCTATGTGGCTTAGGCTAGTCTTAAAATCCTGGCCTCAAGCGATCCTCCTGCCTCGGCCTCCCAAAGTGCTGGGATTACAGGCAAGAGCCACCATGCCCGGACTCTGGCCCATTTTAAAAAGCCTATTCCTCTTGCTTCCTGCTGAACTTTATTAAAACTTACTACTGCAGCTTTTTCTCCCCTAAGACAGCCAGAGGGGATGTATGGTGATTACCGCTCAGAGCCCCCACCCACCCACTAGAGAGCTCTGAGATTCCACATTGTTCAGGAGGACTGAACACCAGCTGTTCTAAGATCCTAAGTGTCTACATGTTCAGTGATCCCACGATTCTGAGCCTCCAGACTCCAGAGCTCAGGGATTCTCTGAGCTCATCACTGTCTGCCTGGGTCTTCCATAATTGCCCGCAACAGATAATACAGTGTCTCGAGGCAAAAACCATGATCCCTCTAATCCACAGACCCAGGCACAGGGGCCGGTCGCCCACAGCCACCGAGCTTTTCCTAACAGCTTAATGAGAAAGTCAGAATTAACTGGAAGTGGCACCTAGCACTCCCAGGGCTCAGCGTGGCCTCCCCGTGTTAAAGCCGAGTGTCCCCAGGCCTCCCTTTGACCTTCTTGGACACCAGCAATTATGATGGGCGAGGCCTGGAATTCAGCCTGAATAGGGAAGTGGCTGGGGCCATGGTGACCTAGTTCTTCAGGTTAAGCCAGCCCGCCCACCTTCCCCGGAGAGTGACCAGCCCAGCCTGGGTTCTCATTCTGCCACTACTCCTCTCCGGGCCTCAGTTTCCCTCCTTTGTTCAAGGAGGTCAGGGATCATGCCAGCCTCCTACTTTGCTGTGTTACATGTAAATTTCTTGGCACATGTATTATGTTATCATCTCTCTTTGTGCACACGGATACCTTCCCAGAAAGGACACTGCTGGCTTATACCTTTTTCAAATAGCTATTGTCAGAGAGCTTACACCATTTCACACTCTGAACCCCAGCAGCATGAGGCTGCTCTTTTCCCAAAACCCTGAAAACACAGCAAATGCTCAGACTTTTTCATCTTTACCAGCCAGACAGATGAAAAGAAGAAAAAGATATTTCATGGTAGTTTTTTTTTATATTTAGGTTACCATGAGCGAGAATGAACTCCCTTGCCTATGCCCAGAAGACGTTTGTATTTCCTTTTCAGAAAACCGTTCATGTGTGGTGGCTTATGCTTGTAATCCCAGCACTTTGGGAGGCTGAGGTGGGAGGATTGCTTGAATCCCAGGAGTTCGAGACCAGCCTGGGCAACATGGCGAAACCCTGTCTCTACTAAAAATACTGAAAATTAGCCGGGAGGGGTGGTACACAGTTTCAGTGAGCCAAGATTGTGTCACTGCATTCCAGTGTGGGAAACAGCAAGACCCTGTTTGCTCAAAAACAAAAACAAAACAACAACAACAAAAATCCATTCATGTCTTTCACCCTTTTTTGGACTGGCTTGTTAATCCATATTGATTTCTAGATGCTTTTTACATATTAAGGATATCAGTCTCTTGTCTATCATGTTTTGGAAGATTTTCCCCCTTGATGTTGCCTCTTCATCTTCTAGTATTTTTTATTTGTTTGTTTTGTTTTTCTTTTTTCTTTTTTTTTTTGAGATGGAGTTTCCCTCTTGTTGCCCAGGCTGGAGTGCAATGGTGCGATGTTGGCTCACCGCAACCACTGCCTCCTGGGTTCAAATGATTCTCCTGCCTCAGCCTCCCAAGTAGCTGGCATTACAGGCATGCACCACCACACCCAGCTAATTTTGAATTTTTAGTAGAGACAGGGTTTCTCCATGTTGGCCAGGCTGGTCTCGAACTCCCTACCTCAGGGGATCCGCCTGCCTCAGCCTCCCAAAGTGCTGGGATTACAGGCGTGAGCCACCGTGCCCGGCCTGTTTTGTTTTTCTTAAGACAGTCTCTCACTCTGTCACCCAGGCTGGAGTGCAGTGGTGCAATCTTGGCTCACTGCAACTGTGTACTCCACAGTTGCCATTGTACTCCACCCTGGGCATTGTACTTCAACCTCCTGGGTTGAAGCCATTCTCCTGCCTCAGCCTCCCAAGTAGCTGGAATTATAGGCACCCACCACCACACCTGGCTAATTTTTGTATTTTTAGTAGAGACAGGGTTTCACCATGTTGGCCAGGCTGGTCTCGATCTCCTGACCCCAGGTGATCCACCCACCTTGGCCTCCCAAAGTGCTGAGATTACAGGAGTGAGCCACTGTGCCCAGTCTCTCACCCCTTTTTCAATTTGCTTGTTAATCCTTATTGATTTCCAGATGCTCTTTACATATTAAGAAAATCAGTCTTTTGTCTGTCGTGTTTTGGAAAACTTTCTTCCTTGATGTTGCCTTTTGATCTTCTAGTATTTTTTTAATGTGCATATGTGTGTAGGAATTTTATATTTGTAGTCAGTTATTAATCTTTTAATTAAAGGTTTCTGGGTTTAATATGCTTTAACACAGTTAAGATTAATTTTATTTTTATATTTTTTTGAGACGGAGTATCACTCTGTCACACAGGCTGGAGTGCAATGGTGTGGTCTCGGCTCACTGCCAGCTCCACCTCCCGGGTTCAAGTGATTCTCCCGCCTCAGCCTCTTGAGTAGCTGGGATTACAGGCATGCACCACCACACCTGGCTAATTTTTGTATTTTTAGTAGAGACGGGGTTTCACCATGTTGGCCAGGCTGGTCTCGAACTCCTGACCTCTTGATTTGCCCGCCTCAGCCTCCCAAAGTGCTGGGATTACAGGCATGAGCCACCGCGCCTGGCCCAGATTATTTTTATTTTTAACTCCTGTGTTTTCTCCTAATATTTGTATAGTTTATTTCGCTGGGGGCAAGGGTTGAAGGGGCCATCTGGAATTTAATTTGGTTTGAGTTATCTTTAAAATCTCCATCTGAAAAAAAAAAAAAAAAGGCTGGACGTGGTGGCTCACGCCTGTAATCCCAGCAATTTGGGAGGCCAAGGCAGGCAGATCACTTGAGGTCAGGAGTTTGAGACCACCCTGGCTAACATGGTGAAACCCTGTCTCTACTAAAAATACAAAAATTAGCCTGGCGTGGTGGCGCACGCCTGTAATTCCAGCTACTCAGGAGGCTGAGGCGGGAGAATCGCTTGAACCCAGGAGGCGGAGGCTGCAGTGAGCCGAGATATTGCCACTGCACTCCAGCCTGAGTGACAGAGTGAGACTCCATCTCAAAAATAGTAATAATAATAATAAAAACTAGAAACCTCCATCTGAACTCTCATGGTTGTGTAAGAGTGATGTTTGTGGGCTGGGCGAGGTGGCTCCCACCTGTAATCCCAGCACTTTGGGATGCCAAGGCGGGTGGATCACCTGAGATCGGGAGTTCAAGACCAGCCTGACTAACATGGAGAAACCCCGTCTCTACTAAAAATACAAAAAATTAGCCAGGCTTGGTGGCGCATGCCTGTAATCCCAGCTACTCGGGAAGGCTGAGGCAGGAGAATTGCTTGCACCTGGGAGGCGGAGGTTGCGGTGAGCCGAGATTGTGCCATTGTACTCCACCCTGGGCAACAAGAGTGAAACTCTGTCTCAAAAAAAAAAAAAAAAAAAAAAGTGATGTTTGTGTAATGAATGGATTACAACAAAACTGCTAATGCTAGGTGGCCTGGGTTCGAATCCCAGCTCTGCCACTTTTCTCTCTGTTTCCTCTGGGAAATCTCTTTTCTTCTCTATGCCTCAGTTTTCTCACTTGTAAAATGGGAAGTCATAGTGTCATGAGAAAAGTAAGAGATGCTTCCCCCACCCCAATAAAGTACCTAGAAGACTGTCTGTCACTTAGCAGGTGCTCTTTTCTTTTCTTTTCTTTTTTGAGACGGAGTTTCCCTCTTGTTGCCCAGGCTAGAGTGCAATGGCAGATCTCCGCTCACCACAACCTCCACCTCCTGGGTTCAAGCGATTCTCCTGGCTCAGCCTCCTGAGTAGTTGGGATTACAGGCACCCACCACCACGCCTGGCTAATTTTTTTGTATTTTTTGTAGAGACGGGGTTTCTCTGTGTTGGTCAGGTAGATCTCGATCTCCCAACCTCAGGTGATCTGCCCACCTCGGCCTCCCAAAGTGTTGGGATTACAGGCGTTAGCCCCTGCACCCAGCCCTTCTCTTTTTTTCCTTCTCTTCCTCTCTCTCTCTCTTTCTTTCTTTCATTCTTTCTTTCCTCTTCTCTTTCTCTCTCTCTCCCTCTTTCTTTCTTTCTTTCTTTCTTTTTTTTTTTTTTTTTTGAGACGGAGTCTCGCTGTGTCTCCCAGGCTGGAATGCAGTGGCGCACGATCTCGGCTCACTGCAAGCTCCGCCTCCCAGGTTCACGCCATTCTCTTGCCTCAGCCTCCGGAGTAGCTGGGACTACAGGCGCCCGCCACCACGCCCGGCTAATTTTTTGTATTTTTGGTAGAGACGGGGGGGTTTCACCGCGTTAGCCAGGATGGTCTCGATCTCCTGACCTTGTGATCTGCCCACCTGGGCCTCCCAAAGTACTGGGATTACAGGCGTGAGCCACCACACCCGGCCATTTTTTTTTTTTTTTTTTTTTTTTTTTTTTTTGCGATAAGTCTCGCTCTGTGGCTCAGGCTGGAGTGCAGTGGCACAATCTCGGCTCACTGCAACCTCTGTCTGCGGGTTCAAGCGATTCTTCTGCCTCAGCCTCCTGAGTAGCTGGAACTACAGGCATGTGCCACCACGCCTGGCTAATTTTTGTACTTATAGTAGAGACGGGGTTTCACCATGTTGGCCAGGTTGGTCTCGAACTCCTGACCTCATGTGATCCGCCCACCTCAGTCTCCCAAAGTGCTGGGATTCCAGGCATGAGCCACCGCACCTGGCCTAAAAGTAAATTTTTTTTTTAATGTAGGCTGAGCGTGGTGGCTGAGGGTTATAATCCCACCGCTTTGGGAGGCCAAGGCGGAGAATCACTTGACGTCAGGAGTTCAAAACCAGCCTGGGCAACACGGCCAGGCCCCATCTCTACAAAAACTACAAAAGTGAGCTGGGCTTGGTGGCAGCGCCTGTAGTCCCAGCTACTTGAGAGGCTGAGGCGGGAGGATCGCTTGAGCCCGGGAGGTCAAGGCTGCAACGAACCATGATTGCGCCACTGCGCTCCAGCCTGTCCTTAAAAAGATCAAATAAAGTGGCCTCCCAGCCTCCCTCCCTGGAGCCTCCACCATGTAACCCCCTGGACATTCGCGCGTCTCCTTGGCTGGGATGACCTCGCTGATGGCTCTGTGCTGAGTGGCCACTCCGCCTCTAGACCCCCGGGCGCACTCTGGGGCCAGCAGTGGGGAGCGGACGCCTGAGGGGACCGTGGCACCCGCCCCGCCCCGCCGGGCCGGGCCTGCCCACTGCGTGCCGGGCGTGTCCGGGCGGGCGGAGCGCGGGCGCGGCGGGGGCGGGCGGCCAGGCTAGTCGGGCGGGTGCGCGGGGCGCTCGGGGCCCGGGGCCAGAGCTGGAGCCGGAGCCGGGCGGGCGCCATGGAGGGGCTGCGGCGGGGGCTGTCGCGCTGGAAGCGCTACCACATCAAGGTGCACCTGGCGGACGAGGCGCTGCTGCTACCGCTGACCGTGCGGCCGCGGGACACGCTCAGCGACCTGCGCGCCCAGCTGGTGGGCCAGGGCGTGAGCTCCTGGAAGCGCGCCTTCTACTACAACGCGCGGCGGCTGGACGACCACCAGACGGTGCGCGACGCGCGCCTGCAGGACGGCTCGGTGCTGCTGCTCGTCAGCGACCCCAGGTGGCCGCGGGGCTCGGGGTGGGGTGGGGCGGGGGCGGCGGCCGGGGACCCCTGGAGAGCGGCGGGGGAGGCGGGCGCCCAAGGCGGCCTCCCGGGCCGGCACTGCTTTCCCACCTCGCGCTGCCCGCCCGGCCTCTCTCCTGACCCGGCCTTGCCGGTGTCAGGTCTTGCTTTCGGGCTCTCTGTCTGTGCCTGTTTCTCTGCCTGTTTCTGTCTCTGCTGTTTTTCTGCCTCTCTCTCTTTTGTCTCTGTCACTCTCATCTTTGTCACTCTCTCGTCTCTGTCTCTCATCTCTGTCTCTTCTTCTTTTGTCTCTGTCTCTCATCTCTCTCCCTCTTCTTTCTGTCTCTTGTCTCTGACTCTTATCTCTGTGCCTCTCTTTGTCTCTTTCATCTCTCTCTTTTGTCTGTGTCTCTCTTTTATCTCTGTCTCTTTCATCTTTGTCTCTCTCATCTCTTTTGTGGCTGTCTCATCTCCATCTCTTATCTCTGTCTCCCTCTTGTTTCTGTCTCTTGTCTCTGTCTCTTTTATCTCTGCGTCTCTCATCTTTGTCTCCTCACCTCTCTCTCTTTTGTCTTTGTCTCTGTCTCTCTCTCCATTTTGGTCTCTGTTTTTTCCTCTCTGTGTGTCTCTCTCCATCTCTGCCTCTGTTTATTTCTTTCCCTGATGATTTGGTTGCCTGTGATTGTCTCTGTCTCTGTCTCTCTTTTCTCTGTCACTCTGTGTCTCTGCCCACTTCTCTCTCTGCTGTTTTCCTCCCTGTTTCTCCCTCATCTCTGTCTCCCTCTCTCTTTTCTGTCTCCCTCTCTGGTCTCTGTCTCCCCATTTTGGTCTCTGCTTTTTTCCTCTGTGTGTGTGTCTCTGTCTCTCTTCCCCTTTGTCTCTTTGTGTCTCTGCCCATTTCTGTCTCTGCTGTTTTTCTCCTTGTGTCTCTCTGTGTCTGTCTCTTTTGTCTCTTTGTCCATTTTTGTCTCTGTTTTTCTCTGTGTCTGTGTATGTGTGTGTCTCTCTCTCCCTGTCTCTCTGTCTCTTTGTCCATTTGTCTCTGTCTCTGCTGTTTTTCTCTCTGTCTCTCTGTGTCTCTGTCTCTGTGTCCCTGTCCAGTTCTGTCTGTGTGTGCGCGCATCTCTCTCTGTGTCTCTGTGAGTCTCTGTCTCTTTTGTCTCTGTCTCTCTCTGTGTCTCTGCCCATTTTGGTCTCTGCTTTCTTTCCTCTGTGTGTCTCTCCATTTCTGTCTCTCTTTCTCTGTCTCTCTCCATTTCTGTCTCTGCTCTTTTTCTCTCTGTGTGTCTCTTTTGTCTCTCTGTTTCTCTGCGTGTCTCTGTCCATTTCTGTCTCTTCCCGCTGTGTATTTCTCTCTCTGTGTCTCTGTCTCTGTTATTTTGGTCTCTGCTCTTTTTCTCGCTGTGTCTCAACATGTGTGTCTGTGTCTCTTTATCTCTCTGGTGTCTCTGCATTTTTCTCTGCTGTTTTTCTCTGTCTCTGAAGCTCTGTCTCTCTCTTCCTTCTCTGGTCTCTCCCTACCGCCTTATCTTTCCCACAGCCCCACTCCAGTGTCCGTTACCCACACTCACACTTGGATATCTGGGTCCCCAAAGAGGTCCCCTGGCCAAGACGACCCTCAAGTGGGGCGTCTTCTGGCCCAAGGAGGGGTCTGCAGAGAAGGGCGCTGGGGCCACGGGAACAGCTCACTGCCGGCCTGGGGCAGCTCTGGGAAATGGGTCGAGGATGGCCGAGAGGTGGTGAAGATGGTGGGGCCTCGTCTCAGAGCCTGGGACCACCTCCTTGGAAGCATTGAACAGGAGAGGGACGGGGGCCATGTGAATTACCCTGGATTTTATGGGGGTCACATTCACCAGCCCTCTAGAGGCTTGAGTCACCGAGCCTGGGTTGATGTTTTGAGGGCAGGAGCCTCAGATGCCACCCCGTTGCAGGAGTCTGGGGCTGCAATGGGGGCAGGAGAGGCCCCCTCCCCAGGCCCTCTTGAGGGAAGATCTTAGCGGGGACGGGGAGGCTGAGAGGATGATGAGGGATGGAGGTTCAGAGCTTGGGGCTAGGAGAGGGTGTTCTCGGCAGCGTACCTTCTATGAGGTCTGGGGGCTGGACGACCCTCAGACGTCCAGACTGTAATTATGCAGTACAGAGTCAGCATTTATTGTGTGCCTACTGTGTGCCAGACTCCATGCTGGACACTGAAATTCAGCAGTGACCCAGAGAGACCAGATTTCGCCTTCACAGAGCCTAGAGCCAAATAATAGCACAGGAGAATGTCAACTCGCAATTGGCGCTGTGGGGGATGCAGGGAAGGTGGAGAGGGATCAGTGACTGGGGGACGCCTCTCCGGAAAGGTGACATGTCAGGCTATGATGTGGAGGAGGTGGTTAAACAGAGAGTCAGGGAAGGGTGTTCCAGGCAGTAGGAACAGCCTGTGCAAAGGCCCTGAGGCAGGACTGCACCTGGCATGTTGGAGGAACAGCGAGGAGGCCCGTGTGGCTGGAGCAAGGGGGAGAGAGGGAGGAAGGGAGGGCAGGGAGGGGCCAGGGCAGTTCATGCAGGGCCTTGCGGACTGCAGGGAGGACTTGGGCCTTGACTCCGAGGGAGGTGGGAGCCATAGAGGGCTGTGGGCAGAGGAGGGACGGGACCTGACTCAATGCTCACAGGCAACCCCTGGCTGCAGCGGGGAGAACAGACTGTGATGGGGGGAGGGCTGGAGACAGGAGACCAGGGTGAGGTCCCAGTGAGCCATGCTGGAGGCAGAGAACAGAAGCCTTCAGAGGAGACAGTTTTGGCTGGGCGCAATGGTTCACACCTGCAATCCCAGCACTTTGGGGGGCCAAGGTGGGCGGATCACCTGAAGTCAAGAGTTCGAGACCAGCCTGGCCAACATGGCGAAACGCTGTCTCTACTAAAAATACAAACATTAGCCAGGCATAGTGATATACGCCTGTAATCCCAGCTACTTGGGAGGCTGAGGCAGGAGAATCGCTTGAACCTGGAGGCGGAGGTTGCAGTGAGCTGAGATCGTGCCTCTGCACTCCAGCCTGGACAACAGAGTGAGACTCCGTCTCAAAACAAAAGAAAAAAGAGAGAGTTTCAACCTCCTCTGGGCTCCCACCCTGTCCTAATGCCCTGCCCCTTGCCCATCCCTGACCACACACACAGCTGGGGTTGATGGCAGAGTCCAGCTTTGTCTTCCCCAACAGACAGGGGCCCCTATCTGCCTTTGCTGTTCACTGGCTGTGTGTCCCGAGGCAGCTAACCCACCCTCTCTGGGCATCAAATGGGTTCTGAGCTCCCCAGACCACTCCCAGACCTCTAGAGGCAGAGCAGGGGCTACTAGTGGATGGTGCAGCAGCAGCCGGGGAGGCCTCAGCTTCCCCATGTGAGAAATGAGAAAAACACTTGGGACCTGTCAGCGCAGACGGTACCCTAGGGAGAGAGAAGCTGCGTGGGCTGCTCGGGACAAACCTGCCAGGCCCTCTCTCACTTCCGGGTAGATAGGGCCCCCTCTTCTCCCTCCCCCAGCCTCTCTTGCCACCTCCTGTTTCTACACTCTGTGAAATGCAGTAGTGACAACATTTTCTGCCTCGAGGCAGCAGCGTTGCAGGGAGACAGGTTGTCACGGGAGCTAGCAGGCACTGAGTCATGGTCATGCTTTGAGAGCCTTTGAGATGCTAGGGGCTTTTCACGTGGCCTTACCGCTGTCCCCTGGCGAGGATGCTTTTATTTATTTATTATTTATTATTTTTGAGACGGGAGTCTTGCTCTGTCGCCCAGGCTGGAGTGCAGTGGCGCAATCTCGGCTCACTGCAACCTCTGCCTCCCGGGTTCAAGCGATTCTCCTGCCTCAGTCTCCTGAGTAGCTGGGATTACAGGCGCCCGCCACCATGCCTGGCTAATTTTTTTGTATTTTTAGTAGAGACCGTTTCACCATGTTGGCCAGGCTGGTCTCAAACTCCTAACCTCAGGTGATCTGCCTACCTCAGCCTCCCAAAGTGCTGGGATTACACGCGTGAGCCACCGTGCCTGGCCGGGTGCCGTTATCATTGGCGGTTTACAGGTGGAGAAGCTGAGGCAGAGTAAGATTAAGCTGGGAAGGGGCAGAGCCAGGGTCTAAACCCAGCTTTAAAGCCACGCCCTTCATCACTAAACCTTCTCCCTGCTCCATTAGTGGGAACAGTTGTTATTATTCTGATTTTATTGACATCAGTCTATTCCTCTCTTCCTCCCAAGCCCCTCTATCTGTCCTTCAGCTGGTTCCATCAGCTCCGCCTTCAAAGTCTAACCATAATCCTCCCACTTCTCAACCCCTGGCCCAGCCCAGTTGCCCCCCACCAAGGTCCGCAGCCCCTGCCCTTGTCCCCTACAAGTCTGTCCTCCCCGTAGCAGGTGCCAGAGGGCGCCTGTGAGCCCCTGAGTCGGGGCGTGTCCCTCCTCTGCCGGCAGCCCTCCATGGCTCCCACCTCCCTCAGGGTCAAAGCCCAAGTCCTTCCTGAGGCTTGCAAGACCCTGGATGACCTGCTGTATTCCCTCCCTGCTTGCTCCTCCTCCCTCTCTTCCCCTTCCTCACTCTGCTCCAGCCACACAGGCCTCCTCGCTGCCTCAGAGCCTCTGGACAGGCTGTTCCTTCAGCCTGGAATGCTGTTCCCTCAGGTCCCCAACTCCCTCTCTTCCTGCAGCCCTCCCTGACCATCCTGTTTAAAATTGCATTCCAGCGAGGCGCAGCGGCTCACACCCGCAATCCCAGCACTTTGGGAGGCTGAGGCAAGCAGATCACTTGAGTCCAGGAGTTCAAGACCAGCCTGGCCAACATGGTGAAACCCCATCTCTACTAAAACTACAAAAATTAGCCGGGCATGATGGCGCATGCCTGTAATCCCAGCTACTGGGGAGGCTGAGGCAAGAGAATCGCTTGAGTCTGGGAGGCGGAGGTTGCAGTGAGCTGAGATCGTGCCATTACACTCTAGTCTGGGTGACAGGGTGAAACTCCGTCTCTAAAGAAATAAATAATAAAATTTTATTTCACGCCATCCCTGCTTTCTCTCTTTCCCCATCACTTGTCAGCAGCCGACTTCTCTACGTTTTACTTATTTTTTTCACCTGTCTCCTGCAGTAGACTGTAAACTCTGTGAGGGTACTGCCGTCCATCTTGTTCCCTGCTGGATTGCCAGTTCAGTGCCTGGCACATAGTAGGTGCTTAATAAATGTTAGTGAGATGTATTGTCTCACTAACATAATCGTGAGCAGAGGCAAGGATTGGGCTGCTCAGAATATTTTTCTGGAGCTCTAGCGGTGCCTGGATGCAGGGGAGGGAATTTCTGGGTCAGAGGTGAGCCCTGGCAGGGGCAGGAAGAGGCACCAGCCAGACAGTGGGCAGAATAGGGAAGCCTTGAACGCCAAGGCAAGGGCTATGTTTTTTCTGCAACCTGTGTCTTTCTGTCTCCCTCTTTCAGGTAGTCTGGGTTGGAGGAGGCAGAGCCATGACCAAGGGGACCTGGGTACTGGCTGAAGGAATAGGCTGGGGTAGAGGGCACTTTTGGAAGGCACTTCTCCTGCCTCCCGGGAGCCTAGATCTCACTCCAGGTAAGTAATTGTAGTAGTTGAGAAAGAGAAAGGACCTTAGAGATTGTGGAGACCATAGATGGGGAAACTGAGGCCCAGAGAGGAGAAGAGACAGATGTTATTGACCATCATCCCCCTCCATACACTTATGCTTCTGGCCTCTAGGGTAGGGACATGGCCTTGGTGTCTCATTTCTTTTTGGACTAACACGTGGACCAGAGCCGTGTTGCCCCTGACTTGCTGGGTGACCTTGGGAAAATTGCTTCTCCTCTCTGGGCTCTGTTACCTGTCTCCTTACAATAAAGGATTGAGCTTTGATTTGGCTTTACTGCACTCTTTGCCTGCAATTCCTGTGACTGCCATCAGGTGGCAGAAAACAGCCAAGTTCCAAGAGAATCGCTTGAACCCAGGAGTCAGAGGTTACAGTGAGCCGAAATCACGCCATTGCACTCCAGCCTGGCGACAGAGCAGGACTCTGTCTCAAAAAAAAGAAAGAAAAAAGAAAACAGCCAAATTCACCAGGGGCCATCCCTGTTCCTCTTAAAGGACACAAGGGACATCCACAGGAGGGGATGACTGCAGATCACTGTCCGTGTCAGGGATGTTAGGTAAAAGGAAAGGACAAATGGCTGGAGAACTGGTGTTTCACCCTTCCCTGGTCCTGGATTGAAACGGGTTTACCCTTCCCCTCCTGTTGTTCCAGGGTCTGGGCTCCCAGGTGGACCATGAAACCCTGGCCTGACCAGCTGATGCACACTGCTTCAGACACTCCTGCTGGAGCCCCAGTCCCTGACAAGGACCTAGGACATTTTTGCTCCTGCCCAGCCTATCGGGAGGGAGCCTTGAGCCTTTCAGCTCTGCTGTGTGACTTTGAGGTTGTTGCTCCCCTCTTGGGGCCCTGGGTGCCCTGTCTTCAGTGGAAAGCACTGTGCCACCTTGGAAAGCTCCCATGGGCAGCCAGAGGGCATCGCAAGAAGAGAAGCACAGAAGGGGCAGGAGAGACACTCAGAGGCACTTCCGCTCTTGCCCAGGACATTTTCCCAGCCACACCTTTGCCCAAGCCGTGCCCCCTGCCTGGAGCACTTTTCAACCTCTTCTCTGCAGCTCCAATACACCTGGGATTGCAGTCTCCTCCAGGAAGTCTTCTCAGATTCCCTCCTTCCCAGCCAGAGAGCACCTAGCCTTCTTTGGGGCCCCCACAGGCCCTTTGTGCAGTGAACAGCCCTGGCTGGGGGTGCAGCCAGTCGTGTCCGAACTCTCCAATGACTAAGCGGGGAGATGCGGACATCCTAGCTCCTTCTCAGGCCTCCAACTGTGCCCCATTTCCACCCCCAAATACCTCCCCAGGAGGCACCTGTGCCCACCCCCTGGGCTGTTTCCCCCTTCCCCTTAAATCCGGATGCCTCGTCTTGCATAGGGTCTTGGGGCAGCGGGGAAGGGGTTCTGAAGAACTCTGGCCAAGAGGACGAGGATCTGGGGGTGGGGAACTGGGCCTAGCTGTGGGAGGTCATCGCGGGGCATTGCAGGGAGTGCGTTGTGGGAATTCCGGGTGGAGACCCTCAGGGCAGTGTGCCGGGCCTCCGTTGCACCTCTGACCTGCAGCCACGTCATCGTTGCGCAGCCCCTGGGGAGGGTCTTTGGGGAGGGGGTGCCGAGGCTACGCATGTCCTCGAGGGCCGTGTACACTCTCCAGGCACCATGGGCGGAGGCGCCAGAGGCTGGGAAGAAATAATGTTTTAGTTAAGAGTCCTGTTGGCTGCAGGACTCAGAGCATGGACAGGTGGATAGTAAATCACCACCACGGGGACAGCCGTGCCCAGACTGTGCGTTTGCTTAGCTCGGGGACAGCACTTGGCCCGGGGTCTCCTGCTCGCCTCCCTTCAGAGCATCTGCCAAACTTCGGGCATCTACCCTGCAATTCCCGCTTGGCTGAGAGGAGGGGGAGAAGGAGGGGAAGAGAGAGGAGCCCCACTTCACTCCGGCAGGCAGACCTGCTGGAGCTGCTTTGCAGAATGACTTGGGTCTTGCTGGCCCCTGGGTGTGCCTGGAGGGGGGTCTTCCTATCCCCCTCCACCTCTCCCCTTGGTGCCTAACCCAGGACTTTGTCCCCAGAGACCCACTGTGTGCCCCCTGGAGCTCCTCCTAGAGCAGAGTCTGCTGCTGTCTGTTCTGCAGAGGGTAGCCTGAGGCCCAAGGAGGTTGTCAGGGACACACAGCAGGGGGAGGCAGCCCAGATCCCTGCTCATGCGTGGTTTGGGCCTCTGCTAACAGCTGGGCCACATGCGTGTATCTAGAGCCTGGGTCCCCTCTGTCCTCATTTCCCTGTGCATATTCAGGGACATGCCTCGTCAGGGTTTGGCAAGAAAATGGGGCATTTAATAATCTCCCCAGTTTCATTCCTTGGTCCTTACTCCATGCCAGGACTTGTGCACATCTTTTTGGAGCCCTGTCTCACTTGATTGACAGCCGGCCAGGCGCGGTGGCTCACGCCTGTAATCCCAGCACTTTGGGAGGACGAGGCAGGCGGATCATGAGGTCAGGAGATGGAGACCATCCTGGCTAACACGGTGAAACCCCGTCTCTACTAAAAGTACAAAAAAAATAGCCGGGCCTGGTGGCGGGCGCCTGTAGTCCCAGCTACTTGGTAGGCTGAGGCAGGAGAATGGCGGGAACCCGGGAGGCAGAGGTTGCAGTGAGCTGAGATCACGCCACTGCACTCCAGCCTGGGCGACAGAGCGAGACTCCGTCTCAAAAAAAAAAAAAAAAAAGATTGACAGCCTCACTGCTCAGGGGCCAGGATAACAGCCCATTTTACAGATGGCTTTTGGCTTGCCCAAGGTCACCACCCTCTGAACTGAGGCGTCCCCAACCCATGCCGGGAGCTGGTGGAGGAAGTGGGGAAGGGTTTCCCGCTTCTCCACTGGGGGTGGAGGTGGGAGAAAGCATTTTCAGGGTGTTTTGACATTTAACAAACAGTATGCAAATCACATGCAAATCGCATGCAAATCACCACCCATTTCTTAAGCCTCGACAGCGCTGGCATGTTCTGAAATAATAATGTTGGACCTGTCCCTTGATGATGACCTGGGTCGGGAGGTGCACGGCCTTTTCCTTCCTCCGTCTTCCCTTCCCTTCCCTTCCCTTCCCATCTGTTCTCCCTTCCTTCGCCCCCTTCCTTTCCTCTCCCTCCCTATCTTCCATTTTTCTCTTCTTCCTTCACATCATTTGTCCAAGACCTCCCTGGCCTGAGATAAACATAAGTTGCAAAAGTGGCTTCCTGCAGCCCATTTTCCAGGTTGGGAAACTGAGGCATGGGCCTAAGGTCCCACAGCCACACCGAGGAAAGCAGCCCCCACTGAATGTCACCATGCACCAAAGTGCATGGTCCTCGTGACACAAAGAGGGGAGATGACAGTGGCTGGAGTTGTCAGAGCTGCTTTGAGGAAGCTCCAGGCCTGATAGGCTTGACAGGGCCAAGGGGAACTATTGTGGAATGTCTTGGCCTTGAATGACAGGCTGCTGATTTTGGATCTGGAGAAAGCTCACACTGACTCTTCCTGCTCCCCCAGTCTGTTTTTCTCCTGCTACTCCATCCATGTATCCCTGAGTTTGGGCCACAGTCCCTCCACTTGGTTTGCATGTCCCACCTTCTTTGTTTGGCAAGCTCCTATTCATCCTTCAAAGCCCTAGCTTCAATACCTGCTACTTCATGCAGCCATTGCTTATCCTTCAAGGAGAGCCTACTTCCCTCAAGGACCCTGCTGCTTCCAGTCTCACCTTCTGACTCACTCGGGATCCACTGAACTGGGAGGTCTGTGTCTCCTCCCAGCAGAGTCATCACTACCTTTGGGGCCGCAGGATCACCCAGCTTGGAACTAGATACAGAAATGCTGTTTTGAGAGTGTACTGAATAAAAGATTACATGTTTGAAAACAAGATTGAGTTTAAGCTTCCTAACTTGGCCTTGGAGCTCTCTTGGGCTTCATTCTACCCCATCTATGGTTTTGGGCTGAGCTCTACTTCTACCTTCCTCTCACTCCCCTCCAGGCCTTTGCACATGCTGTTACTCCAGGTGACGCTGTTACTCCAGGTGACACTGTTACTCCAGTTGACCCCAGGCCAGCCCCCTCCCATATCTGGGCTGTGAAACTCAGGGAATCCTGCTCGCTCCCCGCCAGGGCCTCTCAGACTCTGGGCTCCACCCTGAGCAAGTCTGGGCTATGAGGAGTTTCGGGTGAGACTTGGCAGCTGCCGTCTCGCTAAGGCCCGCGGCGTTCTGGGGAGGGGCCACCTCCCGTCTTGGCCGCCCACCTAGTTTGTGCTCCAAGAAGGTCCAAGGGAATTCTCCTAGGGGGCAAGTGAGCCCAGGCGGTTCCCAGAGGAGATGTCAGCGGTTTAGCCAGAAACTGCCAGGACCTGGAATTGCCACTTCCTTCCTGCCCTGCCTCTATCTCTCTGTTCTCTTTCTGTGCGACTCCAGGCTGGGCTCTGGCATTCTCCTAACTCTGAGCATTCATTCAATGAGAGATATAAAGACAGATGCTGCTCCGGCTGCCACAGACAGTGGGGCAGGTTGTTCACTGCACAAGAGGACCCAGCTGCAGAGGTGAGAGGGCCCCAGGAAGGGGCCCTTCTTTGTAATTCATCCAACAGCTCCCATACAAGTTAGTGCTGGTTCTGACCTTGCCATCTTTCTTTCTCTCTCTCTCCTCTCCCTTCATCTGTCTCTGTGTCTCAGTCTCTTATTTTATTTTTGTTGAGACAGGGTCTTGTTCTGTTGTCCAGGCTGGAGTGCGGTGGCACAATCACAGATCACTGCAGCCTCAACCTCCCCAGCTCAAGCGATCCTCCCGCCTCAGGCTCTTGAGTAGCTGGGATTTTAGGCACACGCCACCACACCCAGCTAATTTTTAAATTTTTGTAGAGATGGGGTTTCGCCATGTTGCCCAGGCTGTTCTCAAACTCCTGGGCTCAAGCCATCTACCCGTCTCGGCCACCCGAAGTGCTGGGATTGCAGGCATCAGCCACTGCGCCCGGCCTCTTTTTCATCTGCTCTCTGTCGCTCCATTTCTGTCTGTGGTTCTGTTTGTATCTCGTTATCTCTCCCTCTCTTCAATATCTCTCTCTCTGCGTTTCTCAGTTCGTCTGCATCTCAGTCTCTGTCTCTCTCCATGTCTCTGTATTTTTTTCTCAAATCTCCTATTGAAAAAGACCCCTCTTTCCCTAGGCCAGGCTCAGTGGCTCATGACTATAATCCCAACACTTTGGGAGACCGAGGCAGGAGGATTGCTTGAACCTAGGAGTTCGAAACCAGCCTGGGAAACATGGCGAGACCCAGCCTTTACAAAAGCATTTAAAAATTATCCAGGTGTGGTGGCATGCCCCTGTGGTCCCAGCTACTTGGGAGGCTGAGGCAGGAGGATCACTTGAGCCCAGGAGTTTGAGACCACGGTGAGCTATAACCATACCACTGCACTCCAGACTGGGTGACAGAACGAGACCCTGTCTCTAGAAAAAAAAAAAAAAAGAAAAAATAGGCTGGGCGCGGTGGCTCACTTTGGGAGGCTGAGGCGGGCGGATCACGAGGTCAGGAGATTGAGACCATCCTGGCTAACACAGTGAAAAATTAGCTGGGTGTGGTGGCGGGTGCCTGTAGTCCCAGCTACTCGAGAGGCTGAGGCAGGAGAATGGCGTGAACCCGGGAGGTGGAGCTTGCAGTGGGCCGAGATTGCGCCACTACACTCCAGCCTGGGCGACAGAGCAAGACTCCATCTCAAAAATAAATAAATAAATAAATAAAAATAAAATAAAAAATTAAGAAATATAACATTAAAATTTAAAAAATAAATAATGAAAACATTAGTTGGCTGGGCACAGTGGCTCATGCCTGTAATCCTAGCACTTTAGGAGGTCAAGGCTAGAGGATTGCTGGAGGCTAGGAGTTCGAGACCAGCCTGGACATGGGCAACATGGCAAAACCCTGTCTCTACTAAAAATACAAAAAAATAGCCAGGCGTGGTGGTGGTGCACACCTGTAGTCCCAGCTACTTGGGAGGCTAAGGCAGGAGAATGGCGTGAACCCGGGAGGCGGAGCTTGCAGTGAGCCGAGATTGTGCCACTGCACTCCAGCCTGAGTAACAGAGCAAGACTCCATCTCAAAAAAAAAGAAAAAGAAAAAAAGACCCCCTTTCCTTCCAATATCGTAAGCATGACCTCTGGGGTGTCTTCAGAAGCTGCTGGGATCATGCATTCCACAATCACTGATTAAGCACCTCCAGTTTGCAGGGCTCTGAGGACAGCGTGGTGACTAGGATACCCAGTCAAGCTCCCCACGGAGTTCACGGCCCAACAAAAGCCACAGAAGCTGCAGGGCAAGCGCATGGCCCCTGAGACTCCCCAGAAACCTCTCCCACACACAACCTTCCTCTGAATGACCTTGGGTGTTCTTTGTCCCTCGCTGGGCCTCAGTTTCCCTGCCTGCCCAAGAAGGGAAGTGTTTGGGATAGCCAGGCATTCGGTGTTTGCTGGCAGACAAATCCTGACTAACCCCCGTGCCCAAATGGATTTGAAAGAACCCTCAAAAAGGAAAACAGTCATAAGAAAGAAAAAAAAACCCGGCCAGGCGCAGTGGCTCACTCCTGTAATCCCAGCACTTTGGGAGGCTGAGGCGGGCAGATCACGAAGTCAAGAGATCGAGACTATTCTGGCCGACATGGTTAAACCCTGTCTCTACTAAAAATATAAAAATTAGCCAGGCGTGGTGGCAGGCGCCTGTAGTCCTAGCTACTTGGGAGGCTGAGGCAGAATTGCTTGAACCCGAGAGGCGGAGGTTGCAGTGAGCCAAGATCACGCCACCGCACTCCAGCCTGGCAACAGAGCGAGACTCCGTCTCAAAAACAAACAAACCAAAAAAAAAAAAAAAAAACAACACAGAGCCGACCACTGACCTTGCAGGGTGATGCACCTGGGGCAGAAGCAGCCTCACTACCACCCCTTGGAGCATCACGGAAACTTATCCATCTCTTTCCTTGGTGGCCCCTGGCTATCCACTGAAGGCTGCTGGCCTCACTATGAGGGCTCCAGGCCTGGCCCTGAGGTCCCCTGACTTGGCACTGACCTCACACTTGTGCTTTAAGCTTCAGACCTACTAAACCCCTTGCTGGGCTCCAGCCACAAGGTTTTTTTCACAGGCTATTTCTTTTCTTTTCTTTCTTTTTTTTCTTTTTTTGAGACAGAGTCTAGCTCTGTTGCCCAGGCTGGAGTGCAATGGCGCTATCTTAGCTCACTGCAACCTCCACCTCCTGGGTTCAAGCGAACCAGGAGGTGAGAATCCTGTCTCAGCCTCCTGAGTAGCTGGGACTACAGGCACACATCGCCATGCCCTGCTAATTTTTGTATTTTTAGTAGAGACGGGGTTTCACCATGTTGGCCAGGCTGGTCTTCAACTCCTGACCTCAGGTGATCCGCCCGCCTTGGCCTCCCAAAGTGCTGTGAGCCACCGCACCCAGCCTGCATGGGCTATTTCTGTATATGAAATACCCTCTCCCAACCTTTCACCTTTCACCCTGTGATTTGCAGGTTCAATGTCACTTCCTTGGGGAGGCCCCCAAAACAAGTTATGTTCCTGTTGTTTTGTATTCTCACAACATCTTGTTCTTTTCCTTTGTAGCATTAATTATTTATATTATTATTCATTCAATGTATGTTTTCCCCACTAGCCTGTGGGCACCATGAAGACGGGGAAGAGGTCTGGTTTGGTCACTGCTGCAGTACACAGCGTTTAATAACCCAGCGCCAGGGAGCGGTGGGGAGCCAGGAACACCTTTGCTCCCTTCCCAGGCTCAATGAGGCCCCCTCTCCACCATAGTTCCTGCCACCACTGGGCCTTGGTCCAGGTGACCAAGGGGCACGGAGGTTTGGGATTGGGATTCCAGGCACTCTGGCTCCTGCCGCCGTGATAAATGGGGAGAATTCAGAATTAATTATCGACTGCTCTGCTGAGCCGGCCTGATCTGGGCAGATAAAGAGCGTGGGCGCCACTGCATCTGCCCAGCGCTTCTCAGAAGTTTATTAGAGGATGGGAGGCAGTTGGCTGATGGGAGGAGTCTGGAATGCATTAGAGCCAGAGCTGCTGGGGGCAAGGCTGTGGCTCTGCTGGGCCACTTGGGGCAACACGCTCTTCCTCTCTGAGCCTTGGTTTTCTCATTTGGAAAAAGGGAAGTAAAAAAGAAAATCCTACCCCAGCAGTTTGGGATGCCAAGGTGGGCGGATCACCTGAGGTCATGAGCTCGAGACCAGCCTGGACAACATGGCGAAACCCTGTCTCTACTAAAAATACAAAAATTAGCTGGGTGTGATGGCGGATGCCTGTGATCCCAGGTACTTGGGAGGCTGAGGCACTAGAATCCCTTGAACCCGGGAGGCGGAAGTTGCTGTGAGCCGAGATTGCACCACTGACCTCTCTGAGCCTTGGTTTTCTCATTTGGAAAAAGGCAAGTAAAAAAAAAAAAAAACAGCCGGGCGCGGTGGCTCACGCCTGTAATCCCAGCACTTTGGGAGGCCAAGGCAGGCGGATCATGAGGTCAGGAGATTGAGACCATTATGGCTAACACGGTGAAACCCATCTCTACTAAAAATACAAAAAAATTAGCCGGGCGTGGCAGCGGGCGCCTGTAGTCCCAGCTACTCCGGAGGCTGAGGCAGGAGAATGGCGTGAACCCGGGAGGCGGAGCTTGCAGTGAGCCGAGATCGCGCCGCTGTACTCCAGCCTGGGCGACAGAGCGAGACTCCGTCTCAAACAAAAAAAAAAAAAGAAAAGAAAAATCCTTATATGTTGAGATAAGTTTTTTGGGGAATCACCAAGAGCAAAGAAAGCAAAGTACACAGTAGGTTTCATGCGTGTCCATGTGAAGAGACCACCAAACAGGCTTTGTGTGAGCAGCATGGCTGTTTATTTCACCTGGGTGCAGGCCGGCTGAGTCCGAAAAGAGAGTCAGCGAAGGGAGATAGGGGTGGGGCCGTTTTATAGGATTTGGGAAGGTAATGGAAAATTACAGTCAAAGGGGGTTGTTCTCTGGTGGGCAGGGGTGGATCTCACAAAGTACATTCTCAAGAGTGGGGAGAATTACAAAGAACCTTCTTAAGGGTGGGGGAGACTACAAAGTACATTGATCAGTTAGGGTGGGGCAGGAACAAATCACAATGGTGGAATATCACCAGTTAAGGCTGTTTTTACTTCTTTTGTGGATCTGCAGTTACTTCAGGCCATCTGGATGTATACGTGCAAGTCACAGGGGATGCGATGACCTGGCCTGGGCTCAGAGGCCTGACATTCCTGCCTTCTTATATTAATAAGACAAATAAAACAAAATAGTGTTGAAGTGTTGCAGCGGCGAAAATTTTTGGGGGGTGGTATGGAGAGAGAACGGGCGATGTTTCTCAGGGCTGCTTCGAGCGGGATTAGGGGCGGCGTGGGAACCTAGAGTGGGAGAGATTAAGCTGAAGGGAGGTCTTGTGGTAAGGGGTGATATTGTGGGGATGTTAGAAGAAACATTTGTCGTATAGAATGATTGGTGATGGCCTGGATACGGTTTTCAATGAACTGAGAAGCTAAACGGAAGATAGAAGGTCTGAAGAAAAGGAGGAGAAAAATGGGTATTAAAGGACTAAGAATTGGGAGGGCCCAGGACATCCAATTAGAGAGTGCCCAAGGGGGTTCAGCGTAATTACTTTCTTGGTTGGCAAGTTTTTGGGCTCTATCCTTGAGTTTTTTTATGTTGTCATACACCAGGCCAGATTGATTTAGGTAAAAACAACACTCCTCATTTAAGAATATGCAGAGTCCTCCTTTTTCAGCAGTAAGTCAGTCAAGGCCTCGGTGGTTTTGGAGGACAACTGCAGCTAAAGAGTCAACTTGGGCCTGGAGGACTGATAAAGTTTGTGATTTTGAGGGCCTCTAAAAGTATTAAAGCAGCAGCAGCCGCTGCACGCAGACATGAGGGCTAGGTTAAAACAGTAAGGTCAAGTTGTTTGGACAGAAAGGCTACAGGGTGTGGTCCTGGCTCTTGTGTAAGAATTCCGACCACGCTAACCATGCCTAGGAAGGAAAGGAGTTGTTGTTTTGTAGGTGCTGGGGTTTGAGAGGTCAGTCGGACACGATTGGCAGGGAAAGCACGTGTGTTTTTGAGAATTATGCCGAGATAGGTAACAGATGAGGAAGAAATTTGTGCTTGATTGAAGTAATGGGGGCTGTCTGTGAAGCTTTGCAGCAGTACAGCCTTGGTAATTTGCTGAGCCTAATGGGTGTCAGGGTCAGTCTAAGTGAAAGCAAAGAGAGGCTGGGACGAGGGGTGCAGGGGAACAGTGAAAAAAGCATCTTTAAGATGGAGAACAGAATAGTGAGTTGTGGAGGAACGGATTGAGGACAAAAGAGGGTACGGGTTGGGCACCACAGGGTGGATGGCAAAACAATTTGGTTGATAAGACGCAGATCCTGAACTAATCTGTAAGACTTATCCGGTTTTCGGACAGGTAAAATGGGGGAATTGTAAGGAGAGTTTATAGGTTTTAGAAGCCCATGCTATAGCAGGCGAGTGATAACAGGCTTTAATCCTTTTAAAGCATGCTGTGGGATGGGATATTGGCGTTGAGCGGGGTAAGGGTGATTAGGTTTTAATGGGATGGTAATGGGCATGTGATCAGTTGCCAGGGAAGGAGTAGAGATGTCCCATACTTGTGGCTTAAGGTGGGGGGATACGAGAGGAAGACGTGAAGGAAGCTTTGGGCTGGGGAGAAGGGCGGCAATGAGATGCGGCTGTAGTCCAGGAATAGTCAGGGAAGCAGATAATTTGGTTAAAGTATCTCGGCCTAATAAGGGAACTGGGCAGGTGGGGATAACTAAAAAAGAGTGCATAAAAGAGTGTTGTCTAAGTTGGCACCAGAGTGGGGGAGTTTTCAGGGGTTTTGAAGCCTGGCCGTCAATACCCACAACAGTTATGGAGGCAAGGGAAACAGGCCCTTGAAAAGAAGATAATGTGGAGTGGGTAGCCTCCGTATTGATTAAGAAGGGGACGGACTTACCTTCCACTGTGAGAGTTACCCGAAGCTCGGCGTCCGTGATGGTCTACGGGGCTTCCGAGGCGATCGGGCAGCGTCAGTCTTCAGCCGCTAAGCCGAGAAGATCTGGGAAGGAGTCAGTCAGAGAGCCTTGGGCCAGAGTTCCAGGGGCTCTGGGAGTGGCTGCCAGGTGAGTTGAACAGTCCGATTTTCAGTGGGGTCCCACACAGATGGGACGCGGCTTAGGAGGAATCCCGGGCAGCGGGCATTCCTTGGCCCAGTGGCCAGATTTCCGGCACGTGTAGCAAGCTCCTGGGGGAGGAGGTTCTGGAGGAACGCCTGGCCGCTGCGGTTCAGGCATTTGGAAGTTCTTGTGTGCTGGAGATGTGGCTGGGGTTTGTCTCACAGTGGAGGCAAGGAATTGCAACTTTTTTCTATTATTGTACACCTTGAAGGCGAGGTTCATTAAGTCCTGTTGTGGGGTTTGAGGGCCGGAATTTAATTTTTGGAGTTTTATTTAATGTCGGGAGCAGATTGGGTAATAAAATATATTTTGAGAATAAGACGGCCTTTTGACTTTTTAGGGTCTAGGGCTGTAAAGTGTCTCAGGGTTACTGCCAAACAAGTCATGAACTGGGCTGGGTTTTTATATTTGATGAAAAAGAGCCTAAACGCTTCTGATTTGGGATAAAGAAAAAGGAGCATTAACCTCGACTATGCCTTTGGCTCCAGCCACCTTTTTAAGAGTAAATTGCTGGGCAGGAGGGGGAGGGCTAGTCACGGAACGAAACTGTAAGCCGGACCAGGTGTGAGGAGGGGAGGCGATAAAAAAATGACAGGATGCAGGAGCAGAGGCTGAGGAAGAATTGGGACTTAGCTTGGGCTGGCGAGGAGGGGAGAGGTCAGATGGGTCTGTAGAAAAGGAAGATGAGAAAGACTCAGCGACGCTTGGGGTTGGGACTGAGGGGACAGGTGGGAGGGAAAGAAGGAAGATTTGGGACGAGTTGCACTGGGCACAGAGAGTAGGAAGGGACTGATGGACTTCAGGCACCTCAGACCATTTGCCCATTTTACGACAAGAATTATTTAGATCTTGTAGGATGGAAAAATTGAAAGTGCCGTTTTCCGGCTATTTGGAACTACTGTCGAGCTTGTATTGGAGTCAAGCGGCATTGCAGAAGAAAATAAGGCATTTAGGTTTTAGGTCAGGTGTGAGTTGAAGAGGTTTTAAGTTTTTGAGAACACAGGCTAAAGGAGAAGGAGGAGGAATGGAAGGTGGAAGCTTACCCATAGTGAAGGAGGCAAGCCCAGAAAAAAGAGTAGAGACACGGAGAAGGGGTGGGGGGTTCTCGCCCTCCAGAAAAGCAGAGAAGGGGTTGGGGCACGGAAGTAAGGGATTGGGGCACAAAGAGGTCAGGGTGTGGAAATAAGGGATTGGGGTGCAGAGATATAAGAGGTTGGGGTGCGGAAATAAGCGATTGGGGGTTTCTTGCCCCCTAGGAAAGCGGGACTTGCCACTGAGGGTGAAGGAGAAGGGGTTGAGGGGTACTTGCCCCTGCCCCAGGAAAGCGGGACTTGCCACTAAGGGTGAAGGACCAAGGCGGGCGTCCCTGCGTGGTCTGACACCCTTGAAACGTGAGTGTATAATCAGAGAGGCGTCCCTGCAATGATTAAACACCAAGGGAAGGCTGCCTTCCCAGTCCGTGACCGGCGCCGGAGTTTTGGGTTCACGGATAAAACATGTCTCTTTTGTCTCTACCAGAAAATGAAAGGAATTGAAATTAAGAGAAGGGAGAGATTGAAATGTGGCGCCAAGATTGAAAGGAGAAAGAGGTTGAGGGATAGTGAGGGAGGTTGGAGAAGAGAGTAAAAAGAGGCCGCTTACCGGATTTGAAATTGGTGGGATGTTTCCTGGGCTGGTTGGACTGAGGACCTGAGGTGGTAGGTGGATCTTTCTCACGGAGCAAAGAGCAGGAGGACAGGGGATTGACCTCCCAAGGGAGGTCCCCCGATCCGAGTCACGGCACCAAATTTCATGCGCGTCTGTGTGAAGAGACCACCAAACAGGCTTTGTGTGAGAAGCATGGCTGTTTATTTCACCTGGGTGCAGGCCGGCTGAGTCCGAAAAGAGAGTCAGCGAAGGGAGATACGGGTGGGGCCGTTTTATAGGATTTGGGAAGGTAATGGAAAATTACAGTCAAAGGGGGTTGCTCTCTGGTGGGCAGGGGTGGATCTCACAAAGTACATTCTCAAGGGTGGGGAGAATTACAAAGAACCTTCTTAAGGGTGGGGGAGACTACAAAGTACATTGATCAGTTAGGGTGGGGCAGGAACAAATCACAATGGTGGAATGTCATCAGTTAAGGCTGTTTTTACTTCTTTTGTGGATCTTCAGTTACTTCAGGCCATCTGGATGTATACGTGCCAGTCACAGGGGATGCGATGGCCTGGCCTGGGCTCAGAGGCCTGACAGTAGGTATCTAATAAATGCTGTAGCTCACGCCTTTAATCCCAGTAATTTGGGAGGCCAAGGCAGGCATCACTGGAGCTCAGGAGTTCAAGACCAGCCCGGGCAACATAGTGAAACCCTGTCTCTATAAAAACTACAAAAATTAGCCTGGTATGGTGTTGCACACCTGTGGTCCCAGCTACTTGGGAGGCTGGGGTGGGAGGATCACTTGGGTCCAGGAGGTGGAGGTTGCAGTAAGCCGACATTGCACCATTGCACTCCAGCCTGGGTTACAGAGCCAGATCCTGTCTCAAAAAAAAAAAAAAAAAAAAAAAAAAAGCTGCAGAATCTGTGAGTTGACTGCAGGCCTCATTCTGTCCCCCACCTAGCAGGATAAAATGGTGTGAGGATCAGCGGCAGACTCCCTATCTCCAGGCAGATCTGTCTCCCTTAGATGCTGAAAGATGCCAGATGGTAAACGTGTCTCCATTGTAAGAACTGATCTAACTGATCGTCAGCTTGAACTACTTTCTTTTCCTTCAGATTCCGGATTGCTTGATCCTGCCACATGGGCACAGCACTCTCTGGTGGTCGGTGCAAAGGCTGCAGCATTTTAGAAATGCAAATGCCATCAACGTGGGCAATTAAAGATTTCCTGGTAGCCACAAGAAAAAAACAGTAAAAAGAAGGCTGGGCGCAGTGGCTCACGCCTCTAATCCCAGCACTTTGGGAGGCTGAGGCGGGCGGACCTCCTGAGGTCGGGAGTTTGAGACCAGCCTGGTCTCTACTAAAAATACAAAATTAGCTGGGCGTGGTGGTGCACGCCTGTAATCCCAGCTGATTGGGAGGCTAAGGCCGGAGAATCACTTGCACCCAGGAGGTGGAGGTTGCGGTGAGCTGAGATCACACCATTGCACTCCAGCTTGGGCAACAATGAGCGAAACTCCGTCTCAAAAAATAAAAAATAGTAAAAAGAAACAGGTGAAATTAGTTTTAGTAATGTGTTTTATCATTTAAGCATGCAATCTATAGAAAAAATTGTGAATGAGCTATTTTTTCTGGGGTGTGTGTGTGTGTGTGTGTGTGTGTGTTCTGAGACAGAGTTTCACTCTTGTCACCCAGGCTGAAGTGCAATGGTGTGATCTCAGCTCACTGAAACCTCCATCTCCCAGGTTCAAGCGATTCTCCTGCCTCAGCCTCCCAAGTAGCTGGGATTACAGGCACGTGCCACCACACCTGGCTAATTTTTGTATTTTTAGTAGAGACGGAGTTTCACCATGTTGGTCAGGCTGGTCTCGAACTCCTGACCTCAAGTGATCCACCCGCCTCGGCCTCCCAAAGTGCTGGAATGACAGGCGTGAGCCACCGTGCCCGATCCGATAGTCACATTTTAAGTACTCAATAGCTACATGTGGCCAGTGGCTCCCACGTTGGACAACGCGGGTTTAGGTACATGATCGTCACTTTCCCAGACCAATGCAATCACCTCCCTTCACAATCTGTTGCCGCTGTAGCCCCCAGAAGGGTTCCTGTGAGCACCTGGGTCTGGCAATGTCTCTCCTCTGTCCAGAGCCCTCCATGGCTCCCATTGCCTTCGGGATGAAGCTAGAACTTCTCACCAGTGCCTGATTGATCCTTGGCTGCCCCCACCACCCCTGTTCTTTCCACGCAGCCAGCCACATCCACCTACCTGCTTGCCTATTCCCCCACATCCATATTTGTTGCCCAGGCTGGAGTGCGATGGTGCGATCTCGGCTCACTGAAACCTCCGCCTTCTGGGTTGGGAGAGAGGATCACTTGGGTCCGGGAGGTGGAGGTTGCAGTGAGCTGAGATTGCACCACTGCACTCCAGCCTGGGTTACAGAGCCAGACCCTCTCTCAAAAAAAAAAAAAAAAAAAAAAAAGCTTTGCACGCAGCTCCAATGTCCTCCCCTCCAAGGTCGCTCAGCACCAGCCCTGACTCTGCAGAGCTTGGGTGTCTGTGTCCAGCTCCATCCCACAGTCCCAGCCTGGGGATCCTTGGGGGCAGGGTCCCAGGCTGAGTCCTCTCTGGAGCCTGTACCGTGAAGCACCGGGGCAGGGTTCAGAAGGATGTATCACCACACAACCTTGAAGCAGCTGCCTCTGCTCACTCATTCCTTCACTAATTCACAGGTGCATTCACTTCTGACCTTAACACCTGGGAGCTAGGTCGGGTGTTGGAGGAAGCCGAGAAACTGGAAGATGGGGAGTGGAATTGAGCCTGGGTGACCGTGTCACTGTGAACAGGATGAACAGGATGA
Source organism: Homo sapiens (assembly GCF_000001405.40). NCBI lineage: Eukaryota > Metazoa > Chordata > Mammalia > Primates > Hominidae > Homo > Homo sapiens. The sequence goes on along the minus strand of NC_000019.10, from coordinate 5,546,316 downwards.
CGTTCAGGCTCCTTTTCTGGCCTTCAAGGCCTCTCCAGCTTCAAGGAGACAAACTTATTAGTCCATGAATGAGTCACACTCTCCTTCACTTCTCTAGGCTTTTGCATACACAGTAAAGCCCTTTCAGCAGACCCTACTCATACCTAGAAAACTCCTATGGATGCGTCAAAGCCCAGAACAAGTCCTCATACCTACGCTGGGCTTCCTTCAGCCTCAAGTCTCTCTTTCTATTGTAGTCCACATACAGGTGGGGGTGGCAGGAAGTGGGGAAGGTTACTTGATAGATTAGTAGTGTCCCCCATAGACTAGATAAGGGTGGTATAAAGTGGGGAAGGATACCTGATAGATTAATATTAAAGTATTTGTTCTCTAGAGGTTCTCTAGAGGGACAGAACTAATAAGATAGATGTATATATGAAAGGGAGTTTATCGGCTGGGTGTGGTGGCTCACGCCTGTAATCCCAGCACTTTGGGAGGCCGAGGTGGGTGGATCACTCAAGGCTAGGAGTTCGAGACCAGCCTGGCTAACATGGTGAAATTTCATCTCTGCTGAAAATACAAAAATTAGCCAGGTGTGGTGGTGCATGCGTGTAGTCCCAGCTACTTGGGAGGCTGAGGCAGGAGAATAGCTCGAACCCGGGAGGTGGAGGTTGCAGTCAGCCAAGATCATACCACTGCACTCCAGCCTGGGTGACAAGAATGAGACTCCGTCTCAAAAAAACACAAAAAACAAAAATCAGCTGGGCATGGTGGTGTGTGCCTGTAGTCCCAGCTACTTGGGAGGCTGAAGCATGAGAATTGCTTGAACCCGGGAGGTGGAGGTTGCTTTGCAGTGAGCCGAGATTGCACCATTGCACTCCAGCCTGGTCTCAAAACAAACTAACAAACAAGAAAACAAAAACAAAAACACTTCAGAAAGGGTGCTCTGAAGCGGGTTGCATTGTCTCTGGATTCAGGACAGGCAGCAACCCCATCTCAGTGGCGTCTTGGGTTCAAATCCTGCCTCTGCCTCCCCTTAGCCAAGGAACCCAAAGCCAGTGACTTGACCTTCTGGGCCTCAGTTTCTCATCCATAAAATGGGCCCAATAACAGATTGTCCTCAGACAGCGGTGAAGCTGAAATGAGCTTCAGGTCTCAAGATGCTTAGGAGTTGCTGGCTTTGTGCATGCGTGGAGGAGTTGGGACCAGAATTAGGGTAAAGAGAGCAAGGCACCCACCTCAGTGCAAAATTTAAGGAGGTGCCGTTCAACTCAGTCACCAAGATAAACAGTAGTTTGATGCAACATTGAAAAACGTCATGAGGGGCCAGGCATGGTGGCTCACGCCTGTAATGCCAGCACTTTGGGAGGCTAAGGCAGACTGATCACTTGAGGTCAGGAGTTCCAGGCAAGCCTGGTCAACATGGTTAAACCTCCTCTGTACTAAAAATACAAAAATTAGCCGGGCGTGGTGGTGGGCGCCTGTAATCCCAGCTACTCAGGAGGCTGAGGCCAGAATAATTGCTTGAACCTGGGAGGCAGATGCTGAGTCGAGATCGCGCCACTCCAGCCTGGGCAACAGAGCAAGACTCTGTCTCAAAAAAAAAAAAAAAAAGTCATGAGGAGACTGGGCAGGATGGCTCATGCCTGTAATCCCAGCATTTGGGGAGGCCAAGGTGGAAGGATCGCTTGGTTTCAGGAGTTCAAGACCCAGCCTAGGAAACATAGCAAGACTCCCGTCTCTACGAAAAATACAAAAATTAGCCAGGTGTGGTAGTGCACACCTGTGGTCCCAGCTACTCAGGAGGCTGAGGCAGGAGGATCACTTGAGGTAGGGAGGTTGAGGCTGCAGTGAGCCATGATAGTGCCATTCCACTGCAGCCTGGGTGACAGAGTAAGACCTTGTCTCAAAAAAAAAAGAAGTCACGATGATTATGAAAACATAGACGATGAACAAAATATCTAAGTGTGAAGTGAATGACAGGCTCTGACCCTGCGTTTGCTCGAGCCCGCCTCACTGAGCTCACCCTATTCCTGGTGCGGCTGTACACCTGGGAGGCTGTTCCTCTCAGGCAACCTTCTGATTAAACCTTAATTCCTGATGATTAAGCCCAGGGAACTGGGGGCCTGGCGGTTCAGCAGGAGGGAGGCTCTGGCAGGGGCGGGCCAGGCCGGGCCTCCCTGGGGGAGAGGGAGGCCAGGAGGGAGGCTGCTGAGTGGCTAGAGAGGAAGCTGGAATTTAATTAGCCCCTCAGGATTAATTACTGGGCCCAGGAACAGGCTGAGAAATCTATTACTCTGAGCGGTTCCTGACTCCAGGCTTCCTTCATTCCCACCATCATTTTTCTCTAAACCGACTCCTCCTCTCATTGTTTTCCGACAAAATATATCTATTTCTAAAATGCACCCTTTATATCCTGCCATGAAAACCCAGATATACATCTTTTTTGAGTAGAGTAGATGCTGTATATAAATTTGGGGGAATATATACATTGAAATGAATATATAACTGTTAAAAAAAAATGATCTACACGGGCTTGATTGGTGCCATGGTTGCAAAAGCTGCTCTGCAAGCACTGAGTATGTGCTGGGGGTTTACACACTCTCCTTATCTCATTTTATCCTTATAATAGCTCTGGGCGGGGGGTGTAAGCTCTTCTCAATCACCCCTACTTTGCAAGAGCCTTTCTGGCTGTGGGATTTGTCATTTTGAATGCACCATAGACACCAGAGTGGGTTTCTTTCTTTTCTTTCTTTTTTTTTTTTTTTTGAGACGGAATCTTGCTCTGTCACCCAAGCTGGAGTGCAGTGGCGCGATCTCGGCTCACTGCAAGCTCCGCCTCCTGGGTTCAGGTCATTCTCCTGCTTCAGCCTCCCGAGTAGCTGGGACTACAGGCGCCCGCCACCAATGCCCGGCTAATTTTTTGTATTTTTTAGTAGACACGGGGTTTCACCGTGTTAGCCAGGATAGTCTTGATCTCTTGACCTCATGATCCACCTGCCTCAGCCTCCCAAAGTGCTGGGATTACAGGCGTGAGCCACCGCACCTGGCCCAGAGTGGGTTTCTATATACTTTTATTTATTTATTTATTTATTTATTTATTTTTGAGACGAAGTCTTGCTGTGCCACCCAGGCTGGAGTGCAGTGGCATGATCTTGGCTCGCTGCAACCTCCACCTCCCGGGTTCAAGCAATTCCCCTGCCTCAGCCTCCCAAGTAGCTGGGATTACAGGCGCCCGCCACCACGCCTGGCTAATTTTTGTATTTTTAGTAGAGACGGTGTTTCACCATATTGGCCAGGCTGGTCTTGAATTCCTGACCTCAAGTGATCTGTCTGTCTTGGCTTCCCAAAGGAAGTTTGGGATTTTTTTTTTTTTTTGCTTTTTGCCTCCATGTGTTTGCCTCGGCTGTTCCCCTCACCGGGAGTGTCTTTATTTACCACGTGTAAACACTCTTTGTCTGTAGGGGGCCCCGTGTACTCAGCCACCAGATCCCCCTGCACAGGGCCTGGTTGTTTGGGCTGTGAGGTTTCTGTCTGGTTCTGTCTCCCCCAGCCTGGGAGCCTCTCTAGGGCTGGGTCTCTGAACACTGCATATCCCAGCTCGGGTGGGATCCTATAATGGCGGGATACTCCTGGGGTCTTTCGAGTCTGGGGAGGTGGAGGGGCTGTGAATGAGGAAAACATTCTTCTTCTTCTTCTTTCTTTTTTTTTTTTTTTTGAGACAGGTTCTTGCTCTGTCTCCCAGGCTGGAGTGTAGTGGTGTGATCTTGGCTCACTTCAACCTCTGCCTCCCAGGCTCAAGCGATTCTCCTGCCTCAGCCTCCCAAGTAGCTGGGATTACAGGCACGCACCACCACGCCCAGGTAATTTTTGTATTTTTAGTAGAGACCAGGTTTCACCATGTTGGCCAGGCTGGTCTCAAACTGCTGACCTTAGGTGATCAGCCTGCCTCGGCCTCCCAAAGTGCTGGGACTACAGGCGTGAGCCACTGCACCCGGCTTTTTTTTTTTTTTGGAGACAGAGTCTTGCTCTGCTGCCCAGGCTGGAGTGCAGTGGCATGATCTTGGCTCACTGCAACCTCTGCCTCCCAGATTCAGGTAATTCTCCTGGCTCAGCCTCACGAGTAGCTGGGATTACAGGCATGCACCACCACAATTGGCTAATTTTGTATTTTTAGTAGAGACGGGGTTTCACCATGTTGGCCAGGCTAGTCTCAAACTCCTGACCTCAGGTGATCCTCCCACCTCAGCCTCCTAAAGTGTTGGGATTACAGGCATGAGCTACCATGCCTGGCCTTTTAAATTTTTTTTTAATTTTTAATTTTTTTTTTTAGAGATGGGGGTCTCATTGTGTCACCCAGGCTGGAGTGCTGTGGTACAATCATAGCTCACTGATCCTAGTAGAGGGAGGGAGTGTTTACAGCTGAGAGACTGACCGAGGCCCCTGCCTCTCACTCCCCTCTCTTCTCCCCATCTCTCACCTCCCTTCCTCTCTGCAGAAAGACTTAAAGTTGCTATCAGCAGGCTGCTGGAGAGATTTCACCATTTCTTGGGCCAGGGTCCGGGAAATGAATTTCACTGGTACAGGGCCAGGTGGCGGGCGTCCCGGAATGAGATCCTGACACCGTCTTCCCTGCCCCCAACAAGACTGTCTCCAGTCGCCATTGTCCCATCTCCTGGATGGGAAGACTGAGGCCCAGAGAGGAGAGGAGCAGGCCTGAGGTCACCCTCCTCTCTCTCTCACCCCATCCAAAAGCCCAAGACCTCATAATGCTTCCAGCCTGGGTTTTGAACCCAGCTGGAATCCAATCCAGGGTTCTCTCCTAGGGAGTTGGCCATATTCGTGAAGGTGTGAGTGACTAATAGTGGTCTTTTTTTTCTTTTTTCTTTTTTTGAGGCAGGGTCTCAGTCTTTGGCCCGGGCTGGAGTGCAGTGGTACAATCATAGCTCACTGCAGCCTCTACCTTTGTGGGCTCAAGTGATCCTCCTGCCTCAGCCTCCCGAGTAGCTGGGACCACACCCATGCACCCCCATGCTCAGCTAATTTTTTAATTTTTTTGTACAGACAGGGTCCCACTATGTTGCCCAGGCTGGTCTTGAACTCCTGGCCTCAAGTGATCCTCCCTTCTCAGCCTCCCAAAGTGTTGGGATTACAGGCGTGATCCACCGCACCCAGCCTGATAATGGTGTTTTTTTTTTTTTTTTTTTTTTTTTTTAAGATGGAGTCTCACTCTGTCCCCCAGGCTGGAGTGCAGTGGTGCGATATCCGCTCACTGCAAGCTCCGCCTCCTGGGTTCACGCCATTCTCCTGCCTCAGCCTCCTGAGTAGCTGGGACTACAGGCACCTGCCACCACGCCCGGCTAATTTTTAAAAAAATTTTTTAGTAGAGACGGGTTTTCACCGTGTTAGCCAGGATGGTCTCAATCTCCTGACCTTGTGATCCACCTACCTCAGCCTCCCAAAGTGCTGGGATTACAGGCGTGAGCCACGGCACCCGGCCCTGCTAATGGTCTTAATGGAGCCACTAAGACCTCCAGGCTCTGTGCCTTCCTCGTTGTGCCACTTGGGCAGGTCACTGGCTCTCTCCCAGCCTCAGTTTCCCTCCCTTATAAAATGGATGGATAATAGTTTTTGGAGTGGGAAGATGATGACCAGGAGGCCCAAGGATGTCCATCAATTTGCAGATGTTTCTAGACCTAAAGGATGCTTCCCTCATCCACAGCCTCTCCACCTCCCCAAACTCCAAAGACCCCAGAAGTGTTCCCCCATTATGGGAATCCCACCTGAGCTGGGCCATGCGGGGTCCAGAGACCCAGCCCTGAGGGGGCTCCCAGCCTGGGAGAGACAGAACCAGACAGGCATGTTCACTGCAGACTGGACTGATGGGTTCCCATCAGCATGACAGTGGCTGGTGGCGGCCGGAATGCTGGAACCACAGCTACGGTGCCCGAGTGCCCGATAGCGCTGTGGATGAGGGAGTCTGGGACTTCGTGACGGGAGGTTGGAATGGTGGCTTCCCACGAAGGTGTGAATCCTGATGGTGGCAGTTTTTTTTTTTTTTTAGACAGGGTCTCACTCTGTCTCCCAGGCAGTGGCATGATCTTGGCTCACTGCAGCCTCCACCTTTCAGGGTCAAGTGTTCCTCCTGCCTTAGCCTCCTAAGTAGCTGGGATTACAGGTGCGTGCCACCACACCCAGTTAATGTTTAAACTTCTTGTAGAAATGGGGTCTTGCTATGTTACCCAGGCTGTTCCTGAACTCCTGGCCTCAAGTGATCCTCCCTCCTCAGCCTCCCAAAGTACTGGGATTACAGGCGTGAACCACCGTGCTGGCTGTTGGCAGCTTTAATGGTGGCCGCCCACCCCCACCGCAGGGCTGCTGGAGATGGGGCTGGAGAGTGCCCCCTCCATGCCCCTTGTGGGGCTGCTACCTTCATCCCGGGGTTCCTGAGCCTTGAGCCTTCTCCAGGCCCAAGGACCACCCCTTCCCCCTCGTGCCTGGAGAGTCCTGAGGACCACACACATGTGCATGCGGGCACACGCGTGTACCTGCCAAAGACGTCCACAGGCCCCACACAGCTGTGTTCCCACAGCCGTGCCCAGTGAGTGTGTCCCCACCTCCCCCAGCCTCACACATCAGCCCTGTCCTCTGCCTGCTGCCCGGGAACAATTATAGTGTCAGGGACGAAGCTGCTGCCTCCGCTGCTGCAGACAAGCCCAGCCTCATGTTTAATTCATCTCGGGGCTAATTATAGCCAGGCAGGGGGAGGGGCTCTGTAACCTTGGCCTCCCCTCCCTTCCCCTCCCCTCCCCGCTGCCAGGGTGACTGGGGAAGAGTGGAGGATGGGGGCTTGTGTTCCACTCGGGCCCCCAGCTCTGGGCAGCTCCAGCATCTCCTCCCAGGGGCTGGTGCAGGTGCCATGGAGGCAGCCCTAAGGGTGAAAATGCAGGCACCGGCCAGGCAGGGTGGTGGGAAGCGGGAGTGGGGAAGCCAGCTCAGGACAGCTGTGTGCCAGCCTTGGGACTCCTTTTTCTCTCTCCCTCTCTCTCGTGGTTCAGGGTCGACCCTCAGACCTGGGATGAGGCCAGCTCTTCCGCCACCTTCCCTGTGAGCCCACCGAGGCCTGATGTCCCGTGGCAGATGCGATCGGTGAATCATAATAGCTGAAAAGTAGCATCACGTGACACTTGGCACTGTTTTTAGCACGTGGCTTGCTGTATTTTATTTATTTATTTATTTATTTTTAGACAGGGTCTCGCTCTGTTGCCCAGGCTGGAGTGCAGTGGCACAATCATAGTTCACTGTAGCTTCGAAGTCCTGGGTTCAAGGGATCCTTCCACCTCAGCCTCCTGAGTAGCTGGGATGACCATGCTCAGTTAATTTTTAAACTTTTTGTATCTAAAAAATTAAAAATTTTGGCCGGGCGTGGTGGCTCGTGCCTGTAATCCCAGCACTTTGGGAGGCTGAGGTGGGCGAATCACTTGAGGTCAAGAGTTTGAGACCAGCCTGGCCAACATGGTGAAACCCCGTCTCTACAAAAATACAAAAATTAGCTGGATGCGGTGGCTTGTGCCTGTAATCCCAGCTATTTGGGAGGCTGAGGCAGGAGAATCGCTTGAAACTGGGAGGCAGAGGTTGCAGTGAGCCGAGGTCATACTGCTGTACTCCAGCCTGGGCAAGAGTGTGAGACTCCATCTCAAAAAATAAAAAATGAAAAAATAAAAAATATAAATAAATAACTTTTGCTTGTTATGTTGCCCAGGCTGGTCTCGAACTCCTGGCCTCAAGTGATTCTCTTGCCTCAGCCTCGCAAAGTGCTGGGATTACAGACATGAGCCATTGCTCCTGGTCAGTTTTAAAATGTAACTTAATTTTTTAAATCCCCTTCTCCCATTTCATTTCTTTTGTAGAGATAGAGTCTTGCTATGCTGTGAGACCCTGTGCCCACAAAAAATTAAAAATTAACTTGGTATGGTGATGTGTGCGTGTGGTCCCAGCTACTTGAGAGGCTGAGGCAGGAGGATTGCTTCAGCCCATGAATTTGAGAACAGCCTGGGCAACATAGCAAGACCTCATCTCTATAGATGGGGAAATTGAGGCCCGGAGCGGCAAAGCAGACATGCCGTAGGTCACATGGCTGCAGTCTCATGCACTCTGCCTTCCTGCCTCCACCTCCCTGTCCTGGCCCAGGTCAGGGCTTTGTTCTTCCTGTCCTCCCTCCTTGGGCCTCAGCCTGTCCCAACTGACTGAGTGACACTTCCTGAAATAGCCCCTGGTGTCAGTTGTTGGCGGGCTGCCCCGCGCCACCCGCCCACGACCCCTCTATAATAGCTTTCCTCGGTGGGCGAGAGAGAGCCCAACTCCAGGGCTCTCAGCATTGGGCAACTTGCTACCCTCGTCTCTGCCTCAGTGTCCCTACCTGCACCCTGGAGGAGGGAAGCCTCTCACCCTCTGCGTCCCCATCCAGTAAGCCTGGGTCCCTTCCTTGCCTCCATATCCGGAGAGCCAGTTAACCTCCTGGCAGCAATGGCTTCATCTGTGAATGCATAACCTGTAACATGCCTCTGGATTTAATTAATCAAGTGAATGCATAGAAAGCTTAGGGCAGGCTGGGTGCTGTGGCCCACACCTGTGATCCCAGCACTCTGGGAGGCCGAGGCAGGAGGATTGCCTGAGGCCAGGAGTTCAAGACCCAGCCTGGGCAACAAAGCAAGACTCTGCCTCTACAAAAATAAAAATAAAAATAAAAATTTAGGCCGGGGGTGGTAGCTCACCTCTATAATCCCAGCACTTTGGGAGGCTGAGGCGGGTGGATCACTTGAGCCCAGGAGTTTGAGATCAGCCTAGGTAACAAGGTGAAACCTCGTCTCTACAAAAAATACAAAAATTAGTTGGGTGTGGTGGTGCATGCCTGTGGGCCCAGCTACTCCAGAGAGTGAGGTGGGAGGATCACCTGAGCCTGTGAGGCTGACGCTGCAGTGAGTCACAATTGCACCACTGCACTCCAGAGCGAGACCCTGTCTCTTAAAAAAAAAAAAAAGAAAAAAAAGAAAAAAGGCCAGGCATGGTGGCTCATGCCTATAATCCCAGGTACTTGGGAGGTTGAGGCAGGAGAATCGCTTGAACCCAGGAAGTGGAGGTTGCAGTGAGCTGACATTGTCCCACTGCACTCCAGCGTGGGCGACAGAGTAAGACTCCACTCCGTCTCAAAAAAAAAAAAAAAAAAAAAAAGAGCTTAGGGCAATGGCTGGCATGCAGTAGGTGTTTAATGAGTGTTTGGAATTCTGAAATCACTTATTCCTCGGGGCCGGGTGCTCTCCGCAGTTAAATGAGGCGGGGGCTTGCTTTTCAGATGACAAAAAGAGGGCTCAGATTCTGGGACACTCCTGACCTTGCACCCCAAGTCGTTGGCCCAGCGGAGATTCAAACGTGCTTCTCAGCCTCCAGTGCGCGCCTTTACCTCTCTTGCCCTCTAAGGCCCAGAGAGGGGCAGAGATGTCCCGGGATCGCACAGCCGTGCAGTGACAGTGCTGGGAAGGCAGGCAGGGCTCCTTCCTGGCGGGGGGCAGCACGCATCATCCTGGCCCCGGGCTGAGGGGCGGGCAGCGCCGGCCGGGACCGGGAGGGAGCTCCTGGCGGTGGCGCGAGCGTTTCCATGGCAGCCTGGCGGGAGCCGGCCGGAGCGATTAGGCGTCCCGAGGAGCAGCTGCTAAAAATAGCTCGCGCCGCACCGGGCTCATTAGCGGCTGGGCTTTTGGCTGCCAGGTACGCCCTCCCGGCTCTCCTTCCTCCTTGCGCCCGGGCGCAGCAGAGGACGTGGTGAAGGAGGCACAGCCCCGTCCTGGGCCCTGAATTCAAGCCTTGTGCCCTCCGGTCCTTCCTCTTTGGAATCTTCCTCAAAGGCAAATCCAATCTCACTCCTCCCTTGCTCTAAATCCTTCCTTGGCTCCCTATTGCCCTTGAGATCAAGGCCCTGCTCTCGCCCCCAGCTCTGCAGGCCGTTGGCCTCTATTACAACTGGCTGCCTCTTAGGGGCTCAAACCCACCCCACCCCACCTCGGAGCCTCTGCTCCTGCCGTTCCCTCAGCATGGACCATGCTACTTTCTCCTCTTCATCTTTCACATCTCAGCCTCCACGTCACCTCCTCTGGGAAGCCCAAGGCCCAGGTCAGGGGCCTCCTCTGGGTGCCTTCATCACAGTCTGACCTCACCCATGCTTCCCACACTAGCCTGGGAGGAAGAGGGCAAGTGTGTTTTGCTTCCAGCACCCCAAATAGGACTTGGTACACAGCAGTTGCTCAATAAGTGTTTGTGGAACAAAGGAAGGAATGAGATCATTGAGCTTTGATAGAAGGATTTCCTGGAAGACTAATGGGGGGCCCTGTGTCTGAGGGTCCCCGCTGTCCTGTGTCCTCAGACCAGAAGGTTCATGGTCTCTGTCATCAATCTTCTTTTTTTTTTTTTTTTTTTTTTTTTTTTTTTGAAACAGTGTCTTGCTCTGTCACCCAGGCCAGAGGGCAGTGGAGTGACCTCAGTTCACTGCAACCTCTGCCTCCCAGGTTCAAGCGATTCTTGTGCCTCAGCCTCCAGAGTTGCTGGGATTACAGATGTGCACCACCATGCCCAGGTATATATATATACCTGGCACAATATTAGCTGACCACAGCCTCCACTTCCTGGCCTCAAGCGATCCTCCCACCTCAGCCTCCTAGGTAGCTGGGATTACAGGCACCCGCCACCATACCTGGCTAATTTTTTTATCTTTTGTAGAGATGATGTTGCCTAGGCTGGTCTCGAACTCCTGGGCTCAAGTAATCGCCTGCCTTGGCCTCTCACAGTGCTGGGATTACAGATGTGAACCACCATGCCCAGCCTGTATCCTCTCTTGACCAGGCTCACTCTTCAGCTTCCTCTGGAGAGGATGGCTTGGCTGTGTGACCCAGCCAGCCCATTCACCCTCTCTGGTCCCCTTTCTGCCTTACAGAATCACCACAAATGCACAACATAGGGGTTGAAAGGACCCAGCTTGGTTCTAGAGGAACTGCAAATTTGGAAGAGAGAGGGAGGGAGATATGAAGATGAAGGAATGTAGGGGAGGATGGATGTCCCTGAACATATCTTGGAATAAAACTAAGTCTTGGAAAAAAACTAAGTGGACAGCATCAGGAAGAGGAGAGCCAAGGTCAGTTACCAGGCTGGCCACAAGGTGGAGCTTGTAGCATGGTACAGCTTGGTTGCAGCAAGGTTGGAGGAACGAGGCCAAGAGCCAAAGGAAGATTGGGAGGAGGAGAGGAGAGAGGATGGGCGTTTTGCATCAGGGGAGTGTTAGCACGGAAGAGCAAAAGTCTGGAAGGCTGGGCATGGTGGTTCATGCCTGTATTCGCATCACTTTGGGAGGGTGAGGCGGGAGGATCGCTTGAGTCCAGGAGTTCAGGATCAGCCTGGGCAACACAGTGAGACCCCCCGCTAACTGCTTCAAAAAATTTAAAAATTAGCCAGGTGTGGTGGTGCATGCCTGTAGTCCCAGCTACTCAGGAGGTGGAGGTTGGGGAATCACTTAAGCCTGGGAGGTCAAGGCTGCAGTGAGCTATGATGGCACCACTGCACTCCAGCCTGGGTAACAGAACGACACCCCATCTCCACAAAAAAAAATCAAAGGTGGCTCAAACCTGTAATCCCAGCTACTCAGAAGGCTGAGTGGGAGGATCACTTGAGCCTGTGAGGTCGAGGCTGCAGTGAGCTTGTGATGGAACCACCGCACTCCAGCCTGGCAACAGAGCAAGACCCTGTCTCCAAAACAACAACAACAACAAAAACTCTGAAATCTGCAATAGGGGCAGTGAGAGTGCTCAAAACTTTTGATTATTCAGCTGGGCGCAGTGGCTCGCACCTGTAATCCCAGCACTTTGGGAGGCCAAGGCGGGTGGATCATGAGGTCAGGAGATCAAGACCATCCTGGCTAACATGGTGAAACCCCATCTCTACTAAAGAATACCAAAAATTAGCCGGGTGTGGTGGTGGGCACCTGTAGTCCAAGCTACTCATGAGGCTGAGGCAGGAGACTGGTGTGAACCCAGGAGGCAGAGCTTGCAGTGAGTGGAGATCACACCACTGCACTCCAGCCTGGGTGACAGAGTGAGACTCCGTCTCGAAAAAAAAAACAACAACTTTTGATTATTCATGATCTATGTTGCCAGAAACCCATAAGACCATGGCTTAAACAAGGGTGACACTCATCACTCCTGTCCTCATAACCTGGGCATCAACCCAGGCTGCAGCAGAGGCTCCACAATCACCAGGGACCCAGGGCTCCTTCGGTCTTGTTGCTCTGCCTCCTCAGCCCCCAACTTCTATCTTGTGGACCACAGTGGCTACTCCGGCCCCTGTGATGGTGGCCACCTTCCAGACACAGGTGGGGGGCAGTGGGGGAAGAGGAAGAAGAAGGCCTGTTATTTTCTTCTGAGGTTACACCTGCTTCTGTCCCGTTGTTCACAATATGTCAGACAGTCACACTGACCTGCAAGAGAGGCCGGGCAACACAGTCTTTAGCTGGGCAGGTTTCATTTGTAAAGGAGAAAGTGGGGAATGGATGTTAGAGGCCAACCCACAATCTCTGCCATTGAATGGGTTGGGAAAAAGGAGTGGACACTCTTCACCATTTTAGTGACTACCTCAGGGAGATGCTAAAGTGAGAACGTGAGGCTTCCATCTCAGGGCATAAGCCAAAGTCTTCTTTGTCATTTCCAAGGCCCTGCGCAATCTACCCTCCATCATTTCCCTGACCTCATCTCCTTCCCCTCTGCCTCTTGCTTGGCTCTGCCCCAGCCACATGGGCCTCCTCACTGTTCCTCCAACACACCAGGCATAGTCCTGCCTCAGGGCCTTTGCACAGGCTGTTCTTCCTGCCAGGAATGCTTTTACCCTAGATCTCTCTTTGGTTCCCTTCTTCCTCTCCTTCAGGTCTCTGGTCTAAATCTTCTTCTCAGTAGGGCCTCCCTGATGACCCTGTTTAAAATTGCAACTGGGAGGATCACTGGAGTTCAGGAGTTTGCGGCCAGCCTGGGCAACATAGTGAGACTCTATCTCTACAAAATAAAAAATAAAAATTAGGCCGGGCATGGTGGCTCATGTCTGTAATCCCAGCACTTTGGGAGGCCAAGGCAGGTGGATCATTTGAGGTCAGGAGTTCAAGACCAGCCTGGCCGACATGACAAAACACTGACTCTACTAAAAATACAAAAATTGTGCCTGTAAATCCCAGCTGCTCAGGAGGCTGAGGCAGGAGAATTGCTTGAATCTGGGAGGCAGAGGTTGCGCTGAGTTGAGATCATGCCACTGCACTCCAGCTTGGGCGACAGAGTGAGACTCCGTCTCAAAAAAAAAATTAGCCAGGTGTGGTGGCGTGCGCCTGTAGTCCCAGCTACTCAAGAGTCTGAGGTGGGAGGATGGCTTGAGCCCAGGAAATCAAGACTGCAGTGAGCTGTGATTGCACCACTGAACTCCATCCTGGGCAACAGAGAGAGACGCCATCTCTTAAAAAAAAATTGCAACCTGCCCTCCCTTTCCAATTCTTGTCCCTTCCTGATACTTTCCATGCTCTGATTTTCTTCACAGCACTTAGCATGCTCTAAAACCCTACAGATTTTCTGGATTTATTTGCTCATTGTCTGTCTGCCCAACTAGGCTGCCAGCACTTCCAGGACAGAAATTTCTGCCTGCTGGCCGGGTGTGGTGGCTCACGCCTGTAATCCCAGCACTTTGGGAGGCCAAGGCAGGCGGATCACGAGGTCAGGAGATCGAGACCATTCTGGCTAACACGGTGAAACCCCGTCTCTACTAAAAATACAAAAAATTAGCCAGACATGATGGCAGGCGCCTGTAGTCCCAGCTACTCAGGAGGCTGAGGCAGGAGAATGGCGTGAACCTGGGAGGCGGAGCTGGCAGTGAACTGAAATCGCACAACTGCACTCTAGCCTGGGTGACAGAGCAAGACTCCATCTCAAAAAAAAAAAAAAAAAGAAATTTCTGCCTTCTTTGGTGCGTCTTCAGTGCCTAGAACAATGCTTGGCACTCATTAGGGGCTCAGTGTATATATATATATATATGTGTGTGTGTGTGTGTGTGTGTGTGTGTGTGTGTATACATATATGTATACATATATACATATATACACATATATACATATATATACATATATACACATATATATACACACCTGTATATATATACGCACATACACACATGTATATATACACGTGTATATATATATACACGTATATATATATACACATATATGTGTGTATATATATATACACGTGTGTATATATATATATATATACACACGTGTATATATATACACACACACGTGTGTATATATATATATATATTTTTGAGATGGAGTCTCGCTCTGTTGCCCAGGCTGGAGTGCGGTGGCACAGTCTTGGCTCACTGCAACCTCCACCTCCTGGGTTCAAGCGATTCTCCTGCCTCAGCCTCCCAAGTAGCTGGGATTATAGGTGCCCACCACCATGCCCAGCTAATTTTATATTTTGAGTAGAGACGGGGTTTCACCATGTTGGCCAGGCTGGTCTCAAACTCCTGACCTCAAGTGATCCGCCCACCTCGGCCTCCCAAAGTGCTGGGATTACAGGCGTGAGCCACCGTGCTCGACCCTAAAACCCTATAGATGTTCTTGATTTATTTGCTCGTTGTCTGTCTGCCCAACTAGGCTGCCAGCGCTTCCAAGACAGAAATTTCTGCCTGTTTTGTTCTCTGCTGCATCTTCAGTGCCTGGAACAATGCTTGGAACTCATTAGGGGCTCAGTCAATTTTTTTTTTGAGACGGAGTCTCATTCTGTCGCCCAGGCTGGAGTGCAACACTGTGATCTCGGCTTACTGCAACCTCCGCCTCCCAGGTTCAAGCCATTCTCCTGCCTCAGCCTCCTGAATAGCTGGGATTACAGGCGCCCACCACCAGGCCCAGCTAATTTTTTGTATTTTTAGTAGAGACGGGGTTTCACTATGTTGGCCAGGCTGGTCTCGAATTCCTGACCTTGTGATTGCCCTCCTTGGCCTCCCAAAGTGCTGGGATTACAGGAGTGAGCCACCGCGCCCGGCCTTGGGGCTCAGTCAATATTTTGAATGATGAAACTGAATAAGCAAAGTAGACACAACTATTCCCTCTTTTAGAGCTATGGAGACTGAGGTCTCAAGGGGAAAGGTGACTCACCCAAGGTTACATGCCAGAGGGCGGCCGAAAGATGGCTGTTACCTGGCGCCTTTCCTCAGTTTCTCCCTATTGGCTGACGTCTTTCTTCACCCTTGCCTTCCACCCCGAGTTACCTATACATTTTGGTTCTGCTTTTGTTTCCTGGAGCACATTTCTGTTGCTTGCAGCCAAGGACCCAGCATGCCCAAAGCAGCCACCTACACCATGCCAGGCACGGTGCCCGGTCCATTAGCTGCTGTGTCACATTGAATTGCCACGCAAGTATAATAACATTTGCAAATTTAACATCACACATAAAATGCTTCGCCTCAATTTCATAGGCATGGAAGGACTGAGGCACAGCGGGAGAATGGAATTGTCCTGGTCACACAGCCAAGAAGTGCAGAGAGGGGAATCGAACCCTTTGCCTGCTTTTTTGTTTTGTTTTGTTTTGTTTTGTGATAGAGTCTCACTCTGTCACCCAGGCTGGAGTGCAGTGGTGTGATGTTGGCTCACTGCAACCTCTGCCTCCCAGGTTCAAGAGATTGTCATGTCTCAGCCTCCCCAGTAGCTGGGATTACAGGCGTGTGCCATCACACCCGGCTAATTTTTTTGAATTTTTAGTAGAGACGGGGTTTCACCATGTTGGCCAGGCTCATCTCAAACTCCTGAACTCAGGTGATCCGCCCGCCTCGGCCTCCCAAAGTGCTGGGATTACAGGCGTGAGCCACCACACCCAGACTTCAAACCCTCTGTCAATTGGCATCTGTCAATGCCAGCCCTTTCTTACATCTCATTCCCTTGCCTATATTATTATTTTGTAAAGACAGGGTCTCACCATGTTGCCAAGGCCGGTCTCGAACTGCTGGCTTCAAGCACGGCTCCCGCCTTGGTCTCCCACAGTGTTTTGATTACAGGTGTGAGCCATTGCGCCCATCCCTTTGCCAATATGAGGTTCTCTGCCACCCAGGACAGCGCAAAGCTAATGGGCTTGGGTTCAGCTCCTGCCTGGGGTGTGGCCTCACTGGGTGACCTAGGGCCTCTTCCTCTTCCTTCTTCAACCTCAGTTTTCTAGACTGAGAAATGGGAATCCTAAAAGCTATTCTGGGAGGATCACGGGGCGTTCTACTCTGCCCAGACCCTGGCAAGCAGGATCTGGGAGCGGGAGCGGAGGCAGCAGATGCCCCCACTCCCATCACCCCCACCTTCCCAGCCCAGCTCCTTATTCCCTCGGCCACCCCATGCCAGGTTTCTGTTTAGTTTAATAATCTCCTGAAAGTTTAATTGTTGTTTTATTCATCCGTGACCTTTCTCTCTCATCTGGAGACGTATTATTACTAATCTACAAATTTCAAGAACCAGATTTATTTGCAAAACCAATTACCTGCCTATGCAAATGACCTCTCTCTGTGCCCGCCTCCCTGGCCAGCTGGCTGTGGGTGGGAGGGCAGGGGAGGGAGAGCTGCCGCCCGCCCCCCACAGAGCCACTGCTCAAACACTGGGGTGCAAACTTATCTATAATTCCTCAGAGCGGAGCGGCCCTCTCGGCCCCAGAGTTAATTAGAATCTCAGTAATCAAGGGGGGCCCTGACCCTGTACCTCTTAGCTCTGACCTCCTAAAGGGGCCTCTTGAAGTGGCCAGAGGCTGATTACCCTCCCACCCCATCCTTCTGATGAGAAGGATGCCTGTTCATTTGTCCATTCATTCATTTAGACATTTTCAGACACTGTTTTAGTTTCTGAAGGCAAAGCAAGGAACAAGCAGGCCTGAAGGAAAGAAGTCCCATCATTACGGAGCCAGCAGTCTAGGGGAGAGAAAGCAGGCAACGTAAATAAGAAAAATGTAGGCTGGACGCGGTGGCTCACGCCTGTAATCCAAACACTTTGGGAGGCCGAGGCAGGTGGATCACAAGGTCAGGAGATCGAGACCGTCCTGGCCAACATGGTGAAACCCCGTCTCTACTAAAAATACAAAAAATTAGCCGGGCATGGTGGCGCATGCCTGTAGTCCCAGCTACTCGGGGGAGGCTGAGACAGGAGAATCGCTTGAACCCGGGAGGCAGAGGTTGCAGTAAGCGGAGATCACGCCACTGCACTCTAGCCTGGGTGACAGAGTGAGACTCCGTCTCAAAAAAAAAAAAAAAGAAAAATGTATAGCATGTCACAGAGCCTGAATCATAACGGAGAAGTAAGCCAGGAAGGGGGACGGGAAGTGCCAGGGTAGGCTCCAGGCAGTGTGGACCCCTCTCTCCCTTCCTCCCTCCCACAGTTCCAGCCACAAAGAGTAGCTGATTCTAGGCTGGATGTGGTGGCTCACATCTGTAATCCCAGCACTTTGGGAGGCCGAGGTGGGCGGATCACTCCAGTTCAGGAGTTCAAGACCAGCCTGGCCAACATGGTGAAACCCTGTCTCTACTAAAAATACAAAAACATTAGCCGGGCGTAGTGGTGTGTGCCTGTAATCCCAGCTACTTGGGAGGCTGAGGCAGGAGAATCGATTGAATCTGGGAGGCGGAGGTTTCGGTGAGCTGAGCTCACACCACTGCACTCCAGCCTGGGCGACAGAGTGAGACTCCATCTCAAAAGAAAGTAGCTGAATCTTTTTTAAAAAAAATCCTATTTACTTAAAAAATAATAGAGATGGAGTCTTGCCATGTTGCTCAGGCTGATCTCAAACTCCTGGGCTCAAGCGATCATCTTGCCTCAAAACTAGCTGATTCTTTTTCTTCTTCTTCCTTCTTTCTCCTTTCTTCTTCTTATTTTTCTTTCTTCTTTCTTTTCCTTCTCCTTCTCTTCTTTTTTCTTCCTCAACAGGGTCTCAGTCTGTCACTGAGGCTGGAGTGCAGTGTTTCGATCTTGGCTCACTGCAGCCTCCTGCCTCTCAGGTTCAAGCGATCCTCCCACTTCAGCCCCCCAAGTAGCTGGGATTACAGGCATGTGCCACCATGCCCGGCCAGCTAATTTTTGTATTTTTAGTAGAGACAGGGTTTCACCATGTTGCCCAGGCTGGCCTCAAACTCCTGAGCTCAAGTGATCCACCCGTCTTGGGTTCCCAAAGTGCTGGGATTACAGGCGTGACCACCGTGCCTGATTCTTAAGCAATTCTTAAAATGCTAAACTTGGTCCTACCTCAGACCTCTTAGCCAGACTGCCTTCCTTCCAGGGCATATGTCACCTCCTCAGAGAAGCCTTCCCTGATTACTCTATTTTTGTCCTTCTTTTCTGCTTTCCCTTGCTTTAGAATTCTTTGAGATGAGGTCTCCCTTTGTTGCCCAGGCTGGTCTCGAACTCCTGGGCTTTAAATGATCCTTTTGCCTCAGCCTCCTGAGTAGCTGGGATTACAAGGGTGTGGCGCCCTGTGCTTCGCTTCTTGCTTTAGGATTCCTCCCACTCCCTGAAATTAGATTATGCATTTGTGTGTTATTATCTGTCTCACTCTATTTATTTTTATTTTTATTTTATTTTATTTATTTTGAGACGGAGTCTCACTCTGTCGCTATTTTTATTTTTATTTTATTTATTTATTTTGAGACGGAGTCTCACCCTGTCGCCTAGGGTGTAGTACAGTGGCACAATCTTGGCTCACTGCAACCTCGGCCTCCCGGGTTCAAGCAATTCTCCTGCCTCAGCCTCCCAAGTAGCTGGGATTATAGGCGCCTGCCACAACGCCCGGCTAATTTTTTTTCTTTGTGTTTTTAGTAGAGACAGGGTTTCACCATGTTGGCCAGGCTGGTTTCAAACTCCTGACCTCAAGTGATCCACCCCCCTCAGCCTTCCAAAGTTCTGGGATTACAGATGTGAGCCACCGCACCCAGCCTCACTCTACTTTAATATCAGTGAGGACAGAGGGAGTGGGTCTGTTTTGTTCGTAGCTGTCTTCCCAACACCCAGAACGGTGCCTGGGCACTTCATCAATACGGAGTCTTGCTCTGTAGCCCAGGTTGGAGTGCAATGGCGCCATCTCGGCTCACTGCAACCTCTGCCTCCCGGATTCAACGAAGGAAGGAAGGAAGGAAGGAAGGAAGGAAGGAAGGAAGGAAGGAAGGAATGAATGAATGATGCAGGGGCCAAGAGGCCATGCTAGCATGGTGTAGAGGACTCCATAGTGTCCTACTGTGGTCATCTTGCCCTTGGTGCTTCCCCATTGCCTCATGGAGTGGGTGAACTGTTCCCATTTCACAGCCCAGAACAGGGAGGCTATTACGTCATATGTGTGGCCTGACCAGGGAGCCCCAGCCAGAGCCGACCCGGCTGGGATCAGAAGCCAGCTGTGGGCTGGGCACAGTGGCCCACGCCTGTCATCCTGGCATTTTGGGAGGCTGAGGTGGGAGGATCGCTCGAGGCCAGGAGTTTGAGACCAGCCAGGGCAACATAGGGAGACCCCATCTCTACAAAAAATACAAGAATTAGCTGGGCTTGGGTCCAGCTACTAGGGAGGTTGCAGTGAACTGCCAAAAAATAAAATAAAATAAAATAAAATAAAAAGAAACCACCTACAGAAGGGCACTCCTTCCATGGTCCTCCCAGGGAGTTTTTTTTTTTTTGAGACACGGTCTCGTTCTGTCACCCAGGCTGGAGCGCAGTGGCGTGATCTGAGCTCACTGCAGCCTCTGCCTCTCCCAGGGAGATGTTGGTCAGAATCTTGACTGGGAGACAGGTCCATGCAGATCCCTGGACGTCAAATTCTCCATCTGAGCAAGGGGAAGTGATCGTCGATCATTCCCAGCCCCTCCCCTAGGCTTTAGGACCCCACCCATCCTGGTTTCCCTCCCATCTCTCTGGCCATCCCTTCTCCTCTCCATTGCCCTCTGGCCACCCCCTGTGGCTGGCTGCTGCCTATCTTCCCCTCAGGCTTCTCACACACAGCAGCACCCAATCTGGCAGCAGCAACTTCTCCCCAAACCCACTCCTTGTCCAGGTTCCCTCCCCAGGGGCAGTTCCATCTGCCTCTCCTTTGCATATGCTGCTCCCTCTGCCTGCCACACCCTTCCCCCTCAGAGCTCTCCCATGCCCCCCAACCTACCCGAACCCCTCCCAGCATTGCCCATCTCAGAGCGGCCTGAGTGTCTCCCCAAGGAACCACCACAATTTCTACAATGAAGTTGTGTGTGCCGGGGTTTGCTTAACATTTATCTTCCCAACTAGGTGCTAATCTCCAATCGAGCAGGGGCCTCGGCTGTTTTAATTCCCGTATCTTCAGTACCCAGTGTAGATATGGGCACTCAGCAAGAGCCTAACGTTTGCTGAATAATGAATCAATGGGTGTGTGGGTGTGTGTGTATGGGTGGATGGATGGGTGGGTGGGAAATGTGGGGTGAGGGAGGGGAGGATGGATGGGCAGATGGATGAAAGGTGAGTGGAGGGATGGTTGAATAGGGGATGGGAGATGGAGGGATAGGGGATGAAAGGTGGATGGGTGGGGGATGGGAGGGTGTGTGTGTGTGTGTGTGTGTGTGTGTGTGTGTGCGTGTGTATGAATGGATAGATGGATGGGTGGATGAATGAGTGTGTGATGGATGGATGGATGGGTGGATGGGTGGATAAATGAGTAGATGGTTAGGTGGGTGGGTGGTGAATGGATGAATGGATGGGTAGGTGGGTGGATGGATGGATGGATGGATGGATGGAAGGATGGATGGATAAATGGATGGATGGGTGGATAAATGAGTAGATGGTTAGGTGGGTGGGTGGTGAATGGATGAGTGGATGGGTAGGTGGGCGGATGGATGGATGGATGGATGGAAGGATGGATGGATGGATGGATAAATGGATGGATGGATAAATGGATGGATGGATGGATGGATGGATAAATGGATGGATGGATAAATGGATGGATGGATAAATGGATGAATGGATGGATGGATAGATGGGTAGATGCATGCATGAATGGATAAATGGATGGGTAGGTGGATAGGTGAATGGGTGCATGGATGGATGGATGGATAGATGGATGGATGGATGGATGGATGGATGGATAGCTGCATGGATGGATGGGTGGGTGGTGGGTGGATGGGTGAATGGATGGATGATGGATGGATGAGTGAATGGTTGGGTGTGTTGATGGACAGGTGGATGGCTGGGTTGATGGATGGATGAGTGGATGAATGGATGGTGAGTGGATGGATGGGTGGATGGATGGATGGTTTTTGGGTAGGTGGTTGAGTGGAGGTAAGGATGGATAGGCCTGTAGGTAGATGGTGGAGGAAAGGGTAGATGAGTGAATGGGGATTGTAGGGGTGGGTATATGGGTGGGTGTGTAGGTGAGTGAAAGGGGGATGGGATATGAAGGTTGGGGGATGGAAGGCGGACGATGGGGAATGGGTGGGCGGGTATATGGGTGAGTGTATGGGGGTTTGGGAAATGGAAGGAAGGATGGATGGGTAGGTGTTGGCTGGATGGGTGAAGGATGGATCCGTGATGGAGAAGGCAGATACGTGAATGGTCGGATGATGGAGAATGGAGCCCCACTTTGATGAGCTGGGCTTGGCTGGCTGTGGATCCTGGTGAAACCCTCAACTGGGGCCTGTCAAGTGGCTCGGAGCATTAAGCAGACTCCATGTGTTGAAGTTGGGGGAGGGGGCGGATAGATGCGACTCAGGCCTCAGCCTCTCTCTGCAGGACTCAGCTTGTCTTCAGCAGGGAAGCCTGGGGAGCCAGGCCTGCCAGTGGGAGTTCACTCCCCCCTCGCCACCCTGCAAACTCATGTTCCTGCTACCAACAGCAAACTGCATCCCCCTAACGAGGGCCCCACTTTTAGCTGGGAATGTGCCCCCTTCCACCCTCACTTGATTCAGTCCTGCTGCCCGCCGATTCAATTATTCCACTGCTGGGGTGGCTGGCAATTTTCAGTTGGGGTTGAACGCTGTCTCATATCTGTATGACTTTTAACAGCATGGACACCCAGAGACAGAAACACAGAGGTGAGAGAGAAGAGGGGAGAGACAGAAGCAGACAGACACAAACCAAGGGAGAAAGAGAGGGAGAGACTGTCAGAAAGAGAGAGACAAAGACAGAGAAGGGAGGGTCTGGATTAATCAAGCTCCCGTGGCCTCAGGGGGACTTCCAACCTATGCAAAACAGCAGCCTCCCTGCTAAGATCCTGACCTCTTTTGTTTTTGAGACAGAATCTTGCTCTATTGCCCAGGCTGGAGTGCAGTGGCGTGATCTCAACTCACTGCAACCTCCGCCTCCCGGGTTCAACAATTCTCCTGCCTCAGGCTCCCAAGTAGCTGGAATTACAGGCACCCGCCACCATGCCCGGCTCATTTTTTGTATTTTTGGTAGAGACGGGGTTTCACCATGTTGGCCAGGCTGGTCTCCTGACCTCAGGTGATCCACCTGCCTCAGACTCCCAAAGTGTTGGGATTACAGGCGTGAGCCACCGTGCCAGGCCCCTGACCTCATTTTAACCCCTTCCCTCCACACATGCACTTCACACTCAGCCCAGATTTTGCAGAGGCTGACCTGGCTCATGGCCGGCACAGCTCATAGATAAAAGGACAGCTGTTGGGAGGCAGTGAGCTCCTCACTCAGGGAGGAGTCCAGGCATGGGCTATGCACTGAAAATTCCTTTCAGATCCTAGGTGTGTGCAAAGTCCCCATTTTTGTTTTCGTTTGTTTTTGTTGTTGTTTTCTTTTTTTGAGTGTCAGGGACTGGGACGGAGTGAAGAGTGGGAGAGAGGGAGGAAGGGGAGGCAGGGAGGGGACGGGGCAAATCATGCAGGCCTTTGTGGGCTGCTGGGAGGACTTGGGCTTTTACGTCCAGGGAAGTGGGAGCTATGGAGGGCTGTGGACAGAAGAGGGACAGGACCTGACTCAGGGGCTCACAGGCGCCCTCTGGCTGCCAAAGAGAGGACAGGTCGTGGGGGTGAAGATGGAAGCCTGGGAATAGGATGGAGGAAAATGCGTTGGTTTAAGTGACGGATGTGGGGGAAGAGAGTTCCAGGCAGAGGGAACAGCCTCTGCAAAGGCCCTGGGGTAGGACTGTGCCTGACACGTTGGAGGAACAGCGAGGAGACCTATGTGGCTGAAGCCACACGGACAGTGTGGAGGGAGGGATGGGGAGAGAGGGAAGAGGAGAGTGCACTGAGGCGATGAGGGGGTAGCGGGCAGGTCATGCAGGGCTTTTTTTTTTTTTTTGAGGCAGAGTCTCACTCTGTCGCTCAGGCTGGAGTGCAGTAGTGCAATCTCGGCTCACTGCAAGCTCCGCCTCCCGGGTTCATGCCATTCTTCTGCCTCAGCCTCCCGAGTAGCTAGGACTACAGGCACCCGCCACTACGCCTGGCTGTTTTTTTTGTATTTTTAGTAGAGATGGGGTTTCACCGTGTTAGCCAGGATGGACTCGATCTCCTAACCTTGTGATCCGCCCGCCTTGGCTTCCCAAAGTGCTGGGATTACAGGTGTGAGCCACCGTGCCCGGCCAAGGGCTTTGTGAGATAACTTAGGCTTTTACCCTGAGGAAGGTGGGAGCCATGGAATGTTGTGGGCAGAGGAGGGAGGGCACCTGTCTCAGGTTTAACCACAAGTGCTCTGGTGGCTGTAGGGGAGTCTCTTGTCCCTTTTTGCCGTGCGACCTTGGACAGGTTCTTCTCTTTCTCTGACTCCAGAGCCCCTCTCCCCACGTGCTGACAACTCGGGCCCCACCACCGGAGCAGCCTCTGGGATCTGTGATATCTTCAGCACCCTGCATCGGGGGTGATTATTTGTAAGCTCAAACCGTCCCCATCCCGGCAGCTTTTCAGACAGTAATGAAATCACCTAATCTTGTGATTGGAGGCTTCACGGACACGTCCTCACCAGCGAGTGCCTCTCCCCAGGGAGGAAATTCTCAGGGCTCAGGCAACAGAAAAATTGCTTCCTTGCCTTTCTCCTTCCCCCTGCCACCAGGAGCTTAAGCAAAATCGCTCACTCCCTGGAGAGGGATCCTGGGGTTGTCTTATTCGTTCAGGCCGAGTTTGACTTTGTAGATGAAGTCTAAGTTCTGGCAGTGCCTTCAACTTGCTGTGTAGTCTTGGACAATTCTCCACCCTCTCTGGGTCTCAATTTCTCAAAACCGGTCCCTGGCACTGCGTCTAGGCCTATTGTGAAGAGGTGAAGTGTGAGAAGCACAAAGTGAGGTCACCAAGTGAGGAAGGCTGAAACCTTCCTTCTGCCTCTCCCCTTTTAAAAATTGTGGCAAATGCCGGGTGCGGCGGCTCACGCCTGTAATTCCAGCACTTTGGGAGGCCGAGGCGGGTGGATCACCTGAGGTCAGGAGTTCCAGACCAGCCTGGCCAACATGGTGAAACCCCGTCTCTACCAAAACTACAAAAACTAGCCAGGCGTGGTGGCGGGCGCCTGTAATCCCAGCTACTCTGGAGGCTGAAGCAGAAGAATTGCTTGAACCCAGGAGGCAGAGGTTGCCGTGAGCCGAGATCATGCCATTACACCCCAGCCTGGGTGACAAGAGTGAAACTTTGTCTCAAAAAAAAAAAAAAATTGAGGCAAAATAGAAATAACATAAAATTTACCATTTTAACTCCCTTTTTGGTTTCTGAGACAAGTTCTTACTCTGTCGCCTGGGCTGGAGTGCAGTGGTGCGAGCACGGCTCACTGCAGTCTCAAACTCCCGGGTTCAAGTGATCCTCCTGCCTCAGCCTCCCGAGTAGCTGGGACTACAGGTGTGCACCACCGTGCCTGGCTGATTTTTGTATTTTTTGTAGAGAAAGTCTTGCTATGTTTCCCAGGGTGATCTCAAGCTCCTGGGCTCAAGTGATCCTCCCTCCTTGGCCTCTCAAAGCGTTGGGATTATAGGCGTGCATGGCCTTAACCCATTTGAAAGTATACAATTCAGTGGCATTAGGTACATTCACAATGTTGTGCAACCATTGCTACCCTTCATCTCCAGAATCTTCTCATCTTCCCAGACTCAAATTCTTCCCCATGAAACACTCACTCCCCTCCCCCTCCCCAGCCTCTGCTACCCTCCACCCATCCTACTTTCTGTCTCTATGAGCCTGTGATTCCTTTCAAAGGTAAAGACTTGGGCAGGAGAGACTCAGAAGGAATGGCTTAGCCTGGAGGGAGACAGCATACAGAATGATTAAGGGGCAGGATACAGAATGATTAAGAATTTGGGCATCTGAGATTGAATCCTGGCTTTATCACTCATTAGCTGGGAAACTTCAGGCTTCCCCTGAAGCTATTTGGGAGGCTGAGGCACGAGAATCACTTGAACCCATGAGGCAGAGGTTGAAGTGAGCAAGACTGTGCCACTGCACTTTAGCCTGGGCAACAGAATGAGACTCTGTGTTAAAAGGAACAAAAACAAAAAGCCACAACAAATTAGCCACAGATACAGCATGTGGCACTGACCAGTGAGAATGAACGTGAGCCTCCATTTCCTCATCTATAAAATGGGGTTCATGACAGTGTTATCTTTTGGAAGTGTAATGGTTAGCTACTGCTGCGTAACAAGCCAAACTAAAACTCCCTGGCTTACAGTTATGTGTTATTGCTCCTGTGTCTGGGATCTGGTTGGGGTTGGGCTGATGTAGGCTATCTTTGATTGGCGACACTCAGGGGTATGCCGCAGCTCCACCTGGCTCAGGAGCAGTCTAAGCTGTCTTTTGTTTTCAAAGATGATCCTCTTGCCTCAGCCTCCCAAGGACTTCATGCATGAATCACTATGCCTGGCTCTCTTGTTTTCCACTCAGCTTCTACCTTCCCACTATGAGAGAATTCTATTAATTTCTTGTGACTCTTCCTATAATTTCTACAAATACAGTGAAACATACATATATATTTTATTTACTTTTTTTTTTTTTTGAGACAAGGTCTTGCTCTGTCGTCCAGGCTGGAGTGCAGTAGTGTAAACATGGCTCACTGCAGCCTTGGCCTCCTGGCCTCAAGTGATTCTCTTGTCTTGGCCTCCCAAAGTACTGGGATTACAGGTGTGAGCCACTGCACCTGGCCTAGAGCTTACATTCTTTTTTTTTTTTTTTTTTGAGATGGAGTCTTGCTCTGTCACCCAGGCTGGAGTGCAGTGGCATGATCTCCGCTCACTGCAAGCTCTGCCTCCTGGGTTCACGCCATTCTCCTGCCTCAGCCTCCCGAGTAGCTGGGACTACAGGCACCCGCCACCACGCCCGGCTAATTTTTTGTATTTTAGTAGAGACGGGGTTTCACCGTATTAGCCAGGATGGTCTCGATCTCCTGACCTCATGATCCGCCCACCTCGGCCTCCCAAAGTGCTGGGATCACAGGCGTGAGCCACCGCGCCCAGCCGAGCTTACATTCTTAACTACTAAGCTATTTGGCCAAGAACTCTTGCTTTCCAGAGTGATGATAAAAAATATTTAGAAGCCTGGGCAACATAGCAAGGCCCTGTCTCTAAAAACATTTTTCTAGTTAGCTGGTTGTGGTGGTGTGCACCTGTGGTTCCAGCTACTTGGGAAACCGAGGTAAGAGGATTGCTTGAGCCTGGGAAGTCGAGGCTGCAGTGAGCTGTGATTGCACTACCGCACTCCAGCCTGGATGACAGAGTAAGACTCTCTCAGACAAAAAATTTAGAGAGTCCAGGCATGATGGTTCATGCTCGTAATCTCAGCACCTGGAAGGCTGAGGTGGGAGGATTGCTTGAGGTCAGGAGTTCGCATCCGACCTTGGCAACATAGCAAGACCCCATCTCTTAAAAGCAAATTAGCTACAGATACAACTTGTGGCATTGACCAGTGAGAATGAGTGTTCTGAAGCAGGTCCCAGCAGCCCTGTTAGTGCCCGGACCTTGGGGAGGTCCAGGGCTTATAGGGAAGGTCCTGGCAGGTGCAAGTTGGTGCCTGTAGCCAGAGCTGCTTATCAAGAATTCCTGGACATGGCTGAGTGTGGTGGCTCATGCCTGTCATTCCAGCACTTTGGGAGGTCGAGGTGGGTGGATCACCTGAGGTCAGGACCCAGCCTGGCCAATATGGTGAAACGCTGTCTCTACTGAAAAAAAAGCAAAAACAAACAAACAAACAACATAACAAACAAACAAAAATACCACACAAATATTAGCTGGGCGTGGTGGTGCATGTCTGTAATCCCAGCTACTTGGGAGGCTGAGGCAGGAGAATCACTTGAATCTGGGAGGTGGAGGTTGCATTGAGCTGAGATTGTGCCACTGCACTTCAGCCTGAGTGACAGAGTGAGATTCCATCTTAAAAAAAAAAAAAAAAAAAAAGAATTCTGGACATTGCCAAGCACTAGGCCATGGTCAAGGCAAAACACAAGCCATCTTGTTCCTGATCGACTGACACTGAGAGTGTGAGCCTTTCTGAAGCCAGTCCTGCCATTTTCTACTAAAATTTACTGCCCGTCTTGAGAACCTTTCCTTCCTTCCTTCCTTTCTTCCTTCCTCCTTTCTTTCTTTCTCTCTCTCTCTTTCTTTCTTTTCTTCTCTCTTTCTTTTTCTTCCTTTTTTTTTTTTTTTTTGAGACAGAGTCTTGCTCTGTCACCCAGGCTGGAATGCAGTGGAGCAATCTCGCTGCAAGCTCCGCCTTCCGGGTTCACGCCATTCTCCTGCCTCAGCCTCCCAAGTAGTTGGGACTACAGGTGCCCGCCAGCACACCTGGCTAATTTTTTGTATTTTTAGTAGAGATGGGGTTTCACCGTGTTAGCCAGGATGGTCTCGATCTCCTGACCTTGTGATCCGCCTGCCTTGGCCTCCCAGAGTGCTGGGATTACAGGCGTGAGCCACCACACCTGGCTCGCTCTCTCTCTCTTTCTTTCTTTCTTTCTTTTTCGAGACAGGGTCTCACTGTCACCCACGCTGGAATGCAGTATTGCAATCATAGCTCACTGCAGCCTCGACCTTCTGAGCACAGACAATCCTCATGCCTCAGCCTCCTGAGTACCTGGGACTACGGGCATGCACCACTGTGCCCAGGGCATTTTTTATTTTTAAATTTTGTATAGAGATGGGGTCTTGCTATATTGCCCAGGCTGTTCTTGAATTCCTGGGCTCAAGTATTCCTCCCACCTTGGTCTCCCAAAGTGCTGGGATTAGAGGCCTGAGCCACCATGCCTGACCATAAGAAGGTCTCGAGTTCGTTGGATAGAAGAGCTAGGGAGCCTCCGTAGCTGCAAGCAGCTGGGACTTGGATGGCAGGGAGGGGTCCTGTTCATGGCAGCCAAAGGGTCCTGAATGCCCCTGGCCAATCTGTGACCCGGTCTGCAAGCCTGGAAGAGCACTCCCTGGCTTCTCAACCTTCCAGGGAGGGTGGATGGAAAATGAGGGTATTGGGATGCCTGGTGAAGTGGAACTTAACATTTTTTAATCAGCAGACGCTGCCGGCCACCTTTCCTTTGTACAGTGGAGACAGCTAAGCTCCTTGAAGCAGAACTTCTTTATTTAGAGAGAATCAGTTGAATGATTCCTCTTAGTTTTATTCATATTGAAGGCAAGTGGGTGCCCATTGTGGGGGATGGTGATGATGACGCTATTGCTGGTTGGATCAGTCAGCTACTGCTGCGTACGTAACAAGTAGCCCTGCAGCCAATGACTTCAAGCACTAAGCGTTTTTATTTTATCTTATTTGTGTGTGTGTGTGTGTGTGTGTGTGTGTGTGTGTGTGTGTGAGAGAGAGTGTGGAGTTGGGGTCTCACTTTGTCGCCCAGGCTGGAGTGCAGTGGTGCAATCATGGCTCACTTCAGCCTCAACCTCTGAGGTTCAAGTAATCCTCCTACCTCTGCTTCCAAGTAGCTGGGACTACAGGTGCGCCACCACACCCAGGTAATTTTTTCCTAATTTTTTTTTTTTTTTTTTGTAGAGCTGGCACCTCACTATGTTGGCCAGGCTGGTCCTGAACTCCTGGCCTCAAGTGATCCTCTTGCTGCAGCCTCCCAAAGTGCTGGGATTCCAGGTGTAAGCCACAGCTCCTGGCCTAAGCATTTATTTGTGTTCGTAAGTCTACAGATAAAACCATCTGACTCTTCCAGTCTCAAGTGGGCTCATTCCTGTCTCTGCAGTGAATTTGCAGTGAACTTGGGGTTGGATAGGCAGCTCTGCTGATCTTGGTTGGGCTTCCTTTCTTGTTAGGGGGTTGGCTGGGATAACTGGGCTCTCTTCCATGGGCCCTCTGATTTCTGAAAGACCAGCCTGAGGTTATTCCCATAGAAGTGGGACTGCAAGAGAGTGAGAAGAAGCAACCATCAGGCTGGACACAGAGGTTCACACCTGTAACCCCAGCACTGTGGGAGGCTGAGGTGGGAGCACTGCTCGAGCCCAGGAACTCAAGAGCAGCCTGGGCAACATAGCAAGACCCTGTCCCTAAAAATATGTATATAGAAAAAATTAGCTGGGTATGGTGGTGTGCGCCTCCAGTCCCCATCTACTTGGGAGGCTGAGGCAGGAGGATTGCTTGAGCTGGAGAGGTTGAGGCTGCAGTGAGCTGAGATCATGCTGCTGTACTCCAGCCTGGGTAACAAACTAAGAGGCTGTCGAAGAAGAAGGAGAAGAAGAAGAAGAAGGAGAAGAAGAGAAGAGGAAGAGGAAGAAGAAGAGAGAAGAGGAAGAAGAACAAAGAGCAGCCGCGAGCAAGGCCACTTGAACTTGGAAGCAGATCTTTCTCTGGTGACCTTGAGATGTCGGTGGCCCCAGGTAACATCTTGATTGTAGCTGTTTGGGAAAACCCTGGAACAGAGGACCAGCTAAGTTGTTTCTGGATGCGTGACTTCCAGAAACTGTGAGATAATAAATGAGTTATTTCAAGCTGCTATGTTTGTGATAATCTGTTGCACAGTAATAGGTAATGAATACCAGTACTTGGACAAAGGCTGCCGTTCCTCAAACTCCTTCGTGTGCAGAGCTGACTAGTGGTGTTGAAGTGGGATTCACCGGAGCAAAGGAATTGCAATCCAGTTTCTTTTGCTTCTGAGGTTCTCTCTGATGGGCAGGAGTGGCCCCGAGGGACACCTGAAGGCAGAAAAGGAAGCCTAGTGCTGTCACGTGGGAACTTAGTCTCAAGGGGGACAGAGGAGGAGAACGGAGGAAAACCTGGTTTTGAACGCAACATGTGTCTGGAAGTTCTACCTCCTTCACTTTCCCTGTTATTGTGTCTAGCTTGGTGATTGGGGCCTGAAGTCATTCAAGAATGTAAATCAAAGGACTCTAACCTTGCGGACCTCAGTTGGGGTTCCACTGGGGCCAGTGCAAAGGGAAAAGGAGGCAACAGACTGTGCAAGACTATTGTTCAACAGCAACACCTTGTGGCAGCCACAGAAATAACAGCAGCCTTGGTGTCATCCATCGTACCATCTGGTCCTCTCTCTGTGTGATGTTGGAAAGGGTGATCGGCCCTATAGACTGAGAAGGTGCTCAGGGTCATGGACAACTTGAGGGCAATGTCAAGAGGCACCCAGTGGGCACATATGGTATCCATGGGAATAATTAAGGAGAAGTGACTCTAGTAAGACCATTGCACCCTTCCTTTTTCAGGAACAGCACCTTAGATTTTTCTGGGAGGAACTTCCCTGTCTTGCTTTTGGTTCCTGAAGTCCAGGCAGGGTCAGCTTCAACCTGGGAACCAGGGAGGGAGGCTGTGACCCAGTGCAACCCTACCCCTATGATCGTGAGGTCACTTTTTTTTTTTTTTTTTTTTTTTAAGGCTGAGTCCTGCTCTGTCACCCAGGCTGGAATGCAGTGGCATGATCTCAGCTCACTGCAACCTCTGCCTCCTGGGTTCAAGTGATTCTCCTGGCAAGTAGCTGGATTACAGTGCCCACCACCACACCAAGCTAATTTTTTTGTATTTTTAGTAGAGATGGGGTTTTGCCATGTTGGCCAGGCTGATCTTGAACTCCTGACCTCAGGTGATTAGCCCACCTTGGCCTCCCAAAGTGCTGGGATTACAAGCGTGAGCCACCACACCTGGCCTTGAGGTCACCTTTGCATGCGAAGGCTGTATACTGCTAACACCTGTGACATCTCCTGTCTGATGGTGTCCTGCTGGCTGTTGGAGGCCATTTGGTCCTGTGCAAGCCAGGCCAGAGGGCAGGAGAGCTAATGCAGCTTTCCACCTTTACAGATGGGGAGTGGGTGGATCAATACTTCAGCTCCCTGACCCATCTGTTGGGATAACTCCAAGCAGGTTCTGTACCTCCCAGAGGTTCCCAGTGGGACCGAGCCCCAGTTTCCCGCACATTCACCTGCTCATTAACACCCCTTGTGTTGGCTCTTTCCCTCCCTTGTCTCACTTTCCTCTCCCCTCCCAGTGATTCCTGGAATGCTTTTTTTTTTTTTTTTTTTTTTTTTTTTGAGATGGAGTTTTGCTGGAGTGCAATGGCATGATCTCGGCTCACCACAACTTCTGCCTCCCAGGTTCAAGTGATTCTCCTGCCTCAGCCTCCCAAGTAGCTGGGATTACAGGCACGCACCACCACATCCGGCTAATTTTTGTATTTTTAGTAAAGACAGGGTTTCTCCATGTTCGTCAGGCTGGTCTCAAACTCCCGACCTCAGATGATCCACCCGCCTCGGCCTCCCAAAGTGCTGGGATTACAGGTGTGAGCCACTGCACCTGGCCCGGAATGCTTTCTTCTAGATAAACTCCTTGCCCCACAAATCCTTGCCTTAAAGTCTCTTTCTAGGGAGGTCCAATCAAAGATACCCAGGGCTGGCCAATCAGAGGATGCTACACCTCTGGCCTCAGTGATTATCTCAGGGCCATGACCCATGTTGTCCCAATCAGAGAGAACTCCTAAATATTTGGTGGACTTGTGGGTGAAGTCCTGCTGTGGGGTAAGAAGACACATTTTCCTCAGGGGTTGCTGAGCTGATAAATGCCTTGTCCTCCTAGGACCCATCTGATCACCACGTGGAAAAGCCTCCTGTGAATGAAGTTAATTCAGAAGAAAGCAGATGGTCTTGACATGGCTTCAGCACCTGGATCAAACCGTGCCTGAAGGCATACTATTATTTACAATAGCTCCCTTTTTGCTGAAGTCAATTGAAATCAAGTGTTTCTGTTTGTTCTTTGTTTTTGTGACTTTTAGAGTCCTGGCTATTGAAGAGCTGGTAAAGGTGGTCTCGTGGGCACTATATGAGTTTGTTAGGGCTGCCAAAAAGAAGTACAAAGGCTGGTTGGCTTAAACAATAGAAATGTGTTGTCTCACAACTCTGGAGGCTGGAAGACACCTGAGACAAGGTGTTGACAGGGCTGATCTCTTCTGAGGTCTCTCTTCTTGGCTTTTCAATGGCCACATTTTTCCTGTGTCCTCACATTGTCTTCCCTCTGTGTGTGTCTGTGTCCTCATCTGCTCTCTCTCTATTTTTTTTTTTTTTTTTTTGAGACAGAGTTTCACTCTTGTTGCCCAGGCTGGAGTGCAATGCCGCAATCTCGGCTCACTACAACCTCTACCTCCCACATTCAAGCCATTCTCCTCCCTCAGCCTCCCGAGTAGCTGGGATTACAGGCATGTGCCACCATACCCCGCTAATTTTGTATTTTCTTTCTTTTTTTTTTTTTTTTTTTTGAGACGGAGTCTCACTCTGTCGCCCAGGCTGGAGTGCAGTGGCCCAATCTCGACTCACTGCAAGCTCCACCTCCCAGGTTCACGCCATTCTCCTGCCTCAGCCTCCCTAGTAGCTGGAACTACAGGCATGCACCACCACGCCCAGCTAATTTTTGGATTTTAGTAGATACGGGGTTTCACCATGTTGGCCAGGCTGGTCTTGAACTCCTGACCTCAGGCAATCCACCTGCCTTGGCATCCCAAACCTTCCTTCTTTTCTTGAGACAGGGTCTCGCTCTGTTGCCTAGGCTGGAGTGCAGTAGGACGATCACAGCTCATTGCAGCCTTAGCCTCCCAAGCTCAAGCAATTCTCCTGCCTCAGCCTCCCAAGTAGCTGGGACTACAGGTGCAGGCCACCGTGCCCTGCTAGTTTTTTTGTAGGAACATGGGTCTGGCTATGCTGCCCGGGCTGGCCTCGAACTCCTGAGCTCAAGCAATCCTCCCACTTCGGCCTCTCAAAGTGCTGGGATTTCAGGCGTGAGCCACGGCACCCGGCCTTGCGTGTCTCCATGGTGGCCTGGGCTGCCCTTCCTCACCTCGGCAGTCCTTAAACGATTTCTGCACCATCATTTTCAGGACGCTCTGCAGTGTCGCTCAGTCTTTTTGCACCAGGAAGCTGGAGAGCGACCCGGAGTGGGAGGGATAAAGGACGCCGAGGCGGAGGTGAGAGGATGGCAGAGCGACGGATGGGGCGACATTGATCATCTGCACAGCCCTGGGCCTCTGTGGCCACGTGGCTGGTGGCTTTTGCAGAGACACTTCGCATTGCAGACTCAGCACTTGGCTCATCTTCCCGGACCGCCACCAGCCTCTGCCGAAAAGAAAAAAAAAGCGTGCTGAGCCCCTGAAACCGCCAAATAACCCGAGCAGGGTCTCGATGAGTGGCCTCTGTAGATCATCCGCAAAGCCCTGGTTTCTTCCCAGAGGCAGGGAAGGCAGTGGACGGCAGCCAGGGGAACTTGGGTTCAAATTCTAGCTCTGCCGCCCACTGGGTGACCTTGGACACGCCCTTCAACCTCTCTGAGCTCTCTCCTTTGTAAAATGCTTTTCCAGAGGAGTCAGCTAGGGCGTGAATTCTGGAGACTGATCAACAAATAGGTGCTCAGTGAAGGATAGTAGCCATACAACCATAATAGTAATTATACAAATCACAAGTAGTTACAAATACAAAAATACAAATACAAATACAAAAAAAAGATCCACGGGCTTTGCGATCACATGTGCATACATTTAAATTCCAACTTCGGAATTTATGGAGCAAGAGGGATCATTGGCAAGTTGTTCAGTCACTGAGTCTCAATGTTTTGATCAGTGCATTAGGTACAGTGGTATTTTCTTCCCTGGTGGAGCCTGTGAGGAGGAGCTGGGGAGGCAAAGAGGGTCAAGTGTATGACTCCACGCTCAGGGTGTAATCAATGCCCAATGCATGAAAGTGCATAATCTCAGCACTTTGGGAGGCCAAGTTGGGAGGATCGCTTGAGCTCAGGAGTTCAAGACCAGCCTGGGCAACATGGTGAAACCCTGTCTACAAAAAATACAAAAAAACCGGGCCAGGCGCAGTGGCTCATGCCTGTAGTTCCGGTTACTCAGGAGGGTGAGGCAGGAGAATGGCATGAACCCGGGAGGCGGAGCTTGCAGTGAGCCGACATCGCACCACTGCACTCCAGCCTGGGCGACAGAGTGAGACTCTGTCTCAAAAACAAAAAACAAAAAACAAAAAAACAGAAAAAACAAAAAACAAAAACAAAAAACCTAATTAGTGGCCGGGCGCGGTGGCTCACACCTATAATCCCAGCACTTTGGGAGGCCAAGGCGGGTGGATCACTTGAGGTCAGGAGTTCAAGACCAGCCTGGCCAACATGGTGAAACCCTGTCTCTACTAAAAATGCAAAAATTGGCCAGGCATGGTAACACACGCCTGTAATCGCGGCTACTTGGGAGGCTGAGACAGGATAATCGCTTGAACCCGGGAGGTGGAGGCGGCAGTGAGCCAAGATCGCACCACTACACTCCAGCCTGGGCCACAGAACAAGCTGTAGGACGTGGTGCTGTCTGCCTGGTGGTTCAAGTCAGCTGTTGTAGTTGGCAGAATAATGATCCCCCAAAGATGTCCACATCCTAATCTTAGACCCCATGAATGTGATTCAATGGCAAAGGAGAATTAGGGTTGCAGGTGGAATGAAGGTTGCCAGGCAGCTAGTGATGAGAGAGAAAGATATTATTCTGGAGTACCTGGTGGGCCCAAATCATCGCAAGGGTCTTTTAAAGTGGAAGACAGAGGCAGAAGAGAGAGAATCAGATAGCAACACAGGAAGGACCAGGCCTGGCCGGGCGCGGTAGCTCACGCCTGTAATCCCAGCATTTTGGGAGGCCGAGGCGGGAGGATCACTTGAGGTCAGGAGTTCAAGGCCAGCCTGGCCAACATGGTGAAACCCCATCTCTACTAAAAATACAAAAATTAGCCAGGTGTGGTGACGGGCGCCTGTAATCTCAGCTACTCGGGAGGCTGAGGCAGGAGAATCACTTGAACCCGGGAGGCAGAGGTTGCAGTTAGCAGAGATGGCGCCACTGCACTCCAGCCTGGGCTCCACCTCCACCTCTCAGGTTCAAGAGATTCTCCTGCTTCAGCCTCCTGAATAGCTGGGATTACAGACATGTACCACCACGTCCGGCTAATTTTTTGCATTTTTAGTAGAGACGGGGTTTCACCATGTTAGTCGGGCTGGTCTCAAACTCCTGACTTCAAATGATCCACCCACCTCGGCCGGATCCCAATCTCAAAGTGTCGGGATTACAGGCATGAGCCACCGCGCCCGGCCTGCAGGCTCCTCTTTAGCTGTCTTCCTGCCTTACAGGGTGAGACTCTGTCTCAAACAAACAAACAAACAAAAAAACCAAAGAAGGACTAGACCAGCCACTGCTGGCTGTGAAGGTGGAGGAGGGGGCCCTGAGCCAAGGGATGCGGATGTCTCTAGACGCTGGGAAAGGTGGGAATTGGATTCTCCCCTGGAGAGTAAGATCTAGTGGGATCAGGAAGAGGCACAAAGAGACAGTTCCAACCTCCACAACTTTGCATTTGTGATGCCATGTCCTTCCAATCCCAGCTGCAGCTACGCCTCCTCCAGGAAGCCTCCCTGGGTCCCACCGTCCTTGTGGCCCTGTCGTGTCCTGCAACGGAGAGCTCAGAGGGTCTGGGGACTGTCGCAGGTCCCTCCCCCTTTTCCAGGTGCACTGCTATCATGATTATACGTCACTCTAGAAAAAACTGATTACATTGCAACCTGACCTTCTCCCTGTCTGCGGGGCCCATTACCACGTCAATCAGATGGCTCAGAGAAGGAAAAATTATTTTATCTTTAACAATACTTAAAACTGCTCAGCAGGGCCATCTTGGGGACTGGGCGTTGGCAGCTGTGGGTAGGTGCTCTGGGTCTCTGCATCCTACAGGCTCCCCTTTATTTATTTATTTATTTATTTATTTATTTATTTATTTTTGAGACGGAGTCTCGCTCTGTCGCCCAGGCTGGAGTGCAGTGGCATGATGTCAGCTCACTGCAACCTCCACCTCCCAGGCTCAAGAGATTCTCCTGCTTCAGCCTCCTGAATAGCTGGGATTACAGGCATGCACCACCACGCCTGGCTAATTTTTTGCATTTTTAGTAGAGATGGGTTTTCACCATGTTGGTCGGGTTAGTCTCAAACTCCTGACTTCAAATGATCCACCCACCTTGGTCAGATCCCAATCTCAATGTGTCGGGATTACAGGCATGAGCCACCGCGCCCGGCCTGCAGGCTCCTCTTTAGCTGTCTCCCTGCCTTACAGAAAAGTCTGGAACCTTCTGATTTGCAAACTGAATTCCCACCCTCCTGGGCCACCCCATCCGCAAAGGGGGCTCGCCCTTCCGGAACCAGCCCAGATCCCTCTCTCTTGTCTCTCTCTTTGTCTCTCTGTCTTTGCCTCTGTCTCTCTCTTTGTTGGCACTGGGGAGACCCAAGAATCGAGTGCTCATGGGCTGGTGGGTATCCACAAATCATTTCCTCAGCCTGAGCACCGCGTGATGGAGGGGCCACCATCACACCCATTGTGCAGTGTGGAGACCGAGGTCCAGAGACACAAAGCCCTGTTTCTGTTTCTTTTTTTTTTTCTTTTTCCTTTTTTTTTTTTTTTTGAGATGGAGTCTCGCTCTGTTGCCCAGGCTGGAGTGCAGTGGCGCAACCTTGGCTCACTGCAAGTTCTACCTCCCAGGTTCACGCCATTTTCCTGCCTCAGCCTCCCGAGTAGCTGGGACTACAGGTGCCCGCCACCAAGCCTGGCTAATTTTTTTTTTTTTTTGTATTTTTAGTAAAGACGTGTTTTCACTGTGTTAGCCAGGATGGTCTTGATCTCCTGACCTTGTGATCCACCTGCCTCAGCCTCCCTAAGAGCTGGGATTACAGGCGTGAGCCACCGTGCCCGACCCCTCTTGCCTCAATTTTCCCATCAGGTGAATGGGAGTCAGTCTCGTCCCTTACGGGCTGTTGGGAGCTGGAGTCCTGCCCGTCACAGAAGGATTGTGAGGTAAGATACAGGACACCCAGTTCAACTTGAATTTCAAATAAACAGAAAATACTTTTTTAAGAAAAAAAAAAAAAAAGTCTGAGTATACCCCAAATATTGCATGGGCTATACTTATACTAAAAACTCACTTGTTGTTTGGCTGAAACTCAGATTGAACCCGGCATTCTGTATTTTTTTTTTTTTCTTTCAGACGGAGTCTCACTCTGTCGCCCAGGCTGGTGTGCAATGGTGCGATCTTGGCTCAATGCAACCTCCACCTCCTGGGTTTAAGCAATTCTCCTGCCTCAGCCTCCTGAGCAGCTGGGATTACAAGCACACACCACCATGCCCGGCTAATTTTTGTATTTTTAGTAAAGGCAGGGTTTCACCATGTTGGCCCGGCTGGTCTTGAACTCCTGACCTCTGACCTCAAGTGATCCACCTGCCTCAGCCTCCCAAAGTGCTGGGATTACAGGCATGAGCCACCGTGCCTGGCTGGCAACCTGTATTTTTATTGGCCACATCTGGCAACCGGAGCATGAGGCTCTGGAGAGATAGAAGGTTCTGGACATTGTGGGGCAGACTCATTTGTATCAACAGTATCAGGTTGTCCTGGCTGCTATGAGGACAATGTTGAGATTTCCCAACAGAGTGCTGGAAGATTTGTTTTTTTTTTTTTAAATTATTACTTGGCCGGGCACGGTGGCTCACGCCTGTAATCCCAGCACCTTGGGAGGCTGAGGCGGGTGGATCACAAGGTCAGGAGATTGGGACCATCCTGGCTAACACGGTGGAACCCCGTCTCTACTAAAAATACAAAAAAATTAGCCAGGCTTGGTGGCAGGCCCCTGTAGTCCCAGCTACTCGGGAGGCTGAGGTGGGGGAATGGCGTGAACCTGGGAGGCGGAGGTTGCAGTGAGCCGAGATGGCGCCACTGCACTTCAGCCTGGGCGACAGAGCGACACTCCATCTCAAAAAAAAAAATTATTACTTTATTTATTTTAATAGAGACCGGAGTCTTGCTGTGTTGCCCAGGCTGGTCTCGAACCCTGGCCTCAAGCAATCCTCCTGCCTTGGCCTTCCAAAGTGCTGGGATTCCAGGCATGAGCCACTGGGCCCAGCCTGATTTGTCTGCAATGTGGCACAGTTGCCTCTGCTGGAGCCAGGGACCGCCTCTGTCACTGGGAAATGGTGGCAACCATTACGGCTTGACCCTCTCCAGCAACGCTGGGCAGAAAGCCCATCTCATGAAGCAACAAAGAACCCAACTAGATTCAGGCCGCTGTCTCCCTGTCCCGTCCTCCCCCCTCCACCCCAGCCACCCATCACAGTCCATCCCCAAGGCCGGTGGCTCGCCCTGTCCTCAAGGTGTCAATACCTCCCCTTCTAAATTTCACCCTGGAAATCAATTAGGGTCCGGGCGAGTTGATTATAAATCAGCTATTTTCATAATTGTTATGTCTTTAATAAATCAGAACTGTGCACGTTGCATGCAGGCAAAATGGAGCTGTTCTCCTGAGGTCATCAATTACCCGGAGGGGAAGACAGGGCCGTGTCCGCATTCCCTCGTCCTCCACCCGATCCGGAGACGCTGCCGGCCGGGCCAGGGAGTTCCTGGACCCGGGCCGGGCCGTTCCATTAGGGAATTGCTTAAGCAGCGTTTTAAATAACAAAAAGGGATATCATTTAATTTTTTCGCAACGTGGAAATCAATACGCTGTCCTTCAGGCGGCCTGACGGATCGTCTTGGCGAGCTTCTCCGAGTTAATCTAATTTTTCTGGGTCTGGCTGGGACCAGCCGTCTTGCGCGAGGCCTCCTGCGTGCCGGCATCAGCCCAGCCTGGAATCCATGGTCTCAGACGGATCTTCCCACAAGTGCTGTGGATGTATTTGGCAGGCGGGGAGGCAGAAAGGTGGGCAACAAGCCATTTCTTTTATTTATTTATTTTTTTGAGATGGAGTCTTGCTCTGTCACCTAGGCTGGAGTACAGTGGCGTGATCTCGACTCGCTCACTGCAATCTCTGCTTCCCAGGTTCAAGCAATTCTCGTGCCTCAGCCTCCTGAGCAGCTGGGATTACAGGCGCCCGCCACCACGCCTGGCTAATTTTTGTGTTTTTAGTAGAGATGGGGTTTCACCATATTGGCCAGGCTGGTCTCGAACTCCTGACCTCAGGTGATCCACTTGCCTCGGCCTCCCAAAGTGCTGGGATTACAGGCATGAGCCACCATGCCTGGCCCGAGCCATTTCTTTCTTTCTTTCTTTTATAGAGATGGCTTCTTGCTATGTTGCCATATAGAGTTGGAGGCCAGGGTGGTCTCCAACTCCTAACCTCAAGTGATCCTCCTACGTCAGCCTCCCAAAGTGCTGGTATTACAAGTGTGAGCCACTGTGTCCAGCCAAGAAGTCATTTCTTTAGGGCAGTGGCCTTGACCAGGGATGATTTTGCATGCTCTGGGGGCATCTGGCAATGTCTGCGGACATTTTTGGTTGTCATGACTTGGGGGGTGCTCCTGGCATGGAGTGGGTGAAGGCCAGGGGTGCTGCTCAGCACCCTGCAGTGCCCAGGATGGTCGCAGCCCAGAGAATGATTCAGCCTCAAATGCCCACAGTGGCAAAGATAGGAAACTCTGCCTTAGGGCAATTCATGAAAGGCAGTTTGGAGAACCCTGATCTCTTCCCCCATCTTCGCTTCTGAACCCTGTGTCCTGTTTATTCCAAAGTCCAGGGGGACAAGGCCCTCTGTGACAGTGCAGAGACTCTGGTGCGAGTCCTGGGCCTATTCATCCAGTAGATATTGAGCACTTACTGTATATCAAGCACCATTCTAGGTATTGGGGATCCAGCCACCAATAAGATGGACAAAACACCTGCCCTCATGTGGTTTAACTTCTAGTCAAGGTAGAGAGTTGAGCAGGTAGGTAAACCAAAGGTGGATTCAGAAGTCAGTGAAGGAGGCCGGGTGCAGTGGCTCACACCTGTAATCCCAGCACTTTGGGAGGCCGAGGTGGGTGGATCACTTGAGGTCAGGAGTTTGAGACCAGCGTGGCCAACATGGTGAAACCCCGTCTCTATTAAAAATACAAAACTTAGCTGGGCGTGGTGGCATGCATCTGTAGTCCCAGATGCTTGGGAGGCTGAGGCACGAGAATCACCTGAACCAGGAAGGTGGAGGTTGCAGTGAGCCAAGATTGCGTCACTGCACTCCAGCCTGAGTGACAGAGACTCTGTGTCTCAAAAAAAAAAAAAAAAAAAAAAAGAAGTTAATGAAGGGGATAAAACGGGGATTGGTTGGGGTGGGGCTGTGAGGATAGTGAAGTCTGCTCCAGCTGCCATCACTAAACAAAGATGCTCCTTAACTTACAATGGGGTCATTACCCAATAAACCCATCAAAAGTTGAAAATATCATAAGTCAAAATACGTTTTAGATTTACAATATTTTCAGCTTATAATGGGTTTACCTGGAAGCCACTTCATTGTCTTTTTTTTTTTTTGAGACAGAGTCTTGCTCTTGTCACCCAGGCGGGAGTACAATGGCACGATCTCAACTCACTACAACCTCCACCTCCTGGGTTCAAGCAATTCTCCTGCCTCAGCCTCCGGAGCAGCTGAGATTACAGGTGCGTGCCACCATGCCTGGCTAATTTTTGTATTTTTAGTAGAGACGGGGTTTCACCATGTTGGCCAGGCTGGTCTCGAACTCCTGACCTCATGATCTGCCCGCCTTGGCCTCCCAAAGTGCTGGGATTATAGGCGTGAGCCACCATGCCCAGCCTCCACCTCACTGCTACTTGACTTAGAGTAGCATACTAAATGTATATTGCTTTTGTCACCCTCAAAAAATAAAAAAATTATGTTGAACTACTGTAAATCAGGGACTGTCTGTACCACAGGCTGCGTGGCTTAAACAAAAGATCATTTTCTCACAGTTCTGGAGGCAGGGAAGTCCCAGAGCAAAGCGCCAGCCAATTTAGCTCCTGGTGAGGGCTCTCTTCCTGACTTGCAGATGGCCACCTTCTTGCTGTGTTCTCATATGGCAGAAACAGAGCAAACTCTCTGGTGTCTCTTCTTGTAAGGGCACTAATCCCATCATGAGCCTTCCTTCAATTACCATCCCATAGTTGGGGAGGGGTGTTAGGGTTTTAATTTATGAATTTGGATGGGGGGGACACAAACATTTAGTCCATATCAAGGGAGCTTCTCTGAGGAAGTGGGATTGGAACTGAGGCCGGTGGCTTAAAAGAGTCTTGACAAATGTTACTATGGAGCTTCTGGTCATAAATAATAATGATGGTTATACTAACTTGCATTCAGAATACTCTTTGAGCCAGACCCAAGAGATTGTCTCTTTGATTTTCATTTATCAGATGAGAAAACTGAGATTCTGGGATGAGCAAGCAAAGAGAAAGGAGCTCAATGTCTCACCCTGCAGGACATGAGGAACTGGAACAACTTTGCCTGGAAAGGGCATGCAGAATACCCACCCAGCTCTGCCCCAATTTACTGGGCAAAGTAGGCCAGGTGAGGAGGAAGGGAAGGGTTCTCTGGACAAAGGAGGAGGCTGTGTGGGTAAAGTCCTGAAGGTGGGGAGAGGCTGGTGTGCAGGAGCAAATCTCTGCCTTTCTTTTCCAGCTAATTTGGTGGAATTGAATTCTTAGACCATGTATTATCTCCTCTGGGAATGCTTCTTGGAGGGCTATGGGCAGAGGAGGGACAGGATCTGACTCAGGTGCTCACAGGTGCCCCTGGTGGCTGCTGAGAGGAGGATAGACTGTGGGGGGTGAAGTCGGGAGCTGGGCACCAGGGAAGAGGGGACTGTGTGGTTCCAGGCAAGTGACGATGAGATGTCAGACCAGGGTGAAGGCAGAGGAAGAGAGAGGAGTGGCCAGATTCTGGATAGGTTTTGAAGGCAGACAGGACAGGATTTGAGGGATTAGATATCAGGTAGGTGATAAAAGATGAGTAAAGAATATAGGGCCAGGTCACATATGGAAGCCAAAAGACTGTGGGTCTGCAACGCTGGGCTTCTCAGACTTCCCATTTATAAAATGGGGTCAATACCACCTGCCTCCCAGGTTTACAACCAACAACTGTTATGGGCCCAGCCTTGTTAAGCCCATGACTGTGGGAGTTTCTATGCTGAGGTGTCCCTGACTTCCTAGTGATCATAAGCAATTTCAAGCTTCATCTACTACAAACCAAGGCAGGGATGGTGTTTAGCTGGAAGATAGACGGTGTGTGTGTGTGAGCAGCCTCTTCTGGTGAAAGGTGACATTGCAACCTTGCTCTATTAGACATGGCAAATAACAGACAAGAGGAGGGAAAAGGTGAAATTTGGAAGTTCCTGAGATAAAGAATAACTTATTTGATTTTCTGGACTTTGGAGGGATATGGGGAAGCTTGGAGCTGGGGAAATGCTATGTAATAGGCAGAAGGGAAGAGAAGTTGAAGGCAGAAATTCTAAGATTCACATGGAGGACGCCATGTGAAGATTAAAGTTATGCCACCTCAAGCCAAGGAACTAGCAGAAGCCAGCAGAAAAACACGGAATGGATCCTTCCCTAGAGCCTTTGGAGGGAGCATGGCCCTGCTTACATGTAGGTCTTGAATTTCTGGCCTATAGAACTATGAGGAAATAGGCCAAGCATGGTGGCTCACGCCTGTAATCCCAGCACTTTGGGAAGCCGAGTGGGTGAATCACGAGGTCAGGAGTTCAAGACCAGCCTGGCCAGTATGGTGAAACTCCATCTCTACTAAAAATACAAAAACAAAAAATTAGCTGGGCGTGGTGGTGGGCACCTGTATTCCCAGCTACTCAGGAGGCTGAGTCAGGAGAATCGCTTGAACCCGGGAGGTGGAGGTTGCAGTGAGCCGAGATTGTGCCACTGCACTCCAGCCTGGGCAACAGAGCACGACTTCATCTCAAACAAACAACAAAAACCCCAAAACTATGAGGAAATACATTTCTGTTGTTTGAGCCACTCACTTCGTGGTATTTTGTTTTGGTAGCCCCAGCAAAATCATACACCTGTCTTTTTTTTTTTTTTTTTTTTTGTATTAATTTGAGACAGGGTCTCACTCTGTTGCCCAGGCTGGGGTGTAGTGGTGTGATTATGGCTCACTGCAGCCTCAACCTCCTGGGTTCAGGTGATCCTCCCACCTCAGCTTCCCAAGTATCTAGAACTACAGGTATGCATCATGCCCAGCTATTTTTAAAAATTATTTTTGTAAAGATGGAGTCTCCCTATGTTGCCCAGGATGGTTTCAAACCCCTGGCTTCCAGTGATCCTCCTGTCCCAGCCTCCCAAAGTGCTGGGATTAAAGGTGTAAATCACTGCACCCCACCAATAGCTGCCGTTTGAAGTGAGGTGTGGCTTCATGACTTGCTTTGGCCAATAAAATGTGAGTAGAAGTCATGTTAATCCCCTTCAGTAAAAGCCTTTAAAATCCAGTATCCCATTCTTCATATTCTTTCCCCTCTCTTAGAGACCACTGATGTTTCCTCCATCTGTCTCAATGCCTGAGTGAGGCAGACACAGAGGCCCCCTGCCAACCTGTATTGGGCATATAGTGTGGATGACAAATAAACCTTGGTTGTTTTAGAGCCACTAAGATTTAGGAGCTTGTTCCAGTTACTGTGGTTGTATAAATTACCTGAAAAATTAGTGGCTTAAAATAATAATTTATTACCTCTCATGGTTTTATGGGACAGGAATTTGGGAGCAGCTTAGCTGGGCAATTCTGACTCCGAAGTTCTTACAAGGTTGCAGTCAAGATGTTGACTGGGGCTGTATCATCTGAAGGCTTGACTGGGGCTGGAAGAGCTGCTTCCAAGCTCATCCACATGGCTGTGGGTAGGAGTTCCTTTCTCTCTTTCTCCCTTTCTCTCTTTCTTTCTTTCTCTTTCTTTCTCCTTCCCTTTCTCTCTCCCTTTCTCTCCCTCTCCCTCTTTCTCTCTTTCTTTCTCTTTCTTTCTCCCTTTCTCTCGCTCTCTCCCTCTTTCTCTCTCTCTCTCCCTCTTTCTCTCTTCCTTTCTTACTTTCTTTCTTTCTCTCTCTCTCTCTTTCTTTCTTTCCTCTTTCTCAATATGTTACCGAGGCTGGAGTGCAGTGTCACCATCTTGGCTCACTGCAACCTCCACCTCCCAGGTTCAAGCAATTCTCCTGCCTCAGCCTCTGGAGTACCTGGGATTACAGGTGCTTGCCACCACAGCTGGCTAATTTTTGTATTTTTAGTAGAGACAGGGTTTCACCATGTTGGCCAGGCTGGTCTTGAACTTCTGGCCTCAAGTGATCCATCTGCCTTGGCCTCCTAAAGTGCTAGGATTACAGGTGTGAGCCACTACACCCAGCCTGTCCTTCACTTTTGTATGCAGAATTTTCCATAGCACTGCTTGAGTGTTCTTCCAACATGGCTGCTGGCTCATTCCTAGAGGGGTTGATCCAAGGAGGAAGTTGAAGTGCCTTTTATATAAGGCTCAGCCTTAGAAGTCACTCACTGTCACTTTTATATGCCTCACGAGTCAGCCCCGATTCAGTGGAGGAGGAGACCCCACAAGGTCATGAATACCAGGAGGCAAAGGCTCATTGGGGCCATCTTGGAGGCTGGCTCCAAGAGGTTCTTTGTTACTGTAGCAGTCCATCCAGACTGATGAA
Source organism: Homo sapiens (assembly GCF_000001405.40). Lineage (NCBI taxonomy): Eukaryota > Metazoa > Chordata > Mammalia > Primates > Hominidae > Homo > Homo sapiens. The sequence continues at coordinate 5,501,408 of NC_000019.10, read as the reverse complement.
GACACCATTGCATTGCCTGGCAGTAAGACTTTAGGAGACTCACTTTTCCTTTATGAGCCCTAGTTTCCACATCTGTGAAAGAAGGAGGTGCATTTGTCAGCAATGTGGGAGACCCTGCAGGGGAAGGGGGAGTTCCAGGAAGTAAACTGAGTCCACTGCCTTCATGACAAACCTGGAGATGCATTCATGGGAGAAAAAAGCCTCCTTCCACCTTCCCTCTCATTGCCAGAATTGAAGATTTGGACCCAGAAATCCTGGCCAGGAGGACTAGAGGTGCTGTAGCATGGGGGGCTACGTTTTGGCTCTACCACCAAACAGCTGTGTGATGTTTAGCAGGAGGCTGGATCTGCCTGAGCCTCAGTTTCTTATTCTGTAAAATGGAGCAGTACCTACTTCACACAGGAGGTGAAGATTAGAGGTTATCACAGTCCAGAGGCCCTAGCACAGCTGATAGCAAATGCGCACTGATATTGCCTGTTGACTAAAATGGCTACCAGAGGACTAATCCCCGAAAACTACCCACTGTGGGGGCTTCTGATTCACCGAGACTTAGAGCTGAAAGACATTCTAAGAATCCTGGATTCCAATCCTCTCATTTTCTAGGTGGGGAAACTTACCCCTGGAAAAGGGCAGAGAATTCCTGGCTTGGGTAGTAGCCAGCTTCCTGACCCCCTTTTCAGGAACTGCACTGCTGTGCTACCTGTGGGCATGGAACAGCCAGTCAGGTGAGGGCTCTTGTTTGAGTGAAAACCTGGAGGTGGAAAACTTGCAGAATGTTGGGGAAGAGGCTGGGAGTAGATCTCTCAGGATAGAATGAACCTTGATTCTTATTTTTACTTACTTATTTATTTTTGAGACTGGGTCTCACTCTGTTGCCCAGGCTGGTGTGCAGTGGTGCAGTCTTGTCTCACTGCAACCTCCACTTCCCGGCCTCAAGCAATCCTCCCACCTCAGCCTCCCAAGTAGCTGGGGCTACAGGCGTGTGCCACCACGCTCAGCTAATATTAAACAAAGTTGTTTTTATAGAGACGAGGTCTCACTCTATTGCCCAGGCTGATCTTGAACTCCTGGGCTCAAGGAATCCTCCTGTCATGGCCTCCCACAGTGCTGGGATTACAGGTATGAGCCACCAAGCCCTGCTGAACCTTGAGTGCAATGGTGCGATCTCTGCTCACTGCAACCTCTGCCTCCTGGGTTAAAGTGATTCTCCTGCCTCAGCCTCCCAAGTGACTGGGATTACAGACACCTGCCACCATGCCCAGCTAATTTTTATTATTTATTTAATTAATTTTTTTATTTTTTTTTTTTGAGACAAAGTCTTGCTCTGTCACCCAGGCTGGAGTGTAGTGGTGTGATCTCGGCTCATTGCAACCTCCGTCTCCCGGGTTCAAGTGATTCTCCTGCCTCAGCCTCCTGAGTAGCTGGGATGACAAGCAAGCACCCTCACACCCAGCTAATTTTTGTATTTTTAGTAGAGATGGGGTTTTGCCATGTTGGCTAGGCTGGTCTTGAACTTTTGACCTCAGGTGATCTACCTGCCTTGGCCTCCCAAAGTGCTGGGATTACAGGCATGAGGCACCGCGTACTGCTGAACCTTGATTCTTGAAGACCACTTGAAAATGCTGGATCAAACCATTCCTGAAGTCCACCTCATTTCTGAATTAAATGTAAACCTGACCTACTTTGCCTCCTGACCTGCCGAGGCTGGAGGACATTCGTAAAATGCACACACTGTGGGCAGAAAGATGGAGAGCTGGCAGAATGGGCTTCTCCCCTGGTGCTGCCATGACCTCACTGTTGCTTGTTGGATTGAACCATTTGGACATCTTTGTCAGCTGGAAGCTATGGAAAGCACTGGAGCACAGAAGTGATGTCTTTAAAGCCCGCAGTGATTACAGTTTTCTTTCCCTGGCTGACTTGGAGAAGGCTTCAGCCTGAGCCGGCCGGCTGGGATCCCCCAATCTCCCTGTGTCCCCACCCCCCAGCCCCATTGCTGGGCTGTCATCGCTGCGGGAGAGCCTGGGAACAGGAGACGAGAATGACCCGTGATTGTCGCAGAGGCCTCTGCTCTAATTTCCCCGAATGGGTTTTGAGCGGCTAATGCGGCCCCCGCTGGGCAGGAGATGGAGCGCCTGGCAGGGCCTCCCAGGCTAGAGCATTTGAGGCCCACCCACTGTAGCCGGGGCCTTAACCCGCTCACTCTCACTGCTGGGCCACTGGGAAACTTCCAGTCCTGGGGTCTCTGAGGGGAGCAAGGGGGGCAAGACCCTCCCACCTTCTGGATCTGGCTGAGCCAGCGTGGGTCAGTGCAGCTGAGGCTACCGGGTGGGCTTTAGGATTTAGAGGTAGCCGAGCTGGGAGGGATTCAGCCTCCTCCAGGGGCGGTAAAAGAATCTGACACTCAGAGTCAGGCAGTGTCTACAGTCTCAGCCGAGAGTCAGGGCTCAGGCTGGGATTGGGGCTCAGCCTGGGGTTGGGGCTCTGTTGATATTAGGGCTCAGGCTGGGATTGGGGCTCAGCCTGGGGTTGGGGCTCTGTCGATATTAGGGCTCGGGCTGGGATTGGGTCTCAGCCTGGGGTTGGGGCTCTGTCGATATTAGGGCTCGGGCTGGGATTGGGTCTCAGCCTGGGGTTGGGGCTCTGTCGATATTAGGGCTCGGGCTGGGATTGGGGCTCAGCCTGGGGTTGGGGCTCTGTCGATATTAGGGCTCGGGCTGGGATTGGGGCTCAGCCTGGGGTTGGGGCTCTGTCGATATTAGGGCTCGGGCTGGGATTGGGGCTCAGCCTGGGGTTGGGGCTCTGTCGATATTAGGGCTCGGGCTGGGATTGGGGCTCAGCCTGGGGTTGGGGCTCTGTCGATATTAGGGCTCGGGCTGGGATTGGGGCTCAGCCTGGGGTTGGGGCTCTGTCGATATTAGGGCTCGGGCTGGGATTGGGGCTCAGCCTGGGGTTGGGGCTCTGTCGATATTAGGGCTCAGGCCAGGGTCAGCAGGGCTCAGGCAGGGTTAGTCCAAGTCTGGAGCTCAGTCTGCGGTTGGGGCTGACCCTGGTTGACCCTGGCTCAACCCAGGGTCTGAGATTCAGTCCAAGCTCAGCCAGGATTTGGGTTCAGTCCATGGTTAGGATCAGGTCAGGTCCGGGACTCGGCTGCAGTCAGCCCAGGGCTGGGGCTGCACCTGGTTTAGACTTATCTGAAAGTGGGCACTGGGTCGGTGTTTGTTGAGTGAATAAGCAACTCCACTAGTGATTTCTACAAGGTCTGCAGGGATGGAGCCCTAATGCTGGAATTTCAGATACAGTGATGGCCACTACGGTTCCTGTACCCTTAACTCCTTCAGGGACGGATGTGGCCATGCCTTGGATGGGGAAACCAAGGGCACGTGGCTTCTCTCCCGGAGCCCCCACCCCAACCCTGGCAGGTGGGAGATGGTGGAGACAACGATAGGGGTGGGAGGGGCAGACCTAAATGGTTTTGGTTGGAGCTCTTCATGTGTGGGGCAGAAGCCTGACAAGTGTGGGGATGTGGGGACTTGATTCTGCTGAGGATGAGGCAGCCATGCTGGGGTTCTGGGCAGCAGTGAGTTGAGCCACCTGGGACCAGGCTGGGACTTGCTCAAGAAGGAGGAGCCATGGCCAGGGCTACGTCGGGGGTGAGGATCATCTCATCTTCCCGGAGAGCATCAAAGGTCTCCTTTTGAGGTTCTCTCCACATGAGGTGGTGGGAGCTACAGTCGCAGAGACTCAGGAGGAAGAGGTTTATGGAGACCCTCCATGGCAACCATCTCCCTTGGGGGTCAAAGCCCAAGTTCTCTCCAAGGCCCACAGGCCCTGCACGCCTGTCCCTGCCCTGACCTCCCTCCTCCTTCTCTCCCATTGCTCACTCCACTCCAGCCACACAGGCCTCTTCGCTGTTCCTCCAACACCCCAGGCGCAGTCCTGCCCCAGGGCCTTTGCACGGGCTGTGCCTTCTGCCTGGAGTGCTCTTGCTCCAGGTATCCACCTGGCCAGCTCCATCTCAACTTTTGATTCTCTCACCTCCAATATCATCTCCTCCAGGAAGCCCTCCTGATTTCCTAAGCTTAAATAACACTTCTGAGTTTCCTGACTTCATCACCTACTTTCGTGATTTTGTGGGTTTTTTTGTTTTTTTTTTTTTTGAGGCGGAGTCTCACTCTGTTACCCAGGCTGGAGTGCTGTGGTACGATCTTGGCTCACTGCAACCTCTGCCTCCTGGATTCAAGCTATTCTCCTGCCTCAGTCTCCCAAGTAGTTGGGATTACAGGTGCCCGCCACCATGTCCGGCTAATTTTTGTATTTTTAGTAGAGACAAGGTTTCACCATGTTGGCCAGGCTGGTCTCGAACTCTTGACCTTAGGTGATCCTCCTGCCTCGGCCTCCCAAAGTGCTGGGATTACAAGTGTGAGCCACCACGCCTGGCCCATTTCTTCCTTTTTTTTATTTCTTCTGGGACCTGGGCAGTTGGAAACAGCCCGGTTCTCACTTGCATGTGAAAGGCCGGCCTCTGGCGATTCCCTCTGTGTGGTGGCCCCTCAAAGAGCCATGTGAGATGAGATGACTGGCGAGAGTTACCAAAGGGCCGTGATGGGTGCTGGGTACATGATGGTGAAAATGACAGATGTGTTTGCTCTGGTAACAGACAGGCCTAGGGTGCTGACTGTGTGCTAGGGACACAGCAGAGACGAGATGGAGGCAGCCCCACCACTACAGAGCTCGCGGTGACCGGGCAGTGACAGTGGGGCTGTCATGGGGGATGTACAGCCCAGGGGGGCTCCAAGGTGGAGGTGCCTTCCAGGTTGAGACCTGGAGGGAGAGGACAGTGTAGTCAGGTGGAGCATGGGGAAGGGTGTTCTGGGCAGAGGGAACGGCAGTGCTGCATGGATGCTAGAGCTCTGACTGTAGCTCAGTGTCCCTCCTGCGAGCCCAGCCATCACCCTGGGGTTCCCCCCTGAACATCCTTCAGGACTTCCACCCTCAGTGGCCACCCTGGCCTCGGCCTCTCCCCTCAGCTGGCTCTTTCTCTTAGGTCCCCATCTCAGCGGTGGTCCCACTGGGCCCCCATCCCTGAACTGGAGACCTGGACACTGGCTTCTGTCCAGCTTCTCCCCTCTCCATCACAGCCTGTCTGTCCCCACATCCTGCCTGCTCTACCTCCAGGCCCTCCCTCCCATCTGTCCCCTCCCAGTTCTGCCCCAATGCTAGTCCCCCACTCCCACCCCAGATCTCCTCCCTGGTCTCCCAGCCTCTCTCCTGTACCCCCCGATTGCCTGAGGGAGTCACACACAGTTTCACCTCCAGGCTGCCACCTCTGCTTAAAACATTCCCCCACATCTCTTCTCTTGGCTCCTTCTTCTAACTCTTCCTTCCGCTGTCTTTGCAGAGCCGCCTCCTCCAGGAAGCCTTCTATGATCCCTCTTGCCCTGTGCACCTCCCAGACAGCTCTATCACCCTATTTTTCAGCCTGTTTGATCCTGGCTCCATCTTCTTCCACAACAGCAAGGGTTTGCTTATTTTATTTTATTTATTTATTTATTGGAGACAGAGTCTCGCTCTGTCACCCAGGGTGGAGTGCAATGGCGCAACCTTGGCTCACTGCAACCTCCACCTCCCATGTTCAAGCAATTCTACTCAGCCTCCTGAGTAGCTGGGATTACAGGTGTGTGCCAGCACACCCTACTAATTTTTATATTTTCAGTAGAGATGGGGTTTCGCCATGTTGGCCAGGCTAGTCTCAAACTCCTGACCTCAAGTGATCCGCCTGCCTCCACCTCCCAAAGTGCTGGGATTACAGGTGTGAGCCACCGTGCCCAGCTAATTTTTGTATTTTTGTATTTATTTATTTTTGAGGCAGAGTCTTGCTCTGTCACCCAGGCTGGAGTGCAGTGGCGCGATCTCAGCTCACTGCAACCTCTGCCTCCCAGGTTCAAGAGATTCTCCTGCCTCAACCTCTCGAGTAGCTGGGACTACAGGCGCCCGCCACCACGCCTGGCTAATTTTTGTATTTTTGGTAGAGACAGCATTTCACTATGTTGGCCAGGCTGTTCTCAAACTCCTAACCTTGTGATCCGCCCGTCTCGGCCCCCCAAAGTGCTGGAATTATAGGCGTGAGCCCTGCTCCCGGCCCCAGACACCGTTTCCTTGGAGTGCCCCTCTCTGGCTCGAACCCGGGACCAGGGCCCTGCCAACAACAGGATTTTCTCTAATCGTGTCCTTTTTCATCAACAAAACCCTAATGGAAAACGCCTCCCTCTAATTCCTCAGGGAAGCAGTCATTTTTGTTTTTCTCTCATTACATAGATTGCAACAATTGAGGCACCTCCCATGTATGGTGCTGTGATTAATTCCACCTCCCGTGTTGGGGCTTCCGTGCCCCCCACGTCCCCCGTCCCCCATTGTGAGTGGATCCTGGGCAGCGGGGGTGGGAAGAACGCAATCAAGCTCAGGCGGTGGCGTTTCATTTCCTAACAATAGCAAGATTCCCCACCCAGGGACACAGGCACGTGTATCATCAAAGAAAATAAAAGCCTAGGGGTGGGATTGCAGGATCCTTTGGGGGCAAGTTTTGCACGAAATCTCTGAGACTTTGATTTCTGCCATCTCTTTATGCACCAAACCTTGGGCTTTTCATGCATTTTTTTTTTTTTTTAAGTCCGAGTCTTGCTCTTGTCGCCCAGGCTGGAGTGCAATGGCGTGATTTCGGCTTACTGCAACCTCTGCCTCCTGGGTTCAAGTGATTCTCCTGCCTCAGCCTCCCAAGTAGCTGGGATTATAGACGCCCACCCCCCTACCACGCCCAGCTAAGTTTTGTATTTTTAGTAGAGATGGGGTTTCACCATGTTGGCCAGGCTGGTCTCAAACTCCTGACCTCAGGTGATCTGCCCACCTCGGCCTCCCAAAGTGCTGGGATTACAGGCGTCAGCTGCTGCACCCGGCCTTTTTCTTTTTCTTTTTTTTTCTGAGATGGAGTCTCGCCCTGTTGTCCAGGCTGGAGTGCAGTGGCGCGATCTCGGCTCACTGCAACCTCTGCCTCTGGGGTTCAAGCTGTTCTCCTGCCTCAGCCTCCTGAGTAGCTGGGATTACAGGTGTGTGGCACCACGCCCGGCTAATTTTTTTGTAGTTTTAGTAGAGACGGGGTTGTACTATGTTGGCCAGGCTGGTCTCAAACTCCTGATCTCAAGAGATCAGCCCTCCTCGGCCTCCCAAAGTGCTGGTATTACAGGAGTGAGCTACTGTGCCTGGCCATCATCTATTTTTTTTTTTTTTAAATAGAGACAAGGTCTCACTCTGTTGCCTAGGCTGGAGTGCAGTAGCACGATCATGGCTCACTGCAGTCTTGACCTCCCAGGCTCAAGTGATCCTCCCACCTCAGCCTCCTGAGTAACTGGTACCACAGGCACACACCACAACACCTGCTGATTTTTTTTTTTTTTTTAAAGAAATAGCGTCTTGGCCGGACGTGGTGGCTCACGCCTGTAATCCCAGCACCAGCACTTTGGGAGTCCGAGGCAGGCAAATCACTTGAGGCCAGGCATTTGAGACCAGCCTGGCCAACATGGCAAAAACCTGTCTCTACTAAAAATACAAAAATTAGCCAGGCGTGGTGGCAGGTGCCTGTAAGCCCAGTTACTCAGGAGGCTGAGGCAGGAGAATCGCTGGAACCCAGGAGACAGAGGTTGCAGTGAGCCGAGATCACACCACTGCACTTCAGCCTGGGTGACAGAGGGAGACTCCATCTCAAAAAAGAAAAAGAAAAACAAGATTATTAGTATACAGAAAAGGCCGAGGACTCAGACAGAAGAGGGTCCCTCAGTCACCTGGGAATCCCTGTGGGATGACATTGGGTTGACGGCTTTTGAGCTCCATCTGGACCCTCTGACCAGCCTCTAGCCCTCTCCCCTCCTCCCTCGTCCTGGGAAGGGGCCCTAAACCAGGAGTTTGCTTCGGCAGCATTGGGTAAACTTGTGCAAACACCTTTCACTCTCTGAGCACCCCTGAATCCTCCATCCCTCCAAAGTGGGGACATAAAGGGCCGCTTCTTAGTGACAAGGCACAGAGACAGCAGGCATGTCCCTCAAGGTCACACAGCAAATCGGGGAGAGAGAGGGGAATGGGCCCCGTTGGTCTCTGCCTTCCTTCCCAAACTCTTCAGCTCGGGATGGTTGACAGCTGTCTCCCCTGGCCTGGACTTACCAGTGTCTGGCAGTCAAACTGTCAGGAAGACAGGCCAGATGAATTTGTTTTTCTGAATATCTCAATGCAGCGCCGGGAGCCAGGTCCACCCGCCCAGTGCCCGACTTCCCCGCCGCAAGCCTCCCCTCGCCCCCCACCAGCCTTTGTCAATATCTCAAAGTGGCAGGCGAAATCCCCTTCAATGGAAACCTCGGCGAATCTTTTCTTTTACCCTCAGTATTTGTTTATTTTCCTCCCTCCCTTCTCCTTCCTCCCGCATCTCAGAGAGGAAGCGATTAGATTAACGGGCAGAGGAGGACAAGAAAAGACGAACAAAGACGCCCGCCTTTTGGGCCCAGCCGCTCAGAATGGGGGATTTGCAGGCGAAGAATGTGGACGGGGGTGAAAGTGGAACGTGGAATTGAGTGGGTTGAATGGAGCGGCCGAGCAGAGGATTTTACCAGCTCAAGGGACAAAGGCGCCGGCCGCAGGGCCTCCTTGGCGAAGCCAAGCTGCCAACACCTGCTCCTTTTTCAGGAACCACAATAGGGACTTTAAACATCAGCTGCGGCCTCCAGGATCCTGACAGCGCCTGGCCCGTGGGGCTCAGCAGTCCAGGGGGTTGCAGGGACATAAAGGGCAGCAGAAGTCCCCCCCTCCGAGCCCAGGGCTGCGAGTGGGGGGCTCTGGCATCCACCAGCTTGGGTCTGAATCCCAGCTCTGCTATTCATTCATTCATTCATTCATTCATTCATTCATTCAGTGTTTCCTGAGCACCTGCTATGTGCCAGGCCTGATTCTAGGACCCCAAGGACCCAGCAGTGAATTAGCCAGAAACAAAATTCCTTGCCCCCGTGTGGCTGACCTTCAAACACACCGTGCGACCTTGGGGCTGTGGCTTTGCTGCTGTGGGCCTCGGTTTTCCACATCTGGAAATGGAATGATGTTCATGCACACCTCACGGGAAGTTAGGGTGGTCAAGCAGCCCCCAGAAAAGCCTGGGCCAGAGTGGGTGTCCCTAAGTGTTAGCTGACATTAGATGCTCTCCCCTTCGGCCTTTTTTCTTTTTGAGATGGAGGCTCACTCTGTGGCCCAGGCTGGAGTACAGTGGCATGATCTCAGCTCACTGCAACCTCCGCCTCCTGGGTTCAAGCGATTCTCCTGCCTCAGCCTCCCGAGTAGCTGGGACCACAGGCATGCACCACCACACCCAGCTAATTTTTTGTACTTTTTTCCTTTTGTAGAGATGTGGTTTCACCATGTTGCCTAGGCTGGTCGCAAACTCCTGGGCTCAAGCCATCCTCCCACCTCAGCCACCCAAAGTGTTGGGATTACAGGCGTGAGCCACCGCGCCCGGATGGCATGGCTGATATCTGGGGCTGTGTTACTCTCTGAGGTGGGGAGTGTCCTGTGCGTTTTAGGTTGTGCCACAGCATCGCTGGCCTCCACCCATTGGATACCAGCAGCACACCCCCGCTACGGAGAGGTGACAAGCACAAATACCCCCAGACATGGTCAAGTGTCCCTTGGGGGGCAGAATCACCCACAAGGAGAACCGCTGTGTTACATCACTCCCCGGCCCAAGGTTAGACTACAGGACAGACTTCCCACTGCAGCCCTCCCCCGCATCTTCTGCTGGAATCCTTTCCCTTGGCCTCCAGGGCCTTCTCTGTCGTCCAACTCCATGCCCAGCCACTGGCCCCTGAAAAACAGGGAGCCCAGCCCTGGAGCCCACCCCCATCCTCTCCCCGGCATTGGATTATCTGTTCCTGGGGTCGGACAGAATGCCTGCATCTATGTGATGTGGACATATTGGTGTCTTTGGGGGTTGGGGTGGGGAAGGGGTCAGGCTAAGGGGCTGTCCTGTCCCTTCCTCTGCTGGGGAAATCATGAGCTGAAGGCTGAGTCTCTGAGGGAGGCCTCTGTCCCTCCCCCTGGCTGGGGTGCAGGTCAGGACCTAGACTGGCAGAAGGGGGTGCTTCAGGGCAGAGAGATGGGCCATTTGAGGTCCCGATACCTTGAGATCCAGGGTGTTCCTAGTACCTCCCACCCCAATGCATGCATGCATTCATTCCTTCATTCATCAGTATTTTTATTTTTATTTATTTATTTTTTTTACTGGAGTCTCTGTTGCCCAGGCTGGAGTGCAGTGGCGCGATCTCAGCTCAGTGCAACCTCCGCCTCCTGGGCTCAAGTGATTCTCCTGTCTCAGCCTCCCGAGTAGCTGGGATTACAGGTGCATGCCACCAAGCCTGGCTAATTTTTGTGTTTTTAGTAGAGATGGGGTTTCGCTATATTGGCCAGGCTGGTCTTGAACTCCTGACCTCAAGTGATCTGCCCGCCTCGGCCTCCCAAAGTGCTGGGATTACAGGCGTGAGCCACCATGCCCGGACCCACATTCATCAATATTTACCTCCCTTTCCTGGTGCCCGAACCTGTGCTGGGCTCTGGAGAACCATCAGTGAGCACCACAGACCTGACCCCATCCACACATGGCTCACAGTCCAGGCAGGAGGCGGACCCAGGAAAGGGTGGTTCCGACCTGGGTGATTAGAGAAAAGAGGGGGTCTCTGGGCCAGCCTGGAGGTCAGAGGAGGTGACTGAGTCTGGAAGAATAAGAAGTGGTTCATTGGGTGAAGTCAAAGCACAGGGAGGCTGAGCAAACCTTAGAAGGAGCCTTCTTGGGGCTGGGTGCGATGGCTCACACCTGTAATCCCAGCACTTTGGGAGGCTGAGGCAGGAGGCTCACTTGAGCCCAGGAGTTCGAGACCAGCCTGGGCAACATAGTGAAACCCTGTCTATACAAAAAGGTACAAAAATGAGGCATGGTGGCACATGCACCTATGGTCCCAGCTACTCTGGAGGCTGAGGTGTGAGGATCACCTGAGCCCAGGAGGTCGAGGCTGCAGTGAGTCAAGATCTTGCCACTGCACTCCAGCATGGGTGACAGAACGAGACCCTGTCTCAAAAAAAAAAAAAAAAGGAGCTTTCTGGGGAGGACGGATGGGAGGCTAGAGGCCAGGGAGGAGCCAGGAACTGGAATCCGGGCAGGAGGGGGTCCTGGGGACAGGTGGGATAGGATCTGGGGAGGGGATGAGGGCGAGAAGAGACCAGGTCGACATCTGACTTTCTGGTTCAGGGACCAGGCAGACACGGGGAGTAACCCTGAGAGGTTTGGGAGTGACACTGAGGTCAACCTGCACCCTGCTGGCTCTGATGTCCTGACAGGGGTCCCTCTGGGCTGTGGTGCTGTGGTAAACAGCAGTGGGGGAACCCTGCAGACAGTTCGTCCTGAACACCCCGACAGCCGATTGACGGGTCTTTATTAGCTGGAGAGCTGCGTGGGTTTAAAATAGCATCGTGGCAACAACAAAAGCAATCTGCCTCCTGAATTTTCATTCTGAACGGGTGATCTGCTTTTAATCAAGCAAGGCATCCCAAAATGCTCCTAATTACCCCGAGTCAAGGGCTCGGCAGTCATTTCGATGTCAGCATTCAGGCTGGCGTGATTAGATTTTCACCAAACGAGGGAGCTCGGCCAGAGCTCGATGTCAGGGTGAAGCCAGTCCTGGAATGTCCGGGGTGCCCTGATTTGGAACTGGGGGATGGAGGCTGCAGGGCGGAGACAAACCTCAGGACAGGGGAGTCGATTTCAGACTTGATCGGTGGCTTTGAAAAACCCTCTGTCCCTTTGGGGGCCTCAGTTTCCCCATCTGTACAACGTGATGATGGTGATGATGAAATGAGATAGCAATTGAAAACGTTTTTTAAATTTTTTATGGTTTTTTTTTTTTTTTTTCTGAGACAGAATCTCACTCTGTCGCCCAGGCTGGAGTGCAGTGGCGCAATCTCGGCTCACTGCAAGCTCCGCCTCCCGGGTTCAAGCAATTCTCCTGCCTCAACCTCCCGAGTAGCTGGGATTACAGGCATGCGCCACCATGCCCGGCTAATTTTGTAGTTTTAGTAGAGACGGGGTTTCTCCATGTTGGTCAGGCTGGTCTCGAACTCCCAACCTCAGGTGATCCACCCACCTTGGCCTCCCAAAGTGCTGGGATTACAGGCGTGAGTCACCGTGCCTGACCCAAAGGTGCATCTTATATTTGACGGCATCTCAGAGCCCGTGGAATACAGTGACAAGTAGGTATGTGGCAGGGTGTGTTAGAAGGTGAGAAATGCTATGGAAGGAAAAAAGAAAAGATGATGCTTTCAGGCTGGGCGCAGTGGCTCACGCCTGTAATCCCAACACTTTGGGAGGCGGAGGCAGGCAGATCACCTGAGGTCAGGAGTTTGAGACAAGCCTGGCCAACACGGTGAAACCTCATCTCTGTGAAAATACAAAAATTAGCTGGGTGTGGTGGTGCACACCTGTGATCCCAGCTACTTGGGAGGCTGAGGCAGGAGAATTGCTTGAACCGGGGAAGCAGAGGTTGCAGTGAGCCGAGGTGGCACCACTGCACTCCAGCCTGACGTGCAGGGCAAGACTGTGTCTAAAAAAAAAAAACAACAACAAAAAAAAAAAACAGAAGCTAAGGGGCAGTTCTGGGTGTCTGGGATATAAAATCCCCCCACGATGGCAAGTACACAGCGGCTCGTGCCTATAATCCCAGCACTTTGGGAAGCTGAGTGGAAGGATGACTTCAGGTCAGGAGTTTGAAACCAGCCTGGGCAACGTAAAGGTGTGTCTTTTTTTTTTTTCCCGGCAGAACACATCTCTGCAAAAAATTTAAACATTAGCCAGGTAGGCCGGGCGTGGTGGCTCATGCCTGTAATCCCAGCACTTTGGGAGGCGGAGGCAGGCAGATCACCTGAGGTCAGGAGTTTGAGATAAGCCTGGCCAACACGGTGAAACCTCATCTCCGTGAAAATACAAAAATTAGCTGGGTGTGGTGGTGCACACCTGTGATCCCAGCTACTCGGGAGGCTGAAGCTGGAGAATGGTGTGAACCCGGGAGGCAGAACTTGCAGTGAGCCGAGATTGCGCCACTGCACTCCAGCCTGGGCGACAGAGCAAGACTCCATCTCAAAAATAAATAAATACATAAATAAATATAATCCCAGCACTTTGGGAGGCTGAGGTGGGCGGATCACGAGGTCAGGAGATCGAGACCATCCTGGCTAACACGGTGAAACCCTGTCTCTATTAAAAATATAAAATACAAAAAATTAGCTGGTGTGGTGGCGGGCGCCTGTAGTCCCAGCTACTTGGGAGGCTGAGGCAGGAGAATGGCGTGAACCCAGGAGGTGGAGCTTGCAGTGAGTCGAGATTGCGCCACTGCACTCCAGCCTGGGCGACAGAGTGAGACTCTGTCTAAAAAAAAAAAAAAAAAAAAAAAAAAGAAAATTAGCCAGGTATGGTGGTGCACATCTGCAGTCCCAGCGACCCAGGAAGCTGAGGCAGGAGGATCACTTGAGATTGGGAGTTCGAGGCTTCAGTGAGCTATGATCGTGCCGTTGTACTACTCCAGCCTGGGTGACAGAGCAAGACCTTGTCTCTTAAAAAAAAAAAAAAGAGAGAGAGAAATCTTCCCCCATGTAATAATGGTGAGATCATAGAAGGAACTGGAAGCATGGGGATGGTGGCTCTATGAGGCTACTCTGGGGAGCTACTAGGTCTCCTTGAAAGATTTAAATCCCAACAGGTGAGTTTGAGAAGCTTTAGGGCTTGAGGTTTGTGGTTTCTCTTGTGGTCTCAAGTCCCGTTGGTGGAGATGATAAACCATGTGGCTGCAGACCCTTGGAACGTCGTATCATGGCCAGGAGGAAGGTGGATTGTGGGCAAAGGCAGACTCTGCAATCAGACAGGTCTGGCAGGAAATTCCAGCTATACCTATTCCCTGCTATGTGACCTTGAGTGAATTATGTCCCTCCCTGAGCCTAGTTTCCTGGCTGGTAGAATGGAGACCATATCAGCTCTTGGGGCCGGGCATGGTGGCACACGCCTGTAATCCCAGCACTTTGGGAGGCCAAGGCAGGTGGATCACCTAAGGTCGGGAGTTCGAGACCAGCGTGACCAATATGGTGAAACCCCGTTCGTACTAAAAATAAGAAAAATTAGCCAGGCGTGGTGGTGCACACTTGTAATCCCAGCTGCTCGGGAGGCTGAGGCAGGAAAATCGCTTTAACCCAGGAGGCAGAGGTTGTAGTGAGCTGAGATCGCGCCACTGCACTCCAGCCTGGGCAACAGAGTAAGATTCCGTCTCAAAAAAAAATCAGCTCTTACCCCATAGCATGAGTGTGCAAATTCAATGTAAGCATGTAAACTCTCAAAAGAAGCGCTGTGCAGAGCACCTGGACCACAGCAAGGACTTGATAAATGTTACCAGTTAGGGTCTGGAGTCTTCCTTTTTGCCTAGGATCTATGCCACTGTCTGCCACCTTTTTCTGTGGTATCAAAAGCCTCCATTCCTGTTGTATCTGTTAGGATAGGCTTGGTTTTGCTGCAGTAATCAAACAGCCCCTATGCCTCAGAGGCTAAGAACATCCAAAGTTTATTTCTCACTCACATTGTATATGCAATTGTGACCTTTTGGGCCAGGGACTTGAAGATTATCACTTCCCTCCAGGACCCTGGCTGATGGAGCAGTCACTGCCTGGAACTTGTTGATTTCTGTGGCAGAAGAAAACAGGGTTCTGGAGGGTATTTCATTAGCAGCTAATTGTTGTATTTTGAGTAGAGACAGGGTTTCACCATGTTGTCTAGAACCCATCCTACATTCCCACTCAATCCAACCCATTGCAGAAGCCAGGAAGTTCAATCCCAAACTGTGCTCATGTAATAGCCGTAGCTATGACATCCACCAAATCTCTTTGACATACAACCCTAAGCACTTCTTTTTTTCTTTTCCAGAGACAGGGTCTTACTCTGTTCCCCCAGGCTGGAGTGCAGTGGTGTGATCATAGCTCACTGCAGCCTCGAACTCCCGGCCTCAAGTGATCCTCCCGCTTCAGCCTCCCAAGTAGTTAGGACCAGAGGTGCACACCTCCATGCCCAGCTAATTTTTAAAAATTTTGTATAGGCCAGGCACGGTGGCTCACGCCTGTAATCCCAGCACTTTGGGAGGCCAAGGAAGGCAGATCACGAGGTCAGGAGTTCGAGACCAGCCTGATCAACATGGTGAAACCCCGTCTCTACTCAAAATACAAAAATTAGCCAGGCGTGGTAGTACGTGTCTGTAATCCCAGCTACTCAGGAGGCTGAGGCAGGAGAATCACTTGAACCCGGGAGGTGGAGGTTGCAATGAGCTGAGATTGTGCAGCTGTACTCCAGACTGGGCGACAGAACGAGACTCTGTCTCAAAAAAAAAATTTGTGTGTGTGTGTGTGTGTGTAGAGACAGGGTCTTGCTACATTGCCCAGGCTGGAGTGCAGTGGTGCCATCATAGCTCACTGCAGCCTCATCTCCCAGGCTCAAATGATCCTCCTGCCTTGGCCTTCCAAGTACCTGGGACTACAGCCATGTGCCACCACACTTGGCTAATTTTTTATCTTCTTGTAGAGACAAGGTCTCACTGTGTTTCCCAGGTTGGTCTCAAACTCCTGGCCTCAAGCAGTCCTCTCACCTTGGCCCCTCAAAGTGCTAGGACTGCAAGTGTGAGCCACTGTGCCTGACCAGCATTTATTTCTCCTTCTCACATCTGCAGATCAGCTGGGCTCAGTTCTACCCTGTGAATTGGGTCAGGCCGGGTCCATGTGTTTTTTTATCTTCCTTGGCTTAGTGGCTTTTCAAGGCATTTTTGACCCAGGGCTAAAGGTTGGAGCAGGAGAGGTCATGTAGAAACATGCAGTGACTCTGAAGACCTAAGTGCAGAATTGGCACACTGTCACATTCCCTCACATTGCCTTGACCAAAGCAAGTCACGTAGCTGGGATGGCCTCAGTGGGTCAGGGAAGGGCATTTCTCCCGTAAACTTTGGGAAGAGGTTGAATGAAATTTGCTGAAGAATAATCTAGTCTTCTATGTTTCAGAAGGTAAAGATCAAGAAATATTTGACAAGACCACTATTAATTACCATGCAGACACCATATACATAAATGTCAGGTTGTAAAGTGAAAAGTCCAGGGGTATATGGACTTCAGGAATGGCTGGATCCAGAAGCCCCCTTTTCTTAGTGTCTCTGCTCTGTCTTCAGGCCCTTACAAGACGGCTGTAGGTTTGAGTCCAGCAGGGAGAGCCTGCATTTTGATACTTCCTTTTCAGGTGTCAAATCTCTCAGATAGCATGCAACGAAGAAACAGCAACCTCTATCGCTTGATTGACACATACAATGAGCAAATTATAGGCTTCTTTCTCACTGTTCCCTTGCACTCTCCGTCACACTGAGCAGCTCATCTTCTGCAGAACAGGCTCTTGTTTCCACAGGTTCCCCCCTCCCCGCGTTTGCTCACACAGTACCTCCCCACCATGTTCCCCAAGGGGGATCAGATTATACAAACTAAGTATCACAGGCTCCCAGGGGGCCAGGCTGGAGTTCTTTGTATGGATTCCTGATCCTGCAGCCCCTTCTCAGATCCTCCCACAAGTGCATTTGCTTGGACCCAAGTCCGCCAGGCTGGAATGCGAGCCTCTTGGCTGAGGTCAGAATATGAGGGCGGCAGGCAGCATGGAGTTTGTTTAATTGATTTGCGCTTAACTGGCTGCCTTCCCGGATGGGCCCTGGAGGAGGGGGCAAGGTGGATTCTGGAGCTTGCTTTGGGCACTTTGCTGACTGGCGCACCTCCCCGGGTCCAAGGATGCTGGGATTCTGCTAAGGCTCAGTGCAGAGCCCAGCCCTCTGGAGGGATCCTAGGCTAGGGAGAGAAAGAGCTAGACTCAGGCACTCCCAGCCTTAAGCACCAAGGGCTGGGCAAGAAGGCATGACACAGCAGTGAGAGCACCTTATGGGGAGTCCAACAGACCTGTGTTCAAATCCCCGCTTGATCACTTATCCACTATAACCTTAGCTGAGCCACTTCAGCTTGTATGCCTCAGTTTCCCCATCTGTATAAATGAAGGAAGACACAGCATCTAACTCATGGGGCTGTTGCAAAGAGTGAACACATGACAGCAGGGGCTGGCAAGCTTTTTCTGTAAGGGGCCAGAAAGTCAAAAGTTTTGGCCAGAAAGTCAACTCTGCCAGTCGTGTAAAAGCAGTCATAGATGATAGCTGAGCAAATGAGCATGGTTGCATGCCAGTAAAACTTTATTTGTTGATGCTGACATTGGAATTTCATATTTTCATGTGTCCCAAAAGACAAGTTTTTATTTTATTTTATTTTATGTTTACTATTTTCTTTTTTTTAGAGACGGGGTCTCGCTCTGTCACCCAGGCTGGAGCGCAGTGGTGCCATCATAGCTCACTGTAGCCTCGAACTCCTGGGCTCAAGGGATCCTCTCCCCTCAGCTTCCTGAGTAGCTGGGACCACAGGCTCACACCACTACACCCAGGTAATTTTTAAATTTTTGGTGGAAATGGGGTTTTGCTATGTTGCTCAGGCTGGTGTCTAACTCCTGGCCTCAAGCAATCCTCCCGCCTCACCTCCCTAAACACTGACATGACTACAGGCATGAGCCACTGTGTTCAGCACCACAATATTATTTTATTTTTTCAACTATTAAAAAAGTTGTCCGGGCGCAGTGGCTCACGCCTGTAATCCCAGCACTTCGGGAGGCCGAGGTGGATGGATCACGAGGTCAGGAGATCGAGACCATCCTGGCTGACGCAGTGAAACCCCGTCTCTACTAAAAATACAAAAAATTAGTCGGGCATGGTGGCAGGTGCCTGTGGTCCCAGCTACTCAGGAGGCTGAGTCAGGAGAGTGGTGTGAACCCAGGAGGCGGAGCTGGCAGCGAGCTGAGATTGCACCACTGCACTCCAGCCTGGGTGACACAGTGAGACTCCGTCTCAAAAAAAAAAATTAAAAACAGGTGTTGGACTGTATTTGTCCCTGGCTGACTTCTGAAGTACAGCATTTACAAGAGCACTTAGCACATAGAAAGTGATCAACAAATACTGCTGCTATTATTATTATTCTTGTTTTTGATCCCGAGTCACAAAGGAGGCCTCAGAGCCAGGATGTGAGATCTAATGAGGACCTCAAACATCCATTTTACGAATGAGGCTGCTCCGCTTCTTAGCCCTGTGGCCTGGAGAAAGTGGTTTCACCTCTCTGAGCCTCAGTCTTCCCATCTGTACAATGGGTACAACATCACCTCCCTAAGAGGCAAAGTAATGACCCATTCCTCCACCCTCTTGTATTATCACTCTGCTCTCCTGGTGTGAACATACATCTCTGCTTCATGCTTCTGGGCCTTTGTTCTTGCTGGTCTCTCCAGCAAGAACCCACTCCCCCTTCTCACCCATTGGCTCTGTCTCAAACTTGGGGATCAGCACAGAAAGTGCCTCCTCCAGGATACCTTTCCCAACCCCACATTGGATCAGGAACCTTTTCCAACCTCCCTTATCACAGCAAATGTCAGACTAGGCTGGGAGTATCTGTGCTAGACATAGAAAAATCCAGGGCTGGTACTTTTCTGGGTACAAGGCTGGGCAAAAGTGGGGCACCACAGATATAGATGGAATTTAATGTCTTTCTTTTTCCCTTCCTCCCAATTCCCAATCTCTCTTACTCTCAGCTCCTCCTTCCCCCCTCCTTTTCTTCCTTCCCTGTCTCCCAGAAACCCCTTGGGGCCCAGAGCCATTGAAAACTCTTGCTCTCTTTATCTCCTGTGGCAGACAGATCCTAAAGTGGCTCCCATGATTCCTGCCTTCTGGTGTTCACATCCTGTGCATAATTCCCTACTCTTGAGTGTGGGCATGACCTGTGACTTGTTTCTCATCAACAGTATATAGCACAGGTGACAGAATGTTGCTTCCATGATTATATTACCTTACATAAGACTCTATCTGGCTAGCAATCTCACTACTCTTTTTCTCTCTTACTGGCACATGGTCACATTGTGAACAGCCCAGGGTGGGGACCACATTGCAAGGAACTGTGGGCAGCCTCTTGAAGCTGAGAGCAGAATTCAGCCAATGGCAAGAAGCCAGGCACCTCAATCCTGCAGCCACAAGGAAATGAATCCTGCTAGCAACCCGAGAAGGCTTAGAAATGGATCCTTCCCCAGTCGAGCCTCTGATGAGACCATAGTCCTGGTTGACACCAAAACTGTAACCTTGTAAGAAACCCTAATGCAGGGGCCCCAGCTAAGCCATGCTCAGATTCCCAATCCATGGGAACTGTGAGATAATAAATGTGTTGCTTGAAGCTGCTAGGTTTGTGGGTACTTTGTTACACAGCAATAGCTAATGGATACACCTCCATTTAAACATTTCCTTCAAGGCTCTTCTACAGCACAGGTGCAATCCAAGGAGTCCCAGATCTCCCACCCGATCTCCCTGGGCACCACCTTCATGAGGCCCATGGCCATGGGGTGAGGTGTGGCTGCCTTGGGTCTCTTGTAAGCAGGGCTGTGCAGCAACAGCCAGAAAGGGGTGGCTAAGGACATGGTGGCTCTTGTCCCCAAGCCTGTTGGATCCAGACCACCTGCCCTTGGGCAGAAGAAAGCAGCAGGACCATGGGACCTCATCCTAGGCAGGGGCTTTTCCATGGTCGCCCTGGCTCTTGGGATGTGTCTGCCCTGGACAATTGGTTCTAGTGTGGGACACTTATAACTGTCATTGACTCATGAGATGCCTGCCATTCGTTGGCCCAGACAGAGAATTCAATCACACTGAAGAAAGAAAAAAATTCATTCTCTTCTATTCTCTTTCCATTCTGCAGAGCCACTCTGTCCAATATGGCAGTCACTAGCCATGGGTGGCTGTTTACATTAAATTAATTAAAATCAAACAAAATTTGATAGAAAGCAGAGTCTCAAAGAGATACTTGTACACTCACATTCATAGCAGCATGATTCACGATAGGCAAAAGCCAAAAACAACACAAGTGTTTCATCAGACGAATGGATGAGCAAAATGTGATCTATGCATAAAATGGAATATTACTCAGCCTTAAAAAGGAAGGAAATTCTGATACAGGCGATGACATTGATGAACCTTGAGGACATCACACTCAGTGAGAGAAGCCAGACACAAAAGAACAAATCTTGTGTGACTCCACTCCTAGGAGATCCCTAGAGTCATCAGATTCACAGAGACAGAACGTAGGATGGGGAGTGCCAGGGGCTGGGGAGGGGGGTGGGGAGTGAGTGTTTCATGGAGATGGAGTTTCAATTTGGGAAGATGAGAAAGTTTTGGAAATAGTGATGGAGTTTCTCCATGTTGGCCAGGCTGGTCTCGAACTCTTGACCTCAGGTGATCTACCCGCCTCGGCCTCCCAAAGTGCTGGGATTATGGGCGTGAACCTCTGCGCCCAGCCTTGATTTTCCTTTTAAAGTGCCAGGGGGTCTCTGGTTTACAGATCCCAGCCAATACCTGGACCTGGGAGAATTTAGTAACTGGGTTTTGTTTTCCCTGTGAATCCCACAACTGTTCTCTGAACAGCAGCCAGAGGGCGCCCGTGAGCACCTAAGTCAG
The DNA here is from genome assembly GCF_000001405.40 of Homo sapiens. NCBI lineage: Eukaryota > Metazoa > Chordata > Mammalia > Primates > Hominidae > Homo > Homo sapiens. Next base: position 5,480,706 of record NC_000019.10, on the reverse strand, counting down.
ATCTCGTCTCTCCTCTGCCCACAGCCCTCAATGGCTCCCACCTCCCTCAGGGTCAAAGCCCAAGTCCTCCCCGAGGCCTACCAGGCCCTGCACGACCTGCCCCAGCCCCTCCCTGCCCTCTCCTCCTCCTTGTCTCCCCCTCACTCACTCTGCTCCAGCCACATGGGCCTCCTCGTTGTTCCTCCAACACCCCAGGTGAGGTCCTGCCTCAGGGCCTTTGCACAGGCTGTGCCCTCTGCTGGCAAGCTGTTCCTTCCAAAAGCCATGTGGCAGCCTCCCTAGCCTCCTTTGTGTCTTTGCTTCAGTGTCTCCTCAGTGAAACCCTCATCTGCATCCTAACTGAAAGCTTCAAGCCCTACTCAGAATTGACAGCCCCCTCCACTTCTACCCTTCAGACAAGAGAGCCTGGGACTCCCTCAACAGTGCTCTGAAGCTAAGAGCCTAGGATATCCCGGCCTGCCCACGACCTTGTCCTCAGCCTGGCCTTTCCCCAGCTCGCTCTGCCCCTCCCTGCAGCAGTTCAGAAATTCGTCTGGCGCACAGATGCCAGGTGGGAAAATTAATTGGGCCTTCCTGGGGCTGCTCTCTCTGCTCCCCCGTCAATAACAGCCGTAAAGCGGGATTTATGCGGCCGCGCTGGCTCCTGATGGAAACTGGGAGGAGGGGCAAAACATTCTAGAAAAGTCAATCCCTCGCCCAGGGAGCCGCCGGTGGCTGGGGCTCTGGGACCAGAGCCATCTCCCTGCTGCCCTTCCCTGGGTTGGGTGGGCGGGGAGGGAGGACATCGTCCCGGCTCTCCCTGTCTCTGGTTGGGAATCACATATCTAATTATATCTCACATGTGGGCCGGGCACGGTGGCTCACGCCTGTAATCCCAGCACTTTGGGAGGCCGAGGCAGGCGGATCACTTGAGGCCAGGAGTTCAAGACCAGCTTGGGCAACATGGTGAAACCACGTCTCTACTAAAAATACAAAATGTTAGCCAGGCGTGGTGGCAGGTGCCTGTAATCCCAGCTACTGGGGAGGCTGAGGCAGGAGAATCGCTTGAACCTGGGAGGCAGAAGTTGCAGTAAGTTGAGATTGTGCCACTGCCCTCCAGCCTGGGTGACAGAGCAAGACTGTCTCAAAAATAATAATAATAATAATATTATATCCCACATGTATAAGCACCTGTTGTAGGCTAGGCTCCGTCCCATGTGTTTTTGGAACATCAACATATTTAAAATTGGGAGGCAGGAATTTTTATGTCCCTTTTACCAACAGGGAAACAGTGACACAGAGAGGTCAAGCAACTTGCTGAAGGTTGCACAGCGAGAAAGCAGCAGAGCTGGGATTCGAACCCCGGGCTGTTAGGCTCACATTTGACATTCTCGACCACTTAAGCACGGCCCACTGCAGCTTTTATATGTCTGGTATCTACATTGCAACCCCTCAAGGCTCCCAGAGTTGAGATGGTTGGGCTGAGTGTACCAGGAGGTGAGGGGTGCAGTTTGGATTTGAATCTCCATGGTGGTGGATGTTCTCTCTCATGTCTAAGACCGTTGTTACTGAAGGCCTCCTCTTTTCCTACTCTGGGTAAGAAAGGAGGGGACATCTGGGTGTCGCCAGCTTCCAAACTTTATTCTTATTTCTTTTCTTCTGAGCCAGTTGCTGTGGTTGCCACAGTTGTCCCTGGCTTAGGGGTTTGTGGGGACTAGCATGTGAAAGGATGATACAGGCAGTTGGGAAAGCCACAGTCACATCTTGATTTAACTGAGGGCTGCTGGCTACAGAGGATTTAACTGAGGGCTTCAGGAGCTATTGCATGAAGCCTGCTTGAAACTCTTACATCTGCTGATCCCTCTGGTGTCCGTTGCTTTTCCTTTCCTCTCCCTCCTCAGTAGAGGCTCTTCGAGGCACCCCTGGGGAGGTCATGTAGGATCTGAATTCAAATCCCAACTGTGCTGTGTGACCTTGGGGAAGCGTCTTCCCCTCTCTGGGCTCAGCATTCTTATCGGAAACCCGGGGCTAATAGCAGTAGGGTTGTGCAGGCACATGGAGCAGGCATAGATAGGAGAAAGTCCAGCGCTGACTGAACACGCGGTGGGCTTTTAACTATTTTTCTTACTGTTTTTATGTCGCCTTCTGACTGCAGAGAGAGCGAGAGAGAGCGGGGCGGGGAGGCTGCCATCTCTCCCCGGAGCCATTCCCGCAATTCCCGGACCCAATCCAGCGGCCTCCCTCTTCCACAGGCGCCGCAGGGACGGGTTTGATGGACATGTTTTTTGCACGGAAAAAAGCTGGAGGAATTGTATTTTGCCAAAAGTGTCAGCCGGAGAGAAAATATTTCCCGCATCTCTGGCGAGTGTTGACGGGCAGCAGCCAGCGCGCTGCTGGGGGGGTGGGCGGCAGGGGGCTGCACACATCCGGGGGCCGCCGCCCCCACCTCTGTCCCAGCTGCCTCATCAGCCTCCGAGACGCCCCCCTGCAAGCCTGTCCACACCCCGCCCCTCCCCTCCAGCCCCCTGCCTAGCTTTTCCCCTCCGACATCCTCTCTCAGACACCCCAGCCTCTCTCTCTTTCTTTCTCTCCTCCGTAAGTATGGAATGAGTAAATGATATTGGAGCTGTGATTTGCAAAATGAGGCGTTTGCCTGGACAAGGGGGTGAGCAGGAGGCACCATCAGTGCCAAGGCCCTGGGGCAGGACAGACCCTGGCGTGTTGGAGGAACAGCGAGGGGGCTCGTGTGGCTGCAGCAGAGTGAGGAGGGGGAGAGGAGGGGGTGAGGAGGAGGAGAGGGCAGGGAGGGGACAGGGCAAAGTAGGGAAGGGACAGGGCAAGGTGTGCAGGGCTTTACGGGCTGTGGGGAGGACTTCGGGTTTTATTCAAGTGGTACTAGGGATCCCTGGGAGGGATTTGAGTAGGAGAGGGACGTGATCTACTTTATGAATAAACAGATCCCACTGTCTGTGTTGGGGGAATGGGTTGGAGGGGGGCAGAGTGGTGGCCTGGAGGTGGAGGAAGAGAGCCCTGTACCCTCCCTTGGCTCAGGGCACTGGCGAAGGGCCAGGGGACTCAGAACCAACTCTGTCTGCGCCTCGTGTCAGCAGAATCGCTTGAAATTCAAAATAAAGCAGACCATTCCAAAGAAAGCAGGCCAGGTGCAGTGGCTCATGCCTGTAATGCCAGCACTTTGGGAGGCCAAGGTGGGTGGATCTCTTGAGGTCAGGAGTTTGAAACCAGCCTGGTCAACATGGCAAAAACATGTCTCTACTAAAAAAAAAAAAAAAAAAAAAAAATTAGCCAGGTGTGGTGGCGTGCGCTTGTAGTCCCAGCTACTTGGGGGAGCTGAGGCAGGAGAATGGCTTGAACCTGGGAGGTGGAGGTTGCATTGAGCTGAAATCACGCCATTGCACTCCAGCCTGGGCTACAGAATGAGACTCCGTCTCAAAAAAAAAAAAAAAAAAAGAAAGAAAAGAAAGAAAAAGAAAAAGAAAAAGAAAAAAAGAAAAGATTAAAAATAAACCAGACTGGGCCTCTGTAAGTTAGGGTTTTAGAGCAACAGAGAGATGCGTCCAGCAGCCTTCACTTCAGCGTTGACAGACAAATAACCAGAAATGACCAGAAACCCGTCACTGGGGGGCAGGTGACCTCTATCATCCCTGAAAAGGAAGGCTATGCAGCCGTGATGAAGGGTGAGGTCTGGTGTGGTAGCGGACGAGGACTCACATCCTGGACACGTGGGTGGGGGCCGGAGGACAGAGCAGAATGACACCGGAGAACATTCCAGAAGCATCCACACCAGAACGTCAAGGGGGGTCACCCCAGGGAACAGGATTGTGGCAGGGGGTTTATTTTGCTTCATTTTATTCTTTTAAAAAATGTATTTTTAGAGATGGAGGTCTTGCTATGTTGTCCAGGCTGGTCTTGAACTCCTGGCCTCAAATGATCCTCTCCCCTCAGCCTCCCAAAGTGCTGGGATTACAGGTGTGAGCCACCGCACCCGGCCGCCTCTCCTTTTTTTTTTTGAGACAGAGTCTCGCTCTGTCGCCCAGGCTGGAGTGCAGTGGTGCAATCTTGGTTCACTGCAAGCTCCTCCTCCCGGGTTCACACCATTCTCCTGCCTCAGCCTCCCGAGTAGCTGGGACTACAGGCGCCCGCCATAACATCCGGGTAATTTTTTGTATTTTTAGTAGAGATGGGGTTGCACCGTGTTAGCTAGGATGGTCTCGATCTCCTGACCTAGCGATCTGCCCGCCTCGGCCTCCCAAAGTGCTGGGATTACAGGTGTGAGCCACTGTGCCTGGCCCCGCTTCTTCTTATATAAGTGCACCAGTTGTTAGATTTTGGGCCACTCTACATCCAGGATAATTTCATCTGCAAAGACCCTATTTCTTTTTTTTTCTTTTTCTTTTTGGAGACAGGGTCTTGCTCTGTCGCCCAGGCTGGAGTGCAGTGGTGCAATCATAGCTCACTGCAGCCTCAAACTCCCAGGCTCAAGCAAACCTCCCACCTTAGCCTCCCGAGTAAGCTGGGACTACAAGGTGCGAGCCACCATGCCCGGCTAATTTTTGTAGTTTTTGGAGAGACAGGGTTTCACCGTGTTGTCCAGGCTGGCAAAGATGCTATCTCTAAATACAATGCCATTCTGAGATTTTGGATGGACGTGAATTTGATGGGGCAGACGAGCGTGCTTCTCCCTCCCTCCCTCCCTCCCTCCTTTCCTTCCTTCCTTCCTTCTTTTTTTGACGGAATCTTGCTCCATTGCCCAGGCTGGAGTGCAGTGGCATGATCTCAGCTCACTGCAACCTCCGCCTCCGAGGTTCAACCAATTCTCCTGCCTCAGCCTCCTGAGTAGCTGGGATTACAGGCACATGCCACCATGCCCAGCTAATTTTTGTATTTCTAGTAGAGACGGGGTTTCGCCACGTTGGCCAGGCTGGTCTCGAACTCCTGACCTCATGATCCGCCCCCACCTCAGCTTCCTAAAGTGCTGGGATTACAGGCTGAGCCACCATGCCCGGCCTAGGAGTGTGCTTTTCAACCCACTACATCATGTAACATAATACAGTCTAAGGATTCTGTTCTAAGAATTAGGATGTGGACATCTTTGGGCGGCATTGTTCTGTCTGCTGCACCACCCTGTCCATCTGATTTTGTCCCTCCCCTGCTGAAAGCCCTGCCATGACTTGCTATTTCCTTAGATCAAGATTAAAACTCTAGGGCTCTGGCAGGGCACAGTGGTTCACACCTGTAATCCCTGCACTTCAGGAGGCTGAGGCAGGAGAATTGCTTGAGGCCAGGAGTTCAAGACCAGCCTGGGCAACATAGCGAGATCCGATCTCTGCAAAAAATTAAAAAAAAATTAGCTGGGTGTGATGGCATGTGCCTGAGGTCCCAGCTACTCAGGAGGCTGAGGTGGGAGGATCGCTTGAGGCCAGGAGATCGAGACCAGCCTGGGCAACATAGCAAGACCCCATTTCTACAAAATAATAATAATAGAAATAATAATGAAAGCTGTCACTGTTGTCTTCAGTGTTCTGGGGGGTCCAGAACCCCCAATCAGGTCCTTCTCCTCTGCTTTCCTCCCAGCTCACTCCAGCCACACTGTCTGTCTGGCATTCTTCAAATAGGCCAAGCTTTTTAGAAGCAATCCAGCCTGGAATGCCCTTTCTTGCCCTAGAGCATCTCAAGGCTGCTCCCCACTCAACTGGAACTCCAAGGTCACCTCTTTAGAGTAGCCGTCCCAGACTACCTGGGCTAAAGTGGCCCACCCTCCTCCACCTTCACTCTGTGGACACCTGAATCAGGTTCCGTCCCTCCTCTGCCTACAGCCCTCCATGGCTCCCGCCTCCCTCAGAGTCAAAGCCCAAGTCCTCTCTGCAGCCCGCAAAGCCCTGCATGACTTGGCCCGTCCCCTCCCTCCCCTCCCCTCCCTCCCTCCGTGTCTCCCCTTCCTCACTCTGCTCCAGCCACATGGGCCTCCTCGCTGTTCCTCCAACATGCCAGGCGAGGTTCTGCCATAGGGTCTTTGCACGGGCTGTGCCCTCTGTTTCCAACACTCTTCTCCAGTCACCACACGGCTCCCTCCCTGCCTCTTTCAAGTATCTGCTGAGATGTCACCTGCTCAGTGAGGCCTCCCTGACACATTGCCCACCTTAGTTTCTAACTTTCACTTTCTTCCATGGAATCTCTGGCACCCCATGCCCCTTCTTGCTTTAATTTTCATAGGATTCATTACCCAGCAGACTGCATAGCTTTTTTTTTTGAGACAGAATCTTGCTCTGTCACCCAGGCTGGAGTGCAGTGGCACAATATCGGCTCACTGCAACATCTGCCTCCCGAGTTCAAGTGATTCTTCTGCCTCACCCTCCCGAGTAGCTGGGATTACAGGCGCGCACCACCACGCCCGGCTAATTTTTGTATTTTTAGTAGAGACGAGGTTTCGCCATGTTGGCCAGGCTGGTCTTGAGCTCCTGACCTCAGGTGATCTGCCCACCTCGGCCTCCCAAAGTGCTGGGATTGCAGGGGTGAGCCACTAATAACTATTTATAATGTTAATGCTCAGGGCTCATCTTCCCCATGCCATGAGAGCCCAGGAGGGTAGGGGCCAGGTCTGTTTTGCTCACAGCTAAGTCTGCAACCCCCGGTCCAGGGCCCACCAGCGGGAAGGAATCCTGCAGTGTTTCCATCCATCCTGGAGCCTCAGTTTCCACATCTGCCTAATGGGGTCATGTGCCACTTGTCCTTGGGGTCACTGAGTGTCTTCAGTCATCCGCCAAGTCTGCAGAAGCACCTAGCCAGCTGGGCTCGGGCACACAGTAAGTGTTTGTCTCTCACCCCCTCCAACCATCACTCAGACCTGGCATGGGAGGTGACAGCCCCGCAGATGCCACTGGCTTGGGTTGCACTACTGGGGCCAAGATGCTGTCACATTTGGTAAATTGCAGGCAGGCAGCTTCTGCGGCTGCAGTACCAAGGACAGGCAGGGATGTGACTGGGAATATCTGGAGTTCAAGAGACCCAGGACTGAGCCGGGAAGTAGAGGCCTGAGAGTCAACTCTGCCCCTCTCTGGGCCTCAGTTTCCTCACTGGCAAACAGAAGAGGTCTCAAGATCACTGAGGCATCTCGGAATTCCTTTGGCCACATCCTGGTGTATGAGTCCCTCACTAAGCCCTTTCATGGCTTTGAGCCTCCATATATAAAATGCAAGGATGAAAAAATAAGAAATAAGATCTGAGCACAGGAGGTGACCTTTCCTGAGCTCAGGGCCCGATGCTTAAACCCCAACCTGGCTGGGCATGGTGGCTCACGCCTGTAATCCCAGCACTTTGGGAGGCCAAGGCAGTGGATCACCTGAGGTCAGGAATTCAAGACCAGCCTGGACAACATGGCAAAACCCTGTCTCTACTAAAAATACAAAAATTAGCTGGGCGTGGTGGCACATGCCTGTAATCCCAGCCACTCAGGAGGCTGAGGCAGGAGAATTGCTTGAACCCAGGAGGTGGAGGTTGCAGTGAGCCGAGATCATGCCACTGCACTCCAGCCTGGGCGACAAGAGCAAAACTACGTGTCAAAAACAAACAAAAAACTCTCATGATAGCTAATTGATTGAACTCCTACTGTATACCTGGCCCTACACTGAGAACTTTCTAAGGAATTTAGATCTGCTTTAGGCCTCACAGCAACCCCACGACATAGGATACTATTAATATTATTACCCCCATTTTGCAGATGAGAAAATTGAGGCCCAGAGAGGTTAAAAACATTCACCCAAGATCACACAACATAGTCAAGAAGTTTCAGAGGCTGAATGGGACCTGGTCTCTCTGGTCCCAAGACTGGTCTGTAAACCCTCACACTGTCAAATGAATAGATGAGTGTCTGTTCATCTTTTGGGAAAGGAGAGGGTGCTGGCCACTTTCCCTAATGACACAGGGATCTCCAGGTTTACCCCAAGAGCCGGGTCATGGTCCCAGACCCCCTATCACTGATAACTTCCTCCCTACACAGCCAACCCCCTTGCAAAGATGCCCCCGTGGACACTGACTCCTTCCTCTCGCTGGGGCGAAAGCTCCCTTCCTCCCCAAGATCCGCTCAGGCAGGTGAAAGAGACAAGGAGGGAGAGGAGGCATCTCCCCTCGTGTCCACCTGCAGCATCTTTCAAAGAAATGCAAAATCCAGAGGAATGAGAGAGCCAGCCGCAGGCTGTGTGTGAGCGTGTGCAGGCGTGTGTGAGTGCGCGCATGGATCTATGAAAGATTTAGGCGGCGCCTGGTGTGTTATGGCCATAATTAATCTTGTCTCTTGTTGGCAGAGTGAACAACGTTCAGAAATTACTTGTTGTGGCCTGGGAGAGGCGAAGGCTGACGGGGCCCAGATTCCTTTTCCCAGGGATCGGGGTAGTGGGGTATAGATGTGGGGGAGGGTGATTCGAGAAGTGGGAGCTGCCTGGGTGCAGTGGCTCACACCTGTAATCCCAGCACTTTGGGAGCCCAAGGCAGGCAGATCACTTGAGGTCAGGAGTTCAAGACCACCTTGGCCAACATGGTGAAACCCTGTCCCTACTAAAAATACAAAAAATTGGCCGGGCGTGGTGGTGTGCGCCTATAATCCTAGCTACTCGGGAGGCTGCGGCAAGAGAATCGCTTGAACCTGGGAGGCAGAGGTTGCAGTGAGCCAAGATCACACCACTGCACTCCAGCATGGGTGACAGAGCAAGACTCCGTCTCAAAAAAAAAAAAAAAAAAAAGCCGGGCGTGGCAGTGTGTGCCTGTAATCCCAGCTACTTGGGAGGCTGAGGCGGGAGAATTGCTTGAACTTGGGAGGCGGATGTTGCCATGAGCCAAGATCGCGCCGCTGCACTCCAGCCTGGGTGACAGAGTGAGACTCTGTCTCAATTTAAAAAAAAAAAAAAAAAAAGGAAGTGGGAGCTTCTCCTAAGTTCTCCTCCACCCCACACTGGTCCCTGTCTCCATTAAGGTCATGAAGTCCCCAATCCAGTGGGTACCCCATGCATGATGGGTGCCAGGCTAGGTATTTTTGGAGGAAGAGCTTGTATTGTGTGTTTATAGTTTTACTGAGGTAAAGTGAGGTTTTAAAAAAATTTTTTTTTTGAGACAGGGTGTTAGTCTGTTGTCCAGGCTGGAGTGCTGTGGCGCGATCACGGCTCGCTGCAGCCTAGACTTCCTGGGCTTAAGTGATCCTCGTACCTCAGCCTCTTGAGTAGCTAGGCCCACAGGTGCACATCACCATGCCTGGCTAATTAAATTTTTGTGTTTTTTGTAGCGATACTGTTTTTTGTTGCGTTGCCCAGGCTGGTGTGGAACTTCTGACCTCAAGTGATCCTCTCACCTCAGCCTCCCAAAGTGCTGGGATTACAGGCGTGGCCTCTAAACATTTTTTTTTTTTTTGAGATGGAGTCTCCCTCTTGTCACCCAGGCTGGAGTGCAGTGGCAGGATCTCGGCTCACTGCAACCTCTGCCTCCCAGGTTCAAGCGATTCTCCAGCCTCAGCCTCCCGAGTAGCTGGGATTACAGGTGCCCGCCACCATGCCTAATTTTTGTACTTTTCGTAGAGATGGGATTTCGCCATGTTGGCCAGGTTGGTCTCGAACTTCTGACCTCTGGTGATCTGCCCGCCTCAGCCTCCCAAAGTGCTGAGATTACAGGTGTGAGCCACCGCGCCTGGCAGCCTCTAAACTTTTTAACAACATCTCTGCTTACAGATGAGGAAAATGAGGCACAGGACGGTTGTGGCCAGGCAGCCAGGAGTCATTTGCGGGGAGTGGATTATCTAGACACATATATCCATAAAGCCATCTGCATAATGGAAACAGTGAACATGTCCATCACCAACAAAATGAATACATTACTCCCTTTGTAACCCCTCCCCCTCCTTCCCCTCCTTCCTGTCCCCAACCCTTTCCAGGCACCCACTGGTCTGCTTAGGGTTCCTATAAATGAGTCTGCATTTTCTGGATGTCACCAGTGCGTACTCTTTTTACGTCTGACTTTTATTCCTCAGCATTACTGATTTCCAGGCTCAGCCCTGCTGTTGGGTCAATCAGTGCCCTTTTCCTTTTTATGGCCGAACAGAATACTGTGGTCTGAATGGACCACTGTTTGCTTATCTGTTTACCTGTGGGTAAACATTTGGATTATTTCCAGTTTGGGGCTGGTATGCATAAAGCTGCTCTGAACAAGTCTGTACGAGTCTTGGTGTGGATGTAGGCATCGTTTCTCTTGGGTAAATAAATACCTAGGAGAGGCGTGGCTGGGTCATAGGGGAAGCGTGTGTTTGACTTTTTCAGCAATTAGGAGCTGTGGACTTTAAACACAATGATAGGCCGGGCGCGATGGTCCAGGCCTGTAATCCCAGCACTCCGGGAGGCGGAGGTGGACGGATCACCTGAGGTCAGGAGTTTGAGATCAGCCTGGCCAACATGGTGAAACCCCGCCTCTACTAAAAATACAAAAATTCTCTGGGTGCAGTGGCGGGCACCTGTAATCCCAGCTACTCTGGAGGCTGAGGCAGGAGAATCGCTTGAACCTGGGAGGTGGAGGTTGCAGTGAGCCAAGATGGCGTCACTGCACTCCAGCCTGGGCAACAGAGCGAGACTCCATCTCAATCAATGAATAAATAAATAATAAACACAATGACAGCACATCTGGAGGGCTGGGGTGGGCTATCTTGTTTTATGCTTTAGACAGCTCAGTGACTATGGGCATTTCACTTTTCAGAAGGGGAAACTGAGGACAGATCATGTGGCTGATGAGCAGGGACTTGAACCCAGGACTGTCCAAGTCCAGAGAGGTAAACACACTCACCCAAGGTCACACAGTCAAGAAGTTTCAGAGGCTGAACTGGACCCGGGTCTCTCTGATCCCAAGACTGGGCTGTAAATCCCCACACTATCAAATGAACAGCTGAGTGTCTGTTAATCTTTTGAGAAAGGAGAGGGTGCTGGCCACTTTCTCTAATGATATGGGGGTCTCCAGGATTCTCCAAGAGCTGAGTCGTGGACTCAGACCCCCTATCACCGACAACTTTCCCCCTACACAGCCAGCCCCCTTGCGAAGGTGCAGCCGTGGACACCAACTCCTTCCTTCTGCTGGGGCAAAGGCTCCCCCCTTCCCCAGACCCCCTCAGGCAGGTGAGCACTAGGCTGGATGCATTTGTGGGCACCTGGACACCTTCAGCTTCTCTCTCTCTCTCTCTTTTTTTTTTTTTTGAGACAGAGTCTCGTGCTGTCACCCAGGCTGGAGTGCAGTGGCACCATCTCAGCTCTCTACAAACTCCGCCTCCCGGATTCAAGCGATTCTCCTGCCTCAGCCTCTCAAATAGCTGGGATTACAGGCGTGCACCACCACACCCGACTAATTTTCGTATTTTTAGTAGAGACAGTTTCACTGTGTTGGCTAGGCTGGTCTCGAACTCCCAATCTCAGGTGATCCGCCCACCTAGGCCTCCCAAAGTGCTGGAATTATAGATGTGAGCCACCATGCGCGGCCCTTAGATATGTTTAGAGACACAGTACTTACCATTGTGTTACAGTTGCCTGCTGTGTTCAATGCAGTCTCATGCTCTGCAGGTTTATAGCTTGAGAGCACTAGGCTCTCAAGCATACCGTATGGCGTAGGTGTGCAGAAGGCTCTACCATCTAGAAGTGTGTAAGCACATTCTGTGATGTTCACACAGGACAAAATCACCTGATCACCCATTCCTCAGAGAGTATCCCCATCATTAAGCGACGGATGCTGCGTTTACTTTCTGGTTTTTTTTTGTTTTTTTTTTTTTTTTGAGACGGAGTCTCGCTGTGTTGCCCGGGCTGGAGTGCAGTGGTGCTATCTCGGCTCACTGCAACCTCTGCCTCCCGGGTTCAAGCCGTTCTCCTGCCTCAGCCTCCCAAGTAGCTGGGACTACAGGTGCCCGCCACCACGCCCAGCTAATTTTTTGTATTTTTAGTAGAGACGGGGTTTCACCGTGTTAGCCATGCTGGTCTCAATCTCCTGACCTCCTGGTCCACCCGCCTTGGCCTCCCAAAGTGCTGAGATTACAGGAGTGAGCAACCGCGCCCGGCCTGTTTTTTTTTTTTTTTTTTTTGAGAAAGGGTCTCACTTGGTTGCCCAGGCTGAAGTGCAGTGGCACAATCATAGCTCACTGCAGCCTTGAGCTCCTGGGCTCAAGCAATCCTCCCACCTCAGCCTTGTGTGGTTCAAGTAGCTGGGACCACAGGCGTGTGCCACCATGCCCAGCTAGTTTTTTTTGTTTTTTTTTTTTTTGAGACACTGTCTTGCTCTGTTCCCAGGCTGGAGTACAGTGGTGCCATCTTGGCTCACTGCAACCTCTGCCTCTGGGGTTCAAACGATTCTCCTGACTCAGCCTCCTGAGTAGCTGGGACTACAGGCATGTGCCACCACGCCTGGCTACTTTTTGTATTTTTAGTAGAGATGGGGTTTTGCCATGTTGGTCAGGCTGGTGTTGAACTCCTAACCTCAGGTGACCCACCCGTCTTGGCCTCCCAAAGTGCTGGGATTACAGGCATGAGCCACCGTGCCCGGCCTGCCCAGCTAATTTTAAATTTTTTTGTAGAGATGGGATCTTGCTATGTTGCCCAGGCTGTTCTTGAACTCCTGAGCTCAAGTGATCCTCCTGCCTCGGCCTCCCAAAGTGTTGGGATTACAGGCATGCGTCACTGTGCCCAGTCTTGTTTGTTTGTTTGTTTGTTTGTTTGTTTTGAAACAGGGTCTTGCTCTGTCACCTGGGCTGGAGTGCAGTGGCATGATCACGGCTCACTGCAGCCTCAAACTCCCGGGCTCAAGATGTCCTCCCAGCTCAGCCTCCCAAGTAGCTGGGACTACAGGTGTGTGCTGCCACAATTGGCTAAATTTTTAATTTTTTTTAGAGACAGGGTCTTACTGTGTTGCCCAGGCTGGCCTTGAATTCCCGGGCTCAGGCAATCCTCCCGTCTCAGTTCCCAAAGTGCTAGGATTACAGGCGTGAGCCACCGCACCCAGCCTGTATTTGCTTTTTAGACACTCTTTACATATTCCCACAGTGTTGACTGTCTGCCTGGCACGGTCATAAGCACACACTTTACATGTCTTAATGTCTCTAAACTTCTTAACACCATCTCCATTCACAGATGGGAAAACTGAGGCACAGGCATTTCTGGCCACTCAGCCAGGAAGCATCTGAGGAGGGTGGGGACGGGCTTACCACCTGCCACCCCCGCAGCAGCAGCCTGGCCCACTCATGGTGCTCATAGCCCCCTGCGCAGGTTCTGGCTCAAGCACGGTGGTTCAACAGGCCCGGTTTTCACAAACGAGGCACCAGAAATCCCAGGAGGGGGCAGGACACTCGCCTGGCACTGGGGTCTCAGGACTGCCAGCCCTCTGTTCCCTACTATCTCCAGAGCTGCAACCAGGGCCCCCCCAAAACTGAGCCCTGCAGCCTGGGAGTGGCCTCAGCGGGTGCTGGCTCAGACAGCGAACAGATGCTTGCTATTTTAAACCCACTGTTAACTCATTAAGACAGCTGTTTCCCATCCCCAAAGTCGGCGGAATTAGAATTAAATTCATTCCAGAATTAAACACACACATACACACACGCACACCCCACCACCATTTGGAGGCAAAACTTGTTAGCATTTAGGCAAGCTGTGCCTCTGAGCCTGGGGACGGGGCTCGGCTTCCGCCTGACAAGTTACATCACAGCCCAGCGGTTGCCAGCTGGGCCTGTGGCCAAAATACCCCGTGGGCCCAGATTCTCATGTCTGCCCAGGTCTCCGCCATCAGAGTCCAGCTGCCAACTGCACGTCCTCCTGGAGTTCCCTCTGACCCCTCAGACCCAGCAAGGCCCAGAAGCAGCTCAGTATCTGCCCCAAATCTGCTTCTCCTCTTGGGTGACCATCTCCACCTGTCACTCACATCAGAGTCCAGGTTTCCCCTTCTCTTTCTCCTCTCCCCTTACCCCTCACGTCTGAATGGGCAGGACTTTCTGTTGATGCTTCTTCCAAATGGCTTTGCCCCACCCCTACTACTACTGCACTGGTCTGAGCTTTTATCACCTCCAGCCTGGACACCTGCCCCAGACACTTTTCCGGGTTTCTAACTTCCACCTGCACTCCCAACTAGCTGTTTTCTCTTAAGAGAGAGATCTTCTTAGAGTCAAAATAGGATTGTATCACTCTCTTGATCAACATTGTCTAGCACAGGGCTGTTTATTAGTACTTTCTGGGATGCGTGGAATGTTCTAGACCCACGCCAGCCAACACAGCCACCCCCATGCAGCTATAGGGTGCTTGCAATGTGGCCAGTGTGAGTGAGGACCTGCATTTTAAATTTTATTTCATTTGAATGACTTTAAATATTCACATGTAGCCGGCAGCTCCCGTATTGGTCAGTGAAGCTCTGTGGACTCTGGACATGACGCCATTGGCCTCCTGCTCAGATCCCTGGGGTCCTCCCTGTTTCCTGGAAGTGCAGGCTGGGATTCCAACTCGGTCTGTCTGTCCAAGCCTGCTCTGACATTGCCCGTGGTGGGCTGGAAGTATCACAGAATTCACACTACTCCTCCCAGCAACCCCCAACCGATGGTGCACTGGCTTTTGCATAAATCCCTTGTCCTTGGGGTGGGGCAATTCTTTTTGTTTGTTTGTTTTTTGTTTTTGTTTTTGTTTTTTTGAGACGGAGTCTCACTCTGTCGCCCAGGCTAGAGTGCAATGGTGCTATCTCGGCCCACTGCAACCTCTGCCTCCCAGGTTCAAGCGATTCTCCTGCTTCAGCCTCCTGAGTAGCTGGGATTACAGGCACCCGCCACCACTCCTGGCTAATTTTTGTATTTTTAGTAGAGATGGAGTTTTACCATGTTGGCCAGGCTGGTTTCGAACTCCTGACCTCAAGGGATCTGCCTTCCCTGGCCTCCCAAAGTGCTGGAATTACAGGTGTGAGCCACCGCACCTGGCCAGGTGGGGCAATTCTGAGTTTCACAGTCAACACAGGCTCCCCAAGGTCCCCAGTGGGACTGAACTCCACCTGCCCCTGGCTCACAAAAGCACCCCTGTTTGCTGCTTCTCTTCCCTCTTGGACCTTCCCACACGCTTCCTAGGGCTTCCTGGGTTTATCTCCCACATACACCACTTGTCCTGAAATCCTTGTCTGGGGGGCTGCTTTGGGGGAACTCAAATAGAACAGGCTCTGAATTGCACAGGCAAGAAAATGCAAACTGTTCATCGTGGCTGACAAGGCCCTTCATCATCAGCCCCATTACCTCTTCACTCCTGCCGTCCACACCAGCCACACTCTCTTCTCCTCTTCTGACACACCAACCCCTCCTGCCATGGGACATGTGCTCATGTTGTTCCCACCCCCTGCAACTCCGATCTTCTCCCATCCTGTCTCCTTACTCTCCACGCTTCAGTTTAAATTCCTCCTACTCACACAGGACGTTCCCAACCACCCTGTCTGCCGGCCACTGACTCCTTCTCTCTCTCTTTTTGTTAGAGATAGGGTCTCGCTCTGTTGCCCAGGCTGGAGTGCAGTGGTGTAATCATAGCTGACTGCAGGCTGCAACTTCTGGCTTCAAGTGATCCTCCGGCCTCAGCCTCCCGAGTAGCTGGGTCTACAAGCATGGACCACCACACCCAGCTAATTTTATTTAATTAATTAATTAATTAATTAATTTTTTGTTGAGACAGAGTTTCGCTCTGTCACCCGGCCTGGAGTGCAGTGGCGCAATCTCAGCTCACTGCAACCTCCGCCTCCCAGGTTCAAGCCATTCTCCTGCCTCAGCCTCCAGAGCAGCTGGGGCTACAGGTGCATGCCACCACGCCCGGCTAACTTTTTTGTGTTTTTTTAGTAGAGACAGGGTTTCACCATGTTAGCCAGGATGGTCTCGATCTCCTGACCTCGTGATCCACCTGCCTCGGCCTCCCAAAGTGCTGGGATTACAAGTGTGAGCCACCGCGCCTGGCCACACCCAGCTAATTTTAATTTTTTCTTTGTAGAGATGGTGTCTCACTATGTTGTCCAGGCTGGTCTCCAACTCTTGGTCTCAAGCAATCCTCCTGCCTTGGCCTCCAAAAGTGCTAGGATTACAGGCATGAGCCACCATGCCCAGTCAACCTTGACTCTTTTGAAGAGCACTGGCCAGGTGTTTTACAGAAGGTCACTCAATTCAGGCTTTTCTAGTGTCTAATCATGATTAGATGGGGATTCTGCATTTCTGTCCAGATCCCACTGAGATGGTGCTGTGGTCCCCTCAGAACAGCAGATCAGGAGGCACACACTGTCAATGTGTCTTGTTGCTGGGGGCATTAATTTTGATCCCTTGGCTAAGGTGGTACCAGCTAGATTTCCCCCCAGAAAGTTATCTTTATTCTTTTCCAGTGAATAAATATCATGAGAGAGTTACTTTGAGACTGGGCAAATATCCTCTTTCTCCCTCAACTTTCACCCAGTAATTCTAGCATTCTTTGATTGATCCTGCCTCTCACACGCTTTATCTTATCTCCTTATTTCTCTCCTGGGACTCACCACTGTTTGAAACATTCTTGTTCAGTTGTTCAAACATAGTTCAATATTTGCCTCCTCCACTGGACAGAATTTGCGAAGGTGGGGGCTGGGTTTGTTGTGGTCAGTTTTGTGTCCCAGTGCCCAACACAGGCTCTGGCACGTAGAAGGTGCTTAGCAAATTTGTGATGAATAAACAAATGAGATGACACCAATCAACAAATCCCAGGTGCTCAGGAAGTATGATTGGGTGTCAGCTCAAGAATGAAGTGTGTTCTAGGAGCAAAGATGCTATGAGATGCTACTTTAGAGGAATGCTCATCCATGGATGAATCCCTGGAGAAAACACCAGTGCTTCCATCTCCCAACAGCTCCCTTGGTCCTGCTGGAAGTCTGTATATGGAGCTGATACCACATGGATCTTGCTCTTTGAAATCTATGTCCAGGCTGGGCACAGTGGCTCATGCCTGCAATCCCAGCAATTTGGGAGGTCGAGGCAGGAGGATTGCTTGAGGCCAGGAGTTTGAGACCAGTCTGGGCAACATAGCAAGATCCCATCACTACAAAAAATAAATAAATTATCCAGTCGTTCTGGCACATGCTTGTAGTCCCAGCTACTTGGGAGGCTGAGGTGGGAGGATCACTTGAGCCCAGGAGGTCAAGGTTGCAGTGAGCTGTGATTGTGTCATTGCACTCTGGCCTGGGCAACAGAGCAAGACTCTGTCTAAAGAAGAGGAAGAAGAAGAGGAAGAAGAAGAAGAGGAAGAGGAAGAAGAAGAAGAAGAAGAAGAAGAAGAAGAAGAAGAAAGAAGGAGAAGGAAAAGAAGAAAGGAAGTCTATGTCTAATAAAGCTACAGTAAACAAGGCAAGGGTATTGGCATAAGGATTGACAAATAGATCCATGAAACAGAATAGAGAACACAGAAAAAGACATCCCCCCCCCCCAACATATACATACATGGTCATTTGCTTTTAGATGATCCAGTGACAAAAGGCAAGTATTTTCAACAAAAGCCTCTGGAACAACTGGCTACCTGTGTGGGGAAATAAAGAACCCTAACCCTTACCTCACACCATACACAAAAATCAATTCAAGATGCATCATAGATGAAACATGAAAGCTTGAATTACAAAAATTTTAGAGGAGAATAAAAACAATATTTTTGTGGCTTCAGGGTAGGCAAAGGTTTCTTTGGACACAGGGAGCAAGAATCCTAAAAGAAAACGAATTGGCCGATTTCACTATAGTAAAATTAAAAGCTGATCAGCAAAACACCCCAGTGAAGAAAATCTAAACCCAGCGCAGAGTGTGGGAGTAGTGGGAGTGGAGTGGTGTGCGAGGACAGGTCCCCAAGGCTGTGTGTCTGGTTTTTATTTTTGTTTTTTGGGGTTTTTTTTGGTGGTGTTGTTTTTGAGATAGGTTCTCACTCTGTTGCTCAGGCTGGAGTGCAGTGGCACAATCTCAGCTCACTGCAGCCTCGAACTCCTGGGCTCAAGTGACCCTCCCATCTCAGCCTCCCAAGTAGCTGGTACTACAGGCATGCACCACCACACCTGGTTAATTTTTTTGTTCGTTTTTTTTTGCTAGAGACACGGTCTAGATATGTTGCCCAGGCTGGTCTCAAACTTCTGGGCTCAAGTGATCCTCTTGCCTCAGCCTCCCAAAGTTCTGGGATTACAGGAGTGAGACACCATGCTGGGTCTCACTCAATTGGCCTGGCCGCGCCAATTATTTGTTGACTCATGAGCTACCCAGACAAGACTTAGGGAAGTGCCAGCCCACCGGAGTCAGGTGACATGAATTTGAATCTTGTCTTTGTCCCCAACACACTGGATGAGCATGTGCTGGGCCCGCCTCTCTCTGGGCTACATTTCTCTGCCTGTCCATGAAAAGGTACAGTGCAATAATGTCTGATCCCCACCAATGTGTTCCACCCATGGGTTTCTCTCTCTTCTTCCAACCCCTAGTCACCAGGAGCCCCAGGCAGAATGTGGGCTGCTGGACAAGGCAGTGTAGCATGTGCCAACCCAAGACATATCACCCTGTACAGACAGATCTTCCATCCCAGCAATGTTTTCTGTCTCTGAGAGTTTAGCTATCCTGGCATAAAACCTGAGACCTTGGAGCAGGACGGGAGAAAAGACAAAAGAAGCAGTCTGATTTCGGACAGCAAATCTGTTTAATTTGCAGCCGGACATCTGGCCTGGCAGGGGCCAAGCTGGGACACAGCCAGTGAGGCAGGAGGTTTGGGGAGCCAGGCGTGGGGAAGGGCGGATGCTGAGGCCTGGTGCAGCTTCTCCTTAGCTGTGGCACTTGGGCAGGGGTGGTCCCCTGTCTGTATGCCAGCTTCCTCCTGGGAGAAACGGGGAACATCACATCCCCCAAGCTCAAATGGTGATAGGAGGGCTCATGGGCAACTATGTGCAGAAAACGTATGTGGTCTCTGCCTTGAGTCACTGTCATTTGACAGCTGAGGAAGCTGAGATGCTGAGGGGGTGATATGGTCTGGATGGCTCTGTGTCCCCACCCAAATCTCATCTTGAATTGTAATCTGAATTGTAATCCCCACATGTTGGGCAAGGGACCCCATAGGATGTGATTAGATCATGGGGGCATTTCCCCCATGCTGTTCTTGTGAGAGTGAGTGAGTTCTCATGAGATCAGCTGGTTTTATAAAGAGCTTCCTCCTCTTCACTTCTCTCTCCTGCCACCATGTGAAGAAGGACGCGTTTGCTTCCCCTTCTGCCATGATTATAAGTTTCCTGAGGCCTCCCCAGCCATGCAGAACTGTGAGTCAATTAAACCTCTTTCCTTTATAAATTACCCAGTCTCAGGTATTTCTTCATAGCAGCGTGAGAATGAACTAATACAGAGGAGAAGTAAGTGATGGGCACCTCGGCTCACTGCAACCTCCACCTCCTGGGTTGAAGTGATTATCTTGCCTTAGCCTCCTAGGTAGCTGGGATTACAGGCGTCCACCACCACGCCCAGCTAATTTTTGTATTTTTAGTAGAGATGAGGGTTTCACCATGTTGCCCAGGCTGGTCTTGGACTCCTGATGTCAAGTGTTCCAGCCACCTAGGCCTCCCAAAGTGCTGGGATTACAGACGTGCACCAGTGCCTCTCCAGAAGAGTCTTCTTTTTGATCCTTCTTGGACAAATCCCAGGGCTGGCTCTCATTGGCCCAGCTTGGATCACATGTCCCATCCTGAACCAATCACTGTGGCTTAGAGGGTGCAATCCTTTCATTGGCTAGGCCTGGGTCATGTGACTACCCAGAATCTGGAAGAAGGTCTCTTCTCCCCACTCCTTGCAGCCACGTGTACTCAGAATGGAAGACAGGTAGTTTCCCACAGCTGCACCGTGCTGCTGGCCCCAAATACATGTCTGCCATAGGTAGCTAGCACTGTTATCCTCATTTACAGAGGAGCAAGTCAAGACTCTGAGGGGGTAGTGGCATTCTCAGGGGGCTTCACAGTAAGTAGCAGGGCTGGGAATTTGAACCTAGGACTTTTTTTTTTTTTTTTTGAGATTGTCTGTGTCACCCAAGCTAAGCTGGAATGCAGTGGTGTGATCATAGCTCACTGCAGCCTTGACCTCCTGGGCTCAGGTGATCCTCCTGCCTCAGCCTCCCAAGTGGCTGGGACTACAGTCAGGCACTACCAGGCCTGGCTAATTTTTAAAAATTTATTTGTAGAGATGGGATCTCGCTATGTTGCCCAGGCTGGTCTTGAACTCCTGGGCTCAAGAAATCTTCCTGCCGTGGCTTCCCAAAGTGCTAGGATTACAGGTGTGAGCCACCGTGCCTGGCCTAAACCCAGGACTCTTGACTCTCGTATTTGGGATCCTTTTTGTAGATGTGTGCAAGGGACTGAAGGAATGGTAATGTTGAGCTAGGCTGAGCGAGGCATGTGGAGGGCACTCTGGGCAGAGAAAACTGCCTGTGCAAAGGTGTGGAAGTGAGACCCAGCACTGTGGCAATCAAAGAGGTGGAGGAAGCACATTAAATTTTGTATTTGCCGGCTGGGCGCAGTGGCTCACACCTGTAATCCTCGCATTTTTGGAGGCCATGGCGGGAGGATCACTTGAGGTCAGGAGTTCGAGACCAGCCTAGCGAATATGGTGAAACCACGTCTCTACCAAAAACACAAAAATTAACCAGGTGTGGTGGTACATGCCTGTAATCCCAGCTACTTGGGAGGCTGAGGCAGAAGAATCACTTGAACTTGGGAGGTGGAGGTTGCAGTGAGCCAAGATCATGCCACTGCACTCCACCCTGGGCGACGAGGCTCAGTCTCAAAAAAAAAAAAAAAATTGTATTTGCATGAAGTACCTCTTTAAAATCTCCCAGGAACAATATGAGGTACGTGCTGTTAGGATGTCCATTTTCCATATCCATAAAGTAGAGATCAGAGAGAGAAATGGCCATGCCCATCATCTCAAAGAAAGCCAGAAACAGCAAAGCCAGCTTCAAATCCAGGTCTGGCAATTCCCCAAAGCTGGGCCTCCTTCCCTCTCACCCCTATGTTATGGGTTGAATTGCATCCTCTCAAAAAATATGCTGAAGTCCT
Source organism: Homo sapiens (assembly GCF_000001405.40). Lineage (NCBI taxonomy): Eukaryota > Metazoa > Chordata > Mammalia > Primates > Hominidae > Homo > Homo sapiens. Next base: position 5,459,640 of record NC_000019.10, on the reverse strand, counting down.
GACCTCTGATATCTGGGAATGCGACCGTATTTGGAAATAGGATCTTTGCAGACGTAATCAAGTTAAGATGAGGTCATTAAGATGGACCCTAATCCAGTATGACTGGTGTCTTCATAAAAAGAGGAGGTAACAAGTTTGTGGCTGCATCATTCCAATCTCTACCTTCGTTGTCACGTGGCTGTCTTCCCTGTGTCTTTGTCTCTGTGTCTCTTCTTTTCTTTTCTTTTCTTTCCTTTGTTTTACTGAGACAGAGTCTCCCTCGGTCACCCAGGCTGGAGTGCAGTGGCGTGATCTTGGCTCACTGTAACTTCTGCTTCCCAGATTCAAGTGATTCTCTGCCTCAGCCTCCCGAGTAGCTGGGATTACAGGCACGCACTACCATGCCTAGCTAATGTTTGTATTTTTAGTAGAAATGGGGTGTCGCCATGTTGACCAGGCTGGTCTCGAACTCCTGACCTCAGGTGATCCACCCACCTCGGCCTCCCAAAGTGCTGGGATTACAGGCGTGAGCCACTGATCCCAGACCCTCCAGTGGTTTTAGTCAGCACCCCAGAACAAATCCGTTTCTTTTTTCTTTTTTTTTTTTTGAGACGGAGTGTCTCTGTGTCCCCAGGCTGGAGTGCAGTGGCGCGATCTCAGCTCACTGCAACCTCCGCCTCCCAGGTTCAAGCGATTCTCCTGCCTCAGCCTCCCGAGTACCCGGGGTTACAGGTGCACGCTACCACGCCTGGCTAATTTTTTGTATTTTTAATACAGATGGGGTTTCACCGTGTTGGCCAGGATAATCCTGATCTCCTGACCTCGTGATCTGCCCGCCTCGGCCTCCCAAAGTACTGGGATTACAGGCGTGAGCCACCACACCTGGCCCAAAATCTGTTCCTTACTAAGCTCTACGAGGGCCTGCACGACCTGCCCTATCCCCTTCCCACGCTCCTCCCTCTCCCCTCTGACTCACTCTGCTGCTGCCATATGGGCTTCTGGCTGTTCCTCCAACATGTCAGGTGCAGTCCTGTCGCAGGGCCTTTGCATGGGCTGTACACTCTGCCTGGAATATCCTTCCTGCACTAACGCCTCCTTCCTCCCCTTTCAGTCTCAGTTTGTGTTTTTTGTTTTTGTTTTTGTTGAGACAGGGTCTCACTCTGTCACCCAGGTTGGAGTGCAGTGGTGCAATCATAGCTCACTGCAGCTTTGAGCTCCTGGGCTCAGGTGATCCTCCCGTCTCAGCCTCCTGAGTAGCTGGGACTATAGGTGTGCACCACCATACCCCGCTAATTTTTGTATTTTTTTGGAGAGATGGAGTTTCACTATGTTGCCCAGGCTGGTCTCGAACTCCTAGACTCAAGCGATTTGCTAACCTCAGACTCCCGAAGTGCTGGGAGTGCAGGCGTGAGCCACTGTGCCCGGCCCTGAGTCTCGGTTCTCATGTTTCCTCCGTGATCTCCCTGATCATCCGCCAAGCTCTCTCCATCTCATGACCCCCTTGTGTTTTAGCCCCAGGATTTATCTCGTGCTGACATCTCCCTGCTCATTTATTTAATTATATACTTTGTATCTATCCCCCACCCTGGAATAGCAGTCCCTGGAGAGCAGGGACTTTCCCCTGTTTTGTTCACTGCTGTGTCTGTGTGCCTGGAACCGCGTCTGGCACAGAGTGGGCGCTCTCTGGAGGTTGCTTGGGCTTCAGTCGGAATCTTGCACGTGACTCTCACATTCACACTGTTCCAGGGAATGTCTCAGAGGCGACCTTGACCCTTTTGCTCCTATGACCTCACCTAGTAGCTATTTCTCGTCGGAGCATGGTCAAACAGCCCCCTCACTGCCCAGAAAACTCCCTTGCCTCCTTGCATTTTTTTTTTTTTTTTTTGAGACAGGGTCTCACTCTGTTGCCCGAGCTGAAGTGCAGTGGTGTGATCATAGCTCACCTCCCAGGCTCCAGCAATCCTCCCACCTCAGCCTCCCAAGTAGCTGGAACTACAGGCATGTATCACCACACTTGGCTAATGAATTTTTTTTTCTTTTTTGAGACGGAGCCTCACTGTCGCTAGGCTGGAGTGCAGTGGCGTGATCTCAACTCACTGCAACCTCCACCTCCTGGGTTCAAGCAATTCTCCTGCCTCAGCCTCCTGAGTAGCGAGCAGCTGGGACTACAGGCACGCACCACCACGCCCAGCTCATTTTTGTAGTTTTTAGTAGAGACAGGGTTTCACCATGTTGGCCAGGATGGTCTTGATCTCCTGACCTCATGATCCGCCCGCCTTGGCTTCTTAAAGTGCTGGGATTACAGGCGTAAGCCACTACGCCCGGCCTAAGAAAATTTTTTTGTAGAGGTGGGGTCTTGTTATGTTGCCCAGGCTGGTCTCAAACCTCTAACCTTGAGCGAACCTCCCACCTCGGCCTCCCATCCCATCACACCTGGGATCCCATGAGACATAAGAGGAAACGGAGTAAAAGGGGTTGGAGAACTCTATGGCACCTTTGCAACTTTTCTGGAAATCTAAACCAGTTCCAAAATAAAACGTTTATTTTAAAAGAAAAAATGTGAATGAAGAATAAGGCCATCCAGGATGAGTGACCCGTGTGCCCGGGACTGGAACCAAAGCACAGACGACCCGTCTCAAAGCCACTCCGGCACCACGGTCACAGCCGCCCCAAAAAGGCCCCCCAGCCCTCACCACCCCTCGCTCTCCCGCCCGCAGAAACGGGGATTGGCCTTAGGCTTGATGGGGATGGGTGTCCCCCAACCCCAGTCAGAGGCGGGTGGCCCAACAGCAGCGAGGCTGAGAATCCGCTTTCAAACCCACTTTATTCTTTTCAGACCAGAAACATTCCTCATTGCACCCCCCTCCCTGCCCTAGATCTTTACTGACCAGGGGCCTCAGGAGGGGCTGAGGAGACAGTGGTATACTCTGCCTCCAGGGACGTGGTGCTGCAGTGGCAGTGGGGACTGGCGCGGCCCAGCAGCTCCAGCCTCCGGGAGCGTAGCTGGACTTGAATGGCCCAGATGGGGGGCCGGTGGCCCGGTAGGGAGGGGTCCTCGTCCCTGAAGCTGTAGGTGGTGGAGTCAAAGCTGTCTTCTGTGGCGGCCACCGACTGTTTGCACACGGGGCAGGAGCGCCGGGGGGCTTGGGAGAACCAGGGGTCAATGCATTTGCAGTGGTAGGTGTGGGAGCAGGGCAGGATCTTGAGTTGGTCGCCCTCCTCATACTCATCCAGGCAGATGGCACACAGGTCGTTGTGCCACGTGAAGGTGCGGACCTGGGCCTTCTGGCAGGTAGACGTCTTCACCGGCCGTCTGTGGCTGCAGCAGGCCTGGGCCCAGAGCCACAGGTGGTTCAGGACAAAGAAGGCTGATACGACCAGGGCCAGGGTACAGCCCAGCACCCAGGACACGGTCAGCACGGGGTGACAGCCCAGGTCGTGGCACGGTGGGTCGTCGGGCAGGAGCAGCGCGTGGGCCGACTTGTTGCAGCCCAGGATGACCCGCAGGTCCTGCGAGGCGGCCTCGCTCACGAACACTGAGGGGATGGCGATCTGGCCCCTCAAGTCCTCGTAGACGTGGGTCATGCTCACGAGGTCGTCGGAGTGGACGTTGTGCACGATGGCCGCCTCGAAGCCGGCGCGCTGGGCGTTCAGCACCTTGAGGTCGAAGGTGCAGTCGTAGCGGCGGATCAGCACGATGGCGCCCAGAGAGCGGTTGCCCAGTCGCGGGGCCTCGATGGGATGGCACGCGTTGGCTGGCTTGACCTCCATCAGGTAGCCCCGTATGCCCTCGGGGGCCAGGGGGACGCCGAACAGCGCCGGCAGATCCGCAAAGTCCACCGAGCTCGAGTTGTCTTCCAGCACGGCCCGTACCACTGCCTGCGCGGGCACCTGGAGCAGCGACAAGACCAGCAAGGCTTTGACTGCCACGAGGGCTCGGCCCGGCCGTGGCCACCCCATGGTCACCCGCTTCGCTGTCTGTGTGCTGCTAGGTCCCACTGGAGGCGGCAGGCATGAGGCCTTTGGGCATCTCCGGGGTCTCCCAGGGGGCCTGTGGCCAGGACGCGAGGGCAGTTGAGTTGGAATGACCGCGTGGCTCAGAGGCAGTGACGCGGCCACTGGGACCCTGCTGGCTCTAGGCATTAAGTGCTCCGGACGGCAGAGCGGCATGCGTCGTGTCTTTGAAGGCCGGTCTCAGGAGGTGCTGGCGCAGGTGGCCTTTCTGGCAGATGACATGGAGACCAGGAGTCACCAGGGTTCTAGATGCCCCCAGCTTCTGTGACATCGCCCTGCTACATTCTGTCCCAGGAGCTGCCAGCTGCCTGGGCCTGTGGCCAATGGATCATTCCTAGGTCTGTGATTTGCCGGTACCCGGGCAAGCTTTGAGATAACTTCTTGAAGGCTCAGGGTATCTTTGGACCCAAGGAGGCCCAGGGATGCTTCAAAAGGGCTGCCGGCCCCCAGCAGTGCAGATTCAGCCCTCACTGTGCGAAGACGCTACCAGCATCAGCTTCTGGAGGTTCCTAGCAACACACTGTAGAAGGTTCAATGTTACCCTTGTCTGAGACTCCAAGAGTGACCCAGACTTGTTCAAGCCACGCCCCCCTACAATGAGATCAGTGCTTAAAACCCAAATTCCTGACCCCCTGTCACCATCCCTCACTCTGCTCCAGCCACACAGATCTCCTTGCTGTTCCTCCAACACACCAGGCAGGATCCTGCCCCAGGGCCTTTGCATGGGCTGGGCCTCCTGCCTGGAAAGCCCTTTCTCTCCGTAGCTGGCTCTTTTATCCGGACTCAGGTCTGAGTCCATATATCCTCAGAGCCCTCCTGGACTTGATTTGGAGGGAGAGTCAAGTGCCAGGGTCAGGGTGGGGCTGGTGGGGGTCAGTGGTCCCAAGTCCGCACCGCCAGGTTGGCCTCCAGGCTTGCACCAGCTTCATTCTCTCTCCCTATAGCATTGCCTCTCCAGCTGGGTCTCCAACTGTGCCCCCTGCCTGAGCTTCAGCCCTGGGCATCAGCCTCACCTCCTCCCCAGTCCCCATCCCCCAAATTTCACACCCTCAATCTGTCTGCAGCCCACTCAAGTCGGATTTCTGTCTCTGCCATTCATAAGCTGTATGACATCAGCTAAATTCCTTAGCCTCTCTGGGCCTCAGCTTCCAGACCTGTAACATAGTCTTTCCCATGCTCTAAACTCTCCCATGGCTCCCCATTGCCCTCCAGATAAAGCCCACACTCTTCTCTGTGGCCTACATGCACCCCTGTGGTTGGGCGCCTGCCAATCTCTGAAGCCTGGATGATTTGCAATGTCCCAGAGGCATCTTGCTTTGTTCACCTCTAGAATTTTGCAAATGCTGTTCCCTCTGCCTGGAACAGAATTCTTGCTCCTCAACTTCACTTTGCCAGGCTGACTACTTAGTCTTTAGATTTTCTGTGTTGGCCTAATACCTCTCAGAGCAGCCCTCAGCCAGTGACAGATGGGAGGTGGTAGATAAATGCCCCCACTCCCTCGTCCCTCTTATGGGACAAATCGAAGTATGTTCTACCATATCTCCTAGAGGTCCCCAGTCGAATGAGCTCCATAAGTCAACGAACCCAGTACTGTCTTGTCAATGAGCCCGCTACTGTCTCCTTCCCTTCCCCACCCACTTCTCTCCCCTCCCACAGCTTCTGAGATCACCTCCCACACAAATCTCTTGTACCATGTAGTGGGTGGGCCCCAAATAGAGATGTTGAACCCCTAACCCCTGGTTCTGACCAACCCCTGTGAATGGACCTTATTTGGAAATAAGATCTTTGCAGAGGTTTTCCTTCTAAGAAAGGGAGAAAAGGCCGGGCATGGTGGCTCATGTCCGTAATCCTAGCACTTTAGGAGCCCGAGGCGGGCAGATCAGTTGAGGCCACGAGCACATGCTGCCATGCCCGGCTAATTTTTGTATCTTAATAGAAACGGGGGTTTTGCTAGGTTGCCCAGGCTTGTCTCGAACTCCTGACCTCAAGTGATCTGCCAGTCTCAGCCTCCCAAAGTGCTGGGGTTACATTTGTGAGCCACCATGCCCGGCCCCTGGTGGCACTCCTGCCCCTGCTCTGTCTACTGCCACAGACGGAGGCCACACTATCTAGAGGCCACTGCCTTGGCCACTGTGGATGGCCCTTGCAGCCCAGTGCTACCAAGCAGAGGCAGGTTTTTCAGTCCAGCAGGCATGAGAGGAGGCAAGAGTGGAAAAACAGAAGCAGAGAGGGACAAATGTAGCGGTCAGGCTCGGGTTGGCTGTGGTAAGCAAGACCCAACCACAGCGGTGTAGGCGTACAGGGCTGATTTGCTTCTGAATGTGGAATGTGAGTAGTCATTCCTGGGATGGCATGGAGATGCTGGGGTGTCTGCAGCCCAGACTCCTTCCATCCACCATATCCTCAGTAAATGGCCTCCTCCTCGTGGGACAAGGCAGGTGCGTGAGCTCCAGCCATCACATCTGCCTCCCAGGCAATGAGGAGGAAAGAGTGAGGAAGAGCTCACCCTGTCCCTTTAAGGACACTTCTTGGAAATCCCAGGCACCACTTCTGCTCACACTGCATTGGCCAGAATTAGTCACGTGGCCATGCCTGGCAGAAAGCTTGCTGGGAAATGTAGTATTTATTCTGAATGGCCAACTGTGCAGCTGAAAACCAGGGCTTCTATTACTATGGAGGACAAGACAACAGATGTTGGAGGCGTCCAACACCACCTGTCACTCGGACACACTTGAGTAACCTGGCCTTCAATGGCTGCCCAATACATATTTGTTGAATGAATGAATCCCCACACCTCCAGCTTAGGCCTCCTTCAGTGGTGAGTGAGCTCACTGTCCCTGGGGATGGAAATGAGCTTTTCCCGGGCCCTTCTGTGCACCAGACTCCAGGCCATGTGGCTTCACTCCACCATTCAGCCACTGTGAGCCTCAGTTGCCCCTTCTGTAAAGAGGAGGCAGCATCAGCACCTGCACTGCGGGGTTCGCTGAGCATGGACGGTGCTAAGCATAGTGCCTACCACGTACGAAGTGCTCTGTTTGCATTTGTTGATGGCCTAAGTGACCTGCCCACAGCCCAGTTATAATATTGGGTGATCACAGCTACTCGGGAGGCTGAAGCGGGAACATCGCTTGAGCCTGGGAGTTTGAGGCTGCAGTGAGCTCTGATCATGCTGTGGCACTCCAGCAGCGGGCCACAGAGCAAGACCCCACCTCTAAAAATAAAATATTGAGTGATCAAACTGTGATGGGGAAAACTCAGGCACCGTGCCAACCCAAAGGGAGGCACCTGGCTTATTCTTTTTTTTTTTTTTTTTTTTGAGACGGAGTCTCGCTGTGTCGCCCAGGCTGGAGTGCAGTGGCACCATCTCAGCTCCCTGCAAGCTCTGCCTCCCAGGTTCACGGCATTCTCCTGCCTCAGCCTCCCGAGTAGCTGGGACTACAGGCGCCCACCACCATGCCCGGCTAATTTTTTGTATTTTTAGTAGAGACGGGGTTTCACTGCATTAGCCAGGATGGTCTCGATCTCCTGACCTCGTGATCCGCCCGCATCGGCCTCCCAAAGTGCTGGGATTACAGGCATGAGCCACCGCGCCCGGCCGCACCTGGCTTATTCTAGAGAATCTAGAAGGCTTCCTGGAGGTGGTGTCTTCTAGACTGAGATCAGAATGAGCAGTGGATAGTGCTATGAACAGGAAACGCGATCCTGGCAGCTAGAACAGCACGGGCAAACGCCCTGCCTGAGTAGCCTGGTCTGGCATCCAGTAGATGCTTAATAAGTGAACATAGAACTCCTTGCCATCACTCAGGGCCTGCCCCCTCTGAAAAAGGGTCTCAGCTTCATCCCAGCTTCCTCAGTCCCCCAACAGCCAGGCCTGGGCCCTTCTCCAGACGCCTCCACGAAAGCAGAGTGGTGCCAAGGACTGGCAGCTTAACGAGGCCGGCCTGTGCCAGCCCCGCCAGCCCCCACCTTGGCTGCTGTTCTTCGTGAGAAGCTGCCGAGGCCCCCTCCTGCCCAGCCAGGTGGCGCCCCGTCTGTGTTTGTCTAAGGGGGAGTGTGGCCAAATGGGGAAACTGAGCCCCAGAGGAGGGGGGCACTCGGGGATGGCAGGAGCCACCAGCACTGCCACTGAGCAATGCAGCCTGCAGCCTGTGACCGTGCCTTGCGGGAAACTCCGCTGACCCCCTGCATCCAGGGCCAGGTTCCTGTGGACACCCCATCTTCTAGAGGGGGGAAACTGAGTCTGTGACAGGGGACCAGACTCACTAGGACTACAAAGCCGCAAAGTGACTGAGCTGGGATTTGAACCCTGGCCCCATGAATGCACTCACTGAGTATTTAGGGTTCCCCACTGGGTGCCCACATCTGCGCTGGGAAACACAGCGGACTCCAAGAGTTCTCCAGCCCCTGCCCAGCCCTCAAGGAGCCCCAGGCTTGGGTAAGAGATGGACCCAGACAGCCAGGGCTGAGGGAGCCCAGATAATGGGGTTCAGGGCAGGCTTCCTGGAGGAGGGGAGATTTCAAGTGGACTTGAAGGACAAGTAGGAACTTGGCAAGAAAAGTGGAAGTTGGGGGAAAGAGCACACCAGGCGATGCCTGGTTCACAGTCCGTGTGAAGGGACGGGCGGTGCAGTTGATTCTGAGCATTTTGGAGAATTGCAAAATAAGTCCTTAGGGCTAAGATGAGGGAGGGCTGGGATGTTTGAGGACTTAATTACCAAGTGAACTTAATTACCAGGAAAAGGCATTTGCTTGTGTTGTCACTGATTTGTCTATTCTGCCATTCAGCAAGCATTCCCTGAGGCTGCACCCTGGCTGGGCGAGGCTAGGTAGGTTCCAGGGCATCTGCAAATGAGGACTGGGGCTTTTGCCCACAGGAGGACTCAGGGAGCTCAGGGCTGGTGCCTGCTGGATTAAACCTCCCCACACTCCTGCAAGAGAGGCATGTTAATTCCACCTTCCAGATGAGGAACAGAGAGGTGATTCGATTTACCTGAAGCCACACAGCATACCAGGGGCCAAGCCTGAATTCAAACCCGGGTTCACAGAGCCCTGTGTGCTTTGCTCTTTCACTCGACTGTCTCTCTCTCTCTCTCTTTTTTTTTTTTTTTTTGAGACATAGTCTTGCTCTGTTGCCCAGGCTGGAGTGCAGTGGTGCAGTCTCGGCTCACCACAATCTCCACCTCCCGGGTTCAAGCGATTCTCCTACCTCAGCCTCCTAATCAGCTGGGATTACAGGCATGCGCCACTATGCCTGGCTAATTTTTGTAGTGGGTTTTTTCATGTTGCGCAGGCTGATCTCAAACTCCTGCCTCTTGATCCATATTTAATGAGCACCTGCTATCCGCTAGTGCTGTGCTGGGGACACTGCTGTGACCAAGAGAGACCCCACTCTCAGGGAATTTATTATCTAATGAATTGCAGTTTTTTTGTTTTTGTTTTTGTTTTTTAGTGCAACATGGTGATGGAATAGCGGGTTATGGAGGGGGGTGGTGAATTTAGTTAGGAGTGATCAGGGAGGGCCTCCCTGAGGAGGTGACATATGTGCAGAGACCTAAAAGATGGGAACGATTTGGCCAGGCGTGGTGGCTCACGCCTGTAATCCCAGCACTTTGGGAGGCCGAGGTGGGTGGATCATGAGGTCAGGAGTTCGAGACCTGCCTGGCTAATATGGTGAAACCCCGTCTCTACTAAACATACAAAAAATTAGCCGGACATGGTGGCATGTACCTGTGGTCTCAGCTACTTGGGGGGCTGAGGCAGAAGAATCGCTTGAACCTGGGAGGTGGGTGGAGGTTGCAGTAAGCTGAGATTGCTCCATTGCACTCCAGCCTGGCGACAGAGCAAAACTCCAACTCAAAAAAAAAAAAAAAAAAAATAGATTGGAAAGATTCAACCACAGAAAGACATGAAGGGAGATATGGGGAACAGCATTCCAGGCAGAGGGAACAGCAAATGCAGAGGTCCTCAGGCAGGAAACGTCAAAATGGGCAGTGTAGCCAGAGGAGACTGCGTCTGGGAGCAGAGGAGAAGTGGTCATTAATGTTTAGTCTACAGGTCTATGAATTTTGACAAATGCACAATCACGTAACCCCACCACTATCAAGATACAGAACAGTCCCATCTCCCTAAAATGTTTCCTTATGTCCCTTTGTCCTCTACCAGGAATGCTTCAGTGGACAAAACCTGTCTTGGCCAGGCATGGTGGCTCACGCCTGTAACCCCAGCACTTTGAGAGGCTGAGGTGGGAGGATCGCTTGAGTCCAGGAGTTTGAAACCAGCTTGGGCAACATGGTGAGACCCGTCTCTACAAAAACAAAACAAAAATAAAAACAAAAAACAAAACAAAAACAAAAACAAAAACAAACCAGGCATGGTGGTGTGCACCTGTGGTCATAGCTACTTGAGAGGCTGAGGCAGGAGGACTGCTTGAGCCCAGAAGGTTGAGGCTGCAGTGAGCCACGATCACACCATTGCACTCCAGCCTGGGCAACAGAGCAAGACCCTGTCTCAACAAACAAAAAACAGGCTGGGCGCGGTGGCTCATGCCTGTACTCCCAGCACTCTGGGAGGTCAAGGCAGGTGGATCACCTGAGGTCAGGAGTTCAAGACCAGCCTGGCCAATATGGTGAAACCCCACTCTACTAAAAACACAAAAATTAGCTGGGCGTGGTGGCAGGTGCCTGTAATCCCAGCTACTCGGGAGGCTGAGGCAGGAGAATCGCTTGAACCCAGGAGACGGAGGTTGCAGTGAGCCGAGATCACGCCACTGCACTCAAGCCTGGGCAACAGAGCAAGACTCCGTCCCAACCAACTCCCACCTCCACCTCCCCCCGCCCCCCCCAACAAACACACACACACCCTAGTCTCTGCCCCTAGCCTTTTCCTGGAGGAGAAGACACACCCGGGGGTTCCCAGAGCAATTTCCAGAACATCATTATAAATGGGAGCATACAGCGGGCGGCCTTTTGTGTCTGGCGTCTTTCGCTCTGCAGAATGCATTTGAATATCACCCACATTGTTGCGTGTCTCGGGTGCTGTTTCCTTATGACTGCCGAATAGCACTCCGCTGCGTGGAGGTGACCCGGTGTGTTTATGCAAACACACCTGCTGGATCGCTTCCAGTTTGGGGAGATTAGGAATAGAGCTGTTAGAAACTGCCAGGTACGGGTTTTTGCACGGACGTGTGTTTCCATCTCTCTTGGGGGAGTTCCCTGGAGTGGGATTGCTGTGGGGGGTTTGGTGCATGTATGTCTAACTTCATAAGGAGTTAAGGGGTTGCACCGTTTTGCCTTCCCATGGGCAGCGTAGGAGAGCTTCGGATGCTCGCCATCCTCACCCGCTCTTGGTATTGTCAGCTGAAAGAATTTTAGCCATTTTAGCAAGTGTGAAGTGATATCTCACTGTGGTTTGGATTTGCATTTCTCCAATGACTAATGGCATTGAGCATCTTTGCACGTGCTTTTTTTTTTTTTTTTTTGCCATCTGTGTGTCTTCTTTGGTGAAGTGGCAGTTCAAGCCTTTTGCCACAGGGAGCTGATTAATGCTTTTAAAGGCTTCGTTTGATGCGGAGAGTGACGGGTGGAGAGGTGTGGAGAGGGAGGAAGTGACGGTCTTGATCCAGGCAGGAGCCGATGGGTGGGCGTGGACGAGTGAAAGTGGGCCAGTTCTGGAGGCAGAGCCCTCGGCTGAGATGTGGAGGGGCCAGAAACGAGGCACATCCGAATGACAGCTGAGAAAACCGAGCCCAGAGAGGGAAAGCGACTTGCCAAGGTTGCACAGCAGAGCAGTGGTAGAGCCAGGATTTGAACTTATTTCTGAGGACTCCCCGACCCCAGGACTGCCCTGACTGTGTGAGGATATCAGAGCTCTGAGGGGTCCCTCCTAGTGGCTTGGCTTGAAATGTTCAAGAACAGCAGTTCCATCTTTTTTTTTTCTTTTTTGACACAGAGTCTCGCTCTGTCACCCAGGCTGGAGTGCAGTGGCGCCATCTCGGCTCACTACAACCTCCACCTCCCAGGTTCAAGTGATTCTCTTGCCTCAGCCTCCCAAGTAGCTGGGATTACAGGCACCCGCCATCTTGCCCGGCTAATTTTTTGTGTATTTAGTAGAGACAGGGTTTCACCATCTTGGCCAGGCTGCTCTTGAACTCCTAACCTCAAGTGTTCCTCCTGCCTCGGCCTCCCAAAGTGCTGGAATTACAGGTGTGAGCCACTGCACCTGGCCTGGCCCATTTTTAAACGGCTCTGACTTTGAATTCCACTGGCCTCTACCTTGCAATGTATGGGTCATAGCTCTCGCTGTTTGTCCACACAAGCACTGACTACCTACTTCTTCAGGCCTGTGCTGGGCACCCAGTCCCTGCCTGCCTGGGGCTTCCAGTCCAGTGGGGAAGTCGGAGTGTGACCAGGCGGGGACAGGGTGATTAGGGCTGTGATGGAGGACACGCAGATCCTGCGGGCAACCAGAGAGGCACTTGCCCCAGCCTGGCGGGCCCGGGAAGGCTTCCCAGGGAGGAGGCTTCCACGTCAAGGCTCATAAGTAAAACCGAAGCCACTGGGCAGGGGTGGGAAGGGTGTTCCAGGTGGAAGGAACAGCATATGCGAGGGCCCAGAGTTGCAGAAGGCACAGGAGTTCTCAACCTTATTGAACACTTTGCACCTTTGAATACACATACACAGTTCTCGTAATAACAGAGATCTCTTCAGTAGCCTGAAAATACTTGGGCTTAATTAGTCTAGAAAGATAAATGACAGGCCGGGCATGGTGGCTCACGCCTGTAATCCTAGCACTTTGGGAGGCTGAGATGGGCAGACTGCCTGAGCTCAGGAGTACGAGATCAGCCTGGGCAACATGGTGAAACCCCGTCTCTACTAAAATACAAAAAATCAGCAGGGTGTGGCAGCAGGCGCCTGTAATCCCAGTTACTTAGGAGGCTGAGACATGAGACTTGCATGAACCTGGGAGGCGGAGGTTGCAGTGAGCTGAGATTGTGCCACTGCACTCCAGCCTGGGCAACAAAGTGAAGTTCTGTGTCAAAAAAAAAAAAAAAAAAAAAAAAAAAAGACAGACAAATAGCAATAGGTTCTGTTCTAATCAAACCCATTTTCCAGATGAGGAAACTGAACCCAGAGAGGTTAAGTGACTTGCCCCAGGGCAAACAGCAGGGACAAAGCTAAGATTCAATTTCAAAAGCCCATCTCTGTAAGTCAGGGGGTCGTGCCTGTAATCCCAAACTCGGCTTCGTAATCTTGGTTTTGGGACGCTGAGGTGGGAGAAACACTTGAACCCGGGAGTTTGAGACCAGCCTGGGCAACACAGAGAGACCCTCATCTCTACGAATAATTTAACAATTAGCCGGGTGTGGTGACGTGCACCTGTAGTCCCAGCTACTTGGGAGGCTGAGGCCAGAGGATTGTTGCTTGAGCCCGGGGAGTTGAGGCTGTAGTGAGCTATGATTGCACCATTGCACTCCAGCCTGGGTGACAGAGCGAGACTCTGTCTTTATAAAAGAAAAAAAAAAAGCACCCACCTCCAGAGGCTGTTGCTATTTCTGTACCATCCCCATGAAGAATGGTCAGAATGAAGGAGCTCATTGTGGAACAGGGACAGAGTGATCTGTCCCTCTTAGGCCAAGACTGCTGAGTGTGTCCTTCACCCCTGGCTCTGTCCCAGTTCCTTCTCCCAACCTCCTTTGGTAGGTGCCAACCCTCTCTAATATGGGCTAAGAATAGTGGGCTCTTCACCTCCTCTGTCCCACACCCTCTGCTCCTCGTGATACAACCAATGAGAGACAGATTCCCAGAAACTGTTACTGCCACTCCCAGAGGCCACTGGAGGAGGCTGGCTGCCAAAGATCTCAGCCCTGACAGTGTGAAGAAGGCCGTGATTCATCACCTGGTCCTCCCTCCTCCCTCCTCCTCTGTCCCCGCCTCTTCACCCTGTCTTCTTTCTAGCCCACCCCTCACAGCCTCCCAGCCAGGCCCAGGAGGGGAGGACGTTTTTAGGAACAGATGGCTGCCTTCCTTGCCCAGTACTCTGCCAGTTAATTAACGCTGCCTGTAATTAAACTTCCCACAAATTAGCTGTCAGCTACGCTAAAGGGAACCGTCCCTCTCAAATGCCACCTTGACTTACTGAATTGTGAGCCTTGTCGACAAAATAATTAAAGGCAGGAGGAGGCAACCAAAATTTGGACCCTTTTTTTTTTCTCCCCCTAATATCTCTATTGGCGTCCACAGCCAGATGCTTCCAGGCAGGACTTGGGAACACAAAGCTATTTTTTTTTTTCCTGAGGGTTCATGACTAATCCTTCCATTGTAGAAGGAATCTTTATTGAGCACCTACTATGTGCCAGGCATGGTGCTGGAGTCACTGCCTTCTTGAAACTCACATCCTTGACATAATGTTTTCCTTCCTTCCTTCCTTCCTTCCTTCCTTCCTTCCTTCCTTTCTTTTCTTTTTTTTTTTTTTTTTGATGGAGTCTCGCTCTGTTGCCCAGGCTGGAGCACAGTGGCATAAACTCAGCTCACTGCAACCCCTGCCTCCTGAGTTCAAGCAGTTCTCCTGCCTCAGCCTCCTGACTAGTTGGGATTACAGGCCCATGCCACCACGCCCGTCTAATTTTTTGTGTTTTTAGTAGAGACGGGGGTTTTGCCATGTTGGCCAGGCTGGTCTCAAACTCCTGGTCTCAAGTGATCCACCTGCCTCGGCCTCCCAAAGTGCTGGGATTACAGGCATGAGCCACCATACCTGGCCAACATGTTTTAGAAGAAAAAGAAGTAAACGAAGTTATTGCAGCTGGGGGAAGAGCATTTCAGCCCATGTAAAGGCCCTGAGGTAGGACTGCACTTGGTGTATTGGAGGAACAGCCGGGAGGCCCATGTGGCTGCAGCAGAGGGAGCAAGGGGGAGACAGGGAGGAGGGGGAGGGCAGGGCAGGGACAGGGTAGGTCATGCAGGGCCTTGTGGGCTTCAGTGAGGACTTGGGCTTTGACCCAGAGGAAGATGGGAGCCATGGAGGGCTATAGGCAGAGGAGGGACGGGACCTGATTCAGGTTCTCACCTGCGCCCTCTTGCTGCTTCAGAGAGGACTGTGGGGATGGGGGTGGCAGGGGCCAGGGTGGAGGTGCCTCACCTGCTCCGGGAGGGCAGTGATGGGGCTGGACCAAGAGGGAGACACAGGAGCGGGGAGAAGTGGGTGGATCTGGGATAGACTCTGCAGGCAGAGGTGTTGGAATGGCTGATAGATTATATGGAGGGGACTGGGGGAGGGAAAGAACAGAGTTTCAAGCCTGGGAAGCAGAAGAAAGGGACAATTGATCCACAAAGATGTCAGATTTCCACAGAGCGAAGCCTTTTTCAAAGAGCAAATTCTTCAGCCTCAGATGAGCCAGCTGCCAAGGCCCAGGGAGTGTGTCTGTCTGGAGTGAGACCTCCCCGACCTGTCTCCCCTGCCCCCACCCCAGCATCAAGGATGAGGGTGAAGTTTGAGGGAGGGGATCCTGATGGCTGCAGGGTCAAGCCCCCAGCAAACCTCAGGGGAGACGAGATCAGTGATTGCCCCCTGGATACCCGCTGGCTGCAAAGACTCAATCGAGCCCTGGGGTCAGAGGAGGGCTCTGGGCCTCACCAGGTAGGTTACAAAGCCAATGTGGACATCTGTGTTCTTCCACCTACCAGGATAACTTGAAGCCCCGAGGGGCAGATGTCAGGCCCTCCAAGCACCTCAGGGCCTTTGCACAAGCTATACTTGCTGCCTGGAGCCCCTCCCCTCCCCTCCCCTCCTCTCCCCTTCTCTCCTCTCCCTTCCCCTCCTTTTCCTTCTTTCTGATGGAGTCTCACTTTGTCACCCAGGCTGGAGTGCAGTGGCATGATCTCAGCTCACTACAACCTCTGCCTCCCGGGTTCAAGTGATCCTCCCTCCTCAGCCTCCTGAGTAGCTGAGATTACAGGTGCCTGCCACCACACCCAGCTAATTTTTGTATTTTTAGTAGAGACAGGGTTTCACCTTGTGGATCAGGCTGGTCTCAAACTCCTGACCTCATCGCTACCCCTTTCTTATCCTTCAGGTCTTTGCTCAGGCATCACTTCCTCCAGGAAGCCTCCCTGATGCCCCAGCCTGAGTCAGGTGCTCCCTCTGGGCCCCACCGTGCCTGTGACTCCCCCATCATGGCCCTGATGCTGTAAACACCCAGTGCTGTAAACATGATGCCCTGTGTCCTTCTTCCCTCGCTGGACTGTGAACCCGTAAGGGCCAGGTCTGTTCTAATCACCAGTGCTTAGAAGAATTTGGCTGGGCGTGGTGGCTCATGCCTGTAATCTCAGCACTTCGGGAATCTGAAGAGGGCAGATCACTTGAGGCCAGAAGTTCAAGCCCAGCCTGGGCAACATGGTGAAACCCCGTCTCTACTAAAAAAAAAAATACAAAAGTTAGCTGGGCATGGTGGCACAAGTCTATAATTCCAGCTACTTGGGAGGCTGAGGGATGAGAATTGCTTGAGCCTGGGAGGTGGAGATTGCAGTGAGCCGAGATTGCACCACTGCACTCCAGCCTGGGCAACAGAGTGACCCTGTCTCAAAAAAAAAAAAAAGAATTTATGCACACAGTAGGCCCCATAAATAATAATTGAGCTCACCTGAAACCCTTGGGCCAGATGCATTTCAGAACTCTAGAATGTTCCAGATTTTAGGATGCTGATAAGATGCACTCAGCATAGATTATTTAACACTCCCAGCAGGGCCCGGGGTAACTCATCCCCATCCCCATCAAACGCTGTCAAGGATGGGAATATTCGGCTGGGCACGGTGGCTCACGCCTGTAATCCCAGCACTTTGGGAGGCCGAGGCAGGCAGATCACGAGGTCAGGAGATCGAGACCATCCTGACTAACATGGTGAAACCCCGTCTCTACTAAAAAATACAAAAAATTAGCCAGGCGTGGTGGTGGGCGCCTGTAGTCCCAGCTACTCGGGATGCTGAGGCAGGAGAATGGTGTGAATCCGGGAGGCGGAGCTTGCAGTGAGCCGAGATGGCGCCACTGCACTCCAGCCTGGGCGCCAGAGTAAGACTCCGTCTCAAAAAAAAAAAGAAAAGAAAAAAAAAGAAAAGAAAAAAAGAATGGGAATATTCATAGTTAATGGCATAAATAAAAGGCATTAATATCCAAAGGTCAGGCCAGGCGTGGTGGCTCACGCCTGTAATCCCAGCACTTTGGGAGGCTGAGCGGGGTGGATCACTTGAGGTCAGAAGTTTGAAACCAGCCTGGCCAACAGATGGAGTTTCACTCTGTCTCCCAGACAGAGTCTCTATTAAAAATACAAAAAAAGTTAGCCGGATGTGGTGGCACATGCCTGTAATCCCAGCTACTCAGAGGGCTGAGGCAGGAGAATCGCTTGAACCCAGGAGGTGGAGGTTGCAGTGAGCCGAGACTGCGCCACTGTCCTCCAGCCTGGGCGACAGAGCAAGACTCCATCCCCAAAATAAATAAATAAATAAACAAATAAATAAAATAACAACACATGTCCTGAGGGAGCTTCCTGGGGTGATAAAAATGTTGTACATCTGGAAGGAGGTAGTGGCTACACAGGTGTATACATTTGTCAAAGTTCATCGAACTGTATCCTTAAATTACACCTCCATAAAGCTGATCCAAAGGGAAGATACAAGAATGCCAAGAAAGGCCGGGCGCGGTGGCTCATGCCTGTAATCCCAGCACTTTGGGAGGCCAAGGAGGGTGGATCACGAAGTCAGGAGATCGAGACCATCCTGGTTAACACGGTGAAACCCCATGTGTACTAAAAAATACAAAAAATTAGCCAGGCGTGGTGGCGGGTGCCTGTAGTCTCAGCTACTCGGGAGGCTGAGGCAGGAGAATGGTGTGAACCCGGGAGGCGGAGCTTGCAGTGAGCCGAGATCGTGCCACTGTACTCCAGCCTGGGCGACAGAGCAAGACTCCGTCTAAAAAAAAAAAAAAAAAAAAAAGAATGCCAAAAATACGCACTCACGGGTGCGCTCCTCCACTGCTGGAGGGAATGCAAAATGGTACAGCCACTCTAGGAAACGGTTTGGCAGTTCCTTAAAAAGTTAAACAGACACCTACCATACGACCCAGGCACCCACTGCTAGGTGTTTCCCCGAGAGAAACAGAAGCATATGTCCACCCGGAGACATGTGCGAGGATGTTCGTAGCAGCTTTCTTCGTGACAGCCAAACACAGGATACAAACCCAAATGCCTATCCGCTGGTGGCTCGGGGCTCGGTAAACAGACTGCGGTCCACCCAGGCGCTGGAATACGACTCAGCAATAAAAAGGGTTGGACTATGGAGAGACGCACCAGCTTGGATGAATCTCCAATGCAACTATGCTGAGTGGAAGATGCCAGATTCAAAACATCAGTTTTAAAAATAGGCAAAGGAAACAGTGGTGATGGAGAGTAGGAAGATGCACCTGGGAGGAGAGGGGCAGTTCATGACAGGGGTCTGAGAGATCTTTTGGGTGCTAGAATGCTCTTCCCCAGGGCAGGGCTAGGGTGAGGTGGTGGAGGGATTCTCCTCAGGAGCAAACTTTAAGGGAGGACCAAAAAACTCAACAACAGCAACAAAAACTCAGCAATCAAGCTAAATAGCATCTGACTGCATCTTCTCTTCTTCTCTTCTCTCTCTTTCTCTTCTCTTAATTCTCATCTCTTCAATTTTTGTCTCTTCAATTCTCTTTTCTTCAATTCTCTTCTCTCCTCTTTTCTTTTTGAGATGGAGTCTCGCTCTGTCACCCAGGCTGGAGTACAGTGGTGTGATCTCAGCTCACTGCAACCTTCACCTCCTGAGTTCAAGCAATTTTCCTGCCTCAGCCTCCTGAGTAGCTGGGATTACAGGCACACGCCACCATGCTCAGCTAATTTTTGCATTTTTAGTAGAGACGGAGTTTTGTCATATTGTTCTGGCTGGTCTCAAACTCCTGACCTCAGGTGATCCACTGCCTTGGCCTCCCAAAGTGCTGGGATTACAGGCCTGAGCTACTGTGCCCGACCTTTTTCTTTTCTTTTCTTTTCTTTTTTCTTTTTTTTCTGCTTGCTTGCTTTCTTTTCTTTCTTCCTTTCTTTCTTTCTCTTTCTTTCCTTTCTTTTTTCTTTTTCTCTTTCTTTTCTTTCTTTCCTTTTCTTTTGTTCTTTCTTTTTCTCTTTCTTCCTTTCTCTTCCTTCCTTCTCTTTCTTTCTTTCCTTTCATTCCTTTCTTTCTTTCTTCCTTTTTCCCTCCCTCCCTTCCTTCCCTCCTTCTCTCTCTCTCTCTTCTTTATTTTTTTAAATTAATTTATTTTTTGGTGGAGTCTTGCTCTGTCACCCAGGCTGGAGTGCAGTGGCACGATCTTGGCTAACCGCAACCTCGGCCTCCCGGGTTCAAGCAATTCTCCTGCCTCAGCTTCCCAAGTAGCTGGGATTACTGGTGTGTGCCACCATGACTGGCTAATTTTTGTATTTTTAGTAGAGATGGAGTTTCACCATGTTGGCCAGGCTGGTTTCGAACTCCTGACCCCAAACGATCCACCCGCCTCGCTCTTTTTTTTTTTTTTTTTAAACAGATCGGGTCTTGTTCTGTTGCCCAGGCTGGAGTGCAGTGGCACAACCACGGCTCACTGCAGGCTGCATCTCCTGGGCTCAAGTGATCCTCCCACCTCAGCTTCCTGAATAGCTGAGATCACAGGCATGCGCCACCATGCCTGGTTAATTTATTTCATTTTTTGTAGAGATGGGGTCTTGCTATGTTGTTCAGGTTGGCCTCTAACTTGTGGGCTCAAGCGATCCTCCTGCCTCAGCCTCCCAAAATGATAGGATTATAGGCATGAGCCACTGTGCACAGCTGACTGCAATATTTTTTTAAAAAAATCAAAATTAATGCAAATAAAATATCCAGATGGCCCATCAATGATAGACTGGATTAAGAAAATGTGGTACATATACACACACCATGGAATACTATGCAGCCATAAAAAGGAATGAGATCATGTCCTTTGCATGGTCATGGATGGTGTTGGAGGCCATTATCCTCAGCAAACTAACACAGGAACAAAAAACCAAACACTGCACATTCTCACTTAACAGTGGGAGCTGAATAATGATGAGAATACATGGATACAGGGAGGGGAACAACACACACTGGGGCCTGTTGGAAGAGGGAGGGAGGGAGAGCATTAGGAAGAGTAGCTAATGGATGCTGGGTTTAATACCTAGCAGCAAACTACCACGGCACATGCTTACCTATGTTGCAAACCTGCACCTGTATCCCTGAACTTAAAAGTTGCAGAAAAGAAAAAAGTCTGGGATGAGCCGGGCACGGTGGCTCACGCCTGTAATCCCAGCACTTTGGGAGGCTGAGGTGGGCAGATCCTGACCTGAGGTCAGGAGTTCGAGACCAGCCTGGCCAACATGATGAAACACTGTCTCTACTAAAAATGCAAAAATTAGCCAGGCGTGGTGGTGGATGCCTGTAATCCCAGCTACTTGGGAAGCTGATGCAGGAGAATCGTTTGAACCCTGGAGGTGGAGGTTGCAGTGAGCTGAGCTCATGCCACTGCACTCCAGCTTGGGAGACAGAGTAAGACCCTGTCAAAAAAAAAAAAAAAAAAAAAAAAATCCAGGATGAACACAACATCAATCTTGCTAACAAAGAGAGAATTCCGGCCAGGTGCAGTGGCTCACGCCTGTAATCCCAGCATTTTGGGAGGCCAAGGCGGGCAGATCACCTGAGGTCAGGAGTTTGAGATTAGCCTGGCCAACATGGTGAAATCCTGTTTCTACTAAAAATACAAAAATTAGCCGGGCATGGTGGCGGGTGCCCATAATCCCAGCTATTCGGGAGGCTGAGGCAGGAGAATCGCTTAAGCCTGGGAGGTGGAGGTTACAGTGAACTGAGATCATGCCACTGTACTCCAGCCTGAACAACAGAATGAGACTCTGTATCAAAAACAAACAAACAAAAGAGAATTCCTTGTTCTGCTACAAGACTCACCTTACTCCCCTCCCACTAGTTGGGGGCCCTAAATCTTTATCTCCATCTGGCTGCTGGTGACAAGCACCCCTGTGTGTTTAGGTCAAAATTCACCTGGCTTGTACACTTGAGATTTCTGCATTTGGGGTTTCCAAGTTTCACCTCAATAAGAAAGTTAAGAGAAAAGAAACGCAGCTGGGCACGTTTCTTTCTCACATTTGTAATCCCAGCACTTTGGAGGGCCAAGGTGTGCAGATCACCTGAGGTTGGGAGTTTGAGACCAGCCTGACCAACATGGAGAAACCCGATCTCTACTAAAAATACAAAATTAGCCAGGCGTGGTGGTGCATGCCTGTAATCCCAGATACTCGGGAGGCTGAGGCAGGAGAATCATTTGAACCCGGGAGGCAGAGGTTGCGGTGAGCCGAGATCGTGCCATTGCACTCCAGCCTGGGCAACAAGAGCAAAACTCCGTCTAAAAAGAAAAAAAAAGAAAAGAAAAAACAAACGCAGGCAGACAAAACAACCTTACCAGTTTCAAGAACACACACAGGCTTTTTGTTTTAAAGCCCATTCTGAACTTTGGGAGGCCGAGGCAGGAGGATTGTTTGAAGCCAGGAGTTCGAGACCAGCCTGGGAAACATAGCGAGACCTTATTTCTAGAAAAAATTTAAAAATTAGCCGGCTGTGGTGGCATTCACCTGTAGTCCCAGCTACTTGGGAAGCTGAGGTGGCAGGATCACCTGAGCCTAGAAGGTTGAGGCTGCAGTGAGCTGAGATCACACAACTGCACCCCAGCCTGGGTGACAGACCCTGTCAAAAAAAAAAAAAAAAAAGCCAATTCCAGTGGTTATGGGGACAGAAGGGGGAGAAAAAAGAAGAAATATACAAAACAAGAGGCAGTGGACTGGGGAGGGGGTACTAAGGACATATTTGCTGAATGAATACAGCAGTGGATGAGGAGATATGGCCCCCAAAGTCTCCTGGAGGCCACAGTAAATAAACAAGGGAACAAGATCATTATGAGGGGCTGTCCCTGGCCAGGCGCGGTGGCTCACGCCTGTAATCCCAGCACTTTGGGAGGCCGAGGCGGGCAGATCACGAGGTCAGGAGATCGAGACCATCCTGGCTAACACGGTGAAACCCCGTCTCTAAAAATTACAAAAAATTAGCCGGGCGTGGTGGCAGGTGCCTGTAGTCCCAGCTACTCGGGAGGCTGAGGCAGGAGAATGGTGTGAACCTGGGAGGCGGAGGTTGTGGTGAGCTGAGATTGCTCCACTGCACTCCAGCCTGGGGGACAGAGCGAGACTCCGTCTCAAAAAAAAAAAAAAGAGGGGGCTGTCCCCTCCTGCCTCTGCCTACCCTCCTCACCCTTCATCCGCAGCACCGACTAGGAGGGGGAGGACGTGGCTGGTGGCCTGCCTCTCTTCCCCATTATCCTGGGAGCCCCGTGGGGACAGGGACCCGGGGCTGATGTCGCCACCGCTGCATCCCCAATGAGTCTCGGGGCTGGCATACAGTAGGCGCTCCATACCTGCGCGAGTGTCTGGGATGGGCAGCTCGGGGGTCTTTGACTACTGGAGGCATGGGGGAGTCTTTTGTCCTTTTTGCTCCTATGGGAGGAACTGGGCGTCGCTGGGGGCAGGAGTCCCCCAAGTCCAGCCCCTGGACCCTACTGGGCCCGAAGAGGGGGAGGGGCAAGTGGGGGGTTTCACAGAGAGGGGCATGGGGGGAACGCAGGTACCCAGGTGCCACCCTGGGAACACCCCGCCCGCGCCCCGCTGGGTCTCCACTGCTTGCAGGGGACAAGGGAATGGGCTCCAGGCTGGCCAATGGGGACGCAGAGGGGGCGCATTACCTCATCAAGCGGCGCGGCCATTGGCTGCGGGCGTCCAGTGGGCGGGAGCAGGGCGCGAGCTCCCGGGACCCGGGAGGGGTTGCAGGGTCCAGCCCCGGAGGATCCTGTGGAAGGGGGGAAGGGGAGGAGAGGGGAGGGGAAGCGAGGGGGGAGTGCAGGAAATGGGGAATTTGCAATATCTGCGGGGCTGTGAGGGGGTCTTTGGAAGAGTGTCGCCCCTACTCCCTGTCTCCCAACTCCACGCTGCCCCCTACTCCGTGTCGTCCCCCTCCCAGGAAGGTCCCCTCGCCTGGGCATCTTGGTGGGGGAGGGGGAGGGGTGGGAAGAGCAGAAGGGGAATGAGAGGGTCCCCTTCCCCCAGCGAAATTAGCAGCTCCCCTCCCAAGGGCTCTTTTATCACCCCTTCCCCCCCTTCCCTCCCCCTCCCCTCCCCGCACGCGCGCGCGCGCACACACACACACATTGTCCCCCAGGCAGCATGGACAGACGCACCCACCCCCACTCAGAACACACCTCCGTTTGTGGAGCTGCCCGAGACCGCAGCATTCCTCCCACAGAATTCCAGGGAGCGCGCATGGTCCACGGACATCCTCGAAGCACCCACAAGTGGTGGGGGGGAGGGCTCCATGTCTTTGAGCCTCAGTTTTCCCTGTGTGAAATGGGGTAGATAAAAGCCTCCACATCCCAGGACTGCTGTGAAGATCCATTCAATCGAGGAACAAGCACAATCACTTGCCCATACGGGGTGCTGGGGATACGGCACCACCGAGTTGGGCCCAGGCTCCACGGTGAGGTCTGGTGGGGAAAAACAGATACAGCGGGTCATTTCAAAAGACCATACAAGCAAACTAAAAAAAAATGACGAAAATAAAAACAAGGGCATGAGGTGGAGAGTGAGTTGGATGTTACTTTAGACCAGCAATCAAGGAGGGCTTTCCTGAGGAGGTGATGTTTAAGGAGAATAAAAAGAAGCTGTGGGGAAAACTGGGAGAAGAGTTCCAGGTGGAGGGAACCAGCCCGTGCAAAGGTCCCGAGGCAGCGCTAAGTCTGACAGAACAGCGAGGAGGCCTGTGTGGCTGGAGCAGAGTGAGGAGGGGGAGAGAGGGAGGAGGGGAGCAGAGGGTGGGGAAGGGATGGGGCAGGTAGTGCAGGGCTAAAAAGCACTTCGTAAGGACTTGGGCTTTGACCCCAAGGGAGATGGAAGCCATGGAGGGCTGTGGGTAGAGGAGGGATGGACGCTGACTCATAGGAGGTTCATAGGAGCTCTCTGGCTGCTTGCTGTGGGGAGGAGAGACTGCGGGGTGGGAGCCAGGTACCAGAATGGAGGTGACCCTGCTCATCCAGATAAGCAGCGATGGTGCCAGGTCAAGGCTGGAACCACAGGAGGAGTGAGGAGAGGACAAGACCAAGGTCTATTTGGAGCCAACAGATTTCATTCTAGAAGTATTGGGTTGTGGGGGAGGTGGATCGGTCGTTCCTGCACAGGACTGGACCCACAGTGGCAGGAGGGGTAAACAGTAGTGGGATAGTTGGGTGGTCTTTTCCTTCCCCCACTGCCTACTCCAGTCCTCTACATTCAAGGCCAAATGAATGAGTGAGTCACCTCCAGCTGAGAGTGGCTGGGAGAGGTATACACTAGGCGCTGACTCAAACCTCCCACTCTGGCGTCTGTACTCCTGAGTCATCCACACCCCCTGCTCCTCACTGTCTCAAAGCCAGAGGGCCAAGTGTACCCCCCAAGCGAGATTAGTAACACATCAAACCTCTCTCAGCACCTCGCCCTCCTGCCTGAGAACCCCAATTCTGCAGTCCCAGCCTCAGCCCCACCTGATATTGAAATCCCCCAGGGTACCCCGGGTGGTTAGTGTGACCTTATTTTGCATGCCTCCAGGACCAGGAAGCTCTCTCTTTTTGAGTAAGTGAAATATCATATGAATGGCCCCCAATTTTTAAAAAATATTATCCTGGACTGTGTTCACCTGTTGTGAACCCTCCATGACTCCCTATCGCCCTCAGGACAAAGTCCCATCTCCTCAGCATGTCTTATAAGTGGTCTGGGCTCTGCTGACTTCCCCAGCTACACCCCCATCCCCATCCCTGCCCCACTTCCCACCCAGTCACGCTCATGGTTGTAAGCGTAATTCCTTCTCAACCTTTGCACAAGCTGTTCTCTCTCTTTGGAAGGCCTTTCTTCCTTCCTTTTTTGCTTGCCTGCCTCAAAGTATACATTTAAGCACAGTTTAGATGTCAGCCCTTCTAGGAAGGCTTCCCCCACCCGCTAGGGTGAGTTAAAGAACCTTGATCTCTCTTGGATACATTGTATCTCCCCTAATCTAGCCTTGCAGATTAGAACTCCCACTCGCCAGCTGCTGACTTCCGGGCTGGTAACTGTTTGCAGGGCTCAGAAATTCACCAGCCATGGGTTTTTGGTGGGGAAATTCTATTCTTCCCAGAACTGTCCCTCTCGGTATCCCTGAGGACATCATTAGTTTAAAACCATCTCCTCTGATCAGCTCCCCGCAGGCTGCCCCCCATGCAACCACAGCCCCGGGGCGGAGAAGTGGGGGGTTCTTTTTGAAGAGTGGTTGACTAACAGCCATTAGATGAATGGGCAAAGCACAGCGTTTTCATTTCTGCTGCATCTACAAACTAAATGTTCCCATGTAATTACAATTAAGGACATGTTCGCCTGTGACAGCTCCTGGCTTCCTGGCCTCCCCAGCCACTCTCTCCCGCCACTTCTTGGGCCATTTGCTATTTTCTCCTCCTTTCCCCCCCTCTTCTTTGGCTTTCTCTTCTCCAGTCCTCAGTTCTTCTTCCCAATTTCCTCATTTCTCCCCACCTTTCTGCTTTGAAACTCCTTCTTTTCCTTCTTTTCTTCTCTCTGTCTCTTCCTGTCTCTCTGCCTCTGTCTCTCTCTCTCTTCCTATATTTCAGTTTCCTCTATGTCTCTCAGTTTCTGTTTATCTCTTTGTCTCTCTTTTCTCTGTTTCTTTTTTTTTTTTTTTTTTTTTGAGACGGAGTCTTGCCCAGGCTGGAGTGCAGTGATGTGATCTCGGCTCACTGCAAGCTCTGCCTCCCAGGTTCACGCCATTCTCCTGCCTCAGCCTCCTGAGTAGCTGGGACTGCAGGCGCCCGCCACCACACCCGGCTAATTTTTTTTTGTATTTTTAGTAGAGACGGAGTTTCACCGTGTTAGCCTGGATGGTCTCGATCTCCTGACCTCGTGATCTGCCCGCATCGGCCTCCCAAAGTGCTGGGATTACAGGCGTGAGCCACCGTACCCGGCCTCTTTTCTCTGTTTCCATCTCTCTTTCTCTCTGTCTCTGCCCCTCTCTGAGTCTTCCCTCTTTTTTAATGATGTATAACTTATAAAGTGCTCAAATCTTGTGTGTAGCTTGAGGAATCGTGACATGGACATAGACCCCCTTGGCTACCACCACAGCAAGACGTAGAACATTCCAACCCTCAGAAGCTCCCTTGGTGCCTCCTCGCAATTAGATCCTCTCAAGGATAACTGTACTTTTTTCTTTTTTTGAGACAGAGTCTCGCTCTGATGCCCAGGCTGGAGTGCAGTGGTGCGATCTCAGCTCATTGCAACCTCCGCCTCCCGGTTTCAAGTGATTCTCCTGCCTCAGACTCCTGAGTAGCTGGGATGACAGGCAAGCTCTACCACGGCTGGCTAATTTTTTGTATTTTTAGTAGAGACTGGGTTTCACCATGTTGCCCAGGCTGGTCTCAAACTCCTGACCTCAATTGATCCACCTGCCTCAGCCTCCCAAAGTGCTGGGATTATAGGAATAAGCCACTGCGCCTCTCTTTAGCCTTCCCAACCGTGGTGTCAGACCTCTGCCCCCCAACCCTGATTCTGGGACTAGAGTGTCCTCGACACCTCCCACCCTCCCCAGTTGCCCTTTCAGGGCAGGCACAGATGAGGGCCGTGGGCCCGGGATGAAGGGAGGCCTTCTGTGGATGAAGCAACCCTTTAGGAGAGCCAACTATGGCCCCCCTGAGCTCCCCAGGGGACATTACAGGCCAGGACCCTTTTTGTCCTAAAACCCTTTCTGATTCTGATTCTGGTGTGAAAATCCCCCTCACTAGGCATTTTTTTTTTTTTTTTTTTTTTTTTTTTTTTTTTGAGACGGAGTGTCCCGCTCTGTCGCCAGGCTGGAGTGCAGTGGTGTGATCTCGGCTTACTGCAACCTTTGCCTCCTGGGTTCAAGCGATTCTCCTGCCTCAGCCTCCTGAGTAGCTGGGACTACAGGCGCCTGCCACCATGCCTAGCTAATTTTTTTTTGTATTTTTAGTAGAGACGGGGTTTCACCATGATGGCCAGGATGATCTTGATCTCCTGACCTTGGGATCCGTCTGCCTTGGCCTCCGCCTGCCTCGGCCTCTGCCTGCCTCAGCCTCCCAAAGTGCTGGGACTACAGGCGTGAGCCACCGTGCCCGGCCTCGCTAGACTCTTATGAAGACAAACACCCTCCTGGGGGTCCCAGCGCCCCCTGATCTGACCCTACAGATGAGCCTTTTGGCTCAGGAAACTTCGCTTTTCCTTCCCCATCTACAGATGGTACAACTGAGGCCCAGTGTGGGGTGCTCGCCCAACGTCAGACGGTAGAGTCTGAACCCAGTACGAGTAGGATCCAGGCCTGCAAAGGGACAGCTCTGAGCTGTGTAGCCTCAGGATGGCTCCTTCTCTGTCCTGAGCCTGTGTCCATCCTACCCCTTTCTTCCCTGCTTACCCAAAGCCTCCCAGCCTCCAAAGGCAGGACTTGAGCCTCATGCATCTTTTTTCTTTCCCTACAGTAACCTAGCACAGGGCTGGGTCTCTGGTTGGAAAAAAATACCAACAGTGGGCTGGGTGTGGCGGTTCCTGCCTGTAATCCCAGCACTTTGGGAGGCCTAGGCAGGTGGATCACTTGAGGTCAGGAGTTTGTGACCAGCCTAGCCAACATGGTGAAACCCCCATCTGTACCAAAAATACAAAAATTAGCCAGGTGTGGTGGTGCACCCCTGTAATCCCAGCTGCTTGGGAGGCTGAGGCACAAGAATCTCTTGAACCTGGGAGGCCGAAGTTGCAGTGAGCCAAGATGGCGCCTCTGCACTCCAGCCTAGGTGACGGAGTGAGACTCCGTCTCAAAAAACGAACAAACAAAAAAACCAACAACGACGACCTTCATCACCATCACCATCATCCCTGCGTTACTGAGCGTTCACTATGTGCCAAGCCTTGTGCTGAGGATTTAACCTGAATCCTCTTGGATAATCCAGGCCATCATTCACAAGGCTCTTCTGAAATAAACCCTGTCATTATCTCCATTTTCCAGATGAGTAGGTCAAAGCTCTGAGAGGATGCGGTGCTTGGCTGAAGGTCATGCAGCCAGTAAATGGCAAAGCTGGGATTTGAACCCATCTCTGGGCGACCCCAGACCTCCAGCACTGGAGGAAAATGACAACATAAACTCGATCCCTCCTCTCCCCTCCCTGTGGCTGAAACTGGGTTTGCAGACACCAAATGCAGGCTGTCAGCAGCTCCTCTGGCCTCTGATAAATCGAGAGAATTAAAATCCATTTAGAGGGAAATCTCTAAATAGGTCTGCGTTGTGTTTTGTGTGTGGGGTTTTTTTTTTGTTTGTTTGTTTGCCATCTTTTTTTTTTTTTTTCCCTCTTCCCCCGGCTGTCTCCAACTGGGTAATGTATTCTAGGAGCAGAACTGATTCTGACTTAATTGAATTTAAAAGCAGGTATTACATCTGCACCTTGTAAGCGAATGCACGTGGAGGAACGGCTGCCGGGATGGAGTGTTGTTTTTTATTTTTTATTTTTTTGAGACAGAGTCTCGCTCTGTTGCCCAGACTGGAGTGCAGTGGCACGATCTCGGCTCACTGCAACCTCCGCCTCCTGTATTCAAGCGATTCTCCTGCCTCACCCTCTGGAGTAGCCGCCACCATGCCCAGCTAATTTTTTGTATTTTTTAGTAGAGATGGGGTTTCACCATGTTAGCCAGGCTGGGCTTGAACTCCTGACCTCAGGTGATCCACCGGCCTCGGCCTCCCAAAATGCTGGGATTACAGGCGTGAGCCACCGCGCCCGGCCGGGATGGAGTGTTTTTACCCAGTGTCGCTTTAATCTTTCTTTGTACTGAAGAAGTGGCATCAATCCCCATTTGGGACTCCTTGTTAGGGGCCACCCCAGGCTGAGCCATAAAGGGTGGCGGGTTTGGAGACGTCAGGCCACGAAGACTTGCAGGTGAATTGGAGTGCTTAGGCGTCGAGAGAATGGGTGCAGGAACTCAGCTGCCTGCTTTATCTTTCATCTTCCATTTCACTCTCATCTCTCCCTGGCGCCCTGTTAGCCTCGCCTCCAAGCCATGCCCAAGCCACACCCCAACCACGCCCCCAACCTCCCACCTCTCACCCTCGCCTTTGCCCTTATCCTGATCTGAACCCCCAGCACCTCCTGGACTTACTCTATCCTGGATCTCCTACAGCAGCCAAAGTGATTGCATCCTTTTTTTTTTTTTTTTCTTGAGATGGAGTCTTGCTCTGTCTCGCAGGCTGGAGTGCAGTGGTGTCATCTCAGCTCACTGCAACCTCTGCCTCCCAAGTTCAAGCAATTCTCCTGTCTCAGCCTCCTGAGTAGCTGGGATTACAGGCACCTGCCACCATGCATGGCTAATTTTTGTATTTTTAGTAGAGACGGGGTTTTACTATGTTGGCCAGGCTGGTTTCGAACTCCTGACCTTGAGCGATCCACCCACCTCAGCCTCCCAAAGTGCTGGGATTACAGGCCTGAGCCACCACACCCGGCCTATTCATTTTTTTTTCTCTCTCTCTTTTAAAAAAAAATTGTGGTAAAATATGCATAATATAAAATTCACCATCTTAACCACTTTTATGTTTATTTTTCTCAGAGACAGTCTTGCTCTGTCACCCAGGCTGGAGTGCAGTGGTACAATCATAGCTCACTGCACCCTTGAACTCCTGGACTCAAGTGATCCTCCCACCTCAGCCTCCCGAGTAGCTGGGATTACAGGTGTGTGTCACCACTCCCAGCTATTTTTTTGTTTTGTTTTGTTTTTGAGACAGAGTCTTGCTGTGTTGCATAGGCTGGAGTGCAGTAGCACGATCTAGGCTTGCTGCAACCTCCGCCTCAGGGGCTCAAGTGATTCTCGTGCCTCAGCTTCCCAAGTAGCTGGGATTACAGGCATACGCTGCCACACCCAGCAAATCTTTTGTATTTTTAGCAGAAATGGGGTTTCGCCATGTTGGCCAGGCTGGTCTCAAACTTCCGGCCTCAAATTGATCCACTTGCCTTAGCCTTCAAGGTGATGGGATTACAGGTGTGAGCAACCGTGCCCAGCCCAAATTTTAATTTTTTTTTTTTTTTGTAGAGACAGGTTCTGGTTATGTTGCCCAGGCTAGCCATTTTAACCATTTTGAAGTGTACAATTCAGTGGCAGTAAGTACATTCACAATGTTGTGCGACCATCACCACTATTTCCAAAAATTTTTCATTAGCCCAAAAGGAAACCCTGTAAGCATTAAGCGATAACTCCCCATTGCCCTCGGCAACCTTGATTCTACATCCTGTCTCCAGGAATTTGCCTCCTCTAGGGATCTCATATAAGTGGAATCATACAGTATTTGTCCTTCTGTAGACAGTAGGCTTCTTTCATTGAGCATAATGTTTTCAAGGTTCATCCACCTTGTAGCATATGTCAGAACTCCTTTTCTTTTCTTTTTTTTCTTTTTTTTGAGACGGAGTCTCGCTCTGTCACCCAGGCTGGAGTGCAGTGGCGCAATCTCGGCTCACTGCAAGCTCCGCCTCCCGGGTTCACGCCATTCTCCTGCCTCAGCTTCCCGAGTAGCTGAGACTACAGGTGCACGCCGTCCCGCCCGGCTAATTTTTTGTATTTTTAGTAGAGACGGGGTTTCACCATGTTAGCCAGGATCATCTCGATCTCCTGACCTTGTGATCTGCCTGCCTCAGCCTCCCAAAGTGCTGGGATTACAGGCGTGAGCCACCACGCCCAGCCTCTTTTCTTTTTTGAGACAGAGTCTCACTCTATCACCCAGGCTGGAGTGCAGTGGCATGATCTCGGCTCACCGACACCGCCGCCTCCCAGGTTCAAGGGATTCTCCTGCCTCAGCCTCCCGAGTAGCTGAGATTACAGGCACACACCACCATGCCCAGCTAATTTTTTTTATTTTTAGTAGAGACATCATTTTGACCAGGCTGGTCTCGAACTCCTGACCTCAGGTGATCTGCCCACCTCGGCCCCCCAAATGGTGGGATTACAGGCATGAACCACAATGCCAAGCCCATTTCTTTCTTTTTTCTTTTTTTGAAACAGTGTCTCACTCTGTCACCCAGACTGGATTGCAGTGGCGCTATCATAGCTCACTGCAGCCTCAACCTCCCAGGCTCAAGCGATCCTCCAGTCTCCACCTCCTAAGTAACTAGGACTACAGGTGCACGCCACCATGCCCGGATAAATTTTTTATTTTTATTTTTATTTTTATTTTATTTTTATTTTTATTATTTTATTTTTTTATAGAGACAGGGCCTCACTATGTTGCCCAGGCTGGTCTCAAATTTCCGTGCTCAAGAGATCCTCCCACCTTGGCCTCCCAAAGTGTTCGGATCACAGGTGTGTGTCACCGCACCCAGCCATAACTTCTTTTCTTTTTAAGGCTGAGCAATATTCCACTGTTTGGATGGACCACACTGTGTTCATCCATTCATCCATCCGTGGACTCTAGGTTGTTTCCGCCTTTGGCTGTTGTGAATCGTGCTCTGTGAACATGCATGTACAAGGATCTACGTGAGTCCCTGCTTGGAATTGTTGAATCATACGATCATTCTATGTCAAAATGATTTTTTTTTAGCAAATGCCATTCACTCTCCTGCTCTAAATCCTTCTGTGGCTCCATATTGTCCCCAGAAAAGTGGAAACCCTGTCCCATGGGCCTCAAAGCACTGCCAACTTCTCCCTCCACATCTCCCCTACGCCTCCTCTTCCCCACCCACTGCATACTGCAGCCACACTAAGTAACCTTCACTTGCTCCCAGGCCTTCGCACATGCTGTTCTTCCTCCCTGAAAACACTCTTCCCCATTTGTTTTGTTTTGTTTTGTTTTGTTTTATTTATTTATTTATTTATTTAGAAGCAGAGTCTCGCTCTGTTGCCCAGGGCTGCAGTGCAATGGTGCAATCTCAGCTCACTGCAACCTCTGCTTCCCAGGTTCAAGCACTTCTCATGCCTCAGCCTCCCGAGTACCTGGGATTATAGGCACCCGCCATCATGCCTAGCTAATTTTTGTATTTTTAATAGAGACAGGGTTTCACCATGTTGGCCAGGCTGGTCTCAAACTCCTGACCTCAGGTGATCCTCCCACCTTGGCCTCCCAAATTGCTGGGATGACAGGCGTGAGCCACCGCGCCCACCCTGTTGGTTTGTTTTAGAGACAGGGACCTGCTCTGTCACCCAGGCTGGAGTGCAGTGGTGCAATCATAGCTTACTACAGCCTCGACTTCCTGGCCTCAAGCAATTCTCCCACCTCAGCCTCCCAAGTAGCTGGGACCACAGGTGTGCACCACTACACCTATTTCTTTTTTAAATAGAGATGGGGTCTTGCTATGTTGCCCAGGCTGGTCTCAAACTCCTGAGCTTGAGGGATCATCCTGCCTCGGCCTCCCAAAGTGTTGGGATTACAGGCATCAGCCACGGTAGCCAA
This sequence comes from Homo sapiens, assembly GCF_000001405.40. Taxonomy (NCBI): domain Eukaryota; kingdom Metazoa; phylum Chordata; class Mammalia; order Primates; family Hominidae; genus Homo; species Homo sapiens. The sequence continues at coordinate 5,427,067 of NC_000019.10, read as the reverse complement.
CTTCTTCCCTATTTCTTATTTGGTTGACTCCTCAGCTTTCAGCTCAGCTGTCCCTGCCTCCAGGAAGCCCTCCCTGATCTCCCAGGCTGGGTCAGACACCTTCTCTGGGCCCCCAGAGCTGCCTGAATCTCCCCCATCATGGTTCTGATTGTGGGCCACAAGTGACCTGTACATCTCCCCCACTGGGAGGGTGGAGCTGGGTCTATCTCAATGACCAGCACCCATTGCAGGATCTGGCACACAGTAGGTACTCAATAAATGCTTGCTAAATGCTACCATGATTATTTCTGTCCCCCTCAACCCCCACGCCAGACCCCGTGCCCTTGAGAAATAGAGACACAGCCACTTCCACACCAACTTCTTCCGTCTAATGGCAGACCTCAAACAGTATCTCAGGCTGTCGATTAGAAATAGATCCAATCAATGTGCTCGTTTTTCATTCCACAGTGCGTCTGTGATGGATGGGCGGGTGGGAGTGCTATTAAGCCGGGAGAATTTTCTATACGTTCCAGGCTCTGGGTAGACTTTCTTCAAAAAGCTATCCGGCCAGATCTCAAATGAGAAAGTTATTAAACACACACACTCTCTCTCTCACACACATATTGCAGGAGAGCATCCCGTTCTCGGGGAAAAAAAAAAATAAAAGCAATTAATACATAACTGCAAATGTGGCAGTCTTTGCTTGGAGGCTGTGAGGACTACAGCTGACAGGGAGAAAGAGGCAATTGTTTTTCTTTTTTTCCCAAACACATCAAAGTTCTCCCTGGAAGCGGCAGCCAGTAAATTATAGACTCATTTTCACTACAGTGTCTTAAGTTGGATACCCCAGAAGTAGCTCCTGAAACAAGGATTTGGGGGTAAGTTGTTTATGTGGGAAGTGATCCAGGAAGCCCCAGGAGAGTGGGGAAGTGAGACAAGGAAGGAAAGAACCAACACTTATGAGCAGGTGACTGCCCTGAGCAACTGGGCTCAGTCCCACTGGATACCCTTGGGAGATGGTGTATAGCATGCACTTGTTCTTCCCAAGAGAATGAGAGAGGTGGGATATTTATCCACCAGCGCCTGTCCATCACTGGTGAAGGGCTGCTTCCTGAGACATCAATTCTCTGTCACTTCCAGCCTGGCCCTCACCCAGGTGACTGCAGAAGGATGCTGTTGGCAGGTGCTGAAATGTGGGTGCAGTAGGGATGCCCACAGCGTCTGCTACACACAGTAGCATTCGCAAAGCCTCGATTTCTTATCACCATTCATTCATTCAGAAATATTTATTAAGCTCACACTGGATGCTGTGCTGGGGGGCTGGAGACAGTGGTGAAATAGATCCAGCCCTTGCCCTCTAGGAATTCAAAGACACATAACCAGGCATTTACAGCCTGTGATGAGGGAAGCTCAGGCAGCTGGGGTAGCTCAGGAAGACTCCTTTCTCAGCATTGTAGAGCAGGGTCAGGTGAAGCTTCCCTGAGGGATGACATTTAAAGATGAGCAGGTGCTAGGTGAACAAGGAGAAGCAGGGGTGGAGCAAGGAAGAATGAAGTAGCTAGACTATGAAGAATTTTGAAAATAAAGTTTAGACTTTCTCTTGAGGGCACTGGGGAGCCATGGAGAGTTACAGAGGGGAGAGGGGAAGGGTCAGACTTACACTTAAGATCGATCCTCCTGGCTGCTGTGTGGATGCTAGGAGCCCATCAAGAAGGCTATTGTAGGAGCTGATGGTGTCTATTGAAAAACACAGATAGGGGTACAGAGTGGGGCTGCCATGGAGACAGTAATGTTGAAATCAATAGGACTTGGTGAGTGTGAAATTGGCAGGGCCGGCTGTTGATAAGAAAGGGAGATAGAGAGGCTTGTTCACAACTTTCCAGAAAAAGAGTGGGGCCATCAGGGAGGGGGTTACAGGAGGAGGTGCTGGAGGGGGATAAAAAGGATGCATTGGGAGTTGGGTAGGATGTACCTGCTGGACCTCCAAGAGGAGGCATCCAGGAGGAACTGGAGAGAGATCTGGGGCCAAGTCTGGGTGGAGACAGAAGTCAGGGCATCTTCAGGATGATTAAAGCTGCAGGAAAAAGTTCCTAAATTTGGATCATCCAGGAAATAGGCCAGTTTCAATTGCAGGATATTAAAATAATAGTAACAATAAATAATACATTTCTTTTTTTCTTTCCCAGTGGCGAATGTTAGAAGCCCAGTTCTCGAGTTCTGTGTCCTGGTTCCAGCAACCCCAGTGGCCCTCCAAGCTATGATGCCTAGAAACCCATCCAATATTGCCATCTGCGTCCTTCAGTCACATGACCAGGCTGAGCTAATCAGGAAGTCAGCAGGAATAGGCTTCAGTGATTGGCTGGAGCCAGAGGTGGAACCAATTCCCTCTCAGGGTTGGAAAAGAGGAAACGTGTGCATTGGTTAAGGTAACACTCCCTGCCATTATAAACTGGCAAGCCTCAATGACCCAACAGAAGTTTGTTGCTCATATAAAGAGCAAACAGGTGTTCCTTTGTTTCCACCTAGTAACTCAGGGATCAGGCCCCGCTGTCTTGTACCTCCTCCATCTTTAAAGTGTAGGTTGCAGAAAGAGCCTGGGCCAGAACGTAAGTCATGGCCACATCACTTCTGCCCACCTTCCACTGGCTCAATTAAGTCACATGGCTGCCCCAACTGCAAGGAATGCTGGGAAACACCTTGCTATGTGCCCTGAAGAAGGAGGAAATGGGTTTGGAGAGCAGCCAGGCAGCGGCGAAACCAGGTTGCTTCTGCGTCCTACAGGTGGAGGGAAGAATGAAGGTCAGGGAATACCCACAAATATCTACCAAGACGACCCTTGTCACAAAAAAAAATGGAGAAAAATTCTCTAATCCGCCTCATGTTGTTGCTCGAGGGATGGAGAGTGTCCTCACTGGTTCAGAAGCCTCAAGGGGTTGGTGACCACGTATGTCTTGGTCACCACTATGTATCCATATTCTAGAACAATGCCTGGCATAGAGTAGTTGCTGGATATATATTTACTGAATAGGTGAGTGGATGGCTGAGTGGGAAGATGGATGGGTGGGTGGATGGATGTTTGGGTGAATGGATGGATGTTTGGGTGAATGGATGGGTAGATGGATGGGTGGTGGGTGGATAGTAGATGCATGGATGGATGATTGGGTGGTGGATGGGTGGATGGATGGATGGATGGTTGGATGGATGTTTGGGCAGATGGTGGGTGGATGAATGGTGGATGGGTTATGGGTGAATGGTGGATGGATGGATGGATGGATGGATGGATGGGCAGATGGATGGATGAGTGGATGGATGGATGTGTGGGTGGAGTGGGTGGAGGGGTGGTGAGTGGGTGGATGGATGGATGTGTGGGTGGATGGATGGATGTGTGGGTGGATTGATGGGTCAATGGATGGATGGTAGGTGGATGAATGGATAGGTGGATGGACAGGTGAGTCTGTTTATCAGTGAAGCCATCTCTTCTCCATCTTTGGGCTGCACTGAAATGGCCGTGGGCACTGATAGTATGAGCCCCCAAATAGATCCCTGGCCATAATTCTAGAACTCTAAGGTATTGGGACAGTCTTCCTGCCCTTCAGGTAGATAGAGCCCAGCCTGGTGGCCATGAGACGGTTTTAGGTGATGCATGAAACAGTCTTAACACCACGGACTCTTATAGGGAGAGAGCTCTTCCTTTGCATGTCTTTTGCAAGAAGAAAGTCTTAACTGGGTGTGAATCAGTCTTTAACACCTTCTTGGACACGTGAAATATCCTTTTTGGACAAAGAGAGAGATCAGGCTCCAGCTCAGAGCTCAGAGGCAACTATCTTTCGTCAGAAATTAATAATATGATTTTATTCTCATTAAGTTAGTTTCTACTTATGGTCAGTGATTCTGGCTTTTCATTTACAGTCATGATAAACAATTTCCTTCTAAATACATTTAAGGTTTTAAGAAGTGGGTCCATTAGAAGAAAAATATTCAGGAAATAATAGTAGAAGTAGTAGAAAGGTGATGTAAGATGGATTGAAATTTGGGCAGCTGAAGTTTGAGCAGCTGACCTGACCTGCCTCACAGTTGCTGTGTGAGCTGGGGCAAATCATTTCACATCTCTGATCTTCAGTTTTCTCATCTGAAAATGATTTCAATAATTCTGGTCTCACCAAAGAGTTTTGGTGGCCAGGCATGGTGTCTCATGTCTGTAATCCCAGTGCTTTGGGACGCTAAGGTGGGAGGATCACTTGAGGCCAAGAGTTGGAAACTAGCCTGTGGAGCATAGCAAGACCCCATCTCTCCAAAAATAAAAATAATGAGCCTGGGTGTGGTGGCACATGTCTGTAAGTCTCAGCTACTCGGGAGGCTGAGGCAAGAGGTGTGGGGGTTCAGTCAGGGTGGAGGAAAAGATTTTAGAGGAAATAAACACAGACCTTCTTGGAAGGCCGAGAGGTTTGCATAGCTTTAGCAAAAGTCTTGGCTGAAGGCAGCTGAGTTCTCTTAAAAGCTCAGGGCGTAGATGCGTAGGAATGTAGAGGAGTTTGTCTAACGCGCTTGTTTACTCAGTCCTAAAACTAACTGATCACTCATGGGTAAGATGGCTCTCCCGGGGTGGGAGCAACCAGATTAATTACCCACAGGTGTGTTGACTCAAAGCCTTTGTCGTTAAAACTGTGCTCAGGCCGGGGGCGTGGTGGCTTACACCTGTAATCTCAGCACTTTGGGAGGCCGAGGCGGATGGATCATGAGGTCAGGAGATCAAGACCATCCTGGCTAACATGGTGAAACCCCGTCTCTATTAAAAATACAAAAATAAAAAAATTAGCCAGGCGTGGTGGCGGGCGCCTGTAGTCCCAGCTACTCGGGAGGCTGAGGCAGGAGAATGGCGTGAACCTGGGAGGTGGAGCTTGCAGTGAGCCGAGATCACACCACTGCACTCCAGCCTGAGCGACAGAGCGAGACTCCGTCTCAAACAAACAAACAAACAAACAAACAAACAAAACTGTGCTAAATAAATGCCCTCAGGGCCAGCTAGTCGGGACTGTGGCTGCTGACTCTTTACAGCACCTTCCGTGGTGTCTGTGAGTGGCTCGACCCGTAGCTGCTCTTTCACTGAATATCAGTGTCTGGGTACATTATTCATCCATCGTGCAAGCTGGGGTCTGCAGGCCAGATCCTCGCAAAGAAGATTGCTTGAGCCAAGAAGTTTCAGGCCGCAGTGAGTTGTGATAGCAGCATCGCACTGCAGCCTGGGCAATGGAGCAAGACCCTGTCTCTAAACAACAACAACACACCAAATAGTTTTGGTGATTAGTTTGGTGATAGTTTTGGTCACACACACAGCTGTGTGACCCTGGGAAAAGTCTCTCCCCATTCTGGGTCTGATTTTTGTCTGTCAGCCTCAGAAAACAAAGTGGATATGGATGAAAATTTTCCCCTGAAGTGAGGGAGGATTTATTATGGATAGGAGCCATCTCTTACCAGTTCTTAGGAGTTTTTTTTTTTTTTTTTTTGTCATGGATGAGACTACCGTTTTAACCTATTCTCAGGAAAGGCTCTGGGGTCTGTCACCCATGCTGTTACTGCTTTTCCCAGAGATTATTTGCAGAACAAATCTGTGTGCTCTTGGTGGAATGAGACGCATTGTCACCCTGGACAGTTTTTCAGGCACTTAGAGTGTGTTGGGGGAAAGATTTGGAGGAGGGTTTCCAGGAGCTTAATACTCACACCTGGAGACAGAGCTTTGGGGATTCTGCCCAGGAGAGGACTTAAGGCCACCCTGGAATGACCCGGGTGTGAGTGTGAGTTTGTGTGTGTCTGTACGAGTGTGTATCCTGGTGATCTTGCGGTTGAGCCCCTCGACCTTTCTCAAGAGTCCTGGCTGCATCCTCTCCTCCCGTCCCCCACCCCTCCAGCCAGGCCCGGTGTGTTTTCCCTCGATGACATTTGAAATCTTTTAATAGTTGTCACATTAGCATACATTTGCATACCTTATGCTAATCAGGCTATTTATTTTTGAAAAAGCACTTTGACTTGTGGGGCCCTTTCTCAAAGGGGGAACTCACTGAGTTTTTCCTGGAGACTGTCTATCTCCCTTGGGGGTGGGTGTCAGGAGGGAAACTGCATTCTGCCACAAACTGGAGCAGGGGGTGACCCCTTCATAGACACACCACAGGGGAGAGAGACATGTCATCAGCCTGGACTTTTGCTGGGTGCCTAGATCATGCCTGGGTGATGGATACTGTTCTTTTTTTTTTTTTTGAGATGGAGTTTCGGTCTTTTTACCCAGGCTGGAGTACAAAGGCACGGTCTCGGCTCACTGCAACCTCCACCTCCCGGGTTCAAGTGATTCTCCTATCTCAGCCTCCCAAGTAGCTGGGATTACAGGTGCCCACCACCACACCCAGCTAGTTTTTGTATTTTTAGTAGAGACGGGTTTTCGCCATGTTGGCCAGGCTGGTCTCGAACTCCTGACCTCAGGCGATCTGCCCGCCTCAGCCTCCCAAAGCGCTGAGATTACCGGTGTGAGCCACCACACTCGGCCTGGATACTGTTCTTATGCCTGTTTTACAGAGTAGGCAATAGAGGCAGGATAAACACAGGCTCTGTGTCCCCACCCAAGGATTTGGCTTCAGCACTTGGCCCTTTCTCTTCGGTAACATCTTCTGGCTCTGCTGGGCAGGTCCCATCTTATAGGGAAAAAGTAAACTTCCACATCCCCCTCCGGTGACCAACCATATCCTTGCCTCTTTGTTTGTTTTTTGAGATGGAGTCTTGCTCTGTTGTCCAGGTTGGAGTGCAGTGGCGTGATCTTGGGTCACTGCAAACTCTGCCTCCTGGTTCAAGCAATTCCCCTGCCTCAGCCTCCCGAGTAGCTGGGCTTACAGGCGCACACCACCATGCCCAGCTAATTTTTGTATTTTTAAGTAGAGGCGGGGTTTCACCATGTTGGTCAGGCTGGTCTTGAACTCCTGACCTCAGGTGATCCACCCACCTTGGCCTCCCAAAGTGCTGAGATTACAGGTGTGAGCCACCACGCCCGACCTCCTTGCCTCTTTTTATGGCCAAACTCCTGGAGATTGAGTTGTCTACACTCACTGTCTGCACTTCTGTTCTCTTTCTTTCTCCTGAGCCTTCTCCACCCATCAGCCTGGCCTCTCACACCTTCCGCCACTGAAGCTGCCCTTGTCAAAGTGTTACCCGAAGGGGTCCTGATCCAGGTCCCAAGGGAGGGTTCTTGGATCTCGCACAAGAAAGAATTCAAGGTGAATCCATAAAGTGAAAGCAAGTTTATTAAGAAAGTAAAGGAATAAAAGAATGGCTACTCCATAGTCAGAGCAGCCCTGAGGGCTGCTGGTTGCCCATTTTTATGGTTCTTTCTTGATGATATGCTAAACAAGGGGTGGATTATTCATGCCTCGCCTTTTTAGACCATAGAGGGTAAATTTCTGGCGTTGCCGTGGCATCTGTAAACTGTCATGGTGCTGATGGGAGTGTAGCAGTGAGGAAGACCAGAGGTCACTCTTGTCGCCATCTTGGTTTTGGTGGGTTTTAGCCGGCTTCTTTACTGCAAGCTGTTTTATCAGCAAGGTCTTTATGACCTGTACCTTGTGCCGACCTGCTATCTCGTCCTGTGACTTAGAATGCCTAACTGTCTGGGAATGCAGCCCAGTAGGTCTCAGCCTTATTTTACCCAGTCCCTATCCAAGATGGAGTTGTCCTGGTTCAAACGCCTCTGACAGAAGTCAGCGTTGACCCGCCCCATCCTATTCCTCGTCCCTCTGGACGGCGTCTGACCGGCTGGTGCCCCGCCCCTCCTGGAAACACTGGCCTTTCCTTCTACCTCTCTGGGTCCCTCTTCTGTCCCTCTCTCTGTCCATTGCTGGTCAAGGGCTGGGTTCTCAGGCCTCTTTGCTCCTCTATCCACACCCTTCCAGGTCGGCCTCATTAACTCTCGGGGCTCTAAACCCATCTACACCCACTGATACCCACAGTCCTGTCTCCAGTCTGGGCCTCCGCCAGCTCCAAACTTGGCCTTGATGGGCATTTCACACTCAACACAGCCATGTCGGGCTGCACCGGACCCCCTAAACTGCTCTTCTTGCATCTCCCCATCTCAGCTGAGGTCAGCCCTTGTAGCTGCTCAGAGGGAATCTTGGGGTCTCCCTGCCTCCTCTTCCTCCCACCCACATCCTCAGCAAACCTCAGCACTCTACCTTGGAGAGCTCCATGAAGCCCTCTCCTCTCCCTCTGATTCCACACGGAATGCTCTTTTCACCCTCCCTGCCTTTGCCCCTTGCACTCTCCACGCCTGTGCTTATTCGCCCCTTTGTGTGCCAGGCAAGAGCCAGCCTCAGGGTCCTTGCCCTGGCTGTCCCCTATGCTTGAAACTACCGGCAGATAAGCCTGTTTTGCTTCCTGTATCCCCAGCACATAAAACAGCACCCAGCACACAGTAGGTGCTCAATAAACACCTCGGTGCTTATGGAAGGCATAATTCATTAAACCTGCATTCATTTGGTGCATGCCAGAATATATATGCATAGAAAAAAAAATCTCTGGAAGGATATATCCCACCCACACACCCACCCACCCCCGCAGAACTGGGGGTGGTTTTTGCTGAGATAACAGATCTCAACATTTTTAAATATTTGCCACAAAGAATGTAACTTCATCAGGCATGAAAAAAACAAACAAAAAACTCAGTGCCGTTTCAGTGCAGTGACCCACCAGCTGTGTGACCCCAGGCAAATGGCATTCCTTCTCTGAGCCTCAATTTCCTCATCTCAGAAAGCAGGGATTATCCTAGCACTATCCCCAGCAAAGCCCTCCAGAGCTGTACCTCCAAGTCTCAAGGAAAGAGTTAAATCCCGGTCTGAGGCGGTGATATTTGCAATGCATGAGGTTTAAACATTTTCAATAAAGAAAAACAAACCCAGGCCGACGCGCTTTCTGATTTATAGTAATTGCAAACCAGCAGCCGTTAATATAATTGTCCGGTGGAGGGGGGTGGCGGGGGGCTTCACGCGGGGCCCAATCAGCCCAGGGTGGGATGCGGCCCCAGTCAGGTTAAGCAAACGCATTACTTTAATAACCTGGGGAGGCAGCTGGAGCCATTAGCAAGAAGGGAGAATAAATATTATCCCAAGAAGCTCCAGAATCCGCAGTTTTATCACCGAGAATTGTCCCCCGTGCTATTTACTTTCAATTTAGATTTTCGGGAAAGTGGTTCTTGGCACATTTTATATATGAAGGAGAATGACTGGAATTGAAATATGACCTGATTTTGCCGTCTGAGAGAAAAAAGAGCCACAGTTTTTTGGGGTCGAGTGAGCTCTCGGCGCTGTCCCACTGAGTCACTCTTAAGATCAAAGCACTGGGACACAGAGGCTCACACACGTTGTGCAGGCGCTGGGGTTTGACCTGAGTCTGCTCCAGAGGCGCAGGGAATATGGGGACAAACGTCCAGGGAGGTGGCCTCATTTGATGACAGCGGACTTTAGAGATCTTCTGGTCTCGTTAGTTTGCCGGTGGGGGGAGACTGAGGCTGAGAGCGAGGCTGTCATGGGCTACTTGAGTCTACTCACCTGATTCTTCTTGCCAACTGTATCTTCTCTCACTCAAGAACCCTCATTGGCTCCCTAGGGTCCCCCGAATCAAACCCGCTTCTGCTATTTTTTACATTCAGAATGGAATTCAAAACGGATCACAGGGGCCAGGCACGGTGGCTCAGGCCTGTAATCCCAGCACTTCGGGAGGCCGAGGTGGGTGAATCACTTGAGGTCAGGAATTCAAGACCAGCCTGGCCAGCATGGTGAAAACCCATCTCTACTAAAAGTACAAAAATTAGCCAGGCGTGGTGATGCATGCCTGTAATCCCAGCTACTCAGGAGGCTGAGGCAGGAAAATCGCTTGAACCCGGGAGGCGGAGGTTGCAGTGAGCTGAGATCACACCACCGCACTCCAGCCTGGGAGACAGAGCGAGACTCGGTCTCAAAAAAAAAAAAAAAAAAAAAAAAAAAAAGGGATCACACAGGTCTACATGTAAAATGTAGAAGAAAACATGAGAAAAAAATCTTCAATAGGGTCTCCTCTCTTGGCTTTGGAGCCTCCCCTCCTGCTGTGTCTCTATAGGGAGCTGCTTCCTTCTTTCCTCTTCCTTCTTGCCTATTGAACTCTCTGCTCCTTAAAACAAAACAAAATAAAATCTTTAAGACATGAGGTTAAGCAAAGAGTTCTTAGGGATGACACCCAAGAATGAGCCATAAAGGAAGAAACTGATGAATTGGACTTCATCCAAATTAATGATTTCTGCTCTATGCAAAAGACTATACCGTTAGAGAGGGTGAAAAGACAAGCTATGGTTTGGAAGAGTCTACTTGCAAATCACATAGCCAACACAGAATTTGTATCTAGAATATATAAAGAGGTCTAGGCTGGGCACAGTGGCTCACGCCTGTAATCCCAGCACTTTGGGAGCCTGAGGCAGGCGGATCACTTAAGGTCAGGAGAATTGCTTGAACCTGGGAGGCAGAGGTTGCAGTGAGCTGAGATAGCACCACTGCACTCCAGTCTGGGCAACAGAGCGAGACTCCATCTCCAGAAAAAAAAAACAAAAACCAACAAACAACCCAATTAAAATATGGACATAGACGGAAACTGACATTTCACTGAAGAGGAGATACAGATGGCAAATGGGTACATGAAAGAATGTTCAAAGTTATTAGCCACCAGGGACCTGCAAATCCAAACCACAATGAGGTATCACTACATACCCATCAAAATGGCTAAATTAAAAAAAAAAAAGTTGATCACATCAAATGCTGGCAAGGATGAAGACCAAATAGATCACTCAGTCCTATGTTGCTGGCAGAGATGTGAAATGGTATAGCCACTGTGGAAAAAGAGTGTGGCAGGATTTCGTTTTGTTCTGTTTGCTGTACTGTGTTTTGTTTTGTTGTACAAAACAAACCATGCACTTACCATATGACCCTGGAATTACATTCTTGGGCATTTATATCCCAGGGAAATGAAAACTTATGTTCATATAAAAACCCAGAAGTGGGGCCAGGAGCAGTGGCTCACGCCTGTAATCCCAGCACTTTGGGAAGCCGAGGCGGACAGATCACTTGAGGTCAGGAGTTCGAGACCAGCCTGGCCAACATGATGAAACCCCGTCTCTACTAAAAATACAAAAATTAGCTGGGCGTGGTGGCGGGCACCTGTAGTCCTAGCTACTCCAGACTCTGAGGCAGAGGATTGCTTGAACCTGGGAGGCGGAGGTTGCAGTGAGCTGAGATCACATCACTGCACTCCAGCCTGGGTGACAGAGGGAGACTCTGTCTCAAAAAACAAAAAACAAACAAAAAAACCCAGAAGTGAATGTTCAGAGCAGCTTCCTTCTAAAATGGCCAAATGCTGGAAGCAACCTAAATGGCCCTCAACAGGTGAACGGTTAAACAAATTGTGCTCCATCCAGACCGTGGAATTCTACTTAGCAATGAACAGGAAGGAACTATTGAGAAACGCAGCAACTTAGGTTGGCTCTCACGGGAGCTGTGCTGAAATGACAAGAGCCAGTCTTCAAAGGTTATAGAGGAGTGGAGTGGTGAGGTCCAACGGATGGTTCATAGGTCCAAAAAAGAAAAAAAGGATGAATGAGTAAGAGACCTAGTAAGATAGCACAACGCGGGGACTATAGTCAATAATATATGTATTTTTTTGAGACAGGATCTCACTCTGTTGTCCAGGCTGGAATGCAGTGGCGTGATCTCCATTCATTGCAACCTCTGTCTCCCAGGCTCAAGTGATCCTTCCACCTCAGCCTCCCGAGTAGCTGAGACTACAGGCATGCACCACCAAACCTGGCTAATTTTTGTAGTTATTTTGGTAGAGAAGGGGTTTTGCCATGTCATCCAGGCTGGTCTTGAACTCCTGGGCTCAAGTGATCCTCCCACCTCAGCTTCCCAAAGTGTTGGGATTACACGCTTGAGCCACCGTGCCCAGCCAGTCAATAATAACTTAATTGTACATTTTAAAATGACAAAAAGAGGCCAGGCGGGGTGGCTCCCACCTGTAATCCCAGCACTTTGGGACGCAGAGGTGGGAGGATCGCTTGAGCCCAGGAGCTCAAGAGCAGCATGGATGACATGGCGAAACCCTGTCTCTTCTAAAAATACAAAAATAAGCTGGACGTGGTGGCAGGTGCCTGTAATCCCAGCTACTTGGGAGGCTGAGGCAGGAGAATTGTGTGAAGCTGGAAGGAGGAGGTTTCAGTGACCCCAGATTGTGCCACTGCACTCCAGCCTGGACAACAGAGTGAGACTCCATCTCAAAATAAAATTAAATAAAACAAAATAAAATAACTATAAAGGTATAATTGGATTGCTCCTAACATGAAAGATAAATGCTTCAGGGGATGAATGCCCAGTTTTTCATGATGTGATTATTACACGTTGCATGCCTGCACCAAAATAGCTCATGTACCCCATAAATATATATACACCACGATGTACCCACGTAATTAAAAAGAAATACATAACAACAACAACAAAAGCTGAAGGTTACAGAGCATGCGGTTCCACTGATACAGGCTTCCTGAAATGACAGAATTATAAGATGAAGAATGGTAAGGGTTTTCAGGTAGGAGGAAGAGAGAGATGGTTGTGACGTAAAAAAAAGTGCAGCACAGAACATCCTCATAATGGAATGTGTTGTGTGTCCTGATTGTGAAACTACACATCTAAATGTTGCATGGACACACACACACACACACACACACACACACACACACACACAAATGAGTGCACATAAACCAGCAAAGTCTGAATAAGGTTGATGGATTATGTTAATGTTCATTTCCCGTTTATGATATTGTAAGATGTCACCATTGGGGGAAGCTGGTTAAAGGCACAAGAGATCTCTCTGTACTCATTTTTTACTTTTTTTAAAAACATCTTTATTGAAATAATTCCCATATCATACAAGTCACCCATTTGAAGTATATAATTCAGTGGTTTTTAGTAAATTCACAGAGCTGAGATGATGTGCAACCATCTTTACAATATAATCTTAGAATGTTCTATGTTATACTTTATTGAGACAGAGCCTCACTCTTGTCACCCAGGCTGGAGTGCAGTGGCATGATCTTGGCTCACTGCAACCTCTGCCTCCCGGGTTCAAGTGATTCTCTCGATTCAGCCTCCCGAGTGGCTGTAACTACAGGCGCGCGCCACCACGCCCGGCTAATTTTTGTATTTTTAGTGAAACAGGGTTTCACCATGTTGGCTAGTCTAGTCTCGAACTCTTGACCCCAAGTGATCTTCCCACGTTGGCCGCCCAAAGTGCTGGAATTACAGGCATGAGCTATCATGCCCGACCTAGAATATTTTAGTCACCCTAAAAGAAACCAATTAGGGCCGGGCACAGTGGCTCACGCCTGTAATCCCAGCAGTTTGGGAGGCCAAGGTGGGCAGATCATGAGGTCAAGAGATCGAGACCATCCTGGCCAACATGGTGAAACCCTGTCTTTAGTAAAAATATAAAAATTAGCTGGGTGTGGTGGCACGCACCTGAAGTCCCAGCTATTCGGGAGGCTGAGGCAGGAGAATCACTTGAACCTGGGAGGCGGATGTTGCCGTGAGCCGAGATCGCGTCACTGCACTCCAGCCTGGATGACAGAGCGAGACTCTGTAAAAAAGAAAGAAGAAAGAAAGAAGGAAAAGAAAGGAAAGAAAGGAAGGAAGGAAGGAAGGAAGGAAGGAAGGAAGGAAGGAAGGAAGGAAGGGAAAGAAATAAACCAATTAGGCTGGACGCGGTGGCTCACGCCTGTAATCACAGCACTTTAGGAGGACGAGGCAGGTAGATCACCTGAGGTCAGGAGTTCAAGACCAGCCTGGCCAACATTGGCAAAACCCCGTGTCTACTAAAAATACAAAATTAGCCAGGCATGGTGGCGGGTTCTTTAATCCCAGCTACTTTGGAGGCTGAGGCAGGACAATTGCTTGAACCCAGGAAGCGGAGGTTACAGTGAGCAGAGATCATGTCACAGCACTCTAGCCTGGGCGACACAGTGAGATTCTGTCTCAAAACAAACAAACAAAACAAAACAAACAAACAAAAAAGAAACCAAATTAGTAATCACTCCCAATCTCTTCCCCAGCCCCTGGCCACCACGACTCACAAGTCCACTTTCTGTGTCTGGATTTGCCCGTTCTGGAAATTCCATATGAGCAAGATCATACAATATGTGGCCTTTGTGTCTGGTTTCTTTCTTTCTTTTCTTTCTTTTTCTTTTCTTTTTTTTTTTAAGACAGAGTCTTGCTCTGCCCAGGCTGGAGTGCAGTGGCACGATCTCGGCTCACTGCAGCCTCCACCCCCCGGGTTCAAGCGATTTTCCTGCCTCAGCCTCCCGAGTAGCTGGGATTACAGGCACCTGCCACCACGCCCGGCTAATTTTTGTATTTTTAGTAGAGATGGGGGTTTCACCATCTTGGCCAGGCTGGTCTTGAACTCCTGACCTCTTGATCCACCCACCTCGGCCTTCCAAAGTGCTGGGATTCCAGGCGTGAGCCACCGTGCCTGGCCTGTGTCTGGTTTCTTTCACAGAGCATGATGTGTTTAAGGTTCACCCACGTTGTAACCTATACCAGGGCTTCATTCCTTTTCATGGCCAAACACATTCCATTGTGTGGACGGACCACGTTTGGCTTTTCTGTTCATCAGTTGATGGAGAGTCAGATTGTTTTCACTTTTTGAATTGTTATCAATAATACTGCTATCAACATTTATCCTTAAGATTTTGCATGGGGTCAGGCGTGGTGGCTGACGCCTATAATCACAGCACTTTGGGAGGCAGAAGCAGGAGGATCACTTGAGGTCTGGAGTTCAAAACCAACCTGGCCAACACAGTGAAACCCTGCCTCTACTAAAAATACAAAAAATTAGCTGGTCATGGTGGAACTGATATCACATCACTCCACTCTAGCCTGGGTGACAGAGCAAGACTCTGTCTCAAAAAGAAAAGAAAAAAAGATTTGCATACACATATTTTTTTATTTTAACTTTTTTTTTTGAGACGGAGTCTCACTCTGTTGCCCAGGCTGGAGTGAAGTGGCACAATCTCGGCTCACTGCAACCTCCGCCTCCTGGGTTCAAGTGATTCTCCTGCCTCAGCCTCCCGAGTAGTTGGGATTACAGGTGTGCACCACCATGCCCGGCTAATTTCTGTGTTTTTGGTGGAGACAGGGTTTCGCCATGTTGGCCAGGCTGGTCTCGAACTCCTGACCTCAAGTCATCTGCCCATCTTGGCCTCCCAAAGTGCTGGGATTACAGGCGTGAGCCACCCCACCAGGCCTATTGTCTGTCTTTTTAATTTTAGCAAACCTAGTGGGTGTAAAGTGGTATCTCATTGTGGTTTTGATTTGCATTTTCCTAGTGACTAATGAAGTTGAGCATCTTTTCATGTGACCATTGGCCATTTGTATATTGTCTTTGGAGAAACGTTTACTGAGATCACTTGCCCATTTCAAAAATTGGGTTATTAGGCTTGGCGTGGTGGCTCACGTCTGTAATTCCAGCATTTTGGGAGGCTGAGGTGGGCAGATCACTTGAGGCCGGAAGTTTGACACCAGCCTGGCCAAAATGGTGAAACCCCGTCTCTACTAGAAATACAAAAGTTAGCTGGGTGTGGTGGCAGGCACCTGTAGTCCCAGTTACTCGGGAGGCTGGGGCAGGAGAATCGCTTGAACCTAGGAGAGGGAGGTTGCAGTGAGCTAAGATCGCACCACTGCCCTCCAGCCTTCCAGCCTAGGCGACAGAGTGAGAATCCGTTAAAAAAAAAAATTGGGTTATTAATCTTTTTATTTTTGAGTTTTGAGAGTTCTTTTCACATTTGCATACAAGTTTATTTTCCCCAATTTATAGATTGTACTTTTACTTTTTCGATGGTATCAGTTGGCAACACAAACGTTTTTAATTTTGATGTCATCCAATCAATCTGTTTTTTCTTTTATTACTGCTTTTGGTATCATATAATTGCCTAATTCAAAGTCATTAAGATTTACTGCCAGCTGGGCATGGTGGCTCATGCCTATAATTCCAGCACTTTGGGAGGCCGAGACAGGCGGATCACCTGAGGTCGGGAGTTCGAGACCAGCCTGACCAACATGGAGAAACACCCGTCTCTACTAAAAATACAAAATTAGCCAGGCGTGGTGGCAAGCACCTGTAATCCCAGCTACTCAGGAGGCTGAGGCAGGAGAATCGCTTGAATCCGGGAGGCAGAGGTTGCAGTGAGCCGAGATCGTGCCATTATACTCCAGCCTGGGCAACAAGAGCGAAACTCCATCTCAAAACAAACAAACAAACAAACAAACAAACAAAAAACAGAAAAACCCCGATTTACTGCCATGTTTTTCTGTATTATTTTTACAACTGCATATTGTACATTTTTCTATAAATAAAAAGTTAAAAAGTGATCTGGTGCAGTGGCTCACAGCTGTGATCTCAACATTTTGTAAGGCCGAGATGGGAGGATTGCTTGAGGCCAGGAGTTCAAGACCATCTAGGGGAACCTAGGAAGACTCCATCTCTACAAAAAATTAATCAATTAGCTGGGTGTGGTGGTGAACGCCTCAAGTCCCAGCTACTTGGGAGGCCGAGATGGGAGGATCGCTTGAGGTCAGGAGTTCAAGACAAACCAGGGCAAAATAGTGAAACCTGACCTCTTAAAAAAAAAATTAGCTGGGCGTAGTGGGGCGTGTCTGCCGTTCCAGCTACTGGGGAAGCTGAGGTGGGAGAATTGCTTGAGCGCAAGACGTTGAGGTTACAGTGAGCTGTCCTCACACCACTGCACTCCAGGGGTGACAGAGTGAGACTCTGTCTCGAAACAGAAGAGGAAAAAAAAAAAAAAACACCAAAAAACAGGCAGATGACTTGAACAACACTTCGCCAAAGAGGATATACGGATTTCAAATAAAAACATAAAAAAGGCCAGGCACGGCCGGGCGCGGTGGCTCACGCCTGTAATTCCAGCACTTTGGGAGGCCGAGGTGGGTGGATCACGAGGTCAGGGGATCGAGATCGTCCTGGCTAACACAGTGAAACCCGCTCTCTACTAAAAATACAAAAAATTAGCCGGGCGTGTTGGCAGGCGCCTGTATTCCCAGCTACTCGGGAGGCTGAGGCAGGAAAATGGCCTGAACCCCAGGAGGCAGAGCTTGCAGTGAGATCGCGCCACTGCACTCCAGCCTGGGCGACAGAGCGAGACTCCGTCTCAGAAAGAGAAAAAAAAAAAAAAAGAGGCCGGGCACGGTGACTCCTCCCAGCGCTTTGGGAGGCCGAGATGGGTGGATCACTTGAGGTTAGGAGGTCAAGAACAGCCTGGCTAACATGACGAAACCCCGTCTCTACTCAAAATACAAAAATTAGCCGGGCATGATGGTGCCCACCTGTAGTACCAGCTACTTGGGAGGCTGAGGCAGGAGAATCACTTGAACCCAGGAAGCAAATTTTTGTATTTTTAGTAGAGATGGGGTTTCGCCATGTTGACCAGGATGATCTCGACCTCTGGACCTCATGATCTGCCCACCTCGGCCTCCCAAAGTGCTGGGATTACAGGCGTGAGCCACCACACCTGGCCTTGATTCTTAAAAATTAAAAAAATTACCTTTGTAGATCATCTGAGCAAGCAAATGCAACAAATTTTGTGTCGTGGTCTTGTATCCTTCAACTTTGCTGAACTATTTTATGTTATGTTATGTTATGTTATGTTATGTTATGTTATGTTATGTTATGTTATGTTATGTTATTTTTTGGAGACAGAGTCTCTATCTGTTGCCCAGGCTGGAGTGCAATCATGTGATCATAGCTCACTGCAGCCTCGACTTCCCAGGCCAAGAATCAATTTTTTTTTTAAGTGTAAAAATTTGGAAAAATAAAATTAAAAAAAAGGAGAAAACAAAGTTAATTGCATTTGTATATATTAGAAATGAACAATCTGAAAGTGAAATTAGGAAAATCATTATCTTTATGATAGCATCAAAAAGAACAAAATACTTAGGAGTAAATTTAACAGAAAAGTGCAAAATTTATACTCTGAGCACTATAAAATATTGTTGAAAGAAATTTAAGACCTAAATAAAAACCTCTCATATTCATGGATTAGAAAATGTAATATTGTTAATACTCCTTAACCGATCTGTAGATTCAAAACAATCCCTATTAAAATCTCAGCTTTTTTTTTAGAAATTGATCATTCTAAAATTTATATGGAAATTCAAGGCACTTAGAGTATCCAAAATCATCTTGAAATGAAATAATGAAGTTGAAGGACTTACACTTTCTGATTAGAAACCTTATATCAACCAGGCACAGTGGCTCACGCCTATAATCCCAGCACTTTGGGAGGCTGAGGTGGGTGGATCACGAGGTCAGGAGATCCAGACCATCCTGGCTAACATGGTGAAACCCCGTCTTTACTAAAAATACAAAAAATTAGCTGGGTGTGGTGGTGGGCGCCTGTAGTCCCAGCTACTTGGGAGGGTGAGGCAGGAGAATGGCGTGAACCTGGGAGGCAGAACAATGGGGTACTGGCGCAATGATAGACTTTTAGATCCACGGTAGAAAATTGAAAATCCAGAAATAAACTCTGACATTTATGGTCAATTGCTTTTCAACAAGGGCCAAGACAATCCAATGGAGAAACAAATAATCTTTTCAACAAATGATTTCAGGACAACTGGATATCCACATGCAAAAGGGTAAAGTTGAATCCCTACCTCACACCAAGCACAAAACTTAACTCAAAATACATCATAGACTTAAATGTAAGAGTTAAAACAATAAAACTCTTGGAAAAAAAAACAAAGGGGTTTCATGATCTTGGGACTGGCAATAGTTTCTTAGACATGACACTAAGAGCGCAAACAACCAAAGAAATACCAGATAAATAGGACTTCATCAAAATTTTAAAATGCTGTGTTTCAAAGGACACCATCCAGACAGTGAATAGACAACCCAGAGGATGGAAGAAAATATTTGTAAATCATACATCTAATAAGGAACAGGTACCTAGAATACATAAAGAACTCTCACAACTGTGAATTTATTACCTTATATGGCAAAAGAGATTTTGCAGGTGTGATTAAATTATAGACCTTGAGATGGGGAGATTTTCTTGGAGATTCCAGGTGAATCCAACGTCATCACAGGGGCCCTTATAAGAGGAAAGCAGGAGCATCAAAGAGCAAAGCCAGAAGCAGAGGTCAGAGGGATGTGAGACTGTGAACCTAGAAATGTGGTCAGCCCCTAGAACCTGGAAAAGACCAGGGAACAGCTTCTCCCCTAGAGTCTTCAGAGCAAACACAACCTTCCACATTTTAGAATTCTGATCTCCAGAACTCTAGGATAATAATTTTGCGTTGTTTTAAGTCACTACATTTATGGTAATTTGTGGGGAACTAAGACGTATTTGACTTGGGAATAATACTTATCCTTTCCACCCACATCCCATTGGTCAGAACATGTCACATGATCATACCTAATGCAAGGGCATCTGGGAAATGTAGTCCATGGGTGGGCAGCCACTTCCCAGGGTAACTCTACGTTGTGGGAAGTGAGGCATGGATTTTTTTAATGGATGCCAGACGTTTTCTGCCACATCAGTGTGGGTCATAATGAGGTTCTCTAGAGGGAAGAAATGGCCCAAGTGACTGGCTAGAATTGGGCTCATGAGCATGGAGGGACTTGAGACAATGCGGAATCCACCATGCGGAGGAATGAGCAGTGAAGGTGGAGCGTGACCCAGCTCCATGAAGAAATAAGGAATAGTTCTCAAGTCCTTTCTTCCGGGATGGAGCCCAGATTATTCATCCTCATCTTTGAGGCTCTCTGGAACCCAGCCCCTAGCCTTTTTTTTTTTTTTTTTCTCCTTCTTCTTCCAGGCATCTTTTCCCTCAACCCGGTTTTCCCAGCCCCACCCACCTCTCCACCTGCCCATCTTCATATTCAGCTGATTCAGTCTCAACCGTCTTGGCACCAAGTCCTTGCCCACACGGAGCTCCCTGCCAAGCACACCCTCCTACCCCACGCCCCCTCTCTAAATCCTACCACTGTGAGATCCGGGAGGCGATGTGTGAGCTGAGGCTTGAAGGATGAGAAGGAGCTCATCACGGGAGGAGTCCAGGGCAGGGCATGCTAGGAGGAGGGGGCTGCAAATGCAAAGGCTCAGGGGTGGGAAGTTGCTTGTGCATTGGAGGAGTGGCAAGGAGGCCAGTGTGGCTGGAGCAGAATGGGGCGCAGGAGAGGAGATGAAGGCTTAAGGGGCTGGATTTTGAAGGGAAAGGGGGTCTTTTATTTTTTATAATTTTATTTGTTTTTAGAGATGGGGTCTTGCTCTGCCACCCAGGCTGGAGTGCAGCAGTGTGATCATAGCTCACTGCAGCCTCCATCTCCCAGTCTCAAGCGATCCTCCCACCTCAGCCTCCCGAGTAGCTGGAATGACAGGCACGTGCCACCACGCCTGGCTAATTTCTTGTATTTTAGATAGAGGTGGGGTTCACCATGTTGCTTAGCTGGTCTTGAACTCCTGGGCTCAAGTGATCCACCTGCCTTGGTCTCCCAGAGTTCTGGGATTACAGGCATCAACCAACACGCTCGGCCCTTTTATTCTTTTTATAATTTTATTTATTTATTTATTTATTTATTTATTTATTTATTTATTTATTTATTTATTTTTAGAGATGAGGTCTTGCTGTGTCGCCCAGGCTGGAGTACAGTGGTGCAAATCATGGCTCACTGCAGCCTTGATCTCCCAGGCTCAAGTGATCCTTTCACCTCAGCCTCCCAGGTAGCTGAAACTTCAGGCATGCACCACCACGCCCAGCTAATTTTTGTAGTTTTTGTAGAGACAGGGGTCTTGCTATGTTTCTCAGGCTGGTCTCGAATTCCTGGGCTCAAGCGATCCTCCCATCTCAGCCTTCCAAAGTGTTGGGATTACAGGCATGAGTCACTGCACCCAGCCTGGGGGGGTCTTTTAGGCCACGGTGGAGGGTTTGAGCTTGATTCAAGTGTAATAAAGGACCCCGGGGGAGAGTTTGAATGAGTGCATGAATGAATGAATGAGTGAATGAAACAGGACTAAGACAGAGCTGCAGTCTTGGCCCATTCACTGCTCACCGATTACTAAGTGGCATCCGGCCACCCTCAATATGCTTTGAGGCTGCCTTCTTCCTTCAGCCTGGCCCCCAGCCACATGCCCCCTTGGAGATGGCTCACCTCGATAGATTCCAAGATACCCTGGTGGCAGGGCCCATCCCTTCCTCTTTTTTTTTTTTTTTTTTTTTTTGAGATGGAGTCTTGCTCTGTCACCCAGGCTGGAGTGCAGTGGCATGATCTCAGGTCACTGCAACCTCCGCCTCCCGGGTTCAAGCGATTCTCTTGCCTCAGTCTCCCGAATAGCTGGGACTACAGGCACATGCCACCACACCCGGCTAATTTTTTGTGTTTTTAGTAGAGACAAGATTTCACCATGTTAGCCAGGCTGGTCTGGATCTCCTAACCTCAAGTGATGCACCCACCTCGGCCTCCCAAAGTGTTGGGATTACAGGCATGAGCCACCGCGCCCAGCCTTGGCTCTGTCTTAATGACACTCAAACAGCTACACAATACCAAATGACTCCTCGCAATTATTATAAAATATTAAAATGACTCACAAAATAAATTATTCACACCCCTCATGTTCCCTGCTTCCAGGTGTTTGGGGGCTAATGAGGTTTGTTTTTAGGTGTGGAGCGGGGAGCGGCCCTTGGGAATCAGAGGCAGTGAAAGATCTCCTATCAATCATGTCACTGTGTAGATGGTGACAAGGGATGATGGGAGGCAGAGGCGGACTGGGGCAGGAGTTAGCCTCAAGGGCCGTTTATGCCCCAAAACCCTGTCGCTTATAAGTGGTGAATGCAGGCTGGGTGAGTGGCTGGGGTCTTTGCTTCATTTTCCCTCTCCTCAGGTGGCTGGAGAAAGTTGGGCCCATTGCAGGTCAGCCAGAAGGGTTTGTGGCTTTTAGAGTGGTGGAGAGCAAGAGAGAGAACTGGAAAGAAATGCAGAGACACAAAGCCAGAAAGAGAGGAAGAGACAGAGACACACACAGAGAGACGGAAAGAGACATAGAAAGACAGGCGGACAGAGACAGAGAGGTACAGAGGTGGAGAGAGACACAGACAGAGACAAATAGAAAGAGAATAGAGAGATGGGCAGAGACAAAGACAGAGATAGAGACAGAGAGACAGAGGTGGGCAGAGACACAGAGACAAAAAGAAAGAATAGAGAGACAGGCAGAAACAAAGAGACACAGAGACAGAGAGACAAAGACAGGAATAAAGACAGAGAGACAAGACAGAGATAGAGACAGGGAGACAGATACACACAGAGATAGGAAGACACAGAGATGGGCAGAGAAAGAAAGCCACAGAGAAAAATAAAAAATCAGAAAGAGAATAGAGAGAGAGGCAGAGACAAAGACAGTTGCAAAGACAGAGACAAGGAGACAGAGAGACAGAGAACTGATTGGGTCTGTTACCCCAACAACCCAGGATCCCCTGAATTCTCACGTGGGTAGGTAGGGTTTGGGGCCAGGTGGGATTTGGGAGGCCAGCCTCCCCAGAAGGAGAGGCTCAAGCTAGCAGAAGTCACCAAGCTCGGAGCCAGGGAGGTGGTTCTGTGAAAGAACCATGCAAGTTCCTGAAAGCCCCGAATTTCGCAGCCCTGCATGTGGACAGTGCAGGCTCCCTACCAAGGAGCTGCTAGCAGGGAACAGGAGATGCTCCACCCTCCCTTAAGCCGCTCCTACCAGCACCGTTCAGTACCACGGACAGCGACACAGCCCTGGTGCCAGGAGAGGAAAGGAAACCCCAGGGTTTGGCCTTCTCACTCATCCTTTGCCGCAGCCAGCAGTCTTCCCTGTGAGGGAGAATGGTTGCGCTCTCTCTTGGTTGCGCTCTTCTCTCTCTCTCTCTCCCTCCCTCCCTTCTTCCTTTTCTTTTCCTCTTTCTTTCTTTTCTTTCTCTTTTTCGTTCTTTCTTTCTTTCTTTCTTTTTTGAGACAGAGTCTTACTCTGTCATCCAGGTTGGAGTGCAGTGATGTGATCTTGGCTCCCTGCAACCTCCACCTCCTAGGTTCAAGTGATTCTCCTGCCTCAGCCTCCTGAGTAGCTGGCACTACAGGCATGTGCCACCAAGCCTGGCTAATTTTTGTATTTTTAGTAGAGACAGGGTTTTCCCATGTTGGCCAGGCTGGTCTCAAACTCCTGACTTCAGGTGATCTGCCTACCTTGGCCTCCCAAAGTGCTGGGATTACAGGCCTGAGCCACGGCAACCAGCCTGACTCTGTTAATTTTTGTTGCGTGACCTCAGGCAACTGATTGTTTGTATTGGTTAGCTATTGCTGTGTAAAAAACTACCCCAAAACTTAGTGGCTTAAAACAACACTCACTTATGATCTCAGTTTCTGCAGATCAGGAATCTGGGTATAGCTTGACTGGGTCCTGTACTTCAGGCTGTCACGAGGTGTTGGCCAGCAATAGAGTCTCATCTGAAGGCTCAACGGGGTAGGATTTGCTTCCACATTCACATGGTTGTCAGCAATACTTAGTTCCTTGATGGCGGAGGCTACCCAGGTTCTCGCCATGTGGGCCTCCTGACCACATCAGCCTGCTTCATCAAAGCTAGCAAGAGGCTGGGCACAGTGGCTCATGCCTGTAATACCAGCACCTTGGGAGGCCAAGGCAGGAGGATCACTTGAGGCCGGGAGTTTGAGACCAGCCTGGGAAATAGGGTGAGACCCTCCCTCCACCATCTCTACAAAAAAAATTTTTTAAACAAATTAGCTGAGCATAGTGACACATGCATATAGTCCTAGCTACTCAGGAGGCTGAGGTAGGAGGATCACCTGAGCCTGGGAACTGAGGCTGCAGTGAGCCGTGATCATGCCACTGCACTCTAGCATGGGTGACAAAGTGAGACCCTGTCTCAAAAAAAAAAAAAAAAAAAAAGAGATGTGATTTTGCTCTGTCACCCAGGCTGGAGTGCAATGATGGTATCATAGCTCACTGCAGCCTCAAATTCATGGGCTCATGAGATCCTCCTACCTCAGCCTCCCAATAAGCCATAATTACAGGTGCAAGCCACCACGCCCAACTGTATTTTATCCTTTATAAGAAGGAGAAGAGATTCCACAAGGGCAGGAGTACCAGAAGTGGGATCAAATGAGGACATCTTCGTAAGCTGCCCAATACAGTGCCCACTCTGAGCCTCAGTCTCTTCAACTGTAAAAGGGATAGTGAGTTCCTACTTTGCACGGTCGTGGGGAGGATGCTGTGCAATGGGACATAGAAAAGTTCTCAGCTTAGTGAGCAATCTCCAGCTCTTTCTCCTTCTGGAGAAACAAGTGCAAGGTTTGGGCCTCTGAACTGGGGGATTCCCTGCATTCTGTTCCCCCATTTAGAGGTGAGGTTGGCCTGAGTTGACATGGAGCTTTGCAAAACTGTTCTGACTCCCACAGTGCAGTCATTTGTTAATTCACTGGCTTACCTGATGTGTGAGTTTCCTGTGACCACGAACTGGTGGCTTAAATAACAGAAATGTGTCGGCTGGGCACGGTGGCTCACGCCTGTAATCCCAGAACTTTGGGAGGCTGAGGCGGGTGGATCATGAGGTCAGGAGATCAAGACCATCCTGGCTAACGCGGTGAAACTCCGTCTCTACTAAAAATACAAAAAAATTAGCCGGGCGTGGTGGCGGGCGTCTGTAGTCCCAGCTACTCGGGAGGCTGAGGCAGGAGAATGGTGTGAACCCGGGAGGCGGAGCTTGCAGTGAGCCGAGATCACGCCACTGCACTCCAGCCTGGGCCACAGAGCGAGACTCCATCTCAAAAAAACAAACAACAACAACAAAAAAACCAACAAAAAACAGAAATATGTCACAGTCCTGGAGGCTAGAAGTCTGAAACCAAGTTGCCAGCAGGGCTGGTTCTTTTTTCCTTCCTTCCTTCCTTCTTTCCTCCCTCCCTTCTCTTCCTCCTTCCTTTCCTCCCTCCCTTCTTTCCTTCCTTCCTTCTTTCCTTCCTTCCTTCCCTCCTTCCCCCCTGCCTCCCTCCCCCCTCTTCCTTCTTCCCTCCTCCCAACCCTCTCTTCCTTCTTCCTGCCCTCCTTCCTTCCCTTCCTCCCTGCCTCTCTTCCTCCTTCCTTCCTCCTTCCCTCCCTCCCTCCTTCCCTTCGTCCCTCCCTTCCTTCCTTCCTTCCTTCCCTTTCTTTCAGTTTTCTGAGACAAGGTCTTGCTCTGTCACCCAGGCTGGAGTGCAATGATGCAATCACAGCTCACTGCAGCCTCGACCTCGTGGGCTCAAGTGATCCTCCACCTCACCTTCCTGAGTAGCTGGGACCACAAGCCTGTGCCACCACACTTGGGTATTTTTTTTTTTTTTTTTTTTTTTTACTTTTAATAGAGACGAGGTCTCATTCTGTTGCCCAGGCTGGTCTTGAGCTCGTGGCCTCAAGCATCCTCCCATCTCAGCCTCTGAAAAGCACTGGGATCACAGGCAGGAGCCACCATGCCTGGCCGGCTGCTGCTTCTTGAGGGATGTAAGGGAGGGGTCTGTCCCAGGCCTTTCTCCTTGGTTTGTAGATGGCAACTTCATATTCACACAGCATTCTCCCTGCACGCATACCTGTGCCCACATTGTCCCCCTGCCCCTTCGTTTTTTTGTTTGTTTTGAGAAGGAATCTTCTCACTCTGTTGCCCAGGCTGGAGAGCAATGGCACGATTTCAGCTCACTGCAACCTCCGCCTCCCAGGTTCAAGGGATTCTCCTGCCTCAGCCTCTGGAGTAGCTTGGATTACAGGCGCCCACGACCACACCCAGCTAATTTTTCTATTTTTAGTAGAGACAGGGTTTTGCCATGTTGGCCAGGCTGGTCTCGAACTCCTGACCTCAAGTGATCCCCCCCGCCTCAGCCTCCCAAAGTGCTGGGATTACAGGCATGAACCACATTGTCCCCTTTTATAAGGTCATCAGTCGTATTAGATTAGAGCCCACCCTACTCCAGTTACATCTGTACCACCTCCAGTACATTCGGAGGTTCTGAGGGGTGAGGACTTCAGCATATAGGTTTTTTGGGGGAGAGACGATGTAACCCATAATGCCGGCCAATGAGAGACCCTTGTCTCTTTGTCTGTCTGTCTCTGTTAGGGTGTCCCTGAGCGCCTGTCTCTGTCTCTTTGTTTCGGTCTGTCTCTGATTCTGTGTGTCCGTGTCTCCAAGCTCATTCCCACCACTGGTCCTTGGTACGTGCTGTCCTCTCTGCTTGGAAACTCCTGGCGCTTTGCACTTCTGGCTCCTTCTCAACTCAGATGGCCCCTCCTCAGTCACACCCTCCAATCCCCCTCTACTGTCTCCTTGCTGTTTTTGTTTTTGTCTTGTTTTTTGAGACAGGGTCTCGCTCTGTCACCCAGGCTGGAGTACAGTGGCGTGATCATAGCTCACTGCAGCCTCGACTTCCTGGGCTCAAGTGATCCTCCCACATCAGCCTTGGAGTGCACTACCAGGTCTGGCTAATTTAAAAAAAAAAAGTATCTATCTATTTATTTATTTATTTGAGATAGAGTCTCACTCTGTTCCCCAGGCTGGAGTGCAGTGGTGTGATTTTGGCTCACTGCAACCTCCGCCTCCCGGGTTCAAACGATTTTCATGCCTCCACCTCCCAAGTAGCTGGCATTACAGGTACCCGCCACCACGCCCTGCCAATTTTTTTTTTTTTTTTTTGTATTTTTAGTAGAGATTGGGTTTCACCATGTTGGCCAGGCTGGTCCTGAACTCCTGACCTCAGGGGATCCATGCACCTCAGCCTCTCAAAGTGCTGGGATTATAGGCATGAGCCATCACGCCTGGCCTAAATTTTTTTGTTGTTGTTGTTGAGACAGAGTCTCACTATGTTGACCATGCTGGTCTCAAACTCCTGGCCTCAAGTGATCCTCCTGCCTTGGCCTCCCAAAGTGCTGGGATTACAGGCATAAACCACCAGGCCTGGCCTCTTTGCTGTTTTGTAAGCATGCCCAGCATGTTCCTGCCTCGGGGGTTTTTGCCCTGGCGATTTCCCCTCAGCCAGGAACACCCTTTGGTTACATGGCTCCATCATCTTCAGGTCTCAGCACAAGTGTCTGGATCACCTATAGAGTCTCCTGGCCAGGAGCGGTGGCTCATGCCTGTAATCCCTGCACTTTGGGAGGCCGAGGCAGGTAGATCATGAGGTCAGAGGATCGAGATCATCCTGGCTAACACGGTGAAACCCCGTCTCTACTAAAAATACAAAAAATTAGCCGGGCGTGGTGGCGGGTGCCTGTAGTCCCAGCTACTCGGGAGGCTGAGGCAGGAGAATGGCATGAACTGGGGAGGCAGAGCTGGCAGTGAGCTGAGATTGCGCCGCTGCACTCTAGCCTGGGTGACAGAGCGAGACTCCATCTCAAAAAAAAAAAAAAAAACAAAAAGAATCCTTCTCCTGTAGTCACTCCCAGAGCCCCTCCTCCTCTGCTTGCTCTCTGCCCATGGCACTGGATGGAATAACCCATCATTGTAACTGTTTCTTTTATTTTGAGATGGAGTCTTGGTCTGTCACCCAGGCTGGAGTGCAATGGTGCCATCTTGGCTCACTGTAGCCTCTGCCTCCCAGGTTCAAGCGATTTTCCTGCCTCAGCCTCCCGAGTAGCTGGGATAACAGATGCATGCCACCACGCCTGGCTAATTTTTGCATTTTTTAATTTTTATTTTTTAGTAGGGACGGGGTTTCACCATGTTGGTCAGGCTGGTCTCGAACTCCTGACCTCAAGTGATCCACCCACCTTGGCCTCCCAAAGTGCTGGAATTACAGGTATGAGCCACTGTGCCTGGCCCATTTTATGTTTTGGTGCCCAGCTCCTAGAAGAGGGCCTGGCTCACAGCATGTGGGCAATAAATGTTTTCAAAACTGGTCAGTCCTAGGACTAATCGAGAGATCTTAGAATGAGGGCGTAGACCTGTGGCATCGTGGAAGCTTGTGAATGGCTGCTGAATCCCAGGTGTAGAGTCTTAGAACTGCCACCCAATCATAGAGTCAGAAAGAAAGGAGTCTCAGGATCCCCCTACTCCAATTCCTGCATCATTTTCCTGGCATGGTTTTACAGATTGTCTTGGTTACCTCCTGTGATGGGGACCTCACTACCACTTAGGGCAATCCATTCAGGCTTTGGACAGTTCCACAGGTGTTGAAAAATCCTTCCTTAAGAATTGAGCATGCATTTTTCACTTTGGAATTCTCTCTGATCCCAGAACCTGCCCTTCCCTGCCTCCAATCCTTCCGTGTTGGCCATAATCAGTTCCTTCTGCCTCGTGGGGGTCAGTGGGGTGGAGGCGGGAAGAAGAGGAGGGATTTGAAAGCAAGAATCCTGCTTTCTGAGGCTCAGT
Source organism: Homo sapiens (assembly GCF_000001405.40). Classification (NCBI taxonomy): domain Eukaryota; kingdom Metazoa; phylum Chordata; class Mammalia; order Primates; family Hominidae; genus Homo; species Homo sapiens. The sequence continues at coordinate 5,398,610 of NC_000019.10, read as the reverse complement.
TCTCCATTTTTCAGCTTGTCCTGAAATTTTCTGACAAAGATGCTAGCTGAGGTGTTAGCTGATAAGTAAAGTGTTAGCTGATAACTTAGGTGTTAGCTGACAACTAAAGTGTAGGCTGATAACTAAAAGGTTAACTGATAAGAGAAGCCTGCCTGATAAGTGGAATGTTGGAAGATAACTTGAGTGTTAGGTAAGAATTAAAGTGCTTTGGCTGATCATCTCTTCCTCCCTCCCTCCATTCCTCCCTCCCTTGCGTCCTAAGCATTTATTAGGCACCTACTGTGTACCAGGTTCAGTGCTGGGAGTGGGTGTTATAAAATAGATCAGATGCAATCTCTCCTTCAGGGTACTCAGGCAGACACAGCTAAGATCTAAGCTCTCTCGGAAGCCCTGGAGCCAGCAGAGTCTTTAAGACACCAAGGCACGGAGTTATCATGGTGGGATGTCGGCCAGCAGGGAGATTTTCCCCCGCCCTGACCAGCTCCCCGCCTTGCTGGCAAACGAGGTAAACCCCTCAAGCCTGTCTCTGGTGTTGGCACTTCTGGGCCGGCTCCTCTGTCTCCAGTGTGGGTGGCGAGTGACTTCATCTGGCCCCAGTAGCTGTCACTCAGACCTAGTCGGACAGCCGACAACATGGTTGCCATGGAAACGAATATGCTTCCCCCTGGAGGCGGGGTGAGCCAGGGGAGAGGGAAACTCTACGTGAATTCTTGAATTCGGGCACAAAGTGACCCAAGGCCTGATGAATCCAGTGGGGGAGCAGTTAACTCCTTCACTGCTACTCCCCTTCTCACTCCCTACGCTCTGGCTCTCTTGGGGAGCTCAGTATCAGGATTAAAAACCTTCGTTCTGGGGTGTCAGGTGGCTAAAGCCCAGCTCTTCATCCAGGCAACTTAACCTCTCCGTGCCTCAGCTTCCTTATCCAGAAGGTGGGTATGAGGATCTGCACTCACTCATTCATTCATTTATCCATTGAGGAAATTGAGCTCACAGGACATCTGTCACATGCCAGGCACTATATTCTAGCTGTGAAGAGGGTAGAAAAGACACTGGGCCCAGGCTGGGCATGGTGGCTCATGCCTGTAATCCCAGCACTTTGGGAGGGAGGCCGAGGCAGGCCGATCACTTGAGGTCAGGAGTTTGAGACCAGCCAGGCCAACAGAGTGAAACCCCATCTCTACTAAAAAATACAAAAATTAGCCGGTCATGGTGGTGCGTCCCTGTAATCCCAGTTACTTGGGAGGCTGAGATGGGAGGATCACTTGAGCCCAGAAGGTGGAGGCTGCAGCGAGCCATGATCACACCACTGTACTCCAGCCTGGATGACAGAGCCAGACCCTGTCTCAAAAAAGAAGGAAAAAAAAAGAGCCTATGTTTCTGCTCACCTGGGAAACTGTTCAACAGGTGTCCTTTATCTGCAGGACTTGTCAGAGCCTTTACTATACAAATCTGAGTCTCCAAGGTTGGGGAGGAAGGAGGTACCTTCCTAAACTTATCTGAGCCTGGAATCCTTCGTTTTCAGACACTTCTCAAGGGAGTAGATTCAGCCACTGTGGTGATGTGGAAACAGCAGGGAACTTGATGTCACAGGCCTGGGTTCAAATCCTCACATTGCTGAGTGACCTTGGGGATGCGTCTGTAAAAGGGGATGAGGCAGATGCCACAGGTACCCTGCCCATGTCCCCAGATGGGTCCCAGCTGCCAGCACCTGCTTCCCTCTACCCACTGGCATTCTCTGTCCTCAGGACTGCACTGGACCCATGTGTGCCAGGGACTGGCCCCTAGGAGCAGCCCTCAGACAAGGATTGGCTGGTGTTGGAGGATAAATACCCCAGCTCCCTCGCCCCTCTGCTGGGACACCTCTGAATCACGCCTCATACAGTAGTACCCAGCAGGATCAAGTTCCGGGTGCCCATGCCAGTCACCTGCTCACCAATGTCCCCCATACTGGCTCCTTCTCTTGCTGCTCTTTCCCTCCCCTTCTTCCTCTACCTCCCAGATAATACTTCCTCCTCCCAGACAGCCCCAGATGGTGCCTCAGGTCCCCGCTCACTCAGACCTCATTGTTCATCGGCTTTCCCCCTAACACCTCCCTTGTTGGAAAACATCAGAGAAAATCTCTCCCAGCAGCACGTCTTCTCTTCAGTCCTTCCTCCTAGCCTTTGCTTATACTGTACTCCTGGAACCCCTTTCCTCTCCTCCTAACCAAATCCTTATTCTGTAGGTCAGGATTCCCCTCACTAGTAGGGCCCAGAGTGATTTCACATCGTCCCCCAACAAGTTTCTAAATAGCATTAGCTGGCAGGGTGAGACAGCCAGCCCCTTTCCAGTCCTCTTTCCTTCCTTCTGATGATTTAAAGGACAGGGTCTCTGCTGGGTAATCAGGGGAGTTTAACCCTTTCCTAGCCCTCGCGAATCCTCTTTTTAGGCAAAGCAATCACAGGCTGCAGGCTCCCAGCCTCGGGCAGGCAGCGACACCTCACTAGAATGAAATAACTGCGTTTTGTTTCTGTCATGTGAGTTTTACCACCCACCTTCTGTTTGTGGCAGGTGCAACCGGCTCTCCATTTTCAGGGAAGCAGAGCTGCTGTTTTTAAATACACTCACTAGCGAGGACATGATTCAGTTGGGAAGAAAATGTTAAATAAATCTTGGAACAGGTGGGGCACTGATGTGGTGGCCACCCTCACCCTGGTGCTGGCTGAGGAAGCTTGGGACACGCTCACCTCCATCAGGAAGCCCTCCAGATTTTCCCTGTCAAGACTTCCAGACCTCTTCTTGTCTCGTCTTGTCTTTTTTATTTTCTCCTTCCTCCCTTCCTCCCCCCGCCCTCCTCTCTGATGACAGGCGTGACGCACCAGGCCTGGCCCCATTGCTTTCTTTTTTTCTTTTGAGACAGAGTCTCGCTCTGTGTCCCAGGCTGGAATGCAGTGGCACAATCTCAGCTCACCGCAACCTCCGCCTCCCGGGTTCAAGTGATTCTTATGCCTCAGCCTCTCAAGAAGCTGGGATTACAGGCGCCTGATACCACGACTGGCTAAATTTTTTTTTTTTTTTTTTTTTTTTTTTTGTATTTTTAGTAGAGATGGGATCTCACTATGTTACCCAGGCTGGTCTTGAACTCCGGGCCTCAAGCGATCCTCCCGCCTTGGTCTCCAAAAGCGCTGGGATTACAGGTGTGAGCCGCCACGCGCCCGGCCCCATTGCTTTGCTTCCTAAGACCCGGCCCCCACCGGGCTCCACCGGAGCCCCCAGTGTTAACACTCTATAGGGTGCAGTTCTCATTCCGGGAGGGCAACCTGGAGCGGATGACAGGTGTCCCTGGGTCTCAGCCTTCCTGTTTGTGCCAGAAGGAGAGCCGGGACGGTGGGGAGGGAAGAGGGGCAGGCGCCTCCGTGCCAGCTGGGCCTGCCTCCCGCAGCTGCTGGCGTTGCCATGGTTACTGAGCAAGCATCTCGCCCCCCGCCCCCGATCCGAGCCCCTCACCCTCAGACCAGGCCCTTCCAGGGACCGGCGGCTCCTGGGTGTCATGGAAACGGTTTCCAAGCACCCACAGTGGGCTTCCTCATTGGCTGAGCGAGGCTACAGGCAAAGGTCACCCCCGGGGTCACTTCTAGGGGTTTCTTCAAGGTCCCCGCCACCCAACGCGAAGTGGCATGTCTGGAATGGGGTCTTGATTTTTAATTCCTTCGTCCCTGGCGATGCTGGAGCGGCTCTAGTCCGTCAGAGGGGCTCTCTTGGTGGGAGGACCTTCAGCCTCTCCCCACCCCCACCCCCGCCCCGCCAAACTCCCCAAAGTCCACAACAAAAACCTCTGTTCTAAGTAAATACATTCGGCTCACTCTGCAAATGTGGCACGGAGAGCAGCCGCCAGGCAGCCCCTCCCCTTTCTTCCAGAACCTTCTTCCAGCAGCCGTGGCTGCTTCAGAGTAGGAGCTGAGGGGCCGAGACCCTGTACTCAGGAGCAGAGGACAGCGTGGCTGGGGTTGAGCCCTGGGAGATTGGAAAAATTAAAAATAGTAAGAATAGCAGCAGCTGATAATTCAGTGGTTTGCAACCCCCTGTTTTAGGTACACACACGTATGAACTCATTTAATCCTTTAACATAAAGTGAACAGGAAGGTACCATTATGCCCATTTTATTTATGTATTTATTTATTTTAGAGACAAGGTATCACTCTGTTGCCCAGGCTGGAGTGCAGTCCTTCAATCATAGCTCACTGCTGCCTCAACCTCTTCCCCCTAGACTCAGCGATCCTCTCACCTCAGCCTCCCGAGTAGCTGGGACCACAGGCATGTATCACCGCACCCAGCTAATTTAAAAAAAAATGTTTTTTTTCATAGAGATAGGGATCTCACTATATTGCCCAGGCTAGTCTTGAACTCCTGGGCTCAAGTGACCCTCCTGCCTCAGCCTCCCGAAGTGCTGGGATCATGGGTGTGAGCCAGCGTGTCTGGCCTCCATTATCTCAATTTTAGAGATAGGGAAACTGAGACCCAGAGAGATCAAGATCGTGAACTATGAACAAAAGCAGCAGCCTGGGACCTGAACCCAGGCCACGTGGTTCCAGGATCAGTGTTAGCCACCAGGCTTGTCTTTGCCTCTGACCATGTAGTTCAATACCCCCTTAAGTGACGTCTGCACTGGGGGATGGGAGCAGGAAACAGGGACCACGAAGGAGATACCCAGAGAGGGATGAGACCCTGGGTAGCCAGAGGGGGAGATGGGCACTGCCAAGGGGATGGTTTGGGGGGCTTTTGACCCCTTTAAAACCTTCATCAGGAACCCCAAAGCCACACCAAGGAAACTGACCATCCAAGTTGAAAAGGTGAGCCTGCCATGTCAACTCAGCTTCAAGGCAGTCCCTTCATACCCCCAGCCACATCTTTCAAACAGACACTGCAGCCAACCCCCTGGTTCATGGAAATTCTGGAAGGAAACTCAGGCTGAGAGACATCTGAAAAGGAAAAGTGAATTCAGGTCAGGAAATGGTTTAAGATGGCCATTGTGTGACCAGCTGTGTACAAAGGGGCCCCTAGGGGGTTCCAGGCTGCTGTGGAGACACAGCCAGACACAGACACACCCAGGTCCTTGGGATCTGGGGGAGTCTGGGGAGAGGAGCTGGGGGATGGACATTGCAGCTGGGGCTAAGAAGATAAGCAGAAATTTCCCAGGCAAAAGAGAGGAGGGTTCTGGGCAGAGGGCACAGCCCAGGCAAAGGCCCTGGGACAGGACTGTGTCTGGTGTGTCGAAGGAACAGCAAGGAGGCCCGTGCAGCTGGAGCAGAGAGGGAGAAGTTGGGGTCAGAGAGGCCATGGAGATTGAATGTGCAAGGGAAATCAGGCGGGCTTCTTGGAGGAGGTGATATTTGAACAGAGATTTGGAGGATGAGGAGGAGCAAGCCATGGGGAGATCTGGGGAGCAGATCATTCTAGGCAGAGGGAACAGCCAGTGCGAAGCCTCTGAGGCTTCCGCATACCTGGCATGTTCAAACAACAGCAGAGAGACCAGCGTGGCTGGAACAGAGTTAGTGAGGCAGGAAGAGCAAGAGGAGGCCAGGTCAGGGAAGTAGCTGAGACCTAACCAATAGGTGCTATTGCACTAGTTCAGGCAAATGATGGTGCTGGTCTGGCTCGGGCAGGGCAGTGGGAGTGAGCTGGAGCAATATGCTTGGATCCAGGGTATAATTAAGAGTGACAGCCCCAGGTCTCGATGATGGAAGGAAGTGGGGAGGGAGGGAGATGGAGAAATTAGAAATGACAGTCAGTTCTGGGTCCTTTCTCTGGGTCCTTAACCCAGAGAAACCATCAGGGAATCTTTGGCCGCAGACAGATGGCAGGACCAGGAGGCGGCTCAGGGCCACCCAGCCTCCCAGAGATGTGGGTGCACTTCACAGCGTCCTGGTTCCCACCAGCTGCCAGCAACATGCAGCCCAGATGTTCCATTCTGGGGACATCTGTGCCGGGCCTTCCCCAGCATCAAGTGAGTTTCATCTGTGGCAGCAGCATCGTCTGGGATGCCTCCGCTGGAGAGGCAGGAAGGCAGGGCTGGAGCAAAGGAGGCACCCGTGGTCTCTGGCCAGAAGGCTGTCACGGGGAGGGGGCCACATGGGGACAGGCAGCAGTTCCCAGAGTGGCCAACACGGTGCTGGAGATGGGATCTGTGATGCTTGAGTGGTGAGACGTGGAAACTCAAAACTTACCATGGAACGGGAGAAGGCTGGGCTCCCACTTCAGACGCTTGGAGTTCACAAGTTCCCATCACAAGTCCCCACCTCCAAGCCCTTACCCCAGCCATGCCCCTCGCTAGGAGAGTCCTGTTCACTTTCACTTCCCCTTGAATTCTTCCCTTCACAAGCATGTATTGAGCACCTGCTGTGTACCAGTAAACACAAGAAGCCAAGAAAAAAAAAAAAAACCTCTGAGTTTATAGGGCTCAGTCTGGTGTGAGGGTCAGACAAATGAATAAGCTAATTTATTTTCTTTTTCCTTTTTTTGGAACAGAGTCTTGCTCTATTGCCCAGAGCTGAAGTGTAGTGGTGTGATCTCAGCTCACTGCAACTTCCGCCTCCCAGATTCAAGCTAGTCTCCTGCCTCAGCGTCCTGAGTAATTGGGATTACAGGCGCCCGCCACCACACCCGGCTAATTTTTGTATTTTTAGTAGAGATGAGGTTTCACCTGTTGGCCAGGCTCGTCTCAAACTCCTCATCTCAAGTGATCCACCCACCTTGGCCTCCCAAAGTGCTGAGATTACAGGCGTGAGCCACCACACCTGGCCTCTTTTCTTTTCTGTTTTTGAGACAGAGTCATGCTCTGTCGCCCAGGCTGTAGTGCAGTGGTGCAATCACGGCTCACTGCAGCCTCAGCCTCCTGGGCTCAAGGGATCCTCCCACCTCAGCCTCCTCAGTAGCTGGGACTACAGGTGTGTACCACTACACCTGGCTAATTTTTTAATTTTTTGTGGAGATGAAGTCTCAATATGTTGCCCAGGCTGGTCTTGAACTCCTGGGCTCAAGCAATCCTCCTACCCCAGCCTTCCAAAGCGCTGAGATTATAAGCGTGAGCCCCCACGCCTGGCCTAAGCTATTTTTAACTAGTGAAGTGCTGGGACAGACAACAGAAGATGATGTGATATGAATGGAGGGACCCAGGAGGCTTCGTTAGCCCAGGGTGGTTGCAGCAGGGTGGCTCTTTGAGGAGGTGGTGGTCTTTTGAGCTGACAGATGAAACAGAAAGGAGGGCCAGGTGCGGTGGCTCATGCCTGTAATCCCAGCACTTTGGGAGGCCGCGGTGGGCGGATCATGAGGTCAGGAGTTTGAGAGCAGCCTGACCAACATGGTGAAACCCCATCTCTACTAAAAATACAAACACAAAATTAGTCAGGCGTGGTGATGGGCACCTGTAATCCCAGCGACTCAGGAGGCTGAGGCAGGAGAATCGCTTGAACCCAGGAGGCGGAGGTTGCTGTGAGCAGAGATCGTACCACTGCACTCCAGCCTGAGCAACAGAGGGAGACTCCATCTCAAAAAAAAAAAAAAAAAGGAAGAAAGAAACAGAAAAGAAAGCAGCCCTGGAGATGGCTGGAGGACTTTCAGATGGAGGGCACCACACGTGCCAAAGCCCTTGGGCAGGACCGTACCTGGAGTGCTGGAGGAACAGCAGGGAGGTCTGTGTGGCTGCAGCAGAGTGAGTAATGGGGAGATGGAGAGGGGGGAGGGCAGGGAAGACAGGGTGGGGTAGGGGGGACATGGAGGATTCTAAAGGGTATGGATTTTGCCATGACTAAGGAGGGCAGAACTTGGCGATGAGGCCTCTCTGTGAAGATAGAAACTCAGATCAGGGCTGGGCACAGTGGCTCACACCTGTAATCCCAGCACTTTGGGAGGCCGAGGCGGGCAGATCACCTGAGGTCAGGAGTTCAAGCCCAGCCTGGCCAACATGTGAAACCCCGTCTCTACTAAAAATACAAAAAAATTAGCCAGGCATGGTGGTGGGTGCCTGTAATCCTGGCTACTCGGGAGGCTGAGGCAGGGGAATCGCTTGAACCCAGGAGGTGGAGGTTGCAGTGAGCCGAGATCACACCATTGCACTCCAGCCTGGGCAACAAGAGCAAAACTCCATCTCAAAGAAAAAAAAAAAAAAAAAAGAAACTGAAATCAGGAGCAGGTGTGTGTAGACTCTTTGCTAACAAACCTCAGAGAAGGTGAGACACTGGGCCACAGACACACAGCAGCAATTGCTGCCAATCCGGCTATTTCCCCACAAGCCTGAGACTCAGTGGGGAAGGTAAACCCCCACAGAAACTTTTCTCCCAATGGGATAAAACAATGAAAATAAAAATAAAAGAGACCCCCTCCCCACCAGCCCTTACGGCCAGCCCCGTAAGATCTCCCAGCTGTTTGGAGCGTGGCAGAGGAAGAAGAGGGAGAAGAAAGAAAGAATGAATGAAAAAACAGGAGCAATATTTTTCTATTGTCCTTATCCAAATAAATTGAGATGTATTTGTGAAACTGTCAAGAAAACTGGTAGGAGCGAAACTATAAAATCACACAGCTGCTCTGAGAGCCCATGACAGACAGCTCAGATTAATGTAGCTGTATTTTTATGGTCTGTTAACAACTGATATAGGTTTTAAATATATTATCTTCCTTCGTATTGTCTGTCATTTTAAAAACTGCTCGTGTCTCCTGTGTTTGCTTTTAAAAGGTTCTTATAGAACATTCCGCTGCTGAGCTCCCAAATCTTTTTTTTTTTTTTTCCTTCCTGTAGATATATCATCACAGATCTTCTCCCCTCCGAGCAAGGTTTTCTCTGGTACTTTCATGGGCAATTTACCACAGAACCTATTGGAACCCCTTGAGTTTCTTAATTCACAGAGCAGCTATGGGAGTCCGGATTCCTGCCTAGCTGGAGATTTCAGAGATGTGTAGATGGGTCTGGTCCAGACGGGATGAAAAGTGTTGAGTATGTCCCTGGCCTCCATTTTCTCATCTGTCAAAAGGAGCCTGGCCTTGGGGAACTCTCCATCAGTTGATGGAGACTTGTAGCAGTCAGCGAGCGCTGTGTTAATGCCACATAACAAATCATTCTGAATCTTATTGGCTTGTCACAACAAATGTTGGTTTCTTTTTTTTTTTCTTTTTTTTTATTTTGAGACAGAGTCTGACTCTGTCACCCAGGCTGGAGTGCAGTGGCGCAATTTCAGCTCACCGCAACCTCCACTTCCTGGGTTCAAGTGATTCTCAGCCTCCTGAGTAGCTGGGATTACAGGTGCGTGCCACCACATCCGGCTAATTTTTAATATTTTTAGCAGAGATGGGGTTCTGCCCTGTTGGCCAGGCTGGTCTCGAACTCCTGACCTCAGGTGATCCACCCACCTCGGCCTCCCCCAAAGTGCTGGGATTATAGGTGTGAGCCATCATGCTGGCCCAAATGTTGGTTTCTTGCTCACAGGTCCCTGTTGTATCTTTCTCTAGGCAGACGCATTTATTCCTGCAGTTTTAGGGATGGCTCTCACACCTGTGACCCTAAACCTGAGCTGGTTTCTGTGCTCCAAATCAGAAGACAACATTTGCTAGAATGAGGCTCATTTGCTCAAAGACCTGGGCGTGAGCTGCCTCTCCTCCCTCATTGTCACCCATCAATGGTCAGTACCCACATTCTGCCCATTCCTATCATCCATCCGCTCCTTTCCATTTTCATGGCCTCTGATCCCTTCAGTCCACTTTACATTCAGCTCTAGACAACAGGGATCACCTCCTCCCTGGTCTCATGGCCTCTGTTCTCTCCTCTTCCAATTTACCCTTCCTACAGCAACCAGGGTGAGCCCTTGTCCTTTCTCTTTTCCCTTCCCTTCCCTCCCTTCCCCTCCCTTCCCCTCCCCTCCCCTTGCCTCCCCTCCCCTGCCCGATTCCCCTCCCCTCCCCGACTCCCCTCCCCTCCCCATCTCCCCTCCCCTCCCCTCCCCTCGCCTCCCCTCCCCTCCCCTCGCTTCCCCTCCCCTCCCCTCGCCTCCCCTCCCCTTCCCTTCCTTTTCCAAGACAGGGTCTCACTCTGTCACCTAGGCTGTAGTGCAGTGGTGCAATCACGGCTCACTTCAGTCTCAACCACCCCAGGCTCAGGTGATCCACCCACCTCAGCCTCCAGAGTAGCTGGGGCTACAGGTGTGTGCCACCACGCCTAGCTAATTTTTCTTTCTTTCTTTTCTTTTCTCTTTCTTTCTTTCTTCTTTTTTTCTTCCTTCCTTCTTTCTTTCTTTCTTCTTTCTTTCTTCCTTCCTTCTTTCTTTCTTTCTTCTTTCTTTTCTTTTCCTTCTTTCCTTCTTTCCTTCCTTCCTTCCTTCCTTCTTCCTTTCCTTTCCTTTCCTTCTTTCTTTCTTTTTCTTTCTTTTTTGAGACAGGGTTTCAAAAAGTGGCAAGATCACAGGTCACTGTAACCTCCGCCTCCCAGGCTCAAGCGATCCTCCCACCTCAGCCTCCTGAGTAGGTGGGACCACAGGTGTACGTACACCACCACACCTGGCTAATTTTTCTATTTTTTGTAGAGACAAGATTTCACCATGTTGTTCAGGCTGGTGTCAAAACTCCTGGGCTCAAGCAATCTGCCCATCTCAGCCTCCCAAAGTACTGGGATTACAGGCTTGAGCCCCTGTGCCCGGCCTGATTGTTTCTTTTTAAAAAAATTTTCCATGATCAAGTCTCTCTTCCTGCTTAAATCCCATCATAGATTCCCAGAAGATAAGATCAGAGCCCCTCAATGTAGTGTTCAAAGCCCTTTCTATGCCTTCTTTCTCCCTAAATTTACCCCTGTTACAGTTCTACACTCCAGCCAGACTTTATTACTGTGTTTTACCCACTCAAACACTTAGCTCTTTCCAACATCTGAACCTTTGCATATGCTGTTCCCTTTTCTTGGAATGCTTTTCCACCTCACAAACTCCTATACATCCTGCAAAGCCCAGCTTCCATTACCTCTCTCCCAGCAGAGGGCACCTTTGGTCAGTGCCCCACTCTACAACCAGGATTTGTAGCTCCCAGGCATCATGTGTTTTTGGCCTGTCATCTTCCGCACTTGACAATGACCTCCCTGGAGTCAGGGGCTGCATTTTCCTCCCTTGGACACTTCCCCAGCCCTACTGCAGGAATAAGTATGGCTGTAACTGCATAGAGAAGAAAGGAAGCCCTATCCTGAGGCATTAATTACAGAGCCTGGACAATTAGAAGCGAGGCCGGTAGACTGCAGAAGTGCAGACGACCACAGAGCTGTATATAACAAGGTACTAATTGTGCAGGGAAGACAATTAGGAAGGGAGGTTTTGAGCCACCAGCTCCACGGTCTGGACAATTAGACACCAGGCCATATATAAATGACGTGCTAATCGCTTGGTGCGGACGATTAACAGGGCGCCTGGGAAATAATAAAGCAAAATGCCACCGAGCAGCCAGGCACAGGGCCAGGTGGTGCCGCCTTGGGGACTAGAGTTTGGCTGTCCGGACATGAATCCTCCTAGGAGACCTCAAACGAGAGATTTCTCCGTGCTGAACCTCATTCTTCTCATCTGTAAAATGGGGATGTGTGTGGCGCCTGCATGGCGGATATGGAAACCAAGGAGGAGATGGAATAAGAAGCTAATTAGGCCGGGCTCAGTGGCTCACGCCTGTAATCCCAGCATTTGGGAGGCTGAGCGGGCTGATCACCTGAGGTCAGGAGTTCAAGACCAGCCTGGCCAACACGGTGAAACCTCATCTCTACTAAAAAATACAAAAATTAGCTGGGCGTGGTGGTGGGCGCCTGTAGTCTCAGCTACTTGGGAGGCTGAGGCAGGAGAATCGCTTGAACCTGGGAGGCGGAGGTTGCAGTGAGCCAAGATCACACCATTGCACTCCAGCCTGGGTGACCCAGTCTCAAAAAAAAGTAAAAAGAAAAACAAAAAAAACTAATTACTTGCTGCTGTGGACAAATCACAGGAAGCCAGTGGGACGCACCTGCCCCATTCCAGCCTTTACAACCCACCCTATGTGGATTTGTGCTTAATTGTATTCCCTGGGGACTTGAGCTAGGAGCACTTGCCTGGTAGGTATGCAGCAGACTGACCTGGGTTCGAGTCCTGGTATTGCCAGTTTAGGCAGGTGCTTTCCTCTGGCTGAGCCTCAGTTTCCTCATTTGTAAATGGTGCACCGATAATCCTCATCTCTCCAGATTCAATAAGATGTCACACATAAGGCACCTAGCACCATGCTCAGCACAAGGTAGAAAGGTGATGCACGGTGGCTATTTTATAATTGTTTTTTTTTTTCTTTCTTTTTTTTTGAGATGGAGTTTCACTCTTGCTGCCTAGGTTGGAGTGCAATGGTGCGATCTTGGCTCACCACAACCTCCGCCTCCCAGGTTCAAGCGATTCTCCTGCCTCAGCCTCCCTAGTAGCTGGGATTACAGGCATGTGCCACCACGCCCGGCTAGTTTTGTATTTTTAGTAGAGATGGGGTTTCTCCACATTGGTCAGGCTGGTCTCGAACTCCTGGCCTCAGGTGATCAACCCACCTTGGCCTCCCAGAGTGCTGGGATTACAGGCATGAGCCACCGCGCCTGGTCTGTTTCCTTCCTTCCTTCCTTCCTTCCTGCCTGCCTTTCTTTCTCTCTCTTTCTTTCTTCTTTTTTTTGATGGAGTCTTGGTCTGACACCCAGGTTAGAGTGCAATGGCATGATCTTCGCTCACTGCAACCTCTGCCTCCAGACTCAAGCAATCCTCCCGCCTCAGCGTCCTGAGTATCTGGGATTACAGGAGTGCACCGCCATACTCAGCTACTTTTTCTGTTTTTTGTGGAGATAGGGTTTCACCATGTTGCCCAGGCTGGTCTTGAACTCTTGAGCTCAAGGGATCTCTCCACCTTGGCCTCCCAAAGTGCTGGGATTATAGCATGAGCCACTGTGCACGGCCTTGTGTTTTGTGTTTTTTTTTTTTTTTTTTGAAACGGAGTCTGGCTCTGTCTATCACGCTGGAGTGCGGTGGCACAATCTCAGCTCTCTGCAACCTCCTTCTCCTGGGTTCAAGTGATTCTCTTGCCTCAGCCTCCCAAGTAGCTGGGATTACAGGTGCCCGCCACCATGCCCAGGTAATTTTTTGTATTTTTAGTAGAGACGGGATCTCACCATGTTGGCCAGGCCTGACACAAGGTCAAACTCCTGACCTTGTGATCCGCCCGCCTCAGCCTCTCATAATGCTGGGATTACAGGCGTGAGCCACCACGCCCGTCCCACCGCCTTGTTTTATAACTGCTGTTGACATTAGTGTAATTATTGTTTTTGTTATTGTCAATTGTCATCCACCCTGATTGATGTGTTCCTTATGATTTCCCCTTGGCTGTGTCTGGCATCTGAAGCAGGTCCAAAGGCAGGATTCAAGGGCATGCAGAGGGGCTTGGAATGATAGAGGTTGTCCCAGCCAGGCTAGTGTGAAATTTCTCTGGGTAGGGAGGTGATGATGTGTCCTGTCCACGGTGGCAGGAGTCCAGTATCTTGGTGGAGAGCGATGGCTGGGTCAGCATGATGGTACCACGGTTAGATAAGAAGGAGCCATCTATGGAAAGATCTGGAAGAGAGCATTCCAGACAGAGGGCACAGCCAGAGCAAAGGCCCTGCGGCAGGGGCCATGCCTGGTATGTTCAAAGGACAGTGAGGGGCCAGGTGTGGAGACTCACGTCTGTAATTCCAGCACTTTGGGAGGCCGAGGTGGGTAGATCATCTGAGGTCAGGAGTTCGAGACCAGCCTGGCCAATATGGTGAAACCTCATCTCTACTGAAATTACAAAAAAAAAAAAACTAGCCAGGTGTGGTGGTGTGCGCCTGTAGTCCCAGCTACACAGGAGGCTGAGAAAGGAGAGTTGCTTGAACCGAAGAGGTGGAGGTTGCAGTGGGTAGAGATCACGCCATTGCACTCCAGCCTGGCCAACAGAGTGGAACTTCATCTCAAAAAACAAACAAACAACAAAAAAACCCTGAGGATTTGTGCCCTAAAGCAATGAAAAGAGAGACTGTTTTTTTTTTTTTTTTTTGAGACAGAGCCTTGCTTTGTCGCCAGGCTGGCGTGCAGTGGCATGATCTTGATCTTGGCTCACTGCAATCTCTGCCTCCTGGGTTCAATCGATCCTCCTGCCTCAGCCTCCCGAGTAGCTGGGACTACAGGCACCTGCCACCACTCCCAACTAATTTTTTGTATTTTTAGTAGAGAAGGGGTTTCACCATGTTGGCCAGGATGGTCTCGATCTCTTGACCTCGTGATCTGCCTGCCTTGGCCTCCCAGAGTGCTGGGATTACAGGCATGAGCCACCGCACCCGGCTAAAAAGAGAGACTCTAACAGACACTCGCACACCCATGTTCATACGAACATGATTCCCAACAGCCAAAAGGTGGAAGCAGCCCATGTTCATGGATGGGTGAATGAATAAACACAATGTGGTCCATCCATACAATGGGATATTATTCAGCCTTAAAATAGAAGGGGATTCTGACACATGCCACACATGGGCAAACCTCGAGGATATCATGCTAAGTAAAATAAGCTAGCCTGGCACAGTGGCTACTGCCTGTAATCCCAGCACTTTGGGAAGCCAAGGTGGGAGGATCATTTAAGCGCAGGAGTTCAACACCAGCCTGGGCAACATGGCAAAACCCCATCTCTACAAAAAATTAAAACATTAGCTGGGTGTGGTGGTGCACACCTGTAGTCCCAGCTACTTGGGAGGCTGGCTGCAGTGAGCTATGATCATGCCACTGCACTCTAGCCTGGGTGACAGAGTGAGACCCCATCTCAAGTAAAAAAGAAGGAAAAGAGAGAGAGAGAGAAACAAAGGAAAGGAAACGAAGAAAGAGAGAAAGAGACAGAAACAGAGGAAGAAGAAGAAGAGGAGGAGGGGAAGAAGAAGGAGGAGGAGGAAAAAGAAGAAGGAGGAGGAGGAGGGAGGGAAAGAAGGAAGGAAGGAAGGAAAGGAAGGGAGAGAAACTAGACACAAAAGGACAAATATTGTATGATTCTATTTATAAGATGTACCTGGAGTAATTAGCGGTGGCTCACGCCTGTAATCCCAGCACTTTGGGAGCCTGAGGTGGGCAGATCACAAGGTCAGGAGATCGAGACCATCCTGGCTAACATGGTGAAATCCCGTCTCTACTAAAAATACAAAAAAATAGCCGGGTGTGGTGGCGGCGCCTGTAGTCCCAGCTACTCAGGAGGCTGAGGCAGAAAAATGGCGTTAACCCAGGAGGCAGAGCTTGCAGTGAGCTGAGATCGTGCCACTGCACTCCAGCCTGGGTGACAGAGCAAGACTCTGCTTCAAAAAAAAAAAGTCATAGCAACAGAAAGTCATAGAAACAGAAAATAGAAGAGAAGTTACTCGAGGTTGAGGGGAAAAGAGAATGGAGAGTTATTGCTAAACAGGTACAGAGTTTCTGCTTGGAATGATGATAAGTTCTGGAAATAGTGGTGATGGCTACACAACATTGTGAGTGTACTTAACTCCATTGAATGATATAGTTAAAAGTGGTGAAAATGGTAAATTTTATGTTATGTACATTTTACCAGTATAATAACTAAATAAACAAACCTTAATAATAATTATAATAAGAGTGCAGTGAGGAAATCTGAGTGCTGGAGAGGAGAGGACAGGTGGGGAAAGTGGGAAGCGGGAGGCTAACATGGAGGGAATGAAGTAGATCCTGAAGGATCTTGCCTGTGGCAAGAAATGGATACTTTTGTGCTAACAGCAGGAGCTATTGCAGGGTTTGAACTGAGGATGGCCATGGGGAAAATAGATCATAGTGGGCAGAAGTGGAATAGGAGACTAGGATGGATGACAAATGATGAAGGCTTGGACCTGTGCAGTAGCAGTGAGGAAAGAGAGAGGAAGGGGGCTAGAATATATTTTGGCAGTGGAGGCAGAGGAAGGATGCACAGACAACTCCAGGTTTTGAGCTTAGACAATGGGTGCCATTTACTCAAACAGAGAAGCCTAGGGAAGATGTTCAGTTTGGGAATCAATACAGGCAAGATGTTTGTTCAGCATCCACATTGAATCCACATCTCATGACTTCTCAACACTGCCTATGGGCAAACTGATTTTTTTCCCAGTCTAATGCATTTTAAAAGTATCTCACTGTGGCCGGGTGTGGTGGCTCACGCCTGTCATCCCAGCACTTTGGGAGGCCGAGGTGGGTGGATCACGAGGTCAGGAGATCAAGACCATTCTGGCTAACACAGTGAAACCTCGTCTGTGCTAAAAATACAAAAAAATAGCTGAGTGTGGTGGCGGGCGCCTGTAGTCCCAGCTACTCGGGAGGCTGAGGCAGGAGAATGGCGTGAACCTGGGAGGCAGAGGTTGCAGTAAGCCAAGATCACACCACTGCACTCCAGCCTGGGTGACAGAGCGAGACTCCGTCTCAAAAAAAAAAAAAAAAAAAAAGAATTGCCTGTTCATGTGCTTTGCCCATTTTTAATTTTTTCTTGTTGATTTGTAAGAGCTCTTTATATATTCACATCCTTTGTTATGGTTTTGGCAATAATCTCTCAGTTGGTCACTTGTTTCTTCCCCCCAGGTCTTTTTTCTTTTATTGTGGTAAAATATACATAAAATGAGATTTGCCACTTTACCCATCTTTCAGCATGCCACCCAGTGGTGTTAAGCACATTCAGATTGTCGTGTAACCATCACCACCACCCATCTCCTAAACTTTCTCATATTCCCAAACTGAAACTCTGTCCCCATGAAACACTCTCCGCCCCCTCCCCCAGTCTCCAGTCACCAATGTTCTACTCTCTGTCTCAGTTAGTGAACTCCTGAGAGAAACAGATACTGGAAGGATGAAGGTCTCGGAATCTGAAATTAAGTTAAATTATAGAAAATAAAGTGGCTGGCTGGGTGCGGTGGCTCATGCCTGTAATCCCATCACTTTGGGAGGCTGAGGCAGGTGGATCACCTGAGGTCAGGAGTTCGAGACCAGCCTGGCCAGCATGGTGAAACCCCGTCTCTATTAAAATACAAAAAAAAATTGGCCGGGAGTGGTGGCGGGTGCCTGTAATCCCAGCTACTTGGAGGCTGAGGCAGAAGAATTGCTTGAACCCAGGAGGCAGAGGTTGCAGTGAGCTGAGATCGTGCCATTGTACTCCAGCCTAGGCAACAAGAGCAATAGTCTGTCTCAAAAAATAAATAAATAAATAAATAAATAAATAAATAAATAAAATAAAGTAGCCATACTTCACGTTCATCTGATTTCGTGGGCTAGCTATGAATTTTATTTTTCATCTGTCTTCCCCACTAAACCATGAGTCCTGTGAATACAGAGCTGTGTCTGTCTCCTTCACCATTGTGTCCTGGATGTCCTGAGCACAGGGCCAGGTACCTAGTAGGTCAGAGGTCAGTAAATTTTTTCTGAAAAGGGCCAGATTGTTTAAAAAAAATTTTTTTTTGAGACAGGATCTCACTGTCGCCCAGGCTGGGGTGGAGTGGAGTGATCATGACTCACTGTCATCTCAACCTCTCAGGCTGAAGCTATCCCCCCACGTCAGCCTCCAGGGTAGCTGGACTACAGATGCATGCCAACATGCTGGGCTAATTTATTATTATTATTATTACTATTATTTGTAGAGATGGGGTCTTTTTATGTTGCCCAGGTTGGTCTTGAACTCGGGCTCAAGCAATCCCCCCACCCGAACCTCCCAAACTGTTGGGATTACAGGTGTGAGCTACTGCACCTGGCTGTAAATATTTTTTATTTTGCAGGCCATATGGTTTCCATCCCAACTATTCAACTCTGCCATATTAGCAAGAAAGCAGCCATAGACAACAGGTTAATGAATGGACATGGCTGTGTGCCAATAAAACTTTATTTACAAAAACAAGTAGGGGGACAGATTTGGCCCACAGGGCCGTTGTTTGCTGATCCCTGAAGTAGGTGCTCCAGGAATAGTTGTTTATTGGTGGGAGCAACTTCTGGAGGGAAAGGGCTGCTTTTGGGCTCTGTATGAGTCCTCCAGGTAAGCAGGGAAGGGTATCTCAGTAGAGAAAACTGCATTCAAAGGTCTGGAGGTGGGAATATGGGTGGGTGCTAAGGGTAATTCAGGAGTTGTAGGACAAAGTCACACAGGTTATTGGGGTCTGTAAGGGAGAGGGGTGGATTTACTCTAGAGGGCAGTGGGAGCTATGGAATGTTATAGAGCGAGAGAGGACTTGCATATTACATTAGGAAAACACACTGGGTCTTAGCGTGAGTGTCATTCCTCTATCCTGAGCTGGACTGTCCAAGGTCACTTTTTGCTTTTATTTTTTATTTTTATTTTTTAGACCGGGTCTCGCTCTGTCACCCAGGCTGCAGCCCACTGGTGCGATCTCGGCTCGCTGCAACCTCCGCCTTCTGGGTCCAAGCAATCCTCCTGCCTCAGCCTCCCAAGTAGCTGGGATTACAGGCATGCGCCACCATGCCTGACTAATTTTTGTATTTTTGGTAGAGACAGGGTTTCACCATGTTGCTTAGGCTGGAGTCGAACTCCTGGGCTCAAATGTTCTGCCCCTTGGCCTCCCAAAGTACTGGGATTACAGGCATGAGCCACTGCACCCAGCCTACTTTTTGCTTTTTAGAAGGGGCTTGAAACACTCCCTCCGACAAATAGGTGCCCTTATGACAAGCCCTCAACATCTCACCTGCCTTGCAAGAGCCACCATTTTTTTAAATAAAAAAAATCTTTTTAAGAGATGGGGTCTCCCTGTGTCACCCAGGCTGGAGCACAGTGACAAAATCATAGCTCACTGCAGCCTCAACCTCCAAAAGCCAGCATTTATTAATTGCTTACTATATACCAGGACATGCATTATCACGATGACTCTTTGCATAACCGGATGAGGGACAAACTGTTACCAACTCTATCTGAGGAACCCCCATCCCACCTACTCAGTATCTCACATGGTTTCCTTGTGATCGTAACATAACCAACCATCGGTTTGCAGCTGAGTTCTCTAGGATGAGGGAATTTTGGTGCTAAAAACAGGAAAGTCCTGGGCAAACCTGGATGAGCTGATCACCCTATATGACAGCTGGAAACAAAATCTGGAGAGATCTAATCAAAACCACAATGCGAGGCCAGGTGCGGTGGCTCACGCCTGTAATCCCAGCACTTTGGGAGGCCGAGGCGGGTGGATCACGAGGTCAGGAGATCAAAACCAGTTGGAGGTTGCAGTGAGCCGAGATCGTACCACTGCACTCTGGCCTGGTGACAGAGTGAGACTCCGTCTAAAACAAACAAACAAAAAAACACACACACAATGAGATACCATCTCACGCCAGTCAGAATAGTGATTATTAAAAAGTCAAGAAACAACAGATGCTGGTGATGCTGTGGAGAAATAGGAACGCTTTCACATTGTTGGCAGGAATGTAAATTCGTTCAACCATTGAGGAAGACAGTGTGGCAATTCCTCAAGGATCTGGAATCGGAAATACTATTTGACCAAGCAATCCTATTACTGGGTATATACCCAAAGGAATATAAATCATTCTATTATAAGGATACATGCATGTGTACATTCTTTGCAGCACTATTCACAATAGCAAAGACATGGAATCAACCCAAATGCCCATCAATGATAGACTGGATAAAGAAAATGTGGTACACATACACCATGGAATACTATGCAGCCATAAAAAGGAACGAGATCATGTCCTTTGCAGGGACATAGATGGAGCTGGAAGCCATCATCCTCAGCAAACTAACACCGGAACAGAAAACCAAACACTGCATGTTCTCACTTATAAGTGGAAGCTGAAAAATGAGAACACATGGACACAGGGAGGGGAGCAACACACCCTGAGGCCTGTTGGGGGAATCGGGGGAGGGAGAGCATCAGGATAAATAGTTAATGCATGCAGGGCTTAATACCTAGATGATGGGTTGATAGGTGCAGCAAACCACCATGGCACACATTTACCTATGTAACAAACCTGCACATATATCCTGGAACTTAAAATAAAATTTAAAAAATACCTGGGCCACGCACAGTGGTTCACGCCTATAATCCCAGCACTTTGGGAGGCCGAGGCGGGTGGATCACCTGAGGTCAGGAGTTAGAGACCAGTCTGGCCAACATGATGAAACCCCATCACTACTAAAAATACAAAAAATTACCTGGGAGTGGTGATGGGCTCCTGTAACCCCAGCTACTCGGGAGGCTGAGGCAGGAGAATCGCTTGAACCCAGGAGCTGGAGGTTGCAGTGAGCTGAGATGGCACCACCGCACTCCAGCCTGGGCAACAAGAGCAAAACTCCGTCTCAAAAATAATAATAATAATAATAATAATAATAAATTAAAAAGAAATCTGAAGAGATCAAGTTCTGTGCTTTTGCCACCCAATAGTCCCCACGCCTGGGACAGCTTAGAGGAATTCCCACAGATATCATAGGAGCAGTTTGGCTAAGTGCATCTTTTTTGCTGAGCACTTGTTTTAAAAAAAGATCAATAAAAATAGTATCAGTAAACAAACTCCTAATCTTTGTCCCTGGAAGAGATGGCAGAGCACAGCTGAGCCAGAGGGGAGGTGGCACCAAGGGCACAAGTTCTGGCTCTGCATCCAGTTCATCGGGCGACCTGCGGGTGACACTGGACATCTCTGGGCCTCTGAGGGCACTCCTAGCTAAGAGTTTTGCAGCTGCAGTGACTCTGGGGATTCATGAGCTTGTGGTGCTGGTGGTGCTGGGGACATGCCACTGCCCTGCAGGTGAGCCACTCATGGTGGAGGGAGGTGAGGTGGAATGTGTATAACCTCATCCTCTTCCTCCTTCTGTGGTCTCCACCAGGTCCAGCCCCCATCACTGCCCACCTGGACTCGTGCAGTTGCCTCAGTCCTGATTCCCCGGCTCCTACCCTTACCTGCCGCAGTCTGTCCTCCCCATTGCAGCCACCAGAGGGTGCCTGTGAGCACCTGAGTCAGGGCCTGTCCCTCCTCTGCCCGCAGCCCCCCATGGTTCCCACCTTCCTCAGGGTCAAAGCCCAAGTCCCTTTTTTTTTTTTTTTGACATGGAGTCTCGCTCTGTCACCCAGGCTGGAGTGCAGTGGTACAGTCTCGGCTCACTGCAACCTCCGCCTCCTGGGTTCAAGCGATTCTCCTGCCTCAGCCTCAGGAGTAGCTGGGACTATAGGTGCCTGCCACCACACCTGGCTCATTTTTGTATTTTTAGTAGAGACAGAGTTTCACCATGTTGGTCAGGCTGATCTTGAACTCCTGATCTCAAGAGATCCACCCACCTTGGCCTCCCAAGGTACTAGAATTACAGGCGTGAACCACCGTGCCCGGCCCCAAGTCCTTTTTGCAACCCACAAGGCCCTGCATGACCTGTCCTCCTGCCCCTTCCCTGCCCTCCCCTTCTCCCTCTCTCCCCTTCCTCACTCTGCTCCAGCCACACAGGCCTCTTCACTGTTCCTCCAATGCCCCAGGCACTGTCCTGCCTCAGGGCCTTTGCACAGACTGTTCCCTCTACTTGGAACACCCTTCCTCCACATGTTCTCACAGCTGGCTCCTTCTGATCATTCAGGTCTCATCTCAAATGTCACCTCCTCAGACAGGCCCTCCCGGACCACCCCAGCTAAAACTGCATCCCTCCAACCTATCACTTTTTTCCACCTCACCCAGTTTCACTTCTGTTCATCAGTTATCACTGTCTGAAATGATCATTTTTGGCGGGGTGCAGTGGCTCATGCCTGTAATCCCAGTACTTTGGGAGGCCAAGGTGGGCGAATCACTTGAGATCAGGAGTTCAAGACCAGCCTGGCCAATGTGGTGAAACCCCATCTCTACTAAAAACACAAAAATTAGCTGGGCGTAGTTGTGCACGCCTGTAGTCCCAGCTACTCAGGAGGCTGAGGCAGGAGAATCGCTTGAACCTGGAAGGTGGAGGTTGCAGTGAACCAAGACTGCGCCACTGCCCTCTAGCCTGGGCGACAGAGTGAGATTCCATCTCAACAACAACAACAACAATGAAATGATCGATTTATTTTGCTTACTTGCAAATTCTGTCTCTCTCCAGCTTCCATGAGTTCCAGAAGTACAGGAAATATTGTCTCTCTTGATCTCTGCTGAGTCTTCAGTGTCTAGAACGGGGCCATGCACACAACGGTTGTTGAGTGAATAAATGAACAAATGAGGACAGAGAGAGTAGGAGTGCAGACATGGGCATCAAAGAACTGGTGATTCTGCCCAGGTGCAGTGACTCTTGCCTGACATCCCAACATTTTGGGAGGCCGAGGTGGGAGGATTGCTTGGGCCCAGGAGTTCGAGATCAGCCTGGGCAACATAGTAAGACCTTGTCCCTATAAAAAATTAGCCAGGCCCGAGCTGGGCGTGGTGGCTCACGCCTGTAATCCCAGCACTTTGGGAGGCCGAGGCAGGCATATCACGAGGTCAGGAGATTGAGACCATCCTGGCTAACATGGTGAAACCCTATTTCTACTAAAAATGCAAAAAATTAGCCGGGCATGGTGGCACGCACCTGTAGTCCCAGCTACTACCACTGCACTCCAACCTGGGCGACAGAGCAAGACTCTGTCAAAAAAAAAAAAAAAAAAAAATTAGCCAGGCCTGGTGGTGTTCACTGGTAGTTCCAGCTACTTATGAGGCTGAGGTGGGAGGATCACTTGAGTCCAGGAGTTTGAGGCTGTCGTGAGCCAAGATCACGCCAATGCATTCCAGCCTAGGTGACCTCTGGTACTTGTCTCTAAAAAGCCCTTGCCAGGACAGGATACATGGATCAGCCTTCTTCTTCTTCCTCCTCCTCCTCCTCCTCCTTCTTCTTCTTCTTCTTCCTCTCCTTCTTCTCTGCTCCTCCTCCTCCCTCTCCTTCTTCTTCTCCTTCTCCTTCCTCTTCCTCTCCTTCTCCTTTTCCCTCTCCCTCTCCTTCTCCTTCTTCTTCCTCTTCCTCTCCTTCTCCCTCTCCCTCTCCCTCTCCTTCTCCTTCTCTTTCTTCTTTTTCTTCCTCTTCCTCTTGTTCTTCTGTTTTCAGACAGGGTCCCACTCTGTCACTCAGGCTGGAGTACAGTGGTGCAATCATAGCTCACTGTAACTTTCAACTCCTAGGCTCAAGCAATCCTCATGCATCAGCCTCCCAAGTAGCTGGGACTACAGGTGCACACCACCATGCCTGGCTAATTTTTAAAGTTTTGTTTTTTGTTTTTTTTTCCAGCAGAGATGGAGTCTCACTATGTTGCCTAGGCTGGTCTCAAACTCCTGGCCTTAACCCTTCCTCTCACCTCAGCCTCCTGAAGCACTGGGATTACAAGGCATGAGCCTCCACGCAAGGGCCCTCTTTCTTTTTAACAGCTGCATATGTTTCCATAAGATGCACCTTCTATAGTTTATCCACCATGACTCCGTAGAGCACATTAGCAAACAGGCGTCTTTGCACACGCATGTAGATCTTCTCTGGGTTAGAGATCTGGGTAGAGTTGCTGCAACGCAGTTTTATTTGATGCTGCGAAGCTGCCCACCATTCCTTGGCTCACTAGCTGTCCATGAGTCCCATCTCCCTCACCCTCATCAATAGTTAATCTCATCCATTTTCCCCCTCATTTACCCAATCTGATCAATGTGAAGCAAGATCTTGTTCTGGTTTTGATTTTCCATTTCCTTGACCGCAGTAACTTTTCCCCTTCCTCTTGGTAGAATACAGGTGCCCAGGAGATGTGGCCACCGCCATCTAGAACCACACGACATGTGCTCCATCCACTTCCCGCCAGCAGGACCACCTCAGCCTGGGATTGCAGGGGCAAGGGCTAGAGAGAGGCCTCAAATGTATGTGTCTGCGTTGGGGGTGCCTGAGCTGACTGTAGGGCCATCGATCACCCCGCTGTAGCCAGCGCAGGGTGTTTTAGCTAAATCAGGAAGTGCATCCCACAGAGCAGCCTCTGGTGGATCAATGGTTGGAGGTCGAAGCCAGGTTGCTAGCAGCAGCTGGGCAGCCCCTCAGACCTGGGGCATGAGTGGGAGGAAGAACAGGAGGGACGAGCCAGCTGGGCTTGAACCCTACTTTTGCCACTGACCATTGTGGGACTTGGACTGAGTGACGTTCGTTTCCTGAACCACTGTGTCCATATCTGTGAATGGGCAGTCATAGCCTCCTACCTTCCATTATTCGTTCATTCATTCATTCATTCAACAAGTATTCTTGAGCACCTACTGTGTGCCAAGTTCTGTTCTAGGCTTTGGAATTTGCAACAGAAAGACAGGCAAAAATGGCTGCCTTCGAGTTGATGAGGCATGGTCACTCATCGAGGTACAAGATAATGAATGGTTTTGAAAGGGCTATGAAGAAAAATAATGTAGGGTGAGGGTGTAGACAGTGGTGGAGACATGGTTTCTTTAGCTGGGGTAGTCAGGGAGGGCTTCTCTGAGGAGGTGACATTTGAGCAAAGATTTGAAGAGGAGAAGGGAGGACTCAAGTGGATCTCTTGGGAGAAAAGCACTCCAGTCAGGCACAGTGGCTCACACCTGTAATCCCAGCACTTTGGGAGGCAAAGGGGGGTGGATCACTTTGAGGTCAGGAGTTCAAGACCTGCCTGACCAACATGCTGAAATCCCATCTGTACTAAAAATACAAATATTAGATGAGTGTAGTGGTGCATGCCTGTAATCCAGCTGCTTGGGAGGCAAAGGTGGGAGGATCGCTTAACCCAGGAGGCAGAGGTTGCAATGGGCTCAGATCTCATCACTGCACTCCAGCCTGGGCAACAGAGTGACACCCTGTCTCAAAAAAACAAAAACAGAAACAAAAAGGCAAGGTCAGATGACGATAAACTTTCCTCTGTTGAAAGTTAGTAGGGAGGAAATGTATTTCCATGAGGACATTCCTGAATGTTAGAGGGGTATGGTCCTCTGGACCCATCTAAGTGACTTTTCTCTATTATGGCTGGGGAAACTGAGGCCCAGAGAGAGCCTTTCCAATTCACTCCCAGGCCACACTCAAGAATGAGGTGGGGGGATTTGAGAATGCGGGACAGAAGGAGGAACCCCGATACAGCCAAGTGTGGGATCTTTTCACTAGAAGGATCAAGAGAGGCTTGAGTCCAACTCTCCAGGGTAAGGAGGGGAAACCGAGGCCCAGAGAAGAAGCCCACACCCACCTCACTCACCCCTCCTTGGGTCACTCACCAGCATCCTCCATGTGCCATCCATTCATCCAGGTCGAGCTCCAACTGCAGCTGAACCCCCAGCTCCGGTTCCTCACAGACTCGGCACTCAGCCAGAGGAGCTCTCTGTGGCTGTGCTCACCCCACACGCCAGTTTACGTGGGGAAAATGTGAGGCTCAGCAGGACAGATGATACACCCAAGGTCGCTCAGGCAGGGCTGGTTGGAGCTCAGGAAGGCTTGAGACCAGATCCTGTTCATTTTCCAAGTGTAGGCAGCCACTCTGGTGGAATGGGGAATGGACACCTGAAGCTTAAGGCAGGTCCCAGACAGTGTGTACAAAACAAACCTGTGCACACACTCATGCACAAACACGGGTGCCTACATGCAGGTAGGCATACATGCACACATGCACACAGAGACATGTGGCACATGCTCATGAGTGCACACATTCATATGAACATACATGCACACACATGCACGCATGAGACATATGTGCACATCATTACATGTGAACGCATGTGCACAGGAACATGCACATACATGCAAACTGGCACACACATGCACACAAGCACATGTGCACACATGCACACATATGCATATTCACAAATGCATGCACACACAATTCACACAAACATGAACATACATGCACACACAAGCACGGACACATGGACACACATGTGTATACATGCATATGCTTGCACTTAGGCACATGTGCTCACAGACATGTGTGCACAATGCATTGAACATGCCTGCACACACAGATACACACTCACACACTCATGCATGTAGGCAGACCTGCACACACAAGAGACACACAAGCACATAAACATGTACATACATGCAAACCCACACATGCACACAGATGCACATAAGCACATGTGCGCACATGCATATTCACGAACGCATGCACACACACAATTCACACAAACATAAATATACATGCACACCCAAACATGGACACATGGACTCATATGTGTATACATACACACACTCGCACTTAGGCACATGTGTACACAGAGACATGTGTGCACACATGCATTGAACATGCCTGCACACACAGATGCACGCTCACATACTCATGCCTGTAGGCAGACATACACACAGAGAGACATGTGTGCACATAGATGCACGTGAACAATGACAGGCACACATGCACACAGGCACACATGCACACACAAAACTTGAACATGCATGCACATGCACATGAAATGCACATATGCATACTCACAATTCACACAAACGTGAGCTCATGTGCACAGGTGCATGCACACACAAACATAGACACATGTACACACACGCGTATCCATACAAATGCCCTCGCACATGCACCTGCTGGCTGGGAGACACAGCATCCCTCGGTGCCTCTCGTCCTCTCCCTCATTCTCTCTCTCGCTCCCTCTCTCCCTCCCTCAGAGCCATTTAAACGATTACAAAGATGCTATTTTTATATAGAGGAAAATTCAGTTATAGACATTGACCTTTAAGCTTTTTTCTAGGCTCACGTGTCGCTGGCCCAGGGTGCGAAAGGCTTGCGTGAACGTTCTCGGAAGAAAAACTTCCTCAAACTAGGGAACTGAGGGTGTGAGAGAAGGAGCAGAGCCAGGGATGGGGGCCCGTGTGCAGCAAACGGGAGGCAAGTCCACGCTTCAGGATGCCTGAAGAAACTAGTGGCTCAGAGTAGGAGGCAAGGAAAGCCCAGACGGAAAGGACTTCCTTTTTTTGTTTTTTGGGATTTTTTTTTTGGAAACAGAGTCTAACTCTGTCACCTAGGCTGGAGTGTAGTGGTATGATCATAGCTCATTCCAGCCTCAACCTCCTGGGCCCAAGTGATCCTCCAACCTCAGCCTCCCGAGCAGCTGGGATTACAGGTATGCACCACCATGCCCAGCTAATTTTTAAAAATTTTTTTAGAGATGGGGTCTTGCTATGTTGGTCAGGCTGGTCTCAAACTCCTGGACTCAAGTGATCCTCCTGTGTCATCCTCCCAAAGCGCAGGGATTACAGGCATGAGCCACTGCAACCGGCAGACTTCCTTTCTTGTTGCCACATTTTGGAGGTGATCCGCCTTTCTGAACTGGTTTGGGGTGTGGTCTCTGCATGGGTTTAGCCACTTTCTCTTTTTCTGGACAAGCTTTTCAGCATCTGGCAATAGTGGGTGCTCAACGAATGGGTTGGGGCTTACTTTAGATATTTAATTATTCAACACCTATTAACTGAGTCAGACACTGTTCTAGGTACTGAGAGGAAATAGCAAATTTGACAGAATGAAGATCTCTGTTTTGAAGAGCTGATGTTACATGTTAACAAAGAAAACCCCCCCACACAAGTAGGTGGGGCACAGCTGCTCACTCATGTGATCTCAATGCTTTGGGAGGCTGATGCAGGAGCATCACTTGAGCCCAGGAGTTTGAGACCAGCCTGGGCAACATAGCAAGATCCCATCTCTGAAAAAAAAATTAGCAGGGCATGGTGGTGTGCCTATAGTTCCAGGTACTTAGGAGGCTGAGGAGGGAGGATCGCTGGAGCCCAGGAGTATGAGGCTGCAGTGAGCTATGATGACACCACTGCACTTCAGCCTGGGCAACAGGAGGAGACTCTGTCTAAAAGACAAAAATACACAAGTGGCCGGGCACTGTGGCTCACACTTGTAATCCCAGCACTTGGGGAGGCTGAGGCGGGTGGATCACGGGGTCTGGAGACTGAAACCAACCTGGCCAACGCGGTGAAACCCCGTCTCTACTAAAAATGCGAACAATTAGCCGGGCGTGGTGGTGGGCGCCTGTAGTCCCAGCTACTGGGGAGGCTGAGGCAGGAGAATGGCGTGAACCCGGGAGGCGGAGCTTGCAGTGAGCCGAGATGGCGCCACTGCACTCCAGCCTGGGCGACAGAGCGAGACTCCGTCTCAAAAACAAAAACAAAAACAAGAAAACCACACACACAAGTAAAATATACAGGGGGTCAGATGGTGGTAAGAGCTAAGGGTGAGGGGCGGGGGGTGGGGTGGGCTGGAAACAAGCAGTAAAGGAGAACAGACTCTGACGGAGATAAATGTGGGGAAGTGGCCAGGGGAGGTCTCTGTGAGAAGCGCCATTTCAATAGAGACCAAAGGAGGTGGAGGTGGGGGAGGGAGATAGAAGGCACAGCCCACGCGGAAGCCCTGAGGCAGGACCCCACCTGGTGCGTTGGAGAAACATTGAGGAAAACCCTGTGGCTGGAGCACAGTGAGCAAGGGAAAGAGACGGAGGAGGAGGTGTCAAGGCAGGTCACACAGAGCCTTGTGGGCCGCAGAGAGGACTTGCTTTTTGACTCTGAGGGAGGTGACAGCCATGGAGGGCTGTGGGCAGAAGAGGGACAGGACCTGACTCAGGTGCTCACAGGCGCCCTCTGGCTGCTGAGGGGGGAACGGTCTGATGGGTTAGTGAGCAGGGGAGGTGAGGACCAGGGCAGAAGCAACTGTACTGGTCCAGGCAGGCAATGATGGGGCTGGACCTGGGGATGTAAAAGAGGGGCGAGAAGTAGGCAGGTTGTGAATAGATTTGAAGGCAGAGCCAACAAGATTTTCTAAAGGACTGATGGTGAAATGTGAGGAAAAGAGTTGACTTGAGATTGATTCCAGGGTTTCTGACTTGAGCCCCTTGGATGTTAGAGGTGCAACCTATTAGTATGAGTTTGGGGAGGATGAAAATGGATGAATAAGGATGGATGGATGGATGGATGGATGGATGGATGGAAGAGTGGGTGGGTGGACGTGTTACGGATGGATAATAGATGATGAATGAATGAATTATGGATGGATGGATAAGTGAGCGGGTTGATGTGTTATAGATGGATATAGATGATGAATGAATGAATAAATTATGGATGGATGGGTGGATGGATGGATGAGTGAGTGGTTGGGTGGATCGGTTATGGATAATAAGTGATGGATGGATGAGTGAATGGATGGATAGATGAATAAATGGGTGACGGATGGATGGATGGATGGATGGATGAATATATAGGTAGGTGGGTGGGTGAGTGGTTGGGTTAATGGGTCATGGATGGATAATAGATAATGGATGGATAAATGGATGGATGGGGATGGGTGGATGAATAGATGGATGATGGATGGGTGTATGGAGGGATGGATGGGTGTATGGAGGGATGGATGAGTGGATGAATGGATGGTTGAATGAGTGGGTGAATGAATGGTTGGGTAGATATATTATGGATGGATGATAGAGGATGGGGTAGGAGCCACAGGATGGGGAGGGGTGATGACCAAGGTTTGGCTTTGGCCTGTTAAGTTTGAGCTGCCTTTTGGGCACCTACATGTAGATGCAGACGGGCCATTTGGATATAAGATTCTGATGTTCCCAGAAGAGATGCCTTCTGAAGGCATAAATCTGACAGTCCGTGGTACTGGGATTACAGGCGTGGGCCACCGCGCCTGGCCCAGAGCTAGCTTTTACTAGCCATGGTGTTAGAATGTATTCGTGTCCATGGTGTTAGTCCATGGTGTTAGAATGTATTCATGTCCATGGGGATGAATGAGAAGAGGAGACAGAGACTATGCTCAAGGACTACCCTGTGTTTAGCAGCTGAGCAGAAGAGAGAAGCTTGCAGAGAGAAGCTTGCAGAGAGACTGAGAAGAGTCCAACAGAGAGGAGGGTGAATGCAGGCAAATGTGGGGACGCTGGGGGCCACGTGAAGATGATGCTCCCAGGAGGAGGGACCACCCAGGGTAGATGTTGCTAGGAGCATGAGGAGGATGGGTGCTGAGAAGTGATCACTGGATTTGGACACTGGGAAGCCACCTGGACAAGGGAAATCTTAGAATAGTACTGGGAAGAGCCCACCACTGAGATTTTTTTTTTTTTTTGAGACGGAGTCTAGCTCTGTTGTCCAGGCTGGAGTGCAGTGGCACGATCTCGGCTCACTGCAAGCTCTGCCTCCCAGGTTCACGCCATTCTCCTGCCTCAGCCTCCCAGGTAGCTGGGACTACAGGCGCCCGCCACCACGCCCAGCTAATGTTTTCATATTTTTAGTAGAGATGGGGTTTCACCGTGTTAGCCAGGATGGTCTCGATCTCCTGACCTCGTGATCCGCCCGCCTCGGCCTCCCAAAGTGCTGGGATTACAGGCGTGAGCCACCGTGTCTGGCCACAACGCCAAGATTTTAAGGAAGGGATTCAGTTATCAGAGCTCGGATACCCCGAGTGTAGAGTGAAAGCATCAGGGCCACAGCCAACCCCACACTCAGTCAGTCTGAGGATTTAGTGAAGTCATGTGCTCAGTACATATTCTTCTTGGTAAGGCAGAACTGGTATCACTGGGCTGTTGCCATTACAGTTAGTAGTGCTACCCATTTATCTATCCAACAATCCATTCATCCATTCACCCATGCTTTCATCCATCTGTATACCTACCTACCCATTCATTGATCCATCATTCATTCATCCATCCGTCTATCCACCATCTATCATCCAACCATAACCCATCCACCCAACCACGAATCAATCCATCCATTCATCCATATATTCATCTATCACTCATCCATGATCTATACTCATCCGTAACCCATCCATCCATTCATTCATTTATCTACTCATTCATCCATACATCGCCAATCATCCTTCCATAACCCATCCATCCAACCATTCACCCACCTACCCATCTATCCAACCATCTATCCCTCATTCATCCATCCATTCATCCATCTATCATCTATCATCCATCCATAACCCACCCACCCAACCACTCATCCACCTACCTATCCATCCATCCGTCATCCATCCATCACCCATCCATGATCTATTATCCATCCATAATCCATCCACCAGTCACTCATCCACTTACTCATTCATCCATCCATTGCTCACCCATGATCTATCATCCATCTATAACCCATCCACCCACTGGCTGATCCATGTATCTACCTACTTACCCATTCATTGATCAATCATTCATCCATCCATCCATCATCCGTTCTCCCGTCTATCATCTATCATCCACCCATAGCAGCTGAAGCCAGGAGGCAGCACTCATCACCCATCTGTAACCCATCCACCCAACCATTTATGTCTCCATCCATCCACCCATCCAATAATTCTAACACATCCATTCTCCCCCCCATCCCTTCAGTGTCTACACATTCTACACCCTATGCTCTGTTCTATCTCCAGGTTTGTGCTGCCACATCCACCTGCCCCTCTGGCCATTCCCTTGAGATCCTCAAGGTACTACCCAGTTTGCCTCCTTGGTTTCTTCCTGAGCCTCCTTCCCCCTACTGCCAACACATGGCCTCGCCAGCATCATCACTAACTTGAGTTGGTTGAACGGACCAGAGCCTGTCAGGCTGTCCCTTGCTCTCCCAGGCTGTGGTTGTACTTGAATGGGGCAGAGCTCCTGCCCACACAGCCTTTCTCTGAGGGACTCTTATGGGGTCCAAGTCTCAGGGCCCACAACATTCACACCAGCTGAAAAAAGTCCCTCCGGGGGGGGCTTATCTGGCCCTGGAGCAAGGTTGGAGGACCCAACCTCCACTTGCACCCAAAATGCTGCTCTCTGATGTCTCCTGAATCAGAAGATCCTTTAGCAGCAGCATCAATCTTGCTTTTATTTTTTTTAAATCACTACATCTTATTTCTACTTCTCATACCCTCCCTGGAGACCTGGACAGAGATAGATAGATGGAGAGGTAGAGACCACTGCAGAGGTTTGCTGCATAACCTAAGGCAGAGCCTCTCTCTGGGCCTCAGCACCCCCAGCTTCCTCCCTTGAGAGGAGGGGTGGAGAGGGGAGGTTATATAGACGTGCTTGCTTCATAGGCTGGCCCCCAGATACTGCTTAGAGGGTGGCCTCCTTATCCTCAGGTTGGGAAGTGTTTGTGGACCAGACCCACCCCCCCACCAACCAATGAACTTAGAAATGAGTCATTCAGACCAGTCATAGTGGCTCATGCCTGTAATATCAGTTTGTTGAGATGCCGAGGCGAGAGGATCCCTTGCAGCCAGGAGTTTGAGACCAGCCTGAGCAATGTAGTGAGACCTCATATCTACAAAAACTTTAAAAATTCTCCAGGCATGGTTCTGTGCACCTATAGTCTCAGCTACTCAGGAGGCTGAGGAGAGAAGATCGCTTGAACCCAGGAGTTTGCGTCTGCAGTGAGCTATGATTGCACCACTACACCCCAGCCTGGGCAGTATAGTGAAACCCCATCTCTATTAACAAAAAAGAAAAAGAAAAGAAAAGAAAGGAGTAATTCACAGTCCTGTGGTGGTCTGGAGTGTCAGGGAGTTGGCCACCTGGCTTCAAATCCCAGTTACTGTCGACAGGCTGCATCCCCTCTCTGAGCCTCAGTTTCCCTATCTATACAATGGGCACAACCACTCCCATCTCAGAGTCATTGGGGGGATGAAATGTGTCAGTTATTATTAATATCGCCAGCCCCTAGACGTAACCACTACTAACGTTGTGAAGTGTGTTCTTGGGATATCTTTCTACGCATAGAAAAGGTTTGGGGGCCAGGCGCAGTGGCTCACACCTGTAATCCCAGCACTTTGGGAGGCCGAGGTGGGTGGATCACCTGAGGTCAGGAGCTCAAGACCAGCCTGGCCAACATGGTGAAACCCCGACTCTACTAAAAAAAATACAAAAAAAATTAGCCGGGCGTGGTAGTGCCCTCCTGTAATCCCAGTTACTCAGGAGGCTGAGGCAGGAGAATCACTTGAACCCAGGAGGCGGAGGTTGCAGTGAGCAGAGATCGCACCACTGCACACCAGCTTGCATGATGGAGCAAGAAAAAAAAGAAGAAATAAAGAAAGAAGAAAGAGAGAGCGAGAAAGAAAGAAAAGAAAGAAAGAGAGAGAAAGAAAGAAAGAAAGAGAAAGAAAAAAGGAAGGAAGAAAGAAGGAAAGAAAGAAAGAAAGAGGCCGGGCGCGGTGGCTCACGCCTGTAATCCCAGCACTTGGGGAGGCGGAGGCGGGCGGATCACGAGGTCAGGAGATCGAGACCATCCTGGCTAACACGGTGAAACTCAGTCTCCACTAAAAATACAAAAAATTAGCTGGGCGTGGTGGCGGGCGCCTGTAGTTCCAGCTACTTGGGAGGCTGAGGCAGGAGAATGGAGTGAACCCGGGAGGCGGAGCTTGCAGTGAGCCGAGATAGCGCCACTGCACTCCGGCCTGGGCGAAAGAGCGAGACTCCGTCTCAAAAAAAAAAAAAAGAAAGAAAGAAAGAGAGAGAAAGAGAAAGAAGAAAAGTTTGGGGGTCATATTTAAAACCACTTTCTCCAAAGGAAATAATAACAATAGTTAAGTCTCCGAACCCAGCACTGGGCATTTTATATCCCATTAAATTCTCCCAATATTCCTAGGAAGACTTTTTAAAATTAGTTTCTACTTCCCAGAAGAGGAAAAGTCTCAGATGGTGAGAAGTAAAGCTTGGATGGAAACCCAACTTAGCCTGAGTCCAGAGCTGAGGGACTTGGCCAGGCCAGCCACTGGTGGGTGGAGAGAAATGGGGTCCCTCCTGGGGCAACCTGGGCCAGGCTCCGCCCCGGCCAGCAACTTCCTCCCGATGTCATGGCAACCAGCTCCTCTGAGATGCTAATTAAGGTGACTGGGAGGCACTTCCCATCCTCGTTCCACATCCCCTGAGAACAAAATGCTAGGAGGCCCTCCATCTTCCATGCAGGCAAGGTGTGGTGGGAGCACCCGTGGCCAGAGGGACTCGGTTTCCCCAGGTTGCATCACTTGCTCTGAGGCTGGGTTACTGGGGATGGTCCGGGGAAGGAGTGGAGAAGAGAAGGGGTGAGCTCACCAGCCCAGAGGCTGCAGATGCCAAACATGGGCTGGGCACCAGGAGCTAAACACTCTCCATACACCCTTCGTTCCGCATTCAAAAACTTGAGTTTTAGACATTTCTTTGTTTGGATAGATAAAGGCAGAAAAGAGTACCCAACTCAAGAGAAATGCTTAGATGGCACCTGTGTTATGCCAAACCCTACTTCCAGCACCCTATTAGTATTAATGCAGTACAGCCTCATCCTCATCCTTCTGAGCTGGTATTCATCATGCTTGCTTTGTAGATAAGGACACTAAGGCACAGAGAGGTGAAGTGACCTGCCTGAGGTCACACAGCTTGTTCAAGGCAGAGCTGGCTTTTTAATTTTATTTATTTATTTATTTATTTTGAGACAGAGTCTCACTCTGTCACCCAGGCTGGAGTGCATTGGTGCGATCTCGGCTCACTGCAACCTCTGCCTCCCAGGTTCAAGCGATTCTCCTGCCTCAGCCTCCCAAGTAGCTGGGATCACAGGCATGCGCCACCACACCCAGCTAATTTGTTTATATTTTTGGTCGAGATAGGGTTTTATCATGTTGGCCAGGCTGGTAGTGAACTCCTGACCTCAGGGGATCCTCCCACCTTGGCCTCCCAAAGTACTGGGATTACAGGCGTGGGCCACCACGACTGGCCCAGAGCTGGATTTTACTATCATTTTTTTTTGCCTTTCAAGGTATGGGGGGCAAAATTCCCCTCCCTGTCCTGGCCCTGATCACCCAGTAACCATCCCCAGAGGTAGCCGTTGTTATCCCATGTCCCCTGTCTCCCTTCCAGGGACAGGGTATGTACACACAAGCACTTGTGTGTATATTTTTCTTGCCTACTTGCTTTTTTCACACACACGCATGTGTACCCACAAGCTGTTCTGCACCTTCCTGACTTAACAAGACACCTTCGAGATCATTTCTTTTCAGTACACGAAGATTCTCACTTCTGCTGAGCACACTGGCTCACACCTGTCATCCCAGAACGTTGGGAGGCCGAGGCTGGAGGATCACTTGAGGCCAGGGGTTCGAGGCCACTCTGGACAACATAGCGAGACCCCCCCATCTCTACTAAAAATAAAAATAAAAAATTAGCCAGGCATGGTGGTGCACCTGTAGTCCCAGCTACTCAGGAGGTGGAGGTGAGAGGAGCGCTTGAGCCCAGGAAGTCAAGGCTGCAGGGAGCCACGATTGTGCCACTGCATTCCAGCCTGGGCGACAGAGTGAGATCCTCTCTCAAAACACAACAAAATGACTCCCAATTCTTATACAGCTGCATAGTATTCCACTGAGGGAATAAAGCAGACTATTATTTATTTATTTCTTATTTTTTGAGACAGTTTAGCTCTTGTTGCCCAGGCTGGAGTCCAATTGTGCGATCTCTGCTCACTGCAACCTCTGCCTCCCGGATTCAAGTGATTCTCCTGCCTCAGCCTCCCGAGTAGCTGGGATTACAGGCGCCCACCACCATGTCTGGCTAACTTTTGTATTATTAGTAGAGACAGGATTTCACCATGTTGGCTGGGCTGCTCTCGAACTCCTGACCTCAGGTGATCCGCCCGCCTCGGCTTCCCAAAGTGCTGGGATTACAGGCTTGAGCCACCGCGTCTGGCCCAGACTATTAATTTTTTATGGTGGTAAATTACACACATAATAGAAACTTTATTACTTTATTCATTTAAAAATATTCAGTGGGGCCGGGTATGGTGGCCAACATGGTGAAGCCCCGCCTCCACCAAAAATACAAAAAAATTAGCCAGGCGTGGTGGTGAGCACCTGTAATCCCAGCTACTCAGGAGGCTGAAGCAGGAGAATCGCTTGAATCCGGGAGACAGAGGTTGCAGTGAGCTGAGATCACGCCACTGCCCTCCAGCCTGGGCAGCAGAGTGAGACTCTATCCCAAAAAGTAATAAATAAATAAATAAAATAAAATAAAATAAAATAAAATAAAATAAAAATAAAAATGTTCAATGGCATTAAAGTGCATTCACAATATTGTTCAATATCACCACCATCTACTTCCAAAACATTTTTATCAATCCAAACTCTGTACCCATGAAGCAATACCTTCCCGCTTTCCTCTCCTGAGCCTCTACACTGCTGTCTGTCTTGATTAATTTGCCTATTCTAGACATTTTCAATAACTGGAATCATATAGTCTCTGTTCTTTTGTGTCTGGCTCCTCTCACTGAGCATAACCTTCCCAAGGTTCACCCACACTGCAGTGTGGATCAGAACTTCTTCTTTTTTTTTTTTTTTTTTTTGAGACAGAGTCTCACTCTTCCACCCAGGCTGGAGTGCAGTGGCACCATTTCGGTTCATTGCAACCTCTGCCTCCCGGGTTCAAGCGATTCTCCTGCCTCAGCCTCCCAAGTAGCTGGGATTACAGGCATGCACCACCGTGCCTGGCTAATTTTAGTATTTTTAGTAGAGACAGGGTTTCGCCATGTTGGCCAGGCTGGTCTCAAACTCCTGACCTCAAGTCATCTGCCTGCCTCGGCCTCCCAAAGTGCTGGGATTATAGGCGTGAGCCACCACACCCGGCCAGAACTTCATTCCTTTTTATGGCTGAATATATTCCACGGCATGCATGGACCGCTTTTGCTTATTCATCCATCCGTTGACGGACTGTTAGGTTGTTTCCAGCTTCTGAAAATTGCGAATCAAGCTGTTATGAATATGTGTGTACTAGTTTTTGTTTGAACACTTGTTTGCAATTCTTTTTGGTATTCTATGGAACCAGACTGGGTTTTAAATTTTTTCTTCCTCTCTCTGTCTTTTTGCTTTGAGACAGGGTCTTTCTTTGTCACTCTCTGCTCACTACAACCTCCACTCGCCAGGCTCAAGTGATCCCCCCGCCTCAGCCTCCCGAGTAGCTGGGACCACAGGTGTGTGCCACAGTGCTTGGCTAATTTTCTTTTAATTTGTTTTAAAGATGGGGTCTTGCTATGTTGCCCAGGCTGGTCTCAAATTCCTGGCCTCAAACAACCCCCCCACCTCAGCTTCCCAAAGTGGTAGGATAACAGGTGTGAGCCACCACACCTGGTCTAATTTTTTTGTTGTTGTTGTTTTCTTGTTTAGAGACAGGATCTGGCTCTGTTGCCCAGGCTGGAGTGCAGTGGTGTGACCATAGCTCACTGTACCCTCCAACTCCTGGGCTCAAGTGATCCTCATGCCTCAGCCTCTCGAGTCACCAGGACTACAGGTGTGTGCCACTACACCTGGTTAATGTTTTAATTAAAATCAGCGTATTGGCTGGGCATGGTGGCTCACGCCTGTAATCCCAGCACTTTGGGAGGCTGAGACAGGCGAATCATGAGGTCAGGAGATGGAGACCATCCTGGCTAACACGGTGAAACCCCGTCTCTACAAAAACACAAAAATTAGCCGGGCGTGGTGGTGGGGGCCTGTAGTTCCAGCTACTTGGGAGGCTGAGGCAGGAGAATGGCGAGAACCCGGGAGGTGGAGCTTGCAGTGAGCCGAGATCGCACCACTGCGCTCCAGCCTGGGGGACAGAGCTAGACTCCATCTCAAAAAACAAAACAAAACAAAACAAAACAAAAAAACAGAGTATTTTAATCATTCCCCATGGGTGGACATCTAGGTTGCTTCCATTTTTGCTATTGGAGACAATACTGCCATAAGCACTCTTGGTGGCTCTGCGCCTTGGGCAAGTCACTTGTGCCTCAGTTTCCCCATCTGTAAAATGGGGCTGGTAATAGGATTGTTGGAGGATTAAATGTGGAAATTGTAATAAAGGGCTCCAAATGGTGCCCATTACATATTAAGTGCTTAATTAATGTTAGTCCTCCTGCGAAATGTGGAAGCACTACTTCCTCCCACCCTTGTCCAGAATGTTGACTTTTGTGGCAGAGAGGAGAAAACCGGTCAGATGGGGCGGGGAGAACAAAGCCTGTTATTTCCCCTGGATGACACCAACCCAGGTGGCCACACAGGGTCTGGCACACACAGGGGAAGAGTAGCGCCAACTCTTACATGTCACAGACCCGCGGATGAGTGGGCTGGGCATGTGTCCAGGCTGGGATGCAGTGGCTATGATTCATTGGACATTATGAGCCCATCTGTCTTCCCTCACAGGCTGCAGCCCGGGAGCTGCGGGGACACAGGTGGGGGACACAGAGGCCACAGTGACATCTGTACCCTGGGCCTCTGCTTAGACCCAACTCATCAATCCCAGAAAGACGGAGCTCAGAGAGGCAGCCAGAGGTGGACCAGGCAGGAGTCACTGAGGCCACAGAAGGACAGAGCTGAGCCTGTAAGTGTGAATGAATTTGCTGATTGGTTTGCTTGCTTATTCCTCCATTCATTTATTAGGCACCTGCTGTGTGTCTGGTGCTGTTCTAGGTGCTGGGGATACAGCAAGGAACAAGATGGCCAATTGTGGGCTCACAGTCTGATGGCTCATAGACCCATTTGACAGGTGAACAAACTGAGGCTCAGAGATGGGCAGGGGGTCTGGGGAGGAATATGAACTTTATGGGGAGAGCACTGGAGGAGGCCCGTGGAAGGGTCTGGAGAAGGGGTGGCCTGACCTGATTCCAGTTTTGTTGTTGTTGTTGTTGTTTGTTTGTTTGTTTGTTTTTGAGACAGAATCTCACTCTGTCACCCAGGCTGGGTTGCAGTCGCGCAATCTCGGCTTACCGCAACCTCCACCTCCTGGGTTCAAGCGATTCTCCTGCTCCAGCCTCCCGAGTAGCTGGAATTACAGACACCCACCACCACGCCCAGCTAATTTTTTGTATTTTTAGTAGAGACGGGGTTTCACCATGTTGGCCAGGCTGGTCTTGAACTCCTGACCTCAGGTGATCTGCCCACCTCGGCCTCCCAGAGTGCTGGGATTACAGGCGTGAGCCACCGCGTCCAGCCACGTTCGTGTTTTTAAATCTTCTTCTGGCTGCTGAGTGGAGGGTACAAAGTCCGAGTGGGGTGTGGGAGTAAAGTCAGGGGGCCAGGAAGGGGCCGGGGTGTCTGGGAGGAGTACATCTCCCCCCTGGTCCTGAGGCTGAGTGAACCCTGCCTCACTCTGTACTTTTTTTTTTTTTTCTGAGACAGTCTTGCTCTGCCGCCGAGGCTGGAGTGCAGTGGCGCGATCTTGACTCACTGCAACCTCCACCTCCTGGGTTCAAGTAATTCTCCTGCCTCAGCCTCCTGAGTAGCTACGATTACAGGTGTGCACCACCATGCCCGGCTAATTTTTGTATTTTTAGTAGAGACGGGGTTTCACCACATTGGCCAGGTTGGTCTTAAACTCCTGACCTTGTGATCCACCCACCTCGATACCCCAAAGTGCTGGGATTACAGGCGTGAGCCACCGCGTCCAGGCCACTCTGTATTTTTATTGTTCTCCAAAGAGAAAAGTCTCTGGAGAAAAGTCTCCAAAGTCATCTCTCGGTCAGGCACCAGCAAGATGCTGCTGAGCCGTCCACTTCTCCCTCAGCTCCCCAAAGTCCCTCCAGTCCATGCCAATTCACAGAGAAGGCAGAGTGGTCCCAGCCACCTGCAGACATAAATGTTGATGGCGGGACATCAGGCCAAGTGCTGGAAGCAGCCAGGCACGGAACAGTCCCCACTCAGGCTGGCAAGAATCACCCTTGCCGGGAGGTGAGTGGACGCCAGGTGTGGGGACCTCCTCCCCAGGAGAGTTCCAAGCCAAACGGTCCCTGCGTCCATCTTGTTTCATGCACGCCACCACCAAGTGGGAGCATGTCTGTGGCAGCACTGGGAACAAACCCCAGGTGCAAGATGCAGCTGAGGGTGTCTGCCAGGTCTCAAGGGCAGAGTTGGAACCCACCTTGGAGCTGGAGCTGGAAATAAAACTGATTTACCTTCAGACCTTGGGCTGCAGTGAGGGGGCCCTGGAGAGGCCAATATCAACCTCAGCAGAACCCTACGGCATGCCGGATACTTAAAACTATTTGCAAAAGAACTCTGTGTGGGTGAGATTTCTGTTCCCGCTTTGCAGAGGAGAAAACATGAAGCACAGAGATGAGAAGCCACATGTCTAAAGTCACACAGCGAGAAAGCAGTCCAGCCAAGACTGGAACCCCTGACTGTCTGAGTCTGGAGCCATCCTACTGTCCTCTGTAGGAGGGTGTGGAGGATTTTCTCTGAGAAGCAGCAGCTACTTAACCCGGGGAAGGCAAATGTATAACAAACAGAACACCAGGGTCCATGCAATGGTCCATGGCAGGCATCACTAATCAATAACAGAACTCTTTCCCAGGGAGTCAAGGCCCAGGCATCACTAATAAATTGCAGCACTCCTTTCCCTGCAGAACTGAGCCACAGGCTCAGAATCCTTCTCAACGCAGCCCCAAACAGCTATTAAATATTTCTCATCAATGAGCTGGTTGTGCCATCGGGGTCATTGGATAAATATAGGCTGACTTTTCACTTTTCAGGAAACGTTGCTCCTTCATGTGCTAGATCGACCTTTTAAAGCCAGACATGGAATCCCTTCCCTGTTAAAAAATTCCTCTGGGGCCGGGTGTGGTTGCTCATGCCTGTAATCCCAGCACTTTGGGAGGCTGAGGCAGGTGCATCACCCGAGGTCAGGAGTTCAGACCAGCCTGGCCAACATGGTGAAACCCCATCTCTACTAAAAATACAAAAAATTTACCTGGCGTGGTGGCAGATGCCTGAAATCCCAGCTACTGGGGAGGCTGAGGCAGGAGAATCGCTTGAACCCAGGAGGCAGAGATTGCAATGAGCCGAGATTGTGCCATTGCACTCCAGCCTGGATGAGAAGAGCGAAATTCCGTCTCAAAAACAAACAAACAACAACAACAACAAAAAGCAAAAAACAAAGACAGAAGGAAGGAAGGGAGGGAGGGAGGAAGGAAGAAAGGAAGGAAGGAGAGAAAGAGAAGAGAGAGAAAGAAAGAAGAAGAAAGAAGGAAAGAAAG
Organism: Homo sapiens; assembly: GCF_000001405.40. Lineage (NCBI taxonomy): Eukaryota > Metazoa > Chordata > Mammalia > Primates > Hominidae > Homo > Homo sapiens. The sequence continues at coordinate 5,357,714 of NC_000019.10, read as the reverse complement.
AAAGAAAGAAAAAAAAAAAAGGAAGGAAAAGAAAGAAAGAATCATATTGGCTCAGCCTGTTTGTATAACCTGGGTGGTGATAGCCACCCAGGTCCAATCTGTTGAGACCAGAGGGTGGGGTCACACAGTGAGTGAGGTAGCTAGTGATGTGTCAAAGGGACAGAGGGTCAAGAAAATCCTCGCTGGCTGGACAAACACCCTGGCAGGGGTATTATGGAAGCAACAATAAGAAGAGTAAGAACAGCTAATAATAACAGCAACCCATCATAGCTACTATTAGCGTGTTAAGTATTAAAATATTCTCTACATTTGGCAGATGGGGAAACTGAGGCCCAGCGAGAGGGTGACATGTGCCCAAGGTCATGCAGTCAGTACCTGGGTGTTTGCTAGAAACTTCCTTCCCCGGGAAAAGGGACATCTGTGCAAGACTTGGCTCAGACGAGACCTTTGCATGTAACAGACTAGGAAGATGAATCCTCTTCTCATGGAGGTGGAGCCTTCCCGTGTCCTAGGAGAGTCCCAAGGACAACCCCTCCCCACAGCAGCTCGCATCCTGTGTGACCTTCACTGAATCTTGGCATGACTCCTCGAACACGTTGGGCTTCAACTCCGGAGCAATCAAATTCTCTTTGTAGCCGTCCTGCCCCAGCCACTCTTGAGGGCCTGGCGCCCACAGCTGTGGGTGAAGTTTGCCTGTCGAGGACAGGAAGTGTCTATCTTTATATTCCAGCATTAACGAGCCTCGATCTTTTTGAGATGGCACTTTCTTTCTCCTCCTAATAAACGAGAATGTATTTTTTTTTTAGCTCTTCCTCCATCACTTGATTCTCAAGTCTGAATTGTCTGAAGGCTTAAAACACTTCCGACTGCATCATCACATTTTTAACATTTTCCTCTCCTGAAGAAGAAAAGCAGAAAAAGGGAGAAAAGTGCTGATTGCATTAACAGGAGTATGGAGCGCAAAAAAAGGGAGGTGATCATGCCACGTTCTCTGCCTGGAACCTCACTAAGAGGAGTGTGTTTGATTCAGAAAACTTCATAGATTGGAGCATAAGGAAAAAGGAAGCAGAAAAGGTTATAGCATGCTATGTTCATCCTCCCACCCCACCCCTCAGCCACCACACAGGCATTTATTGAGCACCTAATGTGTGACAGGTGCTGTCCGAGGTGCTGGAACTACAAGCATGAACAATGTGAATAAAACTCCCCGCCCTGCCCTCTTGGCACACAGAATGCGTGGGAAGACATGTTAAGCAGCTAATGACATAACTAACTATTACAGTTCATGATTTAAATGCAAATTGTTCAACGAGGAAGAAAGCCAGGAGGCAGACTTTGTCTAATTTTTCAGTTCCACACTGGTCACAAGGTCCAGCCAAGCCCTCTCTTGAGCAGGGTTGGATTTGGGGCACACAAGGAATAATCAATGGGCCCAGAAGTGAAAGGAAAAAGAAAGGGTGCCAACATTCATTCATTTGGCAAACACTTATTGAGCAACTACTGTGTCCCAGGCCCTGAGCTAGTCACTGAGGCTACAGGGGAAACCAAAACAGGGAATATCACTTTTTTTTTTTTTTTTAACAGATGAGGAAATGGAGGCTCAAAGAGATGATATGACTTGCCCAGGGCGACACAGTTTTGAGGCAGTGAAGTGTCTGACTCCAAATTCGGGGAATCATCTTTTCTATCAAGTTCTGATACTCAGAGGAACAGCTGAAAATATTTCATGGAGGAAGAGGAGAGGAGAGGAGGGGAGGAAGGGGTGGGAGAATGGAGAGGAGAAGAGAGAGGAAAAAGGGACAGGAAGGAGAAAGGGAGATGGGGGGGAGGAAGTAGAGAAAGATGTGGAGGGAGAGGAAAGAAAGAGGAAGGATGGAGAAGAGAGGAAAGGAGGGGAGAGGGCGATTTTTTTTCTGCGCAGTTTCCGAAGAGGAGGAGCAGAGTCAAAGGAGGGAGATTAAAAGAAGGAGAGGGAGCCCAAGTGGCTGAAAGGAAACATTGTCTAACTCTCAGCATTGTCCAAAACCAAGGCACCTCTCCTGTACAGGGAGTGAGGGTCCCATCCCTGGAAGTATGCAAGTCTAGTTCGTATTGGGAAGGGATCTCTGCTCTGAGAAATCCACTGATTACTGACCTCTCAGGCCCCTCACCTTTCCCTTGATTTGAGGGCAGAGCGGGCTCCCACCAGAGACCTAGGGACAGCCTTTGCCCAGAGACAGTTTCCAGTCCTGGCTGTGTTGTGCAGGCATGGGCTGGTGCTCAGGCTTTCTGCGTCTCGCCCATAAAATATGGCAGTAACAGCACAGACCTAGGACTGCGAGGGCAGGGGTCATTGCAAAGCCCCAGGAACAGTGCCTGGAACAGAGGCTGCACTTGTGAAATGCTATTTCAGGCACCGCCTGCAGCCCCAGTGTCATCTGGGAACTCTGGTCGTCTTTGGATCTTGATCAGGTCTGGTGCACACTGGGAGTGGCTGGCCCTGAGAATGATGTCACCGGTGCCTCCTGCTCCGCCCTCTGGGGGCTCCTGCTAAAGTGCTCAGGGGAATGCACAGCTATGCAAAAGGGTAGAACAGGAGCCAATACACAGAGTCACTGGGGGCACAGGCGGCCCGGTCTGGGGGTGGGGGTGTGTCCTCCTCGACCTTGCTGCACAGGGCCTGGGGGTAGCAGCTGGAGAGGCCAGGAGACTTGGGAGTTCTGTGTACTAACTCTGATTGGTGCACACCCGTGGGTCAAATCCTGATCAGGCAGCAGCCCCCTGAACCCCCATCATCTGGGTTAATGATGAGCATGTGGCCCTCATTGGTGCCTGCAGGTTGTCCAGGCCCCAGAAAGCCTGCAAGCGGGTCAGAAGCTTGGCTGAGGGTCACTCTGTCTCTGTCTGTCCCCAGACTGGCTACTTCTCCCACTCCCTCAGCCTCTCCCTGGATCCAGCCCCAGCATTGCCCACCTGGGCCAGTGTAGTCATCTCCACCCTGGTCCCTTGAGTCCCACCCTGCCTCCTCACAGTCTGTCCTCCCCGCAACAGCAGCCAGAGGGCACCTGTGAGCATCTGAATCAGGTCCTGCCCCTCCTCTGCCTATGACCCTCCATGGCTCCCGCCTCCCTCAGGGGAAAAGCCCAAGTCTTCCTGTGGCCAAGAAGGCCCTGCACACCCTGCCCTGTTCCTGCCTTTTCTACTCCCTCTTTCCCACTCCTCACTCTGCTCCAGCTACATGGGCCTCCTTGCTGATCCTCCAACACGCCAGGCACGGTCCTGCCCCAGGGCCTTTGCATGGGCTGTGCCATCTGCCTGGAAAGCTCTTCTCCCACTTCATCCTGGCCTCTGTTCAAACATCACAGTGATGGGCCGGGTGCAGTGGCTCATGCCTGTAATCCCAGCACTTTGGGAGGCAAGGCGGGCAGATCGCTTGAGGCGATGAGTTCAAGATCAGCCTGGCCAACATGGTGAAACCCCGTCTCTACTAAAAATACAAAAATTAGCCAGTGTGGTGGTGCATGCCTGGAATCCCAGCTACTCAGGAGGCTGAGGCAGGAGAATTGCTTGAACCCGGGAGGTGAAGGTTGTAGTGAGCTGAGATTGTGCCACTGCACTCCAGCCTGGGTGACAGAGTGAGATGCTGTCTCGAAATAATAATAATAATAAACAAAAAACCCATCACAGTGAGGCCTTCTGTGACCACCTATGTATAATGACACCCCCAACCCTTCCTGTTTCCTGTTCCATGTTCCTCCCTGGTATGTCCCATCTGACCCGTGGTACATTTTTTTTTTTTTAAATCTGGTTCATCTCCCCCATTAAAAAAGTCAGCACGTGAGGGCTGGAGATATTGGCCTGTTTTGTTCCCTGCTTTTTCCTGGTGCCTAGAACAGTACCTGGCACTTGGGAGTTGCTCAATAAATATCCGTTGGCTGCATTCATGAATTAAGGAATGAGCCGGAGTCAGACCTAAGGCCGGAAGCCCAGCCCTGCCTCTCCCAAGCTATTGGAGGGTCAGTACCACCCTTTCCTCTCTGAGCCTCAGTTTGCTCAGCTGCAAAAAGGGAACAAAAATAATCAGTCTGATCTCATAGCGTGGATTTTTGCTGCCCAGCTGCCTGGGAAGGTCTTGGCCCACAGCACATAACAAGTGGTCATCCAATGGAAGGTTCTGTTGTTCTATGTCGGGGCCTTCCCAGCTCAGAAACATCCCAATATTTGGGTTTCTTTCTGTTCCTCCGCTCCCCAAAAAAAGTTATGACAATATTGGGGGACAAGGACAGGGACCACAGGCTGGGGGACTGGTGTGCTGCATCTGAAATGCTGCAGCAGCCCCGAGCCTCTAGGGCATCAGAAAAACTCCCCTCTCCAGGGCCCCAGAGTGCCAGGCACAGGCAGAGGAGTTTGAGCGGGTAATTGGGACACATCTCAAGCAGATTTATTTAGCCCTTCCCGTTTTATCCTGAGCAACATCTCCGCTGCCAGGACGATCCCACTCGCCGTCTCATGGTCTCAGCCTCCTGGTCCAAGCCATTCCCTGTGGGCCAGGGTGGGTGGGAGCCAGCAAGGGTGGCAGCGGGAGGGTTAAGTTCACATCCACGCCTGCTGTCTCCTCTGAAGGTGTGAAATAACAATATCGGCCGGGCACGGTGGCTCACGCTTGTAATCCCAACACTTTAGGAGGCCAAGGCCGGCAGATCACCTGAGGTCAGGACTTCGAGACCAGCCTGGCCAACATGGCAAAACCTCATCTCTACTAAAAATACAAAAATTAGCCAGGCATGGTGGTGCGGCCCTGTAGTCCCAACTACTTGGGAGGCTGAGGCAGGACAGTCGCTTGAACCCGGGAGGCGGAGGTTGCAGGGAGCCAAGATCGCGCCACTGCACTCCAGCCTGGGTGAAATAGCGAGACTCCGTCTTAAAAACAAACCAAAAAAATGGTGACATCTATTAAGTGCCTGCTATGTGCCGTGTGCTACTCTAAGAACTGCATGTGATTAAACTCAACTAGAAGCCGCTCATGGATATTTATTGATTGACTTACACGCTGGTCTGCATAGTGGTTAACACGGAGTGGGTTGAATTGCCCATTAAGATTGCTGTTTGCTCAACTTTCAGAAGGATGTGCTATGTGTCCGAACTATGTAAACCAAGATTAACCTTATTATAGTCTGAGGGAAAAATATGGAAAACATGCAGGAAAAAAGAAGTTGGTGTGCCCTGGGAAGAAGAATATCATTCTCAGTGGCCCCACAACAGTTAGGGTGATCTGTGCCCTACATCCTTTCCCCTCCCCCAGCTCAGGATCCTCTCGTTTTGCTCAGAATAAGCCCTTTCCCCTTCATCCACCCCTCCAGGGTATCTGCAACTCCCCTTCCTCTCTTCAATTATGCTGCAGTGTATTCCCAAGACGAATCTGGGCACAGTATGCAAATGAAGTGAGTTAACCCTTTTCACACCAATGCAAGGTCTCACAAACTCAACAGGTATCCGGCCAGCTCCATGGTGTGCTCTCTTCTGTGGGACAGGTAGATAAGCCCCTTCCTGTGCCAGACCCCAGCCCAGCTGTCATAGTGATGAAAGACCCAGGGGCAATGGGCTGGAAGAGTCAGGAGGGCTTCCTGGAGGTGGCAGGGGCAAAAAGTGGCAGAGATGGGCAGAGGAAAAGCCAGCTGGTTGGAACAGTTCGAGAAAACATCCAGAGGCAGGACCGCCAGGGAAGGAAAGAGCACAGCTTCTGTAGTAGGGCTGACCTGTGTTCCAAACATGTCCCTGGGCCAGTGACTCCACCACCCCAAGCCTCAGTTTCTTCCACTGTAAAATGGGTCTATGAAAGCCCATGCTGCCTGGGTGTCAGCACATTTCAAGGAGGTGATTCAACCTGTCCTCACTTTAGTCCTCCTCAAAAAACTTCCTCCTGTGCTGTGCATACCATCAGTTACTTAATATTTTATTTACATCCACTTGTTTGCTTTTAGGTAACTAATATGGTTTGGCCATATCCCCACTCAAATCTCATCTTGAATTGTGTATATGTGTGTGTATGTGTGTGTGTGTGTGTGTGTGTGTGTTGATACAGGGTCTCACTTCATCGCTCAGGCTGGAGTTCAGTGGCATGATCACGGCTCACTGCAACCTCTACCTCCTGGATTCAAGCAATTCTCCCACCTCAGCCTCTCCAGTAGCTGGGACCACAGGTGCACGCCAGCATGCCCAGCTAATTTTTGTTTGTTTGTTTTGGTAGAGACAGGGTTTCACCATATTGGCCAGGCTGGTCTTGAACTCCTGACCTCAGGTGATCCATCTGCCTTAGCCTCCCAAAGTGCTGGGATGACAGGTGTGAGCCATTACCTGACCTCATCTTGAATTGTAATCCCCACAATCCCAATTTGTCTGGGAGGCACCTGGTGGGAAGTGATTGGATCACGGGGATGGTTTCCCCACGCTGTTCTCCTGATAGTGAGTGAGTTCTCACGAGATCTGATGGTTTTATAAATGTTTGGCAAGTTTCTCCCTCTCTCAGTCTCTCTTCTGCCACCCTATGAAGAGGTGCCTTCCACCGTGATTGTAAGTTTCCTGAGGCCTTCCCAGCCGTGTGGAACTGTGAGTCAATTAAAGCTCTTTTATTTATAAATTACCCAGCCTTCGGTATTTCCTTATAGCAATGTGAGAATGGACTAACACAGTAACTAAATGTCTCATTTTATTTTTTATTTATTTATTGAGACAGGGTCTCACTCTTTCGCCCAGGCTGGAGTGCAGTGGTGCAATCTCAGCTCACTGCAATCTCCGCCTCCTGGGCTCAAGCGATTCTCCTGCCTCAGCTTCCGGAGTAGCTGGGATTAAAGGTGGGCATTGCCACGCCCGGCTAATTTTTGTATTTTTAGTAGAGATGAGGTTTCACTGTGTTGGCCAGGCTGGTCTCAAACTCCTGACCTCAGGTGATCTGCCTGCCTCGGCCTCCCAAAGTGCTGGGATTATAGGTATGAGCCACCACACCTGGCCTAAATGTCTCTTTTTCTTCTTCTTTTCTCTCTCTCTCTCTCTTTTTTTTTTTTTTAAGATGGAGTCTCCTCTGTCGAAGTGTCGAAGGCTGGAGTGCAGTGGCATGATCTCAGCTCACTGCAACCTCCACCTCCCAGGTTCATGTGATTCTCCTGCCTCAGCCTCCCAATTAGCTGGGATTACAGGCATGTGCCACCACACCCGGCTAATTTTTGTATTTTTAGTAGAGATGGGATTTCACCATGTTAGCCAGGCTGGTCTTGAACTCCTGAGTTCAGGCAATCCACCCACCTTGGCCTCCCAAATTGCTGGGATTACAGGCGTGAGCCACCGCGCCCAGTTTAAAGAAACTTCAGGTCATGTGTCCAGCGCTGGATGCAAGTATCAGTGGAATTAAAACACGAGCGCAAGTAACAATGTAACAAGTCAAATGAATAAGGAAGACAAAAAAGTTACAAAGAAAAACAATAAAGACCCAACCATGATATTAACAAATCCTAGGGACATTAACAAGCTCAAGGGGAATCATCTGTTCTTAGACGTGAGTAATTTTGGCAGGCGACCATACCATAGTGTTTCATGCTCAGTGCGTAGAACTTAAAATCACTTTGTGAGGCCAGTGTGGTGGCTCACATCCATAATCCCAGGGCTCCAGGAGGCTGAGGAGGGAGGACCACTTGAGACCAGGAGTTCAAGACCAGCCTGGGCAACACAATGAGACCCCATGTTTACAAAAAAAAAAAATTTTTTTTTAAATTATCTGGGCATAGTGGCACATGTCTATAGTCCCAGCGACTCAGGAGGCTGAGGTGTCAGGATCGCTTGAGCCCAGGAGTTCCAGACCAATCTGGGCAACATGGTGAAACCCCCATTGCTACAAAAAAATACAAAAATGCATTTTGGGAGCCCGAAGTGAGCGGATCATTAGGTCAAGAGATTGACACCGTTCTGGCCAACAGGGTGAAACCTCGTCTCTACTAAAAATACAAAAATTAGCTGGGCGTGGTGGCATGCACCTGTAGTCCCAGCTACTTGGGAGGCCAAGGCAGGAGAATCACTTGAACTCGGGAGGCAGAGGTTGCAGTGAGCCGAGATCGTGCCACTGCACTCCAGCCTGTTGACAGAACGAGACTCCATCTCAAAAAAAAAAAAAAAAAAAAAAGCAGAAATGAGACGGGTGGGCTGGTGCACACCTGTAATCCCAGCTACTTGGAGACTGAGGTGGGAGGATTGTTTGAGTATAGGAGTTTGAGGCTGCAGTGAGCTATGATCATGCAACTACACTCCAGCCTGAGTGACAGAGTGAGACTGTCTTAAAAAACAATAATAAATAAGTTGTAGCCTCTCAAAGTTTCAAGTACCACACTCAGGGCCCACACTGATGGCACTGGAAGGCCCTTGGCTTGGTGAGGCTTGTGGCAGGGGTCCAGATGACACTGCCAGGCATGTCCCTCTGACTCTACACACAATACCCAGCACAGACCCCACCTGGTGGAGAATCCAAGCCTTTCTCCTTGAGAAGGGATGAACCAAGAGGCCCTGTCTGCACCGCCAGCTGGCAGGAGACAACGGAGGCCTGATCTGAATTTGTCATTGCGTCCCCCAGGGAGAGTGGGAGAATAAAGCCCTTGATCTTTACATGTGCCAGCCAGGCCCTAGAGCTGGGAGGCTGGCTGCATGGCATCCCCTTGCCTCTCCCAAAACCTGGATCTTATTGCAATCAACAAAGGGTGCTCATGATTTATGGGCTAGGGTCTAGCATCTCTTGTCATATGTCATGGGGATGTCAAGCTCCTTGTCCAGGAGTAGGTAAAGTCCTTGAGGGGTATCAGTGAAGCCACTGTCAGGGAAAGGGTCTTTTATGGGGTTGAACTGCGTTCCCCCAAAAGAGATGTTGAAGTCCTAACCCCTAGGACCTCAGAATGTGACCTTATTTGGAAATAGGGTCTTCACAGAAGTAAAGTTAAAATGAGGGCATTAGGGTGGGTCCCGATCCACCCTATGATCCACCTTATGATGGGTGTCCTTATAAAAAGGGGAAATCTGGACACAGAGACAGACCCACATATAGGGGAAATGATGTGAAGAAGAGATACAAGGAGAAGGCGGCCCATCTGCAAGCCAAGGAGTGAGGTCTCAGAAGTAACCAATCCTGGGCAGGCGTGGTGGCTCATGCCTATAATCCCAGCACTTTGAGAGGCCCAGGTGGGTGGATCACCTGAGGTCAGAAGTTCAAGACCAGCCTGGCCAACATGGCAAAAACAATTTTTTTTTGGAGATGGAGTTTCACTGTTGCTGCCCAGGCTGGAGTGCAATAACATGATCTCCGCTCACTGCGACCTCCGCCTCCCAGGATCAAGCGATTCTCCTGCCTCAGCCTCCTGAGTAGCTGGGATTACAGGTGCCTGCCACTACCCACACCTGGCTAATTTTTTGTATTTTTTTTTAGTAGAGATGGGGTTTCTCCATGTTGGCCAAGCTGGTTTCAAACTCCTTACCTCAGGTGATCCACCCGCCTCGGTCTCCCAAAGGGCTGGGATTACAGGCATGAGCCACCACACCCAGCCAGGATGTGTTACTTCCGAGGTCTCGCTCCTTGGCTTGCAGACGGCCGCCTTCTCCCTGTGTCTCTTCTTCACATCATCTCCCCTCTATATGGGTCTGTCTCTGTGTCCAAATTTCCCCTTTGTATAAGGGACATCATCATCACCAATCATCCACATTTTAGAACATTTTTAAACATTTTTATTTTATTTTAGAACATTTTTAACATTTTAATTTTAGAATATTTTAATCACCTGGAAAGGAACCTCAAAAGAATCCATTGCCTAATTCAAGATCATTAAGATTTATTCCTCTGCATTTTTTCCTAAGAGTTTTATAGTTTAAGCTCTTCCATTTAGGTCTATCATCCATGTTGAGTTGATTTTTGTATATGGTGTGAGGTGGGGATTCAACTTCATTCTTTAGCATGTGAATATGGAATTGTCCTGGCCCCACTTGTTGAAAAGACTATTCTTTCCCCACTGAATTGACAACTTGATGGAAATCAATTGACCATAGATATGAGGGTTTTTTCTGCACTTTCAATTCTACCCCATTGATCTGAATGTCTATTCTTATGCCAGTACATCATTGTCCTGGTTACAGTAGGTTGTAATAAGTTTTGAAATTGGGAAGTCTGAGTCCTCCAACTTTGTTCTTTTTCAAGATTGTTTTGGCTGTTCTAAGTTCCTCGAACATTTTCACATGAATTTTAGGATCAGCTTGCCAATTTCTGCAAAGAAGCTAACTGAAATTTTGATAGGGATTGGGTTTAATCTTTAGATCAATTTGGGGAGTATAGACATCTTAACAATATTATTCTTCCAATCCATGAGCATGGGATGTCTTTCCATTTAGTTAAGTCTTCTTTAATTTAATCTTTCAACCTTTTGTTATTTTTTATAGTATAAGCTTTGCACTTCTTTTGGAAATATATTCCTAAGTATTTTATTCTTTTTCATCAATTGTAAATGGAATTGGTTTCTTAATTTCATTTCGTTTGTTCATTGCCACTGCATAGGAAATACAATGGATTTTTGTGTATTGATTTCATATCTTGCCGCCTTGATGAATTCATTTACTAGTTTTATAGGTCTTTAGTGGATCCCTTAGGATTTTCTACATGCAAAATGATGTCATGTGCAAATAGAGATAGTTTAATTTCTTCCTTTCCAATATGAATGCCTTTTATGTTATTTTCTCACCTAGTTGCCTGGTTATAGGCTTCAGTACAATGTTGAATAGAAGTGGTGGGAGGGAGCATTCTCATCTTGTTCCTAATCTTACGGGGAAAACATCCAGTCTTTCACCATAAAGTATGATACTGACTGTAGATGCCTTTTACTAGGTTGAGAAAGCTTCATTCTGTGCCTAGTTGTTGAGTGTTTTCCTAACCCATGCCTCCCCAAATCCTCCAACGCTTACCAAATCAGCTAAATCAGGGGACCCCCAAGTGAACCCCACATGGAGCCCAGCACAGAGCAGGTGTGCAGCAAATAGGATGTTCCTATCTGCTCCTCTTCCCTTTGGCGTTTGAAGCGAATTTGTGAGGAGAAAGAGACAGAGAGAGGAGCAGAGAGAACAACATTTAATTTGAAGTAACGTGCAACGATAGTGGAATCTCTGGCACAGGGAAAGTTTAGGGGAGATGTTTTGGACCTGTCTGGCAGGAATTTAAGGCTGAGTTCTTTGCAGACAATCCTGAACTTGGTATGAAGGGTCCTGTTTGTACACAGTGATGGGCGGCTGATGGTTCCCCTGGAGTTATCTCAACAAAACCACAATGGAGCTAATTACCAGGTTCTGGGAGGCTCCTAGGCAGAGGTTGGTCTGGCAGAAAAGGAAGAGGAGGGTGGGAGAGTGGGAAGAGCCCCCTCCCCCACAACGCTCCTGAAGAAGCAGCGAATGTTCATTGACTGAACTTTTCACCCAACAATGACTCACACCCTCAGTGTGCGTGCCAGCTCACCACGATCAGCAGACAGGAAAGAGACCCAGAACCCACCATGTCCTACCTCCCAGTCTGAGTGTTTTTCACAGTGTGGAACTTGGAGGGTTGAGGCATGCCCCTGGGGACAACATTCTCTCCTTTGTTCTCTTCAAGCCTTGGCCTGCAGGAAGGCTTAGCTTGGTGCTATTGCGTCTTTAACACCTTTGTAACACGTGTCAATTTCCTGGAGCTGTCCAGAGGCTGCAACAGCATCAGACTAGAATGTTCTGTTCTTGGCTTGGCTGCACACAGTGGCTCACACCTATAATCCCAGCACTTTGGGAGGGGGAGGTGGGAGGGTCATTTAAGCCCAGGAGTTCGAGACCAGGCTGGGTAACACAGGGAGAGCCTGTCTCTACAAAAAATTTAAAAATTAGCCAGGTGTAGTGGTCTGTGCCTTTCGTCCCAGCTACCTGGGTAGCTGAGCTGGGAGGATCACTTGAGCCCCAAGAGGTTGAGACTGCAGTGAGCTGTGATTGTGCCATTGCACTCCAGCCTGGGTAACAGAGTGAGGCCCTGTCTTGGAAAAAAAAAAAAAAGAATTTTATAATTTTCTGTTCTTGTTGTATCGACTTGTAGGATCATCTTTTGTTTCTGGCTAGGCAACCATAGTTTTCTCATTTACAGTGACCGCATTTTTTTTTTTTTCTTTAGACGGACTTTGTTTCTTATTGCCCAGGCTGGAGTGCAATGGCGCGATCTCGGCTTACTGCAACCTCTGCCCACCAGTTTCAAGCGATTCTTCTGCCCCAGCCTCCCAAGTAGCTGGGATTATAGGCACCCGCCACCACGCCTGGCTAATTTTTTTGTATTTTTAGTAGACACAGGGTTTCGCCATGTTGGCCAGGCTGGTCTCGAAGTCCTGGCCTCAGGTGATCTGCCCACCTCGGCCTCCCAAAGTGCTAGGATGACAGACGTGGGCCACCGCGCCCAGCCTACAGTGACCACACTTACCAGAAATCCTTTTGTGAGTCTGCACCTGGTGGCAGGTGGTTGACATAGTGTGATTCATTTCACCCTCCAGACAGCCCTAAGGGACCAATATTATTTATTTTTTATTTTTTATTTTTTTGAGACGGACTCTTGCTCTGTCGCCCAGGCAGGAGTGCAGTGGTGTGATCTCAGTTCACTGCAAGCTCCACCTCCCGGGTTCACGCCATTCTCCTGCCTCAGCCTCCCGAGTAGCTGGGACTACAGGCACCTGCCACCTCGCCCGCTAATTTTTTGTATTTTTAGTAGAGATGGGGTTTCACCATGTTAGCTAGGATGGTCTCGATCTCCTGACCTCCTGATCCGCCCGCCTCGGCCTCCCAAAGTGCTGGGATTATAGGCGTGAGCCACCACGCCCGGCAGGGACCACGATTATTATTATCCCCATTTACAGACAGGCAAACTGAGGCACAGCTAGAGTAGGGAGACACGCAGGAAACACACAAACCGGCCAAAATATAAAATCATTCCAAATCATGATAAATAATCTGATACTGAAGTAAAGATGATCATGTGGTCACCTCAGTGAGATGGTCTGGGAGGGTCTCCCAGAGACTCGAAGAGCAAGGAGGAACAATTGGCCTTGAGAAAAGCAGGAGGAACAGCATCCTGGTCAGAGGGAACAGACAGTGCAAAGGCTCTGTGGCAGGACCTTACCTGGTGTGTTGGAGGCACAGCAAGGAGGCCCGAGTGGCGGGAGCAGAGTGAGCGAGGGTGACAGAGGGCGGGGAAGGGGGTAGGTTATGCAGAGCTTGGTGAGCTGTGGGAAGAGCTTAAGCTTTTACTCTAAATAAGATATTTCCTATCTCCTCCCAGCACTGTTGACTCCAGGAATTTTTGCTCTGTTGCCCAGGCTGGAGTGCAGTGGCGTGCTTAGAGTTCACTGCAGCCTCAAACTCTCACATCCAAGCGATCCTCCTACCTCAACCTCCCAGGTAGCTGGGATCACAGATGTGTACCACCATGCCCAGCTAACTTCTAAAACTTTTTGTAAAGACGGGGTCTCCCTATGTTGCCCAGGCTAGTCCCAAATACCTGGGCTCAAGCCATCCTCCCGCCTCAGCCTCCTAAAGTGCTGGGCCAAAGTGCCTGGCCAACTCCAGGGATTTTAAAGACTGTTTTGTTTACTTCTGTTGTCCACAGCACTTCAAACAACCTGGGAGCGGGGCCGGATGCATGGCCTGAACAGATGGGTTTCCCAAGCACATGCTGGAATGTATTTTTTTTTTTTTTTGAGACAAAGTCTCACTCTGTTGCCAGGCTGGAGTGCAGTGGCGCTCAGCTCACTTACAACATCTGCCTCCCGGGTAGAAGCGATTCTCCTGCCTTCTGAGTAACTGGGACTACAGGCACGCGCCACCACGCCCAGCTAATTTCTGTATTTTTAGTAGAGATGGGGTTTCACCATGTTAGCCAGGCTGGTCTCAAACTCCTGAGCTCAGGCAATCCACCTGCCTTGGCTTCCCAAAGTGCTGGGATTACAGGCGTGAGCCACCGCACCTGGCCAACGTATTTTTTGTTTGAGAGGGAGTCTCACTCTGTTGCCCAGCTGGAGTGCAGTGGTGTGATCTCAGCTCACTGCAACCTCTGCCTCCCAGGTTCAAGCAATTCTCCTGCCTCAGCCTCATGAGTAGCTGGGACTACAGGCATGCACCATCACACCTGGCTAATTTTTGTATTTTTAGCAGAGACAGGGTTTTGCCATGTTGGCCAGGCTGGTCTCGAACTCCTGACCTCAGGTGATCCACCCGCCCTGGCCTCTCAAAGTGCTGGGATTACTGGCATGAGCCACCGCGCCCAGCTGCTACAATGTATTTTAATTCTGTTTTTGATGTATTTAATCTGTTTTCTTTGACTGCTCACAAAATCCCTCAGAGGTACTAGTGGTTGTCCCCCTTTTCTAGATGGGGACAGCTAGGCTTACAGTGTTGCGGCCACTTGTTTGAGGTCACCTCCCAAACAGGTCACTGGGCTGGGGTTCGTGCCATGATCAGCCCCTCCACGATCAGCCATCTCATTTTACTGTGTCTCCACCAATTCTCCAAGGCTTCAGCACCCACTGTGCGTGAGAAACCACGCTAAGCATTTGTGCACAGACCACCCCATTTGATCCTTCAAGATGGGATCGTGTTCCCATTGCTTGGATGAGAAAACTGAGGCCAGATTGTAAACGGTCAGATCAGGGTCACCCCACCAGGAAGAAAAACAAAGTAGGCTCTGCAAACGTGGCTGCTGCACTGGCCGCTGGGAAACTCCAAGCTTAAATTAGGTTCCTTGTTAAATTATTCATTATCTCCTCTCTTTTCTCCTGTTTATGACTTCCGCCTTATCGTTTTGTTCCCCGGGTTAATGCTTTTTGTTTATCTGCATCTGTGGCCTGGAATGAATGAATCAACAATTTTGGAGGAAAAAAAAAACCAATTCTAAAGTTGAGTTCCTCTGTTGGGCACCAGGCCTTCTCCAAATATGTGCCTTGAGGAAATAAATGCTTTCGACATGATCAAAACACAAGGACTGATGTGCAATCTTGCTTGGTGGCTGTGAGCCCTCCAACCCCCTTACCTTTGTCAATATCCCCCTTTTATTTACTTCCGCTCTGTTTTTTTTCCTTATTTTTGAGAGTCTCACTCTGTCGCCCAGGCTAGAGTGTGCAGTGGTGTGATATTGGTTCACTGCAACCTCCGCCTCCCGGGTTCAAGAGTTTCTCCTGCCTCAGCCTCCCAACTAGCTGAGACTACAGGCACCTGCCACCACGCTCGGCTAATTTTTGTATTTTTAGTAGAGATGGGGTTTCGCCATGTCGGCCAGCCTGGTCTCGAACTCCTGACAAGTGATCTGCCCACCTTGGCTTCCCAAAGTGCTGGGATTACAGGCATGAGTCACCGGGCCCGGCCTCTTTTCTCTTATTATTCCATCTTCAGGCACCAATGGCAGCCAGGCTGCCACATTATAGCAATTCATCATCACACCCTCCTTAGGAGCAGGGGCTACCTTGCCCCATTTTACAGATGAGAGCTGAGATCCAGAGGCAAATCCATTCTACAGATGGGGAAAGTGAGGCTCCGGGCCTCACACAGCAAATCAGTGTTTTAGCTGGGTTCCAACTGTGGCTCGTCCTGACTCCAGGGAAGCAGGGGATGGTAATTAGGTGAGACCTGTGTAAAGTGCTTACTCTATAAGAAGTGCTCCATCATCCATTCATTCATGTGTTCAACCTACAATAGGGATCTCTGGAGCCACACTGTAGTGTAACTAGAATAAAAACGGGATAATGGGACCAGGCGCGGTGGCTCACGCCTGTAATCCCAGCACTTTGGGAGGCCGAGGTGGACGGATCACTGAGGTCAGGAGTTCAAGACCAGCCTGGCCAACATGGTGAAACACTGTCTCTAACAAAAATACAAAAATTAGCCAGGCGTGGTGACAGCACGCCTGTAATTCCAGCTACTCCGGAGGCTGAGACAGGAGAATAGCTTGAATCCAGGAGGCGGAGGTTACAGTGAGCCGCGATCACGCCACTGCATTCCAGCCTGGGCGACAGAGTGAGACTCCGACTCAAAACCAAACAAACAACAACAACAACAACAAACCGGGATAATGGGATAGAGTGGAGTGGGGCGTGGCTGGTAGCTGTTGTCAGGGAGGGCTTCTCCCAGGCGCTGCTTATTTGAGCAGAAATTGGAAAGATGAGAAGGGGAAGTTCTTGGATGCTCAAGTTAGAGGAACTGTAAGAAGCTGGCTGAGGCGGGAGGATCACCCGAGCCCAACTACTCAGGAGGCTGAGGCGGGAGGATCACCTGAGCCCAGGAGTTTGAAGCTGCAGTGAGCTATGATCATACCACTGTACTGAGGCCCAGGTGGCAGACCCCATCTCTGAAAAAGCAAAGAAGGAGCAGCTGGTTTTTCTGGATCATTGACATGGTGGGGGGGAGGGGACAGGGTAGTGGGCGCTAATGTGAAACGGCGAGCTGCAGAGAGGAGGCGGGATTTTATTCCAAGGGTACTGGGGAGCCGTGGCACAGTTTAGGGCAGCGCACAGAAAGTGCCATGCCCTTTGCACCCAGGACGCTGGGGCTCCCGCACGGACAGTAGCCCCAGGGGCCCTTCCCGCCGCCGCCGCAGCCGCCACCACCACCACCACCCCAGCCGCCCACGTGTCCCGCGAAGCCCCGCGCCCCACGTGCTCCCGCGGCCCTTTAAACACCCCGGAGCCACGTGACCGCGCTGCGCCGTCCCATTGGCCGGGGGGCGTGGCGGCCGCGCGGCTGCGCAGTGACGCGCACGGGCCGGCCCTGCCCCCGACCCGGCGGCGGCGGCGGCGGCGCTGGCGGAAGGGATGACGTCACCGGCTGGGGGGGCGCGCGAGCGGGAGCTAGGGGAGCGCGAGCCGCAGTGAGTGTCCTCGCGCCGCCCGCCCGGCAGCCCGGCCGGCGCGCGCACGCCGCGAGCCGCTGGCGCTCGGGCTCCGCTCGGATCCCATGCAACAGCCACGATGTGAAGCGGGGCAGAGCCGGGGGAGCCCAGCCCAGCCAGCCTCCAGGTAAAGCCAAAAAAAAAAATAAAATCATGGATTAGAGGAAAAAAAAATGCAGGCGCTCCAAGGGGGGTCTCGGAGGCAGCCGAGTGGGCAGCGCGCCGGCTTTGTGCCGGGGAAGCCTGCACGGCCATTGTGCTCGGAGGATGCTCGGCTGCAGCCAGTTGCACGCCCAGCCGCTGCGCCCCGGTAGCTGCGCCCGGACAATGCCCCGAGGGACAGGGCCGGGGCCGCGCTGGGGGCGCTCGGCAGGGGGTGCTGGGGGGGCTTCGTCCGCGGCGTGGGAGGGGGCTGGGCTGGAAGCGCCCAGAGCGCGGCATTGGAAGCTGCCCAGCGCCGCCGGCTGCACCACCCCGGGCTGCGGGCGGGGCAGAGGCGCGGAGGGGGGCGCGCGTGTGTGCGGAGCCGGTGCCGGCCCCGGCGGCGCCCGGCCCGGGTCCCCGGGCGGGTCCTGGAGGCAGGGGGCGCTGTGCCGGGGGATGGGGGGCATGCGGGCGCCCCGGAGCGGAGAGGAGCCGGGACGGGTGGCTCCAGGCGGGGTGGCTCCAGGGCTGCTGCGCCCGCCGCCTTCCCTCTCCGGGTCTCCCTCCCCTGGAGACCCCCTAGTCTACGCCGTCTCCCCTGGAACACTCCGGGCCCTGTCGTTGCCTTATGGGAGGTCGCCCCTCCGGCACTCGGGCATTGCCCCACCCTTCTGCGGCCTCGGCGCCCCCTTCCAGCCTCCCCACCCAGGGGCGAGCCTCAGCCCCCAGCCCCAGGGGCTCTGGCAGGCAGACGCGCACGCCCAGCACCCCAGTCTCCCCTCCGCGCTGGGGGCCCCGTGGGGATCCCGAGAGTGGGGAAGCCGCCCCTGGAACCGCCAGCCCCGCGGGTTCCGCACGCCCCGGGAGCCCCCGGGGGCTGCGGGGGGAGGGGAGGTGACGTCATACCGGGGGCGGGGCCGTCGGCACTGGGTTAAAGGGGGCGCGGGGCGTGCCCTGAGGGGAGCCCCCCAGGTTAGAGTGCCCGCGCCGTGGGTGCGAGGGTTCGGCCAGGTTGCGGCCAAGTTCACCTCTCTTTATGGGAATCTCTCCTAAAATTAAGATCCTCCCCTTCGGACCTCCCCCTACAAATCCTGGACATTTCCCACCAATTCCCCCCCTTCCCAAATTGGGGAACTCCCCTTCGGCCGCTTTCTCTCCAGAATCCTCAAATCAGGGAACCTTTCCCACAAACTGGGAATCTTTTTTTCAGCCACACCCCCCGCCCCAAATCTGGGACCTCCTTCTTCGGTTGACCCTCTTTCCCCAGTCTCAAATCGTCTTCTCGTCTCCCTAAATATGCAGCTTCCAAGAACGCCCCTTCCTCTGCAACCCTTCCTCAAATCCAGCCACCTCCTGGGACCTCATTCCCCCAAATTAACAAACCTCCCAGAGCCTCATTGGGGGTGCCTTGCCTCCCCCTTCTGGGCTCAGCTGGGATTCCCCTGTCCCCCCCCGTCACAATCTAGGGGAGCCCCCTTCTGAGCATGGGGTCCTCCTGCCTCTGGCCGAGACCCTAAAAACACATCCCGGCAGCCGCGGCTAGTGAAGCGGGTGTCCGAGGTGTCGGAGTCCCGGCTGAGCAGCAGGGATGATACCTAGAAGCCGGAGGAGGCAGGAAGAGACCCCTAGGGTCCCAAGGACAGGGACCCACACGCTCCGGGCTCCCGTCCGCCACCACCCGGACTTTGGCTGCTGGGATTCTGGCCTCCTCTGGGTGGCCCCCTATCGCTGCTGTCCTTGGGGTGCAGAGGGTGACGGCGCCTCTTTGTCTGGGGCGCCCTTCTTCCCTCTTTCTGCCGCCTTTCGCCCGGGAGAAGGAAGCCATCCCGCTCCTCTGCTCCTGCGATACCAGCGGCAGCTGCTGGAGCGTTTATTAATGGCCCAGGGACTTGGTCGAATCTGCCATTTGCATAAGTCCCCTCCCCCTCCCAGGGTCCCTTCCTTTGTGCCCCCCTCCCCCTGCCAATCGCGCCTGCCTTCTGTCCCTCTGCTCTTCTTTCTTTGCCAGCTGATATTTTGGCGGTGGAAGGCAGGCAGCTGGGGCTGGGGGCGGCTGCTTCCCGCCCTCAAATCCCACAGCCCCCCAGCTTGGGCCTGACTGAGTCCCCACCTGGGCATCCCTCCCCTACCCCCCCGCTGCCCTCCACAAAGCCTTCCGTGGGGCATCTCTTTCTGGCTGGCAGGCTGGCGGAGTCTTCATTATTTCCCTCCGGGAAGCAGGGTCCTGCCCTGTTCCCCAGGCCCGGGGGACACCCTCATCATGACGGTGCACTTCTGCATGGGGGCTAGGCCTCCCAGCCCCCTGGGGGCCACCGCCCGCCATACTCCATCATCCTGAGAGTTGTTCTAATTGGGCTCAGGCAAACAAAACGTCGCAGGAGACCCAGGCTGCCTGGTGAGCTCACGCACTTTTCTATTTCTGCCACCCTGGCCGATGACATTGCCCCTAACCCCCCAGGGGGTGACAGAGACTGGTACTGTCAGTGGCCGTCCAGAGATGCCGTCCCAAGAGGCGGTGGACTGGCCCGCTCCCCACTCCCCGCGGGAGATGGGTGACAGGTCATTTTGGCGTGGCCCGGCTGAGGCGCTGGAGGGTGCTACTGGTTGGCAGGTCAGCTCCGGGGACGATTTCCCCCTCTCCAGGAAACCTTGAGAGCCTCTGAAGTCTGCGTGAGGTGGCGACAGAGAAGGGGACATTCAAACCCCAGGTTCCTGCCTGCTGCCAGCAGAGAAAAAAAAATCACTCCTTATACCCCGGTTGAGCGTTCAGTGCGCCTTTTTTCCCTGCCTCCCAGGGGATTTCAGGCATCGTCCAGTGTCCATGGACCCTGCTTGGAGACACAAGTCCATTTTCCCCCAATTTCCACCATGGAACAGGGGGAAGCTTCGTGGATGCCAGGGATTTCGTGGTAGCATCTGGGTGGGGAGACCTGGAGCCATCACTGTGCACCCATTTTTTTCTTCTTTGGGTCGCATAGAGCCTGGGGCTCTGCCTGGGTTTCCCCAGACCTGGTACCAGTCTGGAGGCAAATCTATCTCTGCTCATCAAACGTCTTTCTGGGAGGTGACTTGGTTTCCCCTTCTGCCTTCGGGGTTGGCGTTGAACAGCGGTTCACAGATGTCTGAGGGCAGCGCACACCTCCACTTGCCAAGATGGGGAGACCTGTGGCTTCGCTGATTATTCCAGCGGCTGCATGGCCCCAATACAATAGTTAGTGGGATGGCCGGAGAGGGACGGGCAGGGACGGTGTGACTTGGTGGTGCGACGTGGCATTTCTACCCGAGCGCCCCGTGGCCCCGCGTTCACCTGCTTTCTGTGACGGTGCAGCCGCCGTGTGCGTGGGGGAAGAAGCGGGGCGTGGAGAGAGTTCGGGATGGGGGCGAGCGGGAGGGAAAACCCTAAAAATAAAAAGGGATATTTATAAACCCAGCGGGTTTGGGGGATAATTGACAAAGCTTAATGTTTTTCGGCTGAGAGCAATTCCTTCCCCCTGCTACCCATTAAGCTCCATTTGCAGAGTCGGTCGGAGCCACGGGAAGATCTTGAGATGAGCTTTAGGTTTGGCGGGCGCAGTGCTGACCGCTGTAGCCCCCTTCTGGGAGGGTCTCGTACTTTCTGGAAGGAGACAGGGGTCCCAGAAAGGGGCACTCCCCAGCTCTCCTCTGCATCCAGGGTAGGCTCCTGGCTCACCTTCCAATGGGTGGGTGTCCTCTTAGAATTTGCAAGGAGGATGAGAACCCTTCTCGGGCAAAGCCTGTGCAGGTTGCCCTTCCTCCGTCCTTCCCTGCGGCAAAAGATGCCCAGGGAGGGGAATTTGAAGAGAGACCCTCCCCCCCACCACCCGCCGCCGCCCCACCCTCCAACCGCTCACCAGGCAGAGTGGCTCAGCCTCCGGTGGGGACAGGAGGAGAGGAGATTAAGACATAACTGCTGTTCCTCGCAGGATTCGTGTGGCAAGCTGATACAAAACAAAACAAAAAAACCAAAAATTCACCATGGATTCACGGACCAAGGCACGTATCCGGGGCTTGAAGGTTTCAAGGGCTTTTTAAACTGTGAATTTTGTCATTTTCACACCTTACCTTGCTCTGGAATCGGAAAGCTGCCAGCTTGTGGCTTGCGGGGCAGAGGAGAGGGGATGCTGGAAGGGGATTGAGGCTCAAATGCATGTCATCTTATCACCAGGTGACATTCTGAATTGAGGAAGGGGGACACGGAGAGAGGAAGTGAAGTGTAGGGGATGTGATCGAGGGAAAGGGTGGCTGTTGTCTCACGCAGAGAGTGGCAGCCCCAAAATGTCTAGGAAACAGGTGACACCTGGGTCTCTCTAACCCTGAGGTTCAAGAGTGTGGAGTGTGTGGTTTCCCCCCCGCCCCCCCCCCTTTTCCTTTAAGGAAAGAAAAGACTCTCAACCAAAAAGGGAAGAAAAAAAAAAACCCGACGTACCATTTCTGTCTTGTCTCTGGCTGATATTTGAGAAGCGCTGGGGAGGGGGTTGTGTGTGGGGAATTTGAAAAATCAATTGGCTTACACTTCTCCAAAGGCGAAAATTAACGGGTAGGAGTGATTCACGGACAGGCCCTCCACTTTCACATCGCTTTATTTTTGTCTCTCTCTTTTTTTTTTTTCCTCCTCCTCCTCCTCCATGGAGCTGCCGGTCCCCCAACATCGTGGCCTGGCCAGACTGGACCTTGGGGCTGGTGCTATTCTGGGCTAGCCGTGGAATCCCCTCTTCTGTTCCCCGGAATCAAGGCACCCTCTGCGCCCCGCAGAGGCCGAGGGGATATTCCACATCTGAAAATAAACCCAGGTTTCTGTGCGGCTTCCTGTTTCCTTCTGATTCCCGCGGATCCCACCCTGGTTGGGGGTTCAGAGCCTGGATTTTTGGATCATGGGGACTCCCTCCTCCGGTCCCCATCGCCGTAACTGGGGCTGGATCACAAATGTCCCGTTTCATGGGGACAGATTTCATCTCGTACTCTTTATGTTATCTGGGTGGCCTTGCTCCTTTTAAGTTGTTTTTGATCTTTGCCATAAGCCCCTTATAGGAAGGGCCAGCTGTCTCCTGTTCCCCCTACCTGGAGAACTGAAAATTCCCCTTTTTCTCCCAGATCTCACCTGCCTGCCTGCCTTCCTTCCTTCCTGGATGACTTCCCCTCTTCCCTTTCAGTTCTCCGTGCAGGAGCTTCCTCACTTACAGAATGAGGTTACCCCTCTGGGTTCCAGGTCAGAGCCCTGACTTGAGCCACCCTCCTCACTTGAGCTGTGCAAACTAGGGCGGGTTGCCTGACCTCTCTGTGTTCTCTCATCTCTAAGATCAGTACAGTCGCAGTCTGCGTCGCGGCGAGCCTTGACATGAGATGCTGTGGGTAAACATGCCTCCCCTGGCTCTCAACGCGTCCGCAGTCAGTCGCATGCATCCTTCCTTCCGCTCCTGGACACCCAGAGGGGTATCCGGCGGGCGGAGAAGCCATGGCTCTGGAAGCCTGGGACCCTCGGATGAGGCAGGCTGTGGGGAGAGAGGCTGGGAGGATGGCCCATCGTCGCGCTGTCACGTGGGTAATTGAGAGTTTGCGGAAATTCAGGGGTTCTGGGGAAGCGAGGTTGGCGCGTCTGTGTGTGTATAATTTAATGCCGCTTATAATTAACCCCCGTGATCAGCAAATGAGGGGATGTCGGGGGGATAATAACAGCTGCTCCGACTATTTAGAGTTGGCGCCCCGTGCCAGGCCCTCTGCTAAGTAAGCAAGTCAGTAGCATCCTTGTCTCCTCCAACCTGCCGTCCCCTGTCAGCGGAGTTGCTGTGATCTGAGCCCTATTTTGCAGAGAGGGAAACTGAGGCACAGGGAGGGGCCTTCACTGGCCTGAGGTCACTTCACACAGCCCACAAGCTGTTGGCTGCCACAACCTGGATTCCTAACGCCTGGAAGGAGCTCTGCCCGATTGTCAGGGATGTTTGTTTGGACAGCAGTCCATCTGCTGCGGGGGCCACCTGAATCGCTACAGAGACACCCCCCGCACACACACACCCCAGGGCTCTTGACTGCCTTTTCTCAGAGGTTAAGAGCAAGGATGCTGGACTGAGGCTGCATGGGGTTCAAATCCCGGCTCTGCCGACTTGTTGGCTGTGTGACCTGGGGCAAGTTGCTCAACCTCTCTGTGCTTCCGTCTTCCTCATCTGTCTATGGAGAAGAGTAACAGTGCCCACCTTGAGGGATTGTTAGGAGGAAGAAATGAGTTAACGTGTGTAAGCACAGATTCAGAACGGCACCTAGAATGTAGCTGCCACCTCTATTCTGTTTTTGTTATTATTTTTGACAACATGGGAGCTACACTGATATGTTGAAGGACCTGCCCAAGAGGGGCTCTCCAGTGTCCACCCGCGCCCCGCTACCCCGCCCTCAGCCCCCCGATGGGGTCCAGCACCAGGGAGATGTCAGGATGACTCAGCCACTGCAAACTGGGGCGTTCCCCTTCACTGGCTGCTTAATCAAGGCCGCCCCACTTCTGCGGCAGGACTGGGCGACTGGCGGGAGCTGAACCACAGGGGGCCTGGATGGTGGACAGGGAGGACACGTGGCTGCCTTGGGAGCTCCAGGCACTCCAGGGACTCCACATGTGGCTCCCAACTTCCAGAGCCCCTGGTGGGCCCGAGTGATCACCAAAGGGGGGAGTTTGGGGGGGATTTGGGGGTTTAACAGCAGTCATTTGATGGGCACTCAGGAAAGTGATCGGTTGACAAGCATGGTGTGCGAGCGAGCATGCATGCATTCATTCGAATATTCACCAGTTCATTAATTCATTCATTCCATCAGGATTGCTGGAAACCTGCTGCTAAGGAACTTGGAAGCCAGAATCTAAGCAGCTGTGGGGCTTGGGCTAGTAATAAAGCTGTTCTGTGCCTCAGTTTCCTGATCTGTAAAATGGGTGCTTTGACATTGCCTCTATCATAAGTGGAGACAGATGAACTGGTGTGGGGGGCACCAAGGACAGAGACTGAGAGTGGCACCTGCTGCTTTGTGGCTGGAGGTGAGGGGGGCGGAAACAAGAAGAGAAGAGTTGACTTTAGCTGGGGAAGACCACACAGGACCCCCCACCCCAAGGAGTTCGAATCGCATTGTGTGTGTGTGTGTGTGTGTGTGACAGGACTCACACTGTTGCTCAGGCTGGAGTGCAGTGATGCCATAATGGCTCACTGCAGTGTCTTAACTCCTGGGCTCAAGCAATCCTCCCACCTCAGCCTCCCAAGTAGCTGGGGACTATAGGCATCCACCAGCACGCCCAGCTGACTTTTGTATTATTATTATTATTATTATTATTATTTATTTATTTTTTTTTTGTAGAGATGGGTTTCACCATATTGCTCAGGCTGGTCTCAAACTCCTGGGTTCAAGCTATCTGCCTGCCTTGGCCTCGGAAAATGCTGGGATTCCAGGTGTGAGCCACCACACCTGGCGAATTGGCATTTTTTATTTATTTTTTATTTTATTTTATTTATTTGAGACAGTCTTGCTCTGTCGCCAGGCTGGAGTGCAACGGCGTGATCTCAGCTCACTGCAATCTCCGCCTCCCGGGTTCAAGTGGTTCTCCTGCCTCAGCCTCCCGAGTAGCTGGGATTACAGGCACCCGCCACCACATCTGGCTAATTTCTGTATTTTTGGTAGAGATGGGGTTTTACCCCATTGGCCAGGCTGGTCTCAAACTCCTGACATCAAGTGATCCGCCTGCCTTGGCCTCCCAAAGTGCCGGGATTACAGGCGTGAGCCACCGCGTCTAACAAATTGCATTTTTTAGATGTGCGGTCAGAGTTCTCTGAAAGCCCCCAGAGCTGGGCTGCCAACATCAGGATCAACAGAAAACCTGGAATGTTGGGAATGCTTCTTGGAACATCTGTCAGGCCAAGGCCCAGAGAGGGAGAGCAACTTGCCCAAGACCACACAGCCATGCCTGCCTGCCTGCTGCTGGGCCTTGCGCAGGAGGATGGACAGGGACCCCTTTCACCAGTCCAAAGGGAGAAACCGAGGCAGGAAGCCATGGCGGGTGTGTGATTCTCAAGCCATAACGCCTGTCAGGGCTGGAGTCTCCACTCCAGCGGGTCGTATGGGCCAAAAAGGCTTCTTCAACCTCCAAGGAAGCCCTGAATGGCTCCAGGGCCAGATCTGTTGGTTTTTCCAAGGAAAAGCAGAAATCTAGATTTTAAGTAAAATTGCCCAATTTTGGCTGGGCATGATGGCTCACGCCTGTAATCCCAGCACTTTGGGAGACCAAGGCAGGCAGATCACCTAAGGTCAGAAGTTTGAGACCAGCCTGGCCAACATGGTGAAACCCCGCCTCTACTAAAAATACAAAAATAATCTGGGCATGGTGGTGCATACCTGTAATCGCAGCTACTTGGGAGGCTGAGACAGGAGAATCGCTTGAACCTGGGAGGCGGAGGTTGCAGTGAGCTGAGATCATGCCACTTGCACTCCAGCCTGGGCGATAGAGTGAGACTCTGTCTAAAAAAAAAAAAAAATTGCCCTATTTTAACATCCTTGGGTTGAAACATCTTAACATGGCACAGTACAGAAATCCAGGGCCACCGTGGACTTTGACCCCTTCCCCAACAATTAAAAGTTGCGTGACTTCTGACACCTCCATTGCCGTCCGCGGGCCTCAGTTTCCAGGCCTGTGAAATGGGTTTAAGACTCCCAGCCACCTCTGCGGTTCTTTAGAGGCACCAGTGTGATAGCTTACAGAGAGTGCTGAGAACAGGGCCTGGGCCAGCGTCCGCGCTCGATAAACGTTGGCTCTGATTATATTAATATTGGTCATAATGATAAACTTGACTTAAATTAAATACTGCGTAGAAGGAAGCCGGCTGTCCCGCGGGGCAGGGCTGCGAATTATCTACTGGCGGCAGGACCTGCTTCTCCATCCCTCGTTCTTTCTGTAGCGCAGTCGTTTGCTCTTGGGGCTGGAGCACCCGGGTTACCAGTATTACTCGTTGAGTGTACTGCTGTGGTTCTCAGCCGGGGTCACTTTTGCTCCCCTGGGCACACTTGGCAACGTCTGGGGACATTTTTGGGTGTCATGTCCAGGGGGGTGCTGCTGGTATGGAGTAGGTGGAAGCCAGAGATGCTGCTCAACTCTGTGTAATGGCCAGGATGACCCCATCCCAGATAATGACCCCACCCTCATGTACACTGTGCTGAGGTTTAGAAACCCTGATTTTGCCAGGCATGGTGGCTCACGTCCATAATCCCAACACTTTGGGAGGTTAAAGCGGGAGGATTGCTTGAGCCTAGGAGTTCAAGATCAGACTGGGCAACACAGTGAGACCTCATCTCTACAAAAAACAAAAAAAAATCAGCCGAGGGTTGGGGTGCACACGTACGGTCCCAGCTACTGGGGAGGCTGAGGTGGGAGGATTGCTTGAGCCTAAGAGTTTGAGGCTGCAGTGAGCTATGATTGCATCACTCCACTCCAGCCTGGGCAACAGAGCAAGGCCTTCTCTTTTTTTTTTTTTTTTTTTTTTAAAAAAAGAAGCCCTGACTTATGCTGAAGACCCAAGACAGCGAGAGAAATCAGGCAGATGGTGCCTTTGTCCCTGAGCGTCCACCCAACACGCTCCCTGACGTCTCGCGGGGCCAGAACGCTTAGATTGCTAATGGGTTCCCTCTGCACATCTGTCCTGGTTCCACTGCCCCATTGATTATTGGAAGTGGGTAATTGCCCCTGTCGGATGAATTCTAGAGAGTGTGAACTGCCGGGGTTTCCGGCAACAGTGCTGGCTTCAACTCCCAGATATCAGCAGGGTGCAGAGAGGCTGCCAGGTCCCAGGACTTTTTCTCTTGGCCCCATCTGGCCCTGGGAGCCCAGACTCCGGCCCTGCTGGGGAAGGGCATTAGGGGTCTGAACGCCCCAGGTTCGGATCCTGACAAAGACCCTCCCTGGCTGTGTGAGATGACCTCATTATTTCCTTCCCCTGAGCCTCAGTTTTCTCATCTGTGAAATGGGGACGAGTCTTGCCTGCTGCATCACTGGGAATTCAGTGGTGTCACATTGATAACGGGGCCAGGAGCCCAAGGTGCACAGGAGGAGCTGGATGAGTCTACCCTCTCTCCCCACAGCTTCGTGAACCGTTAGGGGTGATGAGGTTGGAACCTCAAACCCACATTCTCCAAACAGCTGCAACAGAGGAGAACTAACCCAAGCGGGCGGAAAGTCCCCCGTGGTGGGGGCCGCTAATGCTCCGCCACCAGTACCAGTGTGCCTGGCCCTGTGTTTTCTCATTTCCTCCTCAGAACTGCCCTGAGAGGTGGCAGGTGTCCCCTTGTCTTGCGGATGGGGAAACTGAGGCACAAAGGAAGGGTGAGAACTGGGAATGACAAGCCCTTTCTCAGGTTTACAGAGGCGTTGTTTCTGGACAGGATGTCGTTTCTACACTCCTGGAGGCTGCACCCAGGCCCAGCTTCACGGGGGCCCTGCAGTCACTCGGGGGCCCACGATCAGAAGGGGCTGCATTTAGATGGATGCTCTGTTGATGCCGTCTGGAAATTCTTAATAATTTTTTTTTTTTTTTTTTTTGAGACAGAGTCTTGCTCTGTCACCCAGGCTGGAGTGCAATGGCGTGATCTCGGCTCACGGCAACTTCCACCTCCTGGGGTCAAGAGATTCTGCCTCAGCCTTCCAGGTAGCTGGGATTATAGGCATGTGCCACCATGCTCGGCGGCTAGTTTTTGTATTTTTGGTAGAGACAGAGTTTCAGCATGTTGGCCAGACTGGTGTTGAACTCCTGAGATCAGGTGATCCACACACCTCGGCCTCTCAAAGTGCTGGGATCCCAGGCGTGAGCCACCATGCCCGACCTGGAAATTCTTAATTTTTTTTTTTTTTTAGGAGATGGAGTGTTGCTCTGTTGCCCAGGCTGGAGTGCAGTGGCATGATCTCAGCTCACTGCCAGCTCCACCTCCCGGGTTCACGCCATTCTCCTGCCTCAGCTTCCCCAATAGCTGGGACTACAGGCGCCCACTATTACACCCGGCTAATTTTTTGTATTTTTAGTAGAGACAGAGTTTCACTGTGTTAGCCAGGATGGTCTTGATCTCCTGACCTCGTGATCTGCCCGCCTCAGCCTCCCAAAGTGCTAGGATTCCAGGCGTGAGCCACTGTGCCCGGCCTTAATAATTTTTAAACAAGGAAAACCCCACGGTTTCATTTTGCACTGGGGGCTGCAATTCTGTAGCTGGATTGTTAGCTACGATGTAGCCAGAGGCCACTTCCCACAGTGGCTGGGAGCAAAGATGTTATCGGCCAGGATGTGTTTTTGCCCCTTACGAGCTGTGTGACTTCGGGGAAGTCACTTTCCCTCTCTGGATGGCACCCTCAGACTCCTCTCTGTGGGCCGCTGGCCTCATCTCTCCTCCTCTTCCCCTCCCCTTTGTCCGTTCCACTCCATGTAGACCTATCCTTCTCCTGTTTCCACCTCCAGGCCTTTGTCCTTGCTCTGCCGGGAGCTCTGTTTCTGGCCAGGCCACCCCTACCCCGCCATTGCCTCCCGCACCCCGTTTTGTTTTCCCTCACGATATCGCTCTGTCTGCAACCCCTTTAGGACCTAAGCTCCGCCACACCTCACCCGCCCCTCCAGATCAGCCCGTCTGGCTCCTGGGAGCTACCGCCTGGCCTGCGTGTACCAGCATTGCCACGTCTAATGACCTTGATCAGGCAGGTAATGATGGGGAAAGCCCTGCCTCGGCAGCTCACAGCAAGAGCCCCCTGGTCCTGCTCTGAGAGTACTCGGAGTGGGTGATGTTGCAGGGAGAGGCAGCCACAGTGACCTCAACCTCCTGAGTAGCTGGGATTACTGGCACGCACCACCATGGCTGGCTGTATTTTTAGTAGAGACTGGGTTTCACCATGTTGGCCAGGCTGGTCTTGAACTCCTGTCCTCAGGTGATCCACCTGTCTCAGCCTCCCAAAGTGCTGGGATTAAAGCTCAGCTCACTCTGCCCTTGGGCAGGGAGGCCAGGAGACTGGGTTCCCAGCGGAAATGCTGTGTGCTCTCAGCTACTTGCTCACCCTCTCTGAGCTGATGAATATCCGTAGTGTCTGGCAAGAAGTGGTAAGGGCCGGGCGCGGTGGTTCACGCCTATAATCCCAACACTTTGGGAGGCTGAGGCAGGTGGATCACCTGAGGTCAGGAGTTCGAGACCAGCCTGAGCAACATGGTGAAACCCCTTTTCTACTAAAAATACAGCCAGCTGTGGTGGTGCACGCCTGTAATCCCAGCGCTTTGGGAGGCCGAGACTGGTGGATCACCTGAGGTCAGGAGTTTGAGACCAACCTGGCCAACATGGTGAAACCCAGTCTCTACTAAAAATACAGCTGGCCGTGGTGGTGTGTGCCAGTAATCCCAGCTACTCAGGAGGTTAAGTCAGGAGAATCGCTTGAACCCGGGAGGCAGAGGTTGCAGTGAGCCAAGATTGTGCCATTGCACTCCAGCCTGGGCAATAGAGTGAGACTCTGTCTCAAAACAAAAACAAAAAAAAACAAAAGAAGTGGTAAGGAATGGCTTTGAGGGTGATGTCTCTGAGTAATTGGCTTCAAGCCAGGGGTCTGAGGACCAGTGTCAGGAGGTCAGGGAACTCTAAAACAGTCTGTGAGATTTCTTGTCTCCTGAGGAGAAGGTGAGAGGCCCAAAGGGTCTGGGGACCCCCAGAAAGTGTACAGTGGTTGGGCCAGATGATTTTAAGAGTCAACCAGTACCCGGGCATGGTGACTCATGGCTGTAATCCCAATACTTTGGGAGGCTGAGATGGGAGGATTGCTTGAGGCTAGGAGATCGAGTCCAACCTGGGCAACATAGGAAGACCCCATCTCTATAAAAAGTAAAAAAATTAGCCGGGTGTGGTGGTGTGCACCTGTAATCCCAGCTACTCAGGAGGCTGAGGTGGGAGGATTGCTTGAGCCCAGGAGTTTGAGGCTGCAGTGAGCTATGATCATGCCCCATTGCACTCTGGGTAACAGAGCGAGACCCTGTCTCTAAAAACAAAAAGAACTGAGCCAGGCCTGATGGATGTTGGGCACCCTGTGTGTCTGGCCAGACAGGTGGAGAAGTTACTGAGGAGCTCACCAGGAATGGGCCAGGGGATCTTTGGGGGATCGGGTTTAGCATTTGAATGGTGCAAGTTTGAATCATGTCTGAGCTGCTTGTTCAGTGTGACCCTGGGGCAGTGGTTTCACCCTCCAGGGCCTCAGTTTTCTCGTCTGCAAAATGGGGGTGAGGCTGTCTCTTGGGTAGAAGGGTCTTGGTATTGGAAGGATCTATGCTAAACACGCTTGGAGTAAGCCCCAAACTGGCTAAGATATCATAAAATACAGCTTGATGATCAGTGCCCTCTGGAAGCAAGGTCGCAGGACCTGCATATGGGGCTTGGGGGCGCTGGGGAGTCGCTGTGTCCGGGGTATTGAGTTGCGCTTGGAGTGTGCCCACTGCAGTGCGGAGAGCAGATTGGCGGGCACCTACGGCAAGCCCTGCGCAGACCGAGTCGCAGGGCAGGCTGCCACGCTGGCAGGAGCTGGGCTGGGAGTGCGAGCGGGGCTACCCTTGGACCACCTCAGCCTCAGTGGGGAAACTGAGTCACGTCAATGTGGACAGAACCCTCAGCAGGTGTGGAGGGTCAGTTGTGACTCTCTAGGTCTGTGCCGAGGTCACTCTGCAGGGTCTTTGGACTCTATATCTGGTGTTTTGCTGCCCCATCGCCTAAGGACTAGCTAGCTTGCTTGCTTCATTCCTTCTTTCCTTCCTTCCTTCCTTTTTCTTTCTTTCTCTCTTGTTCTTTCTTTACTTCTATCCTCCCTCCCTCCCTCCCTCCTTCCTTCCTTCTCTTCCCTTCTTTCTCCTTCCTTCTCCCTCATTTTCTCTTTCTCTTCTCTTCCTTTCTTTTCTTCGTTTCTTTTTTTTTTCTTTCTTTTTCTTTTGACAGCATCTCACTCTGTCACCCAGGCTGGAGTGCAGTGGCACGATCATAGCTCACTGCAGCCCCAAGCTCCTGGGCTCAGGCGATCCTCCCGCCTCAGCCTCGCAAAGCGCTGGGATTACAGGCACGAGCCACCGTGCCCAGCCAGTACTTGACACGTTTTGTTTAAACCCATTCTCTTTTAAAACGTAAAAGAGAAAACTTTGTCTTGCTCTTGTGAACGGAAACCTGGTATGTCCTTGAAGGTACAACCTTAAAAATAAATGTGGTGAGAGCAAAACAAGGGCATTAAATTCTTGCTGCTTTTGCCTCTGTCTGTTCCAGGCTGAAAGCTGAAGCCTGAGCACCCCTGAGGTGTTTAAGACATCCTAGCACCCACCTGAGGCTTTTAGCCTTAAGCCCAGCACAGAATGACCCCCTTGCTGGTTGAGTCAGTATTTTGTTTTGTTTTCTTGAGATGGAGTCTCACTCTGTCGCCCAGGCTGGAGTGCAATGGCCCGATCTCGGCTCACTGCAACCCCCACCTCCCGGGTTCAAGCGATTCTCCTGCCTCAGCCTCCCGAGATGCTGGGATTACAGGCGTGTGTCACCACATACGGCTAATTTTTGTATTTTTGGTAGTGACAGCGTTTCACCATGTTGGCCAGGCTGGTTTCGAACTCCTGACCTCAAGTGATCTGCCTGCCCCAGCCTCCCCAGGTGCTGGGATTACAGGCATGAGCCACCATGCCTGTCCCAGTGTTATTGAATGTGACTACAACTGTTTGGGGCATCTCCTGGACTTTCTGGGAGGCTGAGCCCCTTCTGCCTTCGGCCTGAATTTCTTGAACTGAGCGTTGCTTCCCCATGGCCTGGGGAGAAGGTGATTTCTTCCTGAATTCAATTAATGAGCCTATTAAAAACTATTTATTTTCCCTGACAGTTGTTTACTGAGGAGAAGGAGATGAATTGGCCGGTGTCCTCGGCAGGCAGGAAGGAGGCTGAATGGGGGTGCTTGGTGGCTCAGCCCCAGTGCTTGGGGAGCACAGATTGCCGGTGGGGGCCTGTCCTTGGGGACGCCTTGGGCAGAGCCTGTGCTTGGGTCGTGGCCACTGCTTCTGACCTTGGAGTCTTTTGGGAGGTGGATGTTGGAATGAGTGAAACCGTCGTGGTGTGGAGGCAGGGGGCCGGCCCCGATGACGTCTCTCTTCTCTTTCCAGGTTAAAATGTCTCAGATGCGCTGGTTTGAGACCCAAGACCTGGCCCCATGGCCCACATGAGATATTGTGGCGGGATCTCCCAATATCCCATCATATCCCCCGACTCCGTAGCAGTTGAACTTTACAATTTTTATCTGGGCACATGGCCACCTGGGGGAAAGAAAACATTTCTCAGTGCACCTTGCAGCTGTCTGTGCCATATGATTCAATGCTGACCCATGGCGTAAATAAGCAGGATTTTCTGGAAATGCCTTTCAAGAGAAGTGGCACATGCTCCTCTCTACCTGTCAGCTGGAATATGGAGATGATGGCAGGTGCTCAGGCAGCCATTTTGGACCATGAGGCAGGTGTCATAGATAAGAATGGGGGATCAAAGAGGTGGAAGGGGCCTGGGCCCCAGTGATTGTCGGGGAGGGGAAAATAACCCTGAATGGCCAACCTGGCAGCTTCCCTTAGGTGAAAAGAGAAATCATTCCTTATTTGTGCTTTTTCTGGCATTTGCAATTCAACTGGATCCAAACGGTGGCAGAACATGAACCTTGGGACACCTTCTGGGGATGTGGCTCTCCTGGGGATGTGGCTCTTCTTGCCCCTGTGCTCCAGAGACCCCAGACTCGAAGTTTTGCAAACAGTGTGAGGATGGGGATGATGGTGAACGACCAAGCATGATGGGTGCTGACACGGATCCCACCTCTAGCTGAGTGCCTCGTGGTCCTGTTGAATCTGCACAGCCCTGTGAGAAGCCTGCAACCACTGCCCCACTTTCGCAGATAAGGAAACCGAGGCTCAGAGAGGGGATGTGACTTGTGCAGGGTCACACAGCAAGTAGAGTTGAGTTAGGATTGGGCTGACCCCACGCTTTGTGGCAGGGCTGCATCCTGACACACCTGGGGGCCTCCCCCCTTTAACCCATGGGTCACTACCTCCTTCTCCTCTCCTCCTCCATTGCAACCATCAGATCTGGCCCTGGTCTGATCAGCTGCCGCCAGCCTGGGACAGGCCAATAGGGACATGAGAGTGAAAACTGTGTCCCCTTCCATACACAAAATGCTCCCAGGCACAGGGGTCACTGTCTTCTCCTGGGTCCTGCCAGGGGAAGCGGGTTTCAGGTTCAGAGTACAGAGCCTAAGACCCTAAAAATAATACAAGCCAATGTATGCTGAGCACTTGCTGTGTGCCGGACTGTGCGCTGAGTACTGTACACAGGCCAGCTTGCTTTCCCTTTTTTTCTTTCTTTTTTTTTTTTTTTTTTTTTTTTTGAGGCAGGGTTTCGCTCTGTCTCCCAGGCTGGAGTGCAGTGGCATAATCTTGGCTCACCACAGCCTCTGTCTCAGGTTCAAGCGATTCTCCTGCCTCAGCCTCCCGAGTAGCTGGAATGACAGGCACGTGCCACCATGCTGGCTGATTTTTGTATTTTTTGTAGAGATGGGGTTTCACCATGTTGGCCAGGCTGGTTTTGAACTTCTGAGCTTAAGCATTCCACCCACCTTGGCCTCCCAAAGTGCTGGTATTACAGGCATGAGCCACTGCACGTGGCCTTCATTTTTTCATTTTTGTTCTATCCTCTGCCTCCACCTGGTCCAGCTCCCATCATCACCTGGACCAACACGGTCACCTCTGCTCTGGTGTGACCCCAGCCCTCATTCCCACAGTCTGTCTTCCCACAATGACATCTTTCAGTTCTTGAGTCAGGTCCCATCCCTCCTCTGCCTATAGCCCTCTATGGCTCTCACCTCTTGGGGGAAAACCCCAAGTCCTCCCTGTAGCCCACCAGGCCTTGCACAACCTGCTCCATCCCTTCCCTGCCGTCCCCTCCTTCCTCTCTCCCCGTCCTCACTCTGTTCCAGCCACACGGGCCTCCTCGCTGTTCCTCCAATACACCAGGCATGGTCCCGCCCCAGGGCCTTTGCACAGTCTGTGCCCTCTGCCTGGAATGCTTTTCCCCAAACAGCAACCTCCCTGACTTCCTTCACGTCTCAGGTCACTTTTAAATGAGGCCTCCCCGATCACCCTATTTAAACTTGCAGCCTGCCCCACCACCTAGTTTCCTGTCTTCCCCCTTCTGCTCTCTTTGACTCAAAGCCCTTGCCACCATTTCTCTGTTGAATGCTTTTTTGTTTGTTTTTTTGAGACGGAGTTTCACTCTGTCACCCAGGCGGGAGTGCAGTGGTGTGATCTTGGTTCATGCAACCTCTGCCTCCCGGATTGAAGCAATTCTCCTGCCTCAGCCTCCTGAGTAGCTGGGATTACAGGCATGTGCCACCATGCCCAGCTAATTTTTCTGTATTTTTAGTAGAAATGGGGTTTTGCCATGTTGGTCAGGCTGGTCTCAAACTCCTGACCTCAAATGATCTGCCCTCCTCGGCCTCCCAAAGTGCCAGGATTAGAGGCGTGAGCCACCTCTCCCAGCCTCGAATGCTTCATACTCATTATCTGCTTCTCTCCTCCTCTACCATGTCCATGGCAGCATCTGCACACAGTAGGGCTCCAGGCATACATTTTGCCTAAGCAGCTCTTCCCAGGGGAAGAAATGAGGCTCTGAAATGCATGAGGTCTGTTTTTTCTTTTTCTTCTTCTTCTTCTTCTTTTTTTTTTTTTTTTTTTTTGAGACGGAGTTTTGCTCTTGTTGCCCAGGCTTGAGTGCAATGGTACGATCTTGGCTCACTGCAACCTCCACCTCCCGGGTTCAAGCGATTCTCCTGCCTCAGCCTCTCGAATAGCTGGGATTATAGGCGTGCGCCACCATGCCCGGCTAATTTTGTATTTTTAGTAGAGGCAGGGTTTCACCATGTTGGTCAGGCTGGTCTCGAACTCCCTGCCTCAGGTGATCCGCCCGCCTCAGCCTCCTAAAGTGCTGGGATGACAGGCATGAGCACCGCGCCCGGCCGCCTGAGGTCTTTCTGCGGGCTGGAGGCAGTGCTTGCGGGGAGCAGGTGGCTTCCACGTTCTTGCTTTTAACCACCCCCAACCCGGGAGTCGGCCAGTCGGGGCGGGCTCGAGTCGGTCCCCGCGGCTGCTTCTTCCTCCCACCCCCGCATTCTCACCTCAGCCTCCAGAAATAGCCCCTTTAAAATAGCCACGTCCTCGAGTTCCGGGGCCTCTGCCTGCCCACGGACGTGGTGCTGCGCTGACGGGCCAGCCTCCTGAGTGCTGTGGGGTTTTTAAAAATATAGCTGGTGTTAGGTGATATTACCTCCCTTTTAAGCCTGAAAAAGCCCAGCCACCAACAGGGCTGTGTGTCACTGTGGATACTCCAGCAAGGCACGGCCGCGAGGGTGTCTGCTGTGCAGAGCTGGGGAGGGCTTCCGCTAAAGGCTCACGCCAGCTCAGGCGGGGACCGTGGGGCCTGCAGTTCCCTGTCAGGTCAGGAAACCTCAGATTTGAGGCTCAGTGCTGCCTCTTGCCGGCTGTGTGACCTCTGGCAACTGTTGAAACCTCTCTGAGCCTCAGTTTACCCAAATGGAAATGGGGACAATTTCAGGGTTTGGATAAATGGTTAAATTTCTCTGAGCCTCAGTTTATTTGTGAAATGGGGACATCTCAGGGTTTGGGCAAATAGCTGAACTCAGCCTCAGCTTACCTATGTGGAAATGAAGACAGTTTTGGGGCTTGGATAAATGGTTCTATTTCTCCAAGCCTCGGTTTACCTGTTTGTAAAATGAGGACATCTCAGGGCTTGGGCAAATAGCTGAACTTCCCAGCCTCAGTTTACCCATCTGGAAATGGAGACAATTTTGGCGCTTGGATAAATGGTTCTTTCTCTGAGCCTCAGTTTACCTGTTTGTAAAATGGGGACATCTCAGGGCTTGGGCAAATAGCTGAACTTCTCAGTCTCAGTTTACCTGTCTGGAAATGAGACATCTGAGGCTTCTCCACTCTGGGCCTGGCACACAGTGGGTACTCACGAGGCACGAGCCAAACTCCTTACAGCACTGAGGCCTCTACAAAATGACCCTGTAGTCGATCTGGGTCAGGGTTTAGTGAATTTAGCATTAGCTCTGAGCCTGCCACTTCTAGGCGGTAGATCCTTCAGGAAATCGCTTCCCCCTTGAGGGACTCAGTTTTCCTCATCCCTAAAATGGGCCCATGTCACTGGGTCGGGAGACATCAGGGAGATGAAGCATAGCTGCCCTTTTCCCCAGGTCGGAATGCTCCGTAGACGTGACTCACATTTCCCTGTTACCTTGATTTATTCTTTTTATTTTTCTTTGTTGAGACAGGGTCTTGCTCTGTTGCCCAGGCTGGAGTACAGTGGCATGATCATAGCTCACTGCAGCCTCAACCTCCCAGGCTCAGTTGACCCTCCTGCCTCAGCCCCCTGAGCAGCTGGGACTATAGGTGCACACCACCATGCCTGGCTAATTTTTTTGTTGTTGTTTAATTTTTTGTAGAGACAAGGTCTTGTTATGTTGTCCAGGCTGGTCTCGAACTCCTGGGCTGAAGTGGTCCTCCTGCCTCAGCCTCCCACAGTGCTGGGATTACAGGCATGAGCCAGCACCGGGCCCTTGTTTTATTCTTCTCATTCGTTGAGACTGTGTTGATTAGTGGCCAAAACCAGATTCTAGGGCCAGATGGCTCTGTCCCTTAGTAGCAATGACTCCACCTCTCTGGGCCTCAGTTTCCTCATCTGGAAAATGAGGATAATGATAACCTCAACCATCCAGGCTCCCTTGGGAGGATCTAGTGAGTTCATAGGGTGAAGCCCTCAAATCAGGGCTGGGCTCAGCATGAGGACAGTGTGACGATTGTAAAGAAATCCAGGCCGGACGTGGTGGCTCACGCCTGTAATCCCAGCACTTTGGGAGGCTGAGGTGAGCAGATCGCCTGAGGTCAGGAGTTCAAGACCAGCCTGATCAACATGGCGAAACCCCATCTTTACTAAAAAGATACAAAAATGAGAGCCCAGCATGGTGGCGTGCACCTGTAATCCCAGCTACTTGGGAGGCTGAGGCAGGAGAATCGTTTGAGGCAGAGTTTGCAGTGAGCCAAGATCACACCACTGCACTCCAGCCTGGGGGACAGAGCGAACTCCGTCTCAATTAAAAAAGAAAAAATCCATTTATTTGCTAGATGTTTATCAGGCTTGTCCCTACACTGGCCACTTCCCGGGAGCCGGATAAGCCAAGTGGATGGTGCTTGTGTCAGCCTGTGTGTTTGGCTTCAAGGTCCGTGTACCCCCTCTCCCACTGGGGCAGGGATTAAACCTGCCGGAGGGACCTGTCCAGCCAAGGCCACGGGCACTGGCTGCCGCCCCTGCTTCCTGCTGTGTCACAACAGGTGTTGAGCCGCCGGATGGCAGAGGGCAGGGGCCTGGCTTGCCAACAGGGACAGGAAGGCCCCGGCTGGAGTAGGCGTGGAGGCTTCCGCCGTCAGCCTCCGGGGTCTCAGCGGCTGCTTTGGCCGCAGCCACTGCCTCCGATTTTGCGCTTTCCATCATCTGGGGGGATTTCTCAGATGCCTCCTGTCCACCAGGCTCTGTGCCGGGACCCTGAAGCAATAAAGGGGATGGCTTTGTGGATCAGGGAGAGAGATGATAGGCAAAATACGATATATAGCACGTCAGGGGTGATCAGAGAAAGCAGTAAAGGAACAAAGGGGACTCGGGAGGGAGGCATGAGGGTTGTCATTTTTAATGGGGCTGTAGGGACGGCTTCATTGAGGAGGTGATGTTTGAGCAAAGCCCTGATGGAGGTGAGGAGGAACCAAGCAGATAACGTGGGGGAAGAGCATTCCAGGCAGACGGCACAGCGTGTGCCAAGGCCCCGGGGCAGGACCACGCCTGGCGTGTTGGAGGAACAGCGAGGAGGCCTGTGTGGCTGGAGCCCAGTGAGTGATGGGGAGGGGAGAGGAGGCAATAGGTCATGTAGGGTCTTGTGGGCTGCAGGGAGAACCCTGGGCTTTGAGCCCTAGAGAGGTGGGAGCTATGGAGGGCTGTGGGCAGAGGAGGGACAGGACCTGACTCAGATACTCATGGTTGATGCCAGGGATGGACCAGGTGAAGGCAAAGGTGGGTGGTGGGGAGAAGAAGCAAGTGGATTTGGGATAGCTTTTTAAAAAAAAAAAAAAAAAAAAGACAAGGTCTGGCTCTGTCGTCCAGGCTGGACTGCAGTGGTGCAGTGCAATCTTAGCTCACTGCAACCTCCACCTCCTGGGCTCAAGTGATCCTTCTACCTCAGCCTCCCAAGTAGCTGGAACTACAGGCGCACACCACCACGCATGGCTAATTTTTTAATTTTTAGTAGTGATGGGTTTTGCCATGTTGGTCAGGCTGGTCTCGAGCTCCTGACCTCGGGTGATCTGCCCACCTTGGCTTCCCAAAGTGCTGGGATCCCAGATGTGAGCCACTGCGCCCGGCCTTGGGATGGCTTTTGAAGGTAGAGTATCCCTCCTTTTTTTCTTTCCATGTCTGGGGTTAGTGGCCAGGCTGAGCTGATGCTTTCTCTTCGATCCTTCCATTAGAAGTTTCCAGAACTCAGAATTTCAGGGACAAATATGGAGGGGAGGGCAGGCCAGGCCCTTGCCCTCCAGGGACTCACTGTCTGTTAAATGGAGAATACAAACAGATCAAGAGATTGCAGTGTGGGCCTCTCACTTAGCAATTCAAGGGGAATAGGGTGCTAGACACCCTGACAGCCTAGGCCAGGAAAAACTTTTTTAAAAATAACATCAGCTGGGCCCAATGGCTCATGCCTGTAATCCCAGCACTTTGGGAGGTTGAGACGGGAGGATCACTTGAGCCCAGGAGTTTGAGGCTGCAGTGAGCTGTGATCTCACCATTGTACTCCAGTCTGGGTGACAGAGCGAGACCCTGTCTTTCAAAATAAAAACAAATAATAACAACCACCACCAAGATAATATCTGCAGTCTATCAGCTGCTTCTCAGGTGGTGTGAACAGCTCTGTGTGCCTTTCGATTCAGTCTTCACAGCAGCCATGTGAGGGGAGGAAGAGACTTTTATACCCATTTTACAGATGAGGAAACTGAGGCCTAGAGAGTCGAGTCACCTGCCCAGGGTCACACAGCATGGCCAGACTGCCTTGCTGTTGGACCTAGCTGGGGTGCAGCCTGTTCTGTCCTGTCCTCATTCCGTCTCGCAGCATTTCACGGTCATCATTCCATCATTTCTTCTTCTTCTTTTTTTTTTTTTTGAGACAGTCTCACCTTGTTGCCCAGGCTGGAATGCAGTGGCACAATCTTGCTCACTGCAACCTCCGCCTCCTGGGTTCAAGCGATTTTCCTGCCTCAGCCTCTAGAGTAGCTGGGACTACAGGCAAGCGCCACCACACTTGGCTAATTTTCATTTTTTTTTTTTTTGGAGACGGAGTCTCGCTCTGTTGCCTAGGCTGGAGTGCAGTGGCGTGATCTCGGCTCACTGCAACCTCCACCTCCTAGGTTCACGTCACTCTCCTGCCTCAGCCTCCTGAGTAGCTGGGACTACAGGCACCTGCCACCATGCCCAGCTAATTTTTTGTATTTTTAGTAGAGACGGGGTTTCACCGTGTGAAGCAGGATGGTCTCGATCTCCTGACCTCATGGTCCGCCCGCCTCGGCATCCCAACGTGCTGGGATTGCAGGCGTGAGCCACTGCGCCTGGCCTAATTTTCATATTTTTAATGGAGACGGGGTTTCACCATGTTGGCCAGGGTGGTCCCGAACTCCTGAGTGCAGGTGATCCACCTGTCTCAGCCTCAGTGCTGGGATTACAGGCATGAACCACTGCACCTGGCCCCTTACTAATTTCTAGGTGGGCCACACACCCCACCCTCTTACTTTAAAGATCTATGTGAGTTTGGGTTCTCTTATTTGAGATGTTTGCTTGGGCCCTGCCCTGCCCTGTCCTATTTTAGGAAAATTTGTGCTGTCAGTAGCCACCTGGACCAGTGGAAAATCTAGGATTCTGTTAGTCCTGGATTCAAATCCTGCCGTCACCTCTTTCCTAGCTGTGTGATTTTGCGGCCATTGCCCAACCTCTCTGATTGCTCATTTCCTGTGCAATGTTTTGTGTTTTTTGTTTTTGAGACAGTCTTGCTCTGTCTCCCAGTCTGGGGTGCAGTGGCACAATCTCGACTCACTGCAACCTCCACCTCCCAGGTTCAAGTGATTCTCCTGCCTCAGCCTCCCGAGTAGTTGGGATTACAGGCGCGTGCCACCACGCCTGGCTAATTTTTGTATTTTTACTAGAGATGGGGTTTCCCCATGTTGGCCGGGCTGGTCTCGAACTCTTGACCTCAAGTAATCCACCCACCTCTCCCTCCCAAAGTGCCGAGATTATAGGCATGAGCCACTGCGCCTGGCCAGGCTCAGCTATTTATTTGTTTACCCAAGTAATATTTTCTCAGTGCCTGCTATGCATGAGGCATTGTTTTGGGTAGAGTGGTTCTTCCTAATGTCCCGCCATGGCCACTCCAGCCCTCAAAGTGTGAGTTGACAAACCCTGATGTTTGGGCCATGGGAGGGTGAGCAGGAGCCCCAGCTATAGTTGGTATCCTTCGTGGATCCCTCAGAACAGACGTCTCAGCGTGGCTAGGAGGAAAATCCCGGGGCAGTGGGGCAGCCGCCCGTGGGAGAAGCCAGGTCCCCGGTGCCTGGGAGTGCAAGCAACAGTGCTATGTGTGCAGAACCCCAAATCACAGCCGGGTGCCAGAACCCCAAATCACAGCCGGGTGTGGTGGCTCATGCCTGTAATCCCAGCACTTTGGGAGACTGAGGCAGGTGGATCACCTGAGCTCAGGAGTTCGAGACCAGCCTGGCCAACCTGGTGAAACCCCGCCTCCATTAAAAATACGAAAATTAGGCCAGGCGCGGTGGCTCATGCCTGTAATCCCAGCACTTTGGGAGGCCAAGGCGGGTGGATCAGTTGAGGTCAGGAGTTGGAGACCGGCCTGGCCAACATGGTGAAAACTCTTCTCTACTAAAAATAAAAAAATTAGCCGGGCGTGGTGGCGTGAGTCTGTGGTCCCAACTACTTGGAAGGCTCAGGCAGGAGAATTGCTTGAACCCGGGAGGCCGAGGTTGCGGTGAGCCAAGATCACAGCACCACACTCCAGCCTCGGTGACAGAGCGAGACTCCGTCTCAAAAGAAAAAAGAAAGAAAGAAAAAAAAACCCAATCAGCAAATCTGGGGCAAGAGGCATTCAGGAGAGCTGGACTCGGGACACAGGACTTTTCAGGAAACATGAACCATTTATTTGACTTACATTTTCCATTTACGTATGTAGTTCAGGAAAGAAAAGTGTTCAAAACCTGTGTCCAAAAGAGTATTAAAAAGCCCTTTCTCACAGTGGCTAATCTGTAATCCCAGCACTTTGGGAGGCCGAGGCTGGAGGATTGCTTGGGGCCAGGAGTTCCACATCAGGTGGGGTAGTATAGCAAGACCCTGTCTCTACAGAAAATTTTAAAAATTAGCCAGGTGTGATGGTGTGTGCCTGTGGCCCCAGCTACTGAGGAGGCTGAGGTGGGAGGGATCGCTTGAGGCCAGGAGCTCTAGACTAGGCAGGATAAGATAGGACCACCCCCCACCCCGGCCCCAGATCTGTGCAAATTTTTTAAAAAATTAACTAGGTGTAATGGCGTACAGCTGTGGTCCCAGCTACGCAGGAGGCTGAGGTGGGAGGATCGCTTGGGGCCAGGAGTTCCAGATCAGGCAGGGCAGCATAGCAAGACCCCATCTCTGCAAAAAGTTAAAAAAAAAATTAGCTAGGTGTGATGGCGTGTGCCTGTGTTCCGAGCTCCTCAGAAGGCTGAAATGGGAGGATTGCTTGGGTCCAGGAGTTCCAGATCAGGTGGGGCAACATAGCAAGACGCCATCTCTGCAAAAAACTAGCCAGGTGTGATGGCATTTGCCTATTGTCCCAGCTACTCAGGAGGCTGAGGTGGGAGGATCGCTTGGGGCCTGGAGTTCCAGATCAGGCAGGGCAACATAGCAAGACCCCATCTCTGAAAAAAATTTTAAAAATTAGCCAAGTATGATGGTGTACACCTGTGGCCACAGCTACTCGGGAGGCTGAGGCAAGAGAATTGCTTGAGGCCAGGAGGTCAAGGCTGTGGTGAGCCATGATTGTGTCACTGCATTCCAGCCTGGGTGATGGAGTGAGACTCTGTCTCAAAAAAAAAAAAAAAAAAAAAAAAAAAAAACCCTTTTCAAATAAAAATTCTCCATGAAAAGAAAATTCAGACCAATTTAAGTGGCAGGGTTTTTTATTTCTACTTTTGCAATAAAATATGGAAATTGCTGGAGATTGATAAGGGAGGGGAATAGAGAATGGGAGGCTCTGGGCGTGAGTGATGGGAGGAAAAGTCAGGGAAGGCTTCCTGGAGGAGGTGGCGGTGGCTGATCTAAGAAGTGAAGGT
Source organism: Homo sapiens (assembly GCF_000001405.40). Taxonomy (NCBI): domain Eukaryota; kingdom Metazoa; phylum Chordata; class Mammalia; order Primates; family Hominidae; genus Homo; species Homo sapiens. The sequence continues at coordinate 5,315,135 of NC_000019.10, read as the reverse complement.
AGAGAAGGAGTTAACTGGGCAGTGAGGGGAGGGAAGTGTGTTCTAGGCAGATGGAACAGCATGGGCAAAAGCTTCCCACACAAGGTCTTTGTGAAGCATCAGTTGTTTCACTTTGTGGCCTGCACTGGGCCTAGTGCATAGTAGGTGCTCGCTAAATGCATCATGGTAGATATTCAGTTGGTGGGAACTGTCCTCAGTCCCAAATCTGAATGACGCCATGTGGGTGTTGCTTTCCAGCAACCACGTTCTGAATGATCCAAGGGTCAGAGGTTTGAGGTTCATCTGAAGCCCCTGATCTAAGCCCCTGATCTGAAGCCCCTGTTGAGCAGGGATAACCTGTGATGTCTCGAATCTTCAGCTCTCTGCCCTGGCTACTAACAAGGCTCTGTCCTCAGGCACAAAGTGGACTTGAAAGGTGGAGAAACAACTTGAAATGTGGAGAAACAGCTGGGTGTGGTGATTCATGCCTGTAATCCCAGGCACTTTGGGAGGCCAAGGCAGGAGGATCACATGAGCCTAGGAGTTCAAGACCAGCCTGGGCAACATAGTGAAATGCTGTTTCAAAAAAAAAAAATTTTTTTTTAAATAAATAAATAAATAAGAAAGGTGGAGAAACCCACATCAAACTGACATTAGTGAAAAGCTGGGGAGTTGATTGGCTCTTGAACCAAAAAGGCTGATGTTAGAATGGACCACCTTCAGGCATAGTTGGATCCAGGGGCTCAAACAAGATAAGCAGATCCAGAGAGATTGAGCCATTTATACCTGAGGCTGCACAGCTAAGAGGAGGCCAAATCATGATGCAGACTCTGGGTTGCTTTGAATCCAAAGTTCGTGCTGCTCAGCATGACTCAGAAGGTTGATCCAAGTCAGGGAGGTCACGACTCTATCTTACTGAGGTTCATGGAAGGGAAATGACATGCTTAAGGTCACACAGTGTTCAAGGAGCAGAGACTGGCACTGAACTCAGCTGAAGCTGTGGTCTCGATTGATTGATAGAGACAGGATCTTGCTCTGTTGCCCAGGCTGGAATGCAGTGGCTGTGATTGTAGCTCACTGCAGCCTCGACCTCCTGGGCTCAAGCGATCCTTCCACCTTAGCCCACTGAGTAGCTGGGACTACAGACACACGCCACCATGCCTGGCTAATTTTTTTACTTTTATTTATTATTATTATTATTATTATTATTATTATTTGTGGAGAGAGAGAGAGAGTCTTGCTGTGTTGCCCAGGCTGGTCTTGAACTGCTGGGCTCAAGCAGTCCGCCTGCCTCAGGCTCCCAAAATGCTGGGATTACAGGTGTGAGCCACTGCGTGCCCAGCAAACCTGTGGTCTTAGAACCACGTTGCAGGGTTTCTTCTTAAGCATGGATTGAACGGTGGGTTGGTTCCGCTGAGGCAGGAAGGAGAAAAGGCTCTCCAGGGGCCACCTTGACCTTGGGCCAGGCCCTCCCCACTCCATCTAAGAAGCGCCCACACCAGCCCCTCCTGCCGCCTGCCCTTGATGGTCGTGACATTTCCCGTCCTCTTGATAAACACATCACACGGAGACAGGTAGGGAGGTCCCCGTTGACTCTGGCTCAGTGCCAGCCGTCGGCCCCGGCCAGGCCTGCCCATCTCTGTCACAGGAGGAAATGAGACTGGCAGCGATTTGTTTTCCGACGAGCCAGCCGCCTCGCTCCCCAGCACCCGGTTTCCTATGCGTGTGTGCTGACTGCGTGGATTCCCCAGAGAGCATTGTCCAACCCATCCCTGTGCAATGGACCACTCTCTTAAGTCTCACCATCTCCTCCTGGGTACACCCCTGTCTCTGCTCACTTTGCCCTTGAGCATCTCCAGGGCACTTATTAGGCGTCTGCTGTTTTTACCAGGGATCAGGCGTAGGCTGTCAGCGAGCGTTGTCACCAAATCCCAGGCCAGGACCGGGCACGGTGGCTCATGCCTGTCATCCCAGCACTTTGGGAGGCTGAGTCGGGCGGATCACCTGAGGCCAGGAGTTTGAGACCAGCCTGGCCAACATGGTGAAACCCTGTCTCTGCTAAAAATACAAAAAAATTAGCTGGAGTTGGTGGCGTGCGCCTGTTATTCCAGCTACTTGGGAGGCTGAGGCAGGAGAATCGCTTGAACCCAGGAGGTGGAGGTTGCAGTCAGCCGAGATCGTGCCTCTGCACTCCAGCCTGGGCGACAGAGTGAGACTCTGTCTAAATAAATAAATAAATCCTAGGCCAGGTTTTGGGGCTCAGCAGCCTGGACTCATGTCCCCCCTCTGCTGCCGCCATGCTGTGTGACCTTGGACAAGTGTCTTGACCTCTCCGATGCTCAGTTGCCTCATCTGTAAAATGGAGACAATTCGAATTCAATGAGATATTATGTGTAAAAGACTTTGAACCATGCCTGGCACGCAGTATGTGACCTATAAATATTAGCAGTTATTGTTACTATTGCTATTATTTTATTTTTATTTTTAATTTTTTTAGAGACAGGGTCTTGCTCTGTCGCCCAGACTGAAGTGCAGTGGTGTGATCATAGCTCACTGCCGCCTCCATCTCCTAGGCTCAAGCAGTCCTCCTGCCTTGGCCTCTCAAGTGGCTGGGACTACAGGCATGCGCCACCACGCCTGGCTAATTTTTGTATTTTTTTGTAGAGGTAAGGTCTCATTATGTTGGCCAGGCTGGTCTCGAACTCCTGGGCTCAAGCAATCCTCCTGCCTCAACCTCCCAAAGCACTAGGGTACAGGTGTGAGCCACCATGCCTGGCCCTGCTGCTATTATTATAGCATTTGCAAATATTGGCATATTGTGCTCACCTTCTCGTCCCACACATCCTATGCCCGCTGTCCCTGCCATGCTCTTTCACTGACAGTACCAGGACGCACACAGCCAGGGATGTCTTTTTCAGGGCTGCGTACTATGCATTCTTTTTCAGGGCTGTGTAGTATGCCATCTACATGCCCAGCCCCTCCTGACGGACATGCCCATTTGTCTCTCTCTTTTGCTTTCCTATGAGATGTGTTGCAGGGCTCGTTCACACACAGGCCTCACGCACAACCAGGAGATGTCATGTGGGATGCGTATTTCTTTCTTTTTTTTTTTTTTGAGACGGAGTCTCGCTGTGTCTCCCAGGCTGGAATGCAGTGGCGCACGATCTCGGCTCACTGCAAGCTCCGCCTCCCGGGTTCACGCCATTCTCCTGCCTCAGCCTCCCCAGTAGCTGGGACTACAGGTGCCTGCCACCCCGCCCGGCTAATTTTTTGTATTTTTAGTAGAGACGGGGTTTCACCATGTTAGCCAGGATGGTCTCGATCTCCTGACCTCGTGATCCACCCACCTCAGCCTCCCAAAGTGCTGGGATTACAGGCGTGAGCCACCGCACCCGGCCCAAGGGATGCACATTTCAATATTCACTCCCTCTCGCCCAGTTACCCTGCAGAGAGCATCTGCCATCTCCACCCCAGCCGCCAGCCAGGGAGCTCGGGTCTCCCCTGAACAGCTTTGATGAGACAGGAATGTTCTTTTTCTTTCCTTGGCTGCTCCCAAGATACTTATATCCCCACCCCCAGCCTCCACCCAGGGGATGGTTTCAGGTCTAAAATTTTCCTTCAGACCCCAAGGAAAGCTTCTGTGTGTTCAGAAAACAACCGTCGTGTCCTTTCTGGGCCCAGGACCCTGCTGGGGGCCTAGAGCTCCATCACTGGATACTTATTGAGCACCTCCTATATACCAGGCCCTGATCCTCACAGGGTCAGGTGTTGGGAACAGAGTGACGGAGAAGACAGAGGGAAAAACCCTTCCCTCGTGGAATGCATCAGAAGGACAATGAACAAATAGGGGCCGGGCGCAGTGGCTCAGCCTATAATCCCAGCACTTTAGGAGGCCAAGACGGGCAGATCGCCTGAGGTCAGGAGTTCGAGACCAGCCTGGCCAACATGGTGAAATCTCATCTCTACTAAAAATACAAAAGGCTGGGCACAGTGGCTCATGCCTGTAATCCCAGCACTTCGGGAGGCCGAGTCAGGTGGATCACGAGGTCAGGAGATCGAGACCATCCTGGCCAACAGGGTAAAACCCCGTCTCTACTTAAATAAAAAAAATTAGCTGGGCGTGGTGGCATGCACCTATAGTCCCAGCTACTCGGGAGGCTGAGGCAGGGGAATCGCTTGAACCAGGGAGGCAGAGGTTGCAGTGAGATCACGCCACTGCACGCCAGTCTGGAGACAAAGTGAGACTTGGTTTCATAATAATAATAATAAATAAAAATACAAAAATTAGCCGGGTGTGGTGGTACAAGCCTATAGTCCCAGCTACTCAGGAGGCTGAGGTGGGAGGATCACTTGAGCTGAGGAGTTCAAGGCTGCAGTGAGCTGAGATTGCGTCACTGCACTCCAGCCTGGGTGACAGAGTGAGACCCTGCCTCAAAAAACAAAAACAAGAAACACCCAAAAAACAAAAGCCATAAAGCCAATAGATTAAATATGTGTTAAGGATTGACTGTATGCCATGCCTTTAAGAAAAATAAAGTTGGCCAGGCGCAGTGGCTCATGCCTGCAATTTTAGCACTTTGGGAGGCCGAGGTGGGCAGATCACTTGAGGTCAGGAGTTTGAAACCAGCCTGGCCAACATGGTGAAACCCTGTCTCTACTAAAAATACAAAAATTAGCTGGGTATGGTGGTGGGCGCCTGTAATCCCAGCTACTCGGTAGGCTGAGGCAGGAGAATTGCTTGAACGGGGGAAGCGGAGGTTGTAGTGAGCCGAGATTGCGCCACTGCAGTCCAGCCTGGGTGATAGAGTAAGACTCCATCTCAAAAAAAAAAAAAAAAAGAAAAGAAAAAAGCTAGAGGAATTGGTTGGTGGCAGGGAGGGGCTGTTTTAGCTACAGAATCAAGACAGGCCTCACAGAAGAGGTGACATTTCAGTAAGACCAACAGGAATAAGAGAATGATGTTTGCTGACATCTGAGGGGAGGGTGTTCCAGGCAGAGGGCACAGCCCGTGCAAAGGCCCTGAGGCAGGACCGCACCTGGCATGTTGGAGGAACAGCGAGGAGGCCTGTGTGGCTGGAGCAGAGTGAGGAGGGGGAGGAGGGGAGGGGAGAGCAGGGAGAGGACAGAGCAGGTTGTGCAGGCCCTTGTGGGGCACCAGGAGGACTTGGGCGTTTACTCTGAGGGAGGTGGGAGCCAGGGAGGGCTATGGGCAAAGGAGGAACCAGCCCTGACCGACGTGTTCACAGGCGACCCCTGGCTGTTGCAGAAAGGACAGACTGTGGGGGATGAGTGCAGACGCTGGGGGACCAGAGCAGAGGGGACGGCACAGATCCAGGCCAGGGATGATGGGGGTGGACCAGGCAGGGGCAGAGGAGGGGTTGTATTCTAGAAGGATTTTGCAGAAGGGTTGGCTGGCTTCTCCAAGTGGTTGGCTGCAGGGTAGGGTTGAGATGAGTCAAGAACGACTCCCAGGCCTCTGTCCTGAACATCGGTAAAGACGGAGAAGATGAGCTGAGGTGGCGAAGATGGTGAGAGAGGCAGGCATGGAAACGCCCCCATTAGCAGGACGCCTGCGGAGGTTCCCAGGAAGTGGTGGGCTGGTTCTCCCTGGAGACATGGAGTTGGCAGCTCCTGACTTAGCCCATAGCGGGTTTTCAGGTGCTACAAGCAAGCCATTGGCTCTGGACAAGGCACATCCTATCCTCAGCCTCAGTTTCCCCATCTGAGATAAATAACTGGCACAACAAAACGAGTTAATATGCGTCAAGCACTTAGAGAGTGGCCTGCATAGACAGGGCCCTGGGAGGGGCTGTGGGCTACACACTTGGGGCTGGATGGGGCTAGAGGTTAGGACAGGAAGGGAGGTCTAATTTGCAGACCAGGGGGCTGAAGCCCAGAGAGGTTAAGGCACTTGCCCAAGGCCACACAGCACGTGGCACAGGCTCAACCCCACTAAGGGGCCTGCACACTCTGCTCACCACCAGAGCCAGCCAACCCCCCCTTCCTCCCTTCTCTCTCCACCCCCGGAGCTGCCAGCTCCAGTTTTTGGTGGTTTCCAGGCTCCCCTCAGTTCCCACTTGGCACTCACCTCCCACCTCCACACACTCTGAGCCCAGGGCCTAGTGCCAGGCAGGCTGTAGGGCCAGGGGGTCTTGGTGAGCATCCTCCACTTCTACACCCAGGGTTCCTTTTGCCTCCCTGCCCCGTACCCCACCCGTGCTCCTGGTAATGAAGGGAGAGGAACGGGAGGGAGCGAGCAAAATTATATACACACGAACATACAAAAATTAGTTTAGGATCCGGGCCAAGAACCACTTGCGCTTGGCCAGGCATTGTGGGTAATTCATTGCTGATTACCATAAAAGCCATAGCCTGGCTGACAGGCGGCTGCGGGGCTTTTGTTTAAGATTCTGATGAATATATAATCTCTCTCCCCGCCTGGAGCCCACAGTTCCCCTACCCCCAAGGCTGCCAGGTCCCTGCCCACCCTGCTCTCTTCCCCCACTGCTGAACGTGAGTCTGCAGGTTCCCCGAGGGGCTGGCAGCCACCTCTGCCGCATGGAGTCTGCCCCTGTGACTGCGTCGGTGAAGCTTGGCTTGGCACTCGATGCTCACCACCAGCCACAACTAGCCCAGGCCTTGCACTGTGGCTGCTGCCCTGGGCCTGATTCCCTCTCTTCCGTGTGGATGTACTGGGCTTCAGCTGTTTGCTTGGCCCCATGCTGGGACTGGGGACACTATAGTGACTGATGCAGACAATCCTTGCCCTTAAGGAGTCTGGGGGGACGATGGATGATTAGACGGGCATTTATCTATAGTTAAAGAGTTCCCATCTCCTGCCCAGGAGATGCAAATTAAAACAAGATATCATTTCTCACCCATCCATTTAGCAAAACTGTTTGAAGTGTGGTATTATCCAGGGTGGCAGCGTCGAGGGGAACCAGGCCCTCCGGGCGTGGCTGGCAGGAGAAGAAATCGGCATCTCTGTGACACCACGTCTTTTATTTTTAATATGTTGTTCTGGCCAGAGAATGCGTACACATGGGATACAATTGAGGATGCAGAGAAAAATGCATGGTGGAGAATCTCCAGATCCTCTCCCCTCTCTCTTTCCCCAGTAGCAGTCTCTTCCCAGAACAGGGTCAGTAGAGTTTTTCCATAAAGGACCACCTTGTAAATCTTTCCAGCTTTGCCGGCCGGATGATCTCTGTCTACTACTCAACCCCGCCATTGGAGCGTGAAAGCAGCCATAGACAAACACGTAAACTGGTGGGCGTGGCTATGTGCCAATAAAGCTTTATTTATAAAAACAAACGGTGGGCCGGATTTGGCCCCCGATATGGCGATGATAAAAATGGTCTCCGTCTACGCACCGTGGTACAGTCGCCCTGAGCCGAATGTGGCTATTGAGCGTTTGAAATGTGTCCAGTGCAACCGAGGAACTGAATTTTAAATTTTATTCCATTTTATTCCGTTTAAATTTAAACAGCCACATACGGCTCGTGGCTACGGTTTTGAAGAGCGCAGTTTATCTAGAAATCTTCTGTGAACATTTAGTAGGCGGCTGGATTTATATTCCCTTGTTTAACCAAATGGCAGCATCTTCTACATGCTGTTCTGTACCTTGTTTTCTTCCCCCCCACTTAAAAATATAGTATCTTAAAAGTAATTTTATAATTGTACATCTGGTATTCTCATTCCTTTTCACAGCTGTGATACTGATCTCATAACACTAAGAGATACTGATCTCATAACACTAAGATACTAATCTCTTCGATCATTATTTGACCTCTTGTACTGTTATTTTTATTTATTTATTCATTCATTCATTTATGTATTTATATTTTTGAAATGGAGTTTCGCTTTTATTGGCCAGGCTAGAGTGCAATGGCATGATCTCAGCTCACTATAGCCTCTGCCTCCTGAGTTCAAGCAATTCTCCTGCCTCAGCATCCCGAGTTGCTGGGATTACAGGTGCCGGCCACCACACCTGGCTAATTTTTTTTGTATTTTTAGTAGAGACAGAGTTTTGCCATGTTGGCCAGGCTGGTCTCGAATTCTTGACCTCAGGTGATCTTCCTGCCTCAGCCTCCCAAAGTGCTGGGATTGCAGGCGTGAGCCACTGTGCCTGGCCCCCTTGTACTGTTCTTTACTTAACCAATCTCCTATCGATAGACATTCAGGTTGCTTCAAGCCTTTTGCCGTGAGTACTTTCTCCACGTGTCATTTCACGGGAAAGTGTCTGCCGGGTAGATTTCTAGAGGTGGTGTTATCAGGCCTAAAGGGAATGTATAAACTTAACTTCGGAAGATAATAGCCAATTGTCTCCTCGGGGACTATTAGGACCTACTCATTTCCGACTGTGTAGGAGGGGAACCTGCTTGTTTAGAACAAGCTGTAACCCGACCTTCCACCCCAGCTGCCCTTCACTGGACACCAGTGAGAGACAAAAATGCTTCCCCAAGGGGACCTGGGAGATGTCAGCATGGAGATTCACCATGGCATTGGGTGAGGTTGGGAAAAAATGGAGGCAACCGAAGTGTCCACAGGGAATTGGGTGATAAACGCCCAAGGCACAGCCTTGCCACGGAAGATCCTACCACAGGCGAGAAGAGGCCTGGGCTGCGTGTGCTCAGTAGTTACAAGTCATGTGAGGAACAGCCATGATTCGAACAGAATATCATTTTCACATACAAAAAAAAAATCACCCTGGGCCAGGTGTGGTAGTTCATGCCTGTAATCCCAGCACTTTGGGAGGCCGAGGCCAGCGTATCACTTGAGGTCAGGAGCATGAGACCAGCCTGGCCAACATGGTGAAACCCCGTCTCTACTAAAAATACAAAAATTAGCCAGGCGTGGTGGCGCACGCCTGTGATCCCAGCTACTCGGGAGGCTGAGGCAGGAGAATGACTGGAACCCAGGAAGCGGAGGTTGCAGTGAGCTGAGATTGTGCCGCTGTACTCCAGCCTGGGTGACAGAGTGAGACTCCGTCTCAAAAAAAAAAAAAATCACCCTGTATTCTAGAGTTACCTTTGATCAATAACTTCATGAGAAAAAGACACAAAGATAGATGGTAATGGCAGAGGTTGCTTCCAGGGGAGCATTAGAGGGACTCCCTCCCTTCCTCAAGTATTTGTACCTATTGTGCTGCTGGTTCTCTCTGTTCCAGGCATGAGGAATTCGCCCTTTTTTTTTTTTTTTTTTTTTTTTTTTTTTTGAGACGGAGTCTTGCTCTGTCGCCCAGGCTGGAGTGCAGTGGCGCGATCTCGGCTTACTGCAACCTCCGCCTTCCGGGTTCACGCCATTCTCCTGCCTCAGCCTCCCAAGTAGCTGGGACCACAGGTGCCTGCCACCACGCCCGGCTAATTGGAATTTGCCTTTAAAAAAAAAATATATATATATATATATATTTATTTATTTATTTTTCAGAGACGGGGTCTCCCTCTGTCACCCAGGCTGGAGTGCAGTGGCAGGATCATCACTCACTGCAGCCTCAAACTCCTGGGCTCAAGCTGTCCTACCACTTCAGCCTCCCAAAGTGCCGGGATTAGAGGCATGAGCCACCGTGTCCAGCTTCTAGGCACAAGGATTTTTTTGTTTGTTTGTCTGAGATAGGGTCTCATTCTCTGTCACCCAGGCTGGAGTGCAGTGGCACTATTATAGCTCACTGCAGCCTCGACCTCCAAGGCTCAAGTGATCCTCCTGCTTCAGCCTCCTGAGTAGCTACAACCACAGGCATGCCTCACCCTGCCTGGCTAATTTTTGTATTTTTTTGTAGAGACAGGGTCTCGCTGTGTTGCCCAAGTTGGTCTTCAACTCCTGGCCTCAAGTGGTCCTCCTTTCTCAGCCTCCCAAAGTGCAGGGATCACAGGCATGAGCCACCATGCTCGGCAAATAATAGCTGTTCTGAGGAGAATTTAGTAAGTGTGCCTGGATGGTGGGAAAAGCCTGGAATAATAGCTGATGTGCTCACTGAGCACCTGCTGTATGCCCAGCTCAGTTCTGAGTGTTTTGCTCCTGCTAAGTGCTTGATAGGGGTTTTTATGTCTTGGGGAGATGGGGTTGGGTGTAGATCCTAACACCTGTTCAGAGAGACCACCTTCTCCTACCCAGGACCTGAGAGCTTGGGGAGCCACCTAGAGAGGTCATGCCCCCACCTGAGCTCTGGGGGGGTAGTGGGAAGTTCTGCCACCCCACCCCCCCTCACCAGCCCCCCATGTCCCTCAGTTGCCTCTCCCATGGGATGGGACCTGGCCCAGGGTCCCCACCCTCTCCTTTTCTGTTTTGTTCAGGGCTAGTTAGGTTTCCTCTTCCACACCTCTCTTGCCTCCAGACCTTGGCATATGCTGTTCCTTCTACCTGGGACACCCTTCCCACTCCCCAACCTCCCTGCCCCAGCCCAGCGCAATTTCTCCCATCCTTCTCATCTTAGACATCACCTCTTCCTGGAAGCCTTGCGACATCCCCCATTACAGCCCTGATCTCTTTTTGTTTGCTTTTTGTTTTTAGAAACGGAGTCTCCCCCTATCACCCAGACAGGAGAGCAGTGGCATGATCGCAGCTCACTGCAACCTCCACCTCCCGGGTTCAAGTGATTCTCTCACCTTAGCTTCCTGAGTAGCTGGGACTACAGGCGTGCACCACCATGCCTGGCTAATTTTTGTATTTTTATTTTATTTTTTTGAGACAGAGTTTCTTTTCGCCCAGGCTGGAGTGCAATGGTGTGATCTCAGCTCGCAACCTCTACCTCCTGGATTCAAGCGATCCTCCTGCCTCAGCTTCCCAAGTAGCTGGGATTACAGGCATATGCCACCACGCCTGGCTATTTTTATTTTTTTATTTCTTATTTTTTTTAGTAGAGATGGAGGTTTCACCATGTTGGCCAGGCTGGTCTCAAACTCCTGACCTTGTGATCTGCCTGCCTCGGCCTCCCAATGTGTTAGGATTACAAGTGTGAGCTACCACGCCTGGCCAAGACCTGGCCTTTAACTTCCAGGGCCCCCTGTCTGCCTCCCACAGTCATCTTGTGTCCTTAGTGCTCAGCCCAGAGCCTGGTATACAGTAGGTGCCTTATAAATGCTAGAGGGATGCTGAGAGACGAATCATTACTGGGGTGTGACAGTTTTTCATTCCTCAAATGCTGACATGGCATGGAGGGCCATAGCCCTCCGCGCTTCTGTTTATTTTATTGTTATTATTATTTTTTGAGACAGAGTCTCGCTGTGTCACCCAGGCTGGAGTGCAGTGGTGTGATCTTGGCTCACAGTAACCTCCGTATCCCGGGTTCAAGCGATTCTCCTGTCTCAGCCTCCTGAGTAGCTGGGATTACAGGCGCATACCACCACACCCAGCTAATTTTTTGTATTTTTAGTAGAGACAGGGTTTCACCATGTTGGCCAGGCTGGTCTTGAACTACTGACCTCAAGTGATCCACCTGCCTTGGTCTCCCAAAGTGCTGGGATTCCAGGTGTGAGCCACCGTGGTCCTCACTCCTATTACCCCTCAAATCCTGCCCCTGCTCACTCACTCTGCCCGCTCTCTGGACCAGCCCCCCTCTCTGCACCAGTCCCCCTCTCTTTTTCCAGAACTTAGTGTGTTCGTTCCCACCTCGGGGCCTTTACACGTGCTGTGTCCTCTGCCCCTGTCCTCTATCCCCATCTGTCGCTGTCTCCCCAGAACAGAAGCCCTGAGAGGTTATCTGCCTTGATCTGTACTGTGTCCCCAGCACTCAAGACAGCTCTAGCACACAGTAGGTGCTGGAGTTTCAGCTGTGACCAAAACCAGATCCCACCCTTGTGCACGGGGACCAGGAGGAATTAGGAGCTACACCAAGCCCTGCCTTGGAGACCTCCCTGGTTTGTGCCTCGGTTTCCTTGATCTTTACAGACTTCAGACCCACAAAAATCAGCCCCGGGCACCAAGAGCCCATTTTCCCTGGTGCTTAGATGGGGAAACTGAGTCCCAGAGAGTGGTGAGGACTGGTTCAGGCCCACACAGCTCCCTTGGGAAGAGAACTTGGGCTTCCTGCCTCCTGTGAGCCACGGTTTTTTGTTGTTGTTGTCTTTTTTTGTTTTTGTTTTTGTTTTTGAGACGGGGTCTCTCTCTGTCGCCCAGGCTGGAGTGCAGTGGTGCCATCTCGGCTCACTGCAAGCTCTGCCTCCTGGGTTCACACCATTCTCCTGCCTCAGCCTCCCGAGTAGCTGGGACTACAGGCGCCCGCCACCACACCTGGCTAATTTTTTTTTTTTTTTTTTTGTATTTTTAGTAGAGATGGGGTTTCACTGTGTTAGCCAGGATCGTCTCGATCTCCTGACCTCGTGATCCGCCCGCCTCAACCTCCCAAAGTGCTGGGATTACAGGCGTGAGCCACCACGCCTGGCCGAGCCATGGTTTTTGAAGTCAGGAACGTACCCCTAGGCATGGGGCTGTTTGGGGGTGGCCTCTGGAGGAGGCATCCGGCAGCCCAGAGCTGCACACACCAGCAATGACTCCCTTTCAGCTCCTAACACGTCAGGGAAGAAAGCCCAGGGAGATTCAGGGTGATCTCAGACACTAACACCTGCCAATCTCTTTGTAACAAAATCCCATCCGGCTGCTGGTGTTCGCAACAGTATCCAGCGACCATGGGATAACTGGGTACTATTTTCATTGTAACAATGTTTCTGGTGACTTTCAAGGCAGGGCAGAATCTTTTGGGTCTTCCTTAGAGATATGCGATACTGTTGAATTAGTTTCTTAAGTAAATTGGTTTAAGGAAAAGACGGGAGACAGTGGCATGAAAGTTGTTGTTTCTAGACAGGGCCTCCCTCTGTCACCCAAGCTGGTGTTTAGTGGCGGGATCTTAGCTCACCTGCAACCTCAAACTCCTGGTCACAAGCAATCCTCCTGCCTCAGCCTCCCAAGTAGTTGGGAGTACAGACATGTACTGCCATGCCCAGCTAATTTTTAATTTTTTTTAGAGACGGGGGTCTCTCTTTGTTGCCCAGGTTGATCTTAAGTTCTGGCTCAAACGATCCTCCTGCCTTGGCCTCCCAAGGCTGGCCGTGCCCAGCCTACATGAATGATTAAATCGGGGGGCCAAGTGTGGTGGCTCACACCTGTAATCCTAGCACTTCGGAGGGCCAAGGCAAGGCGGATCATTTGAGGTCAGGAGTTCAAGACCAGCCTTGCCAACATGGTGAAACCCCGTCTCTACTAAAAATACAGAAATTAGCTGGGTGTGGTGGCATGTACCTGTAACCCCAGCTACTCAGGAGGCTGAAGTGGGAGAATCACTTGAACCCAGGAAGCGGAGGTTGCAGTGAGCTGAGATTGCCGCGCTACACTCCAGCCTGAGCGACAGAGTGAGACTCCATCCATCATCCAATCAATGGGGGGTATTGGGACATGGCAGAGTCATGAGCAAGGAGGGGAGGATTGGGGGGAGACTGTGATCACCCTTCCTGGGGACTGGTGGGTGTAGAGGGGGAGGATGCGCTTGAAGGAGAGACCAGCAGGCATCTTGCAGAGAGGATGTGGCCAGATCCATTAAATGCATTTACAGCCAGGTGTGGAGGCTCATGCATGTAATCCTGGCACTTTGGGAGGCTGAGGCGAGTGGATCACCTGAGGTCAGGAGTTCAAGACCAGCCTGACCAATATGGTGAAACCCTGTCTCTACTAAAAATACAAAAAATAGCCAAGCATGGTGGTGGGCACCTGTAATCCCAGCTAATCGGGAGGCTGAGGCAGGAGAATCGATTGAACCTGGGAGGCAGAGGGTGCAGGGAGCCGAGATGGTGCCACTGTACTCCAGCCTGGGTGACAGAGCGAGACTCTGTCTCAAAAAAAAAAAAAAAACAGCAACAACTTTAATACACTTGACGCTGGCTCAAGGTGGGAGACGGCCTGGCAGGGGCCCAGGCTGGCAATGGGGCCTGGCGGGGGGACCGGCCATTCTGTCCCTCCCCCGTCCTCCACTTTTGGCTGAGTCAGCATGTTGGCGCTGCAGAGCTGACTCCGGCTGTGGCCTGGAAGCCTTTTCCAAGTTTCTGCCCTTGGGGCTGGAGCAAGAGCTCCCAGAGGATGCTTTGCTGGCCAGCCAGGGAGATCCAGGTTCAAAGCCCAGCAATGTGGCTTTTGCTTTCTGGCTTTCCATGTCACTATGTTGGAAATGTAGAGTTTGGATACCCTAACGTGGCTGCCCAGGGAGTGAGAGTGGCCAGGGTACTGTGGCTGCAGATGGCACCTGCTGACCTCTGTGCTATTGGCCAGCACCTCTAGTCTCTGCAAGGCCTCTGAGCCATTGATGTCTTCACTCTTTCATGTCTATATTTTTTATGGAAATTTTTTTGTTATATATATTTTACCGCTTTTTCTTTCTTTTCTTTTCTTTTTTTTTTTTTTTTTTGAGACGGAGTCTTGTTCTATCACCCAGGCTGGAGTGCAGTGGCACAATTTCAGCTTACTGCAACCTCTGCCTCTTGGGCTCAAGCAATCCTGCCTCAGCCTCCCAAGTAGCTGGGATTACAGGCATGCACCACCATGCCCGGCTAATTTTGGTATTTTTTGGTGAGATGGGGTCTCACTATATTGCCCAGGCTGGTCTCAAAAACCCAGGCTCAAGTCATCTGTCCACCTCGGCCTCCCAAAGTGTTGGGATTACAGGTGTAAGCCACCACACCCGCCCCACTTCTTCATTTAGAAAGCATTTATTGAGCATATACTGTGTACTCGACCCTGGCAGTGACCAAGACTGACCTGGCCCCTTTGTTGCTGGGAGAGCTGGCCACAGAACTTTCTGCAGTGATGGAAGTGTGCTATGTGGGTTTCAGTACTCTGACCATGAGCCACACTGGAAATGTGGCCGGTGTGACTTGAGGAGCAGAATTTTAAATTTTATTTAATTTTTCTTTTTCTTTTCTTTTTTTTTTTTTTGAGATGGAGTCTCGCCCCGTTGCCCAGGCTGTAGTGCTGTGGCATGATCTCACGTCACTGCAGTGTCCACCTCCTGGGTTCTAGCAATTCTCATGCCTCAGCCTCCCATGTAGCTAAGGCTACAGGTGTGCACCACCACACTCAGCTAATTTTTGTGTTTTTAGTAGAGATGGGGTTTTGCCATGTTGTCCAGGCTGGTCTCAAACTCCTGGCATCAAGCAATCCACCCACTTTGGCCTCCCAAAATGCTGGGATTACAGGTGGGAGCCATGGCACCCGGCCTATTTAATTTTTCTTCATTTAAGTTTAATGAGTCACATGTGGCTAGTGGTCCTTTTTCTTTTTCTTTTCCTTTATTTTATTTTATTTCGAAGCAGAGTTTCACTCTTGTTGCCCAGGCTGGAGTGCAATGGCGCGATCTCAGCTCACTGCAACCTCCGCCTCCCAGGTTCAAGCGATTCTCCTGCCTCAGCCCCGAGTAGCTGGGATTACAGGTGCGCACCACCATGCCCGGCTAATTTTTGTATTTTTAGTAGAGATGGGGTTTCACCGTGTTGGCCAGGTTGGTCTCAAACTCCTGACCTCAGAAGATCCACCCATCTTGGCCTCCCAAAGTGCTAGGATTACAGGCGTGAGCCACCACACCCAGCCACTAGTGGTTCTTGTATTTGATAACTCAGACCCAGACAGTGAGTAAAGACAGAGAATTTCAGGTGACAGTAAAATAATGGGTAATGGGTGATGGGTGCTGCTTGAGCCAGGTGGTCAGCCAGGGCATTTCTGAGGAGGTGATCCTTGAGGGAGAATGGAAGGGTGAGAAGAAAAGTGACAAGAAAATGTAGAGGAACAGTGTTCCAGGCAGAGGCATAGCCTGTGCAAAGGCCCTGAGGCAGGACTGCACTTGGGGTGCTGGAGGAACAGCGAGGAGGCCCATGTAGCTGGAGCAGAGTGAGGGGGAGAGAGGGAGGAATGGAGGGCAGGGAGGAGATGGAGCAGGTCATGCAGGGCCTTGTGGGCCACCAGGAGGACTTGGGCTTTGACCCTGAGGGAGGTGGGAGCCATGGAGGGCTGTGGGCAGAGGAGGGACGGGACCTGACTCAGGTGCACACCGGCACCATGTAGTGGGTGCTGTGGGGAGGACAGACTGGAGGGCGAGGGTGGGAGGCTGGGGACCAGGGCAGAGGTGACTGTGCTGGTCCGAGCAGGCAATGATCAGGCTGGATGGGTTGGGAAGGGAATATGGAGAAAGATGGACAAAGTGAGTAGAAATTTAGGAGACAAACGTGAGAGTATTTCCAGACCAACACCATATGGGGTGAGGGAGGAAAAGCAGTGAGGGCCAGCTTCCAGGTTCTAGCCTGAGCCCCTGGAAGGACAGAGCTGCTATCAGCAGAGTTGGGGAAGACATGGGAGGAATGGCTTTGCTGGATCCAGCCATGCCTGAAGGTGTCACACATTTTCCAGGAAGGGGAAGGTAGCCTGGCCTGCGGGGGCGGACAGGTGAAAAAGGCAGACATGGAGCTGGGGCGTGCCTGTGGTGGGCATCATGCCCGCTGCGGTGCGGCTGGCGGGTAGACCCGGCGCCAGGGCTGTGATGTGAACATGGGTGAGGCGGGCTCCTGGCTGGTTGGCACCCGCCCATGCCCCGGGTCATGAATGCTGTGCTAGGTAGGAGGCGGGAGCCTTGGGCATGGGCAAGACCAGGGCAGGGAAGCTGAGAGGAAGCTGCCCAACCAGTTTCTCTCTGGCTCTCACAGCCAAGAGTACAGAGTTTGTACCTAAATGAAATGTCTGGGGGTTTTGGTGCCAAATATGAAGGAGGTGGGACAGACAGGCTGGGGGAGGGGGTCCTGCCCCGGTCAAGGGTATGGTTTTATCTGAGGGTTCCCCATCAGGGAAGGTTTAAAGGCTTGAGAACATCCCAATGCAGTCACCCCTGCTTTGGAAGTTTCTTCAGGAGACGAAGGGACACAGCTGTGTCTAAGAATGTCCCTCACAGTGTTGTTTATAAGGGACATAATGGGATAAACAAGTGGGAATTGATTAAATTCTGTGACCCGGACACTGGAACATGGTCTGCTAATGGTGATCCCCATCGAACGAAAGAAAAGCACCCATTCGTATGCATAGAAGAAAGACTGGAAGGAGGCCGGGCGCTGTGGCTCACGCCTGTAATCCCAACACTTTGGGAGGCCGAGGCGGGCGGATCATGAGGTCAGGAGTTTGAGACCAGTCTGGCCAACATAGTGAAACCCTGTCTCTACTAAAAATACCCAAAAAATTAGCCGGGCGTGGTGGTGTGCGCCTGTAATCCCAGCTACTCAGGAGGCTGAGGCAGGAGAATTGTGTGAACCCGGGAGGCAGAGGTTGCAGTGAGCCGAGATCGTGCCACTGCACTCCAGCCTGGGCGATGGAACGAGACTCTGTCTCAAAAAAAAAAAAAAAAAAAGAAAAGAAAAGAAAGACTGGAAGGAAATGGTTAGCCTCAGGGCCATCGTATTTGCTGTTCCTCCTGCCTGCAACTCTGTTGTCATAGGTGTTTGTATGTCTGATTTGCTCTCTTCCTCCAGGTGTAAATGCAATTATCACCACTTCTAAGAGGCTCCCCCAGGGACCCCCCAGTTTTTGCAGCCTTGCAGTGTGGTTTATTTAATTATTTTTGGCATCTCTTAGCACTGCCCGGCCTTATGTTATTGACAGTGTTTGTTTTTCTGTGGGTGTCCATCCCCCCTGCAACTAGTCTGTGCCCCCCAACAGGGGCAGGAGTGCTGGTTCCATCATGCTTACCACTGTGTCCTCAGCACAGCACACAGTAGGTGCTCAGCACATGTACAGGGAAAGAATGAATGAGAACGGCCGCATGAAACAGTTTCTCTCTAGGCGAGGGATGGATTGTGGGTAACTTTTATTTTCTTCTTTATGCTGATTTTACCTAATTTTCTGCTGCACGCGCCTATTTTATAATTAGAAGAAAAGTTATTTTGAAAAAAATTACCCCCCAACGTCCCAGCTGTGGGAGCTGACGTGATCCAGCCCCGTGTTCCTCCCCAAGGGCAGCCGCCTCCTGGGTGTATACAGAGGACATATCAATGGAACGTTTTTGGAGGGGTCCAGGGGTCAGCCCCCAAGGGCACGGAGTAGGCGGGGCAATCAGGGAGGGCTTCCTGGAGGTGGCCACCCTTAACCTTTAGGGTGCTCAGGCCAAAAACCCAGAAGTCATCCTTGAGTCCCCTCTTTTCTGTACATCCCCAAATGAGCCGTTTAGAAAATTCTATTGGGTCTGCCTAGAATGTGCCTTTCTCCCTCATCCTCTACCCAGTCCAGCCCCAGCCTAGTCATCCCCCACAGTCTGCCCTCCCCACAGCAGCTGAGCATGTCTGTGAGTACCTGAGTCAGGGCCTTCCTCTACCCACAGCCCTCCATGGCTCCCACCTTCCTCAGGGTCAAAGCCCAATTCCTCCTGGAGGCCTCTGAGGCCGTGCGCATCTTGTCCCCATTCCTTCCCTCCCCTCCCTCCCCTCCCCTCCTCTTTGTCTCCCCTTCCTCACTCTGCTCCAGCAACACTGGCCTCCTCGCCATTCCTCCAACACGCCAGGTGCAGTGCTGCCCCGGGGCCTTTGCATGGACTGAGCTCTCTGCCTGGAATCCTCTTTCACTTTCTCTCACCTTCTCCTGGTCTTTGTTCGCATGTCACCTCCCCTCTCTCCTATCCTGTGTTTATTTTATTTTACATTTTTTTAGAGATAGAGTCTCGCTCTGTCGCCCAGGCTGGACTGCAGTGGCACCATCCTAGCTCACTGCAGCCTCAACTTCCTGGCCTCAAGCGATGCTTCCGCCCTCAGCCTCCCAAGTAGCTGGAACCACAGTCATGCGCCACCAGGCCCAGCTAATTTTTAAAAGTTTTTGTAGAGATGATGGGCTATATTGCCCAGGCTGGTCTCAAACTCCTGGCCTCAGGCGATCCTCCCTCCTCATCCTACAACCCTGAACCCAATCATCCTCAGGGCCCTTACCACCATCTGACCCACAGTGGATTTGATTTCTTTTGTTTCTCATGTGTCACCCTCTTTAGAGCATCCACACCCTGAGGGCAGGGATCTTTGTCAGTCTTGGTCACTGTGTGTCTAGGATTGTGCCTGGCATCGGGGCTTGGAAATGTTTGTTTAGAAAAGGGTAGGCTGGGCTTAACCTTATTACGGGCTCATGTCTGTGATCCCAGCACTTTGGGAGGCTGAGGCAGGAGGTTCACTTGAGTCTAGGAGTTCGAGACCAGTCGGGGCAACATGGGGAGATCCCATGTCTACAAAAAAATCCAAAAATTAGCCAGACGTGGTGGCATGTGCCTGTAGTCCAAGCTACTCAGGAGGCTGAGGTGGGAGGATCACTTGAGCCCAGGAGGTTGAGCCCAGGAGGTTGAGGCTAGAGTGAGCCATGATGGTGCCACTGCACTCCAGCCTGAGCAACAGAGCGAGACCCTGTCTTGAAAAAAGGGTAGGTGAAGATGCCTGCTTTATGACAAGGGCACACACAGTGTGGCCTTTGGAGGAGAATAAGGTCGGAGGGGCTCTCCTGGGTGAGGCTGGGCCTGATTGTGCAAATGTTTGCTGAGAACCTCCTTTGTACTGTGGACCTGTGCTAGGTGCTGGGGACACTGGGTGACCGAGACAAATCCTGCTCTGCCTCCTGAGGTCACAGTCTGGTGGGAGAGGCAGACCCGGGGACTAGGCGCATGTAGGGCTCTGTGCTGATGGGGCCACCCAGCCAAGGGGGAGGGCACCTGGCCCACCTCCCCCAGCCCCTCGGGGGTGGCTGTGTCCCCTGCCAACTGCAGTCACCACTGTGGAATAGGGGCAAGAGTCTGCCTCCACAGAGACATGGACAAGAGGCCCAGAGAGGGCAGGACTGGCTGGGAAGCGGCTGGCAAGCCCTTGTCTGCCGTCCCGAGTCCTGGGCAGCCCAGAGCCAGGCCTGTATGCTGCAGGTCATGCAGCCCCAAGCCTCCTGACAGTGTGGATTCATTGAGCACCTGTTCAGTGCTTGGCTTATGTGGCAGATGGGGAAACTGTCGGCCCGAGAGGTACGGGTGCTTTCTTGACACACGGGGCATCCCTGGATTCAAACTCGAGTCTGTATGAGCCCCGTGCCTTGCCACAGATACAAGCAAGGTGCCTACTCTGCTCCTGAGGGCCCACTGTGTGCCCAGCCAAGTTGGGGAGGTCACGCTGGTTGCTCCTACGCCTACATTGACACAGGGAACCTCCTGTGTGCCTTTGGTGATGCTGGGGCACCAGGCAGCCTCCTCCATGAAGCACCTACTGTGTACCTCGTCGAGGATGGGGCTGCGTGGGACGGGGGACGTCACGGCATCCTGTGTTTAGCACCTCCTGTGTGCTCTGTGTCAAAGGGGCAGGCAGGGAGCCTGTGTGCAGACACTCACAGACCACCTACTGTGCATGGTGCTTTGTGGACTAGGCCACCTATTGTTGGAGATGGGGCGGGGCGATTCCATGCTCCATTTTGCAGAGGAGGGAAACTGAGGCATGGTAAGGGAAGGGGGCAGTGTGGTATCCCCCAGTGAGGGAGGCATTTATTCGATGTTTGAAGGAGATGGGAGCCAGCCACTGAGGTAGCAGTGGGAGGGCATGGACGGGAGCCGTGGGAGCGGAATTGTTTCTGCTGGGCTCTCACAGCCGCCTGTGTGTCTCCCATCAAAGCCCACGTCCTTTGCCCCACTGAGTAATGGCTTCTAGAGAGTGGGGCGTCTGTCTTCAGGATGGCCCTGTACCTAGATAAACCCAAGGGGCTTGAAATTATTCATGATATATCCTCAGTTCCGGGGGCCCCAGGCCTCCAGCAGCGCTGTGGTGAGAGCTCCTCCTCTGGACCCAAACCCTGGTTCCAATTCCTGCTCTTCCCGGCCGTGGGCAGCCGTTTCTCTCTCTTTCTCGGCTCCGTTCTTTGCAGAATGGGGGTGATGGTGGGGTCTGCCTCCTAGAGCCGTGGCCGGTGGCCTGAGGAAGCACAGCTGATGGCAGCTGAGCGCCCAGGACATCCCGTTGGCGTTGGCGTTCGGGCTTCGTCCTCAGCGCGAATGCTGGGAAGAGAGGCGTTTTTTCCAGGGATGGGAGCAGACGCGGGAGCCCTTGGGTCTCCATCCCGGCCTCTGCCCCTGTCCCGTCCCCAGACCCCCAGGTCCCGCTGGGCTTCTACATTCCGGGCCCCTCCGGTGGAGTTTTCAAACCCGCACCCCGGGCGCAACGCTGGCTCGGATTGGCCGCCCGGACAGGTCTGCCCCTCCCTCTCCCTCCTCCTCTCCCTCTGCTCCGGTGTCGCGGGCCTGGCACGGCGGCCCCATCTGTTTCCAATCTGGCCCTGTGCTCTCCGCCCCCTCCTCAGGCTTGTGGCGAGGGTGGGGGCCTCTGCCACGGTGTCCCCCCATTCATTCCCCTGGACCCCCAGCGGGAGGGAAGCCTCTGCGCCCGCACCTCTCCCCTACCCTCTGGTCTAAGAGGGGGAAGAGGGGACGCCCCCCGCCCCCATCACCGTGCCTCCGGTCCCACCCAGACTGGGAGGGGAACTCTGCCCCTTCTCCGACCTCCTGTAGTTGGGTGTGTTTGGGGAGCCCTCCGCCGCCCTGTCCGGCATCCAGCCTCCTCATGCGTTGCCATGGCTACGATCAGAGCTGGGGAAGCGAGGAGCAGTGTAGAGGCTCCCCGTGAGACGTCTTCGGGAGGGAGGGGTCTTGGGTCGTGCCCTCCCTGGGGCGCCCCTTCGCTCAGTGTTTCATGGACTCCTGCGGAGGCTCTCCGCGCCTCCAGATGGGGCTCCCCTCTGGTCCCCCCGCCCCACTTCCGGCCGGGGCCCCGCCCTGCCCCCCAATCCCCCTCCTCGGGGCCCGTCCCCTGCAGCCCCGCCCACTGCAACCCCGCCCCCTACAGCCCCGCCCCTTGCCCCGCCCCCAGGCCGAGCTCCCCAGGCCGAGGCCTCTCCCGAGTCTTCGCTGCGCGCCGCGCTCCGGGCGGACCGAGGGACGCGGGGAGCGGCTGCGGCGGGCCCTGTGGAGGCCTCGCGGGGCCTGGGCCCGATCTCCGAGCCGCGGGGTGAGTGCGCCCGGGACCCCCTTCCACCCCGAGGCCCGGGCCGCCCCGGGCTTTGTCTCTCTTGTCGCGCCCCCTCCAGGCTCCGAGGCTGGGGACCACGGGGGTCCCCACAGCCCAGCGCGGGCCTGACCGTGCCGGCCGCCCTCCAGGGCCAGCTTGGGCCTGCTGCTGCCTGGCGCCCCCCCATTCAGGCCCGTCGCTTGCACTTTGGAAAACTCCAGACCGTTATGCTCCGCAGGGTCCCCTCCCCCGCCTGGCCCCCAGCCCGACCTCCTCCCCCCACCCCCTCTCCTCCCCCACCTCCCGGGGGCGGAGCCAGGCGCGGGGCAGCCTTCGCTGCCAGCCCGGGGGAGCTGTGACTGGGGACTTCGCAGAAGGCGGAGGAGGCAACAGGACCGCAGAGGGGGCAGGTAGCGGTGGGGGGTGCATGGCAGGAATCCCTGCTCTTAGCCACCCCCGAAAATCGCAGGAAGTTTACCTCCATCCATTTGTTTCCGCTCCTCTCGGGCCTGTGGACCCCACGTTGCCTCTGTGCTTTGTTGGGGGGCTTTAAGAAACTGGGGGGCTTGGCCTCAGGGAGGGGCCTGTGGTGTTGTCTTCTGAGACGGTCAGGGCAGCTCGTACCTTTCTTTTACCCATTCCCGTCCCTGGGCTCTAAGCCGTTCCAGGACCCAAGTACTGAGCTGACAGAGTTTGGTGACCCTCCCCAAGGGGCTTCCTGCAGAACCCAGGCTGGCCTCAGCTGTCTGTTCCTTCCAGAGCCTCACCCCCACCCTTTAAGTCTCTGCCAGACCCCCTAGGGTGGATGCGAGGCTGTCCCCGTCTCGGTCTCCATTGCCTGGGGTGGTCTCTGTCTATGGTCTCAGTTTCTACCTCTGAAACCCAGGTGACGCCAGGGATGCTGTGGATAAAGTGCCAGGTGGAGCTGGTTATGCAGCAGGCATCCAGTGCATGCAGGGGCTTTGCCACGTTCCTGGGGTGGGAAAAGGGCTTCCATCCAGGGGGTTGACAGACCCACAGTGGGAGCACAGCTGTGATGGGGTAGCTCAGAATGGGTCTTGATCCACCCTGGGGCATCCAGGAGGGCTTCTTGGAAGAGGTGACAGCTCAGCTGAGCCCTGAGGACAAGTATGAGGGCTGAGATTTGATGAGGATGTGAAAGGGTATGCTGGGTGGAAGGAACAGTGTGTGTAAATACCCCTGTGGGAGCCAGGGGCCACAAGTGGGGGGGATCAAGGTGTCAAGGGAAGCCTGGCATGGGGGGTTGTGGCGTGATGAGGTCAGCAGAGGCCGGGCTGGCAGCTCTGGAGGCTGAGGTAGCAGTCTGAGTTTTAATACGTGTTGATGGGAGCCATGGAGGGTTTTAGAGCAGAGGAGGAACGGGGCTCAGCTTGGAGTGGAGGCATCTCGTGGCTGCAGCTTACAGGATGAACTGACCATGGGCCAGCTGGGGAAGGGTGTGCCAGGTGGGGGACCTGCATGCGAAGAGGCTCAGAGACCTGAGGCAGTGTATTCTGAGAACTGCAGGACCTTTCGGGAAGAGGGGGTAGGGAAGACGATGGATGCAGTCACATCAAGAAGGGCCCAGAGCAGCGAGCACAGGAGCTGGGAGCCCCCGTGGGTGTGTGAGCAGAAGCAGGGGTACCCCCAGATCTTGGCGTCTCAAGTTGTTCCATGAAGCCAGCATGGGGGACACACTGACGGGCAATTTTGGCAGCCTGGGCGCCCAGAGGATGTGGACTCTGGGCTCGACTGAGAGCCGGGCTCTGGCCTCAAATCCTAACCCAGCCCAGCCCCCTCCTCCATGCAGGACCCTTGGTGAGCCTCGGTTTCCTAATCCGTTAAACAGCAGAAAACACAGAGAACATTTAATGGGGCTCAGCACCCCAGAGGCACCCAGTGGACTTTAATGATTTCCCTCTCCAGGGCTGGGCCTGGTTCCCTGTCTGCCCCACCCATCCACTCCTGGCCACCAGGACCCCTGGGGACAGTGCCCTGAGCCTTCACGTCGTCCCAATACAAATCAATAGTCAATTAAAGCCAGGTCCCCGGACTTCAGTTCCGGGAAGGGCCAGCCCCACCCAGCCCCTCCCTGAGCCCATTTCCTGATAGGGAGATAATGGCGCCCTGGGAGGGACAGTGGCTTGGCCAGAGCTGACTTGAGCCCACCAGTGGCCACAGAGCCTGTGCTTGCTGCCCAGGGGGGCCCTCGCTGCCTGTCCCTGCTTGAGTGGATGTGGGAGTGACCCAGGTGTCCAGGGAGGCTGGAGGCCAGGGTCCAGTCCTGGAAATGACGTTCCAGGCGGTGGCACGGGAGAGCTGTGGGTGGGGGGTGGATGTGAAGGTGGAGAGATTGTGCAGGGTCAGGGGTCTTTCCCCTGAGTCCCACTGCTGGCATAATCAGCCTCAGCTTCTCCTGCCCTGGGGCCATGGGATGGCCCCTGAGGGTTAGGACTAGGCCCCCAGACTCCCGCCCCAGGACAGGGCAGCATGGACTCTACAGCTGGAGCCTGGGCTGGGAGAGGCACCGGGAGCCTCCTCTGGCCCGAGGAGCCCCCGCCTCGTGCGGGTGACACAGCCTGTTTGCTGCCCGGCCTGGGTCATAATCACCCCTTTATGCTTCCTGGACCGCGTGGGCACACAAAGCCGGCTCCCAGATCGCGTGACCCATGCCCCGGCGCCTGGTTGGAATGAGTGCCCACTCGCCCCCCATTAGCACCGCGGGGGAGCCCCCAGAGGCGGCCAGCGGGCTCTACCAGTCCCAGAGAGAGTTGTCCAGAGATCTCGCAGTGGCCAGAGAAAGACACAGTCACAAGATTAAACGTGGGCTCTAGACCCAAGTCCCACCCCAGCTGGGGGCCTTGGCTGAGTCCCTGTTTTTCTGTGAGCCTCAGTTTCCTCATCTGTAAAAGTCAAGCGCCTGCCTCTGACCAGCTGCCGTGAGCTAGTGGTGGGCAGTGCAGCCCCTGAGAGCCAGGTGGGGCGGGCAGAGACCCTCCCTGAGCCCCACATGGGTTCAGCGTCCAGCGGTCACTCCCTCTCCTTCTCCCTAGCCCTGGCTCAGCCTCGCTGGCCACCATGGGCTGCCATGCTTTTCCTAACAGCCGTGTCATTTACTGGGAGCTTGCAGATTACTGCACCTGACTTAATTTCCCTTTCTTGGCAGTGGCAAGGCTGGTGGCCCAGGCTGCCTTTTGCAAGAGGACATGGTGGAGGGTTGGCCTGGCACCAACCTGGCCATTTCCCTCCCTGCCCAGGGCCACGTAGGGCTCCTGGCTGCTCTGTGGGTCTAGTCTATGTGCACCTCTCTGTCCTCATCTCTCCCCCTCTCCCTCCTAGGACCTCTCAGTGCTGCCCCCTTGCTCTTCCTCATGCTGTTTGTAGTGCAGAGACACCCTTGCCCCCAATTCCCATTCACCTTTTGGTCCTCAGCCAATATTAAATCCAGGAATGGCCCACGCAAAGGCCCGGGGGCAGGACTGGACTGCACTTGGGGTGTTGGAGAAATAGCAAGGAGGCCCATGCGGCTGGAGCAGAGGGAGGAGGGGGAGAAAGGGAGGAGGGGAGGGCACGGAGGGGACAGGGCAGGTCGTGCAGGACCTGGTGGGCCTCAGGAAGGACTTGGGCTTTGACCCCGAGGCAGGTGGGAGCCATGGAGGGCTGTGGGCAGAGGAAGGACGAGCCCTGACTCGGGTGCTTGCAGATGCTTTCTGGTTTCTGTGAGTGGAACAGATCAAGGGACAAGGGCGGGAGCTGGGAGACCACGATGGAGGTGACGACATCTGTCCAGGTCGGTGACAATGGGGCTGGAAGAAGTGGAGGCAGAAGAATGAGTAAGAAGTGGGCAGGTTGGGGACAGATTCTGAAGGCAGAGCTGATGGGACCTAGGGATCTTCTCTCCCAAATCCTCGCAGAGGACCTCACGCCTGGGGTTTTCGTGGAAGCAGGAGTCGGTGGGAGGATTGTGGGTGTGCAGGGTCCTATCCCCATCATGGGAGGTTCTCCTAGGGAGGATTGGCACCTAAGGGACCCCGGGATGTTTTGTCTTTGGTAGTGTCTGAACCCCACTCCCTGGGCCCCTCCCACCACCCTATTCCTGATACATCATCCAATGCCCCAAATGCTCCTGTTACTGTAGCCCCTCGTCCCTGCCCCTGACAGGCTGGAGTGGCGGATCTGGGGGGAGTCCATGGCCAGGCCCTGCCTGTCTGTGCCTGACTCAGCCCCATCCTGCGCAGACATCAGGGAGGTGTGGGCCCAACATGGCTTCTGCCGTGGGAGCCAGGGTGTAATTAGGGCTGCCTGGTTTAGAAGGTGGCTGATGCTGCCCTGAGGTCCTCGTGGGATGTGGGAGAGCCAGCTGTGGCTGGGGCCCTCCATATATGTGCCCCACCTGGGCTCTCTGTGCAAGTGACTCCTACCCATGCCCTCTGAGCTTCAGGTTTGCTATGCTGCCTCAGTTTCCCCAGAGGCTCTCTGCAGGCCTGCCCAGCTGCTCAAAGTGGTCTGGGACTGACCTCGCCCCCTCAGTGTGGCCAAGCAGATGTGCATTTCTGGGCAGGGCCAGCCGCTGTGGTCACCCTAGCCCCAGCTGGCCACAGGCTGTTTTCTCCATCTGGGGCCACCGCCTTCCTCGTTGGCAACTTTTGCTCTTAAAGGGCTAGGGCAGGGACTCAGAGTAAGGGACTGTGCTCTAGGCTTTATTTCCTTCATCTTCCCAGTCCCCAACTGGTTGTGTGCAAGGTGTACCTAGAGTCTGACTGTGTGTGTGCATGTCTGTGTAGCCTGCCTGTGTGCACATATGTGTGTAGGAAGGGAATCTGACTTTGCATATCTCTATTTGGCTGGCTGGCACATGCACCTGTGGTCTGCTGACTGACTGGCCTATCTATAGTCTGACAGTGTGCCGGCACCTGTGTCTGCGTGTGACTTTGACCGGCTTGTGCACCTGTAGGTATCTCTGATCTAATTGCATGTTTGCAGTTCCCTGTAACCCAACTGTGTATGTGTACTGCCTGCCCCACCATGACCCCTTATGTGTATCTTTTCTGGCTTGGTGTATGTCTGTGGTCTGATTTTGGGCCTGTCTGTGTTTGTGGTCTGACTATGTGCAAGTTTTATTTGCCTGATTGTGTGTGTGTGTGTGTGTGTGTGTGTGTGTGTGTGTGTGTGTGTGCCCGTCTCTGCTGCCTGACTGTGTGAATGCATTTGTTTCTGTGTCTCTTGCAGATATGCAACCGCTTGCAGTCTGACTGTGTGTCGGTGTGTATCGGTGGTTTGACTGTGTGCATCTGTGTATGTCTGTGGCGTGATTTAGCAGGCATCGTTCTCTGTGGCTGGTCTGACTGTATGCCTGTGGCCTAACTATGTACACTGAGGCCCCCCGAATCCCGTTCGTCACCCTAGGCTGTGACCCGGCCACTACCCGCCCATCCTTCCCCTGGGACCGCCCCAGGGCTGGGCGAGGTGACCGCAGCTGGGTATTTTGGGAGTCAGAATCACAGGGGCTGCCCCGTTATTATGCGCCACCAGTTCCTGTGGTCACGGCCTGGACCCGCCCAGGGCATGGGCTGGCATGGGTGCCAGCCTGACTAGGCAACAAAGATCTTATCCTTGGGCCTCTCCCTTCCCCTCCCTGGCCCTCTGACCTGGCTCTGGACAGAGTGGAGATTGGGGAGATGGGGAGGGGGCCATTCCAGGGTTCAAGGTATGTGACGAGGGACCCTTCTGCCCTGGAGGAGTTGAGGTTCTTGTGGGAGAAACGTGCTGAATGATTAACATCTTTTCATTTAGTTTGGGAACCAGGGTGAATACCACGGAGGATAACCTTAGTCATATCTGATGCTCCGGGATGTAGAATGTAGGGGGAATTGACCTTTGAGGGGCAGAGAAGGGTTTCCTGAGGAAGTGACAGCTAAGCTGAGACCTGTCATGTGGTGGGGACAGCATTCCAGGCAGAGGGCACAGCAGAAGCAAAGGCTTGGAGGTGGGACTGAGCTTGGCTGGCCTGGCTGTACCTCCAAGCGAGAGGAAACAGTGAAGTCAGCAAGAGTGGCTTCCCCTGGGGGCTCTGGGAGCCATGGGAGGTCTTAGAGCAGGGCAGGGACAGGCAGGTGTGTGGAAGAGATTTGTCTTATAACCTGGGGGATCAGGTTTTAGAGCCAGACAGCAGCATAGTCTGGAGTCCCCTCCTTCCTGAGAAGCAGCCTGTGAGTTGGAGAAAACTGGGGCTCAGCACCCCTCAGTCCTGGTGTGGGGCTTGGTCTGAGTCAGGGGCTCAGGTCCTCAGTCCTGGTGTGGGGCTTGGTCTGAGTCAGGGGCCCAGCCTGGGTTGGGGACTCATGCTGGGGTTGGGGTTTAGCTGGTGGTTGGAGGCTGTCTTAGTCCATTTGGGCTGCTGTAGCCAAATACCACAGACCAAGTGGCTTATAAATGACAGAAATTGGTACCTCACAGTTCTAGAGGCTGGGAAGTCCAAGATCAAGGCAACACAGATTTGGTGTCTGGTGAGGGCTATCTTCTGGTTCGTGGAAGGCATCTTCTCCCTGTGTCCTCACGTGGCAGAAAGGGCAAGGGAGCTTTCTGGGAGATCCTTTATGACACTAATCCCGTTCATGAGGTCTCTGCTCTCATGACCTAGTCACTTCCCAAACACTCCATCTCCTGTTACCATCATAGTGGGGACTAGGTTTCAACATATGATTTTTTGTGGGGGAGACACCTTAATTCTATAGCAAGGGCCCAGCACTTTCATTCCATCCCATCACCCCATGATCCTTCCCCATTGTCCCATGACCAGCCCCCGCAGGACCCTCCCCTGCTCCATGTGACCCTCCCTCTGCCTCCTCCATGAAGGTCTCCTGGATTTCCCCACTCGCCTCTCACAGCCCTCCATTGTCTCTGCAGACGTTGCCCCATCTGACGCTCGGCTCGAGGCCTCTCTGTGAGGGACCGGGGGGCCATCCCCCTCCAGGGCGGAGATCGGAGGTCGCTGCCAAGCATGGCGCCCACCTGGGGCCCTGGCATGGTGTCTGTGGTTGGTCCCATGGGCCTCCTTGTGGTCCTGCTCGTTGGAGGCTGTGCAGCAGAAGGTAAGAAGCCGGCACGGGATGTGCAGGGGTCTGCGTGTTTGTTTACCTGTGTGCATTTATGGCTGTGTGTGTGTGGGCACACTCCCCACCTCCTCCCTGGGGCCCTCCATTTTGCCAAATGGAACTTTTATGCTCCACAAATGAGGCTGAATGCTGAGGACTGTGTGCTGAGCCCTAAGAGATTCAGAGATAAATAATAATGCTGGTATTCATAAAGTAATAACCGTAATGATGATGACGGCGTCTGTTTCCCCAGCATCAACTCAGCCCCAGGCTCCATGCTAAGCACTAATTTTACCTGCTTCCTCTCCCTTGAGCCTGACAAAACCCAGTGTGCCAGTTCTGTTACCTTCCACGTTTCCCAATGAGGGAAAACGAGGCAAGGACTTATTTGAGATCACTGCTTAGTGAGCCACAGAGTTCACCTTCCCTTGCTGTGGGCAGTACCTACACCTGGTGGCAGACACACAGGCAGACAAACTGTCTCAGGTGGAGCCAGGGGAGGCTTCTTGGGAAAAAGGGCATTGGGACTGGGGTTTTGTGGGTGTATAGGAGTTCGCCGATAGAAAAGCCATTCCTCGTCAGGATGACAGCACCCGGGAAGGCCTGCAGATGAAAGAGGTTGGTATAGTTTAGAGATGGGCAAGGAAGCATTTCTGGCTGTAATGTGAAGAGGATGAGGGTCCATCTGGGGCCCAATGCCAAGACTCACCCCACCATGAAGGACCTGGAGAAGGCATCACTCAGGCCCATGAGGACATAGGGGATGAGGGCAGTAGGGCAAGAGACTGGGTTCTGCAGTCAGGCTGGGTTTGAATCCTGGCTCTGCTGCCAACCTGCTGCACAACCCCGGGCTAGTGGCTCAGCCTCCCTTACCCACTGTCACAGAGCTCATATCATTATCCACATCCAGCATTCTTGTGATGTGGACATTTCATAAGCCCCTGCCTGCTGCTAGGGACATAGCAGGCCGGCAATCCTGTGTTACCACAAACGTAGGTATTACTGCTGGTTAACAAACTGGAGACATACACCCCTGCCTCATTCATTTGCGCTTTTTCTTATTTTCATGCTGCTTTTTTTATTGTCGTTTTTTCCTTTTGAGATGGGGTCTCACTCTGTCACCCAGGCTGGAGTGCAGTGGCAGCATCTCAGCTCACTGCAACCTCTACTTCTCAGGCTCAAGCAATCCTCCCACCTCAGCCTCCCAGGTAGCTGGGACTACAGGCGTGGGCCACCATGCCTGGCTAATTTTTTTAATTTTTTGTAGAGATGGGGTTTCACTGTGTTGCCCAGGCTGGTCTCGAACTCCTGAGCTCAAGCAATCCACCTGCCTCTGCCTCCCAAAGTGCTAGAATTACAGGTGTGAGCCAGCCACGGCATCCAGCCTCATGCTGTTTTTTAGTAAATGCCCCTATACATTCAGATCAGCCACCGCACCCTGATGAGGTGAATGCGATTATCAGCATCCCCGTCGTACAACTATGGAAACTGATTGCACCGCTGCACTCAGCCTGGGCAACAGAGCCAGACCTTGTCTCAGAAAAAAAAGAAAGATGGGCTGAAGCGCCTTGGCCTCCCAAAGTGCTGGGATTGCAGGCATGAGCCACTGTGCCTGACCTGGCTAATTTTTATTTATTTATTTATTTATTTATTTATTTATTTATTTATTTTAATTAATTAATTTTTTGTGACAGAGTCTCACTCTGTCGCCCAGGCTGGAGTGCGGTGGCGCAGTCTCGGCTCACTGCAACCTCCGCCTCCCAGATTCAAGCGATCCTCCTGCCTCAGCCTCCCGAGTAGCTGGGATTACAGGTGCCAGCCACCACACCCGGCTAATTTTTTGTATTTTTAGTAGAGACGGGGTTTCACCATGTTAGCCAGGGTGGTCTCAATCTCCTGACCTCATGATCCTCCTGCCTCGGCCTCCCAAAGTGCTGGGATTACAGGCATGAGCCACTGAGCCCGGCTGGCCTGGCTAATTTTTTAAATTTCTTGTAGAGATGGAGTTCTTACTGTGTTGCCCGGACTGGTCTCAAACTCGTGAGCTTAAGCAATCCTCCCACCTCAGCCTCCCAAAGTACTGGGATTACAGGCGTGAGTCCCAGTGCCTGGCCTGGCTAAGTTTTTAAATTTCTTACAGAGATGGAGTTTTTACTATGTTGCCCAGGCTGGTCTCAAACTCCTAGATTTAAGCGATCCTCCCAACTCAGCCTCCCAAAGTGCTGGGATTACAAGAGTGAGCCACTGTGCCCAACCAGAAGTGGCCATTTGAACCTGAGCTGCCTGGTCCCACAGGCCAAGTTCCCAATGACCACACTCCCTCAGGGACCAGAAGCCAGGTATAGCTGCACTGTGATCTGTCTGGCTGCCTCCAGGGCCTGAGTCTTCCTGGCCTGTCTCACCTGCATTGGGGATGTCTGGCCTTCAGTACTGACCCCTTTCAGTTCTTCTTTTCTTTTGTTTTTTTTTTGAGACGGAGTCTCCTTCTGTCTCCTGGGCTGGAGTACAGTGGTGCGATCTCGGCTCACTGCAACCTCCACCTCCCAGGTCCAAGTGATTCTCGTGCCTCAGCCTCCCGAGTAGCTGGGATTACTGGCACCCGCCACCATGCCCTGCTAATTTTTGTATTTTTAGTAGAGATGGGGTTTCACCACATTGGCCAGGCTGGTCTCGAACTCCTGACCTCAGGTGGTCTGCCCACCTCGGTCTCCCAGAGTGCTGGGATTACAGGCGAAAGTGCTGGTGTGACAGGCGAAAGTGCTGGGGTGACAGGAGAAAGTGCTGGGGTTACAGGCATAGGGGAACAATTTCTGCTCTAGAAACCACTTCAGGTCCAGTGGGGCCTTCCCAGGATGCCGTGGGGCTGGCCCCGGGCAGGGTTGGAGGGGACAGGGTGGGTGGGTCACCAGCTCTGGCACTGGATTCTTGTCTGCAGAATCTGAAATGGAAAAACAGAGATGGGGCCAAGCCAGGCCACGGAGCGGGAGGCTCAGGCGCGTTGCCTCCAGAGAGGGCTGGGTTCCCTTTCCAGCTTTTTTGATATTGGCAATACCACATGAACTTCTGTCTCTTCATCTAAGAGACAGGGACATCCACGGTACTTGTGGTCAATAAAGACCCCCAACCCCATTTATCCAGCCTGCGTGATTTTCAAGGCACTGGAGCCAGGTAGGCCTGGGTTGGAATCCTGTCTCTGCCCATCACACGCCGTGTGACCAAAGGCAGGTCCCTTCTTTTTTTTTTTTTTTTGAGATGAAGTCTTGTTCTGTTGTCCTGTTGCCCAGGCTCGATCTCGGCTCCCACTGCAGCCTCTGCCTCCCAGGTTCAAGCAGTTCTCCTGCCTCAGCCTCCAAGTAGCTGGGATTACAGGCGTGTACCACCAGGCCTGGCTAATTTTTGTATTTTTGGTAGAGATGGGGTTTTGCCATGTTGGCCAGGCTGGTCTTGAACTCTTGACCTCAGGTGATCTGCCTGCCTCAGCTTCCCAAAGTGCTGGGATTATAGGTGTGAGCCTCTGCGCCAGGCCTCTTCACCTTTCTGAGCCTGTTTTGCTCCTCCTGGCCACAGGCATAAAGCTTAGCACATGGCGTGTCTTTGTGCCTCTCGAGCTGCAGGCGCGGCGCCCTCAAGCCCCAGAGGTGTCCTTCCTGTGTCTCTGCCCCTTTGCTGAGAAAAAGGTGGGGAAGCTTCGTCCAAAGGAGAGATTGCAAGCATTTGCAAGACATTTTCTAACGGGGGACTCAGTGGGCAGGGACAGCTCTTCCAGGCTGGCTCAGATCCCAAAGCTGCCTGGAGAAGACCGAGAGGGTATCTGCTCTGCAGTGATGGGGGTGCTTCCGAGAGGTAGAACCCCTCCAAATCCGAGAGCAGGCAGTGATGTTGGGAGCTCCGTTTTCTCAAGGGTCACCACACACCGAGAAGAAGTCTGAGGTCCCAGGGAACCAAGGCTGTCCCTTGACCTCTGTGCTGAGAGCCACATAAGCAGGTATCTCAGCCCAGTGTTCTGGGGACGCCCAGGCTGCGGTGGGGGCATAAGGGACTCCTGACCGGGCCTGCAGTAATCCAAGAAGGCTCCCCAGGGGAGGTGCTGGCCGAGCTGAGGTTGAAGCTGCCAGATGAGAGGAGGAGGACGGGACCCTGGGAGGAAGGAACAGCACAGACAGTGGCTGATTGTAGCACCCACCCGCCCGGTCTTGCTTGCTGGATTGGAGGGGGCAAGGGGTGTGTTCTGGCTCTAGGTCAGACAGGCAGCTGGATGCGTCTCTACCCTCAGCCAGCTTCTGCCCTTCCTTCCAGCAGCTCCAGAGGGAGGGATTTTTACCAGAAGTAACATTCTTGACCCGGCCACAGTGACTTTTCCTCATGTCCTTGGCTGAGGACGCATGGCCCCGGGTCACCATTCCTGAGGCCAGAAGGAGGGGGCAGCCCCAGCCTCAATGTGGAGCAAAACATCTGCCCTAATCAGGCTCAAGTTCTGGATGTGGAAGGGACAGTAAGATGTCGGCTTTGGAGGCAGAAACCCGGGTTCAAATTCCAGTGCTGTTATTTCTGAACTCTGTGATCTTTTTTGTGGTGGTTTGTTTTTTGAGACAGAGTCTTGCCCTGTCCCCCAGGCTGGAGTGCAATGGCGTGATCTCAGCTCACTGCAACCTCTGCCTCCTGGATTCAAGCAATTCTCCTGCCTCAGCCTCCCGAGTAGCTGGGATTACAGGCATGCGCCACCATGCCGGGCTAATTTTTGTATTTTTAGTAGAGATGGGGTTTCACCATGTTGTTCAAGCTGGTCTCGAACTCCTGACCTCAGTTGATCCTCCCGCTTTGGCCTCCCAAAGTGCTGGGATTACAGGCGTGAGCTACCATGCCCAGCTTCTGAGCTCTGTGAACCCATTAACATTCCTGAATCAGTACAGTGGGATTGGCTGTTGCTGCAACAGAGGGATAAATAAGAGTTGAGGGGCCAGGCGCGGCGCCTCATACCTGTAATCCCAGCACTTTGGGAGGCTGAGGTGGGTGGATCATTTGAGGTCAGGAGTTCGCGACCAGCCTGGCCAACATGCTGAAACCCCCTCTCTACTAAAAATACTAAAATCAGCTGGGTGTTGTGGTGGGTTCCTGTAATCCCAGCTACTTGGGAGGCTGAGTTAGGAGAACCACTTGAACCTGGGAGGCGGAGGTTGCAATGAGCCAAGATTACGCCACTGCATTCCAGCCTGGGCAACAGAGCGAGACTCCATCTCAAAAAACAAACAAAAAAAAAAAGTTAAGGGAGGCTGTGCATTCCTGTACATGGTGGGTCTAGTGATTTTTTTGTTTTGTTTTGTTTTGGAGACAGAGTTTTGCTTTTGTCACCCAGGCTGGAATGCAATGGCAGGATGTCAGCCCACTGCACCCTCTGCCTCCTGGGTTCAAACGATTCTCCTGCCTCAGCCTCCCAAGTAGCTGGGATTACAGGCACCCGCCACCACGCCTGGCTGATTTTTGTATTTTTTTAGTAGAGACGGGGTTTCATCATGTTGGCCAGGCTGGTCCTGAACTCCTGACCTCAGGTAATCCATCCGCCTCAGCCTCCCAAAGTGCTGGGATTACAGGCATGAGCCACCACGCCCGGCCAGGTCTAGTGACTTTTGGGACAGATGCTCAAAGCACACACATACGGTCATATCAACAGGAGCAGAGCCTTGAGTGAGGGAGGTTAGGCTGGTCAGGCCACTGGGGCAGGAACTCTGTTTTGTTTAAAGCCCAGCCTGAGCCATGGATGGGTAGGCGTTGGGGCCCACAGGGACCTACCCTTGGAACCTCGGGCCTTCTTAAGGCCTCTCTGGGCTTCTGAATAGCTGGAACTTTCCAGAACTTTTCTGGTCAACCTGTGTGGCCCCTGGACTCACTCTACCCTTTTCTAGCTGGTCGTAGAGGCTCAAAGTCCTAGCGTTGCTCAAGTTTGAGTTGTTAGACCTCAGCCTCTCCTCAGACCCCAAACTTTTACTTAAAACAAAGTTTTGCTCCATTTTTTCTTTAATCAGCTCACTTTTTTATTTAAGCAATTTTATGTTTTAAAATAACTTCAGGCTGGGCGTGGTGGCTCACGCCTGTAATCCCAGCACTTTGGGAGGCCAAGGTGGGTGGATCACGAGGTCAGGAGATCGAGACCATCCTGGCTAACACGGTGAAACCCCGTCTCTACTAAAAATGCAAAAAAATTAGCCAGGCATGGTGGCGGGCGCCTATAGTCCCAGCTACTCGGGAGGCTGAGGCAGGAGAATGGCGTGAATCCGGGAGGTGAAGCTTGCAGTGAGCCGAGATCACGCCACAGCACTCCCGCCTGGGTGACACAGTGAGACTCTGTCTCAAAAAAATAAAAATAAAAATAGATAACTTCAGCTGGGCACGGTGGCTCACACTGCTAATCCCAGAGCTTTGGGAGACCGAGATGGGAGGTTCACTTGAGCCCAGGAGTTCCAGACCAGCCTGGGAAACATAGCGAGACCCTGTCTCTGCAAAAGATTAAAAATTAGCCGCATGTGGTAGCAAGCGCCTGTGGTTCCAATTACTCAGGAGACTGAGGCCAGAGGATCCCTGGAGCCCAGGAGTTTGAGGCTGCAGTGAGCTATGATTGCACCACCGCACTCCAGCCTTGGGTGAGAGTGAGACCCTGTCTCTGTAAAAAAAAATAAGAAGAAGAAGAAAAAATAAAATAAAAATAAAAATAAAAATAACTTCTTCAATTTGTCTTTAGTTCTACATGTAAAAAGGTACCAAAGTGGAAATCTCTGTCCCTGTGTCCAGCCACTTAGCTCCCTGGAGGCAGCACTGTTTCTACACATACATACAATCTTTCCCTTTTTCCTTTTTTCTTTTTTTTTTGAGACAGAGTTTTGGTCTGTTGCCCCGGCTGGAGTGCAGTGGTGCGGTCTGAGCTCACTGCAGCCTCCACCTCCCGGGTTCAAGCGATTCTCCTGCCTCAGCCTCCTGAGTAGCGGGGATTACAGGCATGCACCACCACGCCTGGCTGATTTTTGTATTTTTAGAAGAGACGGGGTTTCACCATGTTGGTCAGGCGGGCCTCAAACTCCTGATCTAGTGAGCCTGCCCCAGCCTCTCAAAGTGCTGGGATTACAGGTATGAGCCACCATGCCCAACCCCTTTTTTCATTTTAAAAAATCGTACAACGGTACCATTTGCGACACTTTATTACCTCTTGCTTATACACACCTCCTCCATTTAATAATATATCTTATTGTTCCTACCCTAGTAGTTTATTTTAAAAAGCATCCTGGCTGGGCAGGGTGGCTCACGCCTGTAATCCCAGCACTTTGGGAGGCTGAGGTGGTTGGATCACCTGAGGCCAAGAGTTTGAGACCAGCCTGGCCAACATGGGGAAACCCTGTCTCTACTAAAAATACAAAAATTAGCCGGGCGTGATGTGTGCCTGTAATCCCAGCTACTTGGGCGGCTGAGGCAGAAGAGTCCACTTGAACCCAGGAGGCGGAGGTTGCAGTGAGCCAAGATCGCGCCCTGCACTTGAGCCTGGGTGACGGAGTGAGACCCTGCCGCAGAAATAAATAAATAAATAAGTAATCAAAAAGCATCTCGAGGTGAGAGGATCGCTTGAGGACAGGAGTTTGAGACCAGCCTGGGCAACATGGCAAAACTCAGTACAAAAATTAGCTGGGCGTGATGGCATGTGACTGTAGTCCCAGTTACTCAGGAGGCTGAGTTGGGAGGATCGCTTGAGCCTGGGAGATTGAGGCTGCAGTGAGGTATGTTCGTGCCATTGCACTCCAGCCTGGGCAGAAGAGCGAGTCCCTGTCTGAAACAAAAAAGCATCCTTTCCCCCACCCCCCACTCCCTTTTTTTTTTTTTTTTGGCAGTTTCTACATTTATTTAAACACAAAACATGCACACGAGCCGTCTACTCATTTTCTTCACTGCGCAGCCTGGCATTGGGGTTGGTGACTCTGACGGCAGCTGGGCGGCCCTTTCCACGTTGGTTTTGCGTTTCTTGGAGGAAACACTGTGAGCGATCTCAGCACAGGGAGATTTGTTGCACATCAGCACTTCCAGCTCCTTGACGCTGGGGACCAGGAACTTCCGGAAGCCACTGGGCAGCATGTGCTTTGTTTTTTGTTGCTCCCGTAACCACTGTTGGGCATCAAGATCTGGCCCTTGAACGTTCTGCGAACCCTGTTGTCAATACCTCTGGGTTTCCCCCAGTTAACGCTTAATTTTGACATATTGGTCTGACTGGTGCCGGATGAACGCCTTGATCCTCTTTTTGACGATCTTGGGCTTCATGAGGAGTCTGAGGGCGGCCATGATGCTGAGGAGGAGACGGCTGCCACCTCCTTAGGCAGCGCCGAGGAAGGGAGGCTTTTCCTCCTTTTTTTTTTTTTTGAGATGGAGTCTCACTCTGTCGCCCAGGCTGGAGTGCGGTGGCGCGATCTCGGCTCACTGCAAGCTTCGCCTCCTGGGTTCACTCCATTCTCCTGCCTCAGCCTCCCGAGTAGCTGGGACTACAGGTGCCTGCCACCTCGCCCAGCTAATTTTTTGTATTTTTAGTAGAGATGGGGTTTTCACCATGTTAGCCAGGATGGTCTCGATCTCCTGACCTCGTGATCCACCCACCTCAGTCTCCCAGAGTGCTGGGATTACAGGCATGAGCCACCGCACCCGGCTTTTTCCCCCTTTTTATACTTATGTAGTATTCTGCTGCATAGATAGCCTGGCATTCACTTGATCAGTTCCTTTTTATTGGATATATAGGCTGCTTCCTAAGGGCTCTTGTAAGTATGTTGCAGCCCTCGGGGAAAAAAAATAAAAAAATTAGCCAGGCGTGGCTGTGGGTACCTGTAGTCCCAGCTACTTGGGAGGCTGAGGCAGGAGAATGGCATGAACCCAGGAGGCAGAGCTTGCCGTGAGCCAAGATCGCGCCACTGCACTCCAGCCTGGGCGACAGAGCGAGACTCAGTCTCTTAAAAAAAAAAAAAAAAAACACAAAACTCAGCAGTAGCTCCATTCATCTTAGGGGATACATTGTAACATTACTGTGTACTGTGACCGGAAATCTAGTGTCCCTCTGGGAGATGCAAAGGTTACTGTAAAAATAGTCGATAAAAAGGAAACAATGTTAATGAATTCTCCACAGATACTGTAGCCTGTCCCAGGTGCAGCTTGATGAGGTTGCTCTAGGATGTTAAAATAGGCATACTCACCTGCCTGGTGGCTCACGCCTGTAATCCCAGCACTTTGGGAGACTGAGGCGGGCGGATCACGAGGTCAGGAGATCGAGACCATCCTGGCTAACACGGTGAAACCCCCATCTCTACTAAAAATACAAAAAAATTAGCTGGGCATGGTGGCGGGCATCTGTAGTCCCAGCTCCTTGGGAGGCTGAGGAAGGAGAATGGTGTGAACCTGGGAGGCGGAGCTTGAAGTGAGCCGAGATCGCACCACTGCACTCCAGCCTGGGCAACAGAGTGAGATTCTGTCTCAAAAAAAACAAAAACAAAAAAAAAACACGTACTCCAGGCCAGGCGCAGTGGCTCACACCTGTAATCCCAGCACTTTGGGAGGCCAAGGTAGGTGGATCACTTGAGGTCAGGA
The DNA here is from genome assembly GCF_000001405.40 of Homo sapiens. NCBI lineage: Eukaryota > Metazoa > Chordata > Mammalia > Primates > Hominidae > Homo > Homo sapiens. Next base: position 5,276,446 of record NC_000019.10, on the reverse strand, counting down.
GTTCAAGACCACCCTGGCCAACATGGTGAAACCCCATCTCTACTAAAAATACAAAAATTAGCCAGGCGTGGTGGTGCGTGCCTGTAATCCCAGCTACTTAGGAGTTAGAGGTAGGAGAATCACTTGAACCTGGGAGGCGGAGGTTGCATTGAGCCGAGATGGCACCACTGCACTCTGGCCTGGTGACAGAGCAACACTTCATCTCAAAAAACAAAAACAAAAACAAAAACACTCCTACTCCAGGCTTTATTGCAGAGACTGAATGAATACATCAGATCGTCATGGAGGGTGAAGAATGTGGATGTGAAAGCCAGGCTGGTTCAAAGGAGCACGTTCAGCTCAGCCACCGCCTGGCTGTGCATGTCCAGCCAAAGCAAGTCCCTTGCCTGGTTTGTGTCTCAGTTTCCTCACATGTAAAATGGGGATGGCAGAGCTGGGTATGGTGGTTGACGCCTATAAATCCAGCAGCTTGGGAGGCTGAAGTGGGAGGATTGCTCGAGGCTAGGAGTTTGAGACCAGGCTGGACAACATAGCTACTTGGGAGGCCAAGGTGGGAGGATCACTTGAGGCCAGGAGTTCCAGACCAGCCTGGGCAACATAGTGAGACCCCAGGCTGGTTTTTGTTTTTGTTTTTGTTTTTTGAGACGGAGTCTCACTCTGTCGCCCAGGTTGAAGTGTGGTGCCATGATCTTGGCTCACTGCAGCCTCCATCTCCCAGGTTCAAGCAATTCTTCTGCCTCAGCCTGCCAAGTAGTTGGGATTACAGGTGCCCACCACTATGTCTGGCTAATGTTTGTTTCCTTAGTAGAGACGGGGTTTCACCATGTTGGTCAGGCTGGTCTCGAACTGCTGACCTCAGGTGATCCTCCGGCCTCAGCCTCCCAAAGTGCTGGGGTTACAGATGTGATGGCCTTCACCTGTAGTCCCAGCTACTTGGGAGGCCAAGGTGGGAGGATTGCTTGAGCCTGGGAGGTCTAGGCTGCAGTGAGCCAAGACCGTGCCACTGCACTCCAGCCTGGGTGACAGAGTGAATCCCTATCTCTCAGGAAAAAAAAAAAGAAAAGAAAAAGAAAAGAAGGCTGGGTGCAGCGGCTCATGCCTGTAATCCCAGCACTTTGGGAGGCGAAGGCAGGCAGATCATGAGGTCAGGAGACCGAGACCATCCTGGTTAACATGGTAAAGCCCCATCTCTACTAAAAATACAAAAAGTTAGCCGGGCATGGTGGTGGGCACCTGTAGTCCCAGCTACTCGGGAGGCTGAGGCAGGAGAATCGCTTGAACCTGAGAGGCAGAAGTTGCAGTGAGCCGAGATCACACCACTGTACTCCAGCTTGGGCGACAGAGTGAGACACTGTCTGGAAAAAAAAAAAAAAGAAAAGAAAATGACGATCAGGATGGCACTGCCTCTCCATGCTGTTGGAGAGGTTAAATATTAAATATTACTTCCCCTTTCTGAGCTCCTGCCTCCAGCTCAGAGCACTCTCCTGGGCACTGACCCCTCGTGTCCAGCCACCTCCTGGATGCCTCCCAAGAAGCTGGAGCTCTGGGTTCAAATACTGGCTCTGACCTCATGTCCCATGGTCACCCCCCGCCCCCATGCTGGGTGCCTCAGTTTCCCCACATGTCTCACCAGGAAATTAGACCAAGTTATTCTGGCAAGTGCTTTCAGGGCCCTCCAGGGTTTGGCTGGTCACCATGGAGGGGGGGTTCAGGTGCTGAATTTAGGGACCCCAGCATCTCACAGGTTTCCCCTTCCATCTTTCCCAGTGGCACTGTGTCTGAGCAGGTGTGCCCAGGTGAGGTTGTATCCACTGTGTCTGAGCAGGTGTGCCCAGGTGAGGTTGTATCCACTGTGTGTGAGCAGGTGTGGCTGTTGCAGGTGGAAGTGGGGATATGTGGGCACCTGGGTGCCCATGGGTGCCGTGGTGGGGGGCGAGGTGGGAGGGTGTTTGTTGTCATCCTTGCTTTCCTCCTCCTCTCTTCATTGGCCACATGGCACTTCCGTGGGCAGGGCATGGAATGCAGGTTTTCGTGGCTCCTTGGTATCCTAGCCAGATGCCTGGACCCATCAGCGCCCCCCCTTCTTTCCACTGTATCCCCAGAGCCCCCCAGGTTTATCAAAGAACCCAAGGACCAGATCGGCGTGTCGGGGGGTGTGGCCTCTTTCGTGTGTCAGGCCACGGGTGACCCCAAGCCACGAGTGACCTGGAACAAGAAGGGCAAGAAGGTCAACTCTCAGCGCTTTGAGGTGAGTTGGGGTAGGGGGAGGCAGCCTGGGGTCAATGCTCCCCCAAGGCAGGGCCACAGCACCTCAGCCACAGTGGACTTCGTGGACACGTTCCCCAGGTGGAGCATCATCTGTGGCCAAGCAAGCATGGCTGCGCAGCCTCCAGCCAGGGCCCTGCCCGCCTTACTTGCTCTACCAGCTCCATGCTGTGTGGCCTCAAGCAAAGCCCTGCCCTCTCTGAGTCTTCTTCACAGTGCAGTGTACACAGCACCACTGCACACAGAAGGAACTTTACAACTCTCAATACACGCCCATGATCACACGTGCACATTGACACATTCCGCATGTCTTCACATGCCTTTGCATGCCTGTCACATGGGCTTGCAGACATTTGTCACCCTCACACATGCACACAACACCCTGTTCTTATATGTACCCAAATCTGGTCCCTGTCTGCGGCGCATTTATACTGGACACCGACACACGTGCACATTCAGCCTGCAGCAATTCTCCCAGTCACCCCCAGGATCATGGGGCTGACTGCCATTCCCCTACAGCCCAGCCTAGCCCAGCCTAGACAGGAACCTTCCTGGGACCCCAGCCTCACTCTGTTCTTTTTTCCCCTGCCCATGGCAGACGATTGAGTTTGATGAGAGTGCAGGGGCAGTGCTGAGGATCCAGCCGCTGAGGACACCGCGGGATGAAAACGTGTACGAGTGTGTGGCCCAGAACTCGGTTGGGGAGATCACAGTCCATGCCAAGCTTACTGTCCTCCGAGGTATTGGGCTCCTCAGGGCGGGCGGAGGATAAACTGGGCCCTGGGCTTTGGGGACAAGCACAAAAGGAATACATGAAAGTTACCCCAAACCCTCCTGCTTTGTGTTTTTTGGGAGGACCTTGATCTCCCTTATCCAACCAGTAACAGTCTCAGGGCCCAGCGCCTACTGGTGGGGATTTATTGTGCCTTTGCAAGAAAGAAAGGAATTGAGAGACTAGAATCATCCTAATTTATAATCTTCATCATGTGCTTCTGATGACAAAAGGCTGATCCAACTCAGATGGGTTCAAGCGAGAAAGGTAATTGATGTGCAGAATTAAAATTCCATGGAGTGGCTGGCTTCAGGTTCAGCTGGATCCAGGGGCTCATTGAATTTTCTCAGAGCTCACTCTCTGTCTCTTGGCTTTGTTTCCTTCTGTATTGATGATATCCTTAGTGAGACTTCCCCCACTGCCAATGAACTTGGATCCCATTCCCTTCCCTGAACTAATCACTGTGGCTCAGGAGGAACAAACACTCTGATTGGCTAGACTCCTACCTGGAGCCAAGAGTGAGTGTGGTTCCCCCAAAGGAATAAAGATAAACAGGGTTGGGCATGGTGGCTCACACCTGCAATCCCAGCACTTTGGGAGGCTGAGGTGGGAGGATCACACGTGAGACTAGACTGGGCAACATAGCGAGACCCCATCTCTACAAAAAATAAAGGATGAACGGATGCTAGGTAGGCAGAAACTGCTGCCCCACTTCCCCAGACATTCACACGGGCCTGCAGTGCTGCTTGCTGGTCTTGTTTAGGTGCAATTCTTTTTTTTTTTTTTTTTTTTTTTTTTTTTTTTTTTTTTTTTTGAGACAGTCTTGCTTTGTTGCGCTGGCCAGAGTACAGTGGCATTATCTCAGCTCACTGCAACCTCCACCTCCCAGGTTCAAGCGATTCTCCTGCCTCAGCCTCCCAAGTAGCTGGGATTACAGGCACATGCCACCACGCCCAGCTAATTTTTGTATTTTTAGTAGAGACAGGGTTTCACCATGTTGGCCAGGGTGGTCTCAAACTCCTGACCTCAAGTGATCCGCCTGCCTCAGCCTCCCAAAGTGCTGGGATTACAGGCATAAGCCACTGCATGCAGCCTAAATGCATTTCTTGAACAAGTCGCAAGGGGTTTATAGGGGGCTGTCTGAGTGATGCTGTTTTATAATGAGGAAGCAATTTTGTGAACAAATTTTTGTTCAGCATCATTTCAAACAGCCGCCTACAAACCCTTGCCCAACCACTCTGTGCTGCCTTCTCCACTGCAGTTTGGTCTTAGCACTGGGCCCAGCCTGTGGAGCTCAAGTCCTGGCTGCCACTTGGTTGCTGTGTGACCTAGGGCAGGTTAATGAACTTGTCTGAGCTGCAATTTTCTCATCTCTAAAGTCGGGCTGAGTACAGGGACTCAAACATCTGTAATCCCAGCACTTTGGGAGGCCGAGGCGGGTGAATCACCTGAGGTCAAGGAGTTCAAGACCAGCCTGGCCAACATGGTAAAAGCCCGTCTCTACTAAAAATACAAAAATTAGGTGGGTGAGGTGACGTGCACCTGTAATCCCAGCTGCTCAGGAGGCTGAGGCAGGAGAGTTGCTTGAACCCAAGAGGCGGAGGTTGCAGTGAGCTGAGATCACACCATTGCACTCCAGCCTGGGCGACAAGAGCGAAACTCTGTCTCAAAATAAATGAATGAATGAATGAATGAATGAATAAAAATGAAATGGCTGGGCGCGGTAGCTCACGCCGGTAATCCCAGCACTTTGGGAGGCCAAGGCGGGCAGATCGCGAGGTCAGGACTTAGAGACCAGCCTGGCCAACATGGTGAAACCCTGTCTGTACTAAAAATACAAAAATTAGCTGAACGTGATGGTGGGCACCTGTAATCCCAGCTATTCGGGAGGCTGAGGCAGGAGAGGATCGTTTGAACCTGGGAGGTGGAGGTTGCAGTGAGCCGAGATCACGCCATCGCACTCCAGTCTGGGCGACCAGGGCAAGACTCCGTCTCAGGGAAAAAAAAAAAAAAAAAATCGGGTAATAATGGTTCTCACCACAAGGGGTAATTCCGTGAACCAGATGAGTGAGTGATACAGGGAGCAAGATTAGCACAATGCCATATTTGGTCAATTCTACTTCCCCGTTACTGTGTTCATCACTGTTAGGATTCTGGTTTAGTAAGATGCTTGTTACCAATCCTTCTGCAGCCCTCAGGTGAGTGGGTTCCACCTGTCACCTGCAGAGACATCCCAGTCATGTATATGAGCCACTGCCAGCCATTAGCTGGGAGGTGACCCCTGCATGTGGCTTCCCAAGATGAGGCTATTCCAATGTCCTCCACGGCAGCCCAGCTGTGACCAGCTTGGAGCCCTGGGAGGGGTTATCACAGCGGCCCTAGTAGTACTCGATTTCAGACTCTGGTCCCATGAAACTGGGACTGGCATCACAGGCGAGTGACCTGTACAGTCATCCAGGATCCCTCCCTCAGGCCCTGTGCTTTGGCCTGTAATCCCAGCAGTTTGGGAGGCCGAGGCAAGTGGACAACTTGAGGTCAGGAGTTTGAGACCAGCCTGGCCAACATGGTGAAACCCCAAATCTACTAAAAATACAAAAATTAGCCAGGCATGGTGGTGTGCACCTGTCATCCTAGCTCCCGGATTCTTGGGAGGCTGAGGTAGGAGGATTGCTTGAACCCGGGAGGCGGAGGCTGCAGTGAGCTGAGATTGCGCCACTGTACTCCAGCCTGGGTGACACAGGGAGACTCCATCTCAAAAGAAAAAAAAGAAAGGCCCCGTGCTTTTTAAAGCTCTGCTGCTGGCCACATGCCGTGGCTCACACCTGTAATGCCAACACTTCGGGAGGCCAAGTCAAGAGGATCACTTGAGCCCAGGAGTTTGAGACTAGTCTGGGCAACATAGAGACCCCATGCCTCACTGTCCAAGTCTCTACAAAAAGAAAAATGTAAAACTTAGCCTGGTGTAATGGGGCCTGCCTATAGTCCCAAGTACTTAGGAGGCTGAGGCAGGAGGATCGCCTGAGCCTCGGAGTTCAAGGCTACAGTGGGCTATGATCATGCTACTGCACCCCAGTCTGGGTGACAGAGCAAGACCCTGTCTCTAAAAGGGGGGTGGGGGGGAGGGGGAAGAAAAGATAAAAGCTCGCTATTGTGGTCTGGAAAGTCTTAATACTTTTCTAACAAGAGACCCCACAATTTCATTTGCGTGGGTCCTGGATCCCATCCTGCTGGGGGATGGAGGAAGGAGCGGGGGCGGAGTCAGGCCCACCGTGGCCCGCCCTGCTCTTCCTAGCAGATAATTTTGCCCTGACCTTTCCCAGGCTGGGACAGAACAACCTGCCTTCTCTTGCCCCAAGCCAGCCTGCACTCTGAGCACTCAGGGTATTAAAAGGACAAGCTGTGAAGCCATCAACTGCCCGGTCCCCCGGAGTCTGGGAAAAAAATGCCCCCTGCGCCCATCCACACTCTTTTTTTTTTTTTTTTTTTTTGAGATGGAGTTTTGCTCTTGTTACCCAGGCTGGAGTGCAATGGCGTGATCTTGGCTCACTGCAACCTCCGCCTCCTGGGTTCAGGCAATTCTCCTGGCTCAGCCTCCTGAGTAGCTGGGACTATAGGCGCCCACTAGCACGCCCAGCTAATTTTTGTATTTTTAGTAGACACAGTGTTTCGCCATGTTGGTCAGACTGGTCTTGAACTCCTGACCTCAGGTGATCCACCTCCTCAGCCTCCCAAAGTGCTGGGATTATAGGCGTCAGCCACCGTGCCGAGCCCACACCCTTTTTCTCTCTCCTCTCCGGCTGCCTGGAAGGGCCTGCTTGGGCTGGGAGCTCATTCTTCCTGCTGGGGCCCGGGGCCTTGGATACCCTGACCCGATCCCACCCACCTTGCCACCAGCCCTGAGCTCCGGGCACCTCCGGCCAGTCCCTGGCAGTTGGTGGGGGACCATCTGGACTGCCAGGGCCACTCCCTGCCTTCCTCCTCCTCTGCCATCTGATTGTGGACCCCACACACGCCTCCTGCACTGTTGTTTTAATTAAACTCCGAGGAACTGGGCAGAGTGTGGTTCGCGATGTACGTTTTTGTTTAATTAGGTGTTCTCGGTAGCGTCAGGCGGCCGAGACCTCCCCCTGCACCCTGGCTGGCTGCTGTCCACACACGCTTATGGGGACCCCTGCGGGGCCACATACACACGGGAATTGCTCACGTGTGGACACGTGGGCACGGGCAAGCGTGAGCACATACATGCGGCACACATGTACCCACGCATGAATGAAATACAGGGTTCCCTCGTAGGCACACGAGCATGCATAGACACACAGGGGGATGCCGACAGACCCAGCTGTGGGCACCAAGACCAATTGAGTGAGGCCCAGTCATTTTGGCCCTCATCTCCGATGATGTCATCAGTAGCCAATCAGAGCCACTTTCAAGGTCGTCCAGGTCCCTGGCCCAGGAAGGATGGACAAGAGGCCTGAACTGCCTCAGACGGCATCCAGCCATGCCCCCTTCAGGGCCCCGATGGGTTCAGACCTGGTTGAGTGGAGGGCTTTTGCAGCCGGTCCTGCTCAGCTTCTTCTGAGCTCAGCCAGGCCTGGGTTCAAATCCTTGCTACATGCTGGCTGTATGACCTGGGACAAGTGTGTGACTGCCTGTGCCTCCGTTTCCCCCTCTATGGAAAAGGCTTGGAGGAGATCACAGGTTCCGTTGCCTGCGCTGCGCCTGGGATGCTGTTAGTGCTCAGGGCTTTCCACTGGGGCTTTTCCCATCCAAGCAGTGACCCCCGAGCTGGAACTGCCGCTCTCTCGTAATCCTGGGGAGGCAGGGATTGATTCTGGCTTCCCCTCCCTGGATCCTGCCCACCTCTCCCTTGCCCCATCTTGGCCTCCTGCCCTCCTGCTGCTTGCCTGGGGCTCAGTTTCCTCCCAAGATGGTGGCCTCCTGCCCACCTCTGTCCACGGCCACCCACCCCTGAGCCCCATGTCCCATCTGGGCCTTTGTAAGCAAATACATGTGTATTCTTTAAACAAACAGAAACATTGTCTACGCCAGGAAGCAGCACACTTTTTCTCCAGACCACCAGGAAGTAAATATTTTTGGCTCTACAGGCTGGACGGTCTCTGTCGCAGCAACAACCCAAAACTCTGCCATTGTGTTGGAAAAGCTGAGAAACGAATGGGCGTGGCTGTGTGCCAATAAAACTTTATTTAATTAATTAATTAATTTATTTATTTATTTATTTTGAGATGGAGTCTTGCTCTGTCGCCCAGGCTGGAGTGCAGTGGCGCGATCTCTGCTCACTGCAAAGTCCGCCTCCCGGCTTCACGCCATTCTCCTGCCTCAGCCTCCCGAGTAGCTGGGACTACAGGTGCCCGTCACCAAGCCCGGCTAATCTTCTTTGTAGTTTAGTAGAGACGGGGTTTCACCATGTTCACCAGGATGGTCTCGATCTCCTGACCTCGTGATCCACCTGCCTCGGCCTCTCAAAGTGCTGGGATTATAGGCGTGACCCACTGTGCCCGGCTGATAAAACTTTATTAATAAATACAGCTACAGGGCTGTTTTTGCGGCCCTTTACCCCCTCCACTCCAGCATTCCTACCAGATGCAGAGGAGCTGCCTATTTCTTGGTCTTAACAGCACTGCGATTTGTCACTTTTTTGTCACTTGTCCGTTGGAGTGGAGTTGGGGGGGCGGGGGGGCACGGTTATTAGTCTGCCCTACGTGGCTGTTTCCTAATCTCTTTTTTTTTTTTTTTTGAGACAGTCTTGCTCTGTCGCCCAGGCTGGAGTGCAGTAGCATGATCTCAGCTCACTGCAACCTCCACCTCCTGGGTTTAAGCGATTCTTCTGCCTCAGCCTCCCAAGGAACTGGGATTACAGGCGTCCGCCACCATGCCTGGCTAATTTCTGTATTTTTAGTAGAGACGGGGTTTCACCATGTTGGCCAGGCTGGTCTCGAACTCCTGACCTCAGGTGATCCACCTGCTTCGTCCTCCCAAAGTGCTGGGATTACAGGTGTGAGCCCCCACGGCCGGCCCATCTTGGTTTGTAGAGCACCCTGGATGCAAGGCAGCCCGTCACTTAGCTGGCTCACCTCATCACCTCAGCCCAGAAGCATGTTCCCACCGCTCAGGGAGCTCTGGGACCAGGAGATTCCAGGGACCTGAGTTTCTCCTCCTTGTCCCCGCTCCCCCCCGCCCCCACATCACCACCGGTCTCCATTTACCATGGAGGGGAGCCAGAACCTCACCACCCAAGAGGGATACCGAGCGCTGGAGACCTGGTGCCACTCACTCACCTGGTGCTGGAGGATTGAGTGCTCAACCAGGATTGAGTTGTTTGTTCATTGATTGAGCTCCTACTGTATGCCCGGTTCTGCGCTGGGTGCTACGGATGCTGTGGTGACACAGATGCACCGTTACAGATAGAATTCCCTGCTGCAGAGGAGAGTGAGGAGTGTGGGGGCATTTAGAGCAAGGGAGTTGGAGCTAGTCCCAGGTGGTGTTCCGATCAGTAGACAGATGTGGGAACGGGGATTCCAGGCTGAGGGAACAGAACAGGTGACCCGAGGGAGGGGGCTTGATGACTTTGAGAGCCGTGGAGGCCAGGGTGACTGGGCCAGAGAGAAAAAGAGGAGGGAAGGTGGCAGGGGCCAGCAGCGGGCAAGCAGGCAGGGTTCCTTCTGAGGGTGGCCGGACCACAGAAGGGTGTACAGCGGGGGAGCAGTGTGGTTTATGTTTAGAAAGGCAGGTGGGGCTGTGGCTCACACCTGTAATCCAGGCACTTTGGGAGGCCACGGCAGGTGGATGATGAGGTCAGGAGTTCGAGACCAGCCTGGCCAACATGGCAAAACCCCTTCTCTACTAAAAGTACAAAAATTAGCCGGGCGTGGAGTGCATGCCACTGCCTTCCAGCCTGGCCGACGAGTGAGACTCCATCTCAAAAAAAATAAATAAATAAAAAATAAAAACGGTGTCCTCTGGGCCAGGCACAGTGGCTCATACCTGTAAAATACCTGTAATCCCAATGCTTTGGGAGGTCAAGGTGGGAGGATTCCTTGAGCCCAGGAGGTCGAGACCAATCTGGGCAACATGGTGAGACCCTATCTCTATATTTTATTTATTTTATTTTTATTTTTAGTTTGATTTTTTTTGAGACCGAGTCTCACTCTGTCGCCCAGGCTAGAGTGCAGTGGCGTGATCTTGGCTCACCACAACCTCCGTCTCCCGGGTTCAAGTGATTTTTCTGCCTCAGTCTCCCGGGTAGCTGGGATTACAAGCATGCACCATCATGCCCGGCTAGTTTTTGTTTTTAATGGAGACAGTGTTTCACCATGTGGGCCAGGCTGGGTCTTAAACTCCTAGCCTTAAGTGATCCACCTGTCTCGGCCTCCCAAAGTGCTGGGATTACAGGCATGAGCCACCGCGTCCAGCTGATTTATATGTATATATCTCTCTGTTTAAAAATTTTTTAAAAGATAAAAAGAAAGGCGTCCTCAGGCTGCTGTAAATGAACCCACTCAGCACTGTGGACCTTGGGGCCAGGTTTGTGCTTATATGTAGTAGGGTGTAGAGCATCTCTCAGCCCCACCCAGTCCATTCCAGGAGCACCCACCCCCAAGTCCTGACCCCCAAGTTGTGACAACCTCAGATATCCCCAGACATCGCCCAGTGTCTCCCAGGGCAGCAGAGTCACCCCCCAGTGAGAAATATCATTCTACCTGGCTCAGCTCCCTGACACCAGCCTCCCCCTTGTACAGAAGAGGGACCCAACCAGGTGCAGTGGCTCATGCCTGCAATCCCAGTGCTTTGGGAGGCAGAAGTGGGAGGATTGCTTGGGGCCAGGAGTTTGAGACCCGCCTGGACAACACAGCGAGACCCCCTCTCTACAAAAATTTTAAAAATTAGCCAGGCGTGGTGGCGCATGCTTGTAGTCCCGGCTACTCAGGAGGCTGAGGCAGGAGGATCACTTGAGCCCAGGTTGTTGAGACTGCGGTGAGCTATGATCGAGCCACTGTACTCCAGCCTGGGCAACAGAGCAAGACCCTGTCTCAAAAAAAGAGAGAGAACTGGCTGTAAAGGATGGCACCCATGGCTGAGGTCACGCAGCCAGGGAGGAGCTGGACCCGTGGCCAGGCAGTCCCTGAGCCCCAGGCTCAGGAGTGGCTGTGCAGTGCTCAGAACCATGCCCATTTCTCTCACGTCTCTGCCCTCAGAGGACCAGCTGCCCTCTGGCTTCCCCAACATCGACATGGGCCCACAGTTGAAGGTGGTGGAGCGGACACGGACAGCCACCATGCTCTGTGCAGCCAGCGGCAACCCTGACCCTGAGATCACCTGGTTCAAGGACTTCCTGCCTGTGGATCCTAGTGCCAGCAATGGACGCATCAAACAGCTGCGATCAGGTGAGTGAGGGTGGCTGACAGGACGTGGGAGCCTTGGAGGGCAGCAGGGGGTGGGGAGCATCTCCAGGGCCCAAGTTCTGGGGACTACTGGAGGACAGACAGAGACAGTGTGTGGCCGTGGCAGGCGTTGGCTCTGGGGGAGTGGGGGCAAATGTCTTCAAAGCCGCACACTGAGGATATTAGGGGGCACAGATGGGCATGAGTACTGGAGAGCTATAGAGGGTGGTAGAAGAATAGTGCTTCAACACCTGGCCAATGAAGATATAATGGATGCAGACATGCACAAGGATGGGGAGTTATATAGGGCCATGGGCGGGGAGAGTGTCTCCCATGCTCAGGCAGTGAGATCACAGCTGTCACCCACAGACAGTTGTGGGTGATAGGAAGCCACTGAGGGGGCTGGGCGCAGTGGCTTATGCCTGTAATCCGAGCTCTTTGGGAGGCCAAGGCAGAAGGCTTGCTTGAGGCCAGGAGTTTGAGACCAGCATGGGCAATGTAGCAAGACGCTCATCTCTGAAAAGAAAGAAAGCCGCCAAGGATGGTGGGTATCGGCAGTGCCCAAGCAATGGGAGACAGACAGGCAGAAGTGTCAGTGAGCCATGGAGGGTGACAAGGGGAGACCAGCTTCAATGGGTATGTAATAGGGAGCTATGGAAGGTGGCAGAGAGCATCCTCTACAGAAGCATTAGGCACGTCCAGTGAGAATACAGTGGGGCCCAGACAGGCAGGAGTAGTGGAAGCTGTGTAAGGCAATGGCAGGTGTCCAGAGGTGACAAGTAAGGTGATGGGGAGCCATAGAAAACTACAGGGAGAGAGTCTCTCCAAGGCTGAGCAGTAAGAGGTGATGGCGGGGCTTCAGGTCTGTAAGGGGGCACAGACGGGCAGTCCAGCCTGTCTGTTCAGGCCCTGGCTGGGCTAGGGAGACCTTGGGACAGAGCCTTGGAGACGGGTGGTTCCACCATTGTGTCTCCACAAAGCACCCACATGGCCCATCTGTGGGTCCATCTGTCTGGGGGGCTGTGTCTGCGTGTGTGTTGTCCCCCCGCTTCACGACATGTCCACGTGTGCATGTCTGGGCTCCCTGTGCCGGCCTGGCCTGCCTCCCGCCTGTGGGCACAGGTGTGCAGGCCTGGCTGCTGTCACACACGGGCCTCCCTTCCCCCGCCCGGAGCAAAGTGTCCGCCTGCATCTCGGCCACACGTGCACCCACATTGCAGTCACTCCCGTGCCTGTGCACACAGGGCAGTGATCCGCGCACGCGCCTCTCAGCCTGCACCTCCCTAGTGCTCGTGCGTGGGGACACACGTGGTGGGGATGTGTCTCCATACATTGGGAGCACACGTGTGGCTGCACATGCGTGTTTGTCTGTGTCACGGATTTACTGTTTTCAGTTGTGCCGGGCTTGACGCCCTGCCTTCGTTCAGGTCACTGTTGAGATCACCCTGCACCTCCACACACCCCTCTTTTTGCTTTCTCTCTCCCCTTCCTCCGAGGATCCCGCCACGGAGCCCCCTTTGCAGCAGTACCTCCCCGAATCATCCCCAGCGCCCCTCACTCACTGCCCATCGTTGCCCCCCACCAAAGAGCCTACCTACCTGTTCTCCGCTTTCTGCTCCTCCTCCTTAGTGAAAACCAAGCCCCAAAAAGATCAGACGTGGAGCCCAGAATGTCTTCCTTGGAGAGACTCAGACCTCACACTGGGGGGACAAATCGCCTCCTATCTCCCAGCCTGGCTGAGGATGTTTGCAGCTCATAGGCCTCTGCAAGCAGGGGGAGCGGTGGCCTCAGTTTCCCCATAAAACATGCCTATTTTCCTTGTGTTCTGGTGACCTCTCCAGGATGGAATGTCTAGCGCCTGCTAGGTGCTCAGTGAACATAAGCCACTTTAGGAATCATAAGAAATGTTGTTATTATTATTCTGAGCGTCCCCCTCCCCTCCCCCGCCCTCCCCTCCTCGCTGAGGACATAGGATTCTTTGTAACCACCCGTTAACGTTCCTGTTCTCTTTTCTTATCCTCCTGTTGTAAACGTTCAGAAACCTTTGGTAAGTCTGATTTCATCACCACGTCAACAACTAACGCCCCATCCCCTTTGTGCCCCTTCTGCTCCCCTTCTCCTCACCAAACTAACAGCCACCGTGATGGTAACTGTGACCCACTCTGCCTGGTATGTTTACTAACGCCCTCTCCCTCCTCCCCGCGACCGGCCCCTCAGCCCTCCCCAGCTGGCACTAGTGTGCGGCAGAGAAAGAAACCCAAAGGAAAAGAGGAAAAGAGACAAGTCCACCCAAAGGAAAAGAGGAAAAGAGACAAGGCCAGGCAGACCTCAAAATGCAGGCTGAGGGGGGTTCAGAGGCATCCTCGGGCTCATGGAACTTCGCACCTAACAACATTTCCTCCCGCACTTTTTTCTTGGCCTTAGCCCTGCTGGAAAAGGATTTAATTACAGAAGTTTGGGGGCTGGGGCTGGGCGTGGAGTGGAGATTTTTCCAGCCTAGCTGCTACTGGGCACTTCTCATCCACTTTTCTCAGCATTCAGCCTGAATCTCCTGAAATCAGTTGTGGGACTAATTCATACTAAAGTGAGAGTGACTGATATCAGCCTATGCTATCAGTCCCTTCATCTCTCTCAGGGTGGGAGGCGGAACACCTTTTAATGGCTAAGGGATACATTGTTTCCACTTGATAGAATAGCCCTGAGTGATTTGGCCAACTTGAAAAGACTTCTTTTTTTTTGAGACAGTCTTAATCTGTCACCCAGGCTGGAGTGCAGTGGCACCATCTCGGCTCACTAAAGCCTCCACGTCCCCGATTCAAGCAATTCTCCTGCCTCAGTCTCCTGAGTAGCAGGGATTACAGGCACCCACCACCACACCCGGCTAATTTTTGTATTTTTAGTAGAGACGGGGTTTCACCATGTTGGCCAGGCTGGTACCCCAAACTCCTGACCTCAGGTGATCCACCTGCCTCGGCTTCCCAAAGTGCTAGGATTACAGGCGTGAGCCACCACGCCCGGCCTGAAAAGACTTTCTTTAACCCTGACTTCCACCATCGTCATCCCAGTGTCCTAGCAAAGGCCAGCCTGGATTTCCGCTGACTCGGATTCCAGTTCTCCAGGGTGTAACTTTAGGCAAACTTCTGTTTGCTCCCCTCTAAAGGGTGCAGAGTGGCCTCACGAGAACACCTCGAAAGATAATTCAGGGACTCCGAAAAGTTCAGGCCAGAAGCTCCTCATCCCAGGAGGCTGGAGAGCTAGGCTCAGTGCCCACCCCTGCCTCATGATGGGACCTCAGAGATTCCCCTCTGAGCCTCAGTTGGCCCGTCTGCAAAATGGGTTTGGGCCACGCAGAAGGAGCTGCTTTTTCACGTGTCTGGCCACTCCTGGCAGATCGAGGTCTTGGGATCTTCTTGGCCCCAGCCAGCCGAGTTATCAAGTTATCGGCCATCAGCAGCAGAGAGAAGGGGGCCCAAAACTTCTCCCTGGATCATGAGCAGAGGGAGTAACGTTCCAGCCCCGAGCCGCCTTTTCCTGCTTTGCAGTTAACCATCCCTGCCTCCAAGGCCCAGATAAACAGGTCTTTCCTCTTTTCCTCTTGGTAAGAAGGCTGCCAGGCTCTCCCTGTCCCTCCTACTCGGCCTGTCTGTGACACCCTTCCTTGGCTGTATTAATGCCCGGCACTGGGGCACTAACCCCACCCACCTCCCCTGTCTCTAACAAGATAATTCCTGTTGCTCCTTGTCCCCTCCTAGTCTGGACTTGAAAGCAGTCTCTTGCTGGGCTCCCTAAGACGGAAAGAAGGAAGGGGGGGTGATGAACCTCCCTCCCTCAGCCCAGAGGGAAGGCCACCAAAGGGCCAGGCTGACAGACCTTCCCTGGGCATAGAGACGCCCCTCACCCATCCAGAGAGGCTTCTAGACTCCATCCCTCCACCCCCAGAGATTCCCGCCTTCTACAGGAAACCCTCCTGCTTTGACAAGCCCTCAGACCTCACCCTGCTCCTAGGAGGCCTCTCCTAGCTTCCTCAGCAAAGCCCGCAGGGTCCGTATGCCCAGGGCTGGCTCGATCCCCTCCCTGGGGCAGAGTGCTGAGGCCTGGCTTACGGCCCAGCCCAGCTTCCCTGGGGCCCCCCGGCCCCCCAACAACCGCCTTGTGACATTCACCTGGTTCTCTCTGCTTCCCTTACAGAAAGCACTCCGATTCGAGGTAAGAGGCTCCTCACTCACCCACCCACTCACGCTCGCTCTTGCTGCCCACTCAGCCCCTCAGGCTCCACAGGGCCTGCCCCCAGGCCCCCTTCCATGCGTGTCCACCCTGCCACCACCTTTGTTCCACCCAGTGTTAGTCCGGTCTCTGCGTCTGTGTCTGTGTCTGTGGCCAGGGGGCTGAATGTGGCCGAGGTGACTCCTCAGGTCACCTGGCTGTGGAAGGCGGGGGCGCTCTCTCCCCCTCTGGGAAGGACCCTACCTGGCAAGACCCCCAGAGTGCTGGGAGCCCCATGTGGTTTAGCCACCTCTAAAATGAGCATGCAGGCCGGGCGCGGTGGTTCACGCCTGTAATCCCAGCACTGTGGGAGGCCGAGGCAGGTGAATCACCTGAGGTCAGGAGTTCAAGACCAGCCTGGGCAGCATGGTCAAACCCCATCTCTACTAAAAACACAAAAATTAGCCGGGCATGGTGGTGGGCGCCTGTAATCCCAGCTACTCAGGAGGCTGAGGCAGGAGAATCACTTGAACCTGGGAGGCAGAGGTTGCAGTGAGCCACTAAGATCATGCCACTGCACTCCAGCCTGGGTGACAGAATGAGACTCCTCAAAAAAAAAAAAAAAAAGAAACAAAACGAACATGCAAAGTGGGCCTTCCAGCTCCACAGTTCTTTCTGATCTGGAGGTTCTAACCCAAGGACACATAGAGACATGCACTCTCAGGTCGGTCGGCTCCATCCCTTTCCCCCTACCCAACTTTTGCCTCAGAGAAGAGCCAAGAGAAGGCCTGAGTGGGAACCTGGGGAAGAATCAGTGTCCAGCCCTACCTTTGCTACAAATGCTGTGTGACCTAGAGCAGTCTCCTGACCCTCTCTGGGCCTCCTTAGTGATGGAGATACTGCCTGCTTCCCAGAACCTCGAGGTCCAGGGAGAATAGGCAGTGCTCTATGGGGACGGAGTCTTTATCCATGACCTCCAGAGAGAATCCCCCAATCTGTGGGTCCATGTCATTTCTGTGGGATAGTCACAAACAAGGCTGGAAAGCTCAGTCTGGATTTTTGGACCCCTGGTGCCATAGGCTGTGATTGAAGCCTGTGATTCAAACACATTTGGGGATATTCACTCATCTTCATTTACTCATGGTCGACAGGCACTTGGGTCCAGGCCTGTGATTCAAACATACTTAGATATGTTACACTAAGTTTTATTTACTTATGAAAATAAGGACTTTGATCCAGGCCTGTGATTACAAACATACGTGTGGAAACTTTTGCCTTATTTTTTATTTGTGGGCACTCAAGTTTTTATCAAGGCCTATAATTTCAGATATACTCAGCTTCATTTACTGGTGAAAATGAGGGACTTGTTTCAGGCATGTGGTTTCAGATATCTTTGGGGAAATCTTGGCCTCGTTTTCATTTTCTCATGGGCACAGTAGTGTTTGATCAAGGCCTGTGATTTCAGATATTCTTGAGAAGGTTCATTCATTTTTATAGGTTCATGGAAAGTGAAGTCTTTGATTTGGGTCTGTGATTTCAAATGTATTGAGGGGAAATCAGTCCTATTTTCATCTACTCATGAGCACCAAGACCTTGGATTTGGGCCTGTGGTTTTAAATATGCTTGAAAAATTGCCCTCTTCTTTGTATCTTTATTTACTCATGACCAACAAATTCTTTGATCCAGGCTTGGGGCATTTTAGCCTCAACTTTACTTGTGAGTATGAGAGGCTTTCAATCAGACCCCTGATTTCAAACACTTTTGAAAATTTAATCTAATCCTGGGTACCTATGAGCATCATAGAATTGGGTCTAGGACCATAATTTCAAACACACTTGAAGAAGTCCATTCAGTTACTCGTGAGCACCAGGATGTTGACTTCAGGCTTGTGGTTTTAAATACAAGCAGGTAAATTCAGACTTTTATTTAGATGACTTAAAATACTTGGGGAAATTCTGACTTCTCTTCAATCAGTTTCAGGCCAGAAGGCTTGGATCCATGGCTTTGATCTCAAACATACTTGATACACACCAGCATCAACGTTTTTTTACTTTAGCTGCCTCAGGGTATAACCTAATCCTGAAATTTCAAACACACCTGAAGAAGTACAACCCCGTCTCCATTTACTTAGGGGCGTTGAGGACTTTGAGGACTAGGATTCCAAACACAACTGAGGAACCCAGACCCATGTTCATTTACTCACGGGCACCTAATGAAACAAAGCAACCACCAGCTCCCTGAATTTTCACATGATTTGTGGTGGGCCCCCTCAGGTCCCTGGATCTATCAAATGATGGTTATGAGTTGTGAATGCCAACCCACTCTTTCCTTCTGGCCAGGAGAGCATCACTTAGTGCTTTCTCAAACACACTTTTCTCCATCTTTGTAATTCAACTTGGCAGTCATGAGGCAGCAGTCTCATGACCAGCTGCTTTTCCACTGTGAGTGGAGAATTTGCTGGGGAATCTGGTGTGTCCAGGCCCTGGTGGGGCTAGATGTGGGGGTGGAGGTTATACAAGGCCTGGCCAAGCTAGGGCTTCCAGGTTTTCTCACCTCTTATCTGCCTCTCTGGCCCAGCCAGCACAGGAGACAGGCCAGAGAGCACTCTGGTGGGGGAGCTTTCCCTGTTCACTCCTGGGCCCCCCTCTAACAGACCAAGCTTTTTCCCATCTTCCCACAGGAGCCCTGCAGATTGAAAGCAGTGAGGAAACCGACCAGGGCAAATATGAGTGTGTGGCCACCAACAGCGCCGGCGTGCGCTACTCCTCACCTGCCAACCTCTACGTGCGAGGTAGGGAACGCCGCGTCCAGGTCAAAGGCAGGGACCCGCCCCGTCCCATCCCCCTCCCTCCTCGGGCTCACCGCCTCCGGGCTCCCCCGTCCCCTGCACACCCAAGCAGGAAGGCCCCTCCCCGGTCGCGGTGGGACCTTGGCCGAGGCGGCGTCCCTCTCTGGGCCTTAGTTTCCTTGCCTGTAGAATGGGGGCAGCTTAAATTCCCTTCCTCGTGCCTTGCGAGAGATGCCCCGTGGGCAGCAGGCTCTGGGGAGGCAGTGATGGTGGGGTAGGAAGGCGTGGGGCAGGGTGAGGGGGTCAGTCTTGGGCCTACAGGGCCAGGGGAGCCTGCAGGCCTCTGCCCCGCCCCACCCCACCTGCCTGCCCACCCGAGTTGGCTTCTGTGGTGTGTCGTGCCTTCCCGTGCTGTGTGCTGGCTTTGCTTCTCCCAACTTTGTGGCCTCGTAGCTCCCCGCTTCACTGCCCCCCCTAATCCAGGGCCCTCAATCTAGAAGTTGAGGAGGGGTCTTCGAGGCTGCCCCTCCCACCCCCCACCAGCTGGTCCGGAGCCCGGCGCCTTCTGCCTCTTCCTAATGACTCTCCGAGAAGGGCAGTCCAGGCCGATGGGAGGCTGGAGCCACAGCGGGCACAGGCACCCGGGGGGCTCGGTAGTTGCACCGAGCTGGGGCAGGCACGGCACCCAGCGAAGCTTGTTACTCTCAGTTTCCAATTCCCACTCAGTCATGCCCAGCAGCGTGGGGGCCTCGCCCCAGCACCTCCCCGCTCCCCTGCCCCAAGGAAGCTTACTTCCTTGTGGGTCCCTTGGTGCTGCCTCAAAGGTGCCAGGGGGCTCCCTTGCCCCCAGATGCCTCCGTTGGCCTCCTCTTATCTCGTGTGTTGGCTCTTGGGTCTTTTCAGAAGTTGTAGTCTTCCTCCTCCTCCTCCCTTTCACCTCCTAGTCGCTGTTTCTGATCAGATTTGTGGTAGAAACAGCTTCTGCCAGGATGCCAGGGCGCCCTTCAATCCCTAGGGCTGCCCCAGTTAGCGCTGTGTAATTGACTCAATCACATCCTTCTCTGGGCCTCAGTTTCCCCCATGCGAAGTACCAAGCCCTAGTTGTTCTCCATCCAGGAGGCCGTGTGGCTCATCCCTTACCCACAGACCCTCACTCACCACCTTCGTCCCTACCATCCACAGCACCCGCTGGCCCTGAAGTGATTCCTTGGTCCTGGACCTGGGGTTTTGCATTTTGTCTCTGAGGAGGAGGTCGCATGGAGGGGGAGGGGATGGGGATGTGGGTGTATGGACGGGTGGTGGGTAGGGGCACGTCTGATCCACTGTCACGGCACCTCTGGTGAGTTGTAATGCGTTCGTGACTCCAACTGACTGGTCTTCACCTAACCTGCTTATTTCTCTGCCAACACCTGGGATGGGGGTTTGTAAATCCAGCAGGGCTCAAAAGAGTGTGGACAGCGGGTGTGGGGCAGGGAGCCGGGTGGGGCCTTTAGTGAGGGTGCAAGAAGGGAGGGGGGCTTCTGTGTCCTCATCCCCCAGAGGTGGGGTCCCCAGCATGAGCCTCCATCCTCTTGGGGACAGTTGAGGGGGTGAGGTTCTGTTTCCCCATCTTTGCCTGGGTCTTAGATGCTCCAGAATCAAGCTTAGAAAAGAATGGAGAAAGGCAAATGTAGTAGATCTTGTATGTTGAGGGCAGAGTGGAGAGAAGACAAAAAGGTCATTGCTGTTCTTTTTATTTTTTAATTTTAATTTTTTTTTTTGGTTTAAAGAAAAAAAAAACAACAAACTATTGCAGCTTTTAGCCTTGGGAAGTCCTCTTTTTACTCTCTGTATCTCCCCTATTTTTTCTCTTCTTCCCATGTCATTGTGTTCTGCATCAAACCCCCTTTACATCCCTCAGAGCTTCGAGAAGGTTGGTGTGTTTTTTTCTTTTTTACTTTCTTTACCCACATTTTTACATTCTGAAAATGACACGCACACACACAAAACACATGTAGACACCACACGGACACACGCTGACACACACACGGAAAAAAAATAGAAAAATGAACAACAATTTTAAAAGATGGAATATGAATCATAAGCACAAAGCAAACTAAACAAAAAACCGCCAAGCGAGCGCAAAACCCAGAAAGACACGAAAATCTCAGCCGCGCCCAGCCCGGCCTAGGGCCGGCCGCACACATGCGATGCTTGCATTATGGTCGCCTCTGCATCCGTTGGTAATGTTGTTGCTAAGTTTTTTGCACTCCTCGTCGTCATGGTAACTTGGGCCTGATGCATGCTGGGAGAATGTAAAAATTTCTCTGCATGCCTCTCTTGTCGGTTTGGTTTGGTGAATTCCCAACGCCTTCTGTTGGAGTGTTTCTCGTCTTCTGTTCTGTTTTTCTCTTTTGGTTTTCTTTTTTCCTTTTTCTTTTTTTTTTCTTTTTTCTTTTTTTCTTTGGTTTTGTTTCGTTTTGGGGGGAAAAAATCAAATGGTTCTTTTTTCCCCTCCCATTCCCTTCACCTGGTCCTCTTCTCCCCCAAAGCGACTCGTCTTTGGTTCTGTCTTGTGTCTGTGCTATTTGGTTTTGGTTTCTTGGGTTGAGCTGTTCTGTGGTTGTTCTCCAAACGCATTGTGATTTAAAAGCCAGTGTTCCTGTCCCAGCTATCATCCAGGAGGGCAGAAGGGGTCCCACAGCTGGGATGCCAGGGCAGAAAGTGACCACTTAGGCACAAGGGCACAAGGGAGGTGGCACAGACAGATGGCAGGAGGTCAGAACATGGGTGGGGTGTGTGGAGAGAGCAGCCCAATTTTCCTGACCTCACTGGCCAGCTCCTCTTTCCCCAGAGGTAGTAACTCAGCTCCCTGCCTCCAGGCAGCCATGTTGGAAGGAAGCTTAAGCAGGCATGTTCCCATCCTTCTACCTCAGAATGAGACTGCCTCCTGCGCTCCCAAATAAGCCCAAACCCAGGCATTTGAAGTACTGCTGAATGTGCACTAGCATTTTGAGTTCTTATTCATTTTAGTGACATATCCAAACATGGATTATGGTCAGTTTTAAATGAGGGGAGAGGACAATAACAGCACCATTTTCACAGGACCATGCATACTCGGTGTGTAATTGGCACTCAAAATGGCAGCTGCTGTGATGACTGTATGCATTCTGGCTGGGTACCAATCCAGAAGTGCCCATTAGGAAATGTAGCCTGACAGACTTTGGAAGAAAGACTTGGCCAATTATCTGACCTGGAACACTATGCCTCTGCCTCCCAGGCAGCACTGGCTGCTTCCCCCATCCCCTCTCAGACTCTGAGCCCGGTCACAGGCGTCTTTTGTCCAGCAACACAGCATGGTCACTTTCTGAGTACCTGAGCATCAGAGCTGTGGAATTCTGGAAAAAGCCCAGGGGAACCTTGGACACAGCCTCTCCCCTGCTCTCTCTGCCTCCCCAACTCTCCCTCTGCTTCTCTTTCTCTTTTTCAACTCTCTTTCTCTCTGTGTGTCTCTCACTCTTGCAAATCTTCAGAGATGCACACCCCCATCTTCTGCTCCCCTCCCCAAGAAAAGGCACGCCCTTGAGAGTCTTACTCCAACCCCCAATAAAAAACACCCCCCAATAAAATATCCGTGTAGATTTTTAACCACCAACCCCAGCTGACTACCCCGTTTAGACGATGTTGAGGACAGAAGCCAGACTTTGGAATCACCTTTTCCCCCTCTTGTCCCTCACTCACCTTCTCCAAACTTACCAATTATTAAATCCTGGACCAAGTTGGCAAGAGGACTTTAGATGCAGTAAGATTTGCTTATTAACCCAGCATGCGAGCTGCCAGGCTGACCCTCAGAGCAGTGCCAAAAGATGGCAGAAAGGGGTCTCCCAGCCCCTCCACCAAAGCTAGGTGCTGGTGCATTGGAACTGAGTGAACAGAGGGTCTCTGAAGACCACTTGGACTTTCTGGGCAGTACAGCCCAGAAAGTGATGAGAGCATAGGCTCTGGACTCTGGCAGACCTGGATTCCAGTTTTGTCTGTGCCCCTCCCTGGCTACGTGACCTTGAACTAGTCATTTGACCACTTGGAGTCCCCACTTCCTCATCTGAACAGTAGAGATCATAAATGAACCTTGATCACAGGGTAGGTGAAAGGATTTCATTGAACTAAGTGCTCTGTGTAACAAGCATTCCCAGTAGGATTGTTGTAAATAAAGGATTCAAGCAAATGATCTGGGCAAGTCACTTCCCTTCTTTGTGGGTCTTAGTTTCCCTGTTATGTACTTCACATGTCCACTGTTTGAATAAGATGGCATATGGGAAACTTTTAAAAATAATTGTAGGGCAGAAGCTAATTCATTTGCTCAGACCTCATTTTTCGCTAGTGCTTTCCTGAGCTCATCTCATGATCTCATTTTCTCCTGGCTCCAGCCCCATCCCCATGAGATCAGCGGACTACCCAGAGCCATAGCTCTCATTTTCCCCACTGTCATTTCCTAGGAAGTTCTGTGGCCACAGAAAGGGACAACAAAGGCCCATATTAAGTACAAGGCTACCCTTGCAGATAAGTACCAGCCCACCAGAAGAGATGGGCTACCTGGCATGTTCTGAAAGCTACAAGTATTTACATTGTTGCCAGAGCAGCCAGTCACAGGAATTAATTGCAAAAAGGGGAAAAAATGCAACCCCTAATCTCACTCTTATTTATTTTCTAAACTGACAGATCTCCAGCTTTGGCTGACTCTGGGTGGTACAGGGGGTAAAATATTCAGGCTTGCCCTTCTCCTCCTGAAATTTATCTCTGGGATCCAAAGGGCTTAAGTCAAAATGTGTCCATTTTTAAAAATACAGCTGGCAGCTCCACTCCCAGCTGTAGTTGAATTCTCCCTCCTCCGACTTTTGACAAGGTGGGAAGATGATCAGATTATATTCTCCCTGACTATGAATGTTCTTTTCTGGTTCTTTAAAACTCTAAGCCTTTAGAGTATGAGTTAGTGGCTAAAGGTAGTGTCTTTACTGCCTGGTCTTGCAACATAGCATTATTGAAACGTAGTGCACAGGACCCATGTAAATGGTTTGCCACCCTCTGATGCCAGGGGAACTTGGAAAAAGCTGGAGACATCAGGAGGAATTTTCTTTTTCTTTTACTTTTTTTTTTTTTTTTTTTTTTTGAGATGGAGTTTCACTCTTGTCACTCAGGCTGGAGTGCATTGACGTGATCTCGGCTCACTGCAACCTCCTCCTCCTGGGTTCAATGATTCTCCTGTCTCAGCCTCCCAAGTAGCTGGGATTACAGTTGCCCTCCACCACGCCTGGCTAATTTTTGTATTTTTATTAGAGACAGGGTTTTGCCATGTTGGCCAGGCTGGTCTCCTGACCTCAGGTAATCTACCTGCCTCGGCCTCCAAAAGTGCTGGGATTACAGGTGTGAGCCACCACACTCGGCCTTTTTTTTTTTTTTTTTTTTTTTGACAGAATCTCACTGTGTTGCCCAGGCTGAAGTACAGTGGCGCAATCTCGGCTCACTGCAACCTCCGCCTCCTGGGTTCAAGTGATTCTCCTGCCTCAGTCCCCTGAGTAGCTGGGATTACAGGCACCTGGCACCACGCTCAGATAATTTTTGTATTTCTGGTAGAGACAGGGTTTCACCATGTTGGCCAGGCTGGTCTCAAACTCCTGACCTCAGGTGATTCACCCACCTCAGCCTCCCAAAGTGCTGGGATTGCAGGAGTGAGCCACCGTGCCCTGCCGGTTGAGCAATGTTCTACCTTGAAGGGTCTGAGGATATCTTCAAGGTTTTGGAAGAGGCCGATGGGACTGGCATAATTTAACGCAGAGTCTTGAGTGCTAAGCTAAGAAACCAGTACCTGCTGCGTGACACCAGCAAGGCCTAGATTGCCCGATTCCCAGGTCTTCTTTTTCAGTATTTGTGACCTGTCCCCAGGCCTTTTCAGATCAATCCATCTATGCAAATTTATGGGGAAAAATTGTTTTTTAAATTAAATTTCCAATACCCAAGCCCTAAAATTGATGGATGTGACCCCAGGTGTTCCCCTTACCTCTTGGCCCCCCAAAACAGGGACAGACATAGATGGTGGGCTGGAACACCCCTCACCTCCTGTATTCCCAGAAAGCCTCGCGTTGAGGTGTGTTGGCCAGCTCCCTAGTTTGTGCTTACTATACCTGGCCACGCCTCCCTACCTAAGGCCGCTGGCTTAACCCTAGGGGCAGGCAGTGTTAGATCAGACCCAGACCTTCTCATCCCACCCTCATCACATCGGGGAGAGGGGACTCCAGGGGCGGGAAGGCAGGCGTCCCTCCATTTGGCCAGGGTGGGCGGCGAGGAGGGGGTCACTCTGCAGGAACACTGAGCTCTGAACACCTCTCGCCTGCTGCCTGCCTCACACCCTCTGCATTCGCTGTTTCCTCTGTTGGGGGAGGGGGTTTGTGAGGGGAATATTAGATTACACCTTGTCATTTGGAAAGCCCCGTGTCTCCGGCGGCCACAGCGAGGTTGGGGGGGTGGTGAGGGAAGTCCATGGATTGGCCAGAACTGGGGGAAAAACAAAAAGAAATGAGAGAAAGAGAGAGCGGGTACCAAAAAAAAAAAAAAAAGTATCTAGAGCGCATCCAAAGGTCCAGCTCAAAATACCAATGACTTGCCAAGGCCGCTGGTCAGCCCGTGGGCCAGGGAGCCAGCCAGGTCCCTCCGGGCCTTGCACGCTACCTCAGTGGCGGAGGGAGCTGGCGGTGGGGGGGAGAGGCGGGAGGGAGGGAAGGAGGCACAGCAAAATGATGGAGAAGGGTAGCAGAAAATACGCAGGTGGGCTGAGGGGCGGTGCCCACCCTCCTTGGGCTACAGGCTGGAGTTCAAAGGAGAGGACAAGAAGTGGGCTATGGAATTAGGAATGTTTCCAACCCCTCCCTTCCCCCCCGACAGGTGTAATCTAAGCTTAAATAAACCCCCCGGAGGCTGCACAATTTCTTGGCATCTCTCCCCTGCCCTCTCCATCCGCATATTCATTTTGGAGTTTGGAGAAGTATCTAGAATCTTCTCCCACCCCAAAATGCCCAGCAGAGCCCCCCCCCCCCCCCCCGCCGCCCCCGCACCCCTTGGAGCTGCGGCTTGCTGAATCGTTGAGATGTCTGACACTGTCGGGGTTCCCTACCTAGTGCTTCAACCAGATCACCTCACTTTTGAGTTTCCTTCCTCCCCTTTACCCTCGCCCCCACTCCCAACCCCCTTTTTTGGTTTTTGTGTTTCTGCCTCTTCCTGCCTGGGGGAGGGGTCGTCTCCTGGTTGCTTTGACGGTTTTTGAGTTGTTTTTCCATGTGAATCGGGGTTTGAAGCGACCACCCCCCACAACCTGCCACCCCCCCACCCCACCGCCCACCCTCCCGACCCCCTCGCCCAAGCGGGTCCCCCCGCTGGGACCCCCCGGCTACTCGGTGACGAGAAGAGCTGGAAACCAGAGCCAGCTGGAGCGTGCTGAGGACCAAGGCTGGTGTGGTCCCCTTATAACCTGCCTGGACCCTCCATTCAGGTCGGTAATTGGGGGCGGGGGTCCCGCGGGGCCTCTCCGTCCCGTGGGCACCGTGCCCACCTTACTTTCTAACCTGCACCTCAAGCTTGCAGCCGGGGGTGGAAAGATGACATGGGTGGGTGCCAGCACCAAACCGGGCAGAACACAGCGTCAGTCACCCGCCCTTGCCAGCTGGGAGGATGCCCAGAGGCCTTACAAGGCCGCCAGGGAGGGGGAGATCTGAACCACCTAGTGCCAATGGGCATGATCCTCCCTTAAACTCGTGGCAAACCAGCCCTCTTCCTAGAGCACACCCTTTGAAACAAATGAGGCGGGTGAGAAAGCAAGTGGGCAAGTTTCTTAGGTGTCAGAGGAGCCATTATAATTTATTGGCAGGTCCATTTAACTGATGGTTGCCGGCCATGTTGGGGATTGTGAACCCTAAAATTACTGCTGTTGATAAATGCCCTCCCACATTAAACTGATTTATAGTTAACCCTGTACTGCAAGTCTTTTACATATTCAACAGGTATCCCCTTGTCTCTACTTCTAAAAAAAGTTAAAGGTACCTTGCAAATTATGACATCCCTATGGAGAGATATTTTAAGATAAGATCAAACAGGAACAGGGTCTTTTGGATAAGATGTTGACCCTTACAGAATAGATAAATTGGCCTGGCACTTAACCTTTAGATCCTAAAGCTAGATCTTACTCCCTTTGACGTTCCAACAATTCCTTTGAGTATAAGCCTTTTACTGATGGCTTCTGGACATTTATTATGATGGCTACTGGATATTATTCAACCAGTGGCAACTGGCCATTACATGGAGTTTGGTATAGGTGATGGGTACTTTTTTCCTCTTTGGTGTCCCCAGTGGGTCAGGACACACAAGTTTGAAAGAGCTAGATGCCAAGGATTGATACTTGGCCGTAATCCTCGTTACTCACTATGGTGAGAAAAGCCTTGTTTTCTCTGAGAGGCAGCAACCAGGCTGGCCTGGCTTTGAGCTCTGGCTACACTACTTCCTTTCTGTGAGTTCCATCTAGTCTTGTCACCTCTCTGAGTCTCTGTTCCCTCATCTGCAAAATGAGCATAAGGACGTTTGCCTCTCAAAATTGTTAGAAGGAAGAAATAAGATGGGAATTCAGTAGAAATTCTTACTGTTTCCATTTCGTTTGTTTGTTTGTTTGTTTATTTATTTATTTATTTGGAGATGGAGTCTCGCTCTGTCACCCAGGCTGGAGTGCGGTGGCACGATCTCAGTTCACTGCAACCTCTGCCTCCCGGGTTCCGGCAGTTCTCCTGCCTCAGCCTCCAGAGTAACTGGGATTACAGGCGCCCGCCGCCACGCCTGGCTAATTTTTGTATTTTTAGTAGAGATGGGATTTTGCCATGTTGGCCAGGCTGGTCTCCAACTCTTGATCTCAGGTGATCCACCTGCCACAGCCTCCCAAAGTGCTGGGATCACAGGCATGAGCCACTGCGCCTGCCTCCATTTCCTTTTTATAATTCATCCCTGAACTCCCTTAAGGTAGAGAAGCTGTTTGATCGTCCCAGCCCCTGGGAGGCTGAAAGGTAACTTCACCAGCTCCATGCCTGAGTTTAGCACCTGCTGTGCCAGGCACTGCCCGAGTCAGGTTAATGCCTTTCTCGGCAGGATACCCAATTCCCTCCATTTTACAGATGAGGAAACTGAGGCTCCAGGAGGATGGGGGACCTTCCCAAGGCCACTGGGCTCATTCAGCCACATCAGCTCCTCCACGTCTGCCTGGAGAGGTTTACTATGGGATTCAGAGACCTTGAGGAGTTCACCTTGCTTTGTGATTTCAGCTTTGGGACCTCCAACTTGCTCAGCCCTAAGAGAGGCAGGGTGTCGAGAAGTGGACTGAGAGGGGCTTTAGAGAGAGAGACTTGAGTCGGGCTGGGTTGGTTTGTTCCGAAGGATTTTTGTCCACGAGGCTCCCACCCCTGTGGCCGCCCCAAACCCGTGGCCAAGACTCTTGGGTGCTGGATGGGGAGGCCGGATCCTGTGTTCTGCCAGGGGGAGGGCGTCTCCCTGGGGAAGCCACAGTCCTCCTCCTTTCAGACCCCGATTTTCAGCCCCACACCCATTCCATGATTTTTTTTTTTTTCTTCTTGCTTTTGGGTGTTGTGTTTTGTTTTGGAGGGAGTTTTTTCGTTTGTTTGTTTTTTAGATTCTCTCTTTCTTTTTTTAAATTGCTTTTGCTTTGTTATTTCATTTGTTCTTCCTGGTTTTGTTTTGGACGTCGATACCGTTTTTCTGTCCTTGAATAATTAGCTCCCCCCACGCTCATTTCCCCATTGTGTTCTGTTTCCATGACAACTCAGCCTTGGCATCTTACCTGTGCCTCGCTGTGGGTGCCGGCGGCTGGCCTGGACCGCGTCCGCTGGCTGGCCGGACCCCATTCTCCCCCCACACCCCCACCCTCCACCCAGCCCTACCAGAAAGCCACCCGCCCCCCCCATCTCACGGCACCTCGCCCCTCACCTCCACTCTGTGTGCATGGCCCTTCTGTCTCCCCATGCCCCGACTCCTCCCCTGGAGCAGTACCCTCCACTCCCTCCATCCTGTCTCCAGTGCGACTTCTGGACTTTTCGTGGGGCTTCTTTTTCCGAAGGGCTGCCAGCTTCCGGACCCCACTCCCACGCCTGCCGACGTCCCCCCTTCTCTTTGCCTCCCGCCCGGATTCAGGAAGGCAGGGGTTGGGATTTCCAGCTAGGAACCGAGGCTGGAAGGGAGGGAGTTGGGGCCACCTCCCTTTATCCCCTTGAACCTCCTCCTCAGCATCGTAGACCAGACCCCCTGAGACCACCCCCTGAGGCTGCACCTCCCAATCCCGTATGAAAATCAGAGGCAGGTGTTGATGGGGATCCTAACTGAGCCTCCAGTCCGTCATCTGTGCAGTTGAAACAAGACTCCTTCACCCATCCAAAGCTGGGGACGCACCCATGTGTCTTCTTTAGGACCTGAGACTGTCACCCAGGGACAACCCCTTTTCCTGCTAGAAGGATTTATTAGGTTCACCCGAGTCCTTCCCACAGCAGTTAAACAGCCCCCGTGGGCCAGCAGTGCTCTTTGCAAGTTCAGGTGCCCACTGGCCTCCTCCCCTTCCCCCTGTCCTGGAACCCATCTGACTTCCGAAAACGGAGCCCCCGAAATGCATCCTGCTGCCTTCATGGTCTTTGAGAGAAGGTTGCATCCACTTCCCCGCTAAGAAACGCACAGAACATGTCCCTGTTCTCTCAACGTTCAAGTTCATTCCCTTGTTTATTATTATTAATTATTATTATTATTATTATTATTAATATACTATTTATTATTCTGCCAGGGCTGTGATGTGACAATGTGGCATGTCACATTGGATCACATCTGCTAGAATTAATATGCAGCATTGAAGTGGGCCCCCCCTTCTTTCTTTCTTTCTCTGCCCCTCCCGCTCTCTGTCCCTATTTTCTATTCTTCTCTCTTTCTCCCCATTCATTCGTCTCCTCTCTCTGGTGTCACGTAAGTGTGCACTAGAGATCCCCAAAATCCAGATCTTCCCCCTGCAGTTCCTCCCTCCTTTCTCTCTCTGTCTCTCGCTCGCTCTCTCTTTCTCTCTCTCTCTCTCTCTCAATCTATTTTGCATGATGTTTGTGACTCAGAGCTGCATCTATTGATGGAAACTTGTCAGATCTGACAGAAGCTTTTAGAAGGGTTTCTATACCCAAAAACCACAAAAATTTCATTAGAGTTTCTCATCTTTTCCTGGAGGGCCCGGTCGGAGGGGGCGGGTAAGTGGGCAGGGCCCCAGGTCACTGGGGAGTGGGGGACTGACATCTCAGGCTCCCTCTGTCTCCTGGCCTCAACAAGTGTCCTATGACCGCCACATCCCCAGAGAACCAGGGAGGGTTGGAAGTTGCCCCCTCTCCTAACCCACTCACATCCCGAAACTTGGCAGCCAGAATCTTCCAGCGCTCCCCGAAGGGGATGCCCCCATTCGGGAGTGATCGGAGGCCACCTGCTCCCTGAAGCCACTGCTGTCTGCAAAGATGAGAAACCGCTGATAAATTTTTGTGTTCGTATCTGTGCTGTGACCAGCCACCCTGGTCTATGAAACCCTGTTGCTATGAGATAATGCTTCATGTCTATTATATATTGATATATCTCTCTATATATTGTTTGTGAAGTACCTTCCTTTGAAGTTTTGGTTTCTTTGTGTTGGAATTTGGTTTTTTAATTTGGTTCTTTTGTTTTCTTTTCATTTGGGGGAAAAAAATCAACAGAGGGAAAAGAACCAGCCCTGTTTATATTTAAATGGTTTTCCTTTTTTTTTCTTTTTTTCTTTCTTTCCTTCTTTCTTTCTTCCTTCCTGCTTTTCTTTTTCTCCTCCGCATCCTGTCTTCCCCTCCCAACCTCACCCCACCTCACCCCTCGCATCTCCCTCCCGCCGCCACTGCCGCCCCCTCCCCAGTCCGCCGCGTGGCCCCGCGCTTCTCCATCCTGCCCATGAGCCACGAGATCATGCCAGGGGGCAACGTGAACATCACCTGCGTGGCCGTGGGCTCGCCCATGCCATACGTGAAGTGGATGCAGGGGGCCGAGGACCTGACCCCCGAGGATGACATGCCCGTGGGTCGGAACGTGCTGGAACTCACAGATGTCAAGGACTCGGCCAACTACACCTGCGTGGCCATGTCCAGCCTGGGCGTCATTGAGGCGGTTGCTCAGATCACGGTGAAATGTGAGCAGGGCCCATGGGGCTCGTAGGTGGAGGGGCAGGCTGGAGTCGATCCCCGACTTCAGGCACAGGTGGGAGGCAGCGTGGGAGCACCTCCGAGTTACCCTCTTGGCTTCAGTCATTCATGGCTAGGAAGGGGACGGTTGTTCTTTGAACAGGTATTATTTATTGGTTATAAATGATCCTGGCTGGGCGCAGTGATTCACGCCTGTAATCCCAGCACTTTGGGAGGCCAAGGCAGGAGGTTTGCTTGAGCCCAGGACTTTGAGACCAGCCTGGGCAACATAGCCAGGCCCCTTCTCTACCACAAAAAAATGAAACATTTAGCCAAGTGCAGTGGTGCATGCCTTTAGTCCCAGCTACTCAGGAGGCTGAGGCAGGAGGACTGCTTGAGCCCAGGAGTTCAAGGCTGCAGTGAGCTATGATCGCACTACTGCAGTCCAGCCTGGGCAACAGAGCCGGACCCTGTCTTTAAAAATAAATAAAATGGGCCAGGCGCGGTGGCTCACGCCTGTAATCCCAGCACTTTGGGAGGCCTAGGCGGGCAGATCACCTGAGGTCAGGAGTTTGAGACCAGCCTGGCCAACATGGTGAAACCCTGTCTCTACTGAAAATACAAAAAAAAAAAAAAATTAGCTGGGCGTGGTGGCGCACATCTGTAATCCCAGCTACTCGGGAGGCTGAGGCAGGAGAATCACTTGAACCCGGGAGGTGGAGGTTGCAGTGAGCCAAGATCGAGCCATTGCACTCCAGCCTGGGTGACAGAGCAAGGCTCCGTCTAAAAAAAAAAAAAAAGAAAAAAGAAAAAAAAGGCCGGGTGCGGTGGCTCACACCTGTAATCCCAGCACTTCGGGAGGCCGAGGCGGGCGGATCACGAGGTCAGGAGATCGAGACCATCCTGGCTAACACAGTGAAACCCGTCTCAACTGAAAATACAAAAAATTAGCTGAGTGTGGTGGCAGGCGCCTGTCGTCCCAGCTACTCGGGAGGCTGAGGCAGGAGAATTGTGTGAACCCGGGAGACGGAGCTTGCAGTGAGCCGAGATCGTGCCACTGTGGGTGACAGAGTGAGACTCCATCTCAAAGAAAAATTAAAAAAAGAAAATGGGTACTGGGTGGACCCTGGGCCATAGTTTGTTACCCCTTGCTGTAGACGATGACAGGAGTCATGAGGCCCATGATTACTGCTGGGCAAATCAAGGCTCAGAGAAGGCGACTGAATGGTGAAAAGTCACACAGCCTTCAGGGTCCTCAACCAATGTGCCCAATGCGTGACACAGCTGCCTCCTGCCCACAGCTCTCCCCAAAGCTCCCGGGACTCCCATGGTGACTGAGAACACAGCCACCAGCATCACCATCACGTGGGACTCGGGCAACCCAGATCCTGTGTCCTATTACGTCATCGAATATAAATCCAAGAGCCAAGACGGGCCGTATCAGATTAAAGAGGACATCACCACCACACGTTACAGCATCGGCGGCCTGAGCCCCAACTCGGAGTACGAGATCTGGGTGTCGGCCGTCAACTCCATCGGCCAGGGGCCCCCCAGCGAGTCCGTGGTCACCCGCACAGGCGAGCAGGCCCCGGCCAGCGCGCCGCGGAACGTGCAAGCCCGGATGCTCAGCGCGACCACCATGATTGTGCAGTGGGAGGAGCCGGTGGAGCCCAACGGCCTGATCCGCGGCTACCGCGTCTACTACACCATGGAACCGGAGCACCCCGTGGGCAACTGGCAGAAGCACAACGTGGACGACAGCCTGCTGACCACCGTGGGCAGCCTGCTGGAGGACGAGACCTACACCGTGCGGGTGCTCGCCTTCACCTCCGTCGGCGACGGGCCCCTCTCGGACCCCATCCAGGTCAAGACGCAGCAGGGAGGTGAGGCGTGGGGTCGGCAGGACTCGGGGCCCCGGCCGTGCGGCTTGGTTCTTTGCATGCTCCCTGGAAGCCGCAGAGCGGTTTGTGGGTTATGCACGGTGCTTTAAGATATTTTCATGCTAGCATTTAGGCCGGGTGTGGTGGTTTACGCCTGTAATCTCAGTACTTTGGGAGGCCAAGGCGGGCGGGTCACCGGAGGTCAGGAGTTCGAGACCAGCATGGCCAACATGGTGAAACCCCATCTCTACTAAAAATTAGCCGGGCGTGGTGGCCTGTGCTTGTAATCCTAGCTACTCGGGAGGCTGAGGCAGGAGAATCACTTGAACCCAGGAGGTGGAGGTTGCAGTGAGCTGAGATCATGCCACTGCACTCCAGCCTGGGCGAGAGAGTGAGACTCCACCTCAAAAAAACAATTAAAAAATATATGTATATATTTTCATGCTAGCATTTAAAATCGGGGAGCTAGGCCGGAGGCGGTGGCTCACACCTGTAACCCCAGCATTTTGGGAGTCGGAGGCGAGTGGATTACCTGAGGTCAGGAGTTTGAGACCAGCCTGGCCAACACCGTGAAACCCCATTTCTGTTAATAATACAAAAGAAAAATAGCCGGCCGTGGTGGCGGGTGCCTGTAATCCCAGCTACTCTGGAGGCTGAGGCAGGAGAATCACTTGAACCTGGGCAGAGTTTGCAATGAGCCAAGATCGCACCATTGCATCCAGCCTGGGCGACAAGTGAAACGCCATCTCAAAAAAATTAAATTAAAAAAAAAAAAAAAGAGAGCTAGCCAGGCTTGGTGGCATGTGCCTGTAGTCCCAGCTACTCAAGAGGCAGACGCAGGAGGATGGCTTAAGCCCAGGAGTTTCAGTCCAGCCTGGACAATATAGCAATACCCCATTTCTTAAGAAACATATATAGGACCCAGTGTAGTGGCTCATGTCTGTAATCTCAGCACTTTGGGAGGCCAAGATAGGAGGATTTATTGAGGCCAGCCTGGACAATGTAGCTAGACCCCATCTCTACACACACAAAAAATTAAAAATTAGCTAGGCGTGATGGTGCACACCTGTAGTCCCAGCTACTCAAGGCTGAGATGAGAGGATCACTGGAGCCCAGGAGTTCAAAGCTGCAGTGAGCTATGATAGCACCACTACACTCCAGCCTGGGCAACAAAGCAAGACCTTGTCTCTAAAACAAAAACAAACATTAAAATAAAATCGGAGAGGGCTGGGTGTGGTGGCTTATGCCTGTGATCCCAGCACTTCAGGAGGCTGAGGCGGGTGGATCACCTGAGGTCAGGAGTTTGAGAACAGCCTGGCCAACATGACAAAACCTCATCTCTACTAAAAAAAAAAAAAAAATACAAAAATTAGCCAGTCGTGGTGGCACACGCCTGTAGTTCCAGCTACTCAGGAGGCTGAGGCAGGAGAATCACTTGAACTCGGGAGGCGGTGAGCCAAAATGTCACCACTGCCCTCCAGCCTGGGCAACAGAGCGAGACCCTGCTCAAAAAAAATAAAATTGGACAGTTATCCTAGCCAAATTTTTGGCTTCCCTTTAAAAAATCTGATTTGACAAGCCCATAGGGCTAAGATCAAACACCCGGGTAGATCCCAGTGGCTGTGTGGGAGACAAGGGGGGCTGTGTGTGCTTCCTTCCCTCTTCTCTGTTAACTCCTCACCCCTGTTGGCATTTGAGTTTTAAGAACCTCCCTCATCTGTTCTCATTAGAGGGACCAGCGCCACTGCTTCTGAAATAATGAAAACTGCTGGCTCAGCGTGGTGGCCCACGCCTGTAATCCCAGCACGTTGGGAGGCTGAGGCAGGTGGATCACGAGGTCAGGAGTTCAAGACCAGCCTGGCCAATAATGGTGAAACCCCATCTCTACCAAAAATACAAAATTAGCCGGGCATGATAGCGTGTGTCTGTAATCCCAGCTACTCAAGAGGCTGAGGCAGGTGAATCACTTGGACCCAGGAAGCGGAGGTTGTGGTGAGCTGAGATCGTGCCACTGCACTCCAGTCTGGGCAACAAGAGCGAAACTCTGTCTCAAAAATAAAAGAAAACTGCCTCACCCCTAAGGCAGTGGGCCAGTCTCCCTCCCTGCTCAGGTGGCAGGACTTGGAAGAGGCATTTAGGCATGGGGGACCCCAGCTCTCTGGGAGTGTTTGACCCTTTCCTTTGGGGCTCAGGCTTTCAAAACCTAAAGTCTGGGCAGACTCAGGCACCCACTGAAGCAAAGGGCCGGGACGGTTGGCACTCTGTCCATGTCTGTGAGCGGATACAGAATGGAGATCCAAATGTTAAAATAGGCACCCTTTGCCAGGCACTGTGGCTCACACCTGTAATCCTGACACTTTGGGAGGCTGAGGCAGGAGGTTTGCCTGAAGCCAGGAGTTCAAGACCAGCCTGGGCAACATAGCAAGACCTCATGTGTACAAAAAATTTTAAAATTAGCTGAGTGTGGTGGTGTGTGCCTGTGGTCCCAGCTACTTAGGAGGGTGAGGCGAGAGGATCACCTGAGCCCAGAAGTTGGAGGCTGTAGTGAGCTATGATCGTGCCACTACACTCCAGCCTAGGTGACACAGTGAGACCCCGTTTCAAAAACTAAAATAAAATGAAATAAAATAGGCACACATATCTCCCTGCTAATTTCTCTGTCATCTAATTCGCAGCCAGCGAGGGCACTGGGGTGATTTGAAAGGGAGATTTTTAGGCCAGGTGTGGTGGTTCGCGCCTGTAATTCCAGCACTTTGGGAGGCCGAGGCAGGAGGATCAGTTGAGGTCAGGAGTTTGAGACCAGCCTGGCCAATTGGTGAAATCCCGTCTCTACTAAAAATACAAAAGTTAGCCGGGCGTGGTGGCGGGTGCCTGTAATCCCAGCTACTTGGGAGGCTAAGGCAGGTGAATCACTTGAACCCTGGAGGCGGAGGTTGCAGTGAGCCGAGATCGTGCCATTGCACTCCAGCCTGGGTGACAGAGTGAGACTCCATCTCAAAAAAAAAAAAAAAAAATGAAGGGGATTTTTATTTTTTTTATTTTTATTTATTTATTTATTTATTTTTGAGACAGAGTCTCACTCTGTTGCCCAGGCTGGAGTGCAGTGGCGCGATCTCCGCTGACTGCAAGCTCCGCCTCCCGGGTTCGCACCATTCTCCTGCCTCAGCCTCCCGAGTAGCTGGGACTACAGGTGCCCGCCACCGCGCCCGGCTAATTTTTTGTATTTTTAGTAGAGACGAGGTTTCACCATGTTAGCCAGGATGGTCTCGATCTCCTGATCTCGTGATCTGCCCGCCTCGGCCTCCTAAAGTGCTGGGATTACAGGCGTGAGCCACCGTGCCCGGCCGAAAGGGGGATTTTTAAATGGGTTCTTTTCCTTTGGAAGAAGAGAGGATGGAGGAACAGAGGTGGACAGGTGACAATGGGATGGGGGCGAGGTCCCCAGGAAAATAAAAGAACATTCTAGAAGCACCCAGAGCTGGCATCTTTTAGTGGGGACACTCAGCAGGTGGGGCCCCCTTTGTGGGGTGGACGCTCCCCGACTCCTAGTTGTCTCCCTGCACCCCCACAGTGCCGGGCCAGCCCATGAACCTGCGGGCCGAGGCCAGGTCGGAGACCAGCATCACGCTGTCCTGGAGCCCCCCGCGGCAGGAGAGTATCATCAAGTACGAGCTCCTCTTCCGGGAAGGCGACCATGGCCGGGAGGTGAGGCAGCGCGGGGACGGGCTGGCCTGCCCTGGGCTCCTCCCCGGCGCTCTCTGACGCTGCCCGCCTTGTCTCTTCCCCCTCTTTGTCCCTATGTGTGCTGCGGATTCTGCTCTTCCTCACCCCTTCTGCTTCTCCTGCGTCTCTGTCCCTTTGTGCCTTTCCTCCACTTTTTTCTCCTCTGTCTCATCTCCTTTGTCTTTCTCCTCTGCTGCTGGCGGCCTCTCTCTGGTTCCGTATGTATCGGCGTCCCCATCTCTCTTGATCTGTGCTTCTCTCTGTGTCTTGTCTTCACCGGTGCCTCTGACGCTCACTCTCCATCCCTCCGGGTCTGTTTCTGTCTGTTTATGTCTCTGTCTCTGTTTCTCTTTCTGTCTCTGTTTTCTGTGTGTTTTTTTTCTGTCTCCATCTGTCTCTGTGTTTCTATCCCTCTGCCTCTCTTTCTGTCTCTCTGTCTCTGTCTCTGTATCTGTTTCTTTCTCCTCTCTCTCTATTTCTGTCTCTATCTCTATTTCTGTCTCTCTCTCCTCTCTTTCTCTGTCCCTGTCTCAATCTCTCTCTCCTCCGTTTCTGTCTGTCTCTCTCCCCTGTTTCTCTGTGTTTCTGTCTCTGTCTCTATTTCTCTGTCTCTGTGTGTCTATCTCTGTATCTGTCTCCTTCTCAATTTCTCTATTCCTCTGTCTCTGTATCTCTCTCCTGTTTCTGTCTGTCTCTGTATCTCTCTCTGTCTCTGTCTCTCCCATTTATCTCTGTCTCTGTGTCTGTCTCTCTCCTTTGTTTCTCTGTCTCTATCTCTGTCACTGTGTCCCTCTGTCTCTATCTCTGTCTCTGTGTCCCTCTGTCTCTGACTCTCTCCCCTGTTTCTCTCTGTCTCTGTCTCTCTCCGTCTCTGTCTCTCTCCGTACCCTCTTTTTCTGTCTGTATCTCTGTCTCTACCTCTCTCTCCCCTCTACCTCTCTCCCTCATCCCTCTCTGTCCCTCTCTGCCGCACCCCTGTCTCTATTTCTCTGTCTCTCTCTCTCTCTCTCTCTCTCCCCCTCCCCCCTCTGTTTCTGTCTCTCTCTCTCTCCCCTTTGTTTCTGTCTCTCTCTCTCTCTCCCCCATCCCTCTCTGTCCTTCTCTGCCCTGCCCCCAGGTGGGAAGGACCTTCGACCCGACGACTTCCTACGTGGTGGAGGACCTGAAGCCCAACACGGAGTACGCCTTCCGCCTGGCGGCCCGCTCGCCGCAGGGCCTGGGCGCCTTCACCCCCGTGGTGCGGCAGCGCACGCTGCAGTCCAGTAGGTGTCTCGCGGGGCCGCCCTTCTCTGCGGGAGGGACCACGGCCTGACCGCAGACAGCCCCTCGGCAGACGGACCCAGGCGGGGCCTGCTGCAGTGGGTGGGGGGCGCCTCCCGGCCTGTCTCCGCTTTGTTCCCCGACCTCGGATCCATCTACCCGCGCTGTGCCTCAGTATCCCCATCAGCACAGCGAGGGTCTCAGCATGGGGTTGTCTGTGCCCCTGGGCCTGGTGACCCGGGTTGAGACTTGGGGTCAAGGAGAAGTGGCTGATCTTGGCCCTGGTGTAGGAGAGGTTCTGGGACCACGCCTTCTTTCTCCTCTTTCCATCCTGGAGTGGGGGCTGATTGAAGGGCCACGTTGTGCCCATTTCCCAGGCATTTTGAGGGTACCGTGAGGCTGTGGTCACGGCTCGCACCCCATCATTCTCAGAGCAAAGGACACAGAGACGAACCCACCTTCCCCGTCGGTCTTCCTCCCCCGGGCAGGGAGCCTTGGCTCTCAAGACCCCAGGACGAGGTCCCAGTTCCCGAGGGTGGGGAGGGGGTGGAATCGGAGCCGAGGCCAGGTTTCGTGGGGGCATGCAGGTCCCCACTCGGGGCTCAAATCTCTGGAGTTCTCTGCTGTGCCGGCCCGGCCTCCCTGTTTGGAGCGAGTCACCCTTCACCTGGCAGTTGGCTGTGGGTCACCGCCACCCTCTCTCCCTGACTTCTCTAAACTCGGAGCTGGACAGGCCCCTTCTGCCGTCTCCCCACCTCACCTGCCTCCCTGGCTCCGCTCAGCCCAGCGTGGCCTTCCCTGGTGTGGCCTCCACCGGCGTGGTCTCTCTGTCGTGGCCTCCCCCTGCTTCCCCCTCTTCCCTCCCTTCACCCAGTCAGTCACGGCGTAGCCACCCCAGGCTTTCTTCCAGAATCAGTCATGATGGTCAAACCTTCAAGGCCCGCCCTGGGTGTGTGTACACAGGGGCATCTCGGATCAGTCGAAGGGTTAACATCAACTCCAGCCGGGGCATCTGAGCCGCTGGGATCGGGGGGGTGGGGCGCCTCGGAGACACAACCCCCCTGCCCCCGCCGGCCCCCTTCCCTCCTTCCTGCTCCCCACAAACCAAGCCGAGCTGAGCACCTGGCGGCTCCAAGGCGTCTGGGCGCGTCTGTGTGAGGTGGAGTCAGTGAGGGTGGCCTGTGGCTTGGGCAGCCACCTGAGAGACTGGCTGAGGTGTCCTGAAGGTGAGTACACGCTGGTCTCAAGCAGGTTCACAAAAACGGCCCACCCCGCGTGCCCCCCCGCCTGCCCCAGCCACTCTGGGCTGAACGGACAGTCCACGGCCCGAATTCGGCCCCAGAAACTCTCCCAAACCACGTGCCACCACCATGCCACGCTGCCCACGCACGCACATCCACGTCTTTGCACACATCCCTTCCCGAGATGTCATGCAGGTTGGGCCGGATTGTGAAGGACGTGACCTACACGGTCACCTAGAAAGCGGCTTCGGCCCAGCCACGCGAACCTCCGGGGCGGCCCAGGACAGGGAGTTGGGGAGAAGGGACTCCCCGCTTCTTGCCCCGAGACGGGTGGGGCCCAGGAGAACCGACAGCAAAGACTCAGGGCCAGGCGTATCCATCCCCCCGGGGACTGCGGGCTCCTTAGGCTGAACACAGGGTAGGTGCAGGTCAGACCACTCAGCCGTGGGTCTCCCCAGACACCGTGCCACCTTCCTGCCTCCAGCCTGGAACCTCAGCGTGCGCACGCTGGGGGCTGGAGCAGGGCTGCGGGGCCACTGGCATCCTGAGACCCACCAAGAGTTCGGTCTGGCCTTGTAGCTCAGCGCTCGGCCGTTCCCTCTCTCGTAAGAAAGTCTTTTAAGTTAGCAGTTGAAGAGTGGAAGGTAGGTAACCAGACTGGGCGTTTTCTGGAAGGAGTCTTTCTTTCTTTTATTAAGTTTTTCTCATCATCATCACCATCACTGTTGTTTCTTATTTTATTATGGTTTCGGTTTTATTTTTTCTCCCCCTTTCTCAGCAAATCCATTCCTTCCGACACATTCCTTGATTGTTGTTTTTTTTTTTTTTTTCCCCCTGCTCCCTGCCTGATTCCCCGCACCCCCCGGGCACCTTTGGTTGGTGTGGCTGGTCAAGAAATGGGGAAGGGTTCCCTTTGTCTAGTTTTGGAGGAGGGGCCTCTAATGTTTTGCTTTAAGTGAGGCCGGAGGGTCTCTCTAGTTGAAGTAAGCTGTTGGGGTGGCCTCTGCAGTCTCTGGTAGCCCAGTGTCTCTGAGGACAGGATTCGTCTCTGGGTTTCAGATGCTAGCAGGATAGTGTCCATAGTAAGTACTCAGTAAACATGTGCTCAGCCACCAAGCAAGCTGCTCTGATGGTGAGGGTTTCTAATGCTCTTGCCACGAGCAAGGCCAGTAATCTCTCTGGGCCTCCCTCCAGGGGACGTAGATTCTAAAATCGTGGGCACTTGGGAGAGTGGCTTCCGCCATACCCAACCAGCACAAGGCTGAGATCTGAGCTGCCAACCTCAAACCAAGCCAGCCTGTGAATCACGGCCAAGTCTGGGTTCCAATCCTGGCTCTGCCACCTCATCACTGCATGCCCCTGGACAGGTAGCTTGCTGTTTCTGAGCCTCAGTTTCCTCACCTGTAAAATGGGCTCACCTGTAAAATGGGCTGCACTTCTGGTTTTTCGGCAAGATTGAGAGGTGTTATACAAAATAATGAAAAGCTTCCAGGGTGGGGTCTGGCCACAGTCGGTACACAACCAGTGACTGTAGAAAGCCCAGCAGGCAGAC
The DNA here is from genome assembly GCF_000001405.40 of Homo sapiens. Lineage (NCBI taxonomy): Eukaryota > Metazoa > Chordata > Mammalia > Primates > Hominidae > Homo > Homo sapiens. Next base: position 5,236,127 of record NC_000019.10, on the reverse strand, counting down.
TTTGGAATCTGGTTTCCCCACCGTTGACGCGGGGTGGCGGGTGGGGAGTGACAGTTCTGACCACCTGAGGGGTTGTGAGAATTAAATGAGATAATGCATGCATTAAATGAGATGATACATGCGTTAAATGAGATAATACATGAAACATGGGCTGAGGGTGCTGCACCTGCAGTAGGCGTGCAGAAAATGAAGTTTATTATCACTAATGCCCTCAGCACAGCGTCTGGCCATAGTAGGCACGCAACACATAGAGACTTACTGATTCATAAGCCTTTAACACACAGACAGTTCCCTTTAATATGCGGGAACTCTCAGTGTTATTCAGCAAAGACCTTAACATACTGCCTGGCACACAGTAGGTGCCCCATTAATACAGCCACTGTTTTAAATCTACATATGGATTGGCACAGTGCTGGGCACCTAGTTGGCACTCAGTAAATGGAAGCTATTAGCAGTTTATAACAAGCTTAGCCTAGTGCCAGGCGCACAGTAGGTACTCAAAACATGGGTGGCAACAATTATTGTTCTGCAAACCTCTTGGCACAATGGCTGACATACAGTAAGTGCTCAATAAGTGGCACTTGCTATAAAGAGGTGGCCTAAGTGTGAGGCACGTAGTAGATGCTCAGATGGGCACCATTATCAGTTTGAAAGGGTGTGGGATAGGGCTGGTTACACAGTTTTTACTGAAAACATTCACTTATTATCTGCAAAGCCCTTGGCACAGTGTGTGCAAATAGTAGGTGCTCAATAAGAACTATTACTATTTTTATATAAGGTATTGAGTGCAATGCCTGGCACACGGTGCCAGGTGCTGTTACAGTTATCCAATAAAGCCCTTAGCACGATGCTTGGCACACAGTAGGTGCTTAAGAAATGAAAACTATTGGCCGGGCGCGGCGGCTCATGCCTGTAATCCCAGCACTTTGGGAGGCCGAGGTGGGCGGATCACGAGGTCAGGAGATCGAGACCATCCTGGCCAACATGGTGAAAATCCGTCTCCCCTAAAAATACAAAAAATTAGCCGAGCGTGGTGGCGGGCGCCTGTAGTCCCAGCTACTCGGGAGGCTGAGACAGGAGAATGGCGTGAACCCGAGCAGCAGAGCTTGCAGTGAGCCGAGATCGCGCCACTGCACTCCAGCCTGGGCGACAGAGCAAGACTGTCTCAAAAAAAAAAAAAAAAAGAAAGAAAGAAATGAAAACTATTAACATTCCGTAAGGCCCTTAGTAGAGTTGCCTGACACATAGTAGGTGCTTCATATGTGGAAACTTACTGTTTTTCAGTAAGCCCCAGCACAGCACCTGGCACACAATAGGTGCTTAATATGTGGTGACTACTATCGTTTTCTGATGAAGCCTTTAACACAGTGCCTGGCACACAGTAGGGGCCTAATACATGGGGACTATTAACTTTTCTGATACAGCCCTTAGCACAGTGCCTGGCACGCAGTAGGGGTTTAATATGCAGGGACTACTACTGTTTTCTGAGAGAGCCTTTGGCACAGTGCCTGGCACATAGTAGGTGCTGCTTAAATGACAACTGCTGTTTTTCTCTTCAGAGACCTGTTACCGTACCCAGTCCATAGTAGATGTTCAATAAATGAGACTTGCTGTTGATAGGTTAGTAGTAGATGTAGTGTGGTGCCAGGTGCATAGTTGGGACTGAACACAGAAGTGCTGTGATCTTTAAAGATTTTGGCACACAGTAGGTGCTCAATATGAGCTATGAAGTCCTGAGCCTGGTACCTGACACCAGTAGGTGTCCAATAAACAGGCACTTTTATTATTACTTGATAAAGCCCTTGACATTCTATCTGGCACACAGTAGGTGCTCAAGACATGGGCATTATTTTCAAGTGAGGCCAATTGGATGGTCCTAGTTGAAGTAAGCTTTTGGGATGGGCTTTGGGTCCCTGGTAGCACAAGTGTTCAGTAAATAAATGCTTTTACTACAAGAAAAATTTTACCATATTTTCCGTAAATTATTATGAAGCCCTTGGCACCATGCCTGACCTACAGTAGGTGGCCAGTAAATAAGTGCATTTGCTGTTATTGTATGAAGCCCTTGGCATGACACCTGGCACATGGTAGGTAGCTAATAATTGGGGCTTCTATTGCTGTTGCCTGGCACATAGTGTGTGACATATAGATTTTTTTTTTTTTTTTTTTTTTTTTTTTTTTGGAGATGGAGTCTTGCCCTGTTGCCCAGGCTGGAGTACAGTGGCACGATCTTGGCTCACTGCAACTTCCGCCTCCCAGGTTCAAGTGATTCTCCTGCCTCAGCCTCCCGAGTAGCTGGGATTACAGGCTCCCGCCACCATGCCCGGCTAGTTTTTTGTATCTTGTAGTAGAGACGGAGTTTCACCATGTTGGCTAGGCTGGTCTCTCTAACTCCTGACCTCGTGATCCACCCACCTCGGCCTCCCAAAGTGCTGGGATTACAGGAGTGAGCCACTGCGCCCGGCCGAGATTCTTATGCTATTATTCTATGAAGCCCTTGGCACAATGCTTGACACACAGTAGGTACCTGATAAGTGGAGCTTCTATTGCTGTTCCCCTTAGCATGATGCGTGGCACATACTAGATATTCAGTAAATAGATGCTCTATTATTTTGTGAAGCCCTTGGTGCTGGCACATAGTAGGTGCCTAATGGAGCTTCTGTTGCCATTCCCCTTGGCACAGTGCCTGGCACATAGTAGGTAGTTAATAAATGGAGCTTCTGTTGCTGTTCCCTTTGGCATGGTACCTGGCACGTAGTAGGTGCTTAATGGAGCTTCTATTGCCATTCCCCTTGGCATGGTACCTGGCACATAGTAGGTGTTCAATAAATAGATGCTTTTACTATTATTTCGTGAAGTGCTTGGCGCTGGCACATAGTAGGTGTCTAATAGAGCTCTGTTGCTGTTCCCCTTGCCACGGTGCCTGGCACATAGGTGTTCGACATAGATTATTTTGTTACCATTCTATGAAGCCTTAGCACAATGCTTGACACGTAGTAGGTGCCTGATAATTGGAGCTTCTGTTGCCATTCCCCTTGGCATGGTTCCTGGCACATACTAGGTACCCAATAATTGGAGCTTTTGTTGCTGCTTCCCTTGGCGTGGTGCCTGGCATATAGTAGGTGCTTAATAAATGGAGCTTCTGTTGCCGCTCCCCTTGGCATGGCGCCAGGCACATACTAGGTGTTCAATAAATGGATGCTTTTACTGTTATTTTGTGAAGCCCTTGGCGCTGGCACATCGTAGGTGCTTAATAGAGCTCTGTTGCTGTTCCCCTTGCCACGGTGCCTGGCACATAGTAAGTGTTTGACATATAGATTATTTTGCTATCATTCTATGGAGTCCTCAGCACAATGCCTTACCACAATTATTAGTAGGTGCCTAATAATTGGAGCTTCTATGGCTATTCCCCTTGGCATGGTGCCTGGCACACAGTAGGTGCCTAATGGGGCTTCTGTTGCCATTCCCCTTGGCATGATGCCTGGCACATAGTAGGTGCTTAATGAATGGAGCTTCTGTTGCCATTCCCCTTGGTATGGTGGCACATAGTAGGTGCCTAATAAATGGAGCTTCTGTTGCTGTTCCCCTTGGCACGGTACCTGGCGCATAATAAGTGCTTAATAAATGGAGCTTCTATTGCTGTTCCCCTTGGCATGGTGCCTGGTACATAGTAGGTGTTGAGTAAATAGATGCTTTACTATTTGTGAAGCCCTTGTTGCTGGCACATAGGAGGTGCCTAATAAACAGAGCTTCTGCTGCCATTCCCCTTGGTATGGTGCCTGGCACATAATAGGTGCCTAATAAATGGAGCTTCTGTTGCTGTTTCCCTTGGCACAGTACCTGGCACATAATAAGCCTTTAATAAATGGAGCTTCTATTGCTGTTCCCCTTGGCATGGTGCCTGGCACATAGTAGGTGTTCAGTAAATAGATATTTTACTATTATTTTGTGAAGCCCTTGGTGCTGGCACATAGTAGGTACCTAATAAGTGGAGCTTCTGTTGCCGTTCCCTTTGGCATGGTGCCTGGCACATAGTAGATGTTCAACAAATAGATGCTTTTACTATTTTGTGAAGCCCTTGGTGCTGGCACATAGTAGGTGCCTAATAAATGGAGCTCCTGTTGCTATTCCCCTTGGCACGATGCCAAGCACATAGTAGGTGCCTAGTAAGAAGGGCTTCCCTTGCTATTCCCCCACCCAGTTTCTGGCATGGGGACCATAGCTGTCCAATGCCTAAGACCTACTGTGCACCACGTAGGTGCAGCCTGGTGAGCACAGGGTTCTTGGCCAGCCCTCCCAGCCCCATCCCACCTGCCCGCCCATCCACCCGCCCATCCCACCTTTGGTTGACACCCACTTCTTTTGGGTTCGACTTCTCTTTGGTTTGGTTCTGTTTTGTTTGTTATCATCTTCTTTTTTATTTTCTCTTTCCCATCTTTTGTTTCCCCGCCCCCCTCCCCACCCATCCCACCTCCCTTCCCCACCCCCCCACGTTCTCCCCCCCTCCAATAGAACCGTCAGCCCCCCCTCAAGACGTTAAATGTGTCAGCGTGCGCTCCACGGCCATTTTGGTAAGTTGGCGCCCGCCGCCGCCGGAAACGCACAACGGGGCCCTGGTGGGCTACAGCGTCCGCTACCGACCGCTGGGCTCAGAGGACCCGGAACCCAAGGAGGTGAACGGCATCCCCCCGACCACCACTCAGATCCTGCTGGAGGCCTTGGAGAAGTGGACCCAGTACCGCATCACGACTGTCGCTCACACAGAGGTGGGACCAGGGCCCGAGAGCTCGCCCGTGGTCGTCCGCACCGACGAGGATGGTAAGTACCTGCCCCAGGCCCGGGACCCCCCGCAGGCCCCAGCCCGGCCCCCGCCTCGAAGCCTTCCATCTGGAAACCTGGGCTGGTGGTCAAAGGGCGGAAGCCTCACTCGGAGGAAGTCGGGAAGCAAGCAGCCTCCCCGAGAAATCCGGGGCTCCTTGACTTTGGAATTGGCGATTCTAGACATGGGCAGGCTTAGCTCTGCAGCATCTGCTCCCAGAGCCTCGTGCCTGGACAGTTTCGCTGGCTGCCCTCTATTTTGGTGGAACAGTGGAAACCTTTGGAAATGGGGTGGAGGAAGTGGCAAATAGCACCTGCAACAACAATGTGCTGATCATGGTTAACCAGCTCCCCGGGTGGATGGAGACCAGTTTGTGTAGCATTGGCCAATTTCCATGGTGTAAATGTTCCCGTCCTCACCCATTTCAAGTTAGCAGCAAGTTTGAAGCTGGAAAGCAAGGCAGTGGTCCTAGCTTGGAGTCACGTGGTCGAAGCCTAGATCATGGAGAGAAATGACAGACACCTTTCCCAATAAAATTGCAACTTCTTGGCCAAGCACAGTGGCTCATGCCTGTAATCCCAGCACTCTGAGAGGCCAAGGCAGGAGGATCATATGAGTCTCGGAGTTTGAGACCAGCCTAGGCAACATAGTGAGACCCCATTCCTCCAAAAACATTTTTAAAACATAGCCAAGCATGGTGGCATGCACATGTAGTCTCAGCTACTCAAGACGCTGAGGTGCGGGGATTGCTGGGCATAGCAGTTTGAGGCTGCAATGAGCTGTGATCATACCCCTGCACTCCAGCCTGGGTGACAGAGTGAGACCCCATCTCTACAAAAACGTATTAGCTGAGCATGGTGGCACAGGCCTGTAGTTGCAGCTACTTGGGAGGCTGAGGTGGGAGGATCGCTTAAGCCCAGGAGTTCAAAGCTGCAGTGAGCCGTGATCCTGCCACTGCATGCCAGCCTAGGTGACAGAGTAAGAGAACCTGTCTCAAAAATATTTCAGCCTCTTGGTCCTGGGAACCTGATTCGTTTTCTGAGCCATTTGCCTTTGTTTCGTTGGACAGCCCCATTATGTCCTAAGCCCAGAGAAGAAATGAAGCAGCTCTTCTTTATGCCAAACCCTGGGGTGGGTGAAAAAGATCCTGAGTGCCAAGTGGGCCACCTGCCTGCTTGGGTATTTAGGAACATACAGCTGGACTGCCTGGTGCAAATCCTGGCTTTGCCTCTTGCTAAGGCTGTGATCACAGAATCAACTCTCTAGGATTCAATTTCCCCAAATGTAAAATGAGAATGACAGGAGACCCTATCTTGCAGGGTTATGATGAGGATGGAAGCAGTGTAGGGTGAAGAAGAGGGTGTCTGGAGGCCCTGGGAAGGTGGTTTAGACTCGGGGGGGGGCAGCCTGGATCCATGGGGCGCACCTTCAGGGGCCCCTCCCAGGGCTGTGGGGGGTGTGCAGGAGGCCATGTCCTCCCGCCCGGTGGTGAGCGCTAAGAGCGCCCAGTTATTCACCGGCAGCCACTCGGCATCCTGGAATCGGACAGTGGCACTGCCCGGGGCAGGGCCGGGCGCCCTGGTAACGGCTCCGCCCGCCCCTCCCCTCCCCTCCCGCCCGCCAGTGCCCAGCGCGCCGCCGCGGAAGGTGGAGGCGGAGGCGCTCAACGCCACGGCCATCCGCGTGCTGTGGCGCTCGCCCGCGCCCGGCCGGCAGCACGGCCAGATCCGCGGCTACCAGGTCCACTACGTGCGCATGGAGGGCGCCGAGGCCCGCGGGCCGCCGCGCATCAAGGACGTCATGCTGGCCGATGCCCAGGTGGGCGGGGGGCCGGGGCGGGGCCGGGGACGGGCTCCGGGCGGGGACGGGCCCTTGCGCTCCCCCCACCTCTGCTTCTCTTTCTCCATCTCTGGCCTCCCCCGCTCACCTTCCTCCTCTCTCCCCTGCCGCCTCCTCCCGCGCTCAGTGGGAGACGGATGACACGGCCGAATATGTAAGTAGCGCCCCTGGCCACCCACCTACTGCTGTGCGCTTCCCGCGGGCCGTGCTGTGCTGTGACTCCTGCACGCCCCTTATCATCAGTAGTAAAACGGTCTCCTCCTCTGGGCCCTCCCATGCGCCCCTCGCTCTCCCATTACCTCTTGGAGCGCCCAGCCTCGATGTTTGCACCAGGGAAATGGGATACTCGGACCACTGTGCGCCCCAGGGGGCAGACCCGAGGGTGGCTTGAGCAACAGGACCTGAGGGTCGTCCCTGAATCCTCTCACCCTGATGGCTCCTGCCATTGGTGGGGCTTAAGCCTCCTGGGTCCTTCTCCTGCCCGTAGTCATTTCTCCTGTGAGTATGTCTCCTCTCCTGTTGACCCAGCCCCACCCTTTACTGTCACTCAATTCAGCCCTGTCTGGCCTAGAAATGCCTCTCTCTGGATATGCTGTCGTCTTCATTCTGGCCCCCGGGTGATGAGAGGTGTCAGCGGGGCCAGAGTGGGGAAGGATGTCTGTGATAGCCTGGTTACAACCCCACAATGCTTTAAACCAGAGAGGAATTGCTGTGTGACTTGGGGCAAGTTGCTACCTCTCTCTGGACTACCTCTCTGCCCCTAAAACGGGAGTACCAGTCTCTGCTGAGAACCCCAGGTCTGACATTAAATTGGCACTGGTCCCTTGGCTGGGCGTGGTGGCTCATGCCTGTAGTCCCAGCACTTTGGGAGGTTGAGGCAGGTGGCTCACCTGAGGTCAGGAGTTCAAGACCAGCCTGGCCAACAGGGCAAAACCCCTTCTCTACTAATAATACGAAACAGCCTGGTGTGGTGGCAGGCACCTGTAATTCCAGCTACTCGGGAGGCTGAGGCAGGAGAATCGTTTGAACCTGGGAGGCAGAGGTTGCAGTGAGCCAAAATGGCACCACTGCGGTCCAGCCTGGTCAGCAGAGGGAGACCCTGTCTCTTTTTTTTTTTTTTTTCTCCAGACGGAGTCTCACACTATCGCCCGGGCTGGAGTACAGTGGCGCCATCTCGGCTCACTGCAACCTCCACCTCCTGGGTTCAAACAATTCTCCTGTCTCAGCCTCCCGAGTGGCTGGGATTACAGGCATGAGCCACTGGTCCTGGCTGATCCTGTCTCTAATAAACAAACAAACAGGCACTGGTCCCACATGCTCTGATGCCTCCCATCTCTCACCCACACTGGATCTAGAGGGAATGTTCCCACCTGGGCTTCAACTCTGCTCTTCTCGCAGAGACCCTGGGAGGGATGGACTGTGAGGCTCAGGGGTAGGAGACCCTGTTTGTGCATCCCCGTCACCCCTCCTTATCCCCTTGGCCTGGGTCTACCCCACAGTTCCCAGGCATGCCGGCCTGTGCTTGGGGGGGTGCGTGTGTGCTTGCAGACATGGGCACACATGATGCTGTGATCGTGTGCACAGGTGTTGTGCAAGTCCGCGTGCCCGGGAGTGTTCTGTGCTGTCATTCATTGGACGAGCACTCACTTATTGAGCACCTACTATGTGCTAGATGCTGAGGATGTGGTGGTGACAAGAGCCCCTCCTCCCTAACAGTCATACTCAGTGAGAGGGATGTTAATCGGAACAAAACACACATCGGCAGGGCATGGTGGCTCACGCCTGTAATCCCAGCACTTTGGGAGGCCAAGACGGGTGGATCAGCTGAAGTCAGGAGTTCGAGACCAACCTGACCAACATGGTGAAACCCTGTCTCTACTAAAAATACAAAACCAGGCGTGGTGGCGCATGCCTGTAATCCTAGCTACTCGGGAGGCTGAGGCAGGAGAATTGCTTGAACTAGGGAGGCAGAGGTTGCAGTGAGCTGAGACCATGCCATTGCACTCCAGCCTGGGCAACAAGAGCGAAACTCTATGTCCAAAAAAAAAAAAAAAAATTGTTACAGCTGTGGTGGGGATGGGGTTTAGACAGTGAAATAAACATTTAAAAATCAGCTCTCAGCCAGGCACAGTGGCTCACGCCTGTAATCCCAGCACTTTGGGAGGCAGAGGCAGGCGGATCACTTGAGCCCAAAGTTTAAGACCAGCCTGGGCAACATGGCAAGATCCCATCTCTACAAAAAATATAAACATCATTAGCCAGGCATGTGGTGGTGCACGTCTGTATTCCCAGCTACTTGGGAGGCTAAGGCGGGAGGATCACTTGAGCTCAGGAGGTCAAGGCTGCAGTGAGCTATGATTACACCCTGCACTCCAGCCTGGGCGACAGGGTGAGACCCTGTCTCAATAAGATAAAAGAGTAAAAATCAGCTCTCTGGGTGGGCAGGAGGGGGCAGTCCTGTTTTGTAGCATTGGACCGTTTCCATGGTGTAAATACTTCCCACCATGTCAATTTCAAGCTACCGGGGAGGTGCCCAGTAGCCCATAATCATGTATTCCTACTCTACAGATGCAATAGACAAGATGATCTCAAAGCAGTAACCATACAGATACCCACAGAGAACAGTAACCCTAGTGAAATAACTAGATTTGCTGTATTTATTGCCTTTGCTTTCAATATAACTTAGTTGATTGTAAGTTTATACAGTTTATTTATTTATTTTTGAGACAGTCTTGCTCTGTCACCCAGGCTGGAGTACAGTGCCACGATGTTGGCTCACTGCAACCTCCGCCTCCTGGGTTCAAGTGATCCTCCTGCCTCAGCCACCCCAGTAGCTGGGACTACAGGCATGTGCCACCACGCCTGGCTTTTTTGCTTTTTTTTTTTTTTTTTGGTATTTTTAGTAGAGACGAAGTTTCACCATGTTGGCCAGGCTGGTCTGGAACTCCTGACCTTAAGTGATCCTCCTGCCTTGGCCTCCCAAAGTGCTGGGATTACAGGCGTCAGCCACTGCGCCCAGCCTCGTACAGTTTAATTTTTAATAACAGCTCTGTTTCATAAGTGGCTCACAAAATTCCTGAAAATTTAACCAGCGGCTCTCATGAGTTGGTACCGGGCACCTCCAGCACACCAGTGGGTGTAGACAGGGGGGAAGGCCAGTGCCAAAGGGCCTGAGGCAGGCTGTGCCTGGTGCATTGGAGGAACAGCAAGGAGAGCCCTTTGTGAGCCACAGGGAAGACTTGGGCTTTGACCCCAAGAGAGGTGGGAGCCATGGAGGGCTGTGGGGAGAGCGGGGACGGACCCTGACTCCAGTGCTCACAGGCGCCCTCTGGCTGCTGTGGGGAGGACAGACTGTCGGGGGTGATGGCAAGGAGTGAGGGGAGCGGAGCAGAGAGGACCGAGTTGGTCCTGGCAAGCGACAATGGGCTCGTCCGGCTGGGTTGTTGCATGTACCCTCTGAGCATGGCCATGCCACGTGTCGTGGTCTCTGCATGAGCTCATGTGCACGTCTCCACCCCTGATCCGGGCCCTGCATCCTCCTTGCTTGTTCTCAGCACGGGGAGTGGGGGTGGGTGGGGCTGCTCCCAGCCCCAGCCGTCGTGCTGACCCCCAGCCGTGCCTGCAGGAGATGGTCATCACAAACTTGCAGCCTGAGACCGCGTACTCCATCACGGTAGCCGCCTACACCATGAAGGGCGATGGCGCTCGCAGCAAACCCAAGGTGGTTGTGACCAAGGGAGCAGGTATGCAACCCGCCCTCCTCCCACCCACCAACAGCCCCTTTGCCCCCACTGGCACCAGAGCGTGACTCCAGAGTCCTTGAGCTCACAAGGGCAGGCAGAGGGTGCACCAGGCAGCTGGAACAGTGAGACAAAGGTGTGAGGGCTGCTCAGGTGGGTGTCCAGGGCCCAGCTTGGCCCCCCCCGCCCCTGCCTCCTCCTTTGTCACTCACTTCCTGTCCCCCCGGCTCCCACCAGACAGAAACAGTTAACAGCCACCTCTGACCCCTTTGCCCTCTCAACCTTTACTTGGGCTGTTCCCTCTGCCAGGATACCCCTTCCCCTGCTGGCTGGCTCCTCTTCTGCCTTTAGGTCTCAGCTCAAGGTACACCTGGCCCTGGAAAGCCTTCCCTGATTGCCTCATCCCATAATCTTGATCCTTCTGGGCCCCCTAGTCTCCTGTGCTTCCCCCATCCAGGCTCTGGTCGCCCCGGCTAGGTTGTTATTTCAGGGTGGTGCACCTGTCTTCCCCTACTGCACCAGGAAGCCACCTTTCTCTTGGTGGCCCTGCCTCAGTTTCCCCTTCTAGCCCCTCCATTGTCCCTTCCATCGTCCCCAAGGGGCTGGCTTTTTTTTCCAGCCAAAATGGAGCTGAATTAAGAAAAAGAGGCTGCCGTGAAGATGTAAGGGGAGGGTACACCGGGCGGAGGGCACAGCCCAGAAAAAGACTTGGGGGGTGGGGCGTGGTGGTGGTGGTGGTGGGCGGAACAAGCTCGGGTGTTTCAGGAACAATCGACTGACTTCTGTGGCCTTCATCCCAGTCCCCACACCCACCCTCTCCTCGGGGACCCTTGTAGCCACACCACTGTGTACCCCACCTTTCAGGCCTCCCAGCTGGACACAGCCCCTGCCCTTGTCCACACTATTCCCTTCACGCACCTTGTCTGCGTCCTCCAGCATCCAGCTCTAACGCCACCTCCTCCAAGCAGCCTCCTGTGATCTCTCCCTCCCTTCTTCTAGCCAGCAGGGCACTTCCCTCCTCTCTCAGGGACATTGTATTAGAGCTGTGTTTGCTAAGCAGAAACCACTGCATACGCTGCTCTCCCCACCACCCTGGGTATTCATAGCAGTCCATTCAAGGCCCTGATAAGTCCTGCAGTAGAGAAGTCCATTTTCATGTATACAGCCCAGCTTTCCCCCTTCTTTGCCTGATCCCAGAACCTCTCTCGGCACATTGATTACTACCCAGGCTGTGCGAAACAAAGAGCAGGGGCGGATTTTGGATTTCTTTATGTCCCATGGGTATTGGTCAGGTGCCTGCATTGAGCAAGGGCCAAATCAACAAGGCAGGAGATGGTTGCCTTATTAATGGAAGGAGGAGGGGTTCTCTGAGTCCTCACTTCCTTGCTGTGCTTTATGCGCCCCTAGCCCAGTGCCGGCTCTACACCTTTGCATGGGCCGTTCCCTCTTCCTGGAGCACGATTCCCCCAGATCTTCTCGTGGTTCCCTCTCTTTCTTCTTTCAAGTCTTTGCTTCTTAAGTGAGGCTTTCTTGAGACCTACTTTTATTTTTAAGACGGAGTCTTGCTCTGTTGCCCGGGCTGGAGTGCAGTGGCACGATCTTGGCTCCCTGCAACCTCTGCCTCCTGGGTTCAAGTGATTTTCCTGCCACAGCCTCCTGAGTAGCTGGGATTACAGGCGTGCACCACCACCCCCGGCTCATTTTTGTATTTTTAGTAGAGACAGGGTTTCACCATGTTGGCCAGGCTGGTCTCGAACTCCTGACCTGAAATGATCTGCCCATCTCAGCCTCCCAAAGTGCTGGGATTACTTACAGATGTGAGCCACCACACCCAGCCTTGAGATCCACTTTTAAAAATCACAACCCCAGGCTGGGCACGGTGGCTCACACCTGTAATCCCAGCACTTTGGGAGGCTGAGGCGGGTGGATCACCTGAGGTCAGGAGTTCAAGACCAGCCTGGCCAATATGGCGAAACCCCATCTCTACTAAAAATACAAAATTACCCAGGCGTGGTGGTGTGTACCTGTAATCCCAGCTGCTCGGGAGGCTGAGGCAGGAGAATCCCTTGAACCCGGGAGGCAGAGCTTGTAGTGAGCCGAGATGGGGCTACTGCACTTCAGCCTGGGCAACAGAGCAAGATTCTGTCTCAAAAAAAAAAAAAAAAAAAATCACAACCGCAGCTGGGTGCAGTGGCCTTATAATCCTAGCACTTTGGGAGGCCGAGGCAGGAAGCTCACTTGAGCCCAGGAGTTCGAGGCTGCAGTGAGCCGTGATCTCACCATTGCACTCCAGGCTGGGCAACAGAGTAAGACCCCCCCCAACTCAAAAAAATGTTATATTGAAGGAAAAGAATTAAAAATACAACCCCACCTTGTGCCTCTGGGCTGGCGGATGGCGCTGGGACCCTGACACCTGCCCCGTATCCCCGCAGTGCTGGGCCGCCCAACCCTGTCGGTGCAGCAGACCCCCGAGGGCAGCCTGCTGGCACGCTGGGAGCCCCCGGCTGGCACCGCGGAGGACCAGGTGCTGGGCTACCGCCTGCAGTTTGGCCGTGAGGACTCGACGCCCCTGGCCACCCTGGAGTTCCCGCCCTCCGAGGACCGCTACACGGCATCAGGCGTGCACAAGGGGGCCACGTATGTGTTCCGGCTTGCGGCCCGGAGCCGCGGCGGCCTGGGCGAGGAGGCAGCCGAGGTCCTGAGCATCCCGGAGGACACGCCCCGTGGCCACCCGCAGATTCTGGAGGCGGCCGGCAACGCCTCGGCCGGGACCGTCCTTCTCCGCTGGCTGCCACCCGTGCCCGCCGAGCGCAACGGGGCCATCGTCAAATACACGGTGGCCGTGCGGGAGGCCGGTGCCCTGGGCCCTGCCCGAGAGACTGAGCTGCCGGCAGCGGCTGAGCCGGGCGCGGAGAACGCGCTCACGCTGCAGGGCCTGAAGCCCGACACGGCCTATGACCTCCAAGTGCGAGCCCACACGCGCCGGGGCCCTGGCCCCTTCAGCCCCCCCGTCCGCTACCGGACGTTCCTGCGGGACCAAGGTAGGCGCGCGGCGACCCCTGCACCAGAGCCGGACCGGGCCTTGCGCCCACCCCCACCCCAGCCCCCTCCCTCTCCCCTGCCCAGGTAAGTGCTCACTTTTCTGCTTCCTCGTGGTCACTCAAGGCAAGTCCGGACCCCGAGGCTCCGGCGTTGGCAAAGGTGGGACGTGCCTCGGTGGCACCACCGCCCCCCACCACTGCCCCCTCCCCTTGCTCCCCTCCCCCCTCTTCCTCCTCCTCCACCTTCTTTCTGCAGCCTCTGCACCCGTGCCGTCTCCCGAAGCAGGGACTTGGGACAGGACAGGGCAGGGCCGGGCCAGGGCCAGGCAGGAAGGCCGTGGGCATGGGCACAGCGGACGACAGGGAGCGCCTGGGCCGCCCCACCCCACCCCGCTTCACGCCACCCAGTGCCAGGCACTCATGGGGCCTCTCTTCTGCTCTCTCCCTGCTCGGCCGCCTCCCCGGCAGTCTCGCCCAAGAACTTCAAGGTGAAAATGATCATGAAGACATCAGTTCTGCTCAGCTGGGAGTTCCCTGACAACTACAACTCACCCACACCCTACAAGGTGCGACTGCCCAGCCAGCAGGCAGGCAGGCAGGCAGGGTCAGGGGTTGTAGTTCAGCAGGGCTTAAGGCTCAGTTTGGAGTTGGTGTGAAGTGAGGGATCAGGGCTCAGTCAGAGATGGGTCTCAGCTAGGATTGAGGCTTAGTCAATACTGGGAATCAGACTTGGGGCCCAGCCTAGGATTGGAGATCAGCTGGAACTGAGGTTCAGTCAATATTGGGGATCAATGTTGGGCTCAGCCTTGGATTGTGGCTTAGCTGGGATTGAGGTTCAGTCTGGGATTAAGATTTAGTCCATATTGGAAATCAGAGTTGGGGCTCAGCCTTAGATCATGGCTTAGCTGGGACTGAGGCATAATCAGGATTGGGACTCAGAGTTGGTACTTAGCCTGAGGTCAGAGTTTAGTCTGGAGTTGGTGCCAAGTCTGGGATCGGGGGTCAGCCTGGGATTGAGGTTCAGTCTGAGATCAGGAATCAGTCTAGGATCAGGTCTCAGAGGTGGGTTTCCACCTAGGGTCAGCGCTCAGCTGGAATTCAGGATCAGTCTGGGTTCAGGGTTCAGTGGGATTGGGGCTCAGTCGGGACTGGGAATTCAGCATGGGATCAGGGCTCAGTCAAAGTGGGCTTCTACCTAGGATCAGGACTCAGCTGGAATTTAGGCACAGTCTGGGGTCAGGGTTCAGTGAGGTTGGGGCTCAGTCAGAGTTGGGGACTCAGCCTGGGATCAGGGATCAGTCAGTGTTAGATTTCTGCCTAGGGCAGGATTCAGTGGGATCAGGGCTCAGTCAGGGTGGGGGACTCATCCTGGAGCTGGGGCTCAGTCCATGGGCATGAGCCCACCAGGCCCTGCTGAGCTAGCCCTGGTCCGCAGATCCAGTACAATGGGCTCACACTGGATGTGGATGGCCGTACCACCAAGAAGCTCATCACGCACCTCAAGCCCCACACCTTCTACAACTTTGTGCTGACCAATCGCGGCAGCAGCCTGGGCGGCCTCCAGCAGACGGTCACCGCCTGGACTGCCTTCAACCTGCTCAACGGCAAGCCCAGCGTCGCCCCCAAGCCTGATGCTGACGGCTTCATCATGGTGTATCTTCCTGACGGCCAGAGCCCCGTGCCTGTCCAGTATGCTCACCCCCATGCTCCGGGTTCCTTGTCACCCCCATCAGCCTACTATATGGCTGGGGCAAGCCACGTGCCCTCTCTGTGCCTCAATTTCCTTGCCTATGAAACACAGACCCTATCAGCCCTAGTTCATGGGGTCATCCAAGATTCAATGCTTCTCATGGGTCATTGTCACTAAATGTGTCCTGTGTCTGCTCTTCTAGCATTTCCTGATACCCCATATGCCTGACCCTCCACTGGGTATTACTAGGGCCCCTGAAAGGATTTGGTTCTGGGCTTCCCAACTAGTGGGGAGGCAAAGCTGAGAGTCCCCAGTGGGGAGAGGAGCACTCTGCCTCAGAGGCAGAGAAGATTTAAGGGCTACAAGGTTATGTGGGCATTGAAGCTGGAGCTTTGAAGGATGTATAGGAGTTTAACAATGAGCATTACATGAAGTAAGCCTTCTACGCAGAAAGTACAGCATCATCCAAGGCCTGGAGGCCTGAGTCAGCAACTGTGGCGTTTGTGGATGGGGCATAGGGGAATAGGCTCATTGTATGAACAGAAGGGAAGACTCAGAGAAACGGCTTCCCCCGTTTGCCCCCATGAAGCATCCCTTGGTCATCCCTATCGACAGCCCCTCTGACTCTTTCCCATCTCCCTACAGGAGCTATTTCATTGTGATGGTGCCACTGCGCAAGTCTCGTGGAGGCCAATTCCTGACCCCGCTGGGTAGCCCAGAGGACATGGATCTGGAAGAGGTGAGGGCCTGGGGCCCAACCCGCAGGGCCCAGATGCATTCCAGTTTTCACGTGCTCTGTTGCTCCCAGCTGAGCTCTGAGCCACCCATGACTCTGTTCCCGCAGCTCATCCAGGACATCTCACGGCTACAGAGGCGCAGCCTGCGGCACTCGCGTCAGCTGGAGGTGCCCCGGCCCTATATTGCAGCTCGCTTCTCTGTGCTGCCACCCACGTTCCATCCCGGCGACCAGAAGCAGTATGGCGGCTTCGATAACCGGGGCCTGGAGCCCGGCCACCGCTATGTCCTCTTCGTGCTTGCCGTGCTTCAGAAGAGCGAGCCTGTAAGTCCTGAATGGTGTCCGCCCACATCCAGACACACCTCTGAATGAGGCAGACCCCATTCCCCAGGGCCCTGACCTCTGTGGTCAGTCACAGGCAGCTCCCTGTGGTCAGAGCTGGGCAGAGGGGAAGACTTGGGAGCGGAGGGATCCTGAAACGAAGGTTTCTTAGAGGAAGAGACCTTGGAGCTGGGGCGTTGAGGGGTGAGTAGGAGTTCAACAAAGAAAAAGCATCCCAGGATTTGCATGTGCAAAGGTCTGGAGGTACAGAAAGGAGAGTGGCTGGAGCAGAGAAGGGAATGGGGAGAGCAAAGATTGGCAGGGACCAGGTCACATAGGCCACCAGGGTCAAGGTTCTAGGAATATAGGAGGATCTAGAGCGGGGGAGAAACGTAGGTTCATGTTTGAGAAAGACCCATCTGGCCACTACAAGGAGGGTGGACACTGATGGAGACCCCCCTCCTTTCCCTGCAGACCTTTGCAGCCAGTCCCTTCTCAGACCCCTTCCAGCTGGATAACCCGGACCCCCAGCCCATCGTGGATGGCGAGGAGGGGCTTATCTGGGTGATCGGGCCTGTGCTGGCCGTGGTCTTCATAATCTGCATTGTCATTGCTATCCTGCTCTACAAGAAGTAAGCCCCATGTCCTCCCCGACTTGACTTGACAGCAGGGAGGGCTTCCTGGAAAAGGAGGGAGGAGTTGTCTCAGAGAATCATCACTAAAGGTCTCTGTTGTACACATGGGGAAACCGAAGTTCAGAGAGGTTAAGCCACTTGATCAAGGTCACACAGCATGGGAATGGCAGAGCTAGGGCTCAAAGCAGGCCAGTGGCTTGGCTTCTCCTCTTAACCCCTATCTTCAACTCAGCAAGATTTGGGGTAGAGGCTGCCTGTGTCCAGTTCAATGAGGATAGCAATTGTAGTGGCCCCATGGGGCACATCCCAGGGCTGAGATAAGCCTCCTTGTGGTGTCGATAGGCAGGGGGACAAACAGGAAATATGAGCACCATTTTCCAGAGGAGACCAAAGCTCACAGAGGTTAAGGAAGGCACTGAGAGTCACAGAACAAGCCCTTGATGGCCGGCACACCCTCACCTTTCTTCTTTTTTTCCCCCTTCTCACCTGTGTCTGCTTTCGGGAACAGCAAACCCGACAGGTAAGAACCAGCCCTCCCCCGTGGAGGCTTCAGGCAAGAGGAAGAGGACAGGGAATGGGCTGATAGTGTGCCCACAGGAGAGGGGATGCCCGGCTGCCCCCACAGCTTGTACACGTAGCTGTACTTGGTCCTGGAAACCCTAGTCATACGGGTCCATGGTCCTTTTCTTACCATGCATTCCTGGGGCCTGAATTGTGTTCACACATGAACATGTGCCACTACTAACTGGACTGTTCCGCTTGCTTCTCCTAAAGTAAACGCAAGGACTCAGAACCCCGCACCAAATGCCTCCTGAACAATGCCGACCTCGCCCCTCACCACCCCAAGGACCCTGTGGAAATGAGACGCATTAACTTCCAGACTCCAGGTATGTACTTATCCCTGGTACCAGGGATGCCACCAACAGGGGAGATAGCTGGGGAGAAGCAGTAGCTGCCACCCTGGGGGCCCCTCATTGGCCCCCTCTGAACTATGCTTGGTGCAGCCACATTCTGGATTCCCAAATACCTCCAACCCTACATGGATCTGGGCTTGGAACTCATAGGTTGGTTCTGCTTACAACCAAGTGAGGCTTTTTTTTTTTTAAAGTTAACATTTAACCAATGGCTGCTGTCCTCTTCAGGAGCCTAAAGACGATGTTTAAAAAATGGAGAAAACACAAATAAACCCCTCATTTCTTTGGGCAGAAAGAGCTATTCTTCTGTTTATGTCTCTGGTTTTAATGTTCCTCGGTGGTGGGAGTTGAGGTTTGCCCTCAGCCATTTTCCACACTCCCTTGGGATATATCCCTAGCAAGGTACAGAAATTATACCTGCCCAATGCCCTGTACCTCTTCCCACCATGGCTGCCAGGGTTCATGCCTCTTTATAGTTCCCTGTAGATTAAAGTCACCTGACAGTCCAGGAGAACTGAATCAAGGCCTTATCCTTGATCATTTTCATGTATGATTCACAAACTCTACCATCTCCTCCCTCTTCATGGGCTCATGCCAGCTGCTTCTAACCAAATAAGGAATTTTTCATTTTACTGATGGCTGCTATTCTCCTTATGGGTTCACAGCCAAGTTACATCTGTCCTTCCAACTGTACCCGGTCTCCACTTCGTATCTCTGAACTGGTTCATATCAACTCTATTTTCCAACCAAATGAAGATTTTAAACATTTGTATTTCACTGATGTCTTTAGTCCTCCTTAAAGCCTCATGCATAGCCTCACATGCCATTCCTGATGTACTTTCTTTTTTTTTGTCTCTGGACTGGCTTGTGTCACTTCTGTTTTCATCCAAATGAGGAGTTTGACCATTAGTATTTAACTGATGGCTGCTGTCCTCATAAAGGGATCATGCAGGGCCTCATGTATCACCCCTCGTGTATTCTCTTCCCTTTCTTTCCTCTGTACTGATTCGTGTTGCTTTGGTTTTTCAGCCAAATGAGAATTTTAAATGTGCATGTAACTGACGGCTGCAGTCTCCTGAAGGGATCATGCAGAGTCTCACAATTCACCGCTAATGTGCTCCCATCTCATTTCTGTCTCTGGACTAGCTGATGTCTGTTGTGTTTCCATCCAAATAAGGATTTTCAACATGTGCATTTAACTGATGGTTGCTGTCCTCCTTGAAGCTCATGGCATGGGCCCATATGTCCTTTCCCTGCTCCCCCAGCTTCTCCTTCACCATCCTGCATCCTCCTTCCTCAGAATGCCCTCTGCTGACCTCAACAGAGGGGACCCAAGGCCAGGCTGGTCTGGGGGAGGGGATCTGTAGACAGAAGAACCTAGCACTTTGGAGTCCTTCCAGAGTGACGGGTCAAGACCAGGATTGACTGGTGTCCAGCCAGAGGGGTACACAGTTAGCAGCTATCGTGAGTCCTCAGGTGGGGGCCCAGGTGGCTGTACATACCCCCCGTTGTCCGCGTTGCTCTGCCCTTTGCATCCGCCAGCCAGTGAGGGGTGGGGGAGGCAGAGGTGGGACCCCCCCCTACCCCCTGCATGTTTTCATTTATTTATTGTTTGCTGTTTGCAGATTCAGGCCTCAGGAGCCCCCTCAGGGAGCCGGGGTTTCACTTTGAAAGTTAGTTCTTGTGTCTGTTTTTGGCTTCCTTTCGCCCCCGCCCCCGTTCATTTCCTCTTTGGTTTCTCCATCGTGTCTCCTGTCTCTGTCCACACGCCCACCCATCACCGGCCTTTGCCCACCTGTCTTGTGCTGGCTCCTGGAAGAGGGCAGGGGGTTGGTCCATTGGGCCCTCAGGTGGCTGTGTGTGACTGCTGTGTGTGTGGTGTGTATGTGTGTGTCAGGGATGTGGGTGAGGCACGTATGTACCCAGGACGTGCCCACAGGACAGGCAGGCCCCTTAGATGTGAGCTCTTGGGGGGCACCCAGGACAGCTAGGGACACATGGAAGTCTCAGAACATTAAATGTTACCAGCTGGTCTGGAAACCACCTGAGAGCTGAACATCCGGTACACAGGTCCCAGGAGAGGTCAGGGTTCTGCAGACCCAGATATCGGGAAGGGAGAACCGAGCCCACACCCAGCACCTTCGGCAGCCATCCTAGGGGGCTTGAAAGGATAAGAGCTCTCAGGCCAGGGCCTTCTTGCACCTGCTCCTGCCCCAAGCAAGCGCAGGGACAGATGGGGACCCCTCACTCCTCTCACGTACACACACACATACTGTTTCCCCTCCCTAGTCTGTCGCCTCTACCTGGAAGCGGATTTCGTGCCTCTGATCCCAGAGGGACAGAAAGGGGTGTCAGTCGCCCACCCAAGGACAGTATTTCCAAAGCACAGCCGGCTGCGTCTGCAATTTAATTTCTGTGCCACACACTTGCTTCTTGGCTCGAGGCACTGGGAGCTTGACATCCTCTGGGGTGACCCTTCTGCCAGCCCCTGCACCCCCAGCTTGGTTGGAAGGAAACAGGATGGGCCAATGCTGTGATCCAGGCCCCTCCAGGGGTGTCAGCCTCTGCACGGAGCAGAGGGCCTCAAACCTGCTGCCTTTAGAGTCCCCTAGGCCTGGGGTCCCAGCCCCTTCATGAGCCACCCTGAGTCTTCCCCTCCTGCCAAGCCCCACCCCGGCCATGCCCTTCTAACCACAGCTCACCCATCGCAGACTCACACGTAGATCACCCCCCTCCCCCGAGTCCCCGGCTGGCCCCCCAAGTGACCAACCCCGGCGGGGTCTGCTCCACCCTGTAGGCATGCTTAGCCACCCGCCAATTCCCATCGCAGACATGGCGGAGCACACGGAGCGGCTCAAGGCCAACGACAGCCTCAAGCTCTCCCAGGAGTATGAGGTGAGCCCACCCCCGCCTCCCACCCTCATCACCTCGGCCTCACAGGCACCTACCCTGACACCCGCGCTCTCCCCTTCCTCTGTAGTCCATCGACCCTGGACAGCAGTTCACATGGGAACATTCCAACCTGGAAGTGAACAAGCCGAAGAACCGCTATGCCAACGTCATCGCCTATGACCACTCCCGTGTCATCCTCCAGCCCATTGAAGGTAGTTCGGAGATCCCGGGTCTTAACCTGCCCTTCCCCACTGCATGGAAAGTGCTAGATCCCATGTCTCCCCTTGGGCCACTGAGGCCTGATTCTGGTCATAGACCTGGTCCAGCTCCAACTGGAGGCCACTGGGCATCTTTAGATATGTATTTAACTGATGGCTGCTCTCTCTAACATGGCTTCATCTGTCCTTCTGCATCAGTTGTGACCAATCAGAGCAGTTTTGCTGCCCAGGGGACATCTGGCAATGTCCAGGGACATCTTTGGTTGTCACAACTTGAAGGGAAGAAATGTTGCTGGCGTGGAGTGGGCGGAGGCCAGGGATGCTGCTCAGCACCCTGCAGTGCCCAGAATGGCCCCGCCACAGAGGGCGATCTGGCCCCAAATGGTGATGGCGCTGAGGGGGAGAAACTGTGAAGTACACGTCCCATGGTCACCTTGGGGACAATCTGGGAGCGGTCAGAGTGAACTTCCAGGAAGTGGTTGGCCACACAGAGCCAAACTAGCAAGACAGCCCCCACAGATCCCTGGCCTCTCGCCCTGGCTGCAGGCATCATGGGCAGTGATTACATCAATGCCAACTACGTGGACGGCTACCGGTGTCAGAACGCGTACATTGCCACGCAGGGGCCGCTGCCTGAGACCTTTGGGGACTTCTGGCGTATGGTGTGGGAGCAGCGGTCGGCGACCATCGTCATGATGACGCGGCTGGAGGAGAAGTCACGGGTGAGCCTTGGACCCCACGGCCCTCAAGCCCCTGCCAGTCAGCCTGTCCCTGCTGACACCTGTTCTCTTGCCCGATACAGATCAAGTGTGATCAGTATTGGCCCAACAGAGGCACGGAGACCTACGGCTTCATCCAGGTCACGTTGCTAGATACCATCGAGCTGGCCACATTCTGCGTCAGGACATTCTCTCTGCACAAGGTGGGGCCCAGGCTGGGGCTGGGGGCTGAGGGTGGAGGAATGTGTTGGAAGGGAGGCAGAGGGCCCCAGCTTCTACCCAGGGAGCTCCCCATGGGACAGAGAGAAAGCGGAGCGTGTCTACCCAGGCTGACTACATTCTCATGGAACCCACTTCCGTGGAGGGGGAAACTGAGGCTCAGAGAGGACACTGCTTGTTTCCACCCACGGCAGGAGAACAAAGCCGGCAGAGCCCAACTCAGCAATGAGCCTGATTTCTTCTTGCCTTTACTCATGCCCCAGGTCCTCTTTGCCCACTTGTCC
Source organism: Homo sapiens (assembly GCF_000001405.40). NCBI lineage: Eukaryota > Metazoa > Chordata > Mammalia > Primates > Hominidae > Homo > Homo sapiens. The sequence continues at coordinate 5,214,060 of NC_000019.10, read as the reverse complement.
TCTGGCCTCACCCAGCTTGAGCCTATGATGGGGGCCTCAGCAGGGCCCCAGCCCTGCCTTCAAGGAGTCTCCAGACAGAGATGGACAGATATTGGCAGCCCTGCAAAGTCAGGACTGGGATGGAGAAGATCTTTTAGATATGTATTTAACTGATGGCTGCTGTCCATAGTGCGGTTCCATCTGTTTTTCTCCATCTGTGGTTCTGAATTAGGACAATTCTGCCATCCAGGAGACATTTGTTATTGTCATGATGGGGAGGGGAGGTGCTACTGGCACCGTGATGTATCCCCAACACCCAGCCAGGTCATCTCACCGTCAGGCACCTGCTTGACCTAAGTGCCAGAAAACTGAGTACATGGACAAGAGTGAGAATTCTTGGTTCAATCACACACATTAAGCATATGTTATACATTAAGCATATGTTATATCTCACTCCCTAACCTGGACACAAGCACACAACAGGGACCTAAACAGACAAAACGTTCTGCCCTTGGGGGATTTAACAGTCTAGTAGACAAGACACAGACCACAACTATGAAATGTCAAGAAAGCTTACATGTCAAAGGAGAAAAATAAAGTGGAGGAGAAAAACAGTGTTAGGGACCTGGAAGAGGGTATGATGGGGAGATTTGGGGGGACAGCATTTCAGGTAAGAGGGTGCAGCCTGGGCAGAGGCCCTGGGGCAGGACCGTGCCTGGTCATGCAGGATCCTGTGGGCCTTGGGGAAGACTTTGGCTTTGACCCTGTGGGAGGCAGGAGCCATGGAGGGCTGTGGGCAGAGGAGGTACCAGATCTGACTCAGGTGCCCTCTGGCTGCTGCAGGGAGGACAGACTGGGGGGCTTGGGTGGGAGCCAAGGTCTGCGGCAAAGAGGGTGGTGATAGGTCTAGACCAGATTGGCCTGCATGGAGAACATGGAGCAGGTGGATTGGGATAGACTTTGAAGGCAGAGCCGACAGTCCCGGGTGAGGTGTTGGATGTGAGAGGGGAAGAGTTAAGGGTGACTCCCAAGCTGTGGCCAGAGTGCCCAGAAGGTTGGAGCCACCTTCAGCTAAGACGGGGGAGCAGGTTTGGGGAGAAGGCCAGATACAGTTGGCCACGTTGTGTGTGAGGCGTCCGCAAGACTCTACTTGGAAACCGTCCAGGGCCAGCTAGAGCCCAAGTCAGGCACTTGGGGACATGGTGACTGGGAGGCGCAGACATGGGTGTTTTTTTTTTTGAGATGGAGTTTCACTCTGTCACCCAGGCTGGAGTACAGTGGCGCCATCTCAGCTCACTGCAATCTCCACCTCCCAGGTTCAAGCAATTCTCCTGCCTCAGCCTCCCAAGTAGCTGAGATTACAGGCATGCACCACCATGCCTAGCTAATTTTGTATTTTTAGTTGAGACGAGGTTTCTCCATGTTGGTCAGGCTGGTCTCGAACTCCTGACCTCAGGTGATCCGCCCACCTCGGCCTCCCAAAGTGCTGGGATAACAGGCATGAGCCACCACACCCGGCCACTTGGGCATCTTCAGCACATGGGTGGCAGGTTGAGCCGGAGTGACAGGTGACATCCTTGTGGTCCCCAGAATGGCTCCAGTGAGAAACGCGAGGTCCGCCAGTTCCAGTTTACGGCGTGGCCGGACCATGGCGTGCCCGAATACCCAACGCCCTTCCTGGCTTTCCTGCGGAGAGTCAAGACCTGCAACCCGCCAGATGCCGGCCCCATCGTGGTTCACTGCAGGTACGTCCACCCCACTCTGCCCCATCCGCTTCCCCCCGGTCCCCGCAGCCCAGCAGCCCCTGAACGCCACGTGGCTGTCCCTGCAGTGCCGGTGTGGGCCGCACAGGCTGCTTTATCGTCATCGACGCCATGCTTGAGCGGATCAAGCCAGAGAAGACAGTCGATGTCTATGGCCACGTGACGCTCATGAGGTCCCAGCGCAACTACATGGTGCAGACGGAGGACCAGTACAGCTTCATCCACGAGGCCCTGCTGGAGGCCGTGGGCTGTGGCAACACAGAAGTGCCCGCACGCAGCCTCTATGCCTACATCCAGAAGCTGGCCCAGGTGGAGCCTGGCGAACACGTCACTGGCATGGAACTCGAGTTCAAGGTGCCAGCGGGGTGGAGGCTGCTGTGGGCGGGGTGGGGAGGAGGCCCAAAGAGCCGAAAATCAGGCCCGCCTCGAGCAATGGGGACTAGAAGGTGGTGGCAGGGTGCCCCTACCTACCTATCCACCATTGGTGCTCCAGCTGAAAGCATAGCCTTCCTCATCCTGATGGTGGCCTCTGGCTTCCTCCTCCCCACAGCGGCTGGCTAACTCCAAGGCCCACACGTCACGCTTCATCAGTGCCAATCTGCCTTGTAACAAGTTCAAGAACCGCCTGGTGAACATCATGCCCTATGAGAGCACACGGGTCTGTCTGCAACCCATCCGGGGTGTGGAGGGCTCTGACTACATCAACGCCAGCTTCATTGATGGCTACAGGTAGGTGCCATGCCTTTCCCACCTCAGGGCCCCAGAAGGAGCCCATCTCTACTCTCAAGAGGCCTCCAGTCTTGTGGGAGACAGAGCTGGGGAGATACTGGTAGCCCTGAGCTGTTTAAATACACATCTTTAGATGTATATTTAACTGATGGCTGCTGTCCGTGAATCTTTGGGTGTGTGTTTAACTGATGGCTGCTGTCCATAATGTGATTCCATCTGTTCTATCAGTGGTTCTCAATTGGGGTAATTCTGACACCCTGAGGATATTTCTTATTTTCATGAGTACTACTGGTACTGCCTGGGTGGGGACCAGGCATGCTGCTCAGCATCCTACAGTACACAGAACAGCTTGTCTCAGAGAACAATCCAGCGCCAAATGTCAATAGCACTGAGATTGAGAAATCCTGGCAAAGGAGGGGAGGGTGTTCCTGGCAGAGGGTGCCACATGTGCAAAGGCCCGGGGCTGAGAGCTTGGCCCACGCAAGCAACTGAAAGTAGGGCAGTGGCCCTTGAAGGAGATGGAGGGAAGAAATCAGGAGAGGTTAGTGGATAGTCCCGCAGCTTTGTCAAGGGATTTGAATTTGTCATGAGACTGGTGGTTTCCCCACATGCAAAATGGGATCACCAGGAGGGGAAGTGGTGCACCCAGCAGCCATTCCTGGCAGGCAGTGGGGTGGTAGGTGTAGCTGTCACTGGCTTGGTCCTGACCCTCCCGGGCAGCATCAGGTGAGTACCACGCCGGGTCTCCCTGCCGGCCCTGGGCTCATACCCCCAACGCCTGCAGGCAGCAGAAGGCCTACATCGCGACACAGGGGCCGCTGGCGGAGACCACGGAAGACTTCTGGCGCATGCTGTGGGAGAACAATTCGACGATCGTGGTGATGCTGACCAAGCTGCGGGAGATGGGCCGGGTGAGCTAGGGGCCACAGCAGGGAAGGGCGAGGGCCAGACTGTGGCTCAGACAGCGCTGACCACGGCCGCCATCTCCTCCACAGGAGAAGTGTCACCAGTACTGGCCGGCCGAGCGCTCTGCCCGCTACCAGTACTTTGTGGTAGATCCGATGGCAGAATACAACATGCCTCAGTATATCCTGCGAGAGTTCAAGGTCACAGATGCCCGGGTGAGTGAAGAGACAGACTGGCGGGAGGGGCTGGAGCCTTAGTGATCTGGAAAGGGCTGCCCTGGTTGGTGATGGATACAAAGGCCAAGGGTTAGGCATAAGCATTGGGAATCAGGAGAAGTGTCAGCTGACCAGTTGGCCACTTGCTTCTACTGCCACATAGGTGGAAGAGAGGGTCTTATCTCTGTGCTGACCCTGCAGTGTCTCCACTCACTAGGGAACATGGCCCCAGGGGATGATATTCAAGGAAGTGAATGGGGCTTTCCTCTGGAAGCAGCCACCTGTGGAGGATGATGTTAAAGGGCTGAAAGGGACTTGAGGGATTGAGGGTGAGGGGTGGTAGACGGTGGACAAGGAGAGTCAGATGGTGGGGACTGGCACCGTTGGGTGAGGAGAGATGAGTATGGATGGTGTTGGCTCAATGAAGGACTGCAGTGTCAGGTGGAGGGAGAAAGGCCAGGTATTAGGTGGCAACAGATGAAGACTCATAGTGGAAGGTGGCCCTGTTGGGTGACAAAGGATCAAAGTTAGTGGTGGAAGATCGACGATGGTAGAGAACGCAGTGAGGGGATGATAGAGGATGGGGAATGTTGGCCAAGATGATGCCAAAGGATGGTGAAGGCTGCTGAATGAACAGCAATCACCGGGCATTGTGCTGTGAGCAGTGCAAGATGGTGCCCTTGGAGGGGTGGAATCTGGAATTGGAGAGAAGAACATTCGCATAACAGGATGGAGAATGTCAGTGGAATGTGGTAGTTTGGGTCAGTGAAGGGTGATGCTTTATCAGTGATGGATGGAGGAAGACAGAATTGGAGAAGGGCAAATGTTTGGCCAGCAGGGGGTGGAGAAAATCAATGGGAAATACTAGGACTAAGAAAGGACAGTAAACAATAGTCAATGGTATAAACCAATGGGTGGTACAAGATTGAGGAAGATGGGGTTGGGAAAGGAGATTTTAGAAAATGTAAAACATCAGGGAAAGATGGTACATTGGATGGCAAATGGTGGCAGAGGATAACAATTTTGGATGGCACCATTTTGATGGTGGAGGATGGGATTAGAACAAGGCAGATGATGGGGAATGGAGAATGTCAGTGGAAGATGGTACCCTTGGATGGTGGAGAGTGATGAATTGTTAGTGATGGATGGTGGAAAATGGCACCATTGAGTTGTGAAGGATGGAAGATGGCAGAGAATGATGTGGTTGGATGGCACCACTGGGTGGTAGGAAAGGAGACTGCAAAGAGGAATGGTTGAGTAGTGGGGAATGAAGACAGTCAGTGGAAGATGCCATCACTGAATGGTTAAGGATGAGTTACCAAGAGGGGATGGTGGTGGATGATGGAAGATGATGGTGTTGGGTGGAACTCGGGACGGCAGAAGGTAGTGAGTTACCAGCAGTGGGTGGTAGCAGTGGCACTGTTATTGGATGGTGGAAGATGATGGTGTTGGATGGTGGACGATGAAAGATGATGGCACCATTGGGTTGTAGAAGATGAGTCATCATTGATGAGCTATGGACAGTGATGGAGTTGAGTTGTGCTGTAGGGCCCCGAAATGGCACAGAGTGGAAGATGACAGAGGATCATGGTGAATAGGAGCTGGGAAGGGCAGAGCTGGTTGCACTATGGGATGGCAAAGGATGGAGGATGGAGGTGCTGGATGTCATACAGGAAATGTGGGGAGAGGAACAGCTGGGTGGCAAGAAGTGGTGAGGATGAGGTTGGAGCATCTCTTATGGAAAGCAGTACCATTGGATTGTGAAGGACGGTAAGTTGTCAGGGTAAATGAATGGCAGAGAGTGTACAAAATGGGGGTGAGGGCCGGGCCTGGTGGCTCATGCCTGTAATCCCAGCTAATCGGGAGGCTGAGGCAGGAGAATTACTTGAATCACTGGAGGTGGAGGTTGCAGTGAGCCGAGATCACGCCATTGCACTCCAACCTGGGCGACAAGAGTGAAACTCCATCTCAAAAACAAACAAACAAACAAAAAATGGGGGTGAAGATAGGGAGGATGGAGAAAAACCCCCATGGCCGCTGCTGACCTGATAACAAGATTGGGCTCTCTGCACTCTAGGATGGCCAGTCCCGGACTGTCCGGCAGTTCCAGTTCACAGACTGGCCGGAACAGGGTGTGCCAAAGTCGGGGGAGGGCTTCATCGACTTCATTGGCCAAGTGCATAAGACTAAGGAGCAGTTTGGCCAGGACGGCCCCATCTCTGTCCACTGCAGGTGAGCTCCCTCGAGTGTCCCAGCTTTTGGCCCTGCTGGGGAAACTGAGGCCTGGTGGGGACAGCCCCAAGCTTAGGCTGTCCCATCTGGGCTGTTAGAGTCCTCGGGGAATCGGGTGGTCAGATCAGGGCTCCCCAGCACCTGCCCCTGAATGGCTGTGCTCACTTTACTGCCACCAGTGCCGGCGTGGGCAGGACGGGCGTCTTCATCACGCTTAGCATCGTGCTGGAGCGGATGCGGTATGAAGGCGTGGTGGACATCTTTCAGACGGTGAAGATGCTACGAACCCAGCGGCCGGCCATGGTGCAGACAGAGGTAAAGATGGGACAGGGAGGGGAGGCAGCCTGGCCTCACGCCCCGACTGCCCCTAAGCTCCAGTTTCCTCCTCTGTGAGATGGGTACAGCCACCTGGGACTCTCTGGGTCACTGTGGGTAGACGGTCCACAGACCCCTCCCGCACTGGAAGGGGACCAGTAACCCTTTTAACACAACAGTCAGCTGAAGGTCAAAGGCGAGAAGTGGCCCTTGGAGTGGACAGAGATGGGCTCATTGCAGTCCCCAAGTCACAGCAAGTCTGTGGCTCAGCCTGGACCCTGCCAAGAACCACTGACCCCCAAGTCCAACCAATGTACAGATGGGGAAACTGAGGCCCAGACTCCTAGCTTCAAGGGGAATGTTCCAGTGGAGGGGGTTCTGAACAGCAGCCATGTCTTAAAAGATGAGTAGAGGGGACCCGGCGTGGCAGCTCACACCTGTAATCCCAGCACTTTGGGAGGCTGAGGTGGGAGGATCGCTTGAGCCCATCCTGGGCAACACAGAAAGACCCCATCTCTACAAAAAAAATAGAAATGAGGCTGGGTGTGGTGGCTTATGCCTGTAATCCCAGCACTTTGGGAGGCCAAGGCAGGCAGATCACCCGAGGTCAGGAGTTTGAGACCAGCCTGGCCAACATGGCGAAACCCTGTCTCTACTAAAAATACAAAAATCAGCTGGGCATGGTGGTACACGCCTGTCATCCCAGCTACTTGGGAGGCTCAGGCAGGAGAATCACTTGAACCCAGGAGACAGAGGTTGCAGGGAGCCAAGATGGCGCCACTGCACTCCAGCCTGGGCAACACAGCGAGACTCCGTCTCAAAATAAATAAAAAAGAAAAGATGAATAGGGCCTCCAGGCAGACGGGAGGAGAGGGCGTTCCGGGTGAAGAGCCTGGCTGTGTTAGGCAGAGAGGTGTGGCATAGCTCACTTCATTGTGGGAGGGCCGTGGGGGCCAAAGAGACCTTCTGCAAGAGACACGCACAAGGCTGAGGAGCTTGGCCTGCTCCTGAGGGCGATAGGGAGCCCTGGGAGGCGTTAGAGCAGCGGAGGTACTAACAGGTCACCTCTGCTCCCCCAGGATGAGTACCAGTTCTGTTACCAGGCGGCACTGGAGTACCTCGGAAGCTTTGACCACTATGCAACCTAAAGCCATGGTTCCCCCCAGGCCCGACACCACTGGCCCCGGATGCCTCTGCCCCTCCCGGGCGGACCTCCTGAGGCCTGGACCCCCAGTGGGCAGGGCAGGAGGTGGCAGCGGCAGCAGCTGTGTTTCTGCACCATTTCCGAGGACGACGCAGCCCCTCGAGCCCCCCCACCGGCCCCGGCCGCCCCAGCGACCTCCCTGGCACCGGCCGCCGCCTTCAAATACTTGGCACATTCCTCCTTTCCTTCCAATTCCAAAACCAGATTCCGGGGTGGGGGGTGGGGGGATGGTGAGCAAATAGGAGTGCTCCCCAGAACCAGAGGAGGGTGGGGCACAGACCATAGACGGACCCCTCGTCCTCCCCCAGCGGTGGTAGGGGGACCCGGGGGGCTCCTCCCCGCTCTGCAGCCTGGGGACACTGGGCTGGGACCAGAATCCAGCTTTCTTTTAAAACTCTCAGTGTAACTGTATCCCGTGACATTTCATTTTTTTTAAATAGTGTATTTTTTTTTCCATTTTTTTTTTTAAGAGAAACAAACAAAAGACTCGCCAGTCAATGACTTTCAAAGAGAACTAACTTTGGCTTATTCATATTCTGTTCAAAGACAGTCTATTTTTTCACTGTAGAAAGCGTCCTTGTGTGATAGTTACGTTCGCAAACGCGCACGCCAGGCCCATGGCTGTACCTTGGCTTTTTTTTTTTTTTTTTTTTTTTTAATTTTTCCTACCATCAGAAAGTGTGCTTTGCTCACAGAAGAATGGGATGTCCTTTTTTCTTTCTTGGCTTTTTTTTTCCCCCTTTTTGTTTCATTTTTATAAATTAAATTTTCAGACATATCAAATACAGTTCTGAGGGTAAGGTCATGGGGGAGCTCGGACCCAGTGGCGTTGGGTGCGGTTGAGGGGGACGCTGCTGTAAGAGGAGAGAGATGACAGTGGTCCTCCTCTGAGAGCCTGAGCTGTCTCCCCGTCTCCCGCCCCCAAGGAGACAGAGAGGATCCTACTTCTTCGGGGACAGTGGCTGTATGGCTGTGCTGCCCCACATCAGGGACCCTTTCCCCCTGGGACTGTGGGGCAGTTTGGGAGCAAAACCAGAAGGACAGGCCCCCCTCTACCCGCCTACCCTGAGCAAGCGAGTTGTTCCTCTTTGTACAAGGGCAGGTCTGCGGTTACTTTCAACACTGTTTATTCCAGCGGAAGCAGCCGGGTGGTTTTCCCACCCCCGTGTATGTAGATATATCGACTTTGTATTAAAGGAAGATCGTCTGACCCCGGCCCATTGTGGAGTCTTTGTTGCGCCCCTGCCTGTCCAGTTTCATCCCTGGGGTGGAGGTCGGTGGGGTCCTGGAGAGCTGATCTCGTTTCCTTGTGTGAACAGTCAGAGGAGGAGTTGGCCCAGAGAGGTGGTGGTGCTTGTCCAAGACCACACACCGCTGAGGCGGGTGGATCACAAGGTCAGGAGTTTGAGACCAGCCTGGCCAACATGGTGAAACCCAGCCTGGCCAACATGGTGAAACTCAACTCTACTAAAAATACAAAAATTAGCCAGGCGCAGTGGCGGGCGCCTGTAATCCCAGTTACTCAGGAGGCTGAGGCAGGAGAATCGCTTGAACCCAGGAGTTAGAGGTTGCAGTGAGCTGAGATCATGCCATTGCACTCCAACCTGGGTGACAGAGTAAGACTGTCTCAAAAAAAAAAAAAAAAAAAAAACTCAAAACACCGATGAAGTGGCCAGGCCAAGATTTGAACCCAAGCCCTGGTCCTGTAGGGGCTGCCTCGTGTTCTCATTCTAATAAGTGACCATGACTGAGAATTCACCATGGGCCAGACACTCTGAGATAGAAGTTACCAGCCCCTTGGCCAGGCGCGGTGGCTCACGCCTGTAATCCCAACACGTTGGGAGGCCGAGGCAGATGGATCACCTGAGATCGGGAGTTCGAGACCAGCCTAGCCGACATGGCAAAACCCTGTCTCTGCTAAAAACACAAAAATTAGCCAAGCATGGTGGCACCTGCCTGTAATCTCAGCTACTCAGGAGGCTGGAGCAGGAGAATCACTTGAACCCAGGAGGCGGAGGTTGCAGTGAGCTGAGATCATGCCATTGCACTCCAGCCTGGGCGACAGAATGAGACTCCCATCTCCAAAAAAAAAAAAAAAAAAAAAAAAATCCCCATTTACATATTAGGAAACTGAGGCTCAGGGAGGGGCACACAATGAGTTTGAGGTGGAGCTGGGATTCGTACCCCAGCCCATCTCACCCGCAGCCCTGAGCATCACACGGTGCTGCCTTCTCGAAGTGCCCTGGGGAAGAACTGAGTCCGTGGAGGGAAGCAACAGGTTGGGGACACTCTGCTCCACCCCTAGGCCACTCAATGAGCAGATCCATGCACTGAGCCAGAATCACATCCCTGGGGATGGAGAGTGAGCCATTTTGTATCTATACCCTTGCCTGAGTCACTTCTTGCTTGGGCATAGAAGCCACCCACAGGAGCCAGAGATAGGATGAAAGAGCCCCCTATGACCTCAGGGAAGTTCCAGGAATGAGAAGGGGTGATCTTAGTGACACCAGGGACCCAGCTCAGGGAAGAATAGGACTATGTCTCTTAGAAACCAACAGATCAAGGCCGGGCGCAGTGGCTCACGCCTATAATCCCAGCACTTTGGGAGGCTGAGGCGGGCAGATCACGAGGTCAGGAGATGGAGACCATCCTGGCCAACATGGTGAAACACCGTCTCTACTAAAAGTACAAAAAACTAGCCGGGCATGGTGGCAGGAGCCTGTATTCTCAGCTACTTGGGAGGCTGAGGCAGGAGAATCCCTTGAACCTGGGAGGCAGAGGTTGCAGTGAGCCAAGACCATACCACTGTACTCCAGCCTGGGTGACAGAGCAAGACTCCGTCTCAAAAAAAAAAAAAAAAAAAAAAAAAAAGAAGCAACAGATCAGGTAGTCAAAAAAATACAGATGTGACTAACATCATTAATAAGCTTGGCCAAAAATATTTAACAAACCCTATTATCCCCTCCTACTCTAACATTCTCAAACGCACATGGAACATTTGTGAAAATTAACAGAGATCGGCTGGGTGCAGTGGCTCACGCCTGTAATCTTAGCACTTTGGGAGGCCGAGGCAGGAGGATTACCTGAAGTCAGGAGTTCAAGACCAGCTTGGCCAACATGGTGAAACCCCCCGTCTCTACTAAAAATAAAAAACATTAGCTGGGTATGGTGGCACACGCTTGTAATCCCAGCTACTCAGTGGGCTGAGGCAGGAGAATCGCTTGAACCCAGGAGGAAGGAGGTTGCGGTGAGCTGAGATCGCGCCTCTACACCCCAGCCCAGGTGACAGAGCAAGACTTCATCTCAAAAAAACAAACAAAAAATATTAACAGAGATCTTCACAAATTCCAAGAAACAAATATTAGATGAGGTATCCTGATCTTGGCTCTGAAGAGTAATTAGCCTCCCCTGGAAGGGGGAGGGAAATTTTAAAATACTTTTTTTGGCGGGGAGGTGGGTGGGGGACAGAGTCTCGCTCTGTTGCCCAGGCTGGAGTGGCTGAATCTCAGCTCACTGCAACCTCCATCTCCCAGGTTCAAGCGATTCTCCTGCCTCAGCCTCCTGAGTATGTAGCACTACAGGCGCCCACCACCACACCCAGCTAATTTTTTTTTTTTTTTGTATTTTTAGTAGAGACAGGGTTACAGGGTTTCACCATGTTGGCCAGGCTGGTCTCAGACTCCTGACCTCAAGTAATTCGCCCACCTCGGCCTCCCACCGAAGTGTTGGAATTACAGGTGTTAGCCACCGTGCCCAGCCTTAAAACACATTTCTAAATAAGGTATGTGTTAAATCAATGTAATCCGGGCGCAGTGACTCATGCCTATCATCCCAGCACTTTGGGGTGAACATAGGGAAACACTGCCTCTGAAAAAAAAAAAATCAATGTGAAAGTTACAAAGTGTTTCAAATTGAACAATTCAAATAGTACATCATGAAATGCATAACCTGCGGGATGCAGCCAATGGTGTGCTCAGAGAAAAATTCATAGCCTTGAACACATTTACCCTTTTTTTATTTTGAGGTAGGAGGGTCTCACTTTGTTGCTTAGGCTGGTCTTGAACTCCTGGCTTTAAACAATCTTACTACCTCAGCCTCCCAAAGTGCTGGGATTACCGGCACCAGCCACTGTGCCTGGCCTCTTTAACACACTTATAAGAAAAGAAATTTTGAAAATAAGTCAACTTTAAAAAGTTCATGAACCAAGTTTTCAATCAAATCACTAGAAAATAAACTCAAATAGAAAAAAAAACCCCAAATAAAAAAAAATGAAGATAAAGATGGAAATAACTTTTTTTTTTTTTTTTTTTTGAGACAAGAGTTTCACTCTTGTTGCCCAGGCTGGGGTGCAATGGTGGATCTCGGCTCACTGCAACCTCTACCTGCCAGGTAAGAGTGATTCTCCTGTCTCAGCCTCCCAGGTAGTTTGGATTACAGGCACCCATCACCATGCCCGGCTATTTTTTTTGTATTTAGTAGAGATGGGGTTTCACCATGTTAGTCAGACTGGTGGTGAACTCCTGACCTCAGGTAATCCACCCGCCTTGGCCTCCCAAAGTGCTGGGATTACAGGCGTGCGCCCCTGCACCCAGCCTGGAAATAACTCTTAATTGGGCATTTTGATATGGCTCTTTTGCATTGACAAGATCAAAAACCTTTTCTTTGAAAACTCCAAAAACCTTAGGCAAAGATAATAAAAAAGAGAAAGTACAAATAATATCAGAAAAGTGGGGATAGAACACTTTAGAGATGAAACCTTTTTTTTTTCTTTTTTTTGGTAAGATGAGTATTGGGAGAGCCAAGGAGGAAACAGACAGGGGCAGTGGAGGCTACCGGTAGCAGAACTGGTATGCAAAAAATCCCCTTCTCTCCCTCCATAGGATAGTTGTAAGAACAGACAGTGAAGAGAGAAAAAGATGGGGAAGCTGGGTGCAGTGGCTCACACCTATAATCCAAGCACTTTGGGAGGTTGGGGCAGGTGGATCACCTGAGGTCAGGGGTTCAAGACCAGCCTGGCCAACATTGTGAAATCCCATCTCTACCAAAAATACAAACATTAGCAGGGTGTGGTGGTGCATGCCTGTAATCCCAGCACTTTGGGGGCTGAGGTGGGCGGATCACTTGAGCCCAGGAGTTCAAGATCAGCCTGGGCAACATGGCAAAGCTCCATCTCTACCAAAAATACAAAAAATTAGCCAGGCATGGTAGCACACACCTGTAGTCCCAGCTACTCTGCAGGCTGAAGTGGAAAAATCACCTGAGCCCAGGAAATCAAGGCTGCAGTGAACTGTGATCATTCCACTGTACTCTAGCCTGGGTGATGGAGAGACCTTTCTCAAAAAAAAAAAAAAAAAAAAAAAGAGAGAGAGAGAAAGAAAATAGTGAAGTGATAGTAAAGATCTATGCCCCATACAAGGCACCTTCCCAGATAGTTTTCCAAGTGAGTTTTGCCAAATCCGCAAGGAAGAGATGATTTGCACCTTTTGTCAACTGTCAGCTTATGAGGTGAAAAAAGAGATGGTACCTAAACTGTACGAGGACAAACTAAGGAGGAAAAAAGCACATTCCACTTATGTGCCTAGATGCAAAAAGGCCAAGAAAATTTCAGCAATGGAAATCTAACATCTCATTAAAAGAATACAATGTTATGACTCAGACAGATTTATGGAATGCAAGGATAGTTTGACTTTAGAAACTCTGAGTGAGAACAGATTGGTGCTTTTGGAGGACAAGTTGAGAGTATCTAGTAAATTAAGGATGCACCTAACTTTTTCAGTCAACGATTCCATTCCTAGATATACATCTGACAGAGACTCTTGCAGATATGTCCAAGGGGACATGTACAGATATGTCGAGAGTGGCATTATTTGTCGTTAAAATATTGGAACCAAACTAAATAGCCGTCAGGAAAATGTATAAAGAATTATGAAAGTCTGGGCACAGTGGCTCATGCCTGTAATCCCAGTGTTTTCGGCGGCTGAGGCTGGCGGATTACTTGAGCCCAATAGTTGGAGAGCAGCCTGGGCATATAGTGAGAACTCATCACTACAAAAAATGTTTTAAAATTAGTTGAATGTGGTGGTATCTGCCTGTAATCTCAGCTACTCAGGAGGCTGAGGTAGGAGGATTGCTTGAGCCCAGGAGGCAGATGTTGTAGTGAGCCAAGATTGTGCCACTGTACTCCAGCCTGGGCAACAGAGTGAGACCCTGTCTCAAGAAAAAAAAAAAAAAAAAAAAAGGCCAGGCATGGTGGCTCACGCCATAATCCCAGCACTTTGGGAGGCCCAGGTGGGCGGATCACCTGAGGTCAGGAGTTCGAGACCAGCCTGGCCAACATGATGAAACCCCGTCTCTACCAAAAATACAAAAAATTAGCTGGGCATGGTGGCAGATGCCTGTGAAGCCAGCTACTCAGGAAGTTGAGGCAGGAATATTGCTTGAACCCGGGAGGTGGAGGTTGCAGTGAGCTGAGATCGTGCCACTGCACTCCAGCCTGGGCAACAGAGTGAGACTTCATCTCAGAAAAAGAAAAAAATTATGATACAGGCACACGATGGAATACTATACAGCAACGAATATGAGGCCATTAAAACTATACACCATGACCTGAACAAATCTCAGAAATATTCTGAGCAAAACAAGCAGATTTCAGGAAGAAAAGTTACAGTGCAATTTCATCACAGAACATTTTAAAACTGACAAAGCAAACACGTATTAGTTAGGGGGAAACACTATAAGCAGCAAAGATATAAAAACTCATCTAGATGGCAATACTACCTCACGTACTCTATGATTCAATGCAATCCCCCTCAAAATCCCAAAGACTTTTTTGCAAAAATGGAAAAGCCACTCCACAAATTCATAATGAATTACAAGAGAATCCATATAGTCAAAATCATTTTGCAGGAAAAAAATACCATTAGAAAACCCAAATTTCTCCATTTCAGAACTGACTACAAAGCTACAATGATTAAAACACTGTGGTACTGGTGTAAGGACAGACACACAGATCAATGGAATAAAATTGAGAATCCAGAAATAAGCCCACACATCTATGGCTAATGGACTTTTTTTTTTAAAAAAAAGGAGGGTCTCACTCTGTTGCCCAGACTGGAGTGTAATGGTGCAATCAGAGTTCACTGCAGCCGTCAAATCCTAGGCTCAGGTAATCCTCCCACATCAGCCTCCCTAGTAGCTATATGCACCACCACACCACCACCAATTAGTACCCAGCTAATTTATTGTATTATTATTTTACTATTATTATTTTTTTGAGACAGAGTCTCACTCTGTCTCCCAGGCTGGAGTGCAGGGATGTGATCTGGGCTCTCTGCAACCTCCGCCTCCTGGGTTCAAGCAGTTCTCCTGCTCCAGCCTCCTGAGTAGCTAGGATTACAGCTGTGCACCACCACACCTGGCCAATGTTTGTAGTTTTACTACAGACGGGGTTTCGCCATGTTAGTCAGGCTGATCTCGAACTCCTGACCTCATGATCTGCCTGCCTCAACCTCCCAAAATGCTGGGATTACAAGCATGAGCCACCGCACCCAGCAGCACCCAGCTAGTTTTTAATTTTTTTTTGTAGAGACAGGATCTTGCTATGTTGCCAAGTCTGATCTCGAACTCCTGGCCTCAAGTGATCCTCCTGCCTTGGCCTCCCAAAGTGCTGGGATTGCAGGTGTGATCCCAGTCTTGGCCAGTTGATTTTTGACAAGGGTACCAAGACCATTTAATTAGGAAAGAATAACTTCTTCAACAAATGTTGCTGGACCACCTAGGTATCTATATGCGAAGTATGAAACTATATACTTCATACCATATACAAAAAGTAACTCAAAATAGATGAAAATAACTCAAAATAGTAACTCAAAATACATGTAAAATCTAAAAGCTAAAAAGTCTTAGGAGGCTGGGCGTGATGGCTCACGCCTGTAATCCCAGCACTTTGGTGAGCCGAGGCAGGCAGATGACCTGAGCTCAGGAGTTCAATACCAGCCTGAGCAACATGGTAAAAACCCATCTCTACTAAAAATACAAAAATTAGCTGGGTGTGCGGGTACATGCCTGTAATCCCAGCTACTTGGGAGACACAAGAATCGATTGAACTGAGGAGGCAGAGGTTGCAGTGAGCTGAGATCACGCTGCTGCACTCCAGCCTGGGAGACAATGCAAGATGCTGTGTCCAAAAAACAAAAAACAAAAAACAAAAAAAAAAAAAAAAAGAGAAAAGCTCACCTTTAAACAAATTCAGGGTAATTGTTCCTTCTGTGCAGGAGGAAGGAGAATGTATTCAGCAAACGGTACATAGGTAAATGCAATAAAATGTGTATTGTTGGCTGGATGCGGTGGCTCACGCCTGTAATCCCCGCACTTTGGGAGGCCGAGGCCGGCAGATCACGAAGTCAGGAGATCAAGACCATCCTGGCTAACACAGTGAAACCCTGTCTCTACTAAAAATACAAAAAAATTTGGCGGGCATGGTGGCAGGCGCCTGTAGTCCCAGCTACTAGGGAGGCTGAGGCAGGAGAATGGCGTGAACCCAGGAGGCGGAGCTTGCAGTGAGTGAGCCAAGATTGTGCCACTGCACTCCAGCCTGGGTGACAGAGTGAGGCTCCGCTCAAAAAAAAAAAAAAAAAAGTGTAGTGTTTGATTTTTTTGGTTGGGTGTTAAGTATATGGTGTTCATTTTATCTTTTTTTTTTTTTTTTTTCCCCCAGATGGAGTCTCGCTCTGTCGCCCAGGCTGGATGCAGAGGCGCAATCTCGGCTCACTGCAACCTCCACCTCCTGGGTTCAAGCAATTCTCCCGCTTCGGCCTCCCAAGTAGCTGGGACTACAGGCGCCCACCACCACGCCCAGCTAATTTTTGTATGTTTAGTAGAGACGGGGTTTCACCACATTTACCATGCTGGTCTTGAACTCCTGACCTCAAGTGATCCCCCTGCCTCGGCCTCCCAGAGTGCTGGGATTACAGATGTGAGCCACCATGCCAAGCCCATTATATCACTTATTAAAATAAATAATAAAAATGTAACAAATTATAACAAATATGTGGAAATATTTTTCCATAATAAAAATACCATAAATCAATTTTTAAAATGCTTTGGGGCAACATTTCTTTTTATTTATTTATTTATTTTGAGACAGAGTTTCACTCTGTCCCCCAGGCTGGAGTACAGTGGCGTGATCTCAGCTCACTGCAACCTCCAGCTCCCAGATTCGAGAGATTCTCCTGCCTCAGCCTCCCGAGCAGCTGGGATTATAAGGTGCCTGCCAACATGCCTGGCTAACTTTTTTATTTTTAGTAGAGACAGGGTTTCACCATGTTGGGCAGACTGGTCTCGAACTCCTGGCCTCAAATGATCCTCCTGCCTCGGCCTCCAAAAGTGCTGGGATTACAGGCATGAACCGCCGTGCCAGCCCAGCATTTGATTTTTTTTTAAAGCATGTTTAAAATAAACACTCAGCAAACTAGGAAATGAATTTTCTCAACTTGAGACATTAACTTGATAATGCTGAAGCTTTTGAACAGAAGTTGGCAAACTTTTTCTGTAAAGAACCAGATGGTAAATGTTTTAAGCTCTGCAGGCCAAAAAGTCTCTGTTGCATCTGGTCACCTGTGCCAGTAAAGTATAAAAGCCATAGACAAAGTGAATGGGCATGGCTGTGTTTCAATAATACTTTATTTACAAAACCAGTGGTGGGCTGGATTTACTCAGACCATGGCCACTAAATTCAATACTGAGGCAAGGGGCAGGGCGTAGTGGCTCACGCCTGCAATCCTAGTACTTTGGGAGGCCGAGGTGGGAGTATCGCTTGAGCCCAGGAGTTTCAGATCGGCCTGGGGAAACATGGGGAGACCCCATCTCTACAAAAAATCTAAAAATTAGCCAGGTTTGGTGGGGCACACTTGTGGTCCCAGCTACTCGAGAGGCTGAGGCAAGAGGATCGCTTGAGCCCAGGAGTTCAAGGACAGCCTGAGCAACATAGCGAAACCCTGTCTCTTAAAAAATGAATAAAATAAAATTAGCACAGAGGGCCACAGTGAGCATAGGATTAAAGAGGAGTGAACGAAACTTTAGTTTTTACGGCACCATTTCTATTATGAAAAATGCTTTTATATCGTAATTGTGTCATTAAAAACAAATTTAAAAAATAAAGGAACAGGGCCAGGTGCTGTGGCTCATGCCTGTAATCCCAACACTTTGAGAGGCCGAGGCAGGCGGATCACGAGGTCAAGAGTTCGAGGCCAGCCTGGCCAACGCGGTGAAACCCCGTCTCTACTAAGAATATAAAAATCAGCCAGGCGTGGTGGCAGATGCCTATAATCCCAGCTACTCGGGAGGCTGAGACAGGAGAATCACTTGAACCCAGGAGACGGAAGTTGCAGTGAGCTGAGATTACGCCTCTGCACTCCATCTCGGAAAAAAAATAAATAAATAAAGGAGCATAGCCAGGCACAGTGGCTCAGGCCTGTAATCCCAGCACTTTGGGAGGCCAAGACAGGCAGATCACTTGAGGTCAGGAGCTAGAGACCAGCCTGGCCAACATGGCAAAACCTCCTTTCTAAAAATACAAAAATTAGCCAGGCATGGTGGTGCACACCTGTAATCCCAGCTACTTGGGAGGCTGAGGCAGGGGAATCACTTGAACCCAGGAGGTGGAGATTGCAGTGAGCCGAGATAGTGCCACCGCACTCCAACCTGACGACAGAACAAGACTCCATCTCAAAAAAATAAAGAAATAAAAATAAAACAAAACATAAAGGAACATGCTTCCATCCATCTCTGCTGTTATAGACTCAGCTTACCACAGGCAGAGAGAAGCAGCCACAAGAATGAGACAGAGGCCAGACATGGTGGCTCATGCCTGGAATCCCAGCACTTTGGGAGGCCAAGGTGGGAGGATCACTTGAGCCCAGGAGTTGGAGACCAGCCTGGGCAACATAGCAAGACCCTGTCTCTGTAAAAAAATTAGCCAGGTGTGGTGGCATGTGCCTGTGGTCCCAGCTATTCGGGGAAGTAGGAGAATCTCCTGAGCCCAGGAGGTCGAGGCTGCAGTGAGCTATGACTGCACCACTGCACTCCAGCCTGGGTCCCAAAAAACAAACGAAAGACTGAGACAGAGCTATATCTTGCTAACTATGCTGTTTCCCGGGGTCCTGCCACTATCTTATGAGAAACAGCTTCCATTTATTGAGTGACTGCCCGTAGTACTTCACAGCCCTCTGATATAATATCATCCCCATTTTGTAGATTAGTAAACTGGCACAGAGAGGTTAAATAACTTGCCCAAGGTCACACAGCCAGGAAATAGCAGAGCCAGGATGTGAACCTGGACCTCCTGGCCCTAGAGTCTTCCCTACCCTCAACAAGCCACAAGGCCATGGAAATTCAATAGTGAACAAGAGGCTAGGCACAGTGGCTCACGCCTATAATCTGAGCAGTTTGGGAGGCCGAGGTGGGTGGATCACCTGAGGTCAGTAGTTTGAGGCCACCCTGGCCAACATGGTGAAACCCCGTCTCTACTAAAAAATACAAAAATTAGCCAGGCATGAGGCCAGGCGCCTGTAGTCCCAGCTACTCGGGAGGCTGAAGCAGGAGAATCACTTGAACCCAGGAGGCAGAGGCTGCAGTGAGCCAAGATTGTGCCACTGCACTCCAGACTGGGCAACAGAGTGAGACCTTGTCTTGGAAAAAAAAAAAGTGAACCAGACATACTTCCTGCTTACATGGGTTTTGTTGCTGAGTGAGACTCAGGGAAGACAATTTCAGCAATTTCAATTCTTGGTGCCAAGAGCTCTACCAGGTGGGGCATGAGTGGTTGTGGGTACATCGGTGGGAGGGCATCAGGAACGGCTTTCTCAAGGTGCACAGTGAATAAGATTCCAAGATCTTCCTAGGGGAGGGGGAGTGCAGGGCAAGGCTGTGTCTAGAGGAAGCCACAGCTCACATGAGGACCAGCGACAAGAGTGTGCCATTTGAAGACAGTGTAGATGGCTACAAACTCACTGGTCCCACCATCCACCCCAGTTTTATTAATGTGGTGGGAAGCCCAGACAGGTTGATAAGGCGCCATCTCCTCTGAAGGTTAGTTTATATAATTTTTATTTTATTTTTTTTTTAAAGAGACGCGGTCTTGCTGTGTTGCCCAGGCTGGTCTCAAACTCCTGGGCTCAAGCAATATTCCTGCCTCGGCCCTTCCAAAGTGCTGAGATTACAGGCATGAGCCACCATGCTCGGCCAACGGTTTATATTTTTAAAACTTATTTTAAAGCCCGGGCGTGGTGGCTTACGCCTATAATCCCAGCACTTTGGGAAGCCGAGGCAGGCAGATCAACTGAGGTCAGGAGTTCAAGACCAGCCTGGCCAACATGGTGAAACCCTGTCTGTACTAAAAATACAAAAATTAGCCAGGCATGATGGTGGGTGCCTGTAATCCCAGCTACTTGGGAGGCTGAGGCAGGAGAATCGCTTGAACCCGGGAGGTGGAGATTGCAGTGAGCTGAGATCGTGCCATTGCACTCCAGCCGGGGTGACAAGAGCGAAACTCCGTCTCAAAAAAAAAAAAAAAAAAAAAAAAAAAAAACTTATTTTAGAGACAGAATCTCACTCTGTTTCCCAGGCTGGAGTACAGTGGCACAAACACGCCTCACTGCAGCCTCCATCTCCTGGGCTCAAGTGATCCTCCTGCCTCAGCCTCCCAAAGGGCTGGGATGACAGTCATAAACCACTGTGATTAGGACAATTGGCTTAAAGTTCAAGTCCTTGGGCAGGCAAACTTTTATTACCATAATTTTGTTTCTTTCATATTTAATTTTATTTATGGTTATCTGCCTCCTAGAACAGATCAGATAAAGCTCTAGAAAGTCTCTTTGTGGATTCAAAACAAAAAGTCTGATTGGAACTCTGGCCGACCAGCCAGAAATCAGGAAGCAGCAGCCCAGACCACTTTAGGGGAACCTTCTGCGGAATGAAGTTGAACGCGAACATCGTCCTGGAAATGAAAATAATTCAACAACAACAAAAAAGTCTCCAAAGCCATTTTCTTCACCTGCGCAGCCTGTAAGGGCTGAATTCATTAAAATCCAGAAGAAAGAGGAGGAGAGAAGGCCAGGGAATTCTAATTTTCTCTTCGCATTTCAATCAGGGCAGACAAAGGGGTGGCTGCAGCTGGGAGGGTTTCAGGAGAGGCCAGGGCAGGCCTGCCCCCACCCCCACAGCCCCCCAGACAAAGAGCCAGCAGCTGGACCTCACAAAGGAAGGCACGAAGCCACTTTGCCTTGAGGCTTTGCACACAGAGGCTTGGCCTTTTCAAACAGGGCAACGGCTGAATGGCTCCCCTGAATAGGCAGCCTCGCTGTGTTTGGGGGCCCAGCTGAAGTTTCCCAGCTCTGAGATGTCTGGGCCGGCTTAACCCCCTCCTCCCTCCTGTCAGAGGCGTGTGAACCAGAGCAGCTCCATCTTGAATAGGAGTTGGGTAAAATGAGGCTGAGACCCACTGGGTGACATTCCCAGACGGTTAGACATTCTTTTTTTTTTTTGAGATAGAGTTTCACTCTTGTCGCCCAGGCTGGAGTGCAATGGCGCCATCTCGGCTCACTGCAACCTCCACCTCCCAGGTTCAAGCGATTGTCCTGCCTCAGCCTCCTGAGTATCTGGGATTACAGGCATGTGCCACCATGCCAAGCTAATGTTTTGTATTTTCAGTAGAGACGAGGTTTTTCCATGTTGGTCAGGCTGGTCTCGAACTCCTGACCTCAGGTGATCCGCCCGCTTCGGCCCCCCAAAGGGCTGGGATTACAGGCATCAGCCACTGCACCCAGCCAAAGGTTGGATGTTCTAACTTACAGATTGAGATAAGAGGTTGGCATAAGATACAGGTCACTAAGACCTTGCTGATAAAACAGGTGGCAGTAAAGAAGCTGGTCAAATCCCACCAAAACCAAGATGGCCACGAGAGTGACCTCTGGGTGTCCTCACTGCTACACTCCCTCCAGCACCATGACAGTTTACAGATGCCATGGCAACGCCAGGAAGTTACCCACATGGTCTAAAAAGGGGAGGCATGAATAATCCACCCCTTGTTTAGCATATCATCAAGAAAAAACCTAAAAATGGGCAATCAGCAGCCCTCAGGGCTGCTCTGTCTATGGAGTAGCCATTCTTCATTCCTTTACTGTCTTTTGAGACACAGTCTCAGTCTGTCGCCCAGGTTGGAGTGCAGTGGCACGATCTCGGCTCACTATCAGCTCTGCCTCCTGGGTTTAAGCGATTCTCCCACCTCAGCCTCCTGAGTAGCCGGGATTACAGACGAGTGCCAACATGCCCGGCTAATTTTCGTATTTTTAGTAGAAAAGGGGTTTCGCCATGTTGGCCAGGCTGGTCTCGAACTCCTGACCTCAGGTGATCCGCCCGCCTCGGCCTCCCAAAGTGCTGGAATTACAGGCATGAGCCACTGCGCCCAGCCTCCTTTAAATTCTTAATAAACTTGCTTTCACTTTATGGAATTGCCCTGACTTCTTTCCTGTGTGAGATCCAAGAACCCTCTCTCTCAGGGTCTGGATCGGAACCCCATTCCTGAAACACTCCCACTGTGGGAGCCCTCAAATAGGACCCTGGGCAGGAGGATGACAGAGAGCTACGGGGAATTGCAAATTGCATCCTGTCCCCGGGCCTCCCTGGCACCATCACTCCAGTTTGAGCCGCCCGCAAGCGCGATCCCTTTCGGTGAACCAGCTATTGCACGACCCCACACTTCCCACCCACTGTGAGAGCTAGAATCCAAGCGAAAAGCAAACACAGACAGAAAAACGTGCACTCACAAGCGCTGGTAAGGGTGTGCAGATACGGGAGTCCTTGTCCACAGCCGGCGGGAGGTAAAATGATGCGGCTACACTGTGGTAGAATGTGGAATCTCGCTCTGTCACCCAGGCTGGAGTGCAGTGGCGTGATCTCAGCTCACTGCAACCTCCGCCTCCCGGGTTCAAGCAATTCTCCTGCCTCAGCCTCCCAAGTAGCTGGGATTACAGGCACCTGCCACCATGCCTGGCTAATTTTTTTTTTTGTATTTAGTAGAGATGAGGTTTCACCATGTTGGCCAGGCTGGTCTCAAACTCCTGACCTCAAGTGATCCACCTGCCTCGGCCTCCCAAAGTGCTGGGATTACAGAAGTGAGTCACCACGCCTGGCCATGTTGGCACCAAAATTTCTACTTGAATGTTTATAGCAGTGTGATTTTTAACAGCCACGATGTGAAACCAATCCGAACATCCAACACAAGAATAGGTAAAGAAAACAGGGTCTATCTGTAAAATGGAATATTATTCAGCCATGAAAAGGAATGAGGCTCTGACACAGGAAACAGCACAGATGCACCTTGAGGACCTCAGACTCAGTGAGTGGCGCCAGACACAAAAGGCCACACAGTGTATGATCTCACTTCCATGAAATGTCCGGGACAGGCCAATCCACAGAGACAGGAAGGGGATTTGTGGCTGACCACAGGGTTGGGGAGGGGAGGGAGAGTGACTGTTGATAGGGATGGGCTTTTTTTTTTTTGAGACGGAGTCTCAGCCTGTCACCCAGACTGGAGTGCAATAGTGCAATCTTGGCTCACTGCAACCTCCACCTCCTGAGTTCAAGCCATTCTCCTGCCTCAGCCTCCCGAGTAGCTGGGATTACAGGCACCCTCCACCACGCCCAGCTAATTTTTTGTATCTTTAGTAGAGATGGGCTTTTACTATGTGGGCCAGGCTGGTCTGGAACTCCTTACCTCAGGTGATCCACCCGCCTCAGCCTCCCAAAGTGCTGGGATTACAGGTGTGAGCCACCGCGCCCAGCCAGGGCTTCTTTTTGGGGTGCTGGAACGTTGTGGAATTACATAGTGTGATGGTTGCACGCTTTGTGCTAAAACAACACTGAATTGTCCACTTTAAAGCGGTGATTTTTATGCTATGTAAATGATCTCAATTTAAAACAGACTTTTAAACCTCCCAGGACCTCCCAAGGCCAACTCCTCACTCCCCAGCTTCCCATCATCCCATCCTTGCTGTCCCACCTCTGGGCCTTCGTCCAAAGCTCTCCTCCCACCCTGTCCAGCTACCATAGCTCTCATTTTGGTGTGTGGTTATCTGATGAACATCAGCTTCCCTCCCCGAGATTGTGGAGTCCCCAAAGTCAGGCACCTGGTTCCTCTTGGGGAAGAGAGGTAGACAACAGGAAGGCAGACAGGGTCTTGCTCGGTTGCCCAGGCTGGAGTGCGTGGTGCAATCATAGCTCACTGCAACCTCGAACTTCCAGGCTCAAGCAGTTCTGCCAGCTCAGCCTCCCTAGTAGCTGGGGCTGCAGGCATGCACCACCACAACTGGCTGTTTTTTTTTTTTTTTTTTTTGAGACGGAGTTTCACTCTGTCGCCCAGGCTGGAGTGCAGTGGCGCGATCTCGGCTCACTGCAGGCTCCACCCCCCGGGTTCACGCCATTCTCCTGCCTCAGCCTCCTGAGTAGCTGGGACTGCAGGCGCCCGCCACCATGCCTGGCTAATTTTTGGTATTTTTAGTAGAGACGGGGTTTCACCGTGTTAGCCAGGATGGTCTCGATCTCCTGACCTCGTGATCCACCCGCCTCGGCCTCCCAAAGTGCTGGGATTACAGGCGTGAGCCACCGCGCCTGGCCTTTTTTTTTTTTTTTTTTTTTTAAAAGATGGAGGTCTCGCTATGTTAACCAGGCTGGTCTCGAACCCATGGCCTTAAGCAAATTTCCTGCTCTGGCCTCTCAAAGTGTTGGAATAACAGGCGTGAGCCACCATACCCAGCCTAGACCCCAAATATTCTTGAAGCATGCAGCTGCGAGATCTACCATGATACAAAACCTGCCACAAACCAGCTATGAGGCTCAGGGAGACACAGGGATCTGGGGAAGGTTTCCACAGTGAAAAATGTCCGCAGATCCCTAAAATGACCAAGGGCTATCCTGGCAGAAGCACCACCTGGGCAGAGTCCAAGAGTCTGGGCCAGGACGGAACTGGGCACTTCCCCCCAACTTTCCTTCATCTCCTCCTCTTGAATTCTCCCTCTTTCAACCTCCAGCATTTATTTTTTTTCCTAATTGAAGTTATTATTCCAGCTAGATAAAAACAACCTCCAATTGTGGTCCAGGCTTTTTATACATATATATAATCGAAGTAGT
The DNA here is from genome assembly GCF_000001405.40 of Homo sapiens. Lineage (NCBI taxonomy): Eukaryota > Metazoa > Chordata > Mammalia > Primates > Hominidae > Homo > Homo sapiens. The sequence goes on along the minus strand of NC_000019.10, from coordinate 5,189,533 downwards.
GTTTAGGATTTTTTGTTTAGAGGGGGAAAAAACTAATTACATCTGTGAGGGAGGAGAACCATAAATCATAGATTTACGATGGGAACATGAGCGACTCAAGCCAGGCCCACAAGCCGGCGACAACTTCTTATCTCATTACAGTTTAATTAAGAATGATGTTTTAGCATCTTCTGTTTCATTATCATCGGGCTCAGCTGACTCCTAATCTTTTTCTACCCGGCGTAAAGGAAGGTCTGGTCTAACATGCGTGCTAATGAATTTACAATTCTCTCTTTGAGGAACTTTAATAAAATTAGCCCGTGCAGAAGATGAACGTAGATGGGGGAAACTTGTGGAGGGAACACTTACTTTCAATTCCTGGCGTCCTGAGTAGAGGGCCAGTGGGTCCCCCGGGGGACGTGGAAAACAGCAGGAAATATGCAATGGGCTGAGCCACGTGATTTAGGCCGCGCTTCACTCCCCTCCTGAGTTTCTCTGCTTGAGCACCTACTGTATACCAGGCTCCAGGCTGAGTGTCTCGGATACCGCAAGGCTGGATTTTCTGCCCCGTGGGAAGAGATGGGGTGGTGGGTGGGTTGGCGGGGGGGGGGGGTCTTGCCATGTTACCTAGGCCAGTCTCAAACCCCTGGCCTTAAGCAAATCAAGGCAGATAAGAGAAGCCCTACATTGCCTGCAAATCATGGTTATAAATATGGCCATGAGAAGTTCTCCAAAGGCGAGCCCAGGGAGATGTGAGGATCTGGAACAGGGGCTCAGACCGGAAGGTAGCAAGCAGGGGAGGCTTCCTGGAGGAAGTGGCGTTTAAGCCAAGATTCAAAAGGATGAATAGGAAGGAGCTGGCCTGAAGGAAGGATGAAAGTGGTTCTGGGAAGCAGCCCAGAGAAAGGCTGGCAAGATGGATGGGGGCTTGGTGCATTTGAGGAATTTGGGGGTGGGGAATATTGCATGAAACAAATTCGGAGAGGCAGAGGCAAGAGATGGAGGATTGTCTCAATCCATTTTCATGGCTCTAATAAAATGCGTCAGGCTGGGTCATTTATAAAGAACAGAAATTGATTTCCTTACGGTTCTGCATGTCAGGTAGTCCAAGATCAAGGTGCCGGCAGGTCAGTCGCTCGTGACGGCTGAGGTCTGCTTCAGGACGGGACCTGGTTGCCGCATCCTCTGGAGAGGAAGAACGCTTTGTCCTCACAGGGTGGAAGGGCAAAAAGAGCCGACCGTTCTCAGTGCTTCTTTTATGAGGGCCTTAATCTCATTCACCAGGAAGGTGTCCTCAGGCCCCAATCACCTCCTACCTGCTCCACCTGTTAATACCCATCACATTGGCCATTAAGTCCCAACATGTGAATTTTGGAAGGGGCACCTTCAAACCTCAGCATGAGCTGTGAGGGCCACATTGAGGGGCGTGTCCTGAGAACAGTGGGACGCCCTGGAAAATAAGTCAGTCACTGTTAAATTAGTGGATACAGCCGGGCGCCATGGCTCACGCCTATAATCTCAACACTTTGGAAGGCTGAAGTAGGCAGATCACCTGAGGTCAGGAGTTCGAGACTAGCCTGGCCAACATGGTGAAACCCCATCTCCACTAAAAATACAAAAATTAGCTAGACGTGGTGAAGGGTGCCTGTAATCCCAGCTACTCGGGACGTTGAGGCAGGAGAATTGCTTGAACTCAGGAGGTGGAGGTTGCAGTGAGCCGAGATGGCACCTTTGCACTCCAGCCTGGGCAACAAGACCGAGACTCCATCTCAAAAAAATATAAAATAAAAATAAATTAGTGGATACTGCAGAGGCCCTGATCACAACAGCTGTGTTCACCTAAACACACTAATTAATGACTGCTGATTGCAAACGGCAAAGTCCGCCTGGGGGATTTGCTCTGCCTGCAGAAGTAAGCTCAGCCCTGTGAGGGTGAACTAGGGGTGCTGGGGAGTTTCTGACCCCCCACCCAAAGCCCACCGTTCACTCACCCCTCACAATATGAATGTAAAAATTCACCAGGATGTGCATTGGAGGCTGGGTATGGTGGCTCACATCTGTAATCCCAGCACTGGGGGAGGATCACTTGAACCCAGGAATTCAAAATCAGCCTGGACAACAGAGTGAGACCCCTGTGTCTATAACAAACAAAATTAGCCAGGCATAGTGTTGCACACTTGTAGTCCCAGCTACTTCAGAGACTGAGGTGGAAGGATTGCTTGAGCCCAGGAGGTGGAGGTTGCAGTGAGCTATGATTGCACCACTGCACTCCAGCCTGGGTGACTGAGAGAGACCCTGTCTCAAAAAAAAAAAAAAAAGAGGTGGGGGGCGGGCACGGTGGCCCACGTCTGTAGTCCCAGCACTGTGGGAGGCCAAGGCCAAGGCAGGTGGATCACCTGAGGTCAGGAGTTCGAGACCAGCCTGGCCAACATGGTGAAACACTCTCTCTACTAAAAACACAAAAGTTAGCCAGGTGTGGTGGCCAGCGCTTGTAGTCCCAGCTACTTGGGAGGCTGAGGCAGAAGAATTGCTTGAACCCGGGAGGTGGAGGTTGCAGTGAGCTATGGTGCCACTTTATTCCAGCCTGGGTGACAAGGGGGAAACTCCATCTCAAAAAAAAAATTATATCTGTGTGTGTGTGTATGTGTGTATGTGTGTGTGTATGTGTATGTGTGTGTATGTGTGTGTATATGTGAGTATGTATGTGTGTGAATGTGTGTGTGTGTCTATGTGTGTGTCTGTGTGAGTGTGTGTGTGTGTGTAATGGAATAATCCACTGTTTCCTGTATGGAAAGCCTGAATGAATTTTTTGTTTTTAAAGAGAAAGATCTGATACATGAAAAGATGTTGAACAGCATCAGCCATTAGGAAATGTAAGTTAAAACTAGAATGACACACCACTTCACACCTATTAGAACAGTAAAAAATAATGACAACACCAAATGCTGGTGAGGACGTGGAGAAACTGGCTCTCTCCCGCAGTGCTGGTGGGGATGTAAGAGGGCGTGGCCGCTGTGGAAACAGTCTGGCAGTTTCTCCAAAGCTGGAACATGCAATTCGCATACCACCCGGCAATTGAATACAATTCAGGCACCAATCCTGGAGAAATGAGAACATGTGTTCATGCAAAAAATAGTACACACACATTCATAACAGCTTTATTCATGATAGCAAAATACTGGAAACCAGAGGCCCTTCTGTGGTTGGATGGTTGAACATATGGCAGCACCTCCATTCCATGCCTGGAATATTACTCAGCAAAAAAAAAAAAAAAAAAAAGGACAAAAGATTGAGACCTGGATGGACCTCAAGAGCATGATGAAGTGAAAACAGACCAGGCACAGTGGCTCACGCCAGTAATCCCAGCCCTGTGGGGAGGCTGAGGTAGGAGGATCACTTGGGGCCAGGAGTTCAAGACCAGCCTGGGCAACATAGCGATATTCTCCCGTCTCTACAAAAAAAGTTTTTAAAGATTTGGCCAGGTGTGGTGGCTCATGCCTGTAATCCCAGCACTTTGCGAGGCCAAGGTGGGCGGGTCACCTGAGGTCGGGAGTTCAAGACCAGCCTGGCCAACATGGTGAAACCCCCTCTCTACTAAAAATATAAAAATTAGCTGGACGTGGTGGTGGGCACCTGTAGTCCCAGCTACTCAGGAAGCTGAGGCAGGAGAATCGTCTGAACCCAGGAGGCAGAGGTTGCAGTGAGCCAAGATTGTGGCACTGCACTCCAGCCTGGGTGACAGAGCAGGACTCCATCTAAATAAATAAACAAATAAAATTCCAGCACTTTGGGAGGTTGAGGTGGGTGGATCATAAGGTCAGGAGTTCCAGACCAGCCTGACCAACATGGTGAAACCCTGTCTCTACTAAAAATACAAAAATTAGCTGGGCGTGGTGACGCGCACCTGTAATCCCAGCTACTCAGGAGGCTGAGGCAGGAGAATCACTTGAACCTGGGAGGCCGAGGTTGTAGTGAGCCGAGATTGTGCCATTGCACTCCAGCCTGGGCGACAGAGGGAGACTCTATCTTTAAAAAAAATAAATAAATAAAATTAGCTGAGCGTGGTGGTGCATGCCTGTAGTCCCAGCTACTCAAGAGGCTGAGGTGGGAGGATTGCTTGAACCTGGGAGGTTGAGGCTACGGCGAGCTATGATCTCACCACTGCACTCCAGCCTGGCTGACAGAGCAAGACTCTGTCTCATAAACAGTAAAAGCAGTCAACCTCAAAGAGTACATGCTCTCTGATTTTATTTATATGATGTTCTCAAAATGGCAAAACCATAGAGATAGAGAACAGATTAGTGGTTGTGATGGGACAGGGAAGTGGAGGTGGGATGTTGAATATAAAGAGGTAGCATGAGGGTGACCAGGTGCAGTGGCTCACGCCTGTGATCCCAGACTTGGAGAGAGAGGCTGAGGTGGCCGGATTGCTTGAGCTCAGGAGTGTTTTGAGACCAGCCTGGGCAACAAGGCAAAACCTGTTTCTACAAAAACTACAAAAATTAGCCAGGTGTGGTGGTGTGTGCCTGTAGTCCCAGCTACTCGGGAGGCTGAGACTGGAGAATCACTTGAGCCCAGGAAGTGGCGGTTGCAGTGAGCTGAGATTGCACCACTGCACTCCAGCCTGGGCAACAGAGCAAGACCCTATCTCAAAAAAAAAAAAAAAAGTAGCATGAGGGAGTTACTTTGTAAAGATGGAACAGTTCTGTATCTTGATGGCGGTGATGGTTACATTAATCTATACATGGAATAAAACTGCATAGAACTGGGCACACACATGCACACACACGAATGCAGGTTTACACACACGTGCACACATGAATGCAGGTTTACACACATGTGCACACACGAATGCAGGTTTACACACACGTGCACACACACGAATGCAGGTTTACACACGTGCACACACGAATGCAGGTTTACACACACGTGCACACACACAAATGCAGGTTTGCACACACGTGCACACACACGAATGCAGGTTTGCACACACGTGCACACACACGAATGCAGGTTTAGAAAATATCACAATTTGTATATCTGTCTATTTCCCAGTGTTATCCCAACATCAATTTCCTGGATTTGATATTGCCCCAAGGTCATATAAGACGTCACCATTAGAGGAGGCTGGATGAAGGGTATCTAAGACTATGTACTACTTTTGAAACTTCTTTTTTTTTTTTTCTGAGACAGAATCTCGCTCTGTCGCCCAGGCTGGAGTGCAGTGGCGCCATCTCGGCTCATTGCAAGCTCCGCCTCCCGGGTTCACACCATTCTCCTGCCTCAGCCTCCCGGGTAGCTGGGACTACAGGCGCCCACCACCACACCTGGCTAATTTTTCGTATTTTTAGTAGAGACGGTGTTTCACCGTATTAGCCAGGATGGTCTCAATCTCTTGACCTTGTGATCCACCCGCCTTGGCCTCCCAAAGTGCTGGGATTATAGGAGTGAGCCACCGCGCCCGGCCGAAACTTCTTGTAAGTCTATAATTAGTCCAAAACAAAAAGTTAAAAAACAAAAAGAGAGAGATTTGATTAGCAGTGGATTAAAAGAGACTCTTGGGGAAACTAATAGAGCCTCATTTTATTCTTTTCTTTTTTCTTTTTTTTCCTTTTTTTTGGAGACGGGGTCTTGCTCTGTCTCCCAGAGTGCAATCAGAGCTCACTGCAGCCTCAACCTCCTGGAGTCAAGCAATCTTCCCACCTCAGCCTCCTGAGTAGCTGGGACTACACACATGTGCCAACACGCCTGGCTTATTTTGTAATTTTTTGTAGAGATGAAGTCTTGCTATGTTGCTCAGGCTGGTCTCAAATTCCTGGGCTCAAGTGATCTCCAACCTCAGCCTCCCAAAGTGCTGGAATTAAAGGCATGAGCCACTGCGCCTGGCCTTCTTATTTTTATTTTTATTTTTTTCTTCTTGTAAAAGTGTCCCCCATGACTATTGGTGGTGCAAAATCAAAGTGGCAGGGAAGGGTGTGGGATTGTTCTAGCGTGCAATTTGGGGGAAGAAAAATATGGCAATATTTCCCCCTGGCACTTCATAATTTCTTTGTTCATTCTAAGCATTTGCACACAGTTGCAATGGTAAATGAAATGGAAGTGACAATAAGATAAAGTAAAGCAATTGTTTTTGTTTTTGTTTTGTTTTGTTTTGTTTTTGAGACAGGTCCTCACTCTGTTGCCCAGGCTGGAGTGCAGTGGAGCAATCTTGGTTCACTGCAACCTCCACCACCTGGGTTCAAGCGATCCTCCTGCCTCAGCCTTCCAAGTAGCTGGGATTACAGGCACTCGCCACCACACCCGGCTCATTTTTCTGTATTTTTTGTAGAGACATGGATTTGCCATGTCACTCAGGCTGGTCTTGAACTCCCAAGCTCAAGCAATCCTCCTGCCTCGACCTCCCAAAGTGCTGGGATTCCAGGTGTGAGCCACTGCGCCCAGCCAATTGCCTATTTTGTTTTTTAAGATAAAATCCTGCTGGAGCCTGACTGTTGCTTCAAATTCTGGCGCCCGATCTGTGTGGATTCTCTGTCTGGCAGTCGTGAGGCATCTTGGATCCCACAAGCTTATGAAGGCTCTGAGCTCCACAGGCGAGATTTCCAACTCCAGAGTGAAGCCTGTGGCGATTTCCTAGAATAGAACCACAAGCTCGCATTTTTCTCCCCTTCCCAGACCTCTCCGTGAAACCCAGGAGCCTCTGCAAACGCTGGGATGTGTGGCTTCCAGGATGAGCCTGAATGGGGATAAAAGACGTTCTAAGTACAGGGAAACTGGATCCCTCATCCTTTGCTGGTGGGGATGTAACATGGTATAGCCACTCTGGGAAAACTCTTAAAACCCGAAACACTTTCCACATCGTCCAGTAATTGCACTCCTGGCATTCATCCTAGAAAAATGGGAACGTATGTCTATGCAAAAACCTGTCTACAAATGTTCATAGCAGCTTTATTCCCAACAGACAAAACCTGGACTCCACCCAGGTACCCTTCAACAGGTGGATCGTTGAACAAACTGTGGTCCATCCACACCACGGAATACGACGCAGGGCTAAAAAGGAAGGAACTGCTGATACCCCCACATACCCCCTGGCTGCTCCTAAGGGCCTAATGTTCACAGAAAAAAAAAGGCAATTTCAAAATGCAACATAGGTTTGGATTCCATTAATCACATATATATATAATTTTCTTTTCTTTTCTTTCCTTTTTTTTTTTGAGATGGAATTTTGCTCTGTCACCCAGGCTGGAGTGCAGTGGCACGATCTTGACTCACTGCAACCTCTGCCTCCTGGGTTCAAGAGATTCTCCTGCCTCAGCCTCCCCAGTAGCTGGGATTACAAGCGCCCACCACCAAGCCTGGCTAATTTTTATATTTTTAGTACAGAGGCGGTTTCACCGTGTTGGCCAGGCTGGTCTTGAACTCCGGGGCTCAAGTGATCCACCCGCCTCAGCCTCCCAAAGTGCTGGGATTATGGGTGTGAGCCACCACACCCGTCCTATAATATTCTTGAAATAATAAAGTTGTAGACTGGAGAAGAGATTAGGGGTTGCCTAGGGTTAGGAATGGGGTGGGGGTCACTCCCAGGGAGTAGCTTTAGAGAGATCTTTGTGGGGACCGAATAGTTCTGTATCTCATCTGTGGTTAGTTACAAGAATTTATGTGTGATAGCCGAGCATGGTGGCTCACGCCTGTAATCCCAGTGCCTTGGGAGGCTGAGGCAGGAGGATTACTTGGGGCCAGTAGTTGGAGGCCAGCCTGGGCAACATAGCAAAACCCCATCTCTACAGACAAATTTAAAAATTAGCCTAGTGTGGTGGTGCACACCTGTAATCCTAGCACTTTGGGAAGCTGAGGCAGGAGGATCACTTGAGGCTAGGAATCTGGGATCAGACTGGGCAACATAGCAAAACCCCATCTCTACAGACAAATTTTAAAATAAGCCTAGTGTGGTGGTATGCACCTGTAATGCTAGCACTTTGGGAGGCTGAGGCAGGAGGATCAATTGAGGCCAGGAATTTGGGATCAGATTGCGCAACATAGCAAAACCCCCTCTCTATTAAAAAAATCAGCAAGGCACGGTGGTGCATGCCTGTAGTCCCAGCTACTCAGGATACTGAGGTGGGAGGATTGCTTGACCCCAGGAGTTGAATGCTACAGTGAGCTATGATCACACCACTGCACTACAGCCTGGGTGACACAGTGACACCCTGTCTTTCTTTTTTTTTTTTTTTTTTTTTTTTTTGAGACGGAGTCTTGCTCCTTCGCCCAGGCTGGACTGCAGTGGCGCGATCTCGGCTCACTGCCAGCTCCGCCTCCTGGGTTCATGCCATTCTCCTGCCTCAGCCTCCCGAGTAGCTGGGACTACAGGTGCCCGCCACCACACCCGGCTAATTTTTTGTATTTTTAGTAGAGACGGGGTTTCACCATGTTAGCCAGGATGGTCTCAATCTCCTGACCTTGTGATCTGCCCGCCTCAGCCTCCCAAAGTGCTGGAATTACAGGCGTGAGCCACCGCGCCCGGCCCCAAGACCCTGTCTCTCTTAAAAATATATATATACATGTGATACAATTACATAGAAATAGATACATTGCACTTTGGGAGGCTGAGGCGGGTGGATCAGGAGGTCAAGAGATTGAGACCATCCTGGCCAACATGGTGAAACCCCGTCTTTACTAAAAATACAAAAATTAGCCAGGCATGGTGGCGCCCACCTGTAATCCCAGCTACTTGGGAGGCTGGGGCAGGAGAATCACTTGAACCAGGGAGGCAGAGGTTGCAGTGAGTGGAGATCACGCCACTACACTCCAGCCTGGGTGACAGAACGAGCAAAAAAGAAAAAAAAAAAAAAAGAACTGAATACATTGTATCCATATCAATTTCCTGGTTTTGATCATGTAATAAAATGTAACCATCGGGGGAAGCTGAGTGAAGCGTGTACAGTATCCTGTCTGTACTACCTTTGCAACTGCCCATGAATCTATAATCATTTCAAAATTAAAAGTTTTTTTTTTTTTTGAGACAGAGTCTCGCTCTCTCCCCCAGTCTGGAGTGCAGTGGCATGATCTCGGCTCACTGCAAAATCCGCCTCTCAGGTTCATGCCATTCTTCTGCCTCAGCCTCACGAGTAGCTGGGACTACAGGCGTGCACCACCTCGCCCTGCTAATTTTTTGTATTTTTAGTAGACACGGGGTTTCACCGTGTTAGCCAGGATGGTCTCGATCTCCTGACCTCGTGATCCACCTGCCTCGGCCTACTAAAGTGCTGGGATTACAGGAGTGAGCCACCGCACCTGGCCTTTTTTTTTTTTTTTTAAGGACAGGAAGCTGGGCACAGTGGCTCACATCGTAATCCCAATACTTTGGGAGACGAAGGCGGGTGGATCATTTGAGCCCAGGAGTTCAAGACCAGCCTGGGCAACACATAGCAAGACCATATCTCAACTAAAAATGTAAAAAGCTAGCTGCTTGTGACAGTGCATGCCTGTGGTTGCAGCTACGCGGGAGGCTGAGGTGGAAAATTGCTTGAACCCAGGAGGTTGAAGCTCCAGTGAGCTGAGATGGAACCACTGCATTACAGCCTGGGCAACAGAGCAACACCCTGAAGAAAAAAAAAAAAGAAAGAAAGGAAGGAAGGAAAGGAGGGAGGGAGGTAGGAAGGAAGGAAGGAAGGGAAGAAGGGAGGGAGGGAGGGAGGGAAGAAGGGAGGGAGGGAGGAAGGAAGGAAAGGAGGGAGGGAGGGAGGGAGGGGATGGACTGAGGTCTGTGGTCTTATACATGATAAACCTTCCCAGCAACAAACACCCAAGCCAAGCCCAGGTGGTTTCCTGGGAGACTCTGCAGAGACCCCAGTGCTGAGAGCAAACCAGCTCAGGGGACCCCCTCCCACAACTCCCAGGTCCATGTCAGTTTCCTGGAGACGGGGTTTGGGAAACACCGCCCAGTGCAGTAGCGAGTGACCCCGGTGGAAGCTTTACTTCAACAATTAGCCTTGCCAAAAGTAAGGTGGACCGAGGCGCCATCCGTCATGGGCTAATTGTTCTTGCTACACTCTGGGTCCTCTTGGCTGGCACATGGCCACGCTGCACAGATGCACAGAATGATGGAGGCAACGTGACCAGCACAGCTGATGTTCACTGCGCCGAGGGCTCCAGGTGGGCCGGGCCCAGGCCGACACCGGTTCCTCCTCAAACCCCCTCTGACAAGCTCGGCATCCTAACCTTCGCTTGGGCTGAGCCTTCTGCTGACAGCCCTTCCCTGCCCTGTCCTGTAAAGCTCTTTAAAGTTTCCTCCCAGTCCACACAGGCTGCTTAAATCTCAGTCTGGGAGTAGGTTTTCAGTTAAGTGTGGAAAGATGCCTGAAATCCTTTGAGGCTTCATGGAGAAAGATGTCTCTTCCTTTTAGAGACCAGGTCTCACTCTGTTGCTCAGGCTGGAGTGCAGTGGCATAATCGCAGCCGTCCTTAGCACCTAGGGCACCCAGAGAGATGGGCATCAGGAGGCATGGAAGGCTTCCTGGAGGAAGCAACATCCAAGCTGAATGCAGGAGGAGAGGGCGGGGTTGCCTGTAGTCCCAGCTGCTCAGGAAGCTGAGGTGGGAGGATTGCTTGAGCCTTGGAGGTCCAGGCCACAGTGAGCTATGATCATGTCACTGCACTCCAGCCTGGGCAACAGAGCAAGACTCCATCTCAAAGAAAATTGCATAAATGAAAGAATGAGCAAAAGCTTGAATATTATTAAAAATTGTTTTAACGTAGAAACATTTTTAGTCTATGGGCCATACAAAATCAGGCAGTGGACTGAATGTGGCCCAGGGACCAGAGTTTGCTAACCCTTGTTCTATTTTGTTAAAGTGTTGGTAACTGAAGTGTTTATATGTACAAAAGCCATCGAATTGTATGCTTGCAGTTAGAGCACTGTCTTGTTTTGTTTTGTTTTTTGAGGTGGAGTCTAGCTCTGTCGTCCAGGCCGGAGTGCAGTGGTGCCATCTTATCTCAGCTCACTGCCACCTCCGCCTCCCAGGTTCAAGAGATTCTTAAGCTTCATCCTCCTGAGTAGCTGGGATTACAGGCACCTGCCACCATGCCTGCCTAAGTTTTGTATTTTTAGTAGAGAGGGGGTTTTGCCACGTTGGCCAGGTTGGTCTGGAATTCTTGACCTCAGGGGATCCACCTGCCTTGGCCTCCCAAAATGCTGGGATTACAGGCATGAGCCACAGAGCCTAGCCTGATTTTTTTTTTTAATGACGGTGATGATGATGACGACGATAGATCTGTGATATAAGCTCGGCCCGTCTGTTCCCTGGAACAGCATCTGAGCATTCTGACTCACAAATTGCATGGATGCTTGGGCTACCATTGCGGGAGAATCAGCAGGAAAGGAGAGGACAAGCAGCCCCCCATAGCCGCACCTTGAAGCCTCACCACCACCACCCCCGCCCCGGCAAGAACAGTGGACACAGGAGACCTTTCCACAGAAATGCCCAGACACACAGCAAACGCTTTTTAATCCAACAGCCGCAATGGCAGAGGAGATATTAGTTTCCTGTAAGATTCGACTCAATTAATTAGTTCCCAAATATCAGCCTATCCAGGCAAGCAAAGGAAAACAGAGATAAGTCCCAGCCCAGCCTTGCTTCATCTTTTAAAGGCAATTAACTCTTAGTTATTAGCTTTTAATTAGGGAGTAATAATGGCCTCGTTAATACGTTTTATTATACTTGTCACCAGGCAGCTGTTCCAAACAGAACCTATTATCAGATGGTGATGGCCCCGGTGTCAACCGCACTGATGCCGAGGCCGGGGCTCAGAGGCTGCCCTGTGCTCCTTCTCCAGGGGGGCAGGGCTGGACCATGAGCCCCACCTGATGCTATCATTGTGACCCTTTTCAAGTGATCCCCAGGCCCTCTAGGGTCTCTTGATTTCCACTCCTGTCCCCTGTGATAAACCGAAGGTCCTGTCTGGGTCATCCTGCTGCCCTACCATGGCTGTTTCAGACACACCAGCTGCCACTAATGACCCTGACGGCTTCCCTCACCTATGCTGGGTCTGGTCTCCCCTCTGTCCTATGATTAGGTACAAGGACAGCCACTGCCACTCTTTTCTTTTCTTTTCTTTCTCTCTCTTTCTTTCTCTTTCTCTTTTTCTTTCTTTCTTTCTTCTTTCCTTTCTTTCTTTCTTTCTTTCCTCTCTATTTCTTTTCTTTTTTGTTTTCAGGGTCTCATTTTGTCACCCAGGCTGGAGTGCCATGGTGCAATCTCAGCTCACTGCAGCCTCGACTTCCTGAGCTAAAGAGATCCTCTCGCCTCAGCTGCACAAGTAGCTGAGACTACAGACCCATGCCATACACCCAGCTAATTTTTTTTTCTTTTTTTTGAGACAGAGTCTGGCTCTTGTTGCCTAGGCTGGAGTGCAGTGGCCTGATCTCAGCTCACTGCAACCTCTGCCTCCCAGGCTCAAGCAATTCTCCTGCTTCAGCCTCCTGAGTAGCTGGTATTACAGGCATGTGTCACAACGCCTGACTAATTTGTGCACTTTTAGTACAGACGGGGTTTCCCCATGTTGGCCAGGCTGGTCTTGAAATCCTGACCTCGGGTGATCCGCCCGCCTCGGCCTCCCAAAGTGCTGAGCCACCACGCCCGGCTGTTTTTGTTTTGTTTTGTTTTGTTTTGTTCTTGTTTGTTTGTTTTGTATTTTTGGTAGAGATGGGGTTTCATTATGTTGTCCAGGCTGGTCTCAAACTCCTGGACTCAGGCGATCCAGGTGCTGGGATTACAAGCCTCCCAAAGTGCTGGGATTACAAGAGTGAGCCACCACATCTGGCCGATTGCCACTTTCTTTCTTTTTTTGAGACAGAGTCTTGCTCTGTCGCCCAGGCTGGAGGGCAATTGTGCAATCTCAGCTCACTGCAATGTCTGCCTCCCAGGTTCAAGCGATTCTCCTGCCTCAGCCTCCTGAGTAGCTAGGATTACAGGCATGCACCACCACCACCACCACGCCCAGCTAATTTTTTGTATTTTTAGTGGAGATGGGGTTTCATGGTGTTAGCTAGAATGGTCTCGATCTCCTAACCTCGTGATCTGCCTGCCTCAGCCTCCCAAAGTATTGGGATTACAGGCGTGAGCCACCACACCCGGCCCAATTGCCCCTTTCTTTAGCAAAGTTCCCATGCTGGAAATCACCTTACCATAGGTGTCCCTGGTAGGAGAAAGTTCCATGAGACTGAGTGAAATTGGAGGGTAAAATATCACAAGATACCCACAAAGAGCTGTGTGCATGAATGAGTTCACAGTTGCTCCAACTGCAATTGCCAAATGTCCATCAACTGGTAAATGTATAAACACACTGTGGCCCATCAATACAATGGAATACTACACAGCAATGAAAAAGGACTGCACTTTAGAAACATGGCTGTTGTTGGCCGGGCGTGGTGGCTCATGCCGGTAATCCCAGCACTTTGGGAGGCCGAGGCGGGCGGATCACAAGGTCAAGAGATCGGGACGATCCTGGCTAACAAGGTGAAACCCCGTCTCTACCCAAAATACAAAAATTAGCAGGGCGTGGTGGTGGGTGCCTGTAGTCCCAGCTACTTAGGAGGCTGAGGCAGGAGAATGGTGTGAACCCAGGAGGCAGAGCCTGCAGTGAGCCGAGATTGCACCACTGCACTCCAGCCTGGGCAACAGAGTGAGACTCCGTCTCAAAAAAAAAAAAAAAAAAGAAAGAAACATGGCTGTTTTGGGGTGAATCTGAAATGCATTGCACCAAGGGAAAGAAGCCAGACACAAATGGTGACATTCTGCACAATTCCATTTATATGAAGTGCTAAACATGTAATTCTCACTGATAGTTGGAGAAAACAGATCCGTAGTTGCCACTGAGTGTGGAGGGTTGACAAGGGAATATTCTGGAGGGAGTGAAGTGCCCTATATCTTGTTTTGGTTATGCGAGCGTATGCATTTGTCAAACTTATTGAACCATACAACTGAAGATATGTTTATTGACTGATATGTAAATAAGGTCTCAATAAACATTTAAAAAAATATTAGATGGGCCAGGCACGGTGGCTCACGCCAGTAATCCCAGCACTTTGGGAGGCTGAGGTTGGTGGATCACCTGAGATCAGGAGTTTGAGACCAGCCTGGCCAACATGGTGAAACCCCATCTCTACTAAAAATACAAAAATTAGCCAGGCGTGGTGGCAGGCACCTATAATCCCAGCTACTCTGGAGGCTGAGACAGGAGAATCGCTTGAATCCAGGAGGCAGAGGCTGCAGTGAGCCAAGATCGAGCTACTGCACTCTAACCTGGGCAAGACAGAGTGAGACTCTGTCTCAAAAAACAAAAACAAAAATTAGATGGGCTGGGCACAGTGGCTCATGCCTGTAATCCCAGCACTTGGGGAGGCTGAGGTGGGAGGATCGCTTGAGGTCAGGAATTCAAGACCAGCCTGGCCAACATGGTGAAATCCCTTGTCTACTAAAAACACAAAAATTAGCCAGGTGTGGTAGCACACACCTGTAATCTCAGCTACTCAGGAGGCTGAGGCACAAGAATCACTTGAACCTGGGAGACAGAGGCTGCAGTGAGCCAAGATCGTGCCACTGCACTCCAGCCTGGGTGACAGAGGGAGAAAGAAAAGAAAAGAAAAGAGGGACGGAAGGAGGGAAGGAAGGAAGGAAGGAAGGACCTGTGGCTGCCACATAGTAAGTCCTCAATTGTCAATTGCTAACTTAGCCTGTAATAATAGCTGCAGGCCAGGCCCTGGCCTGCCCTCTGGGGGTGTCTCCCAACACCCCCAGGGTTGAACATCTAATGACCACCAGGTAAAGATGGAAGAAGTGCCGGGCACAGTGGCTCATGCCTGTAATCCCAGCACTTTGGGAGGCCAAGGCGGGTGGATCGCCTGAGGTCAGGAGTTTGAGACCAGCCTGGCCAACATGGTGAAACTCCATCTGTACTAAAAATACAAAACTTAACTGGGTATGGTGGTGGGTGCCTGTAGTCCCAGCTACTTGGGAGGCTGAGGCAGGAGAATCACTTGAACCCGGGAAGCGGAGGTAGTAGTGAGCCGAGATCGCGCCACTGTACTCCAGCTTGGGCGACAAGAGTGCGATTCCGTCTCAAACAAAACAAAAAAACTTTGTTTTGGGGGCCACAGAGTAACTTGGGGAGGGTGGGTGGGGTCAGTCCAGAAAGGCGACCAGCTTGGGGAGCAACCAGAAAGGGCCCTTGCTACCCAAACACAGTTTGCTCGGGAACCACAAATCCCACACTGCTTTATTCAGCAAAGACCGCCCACATTTATCTTCTCATCTTCCAGTGAAGAAAACGACAGACATTACAGCAGCTCCATCACCCTCATCAGCTGTAGGACAAGCTGGACCGTGGTGACGAGACTTTGCTCTTTTCCCTTGGAAGGATGTTGGCATTCCTGGAAAAAGGTGCTTATACGTGTTTTGTTTGTTTGTTTGTTTTTTAGACGGAGTCTCGCCCAGGCTGGAGTGCAGTGGCTCAATCTCGGCTCACTGCAAGCTCCGCCTCCTGGATTCACGCCATTCTCCTGCCTCAGCCTCCCGAGTGGCTGGGACTACAGGTGCCCGCCACCACGCCCGGCTAATTTTTTGTATTTTTAGTAGAGACGGGGTTTTACCGTGTTAGCCAGGATGGTCTCGATCTCCTGACCTCGTGATCCGCCCGCCTCAGCCTCCCAAAGTGCTGGGATTACAGGCGTGAGCCACCGCTCCTGGCCTGTTTTTGTCTTTTTTTTTTCTTTTGAGATGGAGTCTCGCTCTGTTGCCCAGGTTGGAGTGCACTGGGGCAATCTTTGCTCACTGCAACCCACACCTCCCAGGTTCAAGCAATTCTCGTGCCTCGGCCTCCTGAGTAGGTGGGATTGCAGGCACGCGCCATCACACCCGGCTAATTTTTATATTTTTAGTACAGATGGGGTTTCACCATGTTGGGTCTCAAACTCCTGACCTGGTCAGGCTGGTCTCAAACTCCTGACCTCAAGTGATCCACCTCCCTTGGCCTCCCAGAGTGCTGGGATTACAAGCCTGAGCCACCATACCCAGCCCTCACAAGCATTTTTGAAACATGAGTTTTGAGATGATATTTCTTTGTGACATCAATAACACCACCCACACCCACAGCGGTTATTTCAGGCTTGTGTCGTGGGGAGGTTTTCAGTTACTAGCACAGCCTGGGGCCATCCCTTTGGAGCTGACAGTCTTAACTCTGAGGACAAACTGGGGTTTCTGGAAAAGAATGAAGCTTTTGCACAAATGGCTCAGTCACCAAGGGTGTGACCTTTCGCTGATTCATCATGATTTTCTTTTCCTGTTGGAGACAGAAATGGATGATTCACTGTGGAGTATATTTAAAAATTCGATCTAAATGCTTCCGATAAGATTATTTGCAGGATTTAGAAAATTTTTATTTTATTTATTTTAAGACAGGATCTTGCTCTGTCACCCAGGCTGGAGTGCAGTGGTGTGATCATAGCTCACTGCAGCCTTGAACTCCTGGGCTCAAGCGATCCTCCCGCCTCAGCCTCCCAAGTAGCTGGGACTCAGGCATGCACCATCACGCTCAGCTAATTAAAAAAAATTTAGTACAGACAGTCTTGCTATGCTGCCCAGGCTGACCTCAACCTCCTGACTTCAAGTGATCCTCCCTCCTCAGCTCTGTGAAGTATTGGGGTTACAGGTGTGAGCCCCATCACTCTCTTTTTTTTTGGAGACGGAGTCTCACTCTGTCATCCAGGCTGGAGTGCAGTGGCGTGATCTTGGCTCATTGCAACCTCCACCTCCTGGGTTCAAGCTATTCTCCTGCCTCAGCCTCCCAAGTAGCTGGGACTACAGGCGCCCGCCACCACATCCGGCTAATTTTTTGTATTTTTAGTAGAGACGGGGTTTCACCATGTTAGCCAGGATGGTCTCATCTCCTGTCCTTGTGATCTGCCCTCTTCAGCCTCCCAAAGTGCTGGGATTACAGGCGTGAGCCACCGCACTCGGCTTTCTTTCTCTCTTTTTTTTTTTTTTTTTTTTTTGATACGGAGTCTCACTCTTGTTGCCCAGGCTGGAGTGCAGTGGTGCAGTGGTGCAATCTGGGCTCACTGCAACATCTGCCTCCCAGGTTCAAGCGATTCTCCTGCCTCAGCCTCCCAAGTAGCTGGGATTACAGGCATGTGCCACCACACCCGGCTAATTTTGTATTTTTAGTAGAGACAGGGTTTTACTATGTTGGTCAGGCTGGTTTTGAACCCCTGACCTCAGGCGATCTGCCCACTTTGGCGTCCCAAAGTGCTGGGATTACAGGCATGTGCCACGACATGAGGCCTTTTTTTTTTTTTTTTTTTAAAGACAGGGTCTCATTCTTTCGCCCAGGCTGGAGTGCAGTGGTGTGATCGTAGCTCACTGCAGCCTCAAACTCCTGGGCTCAAGTGATCCTCTTATCTCAGCCTCCTGAGTAGCTGAGACTACAGGTGCCCACCACCACGCCCAGCTCACTTTTTGATTTTTTGGTAGAGACGAAGTCTTACTCTGTTGCCCAGGCTGGTCTTAAACTCTTGGCCTCAAGTGATCCTCCCGCCTCAGCTTCCTCAACCGTTGGAATGCCAGGCATGAGCCAGCACACCTGACCTGGTTTTTCTCATTTATCAACATCAAACGTAAGAGAAGAAAAAGCTGGGTGTGACCCCTGACCCAGATCTCAGCAACTGACGCTGAGCTAGATGGATGTAGAAACGCAAAAGATTAAACATCAAATCAACCCTCTCACTGACGGGAAATGGCCATCGTGGAATTTAAAAAATAGTATGTTTCAAGACAGTTCTGACAAAAGGCTTTTAATCCAATGAGAGTATACTCAACCTCGCTCGTTCTAAGAGGAATGAATGTTTAAGCCATAATCAGATATCACTTTTGATTTATCAAACAGATCACAAAAACGTGGTAACAGCTTACATCTGGGTAGATAGCGGGAAGTGCACACCCTCCTTTACCACACATCGGGGGTGCACAAGGCATTTGGGGTGACCTGGCTGCAGGATTAGAAGTAAAATTACAGGCCAGGCACTGTGGCTTGTGCTGTAATCCCAGTGCTTTGAGAGGCTGAGGTGAGAGGATTGCTTGAGCCCAGGAGTTCAAGACCAGCCTGGGCAACATAGTGAGACCCCCCATCTGTACAAAAAATTTAAAAATTAGCTGGGTGTGGTGGCTCTGCCTGTAGTC
Source organism: Homo sapiens (assembly GCF_000001405.40). Taxonomy (NCBI): domain Eukaryota; kingdom Metazoa; phylum Chordata; class Mammalia; order Primates; family Hominidae; genus Homo; species Homo sapiens. Next base: position 5,171,327 of record NC_000019.10, on the reverse strand, counting down.
TCAATTACTTGGGAGGGTGAGGTGGGAGGATTGCTTGAGCCCAGAAGGTTGAGGCTGCAGGAACTCCTGATCACGCTACTGCTCTCCAGCCTGAGCAACAAAGTGAGACTCTCAGAAAAAAAAATAAATAAACAAAATAAAATTACAGATACTTCCATTTGGCAATCTCCCCTTTTGTTTCTTCAGGAAATTGTTCTAGAGAAACACGCAGATGCTAACATGCACAGAGAAGCCGGCTTTGCTGTGGCTCACCCATAACTGGGAGCCACTGGGAACAAGTCAGTTCCCAGTTAGAGGTCTAACTCTGTCTCCCAGGCTGGAGTGCAGTGGTGCGATCTCAGCTCACTACAACCTCCACCTCCTGGATTCCAGCGATTCTCCAGCCTCAGCCTCCCAAGTAACTGAGATTACAGGCGCCCACCACCACGCCTGGCTAATTTTTGTATTTTTAGTAGAGATGGGGTTTCACCATGTTGGCCAGGCTGGTCTCGAACTCCTGACCTCAGGTGATCCACCTGCCTCAACCTCCCAAAGTGCTGGGATTACAGGCGTGAGCCACCGTGGCCCAGCCTTCTCAGCTTCTTTTACATCTCCTTTTGTTTGCTTTCTCTTCTTCTCCTCTGCCTCCACCCTGCACCAGCCCAGTCCTCTCTGCACTGGTCCACCTGTTCCCGTCCTCACTGCCCCACCGCCACCAACCCACAGCCTGTCCTCCCTGCAGCAGCCAGTAGAGGGCGCCTGTGAGCACCTGAGTCAGGTCCTGTCCCTCCTCTGCCCACAGCCCTCCATGGCTCCCACCTTCCTCAGGGTCACAGCCTAAGGTCCACAAGGCCTTGCATGACATGTTCATCACCTTGCTGCCCTCCCCTCCTTCCTCTCTTCCCCTGGCTCACTCTGCTGCAGCCACAGGGCCCTCCTCACTGTTCCTCCAGCACACCAGGCACAGTCCTGCCCCAGGACCTTTGCATGGGCTGTGCACTCTGCCTGGAGCTCTCGTCCTCCAAATATACACTTGACTCACTCTCTCCCTTCAGGTCTCTGCTCAAATGTCACCTTCTCAGTGGGACCCTGAACAACCTATATATTTAGCTTAGTGCAAAAGTCATTGTGTGCTGCAATGACTTTTGCACCAACCTAATACAGTTGTTCCCATCACCGTTAGTTTTCTTCTTTCTTCTTTTTCCTTCTTTTTCTTCTTTCCTCCTCCTCCTTTCTCTCCTCCTCCTTCTTCTTCCTTCTTCTTTTATCGCATAGCATGTACAACCTTCTAACCTGCTCCCCAATTTGGTTATTTATCTCATCCGTCTCCCCGAGGGGCTGTGAGCTGCTGTGGGCAGGGATTTTTCTTTTTTTTCCCCATATTTGCCCAGTGTGGCCCAAGCTCCTGGGATAACACCAGGAAAGTGAAGGTGTTTTCTGAGTGACTGAATGTAAACTCCTTTCTCTTTGCTATGGTCTGAATGGGTCCCCCCAAAGTCATGTGTTGGAAACTGATTCTCCAATGCAACAGTGTTGGGAGATGGGGCCTTTGGGGGAGGTGTTTAGGATTCGTGCCATTATAAAAGGTTTCCTGGAGATTTTGACTCCTTTCCCATCCTGCCTTCTGACATGTGAGAAGGTGGCATTCAAGACATCATTCTGGAAGCTGAGAGCAGCCTTCACCAGAGGCTGGAGCCTTGATCTTGGACTTTCCAGCCTCCAGAACCACGAGAAATAAATCTATGATCTTTGTAAATTACCCAGTCCATGATATTCTCTTGTAGTGGCACAAAGGGACTAAGCCATTACTTCTCCCTCTTACGTGTAATGTGACTCATCTGTAAGGAAGATCTGTCCCTTCTCCCTCCATTTAGGTATTTATTCAATTACTTATAGCAGTTTGGATATTTATTTTATTCTCTAGGTGATAATCCCACACTGTCACTAATTTTATTGTTCAAATTGTTTCAGCTTCAGCCACTGGGAGCTGCTTCGGTTGGGTCTGGTGTCCTTTCTATATATCTATACCCTTTTTTGAGCATTTCCTTATTTTCTGGGAACACAAGATGCTTCAGGTTTATCTTGTGTTTTCTGTTTTTCTTTCTCTCTCTCTCTCTCTCTTTTTTTTTTTTTTTTTTGTTGTTGAGATGGAGTCTTGCTGTATTGCTCAGGCTAGAGTGTAGTGGCATGATCTCGGCTCACCTCCTGGGTTCATGTGATTCTCCTGCCTCAGCCTCCCGAGTAGCTTGGATTACAGGTGCCCACCACCACGCCCAGCTAATTTTTGTATTTTTAGTAGAGATGGGTTTTTGCGATGTTGGCCAGGCTGGTTTCGAACTCCTGACCTCAGGTGATCTGCCCACCTCAGCCTCCCACAGTGCTGGCATTACAGGCATGAGTCACCGAGCCCAGACCCCCATCGAATCATTCATGTAGGCTGGGTATGGCCAACTTTGGGAGGCCAAGGCGGGAGGATCGCTTGAGCCCAGGACTTTAAGACCAGCCTGGGCGACAAAGTGAGACCCCTATCTCTACAAAAAAAATAAAAAATTAGCTGGGCACAGCGGTATGTGCCTGTACCTTGTCTTGTGTTTTCTCTGTCCCAGTCATAAAATCAGTGATTCCTCCCCTGGTTCCTTTTATTGGAGAATGGTATTTAGATCGGGGTGCTAGTATGCTCACTGCTATTGGGGTATCAGATTAGCCATGTGTACACACATCTTTATTTATTTCTTCTTAACATTTTTCTTTTTGTAGGGATGGGGCTGTGCTATGTTGTCCAGGCTGGTCTTGAACTCCTAGCCTCAAGCGATTCTCCCCAAGCCACCCTGGTCTCCCAAATAGCTGGGATTACAAGTTTGAGCCCTTTCACCTGTATTCATAATATAAATATATATACTTACATATTTATTTCTGCATCTATATGTACTGACTATATATTTCTATAACATCTGTCTATATATATATATTAGAAAATCATGGATTGATACTGACACTTTTTTTTTTTTTTTTTGAGACGGAGTCTCGCTATGTCACCCAGGCTGGAGTGCAGTGGCGCAATCTCGGCTCACTGCAAGCTCTGCCTCCTGGGTTCATGCCATTTTCCTGCCTCAGCCTCCCGAGTAGCTGGGACTACAGGCGCCCACAACCACGCCCAGCTAATTTTTTTTTTGTTTTTAGTAGAGACAGGGTTTCACTGTGTTAGCCAGGATGGTCTCGATCTCCTGACGTCATGATCCACCCACCTTGGCCTCCCAAAGTGCTGGGATTACAGGCATGAGCCACTGCGCCCAGCCTATACTGACACTTCTGATTCCAACCAGCACAATGTTCATTCTAGCCGCTTCCTTTACCCTTGACGTAACTTTTTTCGCTGACAGAGAGAAACCTAGCTCATCTACAATTAATTCACTCATTTGCTCAATTGCAATATTCACATATAGTAGGTACAGATGGCTAAGCCATGAGAACTAGATTTTTGAACTAGAGTATAGTGTTGGTGTATAGGTATTTTCATTTTTAGCCTAACAGTATCCAGTGGAAACATTGTTTCCCAAATTTACTGAGATCAACTCCATTCTTCCCCTGGCTCTTCAGTGTGGTTGATTTTCATTTGTGGTGCAGCTGAGTTTATATTTTACTATTTGTTTTCCATTTGGAGTACACATCATATCCTTGATTTTAATCAGTTATCTTTTAAAGTGTGTATAACATGACTATGATTTTTCAGTCAGAGCTATACCAAATGGTTCTCAGAGAGTGGGCACTCCCTCTTCATTCCTGCTACTCTTTTTCCCATACCACTTCCAGCCTCTTTTTTTTTTTTCTTTTCCTTTTTTGCAACAGAGTCTCCCTCTGTTACCCAGGCTGGAGTGCAGTGGCGCGATCTCGGCTCACTGCAAGCTCCGCCTCCCGGGTTCACGCCATTCTCCTGCCTCAGCCTCCCGAGTAGCTGGGACTACAGGCGCCCGCCACCACGCCTGGCTAATTTTTTGTATTTTTAGTAGAGACGGGGTTTCACTGTGTTAGCCAGGATGGTCTCGATCTCTTGACCTCGTGATCCACCTGCCTTGGCCCCCAAAGTGCTGGGATTACAGGCATAAGCTTCCGCACCTAGCCTTTTTTTTTTTTTTTTTTTTTTTTAAGAGATGGGATCTGGCTCTGTCACACAGGCTGGAGTGCAGTAGCACAATCACGAGTCATTGCATCCCTGACCTCCTAGGCTCAAATGATCCCCCTACCTCAGCTTCCTGAGTAGCTGGGACTACAGGTGTGCACCACCACGTCTGGCTAATTAAAAACAATTTTTTTTTCAGAGATAGGGTCCTGCTATGTTGCCTAGACTGGTCTCGAAATCCTGGCCTCAAGCAATCCTCCCACCTTGGCCTCCTAAAGTGCTGAGATTACAGGCATGAGCCACCTTGCCTACTGCCCTAATTCTTTTAAATAATTTCCCACCTGCCCCTGTAGGTAACCAACATCCTTAGTTTCTTGTCTATCCTTCCCGTATTTCTTTTTCATTGAGGTGAGATTCACATAAAGTTAGCCATTTGAAAGTGAACAATTCAGTGACATTTGACACACTCAGTGCTGTGCAGTCACCAATTCTCTTTAATTCCCAAATACCCCCAAAGAAGACCCTATGCCCATTAAATAGCCACTCCTCATTCCCCTGGCCCCAGCTGCTGGCAACCTACAATCCCCTTCCTGTCTCTGTAGATTGACCTGTCCTGGACATTTCATAGATATGGGATCACACACTGTGTGGCCTTTTGTGTCTGGCTTCTTTCACTGAGCATGATGCCAAGGTTCATCCACACTACTGTAGCCTGTGTCAGACCCCCATTCCTTTTAATGGCTGAGTGATATTCCATTGTATGGATGGATCACATTGTGTTTACCCATCCATCAAACAACAGACACTTGGATTGTTTCCACCTTTTGGCCACTGTGAATCATGTTGCTATGACCATGGTGTGCAAACATCTGAGTCTCTGCTTCCAATTCTTTTGGTGTATCCTGGAAGTCAGATTCCTGGGTCATACAGTGACTCTGTGTTTAACTTTTTATTTGAAATGGAGTTTCACTCTTGTCGCCCAGGCTGGAGTGCAATGGTGCGGTCTCAGCTCACTGCAACCCTCCTGGGTTCAATTGATTCTCCTGCCTCAGCCTCCCGAGTAGCTGGGATAACAGGAGCTCACCACCACCCCCAGCTAATTTTTGTATTTTTAGTAGAGATGGAGTTTTACCATGTTGGCCAGGCTGGTCATGAACTCCTGACCTCAGGTGATCCACCCGCCTCGGACTCCTAAAGTGCTGGGATTATAGGCATGAGCCACCAAGCCTGGTCTGTGTTTAACTTTTTGAAGGACTCAGACTATTCCCAGGTACTTTCTTAACACCTGGTAATGTTGATGCTGGCATCTGTCTCCTCTAAAGGGCATGGGCTTTGTGGGGCAAGAACTTGCTGTATCCTCAGTGTCTGGCTCCCCAGTGTGTGTGTGGGCTTGGGAAAAACTAGCACAGTGCAAGGGCTCAGTAGCAGCTGGCAGAATTGATAAGACTGAGAGGTGAGGCCAACTGGACTTCCTGGGTCGAGCGGGGACTTGGAGAACTTTTCTGTCTTACAAGAGGTTTGTAAAATGCACCAATCAGTGCTCTGTAAAATGGACCAATCAGCACTCTGTAAAATGGACCAATCAGCAGGACATGGGCAGGGACAAATAAGGGAATAAAAGCTGGCCGCCCCAGCCAGCAGCAGCAACCCGCTCGGGTCCCCTTCCACGCTGTGGAAGCTTTGTTCTTTTGGTCTTCATAATAAATCTTGCTGCTGCTCACTCTTTGGGTCCGTGCCACCTTTAAGAGCTGTAACACTCACCACGAAGGTCCGCGGCTTCATTCTTGAAGTCAGCGAGACCACGAACCCACTGGAAGGAACCAACTCTGGACACATCTTGGGGGCTTGTCTGGGATATCGCCTTTTGGTGAGTACCATCGGACCCATTTTGCTTGCTATTCTGTCCTATTTTTCCTTAGAATTCAGGGGCTAAACACCGGGCACTTGTCGGCCAGTTAAAAGCAACTAGCGTGGCCACCAGACTAAAGACACTGGTGTCGGGCTTTCTGGGAAAGGGCTCTCTAACAATCCCCAACTCTTTGGAGTTGGGAGCGTTGGTTTGCCTGGAACCAGCTTCCACTTTTCCTGTACTTCCGGACTGAGCCAAGTGTCAACAGAGAGGAAAGCCATTTAGCTCCAGGGCCCTGACAAAAAGTTGGTTGACCCTGCAGCCATGAGCGGAACTCTCAAAGTCACGTCACCCAAGCGAGACTTGCCCATTTATCCTATCTATCCTGACCCTTGCCTCCTGGGTCCTAATGCCTGTCAGACATACTTCCTCCCACCTCTCCTCTCCGAGGCTAGTCCTGTTTCTAAAAACCACTCCCTGTCTCTGGTGCTTTTCTAGTTTCTCCTATAAGAACGACTTCTAGTATACATTTCAGGACTCTGTTCCTTTCTTTAGGCATCTGGGCTCACCAATCAGAAAGACAATCTTTGCCCAAAGCCCTGTCAGTGGGGAGACTATCTGGAATTTTAGGATCCCTCCTCAGACTAGCAGGCCTAACAAAGGCTATTCCCAAAGCTAGGATATGGGGAGCCTCAGAAATGATATCCTTCCTATTCACATGATGAGAAGTGAGGACAAAAGGCATCACTCTAGAGATCCCTTCCCTCCCTCAGGGTATGGCCCTTCACTCCATTTTGAGACATAACATCTTTATAGAACAAGGGTAAGGTCCCAATACTAACAGGAGAAAATGCTTAGGACTCTAACAGGTCTTCGAGAATGTGTTGGTAAGGGCCACTAAATCTGTTTTTTCTCAGTCTTCTTTGTGGTCTAAGAGGAAAGGCAAGGATGCATGTTTCCGAGAATGCATCAGTAAGGGCCACTAAATCTGACCTTCCTCAGTCCTCTTTGTGGTCTAGGAGGAAAACTAGTGTTTCTGCTGCTGCTTCGGTGAGCGCAACTATTACGATCAGCAGGGTCCAGGGACTGTTGCAGGTTCTTGGGTGGGGGAGGGGGGAAAACAAACCAAAACTGCGAGCAGTTTTTCTTTCACATGGGAAACACTCAGGCATCAACAGGCTCAACCTTGAAATGCATCCTAAGCCACTGGGACCAATTTGACCCAGAAACCCTGAAAAAGAGGTGGCTCATTTTTTTTTTCTGCACTATGGCCTTGCCCCAATATTCTCTCTCTGATGGGGAAAAATGGCCACCTGAAGGAAGTATAAATTACAATACTATCATGCAGCTTGACTTTTTCTGTAAGAGGGAAGGCAAATGGAGTGAAATACCTTATGTCCAAGCTTTCTTTTCATTGAAGGAGAATCCACAACTATGCAAAGCTTGCAATTTACATCCCACAGGAGGAGCTCTCAGCTTACCTCTATATCCTAGCCTTCCTACAGCTCCCATTCCTATTAAGGATAAGCCTCGTCTAATCTCCCCCACCCAGAAGGAAACAAGCAAAGAAATCTCCAAGGGACCACAAAACCCCCTGGGCTATCATTTATGTCCCCTTCAAGCTATAGGGGTAGGGATTTTGGCCCAATCTGGGTACATGTCCCTTCTCCCTCTCGATTTAAAGCAGATCAAGGTAGACCTGGGGAAGTTTTCAGATGATCCTGATAGGTATACAGATGTCCTATAGGGTCTAGGGCAAACCTTTGACCTCACTTGGAGAGATGTCATGCTATTGTTAGATCAAACCCTGGTCTTTAATGAAAAGAATGGAGCTTTAGCTGCAGCCCAAGAGTTTGGAGATACCTTTTATCTTAATCAAGTAAATGATAGGATGACAGCTGAAGAAAGGGACAAATTCCCTACTGGTCAGCAAGCCATCCCCAGTATGGATCCCCACTGGGACCTCGACTCAGATCATGGGGACTGGAGTCGCAAACATCTGTTGACCTGTGTTCTAGAAGGACTAAGGAGAATTAGGAAAAACCCCATGAATTATTCAATGATGTCCACCACAACTCAGGGAAAGGAAGAAAATCCTACCGCCTTCCTCGAGTGGCTATAGGAGGCCTTAAGAAAATATACTCCCCTGTCACCTGACTCTCTCGAGGGTCAACTGATCCTCAAACATAACTTTATTACCCAATCAGTGAAGATATCAGGAGAAAGCTCCAAAAGTGAGCCCTGGGCCCTGAACAAAATCTGGATGCATTGTTAAACCGGGCAACCTCGGTGTTCTATAATAGGGACCAAGAGAAACAGGCCGAAAAGGAAAAGCGAGATCAGAGGAAGGCCACAGCCTTAGTCATGGCCCTCAGACAAACAAACCTTGGTGGTTCAGAGAGGACAGAAAATGGAACAGGCCAATCACCTAGTAGGGCTTGTTATCAGTGTGGTTTGCAAGGACACTTTAAAAAAGATTGTCCAATGAGAAACAAGCTGCCCCCTAGCCCATGTCCACTATGCTGAGGCAATCACTGGAAGGTGCACTGCCCCAGAGGGCAAAGGCTCTGTGGGCCAGAAGCCCCCAACCAGATGATCCAACAACAGGATTGAGGGTGCCTGGGGCAAGCGCCAGCTCATGTCATCACTCTCACTGAGCCCCGGGTATGATTAACCAATGAGGGCCAGGAAATTGACTTCCTCCTGGATACTGGTGCAGCCTTCTCAGTGTTAATCTCCTGCCCCAGACAGCTGTCCTCAAGGTCCATTACCATCCGAGGAATCCTGGGACAGCCTGTAACCAGGTATTTCTCCCACCTCCTCAGTTGTAATTGGGAGACTTTGCTCTATTCACATGCCTTTCTTGTTATGCCTGAAAGTCCCACACCCTTATTAGGGAGGGACATATTAGCCAAAGCTGGAGCTATTATTTACTTGAATATGGGGAACAAATTACCCATTTGTTGTCCCCTACTTGAGGAGGGAATCAACCCTGAAGTCTGGGCATTGGAAGGACAATTTGGAAGGGCAAAAAATGCCCGCCCCATCCAAATCAGGCTAAAAGATCCCATCAATTTTCCTTATCAAAGGCAATATCCCTTAGGGCCTGAAGCTCATAAAGGATTACAGGATACTGTCAGACATTTAAAAGCTCAAGGCTTACTAAGAAAATGCAGTAGTCCCTGCAACACCCCAATTCTAGGAGTACAAAAACCAAATGGTCAGTGGAGGCTAGTGCAAGATCTTAGACTAATCAATGAGGCAGTAATTCCTCTATATCCAGTTGTACCCAACCCCTATACCCTGCTCTCTTGAATACCAGAGGAAGCAGAATGGTTCACTGTTCTGGACCTCAAGGATGTCTTCTTCTGTATTCCCCTGCACTCTGACTCCCAGTTTCTCTTTGCTTTTGAGGATCCCACAGACCACAGGTCCCAACTTACATGGAAGGTCTTGCCCCAAGGGTTTAGGGATAGCCCTCATCTGTTTGGTCAGGTACTGGCCCAAGATTTAGGCCACTTCTTAAGTCCAGGCACTCTGGTCCTTCAATATGTGGATGATTTACTTTTGGCTACCAGTTTGGAAGACTCATGCCAGCAGACTACTCTCGATCTCTTGAATTTTCTAGCTAATCAAGGGTACAAGATGTCTAAATCAAAGGCCCAGCTCTGCCTACAAGTCAAATATCTAGGCCTAATCTTGGCCAGAGGAACCAGGGCCCTCAGCAAGGAATGAATACAGCCTATACTGGCTTATCCTCGCCCTAAGACATTAAAACAGTTGTGGGGGTTCCTTGGAATCACTGGCTTTTGCCGACTATGGATCCCCAGATACAGCGAGATACACTCTAAGGAGACCCAGAGGGCAAATACTCATCTAGTAGAATGGAGACCCAGAGGGCAAATACTCATCTAGTAGAATGGGAACCAGAGGCAGAAACAGCCTTCAAAACCTTAAAGCAGGCCCTACTACAAGCTCCAGCCTTAAGCCTTCCCACAGGAACAAACCTCTCTTTATACGTCACACAGAGAGCAGGAATAGCTCTTGGAGTCATTACTCAGACTCGTGAGACAACCCTACAACTAGTGGTGTACCTAAGGAAATTGACGTAGTAGCAAAAGCCTGGCCTCACTGCTTACAGGTAGTTGCGGCGATGGCCATCTTAGTATCAGAAGCTATCAAAATAATATAAGGAAAGGATCTCACTGTCCAGACTACTCATGATGTAAATGGCATACTAGGTGCCAAAGGAAGTTTATGGCTATTAGACAACCGCCTGCTTAGATACCAGGTGTTACTTGAGGGAATGGTCCTTCAAATACGCATGTGTGCACCCCTCAATCCTGCCACTTTTCTCCCAGAGGATGGGAAACCAATCAAGCATGACTGCCAACAAATTATAGTCCAGACTTAGGCCGCCTGAGAGGATCTCTTAGAAGTCCGCTTAGCTAATCCTGACCTTAATCCATATACCAATGGAAGTTCACTTGTGGAGAATGGGATATGAAGGGCAGGTTATGCCATAGTTATGTAACAGTACTTGAAAGTAAGCCTCTTCCCCCAAGGACCAGCGCTCAGTTAGCAGAACTAGTGGCACTTATCTGAGCCTTAGAACTGGGAAAGGGAAAAAGAACGTGTATACAGATAGCGAGTATGTTTATCTAATCCTACATGCCCATGCTGCAATATGGAAAGAAAAGGAGTTCCTAACCTCTGGGGGAACCCCCATTAAATACCACAAGGAAATCATGGAGCTATTGCATGCAGTGCAAAAACCCCAAGGAGGTGGCAGTCTTACACTGCTGAAGCTATCAAAAAGGGGAAGGAGAGGCAGGGAAAGACCAGCAGAGAGGAAAGAGAGAGAGACAGAAAGTCAAAGAAAGAAAGAAAGAGAGAGAGGGGAAAGACAGAAAGTCAAAGAAAGAAGGAAAGAGAGAAAGAGAGGAAGAGACAGAGACAAAGAGGGAGTCAGAGAGAGACAGAAAGAGAGAGACAGAAAGTCAAAGAGAGAAAGAGAGAGAGAGAGAGGGGAAAGACAGAAAGTCAAAGAAAGAAGGAAAGAGAGAAAGAGAGGAAGAGACAGAGACAAAGAGGGAGTCAGAGAGAGAGAGAAAGAGAGAGAGAGACAGAAAGTCAAAGAGAGAAGGAAAGAGAGAAAGAAAGAGATAGAAGTAGTAAAGAAAAAAACAGTGTACCCTATGCCTTTAAAAGCCTGGGTAAATTTAAAACCTACAATTGTTAATTGGAGGTCTTCTCCATGACCCTGTAACACTCCAATACCACCTTGTTGTCAGCGTAAACAGGGGCGTAGCCTGAAAGCACTGAGGCCACTGACAACCTGTAGCTTTCCTATCAAAAATCCTTAACCCAGCAGGTTTCCTAATAGGGGATCTAAATCCTAATTACCATACAAAGGTCTGACCAGACCTAGAAGGTACTCCCTTCAGGACAGGACAATAGATGGTTCCTCTCCGGTGATTAAGGGAAAAAGATACAATGGGTATTAAAATTGCCTAATAATTGGTCTGCTCAAACGTGAGAGCTGTTTGCACTCAGCCAAACCTTAAAGTACTTACAGAATCAGGAAGGAGCCATCTATACCAATTCTAAGTTAATATGGACTGAACGAGGTCTTATTAATAGCAAAGAATAATTGAAATCCCAGACTTACAAGGTTTTCAACAAAAGTAAAGTTTGCTAAAAGTTAACAACAGTGTAACATGTATTATCCTAACTTCTAATCTTGTGGAAATCAGACCCTATCAGTGCCCCTCAAAGCTCAACTCCATCAGCACAGAGCCATACAACTAATACCCCTACTTACAGGGTTAGGAATGGCCACTGCTACAGGAATCAGAATAGCAGGTTTGTCCACTTCACTAGCCTACTACCACACACTCTCAAAGGATTTCTCAGACAGTTTGCAAGAAATAACAAAATCTATCCTTACTCTACAATCCCAAATAGACTCTTTGGCATCAGTGACTCCAAAACCGTCAAGGTCTAGACCTCCTCACTGCTGAGAAAGGAGGATTTTGCACCTTCTTAGGGGAAGAGCATTGTTTTTCCGCTAATCAGTCAGGGATAATAGGAGACGCCGCCTGGCGTTTACAGGAAAAGGCTTCTGAAATCAGACAATGCCTTTCAAACTCTTATAACAACCTCTGGAATTGGGCGACATGGCTTTTCCCCTTTCTAGGTCCCGTGACAGCCATCTTGCTATTACTTGCCTTCAGGCCCTGTATTTTTAACCTCCTTGTCAAATTTGTTTCCTCTAGGATTGAGGCCATCAAGCTACAGATGATCTTACAAATGGAACCCCAAATGAGCTCAACTAACAACTTCTACTGAGGACCCCTGGACCAACCTGCTGGCCCTTTCACTGGCCTAAAGAGTTCCCCTCTGGAGGACACCACAACTGCAGGGCCCCTTCTTCGCCCCTATCCAGCAGGAAGTAGCTAGAGCGGTCATCGCCCAATTCCCAACAGCAGTTGGGGTGTCCTGTTTAGATGGGGGATTGAGAGATGAAGTCAGCTGGACTTCCTGGGTTGAGTGGGAACTTGGAGAACTTTTCTGTCTTACAAGAGGTTTGTAAAATGCACCAATCAGCACTCTGTAAAAATGCACCAATCAGCGCTCTGTAGCTAGAGGTTTGTAAAATGCACCAATCAGCACTCTGTAAAATGGATCAATCAGCACTCTGTAAAATGGACCAATCAGCAGGACATGGGCAGGGACAAATAAGGGAAAAAATTGGCCAGCCCAGGCAGCAGCGGCAACCCACTCGGGTCCCCTTCCACGCTGTGGAAGCTTTGTTCTTTTGCTCTTCACAATAAATCTTGCTCCTCACTCTTTGGGTCCAAGACACCTTTAAGAGCTGTAACACTCACTGTGAAGGTCCGCGGCTTCATTCTTATTTTAACATTTTTTAATTTTATTATTTTTTTTGAGACACAGTCTTGCTCTGTCGCCCAGGCTGGAGTGCAGTGGTGCGATCTCGGCTTACTGCAAGATCCACCTCCCAGGTTCACACCATTCTCCTGCCTCAGCCTCCCGAGCAGCTGGGACTACAGGCGCCTGCCACCACACCTGGCTAATTTTTTTTGTATTTTTTAGCAGAGATGGGGTTTCACTGTGTTAGCCAGGATGGTCTCAATCTCCTGAACTTGTGATCTGCCCGCCTCGGCCTCCCAAAGTGCTGGGATTACAGGCCTGAGCCACTGCGCCCAGCCTGCGGCTTCATTCTTGAAGTCAGCGAGACCATGCACCCACCAGAAGGAACCAACTCTGGACATAAGATCACGGTTGGTGAGTGTGGGAGACAGCCATGACCACCCTGGGCTAAGTCCTGGGCCATCTGTACTAGTTGCTACATCATCCTCCATGGCTCTCAGACCCACCCATGGGGAATCCACATGCCAAGTTCATGCCTGTCCTTCCGTCGGGTCCTCCCTCCAGAGCCTTCGCCTCCGGGGTCCTTCCAGAGCCTGACTTCCACCAACACCAGGACTCACAGAACCCCCTGCCACTTCCTGGGGACCAAGACCATATCCTTACCCTCTCAGGGGAGGTGGGAGGTGGCAGTCACAGGACCAGGCAATTAGGGATGGGGCTATTGATCTGTGATGGGGAAACAGACATTGCGGTGGTGGCTTGACTAATGGCCCCCAAAAAGATCTGTCCACATCTTCTTCTCCAGAACCCTGGGCTGTGACCTTTTCCTTGAAGAGTGCCTGTGCAGATGTAATTAAGGATCTTGAGATTTGGAGATCATCCTGGACTATGTGGGTGGACCCTAAGTCCCATTACAAGTGTCCTTATATTAGACACACACAGCAGACATGGAGAAGAGGAGGAGACGGGTGTGTAACCCCAGAGGCAGAGACTGCAGTGATTTGGCCACAAGCCCAGGAACACCTGGGGCCACCAGAAGCTGGAAGAGGTGGGGAAGGATCCCCCTGGACTCTTGGGAGGGGGCGTGGCCCTGCTGACACCTTGATCTCAGACTTCTGGCCTCCAGGGCTGGGAGAGGATAATTCTCTGTTGAAGCTCCCCAGTTTGCAGCACTCTGATGAGTACGGGGGTGAGAGGGCAACAGATGTTCTGGAACCAGCAGGGGCCCTGGGAAGGGGTGGGGGACACAGAGACTCTTTTCAAACTTCCCGTTTGGCACCCATACTTTGGGCTTTGTGTTTCTTTTTTTCTATTTTTTTTTTTTTTTTTTTTGAGATGGAGTCTTGCTCTTGTTGTCCAGGCTGGAGTGAAATGGCACGCGCTTGGCTCACTGCAACCTCTGCCTCCTGGCTTCTAGTGATTCTCCTGCCTCAGCCTCCCGAGTAGCTGGGATTACAGGCACTCACCACCATGCCTGGCTAATTTTTTGTATTTTTAGTAGAAACGGGGTTTCTCCATGTTGCCCAGGCTGGTCTCAAACTCCTGAACTCAGGTGATCCGCCCACCTCAGCCTCCCAAAGTGCTGGGATTATAGGCGTGAGCCACCGTACATGGCTGGCTTTGTGTTTCTAAAGCAGCTGCTGGGGCTGGTGGGGGTGGAGGCTGTCGTGGCCACAAGGACCCCCTCCTCCGTCTGGAAGCTGCAGGGAAGGGAGGCATTTGTCCCTGTCACCGAGTTAGCTGGGAGGCACGGATGCCCTGAGCCACCCACTCTTCCGCCCGCCTCCTGGCTGCTGTCACCCCTCACACTGCCTGCAGCAGCAAATAATTTTTATATTCTCCATTAACAGAGCAGCAGCGCTGAGTAAATCTAATCCGTAAATAACCCTCCCCGGGCTGGTGCCAAGGCCCCAGGCGTGTCCCCCAGCTTCCTTGTGTTCTGTGCCTCGTCTCTGGGGCCCTGGGAGTCCCTGGGAGCTTCTCTCCCTGATGATCATGACCAGGCTGTGACTCTTGAGTTCCAGAGCTGCCTCATGGGGCCAGGGGACAATTTGAGGTTGTGGGAGGAGTCGGGGCGGTGGCCACAGGGAGAGAGGGAGACACATCGGGATCTTAGCACCGTCATGGGAGCCGTGAATCTTGACCGTGGTGGAGTGGGAGCCAGAACTCTCCATTGCAGAAGGGGAGGGAGCCCAATCCGTGAATGGTGGGGTTGGTGGGGGGCAGCTGCAGGGGTCGGAGGCTGAGTGTGTCAGGCTCTCCCCGACCCCAGCACTTGGGCAGCAGGTGGCCCAAGGGTAGAGGGCAGAGCACCCCCAGTGGGTCGGACAGATGGACAGATGAATCAAAGTCCCTGGTCAAAGCCTCCTTTTTCCACCCGCTCCTGCGGGTGGCAGCGGGGGCAGTTGGCTGCCCACTGTCCATCTAACTGGAAGCCTTTGAGAGCCAAGGTGGACCTGGGCACTGAGGGGCTGTCCCTATGGGAGAACATTTTGTTGCAGGCATAGAGAAAGGGTGGAGGCTGCCACCACCCACTTCTTCTAAGTCAGGGCTGAGCACATTCTTTCCCATAAAGGGCCAGATTCTAAATACATTGGGCTTTGCAGGCCAGGTGGGCTCTGCAGTGACTCTTCAGGTCTGCTGTTGTCGGGGCGCCAGCTGTCATATGTAAATGAATGGGCATGTCCATGTGCCAACAAAACTTTATTGACAAAAACAGGTGGCGGGCTGCATTTGGTCGGAGGGCTGTAGGTTGCCAGGCCTTGCCCTAGAAGGTGCCTGCTCTCAACACAATGTACCCACAGCCTGATTCTCTGATCTGCCGTCCCATCGGGGGGTCATATCTGTTTAAGAGTCCCTCTTTAATAAAAAGGGTGTCCACTGACACCCTTCTGGTGGTCTGTGACCGACCACCACTTACCCTCCATCTCTGACCCCGTTCTTGTCTTTCAGAGCATGCATTAAAGATGTATTTTTGTTTTTTTCTCCCTTTTCCTCAGCAGTGTCCCCAGAGCCTGGCACAGAGGTTGCATAAAAATATTGCAGCTGGAATAAATGAACCAAACTCAGGTGCTGATTACGGAGTCTCACACACTGCCCCGAGATACGAGACCTCGGCATCGGGGCACCCACCCCGGCCCGAGTGCAGACCTCATCGGCTCCGCACGGTGACACTTTTGGGGACCTATCCACTCATCTTTACTCTGCTCGGCAGACAGCAACAGCCTGTCCCAAATAGCCTTCCCGTTTTAGAGCGTTTTGGAGAACAATGGAAAGGACGCTGCAGGCACCACCTGCTCCTGCCACGGCCCCTCTGCCAGCTTGGGGAGGCCCAGGGACGCTGACCTCACAGGGCCTAGGGCGGGCGGGGGGGCACCCCAGAGGCTTTGGTTTCAGGCTGTGTCTGTCCCCGCACACAGGGAAGGCTTTCGAGATGGAGAAAAGAGGGACACAGTCTTTGTCGGGAAATCGCAGCAGGTGGAGCATCCAAGCCTCCTGTGGCCACGGGCTTCACCCCACCCTGGATCCCTCCTCCCCACCTGCAGCACACAGGGGAACTGAGTCCTGGTGGTGTTGAGAGGATGCTGGAGGCGAGAGGGCCCCAGAAAGGAGAGTCGGTGCTGGGGGCAGTAGGTGGATGAAGCTTTTTTGTCAAGGGCACCCTCTGTTCAGGACACAAGCCCTCGGCACAGCAGGCAGGTGGACACTCCTTCTGCAGAGGGAACGCCGGGGCCCAGGGAGGGATGGCCTGGCCGCGTCCCCCCGAGCCCTGGCTGCTGGGCCTGGGTTTCTCCGGGTGTCCCAGCCCCCGTCCCACCACAGACACCCAGGGCCCAGTCCTGGGTCCCACCCCACCTCCACCCACTCCCTGCAGGTGACTTCATCCTCTAGTTCCAACACCTGCCAGCTGACGGCCCCTGACCACCTGCCTTGGGGCGGCCTCCCCAGACCCAGCACCTTCACCTGGACGTCTGGTGTTCAAATCCAACCCCCTCCCAGCTCAACGCCTCCTTCCAGGGGCTCGGGTGATCTGCGAATCCTATTGGCTCTGCACTGAAAATGCATCCAGAATCCACCCACTTCTCACTACACCTGACCCCTGCCCTGGTCCCTAGCTTCTGCCCTTACCCCGTCTCCTCCCCACAGCAATCACCAGAGGGCGCCTGTGAGCACCTGAGTCAGGGCCCATCCCTCCCCTGCCCACACCCCTCCATGGCTCCCACCTCCCTCAGGGTCAAAGCCCAAGTCCTTCCCGAGACCCACAAGGGCCTGCACACCCTGCCTCCCCTCCTCCCCCTCTCCCCTGCCTCCCTCTGCTCCAGCCACAGGGGCCTCTTCATGTTCTTGCCGCACACCAGGCACAGGAGGGTCACCTCCCTGAGGGAGGCTCAGGTCTCCCGTGTCCCCTCTGCCGACTCCAGGCCTGGTGGGGCTGGGCACTGAGTGACCCAGGCCAGGACTGCTGGGTCCCAGTGGCCATCCAGGGCCGTGAGCCCCAGCGCCTAGCACGTCTGCCAGCCACCACCACCACAAGCAATGCTCTCGGGGCTCAGATGTAACCAGAACCGGATGGGGGACAGGGACAGGGCAGCTGCTGGCTGGGACGAGTGAGGCCAGGGCCAGGCCTCCAGAGAACTGAGGGGGAATCATGGGGTCCGCTGCCCCAGCCACCCAGCCTGGCCACAGCATGAGGGGCATGACAGCTGCCCCTGGGTGTGTGGGGGTGTGTTGGGGACCCTGGAGAGTGGGAGGGGAGGGACATCCAGCTCTGGAAGCAAACCTTCTCCCGGGAGAACGGGGCGCAGGCAGCCCCACCCCAGGGAGGCCCCAACATCAGTCCCCCTAGCACAGGCTCAGAAATGAAGACACTTGCCGGGGCATGGAACGGGGTTTCGCAGCGTTCATGAACCTTTAATTCATTATGAACCTAGAGGCAGGGACATTAGGCAAAAAATACAGCGTATCCTTCATCTCGGGTGGGGAAAAACCAGGGCACTGGGTTTTGCCGCGTCTTTGCACAGAGTAAGACACAGAGATACCTTCGTGGGGAGAGTGTGCAGCTCCGGCCTGCCCTTCTGTGGCCCATCTGCGCAGGCCGCCCAGGAGCCCACCAGGGGATGGGTGTGACCCCCAAGGGACAAGGGCAGCAGGGGCACCCGCCCGCTTCTTTACAATATAAATAGCATTTTCAAACAACATAAGAATACAGTGTCAGCGCCACGCCGGGCGAGGGCTGCGTGCAGAGGGACACCTCCACGTTTTGGCTGACACCCCCCAACCTCCCCGACCCCGGCCCTCTCCAGGGCAACCGCCCCCCTCCCCCACCAAGGAAATGAAAGGCTTGCTCCTGCGTAACACTCTCTCTGTTTTCCTTAGTCCTCTCTAGCCCGGGGACTGTTAGGACACTCTTTTATAATATAAACATTGCTTTTTTTTTTTTTTGGAGACAGGGTCTCGCTCTGTTGCCCAGGCTGGAGTGCAGTGGTGCAATCTGAGCTGACTGCAGCCTCAACCTCCTGGACTCAAGCAATCCTCCCACCACAGCCTCCCGAGTAGCTGGGACCACAGGTGCGCACCACCACACCTAGCTAATTTGTAAAAAATTTGTAGTGATGGGGTCTTGCTATATAGCCCAGGCTGGTCCCAAACTCCTGCCTCAGCCATTTTTTGTTTTTAATATAAGCAAATTATCTCCTCCATCCCTCCCTGGGGCAGGAGACAGCTAAGGTGGGGAAGGCTCCCCAGAGGGGTGCAGAGCTGGTGAGGGAGAGGCACCTGGAGAAGGCGCTTCCCAGCCTGGGCTGAAGGCCGTTTTTTCTCTATCAGCTCAACCCACTCCTAAGAAGCAGATTCCCCTCAGGTGACAGCAGCGTGGGTGGGTGGAGCGAGGACACCAGGCCTCGTCCCTGCCCGGAAGCAGGCGAAAGGGGCCCCGAAGGCCTGCCTCGGCCCTGTGTCCCCCGACCTGCTCAGGGTTGTACCCGAAGAGCTGGGAAGCTGTCCACACTCACTACCAACCAGAAGGGCCTGGGGGCCTCCCTCATCCTGAGCCATAGGAGGTGCAGGGGTGCTTTGTCTGCAAGGAAGCCTCTGGAACACCTGCGTTTCTCTCAGGTGAGAGAAACAAAGATAGACAAACCCCAGGAGAGAGTTTATTCTGCAAAGGTGGGCGCAGACGGAGGGAGGCCCCAGACCCCCGGGCTTCCCCTGGCCAGGTGCACAGGGGCGGCCACCAGAGAGCCTGGGCCTCCTCCCAGCAGGCACAGAGTGGGCACAGGCACTGGCACCAGACCATCAAAGCCCAGGAGCCGGGGTGAGGCGAGAGCGAGGCCGTGAGTGACCGGGCTGTGCCGAAACCGGGGCGTCCTGCCCCCCCCCCGAGGCTCACCCTCCAATTACCGGGTCTCTTTCCCTGCCTGGTCTGTAGCCAAATCATAATATTTTAAAACAACAACAAAAAAACAGCGAGATGCTCTGACCTCTCAGAGAATCCTGGTTCTGAGAAAAACAATGTGTTTGTTTTGTTTTGTTTTTCTTAAAGCCACAAATCTAGAAAACAACTTTGGGGATATTTTCCTTTGTTTTCCTTTTTTTCTTGCTTTTTTTTAAACAATATGTATTTATAGAAAGAGCCTCACAAAGGTGGTTTATGTACAGAAGTGACAATCTCAAAGGTTGCTCAGTAGGGCATTGCAGTAGCACCTTTTCGAGAAGAAGAGAGCTTACATGGTTTAAAATTCTGAGTAGTTGAGTGGGGTGCTCCCCTGGCCGGCCCCCGAGCCCGCCTGGCCCTGCTCCCTGAGTCTGGGGCCGCGTGCGGCGTCCCGCTGGCTCCTGTCGCCCTAGGGGGCACCCGCGGCTTGGAGGTGGCCTCTCGGGGGTCGGGGACACGAGGACAGGAATTCACAGCAAGCGAACGCCCGGGGCATGCCATGGCCTCCCCGCCGGGCTGAGGGTCGCCTGAGCGGCCAGCTGTCCTAGAAGGGGGCTCCGGGCCGGCCCTGCACCTGCAGGAGGCTCTCCACGAAGGCCACGTAGTCCTGGCTCCGCCCGGAGTCCTCCGTGGCAAGCGGGGTGCCCACACGCGGGCGCTTGGCGGCCTTGGCCTCCTCCCCCGAGAAGGCGGGCTCCTGCGGTGCCCCCGTGCTCAGTGACTGCGGGAGAGCGGAAGCACAGTGGTTAGCACGGTGGAGACACTCTGTGCGGCCCCAGCCACTGTCTATGGCCTCTGAGAGGAGCTGGCTGGACACAGAGCCCTGATTGCTGTGGGGGCTGCTCAGCAGGCTCCTGTTTTCGTGTTTGTAAACCCCTGATCCTGCCAGCAGAGGGGCCCTGCACTCGGCCCCAGCCTCTGGCCCCCTAGTGGGGTGGGCACCCTGGCTGGGGCTGGGACCGTCCATCTGGCAGCTCCCATCTGTTTTCCGAGGGACCCCTCTGCGGCTGAGCAGCTGTGGCCAGGACCAGGAACCTCCCCCACGGGCTCTGCCCCTCAACACCTCGCCTCTCGCCTCTCGATTAGAAAGAGAATAAAGGAAGCCCATGAGGGCTGGGGGAGCGAAAGCTGGAGCTGCCTCCGCTGCCTCCAGGACTCAGGCTCCCGTTTAATAAGGAAAAACCTCAGGAAAAGCTTTTTTAAGCCGACAACTGGGGTGCCCGTACTTCGCCTGTACCCCAAAACCTGTGATGGTTCAGAGGCCGCCCTGTGCAGGGTGGGGCAGCGCGGGTCCTGCAGGGCACAGGGGGCTGGGAGGGTCTGTTCTGCATTCGTGATAAGGGGAGGGGCGGGGCTTCTCCAACCCTCCCTCCCCACATTAACGGCATCGCCCAGGAGCTGCGGCACCAGGAGTCAAGGCAAAGGAAGGGTCTCCTGCCAGGAGCCCATGGACCAGCTGTGCTGGGGCGGCCGGGACCCCCTTCCAGCAGAGGTGCAAGAGGAGGGGGTGGTCCACGCCATTGGAAGACGCAGTCTGTGCCCTGCCTCGTCCCAGACGGGCTCCCTGAGTCACCCGGAGCCACCAGGCCAGCCTCGCGCACTCACCAGCCGAGAGCGGACCCTCTTGGGCAGCTCCTCCTCCAGGGTGAAGATGTCCCCACGCTTCACCGTCAGCTGGGACCCGTCCTCAAACTCCACCTGCAGGGGGATGTGGCTCTCAGGGGCCTGGCACTGCCAGGATGGCAGGTGCTCCAGGCAGGCCACGGCCTCAAGAGCTGGGAGGCCAGCCCCCTTGGGTGCATGGGGCCCGCTAGAGGCCACATGCAGCCAAGCTGAAGCTCATGTCCACCTCTGACACCGCCTGCAGCAAACAAGGATCAGGCTGAGGGTCCCGTACCACGGGGCAAGGATGACGGAGGACGGGACAGCCTGGGGCAGAGGCAGGGCCCCGCAGCTTCCACATGGAGACAGAACACTCACCCCTCACCTCCTCCCAGCTCAAAAGACATCTGTCTCCATGAAGACACAGCCCCAGGACAAGGTGACAGAGTCACTGGTGGACACAGAGCCAGGCAGGAGGCGCAGTGCCCTAACAGGGCCTGGGAGGCAGGGGAGGCCGGACAGGCGGACTCAGGGGCCTGAGCTCAGGAGCCCCCAACCAGAAGGTGAAGGACAGGGTCCCTGGCTTATGTGTGGCCCTCTGAAAACAGCTCAGTCACCTCTTCCCTTCAACTCAGAGAAAAATCACCCCCTTCCAGCCTCCCCAGCTGGTGCCTTGTTCCAGGTGGCAGATGCCTGACTGGTGAGGGGCACTGGGAGCACCCCGCTTCCTCCTCGTTAAGCTTGGTGCCAGCTCAGGCTCGCGGAGACTCTCTCAGGGGCCCTCTGGCAACACAACACTGTCCCATGAAGGGCGTGCCAGGGAGGGGCGTGTCTCCAGGCCCACCTCATAACTGCGATGGGCGCCGTGTTCCCAAGCCAGGAAAGGTGCTGGGGTCACTCCCTGGGCCTGACTGCCGTTCTGCTCCAGGGGGAGAAGGTTCCCATATCAGAGGGCTCGCTTTTCACATTTAAAAACTCAAAACAAGCCAGGCATGGTGGCATGTGCCTGTGGTCCCAGCTACCCAGGAGGCTGAGGTGGAGGCTGTAGTGAGCTCTAATTATGTCACTGCACTCCAGGCTGGGTGACAGATCAAGACCCCGTCTCAAAATGAACAAAATGCACACATAAGACTGTCACAGAAGCGTACAAAAGTCACACACTAAGACCATGACGGAAGTGTATAAAAGTCACACAGTAAGACCATCGCGGAAGTGTGTCTGGGGCTAGACGCCCCACGTAGTGTGCAGCGGGGGGGCCCGGGATCGCAGCACCTCCCTCTCCAAGGGAGCACAGACCCTGCCTTGGGGCAGCCAAGCCTGCCGGTCCCTGTGACTCCTCCAGGGATGGGTGGGGATGGAGACAGACGTAGGCCCTGGAGCAAGTGTCTGCTGTGGGTTCCACATGCCTCTTGGCCGGCGCAGGCGGCGGGAGAAGCAGGGCTGGGAGTGCCCAGTGTGGACTCTCAGATGGCCGGTTGCCTCTGGGCCGTGTCCTGGGACGACAGCACACATCTCTCGGGGATGTGTGGAGGAGCCTGCTGGGAACCAAGGACATGGGTGCCACCCTCTGCCCCGTCCTACCCATCTCATTTGTAGAGGAAAGCCACCGGGAGAAGGCCCCTTCCCAGCGTCTGTCCGGTGAGGAGAGTCTGGGTGAAGGAGTCCTAGTGTCGGAGCCCCAGCACCCCGGAAAGCGATTTCCACCCCCGGCGTGGCCAGGCTCCGCTTTGCCACGGGCAGCAGCGGGTTTTGGAGGCTCCGCTTTGCCAAGGGCAGCAGCGGGTTTTGGAGGCTCCGCTTTGCCACGGGCAGCAGCGGGTTTTAGAGCTCCCACTGCAGGAGTCCCAGGGCCCACCTGCTGCCTTTCCCCAGCTCCCCGGCCCCGACTCGGCCTCTCGGCTTCTGGCAGGCGTGGCACACAGTGATTCAGTCAGGCACAGAAGCAGCCTTGCCAGGAGGGGAAGGCGCGTTCTAGAAACTCAGTGGAAACTGGCTCAGGTTTCTGGGTCAGGAAGACTGCAGAGATCCGCCCCAGATTCTCAGGAGCACAGAACCGCCTAGGAGGATGGCGCTCACACTGCCGGGTCCAAGTGGGCTCCAGGGAAACTTCTGTGCCTGGGTCATTTGGGAACTGGGGGCTGACTGGAGACTCAGGCTGATTTCCTCCCAGTGGCCTCCCTGGAACGTGCTTTCACTATGAGTCTCCACAGGGCGAGTTCTGAAGGCGGCGTTTGCTTTTTAACATTTTGAGAAAACTGGATATACTTGCAGCTACAGGAAATCAGAGGCGTGCGCCTCGGCCCGGGCTCCCTGTGGTGACGTCTTGCCCGGCACGTCTCAGAAGCATCTCGAGGGGTCACGTGCGAGGGAAACATGTTCCAAGTGTTCCGGACAGGCGGGGAGGCTCTTGGGGCCTTGGCATGTGGGGGTCTCAGCCACTCGGCCTCGCTGTCACCTGGGCCCACCCCAGCCACCCGCCCCGCTGACCAGGCCCTTGGCCTCGGGGCAGGCAGCTCCAGCCCCATCTCCTTGGCCACCACACAGCGGGCGTTTGCATGATTGTGTGATCGAGGTCCTGCCGCCACCTCGCAGGCAGGCGCGCACTCCACGGTGGCTTGCTGGCTTCCGATACCACCCATTCCTGATTCCACAGCCTCTGCCCCCCCGCCCCGAGCACTCTGGAAATGTGACTTTTTTTTTTTTTTTTTTTTGAGACAGGGCTTTGTTTCATCACCCGGGTTGGAGTGCAGTGGCGCGATCTTGGATCACTGAATCCTCAACCTCCCAGGCTCAAGTGATCCTCCCACCTCAGCTTCCCAAGTAGCTGGGACTAAAGGTGCGTGCCACCATGCCCAGCTAATTTTGTTTTTTTGTAGAGACAGGGTTTTGCTGCGTTGCCCAGGCTGGTCTCGAACCCCTGTGCTCAAGCGCTCTGCCCACCTCAGCCTCCCACAGTGCTGCGATCACAGCATGAGCCCCCGCGCCTGGCTGGCATCATCTCATTTCTGACTGTCTCATTAGCTCGGCTTCCTTGAGGTGAGCTCCCCTGACGCTGGCCCTGCCTGGGCTCTGGTGACATGACAATGATCCTGGGAGCACTTCCTTCGCCACCAGGGTGGGGGCTGCGTCAGCGCCTCTTCTGTGGGATGTTGTCAAGACCCACCCTGAGTCTCCCTTGTCATTTTCCACCACAGTTGTGCTCTGTGTACGTTATAAATGGCTATTTATCTATTTGTGTGTTTTCTATCATCTCCATAGGTTTCTTGAGGGAGGGAGAGAGACTGGCACATGCTCAGCCTGATCTCTGGAGTAAACTTCCATGGTGTTCTAGAGGTCCTGGCTCAACCTCCCCTCCTCGGAGTCCAGTCCGACCTGCCTGGGCCAGACTCTGAGGCTCCCGGGGCAGGCGGAGGGTGTTGTCACTGTCACACAGACCCCACCCATCCTGCCGTGTACTAGATGCACCAGAATGCTTCCCAGCAGAGTTTTTGTTTTTTTTTTTTTTTTTTTTTTTGGAGACAGGGTCTCAGTGTCACCCAAGCTGGAGTACAGTGGCTCAATTACAGCTCACTGCATCCTCGACCTCCTGGGTTCAAGCGATCCTCCCACCTCAGCATCCCGAGTAGCTGAGACTACACGCGCACACTACCATGCCCAGCTAATTTTTAAAATTTTTTGTAGAGATTGTGGGGGGGGGGGGGGTCTCACTTTGTTGCCCAGGCTGGTCTCGAACTCTTAGCCTCAAGTGATCCTCCTGCCTCGGCCTCCCAAAGTGCTGGGATTACAGGTGTGAACCACCGCGCCCAGCCCACCTGAAACTCATAACCTGAGAGAAGAGCTGCCAGGTGAGCTGAGCAGGGATTATTCTCTTTTGCTGCTGCCTGGGATGGGCTAAGGGGTGCAAATCGACCTTGCCCTTGGTCTAAGCCTAACACAATCAGGAAGTCCAAGGAGCTGCCTGAGCCTCCCCCCAGGGAAGGCTGGAGCTGAGCAGAAGTGACAGTGTCTGGAGATTGGTGGTAGCTCCCACAGGGCTGGCCATGGGGATGGCTTGTCCCCGAAACCACCCCCTTCTCAAGGAGCAGGGAAGACCCTGCAAGGTCCGAGAGTGGTGACCGGGTGGGGCCAGCCTGCATGGCAAGGAGGTCCTGGATGCTCAGTGACAGGTCGAGAGTGGTGACTGGGCGGGGCCGGCCTGCACGGCGGAGCGGGGGGGGTCCTGGATGCTCAGTGACAGGTCCGAGAGCAGTGACCGGGCGGGGCCGGCCTGCATGGCAAGGCGGTCCTGGATGCTCAGTGACAGGTTGAGAGTGGTGACTGGGCGGGGTCGGCCTGCACGGCCGGGGGTGGGGGTCCTGGATGCTCAGTGACAGGTCCGAGAGTGGTGACCGGGCGGGGCCGGCCTGCACGGCGGGGGGTAGGGGTGGTCCTGGGCACTCAGTGACACTCGATCATTTCAGTTCATTCAGGTCTGGCGGGAGATGCGGGCGGGACCTTTCCTTAATGCGGCCTCGGGACCATCGCAGGGGTTAGGGTTTTCACCTTAACCGACGTGGTAAAGAGCTGAACTCCGATGTTTACAAAGAACTTGGGGCTCGGGGTGCGAGCTAAGGCCAGGACGTCACCGACTGACCCGCCGCGTGACCCGAGGTGACTCTGAGTGAGGCTTCGTTTCCACTCCTCAAATGGGGCAGATGTGACTGGAAGAGACAAGCTGTCGCCTCCTCCCGGGAGCCTCGAGCCAGGGGAGCTCAAGGGAAGTGCGGCACCAGGCTTGGGAGCGACGCTTCTAGCTGCTGGGATATGGGCAGCTCTCCTCCTAAAATTCCACGCTTTTATTTCATTTAATTAATTAATTAATTTTTTGAGGCTGAGTCTCGCTCTGTCACCCAGGCTGGAGTGTGGAGTGCAGTGGTGTGATCTCGGCTCACTGCAAACTCTGCCTCCCGGGTTCAAGCGATTCTCCTGCCTCAGCCTCCCGAGCAGCTGGGACTACAGGTGCCTGTCACTAAGCCCAGCTAATTTTTGTATTTTTAGTAGAGACAGGGTTTCACCATGTTGGCCAGGCTGGTCTTGAACTCCTGACCTCAAGTGATCCACCTGCCTCGGCCTCCCAAAATGTTGGGATTACAGGGGTGAGCCACCGTGCCCGGTCTAAGATTCCACACTTTTAAATAATTCCTCTTCCACAGTCATGAGAAGAAACTCACTACCAATTTGATTAAAAAAAAAAAAACCCAGGGGTACTGAGCTGTACACTCCAAAACGGTGAAAGGGAGAACTTATGTTAAGAAAAATTGAGAAGGTGTCTCAAAGGGAAATGTCACCCGAGTGGAGGCCCCTTTAGCTTTGAAAACAAACAAGCCCTGTGCTTCTAACTTAGGCAGGCGAGCCAAGGCTCAGCTGGGTCCTGCGGGCCTCACTAACCATGGCCCACACCCGCCAGTGCCCCAGGCAAAGGCACCTGGGCCAGGGGTGTGATCCTCCTGTCCCCGCACCTACAAGAAGAGCTTGGTGAAGGCATGGCGCGGCTGCCAGATCCCCCGCTTACCTGGTAGATGTGGCTGGTGACGGAGGAGATGAACTTGGCCTTGTAGAGGTTGCCGTCAGTCCACCGGAGCTCCACCAGCTCCCCCTCGGAAGGGGGTCCCAGCTGGACACAGTCCCTACTCTGCAGGGAGAAGAGGTGGGAGGTGAGGTCCTGGCCACACTACGCTGGGGGCTGTCGCTGGGTTTTAGACCCTCTCCGCGCTGGCAAGTGAGGTTCTCTGCCTGAAGCCCCAAAGCTGGCTGCGGGGGCCCGGGGTAGCGGGGCGGTGCAGAGCCCTGGCTGCGGGTCGCTTTCTGCTGAACAGTGAGCGGTGCTTTTCCTGAAGGGGCCTGGGGCCCTGAGGACAAGGGGACCCCATGAAGGGATCTGGAGTCAGGCCACTCCTAGCTTCCCCCCGCCCACCCCCACAGCTCACCGTGATGCTCTCAGGGTACAGGTTGTCGCTGTGCTCCCAGCCTCCCCCCGCCCCCTGCCCCACCCCACAGCTCACCGTGATGCTCTCAGGGTACAGGTTGTCGCTGTAGGAGCCATCGTCGAAGTTCACTTCGTAGCAGGTCTGCGAGGCGGCACCGATGACGCGACAGCGGTAGTACAGCCCGTTGCGGTTCTTGGTGATGACCACCTGGCCTAGGGACACGGCCCTCAGGAGTTGGACCTGGGAGGGTGCGGAGGGTGTGGGGGGCGGTCAGCGCGGGTGTCGGTGGGGGCGGGAGCCAGGGGCTGGGGGCAAGGAGGCGGGCAGGCACTCACAGCGTGACCCCCCGACTTGTGCTTGAGGCAGGTGATGGAGACCACATAGGGCCAGTCGTCCGGCTCCATGAGCACGCCTGCGGCGTGGGCGCAGGTCACGTGGAAGGACGTGGAGCAGTGCTCGTAGGAGCACTGGATACAGGCACCTGACACCTTCTTCATCCGCTTCCGGCAGTACACGCATTTCTGGGGATGGGGACACAGGCAGGGGCATGGGGCTCGAGCTTCCCTAGGGACCCTGGAACGGAGTCCCCGGCCCCTCCCGGCACAGCCTTCAAGGGAGGCATCGCGGGAGTGGCCCTGCGCTCTGCCCAGTGAGGGTTCCCCTCCACAGCCCAGAGCCCGCAGCCTCCCTGGCCAAGCCCTCCAGACCCACTGACCCAGCCTCCTGCTGCTCAGCCTCTGGGGAGTCCTCTCCCATCCCCCCTGCATGTCACTGGCTGCTGGGACAGATCAGCCCCCGGGGAGTCCTCTCCCGTCCCCCTGCGTGTCACTGACTGCTGGGACAGACACTGAAGAGCCCCACGTGGTGTCGCTCAGCCAGAGGAACCACGTGGCGACAGAGATGTGCCCTGGGGACACAGAGGTGAGTGCAGACCATGTGACCCCGTGTTCTGCAACCCCCAGGGCAGGCCACCCCCAGACACAGGAAGTGGGCTCGTGGGCACAGGGTAGGGGATGGGAGCGACTGGTAATGGGGCCCATTCTTCATGGGGTGATGAACTGTTCTGGAATTAGACGGTGTGATAGTTGGCACAACTCAGAATGTACTAAAAAACATAGAGTGGCACACTTTAGAATGGTTAGAGTGAAGGATTTTTTCTTTTTTTTTTTGAGCCTGGGTGCTCTGTCACCCAGGCTGGAGCACACGGCGCGATCATAGCTCACTGCGGTCTCCAACTCCTGGGCTCAAGCAATCCTCCCACCTCAGCCTCCTGAGTAGCTGGGACCACAGGTGCAACCATCATGCCTGGCTAATTTTTGACTTTTGTAGAGGTGGAGTCTTGCTATATTGTCCAGGCTGCTCTCAAACTCCTGAGCTCAAGGGATCCTCCCGCCTTGACCTCCTAAAGTGCTGGGATTACAGGCGTGAGCCATCGCGCAGGTCCTTTACATCGGCTTTTAATAAGAAGCCCTGAGAGAAGCCTCCTTGGTGAGGAGGGAGCACCGGAGAGCCACCTTTCATCCCTTGAGGCTCCCGCTGCAACACCTGCCCGAGCCAGCACCGGGGCCCTGGCGGCCGCCACACCCACGCCAGGCCCAGCTAAGCATTTAATAAGCGGCACCGTCACCACTCTATAAACCACGTTCAAAAGCCAGATAAGCCAAGGGCCTGGAGCAGGGCCGATCGACGGCATCGAGATCTCGTTATTAAACTGTAAATACCCAATTCTCCCATCACACAACACGCGCCAGGCATCACTCCAGCACGGCCTCCCCCTCCGGCAGAGTAGCCAGTGTGTAGGAGTGGAGGCTGTGCTCCCTGGGGAGCCTGGGGGTGGGGGAGAGGCCCCACCTGGACACTGTCAGGTGGGGTTGCTGAGCCGTCTTGAACACGTCACCCACAGGCCTCCACCCCTCGGCCCAGGCCCAGGAGAAACCCAGCCCCGGGGCAGGCTGGTGCCCAGCACCATCCCCTTCCGCCTCGTGGTAGCAGGCAGCCCATGACCCTGCATCTCCACGTTGTGAAAAGCGTGCCCCCGGACCCATGGGACCATTTGTCAGGAGCTGTGCCTGGGGCCGAGGTTGCCCAGAGCCACCCCTACTAAGGCGAGGTCCAGTCACGCCACGCGCTGTGGCCACAGGAGGTCGGGCAGGCGTTCTTGGCCGTCACCTCCCTTCCTGGGAGCCGCAGTTTGAAGACCCACATCCAGTGCTGGCCTGGCCCAGGCCAGTGTGTGCCGGGGAGTCAGGGTCTACGGCCCGTGGGGGGCCTGGAAGGGCCCAGGCACTGGTGTTTGGTTCGAAGTTCCCGGCTCGGTGTCCTTCCTCGGAGGCCACAGGGCTGTGAGGACGACGCGGGTGGGCTTCAGAGGTCTGCAGAGCACCACGGCCTGGAGGAAGCAGGTGGTCACCGCTAGGTACCACCCATGAAGCTGTGTCCTCAGCCTGTCACACACTGAGGCGCAGTGGCTGTCCACCAACCTGCTTTCGCAAACAACCCCAACCCCTGAGGAGCAGAGAGCCCCTCCCTCCTGACCGAGCCCTACCCCTCCAGGCAGGACTGTGGGCAGTGGAGAGAGCTGGTGCAACTGCCCACCCCTCCTGCTGCCCTGGAGGCGCCTCCCCCCATCCCAAGCCCCTCCCAGACCTCCCAGATCCTCCAGGGAGCTCCCGGTGCTTTTGCCTGCTGCCAGGAACCTGCCCAGCCGGTAGGTGAGAAGCTTCTCAGCAGCACGGCCTTGAGAACGTGGTGATAACTTGGCCCAGGCGGGCGGCCAGCCGGAGCCCCCTGACTCACCAGGACTGCCTGGAGCCCTGAGCCGGTGGCTGGAGAAGTCCTGGAGACAAACTGACGGATGGGTAACCAGGAGTGAGTGCCCCATGCCTGCAGCCTGCCCGTGGCCCGCGAAGGTGGCTGGGCGGTTGGGCGAGCAGGAATTAACCGCCGCCTCCTTGCAAAGCCCCATTAAGCAGTACAAGCGGGCCTCGTGTAAAAGGATTTTTAATTCATCGTTACAAGCACCGGTAATGAAGAGGCTGCGTTCTGGAAATGTCAGATGATCCATAAGGCGTCGGGCAGGAGGACTTATCACTGCACCACGCATCGCACCATCACTCCACCTGAATCATGAGGCCTTTTACGCCCACGTTTGTGGACTGAGTCACTGGTGCCTCGGAAGCATCACCCGCGGGCTGCCGGCTTCCTAATCGCCTGGCCGTGCCCGGCCAGGCCGGCGTGACCCACTGCACACTCCACTCCACGAACAAGGAAAGAGGGCTCCCCTTCCAGATGAGCCTCTGTGACTGCCTGCACAGCCCTGCCCAGGTGGCCCAGCACCTGTGGGCTCCAAGCATGGCATCCAAGCCCGCCGGGCTCGTGGGCACCTCGCACCAGTGCATGGGAGCCCGGGCTTTGTGGCCGGCATCAGTCCCACCCTTGTGGTCTCCCCAGCAGACCCACCCTGCCAGACTGATCTGTCTGCTTCCAGCCCCACCTCCACGCAAGCCTGAATGTCAACACCAGGCACTGTGTCCGCGGCTGGGAAGATAAACCAGGCAGGAAAAGCAGGCAGGACGCTGCTGGGTGCTACTGGCTGCGGGCCCAGCCTCCAGGGGCCCACGAGACACGTGTGCAGAGGCCGGAGTGCACAGGGACAAATGCGTCCTCCCCATCAGCGCTGCCACATGCACAGCCCTTAGTGGGGACGCGGCCCCAGCAACATCTGCATTTTGCTCTCCTCATCTTTTTTTTTTTGAGACAGAGTCTTACTCTGTCGCCCAGGCTGGAGTGCAGTGGCGCAATCTCAGCTCACTGCAACCTCCGCCGCCCAGGTTCAAGCAATTCTCCCGCCTTAGTCTCCCGAGTAGCTGGGATCACAGGCACGTCCCGCCATGCAGAGCTAAGTTTTGCATTTTCAGTAGAGACGGGGTTTCATATGTTGGCCAGGCTGGTCTCGAACTCCTGACCTCAGGAGATCGACCCGCCTCGGCCTCCCAAAGTGCTGGGATTACAGGCATGAGCCACCAGGCCTGGCCTCCTCATCTTCTTTCTGGGCCAGGTCCCAAGGCTCTGCAGGAAGCTGATTTAAAGGGCCAGCTGAGTGTCATTTTCCAGCAGGCGTGGACAGCCCCAAGTGCCTTGTGCGCAGGTGGGCTACAGGGTGTGCAGCAGACAGCCCTGCAGGGCTGCAGCCCAGGCCATGATCGGCCAAGCCCCTCCAGGCCCCAGGCTCCTCACCTGCAGAACAGACAGTGCAGGATGACCCCACAGGCTCTCACTGTGTGGATCAAATGCAGTAGGTGACACTGGGGGCCTGGGGGAGCGAGGCTGCAGATTTGACAAGCCCTGAGCAGCTGCTAGTGCTCAGACAGGGTGGTCCATGCTTTAGGGAGTGGGCCCAGCTCACACCACTGCAACCCTGCATGGCGGGGACTGTGGCAACCCCACAGCACAGAAGGGACGGCCGAGGCACAGAGAGGTCGAGGAATCTGTCCCAAGTGCACAGCCAGCTGGTGGCCAGCACTGACCACTCCTGACTGCCCTGTGGCTCCAAGGGGTTCCCCAAAGGGGGGCCATCATTGCTGAGAGCAGGAGGAAGCTTCACAAGCCCCCACGATGAGGCCCCGCTACGCCCAAGGTGGCTGCGCGCATCTACGGGGGGCCTCAATGTGCACCAAGAGTGGAGCAGCAGAGATCCTCCAACTCAACCACAAAAGGCCAAGCAACCCAGGCACGGAATGGGCGAAGGAGCAGAACAGACGTTTCTCCAAAGACGGCATGCAGATGGCCAACAGGACTGTGCAAAGATGCCCAGCGTCACTGACCGCCAGGAGAACACAAATCAAACCATAGCGAGACCACCTCGCACCTGCTAGGGCGGCTGCTACAAAAAAGTCAAAGGTAGGTGTGAGTGAGGACGAGGGGAAGGGGAAAGCCCTGCACCCGGGGGGTGCGGATGGGAGTCCGTCCAGCCGCAAGGGAGAGCAGTTTCCTCCAGTGCTAAAAACAGAGCTGCCCGACGGTCCAGCAAGCCCACTGCTGGGTCTGTATCCACAGGAAATGACATCAGAATCTCCAAACCACAACCACACTCCCACATCCGCTGCGGCGCAACCCACAACAGCCTGAAGGCAGAGACATCGGCGGGTGCCCGGATCAACACAACGTCGTCCATCCACATGGTGGCACATCACTGAGCCAGGAAAAGAAGGAACTCCTGCCATATTTGGGTTGAATGAATGTGGATGAACCTTGAGGAAACTATGCCAAATGAAAGACACCACTCGCGCCTGTAATCCCAGCTACCCAGGAGGCCAAGGCAGGAAGATCTCAAGGCCAGGAGTTCCAAACCAGCCTGGGCAACATAGTGAGACCCCATCTTTTAAAAAAAAATTGGGAGTTAACCTAACTTTTTGGCACGTGCTTGTGGTCCCAGCTACTCAGGAGGCTGAGGCGGGATGATCGCTTGAGCCCAGGAGTTTGAGGCTGCAGAGAGCTGTGATCACACCACTGCACTCCAGCCTGGGTAACAGAGTGAGAGACCCTGTCTCTTAAGAAAGAAGCCGGTCGCAGAAGAATAAAGACTGTACAATCCCACTCACGTGGGGTCTATAACACAGGCAAACACACAGAAGCAGAGTGCTGGGTGCTGGGGTGGGCGGAGGGAGCTGCTGCTTAGCACGTGTGAAGTGTCAGTTATACAGGACGGGTGAGCGGGCCGCAGAGCCCTGCTGCCCACCACTGGGCCCGTGGTGAATGCTGTACTGAACCTCAGATGCTTCTTAAGAGGGCAGATCTCACGCTAAGCATTGTTACAATTGTTTGTTTTTTTTTGAGACAGTGCCTGGCTCTGTTGTCTAGGCTGCAGTGTAATGGTGCCATCACAGCTCACTGCAGCCTGGGTATCCCGGGCTCAGGCGATCCTCCCACCTCAGCCTCCCGAGTAGCTGGGACCACAGGTGTGTGCCACCACGCCCAGCTAGTGTTTTTTATTTTTTTTATAGAGATGGGGTCTCATCGTGTTGCCCAGGCTTGTTATAATTATTAGAAAAACAGCAAAGATCAGACAGCCCGGTTGTGTCGGGGCACGTGCGGTGCCTCTGCTTTTGTGGGAAGGTGGAAACTGCATGGGGTGCTCGATTCTGCAGAGGATGCCCCCAAGGCCACACCTGACGGGGCCTGCTTATCTCTGCCACCCTTGATGCCTTCTGATTTTTGTACCTTGCACCTCGGGGAAGGATTCAAAAAATAACACACCTGCTGAAGTCGGGATCACTGGCTTCCTGAAAGCTGCCCACCACCCCCATGGAGACGCAGAGCTTGGAGGAAAGACCGCTTCAGATCGCGCAGGTGGGGAGCCGAGCATGGCCGGCAGCCCTAGAGGCACGGGCAGGGTGGGCCTCGACCGCAAGGACCTACCAGCTTCCACCGCTGCTCGGGGATGGCGCTGATGTCCACAGGGTGGCGCTCAATCACGTTCAGGAAGCGCGCCTCGGGGACTGCGATGGCACAGATCACGTGGATCCACCTGGGAGGGCAGGTGCAGCGGGGTCAGGTGCGCCTCTGAGGACCTGGGCTGGTCACAGAGGGGCTGGGCGTGATGTGGCTGTCGGCTGGGTCAGGGCCTGGGGAACTTCAGGAAGGTCGGTGCAGGCGTATGCTCCTCCTCAGCCCTGGCCACCCCATCCATGACACAGGGCGGTTATGTGGAGGTGATGGTCAACCCCTAGGCACTGGGGTCACACCCTGCAGAGCCTCAGCCCAGGGCAGGCTCCCCTCCGGCCCTCCAGCCCCAACGCGCGGTGCCACCCACCTCCTATCGGTGGTCATCTGCAGCGCACCTCCTCGCAGGTTGCACAGGCAGCACTCCTGTGGAGACCAGACAGCCCTGGATGAGCAGGGCTCGGAGCAGGCTCCCCACACACTGCTTGGGGCCTGATCTGCCAACCGTCCCCAGCCCACGGCCCTTATATTTCAACCTAGCAGCCACCAAAGTGACGGGTGGGAATCCCTTGGGTTCCACCCCCTCAGGGCAGAGGTGAAGGAACCCAGGCCCACGGAGGGGAGACTACGCCCCAAAGTCACCCCACTGGAGTGGGGCCGGGGCCCAGGCCTCTCAGAGCACCACCCCCGCTGCGGGGAGCGAGTTACCGCAGTCCAGGCGTGGGCCGCGCACCGGGAACACGTCCAGCCTTCATTGACCAGCTCGGGACGGATGCCATAGCAACCTGGAAGACAGCGGGGGCTGGCTGAGATCTGGGGGGCAGGTGAGACTTGGGGAGCCGAGTGAAACTCAGGGGGAGGGGCCGGGTAACTTGGGGGCCAGTGTCCGTATGTGGAGTGACGAGGCCTCCGCACGCAGCTGCAGCATTCAGGGTGCGTGCTGTTCCCACCCTCTGAGCTTCAATCCAGGCCACTGCATGTGGAGCGAGAGAAAGGTCTGGAAGCTACTTGTGTGGAAAGAGGACGCAGGAGGGGAAGCAGGGACCCTGAGCTCCAGCTGGGTCTGCCGCGCTCAGCCTGGTGGTGTCTTGAGGGCCCCTCCTTGTTGGGTGTCTGCACCCCCAACAGCAGCTCCTCCTGCTATGTCCAGAAAGGCCAAAGCCGCAAGGGAGACTCACTGTGGGATGTGGCCCTGGGTCTGGAAATGGGGAAAGGGCACAAAAGGCCGAATCATGCCCCCAGAGCGAGGGCAGGGGTGCCGCCTGCCCCCCAGGGCTCTGCCTCTGCTGGGGATCACTGCCCCCAGTGTGGAAGGGGCTCTCTGCCAGTGCTGATGGCCCACTGAAGAGGCTGGGGGCGGGGACCTCACTGCCTCCAGAGCAGCAGGGTGGTGGGCACGGCTGGGGGTGGGGGCGTCTGCTGGGGTAGCCTGGCTGGGGCGGCCCGGCTGTGGCAGGCCTGGGACCCTCGGCAACCCTTCCCCCAGGGAGCCCATCTGCCCCGGGGGCACATCTCAAACCCAGGCCCAGCAAAGCAGAGTGAAGAGCCTCCCAGCCAGGAGACAACGCGAGCCCCCAGGCAGGCCACCGCCAGGAGGAAACCGACACAGATCTATGGCTGCCAGGGGCACAGAAAATTAAACGTCTCCAGAGAGCCCTCCTCCTTCCCTGAAAGTCCAATTCCTGCCACCGCCCCCCCGTGCGTGGGAAAGAGACAGACATCCATTTTCTTGTCTGTGACCATGGTCGAGCCTCAGGACTGGGGAGGGGTCCCTGAGAGCAGAGATAAATCAGACGCCCTGACCACGCTGCAATCTCACTGTGACCATCAGTTTCAACCACAGCCACAAATCACAGGCGTAGCGGCTGCCTGAGTTCCTCCTGTCGCCTCCCAGGCCTTGGAGAAGACTCGGCAGAACTGTCCAGAGGGCCAGTGAGGAGGAACCCTGCCTGGGCCAAGGTCAAGGGCAGGGATGTTTGCCCCCAAAGGCTGCTTGGCAGAGACAGCCATTCTCAGGGAACACAGCCTGCGGAGAGACGGGGTGCCTGGCCCATTTCTTGCTCTGGCCCTAGGGTGAGCTTCTGGGTGTCAGGGACAGGGTGGGATGAGCCCAGTGCCCCTTGGAGCAGAGGCTTCCTCCGCAGAGGCTGGCACCAGAGGCCAGCACCTGGGCCTGCACTGGCATCTTCTGGATGCTGGGGGCGGTGGAGGCCCTGTCCTGCCCCAGGGTGGCATGCGGTCATCCAGCCCTTCCATGGCCACAGCCTTTCCCCCTGCTCTAGATGGTGGGACCACAACGGGAAGGATGAGAAAGTCAGAAATTGCAGGAAGTCACCGGGGGAGGCCCCTGCCCTGGCCCTGAAAGTGCAGCCTGGGGAGAGGGGCCGGTGTGGCCCTCCGCAGGGGAGGATGGAGCCCCCACCGGCACCCCCACCAACACCCTGAAGGAGGGCGCAGCTCCTCTGGGCCCCACAGTGGCACTCACTGGCATGGACCTGCAGGCAGCACTTGCCGCAGGCGATCAGGGGGCTGGTCCCGTCGTCGCCGATGTAGGAGTTGGCAGGCAGCGGCTCCGTGTTCTCACCGCCAGAGGTGAAGCACATCTCAGGGATGAGCGGTCGGGTCTTCTGACGGCTTTTGGAGGGTAATGTGGCCGGGCAGCCCTCTCCGAGGGAGGCTATGGGTGCCTCCTTCTCAGTCTGTAGGGCCTGTAGGGGAGAGGCGACCTTCAGGGGACAGAGCCATGTGTGGGGCAGGCGGGCGGGCGGCGCGGACCTCTCTCAGGGCACCTGCCCCAGGCTTCGACACCCCCTGGCTCTGGAGGGGGAGGTCGGGGAGATGGCCAGAGCCACCTCGGCCCCTCTTCTCACTCCTCCAGAAAGTCAGGATCCCCAAACACTGTCTGACCCTGTCCCCAACCCGCCGAAGACCTTCCCATGAGGGTTGCATCCAGACACAGAGCTCAGGCTGGCCTGTGTGGCCCCTGGTGCTGGGTGGCCCCTGGCGCTGGGGTATGCTGGGGGTGGTGTGTGATGAACGAGTCTCCACACTCTGCCTGGCAAGGGGAATTAGGAAGACGCATGTCTGAAGTGGCATTCCAGGCCCTGTGGCTCCCAGCAGCCTCTCTGGCCTCACAAAGGACAGCAAGTGCCTGGAGACGGTGTCGGCTGTCAGGTCTTGTTTGTCTCAGGAACCAGAGCACTAAATCCAGCTCCCAGCAGCAGAGCCCCAAGACAGGCTCACCACCCTCGGCACAGCACTCTCCCTGGCTCTGTCCACCCAGACCCGGCCGGCGCACAGGCCTGGGGGGTGACGTCCCCAACCCAGGGCAGCTCTGCTGATGCCTGGACATGCTTGGCATGGGGCTAGGAGCTGGGAGTGCAAAGCATGTGGCCAGGTCCTGTCCTGGGGAGGCTGCATGCCCAGGGGAAGAGAGAAGGGGGGATCTAAGAGATCCGAGGAAAACGGCTGGGCTGGGTGCTGATGCCTGGGATGGCCGTGGGCAGAGGCCAGCTCCCCATCTGGGTGCAGAGGACAGGCGAGGCCAGCATGGAAAGAGCACCAGAAACAGGACCTTAGCCAGGTGCCCAGCTCAGCTAGACAGGCCAGGGTTTGCGGGAGCCCCGCCCGGCCACCCAGGTGGTGTACCTGGGCCTTCACTGCACTCCCACACCACCCGGCCCATCTCAGCGCCCACCAGACACGGGCGCTCCCTGAGGGCAGTGACCCCGAGCCTCCGCAGCCTCCCTCTGCCCCATCCACCATGGCTCATGTTGCACATGGGCACGTTAGTAAGCTTCATTCCAATAAAACCCAGAGACCAGGCTCTGCCTACGGCTGTCAGGAACAAGCCCTCACAACTCGGGGTGCTGGCCAACACCCTGCCCTGCGTGAGAGAGGGAGGCGTGTGGGGTGCCCGGTCCCTCGCCCTCTCCCACCGCCCCTGCCTGGGGTTCTCTGGGACCCGTGAGGCCCGCCTGCCCACCTGGCAGTAGGGGTAGAAGAGCGTGCAGATGGCGCAGTAGGGCTCCGTGCGCGCAGCCGCTGCGTTGAACTTCCTCTCGGCCTGGAAGCTGGCCGCCCTGTTCTTCCACTGCAGAGACAGCAGCGGCCTCAAGGCGTCCGGGTCACTCACATCTTCCTCCCCGGAGAAAGGGGATGCCTCTAGAAGAACAGAGGGGAGAGGGAGAGAGACACTTGAGCCCCCTAAAAACTCGTCCAAGGAATCACCCCAACTGCCCAGGGGATGGCCCCGGGTCTACAGCCCTGGCTGCCCACAGGGTCCCTGGCCCATAGCTCCCCCTCCACCTGCCTCCTGGCTGCCCCATTCTCCACAATGCCCATCAAGCTGACACTGCAGCGTCCCATCCCATCAACAGGAGGGGGACACGTCTGTCTCGGCTGACTGCCACCTGAGGCCAGAGCCCCCAAACATGGTTCCTCTGAGCCCCTCCCCCAACACCTGGTTCTCCCTGGACATCCAGAGCCGTCCACTCACCCAGGGCCTTCTGGGCCAAGGACTGGCCAAACTCAGTGCCCAGCCCTGCCCCGGCTGCCCTACACCCGTCCTGGGGTCTGAGTCTGAGTGGGGGCGTCGGCAGTGACCAGCCGAGACTCAGAGACACTGTCCTTCCTGTCTTAGGTGGGCACAGACTCACTGAACTCAAGGGAGGTGCCAGAGGAGTGCGACAGGGAGTCAGGAGGGGCCGTGACCAGGGCTAGGAAGCCAAGGCAGCCCGCCCCAGGAAGAGCTGCGTGACGGGGACACTCTCCCGGAAGGCAGGTCTGCTGCTGAGAAGCCGCGGCGGTCTCTCTCCCACCTGTTGCCTGTTCCCATTGAACTCTAATGGCCTCCATTGCCAGCTGCCGCACCCCAATCTCCCCACGTCCCCTCCCTGCATCTCCTGTGGACACAGGGGTGCTGTCCCCAGGAAGTGGGGTGCCCACTCCTGTGGCCCAATCCTCAGCCCAACCTAAAGGGGAGCCTGGGGTCCTGGGATCAGCCCAGCTGTGGCACTGCCCCTGGTTCACCTAGAGGAGGGCAGGGCAGGGCAGGGCAGGCTCCCCGAGGTGGAGGCCCAGGTCTCCCATGGTGGACTCAGGAAGCCCTTAGGCCAAGACTCCTCTGAAAACCCAAACCAGACAGTACCGCCAGCGGAGCCCAGGGAAGGCCCTAAGCGGCCCCGAGGCCCTGGGGATGAGAACAGAGCCACTGGCTGCGTCTGTCACTCACAACCCCAGAATGCCTGGGGTTCTGGGGCCGTGATGGTCTCACAGGCAAATGCTCCGGTCTCACCAAAGGGTCACAGTGGGGTGTGGGGAGTGGGGGAGTCCACGGAGGCCCCAGAGATGCCTTCTGGAAGGATACCTGGGTAGAAGGCAAGACCCCTTCCCAAGCCAGCCCGCGGGGGCCCCTGGTCATTCCTCTGTCCCCGTGCCGATTCCTCCACTCCTGGGAGCTCCCGCCCTGTGATCCCACGCGCTTCTAGAACCCTCCTCTCCCCACCCCTCCAATTGCATGCAGGATGAAAGACGCCATCCAGACCATTTTCAGATTCTACATGCATCCCCAATGAAAGGCCGAAGCAGAAGTTGAAAAACTGGCTTAGCAGGACTTCTGCACACAAGACAGCAGCTCTCGGCTGAGGGTTAAATCGAAGATTCCATCTCCTCCCCTCCCACTCAAAGCTTCGCGGGAGCCTTTTGTTCCAACCTCTCCAAGTCCTGGAGAGGCCTGTGCTCAGCCCTGGGAGGAATCTTCCATGGGGAGGTACAAGCTCCCCAGCCCTGAACCGCCCATCATGGGCAGCCCAGCCAGCAGAGCAGAGCCGAGCATCTCTAACAGCAGCTGCCTCCCCGCACGACCACCTGCCCCAGTGACAGCCTGTCGCTACGGCAGAGCCACAGAAAGGCCTGGGTTCAGGGGAGGAGACCCAGGAAGTGGGGGAAGGAAGCCGCAGGGGAGCCAGGCCCCCCCTCCAGCAGCAGCAGAGCGCGGAGCAGGGCTGATGAGAGCCGACCTGGGGACCCCCCACTCACCCTCGTCACTTGAGGCCTCCTGCTTCACCACCGACAGTGGGGACCGGGTGGGCGGCCGGCCCAGGGGATGGCGCCGGCTCTTCTTGATCTCCATCTTCAATTTGGAAAATGTGGACGGTGCCTGAAACACACAACAGGCTGTAGTGAGGGCCCCGCTACAGACCCCTGGGTGGGGCTCCCTCGGAGCCACACAGGGGCTCGGCGTGCCTGAGGCCTGAGTCTCCTCTCCTGGGGTGACTGTCCCAGCAAAGAACCACAGGGCTCCTCTGTTCTCTAAGTACAGACACCCCACCTACCCTGTGAGAAGAGCCACAGTTCCCTGTGAAACCAGCAGTCAGCCCTCCTGTCCCCTCCTCCCTGCCCCCTCCCCCGCCACCAGCTCCCCTGTGCCCCACCTGCCCCCTCCTCCCCTGCCCCACCCCACCTGCCCCCCTCCTCCCTGCCTCCCCCGCTCCACCCCACCTGCCCCTCTCCGGCCCGGGCTTTGGTCTCCATGCGACCTGCCCCACTGCTGGCTGCACCGTCCTCTGGCCCCGTCAGCTCCATGGGGGAAACTGGTTCCTTCCAGGTCGGACCCTTCTGGGCAAAGTGCTCAAAGGCCTGCTGGCAGGACACGTGCTCCTGGTTGAAGGCTGCCTTGCCCGGCCGCGGCACCACGTACAGCATGGGGATGATGGGCCGAGGCTTGGCCTCTAGCTCCTCACTGGGCACCTCAGGGGGCACGACATTAAGGGGTGCCGGCAGGGGGCTCTCCTCCATGGCTGCAGGGCCTGGGCCCAGCACCGGGGGCTCCAGTGGGGATGGCAGCCACAGCGCCTCCTCTGAGGGGAAGTGAGCAGGCGGGGGCGGCAGCTGTGGGGGCAGCAGGCCGAAGCTCTTCTTCTTCCGCTCGCTCTTGGCCTTGGTTGGCCGCAGCTTGCCCCTCCCGTCCTCTGTGGGAAGAGGAGAGGGAGGTCAGGGAGGAGAACCCGGGCTCAAGTGCTGGTCCCACGCTCCCCAGAAATCCCCCAACTTTGACTGGGATGGTCGAGGGCTCCTTCCACCCAGAGAGGCCACACGAACATGGGTGGGCAGAGAACACAGGCTTCGGGCCACCTCAGATCACCGCAGGGGCACCTGGCCAGGCACCCCCAGGCCTTGGTCTCCCCACAACGCAGGCGCAGCAGCGGCACTTGCCTGCCAAGGCCTGTGAGGACCCACCAGGTGTTGCTCTATGTGCCTTCTGGGGTCACGGGAGGTGAGGAGACGCGTCACCAAACCCAGCCAGGGGAGGCTGCTCTGTCTTCTGGGCTCCCACCTGGGTGGGCCGTACCAAATGGCACTTTCCCGGTGGAGGTGGGGGAGAAGCACTTTTTGTGTTCTCGTGTATCCGAATTACGTACATTTCTACTGTTGATGTAGAAACGTTAAGGTTTTGCTTTTGACGAAAGTAAAACCTTGAACAACGCACAAAATCTTAATCAACGAACCCCAACCTGGCGGTCACATGAGCGAACCAGGAAGCGTCAGATGGGCCTGTGGGGCCCGACACCCTTCCGCGTGGAACTCCCCGGGGCCAGCAATGGGGAGATTTCCTGACAGGTGACAGGGAGGGGACAGTTGACTCATGTGTTTGGTGGCATTTTACTTTGGGGCCAGGACGGGTTTGCAGTAAATAAAATAAAACTGGGATGAGCAGCCTGGCTGGCTGAATCACAGCCCCCAGAAGCGTGCGGGTCCCAACTCTCCTGGACATGTGGATGTGGGACATGACAGAGGGACATGGGGGACTCTGGCAGAGGGGACTCTGTGGGTGGGACTGAGTGAAATGGGAGGTGATCCTAGATGATCCAAGAGGCCCGATGTCCTCACAAGGCCCTCACAAGATGAGGCGGGAGGGTGAGAGTCAGAGAGAGACTGGAAGAGGCTGCGCTGTGCCTGTGAAGGGAGAGGAAGGGACTCGAGCTGAGGGATGCAGGGGCCTCTAGATGCTGGGAAAGGTTTCTGTCCTGGAGTGCCCAGGAGGGCCTGTCCCTGCACACAGCTCCATGTGAGCCCAGCGGCGCTCTGTGTCGGGCTGTGGGAAGCTCGTGCCGGGGCAATCCCTCTGAGGGCCGCCGCACTCAGGGTAAGTTGTGGCACGGCAACTTGGAGCCCTGTCCTCGAGGAAGACCAGCCTGGCCGCACAGCACACTGTGGACCCCAGAACACCGTGAGCCCTGGGGCCCTGGGGCCCTGCCTGCTCCATCTGGAGGAGGGGGACAGGGGCTCAGGCCCCCACCTGTGTGTCTCCAGGCCCTAAGGCTCTTGGGACATTCTGGAAGGAGGAACCGTGGTTGATATCCAAGGGATTCTTGGGCTGTGGGGCTTTCAGTGCTAAAACTGGAAGGTCCCAAGCAGATCAGGATGAACTGGTCACTGCTAACATTTCACCACCTCCACCTCCCCCAACAGGCTGGAAAAATAAGGAAAAATTAAGAGAAGGAAATTCATTTCTGCACACTAAACTGTTGACCATGTGGCACTTAACGGGGTCTGGTTTGGAGCACAGCGCCCACATCTCACCACTTGCTATAAAACCCACCACGGGCTGCCCCCAGCTCCACAGTCCGTGATGCCAGGACCAGTGGTAAGCGCTGAGACCCTCAGCAATGAGGCTCCCAAGGGCCGAGGGTGACACTTAACCCTTGACCCACACTGACCCCAGTAAGGGTCAAGTGAGGACCCTCCCCCAACAGACCCTGCAGCCAGGAGGAAGCCACACTGCCCCACACACTCCCACAAGGGGCCCCCAGCCCACAGCCTCCCCCAGGAGTGGAGGCGGCCCTGCCCTCCCTGCTCCAGCTCTCCTCCCCACACCCTACCCAGCTCCATCTGCAGGCTTGGGGGACCGCCCACGGTGTCCTTGGCAGGCACACGCCCACCTGTTTCTCAAGAAGGACAGGCGAGCAGCCATAAGGTGAAGGCAGCCCCCGCCACTGCCCTGGCCCCCACCCCTGCTAGTCCTGAGCATTCTGGGGCACTGGGGGCACTGGCCGGGCTCCTCCCTGACCTCCACCCCGGCAGGGGAGCCTGGAACACCCCCAGGTCCTGTCTGGCCTTGCAGGGAGCGCAGTCTTCCCCTCCGCTGGTATCCGGGCCCCCCGCTGTTATATGACCCCCCCCCCCGCCCCCCGCCTCCACTGTTATCTGGCCCCTCAGCTGTTATCTGGCCAGGGGAGGTAAACACTGGACACAGCAGACAGGCTGGCGTGGGAAGAAATACTTTTTCCCTGCCGATGCCAGAGGGGAGGCACCCCCTCCCTGGGAGGCTGGGAGCAGAGGCGTGGAGATGCAGAGGGGAGGGGCCGGAAGCTTCACCAGGGCTGGAAGCTGGAGCAGCCCGGGGAGGCTGCAGAGGCCGCACGCCTCACCCCGAGCGCCTGTCAGGAAAGCCACTGTCCTGCGTGTGTAAAAGGCACTTGAGGACAAACAGCTTTGTTCCCCTAAGGAAATCCAATATTCCTTCGTCCATGATAGCGCCTGCCCAGCCTCACTCAGGACTGCAGGCTGCGGTGCCCATCCAGCCTCACCGGGGACTGGGACTCAGGCCCCCCACTGCTGGGCCGGCTTCCCAAGCCGGGTTCAACTTCAAGGGCAGGGGCTGGCGTGGGATCTGGCCCAGGAGGGCCCCACCTGGGGCATCGATGGTCTCAGGAGAGGGAGGAAGATGCCAGGACACAGCCTCACGGCCTCCAGCTGCAGGGCCACTCAGTGCACACATGAGGAATTGGGGAAGGAGGCGAGGAGGAAACACTCATCAGAGTCCCCAGCCGGCACCCCCACCCACCCCTCACACACAACAGGCAGCTCCGCACACAGGGGACTCCAGCCGGGGCTGTGGGGGCCAGGGACACAGAGCCGGGCTGTCCTCACACACAACAGGTAGCTCCGCACACAGGAGACTCCAGCCGGGGCTGTGGGGCCAGGGACACAGAGCTGGGCTGTCCTCACACACAACAGGCAGCTCTGTGCACAGGGGACTCCAGCCAGGGCTGTGGGGCCAGAGACACAGAGCCGGGCTGTCCTCACGAGACCACAGGTGCCTGCTCAGAGGGTCCCTGGGGAGTCCCCGCCTCTCTAAGGGGCTGGCATCCTCCCCCGACCAACGGGGCCTCCTGGGAGCTGAGGGGCGGCTGGTGTGACCGCCCCAGGCCCTGGTTCTGCTCGGGAGGCAAGGCTGGGTGGGGAGCTGAGGCCACCATCGTCCCCTAGGCCTCCCGGGGGCTGTCCTCTCACCAAGGGCCACACTGTAGGGCTCTCTCCCTCCTCCTCCAAGGACAGGGATGGCCCCAAGTCCCGCTTCCCCACAGCCCTCCCTGGTTGGCTGCCTGGTTCTGTCTCCCGGAGGGACCAGGCATGGGAGACAAAGTGGGACATAATTTGAGCCTCAGGTGCCCGGCTGATGAGTGCCACCCCATCCCCTGTCTGGAGACAGCAGTGAATGACAATGGCGGCAGCCTCAACGCACTCCACGCATAGCCCGCACCTGCTGGTGCCCTGGATTCTCAAACTCACAAGAACAAGTTTCCAGCCCTCTCCCTGTCGGCTCCCAGGCTCAGTGAAGCCCGGGCAGACACACAGGGGACCCTGTTAGAGGGAGATGCCCAAGGCTAGGAAGGACACCCTGAAAGACGGCGGCACACCCCGCAGCCATTCCTCGGGGCTCTGTCCTTGCTGTGGGCCATTCC
Source organism: Homo sapiens (assembly GCF_000001405.40). Lineage (NCBI taxonomy): Eukaryota > Metazoa > Chordata > Mammalia > Primates > Hominidae > Homo > Homo sapiens. Next base: position 5,127,298 of record NC_000019.10, on the reverse strand, counting down.
TTGGGGCTCTGTCCCTGCCATGGGGACTACACTCCACAGGGACCTTGGCACGCCCCTCACCTGCCTGGCCTGAGGGAGGGAAGCGGGTGAGGGGCTTCAGGACAGAGCAGGGACCATGGTACAGATGGGGCCCAGGATGCACCCAGGCCCCCGAGGGCAGCCAGCTGAGGCCCTGCTAGCACTCTTTTTGGGTGGAGGGAAGGTGTCACAGCGGAAACCCCACCACCAGGGCTCACTAGCCTGCCTGGTGGCGAGGCCACTCCTCCCCAGCGCCGGGGTTTCCACCAGAGCCTCCAGCAAACCCCAAGACAGGCCCGAGGCCCAGGCTGCCCTGTGGAGGGGGCAAGAAACCACCCATTTCCAAGGACACCACTCTGTTCCTGCTCCGAGGCTGCCGAGATCAACTCACCAGCTTCGGCCTGGCTTATGGGGCCCCTCCCTCAAGTTTCGTGCTTGGCTTCCATGCCTGGGCCAACCAGCCCCGGTCTCAGGGGCTCTCTGGCCACCCCCTTCAACACTGCCACCCTCCCGTGCTGAACCCGCAGCCGGGTGCGCCTGACGGTCCCAGAGGCCCAGCTGGGATGTGCTGGCGGGTCCCCGGGCTGAGCTCACAGCCCCTCACTATGAGCTGGGGCCGCCCTCCAGACATGGCAGCCTTTGCTTTCCGTGTTCTAAAACCAGTCACCAGCCACGAGGCCTCTCCTGAGAGCAGCACTCCGGGGCGAGGGGAGGGGAAGGGCTGGGGGCTGGCTGCCCCACTCACCGCAGCCTTTCCACCCTCTGGGAGGCAGGACGGCACTATGCCAGCCCTCCTGGGTCCCCATCCTGGCTCTGCCCCCTGACCCTGTGTGTCCTGCACTGCAGGCCTTCTTCCAGGAGGCGGGGCCTCCCCGGAGGCTCAGGAGAGGTGGACGAGGCCGCCTTCCTGCTTTCTGCTTGGTTCTGGGGTTAGGGCTGGCTGGTGGGGCTGCTAGTCCCTCCTAGCGCTGGGCAATAGGGCGGCCGCTCTTCCCAGACCTTGAAGCAGCCAGTAAGAATGGGATAGGGGACACCAGCAGCCACTGGGAAGCAGCCTCTCAACCGCCCCCCAGGCACCTCTCCTCCTGAGGGGCTTCCTCCCCGATGCTGATGCCCCCTGGCCCCTGTGAGCAACAGGTTCTGGCCCCTTCCCAGCTTGTTCCATATGAAAACACAAAACCCCACACCCCACTGCTAGGCCCTGAAAGGTGCCTCAGCGTCATAGCTTTTAGGGGCGTGAAACTGGCATTCAAGGAGGACCAGAAACCGCTTTAGGAAATCTTTCCCGCAGCACTGTGGCATGCATTTCCTGTCGTGCCCCTGACTGTGAACATGCATTTATGAGGCTCTCTCGAGATAAACCTCTCGTCCAGAGGCTCCTGGGACTTCGGGCTCCCGGGAAAACGGCTGTGTCCAAGAAAACGCCCACCCCTGCCAGATTGGGTCCTTCCCAGGAGTCTCTGTCGTGGAACAGAGATAAGGGTGTCCAGGGCGGGGGGCGGGGGGTGGGCAGCACCAGTCCTGAGCCCTCCCTGGGCAGAGACCCTGACGTGCCACCAACGTAGCCCCTAACCCTCCTCGCTGGTCCCTGGCCTTTCTGTGGGGGCTGATCCCTTCAGAGACCCGTGGAAGCCACAGGCCTCAGAGATGCACCAGGCCCAGCCTCCTGGCACCGTGACCACTGCACCGGGCGTGTGGACCCCCGGGGATCTCGGGAGGGAGCGAGTTGCCCTGTACATCTTTAAACAGGATGGTGAGTGACCAGGCCAGGGCCTCACCTACGCCAGGCAGCTGGACGAGCCATTGGTTTCCCCTCCCTCCCACGCGGTGTAGGCTTCTCTCCAGCGGGCAACTGCCACTGTCAGGGGAGGAAAGCCGCCCATCCAGCCAGGACCACGCATGGGGAGGGGAGACCAGAGGAGAACCAGGACCCCCTGGTTCAGGACCTCCCTGAACCTGAGTCTCTTGGAGGCCAAGGCCATGGTGAGGCCCAAGTGAGAGCAGGTAACGCCGGGGCTGGGGAGGGTGTGGCTGTCTCGTCAGTGGGCTTGGGAAGATTAGTAAATAACAGTTAGTCACATTAATGAAAAGAAAGCTGGGCACAGTGGCTCATACCTGTAATCCCAGCACTTTGGGAGGCTGAGGCGGAGCCCAGGAGTTCGGGAGCAGCTTGGGCAACATAGCGAGACCCCGTGTCTACTAAAAATTTTGAAAAATGAGCGGAGTTGCGGTGCACGTCCACAGTCCCAGCTACTGAGGAGGCTGAGGTGGGAGAACTGCTTGAGCCCAGGAAACCAAGGCTGCAGTGAGCCGTGACTGCACCACTGCCCTCCAACCTGGGGGACACAGCAAGACTCGGTTTCAAAAAAAAAGAAAAGAAAAGAAGGCTGGGCATAGTGGCTCGGGCCTGTAATCCCAGCACCTTGGGAGGCTGAGGCAAGTGGATCACCTGAGGTCAGGAGTTGGAGACCATTCTGACCGACATGGTGAAACCCTGTCTGTACTAAAAATACAAAAATTAGCAGGGCATGGTGGCGGGCGCCTGTAATCCCAGCTACTTGGGAGGCTGACGCAGGAGAATCGTTTGAACCTGGGAGGTAGAGGTTGCATGAGCTGAGATTGCGTCACTGCACTCCAGCCTGGGTGACAGAGCGGAACTCCATCAGGAAAGGAAAGGAAAAGGAAAAGAAGCCACAGTCCTTTGCTAGCCAGTTGGGTAAAACAAGTCACAGGAGCTGGTGGCCGCCCTTCCTCCAGCCAGAGGCTGGCCAGCCCCTAGAGTCTGCTCAAGAGGGAGGAAGACACCCATGGTACGGGGGATCCTTGTGACCCCTCCCAGGAGGCCCCACTGAGAACCCAGGACAGACTCTGACCAGCCAGCTCCACTCTGTAAAAGCCTTCCCAGGACTGGGCCACTTTCCTCGCTGCCTGAACCCACAGGTGGCAGCGGCGGCGGCAGCAGCCTGCCCGATTTCCCCCACCGCGCCGGCCTGGGGAGGATGCGTGTCCTCTTATCTCTGCCCTCCTGAAGGGTCCATCAAGGCGGTGTCCCAGCTCAGGGTCACATGGGCAGTTAACGGGTGGGCTTGGGTGGGCCCGGGTCCCCAGACCCAAGCCTGGATCTTTCTCTGCCTGCTTGTTTTCCCATAACTCACCCATCTCCTGTGAGACCACACACAGCCCCCAGCACGTTCTGACTCGTGAGAAGGGCAGCTTCACAAGGTCCAAGCTCAAGGTGGCCCACGCAGCCCCCCACCCCCAGGGACCCCAGCCCAAGCCCAGCCCACCCCTGCCAGCCCATCCTGTGGGGAGAATGGTCACGGCTCAGCCACCTCCCTGTCCCACGCCAGTCCCTCCAGCGACATCCCACAGTCCCCCTTGGAATAGAACCTGAACTGCGCCCATCCCCCACTCCCCTGCCGACCTCGCCTGGGGCTCACCGTCTCCAGAATCAAACACAGACTCCTGCTCAGAAAACAGGAGGCCTGGCTACCGCAGCCAGCCCAGGAACTTATCCTCTACCAGCACGACCCATGCTCAGGCGCCCAGCTTGCCTGCTGGAGTCTGCATTATTTCTGAGGATTTCCCAAACCCCAGAGGACCTGCAGTGTAGACACAGGCCCTGCAGGATGACAACACAAATGGGCACCTGTGCCTGCTCCTGCCCTGCAGGAAGCCCCTCGCCTGCTGCAGAGCTGAGTCCCTGTGCTGTTGAATGGTGCTGCAGTCCTAGCCCCCGGACCTGGGGTGCCACCTTGTTTGGGAAGGGCGTCACTGCAGACGGAATGAGTTATGATGAGACCCTTGGGGCGGGCCAGGCCCAGCGTGGCCAGTGTCCTTAGGAAGGGGGGAATCTGGACAGACACACTCCGGGAGAACACGGGAACACAAAGGTGCTGCCTCCAAGCCCAGGAAAGGGGCCTGGGAGAGGTCCTCCTGGGTCCTCGGAATGGGCCAGCCCGGCTGACACCTGGACCGTGACCTTCCCGCTTCCACAGGTGTGAGATTGTACATTTCAGCCATTTCAGCCGCCCCATCTGTGGACTTTAAACAAACGGAGCACAGCATATGAGAAGCCCCGTGCCACGCGAGGTCGTGTCCGAGAGCCACAGGGCGTGGAGCAGTGGCCTCCAGCGCTCATGCCTCCAGGGCAGACGAGGGTGACAGGAGGCGCTGGTTCCCCGTCCCTCTCCATCGATGGAGGTTGGTTAGTTTGCCTGTCCCTGCATCTGCACAGTCCTAGTGCCCCACCAGCAGGGGGTCTCTCCAGGAAACGTGCCCTGAGGGCAGCTCTGGGTGTGCAGTTTGCAAATGCTCCACTTCTCTGGATAAGGCCAGGTCCATCTCCAATGCAGCCGGACTCACGCAGGTCCCAGGCAACAGGGGACTGGGCTGCCCGCTGCACCGGCTTCCAGGGCTGGGCACGGTGGGTGTTTCCACCTCTGGTGGTCCGAGGAGCACACAGCAGCGTGTCTGCAGCGCTTCCCAGAGCAGGCTGGGCTCATTAGCCTAAGGGATCTCCTCTTCTGGTGCCCTCTTCCTTGGGGGGCTGAGCCCCTCCTGGTCCTCAGGCATTCTTATCTGCTCTTGGTCGGTGACGGGTGGCGAGTGTCTTCCCTACTTATCGGCTTGTCTTCTCACTTTCTTAAAGGTTCATCCTTTGATAAACAGCAGTGGATTTGAGAGTCACTGAATTTGTTCATCTTTATTTTTCTAGTTTGTGCTTTTTAATAAACAATCACTTAGCCTTGGGTTATATACTTTCCTGCTTTGTGTTTCCAGTTTGCCAGTTCTCTTTTGACAGAAATGCCTAAGCATGTGGCAGGCAGAGGAATGACCCCAAAGGCATCTGCATCCTTATCCCTGGAGCCTGGGAATCTGTCCCCTCCCGTGGCAGAAGGAATATTCAGGTGGGACTCAGTGAAGGACCCTGACATGGGAGAGCATCTGGGAGACCTGGGAACCCAGGGTCCTCACCGGGTAGAAGGTAGGAGGGTAAGAGTCAGAGAGAGACCGGAAGAGGCTGCACTGTGGCTGTGAAGGAGGAGGAAGGGGCTCTGAGCCAAGAGATGTGGGCGCCTCTAGACACTGAGACAGGCAGGAAACAGGTTCTCCCCTGGAGCCCCCCAGGAGGAAGCAGCCCTGCCCACAGCTTGATTTTAGCCCAGTGAGGCCTGTCAGACTGGTGGCCTCCAGAGCTGTGAGACAAGGAGCGTGTGTTGTTTTACGCCACCAAGGTCATGGTCCTTCATTTCAGCGGCCCCAGGGCACTCACAGAGGCCGCAGCGTGGACAGGGGGAGGGAGGGGACTGAGGTCTCACACCAAGTCCACTGCTCCGGGATTCCTATTCCTAGACCTTTTGCCATCTTTGCTTGGGTCCTGCAAGCTCTGTGGCAAGCCCTGCCTTCTGGAAGGGTGGCCCCAGCCTCTTGACAGGCCTTGGGCTTTCATCCGCCTGCATTTAAATCAGCAAACCCTGCTGGGATCCCAAATGGAGCTGCACTGAACCTGCAGAGAATGTGGGGGAAGCCGTTAGTTGTCCGCTTAAGAGCTCTCCTAACACCTGGTAGGTCCTTCTGTTTATTTAGGAATTCTTTCTTATTTCCAAAAAAAGTCTCTTAATTTTCTCCATAAAGATCATTTTTTTGGTTAGGTTTATTCTAAGATCCATTATTTCTGGTTGCTAGCACCATAAGGGGCATCTTTGGGAGCCATGTTTGCTGCGAGCGGCTCGCAGATGAGGGGCGAGATTGGGTTTCTGTGCCTGTCGCTCATCTCTGGCAGCTCCGCTCGATCCCCGAGTCACCAGGCGGCTGCCTGTAGACTTGCTTGCTGCTTCTCAGTAGAGAATTGTCGCTACATAATAACAGTGCCACGACAGCTGTGCTTTTCTCTTCTACCCACGATGCCTTTTCTGTCCTCGTCTTGCCTCTCTAGGCCGGCAGACCCTCCTGAGGCGTGCTGAACAGACGCAGGGCCCACGTACCCCACCGAGTAAGTGGTCCGTCAGGGGCAAACTCACCCCCGGCCTCTGCTCTTTCCCCCAGGGATGCTCACTTTTCTTGCCTCAGGCCCACAGGCACTGGCAAACTGTGACCCTCAATATCTGCCCCATGTATATGGGGAGGGCAGGGGCGTGCCTGCCTCCTGGAGTACTGCGAGGGCCACGACCCCATCGTCACAGATCAGGCACCCCACGGCTGCCCCTGGCAGGTGGGAGGGACCTCACATCTGCTGAATGGCACCACAGCTGGGCCTCTTGCCATGTTCCAAGGACAATATTCACCTTGGGCACCAGCGCGTCCTGGAGACCTGACACCTCAGAGGCAGACCAGGTCATGTTGGGCTCATACAGAGGGAAACTGAGGACTAGGACCCTCCGGCGAATGTGGCCCCCATGACCTGGGCCTCAGGCACTGTGGCTGGGGGCAGCCCTTGGTGGGAGGCAGGCTGGCCAGCACACCCCACAAACCTGCTCCCTGCATGGCACCTGGAAAGGGTGGGAGAGGGAAGGGCTCCCAGCGGGGAGCCCTAGCTGGGAACAGCCACTTTGCACAGACTCCCAAGCAGCTAAAGCTCTAAACTGAGAAGATAAAACCCAGTCACCAGAAACAAAATGCTGTCAACCCTGGAATAGGAACCTTTACACACTCACAGGTGGGAGTTCCACAGCCAAAACCTCCCCCTGGGGAAGGTAATGTTTCTGAGACTGCCTCCCGGCCCCCCGCACCCCGTTCACAACTGCTGGTTCACACTCCTGTGGGAAGGCGGCTGCCCCCTGTCTTGCCAGCCCCGGGAGAGTGGGGAGGCCCGAGGGCAGGTGGGAGACCTGCTGACGGGGGCCCCAGCTCACAGTCAGGACCAGCCCTCTGCCCACAAGTGGCTGTGGCTGCTGCAGGCACGTTCCAGCATCTGGGCCATATACAGCATCCTGGTCTTTTATTATTATTATTATTTTTGTGATACTGGGTCTTGCTCTGTTGCCCAGGTTGGAGTGCAGAGGTGCAAACACGGCTCACTACGGCCTCAACCTCCCACCTCAGCTTCCCAAGTAGCTGGGACTATAGGTGCAAGCCACCAAGCCTGGTTAAATTTTTTTTATATCATAAGTAGAGACAGGGTCTCAAACTCCTGGACTCAAGTGATCCTGCCACCTTGGCCTCCCAAAGTGCTAGGATTACAGGTGGGAGCCACTGCGCCTGGCCTCTCGTAACTGCTCTTCTCAATTCTGGGGACGGAGGCACTTTTCTTACGGCCTCCACCTTACGATGTCTATTTTCACGAAATGCCCCACCCTGGCAAGAAAGCCACTGAATCAGATTCTTACAAAACGGGGACTCTGGCTGTAGCAGGCACTGGTTCCTTCTAGGAGATGCCCACGGGGGTGGGAAAACAGCGGTGCCAGGCCTGGCCCGGCAGGGACTGACCTTCTGCGCCCTCGGCCTCCCGGCCGTGTGGCAGTGGCTGCGGCTCCTCCTCCTCCTCCTCGGGGTCAACCTCCGGCCCAGCCTCCTCCTTCACGCTGCCCCCAGCCTCCTCTAGGAGCGCTGCCCCAGCCGTACCCTCCCCAGGGAACTTGGGGTCTTCGGGCTTCGGCTTCTTGGGCTGGCTCCGTTTCCGGTGAGACCTGGAGAGGGAGGTTTATCAGGCAGGAGGGGAGACCAGGGAGGGAAGAGCCCTAGGTCTGTGCACTCTGTCCGGCAGCACGCAGCCCCCGCCCACCCCCAGAAGAGCGCTCCATGAGCAGGGGGCCTCCTGGCTGGAGGCCGGGGGTAAAGGGAACCCTGGGTGGGGTTCTGCTCTTGCGGGGCAGGAGCCGTGTTGGGAGGAGAGACCAAAGGGAGACGGGGCAATGGACACGGCGGGGACGGTGTCAAGCGGGGGACGCTGATGACAGCTGGAGATGGGAAGCCGACTGACACCAGGTGGGATGACGGGCGGGACGGGGCGGCAGGAGCCGCGTGTGCCACGGGACAGAGACACAGGGAGTGTGAGCTCCGAGGGAAACAGCAGCTCATGGAAAATGCCTAGACGACAAACGGAACGAAAAAGACACTTACGACAGCCCCGGCCTTTTGGTCTGCTCTTTCTTCCTTTCTAGACTTGGTTTCCTCTCCTCCTCAGTCTTTCTCCAGTGTCTGTTTTCTTTCAGACTAATTTGTCTAGAATGTAAATTTCACGGGTTTTTTCTCTAGGACTTCTGCTCAACTCCCCAGGACGCCTGGTCCTGGCCACCTGGCTCTGTCCCCAACTCCCTGGGTCCTCTCTCTGCAGCCCATGAGGTGCATGGGAGCCCCAGCTCACACTCCGCTGCTCTGACCTGTGCCCACACCCCAGGGCCTGCCAGGGCCTCCTCTGCGCCCTGAGCCCAGGATCTGCTCACGGGGCAGGCGTGGGCCAAGAGGAGGCGCATCCTGCATGCCCAACCTGGACACCCACAATCCTGGGGTACATCGGGGAGGTCCCGGTCCCTGCACACCAGCCCCAAGTAAGGGATTCAACCTGAGGCTTACAGGCTTGGCTGAGCTGAGACTTCTTAGAAATGAGAGAGAGGGGCTGAAAAAGGGAGGAAAAGTGACAGCCAGGTGACCCTGCAGCTGAGCGGCCAGGGCCTCACACCAGGTTCCCCCAGGGACCTCCAGGGTCTTTCCAGGAAGGAAGCAAAAGCTTTTTGGAGATGCGGAGGGGGTGGTTCCCAGGGGGCTCAGGCAGAAGCCGGGAGTGCAGAGAAGCCGAGGCCTGGCTGGTCACTAGTGCCTCCCCTGGGCATGTGATATCTGCACCTCCTCCAGGCCCACCCCCTGCAGCTGCCCTAAGCCCTGGCCTGGCCAGGGGCCTCTCTAGGCCATGAGCTCGAGGCCGCACAGCCCGGCTCCCCAGTGGCCTTTCTCCCCTTCCCCAGTTGAGATCCAGCCACGTCAAGCCTGCCAGCAGTCAGGCAGAGCTGGGAGCGCCAGTGTTTCCGGGACAATCACCAATGCCGGCTGCGGCTTCCGGGTGCTTCCCGTGTCCCCTGTCCCCATGGGCTCAGACTCGGACACCTCAATCCCACGGGGGTCCCTGTGGCAGCTGCCCCTCCAAGGACCAAGTGGTCACCAAGGTGGGGCAGGCTCATCTGACAGGGGTGGGGTGGGCCCGCTGCCGGGGCTTCTGTTACCAGGACCTCCTCACCTCTGCCTGAGCCAGGCTGTCACATGGGCCAGCAGCAGCCCATGCTCCCTCGGGACACTTGGACCTGACCCCTGCCCACCGCTGCTCCCAGCCACTCTGCCCGCCCTGTGCTCCATGCTGGCTTCTGGGGCGCCTCCTCCAGGAAGCCTTCCTAGAACACTAGTCACTGCCGGCCCTCCTTGCTCCTCAGCTGCCTAACTCGCTAGAATCAGTGCTCCCCGATGTCTGCAGCATGGCCCACCACAATGACTCAAGGCAGAAAGCGGGTGGACCAGAGGCATGGCATCACACAGCATGGTGCACACAAGGTCGCTGCGGGGTGGCCGGGCAGGGGTGGGAGGCAGGCAGGGGCGGGCGTGGGGCCAGAGTCACTAACACAGGGAGCAGGAGGTGGATGGGGGACACGGGAGTGGCCCCTGCCCTCCAGAGAACGTTCTCCACAACAGCAGCCCAAGGACGGCTCTGGGAAGGCAGCCTCAGGCTCCACTAGGGGGCTAGGCAAATGCTGGGTGCCTGCCCCAGATGGAGACAGCAGGCTCAGGAGGAGGAAGCTTCAGACCGGCGCTGGGGTGCAACTGGCTCTTGTCACCACTGTCATCCCAAGGTGGGCTGCCCTCCTGGTCTGGGAATGCCCCAGGGCTGTAGGGCCGGGATCCCACAGTGGACCCGCCCTGGTCCCAGACAGCACCAGCAGAAGGGCGCCCTCCCATGCCGCTCACCTGGCCTCAGCTGCCCCCAGCTCCACAGCCCCTTCTCCCACCCACTGCAGTCCCTCCCTCCACCCCCACCCTGAAAACTCACCCTAGAGGTCGCTTCCGACCATGGCCCTCCCCTGCTGCAGCCTTCCAGGGGCACCCCCACGGCCTTCAAGCCTTACTGTGTCTGCCCCAGAGGGCCCCAGAACTGTCCTGGTGCCCAACCAGAGCTCTGGGGCCTCATCCTTGCAGCCCAGCCCTTTCCTACCTGCAGTAGTGCCAGGCTGAGACCCCTGGGTCCCACACTACATGGAACTGGGTAGGGCTCAATGCACAGACACAGCAAGGGCGGCACAGACACAGCAAGGGGGGCACAGCCCACGGCAGAGGGGCAGCCATCACTTGGGGCATCTGTGGGGTCCTAAGAGCACGCCTCTTCCTGACCCTGACATCTTCATCCCCCTTCGCGTGTTTCTGCACCCAATGCTTGTTTCTGGGTCTGGCTCCCGGCACAGGTGTTGAGGGTGTGGCCATCCTTGCTCGCCTCCATGACCGTCCCCTTCTCTCCCTGCACCTGCCACCGTCTTCCATTGCAGCCAAATTCCACGTTTACGCTTTTATGCCCCATAAACATTGTGCATCCATGAGCCACAGAGCAACTCGGGCCGCATTCCCTGCCCCCACCCTGGGGTCTGGAACTGGCCTCCTGCTTTGGACGCCTAGCTTCCTTGGTATCTCTGAGCTCCCTGCCATTGCTCTTAAACTCCTGCTGTGGTCTCCTATGCAGGGTGTCCCCTTCTCTCCATGACACCCCTGGGGGTCTTGGTTCCTTCTCCCATGATCTTGAGACTCCCCTTGACTCTCCTGGGTTAGATCTTGTTTCCTCAACCCCATGGCTTTCTCGATTTACATCCTTGTTTAGCTGGAGCACATCCTGCAGCAGCTTCCTGAGAAAGGAGGTGGAATACGAGACTCTGTGTGTCTAAAAAGATCCTTATTCCCCTCACACATTTCTTGACAATTTGGCTAGGTAAAAGATTTGGGGAGAATTATTCCTCTTCTGACTTTTGAAGGCCTTTTTCCTTTGTCTTTTAGCTTGTGGCATTATGACTGTAAATCCAATGCTAACAGAGTCTCCTATTCTTTATAATTTTTTTTTTTTTTTTTTTTTTTTTTTTAGAGATGTGGTCTTGCTATGTTGCCCAGGCTGACCTCGAACTCTGGGCCTCAAGTGATCCTCCTGCCTTGGCCTCCCATAGTGCTGGGATCACAGGCATGAGCTACCATGCCCAGCCCCAGTCTGGTGAGCTGTTTATGTGATCTGTTTGCTCTGGAAGCTTTCAGGGCCTTTGTTTAATCCAGGAATTGTGAAATTTCACAGCGATGCATTGTGGTTTGGGTAATTTCCATTCTTGGGCGGACTTTCTGGTGGACTTTTTAACCTGGAAATGCAAAGCCTTTGGGTCCCGGGACACTTTTCTTTTTCTGAAACTCCTATCAGGGGCTAGATTTCCTAGACTACGCCTCTGACTTCCTGATCCTTCCTATCTTCCAGCTCTGTCTGTCAGTGCTGTGGGAGGGGATTCTTCAAGGGCCTCCCAATCCACTGTGGGCTTGTCTCTTCTCTAGATGGTAACATCCGAGAGCCACTCGTTCCTGGAATGTTTCTTCTTCACAGCAATGGCTCTTTTTCCATAATGCAAAGTCCCGGCCCACTCCAGGGCCCTGCACTCACTGCATCCTCTTTCCTCGGAGCTCTGCCCTTCTTTGCTGTGCAGGCCCTGCCTTTGTCATGGGAGCGCAGCCTCCAATGTGTCGGGTCCCCTGGCCGTTGATCCCTCTGTGCACGGTGCCAAGCCGTGTGTGAGCTGGGCCTGGTGAAGGCAGTGGCAGGGGCTGCTGAGGGCAGGAGCCTGTGACTTTAGGAGAGCCCCAGTATCAGCATATGTGGCTTTGCTCCACTGGGCCCCTTTGTTCTCTGGCAGAGGACCCCCACCCCCTCTATTGTCTCTCCTGGCCTTGGGGGTTGGGGGGATGTGAGGCTGGCAGCTGGGCCCCACTGCTGACCCCAGGAAGGCGCCTCCCTTCTGCCCAGAGCCACCCACTGTCTTCTGCTGGTTGCCCCCACATCCCCCCAGCACCCCCAGGGGCTGCCCATGTTTGCCCGCTGTGTCTTTCTGAGGCCCCGTGGTACATTCCCCCTGCAGCCCTCCAGGAGCTGCCCATGTCTGCCCACTGTGTCTTTCTGTGGCCCCATGGTGCAGCCCAGCTGCTCCCTGCTGGCTGTCCTCCTGGTTGCCGGCCCATGGGGTCTCCTGCCCACCCTTCCCTGCTTTTCAAAGCCTGGAGACGTGCTCAGCTGCCACTGCCCCCTCTCCCGTTCTCTGCACTTCACTCTCTGGTGTTTCAGTGGCGTTTCAGGAGAGAGTGGAGATAAATAAGCACTTAGCCTGCCAGGCTTAACTGGACGCCGCTGGGCTCATTCCTATGAGCCAAATGTCGGGACATAGTCCAGATAACTGCACTAATATTTCCAAGGTGGAAGCAGGTGTCCTTTGCAGCTTGTATGGCAGGAGGCGGGGTGGACGGCCTCTGGCCCTGTCACCCAGTAACACAGGGCACCTGCAGCACCCAGAGTGGGACCATCAGCATTCAGTGCCGCGCTGGCTCAGGGCTTCTCACAAGGTGGGGAGGACTGGGAGGCTGGCCCCAGGCTGAGCCCTCAGAGCCGCCCACCCCCGACCCAAAGTGGCCCAGTGCTCCCCACCCCCAAGACTAGACCCTGTGCTGAGGAATTTCACCTTTGAGAAAATGAAGGGCAGCTCTAGGAAAGAGACAGGAGACAGCAAGTGAGTCCCTGAGGCTGCGCACTCCCTGCAGGGGCTGGCAGGTCCCTGTGCTCGTGAGGTTCTGTCCCTGAGGGCTGAGGTCCCTGTTGGTGGGGAGGGCTCAGGAATGCAGCTGGGGTGTGGCAGCCGTGGCAGCCCTGGCAGGAGTCGGGGCCAGAGGCGTGGCGGTGTCCTGCACTGGCGCAGGGGCGACAGGCCAAGGCAGAGCAGGAGGGGACAGGCAGCACCGAGCTCGGAGGGGTAGGGGAGACGAGGCCTGGGCCCAGCCGGGCTCACAGAGCAGCAGTGGGCCAGGGAGGCTGTGGTGAGGCGGGTGCACAGATGTCCTGCAGGGAGCGCGTACCTGCTGGAGCACGTGCACATGGCGCTTCTCGCGTGGAAAGAGTTTGCATGGAGGAGCGTCGCGTGGGTGCCAGAGAGCACTGTGAGGGCTCCGGCTCAGGCAGGGCACCAGAACGCACAGCGCCACCGGGAGTGGGGAGGCTGAGGGCACCCGCCAGGAGCCAGGCTGCAGTTTTAGGCGACCCATCCATCAGGGGGAAGAATACAAACAGCCCCCAACGCTCGCTCAACGAGATTTAGTTCTGGAAGAGACCCATGTAAGGTGGCGAGCAGGGAGTAGGCCGTGTCCTCTGAGCTCAGGCAGCTGTGCCGAACCATCCGCACCCCATGGGGCACCTGGTAAACACATGAGGGCCATCCCACAGCCACGCCGAGGGCAGGGAAGGCTGGACTGCACGGGGGTGAGGGCATGGCGCCCACCCTGATGCCATCCCTTGGTCTAGGGCAGGGGTTCCCACGCGGGGGACTGGGCGATGTCTAGGGACATCTGTGGTTGTCACGACTTGGGGCACTCCTGGCATGGAGTGGGTGGAGGCCAGGGATACTGCTCATTACCCTGCAGGGCCCAGGATGCTCCCCCAACCAGAGAAGGATCCCGCCTGTGTCCACAAGCCCCTTGTCTGGGAGACAGAGCCAGTCCACTGTGTCTCCCGATCCAGCCTGAGCCACAGATGCTCAGACAGGGCTGCCCTGGCCCCAAGATATGCCCTCAGGGAGGGAGCCTGGCTCAGGGGAAAAGGCAGGCCACGTGGAGAGGGCACTGCTCAGGGGGGAACCGACCACCTCCCTGGTGGAGGGAGGGGCAGCTTGGGCTTTGGAACGTGAGTCACCCATCTGCCTCTCCAGAGAAAAGCACCCCCAATGACTTTAAAAAAAAAAAAAAAAAGTGAATCAGCCTTGTTTTACATACTGAAGGCTTTCAAGAAAATTATATCCTTGGGAAGCTGACTTCATTTGTTATTCAGGCTTGCTGCTGGGTGAAGGCAGCCCCCAGGATGGCGGCGCGGGAGAGGGCGGGAGGGGGCTCCTGGGAGGAGCAGGTCGTGACTAGAAGTGAGGGGGTGGCCGGGGCAGGGAGGCCAGGCCAGGCCACGCAAGGGCTGGTTCTGGGGGGTCCACTTCCTGCGTGCAAAGAAGGTTCCAAGCAGCGGTGAGCGCAGCGGCTTCCGCATCTCCTCCTGGCAGGCAATTTAGACGGCCTCTAGTCCCATTCCACTCCTGGAACGTGGTGCCGGTTTATTGGCAATCCACTCTGTTGACCAATTAGCCTGAGCCACAATCAATTAACCATTATGCAAATAGCACGTCTGGCTGGGCCTGGGAGCTGGGGTGCACGAGCTCTGTGCTGCGGGGGCCGCCTGGAGTAGCCTCACCAGGAGGCAGCTCTTCATGAGGAGCACACAGGAGGCAGGAAATCAAAAGGACAGAACAAGAGCAGAAGAGACAGATTCACCTTGGCAGGGCTGTCAGGAGGGGCTGTGAAAACACTCGGGGCAGAGGGAACATTCTCCGAGAGAGGCCGCGAGGTGGGGAAGACAGAGGAGGCCGAGACAGATGCCCAGACCGCCCAGGAGTCCCAGACTCACAGACAGATGGACGTGTTGAAAAAGAAGGCGCCCATTTAGAGGAGAAGGTTCTGGACCAGAAGTGACTTTTCAGAAACCAGTTCCAAGGCCTGTTTCTGCAGAGCGTGGTGGGGGGCCAAGGCTGAGCCGCCCCCAACCTTGGTGCTCAGTGGCTGGGTCTCGAGTGGGCACCATCCATCGCCAGCTGGGACAAGATCAAGGCAGCAGAGACTGGATGGCTGCAGAGGGAAGGTCACTGCTCAAAGGGAAGGGGGAGGCTGCCCCCACACCAAGGCCACCACTGTTGGCTCAAAGACCAGACCTGCCAGCAGCCTGTCTGGGTACGACCCACAAGCTAGGAACAGTGTTTACATGTTTTTTTGTTTGTTTGTTTGTTTTCCTGGAGAGACAAGGTCTTGCTCTGTCATTCAGGCTGGAGTGCAGTGGTACAATCTCGGCTCACTGCAGCCTTGACCTCCTGGGCTTAAGTGATCTTCCTGCCTCAGCCTTCTCAGTAGTTGGGACCACAGGCGCACACCACCACACCCAGCTGATTTTTAAATTTTTTGTAGAGATGGCATCTCAATATGTTGCCCAGGCTGGTCTCAAACCCCTGGACTCAAGCAATCCTCCTTCCTTGGCCTCCAAAGTGCAGAGATTACAGGTGTGAGCGATCGTGCCTGGCCAATGTTCACATTTTTAAGTGGCTCAAAACAGAAAAATTATCGTATTTGGTAGCATGTAAAAATCATGAGATCTGGATTTCAGGGTCTGTAAACAAAGCTTCACGGACACAGCCACGCGCATTTCTTCGCTGTCTATCATCTGCAAGGGTCTTGAGTTGCCATGCGGAGTCGAGACGTCGAGACACAGGAGGCCTGGCCTGCAAAGTCGCCAAGTCACAAATGTTTGCTCTCTGGCCCTTCCCCGGAGGAGTTGGCTGAGCCCACTCTGTGCCGTCCCTCCCGGCTCCAGCTCATGCTCAGGGGCTCCCTGAATGTTCCTTGGGCACCAAACAGGAGTGAGATCTGTCGACAACTGTGCCAAGGGCAGCTCAGAGCCCTGGAAGCCTGGACACTTCCCAGAGGAGGGGCTGGGGAGGCCGGTGCTCGCCTTCACTCTGGGCATGAAGTGGATCTCCTCCTAGGCCGGGACCTGCCTCCGTGTCCCCATGGCCTCTTGTGGTCAGAAGCCAAGAGGCTGCAGATGCTTTGGCCTCTCCTCCAGGCGGACACCAGATACCTGGCTGGGAGGGTCTGTGCGGCGATACGCAGGGAGGGGTTCTGAGTGGGAGGAGGGCATCCAGGGTCACGCCCCGGGGCCGGCCTTCTGAAATCCTCTCCACGATCTCAAATCCAAGCAGCCCCACCTGATGCCCCGTTGAGTCCTTGCAGGGAACCCGACTGCTCTCAGCGCCAGGGAGGGGCCCGAGTAGCCGGACAGCAGAAATGCGGTGAGTGAGAGGGACAGGGAGCCATGTGGCTGGTGGCTCTGCTGAGGCAATGGCACGGGGCCTGGGGCCACCCAGGGTCAGCCTCCTGGCGGGGACATGACAGGGAGTATGGGGAGCCCGCGGGTGTGAACGGCACAGACGCTGCCCGCCAGAGCAGAGCCCACCCACCCCAGCAAAGCGAGGCCTCGAGAAAACACTGTGCCTCAGACTGGAGGAGAAACAGAACAGGAGGAGGAGGACGAAAGAGGAGGCGGGGTGGGAATAGGAAGAAAGGGAGGAGTGGGACACGGCCCGGAGCCCCTGCCAGTGGGAAGGGGCCTGGGCCACCCAGCAGGGCCACCCCCCGTGATGCTGGGCAGTCACGCGGCAGTCCCTTGGCAACTCACCTGCGGAGGAGCTTGGCCTTCAGCGAGGCCCGGGATGCACTCCAGGAGCTCAGCTCGGGGCTGGTGAGCGCCGTGGGCCGCGTGTGGTCCAGCACCGTGAGGTCCTTGCCCTGCTTCCACAGCTCGTAGCGCTCGGGCTGCAGGATGCGCACGAACACGTCCATGGAGATCTTGACCATGTCCTTCCGGCACGTGCACTGCGGCAGGGGACACGGTCTGAGCCCTCGCGCCACACCTGGACGGCTGGCTCCACACACCCCACCCCAGAGCAGGTAGGGCTCACGGCCCGGGCCTCCCACACCCCATCCCACCGCTGAGCATTCCGCTTCTAGAACATTTTTCTTTTCGAGACACGGTCTCACTCTGTCGCCCAGGCTGGAGTGCAGTGGTGCAATCATGGCTCATTGTAGCCTCGACCTCTCAGGCTCAAGCGATTCTCCCGCCTCAGCCTCCCAAGTAGCTGGGAATACAGGCACCCACCACCACATCTGGCTAATTCTTAAGAGAATTTTTAGAGATGGGGTCTCGCTATGTTGCTCAGGCTAGTCTTGAACTCCTGGGTTCAAGTGATCCTCTTGCCTCAGTCTCCCAAAACCCTGGGATTACAGGTGTGCACCAGCACTCCTGCTCTGTTTCTAGAACTTCTATCACAAGTCAGGAAACGGCATCCCCCAGTTGTGAGTCCCTGGTTTGCCTCCACGGAGTTGGAACGGCCACTGAGCAAACACCCAAGAGAAATGGGGGCTGGGCGCAGCTCAGTGAGGGGCCTGAGGTTCAGGACTGGGCACTGCCCCA
Source organism: Homo sapiens (assembly GCF_000001405.40). Lineage (NCBI taxonomy): Eukaryota > Metazoa > Chordata > Mammalia > Primates > Hominidae > Homo > Homo sapiens. The sequence continues at coordinate 5,110,023 of NC_000019.10, read as the reverse complement.
CGCACAGCTGTCCAGAGACCAGCGAGGCTGAGGTTCAGATGCCTCCTGTTGGTCCAGGCAAAAATCTCCCTCCCGTCAGACGCGGGTGCCCCCAGGTAGGTAAAAATGGATACGGAGTATTTTATAACAGCAATCGTTCCAAGAGGGCTGGGAAGAAGGGAGACAACAGCAGTCCCCAAAGAGCTGAGAGAACCAACAGGAATCCCGGAATGTGACAACGGCCCCTCCTCAGGAGGCCTCACGAGGGCGACGGTGGCCCACAGGCTCCCGCACGCCTCACCTGACTGCCTCCAGCTTGCAGGGCTGGAGGGACGACAATGTTAACGAAGAAGATGCTGAGGGTCTGGGAGGCTCAGGGACTCAGCGGCTAAGAAAGGACATTAACGTGCCATGTGCTGCAGCCGGCTTGCCTGGGGTCTTGGGGGAATTGAGCAAACACCCAATAGGATGGCCCCTTGTGTTTGGGAACGTCAAGCGAGTGGCAAGGATGAGTTGAAGTCCCCTCCAGCTGCCTGCCGGGCAGACCTGCCGCTCTCACGCCCTCAGCCCTTCCCAGGTCACTGTTCTTGGTGGCTCTGCCGCTGCGTCACTTTGGTCACACTGGGCACTGGGAAGGATGTTCTGCAGGTGACCTGGTGATGCTCAACATTTCAGGGACTTGGGGCCAGAGAAGCCAGGCCCCAGAGGGCATGAACCCAGATGCCCAAGCGGCGATTACCACCATGGCACTCAGATCCCAGGAGGCGGCCAGGAAGCTCTGGTCTGTCACGTACCTACTGGGATGAGGCTGAGATGGGGCTGGAAAAACCCCAACCTCAAGAGGAAGGGGGAAAGGGCAGGGCTGGCCAACTGTCACAGAGGCCCAAACGCTGAGTGTTTTCAGCTTCGAGAAACTCTGCACCGTGCCTCTAAAGCATCACGGATGATGGGCACATGCATGCGCATGGCTGTGTGTCAATAAAACTTTATTAATAAACAGAGGCCAGGGACAGAGTTGACCTGCGGGCAGCAGTTTGGAAATTGCTGGTCTAGATTCTAGGGGACAAAGTAGCCCCTGGGAGTCTCCACAGGCATGGGGGAGGGCCATGCGGAAGCTCGGGGCGTGGGGGGCAGAGGCACGGGCCCCCGTCTGAACGGGGCACAGACCTCATCTCCTGCTGGGGAGAGGCGGGCCCAGGGACCGCGTGCCAGACACAGGCTGCCCCGACCTCTGCCAACCCTTATCTCAGCCTCAGAAGCCCACAGGGAACTTTCTGCCTCTCCATCAAACAGGCACAGAAGAAGCCCATTTCCAAAAATCGTGAGACACTCTTCCATTTCAAGTACCTGTCTTGCTGTCACCACCCGTGCTCAATGGGATGAAGGAAATGGGAAGGGAAAGACTTAATTCAACGCAACTATTCCCTTGCCCTGACAAACCTTTCCAGGTGGCCCACACTTTGCTTGGAGACACTCACATATTTACGACCCCAAATCTGACGGGGTTGGGGACGACGGAAACCTTCCTGTGGAATTTCCTGCAGCTCGTGCCTCCCCCCACCTTACCCAGTCCCAGGGGGGCCATGGAACCTTCTGCTGGATCCAGGAGCAGGGGCTTGGGAACAGTTAGATTCCTATCATGCTGAGCAGGAGGGAATATTTGTGGCTGGGCAATTCCCAGCAAACTCAATTCATTTAATGAAAGATAGCACAGGAGAGAAAGGCTGGTGGTGTCATTTGGCCATGGAGTGGCAGGAACACAGATGGTGCCGGCGTTTCAGACTCCTGGACAGGCCGACTGCCCCGGCATCCCCATCCACAGCAGCTTAGGGGATTTGTATTGAGCGGCTTTGCAATTGCTTTTCCTTAATTAAAAAAAGCACCTGTGTGCACCCGTGGAGGGGGGACAGGCAGACACGCTCCACGGAGTGCACTGCCACGGCCTGGAGCACGGCCTGAGCCCCCTTGCCCGGCTGGGGCTGGCACGGCTCCAGATGCATCCCCTGCTCCAGGGGCTGCCACTGCCAGGACAAAGCTGCTGGTGCCAGGCTGCCCACGGCTGGACTGGAAGGAGGTGGCGGCTGGGAGCATTCCTGCAAGTCTCCACGTGGCTCTGCAGGGAGCTGGGGAGCCAGGACACCCAAGAAGCAAACAGCAGGAAGGAGGCAAGGCCGGTGGGTCACAGGGAGGGAAGCACAGCCTTCGAGGACACAGGGTAGTCGCTTCTGAGTGCTGGGCAGCTCAGCAGGGCCACAGTGTGGGAGAGAAACCCGCTAGGGCTGGTGAGGAGACCCAGCTCCCCTTAGCAGCAGCCTCCTGCTGAACATGCCCAGCCCCCACTGCGAGCCACCAACTCCGGCCTCTTCTGATCGGCTGCGTGCCTGTGGGAGCCACGTGCCCATGAAAAGGGTGAGCCAGGCCCATGAGGACTTCTGTGGGCTGTTCTACTGCAGCTGGGAAGGGTTCAGAGCAGGCCGGAGGGAGCCTCACCACAGAGTCCTCCGGCAGGGCAGACCTCGCTGTCTATTTTCATTAGCCAGGCCCCTGACTGTTCTCACCACAGCCCTGTCTAGCTCCCCACTCTCTGGGACACGGGTGTCTGTGAGGCTGTGCAGGAGTGACTGGAGGGAACAGGCCCCGCCCGCTCCAATTCCTGCTGCCCAACTTGGTGGTCCTCTGTCAGCACTCGCGACAGATAAGGAAGGCACCATCCGGGGGAATCTGGCTGTGTCATTAGTTTCTGATGGAGAAATCAGGCACAAACAGGGCAAGAGGAGGTCTGCGCGGCCCCCAAAGGCCTGAGCACGCCCCAGGGCCTGTGTCCCATCGTGTGGTGTGATACACATGGCCGCTAGAACCGTGTGCATGGGTGAGGCCGCCCTGAGAGCTGCCGGGGAAGCTGGGCGCATCTGGCCAACGCAGGGTGGCGGTGCCCCCTCAGTGCTGAACAGCCTCTGGGGACAGGTGGAGGTCCGAGACCAGGAGGTGGGGACTCAGGTGAGGAACGCGGAGCATGAAGCCAGGGTCCCACTGCCAGTCTCCACTGAGGGTCTTTGTTCCCAAATACGCCGCATTCTCTGCAGGTCACGGCCCTGGATTGCCCTGCCTTGGGGTCAGCCTCTCATCTACAGGTTGGGCCCACCAACTGCAGGCTCTCTGCCCCCACCGTTCTCCCCAGTCCTAAGATCCTGGTCTCACTGCTCTGGGCTGGGCTGGAACCCATAAGCTTCTTCTCATTCCTGGCTAAGGCCCGCAGAGCAGGGTCTCAAAGCAAGGCCCCCCCTCTTGGTGCCCCAGATGCCAAGCAGAACCCAGTTCTTGGACAGTGCTCATGTCAGGGGGCAGCCTGACCACCCTGCCAAGTGCACCTCTGGGGGCCTGGACAGTGCCGCTTGCCAGCGAATCAGCAGAGGCTTCACAGTGCTCCTGCACGCAGGAGACACGCGCTGCCCAAAGCTAGTGACAGCAGAGGGAGGGGTGGCTGCCGGGTGGCTGCTGGGTCCTGCGGAATCCCCCAGAGGAGGAGGGTGCGTCAGCATCACGGCCCCTACTCGGCCCCCAGTGAGCATGGAGCAGACCCTGGCGGCCTCAGGAGGATGCAAGGAGGAGCTGAGCAGCTCTTCCAAGCTGCAGATGACGGGTGCAACGTGGATCTTTGCACACTCCAGGCAAGCTCATCCCTAATCTCCCCCTGCTAGCGATCTCGCCTAAGGAAGGAAGGAATTCAAAGATGTCCTTTGCTTTTGTACTGAAAGACAAGTACGCTTGCACGCGCGCGCACACACACACACACACAATGACTCTAACCAAACCGTTCAACCATCGTGGACAGACTAAATAAACGACACACAACAGGGAGGTGTGCGCTGGCAAGATGCGGTCTACAGGACGCTTTCAATGACAGAAACGTCCTCAGGATGTGTCTGTTACCTGAAGAAACACAAAATGCACGGTCATGAATATAGCAAGAGCCCAATTATGGGCAGAGCTCTCTCAAGACAGGGAAATGTATCAAAACAATAACTGTGGTTCTTTCAATTGTAGGAGTAAACACTTCTGCGCTACTTATTTCTCTAAATCTCTTTATTGAGAAGGCATATCCTCTAAGGTGGGCCCATGGGCCACATCTGGCCTGCCACTTGTTTTTGTGAATAAAGTTTTATTGGCACATAGCCAGGCCCATTCATTTATGTATCATCCACAGCTGTGTTCACGCTACAAGGGCAGGGCTGAACATTCAAGATGGGGAATGCACGGCCTGTAAAGCTGCAAACAGTCACTATCAGGTCCTTTACAATAAGTTTGGGCTGGCTCAAATGGTGGCTCACACCTGTAATCCCAGCACTTTGGGAGGCTGAGGCAGGAGGATCGCTTGAGGCCAGGAGTTCAAAACCACCCTGGGCAATATAGCAAGACGCTGTCTCCACAAAAATTTATTTTTAAAATTAGGTGAGTGTGGTGGTGCACGCCTACTGTCTTAGCTACTTGGGAGGCTGAGGTGGGAGGATCACCTGAGCCCAGGCGGTCAAGGCTGCAGTGAGCTGTGATCATGCCACAGCACTCCAGCCCGGGCGACAGACTGAGACCCTGTCTCAAAAGAAAAAGCTTGCTGAAGCCTGACTTAAGTCATGAAGTAACTTTTCTAGTGTAACTCGCAGTGTAACAGCATCGGGGTGAACACCACGTCCCACAGACCAGCTTCAGCACACTCTGGGAGCAATCGCAGGTGTGTCTGTTGCAGACATGGGCAGCAGTCCCAGTTTGTACTGAGCGTGGCAGCTGCGCGCGCCCCACTACCGGCTTCCGGGCCTCTGACTGCCCCTGCCGGGAAGCAGTCCGGCTCCAGGCATGGAGAGTCCTGGCCTCCTGCTCTGCCCCGCTCTGGGTCCTGTGCCCTCTGCACCATCAGCCCAAGCCAGCCATGTACTGTGGGCACGCTGCCCCCAGAACTCAGGGGCAGCTCAGGGAGCGGGGCCATTTGCACCTCAGCCTCATGGGGACCTGGATCCTGCTGCCCGGACGGAGCCCAGGGGGTGCGACTCTCCCGGCCTCACCACCTGACCCAGCTCCAAACTCCCGGAGCCCATGGACTTTGCACATTCCGGCTGGGATGGCCCCAGTTATCTTAATGAGCCCAGACACTCATACATGGGAGAAAACAGCAATTCAGGTCCCTGAAATGACAACTTTGGGACCTGGAGTCAGGCTCTGGTTCTCCCGGGTTTGCTGAGACCTGCCCAGGGTCTGGGGAAGAGAAGAGGCACGGCCTGAGGAGTGAGGTCTTCTGTTTCTAATTTTTGGGGGGTGTGAGGGTGTCCATTTTCTCACTGACATCAGTTCCAATACGCTCCACCTAAAAGCAGTCCTATTTTGGAAGCTCCCGAGGGACACACATGAGGTCTGAATCCTGGAAGTGGCGTTCCCAGACAAAACCCCCTTCCAAGACAGAGCATCCCTGTGCCTGCTCTTTGCCGGGTTCAGAACTGTCTGGCTCACAATTGAAAGCATGTTTTAAGGACCTTTAATTTCCCAAGATTTTAGTTGCTGGAAAAAAAAAAAAAAGGTACTGATCTTAGATTAGGTTCTGCAATTGTGGCCATAAAAACCCAGAGCAAAACGGTTTCCAACTTTTAGCTCAAAAAGAGTCACGTCTCCCATGTCTGAACTATTATAGGCTCTGAATTAATGAGTCTGAATTAATGTAGTTTTACCGTGCAACGCTGGGCCCTGCCCTGAAGCAGCTCACAGTGTAACTGGGAGACAAAATAAGCACATATGAGAAGCCAGGGGACCCGGGAGCAGAAAGGGGCAGGTGCCCAGGAGCTGTGCTGGCACGCCTGCTCGTCCTGCTGCTGCCGGGGTGGAGGGGCACCAGCTGGAGCGAGCTCCTCTGCTTCTCGGGGTCCTGCCAGCGGGACTCATTGGCCAGGGATTCGGCCAGCCTCCCTGCCACCCACCCAGCAGCCACAGGACACTTTTTCCCAGATAAAAAGGGGAGGGCCAGACTGCAGGCAGCCGTGGGGAGGGCCCCTCCTTCTGCTCCTCACCCACCCCATGATGTGCGGGTGGCCAAGCCTCAGGAGCTCGGAAGCTACTCAGAAGGTGGCTGGCCTGCCCTGGTTCTACAGGAGGTGGCCGTGCACCCCCGTGCCCCATCTTCACCTCCTTAAGGACCAAGGCAGGGTGGGGAAGGGGATCAGGAAGTGAACAGGGTGTGGAGCGAGCCTCACAGAGCAAAAGCCAGGCCCCCTGGGCTCGGGGCTGTTCCCTCCATCCTTCTCCAACACAGGCCCTCCTGACATGGCTAACATGAGTCTCCACTGACAGATACCGTCACAGACCCTTAAGAAAAACCTGGGGTGGAGAGAGGGTCTAGCAGGAGGCTCGACCAGCTGCTGCAGCTGCTTGCAAATGACAGGCCCGGGATTGATGGCCGTCGAGTTCAGGGGACCTGGACTAACCTCAGCACCGCTGCTGCTGGCTGGCCCGTCAGCTGGTGCCCAAACACCAAGCCAAAGAGCTGGAAGCAGTGCGGCCGTCACCTGCCCCTGAAGACTGACGCGTCCGACAGCCCGATATTCTTGACGCAGGCCTCAGAGGACCCGCTGCTACCTTCCCAGGAAAATGAGAAAGCGGGCGGGGCTGCTGGTTTGCCTCCGGTTATGCAGAGCGGGACCCGACGCAGAGATAAATAGATTTCTTTTTTCCAAAGCATGAAAAAATACAAATCAGAATGTCGATGGGCTCAGAGCCAGCAGCCGCAGAGCCCAGGGCCTGCTTCAGGACGTCGTGCCAAGCGAAATTGGCTCGTGTGGTGCCTGCTGCAGAGAGCGGGGGAAGGGGTCAGAGAGCTGAGGAGTGGCCAGGGCTGCCCGGTGCCTGCAGGAGGCACACATTGGCCCTGGGCTCTGCACACTCACCGGCCCCACTGGCAGCAGTGCCTTCCAAAAGGGGGTGCCCCCAACTGCCCCACACATCTGCCCTGTCCTGCAGGCCATCACCAGGACTGGCCTGTGTGGGAGAGGTGGGTACGTGGTGGGCAGGGCCGTTGCCAGGAGAGGCGACTATGGCTCCACCTTGCACTCTCCAGGGCTTTAAAGTGAAATAAATTTAACCTTTTCATGGGAATAAATATTAATGCCCAATAAAACCTGGAGATCTTATTACTTAGTATCGCCACAGCACCGGACGTGAAGAGCTCTTCACTGCTCTGAGACTGCTCCCAGGGAGGCCAGAGAGAGATGCTGACGTCAGGGGCGGCATCCACAGGCCACAGTGGACCAGGGCTCTCCTATGGGCGGGGCGGGTGCTGCACCCATCACCCGTCACCCGTCACCCGTCGCCCGCCGCCCATTGCCGGTGAAGGGAGAGCCTGAGGGGAGCCGGGGCCTCGATTCCCTGCTGTGGTGCGAGATCCCTCCCAACGCCAACAGCAAGAGACCGGGAGTGGCCCCAGATGCCACCCCGGCCCCGGCCCCATTCCTCCCCTGCTCCCCTGGCCTGTGGAGGCTCAGCCCCTCTCCCAGACTTCCCAGGGGTGTCCAGCTCCACCCTCCCCCAGGCTCTGGCCTTCATCCTTGGTGACTTCCACATTGGTCTGCTGACCCTTCAAGGGAGGACCCCTAGAAGGCCTCACTGTCTCCACTCCCTGCCAGGCAACACCACATCCCTCCTGGGCAGCCAGAGGCAACTGCAGGAAGGAGGCCACGCTCATGGCTCCTGGCTCTAAGTGATGCCTTGGTAGGCTGGCAAGCCCACGCCACCCATCTCTCTCCTGAAGCCACGAGAAAGTGCCTTTAGGGAGGACACACCTGCAAGGACAGGGAGGATGGAAAAGGAGACGACAGCAGGCTGGGGGTGGGACGTGGCGAGCAGACGGACGGCCACCAGGGAGCCATTCCCAGCAGAGACACGGATGGTGGTGGCGGGCACGCACCCCACGCCTCATGGCCCAGGGTCCCCTGGAAACAAGGGTGGGGGTGCTCAAAACGGAGGTCTGCGCGAGGACTGCCGCAGCACCCGACCCCTCCTGGCACCCTGGCGGCCGCCTGCCCCTCCTCGCTGGACTCCCTAGGATCATTTACTGGGGAGGCCAGAGAAGGTGGGTGTCTGGGCTGGGGACACTGGGCACAGTGGAGGATGTGGGTGACACCCTTAGGAGCCCAGGCAGGAGGCTGGAGGGCTACTCCCTGTGCAATCCGGCTGGCCCAAGGGGAGAGACCCAAAGGGCCTGATGTGGGCTCCCCCATAACAGCCCACCCAGGTATCCCCGGGAAAAGCACCGAGTGAGGCCCTCCCCGCCCTTCCCCTGCATCCACAGCCCACCCGGATCTCCCCAGGAAAAGCAACAAGTGAGGCCCTCCCCGCCCTTCCCCTGCATCCACAGCCCACCCAGACCTCCCCGGGTAAAGCACCGAGTGAGGCCCTCCCCGCTATCCCCTTGCATCCCAACCCATCACCAGCATCCATTGCCCACTTGGGTTTTTTGGGTTTTGGGGTTTTGTTTTTTTTTTTCAGACAGTCTTACTCTATTGCTCAGGCTGGAGCTGGAATGTGGTGGCGTGATCACAGCAGCTCACTGCCGACCCCGAAGTCCTGGGCTCAAGCAATCCTCCTGCCTCAGCCTCCCAAAGTGCTGCACTACAGGCATGAGCCACTGCACCTAGTCCCTCACTTGTAATCATTACACTAGATCGTTACCCCCAAGCATCAGAGAGATGGGCCTGCACTATGATCCCCAGAGATCAAAATAAACTATCAAAAAAAAAACAAAAACCTGGTAAGAAACAGAGGACAGAGAAGATTTTTTTTTTTTTTTTTTTGAGACGGAGTCTTGCTCTTGTTGCCCAGGTTGGAGCGCAATGGCACAACCTCGGTTCACTGCAACTTCTGCCTCCTGGGTTCAAGTGATTCTCCTACCTCAGCCTCCCCAGTAGCTGGGATTACAGGCACCCACCGCCATGCCCAGCTAATTTTTTGTATTTTTAGTAGTGACAGGGTTTCACCATGTTGGCCAGGCTGGTCTTGAACTCCTGACCTCAGGTGATCCGCCCGCCTCAGCCTCCCAAAGTGCTGGAATCACAGGTGTGAGCCACCGTGTCCAGCCAGAGAAGACATTTTCAAAAAGAATTTAAACCTATCGTCAATCAATATCCTCAGAAATAAAAGATACTACATCATGAAAGAAGAACGGGGCTTATAACAAAAGGAATATTCAGAAGACAAAAAAGGGCAGAAATGAAAAACACCAATAAAAACACATCAATAGACAGGTTAAGTGAGGAAGCTGAGGAACTCTTCCAGAAAACAAATTAATAAAAAAGACAAAGAGGCCAAGTGTGGTGGCTCACGCCTTAATCCCAGCACTTTGAGAGGCCGAGGCGAGAGGATCACTTGAGGTCAGTTCAAGACTAGCCTGGGCAACATGGCGAGACCCCATCTCTACAAAAAATTAGCCAGTGTGGTGGCACACACCTGTAGTCCGAGCTACACAGGAGGCTGAGGCAGGAGGATCACTTGAGCCTAGGAGTTTGAGGCTGCAGTGAGCTATGACTGCACCACTGCACTCTAGGCTGAGACTCTGTCTCATTTCAGAGTGAGATCCTGTCTTGAAGACAACAACAACAACAACAACAACAAAAACAAAAAAGACAACGTAGAAAACGGAGGTGGGGAAGATAAAGTGGAACACTAGTTCTGAAAGCCCAATAGCGAGTGATGGGAGTTTGAAATAGAAACAAGAAAGACAGGAGAGCAAATAATCAATGAAACCATTCAAGAAAGTTTACCAGAATCATGGGAAAGGTTGGAAAAGATGGATGGAAAGGCCCAAGGAGGGGCAAGTGACAAAAATCAGACACGTATCAGGTACCCAATGAGGGGACTTCAGGACACTTGGGACACAAAAAGGGTTCAATAAGCCTCCAGAAGGGAGAAAAACAGGTCCCACACCAAGGATGAGGAATCAGAGGAGCATCTTTGTGCCAGCAGCACTGAATGAGAACCACGGATGGGTGCAGCCTTCGAAGGGACTTCGATACCCAGCCAAACTATCCGCCACCCAGACAGCAGCTTCTCCTGCACAAGTTCTTCTACTTTGTTGCCTAACCATCCTGTGGAGTTTTTGGTTTCATTTTCAAATTCTGCCCTTTCCTTATTTCTCAAGGTTCTGGAGGCTGGAAAGTCCAAGATCAAAGCACTGGCAGATTTGGTGTCTGGTGAGGGTCACTTCCTGGTTCTTAGATGGTGCCTTCTCACTGTGTCCTCCTCTGGTAGAAGGGGTGAGGGAGCTCTCTGGGGGCTCTTTTATAAGGGCTCTGATCTCCTCCATGAGGGTGCCACCCTCAGGCCCTGTTTTCAAATGAGAAAAGTCTCAAAACTTTACTGCCTGTGTTCCTTTCTCAAGAAGCCCCTGGAGCATATGTCTCTCAGAAATGAGGTCACAGCAGGTGTGGAGGCCAAAGCAACTCCATCTTGGATGCTAACCTGCCATGTTGGCTTTTGATTAACCCCCATTCTGGGAAGGCCTCTGAGATTTCCAGTTCATCTACTGCTCCTTGTATAAGAGCAGGTACTTACTGTAAATCTTGCCCTTTGGTCAAATGGCCCTTGAGGTTTCCATATTTCAATTGTCTTGCACATCCCAAAACAACCCTTCCCTATGGTATATAAGCCCTGGGTCTGGGGGTGATGGTGCAGGGATCCACCGTCTTGTCTCACTACCGCCACCCAAGACACAGACATGGCTTCTCGTTGTAAATCCTTATTAAATGTTTCTCTCTGAGAAACTGAATGCCAGCTTCTTTCTTTGGCCTCTCAGCATCCTTGGACTTTGGGGTATTTGCACAGACCTGCTCATCATGTTTAAAGAGAAAGGAAACAAATGGGCCTTCTGGTGCCCTGCAATCCTCTCCACTGCCCACTGCTACCCAGTGTGTGCCCAGCACTACTGGAACCGGAGGTTGTTCTATGTGACCAGGTTCCCCTGAAAGTATCTCTGCCAAAAGGAAAGAAAGCAGCAACTAAAGGCTCAGAAATCCACCCTGCACATTCCTTGGAGGCAGGGATGAGGGAAATGGCATGTGAGGAAGTGACTGGAATGAACCTTTTGTCTTAGTCCATTATTGAAACAAAATACCATAAGCTGGGGGCTCATAAGCAAATTGCTTATTTCTTATGGTTCTGGAGGCTGGGAAGTCCAAGATCAGGGCACTGGCAGGTCTGGTGTCTGGTGAGGGTGACTTCCTGATTCTTGGCATCTTCTCACTGAGTCCTCCCATGATGGAGGGGGCGAGGGAGCTCTCTGGGGGCTCTTTCATAAGGGCACTGATCCCATCAATGAGGGCATCACCCTCATGCCCTCGTCGCCTCCCAGAGGCCCCATCTCTTAATACCATCACCCTAGGGAGGGGTATGAGCACTCAACAGATGACTCTGAGGGGACACAGACCTTCAGTCCATGGCACCTTTCTAGGGAACTAGATGGACCAACCTCGTGCTGCCAGGGGTTTTAAATGAGGTAACACAAGCAAACCCCACAGGCTGGGCAAGTCAGGGCCACCATGGGAGCACTTCCTGTTATAAAGCAAGACCTGCCAGTCACCTACAAGGGAACAGGCAGGGCAGCTGTTCTCCGGTCTGAATTCCCAAGCCTGTCACTCTAATCTAATGCCTGAGATTACGCCTTCTGAGCCATAACGATCCCATGCAAAATGCCTGAAATCCAATGAAACTGGAGTGCTTTTGTAAACTGTAATAAAAAATAAAATAAAAAACATACTGAATGCCAGACCTTCCTTTAACATCATATTGCAAAAGAAATCCGCTCCCCAGAGGCCGAGTCCCCCCTGCTGTTAATGGGGCTTCTACTGACCATGTACTACACATGGAGGCTGCCACGGAGGCTACACACTGAGGAAGCCCCTTGGCCACCAGCCCTGGCCCAGCTGGGGGCTGTGTCTGCCTCTGCCTCTGTGCCCTGCCTTGCTCTGCACTTGGACAAGCACTTTTGAAGCCCCTCCTGGTGGGGCTCGGGCAAACATGCAGAAACCTTCCACAGAGCTTGACAGCTCCCGACTGACATTTGCGCCCCCCATGCCTGAGATCCAAAGAAGCTGGGGGCCCCAGGTCCACGACGGCTCTGCTGAGCTGAGGAGGAGGAGGGTTCCCATCTCACTGGTGGCCGAGGGGAATCATCCTTGCTGGGCACCTCCCACAGGAGAACTCCAAGCCAAAACGGAGACAGAACTCATAGACTTTCTGGAACAGCCAACACTGCACCCAGTACCCAGCTCCAGAAGAACAAAAGGGAAGGTGGCCAACGCGCTCTCTGCCCTGAGGCCCCAGCCTCCCGACACACAGGGCAGCGGTCCTCTGCTTTTCATGTCAATGACATCCTACGGTCCCTGCTCTGCGCCTTGCCTTTTCCATGGGGCACATTTGGGAAATGCTCCCCATCAGGACCGAAGGAGCAGCTCCACCAAGGCCTGCACAGGCCAGGCGCGGCGGCTCACGCCTGTCATCTCAGTGCTTTGGGAGGCCAAGGCAGGAGGATCCCTTGAGCTCAGGAGTTCAAGGCCAGCCTGGACAACATAGTGAGACCCCAACTCTACAAAAACTACAAAAAATTAGCTGGGCATGGTGGTGCAATACCTGTAGTCCCAGCTACCCGGGAGGCTGAGGTAGGAGGATTGCTTGATCTCAGGAGGTCAAGGCTGCAGTGAGCTATGATCGCACCACTGCACTCCAATCTGGAGTTTTTGGAGACTGTCTCAAGAAACAAAACAAAAAACAAAACCACGAAGCCTGGATGGCCGACTGATGCGCCACGTGGGGCTTTACAGCCTTTTACTACATATTTAAGAATCCTGTGTACGGTGAGATTGACATCTTGGTGGCTTTGGTTACCATTCACCTCCTTCCCTTGGTGACTCTTCTTCGTGAACAGGCACCATCCCCATCACCCGATGGCCATGGGGCACGTGCCTTGTTCTTTTCTCCCCGCCCTGCTGACTCCACACCACACATGCTGCCAGCCCGTGCTCTTTAAAGTGTCGATTCTGGTGGAAGCCACCCTGTGTGGCCTCACAAGCCCTTCCCTAGCATGGGATGTTTACAATCACTCACAGGTTTCCCTCAGCCTTCTCTGAGCTATTAAGGCAAATCCAGAAACGGAGGGACACTTCCTCCACCAGGCAGGCGCCACGGCAACACGCACCACCGACACCGCCGGGGGCACCGCGGGACACCTCCTCCACCAGGCAGGCGCCACGGCAACACGCGCCACCGACACCGCCGGGGGCACCGCGGGACACTTCCTCCACCAGGCAGGCGCCATGGCAACACGCGCCACCGACACCGCCGGGGGCACCGCGGGACACTTCCTCCACCAGGCAGGCGCCATGGCAACACGCACCACCGACACCGCCGGGGGCACCGCGGCAACAGGCGCCACTGATGTCACCAGCGACTCCAGTGTAGAAATGCCACATCGCACGGAAGTGAGAAACTGGGGTCTGGGCAGGGGCACTGAGGTCAGCAGGAACCCCAGGGGTTGCCCAAGCCCGTGGAGACCTGGGACCGTGCTCCCCATCCAAGGTGACACCACTCCATGCTGCCAGGAGTCCGGATGGGGTAGGGTTGTGAATATTCCCCACGCCATGGCCAGGCGCGGTGGCTCACGCTTGTAATCCCAGTACTCTGGGAGGCCAAGGCGGGTGGATCACTTGAGGTCAGGAGTTCCAGACCAGCCTGGCCAACATGGAGAAACCCCACCTCTACTAAAAATACAAAAATTAGCCAGGTGTGGTGGCGCACCTGTAGTCCCAGCTACTCAGGGAGGCTGAGGCAGGAGACTCGCTTGAGCCCGGGAGGCAGAGGTTGCAGTGAGCCGAGATCACACCACTGCACTCCAGCCTGGGTGACAGTGCAAAACTCCACCTCAAAAAAAAAAAAAAAAAGATTCCCCACACTGTACACCGGCCCTGTGTGCGCCTCAGTCTGTGGCCTACATTTCCATAACACAAGGACCTCCTCCTAAAACAAGCTCCCTGTGAAGCTGACTTTTCGGCAGCCTGCCCCTTGGTGGGGCGCACACTCTGCCTCACAGCGGCTGGGGTCCATAGCACCCACTCTATAGACTGGGGGCCCCTGCCAGGGTCTGATTCCCAGGGAAACACACACACAAACGACATGCTCGCACATAAGTGCTGCACACACTCAAGCCTGCAGCTGCTGGGGGAGGGTCCCCAGGTTGAGGAGTCCGACCTGGCTGCTCCGGGCCCTCTCCCTCCTCCTAGCAGGCTCTGCCCTGCCCTGGCCAGCCCCTTGTGATCTGATCCAGGTTGAGGGGTCCACCCTGGCTGCTCCCAGCCCTCTCCCTCCTCCTAGCAGGCTCTGCCCTGCCCTGGCCAGCCCCTTGCGATCTGATCCACACTGTGGGGGCGTCCAGCACCGAGGCTCGTGGGCCCCCAGCTCTCAGTGTGCAGCAGCCTGGCTGGCAGCATCATCACAGGACCCTGGCCACCTGCAGACACAGTGGGCTACCACTGCTGCCTTGGAGCCCAGGGGGCTCATCTGCCACCTTTCCTGATTTAAACAGCACTGAGCTTTCACCAGAGGCCATCTCTTTTTTAAAAGCCTGAACAGATACTAGAGTCTGCTCATGTAAAACAGTAGAGTGGCAGAGAGAAGACACAGCCACCGGCCTAATGAGAAAATGATTATATGTGGTCCGATAAAATCATCAACCCAAATAGCATCTGACCACGGGGATCATGAATGCTCTCGTCAGCTGCAGCGCCAACTCCCAGCCCCCTGATCCAGGAACCAGGGCGGAACATTGAGGACAATGCCAGCCACCAGCGGGCGGTTCTACAGCCGACGGTGACAGACATTGCATGGCTGGTGCTTGCCCTGCTGTGGACAGGGATGGGGACGGGCAGGGGCCTTAGAAACAGCGATCCTGGCGTGGGGAGGGCACAGCATCTCATAGCTGCCGACAGGACATCTATGGCTCAACACGTCCCATCCCTCACACTGCCCCTGCCCCGCCCCCGGCGCCGCCCCCGAGCTGCAGACCCCTCCACAGGACGCATCAGCTGCACGGTGACAGGACTGTCTGTGGTGACGGCGATGACCTGCACCTGCGCTGCCCAGGACACGGCCACCAGCCCACCCGGCTATTAGCAAAGGGCTTGACCCGCGGCTGGCCTGACTGAGGAGTGGAGGGTTCATCCTATTTCATTTTGGTTAATGGATACGGTGCTACGTGTGGCCCGTGGCTCCCACACTGGAAGGCAGGCTCTGACGCATCTCAACAGCACACCCAGTCCTGGCTCCTCCATGTCCCTCTGTGCGCTCCCAGCACCACCGCACACCTACATGCCCAAGTCCCCACCCCTCCCCTGTGCCCCCACCTCTGTCCTATCACCAGGTCCTACAGGCACCACCCCTAAAACACAGGCACACGCTGTCCCCTTCTTCCCACGCCCACAGACCCCATGCCCGTCTAGACGGCGGCCATCCACGCCGGGCTCCCTGCCCCATCTCTCCCATAGTCCCTTCTCCAGCCAGTGGCCCCTCTCCCTTGCTGAAATGCCCAGTGCCTCCCCCCCGCACATGGTGATGAAATCTAACTTCAAAGGCCCTTACTGCAGCCCCCGACCTCTGACGTTTGGCCTCTGCCAGGTCCCCCGCTCAGGGACCTCGCAATTTTCGTTCCTCCCCAGCAGTGCTGTTCCCCGCGCTACTCAGCATCCTGCACCCGGGGCCTCACAGAGGAGCTTTTCTGAAGCAGGGTGGTAGCAGCTGTCATCAGTGCATGATTCACATATGGGATCAGGGCCTGCCGGGGGTCAGCACCTGGTGCCCTTAGAAGCAGACAAGAGGACACAAAGACAGGGAGGAGGGGCCGCGTGACCATGGGGCAGAGGAGAGGGCGACACCCCTGCAAGCCAAGCAGCCCTGAGATCTCGGCCAGCCCTGAAGCCAGGAGAGGCAGGGTGGTCTCCCTGGCGCCCTGAGGGGGCTCGGCCCGCCACACACCCATCTCAGCCTCTGCCTCCAGAACTGAGAGAGGATACATGTCTGGTGCTTTCAGCTGCCTGGGCTGTGGACTGGGCTACCCAGGTGGCAGACACACCAGGCCGCAGCTGCAGCGTCCCTGCACCCTCTCTAGGAGCAGAAATTCCTCCTTCCACCCTTGTTCGTGTCCTGTCTCCTCCCTGGACCTCGATGGCCTCATCCACTGCCTTCCCAGCAGCTGAACAGTGACCTGCGCGGTGACCACTGCCAAGCAGACACCAACCGGGGCGAGTGGCGGTCACACTCCTCTCACAGCCATCTCGACCATCTGTCTGGGGTGGGTGTGGGTGGCAGGTGCCTTGGCACACAAAGCGTTAAACACCGAGGAAGGGGCAGAGGCGCCCGCATCTGCGCTGATGGCTCACAGAACGCGTGGGAAGGACGAGTGGGCCCCCTGTTTCTGATGTAATTATCAGCGCTGCAGTGAGGCCGATAACAAACCAGTTCATTAGGAAACCTACTGGAAGTGCTCGGCAGCCGCGTCAACAAAACAATTAGGCGCCGGCTCCCAGGGCTCCCTGGGCTTCGGCTGCGGGGCCATTCCTGGCAGCACAGAAAGCGGCTCCCTGCCCCTCCCGGCCAGCCAGGCCAGGCAAGGTCACGGGCCTTCCATGGCCTTCCGCAGCCTTCCATGCTGCCCACACATCCACCAGGTGCCTGGGGAGGCTCCGATGTCCCCTTTGGCCCTCCCTAAATGAAAGTAGCCTCGAGTCTATCAGTGTTGTGAGCCCCTGCAGGGACATGACAAGCAGGCAGCTGCACACCTGACCCCAGGCCACCAGGACCTGCCTTTCTCCTCCACATGCTGCCCTGAAGGGGCCTCAACAGCCACAGCAGTCCTGCTTCTGTGCCAGGCACCACCCAAGTGCTGTTCCATGTCACTTCCAACAGCCCTAGGAGGGAAACTGAGGCAGAGCACTAGGAGGGGAGGGTCTGCACCCAGGCAGACAGCTCCAGGTATGAACCACAGGCCCCATGAAGGGTCACACCTTGGGTGGGGAGAGGACATGTGGTCAGGGGTACAGGGGCCCGGCCTCCCCTGATCCCTCCTTGCCAGCAGTTGCCCCTGGAGGTTCTCTCTCACTCTCCAGGTTACGACTCATCCACGACGGCTGAGGAACAGCCATGAGCCGGGATGCCCTGAGATGGCAGAGGGGAGAACTCCACCATTTCTGACTCAGGGCCAGGCCCTGCGAGCCCCCTCCTCTGACTCTCCTGCTTCTCTGACGGCTGACCCCTGGGCTCCCTCGCCAGTGCCCCTCGAGGGGGTCCTGCCTCTGCCTGACCCCGTAAGCAGACCCGCTCCTCTGATGCCAGGCAGCAACCAGCTGCAGCCCCCGAACCAGCTCTGTCCATGAAGGATGGTAGAGAAGACTGGGGGCTGCCGAGCTGGCAAAGGCCCTCGAGCCACACCACGAGCCTCGGTCTAGAAAAGCCCCCGACCCTCCTCTGGGGAGATGTGTCCCCCCCGGAGCTCCTGGGCAGCAGAACCGGGGGTATTAGAGGGCGTGATCCCGAAAGCCGAGAGCAGTGGGAGAAAGGAAGGAAGGGCCCGCAGGGAGCCTGGAGACCCAGGTGTCTTCAATGGGTGGCCCTGCCCCCATGGGAGTGGATGTGCCTGCCGATGTTGTGGTTGAAACAGCTGGGTTGGGGTGTGCCTGGCATGGAGTGGGTGGAGGCCAGGGGCACTGCTCAGCACCGTGCAGTGCCCAGGACGGCCCCAGCCCAGAGAAGGATACGGCCCCAATGTCCGCAGTGCCGAGGGAGAGACTAAACGAGGCCTTCTTTCCAGACCACTCCTCTCCTAGATCACCCTCCAGACATGCAGCATAAACACTAGGCCAAGAGCCAGCATGGGACCCACTCATTCTGGCCCGGCCCGGGATCCGCTCCGCCTGGTCTTAGCTGCAGATTCTCCCCACGCTTCTGCGTGACTGTGACACCCCCTAAGCCCACACATGGGAAGGGGCCCCAAAGGCCTCACCAGGGTCAGAGTGACAGGGAAGATCTGGGAAGAGCAAGGGAGACATATTTCACACAGCAGTTTGCGGCACACACGATGCGTCCAGCCCCACAACGCCATAAATCAGAGGCTCACTGAGGCAGGAAGCCAAAGGCAGGGCACAGGCCAGCCGTGGGCTCCAGCGGGTCAGAGGAGTGGCTGGAGTTTCCCGCACCTCCGTGGGCCCTCCTCCCTCCCACCCTTCCCCAGCCCCTGCCTTCTGCCGCCTCCCCCTGGGCTCCCTCCCCCTGGGCTCCGGGTTAATCACCTGGAGCAGGCAGCCTCATTACCAAACAGAAGGAACACACAGTTCTCCCAGGCAGCAGAAACAATTTGGTTTGAATTTTACAGTAATTAAGTTCAGTACACCCCAGGGCTGGGGTTTTAGGAGAGGCCTGGTTCCTGCCGGAGCCCCCATCCAGCCTGGATGCGGGGAGGTGGGAGGAGATGGGTGGTGCCGAGTGGGCCGTTTCCTGGAATGGCGCCTCTGGGGAATCCAAGTCATCGTCCCCTTCCCAAGCTCAGCAGAAGCTCTCCCTGCCAGACACCTCCAGAGAGCCCGAGATGTCCCCGGGGAGGCTGGCACACAGCAGGCCTCACCCACAGACAGCTGGCAGGGAACCAGTTAAGAGAGCGTGAGTGGCTCCCCAGCCTTCCAGCCAGGCTTCACATCTCTCGCGCTCTGTTTAATCCTCAGTCAACTCTCCCCGTGGCAGGGTGTTTCGGGATGCCGCTGAGTCCTGGGCTCTGGAGGAGAGACCCTTATCTACCAGCACCAGGCACCACCCACCTCGGGGCCAGCCCGGCCGCGTGCTGAGCTAATCTAACATGGCGTGCAGGCTTGTAGGACTAACTTGAGTTCAGCGTGAGAAAGGCGGCTGCGTGCACATTTTATTTCCTTGAGTGAAATAGGAACATCCTTTTGATCTGCCCCATTAGTAATCCCACTACAAAGCCTGCCTGCTGGAGCACATGCCGGGGGATCCTGCTCTGAGACAGGAAGCCGCCGCCTTGGAGACCCCTCCAGCTGCCCCCACCGGGCTGTGCACAGGACACGTGCCCAGGACACGAAGCCACTGGCCCAGGAGACACCTGGTGGGCAGGGAGGGTGTGGGCTCCCAGATGCCCCATCGGCCTGTGCCTCCAAGTGGGGCAAGGGAAGCAGAGGAAGGTCTAGGGTGTGCTGGGCCCAGCCTCCTGCTGTGTGACCTTGGCAAAGTCACTGCACTACTCTGGTCCTCCCAAGGTGACAAGGCCCAGAGTCGGCACTTGATGGAGGGTGGTACTGTCGGCGGTGGGGGGAAGGGGGGGCCGGAGGGGGGCGCACGCGCGCAGCGGGGAGACAGAGAGAGAGAGAGAAAGAGAGGGAGGGGGGAGAGGGGGAGAGAGCAAGGGGGAAAGAGAAGGGGAGAGAGAGAGGGGGAGCGGGGAAAGAGGGGGAGAGGGAGAGAGAGGGGGCGAGAGGGGGAGAGAAAGAGAGGGGGGGAGAGAAAGAGGCGGAGAGAGAGGGGGAAGAGAGATGGGGGAGAGAGAGACAGAGGGGGAGAGGGGGAGAGAGAGAGAGAGGGGGAGAGATATGGGGGGAGAGAGAGATGAGGAGAGAGAGAGAGAGAACGTTACCACTGAGACAGCTCTAGCTGAGAAAGAGACTTCTCAAAACGAACCGGGTACTGCACCCTAAGCCTCAGCCTGGCGAGGCCAGGGCATGCAGCGAGGTGTGTGGCTAGGGAGGCAAGCCTGCTGTCCTCTGCACTCTCACCTCTCCCTGGCAGACCCAGGGGCTAGGACCCCTCCCCTGCACACGGCAGGCGCTCAGCAATGCTGGGCTGGGCTTCCAGGACCTTCCACTCTGTCCTCTTTCCAGCACTGCCTCACCTGCTCAGCAGGGAGGAAGGGGGCCAGGCTTTGGGGGTCTTCACAGTTTTTGTGTTTTTGTCTTGTTTCCCCCTTTTTGTGGAGAATGGGGTCTCACTATGTTGCCCAGGCCGGTCTTGAACCTCTGGAATCATGCAACCCTACCTCGGCCTCCCTAAATGCTGGGATTAGAGGCATGAGTCACTGCGCTTGGCCTTTTGTTTGGTTTTTAACTCCCATTCTGAAAACAAACCAACGAAGCAACAACAACAAAAACCTTTTCCACTTGGGAACTGTGGGGTGCTTGCTCAAGAAGCACCTAGGAATGGCGGACCCCACTCTTCCCTCCCCAGAGCTACACCCCTCTGACTATGGAAAGAGGAGTATGTGGGTTTTTTTTTTTTTAGTACAAAAAAAGACAGAACCATATTGAGAAGTTAGTGCATATTTTTAAGGTATCCCAAATTCCATGACATCAAACTAATATCAACCAATACTTGGGCAAATCTCCCTTTCCCAGTTCAAGAACCACATCCCCACAAAAAACGGGAATCACAAGAGTCCCAGTCCACAGCCTATTTTTTCCCTTAAAGTTGTCGCGCTCATCTCTCCATGCCCAAAGATACAGAGCAAACCTCATGGAGCAAACCCATTTTCACAGCTGCATAACATTCCACTGGTTCAACCCATCCCCTGGTCATAGAACTTTCCACTACAACAAACGGGGCTACAGATATCCCTAGACATGGAACCGGTATGCACGTGTTCCAGAGACAGAACCGCTAGGCCACAGGAGACACATGTGTAACCCATGGCAGACGGCCTTCCAGAAAGGCTGCCCAGTTTTTATTCTGGATTACTGTTCCTGATTTGCTGAGAGCTGATCTGGGGGAAGGATGTTTCTGGACAGTTTCAGTGAGATTCGTGTGCCCTACAATTCACCAGGTGTGCGACGCAGGAGCTTGTGTATTCACAGAGTGGGGAGACCATCTTCGCCATCAAAGGTAGAGCATTTTCATCCTCCAAAGAAAACCCGTCCCCATCCGTTGTCACCCTCCAGCCCCCACACCCAAGCATCCCTTCCTGCCTCTGAGCACTGGCTTGTCCCGGACATTTCATAGAAATGGGGTCTCGCACGGTGTAGCCTCTGGGTCTGGCTTCTCTCACTGAGCGGGGTGTCCTCAGGGTTCACCCACGCTGGGCCTTGCTCCTTCTCATGGCTGAGCGGATGGCAGAGATGGTAAGGTCAGCTCCCACTTCTCTTTGTTTACCGTATTCCCCAGTTTCCAACAATGCACATTCTTCCTTCTGTATCTGCCCCAAGGGATGTGCGGATGAAGCTGGCAGGGGCGTCCTGCTCCTCTGCCTCTTGAGGATGTCAAAATCTCCCACTGTCATCCTGCCCCTATAACCACAACCTGCTCTTTTGCGGGGGGGGGGAGGGGGGGGGCCTGGCCTGTCCCCTGCAGCCTCAGGGGCCCCCTCAGGGACTCCGGTGGTCTCTGCTCAGCCCTGGCCCACAGATGAACGGCCTAGGTTTTGATTAATTATGGAAAAGCCTGCCTACTTATCACGGGTGGAGCTGTGGGCAGGGGCAACCTCCCCCCCATCGACCTCTGCTCTAGATGGAAGTCGAACCCAGCGCTCTGCTCAGCTCTAGGGGCCAGGGGAGTGAGGGTTTGTATCCGTGGTGTCCGAGTGATATGGCCTGCGTGGTCCAGGAATCACGGGGGGAGTTGGAGACAAAGCCCGGGCCGCATTTTTACACTCACCTCCCTTTGATCAGAGCGAGTTTTTGCAGGAGCCGCTAAGAGCTGGATGTGAGCGCATCTGGCTGATGGAACCGTGCTCCAGAGGAAGCTAAGCCGCCGACTCCCTGCCCCTGCAGGTGTGGACGGTCACCCTGAAAACGATGGGCCCTTGGGGGCCCTCAGATGCTCGGGCCTACCCGAGTCGGGGGGCACATCCCGCCCACGAGGAAACAGGCTCCCTCCTGCTCTCCGGCAGGCAGTGAACACAAGGAATGGGCTTCTCTCCCCACAGGTGGGCGTGAAGAGCAGGTTGGATAAGAACTTCTAGTTTCTGAGGGGAAAGCAACCTCCTGCCTGGCATTTAGCTCCCGAAAGACGTGAGATTCCTACACAGGAGACTTAAACCTGTGCTGCCCGGTGCCCTCACTCCCCAAACCCTCCGAACAGCCCAGCCCCCGTCCAGAGACTCGAGTGCAGTGAATGAAATCCCAGCCCCAAAGCCAGGGTCCATCCTCAAGGTGGGAGTCTGTCAGGCAAGGCAGAGAGTTTCATGGCTCTGAGATACTTAACACCTGTGTGCTTAAGAAACGTCGCACACCGAGGCTGCAGACCGCTGCAGAGCTCAGCCGCCTTAAGTTGGGAAAAAGTGGCACAGAGATGAGCAGCTCAAATGGAATACTCAGAGATGGGGGCCCTCAGCAGGAGAGGGGAGATGCTGGGAAACCTGGGCCTAGAAGGCCACACCAGCAGGGGAGTCAAAAATGACACTGGCACTACCTACCCCACCCCCCAGAAAGAGATGACTGACCTCGGAAGTGGCCCTGGGCAGCAGCTCTCACTGGGGCCAATCCTGCCTCCAAGGGACGCTGCAGGTGATGTCTGGGGACCTCTGTGGTTGTCACCACTGGGGTCCAAAGGTCACCAGCCCCGAGGGGAGCAGGTCCATGACACCAGGTTTCATAGGGGATGAGCAGGAGTGGAGAGCCGGGGGTGGGGACACAGCCGTACCTCCCCCACACAGACACACAGGGCCACCAGGCCTCCTCCTGCCCCGAGGGGCAATGACTATGTCACTGGCTGCACAGACAGGTGGCAAGGGTGAATGCCCACAGACCAGCTAGAAAGGAAAGACACCCACGGGAAT
The DNA here is from genome assembly GCF_000001405.40 of Homo sapiens. Taxonomy (NCBI): domain Eukaryota; kingdom Metazoa; phylum Chordata; class Mammalia; order Primates; family Hominidae; genus Homo; species Homo sapiens. The sequence continues at coordinate 5,087,210 of NC_000019.10, read as the reverse complement.
AAATCCCACCCCCTCCTTGACAATGGCCTCCGTGTGCCCACGGCATTCTGCTGATGGGGAGTGAATGAGGCCGTGTTTAGGCCACAAGTGCCGGCCTGGGCTGCTCCATCCCACCTGTGAGCTCAGGCAGGCGCCAGCCCTGCTCTGCAGAAGACGGGAGGGGAGAGCCCCAGGCTGCCTCCTGTGTGTGCGCGCAGGGCCCTGGAAGCTCCACCCGGAGGCTCTGGTCCAAGGCTGTGTAAGTAGGTAAGCCACCTGCTGCAGGGAGATCGTATTTCTCTGGGATTTTACAGCCGGGGGAACCTTGGAGAGCTCTGCCCTGTGGGGGCAGACCTGGGCTGAGGGCTGGGCCTCCTGCCTGCCATGGGGCAGCCAGGGATGCTCCGCAGGCAGGTGGCAGCACATCTGTGGCAGTGGTCTGGCCTGCTCACGGCTGTAGCTGCTGCAGGCCCATCCGGAACTCCAGAGGGAGCTGCACTGGCTCGAGGTGTGGTGAGGCGGTGGGGGCCAACCTGCTTTCGGAGCAGCCCCTCTGCCCACAGAGGCCCTGGGGGCTGGGGGGGGGAGGAGGTGGCTGTCCTGCGAGCTGTGCAACCCCGCTGGCATCTGTAGACGGGGAGACAGGCTTCCCCTGCAAGGGCCAGGCAGCACACGCCTCTTGGCTTTTCGGAACTACTCAACTCCGCGGGGCGAAGCAGACGCAGACGCCACCTCCATGCCAGAGTGTGGCTCTGTGCACAGGCTGCTCATTTGTGGGTGAGATTTCAGTTTCGTCCGGCTGTCACAGGTCACACATCCTTTTAATTGCCCTCCTCCCACAACCCTGTGAAGACGTAAACCCCCTGCTCAGTTTGCAGACGGCACAGCGTCGGCCTACCAGATCCGAGCCCTAGCTTGCCAACCCGTGAACACAGACACCCAAAATTCACAGGGCCCGGCCAGGGCAGGAGGGTGGCTTTTCACCTGTCAGCTCCTGAGCACAAAAATGACAGAAAGGGGACAACGGGGTGGGGGGGGGCAGGGGTCCCTAGCGGTCAAGGAAGGTGAACAGCCAACAAGCAAAAATGTCTCTAAGCAAATCGAGGGGGTGGAAAGCCTCCTCTTTGGCTCTCTTCTGAAGAATGTGCTCAAAACAAAGTGGCCCGAAACGCAAATGGGACAGGGGAGCTGGGCCGGCCAGAGGGACACCAGAAAAGGGGGGTTCTGGGCTGCCCCTTCTCTCCAATCTGGCTGCACACAAGATCTGAACAAGGCCCGAGCCCCACCTGACCTGGGCCGTTTCCCTGCCTTCTAACACTCCTCTGTCATCTGTGCGGCGAGATGCTCTAACAGACTCTCCAGCCTGGGCTGCTTATGGGAGAGAAAACCCTGCCAGAGTCAGGGGCCGGCTGCCCCGCCAAGAAGCCTGAGAGCCACCGACCCCCCCGACGGCCACAGAGGCCTTGTGGCTAATGACACTCCCTGCGTAAGGCCCTCGCCGCCCAGGCCAGGCCTGACTACACCAGGGGTGCCTGAGCAGGGGCTGGGACAGCGGGGCTGGGGGGTCCAGGAGGAAGCCCAGGCCCTGGGCGCCTGCCTGGAACCCCTGGTGTGTTTCGAGCGCTGCACGCCACTTGCTACGCCGCCTGACAATGGAAGCGTGGAGCCCAATCTAAGTCTGCACTTCCCAAATGCCAACTTGTTTGTGAACACATGGCTGAACCCCAAATTGCTTTTAATATCTGGGCAGTCCCCACCGCCCCGCTGCAGTTTCAGCTCCGACAGCACCTCCAGGACAAGCCCGAGGCCTGGGGCTTACAGCTCAATCTGCTGCTGGGCTGGTCACAACACCCGTGGTGTCCTCACGGCAGCACAAACACACAGACACATGCCCTTTCAACACAGCAACAGCCCTGAGATACTTAACTACTCCTTTAGATCAAAAAGCTGAAATCCCAACTTCTGGATCTCTCTTCCTTTAGCTAAGCCCAGAGTCTTCACTAGAGACATTCGAGACTTTCTGAACTGAGTCCTGGGGGCATCTCTCAAGCCTTCCCTGCTGTAGACCCCTGTTCTTTTTCTAAACTGGATTGAAGGCAGAGAAACAGCCAGAAAAATAAAGGTTAGCTCATTCGTCCAGACCGGCGTGGCCAGGAGAGATGTCACACAGGCCACCTATGCTGCCTCCATTTTCCCAGTAGCCAGGAGAAAAAAGCAAAAAGAGGTGGTGTGCTGTGGTGGCTCGCGCCTGTAATCCCAGCACTTTTCGAGGCCGAGGTGGGTGGATCACTTGAGCCCAGGAGTTCCAGACCAGCCTGGCCAACATATTAAGACCCTGTCTCTATAAAAGGGTGGGCCGGGGCGGCGGGCGGGGGAGGGTGGGTAAAATGAAACAGGTGAAATTCATTTTTTTTCTTTGAGACGGGTCCTCACTCTGTTGCCCAGGCTCGAGTGCAGTGGTGCAATCATAGCTCAGGGATGCCTTGACCTCCTGGGCTCAAGAGATCCTCCCGCCTCAGCCTCCCAAAGGGCTGAGATTATAGGCGTGAAGCCATCATGTCCGGCCAAAATCCATCTTAATTATACATACATATATAATTTATATATATAAATTATGTTATATATATAATTTATATAATTTATATTTATATATAATACATATAATTTATATAATTTATATATTATATATAATATATAAATAACATATATAATTTATATTTATATATAATATATAAATTATAACATATATAATTTATATTTATATATAATATATAAATTATTATAACATATATAATTTATATTTATATATATAAATTATGTAATTTATATAATTTATTTTATATAAATATACAATATATAAATTATATACAATATATAAATTACATACAATATATAAATTATATACAATATATAAATTATACATAATATATAAATTATATATAACATATAAATTACATATATAATATATAAATACGTATTTTTTTTTGAGACAGTTTCGCTCTTGTTGCCCAGGCTGGAGTACCAGGGCACAATCTCAGCTCACTGCAACCTCCACCTCCCGGGTTCAAGTGATTCTCCTGCCTCAGTCTCCCAAGTAGCTGGGATTATAGGTGCCCACCACCATGCCTGGATAATTTTTGTGTTTTTAGTAGAGACAGGGTTTCACCATGTTGGCCAGGCTGGTCTCAAACTCCTGACCTCAAATGATCCGCCCACCTCTGCCTCCCAAAGTGCTAGGATTACAGGCATAAGCCACCGCACCAGGCCAAGGTCTGACATCTAGAAAATGCTGCGAGAGTCAAAGAATCCGGATCTGGCCCTGTGGTCTCTCCTATCACACCTCCCCCACATCTGGATCTGAGAAGAATCTGCCATTTGTGCTGACCCCGGCTCTGGAGGAACTGGAAGGCTCTGCACTGGGAGGGACGATGGGAGGAAGTACCTGCTCTCACCCTGGCCAGCCCGCTGCCCGTCCTGCTGCATCACGAGCAGCCACATGACCCCAAACCAGAGGGAGACGCCGGGAGGGGCTGAGGCTGAGGCTGTCTCTGCGGGGAAGACAGAGGGGCTGGGAGGAGCTGGGCTGTTCAATGCTGCCCAGAAACAGCAGCCCTGAGCCAGGGCCACGTGGCCGAGCCTGGCCTGCCGGGACAGCTCAGTCCTACTTGGGGGCAGCCAGGAAAAGCACGCAGGGGACTTCAGGGACAGCCCTGGGAGGAGGCTCCCCAGCCCCCAGCTCCAGACAGGCAGCCAGGAAAGGGCTAGACCTGTGATGCCCAGACGGCCTCCTAGCTGCTTCCCTTCCCGGGTCCCACACTCCCCTTTCTGAGGCTTAGGATTCATAAGCCCCGTCCACGTCCCCGTCACTGGGACCCCAAGGCAGAGACCATGGGGGAGGGGGTGGCCAGCCAAGGCGACCCCGTCCCACCCGTGCCCAGCAGCAGCTCTTGTGGGCTTCCTATCCATCCAGTAGCCTCCCACACCCTCCGCATGGTCGAGAACAGCCACACAGATGGCTGTACGTGGCGTTAGGAGAGTGGGGAACAAGCGCTCAGTTCAGACGCCAATTGCTGGCCAATAATCGGCCTTCTGAGACCAGGAACGAGAATCACCAGAAAAAAATCAAGCAAGGGCCACTCACTGTGAGTCTTCCCACGGGCATGCTAAGCTCACCGTGACCTCCAGGGACCCCACCAGCAGGAAGCACCCAGGCACTGGGAGCTGGGGGACTGCCACTGACAGGGGAGCAGGGAGGGAGGGGGGCAGATGCCTGAGTGGGCTCCTGCCTGGCCAAGCGGCCCCCAGGAGAGAGATGTCAGCAAACAACCCAACCCCAGGACCATGATGGCCAGGAGATGCCCAGGAGCCAGCCAGCAGGGGGGACAATGGTGCTGGTGGAGGAAACACCCCAACCCCTAGACCCGAGCAGCCGGCCATGCCCAGGAGGCCCACGCAGGCCGAGGGATAACTGGTGTATGGAACTCGCTGGAGATGGGCCCTGGGCCACCATCGTCCACCCGACCTGCCCACCTCCTCTCCAGTCTTCGAGGTAAGGAGCGTTCTGGGCAAAAGCTCTCTGAGGAGCCCAGAATCAGACCCTGGTTGAGAGCCCAGGCCCTGGGCTGAGCGAAACGGCTGCTGGACCAGCTATGGGCGTGTGGCTGCAGAGGCAAAAAAGAGCCTCCTCCCGCCCTGCTGGGACCCGTTCCCAGCAGGCAAGCTTTTACCTGAGTGGCCACTTTGCCGTAGTCAATCCACCGCAGGGTGGCGAAGTTGGTAGATTCTGCGCAGTTGAACCCGTGATTGAAGCCGGCGTGGTAGCCGTAGGGAAATGTGATCATGAATTCCCCGGCCTCCTGCGTGATCTGCAGAGGGAAAGGAGACAGGTGAGGGCAGGGCCACCAGAGGCGCACCAGGGGATGGGACGTGGGCACTTCCCAGCAAGTGCCAGGGAGCCTGGCTTATGAGCCAAGGGGGTTTCACAAAGTCAAAGGTGATCCAGCGGCTCCAGGGGCTCCAGGGCTCCAGCCCATTTCCCACGCGGCTCATGAAGGACATAGTGAGCAGCCGCAGCCACAGCTCTGCAACCTCCACTCGGCTCAGCCGGGCCCCTCCAGCCCCAGCAGCCCCTGCCCTGCCCCAAGGCGGCCGTCAGCATCACCCCAGTGGGAGAACCGCAGATGGAGCCGTGGCTGGACACAATGCCCGTGGGGGTGTCTCCAGCCGGACCTTCATGGGGAGCGATGGGGGCCTCCTGCTTTGGAGGTGGCTGAGTCACACTCACAGTCACTGTGACATGTCCTGAAGCAGCTGGGGCTGGTTTCGGGGCGGGTGGTGCTGACAGCAGCTTTAGAGTGCTCTGAAGACAAGACACTGCACGCGCTCAGGACACCTTCTGCCCTCGCATGAGAAAGGAACCACCACTGCACGCGCAAAACACGCCAGGAAGGGGCCTGCGACACGCCGCCATCCCAAGCCATCTTTCAATTGTATCTCAACAAGGGGATCTCCATGAAGTCATGGAGATCCAGAAATATCTGCACACCGGGGGCATGACCTGACACCACAGATCAGCACCCTGGAGAGCGGGCCAATGCTTCCAGACCCAGGTCCAATTCGGATGTTCGGCCCATTCGACTTTGCAGGTCTCTGAAGCAGGACCCCCTAAACTGAGGAGCCGAGGCGTGCGTGGCTGGGGTGGGGCCCACAATGACCCCAGACCCAAGGTTTCCCAACAGCCACCCCAAGGTCTGGAAGAAAAGGCAGGGCTGCCTACCAGGGCTGGGGGGCTACAGCCTTGTGCCCTAGGAACCCTCCCCACTCTGGGGACACTCGAGATGGCCACACTGACCCCCACTCCCTGCTCACTGCTAAGCCCGTTGATAAAGCCTTTGAAAGACGACCATCCAGAAAGATCAACAACAAATTTGGAGTGATGGCTCCCACCTGCTGCACCCCGGGGCTCAGGCCAAGGGCTTCTAGGAGGTGGGGCTGTGGGCCCAATCCACAGACGTGGAAACTGAGGCTCATGAACTAGAATCCTTGAAGTCAAGTGGGCTCCTCATCTTTATTTAACATCCAGTAAAACGCAGGGATCACAGGCTGCTCGGAGTTCTGGGCGTAACCACTGATCCAGACAGGAACAAAACATGCCGGGCCCCCAGGCACCCCTCCTACCAGCCCTCTACCAGGCCATCCCCACCGAACCACGCACGCGCTCTCAGTCACCACAGACCTCGTTCCCTCCTAGTGGTTCACATGAATGGCGTTGTACGGCAGGGACACGTGCCTGTTGTCTTCCACCTGGCGTGCGTTTCTGAGATTTGTTCCCACTGTCCTGTGCACCAGGCGACCGCTCCTTTTCATTTCTAAACAGTACTCGGTTGCGCGTGGATCTATGGTTATTTATTTATCTATCCTCCTGTTGATGGACGTGCGGGCTGTTTCCAGTTTGGGGCTCTCGTGAAGAAAACTGCTAAGAACACTTATGTACCAATCTTTCTGGAGACATATGTTTTCATTTCTCCTGAGTAAATATGCACAGAGTGGCATCGCTGGGGCACAGGGTACATGCTTCCGTTTCCAAGAAAATGCCGAACGGTTTTCCATGGCCATGGCACCGCCCTGCATCCACCCCGGCTGGGAGCAGCGTGCAGCTGCGCCCTCCTCACTGGCATCTGGTGGCGGTGTTCTGACGTGGCCGTCCTGGGGCTGGCGGTGTCTCCCAGCTGGCTGCCTCTGACTTCTACCGATGCTGGGCACTGAACCATGGCTTTCGTTCCTGCAGCTCCTTCGTAACGCGTCTGCTCAAGCCCCTCACGCCGAATTCATCGGGCCATTTGTTTTCTTATCTCTGATTTGTAGGAGTTCTCAGGCCTGCTGATCATTATATATTCCCCCAGAAAGATGAGCAGAGATTGCTGGATACACTGAAGTCGCCAATAAGCCATCAGAACTGGTGAGGCTTTCAGAAGCCAGCCACGGCGTCAGACATCAATCAAAACTGACACAGCTTGGAAAAATGCCAGTCCTTAAGAACACTGTGATATTTTTCTTTTCAAATAATTAATTGCACCAATCAAGGGAAGTCAGTGTGCATTAAGTTATATTTTTAAATTCCCATTCAAGTGACAGCCACGTGCAGCAGAACGAGCACGCGGCAGAAAATAGGGGTGGGGGGGGAACACACGTGGCCCCAGGGCCTGGCCCCCGCCGTGCAGGACATGGGGTCCCCAAGGGCTGGCCCTCACTGTGCAGGACGTGGGGTTCTCTGGGCCAGCTTCTCCCCACTACGCTGGGAGCTCCGTGAAATGAGGGGCAAATAAAATTAAGGTTTGGGGCTTTTTAAAAAAAAACCTAATTACTGGGCCGGGCATGGTGCTCACACCTGTAATCCCAGCATTTTGGGAGGCCAAGACAAGAGAAACACTTATGCCCAGGAGCTTGAGACCAGCCTGGACAACAGAGTGAGACCCCATCTCTAGAAAAAAAGAAAAGTTAAGAAAGTAAAGTAAATGCCATTACTGATTCCTTTATCCTATTTGAGCCGGCTTCGGAAAGGCTTTTCCCTGACCACCTGCTCTAAGGCCAAGTGACGGCTCCCTGTCTCTCCCCTGGAGAACCAGGCCTGCAGGCATGCGTCAGGCAGACATCAGACTCAGAGCCTTCAGGGATCCAGCTGGGCCCCCGGAATGCCAAGATTGAATGGGGGTGATGGCAGCAGAGAGCCAAGCTCTCACAGTGTAAGGACCTCACTCCCCCAGCCCTCCTATGAACCAAGGCCTAGAAGAGAAAATGTGCTCGGTTAGGACAAGAAGATTATGTTCCTGCGAGAAAACCTGCATCCTGGTGGCTTCGTTCCACACTCACGGTGTCTGTCCCCTGTGTCACTGCTGTCAACATTATCCAACAATCAATTAGAAGGCGTTGGGATGATGAATAGGCTTTGCGGCAAAGTCATCAGTGGTGACAGGACGCGGCCCCAGACACCAGGCACGGAGAAAGCCCGGAACTCGGTTTCCTCTGCGAGCTCTTGCAGAATAAATGAGGGAGTCAATGGCAGATTACAGAAGTACACACTTTTAATTATTAAAAAGCTCTGCTATTGATCGGCTTTTTCTCCTAGAAGTAAATACCATTACAAAGATTTATAAGGGGAGTGTGGGGAGTCACTTGTTTGAAGGCTGCCAGGAATTCAGATGAGGGGACCCACGCTGCTGTCTGGAAGGGACGTTCATCTCAAGCCCATGGCGTCTGAGAGGCTGAAGGACGGTCCCCAGGCCGGGCGGCACAGGGTGCTGTTCGCTGCAGTGGGACAGGGGCCTTCACTGTGGCAGCCTCTGGAGAAACTGGCGCCCGGCCCCAGCAACCAGCTGGCGGTGTTGGGGAGCGCAGCCGTACTGCCTGGACCCCGCCTGCTACCATGCATGGTGCCAGCAGCCGCTCTGAGGCTGGTGGTGAGCCACCTTTGGCTCAGGTTCAGGAACTTTACAGATAAACTGCAGTGCGATACAGATGCTGACCTGGGAGTCCAGGCCACTCACTGCCTGCCCACCCCTTCGATGGGCACCCCCCTCCAGGAAGCACCACTTTGGAGAAGGTTTTAGACAAACCAGCCAGAAAATCAGTACTTCTCACTTCCCTGAGCAATGCCGTGATCTGTCTGGTTTTGCTGGTACTGAATGATGTTCCAACCAGAAGACGGGGGAGAAGAGGAAAGGCCGGAAATGCGCACTTCTCCGAGCGAGATCTGTGCTGTCTGATGAATGCCTGCAGCGGCTGGGAGGCGGCCTCTGGGTTGCAGCCCCGCCAGGAAGAGCGGATCCCCGATGTGTGAGCTGATGCTTTGGCGGTTTGATTGAAATGTCACAAGCAATTTCCGGCTGGCTGACACTCAGGGCCTCACCACAGAGCACGCTCCCGAGCCTGCACATCACTCTTCCCGTGGAACCTCATGAGCTGGGCTGCGGCCCAGACCTGCCTTGCAGGTTCTTGGCACGTGCCTCTCACCTGGACAGAGCTGGGGACACAGGCCTAGACTCTCCCATGGACAAAGGCTTCTCCATGGGGAAGGAACTGCCTCGAGTGGGTGCAGTTGCTGAGCTGGACCCTGAGCACAGCCTGCTCTGCTCCTGGGACACCAAACCCCAGCTGTCCATCAAATCAGGTGTAGGGAGGCCCCACCCCCCGGCCTCAGGTCTCCTCCATCACAGCCTCCACCAGCAGCCCCTGAAGCAGTGAACTGAATGAGTTCACAGTCTTCACGGTGCAGGAGAGCCCGAAATGTCACTTCTAAACAGGCAGTTCTCTCCACGGCCGGGTGACATGGGCCGTGGGGGTGCCTGAGACTTAGGGTGTGGCCTGGGGCGGTAGGAACCAGGTTCCCACCTTGCACGGGACGAGGGGCCCTGCCCTCTGTTTCTTTGGCAGCTTCCTGCCAGGTCAGCAGGGCCTGCCCCTGCCCTTCCACCCCTGCAGCCCCTGCGGAGGGGCCTCTGATGGCCACACCCAGGAGGAAGTTTTGGTTTGGTTTGGGAGGGGAGGTTAACACCCCGCCAGATTCAAGCTCTGCCATCTTCGCTTCCCCGTGGAAGAGCTGGAGGCTAACTGCTGAGCCATGCGGCCCTCCTCTGGCATGCTAATCACTGTTCTAGAAACTTCTCCAGGGTTAAACAGCTTATCTCCTGGGGTATGTGCGGCCACCTGGGCTTGGACCCGGTACCCACTTCACCCACAGGCGTGCAGGCCCCACCCGTACGCACCCGGCTGAAGGGGATCCCGTACTTCTTCAGGATGATGGGCGAGATGAGGGTCATCTTATGCCGCAGGAAGGCGTCGCAGCCCTGCGAGCTCCCGGGGAAGAAGCCTAGGGCCGAAAAGACAGACGTCAGTCTCCTGGGCCACAGCCGGCCGGGGTCAGCGAGGATGCTGCCCTCTGGGCAGGCTGGCTCTTTCCTCCCATGGAGAGCGGGCGTGTGGGAGCACAGAGCACGGCCCAGATCTGCCCTTGGTTCTCAGGGCCCCAGTGCCTGCAGGTCGGGGGGAAGGAGATGCGCAGGAGCCGCCCCATAGTGCCCTGCTGTGAGCTCTGCAGGTGGCAGACAGTGGTGACACCCTCTGGCCTCTGCGCAGTGACCATGTGAGCAGATGCCTGGTCTCGTCTCTGCCCAGCAGCAGGGGCAGCCAAGGGCCTCCTCACCAGGGGAAGGACCAGGGTTACTTGTGTGACAAGGTGCCCACCCATGGCATACACTTGGGTCCCTCACAGGGCACGGCTATGCAGAGACTTCTCCTCCGACCTCCCCAGACAAAATCCACCAGACCACAGCCCACACAGTCGCTCGGTCAATGAGAGAGCACGATCCTGGGGAGAGGACACGGTGTGGCCGCTCTCGTCACTCGGTCAACGAGACAACATGACCCTGGGGAAAGGACGCAGCGTGGCCGCTCTCGTCACTCGGTCAACGAGACAACACGACCCTGGGGAAAGGACACAGGGTGGCCGCCCTCGTCACTCGGTCAACGAGAGAGCACAACCCTGGGGAAAGGACGCAGTGTGGCCGCTCTCATCACTCATTCAACGAGAGAGCACGACCCTGGGGAAAGGATGCAGTGTGGCCGCTCTCGTCACTCGGTCAACGAGAGAGCACAACCCTGGGGAAAGGACGCAGTGTGGCCGCTCTCATCACTCGGTCAACGAGAGAGCACGACCCTGGGGAAAGGATGCAGTGTGGCCGCTCTCGTCACTCAGTCAACGAGAGAGCACGACCCTGGGGAAAGGACGCAGTGTGGCCGCTCTCGTCACTCAGTCAACGAGAGAGCACGACCCTGGGGAAAGGATGCAGTGTGGCCGCTCTCGTCACTCAGTCAACGAGAGAGCACGACCCTGGGGAAAGGATGCAGTGTGGCCGCTCTCGTCACTCAGTCAACGAGAGAGCACGACCCTGGGGAAAGGATGCAGTGTGGCCGCTCTCGTCACTCGGTCAACGAGAGAGCACGACCCTGGGGAAAGGACGCAGTGTGGCCGCTCTCGTCACTCGGTCAACGAGAGAGCACGACCCTGGGGAAAGGATGCAGTGTGGCCGCTCTCGTCACTCGGTCAACGAGAGAGCACGACCCTGGGGAAAGGACGCAGTGTGGCCGCTCTCGTCACTCAGTCAACGAGAGAGCACGACCCTGGGGAAAGGACGCAGTGTGGCCGCTCTCCTCTCGGAGCTGATGTTCTAGAACCAGACCAGCCAGGGACGGTGAGGAGTTAGCAGTGCTGCCTCCCCCTTGGGCACCTGCTTTCAAGGCCATGAATGAGACTGTGCACCTGCCCCCCCACACAGCACAGCGGGTGTCCTCACTGTCACTGCACAGGTGAGGAAATCGAGGCCCGGGCCACCAACTGACTCACCCTCGGCCCCAGCACCACCAGGAAGTGGCAGAGTGGGCCTGACCCCGAGCTGTGGTCAGAGCTCACAACCTCTTCCTGTTGGGCCGTGCTCAGCATGGTGGGCTGCGTACATGTGTGTGGGGCTGTCTGTCTAGGAGTGCGCTCTGCAGCTGACTTAAAGCAGCGCCTGGGAAACAGGCACTCACACCAGCAGCTTGGCGCCTTCACAAACCTCACAGCCAGGCTGGGCGCGGTGGCTCACACAGGGAATCTCAGCACTTTGGGAGGCCGAGGCAGGTAGATGGATCTCTTGAGGCCAAGAGTTGGAGACCAGCCTGGCCAACATCACAAGACCCCATCTCTACAAAAATAAAAATAAAAATAAAAAATAAACCAAGCTTCCTAATTAGCACAGTTCAGGAATGTTTCCAAATCACAAGGTGAAGACCCGTGCATTTGGCGGGTAAGGTAAGGATGCCCCGGCTTCCCGGCAGCAGCTGCTGAGGCCCACGCCCCTCAGTGTGCAACACAATCCCTGTGCCAAAGGGACTTCCCTGAAGCAGCCGGGCCCCCGGAACCAACACCAGGGGAGCCAGACGGGCCCAAGCCAGGAAGAGCAGTTCAGGGAGGGGACTTACCGCCTCATCTCGGGCACTTCCTGCTCCACCACCCACTCTGCAAGTGGCAACGGGCAGGAGGCCGGCCCAGGAGGCAGGAGGACGGGGGTCAGATGTGGACCAGGAGGGGCACTCCCGGGTGAAGCCCGGCTCCAGCACAGACTGCGGAGACTAGGACCTGCTCCCCAACAGGGCTGCCGGCTCTCTCCCGGCTGCGCCTGCGTCCCCTGCCCTGTGACGGTAGAGAGGTACTGCCATGTGGACGACAGAGGTGTGGGGTGTCACGCCTGCAGCAGACAGGAAGCCCACAGGCGTCCACCTCCTGCCAGGACTGACCAACAGCCTCGGCCAGCCCGAGGGCCCTTCTAGAAGCCTGCACAGACCTCAAGCGCCTCCAGGACGGGACACACACCCATTGGGTCATTGGTGGAAGGCGGCACAGCTGTGTGCGAGAGCACCAGCACACGGAGGCCCAGGCGCACGGGGAGGCGGGAGAGCGGGGCCACGGTGCTTCTGCTGACACCCAGCCACGCAGACACCACGGTGAGGTTTTGCAAAGTACAGGGGTTTGCCGAATCCAGCAACTTTTCTCCACACTAAAAGCATTTCAACGAGAATGATGACTGCCTGCCGCCCGGCCTGCCGGCGGCCTCTCCGCAGTTCCTCTTTTTAATGCACAGTTTAAGTGGCTCTCATTAAAGCTCTAACAAAGGCGCACATTTTAAGTGATTAGCACCAATAAGGCGCCAGCACATTAATGCTCTCTCCATAGGCTCCACAACTCTCCCGGTGAGCCCATTTGGAGCACAGCTATTCATTTTCCATATTACTCGCACACCCCTTCCACCGTCCCAACGATGGAACACATCGCCTGCCCCAAAAAGAGTCTGGGAGGGGCACCTAGGAACACAAGGGGGGTCGGGTAGGCTTTCCCCATTAGTGCCCCATCCTGCCCCCAGCTGCCTTCCAGAGGGGAGGGCAGGGCCCTGAGCCAGAGGCCACAGGGGACTCAAGGTGTTTCCACGCAGCTGCAGGCATCTGACACATCCCACAACCTTCCTGACCCTCCTCGGGGTTCACAGCCAGGCTGGCTCCCAGAATTTTAGAAGCTGCTCTGCCCTGCTGAAGGGTGACTAGGGTCTCACTCTGTCACCCAGGCTGAAGTGCAGTGGCTCCATCACAGCTCACTGCAGCCTTGACTTCCCAGGCTCACGCTATCCTCCCGCCTCAGCCTCCTGAGTAGCTGAGACTACAGATGTACAACACCACGCCCAGCTAATTTTTACAGAGACAGAGTCTCACTATGTTCCTGAGGCTGGTCTTGAACTCCTGGGCTCAAGCAATCCTCTGACGTCAGCCTCTCAAAGCACTGGGATTCCAGGTGTGAGCTACTGCACCTGGCCAGAGTCCATACTTTCTAAGAACCCCTGTGAAAGCACCACCAAGAACTAATTCTTCCCTGGCTCCCCCTCACCCAGCCCAGGCACTGAGCCCTCTGCACACTTAGAAACCAAACCAGCCCTCCAGGTGCCTGGCCTGGCCTCAGGGTAGAACTGGTCACATTCCAGGGAGAGGGGATGTGGCAGTGCTTGGGGACAGGGGTGGCCTCACCAGATCCTGCCTGTGGCCTCTCCAGCAGGCTCCTGTCAACCTCTGCTTTTCTAATGCAAAAGTCACACTGGGTGAGAAGGGAGGGGACAGTGGCTAACTGTAGTCTCAGTTAAATATGGAGGGGGAGAAGTGGCTGGCAAGGATGGGGTGGCCCTCTCGATCTGGGCACCAGAGAGCACCAGGAGGGGCCCGCCTGGGTGAAGCCCAGCTCCAGTACAGACTGCGGAGCCTAGAGCCTGCTCCCCACCGGGGCTGCTGGCTCTCCCCAGGCTGCGCCTGCATCCCCTGCCCTGTGGCAGTAGAGAGGTACTGCCGTGTGGACGACAGAGGTGTGGGGTGTCATGCCTGCAGCAGACAAGGAGCCCACAGGTGCTCCCTGACCGCTCAGTGAGGTTTTCTTCAGTGGCTTTCTAAGTGTGGCTGGCTGAAAAATGGAACTCCAAGGCACCCACATGCTAACCCCTGGGACCTGTGAGTGTGGTACCTTCCATGCTGAAAGGGACTTTGCAGATGGGATCGAGTTAAGGATCTTGAGGTGGGGGAGCACCCTGGCTATCCGGGTGATCCGATGTCATTCCATGGGTCCTCAGAACAGCGAGGCAGAGGGACTGTTGGTTACAGCAGAGGAAAGTGAGGAGACCAGAGACAGAGGCTGGAGTGATGCGGCCCAAGTCAAGGGATGCAGGTGGCCTCTAGATGCTGGAGAAGGGAAGGCAGAAACGGGTTCTCCCCTGGGACCGAGCCAAGGAATGCGGGCGGCCTCTAGACACTGGAAAAGGCGGGAAGTGGGTTCTCCCCTGGTGCCTCCAGATGGAACTGGCCCTGCCTGCACCTGGGTTTTAGCCCCTTAACATGCATTTTAGACTCCTGACCTCCAGAACGGTGAGAGAATAAACGTGTGTTGTTTTCAGCCATTAATTCTGTGGTCATTTGTTACAGGAGCCTCAGGATGCTAATACAACATGGGGAATGTTTCTTTAGCTTATGTCTTCAAATTTGTTTTGGAAATTGGTATTAAAAACATACAATGGGAGAAATGCTTTAATCTAGCTTTTCTTTCACAGCTTTAGTATGTAAGTGAGCTGGACCTTTGCTACGGCCTGTCTGTGACTGCAGAATTTCTACTACCAGAAGCGTGCTCCTAAGACCAGGATTCACCTGTGCCTAAGAAAGGGGTCCAGGTTTCCAATAGAAACGCTCAAAAATACCAAGAGCAAAGCCCTCAGTCCAGAAGCCAGGAGAGCACATGCCAGGAGAGGGCCCAGCCCACTCCCCAAGGACTCCCTTCCCCTCCGTCCCCACCACCGAATCTGCCGCGCTTGGGCAACATTTCCTGCACAGCCACGTGACTCCTGGCGCAGTCTCTGGGACAGGAGACCCTTATTTCCCTAGAAAGACTGACAGTTCCCATCTCCAAAGCCAAAAGCCCATGGGAAGGGGGAAGAGAGCATGTGGCGGGCGTCCTTTGGCTCGAAGGTTTGGAAGGGACAGAGGACAGCAACCAGGCAGTCCCGGGAGCCTGTACTGAGGCTGGGTGAGAGCTCCTGGAAAAGCTGTGGCTGTCGCTTGCTGAGCTGCCTGACGCCGTCCTTGAAGGGCGGGGTGCTCGGACAGGGCCCTCTCAATGCTGTCAGAGGAACAACGGGCCCTCACTGACCCTCACCCCTCACGCACCCCAAGCTGTCCACCTGCCAATGCGGAGGAGCCAGCTCTTGAGCAGCTGGGAATGGACCAGCGGGAGGGAGGAACTGCTTTAGCCAGCTGTGTCTTTTCATGACTCTCCAGGCACTTAGGAGCAGTGAGGTGTCATGAAACTTGCACCCCTGTTGTGCTGTGATGCCGGCGCTGACATGGGGACCCTGCCCAAGTGCCTCAGGGCTGGGTGGTCAGGGGAGCTCAGGGTGGCCCCATCCCGGGTGTCTCCAGCTGTCTGACTTGTTTCCAAGTATCCCACAACCTGAGGATCTGGCACTCCCTCAGGCACATGCTGGGACCCTCTATGACAAACCCCTTCTTTCCCAAGAGTCCCCAGGGAGCACATGAACGCGAGCTGGTGGCATCACCAGTGAGGACATTTGCCAAAGGTGTCCAGGTTGGGTCCCAGCAGAACAAGGGCAAACGCCGTGCGGCCACCATGTCTGCTCCCCCGCAGGTAAGCGGACTGCTGGCTGAATTGTCTCCTTTCCTAGGCTTTCTCAGAATTAGCAAGGGCACAGTGTGGGGTCAGGTGATGGGAGGAAAATGAACACAGGCTGCCCTCCCTGGGCCCTGGCAGCCTTTGACCAGGCCCAAGAAGTTTGCGCTAAGAAAACTGGAAAACAGGAGCGTCTGGGCATTCTGTGCGAATTTCACAAGAGACAAACTGCGCGGCAGAAGGGCGTGAATCTGACCACGAGGGTGGGAGGAAATGGAAAAAATCACACAGTAATGGCTCAAAGAATGTCACCACTCCCCAAAACCCAAACCCAGACCGCAGCAGAGCCCGGGGGACGCCAGCTGCCCTTCCCCACCCACAGGCCCCTCCCACCTGGTCCCAGGTCCCTGGGGCCCTCAGGGCAGGCACCTACCGATGGCCAGCCGCTCCAGGCGCTTGCCGTGCTCTGGTGGGATGGCGTACCTGCGAGAGAAGGGAGGCACGTCAGAGGCAAGATCGGTGGCAGCCACGCAAGGGGGTGTCCCTGGTGGGACCAGCCTTGGGGAGACGCAGACAGTGCCCAGGGCAGAAGCAAAGTGGAGTCATGGTCAGGACTGTGTGGAGGGGATGGCCGGGGGTGGGGGCTTTCAGGACGGAATCCGTAAGGAAGCGAGGTGGGGCAGGTGGAGGAGCGGGGAGTGAGGACCATGGCTCGGTGGCTTGTGACACACTCAGAAAGCCAGGAGTGGGGATGCTCCCGGTTAAGCGGCACTCCACCTCGAGGAGGCTGAAAAGGCAAAAAACAAAAGTATTGGATTGGAACTGCGGGTGGCGAGGGGACCCTGGGAGGGCCGAGTCTGGAACAGCAAGCATCTGGGGCCCCCGGAGCTGCCAGCCCGCTCTCCAGGCCCACGTCACGGTCTCCAGGCCCACGTCACCCTTTCCCGGCACTGGGAGCCAACAGGGAAAAAGCAGCTTTGGAAATGAGAAAAGCTGCATTTGTCACCGACTTTGTAAGTTTTATTTTTACACATTTTACATTTGAAAGATCACCAAGGCTCCATCATGAATAAGAAAGACATAAGATGAAAGTGTGCAAACACACGAAGCGAAGTGGGGGTGGCATCCCGCTCATGCCGTACCAGAAGCTGGAGACCTGCGATGTTGGGACTCTCTTCCCATCAGGGAGGGTGGGCACCAGGAGCCGCAGCCTTGAGGGGGAGCGAGAAGCCCCAGTGCCAACGGGGACACCACCCAGCCCACTCCCAAGGCCTCCGGCAAAACAAAAACCTCAATTTCCAAGCGAAGGGGACGAGGACAGGGCCTCAGGGACTTGAGGGCACACAGCTGAGTGCCAGCTGAGGATGGTCAAGTCCCATCCTCGACCCCAACTCTAGAGTAACAAGGCCAACAGCTCCCGTTCTAGAACAGTCACACAGATGAGAGGACACATGATATGGTCTCTCCCCGAGACCCTCCCAGGGCAGAAGCAAGACAAGGAAAAGCTCAGAGGGTGGGAGACGGCCCCTGCTCCACTACAGCCCCTTCCAGCTGAAAGGCCACTTTGTTTTTTAATGAAATAAAGAAGCCAGGCGCGGTGGCTCATGCCTGTCATCCCAGCACTTTGGGAGGCTGAGGCGGGCAGATCACCTGAGGTCAGGAGTTCAAGACCAGCCTAGCCAACATGGTGAAACCCCTCCTCTACCAAAAATACAAAATACCAGCTACTCAGGAGGCTGTAATCCCAGCTACTCGGGAGGCTGACGCAAAAGAATCATTTGAACCTGGGAGGCAAAGGCTGCAGTGAGCCAAGATGGTGCCACTGCACTCCAGCCTGGGCGAGAGAGTGAGACTCTGTCTCAAAACAAACAAACAAACAAACAAACAGGCCGGGTGCAGTGGCTCACGTCTAATCCCAGCACTTTGGGAGGCCGAGGCGGGTGGATCACGAGGTCAGAAGTTTGAGACCAGCCTGACCAACATGGTGAAACCCCGCCTCTACGAAAAATACAAAAATTAGCCAGGCGTGGTGGCAGGCGCCTGTAATCCCAGCTACTCAGGTGGCTGAGGCAGGAGAATTGCTTGAATCCAGGAAGTGGAGGTTGCAATGAACCAAGATTGCGCCACGGCACTCCAGCCTGGGCAACAGAGCAAGACTCTGTCTCAAAAAATTAAAAAAAATAAAAATAAAAATAAAAATAAATAAGGAGGGGGCAGGAGCCAGAGAAGAGGCGAACATCACGGAGCCTCTAATCTAACAGGACACAAATAATTAATTTCTGGGCATGCTCCCAGGGTCCCCAGCCAAGGCGACCCCAGCACCTTCAACTCTGTCGTCCTCAGAGAGTCTTCCACTGTCTAGACAGGGGTGCATTCCTCTTTTTTAAATGGGCTTTTATGATTTACATAAAGATGAGAAATTTTAATCCCAATCCAAAGCACCTTTGTGGGATTAAAGACCCCTCCGCACAGGGAATGAAACACTCTGCTCCTTCTGGGAAGATGCTGGGGACGGGAAGGAACTAATTTATGGCTCCAAGGCTGCGATGATTAATGCCGTATCCCCAGCCTACAATGCTGCTCCACTTAATTACTGCCTGTAATTGGGAGTTGTAAAGATAAGATTAATTGAATCTGGCGAATGTTAAAAGTTTAATACACTGGAACGTGGCTCTGGCGTTATCAGAAAGCACAGACTGCGGGACGCAGGCCCAGCGTTCAGAGGAGCAGCCCCCACAGAAATCACAAAGGACTCTTGGACAAGAGGCCGGGCAGCCACGGAGACTTCTGGGCTCCGCCACCGCCAGTGCCCAACAGCGAGCTGCACCTCCCGCCACTCGGAACAACCCAGCGACGGCCTCGGGGACCAGAAGACCTGATGCTGGCAGACCTGCCTCCCGGCCACCCCCAAGGACACAGGCGGAAGAAAAACCTCAGTTTCCAAGAGAAAGTGCCAGGACACGGCTTAGGACACACAGAACTGAGTGAGGCTGGAGGCGCCACGCTCCGTCCACACAGGGCTGAAAGCACGCTTGCGTTCGCTTAGGGGACCAACCCCAGGACGGGGGACCAGAAGGTAGCCTCGGGGCCTGCTTCTCACACCAAGGCTCTCCGGATGTCCTGAAAAGCCCAGTCCAAAGGACGGGGTTGCGACGGCACTGGTGGGCGGGCCATGGAACTGGCGGACTGAAGCAGATGCACGGCAGAGACCCACAGTCACCACAGGACAAGAGACTCAGGGAGCCTTCGGGCCTCCCAGAGGGGCGTCTCAGCAGGGTCCTCCGCCCAGGCCCCCAAAGAGCGAAGAATGCACGGCCCCCTCCTCATAGTCCCTGCTCGGGGCCATGCTGGGGCATCCCTGACATTTGGCCTTGGCTCTGGAGGGAAAAAAAAAAAAAAAGGCAAAAGCAGCTATTTGGTTTGGAAATGTTTGTTCACTAAAGCTCGAGGCAGGGGGAGCATCTGTCTGGCTATTAGTGAGCAATTTCTCGGGGCTGTAAAACCAAGTCAGGTTTATTGGCCACTGACACGGGGAGGCAGTTTGTCTCACTCCCTGGGAGCTCGGTTTCCATCACAAGGTCAAACTTCACGGCCAAAATCAATCAGCTTTGCCTGCCCGTGACCCCAGGAGATCTCTTTCTAGACACGACAGCCCTGTGTGCCCGGGTGGCACGGGGTCTTGCATGCTTTCTGGACAGACAGCTGCCCAGGCCCTCTGGCTCCTGTGCAGGGGCCACTGGTCCCCAACCGGGCCTGCTCCCAGCCTACCTCCTCTGTCCAGCTCTGAGATGCTACCGGCTCCATGACCTGCACGGGCCCTGCCCACAAGCCCCTGGCATTCCCTCCCTCCCCTCCCTCCCCCATGCCAGCACCACCTCCTGCTGACACAAAGGCCCCCACACCAGCTCTCTGTCCTCTGACTCTGTCAACCTCCCCGGGACCCCGCAAGGGCTGACCACCTCTCACCCTCTAGAGCCCTGGAGGCCAGGTCATTGTACGTGTCCCTCCCTTCTACCATCTTCAGAGCACGTCCCCAGGACTGGGGCTGTGTGTGGCCAGCCCTCTGCAGCCATCAGCTCTCCCTAAGCCAGGGGCAGGGTGCGGAGGGTCTGCGGCCCAGCGCACAGGGATTGCTGGAAGAAGCTGAAGAGGTCAAGACAAAGCAAGCAGGAAGAGCGACTCCTGGAATCTCGTGGGTCTGTGCAAGGCAGAACAGCCACGGGGCTTCAGAGGGCAGAGTCAGAAATGTTAAGGGGGTGGGGAGACTTAGCTCAGTGCAACAAGGACTCTTGCAGCAAGCTAAGCTCTCCGAGCACGGAGCAGGTGCCCTGGGGTATGTCTGGGCGGGGGCTGAAGACAGCACTGTTGAGGAGGCTGCCAGGGGAGCCTTCGGGAGGGAGGGGTGGCCTGCACAGGTCCCTCAGGTGCACCCACTGCAGGCCCCTGGCCTTGCCTGGAGGAATCTGGTTCTAAATCAGGGCGAATGCTATTAGGAGGTCTGAGGACTCACATCGGCCGGGACGCAGGACGCGGGACCCAGGACCCAGGACCCGGGCATCGCCACTCCTCTGCACCACTGTCCACAGCACCCCCAGCGGGGTCTCCATCTCCGTGTTCTCAAAGCCCTGGCTGTCTGCCCCCCGTACCCACTCCCTCTGTTCTGGAATGCTGTACACAAGTCCTTCTGGAAGACAGTAAACCACAAAGTCATAGAAACTCGGCTCCGCATCTCCAGCCCGGGATCTGGAGCCATATACCTGGTAGCCACCCTTGGTGTCTGGTGCTGGCCGCAGAAGGCTCCACAAGCTCCGTGAGAGCCATACGTGGTGGTGACCAGGAGGTCAAGAAACAAACCCAGGCATCGGACACCCTTTCGGAAAGTCAGTCATGTGCAAGCCAAAGCAGCGTGGGTGAGAAAATAAAACAATGGGAGAGACAAATGCTAGGACGTGGCCCCTCTGGAGTTGGGGACACAAGACACGTGAGGTCACATGATGGTTAACAAACAAAATGATGGTCCAGCAGTGTACTAGCTCCTAGGCCCATGGGGAGACACATGTGAGGCAGCACAGTGACCTCCTAGGCCCATGGGGAGACACATGTGAGGCGCCAACAAGGACATGAGATCCAGAAGGAAGGACACCCCGGCACAGGGGCAGTGGGTGGGTGGGCACGGGCAGGTGGGCAGCCCCCGGACCCTCTACCTTCCCAGCTTCTCTTTTACACTTTGAGGTGTTTTGAGTAGTGAATGTCACCAACGTTACACTTTACTGCCACCCAAGAAAGGCAAAGCTAAAAGCCTCAAAGCCACCCACTGGGCAAGAGTGGGGGCCGGGCCACCTCTCGAGGGGCTGGGACCCAGAAGCAGAGAGCAACTGAGGCTGAGCCCCGCGGCCTGACACACATGAGTCTGACTGGTGTCCAGAGACACTGGTCACACGGGAGGTCAGGACTGCAGCCAAGGACTGGGCCCAACGTAGGCAGCAACGAGCCGCATGTCCCTGTTTCAGCACCGAGACCAGAGGGTGGGGATGCCCCACCAGGCTCAGCCAGCGAGCTGAGACCAGGCCTGAGTCTGGGCTGGCGGCAGAGCTGCCCGGGGGATGCTGCGAGGCCCCGACAGCCTTGCTTCTTCTGCTCGCGCCATTCCCCAGGGGCTCCTGGCGACGGGTGGGCGAACCTTTGCCATGGGCCCCAGAAGCCCCCGGCCGTGCAGAGGAGGGGATGGATGGCGGGCAGCTCATGAGCCGGAGCCGGAGCTGGAGCCGGAACCAGGGAATGAAAGCAAAGGCGTTCTCTGCAGGCAGGCGCTCCCCTCCAGCCAGCGGACAGGCCACTGTCATCTCGCCGCCACGCTGGCCCCGGAAAGAGTTTTCTGTCCACCGCAGAGGATGCTATTAATAGTGTAATTTCTTGGTGTTTTGTTTATTCCCCCGGAATGGCTTGATGGATGTGAATAATTATCAGACTATAAAAGCCAGCAAATGTGCTATTTTCTATCGCTCTAAATCATCAAACAAATAAAGTGTGAAACAGCATTTTTGAATATAATTTTCCCCTCTAATGGCTTAGAATTATTATCAAGAACAATGAAAATAAATAAGCAAATGCCTTTGAGTTAAAAATTAAATGAGTGTGTCAGGAAAGGGAACACAGGCCGTCCTGGGCAGCTGGGACCTGCCAGGGAGCCCTTAGCTACGATGACGGTGAGCAGACGGGCTTGGGGTCACACGGCCCAGGCCACCCCTGGGCACCATCCCACAGGGCCCCAGCCTGAGGCGGGCCCACATGTGGCTCCATGAAAGCGTGGCCCCCACTGGTCTCTGCAAAGCAGGCGCTGTGGCCCCTCCTGTGCTAGGTGACGCTGCGCAGTGGGGCTGCCTGCTTCGCCTGTGGGCACTGCCTGCCTGGCTGACGCCCCAGCACCCCCAGGGACCCCGCCTGCCACGGCCAAAGCACACCGCACCTGACCTCGGAACCCGAGGCGGAGGAGGTGGGGGTCCAATATCCTGTCCCCTCACAGCCTCTGCCTTTGCCAGCCATGGGCAGGCAATGACAGCAGGGCCGCTGCCTCTCAGACCAGGCAGAAAACCCGAGATCGGGGCAAAGTCTCTGGATGAGGGGTGTGATGCTGGTGCCGGCCACACATGTCCCCACCACACCTGCCGGCTGCCCCAGGCTCCCTACCTGGGCGGCACTTCCAGAGCGACCAGGTGACTCCCAGCGCCCTCTCCCTCCTACTGCAAGCGGAATGGGCTCCTTGGAGGCTCTCAAGCCAGGACTCTGTGGCCCTCACCTCTGGCAGTGGCCCCTGCCTGGCACCATCTTGCTTGGTCCCTGTGGATGGCTCTGAACCAGGCAACGGGACATCATAGTGTAAGGTTTTTTTAAGATTCGTGTAGCTTTCTCCCAGGTGACAGTGGCACTTGGAATCCAACCCACGGCCCAGCCTGACAGCTCCTGCCAGCGGAAGCTCTCGGCAATTAGGTGCCAGGGATGAAAACGCTCTCCTCCCTACCCCCCACCCCCGCCGCCGAGGAATGTGTGCCAAGAGCAGAGGTCCGACCAAGAGCCCTTCAGAGATGTCGGCACAGCCCAATGCGTGCTGGAGGGTGAGAAAGTTAATTTCACAGTGTCTGCACAGGCCTGGGCAGACGGGCCTTCGCCATTTAATGCGCTATCATCGCAGACACAGAATGAGGGAGGCAGAGCCCGTGCACGTCACGCTGGAAGTACCCGAGACCAGGTGTCAGGTTGGACAGAGGCCACCTGGCAGAGTGAGCCACCCACGCAAGCCCAGGAGGGCCACGGCAGATCCAAACGCCAGTGGCGCCCCCGGGACCCCAAGTTGCAAACAGAACGGAAAAGCCATGGTGACCGCCACCCTCGCAACAAAGCCCTATGGTGGCCCCGGCCTGTGACCCAGCAAGATGGCTCTGGCGCACTGCCCTGTGGCTGGCACAGGCCGGGAAGGAGAGCAAGCCGGCTACAGGGTGGGCTTCCTGCGAGACCCAACAGAGAGCTGCTGTCTCAGCCCCACATCCACACGAGCCCCTCAGCCGACATGCAGTCCCGGAGCCAGCTAAAGACGAGCCGGGCCAGGGTGGCTCCTCTGCTCTGCTCCTCAGAGCCGCATGGTGACCGGGCCAGGGACACACAGGTCTGTGTGGTGGCCACCGTGCTGCGCCGTGTTAACTCCGTCCACGGAAATGGCCAAGTTCTCTGAGCGCCTTCTATGTATGCTATGGAAACTGCACCACAAACAAAGCTGTTCACAGGAACCTGAGGACCTATTCACCGCACTGGGGACACAAGGACCAGAGAGCCACGGTCCCTGCCTGCGTTGCTGGGCTCAGTGCCACAGATGCACTTGGCTCTTCAGAGTATCTTCAGCACTGTGGAGCCCAGGGTGTCCACCAAGTCAACACAGGCCCCACCAGAAACCCTGAAGAGACCAGGTCACAGATGTCCTCTCTGGAAAAGGCACCAGCCCAGGTGGTTTTAATGAATCCTGCCCGATGACCTTCATCTAAAGGGACAGTGCCCATGTACACACATGGTTGGCAAGCAGTAGGGAATATCTGACGTTACTGAGCTCGTTTTCTGAATCCGGCATATTTTCCAAATGGATGAATAAATGAACAAATGGGAAACCCCAGCACCAACAAAGAACACGCAAGAAAATGATCAGCCAGTCCCACGTGGATGTAAAAATCCTAAATACAGCATTAGTGAGTCAAGCACAGTAGGCTATTGCAAGACCAAGAAGAGTTTATCTCCAAGGTTGCAAAGACATTCCAAAAATTAATATCTATCAAAAATTCCAAAGCATTTGGTACAAAAATTCTCAGGCAACCAGGACTAGCAGGGACTCTCCCACTACCACCTTCATGGCGAGGCAGGAGAGGACACAACCTGCCCATCATCACAGCACACGTCACACTGCACTAGAGACACTAGCCAATGTGATATATCAAGAAAAAGACAAAGGGTTTACCAAGCAGAAGGGATAAGACAAACTTCTTAAAATCATAATATAAACGTCTAAGTAAGGCGTGATGGTGCATGCCTGTGTTCCCAGCTCCTCAGAATGCTGAGGCAGGAGGATCACTGGAGTCCAAGAGGTTGAGGCTGCAGTGAGCCATGACTGCACCACTGCACTCCAACCTAGGCAACAGAGGGAAACTCTATCTCTAAAAAAAAAAAAAAAAAAAAAACAGTTTAATTATAACATAAGTTTCTACTTAGGAAATCTAAGCAAACAAAGAAACTGGTAAAACTATAGAATTAAACACAGCCCAGCAAGGTGGCAGAATTTTTAATTAAAAAAAAAAGTCAACAAAAAGAGGGTTTCCTCTACAGCAGAAAGAACATTAACAGAACACTCTAAACCCACTAGGGTAAACCTGTCCCTCGTCTAGGGTGGAGCAGGAATTCTCTCCACAAACAAGGCCACACACAGACCTGGTAGTGCACTTGCCTGCTGTACTCACAGGCTCTGACCTGGGAAGCCAGTGCCTCCCTGGGTAAAACCCCTCCACACCCCTGCAACAGCGCATGGGGACGGACGGGAGGAAGGGCAGGTGCCAGAGCTCATCACGTAGTCGCCAGCAGCAGGAAAGGCATGCTACCGATGGCCACCCCAGGAGGATGGGTCGCCCAGGACAGGCAGCTGCCCCACAGGTCAGTCTGGAGAGATAAAGATGTTAGAAAAAGTGCCTGCACAGGCAAGGGAGTGGATCCACAGGCCAGGACACACAGACAGCCCGGGAACTGCCAAGAGCACTGAGGTCCCATATCCTGGCTGAGAGAGAGGGAGAGGAGATGTCACCAACCGCAGCCTGCTGGGAGGGAGAGATTACAGGGGACCGGACAGAGGGCAGGAAGAGGAGGAGTGAGACCCTTTCGCAAAGACTCACAGGAGAAACGGGAGTCCCAGAGCAGGTGCAGGCCCCATGGGGAAGGCTCCAGCCCTGGCATTCTGCGGGGCCAGCCCTGCTCCCCCAGATGCCACCGCTGCAGAAATGGAGCCCAGCCTGGGCTGCACGGCTCCTCCCAAGGCAATGACAGAACTCCTCCAATATCTGATGGAAAGCTACCCTATTTCTTTCTTCTGTTTTTTTTTGTTGTTGTTTTTTGTTGTTGTTTTTTGTTTTTTTTTTTTAAGAGACAGGGTCTTTGCTGCAGCCTCAAATTCCCAGGCTCAAGCAATACTCCCTCCTCAGCCTCCCATGTAGCTAAAAGATGACAGGTGTGCGCCCTACACCCAGCTGATTTTTTCTTCTTTTTTTGTAGAGATGGAGTCTTGCAATGTTGCCCAGGCTGTTCTCGAGCTCCAGTGGCTGGCTCAAGCAATCCTCTGGCCTCAGCTGCCCAAAGCTCTGGAATTACAGGCATGAGCCAACCTGCCTGTTTCTACTGGAAAAATCTTCTTTCATGGAGCCTCATCCTGGGGAAAGGCCACCTCCCTCATTTGTC
The DNA here is from genome assembly GCF_000001405.40 of Homo sapiens. Classification (NCBI taxonomy): domain Eukaryota; kingdom Metazoa; phylum Chordata; class Mammalia; order Primates; family Hominidae; genus Homo; species Homo sapiens. Next base: position 5,061,514 of record NC_000019.10, on the reverse strand, counting down.
CCCAGCACAGGGGCTCCTTTATGTGGCAGATACTAATACTTGCTTGGGAGATAGGATCTGCCAGGGAGCAGGGTGGCTTGTTCCCAGGAAACAGCCTTATTGAGCTGCAGTGGCTTTATCTTTAATGGATCGTTTTACGGGACAAGAGATGATGGAATTTGGTATCTTAAACCAGTGGTGACAATGATTTCAAATAATGACCTTTTATTGAGACACACAGGAGACCAGCAGAGTCCTGGGAGCCTCGGCTCAGGGAAGATGGGGAGCCTGGGATGGGGAGAGCCGCCCACAGGAATGCCCGACAAAGCGGAGCAGCAGGCGGAGGAGACAGAGCTCTCGGCTCTCGCAGGGCCAGCCAGAAGACCCCATTCCTGGCACGGTGGCCATGGGTGGCCCGCCCTGCTCTCCTGGGCCACGAGGTGTCGTCACACTGGCCCTCCGGAACCGGGGCTGGGTCAGCACCCTGAGGATCCGTGCGAACTTCATACACCGCCAGCCCACTTTAATTAGGAGCAGACTCGCCGAGGCAAGCCATGTCACGCCTGCAATTAAAGGCCAGATTGGAGGCATCTGATCCCCAGCCCTGATTTATTTTAGGCCCACAAATTACTTTTATTATATGACAAGGCCAAAAACGCAAAGTCATGTGCGAGTTGTTTGCCATGTTTTTCCCTCAGCCTCGCCAGGAAAGCTGTGAGAGTGCCCGTCACAGGGGAGGGTGCGCAGGGCAGGTGCCCAGTGACACAGCGGCGGCTGTCAGGTTCGGACACAGTGCCAGGGACACAGGGCCACTGACACACAGCAACCTCCCTCACGTGCCTGCCGTCAAACCGGCCTGAATTTCTGCTCATCAACAACCAGGAGGCAGCCCCCACCATGCCTGGACCCACGGCCCTCCTCCAGCATTATTCGACCTCAGTGGGGACCCCTTGCCGTTTATTCTGTTAAAAGGCACAGGATGGTTTAAAAAGGAGAGAACAACGACAGTCTCCTAAGAGCACAGAGGGTCTGAAGAGACAGGGACTGCAGCTGGAGAACAATCATGGCTCCCTTTTTTTTTTTTTTTTTTTTTTTTTTTTTTGGAGACAGAGTCTTCCTCCGTCACCCAGGCTGGATGGGACAATCTTGGCTCACTGCAACCTCCACCTCCCGGGTTCACGCCATTCTCCTGTCTCAGCCTCCCGAGTAGCTGGGACTACAGGCACCCACCACAACACCCGGCTAATTTTTGTATTTTTAATAGAGACGGGGTTTCACCACATTAGCCAGGCTGGTCTCAAACTCCGACCTCAGGTGATCCGCCCACCTTGGCCTCCCAAAGTGCTGGGATTACAGGCGTGAGCCACCATGCCCGGCCCATGGCTCCCTTTTGTCCAGAGCAGTGAGGGATCACCCGGCCAAGATCAGCTCCCACATGAGCCCAGCCCCGTGGGGCCTCAACACGGGCCCAAGGAGGTGCTGGCCTGGCAGCAGCTCTGAGGCCCTGGAAGGCTGTGGGGAGGAGGCAGCAGAGAATTCGAGAAGCTGCTCCAGCACCAGGCTCTGCAGAAGGCCAGCTGGGCACCAGGGCTGATGTGCCCGTGGTGGGAGTGAGCCACACGCAGGCATCCCGGAGAGGCAGTGGGGCGTGAGGCCCTGGTGGGAGTCTGAGTCTCTGTGTGCAGAACGTCGTCTGGATACCTGCAGGCTGTGGAGGCTCCCATCTATTAAAATGCTCTGATGCCTCTATGCTTACATTTATTTCATCACCGGCACCCACAGACACACAGCACCCACTGAGCCTCATGAGGAAACACGGTGACCGCCAGGCCCCTGGTGACCGAGATGGCCTGGAGCGTCCTAAATGGCGCGTGTAATGATGGGACTAGCTTTGGAGAGCACGGGAGTTGAACTGTCTCACACACAGGCCGATGGCCATGAGGCTACGCGCTCCTGTTCCTATGACCTAAGTCTCAGCCTGTGCCCACCACGGGCAGAGGCCGCAGGATGCTGGGTCCCTCCCTGGGCCTCGGGGACCCGGGCTGGGCTCTGGAGCTCCGGGAGGGTTTGGCTCACACACGGGTTAAGTCTGCTTGGCTCGCAATCAGGTCAGGGAGAACAAGCGGCCCGAGCCCTCGGCGGGAGGCTGCTGAATGAGGGCCATTAGCATCGCTGTCATCGGCCCCATCCTGCGCCCGCCCCGTTTCATCAGAAGGCAGCCAGCGCTCCTGTCCCCTGCTGCTGGCGAGTGTGGAGGGGAGGAAGCCATGCGCTGCCCAATTTTTAAGCAAAGATAACGAAGACTCTCCTCCCGCAGATTTGCTGCCATCTCCCTTCTGGGGAGCTGAACCCCGCCGGCAGCAGCCTCGCCGAAGGGAGAGAAATTTGCCATGGAAACCAGGCCCTGAGCTCAGAACCCAAACCTCTAATGCCTACGTAGACTGGGTGGGCGGGCGACTCTGGGTCAGGGCCAGCCTCGCCGGCTGCAGTGGGAGGGACCCGCGGGCACGCACAGACCCCCACAGCCTGAATAAACTCCTCATCCAAACACCGCCTGGCGGGATTATCTGAAGATGGGAATTCACGCCCAGTGATGACATTTCAAACAGAACTAACAGTTTCTTAAAGCGGTGGGCAGGGACAGGATGCCGGTGACTCGCCTGGCATGCCACAGCCTGGAAGCGGGCGCCAGGTTTGTTTGGCTCCTACCTCCCTAAAACAAAAATCCTGCAGCCTCACAAGCGACACGAGCCAGCGTGTGCACTGCCACTCCAACCCGAAGCGCCCGCTTTGAACAAAAGACTCCAAAATGAAGGCCATCTGCTCCTGCCAGACCAAGCCAGCGGGTGAGCGAGGGGCCGCAGACAGGACTCAGCACACGACGTGAGGCAGGGGCTGGTCAGACAGCGTGAGGCTAAGGCAGCCCCTGCAGGGTCCAGAGCCAGCCCCGGCTCCCACCACACCCAGGCCCTGGCCCGAAAGCCTGCTCCTACAGCCACTCCATCCTCCTGGAACATGGCCAAGAGTAGTAGCTCCCCTGCTTAGGAAGCTTCTATGCCCCCTTCCCGCCCCTGCTCCTGAGCTGGTCACCCATCCTCCCCTCACCGGGCTCCCCTCCTCCCTCAGTCCTCAGAGCCCCCCATTCTCCCTGCCTCCATCCCAAGGGCTCCCGGGCCTGGCACTGCTCTGGGGGTTGCGCGTGGAGTGTCTGGCTGCCCGGCCACACCAAAAGCCCTTCCCAATGGCTTCTGCTCCTGACGCAGCTCATGCTGGGCCCTGAGCAGGCATGAGCACTCCGTCAGGGCTTGGGCAGATCCATCTCTTCAACCTCAAGACCCTGTTGGCTGAGCCCCTGCAGGGCACCCAGCACCCACATGGCAGGAAAGAGAAGTCTCACCTGCCCCTTCCCAGCTGGACATGTGGTCAGACTACATTTCCCAGCCTCCCTTGATGCAAGGTGTGGCCACGTGACTGGGTGCTGGCCAATGAGGTGTGGGCAGAAGTGGTGGGCCCTGCCCTCAGACATGGCCCCCTAAGCAGCCCATCAGTCCCTCTTCCCTCACCTACACAGCAGCACCCAGGGCGACCTTGGACACCACACATGCTGGCCTCGGTCCCCGCATCCCTGCATCATCTCCATGTCCCACAACAAACTGTCACCTTCAAGTTTGGCTAAGCAGGGCTTAATATGGTGACTCCATTAGAAATGGCTCCTTCCTCACCCACACCTTCGGGTTCAGGCCACCCTCGCCAATTGGGACACACCCTGTCCTCAAGGCTGCACATCGTCCTGGCACCTGCTCCCAGGACCCGCTGCCCTCCTGATCCCACAGGGCAGCGCTTCAAGGGCAGATCGGACGTCTCTTCAATCTGTGCCTCGTCCGTGAACAAGGACGTGGAGCCAGGGGCACAAGTCAAAGGGTTACTCCAGGCAAAGCTGCTGCATGAGGAACGGAACATCATAAATGCAGCCCCAGTCACAGTTACTGATAGCAAGGCTTACGATCAAAATGAATTTCTTACATGAGCAGCAGGTGAAGAGATGATAGGTCTTTCGCAGAAGCCTCATGCTGGAAACAGCCCAAATGTCCGTCCACGGCAGAATGGAAAAAGTCGACTAAAGTCCAGCCATACAGTGGGGAATTTCACAGCCATGACAATGAGTGCACTGCCACCACACACAACCGGATGAATCTTACACACACACCATTGAGCAGAAACGCAAGGAAATCAGCCCATTTGTAAGACCTTCCAATGCAGCCAACACACAGCCTCACTGCCCGGGCCACAGGCACACGCGGCCTGGCAAAGGGGAGAGGCAAGGGCGCCGCCAGCAGAGCCGGGAGGAAGCCACCACCACAGTGTGCAGAGGGGGCTGGGAAAAGGAGGCACAGGTGGGGGCCGTGTCCTGACATCGAGGTACACAGGGGACAGCCGGAGAGTCATTTGCTAACATACGCGCGCGCGCGCACACACACACACACACACACACACACACACACACACGCATATATATCTGGTACTTACATGCTTTATGTCCGTTTCTGTACCAAATCATGTTTCACAGCAAGAAATGCCTACAAAAGGGAAGCCCCGGGACAGGCAGGGCTCTAGACACCCCAGGACTCCCCGCCCCAGGACTCCCCGCCCCAGCGTCCCCGCCCCAGGACTCCCCGCCCCAGGGTCCCCACCCCAGGGCTCTAGACACCCCAGGACTCCCCGCCCCAGGGCTCCCACACTCCTCGAGTGACACATGCCCCGTGCTGCTGCCGTGAGGGTCTCGAAGATGTGATAAAGGTCCCAAATCAGTTAACCTTAAGAAAGGGAGGTGGCTGGGCACAGTGACACACGTCTGTAACGCCAGCACTTTGGGAGGCCAAGGCAGGCAGATCACCTGAGGTCAGGAATTCGAGACCAGCCTAGCCAACATGGTGAAACCCCATCTCTCCTAAAAATACAAAAATCAGCCAAATGTGGCAGCACGCACCTGTAATCTCAGCTACTCGTGAGGCTGAGGCAGGAGAATCGCTTGAACCTGGGAGGTGGAGGTTGCAGTGAGCCGAGATTACACCACAGCACTCCAGCCTAGGCAACAGAGCAAGACTCCATCTCAAAAAAAAAAAAAAAAAAGAAAGAAAGGGAGATGATCCTGGTGGGCCTGACATTCACAGATGACAGCATGGAAAGCGGGGGAGTGCCACTCTGCAGTGGAGACACTGGACATCCACACCCAAGCCGGGTGACCAGGGCCAACATCAGCAGTGACATCACGCTGATGGCTGCGCCTTTGACCCTTGGTAGGATGTGATGGGAGGGCCCTTCGCCCCTGTGGTCTTCCTCCCTAAAACCCATCACCCCAATCTAACCACAAGAAAAACATCAGACATGCTGATTAGGGGACATACAGATTAGGGGACGTTCTATAAACTCCCTGGCCAGCCCTCCTCAACACTGTCCAGGGCATCAAACACACCGTAATAGCCCAGGGCCCTACGGAGACGGGACAACATCACGTGGGACCCGGATGGGTTCAGGGGACAGAAAAGACAACGGGGGAAGACAGAGGAAATCTGGAGAATGGATCTTAGTTCATAACGCATCAGTGTTGGCCCATCAATGATCACAAGTGTACCACATTGATATAGAATGCTCATAACAGGGAACCCGGTGGGGAACTCTCTGTGGTTACTACCTTCCCACTTTTTCAGTGAATCTAAAACAGGTCTAATAAAGACCTATTTAAAGAGAGAGAAAGGGGGAGAAGACTTCACCAAAAAGTGGATGAAAAACACAAGCACAAGCCTGGGACAAGAATGAGAAGAGGGACCTGCAGGACACTCACCTGCTGTGGGGTGTCCTCCCAGTCCCCATCACGGCCACCACCCGACACTCGCCTGCTGCGGGGCGCCCTCCCAGCCCCCATCACGGGCCCACCGCCTGACACTCGCCTGCTGCGGGGTGCCCACCCGGCCCCCATCACGGCCACCATCTCTGCTCACCAAGAAGCCAGTTTCCCAAATCCATGGGCAACGGTGCCTGCTGTCCAGACACACACAGGGCAATCGACCATCCAAACACCGGAAGTCCCCAGCTCAGTGGCACGGCTCTGGAGGAGAGCTTGGAGTGCGATTTTCACACAGCAAAAGGCGATATGAAAATTGCTCTGCAGTCCCCGAACAAACACCAAGTGTGTCTGTGTCTGTCCCTGCCAGCTCCCAGCAAGAGCCAGGAGCCAGCCTGCTGGGACAGATCCCACTGACAGGTACGGTGGGAGCCCCGGTGAGTGCCCCGATGTGCCCCGGGTTTCCCGGTCACCCTGGCCGAGAGGTGTTCTCCCAGTCCTTGGGGACACCATCACGAGACACAGCTGAGAGCCCTGCCTGTCCTGGGGGCACAATCGGGCCGCAATTGCTTAACGTGAGTGAGGTTGGCAGGAGGCTGATCAGGCCAGCCGGAGAAGCTGTGATTCTGGCACCTGTGCCCCACACGCCAGGCGCAGAGATGCAATCCCAGCCTCGCTGTGGACGCCCCAGTGTGAGGCTCAAAGGTCTTTGCAGCATCACGAGTTAATTTTTTGAACGCCAAAGCCAGCTTCTGGTGCTCAGTTCACTCCCCAGTCTTGATAAGCAGGCCTGGGCTGATGGCGTCAGGCCGACAGAGTGGTAGTGACAAGAGCGAGGCAGAGGGCTCGATGATGAGGGCTGGGGAGGGGACCAGGCCAGGGAAAACACAGCTGCCATTCATAGCTCCCATGTGCCGGCCCTCCTGGCCGCAGCCTGGACCACTTACCCAAGCACGGCACCAGCGCCACACGCCACGCTCTAGGCCACACGGCTGCAATGCCCTGCTGGCAGCTCAGCTCCTGGCCCGAGTTCTCGCAGCTAAGTGGGTAAAGTCCAGTTCTCAGTTACCCAGCAGACTCCCAGGTCTCGTCTTCTGGGCAGAGTCCCAGGGGGCCAGACTCCCTCCCAGACAGACTATGTGACTGGAGACCCTTGTTTCTCTAACAAACACATGTACATGTGTACGCATGTGCATGCGCGCGCACACACACACACACACACACACACACATTCTCTCTCTCTCAGGGGACTCAGCATCACAGTTCACTGGATCTGAGCAGGTTCCAGGATATGGGACTTCCAGTTTTAAAACTGGGAAAGGGTTGGGCTCACACCTGCAATCCCAATACTTTGGGAGGCTGAGGCAGGAGCATCATTTGATCCCAGGAGTTCGAGACCAGCCCAGGCAACACGGGGAGACCCCGTCTCTACAAAAAATTTAAAAATTTGCCAGTTGTGCACGTGCCTGTGGTCCCAGCTATTTAGGAGGCTGAAGGGGGAGGATCACCTGAGCCCAGGAGGTTAAGGTTGCAGTGAGGTGTGATCATACGACTGCACTCCAGCCTGGATGACAGAGCAAGACTTCATCTAAAATAAAATAAATAAAGCTAGGAGAGCTGAGCTGGTCACTGAGGCCCACTCACGCACAGGAATAAAGAACCGCTGCACTGATGCTGTGGCCACAGTCGCCATCAGAAGCAGAGGATTGGGACAGGTGACCACGAAGGAGCTTCCTGCCTGCCCACGGCCACGCTCCTCAAACAGGGAAGCTGGGCACCAGGTGTGCCTGGCCACGCAGCAACCCATGTGGACCCAGAGCCAGTCAGCCGGGACGCTGGGCCCCTGGGCTGGTGCTGAGCGCTGCTGGGGGGTAGTGGCTGGTCTGGGCTGGTGGCAACTACTACTCAGGCGTAGCAGCTGGCCTGGGCACTGGGCCTGGGGGCCTCACTTGCTTGTGACAACAACTGTCTTCTCTCAAAAAGAGGTTCCTTCTGCAGAGAGGGGACACCCCTCATCAAGAGCCTCCCCAGATAACCTCATGCAGGCTAGACAGCTGTCTCTACAAGGATACGGCTCCCAGGGACCATGGGCTGGGGCCACTGCAGCGGGTCTCAGTGAGCCAGGGAGGAAGTGCTGAGGCCTTGGCGGGCAGGAACCTGGGCCCTGAGCAAGCTGCCTTGGCTCCTGACACCTTATCATTTTCTAATGACCAGGGTCCCTCTGCCTCCCTACTGGTCTGATCTGCTCTCCGTGGGAGCTCTCTGTTCTAAACCGCTTCTTCCTTTTCTATTTCTGTCATCCTGGCTCAGTGTGTGTGGCTGGGAAGAGACCTGGCTGCGGTCCCCTGCCTGGGAGCGAGGCACGCATCGGGCTGCCCCCATCAGTCTGGTGGGTCTTCTCAGTCTGACCTCCCAGGGCACCGCAGCGGCTCTGAGCTGCCAATGCAGCCCTGTCCCTAGGCACCCTCGCCAGGGTTGGGCCTCGGGTGGCAAGGAGAGGAGGGAGCAACTATCTCGCTCCTGCATCTTGTTCTGGTGACAGAGTGCAGTGTGGGGAAGCTGAGTTATTAAAACCAATCTGTGAAGCTGTCAGGCTCCAGGCAATTTCCATTTCAACCCAGTGCTCAGCTCAGGCTACGCCACCCCTGTCGGGACACCAATCTCCGCCAGAGCTGTCTCTGCGGCCACCCAACCTCTGGTGGCCCAGCCAGAGCAAAGCGGCTGGGAGGAATGCCCCAGGTCACTGAGGGGGGCCATGCCTTACGGTCAGTAGACTGGGACCCTAGGTCCCCACTGCTGGTGGGACCCCCCGGGTCCCGGGCTCAGAAGCTGGAAGTCCCAGTGGTTGGCTCGCCAGCAGCAGCAGTACAAACCCACACCAGGGTCCCCGGGCGCCAGCGCGCTACCCCATGGGCCTTCAGGCTGCTGCCTGGGACGGGCTCGCCAGCTCCATCACCCACCAGACTCCTGGGTCCCACTCCAAGGGACAGGGCAGAGGCCATTGTGGGGCCCGACAGTGCCACCTGCAGCCAGACTGAGGGAGCCCAGGAGGGAGGGAGGTGTCTGCCCCCAGGCAGGAGCTGCCAGCAGGAGATGGAGCTGGGAGGCGGGTGGGCCAGGGAGGTCCTGAGGGGCAGTTAGGCGGGCAGCAGAGGGGTAAGGGAGCAGGCCCGCAGCCTCCACCCCAAGAACAGCCTGGCTTGGCCTGGGTGGGCGACAGACTCATCCACCCCAGGCTCTGCCTTCCACCCACCTGCGGCCACAGGGCAGGAAGCCCGGGCTGGTCCCCTGCAGCCCTGGAACCCACCCTCCCCACCCCCACCCTCCCCACCCCCACCCCCAGTGTCTGGAGCACGGTTCCTCGGTGCACACATGCGCCCATGCACACACACACATGCACGCACACCTCCAGGGACACCCATGAAGCAAAAGACGGCTATGCCTGCTAGGACTCAAGTTTCCCTGGCAGCAAGAAGAAAAGATGCTGTGAAATTCCCATGAGGGAAAACGCCAGAGAGAAAACTCAAGGTGTAGCTGAATCAAAAGGGAAAATTCTCGGCTTGCAGCTCCTTAAAGGTCAAGGGAGGCTGGTGGAGTCTTCTGATAATCCCCTCTCCCCTGGCCTCCCCAGCAGCCCTCCCCGCAGCACTCAGGAGGGTCTGGCTCATAGCAGCCCAGGATGGCCAAGAGCAACTGGGGGCTCCGTGCCCTTCACGGGAGCACAAGCTCCGAGACCCCCACCTCCCACACCTGCACCGGAGACTGAGTGTGTCCAAGGTAAACAGAGGCAGGAGAGGGTGGGCGGAGCGATCCCCTGAGGAAACAGCCAGAGATGAGACCATGGGGGACCCCCATCCTGCCTGGGGCAATGGGGGATTTCCAGACTGCCGCGGGTCATGGGCAGGTCAAGGTCGCAGTCCGGGCAAGCGCTCCTTCGCCCCGCTGCTCTTGGGGGCTTCACCTGGGTGCAGGATGACCCCCCTTCTGACAAGCGGAGCTGCAGAGACCCTGGGGGACACCCCCTTCCCTAAGCCTGAGCAGAGGCCTCTGTGGCTGCCACGCACCTGCGCTGGCCCCGCGGCACTCCTCAGGAGGGCCTTCCTCTCGCCGCCTTGGAGCCAGTGCAAGCAGCTGACCATGTCCCATCAGCTCACGACGTCCTCGGGAGTCCCTGCAGCCCCAGGAACATGCTGATCCCCCATCTGGCTTCCCTGCTGCAGTGAGAGCCAAAGCTTCTGCTCTTGGCGGTGGCCCACAGTCCCCTAAACACCCCAACACTGCCCTGCAGGGTGTCTGATGGGTTGGGGGCAAAAGGGGACCCGAAGCCTCGGCCAGGTCCCAGCCCGGCACATGGGTGCACAGGACTGAACAGTGGGCACTTTCCCAGGCAGCGTGGGCCAGGGCCCTCGAGGGGGGATGGCCACTCCACTCTCTTCTTTGGGGTGCACAGCACAATCCGAATGACCCAGAAGTGCCCTGGGACCAGCAACTCTCTCAGGGCTGGCCGAGACCCAACATCCTCCCACCCCGGCCTGGAACTCTCTTCTAGGGGCATGTGGCATGTGATGCTGCTGGCGACACTGCGCTCAGCCTCGTGGCGACGCCTGTGTTTCGTGCCTGGCCCGGGCGGCTCAGGAGGGTGGGCCCTGCAGGGGCTGCCACAGGTGCAGGTTGGGGAGGGGATGCCTGGAGGGGAACAGCCGCAGGACCGGCCTTGGAGGGTCAGCTCGGCTAAACCACCCCCACCCCAGGTTCCAGGAGGGTCTTTTTATTTATTTATTTTTTATTTATTTTGAGACGGAGTCTCACTCTGTCGCCCAGGCTGGAGTGCAGGGGTGTGATCTCCGCTCACTGCAAGCTCCGCCTCCTGGGTTCACACCATTCTCCTGCCTCAGCCTCCCGAGTAGCTGGGATTATAGGCACCTGCCACCACACCCGGCTCATTTTTTGTATTTTTAGTAGAGACGGGGTTTCACCGTGTTAGCCAAGATGGTCTCGATTTCCTGACCTCATGATCCAACCGCCTCAGCCTCCCAAAGTGCTGGGATTACAGGCGCAAACCACCGCGCCTGGCCCCAGGAGAGTCTTGATCTATGGCAAGGAGTGTGGCCTGGGACAGTGGCTTCTATGGGGCACAGCCTTCAGGACACCGACCCCAGGCCACCACCCCACCCAGGAAGACCCTGGAATACAGGGTCAAGTGGAAAGCTCGGACCCTCCCCACACCCACCTGCACTCCGGCCCCCCCGGCCTGGGTGACAGAAGGGGCTGCGGGAAGTTGGCGGGGGGAAGTTGCAGGTGCTGGCTCTGGTTTCAATCCGCATTGCCAAAGAGATTTTGAGGCGCTCAGTCTCTTCAGATATTCTTAGCCCCGCTGCCTGAGAGCACCACAGAAGCCAGCCTTTTGAAGCATGTTTCTGCCTGTTATTGACACCAGGCTGTTCACGTCACTTTGACACACAAATCAAGCTACCAAAGTAGCAACAGACCCAGAAAGCTTTAATAAAATGCTGTAAACCTGAGTACATTGACACTTTCTTTAAAATCCCACTGGAATACTCTGAAATGGTTGCAATTAAGCGGCTGCAGATGCAAGCGGAACAGTGTAATGAGGGAGACAGACGGGGCGCAGCCTTGGTGATCTCTTGGCTGGGAGCCCTACCTACCCCAAGGGCCCGAGGAAGGGAGAGGGGGGAAGCATCTCCCAGGGGCCTGAGTAGCTTCCTGAACCCCAGCCCAGGGACCAGAGGCCAGACACTCTTTCCAGTTACCTTGTCCCCACCCCCCTGCAAGTTGGGAGGGCAGCCTGGAGGGGTAGTCAGCTCCCACAGCACACAGTGAGGATCCAAGAGGCTCCGGCAAGTCACCAAGCCTCTCTGTGCCAGGCCCCTGCTGGGAGCTGGGACACGGGGTGACCAGGGCCCCTACCATCTGCTGGGGAGGACTGATAGCCCGTAGTAGACGTTGGCTAATGCTGGGGTCACCTGGTCTATGCCTGTCGCAGGCATGGGGTGTCGTGGGAACATCTGGGGCCCCGCCTCAGCCCTGGTGAGAGAGCAGGGAAGGGGCCCTGCGTGCTAAGCAGGCTGAGCTGACTGTGGGGGCGAGTGGGGAGCTCTGGGGGGTTGAGGGCATGCCCTGCAGCTAGAGCCTACACTGTGGCTCCTCTCAGGCCCCTCATGCCAGGCCCCACCCCTGCCATCCCCACCCCTTCCTGGGCAAAAACCAAGACCAAGGTCAGGGCGCTTCCGGAATTCCCTTCCCGAAAGAACTGTTGCCTACTCAACGCTGCCCCGCCCCAGCTGTCTCCCCTGAGCCATCTCCCACGACGGGTCATGGGGAAGGGTAGACATGGGAGTGGCAGCTGGACGCCTGCGGCACCAGGCGAAGCAGAGGAGGGGTGCAGTGAGGGGCATTCGGGGAGAGGTGCGGGATGCCCTCAGAGGCTGCGTCCTGGATGAACCAGCTCAGGAGAGGCCCTCGGCTCCTGGCGCATCCCTGTCAGTCCCTCCGACGGCCTGTGGCCGGGCCCCACTGCCGCCTCCAGGGAGCCACTGTCGCCTCCTCCCGCAGAGGCCCCTCTGACCTAGCAGCAGGCACCCCCGGCCCTGGCATCTGACCCATAGCAGCCCCAGCCCCAGGGTCTCCCCCAGCCCAGGCTCCCACGACAGCCAGCAACCCCCGGGGCCCCTCACAGGAGACCGAGCTGCTGGCACTGCAGTCCTTGGCACTGAAGTCCTCACGTCTGACTCACTGGCTGGTCCCCCACCTCCCATGTCCCTGACCCCCCTGCTTCTGTCTGGCTGGGCCTCCTTGCCGGCTGCTCGCCACTTCCCGCCCCACAGGGGCTCTCTGCACAGGGCAGACGGTCCCTATGGAGGCACAAACCCGGTCACACCATGGGCGTCCCGCTGCCCACGCACCCCTGGGAGGCCACGCTTTGCCCCAAGTCACACGGGGTCCTCTACAGGGCCTTTCCCTTGGGCTCCATCTGCGCTTCGGACGCAGGTGAGGATGCGCACAGCTCGCCCCTTCCTGCTCATTGTGCTTTTTTTTAACGAAGAGGTACAGCATTCTCCCCCGCCCCCCCCTCTCCCCGCTTACAACTCCAACCCAGGGAAGGGCCAGGCAAGGCGGAGCTCCCACGCCCTCCAGGCAAAGGCTCCGTCCTCCTCCAGCGCGAGGACGGCCTGGGAAGATTCCAGGCATGAGCGCGGCCCCGGGAAGGGCGGGAGCGCCACCTAGCGGCCCTTGGAGGACAGTGCAGGGCAGCCCCGCGGAGCACCCAGCAGGTTCCGCAGTCACAAGCAGAGCCCGGTGACACAGGGGCACACACACGCATGCATACTCACACTCACTCACGTGCGCACTCACATGCGCGCGCACACGTGCACATTCACACACACCCCCACACGGCCTCGCTGCGACGTGCACAGGGAGCCAGGAGAAGGTCCTGGAACTCAGCCCGCCACAGCAGCGCCCACGCTGCACCCGGCACCTCCCGGGCAGGGGCAGGTCCACCACACTGCACACAGGCCTGCAGCGCCACGCCCTGCCCTCCTAACTGTAGGGCCTGGCCCAGACGTGCCAGGGCGGAGACTGCGAGGGAGCGGCTGCAGGGTCATCCTGGCCAGGCCCCTCTGGGCAGCATGGACAGTGTCCCTTCACCAGGAACGTCTCCACTTGGCTGTGAGGCAGCACAGCCTGGGCAGCTCAGGAGGCTCAAGACCACGCTCCTGGCCATGGGGACACCTGGGGCCGCTCACAGCTCAATGGGGGGCACTCCGGGGTACAAAGCGCAAGCTCTAGGGGCCTGGGAGCTTCGGCTCTGGGGGTGCACATCCCCCACCCCAAAGCTGGTGGGTGACCCCAGGCGGTCCGGAAGATCTCCAGCCGTCATAGGCCGACCTTTGCGGCCTCACCTGGTGGGGCCCCTGCCACGGCGCCCAGCCGTGTACCCGGGATTGACTCCCTCCCGAGGGGCTCTCGGTCCGGCCGGCGGCAGGGCCAGTGCAGACACTCACCAGGACTTAGGCTCCCCAAAGTGCAGGTAGTTGATGCTGTACAGGTCCATGTCCTCGGTGTGCCAGGCGAAGGTGGTCTTCCACATGCCGAAGTACAGGTAGGGCGTGTTCACGCCCTCGATGATGGTGCCGCACTCGCGCTCCACCATGTCCAGGATGGTCCGGAGGCTCCCGATGTTCCACTGGGCCACGTCCTGTGGGGCGGCAGAGCAGCGTCGGCAACCGCCCGGCCACCCCCAGAACCTGCGAGCCCTGGGGTGCAGGCTAATTCTCCCCAGAGTCCCAGGGGTCGCTGCCCATCCTCCTCCACCCCAGTATCTGCGGCCCCCCCAGGGGCCGGTCATACCCTGCAGACCAGGGGCTGGTCTTAACCTGTGTGAGATTCTTGCCCAGGCTGGAGTGCAGTGGCAGAATCATAGCTCACTGCAGCCTCAACCTCCCAGGCTCAGGTAATCCTCCAGCCTCAGTCTCCTGAGTACCTGGGACTATAGGCTATAGGCGTGAGAAACCACACCTGGCTAATTTTTACTTTTTTCTGTGTAGAGATGAAGTCTCACTCTGTTGCCCAGGCTGGTCTCGAACTCCTGGGCTCAATGGTCCCTCCCACTTTGGCCCCTCCAAGCGCTGGGGCTGCAGGCATGAGCCGCCATACCCAGCCCAGACACCTTTTCTGAAGGGCTCACCGCCAGCTTGGCCCTTCCAGGAAGGGCCCCATCGCACATGCCAGCGTGCACCAGGCAGGCAGGGCCTGTCAGATTCCACTGAGCTGCGTGCTTCCTGCTGGGTGGAGGCCTTGTTGTGAAGCCTGCAGTTTGGGAGTGCATAATTAACACGCCTCTAAGTCAATGACACGGAAGGAGAAAAACAGTCACCACTTGGGGCTAACCCAGCGATGGTACCGGAGCCAAGGCCCAGTGACAGCCCTTCCACAGCTTCTGACCGAGGAGACGAAGACAGTTTTCAGAACTAGGCAAACAAGGACGGAATCCCCACCCACCAGGCACATCTATTCTTAATGCCACAAGCAAACAAACCCCGTCCTGTCCCAAGAGCTCATAAAATACACATTAGTCACTGCAGTCCCCGGAGAGGCTCATGGCCTGCTGAGAGGCCGAGAGGAGCCCAGACACACATGAACGTGAGCTGCTCTCACAGCCTGAATCCACCCCCCACCAGCTGTTCCTGCACCTGCACGACCGGCCCTCAGACTTGGCAAGACCAGCGGTTCCTTTGCAAGGTGAGCCCTGGCAGGAGCCCAGAAGAGGTGAGGAGGGAGGCAGTGATGAGACCCAGATGGGGCAGAGGGAGGCCCCAGGCACAGGCTGAGCTGGGCGCAAATTCATCCTGGGACCACAGCAAGTCGCTTCTCTGCTGTGGGCTGTTTCCCCCGCTGTAAAAGTAGGCTAGTGCATAGGCTAGGCATGGCAAACACATGGCAAGGAAGCCCTGAAGCTTCCCCTGGCACCTGTGGCAGGTCGGCCTGGGCTGGCACAGCCTGCGTGCGGCTGCAGAGTCCCTCCCGGGTCATCACTACAGGCCAAGTGCAGGCAGTGCAGGCCAGCCAACCCAGAGGCTCTCATGCACTGGAGTCTGAGGCTGAACTTTCACTTGAAAACAATCAGGCAGGATCCGTAAGAGAAAGACAAGCCCCAGTCAGAAAGAAAATACTTGCAAGTCACAACTGATAACCAAAATACACAGCAAACTCTCAAATTTAACCAGAAGAAAACAAACAGCATGGTTAAAAAACAGAAAAAGATGGCCAGGCGCGGTAGCTCACGCCTGTAATCCCAGCACTTTGGGAGGCCAAGGCAGGTGGATCACCTGAGGTCAGGAGCTTGAGACCAGCCTGGCCAACATGACAACACCTCGTCTCTACTAAAAATACAAAAATTAGGCTGGACATGGTGGCTCATGCCTGTAAATCCCGGCACTTTGGGAGGCCAAGGCGGGCAGATCACGAAGTCAAGAGATTGAGACCATCCTGGCCAACATGGTGAAACCCCATCGCTACTAAAAATTCAAAAATTAGCTGGGCGTGGTGGTGGGCACCGTAGTTCCAGCCTGGTGACAGAGCAAGACTCCATCTCAAAAAAAAAAAAAGAAAGAAAATTAGCTGGGTGTGGTGGTGGGCGCCTGTAATGTAATCCCAGCTACTTGGGAAGCTGAGGCACAGAAATGATTGAACCCAGGAAGTGGAGGTTGCAGTGAGCCTAGATCACGCCACTGCACTCCAACCTGGGCAACAGAGCGAGACTCCATCTCAAACAACAACAACAACAACAACAAACTGGGCAAAAGACATGAAGAGAGCTCACCAAGGAAACACACAGATGGCAAACAGGCATGCAAAGGGGCCCCGCCGCGAAGGCAGCCATCGGGGGAATGCAGATTGAAATGGCAATGAGACAGCGCAACACGCCTCCCAGGGTGGCCAGGATGCACAACACCGACAACTCCAGATGGGGGCGGGGAAGCGGGGCCCTGGGAACGTTCATTCGCTGCTGCTAGGAGCACACAGTGGGACAGGTGGGCGGGAGGACAGTTTGGTGGCGTCTTAAAAAACTAAACGTCCTCTCACCACGTGGTCCAGCAACTGTACTCCTTGGTATTTACCCAAAGGAGATGAAAACTTCTGCCCACATTGACCAAACTTGGAAGGGTCCTTTAATAGGTGAATGAGCAGGCACACTGTGGTGCACCCGGACCATGGAGTATTATTCAGCGCTGAAAAGAAATGAGCTCTCAAGCCATGAAAAATGGAGCAAACTTGAACACCTATTGCTTGGTCAAAGAGGCCAATGGGAAAAGGCTACCGACTGTAGGATTCCAGCTCACGGCATTCTGGAAAAGGCTGAGCTATGGAGACAGTGAGACATCAGTGGTTGCCTGGGGCGCAGGAGAGGGATGGGGGAGAGGGAGGAATGACGAGGGGGAGCTCAGGGGATCATTAGAGTGGTGGGATGACTCCATGTGACACTGTAATCCCAGCTACTCGGGAGGCTGAGGCAGGAGAATCGCTTGAACCCAGGAGGCAAGGTTGCAGAGAGCTGAGATTGCGCCACTGCACTGCAGCCTAGGTGACAGAGCAAGACTCTGTCTCAAAGACAAAGAAACAAACACACAAGAAACGTTCACAGCACCATTATTCAAAATAGCCAAAAAGAGAACACAGCCCAAATGTCCGTCAGCGGATGAACTGATCAACACTGCGCGGGATAAGGTGGACACCCCCACTCCGATAAACACCGCGTGGGATAAGGTGGACACCCCACTCCGATAAACACCACGCGGGATAAGGTGGACACCCCACTCCGATAAACACCACGCGGGATAAGGTGGACACCCCCACTCCGATAAACACCGCGTGGGATAAGGTGGACACCCCACTCCGATAAACACCACGCGGGATAAGGTGGACACCCCACTCCGATAAACACCACGCGGGATAAGGTGGACACCCCCACTCCGATAAACACCGCGTGGGATAAGGTGGACACCCCACTCCGATAAACACCGCGTGGGATAAGGTGGACACCCCACTCCGATAAACACCACGCGGGATAAGGTGGACACCCCCACTCCGATAAACACCACGCGGGATAAGGTGGACACCCCCACTCCGATAAACACCGCGTGGGATAAGGTGGACACCCCACTCCGATAAACACCACGCGGGATAAGGTGGACACCCCCACTCCGATAACCACCACGCGGGATACAGTGGACACCCCCACTCCGATAAACACCACGCGGGATAAGGTGGACACCCCCACTCCGATAAACACAGCACGGGATAAGGTGGACACCCCACTCCGATAAACACAGAGTGGGATAAGGTGGACACCCCACTCTGATAAACACCACGCGGGATAAGGTGGACACCCCACTCCGATAACCACCACGCGGGATACAGTGGACACCCCCACTCCGATAAACACCACGCAGGATATGGCGGACACTGCACTCCGATAAACACCACGCAGGATACGGTGGACACCCCCACTCCGATAAACACCACGCAGGATATGGTGGACACCCCACTCTGATAAACCCCACGCAGGATATGGTGGACACCCCCACTCTGATAAACACCACACAGGATATGATGGACACCCCACTCCGATAAACACCACGTAGGATATGGTGGACACCCCCACTCCGATAAACACAGCACGGGATAAGGTGGACACCCCCACTCCGATAAACACAGCGCGGGATAAGGTTGACACCCCACTCCGATAAACACCACGCAGGATACGGTGGACCCCCCCACTCCGATAAACACCACGCGGGATAAGGTGGACACCCCCACTCCGATAAATGCTGCGCAGGATAAGGTGGACACCCCACTCCGATAAACACAGCACGGGATAAGGTGGACACCCCCACTCCGATAAACACAGCACGGGATAAGGTGGACACCCCACTCCGATAAACACAGAGTGGGATAAGGTGGACACCCCACTCCAATAAACACCACGCGGGATAAGGTGGACACCCCCACTCCGATAAACACCACTCGGGACAAGGTGGACACCCCACTCCGATAAACGCCGTGCGGGATAAGGGGGACACCCCCGCTCCAAAAATCCAAAACCCAAAAAGCTCCAAGGTCCCAAATGTTCTGAGTACCGATAACGACGCCACAAGTGAAAACTTTCACAGCTGACCTCATGTGACCGGTCACAGTTAAGACACAGTCAAAACTTCGCTTCGTGCACAAAATTATTAAAAACTTTGTGTAAAGTTATCTTCAAGCTACGTGTGTAAAGTGTACGCGAAATACAGATGAATTTTGTGTTTAGACTTGAGTCTGTGGAACTGCAGGTCCCGGTGTCGGCGGTGGGGCCGGGTGGGAGGTGGCTGCACCGTGGGTGGATTGCTCATGTCTCCTGAATGGTTCAGCGCCATCCCCGCGGTGCTGTCCTCAGGGCAGTGAGTGCTCGCGAAACCTGGCTGTTGAAAAGCCTACGGCGCCCCCCCCCTCACTCTCTCCTGCTGTGTAAGATGGATCAGCTCCTCCTTCACCTTTGCCACGACTCTAAGTTTCCTGAGGCCTCCCAAGCCATGTTTCTTGCAGAGCCTGCAAAAACGTGAACCAATTAAACCTTTTCTTTATTCACTACCCAGTCTCAGGTGTTTGTTTCCTTCTTTTTTTTTTTTTTTCTTGTGACGTAGTCTCATTTTTGCCCAGGCTGCGGGGCAGTGGCGCGATCTTGGCTCACTGCAACCTCCACCTCCCGGGTTCAAGCGATTCTCCTGCCTCAGCCTCCCGAGTAGCCGGGATTACAGGCACACACCACCATGCCCAGCTAAGTTTTGTATTTTTAGTAGAGACAGGTTTTGCCATGTTGGCCAAGCTGGTCTTGAACTCCTGACCTCAAGTGATCTGCCCACCTCAGTCTCCCAAAGTGCTGGGATTCAGGCGTCAGCCACCACGCCCAGCCTCAGTTATTTCTTTATAGCAGTGCAAGAACAGACTAATCCAGACTTAGGGCCCATCTCCAAGATATCTCAGGATGTATATGCAAATATTCAAAAAAAGAAAATCTCAAATTCGAAATACTCTGGTCTCATGTTTGCTTCTGGTGGGGCCGGAAGCAAGGCTGGCTTATGCCTGGCTCCATGTCGGGGGCGTCTCCCTCAGGTTCTCCAGGGCGGGCTCACTTCCAGCCTGAACAGAATCCTCCGTGTCATAAACCGGCGCCCTCGGCTCAGAGAGCAAACCCAGTCCCCTGCGGGCCACAGCGCAGACAAGGTCCACTAAGCAGGGCAGAGCCAAGGCTGGCCGTGGCCTCAGGGCAGTCACAGCTTCCTGCTGCTGTTCCACACACACCCGCCACGCAGGCCCACTTCTGGCGTCCAGCGGGGCCTGGGGGACCTTATGCCTGAGGCTGGGACTCTGGGGATGCCGGCCAGCTGCCCTCATGGAGAGCCCAGGCTGTGTGGACAAGAGGACGCTCCAGCAGACCAGGCTCGGGATGGGAGATCCCCTCACCCCAGTGTCTCCGGGCCCTGAGCCCAAGTCAGGACCGGGTTGGAGCCGAATCCAGCAGGTGGCCTGGCGGGCTGAGGACTCGAGGCTCCACAGTGCCAGGAAGACGAGCGGCAGGGACTGGGAAAGTACACGTGTTTGTAACACGCTGTGGGCCGGCTGCTGAGGCCAGAGGTGGGGCCAGGGTGAGCTCAGGGTGGGGGCTGCAGGGTGAGGCAGGAGGGGCCCTGCAAAAATCAGAGAAAGCCTGGCTTCCTCTTTCGTCACCACAGGGCGAGGCCCGCATCCAGAGCCTGGGCGAGGGGGTTAACCTTGCCTGCCTGGAAGCTTCATCTGCCAAGGCAGAGTCCCGTTCAGGGCCCTCCCACCACCACCCACCAGGAAGCTGGTCCCTGTTCTTCCCCGGAGCCTCATACTTACGTCATCATACAAAGAGCCGCTGATGTCAGCCCCGTAGATCGGGGAGACAAAGGTGAGGTTCTTCCAGTATTTGCGTTCAAGGTCATCAAAGTCCTGGTGCCGCGGGGTACAGTACCTGGTGAACAAACACCCCAAAACCAGCTCAGGGTGAGGCCTGGGTGCTACGCAGCCCACCCTCAGCCACCTGGAACCCAGGGCACCCATGAAAGAGGCGGGAGGGGCTCTGCTCCGACTGCCCGCTGCCCCGCCTAGGGTACCACGCAACCTGCTTCCGGGTGGGACAGCGCACTTCCACGGGCGAGCAGTGGCCCAAACCCACGTACCCCTCCTCAGTTATCCTGGCCCGGGGCACCCACATCAGAACACACGCCAGGGGGAGTGGGCAGGGGACAGAGGCCCTGGGAGGCTCTTGTCATCCCTGTGTGGCAAAGACTGAGCTCAGACGACAGACTAGGGGGCTGGGAAGGCCGGGTGAGCAGGACAGACCAGGCTCTGCTCTGGTGCCAGAGCCACAAGGCACGTGAACCTCAGAGAGCAACAGGGTGGAGGCCACAGACAGGGTGGAGGCCACAGACAGAGAGGAGGGCACGGCGACGGGACAGGCCTGCGCAGCACGGAGGCTACGTGGCTGTGCCTGCTGAACCAGGGAGCTGTACTCGGAACACTGCCGGTACACGCAGGTGCCATGTGTACCTGGGTAGGCGCCCATAGGTGTGCCCACATGGATGTGCCTGTGTACCTGTGCATGAGCCTGTGTGTCCCTGTGTAGAAACGTGCGTGTGCCATGTGTACCCGTGTGTGCCTGTGTATGGACGTGCGTGTGCCCTGTGTACCCATGTGTGTTACATGTGCCCTCGTGTGTTCTGTGTCTGTGCCCTCCTGTGTGCCTGTGCATGTACCCGTGTGGAGCCAGGGAGCCCTCTCTGAGGAGGGGCCACAAGCCCAGGTGTCACAGGAGGGTGTGGAGGACGTGCTCCCAGGCCGGGGACCAGGACACCGCCCGACATGCACTGGGAAGCCCTGGGAAACTGAGATGAGGGCGGTGTGGGTCAGCCCAGGCCGGGAGAGGGTCCAGATCCACCCTGGGAGCAGGGGTCGCCACAGCCCACACGGGGCACACAGAGCAGGCCGGCCATGCTGTGGGGGCTGCGTGTACCGCACCTTCTCTGCCCCCAGGGCCCCCATGAGCAGGTGTGCCCCCGGGGGCGGGGGTCAGGTCCGCCCTGCCCGCCCCGCGTACTTCTCGCTGTTGGCCAGGCGGCGGTACTCGCCCACTGTCATGGCCTTCTTCTGGATATTGTACTGCGTGAAGAGGCCCGACTGGCCCGTCACCACCTGCTGGATGGGCGCCGGGATCACCACGTCGTCGATGTCATCATACGTCTGCCGCGGCTTCCACTCCTTCGGGGGGATGATCTGCAAGACCAAGATGGGAGTCAGTGGCACCCTCAGACCCTCAGGGCAGGGCCAGAGAGCAGACTGTGCCACCGGCTCCCCAGAGACCAGCACCCCCCAAGATCTGCACCTCGGGACACCCCCCAGGGGCACGAGGAACCCCCCCATTTGCCTTATCAAACTCCCCAGAAGACTCTGCAGCCAACAAGGGCCTCACCTGCTAGGGCAGAGCCATCCTCCAGGCCTGGGAAGCTGGGTACAGCACCCCCCCAGCACCAGGGCCAACCCTGACACGTGTGTGCAGGATTAGACTCAGCAAACATAGGTGGCACTGGGCGTGTGTGTGTTCTGGCATCTTGAGGCTCAGAGACTCGTATTTTGAGGCAT
The DNA here is from genome assembly GCF_000001405.40 of Homo sapiens. NCBI lineage: Eukaryota > Metazoa > Chordata > Mammalia > Primates > Hominidae > Homo > Homo sapiens. The sequence continues at coordinate 5,039,469 of NC_000019.10, read as the reverse complement.
TTGTTGTTGTTGTTGTTGAGACAGGGTCTTGCTGTCACTCAGGCTGGACTGCAGTGGCACAATCATAGCTCACTGCAGCCTCCAACTCCTGGACTCACGTGATCCTCCCACCTCAGCCTCCCGAGTAGTGGGGACCACAGACTTGCACCACCATGCCCAGCTAATTTTTTTAAAAAATTTTAATTTTCTCTAGAGATGGAGTCTCATTTTGTTGCACAGGCTGGTCTCAAACTCCTGGCCTCAAGTGATTCTCCTGTCTCAGCCTCCCAAAGTGCTGGGATCACAGATGTGAGCCACTGCGCCCTGGTAAGGCATTTTTCAAAACGGGAATCTTCATGCTTGGTCATAAGCGCTGCAGCTCACAATGCCCTCTGGCAGCAGGAAGTGAGAACTGCACCCACTGGCTACCAAGAGCCCACCAGGGGCCACATGCACCTGGAGAACAGGGGTTGGAGCCCAGACACTATCCCCAGTGGCTCCACTTGGCTGAGACCCACTATGGGGCAACCCAAGTTCTAGGAGCTAGGAAACACTGGGAAACAGATCCAGCCCCCATGGGCCTCCGCCCCGCCTGGAGTGAGCCAACAGGAAGTGCAGGCGCAGGGAGGGTGACAGCACCACATGGGACAGGGGCCGTGAGGCAGGACAGGAGCTGTGCGGAGCTGGGCACTGTGCAGAGCGTGCTGGGGCCCAGCGCACCCATCTCCTGGGTGGGAGGAATGGCAGAGCTCCCATCTGACCGCTGAAGAAACTGAGGCACACAGCGATCCACAACACAGCCCGGGGCACCCTGGGGTGAGCAGACAGACTATGGCCCAGGACCTCTAGCCTGGCGGCCACGTGGACTTCCACCCCAGAGAGGTCCTGGGCCACCTCAGACACTGGAACACGCGGAGAAGACAGCAGAGGAAGACAAGGACCAGCACCTGTCAGAGGCGGCACTGCAGCCGGAACCCGGTGCCTTCACTAATTTAGAGTTAAACCGAGACAAGGCTGGTCCCAAGGAAAGGACAGTCCAGGTTAGCGCCGGCTCTTTCTGGAGACATCCAGGAGCTGAGGGACCAGGGCTATCCGGAGTACACGCCTCACCCTGGGCTCCTGGCCTTGTCCCCAGCCTCATGTTCCCTCCTCTGGTGGGGGTGAGCCTATGGGCCGACAAGACCAGATTCTAGACTGCCGGTGGGCACCACGGGCCTTCTGGGTGCCAGGCACCCTTCTGTGCAGGCCCTCCCAGCCGCTCCGGGGCTGCCACACCCAGTCCTGGGGTGGGCACTGCAGGCCCCACGCCTCCTTCCAGGAGTCGACCGGGCCACCCACTGCACAGGGAGAAGGAACTAACCCACCCGCTTCGGCTCATCTGCCAGGAATCTGGCAAGCTGCCCCTCCGCGCCCCGGGCCACCAAGGGAAGAGCTGTGTGTTGACGCCTGCATCGCTGGCAGCTTCCAGAACGGCTAAAATCCATTTACTGTCCCCAAGGACCCAGCGATCACATCAGTGAAGAAACTGTTTTGCTTGGCAATGAAAACACTTATCCTCCAGGTGCCTGTTAACGACAGGAAGGTGCTGCCTCCGTGGCCGGCATGCACAGGTTTCTTTAGCAAAAGCAGTAACAGCAGCAGCAGCCGCAGCGAGCAGGTGGCTCTCAACTGAGGGGGGGTCTTGTCCCCCAGGGGACACCTGGCCATGTCTGGGGATGTCTGTGGCTTTCACGACTGAGGGTGCTCCTGGCATGAGGTAGATGGAGGCCAGGGAAGCTGCTCAGCACCCTGCAATGCCCAGGATGGCGCCACCCCAGAGAACGATGCGGCCCCAAGTCCACAGTGCCAAGCGAAGAGAAACACTAATTTAGAGTTAAACCAAGATGAGGCCGGTCCCAAGGAAAGGACAGTCCAGCTTAGCGCCGGCTCTTTCTGGAGACTCTCCATGTCCACTATGGCCACAGTGCAAAAGGCGCCTGGGGCACCTGTCCCTGGCACAGGCTGTGTGATGGCAGGGTGCTGGGGCAGCTGCGGGGCTGCCGTTCTCTTAGATTTCAGGGGAGCAGCTGAAGAGTCAGTGAGACACGAAGACATTGAGGAGTGGAAAGGCGAGAAACAGAAACAAAAGGGCCTGTGTCCCAGACACGAGATGTTACTACAGAGAACTGAGTGGTATGGTCAGAGACCCACAGGCCAGCACTGCTCTGAATCACACAGACACTGTCCCCCCTCTCCAGGAAGCCCCAGTCTGCTTCTGCAGGAGGGTTCCATGAACCTGGCCCGGCTCCAAATCCACGCCAAAGCCGCTGGCCGAGGGGAAGCCGTGAATTCGCCTCTTCAGTGCTATTAGAGGAAACTCGCCCATGATCCTAGTCTGCTAAATGAACAAAAACACTTCGCTCCCGATTCCTCTGCTCTTGAAAGAACGCCTCGGGCTACATTGCTCATCTGTCCCTTCCACGGCGGGCACTGTGTAGTAAAGACATCTGGGAGCCACGCAGGAAGCTCCAAACACCCCCACGGTGTCTGCGCCGCACACACGGAGCCACACTCTAGGTGACACAGCCCAGGCAGGTGCTGACAGGCAGCGTGAACGAGGGCCACTTCCAGCTGGGCTCAAACCCGAAGGCTCTGGGAAAATCCCGCAGGGCGGAAGAGGACAGAAGTGACATCCCACAATCTGCCGAGACGCAAATCCAGAAGGAGGGCTCCAGGCGGGGAGGGTTGAAAAGGAGGCACTGAAAGCCGCTCGGGACATTCCTACTGCCACACTCGGGTCTTCCAGGCCTCCGGCGGCCCCTGAAAGTGCCTCACACGGGGCTCCTGGGGGGCCAGATTCAGCTGAGGCCAGGAAGGCGACCGGCCACATGCCAACAGTGAGAGGCAGATGCCGGCGGGTGGTATAGCTGAGGGCAGCCAGGGCCTCCCCTGCTGGCACCCGCCTGGGAGGCAGCTGGTGGGGGTGGAGGGGCACTGGAAGTTCCCACCCCTCCCAACAGGACCCCCGACGGGGCCTTCCAGGGCTCCTCTCACCTCAGTGCTTCCCAAGTGGTCGGGGACACCCCGTGTGGAGGGCCCAGCAACTCCAGTGGAAGGCTTCCTGCACCCAGGGCACCGCCAGCTCCAGGGCCCTCTCAGGGCTGTGCCCGCAGCTCCCGCCCCCACCGAGCTCCATCGGGCCTGCAGATCTCTGCTGGGGGCAGGGGCGATGTATAACCAAACACAGTTTTGATGGAACCAGGAAACCCCCAGCTCCCCCACCACACACATACATGCACGCACACACACAGTGGTCAAGGCAGGCAGACCAGGGTGAGAGGGGGACCCCAACACCCCCACAGCTCGCTCAGAACCAGCAGGGCACTGTGCTCCTTCTCCAAAGAGGCTGGCTGCCCCGAGCCAAGGGCCCCCCATTTGGAAGACGCAGGGCTGCCCAGGGCCAGAGCAGATGCTTCCCTGAGCCCATCTGTCCCCACAGAGCTGCAGAAGGGGGTGTGCGTGTGCCACATGCGGGTGCCAACGTGACTCTGCAGCTGCCAAGCTCTCTGGGCTGTGTGAGAGCTGCCTCCCCACCTCAGTCTCCTGTGCGCGCAGGCGCGCGCGCGCGCGCACACACACACACACACAGAGACACGTGCACACACAGCCCCTCCACAGCATGGGACCCGGACGGCCCCCTACTGCCCAGCCCCCTCCACGGGTTTGAGAAAGGATTCTCTGCACTGGTGCAAGGAGAAGCAGCATGGGAGCTGCCGCTGCAGAGGCATGGGAAGGAACACGCAGAACGCAAGGCAGGGAAACCATACTCCCCACACTGGCTTAAGACGCCGGTGCCAAGAATCTCGGGGGAACTGGCCTGGGGGGAGTGCAGAAACCTGAAGCAGCGACATGAGGGCTCAAAGAGGCGGCAGCCAAGGAGGCAGAGGGAGGGAGGGACGAAGCGGAGGTGCCAGCGCGGGGGAGGACAGGCCACCCGGGAACCCAGGCTGCACCCAAGGCCGCCACGTGGAGGGCAGAGAGAGCCGGAAACACCGGGGCATGGAGCCCGGTGGGAGGTGAGGGATGAGGAAGAAGTGACGGGGCGGGCATTTAAAGGCACCTCGGAAGAGCGCAGGGCGGTCTGAGATGCTGATTCCCCTCAACGTCCTGACATCAGGACGCCTTGGATCCCAAGCCAGAAAGGGCTGCTGCATCCTGGGAAATGTGGAAGTAGGTCAAGGGCAGGAGACAGAGGCAGATGCGGTGCCAGGATAAAGGGAGGCGACGCCTGTCCCACCTGCCCTATGTGCACCAGGGAGAGGAGGAAGAGGAGGACCTGGGCCTTTCCTGGGATAGCAGCCTGTGGCCTAGAGGGCCAGAGAAGACGGTCTGAGATGAGATAGGAGGACCAAAGCCTTTTAAAGACAGAACTGAAGCCGGGACGGCAGCAGCCCCCACCGTTCTGACCCGGACACAGATGTGCCATCATTCCCACATCGTCATGGTGTGTTACAATCAAAAATCCAGCTTGGTGGTGCACACCTGTGGTCCCAGCTACTCGGGAAGCTGAGGCTGGAGGACTGCTTGAGCCCAGGAGGTCAAGGCTGCAGTGAGCCGTGATCGCAGCACTGCACCCCAGCACCCCAGCCTGGGCGACAGAGCCAGACCCCCTCTCAAAACAGAAAAAACATCCATCTTGGAGGGGAAGAAAAGATGGTGCGAGACTGCTTCCCTCGCTCTACAGCTCAGAGACAAAGAAATAACAATGCGAGTCTGATACCGAAGGATCACTAGGAGAGAGACGAAGGCTACTGACAAAATCCACCAAAACCAGGGAGTGGAGGGAGGGGCAGGGTGGAGGCGGCCCGGAAAGGCAGGAGGCCTCAGCGCTCAGCAAACTGCGGCCCTCGGGCCGAATCAGCCCCTTCCTGCTTCTGTATAGCCTTTGAGTTATGAAGGCTTTTGTTTGTTTGTTTTCATTTTTAAGTGGTTGGGGGAAAAGAAAAAAGCAGAAGACGTGAAAACAATACGCGTTTGCCCTCCAGCATCCAGGAATAATGTTGTATTGGCACAGGGCCGTGCACTTTCATTCACACGGCGTCTGGTTGCTCTTTCTGGCTCACAGAGCCTAGGCGTTCACCCTCTGGCCGTGTGTAGAGACTGCCCGCCAACCCCTGGCCTAACTGAGGAAGAACAGCGATAGTCAAACAGCAGGCAACTGGAAGAACCCAAAATGCAACGACGATTCATCTTCCAAACTGAGGGGTGAGCACTGCTCGAACAGGCCCACACCCGAACACAGAGACTCACGGACCACGGCAGCCACCTTCAGAGCCGTGAAACGTGCAGCACCAACTTTTAAGTTTGTTTTGTTTTGTGAGACAGAATCTTCCTCTGTCGTCCAGGCTGGAGTGCAGTGGTGCAATCTCAGCTCACTGCAGCCTCAACCTCCCTGGCTCAAGTGATCCTCCCGCCTCAGCCTCCCGAGTAGCTGGGACCACAGACATGTACCAACACCACGCCTGGCTCATTTTTGTATTTTTAGTAGAGATGGGATCTCACTGTGTTGGCCAGCTTGGTCTTGAACTCCTGGCCTCAAGCAATCCCCCTGCCTCAGCCTCCCAAAATGCTGGGATTACAGGCCTGGGCCACCATGCCCAGACGAGCAGAATGGTACTGTACATACTCAGCATGTGGGGTTCGGGGGTCTGCTGTGTGTATTCACGTACACGCGTGCACAATATGCCGAGAGAGAGAGAGAGAAGAACCAATAACAGTGCTGCTTCCAGGGAGAGGGTGGGGGACTGGGTCGGGACAGGGAGGAGGCTCCTGGTCACTATGTACCTGCGCTGTCGCCCTGTTTGAGTTTTCCTGACCCAGTCACTCTGCCATCTCAAAAAGATTGTTTCTGGTGTGGTCTGACTTGGTTTTTGAGACAGGGTCTTGCTCTGCTGCCGGGGCAGGAGCGCAGTAGCACGGTCATAGCTCATTGCAGCCTCTAATTCCTGGGCTCAAGCAATCCTCCTGCCTCACCCTCCCAAATAGCTGGGACCACAGGCATGCACCACCATACCCAGCTTAAAAAAAAAAAGTTTTACTAGGAAAGTAAGGCCTTCCTGGGCACTGAACACCCCTGGAAGGCGTCCCTCAGTGAGACGTCAGCTCACGGCCAGAACAACCTGGTGGCCCACTGCCCCTGGGCTTCACTGCAGTGTGGCTGTGTGTCCTCACCACCCCCTGCCAGCTCCCTGGAGCCAGGGCCTGCACCGGCCACTTCTCAACTCCAGTGCCTAGAATGGTGCCTGGCACATTGTTGGAACTCCACAAACAGGCGCTGGTAAACGAGCTGGGAGTGGCCCCGAAACACATTCCACGTGCACAGGCCACGCCTGTGGGGCTGGCTGAGCTGGGACCCAGGATGTCCGCAGGCCCGCGGCGCAGGCTGATGGAGGGCCGCGCTGGGGCCAGGATGTCACCCACCTTGGCCAGGCCCGCCCGGTGGGCTCCCTGCGACTCTATGTAGGCCACGTATTTGTTGAAGTCTTTAAATTCTTCCATGGTTGGGCGAAACGTCATGATTTTACAGCTGGGGTTCTGGGCGCCGTGGTCCTCAGACCCCATGGCTGCAGCTGTGCGGGAAGCACACCTGTGGAGGAAGACGAGAGAGGGTGAACCAGCGGTGCCGCCATGCCCAGCCCTTGGAGCCCGTCCTCCCTCAGAACGGAGCGTGCTAAAAATACCGTGGCCACCAGGAGGACAAAGGCGGCTGGGCCCTCGCGGCTGAGTGAGGGCAGAAGAGAAAACCACGAGCGGCCTCGTCACTCTGCTGAGCATAAAAGGCACGAGGGCTGCAGCTAACGAGAAGCAGAGGCGTCCTAGTTTCTAAGGCCGAGGCGACACCGGGAGCCAGTGCGCTAATTTTAAGCGGGGCCTCGGAGAGAAAGGTTTACGTATCAGGGACGCCACAGGTGTGTCAGCGTCCGCTGCACATCAGTCTCTCTGCTCTGAGCCTGATCCGCACGAGAGACCGCGGCATCTGCGGGTTTTCGAAGGTGAGGGCGGCCATGGGTGAGGGTCACACGCTCAAGGGCAGGGGGACCCACCCCTCGGAGCAGGCCTGTGGGTCACGGGGGGCTGGCTGGCTGCTGCCAGCAGAACTCAGGCCCTAGCAGGAACCTTGACCCAGGAGAGCAGCAGGCCCGCCCAAGACGGCTCATTTCCTGCCATCATAGCTGCCCAGAGTCACGCGGGTCATAAACCAGCCCACCAGCCCTGTACAGAATGGGGGATTGCACCAGGCCAAGTGATTCACTGACGGCACCCGCCTGGAAACATCGGAGTCAGACTGTCCTCTCCACGGAGGCTGCGGGCGGGAGCGGCTCCCTCCTGTCCCAGGTGTTGCAGGGTGGGAACTGGTAGCCCACCCCGACCAGGAAGGGACTTTGATCACAGACTCTGGGGAAGGGTCCTCCTTGGCAGGTTCAATCTCCAAAGGCAGAAAGACGACAGAATCCCTCTAGGATTCGGAAACAAGGACCCAAGTCCACACAAACCCAAAAACTTAGAAAAAACTTAACAAAATCCACCTCCCCACGCTGTGACCCCCAAAGTGATCTAGAGTGTGAAGGAAACAAGGCAGGGAGCCGCCCAGACAGTCCCGGGAGTGGGGTTCCCAGCCACCAAGGTGCAGCCACCCGCTCCTGAAGGCACTCCCCACTGCGGGCACTAGAGGGCAGCATGCACCCAGGAATCTGAGCAGGACGGCAGGGAGGCCCCAGCTAGGCTTGCACTGGTGTCCAGAACCCTCCATCCTGACAAAAGCAAAGCCGAGGTCGCCCCCTGGCCTCCACCTACTGCCTTGGGTCCACCCCATACCCTGCCTGCAGCACACAGGGCTGATACCCAGCGCTGAGCCCCAGCCCTGACGTCACACCCCGCGCTGGGCTGCTGCTGAGAGACCCCCACTGGGTTTGACAAAACCGCACAGCTCCAAGCCCACGTGGGCTGAGGCCCTGCCCGCCACCCTTGCTCTGTGCAGAGTCCTCGCAGCTTCTCCCATGGGGCAGCCGCAAAGCCAGTGTCTGCACAGGAGGCCCCAAGTGCACCGTGCACGGCACGTGACCACGTGCAGCCTAGAAATGTAGACTAGACGGTCACAGTGTGTGTCAAGGCAAGGCACCTGTCACAGTCACCAGAGCTGCCTGTGCCCAGAGACCAGCCTCTGACTGCGCGGGGCCTCCCAGGCCACCACACTGTCCCAGCGGGCCCCTCGCCCACAGCCAGGTCCCAGTACCCAATCCTCACCTGCGACCCCGCCAACCCCACAGGCCCCAGGATCCCCCCAACGCTGCACCTGCCCTCCCGCTCTCACCCAGATGTGGCCATGTAGTGTTCACCCAGGGCCTGCGCACTGTCCCCAGGGAGCCACCGGCTCAGAGGGAGCAGAGGCCGCAGCTGGACCACTGTGGGACCCTCAGTGCCGGCCTGAGCTGGGCCAGTAGCCACGATGGGAGCTGCCAAGGCACCTGTCAGGGCAGCCCTCTGGGAGGACTGGGTGGCAGAACGCGGTCACCTCAGGCCTCCTACTGGTCCCCAGCCCTCAGAGGCCGGGCCAAAGGCCTGAGGCCATCCCTGGATCTGCCACAAACAGTGCCCAGATGCGGTGGTGGCCACAGTGGTCCCCACATCAGCACTTCCCGGGTCCCTGGCCCTGCTCTGTGCATCACAGATGATGACATGGTCGACTGAGCTTATTGAGGAGGCACAGAGGCCCACGAGGGGCAGTTGTGGGCCTAGGCCACACGGCACACAGCTGGGCTGCATGCTATGCCAGGGCACTGCCATGACCGCATGAGTCTCCCCCTGCGCTTTGGCAGCTGGTGGAGGCGCTGGGACCCTCGTGCACCCAGCAGCCCCTGTCCCTGGCTGCCTCTCTGCAGGCCGGTGCACACATGGCCTCTTCCTGCCTCCCTGTAACCCACTGCAAGGGCCATCAGCTCCCAGGAAGCCCTCAAGTAAGAGTCATGTGAGGGGCTGGCCCACCCCCCTCTGCAGGCTCTGACCTCCAGGTCATCAAAGCCCACCTGCCCCACAGGACTGGCCACAGGGTGACCTATGCAGTATGGGGCCTGCCACACTCTCATGTCCCCCAGACCAGCTGGGCCCAGGAAGGACAGGGCCTGGGGCAGGGCTGGACGGCCCAAGGGATGCCTCAAACTTGTGCTCTGTACGACAGGAAAGCGCTAGGCACGGTGGCACACACCTGTGGTCCCAGCTACATGGGAGGTAGAGGCAGGAGGATCACTCTAGCCTGGGAGGTCGAGGCTTCAGTGAGCTGTGATTGCGCCACTGCACTCCAGCCTGGGTGACAGTGATCCTGTCTCAAAAAATAGATAAATAAATAAATAATAAAAAGGGGGGCTCCCCACACCTCGTGGGGTTGCGGGGGCTCGTCTGGAAAGCACGTGGCCACAGCTGCCAGCAGCACACCCTGCAGTGTCAGGTGACAAAAGCCCATGGCAGGTTACGCATCAAAACCCACGCTGGGGAGACCCAGACAGCCCTTCCATCTGGAAGGTGGAGCCGTGACACCGGGAGCCACTCTCAGCACAGGGACTCAGGCACTTCACCCACCACCGCCCCCTAGGGGCAACTTGGTGCACTTTTTAAGAAACTATTGTTTTTTGAGACAGCATCTGGCTCTGTCGCCCAGGCTGGAGTGCAGTGGCACGGTCACGGTTCACTGCAGCCTCAACCTCCTGGGCTCAAGCCATCCTCCCGCCTCAGCCTCCCAACTAGCTGGGACCACAGGTGTGTGCCACCACACCTGGCTAATTTTTGTACTTTTTGTAGAGACGGGGTCTTGCCATGTTGCCCTGGCTGCTAATAAACGCCTGGCCTGAAATGATCCTCCCGCCTTGGCCTCCCAAAGTATTGGCATTACAGGGATGAGCCATCATGCCCAGCCATTTGTGCCTTTGGAAATGACATGCTTAGGAAGTAAATCATACAGAGAAAACTAAAATGGTCCACAATCCCCACGCGCCATAACCTTGACGCACGTGCAACACAGCTAAACAGGGAAGAGGGAATTTACTGAAATGCAGTCCTGTGACTGACCTTCCAGGTCACCAGGAATGTGGCAGACAGAGGACACAGGATGACTCGGGGGCATCAGACACCCTGGAAGAGCCAGAGGAGCTGCCCGGCAACAGCAACATGCTCACAACGGCGCCACGCCAAGGAATGGGGCTCTCAACTCAGAGGCAAAGACAAACAGCCCAGTAAAAATGGGCCAAGGCTGGTGGGCGCGGTGGCTCATGCCTGTAATCCCAGCACTTTGGGAGGCCAAGGCAGGAAGATCACTTGAGGCCAGGAGTTTGACATCAGCATAAGCAACATAGTGAGACTCCGTCTCTATAAAAAATACAAAAATTAGCCAGGTGTGGCGGTCTGCACCTGTACTCCCAGCTACTTGGGAGGGTGAGGCAGGAGAATCGCTTGAGCTGGGAAGGCAGAGGTTGCAGTGAGCCAAGATTGCACCACTGCACTCCAGCCTTCCAGCCTGGGCTACAGGAGCGAAACCATGTCTAAAAAACCAGCAAAAAACAGGCCAAGGACTTGGGCAGACAGCTCTCCAAAGTAGACAAATGGCCAACAAGCACGTGAAAAGGTGCCCAGCAGCACTCAGCACCAGGGAAATGCAAATCAGAACCACAATGAGCCACCACCTCACTCCCACCAGGATGGCAGAATCAGAATGACAGACGGTGACACTGTGGGCAGGGATGTGGAGAAATTGGGGCCCTCGAACACAGGCTGGCAGGACGGTGACGTGGGACAGCTGCTCTGCAAGACAGCTTGGCAGCTCCTGGAAATGTCACACATAAATCACACTTGACCCAGCAATTCCACTCCTGCGTATCTGCCCAAGAGAAATGAAAACATCCATCCACACAGAAACGTGTACACCACGTCTGCAGAAGCACAATTCCCAACAGCCAAAGGTGGAAACGACCCAGGTGTCCACCAACAGAAGAATGAATCAACACAACATGGCCCATCCATGCGGTGGAATACGACACAGCCATGAAAAGCAACGAGGCTCTGACACAGGCGCCACATGGAGGAACCTTGAGGACATCACAGTGAGAGAAGCCAGACACAAAAGGCCGTGTGTTACACCCCAGGCTACAGGGCTTCTCTGTAGGGGATGCCAATGTTCTCCACTGACTGTGGCCAGTGCAGTGGCTCGCACCTGTAATCCCAGAACTCTGGGGGGCTGAGGCGGGAGGGGTGCTCTAGCCCAGGAGTTCGAGACCAGCCTAGGCAACGTAGGGAGACCCCATCTCTACTAAAAATTAAAATAAAAAATTAGCCAGGCATGGTGGTGCGTGCCTGCCAACTACTCAAAAAGCTGAGGCAGGAGTATCACTTGAGGCCAGGATTTCGAGGCTGCAGTGAGCTATGACTGCACCCCTGCACTCCAGCCTCTGGGCAACAGAGCAAGACCCTGTCTCTAAAAAGTAAATGAATAAAAATCAAATTGTGATGATAGTTGCACAAGTTTTTGAATATACTGAAAACTGTGGAACTGGACACTTTAAATGGGTGAACAAATGAGTGTGCAAATTATATCTAATAAAGCTCTTAGCAAAAAAATTAAAAAGAAGGCTGGGTGCGGTGGCTCACGCCTGTAATCCCAGCACTTTGTGAGGCCAAGGTGGGCAGACTGCCTGAGGTCAGGAGTTCGTGACCAGCCTGGCCAGCACCATGAACCCCATCTCTACTCAAAAATATGAAAATTAGCCGGGTGTGGTGGTGGGTGCCTGTAACCCCAGCTACTCAGGAGGCTGAGGCAAGAGAATTGCTTGAACCCGGGAGGCAGAGGTTGCAGTGAGCCAAGATTGCGCCATTGCACTCCAGCCTGGGTGACGAGAAACTCCGTCTCAAAAAAAAAAAAAAAAACTGAAAAGAGAGAGAAGAAAGGGAGGGAGGAAGAATGATGGAAAGAAGAAAGAATAATGCTCTCCTGAACTCGCAAAAGAAGAGAGGAAACTGGCACTCTTCTCAGCTGAGAGAGGACAAGGAGACATCCCCAGCCATGCAAACGGCAGCTTCATCCCAGACCTTTTGTCTTGGGGACACGCGGGGAGGCGTGGGAAACAGCCGGGTGTGAGCCAACACTATGGAGTGGTGGTGGGCTTCACGGTCACAGAGAGACACATCCTTCCTGTGATTTGGGGTGGGCGCCACAGTGCCTGCTGTGCATGTTTAGCAGCCCTGGCACAAATACACAGATGTGGAAACAGACGCAGGGCAACCGTACCGGCTTCTGCCTCTGCCGGCCTCTGCCTGGTGGCACCCTGCACCTGCCGCTGCTCATAGTGCTGCTGCCAGGCCCACCCTTCCTTGGAGACCCCTTTCTCTGTCTCCCGCTCACGGGACTCTGGGCCTCGGGGTGCCGTGAAGGCCTCAGCTGGGCCAAAGGAGGCCTCGGCTGCCCCGTGGTGTGAGCTGGCTGGAGCCAGGCCAACATAGTTCCCAACAACTGGGACCCTCGGGCCCTGCTCCCACCGCCCTGCCCCATCCTTGTAGAAGATTCTAGACAATAGCTAATGCTGCAGAAAGGGGGCGGCAGTCAGCTCCTATGGGGACACCAGGGCAGGGGTAGGGAGGGATTTTATTACCAACTATTGTTTGAATTTCTCTTGGTACCATGCCAGTAAGTTTTTACAAAAGCAGTAAAGCTCTTGATACAAACTCAATTTCAAAACCACAAAACTGCCTTGTGCCCACTCTGTGCTGCCCCCAGCCTACCCCACCCTGACCCATCCCAAGGGCAGCTCTGAGCCAACTTGCCAGCCTCGGGAACCCAGGGCCCCAGAATCCTCCTCCGCTGAGCAAATGTGCAGGCCCCACCACGTGCCAGGCAGAGTTTCGGTTCTGGGACGAGACGGGGCCCAATCTGGAAGACTACTAATTAACAACGTCACAGAGGGGCGAGCAAGAGTTTCGAAGACAAATGAAGGCCAGACACTGCAGCACACACCTGTGGTCCCAGTGCTCTGGGAGGCTGAAGTGGGACACTCGATTGAGCTCAGGAGTTTGAGGCCGCAGTGAGCTGTGATCACATCACTACACTCCAGCCCAGGCAACAGAGCCAGATCATCTCAAAAACATTTTAAGGCTGGGCGTGGTGGCTCACGCCTGTAATCCCAGCACTTTGGGAGGCCGCACACATAGGGTCTGCAGATTCTACAGCTGCTCCTGGCTGGGGGACCGCAGAGGAAGCTGGGAGACCAGGGCAAACTCCTGGGCTTAGCGATCCTCACCTCGGCCTCCCAAAGTGCTGGGATTATAGGTGTGAGCCACCACGCCCTGTCCCTGGGTTTCTTCTTTATTCGGGGCTCAAGACATGGCCAACATGGTGAAACTCCCATCTCTACTAAAAATACAAACATTAGCTGGGTGTGGTGGCATGCGCCTGTAATCCCAGCTACTTGGGAGACTGAGGCAGGACAACTGCCTGAACCCAGGAGGCAGAGGTTGCATTGAGCCGAGATAGTGCCATTGCACTCCAGCCTGGGCAACGAGTGAAACTCTGTCTCAAAAAAAATTAATAAGTAAAATAAAATAAATAAATAAATTTAAAAAAAAGGAAAAAGACAAATGAAGTTGGTTTGGGACCAGAGAGGTCTGGGTGGCAGCGGGGCTGCGTCTGGAAGTGATTGTCAAACACGCAGGGGTGCAAGTTCTGGGCGGTCCAGGGCAGGAGGAAAGTCTAGGCAAAGGGAAGGACCCAGCGAAGCCAGGGAAGAGCTAAGGCCCCAGAGGCCGGATGGCAGGGAGCGCAGAGGAGGCGGCAGGATCGAGGCTAGACCAGGGTGGGCCCTGGGGGCTGGGCTGGAAGGAGCCTGCCCTCCTGTGGGGTTGGACGGGAAGCCGACAGGTGGTTCAGAGCAAGGAGACACGATCCAACCGAAATTTCTAGAAAGCTCTCTCTGGCTGTGGGAAGTGGATGGCAGGCAGGGCTGGCTTCCAGGGCATGCAACCCCCATGGGTACCCCAGGCCCCACTCAGTTAGATACACAGTTTAAGGCCCGGCTGGCCCCACCTGAAGACTCTCCATGGTTTTAGCACGGGAACCCTGTGGGTTCATTTCACATACGGTCCACAGAGTCTACAGCTGCTCCTGGCTGGGGCACCGCAGAGGAAGCTGGGAGACCAGGGCAAACTCCTGGGCTTAGCGATCCCCTCATCTCGGCCTCCCAAAGTGCTGGGATTATAGGCGTGAGCCACCACGCCCCACCCCTAGGTTTCTTCTTTATTCGGGGCTCAAGACAGGCTTGGGCCTCCAGCTTACCATGAAAGCCGCTTAACCCAACCCAGCTCTCAAAATCTCTAACAACAAAAAAAGGGTCCCTTTCTCCCCTCTACTCATTTTGAGGCCCAAGAGCAGCCTTCTGAGTAAACTACACACCACTGAATGACATGCTTCAAATGGGTGACTTGTATGGTTCGCAAATTGTATCTCAATAAAGCCTTTTTGTTTTTGTTTTTTGAGACGGAGTCTCGCTCTTGTCAGTCAGGCTGAAGTGCAGTGGCGCGATCTCAGCTCACTGAAACCTCCGTTTCCCGGGTTCAAGCAATTCTCCTGCTTGAGCCTTCTGAGTAGCTGGGATTACAGGCACTCCCCACCATGTCCAGCTAATTTTTGTATTTTTAGTAGGACGAGGTTTCACCATGTTGGTCAGGCTGGTCTCCAACTCCTGACCTCATGATCCACCCACCTCGGCCTCCCAAAGTGCTGGAATTACAGGCATGAGCCACTGCACCTGGCCTTAAAGCCTTTTTTTTTTTTAGGGCAGCTGTTTGTTCCAGGGACCCTGCACACCACGGGCCAGGCCTGGCTCCTCAGCCCTCCTGCTGTGACCATGACATGGGACCAGCAGCTGCATCTTATGGGCGGCCCCACCCCGGCTGTCCTGGACAGCTCCTCTGCAACCTGGGGGAGGAACAAGTGAGGGACGCTTCCGGCCCGGCTGAGCAGGGCCGCACGCTCCAGCCTGGGCTGCTCTCCTGATCGCTGACACACTGGGCCCAAGGATACCCTCCCGGGCTGCCACCCTCACTCTTCAGTCTTCAGATGCAGGGGCTTGGCAGGGGGCTTCAGGTGGGGACAGTCTGGCTGACCCCATCAGGCCTTCACCCCACCTGCACTGGCACTGCTGGGGCTGGGCCGGCATCCTGTCCACATGACCCCAGGCCCCACAACTGCCCATGTCCCCAAGATCTGAGGACTCTCCTTGACCCCAGAGTCCACTCTGGGATGGAAGAACTTGAAGGTGGGGCAGGATGCAGGGGTGTGGGCGCAAGGGACACCCAAGAAACAGCCAGGTGATGGCTCTCAGCGGCCACACGCAGAAACTGATGACAAAGAATCGGTTTAAAAATAAGAAGGCCAGGGGCAGGGGCTCACGCCTGTGACCCCAGCACTGTGGGAGGCCAAGGTGGGTGATCACTTGGGGCTAGATGTTCAGGATGAGCCTGAACATAGCGAGACCCCATCTCTACAAAAAATTTAAAAATCAGCCAGGCGTGGTGGTGCACACCCAGCTACTTAGAGGCTGAGGCAGGAGGATTCCTTGAGCACAGGAGATCGAGGCTGCAGTGAGCCCAGACTGCACCACTGTACTCCAGCCAGGGACAGAGTGAGACCCTGTCTCAAAAAAAAAAAAAAAAAAAAAAAAATTCAAAAAGACAGTGCATGGTTTTTGAAAAGTATCAGGCCCTCCTCTGTGGGTAGGAAGTGTGGGGGCTCCCTCGAGCCCTCGTCCTCTTGTCCCACCTCCTGCTCCCACTGGTCCCTGTCCCAGGAGGGCTGGGCATCAGGTGAAGCCCCATGCGGCCCCAGTGAGTCCCAGCCGGCCTCCAGCCCCTGTGCTGCCATCTCGCTGGTTCCTGCTGCCAAAGCACGGTTCCCAGCAGGGACCGAGGACAGAGGAGCCCCAAGCCACCAGAAGGCCCAGGAGGAACCCGCGATGCAGCCAGGTTCCCAAGTGAAACCTGGCCACAGAGGCAGCACGAGAACGCCACTCGGCCCCAGCCCCGGGCATGTGGCCTGGCACCGCATCACCACGTCCCACGAGCAGCTCCAAATGCCTCCCCTGGCAAGACCGGGATTCACTTGTCTCTGGTCTGATCTACATAAAGGGCCCTCAGGCAGGAAAGAGAAAACCTTGGCACGAGAACGTTCTCTGCTTCGTCCTACTCCAGAGAGCACCAGCGCGTGCCAGGTTCCCTCAGCTCAAGGCCCTTCCTCCACCTCCGCAGCCACAGCACAGCCTCTTCCAGCCTCTCTCTGACTCTCACCCTCCTGCCTCCTCTCATGAGGACCCGGTGAGGACATCGGGCTCCCCAGATCATCCAGGGTCATCTCCCAGCTCAGGGTCCTTCACTCAGTCCCACCCGCGAAAAGTCCCTTTTGTCATTTAAGGTAATATATTCATGGGTTCCAGGGATTAAGATGTGGACATCCATGGGGACCATCATTCAGTCCACCACGACTGCCATGTGGGAAATGTACCATGCAAAGAAATAAGCATACCTTGTACCCATAAAAACTACAAATTAAAACTTCAAAAAAAAAAAGTACCAACCCCCACATCCCTCCAAGCCCCCCCACCTGGAGAGCACTCCTGCCCGGCACACCTCGGGTAAACTGAGCACCTCTGCCTGCGCTCACTCAGACAGGAGCACAGTTTCCAGAAAATCAGACAAGGGAGTGAGCTCTCCCAACCCAGCTCCCCTGCAACACCAACAGACAGAGGCGGCACTCCAAGAGGTGGAGCAGGAACAGCCGCGCATGGTCACAGAGCTAACTCCCGGGACCATCCGTGGGGGTGGCCAGTGGCCTAAGTGAGGCAGGTGGAAGTGGGCTCCAGTTGCTGGCACTCCCAATGTCCTCAGTTGCCTCCTCCTGAGGCCTGGGCTCTGACAGGTGGGATTTCCAGGTCATGAGGTTTGCAGCTCATTACTTCTTCAGACACTCAGGCCTAAGTGTGGTGAGACAAGCAGACGGACCAGCCTCAAGATGAAGCCACGAGATGTGAGCCACACCTCAGCACGGTGGCCCTCGGGCGGAGGTCCTGTGCCCTGTGCCCTACGTACCCAAGAGAGGTGGTGTGAGGAAGGACAGGCACAAGACCCAGAGCACCTGGGGCCAGGCCTGGCCCTACCACTGATCCCCAGGAGATGAGGGACCAGGGCCACACTCTCAGAGGGAACATAGGACTATCAGCACCTGGCCACAGGGCCCGCCTGTGCTGAATGAATGAGCCACAGACAAAACCCTCACAAGGAACATGGCCCAAGTCACCACCTCCGGGCCACTTGACTCTGTCCATAAAACCAACAGTTTGATCCAAGCTCAATGCTCAGTCCTTCTACCCAAGGACCCCCAAACTGCAGAGGAGAAAACAAACGGACGATCACACATTGCCCCTGCTTGGGGGCCTACGGAAAGCAGACAGAGGCAAACAAAAAATGCGTGCCAAGTCTCTTAAATTAAAAATCTGGCTGGATATGGTGGCTCACGCCTGTAATCCCAACACTTTGGGAGGACGAGGCAGGCAGATCACGAGGTCAACAGATCAAGACCATCCTGGCCAACACCGTGAAACCCTGTCTCTACTAAAAAAATACAAAAATTAGCCGGGCATGGTGGCACGCTCCTGTAATCCCAGCTACTCGGGAGGCTGAGGCAGGAAAATTGCTTGAACCTGGGGCAGAGGTTCCAGTGAGCCAAGATCACGCCACTGCACTCCAGTCTGGCAACAGAGCGAGACTGTCTCAAAAAAAAAAAAAAAAAAAACCTGTGCCAGGCCTGCACTCTATCTACTCTTTTCCTTCAGTGTTTGTTTTTTATTTTATTTTTTGAAACAGGGTCTTGCTGTATCGCCCAGGCTGGAGTGCGGTGGCACAATCACAGCTCACTGCAGCCTGGAACTCCCGGGCTCAAGCCATCCTCCCGCCCCACAGGTACATGCCACCACACCCAGTACTTTCTGTATTTGTTTTGTAGAGACCAGGTCTCACCATGCTGCCCAGGCTGGTCTTGAACTTCTGGCCTCAAGCAATCAAGGCCACCCGCCTTGGCCTCCCAAAGTGCTGGGGTTACAGGCATGAGCTGCCATGCCCAGCCTAGTATTTGTTTTAATTAAAAGAAAAAACAAAAGATGCCCTCCTGGTCATGACACTCCCCAAAACAGCACATGATGTCAGAGTGGCCCCACCCCAAGAGCTGGAGGACACAGGGCCGCCCGAAGCCTGCAGCCAGGGGTGTTTTCTTTCTTTTTTTTTTTTTTTTGAGACAGTTTCACTCTGTCGCCCAGGTGGAGTGCAGTGGTGCGATCTCAGCTCACTGCAACCTCTGCCCCCAGGTTCAAGCAATTCTCCTGCCTCAGCCCCCGAGTAGCTGGGATTGTAGGCACACGCCACCACGTCCGGCTAATTTTTGTATTTTTAGTTGAGACGGAGTTTCACCATGTTAACCAGGCTGGTCTTGAACTCCTGACCTCAGGTGATCCGCCTGCCTCAGCCTCCCAAAGTGCTGGTATGACAGGCGTGAGCCACCACACCCGGCCAGTCAGGGATGTTTTCTATCAGCCCCCAGCTGACACCTATCCGTGTGCACAGACAGAAAGCGAAGTGTTCAAGGTGTGCTTTTTTACAGGTCAGGAAAAGTTACGAGGCCTGAACAAGGAAACCTAGCATTCTATTTAGGAGGAAGAAACCATTACGATTCAATACTCAAATAAGCCAACAGCCGAGGCACGGGAAGCAGGCAGGAGGAGAGGCCGACTTGCAGCTGCAGTGGGACCCCCTTCCCCCAGCGCCCGCGGCCTGGCTTCCTCTGGGCACCAAGCGACGGCTCCAGGGTCGAAATGGAGAAAGTGAGCAACTATTCCGAGAGTCTTTTCCAAGACCAGAGGCAGCCCTCATGCACGGCTGGTGGGAATGTTGAAGGGTGCAGCCGCCGTGGAGACGGGCAGGCGATTCCTGAGAAGGCTAAACAGAATGTACCCTTGGACCCGCGATTCCACACCCATGTGTCGGCCCAAGGGAAACAAAAACGCATGTCCACAGCAGCACCTGCACACCAACACCTACACACCAACACCTGCACACCAACACCCACACCAACACCTGCACACCAACATCTACACCATCTGCATACCAACACCTGTACACCAACACCCACACCAACATCAACAACACCTGCACACTAACACCTGCACACCAATATCCACACCAACACCTGCACACCAACACCCACACCAACATCCACACCAACACCTGCACACCAACATCCACACCAACACCTGCACACTAACACCTGCACACTAACACCTGCACACCAACATCCACACCAACACCTGCACACCAACACCCACACCGACACCTGCACACCAACGTCCACACCAACACCTGCACACCGTCCACAGCAGCACCTGCACACCAACATCCACACCAACACCTGCACACTAACACCTGCACACTAACACCTGCACACCAACACCCACACCAACATCCACACCAACACCTGCACACTAACACCTGCACACCAACACCTGCACACCCACACCGACACCTGCACACCAACGTCCACACCAACATCTGCACACCGTCCACAGCAGCACCTGCACACCAACGTCCACACCAGCACCTGCACACCACTGTCCACACCAATACCTGCACACCAACACCCACACCAACACCCACACCTGCACACCACCTGCACACCAACACCCACACCAACACCTGCACACCAACATCCACGCCAACACCTGCACACCAACGTCCACACAAACACCTGTACACCAACACCCCCACACGAACACCCACACCAACACCCGCACACCAACACCTGCACACCAACATCCACACCAATACCTGCACACCAACACCTGCACACCAATACGTGCACACCAACACCCACACCAACATCCACACCAACACCTGCACACCAACACCAACACCCACACCTGCACACCAACACGCACACCAACACCCGCACACCAACGTCCACACCAGCACCTGCACACCAACATCCACACCAGCACCTGCACACCAATGTCCACACCAACACCTGCACACCAACACCCACACCAACACCTGCACGCCAACGTCCACACCAACACCCACACCAACACCTGCACACCAATGTCCACACCAACATCCACACCAACACCTGCACACCAATACGTGCACACCAACACCCACACCAACATCCACACCAGCACCTGCACACCAACACCCACACCAACACCCACACCAGCACCTGCACACCAACACCCACACCAACACCTGCACACCAACATCCACACCAACACCCACACCAACACCTGCACACCAACGTCCACACCAGCACCTGCACACCAACGTCCACACCAACACCTGCACACCAACGTCCACACCAACACCTGCACACCAATGTCCACAGCAGCACGACTCCCAATAGCCAGAGAGGAGGCCACATGAGCGCCCATCAGCAGGGGAGCAGGTCGCCCGGCACCACACACAGCAGAACGCGACTCAGCCATGAAATGGAGCAAGGCTCTGACGCAGGCCACGGAGTGGATGAACTCTGAGGATGGGCCACTCAGTGAGAGACTCCAGGCACAAAAGGCCACACAGTGCGCGATCCCATTTCTATGAGATGTCCAGGACAGGCCAGTCCACAGAGGCAGGAAGGAGATGCCTGGTTTTGGGGTGTGGGGGACAGGATGAAGAGCAACTGCTGAGGGGGACAGAGCTTCCTCTGGGACAATGAGATGCTCCGGAATGAGTGGTGATGCTGCCCAGCCCTGTGAGTGCACCAACGACCTCCAAACTGTATCCTTTAAAGAGTGAATATGATGTATGTGAATTTCCTCTCAGTAAAAGTTAACTTTTACAAAGTGAAGGCAGCCTATCTGGGGACCTGCCAAACCACAGCAAGCCCACATGGTTTGCCCTGAGCTCCTCCTCTCCTTCAGCTCCAGGCCTTCGGAAGCAGGAGCCCTGCTCCCTTACTCCTGTCTCCTGTGCTCTCCCCGAGGACTTTCTAGCACCTCCTGGTTGCTGCACTCAGCACCTTCAGATATAAAGTGGGTTTATCAAGGGCTATGTGGTGAACTTCGGCAGGATGAGGTGACTCACGCCTGTGACCCCAGCACATTGGGAGGTTGAGGTGGGAGGATCATTTGAGGCCAGGAATTTGAGACCAGCCTGGGCAACATAGCCTCTACAAAAAATAAAAAAATTAGCCAGGTGTGGTGTGCATGCCTGTAGTCCCGGCTACTCAGGAGGCTGAGGCGGGAGGATCCCTTGAGCCCAGGAGGTGGAGGCTGCAGTGAGCTATGATCACACCACTGCACTCCAGCCTGGGTGACAGAGTGAGACCCTGCCTCAAAAAAATAAAGCTAACTGGCTGGGCACAGTGGCTCACGCCTGTAATCCCAGCACTTTGGGAGGCCAAGGTGGGCGGATCACGAGTCAGGAAATGGAGACCATCCTGGCTAACACGGTGAAACCCCATCTCTACTGAAAATACAAAAAATTAGCCGGGCGTGGTGGCAGGCTCGTGTAGTCCCAGCTACTAGGGAGGCTGAGGCAGGAGAATGGCGTGAACCCGGGAGGCGGAGCTTGCAGTGAGCTGAGATCACGCCACTGCACTCCAGCCTGGGTGACAGAGGGAGACTCTGTCTCAAAAAAAATAAAAATAAATAAATAAATAATAAAGCTAACTGACAGAGCAAGTTGCTTACTTGGTTCATGCTGTGTTAATTTGGGTACAAAGAAAACAGCTGAGTTTTAGAAAATTGACCATCTTGTAAGGAAGCACAAACTTGAAGGGTAAAAGCAAGATTTCAGGAGGCACAGACAGACCTGCCAATTTCCAAACCAAGTCACCAAGAGACTCGTCCATCCTGCTCCAGCCAGCAGTAAGTTAACCTGGACAAGAGGAGGCGCATGGTTTTCTGCACAGGCCCAAACAGGAAATATCTCCAGATGCGCAGGCCACGCCCTCTGTTCCAGCTAGTCACTTCTCCCACTGTGAGGAGAAGGCAACCAGGGACAATGCTCAGGCAAATGGACACAGCCATGTGCCAATAAAACTTTATTTATAAAAACAGGGGGTCAGATTGGGTCCAGGGGCCATAGTTTGCCAACCACGTGACCAGAGCCTCTTCCCTTACACTTTATGACTTCCCAAAAGAGGCTGGGCTCCACCACCCTCCTCAAGGTCCTAATCGTAGTAGAACAGAAAAGGCACCCACAAATGACTCAAGGGCCCCAGCTCAAGTCCACACTCGCCCTCATTAGCTACAGGGGGCCCTGGATGGGCCCCTTCCTCCCTCTGCACAGGGAAGCGGCACACAATCCAAGGGCGACGCCGCACAAGGCAGCCTTTCCCCGGTGCTCTGCCGGCCGCCGCTGCCACTGCCACCTCTGCCTTGACGGGAGGACACTGCACTGCTCATCCCACACTTGACACCCTCCACTGGGTCACCCGGGCCCTGTGGGTGTGGCCAGAAGGGATGAGGTCATTCTCTCTCTTCTCCTGAGTGGTCCCCCTGGGCTGCCACCAGAGGCACCTCTTTGTGCCACCGGCTTATAAGAAAGGCACAAGAAAAGGAACTAAACCCGGGGCGGCTGGGCCATGGAACTACCTCAAAGGCATTTAAAAATGAGTCTCCCATTTTTAGAGAGCCCTGCTCTAACTGCTCCCCACTTCTGACAGTGTGTGGGGGAACGCCCCTTGAGCTCAGGTGTCCCCAGGGCCGATGCAGACAGGGTAGTGGGTCCTGGGAAACCCCAGTGTCACCCGAAATGCAGGAGGAGCCACAGCTTTTCCAGTTTCTAGAAGTGAGAGTCGGGTGGTTCGATGCCGAAGGGCGAGATGCAAGCCCAAAGCAGACAGGCTTCATGAAGAAACTTGCAGAAGAACCTCCCTACCATGGCCCGCAGGCTCCCGTCTAAGCACAGCTTGCGCCTGGACGTCCCGGGAATTCAGAGCCGGTCAGGCCACCACCTTCTCCCTGGCGGGCCACCCAGGGAAGAGGCCACAGCCTTCCGGTCCCTGGTCCTGTGGGGCCACCTGGGGGCCAGGCCCGTGTTACTTACTTCTGGATGGCGAGGTTCCTGGGTGGAGATGCTCCAAAAATTCGCTAGGATTTGTCAGGTGCCTCCAGCAACAGTGATGGTTCCTAAAACATGCAAATAAAAGCATGATTAACTAAACTGATGGCACGCTCAAGTTTTAATTCTAAATTCGACTCCCACCAGCTGTACGCAGCCCGAGGACGCTTGCCTTTATTCAGATTTTCCACATTCTTGTCAATTTTTAACAAGACAAAAATCCGTAACTATAAGCACTTTACCCAGTCAAGTTTTCCAATGAGGGCCCATTTTAAGCTTAGCTCCTAAAATCTACGGGCCAAGGCAGCGGGAGTATCCGTGAACAGTCAAATGAAACCAAAGAAGCTTCTGGAGGCCTTAAGACGCAGACACCTACTGAGAGATTTTCAAGAAGTTTTGCTTCCTCCAAGGGGAAAAGTGCAGAAAATGCACCCAGTTTTTCCCCCACCTCCCAACACCAAGAGGCAGAGCACGGGGAGAGAGGGGGGCAGGGGCTGCGACCGCACAGGGGCCAAGGCACAGCCCAGGCGTTGAACTTAGTCCTGGACACAAAGACGCTCAGATACTTGTAGGATGGATGCGGAACAGAACTCCAAACTTTGGATGTGACACCAAGACTTTTTTATTTTTATTTTTTTTAAGAGACAGGGTCTCACTATAGCGTCCAGGCTGGTCTCGAGCTCCTGGCCTCAAGTGATCCTCCTGCCTTGGGTTCCCAAAGTACTGGGATTACAGGCATAAGCCACCACGCCGGCCAATATCAAGACTTTCATGGCGGGGCGAGGTGGCTGACATCTGGAATCCCAGCACTTTGGGAGGCCGAGGCAGGCAGATCAGCTGAGGTCAGGGGTTCAAGACCAGCCTGGTCAACATGGTGAAACCCCGTCTCTACTACAAACACAAAAATTAGCCGGGCGTGGTGATGTGCACCTGTAATCCCAGCTACTCAGGAGGCTGAGGCTTGAGAATCACTTGAACCTGGGAGGTAGAGGTTACAGTGAGCCGAGATCATGCCATTGCACGCACTCCAACCTGGGTGACAGAGCAAGACTACGTCTAGGGAAAAAAAAGGACTTTCACAACCTGACCTGCAGCTCCCACTGGACTTGGCACACCTGGGGCTCGGTGGGTGCCCAGGCCTGCGAGCCCTCGTCTCAGAGCTCCACCGGTGCTGGCTCTCAGCTCAGGCTGCCCTCTGCTTCCTTCTGCTCAGCTAATGCCAACTCTCACTTCAGAAGCACTCTAAGGTCCCCTCGGCAGGCCCAACCTCCAGGGCAGAGGAGCTCGCCCCCTGGGGCCCTGGTTTTGTTGTACTTTTTTTTTTTTTTTTGAGACGGACTCTCGCTCTGTCACCCAGGCTGGAGTGCAGTGGCACGATCTCGGCTCACTGCAACCTCCGCCTGCCGGGTTCAAGCAATTCTCCTGCCTCAGCCTCCCGAATAGCTGGGACTACAGGCGCCCGCCACCATGCCCGGCTAATTTTTTGTATTTTTAGTAGAGACGGGGTTTCACCATGCTGGCCAAGCTGGTCTCGAACTCCTAACCTTGTAATCCACCCACCTCGGCCTCCCGAAGTTGTACACTTTTTACAATTCACCAGGACTTTTAAATAACACCAAGTAGTACAGTGGCTCACACCTGTAATGCCAGCACTTTGGGAGGATGATGAGGGAGGATCACTTGAGGCCAGGAGTCTCAACAGCCTGGCCAACATAGTGAGACTCTGTCTCTACAAAAAATTTAAAACTTAGGCCAGGCGCGGTGGCTCACGCCTGTAATCCCAGCACTTTGGGAGGCCGAGGCGGGTGGATCACAAGGTCAGGAGATCGGACCATCCTGGCTAACACAGTGAAACCCCGTCTCTACTAAAAATACAAAAAATTAGCCAGGCGTGGTGGCGGGCGCCTGCAGTCCCAGCTACTCGGGAGGCTGAGGCAGGAGAATGGCGTGAACCCAGGAGGTGGAGCTTGCAGCGAGCCGAGATCGTGCCACTGCACCCCAGCCTGGGCAACAGAGCCAGACTCCGTCTCAAAAACAAAACAAAACAAAACACTTAGCCGGGTGTGGTAGCATGTGCCTGTGGTCCCAGCTCCTCAGGAGGATCGCATGAGCCCAGGAGTTCAAGGCTGCAGCCTGGGCGACAGAGCGAGACCCTGTCTCAAAAAAATAAATAATGCAAGTTTCACAAATGCCCTAGAGCACGCAATGAGCTCTGACATTTTCTATGTTATTTTAATCTGCTTTTTAAAATCACTGGGCACGGCTCATTCACCCGACTTCCATATCTTCCCACAGGCCCCGCCCCGGGTAGGAAGGGAACAGCAGGTCCTGGACTGCCGGGCCACGGGCTGCGCCTCTTCCCCTGTGCCAGATGAGCGGCCAAGTGCCCTGCAAAGGGCTTCACGACCTCTCCCACCTGCCCAGGCCTACCCGACACTGTCACCAACTGAACCCGAGGACCGGAATCCCTCCACGCAGCTGTGGGCAGCAGAACAATGGTTCCCAAAGATGTCCCCATCCTAACCCCCAGACCCTGGGACTATTTCACCTTCCATGGCAACAGGGGCTTTGCGGATGGGACTGAGTTAGGCATCTTGAGATAGGGGATGATCCGGGAGGCGGAATGTCCTCACAGCCTCCTCATGGGAGGAGGCCAGAGGGTGAGAGTCAAGGCCTGGAAAACGCTGCGCTGTGGCTGTGAAGGGGGAGGAAGGGCCCCAAGCCGAGGGATGCGGACACCTCTAGACGCTGGGAGAGGAAAGGAATGGACTGTCTCCGGGAGCCTCCAGAAGGAACAGCCCTGCCCACATCATGATTTTAGCCCAGGGAGGCCCATGTCAGACTTCTCTCCTCCAGGCATGGGAGAGAATGAACGGGTGCTGTTTTCAGCCACTGTGTCTGCGGCCATTTGTCATAGCAGCAAAGGGTACCTCCCTGACTTCAGCGGAGACAAGGGCCTGTCCACTCCCAGGGGCCACCCAGGCCTCTCCCCTGTGACCTGCTGCTCCTGGCTGCCACCAGGTCCCCACGGGATCCTGGGTCTCCCCTGCCACAAGTAACTGTCTCTTTGTACAGCTCTCTCCCCCGCTGCACGACGGGCCACCCCCACTCTCAGCACTTGGTCAAGAAGGCATGGAAGCCACCAGACCCTGAGGCTCTCAGCTGGACAGACCTCAGCCCGGTGCTACCAAGACCACGGGTCCTTCTGCCCTCCCTCTCTGGGGCCCCAAAAGCGCCCACTCCAAGCTGGGAGGCTGGAGGCTCTGGGGCTGAGGCCGGGCCCCAGTTCTCAAGGCACAGCCCGAGCCTAGGCCTCTGTCCACCCTGGTCCCCATCCGCAATAGATGAGAGGCCGGGCTAGCCTGCCTCCACTGCCCCTCCAGGAGGGAAGACGAGGGGTTGGGGCCCAGGCAGCTCCCTATTCCTTACGCATGGGCTATGCGGTGACTTCCTTCCATCAGTGCACAAATGGAAAGTCGGGGGCAGCATCCCGGGGAGAGGATGATGAACCCCTGCAGCTACGCCGTCAGGGCAGCAGCAACAGCCACACGGCTCCAACCCCATCCTGCTGATGGCCCACGTCCTGACGCTCACCGGGATGTGATGAGAAGAGCCCTTACCTCTGAAGTCCTCCCAACAGCCTCCACCGCGTGCCAGCCTGAGCAAAATGCCAGACACACCCCAATCGAGGGGCGCCCTACCATCTGCCTGGCCAGCCCCCTCAACACTGTCCAGGCACAAAACACAGGGAACGTGTCGGGAGTGGTCCCAGCCCAGAGGAGCCTGAGGAGAGGGCCATGGGCCACGAGGGATCCCAGGACTGCCACGGGCCACGAAGGATCCTGGGACGGCTACGGGCCACGAGGAATCCCGGTGTGGGGGGCCCTGGGACAGAAAACAGTCCATTAGGGGAAAGCAGAGGCAATCCGAATGAAGCGGGAAGTGTCATTAACAACGTGTTAATCAAGAGACAAATGCGCCACAACAGGCAGGATGTTCCCACAAGGAAAACGGGTGGGGGGTGGCAGGCAGAGACGGGAACTCTCACTACCACTTGCCCAAATTCTCTGTAAATCTAAAACTGCTCCAAAAGCTAAGTTCTATTAACTGCCAGGAGGGGAAGACCCAGGTGGCTTAGGTTTGACTGCACCCTGCCACGGGCCCAGCCTGTCAACCCTGCTGCGGCTTCTAGGCAGATCTGGGCACTAGGAATAGAACTGGCAAGGGGAGCCCACCGCAGCATGACAGAAGCCTGCAGTGACAGCCCAAGGCATCGGACGACAACGCCCCCAAACAGCACGAGCTACCGATTACGTAACAGCCACTGCCCCGCACGTGCTGACCCTGAGGGCAGCCTCAGATACAGTGCTGGCTCTGTGAGCCCCTCCGCCAAGACCCGCGGGTGGGGCGGAAGAAGAGACCACTGGCGGGAATCAGGGAGGAGACAGTGGCACCACAGCACAGAGGCCTGAGGACCACAGAACTTGGCCCCCAAGAACCCCCCAAAAGGAGGTACTCTTGGCCATGGGGCTGCCAGTCACCGGAGCCCCCAGGGCTGACCCTCGGGTGGGTTCCGAAAGTTGGGCCTGCACCAGACCACACTGCCCACCTCTTTCCCGGGTCTGAGCACGGGTCCAAAAACAGGAGTCTCTGAACCAGAAAGAAGGGATCCTCTCACCTGCACGCCTGGCGAGGTTGCCTGAGCCGGGATGGCCCAGGGCCCAGCCCTGCCTGCCTCTCCCACGGCCACAAGCCCCAGGTGGCCTTCAAAAGGGACATGCCATCTCCTGCCTCCCACCCAAGTCTTCAGCCCCACAGGAAGGTCCTCCTTTTTCCAGGGGCTCTGCGTACCCCTTACAGGTTGGGGGTGGACACCCAAAGCCTCAGATGGGCCCACGACATGAACGCTCTGGCACCCTATGAGTATGAACTCAGGAGCTCTGGAAAAGAGACAGTGAGATGGATACAGGTGTGCATATACACATGGGTTAGCGTTCCTACTTCCAAGCCCTGTCAGCAGAGAAAACCTAGAAGCAATGATGCCCCAACAGCATCGAGCACGGCCAGCACCCAGGCCACAGTTTGTAAACATCATTCTCCACTGTGAGGAACCAGGGAGCCCTGCAGGACACGTGGTCAATTCCAGGGCTGGGGCAGAATATACAAGCTGAGCCCAGATCGCCCTGCAGGACCTGAGAGGAAGGGAAGGCTTGACAGGATGGGAGCGGGCAGAAAGGACATGCGAGGGGCTCCTGATGGCCAAAACGAGGACCACCTACCTCAGCACCAGGATGAATGACAGCATCATGTTACAACCCACAGGATAAAACAAACACACAGATGGCTTTCCTGAGAGAACATGTGAAATGCAATTGAGCGCCAGGTGCAGTGGCTCACGCCTGTAATCCCAGCACTTTGGGAGGCCGAGGCAGGTGGGTCACTTGCGGTCAGGAGTTCGAGACCAGCCTGTGCAACATGGTGAAACCCCATCTCTACTAAAAATACAAAAATTAGCCAGGTGTGATGGTGGGCACCTGTAATCCCAGCTACTCGGGAGGCTGAGGCAGGAGAATTGCTTGAACCTGGGAGGCGGAGGTTGCAGTGAGCGAAGATCGCGCCACTGCATTCCAGCCTGGGCAAAAGAGTGAGACTCTGTCTCAAAAATATATAAATAAATAAAATGCAACTGATAAATGGGGAAGAGGGACAGCTTTCCTCCACAGAAGAATTCTCCTTCATAAGTGTCAAAGGAATAAGCATAACATAAAATCACCAGTCCAACACCACGGGAATATTTCCTGCAGGAAAGAGCCACGCGGAAATGTAAAAATTGGTGAGCAAAAGTTGAAGGAACAGGACATGTTCACAGGCTCAAAGTCCCAAAGGGAAAAGGAGTAACTTTGCAGTGGAGAAACTTGACCGACGCCTCAGCCAGGCGGCCACGGTCAACACCACCACGCTGAGCCGCATCAGCCACATCAGCCACACGCACCTCCTGATACACTGCACAGGGAAGGAGCAGCATGAGCCCTATGGTATGCTTCTAAAAAGTCCAGAGCCCAGGCTAACCATGAGAAAACGTCTGAAAGCCAAGGGAAGTTCCTTCTACAAAACATCTGCCTGGTGCTCTTTGGAAGTGCCAAGGTCGTGAAAGTCAAGGCAAGATGGAGGCCTTGGCACACCTGGAGGAGCCTATGAGACTAAATGGTGAGTGGGGTCCTGGACGAGGTCCTAGACCAGGAAAGGGACATTGGTGGGACAACTAGTGATATTCTAATAGAATCTATAGTTGAGGCCAGGTGCAGTGGCTCACACCTGTAATCCCAGCACTTTGGGAGGCCAAGGCAGGCAGAGCACCTGAGGTCAGGAGCTTGAGACCAGCCTGGCCAACATGGTGAAACCCTGTGTCTACTAAAAATACAAAAGTTAGCCAGGCGTAGTGGAAGGCACCTGTAATCCCAGCTACTCAGGAGGCTGAGGCAGGAGAATCGCTTGAACCTGGGAGGCAGTGGCTGCAGTGAGCCAAGATGGCGCCCCTGCACTCCAGCCTGGGAGACAGAGCAAGGCTCTGACTCAAAAAAAAAAAGAATCTATAGTTGAGTAAATTGCATGGTAGTATGGAATTGGCTAATTTCTGAGCATTCTGTGGTTACATAAGATGCTCACATTAGGGGCTGAGTGAAAGGTACACAGGAACGCTCTGTGCTATCTTTGCAACAGTTCAGTGAGTCTAAAATTATTTCAAAATAAAAAGTTAAAAAGACCAAACCAAACAACCACCTGGACCTCTGTCCTCTGAAGCTCAAGGCATAGCAGGTTTTCACTGGAAGAGGAGAGTCAGGCCGTGAAAGAGCCAAGGTGATCAGAAACCAAGTGGACACCACCACATCCCTTCCACTTCCAGGCCCCACTGAAGACCAAACCTGCTGAATTCAAGTTGCAGATCCTTCTTGAGTGAAAGAACTGAAAAGCTGACATTTGTCACCAACCTCTGCATCCTAGGGAAACAGCCTCTTATTTAGAAATATGTCACCAAAACCTTCATATCCTTATTGATACCAAAATCCAACTGAGGAAGGTGGCATGGCTCAATAAAGGAAGCAGGGAATAGGCCGGGAGCGGTGGCTCACACCTGGAATCCCAGCACTTTGGGAGGCCAAGGTGAGCAGATCTTTCGAGGTCAGGAGTTTGAGACCAGCCTCACCAACATGGCAAAACCCCATCTCTACTAAAAATACAAAAATTAGCTGAGCGTGGTGGCATCCACCTGTAGTCCCAGCTACTCAGGAAGCTGAGGCAGGAGAATTACTTGAACCTGGGAGGCAGAGGCTGCCTGAGCCGAGATCATGCCACTGCACTCCAGCCTGGGCAACACAGCGAAACTCTGTCTTTAAAAAAAAAAAAAAAAAAAAAAAAAAGGCAGGGGCCAGGCATGGTCACTCATGCCTATAATCCTAGCACTTTGGGAGGCCAAGGCGGGCAGATCACGAGGTCAGGAGTTCGATACCAGCCTGGCCAGTATGGTGAAAACCTGTCTCTACTAAAAATATTAAAAAAAAAAAAAAAATTAGCCAAGTGTGGTGGTACATGCCTATAGTCCCAGCTAATCAGGGGACTGAAGCAGGAGAATCGCTTGAACCCAGAAGGCAGAGGTTACCGTGAATTGAGATTGTGGCACTGCACTCCAGTCTGGGTGACAGAGTAAGACTCTGTCTCAAAAAAAAAAAAAAAAAGAAAAAGAAAAAGAAGAAACAAGGAGGCAGGGAACAGCCAGGGTTTTCTGGATCTCAACTAAGAAGGCTGTAGTCTCATCAGCTAATCTGGGTCTCTATATGTTAATGTAAGAACCATATTATTTTTCCTTAACATCTACACTCAAGACTAGACAAAAAATAATTCACGGTTATGAACCTACAGTAATCAAGACAGCATGGTACTGGCATAAGTACAGACATTAGATAAACGGGAGAAAGCTGAGAGTCCAGAAATAAACCCACACGCTTAAAGTCAGGTGATTTTCAATAACAGTGCCAAGACCACTCAATGCAAAAAGAACAGTTTTTTCAACAAATAGTGCTGGGACAGCTGGATATTCACACACAAAAAATGAAGGTGGACCCTTACCTCACACCATATATTTATACTAATTCCAAATAGGTCATAGATCTAAATGTAAGTGCCCAAACTACAAAACTCTTTTTAAAAACTTTTTGTACCAACAGTATCTTCCTATGTTGCCCACACTGGTCTCAAACTCCTGGCCTCAAACGATCCTCCCAACCCACCCTTCCAAAGCATTGGGCATATAGATGTGAGCTAGTATACCCAGCTCAGAACTACCCAACTCTTAGGAAAACCATAGGATTAAACCTTCGTGGCTTTGGATCAGGCAAGATTTCTGGCTAAAACACCAAAAGTGCATGTGGAAAAAGAAAAGTTGTTTGCAAAGACCTCAAGAAAGTGAAAAGACTTGGCTGGTCATGGCAGCTCATGTCTATAATCCCAGCACTTTGGCAGGCAGAGGTGGGAGGATCACTTGAACACAGGAGTTCAAGACCAGACTAGGCAACACAGCAAGATGCCATCTCCACAAAAAATAAAGAAGAAAAAAATTAGCCAGGCATTGTGGTGCACACCTGCAGTCCCAGCTACTCGGGAGGCTGAGGTGGGAGGATCGCTTGAGCCTGGGAGTTGGAGGCTGCAGTGAGCTATGTTTGTGCCACTGCACTCCAGCCTAGGAGATGGAACAATACTCTGTCTCAAAAAAAAAAAAAAAAAAAAAGAGAGAGAGAAAGTGAAAAGACAATGTACAAAACAGGAGAACATATATTTGCAAAACATTATCTGATAAGGAACTTGTATGCAGAATATGTCAACAACTCTTGCAACTCAACAAAAGACAAACAACCTAACAGAAAACACGGGCAAAGGATGGAGCAGACATTTCTCCAAAGAAGATACAAAAAGAGTCAACAGTCACAGGAAGAGATGCTTGACATCACAGCAATGAAGCAAGGGAGAAGAGGAGAGGCCAAAACCATGCCGAAAATGACAGAGGAGCCAGTGGGCTTCCAGGACCTTCTAGAAACCTCTCCAATATGGCAGAGCCTGGCCAAGAGCTGCCATTCATATTCCAGTCCTGAGATAACTTTGCTACGTTCCCCAACTCTCAAATGGGAGATGGAGGTTGGCAGGGGGTGCTCACGAGGGATGGTGGGGACAGGGCCCTCCCCCAAGGCCCTTCTAGAAGATTCCGCCTCCCCCGTTCCGCCCAGGTCCCTGCCCAGGTCTGCGCCTGGTCCTCACCACCCCCGCCCCGCCTCGTGAGCCCCATGCTTCTGCCAGGAGGTGGCTGGGGCCCGCTCTGGTGTCCCCTTGCTGGTGCTCCTCGTTGAGTCACTTCCCAGCAGCCCCATGGGAAAGGCACTGTTGTCACTCCCACTTCACAGAGCGGAACATGGAGGCCGTCCCAAGTCCCAGAGGTGCTAACCCAGGCTGTCAGCTCCAGGGCTGGTTACCCTCTTAACTCACCATATCTTTTTTTTTTTTTTTGAGATGGAGTTTCGCTCTGTTGCCCAGGCTGGAGTGCAACGGCATGATCTCAGGTCACTGCAGCCTCCGCTTCCCAGGTTCAAGCAATTCTCCCGCCTCAGCCTCCAAAGTAGCTGGGATGACAGGCATGCGCCACCATGCCCAGCTAATTTTTGTAATTTTAGTAGAAATGGTGTTTCACCATGTTTGCCAGGCTGGTCTTGAACTCCTGACCTCAGGGGATCCACCTGCCTCGGCCTCCCAGAGTGCTGGGATTACAGCCATGAGCCACTGCACCCGGCCTAACTCACCATATCTTAACCAACACATTTCCAGTTGCCAGGGAGATAAAACCCCAGCCAGGGCAGATGATGTGGCAACACGAGTCAGAAAGATGCGGCGGAGGGGCCTGGAGTGCCAGGAAGGACAGTGAGGAGGGGTGGGAGGAGCAGGAGAATGGCCGTGGGCTGCGGGGAAACAGCAGGAAGTGAAGCCCCCACAAGCCCAGGGGATGGGGGTTCCGCTCTGAGGATGGGGTGCACACTACCCAGAGGCAGGGTGGGGTTCCAGTAGTGGCGGGACAGACGGGGACAGGGAGAGGCTGCGGGGAGCCAGGCATGAAGAGGGCAGGCCTGCAGCAGGGATGGAAGGAAGGGAGGCGGGACCAGCACCATCCTGGCTCCCTGCCGCCGCCACCAGCCCCCCATCCTTCTTCTCTGTCCTTCACTAAGAGAACATCAAAAACTGTCCCCTACCCATGAGCCCTCTCCCAGGACCCCCACAGCCCCCAGATCAGGTGATGGAGGCCCTGAAGTGCAGCACGAGACCACTGGGATGAGAAGCCACCTCTTGTGACCCAGCATCACCACTCACCTCCGCCAGAGGAGGACGCGGTGACTGCAGGGGCGACCCCTGCCCCTCATATCACTTAGACCCCCAGGGCCAGTGCCAAGCAGGGGGCTCTCTACCCCACATCCCTCCCAGCTGTGTGGCGAGGCAGCCGCTGGAGAATGGTGGGGACCTTCTCCCCCGTGGCCCTGTAGCCTCTAAGAGCGATCTTAGAGGGACGTCCTGGGTGAGGACATGGTACAGAGCACAGTCCCCCAAGGCCTGGTCCCAAGACCACTGAATGCAGAAAGAAAAGGTGTTTCAACAAACAGTGCTGGGACAACTGCTTGATATCCACATGCAAATAAAGGAAGGTGAACCCCCACCACCCACCATGAGGCCCGGAGGAGGGTGAGGCCCCCACCTCTGGGGCCTCAGTTTCCTCATCTGTAAAGGGGGCTCCCCATGTTAACACCCTCATCGTGGGGTCTTCAGGAAGCTCAATGAGGTCCCCTAAGTGGCAGCTGTCACCATCCTGTCACTCAGGAGGCTGACCAGCAAGTCCAATGACACGACAGGTCACAGAGGCCATGGAGGAACAGGTGCCCACACTGATCTATGCCCCAGTGGCCTGGCAGCACCACTGGGAAGGACGGTTTGGTAACATCTTTCAAAAGCACCTGCCCCTTCTTGCCAGCTGCCCCGGGCATCTGTGTTCTCCATACTTGTGCCACCTGGCCACCAACATCTCCACAGGCCACTCCTGTAGCCTCAGATGTCATGGGGTGACAGAAGTCCACCATCAACTCCACACACAGCCACAGAGTGGGCTGCACAGACGCATCTCCAAGCTTTGTGCTGGATCCCTGGGACAGCAGCTATCTGCCAGGTGACGGCCGCAGGACAGGCCGGCACACACAGAGCGCGCAGAAAAGGAAGACGCTACACAGGTACCTCTAGAAGGGTTACCACTTCCAGGGGTGGGAGAATGAAGCCTGGGGAAGTGGGAGACTGTGCAGGGGGTGACCAGCTCGTCTCACTTTGCCCGGGATGCTCCTGGTTCCGGCACCAAAGCCTTACGTCTGTCCCATATTTGCATGTCTCTGGGGTCAGGCTGGGGGCTGTAATCTGAGGGCTGCCTGGACAGTAGGGAGTGTATTCCGGAGGGGAGCAGGGGTGGCCTCTGCCCAACACCCAGGGGTACTGCCCACCTGTGACCATTAAAATATAACCGCCTTCCTGCCCCTCTGTGGGTGACTTCTCACGCTCACCGCACGGGGGTACGGGGACTCCCAGGGAGCACAGAGCCGTGGTGCATCTCACAGTCAAGCGTTCTCAACTACATGAAACTGGGGAGCTGAAACGTGCACGGCAGCACACATGCACACCGGGTCACAGGGACTGGCTGTGTCTAGACACTGCCGAGCGTCCCCAGACAACATGCCTGGCTGAGGGCATTGCTCTAGGAAGCTGCCGGGCTGGGGTGGGCCTGACGATCCGTCTCTGGATCGTGGGTAGAGGTGTATGAGCCCGGGGGGCAGCAAGGGCTGAGAAGGGCCAAGGAGCTGGCGGGATGCGCGGTGAGAACAGGCCCACTGTGGGCCATGCACTCCAGGCCGGGTGAGGAGGGAGCGAGGGCCTGTGGCAGGGCAAGAGCTGGGAGCCGAGCACACGAATGGTGGAAAGTGCCAGGGGCCGGCGTGTGGAAATGGCGAGGCCATTGCACTGGAGGGGTTCCCACGAGTCTCCTTCCCCCAGAAGAAAAGGACTTAGGAGAATCCTTAACCTCATCCTTAAGTCTCTGCCAGCACACCCGCCCTCCAGGACACACGCCATCCACCGCCCTAGCCGTCCCCAGTGCCAGCTTTACTGCCACGTATTAACTTCAAAGAAGCATTTGTGTACCAAAGTACACAGAGAAATGCACAAACTCTAAAAAATAACACGAAACAGGACGCGCAGAGGGGAGCCAGACGCACCCAGGCAGGAGACAGCATTCTCAAGCGGCTGAGCATCCGACCGCGGCCAACAACCCACGGGGCAGACCTGCTGTGGAGAGACGAGGAAGACCAAACACAGACTCAGGCATATACGGAGACTGTGTGGGGGACAGAGGGGGTTCCCCAAGGCAGTGGGGTAAGCAGGGACCTTTTTTTTAGACGGGGTCTCACTCTCGTCACCCAGGCTGGAGGGCAGTGGCACAATCTCAGCTCACTACAACCTCCACCTCCCGGGTTCAAGCGATTCTCCTAACTCAGCCTCCCAAGTAGCTGGGATTACAGGCGCCCACCACCATGCCCAGCTAATTTTTGTATTTTTAGTAGAGACGGGGTTTCACCATATTGGCCAGGCTGGTCTCAAATTCCTGACCTCTAGGGATCCACCCACCTCACCCTCCCAAAGTGCTAGGATTACAGGTGTGAGCCACTGCACCTGGCCAAGCAGGGATTTATTTATTTGTTTGTTTGTTTGTTTGTTTATTTTGAGACAGAGTCTTGCTCTTGTTGCCCAGGCTGGAGTGCAATGGCACGATCTTGGCTCACCACAACCTCCGCCTCCTGGGTTCAAGCAATCCTCCTTCCTCAGCCTCCCGAGAAGCTGGGATTACAGGCATGCGCCACCACACCCAGCTAATTTTTATTAGAGATGGGGTTTCTCCATGTTAGTCAGGCTGGTCTCGAACTCCTGACCTCAGGTGATCCGCCCGCCTGGGCCCAAAGTGCTATGATCACAGGCGTGAGCCACCATGCCCGGCCCAAGCAGGGATTTTTTTAATCAATGGAGCTGGGACAACAGGGTAGCCATTCAGAAAACAATAAAGTGAGGTCCCCACCTCGCACCTCTGCGAGAATGAACGGCGGTGGAATCGGAACGTGAGTGTAAAGGAGGAATCATACGAGAGCCAGAAAAAAACGAGGTGAACTCCTCTCCAGCCCCAGAGACGGAAAGGGCTTTACAACCACAGCTCTAATCAAGAGGCAAAGAAAGTAAAGACTCAGAAATGTGACTTTTGTTGAGACAGGGTCTCGCTCTGTCACTCAGGCTGGAGTACAGTGGTGTGATCATAGCTCATGGCAGCCTTGAACTCCTGGGCTCAAGCAATCCTCCCACCTCAGCCTCCTGAGTAGGTGGGACCACAGGCATACACCACTATGCCTGGCTAACTTTTTTTTCTTTTTTGTAGAGATGGGGGTCTCACCATGTTGCCCAGGCTGGTCTCAAACTCCTGGGCTCAAGTGATCCTCCCACAGTCCGGGGACTACAGGTGTAAGCCACCGTGCCCAGCTAACTATTTTTTTTAATTAGCCAGGTGTGGCTAATTACAGGCTCACACCTGTAATTTCAGCTGCTTGGGAGGCCAAGGCAGGAAGACTGCTTGAGCCCAGGAGTTTGAGACCAGCGTGGGCAACATAGTAAGACCTCGTCTTGAAAGAAAGAGAATAAAGAAAAAGAAAGTGAAAAGAAAGAAAGAAGAAAGGAAAGAAAGAAGGAAAGGAAAGGAAAGGAAAGGAGAGAGAAAGGGGAGAGAAAGTAGAGAGAAAGGAGAGAGAAAGGAGAGAGAAAGGAAAGGAAAGGAGAAAGAAAAAAAAACACTCTGCAGGGCAAAAGAAAACCAAACACCAATAACAAAGCCAAAAGGCAATCCAGAGACCGAGGGAAAATATTTGCACTGGGTGAGGTGACTCAAGCCTATAATCCCGGCATTTTGGGAGGCCAAGGCCGGTGAATCACCTGAGGTCAGGATTTTGAGACCAGCCTGACCAACATGGCGAAACCCTATCTCTACTAAAAATATAAAAATTAGCTGGACATGGTGGCACACGCCTGTAATCCCAGCTACTCAGGAGGCTGAGGCAGGAGAATTGCTTGAACCTGGGAGGCGGAGGTTGCAATGAGCTGAGATTGTGCCACTGCACTCCAGCCTGGGCAACAGAACAAGATTCAGTCTCAAAAAGAAAAAAAAAGAAAAAAAAAACACAAAGGAAATATTTGCAATACATACCACAGAGGTTCACATATTGGAGTTTCAAGTTAGGAGGAAAGAGTCAAATATCCAATAGAAAAAAGCAAGTGAAAAGTATGAAGATACAGCTCACAGAAAAGATACAAAAACAGCTTTAATCACAACAAGATGTTCATCACCACTCATAACTACAGGAACAATCATTAGAACTCCACTGAGCCCCCATTTCTCAGCACTGGGATTGGCAAGTATTTAGACATGAAACAGCACACCCTGCTGGCGAGGCAGGGGAACCAGGCCCTCCCAGACGACACAGCTGGCGGAACAGGACTTACATGGGTGTTTAGCATAAAAGCTAACAAAATATGTCTGCACTTCTGACCCAGCAATCCCACTCACGAAAATCTACCATGAAGATACCCTTCCACCAATGTGAAAATCCATATACACCAGGTTACTCACGGCAGCACAGTTCGCCACCGTAAGAGCCTGGAAACAAACTAAATATCTACATGCAGGAGAGACACTGGGTGGACTTCGCTGCATCCCTGCAAGGAACACTACGCAGCTGTGCAGGGGAGCCAGGAAGAGCTCCCTGGCCAATGAAGTGGTTTCCAGGACACACAGCTAAATGAACAGAGCACAGCGCCACTTTCACGTGCGAAAGAAAAGGTATAAGGCCAGGCGCCGTGGCTCACACCTGTAATTCCAGCACTTTGGGAGCCCACTTGAGCCCGGGAGTTTGAGACCAGCCTGGGCAACATAGCAAGACCCTGTATTTCTCTATAAAAACATAAAAAAATTAGCTTGGCATGGTGGCACACACCTGTGGTCTCAGCTAAGTCAGGAGGCCGAAGTGGCAGGATCACTTGAACCCAGGAGGTGAAGGCTGCAACGAGCTGTGATTACACCACTGCACTCCAGCCTGGGCAACAGAGAAAGACTCTGTCTCAAAAAAAAAAAAGAAGGGGACATTAAAAAAATACACATCTGCTTCTTTGAGCTGCCCTGAAAGGCTGAGCCAGAGACTAACGAGATTCCTTTCCTGCAGGGGGTGGGCAGGAATGGGGAGGAGAAAGGGGGTTGATGACACTTCTCCGCCCATGCCTTTTTGTGCAGTCCTGACTCTGGAACCATGCTAATGTTCTATACACTACATCACGTATGTTGAATCAAGAAATCAATCAACAGGCAACTAAAATCAGCAAGAGTTGAGGAGGAAAATCCTTGTCCAAAACACAAACAAAAACAAGTAAACCAAACCTTATTTCAAGCAAACAATATAACCACAGTAAAGAAGGGGGAAAAAAATGGAAGAACTAATCCATGTAAACTTTTAAATACAGTTTGGGACTGTATGTCTTTGAGACAAACAAAAAAGAAATATTGGCTCCTACTCTGGAGGATGCTTTTATGGTAGGCAGTGGGTGGATTCTCACTGTCAGCCAAGGGAGTTACAAATAACGATGGGGAAAGATGGTAAGGGACCCTGGGTGTGGGGCTGGAACTAGAGGTTTCAGTGTGAACTCATGGGCATTAATGGGGATGGATGGATGGATGGATGGATGAATAAATGGATGTACGGATGGATGGATGGATGGACAGACAGATGGATGGATAGGTGAATGAACAGATGGACGGTTGGATGGATGGATAGGTGAATGGGTGGGTGGATGGATGGATGGACAGACGGACAGATGGATCGGTGAATGAATAGATGGATGGACGGATATGTGAATGGGTGGATGGATGGGTGGGTGGATGGATAGGTGGGTGGATGGGTGGGTGGGTGGATGGATGGTAGATAGGTGGGTGGGTGGGTGGGTGGACAGGTGGATAGATGGATAGGTGAGTAAATGGGTGGATAGGTGGGTGGCTGGATGGATGGATAGATGGATAGGTTGGTAGGTGGGTGGGTGGGTGGACAGGTGGATAGATGGATAGGTGAGTAAATGGGATTGGTGGGTGGATGGATGGATGGATAGATGGATAGGTTGGTGGGTGGGTGGGTGGACAGGGGGATAGATGGATAGGTGAGTAAATGGGTGGATGGATGGATAGGTGGGTGGGTGGGTCGGTGTGTGGACAGGTGGATAGATGGATAGGTGAGTAAATGGGTGGATGCGTGGGTGGATGGATGGATGGATAGATGGATAGGTGGGTGGGTCGGTGGGTGGGTGGACGGGTGGATAGATGGATAGGTGAGTAAATGGGTAGATGGGTGGGTGGGTGGATGGATGGATGGATAGATGGATAGATGGACAGGTGGGTGGGTGGGTGGACAGGTGGATAGATGGATAGGTGAGTAAATGGGTGGATGGGTGGGTGGATAGATGGATGCAGAGATGGATACAAATGTCAGGTGTCTGTATGTATACATGTCTATTCATATATACACACACAATGTACATGTGTGTAAGATGTACACACATCTACTTCCCAGCTCTGTCTGATTAGAGGACCTAGAAGCAAAGACACCCCAGTAGCACTGAGCACACGGAGCACCTGGATCTCGGTTTCTAAGTGGCATTCTCCACAAACAGAACCAGGGCTCCTTGGAGATTGGTCAATCCCAGGGATCGACCATGAGGGAGACTACAGGATGAGCTGGGAGCATCCCAGTGCCAAAAAGTTGGGAAGTGCTCCGAGCAGGGTGGGGACATGTCAAATGGCCCAGGAGCCAGCTCGACCGGGCTCTTTCTGGAAAAATGTGGAGCCATCTGAGCAACCAGATCAATCGTGATGGCAGTGGATTATAACCCATTGAACAAAGTAAGAATCCACAAGCCCACCCTGATAGAAATAAGAAAGGAACAAGGGACAGCTGTCCTGTATAGGAGACATCAACTAATAAACGCAGAAGAAATGACAGGACTAGACAACCACCATGCGGCAAGAATCAATGTCTG
Source organism: Homo sapiens (assembly GCF_000001405.40). Lineage (NCBI taxonomy): Eukaryota > Metazoa > Chordata > Mammalia > Primates > Hominidae > Homo > Homo sapiens. The sequence continues at coordinate 4,999,092 of NC_000019.10, read as the reverse complement.
CTGAAACAAGCAGTGAACGTTTGAGGAGTAACGGCGTGTTTACACTGGCCTCCCCATGAGATGCAAATGGTACAATAGTAATGTTAGGGTGGGGAAACCTGGCGGGCCCACCTTAACCAAAGGATCAAGGTTAACATCACCAGAAATGGGACAAATTAGCATGATGGGCCTCCTGATAGGGCGCACTAAGAAGGACCCAATGTCGGCTCCAGGACTTTCCTGCCAAAAGTGTGTGGCCTGAATCTGGTCCTGAGGAACCATCAGACAAACCCACCTGGGGGACATTTAACAGAATGACGGCCTGTACGCCCCCAAAACATCAGAGTCAGAGAACCCAGAGACAGACTCAGGAGCAGCCCCAGGTTAAAAGGAACCGACAGGCAAGACGACTGAGTGCTGTGTTGATCCTGGATTCTCTTCTGACTCTTAAGGACATTACTGCAAAGTCAGAATAGGGTCTGTAGATTTGATTTTATCAGCGTGAATTTCTGATTTTGATAACTTGATACAAAAATTCCTTGTCTGGGGGAAATACACACTGAAGGAGAGGTAAAGGGATGTCATGTCTGCCACACACTGACAGTTTAGGAAGAAGTGCAGGGAAAGAGAATGAGAGGAAAGGATTAAAGGCAAAGCAGGGAATGTCGCCACATGGGGGTCCTGGGTGAAAGGTGTCTGGGAATTCTTCCTATTATTCTTGCAATTTTGGGGTCAGTCTGAAATTATGTCCAAAAAAATTTTATTAAAACAAAAACAACAAAAAAGGGAAGTGTTTGGGTGAAGAGCCAAGAAAACCCAGGACAGACACAGGCTTGGTCACCTGGCACTTCCTTCTGGAACCTTCCACACAAAGGGAGGTGCAGCCCACCTACATCTTTGCCAGGCACTCAACAGGGTCTGGGGAGCACTACGGGCAAAGGCCACCTGTCCGTCCACTGCCCCCAGGCGAGGGGATGGAGCCACACAGAGCGGGGATGCCAGCAGACTTGGGCCCCCAAGCAGGCTCCCACCCAGTCAGGAGGCAACCCCTGGCAGACACAAGAGGACCAGTCCATGTTTCACACTTATTTATAGGTATCTGATGTTCCATAATTAACCATTTAAAACCATAATCATTAACTAAATAATCTATGCATCTACAAACCTGCCTTGTAATTTCATGGTTGTCTGGGAGCCCCAAGGCCTGGGTGGAGAGGGACAGCAGTGCAGAGTGGCACGTCCGCCCCTCACTCCTGGCCCTGGGGCCCGCCAGGTCTAGCAACCTCCTGGAGTGTCACCGTCTTTCTGGGGCCTGCGGCCTTTGGAACAGACCAGACAGTAAGGATGAAGAGGCTGATGACGAGGTCCTGGAGCCCCCATGCAGGCATGACTCTGAGTGCCTGGCATGGCTGACCAGCCCACCAACTCGAGGAGGCAGGGATGACTCTGAGTGCCTGGCATGGCTGACCAGCCCACCAACCGGAGGAGGCAGGGACAGCTATTCCAGCCCATTTCCCAGGAGAGGAAACTGAGGCACAGGCAGGAAGTGGCCTACCCTAGATCACACAGCTAACAACCGGGGAGCCAAGGAGGCAGCTGCAGACCTGAGCGCCACCCACTGGGTACGCAGGCCCAGCCGGCTGGGGTGGACATGTTGGAAACACAAAGCCCAGCCCACCTCGCCGCCCCCAGATGGCAGGTCCTCATGAACCACAGAAGGACACAGTGGAAGCCAGGGGCCGACGCTCCTGGACTCCTAGGGCGGGGGAAACCTCTCTAAGTGGGACACAAACTCGGAAGCCCTAAAGGGAAGGACACATCAGGCAACTTGAAAACATCCTATGTAACAACGCACCAAAAATAAAACTAAAGATAAGTGAGGAACTGAGAAAAAAGGTAACACAATAGGGTGGTAATAGCCCGGGTACAGAAAGGGTTATTCCAAAACAGGGGTTCTCCACCAAGGCTGATCGTGCCCCCAGAGGATGCCTTCCGATGTCTAGGGACATTTATGGCTGTCACGACTGAGGGTGGTGCTGGCGTGGAGGGGGTGGAGGCCAGGGATGCAAAGAACCCACTCACCCAGACCCACACTGCCCAACCATGCAGCTGTGCCCACAGGGAACACTGGGAGGTCTGGGGCTGTCTGTGGTTGTCACGACTAGGGGGTGCTCCTGGCATGCAGTGGGTGGAGGCCAGGGCTGCTGCTCAGCACCCTGCAGGGCCCAGGACAGCCCCACCCCAGAGAAGGACCCAGCTCAAGATAGCAAGAGTGCCGAATTTGAGAAGCTTTGGGTTTGTTTTTTTGTTTTTAAGTCAAGAAAAAAAACATACCAAATCAACAAGCAGGCAAAGGCTATGAACTGGCAACTCAAACAAGAACCAGCACGAGGAGACAGGTTATAAGGAGGGGCAGAGACCAGAGCTGTCCCCAACACAATGACTGTCCCACAATGACTGTGCAGGGGCACAAATTCAGACCACCTCAGGGGACAGCTGAGCAACACGCTTCAAAATAAACTCCAGCCTGGACAACATGGCGAGACCGCGTCACTACTAAAAAAAAAAAAAAATTAGCCAGATGTGGTAGTGCACACATGTGGCCCCAGCAACTTGGGAGGCTGAGGCAAGAGATCGCTTGAGCCCAGGGGGCTGAGGCTGCAAGGAGCTGTGATCATGCCACTGCACTCCAGCCTGGATGACAGAGCAGGTCCCCCTCTCAAAAACATAAAAATAAAACAGGCACACACACTCTGAGCAACCCCACCTAGAAGGGCTGGCAGCAAGGATGTGGCCAGCAGCATTGTTTAAAAGAGAAAAAAGTAGTTCGGTGCAGTAGCTCACGCCTATAATCCCAACGCTTTGGGAGGCTGAGGTAGGCTGATCACCTGAGGTCAGGAGTTTGAGACCAGCCTGGCCAACATGGAGAAACCCCATCTCTACCAAAAATACAAAAATTAGCCAGGCGTCGTGGCACATGCCTGTAATCCCAGCTACTCAGGAGTCTGAGGCAGGAGAATCACTTGAACTGGGAGGAGGAGGCTGCGGTGAGCTGAGATCACACCACTGCAGGCCAGCCTGGGCGACAGAGCGAGACACTGTCTAAAAAGAAAGAAAGAGAGAGAGAAAAGTAAGTGCTCATTAGTAGGAGAATGGGTAAGTAAATTACACATATCTGTACCAAAATAAAGGACTGCAGAGCCACTGAGAAGCAAAGATCTACGCGTGACACCGCGGCGACCAGGAGCGCCAACACCAAGACAGGCCATTTCAGGGTCGCAGGATGCAGGGACATTTGTAGTTCACACGCCAACCATACTTACATATCCCTTTTATAAAAACAACGAGTATTTAAAGGGAGCCAGCCTGGGATACTGTGCTGGGACCCAAGGTCCCTCCAGCAGCTCACTGGCTGCTCTGCGTAGAGGATGAGAGTGCCTCTCAGGAAAGGGATGCATATTCCTGGGGTTGAATGATCATCAAAACGATGATGGCACCCACTCTCTACCAATTCAAATTAAAAATGCCAAGCCTCGGCCAGGCACAGAGGATCATGCCTGTAATCCTAGCACTTTGGGAGGCCAAGGTAGGCAGATCGGTTGAGGTCAGGAGTTCGAGACCAGCCTGGCCAACATGGAGAAACTCCGTCTCTACTAAAAACACAAAAATTAGCTGGATGTGGTGGCGGGTGCCTGTAATCCCAGCTACTCAGGAGGCTGAGGCAGGAGAATCGCTTGAACCCAGGATTCTTGCTCTGTTGCCCAGAGTAAGAATCCATCTCAAAAAAAAAAGACCTGCCTCCAAGTGGGTGAGACCCACTGACACAGATTTGGAGTCTTGTGTCAGGAACAGGGCTACAAACTCATCAGTTTCAGTGGTGCAAGGGAGATGAAAAGAAGCCAGAAACACAAGGAGAGGGATGACAGGGGAGCTGGTGTCCTTCCCAAGCCCTGCTCCCGAGACAGTGGGGTCTCCAAATGGTTTTGATGATCACAGGTCCTAAGAGGGCTTTGATGTGTTCATTTCACTGAATGTGAGGAGGAATGAGCAAAAGAAGAGGCACCATTCAGGCAAACAAACACATCAGCATCCTTGAAAACCCAAGCCATTGAACTGATTAAGTGAAATCCTGATTGCTAAGCACAGTTCAAAAGGAGTAAGCACAGCCTTGCTTCAAATGATATTGGGGATCTGAAGTCGATTCTGAGAAGTTAAGATGCCTATAAGACCGACAGCAACTACTAAGAAAATACTTCCAAAAATATAGTGCTAACAATCATGAAAAGAATTAAAATATTACACTAGAAAATATTCACTTAATGCAAAAGAAAACATCAAAGAAGGAATAAAGGAACAAAATAGAAAACAAAAAGGGAAATGGCAGGTACAAATCCAACTATATCAATAACGGCATTAAATATGAATGGATTAAACATCCAATCAAAAGACAGAAATTGTCAGACTGGATTTAAAAAACAAGATCCAACTATATACTATACTATATACTGTCTTCAGGGGACACTTTTTTTTTTTTTTTTTTTTTTTTTTGAGAGACAGAGTTTCACTCTTGTTGCCCAGGCTGGAGTGCAATGGCATGATCTTGGCTCACTGCAATCTCCACCTCCCGGGTTCAAGCGATTCTCCTGCCTCAGCCTCCTGAGTAGCTGGGACTACAGGCATGCGCCACCACGCATGTGTATTTTTAGTAGAGACAAGGTTTCTCCATGTTGGTCAGCCTGGTCTCAAACTCCCAACCTCAGGTGATCCACCCGCCTCGGCCTCCCAAAGTGCTGAGATTACAGGCGTGAGCCACTGCGCCCAGCCAGGGGACACTCTTTAGATTCAAAGATACGAACAGGCTGAAAATAGGCTGGGCACAGTGGCTCACACCTGTAATCCCAACACTTCGGGAGGCCTAGGCAGGCAAACTGCTTGAGCCCAGGAGTTCGAGATCAGCTTAGGCAATGTGGCAAAACCCGTCTCTACAGAAAAAACACAAAAATTAGCCAGGTATGGTGGTGCATGCCGGGAGGTCGAAACCCTGTCTCAAAAAAGACAAAACAACAATAACAAAAAAAAAAAAAAAAAAAAAACAGGCTGAAAATATAAAAATTAAACGTGTAACATGCAAACAGGAACCATAAGAAAGCTGGAGTGGCTACACTAACATCAGACAAAATAGACTTAAAAAAAAATGTGCCAGGTGTGGTATAATGACTCATGCCTGTAATCCAAGCACTTCAGGAGGCCAAGGTGGGAGGATCACTTGAGTTCAGGAGTTTGACACCAGCCTGGGCAACATAGTAAGACCTCACCTCTGTTAAAATTCAAAAAAATTAGCCAGGCGTGGCAACACACACCTGTAGTCCCAGCTACTTAGGATGCTGAGGCAGGAGGATTACTTGAGCCCAGGAGGCTGAGGCTGCAATGAGCCATGATCGCAACACTGCACTCCAGACTGGGCAAAAGTGCAAGACTCCATCTCAAAAAAAAAACAAACAAAAAAGTTACTAGAGATAAAGAGGGACATTTTATAATGATAAAAAGGTGAATCCATTAGCAAGATACAGCAATTATAAACATATATGCATCTAATAACAGAGCCCCAAAATACATGAAGCAAAAAATGACAGAAATAAAAGGAGAAGTAATTCAACAATAGCTGGAGATGTCAATACCTTCACTTTCTTTTTTTTTTTTCCCTTGAGATGGAGTCTCACTCTGTCGCCCAGGCTGGAGGGTAGTGGGGTGATCTCAGCTCACTGCAACCTCTGCCTCCCGGGTTCAAGCGATTCTGGTGCCTCAGCCTCCCGAGTAGCTGGAATACAGGCATGCGCCACCACACTCGGCTAATTTTTGTGTTTTTAGTAGAGACAGGGTTTTGCCTTGTTGGCCAGGCTGGTCTCAAACTGCTGACCTCAGGTGATCCACTCACCTCGGCCTCCCAAAGTGCTGAGATTACAGGCATGAGCCCCCATGCCCGGCTCATACCCTCACTTTCAATAAAAGATAACACAACTAGCAGAAGAGCAACAAAGAGAGAGACTTGAGCACTATAAGCCAAAAGAATCTATAGAACATATTCTCTTCTCAGTACATATGGAACATTCTCCAGGATAAACCATATGTTAGTCCATAAAACAAGCCTCATTAAATTGAAAAGAATTCAGATCATCCAAAGTAAGTTCTCCAACCACAATGGAAATTAGAAATCAACAACAGAAAGTAATTTGGGGATTCACAAGTACATGGAAATTAACCAACATACTCCTAAATAATCACAGGGTTGAACAGGAAGAAAATATTAGAAAATATTTTGAGGTGAATGAAAATGAACTCACAACAAAGTAAAACTTATAGGATGGCCAGACACAGTGGCTCATGCCTGTAATCCCAGCACTTTGGGAGGCCAAGGTGAGAGGAATGCTTGAACCCAGGAGTACGAGACCAGCCTGGGGAAATATAGTGAGACCTCCTCTCCACAAAATTATTTTTTAAATTAGCCAGGGATAGTAGCACATGCCTCTGGTCCCAGCTACTTGGTGGGCTGAGGTGGGAGGATTGCTTGAGCTCGGGAGGTCAAGGCTGCAGTGATTTGTGACTGCACCACTGCACTCCAGTCTGGGCAACAGAGCAAGATCCTATCGCAAGGAAAAAAAAAAAGTACAGGTTGCAGCTAAAGCAGTACTTAGAGGGAAATTTATAATTGCCTATACAGTTTTTAAAAAGAGGAAGATCTCAAATATTAATTTAAGCATCTCCCTTAAGACACTGGAAAAAGAAGAGCACACGGAAACTAAGGCAGATGGAGCACAGTACGTAACAAAGATAACGAGCAAAAATAAACAAAATAGAGACAGCCAATGAAACCAAAAGTCGGTCCCTTGAAAAGACCAGTAAAACTGTCGAAGGTAAATGTCTTCGTGACATTTTGTTATCTGCACAGATTCCTGGAACCGCCACTGCAATCAGATACAGGGCTGTTCCGTCAACACAAAGGAACTCACTCTGCTTCCACTCTGTCGCCCCCAGGCCCTGGCAACCTTGGATCTTGTCCTCCATCTCTGGAGAACTCAAATTGCTAAAATCGGGAATGAAAGATGGGACCTTACCACTGCCACCCGTCTCACAGAAATAAGCAGAATGAGAAAACAACACCCGTATGGAGAACTACTGAGTAATAAAAGAAAGTAACTACTGATACACACAACAACTTCGACAGATTGCAAGCGAAAAAACCCAATCCCAAGAGGTTAAATACGCTGTGATTCCATCTACATAACATTCTCAAAAGGGCAAGGTTACAGAGATGCAGAGATCCTCAGCCGTCGCCAGGGCCTGGGGGTGACAGAAGGGAGAAGCAGAGCGTTCCTTTGTGTTGACAGAACAGTTCTGTATCTTGATTGCAATGGTGGTTCCTGGAATCTGTGCAGGTAACAGAATGTCGCAAAGACTCTACCAAAAGAATGAGCCAGTGCTAACACTGAGGACGCCTGAGGAAGGTCTGAAGCCACAGTGTCCTGTGTCAATTTCCTAGTTTTAACGGGACACTAAAGTTATGTAAAATGTTACCACTGGAGACAGCAGGGTGAAGCCTAGGGAAATCTCTTTATTATTTTTGCAACACCTTGGCAGTCTATAATTCATTCTTATTTTTGCTTTTGTAGCGACAGGGTCTCACTGTGTTGCCCAGGCTGGTCTCGAACTACTGGACTCAAGTGATCCTCCCACCTCTGCCTCCCAAAGTGCCTGGATGACAGGTGTGAGCCACCACACCCAGCCTCTGTAATTCTTTAAAAATTAAAAGTTAACAAAAATAATATGAGGGCTATTTCACCACAGATGGGGGTAGGGCAGGGGGGGTTGCCATGGGTTGATGGTTTTGGGGCTGGGTGAGGGGCCTGGGGGGCTCGTTATTCCATGTTGTCTACCTTTCTGTGTAGTCAAATTCTCCATAACAGTGTTTTTATTTTTATTTTTTGCTTTACTATTTTTTGAGACCGAGTCTCACTCTGTCGCCCAGGCAGGAGTGCAGCGGCACAATCTCAGCTCACTGCATCCTCCGCCTCCTGGGTTCAAGCAATTCTCCTGTCCCCTCCCTAGTAGCTGGGACTACAGGCGCCCGCCATCACGCCCAGCTAATTTTTGTATTTTTAGTAAAGACGAGGTTTCACCATATTGGTCAGGCTGGTCTCGAACTCCTGATCTCAGGTGGTCCGCCCACCTCAGACTCCCAAAGTGCTGGGATTATAGGCGTGAGCCATCATACCCGGCCCATAATAAAGTTTTTTAAAAAAAATAATAAAGGGAACCAACACAAGAATAGCACTAAGAAGGGCCTTATCCATCCGGGTTTATAAATATCCTTCAAAATGCACAGTGTTAGAATTACGGGCCATCTCATCGAATATTCTCCCCAAAACAAAGGCCGGAGAGGCGACCAGAACTAGTTCAGTGTTTGTACAACACAGATCTAAAAGAGACACTGGATTACCCCCAGGCCAACTTCCATAATGACAGTATTAAAACACGGCATGTGAGCTTTGCCCAATACTCATGACCTCTAGATGAGCTCTCCACGGCCCCAGGATCCCAGGCACAGCCCTCCCATCTCCTCGCCACGCTGCCTTCAGACTCAGGTAACAGATGCATCCTGCCAGAGGCCACCTGCCCCAGGCCCTCATTCCAGTACAGAAACCTGCACTGCTAAGTCAGGGCATGTCTGCCTCGGGCTCCACACAAGTGTCTCCCTTTCTAAGTCCCTGTTTTTGGGTGGAAGTGAACTGCTCTAACACCAAGGTTCTGACCCTCTTTTTGTGGGGCGGGGACAGGGTCTCACTCTTTTGCCCAGGCTGGAGCACACTGGTGCAATCGTGGCTCACTGCAGCCTCAACCTCCTGGGTTCAAGCGATCCTTCTGCCTCAGCCTCCCAAGTAGCTGGGATTACAGGTGCCACCTCCATGCTCAGCTAAGCTTTTAATTTTTTTGTAGAGACTGGGTCTCATTATGTTGCCCAGCCTGGTCTTGAACTCCTGGCCTCAAGTGATCCTCCCACCTCAGCCCCCCAAAGCGCTTGGATGACAGGCATAAGCCACCCACTGCACCTGGCCCAAACTGTTTCTAAAGGAAATTAACAAGGGATGACATGAAAAGGAAGACTGAGTCAGACACCGTGGCTCACGCCTATAATCCCAGCACTCGGAGAGGCCGAGGCGAGTGGATCACCTGAAGTCAGGAGTTCAAGACCAGCCTGGTGAACAAGGTGAAACCCTATCTCTACTAAAAATGCAAAAATTAGCCGGGCACAGTGGCGCATGCCTGTAATCACAGCTACTTAGGAGGCTGAGGCAGGAGAATCGCTTGAACCCAGAAGGCAGAGGTTGCAGTGAGCCAAAATCGTGCCCTTGCACTCCAGCCTGGACAACAAAGTGAAACTCCATCTCACAAAAAAAAAAGAAGAAGAAGAAGAAGAAGACTGGGCATGGTGGCTCATGCCTGTAATCCGAGCACTTTGGGAGGCTGAGGCAGGCGGATCACCTGAGGTCAGGAGTTCAAGACTAGCCTGGCCAACATGGTAAAACCCTGTCTCTACTAATAATACAAAAAAATTAGCTGGGCGTGGTGGTGCATGCCTGTAATCCCAGCTACTGGGGGAGGCTGAGGCAGGAGAATCGCTTGAACCTGGGAGACGGAGGTTACAGTGAGCCAAGATCGTGCCACTGCACTCCAGCCTGGGCGACAGAGCAAGACTCTGTCTCAAAACAAACAAACAAACAAAAAAAAACAAAGAAAAAGAAACAGAAACAGAAAAAAGAAAGGAAGACTGGCAGACACAGCCAACAGCACGTGTGAACACGGCCCCCCTGCCCCACCATCCTTAGGCAAAGAACCAGCACTCTGCAAGCGGCTTCCACCCCAGGCCACAGGGCCCTTCACAGAGCACCCTGCCAAGCCCTCCACGGCAGCGACTCACCTCTACCACTTCAGCACTGTCCAGACAGCCACCCTCCCGTCCTCTCATCACAGACAAGGAAGCGGAGGCAAGGGACCGGCCCAGTGAGACTGTGAAATACATTTTGTCCTGTTTCCTGGCCTACGACTCCCCCAGATCCTCGGAATTCTCCAGTGTGCTAATGAGGTGACTAAGGGCTTGGCAGCCCCTCGGGAGCTGAGGGAATAGGGCTGCTCACTGAAAAGACCCAGGCTGGACGGGAGGGGAGGGGCATGTGGCTGAAGGCTGACTTGATCACCCAGGCCAATGCAGTGAGGTCACCCAAGCCTCTGCGAGGAAGCTGAGGTAAAACCCGGAGGACTGGGATGGAAGCTTCCCCACAGATGAATGCGTGGAGGTTCCTGGAGACGTCACAGCCCGGGGAGAGCACGGAACCCTCTGTGCCCCTTCCCACATCCCTCACCCTACACATGTCTTCATCTGCCTCCTTTGTAAAATCCTTTCTAATAAGCTGGTAAACGTAAGTAACAGCTCCCCTGAGTTTTGAGAGGTGCATTAGCAAATTAAGCTCAAAGAAGGGTTCATGAGGCCGGGCACGGTGGCTCATGCCTGTAATCCCAGCACTTTGGGAAGCCGAGGCGGGTGGATCACGAGGTCAGGAGATTGAGACCATCCTGGCTAACATGGTGAAACCCCGTCTCTACTAAAAATACAAAAAATTAGCCGGGCGTGGTGGCGGGCACCTGTAGTCCCAGCTACTCCGGAGGCTGAGGCAGGAGAATGGCGTGAACCCAGGAGGCGGAGCTTGCAGTGAGCCTAGATCGCACCACTGCACTCCAGCCTGGGAAACACAACAAGACTCCGTCTCAAAAAAGAAAAAAAAAGAAGGGTTCATGAGAAGGCTGGTTTCCAGCGCGTCCAGCAGAAGCTCAGGACACAGCCTGGGGCTTGTGACTGGCATGGGCCGTGGGGTTAGGTACGTGGGGAGGAGCCCGCAGCCTGTCCTGCCCGATGCAGCCCCCAGGTAGGAGTGAACTGAACGGAGGGCCCCAGCTCCTGCCCCTGCACCGCTTTGCTCGCGTGTGCTGGAAGGGATCTGTGACTGCTCTGACAGCCTGGGAGAAACTGAGTTTGTTATTCCCACGTTCTCAGGCCCAAGACCACATCGCTGTGCAGGAAGTGGCCGAGCTGGGGGCGTGAAACCAGCTGCTGCACCCTGGGAGTAGCAGTGATCTCCCCACTCCACATTCAACCCACCAGCCAGGCCTATCCTGTCTACCTCCAAAAGCCACCCCCAGTCCAGGCCGCAGCCCCAGCCCAGACCCCCTTCTCCTGAGCCATTGCCATGAATCACCTGGGCGACGCCTGGAGTTTCCCGACAGGTCCCCTGCTTTCACTCCTGACAGCCACCAGAGAGGTCTTTAAAACACATATACTGGCCGGGCGCAGTGGCTCACGCCCATCATCCCAGCACTTTGGGAGGCCTGACAGCAGAAGCATTGCCATCCCGGACAAGCCCCTCATTCTAAAAGTTCACCTTAATAAAAGACCGCTAAATCCAAAGGGTATCAGCCTAACAGCTAAGATCAGCATGACCATAAACCACAAATAGCATCTCCAGCCAGAAACATCGCAAACTCCTCCCCAACCAGAGACATGCCAGCCCCGAGATAACCCCCCTCCGGCCGGGAAGATGTCTGCCCCAAGATAACCTCCCCTCCTCCCAGACAGATTCCAGCCCTGCCATAAACTTCTCCACACACAGAAACGTTCCAAGCTTGTGATAAGCCCCTTCACCCTAAAACCAATATATACTCTTAGTCTATAAGAGAAAGCGCTCCTGACCGCAATCGGCCAAGAGCGCCTCTCAGGTTTTAACTAAAGAAAACTTGCCTTTAACTGCCAGCTGCATTTTGTGTTTCTTTCCTCTTTCTTTAACTCTTACAAGGCCGAGGAGAGCAGATCACCTGAGGTCAGGAGTTTGAGACCAGACTGGGCAACATGGCGAAACCCCATCTCTACTAAAAATATAAAAATTAGCCAGGCGTAGTGGCGGGCGCCTGTGATCCCAGCTACTCAGGAGGCTGAGGCAGGAGAATCGCTTGAACCCAGTAGGCAGAGGTTGCAGTGAGCCGAGAGATTGTGCCACTACGCTCCAGCCTAGGCGACAGAGCAAGACTCCGTCTCACAAAAAAAAAAATAAAATAAAATAAAAATAAAAAAAGGCATAAACCTCTGACAGCAGTGCCTCCAGCCTTTGCCCTCACGGCTGACTAGGCAGCAGGCACTGCTGCTCCGGCCTCTGTGCCCCTGCAGTCCTCTCTGCTCCTGCCAGCTCAGTGAGCTGCGCCTCGTTCCGCCTTGGGGCCTCCGCACGTGCTGCCTGCACTTCTTTGGAGCACTCTTGTCCCAAATCCTGCAAAGGTGGGCAGGTGTGAGTCGCTCAGAGGTCTCTGACTGAATGTCACCTGCTGGGAGAGGCCCTCCCTGTTCCCCCGGCTAAAGCAGCGCCGCCCCTCGAGGGCCCTAATCCAGGCTCTCTCCAGTCCTCACGTCTTCCTCGCCGGCCCCTCAGCACCTGGCCTGGCACAGTAAACATGGAGACGCTGGAGGACACAGCCTCCCGAGCCCTCCTCTGTGCCCGCCGACCTGCCATGGCAGGGGGCAGGTGCCTTCGCTGTCTTCTGCTATCAGGGACAGCAGAGTCAGCTGACTGTGAAGAGCACCCCTGAAGCTTCTACTTGGCAGCCAGGACCAAGAGTCCCCACGGCCAGCGCTCAGTGGCCATCACCCGTTTACTCCGCCATCGCCCCACAGGGAGGCACACGGAGACACTGCCCCAAGTCAGTGGCACTGACAGAGTTCACGAGCTCGGGTCCCACGCCAGGCTCTGGCTCTAGACTCCAAACCAAGCGCTGCCCCGAATGTGGCTCGTGAAGCCCCTGTGAGGCCGCAGACATGCTGGCCCTTGGCGAGCGCCATGGCACACGGGGCACATCAGGACCCCATCACAGCCCCCACGGCAGGTCAGACCAGGACCAAGTCCTGAATCCATCACTACTCCCCCGGGGCACCAGAGAGGGGACCAATCCAAGCCGGGCTGGGGAGCTCCTTCCCAAGATGATCTCTTTCAGCTCAGGCTAAAAGAGAAGCTCAGGCTGAGAAGAGATCCGATTTCTCTTCTGGGCTGTTTCAGGCCCAGACAGCGAGGGAAAAACCGGGAGACGGCCGGTGCAGAACACACAGAGGTGGAGGGCTGGGCGCCGGGGAGGCTTCCTGAGACACACACAGCCTTGGCCAGAGACAGACAGTCCCAATCCGCGCTCCCAGGCTGCGCTCCTGGAACCGGTGCTGAGGCTCAGAGCAAAACCATCCGCCCACAGGATGAGCGGTCCTGGCCCAACGCTGGGGGCAGTGAAGGCGGGTCTGGGTTCCAGCACCAGCTCATCCGCTCACCATCCAGGCTTCCACTGCACATTCGGCCCCCAAAGCCTCCTGCCATGCTCACACCCGCCTCTCACCCGGCACAGCACGCGGGGCCAGATCCCTTAATTCCATCCTCACCACCCTCGGGCTCCAAGCCTCCCATGGCAGCCCCAGCCTGCACAGCAGGATCCTCTGCCTGTCACCCAGCAGCATCACAGGTCTCCACTTGGGAATCCCAGCCTCACAGAGCTAGAACATTCTACCACCTCTAAACCAGCCGCCTGGAGCCCACGGAGGGCCCCTCCCAAACATCCACATGGATGGAGCAGAGACCTCGGAAGCTCACTGGAGATGACGGCAGCTTGTATTGTTTTGTTTCCACTTCACTGTCATTGCTGATTTTTTTTTTTAAGAGACGGAGTCTCGCTCTGTTGCCCAGGCTGGAGCGCAATGGCGCGATCTCGGCTCACTGCAACCTCCACTTCACAGGCTCAAGAGATTCTCCTGCCTCAGCCTCCCGAGTAGCTGGGACTGCGGGCGTGCACCACCATGCTGGGCTAATTTTTGGATTTTTAGTAGAGAAGGGGTTTCACCATGTTGGCCAGGCTGGTCTCAAACTCCTGACCTCAAGGTGATCTGCCCGCCTTGGCCTCCCAAAGTGCTAGGATTACAGGCGGGAGCCACCGTGCCCAGCCTGTCATTGCTAATTTTTATACCATAAAATAAATTATTTTTCTAATGAACATCCCTCTAGGAAACTTGTTAGGGTAACACCCACTGTGACCCAGCAGATCCCGAAGGCTGCAGCCCTCCCTTTGGCTAAAGGCCAAATTAATTAGTACAGGGAGACCTCGGGTTTCACGGAGCAGGTGCCAGACCCCCAGGTACATTAGTAACTCCTGGGCAGTGGCATCTGGTACCCTGCGAAGTGGGGGTTACAGCAGGGACACCTCTGTCCGAGCCAGGGGACAGCCCAAGGGCACAAAATGCAACCAGATCCTTCTCACCAAGAGGAGAGTGTTTGCAAGACCCACAGACACACCCCAAGCCCTCCCGAGGGCCCCAGCGGCATCATGCAGCAGAGGGGCATGTTCTCTGGATCTGTCAGTCCCCAACACACTCCAAGTTCACCGGAGCAGAAAACCTGACGAGGCGTACGGAACAGGCCGGAACAGGAGAGACGCGGAGTCCTGGTCTTGGGGTCAACGCTGCCTCGGGTCCAGCTTCCCCCAGAAACCCCCACGCCTGCTTCCTGGCCCATAAAACCCCGGCCAACCCACCTGGCTGCCCCATTATAATAAAGAGGCCGCAAAAACTATTATTTTCAAGTTGCTTTATGATCACTTCCACGGCTCCTTAACTTCCTTTCCAGCACAAACACGAAGAGCAGCATAAACCCTAAGCTGTCTTGGAATGGAAAAAGATTTTAGAAACTTCTAGTGCAGCACCTCTATTCACAGTCAAGAGCAGAAACAAGCCCAGAGAAAAATCATTCCTGTGACCTCCCGGGGCCCAACCTGGCCAGCGCCACTCTGGATTGGGGCCTCAGCCTCCGCTCGGTGGATGCTGGCCTGGAGCCTTCCCTGGGATGAGGCCGCCCGGGGCACTGCAGGGTGCTGAGCAGTGTCCTTGCCCTCCACCCACCCCACGCCAGGAGCACTCCTAAATCCTGACCATCACAAATGTCCCCAGCTGTGGCCAGGT
This sequence comes from Homo sapiens, assembly GCF_000001405.40. Taxonomy (NCBI): domain Eukaryota; kingdom Metazoa; phylum Chordata; class Mammalia; order Primates; family Hominidae; genus Homo; species Homo sapiens. Next base: position 4,984,031 of record NC_000019.10, on the reverse strand, counting down.
GTCCCTTAAGAGACAGAATTGCCCCTGGGGTGAGAACTACTTCACCAAGGGCTTTTCGCGTGGTAATTCAGTTAACCTCACCCAGCCTTGAAGCGGGACCTGCAGAGCCACCCCCACTTTGGAAATAAAGACACAGACCCAGGAGAGGTGGATCTGAGCCCAGCAGGCTACGTGCATGGGTAGCAGGTCTCCGGGTGTCCATCCTCCCTGCTGCGAATCCTCCCGCAATCCTGCCCTGATAGCTCAAGCCCTTTGAAGCCGCCTGTGGCTATAGGATGTTATTCCTGGGCGGTGCTGATCCACAAGTCTCTCTTCTGGGCTTTCCTACAGCCAAAGAAGCATTCCAACTTCCTGCCATTCTCTTCCCGGAAACACCTCCTCAGTGCCAAGCGCCTCCTAAGCCCCACCAGCCCTGCGCCTCCCCACCAGCTGCGATGCCAGAGGCGCTGCCCAGGCTGGGCCGCCAGGACCCCTTGGCCCCCAGGACCAGTCCACGGTTCAGTGCTCCCTGGCAAAGGCGAGAGACTGTGGGCGAGAGCCCACTGGGAAGATAGGCCAGGACCACCGCCAGACAGCCTAGCTCTTCTTCAGCCGCACCTGTCGCAGCGTGTCCTGCCATTGCTGGTGAATGTCAGGTGTGTCTCATCTCTCCAGCCAGACACCATCAGAGCCATAAGTCCTGCCTGGGATAGGCGGGGGCAGGATTGGGAGGGTGGGAGGAAGGAGCGTGGGCCCTGGTCCACTAAGCACCAGGACCCCATCTATAGCACCAGGCTGGCATCACGCTCAGTGCATCCGGGGCCAGGGCCCTCCCCAAATGATCAACCACGTAGGGCCAGCTCTCAGGGGAAATACACAATGAATGTCAAAGACAGCACCCAAAAAAAAAAAAAAAAGAAAAGAAAAAGCAGTGTGAAACATCTCACCAACAGTTTTGAAGATGATGATTACATGCTGAAATGATAAAACTGGGGGTATACTGGGTTCAATACAATACACTGTAATAATTAATTTCCCCCATTTCTCTTCACCTTTTAACTCAGCTACCAGAAAATTCAGACACACGGGCTTGTTCTGCATCCTCACTGGACAGCGCTGCCTTAAAACATACATCACTTTTAGGCCAGGTGCAGTGACTCACACCTGTCATCCCAGCATTTTCAGAGGCCAAGGCAGGCAGATCACGAGGTCAGGAGTTTGAGACCAGCCTGGCCAACACAGTGAAACTCTGTCTCTACTAAAAATACAAAAATTAGCTGGGTGTGGTGGCACGCGCCTGTAGTCCCAGCTACTCAGGAGGCTGAGACAGGAGAATCGCTTGAACCCGGGAGGTGGAGGTTGCAGTGAGCCGAGATCTCGCCACTGCACTCCAGCCTGGTTGACACAGTGAGACTCCGCCACAAAAAAAGAAAGAGAGAAAGAGAGAGAGAGAGAGAGAGAACATCACTTTTGGTTATACAGACAAGCCATTAAAAACATAGAAATAAAAATAATTTTAAATTTTTTTAAAAAAAGGAAATACAACATTTTACATATACATCCAGGTTTTCTTCTAGAGGCTTTTTTTTTTTTTTTTTTTGAGACGGAGTCTTGCTCTTGTCACCCAGGCTGGAGCGCAGTGGTGCGATCTTGGCTCACTGCAACCTCCGCCTCTCAGGTTCAAGAGATTCTTATACCTCAGCCTCCTGAGTAGCTGGGATTACAGGCATGTGCCACTGCGTCTGGCTTTTTTTTTTTTTGGAGACAGAATCTCACTGTGCTGCCCAGGCTGGAGTACAGTGGTGCAATCTTGGCTCACTGCAGCCTCCATCTCCCAGGTTCAAGCGATTCTCCTGCCTCAGCCTCCAAGTAGCTGGGATTACAGGCCTGCACCAACACACCAGGCTAATTTTGTGTATTTTTTAGTAGAGACGGGGTTTTGCCATGTTGGCCAGGCTGGTCTCAAACTCCTGACCTCAGGTGATCTGCCCACCTCAGCCTCCCAAAGTGCTGGGATGACAGGCATGAGCCACTGCACCTGGCTCTTCTAGAGGTTTTGTAATCGTTTTAGTAACATGTTCTCATCTCTGCTACATGTGGGGTTGGCTTCTGGCCATGGTGTGAGGCAGGGGTCCACCTTCACCACATGACACTTGGTAGTGTTTAGTTACGTGACCGCCCCCTGCCATGGGGTCTTCCCATGTTCATCAGCAGCCCCTGGGGTACTGATGGGGCACCCCAGGTAACCCACATCCTCTGTCAGGGGAGAGCAGGTGACAGTCCCCAGGCACATCACTGTCCCCACAGGGAGAGCACTGCAGAGCAGGTGGGAAGAGGTGGGGCTTGGCACTGGGCTGACTGTACAGCACCGCCGGTGCCTGGCAGTGTCACCTGCTCCCCTGGAGAACCCACCTGCACTCCCAAGGGGCCCGGCGTGGTGGGGGGGGCTCCCACTCACCCCTTTAACCTCCTGGGGGGACGTCCAGGTGGAGGCTGCTGGGCCCCAGGGGCACATTTAGAACCTGATGGCCACCTCCTAAGGCTCACAACCCTGTCAGGGCTGGGACCAGGCCCCGGACCAGGAAAGGGAAGTGACCCAGGGAGCAGCGTGCTCTCCAACCCCAGGCTGGATTCGCGGGAGCAGCTCTGGGGAAGAAAGGCCCTGGCATCTTCTCACAAGCCCCTCAGGGAGGCCGGCACAGCTAACCAGACAGCGGGGTGACACCAAAAACAGGACGAGGGGGACAGGACAGCCGTCGGGCCCTGGTGTGGTGGACTCAGGGGTCCTGCTCACCAGGGGTGACCTTACAGGACACAGCAAAGGGCAAGTCAGAGCTGTGGTCAGCTGGGGCCACGCTGCCCCATGGAGCGGAGACACAGGGGCCCTGTGGCTGCACAGAGAGGTCCCTGCCAGGGCCCCACTGGCTGAGGCACGCCAGCTCAGGCTGAGAGAAGAGGCCCGTGGCGCGGACTCGCCACTAATGACCTGGAGCCTAGACCCTGTGGCCTCACAGGGTACCTCTGCACCCCTGCAGGCCCGCCGGGCCACTGCACCTCAAAGCCTAGCCGCAGCCCAGCATCCGCCAAGCTGACCCCGCCCACCCCAGCCCCACAAATGGTTTCTATGCTGTGTCTGCCCCGGGGCCATCTCGGCCTGTATTCTGCATGGTGCAGCACAGGAATCCCTGAGCTCTGCCACAGACTGGGGAGAGGATGGGGCTGAAAAAATGAGAACAACTTAAATGCCCACTGAGATGAATGGAAAACAAAACAGGACACCCCCCGCACAGGGGAATAGGATGCAGCCAGGTAAAGAGACAAAGTGGGCCGGGCGCGGTGGCTCACGCCTGTCATCCCAGCACTTTGGGAGGCCGAGGCAGGCAGATGACTTGAGGCCAGGAGTTCGAGACCAGCCTGGCCATGTAACATGGTGAAACCCCATCTCTACTAAAAATACAAAAATTAGCCGGGTGTGGTGGCAGGTGCCTGTAATCCCAGCTACTCAGGAGGCTGAGGCAGGAGAATCACTTGAACCCAGGAGGCGGAGGTTGAGGTGAGCTGAGATCATGCCACTGCACTCCAGCCTGGGTGGCAGAGTAAGACTCCATCTCAAAAAAAAAAAAAAAAAAAAGAAAGAAAAGGGACAAGGCTCTGACACATGCCATGCGTGGATACACCTTGAGAATATCACGCCCACTGAGAGAAGCCAGACACAACAGGCCACACAGTGTGTGACTCCATCTCTATGAAATGTTCAGGACAGGCCAATCCAGAGACAGGAAAGAGATGTGTGGGTACCAGCAGATGGGGGAGGGGATGGATAGTGACCACTGGTGGAGGCAGAGTGCCTTTGTGTAATAATAGAAAGGTTCTAACATTTGATAGTGGTGACGGTTGCACAACTGTGTCAATGTACTAAAAACCACTAAATTGTATCTTTTTTTTTTTGAGAAAAGGTCTTGCTCTGTCACCCAGGCTGGAGTGCAGTGGCATGATCTCAGCTCACTGCAGCCTCCGCCTCCTGGGTTCAAGCGATTCTCATGCCCCAGCCTCCCAAGTAGCTGGGACTACAGGCGTGCACCACTATGCCTGGCTAATTCTTTTGTATTGTTAGTAGAGATGGGGTTTCACCATTTTGCCCAGGCTGGTCTCAAACTCCTGACCTCAAGTGATCTGCCCACCTCAGCCTCCCAAAGTGCTAGGATTGCAGGCATGAGCCGCTGTGCCCAGCCTGAATTGTATACTTTAAGAAGATGAATTTCATAGTATGTGAATGATAGCTCCATAAAAATATATATTTTTTAAAATGGCAGGATCATTTCTAAGGGAGGCTGTCCTAGAAAATTCAGAACCTGGCCAGCACACTGACGCCAATAGTTGGGCAACTGTGAGGTGGCCCTCCCTGGTGACAGGAATGGCTTCTAGACTTGCCAACTAGACTCTGAGCTCCTCGAGGACGGGGCTGCCTGCTGCCTCATGTCCCCATGATCACACTGGTTCGGGTAACACCTCCAGAGACACCCCAGAGCCTGGGTGCCCAGCTGCCTCCAGCATGCCAGGTGGGCTTCACCCTGACCCCATCCCCTCTCAGATCTCCCAGGCCACACCCCCAAGTTCCTCTCGCTACTTCCTCTGCTCTCAAGCTCACAGTCATCTGTGACAGTTCCCACAATGGACAAGGCTCTGCGCAAACAGCAGTTCCTATGGGAAGCCTCCCGGCGCACTGCACTGCCCTGTGCTTCCCTGGGCTTGGTTTTTTGGGGTTTTTTTGAGACATGGTCTTGCTCTGTTGCCCAGGCTGGAGTGCAGTGGTGTAATCATGGCTCACTGTAGGCTCAAACTCCTGGGCTCAAGCAATCCTCCCGCCTCAGCCTCCCGAGTAGCTGGGACTACAGACATAGCCACCACATCTGGCAAATTTTTTCTAGTTTTTGTAGAGATGGGGTCTTGCCATGTTGCCCTTGCTGGTCTTGAACTCCTGGCCTCCACCGATCCTCCCACCTCAGCCTCCCACAGTGCTGGGTTACAGCCATCCGGCCTCCAGGCTTGGTTTCTACCCCTCTTGGCAGTTATTCTCCATCTCCTTCCACCAAGAGGCCCTGCGGGCAGGAGACACTGGTCATCTGGCCACCCTGCGCCCCTGACCAGGCACGCATGAACTTGACAACTCTCACGCGGAGCTGGACAATGCAAACCCACTCAGAGGGACCCAGGGTGTGGCTACAGTGACAGCCATGCTGCCCGAGCTCCCAGTGACCACGCACCAGCCTGGGCCTGACCACACCCGCTCGCTGCAGCCCATCCCTCCTCCCGCGCCCCTGAGCCAGCGACAGGCACAGAATTGCACAGGAGCTGTTTTGATGAACGGCAGCTGCCCTTCAGGCTCTAGCTGAGAAGCAGGCTCTGCTCTGCCTTTGGGGTACGCAGGACACCCGTGGCTAGAGGGGCCAAAAAAATTCTGTGGCTTCCACCAATTCCAGCCCAGACAGACAGTAACATGAGATGCCTTATGTTCTTTTTTTTTTTTTTTTTTTTTTTTTTTTTTTGAGACAGAGTCTCACTCCATTGTGCAGGCTGGAGTGCAGTGGCGTGATCTCAGCTCACTGCAACCTCCACCTCCCAGGTTCAAGCGATTCTCCTCCCTCAGCCTCCCGAGTAGCTGGGATTACAGGCACGTGCCACCGCGCCCGGCTAAGTTTTGCATTTTTAGTAGAGATGGGGTTTCACCACGTTGGCCAGGCTGGTCTTGAACTCCTGACCCCAGGTGATCCACCCTCCTCAGCCTCCCAAAGTGCTGGGATGACAGGCGTGAGCCACTGTGCCTGGCCAAGATGCCTTATGTTCTAGGGGTGTCAAGAGAACGACTTCCTCCGCCTCGTCCCCCCTTCCTGGGGGAAGCAGTTGGAATAGAGCAGGGAGCAGGAGTTGAAATTCCAGAGGCTTGACTCAAGTGCATGCTAGGGACGGCAATCTTCTCTCTCTCCTGAGCAAGACAATCAGATCCACGCGGCCCGACTGCAAGACAGGAGGCCCGCTCTGCCTACAGCCAACACTGTCTGACAGATGGGATTTTAGGAGAGTATGGAGATGCTGCAGGAAGGGGACAACAGCAACATGACGCGACTGTCCCGGTCCAGCAGCCTGGCTTGGGTCCTGCTCGCATCCCAGGGAGCCCAGGGTGGCGCCCCCTCACTCAGGGCACCGAGCCAGAGTGTCAAGGGCTGTCCCCAAGGGCGCCGAGGCTGGCCAGCTTCCAGGCTGCTGCCCAGACATGCTGCAGTCCTGAGTCCCGGCTGAGGGCACAGCCCATTTCCATCCCGCCATGATCAAGGGGTCCACAGCACCCGTGGGTAGTTTCAGGCTGGCTCTGTGGTCAAAAGGAACCCCTGGGACCCATCACACAAAGAGCGATTCTGAATCCACGGCCGGCTAATCTCATACAAATCGTCTGTCTCCACGCTCTCTCCCTGGAGACTAGGGCAGCCGCAAAAACGCAAACAGGCCCACCGCCACTGCCGGCGGCTCGGAAGGTGCCAGCACTTGGGTCCAGCTATGAATGCTGACGGGAGGTCTATGCAGGGGGAAATCCTGCCACCGTGCCCTCAGCTGACGTTTTCACAGCAAGTCACCCAGGCTTGTCTGAAAAACACAACGGTGGTCGCGCCTACCAGCAAACGGGGCCAGGTCTGCGTGAGTGACTGTCACTGTGCACCTGAGAGCCCTCGGGGTCTTGAGGTGCAGCAGCCACTGGGCAGTCGGCCTCGGGATTCTCAGCCTTTGTCCATTGAACAAACACGATCCCAGTCCAGAGCCACAGAGCAACTTCGCGCTCGGCCACCGCCAAAGAGGCACAGCCTGCCAGCAGGGCGGAGATGGCTGGACGCAAACTTGTCATCCATCCCCTCGTGTTTGCTGAGATCACTGAGGTGGATAAAGAAAGAAAAGAAAGAGGGAAGGGAGGAAGAGCCAGAGAAGCAGGGAGAGAGAGGGGGCAAGCAAAAATAAAAAAAAAACAGAAAAGAAAAAGAAAAAGAAAAAAAGACAGGCAACTTTTGAAAGCCAAGAAATTCTGAGCAAGCCTCTCCAGATTGTTTATTTCAATCAAGGAAAGAAAGCATGACCGTAAATTAACGGTACGATTTCTTGACAAGTCAGAACGTTCCTGGGACAGGCCCAAATCTAAGATGCCAAAGACCTACTTGGCTCAGAAAATGCCTGTCAGCCAGGAGAAGAGTGAGACAAAGGAAGTGTGGCCGGGCACAGTCCCCCACTCGGCTACTGACCGCACGATGGCCACCGACGGGCACTTGTCCACTCACTCTACAAAGCTGAGCTCTGCACTGGATAAGCCACCTCCCTCATGAGGCTTTCTGTGCTCAGGGACAGCAGAAACCACCATCTGCGACTCCCCTGCCCCTCCCATCGGGGGCGCTAGCACTGGTAACGAGGAGAGTTCCGATGCTTACAAAACAAAAGCCTTGTGAAATTGTGCAATGCTGTCTTCCTTTTAAACAAACCCTCAGTTCCTGCCAGGTCACACTGAACTCCTTGGGCCGAGTACACGGCTCGACGTGCTTCTGACGCTTGGTGAGCTGTAACAGAAAGGCAGCCGCGTGAATCCCAGAGCAAGAGAGTCTGGCGTCTCAAACAGCGAAGCGTTCCCCCCACCTACACTGTTTGTAGCTGTTTTTTCCCTCCTTTATGGTGAGGCTGTCTGGGTGGATGTCAGCATCGCATTTTCTCACATTCCTGCAGTTTTAAGGATCCTTGAAATGACCCATGACCTTTTTTTTTTTTTTTTTTGAGACTGAGTTTCCCTCTTGTCGCCCAGGCTGGAGTGCAGTGACGTGATCTCAGCTCACTGCAACCCCTGCCTCCAGGGTTCAAGCGATTCTCCTGCCTCAGCCTCCCAACAAGCTGGGATTACAGGCATACACCACCACGCCCAACTAATTTTGTATTTTTAGTAGAGACAGGATTTCTCCATATTGGTCAGGATGGTCTCGAACTCCTGACCTCAGGTGATCCACCCGCCTCGGCCTCTCAAAGTGCTGGGATTACAGGCGTGAGCCACCGCACCCGGCCATGCCCCATTTTTTTTTTAAGGCTAGAATATGACTCTAAATGCTTTGAAGTTAGGAAGATACAAATTCACACTCAGGCTGGGCACGGTGGGTCACGCCTGTAATCCCAGCACTTTGGGAGGCCAAGACAGGCGGATGCCCTGAGGTCAGGAGTTGGAGACCAGCCTGGCCAACATGGCGCAATCCCATCTCTACTAAAAATACAAAAATTAGTCGAGCGTGGTGGCATGCACCTGTAATCCCAGCTACTCAAGAGGCTGAAGTAGGAGAATCGCTTGAATCCGGGAGGTGGAGGTTGCAGTGAGCCGAGATCAGCCCACTGCGCCCCAGCCTGGGCCACAGAGCAAAACTCTGTCTCAAAAAAAAAAAAAAAAATTCATTCACTCAACAAGGAATGTCCACTCAACACCCACCACGTCTAAGGAGCTGCCGTACATTCTAGGGGTCGTGAGGCTGACATGGTTTCCATAGCTTTCCGTAGTGTGGCCCTCACACCCTAGCCAGGTATTTGCAAACTACAACCCACAGGTTCAATCCTGCCCGCCACCTGTTTTTGTACAGCCTGCAGTCTAAGAATGGTTTTGACATTTTTTAGTCGTTGGAGGAAAAAAAAAGCAAAAGAAGAAAAATGTCTTATAATGTAAAAATTGCACGGAATTCACGTTTGTGTCCATAAATAAAGTTTTACTGAAACACAGGCACACTCGCCCACGGGAGCTTTCTTGCTACAACGGCAAAGCAGAGTGGTCTGGACAGAGATGACCTCTGGCTTACAAAGCCAAAAATATTTATTCTCCGGCCCTTCCAGAAAAAGCCCCTGCCCTAGTAGATGAGACAAACAGATACACAAACAGACTAATACCCAGCTCTGATCGTGTGACATGCAAAGGAGGAGAAGTAGGGAAGGGAAGTGACTAGAGTGATAAGGAGCCGGCTGGGTGGAAAGAGAACCAGGCAGCGGGCACAGCAAGTGCACAGGTCCTGCGGCAGGGAAGGGCGGGCAGGGAAGGCGGCTGTGCCAGGAAAGGAGCAGGTGCAGGAGGAAGAAAGGGAGGAAAGGAAGGAAGGACAAGGCCACAGATGACAGAGCGAAGGGGCCACGCGAAAGGGCCCAGAATTTTTCCCAAGGGCAACAGGAAGTCACCGGAAGGTTCTGAGCAGGGGAAAATCTTTTGTTTGTTTGTTTGTTTTGGTTTTTACTCCTTTGACTACCTTCTTTTTTTTTTTTTTGGAGACAGAGTCTCGCTCTGTCTCCCAGACTGGAGTGCAGTGGTGTGATCTTGGCTCACTGCAGCCTCTGCCTCCCAGGTTCCAGAGATTCTCGTGCCCCCACATCCCGAGTAGCTGGGACTACAGGCGCCCACCACCATGCCCGGCTGATTTTTGTATTTTTGTAGAGATGGGATTTCACTATGTTGGCCAGGCTGGTCTCAAACTCCTGACCTCAGGTGATCCTCCCGCCTCGGCCTCTCAAAGTGCTGGGATTACAGGCGTGAGCCACCACACCTGGCCAGTTTTTTATTTTATGTATTTATTTACTTACTTACTTACTTATTTATTTATTTTTGAGATGGAGTCTCGCTCTGTCGCCCAGGCTGGAGTACAGTGGCGCGATCTCAACTCACTGCAAGCTCCGCCTCTCGGGTTCACACCATTCTCCTGCCTCAGCCTCCCGAGTAGCTGGGACTACAGGCACCGGCCACCACCATGCCCGGGTAATTTTTTTTGCATTTTTAGTAGAGACGGGGTTTCACGGTGTTAGCCAGGATGGTCTCGATCTCCTGACCTTGTGATCTGCCCGCCTTGGCTCCCAAAGTGCTGGCTTTACAGGCGTGAGCCACTGCGCCCGGCCACTTATTTATTTTTTTGAGACGGAGTCTTGCCCTGTCACCCAGGCTGGAGTGCAGTGGCAGGATCTCGGTGCAATTCTCCTGTCTCAGTCTCCCAAGTAGCTGGGACTACAGGTGTGCACCGCCACGCCCAGTTAATTTTTTTATTTTTAGAAGAGACGAGGTTTCACCATGTTGGCCAGGCTGTTCTCGAACTCCTGACCTCAGGTGATCCGCCCGCCTCAGCCTCCCAAAGTGCTGGGATTACAGGCATGAGCCACCGCACCCAGCCAGTTTTTTTTTTTTTTTTTTTTTAATATGCTTTGTTTCAGAGAGCAGTTTTAGGTTCACAGCAAAACTAAGCAGGAGGTAGAGACTTCCCATGTTCCCCGCCCCAACAGGGAAGGCCATTTTCCGAGCTCCTCAAGGGAGCAGGAGGGAATAGACGGACCCAGATCTAACCAAGTCCAGCATCCTAGAACAGGCCAGTCACGCAGGGAGTGAGCTTGAAAATTAATTTGTCCAAAAACCAAGAAACATCAATTCGTCAATCCACTCCCCCCTCAGTATTTGGGAAGATACAAATTTTCTTTTTTTTAATATAGTGGTTAAGCTCATTTGAACGCGAATTAGTAAAAGTATGTGCAACTTGGCCGAGCATAGTGGCTCATGCCTGTAATCCCAGCACTTTGGGAGGCCGAGGCAGGCGGATCACTTGAGGTCAGGAGTTTGAGACCAGCCTGGTCAACATGGTGAAACCCCGTGTCTACTAAAAATACAAAAGTTAGCAGGGTGTGGTGGCGGGCACCTGTAATCCCAGCTACTCGGGAGGCTGAGGCCAGAGAATCACTTGAACCCGGGAGGCGGAGGTTGCAGTGAGCTGAGATCTAGCCACTGTACTCCAGCCTGGGTGACAGAGTGAGATTCTGTCTCAAAATAAATAAATAAAAGTATGTGCAACTAGCACATTAACGTTCCACAACTCTGGGGACATTACTGTTCAGGAAGAGGCCAAGATCAAAGAGGTGAGTCATTTTTAAATGGACTTAAAGAAAACTGTCTGGCAAATCGACAGGTCAGGGCTATGGTGACTGGGAGGGTGTGGAAGTGCCACCCCTGGGGGCAGCCAAGCAAGCCTGGGCAAGGACCTGCCAAAGCTCAGAGGCCAAAGAGCAGCCCAGGAAGACCCGGAGCTCAGAGGCCAGAGAGCAGCCCAGAAGACCCCACAGATGCCGGGCTGCCCCTCATTGCAGGGCGTGCAGGGGACCCCGTGGGGGCTCCTGTCCTCTCAGGTGGAAGCTGCCACCCTGGAAGGGCAGAAGGACAGTCACGGAGAACCTGAACAACCAGGTGAGGAGTGTGTCCGGGACACAGTTTGCAAATAGGAGTCACTCACTGCTAAAGGGTGAGTGGGGAGGAAAGAAAGGGAGCTGAGGCCCATCACGGTCACAGCACACCATGAGCTACTGCAGGGCTGAAGGCCAAGTCCAAGGTTCTCACTGCGGGGTTGACAGTGCTTCCCAGGGGACATTTTTGGTTGCTACCGCTTAGGGGACAGGGTGCTACTAGCATCTGGTGGGTGGTGGTCAGGGATATTGTTCACACTCACCCTACGGTGCCCAGGACAGCCCCGCCACAGAATGTCCCAGCCCAGAACGTGGATAGGGCAGAGGTGGGGAGACCCTGACAGGGCAGAGGGCCTTGCTGTGTAATAAACCGGCTCCGAACTCAGAGCTCCTGGCACCCTGCAAGCTTCAGCGCCTTTTACCCGCTTTGATCCTCACAACCACCTGGGAGGGAGGTGTTCCCATTACACCCATTTTACAGAGAAGAAAGCAAGGCCCAGAGAGGGGAAGTGACTGCCTCAGAGGAGGGATCTGAATCCAGGTCTCTCCAACTCTGAAGCCTGTGTGGGGCATGGGACAGAGGGCAGAGATCCAGAGACGTCGTCAAGACCACCAGATGAGAACGGAGCCCAGGCTGGGCCCCTGCTCTTCTGTCCGGCATCCTAAGCCAGGAACAGAGACCCCTGGGGCAGGAAGGGGGAGGGCTGTGGCATCTGAAGACCCCATCGAGCTGCCTCATGGCAGGTCCCTGGAGCTGAGCCAGGAGCCTAGGGTGAGGCTGTGGATGAGGACGGCCGATCTGTCATGGCGGTGACCAGTGCAGGCCTGCGGAGCTCCCCCCGCCCCGAGCCCCCACCCTGTTCATCTGCTCTCCGTCCCCTCCTGCCCAGTGGGCTCCGAAAGATTTAGTGCCCCCGATCTGCTTTGTCACTGAGCAAGTGACTGGGTCAAGGTCACCCAGCTCTGAACCCCCAATTCCGCTCCCCGATCCAGGGAACAAAGCCACCTACAAATGCACCTCAGGCCCTCAACAGCCTCGCCTCCTCCTGCCTGCTCCCTGAGCTGGGCCCGAGGGCAGCGGACTGCACACCACCATTCCAGCTGTGACCAGGCCCTGGGCAGCCAGCTCACCCTTTCCCCCACTACACTCTAAACCCACAGGAGCCAGGGACTCCTCCCAACCTGTCCCGGCATGGCACTCGGCACTGGAAACCTAGCAGCCCCAGACCAGGTGAACGCATGACCCCAAGGCACGTCCCCACAGGTGTCAGATGGAACCGAGGACAGATGGCTTCCCCAGAGCTGAGGCTCCTCCCCGGCTCATCAGGGAGTGGGTGGGGCATAGGACAAACGGGCAGGAAACCAGCAGAGGAGACAGAGAAATTAGGAATTAAAGTACAGGCAGAGTGGTCAGGTGGGAGAGAAGGACACAGAGGACGGCCCCTGGCCACCCCAGAGGGCTCCTGCAGGACGGGACAGGGACTGAAGACAGGGCAGGAGGCTGAGGAAGGGTCTCTTCCACGAGACAGAAAAGTACAACAAAGGCCAGGCGGGGTGCTGTGCGGTGGCTGATCAGCTATACCTTTAAGCGCCAGCAGTTAACATCTTGTTAGCAGCCCCCTCCCCAAAGAGGAAAGGGTTAGAAAATGCGAGCAAACGGATTGTTACTAAGACATATATATTTCAGGTCTCAGCAACTAAACACACACGTGCACACGCAGGCACCCGCAGCTCCTGACACAGTAGACGCTTCCACCAAAACAGCCTGTACACAGACACCCGTCTGTGCGGCAGAATCTCCGTTACCCCCTTTTCCTCCCCAGCGGTGACCTCCTCTAGGCCAGGACAGTCTGACCCGTCCTGGTGTCGCCGGCTCAAGGAGGGGGAGCGCCCGGACCTGCCAGGTGTCCAATCAGACACACGGAGACGAGGCTGGCAAGTCCCAGAAATCCTCGGCTCAGACAGAAGTTGACTCTACCACGGCTTTACGCTCCGACCTTCAGGGTTTCAAAACATAAACTGCAAAGCGGAGAGAGGATGCCCACTGCTTCAGCAGGGGCTGCAGGAGAAGGCTGACCCCGTGTGTTGACAAACCCTCCTGGTGGCTCATAAGGAAGCTATTATTGGAGAATTAGGGGAGTCATTAGCTCCCATAACGGCAGTGATAAAAGCCCATAGGAGTCGTCTAATGAGCCTGCTTTAGGACTGGTGCTGTTTTTAGGAGCATTCTCCAGCCCGGGGACATTCTGATAAATGGCCATTGAGGCAGAGGACTGGGGCAGGGCACCGATCCCTTGAATTCAGTCCAGTATCCAGAGATCCCAAGACAGTGCAGGCACCCGGTGGGACCCAAAGGAACTTGCTGAATACACGCCCCAGCCAGAAACACATGGAAAAAGACGCTCTTCACATATGACAGGATCACTAGGCTCCACGGAGCTGAACCACCTTCTCACTAGTTTCACAACTCGGGGAACACTTCCTCACAGGGTGCTGGTAAATTATTAAAACAGAAGCATCCTCCCCCAAGCAAACAGATGGGATGCACCCAAAAGCAGTCCATGCCTCCACTGCCCCCAGGGGCGGAAAACATGCCCCTTAAAACCTTCCACCGTGCCCAGGTGGACAGAGTCCCCCGTCCTGCCTGATTGTCATGGCCACCACTGAGCGCAGACCTGGGCCCTGGCAGACCCCAGGTCAAGCAGATTTCAGAGCGAGTCCGTCCCCAGCTCCCAGGGGGATGTCCACGGGGGACACAGAAAAGGGGTCTCGGCGGAAGCAACTCCTCAATTCATTTCTCTAGAGCAGGGGCTTCGTTCGAGATGGCGATCAGGCTGGAAGGGGGAGGGACGGAGAGACTCGTGGAGGCTGCCGTTGCATAGCAAGATGATTTTTTTCTAAAATCCAGATTGCATATGCTTATGGCGGGGTGGGGGTTTCGGGTACGTACAGGGGGGCAAGTTTGGAAGCTACCAAGGCATAGCAGGTTGACCGGAGGTGGGGGCAGTGCAGGAGCAATGATAGGCATTTAGGGGGCATCCCTGGGTGTCCAGCTGGGGGGCTTCCCCTTAGCCCCCCTGGCGCCCAAAGGGCCAGAAACGCAGGCGGGGGTTACCCAGGGGCTGGGGTCTTTTTCCTTTTTCTTGCTTTCTTTCAAAAATAATAATAATAATAGGCCGAGGCTTGTCCCGGGTGATAAAAGGGCCCGGCCGGGGCCACCCACGCTGTCATCTTTTGTGCGGGGCGCCGGGGCCGTCTGTGCCCAGCCCCCGCGCGCCCCCGGCCCGGGAAGGGGCCCCCGCTCCCGCCCCTGGGCGCGCCCCGCCATTGTCCGGCCCCGCCGCCCCCGCCCGAAAACCAGCGGGCGCCCCCGGGCCGGGCGGTTAACGCCCCAACCGCCCCGCCGGCCCGGACAAAGCGCGAGGCCCGGCCCGAGCAGGCCGCGCCCGAGGCCTGGGCCTCGAGTCCCGGGCGCGCCCGCAGCCCCGAGCCGCGACGCGGGGGCGGCCATGGCGGCGGGGTCCGCGCTCGGACACGGCCGGGCGGCCTCCCCGTGGGCTCACCTGAGGCGGCGTGCGCGGCCCGGTCCGGGAGCAGCGGCGCGCTCTCCCCCGCCCTCGGCGTCGCACCCCCAGGCCCCGCTCGGGCCGGGCCCCGCTCGGTTGCTGGCGACCGAGCCCTCCGCAAGCGCTCGCGGGGGGGCTTATAAGGCCGCGCGCCAGCTCCGCCCCGACTGCCATTGGCTGCCGGATCCACGCCCGAGCGCCCATTGGCCGGAGCTGACAGCTCCGCCCCTCCCCTCCGCCGGGCCCATCAACACCGCACGGCCCGCCCACCGCGCGCCGCGATTGGGCGGGGACAAACGCCGGCCTCGCCTCTTCATTGGCAGACCGGCGGGGACACGCCGGCGCCCACCCACGTGCCCGCTGACCGGCTCTGTTCTCATTGGAGGGGGCGCACGCCAGCCAAGGCTGCCGCGACCAACCCGACGGCAGCTGGGCCTTGGATTGACAAGGGAGCCTCAGGGCCCGCCCGACGACCGCACAGAGAGGAGCCAGTATTGGCTTGAGGGGCCAGCCCGAGGCGCGGACAGGCTGGGGCAGGTGCCAATCACTGCCCGCAAGCTCCGGGCCCCGCCCTGGTTATCAGGCGGCGGCTGAGTACGTGAGACCCAGCACAGCATCAGCACCGGCCGGGAACGTGCAGGCTGGAGGTTCGAAACCCGTGGCCGGAATGTGGGCTTAGCGTTCCCCAATTTGCAAAGTGCCAAGCAAGGAGACATAGCGATCCGTTTTGCAAAGGAGGAGAACCGAGAACATAGGGTAAAGCAGCAAGAGCCTCCACCCCGCCACCGTAGGTCTATTCCCATCACAATCAACAAACCTTTGCCAAGGGGCAAGGCCTTCGGAATAGTTAGGGTCCCTCTCCCCGAGTTCCCTAAAATGTATGGGAGAGAATGAGCTTTGGTGCTTTCTGACCTGGATTCAAAGCTAAGCCGGGCCCCATGCCTCACTGTGGTTGACCTCCAGCAAAGTAACCTCGCTGAGTCTGTTTCCAACTGTGCAATGGATATGATGGTAGTGGCCACACCCCGTCTACCCGCCTCTTGAGAATGTTGCAAGGATTAAGTGGGATGAGGCACGGAGAAAGATTTGACCCTGTGACTTCACAAAATGAGCATTCATTGTGTACTGGACCACGCAGGGGTGTGAGGCATGCCCCCATTTGGAGTGGCAGGAGTGTAAATTGGGCAATTTGACATTTTCTAATAACATTCTAAGTGCATCCACCACCCGATAACCCAGCCAGCAGTTCTTCCTGGAGGTGATGTACCCAGAAAAAAGGTCTGGAGCTTACACAATTCAAGAATGCCGGCGGCAGGGCTGTCTGCAACTGTTTCCAATGTTTTGCACTAACTATCCATCAGTGGGGGATTAGAGAAGTAACTTAATAGCAATCAGTACTCTGGAATACTTACTATGTAGCAATTGAAAAGGAGGCCAGGCCCGGTGCTGTGGCTCGGGCGACTCACACCTGTAATCCCAGCACTTTGGGAGGTCGAGTCGGGTGGAACACCTGAGGTCCAGAGTTCGAGACCAGCCTGGCCAACATGGCAAAAACCTGTCTCTATTAACAAATACAAAATTAGCCAGGCATGGTGGCGCATGCCTGTAATCCCAGCTACTCCAGAGGCTGAGGCGGAGGTTGCAGTGAGTCGAGATCACTGCACTTCAGCCTGGGCAACAGGGTGAGACTCTGTCTCAAAAAAGGAAAGAAAAGAAAAAAGAGAAGGCCGATCTGTTTGCAAACATGAAATATCTCCCAACCGCTGAGCTAGGGACAGTGGTCCAGAATCCTGTACTCAATAAAATAAATATGGAAACACACACAGAAACCGGTATCATGAGGTTAAGAGCACACAAGCTTGTCAATGCACAGAAAAAGGTACTCCTAAACTGAAGAAACGAACTTAATCCTTGGGGAGAGAAGGAAAGCTGCACACTGGTAAAAAGAGAAGTCAAAGGAGAATTTAAGAAGCTCTGGGTGTTTTAAATTCTTATGGGACCATATTCATATATTCCACATGGAGTTGAGATTTAATTTCAGGTCATGCCTGGAATCGCAGCACTTTGGGAGGCTGAGATGGGCAGATCACTTGAGCCCACGAGTTTGAGAACAGGCTGGGCAATATAGCAAGACTCCGTCTCTACCAAAAAAATTACAAAAGTTGGGCGTGGTGACACGCGCCTATAATCCCAGCTATTCGGGGGCTGAGGCGAAAGGATCACCTGAGCCCGGGGAAGTGGAGGCTGCAGTGAGCCGTTGATTACACCACTGCACTCCAGCCTGGGTGACAGAGTCAAACCCCGTCTCAAAATAAAAAGTAAAAACAAAATTTAAAAACAGGCTGTTGCCCAGGCTGGGTGTAGTGACTCACATCTGTAATCCCAGCCCTTTGGGAGGCCAAGGTGGGAGGATCACTTGATCCCAGGAGTTTCAGGCCAGCCTGGGCAACAGAGCGAGACCTCTTCTCTACTAAAAATAAAAACCGAGTTGATTGTGCGGGCACATGCCTGTGGTCCCAGCTACACTGGGGGCTGAGGGAGGATCACTTGAGCCCAGGAGGTCGAGGCTGCAGTGAGCCATGATCACACCACTGCACTCCTGGGCAACAGAATGAGACCCTGTCTCAAAAAAAAAAAAAAGTGCAATCATGAAGGGAAAGAGTCCCCACCCCACGTACCACATACATAGGGCTTTTTGTTCTACTTCCAAGTATATTCTCTGAGACAGTGGGGGGTGTTTAGATTTCACAGACAATATAAATGTTTTTAACCGAGGAACCCAAATGGGTTCTCCACTTTATTTTGCTTAGACAAAGTTTTCATGCCATCTCTTATGAGAAAAACTTAACATGATCATAGAATCTAGACGGTAGGTCTGAGGGTTCACCATCCGATTCTTTCCAAATCCGATTCTTTCCAAGTTTTGGAAACTCTTCATATTAAAATGTTAAAAACACACTAGAATTGCTGTCAGATAAGTAGAAGTCCTCATCCTCCAAAAAGGAAGGAAATGCTCTTTAGAATATTTTAATGGGCAGATTAATTTAGGCAACACTCACCTAATTGCCCTGGTTTTCTTCCATCCTTTGCAGTCAGATGCAAATCTCACAAAGGACTGGGGCAGGGAATGCTTGGGGACCTCCCCCTAAACAAGACCAGGAGGCTTGGCTTGGCTTTCAGACGTCAAGGAACCCCCAGTTAGCAGGCCCAATGCTCAATTTCTGACTGGTCTCCCTCAATCTTTCTAGACAGGCAAGGTGTGGAGCGCAAAAATGTTCAATGCTTCAATAGATGCCCCTCCCCTTATGGGTTGGTCTGCTGCATTAACAAATTGAAATGGGAGGCCAGGTGCAGTGGCTGTAATCCCAGCACTTTGGGAGGCTGAGGCAGGAGGATCACTTGAGCCCGGGAGTTCGAGACCAGCCTGGCCAACATGGCAAAAACCCCATCTCTACAAAAAGTACAAAAATCGGCCAGGTGTGGTGGTGCATGCCTGTAGTCCCATCTACTAGAGAGGGGAAGCCCGAGAATTGCTTGAATCCAGGAGGAGGCAGCTGCAGTGAGCTGAGATTACACCACTGCACTCCAGCCTGGGCCATGGAGACTATCTCCAAAAAAAAAAAAAAGCAGTTGGGGACTGGGCTTCATGGCTCACGCCTGTAATCCCAGCACTTTGGGAGACCGAAGAGGGCAGATCACTTGAGGTCAGGAGTTCGAGACCAGCCTGGCCAACATGGTGAAACACCGTCTCTACCAAAAATACAAAAAAATTAGCCAGGCATGGTGGTGCACACCTGTAATCCCAACTACTCCGGAGGCTGAGGCAGGAGAATCACTTGAACCCAGGAGGTGGAGGTTGTAGAGCCGAGATTATGCCACTGCACTCCAGCCTGGGCAACAGAGCAAGACTACATCTTAAAACAAGTCAAACGGGGATTATAGAAAGGTGGCCCATCCGTACAGTGGAATATTACTCAGCCATGAAAAGGAATAAAGCTCTGACACAGGCTACAATGCAGATGAACCTCGAAAATTCCATCCTTAGTGACAGAAGCCAGACACAAAATACAGTATAATTCCATTTATATGAAATGTCCAGGACAGGCAAATCCATAAGGATAGAAAGAGGATTCGTGGCTTGCAGGGCCTGGGGGAGGGACACAGGGCAAGACTGCGGAAGGGTGTGAGGTTTCTTTTTGTGTGGATGTTAAAGTTCTGTAATTAGATGGTGGTGATGGCTGCATAACTGTATTGACTATACTAAAACCACTAAGCTGGCCAGGCATGGTGGCTCACACCAGTAATCCCAACACTTTGGGAGGCCGAGGCGAGTGGATCACCTGAGGTCGGGAGTTCGAGACCAGCCTGACCAACATGGTGAAACCCTGTCTCTACTAAAAATATGAAAATTAGGCGGGCATGGTGGTGCATGCCTGTAATCCCAGCTACTTGGGAGGCCGAGGCAGAAGAATCACTTGAACTCGGGAGGGGGAGGTTGCAGTAAGCAGAGATCTTGCCACTGCACTCCAGCCTGGGCCACAGAGCGAGACTGTCTCAAAAACAACACAGTAAAATAAAACCACTGAACTGTATGCTTTAAAAGGGTGACCTTTATATTACCTGAACTGTTATCTCCATAGAGCTGTTAAAGATTTTTAGGGTGGGCATGGTAGTTCACATCTGTAATCCCAGCACTTTGGGAGACCCAGACAGGAAGATGGCTTGAGACCAGGAGTTCCAGACCAGCCTGGGCAACAAAGTGAGACTTCTCTCTACTAAAATATATATCTCTCTCTTTAAAAAAGTAGCCAGGCATGGTGGTTTGCACCTGTAGTAGTCCCAGCTACTCAGGAGGCTGAGGCAGGAGGATTGCTTGCGCATGGGAGTTTGAGGCTGCAGTGAGCTATGATGACACCACCACTGTACTCCAGCCTGGGTGACAAAGTGAGATCTTGAATCAAAGACTTTTTTTTTTTTTTTTTTTTTTTTGAGACAGAGTCTCGCTCTGTTGCCCAGGCTGGAGTGCAGTGGTGTGATCTCGGCTCACTGCAAACTCCACCTCCTGGGTTCAAGCGATTCTCCTGTCTCAGCCTCCCAAGTAGCTGGGATTGCAGGTTCATACCATCATGCCCAGCTTATTTTTGTATTTTTAGTAGAGATGGGGTTTCACCATGTTGGACAGGCTGGTCTCAAACTCCTGACCTCAGGTGATCCGCCCACCTCAGCCTCCTAAAGTGCTGCGATTACAGGTGTGAGCCATCGCACCCGGCCAAAGAAATTTTTTTAAGTGAACCAGGAAAGAAATATGCCCAAGATTAGAGTCGGTGGCAAAACAGTTCCACAAATACTTTTCTGGGTTTTGCTCATTTTTTTAAACATGACATTGTTCTTTAAAGGGAGAGAAAAATCAAAAAGAAGGCAGCAATCTCAACAATGAACCCACTTTAGTGTTTTCTAGGAAGGGCCCACTGGGGACATTTATGGAGTTTCCTTCAAGAACTGGGAATCTTATCTTCACGTTCACACTTGACATATTTCTGGTATAATCCACATACCATACAATTCACCCACTTAAAGTGCACAATTCTGGCCGGGCGCGGTGGCTCACGCCTGTAATCCCAGCACTTTGGGAGGCCGAGGGGGGCGGATCACGAGGTCAGGAGATCGAGACCATCCCGGCTAACACGGTGAAACCCTGTCTTTACTAAAAATACAAAAAAATTAGCCGGGTGTGGTGGCGGGCACCTGTAGTCCCAGCTACTTGGGAGGCTGAGGCAGAAGAATGGCGTGAACCCGGGAGGCGGAGCTTGCAGTGAGCCGAGATCACGCCACTGCACTCCAGCCTGGGCAACAGAGCAAGACTCCGTCTCAAAAAAAAAAAAAGGAAAAAATAAAAATAAAAAATAAAGTGCACAATTCTGTGGATTTTAGTATATCCACAGACATGTGCAACCATCAATTTTAGAACATTTTTACCACCTCAAAAAGAAACTCCAGGCTGCACGTGGTGGCTCACGTCTGTAATCCCAGCACTTTGGGAGGCTGAGATGGGAGGATCGCCTAATCACAGGAGTTGGAGACCAGCCTGGGCAACAGAATGAGATCCCGTCTCTCCAAAAAAAAAAAAAAAAAAATTAAATTTGCCAGTTATGGTGCTGCATGCCTGTGGTACCAGCTACTCGGGAGGCTGAGATGGGAGGATCACTTGAGCCCAGGAGTTGGAGGCTGCAATGAGCTGTGATCACACCATTGCACTCCAGCCTGGACAACAGGGCAAGACTGTCTCAAAAACAAAACAAATCTGCCCATATGGTTACTTAACCATCAATAAAAGGCACCAGTAATAGGTTGATGTGAATTAATTAATCTGCAAGACGCAGCCCCTTTACCGTCCCGATTTTTTTTTTTTAAAACGTTTTTAAAGACAGCATCTCATTCTGTTGCCCAGGCTGGAGTACCGTGGTGCAATCAAAGTTCACTGCAGCCTCTAGCTCTGGGGCTCAAGCAATCAGCCTCCTGCCTCAACCTCCTGAGTAGCTGGGACTACAGAAACACACCACCACACCTGGCTAATATTTTTATTTATTTGTAGAGTTGGGGTCTACAGGCTGGTCTCAGACTCCTACACTCAAGTCATCCTCCCAAGAGAAGAGACCAGCAAGCTTTGCTGGCCAGGCAGTGAGTATTTTTCAGCTTTGTGGTCCAGATGGTTTCTGCTGTACCTACTCAGTTCTGCTGATGGTAGCGTAAACGCCACTATATACATAAAGAAATGGGTGTGGTGGTGTCAATAAAACTTTATTTACAGACAGGCAGTGTCCTGACTTGGGTCCCATTGGCTGTCGTTTGCTGACCCCTGCAACTTGACGCTGCAAAGTGAACAGCCCAGCACCTCCCAGGCTGCGGTTAGGACCTCAGCCCGTCACCGTCATCTCCTGGGTCTCAGTTTTCTCATCTGTAAAGTGGGGCTGAAGCCACCTGCCTCATGTTTCTCCTGGGATTTTTGTAAAATAGTGCACAAAAGTAGACAGAAAGCTCCAAAGGCAGTTTGCAAATAGGAAGACACAATCAAGTCTATCTGTGAAAAACATTTATTCTGAGAATCTAAAATCTGGACAAAGTACTGGACTTTAGAAAAAGCCTACACAAAATTGTCTCATTCTTCCCTAATACATTAATAATCTAAGAATAAGGAGGTGAAAAAAACCCTTTAAAAATAACATTGCTCCAGTTTGTCTGCAGGTATGTGATTTAAAATATCCCTGTTTTATTGAGGTATAGGCTGCAAACTTTGGTAAAATTAGAAAAATTAACAAACCCTTTCAAAAGAAAAAAAATACAAAAACAAAAACAACCAAACCCTAACGTTATATCTTTCTTGGTACATATACAGTAACTACAAAAAAAATTCATTTAGAAAATGTGTTCATTAAGAGAAAAAAAAATTTTAAAAAAACCCTCTTGTAAGTTCTCACTTGCTGAGTTAAAAAAATTGAATGTAAATGATCTATAAGGCTCAAACGGTTCCCAAGCACCCATCCGGTGTCAGGAAGAACTGGATGACCGCAGTTTCTAGAATCTGGTTGACATTTTCAATAATTCAGTGCTAACAACAAAGACTGTCGTCTTTAGAAAGAAGGAACGAATCAAAGGCACTTGCACGTGACTTCGTGTGCTGGCGTCCGTCCGTGGCCGCCTTCGTCGGACAGCGTCAGTCACACGCCTGGCCCCACGTGGAGCAGAGTCCCCTTGAGGCCATTTCTGCGTGGCCCCAACTCCCTGCTCTCGTGGGCAGAGGACTTTTCACGCGGATCTCAGACGCTAAGCAGTCTGGTGGGGGATGGCTTTGAGGCAAAGGTTTGAACTAGGCCCGAGATGTTTCCTCTTTTCCTTGCAACAACTTCAACAGACAGCTGAGCCACGCCATGCCACGGGCTGCCACGGGCCACCACGGGGAACCATGTCACTGGACTTTAGATGACAAAATGCTGTCAGGAAGATGCTTGCTCTGACCTTGGGGGCCAGAACCCGAGAGAAGGACTGATCCTGTCGCCTTCTTAAAGAGTTGGTGGCAGCAACTTCTGAGAACTTGACACCAGAAACATCAACAGCCTCCACACCACGTAGTTTCTGATTCCATCTTTAAAAAATCTTGTGTTGTTTTGTCGAGAAATTGCAGGCTTTTATGTTTTCAAAGAACTAAACACAATACTGAGAAGTCCAACTTTTAGCCAGAATACATAAATTCCTGAAAATGTATAGATTTGAAAAATAAAAATAAAAAAAAAAAGGAAGACAAACCTTTTTAGGGAACGGAGGAAACACTACCTGTTTAAGTTAAGCCCACTAAGAACAAAATCAGTGCCGATGAACGAGCCCTCCGACACGTTTTCAGCAAAACGCCTGTCGAGAAGTGCTTGGAGATCACCGGCCATTGCCGTAGCCGGGGAAGAGCTGGTTGAGGACGGTCTGCAGAGGCTGGTTCACCTGCATGGCATAGCTGCGGCCCAGGTCGTAGCGGCAGGCAGGGCAGCTGAACACCTGTGCCCGAAAGGATCTGTCCAGGCAGTCCTGTAAGACACAGCAGGCGCGTGAGAAGTGCCATCCACACCATCAGGTTTGCTCCTGGCCACCTCTCCCAGGACTGTGGGGACAGTCTCACCAGGTCCAGAGGCCCCTCTGACCTTCAGTCTCACTTTCCACCTGCTGCCCATCACCAGCCTGGCCCCCCTAGGGGCCCTCAAAGATTCCAAGCTCACCCGGCCTCCAGGCTTTTGTCCCTGGCAGGTCATGCAGCTTAACAGCTCGGTCCCCCGGCTCTCATCACTCACAGCTCAGCTCAAGTCACCTCCCTTATGGGGCCTTCCCTGACACCTCCCTAGAGGCAGTCCCATCCCCTCACCCCATCTGCCTTCAAGACGGCACCTCTCCTTCCACCTGTGGAGCCGTGTTATATATTATTAATGTGCTTATCTTATCTACAACAGGGCAGATGCTCCCTGAGCTTTGAGGCTGTGTTCTCTCTCAACACCAAGCACAGTGTATACAGTAGATGCTTAATAAACACACACATCAGGCCAAGCATCGTGGCTCATGCCTGTAATCCCAGCACTCTGGGAGGCCGAGGGGGGCAGATCACTTGAGGTCAGGAGTTCAAGACCAGCCTGGCCAACATGGTGAAACCCTGTCTCTACTAAAAATACAAAAATTAGCCAGGCACATGCCTGTAATCCCAGCTACCTGGGAGGCTAAGGCAAGAGAATGGCTTGAACCCGGGAGGCGGAGGTTGCAGTGAGCTGAGATCACGCCATTGCACTCCAGCCTGGGTGACAGGGCAAGACTCTGCGTCTCAAAGAAAAAACAAAAACAAAAAAATTAGCCGGGCGTGGCTACTCCGGAGGCTGAAGTGGGAGGATCACCTGAACCCAGGGAGGCAGGCTGAGGCTGCAGTGAGCCATGATCACGCCATTGCACTCCAGCCTGAGCGACAAAGCAAGACCTTGTCTCGAAAAAAATAAAAAATAAACATACACGTCAATGAGAAGAAAGGGGAAAAGGAGGAAGGAACCAAGTCTGGTGGATTCAGATTCCTAACTTCAAGCTCAATCAACCAAGTCGTGCCTGGGGAAGAAAGCCAGGAGAAGACAGAGCTGAGAGGCCTGGAGTCTCCACTTCCCAAGCAGACAAACAGGGAAGATGCCACCGGGCTGGCTGCACGCCAGGGAGGAGTGACACGCCGTACACAGGTGCACAGATGCCTACGCAGGGGGCACATGTCTGCAGCATGTCGTCACACAGCTGGGCGAGGGCGGTGACCACATGGGGGAGAGGCCTGGTGACCACAGCACAGTCACCTGCCCCAGGCAGCCTGTGGCTTTTGTTTTTGTTGTTTTTTTTTAAGATAGAGTCTCGCTCTGTCGCCCAGGCTGGAGTGCAGTGGCGTGATCTTGGCTCACTGCAACCTCCACCTCCCGGGTTCAAGGGATTCTCGTGTCTCAGCCTCCTGAGTAGCTGGGATTACAGGCGCCCACCAGCACACCTGGCTAATTTTTGTATTTTTAGTAGAGACAGGGTTTCATCATGTTGGCCATGGTGGTGTATGCCTGTAGCCCCAGCTACTCAGGAGGCTAAGGCAGGAGGATCTCTTTAGCCCCGCGAGGAGTTCAAGGCTGCGATGAGCTATGATGGCACCACTGCACTCCAGCCTGGGCGACAGAGTGAGATGCTGTCTCTGAATGTTTTTTTCAATTTTTTTTTTTTTTTTTTGAGACAGAATCTTGCTCTGACGCCCAGGCTGGAGTACAATGGCGCGATCTCAGCTCACCGCAACCTGTACCTCCCAGGTTCAAGCGATTCTACCACCTCAGTCTCCTGAGTAGCACCTGTCACCTCACCCAGCTAATTTTGTTTTAATTTTTAGTAGAGATGGGGTTTCACCATGTTGCCCGGGCTGGTCTCAAACTCCTGACCTCAAGTGATCCTCCCACCTCAGCCTCCCCAAGTGCTGGGATTACAGGCATTAGCCACCACGGCTGGCCTCAAGTTTATAATTTAAAAAGATCAAGGTGGAAGGTCACAGCCTGTTTCCCAGAACCCCTCCGATGCTGAGCTTCCCAAGTTGGAACAGAGCAACAAGGACAGATTGTGGGGACACCGTGATGCTGGTTAGCCCCTTCCTTCACATCCTCAGCGCTTCCGCGCCTTCACACCGATGCACAGGACAGATGGTTTCCAATGTCCCCACAGTCCTTCCTACCGCCACGGGGCTCCCAGGCCTCCCTCTTCCAATAGCCCCCCACAGCCAGCCCTCTGCCTGTGCCCACCTCCTGAGCACCTCCTTCCTGCCAGAGGCTAAGCCGGGACCTTCACAACAACCTGGCATCCAGGACAGTGTTACCAGGCCCCTTCTCACTGTGGCCAACTGAGGCTTGGAGGGATTAGTGCCTGCACGCCTGAGAGGTGACAGATGGCCAGACCCGGACCACCAGCCCCAAAGACACCATGGCCTCTCACCCCTTCTGCCACCTCACTCAGGGCACTCAGGGAGGCCCACACAGCTGAAGGGACTCAGGCCACAGGGCGAGGCAGGTGGGGCCCGAGGAGGCAGAGATGCCATGGGCATGACTGGGAACACCCCATCTCCTGACCTTCCCTGAGCTGCCTCCTGGCATGAAAACAAACACGGGGTCTGAGACCCGGGGGTGTGGCCCATGGCTGAGAGGACTGCGGGACTGCAGTTGGAAGGAAAACCGCCAGCAACTCAGAAGCCTGGGGAGATCCGTGGGGTGGCAGGGTCAGTCCCTTCCACACCTGTCCACCGGGACTGCCGGCTCTGGCCAGAGGTTGCAGCAGAGAAACCATCACCCAGACCCACACTGCCCACCTGGGCAGTTCTGCCCCCAGGGGACACTGGAAGGTGTCTGGGGATGTCTGTGATTGTCTCGACTAGGCAGGGAGCTCCTGGCATGGAGTGGGTGGGGGCCGGGGATGCTGCTCAGCACCCTGCAGTGCCCAGGACGGCCCCACCCCAGACAATGATCCAGCCCCAAGGCCCACAGCACAGGGGGGAAGAGACCCTGTCCTGGCCCCAAACCAATCGGTTTGAAAACCATCAGCTGCGGGGTGGGCGCGGTGGCTTACACCTGTAATCCCAGCACTTTGGGAGGCCAAGGCGGGTGGATGACAAGGTCAGGAGATCGAAACCATCCTGGCTAACACGGTGAAACCCCATCTCTACTAAAAATACAAAAAATTAGCCGGGCACGGTGGCGGGCGCCTGTAGTCCCAGCTACTCGGGAGGCTGAGGTGGGAGAATGGCGTGAACCCGGGAGGCAGAGCTTGCAGTGAGTGGAGACTGCGCCACTGCACTCCAGCATGGGCAACAGAGCGAGACTCTGTCTCAGAAAAAAAAAAAAAAAAAAAAAAAAAAACCATCAGCTGGGATCTTGTGTCCCTCCTACGACTGACCACTTGTCCTGAGTTTAAAGCCCATGGCAGGCCACCACCCCAGTGCCCAGAGCCACTGCAGGCCCCAGCTGCTGACTTCCCACCCAGGCTTCTTCACCTGCTGTCCCAGGTACAAGGGATGCTGCCTGGTAACACCACCTCCTCCAAGAAGCCTTCTTTCCTGACCCCTAGGGGATGTGCACCTCCTCTCCAGACCTTAGGCCAAGACTGTGGCCCATCCTCTCCCACCCTGGCCCCTTGACCATACAGGACTTGGGGGAGAATGTTATAGGCCTCCGTGGTAATACAGGCTGCCCAGAAAGCAGTCAACAGGGCCCCGAGAAAAGCTGCAGAGTGAGCGGAGCAAAGCCAACAAGCCTCTGTCTGTAGTGGCAGGCATGTGGGAACGGGAGGTCAGGTCATCCTTCCAGAACCTTCCACCCGGCTCCCGCGGCCATCTCTACTCACCTTGCACACGTTGTGCTGGCACACGGTCGTGATGGGCCGGAACACCAGCTCCTGACAGCAGATACACTGGAACGTCTCCTCCACTTTACTCAGGAACAACTGGAACTAGAGGGAAGCGGGTGTGAGGCCGGCAAAGACACCGGGACCAGGGCTCCCACAGATCAGTGGCTTCCTGCTGAGCATGTACCTGGGTCCTCTAATTCTGTCCCCAGCCTTCACTCCAGGAGGCGGGGGCCATGATCGTCCCCGTTCTGAGAAAAACAGAGGCCCAACAGGCATGAGCCTCACCTGAAGTCCCCAACACCCCAAGTGGCAAGGTGGGGAGGATGAGGCGGAGCCAGTACAAGGGCGCCAGCCTCAATGATGCTGGGCAGGACCCAGATATGACCAGCTGGCACCACCAAGCACACCCTGCACTGAGTCAAGACAGGGCTTTAGGAGAGGTTCCTGGCTGGGAGCGGCAGCTCACGCCTGTCATCCCAGAACTTTGGAAGGCCAAGACAAGAGGATCGCTTGAGCCAGGTGTTCAAGACCAGCCCGGCAATACAGTGAGACCCCCATCTCTACAAAAAATTAAAAAATAGGCCGGGCATGGTGGCTCACGCCTGTAATCCCAGTACTTTGGGAGGCTGAGGTGAGCAGATCACCTAAGGTCAGGAGTTCGAGACCAGCCTGACCAACACGGTGAAATCCCATCCCTACTAAAAATACAAGATTAGCCAGGCGTGGTGGGTGCCTGTAATCCCAGGTACTTGGGAGGCTGAGACAGGAGACTCACTTGAACCTGGAAGGTGGAGGTTGCAGTGATCCAAGATCATGCCATTGCACACTCCAGCCCGGGCAACGAGAGCAAAACTCCATCTCAAAAAAAAATAATAAAAATAAACAAAATAAATTAAAAACATAGGCGTGGCCTGGGAGTTGGGAGTTCAAGGAGGCAGTGACCTTTGTCCATGCCACCGCACTCCAGCCTGGGTGACAGGGTGAGCTCCTGTCACCAAAAAAATTTAGAGGCATGGTGTCCACTGACACAATGCATACTGAGTACACGGGCCACCAGGAGCCCAGCCTCGGATGACTCGAAAGACACCTCCTCCTGCTTGGAGCTAAGTGCGGGGACCAAAGAGACACAAGTGAAGGTCTAGGGGCAAGGGGCTGCCCCAGCGTAGGGTGGGAGCTGGGGAGAAAGCCCTGGGAAGAATGTGGCCTGAAGGAAATGGGAAGAGAGGGACCACTGAGATGGCCTCGGCCACAGCTGAATCCTGAGACCTGCACCATCCTGAGACGTCACCATCCACAGCAGAGGAGAAATGGCAGGTGGGACTGAGTGAAGGACCTGGAGCTGGGAAAGCATCCTGGGTGAGGCGGGGGGCCTGATGTCACCCCGAGGTCCTCCCGAGAGAGGGCGGGAGAGTGAGACTCAGAGACTGGAAGAAGATGCGCTGTGGCTGTAAAGGGGGAGGAAGGGGCCCCGAGCCGAGGGATACAGTGCCTCTAGACCTTGGGAAAGGCAGAAATCTGGTTCTCCCCTGGAGCCCCCAGGAGGGCCCAGCCCTATCCCTGCCCTGACTTTAGCCCAGCAAGGCCCATGTCGGGCTCCCAGCCCCAGAGCTGTGAGATGTGAGTCGCTTTGCACTCCTAGGCTTGGGGTCACTTTGCAACAGCCCCGGGAGACAGAGACAGAAGGTAGGATGGCAGGGGGTGCCGGAGCTGGGGAGCGGGTGCAGGGGCTGGGGAGCAGTTGCCGGGGCTGGGGAGCGAGTGCCAAGGCTTGGGAGGGGGTGGGAGTGACAGTTTCAGGGCCAGGGTTTCAGTCTGGGGAGAGGATAAAGTTCTGGAGGTGGTGATGGTGGTGATGGTTGCACAACCACAAGAATGTACTCAGTGCGACTGAGCTGTACACTTGAAAATGGGGAACATGGGAAACAAGCCCCACACATTTTACCGCAGTCAACGCAAATCAGGGCGACGAGTGAGCCGTGCGAGCCTACCGGGCTGCCGCTCGCCGGCCGGTCCTTGAGTGACGCCAGGACCTCATTCCACAGCTTGGCGTTGCTCTTGTCCTCTCTGATGAGGCTGCTCTGCTGGGCCGTGAGACTGTAGGGCTCCACCTTGGTTTTCTTGGATGTCCGGCGCGGGGACCCGGCCCTGCTCGGGCCACCTCCTGGAAGAGGGTGGGGCGCGTGAGGGAGGGGCGCGTGGCCCGAGCTGCCGGAGAGACAGCCACCGGCTCCCACGTCCACACGACCTCAACCCCACACCCGCGAGATGCCCACCTGCTCCCCCACACACAAGACGCTCACCCCACACCCACGAGATTCTCACCTGCCGACTTCCGCTTCCACTTGCCCTTGCCCGTCCTGGGGGACGCGAAGCCCCCCTCCTGCTGCTCCTCCTCCTCCCTCTTGCTGTTCTCCTTCTCTCGCTCTCGGTTGGCCAGGGCTTCCAGGTAGCCTTCTGGATACTTCAGGAGGAAGAGGGACAGCCGTGAGTCAGGCTTGGGGCCCACACGCTATGCAGAGCCCGCTCTTCCAGCCTCCTTGCCAGGTCTGGGTTTCCAGACACACCTGACCCCCAATCCCCCTGAAGAGCACAGGGTAGTCCTCCCTTATCTAGTTTTGCTGAGGTTTCAGTGACCCAAAGTCAACTGAAAATGTTACATGAAATATTCTAGAAACAATTCCTAAGTTGTAAACTGCACACTGTTCTAAGTGTCCAACGTCTAGAGGCGCTGCATCCCTCGGCTCGGGGCCCCTTCCTCCCCCTTTACAGCCACCTCACATCACGCACACTGCATGATGAAACATTGCATCGTCCCACAGGGATGTGAACCTTCCCTTTGTCCAGCTTCTCGATTCTCCTGCCTCAGCCTCCCGAGTAGCTGGGATTACAGGTGCCCGCCACCACACCCAGCTAATTTTTGTATTTTTAGTAGAGATGGGGCTTCACCATGTTGGCCAGGCTGGTCTTGAACTCCTGACCTCAAGTGATCCACCTGCCTCAGTCATCCAAAATGCTGGGATTACAGGCTAAATATAAAATATTAATATTAAACATTCTAATTTTTATTAAATAAGCCCAACACTTTGGGAAGCCAAGGCAGGGGGATCGCTTGAGCCCAGGAGTTTGAGACCAGCCTGGGCAACATAGCAAGATCCCCTCTCTACAAAAAAATTTAAAAAATTAGCCGAGCCTGGTGGTGTGCATCTGTAGTCCCAGCTACTTAGGAGCCTGAGGCAGGAGAATCACTTGAGCCCAGGAGTTTGAGGCTGTAGTGAGCTATGATCACACCACTACACTCCAGCCTGGACAACAGAGCGAGACCTGGTCTCAAAAATAAAAATAATGGCCCCAAAGTGCAAGAGTAGGGATGCTGACAATTTGGAAATGCTAAAGAGAAGCCTAAGATGCGAAAGAGAGGTTGTGAATCTCATACTGTGCCTAATTTATAGATTAAACTTAATCACCAGTCCAAACGTATGGAAAAAAAATTATACATCAACGGTTTGGTACTCTCTGGTTTCAAGCATGTGCTGAGGACCTTCGAAGTGTCCCCCTGGTAAGGGGGGGACGCCTGTGCATTCAGCTCTTCGTTAACTGTGGAGCCTCGACCAATGGCTAATCCTGTCTAATCGCAAAGCTTCACTACGAACAAGAGGAGACTAAGAGGAGATAATCGGCCAAGCTCCACCTGGCAGGGTCGGGGTAAGCGCATTTAATGTGAGCGAACGCGGGTGACGTGTTCAGCATCACATCCCACCAATAAGATCTCGTTGTCTTTACGATTTCCATGAGGGCAGGCAAACTTTTGCTTCCAGGGACCCTAGGGTGAATGTTTTCAAGCCTTATGGGTCTGGACTGCAAGCGCTGAGAGCAGGCTACTTCAGTGAATGAGCATGACTGTTTCCCCAGAAACTTCACTTACGAACACCTGACCCCAGGGCCTTAGCTGGCCAAACTCTGGTGATTCTGAGGACTCGGGCCCTCTCTGTCCTCACAGGGCATCATCGCTCCATTTCGAAGGTACCTATAAGTCACGTCTGACTCTCCAGTGTCTCAGGAAATCTTTGAGCTCCTTTCACATTCTTTATGTTACAATGGAGATGAGAGTCATAAAAAAAAAAAAAATCCTGGCCAGGGTCAGCGGCTCACACCTGTAATCCCAGCACTTTGGGAGGTGGAAGCAGGTGGATCACCTGAGGTCACCAGCCTGGCCAACATGGCGAAACCCCGTCTCTACTAGAAATACAAAAATAGCTGGGCATGGTGGTACACACCTGTGATCCCAGCTATGCAGGAGGCTGAGATGAGAGAGTCGCTTGAGCCTGGGAGGTGGAGGTTGCAATGAGCCGAGATCATGCCTGCACTCCAGCCTGGGCGACAGAGTGAGACTCTGTCTCCAAAAAAAAAAAAAAAAAAAGGCTGGGAGCGGTGGCTTACGCCTGTAATCCCAGCACTTTGGGAGGCAGAGGCGGGTGGATCACCTGAGGTCAGGAGTTCAAGACCAGCCTGACCAACATGGTGAAACCCCGTCTCTACTAAAAATACAAAAACTGAGCCAGGCGTGGTGGTGGGCACCTGTAATCCCAGCTACTCAGGAGGCTGAGGCAGGAGTATGGCTTGAACCTGGGAGGCAGAGGTTGCAGAGAGCCGAGATCCCACCACTGCACTCCAGCCTGGGCGACAGAGCAAGACTCCATCTCAAAACAAACAAACAAAAAAAATCCTACTCCCAACAGAAGCTGAGGCTGTCTCTCCCATTACTATTTTTCTCTCTACTTCCTCAGCTTCTGAAATTCCCCACCGTACAAATCCATTCAAAAGACAACCTGAGTGACCCCCTCGGGTAGAGGACATCAGGCTCTCGACAGCAATTAAGATTCCTTAAATAGTCTCACGATTCGTCTGCTGTAAAGCTTCTCCCTGCAATGGACAGACCACATCCTAACTGGTGCTGAAATGCTGCGCCGCTTGTTGAGTAAGTTCTCGGCAGTTCCCATCGCCACAGGGAGGTGAGAGATGGCTCGGGGATATTCATCTTCCCCATTTTTCCGTCCAGATCTCTCTGGAATCCACCAATTTGGTTGGTTTGTTTCTGCTTTTTTTTTTTTTTTTTTGTGATGAGCCAAGAAGTGAAAACAGAAGACACCAGATGCCTGACTGGTCTGCAGCGATCCCTTTACCAACAGAACGAAGACAAGCAAGTCTGGTTTTCAACTCTGAGATGCGGCAGGCGGAGAAGCAAATGTCATCTGCGCGTTCCCATCACCCCCTGGCTGGAGGATTTATATGGGACAGCTAGGGGGGTGCCATCAGCTGGGGCCCTGGAAATTATTCTGGATCAGAGAGAAACCAGGGAAGCATGGGCCCGAGACGGGAGGCCTCCTGGAGTGTTCAGCGCGGTCCAGAACATGAGCACCACAAGCCCAGGCAGGGCCCATTCTGTGACCCACAATGACCTTCAAGGATGACAGCCTCCAAGCAGGACACATGGTGCCCAGGCGGGAAGTGTCAGAGCCGTCATGGAGCCCGGCAGTGCTCCTGTTTTGAGATGGACTCTCATTCTGTCACCCAGGCTGCAGTGCAGTGGCGCAATCTCAGCTCATTATAACCTCCACCTTCTGGGTTCAAGCAATTCTCCTGCCTCAGCCACCTCAGTAGCTGGGATTACAGGCACCCGCCACCATACCCAGCTAATTTTTGTATTTTTAGTAGAGATGAGGTTTCACCATGTTGGCCAGGCTGGTCTTGAACTCCTAACGTAAGTGATCCATCCGCCTTGGCCTCCCAAAGTGCCATCCCCCATCCCAGACACACCTGCATGGTCAGCCCCAGCTTCTTGATCCGGTCCTTCCCCTCCTTCGTCCAAGGGCCAGGCTCATCATCGTCCCTCCGCAGAAGGTAGCGCCACACGAGAAACCCGGACTTCCCCTTCTCGGGCCAGTATTTCACAACCTGCAGAGAGCGGGCATCAGCGTCAGCTCCATCAGAGGCAGCCCCGGCGGGGACAGAGCCCCCGGCCTCCTCAAGGGGCACTCACCTTGTAGATGCCATCGTAGCGGTTGCCCTCAGCGGGGGCGTACTTGCTATTCTTGCCACCCTTGACATTGCGCACCACCCTGACCGGCTTCCCCGACCGCCAGTCCTTGGCCTCGGCCCCTTCTTGGTCATTGATGGGAGCAAAGCAGTTGAGAGCCAGCGCCCTGCAGGGAGAGTCAGGACCCCACGCATTATAGGTGAGGATGTACCCCCCAAAAAAGGAAACACAGGAGCCGGGAGTGGTGGCTCAGGCCTGTAATCCCAGCACTTTGGGAGGCTGAAGTAGGCAGATCGCCTGAAGTCAGGAGTTCGAGACCAGCCTGGCCAACATGGTGAAACCCCGTCTCTGCTAAAAATGCAAAAGTTAGCCGGGCGTGGTGGCGCGTGCCTGTAATTCCAGCTACTCAGGAGGCTGAGGCAGGAGAATCGCTTGAGTCTGGGAGGCAGAGGTTGCAGTGAGCCGAGATTATGCCACTGCACTCCAGCCTGGGTGACAGAGTGAGGTTCTGTCTCAAAAAAAAAAAAAAATTTAATATTTCAAAGTTATATATGTATAATTTATAAAATAGGCCACACCCAGCCTACTATTTATTTGAGACAGGGTTGCTAGGTGCCGTGGCTCACGCCTCTAATCCCAGTACTCTGGGAGGCCAAGGCAGGAGGATTGCCTGAGCCCAGGAGTTCAAGACCAGCCTGGCCAACGTGGCAAAACCCCATCTCCACAAAAAAAAAAAAAAATAGCCAGGCGTGGTAACATGCACCTATAGTCCCAGCTACTCTGGAGGCTGAGGTGGGAGGATCAGTGGAGCCCAAGGAGGTGGAGGCTACAATGAGCTACGATCACACTGCTGCACTCCACCCTGGACAAGAGAGGGAGACCCTGCCTCAAAAAAAACAAAACAAAGCACACACACATATAAAAAAAAAACAAACAAAAAGAGAAAGGGTGTCTCACTCTGTCACCCAGGCTGGAATGCAATGGCATGATCACGCCTTACTCACTGCAGCCTCCTGGGCTCAAGCCATCCTCCCACCTCCGGCTCCCAAGCTGGGACTATAGGCCCACACGACCATAACCAGCTAACTTTTTTGAAATTCTTTTTTGTAATTTTAATTTTTCATAATTTTATGTTGCACAAGTAGGTCTCAAACTCCTAGCCTCAAGCAATCCTCCCACCTCAGCCTCCCAAAGTACTGGAACGACAGGCATGTGACACACCACCCATGGCCCATGTCTTTTTTAGGTACTTAGTTACTGACTTTGTGAGAGTGTGTGTGTGTGTGTGTGTGTGTGTGTGTGTCTATGTGCCAATTGTTTTAGATAATGGTATGAAAAACATTACATCTTACATTTTTACCTAGCCAGAGGTCTCCTAAAGACATTTTTCAAAGCGGAGTTAGAGTGACAAGAATAGATCATTTATAAAGCTCTTCATACAAACAGGCAGAAGAGATTTCCAGAAAGATGGTTCCAATTTGTATTTCTACCAACAGTGGAATGCTATTTTACCCCTGACCTATGTCAACATTTTAGAATTTTTGGCCAACTTTATAGGGGAAACAAATAGTATCTCACCACAGCCTCAGTTTGTATTTGATTACAACTTTGCACTTCTTTTGTGCATTATTTCCATATTCTCTTTTTTTTTTTTTGCTCTGTCACCCAGGCTGGAGTGCAGTGGAGCAATCTTGGCTCACTGCAAGCTCCGCCTCCCAGGTTCATGACATTCTCCTGCCTCAGCCTCCCGAGTAGCTGGGACTATAGGCACTTGTCACCATACCAGGCTTTTTTTTTTTTTTTTTTTTTGTATTCTTAGTAGAGATGGGGTTTCACCATGTTAGCCAGGATGGTTTCGATCTCCTGACATCGTGATCCGCCCACCTCAGCCTCCCAAAGTGCTGGGATTACAGGCGTGAGCCACCACGCCTGGCCTCTTTGCTTTCTTCTACGAGTTTCTTTCTTTCTTGAGATAGAGTCTCACTCCTGTTACCCAGGCTAGAGTGCAAGAGTGCAATGGCATGATTTCGGCTCACTGCATCCTCCGCCTCCTGGGTTCAAGCAATTCTGCCTCAGCCTCCCAAGTAGCTGGGATTACAGGTGCCTGCCACCACACCCAGCTAATTTTTGTATTTTTAGTAGAGACAGGGTTTCACCATGTTGGCCAGGCTAGTCTTGAACTCCTGACCTCAGGTGATCCACCACCTACCTCGGCCTCTCAAAGTGCTGGGATTACAGGCGTGAGCCACCGCACCCAGCTCTTCTATGAGTTTCTTGTTGATTTGCAACAGCTCTTTATATGATAAAGACACTATCATCATGTGTCATGTCAAGAACTCCTCCTAGTCATCTGCCTTTTAATTTATAGGATTTATTTATGTAATATATTTATAATGTTTAGATAATCAAATCTGTCTTTTCCTTTGGGCTTTATGATGGTTTTTATGCTGGAAAAGTCCGCCCCCATCCTGTAATCAGGGGCCAAGCAAATTCTGGCCTATCACATACTTTTGCAAATAAAATTCACTGAAACACAGCCATGCTCACTCACTTACATATGGTCTATGGCTGATTTTGTGCTACGACACAAGAGCTGAAGAGGTTCTCTGAATAGACTGTGTGACCTGCATAGCTGAAGCAATCTATTTTGGAGGGGTTTTTTTTTTTTTTTTTTTGACAAGATCTCAGTCTGTTGCTCAAGCTGGAGTGCAGTGGTGCAATCTCAGCCCACTGCGGCCTCAACCTCCTGGGCTCAAGTGATCCTCCTGCCTCAGCCTCCTGACTAGCTGTGACTATAGGCACATGCTAACACACCCAGCTAATTTTTTTATTTTTACTTTTTGTAGATGGGTTGTCTCACTACCTTGCCCAGGCTGGTCTTGAACTCCTGAACTCAAGGTATCCTCGAGCCTCGGCCTCCTGAAGCGCGAGAATTACAGGCGTGAGCCACCAGGCCCAGCATTAAGATACCTACTATCAGCCAGGCGCAGTGGCTCATGCCTGTAATACCAATATTGGGAGGCCGAGGAGGGAAGATCACCTGAGGTCAGGAGTTCGAGACCAGCCTGGCCAACATGGCAAAACCCCATCTCTACTAAAAATACAAAAATTAGCCAGGCGAGGTGGCAAGCACCTGTAATCCCAGCTACTCAGGAGGCTGAGGCATGAGAATCGCTTGAGCCCAGGAGGCAGAGGTTGCAGTGAGCAGAGAGTGCACCACTGCACTCTAGCCTGGGCAACAGAGCGAGACTCTGCCCAAAAAAAAAAAAAAAAAAAAAAAAAAAAAGATATCTATTATCTGGCCTTTTATAGGGAAGTTTGCTTTCATCCATCTGAATGGCTCACGGTATGTGGCACACATACGGGAGGAACCAGACCAGGCGCAGTGGCTCACGCCTGTAATCCCAGCACTTTGGGAGACAGAGGGAGGAACCAAATGCCAGGCTTCGCTATGTTCTACCACGCTCCTAATGAGACTATCACTTGCTGGACATGAGGCCCAAAACAGAACCAAGACTCGGCAGATATGCATCAGCAAGGAAATAAGAAGGCTGATTCCACAAACCTGTTGGTGTTGGTGAGTTTCTGATCACAAGACTGTTCCGCGGTCCTCTTGTTGCCGGAAAGATCTCGACCACCACTACCCGTGTATGTGAAAAAATTCCCATGGTCCTGAAACAGACAAGAAGGCTGGGTGAACCCTCTGCAGAGGCAAAAAAAAAAAAAGAGACTGCATTGAAAGCAAACTCCCCAGGATGGCTACTTTCAAAGAAACAGAAAATAACAAGCGTTGGTGAGAATGTGGGGAAATTGGAGCCCTTTGTAAACTGTTGGTGGGACTACAGAATGGCAAAGCGACTATACAAACAGTGTGGTGCGTCCTCAAGAAACTTAAACAGAGGGCTGGGCATGGTGGCTCACACCCGTAATCCCAGCACTTTGGGAGGCTGCAGCGGGAGGATCGCTTAAGCCCAGGAGTTCGAGATCAGCCTGGGCAACATGGCGAAACCCCATCACCACAAAAAAATACAAAAATTAGTTTGGCGTGGCAGTGCCTGCCTGTAGTCCCAGCTTCTTGGGAGGCTGACATGGGAGGATCACTAGAGCCCAGGAGGTAGTGGCTGTAGTGAGCTGTGATCACACCACTGCACTCCAGCCAGAATGAGACTCGGTCTCAAAAAAAAGAAAAAAAAAAAACAACACTCAACATGGAATTATCACAGGAGTCTTGAATTCCACTTCTGGATATACACCCAAAAGAATGGAAAACGGGGGCTGGAGATACTTGTACAGCCGTGTTCGTAGCAGATCTATTCACAGCAGTCGAAAGGGGAAGGAACCCCAGTGCCCACGGACAGACAGATCAACACAGCATGGTCCCTCCGCACGGCAGAATAGGACTCAGCCGTGAACAAAAGGGGAATCCGGACACATGCGACAACATGGACAAAGCAAGGACGTCGGGCTCAGTGAGAGGAGCCAGGCATGCAAGGACGCAGGCCGTGCGATTCCACTCCCAGGAGGTCTCCAGAGTCGTCAGAGTCACAGAGGCAGGAACCAGGTTGGGCGGTGCCAGGGACTGGGAGGGGGTGGGGAGTGAGTGCTTCGTGGAGACAACGTTTCAGTTTGGGAAGATGAGAAAGTTCTGGAGATGGTGGTGGTGATGGTTGCATAGCAATGGGAATATACTTCACGCCACCGGGAACCAAGCATTTAAAAACGGCTAGGATGGGAAATTTTGTTCTATGTATTTTACCACCATCCAAAAAACTAGAGCAACCCTCCCCCACCCCTCCCACACACACACTCACCACATCATCCTCATAGCCCCCCGCCAGGACTAGGGAGTACGCTCCGTCGTTGCTCCGGCCGTGTATGCCAGCCACGTGGGGCCGATGGACACCCGACTCGCTGACCTGAGGATGCCACCAAGATATACATGGTGTCCTCTGCAATGACTGCTGCAGAGAAGCTCCACCGCCCTCCTCCTCCCTACCCCGAGCAGCCAGCGGCCTCACTTTTACACCAAACTCCTCAGGCCTGCGAGTCACCTACTACGTGTGCTGCTCGGCTAGAGACGGCCGGAGTTGAGCTGCACCATGGAAAAAAAAAAAAAAAAACCAGCTGGCGTGAATTCCAGCCCCATCAAGCGTGCACGGGGCATCCTCACTGCTGATCTCCGATGCTCCTCTTCGGCCTCTAGAAAATGGGGGGTGACGGCCAGGCACGGTGGCTCACACCTGTAATCCCAGCACTTTCGGGGGCCGAGGTGGGTGGATCACTTGAGGTCAGGAGTTCAAGACCAGCCTGGCCAACAAGGTGAAACCCCATCTCTACCAAAAATACAAAAATTAGCTGGGCGTGGTGGCATGTCCCTGTGATCCCAGCTATTGGGGAGGCTGAGGCAGGAGAATCGCTTGAACCCAGGAGAGGGAGGTTGCAGTGAGCCAAG
The DNA here is from genome assembly GCF_000001405.40 of Homo sapiens. Lineage (NCBI taxonomy): Eukaryota > Metazoa > Chordata > Mammalia > Primates > Hominidae > Homo > Homo sapiens. Next base: position 4,945,324 of record NC_000019.10, on the reverse strand, counting down.
ACCGCACCACTGCACTCCAGCCTGGGCAACAGAGCAAGACTCCGTCTCAAAAAAAATAAAAGTGGGGGTGACTGAGTTCTAAATGAGGTTATGATATAAAAGCCGGCCTTCATTAGGCCGGTTGAGGTGCAGCCTGCCACTCACTCCACAAAATGCCTTGAGAGGCCCTGGCCTGAGCATGGGGCCCCGGCTGGCCGCTGAGCACTAGGGATACAGCGCTGCCCCAGGAGCTCCTAGCCCTGCACGCCTGGCCCCATGAACTCCATGATGAGGCCCAGCTTGTCCACCCAGCTCAGTGCATCTCACCCAGGGGCAATCCTGCCTCCAAGGGGACACTCATGTCTGCAGACGTTTCTGGTTGTCATGACTTGGGAGGACATGGAGTGGGTGGGGGCCAGAGATGCTGCTCAGCACCCTGCAGTGCCCAGGATGGCCCCGCCCCAGAGAACCATCTGGCTCCAATGTCACTAGTGCCAAAGTGTCTCGTCTGCCGTGACACACAGCCCACAGCTGACAGCGCCCAGCACTGTCAACACCCAGTCACAGGCAGGGGCTGCCCCAATGATAGATCACAACCAGCGCTGAGACAGGTCCCTCTTAGCAGATGCCACCCCTTCCCTGGGACAGGAGCTTTGGGAATGACCTTACGTGTCTCTGAGCAGAGCAGCAGCCCCCACCCCCAAGGATTCATTGCAGGTCCCTGGTAAAATAAGGAGTAAACCCAAACCTGCAGGCTTTCCACACCCCTCCTCGGCTAGCCGAGGCACCACTGGTAACCACCCTGACCCCTGGCTGGCCAAAGCCAGGAGAAACTGCCCCCAGAAAAGCAGGATGAGCCCGCGTGGCCCCTGGAGCCCCGGGACGCTGCAGGTACCTGGACTCGGAACCGCCACATGGTGCCCACGGGGATCCCCGGGATGGGTCCGTAGTGGTTGGACGGGACGATGGTACATTCCTTGGTGCGGCCCACACAGGCCATGCCCTGTCCCAGGCACAGACACAAAGAACAACAGCGTGAGCCCTGGCAGGCGGGGAGGGGCCACGGGCACGTGGGAAGGACCCGCCTCACCTTGCCCCAGTCCCGCTGTGAGGACGATGTGGCCGAGGCCATCTTCGCCTTCTTCTTGCTCTCTCTCAGCCGCTCTCCCGCCAGTACCACCTCGCTGGCATCATTCCGGCACTCAGGGCAGTACCTGCGAGGTCGGGATTGTCACTGCCCACGCCTAGCCTGGCAGATGTCTCAGCCAACATGTGCCCTCTGCCCACACACCACGGACATGGCTCTCCCCGCCTGGCACCACTACCATCCTGCCCTGTCCACATTGCAGGCCGCTTGGCACACGAGGCTGTTTACATTTAAATTCATTCGAACTAAGCCAGGCACAGTGGCTCACGCCTGTAATCCCAGCACTTTGGGAGGCCGAGGCGGGCAGATCACCTGAGGTCAGGAGTTCAAGACCAGCCTGGCCAACACGGTGAAACCCCATCTCTACTAAAAATACAAAAATTAGCCGGGCATGGTGGTGGGCACCTGTAATCCCAGCTACTTGGGAGGCTGAGGCAGGAGAATCGCTTGAAACCAGGAGGCAGAGGTTGCAGTGAGCCGAGGTTGCACCACTGCACTCCAGCCTGGAGGACAGAGCAAGACTCTATCTCAAAAAAAAAAGAAAGCAGGTTCTCTGTTGGCCTTCCACGGAGAATTCCACGGATCTTGCAACAGTGAGAGTGAACGCAATGTGGGATGTGGGAAATACACGTGCAGATTCCATGAGTGCCTTCTCACTGCCGTGGACTCAGTTTCCCCATCTCTACGATGTGGGGAGGGGGGGCAGGGCAACAACAACACCCACTTCTGTGCTGGAGGAATGACCACAGGCAGGTCCTCAGACCCGAGCCTAGCACATCACAACCTCCCCATCCACATCCGCAATTGTCATTATGTGCGCCAGGAACACAGTGGCTACGAAACCTCCTCTCACAGAAGCTGTGAAGCCCCCTGCACTCTGTTCCCTGGCTGGCCGCAGGTCTCACCCACTCAAGCAACATGGGAAGATTTCCTCACCACCCCCCCTTTTTTTTTGTTTTTGAGACTTAGTCTCACTCTGTCGCCAGGCTTGAGTGCAGTGGCGCGATCTCAGTTCACGGCAACCTCCGCCTCCCAGGTTCAAGCGATTCTCCTACCTCAGCCTCCCGAGTAGCTGGGATTACAGGCGCGTGGCACCACGCCTGGCTAACTTTTTTGTATTTTTAGTAGAGACGGGGTTTCACCATCTTGGCCAGGCTGGCCTCAATTTCCTGACCTCGTGATCCACCCACCTTAGCCTCCCAAAGTCCTGGGATTACAGGCATGAGCCACTGCACCTGACCTCATTTTTACTTTTCTAAAGAAATAGGGTCTCACTTCCATCACCCAGGCTGGAGTACAGTGGCGCGATCACAGTTCACTGCACCCTCGACCTCCTGGGCTCCAGCGATCCGATCCTCTTACCTCGGCCTCCCAAGTGGCTGGGACCACAGGCGAGCACCACCACGCCCAGCTAATTTTCTTACATTTTTTGTAGAAATGGGGTCTCCAGGCCAGGCATGGTGGCTCACACCTGTAATCCCAGCACTTTGGAAGGCTGAGGCAGGCAGATCACTTAAGGTCAGGAGTTAAGAGACCAGCCTGGCCAAGATGGTGAAACCCCGTCTCTACTAAAAATACAAAAATTAGCCGGATGTGGTGGCAGGCACCTGTAATCCCAGCTACTCGGGAGGCTGAGGCACGAGAATTGCTTGAACCCGGGAGGCAGAGGTTGCAGTGAGCCAAGATCGTGCCATTAGACTCCGTCTCAAGGCTGGGCGAGGTGGCTCACGCCTATAATCCCAGCACTTTGGGAGGCCGAAACGGACGGATCACGAGGTCAGGGGATCAAGAACATCCTGGCTAACAAGGTGAAACCCCATCTCTACTAAAAATACAAAAAATTAGCCAGGCGTGGAGGCGGGCGCCTGTAGTCCCAGCTACTCGGGAGGCTGAGGCAGGAGAATGGCGTGAACCCGAGAGGCGGAGCTTGCAGTGAGCTGAGATCGCGCCACTGCACTCCAGCCTGGGAGACAGCGAGACTCCGCCGCAAAAAAAAAAGAAAAGAAAAAGAAAAGAAAAAAGACTCCGTCTCAAAAAAACAAACAAAAAAAGAAACAGAGTCTCTACGTCCCCCAGGCTGGTCTTGTGTTGCCCAGGCTGCTCTTGAACTCCTGAGCTCAAGTGATCCTCCCGCCTCGGCCTCCCAAAGCACTGGGATTGCAGGCGTGAGCCCCCGCGCCTGCCCCTCTCCTGTATCTCCTCAGTGCCCCTCTGGGGATTTGTAGGGGGCGCTCTGGTCTCCCCGCGGCGGGCAGGGCCGCACTCACCACTCGTCCTCGCTGGGAACACTGCTGAGGGGCGGGTCCAGGCAGTAGATGTGGAAGGCCATGTCGCACTCATCGCACATGAGCTGCTTGTCGGGGTCCTGCCGGCCCCCGCACAGGTGGCAGGCGCAGACCCGGCAGAGTCTGTTCACGTCGTCCTTGCAGTGCTTGCAGGACGGCCCGCTCTTCCCTGGGCACGGGGCGGCAGGGTCAGCTCCGGCGGGGCCCGGCCAAGCCAGAGACGGGACAAGAGCCCCCGCCCCGTGCCCACCGCGGAAGATGGGGAAAGGCTGGCTCAGAACTCACGTCTCATGGGGTTGTCAACCATGGGGCTCCCTTCACCCGGCCGCTCAATCTTGAAGACTTCGTCCACGAAGATGATCCGACAGTCGTTCAGAGAATCATCCCTGCAAGGAACGAGGACGCTGGAACATTCTGGCCTGCCGAGGCCCCTAAATCTACTCACAGCACTTGAACACCACGGGTTCTCGGGATGCCTGGGGCAACAGCTCAGCTACGCCCCCTAGCAATCAAAGCTGCACTCACAGAAGCAACATGAAACGGAACAGGGCGCAGTGGCTCACGCCTGTAATACCAACACTGGGAGGCCGAGGTCAGGAGTTCGAGACCAGCCTGGCCAACATGGTGAACCCCCGCCTCCACTGAAAATACAAAAATTAGCTGAGCTTGGAGAAGCGCGCATGTAATCCCAGCTACTCGGGAGGCTGAGGCAGAAGAATCACTTGAACCCGGGAGGCAGAGGTTGCAGTGAGCCAAGATCGCGCCACTGCACTCCAGCCTGGGCGACAGGGCAAGACTCAGTCTCAAAAAAAAAAAAAAAAAAAAAAACAAAACACAGAAACCAGAGTTTCATTGCAGGATGCCCTGGGAAGAATGAGTTTGAACCTTTGGCTAAGGAGCACCAAATCCACAAGAACCGACAAGCAAGACTCATAAAGGTTGGCCGGGCATGGTAGCTCAGACCTGTAATTCCAACACTTTGGGAGACCGAGGCAGGCCGATCATCTGAGGTCAGGAGTTCGAGACCAGCCTGGCCAACATGGTAAAACCCTGTCTCTACTAAAAATGCAAAAATTAGCTGGGCATGGTAGCGCGCACCTGTAATCCCAGCTACCCAGGAGGCTGAGGCAGGAGAATTGCTTGAACCCAGGAGGCAGACGCTGAAGTGAGCCAAGATCGTGCCACTGCACTCCAGCCTGGGCGACAGAGTGAGACTCCATCTCATCAAAAAAATATATAAATAAATCAAGTTGGGCACCGTGGCTCACATCTGTAATTCCAGCACTTTGGGAGGCCAAGGTGGGTGGATCACGAGGGTCAGGACTTCGAGACTAGCATGGCCAACATAGTGAAACCCCGTCTCTACTAAGAATACAAGAATTAGCTGGGCATGGTGGCCCGTGCCTGTAATCCCAGCTACTCGGGAGGCTGAGGCAGGAGAATCGCTTGAACCTGGGAAATGGAGGTTGTGGAGCTGAGATGATCACGCCACTGCACTCCAGCATGGGCGACAGAGCAAGACTCCATCTCAAAAAAAAAAAAAAAAAAAAAAAATCATAAAGGCAACGCTTGATCCAATGGCCTACATCAAAATACAAGAACTCCTGTGAGTGAAACTGATCCCCCGAGATCAATAATCCGACATCCCCATCAGCAACGTCCGAGGGAAACAGCACTTGAACACACGCTGTGTATGTAATTCTAAATTTCCTAATAAGCACGTTTGAGAGGTAAACATAGGTGGAAGTAATTGGAATATGTTCCATAGAACCCAGTGTAGACAAAAGATTATTTCAACATGGAATGAATATGAAAAAGTTATTAATGAGCTACTTTACATTCTTCTTTTGTACCAGGTCTCTGAAAGCCCATGTGTTTTTTTTTTTTTTTTTGAGACAGTCTCGCTCTGTCGCCCAGGCTGGAGTGCAGTGGCACGATCTCGGCTCACTGCAAGCTCCACCTCCCGGGTTCACGCCACTCTCCTGCCTCAGCCTCCTGAGTAGCTGGCACTATAGGCACCCGCCACCACGCCTGGCTAATTTTTTGTATTTTTAGTAGAGACGGGGTTTCACCGTGTTTGCCAGGATGGTCTCGATCTCCTGACCTTGTGATCCGCCCACCTCGGCCCCCCAAAGTACTGGGATTACAGGCATGAGCCACTGCGCCTGGCACCCATGTGTATTTTACACTCACAGTACATTCCAGTTCCTCCTGGCCACATTTCAAGCACAGCACAGGTGGCTCTTGGCTATGGGACAGTGTGGGAACACACTGACCTACCAGCTCACAGGTAGCACAGACGCACACAGCAAGTGACATCTCCTGGTCATCTCTACAGTCTGGATAGAGCCATTTGGAACTCCTGGGACAAATGACCAGGATTCCTCAACAAATTAAGTGTTAAGGAAAAGGAGGCTAAGGCAGGAGAATTGCTTCAGCCCAGGAGTTCAAGGCTGCAGTGAGCTATGATTGCACCACTGCACTCTAGCCTAGGTGAGACAGCAAACAGCAAGACTCCGTCTCAAAAAAAAAGAAAGAAAAACATATTCTAAGACTGGGTATAGTGGCTCATACCTATAATCCCAGCACCTTTTGGGAGGCTGAGGCAGGAGTATCACTTGAACTCAAAAGTTCGAGACCAATCTAGCCAGACCCCCATTGCTACCGAAAATTAAAAAAAAAAAAAAAAAAAAAATGGCCGGGTGCAGTGGCTCATGCCTGTAATCCTAGCACTTTGGGAGGCTGAGGCGGGTGGATTATCTAAGGTCAGGAGTTCAAGACCAGCCTGGCCAACATGGTGAAACCCTGTCTCTACTGAAAATACAAAAAAAAATGAGCCAGGTGCAGTGGAGCACGCCTGTAATCCCAGCTACTCGGGAGGCTAAAGCAGGAGAATCGCTTGAACCCGGGAGGTGGAGGTTGCAGGGAACCAAGATCGTGCCACTGCACTCCACCATGGGTGACAGAGCGAGACTTTGTCTCATCAAAAAACAAAAAAAAAAATTAGTCAGGCATGGTGGTGCACGCCTATGGTCCCAGCTACGTGGGAGGCTGAGGTTGGAGGATTGCTTGAGCCCAGGAGGTTGGGGCTACAGTGAACTGAGAGCTTGCCATTGCACTCCAGCCTGGGCAACAGAGCAAGACCTTATCTCAAAAAAAAAAAAAAAAAAAAAAAAAAAAAAACCTGACCAAAACAAAACTCTTATGCCAGGTGCAGTGGCTCATGCCTGTAGTCCCAGCACTTTGAGAGGCCGAGACGAGTGGATCACCTGAGGTCAGGATCGCTTGAAGCCAGGATCTGGGGGTTGCAGTGAGCTGAGATCACGCCACTGCACTCCAGCATGGGTGACAGAGTGAGACCTTGTCTCAAAACAAACAAACAAACAAAAAAAAACTGTCTTATTCTTGCTGTACAAATAAATGAGAAGGGAGGGAAAGGTCTAAGATCCTCAAAAATAAAATTGGTAAAGACTGACAAAAATAAAAAGAAAACATAAATTACCAACACCAAGAATAAAACAGGGATCTCACTAGATCCTTCAGGCATCAGAGAATAAGGAAATAATACAAATGACTTTATGCTCAGAGAAACCGGCTAATTCCCCAAAACCCAGAAAGTATGTCAGCTCAAACATGATGAAACAGATAGTCCAGACAGTCACATAAGCATAGAAGAAATTCAATTCATAAAAGCTCCTCCAGAAGACATCTCCAGATCTCCATGGCCTCAGTAAAGCTTCCCTTCCTCCCCCACCCCACCGAGACGGAATCTTGCTCTGTCATCCAGGCTGGAGTGCAATGGCATGATCATAGCTCACTGCAACCTCCACCTCCCAGGTTCAAACGATTCTCCTGCCTCAGCCTCCCAAGTAGCTGGGGCTGCAGGTGCACACCACCAAGCCCAGCTAATTTTTGTATTTTTAGTAGAGACGGGGATTTCACACCATGTTGACCAGGCTGTTCTCAAACTCCTAACCTCAAGTGATCCGCCCACCTCCGCCTCTCCAAGTGCTGAAATTACAGGCATCGGCCACTGCACCCAGCCTATGGTCTCGTTAAAGAATTCTATCAAACCTTTAAAGAAGAATTAACGTAAATTTTACACAATCTCTTCCAGAAAACAGAAAAAGGAATAAACATTTCCCAGCTCACATTATAAGGCTGGTATTGACCAACCAACAAAGACCATACAAAACAAGAGAATTGCAGACCACTGTTTCTTATTAACTTACTCAAATAAATCCTAAACTGGCCGGGCGAAGTGGCTCACGCCTATAATCCTAACACTTTGGGAGGCCAAGGCGGGCGGATCACCTGAGGTCAGGAGTTCAAGATCAGCCTGGCCAACATGGAGAAACCCCACCTCTACTAAAAATACAAAAATAAGCTGGGTGTGCTGGCATACGCACCTGTAATCCCAGCTACTCCAGAGGCTGAGGCAGGAGAATCGTTTGAATCCAGGAGGCGGAGGTTGCAGTGAGCCAAGATCACATCACCGCACTCCAGCCTGGGAAACAGAGCAAGACTGTGTCTCAAAAAAATAAACAAATCTTAAACAGCAAAAAATCCTGGAAGCAGCTCAGATATCCAATGGGTCGTTAAAAAAAAAAAAAAAAAAAAGTGGCCCATCTATACCACAGAATACTACTCAGGGATGAAAAGGAATGAGCTACTGATATGCGGTAACTTCAATTAATCTGTAATTATGGAGAGTCGGGAAAAAAAGAATCAATCCCAAAAGGTTACATACTGTGTGATTCCATTTATATAACGGGAATCCTTATTACAAAGTTGAAATTGTAAAATCCTTGAAATTACAAAATTGTATGAATGGAGAACAAAAGAGAGCGAGACTCCGTCTCCAACAAAAAAAAAAATTATTGCTTGCCGGGGGTCAGGGACCAGGTGGGGATGGGGAGGTGGGTTTGGCTATAAAAGGGGTAACGAGAAGGATTTTGTGAGGAGGAAACTCACTTTTGACTGTATCAATGTCAATATTCCAGTTGTGATAACACAGTATAGTTTATTAATATAAGTTGTTACCACTGGGGGAAACTGAATAAAGGGTACACAGCCTGTTTTTTTTTCTTTTCACTTTTTTTTTTTTTTTGCAGACTCTCTTGCTGTTGCCTAGGCTGGAGGGCAGTGGTGTGATCACGGCTCACTGCAGCCTCAACCTCCCAGGCTCAAGCGATCCTCCCACCTCAGCCTCCCAAAGTGCTGGGACAACAGGCCTGAGCCACTGCGCCTAGCCATCTCTACATTATAACTGCATGTGAATCTACAATGCAAGGTAAAATTTAATGAAAATGAATGATGAATGAATTGACCCCCCACACTGCAGAGACACCAGTGTAGAGGGCTTGCATTTAGAAGTCAGCCCTGGCAAAGGCTGGTAGCTCCTAGCACTGCCCAGAGCAGGACCTGGGGCTCAGCCACCTATCTGAGCCTCCCAATCCCAGAGTCCACTCGGCCATCTCTGCCACCCATCCTCGCGTGTTGTCTCAGAGCACGCATCTCCCTGGTCTGTCATCTGCAGATCTGTCTCCCACACCAGGCTGGGTGCCTCCTAAGACAGGGACTGCAATCGCGTTTCTCTGTCTCATCTTGTATGATGCCTGACTCAGCAGATGATAGAAGTCGAAGGTGCTAACGATGGGCACACATCACAAACTCATTGCGAGGCACAACTCGGCTCAGCGTGACCCTCTCACTGCATCCCTGGAAGCTCCCATGGGGCTGGCAAGGGACAGTGTCTGCCCCAAGGCCGCCTGGACCGAGCACCTGTTCCCTTTCCCGCTGTGCCTCCTGCATCCCCAGAGGGCTCGGGACACAAGCATGAATGAATCGAAGAACCCAAACACCCCAAGGTGTGGTCGGCCAGGTATCTTCGTTTCCCTGCCTGGTGACACCCCTGCCTTGTGACAGTCAATGTGCAGAAATGCAGTTTTCTTCTGCTAGGGGAGGGACTGAGGTGGAGGAAGCCCGTGGGTGCTGGCTGGGCAGGTTATCTGTCTCAGGGTAAACGGGCAGCAGCTGGTGTATAACTGGTGCGGATGGAGCCTAAGGTGGCCCCACAACCCCCACCTCCTGGCAACCACGCATTTGTAGGCGTTTCTCCCCATAAAAGTATGGACAGGGCTGTCACTTAAACCTAACCCATAAAATACAGCAGAGCTGACGGACTGTCACTCCTGGGACGATGACACATCACACGATGCTCTATATCTTACTAGCCGACTAGCTGAAGACCTCCCTTGCTAGCTTGACATCAGTAGCCACATCAGAGAAGCCCATGGGGCAAGGAACTGCAGGTGGGCCCTGGGAACTGCAGGCGGCCTCCAAGAACCAAGTTAAAAAAAAAAAAATGAAGCCCCCATCCTTCAACCGCAAAGTAGTGGATTATATCAGCCACCACAAGAGCTTGGAAGGGGTTGTATGAGTCTGTTCTCATGTTGCTAATAAAGACATACTAAATAATAAAGACTGGGTAATTTAGAAAGGAAAGAGGTTTAATGGACTCACAGTTCCGCATGGCTGGGGAGGCCTCACAATCATGGTGGAAGGTGAACGAGCACAGGCACATCTTACACAGCGGCAGGCAAGGGAGTGTGTGCAGGGGAACTGCCCTTTATAAAACCAGATAGGCTGGGTGCGGTGGCTCACGCCTGTAATCCCAGCACTTTGAGGGGCTGAGGTGGGTGGATCGCCTGAGGTCAGGAGTTCAAGACCAGCCTGGGCAGCATGGTGAAACTCTGTCTCCACTAAAAATACAAAAATTAGCTGGTGGTGGGCACCTATAGTCCCAGCTACTCAGGAGGGTGAGGCAGGAGGATCCCTTGAACCCGGGAGGTGGAGGTTGCAGTAAGCAGAGATCCTGCCACTGCATTCCAGCCTGGGTGACAGAGCAAGACTCTGTCTCAAAAAAAAAAAGTTAGTCACCAGCATTTAAAAATCAGATTCCATATAACAATCCAGATAGTTTCTCAGAAAATCTCAGATTCAGAAATGCGCCTAGCAGAGAATAAAGACCAATTCCACACCACACCCGAGCCACGCGCTTAAGGCCCAGACTCAGTGAGGAGGCTCCCACAGCCCCAGCCACTCCCCTCCATCACCCGCAGCTCACTGACCTCCCTACCGGGCCACAGATGCACCATAAATGTCCCAGCCCAGGACCTCTGCGTGCTTGCTGTACCTGTACTTGGAACGCCGTTGCCAAGATGCTCGTGTTTATAGACAACACGTCACGTACTATCACTCGGCCACAAAAAGGAGGGAAATTCCGACCAGGCTACAGCCTGATGCACCTCAAGGACATCACACTCAGTGACGTCAGTGAACAGATGCAAAGGACAAATCCTGTGTGATCCCATTCCTAGGAGGTCCCCCGAGTTGTCAGATTCACAGAGATGGAAAGTAGGATGCAGAGGTGTCAGGGGCTAGGGAGTGAGTGTTTCATGGAGTCAGAGTTTCAGTTTGGGAAGAGGACAAAGTGCTGGAGATGGTTGCGTAACAACGTAAATGCGTTTAATGCCACCGAACTGTGCGCTTAAACATGGTTCCAATGGTAAATTTTTGGCCGGGCGCAGTGGCTCATGCCTGTAATCCCAGCACTGTGGGAGGCTGAGGCGGGCGAATCACTTGAGGTCAGGAGTTCGAGACCAGCCTGGCCAACATGGTGAAACCCAGACTCTACTAAATATATATATATATACAAAAATTAGCCAGACGTGGTGGCGGGCGCCTGTAATCCCAACTACTTGGGAGGCTGAGGCAGGAGAATCACCTGAACCTGGAAGGCGGAGGCTGCAGTGAGCCAAGATCATGCCACTATACCCCAGCCTGGGCGACAGAGGGAGACTCTGTCTTTTAAAAAAAAAAAAAAGGTAAATTTTCTGTTACATACATTTTATCACACACACACACACACACACACACGCACACACACACACAAAGAGGCAAGGGAGAAAGAACAGGCTTTGCAAAATGATTCTGCAAATGGCCAAATAGGAAGGATTTTCAGCTTTGTAGGCCGCATAGTCTCTGTTGCAACTACACAACTCTGCTCTTATAACACAAAAGCAACCACAGGTAATAAGATAAAAATGGGTGTGACCACGTCCCAATAAAACTATTAGTCAAAGCCGGCAGCGGACCACAGCAGGCCTGTGGACTGCAGTTTGCCAACTCCTAAGCGGTGTGGTTTGGCGTGTATGTTTATGAACAGAATGTCCCTGGAAAGTTGGTAACAGTGATGTCGCCAAAAAGGGGAACTGGGTGACCAGGCAGAGGAGGGAGAACCTTCATGTGTGGTCTTGGGTGCTTTCTATTTTGACCCTGTGAATGGGACCTATTCACCAAATTTGAAACAAACAAGAGAGAAAAAGAAAGCTTGAGGCCAGGCACGGTGGCTCACTGCCTGCAATCCCAGCACTTTGGGAGGCCGAGGCAGGCAGATCACGAGGTCAGGAGATCGAGACCATCCTGGTTAACGGTGAAACCCCGTCTCTACTAAAAATACAAAAAAATTAGCCAGGTGTGGTGGTAGACGCCTGTAGTCCCAGCTACTCGGGAGGCTGAGGCAGGAGAATGGCATGAACCCAGGAGGCAGAGCTTGCAGTGAACCGAGATCGAACCACTGCACTCCAGCCTGGGCAACAGAGCGATAAAAAAAACACCATGAGAAAAAGGAAGTTTGACAACTCTGCCTGTCAGGGCCTGGGGGTCAGAGACAGTTCCCTGGGCAGAGGCACTCAGGGGCACAAGGTGGTCGGTCTTAGAAAGATGCTCAGCAGTGAGCAGGAACAGACCCCAGAGGGGAGGCAGGAAGGCCAGGCCGGAGGCTAAGGGCCTCGCACACACAGCGCTGGCTGGACGGCTTCAAAGCCAGTCCGGGGGCCCCGGGAGGGGAGGAAAGGAGAGAGGAAGGGCTCGCCCCAGGACGCGAGGCTCACCCCAGCACCACGTTGGCGTAGAGTTCCCGCGCCGTCCTGGTCTCGCGCTTCCTGGAGATCTCCGCGTCGTACCAGAAGCCCCGCTCCTTGGGGTTGTCGGGGTTGTAGTTGAGCATGACCACCTGGCCCACCTCCAGGTCCTGCCACTTGATGATGGTGCGGGCGCGCGCTCGGACGTCCCTGGAGTTCATCTGGACCACGCCGTTCTCCGGGTAGCTGGGAGGAAAGCCCGGGCCTTAGACCCCGTGCTAAGACCAAGCCTCCTTCCCTCAATGGGAAACGAGCCGAGGTGGGACGGCCCCTCCCGACAGTGTGCAGAGGCCCCTCCCAACAGGCTTATATGCTGGTGTTGAGAACACACAGGTATATTAAGGCACATTCCAGGTACAAAATTGTTATGGGTTGCCCGTGTCCCCTGCAAAAAGAGATGTTCAAAGGCTGATCCCCAGTACCCACGAATAGGATTGTTTTTGGAAACAGGGTCTTTGTAGATAGAACCTTTGCAGATGAAATCATATTAAGATGAGATCACACTGCAGTAGGGTGGGCCCCAATCCAACAGGACTGGTGTCTTTAGAACAAGAGGAGAGGCCGGGCAAGGTGGCCCACGCCTGTAATCCCAGCACTTTGGGAGGCCGAAGCGGGAAGATCACCTGAGGTCAGGAGTTCAAGACCAGCCTGACCAACACGGTGAAACCCTGCCTCTACTAAAAATACAAAAATTAGCCAGGCATGGCCGGGCACGGTGGCTCATGCCTGTAATCCCAGCACTTTGGGAGGCTGAGGCAGGCAGATCATCTGAGGTCGGAAGTTGGAGACCAGCCAACATGGAGAAACCCCATCTCTACTAAAAATACAAAATTAGCCAGGCGTGGTGGCGCATGCCTGTAATCCCAGCTACTCGGGAGGCTGAGGCAGAATTGCTTGAACCCGGGAGGCAGAGGTTGCGGTGAGCCGAGATCGCGCCATTGACGCCAGCCTGGGCAACAAGAGTGAAACTCTGTCTCAAAAACAAAACAAAAACAAAAATTAGCTGGGCGCAGTGGTGCACGCCTGTAGTCCCAGCCACTTGGGAGGCTGAGGCAGGAGAATCGTTTGAACCCGGGAGATGGAGGGTGCAATGAGCCAAGATCACACCATTGCACTCCAGCCTGGGGGACAGAGTGAAACTGTCTCAAAAAAATAAAATAAGCTGGGCACAGTGGCTCACACCTGTAATCCCAACACTCTGGGAGGCTGAGGCGGGCGGAACACGAGGTCAGAAGTTTGAGACCAGCCTCACCTACATAGTGAAACCCCATCTCTTCTGAAAATACAAAAATTAGCCAGGCGTGGTGGCCACACACCTGTAATCCCAGCTACTTGGGAGGCTGAGGCAGGAGAATCGCTTGAACCTGGGAGGCGGAGGTTGCAGTGAGCTGAGACCACGCCATTGCACTCTAGCCTGAGTGACAGAGTAAGACTCTGTCTCGAAAAAATAAAATAAAAATAAAATAAAATAAAAATACAAACATTAGCTGGGTGTGGTGGCGGGCACCTGTAGTCCCAGCTACTCAGGAGGCTGAGGCAGGAGAATCGCTTGAATCCAGGAGGCAGAGGTTGCAGTGAGCAAGTCAACCAATGTCCGTGTTTAAGCCACACCGTCTGTGAAATCTCACGATGGCAGCACGGACAGACGCAGCCACCATCTGTGTCCACTGGTGTGTGGACCCCGAACTTGGCAGGTAGGAAGTGCCCAGTAAACACTTGTGCAAAGACTGGAGACTGACGTTAGGGGTGGGGATGAGGGAGAGATGACAAACCCGGAAGATGGAATAAAACAGAAAAACTGATGGGGTGGCAGTTTCAGCCACTGATCGAGCAGAACCCTCCGCGGAGACACAGGAGGGGGCAGCCGGCTTCGGGTCCCCAGGCTAGTCCCCAAGTGGGCAGCCTCGTATGCTGTTAGGAATTCGAGGATGGGGCCCCAGATCCTGATCACCATCTCGAGACAGTGCCAAGCTCTGGCCTGAACACCCGCAGCCAAGGATGCGCGTCACAGAGCCTGAATACCCAGGCCCGCCCACCTGCCATGACTCACTCGTCGTATTTCACGTGGTAAATGACGTCCTCCTCCAGCGCCGGCCTGGACGTGGAGCTGCAGGGCTCGTCCCGGGAGGGGGCCTTCCGCGTCACCCTGACCACCTGCGCCTCAAACCACGCCCCCATGTTCGTGTCCCGAGCATCGACGTACTCATTGACCTGTGAGGAATGAGGGAAGTCTGGCATCCCAACGGGGTGAGGAAAACTGACGGGAGACCACCTTGGTTCTCGGACACTGGGATGCTCTGGAACCAGGGCGCAAACTCGAATGCCCACAGCGAGGTTTCTCCTCCCTGGCTGGGAACCGCTGACCATGAGAAACCAGCCCCGGCAGGGGTGACGGGGATGCGGGGCCAGGGGGCATGGACTGTCTTAACAAAGGCCCCTGCGGCTCTGCTTCAGCCACAGCTGCTGGGAGGCCCTGAGAGACCAGAGCTGCCCATTTGTCAAGAGAAGCTGGAAATCCAGGCAGGGCGTCGTGGCTCACGCCTGGAATACCAGCACTTTGGGAGGCCGAGGCAGGTGGATCGCTTGAGCCCCGGAATTCAAGACTAGCCTGGGCAACATGGTAAGACGCTGTGTCTACTAAAAAATAAAACAGACTGGGTGCAGTGGCTCACACCTATAATTCCAGCACTTTGGGAGGCTGCGGCGGGAAGATCACTTGAGGCCAGGAGTTCAAGACTAGCCTGGCCAACATGGCGAAATCCCGTCTCTACAAAAAATACAAAAATTAGCCAGGTGTGGTGGCACATGCCTGTAATCCCAGCTACTCAGGAGGCTGAGGCACGAGAATTGCTTGAACCCAGGAGTTGGAGGTTGCAATGAGCCGAGATGGCACCACTGTACTCCAGCCTGGGCGACAGAATGAGACCATGTATTAAAAAAGTAATAAAATAAAATAAAATTAGCTGGGCGTGGTGGCACATGCCTATAACATCAGCTACTCAGGAGGCTGAGGTGGGAGGATCACTTGAGCCCAGGAGTTCGAGGCTACAGTGAGCTGTGATCACACGGCTGCACCCCAGGCTGGGCAACAAAGTGAGACCCTGCCAAAAAAAAAATAAAAAAATAAAAAAGCTGGAAACCCAGATCTTTCTGTGACATTTCCTGATCTTACATGGTAGCAGCAAGTTCAGAAACGTCACAGCCACTGCAAGCTTCACGGAGAAGACACCTGCAGGCCCCGAACAGGACTCTGCTCTAGAGGTCCACAAAGGAATCCCAGGGTACCATGTTCCCCTCAAGGAACGTGCAGGAAACCACCCCTTGGCCATTTCTGCCCAGCCAGAGCTAGAGAGGCGCGTGGGAAGCCCCTCCTGTGAGCCCTGGGTATGCAAAGACCAGAATGGCAGGGAGAACGTCCAACCCCAGAGCAGCTGCGGAGGGGAGGCTCACCTTGTACAGCCCCAATTCCGTCTCATCCCACATGTCCTCATCGGCTGGCCTGCTGTCAGTCTCGGCGGCCGCCTCACCGTGGGTGGAGGACTTGTCTGACTCACTCTGGCCCAGGCAGCAGCCGGAGTCGGTGTCGGAGAGCTCGGAGTCCCGCTCCTTGGTGCTGTGGGGGAGCACGAGGCTCTGGCGGACCAGGAGCTGGATGGTGTCATTCAGGCGGACCTCGTAGTCGAAGAGGGTATGGCCGTCCTCCATCTGCAGGGACACCAGAGGCAGACGCTGTTTAGCCACCAAATGCCAAGTGGGCATCTGTGGGCACCAGTGATGAACCAAACACTGTGTCCCAGCCCTTGTGGGGGGGGGGCAATCTGCATCAGAGTAAAGAGCCATGATACCTGGGCCATGCCAGGGGGCTGTCCCGCTCACAAGCGGCACCCCAGTCCCTTCCCTCAGGGTCTCAGGCCCCTCTAGCGAGGGCTTTTGGCACTGCATGCAGGAAGCACCCAGAAGCACAAAACATCATCACGGGGCACCACGCACACATGGGGGTCTTGGGAGTTTTTCCTAATACTTCGTGCTTACGGCAGCTTTTGTGACAGTGAACATGTGTCACCTCTGTCACTGCTTCTCAACCAAACATGATTCAGACCCCGGGGGACGCTGGGCCACGTCTGGGACATTTGTGGTTGTCGCCACTGGGAGAAGCTCCTAGCATGGAGTGGGTGGAGGCCAGGAACGCTGCTCGGCACCCTGCAGTGCCCAGGACGGTCCCACTGTCCAGTGTCGAGACAGAGAGACCCTGTCCCACCTGAACAGCAAGAGGCACATGCCAGCATCCATGAGCTTCCTATGAGCTTCCTGGGTAAGGCTCCAGCGCCAATCTCGCCTGCCAGGGCACCTCCTCTGACCCTCAGCTCCACCCGCCCTTTGTGCGCTTTTATCCTGATGCGCTCAACCCCTGGGGCCTGGCTCCACAGCCTGCCCCTCGGGTCACCTGACTCAGCAGGTATGCAAGGAGGAGCTCATCACCTGAGCTGTATCTGGGGGCTGGAGAAGCCGAGGCATTTTGTCAGAAGCTGCCCCTTCACACTCCACCAACACCCAACAAGGACCCTCTCCCGGTGGTTTGCCATCTAGGACCCCCCCCTCCTGATGATTTGCCATCTAGATGCCCCCAAGGCAACAAGTTCCTCTCCCCCGGCACTGCAGACATTGGGGCCAGGTCCTGGACCATTCTCTGGGGCGGAGCCATCCTGGGCACTGCAGGGTGCTGAGCAGCGTCCCTGGCCTCCACCTACTCCATGCCAGGAGCACCCCGTAGTTGTGACGACCACAAATGTCCCCAGACATCATACGGTATGGGGTGGGGGGGTGTGAAGTCACCCTGGGTGAGACCCCCTGGTGAAGGATTCCACAGGCCCCCAAGAAACTCCTTATCCCATGATGCTGTGCCCTACTGAGGTCCCAGGAGGCTGCACGCATTAAAATCCACACACTGAGTGGGAAGGGAGAGAGGAGGTGAATCCCAGGAGCTGGGGGTCCCCCTGGTTTCCACGTCTGCCCCGTCAGGAGTTTATCCCGTGCCTGGTGCGAGCAGGATTGGACTCGGTTGGTTTCCATGTAATTAATACAGGTTTCTCGACCTAAGCATGGCTGACATTAGGGCTGACCACTCTGGGATGGGCTGGGTCTCCCCCTCTGGGCACTGGACCGTGGGGCCGTGCTGGGCACTGCAGAGGCACTGCAGCGGCCCTGGCCTCCACCAGTCATGACAACAACCGATGTCCCCCAGACATCACCATGTGTCCCCTAGAGGCAGAAATGCCCTGGTTCAGGAGCATCCTTAGGAAAAGGGAGGAGAGAGACCTTAGGAAAAGGGAGGAGAGAGACATACATAGAATGTCAGCTCTTCCTCCTTTCGCCCCTTGGGGATCCAAGGCCTGACGGCTGTTCAAATGCAAACAGCATGGGGGTCACAGTGAAGGCCAAGGCCCTTCTCTGCAGGCTTTCTTTCTTTGTTCACCATAAACCTAAGAACCTGATAAAGGCTGACTCATCTTTTCCAGAAAAAAATTTTTTTTTTTTTTTTTTTTTTTGAGATGGAGTCTCACTCTGTCGCCCAGGGTGGAGTGTAGGGGTGTGATCTCAGCTCACTGCAATCTCCACCTCCCAGGTTCAAGCGATTCTTGTGCCTCAGCCTCCTGAGTAGCTTGGGACTATAGGCATGAGCCATCACACCCAGCTAATTTTTGTATTTTTAGTAGAGACAGGGTCTCGCCATGTTGGCCAGGCTGGTTTTGAACTCCTACGCTGAAGGGATCCACCCACCTCGGCCTCCCAAAGAGCTGGGATTACAGCATGAACCACAGTACCCGGCCTGTTTTTTTTTGTTTTGTTTTGTTTTGTTTTTTGTTTTGAGGCGGAATCTTGCTCTGTCGCCCAGGCTGGAGTGCAGTGGCACGATCTTGGCTCACTGCAAGCTCCGCCTCCCAGGTTCGCCATTCTCCTGCCTCAGCCTCCCAAGTAGCGGGGATTACAGGCACCCGCCACCAAGCCCGGCTAATTTTTGTATTTTTAGTAGAGGTGGGGTTTCACCATGTTAGCCAGAATGGTCTCGATCTCCTGACCTCGTGATCCGCCCACCTCAACCTTCCAAAGTGCCGGGATTACAGGCGTGAGCCACTGCACCCGGACTTTTTTTTTTTTTTCCTTTAGAAAGGATCTCACTCTGTTGCCAAGGATGGAGGGCAGTGGTGCAATCGTAGCTCACTGCAGCATCGAACCTTGGGCTCAAGTAATCCTCCTGCCTCAGGCTCCTGAGTGGCTGGGACCACAGGCACACATCACCCATGCCCAGCTAATTTTTTTTAGAGATGAGGTCTTGCTGCTTTGCCCAAGCTGGTTTTGAACTCCGGGGCTCAAGCAAGCGATCCACCAGCATCAGAAAAACCCGTTTGAATATGTACACACCCACCTACAGCTACAAGGGTTTCAAGGGCTGCTCTGAAACCCACCGTGGACATCGAGGGCCCACCAATATCCGCTTCAGCCCCTCTGTTCTCCCAGCTAGAAGTGAGTGCCTCTGACATGCTAGGCGCTGCCTGGGAGCCAGGAGGAGGCTCAGGGCCAGCTCTCCAGCACAGAGCAGCTGGCTTTGGGGAGAGGTGGCACGGATGGAGAGGAAGAGGCACGTCAACCTGTACACGCAGGTTCACACGGCATCACTCGCAACAGCCTGAGAGTGGAAGCAACCCAGGTGTCCATCAACAGGTGAGGGGATTGAGGCTGGGTGCGGTGGCTCACGCCTGTAATCCCAGCACTTTGGGAGGCCGAGGCAGGCAGATCACGAGGTCAGGAGTTCAAGACCAGCCTGGCCAACATGGTGAAACCTGTCTCTACTAAAAATACAAAATTAGCCGGGCATAGTGGCAGGTGCCTGTAATCCCAGCTACTCGGGAGGCTGAGGAAGGACAATTGCTTGAACCTGGGAGGTAGAAGTTGCAGTGAGCCGAGATTGCACCACTGCACTCCAGCCTGGGCAAAAAGAGCAAAACTCCGTCTCAAAAAGAAAGAAAAAAAGAAAGAAAGAAAAGAAAAAACAGGTGAGAGGATCAACACAATGTGGCCATCCATCCATGTGTCAAAATATGACTCAGGCCGCGTGCGGTGGCTCACGCCTGTCATCCCAGCACTTTGGGAGGCCAACGAGGGCAGATCACCTGAAGTCAGGAGTTTGAGACCACCCTGGTCAACATGGTGAAACCCCGTCTCTACTAAAGATACAAAACTTAACTGGGCGTGGTGGCGGGTGCCTGTAATCCTAGCTACTCCAGAGGCTGAGGCAGGAGAATTGCTTGAACCTGGGAGACGGAGGTTGCAGTAAGCAGAGATTGTGCCATTGCACTCCAGCCTGGGCAACAGAGCAAGACTGTCTTAAGAAATAAAATAAAATAAATAAAATATAAGGCAAAATAAAATACGACTCAGCCATGAAAAGGAGCAAGGCTGTGACCCAGGCCACAGTGTGGATGCACCTTGAGGACATCACACTCAGTGAGAAACACCAGACACAAAAGGCCACGCAGTGCATGATCCCATTTCTATGAAATTTCCAGGACAGGCCAAGCCACAGAGGCAGGAAGGGGATTTGAGGGTGCCAGGGGCTGCGGGAGGAGATGCAGAAAAAGGAAGCAGTAGCTGGGACAGGGTTCAGGGTTTCCTTTCAAGGTGACAAAATGTTCTAAAATAGACTGCAGTGATGATTACACAACTATGAATATACCTCAACTGTGTACTTTAACTGGGTGAACTGCAGGGATATAATAAAGCCGTTATTTAAAACATGAAGCAGGCCAGGCACAGTGGCTCACGCCCGTCATCTCAACACTCTGGGAGGCCAAGGCAGGTGGATCACTTGAAGTCAGGAGTTCGAGACCAGCCTGGCCAACATGGTGAAACCTCGTCTCTACTAAAAATACAAAAATTAGCCAGGCGTGGTGGCACGCGCCTGTAGTCCCAGCTACTCAGGAGGCTGAAGCAGGAGAATCGCTTGAACCTGGGAGGCAGAGGTTACAGTGAGCCGAGATCACGCCACTACATTCCAGCCTGGGCGACAAGTGAGACACTGTCTCAAAAAAAAAAAAAAAAAAACTTAACACCAAGGGCAAGCCTTGGTGTATGTAGACTGTGGACTCAGAGATGAAGATGACTCCACAGAGGGCCATCGGGCCATCAACTGTAACCGATGCACCGCTCTGTGGGGGAGGCTGACAGTGGGGGCGGCTATGCCTGTTGGGGCAGGGGGTCTATAGGAACTCCGTACCTTCTGCTCAATTTTGCTGTGAACCTAGAACTGCTCTAGAAAATAAAGTTTATTAATTTTTTCTAAAAAAGGGGCTGGGCACAGTGGCTTACTCTGTAATCCCAGCATTTTGGGAGGCCGAGGTGGGCAGATCACTTGAGGCCAGGAGTTCGAGACCAGCCTGGGCAACATTGCCAAACCCCGTCTCCACTAAAAATACAAAAATTGGCCGGGTGCGGTGGCTCACGCCTATAATCCCAGCACTTTGGGAGGCCGAGGCGGGTGGATCATGAAGTCAGGAGATCAAGACCATCCTGGCTAACACGGCGAAACCCCATCTCTACTAAAAATACAAAAAATTAGCCAGGCGTGGTGGCGGGCACCTGTAGTCCCAGCTACTCGGGAGGCTGAGGCAGGAGAATGGCATGAACCCGGGGGGCGGAGCTTGCCGTGAGCCGAGATCACGCCACTGCACTGCAGCCTGGGCGACAGAGCGAGACTCCGTCTCAAAAAAATAAAAAAATTAAAAATTAATTAAAAAATTAGCCAGGCATGGTGGTTAGTGCCTGTAATCCCAAATACTCAAGAGGCTAAGGCAACAGAATCATTTGAACCTGGGAGGTGGAGGTTGCAGTGAGCCAGGATCTCGCCACTGCACTCCAGCGTGGGTGACAGAATGAGACTCCGTCTTAAAAAGAGAGAAGTCAAGTGCCCCCAATATCACTGGGTCAGGAAAAGCAGCATGGGACAAGCCACACGGCGCTCAGAGGGATGGATGGGGCACTCATCTGCATCCGGGCCAGCACCTCTGTGGCCAGGCACACTGCTCTTGCCAAAGCTGACATTTGGGGTCTGATCACTCTCTGGGGTGGGGCCTTCCTGGGCCCTGCAGGGTGCTAATCAGCACTCCAGGCCTCCACCTACTCCACGCCAGGAGCGCCCGAGTCATGAATGTCCCCAGACATCCCCCAGTGTCCCCTGGAGGGTGGAATCACCCGCAGTGAGCACCCAAGCTAGAGCGGCCCTCACATGTGTCCGAAGGCCACGTGCGCAGAGGGGCAGCTGCTCCTCCTATGTTTGCAGCAGCGATATCTGCCAGAGCGGCGTGAGCATCCTGAGCTCCAGCCAGCGGGAGAGGGGCACACAGGCCGCGCTCATGGCTCAGCTGCATGGGGCAGCCAGGGGCAGCCAAGCAGAGGGGCCTCAGCGCACGAGGGAAACCAGACCACTGCAGAGGATGGAAAATACAGTCCCAGCCCCACCCAAGACGGAGGACAGGTCGGAGGTGCAGCCCTGGGCGAGGGGCTGCCTGGAGAGCAGGCAGCCAGCAGGGTGGCTGGGGGCCAGACAGGCCAAGAACCAAGTGACCTCGACAGCAGGAGGCGGCAGGAGGAGCAGACGGAGCCAGGAGGGGGCCAGACGGTCGGACTCTGTCCTGCCAGACTCAGACAGAGGACAAGTCGGGGAGGAGACAGACCGAGGAGGGGAAGCCAAGGCGGCAGAGTTAAGCAGGGAGGCAGGGCCAATGAGAACTGGTGGCGGGTAGGCAGGGGGGCAAGGGCTGTGGTCTGGGCGGCCAGGAGGGATCCAATGAGGGGCCCTGGCCAGGCTAATGGGCAGCCCCTGACCCGCAGGAGCAGCTTGGGGAGCCAGGCCTGCAGTCCCAGCCCATCCCCTCTCATCTGTTACTAGGGACAACATCTGTGCCACCCTTGCTGGGCCTGACGGGTCGCCCCTCCATGACTTCGGCCCTTCCCACATCGGAAAGGTGAGGTGGATAGAAGCACCCTGCTTAGCGTGGGCTACGTAGGAGGGACAGGAAGTGTCTCCCAGTACAATGATGTAGACAGGGGCAAATGGGGCGGGAAGTGGGGATGGGGCCTGGCCCAGGCTGGCACAAAACTCTGACTCCAGAACACAACTCACGAGCTGGCTGGGCAGCCTCCTGATGCCGCTTCTGGAACATTGCAGAAAGGCCCCAAAGCAGGCAGGAGGAAGCTTGCACAACCCGAAGCGCGAAGGAGGAAGCTTAGTTATTGTTAAGTTCTGACCCCACAGGTGAGAGAAAACATGGTCAGTAAGGCAGTAATTGTTCTAAATTTGTAAAGGGTCAGGCACGGTGGTGCACGCCTGTAATCCCAGCACTTGGGGAGGCCGAGGGCGGATGGATCACCTGAGGTCAGGAGTTCGAGACCAGCCTGGCCAACATGGCAAAACCCCATCTCTACTGAAAACACAAAAAATTACCCGGGCGTGGTGGTGGGCGCCTGTAGTCCCAGCTACTGGGGAGGCTGTGGCACAAGAATTGCTTGAACCCAGGAGGCAGAGTTTGCAGTGAGCCGAGATCACACCACTGCACTCCAGTCCGGGCAACAGAGCAAGACTCCATCTCAAAAACAAATAAATAAATGAAAACATAAAAAACAAAAGCCCAGGTCCGGTGGCTCACACCTGTAATCCCAGCACTTTGGGAGGCCGAGGCAGGCAGATCACTTGAGATCAGGAGTTCGAGACCAGCCTGGCCAACATGGTGAGACTCCATCTCTACTAAAAATACAAAAATTAGCTGGGTGTGGTGGCGCACGCCTGTAATTCCAGCTACTCAGGAGGCTAAGGCAGGAGAATAGCTTGAACCTGGGAGGCAGTGAGCCGAAATCTCACCATTGCACTCCAGCCTAGGCGACAGAGCGAGACTGTCTCAAATAAATAAACAAAATAAGTAAATACAAATAAAAATAAAAATCGAGTTTTTAAGACTTGCCTTGTATGTGGTCAGTTTCCCTAAGCACTCCTCGTGGCCTGAGAAGAATGTGTTTTCTCTCTTGCTGGGTTCAGATTCCATCCATGTCATTACGGTAACCCTGTTACTTGTGTTGTTCAAATCATCTACATCTTTATCAATTTTCTTTTTCTTCTTAAAACAGGGTCTCCCTCCCTGTTGCCCAGGCTGGAGGGCAGTGGCACGACCATGGCTCACTGCAACCTCGACCTCCTGGGCTCAAGCAACCCTCCCGCCTCGGCCCCTCCAAGTAACTGGGACTACAGGCATGGGCCATCACGTCCAGAAAGTTTTTTGTATTTTTTGTACAGACAGGGTTTCTCCATGTTGCCCATGCTGGTCTCAAATTCCTGGGCTCAACTGATCCTTCTGACTCAGCCTCCCAAAGTGCTGGGATTACAGGACCCAGCCACTGTGCCCAGCATCCTGACCAACTTTCCTTTTTCGTTTGTTTTTTGAAACGGAGTTTCACTCTTGTTGCCCAGGCTGGAGTGCAGTGGTGTAATCTCGGCTCACTGCAACCTCCGCCTCCCAGGTTCAAGCAATTCTCCTGCCTCAGCCTCCCGAGTAGCTGCGATGACAGACATGCGCCACCATACCTGGCTAATTTTGTATTTTTAGTAGAGATGGGGTTTCTCCATGTTGGTCAGGCTGGTCTCGAAATCCCCACCTCAGTTGATCCACCCGCCTTGGCCTCCCGAAGTGCTGGAATTATAGGGCTGAGCCACCGTGCCCGGCATCCTGGCCGATTTTCTTTCTTTTTTTTTCTTTTTTGAGACGGAGTCTCCCTCTGTCACCAGGCTGGAGTGCAGTGGCACGATCTTGACTCACTGTGACCTCCGCCTCCTGGGTTCAAGCGATTCTCCTGCCTCAGCCTCCCGAGTAGCTGGGACTGCAGGTGCATGCCACCACGCCCAGCTAATGTTTGTATTTTTAGTAGAGACAGGGTTTCACCATGTTGGCCAGGATGGTTTCGATCTCTTGACCTCGTGATCCACCCGCCTTGGCCTCCCAAAGTGCTGGGATTACAGGTGTGAGCCACCGCGCGTGGCCCTCCTGACCGATTTTCTATCTGTGTGATCCATGAGCCACTGGGGAAGATGCACTGAAATTCCTGTACCTATGATGTCTGTGTTATAGTTATGGCATCTGTAACTCACTTCAAAATGATCCAGTAGGAGCCAGTACAGTGGCTCACATCTGTAGTCCCAGCTGCTTGGCAGACTGAGGCTGGAGGGTCAGGGGAGCCCAGGAGTTTGGGGTTCTCATGCAAAATGATCACATCTGTGAATAGCCACTGTGCTCCACCCTGATCAACACAGCAAGATCCCATCTCTTAAACAATCCAGTCAGGTAGAGGTAAGTGGGTAGGGTAGAAATGAGCAAAATGAACAAGATCAGACACAGCAGATGACTACTGCAGAGGGTGATGGCTACGTGGGACTTACTTTTTTTTTTCTTTTTTTTGAGACGGAGTCTCACTGTCACCCAGGCTGAACTGCAGTGGCGCAATCTCAGCTCACTGCAACCTCCGTCTCCCGGGTTCAAGCGATTCTCCTGCCTCAGCCTCCCGAATGGCTGAGAGTACAGGCACATGCCAGCATACCCAGCTAATCTTTGTATCTTTGGTAGAGACGAGGTTTCACCATGTTGGCCAGGCTGATCTCTAACTCCCGACCTCAGGTGATCTGCCTGCCTCAGCCTCCCGAAGTGCTGAAATTACAAGCATGAGCCGCTGCGCCCAGCCTCTTTTTATTCTTCATTAATAATTTAAATGATTGGCCGGGTGCGATGGCTCATGCCCGTAATCCCAGCACCTTGGGAGGCCAAGGCGGACGGATCAGCTGAGGTCAGGAGTTCGAGACCAGCCTGACCAACATGGAGAAACTCCGTCTCTACTAAAAATACAAAATTAGCCAGGCGTGGTGGTGGGTGCCTGTAATCCCAGCTACTCGGGAGGCTGAGGCAGGAGAATCGCTTGAACCCGGGAGGCGGAGGGTGCAGTGAGTTGAGATCACGCCACTGCACTCCAGCTTGGGCAACAAGAGCAAAACTCTGTCTCAAAAAAAAAAATATTAACAATAATAATAATTTAAATGAAAGAAGATTTACCATTATGGAAATTTGTAAAGTCTCCTATCATTGAACCTAGTGAAGTTGAATGTCCCTATTAAATGACACCACCTCAGCCCTAACTCAAGGTCTCCTACTGTGCCTGGTAAAAGGAGTGACTTAATCTAAAACCCACTTGCCGTTTTTGGCAAAAGGAAAATCATTATCAGAAAAGATAAAATGGGCTAGGCGCGGTGGCTCACACCTGTAATCCCAGCACTTTGGGAGGCGGAGGCGGGTGGATCATGAGGTCAGGAGATCGAAACCATCCTGGCTAACACAGTGAAACTCCATCTCTACTAAAAATACAAAAAATTAGCTGGGCGAGGTGGCGGGCACCTGTAGTCCCAGCTACTCGGGAGGCTGAGGCAGGAGAATGGCATGAACCCAGGAGGTGGAGCTTGCAGTGAGCCAAGACCACGCCACTGCACTCTAGCCTGGGTGACAGAGCGAGACTCTGCCTCAGAAAAAAAAAAAAGTTAAAATGGGGCTGTGTGCAGTGGCTCATGCCTGTAATCTCAGGTATGATTTGGGAGGCCAAGACGGGAGGATCACTTGAGTCCAGGAGTTGAAGATCACCTGGGCAACATGGCAAAACCCATCACTATAAAATTTACCTCTAGTCCCAACTACCTGGAAGGCTGTGGTGGGAGGATTGCTTGAGCCCAAGAGGCAGGGGTTGCAGTGAGTCGAGATCGCGCCGCTGCACTCCAGCCTGGGAGACACTGATACACTGTCTCAAAAAAAAAAAAAAAAAAAATGAGGTCAGGAGCAGTGGCTCAGGTCTATAATCCCAGCACCTTGGGAAGCTGAGGCAGAAGGATCATTTGAGGCTAGGAGTTCAAGACCAGCCTGGGTAACATGGCAGGAACCCATCTCTATAAAAATGTTTAAAATCAGCCAGGTATAGTAGTATACAGCCTATAGTCCCTGCTACTTGCGAGGCTGAGGCAGGAGGATCACTTGAGCTCAGGAATTCGAGGCTGCAGTGAGCTAAGATCGTGCCACTGTACTCCAGCCTGGGCAACAGAGCAAGAGCCTGTCTAAAAAAAAAAAAAAAAAAAAAAAACCAGCTGGGCACAGTAGCTCACGCCTGTAATCCCAGCACTTTGGGAGGCTGAGGCCGGCAGATAACTGGAGGTCAGGAGTTAGAGACCAGCCTGACCAATATGGAGAAACCTCGTCTCTACTAAAAATACAAAATTAGCCGGGCATGGTGGTGCATGCCTGTAGTCCCAGCTACTCGGGAGGCTGACGCAGAATTGCTTGAACCCGGGAGGTGGAGGTTGCGGTGAGCTGACATCAAGCCAACGCACTCCAGCCTGGCGACAGAGCAAGACTCTGTCTCAAAAAAAAAAAAACAGGCCAGGCACAGTGACTCATACTTGTAATCCCAGCATTTTGGGAGGCCAAGGTGGGTGGATCACCTGAGGTCAGGAGTTTGAGACCAACCTGGCCAACGTGGTGAAACCCCGTCTCTACTAAAAATACAAAAAAATTAGCCGGACGTGGTGGTGTGCACCTGTAACCCCAGCTACTTGGGAGGCTGAGGCAGGAGAATCACTTGAACCTGGGAGGTGGAGGTTGCAGTGAGCCAAGATCACGCCACTGCACTCCAGCTTGGGCAACAGAGTGAGACTCCATCTCAAAAACAAAACAAAACAAACAAAAAAAAACCCATAGCAAACGCACACATGTTCAAGCACTTCTGGAAGCAGACAGGTTACTACAGGGGGGAAACTGAAGGTCAAGGCAGAGTGGAAGATATTCTCCTTGCTTTTTGGACATTTGGAATTTTGTAACATGGGCATTGTATAAAAGCTAGGCCAGGCCCAATAGCTCATGCTTGTAGTCCCAACTACTCAGAAGGCCGAGGCAGGAGGATCACTTGAGCCCAGGAGTTTGATACCAGGCAAGACCCTGTCTCTGCAAAAAAGTTTTTTCAATTAATAAAAATTTAAATATTGGGTGTGGTGGCAGGCACCTGTAGTCCCAGCTACTCAGGAGGCTGAAGTAGGAGGATTGCTTGAGCCTGGAAAACAGAGGTTGCAGTAAGCCATGATCACGCCGCTGCACTCCAGCCTGGACGACAGCAAGACCTTGTCTCTTTTTTTTTTTTTTTTTTTTTTTTTGAGACGGAGTCTCGCTCTGTTGCCAAGCTGGAGTGCAGTGGCGTGATCTCGGCTCACTGCAACCTCCACCTCCTGGGTTCCAGCAATTCTCCTGCGTCAGCCTCCCAAGTAGCTGGGACTACAGACGTGCACCACCATCCCCAGCTAATTTTTGTATCTTTAGTAAAGATGGGGTTTCACCATGTTGGCCAGCATGGTCTCGATCTCTTGACCTCGTGATCCGCCTGCCTCAGCCTCCCAAAGTGCTGGGATTACAGGCGTAAGCCACCACGCCCGGCCTTGTGGACCCTGTCTCCCTTAAAGGCAAAAAAAAGAAAAGAAAAAAAAGTGTCCAGATAAATACAAATACAACTTGATAACTAAGTTTGCTGATTCCTTTTGAAAACTTAGACAAAGGGCCGAGTGTGGTGGCTCATGCCTGTAAACCCAGTACTTTGGGAAGTCAAGATGGGAGGATCACTTGAGGCCAGGGGTTCAAGACCAGCCTGGTGAAAAAAGCGAGATCCCATCTCTATAAAAAAGAAAAAAAAAAAAAAAAAAACGAAAACTTAAGACTAAAAGCTCACTGCACCCCCCCCCCCCACCGAGCTGCCCACTTCCTACCCCTCGTGCCACATTCAGGGGCTCTCTTTCAGGGTGCCGAACACTGCCTAGCGGCACAGCAGGGCAGATAATGCCACCGGGTTTGGGGAGCAGTGGTTCTCCAACTTTAGGGATAGAAACCAGAAGTTTAGGAGCTCAGCAAAGACCGTGTAAGCCTCGATCAGGAGGGACCTCCAGCCGGAAGAGAGAGTGCCTGCAGGGGCCTGACGGGACCTGGGGGGAAGGAAGTGAGAAACTGCTCTGCCTTCCTGAGGGGCAGCCACAGCTCCTGCTGGCCCGTCTCAGCGCCTCTGCGACAACCTCAGGTGCGGGCAAGACAGACGGAGGGAGAGAAGGGAGGAAGGAAAAACGGATGCAGGAGGATCCTAGACACGGAGGAGACAGAACCCACAAGAGGGGGCGGCGGTGGCGTGGACGGCGCCGCGAGGGCATCCCAGCACACAGGACGGGTGGAGGGCTAGTGACAGCGGAACTCTGCCCTTCGACCCGGCCGGGTCACCGCTGAGGACAGACCCTAGAGCGGCACTTCGGGGGTCAGTGAGGTCAACACAACCGCCACAAAGACACCACGATCACTGTCGCTGCCACTTTCCCTCTTGCGGTCTCAGGAGGGCACAGGGAGGCCTTTGGAGGCTGCGTCACCAGGGACGGCTCCGCCATGTTGACAGCTAAAAGAGGGGGCGCGCTTGTCTTCTTGTGCTCTGAATTTCTCAGCTTTCAATTTATTTGGTTTTTTTTTTTTTTGAGACAAAGTCTCGCTCTGTCTCCCAGGCTGGAATGCAGTGGTACAATCTTGGTTCACTGCAGCCTCAACCTTTCAGGCTCAAGTGATCTTCCCACCTTGGCCTCCCGAGTAGCTAGGACTACAGGCATGCGCCACCATGCCCGGCTAATTTTCATTTTTTGTAGAGACGGGGTCTTGCTACATGGCCCAGGCTGGTCTCAAACTCCCAACCTCAAGCGATCCTCGCCTCAGCCTCCCAAAGTGCTGGGATTACAGGTGTGAGCTACCATGCCTGGCCTCAACTTCTAACACACTAACAGCCGGCAGACATAATCCACACAGACACAGGCTCCTGGGGCTATTGGATCATTCTGGATGATGTAAAGGGTCCTGAAATCCGTTTGAGAACCCCTGACCTGGAAAGACTCCAACACAGCGCACGTAAGGATCTGTTCCAGCACATTCCACAGCAGCATTCTTCCTAGCCAGAAAACCCAGACACACCAACTGAGGCTGGATTAAAGTATGCAATCTAATTGACCAACTATGTCCACGGGGACAATTCTGGCCTGCACCTCTTTTGTTTTGGTTTTGTTTTTTGTTTTGCTTTTTTTTTGAGACGGAGTCTTGCTCTGTCGCCCAGGCTGGAGTGCAGTGGTGGGATCTCAGCTCACTGCAACCTCCCACCTCCCAGGTTCAAGCGATTCTCCTGCCTCAGCCTCCTAAGTGGAACTACAGACATGCGCCACCACGTCTGGCTAATTTTTGTATTTTTAGTAGAGACGGGGTTTCACCATGTTGGCACGCTGTTCTAGAACTCCTGACCTCAGGTGATCCGCCTGCCTTGGCCTCCCAAAGCACCGGGATTACAATCATGAGCCACTGGGCCCCGCCATACCTGTTTTTATAAATCAAGTTTTATTGGAACAAAGCCACGCCCACCGGTTTACAGATTGTCTACAGCTGCTTCGGGGCCACAACAGCAGTGGTGAGTCACCCTAACAGAGGCCGCGCCCTCTACCAGGGAGCCATCCTGGGGGAGGGATGCCGCAGTGGGTGGGAGCTGGTGGTGGGGACCCTCCCTCCCGCAGACAGAAGGGCAGGTCTCTGCAAGGGGGCCGTCCAGTGGGGACACCTGAGGCATCACTGTGACAAGTGACTCTTGCAAGGCCATTCCTGGGCCACCATTTCAACTGAGGCATCAGACTGACCTTAATCCTGCCTTTGAGGCATGGAAGTCTCTGGGAATATTTGTGGTTGTCATGACTGGTAGGGCAGGATGCTCTGGCATGGAGTGGGTGGAGGCCAGGGACGCTGCTCCGCACCCTGCAGTGCCCAGGACGGTCCCAGCCAGAGGATGACCTGGCCCCAAACATCCACAGTGCAGAGCGGGACAGGCCCTGTGCTAAGAGATTGATTTCGCTTTCATTGTGAGCCTGGCACAGGGCTCACTCCGCCCTTCAAATCCACAACCTCATTGAATTCGCACTGCGCTGCAGCGTGGTGGGTATTAGCCCTATCTAAAATAAGATGATGTGGGAGCTGGCGAGTCGCGGGCCAGGGATGCTGAAAAGATTATGTACAGTGCAGAGCGTTGTACCCGAGCAGGTTAAAGGTGCCGCAAAAGACAGCTATTGTTATTTTGATGTGCAGCCAAAAAAAAAAAAAAGATTGAGGGGTGGGGGCCGCAGATGCCTCTCCCGTTGCCTAGGCTGGGCCGTCTGCCCAAAGTCACTGCCCTCGATCAGCTCCCTGCGTTCCCGCCCATCAAGTGACATCACTGTCACCCTATTCAGCCCAAGTGAGACCACCACGAGATCCTCCATATTCCGAGACAGACCCAACTCTGTTCTGCTCTGGGGTCTCCATCAACTTCACTGCAGACCTTGGGCTGCTAGGCCAGGTTTCTTTAAACAGGGAAAAAAAAAGACTGTGAACACTCTAGAACATTCTATAAGGACAACTGCCCATTTGTGCCCACCGGGAACTGTGTTGCTTTCTATCACGTTAGCCTGGGTGCCTGCAGACTTCACGCTCTGGGAGGTGCTGCTGTGTGCCTCTGTCCCGCCTTCCCGCCACTGTCCAAACCTCCCTGCTGCCAGCTCACTTTCCCAGCCATGCAAGTGGGGAAACTGCATCACCTCTCTGTGGCCCGGAAGACAGAAGCAACGACACGATCTCTTAAAAGCTACTGCATGGGGGCCGGATGCGACGGTTCACACCTCTAATCCCAGCACTTTGGGAGGCCAAGGTGGGGGAGGGGGGTGTGAATCACCTGAGGTCGGGAGTTCGAGACCAGCCTGACCAACATGGAGAAACCCCATCTCTACTAAAAATACAAAAAAAATTAGCTGCGCATGGTGGCGCACACCTGTAATCCCAGCTACTCGGGAGGCTGAGGCAGAAGAATCGCTGGAACCCAGGAGGTGGAGGTTGAGGTAAGCCGAGATCACGCAATTGCACTCCACCTTGGGCAATAAGAGCGAAACTGTCTCCAAAAAAAAAAAAAAAAAAAAAAGCTACTGCATGGGAAACAGCCACAGGGTAAGGGAACTAAGAGGCGGTTATGAAGGTTACACAGGAACACTGAATCTTTTCATAACTACCAGAGCTGACCTGGGAGACGAAATTCAGTGTTGAGAGCCCAGTCTCAGAAACCAAAATCCCAGGTTCCAATCCCAGCTCCCTGTTCAGTCCGGGTGAGTTCCGGCAAGGCTAGGGCCAGGTGTCATCACTGCGGACATCCTGACAATTAAAAGCACAATGTACGTGGCTGGGTGCAGTGGTTCACACCTGTAATCCCAGCACTTTGGGAGACGGAGGTAGGTGGATCACCTGAGGTCAGGAGTTCAAGACCAGCCTGGCCAACATGGTGAAACTCCGTCTCTACTAAAAATACAAAAAATTAATCAGGCGTGGTGGTGGGTGACTGTAATCCCAGCTACTTGGGAGGCTAAGGCAGGAGGATCGCTTGAACTTGGGAGATGAAGGTTGCAGTGAGCCCAGATCGAGCCACTGCACTCCAGCCTGGGCAACAAGAATGAAACTCCATCTCAAAAAAAAAAAAAAAAAAGCACAATGTACATGTCTAATTAACATACGTGTTCCTGTCATTGTCACACTAAACTTAGAAATGTGACAGACACTATTGTATGACTCAAGTATTATGTTACAAATGAGGGGAGATAGGGGTTTTGGGTTGCATGGATGTAGACATTTGTCAAAATTATTCAGTCTGTCTAACATCTGTTTCACTATAGACAAAGCTTTTAGGTCCGGCACTGTAGCTCACGCCTGTAACCCCAAAACTTTGAGAGGCCAAGGCAGGAGGGTCACTTGAGCCCAGGAGACCACCCTGGGCAATATAATAAGACCCCATCTCTACAAAAGATACAAAAACTAGCCAGGCATGGTGGTGCATGCCTATAGTCCTAGCTACTTGGGAGGCTGAGGCTGGAGGATTGCTTGAGCCCAGGAAGCTGAGGCTATAGTGAGCTGTGATCGTGCCACTGCAACACAGCCTGGGCAGAGTGAGATCCTGTCTCAAATAGGAACAACAACAAAAAAAATCAATGAAAACAGAACCAAAAACAAATACTGAGCTCTAGGTACTGACGGTGTGCTGCAGTAATAAGGGAAAGGTGGACTGGTGTCTGCAACTTACTTTGAAATGCATCCCAAAAAGATGGATTGGCGGGCAGAGAGAAAGACAGAGCGCTTCAAGATAAACCTAATAAGTCAGAATACCGATGGTGAAATCTACATGGCAGGTGTGTCTAGGTGTTTTCCCATTCCTGCATGGTTGAAATGCAAAAGTTAAAATGCTAGCTCGGTGGCTGGCATAGAGTGGATACTCAGCATTATCTCCTCTCCTGAACTTGGGAGCATGAGAGTCCAACCCGCCACTGACCTACGCTGTGAACTTAGAAGGTCCTTGCAGGCTTCAGAAACTCTTTGTGAAATGAAGCCTTCTGTGCTGACCCAATAGGCTGAGTGGCAAATCAAAATCAGTTTGGATGCCACAAAGGGAGCACGCATCATAGGAGGAGGGAGGAAGAGAGCGCCAGGCGGAGCTCCTCTGTCGAGCCCGGCCCTGCCTCTTCTCTGCACACACGCGGCTTGCACCGTCAACTCCCCAAGTTCTCCAGATCGCCTCCTCCCGGGGCAGGGCGGGTTAACTCAGATTCTTAAGACTCAAGTCATCACGTCTCTTACGGGAAGAGGGCTAATGAAGGTCTCCTATGGCATGCAAGCCAGAGAAATTAATCATCAGGTCTCATCTGGAGTGAGCAGGCATGATCCTCCCAGCCCCCAAAAACCCCTGGCCGGGCGCAGTGTTTATTTTCCAACCTAGACACCAGATGGCAGCAGTACCCGGTTCAAAATCCAACAACAACACAGTGGGGTACACGCAGCTCAACTGACGACTTTTAATCCAGTTCCAGTAGTCTACGCCCGTCCCCACGGTCCAACCAACTCCAGCAGATGGGACCTACACCTTCGATCACACTGTCTCATCCTGCCGGGAAACCCCACTCCCAGTAGGTCCCACAGTCCCCCACAAAAACACCAACCAAAGTAGCACCTCCACCCCCAGGTGCCAATGGAGGGAGCGCCCCAAACGTGGCAGCTATGAAATCAAAGGGGGACATTTTAAATGCAACGAGGGGCTGGAGACAGAACAGAGAAAGAGACGAGGGTCGGTGGACCCCTCGGGGACCACACGCCCCAGGTCAGCAGCAGCCGCAGCACAGCAGGCTCAGGGTGGCGGAAATTCCTGATTAGCAAGCGCCATCTCCAGACTCTGAATAAGCTAATCCAAATTTTTAGAAACAAACACTCGCAGGGTCTGATGCTTAACCGGTACAGGCTGAGAGCAATTGGTGGTGGATGTTTAAAAAAGAAAACCTGGTCCCCTCCGTCCTAGCTACCAGATGGTCCTGGGCCCTTTCTCGAAAATTCCTCAGCCTTCCATCGGCCACCTCCAAAACTTCTTTCTCTAGCCATTATTTTGAGGCGGAGCTTTGAAAAAAGAAGTTTAAAAGCCCAGACCCTATAGATTCGAGGGCCAGCCGCCAGCCCAGCGTGTCAATCTGTGAGTCCTCCCTTTGTTCCTTCCTCTCGCAGGCATTTGAGGTTTCTGTGGACTTCTCCTTCCGGGAGAGATGAAGTGGGACCGGACGAGGTTGTTGGGGGGGGAGGTGGGAGGGAGAAAGTATCGGCTGGTGGCTGCAGAGGCGCGAGGCCTGGACCAGGCATAGAACAAAGGTGCTGGCGGCGGGTGTACCTGTTTGCCCCTGTAGAACAGCCTCTGCAGGCCTGGCTCCACGTGGAACAGCTCCTGGATCTTCCGCCTCAGCTCCTCCACCTTGGTCAGCCTGGACAGCGAGTCCACCGTGTGGGTCTGCCTCCCGTCCATGGTCCGAACCTGGATCCACATGGTGTCGGCGCTGAGGGGAGGGACAGCAAAAACCCCCATCAGTTTTACCAGCACCTCTGAGCCATGCCATGCTCTAAGGAGTCGGGGTTGCTTTTGTCCGGCCTGTGGACACCAGGAAACTCCCAGGATGCCCTTCCAGTCCTCCTGTACAGCCAGACCCTGGCCAGGACCAGACACAACAAATTAAGCACTTAAGGCATTAACGACTAGCCAAGTGTTGAAGATTGAGGAGGAAGGAGAATGAAAAGAGGGAATTGAAAGAAAAGCAGAAGGTCCAACCCATCCCTCCTTCCCCACGACCAGAGGAGAAAGGAGGCCCGGGCCAAGTGGCCGAGTTGGTTCGTTTATTCATTCATTCATTGATTCATTCATTCCTCGGATTCCTATTTACGGAAGAGGGAATCCCAGAAGTCCAGCGCGGGCCGGAACTTCAGAAGTCCCGGGGGAACTCAACCAAGTGCCACTGAGAGGGAAAAACCCCACCCGAGATCCGCGGACCCCGGGACCCCTCGGTGCCCACGCCCCCCCTCCTTGCCGGCCCCCCCCGCGCGCGTGCGCGACCGGGCCCGCCCCGCGGTGGCCATGGTAACCGGCCGCCCCGTCCCGGCCACCCGCGAGCGCGCGCGCCCCGCGACTCACCTCGACCTCCAACCCCCGGCAGCTCGCGCCCCTCCAAACCCTGGACCCTCGGCGTCCCTCCCGCACTCCCACTGGCCCGCGCGGGTCGCGCCAGCGAGCCCACGCCCACCCCCGCCGCCGGGACTACAGAGGGGGCCCCCGCTCGTCAAGTCCCGCCCCCCTTCACTTGAGCCGCCTCTTATTGGCTCCGCAGCACCCGGCCGCCCCGCCCCGCTCGCTCCCCATTGGCCCAGATGCTCCCGGGGAACTCAGGGCGCGCGAAATCGGGCTCGGGCGCGACAATTGAATCGCGGGGCGCCCCGCGCGCAGGCGCGGAGCCTGACATCCTCCCCGGCGGCTCGCCAGGCCCTCCCCCACCCGGCGCGCTCGACCCCCCGCCGGGCTCCGGGGACGCAGCGCTGGTCCCGGCTCCAGCCGGATGTGTGCCGGGGAACGATTCCCGAGGGTTAGGTGGAAGGGGAGGCCCTGGATCCCGGGACAGAGTGCGGGACATGCGTGCGCCCGGGCTGGCCGCGCGGGAAAGTTTTGCAAAGTTCCCGAGCCCCGTGCGCCCGGCCCGGGCTGGCACCCCGACCCGGCCCGCCCGCTCACCTCTCCGGTCGCCGCGAACAGCTTGTCTGCCTGCGCGCGTGGCCCGGCTGGGGATGGCGATGAAACCGCGTGCGTGGCCCGGACCCCGCGCGGACTTGCGTGCGACCCGGAGCGCCCGCTCGGCAAACGCTGCCCGCCGCGCTGCCAGCTGCTCTGATTTTTTTCCCGCGAAAACTCGGCATTTGGGAGTTGCGGGGCCGCAGGAGGCCGTGCCGGGGGCGGGCGCCTGCCTCCTGATTGGCCGACGCAGTGGCGGGAAGCGAGAAAGAGGGTGGGGGGCGCCCCCGCCTCTGTCCACGGCGCCTCCGCCTAGTGGGCCACGGCTCCGCCCAGCCCTGCGCGCTCTGCTGGGCGCGCCCAGCGTGCAAAGGGGCTGCGTGGCAGGGCCTGGTCACCCCCCGCACGTGGACACCCCAGGAGCCTTGGGGACCCCCAGGGTACAGACCCCCTGAACTCTTAAGTCCAAGTCCGTTCGCAGCCCCCCACTCGCACGCATTGACCAGTAGGTCTAAGAAGGCCGGAATCAATGTGTAAATACTGCGAGGGAATGTGGGGGGCCCCTAGGAGACCACCTGCACCCTGATGGCTCGCCCGATCGCCCCAAGCCCCACTGCCTGGCGTCAGGGCCTGCCAGGGCTCCCCACTCTACCCACCCGCAGGGCTTGTTTGCTGTCTTTTCCCGCCTCGTTTTCCCGCCTTCTCCAGGCTGTCCAGGCGGGCAGGGCTGCCCTGCCCCCTCCGCCCTGTCTGTTCCACTCTGACCAGTCCTGGCGGGCACAGGAGTGACCTGTGCTGGGCACCTACAAAGCAGCCGGACAGGTTGCTCAGAGCTGCAGAACCCAGCGGTGTACATGGCAGACCCAGTTGGTGGTCTCAGGGAGGGAAAATTCCTATCTGGGGGAGACAGGCAAGAAATGAATAACTAAAGCAGATAATTTCAGATGATTCCTTATAGGAGAGTGACCAGCAGCCATGTGGTGGGAGGCGGGGAGAGAGGATACTCTCTCACTGGGGCCACTGCGGTGGGCCTCTCAGAGAAGATGACATTTGAGCTGGAATCGGAGATGAGACTCCAAGGACAGATGGGTCTAGGAGGGAAAGTCAAACCCAGAGGCCGGAAAAGGCTTAGAGGTGTCCAGGGAGCAGGAAGGGGCTGGTGTGGTTGGGGCCCACTGAGCAAAGGGGAGGGGGAGTTGAGGTCAGAGGGGTGATATATAATACCTTGAAGGCCACCGGGGAGGACTTTGGTCTTTCCCTTGAGAGCTGTGAGCAGAAAAATGTTGAGTTCCCACTTAGCTTTTTACAGTTTCTTCGTCACTCTATTAAGTCTCCTCTATCTGGTCAGTGGGACTTCTGCTATGTCCCTAATATAGGAGACAGATCATGGCCCCCGAAGATATGCGTCTCTAGACCCCCACGTCCTCGCCCCCAGGATCTGTGAATACAGTGCCTTACACAGCTAAAAGGACTTTGCAACTTTGCAGGTGTGATTCAGTTAATGATTTTGAGTTGGGGAGCGTCTCCTGGGTGATCCAGGTGGGCACAATGTCCTTAAAAGGTCCTAATAAGTGAAAAAGGGATACAAAAGGTCAAAGTCAAAGGAGATGGGAAAGTGGAAGCAGGCTTTACAATGATCAGGCCAAGGGCCGGGCGCGTTGGCTCACACCTGTAATCCCAGCACTTTGGGAGGCCGAGGCAGGCAGATCACCTGAGGTCAGGAGTTCGAGACCAGCCTGACTAACATGGAGAAACCCCGTTTCTACTAAAAACACAAAATTAGCCTGGCGTGGTGGCACATGTCTGTAATCCCAGCTACTCGGGAGGCTGAGGCAGGAGAATCGCTTGAACCCAGGAGGCAGAGGTTGTGGTGAGCCAAGATCGCGCCATTGCACTCCAGCCTGGGCAACAAAAGCAAAACTCAGTCTCAAAAAAAAAAAAAAAAAAAAAAAAAGATCAGGCCAAGAGGCAA
The DNA here is from genome assembly GCF_000001405.40 of Homo sapiens. Lineage (NCBI taxonomy): Eukaryota > Metazoa > Chordata > Mammalia > Primates > Hominidae > Homo > Homo sapiens. The sequence goes on along the minus strand of NC_000019.10, from coordinate 4,907,686 downwards.
GGAAGATGGGCAGCCTCTGGTGGCTAGAAAAAGCAAGAAAGACTCCTAGAACCCGCCCTGCCCCTAAAATTTATTTCAGACTTCTGACCTCCCAAACTGTAAGATGATAAATGTGTGGGCCGGGCGTGGTGGCTCACACGTGTAATCCCAGTACTTTGGGAGGCCGAGGCAGGCAGATAACTGGAGGTCAGGAGTCGCCAGACTAGCCTGGTCAACATGGTGAAACCCCATCTCTACTAAAAATACAAAAATTAGCCAGGTGTGGTGGCCGGCGCCTGTAATCCCAGCTACTCGGGAAGCTGAGGCAGAGAATTGCTTGAACCTGGGAAGCGGAGGTTCCAGTGAGCAGAGATCGTGCCACTGCACTTCAGCCTGGACAACAGAGCGAGACTGTGTCTCAAAAAAAAAAATTAGCTGGGCAGGGTGGTGTGTGCCTATAATCCCAGCTACTCAGGAGATTGAGGCAGGAGAATCACTTGAACCCAGGAGACGGAGGTTGCAGTGAGCCAAGATCGAGCCAGTGTACTCCCACCTGGGTGACAGAGCAAGGCTCTATCAACAAATAAATAAATGTGTGTTTTGCAGCCACTGAGTTTGTGGTCCTTTGTCATAGCAGCCTTGGGAAGCTCCTGCATTCTAATCCACGATGTCCAGATGGTGCTGTTCACTGTTTGCAACCTCAGTACACGATCAACGCTACTGCACACAATTCTAGACCCTCAGCCATCAGCCAGGTAGAACCCACACCACAGGTATGAGCAGGCCCACCTGAGGGTGTGAGACGGCTTGAGCTCTTCCAAAATGACAGCACCTGCTGCAGGAACCTAGCCTATTTCTATCAGAACACATCATCTGTTTGTAGCGCTGTTGCGAAAACTCAACGTGGCTGAAAGAGGGAATACATTTTTCTTTTTCTTTTTTTCTTTTTCTTTTTGAGATGGAGTCTTGCTTTGGTGCCCAGCCTGCAGTGCAGTGGTATGATCTTGGCTCTCCGCAACCTCCACCTCCTGGGTTCAAGCAATTCTTCTGCCTCAGCCTCCCCAGTAGCAGGAACTAGAGGTCCGCACCACCATGTCCGGCTAATTTTTTATTTTTAGTAGAGATGGGGTTTCACCACATTGGCCAGGCTGGTCTCAAACTCCTGACCTTAGGTGATCTGCCCGCCTGGACTTCCCAAAGTGCTGGGATTACAGGCATGAGCCACTGTGATTGGCTGGGCATGCATTCTTCATGTACACGTGGTGAGGGGCACAGCCTAAGCACCTTGGATAATGGAAGTTAAGTGTCACAGAGGAGGTATCTAGCCCTCCCTGCAGAAAAGATACTGAGGACTGTTGATTGAGGGCTCCAGTTCCCTAGTCATCTTGAGAACATCAAAATTTTTCAAATTAGCTCAGGTTAATTGTCCAGCTGGGTGCAGTGGCTCACACCTGCAATCCCAGCACTTTGAGAGGCCGAGGAAGGCTGATCTCTTGCGCCCGGGAGTTTGAGACCAGCTTGGGCAACGTAGTGAGAACCCTTCTCTACAAAAAATAAAAATAAATTAGCCAGGCATGGTGGTGTGCACCTGTAGTCCCAGCTACTCAGGACACTGATGCAGGAGGACCTCTTGAGCCCAGAAGATCAAGGCAACAGTGAGCCATGCTTGCGCCACTGCACTCTAGCCTGGGTGACAGAAGGAGACTCTGTCTCAAAAAATAGTAATAATTGCTCAAGTTAATCATTTAAAAACATGAGTAACAAACTATTCCAGGCGTCTCAGAAAAAAAGCTCACAAGTCACTTAGAGCAGGGGTGTCCAATCTTTTGGCTTCCCTGGGCCACATTGGAAGAAGAATTGTCTTGGGCCACACATAAAATACACTAACACTGGCCGGGCACAGTGGCTCACGCCTGTAATCCCAGAACTTTGGGAGGCCAAGGCAGGCGGATCACTGAGGTCAGGAGATCAAGACTAGCCTGGCTAACACGGTGAAACCCCGTCTCTACTAAAAATACAAAAATTAGCCAGATGTGGTGGCACGTGCCTATAATCCCAGCTACTCGGGAGGCAGAGGCAGAAGAATTGCTTGAACCCAGGAGGCGGAGGTTACAGTGAGCCGAGATTGCACCACTGAACTCCAGCCTGGGCAACAAGAGCAAAACTCCATCTCAAAAATAAATAAATAAATAAATAAATAATAAAATACACTAACACTAACAATACCTGATGAGCTAAAAAAAAAATTGCAAAAAAATCTCATAATGTTTTAAGAAACTACAAATTTGTGGCCGGGTGTGGTGGCTCACACCTGTAATCCCAGCACTTTGGGAGGCTGAGGCAGGTGGATCACGAGGTCAGGAGATGGAGACCATCCTGGCTAACATGGTGAAACCCCATCTCTACTAAAAATACAAAAAAAAATTAGCCGGGCATGGTGGCACATGCCTGTAGTCCCAGCTACTCGGGAGGCTGAGGCAGGAGAATGGCGTGAACCTGGGAGGCAGAGCTTGCAGTGAGCCGAGATCACACCACTGCACTCCAGCCTGGGCGACTGAGCAAGACTCTGTCTCAAAAAAAAAAAAAAAAAAAAAAAAAAGAAAGTTTACGAATTTGTGTTGAGCCATATTCCATCCTGGGCCAAATGTGGCCCGTGGGTCAGGGGTTGGATGAGCTTGACTTAGGGAAATAAGAGGCCAATGCCCACAAAAGCTATCACATAAAATAATGCAAGATACAGCCAAGACAAGAAATAAGGCCTGCCAGGCTAGAGAATGGGTACTTCCTAGCCCCTCCTATGATTCAATGTCCCTCCCTCTCAGGCACCAGACCATGTGCAAATCAGGTGCCAGGAATAATTGTTAGAGTGCAAAGGGCTTCAGTTTCCCTTTTGCAAAATGATACATTCTCAGAGGTCATTAAGTCATTCAACAAACTTTTATTGATTCCACCCCCCACACCCACTCCTGGCTGAGCCAGATCCTGCCTGGGTCACGCAGACATTGATGGGCACAAAGTTCACTTAGACAAGGTCTCACCCTGGAGGGACTTCCCATCCAATGGGGGAGATGCAGGCATAAAGAGAAATGTCAGCCAGGCGTGGTAGCTCATGCCTGTAATCCCAGCACTTTGGGAGGCCAAGTGAGGCGGGTGGATCATGAGGTCAGGAGTTCAAGATCAGCCTGGCCAAGATGGTGAAACCCTGTCTCTACTAAAAATAACAAAAATTGGCTGGGTGCGGTGGCTCACGCCTGTAATCCCAGCACTTTGGGAGGCCAAGGTGGGCGGATCACGAGGTCAGGAGATTGAGACCATCCTGGCTAACATGATGAAACCCCGTCTCTACTAAAAATACAAAAAATTAGCCAGGCATTTGTGGCGGACGCCTGTAGTCCCAGCTACTCGGGAAGCTGAGGCAGGAGAATGGCATGAACACGGGAGGCGGAGCTTGCAGTGAGCCGAGATCGCACCACTGCACTCCAGCCTGGGTGACAAAGTGAGACTCCAATCTCAAAAAAAAAACAAAAACAAAAACAAAAAGAACAAAAATTAGCCGGGCACGGGGGCAGGTGCCTGTAACCCCCATGCCCGTAATCCCAGCTACTTGGGAGGCTGAGGCAGGAGAATCGCTTGAACCCAGGGGGCAGAGGTTGCAGTGAGCCGAGATCACGCCACTGCACTCCAGCCTGGGCAACAGAGTGAGATTCCACCTCAAAAAAAAAGAGAAATGTCAATCATGCAGGGAGTTGCTGCTTCCTGATGGTGTCGATGTTCAGATTAAGCACACACTGCCCTGATCAACTTCAGTGCGCACCAGATTTCAGGTCCTGGCCATATCTCTATGTTTTTTCCAATATAGACCAATATAAATGTAGAGTCTTTAAGATGAAAATGAGTGTGTATGCACCTGGGCACAGTGGCTCACAACTGTAATCCCAGCACTTTGGGAGGCCAAGGCAGGCGAATCATGTGAGGCCACAAGTTCGAGACCAGCCTGGCCAACATGGTGAAACCCCGTCTCTACTAAAAATACAAAAATTAGCTAGTTGCAGTGGCACTTGCCTGTAATCTCAGGTACTTGGGGGGCTGAGGTGGGAGAATCGCTGGAACCCAGGAGGCAGAGGTTGCAGTGAGCCGAGATCACACCATTGCACTCCAGTCTGGCTGACAGAGTGAGACCATCACAAAAAATAAAAATAAAATAAATAAAAATACCAAAAAAAAATTAGCAAAGCATGGTGATGGTGCATGCCTGTAATTCCAGCTACTCAGGAGGCTGAAGCAGGAGAATTGCTTGAACCCGGGAGGCAGATGTGGCAGTGAGCCGAGATCGCGCCACTACACTCCAGCCTGGGTGACAGAATGAGACTTTGTCTCAAAAAAAGAAAAAGCCCAGGTGCAGTGGCTCACGCCTGCAATCCCAGCACTTTGGGAGGCTGAGGTGGGTGGATCACGAGGTCAGGAGATCGAGACCATCCTGGCCAACACAGTGAAACTCTGTCTCTACCAAAAAATTAGCTGGGCATGCTGGCATGCACCCGTGGTCCCAGCTACTCAGGAGGCTGAGGCAGGAGAATTGCTTGAACCCATGAGGCGGAGGTTGCAGTGAGCCAAGATGGCACCCCTGCACTCCAGCCTGGGCTACAGGGTAAGACTCCATCTCAAAAAAAAAAAAAAAGAACCAGTGAGGACTACAGGTTTCCCAATCAACCACCCACCCTAAACAACAGTTTTGCCTCCCCTCCTGGCCACTGGGGTCCCCACTTCCCGGAACTCTGAGCTGAGTGATGTCATAGATGGATTACCTCACTAGGGCCAACGAACCGGGAATTTCAGGGACATGGGGGACAGAGAGGAATGTCTCTCTACCCCCCAACCCCCCATGTCTGTGGTGAAGTCGATCGAATTAGTGCTGCCCGAGGATAGAATCTACCTGGCTGGCTCCAGCATAAAAGGGCAGGTGATCTTAACCCTGAACAGCACCCTGGTGGACCCCATAGTGAAGGTGGAGCTCGTGGGAAGGGGTTACGTCGAATGGAGTGAAGAAGCCGGGGCATCCTGTGATTATAGCAGAAATGTTATTTGCAACAACAAGGCAGACTACGTGCATAAGACAAAGACATTCCCAGTGGAGGGTAAGGACGAGGCCAACAGCCACCCCTAGCCATGACAGGAACCTGGGTCTGGAAAATAAACACATCCGAGAGTCAATCAACAAAACTCTAGGGCTATCAGAAATAGGGAGTGGCCTGATTTCTCCCTAGGAGGGAGGCCATGAAGAACAATGACCATCAGATACACAAAACGCAAAAATAACAAGACATAAGGAGCTGATCGGAACCCCGATATTCAAAATGAAGGTTCAAAGTAGTCTCCTTGGAAAATGCTCAATCCAACAACTGCCTTTGAGAGGCCTCTGAGAAGTCTTATTCTTTTACAGATAAGTTTCACTCTGACAGCAAAACCCCAGGAGACAAAGTAGGCAGTCCTGCATTCATGGGGAGAGACAGTGGAGGTGGGCCAGGCACAGTGGTTCATACCTGTAATTCCAGCACTTTGAGAGGCCGAGGCAGGTGGATCACTTGAGGTCAGGAGTTTGAGACCAGCCTGGCCAATATAGCGAAACCCCATCTCTACCAAAAAATACCAAAAAATTAGCTGGGCGTGCTGGCACGTGCCTGTAATCTCAGCTACTTGGGAGGCTGAAGCAAGAGAATCACTTGAACTCGTGAAGGGGAGGTTCCAGTAAGCTGAGATCGCACCACAGCACGCCAGCCTGGGTGACGGAGCGAGATTCCCTCTCAAAAAAAGAAAGATAGTGGAGGTAGAAGAGCAAGGGAGACCTTCCAGAGAAGGAATAACTAGTCCCCAGTTCCACCAGGTCAGATCTGAAATCTGAACAAATGTCAGAGAGTCTGCTGAGTTGTCGGGGAAATTATATGTCCATTGCAAAATGTGTTTGTGGGGATATTCCCAGGTATTAAGCAGTCAAGCAGAACACGTGGCCAACACTTGGCTGAACAAAGTGTAATTTAATTTAATTTATTTCTGTATTTATTTATTTGTATCTTATTTATTTATTTATCTATTTTTTGAGACACAGTCTCGCCCTGCTTCCCAGGCTGGAGTGAAGTGGCACCATCTCGGCTCGCTGCAAGCTCCGCCTCCCGGGTTCAAACGATTCTCCTGCCTCAGCCTCCTGAGTGGCTGGGATTACAGGCACCCGCCACCATGCCCAGCAATTTTTGGTATTTTTAGTAGAGGCAGGGTTTCACCACGTTGGCCAGGCTGGTCTCGAACTCCTGACCTCGTGATTCGCCCACCTCGGCCTCCCAAAGTACTGGGATTACAGGCATGAGCCACCAGGCCTGGCTTATGTATTTATTTTTGAGACAGGGCCTCGCTCTGTTGCCCAGGCTAGAGGCCAGTGGTGTGATCAAAACTCACTGCAGCCCCAGCCTCTCTGGCATAAGCGATCCTCTCACCTCAGCCTCCTGAGTAGCTGAGACCACAGGCACATGGCACCATGCTTGGCTAATTTTTGTTTATTTTTTGTTTTCGTTTTTTTGAGACGGAGTTTTGCTCTTGCTGCCCAGGCTGGAGTGCAATGGCGCAATCTCGGCTCACCGCAACCTCCTGGGTTCAAACGACTGTCTCTTAAAAAAAGAACTAGCAATTTTTTTTTTTTTTGAGACTGAATCTCACTCGTTGCCCAGGCTGGAGTGCAGTGGCGTAATCTTGGCTCACTGCAACCTCCACCTCCTGGGTTCAACCGATTGTCCCGCCTCAGCCTCCCGAGTAGCTGGCACTACAGGCGTGTGCCACCACTCCCAGCTAATTTTGTATTTTTAGTAGAGACGGAGTTTCTCCATGTTGGTCAGGCTGGTCTTGAACTCCCGACCTCAGGTGATCCGCCCACCTTGGCCTCCCAAAGTGCTGGGATTACAGGCATGAGCCACCACACCTGGCCATTTTAGACTTTAAAAATTTAGATGAGATGGTCTGTTCCACCAGAGGAGTACTCTGCAAAGAGGGAACAACCAAGCACAGAACTGAGTGATAGGAGGGACTCCAGCCATGCAAATATCCTGGGGACAAATGTCAACTTACCAGACACTAATACTGAGCAATTATGTGACCTCTCTGGCTCTCAGTTAACCAATCTATAAAATGGGAGTAGGAAGAGGTCCTATTTCATAAGATTGTGTTAAGGACTTAATGATTTAATGGCACATAAAGCGCTTAGAATAATGCCAGGTATACAGTAAATGCTTAAAAATTGCTATTTCTGGCCAGGCACAGTGGCTCACACGTGTTATCCCAGCACTTTGGGAGGCCAAGGTGGGCAGATCACCAGAGGACAAGAGTTCAAGACCAGCCTGGCCAACATGGTGAAACCCCGTCTCTACTAAAAATACAAAAAATACAGCTGCTCAAGAAGCTGAGGCAGAAGAATGGCGTGAACCCGGGAGGCGGAGCTTGCGGTGAGCCGAGATCACGCCACTGCACTCCAGCCTGGGCAACAAAGCGAGACTCCGTCTCAAAAAAAAAAAAAAAAAAAAAAGAAAGAAACAGAAAAAAAAGACTGCTGGCCGGGCGCGGTGGCTCATGCCTGTAATCTCGGCACTTTGGGAGGCCAAGGGAGACGGAGGTTGCAGTGAGCCAAGATTGCACCACTGCACTCCAGCCTGGGCAACAGAGTGAGATTCAGTCTCAGAAAAAAAAAATGTTGCTAGTTGTTTTCTTTTCTTTTATTTATTTACTTTTTTGGAGACGGAGTCTCCTCTGTCGCCCAGCGTGGAGTGCAGTGGTGCAATCTTGGCTCACTGCAAGCTCCGCCTCCCGGGTTCTCGCCATTCTCCTGCCTCAGCCTCCTGAGTAGCTGGGACTACAGGTGCCCGCCACCACGCCTGGCTAATTTTTTTTTTTTTTTTTTTTTTTTTGTAGAGACGGGGTTTCACCGTGTTAACCAGGATGGTCTCGATCTCCTGACCTCATGATCCACCCGCCTCGGCCTCCCAGAGTGCTGGGATTACAGGCGTGAGCCACCGCGCCCGGCCGCTAGTTCTTTTTTTAAGAGACAGTCTTTACTCTGGCACCCAGGCTGGAGTGCCATGGCGTGATCTCAGCTCACTGCAACCTCCACCTCCTGGGTTCAAGCAATTCTCCTGCCCCAGCCTCCTGCATAGCTGGGATTACAGGCGCATGCCACTATGCCCTACTAATTTTTTGTATTTTTAGTAGACACAGGGTTTCACCATGTTGGCCAGGCTGGTCTCAAACTTTTGACCTCAGGTGATCTGCCCCACCTCAGCCTCCCAAAGTGCTGGGATTACAGGCATGAGCCACCATGCCCATCCCAGGTTTTTCATTTATTTAATAAACATTTTTTTTTTGAGATGGAGTCTCACTCTGTCGCCCAGGCTGGAGTGCAGTGGCGCGATCTCGGCTCACTGCAAGCTCCGCCTCCCGGGTTCACGCCATTCTCCTGCCTTGGCCTCCCGAGTAGCTGGGACTACAGGCACCCGCCACCACGCCCAGCTAATTTTTTGTATTTTGTTTATTACAGACGGGGTTTCACCGTGTTTGCCAGGATGGTCTCGATCTCCTGACCTCGTGATCTGCCCGCCTCGGCCTCCCAAAGTGCTGGGATGACAAGTGTGAGCCACCATGCCTGTTCCAGGTTTTTCATTTATTTAATAAACATTTATTGAGTGCCTACTGTGCACAAACACCGTGCTAGGTGCTGGGGATGCAGCAGTGATGAAAAAAACACAGCCTGGGCCGGGCACGGTGGCTCACGCCTGTAGTCCCAGCACTTTGGGAGGCTGGGTGGGCAGATCTCCTGAGGTCACAAGTTCAAGACCAGCCTGACCAACATGGCAAAACCCCATCTCTATGAAAAATACAAAAATTAGCCAGGTGTGGTGACACGCGCCTGTAGTCCCAGCTACTTGGGGCGCTGAGGCAAGAGGATCACTTGAGCCCAAGAGGTCCAGGCTGAGTGACAAAGTGAGACCCTGTCTCAAAAAAAAAAAAAAAGGCCAAGCCCGCCTGATGGCTTATGCCTGTAATCCCAGCCCTTTGGGAGGCCAAGGCAGGTGGATTATCTGAGGTCAGGAGTTCGAGACCAGCCTGGCCAACATGGTGAAACCCCATCTCTACTAAAAATACAAAAATTAGCCAGGCATGGTGGTACACACCTGTAATTCCAGCTACTCAGGAGGCTGAGGCAGGAGAATTGCTTGAACCTAGGAGGCGGAGGTTGCAGTGAGCCAGGATCACGCCACTGCACTCCAGCCTGGGTGACAGAGTGAGATTCTGTCTCAAAAAAACAAAAAAGAAAGAAAGAGACAGGGTCCCTAGTATCTTTGGGATTGCCATGGGCCAGAGAAGATAGAAAATGCTAAGAGGATTTTCGAGAAGTGCAAGAAGGAAAATGAAACAAAGGTCATGGAAATGGCAGTTGTGTGAGAGTCTGCTTCCTAGACCATCACTCAGTTGGTCAATCAATATGTATTAAGCACCCACTGTATACCATGCACTGAAGGTCAAGCTCTATGAGGGCGAAAGTTTTCTCTGCCTCACATACTACTTTGTTTATTTATTTATTTATTTTTAGAGATGGCGTCTCGCTCTGTCACCCAGGCTGGAGTACAGTGGCATGATCTCGGCTCACTGCAACCTCCGTCTCGCACGTTCAAGCTATCCTCCCACCTCAGCCTCCTGAGTACCTGGAACTACAGGTGTGTGCCACCACACCCGGCTAATTTTTGTATTTTTAGTAGAGATTGGGTTTCGCCATTTTGGCCAGCTTGGTCTCAAACTCCTGACCTCAGGTGATCCGCCCGCCTTGGCCTCCCAAAGTGCTGGGATTGCAGGCGTGAGCCACTGGGCCCAGCCAGTTTGTGCCTATTATCCCAGCACTTTTGGGAGAGTGAGGCAGGAGGACTGCTTGTGGCCAGAAGTTCAAGACCAGCCTGGGAAACATAGCAAGACCCTGTCTCTACCAGAAATTTAAAAATTAGCCAGGCATGGTGGCATGGGCCTGTAGTCCCAGCTCTTCTGGAGGCTGAGGTGGGAGAATCACTTGATCTCAGGAGTTGGAGGCTGCAGTGACCATGATCACACCACTGCACTGCAGCCTAAGCAACAGAGCCAGACTTTGTCCCTACAAAAAGAAAAAAAAAGATATATTTGTTGAACCCTGAAGGCCTGACTTCCACTTTCTCAGGCTCAGGGCAGGGATATGCAAGAGCCCTTCAGTGGTTTCGGGTGACAACTCCAGGCATGTCACCCACCCCAGGGCATCCCACTCCAGCCCAGCTGCGACCTGATATTTATAGGCCCAGCAGGTCCTAAAAGCATAGAGCTCAGTTTAACTCAGGAGGGACAGACAAGCCAAGCCCAGGACCCACCTCCATGCCAAAACAATAAATCAAGCAAAAAAAGGCCAGGTGCAGTGGCTCACGCCTGTAACCCCAGCACTTTGGGAGGGCAAGACGGGCGGATCGCCGGAGGCCAGGAGTTCAAGACCAGGATGGACAACATGACAGAACCCCATCTCTGTCAAAAATATAAAAATTAGCCAGGTGTGGTGGTGCACGCCTGTAGTCGCAGCTACTCAGGAGGCTGAGGCAGGAGAATCGCTTGAACCTAGGAGGCAGAGGTTGCTGTGAGCTGAGATCACACCACTATACTCCAGACTGGGTGACAGAGTGAGACCGTGTCTCAAAAATAAATAAATATAAAAATAAAGCAAAAAAAAAAAGAAGAAGAAGGAAAAAAGATTCTAGAACCTTCTGATGGCATCGGTGTGTTTTGCTTTCAGATAATTGGTTAAGTGCAGGCAGCCACACCTTTGACTTCCATTTCAACTTACCTCCCAGGCTTCCTTCTACCTTCACCAGCAAATTTGGCCATGTCTTCTATTTCGTACAAGCTTCCTGCATGGGCAGGGAACACATTTTAGCCAAGAAGAGGATGTACTTATTGGTTCAAGGAACTTCCACCTTCCACAAAGAAACCCCATTCCAGGTACCGATGGGGGAAAGGTGGAGGTGGGAACAATCTCCAAGCTCCAAGGAGGAAGAGGGAAGGTGGGCAGGCAGGGGACAGAGAAGGTCCCATGGGGAGAAGGGAAGGGTGTTGGCAGCTTCCCAGGCCCCGAGATTTCACAAAAGGTGAGTCAGAAACCTTAGGGCAGCTGGAGGTCAAGGCTGCAGTAAGCCATGTTTGCACCACTGCACTCCAGCCTGGGCGACAGAGTGAGACCCTGTCTCTAAAATAAAATTATATATATGTGTGTGTGTGTGTGTGTGTGTGTGTGTGTGTGTGTGTGTGTGTAAAAAAAAAAAAATATATATATATATATATATTTTTTTTTTTTTTTTTGAGATGCAGTCTCGCTCTGTCACCAGGCTGAAGTGCAGAGGCATGATCTCGGCTCACTGTAACCTCCGCCTCCCAGGTTCAAGCGATTCTCCTGCCTCAGCCTCCTGAGTAACTGGGATTACAGATGTGCACCACCATGCCCAGCTAATTTTTGTATTTTTAGTAGAGACAGGGTTTCGCCATGTTGGCAAGGCTGGTCTCAAACTCCCGACCTCAGGTGATCCGCCTGCCTTGGCCTCCCAAAGTGCTGGGATTACAGGCGTGAGCCACCATGCCAGGCCAACATTTTTTTTAGAAAAGAAACAAGGGCAGGAACTAAGCCAGTGGTTTTCAACTGTGGCTGTTTTATCCCCATAAGGGACATTTGGCAATGTCTGGAGACATCTGTGGTTGTCTCAACTTGGGGGGTGCTCCTGGCATGGAGTGGGTGGAGGCCAGGGGCGCTGCTCAGCACCCTGCAGTGCCCAGGACGGCCCCACCCAGGAGAATGGCCCAAATGTCCACTTGTCAAGAGGGAGACACGACCCTGGGGAAAAGCCAAGAAAAGGCCCCACAGGGTGACCCTCAGGGTGGGAGAGAGGCATGTACACTCAGTGGCCCTCCAGCACTGACCTTGGAGCTCCCAGACAATAGAGGTGGTGGCCTCAGTCCAGGAGAAGGACGGGCAGTGCAGCCTCCGCTTGGCTGAGTGAAGGACTCGTTCTGGATCCCTTCCCGAGTCCAGGTGCAGAGGCGGAAGTCGAGGTGGGAGGAGGGACGTTGGCCAAAGTCACTTCACATCTCCAGGGAGTCATTTGTCATCAGAGCATTGGGACAGGACGACAAATGTCAGAGGGCTGGCATTTTTTTTCCTTTTTCTTTCTTTCTTTTTTTTTTTTTTTTTTTTTTTTTGAGACGGAGTCTCACTTTGTCACCCAGGCGGGAGTGCAGTGGCGCAATCTTGGCTCAATACAACCTCTGCCTCCCAGCTTCAAGTGACTCTCCTGCCTCATCCTCCCGAGTAGCTGGGATGAGAAGTACCCACCACCACGCCCAGCTAATTTTTGTATTTTTTAGTAAAGACGGAGTTTCCACATGTTGGCCAGGCTGGTCTTAAACTCCTGACTTCAGGTGATCCGCCTGCCTAGGCCTCCCAAAGTGCTGGGATTACAGGCGTTAGCCACCGCTCCTAGCCGGTACCGCTATTAAAAAAAAAATGTAATAGCTCATTTGGAAATAAGGGACATTGGTAGCTCTTGGCACCTCCTGATACCTCCTTCAGGACCAGGACAGAAATACCAGCTTTGTCTGGAGTTAGGGCAGCAGGTTCTTTCACACCTGCAGGGTCCTAACGCATGCTACGAATTTTCGAATAAGACTGCAGGGATTTACAATGTAACCAGATTCAATTAACCTTCAGGAGAGGAGGGGGAGCTCCAGCTGCTCCTGAAAAGGCTGAAGAGAAGCCAGAGGCAGAAAAGTGGGAGGTGAGGTCAGAGGGGGTCAAGGGTCTGCCTGAGTTCTCAAAAAGGAAACATACCTGACTTCCTGCAGTATGATTTTCTTCTTCTTCTTCTTCTTCCTCTTCCTCTTCCTCTTCCTCTTCTTCTTCTTCTCCTTCTCCTTCTCCTTCTTCTTCTTTTTTTTTTTTTTGAGACAGTCTCATTCTGTCGCCCAGGCTGGAGGGCAGTGGCGCGATCTCGGCTCACTGCAAGCTCTGCCTCCCAGGTTCATGCCATTCTCCTGCCTCAGCCTCCCGAGTAGCTGGGACTACAGGCACCCACCACCATGCCCGGCTAATTTTTTTTTTTTTTTTTTTTTTTTGAGACGGAGTCTCGCTCTGTCGCCCAGGCTGGAGTGCAGTGGCGGGATCTCGGCTCACTGCAAGCTCCACCTCCCGGGTTCACGCCATTCTCCTGCCTCAGCCTCCCAAGTAGCTGGGACTACAGGCGCCTGCCACTACGCCCGGCTAATTTTTTGTATTTTTAGTAGAGACGGGGTTTCACCGTTTTAGCCGGGATGGTCTCGATCTCCTGACCTTGTGATCCGCCCGCCTCGGCCTCCCAAAGTGCTGGGATTACAGGCGTGAGCCACCGCGCCCGGCCAATTTTTTGTATTTTTTATTAGAGACGGGGTTTCACCGTGTTAGCCAGGATGGTCTCAATCTCCTGACCTCGTGATCCACCCGCATCAGCCTCCCAAAGTGCTGGGATTACAGGCGTGAGCCACCGCACCGGCTGTCTTCTTCTTCTTCTTTCTTCTTCTTCTCCTCTTTTTTTTTTTTTTTTAGGCAGAGTCTTGCTCTGTCGCCCAGGCTGGAGTGTAGTGGCGCTATCTCGGCTCACTGTAACCTCTGCCTCCTGGGTTCACGCCATTCTCCTGCCTCAGCCTCCCAAGTAGCTGGGACTACAGGTGCCCACCACCACGCCTGGCTATTTTTTTTTTTTTGTATTTTTAGTAGAGATGGGGTTTCACCCTGTTAGCCTGGATGGTCTCAATCTCCTGACCTCGTGATCCACCCACCTCGGCCTCCCAAAGTGCTGGGATTACAGGGGTGAGCCACCGCACCCGGCCTTCCTTTTTGGTTTTTTTTTTTTTTTTTTTTTTTGGAGACAGGGTCTCACTATGTTGCCCAGGCTGGTCTTGAACTTCTGGGCTCCAGTGATCCTCCCCCCTTGGCCTCCCCAAAGTGCTGGGATTACAGGCATGAGCCACCATGCCCAGCCAGCAATGTTTTTCAAATCACAGGTCACAACCCAGTCGTGGGTTGCAAAAATCCATTTGGTGGAATACAAGCATTTTCTTTTCTTTTCTTTTCTTTTTTTTTTTGAGACAGAGTCTCACTCTGTTGCTCAGGCTGGAGTGCAGGGCTGGATCTCAGCCTCACTGCAACCTCAGTCTCCCAGGTTCAAGTGATTCTCCTGCCTCAGCCTCCTGAGTAGCTGGGATTACAGTTGCGTGCCATCACACCCGGCCAACTTTTGTATTTTTAGTAGAGATGGGGTTTCACCACGCTGGCCAGGCTGGTCTCAAATTCCTGACCTCAGGTGATCCTCCTGCCTCGGCCCCCCAAAGTGCTGGGATTACAGGTGTGAGCCACTGCGCCTGGCTATATATATATAATATATATATAATATGTTATATTATTATAATATATTATATATAATAATATATTATATATATTCTAATAATATAATATATATTATATTATTATAATATATATATTTATTTTTGAGACGGAGTCTTGCTCTTTCGCCAGACTGGAGTGCAGTGGCGCGATCTCAGCTAACTTCAACCTCCACCTCCCAGATTCCAGCAATTCTCCCGCCTCAGCCTCCTGAGTAGCTGGGATTGCCGACGCCTGCCACCACGCCCGGCTAATTTTTGTATTTTTAGTAGAGACGGGGTTTCACCAAGTTGGCCAGGATGGTCTTGATCTCTTGACCTCATGATCCACCCGCTCAGCCTCCTGAAATGCTGGGAGCGCCTGGCCATATTTTTATAAAATGAAAGAATAGGCAAGAATCTAAATAGGCAATATCACAAAAAATCAATTTAGCAGGTTGCAACCACTTTTTTATATTAAGATAAAAGAACAGAACAGGCAACAAGTAGAATAAAAATATCAGAAATAACAATTTGCTATGTTGCAAACAACTTTTTAAAAATAAAAGCAGGCTGGGCACAGTGGCTCATGCCTGTAATCCCAGCACTTTGGGAGGCTGAGGTGGGAGGACTGCTTGAGCCCAGGAGTTTGAGACTAGCCTGGACAACATAGTGAGACCTTCTTTCAAAAAAAAAAAGCTGGGGTGTGGTGGCACACATGCCTGTGGTCCCTGCTACTTGGGAGGCTGATGGAGGAGGATCACTTGAGTCCAGGAGGTCAAGTCTGCAGTGAGCCATGAGTGCACCACTGCACTCCAGGCTGCATTAAAAAAAAAAAAAATGCTGGATGCAGTGGCTCATGCCTGTAATCCCAGCACTTTGGTAGGCCGAGGCAGGCGGATCACAAGGTCAGGAGTTCAAGACAAGTCTGGCCAACATAGTGAAACCCTGTCTCTACTAAAAATACACAAAAAATTAGCTGGGTGTGGTGGCGTGCGCCTGTAATCCCAGCTACTCAGGAGGCTGAGGCAGAAGAATCGCTTGAACCCGGGAGGCGGAGGTTGCACTGAGCCGAGATCACGCCACTCCACTCCAGCCTGGGCAACAGAGCAAGACTCTGTCTCCAAAAAAATACAAAAAACAAAAAACAAAACATGCTGGGAGATGGGAGATGACTCCAGGTTTTTGACTGCAAAATCCCTAGGCTTCCAGATTCCATCTTAATGCCTCTTCCTAGGAGAGCCCCCAAAGCCCCAGAGACTTTTTTTTTTTTTTGAGACGGAGTTTTGCTCTGTAGCCCTGGCTGAAGTGCAATCACACAATCTCGGCTCACTGCAACCTCCACCTCCCGGGTTCAAGAGATTCTCCTGCCTCAGCCTCCTGAGTAGCTGGGATTACAGGGATGCTCCATCACGCTCAGCTAATTTTTGTATTTTTAGTATAGATGGAGTTTCGCCATGTTGGCCAGGCTGGTCTCGAACTCCTGACATGGTGATCCTCCCGCCTCGGCCTCCCAAGGTGTTGGGATTATAGGCGTGAGCTATCGTGCCCAGCCAGCCCCACAGACTTTGAGGAGTTCCCAGGGTGGATCAGGCAGGCAAGTGGATTTTGTGGTCCTGGTCCCTCACGGTTGTCTGTTCCCCCACATCCTCCTAGAACCCCTTGTTCGTGGAGGCTGAGGAGAAAGTCTCCTACAACTGCTGCCGCCAGGGCACTGTCTGTTTGCAAATCCAGATGGAAAGGAACACCTTCACGCCAGGAGAGAAGGTCGTCTTCACAACAGAGATCAACAACCAGACCAGCAAATGCATCAAGACGGTCGTATTCGCCCTGTATGCCCACATACAGTACGAGGGCTTCACGCCCAGTGCAGAGCGGCGGTCTCGGCTGGACAGCAGCGAGCTTCTGAGGCAGGAGGCCAACACCCCCGTGACCCGCTTCAACACCACCAAGGTTGTCAGCACCTTCAACCTGCCGTTGCTGCTGTCCGTGAGCAGCAGCACGCAGGACGGTGAGATCATGCACACTCGCTACGAGCTGGTCACCACCGTGCACCTGCCCTGGTCCCTGACCAGCCTCAAGGCCAAAGTTCCCATCATCATCACCAGCGCCTCAGTGGACTCTGCCATCTGCCAGCTGTCAGAGGACGGAGTGTTACCCGTGAACCCAGATCACCAGAATTAAGTGCCCGAACTTTTAAATATTAAAAGCTTTATTAGTCTCTACCAGGAGGAAGCCCTCTCTCTTGCACAGGTGACTCTCAGAGGAGTCGAGGAGTGGGCAACAGGTTGTCTGCAACCTCCCCAAGCTCTAGCGGTTTAGGTATCTGTGTCTCCCCTCCCTAGAACTATCACTGAATGCCTGGAATGGACAAAGGAAACCGGGAAGGTCTCCCAGGACCCAAACCCGGCATAACCTGCCTTTTCCACCCTGAGTCTGCCCCAGCCTACTGGGGTCTCACAGTGCCAAGACCAGGGGTCCTACTTGGGGAGAATTCTCCCCTCTGCTAATGTCTGGTTGTATTGGCTGTCACAACTGCAGGGGATCGGGGGAGAAGAGTCTTATTGGCGTGGAGAGGGTGGAGGCCAGGGACGCTGTTCAGCACCCTGCAGTGTCCAGGACGGCCCCCACAATCAGGAATTGTTTATCCTGAATGTCAACAGTACCAAGGGGGCTGAGCATGGTGGCTCATTCCTGTAATCCCAGGACTTTAGGAGGCCATGGCTGGAGGATCACTTGAGACCAGGAGTTTGAGACAAGCCTGGGCAACACTGTGAGACCCCCATCTCTACAAAAAAAAAAAAAAGAGAAAAAGAAAAACTGGCCGGGCACGGTGACTCACACCCAGCCCAGCACTTTGGGGGGCCAAGGCAGGCGGATCACGAGGTCAGGCAAGACCATCCTGGCTAACACGGTGAAACCCCATCTCTACTAAAAATACGAAAACAAAATTAGCCAGGCATGGTGGTGGATGCCTGTAGTCCCAGCTACTTGGGAGGCTGAGGCAGGAGAATGGCGCGAACCTGGGAGGTGGAGCTTGCAGTGAACCGAGATCGTGCCACTGCACTCCAGACTGGGTGATAGTGCAAGACTCCGTCTCAAAAAAAAAAAAAAAAAGAAAAATTATCCAGGCGTGATGGTGTGCACCTGTAATCCCAGCTACTCGGGAGTCTGAGGCAGGAGAATCTCTTGAACCTGGGAGGCTGAGGTTGCAGTGAGCTGAGATCACCTCACTGCACTCCAGCCTGGGTGACAGTGCAAGAGTCAGTCTAAATATATATATGTATATATATATATATGAAAAATTAGCTGGCTGTAGCAGCAAACACCTTTAGTCCCAGCTATTAGGGAGGCTGAGGCTGGAGGATCACTTGAGTCTGGGAGATCGAGGCTGAAGTGAGCCATGATCGTGCTACTGCACTCCGGCCTGGGTGATAGAGCAAGACACTGTCTCAAAAAAATAAAAATAAAAAAAAAAGCCACCCACAATATCACAGTACACAGGGGGAGAAACTGTGTGCTGGTGTAATTCACAGAGGTTGCTATTGAGCCCCAGGGCTGCTTTGTGGGTCTCATACCTGAGTCAGATCCTGTGTCTCCTCTGCTTACAGCAGCTTCGGCTTCCTCCCCCGCACTTAGGATCAATGCCAAAGTCTTCCTAGTGATGAGCCTGTGCCATCTGCCCATGTGCAATCCATCAATAAGCCAGAGGGGCTCGGTCTCCACACTGCCCAGAATCTCCCACTTCTCCCCGTCCCCTGCCTCTACCCTTCTCTGTCCACCTTTTTTGGTTTTGTGTTGTTTCTGAGACGGAGTCTCCCTCTGTCTCCCAGGCTGGAGTGCAGTGGTTTGATCTTGGCTCACTGCAGCCTCCACCTCCTGGATTCAAGCGATTCTCCTGCCTCAGCCTCCTGGGACACCGTGCCCGACCTAAATTGGATTTTAGAGGAAAGATAGAAATATTTAGTATAAGTATATCCCATGCAATATTTGGGATATACTTATGCTTAAAAATCATTCATTGATGGCCAGGCGCAGTGGCTCACATCTGTAATCCCAGCACTTCGGGAGGCTGAGGCAGGTAGATCACTTGAGGTCAGGAGGTCGAGACCTTCCTGGCCAACATGGAGAAAACCCATCTCTACAAAAAATACAAAAATTAGCCGGGCATGGTGGCGGGCACCTGTAATCCCAGCTACTCGGGAGGCTAAGGCAGGAGAATCGCTTGAACCTGGTAGGCAGAGGTTGCAGTGAGCCAAGATCGCACCACTGCACTCCAGCCTAGGTGACAAGAAGAAAACTCCGTCTCAAAAAAATATATATGTATACATATATAGGGAGAGAGAGAGAAAGCATGCAAAACTCCATCTCAAAAAAAATGTATTGTTTATCTGCAATTCTGATTTAATTGGGCATCCTGGATTTTCCCTGGCAATTGTATTCCTGGAGCAACAAGAGGACTCTCAACACCAAACAGGCCATCCCGTTCCTCCATCAGGTCCCTACAGCATTTGAAGTAAAATCCAAAAGTCCTGGCTTCGCCTGCAAGGCCCTGCATGGCTGAAAGGAAACAGCGGCTGAGGCTGGGCACGGCGGCTTGTGCCTGTAATCCCAGCACTTTGGGAGGCCAAGATGGGCAGATGTCTTGAGGTTAGGAGTTTGAGACCAGCCTGGCCAACATAGGGAGACCCTGTGTCTATTTTTTAATTTTTCTTTCTTTTTTCTTTTTTTTTTTTTTGAGACGGAGTCTCACTCTGTCGCCCAGGCTAGAGTGCAGTGGCGCAATCTTGGCTCAATGCAAGCTCTGTCTCCCGGGTTCATGACATTCTCCTGCCTCAGCCTCCTGAGTAGTTGGGACTACAGGCGCCTGCCACCACGCCTGGCTAATTTTTTTTGTATTTTTAGTAGAGACAGGGTTTCACCGTGTTAGCCAGGATGGTCTCGATCTCCCGACCTCGTGATCCACCCGCCTCGGCCTCCCAAAGTGCTGGGATTACAGGCATGAGCCACCACGCCCGACCTGTTTTTTAATTTCTCTTTATAATACTAAAATTAAATTAAATTAAATTTTAAAAAGACTGATCCAGGGTTTGTCTTCTTGGGGGAATGGCCCTGAAATACTTCTCCAGCCACCTTGGAACTGCAACATACTGGTACCTCCCTCCCCCTTGCTGCAGGGTGTCTGTCAACCCTGCAGCCATGACACATTTGCATTTAGTGGCCCCTGCCACATTCCAGCAGATTCCGGAAAACCCAGCCTCTCCATAGGGTGGGACCAACTAAGACACGTTGTTGATTTATTTATTTAAGACAGAGTCTTGCTGTGTTGCCAGGCTGGAGTGCAGTAGTAAAATCTCGGCTCACTGCAACCTCCGCCTCCCGGGTTCAAGCGATTCTCCTGCCTCAGCCTCCCTAGTAGTTGGGATCACAGGCACCTGCCACCACACCCAGCTAATTTTTGTATTTTCAGTAGAGACAGGGTTTCACCATGTTGGCCAGGATGGTCTCAATCTCCTGACCTCGTGATCTGCCTGCCTCAGGCTCCCAAAGTGCTGGGATTACAGGCACGAGCGACTGCGCCCGGACCTTTTTTTTTTTTTTTTTTGAGATGGAATTTCGCTCTTGTTGCCCAGGCTGGAGTGCAATGGCGTGATCTCGGCTCACCACAACCTCCGCCTCCTCAGTTGAAGCAATTCTGCTGCCTCAGCCTCCCAAGTAGCTGGTATTAAAGGCATGTGCCACCACACCTAGCTAATTTTGTACTTTTAGTAGAAATGGGGTTTCTCCATGTTGGTCAGGCTGGTCTCGAACTCCCGACCTCACATGGTCTGCAGGCCTTGGCCTCCCAGAGTGCTGGGATTACAGGCGTGAGCCACCGCACCCAGCTGAGACACTTAGTTTTTTTGTGTTGTACTGTTTTAGTTTTCTTAGAAACAGGATCTCGATCTGCCGCCCAGCACTTTGGGAGGCCGAGGTGGGCGGATCACTTGAGGTCAGGAGTGTGAGACCAGCCTGGCCAACATGGCGAAACCCTGTCTCTACTAAAAATACAAAAATTAGCTGGGCGTGGTGGCGTATGCCTGTAATCCCAGCTACTCAGGAGGCTGAGGCAGGAGAATCGCTTGAACTCGGGAGGTGAAGGTTGCAGTGAGCTGAGATCACGCCACTGCACTCCAGCTTGGGCAATAGAGTGAGACTCTGTCTTAAAAAAAAAAAAAAATGCCGGGGGCGGTGGCTCACGCCTGTAGTCCCAGCACTTTGGGAGGCTGAGACGAGTGGATCACCTGAGGTCAGGAGTTGGAGACCAGTCTGGCCAACATGGTGAAACACCATGCCTACTAAAAATACAAAAAATTATCAGGGCATGGTGGCGGGCGCCTGTAATCCCAGCTACTCGGGAGGCTGAGGCAGGAGAATTGCTTGAACCCGGGAGGCGGAGATTGCAGTGAGCCAAGGTCGCACCACTGCACTCCAGCCTAGATGACAAGAGCAAAACTCTGTCTCAAAAAAAAAAAAAAATATATATATATATAGAGAGAGAGAGAGAGAGAGAGAGAGAGAGAGAGAGAGACAGTGCACAAAACTCTGTCTCAAAAAAAATGTATTGTTTATCTGCAATTCTGATTTAATTGGGCATCCTGAATTTTACCTGTCAATTGTATTCCTGGAGCAACAAAAGAACTCTCAGCATGAAAAAGGCCATCCTGTTCCCTCACTGAAAATCTCCATCAGGTCCCTACAGCATTTGAAGTAAAATCCAAAAGGCCTGGCTTTGCCTGCAAGGCCCTGCATGGCTGAAATGAAACAGCGGCTGAGGCTGGGCGCTGTGGCTCGTGTCTGTAATCCCAGCACTTTGGGAGGCCAAGGTGGGCAGATGTCTTTGAGGTTAGGAGTTTGAGACCAGCCTGGCCAACATAGGGAGACCCTGTGTCTAGTTTTTAATTTTTCTTTGTCTTTTTTTTTTGAGACGGAGTCTTGCTCTGTCGTACAGGCTGGAGTGCAGTGGCGGGATCTCGGCTCACTGCAAGCTCCGCCTCCCGGTTTCACACCATTCTCCTGCCTCAGTCTCCCGAATAGCTGGGACTATAGGTGTCCGCCGCCACGCCTGGCTAATTTTTTTTGTATTTTTAGTAGAGACGGGGTTTCACCATGTTAGCCAGGATGGTCTCGATCTCCCGACCTCGTGATCCGCCCGCCTCGGCCTCCCAAAGTGCTGGGATTACAGGCATGAGCCACCACGCCCGGCCTGTTTTTTAAATTTTTCTTTATAATACTAAAATTAAATTAAATTTTAAAAAGACTGATCCAGGGTTTGTCTTCTTGGGGGAATGGCCCTGAAATACTTCTCCAGCCACCTTCGAACTGCAACATACTGGTACCTCCCTCCCTCTTGCTGCAGGGTGTCTGTCAACCCTGCAGCCATGACACATTTGCATTTAGTGACCCCTGCCACATTCCAGCAGATTCCGGAAAACCCAGCCTCTCCATAGGGTGGGACCAACTAAGACACTTTATTGATTTATTTATTTAAGACAGAGTCTTGCTGTGTTGCCAGGCTGGAGTGCAGTAGTGCAATGTCGGCTCACTGCAACCTCCGCCTCCCGGGTTCAAGCGATTCTCCTGCCTCAGCCTCCCGAGTAGCTGGGATTACAGGCGCCTGCCACCATGCCCGGCTAATTTTTGTATTTTTAGTAGAGACGGGGTTTCACCGTGTTAGCCAGGATGGTCTCGATCTCCCGACCTCGTGATCCGCCCGCCTCGGCCTCCCAAAGTGCTGGGATTACAGGCATGAGCCACCACGCCCGGCCCGTTTTTTAATTTTTCTTTATAATACTAAAATTAAATTAAATTAAATTTTAAAAAGACTGGTCCAGGGTTTGTCTTCTTGGGGGAATGGCCCTGAAATACTTCTCCAGCCACCTTCGAACTGCAACATACTGGTACCTCCCTCCCTCTTGCTGCAGGGTGTCTGTCAACCCTGCAGCCATGACACATTTGCATTTAGTGGCCCCTGCCACATTCCAGCAGATTCCGGAAAACCCAGCCTCTCCATAGGGTGGGACCAACTAAGACACTTTATTGATTTATTTATTTAAGACAGAGTCTTGCTGTGTTGCCAGGCTGGAGTGCAGTAGTAAAATCTCGACTCACTGCAACCTCCGCCTCCCGGGTTCAAGCGATTCTCCTACCTCAGCCTCCCTAGTAGTTGGGATCACAGGCACCTGCCACCACACCCAGCTAATTTTTGTATTTTCAGTAGAGACAGGGTTTCACCATGTTGGCCAGGATGGTCCCAATCTCCTGACCTTGTGATCCACCTGCCTTAGCCTCCCAAAGTGTTGGGATTACAGGCATGAGCCACCACGCCTAGTCTTTTTTGTTTTTGTTTTTGAGAAGGAGTTTCACTCTTGTTGCCCAGGTTGGAGTGCAATGGCATGATCTCGGCTCACCAGAACCTCTGCCTCCTGGGTTCAAGCAATTCTCCTGCCTCAGCCTTGCGAGTAGCTGGGATTACAGGCATGCACCACCACACCAGGCTAATTTTGTATTTTTAGTAGAAACGGGGTTTCTCCATGTTGGTCAGGCTGGTCTCAAACTCCCGACCTCACATGGTCTGCAGGCCTCGGCCTCCCAGAGTGCTGGGATTACAGGTGTGAGCCACCGCACCCAGCCAAGACACTTAGTTTTTTTGTGTTGTACTGTTTTCTTGCAGACAGGATCTCGATCTGTTGCCCAGCACTTTGGGAGGCCGAAGCGATCGGATCACTTGAGGTCAGGAGTGTGAGACCAGCCTCGCCAACATGGTGAAACCCCATCTCTACTAAAAATGCAAAAATTAGCTGGGCGTGGTGGCAGGTGCCTGTAATCCCAGCTACTCAGGAGGCTGAGGCACGAGAATCCCTTAAACCCAGTAGCCAAAGGTTGCAGTGAGCTGAAATCACACCACTGCACTCCAGTCAGGGTGACAGAGACTGTCTCAAAAAAAAAAAAGAAAAAAAAATGCCGGGGGCGGTGGCTCACGCCTGTAATCTCAGCACTTTGGGAGGCTGAGACCAGCGGATCACCTGAGGTCAGGAGTTGGAGACCAGTCTGGCCAACATGGTGAAACCCCGTGCCTACTAAAAATACAAAAAATTAGCAGGGCGTCGTGGCAGGCCCTGTAATCCCAGCTACTCGGGAGGCTGAGGCAGGAGAATCGCTTGAACCCGGGAAGCGGAGATTGCAGTGAGCCAAGATCGTGTCACTGCACTCCAGCCTGGGCAACAAGAGTGAAACTCCGTCTCAAAAAAAAAGAAATAGACATGAATCGACAAATTCTACCAATAAAGTGTCAAAAGGCTTCTCTGCCACGTTCCCCATTGGACAGATGCATAGCGGCTCGTTATCGGAGCTCCACGAAAGCTTTCCTAAGGAAGCAGTGCTTGAAATGAGATCTGAAGGATTCGCACAGTTGGCTAGGCAGAAAACAGGGAAGAGTGTGCCAGGCAGAGGGAACAGCCTGTGCAAAGGCCTGGCATATAAGGGAACATGACAGGAGCATGGAACTGAAAGTAGACTAGTGTCGCTGAAGCAAGCCTGGGGCCAGGTGACACCCACAGAGGGATTTTGAAAAAAGAGACTGCTGGGCCAGGTGCGGTGGCTCACACCTGTAATCTCAGCACTTTGGGAGGCCGAGGCAGGTGGATCACGAGGTCAGGAGTTCAAGACCATCCTGGCTAACATGGTGAAACCCCGTCTCTACTAAAAATACAAAAAATACAGCTGCTCAAGAAGCTGAGGCAGAAGAATGGCGTGAACCCGGGAGGCGGAGCTTGCGGTGAGCCGAGATCACGCCACTGCACTCCAGCCTGGGCAACAAAGCGAGACTCCGTCTCAAAAAAAAAAAAAAAAAAAAGAAAGAAACAGAAAAAAAAGACTGCTGGCCGGGCGCGGTGGCTCATGCCTGTAATCTCGGCACTTTGGGAGGCCAAGGTGGGTGGATCATGAGGTCAGCAGTTCAAGACCATCCTGGCTAACACGGTAAAACCCCGTCTCTACTAAAAATACAAAAAAATTGGCCAGCTGTAGTGGCAGGTGCCTGTAATCCCAGCTACTCCAGAGGCTGAGGCAGGAGAATGGAGTGAACCCGGGAGGCGGAGCTTGCAGTGAGCTGAGATCACACCACTGCCCTCCAGCCTGGGCAACAGAGTGAGACTCCGTCTCAAAAAAAAAAAAAGATAAAGAAAACAAAAAGAAAACAGACTGCTGTAATGACAATTGCATTTTGTTCTTTTTTCTTTTTTCAAGATCTCGAAGTTTAATAACAATTGCCTTTTTTTTTTTTTTTGAGACAGGGTCTCACTCTGTTGACCAGGCTGGAGTAGAGTGGCACGATCTTGGCTCACTGTAACCTCCGCCCCCCAGGTTCAAGCAATCCAGTCCTCACACCTCAGCCTCCCTAGTAGCTAGTAGCTAGGATTACAGGTGCAAGCCACCTTGCCTGGCTAATTTTTGTATTTTTTGGTAGAGACGGCGTTTCACCACATTAGCCAGGCTGGTCTCAAACTCCTGACCTCAAGTGATCCGCCCGCTTCAGCCTCCCAAAGTGCTGGGATTACAGGTGTGAGCCACTGCCGCCAGCCACAATTGCATTTTTGTTTTTTTTTGAGATGGAGTTTCGCTCTGTTACCCAGGCTAGAGTGCAGTGCCGCAATCTCGGCTCACTGCAACCTCCGCCTCCCGGGTTCAAGTGATTCTCCTGCCTCAGTCTTCTGAGTAGCTGGGATTACAGGTGGATGCCACCATGCCCGCCTAATTTTTGTATTTTCAGTAGAGACAGGGTTTCGCCATGTTGGCCAGGCTGGTCTCAACCTTCTGACTTCAAGTGATCTGCTCACCTCGGCCTCCCAAAGTGCTGTGATTACAGGCATAAGCCATTGCGCCCCACCGGATTCATGTCTCTCTCTCTCTCTTTTTTTTTGTTTTGAGACAGAGTCTCGCTCTGTCACCCAGGGTGGAATGCAGTGGCTCGCTCTTGGCTCACTGCAACCTCTGCCTCCCCAGTTCAAGTGATTCTCCTGCCTCAGCCTCCTGAGTAGCTGGGATTACAGGCACCCACCACCACGCCTGGCTAATTTTTGTATCTTTTGTAGAGACGGGGTTTCACCATATTGGCCAGGCTGGTCTCGAACTCCTGACCTCATAATCCCTCCGCCTCTGCCTCCCAAAGTGCTGGGATTACAGGCGTAAGCCACGGCACCCAGCATCTACTTCTTTTTAAATTTTTCTTGTATGGCCGGGTGCGGTGGCTCACGCCTGTAATCCCAGCACTGTGGGTGGCCGAGGCTGTCGGATCACGAGGTCAGGAGTTCAAGACCAGCCTGGCCAATATGGTGAAATCCCGTCTCTCCTAAAAATACAAAAAATTAGCCGGGCATGGTGGTGGGTACCTGTAGTCCCAGCTACTCGGGAGGCTGAGGCAGGAGAATTGCTTGAACCTGGGAGGCGGAGGTTGCAGTGAGCCGACATCGTGCCACTGCATGCCAGCCTGGGTGACAGAGCGAGACTCCATCTCAAAAAAAAAAAGAAAAGTTTCTTGTAGAGATGTGGTCTTTCGATGTTGCCCAGGCTAGTCTTGAACTCATGGGATCAAGCAATCCTCCTGCCTCAGCCTCCCAAACTGTTGTGATTACAGACAAGAGCCACCACATTCAGTCAATTCATGTCTATTTCTTCCTCTAAGCCAATGCTAGTGATCATGAGAGCCACAAATGTAATTTTATTTTATTTTTTATTTTATTTTTTTCAAATAGAGATGGGGGTCTCACTGTGTTGTCCAGGCTGGTTTTGAACTCCTGACCTCAAGTGATGCTCCCATCTTGGCCTCCCAAAGTGCTGGGATTACAGGTGTGAGCCACCACACCTGGCCACAAATGTTAATTTTAAATTTCCTAGGCCAGGCAAGGTGGCTCACGCCTGTAATCCCAGCACTTTGGGAAGCCGAGGCAGGCAGATCACCTGAGGTCGGGAGTTCAGGACAGCCTGGCCAACATGGTGAAACCCCGTTTCTACTAAAAATACAAAAATTATAGGTGGGAATTGAACAATGAGAACACGTGGACACAGGAAGAGGAACATCACACACCCGGGCCTGTCGTGGGGTGAGGGGAGGGGGGAGGGATAGCATTAGGAGGTATACCTAATGTAAATGACGAGTTAATGGGTGCAGCACACCAACATGGCACATGTATACATATGTAACAAACCTGCACGTTGTGCACATGTACCCTAGAATTTAAAGTATAATAATAAAAAAAAAAAGAAACTGGAAACATTGAAAAACAAAAACAAAAACAAAAATTAGCCAGGTGTGGTGGTACATGTCTGTAATCCCAGCTACTTGGGAGGCTGAGGCAGGAGAATGGCTTGAACCCAGGAGGCAGAGGTTCTGCACTCCGGCTTGGGCAACAAAGCGAGACTCTGTCTCAAAAAAAAAAAAAGGAAGAAATGTTTGTGGCTTGAATAGTAACAATAGTGATCTAGGTCACATTTCTTGGGCCCTCACTTTGAGCATGACACTGTCTTAAGCCAGTTACCTGCATCATCTCATGTAGTCCAGACAGCAACCCTGAGGAAGATACCACTACCAATGCCCAGGAACTGAGGATCAGAGAGGTTCATTGATTTGCCCAAGGTCACACAGCAAACTCACTGCAGAGCCAGGACTCAAAACCAGTTCAACCAAACCGGTGATGTGAACCACTGTGAATACTCACTGCTTGCCTAAACTCTGACAGTTAGGCTGATATGAACGACCCCAGGATGGGAAATGTATGTATGTATGTATGTATGTATGTATGTATGTATGTATGTATAGTATGTATGTATTTTTGAGACAGAGTCTCACTCTGTCGACAAGGGTGGAGTGCAGTTGTGTGATCTCGGCTCACTGCAACCTCCATCTCCCAGGTTCAAGCGATTCTCCTGGCTCGGTCTCCTGAGTGGCTGGGATTACAGGCGCGTGCCACCACGGCTGGCTAATTTTTATATTTTTAGTAGAGACAGGGTTTCGCCATATTGGCCAGGCTGGTCTCAAACTCCTGACCTCAAGTGATCTGCCTGCCTCGGCCTCCCAAAGTGCTGGGATTACAGGCGTGAGCCACCGCGCATAACTGTACATGAGGGGTGGGTTCCTTCTCTGCGGCAAGGCCATCCTGGGTACTGAAGAGTGCTGAGCAGCATCCCCGGCCCCCACCCCCTCCATATCAGGAGCAACCCCCAGTCATGACAACCACAAATGTCCCCAGACATCACCCCATGGGCCCTGAAGGACAGACTCACCCCTGGTTGAGAGCTACACTGTACAGTATATACTTGGAGGCCTCTGTGGAGTTAATATATCTGATAGTAAATGCTATGCATGAGAATCCCACTTCTGATGTTTATTAATTATTATTATTATTATTATTTTGTTTTGAGTTGGAGTCACGCTCCAGTCTCAGGCTGGAGTGCAGTGGCGCGATCATAGCTCACTGCAACCTCAAGCTCCTGGGCTCAAACGATCTGCCCACCTCAGCTTCCCAAAGTGCTGGGATTATAAGCATGAGCCATGGCGCCCGGCCTCTGCTGTTTTGTTGTTGGTGTTGTTGTTGTTATTGTTGTTGTTTTGGGACAGAGTCTTGCTGTCTTGCCAAGGCTGGAATGCAGTGGCGCCATCTTGGCTCACCGCAACCTCCACCCCTGCCCTGGGTTCAAGCAATTCTCATGCCTCGGCCTCCCAAGTAGCTGGGATTACAGGCACCCGCCACCACACCTGGCTGATTTTTGTATTTTTAGTAGATACATGGTTTCACCGTGTTGTCCAGGCTGGTCTCACACCCCTGACCTCAGGTGATTCACCGGCCTCAGCCTCCTGAAGTGCTGGGATTACAGGCACCCGCCACCACACCTGGCTGATTTTTATATTTTTAGTAGAGACAGGGTTTCACCGTGTGGTCCAGGCTGGTCTCACACTCCTGACCTCAGGTGATTCACCCGCCTTGGCCTCCTGAAGTGCTGGGATTACAGGCGTCTGAGCCACCGCGCCTGGCCTCGGCTGTTTATTTGCTGAATGACTTTGGGCCAGTCGCTTCTGTTTCTGAGCCTCAGTTTCCCCATGTGTAAAAGGGGGATTTATTCCTAGCATCTTCCTCCGGAACACACTGGATTAAACCAGCCAATGCATATAAATGGCCTGAACCAAAGTCACCACTCACTCCATAGGCACCACCATTACCCCAGCGGGACTCTTCTGGAAGATTCTGATCTGCTGTACAGCACCCCCAGCGGGTCCCTGCCCCCTCCTTGCCAGCTGCCTCCCATTTCCAGGCCCTAGACTCAGTGGACCACACAGGCGGGCGTTGGGGACACTTCCTGTGCAGCGGCAGCAGTACCCGCCACGCCAGGTGGGCCAACGGGAGAATGCAGCTGGGGCCGCCCCACTTCCTGCCCCCGTGGAGGGGCCTCTCATTCTCCCTGGTCCCTACTCCCAAAATAACCCTCCCCCGCCCCGGGAACCAAAGTCACCCACACCAGCTGCGGCCTCCCACTTGGGGGACGTGGGACAGGCAGGGGACTAGCAGCTGCCACCACCACGGTGCCTGCCCCGCTGGGAACGTCCACCCCCTGTTGCCACCACCTCCGACATTCCAATCCCCAAAAGTGCGGGGGGTGACCCGGCCTCCCTCGTCGTCCGGGAAATATGAACTCCAAGGAAGCCGGGCTGGCGGGGAGGAGGGAGATCCTCGGCCACCTTAGGTGACCGGGGACCCTCCCTGACCTGAACCCCCAGGCCTGAGGCGCCCCCAGTTTTCACCTCGTGTGACTGTGTTGGGGAAAAGGGGGTGGTTGCCAGGACAACAGCCCCCCACCTCCGCCCAGGGAACAAAGAGGCAGCCGGGAGAGCCAAGAACGGCCTGTTCTCTCCCCGCCAATGCGGCTGGCACATCCTGGCAGCTGGCACTGGGAGGGCCGTGCCCAGAGCCGCCAGGCCTGGCCATCCTGGACACGGTTCTCCAGGGAGGGATTGGCTGTGGGGGTGGCTGCGGCCCCAAGGAATGGAGTTGCAGGGGCCCGTGGGATCGGATTCCCAGGCAGCTGCCCCAGGCCTCCATCCTTCCCGGACATGGACAAGGAATCTGCCTGCCTGCAGGACTTGTGGGAGGCCCAAGAAGTCGTAAATGTCTGGCTCAGAGCCGGACGGGCCACCAGGGACGGAGGGTGCAGGAGACAATGGCCAGGTGGAGGCCTGGCCCGGGGTCCCCTCGGGCATTCCACGGATGGGCATGCGAGCCAGTAGGACACTCCTGGCCTAGGAGAGGGGACAGTGGGTCTCAGAGCTGCTCCCCTCCCCCACGCCCGCCAGCGCCTTGCAGGGGGCAGCGGGCAGCTGGCGCCATGAGGGCCTGGGGGTGGGGACAGGCCAGGGCCTGCATGTTAAAAGACCCCTGGCTTCCTGCAGCGAGCCCAAATAATTGCCAGACAAAATCCTCTGCCTTCTCACCGTTGGGCCACAGCTGGTCAGGTGTCCACCCGGTCGCTGGAGCCACAATGTGGCGGGGGGCAACGTGGACAACGTCTGGCTGAGTTGCCAGGTTAATTACAAGACAGGCAGTTAAACGAATTATTGTTGTTGTTATTATTAGTATTTGTTTTTGTTTTTATTTTGAGACGGAGTTTTGCTTTTGTTGCCCAGGATGGAGTGCAATGGCGTGATCTTGGCTCACTGCAACCTCCGCCTCCTGGGTTCAAGTGAGTCTCCTGCCTCAGTTTCCTGAGCAGCAGAGATTACAGGCACATGTCACCACATCCGGCTAATTTTTTGTATTTTTAGTAGAGACGGGGTTTCACCATGTTGGCCAGGCTGGTCTCAAACTCCTGACCTCAGGTGATCCACTCCACCCCCTCGGCCTCCCAAAGTACTGGGATGACAGGTGTGAGCCGTCGCACCCGGCCATTATTATTATTTTTTGAGACAGATTCTCCCTCTGTCACCCAGGCTGGAGTGCGGTGGTGCGATCTTGGCTGACAGGAACCTCTGCCTCCCAGGTTCAAGGGATTCTCCTGCCTCAGCCTCCGAAGTAGCCGGGATTACAAACGTACGCCACCACACCCAGCTGATTTTTGTATTTTTAGTAGAGACGGGGTTTCACCATGTTGGCAAGGCTGGTCTCCAACTCCTGACCTCAAGTGATCTGCCCACCTCAGCCTCCCAAAATGCTGAGATTACAGGTGTGAGCCACTGTGCCCGGCCAAAATGAATTATTATTATTATTATTATTATTTTGAGACAAGGTCTTGCTCTGTCACCCAGGCTGGAGTACAGTGGTGCCATCATAGTTCACGGCAGCCCTGACCTCCTGGGCTCAAGCAATCTTCCTGCCTCTGTCTCCGAAAGCACCGGGATTATAGGCGTGAGCCACTGAACTCCATTAAATGAAAAATGTTTAGCATAAGTATGTCTCAAAATAATTTGGAACATACTTACGCTAAAAATTATTCACATGGCCAGGCGTGGTGGCTCACACTAGTAATCCCAGCACTTTGGGAGGCCAAGGTGGGAGGATTACTTGAGCCCAGGAGTTTAAGACCAGCCTGGGCAACATGGTGGGACCCCCACCTGTATGAAAAATACAAAAATTAGCCCGATGTGGTGGCATGCACCTGTACTCCCAGCTACTTGGGAGGCTGAGGTAAGAGGATCGCTTAGGTCCAGGATGTCGAGGCTGCAGTGAGCCCTGATTGTACCACTGCACTCCAGCCTGAGCAGCAGAGCAAGACCCTGTCTCAAAAGAAAAACAAAGGCCGGGCGCAGTGGCTCACACCTGTAATCCCAACACTTTGGGAGGCCGAGGCAGGCAGATCATGAGGTCAGGAGATCGAGACCATCCTGGCTAACACGGTGAAACCCCATCTCTACTAAAAATACAAAAAAAAATTAGCCGGGCATGGTGGGCGTCTGTAGTCCCAGCTACTTGGGAGGCTGAGGCAGGAGAATTGGCGTGAACCCGGGAGGCAGAGCTTGCAGTGAGCCAAGATCACGCCACTGCACTCCAGCCTGGGCGACAGAGCGAGACTCCGTAAAAAAAAAAAAAAAAAAAAAAAAAAAAAAGAAGTGTAGCTGAGATTTGCATTTAACCAGGTGTCCTGTATTTTTATTTGCTAACCCTGCAACCTTACGCCAGGGGTTCTGGAAGAGGCAAGCTGAGCTCATCCTCATCCATATCCCCCAACGTGCTTCTCTGCTGGGTCCCTGCCTCAAGGTTGGCCCTGCCCCCGGAACCCCCAACCCGAGGCCTGTGTCAGCCTCACCTGTCCACTTTCCGTCTACAGTCTCTCTCTCCTCTGCCCGCACCCCCTGCAGACCCTCTGCGGACCGTCACCTCCCACTGGCCCTCCCAGAGCCCCCAGGCCCCTGCCAGTCCCTGCATCTCACAGGCCCCTTCCCTTCCCCAGAGGCCTGATGAGGGCCCTCCCCTGCTCTGAATCCAACATTGCTGCCCATTGCTCCCAAGATAAAGACCAGGCCCTGGCCAGGCGCGGTGGCTCATGCCTGTAATCCCAGCACTGTGGGAGGCCGAGGCGGGTGGATCACTTGAGGCCAGGAGTTTGAGACCAGCCTGGCCAACATGGTGAAACCCCGTCTCTACTAAAAATACAAAAATTGGCTGGGCATGTTGGCGGGCGCCTATAATTCCAGCTACTTGGGAGGCTAAGGCAGGAGAATCGTTTGAAACCAGGAGGTGAAGGTTGCAGTGAGCTGAGATAGCGCCACTGCACTCCAGCTCAGGTGATGGAATGAGACTCAATCTCAAATAAATAAATAAACAAAACTTAAAAAAAATTTAAAATATAAAAATTAGCCGGGCATGGTCACATGCACCTGTAACGCCAGCTGCTCAGCAGGCCGAGGCAGGAGAATCCCTTGAACCCAGGAGGCGGGGGCTACAGTGACCCAAGATCGTGCCATTGTACTCCAGCCTGGGTGACAGAGCTAGACTTCGTCTTAAAAAATAACAATAATAAGTCTCTTTTTATTTATAGTGGCTCATGCCTGTAATCCCAGCACTTTGGGAGGCCGAGGTGGGCGGATCATGAGGTCAGGAGATTGAGACCATCCTGGCTAACACGGTGAAACCCCGTCTCTACTAAAAATACAAAAAATTGGCTGGGTGTGGTGGCACGTGCCTGTAATCCCGGCTACTCAGGAGGCTGAGGCAGGAGAATCCCTTGAACCCGGGAGGCGGAGGTTGCAGTGAGCTGAGATCGCGCCACTGCACTCCAGCTTGGGCGACAGAGCGAGACTCCATCTCAAAAAAAAAAGTAATAAATAATAATAATAATAAAAATAGGCCAGGCGTGGTGGATCATGCCTGTAATCCCAGCACTTTGGGAGGCCAAGGCGGGCGGATCATGAGGTCAGGAGATTGAGACCATCCTGGCTAACACGGTGAAACCCCGTCTCTATTAAAAAAAAAAAAAAAAAATTAGCTGGGCATGGTGGTGGGCGCCTGTAGTCCCAGCTACTCTGGAGGCTGAGGCAGGAGAATGGCGTGAACCCAGGAGGCGGAGCTTGCAGTGAGCCGAGATCGCACCACTGCACTCCAACTCCAGCATGGGTGACAGAGTGAGACTCCGTCTCAAAAAAATAAATAAATAAAAATAAAAATAAATATTCCCCGAATGAATGAATGAATGCTACTGTGACTGGAACGTCCTTCTGTACTGTTCCCTCTCCAATACCACCTTTCTTTTTATTTTCTTTCTCTAAAACGAACAAACAAAACAGAGACAGGGTCTCACTATGTTGCCCAGGTTGGTCTCGAACTCCTGGGCTCAAGCGATCCTCCCACCTCCGCCTCTCAAAGTGCTGGGATTGCAGGCGTGAGCCACCATATCTGGCCTTGCCACCACGTATGTCCTACTTTTTCTTCCAGAGTTACCTGAAGCATTTGGTTCCTTTCCTCCTCCCATTCCTCATCCTCCAGTCTTATTCCCTTTGAATCATTATCCACAGGGTGGCCCAAGAGATCTTTCAAATGTTCCAACTTGCCCTTGCTGCTCCTGCTCTGGAACCTACTGTGGCTCCCCAGTGCCCTTAGATCTGGCAGCCTGACCCTGGCCACTCTGTCCAGCTTCATCTTTTTTCCCCTGATGCCACCCCCACCACATTCTACGCTCCAGTCTTATTCTGTGTCTTAGCACTCTCTGTTCCCTTGGCCTGAAACAGCTTTTTGGTGCCTTTACCTGCCTGATCGCTGTTCACTTCTCAGGGCTCAGCTTAGACATCACCTCATCCTGAAAGTCCTCCAGAACTACTCTCACCCACCTAGGTCCAGCACCTACCCCAGGCTCCATCACACTTGTGCACCCTATCACAGCCCTGATAACCCTCTATTTTATCCACCTGGTCACACTCCATCTCAAAAGAAAAGAAAACAAAACAAAACAGAACCTCCTGGCTTCAAGTAATTCTTCTGCCTCAGACTCCCAATCTTCTGGGAATTATAGGCATGAGCCACTGTGCCCAGCCCCAAAAGCCTTTGTTTGTTTGTTTTTTGTTTTGAGTCAGGGTCTTGCTCTGTCGCCCAGACTGGAGTGCAGTGGTGCTATCACAGCTCACTGCAGACTAGAACTCTTGGGCTCAAGCAATCCTCCCTCCTCAACCTTCGAAGTAGCCGATGCCCCAGGCAGGCACCATCATGCCTGGCTACATTTTTTAAGTTTGTGCAGAGACGGGGTCTTGCTATGTGGCCTGGCTGGTCTCGAACTCCTGGCCTCCAGTGATCCTCTGGCCTCAACCTCCCAAAGAGCTGAGCCACCGTGCCTGGCCGCAAAAGTCTTTTTTTTTTTTTTTGAGACAGAGTTTCGTTTTTGTCGCTCAGGCTGGAGTGCAAAGAGTGAGCGAGAGGGAGGGAGGAGGGGAGGACAGGGATGGCTCAGAGAGGATTCAAGCAATTCTCACCTCACCATCCCGGGTTCAAGCGATTCTCCTGCCTCAGCCTCCCAACTAGCTGGGATTACAGGCATGCGCCACCATGCCTGGCTAATTTTGTATTTTTAATAGAGACAGGGTTTCTGTCCGTTGGCCAGGCT
Organism: Homo sapiens; assembly: GCF_000001405.40. NCBI lineage: Eukaryota > Metazoa > Chordata > Mammalia > Primates > Hominidae > Homo > Homo sapiens. The sequence goes on along the minus strand of NC_000019.10, from coordinate 4,873,117 downwards.
GTTCTTAAACTCCTGACCTCAGGTGATCCACCATCCTCGGCCTCCCAAAGTGCTGGGATTACAGGTGTGAGCCACCATAGCTGGCCCCAGAAGTCTTAATGCAATCCTGCCATCCTGTGTCTGTCTCCAGGGCTGCCCAGCACAGGCTTGGCACACAGCAGGTGCTTAATTATTGTTTGTTGAATGACTGCATATCCAGTGAATCGCTGGCCTGGCTCACACTCAATAGGACATGCTTAAAAACGGATGGATGGATGGAGGGAAGGAAGGGTCAGAGGAGAGACAGGGAACACCTGTGCCAGGCAGGGACCCATCTGGGACCAGCAGTGCCACCTTGTGGCAGCATGCTCACCGCCGTTCCCCTCTTCTCAGTGAGAAAGAACTAGGCGTCCTGGCTGGGCGCGGTGGCTCACACCTGTAATCCGAGCACTTTGAGGGGCCAAGGCGGGTGGATCAGGAGGTCAGGAAATTGAGACCATCCTGGTTAACATGGTGAAACCCTGTCTCTACTAAAAATACAAAAAATTAGCCGGGCTTGGTGGCGGGCGCCTGTAGTCCCAGCTACTTGGGAGCCTAAGGCAGGAGAATGGTGTGAACCCGGGAGGCAGAGCTTGCAGTGAGCAGAGATCCAGCCACCGCACTCCAGTCTGGGTGACAGAGCGAGACTCCGTCTCAAAAAAAAAAAAAAAAAAAAAAAAAAAAAAAAAGAAAGAATTAGGAGTCCTAGAATTGGGAGGGGATGCAGAGGGAAGGAAAGAAGAGAAAGAGTAGAAAATGTCAAAAACAAAGACCTGCTGGGCGCAGTGGCTCATGCCTGTAATCCCAGCACTTTGGGAGGCAGAGGTGGGTGGATCACCTGAGGTCAGGAGTTCGAGACCAGCCTGGCCCACATGGCAAAACCCTGTCTGTACTAAAAATACAAAAATTAGCCGGGTGTGGTGGCGCATACCTGTAATCCCAGCTACTCAGGAGGCTGAGGCAGGAGAATTGCTTGAACCTGGAAAGCGGAGGTTGCAGTGAGCTGAGATCCCACCGCTGCACTCCAGCCTCACTTCCAGACGAAGTGAGACTCTCTCAAAAACAAAACAAAACAAAAAAACCCCAAAACAAACAGAAACCAAAGACCTTAAAGACACATAACTCAAGGTTCAAACCCTGGGGCTGGCAATTTCTGGCTGTGTGACCTGGGGCAAGTTACTCTGCCTCTCTGATCCTTAGTTTCCTGATCCAGAAAACAGAAATCACAGTTGGTTTACCTTGGCAGGCTGAGGTGGGCGGATCACTTTAGGTCAGGAGTTTGAGAGCAGCCTGGTCAACATGGAGAAACCTCATCTCTACTAAAAATACAAAAATTAGCTGGGTGTGGTGGCACGCGCCTGTAGTCCCAGCTACTCGGGAGGCTGAGGCAGGAGAATGGCGTGAACCCGGGAGGCGGAGCTTTCAGTAAGCTGAGATCGCGCCACTGCACTCCAGCCTGGGTGACAGAGCAAGACTCCGACTCAAATAATAATAATAAGAAGAAGTAAATAAATAAATAGCGCCACGTGCTGTGGCTCACGCCTGTAATCCCAACACTTTGGGAGGCAGAGGCGGGTGGATCTCGAGGTCAGGAGTTCAAGATCAGCCTGGCCAACATGGTGAAACCCCATCTCTACTAAAAATTCAAAAAATTAGCCAGGCGTGGTGGTGGGCTCCTGTAATCCCAGCTACTTGGGAGGCTGAGGCAGAGAATTGCTGGAAACCGGGAGGCAGAGGTTGCAGTGAGCCGAGATCGTACGGCTACACTCTAGCCTGGGCGACAGAGCAGAACTCCATCTCGAAAATAAATAAATAAATAAATAATAAAAGAAAATGGGAATCAGGCTGCTGAATAATGTAATGAAATAGCCCAGAAAACAGCAGCTATCTCATTTTTGGTTTTGAGACAGGGTCTTGCTCTGCTACCCAGGCTGCAGTGCAGTGGTGCAATCTTGGCTCACTGCAACCTCCACCCCTCCAGTCTCAAGCGATCCTTCCACCTCAGCCTGTGGAGAAGCTGGGATTACAGGCATGCGTCACCATACCCGGTTAATTTTGTATTTTTGGTAGAGACAGGATTTTGCCATATTGGCCAGGCTGGTCTTGAACTCCTGAGCTCAAGTGATCTGTCCGCCTTGGCTTCCCAAAGTGCTGGGATTACCGGTGTGAGCCACCGGCCAACAGTAGCTATTTCTTTTTTTCTTTTCTTTTCTTTTTTTTTTTTTTTGAAACAGAGTTTCACTCTTGTTGCCCAGGCTGGAGTGCAATGGCACAATCTGGCTCACTGCAACATCTGCCTCCCAGGTTCAAGTGATTCTCCTGCCTCAGCCTCCTGACTAGCTGGGATTACAGGCATGCGCCACCGCACCTGGCTAATTTTGTATTTTTAGTAGGGACGGGGTTTCTCCATGTTGGTCAGGCTGGTCTCAAACTCCCGACCTCAGGTGATCCGCCCACCTCGGCCTCCCAAAGTGCTGGGATTATAGGCGTGAGCCACTGCGCCCAGCCAACAGTAGCTATTTCTTACCTCTCACCCTAGGGCTGTGGGAGGCCAGGCGGGGACTCCTGGGCAGATGTTGCCATCAAGAAGAACCAAAAGCCTGGGAGATGACTCTGTCTCAAAAAAAAAAAACAACAAAAAACGGTGTGGGGCAAAATCACCAGGGCTCATCCCCTAGACCAGAGCTATTTTGTTACTCAAGGCCACTAAGAAGTTAAGGGTTAACAGGCAAATCTCCCACTGACCTTGAATCTTGGATGAGTCACTTCCCCTCTCTGAGCCATCCCAGCCCTCCCCTCCTCCCTCTCTCTCACTCACTGTACTCCAGCCACTGGGGCCTCCTCACTGTTCTAACAGGCAGGGTGTGGTCCTGCCTCAGGGCCTTTGCACGGACTGTGCCTGCTGCCTGGAATGCTGTTCCCCCTAACTGGACATGGTTCCCTCCTGGCCTCTCTCTCTTCTCTTCTTGGATGTCACTCAGAAAGGCCTCCTCTGACCTCCCTACTAAAAACTGCGGCCCCACCGGGTGTGGTGGCTCATGCCTATAACCCAGCACCTTGAGAGGCCAGGGCTGGTGGATCACATGAGGTCAGGAGTTCGAGACCAGCCTGGCCAACATGGTGAAGCCCCGTCTCTACTAAAAAAAAAAAAAATACAAAAATTGGCCAGGCATGGTGGCACAGGCCTGTAATCCCAGCCACTTGGGAGGTCGAGGAACAAGAATTTCTTGAACCTGGGAGGCGGAGGTTGCAGTGAGCCGAGATCGTGCCACTGCACTCCAGCCTGGGTGACAGAGTGAGACTCTTTGACAAAAAACAAGAACAAAATCCCCGCATCCCCCACATTCATCTCGTCCTTTGCTGTCCTACCACGTGACACATTGTAAAGTTCTCTCACTTATGTTGTTCCTTGTTCGTCTCTCCCACTGGGTAGTGTGTGTCACCAGGGCTGGAATTCTTATCTGTTTAGCTCACCGCTGTCCCCAGCGCAAGGACTCAATAAATATGGTTGAATGAGTGAATGAGAAGGAAAAAGCCTGTTACAAATGTCATGGAATGGGGTCTCAGATTCACTTGAGAATCTCACTAGCTGCCTGAAGTTACTTAAATTTAAACATTCAGGCCAAGCGCGGTAGCTCACACCTGTAATCCCAGCACTTTAGGAGGCCGAGGCAGGTGGATCACTTGAGGCCAGGAGTTCGAGACCAGCCTGGCCAATATGGTTAGTCCTCGTCTCTACTAAAAATACAAAAATTAGCTGGGTGTGGTGGCGCGCGCCTGTAATCCCAGCTACTTGGGAGGCTGAGGCAGGAGAACCGCTTGAACCCGGGAGGTGGAGGTTGTAGTGAGTCGAGATCGCGCCATTGCACTCCAGCCTGGGAGACAGAGCGAGACTCTGCCTCAAAAAAAAAAAAAAAATTTAAACATTCAGCTTCTCACTGTGCATTAGCCACGTGGTGCTTTTGGCTACAATGTTGGATGGCACACAATTCTAGAATTGCAGAAAGTTCTATTGGACAGTGCTAGCATAGACCCTGTCCCCACTCACCCCCCCAAAAAAATGCAGTCACAGACACCCAATTTTTCCCATGTTCTTTCTAAAGCTACCAGAAGCTTCATTCTATTCAAATAATTTGGCAGAGGTGGCAAACTGGTGGCCCCTGGGCTGGACAAAGCCCCAGTTGGGTTTCATTTGGTCCAATTGTTCCCTAACAGGCAGGACATGTCTACAGCTTGAACTTCCTGTGGATCTGTGACTCTCCAGGTGGGTCTCCCATAGGGCACTGCTCTCCCCTGCCCCTCTAAGCAGGGCATCACTGCCACCTCCTCAGCAGAAATATTCACCTCCTCCCTGGACCATCTGAGATTGAGACCTTGGTTTATAGACCAAGAGGATAAATAATTTGGGAGGTGGAGAGGGGCGGGGTAAAATCCAAGTGGGGGCAGCTTCAGGAAAAGGTTGATCCAGCAGTCACAGAGCCTGGAGCCTGACCCCTCCATTGCCCCTGGCTGACCCTCTCCAGGCCTCAGTTTCCTTCTCTGCAAAATAGGGATGATTAAAAAGACAATACAGTGCTGGGAGGATGAAGTGGTCTGATGTTGGGCAGATCAGGCCGGAGGCTGGACAAGTTCCCGTGGTGGTTCAAGTCACTCATATAGCTGGGTTGGGCCGGGTGCGGTGGCTCATACCTGTGATCCCAGCAATTTGGGAGGCCCAAGCGGGCAGATCACTTGAGGTCAGGAGTTCAAGACCAACATGGTGAAACCCCGTCTCTGCTAAAAATACAAAAAATTAGCCGGGCGTGGTGGCACGTGTCTGTAATCCCAGCTACTCAGGAGGCTGAGGCAGGAGAATCGCTTGAATCCAGGAGGTGGAGGCTGCAGTGAGCCAAGGTCGCGTCACTGCACTCCAGCCTTAGCGACAGAGCGAGACTGTGTCTCAAAAAAAAAAAAAAAGTGTGTGTGTGTGTGTGTGTGTGTGTGTGTACATATAGCTGAGTCGGAGCCCATGGTGGAGGGCGTGGCCCCTGACGCGCTGGCGAGGGTCACCCTGCAACTCTCCCAGGGTTCTCGCAGCCTCAGTTTGGCCATAGGGGAAATGGGCGACCTGGGGAATCCCAGCACCTGTGCGGCGCCCCCGATCGCACTCACCTCCCAGGGCCAACTTCACAGGGTCCCCAGCTGCGGAGCGGGGGTCCCGTGGCTGGGACAGGCGTGGTCCAAGAGTGCTCCCTCCCCTTCAGGGGCAGGGCGTGGAGTCCTTCCCGGACTTCATGACTTGGCGAGGGGCGGGGCCTAGTGGAGGCGGGGCAGGGAGGAGAGGGGCGGGCCTGGCGCGGGCAATCCCTCAACCTGATTGGTCCCCTCGCCCGTCACTCCAGTGCGCCCCCAACCTACCACGCAGTAAAAGCCACCCCCGCCTCGGCCCGGACGGTTTCCAAGCTGGTTTTGAAGTCGCGGCAGCTGTTCCTGGGACGTCCGGTTGACCGCGGTGAGTGGCGGGGGCGTCTCAGTTGAGCTGGGGGGCGGTGTCCATGGAGTCCTGGGGCACCCCAGGGGCCGGAGGGGTCGGGGAGGGCCTTTCTCGGGGTGGGATTTGCTGGACTCTGCGGCCTGGGGAGGGGTCTTCAGCCCAGGCTGGTCACCCCTCCCCCCAGAAAAATCCAACTTCTGCAACGAAGCTCAGACTTTGAAACCCTCTTCTCACTTCCTGGGACTTTTGAGGGGCGAAAGAGCCCCGTAGAAGGGGTGATATTGAAGGGGGTGGGCTAAATACCGCCCCCCGCCCACCAGGTTTTCTCTAAATTTTGAACAGTTTGCTTTTGGAAACGCCATTTGCAGGCAAGTTTCCTCCTGCGGGCAGAATCTCCGCCCTCCCTTCTGGGGTTTTCAGAGACACCCCCCGCCACCGCAAAGCCCCCTCCCCTACAGATGGTTTTGCCACGGGTGGGGGTGGGGGTTGCCCCAGCTCCTGGCGCCCCCAACTGATTCTGGGGAGGTCTTGGGCAAAGCCTGCCCACTTCCCTCGGGTGGGCGTGGCGACGAGGTGGCTTAAAAGTAGGAAGGCCTATCCGTTAACTGCTTTGGGGTTCTTGTCCCGGCTAGGCCTGGCAGTGGGACCTGGGGCCCTTGGAATTTTGGAAGTCCAGTCTTAGCATGCTCTGAAGTTGCTGGATGGCTGGGTCTGGCCTGGAGCTCCCCTTCTGGAGCCAGCGGCAAGGCAGGTCACTGACCCCCAGGGGTTTCATAGGGTGTTGACATCTGCCATGGCCACCCTTGCTTAAACCAGTTCCAGGAAGTCATGGTGGACAGAGGGGACGGGAGGAAGCTGCCTGAGTCCTAAGTGGGACTTGAGAATCGGTCGAGGCCAGGAGTTTGATGCCTGCCTACCTGGCCCCCTGCCCAGGTGAGCTCAGGCTCCAAAGGAGGTGAGGAGAAGCACAGATTTAGGCAATGATCACTGGGAGGTAGGTATGTCTTCTCACCTGACTTCCCAGTTGGGGGACTTTTGTACCTAGCAGGAAGCTGGTTCCTGGCTGGCTTTACCCCTTTGTCCGTGGAAGCCAGAGTGCGGTGAGATAGTTTATGGAGCACTTACTATGTGCCGGGCACGGATCTGAGCTTCCCCGGAGCAGCGTCTCCTCCAGTCCACAGGGACTCCAGGCTCTTGTGAAACACTTATACACATTTCACAGATGTGGCAAGCAAGACTCCTAGGGGATGCTGCCTTCCCAAACTCCTATTCCTAGTGAGTTGCCAAGCTGGGATTAGAACCCATTCTGGGCTGGGCAGGATGACTCACGCCTATAATCCCAGCACTTTGGGAGGCTGAGGTGGGCGGATCATTTGAGGTCAGGAGTTGGAGAACAGCCTGGCCAACATGGTGAAACCCCACCTCTACTAAAAATATAAAAATTAGCCGGACGTGGTGGCGGGCACCTGTATTCCCAGATACTCTGGAGGCTGAGGCAGGAGAATCGCTTGAACCTGGGAGATGGAGGTTACACTGAACTGAGATCACGCCACTGCATTCCAGCCTGGGCGACAGAGCAAGACTCTGTCTCAAAAAAAAAAAAAGGCCGGGCATGGTGGCTCACGCCTGTAATCCCAGCATTTTCGGAGGCCGAGGCGGGCGGATCATGAGGTCAGGAGATCGAGACGATCCTGGCTAACATGGTGAAATCCCATCTCTACTAAAAATACAAACAATTAGCCAGGCGTGGTGGCGGGCGCCTGTGGTCCCAGCTACTCGGGAGGCTGAGGCAGGAGAATGGCGTGAACCGGGGAGGCAGAGCTTGCAGTGAGCTGAGATCGCGCCACTGCACTCCAGCGTGGGCGACAGGGCGAGACTCCGTCTCAAAAAAAAAAACAAAAAAAAAAAAATGGAAAGAACCCAATCTGGACTCCAGATCTAGTGCTTGCAAAACATCATCATTTTGCTGGGTTCTGCTTAGGGGACATCGAAGCAAGGCCACCAGGAGGTGGGGCCTCATTCCTCTGGGAAAAGATGCTCAGACTCAAGGCCACAGGTTCTTAGGCTCACACCAGAATTCCCCAGGAAAGCAGCCCATAAGACAGGCATGACCTTTAGCCCCATGTTTTTTTTTTTTTGAAACGGAGTCTCCCTCTGTCACCCGGGCTGGAGTGCAGTGGTGCGATCTCGACTCACTGCAACCTCCACCTCCCAGGTTCAAGCAATTCTCCTGCCTCAGCCTCCTGTGTAGCTGGGACTACAGGTGTCAGCCAAAATACACGGCTAATTTTTGTATTTTTAGTAGAGATGGGGTTTCACCATGTTGGTCAGGCTGGTCTCAAACTCCCGACCTTAGGTGATCTGCCCGCCTCAGCCTCCCAAAGTGCTGGGATTACAGGCGTGAGCTACCATGCCTGGCTTTTTCTTTTTTCTTTGAGATGGAGTCTTCCTCTGTCACCCAGGCTGGAGTGTAGTGGCGCAGTCTTGGCTTACTGCAACCTCCGCCTCCCAGGTTGAAGCAATTCCCCTGCCTCAGTCTCCCAAGTAGCTGGGACTACAGGCGCCCGCCACCACACCCGCACCTAATTTTTGTATTTTTAGTAGAGACAGTGTTTCAGTATGTTGGCCAGGCTGCTCTTGAACTCCTGACCTCATGATCCACCCACCTCAGCCTCCCAGCGTGCTGGGATTACAGGTGTGAGCCACCATGCCCGACCCTTTAGCCTCATATTACAGGTAAGATGACCGAGGCCAGAGGAGGGGAAGGCGCCTTGCTCCAGGGAGCATAGCGTAGGTGGAGCTGGGACTCCTGGCTTCCCCCTGAGAATCTCTTCTGATGATGGTGTCCCAGCTTCATTTCACTAGTCCAGGAAAAGGGAGTTGTGGCTTCATCCCGCTTACATAGACTCACCTGGGGAACCCCGTCCTCCCCACACCCCTGACCTGGACTTCATAGCTCTGCGGTGCAGGCAGGCATGTTATCTCACTTTTTAAAAAAAGCCTAAATTTTGGCTGGGTGCGGTGGCTCACAGCTGTAATCCTAGCAGTTTGGGAGGCCAAGGTGGGCAGATCCCTTGAGCTCAGGAGTTCAAGACCAACCTGGGCAACATGGCAAAACCCCATCTACTAAAAAACAAACAAACAAAACAACAACAACAACAAAAAAAAAAACAAACCACGGCTGAGTGCAGTGACTCATCCTGTAATCCCAGCACTTTGGGAGGCTGAGGCGGGTGGATCACGAGGTCAGGTGTTCAAGACCAGCCTGACCAACATAGTGAAACCCCATCTCTACTAAAAATACAAAAAATTAGCCAGACGTGGTGCACACCTGTAATCCCAGCTACTCAGGAGGCTGAGGCAGGAGAATCGCTTGAACCCAGAAGGCGGAGGTTACAGTGAGCCGAAATCACGCCACTGCACCCCAGCCTGGATGACAGAGCAAGACTCCCTGTCCAAAAAAAAAAAACAAAACCACACACACACACACACACACACACACACACACACACACACACACACACACACTAGCCAGGTGTGGTGGTGCGTGCCTGTAGTCCCAGCTACTTGCAGGGTCAAGGTGGGAGAATTGCTTGAGCGTAGGAGACAGAGGTTGCAGTGAGCCAAGATCGCACCACTACACTGCAGCCTGGGCGACAGAGCGGAAATCCGTCTCAAGAAAGAGAAGAAAGTTTGCCCTATTTAACACATTTTATCCCTTGACTAGATCTTTGTTCATGTCATGTCAGTTACATTTAGTCTTTTGTTTGTTTTGTTTTGTTTTCTTTTTTTTTTTTTTGAGATGGAGTCTCGCTCTGTCACCCAGGCTGGAGTGCAGTGGTGCAATACCAGGTCACTGCAACCTCCACCTCCTGGGTTCAAGCGATTCTCCTGCCTCAGCCTCCTGAGTAGCTGGGATAACTAAACATGGAGGCGTGCACCACCACGCCTGGCTAATTTTTGTATTTTTAGTAGAGACGGGGTTTTGCCATGTTGGCCAGGCTGGTCTCCACCTCCTGACCTCAGGTGATCCTCCTGCCTCGGCCTCCCAAAGTGCTGGGATTAGAGGTGTGACCCACCACATCTGGCCCATGTGAGTTACATTTAAATCTCTTTTTTTTTTTTTTTTGAGACAGAGTTTCGCTCCTGTTGCCCAGGCTGGAGTGCAGCGGCGCGATCTCGGCTCACTGCAACTTCCGCTTCCCGGGTTCAAGTAACTCTCCTGCCTCAGCCTCCTGAATAGCTGGGATTACAGGCATTCGCCACCATGCCTGGCTAATTTTATATTTTTAGTAGAGATGGGGTTTCTCCATGTTGGTCAGGCTGGTCTCGAACTCCTGACCTCAGGTGATCCACCCGCCTTGGCCTCCCAAAGTGCTGGGATTACAGGCGTGAGCCACCGCACCCGGCCTTTAAATCTCATTCTTTAGCCACTGCATTGGGATACACTTATTTTTGTTTTTGTGTTTTGAGACGGAGTCTCACTCTGTTGCCCAGGCTGGAGTGCAGTGGCGCGATCTCACCTCACTGCAACCTCCGCCTCCTGGGTTCAAGCGATTCTCCTGCCTCAGCCTCCTGAGTAGCTGGGATTACAGGCGCCCACCATCATGCCTGGCTAATGTTTGTATTTTTAGTAGAGACGGGGTTTCACTATGTTGGCCAGGCTGGACTCGAACTCCTGACCTCGTGTTCCACCCACCTCGGCCTCCCAAAGTGCTGGGATTACAGGCGTGAGCCACTGTGTCTGGCCACACTTGTTGTTTTCTTATTCCCCTTTTGCTGGGCATCCAGGTTGTTTCCAGTGTCATGTTGTGGCCAGTAAGTCCACACAGCTCTGCTCATGTGGAAACACAGGTGTGGGTTCTTCCCCGAAGTGAGGTTTCTGGGTCAAGGGGAAGATGGCTCTTGGAACTTGACAGCTATTGGCAAATTGTCCTCTACAGAGGTTTTAGGTCATACCTGGCTTGCTGGAGTACAGGTGAGCCCTGAAGGGACTGTTCCCAAGCCTTGCTTCCTGACGTGTGTCCCAGGGACCAGCTGCATCAACACTGCCTGGGAGCCTTTTAGAAATGCAGGGTCAGGGCCGGGCATGGTGGCTCACTCCTGTAATCCCAGAACTTTGGGAGTCCAAGGCAAGAGGATTGTTTGAGACCAGGAATTCGAGACCAGCCTGGGCAACATAGCAAGATACCATTGGCCAGGCACAATGGCTCACACCTATAATCCCAGCACTTTGGGAGGCCGAGGCGGGCGGATCACGAGGTCAGGAGATCAAGACCATCCTGGCCAACATGGTGAAAACCCGTTTCTACTAAAAAAATACAAAAAATTGGCCAGGTGTAGTGGCACACGCCTGTAGTCCCAGCTACTGGGAAGGCTGAGGCAGGGGAATTGCTTGAACGTGGGAGGTGGAGGTTACAGTGAGCCGAGATCGTGCCACTGCACTCCAGCCTGGCGACAGAGCAAGACTCTGTCTCAAAAAAAAAAAAAAAAGATAACATCTCTACCCAAAAAGAAAAAATTAAGTAGGCGTGGTGGTGTGTGCCTATAGTCCTAGTTACTTGGGAAGCTGAGGCAGGAGGATCCCTTAAGCCCAGGAGTTAGAGGCTGCAGTGAGCTGTGATTGTACCACTGTACTCCAGCCTGGGTGACAGAGCAAGACCCTGTCTTTAATGAGAAAAAAAAAAAAGAAAGGATCAGGTGTGGTGGCTCACACCTGTAATCCCAGCACTTTGGGAGGCCAAGGTGGGTGGAACACAAGGTCAGGAGTTCAAGACTAGCCAGGCCAATATGGTGAAACCCCGTCTCTACTAAAAATACAAAAATTAGCTGGGCGTGGTGGTGGGTGCCTGTAATCCAGCTACTCGGGAGGCTAAGGCAGGAGAATTGCTTGAAACCAGGAGGCGGAGGTTGCAGTGAGCCCAGGTTGCCCCACTGCACTCCATCCTGGGCGACAGAGTGAGACTGTCTCCAAAGAAAATAAAGAAAAAAAAAAAGAAATAGGGGGCCAGGTGAGCCCCATCCCGAAGCTTTAGAATCAGCACTTGCTATTGAACAAAGTCCAGAGGTCACTCTTGTGCCTGCTAAGGACTGAAAGACACAGCTGTAAGTCATGGGCAGGTGTGAACCCTGTCTTCCAGCTGCAGCGTGGGCCTGGACTTTCTCCTGGAAGGTGGGGCCAGGCAGGCTGTACCTGACTGTTCCTCTCTCCTCAGCGTCTGCTGCAGAGACCATGTCTGCCGACGGGGCAGAGGCTGATGGCAGCACCCAGGTGACAGTGGAAGAACCGGTACAGCAGGTGAGGAAGGGCCGGGACCAGGGACTGCCCCGACCCTGTGATTCCCGTGCAAGGAGGCTTCCCACCCCAGGGTGCCCTGGCAGGGAGCCAGGGATCTGCCGGCAGCTCACGGAGCCAGAGGGATTTATTCCTCAGTGGGGTATGGACCACTCACTGGTGTCCCCAGTTGGGAGGGGGGAATCTCAAAGGCCCTTGGAGGGCCTGAGGGAGCAGGGTTCTGTCTGAAACTACCTGCCCTCCCCAACCCCTGAGCCAAATCATCCTCACCTCTGAAGGCTCTCTCAGGGACGTCCTAGGAGGCCAGTTTCTATTCCAGATCTCTCATCCTCAGGTGATTTTATTTTATGTATATATTTTTGAGATGGAACCTTGCTGTGTCGCCCAGCCTGGAGTGCAGTGGTGACATCTTGGCTCACTGCAACCTCTGCCTCCTGGGTTCAAGCAATTCTCCTGCCTCAGCCTCCCAAGTAGCTGGGGTAACAGGCATGTGCCACCACGCCCGGCTAATTTTTGTATTTTTAGTAGAGACGGAGTTTCACCATGTTGGCCAGGCTAGTCTCAAACTCCTGACCCAAAGTGACCCACCCGCCTCGGTCTCCCAAAGTGCTCGGATTACAGGCGTGAGCCACTGCTCCTGGCCCCAAAAATAATTAAAATTTAAAAATCAAGTGGTGCGCTGGCTGTGACCCATGGGCTGTGGTCTACAGCCCCCGGTTTAGACCCTAACTGCCATGAGAATGGAACTGTTGTCCCTTATCACCACCTGGCACATCGCTGGGATAAAGTGCAGGCTCATGTAAATAGCCTGTGTTCAAGGAAGCACGTGGGCTGAGTGCGGTGGCTCACGCCTGTAATCCCAGCACTTTGGGAGGCTGAGGTGGGCGAATCACGAGGTCAGGAGTTCAAGACCAGCCTGGCCAACATGGTGAAACCCCATCTCTACTAAAAATACAAAAAAATTAGCTGGGCGTGGTGGCACCCGTAATCCCAGCTACTCAGGAGGATGAGGCAGGAGAATCGTTTGAACCTGGGAGGTGGAGGTTGCAGTGAGCTGAGATCGCATCAGTGCACTCCAGCCCGGGCAACAGTGCAAGACTCCGTTTCAAAAATAAAATAAAAATAAAGGAAGCACGTGGCGAAACCCCAAGGTTCCTGGCTTGTGCAACTGCCTGGATGCAAAGTGTGGGTAAACTGAGCCGTTTCACTGGCCAGGAGTAAGAGCAAAACTGCAGGGCACCCTGAGTTTCCGGCTGAGCTCCCCATCTTCCCCCACCCAGTTTGCCTGAGCCACTTCTCTCCTGTAGCCCAGTGTGGTGGACCGTGTGGCCAGCATGCCTCTGATCAGCTCCACCTGCGACATGGTGTCCGCAGCCTATGCCTCCACCAAGGAGAGCTACCCGCACATCAAGACTGTCTGCGACGCAGCAGAGAAGGGAGTGAGGACCCTCACGGCGGCTGCTGTCAGCGGGGCTCAGCCGATCCTCTCCAAGCTGGAGCCCCAGAGTGGGTGAAGTCCCAGGGGGCACTGAATTCCCCTCCTGGTCATTTCCCTGGGTGGGGAGTAGGGGGGTCTACCCAGCTCTTGGTCCTGTCCCCCTGAACCATTACTAGGTGACCTTCCAGCAGTCACATTTGCGTCTTAATTGTTGTTGGCAGTTGCATCAGCCAGCGAATACGCCCACAGGGGGCTGGACAAGTTGGAGGAGAACCTCCCCATCCTGCAGCAGCCCACGGAGAAGGTAACGATGTCCGTCCTCAGGGGCTCTGTCGAGACAGGGACCTACCTGGGTGTGGAGTGCGCTGGTCCCAGCTTAACTAGACAAGCTTGATGGCATCCTCCCTGCTGCCTCTCCTGTCGGTTCCCATCCCCACCCCGAATCCACTCCCCACAGGGTAGCTGGAGGAATAATTGCAAAGCCAGCCAGATTACAGGCGCCTGCAACCATGCCCATCTAGTTTTTGTATTTTTAGTAGAGATGGGGTTTCACCATGTTGGCCGGGCTGGTCTCGAACTCCTGACCTCAGGTGATCCAGCTGCCTCAGCCTCTCAAAGTGCTGGGATTATAGGAATGAGCCACGGTGCCCAGCCCACTTGTTTTTATAATAAAGTTTTATTGGCACACAGCCATGCCCATTTATTTACATATTGTCTATGACTGCTTTCACCCTACAATGGCAAGGTTGAGTAGTTGTGACAGAGACTGTGACCCACAGTACTGAAAATCTTAGTTACGTGGCCCTTTACACAGAATGTTGCCACCTCCATAACTTATTAGTCAGAAAAGGTTGGCGGCAGGAAAGTCAAAACATCAAAACACCATGTTCCTGGCCGGGCGCGGTGGCTCATGCCTGTAATCCCAGCACTTTGGGAGGCCAAGGCGGGAGGATCACCTGAGGTTGGGAGTTTGAGACCAGCCTGACCAACATGGAGAAACCCCGTCTCTACTAAAAATACAAAATTTATCTGGGTGTGGTAGCGGGTGCCTGTAATCCCAGCTACTCGGGAGGCTGAGGCAGGAGAATTTCTTGAACCCTGGAGGCGGAGGTTGCAGTGATCCGAGATCATGCCATTGCACTCTAGCCTGGGCAGCAAGAGTGAAACTCCATCTCAAAAAAAAAAAAAAAAACCAAAAAAACACCATATTCTGGCCAGGCGCGGTGGCTCATGCCTGTAATCCCAGTACTTTGGGAGGCTGAGGTGGGCGGATCACAAGGTCAGGAGATCGAGACCATCCTGGCAAACACAGTGAAACCCCATCTCTACTAAAACTACAAAAAAAAAAATTAGCTTGGCGTGGTGGCGTGTGCCTGTAGTCCTAGTTACTCGGGAGGCTGAGGCAAGAGAATCACTTGAACCCAGGAGACGGAGGTTGCAGTGAGCTGAGATCGCGCCACTACACTCCAGCCTGGGCGACAGAGCGAGACTCTGTCTCAAAAACAACAAAACAAAAAAAACACCATGTTCCAAACTGTGTCCTGCCCCTCAGCAGCTGGGTGGCCCTCACACAAGTTACTTTGCCTCTGTGGGCCTCACTTTTTTTTTTTTTTTTTTTTTTTTGAGACGGGGTCTTGCTCTGTTGCCAGGCTGGTGTGCAGTGGTGCAATCTCGGCTCACTGCAACCTCCACCTCCGGGTTCCAGCGATTCTCCTGCCTCAGGCTGCTGAGTAGCTGGGGTTGCAGACGTCTGCCACCACGCCTAGCTAATTTTTGTATTTTTAGTAGAGACGGGGTTTCACCAAGTTGGCCAGGATGGTCTCAATCTCTTGACCTCGTGATCCTCCCGCCTCGGCCTCCCAAAGTGCTGGGATTACAGGCATGAGCCACTGTGCCCGGCCCCCTCTTTTTTTTTTTAAGATGGAGTTTCGCTCTTGTTGCCCAGGCTGGAGTGCACTGGTGCAGTTTCAGCTCACTGCAACCTCCACCTCCCAGGTTCAAGCGATTCTCCCGCCTCAGCCTCCCGAGTGGCTGGGATTACAGACATGTGCCACCACACCTGGCCAATTTTTGTATTTTTAGTAGAGATGGGGTTTTACCATGTTGGTCAGGCTGGTCTCGAGCTCCCGACCTCAGGTGATCCACCTGCCTTGGCCTCCCAAAGTGTTGGGATTACAGACATGAGCCACCAGGCCCAGCCTGGGTCCCACTTTCTTTTCTACAGAATGGCAATGCTGACCTGGGGTTAACACCTGAAGGCCCAGAACAGCACATGGCTTGTAGCAAATGTTGGCTCTTAACATTAAAAAAAAAAATTTTTTTTTTGAGACAGGTTCTCACTCTGTCACCCAGGGTGGGGTGCAGTAGTGTGATCATGGCTCAACTGCAGCCTTGAACTCCTGGGCTCAAGTGATCCTCCCATCTCAGCTTCCCAAGTAGCTGGGACCACAGGCATGCACCACCATGCCTGGCTATTTTTAATTTTTTGTAGAGACGAGTTTTCACCATGTTGCCCAGGCTGTTCTCAGACTCCTGGGCTCAACAGATCCTCCTGCCTCAGCCTCCTGAGTAGCTGGGACTAGGTGCATCCACCACGCCTGGCTAATTTTTGTACTTTTTGTCAAGACGGAGTCTCGCCATATTGCCCAGGCCGGTCTCCAACTCTTGGGCTCAAGCAATCCTCCTGCCTCAGCCCCACAAAGTGCTAGAATTATAGGAGTGTGCCACTGTGCCCTACCTCAGTTTCCCTTAATCACCGCTTTTTAAAGACCCTGTCTCTAAATACAGCCACATTCTTACCCCTGGGGATCAGGACTTCAACATAAGAATTTGGGGTTGAGGGGGCCATAATTCAACCTATAACAGCCTGGGATGAAAAAATGAGGCACAGACCAGGCGTGGTGGCTCACGCCTTACTCCCAGCACTTTGGGAGGCCGAAGCGTGCAGATCACTTGAGATCAGGAGTACGAGACCAGCCTGGCCAACATGGTGAAACCCTGTGTCTACTAAAAATTCAAAAATCAGCCAGGCGTGATGGTGAGTTCCTATAATCTCAGCTACTCGGGAGGCTGAGGCACGAGTATCACTTGAACCTGGGAGGCAAGAGGTTGCAGTGAGCCGAGATCGTGCCACCACGCTCCAGCCTGGGCAACAGAGCAAGGCTCTGTCTCAAAAAAAAAAAAAAAAACACCCTCCTTCAGATAAGTGTGAGGCTTAATCGGTTATTGTTTGTCTCCCCAGCTGGGACCAGGGCACAGGCTGCCTGCTTTGTGGCTGTGTCCAGTGCCCAGCAGGCAGCCTGGCACAGGGTAGATGCTTATTTTTTTAGTTTTTTGAGACAGAGTGTTGCTCTTGTTGCCCAGGCTGGAGTGCAATGGTGCGATCTCGGCTCACTGCAACCTCCGCCTCTCGGGCTCAAGCGATTCTCCTGCCTCAGCCTCCCGAGTAGCTGGGATTACAGGCATGCACCACCATGCCTGGGTAATTTTATCTTTTTAGTAGAGATGGGGTTTCTCCATGTTGGTCAGGCTGGTCTCGAACTCCCAACCTCAGGTGATCTGCCTGCCTCGGCCTCCCAAAGTGCTGGGATTACAGGTGTGAGCCACCGCGCCCTGCAGATAGATGCTTATTAAGTATTCAGGTGCTCCATGTCCGCTTCAGCCCAGTGGTTACAGAAGGGCCACCCTCGGGTACCACCTGCTTGTGTCTGGGTCTGTAGCATCAGAAATAGGTGATCCCTGGGTTGGAGGCAGGACAAGCCAGCCGCATCCCAGCATCCTTGGACTTTCCCTGAGACCACCTGCAGGGACAGGCAGCTTATTCATCCACTTGCTATTGAGTGCCTACTGTATGCCGGGGAGCTGTGCTGTCCCATCATGGTTAGACTTCCTCACCTCCCATTTATGCAGAAATGGCCTTAGCTGGGAAACAGCAGAGCGGTTGTCAACTTGCATTTTTTTTTTTTTTTTGAGACAAGGTCTTGCTCTGTAGCCCAAGCTAGAGTGCAGTGGCGTGATCTTGGCTCACTACAGCCTTGACCTCCTAGACTTAGGCAATCCTCCCAGCTCTCAGCCTCCTGAGAAGCTGGGACTACAGGTGTGCACCACCACACCTGACTAATTTTTTAATTTTTTGTAGGAATGGGGTCTTGCTATATTGCCCAGGCTGGTCTCAAACTCCCAGGCTAGCCAGGCACGGTGGCTCACGCCTGTAATCCCAGCACTTTGGGAGGCCGAGGCGGGCGGATCACGAGATCAGAACAACAGAGCGAGACTCCATCTCAGAAACAAAACAAAAAACAAACTCCTGGGCTCAAGCAATCCTCCTGCCTGCCTTGGCTTCCCAAAGTGCTGGGATTATAGTTGTGAGCCACTATGCCCAGCCATGCCTACACCTTATCAGCAAAGGCCAATAGTGGGCTTGGCTGAGGGGGGATGGAAACTGCTGAGCTTACAGGAAGATGGGAAACGTCAACCAGGAGCCCCCGTCTCAGGGCCAAGCCCTTGCTTCCCTTTCTCTCCCACTGATAGCGTAGGAGGCCAACAGTCTTTCTGTTTATAGAAGGGATAAGCTCAGGGTGAATTCTTCAAGGTCACTGAACAGAGCAGCAGCTGGGAGCTTTTTTTTTTTTTTTTTTTTTTTTTCAGATGGAGTCTCGTTCTGTTGCCCAGGCTGGAATGCAGTGGCGTGATCTCAGCCCACTGCAACCTCTGCCTCCTGGGTTCAAGTGATCCTCCTGCCTCAGCCTCCCAAGTAGCTGGGATTATAGGCGCCCATCACTACGCCCAGCAAATTTTTGTATTTTTAGTAGAGATGGGGTTTCACCATGTTGGCCAGGCTGGTCTCGAACTCCTGACCTCAGGTGATCCAGCTGCCTTGGCCTCCCAAAGTGCTGGGATTATAGGCGTGAGTCACCGTGCCCGGCCAATTTTTGTATTTTTTGTAGAGGTGAGGTCTTACTATGTTGCCCAGGCTGTTCTCACACTTCTGGGCCCAAGCGATCCTCCCACCTCAGCCTCCCAAAGTGCCGGGATGACAGGTGTGAGCCACCGTGCCTGGCCTGCTGTGAGCTCTTGACTTTTTGAGAGGTGCAATGCTCTCTCAATTCTGGGCCCTATGAGTTTTTTCCCCCTTTGTGAAGAGGTAACTTTCCCCAGGTTCTGGGGGACGGTGGTGTTGTCAGAGCTAGATTTTAATCCGGGCCAGTGTGAGAACGTGCGTGTTCACTGAGTAGTGGGGCTGTTAGAACCTGACTCTCATCGGGGGCGTTGGCTCATGCTGGCTCACACAGTGAAACCCCGTCTCTACTAAAAATACAAAAAATTAGCCGGCCGTGGCAGTGCACGCCTGTAGTCCCAGCTGCTGGGGAGGCTGAGGCAGGAGAACCGCTTGAACCTGGGAGGTGGAGGTTGCGGTGAGCCGAGATAGTGCCACTGCACTCCAGCCTGGGTGACAAGAGCAAAAACTCTGTAAAAAAAAACAAAAACAAAAACAAAAAACTTGACTCTCACACCCTCTTCCCCCACAAAAAGATGAACTCTCATGAGTACAAGAGGACTGAGTCTTCAGGGAAGCACCAACTTGGGTAGGAATGGGGCAGGTGTGGTTTTCAACTTTGCGGAGAGCCCTCTGCATAGAGATCTGTCTAAAGACTTAGCTTCAGCTGGACACAGTGGCTCATGTCGGTCATCCCAGCACTTTGGGAGGCCAAAGCAGGAGGACTGCTTGAGGCCAGGAGTTCGAAACCAGCCTGGGCAACATGGAGAGTCCTTGTCTCTACAAAAAATAAAAAAATAAGCCGGGTGTGGTGGTGCGTACCTGTAGTCTCAGCTACTTGGGAGGCTGAGGTGGGAGGATCGCTGGAGCCGAAGAGGTCAAGGCTTGAGTAAGCTATGATTGCACCACTGCACTCCAGCCTGAGTGACACAGTGAGACCCTGTCTCAAAAGAAAAAAAAAAAAAAGACTTAGATTCGAGAACAGCAGGTATTGACAGATGAGCGCTCACCATGTGCTGGGTGGGGCGTAGTCAAAGGATTCCATGCAAAGCTTTTTTTTGTTTGTTTGTTTTTGTTTTTTTTTGGAGACAGAGTCTCTCTCTGTCACCCAGGGTGGAGTGCAGTGGTGCAGTCTCGGCTCACTGCAAACTCCACCTCCCGGGTTCAAGGGATTCTCCCGCCTCAGCCTCTTGAGTAGTAAGGATTACAGACATGCACCACTGCACCCGGCTAATTTTTTGTATTTTTTGTCTCTACAAAAAATAAAAAATAAGGCTGGGCGCAGTGGCTCATGCTTGTAATCCCAGCACTTTGGGAGGCCCAGGCAAGTGGATCCCCTGATGTCAGGAGTTCAAGACCAGCCTGGCCAACATGGTGAAACCCGTCTCTACTAAAAATACAAAAATCGGCTCGGCATGGTGGCATGTGCTTGTAATCCCAGCTACTTGGGAGGCTGAGGCAGGAGAATCACCTGAACCCACGTGGCAGAGGTTGCAGTGAATCGAGATTGCACCATTGCACTCTAGCCTGGGCAACAAGAGTGAAACTCCGCCTCAAAAAAATTAATAAATAAATAAAAATAAAAGATAAAAAATAGCCACGAGTGGTGGTACGTGCCTGTGGTCACAGCTACTCGCTGGGGAAGCTGAGGTGGGAGGCTCACTTGAGCCCAGGAGGTGGAGTTTGTAGTGAGCCGAGATTGTGCCACCGCACTCCACCTGGGTGACAGAGGGAGACTCCATCTCAAAAGAAAAAAAATTAAATTGAAAAAAAAAAACAAAAAACAGGCAGAGTGCAGTGGCTCATGCCTGTAATCCTAGCACTTTGGGAGGCTGAGGTGGGCGGATCACTAGGTCAGGAGTTTGAGACCAGCCTGACCAACATGGTGAAACCCCATCTCTACTAAAAATACAAAATTAGCCTGGCGTGGTGGCGCATGCCTGTAATCCCAGCTACTCGGGAGGCTGAGGCAGGAGAATCGCTTGAACCCAGGAGGCGGAGGTTACAGTGAGCCGAGATCACACAATTGCACTCCAGCCTGGGCAACGAGAGTGAAACTCCATCTCAACAACAGCAACAACAAAAAACAATTAGCCAGGCATGGTGGCGGGCACCTGTAATCCCAGCTGCTTCGGAGGCTGAGGCAGGAGAACTGCTTGAACCCGGGAGACAGAGGTTGCAGTGATCTGAGATGGTGTCACTGCACTCCAGCCTGGGCAAGAGAGCAAGACCCTGTCTCCAAAAAAAAAAAAGAAAGAAAGAAATGAGGTACAGGGAGGTAGAGTGACTTTCCTGAAGCCACACAGCTGAGAAGTAGCTAGCTAGGAACGGAGCCTAGGTAGTCTGGCTGCAGAGTATGAGGTCATGCCCACAACTCCAGACTCAGGGTCACCTGGGGGATGGCGCTCCCTGCCTCAGTCTCCCTGGAAGTTGGGGTGCAGGGGAGGGGTGCCCACATACAGAGGGAAGACGGAGATGCTGGGGTCACCCGGGGGATGGCGCTCCCCGCCTCGGTCTCCCTGGAAGTTGGGGTGCAGGGGAGGGGTGCCCAGATATGGAGGGAAGGCAGAGATGCTGATGCTGTTGCATCTCCTAGGTCCTGGCGGACACCAAGGAGCTTGTGTCGTCTAAGGTGTCGGGGGCCCAAGAGATGGTGTCTAGCGCCAAGGACACGGTGGCCACCCAATTGTCGGAGGCGGTGGACGCGACCCGCGGTGCTGTGCAGAGCGGCGTGGACAAGACAAAGTCCGTAGTGACCGGCGGCGTCCAATCGGTCATGGGCTCCCGCTTGGGCCAGATGGTGTTGAGTGGGGTCGACACGGTGCTGGGGAAGTCGGAGGAGTGGGCGGACAACCACCTGCCCCTTACGGATGCCGAACTGGGTAAGTGTGGCCAGCGGGCTGCTCTGGGACCCCTCCCCAGGCCCCCTGACCGGAAGCCGCTGTCGGCCTCCTGGGGTCTGTGCCGACACTCACTGCCGCCTCGTCCCTGCCACTTCTCCCGGGCATCTTGGAATCTCATCACTAACGCAGTCCCCTCTGTCCTGCTCACCAGCTCCCGCCCTCATCCACCACAGTCTCCTCCCCACAGCAGCCACCAGAGGGCGCCTGTGACCACCTGAGTCAGAACCCGTCCCTCTGCCCACAGCCCTCCATGGACCCCACCTCCCCTGGGGTCAAAGCCCAAGTCCTCGTCACAGCCCACAAGGTCCTGCACAACCTCCCCTGTCCTCTCCCCGCCCTCCTCCTCTTCCCCCTTCGCCACTCCGCTCCTGCATAAATACGTGACTAAACTTGAGATCTCACTGAACTGTGACAACAATGCTGGTGTTCCCGCCAGGCCAGACATCCCACTCCAGTCATCTCGGTCACATATTCGCACTCCCTGCACTGTTTATTTGATATTCTTCTTTAATTAATTTATTTATTTATTTAGAGACAGAGTCTCGCCCTGTCACCTAGGCTGGAGTGCAATGGCGTGATCTCAGCTCACTGCAACCTCTGCCTCCTGGGTTCAAGCGAGTCTCCTGCCTCATCCTCCTGAGTAGCTGGGATTACAGGCACCTGCCACCACACAGCTAATTTTTTGTATTTTTAGTAGAAACGGGGTTTCACTATGTTGGCCAGGCTGGTCTCGAACTCCTGACCTTGTGATCTGCCCACCTCGGCCTCCCCAAGTACTGGGATTACAGGTGTGAGCCACCATGCCCGGCCCTTTTTTATTTATTTGTTTTAGAGATAGAGTCTCACTCTCTTGCCCAGGCTGAAGTGCAGTGGTGCGATCATAGCTCAATGCAGCCTCCAACTCCTGGGTTGAGGCGAGCCTCCCATCTCAGCCTCCGAGTAGCTGGGACTACAAGCACACACCATCACGCCCAACTAATTTTTCTTTATTTAATTTTTGGTAAAGACGGGGTCTCCCTCTGTCATCCCAGCTGATCCAGAACTCCTTGGCTGGAGTGATCCTACTGCTTTAGCCCCCCAAAGTGCGGGGATTGGGATTTTTGCAAATAAGTAGCTTAGGATATAGGCAGGGCGCGGTGGCTCAGCCTGTAATCCCAGCACTTTGGTGGGCCGAGGTGGGCAGATCACCTGAAGTCAAGAGTTTGAGACAAGCCTGGCCAACATGGTGAAACCCGGTCTCTACTAAAAATACAAAAATTAGGCCGGGCACGGTGGGTCAC
Organism: Homo sapiens; assembly: GCF_000001405.40. Lineage (NCBI taxonomy): Eukaryota > Metazoa > Chordata > Mammalia > Primates > Hominidae > Homo > Homo sapiens. The sequence goes on along the minus strand of NC_000019.10, from coordinate 4,850,714 downwards.
GCCTGTAATCCCAGCACTTTGGGAGGCCAAGGCCGGGCGGATCACAGGTTCAGGAGATCGAGACCATCCTGGCTAACACAGTGAAACCCCATCTCTACTAAAAAAAAAAAAAAAAAAAAAAAAAAAATTAGCCGGGCGTGGTGGCGGGTGCCTGTAGTCCCAGCTACTCGGGAGACTGAGGCAGGAGAATGGCATGAACCTGGGAGGCGGAGCTTGCAGTGAGCCGAGATCATGCCACTCCACTCCAGCCTGGGCAATAGAGCTAGACGCCGTCTCAAAAAAATAATAATAATAAAATAAACATTAGCCAGGTGCGGTGGCAGGCGTCTGTAATCCCAGCTACTTGGGAGGCAGAGGTTGCAGTGAGCCAAGATTGGGCCGCTGCACTCCAGCCTGGGCGACAGAGTGAGACTCCATCTCAAAAAAAAAAAAGCATGGGTACAGTAGGAGCAGGATTAAATAAATACATGCAGCTGGGCGCAGTGGCTCATGGCTGTAATCCCAGTACTTTGGGAGGCTGAGGCGGGTGGAGGTTGAGGTCGGGAGTTCGAGACAAGCCTGACCAACATAAAGAAACCCTATCTCTACTAAAAATACAAAATTAGCCAGGCATGGTGGCGCATCCCTGTAATCCCAGCTAACTCGGGAGGCTGAGGCAAGAGAATGGCTTGAATCTGGGAGGCAGAGCTTGTGGTGAGCCAAGACTGCGCCATTGCACTCCAGCCCAGGCAACAAGAGTGAAACTCCATCTCAAAAAAAATAAAGGCCAGGTGTGGTGACTCATGCCTGTAATCCCAGCACTTTCGGAGGCTGAGGCAGCTGGATCACATGGTCAGGAGTTTGAGACCAGCCTGGCCAACATGGTGAAACCCCATCTCTACTAAAAATACAAAAATTAGCCAAGCATGGTGGCACATTCCTGTAATCCCAGCTACTCAGGAGGCTAAGGCAGGAGAATCACTTGAACCCGGGAGGCGGAGGTTGCAGTGAGCCGAGATCATGCCATTGCACTCCAGCCTGGGCAACAGAGTGAGACTCTGTCTCAAAAAAATAAATAAATAAATAAATAAGTAAATAAATACATGCATATACACATATGAACCTACGAACATGGGATGAGGCCAGGCGTGGTGGCTCACACCTGTCATCCCAGCACTTTGGTGGGAGGATTAGTTAAGCCCAGTAGTTCCAGACCAGCCTGGACAACATAGACCCCATCTCTACAAAAAATTTAAAAATTAGCTGGGTGTGCTAGTGCACGCCTGTAGTCCCAGTTGCTATTTGGGAGCTGAGACAGGAGGATCACTTGAGCCTGGGAGTTCAAGGCTACAGTGAGCTATGATTGCACCGCTGCACTCCAGCCTGGGCAACAGAGCGAGACTGTACTTCAAAATATAAAAACCGACAAAACAAACAGATCTAAACATAGAAAAGGTACAGGAAGCCAGGTGCAATGGCTCACACCTGTAAACCTAGCACTTTGGGAGTCTGAGGCGAGCAGATTGCTTGAGTCCAGGATTTCAAGACCAGCCTGGGCAACATAGTGAGACCCCATTCCTACAAAAAGTACAAAAATTAGCCAGGTGTCTTGCCGTAGTCCCAGCTTTATGTAGTCCCAGCTACTCGGGAGGCCAAGGTTGAAGGATAGCTTGAAGCTGGGAGGTTGAGCCTGCAGTAAGCTGAGGTCGTGCCACTGTACTCCAGCCTGGGCAACAGACCGAGACCCTGTCTAAAAAAAAGAAGAAAAAGTACAGGAAAAATACGGTATATATGGTATTATAATCTTATGGGACCACTGTAGTATATGCAGTCCATTGTTGGCTGAAATGTCATTATTCTCTTTTTTTTTTGAGACGGAGTCTCACTCTCACCCAGGCTGGAGTGCAGTGGTGTGATCTTGGCTCACTGCAGCCTCCACCTCCCGGGTTCAAGCGATTCTCCTGCCTCAGCCTCCTAAGTAGCTGAGATTACAGGCTAGTGCCATCACGCCTGGCTAATTTTTGTATTTTTAGTAGAGATGGGGTAGTGCCATGTTGGCCAGGCTAGTCTTGAACTCCTGACCTCAAGTGATCTGCCCGCCTTGGCCTCCCAAAGGGCTGGCATTACTGGCATGAGCCACTGCACCCGGCCTACGGTATTATAATCTTATGGGACCTCTGTAGTATATGTGATGTATTGCTGGCTGGAATGCTGTTATTCTCTGCAGGACTGCATAATGAACATTCAGGCCTATATTCACAGGTTGTCCAAGGCAGGTCTGGCCTGCAGGCCATAGCTTGAGACCCTCCTGCTAGTCTAAGGTCTCTGATTCCTGTGAGGTTTAATTTTCCTTATCCCCGTTTTGCAGATAGGGAAAACCAAGGCAGAATCCTTTGCTCCCAGGCCTTCGAGGTTTATAAGAAGTAGAACTGGGTTATAAACTGGACAGCATGGCCAGGTGTGGTGGCTCACGCCTATAATCACAGCACTTTTGGAGGCCAGTTCGGATGAATCACTGGAGATCAGGAGTTCGAGACCAGCCTGGCCAACATGGTGAAACCCCGTCTCTACTAAAAATACAAAAATTAGCTGGGCATGGTGGCGGGCGCCTGTAATCTCAGTTACTCGGGAGGCTGAGGCAGGATAATCACTTGAACCCGGGAGGCAGAGGTTGCAGTGAGCCGAGATGACACCACTGCACTCCAACCTGGGCGACAGAGCGAGACTCCATCTCTAAATAAATAAATAAATAAACTGGACAGTGTGATTCTTGGGACTGTCTGCATGGGACGAGCCCAGCTGTGTGTTCTGGTCTTCACAGAGACCCTTCTCCTTTTCCTTGCAGCCCGCATCGCCACATCCCTGGATGGCTTTGACGTCGCGTCCGTGCAGCAGCAGCGGCAGGAACAGAGCTACTTCGTACGTCTGGGCTCCCTGTCGGAGAGGCTGCGGCAGCACGCCTATGAGCACTCGCTGGGCAAGCTTCGAGCCACCAAGCAGAGGGCACAGGAGGCTCTGCTGCAGCTGTCGCAGGTCCTAAGCCTGGTGAGGTTCCAGGGGGTCGGGGCCCTGAGCCAGCAGCCTTCACCCCGCAGCAGACACCCACCCAGAGCTCAGTGGCTTATTGCTCACCCCTCTGCAGGCTGGCAGGGCCATTCCCGCTTGCTCCTGGCACTGTATCTGGTTGTACACTCATTTGCTCAGGATGCTGCCACAAACCACACTGTCTGGGGCCGGGCACAGTGGCTCACACCTCTTTGTGTGAGTCCCTCAAGTGCTTTGGGAGCCCAAGGCAGGAGGATCGCATGAGTCCAGGGGTTTGAGACCCACCTGGGCAATATAGCAAGACCCCATCTCTACAAAAAATAATTTAAAACAATTAGCTGGCTGTGGTGGTGCGTGCCTGTAATCTCAGCTACTTGGGAGGCTGAGGTGGGACGATTGCTTGAGCCCAGGAGTTGGAGGCTGCAGTGAGCTATGATTGTGCCACTGCACTGCAGCCTAGTCAACAGAGCAAGACCCCATCTCAAAAAAAAAAAAAAAATCGTGGCCAGGTGCGGTGGCTCATGCCTGTAATCCCAGCACTTTGGGAGGCTGAGGCGGGTGGATCACGAGGTCAGGAGTTCAAGACCAGCCTGGCCAACATGGTGAAACCCCATCTCTACTAAAAATACAAAAATTAGCCAGGTACAATGGCAGGCACCTGTAATCCCAGCTACTCAGGAGGCTGAGGCAGGAGAATCGCTTGAACCCGGGCGGCAGAGATTGCAGTGAGCCGAGATCATGCTACTGCTCTCCAGCCTGGGTGACAAGAGTGAGACTCCATCTCAAAAAAAAAAAAAAAAAATTCGTACTGTCTGGGAAATGTAAACAACAGATATTTATTTTCTCACATTTCTGGAGGCTGGAAGTCCAAGATCAGAGTGTCCTTCTGGGGCCTCTCTCCTTGACTCGTAGACAGCCATCTTCTCTCTGTGTATTCACGTGGTCGTCCCTTCCCTCTGTGTATGTCTGTGTCCTAATCTCTTTTTTTTCTTTGAACGGAGTCTCGCTCTGTTGCCCAGGCGGGAGTGTAGTGGTGCAATCTCAGATCACTGCAACCTCCACTTCCCGGGTTCAAGTGATTCTTGGGCCTCCACGTCCCGAGTAGCTGGGATCACAGGCACTTGCCACCATGCCTGGCTAATTTTTGTATTTTTAGTAGAGATGGGGTTTCACTATGTTGGCCGGGCTGGTCTCAAACTCCTGACCTCAAGTGATCCACCCACCTCAGCCTCCCAAAGTGCTGGGATTACAGACACGAGCCACCACGCACAGCTCTAATCTCCTTATTGAAGGAGACCAGCCCTTTATGGATTGGAGCCCACCCTAATGGATAGCTTCATTTACCTTTATGACGATTTTTTTTTTTTTTTTTCCAGAGACAGGGGCTCACTCTGTTGCCCAGGCTGGAGTGGATGATCATGGCTCACTGCAGCCTCTTAGGTGCACCCATCTTGGAGCATATGTCTGCCATCATTCCTCTTTATTTATTTTTCTTTTCTTTTTGTGGCGCGATCTCAGCTCACTGCAAGCTCCGCCTCCTGGGTTCATGCCATTCTCCTGCCTCAGCCTTCTGGTAGCTGGGACTACAGGCGCCGGCCACCATGCCTGGCTAATTTTCTTTTCTATTTTTAGTAGAGATGGGGTTTCACAGTGTTAGCCAGGATGGTCTTGATCTCCTGACCTCTTGATCCGCCCGCCTCGGCCTCCCAAAGTGCTGGAATTACAGGCGTGAGCCACCGCGCCCGGCCTTTTTTTTTTTTTTTTTGAGACGGAGTCTCGCTCTGTCACCCAGGCTGGAGTGCAGTGGCATGCAGTCTCTGCTCACTGCAAGCTCTGCCTCCTTGGTTCACACCATTCTCTTGCCTCAGCCTCCCGAGTAGCTGGGACTACAGGCGCCCACCACCACGCTGGGCTAATTTTTTGTATTTTTAGTAGAGATGGGGTTTCACCGTGTTAGCCAGGATGGTCTCGATCTCCTCACCTCGTGATCCACCCGCCTCGGCCTCCCAAAGTGCTGGGATTACAGGTGTGAGCCACTGCGCTCGGCCGACTATTTTTCTTTTCTCTTAAACTTTATGTAATATGTAGAGATGAGATGTCACTGTGTTGCCTATGCTGTTCTGGAGCTACTGAGCTCAACTGATCCAACCCCCTTGGCCTCCCAAAGCGCTGGGATTGCAGAAGTCAGCCTGCTTCGTTCCTTTGGAAGGCTGAGTCATATTTCATTACAAGCACTTTTTTTTGTTTTTTGTTTTTTGTTGTTTTGAGATAGAGTCTGGCTCTGTCACCCAGGCTGGAGTGCAGTGGCGCAATCTCAGCTCACTGCAACCTCCGCCTCCCAGGTTCAAGCGATTCTCGTGCCTCAGCCTCCTGAGTAGCTGGGACTACAGATGTGCACCACCACACCTGGCTAATTTTTGTATTTTTAGTAGAGACGGGGTTTCACCATGTTGGTTAGGCTGGTCTCGAACTCCTGAACTCAGGTGATCCACCCACCTCAACCTCCCAAAGTGCTGGGATTACAGGTGTGAGCCACCATGCCCAGCCTACAAGCACTTTTTAAGCCTTTGCTGGTTCCATCTGCTCATGTCCCATTGGCCAAAGCCAGCCACGTGTCCAGGCTCCCTTGCAAGCGCAGGAGAAATTGACACAATGGGAAGAGCTACAGGGGATGTGCAGCCCTTCTTTGCACCAACCACACAGAGCCTGAGTATGTCAATGATTAAACCAAAGGCCCCAGAGCTCACCGTAGCCAGGAAACCCTTCCTCCCTCCCTCCCTTTCTCTTTTCTAGACTGTCATGTAAGTCAGATGCTGGAAGGATTCCTTGGGTTCCTTCTGGAATCCCGTCTCTCCCAGGGGAGCCTCCTTCCCTCACTTCTCTCTCCCCTGCCCCAGATGGAAACTGTCAAGCAAGGCGTTGATCAGAAGCTGGTGGAAGGCCAGGAGAAGCTGCACCAGATGTGGCTCAGCTGGAACCAGAAGCAGCTCCAGGGCCCCGAGAAGGAGCCGCCCAAGCCAGAGGTACCCATGAGGGGACTGGGGGGTGGCCTAGGGTACTTGGAGTCCCGATGCCACTCTCTACACCTCTGCTTCATGGGCCTACCTGCTTCGAATGATTTCCCTAGCCTCACCTGCTTTTGGAAGCTAATGACACCTCCTTCAGGAAGCCTGCCTTGATTTCTCCTCTTGGGCATGCATAGGTATGGCTTCTGTTTTTTGTTTTGAGATGGAGTGTTGCTCTGTCACCCAGGCTGGAGTACAATGGCATGATCTTGGCTCACTGCAACCTCCACCTCCTGGGTTCGAGTGATTCTCCTGCCTCAGCCTCCCTAGTAGCTGGGATTACAGGCGCTCACCACCACGCCTGGCTAATTTTTTTGTATTTTTAGTAGAGACAGGGTTTCACCATGTTGGCCAGGCTGGTCTTGAACTCCTGACCTCAAGTGATCCGCCCTGCCCAGCCTCCCAAAGTGTTGGGATTACAAGCGTGAGCTACTGAGCCCGGCCCCTAGCAGCAACTTCTGACTAGTATTCTCCGGCCCCCTCCACTCTATCTCAAGCCTTGGCCTCTTGTGTTCTCTAATGGGTCTCGCTGCCTGTCCCACCACCCACTTAAGCTCCCCAGGGGCAAAGGAAGTTTGCAGTGAGCCGAGATCGCACCACTGCACTCCAGCCTGGGCAACAGAAGGAGATTCTGTCTCAAAAAACAGAAAATGTCCTGAAATTAGATGAAGGTAGTATTTGCCCAACCTTGTGAATGTATTAAAAACCAATGAATCGTACACTTCAAAGGGCGAGTTTTAGGGTGTGTGGATTATATATCAATTTTTGAAATAGTTGTTTATTTATCTTTGAGACAGGGTCTCACTCTGTTGCCCTGGCTGGAGTGCAGTGATGCCATCACAGGTCACTGTGGCCTCGCCATTGCAGGCTCAGGCAATCCTCTCGCCTCAGCCTCCCAAGTAGCTGGGAACACAGGCGTGTGCCACGATGCCTGGCTAATTTTTTTTTTAATTTTTAGTAGAGACAGGATCTCACTGTGTTGCCCAGGCTGGTCTTGAGCTCCTGGTGTCAAGCAATACTCCCACTTCAGCCTTCCAAAGCACTGGGATTACAGGCATGAGCCACCACACCCGACCCCAGATCAATTATTTATTTATTTATTTATTTATTTATTTTTTGAGATGGAGTCTCGCTCTGTCACCCAGGCTGGAGTGCAGTGGTGTAATCTCAGCTCACTACCAGCTCTGCCTCCCAGGTTCACGCCATTCTCCTGCCTCAGCCTCCCGAGTATCTGGGACTACAGGCGCCCGCCACCAGGCCCAGCTAATTTTTTTTGTATTTTTAGTAGAGACGCGATTTCACCGTGTTACCCGGGATGGTCTTGATCTGCTGACCTTGTGATCCGCCCGCCTCGGCCTCCCAAAGTGCTGGGATTACAGGCGTGAGCCACCGCACCCTGCCTATTTATTTATTTATTGCTCTGTTGCCCAGGCTGGAGTGCAGTGGCACAATCTCAGCTCACTGCAACCTCTGCCTCCTGGGTTCAAGTGGTTCTCCTGTCTCCACCTCCCCAGTAGATGGGATTACAGGCATGCGTCACCACGCCCGGCTAATTTTTGTACTTTTTAGTAGACACGGGGTTTCGCCATGTTGGCCAGGCTGGTCTCAAACTCCTGACCGCAGGTGATCCGCCCACATCGGCCTCCCAAAGTGCTGGTATTACAGGCGTGAGCCACCGTGCCCGGACCCAGATCGATTTTTTAAAAACTGAAATGAGATCATATCAAAAGCACATAGTAAGGGCTACAAAAGTGACATGCATAAAGATATGGTGAATATCTCTATAAATGCAAATTGTTCGGGAGGCAGAACTAGACCACCTGCTGCCTAAAACTGTCTCCTGTTTCCCCGACTGCTAAGCACAGCAGCCAGAATGACTTTTCAAATGAAAAAACCAGATCTTATCTCTCTCACGTGGGCACTCTCCCGTAATCCCTCGCTCAAGTCCAGAGTCCTCCAGCTGCCAGGGCTCTGGGCAAAACCCTACCTCCCAGTGTGTGCCTTTTTTTTTTTTTTTTTTTTTTTTGAGATAGAGTCTCACTCTGTCACCCTGGCTGGAGTGCAATGTCATGATCTCGGCTCACTGCAACCTCTGCCTCCCGGGTTCAAGCGATTCTCCTGCCTCAGCCTCCCGAGTAGCTGAGACTACAGGCACCTGCCACCACGCCCAGCTAATTTGATTTATTTATTTATTTTTGAGACAGAGTCTCACTCCGTCACCCAAGCTGGAGTGCAGTGGCGTGATCTTGACTCACTGCAGCCTCCACCTCCTGGGTTCAAGCAATTTTCCTGCCTCAGTCTCCCAAGTAGCTGGGATTACAGGCGCCTGCAACCACACCCAGCTAATTTTTTTGTATTTTTAGTAGAGACAGGGTTCTGTCATGTTTGCCAGGCTGGTCTAGAACTCCTAACCTCAAGTTATCCACCCGTCTTGGCCCCCCAAAGTGCTGGGATTACAGGCCTGACCCACTGCGCCCGGCCTAATTTTTGTATTTTTAGTAGAGATGGGGTCTCACCATGTTGGCCAGGCTGGTCTCGAACCCTGTCTGTGCTCATCTCACTCTCTGGCCAAGGAAATTTTCAAGGACCTGATTTCAACTATGTTCTCCCCGGATGGTTTACAACTTCTGCCTAGAAAGTTCTTCCAGGCTGTCCCAGCCTGGCTTCCACTTTTTGTTTTTTAACAGCTTTTTTTTTTCTTTTTTTTTTTTTTTTTTTTTTGAGATGGAGTCTCGCTCTGTCGCCCAGGCTGGAGTGCAGTGACGCGATTTCGGCTCACTGCAAGCTCCGCCTCCCGGATTCACGCCATTCTCCTGCCTCAGCCTCCTAAGTAACTAGGACTACAGGCTCCCGCCACCATGCCCAGCTAATTTTTTTGTGTTTTTTTAGTAGAGATGGGGTTTCACCATGTTAGCCAGGATGGTCCCGATCGTCCTGACCTCATGATCCACCCTCCTCGGCCTCCCAAAGTGCTGGGGATTACAGGGGTGAGCCACCGCACCCAGCCTTTTTTTTTTTTTTAACAGTTTTATTGAGATCTCATTTGCATACCATACAAGTCACGCATTTAAAGCATACACATCGCTGGTTCTCAGCATTGTGCAACTATCCCTATCTCATCTCATGCCCCTAAAAAGAAACCCTTTTCCCATCAGCAGTCACTGCCCCATTTCCTCCTCCTCCCAACCACGTATCCCCTCCTGTCTCTGGATGGGCCTGTCCTGGACATTTCATAGAAATGGGATCACACCCTGTTTGGCCTTTTGTGTCCGGCTTCTCGCGCTGAGCGTGACGTCCTTAGGGCTCACCCATGCTGTGGCCTGGGTCAGAGCCCCATGACGTTCCATGGCTGAGTCACATTCTGTTGTATGGGTGGATCACATTCTGTTCACCCATTTATCAACCGAAGGACACTTGAGTCGTTTCTACTTTTTGCTGTGCCCCTGTGTGCATGTCTTTGTGTGTGGACGTATGTTTCCGTTTCTCTTGTGCACACACCCACAACTAGAATTGCCGAGTCATATGATGATTCTATGGTTTAACATTTTGAGTAACCGCTAGACTGTTTTCCAAAGTAACTATACCACCAGCAATACACGAGGCTTCCAATTTCTCCGCCTCTTGACTGACAGTGGGTATCATCTGATAGCCTCTGGGGTTTTTGTTTGTTTGTTTGTTTTTGAGACAGAGTCTCGCTCTGTTGCCCAGGCTGGAGTGCAATGGCATGATCTTGGCTCACTGCAACCTCCGCCTCCTGGGTGCAAGCAGTTCTTCTGCCTCAGCTTCCTGTGTAGCTGGGATTATAGGCACATGCCACCACACCCGGCTAATTTTGTATCTTTAGTAGAAATGCGGGTTTCGCCATGTTGGTCAGGCTGAACTCCTGACCTCGGTGATCCACGCACCTTGGCCTCCCAAAGTGCTGGGATTACAGGCATGAGCCACCATGCCAGGCCTCCTTATGGTTTTGATTTGCATTTCCTCAATGACTTATAAGGTCAAACAGCTTTTCATGTGCTCTCCCTATATCTTCTTTGGTGATTTGTCTATGCCCTTTAAAGAATTTGACTAGTGGCCAAATGCAGTGGCTCGTGCCTGTAATTCCAGCATTTTGGGAGGCTGAAGTGGGCAGGTCACTTGGGCCCAGGAGTTTAAGACCTGGGCAACTTAGTGAGATCCTGGCTCTACAGAAAATTTTAAAAATGTAGCTGGGCGTGGTAGTGAGTGCCTGTAGTCAGGCAGGCTGAAATGAGAGGATAACTTGAGCTCAGGAGTTACAGGCTGTAGTAAGCTATGATCACGCCACTGCACTCCAGCCTGGGCGACAAAGTGAGATCCTGTTTCTAATTAAAAGAAAAGAGTCTGGGCGCGGTGGTTCATGCCTGTAATCTCAGTACTTTGGGAGGCCAAGGAGGGCCGATCACTTGAGGTAGAGTTCAAGACCAGCCTGGCCAACATGGTGAAACCCCATCTGTACTAAAAATGCAAAAGTTAGACGGGCGTGGTGGCACGCGCCTGTAGTCCTAGCTATTCGGGAGGCTGAGGTAGGAGAATCGCTTGAACCTGGGAGGCGGAGGTTGCAGTGAGCCAAAATCATGCCACTGCACGCCAACCTGGGCAACAGAGCAAGACTCTATCTCAAAAAAAAAAAAAAAAAAAAGGGCCGGGCACGGTGGCTCACGCTTGTAATCCCAGCATTTTGGGAGGCCAAGGCAGGCGGATCACGAGGTCAGGAGATCAAGACCATCCTGGCTAACACGGTGAAACCCCGTCTCTACTAAAAATACAAAAAATTAGCCTGGCGTGGTGGTGGGCGCCTGTAGTCCCAGCTACTCGGGAGGCTGAGGCAGGAGAATGGCGCGAACCTGAGAGGCGGAGCTTGCAGTGAGTTGAGATTGTGCCACTGCACTCCAGCCTGGGCGACAGGGCGAGACTCCGTCTCAAAAAAAAAAAAAAAAGTTTCGCCTATGGAAAGCGTTTGCCCCAAGGTCAGTGGTAGAACCCCTCTTCCCCTCTTTCCCTGGCTTCAGCTCCGATCGCCTTTCCTGAAACAAATGGTCCTGATTGGTGTCCCCATCTCCCTTCTCAGCAGGTCGAGTCCCGGGCGCTCACCATGTTCCGGGACATTGCCCAGCAACTGCAGGCCACCTGTACCTCCCTGGGGTCCAGCATTCAGGGCCTCCCCACCAATGTGAAGGACCAGGTGCAGCAGGCCCGCCGCCAGGTGGAGGACCTCCAGGCCACGTTTTCCAGCATCCACTCCTTCCAGGACCTGTCCAGCAGCATTCTGGCCCAGAGCCGTGAGCGTGTCGCCAGCGCCCGCGAGGCCCTGGACCACATGGTGGAATATGTGGCCCAGAACACACCTGTCACGTGGCTCGTGGGACCCTTTGCCCCTGGAATCACTGAGAAAGCCCCGGAGGAGAAGAAGTAGGGGGAGAGGAGAGGACTCAGCGGGCCCCGTCTCTATAATGCAGCTGTGCTCTGGAGTCCTCAACCCGGGGCTCATTTCAAACTTATTTTCTAGCCACTCCTCCCAGCTCTTCTGTGCTGTCCACTTGGGAAGCTAAGGCTCTCAAAACGGGCATCACCCAGTTGACCCATCTCTCAGCCTCTCTGAGCTTGGAAGAAGCCTGTTCTGAGCCTCACCCTATCAGTCAGTAGAGAGAGATGTCCAGAAAAAATATCTTTCAGGAAAGTTCTCCCCTGCAGAATTTTTTTTCCTTGTTAAATATCAGGAATATAGGCCGGGTGCGGTGGCTCACACCTGTAATCCCAGCACTTTGGGAGGCTGAGGCGGGCGGAACACCTGAGGTCAGGTGTTCGAGACCAGCCAGGCCAACATGGTGAAACCCCGTCTCTACTAAAAATACAAAAAAAAATGAGCCGGGCATGGTAGCAGGTGTCTGTTATCCCAGTTAGGAGGCTGAGGCAAGAGAATCTCTTGAACCTGAGAGGCGGAGGTTGCAGTGAGCCAAGATCGCGCCATTGCACTCCAGCCTGGGGGACAAGAGTGAGACTTAGTCTCAAAAAAAAAAAAAAAGAAAAAAAAATCAGGGATATAGTTCATATCCCACTTCTTTGTTTACACCGATGTCCCTGAATATCAGCCTGTAGCTAATGGACTTGGGATTTCTGGTCTAAGTGGGCCTCCTGGGGATGGGGTGGTACACTGAGCTTCTGAGCCTCATTGTAGAGTAGAAAGGTACTGGGGCCTGTGTGGTAAGCCTTGTTGAAATGCTCTGGTATTCAGTATTGCCTTAATAAACTTCACCCACAACTGCATACAGGCCATGTGTGTACGTGTGTGTGTCTTCATCTGTCCCTGCTGCTAGAACAGAAATATCTTAGGCAGGGTAATTTATTTATTCATTTATTTATTTTGTAGAGACGGGGTCTTGCTATGTTGCCCAGGCTGATCTTGAACTCCTGAGCTCAAGCGTTCCTCTCACCACGTCCTCCCAAAGTGCCTGGCCAGGCTGGGTAATTTATGAGCAACAGAAATTGATTTCTCACAGTTCCGGAGGCGGGGAAGTCCAAGATCAAGACACTGGCAGGCCTGGCACAGTGGCTCACGCCTGTAATCCCAGCACTTTGGGAGGCCGAGGTGGGAGGATCACTTGAGGCCAGGAGTTTGAGACTGGCCTGGGCAACATAGCAAGACCCCATCTCTACACAAATTTTTTTTTTTTAAGTTAGCCAGGCATGGTAAGGTGGGAGGGTCACTTGAGCCCAGGAGTTTGAGACTGCAGTGAGCCAAGATCGCACTACTGCACTCCAGCCTGGGCAACAGAGCAAGATACCATCTCGGAAAAAAATCCAAGTGACAATCTACAGTGTTTCTCTACGGTAGCTACAGAGAAGGGGAACTTCAGGGACTTCTCCCAGGGACATGGAGAAGATACATTCTCAGTCTTACTAAATACTGCTGGACTGTTGCCCAAATCATTGTCAGTCTTTTCACTCCCACCCTAAGTCCTGAGAGGGTTCATTTCCCCCATCACCAACCACATGTTACTTTCTCTTTGTTAATCCATATTCAAGTTGAATTCATATGCACCCAAGTATATGAATCTTAAAGGGACAGTTCAATGAATGTTACATAGGAATCCACTCCCTATAACCAACAGCCACAGGGATTACTGGTGCGTGCCCCACCATGCCCGGCTAATTTTTGAATTTTACTAGAGACGGGGTTTTGCCATATTGGCCAGGCTGGCTTTGAACTCCTGACCTCAAGTGATCTGCCCGCCTCGGCCTCCCAAAGTGCTGGATTACAGGCGTGAGCCACTATGCCAGCCTTTTTTTTTTTTTTTTTCGCTCTTTTTTGAGACAGAGTTGTACTCTGTTGCCCAGGCTGGGGTGCAGTGGTACTATCTCAGCTCACCGCAACCTCCACCTCCCAGGTTCGAGTGGTTTTCCCGCCTCAGCCTCCCGAGTAGCTGGGATTACAGGCGTGCACCACCACGCCCGGCTAAGGCTGGAGTACAGTGGCACGATCTCGGCTCACCGCAAGCTCCACCTCCTGGGTTCACGCCATTCTCCTGCCTCAGCCTCCCGAGTAGCCGGGACTACAGGTGCCTGCCACTACAACCGGCTAATTTTTTGTATTTTTAGTAGAGACAGGGTTTCACCGTGTTAGCCAGGATGTAATTTTGTATTTTTAGTAGAGATGGGGTTTCACCATGTTAGCCAGGCTGGTCTCAAACTCCTGACCTCAAGTGATCTGCCCACCTCGGCCTCCCAAAGTACTGAGGTTACAGGTGTGAGCCACCACATCTGGCCCCACCTCATCCTCTTGAGTATCTGGGAACTACAGGCGTGCACCACCACACTCAGCTAAATTATACACACACACACACACACACACACACACACACACAGATGTGGGTCTTGCTATGTTGCCTAGGCTGGTCTCAAACTCCTGGGCTCAAGCGACCTCCCACTCAACCTCCCAAAGCACTGGGATTACAGGTGAGAGTCACTGCACCTGGCTCTCACCCGATCTTTTTCCCAATCCCATCAGATAGATGCTATTATCTCCAGGGAAAATGAGGTGTAATCCAGAGAGCCCACCCTCAGCCCCACCTCAGCTACTAATAGCTGAGTAGTAATTTGAACTCAGGCCAGGCATGGTGCCTCACGCCTGTAATCTCAGCACTTTGGGAGGCCAAGGTGGGCAGGTCACTTGAGGTCAGGAGTTCGAGACCAGGCTGGCCAACATGGTGAAATCCCCCTCTCTATTAAAAATACAAAAATTAGCTGGGTGTGGTGGCACACACCTGTAATCCCAGCTACTGGGGAGTCTGAGGCACAAGAATCACTTAGCCCAGGATGCAAAGGTTGCAGTGAACCAAGATCACGCCACTGCACTCCAGCCTGGGCAACAGAGCGAGACTCTGTCTCAAAAAAAAAAAAAAAATTGGACTCAAAGAGTCAAGTTCTCTCCACGGTGCTTATAACCACCACATTTTAAGGTAGCAATGCCTGTTTTGGAATATCATACATGACACATATGTTGACTTGTGAAAGTGTCAAAGATATATTGACAATGGAATACAGTAAATTTTTTTTTTTTTGAGACGGAGTCTCGCTCTGTAGCCCAGGCTGGAGTGCAGTGGCGCGATCTCAGCTCACTGCAAGCCGCACCACCTCACAGGTTCACACCATTCTCCTGCCTCAGCCTCCTGAGTAACTGGGACTTCAGGCACCTGCCACCATGCCCGGCTAATTTTTTGTACTTTTAGTAGAGACGGGGTTTCACCGCTTTAGCCAGGATGGTTTCGATCTCCTGACACTGTGATCCGCCCGCCTCGGCCTCCCAAAGTGCTGGGATTATAGGCGTGAACCACCACGCCCAGCCGAAAGTATTTATTGTCTGGTCCTTTACAACAAACAGTTTGCTGAACTCTGGCCTATGCGAATTAAAAAGGAAAATCAGATCGAAGAATATTCAGTATCATGATCACGGATCTGTGGATATGTGTGCAAAAGTGGAAAACAGAGGCCGGGCATGGTGGCTCATGCCTGTAATCCCAGCACTTTGGGAGGCTGAGGCAGGCAGATCACTTGAGGCCAGGAGTTCGAGACCAGCCTGGCCAACATGGTGAAACCCCATCTCTACTAAAAATACAAAAATTAGCTGGGCGTGGTGGCGCACAGCTGTAATCCCAGCTATTCAGGAGGCTGAAGTAGGAGAATCGCTTGAACCCAGGAGGAGGAGGTTGCAGTGAGCCAAGATCGTGCCACTGCACTCCAGCCTGGGCGACAGAGCGAGACTCTGACTCCAAAAAGAAAAAAAAAAAAGTGGAAAACAGAATGGATGGGCTTGTGGGTGGAGGCTTCTAGGGGAGGTGGTGGAGAGGGAAAGTAAAAAAAAAACTTGGACTTTTACTGGAATATTATCTTTCTTTCTTTTTTTTTTTTATATTTTTTCTTTGAGATAGGGTTTCTCTCTGTTGCCCAGGCTGGAGTGCAGTGGTGCGATCATAGCTCACTACAGTCTCAACCTCTTGGGCTCTGGTGGTCCTCCCATCTCAGCCTCCCAGGTAGCTGGGACTACAGGCACGTGCTGCCATGCCTCATTTTTTCTTTCTTTCTTTTTTTTTTTTTTTTTGAGATGGAGTCTCGCTGTGTCGCCCAGGCTGGAGTTCAGTGGCGTGATCTCGGCTCTCTGCAAGCTCCACCTCCCGGGTTCATACCATTCTCCTGCCTCAGCCTCCTGAGTAGCTGGGACTACAGGTGCCCGCCACCACGCCCGGCTAATTTTTTTGTATTTTTAGTAGAGACAGGGGTTTCACCGTGTTAGCCAGGATGGTCTTGATCTCCTGACCTCATGATCCACCTGCCTCGGCCTCCCAAAGTGCTGGGATTGCAGGCGTGAGCCACTGCACCCGGCCCTCATTTTTTCTTTATTTTTAATTTTTGTAGAGATGGGATCTCACTGTGTTGCCAGGGCTAGTCTTGAACGCCTGGGCTCAAGCAATCCTCCCGCCTCAGCCTCCCAAAGTGCTAGGATTACAGGCATGAGCCACCGCACCCGGCCTGTTTCTTTCACTGAAGAAGAGAGGGGGCAACTGCACCTCTCTGCAAGTGGCCAAATTCACCCATCTGCAGCCCTGGAATTCTGAATTCTTCAGCCATTACCTTCTCTGAGCCTGTTCTCTCATCTGTAAAATGGGAACCATCAAACCCATTTTGATGGAGAAACGGTTGTTTTAAGACATTGATCAAGCCAGGCATGGTGGCTCACGCCTGTAATTCCAACACCTTGGGAAGCCAAGGCAGGAGGATTGCTTGAGGCCAGGAGTTTGAAACCAGCCTGGTCAACATAGAAAGACATCATCTCTACAAAAGAAAAAAAAAATTACATTAGCCAGGCATGGTGGCATGCACCTGCAGTCCCAGCTACTTGGGAGGCTGAGGTGGGAGGATCGCTTGAGACCAGGAGGTCAAGGCTACAGTGATTAGTGATCACACCACTACACTCCAGCCTGGGTGGCAGATTAAGACCCTGTCTCAAAAAAAAAAAAAAAAAAAAAAAAAGGACATTGATCAGTTGACCAGCAAAGCCCAGTCACGGTGATTCATGTCTGTAATCCCACCACTTTGGGAGGCCAAATTGGGACAATCTCTTAAAGCTAGGAGTCGGGGACCAGTCTGGGTAACATAGTGAGACCCTGTCTCTAAAAGAAAAATGTAAAAAATAATTCAACACAGTGTTGCGTGCCTGTAGTCCCAGCTACTTGGGAGGCTCAGGCAGGAGGATCGCTTGAGGCCCAGAATTGGAGGCTGCTTTGAGCTATGATGGCGCCACTCCACTCCGGCCTGTGCGACAGAGTGAAATCCCATCTCTAAAAAAAAAAAAAAAGCCGGGTGCAGTGGCTCACGCCTGTAATCCCAGCACTTTGGGAGGCTGAGCGGGTGGATCACGAGGTTAAGAGATCGAGACCATCCTTGCCAACATGGTGAAACTCCATCTCTACTAAAAATACAAAAATTAGCCAGGCATGGGGGCATGCACCTGTAGTCCCAGCTACTCGGGAGGCTGAGGCAGGAGGATCGCTTGAACCCGGGAGGCTGAGGTTGCAGTGAGCCGAGATTGCACCACTGCACTCCAGCCTGGTGACTGAGTGAGATTCTGTCTCAAAAAAAAAAAAAAAAAAAAAGTCTGGGCACAGTTTTGCATGGGTACAAGCACCTATGAGACACTCCTTGAATTGGTAATTTTGGGGTGGGAGACAGAGAGGCCAGGAGGATGTGTTTAACTTTCTCTCCCCCACCAGCCCTGGAGACCCTGAAGGGTAAGACCATTTCTGTCTTCCCCGCTACTGTATTCCCAGAGCCTAGACGTTCCTGGAACACAGTCAGTGCTCAATAAAATTTCTCCCTCACTGGAGAGAAGTACTCAATAAGGGGAACTGTGGGGGATTTGACATCAACATAACTTCCATTGCTATCTCCCTACAAGAACTTTTAGGTGAACTTCAGCCTGGGGTCCCTGAGCCTCTTAGGGGTGTTCAGGGTGTCTGTGAATTCTGATGGAGGAAAAAAATTTCACATCTTTATTTTCACTGACTCTAACTGATAATTACCATTCCCTCAATTATTAATGAAGACAACCACAGGACCTGGGACTTTGTCCGTTTGTCCCTAATAAAAACCACAGATACTTTCAGATTGCATTGCAACCAGAAACACATCTGACACTTGTCACCACGGCAAAATCACTGTGATTATTAGATCTTATTTAATGTGGTGATAAAAATAATATAGGCCAGGTGCGGTGGCTCACACCTGTAATCCTAGCACTTTGAGAGGCCGAGGCGGGAGGATTGCTTGAGCCTGGAAGTTTGAAAGCAGCCTGGGTAATATAGGGAGACCCCGTTTCAAATAATAATAATTATTATAATCATAAAATTAGGCCGGGCGCAGCGGCTCACGCCTGTAATCCCAGCACTTTGGGAGGCCGAGGCGGGCAGATCACCTGAGGTCAAGAGTTCGAGACCAGCCTGGCCAACATGGTGAAACCCCATCTCAACTAAAAATACAAAAATTAGCCAGGTGTGGTGGCACGTGCCTGTAATCCCAGCTACTCAGGAGGCTGAGGCAGGAGAATCGCTTGAACCCATGAGGTGGAGGTTGCAGTGAGCCGAGGTCGCACTACCGCACTCCAGCCTAGGCCACAGAGTAAGACTCCAACTAAAAAAAAAAAAAAAAAAAAGGGAGGCCGGACACGGTGGCTCACACCTGTAATCCCAGCACTTTGGGAGGCCAAGGCAGGTGGATCACCTGAAGTTGGGAGTTCGAGACCACGCTGACCAAGGTGGAGAAACTCCATCTCTACTAAAAATACAAAATTAGCCAGGTGTGGTGGCACATGCCTGTAATCCCAGTTACTCAGGAAGCTGAGGCAGTAGAATTGCTTGGACCCGGGAGGCGGAGGTTGCAGTGAGCTGAGATTGCGCCATTGCACTCCAGCCTGGGCAACAAGAGCGAAACTCCGTCTCGGAAAATAAATAAAAAAATAAATAAACAAACAAACAAATAAAATAAGAGAAATAAAATAAAAACAGCTGCTACATTTATTTCCTGGAAAGCACCTATCACTAACGGAGATGATCCCACTTTACAATTGTGATTACTTTCTCATCTGGGACCCCCGCCCAGATGACTGTGGGCTCCCCGAGAGCAGATGCGAGTTCTTCTGGCCCCCTGCAGACAGTAGGTGCTCACACTTGCTGAACGTGACCGCAAGGGTTGGGAAGAGAGCGCATGGGTGCGGGGCGACCCGGGGACTTTCCCGGTGCTGCGGGGCAGGACTCCGAAACCGTGACCTCACGTCCCACACCCACCCGGGACGCGGAAGGGGCGGCGCGCTTCCTTCCCAGGGCGCGGGCCGCGGGGTGGAGCCAGCGCCCTCAGCGCGCTACGGTCCGCGGGCAACTCCGCAGAAGCCCCAGCCCCCAGGACCCCAGGACCCAGTGGCGCAGCCGGCAGCCCCGGATCCCTGGTAGGTGGGGAAGGGGCGAGGACGGGCCTGAGGTGGAGAAGGTGTCGGGGGTGTGGGGGGTGGCCCTGAGCCCGTGCCGCTCGCCAGGGCTCCAGGCCACCTGGCCTCCCTCTTAGGGCCCCGGTGCGGAGGAGGGGGCCTGGCGCCGCGCGTTGGGAGGTTGACGTTCCCCTCAACCTCCAGCTCCCCGCGCTGGTGGCCCAGATCCTCCCCCACTGTCGGGATCCTCCCCAGCACCCTGGCTTCCTCCCCGACAGCCTGACCCCTCCCCCAAACCCCAGATTCCTCCCGGACACCCCAGATTCCTCCCCAACACCCAGGATTCCTACCTGAAACCCCATATTCCTTCTCACCCCAAATTCCTGACACCCAAGCTTCCTACCTCACACCCCATATTTCTCTCAACGCCCTGAATTTCTCCCTGACACCCAAGGTCCCTCCCTGATACCCCAAATTCCTCCGTGACACCCAGGACCCCTCTCTGACACCCTGGATTCTTCCCCAACACCCAGGATCCCTCCCGAATACCCCAGATTCCTCCCAGACACCCCAAATTCCTCCCTGACACCCCAAACTCTTCCCTGACACCCAGGATCCCAACCTCACACCCTGTACCACCACACACCTTCTTCCTTTCTCCCCCTCCTAACGGTTATCCAGCCACATGGGCTTCCTTACTGTTCCTCCAGCTCACCAGGCGCAGTCCTGCCCCAGGGCCTTTGGGCAGGTGGCTTCACCTTCCAGAAGCTTTCCTCCCTGATCTCCACCCAGCCTCCTCCCTCAGCTCCTTTAGGTCTCAGCTCAATGTTACCTCCTGTCCCCAAAGGCCTCCCTTGACCACCGTGGTCCCCTGTAGCCCCTTCCCAGCCAGTCTCTCAGAGCCACACAGCCCCCGGCTCATGGCTTTCACGTTACTTTTCATTCTCTGAAATGATCTTGGGTTATTTTCTCGCTTACTGTTGGTCTCCCTGAACCAGACTGGGAGCTCTGTGAGGGTAGATGTGCCTGCCTTGATATGCAGTGGCACTTTGAACAGTTCCTGGACCTAGTAGGTGCTCAATAAATGCATATTCGATGCATGAAAGGCTGCATGAGAGTGTGGGAAGGAGAGTGGGAGAGGTGGTTAAAACATTTAAAAAGGACAAGGTGGGAGGATCACTTGAGCCCAGGAGTTCAAGACAAGCCTGGGCAGCATAGCGAGACTCCACCTCTACAAAAAAATTCAAAAAGAAAGTTAGCCGGGTGCAGTGGTTTATGCCTGTAATCCCAACACTTTGGGAGGCTGAGGCAGGTGGATTGCTTGAGCCCAGGATCCTGGGTAACATGGGTGAGACTCTGTCTCTACCAAAAATACAAAAATTAGCCAGGTGTGGTGCCGCACACCTGTAGTCCCAGCTACTCGGGAGGCTGAGGTGGGAGGATCACTTGAACCCGGGAGTTCAAGGCTGCAGTGAGCCGTGATCCCACTACTGCACTCCAGCCTGGGTGACAGAGTGAGACCCTGTCTCTAAAAAAAATGAAATGGGGCTGGGCAGGTGGCTCACGCCTGTAATCCCAGGCAGATCACCTGAGGTCAGGAGTTTGAGACCAGCCTGACCAACATGGCGAAACCCTGTCTCTACTAAAAATACAAAAATTAGCGGGGCGTGGTGGTGCATGCCTGTAATCCCAGCCACTCAGGAGGATGAGGCAGGAGAATCACTTGAACCCAAGAGGCGGAGGTTGCAGTGAGCCCAGACCACGCCACTGCACTCCAGCCTGGGCGACACAGCAAGACTCTGTGTCAAAAAAAAAAAAAAAAAAAAAAAGAAATGAAATTAAAAATCAAAAATTTTTTTAAAAAGGAAGAGGAAGAGAAAAAGTCTGCCAATATTTATTGTCACACTAATATTATTATATCAAGCTCTTGCTCCTTGCTGGGCACTGATCTAAACTTTTTAACCATATTTTCGCATGAAAGCTTCAAAACAGACTCCCATTCATCCTAAGTACCAGTTCATGTGGGTGTTATAAATGAGGAAGCTGAGGCTGAGAAACAGACCACACAAGCCGGCAGGTGGCAGAGCCAGAACCCTCCTACCCCATGGGTGTTTTTGTCCCGCCAGGCGCCTGCTCTTCAGAGTGAGGAGTGGACTTTGTCCCAGCCATGGACAGTGAGAAATGAAACTTGCTGGGTCTCGAGAAGGTGGAGGTGGCAGTGGGCAGGGGAGGCGGGCGGGGGAAGCTGGGGCAGTCACTGAAATAGAGTTGAGTTCAGGCCCGGGGGGGCAGAGAGAATGAGAAGAAAGACCACGTGATTTTAGAGATTTGCCAGGCATTCAGGTGGAGATGGTCCTGCCTTGATGATTCTAAGTCTGGCTGGCTTTGTCGTGTTTTCTGCAAAACTCCCCTGAGTCCTTCTTGCAAGGAGGTTTCAGTCTTGCATGCTAATGTTTGTGGGGCATGCGTGTGCCAGGCACTGCTTTAAGAGTCCTATACAGGCCGGGCGCAGTGGCTCATGCCTGTAATCCCAGCACTCTGGGAGGCCAAGGCAGGCGGATCGATTGAGGTCAGGAGTTCGAGACCAGCCTGGCCAACAGCCTGAAACCCTGTCTCTACTAAAATTACAAAAACTAGCAGGGCGTGGTGGCTAACGCCTGTAATCCCAGAATTTTGGAGGCCAAGGCAGGCGGATCACGAGATCAAGAGATTGAGACCATCCTGGCCAACATGGTGAAACCCCGTCCCTACTAAAAATACAAAAATTACCTGGGCATGGTGGCATGCACCTGTAGTCCCAGCTACTCGGGAGGGTGAGGCAGGAGAATTGCTTGAACCCAGGAGGTGGAGGTTGCAGTGAGCCGAGATCGCGCCACTGCACTCCAGCCTGGCGACAGAGGGAGATTCGGTCTCAGAAAAAAAAAAAAAAAAAGATTATCTGGGCGTGGTGGCAGGCTCCTGTAATCCCAGCTACTCAGGAGAGTGAGGCACAAGAATCACTTGAGCCCAGGATGCGGAGGCTGTAGTGAGCCTAGATCGCACCACTGCACTCCAGCCTGGGCGACAAAGTGGGACTCCGTCTCAAAAAATATATATATGTATATATATTTTACTGACATGTAGGCTGGGTGCAGTGGCTCATACCTGTAATCCCAGCACTTTGGGAGGCCAAGGTGGGAGGATCGCTTGGGCCCAGGAGTTCCAGACCCCGTCCCTACAAAACATTAATAATTAGCTGGGCATGGTGGCATGTGCCTGTAGTCCCAGCTACTTGGGAGGCTGAGTGGGAGGATCACTTCTTAATCCCAGGAGGTTGAGGCTGCAGTGAGCTATGATCACACCACTGCACTCCAGCCTGGGTAACAGAGCAAGATCCTGTCAAAAAACAACAACACAGGAGGCTGAGGCAGGAGAACGGTGGGAACCCGGGAGGCAGAACTTGTAGTGAGCCGAGATCGCGCCACTGCACTCCAGCCTGGGAGACAGACCGAGACTCCGTCTCAAAAAAAATAAAAAAAACAAAAAAGAGTGTGAATTCTAAGTGTTAAACTCAATGAATTTTCAGCATGACGCCCAGCCCCACTGCTACCCTGTCCCAGCATGGCCCTTCTCCACACTTTATCATCTATGCCCTCTTATCAGCTAAAAATTGGAGGGTACGTGCCAATGTATGTTTGCTTTTTGCTTGGTAAGTTATACACACAACCGTTCCCAGGAAACACCGGGAGGTGGGAAGAGCAGTTGATTCGTGGATCATCGAACTTAACGGGGGGTGGGGGTATTGGACCGTATTCCAAGTAGTTGTCTTGATCATTTCAAAAAGTTTTGGCCGACTTGTGGTCCCACCTGAATATAGGATCTTTTTTTTTTTTTTTTTGAGATGGAGTCTCACTCTGTCACCCAGGCTGGAGTGCAGTGGCACCAACTCGGCTCGCTGCAAGCTCCGCCTCCCAGGTTCACACCATTCTCCTGCCTCAGCCTTCCGAGTAGCTGGGAGTACAGGTGCCCGCCACCACACCTGGCTAATTTTTTGTATTTTTAGTAGAGACGGGGTTTCACCGTGTTAGCCAGCACGGTCTCGATCTCCTGACCTCGTGATCTGCCCGCCTCGGCCTCCCAAAGTGCTGCTGGGATTACAGGCGTGAGCCACCGCGCCCAGCCCATTTTCATTTTTATCCCATTTTATGTAGAGCTTACAACAGAGATAGAAGCTGGGCATCTGGCCTTTTTCTTTTTTTTTTTTTTTTTTTTTTTTTTTTTTTGGAGACAGAGTTTCACTCTTGTAGCCTAGGCTGGAGTGCAATGGCATGATCTCAGCTCACCGCAACCTCCGCCTCCCGGGTTCAACCTCCACCTCCCGGGTTCAAGCGATTCTCCTGCCTCAGCCTCCCGAATAGCTGGGATTACAGGCTTGCGCCACCATGCCCGGCTAATTTTTGTATTTTTAGTACAGACGGGGTTTCACCATGTTGGCCAGGCTAGCCTCGAACTCCTCACCTCAGGCAATCCACCCGCCTCGGCCTCTCAAAGTGCTGGGATTACAGGCGTGAGCCACTGCGCCCGGCCGTCTGGCCTTTTTCTTATTGTCCGATTGTGCCTGCATTATTTTATTATTATTATTATTATTATTTCCTAAGATTATTAGGAAAAACCTTTTATCCTCCACTTCTCTAGAGGAGTACTTAGGCCATATGCTTATTTCCTGAACATTAGTTTAATTAAAACTAGGTGAGGCTGTTTCTCAGGCCCCATAACCAGGTCCACATAAGCTGGAGTCTGTGTTAAATCTGAAAATGTTAAAAGGAGCCAAAAAGCTCAGTGGATTCTAGAACCAGACAGCCTGGGTTCCAATCCAGCTGTATCCCTTATGAGCTGTGTGACTCTGGACTACTTACTCAACTTCTCTGTACCTCTGTTTCCTTGTGTCAAAAAGGGGCCATACTCCAATATTACTGGACTGTAGTGGAGATGTCTAAAACTGTGCTGTCCAACAGAAATATAACATGAAGCAGCCGCGAACAGTGGCTCACGCCTGTAATCCCAGCACTTTGGGAGGCCGAGGCTGGCAGATCACTTGAGGTCAGGAGTTCGAGACCAGCCTGGGCAACATGGTGAAACCCCGTCTCTACTAAAAATACAAAAATTAGCCGGGTATGATGGCGGATGCCTGTAGTCCCAGCTACCCGGAAGGCTGAGGCAAGAGAATCGCTTGAACCTGGGAGGCAGAGGTTGCAGTGAGTCGAGATCATGCCATTGCACTCTAGCCTGGAAAATGGAGCAAGACTCCATCTCCAAAATATATAAATAAATAAATAAATATATATATATATCTCCTAATAATACATTTTATTAATCCAATATGTAAATGCATTTAATAATATATTTTATTTAACTCAATATACCCAACATGGTCCAATATAATGTTCCATTACGAATGAGGCATCTTCCATACCTTTTTTATTTTGTTGTTTTTGAGACAGCGTCTCACTCTATTGCCCAGGCTGGAGTGCAGTGGCGCGATCTCCGGTCACTGCAGCCTTGATTCTCCTGGCCTCAGGCGATCCTCTGACCTCAGTCTACCAAGGAGCTGGGGCCACAGGCATGCACCACCACACCCAGCTAATTATTTTTATTTTAATTTTATTTATTTATTTATTTGTTTGTTTCTTTATTTTGAGATGGAGTTTTGCTCTTGTTGCCCAGGCTGGAGTGCAATGGTGTGATCTTGGCTTACTGCAACCTCTGCCTCCTCGGTTCAAGCGATTCTCCTGTCTCAGCCTCCCGAGTAGCTGGGATTACCAGCACCTGCCACCATGCCCTGCTAATATTTTTTATTTTTAGTAGAGACAGGGTTTCACTGTGTTGGCTAGGCTGGTCTCGAACTTCTAAACTCAGGTGATCCACCTGCCTCAGCCTCCCAAAGTGCTGGGATTACAGGCGTGAGCCACCACACCCGGCCTATTTTTATTTTTTGTAGAGATGGGTCTCACTGTTGCCCAGGCTGGTCTCGAACTCTTGGGCTCAAGAGATCCTCCTACCTCAGCCCCCTAAAGTACTGGGATTATAGGCATGAGCCACTGCACCCTGCCTTAATTAATTAAAAATTAGATAAAATGCCGGCCGCGGTGGCTCACGCCTGTAATCCCAACACTTTGGGAGGCCAAGGTGGGAGGATCACTTGAGCCCAGGCAACATGGGGAGACCCAGTCTCTACAAAAATACAAAAATTAACGGGTACATATCCAGGTTTGTTATATAGCTAAATGGCATGTCACAGGGTTTGGTGTACAGATTATTCCATCACACAGGTAATAACTGTCGTACCTGATAGGTAGTTTTTTGTTGTTGTTGTTTTAAGACAGAGTCTCGCTCTGTCGCCCAGGGTGGAGTGCAGTGGCGCCATTTCAGTTCACTGCAACCTCTGCCGCCCGGGTTCCAGCAATTCTCCTCCCTCAGCCTCCCAAGCAGCTGGGATTACAGGCGCACACTGCCACACCCGGCTAATTTTTTGTATTTTAGTAGAAACGGGGTTTTACCATGTTGCGCAGGCTGGTCTCGAACTCCTGAGCTCAGGCAATCCACACACCTCGGCCTTCCAAAGTGCTAGGATTACAGGCGTGAGCCACCGCTCCCGACCCTCCTCTCCCTCCTCCTCACCACCACCCTTAAGCAGGCTCTGTTATTTTATTTTATTTTTTTTTGGAGACAGAGTCTTGCTCTGTCACCCAAGTTGGAGTGCAGTGGTGTGATCTCTGCTCACTCCAGCCTCGACTTCTTGGGTTCAGGTGATTCTCCCACCTCAGCCTCCCTAGTAGCTGGGACTACAGGCACCCGCCACCACACGTGGCTAATTTTTCTATTTTTAGTAGAGACGGGATTTCGCCATGTTGGCCAGGATGGTCTTGAACTCCTGACCTGAGGTGATCCACCTGCCTCGGCCTCCCAAAGTGCTGGGATTACAGGTGTGAGCCACTGTGCCTGGCCCTGTTGTTCCCTTCTTTGTGTCCTGCGGTGGCTCACGCCTGTAATCCCAACACTTTGGGAGGCCGAGGCAGGTGGGTCATCTGAGGTCAGGGGTTCCAGACCAGCCCGACCAATATGAGGCAACCCCATCTCTACTAAAAATACAAAAATTAGCCGGGCATAGTGGTGCGAACCTGTAATCCCAGCTACTCAGGAGGCTGAGGCAGGAGAATCTCTTCAACCCAGGAGGCGGAGGTTGCAGTGAGCTGAGATTGCGTCACTGCACTCCGGCCTGGATGACAGAGCGAGACTCTGTCTCCAAAAAAAAAAAAAAAAAAAAAATTGGATAAAAGTTAAAATTCAAGCCAGGCATGGTGGCTCATACCTGTAATCCCAGCACTTTGGGAGGCTGAGGCAGGCAGATAGCTTGAGGTCAGGAGTTCAAGACCAGCCTGGCCAACATGGCAAAACCCTGTCTCTACTAAAAATACAAAAATTAGCTGGGCGTGGTGGCATGTGCCTGTGATCCCAGCTACTGGGGAGGCTGAGGCACGAGAATAACTTGAACCCAGGAGAGGGGGGTGGCAGTGAGCTAAGATCGCACCACTGCACTCCAGCTTGGGCGACAGAGCAAGACTTCATCCTAAAAAAAAAAAAAATTAAAATTCAGTGTCTCTTTACTACCACAGCCACATTTCAGGTGCCCAGTAGACACAGGTAGCTGGGGGCTGCCATACTGGACAACACAGACAGAGAGTGTTGAGGCTGATCTAGACTGCAAGTATCTGCAGTGTATTAGCTACTGTGGCTGTGGTAATAAAGTGCCCCAGCCCGGATGGCTTAAGCAACAGAAATTTATTCTCTCACAGTTATGGAGGCTGGAAGTCCAAGATCGAGGTGTTGTAGGGTTGGTTCCCTCTGAGGACTCTCCTTAGCTTGCAGACGGCCGCCTTCTCCCTGGGTCTCCTCACATCATCTTCCTTCTGTGCAGTTACGTGTCTGTATCTGAATGCCCCCTGCCTTTTCCTTTTTTGATGCAGGTTCTTGCTCTGTTACCCAGGCTGGAGTGCAGTGGCGAGATCTTAGCTTGCTTGCTGCAGCCTCAACCTCCCAGGCTCAACCAATCCTCCCACCTCAGCCTCCTGAGTAGCTGGGATTTCAGGCGCATGCCACCATGCCTGGCTAATTTTTTTTTTTTTTTTTTTTTAAGACAGAGTCTTGCTCTGTCACCCAGGCTGGAGTGCAGTGGCGCTATCTTGGCTCAATGTAAGCTCCGCCTCCCAGGTTCACGCCATTCTCCTGCCTCAGCCTCCCGAGTAGCTGGGACTACAGGCGCCCGCCACCATGCCTGGATAATTTTTGCATTTTTAGTAGAGATGGAGTTTCGCCATGTTAGCCAGGCTGGTCTCGTACTCCTGACCTTAGGTGATCTGCCCACCTCGGCCTCCCAAAGTGCTGGGATTACAGGCGTGAGCCACTGCGCCTGGCCATGCCTGGGTAATTTTTGTATATTTAGTGAAGACGGGATTTCACCATGTTGGCCAGGCTGGTCTCGAGCTCTTGATCTCAAGTGATCAGCTCACCTCCACCTCCCAAATTGCTGGGATTACAGGCATGAGCCGTCAGGCCCGGCCAAATAAAAATACTTTCAACATCAAAAACAAACAAACAAAAACACCAAAGCCAAATACAAACCAAAAAAAGGCCTTTTCTCTAAATAAAGTCACATTCTGAGCTACTGGAGGTTGGCACTTCAACATATGATTTTGGGGAGAGACACGATTGAACCCATAATAGCCAGTCATACCCCATACTAATTAAAAGGCATTTGGTGTTACAGTTACAAACATTGGCATCAAATGGCTGCTCTGTCAGTCACTAGCTGTGTGATCTTGGTCATGTTTGCCCCTCTGTGGAATGGAAAATAAAAAAAATCACATGCCTGTCTCATAACCCAGGTGTCTACAAGCTTTTTCTGTCAAGGGTCAGAGAGTGAATATTTTCCACTTTGTAGACCCCATGGTCTCTGTTGTAGCTACTCCATCACTCTAGTGGGAAAGCAGCCATCGATGTGTGTAAATGAGTGAGGATGTCTGTGTTGCAATAAAACTTTATTTATAAAAGCAATTGGCTGGGTGTAGTGGCTCACACCTATAATCCCAGCACTTTGGGAGGCCAAGGTGGGCGGATCACACAAGGTCAGGAGTTCGAGACCAGCCTGGCCAATATGGTGAAACCCCGTCTCTATAAAAAGTACAAAAATTAGCTGGGCGTGGTGGCGGGTGCCTGTGGTCCCAGCTACTCGGGAGGCTGAAGCAGGAGAATCGCTTGAACCTGGGAGGTGGAGGTTGCAGTGAGCCAAGATCATGCCACTGCACTGCAGCCTGGGCGACAGAGCGAGACTCTGTGTCAAAACAAGACAAAACTAAAAAACAATTGGCCGGCACAGTGGCTCACGCTTGTAATCCCAGCACTTTGGGAGGCAGAGGCAGGCGGATCACCTGAGGTCGGGAGTTCAAGACCAGCCTGGCCAACACGGAGAAACCCCGTCTCTACTAAAAATACAAAATTAGCCGGGCATGGTGGCGCACGCCTGTAATCTCAGCTACTCGGGAGGCTGAAGCAGGAGAATTGCTTGAATCCGGGAGGTGGAGGTTACGGTGAGCTGAGATTGCACCATTGTACTCCAGCCTGGGCAACAAGAGTGAAACTCTGTCTCAAAAAAAAAGGCTGGACGGGGTGGCTCATGCCTGTAATCCCAACACTTTGGGAGGCCGAGACAGGCAGATCACCTGAGGTTGGGAGTTCAAGACCAGCCTGACCAACATGGAGAAACCCCGTCTCTACTAAAAATACAAAATTAACCAGGCATGGTGGTGCATGCCTGTAATCCCAGCTACTTGGGAGGATGAGGCAGAAGAATCGCTAGAACCCGGGAGGCGGAGGTTGCGGTGAGCCGAGATCGTGCCATTGCACTCCAGCCTGGGCAACAAGAGTGAGACTCTGTCTCAAAAAAAAAAAAAAAAATCGTGGGCCATATTTTGTGGCCCCTGTCAAAGGGAGATCTGCACGGTGGGATCAGGACAGGCTTAACCAAAAACATGAAGGAGGGTAAGGGAGTGAGCCATAGGGATATCTGGGGGGTAACAGAGATATAGGCAGAGGGAACAGCCAGTGCAAAGGTCCTGAGGCAGGACTGTGCCCAGTTTAAAGAACAGATGGGGAGCACAATATAGCATGTAGTAAGCCCTCAAATAAGTGGTTGCATGTAAGTGTGTGTGTGTATCCACACATGCCCGTTATATTGTCGTATGTAATATATATGATGCTTATATATTACATATAACTAACATACCATTAGACAGTCAGTTGCTCCAGGGAAGAGTCCATTGCTGTTTTTCCTTGTCTGCATACTGGTGTATTCACTAGTACCCAATACATGGCAGATGCTGAAAAAATTACTTTTTTTTTTTTTTGAGATGGAGTTTCACTCTGTCATCCAGGCTGGAATGCAGTGGCGTGATCTCGGCTCACTGCAACCTCCGCCTCTTGGGTTCAAGTGATTCTCCTGCCTCAGCCTCCCAAGTAGCTGGGAGTACAGGTGCCCAACACCATGTCTGGCAATTTTTTTTTTTTTTTTTACTAGAGACGGGAGTTTCACCGTGTTGACCAGGCTGATCTTGAACTCATGACCTCAAATGATCTGTCCGCCTTAGCTTCCCAAAGTGCTAGGATTAGCAGCATGAGCCACCACACCTGGCTAAAAATTACTTCTTTTTGTTTGTTTTTTGATGGAGTCTTGTTCTTTTGCCCAGGCTGGAGTGCAGTGGCACGATCTCGGCTCACTGCAACCTCCACCTCCCAGGTTCAAGCGATTCTTCTGCCTCAGCCTCCCAAGTAGCTGGGATTACAAGCACACGCCACCATGCCCGGCTAAATTTTTTATTTTTTATTTTTTTTATTTTTCTTTTAGTAGAGACAGGGTTTCACCATGTTGGCCAGGCTGGTCTTGAACTCCTGACCTTGTGATCCACCTGCCTCAGCCTCCCAAAGCACTGGGATTACAGGCATGAGCCACCGCGCCCGGCCAAAAAATTACTTCTTAAATGAATGAATGAATGCTATGTATGTATCCTTCCCTGCAGCCTCAACTTCCTTGGCTCAAGCAATCCTCCTGCCTTAGCCTCCCGAGTAGCTGGGACCACAGGCACACACCACCAGGCCTGGCTCCAAACTTTTTTTTTTTTTTTTTTAGATGGAGTCTCACTCTGTCGCCCAGGCTGGAGTGCAATGGTGCAGTCTCGGTTCACTGCAACCTCCGCCTCCCAGGTTCAAGCGATTTTCCTACCTCAGCCTCCCGAGTAGCTGGGATTACAGGCGCCTGCCACCATGCCCAGCTAATTTTTTGTATTTTTAGTAGAGACGGGGTTTCACCATATTGGCCAGGCTGGTCTCGACCTCCTGATCTCGTGATTTGCCCGCCTCAGCCTCCCAAAGTGCTGGGATTATAGGCGTGAGCCACTGCGCCTGGCCCAAACTTTTTTTTAAACTCACAAAGTCTCTTAAAAATATTGGAATTGATTGTCATCCCGAGAAGAATGAGCGGATTTCTAAAAATCTAGATCTCTGGCTTCTCTTGAAAAATGAGTGGATGTGGTGCCTGGCTCCCTTGCCATATTCTGTTAATGTCATAGTCCAACGCTGGGACAGTGTTGGAAGGACTGCTCAAGACTGCAAATACCAGGATGTTGGGTCCTTGAGGACCATCTAGAAGGCTGACTATTTATTTATTTATTGAGACGGGGTTTCGCTCTTGTTGCCCAGGCTGGAGTGCAATGGTGCGATCTTTGCTCACTGCAACCTCTGCCTCCCGGATTCAAGCGATTCTCCTGCCTCAGCCTCCTGAGTAGCTGGGACTACAGGCGCGGACCACCACACCCGGCTAATTTTTTTGTATTTTTAGTAGAGATGGGGTTTCACCATGTTGGCCAGGCTGGTCTTGAACTCCTGACCTCAGGTGAGCCGCCCTCCTTGGACTCCCAAAGTGCTGGGATTACAGGTGTGAGCCACCGTGCTCAGCCGAGGCTATTTAGCAAGCATGTATTGAGCACCTACTGGCTTTCAGTCATCAAGCTCAGAAGTATCTCTGTGTTAATCCAACTCAATTCCCCAAAACAAGTCTGTAAGTGTATGCCATTAGGCACACAGCCTCCACAGCCAGACTGCCTGGGTTGAAATCCGTCTTCTGCCATCCACTGATAGTGTGACTTTGGGCAAGTGACATCACCTCTGTGTGTCTTGCTTTCTTCATCTGTAAATGGGGAAAATAGTGTAATAGTGTTTACCTCTCAGGTAACACCAGGTAAGTCTCAGATGACAGCATTTTTTTTTTTTTTTTGAGACTGGGTCTCACTCTGTTGCCCAGGCTGGAGTGCAGTGGTACCATCATAGCTCACTGCAGCCTCAACCTCCTGGGCTTAAGCGATCTTCCCATCTCAGCCTCCGGAGTAGCTGGAACAACAGGCACGTGCCACCACGCCCAGCTACTTTTTTTGTTTTTTGAGCCGGAGTTTCACTCTGCTGCCCAGGCTGGAGTGCAGTGGCATGATCTTGGCTCACTGCAGCCACCACCTCCTGTGTTCAAGCGATTCTCCTGCCTCAGTTTCCCAAGTAGCTGGGATTACAAGAATGCACCACCACTCCTGGCTAATTCTTTGTATTTTTAGTAGAAACGGGGTTTCACCATGTTGGCCAGGCTGGTCTCGAACTCCTGACCTCAGGTGATCCCCCCGCCTCGGCCTCCACAACTGCTGGGATTACAGGCTTAAGCCCCCTCACCCAGCCCAGCTAATTTTTAAACTTTTAGTGGAGACGGAGTCTGGCTGTGTTGCCCAGGCTGGTCTCGAAGTCCTGGGCTTAAGTGATCCTCCTGCTTCAGCCTCCCAAAGTGCTGAGATCACAGGCCTGAGCCACCACACTGGCCTCATAGCATTTTGCAGAGGAAGAAATGGAAGTTGAAGGAGGCGACGTGTTGCCGAAGGTCACCTGGCTAGGTCTGGGTGGCAGGCGGGGAAAGCAGGCGGGGGTGTGTGGGCCGCCTTCCCGTGCTGACCTTTCTTGGGGGTAAGTGTGTTTGCTTCTCCTGTTTCCTACAGATCTGCTTGGGCAGCTCCTGCAGAACCTGGAACAGTGAATGGGTAGGGGACACTGGGCGTGCAGAAGGCGGGGGGCAGTGTGGAACATGCCTTCACCACCTCCAGCTTCTGCTGCCGGAGGCTGCACCCACCTGTGCCCATGGCCTGCACAGGCCCATCACTTCCTAGCGCCTTCGACATTCTAGGTGCAGCAGGCCAGGACAAGCTCTTGTATCTGAAGCACAAACTGAAGACCCCACGCCCAGGCTGCCAGGGGCAGGACCTCCTGCATGCCATGGTTCTCCTGAAGCTGGGCCAGGAAACTGAGGCCAGGATCTCTCTAGAGGCATTGAAGGCCGATGCGGTGGCCCGGCTGGTGGCCCGCCAGTGGGCTGGCGTGGACAGCACCGAGGACCCAGAGGAGCCCCCAGATGTGTCCTGGGCTGTGGCCCGCTTGTACCACCTGCTGGCTGAGGAGAAGCTGTGCCCCGCCTCGCTGCGGGACGTGGCCTACCAGGAAGCCGTCCGCACCCTCAGCTCCAGGGACGACCACCGGCTGGGGGAACTTCAGGATGAGGCCCGAAACCGGTGTGGGTGGGACATTGCTGGGGATCCAGGGAGCATCCGGACGCTCCAGTCCAATCTGGGCTGCCTCCCACCATCCTCGGCTTTGCCCTCTGGGACCAGGAGCCTCCCACGCCCCATTGACGGTGTTTCGGACTGGAGCCAAGGGTGCTCCCTGCGATCCACTGGCAGCCCTGCCTCCCTGGCCAGCAACTTGGAAATCAGCCAGTCCCCTACCATGCCCTTCCTCAGCCTGCACCGCAGCCCACATGGGCCCAGCAAGCTCTGTGACGACCCCCAGGCCAGCTTGGTGCCCGAGCCTGTCCCCGGTGGCTGCCAGGAGCCTGAGGAGATGAGCTGGCCGCCATCGGGGGAGATTGCCAGCCCACCAGAGCTGCCAAGCAGCCCACCTCCTGGGCTTCCCGAAGTGGCCCCAGATGCAACCTCCACTGGCCTCCCTGATACCCCCGCAGCTCCAGAAACCAGCACCAACTACCCAGTGGAGTGCACCGAGGGGTCTGCAGGCCCCCAGTCTCTCCCCTTGCCTATTCTGGAGCCGGTCAAAAACCCCTGCTCTGTCAAAGACCAGACGCCACTCCAACTTTCTGTAGAAGATACCACCTCTCCAAATACCAAGCCGTGCCCACCTACTCCCACCACCCCAGAAACATCCCCTCCTCCTCCTCCTCCTCCTCCTTCATCTACTCCTTGTTCAGCTCACCTGACCCCCTCCTCCCTGTTCCCTTCCTCCCTGGAATCATCATCGGAACAGAAATTCTATAACTTTGTGATCCTCCACGCCAGGGCAGACGAACACATCGCCCTGCGGGTTCGGGAGAAGCTGGAGGCCCTTGGCGTGCCCGACGGGGCCACCTTCTGCGAGGATTTCCAGGTGCCGGGGCGCGGGGAGCTGAGCTGCCTGCAGGACGCCATAGACCACTCAGCTTTCATCATCCTACTTCTCACCTCCAACTTCGACTGTCGCCTGAGCCTGCACCAGGTGAACCAAGCCATGATGAGCAACCTCACGCGACAGGGGTCGCCAGACTGTGTCATCCCCTTCCTGCCCCTGGAGAGCTCCCCGGCCCAGCTCAGCTCCGACACGGCCAGCCTGCTCTCCGGGCTGGTGCGGCTGGACGAACACTCCCAGATCTTCGCCAGGAAGGTGGCCAACACCTTCAAGCCCCACAGGCTTCAGGCCCGAAAGGCCATGTGGAGGAAGGAACAGGACACCCGAGCCCTGCGGGAACAGAGCCAACACCTGGACGGTGAGCGGATGCAGGCGGCGGCACTGAACGCAGCCTACTCAGCCTACCTCCAGAGCTACTTGTCCTACCAGGCACAGATGGAGCAGCTCCAGGTGGCTTTTGGGAGCCACATGTCATTTGGGACTGGGGCGCCCTATGGGGCTCGAATGCCCTTTGGGGGCCAGGTGCCCCTGGGAGCCCCGCCACCCTTTCCCACTTGGCCGGGGTGCCCGCAGCCGCCACCCCTGCACGCATGGCAGGCTGGCACCCCCCCACCGCCCTCCCCACAGCCAGCAGCCTTTCCACAGTCACTGCCCTTCCCGCAGTCCCCAGCCTTCCCTACGGCCTCACCCGCACCCCCTCAGAGCCCAGGGCTGCAACCCCTCATTATCCACCACGCACAGATGGTACAGCTGGGGCTGAACAACCACATGTGGAACCAGAGAGGGTCCCAGGCGCCCGAGGACAAGACGCAGGAGGCAGAATGACCGCGTGTCCTTGCCTGACCACCTGGGGAACACCCCTGGACCCAGGCATCGGCCAGGACCCCATAGAGCACCCCGGTCTGCCCTGTGCCCTGTGGACAGTGGAAGATGAGGTCATCTGCCACTTTCAGGACATTGTCCGGGAGCCCTTCATTTAGGACAAAACGGGCGCGATGATGCCCTGGCTTTCAGGGTGGTCAGAACTGGATACGGTGTTTACAATTCCAATCTCTCTATTTCTGGGTGAAGGGTCTTGGTGGTGGGGGTATTGCTACGGTCTTTTAATTATAATAAATATTTATTGAATGCTTCCGCAGCGCCATTGTCTTCTGGGACACCTTCTGCCTGGCTATTTGTTATAAAACACGTGGCTCCCGCTCCCGCAAAAGGGAACAGGAAGCGGGAAGTGCACGCCTCTTCTTGGAGGGCATAGACCGGCCTTTGCCCTCATCCCATTGGCCAGAATATAATCACATGGCCCTGCTCCTGCCGCAAGGAACCCTGGGAAATGTAGTCCTTTCTGAACGGCCGTGTGCCTCCCGAGTCGGGGTTCTAATACCAGGAAAGGTGGAGGGAAAAGATATTGTTGAGGGCGGGGAGGGTGCAGCCTGGGCAGCATGGTGAGACCGCGTCTCTTCAAAAATACAAAAGTTAGCTGGGCGTGGTGGTGCACGCCTGTAGTCTCAGGTACTCAGGAGGCTGAGGTGGGAGGATTGCTTGAGCCCAGGAGCCGAAGGCTGCAGTGAGCTATGAATGAATGAATGAATGAATGAATGAATGAGTGAGCGAGTGAGTGAATGAATGAATGAGTGAATGAGTGAGTGAATAAATGAACGAGTCAGTGAATGAATGAGTGAAAGAATGAACGAGTGAATGAATGAGTGAATGAATGAACGAGTGAGTGAATGAATGAGTGAATGAATGAACGAGTGAGTGAATGAATGAGTGAATGGATGAGTGAGTGAAAGGATGAGTGAATGAATGAATGAGTGAGTGAATGAATGGATGAGTGAATAAATGCATGAATTTGAATGAATGCCATTGGGGGACATTTAGCAGTTTTTGCTGCAGCCCTTCCTTTTTCTTTGGGGTCTGCCTTTGATGCCCCCACCAAGGTTGGACTCCGATGCCACTGTGTGACATTTGGCAAGTGCCTCCCCTGTCGGAGCCTCTGCTTTTTCATCTGAGAAATGGGTCTGTGGAGGCTGTTGTTTCAAGGCCTCAGCGGATCATATGCAGAACCACATATCAGGTACACCATACCTGGGTAGCAGGTGCAGCACTCATTAAGTATGGGGACCCACATGGAAGGGATTAATATTTTTCAGGGTGACAGACCTTCTAAGAATAAGAATGGAGCCAAGGTTTGTTGGACACTTAACATGTATTGATTCTGGAGTGTCTAAATACATAAACAAGACTGGGTGCTGTGGTGGCTCACATCTGTAATTAATCCCAGAACTTTGGGAGGTTGAAGTGGGAGGGTTGCTTGAGGCCAGGAATTCAAGACCAGCTTGGGCAACATAATGAAACCCCATCTCTATTTTTTTTTTTTCCTGAGATGGAGTCTGGCTCTCTCACCCAGGATGGAGTGCAGTGAAGAGAGCTCAGCTCACTGTAACCTCCACCTCTCGGGTTCAAGCTATTCTCCTGCCTCAGCCTCCCGAGTAGCTGGGATTACAGGAGCTCGCCACCACACCCGGCTAATTTTTGTATTTTTAGTAGAGATGGGGTTTCGCCATGTTGGCCACGCTGGTCTGAAACTCCTGACCTCAGGTGATCCACCTGCCTTGGGCTCCTAAAGTGCTGGGATTACAGGCGTAAGCCACCACACCCAGCCGCATCTTTCTTATTTATGTATGTATTTATTTATTTATCAACTGAATAAGACATCCAACTCTTTTTAAAAAATAAATAAATAAATAGGCCAGGCATGGTGGCTCACATCTGTTATCCCAGCACTTTTGGAGGCCAAGGCAGGCGGATCACTTGAGGTCAGGAGTTCGAGACCAGCCTGGCCAACATGATGAAACCCTGTCTCTACTAAAAATAGAAAAACCAGCTGGGCATGGGGCACACACCTGTAGTCTCAGCTACTTGTGAGGCTGAGGCAGGAGAATCGCTTGAACCTGGGAGGCGGAGATTGCAGTGAACTGAGATTGCGCCACTGCACTCCAGCCTGGGCAACAGAGCAAGACTCTGTATCAGTAAATACATACATAAATAAATAAAAATAGGCAGGGCATGGTGGCTCATGCCTGTAATCCCAGCACTTTGGGAGGCCGAGGTGGGTGGATCACCTGAGGACAGGAGTTCGAGACCAGCCTGGCCAACATGGTAAAACCCCGTCTCTACTAAAAATACAAAATTAGCTGGGTGTGGTGGTGGGTGCCTGTAATCCCAGCTACTTGGGAGGCTAAGGCAGGAGAATCGCTTGAACTCGGGAGGTGGAGGTTGCAGTGAGCCGAGATTGCACCACTGCACTCCAGCCTGGGTGACGAGAGTGAAACTCCATCTCCAAAAATAACAATAAAATAATAAAATAAAAATAAATAGGGAGGCACGGTGTTGCAGGCCCGTTGTCCTGGCGTGTAAGGAGGCGAGGCCAGACGTTTGAGATCAGCCTGGGCAACATAGGAAGGCCTCATCTATATAACAAAAAATTAAATACATAAATAAACAAACACATTTTCATCCTCAAAATGACCCCTCAAGGTAGAAGCTTCTATTATGGACCCACCTTACAGATGGGGAAAACCGAGGCCTAAAGAGATTAATTCTGACTCCAAAACTCACACAGATCAGAAACGGGGAATCACAATGGAAGGAGCTGAACTTCCAAGGGAGGAAACAAAGGAGGGTCCTCGAAGGTGAAACTGGACTCACTGAGCTGGGAAGCTGAGGAGCCCCTCCCTCCTGACAACCTGATTTGACTTTGCAGGCTCCTTCCTCCATTGCCAGGCCACATGGAAGCAGGCTGGTGTGAATCACCCAGCAGCCATGCACTACTTGCTATTTTAGTTGTTGACTCAGACTTTGTCAGAGCTCTGGTCCCGGTGGCAGCCGCAGCGGCCCAGAAGTGAAACCTGGGGAGTGGAGTTCTGAGATGAGATTCCAGGGTGCAGTGAGGTTGTTCCCAACAAAGGGTTTCGGACCATCCAGGCCGGAACCAGCTGCAAATACCTGAGCAGGGGCAGTGAACTGGCTATTCCTTCATTTGACCAACGTTCATCCAGCGCCTACTGTGTGCTGGGAGTTGTCCCAGACAGCAGACAGAAGTGATTAGTCATTGGCTGTCATTTCCGTAGGGGAGGAGAGGAAGGAATAGTAAACAAATTATAAAAGAAGAAAGCAAAATAGTTTCAGAAAGTGAAGAGCCTTCGGGCTGGGTGCGGTGGCTCACCCCTGTAATCCCAGCACTTTGGGAGGCTGAGGCGGGCGGATCATGAGGTCAGGAGATCGAGATCATCCTGGCTAACAGGGTGAAACCTCGTCTCTACTAAAAATACAAAAAATTAGCCAGGCGTGGTGGCACGCGCCTGTAATTCCAGATACTTGGGAGGCTGAGGCAGAAGAATCATTTGAACCCAGGAGGTAGAGGTTGCTGTGAGCTGAGATGGGGCTATTGCACTCCAGCCTGGACAACAAGAGCAAAACTCTGTCTCAAAAACAAAAAACAGGCCGGGCGCGGTGGCTCACGCCTGTAATCCCAGCACTTCGGGAGACCGAGGCGGGCGGATCATGAGGTCAGGAGATCGAGACCATCCTGGCTAACACGGTGAAACCCCGTCTCTACTAAAACTACAAAAAATTAGCCGGGCGTGGTGGCGGGCACTTGTAGTCCCAGCTACTCGGGAGGCTGAGGCAGGAGAATGGCGTGAACCCGGGAGGCGGAGCTTGCAGTGAGCCGAGATCGCACCACTGCACTCCAGCCTGGGCGACAGAGCGAGACTCCGTCTCAAAAAAAAAAAAAGAAGTGGTGGTGGGAGTGTCTCAGGAGAAAGAATTTCAGCAGGGGTGGCCGAAGGGGCTCTCTAGGAGGGGGTGTTGGAGTTGAGACCTGGGGGGAAGAAAAGGAGTCAGTCATGGGAAGAGCTGGAGGTGAAAGTGGGAATGACCTTCTAGGCAGAGGGCACAGCCCATGCAAAGGCCCTGGGGGCAGATGGCACCTGGTGTGTTGGAGGAACAGCGAGGAGGCTGGAGCAGAGTGAGCGACGGGCAGAGAGGGAGGAGGGGAGGGCGAAAAGGGGATGGGGCAGGTTAAGCAGGGCCTGGTGGGTCATGGGGAGGTCTTGGGCTTTGACCCCCAGGCGGGTGGGAGCCATGCAGGGCTGTGGGCAGAGGAGGGACAGGACCTGACTCCAGTGCTCACAGGTGCCCTCTGGTGGCCGCTGCAGGGAGGACAGACCTTGGTGGGCCAGGGCTGATGCTGGGGCACCAGGGTGGAGGCGACTGCACTGGTCTGGGTGAGTGATGTTGGCTGGGGCTGGACCAGGTAGAGACAAGAGCAGAGGAGATGTGGGCACATTCAGGGCCTGCCCAGTTCAGAGGACCCTTTCCTGTTCCTTAAAGTGACTGAAAAAGAATTCGGCCCAGGAACCTTCACTTGTCCCAGGTCAGCCAGGCTGGCCTCGGCAGCAGGAACAGCGGGTTCAAGCCCCTGCTTCTCCCTGAGATAGTGTGGCACTTGGGGCAAGACACAGCCTTCCTCTTCCTCTTCTTCTTCTTCTTCCTCCTCCTCCTCTTCCTCTTCTTCTTCCTCTTCCTCCTCCTCTTCCTCTTCCTCTTCTTCTTCTTTCTTCTTCTTTCTTCTTCTTCTATTTTGTGACAGAGTTTCACTCTTCTTGCCCAGGCTGGAGTGCAATGGTGGAATCTCGGCTCACTGCAACCTCCGCCTCCTGGGTTCAAGCAATTCTCCTGCCTCAGCCTCCTGAGTAGCTGGGATGACAGGCACCCACCACCACATCCAGCTAAATTTTTTTTTTTTTTTTTTTTTTTTTTTTTAGTAGAGACAGGGTTTCCTCATGTTGGCCAGGCTGGTCTTGAACTCCTGACCTCAGGTGATCCACCTGCTTCGGCCTCCCAAAGTGCTGGGATTACAGGCGTGAGCCACCGCGCCCGGCCGGCAGCCTTTTTCTGGGCCTCATCTTCCTCATTTGTACCATAGACCTCACGTCTGGAACTCCCATTCCCAGCTGTCTCCACATACCTCCTGTAGATCTGTAAAGCAGGGTCATTTTGAATGCCCTGAGGGTCGGGCACGGTGGCTGACGTCTGTAATCCCAGCAGTTTGGGAGGCCGAAGTGGGAGGATCACATGAAGCCAGGACTTTGAGATCAGCCTGGTCAACACAGTGAGAATCCTGTCTCAATGAAATGAAATGAAATAATGAAATAAAAAGCCAGGCTTGGTGGCACCCACCTGCTGTCCCAGCTACTGGGAGGCTGAAGCAGGAGGATCCCTTGAGCCCAGGAAGTCAAGGCTGCAGTGAGATATCATGGTGTCACTGCACTCCAGCCTGGGTGACAAAGCTGGACCTTGTCTCAAAAAAAAAAAAAAGCTCAGGCTCCTTGGCTCACGCCTGTAATCCCAGCACTTTGGGAGGCCAAGATGGGAGGATCATTTGAGGTCAGGATTTAAAAGACCAGCCTGACCAACATGGTGAAACCCTGTCTGTACTAAAAATACAAAAATTAGCCGAGCGTGGTGATGCGTGCCTTTAATCCCAGCTACTCAGGAGCCTGAGGCAGGAGAATTGCTTGAACCTGGGAGGTGGAGGTTGCAGTGAGCCGAGATCACGCCACCGCACTCCAGCCTGGGCTACGGAGTGAGACTCTGTCTCAAAAAAAAGAAAGAAAGAGGCCGGGCGCAGTGGCTCACACCTGTAATCCCAGCACTTTGGGAGGCCCAGGCAGGCGGATCACGAGGTCAGGAGATCAAGACCATCCTGACCAACATGGTGAAACCCCGTCTCTACCAAAAATACAAAAAAATTAGCCAGGCGTGGTGGCGGGCGCCTGTAGTCCCAGCTACTCAGGAGGCTGAGGCAGGAGAATGGCGTGAACCTGGGAGGCGGAGCTTGCAGTGAGCTGAGATCGCACCACTGCACTCCAGCCTGGATGACAGAGCGAAACTCCATTAAAAAGAAAAGAAAAGAAAAGAAAAGAAATCTATGTTGTCCAGTGCTGGAGACAGACAGTATTAGGCAGTTATGGGGTGATGGGGGCTCTGATGGGGAAGCTGTGGGACCCCAAAGGGGACCCTAGACTGGCCTGGGGAGATTAAAGGAAGTTTCTGAAAGAAGGAAGTAAGCTAAGACCTCAGGCCTTCATTGGAATGAGCCACGGGCGGGGAGAGAGTTCTAGAAGGTGGTACAGCATGGGTGAAGGTCTGGAAGGTCTGGAAGGCAGCTCCAGGCAGGACCAGGTCCCCAGCTCTAGGGGCTCAGCTGCGATTTGCGCTGCCCCAGCGCCCTCTGGTGGCCACCGCCCGCCGGCCCCACGTGGCCACGAAAGCCCAGATTCCCTGGGAGCCTAACAGCCTTGAAGAAAAATAGGAAGAAAAAAAAATAAGAAAATGTCCCATTTATTTCTTTATTTATTTTGAGATGGAGTTTTTGCTCTTGTTGCCCAGGCTGGAGTGCAGTGGCGCGATCTTGGCTCACTGCAACTTCCACCTCCCGGTTTCAAGCGATTCTCCTGCCTCAGTCTCTCAAGTAGCTGGGATTACAGGCATGCACCACCATGCCCAGCTAATGTTGTGTTTTTAGTAGAGACGAGGTTTCTCCATATTGGCCAGGCTGGTCTCGAACTCCTGACCTCAGGTGATCTGCCCGCCTTGGCCTCCCAAAGTGCTGGGATTACAGGCGTGAGCCACCGAGCCCGGCCCAATGTCCCCTCTATTTAAAAACGGTGAAATGTGAATAAATAACAGAGGATTTCTTTCTGGAAGTCAGTATACACACAGCCAGACCGGGCTGGGCAGCTATATGTGCCTGCTTGGAATGATCTCTTTCTGATACATATTTTTTTGAGACCAACTCTTACTCTGTCGCCCAGGCTGGAGTGCAGTGGCCTGATCTCAGCTCATTGCAGCCTTCGCCTCACAGGTTTAAGCAATTCACCTGCCTCAGCTTTCCGAGTAGCTGGGATTACAGGCATGCGCCACCACGGCCAGCTAATTTTTGTATTTTTAGTAGAGATGGGGTTTCACATATGTTGTCCAAGCTGGTCTTGAACTCCTGAGTAGCTGGGATTACAAGCATGCGTCACCATGCCCAGCTAATTTTGTATTTTTAGTGGAGACGGGGTTTATCCATGTTGGTCAGGCTGGTCCTGAACTCTTGACCTTAGGTGATCCACCTGCCTCGGCCTCCCAAAGTGCTGGGATTACAGGCCTGAGCCACTGTGCCCGGCATTTATTATTATTATTGTTTATTTTTTATTTTTTGAGATGGCGTCTCGCCCCGGCACCCAGGCTGGAGTGCAGTGGCGTGATCTCCACCTCCTGGTTCAAGCGATTCTTGTGCCTCAGCCTTCCAAGTAGCTGGGATTACAGGGGCCCGCCACCACACCCAGCTATTTTTTATATTTTTAGTAGGAGACGGGGGTTTTACCATGTTGGCTAGGTTGGTCTCGAACTCCTGACCTCAGGTGATCTGCCCACCTCGGCCTCCCAAAGTGTTGGGATTACAGGCGTGAGCCACTGCGCCTGGTCCTGTTATTTCTTAAGTGGAGACATCAGTGGTTTTTACTGTATTCACTATATTATGCAACTATTGCCACTATCTAATTTCAGAAACTTTCATCACCCCAA
The DNA here is from genome assembly GCF_000001405.40 of Homo sapiens. Lineage (NCBI taxonomy): Eukaryota > Metazoa > Chordata > Mammalia > Primates > Hominidae > Homo > Homo sapiens. The sequence continues at coordinate 4,808,426 of NC_000019.10, read as the reverse complement.
AAAGCAGCACTGGAACCATCAGCTGACACTGCCCACTGCCTCCCCCCAGCCCCGGCACCCATGCATCCCCTTCCTGTTTCTGTGGATGAGCCTGTCCTGAACATTTCACAGAAATTGGATCACGTGGCCGGGCGCGGTGTCTCACACCTGTAATCCCAGCACTTTCGGAGGCCAAGGCAGGTGGATCACAAGGTCAGGAAATCGAGACCATCCTGGCTAACACGGTGAAACCCCGTCTCTACTAAAAATATAAAAAAATTAGCCGGGCGTGGTGGCGGGCGCCTGTAATCCCAGCTACTCGGGAGGCTGAGGCAGGAGAATGGCGTGAACCTGGGAGGCAGAGCTTGCAGTGAGCCGAGATCACGCCACTGCACTCCAGCCTGGGCAACAGAGCGAGACTCCATCTCAGAAAAAAAAAAAAAGAAAGAAATTGGATCACACACTGTGTGGCCTTTTGTGTCTGCCTTCTCTCACTGAGCAAAACATGAATATGTTTTCTGATGCCCATCCTATTTTTTGAGACAGGGTCTCATTCTGTTACCCAGCCTGCAGTGCAGTGGCAAGATCATGGTTCACTGTAGCCTTGAACTCCTGGGCTCAAGCGATCCTCCCGCCTCAGCTTCCCAGGTAGCGGGGACTACAGGCAGGCACCACCACACCCGGCTAACTTTTGTATTTTTTTGTAAAGACAAGAATCTCACTATGTTACCCAGGCTGATCTCAAACTCCTGGGTTCAAGCGATCCTACTGCCTTGGCCTCCCAAAGTACTGGGATTACAGGCGTGAGCCACTGCACCCGGCCCTTAGTTTCTTCTAGAAGCATCTGTTGCCCTCCTGGGCTTGGCATGATGCTGAGCCTTTGCCAGGGGTCACCCTGCTGCTCAAGCTAGAGACTGCATGACCCAGACCCTGCGGGCTCCCTCCAGGAACTGAAAGAGGAAGTTTCTGAGGCTGCACAGCCAGGACCCGCTTGGCCCCTCTGGCCATGAAAATAAAGGGCCCTTCTGGAAGGCAGGGGCCAGGGTGCAGCTTCACTTCCTACAGGCTTTGCACCAGAACAGAATTTCCAGAAGTTCCCCCAGGATCCTCTTCCTGTCCTGTCCTTCCTGTGAAACTATTACCATCCACCACCCACCCCAGCCGCATGTCCCAGAAATTGCTCTGCTCAGCCAGGCGCGGTGGCTGACGTCTGTAATCCCAGCACTTTGGGAGGCTGAGGCTGGTGGATGACTTGAGCCCAGGAGTTCGAAACCAGCCTGGCCAACATGGTGAAACCCCGTCTCCACAAAAATTACAACAAATAGCTGAGCGTGGTGGCACACGCCTGTAATCCCAGCTACTTGAGAGGCTGAGGCAGGAGAATCGCTTGAACCCGGGAGGCAGAGGTTGCAGTGAGCCGAGATCTCACCACTGCACTCCAGCCTGGGCGGCAGAACAAGACTCTGTCTGAAAATAAATAAATAAATAAATAAATAATAAAATAAAATTGGCCGGGCACTGTGGCTCACTCCTGTAATCCCAGCTACTAAGGAGGCTGAGGCAGAAGAATCGCTTGAACCTGGGAGGCAGAGGTTGGAGTGAGCCGAGATCTCACCATTACACTGCAGCCTGGGCGACAGAGCGAGATTCTGTCTCAAAAAAATACAATAAAATATAAAATAAAAAGAATAAAAAGAAACTGCTCTGCTCAAGGTCCTTGGTGATCTTGTGTTGTTAAATCCAGGGTCAGTTTTACATCTGCCTTGACCTCTGGCCTTTGTCACTCTGCTCCAGCCATGTGAGCCTTCCCGTTGTTCCTATAACATGTTGGGTGCGGTCCTGCCTCAGGGCCTTTGCACAGGCTGTGACTTCAGCCTGGAATGCCCTTCCCCCAGGTACCTACATGGCTCCCTCATCACTTGCTTCAGATCTTTGCTCAAACATCACCGTCTGGCTGAGCTGGTGGTGGGCACCTGTTGTCCCAGCTGCTCCAGAGGCTGAGGTGGGAGGGTCGTTTGAGCCCAGGAGTTCGAGGCTGCAGTGAGCTATGATCAATCACGCCACTGCACTCCAGCCTGGGCGACAGAGCGGGATGCTGTCTCTTGATTCCCTGTGGTATCAAAGGCCTCACCCTCTCCATGCGTGCTCCTCATTTAAAATTCATTCAAGGCTGGACATGGTGGCTCACGTCTGTCATCCCAGCACTTTGGGAAACCGAGGCAGGGGGATGCCTTGAGGTCAGGAGTTCAAGACCAACCTGGCCAACATGGTGAAACTCCATCTCTAACAAAAATACAAAAAATTAGCTGGGCCTGGTGGTACCTGTAAAAAAAAAAAATTAAAAAATTAAATAAAATTGGCCGGGCACTGTGGCTCACGCCTGTAATCCCAGCTACTCAGGAGGCTGAGGCAGGAGGATTGCTTGAACCTGGGAGGCAGAGGTTGCAGTGAGCCGAGATCATACCACCGCATTCCAGCCTGGGTGACAGAGCAAGACCCTGTCTCAAAAAAATAAAAATTAATATAATATAATATAATATAATATAATATAATATAATATAATTCATTCAAAACAGAACCCACCAGATCCCCTGAATAGGCTTCATCTTTCCACAGCACTTTGGAGTTTGAGACAAATACAATCAACTTATTCATGGCCCACATGTCTATGGTCTGCCTGTCCGTGGGCTTTATTGTGGGATCCCAAGGTATGGTCTATAGCAGATGCTCAATAAATGTTTGAATTTGAATTGATCCCCAAGTCTTTTTTTTTTTTTTTTTTTTTTGAGATGGAGTTTCACTCTTGTTGCCCAGGCTGGAGTGTAGTGGTGCTATCTCGGCTCACTGCAACCTCTGCCTCCCGGGTTCAAGTGATTCTCCTGCCTCAGCCTCCCAAGTAGCTGGGATTACAGGCACACGCCACCATGCCCAGCTAATTTTGTATTTTTAGTAGAGACAGTGTTTCACTGTGTTGGTCAGGCTGGTCTCGAGCTCCTGACCTCAAATGATCTACCCGCCTCGGCCTCCCAAAGTGCTGGGATGACAGGTGTGAGCCACCACACCCGGTGGATGCCCAAGTCTTTTTAAAAATTAATTAATTAATTAATTAATTTATTTATTTATTTATTTTTGAAACAAGGTCCCACTCTGTCACCCAGGCTGGAATGCAGTGGTCTGATCACAGCTCACTGCAGCCTCAACACTTCCAGGCCAAGCAATCCTCCCACCTCAGCCTCCTGCGTAGCTGGGACCACAGGTGCACACCATCACACCCAGGTAATTTTTGTAAAGATGGGGTTTTGCTGTGTTGCCCAGGCTGGTTTCAAACTCCTGGGTTCAAGTAATCTGTCCAGCTCAGCCTCAGGCTCGCAAAGTGCTGGGATTACAAACATGCACCACCATGCCCAGCTGCTTTTTTTTTTTTTTTGAGACAGGGTCTCACTGTTGCTCAGGCTGAAGTGCAGTGGTGCGATCACAGCTCACTGCGGCCTGGACCTCCCAGGCTCAAGCAATCCTCCCATCTCAGCCTCCTGAGTAACTGGGATTACAGGCATGTGCCACCACACGCAGCTAATTTTTTTGTATTTTCAGTAGAGACGGTATTTCACCATGTTGGCTAGGCTGGTCTCGAACTCCTGACCTCAAATGATTCACCTGCCTCATCTTCCCAAAGTGCTGGGAATACAGGCGTGAGCCACTGTGCCCGGCCCTACATTTTTTGTAGAGATGGAGTTTCACCATGTTGCCCAGGCTGGTCTCGAACTCCTGGGCTCAAGCAATCCTCCCGCCTTGGCCTTCCAGTGTTGGGACTGCAGGCATGAGCCTCTGCGCCTGGCCTCAAGTCAGTTTTTCCGTTTCTCGATTCCACGTTCGCTTCCTGCTAGCCGGTGTATTTTGTTCATTCCCCCCATTATCCGTTCATTCCCTCGTTGAGCAGTGTGTATTGAGCATCTACTGTATGCCTGGGATGGCTTCAGATCGAGTGAACGCTGTTTTCTGGGACGGATCCCGTTGCTGCCCTCATAGGGCTCACAGCTCCAAGGGGAGGCAGACACAGGAATGGGTGGTCTCGTGTGGGCTTGCCCTGGGTGTGATGGGGATGCAGAAGTAATAGGGGGTGGGGACCCGGGGACAGGGACCTGAACCCACCAGTAGTGCTCAGAGCTCTCTGCAGCCCCCAGGAAGGAAAGGGCACTCCAGGTGGAGGGCATGGCACAGGTAACAACCCTGAGGGGTAGGAGGGAGCGTGGACCCTCCGAGGGACCGAGGGGAGCCAGTGTGGCCCACCGTGGTGCAGGCCTTGTGTCCCCCAAGCCTGGAGGCAGGGGGCGCATGAACTATCTGTGGGGACCCAGAAGGTGCCGCAATGAGCCAACAGTGTCACCAGAGGGCACCATCGGACAGCGGTTCCAGCCTCTCCCGACCCCGGCTGAGGAGGGGACGGTCCCTCTTTCCCGGGCCTGCTCCAAAGAGAGAGCCCAAAGGGGGCTCCCTGAAAAGTGCCCAGTCCCCAGCCATGCCAACAGCCCCCTCGTCCCTCTGTAAATTGCAATAATAGGCCTGGTGCGGTGGCTCACGCCTGTAATCCCAGCAGTTTGGGAGGTCGAGGTGGGTGGATCACCTGAGGTCAGGAGTTCAAGACCAGCCTGGCCAACATGGTGAAACCCCATCTCAACTAAAAATACAAAAATTAGCCAGGCGTGGTGGCAGGCACCTGTAGTCCCAGCTATTCGGGAGGCTGAGGCAGGAGAATCACTTGAACCCGGGAGGTGGAGATTGCAGTGAGCCGAGATGTCACCACTGCACTCCAGCCTGGGTGACAGAGCAAGACTCCACCTCAAAAATAAATAAATAGGCCGGACATGGTGGCTCACGCCTGTAATTCCAGCACTTTGGGAGGCCGAGGCGGGCGGATCATGAGGTCAGGAGATCCAGACCACCCTGACTAACACGGTGAAAACCCGTCTCTACTAAAAACACAAAAAATCAGCCAGGTGTGGTGGCGGGTGCCTGTAGTCCCAGTTACTCGGGAGGCTGAGGCAGGAGAATGACTTGAACCCAGGAGGCAGAGGTTGCAGTGAGCTGAGATCGCGCCACTGCACTCCAGCCTGGGCAACAGAGCGAGACTCCGTCTCAAAAAATAAAAATAAAAATAAAAATAAATAAATAGATAAATAATACATTGCAACAATAATGACAGCCAAATACCTATCCCCATCGGCAGGTCACCAGGGCTTTCTTTGCCCCATTGTGCAGATGGAGAAACTGAGGCACAGAGAGGTAGTGTCGCTTTGCAAAGTCACACAATGAGACTGCAAGGCCGGGACTAGGATGAGCCAGAAAGGCCCCTCAGAGACAAATTAAAGCCAGAGTTAATCGTCAGGGGTGCGCAGGTGTGGGATCTTTGGAAATCACTGTCTAATGTTGTTTCCAGCCCAATTGGAGCCCAGAGGGGGCAGATGCCAGCCTGAGGCCACACAGCAGGCTCTTCTCCAGTCCCCTCCCCCAAGAGTGTCTCGCTGCAGCCCTGGGGTTTGCCTGGGCTCACAAATGCCATCCCCAAGTGCCCCTGGGCGGGGATCTTTTATTTTTAACCTGTTCACTGGCTGTGGCCTTATTATAGCCCTGGGAGGCTGCCACGGTTTCCAGTTTCCAAGGGAAGCTGCAAAACTTTTTATCTTCCCAGGAAAAGGAGTGTCTGGGCGCAGTGGCTCTTTCCTGTAATCCCCATATTTCGGGAGGCTGAGGTGGATCGCTTAAGCCCAGGAGTTTGGGACCAGCCTGGCCAACACAGTGAGACCCCTGTCTCTATTTTTATTTTTTATTATTTATTTATTTATTTTGAGACAAAGTGTTACTCTGTCGCCCAGGCTGGAGTGCAATGGCACGATCTTGGCTCACTGCAACCACTGCTTCCTGGGTTCAAGCGATTCTCGTGCCTCAGCCTCCCGAGTAGCTGGGATGACAGGCATGCACCACCACACCCAGCTAATTTTGTATTTTTAGTAGAGACGGGGTTTCGCCCATGTTGGCCAGGCTGGTCTTGAACTCCTGACCTGAAGTGATTCTCCCGCCTCGGCCTCCCAAAGTGCTGGGATTACAGGCGTGAGCCACCACACCTGGCCAAAATCAATGTATTTTCTTTTCTTTTTTCTTTTAAGAGATGGGGTCTTGCTATGTTGGCTAGTCTTGAACTCTGGGCCTTCAGTGATGATCTCATCTCACCTTCCTAAGTGGCTGGGATTATAGGCACATGCCATTGTGGCTGGCTCTTTAATATATTTTCTATTGCTTGAGCCAGTTAATATTTTTCTTTAAATAGGCTTTGAAAATCAACCTTTATTTTTTGGGAATTAGATCTTGGTGATGGTTGTACAGCCTTGTAAATGTACTAAAAGCCCCTGAATTATCCATGTTAAAATGGTGAATTTTATGTTTTGCAAATTATATCTACATTAAAAAATGTAAAAGCCATTAAAAATGTAAATGCTGACCAGGCGCAGTGGCTCACGCCTGTAATCCCAGCACTTTGGGAGGCTGAGGCGGGCGGATCATGAGGTCAGGAGCTCGAGACCATCCTGGCTAACATGATGAAACCCCGTCTCTACTAAAAATACAAAAATTAGCCGGGCGTGGTGGCGGGCGCCTGTAGTCCCAGCTACTCGGGAGGCTGAGGCAGGAGAATGGCGTGAACCTGGGAGGCGGAGCTTGCAGTGAGCGGAGATCGCACCACTGCACTCCAGCCTGGGCGACAGTGAGACTCCGTCTCAAAAAAAAAAAAAAATGTAAATGCCATTCAACTCGTATTTATTTATTTGTTTGTTTGTTTGTTTAGAGACGGTCTCTCTCTGTCACCCAGGCTGAAGTGCAATGGTGCAATCACAGCTCACTACAGCCTCCACCTCCTGGGCTCAAGCAATCCTCCCACCTCAGTCTCTTGAGCAGCTGGGATCACAGGTGCACACCACCACACCCAGCTAATTTTTATATATTTCTTGTAGAGATGAGGGGAGTGGGTCTCACTAAGTTGTCCAGGCTGGTCTCGAACTCCTGGGCTCAACCAACCCTCCCACCTCAGCCTCCCAAAATGCTGGGATTATAGGCATGAACCACTGTCCCTGGCTGTGGGGCTGCACCTTAGATAATCCAGGAAGACTTCATGGAGGAGATGACATTGGATCAAGATCATTGCTTTAATCGACATCAAATGATTAATAAGTTAATAATTCAAATTAATACATTTGAATTAATATCAATAATTAAATCATGTCTATTAACAGACATTCAAACACAAGCTTTAATAGGAGATATCAAGGCACAGGGTGGAGGGAGGGGGTTGCTCCAGGGAATTCTGAATGTCCCAGTTCATGCAGAAGTTCAAGGTGTCTTGTACAACCCACTGGGGAAACAGGATCTGGGACCGGTGCGGGCACATTCTCCTGGCCCAGCACAGGGGCGGTGCCACCCACATTCGGCCCGGGTCTTGCCTAATACATGTTTTGGTAAACACTCGGTCAGAGCACCCTCTGTTTTTTCCAGTCCCGAAGCTCCCCGCAGGAATCCACACCCCCGCCCCACCCCTCTCGGGACACGGATTCAATGTCCCTGGTGGGTCATCTGGCCTTTTCGGCCTGTGATGTGATTCGAGCGGTGCTATCTTTAACCTCGGGCAGGGGTGTTCTCCCCCGTCGACGTTGCTCAGATAACAGTCCTGCAATTCCATGGGGGCGGCGGCACCCGGGGTCTGGCAAAGCCATAGGGGCCTGCTTGTGTCCCCTGCTGCTGCCCCAAGTAGTCAGAGGAGGATGTGAATTCCCAACTCGTTCACTGTTCGCTTGCTCAGCCCATATTTACAGGCCACCTGGCGTGGGACAGACCCTGGCGTGGGTGCTGAGGACGCAGCAGTGACTGACACCCTCAAAGTGCTGGGGAGGGTCTAAGAAAGTCACTGAGTAGATGAGCGAATGAGCAGAACTCCAGGTCCCGACTTCAGTTCTGTGGAATCAGACTGGCAGCAGGCTGGGAAGGGCAGTCGGCGAGCTTGGGGGGGCCCCCACTTCCCCATCTCCCAGGTCAGGCTTGGCTGCCTGGCTCTCGACACCTTCCAGCAGGGGGTTAAGCTTTGACCCCGATGCTTCCGGGCTGGGTAAGCTTAGACAAGCCCCCTCCCCTCTCTGTGAGCCTGTTTCTCTGGGATCTGCTGGATCAGCCCTCACCTGAAGCTGGTAGAGCTTTAAGATGGCCTTCCTCTTAAGAGGGCTGTTTTTCCTACTTTATTATTATTCTTATTTTTCTCCCGTCCATGGGACTCTGACATGTTTTTCCGCCTTTAGAGGGCTGCTGTGTAAACAGGCAGGACATTTAACCACAAACGACTTGGCTCTCCCTCTTGGCTGTGTGGCCTTAGGTACTCCACTTGAGCTCTCTGAGCTTTTTTCTTCACTGATCAACGGCAGGTAGTCATTTTACTATTGTGAACATTTTTTGCTACCCTCCATGGCATTGATGGCCCCATTTTTTTTTTTTTTTTTTTTTTTTTTTTTGAGACAGAGTCTTGCTATGTCACCCAGGCTGGAGTGCAGTGGCGCGATCTCGGCTCACTGTAACTCCGCCTCCCGGGTTCACGCCACTCTCCTGCCTCAGCCTCCCGAGTAACTGGGACTACAGGCGCCTGCCACGACGCCCGGCTAATTTTTTGTATTTTTAGTAGAGACGGGGTTTCACCGTGTTAGCCAGGATGGTCTTGATCTCCTGACCTCGTGATCCGCCCGCCTCGGCCTCCCAAAGTGTTGGGATTACAGGCGTGAGCCACCGCACCCAGCCAGATGGCCCCATTTTACAGCAACTCCAGTTACACATGGATTACAGACCCTCTGGGGGCCCTCCTCAGGCCAAGCCAATTGGCACATCCCACTCCTGGGCTACTAGGATTGGGTCATGGAAGAACATGGGACCCAGGCTGGTCCAATCAGAGCGTATCTTGATGTTTTTAGTTTTTTGTTTGTTTGTTTGTTTGTTTGTTTTGTTTTGTTTTGAGACAGAGTCTTGCTCTGTTGCCCAGGCTGGAGTGCAGTGGTGCAATCTCGGCTCACTGCAACCTCCATCTCCCGGGTTCAAGCGATTCTCCTTCCTCAGCCTCCCAAGTAGCTGGGATTACAGGTGCCTGCCACCGTGCCTGGCTAATTTTTTGTATTTTTAGAATAGATAGGGTTTCACCATGTTGACCAGGCTGGTCTCGAACTCCTGACCTCGTGATCCACCTGCCTCGGTCTCCCAAAGTGCTGGAATTACAGGCGTGAGCCACCGCGCTCGGTCACGAATCTTGGGATGTGACTGGGAGGAAGACGCTCTCTTTTCTCCTGGTCATCACCTTGGGACACCCACCCCACCCCAGTCTCAGAGGAGCTAGCAACCAGGTCTTTAGGAACAACTGGGATCTGCTGGATCGGCCCTCAGCTGAAACTGGTAGAGCTTTAAGATGGCCTTCATTAGAAGGTATGAGGCTAAAGTTACAATCCCCAGGTCTGAGCTTTCAAAGCAAGCATTTAGCTCAGATGATTTTTGTGAGTGATTTTCTTGGGGTTAGGGGGCTGAGTCTGGCAGATCCCCGAGGGAAACAGACGCTCAGGATGCGGAGGCAGGATGGCCACCTGCCCCAGGGATGGGAGAGCTTGTGCCAAAACAACACCAGAAAGCAGGGGAAAGGGATCCATGTGTCTGGCGTCCCGGATGGAGAATCAGCACAAGGTATGAACTCTGACGGTCCTGGGTTCCAATCTCGACCCTTCCTTCATGCGCTGTGTCCTTAGGCATTTTTCTTTCTTTTTTTTTTTTTTGAGATGGAGTCTTGTGCTCTGTCGCCCAGGCTGGAGTGCAGTGGTGCGATCTCGGCTCACTGCAAGCTCCGCCTCCTGAGTTCACACCATTCTCCTGCCTCAGCCTCCCGAGTAGCTGGGACTACAAGCGCCCACCACCATGCCTGGCTAATTTTTTGTGCTTTTAGTAGAGAGACGGGGTTTCACCGTGTTAGCCAGGATGGTCTTGGTCTCCTGACCTCGTGATCCGCCCGCCTCAGCCTCCCAAAGTGCTGGGATTACAGGCGTCTGCCACCGCGCCCGGCTGTCCTTAAGCATCTTAATGTCTCTTAGTAGCCTCAGTTCCCCCGCCTGCCATACCGGACCTGCTTTGTTTTGTTTGTTTGTTTGTTTGTTTTTTGAGACGGAGTCTCGCTCTGTCGCCCAGGCTGGAGTGCAGTGGTGCGATCTCGGCTCACTGCAAGCTCCGCCTCCCGGGTTCACGCCATTCTCCTGCCTCAGACTCCGGAGTAGCTGGGACTACAGGCACCTGCCACCACACCCGGCTAATTTTTGTATTTTTAGTAGAGACGGGGTTTCACCGTGTTAGCCAGGATGGTCTCGATCTCCTGACCTCGTGATCCGCCCGCCTTGGCCTCCCAAAGTGCTGGGATTACTGGCGTGAGCCCCTGCGCCCGGCCCTGCTTTGTTTTTTTGAAACAGGGTCTCACTCTGTTGCCCAGGCTGGAGTGTGATGGTGCCATTAAGGCTCACTGCAGCCTCAAACTCCTGGGCTCAATCAATCCTCCTGCTTCAGCCTCCCCAGTAGCAGCTGGGACTACATATCACTACACATGGCTAATTTTTTTTTTTTTTTTTTTTTGTAGAGACAGGATCTCACTTTGCTGCCCATGATGGTCTCAAACTCCCAGGCTCAAGCGATCCTCCAGCCTCAGCCTCCCAAGGTGCTGGGATTACAGGTGTGAGCCACCGTGCCCGGCCAGGACTTACTTTAGATAGGTCCTACTTTGGCTTTTGACTGGGAGAAAGATGCTCTCTTTTCTGCTGGCGGTCATCTTGGGACACCCACCCCACCCCAGTCTCAAGGGAGCTATCAACCAGGTCTTTAGGAATAATTGGGATCTGCTGGATCAGCCCTCACCTGAAACTGGTTGAGCTTTAAGATGGCCTTCATCTGGTCGGGTGCGGTGGCTCATGCCTGTAATCCCAGCACTTTGGGAGGCCGAGGTGGGCGGATCATGAGGTCAGGAGATCAAGACTATCCTAACACGGTGAAACCCCATCTCTACTAAAAATACAAAAAATTAGCCGGGCATGGTGGCAGGTGCCTGTAGTCCCAGCTACTCGGGAGGCTGAGGCAGGAGAATGGTGTGAACCCGGGAGGCTGAGCTTGCAGTGAGCCGAGATCACACCACTGCACTCCAGCCTGAGCGACAGAGACTCCGTCTCAAAAAAAAAAAAAAAAAAAAAAAAAGATGACCTTCATCTTAAGAGGGCCGTTTTTCCTACTTCATTATTTTTCTTCCATCCATGGGACTCTGATATGTTTTTCCTCCTTTAGAGGGCTGTTGTGTAAACAGGCAGTGCATTTAACCACAGAAAATGGTGCCTGGCATACAGTAGGTGCTCAATAAATGCTCACTAGTACTGTGTCTCCCAGGAGACAGCTTTGAGAGCACCTGCTGATTCAAACCCACTCCTTTGATGCAACACCAAACAGGCATACAACAGCCCAACAGCTGTCACCTGTGGGACTGTCCAGTCCCAAATGAAACAAGACAGCAGGTGTGTGAAGGCAAGAGATGGGAGACACCCACCCTCGGGAGAAGAGCCCTCCAACCCAATGCACCATGGAAGCAGCATGCGGTGCCCCACAGCAGGGCCTCTCCCCACTGCCACGTGAGGCGGGCGCACAGGGATTAACCGGACGTTCATATCGACAGCTCAATCCTTATCCCCAAGGGGGCCTGAAACCTGCCTGGCACATGGCAGGGGCTCAGCAAAATCCCATGGACCCAGCTAACGGGGTGGTGCTTTCTGGTGGGGGTTTGACTGTTCTGATATGGAGAAAACCAGAATTTTAGAATGGAACAAGTTTACACAAGGAGGTGAGATGAGATGGCAGATAAAGGAAAACAAAAAAGGGCCAGGCGTGGTGGCTCACACCTATAATCCCAGCACTTTAGGAGGCCGAGGCGAGTGGATCACAAGGTCAGGAGTTTGAGACCAGCATGGCCAATATGGTGAAACCCCGTCTCTGCTAAAAATACACAATTAGCCAGGCATGGTGGTGTATGCCTGTAGTCCCAGATGCTCAGGAGGCTGAGGCAGGAGAATCACTTGAACCCGGGAGGCAGCGGTTGCAGTGAGCCGAGATGGCGTCACTGCACTCCAGCCTGGGTGACAGAGCAAGACTCCATCTCAAAAAAAAAAAAAAAAAAAATGTAGAGACAGAGGTCTTACTATGTTGCCCAGGCTTCCCAAGGTGCTGAGATTACAGATGTGAGCCACCGTACCCAGCCTATTTTTTATTTTTGTAAAGACAGGCTCTCACTATGTTGCCCAGGCTTTTTTTCAAAGAGCAACATACTGTTTTTCAAATGAAATTTTACACAAAGCCCCAGTATGTAACATAGAGGCCAGGTGCAGTGGTTCATGCTTGTAATTCCAGCACTTTGGGAGGCTGAGGTGGGAGGATCGCTTGAGTTCAGGAGTTTGAGACCAGCCTGGCCAACATGGCAAAACCTGCCTCTACAGAAAATACAAAAATTAGCTGGGCATAGTGGCAGGTGCCTGTAATCTCAGCTACTCAGGAGGCTGAAGCAGAATTGTTTGAACCCAGGAGGCAGAGGTTGCAGTGAGCTGAGATCGCGCCATTGCACTCCAGCCTGGGGGACAGGGTGAGACTCTGTCTCAAAAAAAAAAAAAAAGCCCCAGTATGTAACACAGAAACCCCTCTGGCTAGGGGAGGTGGCCCTAGGGCTCTCTGTTCACTCACACCAATGCCATGGACTGACTCACCCACCTCCGACTTCCCCAGTTAACCCACGCCAAGGACGCATCAGGCAGGCCATTCTCTTTGAGTATCTTTTTAATGACTTAAACACCAGCACGGAGACTCGCCATGTAAACGGCCTCATTTCTGTGCTCTGTGCTTTGGGAGGGACAGGGACACCATTTCCCACCTCGGCTGAGTTAAAACCTGTCTTGTAAATTAATAAATAATTTCCTAACACGGCAAAAAAAAAAAAAAATCCAAACGAGACCTAGTTTCCATCCAGGGACAGGATATTTCTGGACACCCCCGGTCACTGCTCCTCCTAAGGGCCTGGCCGTGGCTACTGCAGGGAGGATGCAGTGAGAATGGCTTCCCTGCTGCTGTTTGCTGCTGTCTACGCTGGCCAAGAACCTGCTCCCGTCTGCCTGGGCTGATGGAGTCTCGCTCTTGACAAAAATCTTGCTGGGGCAGGTCCTCTGGCAGCCCCAGCACCTTACCCTGAGTCACGGGAACCTGAGACTTTGTCCAAACCTCGGCTGGAAGGCTGGTCTTGGCACTCGACGTCTTAGCTAGTGGATTTATCGCATTAAGACTGTACTTGGGCCTTTTTCATGATGACTTGGGTCTCAATCCTTGGAGCAGCTGAAAGAACAGCTCGGGCCACCTGTGGATGCACCCACAATGAAATCAGAGGCCACTGCAAGGCAGAGTGGCCTGCAGTTTTAACTCGGGCACTATGGCAATGCAGACCCAAACCAATTGTGCCAGTTCTTTGCTGGGTGGCAAAGTGTTTTCAGGCTTTGTGGTCACTCCTGATTTCTGTTTGGAAGCACAGTTCTCTCTCTAAGGAGAATGGAAACTTGGAAAGGCCTGTAAAATCGGAAAGCCTGTAAAAGGCCGTAGAGTGGAGATGTATAAAAATGTACGGTCACCCATGTTTTAGGGGTTGACACCGTGGACTTTTATCTCGCTCACCAAATTCCTCACACATACAGCTCACTCCCTGTGCCCTCGGCCATCTCAGGCACCACAAAATCCTCACTGCTTGAAATTCACTTATGGAGTCCAACAAACAACTTTCTTAAAAAAAAAAAAAAAGGCAGTAAAATCTCAGAATTTCTGTGCAACGCTTGCAACCTGCCCACTTATTAAATAAACAGAACACCAAACCAACCGAAAGCTATGCAAGTGGCAGGCTGCCCTGGGCAGAGCCCTGCCTGTCTGCCAGGGACTACGGTGGCACGGGAGCAGGGCGCGATCATGCTGGAAGAAATGAGAGGTGGTCTCATTCCCTGAATCTCAAACTCTCATCTCAGGAGCCCCCAGTCCTAACACTGTATTCAGCGGCTGGAGTTATCTGGCCAGGTAAAGGGACGAGGGAAGGCAGACAGTCCTCAACTTCTTCCTGTGTTTCTAGCAGGGAAGGAACGCAATGGCTTCAGTCCCTCCGCCTCTAGGTAACAAGGCAAAGGCCTCCCTAACCCAGGCAGACAGGATGTGGGGAAGGTCTTGTGTCTTTTCCTAACTCAGAATGAGTGAGCGGGCTCCCGGAGAAAGACTGTCCTCTTAGCACATGACCCCGCAGGCTTCTAGCACCAAAGGCTCGCTAACACCTCCGACCCTGTCTGCAGGTAGAGGGGATGGGAGGCAGAACCCTTCTCCTGATTGGTGCCTGAAGGAGGCAAGAACGAGCATCTGCTATGCCGCAGCCGGATTTCCCCCATCTCAGCAGGAGAGGGGAGAGGTGAGGGTGCAGGCGTTCTGGGCAGGTCAGTGCAGTTCGATGAACGCCTCCAGATCTTCCGGGATGAAGCCCTTGTAAGGGATCTTGTTCTTATCCAGGGCCCGGGCCGCAAGGCACTGCAGGGTCACGTAGTTGAAGGGCTGCATGGTACCCCTGGCCAGCAGCTTCTCGTCCAGCAGCTCGTAGGCCGTCTTCTTGAAGGCATTGGTGGCGTCCATGTGGGCCCCTGCTTCGATCAGGGCATTCATGATGGCCGGGCAGTTGTTCTGGGCTGCTATGTGTAGCGGGGTGTTGTTGTCAAAATCCCTGCTGTCCGGGTCGGCCCCGCAGTCGAGCAGCACTTTGACCACGTGCAGGGAGGGGAATCTGCCCACGGGATAGCGGCCCACGTTTGTGGTGTCCTTGTCCACAGCCATGTGCAGAGGGGTGAAGCCGTTCTTGCCCCTGGGCGCGCACTTGAGCAGGCGGTAGACGGTCTGGTGCTTCAGGTGCTCCTGGCTGGGGGTGCACTCCACTTTCTCCAGCAGGTAGAGCAGGTGGAGGATGATGGCCAGCGCCTTGGTGAACTGGGCTGAGTCTCCGGGCTCCCTGGGCAGCTGCAGGGCCCGTTCCACTTCCCGGACCCCTTTGGTGAGAACCCCCATGAGGTCTGCAAAGCCGATCTGGGTGCCCAGGCTGCCTTTGGCGGCCCGGTCCTGAAGCACGTAGGAGAAGAGTTCCGCGAAGGAGAGGAAGCTGCTGGCGGTCATGGGGCTCAGAGGCTCCAGGTTGCTCTGTTGCATGTCCAGGGCGTACTTCCACAAGCGGATGCAGCGCTCGAAATTGCCCGAGTCGGCGTACACGGCACCCCTGTAACGGATGTAATAGGAAGTGTCCGGGTGCGAGGGACCGAGGATGCGCTCCCGGATCAACAGGGCCTGCATGCGCATCTCATCCGGGTCGGTGATCAGCGCCTCCAGCTCCTCGGTGGTGTTGACCTCCCTGGAATAGTCATAGGCCAGGACCAGCTGTGGGGGCTCCGGTTTGGGCAGGTACTCGCCCCCCTGGTGACGCAGCTCCATGGCCCGCCTCCAGTGTTTAAGGGCCCCAAGCAGATCTCGTTTCTTATCCACATACGTAGCTCCCAGCAATTCCAAGGCTTCCACGGCAGCTTCCCGGCTGGTGGGACAGCAGCTTTCGTAAGATTCCCCGTTCAGTGGTTCCTCTGGGGAGGAGCTGCAGCACGGAGCCCCCTGAGGCTGCGCACACCCCTGGCTGGTGGAGGGGTCTTCTTGGGGCAGCCCAGGCTGAGCCTCTCCCCCTGCGACCTGCTCCTGGCCGGGCTGCTCCTGGATGAGGTACTCCACGATGTTGGTGTGGCCCGTCACGCTGGCCGCGAGCAGCGGGGTCATGCCGTAGCCGTCACGTTCCATGCGGGCCTTGCACCCCAGCAGCAGCTGCAGGATCTCCAGGCTGCCGGACTCGGCGCAGTCATGCAGGGCCGTGTTGCCCTTGGCGCTGCGCCGGTTCACCTGGGCGCCCTGCTCCAGCAGGTAGCGGGCGATCTCACGGTGGCCCTTGTAGCACGAGATCATGAGGCACGTGTGGCCGTGCCGGTTGGCCACCTCCAGGTCGGCCTGGTGCTCGCCGACCAGGTAGCGCACCACCTCCAGGTGGCCGTCGAAGCAGGCGGCGCGGAGAGGCGTGGAGTTGGTGCGCGTGGTGCGGTTCACCGAGGCCCCGCGGCGCAGCAGGCTCCGCACCACGTCCAGGTGGCCGGCTGCGGAGGCGGCCCACAGCGGCGGCGCGCCCTCGATGGTCTCGCCATCGAAGTGCACCGAGCCACCGGCCTCCACGCTCGCGCCGCACCGGTCCACCAGGTACTCCACCACGTCCAGGTGGCCGTAGCGGGCGGCGATGAGTAGCGGCGTTCCCCCGCCGGCCACCTCGCCCGTCAGCTCGTCCAGTTCCTCCCGGCTCCGGCCGCTGAGCAGCTTCTGGAGCAGCTGCAGCTTGCCATCACGGGCGGCGTTGTACACGGCGGTGCGGAGGTCCATGGTTCGGGCCTCCGCCAGGCCATGGGCCGGCCGCCGGGGGACGGGGAGACGGAGGATCAGAGCCCGGACGGGCGGGAGGCAACCTTCACCGTCCCCCTCGCCGCCATCTTAGGGTCTCCTCGGGCGGAACAAAATGGCTGCCGCGACCCGACGGATGGCAGCACGCCGGGAAATGGAGTCCTTTGCGCGGGCCCACTCCATAGAACAGAAAAGGAATCTTGGGGGCTCAAGACTACACTTCCCCAAAGGCCACAGGACAGCCCCTGAGAGCTGTGAGCGCGCGGCATGGTGGGAATTGGCGTTCCAGTCGCAGCGCATGGCATCGGAAGCTAGCAATTTGAGGACTACAATTCCCGTCATGCAGCGTCACACGACCTAGCTTGTGGGAACCGGCGAAATTTGGTGACGTACTTCCCGTGGCTATCTCTGCGTCAGAGCGTATAGAAAAAGCAGGCGCGATACCCTTAAGGACTACATTTCCCAAAAGGGATCACGAGCGACTCTGAGCCAATCAGGACCGAGACCGAAGGCTAAAAGCGACTAGAGGGGACGCGTCTGTTTTGGGCTTGGAGCACGGGCAAGCGGCCCACCGGCAGGGGGCGCCCGGAGGAGGCCGAAAAGCTGGACGGGGCGAAAACGTTTTGAGCTGGGAGAACGGTAAAAAATGACGCGCTCACTTCTTATTCTCACATTCATATATTCATTTATTCATTTACATACATTTATGTATATTCTAGTATGTGTCAGAATTTCCTTCTTTTATTTACGTATTTATTTTTATTTATTTCTTTCAATAACTTTGTGGGGTTTTTTGGTTTTGGTTTTTGTTTTTGAGACAGCGTCTCGCTCTTGTTGCCTAGGCTGGAGGGCAATGCCGCAATCTCGGCTCACTGCAACCTCTGCCTCCCGGGTTCAAGTGATTCTCGTGCCTCAGCCTCCCGAGTAGCTGGGACTACAGACATCCACCACCACGCCCGGCTAATTTTTGTATTTTTGGTAGAGACGGGTTTCGCCATGTTGGCCAGGATGGTCTCGAACTCCTGACCTTGGGAGATCCGCCCGCCTCAGCCTCCCAAAGTGCTAGAATTACAGGCGTGAGCCACTATGCCCGGCCTGACGTGCTGACTTCAATTCCTTTGGATAAAGACCCAGAAGTGGGATTCCTGGATCACCTGGTAGTTTTATTTTTAAATTTTTCTTTGGAACTTCCATACCATTTTCTATAATGGCTATACTAATTAAAATTACCATCAGTAGTGTATAAGTGTTCTCTTCAAATCCTTGCCAACGTTTGTTACCTTTCGTCTTTTTGATGATAGCTATTCTAGCAGTTGTAAGGTGATCCATTCCCTGGCATTTTTTGACAACAATGAATTATATTATGAAAAAGAAATCTTTGGTGACCCGAATTCTTTATTTTTAAAGTTTATTCGAGGTGTAATATATATACAATAAAATGCATTTTTAATAAAGAGGACAGGTTTGGCCGGGCAAGGTGACTCACACCTGTAATCTCAGCACTTTGGGAGGCTGAGGTGGGAGGATTGCTTGAACCCAGGAATTCGAGACCAGCCTGGGAAACATAGCACATCTCTACAAAAATAGAAAAATTAGCCGGGCGTGGTAGCGTGCACCTGTTGTCTCAGCTACTCGGGAGGCTGAAGTGGGAGGATCGCTTGAACCTAGGAGGTCAAGGCTGCAGTGAGCCGTGATTGCACCATTGTACTTCAGCCTGGGTGACAGAGGGAGACCCTGTCTCTAAGATAAATAAATAAAAATAAATAAAGAGAACAGGTGTGACAAACATGCAGCTATGTAGCCAGTATCACAACCAAGATGTTCAACAGCGTCTTCATTCAGAATTGTTATCTCATGCCGGCCGGGCGCGGTGTCTCACGCCTGTAATCCCAGCACTTTGGGAGGTCGAGATGGGTGGATCACGAGGTCAGGAGATCGAGACCATCCTGGCTAACACGGTGAAACCCCGTCTCTACTAAAAATACAAAAAATTAGCCGGGCGTGGTGGCAGGCGCCTGTAGTCCCAGCTACTCGGGAGGCTGAGGCAGGAGAATGGCGTGAACACGGGAGGCAGAGCTTGCAGTGAGCCGAGATCGCGCCACTGCACTCCAGCCTGGGCGACAGAGCGAGACTCCGTCTCAAAAAAAAAGAATGTTATCTCATGCCCTGTTGATCAACGCCTTTGTCCACCCGCAGCCACTGGTAACTGCTGATCTGTTCTCTGCGTTTCATACTAACAGCACAGAAACGGAAAAATGCAGTATGCGGCCTCTGGGGTCTGCAGCTTTCATTCAGCACAATGCATTCAAGATGCATCTATGCTGTTACGTGTATTAGCAGTTCGTTGCCTTTTATTACGGAGCTGTATTCCATGGCAAGAACGAGCCACCATTCTTTTATCCATTACGTGATGGTTCTTTCCAGTTTTAGATGATTACAAATAAAGCTGCTATAAACTTCTGCGTACAGGTCTTTGTGTGGAAATATGTTTTCATTTCTCTTGGGTAATGCCTACGAGTGTAAGTATTCTTTTTTTGTTGTTGTTGTTTTCTTTTTCTTTTTTTCTTTTCTTTTTTTTTTTTTTTGAGACGGAGTTTCACTCTCATTGTCCAGGCTGGAATGCAATGGTACGATCTTGGCTCACCACAACCTCCACCTCCCGGGTTCAAGCAATTCTCCTGCCTCAGCCTCCCAAGTAGCTGGGATTACAGGCATGTGCTACCATGCCAGGCTAATGTTGTATTTTTAGTAGAGACGGGGTTTCTCCATGTTGGTCAGGCTGGTCTCGAACTCCTGACCTCATGATCCGCCCGCCTCGGCCTCCCAAAGTGCTGGGATGACAGGCGTGAGCCACCTCACCTGGCCACCAATTGTTTTTTGATGCTTTCTCATGTGTGGTACAACATGAAGAAATGCCTCCAAATAGGATTTCATGGCATATTTGAAATGTTTTTAATGAACAGTTCAACCATTTGAAATATACACACACATACCCTGAAGTTTTTTTTTTTTTTTTTTGGCGGGGGGGAGATGGAGTTTCACTCTTGTCGCCTGGGCCGGAGTTCAGTGGTGTGATCTTGTCTCGCTGCAACCTCCACGTCCCAGGTTCAAGTGATTCTCCTGCCTCAGCTTCCCAGGTAGCTGGGACTACAAGCGCGCGCCACTACACCCAGCTAATTTTTGTGTTTTTAGTAGAAATGGGGTTTCACCGTGTTGGCGAGGCTGGTCTCGAACTCCTGGCCTTAAGTGATCCACCCACCTCGGCCTCCCAAAGTGCTGGGATTACAGGCGTGAGCCACCATGCCTGGCCACTTCATTGTATTTTAATGTCCTTCCACAGATGGCAGTGTCTTGCAATATAATTGTTCTTTCCACGAAGCAATTACAGGATTTATTTTAAAAAATTAGAGGGACTGTGGTCCAATAACAGGACAGCAGCTTAAAGTTGCATGTTAAATGTCTACTTTTGAGACTTCCACAGTGCACCTGGGACTGGCCATAAGACCATTTAGGGGCATGAGAAGCTCCAGCCAGATGGACCTTGGTCAACCCCCGGGACACTCTTTTTGCCTGTTATAGTATTTGGCACCGTAGGGAGGCTAAGCGTTTTGAGTGAAAATACTTTACGAACCATTTGCCTCTCAACACAGACAAGAGGTTAATTCTAAAAGCTGAATTCCTGGATTCAACAACCAAGTCCACGGCCAAACAGCTGCATGGCTTTGGACAGTGGCCCAAGCTCCCTGAACATAGCTTTCTCATCTGTAAAATGAGAACATAGGAGCGTGAGAGAGAAAACATGTCTAAAAGTGCTTTGTGGCCAGGTGCGATGGCTCACGTCTGTAATCCCAGCACTTTGGGAGGCTGAGGCAGGAGGATCCCCTGAGGTCAGGAGTTTGAGGCCAGCCTGGCCAACACGGTGAAATGCAGTCTCTACTAAAACTATAAAAATTAGCCAGGCGTGGTGGTAGGCGCCTGTAATCCCAACTACTCAGGAGGCTGAGGCAGGAGAATTGCTTGAACCTGGGAGACAGAGGTTGCGGTGAGCTGAGATCGTGCCACTGCACACCAGCCTGGGTGACAGAGCGAGACTCTGTCTCAAAAATAATAATAATAAATAAAAATAAAAAATAAAAAAAGTGTTTTTTAGGCCAAGTGTGGTGGCTCAATCCTGCAATCCCAGCACTTTGGGAGCCCGAGGCAGGCAGATAACCTGAGGTCAGGAGTTCAAGACCCACCTTGCCAACATGGTGAAACCTCGTCTCTACTAAAAATAGAAAAATTAGCTGGGCATGGTGGCGGGCGCCTGCATTCCCAGCTACTCGGGAGGCTGAGGCAGGAGAATGGCTGGAACCAGGGAGGCGGAGGTTGTGGTGAGCCGAGATGGCGCCACTGCACTCCAGCCTGGGCGACAGAGCGAGACTCCGTCTCAAAAAAACAAAACAAAACAAAAAAACTCCCAAAACACAACAACAACAACAAAAACAAAGATAACAAATAACAAATGCTCACAAATTCACTATTTTTGTTACTATGTCCCACTATGTTCTATGTTTCCTGGGTTATTCAAGTCCACTGCACCTGCCCAGTGGTACCGGGATACTGTGTGCTGGGGTCCCCCTGCACGTTCCTTCCGACTATCCTGTTCTTTTTTATTTGTTTGTTCTTTGAGACGGGGTCTTGCTGTGTTACCAGGCTGGAGTGCGGGGATGTGATCTCGGCTCACTGCAACCTCCGCCTCCCGGGTTCAAATGATTCTCCTGCCTCAGCCTCTCAAGTAACTGGGACTACAGGCGCACACCACCACGCCCAGTTAATTTTTGTATTTTTAGTAGACGTGGGATTTCATCATGTTGGCCAGGATGGTCTTTATCTCTTGACCTTGTGATCCACCCGCCTCAGCCTCCCGAAGTGCTGGGATTACAGGTGTGAGCCACCGCGCCCAGCCCCCATACCCTGTTCTATGGCTCCTTGGTGGTAGCTGGAAATCATTCTTGGCTTGAATATTTACACCACAGGAAATGGGCAAATGCTAAAAATCAGCAAACCTCCTGCCTCCAACCTCCTCCCTCCAACCTCCTCCCTCCCTCCAAGCTCCTCCCTCCAACCTCCTGCCTCCAATCTCCTCCCTCCCTCCAACCTCCTCCCTCCAACCTCCTCCCTCCCTCCAACCTCGTCCCTCCCTCCAACCTCCTCCCTCCCTCCAACCTCCTCCCTCCAACCTCCTCCCTCCAACCTCCTCCCTCCCTCCAACCTCCTCCCTCCCTCCAACCTACTCCCTCCCTCCAACCTCCTCCCTCCAACCTCCTCCCTCCAACCTCCTCTCTCCCTCCAACCTCCTCCCTCTAACCTCCTCCCTCCAACCTCCTCCCTCCTTCCAACTCCCTGGGAAGTTGCAGTGAGCCAAGATCATGCCACTGAACTCCAGCCTGGGCGACAGAGAGACTCCGTCTCAACAAAACAAAACAAAACAAAACAAACAAACAAAACAGAATTTACCCCTCCAGAGTGTGCAGATGTTGGTGTATACTGACTCACAAGAGCTGATCGTTATATTTTCAGGATTTTTTTTTCCTACCAGTTGTTAATCATGGCCAATATTGAAAATTAAGACTGAGCACTGTGGCTCACACCTATAATCCCACTATTTTGGGAGGCCGAGGTGGAACGACGATCCTTTCAGCCTATTTTTCCCCCCGTAGCATACATCACTTTC
Source organism: Homo sapiens (assembly GCF_000001405.40). Lineage (NCBI taxonomy): Eukaryota > Metazoa > Chordata > Mammalia > Primates > Hominidae > Homo > Homo sapiens. The sequence goes on along the minus strand of NC_000019.10, from coordinate 4,786,120 downwards.
CAACCTACCCTGCTGTATAATTAACAAATTTAGAATGTTTGTTCAGGGACTCTTCTCTGTCGTGTTCACTGCTGCATTCCTGTTTCTAGAACAGAGTAGGTGCTCAATAAATATCCGTGGAAGCTGGGCGCGGTGGCTCACGTCTGTAATCCCAGCAATTTGGGAGGCTGAAATGGGCGGATCACCTGAGGTCAGGAGTTCGAGACCAGCCTGACCAACATGGAGAAACCTCGTCTCTACTAAAAATACAAAAATTAACCAGGCGTGACAGCGCATGCCTGTAATCCCAGCTACTCGGGAGGCTGAGGCACAAGAATCGCTTGAACCCGGGAGGGAGAGGTTGTGGTGGGCCGAGATCGCGCCATTGCACTCCAGTCTGGGCAACAGGAGCAAAACTCCATTTCAAATAATAACAATAATAATAATAATAATAATAATAATAATAAATATCTGTGGAATGAATAAAGTCATCACCCCAGGAAGCACATTGTAACCACAGCACCACTCTGACTACTATTCTGTGGGGCGGGCACCTTCTGGAGGTCTCCACTGCTTTATTTTCTTTCATCTGATTTTTAATTTTTTTCCTGCAGCCCCGCCGGTTTCCAAGGATGCAACTATGAAGAGACACAGTGGGGGCTACGATTGGGTCGTGACTGTGGCCCACGCCAGGCGAGCGTCCCCGCCCCAGCCCCTCTGCCATCTGCGTGCCTGTTCTCCCGCTACCTGCCCCCGCGCCAGGATCCAGGCTTGCAAACGTCCCCATGCCATGCGCAGGCACATCTCGGGCGGCCAGCCAGGCACACGCTGCGGGGTGTCATTAGCTGCAGTGCCGCCTAAACGCGGCGGCCCGTGCAGAACCACGGCCAGGCCACCTGCACGGGCCAGGGAGGTGATGGGGACAGCGAGAGACATGCCAAACCCCACTGGGGGGTTGGGAGGGGAGGCGCTTTCATCCTAAGGTGACTTCCGTTTTTTTTTCTAATAAAAAAATATTTTAAACATGGGGATAAATAGAGAAAAAGACAAAATAGACCCCATCATAGCAATGCCAAAGATGAGACAGATTTATTTATTCCATAAATATCTACTGAGAGGATATTGCGTGTCTGCACCGATTCCGGAGCTGAGCTAGACCAGGGAGCAAAATAAAACAAAACGGACCCTTAAAAAAACATTTAAGGCTGCGCGCGGTGGCTCACGCCTGTAATCGCAGCACTTTGGCAGGCCGAGGCGGGCGGATCACGAGGTCAGGAGATCGAGACCATCCTGGCTAACACGGTGAAACTTCATCTCTACTAAAAATACAAAAAAAGAAATAGCCGGGCGCGGTGGCGGGCGCCTGTAGTCCCGGCTGCTCCGGAGGCTGAGGCAGGAGAATGTCATGAACCCGGGAGGCGGAGCTTGCAGTGAGCCGAGACTGTGCCACTGCACTCCAGCCTGGGCAACGGAGCGAGACTCCGTCTCAAAACAAAAAAACAAAAAAAAATTTTTTTAATTTCAATAGCTTTTGGGGTACAAGTTGTTTTTGGTTACATGGATGATTGGTAGTGGTGAAGCCTGGGATTTTAGCGCAGCCGTCACTCAGGTAGAGTACATTGTACCCAATGCGTAGTTTTCTCGTTTTGCTTTTTTCTTTTCTTTTCTTTTCTTTTCTTTCTTTTTTTTTTTTCTTAAGACAGAGTCTTGCTCTGTTGCCCAGGCTGGAGGGCCGTGGCAAGATCTCGGCTCACTGCAACCCCCAGCTGCTGGGGTCAAGTGATTCTCCTGCCTCAGCCTCCCAAGTAGCTGGGATTACAGGCGCCTGCCACCATGCCTGGCTAATTTTTGTATTTTTAGTAGAGACAGGATTTCACCATGTTGGCCAGGCTGGTCTCAAACTCCTGACCTCAGGTGATCCACCTGCCTCGGCCTCCCAAAGTGCTGGGATTACAAGTGTGAACCACAGCGTCTGGCCCCAGTATGTAGCTTTTTATCCCTCACTCTCCACTCCCTCCCCGCTTCTGAGTCTCCACTGTCCATTATACCATTTTTTTAATTTAAATTTTTATTTTTTGAGATAAGGTCTTGCTCTGTTGTCCAGGCTGCAGTGCAGTGGTGCAATCATAGCTCACTGCAGGCTTGAACTCCTGAGCTCAAGTGACCCTCCCGCCTGAGCCTCCTGAGTAGCTGGGTCTAGAGGCATGTACCACAACACCCAGCTAATTTTTTTTAGATGCTTGTGGGGTCTTGCTATACTGCCCAGGCCGGTCTCAAACTCCTGAGCTCAAATGGTCCTCCCTCCTTCTCCTCCCAAAGTGCTGGGATTCCAGGTGTGAGTCACTGTGTCCCACCTATTATTTCACTCTGTATGCCTTTGCAAACCCATAGCTTAGCTCCCACTTATGTGAGAATACACAGTATTTGGTTTTTCATTACTAGTTACTTCACTTAGAACACTGGTCTCGGCTGGGTGCGGTAGCTCGCCCCTGTAATCCCAGCACTTTGGGAGGCTGAGGCGGGCAGATCACCTGAGGTCAGGAGTTCGAGACCAGCCTGGCCAACATGGTGAAACCCCATCTCTACTAAAAATACAAAAATAAGCTGTGCATGGTGGCACATGCCTGTAATTCCAGGTACTCAGGAGGCTGAGGCAGGAGAATCATTTGAACCTGGGAGGTGGAGGTTGCAGTGAGCCGAGATCTTGCCACTGCACTCCAGCCTGGGCAACAGAATGAGACTCCATCTCAAAAAAAAAAAAAACAAACAAGTCTGGGCTCGGTGGCTCATGCCTGTAATCCCAGCACTTTGGGAGGCTGAGGCGGGCAGATCACAAGATCAAGAGATCAAGACCATCCTGGCCAACACAGTGAAACCCCGTCTCTACTCAAAATACAAAAATTAGCTGGGTGTGGTGGTGCACGCCTGTAGTTCCAGCTACTCAGGAGGCTGAGGCAGGAGAATTGCTTGAACCTGGGAGGCAGAGGTTGCAGTGAGCCGAGATCATGCCACTGCACTTCAGCCTGGGTGACAGAGCGAGACTCCGTCTCAAAAAAGAAAAGAAAAGAAAAGGAAAGAGACGAGAAGAGGAGTAAGTGTATTAGTCTGCTTGGACTGTCATAGCTAAATGTCACAGGTTGAGTGGCTTAAACAACAGAAAGTTATTTTTCCACATTTCTGGAGCCTAGAAGTTCAAGATCAAGATATGGGCAGAATGAGCTGAGTATGGTAGGGCACGCCTGTAGTCCCAGCTACTTGAGAGGCTGACATGAGGGATTGCTTGAATCCAGGAGGTCAAGACTAGTGTGGGCAATGCAGCGAGACCCCGTCTCTATGAAAAAATTTAAAAAGTTAGCCAGGTACAGTGATGTACACCTGTGGTCCCAGCTCCTTGAGACGCTGAGGTGGGAGGATCTTGACCCCAGGAGATGGAGGCTGCAGTGAGCTATGATCGCACCACTGCACTCCAGCCTGGGTGACAGAGCAAGACCCTGACTTAAAAACAAGAAAGATATGGGAAAGATTGATTTATCTTGAGGCCTCTCTCCTTGGCTTGGGCAAATGGCTACCTTCCCAGTGGAGCCCTGCCCCAAGCTCCTGACCTACAGAATCCATAAGATATAAGAAAATGATTAAAAAAAAAAAAAAAGGGTCTGTCTCTGTTGTCCAGGCTGGAGTGCAGTGGCATGATCTCAGCTCAGTGCAACCTCTGCCTCCTGGGTTCAAGCAATCCTCCCACCTCAGCCTTCCAAGTACCTGGGACTACAGGCCTGTGCCACCATGTCCAGCTAATTTTTGTATTTTTGTGTAGAGACGGTGTTTCACTATGTTGCCCAGGCTGGTCTCAAACTCCTGAGCTCAAGCAATCCACCCACCTCGGCCTCCCAAAGTGCTGGGATTACAGGCGTGAGCCACTCCGCCCAGCCATGATGATTGTTTTAAGCCTGAACATTTTGGGGTCATCTGTGGTGCAGTAATAGTAACTGGGATTGTGCCACGTGCTAGCTGGTAGCTTTAATTTGCCTGTCTATAATTACTAACCAAATCACACAGTTCCCCAAGAGTTTGTTTACGATGTCTGTTTCCTCTCCGGGGAATTGTCTGTTCATTGGGAAAATATGCCATGGTTTAGTTTCTAAGAAACAGTCTCAGTGTGTCTCCCACTCCCTGAAGGGACTAGATAGATTTATATAATGTAGCACAGCCTGAAGGCATTAGTATGTATCTTTGTTTCATTTCTTCATTCATTTAAACATTCAGCCACATTTATTTATATTCTTAGCACCTGCTATGTGCTGGGCTGTGTGCTGGATCCTGGTTATATAGCAGTAAACAAGCAGATGTTGTTCTCAAGAGCCCAGAATCTGATGGGAGGAGAATAACTCAAGTTAGACTGTGTGGTTGGGGATGCAGGAGCCTGAGAATGAATGGATTGTATCTGGCTGGGGAGGGAAGGAGGAACCTGGGAGATACTTCATGTGCGAGGCTAGGTCTTCAAGTATGGACAGGGATTTTTTTTTTTTTTTGAGACAGAGCCTTGCTCTGTCACCCAGGTTGGAGTGCAGTGGCTCAATCTTGGCTCACTGCAATCTCCGCCTCCCAGGTTCACGCCATTCTCCTGCCTCAGCCTCCTGAGTAGCTGGGACTACAGGCGCCCGCCATCACGCCCAGGTAATTTTTTGTATTTTTAGTAGAGATGGGGTTTCACCGCGTTAGCCAGGATGGTCTCAATCTCCTGACCTTATGATCCGCCCACCTCAGCCTCCTAAAGTGCTGGCATTACAGGCGTGAGCCACCATGTCTGGCCTGGACAGGGATTTTTTTTTAGGTAGAACTTTGGAAGAAACAAATGGTCCAGATTGCTCTAGATACCTAAATTGACTTAACAAACGACCTCAAGGTTACTGACATAAACAACAACCTATTATTATTACTTGTCATGGTTCTGAGAGTGGACTCTGCTAGACAGTTCTCACTGGGGGCAGTTCGTATGTGGTTCAAGTCAGAAGGAGGCTGGGGTTGGAGTCATCTTGAAGGACCTCAACTGGGACTGCCGGCAGGAACACCTCCATGTAGCTTGAGCTTCCTCACAAGATGGCTGCTGGGTCCCAGGAGCAAGCATCCAGAGAGAGAACCAGGCATAAGCTGTATCGTATCACCTCTTATCACGCAGCCTCAGAAGTCATAGTGTCACTTCTGCCACATCGTATTTGCCAAGTCTAGCCCACTTTCAAGGGGAGAGAATTGGATCTTCACAAGAAAACAGAGTTAGATGTTTGTGGATTTTTTTTTTTTTTGTTGATGTTGTTGTTTTTGAGACAAAGTCTTGCTCTGTCGCTCAGGCTGGAGTGCAGTGGCGTGATCTTGGCTAACTGCAAGCTCCACCTCCCAGGTTCACGCCATTCTCTTGCCTCAGCCTCCTAAGTAGCTGGGACTACAGGCGCCCGGCACCACGCCCGACTAATTTTTTGTATTTTTAGTAGAGACGGGGTTTCACCGTGTTAGCCAGGATGGTCTTGATCTCCTGACCTCGTGATCCGCCCACCTCGGCCTCCCAAAGTGCTGGGATTACAGGCGTGAGCCACCGCGCCCAGCAGCCACCGTGCCCGGCTGTGGATGTTTTAAGACCATCACACAGGTGGAAGGAAGAGACAGCACCAAAAATGCAGAGGATGGACAACCTGGCAGGTATGGTACATTCCGTATTGTATTGACATCCCTTGCTCATCAGACAGCATTTTGGCTGGGGGTGGTGGCTCATGCCTGTAATCCCAACACTTTGGGAGGCCAAGGCAGAAGGATCACTGGAGCCTAGGAGTTTGAGACCAGCCTGGGCAACACAGTGATACTTCATTTCTACAAAAAATAAAAAAATTAGCTTGGCATGGTGGTGTGTGCCTATAGTTAGCTACTTGGGAGGCTGAGGCAGCAGGATCTCTTGAGCCCAGGAAGTCAAGGCTGCAGTGAGCCATGATCATGCCACTGACTCCAGCCCAAGCTACAGAGTGAGACCCTATTTAAGAAAAGGAGCATTTTAGGGAAATTCTCCATCAAAGATGAGGTCCCTTGCAGGTCACAGTAGCTCACACCTGAAATCCCAGCAATTTTGGTGGACAAGATGGGAGGATCACTTGAGCCCAGGAGTTACAGACCAGCCTGGGCAACATAGCAAGACCCTGTCTTTTGGCCGGATGTGGCGGCTCATGCCTGTAATCCCAGCACTTTGGGAGGCCGAGGCAGGTGGATCATGAGGTCAGGAGATCAAGACTATCCTGGCTAACACAGTGAAACCCCATCTCTACTAAAAATACAAAAAATTAACCAGGCGTGGTGGTGGGCGCCTGTAGTCCCAGCTGCTCGGGAGGCTGAGGCAGGAGAATGGCGTGAACCCGGGAGGCAGAGCTTGCAGTGAGCCGAGATTGCACCACTGCACTCCAGCCTGGGCAACAGAGCAAGACTCCATCTCAAAAAAAAAAAAAAAAGAACCTGTCTTTTTTCTTTTTCATTAAGGACCTTAAGAGACAACCCTCATCTAGCCTTCTAACAGAAATGTTATGGAGTAGCAGGCATACCTGCTTTTTCTCTCTCTTATTTATTTATTTATTTATTTATTTATTTTTGAGACAAGATCTCACTCTGTTGCCCAGGCTGGATGGAGTGCAGTGGTACAATCATAGATCACTGCAGCCTTGACCTCCCAGGGCCAAGCAATCTTTCCTTCTACCTCAGCCTCCTAAGTAGCTGGGATTACAGGTGCATCACCATGCCTGGCTAATTGTTTATTTTTTGTAGAGACGGGGTCTCACTATGTTGCCCAGGATGTCTGCTTCCTCATAACAAGTAAAAGAGAAACTTTTATGTCTACAATTTTCTGTAATTTTCTTTCTTTTTTCTTTTTTTTTTTTTGAAACGAAGTCTTGCCTGTCACCCAGGCTGGAGTGCAGTGGCACCATCTCAGCTCACTGCAACCTCTGCTTCCCCGGTTCAAGCCATTCTCCTCCCTCAGCCTCCTGAGTAGCTGGGACTACAGGCGCCCGCCACCACACTTGGCTAATTTTTTGTATTTTTAGTAGAGACAGGGTTTCACCGTGTTAGCCAGGATGGGCTTGATCTCCTGACCTTGTGATCTGCCTGCCTTGGCCTCCCAAAGTGCTGAGATTACAGGCATGAGCCACCATGCCTGGCCTAATTTCAATTTCTGAAAGATTGTTACTAGTATATAGAAATATAATTAATGTTTTATATTGTTCTTGGAGCCTGCAATCTTTTGTAGATTCTGTAATATTTTCTACATAGACAACCATGGCACCCGTGAATAAACACAGTTTTACTTCTTTGCAATGTGGATGCCTTTTTTTTTTTCTTATGCACTGGCTAGAACCTCCAATACAATATTGAATAGAAGTGGCAGCTGGATGTGGTCGCTCACGCCTATAATCCCAGCACTTTGGGAGGCCGAGGCAGGTGGATCACCTGAGGTCAGGAGTTTGAGACTAGCTTGGCCAACATGGTAAAACCCCATCTCTACCAAAATACAAAAATTAGCCAGGCATGGTGGTGGGCACCTGTGATCCCAGCTACTAGGGAGGCTGAGGCATGAGAATCACTTGAATCCGGGAGGCGGAGGTTTCAGTGAGCCGAGATGGTGCCACTGCACTCCAGTCTGGGCGACAGAGTGAGATTTTGTCAAAAAAAAAGAAAAGAAAAAAGAAGGAAGGAAGAAAGGAAGGAAGGAAGGAAGGAAGAAAGAAAGAAAAGAAAGAAAGAAAGAAGGAAGGAAGGAAAGAGAGAAAGAAAGAAGGAAGAGAGAAAGAAGGAAGGAAGAGAAAGAGAAAGAAAGAAAGAAAGGGAAAGAAGGAAAGAAGGAAGGAAGAAAGGAAAGAAGGAAGGAAGGAAGGAAGGAAGGAAGGAAGGAATGATGAGAGTCGGCTGGGCATGGTAGCTCACATCTGTAATCCTAGCACTTCGGGAAACTGAGGTGGGCAGATCACTTGAGGCCAGGAGTTTGAGACCAGCCTGACCAACATGTTGAAACCTTGTCTCTACTAAAATTACCCCCAAAAAATTAGCCAGGCGTGGTGGTGCACACCTGTAATTCCAGCTACATGGGAGGCTGGGGCACAATAATTGCTTGAACCCAGGAGGTGGAGGTTGCAGTAAGCTGAGATCACACCCCTGCACTCCAGCCTGGGCTACAGAGCTGGACGTCTCTGTCTTAGTCCCATTCTAGGGGGAAAGCATTCAGTCTTGTACCATTAAGTGTACTGTTAGCTGTAGAGTTTTTTTGTCTTGTTTTGTTTTGTTTGTTTTCTTGCTGTTATTTTGAGACAGGGGCTTGTTCTGTCGCCCAGGCTGGAGTGCAGTGGCACAATCATGGCTCACTGCAGCCTCCTCCTCCTGGGCTCAAACAGTCCTCCTTCCTCAGCCTCCCAAGTAGCTGGGACAATAGGCACGTGCCACCACACCCAACTAATTTTTTATTTATTTACTTATTGGTGAGGCATGGTCTTGCCATGTCGCCCAGGCTGATCTTGAACTCCTGGCCTCAAGCAATCATCCCTCCTTGGCTTCCCAAAGTGCTGGGATTACAGGCATGAGCCACTGCTCCCTTCCTGGCTGTAGCTTTTTTTTTTTTTTTTTCAAGACGGAGTTTTGCTCTTATTGCCCAGGCTTGAGTACAGTAGCACGATCTCAGCTCACTGCAACCTCTGCCTCCTGGGTTCAAGCGATTCTCCTGCCTCAGCCTCCCGAGTAGCTGGGATTAACAGGCGCCTGCCATCATACCTGGCTAGTTTTTGTATTTTTAGTAGAGACGGGGTTTCACTATGTTGGCCAGACTGATCTTGAACTCTTGGCCTCGAGTGTTCTGCCTGCCTCGGCCTTCCAAAGTGCGGGATCACAGGCGTAACCCACTGTGCCAGGCCCGGCATACGCTATTTCTGTCCATTCATCTCTTCCTTACCAGCGTGGGGCAGGGCCAGGGGTCCTCCTGCCTGCTAGGCCACAGAGAAGGAGCGCTGTCCACTGCGTGGCTGCCCCCTCTGGTCTTGGGCTGAGCCACAGCTGGATTCCTGCGATTTGGAATGACTGGGATAGAGGGGTAGAGATTCCAGAACCAGATGTGGGTCGGGGGAGGAGACTCCACTATCTTGCTCTGATGCTGCCGGCTTGTTGTCATGGAAACCAAAGCCACTCTCTTAGGAAGGACCCATTAAGGTGCAGGACATAATCAAGGCTCTCTCTGGCGGCCCCCTGCCCTCCCTAGTGGGAGGCAACCACCGTTTGAGCCCTTGAATGTTGCAGCATTTAAGTTCTGCCCTCCTCCCTCACTTGCCTCCCTACAAAAAAATTCTCCAAAACATACACAAGGGAGCCAAGCAGGCGTCAGAGAAGACCCTCAAGGTTTCTGAACTGACCCCTCCCCAAGCCTGAGGCTTCAGTTCCAGCCCTAGCTGGGGATGATTCACTGGGTGACCGCCACAAACTCCTGTCTGTGTCTTGGCATCCTTCCCTGGGAAAATGATAGAGATACATTACAATTGCCACATTGTCTCTGAATACCAAACTGTTAGAGGGGTGGATGGTAGGGGTTCAACTTGCAGACTGGATCAAACTGCCTGGATTGGGCTGGGCACGGTGGCTCACGCCCATAATCCCAGAACCTTGGGAGGCCGAGGCAGGCAGATCACTTGAGGTTAGAAGTTTAAGACCAGCCTGGTCAACATGGTGAAACCCCGTCTCTACTAAAAATACAAAAATTAGCAGAGCATGGTGATGGGTGCTTGTAATCCCAGCTACTCGGGAGGCTGAGGCAGGATAATCACTTGAACCCAGGAGGCAGAAGTTGCAGTGGGCTGAGATTACACCACTGCACTCCAACCTGGGCCACAGAGTGAGACTCCATTTTTTAAAAAATGATAATAATTGCTACATAGTCTCTGAATACTAAACTGTTAGAGGGGTAGAAGGTAGGGGTTCAACTTGCAGACCCTAGATGATACTGCCTGGATTGAAGTCCTGGCTATGCCACCAGCAGCTGTGCAACCTCGAGCAACTTGCTTGACCTCCCTGGGCCTCAGTTTCCTCTCCTGCAAAATAGGGTGCAATAAGACCACCAACCTCGCAGGAGATCATGTGTCTAAAGCCATCAAAACAGCGTCTGGATAAGGAAAATGTGGTATATCCATGCAATGGAATATGACTCAGCCATGAAAAGGAATGAGGCTCTGACACAGGCTACAAGAACCTTGAGGACGTCAGGCTCAGGTGGGAGAAGCCAGACACAAAAAGCCACACAGTGTGTGATCCCATTTCTATGGCATGTCCAGAACAGGCCAATCCAGAGAGATAGAAATCAGATAAATGGTTGCCAGGGGCTGGAGTGTGGGAAGAAGAATGAGGAGTGACTGCTTTTGTTTTTTTTTTTTTTGAAACGGACTCACTGTTGCTCAGGCCAGGGTGCAGTGGCACAATCTTGGCTCATTGCAACCTCTGCCTTCCTGGTTAAAGAAATCCTCCCAGCTCAGCCTCTCAAGTAGCTGGGATTACAGGCGTGTGCCACCACGCTCGGCTAATTTTTGTATTTTTAATAGATTCAGGTTTCACTGTGTTGGCCAGGCTGGTCTCAAACTCCTGACTTCAGGTGATCCACCCGTCTTGGCCTCCCAAAGTGCTGGGATTACAGGCATGAGCCATTGCGCCCAGCCTCCTCTTTCTTTTTTAAGAGAGGGGAGTCTTACTATGTTGCCCACAACATAGTAAGACTCAAACTGGTATGAAACTCCTGGCCTCAAGCCATCCTCCCACCTCAGCCTCCCGGGTAGCTGGGATGACAGGACATGAGACATTGCACCTGGCTAACCTGTGGATTCTGACACTTAACTCTGGGTGATTAAAATCATAATTTAATTGCTCATGGCCAGGGGAGAAGGGGGTCTCTCTCACACTTTTTTTTTTTTTTCCTGAGACAGAGTCTCGCTCTATCACCCAGGCTGGAGTGCAGTGGCACGATCTCAGCTCACTGCAACCTCCGCCTCCCGGGTTCAAGCAATTCTCCTGCTTCAGCCTCCCGAGTAGCTGGGACTACAGGCTCACGCCACCATGGCCAGCTAATTTTTTTTGTATTTTTAGTAGAGATGGGGTTTCACCATGTTAGCCAGGATGGTCTCGATCTCCTGACCTAGTGATCTGCCTGCCTTGGCCTCCCAAAGTGTTCTGGGATTACAGGTGTGAGCCATCATGCCCGTTTTTTTTGTTTTGTTTTGTTTTGTTTTGTTTGAGATGGGGTCTCGCTCTGTCACCCAGGCTGGAGTGCAGTGGTGCGATCTCAGCTCACTGCAACCTCCGCCTCCCAAGCTCAGGCAATCCTCTCACCTCAGCCTTCTGAGAAGCTGGGACTACAGGCTCGTGACACCATGTTCGACATTTTTTTTTTTTTTTTTGTATTTTTGGTAGAGACAGGATTTCACCATGTTGGCGAGGTTAGTCCTGAACTCCTGAGTTCAAGCAATCCACCTGTCTTGGCCTCCCAAACTGCTGGGATTACAGGCATGAGCCATCATACGCACCCTCTCTCACGTATTTTTTAAGAGGGTCTTGCTCTGTCGTTCAGGCTGGAGTGCAGTGAGGCGATCATTGCTCAGTGTAGCCTCCAATTCCTGTGCTCAAGCAATTCTCCTGAGTAGCTGTGACTACAGTGTGCACCACTGCACCCAGCTGTCACTTTTTTTTCCAACAAGACAACAGCAAAAAATGAAGTATAATGTGTTCTTCTGTCAAGTTAACCAGCCATAACGGCAAAGCCCAGGAGGGCAGTGATGGAAACTCATTCACCTTTTTTAGTTTCTAAAGCCATTGAGCAGGCAGCTGCAAGCTGGGTCCTTGGGGGTGGCTGGGAGAGGGTGGTAAGTTGGTTGGACCTCTGTGGGTAATGGCTCGTCTTTACAGGGGTGTGTGGCCTCCAGGATTTTCTGTGTGATGAAGGTGATAGGCTCAGGCACAAGCATTTATACCCAAAGTGAATATTGGATGCCAGCACTGAGCTAGGCGTGTGTGTGGGGAGGTCAGGGGTACAAAGATGAAACTGCCAGGAAAAACTGAGGGCTCCCAGGGGTCTTTGGGGGAAAATAAAAGGTTAGTGTGGCTTTAAAAAGAATCAATAAAGGCTGGCCGGGCGCGGTGGCTCACGTCTGTAATCCCAGCACTTTGGGAAGCCGAGGTGGGTGGATCACTTGAGGTCAGGAGTTCAAGACCAACTGTGCCAGCATGGTGAGACCCCCATCTCTACTAAAAATACAAAAATTAGCTAAGTGTGGTGGCACGTGCCTGTAATCCCAGCTGCTCAGGAGGCTGAGCCAAGAGAATCGCTTGAAACCAGGAGGCAGAGGTTGCAGTGAACCGAGATCATGCTACTGCACTCCAGCCTGGGCAAGAGTGAGACTCTGAAAAAATTAGACCGGTGCAGTGACTCATGCCTGTAATCCCAGCACTTTGGGAGGTTGAGGCGGGTGGATCACTTGAGGTCAGCCTGGCCAACATGGTGAAACTCCGTCTCTACCAAAAATATAAAAATTAGCTGGGTGTGGTGGCACACGCCTGTGGTCCTGTGCAAGTGATCCACCCACCTTGGCCTCCCAAAGTGCTGGGACTGCAGGCATGAGCCACCACGCCCAACCGGATATTTGAACGTTATTCTGCAGTCAGTGGGGCTCTTGGAAGGGTGACAGGCAGGAGTGGAACTTGGTCAGATGTGTGTTCTGGAAAGTCCCCTCGCTGCATGTAGAGAATGAACAGGCTGTATGTGTGTGTATGCTCAGAGGGGAGACAGTGAGGAGATCCGGACATGCAGGGAGGCGGAGGTCATGGAGGCAGAGGGCTGGAGGGAGGTCATGGAGGCAGAGGGCTGGAGGAGAGAGGATGGATTTGAGCACAGTGACTCATCTTGGGGATCATGGGGAGTGGATGAGGAGGGGAGGATCTTGGGCATGTAGAGGGACTGTCATATTCATGGGCATGTCAGGGGAGGAAGCTAGGGGCTGGGCAGATTGAGTGTTCACTTTGAAATGATTAATTTGGGGTGACTGGGAGACACCCATAGCAGAATGTCCTCCTCCATTGAGGACCCCAGAAGGCAATATCTGTGTGCCTTTTCCTTTCTGAAAGACCTTGCATTCCCAGGGGGCAATTCTAAATAGACCAGGAAACCTCCCACAATTAGACCTAACCCAGACATTGAACCTCCCTCTGCTCAGCCCATTCATAAAGTGCCTCTGGCATTTAGGTGTCTTCTAATCTCATTTTCTCTGCTTGTTAATGGACCCACTGAGGCAGTACTCCTGGGAGAGAGAGAAAGATTTCATTTGTCTGGGGCTGAGGAGGGAGACGAGGGTTGCCAGAGCTAATGAGGAATCAGTGCCTTGTAATTGCTAATTAAATGAGCCTGGCTCTCTCTCTTGGGGCTGTGAGTTGGCTGGCCGGCCCTTAAGTGTCCACAAATTCAATTATGCTTCCCCAATAAACACCTCCAGCAACCATTGCCCTCCAGTATCTCTCTGGGGGAGACCTAGAAGAAGGATCTTCCTGTGTGTGCTGAGGCCATTCATTCATTTATTGATTGATGTATTGGTTTATTCTTTGATGCCTTTATTGATTCAACACATGCTTATTATATGCCTGCTGTGTGCCGGGCCCCGGACCAGGCGCTGGGGACACAGCAGTGAAAATACTAACATTGTTTCTGCCCTCACGGAGCTCACAGTGTAACAGGGAGACAAATAGACCTGTCAGTAGATAACATGAAAATAATTGGACTATGTGCTGCAGACACAATATCCCAGGTCTATGAGAATGTCAATACAGACTTCACGTGGGAAATGGTGAGGCAATAAGGATCGTTTCCCTTGATGAAATGGAGCTTGCAGAAGAAGGCAGGGTCAGTTGTGGGGAGCTCTGGTTGGAGGTGGAGGGAGTGCATTCCAAGCTGCAGGAACAGCAGAGGCAAAAGCCCTGAGGCTGGAGAACAGGTAACCATGTGCAGTTTTTCACTTGATTAGGGTGTTGCAGAGAATTGGGAGTGAGTCTTATATATTTATTTATTTATTTATTATTTTTTACTGAGATGAGGTCTTGCTATGTTGCCCAGGCTGGTCTCGAACTCCTGAGCTCAAGCTATCCTCCCACCTTGGCCTCCCAAAGTGCTGGGATTACAAGTGTGAGCCACCATGTCTGGCAAAGGTGGTGAGCCTTTATGATGTCATAAGTCACCACTGGGCACAAGTTCACACTTGTCCTATGATTGGCCCATGACACTGATGGGTAGCAGACAGGAAAGGAATCTTTTCTGAAACTTTTTTTTTGAAACAGGGTGTTGTTCTGTTGCCCAGTCTGGAGTGCAGTGGTGCAGTCATGGCTCACTGCAGCCTTGATCTCCCAGGCTCAAGTGTTCCTCCCACCTCCTAAGTAGTTGGGACTACAGGCATGTGTCAACTCACGGGGTCTCACTATATTGCCCAGGCTGGTCTCAAACTCCTGTACTCAAGCAATCCTCCCATCTCATCCTCCCAAAATGTTAGGATTACAGGTATGAGCTCCCACACCCAGCCCACTTCTGGAACTTTTATTGAAAAGTATCCTTAGGCTGGGTTCGGTGGCTCACACCTGTAATCTTGGCACTTTGAGAGGCTGAGGCAGGAGACCATGTCTTTACAAAAAAGAAAAAAAAAATGTTTTTTGAGACAGAATCTCTCTCTGTTGCCCAGGCTGGAGTGCAGTGGTGCAATCTTGGGTCATGCAGCCTCTGCCTCCTGGGTTCAAGGGATTCCCATGCCTCAGCCTCCCGAGTAGCTGGGACTACAGGTGTGTGCCACAACGCCCAGCTAATTTTTGTATTTTTAGGAGAAATGGAGTTTCACCATGTTGTCCAGGCTGGTCTTGAACTCCTGGCCTCAAGTGGTCCACCTGCCTTGGCCTCCCAAAGTGCTGGGATGACAGGCGTGAGCCACCCGGCCAAAAAAATAATAATTTTTTTTTTAATAGAAAAGTACCCTGAGAACTCTGGTCTAGGGAGGGCTTTAAATGTCATTCCCTCATTGGGTCTCCCAGGAAAGCGCCATAAGGTGGTTAGAGGTCTTGGGTTTAGAGTCAGGTATGTTCTATCTCCAGGCTTGTGGGGGCGTACGAGTGATGTGACAAACCCCATACATGGTGCATGGCTGTATGAGCACAGGATGTATGTCCTTGTTTGCTTCCCTCCTTTGCCTGTGCCTGTATCGCCTGGAGTGAGCCAGCCCCCCCACTCCGAGTGGAAGCGATTCTTCCCCGACCTCCCCGGTTCTCCCCCACTGGCCAGCCCATTGAAGGCGAAGGTCGAAGGGAGTCTGCGCTATGAGGCCGGCTGTGACTTGTTGTCGTAGTACATCAGAACAACAAAATCACTAGTCTTCCACACAGCACTAGACCACAGCCACTCTAATCTTCTTCACCACCCTCTGCCCCATGTCTGAGACCCCTGCCCAGCTCCTCCTTCTCACCTGAGCCAAGCTATGACACCTGAGTTTCCTGCCTCTGTGCTGCCTCCCTGTTTTCCATTCCCGGTTCTCCTGGAGAGAAGCAGGGTCTGATCTCCAAGGGCCCACCTCCCACCCAGGCACGTCAGAGACATGGGATTTGGAGTTGGACTGGTGGGGTTGACTTACAGCTTCACTTGTGGGCTGAGAGTCCCTGCGTGGGTTATTTTTCTGCCTTTCTCAGGGCCTTGGGTTCCCCAAATGTCACATGGGCACAGTAACACCCATGTCCTAGGGTTGAAGATGGCATGATATGATGTATGTAAAATGCTTGGCACAAGGTTTCTCACCGAAGTCTGGAAGAGACACCATAATGTCATCTTAGCAGGCAGCTGTTACCCCAGTGAGGTATCTTACCTGTTGAAAATTCCGGACTTGGGCCAGGCGCAGTGACTCACGCCTGTAATCCTAGCACTTTGGGAGGCTGAGGTGGACGGATGAAGAGGTCAAGAGTTTGAGACCAGCCTGGCCAACATGGTGAAACCCCGTCTCTACTAAGAATACAAAAATTAGCCGGGAGTGGTGGCATGTGCCTGTAATCCCAGATACTCGGGAGGCTGAGGCAGGAGAATCCCTTGAACCCAGGAGGCAGAGGTTGCAGTGAGCCGAGATCGTGCCACTGCACTCCAGCCTGGGCGACAGAGCAAGACTCCGTCTCGAAAAAAAAAGAAAATTGCAGACTTCTGTGTGTGCTTATCTGGAAAATACTTTGTTTAAAAATCCATTACATGAGGTGCAGGTCTCCAGAAATGCCAGGCACCTCAGACCACCCTCTCTCGTCCTCCCCCTGCAAAATCAGGGTCAAAGGGCTCTCCCGTTACCTGGAGGAGCTGTCCAGGGTTCTGGAGACGAAACGGAGCCCGCTGGGAACTGTCCTGAGCCCCGGTGCTGAAACAGATCGCGGTTCTCTTCTCGGACCTCCCGAGAGGCGCTGTCCGGATATTTGGTGCTGAAATAAATAGCATTCTCCTCCTTCGGTCGGTGGAGAGCTGTCCCTCGTGCTGAAGAAAACTTGATTTTCCTCTCTCTTTCCCCGTTCCCCCACCCCTCTTCGTTCTCGGTTCCTCCGATTCTTGGGAAACCCCACCCCCACTCAATTTATTTCCCCTCCTAGCTTCTTCCTGGGGAGCTTCAGAATGGCAATGGGGTGGCGGGGGGGAGACACAGAGGGGTCGCAACTAGCACTGATACCTGCTCCTCACCCTGTACCATGTCCCCAGAACTTACCTCCCAAGCAGTCAGCCCTGCTGGTCTCTGCTTTCCAGACCGTCAAACTTCGCCGTCTCTGTCCCTTTCTGGGAAAATGTCCATGCGCCAACCTGCAAACCAGCCTCATTCCCGGCATCCCACGTCCCTCAGACCACCCCTCCTCCCACGCAGCTGCGGGCCTCCCCCTCTGTGTGCCTCACCTGCTTCCAGTCTTGTTGGCAGATGCAGGTGTCCCGTGGCTGCCGAGGCGGGGACCTGCGCTTTTATAGGCTTCAGGGAAGGCGGAGCGCCAGGAATCCTGGGAGGGGCTTCCCCAACTGGCCAATGGGATTCCGCCTCAGAATGAAGCTCCAAAGATTACCTCATAGGTTGTGGCCCACGCTTCAGAATAAAAGTCTGGCATCTGCCCAAAAACTGGGCTAGGGGATTTTTTCGGATGGGGAAGGAGCATTCATTGTGGACCATGGAGTCTCCCCACTCTCTCCAATCCCCTCCTGGGTTCCTGAGCTCCAAGTTCGTTCAGGTGTCCTGGCTGGTACCTGTTTCTTCCCATTCCCAATTTTTGCTATTGCTCCTGGTTCAGGAAAGAAAAAGCTGGTAAACTGTTTTGGGAAAAAATAAGGGATGTGGAGAATATTAAAGTCCAGTTCCACCTAGGGCAACTGACGTCTGTGAAAATGGAGGGCTCAGAAGACTCTGGGGCAGAGGTGGGACTTAAGCCTGAAGCTTTTGATTCCTTAACTCAAAACCCAATTTATAAAATTCAGCTTATTGTAGTGCTATACTGGGCAGGCTCTGAACCAAAAAACGAAGAAACTGGGGTTCAAGTTCAGATTTTTCTTCTCCTTCCTTTGGGACATTGGGCACAGTTGTGCCTCAGTTTTTGCAACTGTGAAGTAGTGATAATAGTAGAGTATTTGCTGAGGAACTAATGATATGGTGTGGATTGCATGTTAGAAATAATCAGGGCAGGGGCTAATGTGAGTTGGGTGAGGCACCAGCCTCAGGTGCAAAACTTAAAGGGGCACCAAAAAACTCAATAATCAAGGTAAATAATATTTCAGGCCAGGTGCAATGGCTCATGCTTGTAATCTGAGCACTTTGGGAGGCCAAGGTGGGAGGATCACTTGAGGCCAGGATTTCAAGATGAGCCTGGGCAACATAGTGAGACCCCGTTTCTGAGAGAGAAAGAGGGAGAGAGGGAGAGAGAAAGAGAGAAACAGAGAGAGAGAGAGAGAGAGAGAGAGAGAATGGCACCTGTGGTCTCAGCTACTTGGGAGGCTGAGGTGAGAGGATCACTTGAGGCCAGGAGGTCGAAGCTGCAGTGAGTTATGATTGCACCACTGCACTCCAGCCTAGGTGACAGAGCAAGACCCTGTCTCAAAAAAAAATCGATGCAATGTTTTAAGAAATCAAAATGTATGCCAAAATCCACAATGAACAAAATATCAAAAATGTAAATAAAGGCAGAACCAGCCTTTCTGACTTTTCCTTTTGCCTGAGGTCCCAATATGGCTTGGCATGGCACTAGCAATCATGTCTGTTTACGGTAAGTTTTCTAATAATGCAGCTGTTATTCTTTCCTGATCTATTCCACCCATTTATTTGCTCAACAAACTTGTTGTACTAGGCACTGGAGATACATACATGAATTCAGCAACCAACCTTGCCTTTAGGGAGGGTAAAGACATGAAAACTCTGCTCACATGTTGGTATGGGCATTGGGTTGAAGGAACAGTCAGTGTAAGGGCCCTGGTGGGGGTGGGGGAAAGAACAGGCCCTGGGGGGTGAGCAAGCATAGAAGGGACAGTTAGGATATAAATCAGGGACAGCTGTACAGGACCTGATCATTCAGGCCAGGACAAAAGTGAAGTTCCTCAGGTTGCACAGGAAGACCTGCCACCCTTTCTCTCTCCCCTTCCCTAAGCTTTTACTCTGTGCCAGGGTCAGTGCCAGACATTCTACCTGCTGAGTGATCTGAAGGCCTCAGGGCAGCCCCATGAGATAGATCCCAGCCAGGTGCGTTGACTCACCCCTGTAATTCCAGCACTTTGGGAGGCCGAGGCGGGTGGATGACCTGAGGTCAGGAGTTCGAGACCAGCTTGGCCAATATGGTGACACCTCGTCTCTACTAAAAATACAAAAATTAGCCGAGTGCGGTGGCGGGTGCCTGTAGTCCCAGCTACTACAGAGGCTGAGGCAGGAGAATCGCTTGAACCCGGGAGGCAGGGGTTGCAGTAAGCCAAGATCATGCCACTGCACTCCAGCCTGGGTGACAGAGCGAGACCTTGTATAAAAAAAATAAAAATAATAAAAAAATTGAAAAAGGGCCGGACATGGTGGCTCACGCCTGTAATCCCAGCACTTTGGAAAGCAGAGGTGGGTGGATCACCTGAGGTCGGGAGTTTGAGAACAGCGTGACCAACATGGAGAAACCCTGACTCTACTAAAAATACAAAATTAGCCGGCATGGTGGCACGTGCCTCTAATCCCAGCTACTTGGGAGGCTGAGGCAAGATAATCGCTTGAACCCAGGAGGTGGGGGTTGCAGTGAGCCAAGATTGTGCCACTGCACTCCAGCCTAGGCAATAAGAGCAAAACTCTGTTAAAAAAAAAGAAGAAGAAGAACAAAGAAAGGAAGGAAGGAGAAAGAGAAAGAGAGAAAAAAGAAAGAAAAAGAAAGAAAGAAGAAAGAAAGAAGAAAGAAAGAAAGAAAGAAAGAAAGAAAGAAAGAAAGAAAGAAAGAAAGAAAGAAAAAGAAAGAAGGAAAGAAAGAAAGAAAAAGAAAGAAAGTTCTTTTTGGCTGGATGCCTGTAATCCCAGCACTCTGGGAGGCCAAGGCAAGTGGATCACCTGAGGTCAGGAGTTTGAGACCAGACTGGACAATATGTTGAAACCCCATCTCTACTAAAAATACAAAAATTAGCTGGGCATGGTGGTGCATGCCTGTAATCCCAACTACTCAGGAGGCTGAGGCAGGAGAATCGCTTGAACCCAGGAGTTTGAAGTTGCAATGAGCCAAGATTGCACCATTGTACTCCAGCCTGGGCAACAAGAGCAAAACTCCATCTCAAAATAGACAGAGAGAGAGAGAGAGAGAGAGAGAGAGAGAGAGAGAGAGAGAGAGAGAGAGAAAGGAAAGCAGGCCTT
Organism: Homo sapiens; assembly: GCF_000001405.40. Classification (NCBI taxonomy): domain Eukaryota; kingdom Metazoa; phylum Chordata; class Mammalia; order Primates; family Hominidae; genus Homo; species Homo sapiens. The sequence continues at coordinate 4,766,219 of NC_000019.10, read as the reverse complement.
TTGACTGGGCACAGTGGCTCATGCCTGTAATCCCAGCACTTTGGGAGGCCAAAGCGGGCAAATCACGAGGTCAGGAGGTCGAGACCAGCCTGGTCAACATGGTGAAACCTCGTCTCTACTAAAAATACAAAAAATTAGCTGGGCATAGTGGCGGGTGCCTGTAATCCCAGCTACTTGGGAGGCTCGGGCAGGAGAATCACTTGAACCCGGGAGAAGGAGGTTGCAGTGAGCCAAGATCGTGCCACTGCACTCCAGCCTGGGCAACAGAGCAAGACTCCTTCTCAAAAAAAAAAAAAAAAAAAAAAAAAAAGGAAGAAAGACCTTTTTTTTTTTAAGACAGAGTCTTAGTCTGTGACCCAGGCTGGAGTGCAGTAGTGCAATCATGGCTCACTGCAGTCTCTGCCTCCTGGCTCAGGCAATCCTCCTACTTCAGCCTTCTGTAGGTGTGCACCGCTATGCCCAGCTAATTTTAAAAATTATTTGTAGAAACAGGGTCACCCTATGTTGCCCAGGTTGGTCTTGAACTCCTGGGCTCAAGCAATCCTCCCACCTTGGCCTCCCAAAGTGCTGAAATTCCAGGCATGAGCTATCATGCCTGGCTGATATGCATGTTTTATAGATGGCTAGAGAGGGGAAGGGGCTTGCCCAAGGACCACAGGGAGAGGGTGTGGGAGTTGGGGACCCCAGTCTGCCAACCCCAAGGTTTAATCTCTTATCAATTGTTCATTTCATTTCCTGTGCCCTTCCAGAAGTACATGCATATATAAGTGTGTACATTCTCCGCCCACATGCACGTTTGCTACTTTTTATTTTTATTTTTTATTATTTTATTTTATTTTAGAGATGAAATCTCACTCTGTTGCCCATGCTGGAGTGCAGTGGCATGATCTCGACTCACTGCGACTTCTGCCTCCCGGATTCAAGCGATTCTCCTGCCTCAGCCTCCCGAGTAGCTGGGATTACAGGTGTCCGCCACCACACCCAGCTAATTCTTGTATTTTTAGTAGAGATGGGTTTTCACTATGTTGGCCAGGCTGGTGTTGAACTCCTGACCTCAAGCGATCCACCCACCTCGGTCTCCCAAATTGCTGGGATTACAGGTGTGAGCCACCACGCCTGGCCTGGCTTCCTTTCCTCAGTAGAATACACTGGAGAGCCATTCATGCTGTTGTGTGAACCCGGAGTTAGTTCCTTTTTATTATTAAGTAGTATTCCATCATGTGGATGAACTATGGCCTGTTTAGCTATTCATCAGTCCAAGGACATTAGGTTCTGGAACACCTTCTGTGTTTGGAGATTATTAGGAATAAAACTGCTATAAATATTTTCATGCAGGCTTTCATGTGGGCGATAAATTTTCACATCTCCAGGGTAACACCTAGGAGGGTGACGGCTGGGTCATATGGGAAGTGTATATTTAACTTCATAAGAAACTGTCAAACTTTTCCAGAGCGATTGTATTTTAGTAGAGATGGGGTTTCACCACGTTGGCCAGGCTCGTCTCGAACTCCTGACCTCAAGTGATCCTCCTGCCTTGGCCTCCCAAAGTGTTGGGATTACAGGCGTGAGCCACCACTCTCAGCTATAGCTGGCATTTTTATAATAACTTTCTGTGCACTGGGCCCTTGCTCATTCAGGCTCTGCTCTTGTCTATTCACTTGGAATCTGAGCTTCCCAGAGAGACCCCTTTGTTCAGTTTTTCTCCTCTCTGGGTCTCTGTGTTCTGTAACATTTCCTTGTGTCCCGGGAGATAGACAGGTGTGGGTGGGCAGAGGCGAACGAATCTATTTAGAAAATGGCCCCACGACTCCAGTTAGGAACAGTAGCTAATTATCTCTGGGAATAACAAGCCAGCAATGAGTATTAATTAATAGCTCATCAGGGTAGAAAAGAAAAGTCTAGGAATAAGGGCCTTGGGTGATTCCTCCTCCCTGTATGTGCGCGTACACACACACACACACACACACACACACACACACACACACACGCAGCCCCTTCCTCAGCCGTTACTATAGAGACCTCTTTCCTGCCACCCTCATGAGCATTTACAAATCAAGACTGCACAGATGGTGACCTCAGCGGGTCTGTTGTTCTTTCTTCTAAGGACAATTTCTGGAGCCCTGAGGATTAAGGAAACAGGGCTACTCTGGACAACATCTGCCTGGGGCCCCGAAACCTGACCTGCAGCCTGGGCAAGGGGAGATTAGCAGAGGCGTTTACCTAGAAGAGGCAGGGCATGAAAACAGGACCACACGCAGGTCACCCTCCCCACCTGAGGCCACCCAGGGAATCCCTAATAAAGGTCTCAGTTCCTGCTTCCTGGCACGTTAATGCTTTGGACACAGTGGGAGAGGAGAGAATCTTGCAATGTAGGTCCTGGAACTACTGCTGCAGTATTACTAACTAGGGTTTACTGAGCATCTATTTTGTGCCGAGCACTTTACGGGTGATGATGATGGCCCAATGGTGGTACTCATTGTCTGTCATTCACTATGTGCTAAGCGTTTTATAGACCATAGAGAGCCAGGTCATGCCCCATTTTAATTGGCACTGTATTTCCCAATGCCTGAAATTCATTGAATGACTAAATAATCTAATTTACTCCTCAAAGCTGTCCTGCAGCACAGTGACTGAATCTCACTGTTCTGATGTGGAAACTGAGTCCCAGAGAGGTGGAGACATTTTCCCCAAGGACACCTAGCAAGCAGGGGGCAGAGAAGGGCTCTGAAGGGTGGCCTTCCTATTATAGAACCCCCCTACTTTTCAATTCCTTGAGGCCCAGAGAGCTCAAACAGCACGTCAGAGGCCCAGCCAGGACTAGAATCCAGCTTTCCTATCCCCGTCTTTGATGTTTCTTGTCTTGGCTTGCCATACTTTCTGGCAGCCCTAACATGAAGCACCGTGTCCTGAAAATATTGAGCCCCAATAGATATTTGTCAATGATACGATGAGGTCCAGATTTGGACCTTCCAGAACCTTCCAGAACCTTCTGGAACCTTCCGGAACCTCTCCAAGGGTATCTGTTCCAACTCACACCCTCATCCTCCAGGGAACCAGGACCTGTTGTTTTGTTCCTGTTTGAAAGATGGGGAAAAGGGAAGAAGACAGAGGTTGGATTGCTAGCCCGTAGTCCTACTGAAAGACGGAGTCTGTCTGGGGCTAGGCTTGATATTTCCCTGCCTGCCATCTTGCTGCTCCCCTCAATGGCTCTTCTCTTGGCATCTGCCTGTTCTCAAAAGCGATTTTCTAGCTTTCTGTTGGTTCTGTGGCCGTCACGGCTTCCTTCCAATCAGTCCCCAATCTGTGTAAATGATAATGCCAGCTACCATTTATTGAAAACCTACTAGGTGCTGGCTCTTCTCTTCATCTCGTCCTCACGTTAACTTTCCAAGCTTGGTGCTTATTAGCACCATGTCCCAGGGGCAGAAGCAAGCACAGAGAGTTGAGACTCTTGCCCAGGCTCACACAGCAGAGAAACAGAGAGAGCTGCCTTTTGAGACCAGAGTCCCCACTTTCAGCCAAATTCTGTGGTTGGTACCTGAGTCTGAAGTGGGACCAGACCCAAGCCTCCAAAATGTGCCTTTTGGGCTGCAGAGTCAAGCCAAGTTCCTGCAGACCTGGTTTGCTCACCAGCCCTGAGTCCTGGGAGGCCCTTGCATGGAAGTTGTATTCTCCCTTCTTAGCTTGCAGAGGCTCCTGAAATATGCATATTAACAAAATTCTGGGCCAGGCACAGTGGATCACACCTGTAATCTCAGTAATCTGGGAGGCCAAGACTGGAGGATCACTTGAGGCCGGAGTTTGAGACCAGCCTAAGCAACATAGCAAGACCCTGACTCTACAAAAAATACAAAAATTAGCCAGGCATAGTGGCATGCACCTGTGGTCCGAGCTACCCTGGAGGCTGAGGCAGGAGGATGGCTTGAGCTCAGGAGGTTGAGGCTGCAGTGAGCTATTATCGTGCCACGGCACTCCAGCCTGGGCAACAGAGCAAGACCCTGTCTCAAAAACAACAACTACAACAATAAAAACAACTTCCAAGTACAGTCCTTCTCTGCAACTGCCGTCTGGTGACTGCCCTTCTAAGAGGGGAGCAGATAGGAAGACAGTTCCTGGCAGCCACAGTGGTGGAGGGGGGTACACCCAGGGGAGCCCCTCAGAGGCTCTGCCATTTGTGTCTTTGCTCCTGCTGTTCCCGGAGCAGGTGAGCAGAGGGCCTGCTCAGAGGAAAGTCTTCCGGGAAAGATGGAACAGCGAGCGGGAGGAAAGACCTGGAGGAGGAAATCAGCACTGGTGAAAATGAACGATGATCAGATGTGTCCTCCCGTCCACTGAGGTCCTGGGCCACTTCCTGTGGTCAATGCGATAGTCACAACTATTGGCACTGTATTTCCCAATGCCTGAAATTCACTGAATGACTGAAGGGTCTCATTTACTCCTCGAAGCTGCCCTGCAGTCCGGCTCAGTTGGACCCTGAGTTCAGCACAGCGAGGCTGAGGACTCAGACCCACAGTAGAGCCTGGTACACACTAGGTGCTCAATTAATGCTTGTCGACAAAAGAACAAACAAAGCAAATAACTGGAAAGGAGTTAAGAAGAGATCAGCTAGGCCAGGCGTGGTGGCTCAAGCCTGTAATCCCTGCACTTGGAGAGGCCGAGGCCGGAGGATCACCTGAGGTCAGCAGTTCGAGACCAGCCTGGCCAACACGGTGAAACCCCGTCTCTACTAAAAATACAAAATACACGTGGCACAGGCCTGTAATCCAAGCTACTCTGGAGGCTGAGGCAGGGGAATCGCTTGAACCCGGGAGGCAGAGGTTGCATTGAGCCAAGATCTCACCATTGCACTCCAGCCTAGGCAACAAGAACAAAACTCCGTCTCAAAAAAAAAAAAAAAAATCAGGTAGTCTAGGAATCAGAAATTTAAATGCCTTCACATGAAGGCCCCCACTTTGAGCTAATTTTCTTTCTTTTTTTAAATTTCTATTGTTTTTTAGAGACATGGTCTCAGTCTGTCACCCAGGGTGGTGTTGAACTCCTGGCCTCAAGAGATCCTCCTGCCTCCGCCAGGTCTCCCAAAGTGCTGGGATTACAGGTGAGAGCCACTGTACCTGGCCTTGAGCTATTATTAATTAGAAAGAAAAACAACCCAGAGAACATTGTGTAGGAAACAAACTGCAGTGGCAGGGAATCTGACACGAGGCCACTTCTCCCACTCCTTCACCTCATCTATGGAAACAGTTGGGGCTCAGTGCCATTAAATGACACTTGGAAGGTCTCACAGCTCCTAACTGAGAGCTGGGACCATGGTGATGATTAGCTGCTGTTTATTAAATACTTGCTGCACACTTCACACACATTCTCTCAATAATATGAGACAGAGTCTTGCTCTGTCACCTAGGCTGGAGCACAATGCGCTATCTTAGCTCACTGCAACCTCCACCTCCCAGGTTCAAGCAATTCTCCTGCCTCAGCCTCCCGAGTAGCTGGGACTACAGGTGCCTGTCACCGGGCCCGGGTAATTTTTGTACTTTTAGTAGAGATGGGGTTTCACCATGTTGGCCAGGCTGGTCTCCAACTCCCGACCTCAGGTGATCTGCCTGCCTCGGCCTCCCAAAGTGCTGAGATTACAGGAGTGAGCCACTGTGCCTGGTCCTATTTGTTCTTTTAACTGATGAGGAGTCGAGGGCTCAGAGAGGTTAAGGGACTCACCTAGAGTCACACAGCCGCAAATGGCAGAGACGGGATGTGAATTCTGTCCACCCAGAGGCAAATCTTTTAATACACCCTCTTCAAGAGTTAAACTTTTTGTATTTTTGTGCAGGAGGAAACCGTGACCCATCGGGATGGGGGAGGGGGGGATTGGTTCAATACAGCCAACGGCGATTGGACAGTTTCCATGAGACCCCGAGTCTTAAGAGTCAAATCTGTTCCCCGCGCCCCCAAATCTAGGTTTACCCAGGCTGGAGGCTAGGGTTCCCCACCACCACTGGAAACACTCCAAACCCACCCCTTCCAACAGCAGGTGCACACTGTAGGCGCCTAATGAACGCTTCGATGGTGGGGTTGGAGGCAGCGGCAGGGCTGTTGGAGGAGAGTCCTGTTTTCCAGCCCTCCCCGCTCAGCTCCTCAGGGCCTGCCCAGCCCCCAGCCCCAGCCCCCGCGCATCCGGCAGCTCTCCCACCGCAATTACGGTAATTAGCTGGGAGCCTCTCGCCGCGAGGGAGGAGGCGGACTTTGGCCCAGGCTGACCTGCTTCCCGGCGGGCCCTCGGATTGGTCCGCGCCGAGCACGTGATACACGCCGCGGACTTGTTGCTGGGCATCCCGGCGTTGCCAGGGCAACGCCTACGCGCGTTCTCTCTGCCGAGTGCCTGGAGAAGTGGCTGCGCTGAGGGTCCTCGGCAAGAGACGAGGAGGGGGGATCATGAGGGCCAGGCAAGCGCTGCCTCCCTCCCTCCCTCCTCCCTCCCTCCCTCAGCTCCCGCTCCCAGTCTCCGGCCCCCACAGCTCAGTCGCTCCGAGCCCCCCACGGACATGACAGGACATCCAAGTGGGTGGACAGGACACGGCGAGGATCACGAACCAGGCCAGCGAGCACAGAGGGTAGGGCACGCTGACAGACAGACAGACAAACACGGCAGGGGCACAGAGATCTTGCAGCATCAACAAACAATTGCTGAAACCCCTGCAGGCTCCAAGTCTCTGTTCAGAAGGGGATGTCACCAGACAAGACAGGAGACAGTCCCTGTCCCCCTAGCCATCAGCGGCATCACCACGGCCCCTGTACCTGACCACTCCCTACGTGCAGAGCCTGAGCGAAACGCTTTATTTGCATCTCATGCTTCTTATGCCCCAGAAGCAGGCATTGTTATCATTCGCCTTTTACAGATGAGAAAACTGAGGCTCCCAATGGGGCAAGTACAAGCTAGGAGGCAGGGAGGGACTCCCACCCTCTAGGATTGGCTACAAAAGCCCACATATTCATTCTCTTTATGAAACTTCCTCTAATAATAATGATAAAAAAAAAATAGTGGACCAGGTGCGGTGGCTCACATCTGTAACCCCAGCACCTTGGGAGGCCAAGGCAGGCGGATCACGAGGTCAGGAGTTTGAGACCAGCCTGGCCAATATGGTGAAACCCCCTCTCTATTAAAAATACAAAAATTATCCAGTCGTGGTGTGGCACACGTGTAGTCCTAGCTACTTGGGAGGCTGAGGCAGAAGAATTACTTGCACCCAGTGGGGGGGAGGATTCAGTGAGCCTAGATCGTGCCACTGCACTCCAGAGCCTGGGTGACAGAGCAGGACTTTGTCTCAAAACCAAACAAACAAACAACACACACACACACGTGTATTAGTTATTTATTGCTGTGTAACAAATAGCCCCAAATCTTTTTTGTTGTTGTTGAGACAGGGTCTCCCTCTGTCACCCAGGCTGGAGTGCAGTGGCAGGATCAGGGCCCACTGCAACCTCTGTCTCCTGGGCTTAGTGATCCTCCCACCTCGGCCTCCAGACTAGATGGGACTAAAGGGGCACACCACCATGCCCAGCTAATTTTTAAAATTTTTGTAGAAATGGGGTTTTGCTATGTTGCTCAGGCTGGTCTCAAACCTTTGGGCTCAAGTGATCCACCCATTTCGGCCTCCCAAAGTGCTGTGATTACAGGCATGAGCCACCTTGCCCAGCCCCTCAAATCTTAATGGCTTAAAATAATCATATTCATTATCTCACTGTTTCTGTGTCGTACCTGCCTTAGAACCTTCCACAGGTTTTCATCAAGGTGTTAGCCAAGGCAGGGGTCTCATCCAAATATCTGACTGGGGGATGCCAGATGAGGTGTTAAGTACCTGTAGGCCCAGCTACTCTGGAGGCTGAGGCATGAGGATTGCTTGAGGCTAGGAGTTTGAGGCTGTAGTGCACTATGATTGCACCTGTGAATAGCCGCTGCATCCCAGCCAGGGCAACATAGCAAGATCCTATACCTAAAAGAAAAGAAAAAAGATTGGAAAGGGAAAAGAGCCACTTGCAAACTCACATAGGGGTCTCTTCAACGTGGTGGATTGCTTTATTGAAGCCTGAAAACTGAGAAGGCAATACATTCGGCTAACAAGATGGAAGTTACAGTGTCTTACAACCTGAGCGTGGAAATGACATCTTATTACTCTACGTGTGTTTATTGTGGTAAAATATGTACCGTTAAGCATTATATAACAACATTTCAGTCAATGACAGACTGCAATTATGATGGTTGTTCAATAAGATTTTTTTTTTAGATGGAGTCTTGTTCTGGCCCAGGCTTGAGTGCAGTGGTGCCATCTTGGCTTACTATGATCTCTACCTCCCAGGTTCAAGCAATCCTCCTGCCTCAGCCTCCCGAGTAGCTGGGATTACAGGTGCCCGCCACCCCTCCTGGCTAATTTTTGTATTTTTAGTAGAGACAGGGTTTCACCATGTTGGCCAGGCTGGTCTCAAACTCCTGAACTCAGGGGATCCACCCACCTCAGCCTCCCAAAGTGCTGGGATCACAGGCATGAGCCACCGCACCCAGCCAATTTTTAATCGTTTATACAATATTTTTCCTGCACCTTTTCTATGCTTAGATATGTTTAGATACACAAGTACTTACCATCGTGTTACAGTTGCCTGCAGGATTCAGTACAGCCCCATACTGTGCAGGTTTGTAGCCTGGGAGCATTAGGCTCTACCATACAGCCTAGGTGTGTGGTAGGCTGTGCCATCTAGGTGTGCGTGGGCACACTCTATGATGTTCACGCAACGACGAAATTGCCTAATGACACATCTTGCTGAATGCATTTCCTTTTTTTTTTTTTTTTTTTGAGACAGCGTCTCGCTCCGTCACCCAGGCTGGAGTGCAGTGGCGCGATCTCGGCTCACTGCAATCCCCGCCTCCCAGGTTCAAGCGATTCTCCTGCCTCAGCCTCCCATGTATTTCCATTATCAATTAATACATGACTGTGTCACATGAAATTTGCCATTTTAACTTTTTTTTTTTTCCGAGACAGGGTCTCACTCTGTCCCCCAGGCTGGAGTGCAGTGGCTTGATCATAGCTCCCTGCAGCCTCAAACTCCCAGGCTCAAGCAGTGGTCCCACCTCAGCTTCCCGAGTAGCTGGGACTACAGGCGCATACCACGGCACCTGGCCTGAATCCTTTTTAGGTGAACGGCTCAGTGGCATTAAGTACATTCACTGTTGTGCCACCATCACCATCATCATCTCCAGAATCTTTCCAGCCTCCTAAACAGAAACTCTGTACCCATTATGCAAAAACTCCCCATTTCCCCAGCCCCTGCTAACCTCCAACCTACTTTCTGTCTTTATAAATTAGCCGGTTCTAGGGAACTCATGTAACTGGAATTATGTGTTTGTCTCCTCATACTGGTTTCTTTCACTTAACATGATGTCCTCAAGGTTCATCCATGTTGTAGCATGAATCAGAATTTCTTCTCCTCCAGCACACTTTTTTTACTTTTTTTTTTTTTTTTTTTTTTTTTTTGAGACAGAGTCTTCCTCTGTCCCCCAGGCTGGACTGATCTCGGCTCAGTGCAAACTCCGCCTCCCCAGTTCAAGCGATTCTCCTGCCACAGTTTCCCGAGTAGCTGGGATTACAGGTGCCCACCACCACGCCCCAGTAATTTTTTGTATTTTTAGTAGAGACAGGGTTTCACTGCATTGGCCAGGCTGGTCTCAAACTCCTGACCTCAAGCAATCTGCCCGCCTCGACCTCCCAAAGTGCTGGGATTACAGGCTTGAGCCACAACGCCTGGCTGATTTTTGCATTTTTAGTAGATACAGGGTTTTGCCGTGTTGGTCAGGCTGGTCTCCAACTCCTGACCTCAAGTGATCTGCCTACCTCACCCTCCCAAAGTGCTGGGATTACAGGCGTGAGCCGCTGTGCCCAGCCCTATTTTGTAATTTTTTCATCCCTACTTAGATGTATTTTTTTTTTTCTTTTTTTGAGAGGAGTCTCTCTCTGTCGCCCAGGCTGGAGTGCAATGGCGCGATCTTGGCTCACTGCAAGCTCCACCTCCCAGGTTCATGCCATTCTCCTGCCTCAGCCTCCCAAGTAGGTGGGACTACAGGTGCCCGCTACCATGCCTGGCTAATTTTTTGTATTTTTTTTTTTTTTTTTTAGTAAAGACGGGGTTTCACCGTGTTAGCCAGGATGGTCTTGATCTCCTGACCTCGTGATCCGCCCGCCTCGGCCTCCCAAAGTGCTGGGATTACAGGCGTGAGCCACCGCGCCCGGCCCTTTTTTTTTTTTTTTTAACTTTTTATTTTGGAAAGAATATCAAAAGATGCAAGAAGAGTACCATGACCTCTCAGGTACTGTCTTTCCTCACCTCACCCATTGTGAACATTTTAATATGTACAACTGTTTATTGTTAATAAGCCCGGAAGGGACTGGGCACCTCTAAGAACAAGGCTGTTCCCTTACATAATGATGAAGATACAATGAATTCATGAAATTTCACGTTGACTTGATGTTATTATCCAATATATAATCCATATGCACACTTCGCCACCTGTCGCTATCACGTTCTTTACAGCTCTTTTCCTTTGTGGTCTGGGAACATGTGTTGCCCTCAGTGTGCCTGTGTGACATTTGAAGAGATCTTTTGTAATTTTTTTTTTTTTTTTTTGAGATGGCGTCTCACTCTGTCACCCAGGCTGAAGTGCAGTGGTGCGATCTCAGCTCACTTCAACCTGTGCCTACAGGGTTCAAGCAATTCTCCTGCCTCAGTCTCCCAAGTATCTGGGACTACAGGCGCGCACCACCACACTCGGCTAATTTTTGTATTTTTATTAGAGACGGCGGGTCTCACCATGTTGGCCAGGCTGGTCTCAACCTCTTGACCTCAGGTGATCCGCCCGCCTCGACCTCCCAGAGTGCTGGGATTACAAGCATGAGCCACCGTGCCTGGCCTAAACAATTTTTAAAAACACATAGTTGCAGCTTGAAATTTATGGACATCTCTCGATTTTTAGTTACACGGATATGGAGTGTCTAATCTCCTCATCGTGGTTTCCGTCAATTATTGTCATTTTTAAAATCACTTAACCTAGATCAGTAGAGGCCTCACCTGGGGGTGATTCTGTCCCCAGGGGATGCTGAGCAATGTCTGGAGTCATTTTTACCCCCAGAACCGGGCATGCCTCTGGCATGGAGTAGTTAGAACCTGCTCAGCACCCGATAGCGTACAGGACCCCACCCCTACCAACCAAGAGTTATCTGGCCCAAATGTTATTAGTGCCGAGATTGAGAAAGTATGAACTGGATTCATGGAATAATAACACACTTAAAAGTTAACTTTATCACGCCTGTGATCCCAGCACTTTGGGAGGCCGAGGCGGGCGGATCACGAGGTCAGGAGATCGAGACCATCCTGGCTGACACGGTGAAACCCCGTCCCTACTAAAAATACAAAAAAATTAGCCGGGCGTGGTGGCGGGCACCTGTAGTCCCAGCTACTCGGGAGGCTGAGGCAGGAGAATGGCGTGAACCCGGGAGGCGGAGCTTGCAGTGAGCCGAGATTGCGCCACTGCACTCCAGCCTGGGCGACAGAGCGAGACTGTCAAAAAAAAAAAAAAAAAAAAAAAAAGAGTTAACTTTATTTATTGTGCGTTCAGTATTCACCAATCTCACCATTTGTCAACCCACTGAATTCTCACAACTTCCATAAGCATTAAAGACTGTTGAAATAAGAGGCGGGGCTCTTGACTCCACAGGTGGGCCCAGACAACGGACCTGATTGAGGACTAGCTAATACAGGCAAAGGCAGAAAGTACTTCCCCATCTGTGTACCATATCAGTTTACCATTGCCATGGCAACACCCAGACGTAACCATCCCTTTCCATTGCAACAACCCAGCAACCCAAAAGTTACTGCCTTTCTTCTAGAAATGTCAGCATAATCTGCTCCTTAATTTGCATATAATTAAAAGTGGGTATCAATACGCCTGCAGAACTGCCTCTGGGCTGCTGCTCTGAGCTCACTGCCTATGGGGTAGCCCTACTCTGCAAGGAGCAGGACTTCTGCAGCTCCTTATACGGCCGCTGCAATTATGATTGCTAACGCCACGGTCAGGCACGGCGGTTCACGCCTGTAATCCCAGCACTTTGGAAGGCCAAGGTGAGTGGATTACTTGAAATCAGGAGTTCGAGACCAGTCTGACCAGCAGGGTGAAAACCTGTCTCTACTAAAAATACAAAAATTAGGCCAGCTGCCATGGCTCACGCCTATAATCCCAGCACTTTAGGAGGCTGTGGTGGGAGGATCACCTGAGGTCAGGAGTTCAAGACCTGCCTGACCAACATGGAGAAACCTTGTCTCTACTGAAAATACAAAATTAGCCAGGCATGGTGGCACATGCCTGTAATCCCAGCTACTTGGGAGGCTAAGGCAGGAGAATCGCTTGAACCCGGGAGGTGGAGGTTACTGTGAGCCGGGATCGAACCATTGCACTCCAGCCTGGGCAACAAGAGCAAAACTCCATTTCAAAAAAAAATTAGCCGGGCGCAGTGGCGCACGCCTGTAGTCCCAGCTACTCAGCAGGCTGAGGCAGGAGAATTGCTTGAACCCGGGAAGTGGAGGTTGCTGTGAGCTGAGATCACGCCACTGCACTCCTGCCTGGGCGACAGAATGAGAATCCGTTTTAAAAAAAAAAGGTTGCTAACACCACCAGCTTGCCCTGAATTCTCTCCTGGGCAAAGTAAAAAACCCTCCCCTGCTAAGACCCAATTTGGGGACTTACCTCCCCTGCATCTTGAACTCCTGACCTCAGGTGATCCACCTGCCTCAGCCACCCAAAGTGCTGGGACCACAGGCATGAGCCACTGCGGCCAACCTTTTTTTTTTTTTTTCTTTGAGATGGAGTCTCGCTCTGTCGCCCAGGCTGGAGTGCAGTGGCTAGATCTCGGCTCACTGCAAGCTCTACCTCCCGGGTTCATGCCATTCTCCTGCCTCAGCCTCCCCAGTAGCTGGGACTACAGGCGCCCGCCACCACGCCTGGCTAATTTTTTGTATTTTTAGTAGAGATGGGGTTTCACCGTGTCAGCCAGGATGGTCTCGATCTCCTGACCTCATGATCCGCCCACCTCGGCCTCCCAAAGTGCTGGGATTCCAGGCATGAGCCACCGCACCCGGCCCTTTCTTTTTTCTTTTTGAGACAAAGTCTCACTCTGTCACCCAGGCCGGAGTGCAGTGGCGGGATCACAGCTCACTGAAACCTCTGCCTCCTGAGTTTAAACGATTCTCCTGCCTCAGCCTCCCAAGTAGGCACATGCCACCATGCCAGACTAGTTTTTGTATTTTTAGTAGAGATGGGGTTTCACCATGTTGGCCAGGCTGGTCTTGAACTCCCGACCTCAAGTGATCCGCCTGCCTCGGCCTCCCAAAGTGCTGGGATTACAGGTGTGAGCCACCACGCCCAGTCTCAAGCTGCAATCCTAAGCCCCTTTGAGCTCAAGGTCTCTGGTCCCACAAGTGTAATATTTCCCAAATTGTGGCCAGACATGCCGCCAGCCTCTGGGGCTGCTGGGGCTTCCCAGGGACTGTTTCTGGTTCATCAGCTGTGTCTGCACAGGTCTGGGTGCGTCTGTCGCAAGCTGTGAGTATAGGGGCTCAAGTTTCAGCTCTGCTCAGCTGCTGCCGGCCCTGAGCAGGTGTGGGGCCTGGAAATGAGGCCTGGTTGATCAGGACGGATGCTGATAATCCCCATGTCCGTCATGGCCTTACAGAGTCTCCCAGCTCACCTGTGATGCCAATTCGTGGGCTGAAAAACAGAGGGAGTTTGGTTCAAGGTGTCTGCACCAGGGGTAGTCAACTGGAAGGTGGGTAGAGACTGTGCCCTCTCCGGGAATGTTTGTCAGGAGACAGGGTTTGTAGATGATCTTTTGGTTTGGGTTTGTCCAGTGGTCTAATTCTTTTTTTTTTTTTTGAGACAGAGTCTTGCTCTGTGGCCCAGGCTGCAGTGCATGGCACGATCTCAGCTCACTGCAACCTCCCCCTGCTGGGTTCAAGCGATTCTCCTGCCTCAGCCTCCCGAGTAGCTGGGATTACAAGCATGTGCCATCACGCCCGGCTGATTCTGTATTTTTAGTAGAGATGGGGTTTCTTCATATTGCTCAGGCTGATCTCGAACTCCCAACCTCAGGTGATCCGCCTGCCACGGCCTCCCAAAGTGCTGGGATTACAGGCGTGAGCCACCGTGCCCGGCCTCATTTCCTTTCTTTCTCTTTTCTTTCCTTCCTTCTTTCCTTCCTTCCTTCCTTCCTTCCTTCTTTCTTTCTTTCCTTTTTTCTTTCTTCTTTCTTCTTTTCATTCTTTACTTTCTTTCTTTCTTTCTTTTTTGTCAGAGTCTTGGTCTGTGGCCCAGGTAGAGTACAGTGGTACAATCTCAGCTCACAGCAGTCTCTGCCTTCCGGGTTCAAGCAATTCTCCCACCTCAGACTCCTGAGTAGCTGGAATTACAGACACATACCATCACGCCCAGCTAATTTTTATATTTTTAGTAGAGAAAGGGTTTCACCATGTTGGCCAGGGTGGTCTCAAACTCCTGACCTCAGGTGATCTACCCACCTTGGCCTCCCAACGTGCTGGGATTACAGGTGTGAGCCACCTCGCCCAGCGGTCTAATTCATTTTCATTCAACAAATAGTTATTGCTGGGCTCATGCCTGGTAATCACAGCATTTTGGGAGGCTGAGGCGGGAGGATCACTTGAGCCCAGGAGTCTGAGGCTGCAGTAAGCTATGATCATGTCACTGCAGTCCAGCCTGGGTGACAGAGTGAGACCCTGTTTCTGAAAATGAAAAAAAAAAATTTAAACCTACTTATTGAGGCTGGGCAATGTGGCTCCCAGAGACAGAGAAAGACTCTGTCTCAAAAAAAATTAAAATTAAAATTAAAAAAAATTAAACAGGGAATGTGTACTCATGTAATACGAAAAAGACAAGTGAAATTATGTGTTGAGTCTGGACTCAGTGGTTCACGCCTGCAATCCCAACACTTTGGGAGGCCAAAGCGGGTAGATCACCTGAGATCAGGAATTTGAGACCAGCCTGGCCAACATGGCAAAACCCTGTCTCTACTAAAATTACAAAAATTAGCCAGGCGTGGTGGCTCCTGTAATCCCAGCTATTCCGGAGGCTGAGGCAGAAGAATTGCTTGAAGGCAGGAGGCGGAGGTTGCAGTGAGCTGTGATCGTGCCACTGCACTCCAGCCTGGGTGACACAGCAAGACCCTGTCTCAAAAAAAAAAAAAAAAAAAAAGGGAGGGTCAGGCCGGGCACAGTGGCTCACCCCTGTAACCTCAGCACTTTGGGAGGCCGAGGCAGGTGGATCACAAGGTCAGGAGACCGAGACCATCCTGGCTAACACGGTGAAACCCCATCTCTACTAGAAATACAAAAAATTAGTTGGGCGTGGTGGTGGGCACCTGTAGTCCCAGCTACTCAGGAGGCTGAGGCAGGAGAATGGCATGAACCCGGGAGGTGGAGCTTGCAGTGAGCCAAGATCGCGCCACTGCACTCCAGCCTGGGCGACAGAGCGAGACTCCGTCTCAAAAAAAAAAAAAAAAAAAAAAAAGAGGTAAGGGCAGTGGGTGGGTGAGAGGCTGGGCCCAAGAAAGAACTCAGTGTCCAGGGTTCTTCAGAGGGACAAACAGGGGTGAGGGGGCCGGGTGGCCTCATGGCCCCAGCACCAGCTTTGGAGCCTGGGAGACCAGCGCTGAGCCTCATCTTCCCCCATCTTATTTCTCTTACACTAGAAGAAGGACACAGCTGGGGAGGGCTCTGTACGGGTGACCACTGCAGGCCTTGCTACAGCTGCGTTAATCTTCCCTTCCAGAACATTGAGTATATTCTATGTCTGTCAGATCCAAAGCTGGACAAACTTACACCAAGGCAGCAAATGTTTTCTGTTTTCTTCACACACGCACAAACAGAGAAAGAGAGACAGAGAGAGAGAGAGAGACAGAGAGAGAGAGAGAGACTGCCTAATACAGACAGCATCCTACTGAAACCATGGTGACTAGTACGGCTTGGGGGCGGGGACGCAGATGACATTCATAATTCTCTGTGCAGATTTTTCCAGCACAGGTTACGGTACCAGCAAGGCAGCGTGTGTGTGTGTGTGTGTGTGTGTGTGTGTGTGCACGCGCATGTATGACTGTGAGTGTGGACGTGGGGTGGTGCGCGCGTGTGTGTGTGTGCGTGCATGAGTGTGACTGTGTGCATGCATATTTGTGTAGCTGTTTGAATCTGCATTGCAACCCCACGTGTAGGTCTCTGCATGGATGTGATGTGTGTGTGGGCACTTTAACAAAGGTATTCAGAGCTGTGTGTGCACAACAGGGTTCATTTCCATGCACCATGTAATTGGTCGCGTGTGTGTGTGTATCTGTGCTGTGACCGTGTCCTGTCCTTTTCTACAGTCTTTTTTTTTTTTTGTCTTTTGTTTTTTGGCTTTTGTGGGGTTTTTTGAGACAGGGTCTGGCTCTGACACCCGGGCTGGAGTGCAGCGGTGCCATCTCGGCTCTCTGTAGTCTCTGCCTGCTGGATTCAAGTGATCCTCCTGCCTCAGCCTCCCAAGTAGCTGGGACCACATGCATGCACCACCATGCCTGGCTAATTTTTTTGTATTTTTAGGAAAGACAGGGTTTCTCTATGTTGGCCAGGCTGTTCTCAAACTTCTGGCCTCCAGTGATCCACCCACCTCAGCCTCCCAAAGTGCTAGGATTACAGGTGTGAAGCACCACACTCTACCTTTTTTTTTTTTTTTTAAGACAGGGTCTCGCTCTATCACCCAGGTTGGATGCAGTGGCGTGATCACGGCTCACTGCAGCCTCAACCTCCCGGGCTTAAGAGATCCTCTCGCCTCAGCCTCCTGAGTAGCTAGGACTATAGGTGCGCATCACCACGCCCAGCTAACTCTTTATTTTTTGTAGACACGGAGTCTCACTATGTTATCCAGGCTGGTCTCGAACTCCTGACCTCCAGTGATCCACCCACCTCAGCCTCCCAAAGTGCTGAGATTATAGGCGTGAGCCCCATCACTCTACCTGCTTTCTTTTTCTTTTCTTTCTTTCTTTCTTTTTTTTTTTTTAAAGAGATGGGGTCTTTCCATGTTGTCCAGGCTGGTTTCAAACTCCTGGCTCAAGTGATCCTCCCACCTTGGCCTCCCCAAATGCTGGGATTACAGGCATGAGCTACTGTACCTGGCCTCTGTAGGTATTTGAATCTGCCTGTACATATGTGGTGCACGTCACTGTGTGTGAGCAACTCGTGTGCTTGGATGTAGGCATGTGACTCTGTGAGTGTGGGTCAGGTGCAGTGTGTGACTCCAGAAGTGTACGTACACATACTCAGGGGTGTGTGCAAGAGGGAAGCTTAATGTGAAAAATCTGGAAATGGAGCTCTGCCAACGAGGGAGCAGGTGTGGCGCCCACAGCCGCTTCCGGCTTTGAGAATTATTTGAGTTATGTAAGACGCTATTCCAGGGGGAAGCGGGGTGAAGGGTACAGGGGCTGGCTGTGCTATTTTTGCAACTTCCTGTACAGCCTATCATTATTTTTAAAATAGAAAGTTTTTAAAAAGTCTGGAGATGAGAAAAAGAAATACGAATTTCACACATGGTGTGTGTGTGTGTGTTCTCAAAACAAGCAGGAGAAAACGGAAGAATCTAGACAAATCACTGAAGGCTTTTTAAATAAGACTTTCACTGAGAACTCAGGTTGATGCCCCCAAGCGTCCCAGGTGGAGATGACGACCCCAGCGCTGTGTTGGGGAGGGGCGGGGCTCAGGTGGGCAACCCAGGCAGGTGCAGGGGTGCATTGTGCAGGCGGGCATCTGGTGACCCGGGAGTAGGCTGGGAATGTGGAGTGCAGCCCAGGATTCAGGCTGCATTAGGAAAGGTGTGGGCTTCACCGGTGGAGGAGAGGAAATTTAATCGAGGTGCAGCAAAAAAGTCAGTGGCATCGAATCTCCTGGGGCAGTCTGGGGAGTTAGGGGCAGAGTAGCTCAAGGGTGTCTGGTTGTCTGAATATCTGCCACTGTCGGGGGTCCTCCTCAAAGCCCGGGGGTCGAGAATTTGAAGGGGTGTGGAGGTGGGGAGGGAGACAGATGCTCAGAGATGCAGAGAGAGAGAGAGCCAGGTGGGGCAGAGGGCAGGCAGAGGCAAGACTGAACATACAGACAGTTAGAGATACAGGGAGAGACACAGAGAGACACCCACAGAGAGATAGAGAGAAAAAGAGAAATGAAAACACAGAGAGACAGAGGCAAGACTAAACACACAGAAAGACAGAAACAGAGATAGACAGAGACAGAGATTAAGAGAAAAATGTAGAGAGATGGAGACAGAGACATAGAGATGCAGAGAGACAGAGAGATGGAGAGAGACAGGGACAGAGATGGAGAGATCTAGAGAGAGAGATGCAAACAGAGATACGAAGATACAGGGAGAGACAGAGACAGACAGTTAGAGACACAGAGTAAGACACCCCAGGCCAGGAGTAGTGGCTCACTCCTGTAGTCCCAGCACTTTGAAAGGCTGAGGCGGGAGGATCACTTAAGGCCAGGAGTTCAAGAACAGCCTGGCCAACACGATGAAACCCCATCTCAACTAAAAACACAAAAATTAGCTGGTTGTGGTGGTGTACGCCTATAATCATAGCTACAGGAAGCTGGGGCAGGACAATCACTTGAACCTGGGAGGCAGAGGTTGCAGTGAGCCGAGACCACGCCACTGCACTCCAGCCTGAGTGACACAGCGAGACTCCATCTCTAAATAACAACAACAACAAAGAAACAGAGAGAGACAGAGACAGAGAGCATCAGAGACACAGAGCAAAAGACCCCAAAGCAAACAGAAACAGAGACACAGAGAAACACAGAGCAGAGACAGGGAGAGACCCAGAGAGAGCTTGATCCTGACCCCCAGACAGAAGGCACCAAGAGAACCACAGAAATCCACCTCGGAAAGAAACAAGAGTCCAAAACCCCACCAGAGACAGAGACATGAGGACAAGGAGAGGAGAAACAGCAGTCAGGCCCAACCAGGAGGTGGAGACGCTGTGGGGGAAAGGGTCTGAGGAGGCCTGAGCCTCTGAACTCTGTGTTTTTTTGTTTTGTTTTGTTTTTGTTTGTTTTTTGTTGTTGTTATTTTGAGATGGAGTCTTGCTCTGTCGTCCAGGCTGGAGTGCGGTGGCACCATCTCAGCTCACTGCAACTTCCACCTCCCAGGTTCAATCAATTCTCTGCCTCAGCCTCCCAAGTAGCTGGGATTACAGGCGCCACCACCATGCTGAGCTAATTTTTGTTTTGTTTTGTTTTTGAGATGGAGTCTCGCTCTATCCCCCAGGCTGGAGTGCAGTGGCACGATCTCGGCTCACTGCAACCTCTGCCTCCCAGGTTCAAGCAATTCTCCTGCCTCAGGCTCCCAAGTAGCTGGGACTACAGGTGCATGCCACCATACCCGGCTAATTTTTTGTATTTTAGTAGAGATGGGGTTTCACTATGTTGCCCAGGCTGGTCTCGAACTCCTGAGCTCAGACAATCCACCCGCCTTGGCCTCCCAAAGTGCTACGATTACAGGCGTGAGCCACCGTGCCCAGCTAATTTTTGTATTTTTAGTAGAGACAGGGTTTCACCATCTTGGCCAGGCTGGTCTTGAACTCCTGACCTCATGATCCACCCGCCTCGGCCTCCCAAAGTGTTAGGATTACAGGCGTGAGCCACCACGCCCGGCTGCCTCTGAGCTCTGAAAACCAGTGTCCAGTAAACAAGAAGCTGCTGATCTTTTCCGATCTAGCCTGGGAAATCCCACAGCACCACTTCCACAATATCGTGTTGGTTGAAGCCATCCAAGCCTGTCCAGGCTTTAAGGCTGCTAAAAATACAAAAATTAGCCAGGTGTAGTGGCAGGCGCCTATTGTCCCAGCTACTTGGGAGTCTAAGGCAGGAGAATCGCTTGACCCTGCGAGGCGGAGGTTGCTGTGACCCGATATCATGCCACTGCACTCCAGCCTGGGTGACACAGCGACACTCTGTCTCAAAAAAAAAAAAAAAAAATAAGAGGATGGAAACAATTGCAGCCATTTTTAGAAACAAATTACTTCAAAGGGGTGGTCATCTGGCAGGACGCAGTGGCTCATGCCTGTAATCCTGGCACTTTGAGGGGCTGAGGGAGGAGGATTGCTTGAGCCCAGGAGTTTGAGACCAGCCTGGGCAACATGGCAAAACCTCATCTCTACAAAAAAAAAAAAAAAGAAACCAAACCAAAAAAAAAGTAGCTAGGCATGGTGGCACGTGCCTACAGTCCCAGCAACCTGGGACGCTGAGTGGGGAGGATCACCTGAGCCTGGGAGTTCGACGTTGCAATGAGCGAAGATCATGCCATTGTACTCCAGCCTGAGTGTCAGAGTGAGACTCTGTCTCAAAAAAAGGGGGGTGGGGCAGGCGCAGTGGCTCACACTTGTAATCTCAGAGCTTTGGGAGGCTGAGGCAGGCGGCAGATCACTTGAGGTCAGGAGTTCGGGACCAGACTGGCCAACATGGTGAAACCCCATTTCTACTAAAAATACAAAAATTAGGCCAGGTGCGGTGTCTCACGCCTGTAATCCCAGCACTTTGAAAGGCCGAGGCAGGTGGATCGCGAGGTCAGGAGTTCAAGACCAGCCTGGCCAAGATGGTGAAACCCTATCTCTACTAAAAATACAAAAATTAGCTGGGTGTGGTGGCTCCCACCTATAGTCCCAGCTACTGGGGAGGCTGAGGCAGGACAATCGCTTGAACCCAGGAGGTGGAGGTTGCAGTGAGCCGAGATTGCGCCACGGCACTCCAGCCTGCGTGACAGAGTGAGACTCCATCTCAAAAAAAAAAAGAAAAAGTCTCAAGGACACACCACGTTATACCCGTTAGAGTGGTGTTATCAAAAAGACAAGACATCACAAGCATTGGTGAGGATGTGGAGAAAAGGGAACCCTTTTGCTCTGTTGGTGAAAATGGAAATTGTGATAGCCATTATGGGAAATGGTAAGGAGGTTTCTCCCTCAAGAAGTTAAAACTAGAATTACCATATGATCTGGCAATCTCACTTCTGGGAATATATCCAAAGAAAAATGAAATCAGGAGGCTGGAGTGAGGGCAGAGAGGAGGGACAGGCGTGGGAGGGAATGGAAGGCTATTACTCTGTGTGCAGGATTGCTGCTAGAACAGGAACAAAAAATGAGTCATCTGCGAGATCGTCGAGAGACAGAGCCTTGAGATGTCACTGGGCCTGGGAAGACCAAGCTATGAGAAGGGTTGGAGAGAAAAGGAGGGGTGCAATGTTGTACTCCCCTGTAAGGAGGATGGCATTTGTGTCCAAATATGTGGGTCACAGTGTGGCTTTGCTGTGCTGATGTATAAATATACCAGGCTGACTGTAACATGGACCTTGACTCTTTTTTTTTTCTCTTTCAGACAGACTTGCTTTTGTTGCCCAGGCTGGAGTGCAGTGGCACCTTCTTGGCTCACTGCAACCTCCACCTCCCGGGTTCAAGCGATTCTCCTGTCTTAGCCTCCCGTGCCCGGCCTAATTTTTGTATTTTTAGTAGAAATGGGGTTTCACCATGTTGGCCAGGCTGGTCCCAAACTCCTGACCTCCTTAGCTGGGATTACAGGCACCTGCCACCATGCCCAGCTGATTTTTGTATTTTTAGTAGAGATGGGGTTTCACCATGTTGGCCAGGCTGGTTTTTTTGTTTGTTTGTTTGTTTGTTTGTTTTTTGAGATGGAGTCTCACTCTGTCACCCAGGCTAGAGTGCCTTGGTGCAGTCTCAGCTCACTGCAAGCTCCGCCTCCCGGGTTCACGCCATTCTCCTGCCTCAGCCTCCCGAGTAGCTGGGACTACAGGTGCCCGCCACCACGCCCGGCTCATTTTTTGTATTTTTTAGTAGAGACGGGGTTTCACCTTGTTAGCCAGGATAGTCTCGATCTCCTGACCTCATGATGTGCCCGCCTCGGCCTCCCAAAGTGCTGGGGTTACAGGCATGAGCCACCACTCCCGGCCTTTTTTTTTTTTTTTTTTTTTTTTAGGCAGAGTCTCGCTGTGTCGTCAGGCTGGAGTGCAGTGGCGCGATCTTGGCTCACTACAACCTCTGCCTCCCGGGTTCAAGCAATTCTCCTGCCTCAGCCTCCTGAGTAGCTGGGACTACAGGCGCGTGCCACCATGCCCAGCTAATTTTTTTGTATTTTTAGGAGAGACGGGGTTTAACCATGTTGGCCAGGATGGTCTCAATCTCTTGACCCCGTGATCCACCTGCCTCAGCCTCCCAAAGTGCTCAGATTATAGGCATGAGCCACCGCACTTGGCCGCAGGCTGGTCTTGAATGCCTGACCTCAGGTGATCTGCCCACCTCGGCCTCCGAAGTGCTGGGATTACAGGTGTGAGCCACCGTGCCCGGCCTGACTACTTTTTAAAATTTTTGGTAGAGACAGGGTCTCCCTATGTTGCCCAGGCTGGTCTCAAGCTCATAGGCTCAAATGGTCCACCCACCTTGGCCTCCCAAAGTGCTGGGATTCCAGACATAAGTCACCATACCTCTGTCTCTTTTTTATCTCTCTCTCTGTCCCTTTTTTGTCTCTGTCTCTTTTTTGGATTCGCTCTCTCTTTCTTTCTCTCTCTCCCTCCTGCCTGCCCCTGCTGCCTCCCTGTCTCTCTTCCTGCCTCGGTTGTCCCTGGCCATCTCCCTGGTGATCTGTGAGTCTGCACCTGTCTGGTTCTTTTCCTGTCTGTCTCTCTGCCTGTTTCTCTCTCCCACCCCCCAAACATCTTCTCTCTCATTTCCCTGTCTTCCTCCTCCTTGCCTGGTCGTTAGTCTCTCTCTATCTCTGTCTCCACCCCATTTTCGCTCTCAGTCTATCTCTGGCTCTGTCTCTCCCTCTCCTCTCTGTCTCTTGTTCCCTTCCTGCCTCCAACCGACCTGTATGTGAATCTCTGCTGTGTCCCTCCCCTCTGGCCTTGGTCTGTGTCTGCAGGGCCCTCCCTCCCTGCTCCCCATCCCTATCCCTGCCAGGAGGAGGAAAACGCAGCCCTGCAGAGCGAGCAATGCCCCCCTCCTTGGTTACCAGGGCGCTGGATGGGGGACAGCATGCGGCTCATTACCCTAATGGCTGGTGAGGCCACCCAGCCTCCCAGGAAATGGGCCACTTAAGCGTGTTCCAGCTGATGGCAGAGGCTGCTTCTCCCCTTGTACTCGGCAGGGAGAGGGGACCAAGGGGGAGAGGAGGGGAGAAAGGGGGAGGAAAGGAGAGGAGGAGAGGGAACGGAGGACTGCAAGGCTGGTGGGGACTCATCTCCACTTATGAGCTCTTCAGGCCTGGGTGTGTCCTGAGAACATGCACCAGGCTGGCTGGGGGCTGGGGGAGGCTGGGCCCCAGGGGCTTCTTCTAAATGCACATGTACCTGCCACTCAGAGTCACCACAGGGCCACACACACTGAAAATCACAGACACCCCCTACGGCTCAGACAGCCCCTGAGCTCTCTCCTGTCCCCCTAGGTCCCCTGGACACAGCCCTGCAGGGTCACACAGGCATGTGCCAGAGCCACACACACACACACACACACACACACACACACACGCACGCACGTGGCCGTGGAGCATGACTGTCTCTCTGGAGGACGCCCAAGGCCACGTGCAACAGCCTCGGGACAGGATTCGGAGCACAGAGGCCCGACACACCCCAGCCACAAGCTCGGCCGTGCACTTTCAGATGGTCACGGGTTCACACACACACAGACACACACGCAGGGTTACAAGTACAACCACACAGGGGACACGAACGTACCTCCACATGCCCACGAACATGCCCACACACACACACAAATGTAGCCACGAAACACAGTCACAGAAGCGCAGATCATGACATACACTCCCACTGCCACACACGGTCAGGCTGGAACAGTTGTAACACCAGAACATTCCAGCAAACTGGGCTTCACACACAACACAGAGGCACTCAGAGGCCGGGCGTGGTGGCTCACGCCTGTCATCCTAGCCCTTTGGGAGGCCAAGGCAGGCAAATTGCTTGAGCCCAGGAGTTCAAGGTTGCAGTGAGCTATGATTGCGCCACTGCACTCCAGCCTGGGCAACAGAGCAAGACCCATCACAAAAATAAAAAATAAAAGATACACTCTTGGTGTGAGTATATGTGATTTATATGATAGACAATAGATACATATTACTATACATTATAGAATACTCTAGCTAATACTCTACATATGTACTATATATAATATAAAATAAATGGAATATATTCTTGACCAGCCTGGCCAACATGGCAAAACCCCATCTCTACTAACAATACAAAAATTAGCCAGGCATGGTGGTGGGCGTCTGTAATCGCAGCTACTCTGGAGGCTGAGGCAGTAGAATCACTTGAACCCGGGAGCTGGAGGTTGCAGTGAGCTGAGATCATGCCACTGCACTCCAGCCTGGGGTATAGAGTGAGATTCTATCTCCAAAAAAATAATAAGAAGAATAAAAATAATAATAATAATAATAATAATAAATAAAATACATTATTTTCTTTTCCTTTTTAATTTTATTTACTTATTTATTTATTTTTAAGACAGAGTCTCACTCTGTCGCCCAAGCTGGAGTGCAATGGCATGGTCTTGGCTCACTGCAACCTCCACCTCCCAGGTTCAAGCGATTCTTCTGCCTCAGCCTCCCGAGTAGCTGGAACTACAGGTGCTCGCCACCACACCCGGCTAATTTTTGTATTTTTAGTAGAGACGGGGTTTCACCATGTTGGCCAGGCTGGTCTCAAACTCGTGCCCTGCCCACCTCGGCCTCTCAAAGTGTTGGTATTGCAGGCATGAGCCACTGTGCCGGGCCAATTTTTTGATGTTTTGTAAAGACAGGATTTTGCCACATTACCCAGGCTCTACAATGCAATTCTGACATTAACCGCCTGGGGTTATAACAGACTCAAGTTATGGGCACAGTCCCTAACAAGGCTGTCCTCGTCACCAGGAGCAATGGCTCATGCCTGTAATCCCAGGACTTTGGGAGGCCGAGGCAGGAGGACTGAACCCAGGAATTTGAGACCAGCCTGGGCAACGTAGCAAAACTCCACCTCTAAAAAAAAAAAACAAAAATTAGCTGTGTGTGGTGCTGTGCACCTGTAGTCCCAGGTAGTTGGGAGGTTGAGGCAGGAGGATCACTTGATCCTGGGAGGTTGAGGCTGCAGTGAGCCATGATTGCATCACTACACTGCAGCTTGGGCAACAGAGTGAGACCCTGTCTCGGAAAGAATTTTTTTAATTAAAAACACAAGTCAGGCCTGGCACGGTGGCTCACGCCTGTAATCCCAGCACTTTGGGAGGCCGAGGCGGGCGGATCACTAGGTCAGGAGATCGAGACCATCCTGGCTAACATGGTGAAATCCCGTCTCTACTAAAAATACAAAAAATTAGCCAAGCATAGTGGTGGGCGCCTGTAGTCCCAGCTACTCAGGAGGCTGAGGCAGGAGAATCGCTTGAACCTGGGAGGCGGAGGTTGCAGTGAGCCGAGATCGCGCCACTGCACTCTAGCCTGGGTGACAGAGTGAGACTCCGTCTCAAAAACAAAAAACAAATAAGCAAAAAACCCCACAAGTCAGAGGCCAGTCACAGTGGCTCACGCCTGCAATCCTAGCGCTTTGGGAGGCTGAGGAGTGAAGATACCTTGAGCTCAGGAGTTCAAGACCACCCTGGGCAACATAGTGAGACCCCATCTCTGCAAAAAATTAAAAAAAAAAATTAGCCAGCGATGATAGCATGCACCTGTAGTCCCAGCTCCTCAGGAGTGTGAGGCAGGAGGATCTCTTGAGGCCAGGAGGTCAAGACTACAGTGAGTTATGATCTCACCACTTCACTCCAGCCTGGGCAACGAAGTGAGATCATGTCTCTAAAAAAACATTTAAAAAGTAACAAAACAAGTCAGAAACAGCCAAACAAAGAGACACATAGGACAAAGTCTGGGAGGGTCCCCAAAAGAGCTTCCATGTCTTTTTTTTTTTTTTTTGAGGTGGAGTCTCTCTCTGTTGCCCAGGCTGGAGTGCAGTGGTGTGATTTTGACTCACAGCGTTCCACCTCACAGGTTCAAGTGATTCTCCTGCCTCAGCCGCCAGAGCTTGGACTACAGTTGCCCGCCACCACACCCAGCTAATTTTTGTATTTTTAGTAGAGATGGGGTTTCACCATGTTGGCCAGGCTGGTCTCGAACACCTGAGCTCAAGTGATCCTCCCACCTCAGCCTCCCAGTGTGCTGGGATTATAGGTGTGAGCCACCGTGCCCGGCCCCATGTCCTCTTCTTGAGGCATTAGAGTGTGTCTCCTCTCCTGGAAGAACATCAATATGTTCACCAATCAGGAAGCTCCACCAAGCTTTGGGGTCCAGAGGTTTTATTTGTTTGTTTGTTTGTTTGTGAGGAAGTCTCACTCTGTCGCCCAGGCTGGAGTGCAGTGGCACAATATCGGCTCACTGCAACCTCCCCCTCCCAGTTTCAAGCGATTTTCGTGCCTCAGCCTCCCGAGTAGCTGGGATTGCAGGTGCATGCCACCACGCCCGGCTAATTTTTGTATTTGTAGTAGAAATGGGGTTTCACCATGATGGCTAGCTTGGTCTCGAACTCCTGACCTCAAGTGATCCGCCTGCCTCGGCCTCCCAAAGTGCTGGGATTACATGCATGAGCCACCGTGCCCAGCATGCCCAGATAATTTTTAAACTTTTAGTAGAGACTGGCCGGGCGCAGTGGCTCACACCTGTAATCCCAGCACTTTAGGAGGCTGCAGCGGGCAGATCGTGAGGTCGGGAGATCGAGACCATCCTGGCTAACACGGTGAAACCCCGTCTTTACTAAAAATAGAAAAAATTAGCCAGGCGTGCTGGCGGGCGCCTGTAATCCCAGCTACTCGGGAGGCTGAGGCAGGAGAATCGCTTGAACCCAGGAGGTGGAGGTCACAGTGAGCCAAGACCACACCACTGCACACCAGCCTGGAGACAGAGTGGGACTCCATCTCAAAAAAGAAAGAACAAGAAAGGGAGGAGGTCTAGAGGTGGGGCTCACAGAGGAGGGGGAGTTCCTTGGAAGACGGGGAGCGGGGGTTAGATTAGAGAGGAGATGGGGAAGGGAGGGTGCCTGGGGATTGGAGACTCTCTGTGGTGAGGCCTTAGGCAATCCTGGAGGGCTTCCAAGAGGTGTGGCTGGCCTTCCCTCAGGATGCTACTGGAAGTGGCCCCGTGAGCAGTGGCTAACAGAGGGACAGAACAGCTGATGCTTGTTGACCAAGGAACACCAGCCAAGGGCCACGGGAGAGGTAGGAGGAGTGCTTGCTGGGTGGGTCCCACTGTCTCTTCTTCTCCTGGGGGGCTCCTCTTGCTCTTCCAGGGCAACCCCATCTTTCTAATCAGGCATGGGGGGCAAAGGGTAGTGTGAGGAGGAAGAATAGAACCCCACCCCCTTCAATATTTGGGGGGTCCACGATGCCCCCACAGCCTGTCTCTCCACACAGATCTCTGTGGACCTGGGCACCCCTCGCTGGCACCTCCCTACCCTGGTTCATGTGGTCCCCCTCCCCCCTCTTCTCCCACCTCCTGTCCCAGCCCACTGGGCCCCCTGCTATCTTTAATTGGCCTTCGTGGAGCTGAATTCATTGAGACTCTGACAGCTCTTTAGGGTGGTGGGGAGGGGGTGGTCAGGCCGCAGCTTCCCCGCCTCCCTGCCTGGCTAATTCGGGGGCTCTATTGTCAAGAGGCACCCCCCATCCCCCTCTCCACTCCCCTCCGCCGTTGGATTGCTTCCACAGACAATGCCGAGAGCTCGACATCCTGAAGGGCCAGCGGCTGTAATTTCGTCTAATTCAGCCCAGGAGACAGCAATTACAGCTAATAAACGGGCCCCTAATCAGCTATCTCTCCCACCCCCACCCCTGCCACCCAGCTCTCCTCTCCTCTGGGGAGCCCTCCCTTCCCCCCAGCTAGGGGAAGGAAGGAAAGAATAGAACAGCTCTGCCCTCAGAGTATCAGTTTTGCCTTCTAGGAAATGGGCATAGCATTGAACCCTGCCAGGGGATTGCATGCCCAGCTGCACCATGGTGGCATCTGCAAATCAGACTACTGCCCCTGTTTTAACTGGAGACACCTCTGGCCTCACCCCTTCCTTGGCTATCCCCTCCCTGTCATTCTCTCTCTGTCTCTCTCTTTTTTTTTTTATTTTCTTTTTTTTTTTTTTAGGGACAGGGTCTTGCTCTGTTCCCAGGCTGGAGTGCAGTGGTGCGATCAAAGCTCACTGCAGCCTCAACCTCCTGGGATCAAGTGATCGTCCTGCCTCAGCCTCCCAAGTGGCTAGGACCACAGGTGTGTGCCACCATGCCTGTCTCATTTTTTTATTATTTGTAGAGCACCGGGCCTTGCTATGTTGCCCAGGCTGGTCTCATACTCCTGGGCTCAAGCCATCCTCCCGCCTCAGCCTCCCAAGTAGCTGGGACCGCAAGCGAACGCCACTATGCCAGTGAATTTTTTGTAGAGATTGGTCTCACTGTGATGCCAGGCTGATCTTAACTCCTGGGCTCTAGACATCCTCCTGCCTTGGCCTCCCAAAGTGCTGGAGCTATAAGTGTAAGCCACCATGCCTAGCCGATGGTGTGTGTGTATATATATATATATATATATGTGTGTGTATATATGTATGTGTGTATATATATATGTGTATATATATGTATATGTGTATATATGTATATATATGTATATGTGTATATATATGTATATATATATGTATATGTGTGTGTGTATATATATATATATATATATATATATATATTTTTTTTTTTTTTTTTTTTTGAGATGGAGTCTTGCTTTGTTGCCCAGGCTGGATTGCAATGGAGCAATCTCGGCTCACTGCAACCTCTGCTTCCCAGGTTCAAGCCATTCTCCTGTCTCAGCCTCGCAAGTAGCTGGGACTACAGGCGTGTGACACCACGCCTGGCTAAATTTTGTATTTTTAGTAGAGACAGGGTTTCACCGTGTTGGCCAGGCTGGTCTCAAACTCCTGACCTCAAGCGATCCACCCACCTCGGCCTCCCAAAGTGCTGGGATTACAGGCGTGAGCCACCACACCTGGCCTTAGTGGTTTATATTTTTAAAACTTATTTTAGAGACAGAGTCTTGCTCTGTTGCCCAGGGTGGAGTACAGTGGCACAAACACAGCTCACTGCAGCCACAACCTCTTGGGCTCAAAGGATCCTCCTGCCTTGGCCTCCCAAAGGGGGACGGCGGAACGAGGCTGGTCTGTTCCAGACTGGGTACCAGAAAGGAGTTCCACCTATAGGAATGTGGGGAGAGCTAAGGGAAACCAACCACAGGGGTGCAGCCTGCAAGGCCAGCAACACAGGGAAGCCTCACCACCCATGGTGGGTCATAGGGGCTAGGGGCCGCTGGAGGGGAGCTGAGGGCCAGGCCAGGCTCTCTCCCCCTTGGCAGTGTGGACATTTAGGCCTGGGCCATCCTGTGGGGTGGGGGCTGCCCTGGACAGTGCAGGATGCTGAGCAGCATCCCTGGACTCCACACACTCCATGCCAGGGGCACCCACCACAAATGTCCCCAGACATGGCCAAGTGTCCCCTGTGGGGGGACAGAATCACCCCCAGGTGAAACTCACTGATATTAAGTGATAATGTGGACACAGGACACAGCCCTCATAGAGAAACAGGTTTGTGTTTTGACCCTGCCCCTATATGAGTGATTTGGGGCAAATTTCAGTGATTGGGGCATGTGTCTCTGCTCCCAGCTACTCAGGAGATTGAAGCATGAAGATCACTTGAGCCCAGGAGTTCCAGGCTACTGTGAGCCACGATCACACCACTGCACTCCATTCTGGGCGACAGAGCAAGACCCTGTGTATAAAAAGAAAAAGAAAAAAAAAAAAACCCAAACAAACAAACAATAATATTAATCACACCTCATAGGGTGGTTGCCGAGGATTAAATTCTTTTTTCTTTTTTTTTTTGAGATGGAGTCTCACTCTGTTGCCCGGGCGGGAGTGCAGTGGCACCATCTCGGCTCACTGCAAGCTCCACCTCCCGGGTTCACACCATTCTCCTGCCTCAGCCTCCCGAGTAGCTGGGACTACAGGTGCCCACCACCACGCCTGGCTAAATTTTTTTGTATGTTTAGTAGAGTCGGGGTTTCGCTGTGTTAGCCAGGATGGTCTCGATCTCCTGACCTCATGATCCACCCGCCTCAGCCTCCCAAAGTGCTGGGATTACAGGCGTGAGCCACCGCGCCCGGCCAGATTAAATTCTTTAGTGCTTGGGGGGCTTTGAGAAATGTTATCTGCTGTTAAGGTTGTAGTTATTATAGTACCATGTATGATAGATTTAAACACCCCCAAATGGCAGTAATCTTAGAGGACCGTGTTAGCAGGGGCTGCAGACAACAGGCATCGTTTCATAAATCAATGAAAATTACAAAGATGTAGTACAATGAGGGCTTCCCGGGTACTTCAAATCTCCCTGGCCGATCCATCGAAGAATTGCCACTGTGGCATTGAGAATAAATGGGATTATTGTAGATATGATGCTGAGGGAATAAATATTTAATTTTTTTTTTTTTTTCTGAGACAGAGTTTCACTCTTGTCGCCCAGGCTGGAGTGCAATGCTGCAATCTCGGCTCACCGCAACCTCTGCCTCCCGGGTTCAAGCGATTCTCCTGCCTCAGCCTCCGGAGCAGCGGGGATTACATGCATGTGTCACCAGGCCTGGCTAATTTTGTATTTTTAGTAGAGATGGGATTTCTCCATGTTGGTCAGGCTAGTCTTGAACTCTCAACCTCGGGTGATCCACCCGCCATGGCCTTCCAAAGTGCTGGGATTACAGGCGTGAGCCACCTTGCCCAGCTCATTTAATTTAAATGTATTTTTTTTTCAAAGGCAAACATTCCACTCAGTTGAAATACTACTGTTGAAGAGGCCAGGGAGGGCGAGAAGTGAGTGAGATGGTTTCTGGAATCGCTGTCTTTCTCTCTATTTCTCTCACTCCCTCTCTCCTCCCTTTCATTCTCTTTCTCTCTCTGTTTCTTTCTCTCTTTGTTCCTTTTTTTTTTTTTTTTTGAGACAGGGTTTCGCTCTGTCACCCAGGCTGGAGTGCAGTGGTGTGATCTTGGCTCACTGCAACCTCCACCTCCCAGGTTCAAGCTATTCTCCTACCTCAGCCTCCTGAGTAGCTGGGACTACAGGCGTGTGCTACCACGTCCAGCTAATTTTTGTATTTTTAGTAGATATGGGGTTTCACCATGTTGACCAGGCTGGTCTTGAACTCCTGGCCTTAGGTGATCTGCCTGCCTCAGCCTCCCAAAGTGCTGGGATTACAGGTGTGAGCCACCATGACCGGCACCCAGCCCCCCACTTTATTTTTTTGAGACAGGGTCTCACTCTGCCACCCAGGCTGGAGTGCAGTAGTGGTGCAATCATAGCTCACTGCAGCCTCAGCCTCCTGGACTTAAGCGGTCCTTCCACCTCAGCCTCCTGAGTAACTGGAACTACAGGTACATGCCACGATGACGGGCTAATTTTTGTATTTTTGGTAGTGACAGGGTCTTACCCTGTTGCCCAGGCTGGTCTTAAACTCCTGGCCTCAAGCGATCTTCCCTCCTCAGCCTCCCAAAGTACTAGGATTACACGTGTGAGCCACTGTGCCTGGCCCCATGACCCTTTTAAGGTCCAGGCTGGTTCTTCTACTGGCTGGTTCAATTCAATGGTCTTTTATTATATCTTATTTTATTTTTAATTACTTTGATTACCTTGAAATTCATCTGTGTTGAATGCAGTCTCATCATGCACCATGGACTTTGGAGCCTGACCACCTGGCTTTGAATCCCAATACTGCTACTCATGATCTGGGTGACCTTGGTTGAGTTACTTAACCTCTCTGTCGCTCCCTGAGCAGGTTAAATTAACCTCCCTGTCCCTCTGTCTTCTCACCCATTAAAAGGGCAATGATGATTCTGGATAGCACCTGCATAATGGGGTTGTTGGGGGAACTAAATGAGTTTAAAGTGTAACCATTCTTTTCTTTTCTTTTCTTTCTTTCTCTCTCTCTTTCTTTCTTTCTTTTCTTTCTTCCTTTCTTTCTTTCTCTTTCTCTCTCTCTCCCTTTCTCTTTCTTTCTCTTTCCCTTTCTCTCTTTCTTTCCCTTTCTCTCTCTTTCTTTCCTTTTCTCTTTCTTTCCCTTTCTCTCTCTTTCTTTCTCTTTCTCTCTTTCCCTTTCTCTCTCTTTCTTTCTTTCTCTTTCTCTCTCTCTTTCTTTTCCTTTCTCTCTCTTTCTCTCTCCCTCTCTCTTTCTTTCCTTCTGTGGGATCTAACTCTGTTGCCCAGGCTGGGATGCAGTGATTCAATTATAGCTCATTTTCAGCCTCAAACTTCCAGGCTCAATCAATCCTCCCACCTCAGCCTCCTGTGTAGTGGGGACTATAGACACTCACCACCATGCCCAGCTAAGGTTTTTTTTGTTTTGTCTTGTTTTGTTTTGTTTTGTTTTTGCTAAGACGGGGGTCTCACTATGTTATCCAGACTGGTCTTGAACTCCTGGGCTCAAGTGATCCTCCCATCTCAGCCTCCCAAAGTACTGAGAATACAGGTGTAAGCCACTGTACCTAGGCAAAAAGTGACATTTTCTTAGAACAATTTTCAATACAGATTTCCGCTATTCCATGCAAAGTTATTCTTGAACACAAACATTTGTATGAAATGTTTCCTGGCTGGAAACATTGAATCCCTATGTACTTTCCTTCTTTTTTGAGATGGAGTCTCGCTCTCGTCGCCCAGGCTGGAGTGCAGTGGCACGATCTCGGCTCACTGTAACCTCGGCCTCCCAGGTTCAAGTGATTCTCCTGCCTCAGCCTCCCAAGTAGCTGGGATTACAGGCGTGAACAATCACACCCAGCTGATTTTGTAATTTAATAGATACGGGGTTTCGCCATGTTAGCCAGGCTGGTCTTGAACTCCTGACTTCAAGCGATCCACCCGCCTCAGCCTCCCAAAGTGCTAGGATTACAGGCATGAGCCACCGCACCCAGGCCCTAGGTACCTTCCTTCTTTTATTGCTCTTTCCTCTTCTCTGCAGCCCTTGCTGAAGTTTCCTGGTGTGATCGGACACCAGGTAGGACAGGCCACCAACCATGCCTGCTGCGAAGGCCTGCCTGGGGACAGGAATTTGTCTGCAAATACAAGGGTGTCTACTGAGGGAGGGAAGTGTCTGAATTTGAGATGCTGAGGTCTGGGGCCCGGAGTGGAGATGGAGAGGATGGGACGGGGGTGGTTACGGGGGTAGGGGTGGAGAGATGCCGAGTGAGGCCAGCTGTGCTTCTGCTGACACCTAGTGGAAAGAGGGAACTATTGTTCCTTTTAAACAAGCCGCCTCTGTGAAGTAGCCACCTCTGAAACATCTACCTGACTTCAGGCAGGCAAATAGGCACTGAATGGTGTAACTTGCCAGGAGTCGCACAGCATGTTGGCTGCCCTGAGAGAGCTTCAAGGACCCAAGAAACCATTTTATTTTATTTTTATTTATTTTTATTTTTTGAGACGGAGTCTCGCTCTGTCGCCCAGGCTGGAGTGCAGTGGCGGGATCTCGGCTCACTGCAAGCTCTGCCTCCTGGGTTCGCGCCATTCTCCTGCCTCAGCCTCCCGAGTAGCTGGGACTACAGGCGCGGCCACCACAGCCGGCTAATTTTTTGTATTTTTAGTAGAGACGGGGTTTCACCGTGTTAGTCAGGATAGTCTCGATCTCCTGACCTCGTGATCCGCCTGCCTCGGCCACCCAAAGTGCTGGGATTACAGGCCTGAGCCACCGCGCCCGGCTGATTTATTTTATTTTGAGGCAGAGTCTCACGCTGTGGCCCAGGCTGGCGTGCAATGGCGCGATCTCGGCTCACTGCAACCTCCGCCTCCCTGGTTCAAGCGATTCTCCTGCCTCAGCTTCCCAAGTAGCTGGGATTACCGGCGCGCGCCACCACGACTGACTAATTGGCGTATTTTTGGTAGAGGAGGGGGTTTTACCACGTTGGCCAGGTGGGTTTCAAATTCCTCACCTCAAGTGATCCGCCCACCTTGGCTTCCCAAAGTGCTGGGATTACAGGCATGAGCCACCGCGCCCGGCCCCAAGAAAAAGTTTTAAAGGAGTGTTTGGTTTGTTTGTTTGGTTGGTTGGGTTTTGGCAGATTAATGAGTTCTCAGGCCTTGATGGGGCTTCTGGGGGAGGTAACATGTTCTCCCAGGTTCGCCCCCTCCACCAGGAAGTCCACCTGTATTACTTCACTACCATCTCCAAACCCCAGGCCTTTTCTCTC
The DNA here is from genome assembly GCF_000001405.40 of Homo sapiens. Taxonomy (NCBI): domain Eukaryota; kingdom Metazoa; phylum Chordata; class Mammalia; order Primates; family Hominidae; genus Homo; species Homo sapiens. Next base: position 4,731,823 of record NC_000019.10, on the reverse strand, counting down.
CTTTGGCCGGCTGTGCATTTGTTCATAATTTCAACAAATGTTTACTGAGACTTAGTGACACAATAGGAAACAAAATGGACTAAAATAAATAACAAAAAATACTGCTAGTGAAGCTCATAGCCTGGCTAGGGAAATGGAGGCAAAATTAGCAAACAGATCTACAAATGTGATTATTTCAGAGACTAAAAAGCCATTGGGAGGACATCTTTATTTTTATTTTTTTGAGAGAGAGTCTTGCTCTGTCACCCAGGCCGGAGTGCAGTGGCATGATCTCAGCTCACTGAAACCTCCCCCTCCCAGGTTCAAGAGATTCTCCTGCCTCAGCCTCCCAAGTAGCTGGGATTACAGGCATGCACCACCATGCCTGGCCAATTTTTGTATTTTTTTTTTTTTTTGTAGAGGCAGGGTTTCAGTGTGTTGGTTAGGCTGGTCTTGAACTCCAGGCCTCAAGCTATCTGCCACCCTCAGCCTCCCAAAGTACTGGGACTGCAGGCGTGAGCCACTGCGCCGCCCTGGAAGGACATGTATAAATGATAGGTACCAAGTTTGTGAGTTCCAAGGCCAGGTAGGACTGGCTACCACTTAGCCAGGCTCAGGCAGGAAAGGCCCTCTGAGGAGGTAACCTTGGAACCAAGGTTTGAAGGAAGAGAGGGAGTGAGCCTTGGAAATACCTGGGTCCACCAGAGGGCACAGCCTGTGCAAAGGCCCTGCGGCAGGACTTCACCTGGTGTGTTGGAGGAACAGTGAGGAGGAGCAGAGTGAGCAATGGGGAGAAAGGGAAGAGGAGAGGGCAGGGAGGGGATGGGGCAGGTCATGCCAGACCTGGTGAGACATGGGGAGGCCTTGGGCTTTGACCCTGAGAGAGGTGGGAGCCATGGAGGGTTGTGAGCAGAGGAGGGATAGGAAGTGACTCAGGTGCTCAAAAGCACCCTCTGGTGGCTGCTGGTGGGGAGACAGCCTGTGGGGGGTGAGGGCAGGAACTGGGGTCCAGGTAGGGGTGACTGTGTGTTGGCTCAGGTGAGCTGTGCTGGAGGCTGGACCAGGGAACAGGCACTGAGTGGGAAAGCAGTGATTAGATTCTAGGTGCATTTTTGTTTTTTTGAGAAGGAGTTTCACTCTTGTTGCCCAGTCTGGAGTGCAATGGCGTGATCTTGGCTCACCGCAACCTCTGCCTCCTCGGTTCAATCAGTTCTCCTGTGTCGGCCTCCCGAGTAGCTGGGATTACAGGCACATGCCACCACGGCCAGCTATGTATTTTTAGTAGAGACAGGGTTTCTCCATGTAGGTCAGGCTGGTCTCGAACTCCTGACCTCAGGTGATCTGCCCGCCTGGGCCTCCCACAGTGCTGGGATTACAGGCGTGAGCCACCGCGCCCGGCCTATCTAGGTGCATTTTGAAAGCAGTGTTAATCAAATTTACTGAGTGATTGGATATGGGTGGGAGAGTAGAGGCCCAGGGTGACTCCCAGGTTCTGGTTGAGTCCCTGGAAGGACGGACCTGCCCTCAGCCTAGGTGGTGGACATGGGAGGAATGGTTTGGGGGTCCAGTGGGGCCCAATGTGACTGCGTTGAATGTGAGACCCCATGAGCCCCCCATGTGGAGACATCAGGGGCTGCTGAACAGAGTCTGGACTTCAAGGGAGACTCAGGCTGGAGATGAGACTGTAGGCGATGCTGGCTGTAGACGGGGTTTGGAGCCCGCTGGGGAGGGGTGTGGGTGGAGGAGGGAGGAGGCTGGAGGACTCAGCCCTTGGCCAGCAATGGAGAGAAGGGAAGACTGAAGGATGTCCCAGACAGGTTGGAGGGAAGTGCATGGTCTGAGGACAGAGCTCCCCGGAGCAGGAGGGATCCGGCGGGTCAGATGCCATGGAGAGGACTGGGACGGAGAGACTGACCTTGGAACCGGATGCAGGAGGGTCATCAGTGAGAAGAGTTTCTGGGGAGTGGTGGATGCGGGAGTCTGTGTTGAAGCTCAAGACAGAGCGACCCTATAATTTATAGTCAAAATCAGGACCCTTTTTTTTTTTTGAGATGGAGTCTCGCCCTGCCACCCAGGCTGGAGTGCAATGGCGCGATCTCGGCTCACTGCAACTTCTGCCTCCCGGGTTCAAGAGATTCTCCAGCCTCAGCCTCCTAAGTAGCCGGGATTACAGGCACACACCACGCCAGGCTAATTTTTATATTTTTATAGAGATGGGGTTTCGCCATGTTGGCCAGGCAGGTCTCCAGCTCCAGACCTCAGGTGATCCGCCCACCTCGGCCTCCCAAAGTGCTGGGGTTACAGGCGTGAGCCGCTGCGCCTGGTCAATCAACACACTTTTGAGCAAGAAAGGGGGCACTGAGGGGGTGGGGGCATAAACCGGGACCGTCCTAGCCAAAGCCAGGTGTATAGTCACCTTAGCTCAAAGTAGAATTGGAGGCTGGGTGCAGTGGCTCATGCCTGTAATCCCAGCACTTTGGGAGGCCGTGGCCAGTGGATCACCTGAGGTCATGAATTCGAGATCCACCTGGCCAACGTGGCGAAAACCCATCTCTACTAAAAATACAAAAATTAGCCGGGCATGGTGGCACGCCTGGAATCCCAGCTACTCGGGAAGCTGAGGCACCAGAATTGATTAAACACAGGAGGCGGAGGTTACAGTGAGCCACGATCACCCCATTGCACTCCAGCCTGGGGGACACAGCGAGACTCTCTCAAAACAAAACAAAAAGATAATTGGAGAAGAGAAAGTGGAACTGGAGAATGAGGACATCTCATTAGATTCAGTGGGTTTTGCTCTAAGCAGAAACAGACACGTAAATGGGCAACATTATGATAAATTGTAGCAACCAGGATTTCGTGGCAGCTTAGTTAACAGGGAAGCATTAGAAGACCGACAATAGGGGATTGGTTAATTAGTTGCAATTCATCAAACAATGGCTAATCCCTCTCTTGTGTCCCACTCCCCGGAAAGGTAAGTCAGAATTCTAACCCCTGAGTATCTAAGAACATGACCCTATTTGGAGATAGGGTCTTCACAAAGGCAATGAAGTTAAAATGAGATCATTAGGGTGGGCTGTAGTCTAATATCATGGGTGTCCTTATAAAAAGGGAACATGGGCTCGGCGCAGTGGATCACGCCTGTAATCCCAGCACTTTAGGAGGCCAAGGCGGGTGGATCACCTGAGGTCAGGAGTTCGACACCAGCCTGGCCAACGTGGTGAAACCCTGTCTCTACTAAGAATACAAAAATTTACTGGGCGTGGTGGCGGGTGCCTGTAATCCCAGCTACTCTGGAGGTTGAGGCAGGAGAATAGCTTGAACCCAGGTAGTGGAGGTTGTAGTGAGCAGAGATCGTGCCATTGCACTGCAGCCTCGGGGACAAGAGTGAGACTCCATCTAAAAAAAAATACACACACACAAAAAAGCCACTGGCTGGGCACGGTGGCTCACGCCTAGTAATCCCGGCACTTTGGGAGGCGGAGGCGGGTGGATCACGAGGTCAGGAGATCGAGACCATCCTGGCTAACACGGTGAAACCCCGTCTCTACTAAAAATACAAAAAATTAGCCAGGTGTGGTGGTGGGCACCTGTAGTCCCAGCTACTCAGGAGGCTGAGGCAGGAGAATGGCTTGAACCTGGGAGGCGGAGCTTGCAGTGAGCCGAGATGGCGCCACTGCACTCCAGCCTGGGCAACAGAGCGAGACTCCGTCTCTGTCTAAAAAAAAAAAAAAAAAAAAAAGCCAGAAAAGCACAATTATCATAGTGAGTTGTTGTTGTGTGTGTGTGTGTGTGTGTGTGTGTGTGTGTTTTGACAAGGTCTCACTCTACCACTCAGGCTGGAGTGCTTGTCATGATCATGGCTCACTGTAGTCTTGACCTCCTGGGCTCAAGCAATCCTCCCACCTCAGCCTTCCAAGTAGCTGGAACTACAGGTGCGCACAACCACACCCAGCTAGTTTTTATATTTTTTGTAGAGATGGGGTTTTGCTATGTTGCCCTTGCTAGAATACAGTCTTTTTTTTTTTTTTTTTTTTTTTGAGACAGAGGTCTTGCTTGTTGCCCAGGCTGGAGTGCAGTGGCGAGATCTCAGCTCACTGCAAGCTCTGCCTCCTGCATTCAAGCTGTTCTCCTGCCTGAGCCTTCCGAGTAGCTAGGATTACAGGCGTGTGCCACCACCCCCGGCTAATTTTGTATTTTTAGTAGAGATGGGTTTTAGCCATGTTGGCCAGGCTGGTCTCGAACTCCTGACCTCAGTGATCCGCCCGCCTTGGCCTCCCAAAATGCTGGGATTACAGGCGTGAGCCACCTCGCCCGGCCTAGAATACATTCTTAATGTTGTGAGTTTTAATATATCTACTTTTAATGTTTCAATATGGTTTCAACAGCATTCTGAGAGAAATAACCATTAAAATACATAAAATCAGGACAGGGATAGTGGCTCAGCCTTGTAATCCTAGCACTTTGGGAACCCAAGTCGGGAGGATTACTCGAGCGCAGGAGTTTGAGACCAGCTTGGGAGAGATAGCGAGACCCCATCTCTACTAAAAATTTTTTTAAAAATTAGCCAGGCATAGTGGCACCCACCTGTGGTCCCATCTACACGGGAGGCTTGCGGTGGGAGGATCCCTTGATCCCAGGAGGTCGAGGCTGCAGTGAGCTGTGATTGCACCACCGCACTCCAGCCTGGGTGACAGTGAGACCCTGTCTCAAAAACACCCAAAAACCCCTCAAAACACATAAAAACAGGCACAGAGAGGTACACATTTTAGACTCCAATAGAATTTGGCAAATCTCTACGAAAACTTGCCTCAATGGAAACTTTTGACAATTTGTTCATGATGGAGTTATTTACCAGTAATTATTTTATTTTTATTTGTTTAAATTTATTTATTTATTTATTTATTTATTTATTTATTTATTTAGAGACAGAGTCTCACTGTCGCCCAGTCTGGAGTGCAGTGGCGCGATCTCCACTCAGTGCAAGCTCCGCCTCCCGGGTTCATGCCATTCTCCTGCCTCAGCCTCCCGAGTAGCTGGGACTACAGGCGCCTGCTACCACGCCCGGCTAATTTTTTGTATTTTTAGTAGAGACGGAGTTTCACCGTGTTAGCCAGGATGGTCTCGATCTCCTGATCTCGTGATCCGCCCGTGTTGGCCTCCCAAAGTGCTGGGATTACAGGCGTGAGCCACCGCTCCCGGCCAACCAATAATTAAATTTTCTTTCTTTTTTTTTTTTTTTTGAGAGGGAGTCTCGCTCTGTCGCCCAGTCTGGAGTGCAGTGGCGCGATCTCGGCTCACTGCAAGCTCCGCCTCCCGGGTTCACGCCATTCTCCTGCCTCAGCCTCTCGAGTAGCTGGGACTAATTTTTTTGTATTTTTAGTACAGACGGGGTTTCACCATGTTAGCCAGGATGGTCTCGATCTCCTGACCTCGTGATCCGCCCTCCTCAGCCTCCCAAAGTGCTGGGATTACAGGCGTGAGCCACTGCGCCCGGCTAATTTTTAAAAGAATATTATGGTGGGGTGCAGTGGCTCACGCCTGTAATCCCAGCACTTTGGGAGGCGGAGGCGGGCGTATCACTTGAGCTCGGAAGTTCAAGACCAGCCTGGCCAACATGGTGGAATCCCATCTCTACGAAAAATACAAAAATTAGCCTGGCATAGTGGCTCATGTTTGTAATCCCAGCTACTAGGGAGGCTGAGGCACGAGAATAGCTTGAACCTGGGAGGTGGAGGTTGCAGTAAGTCAAGATTGTGCCACTGTACTCCAGCGACAACAGAGAGAGAAAAAAAGATGTATTGAAATATTATTTATCTTGATTATTGAGTTTTTTGGCACCACCTTAATTTTTGCACCTGGTGCCAGTGCCTTACAATGCTTTAGTCTCCTCACCCTAATCCCAGCCCCGCAGGAGTGAGGGTGTGCAGAATTTTACAGCAGTCTGATTCTAAATTCTTGCCATCATCTTCCCACCTCTTCTACTGTCTCTTTAAGAAAATAAAGAGGCCTGGCGTGGTGGCACATGCCTGTAATCCCAGCACTCTGGGAGACTCAGGCGGGCGGATCTCTTGAGGTCAGGAGTTCGAGACCAGCCATGACCAATATGGCGAAACTCCATCTTTAGTAAAAATACAAAATATAGTCAGGCGTGGTGGCGGGTGCCTGTAATCCCCGCTACTTGGGAGGCTGAGGCAGGAGAATCGCTTGAATCCGGGAGGCGGAGGTTGTAGTGAGCTGAGATTGCGCTACTACATTCTAGCCTGGGCAACAGGAGCAAAACTCCATCGGAAGGTAAACACATACACACACAGTTTTTCTTTTCAGAAAGCTCTTTTACAGTGTAGTTGGGGTCGGGCGCGGTGGCTCATGCCTGTAATCCCAGTACTTTGGGAGGCTGCAGGCGGGCGAATCACGTTGAGGTCAGGAGCTGGAAAGCAGCCTGGGCAACATAGTGCAGGCCCTCTAGTCTCTACAAAAAATACAAAAGTTAGCTGGGAGTGGTTGCACACGCCTGTAGTCCCAGCTATAAGGCACCGTCTCTACAAACGCATTTTTTAAAATTCAGCCAGGCGTGGTGGTCCACACCTGTGGTCCAAGCTACCCAGGAGGCTGAGGTGGGAGGATCGCTTGAGCCCAGGAGGTGGAGGCTGCAGGGAGGGATGATCGTACCACTGCACTCGAGCCTAGGCGACAGAACGAGACTCTCTCTAAAAAATACAAAAAACAAAACACACAAAAAAGTAGTTTGATCTAAAGCAAAATGGTGAATATCTGCAGAAACTAATGTGATATCAAGTATAGATTGATATCTATGAGATGAAAAGCTTCATTTGACCCCGGATGGGTTTGTGGGCCGTTTGACGTGCATTGTTTTAATGGAAGGTGGATTTATGATAAAGTGATAAACATGTGTGTGGGTGGGTGGGTGTGTTGGAAAGGGTGTTTATTGGATTTCTTTTTGTCTTCCTTATTTTCCTTCTTTCGGTCTCTACTGTATCAAATACAATAACAGATATTCAGGAAGAGCGGATATTGCTTTAGCTGACTGTAGCCAGTGTTTCTTTGGTGGGACAACGCAACTATCACTGCAACATTATCTCTATAGGAGAATTTAAAGAACCCTGACGCCTACCGGTTTCCGTAGTGTAGCGGTTATCACATTCGCCTCACACGCGAAAGGTCCCCGGTTCGATCCCGGGCGGAAACAGGTCAGCTGTTTTTCCTAACCGGAGAGTAATACTATTTGAAATTCACCGAAAGAACGATTCTAGTCCCATTCTTTCTCTTCCGCCTTCCTCCTGCCTTTTAGACATTTTTATGGGATTTAAAAAAATTTTCCGTGATTGATGGCTCACGCCTGTAATCCCAGCACTTTGAAAGGCCGAAGAGGGCGGATCACCTGAAGTCAGAGTTCGAGACCAGCCTGGCCAAAATGGTGAACCGCCCCCCCCCCCCCACCCCGCCCCACCCCGCCCCACCCCACCCCATCTCTACTAAAAATACAAAAATTAGATGGGCGTGGTGGCGTGCGCTTGTAATCACAGCTACTTGGGAGGCTGAGGCAGGAGAATCGTTTGAACCTGGGAGGTGGTGGTTGCAGTGAGCGGAGATCACGCCACTGCACTCCAGCCTGGGGGACCGAGCGAGACTCCGTCTCAAAACTAAAATGAAAATTTCAAACTCGCAAAAGTGGTACCGCATGCGTTGGCCGGGAATCGAACCCGGGTCAACTGCTTGGAAGGCAGCTATGCTAACCACTATACCACCAACGCCCTGATAGGTAGCATCCTCTCCGGATATCCTTAATAGTGGGGGATCATGGGTTTGACTGAGTGATACCAAGTCACAGGGGGGTGTCTCTCCCTAACCCACCGGAAGATGTCGTTCATGGGGCGTTACGCACCTTAGGCCGCCGCGCCGCGGGCTCCCCCCCAAGCGCCGCGGACGCCTTGGTACGTGCCTGGTGGTGTCCAATCCCAGGCCGCCGCCTGGGTCGCTCAACTTCCGGGTCAAAGGTGCCTGAGCCGGCGGGTCCCCTGTGTCCGCCGCGGCTGTCGTCCCCCGCTCCCGCCACTTCCGGGGTCGCAGTCCCGGGCATGGAGCCGCGACCGTGAGGCGCCGCTGGACCCGGGACGACCTGCCCAGTCCGGCCGCCGCCCCACGTCCCGGTGAGCAGCGCCCGCGCGCCTCGTCCCGCCCCGGCCGCGACCCTGAACCCGCCATTGACCGGCCCCGCCTCGGCCCTGACCCTGCCCTCGCCATCGCCTGGCCTCCCCGCACCCCGGAGCCTCCATGCACCCGTCTGTGGGTCCCTCCGGCCCCCTGCCTCGTTTCCTCTCCGCCCCAGGCCCTCCTCCACCTTCTTTCCCTCCCCGATTCCTGCGCTGGCCAGGCCACCTCCCAGTTTCTCCCCTTCCCTGATGGGCTTCCCCACCCATCCCGTTGCTGCCCAGGCCACCAGGCTCTGACCCCTTCCGGAGGTGGCCGCACCCAAGAACGTCCTCGTAGCTGCAGACCTTGACACCCTCTCCCCTTTCGTGCAGGCTCTGGAGGTCCCGATCTCCTCCCTCTCCCCATGCAAATGCTGTATATGCACAGAGGCCACCTCCCTCGACCTGCATCCTGTCCTCACTCCTTTACCACTTCCTCCAACCTTCGCCCCGAGGCTTGGTCTCCCCAATCCAGTCCTGATCCTCAACCCTACTTGATCCCTCTATTAAGGGTATCCAGAGACTCTTTTTCCTGCCGAGGCGTTGGTGGTGTAGTGGTTAGCATAGCTGTCTTCCAAGGGTCCAGCCCACAGGGTTCAGCCCCCTTCTCTCAGCCTCCCTTCTCAGGCCTGTCCAACCGCCTACCTTCTTCCCACACAGCCTTAGGCCAGCCCTGACACTTCCCTGTTCACGCTGCCTCTGAGCCATCAAAAGTGGTCTATTCCCTTGGCCCCCACCCCCTGGTCTTCCCCAGGGGCCCCAGGAGGAAGTCACTTGCCTCCCAGGCAAGAACCAACCTGCTTTCGAGGAGCTGGGACTAAAGCCCAGGGGGTGTGGACCGTAGGCACCAATCCCTGCATTCCTCTGCTGGGTCCCAGGGGAATCGGGGCCCGTGGGATGGCTTCTCTCCCAGATTCTGTCCAGGGCATGCAGACAGTGCTGCAGGGCTTCAAGGCAGAGCTAGAATCTAGCCAGGTAGAATCGGGCCTGACAGTCTGCAGCTCCTGAGTGGGGGAGGCTGAACGGCTGGCCGGTGCTTCCATTAACCTGCCACATTCATGACATGTTTATCCTATAAAGGTCTGTGTCCCACGCCTGCAGCTGGAATGGAGGCTCTCTGGACCCTTTAGAAGGTCAGTTGTGCTGGGGTTTGGCAGCCAGGAAGGCTGGGGTGTGGGCTGGTGGGATTCCTTTGCCTGCTCTAGAATATAGACATGGGCAGGAAATGGTTTTCTATGGCCCTGGATGGTTGTCCTCCGCAGGGCAGTGGCTGCAGTTTTTTGTGCGCCTGCTGGAGGCTTTTCTTTCCACCCCTGTCCCCCTCTAGCTGCCCCTGGAAGGAGCTTTTTGAAGGCTTTGAGGAGAGGAAGGGGAGAGTGCTGATTTCAGCAGGATTTGGTGGAGGGGTGCCTGGATCCACCTACACTGCCTGACCCGGTCAGTAAATGGTGTGGATTCTGGCCCTGAAAGGACTTTAGTTTGAGTCTCCCCCTTCCTGTGGTTTTGAGTATCTTGTTTAGTTGACAATGCTAGCTGTCATTTAGTTTGTGCTACATCAGACACTGTGTTAAAAGCTGTATGTGTGCAGTCTCATTCAATTCCCTTGGTGGCCCCAGGCGTAGATACTGTCATACCATGTTCTCGCTGGGGAAGTGGAAGCTCAGAGAGGTTCAGCGACTTCCCCAGAAGTGGCAGAGTCAGGATTTGAACCTTTCTCTCTGAGACCAGAGCCCACGCTTTTCACCACTGGACTGAGAGTATGGCCAGTGATTTTTCGTGGTGACTTTATGCTTAACCTCTTCCCTTAAAATCTCAGTCCTGTCCCCATGTGCTTCCCTCTCTTCTTTTGTTTTTGAGACAGAACCTCGCTCTGTCACCCCTGGAGTGCAATGGCACAATCTTAGCTCACTGCAACCTCCGCCTTCTGAGTTCAAGCAATTCTTCTGTCTCAGCCTCCTGAGTAGCTGGGATTACAGGCTTGCACCACCACAGCTGGCTAATTTTTGTATTTTTAGTAGAGCTGGAGTTTCACCATGTTGGCCAGGCTGGTCTCGAACTCCAGACCTCAGGTGATCTGCCCGCCTCAGCCCCCCAAAGTGCTGGGATTAAAGGCGTGAGCCACTGTACCCAGCTGGCCCTCTCTTCTTTAAGCCTTTGGGCAACTGCGCATCATGGGACCTGGCTTGTCTGAGAAGGTAGTTGGGCACCAACCAAACAAGGGGCCCCTTTGACTTTAGACGGCATCCAAGAAAGCACAGTAGCTCATTCATTCAACCTGAAATGTTTGTTGAGGACCAGGCATGGTCTGGGCTCAGGCAATCTGTTGGGACCAGGATAGATGTGGCCTGCCCTGTGGAACTGATATTCCCGTGAGGAGTGCCCCCTTACCCACAGCAGGGTTTCTCAGCTTTGCCACTGATATTTAGGGTTGGGTCATTCTTGGCAGAGGAGTGGGAGGGGGGCTGTTCTGTCCACTGTAAGGGGTTGAGCAGCATCGCTGGCCTCCACTGGCCACATGCCTCCCCTCACCGTCCCAGTCGTCATAACCAAAAATGTCCCCTGGGGGGGCCGGTTATCCCCAGGTGAGACCCCTGGGTTAGGGGATTCCATGGATCCCCAAGAGACTGCGTCCCATGATCCTCTGCCCTACTAAGGTCCCAGGAGGCTGCACACATTGAAATCCTCACCCTGAGTGGGGAGGGAGAAAGGAGGTGAATCCCAGGAGCTGGGGGTCCCCCTCGTTTAGAATGCTTGTTCCATGGGAAGTTTATTCCAGTATTAATATGAGCGTAGGCGTTGAACTCAAGTTTCTCCCCAAGTAATGGATGCAGGGGTCTCCGGCTTGGCATTGCTGACATTTGAGGTGGGATCCTTCTCTGAGGTGGGTTATCCTGGGCACTGTGGGGTGCTAAGCAGCATCTCTGGGCTCCACCCACTCCATGCCAGGGTCACCCCCGAGTTGTGACAGCCACACATGTCTCCAGACATTGTCCAGTGTCCCCTGAGGGGCCAAATCGCCCCCAGTTGAGAACCACTCTCCCTGGGGAAGGGGACAACTGGAATTATGGTCCAGGCCATTGTATCAGCGTCTGGGTGTGGTGATGGGGGTCGCCAGGTAGCATCTTCAGATGGGGTGCTCAGGAAAGACCTCTGAAGAGGTGGTATCAGGAGCCACAGGGCAAGAAAGAGCAAGTCATATCAAAAGCAGGAACTGGCATTTCAGGCCACGGGGTGCGTCGTGCAGAAGCTGTGTGCTAGGAGCGAGCAGGTGTGTTGAGGGACAAGAAGGAGGCAAGTGTGGCCGAAGGTCATGGTCAAGGGTGAAGCAAGTAGGCAAGGTCACCAGGGCCATCAGGCAACGGCCACAGTGAGGAATTTGGGATTCTTCTATTTCCAGCAGGTGCCCTGGTGTGATGTCCCTGGAGTCACTTGAAACTCCCAGGGACTTTACACCTTGAAAGGAACCTCCTGTTGAGAAAGATGACGGGCTCTGGCAAATGCCCAGAACCTCCTGCATTTCAGGCCAGGGCCTGAAGCATCGTCTCTTCAGAATGCCCTTGGCTTCAGGGTGCTCCCCGGAGGCTTGGGGGGCTGCCTGGAGCAATGAGGAGGGGGCGAAGGGGGCAGGAGCGCCCACTCCCCACCTGCTGGGGTTGCAGCCCTTTGATCTCTCCTCCCACTTGCCCGCAGGCACCCCTGCCCTCCTGAGGTCAGCTGAGCGGTTAATGCGGAAGGTTAAGAAACTGCGCCTGGACAAGGAGAACACCGGAAGTTGGAGAAGGTGAGGTTGGCCTCGGAGGCCCTGATCCGTGAGGATGTGGCCCAGCTTCTGGAATTCCCCAACAGTCTAAGATCTGGAAGGCCCCTTCTTTCCCTCTCCCCTGGCTTCCCCAGCACGTCCCCAAGACTGTTCTGGTTATTTCAAGCGAGGAGGCAGTGTGGCGTAGTGCGGGGTCTCCCCCTCGGCACTGTGGACGCTGGGGCTGGAATGTTCTCTGGGGTGGGGCCATCCCAGGCACTTCACGGTGCTGAGCAGCGTCCCTGGCCTCCACCCACTTCATGCCAGGAGCTCCCCTCAGTTGAGACAACCACAGATGTCTCCAGATGTCACCAAGTGTTTGCTGGGGGCAGAATCACTCCTGGGTAAGAACTGCTGATCTCAGTGTAAGGATGTGGGTTTTGGGCTCCAAGAGACTGGGGCTCCACTCCCCTTCCTCTCTGGGTGACATTGGACAGGCCATTCAACCTCACTGAGTCCATTTTTATTTATTTATTTATTTATTTATTTATTTATTTATTTATTTAAGACGGAGTCTTGCTCTGTTACCCAGGCTGGAGTGCAGTGGCACGATCTTGGCTCCCTGCAACCTCCATCTCCCGGGTTCAAGCGATTCTTCTGCCTCAGCCTCCCAAGTAGCTGGGAGTACAGGTGCGTGTCACCACACCTGGCTAATTTTTGTATTTTTAGTAGAGACGGGGTTTCACCACATTAGCCAGGATGGTCTCGATCACCTGACCTTGTGATCTGCCCGCCTCGGCCTCCCAAAGTGCTGGGATTACAGGTGTGAGCCCATTATTTTGGTCCTGAAAATGAGGAGGATCCCAGAACTGAAGAAGTGCCCTAAAATCAGGTGTGGATGGAATGTGGTTAGACACGCACCCCCCGGGGCAGTCAGTAAACTCCATGTCTCAGGGCCTGGCACGAGATGAAAAGGCGGTAGGAATTCCTCGACCCTGCGAACCTTTCTCAGTATTCAATTTTCTAATACTCTTAGGCTTGTTTGCTTCAATGGAGCATGCTCAGCTGGGAAGGGAATTGAAGAATGGACCGGGGAAGACGGGGACGGTGTGAAGGGCTATGATTGGCCCAGCCATGGGCTCTAAAACCGGGTGGTCCCAGCGTCTGGTGGGCACATGCCTTAGGGGTCAGTTACTGAAGGGGATCTGTGTCCCTTCCCTTATCTGCACACACTTAATGTCCCACCTGGGCACAGGCTGCTGGGTGACTCTGTAAAGGTTGCTCATCAAAGCTAAAGGCCCAGGCAGTGCTGGGGGCAGTTTGGGTAGGACAGAGGGTGGCATGCTGTTTCCCCGGCAGCCCCCACTTGCAGGGGCACTTGCCTGGCCTGGGCCGGCTGCCCAAAGTCCACCTTGAGGCATTTCCCCATCCAGCGCATGGGTAGGACCCTGTCCTCACCACCCCCATACGCCCCTTGCCCCACGCCAGCCAGGGGCTCCCACCTTTCTTTCTGCCTTATCACCTTGTGGTCGGCCTGAACTCAGAACTGCAGTCAGCACTGAATCTACAGTTCCTTCTAGGCGTCCAAATACTTCCCCCATCTCCAACTACTCCCCCGCCCCCGCTCGCCACCAAAGCACCAGCTCAGACACAGACATCACAGAGCTTTGGAGCTGGGCACGGTGGCTTGCACCCCTCTCATCCCAGCTATTTGCTAGACCGAGGTGGCAGGATCGCTGGAGCCCAGGAGTTTGAGACCAGCCTGGGCAATATAGCAAGACCCCATCTCTTAAAAAAAATGAAAAATTTAAAAAGGAGATCACAGATCTGCCACCCAGCCTTGACAGAGACCATGCTAGGAGGTCTGGAGCTGTTTGCTGGTGGTGTCACAGGCCGCAGAGGCACCCAGCTGATTGGCCGAAGGAAGGAGTAGGTAGACTTGAGTAAGTGGCCTGGAATCCATCTCTGCAGCTGTGTAAACTCTTGACTCCCCTGAGCCACAGCATAGGGTGGTGCTAGGTGGAGAAAGCCCATCACAGGCTAGCCCTCGCTCCCTCACTCTTGCGCCAGCCTCTCTGCAATCCGGGCTGTGCCCCCGGGTAGAAGAGAGGTCAGCGGAGGGCCAGGCTCCAGCACCAAGCCTCGGCCTGTCTGGAAGCTCAAGCTAAAGAGTCTAGCCACATCCAGAAGATTCCTGGAAGTTTCTCGCGATGTTTCATTTCATTTCTCATCTCCGGGATCGAATTTTTGCTTCTTGGGCTATCAGTGGTGATCAGAGGCAAGATAATTTTTATTGTTCTTTGCAATGAAAACAAGCCACGCGGGTCTATAAGTGCTTCCGGGCAGGCTCTCAGCTTATGGGTGGCCCCTTTGGGAGCTCCGAAGGTCACATTTTTTCTTTGCTGCCGTGAGCCAGGCTTGAATTGGGGCAGCACAGCTTAGAGGGGTGCTTAGGCCGCTCAGAGGAGCTCCCCGGGCTCAGTTTTCTGGGCTTGCTGCCAGCAGTGCTTGGGGCAGTGGGGGTTCTTGAGTGCTCAGGCGGTCCTGGTCCCAGCCGCTGCCTAACGCTGCTTGTGGCTCCCCACTGCCCTGGAGGGGACCTGCAGCTCTGCAGTGGGCGCGGACATCCTGTGTGTGACCTGAGAGCCCTGTAAGTGCTGATGTCCTTTGGTTCGTGTCTTTATTTCTGTCTCAGGAGGAGCTGAACTAACAAACTGCGCCCCTTCTGGCTGGAGGGCAGGACACGCTGGCCCTGCCTGGATGGAGTAGGATGAAACAAGGGAAGCATTTTCCCCTGTCATTTCTTTGGGGTCGAGTTGGAGAGGGACCTCCAGAAATCAGCCCACAGCCGTGATACTCAGAAGCCACCTTCCCAAGGGGTCTTCCGCCCCATGAGCCTTTCGTATGTCCCTTGCTGAGGTGGCTTCTACTCTCCTTGGCTTACGGGACCTTCCCACAGGACACGGGTGTCTCGCAGAGCACGGCACGGGCAGTTCTCTGGGCTGCACTCTGTGACTTTTCCTGCTGTAATTGCTGGGCTTATCACACAGCATGTCAGTGGGAGGCCGGGGGCCGGGCTGCCTCCACTGAACCCCTTTTGCTCATTCACTCGGCTCTGATTGGGAGCAAGCTCCAGTGACCTCCCAGCTTCAGTTTCCCCACCTGTAGAATGGGCTGTCACAAGCCCAAGTAAGGCCCAAATGAGGTGACAATTGCAGGTCGTGATCTTTCTTTCTTTTTTTTTTTTCTTTTTTCTGAGACAGAGTCTCACTCTGTCGCCCAGGCTGGAGTGCAGTGGCACGATCTCGGCTCACTGCAAGCTCCGCCTCCCGGGTTCACGCCATTCTCCTGCCTCAGCCTCCCGAGTAGCTGGGACTACAGGCGCCCGCTACCACGCCCGGCTAATTTTTTGTATTTTTGGTAGAGATGGGGTTTCACCGTGTTAGCCAGGATGGTCTCGATCTGCTGATCTCATGATCCTCCTGCCTTGGCCTCCCGAAGTGCTGAGATTACAGGCATGAGCCACTGTGCCCGGCCAAGTCCTGATCTTTCAAAGGCGCTCGTTGACATCCTTGCAGCTCTTTCTCCCCTTCCCTCTCAAAGCAGGCTGGGGCCCTTTCTCTTGCAGTGGTTACCCTGTGGGGTCTCCTCTTGGCAAGAGGCAGAGTCTTCTGGGAACTGGCACACTGCAGAGTCAAGGCGGCCCACTCATCTCTGCCCTTTACTTCTCTCACACCCAGTCCCTGCTGTCCACTCCCGCGGGTTTTCCCACTTCCTCCAAGCAAGCAGCGACTTCCCCAAGCCAAGCTGTTGGTCCCGGAGGACAGGGCTTCTGGCAAGGTCGGCAGTCACTCGGAGCCCACAAAGGGAAGCGAGACCAGCCCCGGTGCCACCCTTTCCAGACCACTGGCTCTCGCAGAACTGGGTCACTGCGGCCATGTTTAGATTTCTGTAAAACAAATATTTGCCTGGCCAGTCCAGTCAGGTCAAGGAGTGTGCTAAGTGACGAGGGCGGGAGTGGGGTGGTGGGAGATGTGACACCGCGGCGGCCACTCACGGTGGCTGCTTTGCGGACCCAGAGTGTCCTGAGTGGGAGGAGAGAGTGGGATATTCTTTGGGGAAGGGCGTGCCATTCACCCTTTCACCTGCACCTCCCACATCCCGAGGCTCTGGAACTTCCAGTGAAGGCCAAGCATCTCCCCGGCTGGACAGCAAGCCAACAGCACAGGTGACCAGGATGGATTTTCATTCCTTCACGCCCGGGCCTCTCCCGAGACCCAGCATGTCTCCCCGCGAGCCCACTGAGAGATAATCATTCCACAGTGCTCCGTGGAATGCCTGCCACGTGCCAGCCACCAGCTAAGGTTCTGGGAGCACAGCTGTGAATGGGACAGACATGGGGGAGACAGGGGTCCCACAAATAACCGCTGTGATGAAGGTGGAGGGAGGGGACAGCCAGGTGGCGTGTGAAAGATGAGCAGAAAGACCAGCTTCAGCGTGGATGGTGTGAAAGGTTTCTGACGGCCTGCCAAGTACTTCAGCTGAGATCTGATTAGAAGCTGGCCAAGCAGGCTGGGTGCAGTGGCTCATGCCTGTAATCCCAGCACTTTGGGAAGCTGAGGGAGGCGGATCACTTGAGGTCAGGAGTTCGAGAGCAGCCTGACCAACATAGTGAAACCCTGTCTCTACTAAAAATACAAAAAACATTAGTTGGGCATGGTGGCAGGCACCTGTAATCTCAGCTACTTGGGAGGCTGAGGCAGGAGAATCGCTTGATCCTAAGAGGCAGAGGCTGCAGTGATCTGAGATCACGCCACTGCACTCCAGCCTTTGGAGACTCTGTCTCCAAAAAAAAAAAAAAAAAAAAAAAAAAGTATATATATATAAACATATATCAAAGAAGTTAAGCAAAGTGAGGAAAAATGCACTCCGAGCAGGAGGGCCAGCATGTGCAAAGGCCCTGCGGTGGAAAGGAATTTGGCCTGTTTGAGGAGCTGAGTGAAGGCTCATTTGGCTGGGTCACAGGGATAAGAAGGATGAGATTCAAGGGCTTGGCAGGGGTCGACAGCAGCCTTGAGGTGGTGGTGAGAACTGGTTGTTATCCCGGGGACTGTGGAAAACCAGGAAGGGTTTTAAGTGATGGGGTCTTGGCAGTGGATGTGGAACATCCTGGTGGGAGGTGGTTTCAGTCATTCAGCCAAAGCCAAGCATGGTGGCTCACACCTGCAGTCCTAGCAACTTGGGAGGCTGACGCAGGAGGATTGCTTGTGGCCAGGAGTTTGAGACCAGCCTGGGGAACATAGTTGAGACCCCCATCTCCAAAAAGAAGAATGTTTTTAAAGATCATTCATTTGAGAGGTGATGGTGGCTTGAATCTTAGCAGCATTAGTGACATGGAGAGAGGTAGACCAACCCAAGAAGTGTTTAGGGAGTGGGGAAAGCGGCAGGGGTGGGGCTCGTCTGGAAGAACCTGAGTGCCTCGCAAGGGGCAGCATTGGGGCAGCTCGTAGGTAAAACAGTTCTCCTTTCTCATAGTCTTTGCTTCCTCCCCGCAGCTTCTCGCTGAATTCCGAGGGGGCTGAGAGGATGGCCACCACCGGGACCCCAACGGCCGACCGAGGCGACGCAGCCGCCACAGATGACCCGGCCGCCCGCTTCCAGGTGCAGAAGCACTCGTGGGACGGGCTCCGGAGCATCATCCACGGCAGCCGCAAGTACTCGGGCCTCATTGTCAACAAGGCGCCCCACGACTTCCAGTTTGTGCAGAAGACGGATGAGTCTGGGCCCCACTCCCACCGCCTCTACTACCTGGGTAAGCCGGGCCCTGCAGGCTGCTTGGGCGGGGACAGCATCTGGGACCACAGTTCCCTGGTCCTCTCTGTTCCCAGAGGTCCACAGGAGTTGGAAGATCTGCTCGGATGGCTGGGCCCTGGGCATGCTGTCCTTCGAGGCTCAGCCACAGACAGCTCTGACTACAGGGAAGGGCTGCCGCGGGGTGGGTGGGGCGGCCCCCGGAGGGTCAGCCGTGCAGGGAGCCATGCACAGGGCAGCCCCGCTCCTCCATGTGGCCAGGATGCCGTGGCTCAAGCCGGCCCTGTGGCTCCAAGCCCGGAGATTGTTTCCAGTGCTAGTCAGCCGGGTCCACCCCCTGAGTCACTTCCCAGCCACCTGGTCCGGGCTGGGTGGGGCTCGTGACAAACAGGACTGGACTGAACCATTCCCAGAGGGAGTCGGGAGTAACTCCAGGAGGAGCTCGCCGTGGAGGTGCGTCAAGAAGGATCCCGAGGTTCCGGGAAAGCCGCCCGGATGGCAGAACCTGGTTTGCCGCCGGTGACAGCACAGGGGCGGCTTGCCACGCGCTTGCAGCCCCTGCTGCAGGCTCTGGATCCACACTTCCTCCTCTGGGCGTGTGCCTGCACGCAGCTCCTCCTGCAGCGTCTGCAGTGCCTCACGGGACTGGGCTCCTCTGCACCACGAGTGCCTTCAGGGCACGGGTTAGGCTGCATGTCCTCCAGCAGCTTCTGCAGCCACTGTGGGCCTGGCTCCCGTGAGGTGGGCAGCGGATATTCGGATGGTGCCCACTGCACCCAGAGGCCTTAAGAGCTGGGAGGAAGGACACCTTGGAGAGATCAGCCAGGCCTGTGTCTTTGAAAGCAGCGTGACACATGGCTGGGGACCAAAGGCAGCGTCTCTCCCGCTTGGCACCATGGACATTGGGGCCAGATCGTTCTCTGGGGTGGGGCCGTCCGGCCACTGCAGGGTCCTGAGCAGCGTTCCTGGCCTCCACCCACTCCATGCCAGGAGCAGCCACATCCCAGTGGTGACAACCACAGATGTCCTCAGACATCGCCAAGTGTTCCTTGGGGGTGGGGTGGCGCTGGGATCCTTGTCCAGACCGCTGCACTCATCCATGGGACTCATGGTGGTGTCCTCAGCCCCTGAGCCCAGGCCCGCGTGTGCTGCAGCCCCCAGCCAGCATTGGAACCAGTGAACGGCCGTCATCCTCTGCCTGAGGCTGACCACATGCTAACAACAGTGACCGAGGTGGACACCAGGTGGCTGTCTTCTTCCGCCATCAGCGCAGTCCCTCTCCACAGACAGACTTGTGTGGGAATCAGATGGTGGTCTGGCAAACAAAGAATTTAAAAGGAAGAATCATCCAGAACAGGGGTCGGCAGGTGACAGCCGTCTTCAGAAGTCAGGTTTTCCTGGTCCCTGTTACTTTCCTGACATCTTTGGCTGTTCTCAAGCTACAGCAGGAGAGTCACCGCAACAGAGGTCATATGGCCCACGTAGCTGAAAACATTTACTGTCTTCCTTTTATTTTTCATTTTTTTTTTTAGAGATGAGGTCTCACTCCATTGCCCAGGCTGGAGTGCAGTGGTGTAATCACAGCTCACTGCAGCCTGGAAATCCCTGGCTCAGGTGATCATCCCAACCTCAGCCCTCCAGGTAGCTGGGACTATAGGCACGTGCCACCATGCCCAGACAATTTTTTGTATTTTTTGTAGAGATGAGGTTTTGCCGTGTTGCCCAAGCTGGTCTTGAGCCCCTAGGCTCAAGCAGTCCTCCTGCCTCAGCCTCCCAAAATGCTAGGGTTTCAGGCATCAGCCACTGCACCTGGGCTGTCTGGGCCTTTAAGAATGCTGGCCAACTCTAGTCTGGGAGAAATTGGACTGAAATGGCTTGAGTTTCAGTTACCTGAGAGAGCTTGGCTGTTACGACTACAAGTGTACAGACCACGGCTGCCATGGGCCGTTGCCTCTTTTTTATCCTGTGGCGCCCACAGTCTTGGGCCACTTGCTCCCGTTGGGGTTGCTGTCCTGGTCAGGGCGTTTGGAGGAGTTTTCTGTGGCTGCCATTGTGAAAATTATTCACACTTCTGGAGGGCAGAAATCCAAGATCAAGGTTTCCTCAGGGCCACGCTCCCTCTGGAGGCTCCAGAGGAGAACCAGTCCTGGCCTCTTGCAGCTTCTGGTGGCGGCCAGCATCCCTTGGCTTGTGGCCACAACGTTGGAACTTCTGGCCTGATGGTCACACAGCTTCCTCCTCCTCCTCTTCTTCTCTTCTGTCTGAAATTCCCCTCTGCCTCCTTTTTTTTTTTTTTTTTTTTTTTTTTTGAGATGGAGTCTCGCTCTGTCACCCAGGCTGGAGTGCAATGGCGCAATCTTGGCTCACTGCAACTTCCGCCTCCTGGGTTCAAGCGATTCTCCTACCTCAGCCTCCCGAGTAGCTGGGATTACAGGTGCCTGCCACCATACCCAGCTAATTTTTGTATTTTTAGTAGAAGCAGGGTTTCTCCATGTTGGCCAGGCTGGTCTCAAACTCCTGACCTCAGGTGATCCGCCTGCCTCAGCCTCCCAGAGTGCTGAGATTACAGGCGTAAGCCACCGTGCCTGGCCTGCCTCCCTCTGATAAGGACTCATGATGCCATCTGGGTCACTTGGGTAATCCAGGATCATCTCCTCAGCTCAAGAGCCTTCACTTAATCCCAGCCGCACAGGCCTGTCTCTCTGTGTAACGTAGCCTCCACACCCGAGCCCCAGGATGTGGACACCTCTCTGTCAGGGCCATCATTCAAATCTCCGTGGAGCTGCTAAAAGGGACAGAAACCCTCCAAGCTCGTCTGAGCCATGAAGTACTCCTGGAGTAAAGGTAGAGGGGCATCTCATGGAACCCAAGAGCAGAAAGCCCAGTGGACCTCAGGAAGCAGCGCCTGAGAACCAGAGCCTTCCAGAAGCCAGGCATCTGTCCGTGCCTGGGTCCACCCCACCTCGCTGCCCACCTGTCCTCCGCAACCCCTCCACAGCGCCTGGGATTCCATGCCTCAGGTTCTAGCCACCAGCAGAAACGGAGGAACTTTCTCCAAATTTCCGGGACAAAGATTCAGATTGACTCCGCATAGATGAGATCGTCGGGTCGCCTGTGGCTCGTGTGTGTGTCTGGGGCTGGGACAGGCAGGTCCTCACAGTACACAGGAGGTGCTGAGGGCCCACCCCAGTGGGCATGAACTTGGCAGAAACCCCAGAACGTACCTAGAGTAGCTCAAAAACCAGACTGCCCCTTTCGGGGTGAAATTCACCCTTCAACGACTCCAGGCTGTCACTTCACACTGTCAGGGGCAGCACTGAGCTCACGTCACATCCAGGTTCTCGGGGCAGGCCTCCCCCCAGCCCCTGAGTAATAATAACACTTCTTAGCACTAGCCCAGTGTCCAGACTTCAAGGCCAGGCCTGGCCTGCTGCTCAAAGCATGGGACCTGTCCCCTCAGCAGGCACCAGGTTTGCTGTGGGGCATGTGGAGCTAATCACTGGGCCCCTCCGGAAAGGCTCTTTCAGATCCACATGATAAAGCCCCCAGCGTCAGGCTAGCAGGAGCAGCGGGGGAACGTGCGGTTCCTGCTGCTGGGAAGATGGGCTGGGGCCGGCTCAGGTTCCAGGCCTCAGACTGCAGCATTGGGAAACGCTCCCGACCCCGCTCCCGCCCCACGCGGATCAGCCTCTCCCCACTGCAAACGGTGACTTCTGTGGCTGGAGGAGGCCACAGGGTTCCAGACAGTTCTGGAACTCCCTCGAAAGGGAAAGCAAGAATTCCTGTCTCCCGACGTCCCAGGCTGAGATCCAGGGGAGAGCCCTAGCCCTGTGTGGATCACGATCCCCCACCAGGCCAGCCACTCGAGGCCACAGCGTGCAGTGACGGGAAATGGTGTTTGCGCAGGCCTGGGTCACCGGGGCATGGGTGGGTGACAGGTTGGCATCAGGTGTGTTTGCAGGGGCAGAGCTGGTGAGGGAGGTCCGAGGAGGGATGGGGCAGCAGAAATCCACAGCCCTTGGCGGTCACCTCTAGCCCTTGCCTCAAAGGCCAGTTGTCACCATCATAGTGCCAGCAGCAGCTCGCCCGAGGAATGTGCTGGCAGGGGCCATTTGGTGATCATTGATTAATCAGCCTAGAAGGAGGTGGCCCTGGTGTCCTTGGCAAGTCTGTGGCTTTGATTTCCTGTTTGGAAAGCTCCAGCTCTCCTGGAGAGTCCCTGTGGACTAGCTGCCCAGGCCCTCCCATCCCTCCCACCCCTCCTGTTGGCCCAGGGTGCTTTTTAAAAATTGAGATGTAATTCACATTGCACAGTTTCACTTTTGAAGGTGTGAAACTCAGTGGCTTTTAGTCACGCATTCACAGAGTTGTGCAGCCATCACCATTGTCTACTTCTAGAACATTCACTCGCCCCAAAAAGCAACCCCATCAACCATCACTCCCAAGCCCCGGGCAACCATGAACCCACTTCCTGTCTCTGTGGATTGGCTTGTTCTGGACATTTCACACGAGCGAAATCACACATCACTTGACCCTCATCCCCATGGGCGGCCGGACGGGCAGGGTCCTGGCAGCTTCAAGGGCTCTTAGAGATTGAGTCGTGTTTCCAGCACTTGCGTTCTTTTGCTCACCCCTGAGTCTCCGCACGATTTTTCTCCTTCCCACACACATCTCACTGAACTTTGCATTTTTCATAAATACACTTTAAAAGGAACCCTGTTAATCTAATCTTTTTCTTTAAGTACATCCTTCCGTCACTACTGTACTTCACAAGCGCGCTTCCTCATGCGTGGGAAACCTGTGTTCCTTGCCACAACTAGAAGTTGCTGTTTCTTTCTTTAAAAAAAAAAACAAACAAACAACTGGCCGGGTGTGGTGGCTCACGCCTGTAATCCCAGCACTTTGGGAGGCCGAGGCAGGCAGATCACGAGGTCAGAATTTCAAGACCAGTCTGGCTAACATAGTGAAACCCCTGTCTCTACTAAAACTACAAAAAATTAGCCGGGTGTGGTGTTGTGCTCCTGTAATCCCAGCTACTCGGGAGGCTGAGGCAGGAGAGTCGCATGAACCCAGGAGGTGGAGGTTGCAGCGAGCCAAGATTGCACCATTGCACTCCAGCCTGGGTGACAGTGCGAGACTCTCTCTCAAGAAAACAAACTTTTAGGTTCAAGGGCACATGTGCCGGTTTGTTCTTTGGGTAAACTTGTGTCACGGGGGTTTGTTGTATAAATTATTTCATCACCCAGGCTAGTACCCGATAGTTATTTTGTCTGCTGCTCCCCCTCCACCCTCCACCCTCCAATAGGCCCCAGTGTCTGTTCTGCTCTATGTGTCCATGTGTTCTCATCATTTAACTCCCACTTATAAAGTGAGAACATGTGGTATTTGGTTTTCTGTTCCTGCATTACTTTTCTAAGGATAATGGTCTCCTGCTCCATCTATGTCCCTGCAAAGGACATGATCTCATTCTTTTTTATGGCTGCAGAGTACTCCGTGGTGTATATGTACTACATTTTCTTTATCCAGTCTACCGTTGATGGATTTAGGCTGATTCCATGTCTTTGCTGTTGTGAATAGTGAGAAGATTCTGTTTCATCCCACTGAACCCACAGCTACAGTCACCCCAAAAGCAGCAGCAGAGGAGTTCCCACAAGGGAGTGCCCTGAACCGTCCCCAGATGGGGCTGGTTGGGATTCCAAAGAAAGGAACCCTAAATGCCAGGGGGATGAGTCCAAAGCATTTTCCAGGGGGTCTTCGGTGCAGGGTGGGCTTCAGTGTCCTTGCAATGGGCATCAGAGAAAAGGCGTGTTCTACAGCCAGGTGTGTCCTCGGCAAGGGGGTCAGGGTATGGAGTTTATGTGAGGGTTTAAGGATTTTGGCTCAGGGCCTGGGCTGGCTTTCGGTATTTATCAGTGCCTGGGAATGTTCTAGGCTCTGGTTCAAGCCTGTAGGGAAAAACCTGCAGCTGGCTGAGCCACAGAGGTCAGGGCAGTCTGTGATTTTCAGTCAGGACACAGAAAGCAAGCAGGAGGAACTGGAGGACCCTGCGGCTGCCTGTAACAAGAAATAAAAATGGCACAGATATTACTAATTAAGCACTAATCCCAGAGGCGGCGAGCTTGTGGCCTTCCTGTTCTCCTCTTAAAAGCAAGCAAGGGCCGGGTGTGGTGGCTCATGCCTGTTATCCCAGCATTTTGGGAGGCCAAGGTGGGCAGATCACCTGAGGTCAGGAGTTCGAGACCATCCTGGCCAACATGGTAAAACCCCATCTCTACTAAAAATACAAAAATTAGCCGGGTGTGGTGGTGGGCGCCTGTAATCCCAGCTACTCTGGAGGCTGAGGCAGGAGAATTGCTTGAACCTGGGAGGCAGAGGCTGCAGTGAGCCAACATCGTGCCACTGCACTCCAGTCTGGGCGACAGAGCGAGACTGTGTCTCAGAAAAAAAAAAAAAAAAAAAAAAAAAAAGCGAGTATGAGGAGGTCCTGAAAAGAGGACAGGACAGCACCAATCCGAGGCTTCGTCCTGGAGAAACTCAGGGTTGAAAGTAGAGCAAGGAGGGGCCAGGGCACCGGGCTGTCTGTGACTTGTCGTTAGTCATGTCACGTTTGTGGGCTACTGGACAGCTTTATGCTTGGAGGAGCCCTGTCCCGGTTTTTCAGTGGTGTCGCATGGAGAGGGGAAACCGAGGCTTCCCAGGGGTTACCATCCTGCTTCTGCCATTCCCTTTTCTAATGACAATTGTACTGTCATCCAGCAGATCTAAGACATGACCATTTGGAAAATACACAGTTATTTTATTTGCCACTAAGGACCTGATTGCGCCTTCCGCAGTAAGACCCATCCCAAGCCCAGAGACATGCGTAGGTGGAAAGCCGCGGCTTACTGATGAAATACGCTGATTTCACAGAGGGTCACACACATTGTGCCGAGAGCTTTACGTTTCTTACCTCATGTAATCCACCCAAAACCCTCGCTTGGCAGCTCTCACTACCGTCATTTTCTACAGAAGCTTCGATTAAATCAGTGGTTTGAGGTCGGGGTGATTCTGCCCCTGCAGGGGACACTGGGAGATGCCTGGGGATATGTGTGGTTGTCACGACTGTGGGGTGCCCCTGGCATGGAGTGGGCGGAGGACAGGGATGCTGCTCAGCGCCTCGCAGTGGTCAGGACAGCCCCACCCCGGAGGATGGTCCAGGCCCGAATGTAATTAGGGGCGAGGTTGGGAAATACTGGACCAGGTGCACGCTTCCCCATTCCCTTTTTTGAGACAAAATCTTGCTCTGTTACCCAGGCTGGACTACAGTGGCGCAATCTCGGCTCACTGCAACCTCTGCCTCCCAGGTTCAAGTGATTCTCCTGCCTCAGCCTGACGAGTAGCTGGGATTACAGGCGCGTGCCACCACGCCCGGCTAATTTTTGTGTTTTTAGTAGAGATGGGGTTTCACCATGTTGTCCAGTCTGGTCTCGAACTCCTGACCTCAAGTCATCTGCTTGCCTCGGCCTCCCAAAGTGCTGGGATGACAGGCGTGAGCCATGTCGCCTGGCCCTCATTCCTTTTTGATGGTTTTGCCCTCCCTCTAATCCTATATTAAATTCTTGTCGTCTGCAAAAGCCTTGATAAAGGGCCTTGGAGAGCCGAACCCAACCTGTTGAGAGTTGGATGTTTGTTTCTGACTGCCCTTCTTGTTCTCTTGTGTGCGATTTATTTTTCTTTCTTTTTTCTTTTATTTTATTCTTTTTTTTTTTTTTGAGACGGGGCCTTGCTATGTTGCCCAGGCTGGTCTCAAACTCCTGGGCTCAGGCAGTCCTCTCGCCTCGGCCTCCCAAAGTGCTGGGATTACAAACAAGAGCCACCATGCCCAGCCTCTTGTGTGCTGTTTCTTCGGTAATTCAGGCCGTGAGATTCAGCAGAAATATCTCAGGTGGAAGGCCCTACTGCCTACTTAAGCAAACCCAGGATCCATAGCTTTCCGGGGAGGGCTGTCCCGCCGGCGGCCTGGCAGAATGTTCTAGAAGCAGAGGGAACCAGCTGGGCCCAGCTGCAGGCTGAGGGCGTCTCCCCATCCTGAGCCAGGGTACCCGTTCTGGGTGTTTCCTTTCTCCCTTTAGGAATGCCATATGGCAGCCGAGAGAACTCCCTCCTCTACTCTGAGATTCCCAAGAAGGTCCGGAAAGAGGCTCTGCTGCTCCTGTCCTGGAAGCAGATGCTGGATCATTTCCAGGTAAGCTGTGCTATTAGGCGTGGGCCCTACCGTGGGCGAGGAGGTGGCAAAGGCCAGCCCCACAGGCCATACATGCCTTCGGTCACCTCTCTGCCCCACCGGCTGTGAGTTCCCACAAACCCTCCGTCCTGTGGACTCTGGCGGGTGAGCCTTCCCTCCTCCCCCTGACCACCTGTACTCAAGCGACAGAGAAACTCTTACCAAAAGCATCTCTTCCTTTTAACGGCATCACCAAAGATTGGGAATTAACTTGGCTTGAGGCCCTTTTAGAGAGACTGGTTAATCATCAATCTCATCCAGTGTTGGCTCTCTGGGGATAGTTGAGGGAGGAAAAATGCCTTTTGCATTGATTGGCGTGTTTTTGTGTTTGATGATTGGGAGGCCGAGGCAAGAGGATTGCTTGAGCCCAAGAATTTGAGACCAGACTGGGGAACACAGCAAGAGCCTGTCTCTACAAAAAATAAAATTAGCCAGGCCTGGTGGCACTCGCCTTGTAGTTCCAGCTAATTGGTAGGCTGAGATGGGAGGATCTCTTGAACCCAGGAGGGCAAGGCTACAGTGAGCCGTGATCTCACCATTGCACTCCAGCCTGGGAGACAGCGAATCCCAGTCTCTAAAATAGTAACAATATAGCAATAAAAATAACATAACATTATAACATAGTAACAACATAAACATAACAATGTAACAATAATGATATCTAACAGTGGCTGAGATCGTGACACTCCCACTTTCTCCACCACTGGTTCACTGGCCCTCACTTTGGCCTGTCTCTGAGTCCCCAAGCCAGTGTCCTTGTGTTTACACTGCTTTCCACAGAGTGTAGGGGTAATTTTGCTTTTGATTCTGCTTTTTTTTTTGAGACAAAGTCTCACTCTGTCACTCAGGCTATAGTGCAGTGGCGCAATCTCGGCTCACTGCAACCTCTGCCTCCCGGTTCAAGTGATTCTTCTGCCTCAGCGTCCCAAGTAGCTGGGACTACAGGCGCGTGCCACCACACCCGGCTAATTTTTGTATTTTTAGTAGAGACGGGGTTTCACCATATTGGCCAGGCTGGTCTCGAATTTCTGACCTCGTGATCTGCCCACCTCGGCCTCCCAAAGTGCTGGGATTACGAAATTGAAAGCTCTTGATGGGAAGGGATTGTGAATAGGGTAGGAGGGTGGGGAGTCTGTAAGAATGGCACTAGGGACCCGGAGAGAGTACTCCGGTGGTGTGGGGCAGGGACAGCCCCTCCCAGGGGCCCCCATCTGCTATGGAGAGGGTCTGTGGGGAGGGAACTCAGGAAGTGAGGAGGCTTCTGGCCCCAGAGTCTCCCCTGCCACCTCCTAGGACACTCAGCCAGTCCTGCAGGGCCAGGTTCGCTGGCAATCTTTGGCCACCCACTGTGTCAAGGGCTCCGGCAGCCAATTCTGCCCAGTACAGGAAGTTCTCTCTGGCGAGGCCCGAAGTCAGATTCCCTGGGAATGCCCCAGCCCGAGGATCTCTGCCCTGGCCAGCGGGAGATCCTCTTTGCCCACTGACGCTGCCCCCTGTCCCCTGTATGTTTCCAGGCCACGCCCCACCATGGGGTCTACTCTCGGGAGGAGGAGCTGCTGAGGGAGCGGAAACGCCTGGGGGTCTTCGGCATCACCTCCTACGACTTCCACAGCGAGAGTGGCCTCTTCCTCTTCCAGGCCAGCAACAGCCTCTTCCACTGCCGCGACGGCGGCAAGAACGGCTTCATGGTGAGCCCTGGCCCTGGCTGTGTGCGGGGGTGGCGTGGAGGGCCCCTCCCCCTGAGCTGGGCGTCTCTGTCCTCAGGTGTCCCCTATGAAACCGCTGGAAATCAAGACCCAGTGCTCAGGGCCCCGGATGGACCCCAAAATCTGCCCTGCCGACCCTGCCTTCTTCTCCTTCATCAATAACAGCGACCTGTGGGTGGCCAACATCGAGACAGGCGAGGAGCGGCGGCTGACCTTCTGCCACCAAGGTGGGGCCAGCCCCTCCTGTGCACGGCCACCATAGCCACCTGGCCAGCTTCCAGAAAGGCCCCATTGCCCCCACAGCCAGGGTCTTCCTGCACACACCCCTCACAAGCCACCCTCCCGTGCATACCTTCTGTAGCCTACCATGTCTCCCGGGAGGTCCTGGCGTCCCTGCCGCTCTGTAGTTTTCTTTCTTTCTTTCTTTCTTTTTTTTTTTTTTGAGAGAGTCTCACCCATGTGGGAGTGCAGTTGCCCAGGCGGGAGCGCAGGCGGGAGTGCCCAGGTGGACTGCAGTGGTATGATCTCGGCTCACTGCAACTTCCGCCTCTTGGGTTCAAGTGATTCTCCTGCCTCAGCCTCCCGAGTAGCTGGGATTACAGGTGCCCGCCACCACGCCTGGCTAATTTTTTTTTTTTTTTTGTATTTTTAGTTGTGACGAGGTTTCCCCATGTTGGCCAGGCTGCTCTTGAGCTCCTGACCTCAAATGATCTACCTGCCTCGGCCTCCCAAGGTCCTGAGATTACAGGCATGAGCTACCGCACCCTGCCGCTCTGTGGTTTTCTGCTGCAGGCGTCAGCCCAGCCACGGTGCTCTGGACCCTCTTCCAGGTGCCCCTGGGCATTTCTGCCCCTGCACACCTTCCCCTCCACTCTGCCTGTCCAGCCCCATCAAGTCAAGGCCACATCTCACCTGCTTCCTGCGTGTTCTCTCCACTCCCTTGCTCATCAGAAGTGACCCCATCCTTCCTTGTCTTGGTTTCAAGTCACTGATCGCTGCCTCTCCGTCCCATAAGCCCGGGCCCCACTTTCCAAACCTGGCCACTCGGCGATGTCCAGAGACGTTTTTAGACGGCACACTTGGGCGGGGGTGCTCCTGGCTTGCCATGGGGTGAGTGGAGGCCAGGGACACTGCTCAGCACCCTGCTGTGCCCTGGACGGCCCCACCCCAGAGACCAAGAGGGCCCCAGTGTCCACAGTGTGGGGTGGAGCAACCCTGCTTGAAAGCAGTCGGCTCCGAGCTCTCCCTCCCTCTCCCTCCCTCTCCCTCCCCCTCTCCTTCCCTTTCCTTCCCTCCTTCTCTCTCCCTCTCTCTCATGCTCTCCTTGAGCCCCTGGCTGTCCCCAGTGTTAGCAGGCTGCTCACCCCTTGTTGATGCTCTCCGTCCCTCCCCCTAGGTTTATCCAATGTCCTGGATGACCCCAAGTCTGCGGGTGTGGCCACCTTCGTCATACAGGAAGAGTTCGACCGCTTCACTGGGTACTGGTGGTGCCCCACAGCCTCCTGGGAAGGTAGGTCCCTTCCATTTTTCAACATGCTCCCGGGCGTGCTTTTCCTCCTGGAATCACAGGCTGTGTCCTTCCTGCGCCTTACTCCTTTCACCTCAAACCACCTCCACAGTCTGTCAATACCAACACCTAGAGAGTTCCTTAACGACTGTAGACATCGCTGTTGCCCTAAGAGGGGACACAGTTCAGCCCGTTACACCCCACGTGGCCACTTCCCATGCCAGTTCATGCTGGGAGTAGCCCTGCTCTGCTTCCCACTGCACAGGGGAGGAAACTGAAGCCCAGAGAGTTGGGACTGGCATAAGGTCTAGCGAATGGCAGAGCCGGGGTTCTGGTTTCAGAGCCCTCGGTGCCCATCTTCAGGCCCCGGTGCTGCAGGGGGCGGGGGGTGCTGATGGCAGGGACTCTGCCTCTGGCACCCTCAGCAGTTTTTCCACCACCCCACCCAAGGTTCAGAGGGCCTCAAGACGCTGCGAATCCTGTATGAGGAAGTCGATGAGTCCGAGGTGGAGGTCATTCACGTCCCCTCTCCTGCGCTAGAAGAAAGGAAGACGGACTCGTATCGGTACCCCAGGACAGGTGAGTGCCCGGTACATGTGAGGGGCTGGGCCGGGGATCTGAGGCCCCTGGGGCATGGCTGGTGAGGTGCACTGTCCCCCAGGCCCTCTGAGCTGCATGTGTGTGCTCTGGGCATCTATGGGGGTGTAGAAGGAAGGCTTCTGCCCTGCAGGGGCCGCCCCTTTCTCCTGGCTTACCATGGCCACCGGATCATATTGCTCAGAAGTGAGCAAGCTGTCTCTGGAAGGGATGAGGGCACAGGTATCTCAGGCTTCCAGGGCCAGACGAAGGCAGGCTCTCTTGCAACTGCCCCACCCTGCTGCTGGAGCACAGAAGTGGCACGTGCAGGAATGGGCGTAGCCATGTGCCAAGGAAACTTGACTGAAGTTTGGATTACAAATAATTCACCTTGAGATACATATGATTTTCATATTAGCGAAAATGTCACTCTTGTTTTGTTTGTTTGTTTTCTTAACCGTCTCAGAACGAAAGAAGGATTTTCAGCCATACAAAAACAGAAGGCAGGCTGGATTTGGCCCTCACACTACAGTGGTGTTTGTTTGTTTGTTTGTTTGTTTTTGAGACAAGGTTTCACCTTGTGGCTCAGGCAGGAGTACAGTGGTGCAATCACAGCTCACTGCAGCCTCCAACTCCTAGGCTCAAGTGATCCTCCCACCTCTGCCTCCCAGGTAGCTGGGACTACAGGTGTGTGCCACCATGCCCAGCTAATATTTAAATTTTCTGTAGAGATGGAGTCTTGCTTTGTTGCCCAGGCTGGTTTCGAACTCCTGGCCTCAAGTGGTCCTCTCGCCTCGGCCTCCCAAAATGCTGAGATTACAGACGTGAGCCACACGCCCGGCCACTCCCAATTCTTAAACATCTTTCCAATTATTTAAAAATATCTCTGGAGCCAAACAGAACACACGTGCAGCCCAGATTCCGCGTTCAGGCCTTGGGTTTGCAACCCCCATGGGACCATATAAGAGCATCGTTATTGCCCATACTCCGCGAGTGCCTGCTCTGTGCCGTGCTAGATGGAAGCTTCCTGTACGGTCTTTCCAACTCCCACTGCAAATGAGCTAAGTCAGTCTTTTCCCCCTCGTATGACAGATGAGAAAACAGGCTCAGAGATGTCACCTGCCCTGGAGGCCAGAGCCACGAGGGCTGGAGTTGAGTTTCTCGTAGGTCTAGCCAAAAAAATAAGCATTCTCCGCTCTGCTGTGGCCCGCGCCCTCTTTCGGAGCCTGAACTAAGTCCCACTCTTCAGAAGCCTCTTGGGTCCCTTATTCTGTCGCCATTGGCCTCCGGAGGGCGCAGGTCTGGCTGTCACACGGGCTCCCTGGTTTTGCATGGGACACACCCCACTTGTCACGTTGTCAGTTTTACTGTGATGCCTCGGGCTTCACCGTCTGCTCTGGAGCTCTCCCAAGGCAGGGATGGCATCTTCCTGGTATCTGCGGCCCCTACAAGCCCCAGCTCTCAGCACAGGGTGTGGCCCGTGTTTTTAAATGAGAAAGCCAGATGCCACATCACTGTTGGGAATGCGATCCAGGCCCAAAGTCAGAAGGTCCCCACCTGAGGGTGTCATGCCTGTTCCAGCAGGACGATGTGCCTACAGACAGACCGTGGGACACCTGGCTTCTCCTGCCTCCCCCACTCCAATTGTACACCTCTCTGTGGACGTCACCCCACAGCCCAGGCCCCCCGTGCCGGCTCTCGGCACACACGGGTGATGCCTGCCTGGTGTTCACCTCACTTCGGTTTTTGCAGGCAGCAAGAATCCCAAGATTGCCTTGAAACTGGCTGAGTTCCAGACTGACAGCCAGGGCAAGGTAAGGGGGCCTGCTGCATACCAGATAATCTACTAGATGATGCGGGGAAGGGCCGGGTAGGCAGCTGGGTGGATGGGCAGGTCACTCACCTCCCTCTCGGGGGCACTCCCCAGGCCCCAGCCCTGCCGCCCGGTCCGCCTAGCCACAGGCCTTCCCTGTGTGTCTCTGGACCTGTGCCTAGAATGCGGCGTGGCGAGCTGGCCTCCCTGCCTCACAGAGTGGGTCCTGAGACTGGAGGCCACGCCGCGGTAAGGAACAAGCACCGGGCAGGGGCCCTGCGAGGACAGGCGCGGCAGGTGCTCCCAGGCCACCTCGGGAGTGGGTGACGTGTGGATCCAGAGCTGCCCTCTCTCCAAGTTTCCAGAACAGAGAACTCCGTGGGGCAGATGGCTGGGGGACCCCAACTTCGGACGGGCTGTTTCCTCCAGCGTTTCAGGCAGATCCTCAGGTCCGTTCACCGGACCCGTCAGCTACTGTGGGGAGGAGAGTGTTCTGGATCCCCATCCCCCCGACCTCCTCAGATCTAGTACACAGGGTCCTCATCACCTGGGGGTCATCTCAAAGGACCCCACAGCCTGGAGGCGCCATCAGGCAGCAAAAGGCATCATCACCCCGCAGCAAGGCGGTCACCAGCAGACCACACCTGTGACCGCATCTCCCTCGGCCCCCTCCTCCGTAGCCACCCCCTGCAGCCCAGCATATCCCTCCCTTCTCTCACATCCCTGCCCTCCCAGGGGACCCCCAATAGCCCCACATTGATCAGTTCTCTCGGAAGTTGCAAATCCCATAAGACCCAGAAGGGTGTCAGGAAGTTAAGTAACATCATGTTGGAGAACTCGCAGACAGAGCCCTGGGCCAAAGAGGCTGGGGCAGAGGAGAGCAGATGATGATGGGGACACCAGGCGTCCAGAGAAACCCTCCCTTCCCCTGCACCAGAGGATGGAAGGGCTGGGACAAACCAAGGAGGCCCTTGTGTGCTCTTGCAAAAATGACATAATGTGATTAGGACCTCTCCAGACCTCTTTTGCATTCTTTTTTTTTTTTTTTTTTTTTTTTTGAGGTGGAGTCTCGCTCTGTCGCCCAGGCTGGAGTGCAGTGGCGTGATCTCTGCTCACTGCAAGCTCCGCCTCCCGGGTTCATGCCATTCTCCTGCCTCAGCCTCCCGAGTAGCTGGGACTACAGGCACCCACCACCATGCCCGGCTAATTTTTTGTATTTTTTATTAGAGACGGGGTTTCACCGTGTTAGCCAGGACGGTCTCAATCTCCTGACCTCGTGATCCGCCCGCCTCGGCCTCCCAAAGTGTTGGGATTACAGGTGTGAGCCACCACACCCGGCCTTCTTTTGCATTCTTGACAGTAGCATTCTGGCAGATTTTAGGTGATCAGTCTGAGTGGCTTTGCCAGTGATGCACGTGAAACCTCCTTCCAGGCTGGGGTTTTGCTTTGCTTGTTTGTTCTTGTTTTTTGAGACAGGGTCTCACTGTCGTCTAGGCTGGAGTACACTGGTGCAATCATGACCCACTGCAGCCTCAACTTCCCAGGCTCAAGGCAATCCTCTTGCCTCAGCCTCTTGAGTAGCTGGGACTACAGGCATGCACCACCACACCTAACTAATTGTGGGTTTTGTAGAGATGGGGTCTTGCCATGTTCCCCAGGCTGGTCTCGAACTCCTGACCTCAAGTGATCCACCTGCCTCAGCCTCTCAAGGTGCTGGGATTACAGGTGTGAGCCACCGCACCTGGCCCCGCCAGGCTGTTTTAGTGGCTCCTTGCACTCTCAGACGTGCAGAGTCCTTAGGTGGGCTGGGGTGATGCCAATCAAACAAGTCGGCTTGGGGATGTGGGGCTGGTGACCCACTCAAGTGGTAGAGCTGGAGGCCCTGCTGCCGTTTCTCCCTTTGATCCTCCAGAGATGCTGTGCCAGCCCCATTTAGACACGAGGAAGGCTCAGGTCCCCTATCTCTCAATACCCTGGAAACGCCGTGCCAGCCCTGTTTAAGCATGGGGAAGCCCTGGGTCCGGGGACTGTGCTTGCCCAGAGCCACCTGGCTCTAAGGGACAGCCCAGACCAGAGCCTTTGGGTCCAGGCACCTGCTGGGGTGCCGCCGTTGGCTTGCCCAGCCCACCTGCCCCTGTTGGGTGTAGTCATTTGTTTGGGCCATGACAAAGGACCACAGACTGGGAGGCTTACACGGCCGAAATTGATAATGTCCAACACCAAGCTGCTAGCAGGTGGCTCCTTCTCCATGGCTTCTTGGTGGCCGTTGCTTCCTGTATCTCTTCTCAAGACGGCTTCCCTCTATGTGTCTATGTCTATGTGTCCCCCTGTAAGGACAGCAGTCATGCTGGATCAGGGCCCACCCTCATCCACACAACCTTGTCTTAACTCAGTACATCTCCAGTGGCCCCATTTCCAAAGAAGGTTGCGTTCTGGGGTTCTGGGGGCTGAGACTCCAGCATATGAATTTGGGGGGGACATGATGGGACCCAGCGCAGTGGCCTTCTCCTCCGAGCAGCGCCGGGCAGGCCAGGGCATGACCCACACCTGTTTGTTTCCCTTCAGATCGTCTCGACCCAGGAGAAGGAGCTGGTGCAGCCCTTCAGCTCGCTGTTCCCGAAGGTGGAGTACATCGCCAGGGCCGGGTGGACCCGGGATGGCAAATAGTGAGTGTCTCTGGCTGGAACCCAAGGAATTCACCTGCAGGGCCCTGGGCCCTGGGCAGCCACCGAAGCTGCCTCCTGGCCTTCCGTGCCATTCCTTCCATCTGCTCACGTCTTCCCGCAGTGCAACCGCCAGGACAGGCCTCAGACCAGTGTCCAAAGGGCCCTCCTGACCTCAGCCAGTCTGAGGATGAAACACTGGACTTATGAGTCCCAGTGTTAGTGCCACTAGGACATGCTGATCCAGTTACCCAGAGTGTGGAGGAGACCTACAGAGGGGATTTCAGGTGTCCCCAGACCTCAGGCTCAGAAAAACTGAGTCACAAAGTAGAGGTGCTCCCCTGTACTCACTCCCCAGCCTCCCACCCATGTCGAGGAGAGAACTCTACCACCTCCCTAAACGGGGGCCCCAAACCCCAGTGGGCAAATTCAGCCTCTGCCTGTTTTTTTTTTTTGAGATGGAGTCTCGCTCTGTCGCCCAAGCTGGAGTGCAGTGGTGCGATCATAACTCACTGCAGCCCCGAATTCCCAGGCTCAAGCAATCCTCCCACCTCAGCCTCCTGAGTAGAGGGGACTATAGGTACTCGCCACTATGCCTGGCCAATGTTTTGTATTTTTTATAGATATGAGGGTCTTGCTTTTGCATTCCTATGCCTCTTAGCCTGTTCACTTTTCTAATTGCATTGGTTAATGCCTCCAATGGAATGTTAACAATGAATTCTATTATGTGCTGCTGCCATATGTACATTTGCTAGGACTGTGGGTGTGAGTCACCACTCCCAGCTAATATTTTAATTTTTTTTTTTGAGACGGAGTCTTGCCCTGTCACCAGGCTGGAGTGCAGTGGTATGATCTTGGCTCACTGCAACCTCTGACTCCCAGGTTCAAGCAATTCTCCTGCCTCAGCCTCCCGAGTACAGGCACGTGCCACCATGCCCAGCCAATTTTTGTATTTTTAGTAGAGATGGGGTTTCACCATGTTGGCCAGGACAGTCTCAAACTCGTGACCTTGTGATCCGCCCCCCTCGGCTTCCCAAAGTGCTGGGATTACAAGCGTGAGCCACTGTGCCTGGACTTTTTTTTTTTTTTTTGTAGAGACAAGGTCTTGCCATGTTGCCCAGGCCCAGGCAGGTCTTGAACTTCTGGGCTCAAGCGACCCGCCCACCTCAGCCTCTTAAAGTGCTGGGATTGCAGGCCTGAGCCCAGGCACCCACTCTAGTTAGTATTTTATGTCCCTGTGATGCTTCCCTTTGGTTTGGTTTTCGTTGTTCTGTGTGTGGAGGTGCTGCTTTTCCACGTAGAATACTAACATCTCCTCTTAAAATAAATTCAAGTTTAAAAATTGTTCATTTAGGCCAGGTGCGGTGGCTCACGTCTGTAAACCCAGCACTTTGGGAGGCTGGGGCTGGCGGATCATCTGAGGTCAGGAGTTCGAGACTAGCCTGGCCAACATGATGAAACCTTGTCTCTACTAAAAATACAAAAATTAGCCGGGCATGGTGGCAGGCACCTATAATCCCAGCTACTCAGGAGGCTGAGGC
Organism: Homo sapiens; assembly: GCF_000001405.40. Taxonomy (NCBI): domain Eukaryota; kingdom Metazoa; phylum Chordata; class Mammalia; order Primates; family Hominidae; genus Homo; species Homo sapiens. Next base: position 4,696,012 of record NC_000019.10, on the reverse strand, counting down.
AGGAGAATCGCTTGAACCTGGGATGTGGAGGTTGCAGTGAGCTGAGATTGTGCCACTATACTTCAGCCTGGACAAGAGTGAAACTCTGTCTCAAAAAATTAAATAAAGAAATAAATAAATAAAATAAAGCAAACTACGAAATAAAGGATAGCGACTGTGGGCCGAAGAGTCAGTGAAGAGGAGAAACTATTAGAGCTTGCCGCTGTGAGACTTAGGCCATTGTTTCCGGAACACTTGGATCATGAAATCTTGTCACCCATCCTGTCCTCCCCTAAGCATGTGCCAGGAAGGAAGCCTGTGGGTGCTGCAGGGTTACTTGGCCAAGTGCAGGTGAAGCCAGCGCAGGAAGCCCAGCCCTGATTCCACACGGGTTTGGACGCTGCGTCCCCAGCTTCTCTGTGCAGGCCACTGAGGCTCCCAGCTTCCCTCTCATCTTCCCCCGCATCTTCCCCCTTAGCGCCTGGGCCATGTTCCTGGACCGGCCCCAGCAGTGGCTCCAGCTCGTCCTCCTCCCCCCGGCCCTGTTCATCCCGAGCACAGAGAATGAGGAGCAGCGGCTAGCCTCTGCCAGAGCTGTCCCCAGGAATGTCCAGCCGTATGTGGTGTACGAGGAGGTCACCAACGTCTGGATCAATGTAAGCGGGGCAAGCGCTGGCTGTATGCCCGCCTGGGCCCTGGAGTCACACTGTCCCCACCCCCACGTCCTAGAAGGCTGAGCGCCAATGGCAGGTGGTGTTTGCCCTTGTGTGGAGAAGTGAGCTCAGGCCTTGGCCATCCCTGGCTGGCAGGGAAGAGGGTCTAGGGGGGTTGGTGAGTCTGGCAGCCATTGGAGCCTCTCCCCTCATCTATTTTTTTCTTTAATTAGAGACAGGGTTGCTCTGTTGCCCAGACTAGAGTGCAGTGGTGTGGTCATAGCTCACTGCAGCCTTGACCTCCTGGGCCTAAGTGATCCTCCCACCTCAGCCTCCAGAGTAGCTAGGACCACAAGCCTGCACCACCATGCCTGGCTAATTTATTTATTTATTTTTAGAGGTGGGGTCTTACTATGTTGTCCAGGCTGGTCTCTGAAATTCCTGGGCTCAAGCAAGTCTCCTGCCCCAGCCTCCCAAACTACTGGGATTACTGGTGTGAGCCACCATGCCCGGCCACCCACACCTTCTGACGCATCTTCTATCTGCTTTCCGGACAGGTTCATGACATCTTCTATCCCTTCCCCCAATCAGAGGGAGAGGACGAGCTCTGCTTTCTCCGCGCCAATGAATGCAAGACCGGCTTCTGCCATTTGTACAAAGTCACCGCCGTTTTAAAATCCCAGGGCTACGATTGGAGTGAGCCCTTCAGCCCCGGGGAAGGTGAGCAGAGCCTGACGAATGCTGTCGACTCATCGCGTTAGTCACGTGTGGTTCAATATGCTGTTTGTTCATTGGTCGGCCCCCCCACTCAGCCAGCACACCCTGCGGGAGAAGGAACAGGGATCGGCAGGAAGCCAGCCTTCCCCAGTGACTGCATGATCTGGCAGGGCTTAGAGCACCCAACTGTTGGCTTATTCAGGCAGCAGATTTACTGAGCACCTCCCCTGTGCCAGGCCCTTAGCACAACCAGGGGTTGGCCACCTACGGCCCACAGGTCAAATCCGGCCCACCACCTGTGTTCATAAATAAAGTTTTATTGGCACTGAGCCACAGCCACTTGTTTACAGAGACTGTCTGTGGTCGCTTTTGTGCTGCAGCAGCAGAACTGGGTAGTCCCAGCAGAAACTGTTGTGCAAGGCCAAGATTTACTGTCTAGCCCTTTGTAGAAACATTTGCCAGCTCCTGCTGTAGGTAGCTGTGATGGAATTGTTCACTGTAAATAAAGAAAAAGGAAAATCCCTGCTCTTGGGACCTTCTAGTGGAGGAGGCAGTATTCCAGAAACAGTTAGAGGTGCTGCCTCTGGTGTGATGTGCGTGGTGGAAGGAAATGCAGTCGGGCGAGAGGCTTGAGGGTGAGGGGCCTTCTTTCTACAACGGGAGGGCATGAGGACGTCTCTGGAGAGCATGCTGTGGAGGTGAGGGGTCCACACCACGGCTCTGGGCAGAGCCACAGCCCGTACAAAGGCCCTGGGGCAGGCAGGACTGTTCCTGGCATGTTGGAGGAATAGGGAGGAGGCCCCTGTGGCTGGAGCACAGGGAGGAGGGGGAGAGAGGGAGGAGAGGGTGGGGAGAGAAAAAGCAGATGGTGCAGGGCCTGCTGGGGCTCCAGGAGGACTTGGGCTTTGACCCCGAGAGAAATAGGAAGTCGTCACCCTCACCTCAGTTTCAGATGACTCCTCTGGTTGCAGCTTGCACACAGGCCCAGGGGCCGGGAGAGGCGACAGGCTTGCTGTCATGGCAGTGGCTGAGCTGTCCTGGTGGGTCTGATTCTGGATGTGCTTGGACAGCTGAGCCCACACCGTTTGCAGTGGAAAGGGTGGGGGATCAGAGAGGAGGGAGGCGGCATGGATGCCCGGAGGGCTCCGCAGGTCCAGTCTAAGACAGACTCAGAGAGGGACTGTTCTAGGAGAGAAAAAATCCAGAGTCGGGTTTGGATGTGTTCAAGTTGAGGTGCCCGGTAGTGGAGATGCTGTATGGGCCAGTTCCCGTGCCTGGAGCTCAGGGAACCGAGACTCCTGGTGGGATTGCAGGTGTCCTTGCACACTGACAGTGTCAGCCTCGGGATGGGACAGAGCTCCCAAGGGTCACTTCTGGATAGAGAGGTGGGGTGGTCCGGGAGCCCGGCCCAGGCTCTTCAAAGTTAGAGCAGGGACACCATGGACGCCAGGGCCGGGTGGTTCTCTGGGGCGGGGCCATCCTGTGCACCAAGTGGCATCCCTGGCCTCCACCCACTCCATGCCAGGAGCACCTCCAGTTGTGACAACCACAGATGTCCCTAGATGTGGTCCGGTGCCCTCTGGGGGCAGAGCCCACACAGCAGCCAAGGCGTCCCCCAACACAGGGGACAGAGACCCCAGGGAGCGAGGCATCCGGGACTGCAGGAGCTGAAGGGCGAATGAGCCAGGGACAGGTGATGCTGTAGGCTGCCACGGAGCTGAGTATGATGCGGACCGGCGGGGTGACAGCTGCCTCAGGCCAGCATCGGGGTCCTCCTGGGTGGGATGCGGCCAGTGCAGACTTACTGGCTAAGCGTCTCAAAGGGGAGCTGTCTTCGGCTCATTGGTGTTTCACTTTCTGTCTGGCTGGCTCAGCCACCGCCATCTGGCATTGGGATTTCATGTAAATGCTCATTTTGCCCCCTGTGGGAAAATGGGCCAGCCCGAGTGCTCACGTTTCAAATGTGGTCTCAAGTGGAGCCAGCTGCAGCTGCCACTCTCCAGGGGCACAGACCCTCCAGGCTGCTGCAGTGCCCCCAGGGACCCCCGGCCTGTGAGGTGGGCACACCAGATTTCCCAGCACCCTGCTCAGCCCCCAGCACACACCATGCATCTCCTAGACAGCAGCTGCATGGCGAGGAGGTGACCCCAAGTGACATTGCATCAGAAGGAACACGTCGGGACGCGGGCAGGAGCCTGGGTCTTGGGGCTGGGTGGGAACCGCTCTCCTCCCCAGGCCCCGATGCCACAAGTAACCACACCCAGACCTCTACGCCAGGGAAACCACATCTGCCCTCCCGTGCTCCTGACAGACACGTTTGCCGTAGCTTGTTTAGACCTAAAAGGTTAGGAAAGGACAGTGAGCCCTCAGTTACAAACCATCTCAGTGTGTTTCTGCTGTGTGCCATGATGCACCCCGCACTGTCATTCTTTACCTGGTGAAAATTCAAACATGAAGTCAACCCTCCTACCCCCCAAAAAAACAATCATAAAACCAGCAGAGCCTTGGTCTCTAGCCCTAGCGCTTTCACCAGCATCTTGTTCCAGCCGGGGATGTGGCTCACACCTGGAATCCCAGCACTTTGGGAGGCCGAGGTGGGAGGATCACTTGAGCCCAGGAGTTTAAGACCAGCCTGGGCAACATAGTAAGACCCTGTCTCTACCCCCTCGCCCCCACAAAAAAAGTCGGCCAGGCGCAGTGGCTCGTGCCTGTAATCCCAGCAATTTGGGAGGCTGAGGCAGGTGGATCACCTGAGGTCAGGAGTTGGAGACCAGCCTGACCAACATGGTGAAACCCCGTCTCTACTAAAAATACAAAATCCAGCCGGGCATGGTGGCAGGTGCCTGTAATCCCAGTTACTCGGGAGGCTGAGGCAGGAGAATCACTTGAACCCAGGAGACGGAGGTTGCAGTGAGCCAAAATCACGCCATTGCACTCCAGCCTGGGCGACAAGAGCAAGACTCCGTCTTCAAAAAAAAAAAAAAAAAAAAAAAGTCTGGTTTTACAAAGTCCTAATGTGTCCTAAGAGGTCATGGGCCCAGTTGGCTCCTCCCCCACACTCCCCGCCCCCCTTCCCGTGCCACACACAGATGTCATGTGGCCTTTGGAGGGTTCTAAAATTGGGAAATTCCAATGAAAATCCAGATTCCTGGTTTCTCTTCCTGTTTTTTGTTTTTTGTTTTTTTTTTTTGAGACGGGTTCTTGTTGTCGCCCAGGCTGGAGTGGCAGTGGTGTAACCATAGCTCACCGCAGCCTCAACCTCCTGGCTCAAGCAGTCCTCCCAGCTCAATCTCCCAAGTAGCTTGGACCACAGGCACACGCCACCACGCCTGGCTAATTTTTCTTTTTTTTTTGGAGAGACAGGGTCTCCCTATGTTGCCCGGGCTGGTCTCAAACTCCTGGCCTCAAGCAATCCTCCTGCCTCGGCCTCCCAAAGTGCTGGGATTTCAGGAGTGAGCCACGGGTCTCCTGGTTTATCGTGGGAAACACTGGGCCTGCCATCCACATGGCAGGAACAGGCCCCGCAGGCTTCCTTGCCCATGTGGCAGGTCTGACGCAGTGGCCTGTGCTGGCGTCTGAGTTCACAGCAAGCCGGGGTTTCAGTGGCTCCATGGTGAGTCTGCTCGGGTGGAATTTGGCCTGGGTGCCTTTGGGCGCCTGCATCACCTCCCAGGCCCCTTCACCTCCCTTCTTTCTTTCTTTCCAGATGAATTTAAGTGCCCCATTAAGGAAGAGATTGCTCTGACCAGCGGTGAATGGGAGGTTTTGGCGAGGCACGGCTCCAAGGTACCAGGGTCTCCTTGCAGCCTTCCCCTGCTCCATGCATGTGTGTTTTACACACATACACTCACACACACACGCACGCGCATACACACACATACACTCACACACATACTCATTCTCACACATACACACACGCACACACACCTGTGAGGACCCTGCTTTACAGCAGTTCGCAGGCCTCAGCACGGTGTCTACCATACACACAAGCCAATCATTTCATCACCTCCCCGTCTCATCTTGAACGTTGTGCCATTCACGTGCTTTATCCTTTCACCCTGAAATTAAGGAAAACATTGGAAGCCTTTTAGAAATCATGAAAGAGGAAGTGTGTCCTCTGCAGGCCGTCTGGGGCCATGCGTCCAGCTGCCTTGTTGTGGGGCATGATGCTCCCCCGACTGGAAGCTTGTGCCCCGCTGTCCCAGGAGACCACTTATCCTCAGTTTCTTCACGTCTTAGGGTCCCTGGTCACCCCACGCTCCAGCTGCCTCCACCGGCCTCTCAGGCCCTGGGCACAGGGGCAATGCCCTCTCCTCCCTCGGGGCTCTGAGGCCTCCCGGCTCCTTTCCAGGCATCAGCCAAAGCCTGCTCGCTCCTGGGCAGCAGCAGTTGTTTCGAGACCATTAGCATCCCAGCACAGGTGAAGGAGGGGCCCCGCTGCTCCACGCAGTGCAGGCTGCCCTCCCACTCCTCCAGGAGACACCACTTCGGGGCCTACTGGGGCTTCCCACAGGAAGGTAGGGCCCTGCCACTTCTGAACCCAAGCACCTGGGTCGGAGGAACGGCTGACCAGGCTGGGGACTGCCGGGTTTCCCTGAGCCTCTGTTTCGGGCACGGTGCCCTCCCTGGCCTTCCCACCTGGCTCTGGTGGGCCCTCCCAATTCAAGCTAGGAAAGAGCTGTCTGGGGGTGGAATGCAGGCCCCAGGTCCCGCCTGAGGACACGCAGTTCCCAGCTCGACCAGGGGCTGCTCCCAGCCCACGGGGCCAGATAAGCGCATCTCTCAGGGATGGTTCATCTCCAGCCCTAAAGCCAGACTTGGGCGAGGACAGCATGCGTCCCCAGTCCGAGGAACATGGGGCCCACTCCTGTGGGGCGTGGAGAGGGGTGTGGGCCCAGGGGCATCTGGGACGCATCACGAGGATCCCCTGTCCCCCTGCAGATCTGGGTCAATGAGGAGACCAAGCTGGTGTACTTCCAGGGCACCAAGGACACGCCGCTGGAGCACCACCTCTACGTGGTCAGCTATGAGGCGGCCGGCGAGATCGTACGCCTCACCACGCCCGGCTTCTCCCATAGCTGCTCCATGAGCCAGGTGGGACCGCCCAGCCTCACGGCACCGCCCTGTGCCCGTCCAACAGCTCCCAGCCAGAGCAGTCCCTCATGGCCCGGCACAGCACTCAGGGTCATTCTCATGGTCTCGCATTCTCATAGCTGCCTTGGGGCAGGCAGTGCCCACCCCTGCCTCCTGGGTAGGGCAGGGAAGGGAGTGAATTGCCCACCACCAATCCCAGGGTAGTAAGTGGTGGAGCCCCCCAGTGCCCGTCCGCTGAGCTGGGGCTCCGCCGCTCTGTGTGCGGTGGGATGTGGCCCTTAGCCTCTCAGAACATTCTAGAATGTCAGGCGGTGGCCATGCAGAGGGCCACCCCTAGTCCAGGGCACGAGTCAGCTGCAGTTTGCCAGCTGTGGAGCCAGCAAGCTTGCAGGCCTGTGCAGTGGCAGAGCCCTCGGCAGATCCAGCGGTCGGTGACTGTCCATAGGCCCCTGGCTGGGGGACAGACTCGTCCTGGCCTCAGTTTCCTGCTCTGCAGAATGGGGCGATGGCAGTGGTGCCCCCCTTGCAGCAGCGGGTGGAGCTTTGAGGTTTCATGACAGGCAGGGGCAGAGGGATGGGGGCGGGCGGGAGGGAAGCTACCCTGGATCTGCGGTCGGCACCCAGTGGAAAGGGCGCAGCGGCATCCCGTGGAGCTCATCACCCCATTCCACCCCCAGAACTTCGACATGTTCGTCAGCCACTACAGCAGCGTGAGCACGCCGCCCTGCGTGCACGTCTACAAGCTGAGCGGCCCCGACGACGACCCCCTGCACAAGCAGCCCCGCTTCTGGGCTAGCATGATGGAGGCAGCCAGTGAGTAGCCCCTGCCCCGCCCCACGGAGGCCTCCGCCCGCCCGGCTGTAAAACGGGACGAGGGCCCCATGCTGGGGAAAGAGGCAGAGGCCTGGAGCTGGCCTGCCTGGCCTCCCACAGCACCCAGGCCCCTCCAAGCATCTGGGAACTCGTCATAGGACATAAGCCACAGCCCCTGCCGTCCGAGACGGTCCTGGGTTCGAGCTGCAGTAAAGGGCCGGACTGCACAGAACCCGGCAGGGATGCAGCTCCGTGCCAACCCCCTGCCAAAATGGTAACCAGTGAGACACAGACCCTGTCACTGGGAGCTCCCAGGGTAGTGGGCAGGTGACAAGTAAACATTTTCATCAGCGGGCACAGTGGCTTCTGCCTGTAATCCCAATGCTTTGGGAGGCCAAGGCAGGAGGATTGCTTGCACGTAGGAGTTTGAGACCAGCCTGAGCAACATAGTAAGAACTCCCTCTACAAAAATGTTAAAAATTAGCCGGGTGTAGTAGTGTGCACATGTAGTCCTAGCTACTCCAGAGACTGAGATGGGGGGGATCATTTGTGCCCAGAAGTCGGAGGCTGCAGTGAAGTGTGATTGTACCACTGCACTTCAGCCTGGGCAACAGAGCAAGACCCTGACTCTAAAAAAAAATTAAAAATTAAAAACATTTTGGGCCAGGCGCGGTGGCTCATGCCTGTAATCCCAGCACTTTGGGAGGCTGAGGCGGGTGGATCACAAGGTCAGGAGATCGAGACCATCCTGGCTAACACGGTGAAACACCATCTCTACTAAAAATACAAAAAATTAGCCGAGCATGGTGGCGGGCGCCTGTAGTCCCACTACTCGGGAGGCTGAGGCAAGAGAATGGCCTGAGCCCAGGACACAGAGGTTGCAGTGAGCTGAGATCGCACCACTGTACTTTAGCCTGGGCGACAGAGCGAGACTCCGTCTCAAAAAAAAAAAACCTTTTGAACAGTGGTGGTCCATGCAGGGGTGGCCGGGATGTCAGAGTCCACCCACACTGGTTTGAAACCCGCCGTGGTTATCAGGCTTTCCACTCACCTTCTCCAGGACCCTGCAGTCCTGGCCACAGCGGCATGCAGAGGGCCCTTTATGGTGTCCTGTGCCCAGAGGCTGCCGCCCACAGCAGCACCTGCTCAGAGCCGACACTCCGAGGCCTTTATCAGGAAAAGGAGCAAAGGGTCAGTCACAGGGGGGCCTCAGGAAATGAGGCAACCTGACACCTTGCCCAGAACCTGGAAGTTGGCCAGGACCCTGCATTGGTGACTCCGGGTTCCAGTGCTGGCTCCGTCACACACATCAGCGTATCACCATGAAGTGTTTCTTTATCAACGAAACTGTATATACAGAGTGTGGGATGAAAACCAGCGGGTCAGCACACTGCTGGGCTCCCAGGCATCACTCAGTACAAGGACAACCCACCCTGGCCCTGTCTCTGCCATGTTGGTGGGTTTCCAGAACATTCTAAACACAACGAATTTCCAGCATATGCGGGGTATTCCGTGGGCTGGAAAGCATTTTGTGATGCCCTCACCCCTGAGCAGAAACAGATCCCAGGCCTCCCTCTAGAGCCCAGTCCTCACTCTCCTGTCCGCACCGACACCGCCAGGAGCTGGAGCCCTGGCTTCAGATGAGGAGATGGGTCAGGGAGGGGAAGGGGCTCAGCAGGGCACCCAGCCTAGCAGTGGGGGCAGAGACCAGAACCTCAGTGCCCTGGGGAACGAGGCACTGTTTCCCGAAACTCCCAATCTGTGCCACGTTTGAAGACTGCCTGCATTAGGAGCAGGCCAACTGCTGCCAAATCCAGCCACGTGCAGTCCCTCTGTGGTCTGTGGCCACATTAGCGCTACCGCAGCAGATGACACAGAGACACAGCACGGAGCGTGTCCCGCCACGCCCAATTCCCAGAGCCCAATATATTTGCTATCTGGCCCTCCACAGTAAACTTCTGCTACCCCTAGACCTGTAGTACCCTTTACTCACCTTCCTATAAATTGCCCCACCAAAATTTACCTACATACATTTATTTAAAGAAAAAACTTTGGGCCAGGTGCAGTGCCTCACGCCTGTAATCCCAGCACATTGGGAGGCCAAGGTGTGCGGGTCACCCAAGGTCAGGAGTTCGATGGCTGGGTGTGGTGGCTCACGTCTGTAATCCCAGCACTTTGGGAGACATAGGTGGGTGGATCACCTAAGGACAGGAGTTCGAGACCAGCCTGGCCAATATGGTGAAACCCCATCTCTACTAAAAGTACAAAAATTAGCCAAATGTGGTGGCGCGCACCTGTAATCCCAGCTACTTGGGAAGATGAGGCAGGAGAATTGCTCAAACCCAGGAGGTGCAAGTTGCCGTGAACCAAGATCGTGCCACTGCATTGCAGCCTGGGTGACAGAGTGAGACTCCGTCTCAAAAAAAAAAAAAAAAAAATACAGTTCGAGACAAGTTTGGCCAACATGGTGAAACCCCGTCTCTACTAAAAATACAAAAACATTAGCCGGGCGTGGTGCCGTGCACCTATAATCCTAGCTACTCAGGAGGCTGAGGCAGGATAATCGCTTGAACCCAGGAAGGCGGAGGTTGCAGTGAGCCAAGATCACAAGACTTTGTCTTGAAAAAAAAAAAGAAGAAAAAGAAAAAAAACAGAAAAACCCCCACCATCCTAATTGGACAACAACTGTTGCTTTGCAAAAATAGCAGTGACCCTACACAGGAGGCCGAGGTGGGAGGATCGCTTGAGGCCAGGAAGTCGAGACCAGCCTGGGCAACAGGGAGACAAGACCCCATCTCTACAAAAACTGTACAAATCTTATTTAATGAAAAAAAAACGTTTTTTTCAATTATCAACTCTCGGGAAGCCCAGGAAAAGAGGGGGTGCTTTGGTCCACCCTCCAAGGCTTGGGGTGGGCAGGAGAACAAGGGTGTCAGCTGGATGTGGCTTCCCCGGGCAGCCAGATAGCCGCCCTGTCTCCCGCAGGCTGCCCCCCGGATTATGTTCCTCCAGAGATCTTCCATTTCCACACGCGCTCGGATGTGCGGCTCTACGGCATGATCTACAAGCCCCACGCCTTGCAGCCAGGGAAGAAGCACCCCACCGTCCTCTTTGTATATGGAGGCCCCCAGGTGAGTGCACACCTGCTCCCCAGGCCCCCACCCCACCATCCACCCGAGGACTCCCCATCCCCACTCAAGTGCCAGCTGTAGAACAGTCAACCAGAGGAGGCTCCCCGGCTACCTGCCTGGTGCCCCAGCCCACCCCGCCTGCCCTGACTACACAGGGTCCTCGGGGCCCCTCACCCTCCTTTCTCTGTGCCCGTTTGCACGCTCCCCGCCCTTCCTGGATGGCCTCCCCTTCCCCCTCCGCCTGCTGACTCTCCCTTGTTCCTCTAGGAAGTCCCCTAGTCTCCAGGTTGGTATGGAGGTGGCCATGGGCCCTGGGCCCAATTCCTGGAGCAGGGGTCAAAAGCAGGCAGCAGATTGGCAGTTGGACCATCTTAGGCGCACATCTTACCCAGAGCAGCTCTGTCCCCACAGAGGATACGGGGCGATGTCTGGGTACTTTGTGGTTCATCACCACTGCGAGTTCTCCTGGCCTGGAGTGGCTTCTCAGCACCCCGCAGTGCCCAGATGGCCCCACCCGAGAAGGAGCCACCCCAATGTCCATCATGCCAGAGTAGTTGTTCCAGGCAGGACTGGGGCAGTGGCCCAGCTGAGAAAGAGCCTGACAGTGGCCCTTCCCCCTCCCTAGCAGGGTCCCGAGTATGGGCCCCTCCCGCCTTGCCACTCCCAGGTGTCCATCCAGAGCCTCCGGGGCACAGGTGCTTTCATTAGGCTCTGAGGCCCCAGCCCGGCCCGGTCCCCAGCCCACCGGCATCTCCCCTGCCAGGCCCGTCCTGCCCGGCATCTCGTGCTGGACTGCTGGCCCTCACCTCCCCACAGGTGCAGCTGGTGAATAACTCCTTCAAAGGCATCAAGTACTTGCGGCTCAACACACTGGCCTCCCTGGGCTACGCCGTGGTTGTGATTGACGGCAGGGGCTCCTGTCAGCGAGGGCTTCGGTTCGAAGGGGCCCTGAAAAACCAAATGGTAACAACTCCTCCCTGTTGCTCTGGGTCCTTTGGGTCTCGGGAAGGGAGCCCTGGGCCGTGTGGGTGCAGGGCATGGGAGCGGCTCTGGAATACCACCCGCAGAAGGGCACTTCTGGCTGGGGTGACGCAGGCTCAATGAGGCGCCCTTTTAGAACAAAAGGGGATGTATGCTTTGCTGCTCAGCTCTGGGCTGCGCCCTGCAGGGACAGAGACAAGTTGTGCTGACACTGGTGATGACGACGGTGGTGATGGCGATCATCTCGGCCCCTTTGCACTGCTGGAACAAAACCCCACAGCCTGGGGATTTATAAAGAACGAAAATCTCTCACAGTTCTGGAGGCTGGGAGGTCCAAGGCCAAGGCAGGGCTGTGTCGGGGAGGGCTGCTCTCTGTTCCCACGAGGTTGCCTGGTCAGCAACCCTCCAGAGAGGCCCTGTGCTGCTTCCTACACGGCAGAGGGGTTGCAAGGAGCGGAAAAGCCGTGGCCTCCCTCCATCAGGCCCTTTTATAAGGGCCCCTCATCCCATTCACATGAGTGGGCCCCATGGATCAGTCGCTTGAAGGCCGCAGTAGTGATCTCAGCACGGACTTCAGAGGGGACACCAGCATTGAAATCGTGGCAGTGGCGGTGGTGGGGATGTGGCTGGTAGTGACAACGGCGATGGCACCAGCCATTCTTTGTGCCCTTGCACATGCCTGGGCACCCGTCTTTTTCTTCCTTGTGCCCTCTAGAAAATGGGTCCTCTTCCTGTTAATGTCCCTTTATTAGGGATGGGCAAACTGACGCCCTCAGAGGGGACGTGGCTCCCAGAGCCACTCACCTGGGAGGTGGCAGAGCAAGATGGCTGCTGGATCTGTCCAGCCATCCCCAGATAGCAGGCAGGGTTAGCAGGGCCTGGAAGGACAGGGGGCTTCCAGCGAGCCACTTTTCATCCAAGAGGGAGAGACGCCCTGAAAGGAGCAGAGGTGTCACTGCAGGGGAGGGACATACCGGGAGGAGGCCACTGAGAGGTGCCCGGCTTCATCCCTCAGGGCCAGGTGGAGATCGAGGACCAGGTGGAGGGCCTGCAGTTCGTGGCCGAGAAGTATGGCTTCATCGACCTGAGCCGAGTTGCCATCCATGGCTGGTCCTACGGGGGCTTCCTCTCGCTCATGGGGCTAATCCACAAGCCCCAGGTGTTCAAGGTGGGTCCCACCCCTGGCCGGCCTCAGCCACGCCCCTCCCTGCCCCCTTCCCCATCTACGCCGCGTTTGCCCACCGCCCGCGCCACCCGGAGCCCACCTACCGGGGAGGCGCCTCGGCAGGGGCCTTGCCACGTGGCTGTTTCTCCCTGCAGCAGCCCCACGGGGCCGAGCCCCCCTCCTCATTGCCCGCCACCGCCGACCGCAGGATGGCATCCGGCTGCACAAAACCCCGCCAGCAGCTCTCTGTGGGAGGCTGAGCCCGGGACCCCGGCCTCGGATGGGCAGAGGTGGGGCATGGTGTGCAGAGCGGCGGGGGGGCCCCAGGCCGGCGGCAGTCAGGGCACTGCGGGGCGGCGGCGATGAGGAGGAGGAGGAGGCAGACGGGCAGTGGGACCCGGCCCTCTGCGGCGGCGGGGAGGGGCCGCACCTGCCCGCCTGTGGCGCCCTGCCCACCCCCATGCCACGCACCGTCCACGGGGGCCACGCGGTCTGAGGGCCCCTTCCTTGCCGGCCCCATGTGCATGAGCGCTCCTCACGGGCTCCAGGGCGGCCCCGGGACAGCGGCTGATGCTGGCTGTAGGACCCGACGCCTGTTTCTCTCTCTCTCTCTGCCCCCATCTGTCTGCTGTGTCCCTCAGGTGGCCATCGCGGGTGCCCCGGTCACCGTCTGGATGGCCTACGACACAGGGTACACTGAGCGCTACATGGACGTCCCTGAGAACAACCAGCACGGCTATGAGGCGGGTTCCGTGGCCCTGCACGTGGAGAAGCTGCCCAATGAGTAAGGCCACTGCCCTGCCCTGCGCTCCTCCCCGGGGCTTCTCCTGCACCCCGGCACCAGCTGTCTCTATGAGGGTGCCCTCCTGCCCCAGCTGGCCCTGCCCAGGGAGCCTCAGGCCATGTGGAGCCTCCCCGCTGTGCTCCTGTGGTGGCGTCTGCCTGCATGTGCCTCACAGTCCCCTCCAGCCCACCCTCCCTCCTCACTGCACCTTGCAGGAAGGGGCACCCAGGGATGCTTGTCTGGGGAAGGAGGCTCACAGCCCTGCCCTGGGAAAGATGAGGGAATTCGAGTCACTGCTTTTCACAGGCAAGCCTCCCCCACTCCCCTGCATCCTGCTGGAGGCCCCATCACAGCCTCTGTCTTGTGCTTCAGGACATAGATGTCCACAGGGCCAGGGACCAGCTCAGATGTCCCATTTTATGCTTTTGACATGGGTCTTATTCTCTGATGGAGAGAAAACAGTGTTCCCATTTTCTGGCACGTCTCCAGAAAATGTTCCCCGGAATCCCATGCAGTCACCTAGGGGGTTAAAAATCTGCCTGGGCATGGGCCGGGCGCGGTGGCTCACTCCTGTAATCCCAGCACTCTGGGAGGCTGAGGCGGGCGGATCGTGAGGTCAGGAGATTGAGACCATCCTGGCTAACAAGATGAAACCCCGTCTCTACTAAAAATACAAAAAATTAGCCGGGTGTGGTGGCGGGTGCCTGTAGTCCCAGCTATATGGGAGGCTGAGGCAGGAGAATGGCGTGAACCCGGGAGGCGGAGCTTGCAGTGAGCCGAGATCGTGCGCCACTGCACTACAGTCTGGGCGACAGAGCCAGACTCCAATTCAAAAAAAAAAAAAAAAAAAAAAGTCTGCCTGGGCACTTTGGGAGGCCAAGGCAGGAGGATTGCTTAAGGTAGGAGTTCGAGACCAGCCTGGCCAACATGGTGAAACCCCGTCTCTACAAAAAAATACAAAAAATAAGCTGGGCATGGTGGTGCATGCCTGTAATGCCAGCTACTTGGAAGGCTGAGGCAGGAGAATCGCTTGAACCCAGGAGGTGGAGTTGGTAGTGAGCGAACATCGTGCCACTGCACTCTAGCCTGGGCAACAGAGAGAAACTGTCTCAAAACAATAATAATAATAATAGGCCAGGAACGGTGGCTTCAGGAGTTCAAGACCAGCCTAGCCAACACGGTGAAACCCCATGTCTACTAAAAATATAAAAATTAGCCAGGTGTGGTGACACACACCTGTAATCCCGGCTACTCAAGGAGGCCGAGGCAGGAGAATTGCTTGAACCTGGAAGGGTGAGGTCGCAGTGAGCTGAGATCGCACCACTGCACTCCAGCCTGGGCAACAGAGCGAGACTCTGTCTCAAAAAATAATAATTTATTGTGGTGAAATTCACAGAACCTAACAGTCACCTTAAAGCAGCCCTCGGTGCATTTGCAGTGGTTCCAGAACCTTTCCAGCACTCCAGCGTCAAACCCTGTTCCCATTCCTTAGCAGTCACTCCCTGTCCCGGGGCAGCCACCGATCTGTGCTCTGTCTCAATGGGTTTATAAGTTCCGTTAATTTGGATGAATGTAAACTGGAATTTCAACGGCGACGTGTGGCCACTGGCTCCCGTATCGGACAGGAAGGGCTAGGGCAGCCGATTCTGGTGAGGCTGCGTGTTGGCCTCACCAGTAGCCCATGCCACACTCCAGACCACAGACAGCAGCAGACCTAGGTGGGTTTTTGTTTTGTTTTGTTGAGAGAGTCTCACTCTGTGGTCCCGGCTGGAGTGCAGTGGCTTAATCTCAGCTCACTGCAACCTCCACCTCCCAGGTTAAAGCAATTCTCGTGCCTCAGCCTCCTCAGTAGCTGGAATTACAGGCATGCACTACCACACCCAGCTAATTTTTGTATCTTTAATAGAGATGGGGTTTCACCATGTTGCCCAGGCTGGTCTTGAACTCCTGGCCTCAAGTGATCCACCTGCCTTGGCCTCCCAAAGTGCTGGGATTACAGGTGTAAGCCACCATGCTCAGCATTTTTTTTTTTTTTTTTTAATCATAGCTCACTGCACCCTCCCAGGGTTTAGGTGATCCTCCTGCCTCAGGCTCAGCTGGGACCACAGGTGTGCACCACCACGCCTGGCTAACTTTTAAATATTTTTGTAGAGATGAGGTTTTGCCATGTTGCCCAGGCTGGTCTCAAACAACTGGACTCAATCCACCCAGCTTGGCCTCCCAAAGTACTGGGATTACAGGCATGAGGCACTGCACCCGGCCTGGGTTTTTGTTTTTGTTTTTCTAATTTAGAGATGGGGTCTTGCTCTGTCACCCAGGCTGGAGTGCAGTGGTATGATCATAGCTCACTGTAGCCTCCACCTCCTGGGCTCAAGTGATCCTCCCGCCTCAGCCTGCACAGTAGCTGGACTTACAGGCGCACCACTACACTCAGCTGATCTTTTTTTTTTTTTTTTTTTTGAGATGCTGTCTCCATCTGTCGCCCAGGCTGGAGTGAGTGGCGCGATCTCAGCGCACTGCAACCTCTGCCTCTGAGGCTCAAGCAGTTCTCCTGCCTCAGCCTCCCAAGTAGCTGCGATTTCAGGCACCTGCCACCATGCCTGGCTAATTTTTTTTAAATATATTTTTAGTAGAGACAGGGTTTCACCATGTTGGCCAGGCTGGTCTCAAACTCCTGACCTTGTGATCTGCTCCCCTCCTACCCCACGGACAATCCCTGGCCTCAGACCCTTCCCCATCTGTTTTCCAGGCCCAACCGCTTGCTTATCCTCCACGGCTTCCTGGACGAAAACGTGCACTTTTTCCACACAAACTTCCTCGTCTCCCAACTGATCCGAGCAGGGAAACCTTACCAGCTCCAGGTGGGTGGCTGTTGGGGGCTTCGGCCCCTCCGCGAGCCGACAGATCCCTGGGAGTGGGGGGTGGGACGAGGCGGGGTGGCTTCCCACTGTGACCAGGGGCTCCCTGGGGGATCTGGGGCTCCCAGCCCCCCACCCCACAGCCCTGTGTCCCCGCCCTCCCAGCTCCCAGGGCCATTGATGTATCAGTCCTGTCTTGACAGCTCAGGGTTCCGCCTGCCTTCGGTGCTGGAAGCACGGGATCGGGGGCTGCCACACCCACCCCTGCTCCGGGCCTAATGGAGGGAGGAACCCTTACCGAAATTGCCCCGCAGACGGGCTTTATTTGAAACTGAGAAATTGCGTAGAAGAAACCGCTGAGTGCTGAAGGCCCTAGCAGGCTCCTTCCTAAGGCGCTGGGGCCAAGCATTCCCTGAGGAGGCAGCAGTGAAGGGTGCTAGAGTGAGTGGAGCCAGCCAGGCTTGGGGGACCGAGCGGGAGGAGAGTGGGGGAGTGGGTGGAGCCTTGGCAGCAACGTGGGGCTCAGTCTAGGTGGGCGGGGCTTCTGCGCTAAGGGGTGGGCATGGTTATGGGCGGGGCCTCAATGGCGAGGAGGGTGGGACTTCTGCAGAGGGACGGGGCTTCAGTGTTACGGTGGGTGGGGCTTCCGCAGTAAATGGTTGGCCTCGGTGTGGGGAAGGGCCTCGGTAGTGGAGAGGGTGGGGCTCGGTGTGGGAGCAGCGCCTCAGCGGTGAGGAGGGTGGGGCTTCTGCTGTAGAGGAGGGGGGGCCCTCAGTAAGCAGGGTGGAGCTTCTGCTATAGAGGGGTGGGGCCTCAGCGGGGGCGGGGCTTCGGCTGGATTTTCAACTGAGGGTGGTGGGAGGTGACTCGGGCTTGTGAGCAGAGCATAGAGTTGGGCGGCTTGCCATTTGACCCACATTTCTCTGGCTGCTTTGTGGATGGCCTGTGGGGGACAGTGGGACGTGGTCCATAGTTGTACCGGCGGGAGATTCAGGAGGTATCTTGGAGGCAAGAGGGCCAGGTTTTATTACCTGTGGACTGCAGACAATTTCTGCTTCCTGGGCGCCTCGGCATGCTCTGTCCTGTGGGGAGCGTCCTGTTGCCTTTCAACAGAGCAGGGAAATGGGGCCGCAGAGCAGGAGGGAGGCAGAGCCACCTTGTGCGGTGATGAGCTGATCTCTTGGCGGTGCCCCCCACCGACACCCCACATCCCAAGCAGCCCAGGGAGTGATATCAGGCAGGGCTGGAATGGAACTTCAGATGTCTCTTCCCAGCCTGAGACCCGAGCCCACTGCCTTCCCAGGGGCCAGGTAGCTGGGACAGCATTCACCCTTGCACCTCGTTTCTCCGTCTTTGAAACGGTCATGATAACTCGGCCTCCTTGAAGGCTGCTGGGGCCAAACAAGGTCTTCAGAAAAGCATTCAGGCCGGGCGTGGTGGCTCACGCCTGTAACCCCAGCACTTTGGGAGGCTGAGGCGGGTGGATCACTTGAGGCCAGGAGTTTGAGACCAGCCTGGCTAACATGGCAAAGCTCCGTCTCTACTAAAAATACAAAAATTAGCCGAGTGTGGTGGCACACGCCTGTAGTCCCAGCTACTCGGGAGGCTGAGGCAGGAGAATCGCTTGAACCTGGGAGGCGGAGGTTCCAGTGAACCGAGATTGTGCCACTGCACTCCAGCCTGGGCGGCAGAGGGAGACTCCGTCTCAAAAGAAAAAAAAAAAAGAAAAGAAAGAAAAAAGAAAAGCATTCAGCACACAGGGTGGGCCCAGGGTCCTGTCTCACTGCCTCCCCACAGGAAGTAGAACGTGAGATGAGATAGGCTGTGGGGTGGGAACATGGCATTGTGTGGGACAGATAGAGTGCACCTCTCCTTCTGTTTCAAAGACCCCAAAACATCTGGGCCAGGCAGCTGGCGGCCCCAGGCCCTCTTTATACACAAATCACATTTGTCACATGCCGGGCCTTGGGCTTGGTCTGGAAGCTCATTGGGGAGCCAGACAGACCCTCTATCTGCCCTCTTAGCCAAGAGGAAAAAGTAACCAGGCAGCTGGGACCCAGAGTGGCATAAAGGCATGGGCACAACATGTGCATATGGCTGGTGTCAAGGGCAGCAGAGTCTGCCCCAGGGAGTGCCACTGCCCGGGCTGGGGAAGGAGTGGGCCCTTGAAGTGCCTGGGGCAGCAGGACCTGGAAGCTGGTCTTGATGTCAGACTGGCAAGTCCTTGCAGAGGTCTAGGCTGGGGACGGTGTCATCAAACTCGTGATTCATCCAGGGATGGATTAAAGAAGGCAAGAGTAGAGGAGGGGAAACCAGTGGGTGGCTTGGTGCATTCCCAGGGTGATGGGCAACAGTGGGGACCAGGAGCCTGGAGAGGAGGGGATGATTCAGAAACCCATCTCACTGGCAGGAGGTGGCGTAGATGGGCCACCTGCCCCTGCTGCCGGCCAGCCCCGGGGTTCTTTGTGGAGAACGTAGGGTTATTTTCATGCCTTGGTCCTACCAACCCCTAGGGGGCAGTGGGGAGCTATAGGGGTTGTCCGTCAGTGCCTCGAGAGCCCTCCTTCGTGGCCAGAGGCAGGACCTGCATCCCCGTGTGGATCCACCCCCAGGCCTGGCGTTGGCTGGTCCAGGTCTCAGGAGCCTGGGGAGTTCCATGTTACTGCCTGCCTCTTGGCTTGATCCCCCTTGGGCGCTAAGAGGACCCAGAAAATGCTTCACAAATCCTCACAGGCAGCTGTCCTAAGGCCCAGAGCTAGTCACATGCCTTTTGGTAAAGTGGAAATGGCTCGAGACCAGGGCACCAGATGTCCCTGAGGCTTGAAGCCTCAGCCACCTCCACAGAGATGAGTTGGTCGCCCGTCAGCCGGTTTGGGGGAAAGAGGCAAACGGTTTCTTCCTAAATCTTTCCTCTGTGCAAGCGCGTGCACACCGCAAGGCGTTTTGTAAACTTTGTCTTACCAAATCCTCCCAAAGACTGTGAGGTCCGGATTCACCCCATTTTTTAGAGAGGCCCAGAGTTACACTGCAAGTCAACAGCCGAGGTGGGATTCAAACCCAGATCACTGGGCCTCAGAGCACCTGCGCCTTCCCGGATGCCCTGAGCCAGAATAAGGGAGGAGCCTAGGACACGGGGGTGGTCCGGCCACGCCCCCCAGCCCTGCCTCCTGTCTCCCCGCAGATCTACCCCAACGAGAGACACAGTATTCGCTGCCCCGAGTCGGGCGAGCACTATGAAGTCACGTTGCTGCACTTTCTACAGGAATACCTCTGAGCCTGCCCACCGGGAGCCGCCACATCACAGCACAAGTGGCTGCAGCCTCCGCGGGGAACCAGGCGGGAGGGACTGAGTGGCCCGCGGGCCCCAGTGAGGCACTTTGTCCCGCCCAGCGCTGGCCAGCCCCGAGGAGCCGCTGCCTTCACCGCCCCGACGCCTTTTATCCTTTTTTAAACGCTCTTGGGTTTTATGTCCGCTGCTTCTTGGTTGCCGAGACAGAGAGATGGTGGTCTCGGGCCAGCCCCTCCTCTCCCCGCCTTCTGGGAGGAGGAGGTCACACGCTGATGGGCACTGGAGAGGCCAGAAGAGACTCAGAGGAGCGGGCTGCCTTCCGCCTGGGGCTCCCTGTGACCTCTCAGTCCCCTGGCCCGGCCAGCCACCGTCCCCAGCACCCAAGCATGCAATTGCCTGTCCCCCCCGGCCAGCCTCCCCAACTTGATGTTTGTGTTTTGTTTGGGGGGATATTTTTCATAATTATTTAAAAGACAGGCCGGGCGCGGTGGCTCACGTCTGTAATCCCAGCACTTTGGGAGGCTGAGGCGGGCGGATCACCTGAGGTTGGGAGTTCAAGACCAGCCTGGCCAACATGGGGAAACCCCGTCTCTACTAAAAATACAAAAAATTAGCCGGGTGTGGTGGCGCGTGCCTATAATCCCAGCTACTCGGGAGGCTGAGGCAGGAGAATCGCTTGAACCCGGGAGGTGGAGGTTGCGGTGAGCCAAGATCGCACCATTGCACTCCAGCCTGGGCAACAAGAGCGAAACTCTGTCTCAAAATAAATAAAAAATAAAAGACAGAAAGCAAGGGGTGCCTAAATCTAGACTTGGGGTCCACACCGGGCAGCGGGGTTGCAACCCAGCACCTGGTAGGCTCCATTTCTTCCCAAGCCCGAGCAGAGGGTCATGCGGGCCCCACAGGAGAAGCGGCCAGGGCCCGCGGGGGGCACCACCTGTGGACAGCCCTCCTGTCCCCAAGCTTTCAGGCAGGCACTGAAACGCACCGAACTTCCACGCTCTGCTGGTCAGTGGCGGCTGTCCCCTCCCCAGCCCAGCCGCCCAGCCACATGTGTCTGCCTGACCCGTACACACCAGGGGTTCCGGGGTTGGGAGCTGAACCATCCCCACCTCAGGGTTATATTTCCCTCTCCCCTTCCCTCCCCGCCAAGAGCTCTGCCAGGGGCGGGCAAAAAAAAAAGTAAAAAGAAAAGAAAAAAAAAAAAAAGAAACAAACCACCTCTACATATTATGGAAAGAAAATATTTTTGTCGATTCTTATTCTTTTATAATTATGCGTGGAAGAAGTAGACACATTAAACGATTCCAGTTGGAAACATGTCACCTGCCTGAGGTTCCTTCTAAGTCCTGGGGCTCCTGAGTGGGAGGGGCTTCCGGGGGGCAACAGACAAGACATGGCAGAAGGGCACTGCCATCTGTGGGGACTCCTGGGGTGCTGGGGCTGCCTGGGCACCATGCCCTGATCAGACTGACCCACAGAGGATGGCCCCAGCCACCTGATGAGGGTAGTCCTGTCCTCGCTGGTCTAGGAAGGTCTACCGGTCTCCAGGGACTCAGCTCTGGCTGTCGTGTGTGGCCTGGACTGGCCCCCCGGGCTCCCCAGAGCCTCAGCACAACCCAAATTACAGCATCCTCCATGCTGGATCCTCCCCCAGCCAACACCTCCTTTTCTACCTGAGACTCTGCACCCTGAGGACCACGACAGGCCAAGGCCCTCCTCACATCGTCCCAGCAGCCAAGACACCCAGCAGACCCTGTTTGCAACGTGCGGGGCATGTGGGCTCCATTTCTAACAGCAGGGATGGACTGCCCTGCTTATCCACTTGCTCCATCCTTTGGAAATTTCCACTTTTTTTAAAAAAAAAAAAAGGGGGGGGGGGGCTTAAAAAAACATACGAGGCCGGGCGTGGTGGCTCACACCTGTAATCCCAGCACTTTTGGATGCCAAGATGGGTGGATTGCATCAGTCCAGGAGTTGGAGACCAGCCTGGGCAACATGGTGTGAAACCCTGGCTCTACAAAAACAAAAATTAGCTGGGTGTAGTGGCGCATGCCTGCAGTCCCAGCTACTCAGGAGGTTGAGGCTGGAGGATCACTTTAGTCTCGGGAGGTCGAGGCTGCAGTGAGCTGTGATCATGCCACTGCACTCCAGCCTGGGTGACAGAGTAAGACCCTAGTCTCCAAAACAACAACAACAACATCAAAAAGGAAGTATAAAAAAGAAAAAAATTCCAGTACAAAATGATATTTAGGGGACTCAGGCACAGTGGCCTCCACCTGTAATCGCAGCTAATCAGGAGGCCAAGGCGAGAGGTTGGCTTGAGCCCAGGCATTTGAGATCAGCCTCAAAAAAAAAAAGGCCATGTGTGGTGGCTCACGCCTGTAATCGCAATACTTTGGGAGGCTGAGGCCAGCAGATCACTTGAACCCAGGAGTTTGAGACCAGCCTGGGCGATATGGTGAAACCCCATCTCGACTAAAAATTGAAGAATTAGCCCAGCGCAATGGTGCACGCCTGTAGTCCCAGCTACTCAGGAGGCTGCAGTGGGAGGATCACTTGAGCCCTGGAGGAGGAGGAGGTTGCAGTGAGCTGAGGAGGTTTCTCCAGCCTGGGCAACAGAGTGAGACCCTGTCTCACACAGACACACACACACACAAAAAGGAGGCCAGGCACAGTGGCTCACACCTATAATGCCAGCACTTTGGGAGGCCAAGGTGGGTGAATCATTTGAGCACAGGAGTTTGAGACTAGCCACAGCAACATGGCATAAACCCCATCACTACAAAAAAATAATAATAATAATAGCTGGGTGAGTGTTGCATGCCTTGTAATCCCAGCTACTTGGGAGGCTGAGTGGGAGGATCATTTGAGCCCAGGAGGTTAAGGCTGTAGGGAGCTGAAACTACCACTGCATTTCAGCCTGGGCGACAGAGCAAGACCTTGTCTCAAATTTAAAAAAAAAAATAAATAAATAATCTAATATTTGTGTGATCGAATCTTGTCCTTTAGGACTGACAGATTTCATATCATGATTAGTGGGATCCGTGGAATAATTTGTTGTTTGCTCCTCTGTCACCCAGGCAGGAATGCAGTGGTATAATCACAGCTTACTGCAACCTCGACCTCCTGGGCTCAAGTGATCCTCCCACCTTGGCCTCCCAAAGTGTTGAGATTACAAGAGCCACTGTGTCCAGCCTTGTTTTCTTTTCTTTTTCTTTCTTTCCTTTTTTTTTTTTTTTTTTTGGACACAGGGTTTCGCTCTGTCACCCAGGCTGGAGTGCAGTGGTGTAATCTCAGCTCACTGCAACCTCTGCTTCCATGGCTCAAGTCATCCTCTGGCCTCAGCCTCCCAAGTAAGTGGGACTACAGGCACAAGCCATCATGCCCAGCTAATGTTTTTGTATTTTTTATAGGGACGGTGTCTTGCCATCTTGCCCAGGCAGTTTTTAAACTCCTGAGCTCAAAGTGATCTGCCTCCCAAAGTACTGGGGCCAGCCTTGTTTTTTCTTTTAATCCTTTTAGTGTGATGATTTGTGGTGGGTGGGTGAAACTTGGGGCCGAAACCTTTCTGGAAAGAACACACACACGCATGCACACGCATACGCACAACCTGCCTGGGTTCCGTAGCAGACTCCCAACAGCTCACAACTGAAATTCCTTGTTAGCCGCAGAGCTCGGCCATGCATCGAATCCTTCATGGTGACAGGCTGAAAGTTGAACACCGTGGTAAGGTAATGGGGACTCCATCAGTGGAACCGTGCTGTGTCACTCACCTAAGGAACAGGGCTGCTCTGTGCTTGTCCAGTTTATGGAGACAGTGTCTCATGGGTCCAGAACAGACAGCTGCATGGAGGAAGAGATTTGTTTGTTTATTTCTTTATTTATTAAGACGGAGTCTTGCTCTGGGACCCAGGCTGGAGTGCAGTGGCATGATCTCAGCTCACCGTAACCTATGCCTCCTGGGTTCAAAAGATTCTCCTGCCCCAGCCTCCCAGGTAGCTGGGATTACAGGCGCCCACCACCATGTCCGGCTATCTTTAAAAAATAATCTTAAAATATCTTTAAATATATATATATATAAGTATATATATGAATATATGAATATATATAAGTATATATGTGAATATATGAATATATATAAGTATATATATGAATATATGAATATATATAAGTATATATATGAATATATGAATATAAGTATATATATGAATATATGAATATAAGTATATATATGAATATATGAATATAAGTATATATATATGAATATATTAATATATATATTCATATATATGAATATATATTCATATATATGAATATATGAATATATATAAGTATATATGAATATATGAATATATATATAAGTATATATGAATATATGAATATATATTCATATATATGAATATATGAATATATATTCATATATATGAATATATAAGTATATATGAATATATGAATATATAAGTATATATGAATATATGAATATATATTCACATATGTGAATATATGAATATATATTCACATATGTGAATATATGAATATATATATTCACATATGTGAATATATGAATATATATATTCACATATGTGAATATATGAATATATATATTCACATATGTGAATATATGAATATATATATTCACATATGTGAATATATGAATATATATATAGGAATGGGGTCTCACTATGTTGCCCAGAATGGTCTAGAACTCCTGAGGTCAAGCAATCCACCCACCTTGGCCTCCCGAAGGGTTGGAATTACAGGCATGAAGTATCACGCCCGGCCAATAAATTTCCTAACGCAAGCAGGTATCCCAATTTAGAACAGGCTGCCACTGCAGAAAGGCAACTGGCTTGGACTTCTGTCATTGGCAGAGGAGTCAGCCTCCACGGGGATCCTTCTCACCTCCCTGGGGCTCACCACCCTCCGTAGCTATGGAGTAGAGTGATTTAATTCCTCAAAGGGTGAATTATAACCCATCTTAGGAGTCATCTATGACGTTTTCTCTCTGGATTCTGTTTTTTGCCAGTTGGGAAGGACTAGAAACACCAGCTTAATTATTGACCCCCCAGGCCTGGCCACTGGTGTTTTCTTGAAATGTTAAGCCATTTGTAACCAAAGAATGACTTCCTTCTCTAGTTGAAAACCTGGGATCTAATGATAGCAATAGCTACAATATATAATTCTCAGTTCATTCGTCCCGGTGTGGGAACTTAATTCCCTCACTTACTCCTCCCAACAACTCCTTGAGGTAGGGATTATTTTCTTTTTAACTTTTTATTTTGAAATAATTTTTGCCTCCCAGAAAATCTGCAGAAACTGTAGGGTTTCCTAATACGCTTCATCCAACTCCCCCTAATGTGAACATCGTCTGTAACCCCTAGGACAAGCCAGGTTATCAAAGCCAGGAAGTGAACACCCACATAATCCTATTAACAAATACACAGACTGATCGAGCGTGATGACTCACACCTGTAATCCCAGCACTTTGGAAGGCCGAGGCAGGCGGATCACTTGGGGTCAGGAGCTCAAGACCAGCCTGGCCAACATGGTGAAAACCTGTCTCTACTAAAAATACAAAAATTAGCCAGGGGTGGTGGTGAACACCTGTAGTCCCAGCTACTCGGGAGGCTGAGGCAGGTGCATCACTTGAACCTGGGAGGCGGAGAGTGCAGTGAGCCGAGATCGCGCCACTGCCCTCCAGCCTGGGCAACAAGAGGGAAACAAAAGCAAGCATCCTGCTTCTCATCCTACTTTCCCTCTGCTAATTTTGAATATCGATGCACACACATCTTGGCTGCAACGATTATGAGAAGTTCGCCTAATGGTGACCTTCGATTTCCCTCACTCCCTGTACATCTCCTAACTGAAAGAGCTGCAGTCAGTCACACGGCTGGTGAGGGACCCTGAGACCCCAAAACGAACTCCATTACCACCTGAGGGACCCTCCAAGGATCGCCGGGCTACGCAGGGTCCCTAGGGTACGAGGCCGCCCCCTCGGCGGCCCCGCCCCCTCGGCGGCCCCGCCCCCTCGGCAAAAGTCCCGCCCCCTCGACAAAGTCCCGCCCCCAAGATGGTGGCCCCGGGCGGTGGACAGGGCGGGGCGTGCCGGGTCACGTGGACAGCCGACGCCGACGTGGCCTCCGGCGGACGCTCCACGTGTCCCTCGCCGCGCCCCGTCTACCCGCCCCTGCCCTGAGGACCCTAGTCCAACATGGCGGCGCCCAGCGGAGGGTGGAACGGCGTCGGCGCGAGCTTGTGGGCCGCGCTGCTCCTAGGGGCCGTGGCGCTGAGGCCGGCGGAGGCGGTGTCCGAGCCCACGACGGTGGCGTTTGACGTGCGGCCCGGCGGCGTCGTGCATTCCTTCTCCCATAACGTGGGCCCGGGGGTACGTGCCACCGCCGTCCCGGATATTTGAGTGCTGGCAGGCCCGGGGAGGGGGCGCGGAGCATTGGGGGCGGGGCCCGAGGAGGGGGCGCGGACCGCGGAGGTGGGTACTGAAGAAGGGGTGCGGATTGTTAGGGTCGGAGGCTGAGTGGGGGGCGCGGGACCGTGAGGCCGGGGTCATCACTGGGGCAGGACTGAACTCATAGGGAGCGGGGCCTTGTGGGCCCCGGCGGCGTTGAGGGGGCGTGATCACCTG
Organism: Homo sapiens; assembly: GCF_000001405.40. NCBI lineage: Eukaryota > Metazoa > Chordata > Mammalia > Primates > Hominidae > Homo > Homo sapiens. The sequence goes on along the minus strand of NC_000019.10, from coordinate 4,669,905 downwards.
TCACCTGTCGCCTGCCTGGAGTGTCCAGGCACCCCTGCCCTCCAGACGCAGAGGTGGGGAGGGGTCAGTGATGGGAGCGGCAGGAGGCTAAAGGGCATCTGCCCTCCTGGGCCTGAAGGAAATCAGTCGCTGCAGCTCCGAAGAGGGAGGAAGTGCTCCTTCCTTCCATTGCACAAGGTCCCCCCTCACCGAGGGTGTGAGGCCGGGCCCTCAGCCCTGTACTCAGCTTGTCGGCAAAGTCCTTTCCCCTCTCAGCCTCCCTTTCCCCGCCTGTAATAACAGTATCTTTACTGTTTTTTGACTATTTCTTTTTAGACTTGCGTGCAGTGGCGGGATCTCGGCTCACTGCATCCTTAGCCTTCTGGGTTCAAGCAATTCTTCTGCCTCAGCCTCCCCAGTACCTGGGATTACAGACGTGTGCCACCACACCCGGATAATTGTTGTTGTTGTTGTTTGAGATGGAGCCTCACTCTGTCGCCCAGGCTGGAGTGCAGTGGCGCGATCTTGGCTCACTGCAACCTCTGCCTCCCAGGTTCATGCCATTCTCCTGCCGCAGCCTCCCAAGTAGCTGGGACTACTAATCTTTGTATTTTTAGTACAGATGGGATTTCACCATGTTAGCCAGGCTGGTCTTGAACTCCTGACCGCAGGTGACCCGCCCACCTCGGCCTCCCAAAGTGATGGGATTACAGGCGTGAGCCACTGTGCCAGGCCAGTTTGTTGACTACTTCCTTATAGTTAGGTGTGATGCCAAGTCCTTTATATGTTAGGCCCAAGTTACAGATGAGAAAATGCTTCACATAAAAAAGAGAAACAGAGAGAAACTAGAGGCTCAGAAAAGTTTTCACTTGTCCAGGTCCCATGGCAAAACCCATCTCTACAAAAATACGAAAAATTAGCCAGGTGTGGTAGCAGGTGCCTGTAATCCCAAGTACTCAGGAGGCTGAGGCAGGAGAATCGTTTGAACCCGGGAGGCAGAAGTTGCAGTGAGCTGAGATCATCCCACTTCAGCCTGGGCGACAGAACAAGACTCTGCTTCAAAAAAAAAAAAAAAAATTAGTCGGGTGTGGTGGTTGCGTACCTATTGTCTCAGTTACTTGAGAGGCTGAGGCAAGAGGATTACTCAAACCTGGGAGTTCGAGGCTGCAGTGAGCTGTCATTGTGCCCCTGCACTCCAGCTTGGGTGACAGCAAGACCCCGTCTCTTAAACAAAATAAAAATTTCCTTCTACCAAACCTTTTTTTTCCTTCCATTCTCTAGGACAAATATACGTGTATGTTCACTTACGCCTCTCAAGGAGGGACCAATGAGGTGAGTTGTTCAAAATTCCCTCTAGCTTACTGTGACAGTATCCATTGTTGTAGGGAGATGTTCTGTAGCAGACAGCAGGGTTGGGTCTCACCTATATCACCTTACACTCATTGAATGACTCTTCCTAAACCAATAAAAAGGGAGAGTATTGGCATTAAACAGTGACGACAGATTCTGCTGTTATTATTCTACAGAGCAAGCAAATGTCTGGACAGAAGGAGGGAGGGGAGATGGGAGTCTGCCATCCCCATGAGCATCTGTTGGGATGTTGTATTTTATGTGCAGTGCAACAAGTTATCACAGCTTAGGGGCTTAAAACAGCACCCATTTATTATCTCATAGCTTTGTAGGTCAGAAGTCTGGGTCAGCTCAGTTGTGTGCTTCATAAAACCAAACTCAAGGTATTTTGGGAGGCTGAGGCGGGCAGATCACCTGAGGTCAAAGTTCGAGACCAGCCTGGCCAACATGGCAAAACCTCATCTCTACTAAAAATACAAAAATTAGCTGGGCATGGTGGCACATGCCTGTAGTCCCAGCTACTCAGGAGGCTGAGGCAGGAGAATCACTTGAACCCAGGAGACGGAGGTTGCAGTGAGCCAAGATTGTGCCACTGCACTCCAGCCTGGGCAACAGAGCGAGACTCTGTCTCAAAAAATAAATAATAAATAAATAAAGGTATCACAGGCAAGGCATGGTGGCTCATGCCCCATCTCTACAGAAAATAAAAAAATTAGCCCAGCGTGGTGGCGTGCACCTGTGGTTCCAGCTACTTGGGAGACTGAGGTGGGAGGATCGCTTGAGCCCAGGAGGTCAAGGCTGTAGTGAGCCGTGATTGTGCTACTGGGCAACAGAGCAAGACCCTGTCTCAAAAAAAAAAAAAGTCTCTGGGCTGGGAGAAGAATCCTCTCCTTCAAGCTCTTAGTTGGCAGAATTCAGTTACTTGTGGTTCAGGGACCAAGGTCCCGGTTTCCTTGCTGGCTGTTGTCTCCAGCTGGTGGCAGAAGAGCCAGTAAAGATGATTTGGGCCAGGCACAGTGGCTCATGCCTATAATCCCAGCACTTTGGGAGGCCAAGGCTGGCGAATCACCTGAAGTCAGGAGCTCCAGACCAGCCTGGCCAACATGGTGAAACCCCGTCTCTACTAAAACTACAAAAATTAGCCGGGCGAGCCAGGCGCACTGGCTCATGCCTGTAATCCCAGCACTTTGGGAGGCCGAGGCGGGTGGATCACAAGGTCAGGAGATCGAGACCATCCTGGCTAACACGGTGAAACCCCGTCTCTACTAAAAATACAAAAAATTAGCCGGGTGTTTTGGTGGGCACCTGTAGTCCCAGCTACTGGGGAGGCTGAGGCAGGAGAATGGCGTGAACCCGGGAGGCGGAGCTTGCAGCGAGCCAAGATCGCGCCACTGCACTCCATCCTGGGCGACAGAGCGAGACTCTGTCTCAAAAAAAAAAAAAAAAAAAAAAAAAGGGTGATTTGAAGCACATGGACACATACGCCACTGCTGCCCTTGAGGGAACTGCAGGGCAGGGAATACACGCGGCCTCTAGGAGCTGAGAACAGCCTCTGGCTGGCAGCAAGGAAATGAAGACTTCAGTCCCGCAACCAAGAGGAACTGAAATCTGCCACAACCACAAGAGCTTGGAAGAGGACCTTGAGCTACCAGTAAGAGCCTAGCCCGGTCAACACCTTGAGATGGGTTTCGCCATGTTGGCCAGGCTGATCTTGAACTGCTGACCTCAAATGATCAGCCTGCCTCGGCCTCCCAAAGTGCTGGGATTACAGGTGTGAGCCACCGGTGCCCGGCCTCCTAGAGATTTTTCTGTATCCTATGTAAAGCGCTTCAGTTGCATGGACGTGTGGAGTTGACAATCCCGTACTAATGGATTGAGGGTTACTTCCAACCCAGTCCGTGAATAACCTTGGCCAGGGTTCATTGTACAAGTGCAGTTACATCTGTGGGAAAACCACCCAGAAGTGGGATTCATGGGTCCATTTTCTTAAAAGTAAAACTGGGCTGGGCGCGGTGGCTCACGCCTGTAATCCCAGCACTTTGAGAGGCCAAGGCAGGTGGATCGCCTGAGGTTGGGAGTTTGAGACCAGCCTTGCTAAGATGGTGAAACCCCATCTCTACTGAAAATACAAAAGTTAGCAGGGCGTGGTGGCACGCGCCTGTAATCCCAGCTACTCAGGAGGCTGAGGCAGGAGAATCGCTTGAACCCACGAGGCAGAGGTTGCAGTGAGCTGAGATCGCACCACTGCACTCCAGCCTGGGTGACAGAGCGAGACTCCATCTCAAAAAAAAAAAAAAAAGTAAAACTGTATGTTTTGAGATCATGGTAGATTTACATTCACTTGTAAGAAATCCTACAGAGAGATCCAAGTACCGTTTAACCAGGTTCCCCGGTGGTAACATCGTGCAAGAGGCCAGTCATTTTAGAGATGGGGTCTCGCTATGTTGCCCAGGCTGGTCTCGAACTCTTGGGTTCAAGTGATCATCCCACGTTGGCCTCCCAAAGTGCTGGGATTACAGGCATGAGCCACCATGCCCAGCCTGCATTTTCCATTTTGCTTGTACCTGTTGCAGCTCCACCGACAACCTGGAATAGTCTTGGTTTTCACACCCATATGGTGTGTTAGCAGACAGGAGGGCTTTTGCCCTTCTGACCTGGGAGAAAAAGGTATCTCACGATAGTTCAGCTTGTGTTTATTTATTTTTCATAAATGATATGGGACATCTTTTTTTTTTTTTTTTTTTTTTTTTTTTTTTGAGACAGAGTCTCGCTCTGTCGCCCAGGCTGGAGTGCAGTGGCGCGATCTCAGCTCACTGCAAGCTCCGCCTCCCGGGTACACGCCATTCTCCTGCCTTAGCCTCCCGAGTAGCTGGGACTACAGGCGCCCACCACTGCGCTCGGCTAATTTTTTGTATTTTTAGTAGAGATGGGGTTTCATCATGTTAGCCAGGATGGTCTTGATCTCCTGACCTCGTGATCTGCCTGCCTCGGCCTCCCAAAGTGCTGGGATTACAGGCGTGAGCCACCGCGCCCGGCCTGGACATCTATTTATATGTTTAAGAGTTGTTCTTAGGCCTGGCATGGTGGCTTATATCTGTAATCTCAGCACTTTGGGAGGCCAAGGTGGGAGGATTGCTTGAGGCCAGGAGGTTGAGACCAGCCTGGGCAATATGGCAAGACAGTGATTCTACAAAACACAAAAATTAGCTGGGTGTGGTCCCAGCTACTTGGGAGGCTGAGGTGGGAGGATCGCTTGAGCCCAGGAGGTAGAGGTTGCAGTGAGGCGAGATCGTGCCACTGCACGCCAGCCCAGGCCACAGAGAGAGACTCCATCTCAAAAACAAACAAACAAACAAACAAACAGCGTTGTTCCTATTTCCCCATCCGTGGGAGCCACTTTGGGGTAGTTCTCATTAGAGGCACCACTTTTATGGGAAGGATGTGGTGCAGGCAGGCTCCCTGATCACAGATGACAGCAAACCCCAGGCCACCAGGAGGGCGGGGCAGGGGATTTAGTGGCCAGCCCCTGAATCGGGAGGTACAGAAGAGGTGGCCTGACTGTAGAATCAGAGGCACACCTAGAAGTCTCCGAGAGCAGCTGTGTGTCCGGGGCTGACCCGCGCTGTCTTCTCTCCCCAGCAATGGCAGATGAGTCTGGGGACCAGCGAAGACCACCAGCACTTCACCTGCACCATCTGGAGGTGAGACTCGGGGTGGGGATGGCATTTCCGGCTGCCGTTGGCCTGCCCTGTGGCCTCAGGAGCTGCTTTGGAAGGCAGGGAACGAGGGCTGCACCCCTGGAGGGGAAGACAGACCAGCAGGGAGACTCATGCACGTGCAGGTGGGGGGTGGCAGGGTCGCTGGGGTGGGAGTGCTCCCCAAGGAAGTGCACTGATGCAGAGACTGAGAAGGTCTGGGGGAGACGGGGGGAGCCTGTGCGGGGCAAGGTCCCAGGAAAAGGAGAAGCAGCTCAGAGGGTGCGGAGCGTGGACCAGGGCCCAGGAAGGCCCCAAGGGGCTCCACCCTCCCCTAAGGGTGAGACGAACTCACCAAAGGGCTTTTTGGCAATTTTTTTTTTTTTTTTTTTGAGATGGAGTCTCCATCTTTTGCCCGGGCTGTAGTGCAGTGGAGCAATCTTGGCTCACTGCAGCCTCCGCCTCCTGGGTTCAAGCGATTCTCCTCCCTCAGCCTCCTGAGTAGCTGGGATTACAGGCGTGTGCCACCATGCCTGACCCTTTTTGGCAATGTTTAAAAACTGAGATAAAATTCCATAAAGCACAGCATTTTAAGCTCACAATTCAGCTGCATGGAGTACTTTCTCAGAGGTGTGCAGCCAGACCTCTGCTTCCAGAACATTTTCATCCCCTGAAAATAAACTCTGTTCCCATCAGAGTCATTCTCCTTCCCAGCACATGGCAGCCACGCATCCCCCTCCTGTCTCTGTGGATGGGCGTGTCCTGGACATTGCATAGAAATGGGGTCAAACCTTCCCTGTGTGGCCTTTGGTGTCTGGCGTCTCTCACTGAACGTGACGTCCTCAAGGCTCATCCATGCTGAGGCCCGTGTCAGCCTCATTTCTTTTCCTGGCTGAGTCCTATTCCAGAGGGCTCCCTGCAGGAACATGTGGAGCTCAGATCCCCCCGGCTGAAGGAGGCAGGCTGAGGCAGGGAGCCCCTCCAGGCACCAACCAGGATGGAGTCGGGGGTTGGGGGTGGGGCGCAGATTGAAGCCTGTGCAGAATGAGGATGGGGTGGGTGGAGAGGGCACAGATTGGAGGCTGTGTAGAATGAGGATGGGGTGGGTGGGGAGGGTAGATTGGAGGCTTTGTAGAATGAGGATGGGGTGGGTGGGGAGAGCACAGATTGGAGACTGTGTAGAATGAGGACAGGGTGGGTGGGGAGGGTATACTGGAGGCTGTAGAATGAGGATGAGGTGGGGAGGGTAGATTGGAGGCTGTAGAATGAGGATGGGGTGGGTGGGGAGGGTAGATTGGAGGCTGTGTAGAATGAGGGTGGGGTGGGTGGGGAGGATAGATTGGAGGCTGTGTAGAATGAGGATGGGGTGGGTGGAGAGTGCACAGGTTGGAGGCTGTAGAATGAGGATGGGGTGGGGAGGGTAGATTGGAGGCTGTGTAGAATGAGGATGGGGTGGGTGGAGAGGGCACAGATTGGAGGCTGTGTAGAATGAGGATGGGGTAGGTGGGGAGAGTAGATTGGATGCTGTAGAATGAGGATGGGGTGGATGGGAGCGTAGATTGGAGGCTGTGTAGAATGAGGATGGGATGGGTGGAGAGGGCACAGATTGGAGGCTGTAGAATGAGGATGGGGTGGGTGGGGAGGGTAGATTGGAGGCTGTGTAGAATGAGGACAGGACGGGTGGGGAGGGTAGATTGGAGGCTGTGTAGAATGAGGACAGGACGGGTGGGGAGGGTAGATTGGAGGCTGTAGAATGAGGATGAGGTGGGTGGGGAATGTAGATCGGAGGCTGTAGAATGAGGATGGAGTGGGGTGGGGAGAGTAGATTGGAGGCTGTAGAATGAGGACGGAGTGGGAGGGGAAGGCACAGACTGGAGGCTGTGTAAAATGAGGACAGGGAGGAGGGGAGGGCACAGATTGGAGGCTGTGGAATCAGCTAGCTGGGGTAGGAGGAGGAGGAAGGTGCTGGGCAGAGTCCTGGTGGAACTGGCGGAGCTGGTGCAGGTCTGGGCTGGGGACGAGCTAGGCAGGTGGCAGGTGTGGGAGTCTGTGGGGTAGTGGCTGTGGAGGTTTGGATGATGCTATCTCCCGGGGAATGTGTCCCACCAGAAGGGGCCCCAGCTGTTTCCCCTCAGGCAGGTCTTTACCAGCATGTTCTCTGAAGGACCAGCCTGATGGCTCATAGCCTTCTTGGGGTGCAGACATCTGGGAATCAGACAAAAGCTGTGCACTCTCTTCCACCTGCCCGAACACACATGCATCTGGGTCCACAGCCCCTCCCCAAGTCTCCCCAGACACCGCCCGATTCTGCCCCTGCCGCCATCCTCTGTCAGGCTCATGGTTTATGGGCTTATCCCGGCTCCACTCGCCCCACTCATTCTCGTAACCCCACTGCCTAGATCCCAGCTCGATCTGGGCAAGGTCATGAAGGGAAGGAAGCCGTCAGGCCCCCCGGTGGGGAGGGGGTCGGGGGCTTCAGGAATCTTGTCCCTTCTTCCCTGATCCTTGGCCCAGAATGTCTCAGCCCAAACAGTGGGTATTTCTTGAGCCTTTATTTTGTGCAGACACTTTGGAGGGAGAAGTCCAAGCTATAGCTCCACCACTGCGGTCAGGTTAAAGCACGTTGACAAATGGGAGGCAGAGATCAGGGAGTGGCGACGTTTAACTGAAGGACAGGGTGTGATTTGCTGCCTCGTGTGGGTGTTGTCCCGCCGTGCCCTGCGGGGCGCTTTACAAACAGCAGGTGTTTCTGGGGAGATTCTCACCCACTCCATGGAACTGGCTGCATCACAGGCAGGCCAAGGCCCCAGGAGGCATCAGGAGGGTCATTGAGAGGAGATAGGCCCCATCAGCCCAGAGAGACCCTGCAGAGGCCGCCCTGTAGTCTTGGGGAAGCCCACGGTCGCCATCGTCTGTCTGCAGGCCACTGCCCTGCATGGACCCCTGAGTGCCAGCTCCCCAGAGGGCATCTGGGCAGGTGCAGGTCTGGAGCAGTTGGGATGGTGGCTGGGCTCACCTTGAGCCTGAATCCTCCTGTCCAACCCCCACAAAAGCTCCCCAGGGGCATGCTCAGCCCCGGAGACCTGCCACCCCAGGCCTCCTCATCTCAGACAGTGACTGGACCCTCCCTGACCAGGGCTGTTGGCAGTGCTAGGGCTTAAAGAAGAATCTAGGGCTCCCTGGATACCCCCGCCCCACCCATGCACATAGAACCCCAGCCAGGGCTTCCACAGAAATGGCCCCCCTGCTGCCCCTCCATCCCCATCACACTCTCTTCACACCAGAGATGCCATCATCCCCTGCTGTCACCTTCCGACACCTTCTGCCACTCCAGTTCCTTAGAAGCCTCCGTTAGCAGCCTTCTAGAGACCTGGGCAGATGATCCTCCCCACTTCTTAAGTTAACTCCTGTACTTCCTAGTCAATGCCCTCTGAGAAGCCTTTACTGGCCTCTCATTGCCCAGCCCCAGCCCCCGTCGTAGTACCTGGATTGCTGTCAGCAACCAAGAAGCCATGTGCAGTGAATGGACATGGGGTCCTGTCCCAGAGCAGCTCCCAGCCCACAGGGGAGAGAGGCGTGTCTATGAATGAGCTGGAAGAACATTCTGGCACAAAGGGGCCAGGCACAGTGGCTCACACCTCTAATCACAGCCCTCTGGGAGGCTGAGGCGAGTGGATCACTTGAGGTCAGGGGTTCAGGCCAGGCTGGCCAACATGGTGAAACCATGTTTTTACTAAAAATACCAAAATTAGTCAGATGTGGTCGCGGGTGCCTGTACTCCCAGCTACAAGGGAGGCTAAGGCAGGAGAATCACTTAAACCCAGGAGGCAGAGGCTGCAGTGAGTGAGATTGTGCCATTGCCATCCAGCCTGGGCAACAGAGTGAGACTCGTCTCCAAAAAAAAAAAAAAAAAAAAATTCTGGCACAAAAGAAAGAGGGTCTGCTGTTGAGAGGGCCCCATCCATCCTTCCCAGTCAGCAGGTGCTCGTGCTCGGGAATGGCGTCCATGTTGAGAAGCAGGCACGAGACCTGCTGACCCCAGCCCGAGTCCCTGGCGGGGCTCCTTCCAGGGCACACAGACCCAGACCCAGCAGGCCTGGCCTGACTCCCTCGCCCCCTCTTCCTCTGCAGGCCCCAGGGGAAGTCCTATCTGTACTTCACACAGTTCAAGGCAGAGGTGCGGGGCGCTGAGATTGAGTACGCCATGGCCTACGTGAGTATCTTGGAGTGGGGCAGGCTCCGGGTGTGGCTTCTGTGCACTGGGGCAGCTGTGAGATGTCCTGCCACAAGAGGGCTCCATGGGGACAGGGAGGAGAGGGGACAGCGAATCCTGCAGAGGTAGGGTGTGTAACTTGCAGGAACCTGGCACACAGACGCCCCCAGGCCAGGGGCACGGGGGTTTGGTAACCTGTTGCTGCTGGCTTCTCTTGTATATGCCAGAAAAGACTTCTCCAGGCCAGGCGCGGCGGTTCACGCCAGTAATCCCAGCAATTTGGGAGGCTGAGGCAGGAGGATTGCTGGAGGCCAGGAATTTGATTCCAGCCTAGGCAACATAGCAAGACCCTATATCTACCAAAAGTAAAAAAAAAATAGCCAGGCGTGTTGGCATGCACCCATAGTCCCACCTACTCAGGAGGCCGCAGCAGGAGGATCACTTGAGTCCAGGACTTTGAAGCTGCAGTGAGCTATGATTGCACTGCTGCATTCCAGCCTGGACAGTAGAGTGAGGTCCTGGCTCAAAAACAAAAAAGTCTCCTCTCCATCTCTAGTAAAAGTAGAAAGCTTTAGTCTGTGCTTCTCTGGAAAGCAAACTCAATCGTTTTCCTAATGATGAGCATTGAACTGGCCCTGGTAAAGTTTCCACTCATTCTTTTTCAGTCTAAAGCCGCATTTGAAAGGGAAAGTGATGTCCCTCTGAAAACTGAGGAATTTGAAGTGACCAAAACAGCAGGTACGGAAAGATGGGGATGGGGTAGAGGTGACGCCACCCCCATCCAAGGGTGGGCAATCGGGGCAGTTTGGAGAGGGGGGTCAGCCATAGGGGTCCTGGAGACTGTAGACCAGGCATCCACAAACTGATTCTATAAAGGCCACCTCGTCAATATCTTCAGCTTTGTGGCACTGTGGGTTCTGTCTAGAGCTGTGCCATTGTGGCACAAAGCTGCTGCAGACAGTATGTCCATGCGTGGGTGTGGCTGTGTGCCACTAGAACTTTATCTTAGCTGGGCGCGGTGGCTCATGCCTGTTACCGCAGCTGCTCAGGAGGCTAAGGTGGGAGGATCATTGGAGCCCAGGAGGTCAAGACCAGCCTGGGCAACATAGCGAGACCCTGTCTCTACAAAATTTTTTTAAAAATCAGGCTGGGTGCGGTGGCTCACGCCTGTAATCCCAGCACTTTGGGAGGACGAGGCGGGCGGAACACTTGAGGTCAGGAGTTCCAGACCAGCTGGCCAACATAATGAAACCCCATCTCTACTAAAAATGCAAAAAATTAGCCAGGCGTGGTGGTGCGCACCTGTAATCCCAGCTATTCAGGAGAATTGCTGGAACCTGGGAGGTGGAGGTTGCAGTGAGCTGAGATCATGCCACTGCACTCTAGCCTGGAAGACAGCAAGATTCTGTCTCAAAAAGAAAAAAAATTAGCCGGGCATGGTGGTGTGTACCTGTAGTCTCAGCTACTTAGGAGGCTGAGGTGGGAGGATTATTTGAGCCCAGGAGGTCGAGGCTGCATTGAGCTATGATCGCACCACTGCACTCCAGCCTGGGCATCAGAGTAAGACTCTGTCTCAAAAACAATAAACAGGGCTGGGCATGGTGGCTCACACCTGTAATCCCAGCACTTTGGGAGGCCAGGAGTTCCAGACCAGCCTAGCCAACATGGTGAAACCCCTTCTCTACTAAAAATACCAAAATTAGCCAAGGATGGTGGCACATGCTTGTAATCCCAGCTACTCAGGAGGCAGAGACAGGAGAATCTCTTGAACTTAGGAGCAGGAGGTTGCAGTGAGTCGAGACTGCACCACTGCACTCCAGCCTAGGCAACAGAGGAAGACTCTCATCTCAAAAAAAATAATAAATTTTAAAAAATAAATAAATGAAATAAAACAAAGTAGAAACCATCAGGGCTTTGAGGTTGGGACTGTGGCATGCCGAGGGGAGGCTGCAGGGGTCACTGGGAAACATCAGGGTCCTTCTTCGGTTGCCTGAGCAGCACCGGTGTCCTCAAGCCACATTCAGCTGCATGGCGCCAATGCTAAGCAGAAAGAGGAATCGGAGGCGCCGAGCTGGGGCAAGGGTGGGAGCCAAGGGAGTGGACACAGCAGGTAGGGCCGGGAGACTTGGGTGAAGCAGTGGAAGCCAGAGTTCTGACCCTGCTGGAGAAGTGTCATGAGGGCCTCAGACAGGTTCACCCACTGAGCAGGAGGTCTTGCAGCCTGACCCACCCTGCATCCTGTTCAGGCCGGGATCATCTCCTTCCTGGGCTTCTTCTGGCCCCTTTCTGCATCTCTTCTTGACAACATGGCACAAATGACCAGGGTTCTTCCCACCTCAGGTCTTTCTGTGGCTTCCTGCTGCCTGCCATCTATGTTAGCCCCACCGACCTTACCCTCCACATCACTGTTTTCCTGTCTGTCACCCGTAAGACTTTCAGTGCCTGGGGCCTTTTCACATGGGAGTCTGCTTTGGAGACTGCTCCCCTTGCCTGCTTAGCCCCCACCATGGGCCCCACCCCAAATCCTCCGGACTTCTGAGAATTTTCAATGTTGAGGGCCCAACCATGTGTTTCTTTCTTGCAGTGGCTCACAGGCCCGGGGCATTCAAAGCTGAGCTGTCCAAGCTGGTGATTGTGGCCAAGGCATCGCGCACTGAGCTGTGACCAGCAGCCCTGTTGCGGGTGGCACCTTCTCATCTCCGGTGAAGCTGAAGGGGCCTGTGTCCCTGAAAGGGCCAGCACATCACTGGTTTTCTAGGAGGGACTCTTAAGTTTTCTACCTGGGCTGACGTTGCCTTGTCCGGAGGGGCTTGCAGGGTGGCTGAAGCCCTGGGGCAGAGAACAGAGGGTCCAGGGCCCTCCTGGCTCCCAACAGCTTCTCAGTTCCCACTTCCTGCTGAGCTCTTCTGGACTCAGGATCGCAGATCCGGGGCACAAAGAGGGTGGGGAACATGGGGGCTATGCTGGGGAAAGCAGCCATGCTCCCCCCGACCTCCAGCCGAGCATCCTTCATGAGCCTGCAGAACTGCTTTCCTATGTTTACCCAGGGGACCTCCTTTCAGATGAACTGGGAAGAGATGAAATGTTTTTTCATATTTAAATAAATAAGAACATTAAAAAGCAACCCCACAGCCTGGGCCCTCCCGGCTGGCCGTTGCGGGTCAGGAGCTCAGACGCGGCTGACACTGCCCCACCGTGGGCGGGTGGGCGGTGTCTCTGGGTGGGACTTCTCTGCAGGCATCAAAGCGCTAGATCCCAAGGTGGCTGTATGTGAACTTGCCCCCTTCCCCCCTTGGCACTCGCTGTCCCTGGGTCCCCCACATGTTGTGAATTCACACCCGGGTTTCTGTGGCTGCCACAGGCCCCAGCGCGGGAGGATGTTCCAAGGCCGACCTGCTCTCTGCAGCCTGGGGCATTGGTTTCCCTTAGTTTGTTTTTCTTTTGAGACAGGGTCTTCTCCTGTCACCCAGGCTGAAGTGTAGTGGTGTAACACGGCTCACTGCAACCTCCACCTCCTGGGCTCAAGCGATCTTGCCACCTCAGCCTTCCAAGTAGCTGGGACTACAGGCACACGCCACCATGCCCGGCTAATTTTTGCATCTTCTTTTGATAGAGACAGCGTTTTGCCATGTTGCTCAGGCTGGTTTCGAACTGAGCTCAAGCAATCCACCTGTCTCGGCCTCCCAAAGTGCTGGGATTACAGGCATGAGCCACTGTGGCCAGCCTCCCGTAGTTTTTTGAAGCTGGGTTGCAACAGTGACTAAAAAACAAAAACAGACCAGACAGGATGGTTTACGCCCGTGAATCCCCGCACTTCGGGAGGCCAAGGTGGGAGAATCTCTTGACACCAGGAGTTCAAGACCAGCTTAGGCAACATAGCAAGACCCCCATCTCTACCAAAAAATAAATAATTTTAAAATTAGCCAGGTGTGGTGGGGCACACCTGTAATCCCAGCCACTCAGGAGCCTGAGGCAGGAGAATCGCCTGAACCCAGGAGTCCAAGGCAGCAGTGAGCCAAGATCGCGCCACTGCAGTCCAGCCTGGGCCACAGAGTGACACCTTGTCTCAAAAGAAAAAGAACCAGCCAGCCTTGACTTCCCAGCACACACTTGATGCCACCACATGAGGAAAGGACTGACGGCCGCACACATCAGCGGGAAGGGCCCCTAGACCAAGAATGGCAGTGCTCTGAGGTCTGAAGACCCCCCCGCCAAGGCCAGGAGGCTTTCCAGCTCTTGACTCTGAGGCTCCACGGGGCCCAGAAGATGAGCACGACAGGGTTGCCAGGGCCTCCTGTGCAGAAAAGGCCGTGGGAAACAGTGCCTACCACCAGTACCCTGGCCAAGGTAGGGGGACTCTCTCCTGGTCAGCTGGGATTCGCCCACAGCTTCTGGATCCCTGGCTGTCATCAAGGATGATGCCCGGGTGGCCTGATGCACCAGCATACATCAGGGCATCTCGGGACACACAGGAGCTTCCCCTCTGACCTTACGTGTGCATATGTGTGCTTTTTTTTTTTTTTTTTGGACAGGATCTTGCTCCATCACCCAGGCTGGAGTGCAGTGGTGCGATCTCGGCTCACCGCAGCCTCAACCTCCTGGGTCCAAGCCATCCTTCCAGATAGCTGGGACCACATGTGCATGCCACCCTGACTGGCTATAATTTTTTATTTTTTTATTCTGTTTCTGAGACCAAGTCTCACTCTGTTGCCCAGGCTGGAATGCAGTGGCACGATCTCATCTCACTGCAACCTCCGCCTCCCAGGTTCAAGTGATTCTCCTGCCTCAGCCTCCCAAGTAGCTGGGATTACAGGCACCCGCCGCCATGCCCAGCTAATTTTTGTACTTTTTAGTACAGATGGGGTCTCACCATCTTGGCCAGGCTGGTCTTGAACTCCTGACCTCAGGTGATCTGCCTGCCTCAGCCTCCCAAAGTGCTGGGATGACAGGCGTGAGCCACTGCACTTGGCCTTATATATATATATTTTTAGAGATAGGGTCTCGCTATGTTGCCCAGGGTGGTCTTGAACTCCTTGGCTCAAGTGATCCTCCTGCCTCGGCCTCCCAAAGCACTAGGTTTAACTGACATGAGCCACTGCGCCCAGGCTGGTGTGTGCTTTTATTTAAATTGTTCCGCAGTCCTATTTGGTTTGTTTCCTTTAATTAAATCTCAAATTTACAAGAGTCCAGACTGTCTGGACAGCCCAACAGGGACACAGAGAGTTTTACACACTGATGTCTCAACAGCACAGGGTTCCATCGGGACTTCGTGAGAAAATCAGGATCCATGTACGTTCTTGAAGAGCTGTCTCTCGGCCTAAGATAAGTGGAGAAGGTTGCCTTGGAAGCGTGGGGTAGAGGTAGGAACAGCTGGCTCTCTGGCCAAGGCCTTTGGCTTTTTCGCGGAAGCAAAAACCGAACCACGGGAAGGCTGCTCCGAGTCTGGGGTCAGAATTTCCTATCAGTGAGTGCAGCAGGCCAGGGAGAGGCGAAAGGGAGTGGAGAGGACTGTGGTGAAAGGGAGAGGGGCGGCCCCTGCACAGCTTCACCAGGCGTCAGTGCAGGCTCAGACGGCCGGACTGGCGAGTTTTCAAGAGAAACTCCAAATCCAGACAGGTGTGTGTGATCTCTTGGTTTTAAATGCAGACAAATTCCAAATGTCTCAAATACTGAATGGAGCCAGCTAGACCTACCTTCTCACCAAGTAAGGCCCACAGGCCCCTGCCGCAACCTCTACCCTCCACAGACAAGGTTCTGCAAAACAGTCATGGGACCTTGTTTCACCTCCCCCACAGGCACCCAAAATAACCTTCCTGACCTGCAGCAGCATTTTGCAATCTTTGAGAACCCCTGCCCCCTGCTGACAAACAAAAATGGCAAATAGACTCCCCCACACCACGCCTCCACGCCCTGAGCTGAGAATCGCCCGCATCTCGTGGGTGGTACCAGAGCCAAGACGACAGCCAAGCTTTGCTTTCTCAGCTCTGTCTTATAAAAGCAACATGGTTGGCTGGTTGGTTGCTGATTCTCCAAATATGAAATCACGATATTACAATGTGCACACTTTGTGAGGCCGAGGTAGGTAGGTCGCTTGAGCCCAGGAGTTCGAGACCATCCTGGGCAACATGGTGAGACCTTCTGTCTACAAAAAATACAAAGATTAGCCGGGTGTGCTCGTGCACACCTGTAGTCCCAGCTACCCGGGGCTGAGGTGGGAGGATCACTTGAGCCTGGAAGGAAGGGGCTGCAATGAGCCGAGATTTCACCACTGCACTCCAGCCTGGGTGACACAGCGAGACTTTGTCTCAAAACAATAAATAAATAAAATGTGCACACATCTCAGGTGGGTCCCCCCTCACCCCTGGGAGGTGGGCACGCTCCGTCCCCTCCCATGTGGCAGTCCCTGGATTGGAGCAGTTTCCCCTCCCGACCCAGGGCAGAGGTCTCCAGCTTCACGGAGGCATCCTGGCTGAACGTGCCAGCATTCACTGGAGCCTTCTTGAGTGGGGGCTTCCAGTACCACATCCTGTGGACTGAGGGGCTTCACGCACATTTATTCTCATTCAGTTCTCTGGGCCGCAAGTCTGAGATGAAGGTGTGGCCAGGGCTAGGTCCCTCCAAGGCTGAAGGGGATCTGCCCTGGGCCTCTCCCAGCTCCTGGTGGTGGCCGGCATCATTGGCCTTCCTTGCATGCATGTCTGTGTCCAAATACTTTTTTTTTTCTTTCTAAGACAGAGTCCCACTCTCACCCAAGCTGGAGTGCAGTGGCATGATCATCGGTCACTGCAGCCTCTTAACTCCTGGGCTCAAGTGATCTTCCCTCGTCATCTCTCAAGTAGCTGGGATTATACGTGTGCACCACCACAGTCACTTTTTTTTTTTTTTTTTTTTTTTTTTTTGAGACGAGTCTCGCTCTGTCACCAGGCTGAAGTGCAGTGGTGCAATCTCGGCTCACTGCAACCTCCGCCTCCCTGCAACCTGCGCCTCCCAGGTTCAAGCGATTCTCCTGCCTCAGCCTCCCAAGTAGCTGGGACTACAGGCACGCAACACCATGCCCGGCTAATTTTTGTATTTTTAGTAGAGACGGGGTTTCACCATGTTGGCCAGGATGGTCTCGATCTCTTGACCTTGTGATCTGCCCGCCTCAGCCTCCCAAAGTGCTGGGATTACAGGTGTGAGCCACCACGCCCGGCCCACCACGATAATTTTTTTTTTGTAGAGACGAGGGTCTCACCATGTTGCCCAGACTGGTCTTGAACTTCTGAGTTCAAGCAATCTTCCTGCCTCGGCCTCCCAAAGTGCTGGAATTAGAGTAGTGAGCCACTGCACGTGGCCTCAATCCCCCACTCCCCCGCTTCTTTTTTTGAGACAGAGTCTTGCTCTGTCACCCAGGCTGGAGTGCAGTGGCACAATCTCGGCTCACTGCAACCTCCTCCTCCTGGTTCAAGTGATTATCCTGCCTCAGCCTCCCGAGTAGCTGGGACTACAGGCATGTGCCACCATGCCCAGCTAATTTTTTGTATTTTCAGTAGAGATGGGGTTTCACCGTGTTAGCCAGGATGGTCTCGATCTCCTGACCTCGTGATCCGCCCGCCTCAGCCTCTCAAAGTGCTGGGATTACAGGCGTGAGCCACCGCGCCCTGCCCCAGGCCCCCTTTTTTTAAGGACCCCAGTCCTTGAATTGGGGCCCACCCTACTCCAAGATGAGATCATCTGAACTAATTCCATCTGTAATGATCCTATTTCCAAATCAGATCATCTTCTGAGGTCCTGGGGGTTAGGACGTGAGTTTATGGAAGGGGGGGTGCCGCGACTTGCCCCCTAACACTTCCCTTCCCCCAGTTCACCGTGTGAACCCGTAGTCCTTGTGCGAGGGATGAAAATCCCAGGCGACATGATCCAAGTGGGAGGCAGCAGCTTTTGGCTTTTACATCAAGCGACCCAGGGGTCGGCGTGGCCCAGAAAGTACAAACGGGTGAAAGGTGGTCCCCAGAGTAGGGCCCCAAATTCCTCTCCCCATTGGGCGGGGGCCAGGAGGAGAGGTGACATTGGTGTTTGAAACAGCTGCTACAGATGCCTCAGCATCCTCTCAAAGGAGACAGGTCACCCATCTGTCTAGGGGAGTTTGGCCGGAGTCCGATTGGGAGAAAAGAGGTGGAAAAAAACCCACAAACCCCACCCGCGCCCAGCAGGAGAGCCCCAAAAGGCGCGAGGGGCGCGGTTGGGCGGCGCCGGGGTTCAGAGGCTGCCCTCGTCCAGCATCCGGCCCAGGCCCTCGCAGATCCTGCGCAGGTGGGAGCGGTAGGGCTCGGCGGGGCCGTAGAGCGCAGCCAGGAAGTCGCAGTCGGCTAGGTGGCCGAACACGTGGTTGATGCGGCCGTGGGACTTGGCGGTCAGGTGGGGACCCACGGCCTGGTGCAGCAGGTCGCGGCACTCGAGCAGCCCGGCGGCCAGCACGCGCCGGTCGAAGGTGAAGTCCACCTGGTGGAAGCTGACGGCCGTCATGGCCAGGCAGCGCGCCCGGTGGCGGAAGCGCCGCAGCAGCGCCAGCTCCTCACCGCCCAGCTGGTCCCCACGCAGCAGCAGTCCCAGCTTCAGGGCCACCTTGACCAGGTTCTTGAGCATCTTCTGGGCCTCCTTGCGGCTGCGCGTGAACTCCCTGGTGGCGCGGTACAGCTCATCCAGCACCTCACTGCTGGTGTCATCCACCAGCACGGCCACCACTGCCTTGGACGCCATCTTACTCAGGAGCTTCTTCTGCGCCTGCAGAGCCAGGCTCTTGGTGCTGAAGGTGTCCATGGCCTGCGGGGGACACAGACCAGCCCTCAGTTTTGCACGTTGGGGCACTCCTCACACAGAAGAGGTGACAACACCACAGACCCCAGAGGGCCTAACGGAATTTGTTTCTTTAAAAAGTGTCATGCCGGACGCAGTGGCTCACGCCTGTAATCCCAGCAATTTGGGATGCCTAGGCAGGCGGATCGCCTGAGATCGAGGTTAGGAGTGCGAGACCAGCCTGGCAAACATGGTGAAACCCATGTTTCTCTCTACTAAAAATACAAAAATTAGCCAGGCTTGGTGATGGGTGCCCGCAATCCCCGCTACTTGGGAGGCTGAGGCAGGAGAATCCCTTGAGCCCGGGAGGCGGAGGTTGCAGTGAGCTAAGACCATGCCACCGCACTGCAGCCTATAATTCAAGCCTGTGGTTCATGCCTGTGGTCCCAGTGCTCTGGGAGGCTGAGGCAGGAGAATTGCGAGGCCAGGAGTTTGAGACCAGCCTGGGCAACATAACAAGACCCTATCTCTAAAAAAAAAAAATCAAAAATTTTATTTTGTATTTATTATTATGATTATTATTATAAACAAACAGAGAAGGCCCTTCTGAACCCCACTATCTGTAGGGTCTGATGCCAGCCCTCAAACCCATCATATCCTTGCTATGAGCTGAGAAGGGGCTCAAGGTGATTGTTACAGGGGGTTCCGTTCCATCCCCTAGGTCCAGCTCAACACTCCCCACCCTCACCCCACAGCTCCATGAGGTGGGGTTCCAAGTGAGCCCCAGACCCGGGGCTGTTCAGGGTGGAGGAGCCCCATTACTATGGCAGTGCCTCCAGTCCCACTGCCCCCGCAGGGTTGGTTTATTTATTATTTATTTATTTTATTATTATTATTATTACTATTTTTTGAGATGGAATCTCCCTCTGTCGCCCAGGCTGGAGTGTGGTGGCACGATCTCGGCTCACTGCAAGCTCCGCCTCCTGGGCTCACGCCATTCTCCTGCCTCAGCCTCCGGAGTAGCTGGGACTACAGGCGCCCGCCACCACACCTGGCCCCCGACAGGGTTTATAACAGGCATGTCCAAGGCCTTCAGCCCCGAGTGAGCCAGGGGGTGATGGGTTCACAGGGGGCCATTTGTGGGGTTTCTGGGAAGGCATGGCTCCGATGATTCCTCCAACAGGGAAACATTGACTTGGACAGCCCCCGTCCAGGCTGGGACTGGGGAGGTGGCCAAGGTGAGAGCCTGGCCAGCTCTCGAGGCATAAGGGCCAGGCCTCTCACTGCAGAACCATCCCCCTGTCCCTGTCTGCTCCTTTTCTCTGTCCACCCTGCCCTGTAGCCTGCCCAGTTTCCCCAGCCCTGGAGCTTCCCCCTCCACCCACCTCCTTCCTGCAGCTCCGGAATTCTTCCTAAATCTCAGAGTAGGGCATAGCCCTTACCTGCTGAGAACAAGCTGACAGCTCCTCAAAGCTCCCAGGACCAAGCTCCACACCTCACTTGGAGCCCTGACTCTTCCCTGTGGACCTCAATACCCTAAGGCCCCATCTCCTCCCTGGTGAACTCCTATACACCCCCCAAAGCCTGGCCCCCAAGCCCCTGCCTCTTCCCTGGTAAACTATACATCCCCATCACTTTGGCCCCCAAGTCTCTGCCTCCTCTGAGCCGCAGGTTCCCCAGGCATCCCCATTGCTCCTCTGCTCCCCAGCTCTGCACCCCAACTGGTCTGCCTCACCCCAGGCCACAGGGGAGGTCATGGGCCCAATTCCTTATCCACGGTGTCCCTGCAGACTCCAGAAACATCTGCTGAATGAAGAGGGGAGTGTGGAAGAACTGGCGGAGGAGGGAGGGCCTGAGACCCGCCCCCGGTCTCTCTCACTGCCCCAGACCCTGCTCAGCCTCCACTCCCACCCCAGCGCCAGGCTGCCAGCCTTGGAATGCCATGTGGGCACCCACCTACCCCAGGAGCCCCCACAAAGCCGGTCTTTGTGTGAGTTCAGACTCCGGGAGAAGTTCCAAACCCTCGGCCGCCCTCTGAGGTCAGGGCAGGCACGGGAATTGCTGGATGGGCCGCCCCTGCCCTCCGACCTCGGTCACCAGACCCTGGCTCTGCACAGGCCTAGGCCAGAAGAGGGGTGCTGTTGACTCAGTGCCACGTGGCAGACCCTGAGTCAGCGATGTGTGCCCACTTTGTCATCGCCACCATGTACTAGGCAGGTTGCCTGTTTTGCAGAAGAGACCACAAAGGCTCAGAGAGGCTGAGCCACTTCCCCAAGACCACACAGCAATACAGTAACCACTGGCTCTCAACGCCCTTGAACCCCAACTCCCTGTGCCTTCCCCACCTAACGCCCTCAACTGGCCGTGAGTCTTAGAGGGCAACCCTGATATTTAGGGCCTGCTCCCAGCTCTGGCCTCTGCAGCAAGCAACTTAACAATGTGCCTCAGTTTCCCCATCTGAAATATGGGGAAGATCGGAACGAACTTTGTCCTGGGGCAGAAGCTTGTGACCAAACCGCAATGCCCCCTAAGCTGTGAGCTTCCTCTGGACGAGAGGCTGCAACCACTGCCTGGAATTCCGCCCTTCCGTGCCCACCTCAGCTCTGTGAACTTGCAGACCTAGTTCTATCTCAGTGAGATTCCCTGTGCAAAAAAAAAAAAGCTGGCCGGGCGCGGTGGCTCACACCTGTAATCCCAGCACTTTCGGAAGCCAAGGCGGGAGGATCACTTGAGGTCAGGAGTTCGAGTCCAGCCTGGGCAACATGGTGAAACCCCGTCTCTACTAAAAATACAAAAATTAGCTGGGCATGGTGGTGGGCGCCTGTAGTCCCAGCTACTTTGGGGGCTGAGACAGGAGAATCGCTCGAACCCAGGAGGCGTAGGTTGCAGTCAGCTGAGATCACACCACTGGACTCCAGCCTGGGCAACAAGAGCAAAACTCAATCTCAAAAAAAAAAAAAAAAAAAAAAGGATGTTTGCAGATTCTAAGAGGAAACTCCCGAACCCCTGGGTCCAGCCTCCCCAGTTCATAGATGAATAAACCGAGGGGACTCGAAGAGGAAAAGGCCTTTCTCTGCATCTGGGGATGAGGCCCCTGGACCCCATCGGCCCTGGAGCCCACATCTTTCTGCCCATCTCGGGAGCTCCGTGACCCCAGGCAGGGCTGTGCCCCTCGCTGGGCCTTGACTTTCCCATCTGTGAGTCCTGAGGCTGAAGAAGTTGATTCCGGACGGGAGTCAGGCCTGTTTACAGATTCAGGAAGGGCCTGGGCTCCCAAGAGCAACCCCCGCCCCCTGCAAGGCCAACAGGAAGAGGGATGGGGGGCAAGCAGCTGTGGCCTCCCTTCCTGGCCCCCACACTCCTAAGACGGCCGGGGCAGCCCCGGGACCTGCTGACACCTGGGGCGGCCCAGCTGCCTGGCCTTCCCCTTCCTCCTCCCTGACCCATTGTTCTGCCAGAAACGCTCCCATCCAGGCAGCCAGACAGGAGGATGACTGCTCTCCCAGGGGAACAGGCCGAGGACCAAAATAAACCTGGGTCTTCCTTCCTGCAGGAGGCGGTGTAGCGGCCGCATCAGCCCTTACAGGGCAGGGGCCTTCCTAGGGACTGCCTGGGGCCTAGGGGCATCGCCCTCCAAATGCCAGGGCACCCTGCCATCGTCACAAACACACACAGCCTGCTACAGCTTCTGGGATTCAGGTGTTAACACCCATTCAGTGGCTCAACGAGCATTTATGGAGCACCAGCTGTCCTGGGGCAGAAGCTTGTAACCAAACCCCAGTGTCCTGAGCCAGCGACCTGTGCCTATTCGTCATTCCCACCTGGTACTGGCCAGGTTGCCTGCTTTGCAGAAGAGACCACAGAGGCACTGGGGATACAGCAGGCATCAAAACAGATCCCATCCCTGCCTTGCTAAGGCCCTGGCTTTCTAGACCCCAAGCTGCCTCCTCATTACAAAATCATCTGGGCCAGGCAAGGTGGCTCACACCTGTAATCCCAACACTTTAAGAGGCCAAGGCAGGAGGATTGCTTGAACTGGGAAGTTCAAGACCAGCCTGGGCAACATAGCGAGATCCCATCTCTACAAAAAAAAATTTTTTTTAATTAGCCAGGCATGGTGGCACGGGTCTGTGGTCCCAGGTACTCGGGAGGCTGAGAGGGGGAGAATCGCTTGAGCCCACGAGGTCAAGGCTGCAGTGAGCTATGATCACACCACTGCACTCCAGCCTGAGCAACAGAGCAAAACCCTGTCTCAAAAGGAAAAAAAAAAAAAAAAAAAAAAAAGCCAGGTGCACTGACTCACACCTGTAATCCCAGCACTTTGGGAAGCTGAGGTGGGCAGATCACCTGAGGTGAAGAGTTGAGATCAGCCTGGCCAACATGGTGAAACCTTATCTCTACTAAAAATACAAAAAAAATTAGCTGGGCATGGTGGCAGGCACCTGTAATCCCAGCTACTCTGGAGGCTGAGGCAGGAGGATCATTTGAACCCGGGAGGTGGAGGTTGCAGTGACAGTGAGCCGAGGTCTCCAGCCTGGGTGATAGAGCGAGACTCCGTCACAAAAAACAAAAAACAAAACAAAAAAACCCAGTCCGACGGCTCCTCAGACATCTAAACACACAGTTACCATAGGACCCAGCAATTCCACTTTGGGGGATCTACCCAAGAGAAACACAAGCATACACCACGCAAACACTTGTTTTGCACGTCACAGTTTACAGCGGCGTGACCCAGGGTAGCCTGCAAGTGGAAGCAACTCAAATGTCCGTATGTCCATTAATGGGTGAATGAATAAACAAAATGAGATCGGTCCAAACAATGGAATGTTCTCTAGCCATAAAAGGAACGAGGCTCACACACAAGCTCCAGCGTGGATGCACCTTGAGGACATCATTCCCAGTGACAGAAGCCAGACACACAAGGCCACAAAGTGTGTGATCCCACTTCTATGAAATGTTCAGGAAGGGCCGGGCACCGGCTCACGCCTGCAATCCCAGCACTTTGGGAGGCCGAGGCGGGCGGATCACAAGGTCAGGAGATCGAGACCATCCTGGCTAACACGGTGAAACCCCGTCTCTACTAAAAATACAAAAAATTAGCGGGGCGCGGTGGCGGGCACCTGTAATCCTGGCTACTCGGGAGGCTGAGGCAGGAGAATGGCGTGAACCCGGGAGGCGGAGCTTGCAGTGAGCCAAGATCACGTCACTGTACTCCAGCCTGGGTGACAGAGCGAGACTCCATCTCAAAAAAAAAAAAATGTTCAGGAGAGGCCTGTCCACAAGGGCAGAAAGCGGACTCGCGGGTGCTGGAAACTGGAAGAGGGGAAAATGGAAAGCGATTGCTAAATTGGGAACCAGGTTTTTTTGGGGTGAGTGGTAATGGAATGTTCTGGAATTAGAGATTCCAGAAATTTATGATGGTCACATAACTTTCTGGTTATAAATTGTACACTTTAAAACAATGATTGGCCAGGTGCGGTGGCTCATAACTGTAATCCCAGCAGTTTGGGAGGCAGAGGGAGGAGGATCAATTGAGGCCAGGAGTTCAAGACTAGCCTGGCCAACATAGTGAGACCCGGACTCAACTGAAAAAAAAAAAAAAAGTCGGCCGGGCGTGGTGGCGAGCACCTGTAATTCCAGCTACTCGGGAGACTGAGGCAGGAGAACCGCTTGAACCTGGGAGGCGGAGGTTGCAGGGAGTCGAGATTGTTCCACTGCACTCCAGCCTGGGTGCAAAAACTGTTCCCCTGCTGGAAGGAGGAGGTGCCGGTAACCAATAAATAGAAACAAACAAGTTAATTTCAGGAAGAGAGATATGGGCCACGGGGGTGGGGGATGAAGTTCAGGGTAACCAGGAGGGCCTCTCTAGGGAGAGGCTGGGCCAGTTGAACTGGGCCTGCAATGACAGGGTCTGCGGGAAGATGCTCCAGGCAAAGGGCACAGCCTGTGCAAAGGCCCTGGGGCAGGGCTGTGTCACGCTTGTTACAGGAACAGCCAGGAGGCCTCAGCCCTGTCCACAGCCTCTGTCCAGGTCCGTCCACAGCTCTGAGGTCTCCCTGCTGTGACCCTTGGCAGGCCCCATGCATGGGGGCAGCTTTCCCATCTGCAAAATGGGTGACCAGGCACCAACTCCCTGGCTCCCTTGACTCTTCCCCTGCTCCCTATATTCCTTTTTTTTTTTTTTTTTGAGACGGATCCTCCTGCCTCAGCCTCCCAAAGTGCTGGGACTACAGGTGTGAGCTACCACCCCTGGCTTAAATGTACTTTATTTAACTATAAGTTTATGTATGTATGTATGTTTGTATGTATTTTGAGATGGAGTCTTGCTCTGTCTCCCAGGCTGGAGTGCAGTGGCCAAATCTCAGCTCACTGCAACCTCTGCCTCCCGGATTCAAGCGATTCTCCTGCCTCAGCCTCAGCCTCCCAAGTAGCTAGGACTACAGGTGCATGCCACCACACCCAGCTGGTGTATTTGTATTTGTACAAAAATACAAATTTGTGTATTTTTAGTAGAGACGGGGTTTGGCCATGTCGGCCAGGCTGGTCTCTAACTCCCGGCCTCAAGTGATCTACTCGCCTCGGCCTCCCAAACTGCTGGGATTACAGGTGGGAGCCACCACGCCCAGCCTTAACTATAAGTTTATATTCTCCCACGTTAAATAATGGCTGCGTTTAACTACCAGATGGCAAAATTCCTGAAAACACAGGAGGTGGCTCTGGTGAGCTGGCTGCAATTATGTCACAAGTCCCTGCCGTCCCCACCCCTGTCCCATGAATTCTTCATGCACCTCACAGAGTGTCAATAATTGATGGATCTGCTCTGCAGGTGCACGCCAGCCGCTCCATCTGTCTTGTCTCAGCCCCGGCTGCACTCAGTCCGGGGGCCCAGGGGGGGCCTCAGGCCTCTTCCCGCCGAGGCCAGTGATCCCAGGCCTCATCCCACCGACTCCCAGGGTCCCACTGCACCAAGCCCTTTAAGACCCATGACTCACAGGCTGGGCGTGGTGGCTCATGCCTGTAATCCCAGCACTTTGGGAGGTCGAGGCGGGCAGATCACCTTAGGTCGGGAGTCCAAGACCAGCCTGGCCAACATGGTGAAACCCCATCTCTACTAAAAATACAAAAATTAGCCGTGTGTGGCACACGCCTGTAATCCCAGCTACTCGGGAGGCTGCGTCACGAGACTCGCATGAACCTGGGGGGCAGAGGTTGCAGTGAGCTCCACTTCATTCCAGCCTGAGAAACAGAGTGAGACTCTATCTCAAAAAAAAAAAAAAAAAAAAAAAAATCCATGACTCAGGACTTGCAAGCCGGTGTCCATTTTATTTTTATTTATTCATTTTTTTTTTAAGACAAGGTCTTACTCTGTTGCCCAGGCTGGAGTGCAGTGGTACCATTATAGCTCACTATAGCCTCGACCTCCTGGGCTCAAGTGATCCTCCCACCTCAGCCTCCTGAGTAGCTGGGACTACAGGTATGTGCCACCATGCCTGGTTAATTTTTTTTTTTTTTTTTTGGTAGACATGGCGTCTTGCTATGTTGCCCAGGCTAGTCTCGAACTCCTGGGCTCAAGTGATCCTCCCGCCTTGACCTCCCAAAGTGCTGGGATTGCAGGCGTGAGCTGCCACACTTGGCCAGTGTCCATTTTATTTTATTTTTATTTTATTTTTTTGAGACGGAGTTTCACTCTTGTTGCCCAGGCTGGAGTGCAATGGCATGATCTCAGCTCACTGCAACCTCTGCCTCCTGGGTTCAAGTGATTCTCCTGCCTCAGCCTCCCAAGTAGCTGGGATTACAGGCATGCGCCACCACGCCCGGTTAATTTTGTATTTTTAGTAGAGACGGGGTTTTCTCCATGTTGGTCAGGCTGGTCTCGAATTCCTGACCTCAGGTGATCCACCCGCCTCGGCCACCCAAAGTGCTGGGATTACAGGCATAAGCCACCGTGAACGGCCAATTTTATTATTTATTTATTTTTTGAGATGGAGTCTCGCTCTGTTGCGCGATCTCAGCCCACTGCAACCTCCACCTCTCCAGTTCAAGCAATTCTCCTGCCTCAGCCTCCCAAATAGCTGGGATTACAGGCACCTGCCACCATGCCTGGCTAAGTTTTGTATTTTTAGTAGAGATGGGGTTTTGCCATGTTGGCCAGGCTGGTCTCCTCCTGGGCTCAAGCGATCCTCCTGCTTCGGCCTCCCAGAATGCTAGGATTACAGGCATGAGCCGCCATACTTCGCCAGTGTCCATTTTAGTTATGGCAAAAGAGAGAGGGGAATCTGTTGGCCCAAGTTGGGGGTGACATCAGTTGTTCTCAAACTGGGTTCCCCAGCACCCTCAGGACCACCCCATGGATGGGCAGGGGCCAGCTGCCTGCTGGGTTGTGGCGGGGAGCCTGGACACTTTCCACTGTGGCCAGATTTCCACTGGAGAAAGGGTTCGAGGGCCAAACATGAATTATCAGCTACCCACAGCCCATGACTCTGCAGAGGAGGGGACAGGCTTGCCTCAGCCCAAGCAATAAATTATTAGAGTGCAGAGAAGCCTAGGATCACCTGGCAGGAGGTGCATCCAGCCCCTAAATGTGTCCCAATGCAACCCACTTTTTTTTTTTTTTTGAGACAGAGTCTCACTCTGTTGCCCAGGCTGGAGTGCAGCGGCGTGATCTCGGCTCACTGCAACCTCCGCCTCCTGGGTTCAGGTGATTCTCCTGCCTCAGCTTCCTGAGTAGCTGGTATTACAGACACGTGCCACCATGCCTGGGTAATTTTTGTATTTTTAGTAGAGATGGGGTTTCACCATGTTGGTCAGGCTGGTCTCCAACTCCTGACCTCAGGTGATCCACTTGCCTCAGCCTCCCAAAGTGCTGGGATTACATGAGCCACCCTGCCTGGCCTAACGCAACCCACTTCTTATCTCCCCCACAGCCTCCATCCTGGTCCCCTCGTCCCTCAGCACCATCTATCCCCATGCCCCCCGTCTGTCCTCCCTGTAGCAGCCAATGGGTGCCTGTGAGTACCTGAGTCAGGTTCCATCCTTCCCCTGCCCACCACCCTCCATGGCTCCCACCTCCCTTGGGGTCAAAGCCAAGTATTCCTGGCAGCCCATAAGATCCTGCGCACCCTGCCCTGTCCCCTCCCTGCCCTCCCCTCCTCCCTCTCTCCTCCTCCTCACTGCTCCAGCCCCACGGGCCTCCTTGCTGCTCCTCTACCATGCCAGGCGCCATCTTGCCCCAGGGCCTTTACACAACCTGTGCCCTCTGCCTGAGCTGCTCTTCTCCCAGGTCTCCACATGGCTGTTTCCTTCTTGTCATCCAGGTCTGGGTTTACATGGCCCCTCCTCAGGAAGCCCTCCCAGATCCCCCATCTATTTTATTTATTTTATGTGTATATTTTTAATTTTTTTTTTTTTTTTGAGATGGAGTCTCACACTCTGTCAACCCAGGCTGGAGAGCAGTGGTGCAATCTCGGCTCACTGCAACCTCTGCCTCTTGGGTTTAAGTGTTTCTCCTGCCTCAGCCTCCTGAGTAGCTGGATTACAGGCACCCACCACCACGCCCGCCTCATTTTTGTATTTTTAGTAGAGACAGGGTTTTGCCCTCTTGGCCAGGCTGGTCTCGAATTCCTGACCTCAGGTGATCCGGCCACCTCAGCCTCCCAAAGTGCTGGGATTACAGGCGTGAGCCACGGCGCCCAGCCAATTCTCTTCTTTTTCTTTGAGACAGGGTTTCACTCCTGTCGCCCAGGCTGAAGTGCAGTGGCATGAGCTCGGCTCACTGCAGCCTCAACCTCCCTGGGCTCAGGTGATCCTCCCACCTCAGCCTCCAGAGTGGCTGGGACTACAGGCCTGCGACACCACACCTGGCTAATTTTTTTTTCTTTGTTTTAAGTAGAGACAGGGTTTCACCATGTTGCCCAGGCTGGGAAATTCTCTAGATGGACCTGCAAGTTTTTGGTTATAAGGAAACTGAGTCACAGAGGGTCAGGAGCTTGCCTGTTTATAAAGCAGTGATGTGGCAGAATCAGAATTTGAACCCAGCCTTTAACCTAGTGCAATCCTTTCCTCATCCTAGTCAATGGCACATTTGGGGTTCAAGTCTCGTCTCTCCCAGAGCCCACCCCAGAGGGGAAGGATCGAAGCCTTAGGAAGCTTCTAGAAGTACTGTGTCCTGTAATCCCCTCCTCGGGCTTTTAACAATATCTTGTTGAATCTCCCCCACCCCTCAAAGCACCCTCCCTCCCCACAGTTATCTCAGCCCCACAAGAAAAAGGAGATGACCAGCCCCATTGGACAGATGGGGAAACTGAGGCCTAGAAGCTGGGGATTTACAAGATCCCAAGAACTCTGCCAGAGGTCCCTGCGTCAAAGCTCGAGCGGGTGTGATTCCAGGGAGGTCATCTGCTGAGGGGTGTCGGGAGATGCTGGGAAGGGGCAGGCATGCTGTGGAACTGGGCCGTTCCTGCCTCTCGCTCTGCCTCCTTGCCCTGCTCCCCGTCTGTAACACCTGAGCTGTACCTGGGCAAGTGTGAGTCATTTTTTAGCGTTGACGTCTCTCTGGGAGGAGTGTTCCCCTGTCAACGGCTGGAGTTTTGTCCTCAAGGCACCCTTTCGTGGCCCCATTGGACAGACAGGGACACTGAGGCCTCCGGAACCCACCATACTGAATTGTCAAGCAATCAAAAGACCCCTCACCCACCTGGGCTGACCCCTGGGGGAACGGGGATGAGGAAACTGAGGCTCTGGGGGCACCTGACCGTCGGTCCAAGGCCACACAGTGGGAGGGGCCGTACCGCGGGGCCTCAGACCTGCACCCGTCTGCAGAGCCACCCCACCATTGGAGCAGGGTTCAAGTCCCCCCCCCGGCCCCATATTCCCTGCAGGGGTCCAGGCACTCACCCACCACCTGTATCCCAGGCTGCTCCAGCCTCTGGCCAGTGCCCGATTCACCCAGGTGTTTGTGTGGCTGGAGACAGCCCTTTGTTCACGGTTTCCATAGGTACAGCGTCCCTGAGCGGCCCCTCCTCTGCCCCTCCCAGCCCTTGCCTGTGCAGGTCCTGGGTCCGGCCCATCCAGGGAGCTTGTTATGTTTCAAAGTTGGCGCCCTCGGACCTGCCGTAGTGGCAGAGGGCACAGCCCATGCAAAGGCCCTGAGAGAGGACCTCGCCTGGGGTGTTGGAGAAACAGGAGGAGGCCAGTGTGACTGGGGCAGAGCCACAGCGAGAGTCAGGCAGGTTATGAGCAGGGCCTGTATTCCTGCATCTGATCCCCCAGCAGCCCTCAACTTGGGGAGTTACGACCCACTCCTGTTTTACAGATGAGGAAACTGAGGCTCCGCAGAATTGAAAAACTGGTTCAAGATATCATGCGGGTGGCAGAGCTCAAACCTAGATTGGTCCAAGCTCCGCCACCACTGGGCTGGCCCCCCTGGGGCCTCCCAAGGCGTTCATCGCCTCCAGCTGAGCTGGGACTGGCTCAGGAAATAAACTCTGGCGGCCTGTTTACACCTGGGGCTGCTCCTCCACCAGCCCTTCCCCCCTCCATAGAGAAGGTGCTGGGAAATGTGAGGATGCAGAGAAAACAGATTCTGTCCTGCCTCTGTCCCCACTTCCCTGGACAAACATTGGAAGCATTGGCCTCTTTCTAGGCCTTAGTTTCCCATCCCAGGAAATGGGCCTAGTTCGACTTCACAGAAAAGGCCAGGAGGCGGCAGGTGTCCTTCAGATCACCTGCCAATTACCTTAGCAGCGACGGTCCCAGTTCACAGCTGGCAAAACTGAGGCCAAGTCCCCACAGGCCACTTGGGAGCTCATTAGGGGCCAGTCTGGGTGGGCCCGGGCTGGCCTAGGCCTGGCTCCCCGCCACCGATGCCTGGACCGATGCCTGGTTTAGCTAGAAGCTACAGTCATGCCCACCTCCGCACGGCTGGCCCAGCTGCCCACCGCCTGGAATGCCCTCAGGGTTCTGGAATCTGGCCTGAGCACCTGCGGCCCTACAGTTAAAGGGGGCAGAGTCCACTAGAGTCCACATGGGGGATGGGGGTGCTGGTCCCAGAGCAGAGCCCCACGCCAAGGGGGGCAATTGAGACTCAATCTGTCTCCCCCTAACCTATACAGCGAGAGTGACAGAGAGACAGACGGAAACTGAGGCAGGAATGTAGACGGACAGGCGGTGGGGTGCAGAAGCATTAAGGGGCGGGAGAGACAGAGGGCGGCCAGGTGGCCCCCGAGATGCGCTGAAATGGGGGGCGCCCCGGCACTGCTCGCTCACCTACTCTCGAAGCAGAGTCCGTACGTCCAACCGTCGGGGGTCCGTCCAGCCGCCTCCGTGGGCCGGGGCCGTTGCCGCGGCGGTGGGAGCAGCGCCGGAGCCGGGGCCGGGGCCGGGGCGGGGCGGGCAGCGCGGCCCCGCCCTCCACTCGCCTCGCCCCTCGGCAGG
The DNA here is from genome assembly GCF_000001405.40 of Homo sapiens. NCBI lineage: Eukaryota > Metazoa > Chordata > Mammalia > Primates > Hominidae > Homo > Homo sapiens. Next base: position 4,639,461 of record NC_000019.10, on the reverse strand, counting down.
CCACGCCCTCCACTCGCCCCGCCCGCGCGGAAGGGACCGGAGAGTTGCCAGGCCTGGGGGGCGGGCCGAGCGCTCCGGATTAGCCAATGACAGGGCGGGCAATGTACGAAAAGGCCAATGGGAGCAGGGCACTGCGACGGGGGGGAAGTGGGGGGAAGGGGCGGAGCCTGGGGGCGGGGTCAGGCGGCTCTGGGGGATTCCTCCGGAATCGCGAAGGGGCCCGGATGCGGGGGCGAGGCCGTCGTGGGGGTGCCGGCCACAGAAAAGGGAAGAGATAAGAGTACGAGACAGACAGAGAACCTGGGGAGGGAGGCACAGAGACACCAACAGGAAGAGACCAGAGAGCCAAAAGGCAAAACAGACCAACCACGTGGTTCTGCACGGGCCCCTTCCTCCTTCTGGGGCTAGTTTACCCGCCTGGGTAATAGGAATTTCGGCAGAAGCGTGTTTCTCAAAGTACGGCCTCGGGGAACCCTTCGCGTCAGAAAGATCTGAGAGTCCATTTTAAAATGCAGATTCCAACTAGGTGTGGTGCCTCACGCCTGGAATCCCAGCACTTTGGGAGGCCAAGGCAGGAGGATCCCTTGAGCCCAGGAGTTTGAAACCAGCCTGGGCAACCTAGGGAGACCCTGTCTCTACAAAAAAAAAAAAAAAAAGAAAGAAAGAAAAAGAAGAAGATCAAAATAAGTTAAAATTTTAAAAATACAGAGTTCTGTGCCACAAGAAGGGATGAATCTAACCCAGGGTTGTGGGGCTATAGATGAATCTTTGGGGTGAGGTGGAGGGCTCCTGGAGACCTCATCAGAGGATCCCCAGGTCCAGCCTCGATTTCCGTAGGAATGAGCCTGCAGGACACACAGGAGCCTCCCGGCTGCGCAGCGCCAGCTGGGGTCCCCCGGGGAGGATGCAGCTGTGAGTCCTGGGAACCAGGCCCTGGAGCTGCTCCCAGGTCCCCTGCAGCACCATTTCCGCCCTGCAGCCCAACTCTGGGTCCCGGTTGCAGCTAGGGCCTAGGGAGCCCATAGCAACCTCGCTGCTTCTTCCTCCAGGAAGCCAGACAACAAATTGTTGAGGGCCTGTTGTGTGTCCTGACCTGCACACGGGATTCAGGAAGACCGAGGCACAGGCCTCAGGAGGCAAAAGTAAGTTAAATATCTCATTGGCTGGGCCCGGTGGCTCACCCCTGTAATCCCAGCACTTTGGGAGGCCGAGGTGGGCGGATCACCTGAGGTCAGGAGTTTGAGACCAGCCTGGACAACATCGTGGAACCCCGTCTCTACTAAAAATACAAAAATTAGCCGGGTGTGGTGGCACATGCCTGTAATCCCAGCTACTCAGGAGGCTGAGGCAGGGGAATCGCTTGAACTCTGGAGGCAGAGGTTGCAGTGAGCCAAGATCGGGCCACTGCACTCCAGCCGGGGCGACAGAGCAAAATTCCATCTCAAAAAATAAAACATACAAAAAAAAAAAATTAGCTGGTCGTGGTGGTGCACGCCTGTAGTCCCAGCTACTCGGGAGGCTGAGGTGCTAGAATTGCTTGAACCCCAGAGGCAGAGATTGCAGTGAGCCGAGATCGCGGCACTGCACTCCAGCCTGGGCTACAAAGCAAGAGTCCATCTCAAAAAATAAAAAATAAAGCAAAAATATGAAAAAATTAGCCAGGAGTGGTGGTGCACGCCTGTAGTCCCAGCTACTTGGGAGACTAAGGCACGAGAATCACTTGAACCCAGGAGGCAGAGGTTGCAGTGAGCCGAGATCGCGCCACTGCACTCCAGCCTGGACGACAGAGCGAGACTCTGTTTCAAGAAACAAAACAAAACACCTTCTTATTTCATTTTGGAGGAGGAGACTGAGGCCCAGAGAGAGGAAGTAACTTGCCTGAGGTCACACAGGCACAAGGTGGTAGAGTCAGGAGTGACTGTCCCATTTCACAGATGACGAAATGGAACCCCAGAGGGAGGAAGGGATAGGTTCCAGGCCACACAGCCAGATGAGGCAGAGATGGGATTAGGACCTGATTAGGTCTGACTTTGGTGTGGTGTGTACAGCTCCTCTCGCAACCCCAGCATCAAGGGGGTCTCCCCATCAGGGCAGGAGGACTGGAGGCATCTGAGCCTAGCATGATTTCACCTTTTTTCTTTCTTTCTTTTTTTTTAGACAGGGTCTCGATTTGTCACCCAGGCTGGAATGCAGTGGTGCAGTCACAGCTTACTGCAGTCTCAACTTCCTGGGTTCAAGCAATCCTTCTGCCTCAGCCTCCCAAGTAGCTGAAATCACAGGTGTGCACCACCAAGCTCGGCTAATTTTTATTTTTTTAAATAGAGATAGGGGGTGTCTCACTATGTTGCCCAGGCTGGTCTCGAACTCCTAGCCTCAAGCGATCCTCCTGCTTCTGCCTCCCAAAGCGCTGGGATTACAGGCAAGAACCACCACACCTGGTCTCTTTTCTGTATCAGATAAGAAGGTTGGGACTCGGGAGGGCTAGGGTTCAGTGGGTGTTAGGGGTGGGGGAGGGATGATCTTGGCCGGGAATGCAGGCTTACTGGGTGATGGGGCTTAGTGAGAATAGGGCCTCTGCTGGGATTGGGCTCTGTCTACAGTAAGGGTGCAGCCCAGGGTTAGGGTTCAGCCTAGAGTTGGAGACTCTATCGAGGGTCCAGGCTCAGCCCAGAGTCGGGATTTAGAAGGGGTCGCAGGCTCTATTCCGTATCAGACCTCAGCCTAGAGGGGGGCTCAGCCCTGAGTTGGGAGCTCAGGTCGATGGAGACTCTATTGGAGTTTGAGGCTTGGCTCAGGACCAGGGCTCAAAGACAGATCAGAGGCTCTATCCAAAGTTGGGGTCTCAGCCCAGGTCCCAGCTCTACTGGGATTGAGGTTTAGCCCAAGGCGGGAGCTCAGCCCAGTGTCGCGGTTCCTTAGGAGGTCGGGGATCGATCCAGAGTTGGGGGCTCTATAACCCGGTAAAGCTCAGCCGGGTGGGAGTCGGGTCCGGAGTCCCGAGGGTCCGGGAGTCGCCGCCGCGCCGTTTCCGATCATGCCCGGCAGAGGGCGCGCTCTGCCCACAGCCCGGGCTGGCGGCGCCTTCGCTTCCCCGGAACCCGCGGCCGGGGCGGGCGGGATCTGCGTGCGGGGCGGGGTCTCCAGGCCCAAGTCTCCCCGCGGAGCCTAGACCCACCAGAGTCACCCGCACCCCCAGGCCAGGCCTCGCACCCTGCCGGGCTGTGCAACCTGCAGCTAGCGACCCTCTTCTCCGGGCCTCTGCCCCGGCCCAGTGCCATGGGATCCCGTTTGGGGGAGCTATGGAACCTTGAATGTGGGGTCGATGGGACTCCGTTTGCGGGGATGATGAGACCCTGGTTGGGATGGGGGATGGGATTCCGTTTATGGGGTGATGGGATCCTGGTTGCGGGGGGACGATGATATCCCAGTTGAGGGGCTTGAAGGAGGCGGCTTATTCTGTTCTGCAGGAGCCTGTGGGACTCGTCTTGGGGGCCAGAACGCACTCCCCTCCCCCTTACCCCTCTCCCAGTGGTAACTCCTACACGTCCGCCATCTGTCCCCAGGCCATCTGTCTGTCTCTGCAAGACCCTTTCCAAGGCCGCTTGAGAAAGGGAGTGGGTGGGCGGGCCCAGAGCAGGGACAGAAGGAGGGGAGCGAATCTTGCTGGAGCGCTCACCTCTCAAAGTCCAGGCCCGGGGGCCTCCTGGAACTTTCCCAAGGTCACTGGAAGAGAGGGAGGGGCTGTCACCCTCCCTGGGGTCGGGGGCTGGGCATGGGGTCAGGGGCGCACTCCTTTCCCCCCAACCACTAAACCAACTCCCTCTATCTTCCTGCTGCCAGAGAAGGAGCCAGCCTGCCCCCGAAGGAGGGTGGATTTACAAGTGTCAGCCGTGCAGACGCCAGCCTGTGTCAGCCGGGTGTCTGGGGAGGTAGACGGTGCGTGTGTGCCCGTGTGTGCCCCTGTGGGTGGGTGGGTGGGTGTGTTTGGGGAGAGGGCAGCCCGATCTTCTGCTGCCCCTGGGGATAGAGCGTCCTTAGTCATCCCGGGCAGGAAAGGAAACTTCACTTTTTGGAACCTCAGTGACTGCATCTGGAAGATGGATGCAGTGATCGTAGCAGATTCAGAGATTTGTAAAACTGCAAGGACAGGGTGCTGGGACTCAGCACTCTTGCATTGTCTGATGGCCTCAATAAGACACCGGCAGCCGGGCGCGGTGGCTCACGCCTGTAATCCCAGGACTTTGGGAGGCCAAGGCGGGCAAATCACTTGAGGTCAGTTCGAGACCAGCCTGGCCAACATGGTGAAACCCCACCTCTACAGAAAATACAAAAATTAGCCAGGCGTGGTGGTGAGGGCCTGTGGTTTCAGCTACTTAGGAGGCTAAGGCAGGAGAATCATCTGAACCTGGGAGGTTGAACCTGGGAGGTTGCAGTGAGCCGAGATTGTGCCACAGGACTCCAGTCTGGGTGACAAAGCAAGACTCTGTCTGAAAAAAAAAAAAAAGAAAAAGAAAAGGAAAAAGAAAGAAAACAGCTGAGAATCGCCGCACCCAGAGATCAGAAAAGCTAGGGTATTTATCCCCTCATGTTCAACCAGCGTTGACAAAGGACTACTCCCAGGAACCTTAGCTCTGGGCAGAGAGAACGCCCCAAAACAGGGAGATATGTCTGTGGTTCTGAGCAGCTGCTACAGGACATGACTCAGTGTGGGCTGATGAGAGCCAGCCCCGGGGCTTAGTCCAGAACTACAGAGGAGGCAGCACCAGCCTGGGGAAATACCAGCTGGGATCTGCTAAGGACTGGTATGAGATCTGCCTTGTGGCAGAAGCCAGGGGAGGAGAACAGAGCTAAGTCCGGGAAGGAGACTGAATACTGGGGCCCCTTGATCAAACTGTGCCTGAAGCCCCTCTAGACTAGGCAAGGACATTTCTCTCTCTCTCTCTTTCTCTCTCTCTCCCTCTCCCTCTCTCCCTCCTCTCTCCTCTCTCTCTCTCCTCTCCTCTCTCTCTCTCCCCCCCCAACCCCCGTCTTGGTGGAGTCTGACTATGTTGTCCAGGCTGGTCTTGAACTCCTGGCCTCAAGTGATCCACCTGCCTCAGCCTCCCAAGGTGCTGGGATTACAGACATGAGCCTCTGCGCCCAGCCCTAACACCTTGTATTTTAACAGCTCGGTGATACATTCAGGTCCTCTACTGGACTGAGGGTCCTGGAAGAGCAGGTCTGGGCCCATTTTTCTCCTGCCATGTTCCTGGTGCCCAAAACAGGGCCTGGCACACAGTAGGTGCTCACTTAAATGAGTGTTAAGCAATCAAATGAGATTTCTTTTCTCAATTTGTGGTTGAGAAAACAAAGCCCAGGAAGGGAGCAGACTTGTCCACAAAGCAAGTGGGAATCTGGGTCAGGATTCAAATCAGACTTATGTGGCTGATGGCCCAGCATGTCCCTTCACCCGTGGAGCACTTCTGTCGTCCGCCCTGTCTTTCCTCACCATGGCTCGGTCTAGCCAGCCTCTCTGCTCCTTATCTCCCTGAAATGCCCCCCACCCCTGCCACAGCTTCCAGGGAGACCCCACAGGGCCCAGGCAATCCGGGAGGGCTTCCTGCAGGAAGGGCTCCTAGACAGCGCGGTGTGCTGAGAGCTGTGTCTGACTGTGAAATGCCGGTTGATTTGCTCATCTACATCTTTGCAGGAGGCACAGGGCACAGGTGGGAAATATTCCCACAGCTGTCCTCACACTTACCCATCTGTCACGATGACTTCATCAGAGCCTGAGCTGGGGGTGTGGCTGACCTCATCTTCCCACCTCCCGGAGTGTGGTGAGCAGAATCCTGACCTGTTAAAAGTATTAACTCAGCAGCCCCACGCCTGGCCTGAATCTCAGGCAGCGAGCTCCTTCTGCTCATTTTCTGAGTCTCTGCCTGCTGTTAAAGTTCCCCTTTTAGCTGATAAGGAAAATGAGCCCATAGAGTGACTTCCCTTGCCCCGGAGACACACAGCATGTGCTGAGAGCTGGACTGGTCTCTCCTTGGCCACTGCCCTGCCTCTTCAGTGCATTCTCTGCAAAGCCACTAGAGGGTGCCTGTGAGCACCTGACTCAGGTCCTGTTCCTCCTCTGTCCACAGCCCTCTATGGCTCCCACCTCCCTCAAGGTCAAGACCCAAGTCCTTCCTGCAGCCCATGACGGCCCGCACGACCTGTCCCGTCCCCTCCTTCCCCTCCCCTCCTCCCTCTCTACCCCTAGCTCACTCTATTCCAGCCACATGGGCCTCCTTGCTATTCCTCCAACATGCCAGGTGTGGTCCTGCCCCAGGGCCTTTGCATGCATGGTGCCCATAGCCTGGGATGCTGTTCCCTGGAGATCTTCATAGAGCACTTGCTCTAATCAGCTCGGGATGAGCAAGGGAGAGGGAGAAAACCACTCACAGAGGGATAGGGGAATGCTAATGAAACGCTCTTTTTTTTTTTTTTTTTTTTTTTAAGATGGAGTTTTGCTCTGTCGCCCAGGCTGGAGTACAATGGCGTGATCTCGGCTCACTGCAGCCTCTGCCTCCCGGGTTCAAGCGATTCTCCTTCCTCTTCCTCAGCCTCCCGAGTAGCTGGGATTACAGGTGCATGCCACCACATCAAGCTAATTTTTGTATTTTTAGTAGAGATGGGTTTCACCATGTTGGCCAGGCTGGTCTCAAACTCCTGAGCTCAAGTGATCCACCTGCCTCAGCCTCCCAAGGTGCTGGGATTACAGGCGTGAGCCCCTGCAGCCAACCGATGAAAACTTTTCTAGCTCCCTTCAGCTCTCCTCCTGAAGAAAGACCTTCAGCCCACCTGGTGAGTCATGGTCATGGCGGGGCCTCTGTTTCCCCATGTGTAAGAGACAGGTAATGCTTCCCAAATCCGTGCCAATGGCTTCTCATCTTTTCTTCCATTTCCCCATATCCACAGTTATCTATTTTCCTTTAAACCTCACATCTGAAATATCAGTCAATGTATTTTAAAAATCTTTTTTAGCCGGGCACGGTGGCTCTTGCCTGTAATCCCAGCTCTTTGGGAGGCTGAAGCGGGAGGATCACTTGAGGCCGGGAGGATCACTTGAGGCCAGGAGTTCCAGACCAGTCTGGGTAACATAAAAAGACTCCATCTCTACAAAAAAAAAAAAAAAAAATGCAAAGATTAGCCAGATGTGGTGGTGCACACCTGTGGTCCCAGCTACTCAGGAGGCCGAGGTGGGAGGATCACTTGAGCCTGGAAGGCCCAGTGATCTGGTTTGCTTCTGTGTCCTCACCCAAATCTCATCTTGAATTGTAATCCCCACGTGTTGAGGGAGGGAGGTGATTGGATCATGGGGGCAGTTTCCCCCATGCTCTTCTCCTGATAGCGAGTAAGTTGTCATGAGATCTGATGGTTTTATAAGTGTTTGAAGTTTCTCCTTTGTCCAGCCGTCTTGTGAAGAAGGCTGCTTCCTGTCCCACCATGATTGTAAATTTCCTGAGGCTTCCCCAGCCATGAGGAACCAAGTCAATTAAACCTCTTTCCTTTATAAATTACCCGGTCACGGTGGCTCACGACTGTAATCCCAGCACTTTGGGAGGCCGAGGTGGGCAGATCACAAGGTCAAGAGATCCAGGCCATCCTGGCCAACATGGTGAAACCCCGTCTCTACTAAAAATACAAAAATTAGCTGGGTGTGGTGGGCGCCTGTAATCCCAGCTGCTCGGGAGGCTGAGGCAGGAGAATCGCTTGAACCTGGGAGGCGGAGGTTGCAGCGAGCGGAGATTGTGCCATTGCACTCCAGCCTGGACAATAAGAGCAAGACTCTATCTCAAAAAAATATATAAATAAACAATAAATAAAAATACAAAAATTAGCCGGGCGCAGTGGTGCGCACCTGTAATCCCAGCTGTTCAGAAGGCTGAGGCAGGAGAATCACTTGAACCTGGGAGGCAGAGGTTGCAGTGATCAGAGATCACGCCACTGCACTCCAGCCTGGGCAACAAGAGCGAAACTCCATCTCAAAACCAACAACAAACAAAAAACAAAACAAAATATGACTTCAGAGAGTGTTTGGCGTGGTATGAAATAACCTGGAAGCCCAGTTGCACAGTGACCCCTTTGAATATCTGTTCTGTCTTTCTCAAGTCTCAAGTGGGTCCTGCCAGGGGCGAGGGGTCGAGGGAGTGGTTGTTAAGTCTCTCCCACCTGTCATTCCTTCCGTCACTACGGGATCCATTTAAGTCAATCAGACTAAATTATATTTTCAGTTACCTTCAATCTATGGTGAGAGAAGCTGATTTTCCTTTCACCTTTGTGATTTAAAAAAAAAAGGATTATTATTTATTTTTTTTTTAGAGACAGGGTCTCATTCTGTCACCCAGGTTAAAATGCAGTGGTGCCATCACGGCTCACTGCAGTCTGAATGTATTGGTCTGTTCTCACACTGCTATAAAGAACGTCCCTGAGATTGGGTAATTTATTTATTTCTTTTTTATTTGTTTATTTATTTATTTATTTGAGACGGGGTCACACTCTGTCGCCCAGGCTGGAGTGCAGTGGCGTGATCTCTGATCACTGCAACCTCTGCCTCCCAGGTTCAAGTGATTCTCCTGCCTCAGCCTTCTGAACAGCTGGGATTACAGGTGCGCACCACTGCGCCCGGCTAATTTTTGTATTTTTATTTATTGTTTATTTATATATTTTTTTGAGATAGAGTCTTGCTCTTATTGTCCAGGCTGGAGTGCAATGGCACAATCTCCGCTCGCTGCAACCTCCGCCTCCCAGGTTCAAGCGATTCTCCTGCCTCAGCCTCCCGAGCAGCTGGGATTACAGGCGCCTACCACACCCAGCTAATTTTTGTATTTTTAGTAGAGATGGGGTTTCACCATGTTGGCCAGGCTGGTCTCAAACTCCTGACCTCAGATGATCCACCCGCCTTGGCTCCCAAAGTGCTGGGATTACAGGTGTGAGCCACCACACCCGGCCAATTTTTGTATTTTTAGTAGAGATGGGGTTTTGCCATGTTGGCCAGGCTGGTCTCAAACTCCTGACCTCAGGTGATCCTCTTCCCTTGGCCTCCCAAAGTGCTAGGATTCCAGGTGTGAGTCGCCACGCATGGCCTATTTTTTTTTTTTTTTTTTTTGACACAGAGCCTCGCTTTGTTGCCCAGGCTGGAGTGCAGTGGCATGATCTCACTGCAACTTCTGCCACCTGGGTTCAAGCGATCCTCCTGCCTCAGCCTCCCAAGTAGCTGGCATTACAGGTGCCTGCCACCATACCCGGCTAATTTTTATATTTTTAGTAGAGACGGGGCTTCACCATGTTGGCCAGGCTGGTCTTCAACTCCTGACCTCTAGTGATCTGCCCACCTCTGCCTCCCAAAGAGCTGAGATTATAGGCTTGAGCCACTGTATCTGGCCTGTCTTGTTTTCTGCTGTGTTCTCAGGACCTAGAACAGGTGAGTACACAGTAGGTGCTCAATAAATGTTTGTGAAATAAACAAATGCACCCATGTCTGTTCCTCTTTATGGCCCATTGTGCTTGGAAGAATATTGACACCTCCCCGTCCAAAGATGTCCACATCCTAATTCCCAAATCCTATGCATATGGTACTTCAGTTGGCAAAAAGCACTTTGCAAATGGGATTACATTAAGGATCTTGAGATGAGGAGATGATCCTGGATTATCTGGATAAACCCAGTGCAATCACAGGGTGCTTATAAGAAGGAAGAAGGAGGCTGGGCGCAGTGGCTCATGCCTATAATCCCAGCACTTTGGGAGGCCGAGGAGGGTGGATCACCTGAGGTCAGGAGTTTGAACCAAGCCTGCCCAACATGGTGAAACCCTGTCTCTACTAAAAATACAAAAATTAGCCAGGTGTGGTGGTGGGCACCTGTAATCCTAGCTGCTCTGGAGGCTGAGGCGGGAGAATCACTTGTGCTCGGGAGGTGGAGGTTGCGGTGAGCCGAGATTGCCCCACTGCACTCCAGCCTGAGTGACAGAGTGAGACTCCGTCTCCAAAAAACAAACCAAACCTAACCAAAAAAGAAAAGATGGGGCCCGGCGCAGTGGCTCATGCCTATAATCCCAGCACTTTGGGAGGCCAAGGCGGGTGGATCACAAGGTCAGGAGTTCCAGACCAGCCTGGCCAATATGGTGAAACCCCGTCTCTACTAAAAATACAAAAAAAAAAAAAAAAAAAATTAGCCAGGTGTGGTGGCTCGCATCTGTCGTCCCAGCTACTCGGGAGACTGAGGCAGAAGAATCGCTTGAACCCAGAAGGCGGAGGTTGCAGTGAGCTGAGGTCACGCCACTGCACTCCAGCCTGGGCAAGACAGCAAGACTCTGGAGACTCTGTCAAAAAAAAAAAAAAAAAAAGAAGGAAGCAGGAAGGCCAGGTTCAGAGAAGTAGACCTGATCGATAATAGGAACAACCAGGGTGAGGTAGCTTGAGAAAGACTCCATCAGCCCTTGCTGGCTTGGAGATGGAGGAAGGGGCCATGAGCCAAGGAATCCAAGAAGCCTCTGAAGACTGGACATGGTGGCTCATGCCTGTAATCCCTGCACTTTGGAAAGCCAAGGCAGGAGGATCCTTTGAGGTCAGGAGTTCAAGACCAGCCTGGCCAACATAGAGAGACCCCAGTCTCTACAACATAAAATTAAATTAAATTAAAAATGAAGCCTCTAGAAGCTGGAAAAGCAAGGAAAGTAGTTCTCCTCTAGAGCCTCCAGAAGGAATGCAATCCTGCAGTCACCTTGATTTTAGCGTAAGAGAACTCAGAACCCCAAGGAGGCCAGGTGCGGTGGCTCATGCCTGTTATTCCAGCAATTTGGGAGGCCGAGGTGGGCGGATCATCTGAGGTCAGGAGTTCAAGACCAGCCTGGCCAACATGGTGAAACCCCTTCCTCTACTAAAAATACAAAAAAAAAAAAAAAAAAAAAAAAAATTAGCCAGGCATGGTGGTGCACGCCTGTAATCCTAGCTACTTGGGAGGCTGAGGTAGAAGAATCACTTGAACCCGGGAGGCGGAGGTGGCAGTGAGCAGAGACCACGCCGCTGTACTCCAGCCTGGGTGACAGAGTAAGACTCTGTCTCAAAAAAAAAAAAAAAGAATTTGAGAATTCTTTGCCTTGAGTTTCCTAGTGGCAATCACAGTTGGTTTTGCCGACTCTCTTCCTTAGCAACCAGCAACCCCAATTTTCCTTGGGGAGCAGCCCTTTCCCCACTTCTGGTCTCAGTAGTTAGCTGACTCCACCCTCCCCCAGCTGTCCTGGCCAATCAGAGCACTACCTCTTCTGGGGGTTGCTATGATTGGTTCAGGACTGAGCCAGTGAGAATGAGAAGAGGAGGCTCTGTGTCCCTACCCGCAGGATATAGAGCTGGGAGGATGGAATTTGGAGCCACTGAGGGGCATCCTTGCCACTAAGAAAGGGGAGCCCACCTCGGGGGTGAGGCTGGGAGAAGCCAGCCCAGAAGAAAGCAGAGTTGAGAGATGGCAAGAGAAAAATTGCTAATGTCATGAGTCAAGTTCCTGGATCCAACCATACCTGAAGCTGTAATATTGCACTTGTCAATGAGCCTGGGTAGTAATTTTCCTTTTTTTTTTTTTTTTTTTTGAGATGGAGTCTCGCTCTGTCGCCCAGGCTAGAGTGCAGTGGCGCAATCTCAGCTCACTGCAAGCTCCGTCTCCTGGGTTCATGCCATTCTCCTGCCTCAGCCTCCTGAGTAGCTGGGACTACAGGTGCCCGCCACCACGCCTGGCTAATTTTTTGTAGTTTTAGTAGAGACAGGGTTTCACCGTGTTAGCCAGGATGGTCTCGATCTCCTGACCTCGTGATCCACCCACCTTGGCCTCCCAAAGTGCTGGGATTACAGGCGTGAGCCACCGCGCCCGGCCTTATTTTTTTTTTTTTAATTTTTTTTTTTGAGACAAAGTCTCATTCTGTCACCGAGGCTGGAGTGCAGTGGCACAATCTCTGCTCACTGCAACCTCTGCCTCTCGGGTTCAAGCGATTCTCCTACCTCAGCCTCCTGAGTAGCTGGGATTACAAGCATGTGCCAACATGTCCAGCTAATTTTTGTATCTTTAGTGGAGACGGGGTTTCATCACGTTGGCCAGGCTGGTCTTGAACTCCTGGCCTCAAGTGATCCGCCCACCTCGGCCTCCCAAGGTGCTGGGATTACAGGCGTGAGCCACCGGACCCGGCCACTTTTTCTTTTTTGTTGTTATCGTGGGAGTGGTTGTTTTAATGACTGGCAAAAGAATGTTGATAAGCGCCTTTTCTGCGTAATGTGTAAGATCTTGGAATTTCTGGAATAGCTATGGGGGGAAAGCGCTAGGACCTGAGAGTCACTCCCAATTTATTATTTTATTATATATTTGTCATAGAGACGGGAGTCTTGCTGCGTTGCCCAGGATGGTCTCAAACTCCTGGCCTCAAGAGAACCTCCTGCCTCCGCCTCCCAAAGTACTGGCATTACAGGCATGAGCCGCAGTGCCTGGCAGGTTCCACTTCCAATTGTTAAGAGTCTGAAGCCAGAGACAGTTGGTTCTTTCATGCTCAAACTGGGTAGCGATGGTGCACTGCAGGCGAGGGTGCCTAGCACCATGAGTGCAGTGAGGTGGCCCTGTGGCAAAACCCAGGAGCCTGGAGGGTCCAAAAAGGCCACAATAGACTGGGGGAGATTTGAAGAGAAAGCCTGAAAAACTCAAGGTTTCAAGTATCAGCAAAACCATGGGAGACGGCCAGGTGAAATGGCTGACATCTGTAATCCCCGCACTTTGGGAGGCCGAGGCAGGTGGCTCACCTGAGGTCAGGAGTTCGAGACCAGCCCGGTCAACATGGTGAAACCCCGTCTCTACTAAAAATACAAAAATTATCCAGGCATGGTGGCAGGTGCCTGTAATCCCAGCTATTTGGGAGGCTGAAGTAGGAGAATCACCTGAACCTGAGAGGCGGAGGTTGCAGGGAGCCAAGATTGCACCATTGCACACCAGCCTGGGTGACAGAGCAAGACTCCATCTCAAAAAAAAAAAAAAGGCTGGTGGCTCACGCCTGTAATCCCAGCACTTTGGGAGGCCGAGGCGGGCCGATCACGAGGTCAGGAGATCGAGACCATCCTGGCTAACACAGTGAAACCCCGTCTCTACTAAAAATACAAAAAAAATTAGCCGGGCGTGGTGGTGGGTGCCTGTAGTGCCAGCTACTCGGGAGGCTGAGGCAGGAGAATGGCGTGAACCCGGGAGGCGGAGCTTGCAGTGAGCCGAGATCGCACCACTGCACTCCATCCTGGGCGACAGATTGAGACTCCGTCTCAAAAAAAAAAAAAATGGAAGAAGGGGAGCTTCCACAGTTACCGGTTGTAGCTTAATCCTAGAAAGCACTTGGGCATTAAATAGTCAGGTAAACCACGCACACATCCAATGTTCCAGTGATTCCATTTCTAGTCATAGTTCTTAGAGAAATACTTTGCCAAGTGCATAAAGAGAGAGGAAAAGACTTTTCATAGTAGCACCTTTTGTAATATTAAAAACCAGGAATAGAGCGGGGTGCAGTGGTAGTCCCAGCTAGTTGGGAGGCCGAGGCAGGAGGATCACTTGAGGCCAGGAGTTCGAGGCTGTGGTGTGCCATGATTGTGTTTGTGAATAGCCACTGCACTCCAGCCTGGGCAGCATAGGAAGACTGCATCTCTAAAACCAAAACCAAAACCAGGAATTAACCTAAAAGTTCATTGACAGAGTGGGGCACAGTGCCTCACACCTGTAATCCCAGCACTTTGGGAGGCCGAGGCAGGTGGATCACTTGAGGTCAGGAGTTGGAGACCAGCCTGGCCAATGTGGAGGAACCCCACCTCTACTAAAAATACAAAAAAATTAGTCAGGAGTGGTGGCGTGTACCTGTAATCCCAGCTACTCAGGAGGCTGAGGCGGGAGAATCACTTGAACCCGGGAGTCGGAGGTCGCGGTGAGCCGAGATTGCACCATTGCACTCCAGCCTGGGCAACACGAATGAAACTCCATCTCAAAATAAATCCATAAATAAATAAAATAAATATTTAAAAAATTAATAAAATAAAATATTGAGTGAAAAGAGCAAATTGCAGGATGATATGTACCTTATGAGAATATTAAGATTTATTTTTAGTGTGCAAAATTACACTAGTCACGTTCATGGATGGGTGAGAGTTTATACACATAAGAATGTAGAAAAATGCGTGACTGGAGGAGGTCAAAGGCCACTGTACCTTGACTTCCAGTATTTCCATTCTTACTTACAAAACAAAACAGGCCTGAAGCAAACATGAGAAGGGTTAAGCACCGCTGGTCCTGTGTGGAGGAAACACAGGTGCTTGCTATATTTGTCTTTGCACTTGTCTTTCCTTTTTACTTTCCTCAAAATTAGAAAAAAAAAATGTTTATAACAAAGAAAGTTATGGAGGATTTAAATAGGTGGAGAGGAAGCAGGAGTGTGTTCCAGCAGAGGGACCAGCTTCAGCAAAGGCTTGGGGGCAGCAGTGAGCACGGCCTTTGGGAGATAAGAAAACCTATTGCAGAGGCTGGGCATGTTGGCTCATGCCTGTCATCCTAGCACTTTGGGAGGCCAAGGTGGGAGGAACGCCTGAGATCAGGAGTTCAAGACCAGCCTGGCCAACATGGTGAAACCCATCTCTACTTAAAATACAAAACTTAGCCAGGCGTGGTGGCATGCACCTGTAATCCCAGCTACTACTCAGGAGGCTGCGGCAGGAGAATCACTTGAGCCTGGGAGGCGGAGGTTGCAGTGAGCCGAAATCACACCACTGCACTGCAGCCTGGGCGACAGAGTGAGACGCTGCCTCAAAAAAAAAAAAAAAAAAAAAAAGGAAAAAACAAAACCTACAGCAATTGTTCTATGTCCTGAGGGCACACTTGAATCCTTTTCCCAGCCCCCAGCTCTAGACCGATTCATTCATAATCTCCAGTGGAGGGGAGGGATGGAAGGTGTTGGTTGGAATTTGAAACTCCCTGGGTGATTGTAAGCACCAGGGCAGGACTAGGAGCCATGAGATACACGGTCTAGTGCAGTAGCCACTTAAAACATGTTTGCTGAGTGGTGACTGAATAATGCAGGGAGAGTGAAAATGAAGGCTACAGGGACAGGCTGGCAGGGGCCAGCCTGTAGTTGGGACTTGGGAGGGGTTAGGCAGTCCAGATCCAGTTCCCTTAACTGTGCTTAACAAATTACAAATATTAGCCTAAGAGAATTCCGGGTGATAAAAAATGTTCTAAAGAAAATACAAGCGCTGGGTGCGGTGGCTCACGCCTGGAATCCCAGCACTTTGGGAGGCCGAAGTGGGTGGATCACCTGAGGTTGGGAGTTCGAGACCACCCTGACCCACACGGAGAAACCCCATCTCTGCTAAAAATACAAAATTAGCCAGGTGTGGTGGCACATGCCTGTAATCCCAGCTACTCGGGAGGCTGAGGCAGGAGAATGGCTTGAATCCGGGAGGCGGAGCTTGCAGTGAACCGGAGATCATGCCATTGCACTCCAGCCTGGGAAACAAAAGCGAAACTCCGTCTCAAAAAAAAAAAAAAAGAAAATACAAGCACCAGGTATGGTGGTGTGCTAGCTACGTTCCAGCTACGGGGGAAGCTGAGGCAAGAGGATTGCTTGAGTCCAGGAGTTCAAGGCTGTAGTGAGCTGTGATCATGCCACTGCACTCCAGCCTGGGCGACAGGGGACCCTGTCTCATAAAAAAAAAGAAGATTATGATGATGATGTGATAGAAAACAACTTCGTAGCTTCTTTAGTCAGGGCGGTCCGGGAGGGCTTCCTGGAGGAGGTAACATTGGAGCTAAGCCCTAAAGGTTGAGAAGCTAGCCCTAAAGATGGCAAAGGATGGGTGTAGTGGTGCGCGCCTGTAATCCCAGCTACTAGGTAGGCTGAGGCAGGAGAATTGCTTGAATCTGGGAGGCGGAGGTTGCAGTGAGCCAAGATCGCGCCACTGCACTGCAGCCTGGGCAACAGAGCGAGACTCTGTCTCAAAAAAAAAAAAAAAAAAAAAAAAGAATGGGAAAGGAGGACCAGGCAGAGAGAACAAGCAAACAGGCAGTTCCAGCACAGGGTGACCAGGGCTGTTTTGGGGGATGCCCAGGGTGTCAGAAGATCTGAGGGGTGGGCCTGGTTCAGGCACAGGTCAGGCAAGGCTTCCGGAAGGAGGCAGCTGGAATCCAGGTCTGACTTATCTCTGTCCAGCCCTGTCACTGTGAGCAGAAAGGCCACCACCCCGCCCCCAGTGTCCCCGAGGGAAATGGCACCTGAATCAAGGCGTTTATTTTTTTCCAAGGGAGTGAAAGTGAACATGATCATCTCTCCATCCATCCGCTTTTTAAATTTAGCCCAGTGCACATGGAACTTGGTTCAGGAAAAACAAGAAGTTATAAAAATATAATTCCATTCTTCATCACGGGCAGCAGAGGGAGCGAGGCGGGGAGAGACAGGGGAATTCAGAGGATGGGGAAGGCAGAAAACTCAGAAACAGCTTCAGAGGCAGGGCTGCCTAGAGGGGAAGGTCCAAGGCCCCAGCCCCAGGCAGGCATCAAACTCACCTCCTGCCCTGCCCTCTACATAGGTCCCACCTCCTGCCTCGTCTCCATCCTTCCCTCCCCTCTGCCCAAGGGCTCTTCCCCAGCCTCTCCCACCTTCTCCAGTCCCGCCCCCAACAGCTGGGACCAAACTGGCCAATCTAAAATCTAGAATCCGACCAGGCGAGGTGGCTCACACCTGTAAACCCAGCACTTTGGGAAGCCAAGGCGGGTGGATCACCTGAGGTAAGGAGTTTGAGACCAGCCTGGGCAACATGGTGAAACCCCGTCTCTACTAAAAATACAAAAATTAGCTGGGTGTGGTGGCACATGCCTGTAATCCCAGTTACTCAGGAGGCTGAGGCAGGAGAATCCCTTGAACCCAGGAGGTGAAGGTTGCAGTGAGCAAAGAGATTGCACCACTGCACTCCAGCCTGAGTGACAGAGTGAGACTCTGTCTCAAAACAAACAATTATATATGTTTCCAGCCATGAGGCTGGAACTGCCAGGAAGACAGGGCCAAGTCTGTTTTTTGTTTGTTTGTTTGTTTTTCTGGCTGTAAGTTTATTCAGTGCAAACTAATCCTCTCCAATTTTACCGAGGTGGCTGACCATGTCCACCACCAAATCCACCTCTAAACTGGAATTCGGTTGCTGGCCCAGCCCCAGCCTTGGCTTCCTGGCCAGCACCAGGGGGCACAGCGCCCCACCTGTGGGTCTCTGTCAGCTTCCCCTCTTGGGAGTCTTGGAGGGCACTCACCCTCCAGACGTTTAGGCCAAGGTCTACCAGTCTCTGGACGGCTGCGGCATAGAGTGGCAGGCACACTCTCTGAGGGCAGCTGGAGGTCATCATGGAGACACTAGATACCCTCATTGGTAAGGTACCAGTAGAAACGTCTCCAGTTGGCCAGGCATGGTGGCTCACGCCTGTAATTCTAGCACTTTGGGAGGCTGAGGCGGGCGGATCACAAGGTCAGGAGTTCGAGACCAGCCTGACCAACATGGTGAAACCCCTCCTCTACTAAACATACAAAAATTAGCCAGGCATGGTGGTGGGTGCCTGTAATCCCAGCTACTCAGGAGGCTGAGGCAGAAGAATCACTTGGACCCGGAAGGCGGAGGTTGCAGTGAGCCGAGATTGCGCCACTGCACTCCAGCCTGGGCGACAGAGCGAGACTCCATCTCAAAAAAAAAAAAAATGTCTCCAGGCAAATTGTTCCTTCACATGACCTCATGATCTGAGAGACTGTTTGGCCTTTATGACGTGTAGGTTGGGCACATTCCTGTCTGCCAGCTCTGGGTGCTTAGGCAGGTGGGCATCCTTCTTGGCCACCATGACTCCCTCCTTAAAAAGGAGTTCATAGACTGGGCACGGGGGCTCACACCTGTAATCCCAGCACTTTGGAAGGCTGAGGCGGGGGGATCACTTGAGGTCAGGATTTCGAGACCAGACTGGCCAACATGGTGAAACCCCGTCTCTACTAAAAATATAAAAATTAGCCAGGCGTGGTGGCGGGCACGTGCAATCCCAGCTACTCAGGAGGCTGAGGCTGGAAAATCACTTGAACCCAGGAGGCGGAGGTTGCAGTGAGCCGAGACCACACTATTGCACTCCAGCCTGGGCGACAAGAGCAAAACTCAAGTCACAGAAAAAAAAAAAAAGAGAGAGAGAGAAGTTCATAAATGGCAATCCGGTTCTCCTCAGCCATCAACATCTCTGCAACTGTCAGGGCCGGGGCTGGAAAGGGGGCCGAGTCTGCTTTTGTCTCCACTGCTTCTTTCCCGAGTACATGAATCTCCGGCTACCACTGAATCTCTCTGTTCTAGGCTCCGGGGTCCCTAAGACCCCTGAGTCTGGGGTCAACTCTGCTGAAGTTTGGAGGGCCATGGTGGGGATACCTTCTCAGCCAGAAAAACACAAGATCCCAAATATCAGCACCCCCCTTTCTTGAAACCCCCCAGACCCTGGACAGCAGGTCTGGATCCTGTCTGTCAGCTTCATCTCTGTTGCTAGGCAACCCCAGTGCTCTCCTCCACCCCCATCTCCCTGCATTCACACTTATTTCTTGGTGAAACAGACAAGCTCTTCCCAGCCGCCTCACCCCAAGTCTGTGCACCCCTGGGCACTCTCTCAGAACAAATTTGCCCTCTGGATGAGGGTCTCACACAAAGCTGGCCCCTCCCCACCTCCCATCCTCCCATTCCGCCTCCTGGGAATATATATATATAATTTTTTTTTGAGACAGAGTCTTACTCTGTTGCCCAGGCTGCAGTGCAGTGGCACGATCTCAGCTCATTGCAACCTTCGCCTCCCAGGTTCAAGTGAGTCTCCCGCCTCGGCTCCCCGAGTAGCTGGGATTACAGGCATGTGCCACCATACCCAGCTAATTTTGTATTTTTAGTAGAGATGGGGTTTCACCACCCGCCTCAGCTTCCCAAAGTGCTGGGAGTGAGCCACAGCGCCCGGCCACCTCCTGGGAATGGGAATAGATGTCTATAGTAGTTCCCATGCTTCCAATTTCCCATGTTCTAAAGTCAGAAGCACCTTCCCTATGTTGGCTGGCTTCACTGTCACCCATGGAGGTGGCACAGCCATTGTTGCTACACAGAGGAGGACACTGAGGCTCCGAGATGCAGAGTTGACTGCCCCCAATCGCACAGCAAGGGTTGGGCTGCTGAACTCAAATCCGGAGCCCTGTGGGGACTCCCACTCAAAGCCGCAGGGGGTCCCAGGCCAGGTGCTGTGTGACCTCGGGGAGGCCCCTTTCCCTCTCTGTTCCTCCCCAGCCAGCCAGGGAGAAGGTGAAGCCTTAAAATCCATTTGAATTCCATCTCCCTGGGCCAGGTGTTCTGGCACACGCCTGAATCCCAACGCTTTGGGAGGCTGAGGCGGGAAGACCCCTTGAGGCCAGGAGTTCAAAACCAGCCTGGGCTATGTAACGAGATCCCATCTCTACAGAAAATTTAAAAATTAGCTGGCATGGTAGCAGGCAACTGTAGTCTCATTTACTCAGGAGGCTGAGGCAGGAGGATTGCTAGAGCCCAGGAGTTCGAGGCTGCAGTGAGCTATAATCGCACCACTATGAGGCGCTCCAGCCTGGACGACAGAGCGAGACCCCGCCTCAAAAAAACTCATAAACTCCATCTCCCGTCTCTGCCTCAGTACCTGGGAGGCAGGAGCAGGTGGGGGATCTGGAAGTAGCAGAGAGGGGGGTGCCGCAGGAGAGTGGGGAGTGTGGAGCCCAGAGGTTGGCAGCCCCGGGGGAGATGTGCACCCAGAGCCTGCGAGACGGAAATAGAACGTCAGAGACAGAGGAGAGGGAGAGACAGAGGAGAGGGAGAGATAGAGGAGAGGGAGAGACTGAGGAGACGCAGAGACAGAGGAGAGGCGGAGTCAGAGGAGACGCAGAGACAGAGGAGAGGCAGAGACAGAGGAGAGGGAGAGACAGAGGAGAGGCAGAGACAGAGGAGAGGCAGAGACAGAGGAGAGGGAGAGACAGAGGAGAGGCAGAGACAGAGGAGACGCAGAGACAGAGGAGAGGGAGAGACAGAGGAGAGGGAGAGACAGAGGAGAGGCAGAGACAGAGGAGAGGCAGAGACAGAGGAGAGGGAGAGACAGAGGAGAGGCAGAGACAGAGGAGACGCAGAGACAGAGGAGAGGGAGAGACAGAGGAGAGGGAGAGACAGAGGAGAGGCAGAGACAGAGGAGAGGCAGAGACAGAGGAGAGGGAGAGACAGAGGAGAGGCAGAGACAGGAGACGCAGAGACAGAGGAGAGGGAGAGACAGAGGAGAGGGAGAGACTGAGGAGACGCAGAGACAGAGGAGAGGGAGAGACAGAGGAGAGGCAGAGACAGAGGAGAGGGAGAGACAGAGGAGAGGCAGAGACAGAGGAGAGGCAGAGACAGAGGAGAGGCAGAGACAGAGGAGAGGCAGAGACAGAGGAGAGGGAGAGACAGAGGAGAGGCAGAGACAGAGGAGAGGGAGAGACAGAGGAGAGGCAGAGACAGAGAAGAGGGAGAGACAGAGGGGAGGCAGAGACAGAGGAGAGGGAGAGACAGAGGAGAGGCAGAGACAGAGGAGAGGCAGAGACAGAGGAGAGGGAGAGACAGAGGAGAGGGAGAGACAGAGGAGAGGCAGAGACAGAGGAGAGGGAGAGACAGAGGAGAGGCAGAGACAGAGGAGAGGCAGAGACAGAGGAGAGGGAGAGACAGAGGAGAGGGAGAGACAGAGGAGAGGCAGAGACAGAGGAGAGGGAGAGACAGAGGAGAGGCAGAGACAGAGGAGAGGGAGAGGCAGAGGAGAGGCAGAGACAGAGGAGAGGCCGAGTCAGAGGAGAGGCAGAGACAGAGGAGAGGCTGAGTCAGAGGAGAGGCAGAGACAGGAGAGGTGGGGGAGGAAGGCCAGACCATCCCCCTGTGCCCAGCCAGTGCCAGATCCACAGTGGCGTGGGGAAGGGAGAAAGTGGAGAAGAGGGAGGGGTGGGGAAGAAGGTGGTGGGTGAAGCTGGTGCCCCATGGGAGGAGCAGAGACAAAAAGATACAGAAGCAGAGAGACCCAGGTGGGGGGTCGGGGGAAGACAGAGAAAGAGAGGGCTGGGGAGAGAGAGAGAAGAATGAGAAAGGGCGGGGAGAGAGGGGGAAAGAGAGAATGAGAAAGGGGAGAGAGAGAAAGAGAGGGGGAAGGAAAGAGGAGGGAGAGAGAAAGAGAAACGGAGGGAGAAAGGGGGGAGAGGGAGAGAGAGAGGGAGAGAGGGAGATGTAGACACAGAGAGACGTGTAGAGACCCAGAGATACACACAGAGATAAGGAGAGACGGAGAGATCATCATGGAGAACTGGGAGAGAGGGAGAGAGATGTGGCCAGCCCTAGACACTCAGAGTGCTGTTCGGATCATAATCGCCTGAGTAGCTTTTGGGGGTTCTTTTAGCAGGCATCATGGGGTATTCGGGCCAGTCTTGGCCAGTGCTGGAGCCTCGGGGTCTCCCAGAGTCCACCCCACAGCCCCTCATGTTCAGGCTGGGGTGGAAGAAACCCAGAACTGGGTGGGCAGTGGCCAGAGGGGCTCAGAAAGAGGAGCTGGAAGCAAAGCTATTGAAGGCAATTGATTGCCAGGAAGAAAAGGCTTTGGGGAAAAGCGTTTCTGGTACAGGGACCAGCATGGGCAAAGGCCGGGTGGGGGTGAAATAAAGTCAGTGCACTTGGACATGGCAAGATTGTCCTGTGGCTCATGTTGGAATGGGTGCTGTGGAGGGGATAGGATGGAGATGACGCAGGAAAGGCCTCCAGGGTCATGTACCCCAAAATACAGGCATTGGGGCCCAGAGAGTCCTCCGTCTTGGTTTGGCTCATGAGGAGCCACCAGGCTGTGGAGAAGTAAAACTGGACACAGCTGGACACTGACTGAGGGGTCAGGGCTGGGACAGAGGGACAATCCTGGGGAGCTCAGAGTTGGGAAGAGAGTGGGGGCACCAGACACTGGTCCCTGGGATAAAACAGGCTGAGAATCCCTTATCCAAAATGCTTGGGATGGCTGGATGCAGTGGCTCATGCCTGTAATCCTAGCACTTTGGGAGTCTGAGGCAGGCAGATCACCTGAAGTTGGGAGTTCGAGACTAGCCTGGCCAACATGGTGAAACCCCATCTCCACTAAAAATACAAAAGTATGGTGGCGCACACCTGTAATCCCAGCACTTTGGGAGGACGAGGCGGGTGGATCACCTGAGGTCAGGAGTTCAAGACCAGCCTGGCCAACATGGCAAAACCCCGTCTCTACTAAAAATACAAAAAATTAGCTGGGCATGGTGGTGGGCACCTGTAATCCCAGCTACCTGGGAGGCTGAGGCAAGAGAATCGCTTGAACCCAGGAGGCAGAGGTTGCAGTGAGCCGAAATCACACCATCGCACTCCAGCCTGGGTGACAGAGCGAGATTCCGTCTCAAAAAAAAAAAAAAAAAATTAGCTAGGGGTGCTGACGCATACCTGTAATCCCAGCTACTTGGGAGTCTGAGGCATGAGACTCACTTGAACCCAGGAGACGGAGGTTGAAGTGAGTCAAGATTGCGTCATTGCGTTCCGGCTTGGGGGACAGAGTAAGACTCTGCCTCAAAAAAAATAAAAAATAAAAAAGGCCGGGCGCAGTGGCTCACGCCTGTAATCCCAGCACTTTGGGAGGCCAAGGCAGGCAGATCACGAGGTCAGGAGATCGAGACCAACCTGGCTAACACGGTGAAACCCCGTCTCTACTAAAAATACAAAAAATTAGCCGGGCGTGGTGGCGGGCGCCTGTAGTCCCAGCTACTCGGGAGGCTGAGGCAGGAGAATGGCGTGAACCCGGGAGGCGGAGCTTGCAGTGAACCGAGATGGCGCCACTGCACTCCAGCCTGGGCGAGAGCAAGACTCCGTCTCAAAAAAAAAAAAAAAAAAAGAAAAAAGAAAAAAAAACCTTTGGAACAGAAGCATTTTTCCATGGTGAAGAAGTGTTTTGGATTGGGGATTTTTTCGGATTTCAGAATATTTTCATTATACTTGCCAGCTGAGCATCCCTAATCTGAAAATCCAAAATCTGAAATGCTGCAAGGAGCCTTATTACCTTTGAGTGCCATGTCGGCGGTCAAAGCATTTTCTCTTTTTTTTTTTTTAAATTATTATTATACTTTAAGTTTTAGGGTACATGTGCACAATGTGCAGGTTAGTTACATATGTATACATGTGCCATGCTGGTGTGCTGCACCCATTAACTCGTCGGTCAAAGCATTTTCAATTGGAGCATGTTGGATTTTGGATTTTGGATTTTTGGATTGGGGTGCTGAGCCTAGGTAATAATTTAACAAGATGACGTCATAGCAAATGGTGGGGATGAAGTTATTTTAGCCAGGAATGGCTTCTCTGAGGAGGTGACGTTTAAGCTGAGACCTAGAACAGGAAAATGAGACAACTCTGAGGGGATCTGGGGGCACAGCTGTTCTGGGAAGAGGGTGCATCCCATGCAAAGGCCCTGGAGCAGGACCGCACCTGGTGTATTGGTGTTGGAGGGACAGTGAAGAGGCCCGTCTGGCTGGGGCAGAGTGAACGAGGCGAAGAGAGGGAGGAGGGGAGGGCAGGAAGGGGGCAGGAAAGGTTGTAAAGAGCCTGGTGGGCCTCTGGGAGGACTTGAGCTTTGACCTGGAGGGAGGTGGGAGCCAGAGGGCTGTAGGCAGGAGAAGGACAGATCTGACTTAGATTTTTTTCTTCTTCTGCTTGAAATGGAGTCTCACTCTGTCACCCAGGCTGGAATGCAGTGGCATGATCTTGGCTCACTGCCACCACTGCCTCCCAGGTTCAAGCGATTCTCCTGCCTCAGCCTCCAGGGTAGCTGGGGTTATAAGCGCCTGCCACCTTGCCTGGCTAAGTTTTGTATTTTTTAGTAGAGATGGGGTTTCACCATGTTGGCCAGGCTGGTCTCAAATTCCTGACCTCAGGTGATCCACCCTCCTCGGCCTCCCAAAGTGTCGGGATTACAGATGTGAGCCACTGAGCCTGGCCCTGACTTAGATTTTAAGGGGTCATCTTGAATTCTTTCATGTAAGAAGAAAAATAAACATCTCAAGCAAAAGTGACCAAACCTAACTGTGTTCACTATGGTTGTTTCTCCCGTGATATCATTCTCCTGGCCAGGCATGGTGGCGGGTGCCTGTAATCCCAGCGACCCGGGAGGCTGAGGCAGGAGAATCGCTTGAATCCAGAAGGCGGAGATTGCACTGAGCCAAGATCGCGCCACTGCACTCCAGCTTGGGCAAAAGAGCAAGACTCCATCTCAAATAATAATAATAATAATAATAATTCTGCTAATATCAACCAACTCGTAAGTAAGCAATGTCAAGTTGACTATGACTGGTGGGTCTCCAGCTCCAGCCTAGGCTGGATCCACTGAATTTGGCCAATTCAGGCCTCCCTCTGGCCTGCACGCCTGACCCTTTCCTGGGGCTGGGGATCTCCGTCGTTGTCCCCTTACCTTGAGCCTCTCCAGCAGGGAGGTTGGTGTCTTTCCTGAACTCGCCGACTAATGCCTCAGCTCTGAAGACCTAATTGTGCATGAAATCCAATCAAATTATCAGGTCCTGATGAGCAATTCCCTAGATTATTTAGCTCAGTGAAGTAAATAATGACATTAGCTGTCGCGTTCTCCTGCAAGCTCATTTTGTGGTGGGCCTAGCGACAGAGGCCCCTCATTATCTGCAGTGTAACCAGAGGCCCCTGCACTCTGGTCATCCTGAGTGGTGGGAAGAAGGGAGAGGGTGGGAGCTCACAGTCTTCAGATATTAGCCCTAGAGGGACTCAGTGCTGTCCTACAAATGGGGAAACTGAGGCCCAATGCAGAACCTGCCTGAACTCACAGACAGTTAGGGTCTCTGGAATCCATCTCCACATCTGCCATCCATCTGGGAGAATGGTGACCCACATGGGCACACACCACCCCCTGTCCTCATCTCCATCCTTAGGTGTGCCAAGGCAGAACTCAAATATGGGATAAAAGTGACATGCAGAGTGGAGGAAAGCTCCAGTATGTACACATCTGAAGTCCTTGTCTCATTCGGAGGAACAAAGAGATGTTGATTAACTTCCAGTTATTGTAAGCTAAGTATACATGGTAAGAGTGTAAGGGTGACTACTCAAAGGCAGAAATGGAATGCATAACTTCCAAATCATGAGGGGGAATAAGAAAGGAACAAAGAAGGCCAGGCTCGGTGGCTCATACCTGCAATCTCAGCACTTTGGGAGGCCGAGGCGGACAGATCACCTGGGGTCAGGAGTCCAAGACCAGCCTGGCCAACATGGTAAAATCCTATCTCTACTTTAAATATTAAATTGGCTGGGCTTGGGCCGGGCACGGTGGCTCATGCCTGTAATCCCAGCACTTTGGGAGGTCAAGGCGGGTGGATCACATGAAGTCAGGAGTTTGAGACCCAATTTTTTTTACAGTTTGAAGCCTGGCCAACGTAGTAAAACCCCAATCCCTACTAAAAATATAAAATTAACTAGGCTTGGTGGTGGGCGCCTGTAATCCCAGCTACTTGGGAGGCTGAGGCCGGAGAATCGCTTGAACCTGGGAGGCAGAGGTTTCAGTGAGCCAAGATCACGCCATTGCACTCTAGCCTGGGCAAAAAGAGCGAAACTCTTGTCTCAAAAAAAAAAAAAAAAGAGAAGGAACAAAGAAAATCTGGCAAATTCAGCAGAAGGTTGAAGAGAAGATGAAAAGGAAGCAGCAGAAAAAATTCATATTAACTATAAAATACAATCAAAGAAAGTGATGAAAATAAAGCCAAATATGTTGGCAAACACAATAAATATAAATGAATTAAACTGATCGCTTAAAAGACATAGGCTGTCAGATTGCATACATAGAAACAACAAAGAATAAACAAAATCCATGTGTATGTTCTTTTGAATACACCTAAAATAAAATAATGCATCATCAGCAAATAAATTACACGAAAAAAAAAAAGAAGAGAAAGCGATGGATAGGAACCTATAGGCTAAAAGAAACTTTAAGACATATCAAGCAGCCAGGCACGGTGGCTCACGCCTGTAATCCCAGCATTTTGAGAGGCCAAGGCGGGTGGATCACGAGGTCAGGAAATCAAGACCATTCTGGCTAACATGGTGAAACCCCGTCTCTACTAAAAATACAAAAAATTTGCAGGGTGTGGCGGTGGGTGCCTGCAGTCCCAGCTACTCAGGAGGCTGAGGCAGGAGAATGGCGTGAACCCGGGAGGTGGAGATTGCAGTGAGCCGAGATCACGCCACCGCACTCCAGCCTGGGTGACAGAGCAAGACTCGGTCTCAAAAAAAAAAAAAAAAAAGACATATCAACCAAATACATGTGTGAACTGTATTTGGATCATGCTCCAAACTGTAAAAAAAATTATGACACTTTTGATAGAAATTTGAGGCCGATGAGATATTTGCTGATAGAATAAAATTATTGTTGGCCAGGCACGGTGGCTCACACCTGTAATCCCAGCACTTTGAGAGGCCAAGGTGGGTGGATCACGAGGTCAGGAGATCGAGACCATCCTGGCTAACATGGTGAAACCCCGTCTCTGCTAAAAATACAAAAATTAGCCGGGCGTGGTGGCATATGCCTGTAGTCCCAGCTACTCAGGAGGCTGAGGTAGGAGAATGGCGTGAACCTGGGAGGCAGAGCTTGCAGTGACCTAAGATCGTGCCACTGCACTCCAGCCTGGGTGACAGAGCAAGACTCCGTCTCATTCTGTTGCCCAGGCTGGAGTGCAGTGGCACGATCTCGGCTCACTGGAACCTCTGCCTCCCTGGTTCAAATGATTGTCCTGCCTCAGCCTCCCATGTAGCTGGGATTACAGGCCCCTGCCACCACGCCCAGCTAATTTTTGTATTTTTATTAGAAATGGCATTTCACCATGTTGGCCAGGTTGGTCTCGAACTCTTGGCCTCCAGTGATCCACCTGCCTCAGCCTCTCAAAGTGCTGGGATTACAGGCATGAGCCACTGCAGGTGGCCATTGTTAAAATTTTCAGCATAGTCCTCCTTATCTTTTAAAGATACCAATTGGTCATGCCTATAATACCAGCTCTTTGGGAGGCCTAGGCAGGTGAATCACTTGAGGTCAGGAGCTCAAGACTAGCCTGATCAATGTGGTAAAACCCTGTCTTTACTAAAAATACAAAATTAGCCAGGCGTGGTAGCGCACTCCTATAATCCCAGTTAGAGGAAGGAGAACTGCTTGAACCCAGGAAGTGGAGGTTGCAGTGAGCCGAGATTGCGCCATTGCACGCCAGCCTGTGCAACAAGAGAGAAACTCTGTCTCAAAAAAAAAAAAAAAGATACAAATTGAAAAATTGAAATATTTATGAGTCAATTATATGATACCCAGTATTCTTTCTTTCTTTCCCGCTCTCATTTTTTTCTCTTTCTTTTTTTTGAGACGGAGTCTCACTCTGTCACCCAGGCTGGAGTGCAGTGGCGTGATCTCCACTCACTGCAACCTCTGCCTCCCAGGTTCAAGCGATTTTCCTCCCTCAGCCTCCTGAGTAGCTGGGATTACAGGCGCCCGCCACCACGCCCGGCTAATTTTTGTATTTTTAAGTAGAGACGGGGTTTCATCATGTTGGTCAGGCTGGTCTCGAACTCCTGACCTCAGGTGATCTGCCCACCTCGGGCTCCCAAAGTGTTGGGATTACAGGCATGAGCCACTGCGCCCATCTCAGTGCATATTTTCTGGATGAACAAACGTGTACCTCTCCACAATCCCGTCTTTCTCCAAGCCTCAGTTTCCTCCCCTGTGAAACAGGGTGAATCTCTCCTGTGGGAAGTGTGAAGTGGGGGCTTCATATAGACAGCCTCCCCGCTCTCAGCTCAGGCCCGGGTGGAGGGGGTGCCCTCTTTCCAGGATTAATGGTGTCCCTGCCTCTGGGATTCAGATTCTGGCTCCACTGGGCATTCGGATCCTGAATCCCAGAAGGTCTCAGGGCTGAGCCCCGGAGCTCTGAGCTGAGGAGACCCTGAGTTAGGGACTGGGGGCACTCAGCCAGTTTGTGGAGGGGGTCTGAAGTACCAGCTAGGGGGAGGGGTGGGGACCAGGACAGGGTTAGAGCCCCAGACCCCAGGGGTGCCCCAGAGAGGAAAATTGGGGAGGGGGATGGGCTAGGGAGCCTCTCGCCTGCCTCTATCTCTCTGTTTCTTCCCCATTCTCTTTCTAAGTCTCTGTCTCTGTCTTTCTCTGTCTCTAGGTCTCTCTGAGTCTCTTTTTATCTCTGACTACCTCTTTTGATCTCTATTGGTCTCCTTTCTCTTGTTTTCTCTCTGTCTCTTTGAATCTACTTTTATCCCTGTCTTTCTTTCCCTCTCTCTCTCTCTCTAAGTCTCTTTGTCTCTCTCTCTCTCTCTCTTTTTTGGCGGGGGGACAGTCTCCCTCTGTCTCCCAGGCTGGAGTGCAGTGGTGCAATCTCGGTTCACTGCAACCTCTGCCTCCCGGGTTCAAGCGATTCTCCTGCCTCAGCCTCCCGAGTAGCTGGGATCACAGGCGCCCGCCACCACGCCCGGCTAATTCTCCATCTCTCTGAGTCTCCTTTTATCTCTGACTATCTCTTTCTATCTCTGTCTCTGTTGTTCTCTCTCTCTCTAGGTCTGTGTCTCTCTATCTCTCTGAGTCTGTATCTCTGTGGGTCTCCTCTGTCTCTCTGAGTCTCCCTTTATCTCTGACTGTCTCTGTCCATCTCTCTGTGTTTCTGTCTTTGCCACCTTCTGCGTGAGTCTCTCCGTGTCTTTTATCTGTCTGACTCCAGCTCAGCTTCTCTGTGTGGGTCTCTTTCTATCTCTCTTGGTTTCTCTCTTTCTCTCCTCACCTCCTCTGTCTCCCCTTCCCAGGCTCCACTTCTTTCCCCCACCTCTTCCTGGGTCCAGGTGCGGGCCCCCTCCCCGCCTCCACCCTGCCCTCCTCTGGCGGTGTCAGCCCTTCCCGTCCAAGCCAGAAAAAGCAGCCAGGCCAGGGCAGGGCAGCCAGCCAGCCTCTCTGCTGGGGACCCCAGGGACTCCAGCAGGACTCCCGCCTCCCTGGCCTGATCCCCAGGGGCTCTGCCCCCCCCTCCCCGCCGCAGAAGCCCTGCCTCCCTCAGCGCCTCTTCCCTTCCTCTGCCTAGAGGTCCTGTGTTATTGCTGCTGGCACCTGAGGCTGCAGAAAAAAAAAAGGAAGTCGCAGTCACCGTGGCTCCTACTTGTCCTTCTCTCTGCCCCAAGTCCTCGGAGCATGAAAAACTCCACCTCCGTGTGAGAACAACACAGTGGGTGCTTCATAGTTGTTTGCGGAATAAACAAACACGTATTGAGTGCCTACTGTGTGCCAAACAGTATTTGAGGTACAGGGGACACTGTGGCATTCAAGACAGACAGAAGTCTGCCCTCCTGGAGTTGACATTCCAGAGCAGGAGGCAGATAGGAACAAGCACACATTGTACCATGTTGAGTAGTGCCTGCCTGCAAAAATAAATTCAAAAATTACATACACTTCGGTTGGGACCGGTGGCTCAGGCCTGTACTCCCAGCACTTTGGGAGGCTGAGGCGGGTGGATCACGAGGTCAGGAGATCGAGACAATCCTGGCTAACACAGTGAAACCCCGTCTCTACTAAAAATACAAAAAATTAGCTGGGCGTGGCAGTACGCGTCTGTAGTCCCAGCTACTCGAGAGGCTGAGGCAGGAGAATCGCTTGAATCTGGAAGGCAGAGGTTGCAGTGAGCCAAGATCATCCCAGTGTACTCCAGCCTGGGCGACAGAGCGAGACTCTGTCTCAAAAAAAAAAAAAAAAAAAAAAAAATACATACACCTCGGTTGGGCGCGGTGGTTCAAGCCTGTAATCTCAGCATTTTGGGAGGATGAGGTGGACGAATCACTTGAGGTCAGGAATTTGAGACCAGCCCGGCCAACATGGTGAAACCCCGTCTCTACTAAAAATACAAAAATTAGCCAGGCATGGTGGTGAGTGCCTGTAATCTCAGCTATTCAGGAGGCCGAGGCAGGGGAATCACTTGAACCTGGGAGGCAGAGGTTGCAGTGAGCTGAGATTGTGCCACTGCACTCCAGCCTAGGCAACAAGAGTGAAACTCCATCTCAAAATAAATAAATAAATAGAAATTAAAATAAAAGCCCGGGCGCGATGGCTCATGCCTGTAATCCCAGCACTTTGGGAGGCCGAGGTGGGTGGAACATGAGGTCAGGAGATCGAGACCATCCTGGCCAACATAGAGAAATCTTGTCTCTACTAAAATACAAAAAAAAAAAATATATATTAGCCAGGCATGGTGACACACGGCTGTAGTCCAAGCTACTCAGAAGGCTGAGGCAGGGGAATCATTTGAACCCAGGAGGCAGAGGTTGCAGTGAGCCAAGATCGCGCCACTGCACCCCAGCCTCGTGACGAGCGAGACTGCGTCTCAAAAATAAATAAATAAATAGGTCGGGCACGGTGGCTCACACCTGTAATAATCTCAGCACTTTGGGAGGCCGAGGCAGATGGATCACTTGAGGTCAGGAGTTCGAGGCCAGCCTGGCCAACATGATGAAACCCCGTCTCTACTAAAAATACAAAAATTAGCCGGGGGTGGTAGCACACGCCTGTAGTCCCAGCTACTCGGGAGGCTGAGACAGGAGAACCGCTTGAACCCAGAAGGCAGAGGTTGCAGTAAGCCAAGATCACACAACTGCACTCCAGCCTGGGTGGCAGAGTGAGACTTGGTCTCAGGAAAAAGATCATAAGTAATAAAAATACAAATACAAAAATTAGCCGGGCATGGTGGCAGCTGCCTGTAATCCTAGCTACTCAGGAGGCTGAGGCAGGAGAATCACGTCAACCGGGGAGGTAAAGGCTGCAGTGAGCCGAGATCACACCACTGCACTCCAGCCTGGGCAACAGAGTGAGACCCTGTCTGAAAAAAAAAAATTATACACACCCAGAACCTCAGAATATGAGCTTTTTTGGAAATAGGGTCTTTGCAGATGTAATTGATTCAGGACCTCGAGATGAAATTCATCTGCAGGCTTCATGGTCCTTTGCTGTGTTATCTTGCTTTGAACAACCCGTACACGGGAACTAATTCAATTTTTTGTTTTGAGATGGGGTCTCACTCTGCCACCCAGGCTGGAGTGCAGAGACACAATCATTGCTCACTACAGCCTCGACCTCCTGGGCTGAAGCAATCCTCCCATCTCAGCCTCCCAAGTAGCTGGACTATAGATGTGCGCCACCACACCTGGCTAATTTTTTTATTTTTTTTGTGATGGGGGTCTGACTATGTTGCCCAGGTTGGTCTTTAACTCCTGGCCTCAAGTGATCCTCCCACTTCAGCCTCCCAAAGCACTGGGATTACAGGTAGGAGCCCCCCCCGCCACAACCCAGGCTGCGCTCATTCTTTTTTCTTTTTTTTGAGATGGAGTTTTGCTCTGTTGCCCACACTGGAGTGCAATGGCGCAATCTCGGCTCACCACAACCTCCGCCTTCCGGGTTCAAGCAATTCTCCTGCCTCAGCCTCCCGAGTAGTTGGGATCACAGGCACCCGCTACCACGCCCAGCTAATTTTTGTATTTTTAGTAGATTTGGGGTTTCACCATGTTGGCCAGGCTGGTCTGGAACTCCTGACCTCAGGTGATCCACCCACCTCAGCTTCCCAAAGTGCTGGGATTACAGGCGTGAGCCACCGCACCTGGCCTCATTCTTAACCAGGCCTCGACAATCCTCTTCCCTTCCCTTCTTCAGGACCGAATTTCGAGTCATCATTCCAATCTCAGTGTATGTGTTGCCTCCTCCAGGAAGCCCACCCTGATGTCTCCCCTGGCCCCCACTGGAGGGCGTCTTGTCCCTACTGTTTCCTCGAACCCAGCACATGACCTAGCACACAGCTGGTGCTCAATAAATGTCTGCGGCTTGCATGACAAGGGGCTGCTCTCCCCGATCTGTAAATAGCCCTGGCCTAATGATAAACATAATGAGCTCACACACGGGGACTCATAATTGTGACAGGCAGGTGGGCCCTGGTGGCCACGTGACCCCTCAGCTCCAGCCCGCGCCGGGCTCAGCCCAGCGCCTGCGCCCACGGCAGAGCCACAGCCTCCTCATTAAAGCAGGCCTTTTACTTAGGCAGGCGCTGCCAATTCTAATTGATTGTCTGCGTCCCTGGGGGCACTCGAGTTCCCGAGGTCAGCAGCTGGGCCGGGTCCAGGCCGAGGCAGGCGGGAGGGAAGCCGGCTCCCGGAGAGGGAACAAGGCGTGGAGATTGGACCCGCCGCCTCTACCTACGCGCTCCCTCCTGTGGCCCCCGGGACTGGGGCACGCGCTGCCCTGCAGGCTCAGGTTCCGGAGGCTGATGTGGCCCCCACCCCAGACCCGTGCAAGCTCCTGGTATGTGTGATGTTCCTGCACCTGGTCATGCCAAGAACACGTGTTGACAAACCCACAGGTCCAGAGCCAGAGGTGGTAGCACACAGGGGCTGGACTCGGGGTGGTGGGGGGGCGGGGGTGGGGGGAGGAGAGGGGAGTGGGGGGGCTCAAATCTAACAGCTCTATGCCTCAATTTTCCCGTCTATAAAATGGGATCCTAATACTACTACCTTTTTGTTGTTGTTGTTTTTGAGACCGAGTCTCGCTGTCTCCCAGGCTGGAGTGCAGTGGCGCGATCTCAGCTTACTGCAACCTCCACCTCCCGGGTTCAAGTGATTCTCCTGCCTCAGCCTCCCAAGTAGCTGGGATTACAGGCACCGACCACCAGACCTGGCTAATTTCTGAATTTTTAGTAGAGACGGGGTTTCGCCATGTTGGCCAGGCTGGTCTCGAACTCCTGACCTCAGGTGATCCACCCACCTCAGCTTCCCAAATAGCTGGGATTATAGGTGTGAGCCACCATGCCCAGCCTCTAATACCACCTTTCTCACGGGGCTTCTTGGGGTAATTAAATAAATGCATGCCTAGGAAATGCTGAAGCCCGGCTCTAGCCTGTACTTAGTGTTCTGTGGAGGTTATCACTTATGCATTTCCACAAGTATTGAGCACCTACTGTATGCCAGGCTGTGCAGTTTCAGTAGTGAATAGAACACGCAGATTGCTGTCCTTGTAGAGCTGACATTCAAATGGTGAGAGAGAGTAAACCTAATTTTAAAAAAGTGAACATTGGGGCTGGGCACAGTGGCTCACGCCTGTAATTCCAGCACTTTGGGAGGCTGAGAGGGGAGGATTGCTTGTGGCCAGGAGTTCATGACAAGCCCGGGCAATAGCAAGACCCCATCTAACTTTTTAAAATTATTATTTTATTTTATTTTATTTTTTAAGACAGACTGTTGCGGGCTGGGCGCAGTGGCTCACGCCTGTAATCCCAGCACTTTGGGAGGCCGAGGTGGGTGGATCACGAGGTCAGGAGATCGAGACTGGCCTCACCAAAATGGTGAAACCCCGCCTCTACTGAAAATACAAAAATTAGCCGGGCGTGGTGGCGGGCGTCTATAGTCCCAGCTACCCAGGAGGCTGAGCCAGGAGAATCACTTGAAGCCAGGAGAATCGCTTGAACCCAGGAGGCGGAGGTTGCAGTGAGCCGAGATCGTGCCATTGCACTCCAGCCTGGGCCACAAGAGCGAAATTCCATCTTTAAAAAAAAAAAAAAGAGTGTCGCTTTGCTGCCCAGGCTGGAGTGATTGCAGTGGCAGGATCTCAGCTCATTGCAACCTCAGCCTCCTGGGTTCAAGTGATTCTCCTGCCTCAGCCTCCTGAGTAGCTGGGATTACAGGTTTTACCATGTTGTCCAGACTGGTCTCGAACTCCTGACCTCAAGTGATCTGCCCACCTCAGCTTCCCAAAGTGCTGGGATTACAGGCACGAGCCACCACGCCTGACCACAAGACCCCACCTCTAAAAAAAAAAATTAAAAATTAGCTAGGCATGGTGGCACATGCCTGTGGTCCTAGCTACCCAGGAGGCTGAGGCAGGAGGATTGCTTGAGCCCAAGAGTTCAATGCTGCAGTGAGCTGTGATTGTGCCACTGTAATCCAACCTGGGTGACAGAGAGACCCTGTCTCCAAGGAAAAAAACGAGTGAATGTTAAAGTGTTTTGGGGAGGACACAGGTAACACACACACACACACACACAGTCTGAACGTGGTGAAAACATATGCACACAACTTAGAAAGATAGGTTCTCTTATGTCCATTACACAGATGGGGTAAATGAGGCTCTGAGACGAAAAGAAAATGGGCTAATTCAGGAACCTGTAACCATTTCTGTAACAGTCCATGCTCCACGTGGCCCCAGAGCCTTTGCACCTGCTGTGCACGCCATAAATGTCCATTAGCTGAAAGGATTCAGCCCGGCTCCTGGGTGCTGCCCCCTGTCACACATAATCTATAAACTGGCAGGTGGGATAGGCCAGACAGGGGTCTCCCACCTCCCAGCCTTCATCAGGCCTGTCCCTGCCTCAGTAACCCGATTTCTTGAAGCTGTTTCCAGCTTCTCATTCTCCCTGGAGAAGCTTCATTACTCCTCTAGGGCTGAGATGCAAGAACCTGCAGCCTCCAGGACTTTCAAACCAACACATTAAAATAAAAACCAACAACTTCTAAATGGAGACCCTTGGGACTAGACCTTGGGCTGTGAGGCCCTGGCTGCCTGCTGTCACTTTTTTTGTTTGGTTTTGTTTTGTTTTTCGTTTTTTTGAGACGGAGTCTTGCCCTGTCGCCCAGGCTGCAGTGCAGTGGCGCGATCTTGGCTCATTGCAAGCTCTGCCTCCCGGGTTCACGCCGTTCTCCTGCCTCAGCCTCCCGAGTAGCTGGGACTACAGGCGCCCACCACCACGCCCGGCTAATTTTTTGTATTTTTAGTAGAGACGGGGTTTCACCGTGTTAGCCAGGATGGGCTCGATCTCCTGACCTCATGATCCACCCACCTCGGCCTCCCAAAATGCTGGGATTACAGGCCTGCTGTCACTTTTAACCTTGTGGGAAAGGGCACGACAGACTCTGGGGCCATTGGAGAATTGTCTGAAGCATCAGGAACTTGTAATAACCCGCATTAGGGTAATGATTTTTTGTTTGTTTGTTTTGAGACAGAGTCTCACTCTGTTGCCCAAGCTGGAGTGCAGTGGCGTGATCTCAGCTCACTGCAACCTTCACCTCCCGAGTTCAAGCAATTCTCCTGCCTCAGCCTCCTGAGTAGCTGGGATTACAGGCATATGCCACCACGCCCAGCTAATTTTTGTATTTTTAGTAGAGACGGGGTTTCGCCATGTTGGCCAGGCTGGTCTCGAACTCTTGACGTAGAGTGATCCACCCGCCTCGGCCTCCCAAAGTGCTGGGATTACAGACGTGAGCCACCGCACCCGGCCTGGTTCTTTTTATAGTAAAATTCCGAGACCCATCAACACTTGCTGTCTCCACTTCCCCATTTCCTGTTCCCTCCTAAACCTGCTCCAATGGGGCTCTCACACCCCCCACGCCCTCCTGAAGTTGTCAGCCCCACAGGAGAGGGATTTTGTCTGCTCTGTTCCCTGCCGGACAGACGCCCAGTGCCTAGAAGAGCACCTGGCATGCAGCAGGTGCTCAATACGTGTTTGCTGAAGGAGTGAATGGCTGGATGCTCTCTTAGATGCTGCCCTGGAATTGATTCCAGAATCCTTCTCTACCTACTTGGAACTGACTCCAGTAGTGTCTATCCCACCCACCACCCTCTCACCCCATCTGCTGTGTGAACCAAGCTTAGAGCTCCCTACAGAGGAAGGGTGAAAAACAATCCATCCATCCATCCACCAGTAATCCATATATCCATTCACTCACCCATTAATACATCCACCAGTAATCCATATACCCACCCACTAACTCATCCATCCATCCACCCACCAATAATCCATATATCCATCCACACACCCACCCATCCATCCATCCACCCACCCATCAATCTACCCATCCATCCATCCATCCATCCATCTACTCATCCATCTATCCAACCATCCATCTATAATCCATATATCCATCCACTCACCCATCCACCCATCCATCTACTCATCTATCTATCCAACCATCCATCTATAATCCATATATCCATCCACTCACCCATCCATCCATCCTCCCATCAATCCATCCATCCATCCACCCACCCATCAATCCTCCCATCCATCCATCCATCCACCCGCCCATCCACTCATCCATCTATCCAGATCCATCCATCCATAATCCATATATCCATCCACTCACCCATCCATCCATCCACTCACCCATCCATCCATCTACTCATCCATCTATCCAACCATCCATCTATAATCCATATATCCATCCACTCATCCATCTACTCATCTATCTATCCAACCATCCATCTATAATCCATATATCCATCCACTCACCCATCCATCCATCCACCCATCAATCCATCCATCCATCTACCCACCCATCAATCTACCCATCCATCCATCTACTCATCTGTCTATCCAACTATCCATCCATAATCCATATATCCATCCACTCACCCATCCATCCACCCTCCCATCAATCCATCCATCCACCCACCCATCAATACTCCCATCCATCCATCCATCCATCCATCCATCCACCCACCCATCCACTCATCCATCTATCCAAATCCATCCATCCATAATCCATATATCCATGCACTCACCCATCCATCCATCCACCCACACATCCATCTATCCACCCATCCATTCATCCATTTACTCATCCATCCATCCATCCATAATCCATATATTTATCCACTAACCCACCCATTAATCCACCCATAATCCATATAACCATCCGCCCTCCCATCCATTCACTCATCCATCTATCCACCTACCCATTCATCCATCCATCCATAATCCATTCATCCATCCACTCATCCATACATCCATTCATCCATCTATAATTCATACCTGCACCCATTTATCAATCCACCCACCTACAATCCATACATTCACCTGTTCATCCATCCATCCATAATCCATACATCCATCCTCTCGCAAATACATACATCCACTTACCCACCTACCTACCCACCTACCTCTCTATTCATCCATCCATCCATCTATCCATCCGTAATCCACACCTGCACCCATTTATCAGTCCGCTCACCCATAATGCATACATTCATCTGTTCATCCATCCATCCATCCATCGTCCATACAACTATCATTTCACAAATCCATACATCCATTTACTGACCAACCTGCCCACCCACCTCTCTATTCATCCATCCATCCATCCATCCATCCACCCGCTCATCCATTCATCCATAATCCATCCATAATCCATCCATTCATTTATTCACTCATCCATACATCCATCTATCTAATCACCCATCCATTCACCACCTTTTTTTTTTTTTTTTTTTGAGATGGAGTCTCACTCTGTCACCCAGGCTGCCAGGCTGGAGTGCAGTGGCACGGTCTCGGCTCACTGAAAGCTCTGCCTCCTGGGTTCAAGTGATTCTCCTGCCTCAGCCTCCCAGGTAGCTGGGATTACAGGTGCCCACCACCATGCCTGGCTAATTTTTGTATTTTTAGTAGAGACGAGGTTTCACCTTGTTGGTCAGGCTGGTCTTGAACTCCTGACCTCAGGTGATCTGCCCACCTCAGCCTCCCAAAGTGCTGGGATTACAGGCGTGAGCCACCACGCCCAGCTCCTATTCACCACCTTTCTACCCATCCATCCACCGATCC
Source organism: Homo sapiens (assembly GCF_000001405.40). Lineage (NCBI taxonomy): Eukaryota > Metazoa > Chordata > Mammalia > Primates > Hominidae > Homo > Homo sapiens. The sequence continues at coordinate 4,601,718 of NC_000019.10, read as the reverse complement.
AACCACCCTCACTCCCTCCCTACCTCATGCACTCATTCACTCAGAGGCAGGCTAACCCTTATGCTCATCTTTATTCCTCCCCCTGCCTGCTTTGTGCCCTTGAGCCAGGCCCTCCCTGTCTCTGGCCCTTGCTTTCCTCCTCTGCACAGTGAGGCTGATGAGAGCACAGACCTCCAAGTTTTGCACAGTGGCCTCAGGCCACACACAGTTGTTATTTGTTGTGACAGACAGCAAAGGGTGGTGGTTAAGAGTGCAGCCTGGGCTGGGTGCGGTGGCTCACACCTGTAATCCCAACACTTTGGGAGGCCAAGGTGGGAGGATTGCTTGAGCCCAGGAGTTCAAGACCAGCCTGGGCAACATGGAGAAACCCTGTCTCTACAAAAAAACGCAAAAGTTAGCCAGGTGTGGTGGTGCAAACCTGTAGTCCCAGCTGCTCAGGAGGCTGAGGTGGGAAGATCACCTGAGCCCGGGACACAGAGGTTGCAGTAAGCCGAGATCGAGCCACTGCACTACAGCCTGGGCAACAGAGTAAGACCCTGTCTCAGAAAAAATAAAAAATAAAAAAATAAAGAATGCAGCCTGGAGTTTGAATCCCTGCTCTGTGACTTCCCTGCTGTGTGACCTTGGCCAAGTGACAGAACCTCTCTGAGCCTGTTTCCCATCTATAAAATGAGGCTGATAATAGCACCTGCCTCCTTGGGGACTGTTGGGGGGGATTGCATGCAATTACACATGTTGCATATCGGGTTCAATAAGTGCTGGATGGGGCTGTTAATGTATGTTTATGGTAACCCCAGGAGGTAGGGCACGGCTGTGAGTGCCTGACAGGCTGATGCCCAGTGAACTCTGAGAAGGGAGCAGCTGGCAGGAACCTTGGTGACTGCTGTGGCAGGCGGAGGGGGCAGCTATGCCCCTTCTCCCCTCTGCTTGTAGTGGGAGAGCTAGGGGGCTGCTGGCCCAGCAGCCTCAAGTGAGGACCCAACAGGTGCACCTGTTTATGTGCAGAAAACAGGGTCTGCACCCCCTCTGCACCCAGGGAGTCACAGTCCAGGGTGGGAGCTATGGAGGCTTTGCTCTGTGCACTCTCTGGCAATTACCCTGACAGGGGCAGACTCAGAGTCCTCACCATCAGGGGCCCTGGGTCGTCTACACAGTTCAGGCAGGGGAGACAGAAGGTGTGGCAGTGGAATCCACTATATCACTCAACAGGCACGGGGACTGGTTCCCAGATAGAGTTACCCCAGGGAACCATCTCACACCCTCAATCCCTAACTCCAAGCCTGAGGGCCTGGAAGGGCCTGGGACGATGACCTCCCCACACACAAGCCTCTCTGAACCTCATAGAAAGCACAAACTCAAGCCAGGTGCGGAGGCTCATGCCTGGAATCCCAGCATTTTCAGAGGCCGAAGCGGGAGGATCACCTAAGCCTGAGTTCGAGACCAGCCTGGGCAACATTGCGAGACCCTGTCTCTACAAAAAAATAAAACAGCCAGGCGTGGCGGCGCACATCTGTAGTCCCACCTACTCGGGAGGCTGAGGCAGGAGGATAACTTGAGCCTGAGAGTTGGAGGCTGCAGTGAGCTGAGACCACTCTATTGCACTCCAGCCTGAGTGACAGAGGGAGACCCTATCACCAAAAAAGAAAAAAGGCACAAACTCAGAAGGAAAAAATATAGTAACAATAACATTTATAAAGGGTTTTCTACAAGCCAGTATGTACTAGAATTAATTTTTTTTTTTTTTTTTTTTTTTGGACAGAGTTTCGCTCACCGTAACCTCTGCCTTTCAGGTTCGAGCAATTCTCTTGCCTTAGCCTCCTGAGTAGCTGGGATTACAGGTGGCCGCCACCACACCCAGCTAATTTTTGTATTTTTAATAGAGACAGGGTTTCACCATGTTGGCCAGGCTGGTCTTGAACTCCTAACCTCAAGTGACCTGCCTACTTTGGCCTCACAAATTGCTGGGATTACAGGCGTGAGCCACCGCGCCCGGCCTAGAATTAACTTTCACTGTCACAGCCACGTTATGAAGTAGATGCTATTATAGACCCCATTTTGTTGACGGGGAAACTGAGGCACAGAGCGGCAACATGGCCTGACCAGTTGCACAGCTGGTAACTGGCACCCAAGTTTGAACCCTAGACTGTTTAAGCATCTTATTCCCCACACAGTAAAAACAGCCCAGGAAATGGGTACCACCATCTGCCCACGGTACAGATGAGTAAACTGAGGCTCAGAGAAGCTGTTAGGTCATGTGGAGAGAAAACAGGAGAGTTGGGGCTCGGGTCCTGGGCCATAGCCCCAAAAGTGTGGTCTCCTCACTGCTTCAATCACCAAATGCTCTCTGGGCCTCGGTTTTCTCATCTGTAAAGTGGGTTTAATTGCAAAATCCAACTGGGAAGGCTGTGATGATGAACATATCAGAGCAGGCATGGAAGACCCCACTGTGGGATGGGGCAGAGCAGGAGGGCCTGCAGAGGAAGGAAGGATGTCGAGTGAGTTGGAGGTCGCCGTGGGGACAGCAGGGGGACAACGTTTCCCATGGCCACGCTCTCGAACCTTTCTCCCACCTGGAGCAGTTGGAGCTGCCTCTGGCACCCCCTGCCTGAAAACTCATATCCACAGCCGTCACCCCCAGCATCTCCCCAGTCACCTTGTGCCCCCTGTCCCCTCCCAGAGAACAGCGCAGCCTCTGTGTCTAGGCGTGAGGTTTGCCAGCGTTGCCCAGAGACGACTGGGTAGCAGGCGACTCCCGCCCCCTGCATGCAGACCCCGGCCCGCCCAGCCTCCAGGACCCCCTCACCAGGACAATGGACAGGCCAGGGGAGGAGGGGGACAGGCAGGGCTCGGGGCCTTGGGGAGCCTGGGAACGAGGCGGCTCTGAGTTGGCGTGCAGAGAGGGGGCTCCGAGAGGGCAGGGGGCAGGGCCGGGGGGACTTAGAGAAGGGGGGGCTCCGGGACGGGAGGGGGACATGGGGACTTAGAGAAGGGGCTCAGAAGGGAGGGGGTGCACAAAGGGAGAAGGTTCTCGGGGAGGGGAGGCAGCTGAGCCTCCTCCCCCACAGTGGCTCCAGAAGCGAGACCACCCCCTCCCCGTGGCACGGGCTCGCGCCGCAACAGGTGTTGGGGGTTCTGAAGGCAGCACTAAGAGATGCAAAATCCCTTTCGGAAGTAAAGTGACACAGGCCTGCACCGCTCTAAATACAGACACAGCTGACTGGCGGTGGGGAGGTCAGAGGGAGCCAGGAGGGCCCGAGGAGAGGGAGGGAGGTAGAGCATGGGATAGGGGCGACCCCGAGCCCCGGGGACGCACGCGGTCAGGTTTCTGGATGGTCAGAAACCCGGTGACTTGATACACTCCTGACCCTGTGTCCTGGGGCCCCAGGGGAGGACAGAACTTAGGCGGCCCCCTCTGCCCCACTCAGCCTCCTTGAGCCCTGTTCCCGCCCCTCGAAGAGCCCCCCCTCCCCTCTCCACGCCCCTCCCCAACCTCAGCTTCCTCTCCTCTCAACCCCGCCCCACTCAGCCCTGCCCCACAACGCCCCCCGCCTCCGAGCCCCGCCCCTCTCCTCTCAGCCCCACCCATTTTCTCTCAGCCCTGCCCCTTCCCGCCTCGCCCCTTCTTCTCAGCCCCGCCCCTCTCCTCTCAGCTTTACCACTTTCAGCCCCTCCCCTCTCTCAACCCCGTCCTCTCTCGGCCCCCTCTCTTCTCTCAGCCCCTCTCGTCTCTCAGCCCCCCTCTCCTCCCTCACCCCTCCCCTCTGAACGTCTCCCCCTCTCGGCCCCTTCTCCTCCCTCACCCCTCCCCTCTAAGCCCCTCCCCTCTCTCAGCCCCCTCTCCTTCCTCAGCCCCCTCCTCTCTCAGCCCCGCCCCTCTCTCAGCTCCTCCCCTTGCGGGGCGCACCCCGACTGTCAGCTTCTTCTGGGGCTGTCCATTCTGGGCCAGGAAGAATAGAAACGTGACCCTTTGGTCCAGGGTGGCCTCCCTGGCCCTTCCTCATCTGAGCAACAAAGCTCTCCAGGTTCGACCATTCAGGGGCGCCCCGCACAGTTCCAGCCCCTTCGGCAGGGACTCTCCCTACAGAGACCCCCTGCCCGGCACACCAGTCCCGGGCTGGGCTCCCCTGAGCAGAGACCCTGCCAGAAGGACCGTCCTCCATGAAGACCCCTTCAGATCCCAGCGTGGACCTCAGCACCTGATTCCTCATCCTTGAGCTGGGGTTCCCCCAGCATGGAAGTGCGCGATGGGCAGAAATTCTGACTTCATCCCTTCATCCTTTCATTCGTATATAGAGCGTCTAGTACCTACAGTCGTGAGCTCTGCAAACCTGTGCTAGGGGCCAGGGATACAGGGATACGTGACCCCGACAGAGCCGGCCTCGCCCCCAGTGCGGTTCGCAGTTCAGTGGGGGAGGTGGTCATTGCGGTGATGGGGGTCAGAGGGCCTAGCTGGGGGGCGCACGGGAGTTTATGATGGCTCCCTGAAGGCTTTCCTCAGGACGTGTGATCTAACCTGAGGGCTAAAGAAATCCATTAGCTGCCGGGCACGGTGGCTCACGCCGGTAATCCCAGCACTTTAGGAAGCCGAGGCCGGCGGATCACAAGGTCAGGAGTTCGAGACCAGCCTGGCCAACATGGTGAACCCTCGTCTCTACTAAAAATACAAAAATTACCCGGGCTTGGTGGCGGGCGCCTGTAATCCCAGCTACTCGGGAGGCTGAGGCAGGAGAATCGCTTGAACCCGGGAGGTGGAGGTTGCAGTGAGCCAAGATCGCACCACCGCACTCCAGCCTGAGACAGAGTGAGACTCCGTCTCAAAAAAAAAAAAAACAAAAAAACAAACAACAAAAAAAAACCCCATTGGCGGGGCAGGCTCACGCCTGTGCTCCGGGCAGAGGAAAGAGCCAGTGCAAAGGCCCTGAGTCAGGACCAAGAGCCCTGGCTGGCAATCCCAGCTTAGCCATTTTCTTGCTGTTTGTCCAGGACAAGTGGCCAGTGCTTTCTGAGCCTGATCTCCACATCTGTAAAGGGGACTCCTGACATATTACTCAACTAAAGGGTTCAGGAGGGCACCTGGCATATAGTAGGTGTTGAATAATATTTGTCAAAAGTGGATGAAGGAATTGAGAGGCGTTAGAGAATGCGAAAGAGGAGGCGCTTGGCTCCCATCTGGAGGTGGGTGGGTTGGAGCAGCTCCTGACCTCTTCTCCTGGCCAAGGCCCCCTCCCCCCCCCAGGCCCCTCCTCCCTGGCCCGTCAGTCCCCTGCCAGCTGTCTCTCCAAGTGTGCGCCAGCCCGACAGGAGCAGGCGCCTGTTCCGGAACGCCTGATGCCTTGCTTCCCAGGGATTTTAGAGGGACAGGTCCGCGGAAGTTCAGCTGCCACACAGGCTTAACCCTGGAGCCTGGGCGCCGGGTCCTCAGAGGCCCGATGCCATCCCTCTTGACCCCATAGAGAGCCCGGGCACTGCTCCCAGCCTTCACTGGAAAGACCTTGCTTCAACTCCGAGCTCTGGCCTTGCCCGGCTGTGTGGCCTTGGGAAATTTAGCCAACATCTCTGGTCATCTCCACCAATAATAATACTTACAAGATGATGTGGTGGCTCAGGCCTGTAATTCTTTGTAAATTTTTTTTACAAATTACAAAGAATTCGTGAATTCTTTGTAATTCTGTAAAACTTTGGGAGGCAAGGCAGGAGGATCACATGAGGCCAGGAGTTCCAGATCAGCCTGGGAAACATGACGAAACCCTGTCTCTACAAAAATAAAATAAAATAAAAATTTTAGCCAGACATGATGACACGTGCTTGTAGTCCCAGCTACTCAAGAGGCTGACACTGGAGGTTGGTTTAAGCCCAGGAGTTTGAGGCTGCAGAAAGCCATGATTGTGCCACTGCACTCCAGCCTGGGCGACAGGAGACCCTGTTTCAAAAAAAAAATTAGACCAGGTGTGGTGGCTCATGCCGGTAATCCCAGCACTTTGGGAGGCTGAGGAGGGTGGATCACCTGAGGTCAGGAGTTCGAGACGAGCCTGGCCAACATGGCAAAACCCTGTCTCTACTAAAAATACAAAAAATAGCCAGGCATGGTTGTGCATGACTGTAATCCCAGCTATTCGAGAGGCTGAGGCAGGAGAATCGCTTGAACCTGGGAGACAGAGGTTGCGGTGAGCTGAGATCACGCCACTGCACTCCAGCCTGGGTGACAAGAGCAAAACTCCATCTCAAAAAGAAAAAATAAAAAAAGTCTTTTCATGAATAAACTCTATTATTGTAACAGCTCTCTGTGTTCCCAAGTATTACTGACCCCATTTCACGGATGTGAAAACTAAGGTATGAAGACGGAGGTTACCCAATTTACAGCACAAAATAATCCAGTCAATAATAATCACAATCTCTGGGCGCGGTGGCTCATGCCTGTAATCCCAACACTTTGGGAGGCTGAGGCAGGTGGATTACTTAAGGTCAAGAGTTCGAGACCCGCCTGGCCAACATGTCAAAACCCGTCTCTACTAAAAATACAAAAATTAGCTGGATGTGGTGGTGTGCACCTGTAGTTTCAGCTACTTGGGAGGCTGAGGCATGAGAATCACTTCAACCCGGGAAGCAGAGTTTGCAGTGAGCCGAGATTGCACCACTGCACTCCAGCCTGGCAACAGAGTGAGACTCCATTTCAAAAAAAAAAAACTAGCCAAGCGTGGTGGCCGGCACCTGTAATCCCAGCTACTTGGGAGGTTGAGTCAGGAGAATCGCTTGAACCCGGGAAATGGAGGCTGCAGTGAGCCGAAATTGCGCCGCTGTGCTCCAGCTTATCTCAAAAATAAATTAAATTGTCAATTAAAATGAAATAAAATTAAAAATTCAATTCCTCACTTGCTGAAGTCACTGTTTTTTGTTTGTGTGTTTGAGACACGGTCTCGCTCTGTCACCCAGCCTGGAGTGCAGTGGTGGGATCATAGCTCACTGCAGCCTCGACCTCCTGGGCTCAAGCAATCCTCCCACCTTAGCCTCCAAGTAGCTAGGACTACAGACCCACACCACCACGCCCAGCTAATTTTTATTTTTTTTTTGGTAGAGACAGCTTCTCGCTATGTTGCCCAGGCTGGTTTCAAACTCCTGGGCTCAAGCCATCCCCCAACCCACCTCGGCCTCTGAAAGTGCAGGAATTACAGCCGTGAGCCACTGCACTCAGCCTCAAGTCACCATGTAAGCGCTGAATAGCCACATGGCTGCTGACTACTGTGTTAGCACAGATTTCAAACGCCTCTTTCACTGCAGGAAGTTCTGTTGGAACCTTGCTGTGGGAGCATGTGCTTGTCTATGACTTGGCCATGTGATGAGAGCTCAGGCCCTGCGAAGTTACAGTTAACTTGATCATTTCTGTCTGTCTGGTAGAAAAGAGAACCCCAACTAGGGCTTTACTGAAATATAGACCATTAATTCGTTTGTATCTAGCCTGATCTTAATCTAACATTCCACCTTAAAAAAAAAAACAATCTCGGTCTGGGCGCGGTGGCTCATGCCTGTAATCCCGGCACTTTGGGAGACTGAGGTGGGCAGATTACCTGAGGTCAGGAGTTCGAGATCAGCCTGGCTAACATGGTGAAACCCCATCTCTACTAAATATACAAAATTAGTTGGGCGTGGTGGCGCACGCCTGTAATCCCAGCACTTTAGGAGGCTGAGGTGGGCAGATCACCTGAGGTCAGGAGTTCCAGACCAGCCTGGCCAACACGGTGAAACCCCATCTCTAATAAAAATACAAAAAATTAGCCAGGCATGGTGGTGGGTGCCTGTAATCCCAGCTACTTGGGAGGCTGAGGCAGGAGAATTGCTTGAACCAGGGAGGCGGAGGTTGCAGTGAGCTGAGACCGCGCCATTGCACTCCAGCCTGGCAACAAGAGTAAAACTCCATCTCAAAAAAAAAAAAAAATCTCCGTAGATACCTAGTTCCTCAAATACTCTTAGAACCAGCCTCAACATTTTATTGGTTCCCTGAGTAATGAGCTAATGAATCATGGACATGTGCTTACTTGACGTTTGGGTGACTCAAGTTTTCAGCATTTCTTTTCTTTCTTTCTTTATTTTTAGAGACGGGGCCTTGCTCTGTTGCCCAGGCTAGAATGCAGTGGTGCAATCATAGCTCACTGCAACCTCCAATTCCTGGGCTCAAGCAAGCCTCCTGCCTCAGCCTCCCGAGTAGCTGGGACTAAAAGCAAGCACCACCATGCCCTGTTAATTTTTTTCAAAATTTTTTTTGTAGAGATAGGGGTCTTGCTATGTTGCCCAGTCTCAACTTTTTGAGAACTATATATGTCTTTTTTTTTTTTTTAAGTTTCTCTTCTCTTTAACTGAACAGAACCTGGAAGAGACATGTAAATCCCCATTTTGCAAACAGGGAAACTGAGGCCAGCTCCTTGCCTCCCCCCATCCCAGACCCCCTCCAAGCTCAGGGGTCCAGTTGTTGCATACCTAGCTCTCCTCATTTGAGGACCCACCCTCCCACCGCCCGCCCAACTTCTAGAAACAACTCTGAGAACCTGTCTTTCTCCTGATGCAGCCAAGAACCAGGTCAGCCCAACGCTGGGACATCAAAGGGAATCTATAAATACAGCTGCAGGAGGAAAAATAGACACTTTCCTGGCCCCTCCCAGTCTTCCTTCTCTCCCACTCCAGATCTTTCCTGGCTGGGTTCCCACCCCAGGAGCTGGGCTGAAGCCCTCAACCCCAGGGACCCCCTACAGGAAGGCAGTGGAGGGGAACAGCTGATGGCACCCCAGTTTTCCCCAAGAAACTCAACCTCCTCTGCCCTCTCCTCCCCTACCAGGCAGCTGAGAAAAGAGGGATATGGCTGGGTCTTTCCTCTGCAGACGTGGTTCTGACCAGAGGTGCGCATTACCAGCTTGTCAAAATCTTCAGTCCCCAGAACCAGGGAATCTTCTTTCCATCTCCTGGGGAACGTGTAGGGCTTCTGCCCTGTGCTGGGCTCTGGGAAGCTGGCAGGAACAAGGCTGACTTAGTTGGGGCAGTCAAGGAGAGCTTCCTGGAGGAGATGATATGAGCTGAGCCCAAAGGATGATGGGAATGATTGGAGAGGGTGAAGAACAGGTGGCGAGGGGGATGGAAGGGAAAGAGTTTGGAGTCCTCCTTCATTCTTCGCTCTTCATATATATATATTTCCTCCCCATCTGGCCCCTACTCCTCCTTCAGGTCTCAGCTCAATGTCACCTCCTCAGAGAGGCCCTCCCTGATGCCCCCAGAGAATCGCTGCCCTTCATTTTCTCTTTTTAAATTTTCCTTTTTTTTTTTTTTTTTGAGACAGGGTCTCGCTCTGTCATCCAGGCTGGAGTGCAGTGGTGTCACTACAGCTCACTGCAGCCTCAACCTCCCTGGCTCAAGCAATCCTCCTGCCTCAGCTTCCTGAGCAGCGGGTACCACAGGCACATGCCACCGTGCCTGGCAATTTTGTTTTATTTTTTATTTTATTTTATTTTTGAGACGGAGTCTCACTGCTGCCCAGGCTGGAGTGCAGTGGCATGACCTTGGCTCACTGCAGCCTCCATATCCCAGGTTCAAATGATTCTCCTGCCTCAGTCTCCCAAGTAGCTGGGATTACAGGTGCATGCCACCATGCCTGGCTAATTTTTTGTATTTTTAATAGAGTCGGGGTTTTGCCATGTTGGCCAGGCTGGTCTCGAACTCCTGACCTCAGGTGATCCACCCGCCTTGGCCTCCCTAAGTGCTGGGATAACAGGCGTGAGCCACCACCGCACCTGGCCTCCTTCATTTCTTTTCTTCCTGGTCCTTATAATAATCTGAAATCATTTTAGCCAATTACTTGTTTCCTCATTATCTATCTGCAAATGCCTGGAGAGGGCAGAGACCCTGCCCACCTAGATTATCTCCCTCTCTCTGTCTAGAACTCACCTCCACGGTTTTCCCACCTGTAAAGCAGGGTGGAAGTGTGACAAGTCGCTTCCATGGAGAAGCTGCTGGCCTCATTTGTCATTAAAGTTACTATTTTCCTTGCAAACGGCTTGCCTGGTTCTGTAGACTCTTGTAATCGATATGCTAATTGATGCAGATTTTATGTAAATGATACGGATGTTTATTTCTCCCTAGAAATTCCCCACTGGCCTTGGGGATCCCCGAAGAAGCTGGGGAGGGGGTAGAGCTGTCTCAGCCCAGGTTCCTTGGGGACCCACCCACACTTAGGCGGGTGAGGGTTGAGGAGCATCTGGAACTTCCCCTACCCCCTCCTCCTTCCTGGCCTCCAGGCTTTGCCCAAAGATGAGCAGATCTCTAGACCCTGGGGTGGGGACGGGGATGGGGGGATAGAAAACTGGAGACCCAGGGGAAAGACTGAGACAGAGACAGTGAGAGAGCAAGATTGAGAGATGAGGAAGCAGGCGGTGAGATGGACCTAGAGACGGAGACGAAAGGAGAGAGGCCTGGAGGGGTGAGGAGAGAGGGCAAGGCAGGTTCCCCCTGCAGTCGCAGAGCAGGCTGGGGACGGACTACAGAGGGACCTGTCCCCCACCATGCTTTTGGAGTAGAGGAGCGACCTTCCCATCTCCATCCTGGACGCAGCCTTTGGAATCTTCTGGAAGGGAAAACTGAGTCCAGATAAGGGAGGGCCACCAGCCTCACCATCATTGCAGGGCAGGGGCAGGGAGGCTTCCCTGACAATCTCCTGAACCTTACCAGACACTTATTGAGTGCCTACTGTATGCCAACTCTATGTTGGGCAGTGCTGGACATCACCTTGGCCTGGACAGTTCTGGGCCCGGTCCTTGGGCTCCCAGTCGGGTGTGTGGGATTCAAACTGAGACATTTACCTTGGGAATGAAGGAGGACGGGTTGACCAGGTCAACCTGGGGGGAGAGGGAGGCAGAAGGCCAGGAGGAGAGAACAGCCCGTGCAAAGGCCCTGAGGCAGGGTAGAGCTTGGCGCCCTAGAGGAGCTGAATTAATTCCAAAAGCCCCCTTACCTGCCTGCCCTCCCTTCCTCCCATTCCTCACTCTGTTCCAGCCACACGGGCCTCCTCGTTGTTCCTCCAACATGCCAGGCACGGTCCTGCCCCAGGACCTTTGCACAGGGCTGTGCCCGCCCACCTACTACACTCTTTCCCTAGGTACCTGCATGATTTTTTATTTATTTATTGAGACAGCTCTGTTGCCCAGGCTGGCAATAAGATTTTAGACATATGATCTCTGCTCACTGCAACCTCCGCCTCCCAGGTTCAAGTGATTCTCCTGCCTCAGCCTCCTGAGTAGCTGGGATTACAGGTGTGTGCCATGACGCCTGGCTAATTTTTGTATTTTTAGTAGAGACAGGGTTTTACCATGTTGGCCAGGCTGGCCTTGAACTCCTGACCTCAAGTGATCTGCCCGCCTCAGGTTCCCAAAGTGTTGGGATTATAGGCATGAGCCACTTTGCCCAGCCGCTGCATGATTTTCTACCCCCTCTTCTTCAAGTCTCTGCTCACATATCACCTCCTCAGTGAAGCCTTCCCTGACTACCTGTTTAAAATCTTTCTGCTAGGCCAGGCGTGGTGGCTCATGCCTGCAATCCCAGCACTCTGGGGAGGCTGAGGTGGGAGGATCCCTTGAGCCTGGGAGTTGGAGGCTGCAGTGAGCTATGATCAGGCCACCACGCTCCAGCCCAGGGCCACAGAGTGAGACTGTATCTCTAAAAACTAAAATAAAATGAGTGAATCCTCGCCTCTGATCTCTGAACTCTGCCAAGATGAGGGTCCATTTGTGTCTTGCTCAGCCACTGTGTCCCCAGCACTGCCTAGTAGAGCCTGGTACACAGTAGGTGCTCAATAAAGTTAGCTGAAAAATAGGCCAGCAAGGGGCAAGACCCCCGAGGCTCAGTTCTGCTTCCTGAAGGTGTCGGAGGTTTTGTAGTGGACGCTGAGCAGGCCCCCTGGTGGGGAGGGAAGGGTGTGATCTGAGCTCGACACCCTTGATGGCCTCTCTGCACACTGTCAGTGTCACCTGTGTGGCTGGCCTTAGTGGCAATGACGAACTGCCACTAGCTGAGGTCATTCACACACACACCCTCCACCGTCACTGCCTGTTTCTGCTGTTGCTATTATTTTTATTTATGTATTTATTTATTTTTGAGGCAGAGTCTCATTCTGCTGCCCAGGCCGGAATGCAATGGCGTGATCTTGACTCACTGCAATCTCTGCCTCCTGGATTGAAGTGATTCTCCTACTTCTGCCTCCCAAGTAGCTGGGATTACAGGCACCTGCCACCATGTCTGGCTAATTTTTTGTTGTTTTGTTTTTTTGAGACGGAGTCTCTCGGCTCACTGCAACCTCCACCTCCCGGGTTCAAGTGATTCTCCTGCCTCAGCCTCCCGAGTACCTGGGATTACAGGCTCCCACCACCACACCCGGCTAATTTTTGTATTTTTAGTATAGACGGGGTTTCGCCATGTAGGCCAGGCTGGTCTCGAACTCCTGACCTCAGGTGATCCGCCTGCCTCGGCCTCCCAAAGTGCTGGGATTACAGGCGTGAGCCACCACGCCCAACCATATTGTATTTTTTAATACATTTGTTTTCTGTGCTTGGATCTTGCCACCCTTTCTGCATACCAGTTCTGGTTTTCTTTCTATCTTTAAAGAAAAAATGTGGGCCAGGCGCGGTGGCTCACTCCTGTAATCCCAGCACTTTGGGAGGCTGAGGGGGGCGGATCACGAGGTCAAGAGATCGAGACTATCCTGGCTAACACGGTGAAACCCTGTCTCCACTAAAAATACAAAAAATTAGCCAGGCGCAGTGGCGGGCGCCTGTAGTCCCAGCTACTCAGGAGACTGAGGCAGGAGAATGGCGTGAACCCGGGAGGCGGAGTTTGCAGTGAGCCGAGATCGTGCCACTGCACTCCAGCCTGGGGGACAGAGCGAGACTCCGTCTCAAAAAAGAAGAAAGAAAAAATGTGGTAAAACACACATCACAGAAAAATCAGCATTTTAACAATTTCTAAGTGCACAGTTCAGCGGCATTAAGCACATTCACGTGGTTGTGCAACCATCACCGCCATCCTCTCCGGAACTTTCTCCTTTTCCCAATCTGAAACTGTCCCCAAGAAACACTCACTCCCCACCCACTCCCCAGTCCCTGGCACTCCCCATCTACTTTCTGTCTCTATGAATCTGATGACTCCAGGGACCTTCTAGGAGTGGAACCACACTGGATTTGGCCTTCTGCGTCTGGCTTACTTCACTGAGTCTGACGTCCTCAAGATGCATCCACATCTGAAGCCTGTGATGGCTGAGTCATATTTCACCGTGTCCATGGACCCCCTTATGTTGATCCATGTATCTGCTCATTGGCAGTCGGTTTGCTTCTGCCCTTTTGCTGCTGTGAACACGGGTGCCAGGATCTGTTCTGGTCATCTGTTTTTATTTCTCTTTTGACAATGCCCTACGCAAATGTAACGGCATCAAAGCTCCTTCCCACAGCTTCCAAGAGAGGAGGAAGATTAGGAAAAATCACCAAGAGGAAGAAACAAGAATCTCAGGACCTCCCATGGAGAAGACTACTTATCTTTATTAAGCACCAACTATGTGACAGGCTCCAGCATTTTTTTTTTTTAATGGGGGGACAGAGTCTCGCTCTATCGCCCAGGCTGGAGTACAGCGGCATGATCTCGGCTCAGTGCAACATCTGCCTCCCAGGTTCAAGCCATTCTCGTGCCTCAGCCTCCCAAGTAGATGGGATTACAGGCACGCACCACCACGTCCAGCTAATTTTTATATATTTTTTAGTAGAGACAGGGTTTCACCATGTTGGCCAGGCTGGTCTCAAACTCCTGACCTCAGGCGATCCACCCACCTCAGCCTCCCAAAGTGCTGGGATTACAGGCATGAGCCATGGCGTCCGTCCTAGGCCCCGGCATCTTTTGGAATGTTCTCATGTTAAACAACTTGTTCACAGCTGGTGAGTGGTAAAGCTAGGGGATGGACGCCAGTGTGTGAGCTGCAGAGATCACATCCACTCCACTGTCTGCTTGCTTGCCTCTCTTGACAGGCAGCTCACTATCCCATCACTGATTTTAGAGAAAAGAAAACAGTGGGTGGAAAAGAGCCATCCTCTCCAACTTGGGATGATCAGGGAAGGCCTCTCAGAGAAGGGAACGTTGGTGGGGAACAGCTTCCAGGCAGTGGGAACAGCAAGTGCCAAGGCCCCGAGGCAGGAGTGAGCTGGGTGTGCTCACTAGGCTGGAATGGGAAGCCTAGGGGAAGGGAGATCTAGGGGAAGGGAGATTTATTTTTTATTTTTTTATTTTTTGAGATAGAGTCTTGCTTTGTTTCCCAGGCTGGAGTGCAGTGGCACGATCATCTCGGCTCACTGAAACCTCCGTCTCCCGGGTTCAAGGGATTCTCTTGCCTCAGCCTCCCGAGTAGTTGGAATTACAGGCATGCACCACCACACCCGGCTGATTTTTTGTGTTTTTAGTAGAGATGAGCTTTTGCTGTTACCCTGGCTGGTCTCGAATTCCTGAGCTCGGGCAATCCGCCCTCCTTGGCCTCCCAAAGTGCTAGGATTACAGGCATGAGCCACCGCACCAGGCCAGAGGGGAGATTTTGAAAGCGGAGAATGTGACACCTGCCCCTGCCCAAATGACACTCACCTCCCATGCCTCAGTTTCCTATCTATACCCAAGGACAGACCCCAGGGAGGTTGAAGGTCCCTGGACACCCTCGCTCCACCCACAAATTCCTTGTTTTGGAGACCAGGATGCCACTGCCTCATTTGTCACTACATCATATGCAGATGATGCCTTGGGGGAGGGGGTTCTGGGCCAACCCAGGACACACATGGGCCTTTCTGGGGGATTTCTCAGTTTCTGAGAAGGAGGAAGCCTTGTAATTGCTCTAATTTCAATTTATAAATCAGGCGCAGGTCCTGCTGCTTCCGTCTCTAATTTAATGTTTCCTGCGTGCAGGCATGGTGCTGTTAGCTCCAGCCAGACACACAGCCTGAACCTCGGGCCCAGGGTCTGCGGGGCTGCAGAGGGGGCCTCAGACACAGTGGGGACCACTGCCTCCCTGGCTGAAGGTCTCCTGTGCACCCGGAGCTTGCATATATAACCCCTCTCTCAATGAGAGGGAAGCAGTGAGGTGTAGGGAACTCAGGCTGACCATGGGACCAGGCGTCCTGGGTTCTGGGTTGGAGTCCTTGTCTCCATTCGAAATGCGCAAAGCACCTGGAGCTGTGCAGTGCACACAGTAGGTGCTTAATAAGTGCTTCCGACATTATTATTTCCCTGGATACCCCTGCTGCATACTGGGGAGGTGGTCACCATTATGTCCTATTTTGCTAAAGAGAAAAATAAGTGACTCTGGTCTCACTCTCTGATCAATGGGCCTCAGTTTCCCCTTTGATACAATGAAGGCAAGCCCTGTTGAAATCTCAGACTCCCACTCATTCACTCCTTCATTCGTTCATTCATTCACCACATGTGTTGAGTGCTTACTGTGTGCTTGGCTCTGTTTTAAGCCTCGTGACACAGTGGAGTCCTGGACAGACTTGGGAACTTGACTGTCTTGGGGAGGGATTGGAAGAGAAACGAGTAAATGCATAAGAGAAAGTCCTATTGGTGAAAAGTTGAACAAAACCATCAAAACAGGGTAAAGAGGGATGAAGAGGGGAATTATTTTTATTTATGTATTTAGTTAAGAGACAGGGTCTTGTTCTCTTATCCAAGCTGGAGTGCAGTGGCGCAATCCTAGCTCACTGCAGAGTGATTACTGAAATGAGGGGAGGCTGGGGAAACACTGGAATTGAGATTTGGGGTAGGTGAGGAAAGGAGCCATTTGGACATCTAGGGAAAGAGTGCACAAGGCAGAGGGGACAGGCAGTGTACAGGCCCTGGGGCAGTACAAGCTCTGTGCAAAACCTACATATTCAGAGACACTGGCTGTCCCAATAAAGCTGTACCCTTGGCATTTCAGAATGGAGCTGCCTCCTCCTCCAGGAAGCCCTCCTGGATCTTCAGTGACAATCATGATTAGGCTGAAAAAGCAAGGCAGGGAGGCAGTCTGTGTCAGGCTCAGGGGCACCAGGCAGGGGGCAGGGAAGAGGTCTAAGAGACCCCACTCACTCACCCCAGGTCACACTCACTTGCCTTAAGGCCCCTCCGATTAGGGGGATCCCTGAGACACTAATGCTGTCCTGAGAGTTCTTCCAGGACAGTGGCACCTTCTTCTTAAAAGCTGGGGTTCAAATCCAGGCTCCACCATTTCCTGGCTGTGGGATCAGTCAAGTCACGGCTCTCTGGGTCTCAGTTTCCACCTTTGAAAATGGAGTAATAGCATAATAGTCCTAGAATCGTGGGGGTGCATATAGCAGAGGCCTAATATGTTAAGTCATCATCATAATTATTAATATATGCGCAATACAGGGCATATTTTGGACAGCACGCCCAGGGATGCTGTGTGGTTTTTGGAAAGGGCTCCACCCTCTCTGGGCGCCAGACTCCCCCAAATCCTCTCAGCAGCTCCAGGAGGGAACTGGAGGTTGAGAAAGTGTCCTCAACAGAATCCCGGCCCCTTTCCGCGAAGAGTCAGGGGTCAAAGAACAGGGAGCGAGGAAGGGTCAGGACCATGCGGCCAGCACTCCCCCAGCCCCGGGGCTCCAGGCGGTTAGCTCCGCGGAGGACCAGCTGGGCGGATTTAGCCGGCGCATCTGCCGCCTGAGCAGCTGCCGTTCTGGGGGGGGCCGGAGGGGGATTTGGGACGAGGGAAAAATCTGTCCGAGGAGAATCGCGTCTGCGCGGCCCAGCTGCCGACTTGAGCTGGGGGGACACCCCGAATCCGCTCGGACCCGGGACCCCTCCCCGGCCGCGACCGCCCCCACTTGCCTCTAGGGGAGGGGGCGTTGGGGAGGCTCTGACGTCACACGTGGCCCCAGCCAATCGGAGCTGCCCGTTCGGAGCCCCCAGGGGATTCCCTGGCCTGAGCGGAGACCCGGGGTGCAACCTAGCAGCGAGGACCCCCCAACCTGGGGTTAAAGAGAGCCTGCACCTGGCCGGGGAAACTGAGGCGGGGGGCCATTTGGGGAAGGGATGGGACCCAGGCGACCTCTCTGAGCGGCTGCCCGTGAGCCTGACTACAGCTCGGCCCAGAGAGGGCCAGGGACCCCCGGGAGTCACACAGCGGGGCGACGAGGCTAGTGGTCCTGATGGGGGCGCGCAGGCATTGGGGCGGGGCTTCCCTTCCTGGCAGGCGCCGGCAGTAAGGGGCCGAGCTCAGCCTCACCCCATCCCGGGGACCCTGAAGGCCTTCTGACCTCCTCCGGGTCTCCCCGGGCCTCCTCGGACCCGGGGCCGCAGCCCGGGCCGCACTGGGAAGAAGGTGTCGGTGGCCGCGGGCGCCCGCAAAACCCGCACTGGAATCCACCCGGTCGGAGCAGGACGGGAGCGCTGCGCTGCCAACGCGCCCGCCCAGGCCGGGGAAACTGAGGCCCAGCGGGGCGGGGCTTTGCTCAGAATCCCACGGCTGGGAGGGCGCTGCTGGCTCTGGTGACCTCGGGCGATGCCCTGCCCCTCCCTGGGCCTCCCTGGCCCATCCTGCCACTGTCCTCCAGGTCAGGGCTCAGACAGCCAGGAGCCCTGGGCGGGAGGAGGGAGAGGCCCGGCCTGACCTTGCCCCGGTCCAGGACATGAAAGACCCATTCATGGTCGCAGAAGCCTGGGTGGCAGCTGAGCCACCGGTGGGGGTGGGGCCTCCCTCAAGGCCTTTGTCCCCGAGGTCTCTCTGCCTAGAACGCCCTCCCCGCACACCCCTACCCCCACCCCCCTGCTTGGATCTATGGTCCCTCTAAGGCCTCCATGCCACCTCCTCGAGGTCCTCCTGGACCTCCAGCCAGTCTGTCTCAGCCTGCAGTTCTGTGCCCACTGGTTTCTGTATCCCCAGGCTAGACAAAAGGCACAGGGCAGATTTGTCTTGTTGACAGCTCAGTCCAGTATCTGGTACACAGTAGGTGCTCAATAAATGTTTGCTGAATGACTAGGGTGCAGAAGTACCCAGCTGGGCACAGCCAAGAAGGCAGGGGAGGGAGGGGATGCCAGGGGCTGGGCACAGCGCAGGGAAGGGAGTGTAGGTGGGAGGACGCAGATTCTAGACCCCAAGCCTTGGAGCTGGGGCTCGGCCCCCTCCCTTGTGGAGCAGGCCTCAGTGGCCCCCAGCGGGCAGGACACGGGGCGGGGTGGGGGCTGGACACCAGCAGGTGCCTTGGCTGATTTGCCTGGGATGCTGGGGCGGCCGGAAGGCGGGAAGGGCAAAACCACGGGCAGGAAGGCCTGGCTGCTCCCGGAGGTTTGTGGTCACCAGGATGGCCCTGGGAACATGCCCAGGAACTGGAAGACCTGGGCTGTCTCCATGGGTGCCAGGGAGCCTGCAGATTGCCGTGGGTGGCCTGGGGAGCGGGGTTCAAGTCCTGATACCCAGTCCCCACTGAGTGGCTGCTGGAAGCCAGTGCACAACCTGTCTGGACCCCCTGGATGGCACGGAGCCAGGGATGGGGCATAGTGGCCCCAGCACTCAGTAAGTGTGCAAGAAAAGTCACAAGCTACATAACAACAAAGTGTTGGCTGGTCTCAGTGGCTCATGCCTATAATCCCAGCACTTTGGGAGGCCAAGGTGGGAGGATCGCTTGAGGCCAGTAGTTCAAGACCAGCCTGGGCAATGTAGCAAGCCCCGGTCTCTACAAATAATAATAACAATTTTTAAAAAAATCATCTATCCTCTCTCTCCCCCATTTCTCTATTATCTATCTAAATTATAGAAAAACAGAAAAGAGGCCGGGCGCGGTGACTCATGCCTGTAATCCCAGCACTTTGGGAGGCCGAGGCGGGCGGATCACCTGAGGTCAGGAGTTCGAGACCAGCCTGGCCAACATGATGAAAGCCCATCTCTACTAAAAATACAAAAATTAGCCAGGCATGGTGGCAGTTGCCTGTAATCCCAGCTACTTAGGAGGCTGAGGCAGGAGAACTGCTTGAACCCGGGAGGCGGAGGCTGCACTGAGTCAAGATCATGCCACTGCACTGTAGCCTGGGTGACAGAGCAAGACTCCATCTCAAAGAAAGAAAGAAAAAGATAAGAAAAACAGAAAAGACAAGAAAAAATAAGTGTTTACAGAGCATCTACTGTATGGAGAGAGGCCAGAGCGACCAGGACAGCACTCAGTCCAGTGGGGGAGACGTACAGGATCACATCCACATGGGGAGGTACTTTGGACAGGGAGGGGCACTGAGGCATGGAGAGCAGCCCCTGCTGTCCTGAATTCATTCGAAGGGTCAGGAGGGTTACAGGAAGGTCTCTGAAACCTCTAGGCTCTGTCCTGGGGTCTCAAATTCATGGGGGAACCTGCAGTCCTCGAAAAACTCCTTTCTGGGCCACGTCCCACAGGGCGCTGGCGACAGAGGGGCAGGTCCGGGAGTCGTGAACCATGGAGATCTCTGCAGCCGGTTTGCTCAGGTCGAAAACCCCCTGACGCTCTCTAACTGGGTGACCTTGGACAAGACCTCCCTGTGCCTCAGTTTCCTGAAGTGTCGAGTGAATGTTGCTAAATGGAATACTTGTGGATTGAAGAAATGATCTCGTCTATGAAGGGGGCCACCCAGACCGTAGGGTTCCTGACAGCCTCATTGACCCCATGGGCTGGGTGTGATTGGGGCTGGATCCTGGGGATGCGAGTTTGAACAGAGGGGACCAGGAGAGGAAGTTGGGGCGGCTCAATTAATAAGTCCACCACCTGGACCAAAGCAGGGTGACCCCCTTGGGCCTCCCCCACAACTCACCCAAACGCCACCCACCGGCTCCGCCCTCCGCTCCGCGCCGCGGTTGCTCCGGGCCGGGTTTTGCGCGGCTCCAGCCCGGCTTTGGGGAGGTGGGGGGTTGCTGGAAAGGGGGGGCGGAGGTGGCAGAGCCGCGAGTCGCAGCGGCGGCCGCGGCGGGCGGAGGAGATGCGGCCGCGGCGCGCCCCCGGTCCGGCCGCCGCGCAGCGCCCCCCCCGGAGCCGACGCCAGCGCGCGGGGGGCCGGGGCTGAGCCCCCTCCCCCAGCGCAGCGCCGTGGGCCCGGGGGCGGGGAGAGCGCGCGCCCCCAGCCCCCCTCCCCAGCCGGGGATGCCGGGCTGAGCGGCCCGGCCGGGACAGGTGCGCGCACGGACCCCCCCAGCCCGCGCCCTCCCGCCCTCGCGCCTCCCGCCCGCGCACTCGCGGCGGCCGCGGCTCCGAGGTAAGCGCCCCGGGGCGTCTGCGGAGGGGGTTGGGGGAGGCGCGGGGATGGGGGCGTCTGTCGGCACGCAGCTGGGGGGACCGAAAGGCTGGCTGGGGTGGCCAGGTCAGGCGCTAGGACTGGGGGGCCTGCGGGCCCTGCCACTGGGAGGGGACGGATTTGGAGCCAGGGAGGGGGTTTGGGGAGCGCTAGAACGAGGGGGGGAATCTCTCAGCCACACAACTGGGGAGGGGACCGGATTGGAGAGGGGGTCGCTGGCCGTATGGAGGGATCCGGTGGGGGTCCGGTGGCATCGCTTTGGAGGGGCTGGATTTTGGCCTGGGGCGCTCCCTGAGCCTCCATTATGGGGGTGTCTAATGGCACCGCAACGTGGGGGGGGCGCTTGGATTGTTGACTGGGGGCCTGTATGTGCAGCTAGGTTGGGGGTTCTGTCGGCACCGCAGCGGGTGGAGATTTTGTCCTGGGGGGGCCCGGAGAAGACACAATAATGAGGCTCGCGGCTGCGCCGCTGGGGAGCTGGATTGGGGCCCAGGTGGGGGGTTCGGGGCAGGCAGGGGGCCTGTTGGTCGGGGGTTGGGGGTGGCGTTGGGGGGCGGGGTCCTGAGAGCCAAGTCGAGGCGACCCGGGGCTGGTGTGGGGGTCCTGGCACTGGGAGGCCCCTCCGCCCCACTTCGCGTCCGGCCGCCGCACCTTGGGCGCCCGAGTCCTCTCCGGCCTCCTGTCCAGCCCAGAACAGGACGAGTCGCGGGTCCAGGCCGCGGGGCAGGGGTCGCAGTGGTGTTGGAGGGGAGGGCCGGCCGGTCCGGATCCCCCCCGCTGCAGTGGGGGCCTGGGGGTTCGGGGGCCCCCAAGAGCTGACAAAAGGACAAAGAAAACGTCTATCTCCAAGCGCGCCGGGATGGGTGGGGGGCGCCGAGTGTGGCCCCCTCCCGCGGGCGCTGATTGGTCCCCGGGGTGGGGGTCACGTGCCCTCCTCTCCTGCTCTCCGCCTCTGGGCGCTCTCCGAGTTTGGGGCATCTCCCAGAGGGGGCGCTACTGTCATGAACCCCCACCTCTGCCCCGGCCGGGTTAATGCTGGAGCTAGGAGCGTTTGCAAGAGTCCTGGGGTTGGGGGAGGGATTCGCAGACCCTCACCCCCGCCGCCATGTGGCCCTCTCTCTCTCGCTGAGGTCTTTGACATCCTCTACCTGAGGCTGTCATCTTTGACCCCTAGACTGGAGCGGAACGGGGACTTGGAGTTACTGGGGTGCTCTGAGGCTTTGGGGTTCTGGGTTTGGGTTTAAGGAGGGAGGAGGGAGAGAGGGAC
Organism: Homo sapiens; assembly: GCF_000001405.40. Taxonomy (NCBI): domain Eukaryota; kingdom Metazoa; phylum Chordata; class Mammalia; order Primates; family Hominidae; genus Homo; species Homo sapiens. Next base: position 4,580,156 of record NC_000019.10, on the reverse strand, counting down.
TCATGGCTATGGTGACTGAAGGGGGCCCCTGCCCCATTTGTAAAATTGCATTTCTGTTTTTCTGTGTTCCTTCAGCTTGTGAGAAGGTCCAAATTCCCTCTCCAAAATAAAAATTCAGGACCCCTGGGGCATCCCCCTTGCCCCCAAACCCTTTCCCACATCCCGGGAGACCAGTTTCTTTCAGGCGCGGGACTTCAGGATGTACCTGAACAATTGCTTTAAACTCTACATAGGGAGAGCACAGGTTGTGGGGTGGGTGGTGGGGAACGGCTGGGGCCAAGGCTGAGTTGGAACTCACCTGGGAGGGGGTCTTAAACTCTCCGGGAAGTTGTCTGGGAGTCACTGCCACCCACACAGAGACGCCTCGGATATTGGGTAGGTGGCAGCCTGGCGTCAGCCTCTTGTCTGTTCTGAACCGGCCCATCCCAACAGCAGGTGGGGAAACTGAGGCCCGAGGAAGCCGTTGAAACCCAAGAGCTCTCCTGCATCCCAGCTCCTCCTAAGGGTTGCCCTGAAGCTCTGCTCCTCCCTTCTTCCCCTTGACTCTGGGCTATGCAGGAGCTTTGAGAGGAGGCGCTTAGCTGTGTGGCCTCAGGCTGGTCCCTAGTCCTTTCTGGGCTTCAGTCTCCCCAGGAGATGCGCTTTGGTTTTGGACTGGAGTTGGGGGAGGTGAGGCAGAGAGGGGTCGCTTGAGACTGTCTTGATCTGTGCCTGCCCCATTTTGCCTCTGGTTCCCCCACCAGACTCGGCTGGGGCTGAGCCCCCACAGGATCTTAGGGTCTGTGTCACCTTCTCTGCTTTGAAGTGAGTTGTCTCCAAGCCTAGGTATCCAGTCCCCCCAGGAGGGGCCTTTCCCCCTGAGACCTCAGTCCTCGCCTCTGACCGATGGGCATAGAAGGGGCTGGAGATGTGGCATGTCCTCTGCAGTGGCCACACCAGGCTGGCAGCCGGAGTTTGCTGGGGTTACCAGGACTGGGCCTGGAAGATAGAAATCAAACTGCCCTTGGAAAGGTGACCATGACGTCAGCCTGCAGGACAGGTGAGCTGGATCCCTGGGGACTGAAGGATGTTGCTGGTCACCGCCCGTCTCCTGGGAAGGAAGGTGTCCCGAGCTGACCCTGGGCGTGGCCCTGTCCTGTGGGCCCGGAAAGGGAGATGCTGGAGGGAGAAACTTCCAGGGCAGTGGTCAGGACAGGTGGGAGCAGGGAAAGCTGCCTGGAGGAGGGAGTACTGGGACTGGGCTTGAAGGAGAAGGATTCTGCCTGGAGGAGAGGGGGACAGGCATTGCAGGCAGAGGGAACAGCAAGGATCATCACAGTGGGGTATGTTGGAGGAGCCCTGAGTGGCTAGACTATTTAAGAGGACCATGAGGTAGGCAGTAGCCTTGAATGCCAAGCCAAGGAGCAAACTTTATCCCAAGGGCAATGGGGAGCCATGGAAGGTTATAGAGCAGGGGGAGGGGCATGAGTCACATTTCAGATCTTGAGGAAGGGTAGCTACGAGGAGACAGGCTCCTTGGAAACCAAATGCATTGCTGGAAGGAGTGGTGAGCCGCCCCTCGTGGGAGGCAGGCCAGAGGGGTTGGACGGCTGTCTTTGCAGAATCCTGGATAAATAATCCTGATATTGGTCAGCCCCAAGTGATCTCCTGGATTTTTTTTTTTCAATTTCCAGGTACTGTGGGTTTTCTGAACTGCTGTCGTGTTTGAGATAGCAGGTTCTGAGAGTCTCAGGTATTTAAGGGGTTGTGGGCTCTCATACTGTGACTCCTCCAAAACCCAGCCGTGATTTGGTTGGGCTGTGGCTTTCTCTTGGCCATGGTCGTGCATTTCTTCCCTCCCTGTCTTCATGTAGCAGCAGTAGGGAAACTAAGGCTCAAAGCAGCCCAGGATTCAGGCCCCAGCCACCGGCCCCATGTCCTTTGGCTGAATTATCCCAAAACAGACCCTTCACCCTAGACACCCTCACCATCATGCATGGTGGTGCTGGGGTCGGGTGTGTGACCATAGGAACCCAGGCACGCAATCCTTTTTCGTTATCACGGTCCTTCATCACCTCTCCTCCAGGGACATCCAGGTGAAGTGGCAGACATTAGGACAAGTAAGACAGTGGCGGTGGCTCACGCCTGTGATCCCAGCACTTTGGGAGACCGAGGCGGGAGGATCACTTAAGGCCAGGAGTTCAAGACCAGCCTGGCCAACATGGCGAAACCCCGTCTCTACTAAAAATACAAAAATTAGCTGGGCGTGGTGGCTCACGCCTGTAATCCCAGCTACTCAGGAGGCTGAGGCAGGAGAATCGCTTGAACCCAGCAGGCAGAGGTTGCAAGGAGCTGAGATCACGCCACTACACTCCAGCCTGGGGGACGGAGCAAGACCCCGTCAAAAAAAAAAAAAGGAAAAAGAAAAAGTAAGAGACTTGGGAGGCTGGGGACCACCCTTAGGACTCTTTGGCAGGGACATGGGGCCCTACTACTTGCCACCCTCAATGCTCCTTCTCTATCTGGCCCCAGGGTCCAAAGCTGGCCACCCCAGGGCCCCACTGGGAGGCAAGGCCCACTCTAGACTACATTTCCCAGGATGCACCATGGCCCAGCTAAGCCAGCCTTCCAAGGGCGGACCTAGGAGGGAGCTTCCCAAATACAGGAACCCAGAGGAGGATTGTGGGTTCCCAGGTGGGCCTGGTTCCAGGCAATTAGGTCCCTCAGTCAGTCAACAAATGCTGCCAGTGGTCCCCATGTGCTGTGTCCTGTGCTGGGTGATGCTAGGATCCCAGAGAGGTAACTTTAACTCCTCTGTCTAGTTGGAGGGGCTTCCAGGCCAGAGGAAGAGAAACAGGGGCAGGCACTGGCCACCCGTGCTACACAGGTTCAGGGCTAGGGCAGAGGGAGCAACTGGGGCTAGGGAAAGCTGTACCCTGCCTCATGGATCAGGGAAGATGTACCAGGAAGGGGCACTGTAGCTAGGGCCATGATGGATGTTTAGGAGTTCACTAGGGGGCAGCCATATGTTTTCTGATGATTGCAGAAGAACCTCCCTCCCCTGAAGGCCATGGACTCAGAGCCCCTGGGGAAGCTGAAGTAGCCATTCTGAATTATCGCCCTCATAGGCAGCCGTAGCATTTGGATCAGACTGACTTGAGATTGAATCAGTTTTTTCTCTCACTCACTCATGCCCCCTCTCTGAGCCTCAGTTTCCCCATGGGTAAAACAGGGGTTGCTGTTCTGCCTCCCTTAGGGTTGACCATTTAAACAAGAGGTTGCAGGCAAAATGCCACATATAGTTCTGTTGGGTTTCTGACTCCAAGAAAAGGAACAACCTTGCAAAGCAGAAACGTGGAGCTTCTGGCCATGATCTCATTTGGAGCTGTGGGAGCATTGCTTGCATTTAACAAGTGGACTGATGTTTAGTGAGCACCTATTAAGTGCCAGGTGCCGCGGACCCAGCAATGACCAAGGCATAGACTACTGCATCCTGCCCTTGTCGAATTCCCAGCTGGGTGGGGGGACAGGGGAGCACAGACACTAACTAGAGAAAGGGCAAGGTAAATCAGGTATAGTCAGTGCCCTGAAGACAGTTATCTTGCAAGTGGCTGAGAAGGGCGGGGCTGTGTTCACTGAGGCTGTCGGGGAGGGTGTCTCTGAGGAGATGACATTTGAGCTGAGACCTGGAAGATGAGAAGGAGCTGGTCATGCAGAGATCTTGGGAAGCAGCACTTCAGGCAGAGGGCACGGCCCGTGCAAAGGCCCTGGGGCAGGACCTCACCTGGCGTGTTGGAGGAACACCAAGTAGGCCCGTATGGCTGCAGCAGAGTGTGGAGGGGAGAGTGGGAGGAGGGAAGGGCAAGGAGAGTACGGGGCCAGTCATGCAGGGCCTCGTGGGCTGCAGTGAGGATTTGAGCTTCGACCCCCAGGGAGGTGGGAGCCATGGAGGGCTGCGGGAAGAGGAGGGACAGGACCTGACTCTTGGTGCCCTCTGGTGGCAGCTTTGGGGAAGACAGACGGGGGCGAGGCTGGAATTGAGGACCAGGTCCTGGTAATAATTGATGGGGGCCGGCCAGGCAAGGGTAATAGAGGGGGGCAAAGTGGATGGATAGGGGACAGATTTTTGGAGTCACCCACAAAACTTGCTGAGATGGATGTGAAGAGGCTGAAAGCCCCTTTCTCTGGGGGCAGGGCAGTGCTGTGGTTAACAGCGCAGCGTCTGGACTCCTGGGCCCGGGTTCAGATCCCAGCTTGGCCATTTCTGGGCTGTGCGACCTTGGCCCCATCCCTTGCCCACCCTGGCCCCGAGTTTTCCCACCTATGGAATGGTCAGAAGAGCCCCTGTGACCTACCCCGCTGGGCTCAGTGAGGGACAGGGCTGGGAACACGGGGTAGGCACCCTGTAAGTGTTTGCTGTTGTCCCTCTTTGAAGGTCGGAGCCTCAGGCTCTGGGGAGCAGTGAGGCACAGATGGGGATGACAGCCTCCCTGAGATGACCCAGCAAACTGGGGGCCCCTTCCCCTCGAACACTGTTCTCCACAGTCTGACGGTTCTCAAGCCCCATCCCCCAGCACCCACGTCACTCTGCCAGCCCCTCCATCATTCCTGAGCCCTGACTCACCAGGACTTGTGGTCCGCTCTGACCCCGGGGCCTTTCCCCTGGGACCTATTTCCCGCCTTTGTCTTCTTCAAGTTCATTCGCCAGGTCTTCCGTTCCCAGCAGCACTTGGCACTCCCTGAGACCTCCACCCCCATTCCCCACCACCTCTCTCAGCGGGGCCCCCTCCAGGCCTCTCACACTGGTCCCGGCCACCTGGGGATCCCCAGCCTCTTGGGAGGGGCAGAGACTGGAGGAATTCTGGGGGAGGAGTTCAGCAGTGCGGGGAAGGGCACCCAGAACCCCAACTTGGAGGGGAAGGGCTCCTCATTTTCTGCCCCTAGATCAAGCCCCCAAAGGCCGGGCCATCTTTCTTCCTCCCTAAGTGGAGTCCCTATAACAGAACCTTATTCTCCTCTGAACTCCACAACTGGGTCCCAAGCTCACGACCCACCCCTCTGTACTTCCTCCAAATTGGGTCTGAAGGGAGGACCTGTCCGTCCCCAAACCTGCTTTGGAATCTGTGGGTGCTCGACGCCCCAGCCCCAGCCTGGATTCCCTTGGAGCCCCAGCCCCCTCGAGCCACCCCCTCCTGGGTCCCTTAATTACCTGCTGGGTATAAATGACACTTTAATTTCCTCTGAATGGTCGTTGCAACCCCCCCCACCGCCCCACCCATTCCTAATTACAAGTTGCTGTTTCCGACTTGCCTCCTGGTGGCCCAATTTCAAAACAGTGATTAAAATTAATTACCTGGGGGCCCCCTCCCCGGAGGGGAGGAGCCCCAGGAGCCCCAGAGATGCATCCACGTCCCCACTGGAGGTTCTGCCTGGGCTCCCACACCCTGGCTTCCCGAGTGGCCTGGGGACAGGGACAGCCTCTCTCTGGGTCTCTGCTTGCTTATCTGTGAAATATTTCAGCTGGCCAGATGCGGTGGCTCACGCCTGTAATCTAACACTTTGAGAGGCTGAGGCGGGTGGATCACTAGAGATCAGGAGTTCGAGACCAGCCTGACCAACATGGTGAAACCCTGTCTCTACTAAAAATACAAAAATTAGCCAGGCAAGGTGGCACGTGCCTGTAATCCCAGCTACTTGGGAGCCTGTGGCAGGAGAATCGCTTGAACCTGAGAGGAGGAGGTTGCAGTGAACCTAGACTGTGCCACTGCACTCTAGCCTGGGTGACAGAGCAAGACTCTGTCGCAAAAAAAAAAAAAAAAATTTAGGGTGTGCCATCATCACGGGCAGGTAGCACATTGTGAGCACTTGGAAAATGTCAGCAAGAGGCGGCCTCACACAGTGGCTCACGCCTTTAATCCCAACACTTTGGGAGGCTGACTCAGGAGAATTGTTTGAGCCCAAAAGTTCAAGACCAGCCTGGGTATCATACCCCCTACAAAAAATACAAAAAATTAGCTGGGTGTGGTGGTGCACACCTGTAGTCCCAGCTACTCAGAAGGTTGAGGCAGGAGGATCGGGTGAGCCTGGGAGGTCGAGGTTGCAGTGAGCTGAGATCACGCCACTGCACTCCAGCCTGGGTGACAGAGACCCTGTCTCAAAAAAAAAAAAATGTCAGCAAGAAGCAAGATCACGTTTGCATCCATGGCACCCTTATGTGCTATGTGACCTCAGCAAAATGGCTTAACCTCTCTGAGCTTCAGTTTTTCCATCTGCAAACAGAGATGAGGGTGCTGGTCTCTGAGGGTTGATGCCGGCAAGAAATAAGTTCATATGTGGGAAAAGCATGGCGCATAGTAGGTGCAGTCTTCCTAAATCTGATCTTGAATTCCTTCTCTCCTGGCCTGCTGTGAGTTGAATGTGGAAGGCGGCTCAGGGTAGAGTCCCATCCTTTGCAAAAGAGACACTCGGCATTAATTGAGTGCTTCCTGCATGCAGGGCTCTGTGCCAAGCCCTGGACATGCACAACCCTGAGCATGGCTGAGTCTCCAGCCATATTGGTGCACAGTAGGTGTTTAAGAAGTCTGGAATGAACATATCCTTGCAACTATTTTAATTAATTTATTTATTTATTTGAGACGGAGTCTTACTGTCACCCAGGCTGGAGTGCAATGGTGCAATCTCAGCTCACTGTATCCTCCGCCTCCCAGGTTCAAGCGATTCTCCTGCCTCAGCCTCCCAAGCAGCTGGGATTACAGGCGCCCACCACCACGCCCGGCTAATTTTTGTATTTTTAGTAGAGACGGGGGGTCCACCATGTTGGCCAGGCTGGTCTCGAACTCCTGACCTCAGGTGATCTGCCCGCCTCGGCCTCCCAGTGTCGGGATTACAGGCGTGAGATACCGCGCCTGGCCAGCTATTTTATTTTTAAATTATTATTATTATTATCATTAGTAGTATTATTTAAGTCAGGGCTCTCACTCTGTCGTCCAGCTGGAGTGCAGCGAGGCCGTCACAGCTCACTGTAGCCTTGACCTCCTGGGCCCTAGTGATCCTCCCACCTCAGCCTCCCAAGTAGCATGTCGCACCACACTCAGCTAATTATTATTATTATTATTTTTTAGAGATGGGGTCTGGCTGTGTTGCCCCGTCTGGTCTTGAACTGGCCTCAAGAGATCCTCCTGCCTCAGTCTCCCAAAGTACTGGGATCACAGATGTGAGCCACCTCGCCCAGCCTCCTTGGAACTATTTTATAAGTGGGGGCTCTTGCTGGGACATTCGTTCAGCTGATTTGTTGAGCACCTACTGTGTGCCAGGCCCCATGCTGGGCACTGGAGTCACAGCAGTAACTGAGACAGACCCCTGCCCTTGTGGAGCCAATATTTTTATCCTCATCTTTCACAGGAGGAAACAAGCTCAGAGATGGGAGGGTTCTAACCCAAGGCAACACAGCAGTCACGACAGTTAACTAAGCACCTATCATGGGTTGCTCATTTACCCCTCATGAGAAGCCGATGTGGATGGTTATCATGCTTGGTTCGCTGATGGGGAAACTGAGGCTCTGAGAACTGAGGACTCAGGAGGGAAGGTCAAGAGTGGAGGGGAGGCCGGGCGCGGTGGCTCACGCCTGTGATCCCGGCACTTTGGGAGGCCGAGGCGGGCGGATCACGAGGTCAGGAGATCGAGACCATCCTGGCTGACACGGCGAAACCCCGTCTCTACTAAAAATACAAAAAATTAGCCAGACGTGTGTGGCAGGCGCCTGTAGTCCCAGCTACTCGGGAGGCTGAGGCAGGAGAATGGCGTGAACCCGGGAGGCGGAGCTTGCAGTGAGCCGAGATCGCGCCACTGCACTCCAGCCTGGGTGACAGAGCTAGACTCTGTCTCAAAAAAAAAAAAAAAAAAAAAAGAGTGGAGGGGAGGCCGGGCGCAGTAGCTTAGGACGGGCGCAGTGGCTCACACCTGTAATCCCAGCACCTTAGGAGGCCGACTTGGGCGGATCACCTGAGGTCAGGAGTTCAAGACCAGCCTGGCCATCATGGTGAAACCCCAACTGTACTAAAAATACAAAAATTAGCCAGGTGTGGTGGCATGCACCTGTAATTCCAGCTACTCAGAAGGCTGAGGCAGGAGAATCGCTTGAACCCGGAAGGTGGAGGTTGCAGTGCGCCTAGATTATGCCACTGCACTCTAGCCTGGGCAACACCAGCGAGACTGCTTCAGAAAAAAAAAAAAAAAAAAAAAGTGGAGGGGAGGCTCATAGGCCGCCTCCCAGGCTGGGCAGGGATGAGTTAACCGACATCCAGTAGGATGGGGGACACGGGGGCCTCTCTCTTCTGCCCCACCCCTCATGCCTGGGCCCCAGGGACTCCCTCCAGCCTTCCTGCCAAGTTCCTAGACAGCCCCAGAGCCTGGCTGGGCTGTGATGGGGGCGACCGAGGCAGCTGGAGGGGCAGCTGTAAGCAGAGCCCGTAACCAGACCTGGACGGCCCTGGGGCCCGGCTGCCGGGACCAGGTTACTCGATCCCCCGAGGGATGCTGGCCCCGGAGCCAGAATCCTGGGGCGGCCCGGACGATAGGGAGCTCCTTGTATGGAACTGGAGGCAGACATCCCGCCCTCGTCCCTTGTGCTGTGGCAGATGGAGAAACGGAGGCTTCAAGCCTGCCTGGGATCACTGTCATCTTGGAACAGAGAGGCCCAGAGAGGGCGTGTAGCTGGCCTAAGGTCACACAGTAAGGTCATTTAACCTAAAGTGAATGCCTGTGTGCCAGGCCCTGAGCTAGTGTCTTTATTTTATGGACAACAGCAAAAAAAAAGATGCGGGCAGGGCACGGTGGCTCATGCCTGTACTCCCAGCAGTTTGGGAGGCCGAGGTGGCAGGATCACTTGAGGCCAAGAGTTCAAGACCAGCCTGGGCAACATAGCGAAACCCCGTCTCTACAAAAAGTACAAAAATGAGCTGGGCATGGTGATGCACACCTATGATCCCAGCTTACTGGGGAGGCTGAGACAGGAGGATTGCTTAAACCTGGGAGGTTGAGACTGCAGTGAGCTATGACGGCACCACTGTACTCAGCCTGGGCAACAGAGCAAGACCCTGTCCTTAGAAACAAACAAGAAATGAGGCTGAGTGTCGTGTCTGAGTGAAGGGGAGAGCCCCAGGAGTCCTTTCTGTGCTGTGCCAGCCTCCCCATCCACCTTGACCTTCTGTCTCTTCCTCTAGTGGTCTCAGTCTCCACGCTTTTTCCTCTGCAGTTCCTTCCCCTTGGAGCACCTTCCTCACCTTGTCACGAGGTCTCCCCTTCGACCTTCAGGCCTCAGCTCAAATGTCCCCTCCTCTAATCATTCCTCATGTTTTTATGGTCGTGCTTATTATTGTCAGAAGCTATCGAGTTCCGATATTGGTTAACGTGTGTAGTGTACCCCCGTCTCCCCACGGGACTGGGAGCCCCATAAGGGTAGGGCTTTGTAGCTGTCTCGGTCACAGCTGTGTCCCCATGCCTGAACACATGTGTCTGGTATACAGCTGGTGCCAAATAATTATTAATCCAATGAGTAAGTAAGTGACTTCCAATTTGGGGTACAGGGCGCCAGAGCTGGATGCAGTTGCTTCCAAGTTGGCGGTTGAGCGAAGATGAGGGCAGGGTAGTTGTGGCTGGGGGAACCCAGGGAAACTGAGGCCCAGCCAGGGCAGTCAGAGAAGGCTTCCTGGAGTCGGGGACACGCATGCATGGCCTTGACTGGTAAGCAGGAGTCAGCTGTAGGGCTTGGAGGACAGAGCGTGAGGTTACTATGTCTGGCTGGTTGGGAGGGCAGCTGGACCTTGAGGAGGCTAAAAAGGTTCCCCAGCAGAGGGGACAGCCTGAGCCAAGGTCTGCAGGGAGGGGCTGGAAATGCCTGATAGTAGGTGAGGGCAAGAAGAAGCTTCAAGTTATTCCCAGGGTGGGAGGTGTCCTTGAACACTGAGGTATAAAAAAAATTGGTTCTAGGCCGGGCGCGGTGGCTCAGGCCTGTAATCCCAGCACTTTGGGAGGCCGAGGCAGGCGGATCACGAGGTCAGGAGATCGAGACCATGGTGAAACCCCGTCTCTACTAAAAATACAAAAAATTAGCTGGGCGCGATGGCGGGCGCCTGTAGTCCCAGCTACTCGGGAGGCTGAGGCAGGAGATTGGCGTGAACCCAGAAGGCGGAGCTTGCAGTGAGCCAAGATCGTGCCACTGCACTCCAGCCTGGGCGACAGAGTGAGACTCCATCTCAAAACAAACAAACAAACAAAATTGGTTCTTCTTCTGTGGGGCACTGGGGAGCCATGGTAGGCCTTTGAGCAGGGGAGTGGCAGGGTCAGAGCTGAGCTTGGGATATGCAGTAAAGGGATGGCTTGTTGGTGGTGCCGGGGTCAGAGAGGAGAGTGGGCATTGCCCTTGAAGGACAGCTCAATACCCAGGCTAGGAATTACCCCTGGGACAGAGCCAGGGACCAAGCCAGCTTCTGGAAGTAAGAAGGATTCAAGGTAGATTGAAAGTAAAACTTCCCTGCTCAGGCAAAAAAGAAAAAAAAAAAAAAAGGGCCAGGCACGGTGGCTCACGCCTGTCATCCCAACACTTTGGGAGGCTGAGGCAGGCGGATCACCTGAGGTCAGAAGTTCAAGACCAGACTGGCCAAACATGGTGAAACTTTCTCTCTATTAAAAAGACGAAAAAATTTAGCCAGTCATGGTGGCGGGTGCCTGTAGTCCCAGCTACTTGGGAGGCTGAGGCAGGAGAATCGCTTGAACCCGGGAGGTGGAGGTTGCAGTGAGTCAAGATCGCACCACTGCACTCCAGCCTGGACAAAAAGAGTGAGACTCCATCTCAAAAAAAAAAAAGAATTTTAGCTACAGACCAGCTATCAGGAAACAAAAAAATGTAGAAAAAAACATATTTCACCTGCCGCACATTGGTTCAGATTACATTCTTTCTTCCTCATGGAGGTGCTTTAGGGTTGAATTTTAAATCACCCACAGTGTACAGAGATGGGGAAACTGAAGCCTGGAGAAGGGAAGTGACTGTCTGCGGTCAAACAGCTGAGGCAGAGCCGGGGTTTGAACCTGGGCTGTGCAGTTCTGGAGCCAAAGCTCTTCTTCTGGGACTTCTTCAGCTGCCGATGTTTTCTGTCCGGGCCTCAGTTTCCCCAACCAGCCAGTGAGATTGGGCTGAGCAGGGCGGGGCAGGATGGCTTGTCGATGGTGCCCCTGGTTCACTGGGGTTTTTTTTTTTTTTTTTTTGACAGAGTCTCACTCTGTTGCCCAGGCAATGGCGCAATCTCTGCTCACTGCAACCTCCGCCTCCTGGGTTCAAGTGATTCTCCTGCCTCAGTCTCCCGAGTAGCCTGGGATTACAGGCATGCACCACCACGCCTGGCTAATATTTTTATTTTTAGTAGAGAAGGGGTTTCATCATGTTGGCCAGGTTGGTCTTGAACTCCCGACCCCAGGTGATCCACCCACCTCAGCCTTCCAAAGTGCTGGGATTACAGGCGTGAGTCACCATGCCCGGCCCCAACAAGCAATTATTTTAATTTTATTTTATTTGAGACAGGGCCTTGCCGTGTCACTCAGAGTGCAGTGGGGCAATCGCAGCTCACTGCGGCCTCCACCTCCTGGGCTCAAGCGATCCTCCCACCTCAGCCTCCCAAGTAGCTGGGACCACAGGCACACATCACCACGCCCAGCTAATTTTTGCATTTTTTGTAGAGATGGGGTATTTCTATGTTGTCCAGGCTGGTCTCAAACACCTGAGCTCAAGTGATCCTCCCACCTTGGCCTCCCAAAGTGCTGGGATTACAGGCGTGAGCCACCGTGCCCGGCCCCAGGTGATTATTTTATTTGGGGAATCCACGCATGAAGCTGCACCTCTCAGAGTTTGTGATGCACGTGGATCCCTGCAGGATCTTGATCAGGTGCAGGCCTGGGTGAGCGGGCCTGGTCCTGGGATTCTGCATTTCTGACAGTGGTGCCCACACAGCTGTTCCCAGACCCACACTCCCAGCAGCACACGGGCCTGCGTGTGATGGGGGAGGAGAGGAGGGCATAAAGTGGGGAGGGCAGAGGCGTCTGGGTTCCAGGAAGGTCCAAGGGGAGCCTCTCTTAGATGACCTGAAGTGAGGAAGTGAGTTGCGTGTGTATCTGGGGGAACTCCCAAAGCAGAGGGCACAGCCTGGGGTAAGGCCCTAGGGCAGGACCATGCCTGGCCTGTTGGAGGAACAGCAAGGAGGCCCTTGTGGCTGGAGCCAAGTGATGAGTGGGAGAGAGGGAGGAGGAGAGGGTAGACAGGGCATGGGGCAGGTTGTACAGGGCCTTGTGGGCTGCAGGGAAGACCCCGGCTTTGACCCCGAGGCAGGTGGGAGCCATGGAGGGGTAAGGGCAGAGGAGAGACGGGACCTGACTCATGTGCTCAGAGGCGTCCTCTGGTGGCTGTTTCGGGAAGGACAGCCTGGGGATCAGGGCGGAGGGGACTGGGCTGGGCTGAGCTGGGCCAGGCAGGCGGGGATGTGAGTGGCCACGGCATGGACGGGAAGCGGTGAGAGTTCTGCGTAAACTCGAAGGCAGAGGCCGCAGGAGTGGCTAATGCTGGCTGTGAGGCTGGTGGAATGGGGTGTGGCGGGGAAGTCAGGATGAGCTCCAGTTGTGTCCTAAGCCATCAGCTGAGACGGAGGACGCAGAAGTGGGGCCGGGTCGGGGGACATCGACCATCCGTTGACCCCGATTGGATCGGTAGCCTCAGTGCCACTCCAGCGAGAACCCCATTAGGGTTTTTGTTTTATCTGTTGTTTGTCTTGGAACTCACAACCGGATCCTAAAACTTACACCGAAGCCTCAGGGGCCAAGAACAGCCCAGACGCGCTGGCCTGGAGGAGAGAAGGTTGGGGGAGAGTTCCCCCAGGAAATTCAGGCCCATGACGGGGTGACAGTAGCTAGGGCGGCGCGGTTCTGGGGTCGTGCCCCGTATGGCTGAGGGTGAGACTTCATGAGCCCCGTGCCTGGAGCGGCTGAGGGGAAGTTGAACCCCGAATCCGGAGCTGGGGGAGGCCTGGCTACAGTCAGGACGGTGGGTGTCATCGGATATAGACGGGGTTTCGGGACCCAGGAGCGTACAAGGCCGCCCAAGAGGGGCGTGAGTCGAGGGAAAAGAGAGACGGAGAGCTGGCGGTTGAGGGGGGTGCAAGGCGGGACAGAAAGCTGGGAGTGAGGCTGGCGAGTGTGGGGCATGGGGGTCGCCAGAGGACAGAGCTCCCAGGAAGAAGAGCTAAACTAGGGGGTCCCCGAGGACGTTTCCATTCCTGAGCTTCAGTTTCCACATCTGCACAGTGGGCTCATGTTTGCAGAGCTGGAGTGACAGCTGGGGGCCTCCTGGAGGGAGCTGTTGCTTTGTGGCCCCTCTCCCCCAACAAGGCGCCCCCACAGAGTACATGCAAGTCCCCAGGGTTGCAGGCAGGAGCCCCCCAACCCCTGGGGCACGCAGACATGTGGGTGCACGGGTGCCCCGGAGAACCCCGCACGCCACGGGGCGCACCCGCCAGCCCCGTGGCTCCCTGTGACCAGGTGTCCGGCAGCCGCAGCGTGGCAGGTGTTGGGGCCGCTTCTGAGCAGGCAGGCGCCGAGCGGCTGCTGGCAGAGGCTCCTCGAGTTTCACGGAGAGAAGCAGATGGTCTTGGGGATAGGGGGAGGCGCACAGGCGTCGGGTAACCCCAGATCGAGGGGGTAAACTGAAGCTAAGTAGATGGGGTTCGTTGTGAAGTGGCCTGGACTCCCCGCAGTAAACATTTGGGGTTCAGTTGTGTGTTATTATCAAAATAAGTAAAATGGAGCAGGATCTGTGGGCTCCGCTGATCCCTGACTTCGGGCAAATGACTTTACCTTTCTGTGCCTCAGTTTCTCTGTCTGTATAAGGGGCCTATTAAGAGAACTCACCAGGCCAGGTGCGGTGGCTCACGCCTGTAATCCCAGCACTTGGGGAGGCTGAGGAGGGTGGGTCACTTGAGGCCAGGAGTTCGAAACCAGCCTAGGCAACATGGTGAAACCCCATCTCTACTAAAAATACAAAAATTAGCTGGGTGTGGTGGTACATGCCTGTAATCCCAGCTACTCGGGAGGCTGAGGCAGGAGAATTGCTTGAACCCGGGAAGCTGAGGTTGCAGTGAGCCGAGATCACGCCATTGCACTCCAGCCTGGGCGAAGAGCAGGACTCTTGTCTCCAAAAAAAAAAAAAAAAAAAAAAAGAGCACTCACCCCTTGGGGGTGTTGTGAAGATTAAATGAGTTAATTTAAGTACTTATGACAATGCCTGGCACCTAGCAAGTGCTTTGTGTTTGCTAGGTGTTTTGTTGTTGTTGTTTTTTTGAGACAGAGTCTCGCTGTGTCACCCAGGATGGGGTGCAGTGGCGCGATCTCGGCTCACTGCAAGCTCTGCCTCTCGGGTTAATGCCATTCTCCTGCCTCAGCCTCCCGAGTAGCTAGGACTATAGGCACCTGCCACCACGCCCAGCTAATTTTTTTGTGTGTTTTTAGTAGAGACGGGGTTTCACCGTGTTAGCCAGGATGGTCTCTATCTCCTGACCTCGTGATCCGCCTGCCTTGGCCTCCCAAAGTGCTGGGATTACAGGCGTGAGCCACGGCGCCTGGCCTGTTGTTATTTTATTTTTTTGAGACAGGGTCTCACGTGGTTGCCCAGACTGGAGTACAGTGGACCAATCATAACTCATTGCATTCCTGAACTCTTGGGCTCAAGCCATCATCCTGCTTCAGCCTCACAAGTAACTGAGACTAGAGGCATGTGCCACCACGCCTGGTTAATTTTTTATTTCCTGTAGGAATTGTGAGGGGGTGTCTCACTATGTTGCCCAGGCTGGTCTCAAACTCTTGAGCTCAAGCAGTCCTCTTGCTTTGGCCTCCCAAAGTGTTTTACAAAATTAATACAAAAATTAACCGGGCGTGGCAGTGCACTCCTGTAATCCCAGCTTCTCAGGAGGCTGAAACACGAGAATCGCTTGAACCTGGGAGGTGGAGGTTGTAGTGAGCCGGTAGTGAGCCACTGCACTCCAGCCTGGGCCACAGAGTGAGAATCTTTTCCCCCCTCCCCGGCTCCCTCCCCCCTGCCCAAAAAAAAAAAAAAAAACCCAGGCATGGTGGTGCACACCTATGGTCCCAGCTACTCGAGAGGCTGAGGCAGGAGGATTGCTTGAGTCCGGAAGTTCAAGGCTGCAGTGAGTGGTGATTGTGCCACTGTACTCCAGCCTGGGCAACAGAGCCAGACCCTGTCTCTTAAAACAATGTTTAAAGAAATAGTTTCTAGAGTTAAATATTGTTCTGATAAAACTCAAGATGAGGCCGGGTGCTGTGGCTCACACCTGTAATCCAAGCACTTTGGGAGGCTGAGGTGGGCGGATCATGAGGTCAGGAGATAGAGACCATCCTGGCTAACATGGTGAAACCCCGTCTCTACTAAAAAATCCAAAAAATTAGCTGGGCGTGGTGGTGGCGGGAGCCTGTAGTCCCAGCTACTGGGGAGGCTGAGGCAGGAGAATGGCGTGAACCCGGGAGGCGGAGCTTGCAGTGAGCCGAGATCGTGCCACTGCACTCTAGCCTGCGTGACAGAGCGAGACTCCGTCTCAAAAAAAAAAACAAACCACAAGATGAAAGACAGACCATATTACACCAATTAGGATGGCTACTGTCAAAAAACTGGAAGATAGCCGGGTGTGGTGGCTCACACCTGTAATCTTCGCACTTTGGGAGGCCAAGGTGGGTGGATCACCTGAGGTCAGGAGTTCGAGACCCGCCTGGGCAATATGGTGAATCTCTGTCTGTACTAAAATTACAAAAATTAGCCAGGCATGGTGGCACCCGCCTGTGGTCCCAGGTACTCGGGAGGCTGAGGCGGGAAGATCGCTTGAACCCAGGAGGCGGAGATTGCGGTGAACCAAGATCATGCCACTGCACTCCAGCCTGGGTGACAGAGCGAGACTCCATCTCAAAAAAATAATAAGAATGAAGGAGGCTGGGCATGGTAGCTAACATCTGTAATCCCAGCACTTGGGGAGGTCAAGGTGGGTGGATTGCATGAGGTCAGGAGTTCAAGACCAGCCTGACCAACATGGTGAAACCCCATGTATACTAAAAATACAAAAAAAAAAAATTAGCCGGGCGTGGTGGCGTGCACCTGGAGTCCCAGCTACCTGGGAGGCTGAGAAAGGAGAATCGCTTGAACCCAGGAGGCAGAGGTTGCAGTGAGCTGAGATCGTGCCACTGCACTCCAGCCTGGGAGACAGATCGAGACTGTCTCAAAAAAAGAAAAAAAAAAAAAGGGAAGGAAACCCTGACACAGGTCACAGTGTGGATGCATCTTGAGGCAATCCCGCTCAGTGAGAGAGCCAGACACGCAAGGACAAACCACTGTGTGACCCACTCCTAGGAAGTCCCTAGAGTCATCAGGTTCACCCAGACAGTAGGATGGGAGGTGCCAGGGGCTGGGGAGGGGGGTGAGGAGTGAGTGTTTCATGGGGACAGAATTTCAGTTTGGGAAGCTGAGAAAGTTCTGGAGATGGTGGTGGTGATGGGTGCACAATTATGTGGATGTTCTTAATGCTAGTGAACTGTGTGTACTTAAAAACAGTTAAGGGCCCACCGGGCACCGTGGCTCACAACTGTAATCCCAGCACTTTGGGAGGCCGAGGCGGGTGGATCACCTGAGGTCAGGAGTTCAAGACCAGCCTGGCCAATATGGTGAAACCTTATCCCTACTAAAAATACAAAAATTGGCCGGGGGCAGTGGCTCATGCCTGTAATCCCAGCACTTTGGGAGGCCTAGGCGGGCGGATCACGAGGTCAGGAGATTGAGACCATCCTGGCTAACATGGTGAAACCCTCTCTCTACTAAAAAATACAACAAAAATTAGCCGGGTGCTAATTTTTGGTGGTGGGCACCTGTAGTCCCAGCTACTCGGTAGGCTGAGGCAGGAGAATGGCGAGAACCCGGGAGGCGGAGCTTTCAGTGAGCCGAGATCACACCACTGCACTCCAGCCTGGGCAACAGAGTGAGACCCTGTCTCAAAAAAAAAAAAAAAAAAGTGTAAAGAAATAGAATTAAATATTATTCTGATAAAACACAAGATGAAAGACACACCATGTCATACCCATTAGGATGGGTATGTCAAAAAACTGGAAGGTGGCCGGGCATGGTGGCTCACACCTGTAATCCTCACACTTTGGGAGGCCACGGCGGGTGGATCACCTGAGGTCAGGAGTTCGAGACCAGCCTGGCCAACATTGTGACACCCCGTCTGTACTAAAAATACAAAAATTAGCTGGGCGTGGTGGCACGTGGCTGTGGTGTCAGGTACTTGGGAAGTTGAGGCGGGAGGATCACTTGAACCCGGGAGGCAGAGATTGCGGTGAACCAAGATCATGCCACTGCACTCCAGCCTGGGTGACAGAGCGAGACTCCATCTCAAAAAAATAATAAGAATGAAGGAGGCTGGGCATGGAGGCTCACACCTGTAGTCCCAGCACTTTGGGAGGCCGAGGTGTGTGGATTGCATGAGGTCAGGAGTTCAAGATCAGCCAGACCAACATGGTGAAACCCCATGTATACTAAAAATACAAAAAAAAAATTAGCCGGGCGTGGTGGCGTGCACCTGGAGTCCCAGCTACCTGGGAGGCTGAGAAAGGAGAATCGCTTGAACCCAGGAGGCGGAGGTTGCAGTGAGCTGAGATCGTGCCACTGCACTCCAGCCTGGGAGACAGAGCGATATTGTCTCAAAACAAGAAAAAAAAAAAAAGGGGAAGGAAACCCTGACACAGGTCACAGTGTGGATGCATCTTGAGGCAATCCCGCTCAGTGAGAGAGCCAGACACGCAAGGACAAACACTGTGTGACCCACTCCTAGGAAGTCCCTAGAGTCATCAGGTTCACTGAGACAGTAGGATGGGAGGTGCCAGGGGCTGGGGAGGGGGGTGAGGAGTGAGTGTTTCATGGGGACAGAATTTCAGTTTGGGAAGTCGAGAAAGTTCTGGAGATGGTGGTGGTGATGGGTGCACAATTATGTGGATGTTCTTAATGCTAGTGAACTGTGTGTACTTAAAAACAGTTAAGGGCCCACCGGGCACCGTGGCTCACAACTGTAATCCCAGCACTTTGGGAGGCCGAGGCGGGTGGATCACCTGAGGTCAGGAGTTCAAGACCAGCCTGGCCAATATGGTGAAACCTTATCCCTACTAAAAATACAAAAATTGGCCGGGGGCAGTGGCTCATGCCTGTAATCCCAGCACTTTGGGAGGCCGAGGTGGGTGGATCACCTGAGGTCAGGAGTTCAAAACCAGCCTGGCCAATATGGTGAAACCTTATCCCTACTAAAAATACAAAAATTAGCCGGGTATGGTGGCGGGCACTTGTGATCCCAGCTACTTGGGAGGCTGAGACAGGAGAATTGCTTGAACCCGGGAAGCTGAGGTTGCAGTGAGCCGAGATCACGCCATTGCACTCCAGCCTGGGCGACAGAGCAGGACTCTTGTCTCCAAAAAAAAAAAAAAAAAAAAAAAAGAGCACTCACCCCTTGGGGGTGCTGTGAAGATTAAATGAGTTAATTTAAGTACTTATGATAATGCCTGGCACCTAGCAAGTGCTTTATGTTTGCTAGGTGTTTTTTTGTCGTTGTTTTAATTTAAATTAATTTTATTTTTTTTGAGATAGGGTCTCACTCGGTCGCCCAGACTGGAGTACAGTGGACCAATTATAACTCATTGCATTCTTGAACTCCTGGGCTCAAGCAATCATCCTGCTTCAGCCTCACAAGTAGCTGGGACTACAGGCACGTGCCACCATGCCTGGTTAATTTTTTATGTTCTGTAGAGATTATGGGGGCGTGTCTCGCTATGTTGCCCAGGCTGGTCTCAAACTCCTGAGCTCAAGTGATCCTCTTGCCTTGGCCTCACAAAGTGCTTTACAAAATTAATACAAAAATTAACCGGGCGTGGCAGTGCACACCTGTAATCCCAGCTTTTCAGGAGGCTGAGACACGAGAATTGCTTGAACCTGGGAGGTGGAGGTTGCAGTGAGCCGAGATCATACCACTGCATCGCAGCCTGGGTGACAGAGTGAGACTCTGTCCACCTTCCCCTGCGTCCCCCACCCCCGGCAAAAAAAAAAGTCAGGCTTGGTGGTGCACACCTATGGTCCTAGCTACTCGGGAGGTTGAGGTAGGAGGATTGCTTGAGCCTGGAAGTTCAAGGCTGCAGTGAGTGGTGATTGTGCCACCGTACTCCAGCCTGGGCAACAGAGCCAGACCCTGTCTCTTAATGTTTAAAGAAATAGTTTCTAGAATTAAATATTATTCTGATAAAACACAAGATGAAAGACACAGCATGTCATACCCATTAGGATGGCGACTGTCAAAAAACCAAAAGGTGGCCGAGCGTGGTGGCTCACACCTGTAATCCTCGCACTTTGAGAGGGCAAGGCGAGTGGATCACCTGAGGTCAGGAGTTCGAGACCAGCCTGGCCAACATGGTGAAACCCCATCTGTACTAAAAATACAAAAATTAGCTGGGCGTGGTGGCACGTGGCTGTGGTCTCAGGTACTTGGGAAGTTGAGGCGGGAGGATCGCTTGAGCCTGGGAGGCAGAGATTGCTGTGAACCAAGATCATGCCACTGCACTCCAGCCTGGGTGACAGAGCGAGACTCCATCTCAAAAAAATAATAAGAATGAAGGAGGCTGGGCATGGTGGCTCACACCTGTAATCCCAGCAGTTTGGGAGGCCGAGGTGGGTGGATAGCATGAGGTCAGGAGTTCAAAACCAGTTTGACCAACATGGTGAAACGCCATGTGTACTAAAAATACAAAAAAATTTAGCCGGGCATGGTGGCATGCACCTGGAGTCCCAGCTACCTGGGAGGCTGAGAAGAATCGCTTGAACCCGGGAGGGGGAGGTTGCAGTGAGCTGAGATGGCACCACTGCACTCCAGCCTGGGCGACAGAGCAAGACTCTGTCTCAAATAATAATACTACTAATAATAGTTAAATGAAAATGGTTAAGATGACAGCTTTTATGTTATATATATTTTAGCCATTTTTTTTTAAAGGCACAGGGCAGACAGGGCTCTTAGTTAGGTTCTGGGGTAGGGGGCTAGAAAGGCCCGTGGCATGAGGGGAGGGTAGGCCGAAGTGGGGTCTGAGGTCAGGGGCCTTGAATCCCAGGGAGAGGCTGGGGCCTGGACTCAGGGGTCCCTGGGAGCCACAGGAGGCTGTAGAGCAGGGGAGGAGCCAGGGAAGGAAATTCTGAAGGAAACAGGGCCGTGCCCTGAACACACGTGGAATCCGGGTGTTCGCTGAGTCACAAATCCTGGAAGCTCAGGGTCGTGAAGAGGAAGTCCAGCCGCGCTATGCGAGGTCTTCCTGTTTTTGGAGGGGGCAGGCACCCCAGGGCCGATTGTCGCGAATCACCTTCACCTCTGGGGGCTCAGAATCCCTGAGCCAGAAGGCCAGGGCAGGGCTGGGGGATACCCCTGCTGCTCAGACAGGAAAATGGGCTCGGAGCTTGCCCAATACTTCCCAGAAGGACGAGGCTGCTGAACTTCTCATTCGGGGCTCCGGGACCTGGACTGTACCCCTTTCTGGTAGGGGGTGCTCTGAACTGGGACCTTCAGCATGGAGGGCGGGGGTTCAGAGGGTGAATTCCGCTGCTATGTCATTACCTGGATGGGAGAGTGTCTCCACTCCACACACCTAGAAGTTTCTGCAAAGTTACCTTGAATGGGAGTGGGAAGCAGTCCCCCGTGAGAGGTAGTGAGGTGCCTGTCATGGAGGTGTGCAAGCGGAGAATGAAAAGGCTGGATTTGGGAAGGAGGTCAGATCTACCAGGGTCACAGAGGCCCTTGGCATGGGGAATATTCTGTGATTCTGTGGTTATGTAGTACTGTCATTCCCAGCTTGTGGCTTTTTTTTTTTTTTTTTGGATGGAGTCTTGCTCTGTTGCCCAGGCTGGAGTGCAGTGGTGCGATCTTGGCTCACTGCAACCTCCACCTCCTGGGTTCAAGGGATTCTCCTGCCTCAGCTCTCCAGTAGCAGGGATTACGGGCACAGGCCACCATACCTGGCTAATTTTTGTATTTTTTTGTAGAGACAGGGTTTCGCTATGTTAGGCAGGCCGGTCTTGAACTCCTGACCTCAGATGATCCTCCCATCTCGGCCTCCCAAAATGTTGGGATTACAGGCGTGAGCCACCACACACAGCCAGCTTGTGGCTTATAAAATTCCAAGAGCCTTTGACTCTTTTTTTTTTTAGCCTTTGAGTTTAATATTTTTGTGTTTTAATTCTAAGTATTTTTATGCATGTATTTTGCGATTGCATTTTTAAATATATGTTTTAGGATATTTGTATCTATTATTATAATAATTATTATTAGTTTTAAATTACCGAATGCAGTTTTGTTTGAAGTCGTTTCCTGGGCTTTCACGCACACGTGGCCATAAAGTTGTTCTGATAATTAAATCAGTGCTGTGTATTATTATTATTATTGCCATTATTGTTTTTATTAATTATTATCCCCGTGAGGAATTTTTCTGGGATTTGAAGGAGCGTCTGCTGCTCTCGCCCGCCGTCTTGTGGCCACGAGCGGGACTGCAGGCCGCTCACCTCGCCGCCCCTTGCCCGCAGGCGTCACCTCCTCCTGTCGCCTGGCCCTCGCCATGCAGACCCCGCGAGCGTCCCCTCCCCGCCCGGCCCTGCTGCTTCTGCTGCTGCTACTGGGGGGCGCCCACGGCCTCTTTCCTGAGGAGCCGCCGCCGCTTAGCGTGGCCCCCAGGGACTGTGAGTCTGGGGGTGTCTTTGGGCGGGGGTGGAGTCCCGTGGGAGTATCTGGGTTCCCAGTTGGGTCTGCTGCCCCCACTGGGGGACTCAAGCAGTCCAGGAGCCACCCCTAGAAGGGGCATGACCTCAGGCCACCCTCTCTTCACCCCCAGCCCTTGCTCACACCCCTCTCCACCCCCTCACTCAGACCTGAACCACTATCCCGTGTTTGTGGGCAGCGGGCCCGGACGCCTGACCCCCGCAGAAGGTGCTGACGACCTCAACATCCAGCGAGTCCTGCGGGTCAACAGGACGCTGTTCATTGGGGACAGGTATTGCTGGGGACAGCAAGGAGGCCTGTGTGACGAGCAGAATGAGCGAGGGGGAGAGAGAGAGGAGGCGAGGGCAGGGAGGGGATGGAGCAGGTCGTGCAGGGCCTGTTGGGCCATTGGGAGGACTTAGGCTTTGACCCGGAGGAAGGTGGGAGCCACGGAGGGTTTTAGGTAGGGGAAGGACTGGACCTGACTCAGGTGCTCACACGCGCCCGCCCTCTGGTGGCTGCTTCTGGGAGGGGGCGAGAATGGAATCCAGGGGACCAGGGTGGAGGGGACTGGGCTGTCCAGGCTGGCTATGATTGAGGCTGGACCAGGTGGAAGCTGTCGTGGGGAGAAGCAAGTGTGAGATTACGGGGCTTCTAGGGATGGGCTTCCCAGGAAGGAGAGAGACCGGACAGATCAAATGCTTTGGAGAGGATGAGGAGGATGCGGAAGTGACCACTGGGCTTAACTACACGAGGTCACCAATGACGTTGAGCAGGGCGGCTTCCTCGGCAAGGGTGTGAGGGGAGAGAGCCTGGTGGGCGCCTGGGAGGCGCCGAGTGGGGCACCTGACCTAAGGCCATGGGACATGGTGTTGGGGGCAGTCCGTGGGGCGTGCCGGGCAGGAGGTGGAGTGCAGGATATGAAGGCCTGCTGGGGCCCTTGGGGGGGTGTGGTCGGCGCTAGAGTTGCTCGTGTCAGAGGCATTGGCATGGCCCTGCATGCCCCCGTGTGCACACCACATTGGCAGTGGGAAGGATGGAACGGGAGAGGGTGGCGGAGCCCCCAGTTCTCACTAACTATGCCCCTCCCCCAGGGACAACCTCTACCGCGTAGAGCTGGAGCCCCCCACGTCCACGGAGCTGCGGTACCAGAGGGTGAGGAAGGGGTGCAGGTGGGAGTGGAGGGGTAGGGCCAGGGGGACGCGGCACTGCGCCGGGGAGCTGGGTGGATTCGGCCCAGCACGGCGGGGTCACTCAGGGCTGCTGGGACCCGTTACCCCCTCACCAGCTCTCTCTGTCTGCAGAAGCTGACCTGGAGATCTAACCCCAGCGACATAAACGTGTGTCGGATGAAGGGCAAACAGGAGGTGAGTTGGCCCTGGCTCGGTCCCGGCCCCTGCGAATCAGCCCTGGCATTACCCATGCCCCGCCCCAATCAGACCAGGCCACGCCCACCCCGCCAGCCCTGGCCACGCCCCAACCCACCCCCAATCAGCCCTGGCCCCGCCCAACTGCCAGCCCTGGCCACACCCCCAAACAGCCATGGCCACGTCCACGTCCCCACCCAATTGGTCCTAGCCCGGCCTCCAGCCTAGCCACAATTATCCATAACCACGCCCCAAATAGTTCTGGCTATGCCCACACTTCTGCCCCTGTCAGTCCTACCACCACCCCCAGCCTCGTTCCAACAAGCCCAGGCCATGTTCACACGCCACCCAATAGCTCACTCCCCACCCAATCGATCAGGTCCCCATCCCGACCCCTCCCCTATCAGTCCTGCCGCCCCCCACGCCCCCGGCCCGCCCCAATAAGCCCAGGCCACGCCCACCCCACCAGCTCTGGCCACGCTCCCAACTTGGCCCCAATCAGCTATAACCGTGCCCACCACGCCCCAGTTAGTTCTGGTCACGACCATGCCCCACCCCAATCGGCCGTGACCACACCCAGGGCGGATCCTTCTCCTCCATCCCAGGTTAGGACTCTGCTATTGCCATGGTTATGCCCACAGTCTGACAATGCCCACCATCCTGGCCTTGCCTGCGTTGCTGATACAAAGTGTTTCCCTGTCTGGGTCGCACCGTGTCCCCAGCCAGTCCTAGGTTCAGCCCCTGCCTTGGCCATGCCCACAACAGACCGGCCCTCCACCCACACAACTCAGGTTCTGGCCACGCCCATCACCATGACCACGCCCACATCGCGCTCCCCGCTTCCTCCTGT
Source organism: Homo sapiens (assembly GCF_000001405.40). Taxonomy (NCBI): domain Eukaryota; kingdom Metazoa; phylum Chordata; class Mammalia; order Primates; family Hominidae; genus Homo; species Homo sapiens. Next base: position 4,556,100 of record NC_000019.10, on the reverse strand, counting down.
CCCCACCTCAGGGCGAGTGTCGAAACTTCGTAAAGGTGCTGCTCCTTCGGGACGAGTCCACGCTCTTTGTGTGCGGTTCCAACGCCTTCAACCCGGTGTGCGCCAACTACAGCGTGAGTCTTCAGACTCCCTGCGCCCCAGGTCCAACCTCCAGGCCTCTGCTCGCCCGACCTCCGCTGGCCATGGCTTTTCCCCAGGCCGTGTCACCTCCTCCAGGAAGCCTTCCTGGATATACTCTCCCTGCCTCCTCCCCCTGAGCTCAAGAGGAGTCAGCGCTGTCCAAACGAGGCCTGTACAGGGGGCCGGGGAAGCCGTAGCTACTTAGGTAATGAGCCAGTTACAGGTCTAACTAGGCATTGACTCTTAAACCCATTTACAGATCAGTAAACTGAGGCCCTGAGAGGTTAAGTGAGTGGCCAAGGTCACACAGTAATCCGTGGTGGATCAGGATTCCCCCTGGAGTGGGGGGCTGAGGGAGCCAGGGGCTGCTAGGTGGGGTCAGGAGATCTGTCACTCAGGCCCCATGGTCCCTGCAGATAGACACCCTGCAGCCCGTCGGAGACAACATCAGCGGTATGGCCCGCTGCCCGTACGACCCCAAGCACGCCAATGTTGCCCTCTTCTCTGGTAAGTACCCCCCCAACCTCCATCTGATCAGCCCCAGCCACAGGCAAGACCTGGCATTTTCTACTCCAGCGTCTGGGTTGTTTAGAAGGCAGCTGGACGACCACTTGTCCCAGCTGTGACATGGGCAGACTCTCAGCCCAGGTTTGGGGCTCAGCTGGGATTGAGGCTCAGCGGGATTTGGGGCTTAGCCGGGGTCAGGGGCTCAGTTAAGGTCAGGGCTTGGATGGAGGTGGGGCTTGGATGGGATCAGGGCTCAGCCTGGAGACAGGGGCTCCCCTAGGCTCAGGACTCAGTCTCAGAAAATCGAGTTTCGACCCACCCAGCCCCTGGCCTCTGCGGTCTCATCTCTTGCCTGCCTTCCCCACCCACCCCATCCAGACGGGATGCTCTTCACAGCTACTGTTACCGACTTCCTAGCCATTGATGCTGTCATCTACCGCAGCCTCGGGGACAGGCCCACCCTGCGCACCGTGAAACATGACTCCAAGTGGTTCAAAGGTGAGACCAGGAAGGGCAGTGGGCCCAGACCTGGCAGGGCCCAGAACCTGACATTCATCAAATCTCCCCACCAGAATAAGAGTCCCAGAGGAGCTTGGTGGAGAGATTTCCACCACATCTTTGGAATCTGTTGGCCTTTTTGAAGACTAGAAAGCTAGAGGAACAAGTTTAGTTGGATCTAAAGTAGAACCCGCTGGAAGTGGGTGGCTTAGAAGCCCAAAATGGAACCACAGAAAAGATATAGCAGGACTCAGCTCTTCAACACATGAGGGAGGAAGATAACAAAAAATAGTTGATGTTGCCATTTGCAGCAAGAGACACAGCGATTTTAGGCTTCTGACCTCCCTTCCCCTGCAAAATACCAAACTTTGAGTCTGTTTCATATTGTCTGGGTAACCAGCCTATGTCCCCCCTTCACCATAAAAGCCAGTGAGTTCTTAGCCCCAGAAACCCCCTTTGTCATGTCAGGGGCTGAGTTCTGACCCCTCCTGTCCTGCAGAGCCTTACTTTGTCCATGCGGTGGAGTGGGGCAGCCATGTCTACTTCTTCTTCCGGGAGATTGCGATGGAGTTTAACTACCTGGAGAAGGTGAGGCCGGTGCAGTGGGGCATGAAGTTGAGAGGCTCTGATCATGCGAAGTGAGGGGGCAGAGGTGGATCCATGAATCCCTGCATGGGGTGAGAGGGTCCTGCCCTCCATTTCTGGTCCCCAGGGCCTCCTTTCCAGCCATGATCAGGCCCTGAGGCTGAAGACATCTACGGAGCAGCCGTGGAGCACTCAGCCCTGACGAGGGACTTGAGTTGGAAGTCAGATACACCTGGTGCTGTTGCTGTTCACCTGTCCACCCACCCACCCAGCCACAATCACTTATCCATCCTTCATCCCCTGTCCATCCGTCTACCTGCTCACCCTCCCACTTACCCATCTGTCTGTTCTTCAGCCCACCCACACTTTCATGAGCCCATTAATCCATCTACTCATCTGCCCACCCACTCACTCATCCACCCACTACCATCCATCCGTGCACTCATCCATCTGTCCATGCATCCATCCACCCATCGATTCATCTAGCCACCCTTCCATCCTATCCATCTATCAGTCCATCCACCTATCCATCCATCTATCCATCATCTGTCCATCCATCTGCCAATCCATTCACCCATCCATTCATCCATCCATCCATCCCATCCACCCATCCATCCATTTATCTACCCATCCACCAACACACCCACCCACCCACCCACCCATCCATCCATCCATCCATCCACACATCCATCCATCCATCCAGCTGCCAATCCATCCACCCATCCATTCATCCATCTACCTATCCACCCACCCATCCATCCATCCTTCATCTATCCATCCATCTGCCAATCCATCCACCCTTCCATCTCATCTATCCATCCATCTCATTCACCCACTCATCATCTATGCACCCACCCATCTATCCATCCATTTATCTGCCCATCCACCCACACACCCATCCATCCATCCATCCATCCATCCATCCATCCATCCATCCATCCACTCACCCATCCAACCATCCACCCATCCAACTCACCTATCCATCCATCCATCCATCCATCCATCCATCCACTCACCCATCCAACCATCTACCCACCCAACTCACCCATCCATCCATCCATCCATCCATCCACCCACTTATCCATCCATTCATTCATCCACTTATTCACCTATCCATGCATCCATCCATCCACTCACCTAGCTTTCTCTCTATCCATCTGTTCATCCATCCACCCACACATCCATCTACTTATCTACCAATTGCTTGATTACCTTGTTCTCCTTCACCATCTCTTCCATTATCTATCATCCTTCTTCAGATGTATTTATTTATCCATCCACCTACTCATCCCTCCATTGTAATCGTCCGTCCATCTACTCATCCACTCATCCGTCCATCCAGGCAACCAGGCAGTGCTGAAGTGCACAGACTGCCACTAACTACTATTGTGACCTTGGACCAGTCACTTCCTTTTATCTGTGCCTCTTATCAGTGTCCCCACATGTACAATGGGGGGATATCAGTAGGCCCCCCTCGGGAAGAGTGTAAGAGATGTGAGAATAAAATGTGGGTCTTCGTGGAAACAGTGATGATTATGGTTGTCACTGTTGCTATTATCATCATTGACATTCCCACCGGGAATTTCTGCCAGGGAAGCCGGTGCCCAGAGAGGAACGGTGACTGGCCGGGGTCCCACCAGAGCCAGGGTCAGACTCCTCCATCACAGTTTGGGTGGTGAGTGGCACAGCCTGTGAACAGGCCTTCCTGGGACACAGAGCTCAGGCCCCCGTCCGTCCACTGTCACGCCCAGGTGGTGGTGTCCCGCGTGGCCCGAGTGTGCAAGAACGACGTGGGAGGCTCCCCCCGCGTGCTGGAGAAGCAGTGGACGTCCTTCCTGAAGGCGCGGCTCAACTGCTCTGTACCCGGAGACTCCCATTTCTACTTCAACGTGCTGCAGGCTGTCACGGGCGTGGTCAGCCTCGGGGGCCGGCCCGTGGTCCTGGCCGTTTTTTCCACGCCCAGCAACAGGTCAGCGCCCACCAATGGGAGCAAACTGGGAGCATTTGGTGGGCATGGGTAGAGAGGGCCTGTATTCACTCCTCAGGTATGCCCTGGGTGCTAGGTTGGGCACCACTGGATTAGACCTCTGAGAGGCCTCGGCCCCAGGCTGGGGTGGGACAAGCTGACACTGACCCTCTAAGTCCCTTTGGTCAGAACTGGGCCAAAGATATCCTCATCCTCTGCCTTTGGGGAGAGGAGCAGGGAGGGCTTCCTGGAGGAGGGGACATTGGAGCTGGACTTTGGGTGTGAGATGGAGGAAGAGGGAAGGGTGTTCAAAGTTGGAGAAACAGCATGTGCAAAGGTCCTGAGGCTTCAGTGAGTTCAGTATACTTAAGTAATCGTGAGAGAGTCTGTGTGGGAAGGGAACTAGGGGAGAATGCACAACAGGAAAGCAGGGAACTGGTAGGATGGATCAGGCAAGGCTTTGTGGGCTGCAGGCAGAAACTTGGACTTTTTCCCTGAGAGCACTGGGGAGCCATGGAAGAGTGAAGAGCAAGAGGGATGAGATCAGGTTTGCATTTTTTGTTTGTTTGTTTGTTTGTTTGGTTTGGTTTTTTTTTTGAGACAGTTTCACTCTTGTTGCCCAGGCTGGAGTGCAGTGGCGCGATCTCGGCTCACCACAACCTCTGCCTCCTGGGTTCAAGCAATTCTCCTGCCTCAGCCTCCCTAGTAGCTGGGATTACAGGCGTGCGCCACCACACCCAGCTTATTTTGTATTTTTAGTAGAGACGGGGTTTCTCCATTTTGGTCAGGCTGGACTCAAACTCCTGACCTCGTGATCCACCCGCCTCAGCCTCCCAAAGTGTTGGGATTACAGGCGTCAGCCACCGCACCCGGCCAAGGTTTGCATTTTTAAAAAGCCTGCTTGTGGACTGGGCACGGTGGCTTCGCCTGTAATCCCAGCACTTTGGGAGGCTGAGGAGGGCAGATCACTTGAGGTCAGGAGTTCGAAACCAGCCTGGCCAACATGGTGAAACCCCATCTCTACTAAAAATACAAAAATTAGCTGGGTGTGGTGGTGGGCACCTGTAATTCCAGCTACTCGGGAGACTGAGGCAGGAGAATTGCTTGAACCTGGGAGGTGTAGGTTACAGTGACCTGAGATCACGTCACTGCACTCCAGCCTGGGCGACAGAGCAAGACTCGGTCTCCAAAAAAAAAAAAAAAAGCCTGCTGGGGAGTGGGCTCTAACAGTGACACTGGGCAGGCAGGACATCCAGTTAAACAGGGATGGGGGCCTGGACAGGGGTGGCCTCGTAGACCCTGAACTGTGGCCCAATCTGAGATGTTATTCAGGAGGAGTGGCTGCATTCGACAGATGCGGGAGGGACAGGGGACATCTCTGGCCTAGGAAGACTGAAGATTCACTGGCTCCTGCAGACAGAGGCTCCTGCACGCACTTGTCCGAGATGGGGCCTCCCACCGGGCTCACCAAACTCTTTCATCCCAACCCCTCAGCATCCCTGGCTCGGCTGTCTGCGCCTTTGACCTGACACAGGTGGCAGCTGTGTTTGAAGGCCGCTTCCGAGAGCAGAAGTCCCCCGAGTCCATCTGGACGCCGGTGCCGGAGGATCAGGTGCCTCGACCCCGGTGAGAACCCCCTCCATCCTGAGTCACATGCCCGGATGAGGTCCTGATCCCCAGGGCCGAGGGCTGGGGCTTCCGGGTGGTTATTTAGCTGATGCTGAGTTCAGCTGTACCCGTTATACAGTTGGGAAAAACTGAGGCCTGGTGTGGTGGCTCACGCCTGTAATCCTAGCCCTTTGGGAGGCGGAGGTGGGCAGATCACCTGAGGTCGAGGGTTTGAGACCAGCCCGACCAACATGGCGAAACCCTGTCTCTACTAAAAATACAAAAATTAGCCGGGCGTGATGGCACGTGCCTGTAATCCCAGCCACTCGGGTGGCTGAAGCAGGAGAATCGCTTGAACCCAGGAGGTGGAGGTTGCAGTGAGCCAAAGCACTCCAGCCTGGGCGACAGATTGAGACTCTGTCTCAAAAACAAAACAAACAAAAAACCTGAGGGTCGTTGGGCAAAGCAATGGGTACCTCTGGTGAATCAGGCCCCTTTATGAGAACCTTTACGTTCGTCCTGACCACACCCTTGTCACCCCCAGGCCCGGGTGCTGCGCAGCCCCCGGGATGCAGTACAATGCCTCCAGCGCCTTGCCGGATGACATCCTCAACTTTGTCAAGACCCACCCTCTGATGGACGAGGCGGTGCCCTCGCTGGGCCATGCGCCCTGGATCCTGCGGACCCTGATGAGGTCGGTCCTGGAGAGGCAGGGCATGGCGAGGGGAGACAGGATGGGGTAGATGGAGGGTGAGAGGATCCAGATGCTCAACACAGATGAGCCCATGGCTTCCGGCGCTGCCCAGAGAGCTGGAGACACAGAGAGACAGAGAGGGAAAGATGGAGAGACACTAGGAAAGAGAGAACAAAGAGAGAGACAGAGGGATCAAGAGGTGACAGATGGGGCTGGGCACGGTGGCTCATGCTTGTAATCCCAGCACTTTGGGAGGCCGAGGCTGCCAGATCACCTAAGGCCAGGAATTCGAGACCACCCTGGCCAACATGGAGAAACCTCGTCTCTACTTAAAATACAAAAATTGGCCGGGCATGGTGGCTCACGCCTGTAATCCCAGCACTTTGGGAGGCCGAGGCAGGCGGATCACGAGGCCAGGAGATGGAGACCATCTTGGTTAACACAGTGAAACCCCGTCTCTACTAAAAATACAAAAAATTAGCTGGGCGTGGTGGCAGGCGCCTGTAGTCCCAGCTACTCAGGAGGCTGAGGCAGGAGAATGGCATGAACCCGGGAGGCGGAGCTTGCAGTGAGCCAAGATCACGCCACTGCAGTCCCGCCTGGGCGAAAGAGCGAAACTCCGTCTCAAAAATAAAATAAAATAAAATACAAAAATTAGCCAGGCGTGGTGGTGGGCGCCTGTAGTCCCAGCTACTCGGGAGGCTGAGGCAGGAGAATCACTTGAACCCGGGAGGCGGAGGTTGCAGTGAGCCGAGATCACGCCACTGCACTCCAACCTGGGGCCAGAGGGAGACTACACCTCAAAAAAAAAAAAAAAAAAAAAGAGGTAGACAGACAGACACACACCAGGAGAACAAAGGGGGAAAGAGACAGAGAGACAGGGAGAGAGACAATCAGAGACAGACAGACACCCAGAGAGACAGAGATAGGGAAGAGAGACAAAGAGAGAAAGAGACTGAAAGATACACAGACACACATACATATCAGGAGAAAGCGGGGCTGGGCACAGTGGCTCATGCCTGTAATCCCAGCACTTTGAGAGGCTAAGACGGGAGGATCACTTGAGGTCAGGAGTTTGAAACCAGCCTGGCCAAATGGTGAAACCCTGTCTCTACTAAAAATACAAAAAAAAGAAAATCAGCTCGGTGTGGTGGTGTGCGCCTGTAGTCCCAGCTACTTGGGAGGCTGAGGCAGGAGAATCGCTTGAACCCAGGAGGCGAGATCGAGCCACTACACTGCAGCCTGGGCAACAGAGTGAGACTCTGTCTCAAAAAAAACAAAACATAAACTTGCCAGGCGTGATGGCGTGTGCCTGTAGTCCCTGCTACTCAGGAGGCTGAGGCAAGAGAATTGCTTGAACCCGGGAGGCGGAGGTTGCAATGAGCTGAGATTGCGCCACTGCACTCCAGCCTGGGTGACAGAGTGAGACTCCATCTCAACCAAAGAGACAGGGCTGAGGAGAGCCTGGTTTGGGGTTATGTTTCAAAAAAGGGCGAGTGTGCCCACGTGCCTGTGTAGTCACGCATGTCCCCGGCATCCATGCACACACGCATTTATTGCTGTCACATGTGTTGGTGTGTCAGTGTCTGTATGCACCCGTGTAACTATGGCCATGCCCGTGTTGGTGGCATGTGGTGATATGGGGCCAGCCTGACCCTCCCCTGCCCTGTCCCCCAGGCACCAGCTGACTCGAGTGGCTGTGGACGTGGGAGCCGGCCCCTGGGGCAACCAGACCGTTGTCTTCCTGGGTTCTGAGGCGGGGACGGTCCTCAAGTTCCTCGTCCGGCCCAATGCCAGCACCTCAGGGACGTCTGGGCTCAGTGTCTTCCTGGAGGAGTTTGAGACCTACCGGCCGGACAGGTAAGTCTGGGCAAAGGTGGGAAGGGGTCGCCAGCAGGAGGGGAGATGGGCTGAGATGCGCTCAGCCTCACCACTCTGCTTGTCCCCAGGTGTGGACGGCCCGGCGGTGGCGAGACAGGGCAGCGGCTGCTGAGCTTGGAGCTGGACGCAGCTTCGGGGGGCCTGCTGGCTGCCTTCCCCCGCTGCGTGGTCCGAGTGCCTGTGGCTCGCTGCCAGCAGTACTCGGGGTGTATGAAGTGAGTGTCCACCCCAGGCCAGCCGTGGGCGGGAAGCAAGGGAGGATGGGCACAGGGAGGGACAGCTGGGTTCCAGTCAAAAGCCCAATGATGTCCTGGTCATTGAGCTGGGCAGAGGGCATGGCCCGTGCAAAGGCCCGCGGGCAGGACCACTCCTGGTGTGTTGGAAGAACAGCAAGGTGGCCGGTGTGGCTGGAGCACAGTGAGCAAGGGGGAGTGAGGGAGGAGGGGAGGACGGGGAGGGGATGGGAGAGGACGAGGCAGTTTGTGCAGAGCTTTGTGAGCCTCGGGGAGGACTTGGGCTTTGACCTTGAAGGAGATGGGAGCCATGTAGGGTTGCAGGCAGAGGAGGGACTGGCCCTGACTCAGGTGCTTACAGGTGCCCTCTGGTGGCTGCTGCCAGGAGGAGACTGCAGGGGAAGGAGAACCAGGGACCAGGGTGGAGGCTGTTTCCCCGTCTCTAAAATGGGAGGAAAGCTAGGATGCATGCCAGTGCTGGCACACGCCTGCACTCCATGTGAGCCGTCAATGCGGAGGACCCTGCTTCCTGCCCGCCGTTATTGCAACAATGACCCAGTAGCTCCGAGTCCAAGGGCACAGCCTCTGGCACGATGCCTGGGCTCCCATCTCAGCTCTGCCACTTGGGCAAACATTTACTTTCTGGAGCGTCAGTTTGCTTATCTGTAAAGTGGGGAGTGAACAGTGCCCTGCACACAGATTTGTTCTAAGGACTCCAGAAGTTGCTATTAAGAAGAGGGACTGGGCTTGGTAGCTCACGTCTGTCATCCCAGCACTTGGGAGGCCAAGGCAGGAGGACTCCTTGAGCCGAGGAGTTCGAGACCAGCCTGGGCAACACAGCATAGTGAGAGCCTGTCTCTAAAAAAAAAAAAAATGCAAAAATCAGCTGGGCGTGGTGGCACACACCTGTGGTCCCAGCTACCCAGAAAGCTGAGGCAGGAGGATCACTTGAGCCTGGGAGGTTGAGGCTGCAGTGAACTATGATCATGACACTGTACTCCAGCCTGGGTGACAGAGCATGACCCTGTCTCTTAAAGAAAAAAAAAATTAAATTTTAATTTAAAAAAATTTTTTTAATTTTAAAATAAGAAAACGCCAGCCGTGGTGGCTCACACCTGTAATCCCACCACTTTGGGAGTCCGAGGCGGGTGGATCACTTGAGGTCAGGAGTTCAAGACCAACCTGGTGAAACCCTGTCTCTGATAAAAATGCAAAAATTAGCTAAGTATGGTGGCGCGTGCCTGTAATCCCAGCTACTCGGGGGGCTGAGGCAGGAGAATCGCTTGAACCCGGGAGGCGGAGGTTGCAGTGAACCAAAATCCCGCCACTGCACTCCAGCCTGGGCGACAAGAGCGAAATTCCATCTCAAAAATAACTAAATAAATAAACAACAAGAGCGAAATTCCGTCTCAAAAATTAATTAATTAAAATAAAAATAAAGAGGCAGGTGCTTGGAACAGGGCCCACAGGTCACCATCACCATTGGGGTTGTGTAAGTGACTTGGACACTTGTCCCATTCGGTCCCTGGTCTGCTCTAGGAACTGTATCGGCAGTCAGGACCCCTACTGCGGGTGGGCCCCCGACGGCTCCTGCATCTTCCTCAGCCCGGGCACCAGGTACTGCGGGAGAGGGAGGTGGGTGGAGGGTGTGTCAGACCCGCCCATGATCCCAGATCCCCCTGATCTCTGACTGTGAGAGGGGCCTCTGCTGACGGTGCCTCCTCTCCCCATTAGAGCCGCCTTTGAGCAGGACGTGTCCGGGGCCAGCACCTCAGGCTTAGGGGACTGCACAGGTGAGTTGGGGGGACGGCAGGCTAAGACCCCCATCCCCCACTACCATGGGGGAGGGGAGGGAGGAGGCTGGAGGACCCTCGAATCCTCTGGGAGGTGGGTGGGGAAACTGGACTCCATCAGAGAACTTTAGAAAGGCATGGGGTGGGCCGGGCGCGGTGGCTCACGCCTGTAATCCCAGCACTTTGGGAGGCCAAGGTGGGTGGATCACGAGGTCAGGAGATCTAGACCATCCTGGCTAACACGGTGAAACCCCGTCTCTACTAAAAATACAAAAAATTAGCCGGGCGTGGTGGCGGGCGCCTGTAGTCCCAGCTACTCGGGAGGCTGAGGCAGGAGAATGGCGTGAATCCGGGAGGCAGAGCCTGCAGTGAGCCAAGATCACGCCACTGCACTCCAGCCTGGACGACAGAGCAAGACTCCGTCTCAAAAAAAGAAAAGAAAGGCATGGGGTGGTCTCATCTCATTTATTGGGGAGGGAGATAGGGGAAGAACAGAGACACCAAGAAACAGGCAGGCTTTGGCAAGGACGAAGAGACAACAGAAGGCAGACAGACCAACTTCAACAGGACAGAAGGGGCCAGGCGCGGCAGCTCCTGCCTATAATCCCAGCATTTTGAGAGGCCAAGACAGGACGATCACTTGAGGTCAGGAGTTTGAGACCAGCCTGGGGAATATAGTGAAACCCTGTCTCTAAAACAAAAACCCAAAAATAATCCAGACGTGGCAGTGCATGCCTGTAGTTCCAGCTACTTGGGAGGCTGAGGCGGGAGGATCGCTTGAGCCCAGGGAGGTGGAGGCTGCAATGAGCTGTGATCAGGCCACTGTACTCCAGCTTGGGCAACAGAGTGAGAACATGTCTTTTTTTTTTTTTTTTGAGACAGAGTCTTGCTCTGTCACCCAGGCTGGAGTGCAGTAGTGTGATCTCAGCTCACTGCAACCTCCACCTCCCGGGTTCAATTGATTCTCCTGCCTCAGCCTCCCAAGTAGCTGAGATTACAGGCGCACACCACCATGTCCGGCTAAAATTTGTATTTTTAGTAGAGATGGGTTTCACTTGTTGGCCAGGCTGGTCTCAAACTTCTGACCTCAGGTGATCTCCTGCCTCAGCCTCACAAAATGCTAGGATTATGGGTGTGAGCCATCATGCCTGGCCCAGATCCTGTCTTTAATAAAACAAACAGGTAGCTGGAGGCAGGGTTGCAGTGAGCTTTACCACTGCACTCTAGCCTGGGGGACTGTCTCAAAACAAACAAACAAAAAAAATTAAAAAATAATAAAAATAAGGCCAGTCGTGGTGGCTTATGCCTGTAATCCCAGCACTTTGGGAGGCAGAGGTGGGCGGATCACAAGGTCAGGAGTTCAGACCAGCCTGGCCAACGTGGTGAAACCCCATCCTACTAAAAATACAAAAATTAGCCGGGCGTGGTGGTGGGCACCTGTGGTCCCAGCTACTCGGGAGGCTGAGGCAGGAGAATCACTTGAACATGGGAGGCGGAGGTTGCAGTGAATCGAGATCGCCCCACTGCACTCCAGCCTGGCACACAAAGGAAGACTCCTTCTCAAAAAATAAATAAATAAAAAAAAATAAAAATAATAAAAAAGAGGACAGAGGGCCCCGAGGAGGTAGGAGGGATGCCCAGGGCCACCCCGCCGGCCCCACTAACCCCCCTGTGCTCCCCGGCCAGGACTCCTGCGGGCCAGCCTCTCCGAGGACCGCGCGGGGCTGGTGTCGGTGAACCTGCTGGTAACGTCGTCGGTGGCGGCCTTCGTGGTGGGAGCCGTGGTGTCCGGCTTCAGCGTGGGCTGGTTCGTGGGCCTCCGTGAGCGGCGGGAGCTGGCCCGGCGCAAGGACAAGGAGGCCATCCTGGCGCACGGGGCGGGCGAGGCGGTGCTGAGCGTCAGCCGCCTGGGCGAGCGCAGGGCGCAGGGTCCCGGGGGCCGGGGCGGAGGCGGTGGCGGTGGCGCCGGGGTTCCCCCGGAGGCCCTGCTGGCGCCCCTGATGCAGAACGGCTGGGCCAAGGCCACGCTGCTGCAGGGCGGGCCCCACGACCTGGACTCGGGGCTGCTGCCCACGCCCGAGCAGACGCCGCTGCCGCAGAAGCGCCTGCCCACTCCGCACCCGCACCCCCACGCCCTGGGCCCCCGCGCCTGGGACCACGGCCACCCCCTGCTCCCGGCCTCCGCTTCATCCTCCCTCCTGCTGCTGGCGCCCGCCCGGGCCCCCGAGCAGCCCCCCGCGCCTGGGGAGCCGACCCCCGACGGCCGCCTCTATGCTGCCCGGCCCGGCCGCGCCTCCCACGGCGACTTCCCGCTCACCCCCCACGCCAGCCCGGACCGCCGGCGGGTGGTGTCCGCGCCCACGGGCCCCTTGGACCCAGCCTCAGCCGCCGATGGCCTCCCGCGGCCCTGGAGCCCGCCCCCGACGGGCAGCCTGAGGAGGCCACTGGGCCCCCACGCCCCTCCGGCCGCCACCCTGCGCCGCACCCACACGTTCAACAGCGGCGAGGCCCGGCCTGGGGACCGCCACCGCGGCTGCCACGCCCGGCCGGGCACAGACTTGGCCCACCTCCTCCCCTATGGGGGGGCGGACAGGACTGCGCCCCCCGTGCCCTAGGCCGGGGGCCCCCCGATGCCTTGGCAGTGCCAGCCACGGGAACCAGGAGCGAGAGACGGTGCCAGAACGCCGGGGCCCGGGGCAACTCCGAGTGGGTGCTCAAGTCCCCCCCGCGACCCACCCGCGGAGTGGGGGGCCCCCTCCGCCACAAGGAAGCACAACCAGCTCGCCCTCCCCCTACCCGGGGCCGCAGGACGCTGAGACGGTTTGGGGGTGGGTGGGCGGGAGGACTTTGCTATGGATTTGAGGTTGACCTTATGCGCGTAGGTTTTGGTTTTTTTTGCAGTTTTGGTTTCTTTTGCGGTTTTCTAACCAATTGCACAACTCCGTTCTCGGGGTGGCGGCAGGCAGGGGAGGCTTGGACGCCGGTGGGGAATGGGGGGCCACAGCTGCAGACCTAAGCCCTCCCCCACCCCTGGAAAGGTCCCTCCCCAACCCAGGCCCCTGGCGTGTGTGGGTGTGCGTGCGTGTGCGTGCCGTGTTCGTGTGCAAGGGGCCGGGGAGGTGGGCGTGTGTGTGCGTGCCAGCGAAGGCTGCTGTGGGCGTGTGTGTCAAGTGGGCCACGCGTGCAGGGTGTGTGTCCACGAGCGACGATCGTGGTGGCCCCAGCGGCCTGGGCGTTGGCTGAGCCGACGCTGGGGCTTCCAGAAGGCCCGGGGGTCTCCGAGGTGCCGGTTAGGAGTTTGAACCCCCCCCACTCTGCAGAGGGAAGCGGGGACAATGCCGGGGTTTCAGGCAGGAGACACGAGGAGGGCCTGCCCGGAAGTCACATCGGCAGCAGCTGTCTAAAGGGCTTGGGGGCCTGGGGGGCGGCGAAGGTGGGTGGGGCCCCTCTGTAAATACGGCCCCAGGGTGGTGAGAGAGTCCCATGCCACCCGTCCCCTTGTGACCTCCCCCCTCTGACCTCCAGCTGACCATGCATGCCACGTGGCTGGCTGGGTCCTCTGCCCTCTCTGGAGTTTGCCTCCCCCAGCCCCCTCCCCATCAATAAAACTCTGTTTACAACCACCGGCCCCCATGACTCTGGCTCTGCTCTGCCTCCTGGGGGTGGCACGGGTGGGGGCACCCTCAAAAGTCAAGGCCAGGCCGGGCGCGGTGGCTCACGCCTGTAATCCCGGCACTTTGGGAGGCCGAGGTGTGCAGATCACTTGAGGTCAAGAGTTCGAGACTAGCCTGGCCAACATGGCAAAACCCCGTCTCTACTAAAAATACAAAAAATCAGCCAGGCTTGGTGGCGGGTTCCTGTAATTCCAGCTACTCGGCCGACTGAGGCAGAAGAATAGCTTGAATCTGAGAGTCAGAGGTTGCAGTGAGCTGAGATCACACCACTGCACTACAGCCTGGGTGACAGAGCGAGACGCTGTCTCAAAAAAAAAAAAAAAAAAAAGGCTGGGTCAAAACAAATCTGGGGAGCTGAGTGTGGAAACATGGAGACTTCGGGGTCCCCATCTTCATCTGCATAGGAGCCAGTTTCTTTTTCTTTTTCTTTTTCTTTTTTTGAGACAGAGTCTCACTTTGTCACCCAGGCTGGAGTATAGTGGCGCGATCTCGGCTCACTGCAACCTATGCCTCCTGGGTGCAAGCAATTCTCCTGTCTCAGCCTCTCCAGTAGCTGGGACTACAGGCACCCGCCACCACGCCCCGCTAATTTTTGTATTTTTAGTACAGACGGGGTTTCATCATATTGGTCAGGCTGGTCTCGAACTCCTGAACTCAGGTGATCCGCTTGCCTCGGCCTCCCAAAATGCTGGGATTACAGGCGTGAGCCACTGCGCCTGGCCAGCCTTATGAATTTTGTTTTAAGTGGGACAAGAAGCCATCAGAGAGTTTTAAGCAGGGATGTGATCTCATTTCATTTTAATGGATCGTTTTGTTACTGTGTCACTACATTTCACAAGCCTTCCTTCCTCTCAGTCCATGTTGATTAAGACCAACTAACGGCTGGGCTCCGGAGACTGGGCAGGGCACAAGACTGACGGAGTGCAGTGGCTCACGTCTATAACCCCAGCACTTTGAGAGACTGAGAAGATTCCTTGAGCCCAGGAGTTTGAGACCAGCCTAGGTAACATACAAAAGAATTTTTTAAATTAGCCAGGCATGGTAGCATGTGCCTGTATTCCCAGCTACTCGGGAGGCTGAGGCAGGAGAATCGTTTGAACCCAGGAGGTGGAGCTTGCAGTGAGCCGAAATTGCATCACTGCACTCCAGCATGGGTGGCAGAGGGAGACTCCATCTCAAAAAAAATTAGCCAGGCATGGTGGCACGTGCCCGTAGTCCCAGCTACTTGGGAGGCCTTGGACCCATGGTCAAAGCTACAGTTAGCTATGATTGCACCACACTGCTCCAAGCTGGGTAACAGAGCAAAATGCTGTCTCAAAAAAAAAAAAAAATGACGGGGCATGGTGGCTCACACCTGTAATTTTAGCAGTTTAGGAGGCCGAGGCCAGTGGATCACATGAGCTCAGGAGTTCAAGACCAGCCTGGGCCACATGGCAAAATCCTGTCTCTATTAAAAATATAAAAATTAACCAGGCACGCTGGTGCATGCCTGTAGTCCCAGCTACTCGGGAGGCTGAGGTGGGAGAATGGCGTGAACCCGGGAGGCGGAGCTTGCAGTGAGTGGAGATCACGCCACTGCACTCCAGCCTAGGCAACAGTGCAAGACTCTGTCTCAAAAAAAAAAAGAAAAAAAAAATAGTCATAGCTGCAGATAAAGGTGACACCATCATACCTAAATATTTAGAACTCAACAAGAATGCAAGCACTCTGCAGCCAAGTCCATGAGATGCAGCCAAAGCTGTTCTCAAAGGGAAATTTGTAGCCTCCAAACGCATTTAATAGGAAATGAGGAAGAATGGAAACAATAGCATGGATGTCAGATTCAGATGAAGAGAAAAAAGGGCAGAAGGAGCCCTTGGAGATTTGAGTTCAGCTTCATAGATGGGGAAACTGAGGCCAAGAAAAGTTAAGTCACTTGCCAAAGGTCACAAAGCAAAGGTGTTCATGACAGAGCTGGAATTCAGAACCAGGTTTGGTTCCTCCCAAGCCACTGTCTAAGGACCGTAGAGACGTTTGGCATTACTCACTATTGGACTGTATTTTTAAAATGACTTCTTTTAAAAAAAGCAATATCAACATACCATGAAATCAAGACGAGTTTTTTTGTTCTTTTCAGTGAGCTTCTGGGTTGCTCAAGTTTATGGTAAATCCCTCCTCTTGCTCAGAGAGCTGTCCCTGTCTCCAGGAATAGTGCCTTGCAAACCTTGACCCTTGAACTCCGGGTTGGGGGAAGTGAGGATGCAACTAGAGAGACTCTTGGATGCCCCCCAAAAATCAGGAAGCAAGGAAAGAAAAACCTGTGTTCTAGAAGCAGGGTCAAAAAGGGGTTGAACAGGAAACAATTTCCAGGAAGCAATTTTGTAATCCTGACCCCTCCCCTTCCCCTGCCTGGCTTAGGCTCAGCCCCTATCAGGAACTGGACGGGGGTGGGGACTTCCCCAGGGTTGGTTCCCCTGCCCCCAGTCCAGGCAGGTATAAGGCCACCTCCGCAGGCCAGGACAACCCAGAAGCAAAAGAGCAGAGCTACCATGTCCTCTTGGAGCAGACAGCGACCAAAAAGGTAGGTCCCCACACTACCTGTCCTAGGCAGGTTTGAACGCCAGACCATGCGGAGATACAGGACATTCCAGCTAACCCATAGAAGTCACAGGGAGCAGATACAGGCCTGGTGGCTGGCACAGATCAACCTTATCTGTGACAGAAAGACTGGCGCGTGCACACACACACACACCCCTACAGAAGCCCAGGTGGGCATGGGCAGCAGGGAGCCGGGGGAGGCTTCTTGTTAGAGGCCTGGGGCCACAGTGACCAAGGCTGTCGAGATCATGTCTGATGGCTGCCGGGCCAGGGAAGCCCTGGAGGAGGAGGGGAAGCCCCAGGCTTCCAAGGGTTGTGGTGCTAAGTGTAAACCACCGCTTCCCAAGGCCAAATGCCCACCCTCAGACCTGGCCAAAGCAGGACACACTTTTCATGTTCAGAGGCTGCAGTGAGCTGTGATCATGCCAGTTCCCTCCAGCCTGGGCAACTGAGCAAGACTCTGTCTCAAAAACATGAACCTGAACGTCTGTCTTCCTCCAAGCACCCAATTGGTCAAGAGTGGACAAAAAGACCAGGATCCCAGAGCAGAGAAGTCTTCATGGAAAAGAGGGCATTGGAGCTGGGGCTTTGAAGGATGAATAGGAGTTCACATCAAAACACAGAGCCAGGGAGACAAGGACTGACCCAGAAAATAAGCCAGATCAGAAGAAACTAGCAAGTTGGACTGTGAATAATTAACAGCTCATGGGGGCTAGGCTGGTGATGGGGAAGTGTATTCATATTATGCGGGAGTTACACTCAGAAACTCAACTTTCCTAGAATTATAATTCTCCCTGGAACAGGGGCCACTTCTGGCAGCTGTCGGGGGTGAGGGTAGAAGCTGGAAGAGGAGGAGGAAGCAACTGCCCTAGTACAGGTGAGAGATGAGGTAGCATAGTCCAGGCTGGTAGCCGCAGAGATGGGAAGAAGTGGGCGGATTTGCTGGTGTATTTTCACCTAGCTGAGTGTATTTTCACTGTGGTTTAGTAAGCATCTTCTGTTACTGCCTGCAGCCCAGGGGGCATTCAACCCCATGTTTCTAGAACTCTGTTCCTGCTGCTGCTGTTGGCAGCCTCAGCCTGGGGGGTCACCCTGAGCCCCAAAGACTGCCAGGTGTTCCGCTCAGACCATGGCAGCTCCATCTCCTGTCAACCACCTGCCGAAATCCCCGGCTACCTGCCAGCCGACACCGTGCACCTGGCCGTGGAATTCTTCAACCTGACCCACCTGCCAGCCAACCTCCTCCAGGGCGCCTCTAAGCTCCAAGAATTGCACCTCTCCAGCAATGGGCTGGAAAGCCTCTCGCCCGAATTCCTGCGGCCAGTGCCGCAGCTGAGGGTGCTGGATCTAACCCGAAACGCCCTGACCGGGCTGCCCCCGGGCCTCTTCCAGGCCTCAGCCACCCTGGACACCCTGGTATTGAAAGAAAACCAGCTGGAGGTCCTGGAGGTCTCGTGGCTACACGGCCTGAAAGCTCTGGGGCATCTGGACCTGTCTGGGAACCGCCTCCGGAAACTGCCCCCCGGGCTGCTGGCCAACTTCACCCTCCTGCGCACCCTTGACCTTGGGGAGAACCAGTTGGAGACCTTGCCACCTGACCTCCTGAGGGGTCCGCTGCAATTAGAACGGCTACATCTAGAAGGCAACAAATTGCAAGTACTGGGAAAAGATCTCCTCTTGCCGCAGCCGGACCTGCGCTACCTCTTCCTGAACGGCAACAAGCTGGCCAGGGTGGCAGCCGGTGCCTTCCAGGGCCTGCGGCAGCTGGACATGCTGGACCTCTCCAATAACTCACTGGCCAGCGTGCCCGAGGGGCTCTGGGCATCCCTAGGGCAGCCAAACTGGGACATGCGGGATGGCTTCGACATCTCCGGCAACCCCTGGATCTGTGACCAGAACCTGAGCGACCTCTATCGTTGGCTTCAGGCCCAAAAAGACAAGATGTTTTCCCAGAATGACACGCGCTGTGCTGGGCCTGAAGCCGTGAAGGGCCAGACGCTCCTGGCAGTGGCCAAGTCCCAGTGAGACCAGGGGCTTGGGTTGAGGGTGGGGGGTCTGGTAGAACACTGCAACCCGCTTAACAAATAATCCTGCCTTTGGCCGGGTGCGGGGGCTCACGCCTGTAATCCCAGCACTTTGGGAGGCCCAGGTGGGCGGATCACGAGGTCAGGAGATCGAGACCATCTTGGCTAACATGGTGAAACCCTGTCTCTACTAAAAATATAAAAAATTAGCCAGGCGTGGTGGTGGGCACCTGTAGTCCCAGCAACTCGGGAGGCTGAGGCAGGAGAATGGCGTGAACTTGGGAGGCGGAGCTTGCGGTGAGCCAAGATCGTGCCACTGCACTCTAGCCTGGGCGACAGAGCAAGACTGTCTCAAAAAAATTAAAATTAAAATTAAAAACAAATAATCCTGCCTTTTACAGGTGAAACTCGGGGCTGTCCATAGCGGCTGGGACCCCGTTTCATCCATCCATGCTTCCTAGAACACACGATGGGCTTTCCTTACCCATGCCCAAGGTGTGCCCTCCGTCTGGAATGCCGTTCCCTGTTTCCCAGATCTCTTGAACTCTGGGTTCTCCCAGCCCCTTGTCCTTCCTTCCAGCTGAGCCCTGGCCACACTGGGGCTGCCTTTCTCTGACTCTGTCTTCCCCAAGTCAGGGGGCTCTCTGAGTGCAGGGTCTGATGCTGAGTCCCACTTAGCTTGGGGTCAGAACCAAGGGGTTTAATAAATAACCCTTGAAAACTGGATCGGATGAATTGGCTTTCATTGTGTTCCTAGCATCTTCTCAAATCAACTTCCCAGGACTCCAGGGTGAAGGAGGAAAAGAGGCATGGCCCAGGCCCTGGGGTGTGGGATATGGTCTCCCTAGGGGATGACAGTTGGGATCAATGGCCTGTGACTTCTCCTCTCCCTTCCCCCATCCTGGGACCTAACTGGAAATAAAACCTTGACTGTTGCCCGGGTGTCATTTTACCAGTGGATTTCTGCCAGGGCTTGTGTCCTAGGAGAAGGTTTAAGTTAAACCAGATTGCCCAGGTCTCCAAACGATTTGTCATGCTGACCTGAGATCATCGAAGGGGGCACCTGCCCCCGGGCAAGGTTGCAGGGGCAGGATGGGGCTGAAGGGATGAGCAGGGTCCCGGGCCCACCTGCTGATACAGCATTGGCCATGTGGGGGCTGCAATCGGATTTGGAAGACCCTGGGGCTTGGGGGCATGTCCAGTTTTCCCAGCTCCCTAAAAAATGACCATGCAGCCTGGCGCCGTGGCTCATGCCTGTAATCCAAACACTTTGGGAGGCTGAGGCAGGCAGATCACCGGAGGTCAGGAGTTCGAGACCAGACTGGCCAACATGGCAAAACCCTGTCTCTACTAAAAATACAAAAATTAGCCAGGCACAGTGGCACGTGCCTGTAATACCAGCTACTTGGGAGGGTCAGGCAGGAGAATCACTTGAACCTGGGAGGCGGAGGTTGCAGTGAGCCAAGATCACGCCACTGCACTCCAGGCTGGGCGACAGAGTGAAACTGTGTCTCAAAAATAAAAATAAAAATAAAAAGACCATGCCTACATCTGTGGTCATTCCAGGCAAGGCAATGAAAAGGCAGGGTTCTGAGGTCCAGCAGGGCTGGGTTTGAATAGGATCCCTGGCCGGGCACGGTGGCTCATGCCTGTAATCCTAGTACTTTGGGAGGCCAAGGCAGGCAAATCACGAGGTCAGGAGTCCAAGACCAGCCTGACGAATATGGTGACACCCCGTCTCTACTAAAAATACAAAAATTAGCTAGGTGTGGTGGCAGGCGCCTGTAATCCCAGCTACTCCGGAGGCCGAGGCAGGAGAATCACTTGAACCCAGGGGGCGGAGGTTGCAGTGTGTCAAGATCGCGCCACTGCACTCCAGCCTGGGCGACAGAGTCAGACTCTGTCTCAAAAAAAAAAAAAGAAAAAAAAGGAATAGGATCCCTCACTTGCTGTGGTATGCGGGGCAAGTGTTTTATGATCTCTGAGCCTCAGCTTGCTCATCTGTGAAATGGGGATCCTAGGGAAAGGGAAGGCCTGGCTTCTGGCTTAGTTAAGGGGCAGATTAAGAAATAAAAAGAGGCTGGGTGCAATGGCTCACACCTGTAATCCCAGCAATTTGGAAGGCTGAGGTGGAAGGATCACTTGGGGCTCAGGGGTTGAAGACAAGCCTGGTCAACACAGGGACATCTCGTCTCTACAAAAAGTTTAAAAAGTTAGCTGGGGGTGGTGGTGTGTGCCTGTGGTCCCAGCTACTTAGGAGACTGAGGCGGGAGGATCACCTCAGCCTGGGAGGGCAAGGCTGCAGTGAGCTATGATCACACCACTGCACTCTAGCCCTGGGCAACCGAGCAAGACCCAGTCTCAAAAATCGATAAATAATAATAATTAATAAGAAAAGTCATCAGCGAGTTGGCCAAGGTCACTCAGCAGGGCTATGGGGGCTGTGATCGCATGGACTGTCTCTATGGCAACAGCAGTGAGGATGACAGGTGGCCAAACTTGGTCCGGGAACGTATAATAGCTCAATCTTTTGAATCTAGCGCTCCCGAATTACTATGGCAACCGTAGGGCACTGGGCCAGCTCAAGGAGAGGGCGAGGGAAGCCTGGAGCCACGCCCCCTGGGCACGCCCCCGCACGGCCTCTCCCCATTGGTCAGTTCCGGAGGCCCCCACTGCGCGAGCAGCTATAAGAAGGGCGGGCGGGACCGGCGGGGGTGTGGAGACTCGAGCCTGGGGTCGGCGGAGACAGCTGGTGTCTGAAGCCGCTCGCGCCCAGGTGAGTGCCCTGAGGGCGGCGTCCGGGAGCGCCCCCCCGGGCTTAGGAGAGGAGCTCCAGATAGGGTGGTTGGGCGAAGGTCCGGCGGCGTGGGACGGGTATGACCGGCCAGAGCAGGTGGCTGGGACCCTTGGCCCGGTTGGCCCCAGCTCAGGACCCAGTTGGGCGAGGACCAGGCCTCAGAGGACGCGGGGTGGCAACCGGAGGGATCGCAGGCGGCAGGTCTGAGGCCCGAGGTCGAGCTCCCCCCCTGTAACTCTAGCTGGCTGCGTGACCTTGGGACCAGCATGGACCTGCTGCGTACCTCAGTTGCCCTGTCTGTCAAATGAGCTGTGAGTGGACTGGGACCCAGCAGCTACCACCTCCAGCCGTCTAGGGTGCTTGGGCAGTTCTGGGCCCAGGCAGGGGCCGCAGGGGTAGCAGGGACCTCCCACATCTTACAAAACAGGAAGCAGCCCAGAGAGGTGAAGGTGCTTGCCAAAAATCACACAGCTGGCCAGGTGCAGTGTCTCATGCCTGTAATCCCAGCACTTTGGGAGGCCGAGGTGGGCAGATCACTTGAGCCCAGGAGTTTGAGACCAGCCTGGGCAACATGGCGAAACCCGGTTTCTACTAAAAATACAAAAATTAGCCGAGCATGGTGGCACGTGGGTAATCCCAGCTAACTGGGAGGCTGAAGCAGGAGAATCACTTGAACCTGGGAGGCGGAAATTGCAGTGAGCTGGGATGGCGCCACTGCTCTCCAGCCTGGGCGAGAGAGATTCTGTCTTTAAAAAAATAATAAAAATAACACCGCAATTAATGGTAGCATTTGAACCCAGGTCTTTCTCACCTCAGAGACCATGCTTCGAGTCACTCCGGCAACCCTACCTTGCCAGAGGCTCATTATTGGACACCCTCTGTGTACAGAGCTCTGGACATGCATTGTCTGAGCTCCACAGAATGCCCCATTATGCAGATGAAGAAACTGAGGCCCCAAGAGGTTTGAGAGTTGCTCAAGTCACAGAGCCCAATTTGACAGGATCTGATGCCTGGGCAGGTGCTCCCCTTACTCAATCCTGCCCCGCAGGGTGACCCTGTTTGCAGCACGATGTCTGAAGAAGAGGCGGCTCAGATCCCCAGATCCAGTGTGTGGGAGCAGGACCAGCAGGTGAGGGCTGCCCCTCCCATGGAGCAGGGACAGAAGGTATTGTGTGGGACAGTCCCTTCTAGGAGCGTTTCAGGCCAGGTATCCCGCCCCACTCCTCTCCTTGCTGGGAAAACCTGAGTCATAAAATATTTTGGTCCATGGAGGGGATGGTCTATTTCCTAGTGGGGGCTTAATGAGGCCCTGGGAGGGGAGTGTCTCTCAAAGACACCCAGCTGGCTTCTGTGGCCCCTACCCAACCCTTTCCCTCTCCTTTGATCCCTGGGTCTCCACCTGTATCCTTCTGTCTCCACGTCCACCATCATGGCGCCCTCAGTAACAACAATAGTAAGAGCAGCAATCACTGTATCAGTCACAGTTCCAACCGTTTCATGTATATTGGCTCCTTGAACACCCATCACAACCCTAGTAACCCATTTCATAGATGGGGAAACAAAGGCACCGAACAGTTCAGTGGCTTGCCCAAGTTCACACAACTTGCAGGCAGCTGAACCAGAAGTGAACAGAGGCCACTGTGCTCCAGGGGCAGTGCTCTGAACCCCCAGACTCTAACATCTCCTCCCTCGAGCAGACAGATCGCAGTGGACCCTTCAACAACATGGGTTTGAACTGCACAGGTCAGGCTGGGTGCGGTGGCTCAGACGCCTGTAATCCCAGCACTTTGGGAGGCCAAGCGGGCAGATCAACTGAGGTCAGGAGTTCGAGACCAGCCTGGCTAACTTGGTGAAACCCTGTCTCTACTAAAAATACAAGAATTAGCCGGGTGTGGTGGCGGGTGCCTGTATTCCCAGCTACTCGGGAGCCTGAGGCAGGAGAACCGCTTGAACCCTGAAGGCGGGGGTTGCAGTGAGCCGAGATCACGCCACTGCACTCCAGCCTAGGTAACAAGAACGAGACTCCATCTCAAAAAAAAAAAAAAGCCAGGTGGGGTGGTGCCTGCCTGGAATCCCAGCTAATTGGGAGGCTGAGGCAGGAGAATCTCTTGAACCCAGGAGACAGAAGTATGCAGACCTTTTTCAACCAAATGCAGATAAAAAAAATATAGTATTTGGCCAGGTGCAGTGGCTCATGCCTATAATCCCAGCATATTAGGAGACTGAAGCGGGAGGATCGCTTGAGCCAGGAGTTCAAGACCAGCATGGGCAACACAGCAAGACCCAATCTCTATAAAATAAAATAAAATTAGCTGGGCACAGTGGTGTGCACCTGTAATCCCAGGTACTTGGAAACTGAGGTTGGAGGATTGCTTGAGGCTAGGAGGCTTAGGCTGCAGTGAGCCGTGCTTGAATCACTGCCCTCTAGCCTGGCCAACAGAGCAAGACCTTGTCTCTATTGAAAACAAAAAAATTGTGACCAGGTGCAATGGCTCAGGCCTGTAATCCTAGCACTTTGGGAGGCTGAGGTGGGTGGATCACCTGAGGTGGGTGGATCACCTGAGGTCGGGAGTTCGACACCAGCCTGGTCAACATAGTGAAACCCTGTTTCTACTAAAAATAAAAATAAAAACAAAATTGGCTGGGCGCGGTGGCTCACGCCTGTAATCCCTGCACTTTGGGAGGCCAAGGCAGGTGGATCACCTGAGGTCGGTAGTTTGAGACCAGCCTGACCAATGTGGAGAAACCCCATCTCTACTAAAAATACACAAACAAAACAAACAAAAAAAACGGGTATGGTGGCGCATGCCTGTAATTCCAGCTCCTCGGGAGGCTGAGGCAGGAGAATCACTTGAACCCGGGAGGCGGAGGTTGCGCTGAGCCGAGATCGTGCCACTGCACTCCAGCCTGGGCGATAGAGCGAGACTCCCTCTTATAATATAATTGCCAGGTGTGGTGGCGGGCACCTGTAATCCCAGCTACTTGGGAGGCTGAGGCAGGAGAATCGTTTGAATCCAGGAGGAGGTTGCCGTGAGCCGAGATGGTGCCACTGCACTCCAGCCTGGGTGATAAGAGTGAAACCCCATTACAAACAAAATTGTAATGCTCTGTGTACGCCATGGGAAGAGGAGCCTGTGAGTGCAGGAACCATGACATTCTCACATCCACGTTTATCTTCACTGCCTCTACGTGGCGGGGTGCTCAGTACTCCATCCTTCCACTCTCCCATCCCTCGTCCTGGCCCAGAGAGGGGAAGTAGGTTGAGGTGTGGCTAGGGCCCCACTTCCCCCAGGGTCCCCCTGATGCCGACCCTTCCCGCAGAACGTGGTGCAGCGTGTGGTGGCTCTGCCCCTGGTCAGGGCCACGTGCACCGCGGTCTGCGATGTTTACAGTGCAGCCAAGGACAGGCACCCGCTGCTGGGCTCCGCCTGCCGCCTGGCTGAGAACTGCGTGTGCGGCCTGACCACCCGTGCCCTGGACCACGCCCAGCCGCTGCTCGAGCACCTGCAGCCCCAGCGTGAGTGCCCTGGCCCGTGTCCCTGGGAGCTGTGGCTTGCCACCCCCCCACCGCCCCCTGTCCCATCCTCCTTGGTCTATCTGCATGACACTCCTGGGGGTCATCTTCAGCCTAGCCACCTGTCCCACTGCCATGCCACCTGTCCTCAATCTCTTCACTTAAGTCCTTCTTTAATCTGATCACCAGCCAGGCATGGTGGCTCATGCCTATGATCCCAGCACTTTGGGAGGCCGAGGAAGGAGGATCACTTGAGGCCAGGAGTTCAAGACCAGCCAGAGCAACGTAGCGAGACCCTGTATCTCAAAAAAAAAATTTTTTTTTTAAATCTGGCTGGGTGTGGTGGCTCATGCCTGTAATCCCAGCACTTCGTGAGGCTGAGGCGGTTGGATCACAAGGTCAGAAGTTTAAGACCAGCCTGGACAACATAGTGAAACCCTGTCTCTACTAAAAATACAAAACTTGGCCCGGTGTGGTGGCACATAACTGTAATCCTAGCTACTCAGGAGGCTCATGCAGGAGAATTGCTTGAACCCGGGAGGCAGAAGTTGCAGTCAGCCAAGACCGCACCATTGCGCTCCAGCCTGGGCAACAGAGTGAGACTCCATTTCAAAAAAAAAAAAGCAAAAACAAACAAAAAAAACTGATCCCCTGATAGGTGCGGTGGCTCATGCCTGTAATCCCAGTATTTTAGGAGTCCGAGGCAGGCAGATCACTCACTTGAGGTCAGGAGTTCGAGAACAGCCTGGCCAACATGGTGAAACCCCAACTCTACTAAAAATACAAAAAATTATCCAGGCGTGGTGGAGGGCGCCTGTAATCCCAGCTGCATGGGAGGCTGAGGCAGGAGAATCGCTTGAACCTGGGAGGCAGGGGATGCAGCAAGCCGAGATCGCACCACTGCACTCCAGCCTGGGTGACAGAGCTAGACTCTGTCTCAAAATAAATAAATAAATCTGATCCCCTGGCCCTCTGCCCTTACCTGTTTACTGGTGGGGCCCCTCCTCTCTGTCCCTATCCATCTGTCTCCCTGTGTCCCCTCCTTTGTTGGCCTGATGTGCCTTGGGTCCATTTGTCTCTCCAGGCCCCCTCCCCTCTGCACCTGCCTCTGCCTGTCCTAAGCCCCGCAGCCTCCGCTCTGTAGTTCTCACATCTCTGTGGACCCCTGAGCCGATGACAGGCGGGGGACTACAGGATCCTTGGCCTCTAGTCTGACCCAGGAAGAGGGTCACCTGAGGGTCCTAGCCCAGCACCTCCTCACCTCCCTCTCAGCCAGCTTCTGTGACCTTGAGTCTGTCCGCTGGGCCATCTGAGCTGGGCACGGCTGAAAAGTCGCCTTGGTGCTGGGAGAACAGGGTGGGTGGCAGGGCCCAGGCAGGATGGCAGAGGAGGCAGTGCCCAACCCAGCGGCCTACCCACACCCTCAGGGCCCCCAGTCTCACCTAGGGAGGCAGCCAGGTCCCCCTGTGGTCTAGGCCTTCTCCCCATCTCCCTCGTAGACTCTCTCTCCAGGCGCCACAGGTGTCTGCCCCAGCGTCTTTGGTGTAAGCGGCTTCTTGGTGTAAGGTCTCAGAAAGCCTGTCCATCTCCTGGTGTGGGTCTCGTCTCCATCATTCCGTTTTGTTTCTCCCTGTCTTATCCTGGTCTCCTTCCTTCTCTGTCTCTGCTTCTCTCTCTAGCATTCCCTCCTTCTACAACTCTCACTGCGTCCCTATCTCCCTCTGCGTCTCCCCGAGTCTCACTCCCCGCCTCTCTCCCTTCAGTGGCCACTATGAACAGCCTCGCCTGCAGGGGCCTGGACAAGCTGGAAGAGAAGCTTCCCTTTCTCCAGCAACCTTCGGAGACGGTACCCCGGACGACTAGACATGGGGACCTCCAGTGGGGGCAGGCCAGATTAGAGGCGGGAGGGAGGGAGGGATGGTGACAACCAGGCTTTTAGTTAACTCAAGAAAAAACAGCCAGGTTAAAATAACTGCAACGTGTGTGTGTGTGTGTGTGTGTGTGTGTGTGTGTGTGTGTATACATATATGTATATACGTATAGTGTATATATGTATATATACGTATAAGTATATATGTATATATACGTATAAGTATATATGTATATGTGTATATATACATGTATATATGTATATGTGTGTATATGTGTATATATGTATATGTATGTGTGTATACATATGTATTGCTAGTAAGGGCAGTTAACTCCCTCAACACCCTCTGTGAGGGAAGGGTTTTATCACCCATTTTATAGGGGAAACTGAGGCACGGAGCCAGGTAGAAGTCCAGGGATCTTTGAGTCCCAGCCCCAGGGAACTAGGGTGGCAGAAATGGAGCTGGAGTCCCACGGTGCCTGGAGTGGGGGGGCCCTTCCTTCCAGGTGGTGACCTCAGCCAAGGACGTGGTGGCCAGCAGTGTCACGGGTGTGGTGGACCTGGCCCGGAGGGGCCGGCGCTGGAGCGTGGAGCTGAAGCGCTCCGTGAGCCATGCTGTGGATGTTGTACTGGAAAAATCAGAGGAGCTGGTGGATCACTTCCTGCCCATGACGGAGGAAGAGCTCGGTGAGGACGACACCCTCAACCCTAACCCCTGAGTCCTGCCCCGTCCCCATCCCCTGTGGTACAGATCAGAGAGGTCTGAGACTCACCCAAGGTCACACAGCAGATCAGCAGGAAACATACAACTCAAAACCAGGCCTGTCCTCCCTCCCGGTCACTTCCACGGCCCCTCAACCTGCATCCCGCCAGGAGTCAGAACACCCAGACCCTAAGGGCATATAGGGCTTTTAGACTTGAGGTCCCAAACTGGTGGCCCCCAAATGCCTGTGCAGCGTGTTTTAAATATTTTCATTCTTTGCATGCATTTAACAACCAGATTTTGCATTACATGTCCCGATTCTTGGCTTGTTTTGAAAAACCAGACACACTGCCAGGCACAGTGGCTCACGCCTGTAATCTCAGCACTTTGGGAGGCCAAGGTGGGCAGATCATGAGGTCAGGAGTTCGAGCCCAGCCTGGCCAACATAGTGAAATCCCGTCTCTACTAAAAATACAAAAAATTAGCCAGGCGTGGTGGCGTGTGCCTGTATTCCCAGATACTCGGGAGGCTGAGGCAGGAGAATCACTTGAACCTGGGAGGTGGAGGTTGCAATGAGCTGAGATCGCGCTATTGCACTCCAGCCCAGGCCACAGTGCGAGACTCCGTTTCAAAAAAAAAAAAAGAAAAACTAGACACAGCCAGAATATTGTCTGCTCCTTCAGATGGTTTGCTCAGCTCCACTAGTCCCCAGTGGTTTATGTCATATCTACTTTGATGGTTTTTGGTACCTGCCTGGCCCTGGAGACCATGTGAATGTCCAACTCTGGCCTTACAGTACTGGAAGAATGTATGGGCTTACCCCCACCTCAGCAGAAAAGCAGGGAGGCGGCCGGGCACGGTGGCTCAGGCCTGTAATCCCAGCACTTTGGGGGGCCGAGGCGGGCCGATCACGAGGTCAGGAGATCGAGACCATCCTGGCTCACACGGTGAAACCCCGTCTCTACTAAAAATACAAAAAATTAGCCGGGCGTGGTGGCGGGCGCCTGTAGTCCCAGCTACTCAGGAGGCTGAGGCAGGAGAATGGCGTGAACCCGGGGGGTGGAGCTTGCAGTGAGCAGAGATCGCACCACTGCACTTGAGCCTGGGTGACAGAGCGAGACTCTATCTCAAAAAAAAAAAAAGGCAGTGAGGCATTGATCAGGCACTTCTTGTGTGCCAGGCACTCCTGAATTTTTTTTTCTTTTTTTTTGAGACAGAATCTCTCACTTTGTTGCCCAGGCTGGAGTGCAGTGTTGCGATCTCAGCTCACTACAGCCTCTGCCTCCCGTGTTCAAGCGATTCTCCGGCCTCAGCCTCCCAAGTAGCTGGGATTACAGGCACCCACCACTACACCCGGCTAATTTTTGTGTATTTAGTAGAGATGGGGTTTTGCATGTTGGCCAAACTCCTGACCTCAGGTGAGCCACCTGCCTTGACTTCCCAAAGTGCTGGGATTACAAGCGTGAGTCCACCACGCCCAACCATTGTTGTTTTTTTTTTTTTTTTTTTTTTTTTTTTGAAGTGGAGTCTCACTCTGTCGCCCAGGCTAGAGTGCAGTGATATGATCTTGGCTCACTGCAGCCTCCGCCTCCTGGGTTCAAGTGATTCTCCTGCCTCATCCTCCTAGACAAATGGAACTAGAGGTGCACACCACCACATCTGGCTGATTTAAAAATTTTTTTTTAGGCCGGGCGCGGTGGCTTACGCCTGTAATCCCAGCACTTTGGGAGGCCGAGGAGGGCAGATCACAAGGTCAGGAGATCGAGACCATCCTGTGAATGGTGAAACCCCGTCTCTACTAAAAATACAAAAAATTGGCCGGGCGTGGTGGCGGGTGCCTGTAGTCCCAGCTACTCAGGAGGCTGAGGTGGGAGAATGGCGTGAACCTGGGAGGTGAAGCTTGCAGTGAGCCGAGATTGCGCCACTGCACTCCAGCCTGGGCAACAGAGCGAGACTCCATCTCAAAAAAAAAAATTTTTTTTCTTAGAGATGGGGTCTTGTTCTGTCACCCAGGCTGGTCTCCAACTCCTGGGCTCAAGTGATCCCCCTGCCTTGGCCTCCCAAAGTGCTGGGATTACAGGCGTGAGCCGCTGTGCCTGGACTATGATATATTCTTTTTATTTTTTTCCACCATATCTTGTGTGGATTTTCTCTTTTTTTATTATTTTTCATTCATTTTTTTAATTTTAATTTTTTTTTGAGATGGAGTCTTGCTCTGTTGCCCAGGCTAGAGGGCAGTGGTGTGATCGTAGCTAACCATAGCCTTCAATTCCTGAGCTCAATTGATCCTCCTGCCTCAGCTTCTCAAGCAGCTGGGACTATAGGCACACGCCACTGTGCCCAGCCCTGGCTAATTTCTGTATTTCTTTTTTAGAGACAGGGTTTTTTGCTGTATTGCCTAAGCTAGTCTCAAAGTAATCCTCCCTGGGCTCAAGCAATCCTCCCATCTCGGCCTCCCAAAGTGCTGGGATTACAAGTGCATGCTGCTGCACCCAACCTATATTTTTAAAAGGCTGCTTAAAAGAATGGTTAAGCAGGCCAGGCATGATGGCTCACACCTGTAAACACAGCACGTTAGGAGGCCAGGCAGGCGGATCAATTGAGCTCAGGAGTTCTAGACCAGCCTGGCCAACATGGTGAAACCCCGTCTCTACTAAAAATACAAAACTTAATCGGGTGTGGTGGTGCACGCCTGTGGTCCCAGCTACTCAAGAGGCTGAGGCAGGAGAATCGCTTGATCCTGGGAGGCAGAGGTTGCAGTGAGCTGGGATAGTGCCACTGCACTCCAGCCTAGGGGACAGAGCGAGACTCCATCTCAAAGAAAAAAAAAATGGTTAAGCAGTTTGGGACCAACGTGCCTGGGTTCCAATCTGGGTCTGCTTCTTGGATCCTGCAGGATCTCACCTCTCCTTTGCCTCAGTTTTCCTCCTGTGTAAAACAGGGCCCACCATAGTGCCTACATCTTAGGGTTTGGGGAAGACCAAATGGGTTGATGTCAGTCAAGGGGAACTGTGAATGTGGGAACCTGTGGCTTCTGTACCCAGAGGTGGGTGAGCAGATGTGGAGGGGGTGGGTGGCTGTGCTGACCCCATGCTGTCCCCGTGCTGTCCCCGTATCCTGTCCCCGTGCTGTCCCCGTATCCTGTCCCCGTGCTGTCCCCGTATCCTGTCCCCGTGCTGTCCCCGTATCCTGTCCCCGTGCTGTCCCCGTATCCTGTCCTCCAGCGGCACTGGCGGCTGAGGCTGAAGGCCCTGAAGTGGGTTCGGTGGAGGATCAGAGGAGACAGCAGGGCTACTTTGTGCGCCTCGGCTCCCTGTCAGCACGGATCCGCCACCTGGCCTACGAGCACTCTGTGGGGAAACTGAGGCAGAGCAAACACCGTGCCCAGGACACCCTGGCCCAGCTGCAGGAGACGCTGGAGCTGGTGAGAGCCCGCTGCCCGCCCCTGCTCCGGGATGCAGGCCAATCAGTATGGATTGAGCACCAGCTGAATACCGGATCCCGTGCTAGCCTAAAGCAGGAGGCGGAGCTGGGTGCAGCTGTCTCCAGCTGCATGTGTTCAGGGCTGGGGGACCCGGGCCTGGAGGAGCCCAGGGATGTCATGGCTCTGCCTGGAGAGTCAGGGAGGGGTTTTGTGGAAGAGGGGAAGGAGAAGCTGGAATTTATAGCAAGTTAGGGTAGGTCAGAAGAGAGCCTTCCTCCTCATCAGAATCCTCCCATCCTCAGCTCTTCCCTCCCCGCAGCAGCCACCAGAGGGCACCTGTGAGCCCCTGAGTCAGGTCTGTCCCTTCTTTACCCACAGCCCTCTATGGCTCCCACCTCCCTTGGGGTCCAAGCCCAAGTCTTCCCCACGGCCCTGCACAACCTGCCTCGGTCTCCTAAATGCTTACTGAGGCCAGATCAGTGGTCCTGGACCCCACCCCGACCCCCAGCTCCCCCAGCTCCCCCAGCTCTGAAGACCACCATTTCTGTCCTTGCAGATAGACCACATGCAGTGTGGGGTGACCCCCACCGCCCCGGCCTGCCCTGGGAAGGTGCACGAGCTGTGGGGGGAATGGGGCCAGCGCCCTCCGGAGAGCCGCCGCCGGAGCCAGGTGAGACCGCAGGAGTGCCAGGTGAGGTGGTGTCTGCCACCAGGCCGCGGAGGAAGAGGGGGAGCGACGGACTGCGGGTCAGCCCAGTACTGCCGGGGACCCAACTCAAGCTATCTCAAACCAAGTGCTGAGCTCAGCTAGTTGAGGTGTCTGGGGGGGGAAACTGAGGCAGGTTTAAGTCCCATTGTGTGTTTTATTTATGTATTTATTTTGAGATGGAGTTTTATTATTTTATTATTTATTTATTTTTGAGATGGAGGGAGGTGGGGGGAAAGGGGGGTGTTGGCCCAAGCAAGCAGTAGTCCCTGGCTTCCCGCCCCTTCTCGCTTTCCCTCCCTCCACATTCTCTCCCTGAACCTATAGCCTAGAAACCATCTCTCCACTTTCCACTTTATTTATATTTATTTATTTGAGAAGGAGTCTGTCTCTGTCGCCCAGGCTGGAGTGCAGTGGCGCGATCTCAGCTCACTGCAACCTCCGCCTCCCGGGTTCAAGCGATTCTCCTGTCTCAGCCTCCTAAGTAGCTGGGACTACAGGTGTCCACCACCACGCCCAGCTAATTTTTGTATTTTTGGTAGATACGGGGTTTCGCCATGTTGGCCAGGCTAGTCTTGAACTCCGCACCTCAGGTGATCCGCCCGACTCGGCCTCCCAAAGTGCTGGGATTACAGGCGTGAGCCACCGCGACCGGCCCCATTGTGTGTTTATGAAGGAGACTGAGTCAGGGCTGGGTCACATTCTGTGTCTACAGGGGACAGGACTATGAGGTCTATGAGACAGGTTGACAGCTCCACTGTGGGTCCATCAGAGAAACCGAGGCAGGACAGCAGTCCTCCTGGGCGTCCATAGGGGAAACTGAGGTCCCCGCCCCCTGCAGGCAGAGCTGGAGACGCTGGTGCTGTCCCGCAGCCTGACCCAGGAGCTGCAGGGCACGGTAGAGGCTCTGGAGTCCAGCGTGCGGGGCCTGCCCGCCGGCGCCCAGGAGAAGGTGGCTGAGGTGCGGCGCAGTGTGGATGCCCTGCAGACCGCCTTCGCTGATGCCCGCTGCTTCAGGGACGTGCCAGCGGCCGCGCTGGCCGAGGGCCGGGGTCGCGTGGCCCACGCGCACGCCTGCGTGGACGAGCTGCTGGAGCTGGTGGTGCAGGCCGTGCCGCTGCCCTGGCTGGTGGGACCCTTCGCGCCCATCCTTGTGGAGCGACCCGAGCCCCTGCCCGACCTGGCGGACCTGGTGGACGAGGTCATCGGGGGCCCTGACCCCCGCTGGGCGCACCTGGACTGGCCGGCCCAGCAGAGAGCCTGGGAGGCAGAGCACAGGGACGGGAGTGGGAATGGGGATGGGGACAGGATGGGTGTTGCCGGGGACATCTGCGAGCAGGAACCCGAGACCCCCAGCTGCCCGGTCAAGCACACCCTGATGCCCGAGCTGGACTTCTGACCCATGGGCCAGTGGAGGCGGGGAGGAAAGGCCACCTGCACACCCCGATCCCTGCTGCCCCCTGGTGGCCACACGTAAGCTCGAGGCCTTGGCCTTGACCCTTCTTTGGAATCAGGCCCAACTCCGGATCTCTGACCACCTTTTTGGTATTGGACTCTCCCATTTTTTCCTTGAACACATGGACAAAGAGGCCCGGGGGAGCAGGGCCTCGAACCCTATTCAGGCCAACTTGAGCCACAAGCTGGGTTCTTCACCTATGTCCTGCTCCCTGGCTCCATGAAGCGAATCCAAATCTTTCCAAGAGGCTGGGCACAGTGGCTCACGCCTGTAATCCCAGCACTTTGGGAGTCTGAGGCAGGTGGATCATCTGAAGTCAGGAGTTCGGGATCATCCTGGCCAACATGATGAAACCCTGTCTCTACTTAGAAAGAAAGAAAAAAAAAAAAAAAGCCAGGTGTGGTGGTGTGCACCTGTAGTCCCAGCTAGTTGTGAGGCTGACGCAGAAGAATTGCTTAAACCCGAGAGGCGCGGAGCTTGCAGTGAGCAGAGATCGCGCCACTGCACACCAGCCTGGGTGACAGAGCGAGACTCCATCTAACAAAAAATAATAGTAACAGCCTCCCGAAGAAATACACATTTTGCCCAATGCCTTCTGTTTGGGGCTTTGAAAAGTGAGCCCTGACTGGGTGTGGTGGTTGACACCTGTTATCACAGCACTTTGGGAGGCCAAGGTGGGAGGACTGCTTGAGCCCAGGAGTTGGAGGCTGCAGTGAGCCATGATCTTGCCCCTGCGCTCTCGCCTGGGTGACAGAGCAAGACTCTATCTCAAAAATGTTTTTAAAAAATACTTCCTAGGGAAACACACATTTTGCCCTATTTGGAACTTTGAAAAGTGAGCCCTCCTCTGCCCATGGGCCGTGCTGCTCAGCCTGCCATACTCGCTTGCTTTGCTGTTTGGGATTTGCCTCCAGAATAAAGGTCCTTTTTGTTGTTGAAAGGCCCACGTGTGTGTTCCAGCCAGGGTGAGTCTCAGTCCCAGGGGGCTGGGGGCCACGGAGGTGTGTCACTGCTGAGACATGGAGAAGGGGGTGTGTAGAGCCAGAGTTCAAGATCTAGAAGAATGGTGCTTCTCTGACCTGCCTGTCATCCTGTCTGGGATCCACCGTTACTGCCCAGCCCATGTGGGGTAAGCATTACCACTTAAAATTAGCCGGGCACCATGGCTCATATCGGTAATCCCAGCACTTTGGGAGGCTGAGGTGGGAGGATTTCATGAGCCCGGGAGTTTTGACACCAGCCTGGGCAACATAGGAGACCTTGTCTCTACGAAAAATTTTAAAATGACACATGGTACGAGCCTGTGCCCCAGCTACTCGGGAGGCTGAGGCAGCAGGATCGCTTGAGCCTAGGAAGTTGAGGTTGCAGTGAGCTTGGATCAGTAACCACTCCACTCCAGCCTGGGCAACAGAGTGAGACCCTGTCTCTAAAAATAAACAACAGCATTGCCCCTTTGGCCGCATGGAAGCTGTTCTCATCTTGGTACAGGTGAATTTCATGGAATTGCAGGGAGCAGAAAAGATGGGGAAGGAGTCAGATGGGGCAGCTCTCTCTCTACCTCCTGGTCCTGCAGGAGCTGGTCTTGCTGTGGTCTCTCCAGCTGCACTGGCCAGGATGGGAAGACAGAGGCAGGGCAAGGGCCATAGGCTGGTCTCGGGGGTTTCCTCCTGTCCTCTGACCGCATTCCTGGCTGCTCTTCCGACTCCCCTGGGGCTGGGCGGGGTGTTGGGAAACCACAGCTTGGTATGGTGAGGTCAGGGTGGCCCCTGACTTCCCTGGGACATAGTCCAGAGGGCAGCTCTGGGATCTCCGACCACTTCCACCAGCCAAATCTACCTCCCTGCTCCTGTTCTGGAATCTCCCACAGGTCCCCACTGCCCACAGACCAAACTCTTCACCTTCCAGCTTCCTCCTCCAGCCTGACCTGGATACTTTGCTCTCTTACCATTGAAGTGGGCACATTCCCACCTCCGGGCCTTTGCTGAGGCTGTGCGGCCACCTTGGAATACTCTTCCCACCCCCCATCCGTCCCTCGGACACATCTCATACATCCTCAAGGCCCAGCCTCAATGCCTCCTCCTCCAGGAAGGCTTCCAGGACTCCATCCCAGCCGGATACTTCCCTCCTCCGGTCCTCCACAGGCCACCTTCTCAAGGTTTCTTGCCCTTTCCACCTTGACTTTATAGCCACAGGCAGCCTTGCTCTCTCTTCCCACATGAGGCTGGGGGCTCCTGGCAGGGCCAGGCCTGTTGAGGATGATCAGAACAGCACATAGGGGTAGGCATTTTGGCAGAGGGAACAGCTTAGGGAAAGGCACAGCAGTAGGGAAATCAGTTTCACTGCAGCAGAGGTGAGGAAAAGAGAATGGGTTGAGCTAAGCCCTGGGATTTTTCTTTTCTTTTCTTTTCTTTGGGGGGGTGGGGAAGGAGTCTCACTCTGTCACCCAGGCTGGAGTGCAGTGGCGCGATCTTGGCTCACTGCAACCTCCACCTCCCAGGTTCAAGTGATTCTCCTGCCTCAGCCTCCCGAGTAGCTGGGATTACAGGCGTGCGCCACCACACACAGCTGATTTTTGTATTTTTAGTAGAGATAGGGTTTTGCCATGTTGGCCAGGCTGGTCTCGAACCCTGACCTCAGGTGATCCACCTGCCTCGGCCTCCCAAGATGCTGGGATTACAGGCATGAGTCACCGCGCCTGGCCCATTAATTCATTTAATTTTTATTTAAAGATATATTTTGGGCAGCCGGGCACAGTGGCTCATGCCTGTAACCCCAGCGCTTTGGGAGGCCGAGGCAGGTGGATCACGAGGTCAGGAGATCGAGACCATCCTGCCTAGCACAGTGAAACCCTGTCTCTACTAAAAATACAAAAAATTAGCTGGGTGTGGTGGCGAGTGCCTGTAGTCCCAGCTACTCGGGAGGCTGAGGCAGGAGAATGGCATGAACCCGGGAGGCAGAGCTTGCAGTGAGCCGAGATCGCACCACTGTACTCCAGCCTGGGCGACAGAGCGCGACCCCGCCTCAACAGAAATATATATATATAAAATATATTTTTTTTATTTATTTTTTTTTTTTTTTCTTTTGTTCTTTTGAGGCGGGGTGGCGCTCTGTCGCCCAGGCTGGTCTCAAACTCCTGTGCTCAAGCCAATCCTCCTGCCTCGGTCTCCCTAAATGCTGGGGTTACAGGGTGAGCCATGGCACCTGGCCTGAGGTATATATTTTTTAAAGGGAGAGGAGATCCAGGAATGCCTCTTTGAGGAAGTGATATTTGAGGAAAGACCTGGAAGGAGGTGAGGGATGTGGGAAAGGGTGCTGGAGGCAAAAGCAACAACCCACACGAAAGCCCTGAGGAAGGGTGTGCGGGGCTAAGCAGGCACAGTCACGTGTGTCTTTGAGGGACTCTGTCCTGGCATGTTATGGGAACAGTGAAAAGGCCCGTGTGGCTGGAGCAGAGTGAAGAGAAGAAGGAGAGGAAGGTGGGGAGCAGACGAGGCAGGTTATGCAGGGCCTACCGGGCTGCAGGAAGGGGACTTGGGCTTTGACCCTGGGCTCCCAC
Source organism: Homo sapiens (assembly GCF_000001405.40). Taxonomy (NCBI): domain Eukaryota; kingdom Metazoa; phylum Chordata; class Mammalia; order Primates; family Hominidae; genus Homo; species Homo sapiens. Next base: position 4,519,914 of record NC_000019.10, on the reverse strand, counting down.
CCCGGAGAAGGTGGGAGCCATGGAGGGTGCTGGGCAGAGGAGGGGTAGATCCTGGCTGGGATGTTTATGATCACTTTTTAATTTTTTCTCTCCACACACTGGGCTGTGGCTGCCCTTTGGGAAGGGGAGGGGCACCCAGAGCTCTCCCAGCCACCCTTGGGAAGCACTGGCTGGTAGAAGAGGTTGGGGGACACCCCCCCTTCTGTTCCCCCACTGTTTGGCAAACACAGTGTCGGCTCCAAGGAGACAGACGGCCTGGGAATCATCAGATCCTGTGGCTGTACCCTCCCTCCTCCCAGCCCAGTGCCCAGAGCCACCCATGGGGTCTGCCCTCTCACCCCCAATAACACAGGGCTAGGAACCCTGTCTCAGGGGCAGGTAGGAGGGGGACACAGCCCAGGGTGGGCGTTACGGCCATTCCTCTGCCCACCCACCCACAGACAGCCCAGCACATAGGCTGGGCTCAGCACGAAGGTCCTGGGTCTGGGTTTGAATCCCGTCCTCACCACTTCCTGGAACAGGAGGGTCTGGGTTTGAATCCCATCCTCACCACTTCTGGAACAGGACGCCTCCTCCAGGGAGCCTCCCTGGGTTGGCCCAAGCCCCCCAGGCTGGGTTTCCACTCCTAGGGTGCCCCCAGCTTGGCTGGTGCTCCATCTTGGTCTGCGTTTTGGCCCAAGTCCCTTCCGGAGAGTGATGGGCTCCCCTCCACACTGAGGACACCCCCTGCTCCTTGCCGAGACCCCGAGACCCCGCTTCTGCCTGGGTAACGCGAAGGCAGCATTTGTTCAGTGCATGACCTCATCTCACAGAGGCTCACAACCACTCTCTGTGTTGCTCCATTGAGCCAAACGTGTATTAAGCGCCAAATGTATGCCAGGCACTGTTCTGTGGGCGGAAGAGGGTGCCCTGTGGGAACCTGCAGGGAAGGTGTTCCAGGCAGAGGGCACAGCCCGTGCAGAGGCCCTAAGGCAGGACCGTGCCAGGTGCGCTGGAGGCATAGCGAGGAGGCCTGTGTGGCTGGGATGAAGCAAGCGAAGGAGGAAGCTGGGGGAGATGAGAGCAGAGAAGAAGCTGGATGTTACGGGACGTGGTGCGGAGTACGAGAGAGAAACCTGAAGCAAAAAGATGGTAACTGGCCAAGGCATCCTGGTGCAGCAGAGATTTGAACTACACCCACCTCGTGGATGGAACTGGAGGCTCAGGGGCCCGGGAGGGGAGCCCATCTGGCCTGTGAGCCACTCAGCCTGATGCAAGCTGTGGGCAGGAAACAGGGGAAAGGTGCTGGGCCTGGGCCCATGCTGGGCTGGGCAGGTAGCCATGTGACCGTCCAGGCCACCTCCCCCGGGCCCATTGGCCGCCTGCCGCTGCTGGCTGGGCCTGCGCCTGCCCCGGACCCTATAAGGCCAGGGAGCTGAGGGTAGAGCCAGCTGCCAGCCGGGCCGGTCCGTCCTCCAGGGGACCCCGCGCAGTCCAGGTGAGCGGGGCCGCGTCTGCTTCGGTGACACCAGGGTGAGGCCAGGCCTGCAGGTGGGTGTCGGGCTGCTCAGGCTTTCAGTGGGGAGTGGGTGTGGGATGGGAGGCTAGGGAACCCCCATTCACGCACCTTCTCTGCCCCCTTCCAGCTTCTCACGTTCTCACTATGTCTGCTCCAGACGAAGGGAGACGGGATCCCCCCAAACCGAAGGGCAAGGTAAAGAGGGGAAATGGGGCAGATTCTTGCTGGGGCCTGGAGATGCCCCAGAGCCGGGGAAGGTGACCTCCACAGTCCTGGGGTCTCGAATCTGGAGAGGTGCTTCCCTGGTGGGCTGGTGGGGGCGGTCTGGGAGCCATGATGCCAATCCCTTCCTTTCTGACCCAAGCTGGAGGCGGGGGACCCACGCAGACCTCGACACCTTCCCCAGCAAGTGACCTTGGGCCGGCCTCAGCTCCGCCCCTCTCTGAGCCTCAGTTTCCCCATCTGTGCAGTGGGGATCCTGGAAGGAAAAGGTCTTTGGAGATCGGGTAGACGATCTTTTCCTCTGTGCATGGGAGGCAGGCTGAGTCTGCCCATTGCCCAGGTGTGGAAATTGAGGCTGAGTGGCTGAAACACTTTCCTGAGGTCACCCAGGAGCAAGGGGCCGGGGCGGCATTGGGCTGATCAATCGATGCTTCCTCTGACCCGTTCCTGCCGAGGCTTGGCCTGCTCATCCTGCACACCCCCCGCCCCCATGCAGACCCTGGGCAGCTTCTTTGGGTCCCTGCCTGGCTTCAGCTCTGCCCGGAACCTGGTGGCCAACGCACATAGCTCGGCGAGAGCCCGGCCGGCCGCTGACCCCACAGGAGCGCCTGCTGCCGAGGCTGCCCAACCACAGGCTCAGGGTGAGTGGCTGGCCCAGCTGGGGGCGTGGGGGGACTCTACACATGGACCTGGGAGAAGGAGCTCCCCGGGCAGGGACTTCCAGCCATTTGGGGAGTCCTCCATATTTGTCTGTGTGCTCTCATCAGACACTAGGACATCTTGTGGTGGATGGGGAAACTGAGGCATAAATATGGGGGGTGAGTGGCCGAAGGTGGCTTTCAACCCAGCCTGTCTCCCTGCAATGCCCCCCCACTCAGTCCCTCGGCCGTTCCCCCACCCTGCACTCCGTTTCTGATGCACCATGGCCCAGGCTGGGTGCTCTGCCCATCTGAGCTCATCAGAGTGAGATCCAGACTCCCAGGGAGGAGCAACAGCTCCCCTGGGGTCACACAGCCCAGGGGCTCCCCAGCCTCCTGTGGCTCAGCTTGGGCGATCAGGGACGGTGACAGGGAACCCAGGGTTGGGGCAGCCGCCTGAGCTGGGCCTCCCTCTGGGCCCAGAGCCCCAGGCAGCTGACTTCTGCTCCACATGCCTTGGCCTGGCAATAGGCAGCAGGCAGCTGCGGTGGGGGCGGGGCGGGCTGGGCAAGGGGCTGTTCCCCCATGCCAGGCTATATGAACCCCGGGACTCAGGGTGGGTGTCCACCCAGCAGAGGAAGTTCCACAGAGCCCTACTTCAGGGAACAGCGGCCCTGGGCTTGGGGGGAGCCCCCAGCGGGGTTGGGGGGTGACCAGGTCTGGCTGGTAGCCGTGGATGTCACCTCCTGCTGTCCCTGGCGGGGTAGCTGAAACATTCCTGACCTTTTAGGCTGTGCCTGGCTATTGTGCAATGGGCAGCCGGGTAGATGGTTCTAACTGCATCCCTCACTCTCCCTGACCGGCCCCTGTCCCCACAGTGGCTGCCCACCCAGAGCAGACGGCCCCATGGACGGAGAAGGAGCTGCAACCTTCGGAAAAGGTGAGAGGATGTGCAGGGCAGGGTCTGATGTGGCAGGAGCCCTGGGGGTGCCCCCTCCTGCGACATTTCAGTTCCTGCTATCTGGGGGGCTGCTCCCTCCTGGGACATTTCAGTTCCTGCTATCTGGGGGGCTGCTGTGGGCCTGAGGGAAGGCAGACAGCCTGGGGATCCCAGGCGGAGCTTCCCCTCTGAGCCTCTATTTCCACATCTGTGAAATGGGTGCAGTGCTACCCCACTCTAATCACGTAAGGTTCCAGTCTACACAGGGCTGTGCCTGGCAAGATGAGACCAAAGCGACAGCAGCGTAAGCACTTTATTTCTTCTACTTTTATTTTTTGAGATGCAGTTTTGCTGTTTCACCCAGGCTGGAGTGCAGTGGCACAATCTCAGTTCACTGCAACCTCTGCCTCCCAGGTTCAAGCGATTCTCCTGCCTCAACCTCCTGAGTAGCTGGGACTACAAGTGCTCACCGCCATGCCCAGCTAATTTTTGTATTTTTAGTAGATACGGGGTTTCACCATGTTGGTTTCACCAGGCTGGTCTCCAACTCCTGACCTCAAGTGATCCACCCACCTCAGCCTCCCAAAGTGCTGGGATTACAGGCATTAGCCACTGCGCCTGGCAAGAGGATCTGTTTTAATCAGCATTTTCCAGATGAGGATATTAGCTCAGAGAGGGCATGTGGCTTGCCTAAGGCCACACAGCGAGTGTCGGGAGCAGGAGAGGGTAAAAAGCTGGGACTTGAACCTGGGTCTCTCCAACTACAGGGCCCAAGGTGCCCACCTGAGCCAAAGCTGGGAGATGTGTTCTGAGAATACAATTTCCGGGCTTCTCAACCTCAGTACTGTGGATATTTGGGGTTGGATCATTCTCTGGGGTGGGGCCATCCTGGGCACTGCAGGGTGCCGAGCAGCATCCCTGGTCTCCACCTACTCCATGCCAGGAGCCTCCCCAAGTTGTGACAACTACAGATGTCTCCAGACATCACCCAGTGCCCCCTGGGGGCAGAATCACCCAGTTGAAAACTACTGAATTAAAATAGCACCTTGGCCGGGCACGGTGGTTCACACCTGTAATCCCAACACTTTGGGAGGCTGAGGCAGGCAGATCAGTTGAGCTCAGGAGTTTGAGACCAGCCTGGCCAACATGGTGAAACCTCATCTCTACTAAAAATACAAAAATTAGCTGGGCATGGTGGTGCACGCCTGTAATACCAGCTACTCAGGAGGCTGAGGCAGAAAAATTACTGAACCCAGGAGGCGGAGACTGCAGTGAGCCGAGATCTCGCCACTGCACTCCAGTCTGGGTGACAGAGTGAGACTCTGTTTCAAAAAACAAACAAACAAAAAAAGTAGCACCTCACAGGTACACCCGAGAGTTAGAACTCCTAGGCCATCATCATCTTCATTCATTTTTGTGTTTTTTAATTTTTTTTTATCTTTTGAGACAGTCTCGCTCTGTCACCCAGGCTGGAGGGCAATGGCACGATCTCGGCTCACTGCAATCTCTGCCTCCTGGGTTCAAGCGATTCTCCTGCCTCAGCCTCCAGAGTAGCTGGGATTACAGGTGCCTGCCACCATGCCTGGCTAATTTTTGTATTTTTAGTAGAGACAGGGTTTCGCCATGTTGGTCAGGCTGGTCTCGAACTCTTGACCTCAGGTGATCCACCTGCCTCGGCCTCCCAAAGTGCTGGGATTACAGGCGTGAGCCACCGTGCCCGGCCTGTTTTTTTTTTTAAAGATGGGGTCTCACCGTTGCCCAGGCTGCTCTTAAACTCGTGGGCTCAAGCAATCCTCCTGCCTTAGCCACCCATAGTGCTGGGATTATAGGCATGAGCCACTGTGCCCAGCCTGAATATATTATTATTATTATCATTATCATTATTATTTGAGACAGAGTTTCGCTCTTTCACCCAGGCTGGAGTGCAGTGGCGCGATCTCGGCTCACTGCAAGCTCCGCCTTCCCGGGTTCATGCCATTCTCCTGCCTCAGCCTCCCGAGTAGCTGGGACTACAGGCGCCCACCACCACACCCGGCTAATTTTTTGTATTTTTTTAGTAGAGACAGGGTTTCACTGTGTTAGCCAGGATGGTCTCGATCTCCTGACCTCGTGATCTGCCCGCCTCGGCCTCCCAAAGTGCTGGGATTACAGGCGTATATCATTATTTTTGAGACAGAATCTCATGTTGTTGCCCAGGCTGGAGTACAGTGGTACGATCATATCTCACTATTGCCTCAACCTCCTGGGCTCAAGCAATCCTCCCACCTCAGCCTCCCAAATAGCTGGGACTACAGGTGTGCCCCCCGCCCAGCCAGTTGTTAAAATTTTGTAGAGACTGGGTCTTGTTTGGTTGCCCAGGTTGATCTTAAACTCCTGGGCTCAAGTGATCCTCCCACCTTGGCCTCCCAACATGCTAGGATTGCAGGCATCAGCCATCACACCCAGCCTGGATATAATGATTTTAATAAGCAATTTAGTCTCCCTGGTGTCCCTGGGACGCCAGGCTCAACATTTGCCATGAATGGAGAATAAGCAAGAGGAACAGAAATGTAACTGTAGGACCTGCGTTGAGTCCAGGCCTGGGGACCCTGGCTGAGTCCAAGCCTAGGACATGCTGTCATGGACGAGGCCTGCCTGCAGCCGGGAAAGGGGGTGCGTGAGAATGGAAGAGGCTGGCGCTGTGAGCTCATGAGGACTTCATCCCGGAGAGCCAGGGTGCCACACCACAGCCCGATGAATGTCTGGCTGACCGGGGTCGGGGTGAGGAGGAAGCAGCTTGCTTTTTGAGGAGGTGGGGCCTCTGGGTGCCTGCAGTTCCTTGCCCCAAAGCACACTAGGGGGCTGGGCTGGCAGACATCGGGGTGGAGTACACCTCTCAGTCCTTCTCTTGATCCACCTGTGTCCTTTCTCAGCAGATGGTGTCCGGGGCCAAAGACCTGGTGTGTTCCAAGATGTCCAGGGCCAAGGATGCCGTGTCCTCCGGGGTGGCCAGCGTGGTGGACGTGGCTAAGGGAGTGGTCCAGGGAGGCCTGGACACCACTCGGTCTGCACTTACGGGCACCAAGGAGGTGGTGTCCAGCGGGGTCACAGGGGCCATGGACATGGCTAAGGGGGCCGTCCAAGGGGGTCTGGACACCTCGAAGGCTGTCCTCACCGGCACCAAGGACACGGTGTCCACTGGGCTCACGGGGGCAGTGAATGTGGCCAAAGGGACCGTACAGGCCGGTGTGGACACCACCAAGACTGTGCTGACCGGCACCAAAGACACAGTGACTACTGGGGTCATGGGGGCAGTGAACTTGGCCAAAGGGACTGTCCAGACTGGCGTGGAAACCTCCAAGGCTGTGCTGACCGGCACCAAAGATGCTGTGTCCACTGGGCTCACAGGGGCAGTGAATGTGGCCAGAGGAAGCATTCAGACCGGTGTGGACACCAGTAAGACTGTCCTAACAGGTACCAAGGACACCGTCTGTAGTGGGGTGACTGGTGCCATGAATGTGGCCAAAGGAACCATCCAGACCGGCGTGGACACCAGTAAGACTGTCCTAACAGGTACCAAGGACACCGTCTGTAGTGGGGTGACTGGTGCCATGAATGTGGCCAAAGGAACCATCCAGACCGGCGTGGACACCAGTAAGACTGTCCTAACAGGTACCAAGGACACCGTCTGTAGTGGGGTGACTGGTGCCATGAATGTGGCCAAAGGAACCATCCAGACCGGCGTGGACACCACCAAGACTGTCCTAACTGGCACCAAGAACACTGTCTGCAGTGGGGTGACCGGTGCCGTGAACTTGGCCAAAGAGGCCATCCAGGGGGGCCTGGATACCACCAAGTCTATGGTCATGGGTACGAAAGACACGATGTCCACTGGGCTCACAGGGGCAGCGAATGTGGCCAAGGGGGCCATGCAAACTGGGCTGAACACAACCCAAAATATCGCAACAGGTACAAAGGACACCGTCTGCAGTGGGGTGACTGGTGCCATGAATTTGGCCAGAGGAACCATCCAGACAGGCGTGGACACCACCAAGATCGTTCTAACTGGTACCAAGGACACTGTCTGCAGTGGGGTCACCGGTGCTGCGAATGTGGCCAAAGGGGCCGTCCAGGGCGGCCTGGACACTACAAAGTCTGTCCTGACTGGCACTAAAGATGCTGTGTCCACTGGGCTCACAGGGGCTGTGAACGTGGCCAAAGGGACCGTCCAGACCGGCGTAGACACCACCAAGACTGTCCTAACCGGCACCAAGGACACCGTCTGCAGTGGGGTGACCAGTGCTGTGAACGTGGCCAAAGGGGCCGTCCAGGGGGGCCTGGACACCACCAAGTCTGTGGTCATAGGTACAAAAGACACGATGTCCACTGGGCTCACGGGGGCAGCGAATGTGGCCAAGGGGGCTGTCCAGACAGGTGTAGACACAGCCAAGACCGTGCTGACCGGCACCAAGGACACAGTGACTACTGGGCTCGTGGGGGCAGTGAATGTCGCCAAAGGGACCGTCCAGACAGGCATGGACACCACCAAAACTGTCCTAACCGGTACCAAGGACACCATCTACAGTGGGGTCACCAGTGCCGTGAACGTGGCCAAGGGGGCTGTGCAAACTGGGCTGAAAACGACCCAAAATATCGCGACAGGTACAAAGAACACCTTTGGCAGTGGGGTGACCAGTGCTGTGAATGTGGCCAAAGGGGCTGCCCAGACAGGTGTAGACACGGCCAAGACCGTGCTGACCGGCACCAAGGACACAGTCACTACTGGGCTCATGGGGGCAGTGAATGTCGCCAAAGGGACTGTCCAGACCAGTGTGGACACCACCAAGACTGTCCTAACTGGTACCAAGGACACCGTCTGCAGTGGGGTGACCGGTGCTGCGAATGTGGCCAAAGGGGCCATCCAAGGGGGCCTGGACACTACAAAGTCTGTCCTGACTGGCACTAAAGATGCTGTGTCCACTGGGCTCACAGGGGCTGTGAAGTTGGCCAAAGGGACTGTCCAGACCGGCATGGACACCACCAAGACTGTGTTAACTGGTACCAAGGATGCTGTGTGCAGTGGGGTGACCGGTGCTGCGAATGTGGCCAAGGGGGCCGTCCAGATGGGTGTAGACACGGCCAAGACCGTGCTGACCGGTACCAAGGACACTGTCTGCAGTGGGGTCACCGGTGCTGCGAACGTGGCCAAGGGTGCTGTGCAAACTGGGCTGAAAACGACCCAAAATATCGCAACAGGTACAAAGAACACCCTTGGCAGTGGGGTGACCGGTGCTGCGAAAGTGGCCAAAGGGGCCGTCCAGGGGGGCCTGGACACTACAAAGTCTGTCCTGACTGGCACTAAAGATGCCGTGTCCACTGGGCTCACAGGGGCTGTGAACTTGGCCAAAGGGACTGTCCAGACCGGCGTGGACACCAGCAAGACTGTCCTGACCGGTACCAAGGACACCGTCTGCAGTGGAGTCACTGGTGCCGTAAATGTGGCCAAAGGGACCGTCCAGACAGGTGTGGACACAGCCAAGACGGTGCTGAGTGGCGCTAAGGATGCAGTGACTACTGGAGTCACGGGGGCAGTGAATGTGGCCAAAGGAACCGTGCAGACCGGCGTGGACGCCTCCAAGGCTGTGCTTATGGGTACCAAGGACACTGTCTTCAGTGGGGTTACCGGTGCCATGAGCATGGCCAAAGGGGCCGTCCAGGGGGGCCTGGACACCACCAAGACAGTGCTGACCGGAACCAAAGACGCAGTGTCCGCTGGGCTCATGGGGTCAGGGAACGTGGCGACAGGGGCCACCCACACTGGCCTCAGCACCTTCCAGAACTGGTTACCTAGTACCCCCGCCACCTCCTGGGGTGGACTCACCAGTTCCAGGACCACAGACAATGGTGGGGAGCAGACTGCCCTGAGCCCCCAAGAGGCCCCGTTCTCTGGCATCTCCACGCCCCCGGATGTGCTCAGTGTAGGCCCGGAGCCTGCCTGGGAAGCCGCAGCCACTACCAAGGGCCTTGCGACTGACGTGGCGACGTTCACCCAAGGGGCCGCCCCAGGCAGGGAGGACACGGGGCTTTTGGCCACCACACACGGCCCCGAAGAAGCCCCACGCTTGGCAATGCTGCAGAATGAGTTGGAGGGGCTGGGGGACATCTTCCACCCCATGAATGCGGAGGAGCAAGGTGAGGGGACGCCTGGGTTCATGGGTCCCTGAGGCAGGCACAGCTGCTAGCAGGTCCTTGACTGTTTTGTTTTTTTTTTTGAGACAGAGTCGTGCTCTGTTGCCCAGGCTGGAGTGCAGTGGCGTGATCTCGGTTCACTGCAAGCTCCGCCTCCCGGGTTCACGCCATCCTCCTGCCTCAGCCTCCCAAACAGCTGGGACTACAGGCGCCCACCACCACACCCGGCTAATTTTTTGTATTTTTAGTAGAGACAGGGTTTCACCGTGTTAGCCAGGATGGTCTCGATCTCTTGACCTCGTGATCCGCCCGCCTCAGCTTCCCAAGTGCTGAGATTGCAGGCGTGAGCCACCACGCCCAGCTGGGCCCTTGACTTTTTTTTTAAAAATGTATTTATTTGGTTTGTTTCAGATGGGGGTCTCCCTGTGTTGCCCAGGCTGGTCTCAAGCTTGTGGGCTCAAACGATCCTCCTGCCTCAGCCTCCCAAAGTGTTGGGATTACACGTGAGAGCACCTGGCCCTTTTTCATTTTTTTAGAGACAAGGTCTTGCTCTGTCACCCACACTGGAGTGCAGTGGTGCGTTCACTACAGCCTCAATCTCTCGGGCTCAAGTGATCCTCCTGCTCCAGCCTCAAGTAGCTAGGACCACCATGCCCGGCTATGTATTTTTTTGTATGTTTTTTGTCTCTCTATGTTGCCCAGGCTGGTCTCAAACTCCTGGGTTCAAGTGATCCTCCAGCCTCAGCCTCCCAAAGTGCTGGGATTACAGGCATGAGCCACCATACCCAGCTTCATTTGACTTTTATTTTTACTTATTTATTTTTGAGGCAGAGTCTCACTCTTGTCGCCCAGGCTGGAGTCCAGTGGCAGTGTCAGCACACTGCAACCTCCACACTTCCTGGGTTCAAGCAATTCTCCTGCTCAGCCTCCCGAGTAGCTGCGATTATAGGCGCCCGCCACCACACCCGGCTAATTATTATTATTTTATATTTTTAGTAGAGATAAGGTTTCACCATGTTGGCCAGGCTGGTCTCGAGCTCCTGATCCCAGGTGATCCACCCGCCTTGGCCTCCCAATGTGCTGTGATTACGGGCGTGAGCCACCGCGCCTGGCCTCACTTAACTTTTTTTTTTTTTTTGAGACGGAGTCTCGCACTCTTACCCAGGCTGGAGTGCAGTGGCTCCATCTCGGCTCACTGCAAGCTCCGCCTCCCGGGTTCACGCCATTCTCCTGCCTCAGCCTCCCGAGTAGCTGGGACTACAGGCACCCGCCACCACGCCCGGCTAATTTTTTGTATTTTTTTAGTAGAGACGGGGTTTCACCGTGTTAGCCAGGATGGTCTCGATCTCCTGACCTCGTGATCTGCCCGCCTCGGCCTCCCAGAGTGCTGGGATCACAGGCGGGAACCGCCGCGCCCGGCCCTCACTTGACTTTTATAAAGCCCTGATGCCCTGAGGGGCTTCCGGGACTGAGCGGTGCGCCTTCCTTTCCAGCTCAGCTGGCTGCCTCCCAGCCTGGGCCAAAGGTGCTGTCGGCGGAACAGGGGAGCTACTTCGTTCGTTTAGGTGACCTGGGTCCCAGCTTCCGCCAGCGGGCATTTGAACACGCGGTGAGCCACCTGCAGCACGGCCAGTTCCAAGCCAGGGACACTCTGGCCCAGCTCCAGGACTGCTTCAGGCTGGTAAGAGCTTCCCCCTGCTGCTGCCCCGTCCCCAGGGCACTTCTTAGAACCCCTGCCCAGGACTCACCCAGCTGCAGATACTGACTGAGCACCTAGGAGATGATGCTGTCAGCGTCACCAATGGTCATGGCTCTGTACTCATGGGGCTTGCCTCCTGGCAAGGGGGACGGAGCTAGATCAGATCCTTAAAGACAGCGGGTAGGCTGGGTGCGGTGGCTCACGCCTGTAACCCCAGCAATTTGGGAGGCCGAGGCGGGTGGGTCACTTGAGGTCAGGAGTTCGAGACCAGCCTGACCAACACAGAGAAACCCCGTCTCTACTAAAAATACAAAAATTGGCTGGGAGTGGTGGCAGGCGCCTGTAATCCCAGCTACTTGGGAGGCTGAGGCAGGAGAATCTGGGAGGCGAGGTTGAACCCGGGAGGCGGAGGTTGCAGTGAGCCAAGATGGTGCCACTGCACTCCAGCCTGGGCGACAGAGCAAGACTCTGTCTCAAAAAAATAAAGACGGTGGGGACACAAAGACAGCAAAACAATCTGTGTGCAGAGGGGGATGTGGGCTGGGCAGGAAGGCCGTCCCTCTGGGCCCTGTCCTGACCGATGGGGAGACAGCTCTGCAAAGCCCCCAAAAGCAGGGACAGGACAGCAAGCTACCGGGGAGCAAGCTGGGTGTGTTCGGGGAATGGAAAGGCGGCGCTGTGGCTGGGTAAAGTGAAGCCAGGATGGGATCCAGGGAGCCCGCAGGGCCTGGGGCTGCAACGCACGCAGGAAAGGACCCAACGCAACATGACTCGGATGCATCCAGGGGTCATGCACCCTGGCCAGAGTCGTCCACCCCTCCCACTGGCCCCGCTCTCTTCCTCTGGCCTAGGTTCTCCCCTTTGGCAATGTGGACGTTGGGGCCGGATCGTGCTCTGGGGTGGGATCATCCTGGTCCCTGCAGGGAGCTGAGCAGCGTCCCTGGCCTCCAGTCTCCCCGTCCCCAGTCCTGAGGGCCAACATTTCCTCTAGAAGCTGTTGTGCAGCCCGGGAGGCAGAAATCTCACAGGACTGCTCTAGGGGTTTATGTTTTGGAGACAGTGAGACAGGGTCTTGCTCTGCCACCCAGGCTGGACTACAGTGGCTTGATCATGGCCCACTGCAGCTTCAACCTACTGGGGTCAAGAGATCCTCCCACCTCAGCCTCCCAAGCAGCTGGACAACTGGCATGCACCACCACGCCCAGCTTAGTATTTGTTGTTGTATTTTTAGTAGAGATTAGATTTTGCTATGTTGCCCAGGCTGGTCTTAAACTCCTGGGTTCAAGTGATCCTCCTGCCTCAGCCTCTGGGTGCACACTACCAAACCTGGTTAAATTTTTTGTAGAGATGGGGCCTCCCTATGTAGCCCAGGCTGGTCTTGAGCTTCTGCGCTCCCGCGATCCTCTTGCCTTGGCCTCCCAAAGTGCTGGGATGACAGGCGTGAGCCACCGTGCCCAGCAGTCACAGGTTTTACATGTTGGTGGACAGCAGTCCCACCCCGGCGGGCCGTGAGAAACCTTGAGATGCCGCCCTCGGTCAGGATTCCTGGCGTGCAGCCTAGGCCACTGTGTTTTCCATCAACATCCGGGGTTTGTGACAAGCCGCAGTTTGAGGGTCTAACCCAGGGTTCTCAGTGTGGATGACCTGCCTCCAGGGGACACTAGTCCATGTCTGGGGACATCTGTGGTTGTCACAACTGGGGGAAGCCCCTGGTGGAGAGTAGGGACACTGCTCAGCACCCTGCAGTGCCCAGGGTGGCCCCACCCCAGAGAACCATCTAGCCCCCGTGTCCACAGTGCCAAGGGCAAGTCTGTCCTAGGGACCCTCAGGACACCTCATGTCACTGTGGCCACCCCCAGATGCACAGTCGCTGCCGTGCCTCTGGCACGCGGTACAATGGCGCAGTTGGAAGGCGTTCCTGTAAACGCCATGGAGGAATGAAGGAATGGGCCCACCCTCGCAGCACGCTGCAAGCGGCTGATCACAAAGCATTTTCCCACCTTTGAATCCTCACAGCAAAGTAGCCTGGGCCAGAACTCAGCCCAGGCACTCTTCAGAAGGGGAGAAGGAGGCCACAGGAAGAGAAGAGCTTTGCTCAGGGCCACACGTGAAGGATGCTGGGCTGGGAAATGGGATGTGGTGTGTGACTCATCATGTCTCACTTGTTCCTTTAAGTGCTACTGAAGACCCTGGATATCCAGGCCTGCCCTTGGGGGGTGGGGGGCGCCATGGTTGGGGAAGACAATTCACAGATGAATATATAGGGCGTCGCGTTGGATGATGCTTGGAAAATGGAACATGTACCAGGATAAGGAAGTGGCTGTGCTGGGGCTGGTCACCCTGAAGAGGGGACACTTGAAGTCAGGTCTAAATGACAGAGAGGGAGTGCGTCAGAATGGGCAGGAGTGTGATCTGAGCGGAGGGCACGGCCCGTGCAAAGGCCCTGGGGCAGGACTGTCCCGGCATGTTGGAGGAATAGGAAGGAGGCCTGGGAGGCTGGAGCCGAGTGAGGAGGGGATGGGGCAGGTTGGGCCGGACCTGGGCTTCGACCCCAAGGGAGTTGGGAGCCCTGGAGGGCTCTGGGCAGAGGAGCGGCCTGATCCAAGGTGGGTTTCATTTAAAAGGATCACTCTGATGGGGGAGGTCAGGCCACCGGGTGGGGGCGAGGGCCAGAGGAGACAGTGGGACGTAAACCCAGGCAAGTGCTGCCGGGCCTCAGGAGTCACGCTGTGGTGGTGAGAAGTAGCTGGGCTCTGGGTGTTTCGAAGTCAGAGCTGCCCGGGTCCGATGTGGGAGGTGAGAGAAGACCCCAAGAGACCCCTGAGGCTTGTAACCTGAGCAGACAAGGAGAGCAGGGGGGCTGAGGGGAGGCCGGGCGGGTTGCAGAGTGGATATTAGGAGCCTGGCCTTGGACAGGGTGAGGGGAGATGCCTGGTGGGCACCGAGGGGACGCGTCTGCATATGCAGCTGGCTTCAGGTCTCCAGCACTGGCGCGGCGAGGGCTGGGAGGGCGACAGCAGTCTGGAGTCGATATTTTGACGGCGTGCCGCATCCCTACCAGCCATTGAGATGATGAGGAAGATGGGGCCCTGTGGACAGGGTGGGGCGTGGGTGCCACGTGCTGGGGACACAGCAACAACGAGGACAGAGTCCTGAGTGTTCCCCTGCCAGGGGCGGATAAACACCAAGTCAATGAACACCAAAGCCGCACGCTGTGCTCCCGAGGAGAGGGGCAGATGTGACGGGAGGGACTGGGGCTGCCACACCATGGGCCAGGAAGGTCTCACCAAGGGTCACCTGGAGCTGAGGCCGAACGCGGACCTTGTGAAGGGCCCGGGAAGCAGGCTCCCGGCTGAGTGGGCAGTGTGTGCAAAGGCCCTGGGGCAGAAGCCTGCTGGAGTGGCCGGAGGGCAGAATGGAGCCAGTGTGGCCTCAGTGGAGACAGCAGTGGGGTGCCATGGGAGATGAGGCCAGAGGTGTCCCAGGGGCCAGCCCACCAAGGCCATGGTGAGGAGCTGGGTTTTATCTTAAGGGTACTGGGCAGCCACAGGTTTAGGGGTGAGGAGTGACACGACCCCACAGACACTGTGTTACGTGCACTCCCTGATGACCTCATGGGGAAGTTTGAACTATTGCCTCTTTCTGCAAGACAACACGCCCACTGTGGTACAACTGACTTGGAACTCGTGGCCTTTCTCCCAGGACTGTGAATGTGCCCAGGTCCCTGGGGGAGGGGGAGGTGGGGGTTGTGAAAGGTCATTTGCCAAGAAGCCATCATTTCCCCACTGTACTCTCTCTCCAGATTGAAAAGGCCCAGCAGGCTCCAGAAGGGCAGCCACGTCTGGACCAGGGCTCAGGTGCCAGTGCGGAGGACGCTGCTGTCCAGGAGGTGGGTCTGGCACAGGGCTAGGGTCCCCCCACCCCGCCCATGGGTCTCCACTCACCTTGCGCCTTCCTCCCACAGGAGCGGGATGCCGGGGTTCTGTCCAGGGTCTGCGGCCTTCTCCGGCAGCTGCACACGGCCTACAGTGGCCTGGTCTCCAGCCTCCAGGGCCTGCCCGCCGAGCTCCAGCAGCCAGTGGGGCGGGCGCGGCACAGCCTCTGTGAGCTCTATGGCATCGTGGCCTCAGCTGGCTCTGTAGAGGAGCTGCCCGCAGAGCGGCTGGTGCAGAGCCGCGAGGGTGTGCACCAGGCTTGGCAGGGGTTAGAGCAGCTGCTGGAGGGCCTACAGCACAATCCCCCGCTCAGCTGGCTGGTAGGGCCCTTCGCCTTGCCCGCTGGCGGGCAGTAGCTGTAGGAGCCTGCAGGCCCGGCGCGGGGTCGCCCTGCTCTGTCCAGGGAGGAGCTGCCTCAGAACTTTCTCCCCGCCCCCAAACCTGGATCGGTTCCCTAAAGCCCTAGACCTTTGGGGCTGCAGCTGGCTGAGCGCCGAGGGGCTGCGGAGGCAGTGACCTTCTTAACTGAGCCACCCCACGCCCTGCTCCGGGCCTGCCTGCATCTCCCACCTCCTCCCCAGCGCTGCCTGCCCCTCTCGGAGCCTGGGGTCACTCAGACCACCAGCCAAGAGCCTTCCCTTGAAGTCCCCAAGCAAGCACTGCAATTAGGAAAGAGAAAAAGCAGCGTGCCCAGCCTGGAAGGGCATCTGTTTGCCCCGCTAGCAACCCTTTTATATCTAGCAGGGCTCTTCCAGTCCTGCAGCACGGGCCCCCAGCTATCAGCGGTGCAGGCAGTGCTGTGGCATCCCAGGCTCCGGGCAGCTCCGTTCTCATGCTGAAAGTGGGTCTCCGGCCTTAGCACACACACCTTGAGGGTCTTAAGAACCACATTCCCTCATAGTAGAAAGTACTAGAAAAAGCGACACTGCCATCATCATCCCAAGGCAGGCTGCTACTGCCTTTGCTGACCCCCGGGGTGGCCTCACGGTGGGGACAAAGCTGCCAGGAGCCACAGCAGCCACAGCTGGGGCTTTGCACCAGCCTGGCTTGAGACTGAGCAGTTTGCAGGGGGTGGGGGGTGCAAAAAACAAGCAAACAGGCTGCTGCTGCCTCCAGCTGCCCACCACAGGCCTGCCCCAGGCACCTGGGGCTCTGAGGCCCCTGGGGAGGCTGGGCCCAGCAGCTGCCCCTGGAGAACACAGACAAAGGACTTCCCCGCAGGGAACTGTGCCCTATGGAGGGATCAGACAGGGCTGGGAACAGCCACAGAGGCTGCGTGCCTATGGCACAGCCCTTCCTCCGCCGCACACTCCCCCTGGGTCCTCAGGCCCACCCAAGCGCCGGGCTGCAGAGGAAGCGGGGCTGGGGAGGCTGCAGGCATCAGAGACACTGGTGGTGGCGGACCCGGCCGCCGGGCCCCGTGCTCTCAGGCTAGCCCAGGTCGTGGAGGCTGGCAGGCTCAGGTCGGGTGTGAGACGTGCCGTGGCTGCGCTCAGTCCAGCGGGGAGGAGCCGTTCAGCCCGGCCTCCCCAGGAAGCCATATCCCCACTCACCCGGTAAGAGAACCTTGTCGTCCCCTTTCCATGCTCTCCTAGGACACGAGCCCAGGAACCCCAGACCCAGGGGGAGGAAGGGTGGAGGGGCCCCAGGGGTCACCGTGTGCACCAGGGGCCGTGAGGGGCCGGGGCATTCAGCTCAGCTCTGAACCGGGGAAGCTGGCACGGCAAGGACTGCCTCAGGTGACGGGCCGTGAGAGGGGACGGGTCAGGAGCCTTCCCAAGCCTTCTCCTCAGCCCGACACCCATGGCCATCGGAGGCTAGGATGCCAGACACAGCCATTTGCAGAAATCAGGCACAGTGACTGCAGCTCACGTCCAGCCAACCAAGCATGGGGCCGCAGCTCAGGAAGTCCCTTCCCGCCACACCACAGCCTAATTCTTACTGGGACGGAGGCAACTCGGCTACGCTGGGCAGGACGACAAACACGAGACGCCACTGTGGAATGAGCAACTTCGGAGCACGGGGTGACTTGCTTGGGACCGTGCCCACGTGACAGCCCCTTATGCAGAGGAGGAAAGAGAAGCCCCGAGTGGGAGGGGAACCTGTCCAAAGTCACACGGTGTGTGGGTGACACAGCTGGGGTGAGTCGAGGCTGGCCCCTGAGGCCCATGCTCCCTGAACGCTGGAGACCACTGTCGGCTAGCAGCGGCTCTCAGGGAAGGCCTGGTCTCCACCCTCCCAGCCTAGCCTCGCGGACCCTCGTCCTCCCCACATCGGACCTGCTCACCTGCCTGGACCCTGGGCTGCCAGATGCAGGAAGCATCAAACCCCCCAGCCTCGTGGGTGCGGGGCAGGGCGCAGGCAGCACAGCTTAGATGCCCTGGTTTGTCCCTCTTGTCTCCTGGGAAGAGCTTGCTCCCGCCCAGCTCTCCTGCCACTGGCCTTTCAGGGTTGGGCTGGGCCCAGAGTGCCTTTTAGTCGCTTCTCACGGTGGCCTGATGGCTCAACCCAGTCCCAAACGGGCCCAGTGACACTGCCGCCTGCGCCCCAGCTCAGGCCCCCACTGCACCAGCAATGCTAGAAAACCAAGCCAATAAAAGTGATTTCTTTTTTCATTAAAAAACCATTTATAGTCATTTCATGTTGGTTGGAAATCACAGAAATTAGGCAGGAAAAAAAAACCCAAGGGAACAAATACAAACAGCACAGCGTTCCCCACAGTTCTCTGCTCTGCTCTCCTGCGAGCCGGGGAAGGAGAGGGGCAGCCTGAGCTCGGGCGGGGGCTGGGCCTGGCTGCCCGCGGCTCAGCTCTCCTCGTCCAGGGCCTCCGAGTCCCCCCGTGCCCTCTCGCGCTCCTGCCGGTCGCTCCCAGGCCTGTCCAGGTCGGGACCCTCCCGTACGCTGCTGGTGGGAACAGCAAAGGCGGTGTGAGGATGCCCTCCCGCCCCTGCCCTGCCTGTAGGGCGGTTGGGTGGGATGGGCACCGAGGAGTGTACCCCCGTTGTGGCACCTGAGGCTCGAGTGCCGCCCTCCTATCTGCCTGTCTTCTGCCACTAGAGACCACAACCATCTCCAGGGTCCCCACGCTGGCGCCAGCCAGGCATAGCACAAGGCAGCTGCTGGGTAAGTGAGTGACTCCACTGAGCCTTGTACCAGACAGCAGCCCACAGTGATGGGCACAGGCACCGTCAGATAGCCGGGTGCCCGTGCTCGGGGCCTACCTACCTGGGCCACCCTGGAGGCTCGGCAAGAAGCCACCTTCCCAGGAGGCCAGGGGCAGGCAGCTCAAAGCCCTGGAGCTGCCTCTCTGTAGGGGCCGCCGGAAGTGCCAGCCAGCGGGGCCCTGGGGTCAGCTGTGAAGGTGGGAGGCCCGAGTAAGGACGACATCCCTGGGACCCATCCCAGAGGGACTGGCACAGGAGGAGCGGCTCGGACCCAGGGTGCGCGTCACACCGCTGCCGCTCAGGAGTCCAAACCCCACGGCCCGGGACACTCACTCGTGCAGGTCTTCAGAGGAGCCACACCTTGGCCCCTCCTCCGAGTCCCGACCCTCCTCGTGCTCCTTGTCCTCTGCGCTCTCCCCCTTCTGTGATGTGGCCTCGCCATTCACTGGGGCTGAGAGATCTGGGTGGGACAGAGGGGTCACAGGACACTGCTGGGCTCCAGCTGGGCACCCCAGAACCCTTGCCTGTCAAGGACTGGACCAGGGGCCAAGCTGAGCGCCGTGGGTGACACATGCCCATCCACCTGGACCCCAGCACCTGCTGTCCAGTCTGCAAGCTCCTGACATGGGATGCTGCAGCCAGCCCCAGCCCGAGCCACACTGGCCTGCAGAACTGGGGGCCCAAGAAATGAGGGAACGTGGGCAGCCCTGAGAAAAGCCCACAGCAGCCTGGGAAAGACAAAGGAAGACAAGGTCGGGCACGGGGGCTCACAATCCCAGCACGTGGGAGGCCGAGACGTGAGGCTCACTTGAGCCCAGGAGTTCAAGACCAGCCTGAGTAACATGCCAGCAACCCTGTCTCTACAAAAAATACAAAAATTAGCACGTCCTGGCAGGGCGCAGTGGCTCACGCCTGTAATCCCAGCACTTTGGGAGGCCGAGGAGGGCGGATCATGAGGTCCAGAGATTGACACCATCCTGGATAACACGGTGAAACCCCATCTCTACTAAAAAATACAAAATATTAGCCTGGTGTGGTGTTGGGTGCCTGTAGTCCCAGCTCCTCGGGAGGCTGAGGCAGGAGAATGGCGTGAACCCAGGAGGCGGAGCTTGCAGTGAGCCAAGATCACGCTACTGCACTCCAGCCTGGGGGACAGAGCAAGACTCCGTCTCAAAAAAAAAAAAAAAAAAAAAAAAAATTAGCAGGGCATAGTGGTGTAGGCCTACAATCCCAGCTCCTCAGGAGGCTGAGGTGGAGGATGGCTTGCGCCCAGGAAGTCAAGGTTGCAGTGAGCTGTGATTGTACCACTGCACTCCAGCCTGGGGGACAGAGCGAGACCCCATCTCAGAAAAAAAAGAAAAAAGAAAAAAAAGACACTAGCCTTCGGCTGCCCCCTGGGCCGCAAAGCCCCATCCCAAGCTCGCCCATCCCATCTCCAAAGGGCTGCTCTGAGCACCTGTAATGGGGCCATGTCAGCCCAGTAGCCCCACAGCCAGCAGCCCCGAGGGTCACACCTCATCTCCTGTCGGCCCACCAGGCAAGCAAGGGCACCTGAGGCCTCCGCCCCCGAGCCTCCACCGACTGCCTCTCTGAACAATGCCCCCACTCTTTGCCCCCGCTGCACAGAGCCACCCCCCTCTCTGGGCGTCCCAGGGTGGGAGACGGTGGAGGCGTGTGCTGTCATGCACTGTCCCCGTCACCCCTCTGGCGTGAGCCCCAAGTTACCTGCATGCTGGCTGCCTGGCACACGGTAGGACCTGAATGCCCCTCACTGGCTGCCCCAGGGATTAAAGCCGGGTCTGCACGGAGACCCCAACAGGACATGACACTCTGGCAGGTTTGGGGCAGAGAGTAGAGCTGTACTCCCCTTCTGGAATGTTCTGCAAAGCATCTGTTTCTTCAGCTGAGGAGACTGAGGTACAGGGCCCACCCCACCCGCCCCTCACCGGTGCTGGGCTTGTCCTCCGCCTTCTCCTGGGGGGCCTCCTCCCCGGCCAGCTCCTCCCCGGCCAGCTTCTCCTCGGCCTTCTCCTTCTCCATCCCAGCCTTGTTCACTTTCTGCACCGCCTCGATCTTTGGGCCGAGGACCCGCGACTTGAGCCGGGTATAGACTTCTGCTGCCTTCTCCATTACGTCCTTGTTCGCTTTGTAACGGCGAATCTGGCCACCAAGAGAAGAGGCCTGGCTCACCCAAGTGCAGCGGCCCTAGCCCCGGCTCTGAACCCCTCGCCCCAGCAATGCGCCCCTCCCGCAGCCCCTCCCGGGAGCACAGCTCTGTGCAGCAGGCATTTCTTTTTTTTTTTTTGAGACAGAGTCTCGCCCTGTCACCCAGGCTAGAGTGCAGTGGCGCGATCTCGGCTCACTGCAACCTCCGCCTCCCAGCTTCAAGCGATTCTCCTGCCTCAGCCTCCTGAGTAGCTGGGATTACAGGCGTGCGCCACCACACCTGGCTAATTTTTGTATCTTTAGTAGAGATGGGGTTTCACCATGTTGGTCAGGATGGTCTTGATCTCCTGACCTCGTGATCCGCCTGCCTCAGCCTCCCAAAGTGCTGGGATTACAGGCGTGAGCCACCACTCCTGGCAAGCACCAGGCATTTCTACCCAGCAGCCCACGGCCTCCTCGCTGACCCAGGGCTGTCCCGACAGGAACCTGCTGGGGGCCTGGGCTCCCGGGCAGGCACTTGCTCCCAGCTCCCCCGACTGCACCCTGCGCCTCTGATTCCCCCGCCATACCTTCTTCAAGGTGGCCACCACGTCTGTGTTCTTCTGGAGGATCTGAGAGGTCACCTGCAGGGTTCCCAGCTCCTCTAGGGCATTCAGGCACCTCTTCACGTCCTGCAGGGTGGGGTGGGAGTGAGGGAGACGGCCTGGCCAAGGGATCCCCAGGGGTCCCAGGGCCCCGATGGGTGGAGGAAGACATCCTGGGCTCTCCTTGAGGGGAGCTGTATCTGCAGAACAGCTCCCCTCAGCCCCCGTCCAGTTGACGGGGAACTCCAGGGATAGCCAGATACTTGGGGTCCCAGGTACGTGGGGGTTGGTCCTGGGGGCCTCCACACACCACCTGCCGGGAAAGCTGGGTGCTGCATGTCAGGACCAGCTCCCCCAGGGCCCTTGGCCAGGAGACCCCATGCGCTCACTAGCAACCGGAACAGACTCCTGGCCCACCCAACTGCAGGACCCCGGCTTTGCCTCAGTTTCCCGAGACATCTAAGGGAGCCTGGCAGGGAGGTGGCAGCGGGGACTGCTTGGCTCACAGGCCCTGAGGGTCTTACCGGGCTGTCGACCTTTAGGGCAAACTTGATCTCACTGTGCAGCTTCTGCAGCTTCTCCTCCACGGAGGGCTCTGGGCCAGGAGAGAGAGCACCGTGTGGGCCCAGGCAGGGCCACAGGGGGCCAGCTGTTCAAGGGCAGGAGCCTGAGAGCCTCTGGAGGATTTGTCATGGGGGCCCCAGGTCTGCAGGCTCAGCCCCCACCCCTGGAGGCACCGCCGGCCAGGCCGGCCGAGGATGTGCTGAGCACCCTCTCTAGGGACAGGCGGGACAGGCCAGCCACGCCACGGCTGTCCCCGTTCCCCTCAGTGAACTCAGTGTGGGCAGTGCTGGGCAGCCAGGCCTCACCTTTCTTCTTCTCTACCTTCCTGTCCATCGAGAAGCCCTCGGACCGCTTCCGGGTCCGCTCCACCTTCACGGGCCTGTGGAGAAGTGCTCCCCTCAGTCGGGCCCCGTCACCGGCACTCTGCCACTGAGGGGCTGGCGCCTGAAGGGGTGGACCCAAACCCACTGCAAAGGAAACCTTTGGGAGGCCCTGGGAGCTAAGCCGGGAAACGGGAGGCGGGGAGGCCCTGCCACAGCCTAGGCCTAGGGCAGACCAGGGCAGCCACAGGCTCGAGCTGCCCAAAGATACAAGCCTTTTCCCGAGTTCTCATGAAATCCCAGGATTCTTTTCCTCGTTCACATGGCCAAGGGCTGGCTTTGTCTACCAGAGTCAGCGAGCTAGGAAAAGGCCCTCAAGGGTGACACGCGTGCAGGAGAGAGGCCCATTGCTGAGGCTCGGTGCCATGTGCTGCTCTGTACCCCGCCACTGCCATACCGGCCTGCCGAATTCTCATGGGCAGGTTTGCCCACTCAAGGCCATTTAGAAAGTGGGCTGGGGGACCAAGCACGGTGGCTCACGCCTGTAATCCCAGCACTTTGGGAGGCCGAGGCGGGGGGATCATGAGTTTAGGAGATAGAGACCATCCTGGCCAACACGGTGAAGCCCCGTCTCTACTAAAAATACAAAAAATTAGCCGGGTGTGGTGGCACACACCTGTAGTCCCAGCTACTTTGGAGGCTGAGCTAGGAAAATCGCTTGAACCCAGGAGGCAGAGGTTGCAGTGAGCTGAGATGGCGCCACTGCACTCCAGCCTGGGCCACAGAGCAAGCCCAAGACTCTGTCTCAAAAAAAAACAAAAACAAAAACAAAAACGTGGGCTGCAGCCAGGCACGGTGGCTCACACTTGTAATCCCAGCACTTTGGGAGGCTGAGGCGGGCAGATCACGGGGTCAGGAGATCGAGACCAGCCTGGCCAACATGATGAAACCCCGTGTCTACTAAAGCAACAAAAATTAGCCAGGCGTGGTGGCGGGTGCCTGTAATCCCAGCTACTCGGGAGGGCTGAGGCAGGAGAATCGCTTGAACCCGGGAGGCGGAGGTTGCAGTGAGCTGAGATCACGCCATTGCACTCCAGCCTGTGCAAAAGAGCAAGAACAAGACTCCATCTCAAAAAAAAAAAAAAAAGTGAGCTGGGAGACAGGCTCTGTCTGCCCACCACAGGGGGACCAAGATGCAAACCCCTAGGCCGGGGTGCAGTTTCTCCCTCCTCCTCTGCTTGTGGACATTGGGGATGGACTGTTCTCTGGGATGGGTCATCCTGGGCACTACAGGGCCCTCAGCAGCGTCCCCAGCCTCCACCCGCTCCATGCCAGGAGCACCCCCCAGTCATGACAACCACAGATGTCCCCGGACGTGGCCGTGTCTCTGGAGGCGGGATCGCCCTGGAGGAGACCCCTGGGCTGGGCAAAGATCCCACTCCCGCAGCAGCGATTCCTACGCAGCCCACACAACCCAAGGACCAGGAACTTCAACCGGGTCCGGCTCCAAGGCTGAACTCAGAGGTGGGGCTGCCCCTGTGAGGGGTGAGGGTTGTGGGGTGATGCGGGGTGCGGGGCCCCCAGGGTGTGGAGGGGCAGAGCAGGGCTCACTTGGCTTGTTGCTTCTCCTCGGGCCGCACTCTCTTCTCCTTCTGGCCAGGTTTCCTGGCGGGCTCTGTGCTTGAGGACTGCGGCTTCTTCGCTGATTTCTTGGCCTATAGCAGTCAGGAAGGGCGCGCTGGAGCAGTGGGAAGAGGGGATTACCCAGACCCCTAGCCCATCCCACTACCAGGAGATGCAGCTCGACCCTTTCTGTCGCCCTCCACACTGTTTGAAGGTGCTGGGGCAGGATGGGAGAGGAGGGAGGACCCAGTGTCCGGTCCTGAGTGGATCGTGGGGTTCTTGGAGCCCAGGCCCCATTCAGTGGAGGAACAGCCCCCTTCACTCCTCCTGCCCAGCAGTCCTGGGCTGTGGCTGAAACGCCTCCTGCACCAGGAGTTCGGTGCCCTTTCTGTGATGAAGGGAGTGACAGAGAGAGAACACGGCGCTGTTCGTGCTTTCCCCAAAGAAGGCAGGCCTGGCTGAGGGGCACCAGCACGTGGGCCCCAGGCACTCAGTCTAGGTGAGACTCTGGATTCAGGCCACATTGCCTGAATCTCCACAAGGGTAGAGGGCGTGACAGGGCCCGCAGCACCACACGTGGTATAGGAGAGTCCTGACAGTCACCACCCTAGGAGGCCTCCTACCTGCTCCCACGCTCACCTGCAAGCTGTACCCCATGGCAGCCAGAGGGCACCCGAGAGCACCCGAGTGAGGGCCTGTCCCTACCCTGTCCAGTGCCCTCCATGGCTCCCACCTCCCTCAGGGTCAAAGCCCAAATCCTCCCTGCAGCCCACATGGCCCTACCCGGCCTGCTCTGTCCGTTCCCCACCGCCCTCCTTTTCCCTCTCTCCCCTCCTCCCTCCACTCCAGCCCCAGAGGCCACCTCGCTGTTCCTCCAGCACGCCAGGCGCAGTCCTCTGGGCCTGTGTGTGAGCTGCTTCTCCTGCCTAGAATGTATCCCCTCCCAGGAGTCTTCGTAGATCCCCTCCCTTCATTCGGAGCCTATTTTTTTTTTTTTTTTTTTTTTTTGAGATGGAGTCTCGCTCTGGCCCAGGCTGGAGTGCAGTGGCACAATCTTGGCTCGCTGCAACCTCTGCCTCCCAGGTTCACACCATTCTCCTGCCTCAGCCTCCTGAGTAGCTGGGACTACAGGCACCTGCCACAACGCCTGGCTAATTTTTTTGTATTTTTAGTAGAGACAGGGTTTCACCGTGTTAGCCAGGCTGGTCTTGATCTCCTCACCTCGTGATCCACCCGCCTTGGCCTCCCAGAGTGCTGGGATTACAGGCGTGAGCCACTGCGCCCAGCCCATTCGGAGCCTTTTACTTAAACCCAAACGCAAGCCTTTGGAGTCTACTCACACCTTCAGGGTCTACTCTATTTAAAAGAGAAACCCCCCACCCCACTTTACTCTTCTCCTTAGCACCGAAAACTCCGGACAGCACGCACTACCCTCATGTCATCTGTACAGCTCCTCCCTCCTTTGTTTTGTTTTGAGACAGGGTCTTGCTGTGTGGCCCAGGCTGGAGTGCAGTGGATTGATGACAGCTCACTGCAGCCTCCAACTCCTGGGCTCAAGCAATCCTCCTGCCTCAGCCTCCTGAGCAGCCGGGACTATACAGGCGCACACCACCACGCCCAGCTAATTTTTTAAGGTTTTTATAGAGACAGGGTCTCTCTATCTTGCCCAGGCTGGTCTCGAGCTGGACTCAAGTAATCGTCCCACTTCAGCTGCCCAAAGTGCTGGGATAACAGGCGTGAGCCACCAAGCCCGGCCCCCTCCCTCCCATGAATGTCCCCTCCTCCAGGGCAGGAGTTTCTGGGCCCACGCACTGCTTTCTTGATGGGTCCCGGAACCTGGGATACTGCCTCCTACCTAGTAGATGCTCCATAAACGTGTGGAGTGAAGGCAGGGACTCCCGGCGCCCTCCCGGCTCACCTCTCTCTCCAGCTCGGCCTCGGGCTCGGAGTCAGAGGAGGACGGGGGACCCCGGCCCCGGCCCTTGCGTCCCCGCTTCTTGACGGGCTCATCGTCCTCCCTGAGCTCGTCCCCGCTGCTGCCGCCGCTGCCCCGCTCAGCCTCCCCGCGGTCGGCCCGCTCGCGCCTCCGCTCCTTCTCCTCCTTCTCCTGCTCCCGCAGGCGCCGCAGCTCCTCCTCCTGCTCTCGCCGCCGCCGGGCCTCCAGCTCGCGCCTCCGCGCCTCGTCCCGCCGCTTCCACTCACTGATGCGGTCCACCTCGTCGCTGTCACTGGAGGCGGAGGGGGCGGTTGGGGACCTCCGTTCCTCCCTCAGGAGCCCGCCCTGCCCCTCAGCCGATGGAGGAGCCGCCAGAGGGGACCCCAGCCCCAGCACCCACCTGTCACTGCTGGAGCTGGACGGAGGCCGTTCAGGCTTCGGTTTCCGCCCTCGCGGCTTCGGGAGAGGCTTCTCCGCTACAGGAAGAGGAGGAGGGGGTGACCTTCCCTTCCAGGGCTCCAAGGTGACCAGGGGACTGCCTGGGAGCGCCCCGGCAGGGGCCAGGCCAAGAGATGTGCGAGCACGAGGGCCCTACCTGGCTTCCTGCCCCTCGGAGGCTTCTTCACAGACACATCGGAGTCGGAGGAGGAGGAGGAAGAGGAGGAGGAGGACGCCGACCGCGCCATGGCCACCGGCTCAGGCTTGGCCCCGTCCGAATCGGCCTTGGAGTCGGAGTCGGAGGCTGATGGCGCCTTCTGGGGAGAAGCAGGGACAGGCGTGAGCATCAGGAGCCCCACCGTGAGAAGCGGGGCGCACCAGGCCAGAGGAGGCTCCCGCACCCCTGCAGCCGCCAGGCTCTGCGGGCCTCGGCTCAGGGCCCGGCTCCGAATCCCCTCCCACCCACAAAACCCACCTCCACCCCAAGTGAAAACCGGGATCCCAGGCGGCCCTGGGCACGCCGGGCAGCTGCTGGCCCTTCCCCTCATCTTCCTCAGTGAACCGGGTACATCAGAAGCCCGGGTTTCCCAGTGGGGACATCTTTTTCTTTATGCAAAATCTTGTGCGGAGGCCACATCAGACAAGCTGCCGTGCTCTACCGCCTCCACCCGAGTACCCTGCCAAACACACACGCCACACACAGACACCACACACACACCACACACACACCACACACAGACAACACACACACCACACACACACACAGACAACACACATACCACACAGATACCACACACCACACCACACACACCGCACAGACACAGACAACACACACACCACGCACACACCACACACAGACAACACACACCACACAGACACAGATAACACACACACCACACACAGACAACACACACACCACACACCACACAGATAACACACACACACCACACACAGACAACACACACACCACACAGATACCACACACCACACACAGATAACACACACGCACCACACACAACCACACACACACTACACACAGACACCACACACCACAGACAACTCACACGCACCACACACACACACCACACACACAGATACACACCACACAGACACCACACACACACCACAGATAACACACACCACACCACACACACCACACACACACAGACAACACACACACCACACAGATAACACACACAGACCACACATAACACACAGACCAGAAACACACACCAGACACACCATAGACACAGACACACCAGACACACAAACACCCAACACACATACACCACACACACCACACACCACACACAGACAACACATACCACACACCACAGACAACACACATACCAGACACACACACCACACAGACAACACACACAAACAAAACACACACCATACACAGATAACACACAGACAACACACATACCACAAACCATACACATGGACACACCAGACACACAAACACACACAACACAGACACCACACACAGACACACAAACACAGACACATAGATACATGAACAGTATGCACACATGGACACACAGGCACACACACAGGCACCACATATACTCACATAGGAACACAGAGGCACAACACATAGACGCAGAGGAGAGGTACAGCACACACACACACAGGCATACAGGCACAGGGACACAGGCACCAGAAACACACACACAGGCACGACATGTGCACACACGACACACACATCACACATGCACAATCTACACACACACTGCACACATACACACCTACATGGTCACAAACATGCATACACACAAGTACACACACACACATGCACGTCGACACACGTGCACAGAGACAGAACACACACACACAATCCGCTCATATACACACTGGCACACACCTCTCTCCTCTCTTCTGTGTCCCTCTCGCGCTCTTGCTTTCTCACTCTCTCACTCTCATGCAGGCGCGTCAGGACTGCTTCCCTCCCTTCTGATGCCAGCATCCCAGAATGCCCCTTTCCAAACCAGATGGTGGGCTCCTGGAGGCAGTGCGGCCATAACGAGGTGCCACGCTCAGGGCAGAGGCGGTCCCCTCGGGTACCCTGCAGTCCGTGTCCCACCCCCTCCAGAAATGGCCCGCCCTGCCCTGGGGACAGCACTGGAGACCGCAGAGGTGCCCCACGAGTGGGCATGGGAAACAAAGTCAAGTGCACGCTACCTTTTTTTTCCGTCCCCCCAGAGGGCCCCTCCGTGGCGCCCGGACCGCTGCTTTCTTCTCAGGTGTGAAGTCCTGGGGGAGAGAAGTGAGCTGAACTGGGGCCCACTGGCAGCCACCACGCTTCCCTGCCATCCCAAGGAGCCACTGGCCCACCTGGTCGCTGGTCTTCTCCGACTCAGATGAGCTTTCCGAGTTCTCCTCTTCGGATGGGGACACGCTGGCCTGATCCAGGTCGCTGGAGGCCTTTCGGGCTCGTTTCGAGACCGACATCTGGAAGGGGAACGGCCTGAATGCTCAGTGATGGGAAGGCCGGGCTCCTGGCAGGAAGCCCCCAGCTGACTGCCCACCACCCACGACAGCTGAGCTCTGGAACCTCTCTGGCGGGCCAGGAACCCTCTGAGAACCTGATCAAACCAGGGATCTTGAACCTTGAGGACATTATGCTTGGTGAAAGAAGCCAGTCACAAAAAGACAAACTCTTATAGGAGGTCCCTAGGGCCATCAGACTCACAGAGACAGAAAGTAGGATGAGGGGCACCAGGGCTGCGCCGGGGGGGGTGGGGGGGTGGGGGGGTGGGGGGGTGGGTGGTGGGAGTGAGTGTTTCATGGGACAGCATTTCAGCTTGGGAAGACGAGAAAGTTCTGGAGATGATGGTGGTGATGGTTGCACAACCACGTGAATGTGCTTAATGCTGCTGAACGGGGCACTTAAAAATGGCTAATTTTGGCCAGGCACGGTGGCTCACACCTGTAATCCCAGCACTTTGGGAGGCTGAGGCGAGCAGATCACCTGAGGTCGGGAGTTTGAGACCAGCCTGACCAACATGGAGAAACCCCATCTCTACTGAAAAACAAAATTAGCTGGGTGTGGTGGCGTATGCCTGTAATCCCACCTACACAGGAGGCCGAGGCAGGATAATCGCTTGAACCTGGGAGGCAGAGGTTGCGGTGAGCCGAGATTGCGCCATCACACTCCAGCCTGGGTGACAAGAGTGAAACTCCATCCCCCACCCGCCAAAAAAAAAAAAGAGAAAAAAAAGAAATAATCCTTCCTTGGCTCAGAAACCCCTCATATACTACAGGTATTTTTTCCAAATTCTCTCTGTTCTTTGCATTTTCCAAGTTATCTACTATAAATATGGCTTATCATTTTAGAATCAGAAAATAATACAAAGTACACGTGACTCTATCAAAAGAATTTGCTGCTAGAATCTGGTCCTTTGTTTCTACACCCAAATAGTGAGAAATGGTCAAAAGGCAGGACAGAGAATATACCCAGGAGAATGGAACACACACATCTGCACAAAACTCTGTACAGAAACGTTCACGGCAGCCTGATCTGGAATGGCCCAAAAGTGGAAACAACCCAAATGGCCAGCGACATGTGGATCAACACACCGTGTTCCCTCCACACACCGGAATCTGACCCGGCCAGGAAAAGGAAGGGAGGCAGCCAGGCGCGGTGGCTCACGCCTGTCATCCCAGCACTCTGGGAGGCCGAGGCAGGCTGATCAGGAGGTCAGGAGTTCGAGACCAGCCTGGCCAACATGGAGAAACCCCGTCTCTACCAAAAACACAAAATTAGCCGGACGTGGTAGCGGGCCCCTGTAATCCCAGTTACTCAGGAGGCTGAGGCAAAAGAATTGCTTGAACCCGGGAGGTGGAGGATGCAGTGAGCAGAGATCATGCCATTGCACTCCAGCCTGGGCGACAGAACTAGAGTCCGTCTCAAAATAAATAAATAAATGAAACGAATGGAGCTGACCCGGGCTGCAGTGCGGATGCACCCTGAGGACGTCACGCTTGGTGAAGGAAGGCGGACACAAAGGCTATGCAGTGTGTGACCCCATTTCTATGAAATGCCCAGGACAGGCCCCTCCACAGAGGCAGGAAGGGGATGTGTGGGTGCCAGGGGCCAGAGGAGGGGATGCGGAGGATCAGCTGATGGGGACCAGGTTTCTTTTTGGGGTGACGGAAATCTCCTGGAATAATGGTAATGGTTGCACAATTCCGTGAACACACTAAAAACCACTGAGGTGTATATTCAGGAAGGATGAATCTCATGGTGTATGGACTATAACTCAATTTTTTTTAAATGCATACTGAAAAACAATTATATTAAAGAAAGGGACCAGGCCAGGCACCATGGCTAACGCCTGTAATCCCAGCACTTTGGGAGGCCGAAGCGGGCGGATCATGAGGTCAGGAGATCAAGACCAGCCTGGCCAACATGGTGAAACCCTGTCTCTACTAAAATACGAAAAATTAGCCGGGCGTGGTGGTGGATGCCTGTAATCTCAGCTACTTCGGAGGCTGAAGCAGGGGAATCACTTGAACCCAGGAGGTGGAGATTGCAGTGAGCTGAGATCGTGCCACCGCACTCCAGCCTGGCAACAGAATGAGACTCCGTCTCAAAAAAAAAAAAATATGGTGGTGGTGCCCATAATCCCAGCTACTGGGGAGGCTCAGGCAGGATAATTGCTGGAACCCAGTGGCAGAGGGTGCAGTGAGCCAAGATCGTGCCACTGCACTCCCGCCTGGGTGACAGAGGGAACTCCATCTCAAAAAAAAAAAAAGAAAGGTGGCCAGGCGCAGTGGCTCAAGACTGTAATCCCAGCACTTTGAGAGACCGAGGCAGGCAGATCACCTGAGGTCAGGAGTTCAAGACCAACTTGGGGACCTGGTGAATCCCCGTCTCTAACAAAAATACAAAAATTAGCCAAGTGCGGTGGCAGGTGCCTGTAATCCCAGCTACTAGGGAGGCTGAGGCAGAAGAATTGCTTGAACCTGGGAGGCGGAGGTTGCAGCGA
This sequence comes from Homo sapiens, assembly GCF_000001405.40. Taxonomy (NCBI): domain Eukaryota; kingdom Metazoa; phylum Chordata; class Mammalia; order Primates; family Hominidae; genus Homo; species Homo sapiens. The sequence continues at coordinate 4,489,025 of NC_000019.10, read as the reverse complement.
GTCGAGATCACGCCACTGCACTCCAGCCTGGGCGACAGAGTAAGACCTTGTCTCAAAAAAAAAAAAAAAAAAAGGGCAGGAGAGCAAGCTGCCAGGCGAGACATCAGGGCAAGGGGATGAAGGGCCAGCCCACCTTGGTCCTCCCCTACCTTTAGCGCAGGCGTCTTCCTCTTCAGGCCACTGTTGTCGCTACTCTTGTCTGAGTCTGAGTCGCTCTCCATCCTGTCGCTGGCAGCTGTGGCGGTTACCGCTGTGACGGCCATGACCCCCCGGTCCTCATCGTCCTCGTCAGCGTCACTGCCGTCGGCGGGGTTGGCCTCGGGGGCCTCGCTGTCGGAGGAGCTCACTGGCTGTGGGAGTCGGGGCAGAGAACGCGCGTCACCACCAGTCGTGGGTGGATTTCCCCATCAGGACTATGACCCAGAGGACGGCAACCACATGCGGGATCCTGAATGTCAGGCGTGTTGTCTCCTGGCTTTACAAATGGGGAAACCGAGGCCCAGAAGAGCCGAAGAACGAAGGCAGGAGAGTGAGATGGATTCGTGTATGGTGGGCACTAGGGTCGGGCCGCGGGCTTCAGGGTTAAACCTGGGGCAAATGACTTCAACCCTCTGTGCTTCAGTGACCACTTCTGGGCAATGGGGATGGCTCAGTTTTGACCTCAGAGGCCTGTGACCAGGAAAGCATGGAAGTGGGAGGTGGAGCACCTAAGACAGTGCCGAGACCATGTCAAGAGGTCCAGAAATGGCTGCCCTGGCCGGGCGCGGAGGCTCACGCCTATAATCCCAGCACTTTGGGAGGCTGCAGCAGGCAGATCACCTGAGGTCAGGTGTTCGAGACCAACCTGGCCAACATGGCAAAACCCTGTCTCTACTAAAAATACAAAAATTAGATGGGTGTGGTGGTGGGCGCCTGTAATCCCAGCTACTCAGGAGGCCGAGGCAGGAGAATCACTTGAACCCACGAGGTGGAGGTTGCAGTGAGCCGAGATCACGCCACTGCACTCCAGCCTGGGCAACAGAGTGAGACTCTGTCTCAAAAAAATAAAAAAAGAAAAGAAATGGTTCCTTTTTTTTTTTTTTAAGTCATTCAATTATCAGGAGGAAGAAGCCAAGCTAGGACAAGACCTCTGGGCTTCTACCATCCAGGCACTGCTATTTCTCCTACACTCAAAATGCCCGCTCAGGCAGTGACAGCCACAGAAATCACAAACACCTATCTGATGCTTCTTATGTGCCAGGCACGTGACCGGGTCACACACTGAGCCAACGTTTGCTGAGCAGTCATGAGTGTCGGGCACTGGGCCGGGGGCATCAAGAACACAGAAGTGACCGTGGCATCTCCCTTGCCCCTGGGAGCTGGTTTTCTAGCGGGAGACCCTGAACATTGCCATTTAAACACAGACAATTCCAAATCGTGGTGACAGGCAGGAAGAAAACACGGGCGTATGGTTGTAAGGATTCAGAGGGGAGTAGGGCTGGTGGCTCACGCCTGTAATCCCAGCACTTTGCGAGGCCAAGGCAGAAGGATCACTTGAGCCCAGGAGTTCAAGACCAGCCTGGGCAACATGGCGAAACCCCCTCTCTACAAAAGATGCACATATTAGCAAGGTGTGGCGGTGTGGGCCTGCGGTCCCAGCTGCTTAAGGGGCTGAGGCAGGAGGATCGCTTGAGCCTAGGAGGCAGAGGTTTCAGTGAGCTATGATCACACCACTGCACTCCAGACTGAGTGATAGAGCAAGACCCCGTTTGTAAGAGAGAACCCGGGTGCGGTGGCTCACGCCTGTCATTCCAGCACTTTGGGAGGCCGCGGTGGGTGGAACACGAGGTCAGGAGTTTAAGACCTGCCTGGCCAAGATGGTGAAACCCTGTCTCTACTAAAAATACAAAAAAAATTAGCCAGGCGTGGTGGCGGGCGCCTGTAATCCCAGCTACTCGGGAGGCTGAGGCAGAGAATTGCTTGAACCCAGGAAGCAGAGGTTGCAGTGAGCCGAGATCACACCACTGCACTCCTGCCTGGGTGACAGAGCGAGACTCCGTCTCAAAAAAAAAAAGAGAGAGAGAGGAGAGTGTTTAGCACTGGGTGATCGAGGAGGCCCCTCGGAGGATGTGACATTTTTACAGAGGAGTTGTCAGAAGCATGGGAAGGGGTAGGAGCTAGCGGCGTTCCAGAGAGCAGGAATGGCACCAGTGAAGGTCCCCTTGGGAACCAGAAGAAGCTGACATATACCCATATGGGGCACAGAGAAGCGGGTGGAGATGGTGAAGAGGAGGATGAAGAGTTAGGCCGTGGGTGGCTCATGCTTGTGGGAGGAAAATGTATGAGCGCCAGGTGTATTTTTTGTATTTTTAGTAGAGACAGGGTTTCACCATGTTGACCAGGATGATCTCAATCTCTTGACCTCGTGATCCACCCGCCTCAGCCTCCCAAAGTGCTGGGATTACAGGAGTGAGCCACCGTGCTTGGCAGAGATTGCGATTTTTCCTTTTTTTTTTTTTTTGAGATGGAATTTCGCTCTTGTTGCCCAGGCTGGAGTGCAATGGCATGATCTCGGCCCACCATAACCTCCGCCTCCCGGGTTCAAGCAATTCTCCTGCCTCAGCCCCATTACTCATTCATTCAGTGATGATCATGAGACACCTGCTAGGTCCTCCAACAAACATCATGACACACCTGCTATGTGCCCAGCTCTGTGCTGGGCACTGGGGATAGAAACAGCTAAAACGCAGTCCCTGCTGTCAGGGAGCTCATGGTCTACCGGGGAGACAGACAAGTCCACGCAGTTACAACAAGCTCAAGCTGTGCTGCCACAGCTCCCAGCACAGGCACCAAGCAGCACACAGGCCAGCCTTGCCAGCGTGGAACACCTGACCGAGTGATTGCCCGTCACTTCTTTTCTAAATAACTGCTTTTTTTTAAGAAGACAGAGAGAGATTGAGTTTTCGTGGTTGTTGTTTTTTTTTTTTTTTTTTTGAGACGGGGTCTTACTCTGTCACCCAGGCTGGAGTGCAGTGGCGCGATCACGACTCACTGCAGCCTCAACTTCCTGGGCTCAGGTGATCCTCCCACCTCAGCCTCCTGAGCAGCTGAAACTACAGGTTTGCACCACCACACCTGGCTAACGTTTTTGTATTTTTTTTTTGTAGACATGGGGTTTCACCATGTTGCCCAGGCTGGTCTCAAACTCCTGGGCTTAAGCAATCCTCCCACCTTGGCCTCCCAAGCTGCTGGGATTACAGGTGTGAGCTACCGCACCCCACGAGATTGAGATTTTTTTTTTTTTTGAGACGGAGTCTCGCTCTGTCGCCCAGGCTGGAGGGCAGTGGTGCCATCTCGGTTCACTGCAAGCTCCGCCTGCTGGGTTCACGCCATTCTCCTGCCTCAGCCTCCCAAGTAGCTGGGACTACAGGCACCCGCCACCACGCCTGGCTAATTTTTTTTGTATTTTTTTAGTTGAGACGTGGTTTCACTGTGTTAGCCAGGATGGTCTCAATCTCCTGACCTCGTGATCCACCCACCTCGGCCTCCCAAAGTGCTGAGATTACAGGTGTGAGCCACCACGCCTGGCCAAAACTGAGATTTTTAAAAGCCACATTCTCTGAAAAAAACCCAAATGTCCGTTAACTGATAAACAAACGTGGTATAACAATAGGATAGAATATGACTTGGCCATGAAAAGAAACGAGGCTCTGACCCAGGCCACAGCATGGATGAACCTTGAGGATGCCACGCTCAGCTGACAGAAGTGAGACACAAAAGGCCACACAGTGTGTGATTCCATTTCTATGAAATGTCCAGGACAGGCCCATCCAGAGAGATAGAAGGTGGATCCATGGTTGCCTGAGGCTTGAGGGGAGAAGAGAATTGGGGGGATACCTAGCAGGTAGAGGATTCCTTTGTGAAGCGTTGAAAATATCCTGGGCCAGGCGCAGTGGCTCATGCCTGTAATCCCAGCACTTTGGGAGGCCAAGGCAGGTGGATCATAAGCTCAGGAGATGGAGACCATCCTGGCTAACACAGTGAAACCCTGTCTCTACTAAAAAATACAAAAAATTGGCCGGGCACGGTGGCTCATGCCTGTAATCCCAGCACTTTGGGAGGCCGAGGCGGGCAGATCACGAGGTCAGGAGATCGAGACCATCCTTGCTAACATGGTGAAACCCCGCCTCTACTAAAAATACAAAAAATTAGCTGGGCATGGTGGCGGGTGCCTGTAGTCCCAGCAACTCGGGAGGCTGAGGCAGGAGAATGGCGTGAACCCAGGAGGCGGAGTTTGCAGTGAGCTGAGATTGTGCCACTACACTCCAGCCTGGATGACAGAGCAAGACTCCGTGTCAAAAAAAAAAAAAAAAAAAAAAATTAGCCAGGCGTGATGGCGGGTGCCTGTAGTCCCATCTACTCAGGAGGCTGAGGCAGGAGAATGGTGTGAACCCGGGAGGTGGAGCTTGCAGTGAGCCGAGATCGCACCACTGCACTCCAGCCTGGGCAACAGAGCGAAGACTCTGTCTCAAAAAAAAAGAAAATATCCTGGAATTAGCAAGAATGGTACACTGAGAATGTACTAGAAGCTACTGTACGGTATACTCTTAAATGATTAAAATGGTGAAGTTATCTCGATGGGAAAAAAAATAATAATAAAACAGGCCGGGCGTGGTGGCTCACGCCTATAATCCCAGCACTTTGGTAGGCCGAGGCAGGTGGATCACCTGAGGTCAGGAGTTCGAGACCAGCCTGGCCAAGATGGCCAAATGCTGTCTCTACTAAAAATACAAAAATTAGCCGGGCCTGGTGGCAGGCGCCTGTAGTCCCAGCTACTGAGGAGGCTGAGGCACGAGAATCACTTGAACCTGGGAGGCAGAGATTGCAGTGAGCTGAAATCACACCACTGCACTCCAGCCTGGGTGACAGACACTGTCTCAAAAAAAAAAAAAAAAAAAGGCCGGGTGCAGTGGCTCACGCCTGTAATCCCAACACTTTGGGAGGCCAAGGCAGGCAGATCACGAGGTCAGGAGATCAAGACCATCCTGGCTAACACAATGAAACTCCATCTCTACTAAAAATACAAAGAATTAGCTGGGCGTGGTGGCAGGTGCCTGTAGTCCCAGCTACTCAGGAGGCTGAGGCAGGAGAATCGCTTGAACACGAGAGGCAGAGGTTGCAGTGAGCCCAGATAGCGTCACTGCACTCCAGCTTAGGAGACAGAGCAAGACTGTCTCAAAAAAAAAAAAAAAAAAAAAATCATGAAACAATTAAGTCCCATTCTCCTGGTGTGATGACCAAAATGGCGTGTGACAGGCTGGAGTGGGGCACGCATGGTGTCCAGGAGAGAGCAAGGTGGAGGAGATAAGGGTGTGAGAATGGGTGAGAGGCATGTCACGGGGCTCGCGGGAGACGAGGCCAGGAAGGACAGGCAGAGTAAGGCCCACGTTTGTGACCGGGTGTTGCGGCCGGGCAAGAGGGAGCAGGGAGTACACGGTGCAGGGCTGGGCGGATGCTGCAGGCGAGGCCAGCGTCTGAGTAGAAATGCCCGGACAGAATGGAAGCATGGCCTGAGGAATGAGGGCGTCAGCGCTGGTCAAGAGGGGGGGCCAGGAGGAGGGAACCACAGGAGGGAACCTCGGCCCTTCCTCAGTTTCCCGGCTCCCTCCAGGCTTAGCCTGGTCCTCCCGCGCCGGGAGGAGAGGCTGGGAGCCCACAGCAGGCGCACACCAGCCTCCGTGCGCACAGCCGCAGGCTAGCGGCCCCCAATCAGCACACAAGGAAAACGAGAACCGGGTGTGGTGAAGCGTCACCGCTCGGCCCGAGCACGTTTTGTCTCCCTTGTGTCTTCGTGGCCCAAGCGACAGGGCCCTGTCTGTGTAATTTTTGACAAGATTAAAAAGGGTAATACTAAGTAGGTCAGGCCGCAAACGGAGAACGCTGAGAGTAATAACGCTCTCGCGGCCAATCTCGATCACGCCTCTCCACAGAGCCTTTGGGGAAGGGCTCGCGTACCTGGGGTTTCTCTTTGGAGCATCCCTGGTAAGGAGACAAGCGCTGGGGGTGGGGAGTAGCAGCTCAGAGAATGAGGAGCCCCGGGCTCCTTCCTGGTCGCTCCCTCCACCCAGCCCCGCCCCTGACCCAACCCTGATGCCCCAGGATCTTCCACAGGAGGAGCTGGTGAGTGCCACGAACCCAGGAGCCACCGGCAGTTATAGGACTTATCAATGCCCCATGTAACCGGTGGGCATGACCAGCCTGATTCTGCAGATGAGGAAAAAAGGCAGGGAGAGGTCAAGTAACAGCTCAGGATCACACAGCGAGTAACTGCAGATCTGAGATGAAAGCACGAGCAGGTCTTGGCCTCGAAGCCTGGGTCATAGCCACTCCTCATTAAAAATCTTTCCTTTAGCAGGGCCCGTGGTTTACTCCTGTAATCCCGGCAAATTGGGAGGCCAAGGAAGGAGGATCACTTGAGCCCAGGAATTCAAGACCAGCCTAGGCAACAAAGTGTTGCCTGTCTCTATGAAAAAAATAATGGCTGGGCACGGTGGCTCACGCCTATAATCCCAGCACTTGGGGAGGCCGATAGGGGTGGATCATAAGGTCAGGAGTTCGAGATCAGCCTGGCCAATATGGTGAAACCCCATCTCTACTAAAAATACAAAAATTAGCTGGGTGTGGTGATGTGCGCCTGTAGTCCCGGCTACTTGGGAGGCTGAGACAGGAGAATCACTTGAACTTGGGAGGTGGAGCTTGCAGTGAGCCGAGATGATGCCACTGCACTCCAGCCTGGGCAACAGAGCGAGACTCCATCTCAAAAAAAAAAAGAAAGAAAGAAAAAACAAGGCCAGGGCGCAGTAAGCCACACTTGTAATTCCAGCACTGTGGGAGGCTGAGGCAGGAGAATGGCGCGAACCTGGGAGGTGGAGCTTGCAGTGAACCGAGATCGCGCCACTGCACTCCAGCCTCGGCAACAGAGCGAGACTCCATCTCAAAAAAAAAAAAAAAAAAAAAAAAGGCCAAAGCCAGCCAACTTCCAGTCCCCCCGGCTGAGAGTGAGGGGAACAGCTCATTTCTGTAGCTGTCTTGGAGGATCAGGGCAGGGGGTGTGACTAAATTGGAAAAGGGAAGGTCAAATCCAGCTTTGCCTCTCTGTTCCCAAATATCCCCTCCACCATCCAGTGAGCGCTTCCTAAGTGTCGATGTGCAATTTCTCACCGGACTCTCCCAGGAGCCCGCTGAGGGGTCAGCACTACCAAATCCTCTGTTTTAGATGAGGAAACTGAGGGCCGGGCACGGTGGCTCATGCCTGTAATCCCAGCACTTTGGGAGGCCAAGGAAGGAGGACTGCCTGAGGTCAAGAGTTCGAGACCAGCCTGGCCAACATAGTGAAATCTCTACTAAAAAATACAAAAATTGGCCGGGCGCGGTGGCTCAAGCCTGTAATCCCAGCACTTTGGGATGCCGAGTTGGGTGGATCACAAGGTCAGGAGATCGAGACCATCCTGGATAACATGGTGAAACCCCGTCTCTACTAAAAATACAAAAAATTAAGGCCGGGCGCGGTGGCTCAAGCCTGTAATCCCAGCACTTTGAGAGGCCGAGGCGGGCGGATCACGAGGTCGGGAGATCGAGACCATCCTGGCTAACATGGTGAAACCCCGTCTCTACTAAAAATATAAAAAATTAGCCAGGAGTGGTGGCGGGCGCCTGTAGTCCCAGCTACTCGGGAGGCTGAGGCAGGAGAATAGCATGAATCAAGGAGGTGGAGGTTGCAGTGAGCCAAGATCGCGCCACTGCACTCCAGCCTGGGCGACAGAGCAAGACTCCATCACAAAAAAAAAAAAAAAAAAAATTAGCCAGGCGTGGTGGGGGACGCCTGTAGTCCCAGCTACTCGGGAGGCTGAGGCAGGAGAATAGCGTGAACCCAGGAGGCGGAGCTTGTAGTGAGCAGAGACCGCACCACTGCACTCCAGCCTGGGCGACAGAGTGAGACTCTTGTCTCAAAAAAAAAAAAAAATTAGCCGGGTTTGGTGGTGGATGCCCGTAATCCCACCTACTAGGGAGGCCAAAGCAGGAGAATAGCTTGAACCCGGGAGGTGGAGGTTGCAGTGAGCCAAGATCATGCCACTGCACTCCAGCCTGGGCAACAGAGTGAGACTCAGTCTAAAAAAATAAAAAATAATAAAAAATAAGGAAACTGAGGCTCACAGAGGGGATGTCAATGGTCAAGATTCACAGTGAGCACAGGGCAGAGCCAGGCCTGGCTCCCAGGTCCACCCGCTCATACAACAGGCTCTTGGCCCCAGCTCCCACTTTTTTTTTGAGACGGAGTCTCACTCTATCCCCCAGGCTGGAGTACAATGGCACAATCTCAGCCCACTGCAACCTCCACCTCCCAAGTTCAAGTGATTGTCCTGCCTCAGCCTCCCGAGTAGCTGGGATCACAGGCACCCACCGCCATGCCCAGCTAATTTTTGCATTTTTAGTAGAGATGGGGTTTCACCCCATTGGCCAGGCTGATCTCAAACTCCTGACCTCAGGTGATCCACCTGCCTCGGCCTCCCAAAGTGCTGGGATTACAGGTGTGAGCCACTACGCCTCCCAACTCCCACTTCTAAGAGGTTATTCCCCGGGACTCCCATCCTCCAGGGCCTGCCCCTGGCTTGTACCAGCCAGAAGGAAAAGAATGCCAGCCTGGGAGCTGGGGGGCCAGGGAGTCAGGGGATCTGGGAGTTGGGGGACCTGCAAGCTGGGGGCCCTGGTTTCTGACCCCAGCTCAGCTCTGTTGCTCACAAGCTTGAGAACCCTGGACAGGTCTCTCTACCTCTTCATCTACCAAGCAACAAGGATGTATTAGGTGGGATCCTTCTAGGTCAAATGTCTAGAGACATTTTGGTCATCAAGATTACCAGTGGGCGCTCCTTGCATGGAGTGAGCAGAGGCCAGAGATGCTGCTCAACACCCTGCAATGCCCAGGACAGACCCTATGCCAGAGAATGACCTGGCCCCAACTGTCACTGCTATACTCTCTTATAAGGTACTGATGCTGAGAAACCGTGGCCTGGGTCTACAAGGCTTCAGACACCAGCTGGGTCCCTCTGGGCATCTAAGCAAATTTTTTTTTTTTTTTTTTTTTAGACAGAGTCTCATTCTGTCGCCCAGGCTGGAGTGCAGTGGCAGCATCTCAGCTCACTGCAACTTCCGCCTCCCGGGTTCAAGAGATTCCCCGGCCTCAGCCTGTAGAGTAGCTGGGATTACAGGTGCCCACCACCACATCTGGGTAATTTTTATATTTTTGTAGAGGCAGGGTTTCACTGTGTTGGCCAGGCTGGTCTGACCTCCTGACCTCAGGTGACCCACCCTCTTGGCCTCCCAAAGTGCTGGGATTACAGGTGTAAGCGTGGCTAATTTTTGTAGTTTGGGTAGAGGCGGGGTTTCTTTCTTTCTTTTTTTTTTTTTTTAGATGGAATCTCGCTGTGTCGCCCAGGCTGGAGTGCAGTGGTGGGAGCTCAGCTCACTGCAAGCTCCGCCTCCCGGGTTCATGCCATTCTCCTGCTTCAGCCTCCAGAGTAGCTGGGACTACAGGTGCCACGCCCGGCTAACTTTCTGTATTTTTTTTTTAGTAGAGACAGGGTTTCACCAAGTTAGCCAGGATGGTCTCGATCACCTGACCTTGTGATCTGCCCGCCTCGGCCTCCCAAAGTGCTGGGATTACAGGCATGAGCCACGGCACCCGGCCTAATTTTTGTATTTTTGTAGAGACAGGGTTTCATTCTGTTGGCCAGTCTGATCTTGACATCCTGACCTCAGGTGACCCCTCCTCAGTCTCCCAAAGTGCTGGGATTTCAGGCGTGAGCCCGGCTAATCTTTGTAGTTTTGGTAGAATGGGGTTTCGCCATGTTGAACAGGCTGGTCTGGAACTCCTGACCTGAAGTGATCTGCCCCCTTGGCCTCCCACAGTGCTGAGGTTACAGGCGTGAGCCACCATGCCTGGCCCATCTGAGCAACCCCTTGAGTCTCATTCTGCTCATCTACTCAATGGAAAAAATACTTCCCGCTGTTGGGCGCGGTGGCTCACGCCTGTAATCCCAGCACTTTGGGAGGCTGAGGCGGGCAGATCATGAGGTCAGGAGTTCGAGACCAGCCTGGTCAATATGGTGAAACCCGTCTCTACTAAAAATACAAAAAATTAGCCGGGCGTGGTGGCACATGCCTGTAGTCCCAGCTACTTGGGAGGCTGAGGCAGAAGAAGAATCACTTAAACCCAGGAGACAGAGGTTGCAGTGAGCCGAGGTCGCACCACTGCACTCCAGCCTGGGCGAGAGAGTGAGACACCGTCTGAAAAAAAAAAACCAACCAACCAACTACCCACCTGGGCCACTCTGAGGATTACTGTGAGGACCAAAAGGCGATGCAAGTGGAACCAGGCCAAGCTGCCATGTTTCACCTACTGGCTTCGCAAGGGGATGGGACCCAGGCCTTCCTGTCCGCTCTTGGTGGCATTAGTAGTTGCGCTAAGGCTGTTAAAAGAATGAGCCTGGGCTGGGTGTGGTGGCTCACACCTGTAATCCCAGCACTTTGGAGGCCAAGGTGGGCGGATTACCTGAGGTCAGGAGTTCAAGACCAGCCTGACCAACATGGTGAAACATCGTCTCTACTAAAAATACAAAATTAGCCAGGCATGGTAGTGGGCGCCCATAGTCCCAGCTACTCGGGAGGCTGAGGCAGGAGAATCGCTTGAACCCGGGAGGCGGAGGTTGCAATTAGCCAAGACCACACCACTGCACTCCAGCCTGGGCGACAGAGCGAGACTCCATCAAAACAAAAAACAAAAAAAAAAAAACAGCAGCATCCGGGACAAAACTTGGCAAGAAAAACTTCAGGGCTCCCATCTTACACAATTAAATCTATGCCTCTAGGAAAATGGCCCAGGAATCTGCATCTTTTTTTTTTTTTTTTTTGAGACAGAGTCTCGTTCTGTTGCCCAGGCTGGAGTACAGTGGCACAATCCTGGCTCACTGCAACTTCTCCCTCCCGCGTTGAAGCAATTCTCCTGCCTCAGCCTCCCGAGTAGCTGGGATTATAGGCGCCTGCCACCACGCCCAGCTAATTTTTGTATTTTTAGTAGATACTGGGTTTCACCATCTTGGCCAAGCTGGTCTTGAACTCCTGACTTCGTGATCCACCAGCCACAGCCTCCCAAAGTGCTGGGATTACAGGTGTGAGCCACAGTGCCCAGCCAGGAATCTGCATCTTAAACACACGTTCCATCTAGAAGCATAGATGGGCCAGAGAAGCTAAGAGCAGCAGTGGCCTCAACTAAAGCTACTTCTCATCTTGGGGGATCTGTACAGGGCTTGTTTAATTTCCTTTCCTCAAAGACAGGCCTCTATATAATGCTTAGCAAGCTGTAGGTGTCCAATAAATATTAAATGGTGTGATGATTCACCAGGAGGTAATGAGCTCAGGACGGAACCAAAGAGAACTTGACCTGGGGCCAGAAAAAGATCTCCTGAAACAGCTACCTTGAAGGATTTCTGACCTATCCTTCCAGGCTGGGGACAGGCACAGCGTGAGGAAAGATAGCAAGTATGAAACCAGGGAAACCTCAGTCTCCTAGACACACCATGGGTGTTAAAGTAAAATACCCTCAGCATGCAACATCGGTGGGCCCCGGCCCCCTGAGAAGGGGCTGCCAGATCCTCGGCGCTCAAGGGACATCCGTTGAGTGAATCCTCAATTCTGGACCATGAGCTCCCAGAAGGCAAGGACTGTGCCTGACTCATCCCTGTTCCTGGTCCCCAGTGCGGCACGTGTGCGTGGCAGGTGTCACCACCGAAACGTCTGCGGATCCTGGAGCAAATGCTCACAAGCACCACCCAGCCCAGGCCGAAACAAAGGAGAGGCACAGACAGGCCACCTCAAGACCCCAGGTTCTCAAACAGGACCAGGAACCACAAAGAGACTGCATCCTCCACTCGCAAAAGCCAAAGGCTGGGCCCCTCCTGCCTTGCTCCACTCAGACCACCTCGGATGTGCTTTTCTTCCTTAATGGCCAAGTTTTCCCTAGCTTGTGGTCAGTTCCCTGGGCCTCCCCGCCAAATTCATGCCCCCCCAGCTAAGCCTGGGCTACTAACCCCGGCCCCCAGCCTGTCACAGAAACCTCAAAAGCAGTGTGGTTAAAGCAGAGGAAAGAACCCCAGCCCAGTTCCCCCACTCCCCACCTCACCCCAGAATACTCAGAGTAAGGCACCTTTCTCCCATCCTTCCACTGCCTTTTAGCCATTTGCCTTCCGCTTTTCTAAATTCCTTCCTTTCCCTGACTATTTCCAGACACTCATTTGCCAATGAGATGTCATCTGATTCTTGGTGTTTTTTTCCACCTGACTGAGAACGCTCACATCTACACACTACAGACTTTTCACTCCTCTAAAATCTGGCAGTAACAGTGAAAGAGGGGGCTCTTCTCAAAAGAAAAAAACGTCTTTTCCTAAGAAAATAAAAGGTTTTATGAGAGCTATGATAACACTCTGTTAGAAATTCGGGCTGGCCAAGCGCAGTGGCTCACCCCTGCAACCCCAACACTTTGGGAGGCCGAGGCGGGTGGATCATCTGAGTTCAGGAGTTCGAGACCAGCCTGGCCAACATGGTGAAACCCTGTCTCTACCAAAAATACAAAAATTAGCTGGGTGTGGTGGTGGGCACCTGTAATCCCAGCAACTCGGGCGTCTGAGGCAGCAGAGTCAGTTGGACCCGGAGGCAGAGGTTGCAGTGAGCTGAGATCACGCCATTGCACTCCAGCCTGGGCAACAGAGCAAGACTCTGTCTCAAAAAAAAAAAAAAAAAAAAAAGGCTGGGCACAGTGGCTCATGCCTGTAATCCCAGCACTTTGGGAGGCTGAGGCGGGTGGATCACGAAGTCAGGAGATTGAGACCATCCTGGCTAACACAGTGAAACCCTGTCTCTATTAAAAATACAAAAAAATTAGCCGGGTGTGGTGGCGGGCACCTGTAGTCCCAGCTACTCAGGAGGCTGAGGCAGGAGAATGGCGGGAATACAGGAGGCGGAGCTTGCAGTGAGCCGAGATCGCGCCACTGCACTCCATCCTGGACAACAGAGCGAGACTCTGTCTCAAAAAAAAAAAAAAAAGAAACTTGGACTGATTCTACAGCAGGGGTTCTCGCCAGGGCTGATTCTATCCCGTTCCCCTCCACCCAGGGGACACTGGGCAATGACTGGGGACATCTGTCATCACCATGAATGGGGTGGGGGTGGCCTTGGCACTGAGTAGGTGGAGGCCAGGGACACTGCTCAGCACCTGCAGGGCCCAGAATGCCCCACCACAGGGAACGATCGAGCCCCATGTGTCCACAGTGCCCAGGGGAGAGACCCTAACTGGAGGCCCCTTCTTGCATCAGTAGCGCGCTTCACACTGGCTCTCCACCCCGGGTACTCACCGGAGGGGCGCTGTAGCTGGCGTGGGGGTTGTTCTGGATCTCCCACAGCCCTTCATTGAAGCCTTTCCTCTTGTTGGGCTTCCCGTACTTGTCTTTACATTTGTCGTAGGGGAACAGGTCCTTGGGTCCCAGGAAGGCTCTGGAGAAGGGAAACGGGGGCCAGTCCCAGGTGAGTGAGGCCACCCCGGGAGGCACCAGAGGAGAAAACCAAGCCCCAGAAGGGGACACTTACGTTTCGTGTGTGCCAAAGAAAAAGATGGGGTACTTGTTGGGTGGGGGCTTCACGGCGCCATCCGCGATGTCGTCGATCTGCAGTGAGAGGCCAGTGAGGGGGTGGCTTTACCCACTGACCCAGGAAATCACCGAGAAATCAGCCAAGTTACTTGGGGCAAATCACGCTGGGAGGAGGGGAGCCTTCAACCCAGGAAGCAGCAGCCCCTTCCCGATGGGAAGCTGCATTCTTCTGTGTACCCTTCACTGCAAAGCTGTGCCCCACCCAGAGAGCTCTCCCCCTACCCCAGGGACGGAGCTGGCCCCAGGGCAGGTGCTCCACCTGAGCAAAGCCAGATCCGGCCCTCTGAAGCAACCAGGGGGTGGGGCCAAGCTCAGCGTCTATGGACTCCCAGGACCTTTCCTGGGGACCCCTCCCGCAAAGAGGGGCTCACGGGCGGTCCCCCAGAGGATGCAGCTGGCAGCTCCAAGGATGCAGAGGGTGGGGGGTGGGCTACAAGAAACGGCCCTGAGCATCCAGGAAGTCCCACCCTCTCCCTGCAGGCCCATGGGCTCCGGCAGCTGTCAGTCACCTCCCCACAGGAGACTAACAGCCCCTTCACTTCCAATCAGGTGCTTGGAAACGTTTGGGGCTAGGAGAGCAGGCTGGAGAAGGGGGGACGGGGGAGAGAAAAGCGAGTGCTCTGGGAAGAAGAGAGCTGGGAAAGGGAGGGAAGTGCCTATAAAGTTGCATTGCTCTGGTCTCCCCCAAGAAAGTCAGCGCGAGCACAGCAGGCTGGAGTGGCTTCTCCCCTCCCAATGCATTCCTTCCCCATCCACGTCTCCAGCTTCTAGGGGGCTCCCGATCTTCCCTGCCCCACTCACCCAGCTTCCTTCTCGCTTGGGTCTCCTCAGAGCTACTTTATCAGAGTCCCTGGCCCCTGGGCTCGGCCATGGGCCGCCAGGCCCAGCATCCCTCTCCCGCCAGAAGCATCCTAAATTCAGTCCACCCGAGGACCAGCCCGGCATGCCTCACAGCCCCGCTTCTCCCAAGACCCGCCCACGGTCCTCCGAGGCCCACCCATCCCAGCGGCATTGCCAGCTTCGGACCTGGGCTGGTTCTGGTCCAGAGCACCGTTTGGTGTCCCCCTCCACAGCCCCTCCCTGCTGCCCCAGCCTTCCACCCCCAGTGCCAAATTCCTCAGTCCTGCCCGGCAAATTCCACCAACCTCAGCCCTGGGAGACTCAGCCCTAAGACCTGGGGATGACAATAGCCTGGGGTCCCTGCTTCCCGCTGGCCTGTACCTCTCAGGGCCTGGAACTCACCCCCTCCACACCTGGGACTCCAAGGTGCGGAATATCCTTCAGGCCAGGACACCTGGGACTATCCAGGTCGTCGGGACCCCAGCTTCCACCAAAGGGGCATCCAAGGTCCCCTCGGCCAGCCCCCTTCCCTCAGAAGCGCTCCCACTCCCTGGGCCCGGGCCTGTCTCCATTTCAAGCATTGGGGTTGGACCACCCCACCCTCAAGTCCCTCCAAAACCAGCTTCTACATCCTCCTCCCCACAGGGGACCAATCCCCAGGGTCCCCCAACAGTCCCGATGCCAACTTCATTCTAAGGTCCAGTTCCCCGAGTCCCAGTGACCCCGTGAACAGAGCCCCGAGCCCCATTCCCCCACCCCCAGCCCCTCACTCAGAGGTCCCAGCTTCCCTTAGCCTTGACCCTCAACCTTCCCCCCTGACTGCCTCCTCCAACCCTGGACCCCTAGCACATGGCCCTCGGCCCCCCAGCCCCTCAAAACTGGGCTTCTCCAGGACCCACAAGGGAGTGCTTCAGCCCCCATATCTGACCCCAAATCTCAAGTTCCGCAGTTCTGCTCAAACTTGAACCTTGAGCCCTCAGGCCTGGGATCCCCAGGCCCTCAGGTGAGGGTCCCTCAGGTCCCAGACCCTCCCAGACACCCTGCGCACGGCTCCCTGAGGCACCCTGGACACCCCCAGACACACGAGGCGTGGCTCCCTCTGGGCCAGGGCAACCCCAGATCCCCATGGTGCAGCTCCCTCAGGCACAGAAGCCCCAGACCCCCAGAGCGCAGCTTCCTCAGGCCCAGGACCCCCAGACCATTGGCGCCGCAGCTCCTTCAGGCCCTGGACACCCCCCAGATCCCCACGGCGCAGCTCCCTCAGGTCCAGGACCGCCATTCCCCCAGAGTGAGAATTTATCAGGCCCCAGACCCCCAGGGCACCGCTTCCTCGGGCCCGGGACCCCCAGACCGTCGGCGCGCGGCTCTTTCAGGCCCCAAACACCCCCAAACCCCCAAGGTGCGACTCCCTCGGGCCCAGGATACCCCCAGACTCCCAGGGAGCGACTCTCTGAGCCCCAAAACCCTCATACACCAAGGGCGAGAGTCTCTCAGGCCGCAGACACCCTCAGAACCCCTAGGCGCGGCCCCCTGAGGCCCAGGGCCCCCAGACCCCGGGGCGCGGCTCCTGCAGGGCTTGGACACCCCCAGAACCCCAGGACGCAGCTCCCTGAGGCCGAGGACCCCCAGACCCCGGGAGGGGCTCCTGCAGGCCCAGACGGCGGGTCCTGCAGGATCCGAACACCACCAGACCACAAGAACGCGGCTCCCTGCAGCCCAGGACCCCCAGGCCCCGAGGGCGGGGCTCCCTGAGGCCCAGGATCCCTAGACCCCGGGGCGCGGCTCCGGCAGGCCCCGGACAACCCCAGACCCCTAGGGCGCAGCTCCCTGCGGCCCAGGACCCCCAGACCCCCAGGGCGGGGCCGCTGCGGGTCTCGGACACCCCCAGACCCCATGAACCCCAGACCCCCGGGGCGCAGCTCCTTCAGGCCCAGGACAACCCCGGCCCTCCAGTGCCCGCCTCCGGCCCGGGGCCCCCGCTGCCCCCCCCCCCCCCCCCACCGGCCCCATCTCCCGCGCGGCCTCACCCTGGCAGGCCAGTGAGGGTAGCCCTTCATCTTAGCGAACACCAAGTCCCCGGGCTTGAAGGCGTGTGGCATGCTGACGGCGAGAGGCCCAGGCCGCGGAAAGCGGCTGCAGCGGCGGTAGCGGCTGCGGCGGCGGCGGCGGCGGCAGCGGGAGGCGAAGCCGGGGGCGGGAGCGGGACGCCGAGGGGGCGGGGGAGGCTGTCTGGGCAGCCTGCCGACGCGCGCTTATTGGGCGTTGCGCCAACGGAAGTTCAGCCCTCCGGCCGTCACGGGCCGGCAAAGCCGTCGATCAGGACCACGTGCAGGGGACAGAGAAGGGAGGCGACCAATAAGAACAGAGGTTGGAGCACAGCAGTTAACGGGATTGGATAACGGACAGACCCAAGGGGCGTAACCCAGAGACTCTAATGGGAGGTTATGGGAGGTGAAAGGGAAAGGTGGGAGGAGACGAACAGACGCTCTAAGGGAGTGAAGGGGTGGAGCTTAAGGGAAAGAGGCAGGACATAGACCTCCACAAGAGAAGGGGATATAAGGAGGGCAGAACATTGGATACCGCAGAAAAGAAGGCCAATCACTTAACGCAATGGGCGGGTCATTGACAGCCTCTCCCGCTCAGGAGGAGAGGCTTAAAGTAGATATGCAAGCCATTGGATACCACAAGAGAAGCGCCTCAAGGTAGGGAGCAGGCATTGGCCATCACAAGAGGCGGGGCTTCAGCGGGAACGTCGGCCATTGGCTATCGAAAGAAGAGCGATACAACATAAAACAGGGACGGGCGATTGCCAGCTCGAGGAGGCGGGACTTAGAGGAAGGGGCAGGCTCCGGGGGAGCTCTTAGTATAAACAGCCACAAAATGCACAAAATAGTTATTTCTTCACTTAGTTAAAAACTTAACTGAGTACCTACTATATGCCAGGGCCCCAAAACGCCACACAGACCTATTCATTCATTCAAGAAAAATGTACTGAATACCGTGGGGCCGAGTCACTTGATTGTCCTGGGCTTCGCTCTCTGCACTTGGAAGATGGGGCCCATAATGATTGTGAGGACCCTGCTCTAGACTGAGCCCGGCAACAGGAAATACAGGAAGTATTAGAAGCTATAACTCGGCCGGACGCGATGGCTCACGGCTGTAACCCCGGCACTTTGAGAGGACGAAGCGGGCGGATCACGAGGTCAGGAGTTTGAGACCAAGCCTGGCCAACATGGTGAAACCCCGTCTCTACTAAAAATACAAAAATTAGCTGGGCGTGGTGGCACGCACCTATACCAGCTACTCAGGAAGCTGAGGCAGGAGAATCACTCGAACCCAGGAGCGGGGGGTTGCAGTAAGCCGAGATCGCGCCACTGCACTCCAGACTGGGTGACAGAGCAGAAAAAAAAAAGCTATAACTCTACCTTCCGGCAGGGCGTGGTGGCTCACGCCTGTAATCCCAGCACTTTGGGAGGCCGAGGTGGGTGGATCACGAGGTCAGGAGATCGAGACCATCCTGGCTAACATAGTGAAACCCCGTCTCGACTAAAAATACAAAAAAAATAGCTAGGCGTGGTGGCAGGCGCCTGTAGTCCCAGCTACTAGGGAGGCTGAGGCAGGAGAATGGCCTGACCCCGGGAGGCGGAGCTTGCAGTGAGCCGAGATCGTGCCACTGCACTCCAGCCTGGGCGACAGCGCGAGACTCTGTCTCAAAAAAAAAACAAAAACAAAAAACAAAACTCTACCTTCCAGGAATCAAGTATAACAGGGCCAAGAAATGTTAAGTTTTAAAATTTGTTGATGTTGCTGTGTTTTGTTTTGTTTTTTGTAATTAGGATCCATGGTAAGAACTAAAATGAACCAGGGTGCTTGAGGAAAAAAAGCTGAATAATGGAGACGACTTCTTCTCTCCTGGGGGATCACAGAGGGTTACTGGATGAAGTGAGTTTAACCAGACACTGGGAGAATGAATAGAAGTTGGACATGATAGTGAGGCGAGCCCTGGGAGGGCATGAGGAGCAGAGGGAAGAGCAAAAACAAGCGTCTGATCCTCACTTAAGGTCAGGAGTACGAGACCAGCCTGGCCAACATGGTGAAATCCCATCTCTAGAAAAAATACAAAAATTAGCCGGGCGTGGTGGTGGGCGCCTATACTCCTAGCTACTTGGGAGGCTGAGGCAGGATAATCACTTGAACCTGGGAGGCGGAGGGTGCAGTGAGCCGAGATCACGCCGTTACACTACAACCTGGGTGACAGAGCGAGACTCCGTTGCAAAAAACAAACGAGACCGGGCGCGGTGGCTCACGCCTGTAATCCCAACACTTTGAGAGGCCGAGGCGGGTAGATCACTTGAAGTCAGGAGTTTGAGACCACCCTGGCCAACATGGTGAAACCGCATCTCTACTAAAAATACAAAAAATTAGCCAGGCGTGGTGGCAGGCGCCTGTAATTCCAGCTACTCGGGAGGCTGAGGCACGAGAATCACTTGAACCCGGGAAGCGGAGGTTGCAGTGAGCCAAGATCATGCCACTGCACTCCAGCCTGGGTGACAGAGCGAGACTTTGATTCAAAAAAAAAAAGAAAAGAAAAGAAAAAGCAAACAAGCAAAAACAAGAACAACAACAGCAACAACAAAAAACCCATCTGATCCTAGGATGACTGTGTGTGAGTAGGGGAAACAGATAAAGCTGGAGGGCTGGAGGGGTCCGTAGAGGACCTATCACAATACATTACAAACATAAATGAGAAGTTTGGGTTTTATTTTAACTTCTTGGGAAACTATTGGGGGGATCTGATCAGAGGATACAAAGAGAGTATTTTATTCTCAAAAAACATCCCTATGCATGTGAAATATGGATCAACAAAGACCATTTCTTTAAAACTGAAACGTAAGGCCTGGCATGGCATCTCACACCAGTAATCCCAGCACGACTGAGGTGGAAAATTCGCTTGAGCCCAGGAGTTCGAGACCAGCCTGAGCAACATGGTTAAACCCCATCTCTACAAAAAATATAAAAATCAGTTGGGCATGATCCGCACACTTCTACTCTGAGCTACTCAGGAGGCTGAGGAATGAGGATCGAGCCCAGGGAGGCAATGGTTGCAGTGAGCTGAGATTGCACCACTGCACTCCATCCTGGGCAACAGAGCTAGACCCTGTTTCAAAAAAATACAATAGGCCGGGCGCGGTGGCTCACGCCTGTAATCCCAGCACTTTGGGAGGCTGAGGTGGGCAGATCACGAAGTCAGGAGTTTGAGACCAGGGCAGCCAACATAGTGAAACCCCATGTCTACTGAAAAACAAAAATTAGCTGGGCATGATGGTGTGTGCCTGTAGTCCCAGCTACTCAGGAGACTGAGGCAGGGAGAATCGCTTGAACCCGGAGGGGGCGGTTGCAGTGAGCCGAGATTGCGCCACTGCACTGCAGCTTGGGCAACAGAGTTAGACTTCGTCTCAAAAAAATAAATAAATAAAATAAAAATTAAACATAGGCCAGGTGCCGCGGCTTATGCGTGTAATCCCAGCACTTTGGGAGGCCGAGGCAGGTGGATCACGATGTCAGGAGATCGAGATCATCCTGGCTAACACAGTGAAACCCCATCTCTACTAAAAATACAAAAAATTAGCCGGGCGTGGTGGCGGGCACCTGCAGTCCCAGCTACTTGGGAGGCTGAGGCAGGAGAATGGTGTGAACCCGGGAGGCGGAGCTTGCAGTGAGCCGAGATGGCGCCATTGCACTCCAGCCTGGGCGACAGAGCGAGACTCTGTCTCAAAAAAAAAAAAAAAAAAAAAAAGAGTTTGAGACCAGCCTAGCCAACATGGTGAAACTTTGTCTCTACTAAAAATACCAAAAAAATTGGCCAGGTGTGATGGCACATTCCTGCAATCCCAACTACTCGGGAAGCTGAGGCAGGAGGATTGCTTGAACCCAAGAGGGAGAGGTTGCAGTGAGCCGAGATTGTGCTAATACACTCCAGTCTGGGCAATAGAGCAAGACTCTGTCTGAAAACAAGAACAAAAAGAAAATACATAGACTTACCATATGACCCAGCAATTCCATTCCTACCTGCTAGGGACTGAATTTTGTACCGTCCTCTCAAATGTGTATGTGGAAGCACAGACCTCCCATGGAACCATATTGGAGATATGGCCTTTAAGAAGGCTGACCAGGCGCAGTCACTGACGCCTGTAATCCCAGCATTTTTGGAGGCCAAGGCAGGCAGATCACCTGAGGTTAGGAGCTTGAGGCTAGTCTGGCCAACATGGTAAAACCCTGTCTCTACTAAAAATACAAAAAATTAGCCTGGAGTGGTGGTGTGTGCCACCATTTTGGGCAGGCTGGTCTTGAACTCCTGACCTCAGGTGATCTGCCTGCCTCGGCCTCCCAAAGTGAGCCACAAGCGTGATCCACTGGTGTGAGCCACCAAGCCCAGCCTGAGGTGTCTTTTTAGGATGATGCAAGCTTTCTAAATTTAGATTGTGATGATGGTTGTACAATTCTGTAAATACATGATAAACTTCATTGAATTATATACTGAAAGAGGTGAAATTGATGGTATGTAAGTTATATATCAGTAAAGCTGGGTGACCACGGTAGCTGACACCTGTAATCCTAGCACTTGAGGCGGGAGGATTGTTTGAGGCCAGGAGTTTGAGACCACCCTGGCCAACATAGCAAGACTGTCCGTATTAAAAATAAATCACGCCTGTAATCTCAGCACTTTGGGAGGCTGAGGCAGGTGGATCACGAGGGCAGGAGTTCAAAACCAGCCTGGCCAAGATGGTGAAACCCCGTCTCTACTAAAAATACAAAAATTAGCCAGGCGTGGTGGCAGGCGCCTGTAATCCCAGCTACTCAGAAGGCTGAGGCAGGAAAATTGCTTGAACCCAGGAGGCTGAGGTTGCAGTGAGCCGAGATGGTGCCACTGCACTCCAGACTGGGCAACAGAGAGACTCTGTCTCAAAAAATATATATATATATTGTATGTAGATAAATATATATATAATATATATTATATATAATATTTTTATATAATATATATTATATATTATATAATATATATTTTTATATAAATATATATTAAATATTTATATATTATTATGTTATATATATTTATATATTATATATTAATATATATTTATATATTGTATATATTATATATTATATATAATACATATATTAAATATATAATATATAATATATTATATATGTGTGTTTATATATTAGATATTACATATGTGTGTATATATAATATATGTGTATATATACACACATATATAATATATGTGTATATATAATATACATATATGTATATATGTATATATATAATATATATGTATATATAATATAAATGTATATATAACATGTATATATATAATATATGTATATATAATATATATGTGTATGTATAATATATATGTATATATATGTGTGTATATATTATATATGTGTATATATAATATATATATATAATATATGTGTGTATATATTATATATGTGTGTGTATATATATATATATAAACAGACGGGGCATGGTGGCTCACACCTATAATCCCAATACTTTGGGAGGCCAAGGCCAGCAGATCACGAGGTCAGGAGTTCAAGATCAGCCTGACCAACATGGTGAAACCCTATCTCTACTAAAAATACAAAAAAATTAGCTGGGCGTGGTGGCGCACGCTGTAATCCCAGCTACTCAGGAGGCTGAGGCGGGAGAATCACTTGAACCTGGGAGGCGGAAGTTGCAGTGAGCCGAGATCGTGCCACTGCACTCCAGCCTGGGCTACAGAGTGAGACTCCATCTCAAAAAATAAATAAAGCCTTTTTTTTTTTTTTTTGAAACAGTCTCACTCTGTTGCCCAGGCTGGAGTGCAGTGGCACATCTCGGCGCACTGCAAGCTCCGCCTCCCATGTTCACGCTATTCTCCCGTCTTAGCCTCCCAACTAGCTGGGACTAAAGGCGCCCGCCACCACGCCCGGCTAATTTTTTCTATTTTTTAGTAGAGACGGGGTTTTACCGTGTTAGCCAAGATGGTCTCGATCTCCTGACCTTCTGATCTGCCCGCCTTGGCCTCCCAAAGTGCTGGGATTACAGATGTGAGCCACTGCACCTGGCCAAAGCCATTTTTTTTTTTAAAAAGATCCTTTAGCCTGCTACATTGAGAAGGGCTATAGTTAGAATTTCCAGTTAAAATTCAGGATGTCAAGTTACATCTGAAGAGCAGATACACATCACATGATTTTGTTTGTTTTAGAGACAGCGTCTCACTTATGTCACCCAAGGTGATCTAGAACATCAGAGTTCAAGAGATCCTCACATTTCAGTCTCCCAAATTACTGGGATTACAGGCATGAGCCACAACATCTGGCTGAATGATTTCTTAGTATAAATATCTCCCATGCATTTTATTTATTTATTTATTTATTTATTTATTTTGAGACAGAGTCTCGTACTGTCGCCGAGGCTGGAGTGCAGTGGCGCAATCTCAGCTCACTGCAAGCTCCGCCTCCCAGGTTCACACCATTCTCCTGCCTCAGCCTCCCAAGTAGCTGGGACTACAGGCACCACGCCTGGCTAATTTTTTTTTTTTTTTGTATTTTTAGTAGAGTCGGGGTTTCACCGTGTTCGCCAGGATGGTCTCGAACTCCTGACCTCGTGATCTGCCCACCTCGGCCTCCCAACGTGCTGGGATTACAGGCGTGAGCCACCACACCCAGCTTATTTATTTTTTTGAGACAGAGTCTTGCTCTGTTACCAGGCTGGAGTGCAGTGGCGCGATTTTGGCTCATTGCAACCTCCACTCCTGGGTTCAAGCGATTCCCGTGCTTCAGCCTCCCGAGTAGGTGGGACTACAGTGTGCGCCACCAAGCACAGCTAATTTTTTGTGTTTTAGTAGAGATGGGGTTTCACCCTGTTGGCCTCTCTGGATGGTCTCAATCTCCTGACCTCATGATCCACCTGCCTCGGCCTCCCAAAGTGCTGGATTACAGGCGTGAGCCACCGCGCCTGGCCAAGAATTTTTTTTTTTTTGAGATAGGATCTTGCTGTCCTGACCAGGCTGGAGTGCAGTGACATGATCTCAGCTCACTACAGCCTCTACACTTCGGGCTCAAGTGATCCCCCTGCCTCAGCCTCCTGAGTAGCTTGGACTACAGATATGTGCCAGCACACCTGGTTAATTTTTAATTTCTTATAAAGATGGGATCCCACTTTGTTACCCAGACTGGTCTCAAACTCCTGAGCTCAGGCAGCCCTCCTGCCTCGACCTCTCAAAGTGCTGGGATTACAGGTATGAACCACCTTGCCCGGCCCCATGCAATTTTTTTTTTTTTTTTTTTTTTTTTTTGAGAAACAGTCTCACTATGTCACCCAGACTGGAGTGCAGTGGTGTAATCTTGGCTCACTACAGGCTTGACCTCCTGAGCTCAAGGAATCTTCCTGCCTCAGTCCCCCAAGTGGCTGGGACTAAAGGTGTGTGCCACTATGGCAGGCTAATTTTTTTTTTTTTTTTTTTTTGTAGAGATGGGATTTCACCATGTTGCCAAGGCTGGTGCAATATCTTTTTTTTCCTTTTTTTTTTTTTTTGAGACGGAGTCTCTGTCACCCAGGCTGGAGTGCTGTGACACAATCTTGGCTCACTGCAATCTCAACCTCCTGGGTTCAAGGGTTTCTCCTGCCTCAGCCTCCCGAGTAGCTGGGATTACAGGCACGTGCCACCACACCTGGCAAATTTTTGTATTTTTGGTAGAGTCGGGGTTTCATCATCTTGGCCAGCCTGGTCTCGAATTGCTGGCCTCAAGTGATCCACCAGCCTCGGCCTCCCAAATTGCTGGGATTACAGGCATGAACCACCGTGCCCGGCCTGCAGTATCGTTTAAAAACTATTTGTTACACAGGCTGCAACCTTAAGACGATATCCTCAGTGAAATCAGCCAGACGTAAAAAGACAAGTACTGTCTTATATGTATCCACTCATAAGAGGTCCCTAGGGTTGTCAAATTCATAGAGACGAAAAGTAGACTAGAGGTTATCAGGGTTGGGGGTAGTTATTACTTAATTAGGCAGAATTTACGTTTCACTAGATGAAATGTAACGATTGCTGTAATGGTTGCACAACAATGCGAATGTACTTGAGGCCACCGAACTGTACACGTAAAAGTGGTTAATGGCTGGGCACGGTGGCTCACACCTGTAATCCCAGCACTTTGGGAGGCCGAGGCCGGCGGATCACGAGGTCGGGAGATCGAGAACATCCTGGCTAACATAGTGAAACCCCATCTCTACTAAAAATACAAAAAAAATTAGCCGGACGTGGTGGTGGACATCTGTAGTCCCAGCTACTCGGGAGGCTGAGGCAGGAGAATGGCGTGAACCCGGGAGGTAGAGCATGCAGTGAGCTGAGATTGCACCACTACACTCCAGCCTGGGTGACAGAGCAAGACTCTTTCTAAAAAAAAAAAAAAAAAAAAAAAATTGCGGGGCGCGGTGGCTCACACCTGCAATCCCAGCACTTTGGGAGGCCAAGGCAGGTGGATCAGGAGGTCAGGAGTTCTAGACCAGCCTGGCCAAGATGGTAAAACCCTGTCTCTGCTAAAAATGCAAATATTAGCTGGGCGTGGTGGCTGTAATCCTAGCTACTCGGGAGGCTGAGGCAAGAGAATCACTTAAACCCAGGAGGCGGAGGTTGCAATGGTTAAGCTAGGTGCAGTGACTCATGCCTGTAGTCCCGGCTACTTGGGAGGCTGAGGTGGGAGGATCACTTGAGCCTGGGAGTTCTGGGCTGCAGTGACCCATGATTGTGCCTGTGAATGGCCACTGTAGTTGTGCTCCAGCATGGGCAACATAGGAAGACCACATCTGTATAAAAAATTTTTGGGCCAGGCACGGTGGCTCACACCTGTAATCCCAGCACTTTGGGAGACCAAGGTGGGTGGATCACGAGGTCAGGAGTTCAAGACCAGCCTGGCCAACATGGTGAGACCTTGTCTCTACTAAAAATACAAAAATTAGCCGGGCGTGGTGGCGTGTGCCTGTAATCCCAGCTACTGAGGAGGCTGAGGCAGGGGAATCGCTTGAACCCAGGAGGCAGAGGTTGCAATGAGCTGAGATCACACCATTGCACTCCAGCCTGGGTGACAAGAGCAAAAACTCCGTCTCAAAAATAATAATAAGAAGAATAATTTAAAGTTCCAACAGCTTTACAATCAAACGCTGGGCGAGGTGGTTAACACCACTAATCCTGGTGATTTGGGAGGTTGAGGGGGATCACTTGAGACCAGGAGATCTATACCAGCCTGGGCAACCTAGCGAGACCCCATCAGTATAATACATATTTCATTTTTAAAATTTAAACAGTTATTTGTTTACTTTGAGTTTATCTTTTTTTTTTTTTTTTTTGAGACAGAGTCTCACTCTGTCACCCAGGCTGGAGTGCAGTGGCAGGATCTCGGCTCACTGCAAGCTCTGCCTCACGGGTTCACGCCATTCTCCTGCCTCAGCCTCCCGAGTAGCTGGGACTACAGGCGCCCACCACCACGCCCGGCTAATTTTTTGTATTTTTAGTAGAGATGGGGTTTCACCATGTTAGCCAGGATGGTCTCAATCTCCTGACCTCGTGATCCGCCCACCTTGGCCTCCCAAAGTGCTGGGATTACAGGTGTGAGCCACCACGCCCGGCCGAGTTTATCTTTTAATGGTTTTTTGTTTGTTTGTTTGTTTTTTGTTTTTTGTTTTGAGACGGAGTCTTGCTCTGTCGCCCAAGCTGGAGTGCAGTGGCGCGATCTCAGCTCACTGCAAGCGCCACCTCCCAGGTTCACGCTATTCTCCTGCCTCAGCCTCCCAAGTAGCTGGGACTACAGGCACCCACCACCACACCTGGCTAATTTTTTGTATTTTTAGTAGAGACGGGGTTACACCATGTTAGCCAGGATGGTCTCGATCTCCTCCTGCCTCAGCCTCCCAAGCAGCTGAAGCTGCAGGTGCGCACCACCATGCCTCACTAATTTTTGGTTTGTTTGTTTTTTGAGACAGAGTCTCACAAACCAGAATGCAGTGGCATGATCTCAGCTCACTGCAACCTCTGCCTCCCAGGTTCAAGCAATTCTCATGCCTCAGCCTCCCAAGTAGCTGGGATTACAGGGAGGCACAACCAGCACTGATTTTTTTTTTTTTTTTTTTTGGTAGAGACAAGGGTTCGCCATGTTGCCCAGGGTGTTATTTTTATTTTATTTATTATTATTATTATTTTTTGAGATGGAGGCTTGCTCTGTTGCCCAGGCTGGAGTGCAGTGGCATGATCTTGGCTCACTGTGACCTCTGCCTCCCGGGTTCAAGCGATTCTCTGCCTCAGCCTCCTGAGTAGCTGGGATTACAGGTGCTGCCACCACCCCTAGCTAATTTTTGTATTTTATTTTTAGCAGAGACAAGGTTTCATCATGTTGGCCAGGCTGGTCTTGAACTCCTGACCTTGTGATCCACCCACCTCAGACTCCCAAAGTACTGGGATTATAGGGGTGAGCCACTGTGCCTGGCCTGTTATTTTTATTTTTTAGTAGAAACAAGGTCTCACTATGTTACCCATCCTGGTCTTGAACATCAGGGCTCAAGCAATCCTCCTCCCTCGGCCCCCCAGTGTTCTGGGATTACAGGCGTGAGCCACTGCGCAAGATTGAACAATTTTTAAAAAATTACCCGGAGGCCGGGTGCAGTGGCTCACGCCTGTAATCCCAGCACTTTGGGAGGCTGAAACAGGCGGATCACCTGAGGTCAGGAGTTCAAGACCAGCCTGACCAACATGGAGAAACCCTGTGTCTACTAAAAATACAAAAAAGTAGCCAGGCATGGTGGCGGGTGCCTGTAATCTCAACTACTCGGGAGGCTGAGGCAGGAGAATCCGAGAGATGGAGGTTGTGGTGAGCCGAGATCGCACCATTGCACTACAGCCTGGGCAACAAGAGCGAAATTCCTTCTCAAAAAAAAAAAAAAAAAAAAAATTAGCTGAGTGTGGTGGCACATGCCTGCAGTCCCAGCTTCTTGGGAAGCTGAGTGGGGAGGACTGCTTGAGCTCAGAAGTTCTAGGCTGCAGTGAGCCATGATTGTGCCACTGCACTCCAGCGTGGGGAAGAGAGTAAGACCCTGTCTAAAAAAAAAAAGAAAGCTGGGCATGGTGGCTCATGCCTGTAATCCCAGCACTTTGGGAGGCCGAGGCGGGCGGATCACGGGGTCAGGAGATCGAGACCATCTTGGCTAACACGGTGAAACCCCGTCTCTACTAAAAATACAAAAAATTAGCCGGGTGTGGTGGCGGGCGCCTGTAGTCCCAGCTAGTCGGGAGGCTGAGGCAGGAGAATGGTGTGAACCTGGGAGGTGGAGCTTGCAGTGAGCCAAGATTGTGCCACTGCACTGCAGCCTGGGCAACAGAGCGAGACTCCATCTCAAAAAAAAAAAAAAGAAAAGAAAAGAAAAGAAAAATAAATGTTGTCCTCCCAAAGTGCTGGAATTACTGGTGTGAGCCACCGACCGCTCCTGGCAGAAATGTTAAATTATTTAATCTCATAACCTCATCCGACATGAGGAAGATAGTCCAGGAGAGCGTCATGGTGGAAGAGGATTGAGTTAGGCAGAGGAAGAGAAGTCCCTTCTGGTAAAGGAGAATGCCTAGGCAAAGGCCCAGAGGTGAGCTGGAAATACTTCCAGGTAACTGAGGCAGAGGTGGAAAGGTGGGTGATAACAAGAAACGGGGTTTCTGAAACCCTCAGAATACTTAGAACCTGAAATAGAAATTTATTAGGGCCTATTAATGTTAGGATCTCCTTAGACCAGGCTGAGGAACCCCATAGGATTTTATTCTTGGAGAAGTGGGATGGGTCTCTGCCACTTTCCAGCTGTGTGACTTTGGCCCAGTGTTGTACCTTTATTTGAGTTATAGGGTATACAATTCCTTATTCACAACAATGAGCTGTAATTTTCTTTTCTTTTCTTTTTGAGACGGAGTCTTGCTCTGTTGCCAAGCTGGATTGCAGTGGCGCAGTCTCGGCTCACTGCAACCTCTGCTTCCCAAGTTCAGGTGATTCTCCTGCCTTAGCCTCCTGAGTAGCTGGGATTACAGGCATGAGCCACCGTGCCCGGCATACTGAGAACTTTCTAATCACATGATCACCCCTACAATCTATAGAGAGTGTTATTCTTATCCCCATTTCATAGATAGGAGACTGGAGATCAGAAAGATTGAAGTTTGGGTTGCACTGTATTCTTCTTTTATTTATTTATTTTTTTACTTTATTTATTTATTTTTGAGACAGAGTCTCGCTCTGTCGCCCAGGCTGGAGTGCAGTGGTGCAATCTCAGCTCACTGCAACCTCTGTCTCCTGCGTTCAAGTGATTCTGCTGCCTCAGCTTCTCAAGTAGCTGGGATTACTGGCACACACCACCACACCCGGCTGATTTTTGTATTTTTAATAGAGACGGGGTTTTGCTATGTTGGCCAGGTCGGTCTTGAACTTCTGACCTTAAGTGATCCACCCGCCTTGACCTCCCAAAGTGCTGGGATTACAGGTGTGAGCCACCGCACCTGGCCCAATTCTTTTCCTTTTTTTTTTTTTTTTGAAACGGAGTCTTGCTCTGTTGCCCAGGCTGGAGCACAGTGGCATGATCTCGGCTCACTGTAAGCTCTGCCTCCTGGGTTCACGCCATTCTCCTGCCTCAGCCTCCCAAGTAGCTGGGACTACAGGCGCCCGCCACCAAGGCTGGCTAATTTTTTTAAAAATTATTTTCAGTAAAGACAGGGTTTCACCGTATTAGCCGGGATGGTCTCAATCTCCTGACCTCGTGATCCACCCGCCTCGGCCTTCCAAAGGGCTGGGATTACAGGCATGAGCCACCGTGCCTGGCCTTTTTTTCTTTTTTTAATAAGACAGGGTCTGGCTCTGTTGCCCAGGCTGGAGTGCAGTGGCGTGATCCTAGCTTACTGCAGCCTCCAATTCCTGGGCTAAAGCAATCCTCCCACCTTGGCCTCCCAAAATGTTGGGACTGCAGGCCTGAGCCACCCGTCCAACCCATGATATTTCAATTTCAGTCTTGGGGTGGGCTGTTTCCTCACCTGGAGGCTTCTCCTCCATCAGTCTCTGTGTATCTCATTCCAACTCCTTCTTTTTTGAGGCAGAGTCTCCCTCTGTTGCCCAGGCTGAAGTGCAATGGCGAGATCTCGGCTCACTGCAACCTCCACCTGCCGGGTTCAAGCGATTCTCCTGCCTCAGCCTCCCGAGTAGCTGGGATTACCGGTGCCCATAGAGACAGGCTTTCACCATGTTGGCCAGGCTGGTCTCAAACTCCTGACCTCAAGTGATCCGCCGGCCTCGGCCTCCCAAAGTGCTGGGATTAGAGGCATGAGCCACCACGTCTGACCCCCAACTCCCATTTTTTGAGGCTTGTTTTAACTGTCACTTTGTGTATCTTCTTTGTGGATTGCACAGACCAAAGTACGCCACTATTAACTGGTGTCCACCAAAGTGGATCCCCAATCCCCAGGTCCCAATTGGGTGCATTGGGTGCATCCTCTTTTTTTTTTTTTTTTTTTTTTTTTGAGACGGAGTCTCGCTCTGTCGCCCAGGCTGGAGTGCAGTGGTGAGATCTCGGCTCACTGCAAGCTCCGCCTCGCGGGTTCACGCCATTCTCCTGCCTCAGCCTCCCGAGTAGCTGTGAGTACAGACGCCTGCCACCATGCCCGGCTAATTTTTTGTATTTTTAGTAGAGACGGGGTATCACCGTGTTAGCCAGGATGGTCTCGATCTCCTGACCTTGTGATCCGCCCGCTTCGGCCTCCCAAAGTGCTGGGATTACAGGCATGAGCCACCGCGCCCGGCCCAGGTGCATCCTCTTAAACAGCTCCTACCTAGGGTACGTGGTGATGGTGGCGGGGGGGTGCTTCAGGCACCAAAACAGGCCAGATCGTGGGGGCCTCCAATACCCAACATTGAATTGGGATTTTATCACGTAAGCTCTGGGGAGACAGAGAAGGTTGGAATTTTTTTTGTTTTGCTTGAGACAGGGTCTCTCTCTGTCGCCCAGGCTGGAATGCAGTGGCTTGATCACAGCTCACTGCAGCCTCGACCTCTTGGGTTCAAGCGATCCTCCCGCCTCTGCCTCCCAAGTAGCTGAGAGGCGCGCGCCACCACCCTCGGCTAATTTATTTTATTTTATTTTTTTTTTTTTTATAGAGACGAGGTTTTGCCATGTTGCCAGGCTGGTCTCCAACTTCTGGGATCAAGCAATCCTTCCGCTTGAGCCTCCAAAGTGCTGTGATTGCAGGCGTGAGCCACCGCGCCTAGTTTAGGTTGAGCAGCGAAAGGGATAGGGCCCAGTGCTTTCTCTGCGAGGTTCAGTTGGCCTGTCCCTGTCCTATCACCGTTTGTCACCGTTTGGGGAGCGCCACGGAATGCCCTGTCTCCAATCGAGAGGTGCACTCGTCGCCCTGGCAACGGAGTCCGGAAGAACCACAGAGACGCGGCTCCAGCGTACAGAGCGGCCGCCCTGGGCCAGCAAGGCACCGAGCGCTAGAGAGGCACGTCTAGTCGATTGTCACGTGGCAGGCCAGGGGAAGGCGGGACTTCCGGCGGCGAGGTAAATTTTTTTTTTTTTTTTTTTTTTTTTTTTAATTTTCTTCCGGTGGCTGGTCTCCGGCGGCCCCGTCCCCGACTGGGCCCCGTGCCCCCCCGCCCCCGCGGCCCCCCGCCGCCGGGCCAGCCGCCACCATGAAGAAATTCTTTCAGGAGTTCAAGGCCGACATCAAGTTCAAGAGCGCGGGACCCGGTCAGAAGCTCAAAGAGTCCGTGGGGTGCGTGAGGAACGCAGGGGCTTGAGGCCCTGCGGGGCGGGGACGGCCGGGGAGAGAGATCTGGGGCCTTGGGCGGCTCGGGAGATCGGAGAGGATGAGGGGCTGGGAGCGGCACGCGAGGGTCAGGGGAGGGGGAGAGGCGCCGGGGGCGGACGAAGTCGGGCCGAGGGTGGGCGTCAGGGGGAGGGGAGAGAGATCTGGGGGCGGGGCAGGAGGGGGCGGGTATGACCCGGGGGCGCGGCGGGGGAGGCGAGGGGAGGGGAACTAGCGCAGGGGGCGGGGCGGGAGGGGAGGTCTCGGGGGCGGGGCCGCAGGAGGGTCCGATGCAGTGGCGGGGGATTAGGGCGACGGGGCTGTAGGCAGTTGGGGGTCAGTGGAACGACCTTTGGGGAAAAACGGGATCATGAGTCCTGAGCCGGGTGGTGAGGGAGAGCTCTGTCTGGGGACCCGGCTGGCCGAAGAGGCCGGGATGATTTGGGGCAATCTAGGTGACCATGGATGGGAGCTGAGCTTGGAGGAGGACGCACAGCTGTGGGGTGGGGTGGTGAAGAGTTGTTTTGAGGTATCCATGGGAAGAGGGGTTCTGGATTTGGTATCTGGAGCACGTGGGAGGCTGATGGGAGACTAGAAAGAGTCTGGAAGGCCAGGGAGGCCGGGGTGGGCAGCGTCGTCAGTGACCTGGGATGTCCTGGCGAATTGAGAGGGAGGGGCTGAGGAAGGTGTGTGAGGAGAGTGGAGGTGAGGGATTCTGACAGATGGACTCTTACCCGGGAGGGGCCTGAGAGGAGAAGACGGGTGAGACAGACGCGTCTTAGCAGGCTGGGAGAAAGAGCTTCTCTGCGAGGCTTCTCTGCCACGTCACTGTGCCAAGTGGATTATGGAAGTGGGAGAGGAGGGGAAAGGAGATAGATGCCGGGCAGGCTTCCGGATTGTCTAGGGAGGACTTGGAGAGAAGGGCCTGAGCAGGGCTGAGCCAGCTGGGAGGGCCGGGGAAGAAGTGGAGCTAGGGAAGGTGCAAGGCTGAGGGCTGTTGGGTTGAGAAAAGGGAAACTGGAGAGCTGGGGCCGCTGCAGGGAGCTGGCTGGCCAGAGGGTGGTGGGGACTGATGGAGAGGGACTGAGGAAGTCAGCCAGGCAGCCAGGACACGGGTCTGTAAGCAATAGTGGAAGGGATTGTGAGGGAGTGGGGGCTGGGAGAGGCAGGGAGGTGGCAGGAAGTGGGGGTCAGGAATCACGGGGCAGTGGGGTGGTGATGGAGGTAGGGGCATAGTGAGGACGTCAGGGTTCCTGGGGGAGAGCAGGAGAGCAAAGGCTGAGTGAGGGAGGGAGAGGGGTCAGGGAGAGAAGGGGGCAAATCGGGGGAGCCCTTCATTGATTCAACCAATAGTGGGTGGGGGGTGCTGGGGCCACTGGGACTGGGCATGATAGGAAGGATGCAGGGTATCGGGGTGATGGCTGGATCAGCCCAGAGCCTGGGCGGAGAGGGGAAGGTTGGAGGGGAAGGTTGGGAAAGGAAGCGGTGCGGAGGTCCCTTGTGGAGCGAGACTGCATATCCAGGGTGTGTGGGGTGGGTGGGCACCAAGTCCTGTTTTAGGCTGCAGTGGTGGACAGGAGAAGGCCTCTGCTGTCCCAGGGCTCACCTTCTAGAGGGAGCCGATGGACAAATAAACCAACAGACCTTGGATGAGCGCTCAGGCGATGAGTGCTTGGATGAGTGCCCAGGGCCTCCAAGGAGGGTGAGCAGGGGCCGTCAGGTGGTTTGGGAAGGCCTCTCCCAGGACACAGTGAGACTCAGCTGTGGGGAAATCTGCCCCTCCTTCTCTCCCTGCGGCAGCTCTAGCCCTTTCCAGACCCCCATCCTCCTCCCACTCCCCCGGAGAACATTCTGGGCAGAAGGTGCAGACAGTGCAGGGGCCTGCAGTGGGGAGCAGCTGGGGTGTGGGAAGAACTGCGGGGAGCCCAGGGGAGACAGGCCACGGGAGGGCAGTGGGCCAGGCTGGGAAGGGCTCTCTGGCCAAGGGAAGCTTTAGGATTTTGCAGTGGGAGGGCGTTGTGCAGTGGAGTGATGCTGACGCTCCCTGGCTGAGGTTCCAGAAGGGTCCCTGTGGCTGCCCAGGGGGGCAGGGTCCATGGCTGGTTGGGGTGAGGTGCCCTGGGAAATGGCATTTTGTTGGAAAGACCCAGATATCGGATGAGGCCGGGGTGGGTCTTCATGAGTCATCTCCTCTTCCACCCAAGATGCTCAGCTGTGGGAGGACTAGATAGGCAGGGGTGGGACGAGGAGGGAGGGCTGCCCGGGTATGTAAGCAGAGCCAGAGGAGTATAGGGCTTGAACTGAGAGCCTGGCCTCCCAGAAGGTTTTAATAGACCTACGGCACAGAAATTGACACAGCCCGTAAGTTCATGGGAGGGGCCTGAGAGGAGACGGGTGAGACAGACGCGTCCGAGCAGGTTGGGAGAAAGGGCTTCTCTGCGAGGCTTCTCTGCCAGGTCACTGTGCCACGTGGGTTACGGAACTCTCCTTGGTGTAGGGCTCAACAGGGTGGAGCCACGAGTCCATGAGCTCTTCGTACTTGCACAGCCCTAGGCCTGGCATGGAGTGGCCAGGGCGAGGCTGGTTCTGCTGTCCGCTCTCCCCAGGGTCCCGCCACGAGGGTGGCGTGGCATGGGGCACATCGCCCGGACTTCCTGTCCCTCTTGGGTTTAGGAATGGGATGGTGAGGCCTCCCTGGCAGCTTGTTAGGAGGAGTAAACCAAGCGAGCCGACCAGCTCCCAGCAGGGTCCTGGCACACAGTAGGTGCTCAGCAAACGAAGCTGTGACCTGAGGGTGGAGAGTCTTATGGCAGGGAGGGAGGGAGGATGTGACACCCCTTGAGTCTCCTCAATTCCTGAGGATGCGGGCTGGGTGCTGTGGCTCATGCCTATAATCCCAGCAGTTTGGGAGGCCACGGTGGGAGGATCATTTGAGGCAAAAGTTCGAGACCAGCCTGAGCTACATAGCGAGACCCTGTCTCGATAGAAAAATTAGCCAGGCATGATGATGCTTGCCTCTAAGTCCCAGCGACTTGGGAGGCTGAGGCGGGAGGATTCCTTGAGCCTGGGAGCTCAGGATTGCAGTAAGCCATGATCGTGCCACTATACTCCAGCCTTGGTGAGAGAGCAAGACCCTGTCTCAAAAAGAAAAAAAGCACTGAGGATGTCAAGGTGCCTTCACCTCAGGAGGGGTGCTGTCACCCCATTTTACAGATGAGGACGCTGAGGGCCAGTGGGGGCAGGACTTGCCCGATGGTGCAGAGCTGAGTGGAACCAGCATCTCCTTCCTCCAGGGGCTCTTCCGCCTGCAGTAGAACCATCTGGTGGCTGCAGGTGGCCCCTGGGAACCAGGTGTCCTGGCCCACATAGGCAGGGACACGTCTGGCTGATGGTGCTGGGGAGGGGCAGAAGCTCCTCTGTGTGACTGCACGTCAGCTTTGCCGGCCACCTCGGGAGGATACACTCACTCTCCCTCGGTCTGTTCCCAGGGAAAAGGCCCACAAAGAGAAGCCCAACCAGCCAGCCCCCAGGCCGCCCCGCCAGGGACCCACCAATGAGGCACAGATGGCAGCCGCTGCCGCCCTAGCCCGGCTGGAGCAGAAGCAGTCCCGGGCCTGGGGCCCCACATCGCAGGACACCATCCGAAACCAGGGTGAGATATGGCCCTCCTCGGGCCCAGGTTGGGGCTGTTTGAGGTTCTCGGCCCTGGTGCCTGGCCCTGGATGCAGAAGTCACATGAGCAACCGTGGGGGTGTGAGGGTCACCCTTGGGAGCGGCTCATCAAGGGCAGGTGCTGGGGGAAGGGCAGCTTCCTGGGGAGGGGGTGGGAGCAGAGACTTGGAGCAGAAACGGGCTGCCCAGGCAGTGGGGTGCTTGCTCAGGCTGAGGGGTGGCTGCACAGCAAGTCCTGCAGGGGACCTCCAGCCTGACCTCCAGCAGAAGCAGGCTGGGGCGGTGTGCGTGGCCCCCAGGCCCACCCCGGGAATGAGGGGGCTTGGGCCAGGACAGCGGCGTGCTCACTATCCCGTCTCTGCCTCTCTTTCTTGGGCTGCCTTCCAGTGAGAAAGGAACTTCAAGCCGAAGCCACCGTCAGCGGGAGCCCCGAGGCCCCAGGGACCAACGTGGTAAGAACAGCCACTGGTGGCACTGTCCCATGCCAAGGGGTGGGGACAGCTTGACTGTGTCACGGGGGAGATGTGGCCTCTGCCCTTGGGGCTCAAGGGCTGTTGGAAAACCTTGCCTTGCAAGGTGGACACAGGTTGTGGTGGAACACGGTGTTGTCTGGGACCTTCGGGGCTCGGCAGCTGAGGATGCCGGCTCAGGCCTGGAGAAGTGGGCCTCAGGTACACGAGCCCATCGCTCCCTCCCCTTAACCCCTTAAGGGCAGATGCAGTTACAGTTTCCACTATTCAAAAAGAGAACCGGGGTTGAGAGAGGTGAAACCAGCTGTCCTCTCTCCTACACCCCAGGACCAGCAAAGGCAGGACCAGAGCCAGTCTGTGGTTTCAGAGCCTGTCCCCTAGCACTGCCCAGTCCTGCCTGCCTTGGAGGTCAAGAGGCTCTGTGGAGACGGGTGGAATCAGGGAGGCCTTCCTCTAGGAGGTGGGCCTTCAGAGCTCCGCTGAAAGGAGTTCTAAGCAGCTTGACCCTCGAGGATTCAGTGAATTTTAGCACGCAGGGACCTTAGAGATGGCCTAGAAATGGAGGCCCAGAAGTCATGCCTTGTCCAGCGCACTGTGCCCGCAGACACCCACACAGAGCTCCTTCCTCAACAGCTTGGGGACAGGACCAGCAGGAACCCAGCTGCCATCTGCTGGGTGTTTCCTGCGTGTCAGAAGCTGCTCCGTACTTTCCGTTCCTTACCTCGTTTAGTTCTGAGCAGGCCCCACAGGGACATTTGACATACCAGGGAAAAGACTCGGGGATCCGGTCACTTGGCCAGGGTGTCTCCCACGGCCACCAGGTGGAAGGGACAGCATGGGGGCTGGAGATGTCTGGTTCTACGGGCCACACTCAGGACTGTGGTGCTCGGCGAGGGTCGGGGTGGCCTCTGTCCACGGTCCAGACTTGGACGCTTTCACCGCCCCAGGTATCTGAGCCCAGAGAGGAAGGCTCTGCCCACCTGGCTGTGCCTGGCGTGTACTTCACCTGTCCGCTCACTGGGGCCACCCTGAGGAAGGACCAGCGGGACGCCTGCATCAAGGAGGCCATTCTCTTGGTGAGTGGCACCCTGTGTGCTCCTGCCCCAACCTGTAGCTTCCTGTGCCTGAGCCACCCTCCATCGGAAGCCCAGGTGGTACAGATCCCTCCCAGAGTCCCCAGAGGCCACTGCTAGTAGTGAAGCCCCTCCTCTGATACCCCAAATCCAGGCACACCATTGTGTATGCATCTGTATCTCCTCTCTCCCAACTAGGTGTCTTTTTTTTTTTTTTTGAGATGGAGTCTCACTCTGACACCCAGGCTGGAGTGCAGTGGCGCATTCTCGGCTCACTACAACCTCCGCCTCCTGGATTCAAACGATTCTCGTGCCTCAGCCTCTCAAGTAGCTGGGATTACAGGCACCTGCCACCATGCCTGGCTAATTTTTGTATTTTTAGTAGAGATGGGGTTTCACCATGTTGGCCAGGCTGGTCTCGAACTTTTGCCTCAAGTGATCAACCCGCCTCAGCCTCCCAAAGTGCTAGGATTACAGACGTGAGCCACCACGCGTGGCCTGGTTGTTTTTCATAAAAGGTTAAGTATTATTTGCTTCAATACAGAAAGAACTTCCTACAAAATTAGCCAGGCATGGTGGCACATGCCTGTAATCCCAGCTACTCGGGAGGCTGAGGCAAGAGAATTGCTTGAATCCAGGAGGCAGAGGTTGTGGTGAGCCGAGATAGCGCCATTGCACTCCAACCTGGGCAACAAGAGCAAAACTCCATCTCAAAAAATAAAAACGTCCACAGCATTTTTTTCCAATACAGCAAGTCCTCACTTAACACCATCAATAGGTTCTCAGAAACTTCGGCTTTAGCCTGGGCAACATGGCAAAACCCTGTCTCTGCCAAAAACAAAAAAAAATAGCTGGGCATGGTGGCGTGCACCTGCAGTCCCTGCTACTCAGAAGGCTGAGGTGGGAGGATTGCTTCAGCCTGGGAGGTAGAGGCTGCAGTGAGCTGTAATCATGCCACTGCACACCAGCCTGGGTGACAAGTGAGACCCTTTCTCAGAAAATAGTAAGTGGCTGGGCGCGGTGGCTCTTGCCTGTAATTCCAGTGCTTTGGGAGGCTGAGGCAGGTGGATCACCTGAGGTCAGAAGTTCCAAGACCAGCCTGGTCAACATAGTGAAACCCCCTATCTACTAAATATACAAAAATTAGCCAGGCGTGGTGACAGGCGCCTGTAATCCCAGCTACTCAGGAGACTGAGGCAGGAGAATCGCTTGAACCTGGGAGGTGGAGGTTGCAGTGAGCCCAGATCACGCCATTGAGCTCCAGCGTGGACACTGGGTGACAAGAGCGAAACTTCATCTTAAAAACAAAACAAAACAAAATAGTAATAGTTCCATAGACTCTCCAGACTCACACCCACTCCAGCAGTGTGTGCAAAAGCACCCGTGTCCCCATCCTCTCACCATACTGTAAATCACCAAACTTTGATCTTTACGCCTGTTGGTAGGTGAAAATAACATCTCAGGATAGAGTTAATTTGCACTTTCCTTATTTTGGATTGGCCATGTTTCATATGAGAATGCGTCCTTTCTACATTATTTAGTAGATAGTTTGTCTTTTTATTAGTGATTTGTAGGCACTCTTTTTTTTTTTTTTTTTTTTTTTTTTTTGAGACAGAGTCTCGCTCTGTCGCCCAGGCTGGAGTGCAGTGGCGCCATCTCTGCTCACTGCAAGCTCCGCCTACGAGGTTCACACCATTCTCCTGCCTCAGCCTCCCGAGTAGCTGGGACCACAGGCGAACCGCCACCACGCCCAGCTGATTCTTTGTATTTTTAGTAGAGACGGGGTTTCACCATGTTAGCCAGGATGGTCTCGATCTCCTGACCTCGTGATCCGCCCGCCTCGGCCTCCCAAAGTGCTGGGATTACAGGCGGGAGCCACCGTGCCCGGCAGCACTCTTTACATATTAGGCAATTTAGGCTTTTGCCTATGATATGAGTTGCACATGTTTCCCTCTAGTTGCTTCTATGTTGGCTCTGCTTATGGTCACTTTGCTGTGTAGGATTTTTTGATCTCTGTATAATTAAATGTGTCAGTTTTAGTTCATGGCTTTTGGGTTTGGGGTCATTCTTAGAAATGCCTTCCCCATTTCCATGCTGAGAGAATTCTTTTGTGGCCTCTCCAGTGCTTTTTTTTTTTTTTTTTTTGAGACAGAGTCTTGCTGTCACCAGGCTGGAGTGCAGTGGTGCAATCTCAGCTCACTGCAACCTCTGCTTCCCGGGTTCAAGCAATTCACCTGCCTCAGCCTCCCAAGTAGCTGGGACTACAGGTGCACGCCACCACACCCGGGCTAACTTTTGTATTTTAGAGATGAGGTTTCACCATGTTGGCCGGGATGGTCTCGCTCTCCTAATCTCGTGATCCGACCGCCTCGGCCTCCCAAAGTGCTGGGATTCCAGGCATGAGCCACCGTGCCCGGCCTCCAGAGCTTTTCTTCTGGCTTCTCCTTGACTGCTTGCTTGTTTCCATGGTTGAAGCTTTGATCCAGCTGGAGCATGTTATTATGTAACATGGTGGGATGGAGCTGATGTAATTTTTTTTTTAGATCTTGGCTCAGCTTTCTTCTCAGCCCCACCTGTCGAGAGCACCTGTCTTTTGCTTACAGCTGTGAAATCCCACCTTTCTCACAAAGTACATTCCTGTATGGATTTGGACCCCTTCCTGGCTGCTGTTCCTTCGTCCCTTGTCTGTGCATGTACCCAGCTCCTGACCTAAGCCTGGCAGCCAGTCGCCCAAAACGCCCGAGGCCCGCTTTTGGAGCTGACACGCTTCCCTTGGCTGGTGTGCTGTCCCGGGCGCTCTGATCCCAAGGAAGCTGTTGTCTTGGGGACATGCCCATCTGGCAGCTCTGCCTCTCTGCATCCACGTGCTCTGTCCCGCTCCCCACATCATCTCAGCAACTAAACCGGCAGACTGGGCCGGGTCCCAATTTTCAGTTGGCATGAGCCCCGGCTCAGTGTGTAGGTCATTGGTCCGTGTGACGCAGGGGGCTGCTGAGGGACCCTGCTGTGCAGTTGAGGGTGGGGGGTGGTGGGTGGAGCTCTGGGCTGCCTGGGCAGGTGGCCCGAATCCTGACACATGGCCCTGGGCTGCCCTTCTGTTCACCCGCCCTCGTCTGGGCAGCCCAGGGAGGTGCGGGTGGCAGCCCTGCTTCCCAGGCCATGGGTGGCTCTCTGGGTGTGGCCGTGTGTGATGGCTGTGCCGAGCGTGGATTTGTGCCCCAATCTTTTCCAGGTCTTAGGGTACGTACTGTTCTCAGCCTCTCCATGCTGGGACGCTGTTCGCAGTCAGCAGGGCTGGTTCTGGGAAACCCCCAGAGTTCCAGCTATGACTTCTCCCCTCCCCCGGTAACATAGGTGGATAGGTGGGACCTCGGGGAGGGGCAGGGGCTGGGGGTATCCGTCTTCCAGCTATTGAGTTTCAGACATTGAGGGTTGCAGACTCATTTGTGTCCTCTCTGCCACCTGCCATCCCTGTGACCCTGGACGATGGGCCTCTCGGTCTCTTTGTAAACATGAGGCCCGGGAGTGGTTCCAGAACGTCCATCATGGGGCTGCGAGAGCAGGAGGGATGGGGCGTCCATGGTGGCGGGAGGTTCTGTAAGTGGCGGTGGCCTTGATGGATCTCAGCACTGAGGTCGAGTTCTAAAGCCAGAGTGTGAGGCACAGTTCTGTCGCGTCACACTGGCTTCCAAGTCCCATGGATCTAGCCTTGAGAAGGCGGAAGGGGAGACTTGAGTTCTGCTGGGTCTTGGCTGCGTCGCCTCTGCCCTGGGGCGTGGGCAGGGCTGCGGTCTTGGAGGGTCTCTCTTTTCCTTTCTGTGATGAGCGCACAGCTGGGGCCGCTCCAAGCCGCTGTTCTGCCTTCCTTTTCCTGCCCCTGTTACCTGGGCAGCGGAGGGCCGTGCGGCCCGGGCTCTCAGTGAGTGGCTTTCCCTGCTTCCCTCCTCCCAGCACTTCTCCACCGACCCAGTGGCCGCCTCCATCATGAAGATCTACACGTTCAACAAAGACCAGGACCGGGTGAAGCTGGGTGTGGACACCATTGCCAAGTGAGCGTGTGGCCCCTTTGCCCTGCCTGGCCCCTCCAGCTCATCCCAGCACCCCTCCCACTGGGGCTGTCACCCCCTCTGGCCCCCTCATTACCTGCTGAGGTGGGTTGGGAAGGAGCATAGGCCGAGAGTGAGGCAGCTCCACCCAGAGGCCTCAGGCAAAGGGCTGGGCCTCCTTGGGCCTCAGTTTACCCGTGTGCAAAATGAAGGTGTTGAAGGAATCAGGGGTTTCCCACCCTGGCTTCCTTGGGGAACATGTGGAGGAGGCAGGGTCCCACCCCACTCCCCGGGTCTCAGGATCGGGGGCAGGCCTGGAGGTCCACGCTGCCCGCCAACGCCGAGGGAGCACCCCGCAGGAGCCCCCTGCTGGCACTGCGGCCCTTCAGCTCTGGCTCTCCACTCTTCCGGCACTGTGGCTTCCCCACCGCTGTGGTTAATTGTGCCCTTCCAGGGCTGGTGGGACGGTGAGGGGTTCCGTGGGGCTCCTGCTGGCACCAGGGGTGGGCTCCATGGGGTGTCCGAGGTGTGCCTTCCACCCGGAGATGGTCTGCTGCCCTCGCGTCACTGGGCCGCTTCTTCCCTCTGACTAGAGGCCAAGTGTGGCTGAGCTGCTGTTACCTGGAGCAGGAGGCACAGAGGGGCCGGGTGGGCAGCCTGGGCTGTGCCCCACTCACCTTCTCCACCTACCCCAGGTACCTGGACAACATCCACCTGCACCCCGAGGAGGAGAAGTACCGGAAGATCAAGCTGCAGAACAAGGTGTTTCAGGTGGGCGTGCCTTCTGGCCCCCGGGGCCCAGGCTGGGGGTGGGGGCAGCTGGCCTGCAGGAGCCGGTGGTGGCCCACACCAGGCGGTGGGCTCCCTGGAGGAGCTAGCGAGAGTTGAGCCACAAGCAGTGAAGGGTTCGGCCAGTAGAAGGTAGCAGGACAAGATGGAGAGCAAGACTTTTATGCACCGGTCACCCCAAATCAACAAATTCTGCCTCTCCTCACCTGCATCCTTTTCCTCCTCTTCAGCTGGGCTTGTTTGGGAACATGTCGACTCTGGGGAGGTTTCTCATGCAAACCAGATGTCTGGTTCTTCTGGGGGAAAGGGCAGGGACTGGGGTCCTGGGCGGTGTTAGCCTCGCATCAGGCCCCAGCAGTGTCTGGCTCCTCAGCCTCACTCTTCGTGCCTGGTTGTGACTCTTTCCTCTGTGCAGAGCTGTTGGAGACTCCACAGCCCCCACCGTAGAAAAGCAGGTTTGCATCCAGCACTGAGGCACCCCCAGGGCTGGGCCCCATCCAGGGGTCGACAGCTGCTCCCAATAGCGAGAGCCGGGCCCCTGGACTGGGTGGGGTGTGGCCAGGCCATGGAGGAAGCCAGGGGCCCCCAGTGACGCCCATCTCCACCCCCAGGAGCGCATTAACTGCCTGGAAGGGACCCACGAGTTTTTTGAGGCCATTGGGTTCCAGAAGGTGTTGCTTCCCGCCCAGGATCAGGGTAAGTGGACAGGGCCTGGCTGAGTAGGGAATGGGGACGAGGGGCCTCGGGGCAGGAGGGCCCGGCTTGGGGGTCTCTCCATTGCACAGTGACACCCATGTCCTGCCACGCTGTAGAGGACCCCGAGGAGTTCTACGTGCTGAGCGAGACCACCTTGGCCCAGCCCCAGAGCCTGGAGAGGCACAAGGAACAGCTGCTGGCTGCGGAGCCCGTGCGCGCCAAGCTGGACAGGCAGCGCCGCGTCTTCCAGCCCTCGCCCCTGGCCTCGCAGTTCGAACTGCCTGGGGACTTCTTCAACCTCACAGCAGAGGAGATCAAGCGGGAGCAGAGGCTCAGGTGGGCCTGACGTCCGCGGAGCAGAGTGGGGCGGGGCGGGGTGGAAGAACCCCGGCCAGCCCTCGTGACCTGGCCCGCGTGTGCAGGTCCGAGGCGGTGGAGCGGCTGAGCGTGCTGCGGACCAAGGCCATGCGGGAGAAGGAGGAGCAGCGGGGGCTGCGCAAGTACAACTACACGCTGCTGCGCGTGCGCCTCCCCGATGGCTGCCTCCTGCAGGGTGGGCACCAACGATGCCCGTGGAGGGCGGCTCGGGTTGGTAGGGGGCCCTGGGCCCCACCCGCTCTGACTCCCCCACTCCCCAGGCACTTTCTACGCTCGGGAGCGGCTGGGGGCGGTGTACGGGTTCGTCCGGGAGGCCCTGCAGAGCGACTGGCTGCCTTTTGAGCTGCTGGCCTCGGGAGGGCAGAAGCTGTCCGAGGACGAGAACCTGGCCTTGAACGAGTGCGGGCTGGTGAGTGTCGGCCCGCAGGAGCACCGCTGACCCGATGCCTCTGCAGGTTCTCCTGGGACCGGCACAGACACCCCCAGGAGGGAGCCTCCTTGTTCTCAGAGCAGGGGGCCTGGGCAGGTCCCTGGGTTTGAATCCTGCTTTCCCACTTACTGGCAGCAGGGCCTCGAGCAAGTTCATAACTACTCCACGCCTCAGTTTCCCCATCAAATGGGAGCGGTGACGTGCGTTAGCTAGTGCAGTAGGTTTAGGCTTAGGTCCTGGAGTCCCGGAGGGAGAGGGCAGGAGGCCTGGGTGCGAGCCACAGCCTCCACCAGCTGAGATGGCTTCCAGGCCGGGGCATCCCCGCGCCCAGGTTGCCCGCTGAGTTCCCTGCCGCGGCAAGGGCCGACTCTCGGTCTCAGAGTGACGGCCTACCCCTACCGCAGGTGCCCTCTGCCCTCCTGACCTTCTCGTGGGACATGGCTGTGCTGGAGGACATCAAGGCCGCGGGGGCCGAGCCGGACTCCATCCTGAAACCCGAGCTCCTGTCAGCCATCGAGAAGCTCTTGTGAAATAAAAGCAGGGTTGGCCTCAGCCCTGTGGGTCTGTCTCATGCTCTCCCTGTTCCTCTCCCCGCCACCCCAGGGCCTCCAAGCCACCTCTGGAAATACTTGGCTCTGCCCCATGGGCACGGGAGGGGCGCCAGCCGTGGAGCTGTGGAATTGGGCCCCGTGGCAGAGCCCCCATCCCTTGGGGGCTGTGGGGATGCGCCCAAGCCCCCGAGGGAGAGGCCTGGGGACACCAACAAATCTAAGCCCTCCCTAGCTGCTTGGTAACTGTGTCATGAAGCTGCCGGACAGACACACGTGGCATCTCCCTGGGCAGGAGAGCAGGCCTGCAGCATGGGTCCTGTTCCCGTGTGCCGTGGGTGGCAGTGGCTGCACCTGGCACTAGGGCTGCTCTGTGGATGTGGGTGACAACGGCAGGAGGGGATGCTGGCCTTCCTGCACATAGACCTGCAGTTAGTAAATCATAAGCCCAAATAAACAGGTTGTTTGAATATAGTTTCTTGGTTCTCCGTTGAAACCGTGGGACACAGGGCAGGCCCACCTGCTGAAGAGCGGATGGCTTGGGGGCTGGGTGTGGCTCCCTGTCAAGGTGGGACCATGTGGATACCTGTTCTCAGGCCAGCACCTGGCCACAAGTGCCCGATGAGCCACCCACCTGGGGAGGAAGTCCCGTGCGCTAGGGGAGGCTGTGCTGTGCCCACAAAGGCCCAGTCCCTGCAGGGGAGGCGAGTGCTGTCACAGGCCTGGCTTCCCTGTGGCCAGAGGGACAGGGTGTCCTGAGACGGCCACATCCTATTCCTGGAACCTGCAGATGCGCAACTTCACCTGGCAAGAGGGGCTTGGGTATGATGAAAGGTCTTGAGCTGGGAGATGATCCTGGGTGGTCCGGGACCCAGTGTCCTCACAAGAGGTGGCAGGAGGGTGAATCAGAGAGAGACTGGAAGAGGCTGCGCATGGCTGTGAAGGTGGAGGAAGGGACCCCGAGCTGAGGGATGCAGCGCCTCCGAGCACTGGGAAACTCTCCAGGAGGGCCTGGTCCTGCCCACAGCTTGATGTTAGCCTGGCGGGGCATGTGTGCACTCTGACCCCCAAGCTGTGAGATGGTGACTTGCTTTAAGCCACCAGGTTTGTGGTACAGCAGCCCCAGGAGACACAGGGACTCTGCCCTGCAGTGTGGAAGGCATGTGTGCCCCGGCCCCACTGCTGACTTGGGGATGCAGGTCTGCACCTGGGGGAGGTGCCCGGGGCCTATGCTCGTGCCCCTGACCTTGCATTGGTCCCTCCCTCGCCCCCGGCACTGCCCCAGCTGGTGTGGGCACCCGGCCTGTTGAGAATGGAGGCTGTCACTCCAGTCCTGCGTCCTGCAGGCCCCAGGACCTGATTCCGGGTTGTCGGGAG
Source organism: Homo sapiens (assembly GCF_000001405.40). Classification (NCBI taxonomy): domain Eukaryota; kingdom Metazoa; phylum Chordata; class Mammalia; order Primates; family Hominidae; genus Homo; species Homo sapiens. The sequence goes on along the minus strand of NC_000019.10, from coordinate 4,444,102 downwards.
CCCCTGTAAAGCTCATCAAAGGTGTGGCACAGGGGCAGCCTCTGCTTCAGGCACAGCTGAATCCTGCTTCCCAGCAGGAAGGCCTGGCCCGGGCGCCCTGCCGTCCCTGACTGGGTGGATGGAGGTAGCTGACACTTTTCCCACATAGGGTTCCCTGAAGGGAAGCTTAGGACTTCAGGTGGGGTGTGGCTGGGAAGAGCAGGACTGGCGAGCGTGACCCTCCCCGTGGCTGCGTGTGCTCTGAGCTGCTCAGTACCACAGCGGCTGTCGCCTGTCCTCCCTCGGACAGTGTGGATAAAGCCCACTCAACCTGGGGCGGGGAGGAGGTCACCTTCTAGCTCCAGCACTCGCAAAAGATGCACCTGACCTGGGGTGGGCTCTCACAAAGCCTCAGACTCGAAGCCAAACTCGGCTCCCAGCAGCTCCGGGTTCAGGGAGGTGACCCTAGCAGGTCTCTGGGAACACCCTCTCCTAACCCCCCAACCCAGGGCAGGAGGGATCGCCGGACAGAAGCACGTGCGGAAAAACCCGCACCTTGACCCAGGTCAGCCTGGTATGAGGGTGACTTAGTGACAAACAGATGGGACGGTGCTGTTGCAGGGCACAAGGCTGGCCCCAGACACCAGGCACCACATGGGGCCGGGCCATGGGCAAGGTGCACTCTCAGAGAAACACAATGTTTTCGGAAAAGACAGACAGAGCAGCTCAGGGCTAGAGAATAAGTTTATACACTGCCTCGTTAGGTCCAGGGGCCCGCGCACGTGGCCAGGCGGGTGGTCCTGACGCTTCAATTCATTTACAAGTATTGGATTCCACGCCTGCTCCTGTGCCCGCAGGCTTCCCCAATAGGCCAGCAATCTCAATAATGCTTTATTAAAGGGCAGATTCATATGCGGCTCTTGGGGGAATTTTTACAAATATCAAAGGAACTAATCCAGCATCCTATATAGAACTCTGCACACTTTGGGGAGGTCCGTGAAGCAGGACAAAGTGCTCTTTACACAGGAATTGAGTCGGTTCAAGTATCTGCTCTGTGGGGAGGACACCCTAAGCATTCTACATACGTCACCCCTGCTCTCAGGATGCACCCAGTGGGCTCGCGGTCAGGGTGGCCTTGCCGGTGTCCACCCCCACACCACCCCCAGCTCCGGAAGCGGCTCCACACGGGGCTTGGACCTCTGCAGGGCAAGAGAGGGAGGGTCTTGAGCTGGCTGGGCCCTCTGGGCTCCCTGGGGGAAGACCCCACCCTGCTGCCTCATGGGGCCTGCAACAACCCCAGGGCGGGACCCTCCACCTGACAGTGGGGACAGGCAGAGGCTGGGGCGTTGTGCCTCTTCTAGAGGTGACCTGCTCACCTGCTCTCAGGTTGACCCTGCCTGCCCCCCACCACCCGGGCACACTCCTCCCACGCAGCCTGCTGCAGGGCCTCTGTACTTCCTCTTTGGCGAGTGCTCCAGAAATCCACCTGGCCCTCCCTTGCTGCCTCAGTGCAGCCTTCCCTGACCCCCATCTAACGTCACAACCACCTGAGACTCCCAGCATAGGCCCTTGTGGCTCTGCGGCCAGAACGATGCCTGGCATGGTCAGCACCCACGGCCCAGCCCGCCCGAGGATGTGGCAGGGCAGGAGCCACTTCCAGCTGCAAGCCCTCCTGGCTGCTCACAGTGGAGCTAGTCTTAGGCAGCCCCATCCCTTCTCTGTTGAGGTTTACCTCCAGCGCCCACCTCACCAGTGCGTTCTGCTATCTACAGCCCTTCTCACCCGCAGCATCCGGGACATCCACGATCATACAGTCGCCCTCCTCCTCTTCCTCCTCCTCCGTGTCTGCCTGGAAGCCGTCCATGTCTTCAGCACCAATCTGGACAGACAGGGTACACGGCCATCAGCACTGCAGGCAGCAGCCACCCTGGTGCCAGTGCGGTAGCGGGGGGAACTCCACAGGTGTGACACCTTCCTCCCACCCCCAACACGGAAGGAAACCAACATCCAGAACCCAATTTGGTAACAAACTGTCCAAATGTGAGAGGTTTATTCAAGAGGCCACAACCAGAGAACCTTGGGGGTTCCCTCAAATGAACTGGATTCAGATCTCCAAAAACAGCCATCATTGCCAACTGCAGAATAATTTCCAGTCAGTGACAGGCCGCATACCTGATAGTGGCCCCATCAGATTACAACTGTATTTATTTATTTTTATTTTTTTTTGAGACGGAGTCTCGCTCTGTTGCCCAGGCTGGAGTGCAGTGGCGCGATCTCGACTCACTGCAAGCTCCGCCTCCCGGATTCACGCCATTCTCCTGCCTCAGCCTCCTGAGTAGCTGGGACTACAGGCGCCTGACACCACGCCCAGTTTGTATTTTTAGTAGAGACGGGGTTTCATCGTGTTATCCGGATGGTCTTGATCTCCTGACCTCGTGATCCGCCCGCCTCAGCCTCCCAAAGTGCTGGGATTACAGGTGTGAGCCACCATGCCTGGCCTTTATTTTTTATTTTTGAGACGGGAGTTTCACTCTGTCACTGAGGCTGGAGTGCAGTGGCACAATCTCAGCTCACTGCAACCTCCGCCACCCGGGTTCAAGCGATTCTCGTTCTTCAGCCTCCTGAGTAGCTGGGATTACAGGTGTATGCCATCACGCCCAGCTAATTTTTGTATTTTTAGTAGAGACGGGGTTTCACCATGTTGGTCAAGCTGGTCTCAAACTCCTGACCTTATGATCTACCCACCTCAGCCTCCCAAAGTCCTGGGATTACAGACAACTGTATTTTTATTTAATATATATAAATCTTGAGACAGAGTCTTGCCATATATCCAGGCTGGAGTGCAGTGGTGCGATCTTGGCTCACTGCAACTTCTGACTCCCAGGTTCAAGTGATTCTCCTGCCTCGGCCTCCTGAGTAGCTGGGATTACAGCCACCTGCCACCACACCCGGCTAATTTTTGTATTTTTAGTAGAGATGGGGTTTCACCATGTTGCCAGGCTGGTCTCGAACTCTTGACCTGAAGTGATCCGCCTGCCTTGGCCTCCCAAAGTGCTGGGATTACAGGCGTGAGCCACTGCCCCAGCCGCAACGATATTTTTGCTGTGCCTTTTTTTTTTTTTTTAACAGGTGCCCGCCACTACGCCCAGCTAATCTTTTGTATTTTTAGTACAGACGGGGGTTTCGCCATGTTGGCCAGGCTGGTCTCGAACTCCTGACCTCAGGATTCGCCCACGTCAGCCTCCCAAAGTGCTGGGATTACAGGCATGAGCCACCGCACCTGGCCTCTGCTGTGCCTTTTCTATGTTAAAGACACATATACCACTGGGTTACAAGTGCCTGCAGGATGGAGCAGTCAGTCACCTGCTGCACAGGTCCACAGCTCAGGAGCCCTGGGCTATGTACCACACGGCCCAGGCGTGTGGCAGGCTGTCCATCTAGGATGTGTAAGAGCAACCTAGCCCCACCCAACCATGAAATTGCCTGAGGACACCTCTCAGAACACGTCCCTGATGTGAAGTGATGACTGTGACTTGTGAATTATTATTATTATTTTTTTAGACCTCGACTCACTGCAAATTCCACTTCCTGGGTTCACACCATTCTCCTGCCTCAGCCTCCTGAGAAGATGGGACTACAGGCACCCGCCATCACGCCCAGCTAATTTTTTTTTTTTTAAGTAGAGACAAGGGGGTGTCACTATGTTGCCCAGGCTGGTCTCAACCTGGGCTCAAGCCATCCTTCCACCTCGGCCTCCTAAAGTGCTGGGATGACAAGGTGTGAGCCACCGCACCTGACCCTAGTAAGATTCCTGAGCTGTTTCCATTTGCTTTCACCAAAGGAGAAAGACAGGATGCGTAGAGGCCACCATGAGCCTCCACGTCAGTGCTTACCCTCTCTGTGCATGAACACAAGCCCATCCCAGGACAGACAGCCACACTTATTTCAGTAGGGAGGATAGTCCTCAAAAAATTCCAGGAATTCTTCCTCTACAAAAACCTAGAAAAGTGACCGCACAGCAACACAACGGTCAGGCCATAGACTGGTTTCATGGGCTGTCATGTAAGAGCACAGTGCCTGGCCAGGCAGACTGGGTTCCTACCGTAGCCTCATCAATTCCTGGGTAGGGGCTCCCCTCCTGGATCCTCTCTTCAGTGGCTGGGAGCCCAGGCTGTCCCTCTCCCCAGGCAGCATGGGTTGACCCTGTGAGGACACAGGAGAAACATCTTGCTCTGTCACCCAGGCTGTGGTGCAGTGGTGCAATCACAGGTAACTGCACCCTTCAACTCCTGGTCTCAAGTGATCCTCCTGCCTCAGCCTCCCAAAGTGCTGGGATTACAGGCATGAGCCACTGAGCCTGGCCTACGGCCATTTTCAACTACCTTTTTGAAAGAATAGTTAAGCAAAGAAGAGTCTAAGAGTCCCCTGTAGACGCTGCTGAGGAGGGACATTCTGATCTGGAGGTGTCTGGGGACGTTAAACAAAAGAACATGCCAATTTCTTCAGAGCCACCTCAAGTCACTGGGCCCTCCCTCCACACAGGAGACGCGTTGACACATTAGGCTTTTCTTGGATCCAAAATTTTTCAGAGCAATCACCACTCTTCACCCTCTAGGCTGAAGACAGGATTTAACACATAACACCGAGTCCCACTGTGCTGAGCTGCCGGCAGCTTGCTTCACGGGGACAGCTGTCATCTCGCCAGCAGCACTGCAAGTGCTAAACACAGACACGGAGGAGCGCAGACTACGGAAAACAGGAGTCAGGAAAACGTTTAACGACTACATGGGATGAAGATGGTGTCACTAACATTTGTGCCTTTTTGTCTTTTTTTTTTTTTTCTGAGACGCAGACTTGCTCTGTTGCCCAGGCTGGAGTGCAGTGGCACAATCTCGGCTCAACTGCAACCTCCACCTCCTGAGTTCAAGTGATTCTCCTGCCTCGGCTTCCTGAGTAGCTGGGATTACAGGCGTGCACCACCATGCTCAGCTAATTTTTGCATTTTTAGAGATGGGGTTTCACCATGTCGGCCAGGCTGGTCTTGAACTCCTGGCCTCTCAAGTGATCCGCCTGCCTCGGTCTCCTAAAGTTTTGTGATTACAAGCGTGAGCCACTGCACCCAGCCATCTATGCTTTTTTTTTGAGACAGAATCCCGCTCTGTTGCCCAGGCTGGAGTGCAGTGGCGCGATCTCGGCTCACCGCAAGCTCCGCCTCCCAGGTTCATGCCATTCTCCTGCCTCAGCCTCCCGAGTAGCTGGGACTACAGGCAGCCGCCACCACGCCTGGCTAATTTTTTGTATTTTTAGTAGAGACGGGTTTCACCATGTTAGCCAGGATGGTCTCAATCTCCTGACCTTGTGAGCCACCCACCTCGGCCTCCCAAAGTGCTGGGATTACAGGCATGAGCCACCACACCCGGCCATCTATGCTTCTTTAGTTTTATTTTGATCACATAATGTTTTGTTGGCAAGGGCAAACACATCCTTCCTTGTATTTTAAAATTTTTAAATAAAACGGAGGCCCGAAGAGTTGAGGTGTCCTAGGGCTTCACAGATACATGGCACTTCACCCCACTAGGTCAGAATGCCTTAAGAATATCTCTTTTGAGCTCTAAGTAAAAAGATTTAAAGACTCCCTGGCTCAGGTCTGTAATCCCAGTACTTTGGGAGGCCGAGGCAGGTGGATTGCTTGAGCCCACAAGTTCAAAGACCAGCCTGGGCAACACAGCAGGACCCAATATCTACAAAACAAAACAAAACAAAACAAAAAAACCTCTTCTTGCATGAACATGGATGAAGCTGGGAACCATTATCCTCAGCAAACTAACGCAGGCACAGAAAACCAAATATCACATGCTCTCACTTATAAGAACATGTGGACACAAAGAGGGGAACAACAGACACTGGAGCCTATGTGACGGTGGGAGGGAGAAATTCAGAAAAAATACCTTAGTACCCAATAAATCATCTATACACCAAACCCCCGTGACATGAGTTTGCCAACCTGCACATGTACCCCTGAACCTAAAATAATAAAGGGCAACAGGGCAAGACCCTGTTTCTAATTTAACAACAAGAAAAGATGCCGGGCGTGGTGTCTCACGCCTGTAATCCTAGCACTTTGGGAGGCCGAGGCGGGCAGATCACAAGGTCAGGAGATCGGGACCATCCTGGCTAACACAGTGAAACCCCGTCTCTACTAAAAAAATACAAAAAATTAGCTGGGCGTGGTGGTGGGCGCCTGTAGTCCCACCTACTTGGGAGGCTGAGGCAGGAGAATGGCGTGAACCCAGGAGGTGGAGCTTGCAGTGAGCTGAGATCGCACCACTGCACTCCAGCCTGGGCGACAGAGCGAGACTCCGTCAAAATAAAATAAAATAAAATAAAAAAGATGAAAACTTTCAAATTGGGAAAAAAAGTGTAACCGAGTAAAAAATATGGATGTACACCACTTGCAGATGAATGGCTTATCCCTCCCCTTGGGTGCAGAAGCATCAGTCAGCAGCTTTATTAAATGCCAGGAGGCTGGAGAGAGGATCGCTAGAGCTCAGGAGTTGGAGACCAGCCTGGGCAACATAGACCCTGTCTCTACAGAATATTTGAAAATTAGTTGGGCATGGTGGCACGTGCCTCTATACTCCCAGCTCCTTAGGAAGCTGAGGCAGGAGGATCACTTGCGCCCAGGAGTGGAGGCTGCGGTGAGCTGTGACTGCACCATTGCACTCCGGCCTAGGTAACAGAGTGAGACCCTGTCAAAAAAAAACAGAGGATGCCAGGGCACATGTCCCATCCGGGCTCATGTGCTTCCACAGCCCCACCTTTGGGTCCCACCTGTGTGCCCCTCCCCACACAAGCTCTGAAAAAAAACACAGGACCAGACCCTGCTCCCCAGGGACGTTTATGTCCCAAACTGCAGGAGGTTCAGGGGTGGGGGTTAAGCATCAAGCTGGGCCTGGGTCTCCATTCCTTCACGTGTGACCTTCGTGCGTCCGCTGCACTGCTGAGCCCCAGGAGGCCCTCACCTGTGCCACGCAGCAGAGGCCACCAATCACGCGCATGTGGCCACCACTGCCATCCATTAGCAGGTGAGATGCTGTGTTTTGCTAACTCCAAGGCCCACCCAACCTCTCTGACCCACTCTAGTTAAACTGGGTGCACCCTTCTTTCCTTGTGGTTAGGGATGATAAACAGGCACTCACTGCCCCCGAAGCACAGTAACTCTGATGTGGTGCTGGGCACATGGGGCTCAGGGCGCTATTTTCCGGGTGGGGAAACATGGGTTCCACATGTTGACAGGGAGCAAGAGCAGTGTTTGGGAGGACCAGGGGCGGGGCACTGCACCCCAGCTGGGAGAGGCAGCTGCTGCATCAAATCAGTGGAGAGGGGTGGGGAAGGAGGCCGTCCAGGGCCTGGACTACTGTGTGGAGCATGAGGAGACCCCAAAGGAACATCTGAGGGACACAGGGGTTCCCAGGGGAGGGCTGATCAGCAAAGGCCCTGGAAAACTGCTTGCATAGTGACACAACCAGATAGTACCTTCCCGCCCCGATCATTTTCAGGCTGGGGAGCTCCGGTTCCCTCTAAGGCTGCTCAGGTGACCAGGGAAAGGCACTGCTCACACAGGGCTTGAACAAAGAATGCATCCAGCAAAGCTCTGTGTGGGGGCCTCCTGTGGCCCCAGCTCCAATGCACTGAGCTTCCCACGGCGCCAAGCCGCCTCCACAGAGCCAGGGGAACTATGCACATGACACACTGTACAGGGACAGAGGCTCTAGGGAGTGCCAGGAACAGTTTCAGTCGTAGCCCTGGACCCTTTGGGATGTTATGATGGCCCCTCCTGCTGTGACAGCTGAGGGAGATTCACAGCATATTAAGGCCCATGGCTGTGTGCTGGCAGCAGGGAGATGGCTGAGCATCATCTCAGGAGCCATTTCTCTCGCCTCCCTGCCCCTAACGACCACCTTTTCTTTTCTTTTTTTTTTGGGGGACTAGAATCTTGCTGTGTTGCCCAGGCTCGAGTACAATGGTGTGGTCTCGGCTCACTGCAACCTCCACCTCCTGGGTTCAAGCGATTCTCCTGCCTCAACCTCCCGAGTAGCTGAGATTACAGGCACCTGCCACCATGCCCAGCTAATTTTTGTATTTTTAGTAGAGACAGGGTTTCACCATGTTGGCCAGGATGGTCTCGAACTCCTGACTTCAGGTGATCTGCCCGCCTTGGCCTCCCAAAGTGATGGGATTATAGGCGTGAGCCACTGTGCCCAGCCAACGACCACCTTTAACATCAGAGAAGAGGATGCAAGCTGGGGCCGGGGGTTATCCACTGTCTTGCTCCTTGTCCCAAGTCTCTGAAAACCTGTAACTCCATCAGATCGTGGCCTTGAAGGAAAGCCCAAGGTTCACAGGGACAGATAGGTCTGCGTTAAGTGTAGATATTAGAAATCAAACTCAGGGAGCCAGGCACGGTGGCTCATACCTATAATCCCAGTACTTTGGGAGGCAAAGGCAGGGGGATTGCTTAAGCCCAGGAGTTGGGGACCAGCCTGGGCAACATGGTGAAACCCTGTTTCTACAGAAAATTAGCTGGGTGTGGTGGCATGCACCTGTAGTCCCTCTCAGCTACTGAGGAGGCTAAGGTGGGAGGATCGCCTGAGCCTGGGGAGGTCAAGGCTGCAGTGAGTGGTGATCACGCCACTGCACTACAGACTAGGCAACAGAGTAAGACCCCTGACTCAAAAAAAGGCCAGGACAGGCGTGGTGGCTCATGCCTGTAATCACAGCACTTTGGAAGGCTAAGGCGGGCGGATCACGAGGTCAGGAGATTGAGACCACGGTAAAACCCCGTCTCTACTAAAAATACAAAAAATTAGCCGGGCGTGGTGGCGGGCACCTGTAGTCCCAGCTACTCGGGAGGCTGAGCCAGAAGAATGGTGTGAACCCGGGAGGCGGAGCTTGCAGTGAGCCCAGATCACACCACTGCACTCCAGCCCGGGCAACAGCGCGAGACTGTCTCAAAAAAAAAAAAAAAAAAAAAAAGGAAAAAAAAGAAAAAAGAGAAACTCACTTCCGAACACTGTGTGGTAAGGACAAAAAGTATGCAATGAACGTTAACAAAGCCGATCTATGGCCAGGGGTGGGTGCCAGGGGCCAGTGGCTCTCTGGGCATGAGAGTTTCTTAAGACCAGACAGTGCCCCCATCACACACCCCAGGGCTCCATGCGCTTGTGCCTCCGAGGCACCCATAAGGCTGGAATCACACAGCCATTCATTCCCCTTACAGGCTCCTGTCTGTGCCTTACACCGGGCGGTGTTCTGCATATACCTGTGTCTGAGAGACCGATCAGAGTGCCTGGAGCACAGTAAGTGCTTAATAACTGTGCTTGAATGCAAAATTCAAGAACCGTTGAACAAAAATAAAAATGCTACCACATGGAATATTATTCAGTGTGAAAAAAAAAAGAGCTATCAAGCCACAAACAGACACGGAGGAACTGTCAACGCATACTGCCAAGTCAAAGGAGCCACACACGATGCGATTCCAGCTACAGGGCAATCTGGAAAAGGCTGATCCACGGAGATAGAGAGGTTGGTGATTTCCAAGGGATTGGACGGGCAGAGCACAGGGGCCTTTCAGTGGGGAGAAGCCTCTTTGTTTAAAACAATAAAGGTAGACGCACAGCATCCAACATTCATTCAAATCACAGAACCCTCAACACCAGCAACAAACCCTAGTGGTGGTGATAAATCAACGAAGGTGCGTTTTATGTATTTATTTTTAGAGACAGGGTCTTGCTCTGTCGCCCAGGTTGCAGTGCAGTGGCATGATCATAGCTCACTGCAGCCTCAATCTCCTAGGCTCCAGTAATCCTCCCGCCTTAGCCTCCTGAGTAGCTGAGACTACAGGTGCATGCCACCGCTTGGCTAATCTAAAAATTTTTTCTTAGAGATGGGGTTTTGCCATGTTGCCCAGGCTGGTCTCCAACTCCCGGGCTCAAGTGATCCTCCCGCCTCAGCCTCCCAAAGTGCTGAGACTACAGGCGTGAGCCACAGTGCCTGGCCTGAGGTGCACTGATTGTAACCAATGCACCATTCTGGGAGGTGATGTTGGGTGGCTTGGCTTGGCTTTGGGGAAGGAGGTGTATGGGAACTTTCTGTACCTTCCAATCGATTTTGCTGTGACCCTAAAACTGCTCTAAGAGTAAGGTTATTTAAAAAACACAAAAACACCAGGCGAGGTGGCTCACGCCTGTAATCCCAGCACTTTGGGAGGACAAGGCAGACGGATCATGAGGTCAGGAGTTCGAGACCAGCCTGACCAACATGGTGAAACCCCGTCTCTACTAAAAATACAAAAATTAGCCAGGCATGGTGGCGTACACCTGTAATCCCAGCTACTCAGGAGGCTAAGGCAGGAGAATCACTTGAACCCAGGAGGGAGGAGGTTGCAGTGAGCTGAGATTGCGCCACTGCACTCCAGCCTGGGTGACAGAGCAGGACTCCATCTCGAAAAAAAAACAAAACAACAAAAAACAAACAAAAAAAGAAAAGCCCTGCAGAGGCCCCCACCTGCCCACCCCACCTCACCTGGCCGTCGTGCCTGCGCTTCTTCATGAATTGGGTGATGCACATGCTGCCCGCTGACTTCCTCTTCAGCGAGATGGGAGTGCCCTGGCTGGGCCCCGTGGAGGGGACGCTGCCACTGTCCTCTTTGGGGGCCGAGGGCACCGATGTCACATAGCTCCACTGGCACGGCACGGGCAGGTGCTCCTGCTGGAAGCTCTGTAGCACCTGCGGGTGCACGTACCAGCACATCCTGAAGTCAGGCCGCTTCTCATACACTGAGTTCTCGGAAATGAGCCGCTTGAGCCGGGACTTAGAGGGGATGGCGGCATCCTCGCTGGGGGTGGGGGTGTGCAGGTAGGTGGTGGAGGGGCTCCGCGGGCTGCCGGTGTGGTTGCTGAGCAGTCCCCGGCGGCAGTGCTCCTGGAACTCCCGGATGATGACCTTGCTCCCGTTCACATTGCCGTGCAGGAGCGGCAGCAGCTGGGCCAGGACTGGCAGGAGGGAACATGGGTGGGCATGAGGCTTGGGGAGCCACCCATCACCACAGGCCAAAAAACAAAACACATACACAAGCTCATTGCCACCGAGGCTTGGGGCATGGCCAGCTTCGGGGATAGGTGGCCTCATGAGGGCGGGTGTAAGACAGGGTAGCACCTACGCACCTGCCCAGAAGTGAGCCTTGGCCGGGCACGTGTGTTGCCAGGGCTGACTTCAAATGCCTGCTGTTCCTACCCAAATGACTGCCCTGCTCTCCTTGTGTGCCATGGTCCCTCCCCAGTTTTTTGAGTTTTTTTTTTTTTTTAGACAGGGTCTTGCTCTGTCACCCAGGCTGGAGTGCAGTGGCAGGATCATGGCTCACTGTGGTCTGAAACTCCTAGGCTCAAGCAATCCTCCCACCTCAGCCTCTTGAGTAGCTGGGATCACAGGTGCGTGATACCACACCCAGGTAATTTTGCATTTTCTGCAGAGATGGGGTTTTGCCATGTTGCCCAGGCTGGTGTCGAAGCACTAGGCTCAAGCGATCCTCCCACCTTGGCCTCCCAAAGTGCTGGCATCACAGGCATGAGGCACTGTGCCCGGCCCCTCCCTGGCTTTTGAGAAAGCACAGCCCCCACTCCAGCACTCTCTGTGCCTGTGTCCTGGTTGATAAAACAAGCCAATTAAGGGACCTGCCTCGTCCTGCTGCTAGGGACATCATTGAACGTACGGACATGTACAGGAAAAGGGCTGGCCTCTGTTATTTGTGGAAAGAACATTTGCATCACGGACCCACTAGCCTGTGACTCTTGCCCTCAGCCCTGGAATTAGCTGGGCCCAGGAACAGGTGGGTGGCCTGGCCCCGCCCACACTCACTCTGCTCGTCTCTCCTCTCCCGCTTGGAGGCCTTGGGCGTCTGCTCCTCCTGGGCCGGCAGGGTCTCCAGGAAGCAGGCTGCGAACTGCTGCAGTACCTTCAGGTCATCGCCTGCGCAGTCTCTGTCAGCCGCCCACACGCAGCCGATCTTCACAGGTTGCAGGACGCGAAAGCGCTTCCCCTTAGCCAGGAACTCGTCCCACTCCTTGGCCTTCAGTTTCTGGCGGACCTTATGGTTCTCAGGGTCGGCACACTCCTTGTGGTTTAGAAAGCAGAAGTTTATTTGGGGTTCTTGCTCCCCTATGCCCGGGCACTCTTTTGAGGAACCAGTCCCCAGCCAGCTGGGGAGCAAGAGGAAAGGACAGGGGCACAAAACTTCCCACAGTGTCAGGGCCAGGGCAGAGCACACCATGCGCTGGCTGCCCCTCTTCCAGATGGAATAATTCACACCTGGTCTCCTTTGGGAGCGTCACAGATATTTCTGAACTCACCCATGAGGCCTCTTTTAACACCCCTCTGAATTTTCTGGTGAATGTGTGATCGTGGAGCCGTTTAACAGGGTTGGGTGTCTACCCACATGGCCCAGGCATCTGGCAGACACATGCAGGGCCTGAGACCACTCTCTGACTGACAGTTCAGGCCTCGGTGGTCAGATATGCACAAGGAATGCCTAGGCCTCCAGTCCAACCATGAGACAGTCCCACCAAATCCCCACTTCCCAAACGACAGGCCTTCAAAACAAAACAGGACCAAAAACAACTTGCTTGAAAGCAAGTTCCTGCCGGGCTCGGTGGCTCATGCCTGTAATCCCAGCACTCTGGGAGGCCGAGGCGGGTGGATCACTGGAGGTCAGGAGTTCAAGACCAGCCTGGCCAACATAATGAACTCCCGTCTCTACTAAAAATACAAAAATTAGCCAGGTGTGGTGGCACACGCCTGTAGTCCCAGCTACTTGGGAGGCCGAGGCAGGAGAATTGCTTGAACCCGGGAGGCAGAGGTTGCAGTGAGCCAACACCGGGCCATTGCACTCCAGCCTGGGTAACAGAATGAGAATCCGTCTCAAGAAAAAAAAAAAAAAAGACAGTTCCACAACCTTATGGAATCTGGAAAGGGGTGGCAGGCAGGTTCGCCTGCAGAGACGTGGGCAATCTTCTGGAGAGATAGGGAAGTTCTGTTTTATTTCGGGCGGTGGTTGCCCACATTCACTTGATTGTTACGTCATCAAACTCAACACTTACAATGCACATGTCTTGCTGCATGCTGACTGTATGTCAGCTCGGGTGGTTTCCAGCCTTCTAACCCACAGACCATGGCCACGCTCCCTCACCAGGGTGTCTGCTCCTATGGCTCCCCTCGCTTGCAAGCTCCTCCTACGTCTGCCACCCTCCCAGGTAATACCAAGTTCAGGCCCAGCTGTTCCCACGAGTGAGCTTGCGTGCTTGGAATGCAGTCCAAATCTCGTATGGTTGGGCTGGGACCCCCGTCACCCTCCCAGGTCAGGCCACTGAGCACCAGTCCAGAAATGAACTTTTGCTGAGCCGGTGACCTCCCCCTTCACTCCCTCACCTCTGTCACACCTTCGTCCTCAGACAGGTACCCATGGGGCACAAAGAAACCATCGTCCTCATCTTCATCCTCTCCCATGTCGTCATCATCATCCTCAAAAGGAGAAAAAAAAAAGAGTTCATCAGATAGAAAAGCAGAGTGTGTGCCTTATTAAAAACAAAGTAGGCCAGGCGCAGTGGCTCACACCTCTAATCCCAGCACTTTGGGAGGCTGAGGTGGGCGGATCATCTGAAGTCAGGAGTTTGAGACCAGCCTGGCCAACATGGTAAAACTCTGTCTCTACTAAAAATACAAATCTTGGCTGGGCATGGTGGCACGCACCTATAATCCCAGCTACTAGGGAGGCTGGGGCAGGACTATCACTTGAGCCTGGGAGGCAGAGGTTGCAGTGAGCCGAAATCGCGCCACTGCACTCCAGCCTGAGTGATAGAGTGAGACTCCATCTTAAAGAAACAAAAAAATGTAAAGCTGTGAACATCTGCTTTGCATGGCCTCCCGACAGACACGGTGAGCATCGGCAGAAAGCCCACTAGGTCACAGCAGCTGGGCAGTCAGGAGGAAATGGTGTGCAGCAGGCCCGCAGGAGGCAAGAGGGGGCTGTGGGGCCACGGTGCAGATGCGGACGGGATCCCATCCCCAGCAGCCACGTGGGCGAGTGTCACCAGATGAGATTTTTCGAGAGAAGCTGGAAGTCTGGATGTTGAGGTGCGTTCAGGTTTCAGACCACACAGCAGGTCAAACACCAGCTGTCAGTGAGTGAACACAGCTGGGCTGCATCCTTAGCCCCTCACTGTGGGACAGAGACTCAAACACAAGCCGTCTGTGAGTGAAGACAGCTGGGGCACATCCTTACCCCCTCACTGTGGGACAGGGACTCCCCAGGCTCCTCTTCTTCCCACTCCTCATCACTGTCCACCTCATAGTCCAGGAGCTTCTGAGAAAAGAAACACATGGGACTCACAACTGTCTTTGGGGCTGGAGGAAAGGGGCACAGTGAGGAGGTACGGGGACGGAGGCACTCTGGGGCTAGCTCACCGTGTCCTGGGCCCAGGGGTCTCGCGCGCGGATGAGTGCCGTCTTCTTATTCCAGGTACCCCAGTAGGCAGGCCGGTGGTTCTCACAGAACTGCAGGAGCTTCATCCTGCCAAACTTCCTCCTCTCGGGAACACCGTCGCCCTTCCCACGCTCCACGATGACGACATCACTGAGAAGGAAAACCCCAGGCTCAGGATCACGCTGCCTTACAGACCTGCTCACAAACCTCCCAGGAACCTCCCTGTGAAGCTGGCCTAACAATTCTAGAAAGATGGGCATTTGTTAAAAAGCAGCACTGCCTGTCCCCAAAGAAAGGTCAGGAACATGGACTGAAGGGACAGATGGAGGAGGGTGCAGCCTGCAGGGTGAGAGGGAGGACAGCTGCCCAGGTGCAGCCCCAGAGCATTTTTAGCAAGGGAGGTTCTGTGGAATGAGATTTGCAAGAGCGAGGTGTTGGGGGGTATCCTTCACTGGAGACCAGCAGGGAAATAAGATTCCTCCACGAGGAGCTGGGAAGACAGGGAGAGGAAGACTTCAGGAGCTTACAGGAAGGCCAGGTGGAGAGAGGCCTGAGCCAGCACCGAAGCCCAGGGCCCGAGGGCACTAGGAAGCAAGCAACAGAAGGACCCAGAGCTCCCACCCCGGGGACCCCAGGGTTCAGGATGCTGGCCTCCAGCATCACTAGTGGGTGAAGGCCGACCTCCTCAGGCTCTGACCTGTTAAAAATATCTGCATTCCGGGTGGAAACGTGCGTGGGTCCGGACCTCAGGGGCTGCCGGCCTTTGAGGTCTTTCAAGAAGGAGAACTCGCCGCTCTGCTGCTGGAGGAGCTGGTCCAGCTGACTGCAGAGGTCTGGATGGAAAGCGGTCCGACGCCGAGGGGCCAGGACCATGTGCTCTTTAATTTCAAAGGGGGCAAACTTCCCACAGGAGCCGGCCAGGGTCTGAAATCAAGAAGAGACCCGATGGGGTCTTCGAGCAATGGGAGAAAGGAGGCACCATGGACGCACACAGCAGGGTGCTGGTGGGATTCATCCAGGCTAAGGCCAAGGCACAGACTCAAAAGCCCAGGCACTGTGTGGGTCCACAGAGCCGAGTTTCCAGAGCTACAGGGCAGAGGGCAGATTGGCAGTCTCAAGGGCCGGCGGTGGGGGGACAGACTACAAGGGAGCTGTTTTGAGTGATGGAAATAGGGTTTATCTTCATTATGGTTAGCTGGCCCTGTCATTTGTCAACACAAATGTCCTGAAAAGAGTTTATTTTATTGGATGTAAATTATATCTCAACAAACCTCACTTAAAAAAAAAAAAAAAAAAGGCCGGGGGCAGTGGCTCATGCCTGTAATCCCACCACTTTGGGAGGCTGAGGAGGGCGGATCACCTGAGGTCAGGAGTTCGAGACCAGCCTGCCCAACATGGTGAAACCCCATCTCTACTAAAAACAAAAATTAGGCCAGGGGCAGTGGCTCATGCCTGTAATCCCACCATTTTGGGAGGCGGAGGAAGGCGGATCACCTGAGGTCAGGAGTTCGAGACCAGCCTGCCCAACATGGTGAAACCCCATCTCTACTAAAAACAAAAATTAGGCCAGGGGCAGTGGCTCATGCCTGTAATCCCACCACTTTGGGAGGCTGAGGAGGGCGGATCACCTGAGGTCAGGAGTTCGAGACCAGCCTGGCCAAGATGGTGAAACCCCGTCTCTACTAAAAATACAAAAATTAGGCCAGGCGCGGTGGCTCACGCCTGTAATTGTAGCGCTTTGGGAGGCCGAGGCGGGTGGATTGTCTGAGCTCAGGAGTTCGAGACCAGCCTGGGCAACACAGTGAAACCCGGTCTCTACTAAAATACAAAAAATTAGCCGGGCACGGTGGCATGCACCTGTAGTCCCAGCTACTTGGGAGCCTGAGGCAGGAGAATTGCTTGAACCTGGGAGGCAGAGGTTGCAGTGAGCTGAGATCGTGCCACTGCACTCCAGCCTGGGGGATAGAGCAAGACTCCATCTCAAAAACAAAACAAAACAAAACAAAAATTAGCTTGGCATGGTGGTGGGCACCTGTAGTCCCAGCTACTCAGGAGGCTGAGGCGGGAGAATCGTTTGGATCTGGGAGGCAGAGGTTGCAGTGAGCCCAGATCACGCCACTGTACTCTAGCCTGGGCCTGAGGCAGGAGAATTGCTTGAACCTGGGAGGCAGAGGTTGCAGTGAGCCGAGATCGTGCCACTGCACCACTCCAACCTGGGGGATAGAGCAAGACTCCATCTCAAAAACAAAACAAAACAAAACAAAACAAAAATTAGCTTGGCATGGTGGTGGGCACCTGTAGTCCCAGCTACTCAGGAGGCTGAGGCAGGAGAATCGTTTGGATCTGGGAGGCAGAGGTTGCAGTGAGCCCAGATCACGCCACTGTACTCTAGCCTGGGCAACAGAGCAAGACTCCTTCTCAAAAAAAAAAAAAAAAAAAAAAAAAAAAAAAGACAGGGTCTTTTTTTGAAAGATCACAACTCCTCTTTTTTTTTTCTGAGATGGAGTCTCGCTTCATTGCGCAGCCTGGAGTACAGTGGTGCAATCTCGGCTCACTGCAACCTCTGCCTCCTGGGTTGGGCGATTCTCCTGCCTCAGCCTCATGAGCAGCTGGGATTACAGACGCCTACCACCACGCCCGGCTAATTTTTGTATTTTTAGTATTTTTAGTAGAGACACCTTGTTGGCCAGGCTGGTCTCAAGCTCCTGACCTCAGATGATTCACCCGCCTTGGCCTCCCCAAATGCTGAGATTACAGGCATAAGCCACCGCACCTGGCCAAAAGGAGAAATTTCAGTATAATGAAAGACACTGTAGCTGGGCGTGGTGGCTCACACCTGTAATCCCAGCACTTTGGGAGGCCGAGGTAGGCGGATCACCTGAGGTCAGTAGTTCAAGACAAGCCTGACCAACATGGAAAAACCCCGTCTCTACTAAAAATACAAAATTAGCTGGGCGTGGCAGCACATGCCTGTAATCTCAGCTACTCGGGAGGCTGAGGCAAGAGAATCATTTGAACGCAGGAGGCAGAGGTTGTGGTGAGCTGAGATCATGCCACTGCACTCCAGCCTGGGCAATGAGCGAAACTTTGTCTCAAAACAAACAAACAAAAAACAACAAAGGCCGGGCACGGTGGCTCACACCTGTAATCCCAGCCCTTTGGGAGGCCGAGGCGGGCGGATCACAAGGTCAGGAGATCGAGACCATCCTGGCCAACACGGTGCAAACCCCGTCTCTACTAAAAATACAAAAAATTAGCGGGGCATGGTGGCGGGCGCTTGTAGTCCCAGCTACTCGGGAGGCTGAGGCAGGAGAATGGTGTGAACCCAGGAGGTGGAGCTTGCAGTGAGCCGAGATGGCACCACTGCACTCCAGCCTCAGCAACAGAGTGAAACTGTGTCTCAAAAAAAAAAAAAAAAAAGACTGTAAACAAAGAGGTAACAGGCTGAGACGAAATATCACGGAGAATGAAATACTAGACTATGTTAAAAAAAACTTACAGATCAGGCAAAGAAAAAAAAAGAAAATCCTGTAGAAAAATAGGTAAAAAAATAGGAATTGGCAAGTCATAGAAGAACTAAAATGGCAAACGAACAGAAAAAGATGCTCAACTGCACCAAGAGTCAAGTAAAAATGGAAAGTAAAACAATGTCAATTTTTAAAAATCCATCAGACTGGCAAAGTTAAAAGAAAATTAATCCCATAAAAATTGCAGTGATAGCAGAGAATGGGGAGGAAATTTCCACACATCGCCGGGAATGTACATCTGAGTTTCCCATCTGGCACGCACTCTGGCCATGGCTCATGATGCTTCAGCAATATGCTATTTTGTCCTAGAGGTGAACTCATGCTTACTTGGCTGTCCCAGAGGAATGCATGTGTGCAGAGAAGCATGTGCAGGGACCCCCCCTACACCACTGAGGGGCAAAGAGGTTGAGATAGTGGCAGGCTCTGTGGCTCATGCCTGTGATCCTAGCACGGTGGGTGGCCAAAGCGAGAGAAATGCTTGAGACCAGGAGGTCGAGACCAGCCCTGGCAACACAGTGAGACCCAGTCTCTACTAAAAATAAAATTAGGGAGGCTGAGATGGGCAGATCATCTGAGGTCAGGAGTTCAAGACCAGCCTGGCCAATATGGTGAAACCCCGTCTCTACTAAAAACACAAAAAATTAGCTGGGAGTGGTGGCAGGCACCTGTAATCCCAGCTACTCGGGAGGCTGAGGTAGAAGAATTGCTTGAACCCGGGAGACAAAGGTTAGAGTGAGCCGAGAGATAGCGCCACTGCTCTCCAGCATGGGTGACAGAGCAATACTCCGTCTCTAAATAAATAAATAATTTTTGTAAAAAAAGAGAGAAACCATATCATTGCATTATGAAGTATTATGCGGCAGTGAAAATACATGATGTGGATCTCTGGCTGTCACAATATGATGTGTAGGTACAACAATGTCACATTGTGCACCTTCAGGATACACAATTGCCATCAAATGTCTCAACATACAAATAAAAGGACAGGCCAGGTGCAGGGACTCACACCTGTAATCCAAGTGCTTTGAGAGGCCGAGGTTTGGAGGATCATTTGAAGCCAGGTCGTCGAGACCAGCCTGGGCAACATAGCAAAACCCAGTCTCTACAAAAAAAAATTAAAAAATTAGGCCGGGCACGGTGGCTCACGCCTATAATCCCGGCACTTCGGGAGGCTGAGGCGGGCGGATCACCTGAGGTCAGGAGTTCAAGACCAGCCTAGCCAACATGGTAAAACCCCGTCTATACTAAAAATACAAAAATTAGCCAGGTGTGGTAGCATGTGCCTGTAATCCCAGCTACCTGGGAGGCTGACACAGAAGAATCACTGGAACCCGGGAGGTGGACGTTGCAGTGAGCTGAGATCGCACCACTGTACTGCAGCCTGGGTGACAGAGTGAGACTCCATCTCAAAAAAAATAAAAATAAAAAATTAGCCAGGCATGGTGGCACATGCCTGTAGTCCCAGCTACTCGGGAAGGCTGAGGTGACAGGATCACCAGACCCTGAGAGGTCAAGGCTGTGGTGAGCTTTGATTGTGCAACTGCACTACAGCCTGGGTGACAGTGAGACCCTGCCTCAAAAAATAAATAAAGGCCAGATACATTAAAAAGAATGAAATACATCTAAATGTGGCAACATGGCACAAATCTGAGATAGCTAAGTACACATGTGTATAAATACAGTGAGTGGAGCAGGGAAAGGCACTGAAGGACCCCTAACATTGGAGATGGGCTCCCTCTGGGTAAAGGGGAAGGAGGGCTGTGGTTTCCATGCACAGATGGTGGCTCAGAAGGTCTGAGATGCCAGGTGACCGACGCCAGGCAGGGAAAGTAAACCTTTGTGAATTGTACTGTTGTTTTACAGCTAAACGTGCTCCCTCCTTAAGCCTAAGTTTCCCAAGGGTAAAAACATGGTGAATTTCTCTTACGCCTAACACAAAATTATTCATGAAGTAACCTCTGAAAACAGCACTGTTTAATCAGACATGCCACTTTTTACCTCTTTGGGACAAAGCGAAGGACAAAATATTGAGCCTCAAGACTTAACCAGAAATGGAAGTGCCCTAGGTCACTGGAGGCTCCCTCCCTCCTAATGAGAGAAGCTGGCTGGGGAGAGACCCTTTCACTTTCAGAAAGGAAAAGTCTAGCAGAGCTGAAACCCAAAAGCAAAGGCAGCCGGCTGCTCACCTTGGGGGCCTGTGGAGTCTTTGGTTTCTGGAAGAACCTCGTGATTTCGGCCTTCTCTGCTTTAATGCGCTGTGATGTTAAGAGATGGTGATGAGAAAGAGGAGAGGAAGAGGAACAGTATGTGTTGCAAAACATGCAAAGGCCCCCAGAACCGAACGTCAAGCATTTTAGCTTGAAGGCACTACTGTGATTTTCAGCTCTCAAAACCCACGGACCCGCAACTGAGCCAGCCAATCTCAAAATGTCCAAGTTGCCCTTGTGGGTAGAAGTGCCAGGATTGCAGGGCCAGTAGGCATGTGACAGCCAGCACTGGGAAGAAGCAACAAGAACGCATCTAGACAGACTCGCCCTCCCTGCGGGCGCCATTTGGTTTCCCCAAACCAAGAGAATATTAGGTGACGGCTGTGGCAAGAATTCCACTTTGGGCATCTGCTTCTCCAACGGGCTGGGACGGGGAAGCTCTGTGGGAAACACTCTACCTTCTCTTCTTCTCTTAACCGTTTCTCTTCTTCCTTTTTCCTTTTTTCCTCAAGTTTAGCCCTGTGAGACAGCAAATGACATTTCAGCCGACTCTTTGCTTTGGCTCTGGAAGGGACCGCAGCACTCAACTGTTAGTATATGGCAAGTATTTCATTTTACATTAAATGAATATAAGTTATTTTCATGTCTAGTATAAGGCTTTTACATAGGTCTTCACAATAAAAATGGAAAACAGTCAATAAAATTCTTCCTGTGACTAGAATATATATAAAAAACTTTAGCCAGTCAGAGCACAATTAGCACAGACAAAACCCACAATCCTGCAATGCAAATGCCTAAGTTGGTTGGGAACTGGAAGGATGGTCACAGCAGAGACAAGGGGTCCAGGGTGAGTTGGACGTGGGGGAGCACTAAAGAGCAGGGAGCTGCTTTCCACCGCTCCCACGTCAGGGCCCCACGGGCACCTCACGAAGGAGAAATGGGAAGGAACTGAAGGGAGCCGCCATCTGCCTGTGAAGTGGAAAGGCCCCATCAGAGTGGCCAGGAGCGGAATCCAGCAGCAGGGTGGCGGGCCCAGCATGGCCTCCAAGGACACTCACTCCAGGGCTTCCTGTCTCTCCTTGCGCCGCTCCTCCTTGAGCCGCTGCTTCTCCGCCTTCTCCTTCTCATCCTTCTCCCGCTTCTCCCGCCTCTCCTTTTCCTTAAGCTCCTTCTCTTCCTCCTTCTTCTTCTTGGCCTCCTCCTTGGCCCGCTTGGCCTCCTCTTTCAGCTTCTCCTTTTCTTCCCTTTCTGCACGTAACTTGAGCTGCTTGCCCAGACGCTCCTGATCCTACAAGACAGTGTGGCAAGTGACAGGTGGCCCTCCCTCCAACTCCCAGGAGGAAGCTCGGTTCACAGCATGGAGGACAGCACGGCCTGGACGGGATGAACAGAATTGAGGGACCAAGGCTAGGCATGGTGGCTCACGCCTGTAATTCCAGCACTTTGGGAGGCTGAGGTGGGTAGATCACCTGAGGTCAGGAGTTTGAGACCAGCCTGGTCAACAGGGTGAAACCCTGTCTCTACTAAAAATACAAAAATTGGCTGCGCGCGGTGGTTCACGCCTGTAATCCCAGCACTTTGGGAGGCCGAGGCAAGTGGATCACCTGAGGTCAGGAGTTCGAGACCAGCCTGGCCAAGATGGTGAAACCCCATCTCTACTAAAAATATTTTTAAAAAAAACTAGCCAGGCATGGTGGGCGCCTGTAATCCCAGCTACTGGGGAGGCTGAGGCAGAAGAATTGCTTGAAACCAGGAGACGGAGGTTGCAGTGAGCCAACACGGTGCCACTGCACTCCAGCATCAGTGACAGAGTGAGACTCCATTTAATAAAAAAAAAAAAAAAAATTAGCCAGGCGTGGTGGAGGGTACCCGTAGTCCCAGCTACTCAGGAGGCTGGGGCAGGAGAATCACTTGAACCAGGAGACGTAGGGTGCAGTGAGCTGAGGTCACACCACTGCACTCCAGCCTGGGCAACTGAGACTCAGTTAAAAAAATAAATGAATAAATAAGAATTCAGAGACCAGCTCCAGGAGGAGCCTCCAGTCAACAACTTTACACAGAAGTGATTTTATTTTTCTTGAGACAAAGTCTACTCTGTTGCCCATGGTGGAGTGCAGTGGTGCAGTCATAGCTGGCTGCAGCCTCGACCTCCCAGGCTCAAGTGATCCTCCCACCTCAGGCTCCTGAGTAGCAGGGGCTATAAGCACACACCACTATACCCAGCTATTTTTGTAATTTTCCTAGAGATGGGGTTTTGCTGTGTTGCCCAGGCTGGTCTTGAACACGTGGCCTCAAACAATCCTTCTGCCTTAGCCTCCCAAAGTGTTGGAATTATAGGCATGAGCCCCAGCACCCAGCCACAGAAGTGATTTTCATAATCCATTATGCTTCCTTCCATCATGAGAAAAATGTTAAGAATTAGCCCTGTGTCCTGGTACTTGTGGGAAATTCAATATAAGATTCATTTAAAACACAATCCTGCTGGGCTGAGGGGGCTCACACCTATAATCCCAGCACTTTGGGAGGCTGAGGCAGACAAATTGCTTGAGGCCAGAAGTTTGAGACCAGCCTGGCCAAGAAGGTGAAACCCCAAGTCTACCAAAAATACAAAAAAATTAGCTGAATGTGGTGGCGCACACCTATAGTCCCAGCTACTCAGGAGTCTGAGGCACAAGGATCGCTTAAACCCACAAGGCAGTTCAAGATCACGCCACGGCACTGCAGCCTGGGTGACAGAGCAAGACTCTGTCTGAAAAACAAAACAAAAAAACATTATTTATTTATTTGGAGATAGAGTCTCATTCTAGTGCCCAGGCTGGAGGGAGTGCAGCAATGCTATCTTGGCTCACTGCAACCTCCGTCCTGGGCTCAAATCAGTCCTCCTGCCTCAGCCTCCCGAGTAGCTGGGACCACAGGCACCTGTCACCACACCTGGCTAATTTTTGTAGAGATGGAGTCTCACTATGTTGCCCAGACTGATCTTTAACTCCTGCGCTCAAGCAATCTGTCCACCTCAGCCTCCCAAAGTGCTAGGATTACAGGCATGACCCATTGCAACCAGCCCAGGAATTCTTTTTCTTTTTAGTAGAGACACTACGTTGCCCAGGCTTGTCTCAAACTCCTGGGCTCAAGAAATCCTCCCACTTTGGCCTCCCAAAGTGTGGGATTATGGGGGCGAGCCACTACGCCCAGCCTTGTTTCAAATTCTTTAAGGAAGTAACACTTCATCACTACGTTCCTCATTCCAAAGACTTGGCAGTGGCCTGGGACACTCAGTCATTACGTAATCTGAAGTTCAATGTTAAACATGCTCAGCCAGGCGCAGGCTCCCACCTGTAATCCCAGCACTTTGGGAAGCCGAGGCAGGCGGATTACTTGAGGTCAGGAGTTCGAGACCAGCCTGGCCAACATGGTGAAACCCCGTCTCTACTAAAAATACAAAAATTAGCTGGGCATGAAGGCACGTGCCTGTAATCCCAGCTTCTTGGGAGACCGAGGCAGGAGAATCGCTCGAACCTGGGAGGTGGAGGTTGCAGGGAGCCGAGATCACGCCGCTGCACTCCAGCATGGGCAACAGAGCGAGACTGTCTCAAAATAAAAAAAAAAAACGCTCACCTGCCCAGCTCCACAGGTGCCCGCTCCTAACACTGCATGAGGACCACCTCTCATCCAATATGGGCTTCCCACACGTCTGGAGCCTGACAGCTCAGCTTTCAGTTTGGGTTAGGATATCTGCCCTTGTCTCTAAGGAAAAATTCTAAATGTGTTCCAATACATCTCTGGTAGCTTTAACAAAAGCCACAGAGACACAGCCTGGAAGATGTCTGATGTGCATTTCCTGCCAGTGTGCTGTGTGACTGCATCTGATATACGAGACACACGAGGAAGGTGACCGTCTGGACTGAACAAGGAGACTATAAACATAACTGGGTGAAGAGTCTCCCACCCTGTTGCTAAGCAGGAAATAGAAGGCTTCTAGAAACTGCAGGTGAATCAGATTTCTTCAGCCGCCGTTGGATACTTTCTCCGCTCCCCAACCCGGTGTGCGGGACTCGGAGGTTCCAATGAGCTTTAAAAGTGCTCTTGTTCCAAAGAATGAGATAAACTGTAAAAATAAAAATCAGGCTGGGCGTGGTGGCTCACACCTGTAGTCCCAGCACTTTGGGAAGCCAAGGTGGGTGGATCACCTGAAGTCAGGAGTTTGAGACCAGCCTGACAAACATAGCGAAACCCTGTCTCTACTAAAAATACAAAAAATTATCCAGGCGTGGTGGCTCGTGCCTATAATCCCAGCTACTCGAGAGGCTGAGGCAGGAGAATCGCTTGAACCCGGGAGGTAGAGGCTGCAGTGAGCCGAGATTGCACCACTACACTCCAGCCTGGGCAACAGAGACTGTGTCTCAATAAAAAAAAAAGTAATAAAATAAAAATCAACCCCAAATCTGAAACACAAAAACTCAGTGTGGCCATCAGGAAGCTCAGGAAACGCCCAGTGAACATCAGGGAGCTCAGGAAACACTCAGTAAACGCAGAGCCCATGGTCACCAGGCCCCTCCTGTGAGCTGGCACTGCATAGGCAAAGCCCAGAGGCCTTCCCTGGAGTTTTGGTTTGTTTCGGTATGACATGATGT
Organism: Homo sapiens; assembly: GCF_000001405.40. NCBI lineage: Eukaryota > Metazoa > Chordata > Mammalia > Primates > Hominidae > Homo > Homo sapiens. Next base: position 4,419,222 of record NC_000019.10, on the reverse strand, counting down.
TCAATTTCTCTAACCTTTAAGCAATAAGTAAAAAGTCCCCTGCGGCCAGGTGTAGTGGCTCAGGCCTGTAATCCTAGCACTTTGGGAGGCTGAGACGGGAGGATTGCCTGAGCTCAGGAGTTTGAGACCAGCCTGGGCAACATGGTGAACCCCATCTCTACTAAAATACAAAAAAAAAAAAAAAAAAAAAAAATTAGCTGGCTATGGCAGCAAGTGCCTGTAGTCCCAGCTACTCGGGAGGCTGAGGCAGAAGAACCGCTTGAACCCGGGAGGCAGAGGTTGCAGTGAGCCGAGATCGTGCCACTGCACTCCAGTCTGGTGACAGAGCAAGACTCCGTCTCAAAGACAAAACAAAACAAAAGCCCCCTGCATTGCTGTGTGGAAAACGTGGTGATGCCCCCCACAGAATAGGAGACTAAGCAGAGAGTCACTAAAGGATAACCACCCATCGAGTGTAGAGGCTATTCAGATGTTATAGCACTTAGCAATAAGTGAAAGACACAGGACTGGCCAGGCGCGGCGGCTCACACCTGTAATCCCAGCACTCTGGGAGGCCGAGGCGGGCGGATCACGAGGTCAGGAGATCGAGACCATCCTGGCTAACATGGTGAAACCCCGTCTCTACTAAAAATACAAAAAATTAGCCAGGCGTGGTGGTGGATGCCTGTAGTCCCAACTACTGGGGAGGCTGAGCCAGGAGAATGGCGTGAACCTGGGAGGTGGAGCTTGCAGTGAGCCGAGATCGCACCACTGCACCCCAGCCTGGGTGGCAGAGCGAGACTCTGTCTCAAAAAAAAAAAAAAAAAAAAAAAAGAGACAGGACTACAAGGAAATGGACTGGGTTTTTGGAAGGTAATTTGAAGCTACAATGGGATACTGAACCATTAAGACAGTGGTAGCACTATTGATAAAAGCTTAGAAAAGGCCACACACAAAACCTTAGGACTCACTCAGCAAGCCAAAAAATGACACAATCCACAAACCATGAAGTCCAAGTACTTAAAATGAAGCAGGAATCAAAATGATGGTCAGAGAAGGCTGGGGAAAATGTAAAAACTAGACCAAAGGAACTTCAAAGGGCTTTGCTTACTATTTAATGCAAAAAGCACAGCAGGTTAATTTTCTATTTCAGGGAAAATGTCTTACTCTTTGCAGTCTGAGCTTGTTCTTCTCTGTAGAGCCTTTGACGAATTTCTTAGTTATCTGAAAACAGAAGACGTTTATCTTTAAACACGGGTTATTTCAATTGCTTCGAGAAAAAGAGAAACCTTTCCAGGTGATCAGTTTTTCCACCAACAGAACCAAAATGTCATAATAGGGTCACAAACTCCAGTAAGTGTGCATACATGTGTGTATCTGGGATTAGATAACAAGAGAGACTACGGAGGCAGATAAAGAAATGAGTGAAGGACACCAAGCACAAGAAAAACAAGGCAAGCTCAGAAATAAAGGCAACAGACAAGGCTGGGCGCGGTGGCTAACGCCTGTAATTCCAGCACTTTGGGAGGCCGAGGCAGACAGATCACCTGAGGTCAGGAGTTCGAGACCAGCCTGGCCAACGTGGCAAAACCCCATCTCTACTAAAAATACAAAAATTAGCCGAGCGTGGTGGCAGGTGCCTGTAATCCCACCTACTCAGGAGGCTGAGGCAGAAGAATCGCTTGAACCCAGGAGAAGGAGGTTGCAGTGAGCCGAGATTGCGCCACCATACTCCTGCCTGGGCAACAGGGTGAGACTCTGTCTTAAAAAAAAAAAAAAAAAAAAAGCGACAGCTGGCCTGGGCGACAGGGAGAGGATGGATTTGTAGCAAAGGAGAGAGGACCTGCCTGTCCAAAGGAGATGGAGTTCTTACAGGAATATAGATCCCTATTTGCTGGTCCTTCCAATTTCTCCAAGAGAAGCTGATATTAGGAATTTCATATGAATTTTTTTAGGTGTTTAAAAATGGACACAGACGGGCACAGTGGCTCATGCCTGTAATCCCAGCACTTTGGGAGGTCAAGGCGGGAGGATCACTTGAGCCCAGGAGTTCAAGACCAGCCTGGGCAATAAAGCAAGACCCTGTCTCTAAAAAAAGCTTTTAGTTAGTCGGGTGTTGTGGTGCACATCTGTAGTCCTAGCTACCCAGGAGTCTGGGGTGGGAGGAGCCCGGGAGGTTGAGGCTGCACTGAGCTGTCCAACCTGGGTGACAGAGTGAGACTGTCTAAAAAAAAAATAAAAAGATACTAAATTAATCAAATAAAACATGTCTCCAGGCTGGTTTCCTGTGCACCACTAATTTACATTCTGTCTAGCTCAACTCTGCTTTTTATTTTAATGTTATTTTTGAGATGGAGTCTTACTCCTGTCACAGAGGCTGGAGTGCAGCGAGTGCCACGATCTCGGCTCACTGCAACCTCTACCTCCCAAGTTCAAGCGATTCTCCTGCCTCAGCTTCTTGAGTAGCTGGGATTATAGGCGTGTGCCACCACACCTGGCTAATTTTTGTATTTTTAGTGGAGATAGGGGTTTCATCATGTTGGCCAGGCTGGTCTCGAACTCCTGACCTCAGGTGATCCACCCGCCTCGCCTCCCAAAGTGCTAGGAATTCAGGCGTGAGCCACCGCGCCCAGCCAACTCTGCTTTTTAGAATGTGGAGTGAAAGCTTAAGACAAAAGGGAAACTTGCTGGGGTTTTCTAGGACTTCTACCTTCTAGGGCACAATATTTTCTATCACCTACCTTCAAACTGAGCATGAGCTACTAGGAATTACCAATAGGATCCATGGTGTGACTCACCATCCACCTAAATGGTCCCAGGAAGGAAGACGAACAGGGAGTCTGGACTTTGGCCTAAGCTATCTCCCACCGGGGCAGGGAATCCTGAAAACCAAACTAGTAGAAGTGAAGAGCAATGGGAAGAGACGCTTAAGAGTGGGAAGAAATAGTTCTCCGGGTTCATTGCAGACTTGCAGTGTAAGACTGAAGTTGACTGAAAAACCAAAGGCCCATTTTCCTGGCAATGGTCTGAGGGGTCAACAAAATTATGTAAGTGATTTCTTTTTTTTTTTGAGACGGAGTCTCGCTCTGTCGCCCAGGCTGGAGTGCAGTGGCGCCATCTCGGATCACTGCAAGCTCCGCCTCCCGGGTTCAAGCGATTCTCCTGCCTCAGTCTGCCCAGTAGCTGGGACTATAGGTGCCCACCACCATGCCTGGGTAATTTTTTTGTATTTTTAGTAGAGATGGGGTTTCACCATGTTAGCCAGGATGGTCTCGATCTCCTGACCTCGTGATCCGCCCGCCTCGGCCTCCCAAAGTGCTGGGATTAAAGGCGTGAGCCACCGCGCCCGGCCAACAGTGATTTCTTTATCTGGGAAAGCTGAACCCCTGACTAGGACCTCTCACAGAATAAAAGCTTCAGATGAATGAGCTCAAGACAGCCTTTCCACCTGGGTCCCACTGAGTCCTTTCTGGACTAAACCTTTCTTTAGGGAAAGGCCGAGCCGTTGTGAGAAGGCTGCCCGTGTTGGCAGGAGCTCTTTCACCACCGAGATCAGGCCAGGGTGTTCAGTCTTTGCTGAGAATGTGGCAACAGAAATGCCAGCCCGAGGCAGCCTCACCAAATGCTGCAGAAAAAGCATCTGTCTCTCCAGCATCTACTCTGCCTGCCAAGGCTGTGTGCCTCTCCCCCACGCTGAGGGATTTAACTGCAGAATATGGGAGCCGCAGCTCTCCGGGGCTGCCCTTTGTGTTCAGAGATTATAATACGGAATGTGGTCTTGGGGTGGCGGGGAATTCAGTTCCTTAGTCTTGCCCATGCCTGAAGCTCAGCTGCAGAATCTCCTGCCTCTTACAATGCCCCCCCTCTGCTGTGAGTCCAGAGATAACAGACTTGATGTGACTGGCAAGAGCCCGCTCAGTAATATCCAACAACCAAAACAGAGCAATTACTGCTTAATTTAAAACTGGTATCTTTTTTGCTTTGCCAAACCCTCAGATGGACCTTGAAGTCTGACAGAACTTTATCTTCTTGAAATTTGACCCAAGTGTTTATAGATCTCACTCTCAAAATTCTATGCAACACTCCCACATTCTACCCAGCTGGAGCCCGGTCAGACAGCACCCTCAACTGCCAAAAACGTGATCCAGGATCCCAGAAGGAAGCCAAAACACAAAAACCGACAATCCCAAGGAGTCGCGACAGAGCTCACTATGTGTGGGCATGAAAATTCCTGCACCCTTTCTCAGATAATCCTCTCAGAGCCTATGGACTCTGATTTTATACTAAAGGGTATCTAATTTCTAAGCCCAGACCAGATAAGCCGCTAAAACCTGACAGCAGGGGAGCGGAGGCAGGGGGGAAAAGAGAAAACCTCCAATTGGCCCAAGCATGAGAGAGTGCAAGCTGGGAAAATAAGAACGCACGCATTGCCTTGAGCTACCAAGACCTCATTCTCCTTAACAGCCCAAGGCCACTTGTAGAAGGAAGCTCAAGGGAACAATCATTTTGTGAAAGCCAAGCACAGAAACAGCAGAACTGAGAAAACAGCTCTGTAACCTACAGCATGTCCACACCATGGGATATCACGCAGCTGTTAAAAAGAGCTCCATCTTTCCATCCCAATATAAAAAACATCTAAGACACCCTTGAGTAACAAAGACAGATATTTACAGTATATGTCATACACAAGGAAACAAAATGATACTGGGTGTTTCCTAGAGATCTCTCTGGATATACAGGACACAGAAAAACACAAGGTGATGATGATGATAATAATGGCAACCTCCTGGGAGAACAGAGGGCTTCAAGGTTTCCATTCTTTTTCCTTTTTGTTTTTTTTTTTTTTTGAGACGGTCTGGCTGTTGCCCAGGCTGGAGCACAGTGGTGCAATCATGACTCACCGCAACCTCTGCCTCCTTGGCTCAAGTGATCCTTCCACCTCAGCCTCCCAAGGAGCTGGGACTACAGGTGTGCACCCCCATGCCCCGCTATTTTTTGTATTTTTTGTACAGACGGAGTTTCACCATGTTGGTCAAGCTGGTTTCGAACTCCTAAGCTCAAGCAATCCTCCCACCTCGGCTTCCCAAAGTGCTGGGGTTACAGGCTTGAGCCACTGCACCTAGACCAGTATTTCTTTTAAACATGGAGAATTTATTACAAATGTAATTTCAAGTATATGGAAAGAAGTTCCAGCAATCTGGGCACAGAAGCAAGCCAAAGATTCCAGTAACACAACTGCACCAACATGATCATTTGTCAAATAATCATCTCGATCACTAACAGAAGAGGCTAAATCACAAGTCTGATTGCAAACTTCAGAAATGGTTCTTTCCCACATGGTAGAAAACTCTAATACTAAAAAGGAACACTTCAGCTATTCAAAGGACCCTGGGAGTATCTAAAGGGGGATCTTTTTAAATCATTGTTTCTCCAAAGTGAGATTCTCCAGATCCTGCAGTACTAAAACAACAACAAAAACCAAAACAAACAAAAACACGCCATGAAGCTCCCTGCAAAGGGACAGCAGGACCTGTATCGGAACAAACTCCCATTTTCTTTTATTTTAAAGAAGAAATAATAAAGAAGGCAAGCCAGCCCACAAAGTACAGTGGCAATGACTGCCCTGGGACTCTCAATGCATATTTCACTGTACCAACTCAAGGAAGAACAGACCCCAGTGACAAGCACACAGATTACACGGCAGTGCGAAACAATCTGCAAGCTTCCCACCAGCTCGCCCCTGCAATCTGGAAAGAGCTGCTGGTAGGGAGGTAAAGTGCAAAAACAGTGTATTCCCCAGAGGAACAGGGGTTGTGGGAAGGGGGTGGCTTGGACGTCACGGCAAGGAAAGGTGTTAAGAGTTAGGTACCAACTGGCCAGGCGCGGTGGCTCACACCTGTAATCCCAGCACTTTGGGAGGCCGAGGCGGGCGGATCACGAGGTCAGGAGTTCGAGACCAGCCTGTCCAACACGGTGAAACCCCATCTCCACTAAAAATACAAAAATTAGCTGGGCCTGGTGGCGCGTGCCTGTAATCCCAGCTACTTGGGAGGTTGAGACAGGAGAATTGCTTGAACCCAGGAGGCAGCGGTTGCAGGAGCCAAGATCACGCCATTGCACTCCAACCTGGGCAAAAGAGTGAGATTCCGCCTCAAAAAAAATAAAAAATAAAAAAGAGTTAGGTACCAACTATGAAGCAAGCAAACCAACCAAACCAGAAATGCAGGACTCCTTAAAGGTTCGGAGATAAAGTAGGGGTTGGGGATGGAGTCTCTCTCAGCTGGGATCTCAGGGATCCCTGCCATCAGGGCATGAGGAGGCCTCCCGATAATCGCTTCCCTCATAGCTTCGGTGACTGACAGGCCCTCTGCGGGTGGTTGTGGCCGCTTTCTGCCATAGGCTCTGGGCCAGCCTGAAGCCTTTACCACTTGTAAATTATCTGAAAAGTTGGGATAATATTGCCTTCAAGTGCATCCCAAAACCTCGAGTCTGTGTTCAGAACAAGATCTAGCGTCCTAAATGCAGGGTTTCCTAAATGTTGCACACTGGGTTCATGTGCTCAGTTGTTTTAGAAAGCGGGCAGGATTGTGCCACCATGATGCCCAACGAGGGGACTTCCCAGTTTGCAGACTAAGCTGTGGACATGGAAACAAACTTAATGGAAACATGTGCTTGTGTCCTGTCCTTTTTTTTTTTCTTGAGACGGAGTTTTGTTCTTGTTACCCAGGCTGGAGTGCAATGGCACGATCTCAGGCCACCGCAACCTCTGCCTCCTGGGTTCAAGCGGTTCTCCCGCCTCAGCCTCCGGCGTAGCTGGGATTACAGGCAAGCGTCACCATACCCAGCTAATTTTCTGTATTTTTAGTAGAGACGGGGTTTCTCCATAATGGTCAGCCTGGTCTTGAACTCTCGACCTTAGGTGATCCACCCGCCTCGGCGTCCCAAAGTGCTGGGATTGCAGGTGTGAGCCACCGCGCCCAGCCATGTGTCCCGTTCTTGCTAAATGGCTCACATCACAGGACGAAATTTTGCAAAGCGGCAGCAGCCTGGAAGAAATTCAAGTGATCGAATGTACACTACAGGATGCCCAATGGGGAGAGACTTCAACTCTGATTTTGGGAGATTGAGTGGTGGATTAGGTAGAAGCTGAAATGTGTACATGCCAGTCTGGCACATTTAGTAACTTAGAAGAGGGTACTAGGCTTAGTACCTGAGTGATAAAATAATCTGTACAACAAACCCCCACGACAAGAGTTTACCTATATAACAAACCAGCACATATAAAACAAAGTAGAAGACTGGGGCGGTGGCTCATGCCTGTAATCCCAGCACTTTGGGAGGCCGAGGCAAGCGGATCACCTGAGGTCAGAAGTTTGAGGCCAGCCTGGCCAACATGGTGAAACCCGTCTCTACTGAAAAGATACAAAAATTAGCCAGGCGTGGTGGTGGGCACCTGTAATCCCAGCTACTCAAGAGGCTGACGCAGGAAAATCGCTTGAACCTAGAAGGTGGAGGCTGCAGTAGGCTGAGACCATGCCATTGCCCTCCAGCCTGGGCGACAGGGTGAGACCATGTCTCAAAAAAAAAAAAAAAAAAAAAGATTTGCACCATTTTTACAACATTTCATAAACCTAAAGAGGAAGCCATTTTTTCCTTTTTCATCTTCTCAGGTGAAAGACAAGAAATGAAGTCATTCAGAAAAATAAATGCTCTTGGCCAAGCACAGTGGCTCACGCCTATAATCCCAGAAACTTGGGAGGCCAAGGCGGGTGGATTACCTGAGGTCAGGAGTTTGAAATCAGTCTGGCCATCATGGCAAAACCCCGTCTCTACTAAAAATACAAAAATTAGCTGGGCATGGTGGCGGGTGCCTCTAATCCCAGCTACTTGAGAGGGTGAGGCAGGAGAATTGCTTGAACCCAAGAGGCGGAGGTTGCAGTGAGCTGAGATGGCGCCATTGTACTCCAGCCTGGGTGACAGAGCAAGACTCTGTCTCAAAAATAAATAAATAAATGGTTCCTTAGAGCTCAAAATCCCGAAAGCGAACAAGGTTGGTGGTTTATGGTCCAGGTGGTCTACTGTACCTGCTTACAGGTACAGATTAAATGACCCATCTCAGGATCTACTACTCTCATATAAAGACCCAACATGAACAAACAAAAGTGCTACAAAACCAAAAACATAAAAAGGCACTGTCTCTTCTGGTTCTACATACTTAAGATAAAAAGTAAAAAATTATAAAATCAAAAGACACCACTAAACACCGTGGGACTCGTGACTGATTTTATCAGTTTGGTCCCTAAGACCTTAAGGACACCATTGTGCTAATAAAAAATCAATAACAGAGACAGACCATGCAAAAGTCCCCCTTATGGGGTCCTTAAAAATGGTTCCAGATGGGGTCTCGCTCTGTCACCCAGGCTGGAGCGCGGCAGTGTGATCATAGCTCGCTGCGGCCTCCAACTCCTCAGCTCAAGTGATCCTCCTGCCTCAGTTTCCCAGGTGGCTGGGACTACAGGCATGTGCCACCATGCCTGGATAACTTTTAAAAATTTTTTTGCAGGGCTGGGTGCAGTGGCTCATGCCTATAATTCCAGCACTTTGGGAGGCCAAGACGGGCAGATTACTTGAGGTCAGAAATTCAAGACCAGCCTGGCCAAGATAGTGAAACCCTGTCTCTACTAAAAATATAAAAATTAGCCAAGTGTGGTGGTGCGCACCTGTAATCCCAGCTATCAGGGATGCTGAGGCAGGAGAATCGCTTGAACCTGGGAGGTGGAGGTTGCAGTGAGCCGAGATCACGCCACTGAACTCCAGCCTGGGTGATAGAGTGACTCTGTCAAAAAAAAAAAAAAAAGTAATTTTTTTTCATAGAGATGGTGTCTATGTTGCCCAGGTTGGTTTTGAAGTGATCTTCAAGCGATCCTCCCACCTCGGCCTCTCAAAGTGCTGGGATGACAGGCATGAGCCACTGTGCCTGGCCCCAGGTAAGGTTTTTAAGATGGCTGGCTGTGCTGACCCTACAGAATTCCCCAAGTCATGCTTCCTGCCGTCTCACTGCCACTTCAGTGCTCAGTGTCTTTGCAGCCCCGTCCCTACATTTCTATGCTTAGACAGGAAGGGCACAGAGAAAGCTGGACCTCGAATCTGAAGTGAGGGGTTACAGCACCAGCTCAGATCCTAATTCCCTAAAACGGCTAAGCTATCACTGATTAGATGTGAACAACGAAGGCAAAACAGCAGGGTGTTATTCACACAGTACACCAGGTACACTGTTGATGAATTAAGTCCCAGGGGCATCACAACGAATGCAGAACTGAACACTGTGAGTTTTGATACCAGGAAGAACTCCACGTCGAGTCCCAGGACCCAGCCCGTGGCCCCGCTCACTCTGCCACAAAACACCTGGGTGACCCAGTGGAGACTGACAGCGCTCTGAGATCCGTGAGCACTGATGTGCAGGGACTCCATGGGAGATACTCACTCTGCGGAGGGGCGTGGAGGTGGGGAAGGGACTGGTACTGCTGTGCTGCTTTGGGGGAGCAGGCGGCCCCTCGGGCGAGCTGGTGGAAGAGGGAGAGCTCAGGGACGAATGGCTGAGTACAGAGTCTTCTTCGGGGAAAGATTCCAGCACCTCACTCTCAGGGGTCATGTTCTTGCCTTGGGGTGTGGCTGGAAGGGACTTGATTTGCGGTGGTCTCACAGCCAAGATGTCCTGCAAGACCACCATAGGCACCTTCCCTTTGAACAGGATGCCCCCAGCTTCACTCCAACTGTCCTGCTCCTTTCTGGGGCACATTCTCGGGCCACTCGTCAGCTCCGGGCAGCTCCGTGGCGAACATTCCTGGGAGTCGCCTCTCCTCCCTGCACCTCCACAGCCAACACCCTCCTCCTCTGTTTTGCAAGGAATGTCTGAAAGGGTCTCTCCAGGAAATGCCAACTTGTCGTTCTGAATGGCCTTCAACAACCCCTGCTGATCCCCAGTGTCTTCTCGCTGGCCATTTATTGCCTCCCTGGAGGGAGAGGCTTCAGAATTTAGTTTATTGTGGTCCACAAGACTGTCTGGCTGCTCATTCGAGTCCTCTGTCAAATCAATGATGACTGTGCTCTGGCCAATACTGGTTTCGATTCTATTTCTTAAAAAGTTATCTAAGGGACCCTTCCCGTTGACAAGTTTCGGTCTAAAGTCTATGTCAGAACCCACATGACAGTTGTTTTCCAAGGTGTCCAAAGAGGCCTCTAAATCGGGGCTTTTACTTTGCACAGAAGTACCCTGATCGTCTGACATGTCATCGGCTTTCCCCTTTGGGACAAGATTCAGGCGCTTAAACGGCAGACGGGCTGAAACAAAGACAGAAAGCCATCTCTAGTGAACGTTTAAAGTTACAACCACTCATGAGCTTGAAAATTACTGATTTGTTGGGACATGGGGGTGGGAGATAATTTTAAAGTTTAAAAAGGGACTATCTGGGCCGGGTGTGGTGGCTCATGCCTGTAATCCCAGCACTTTGGGGAGGCCGAGGCAAGCAGATCACAAGGTCAGGAGTTTGAGACCAGCCAGACCAAAATGGTGAAACCCCGTCTTTTCTAAAACTACAAAAATTAGCCAGGCCATGGTGGCACACGCCTGTAATACCAGTTACTGAGGAGGCTGAGGTAGGAGAATCGCTTGAACCTGGGAGGCAGAGGTTGAAGTGAGCTGAGATCCCAACACTGCACTGTAGCCTGGGCGACAGAGACAGACTCCCTCTCAAAAAAAAAAAAAAAAAAAAAAAAAAAAAAGGCCGGGTGCGGGAGGCCAAGGCAGGCGGATCACAAGGTCAGGAGATCGAGACCATCCTGGCTAACACGGTGAAACCCCGTCTCTACTAAAAGTACAAAAAATTAGCCGGGTGAGGTGGCGGGCGCCTGCATTCCCAGCTACTCGGGAGACTGAGGCAGGAGAATGGTGTGAACCCGGGGGGCGGAGCCTGCAGTGAGCTGAGATCACGCCACTGCACTCCAGCCTGGGCGACCTGAGCGAAACTCTCAAAAGAAAAAAAAAAAAAAAAGACGGGGCAGGGGCTATCTGAAGCCAGGTACACTGACTTACATCTATAATCCCAGCACTTCGGGAGGCTGAGGCAGGAGGATCGCTTGAGCCCAGGAGGTAGAGGCTGCAGTGAGCTGTGGTGGTGCAACTACTCTGCAGCCTGGGCAAAAGGGACCTCGTCTCAAAAAAAAAGAGGGGGTGGGGGGTGCTATCTTTTCATTCTATCCTTTTCTAACATCCTAATTTTACTTATTTTTTTTTCTTTTGGAGACAGTCTTGCTCGTCACCCATGTTGGAGTGCAATGGCGCCACCTCAGCTCACTGCAACCTCCACCTCCTGGGTTCAAGCTATTCTCCTGCCTCAGCTTCTCAAGTAGCTGGGATTACAGGCATGCACTACTACACCCAGCTAATTTTTGTATTTTTAGTAGAGACAGGGTTTCGCCATGTTGGCCAGGCTGGTCTCAAACTCCTGACCTCAGGTGATCTGCCCGCCTCCACCTCCCAAGGTGCTGGGACTACAGATGTGAGTCACCATGCCCCGCTTCAACATCCTAACTTAAAAAACAAAATCCTGACAAGCCTTTTAGCAGAGCCATCGCCAGAATTTCAAGAGACATTTGTTTATTTCAGATGCAGTTCATATTCCAAATTTATTTTTAATGGGTGAAAATCTCATTTGATAATAACTGCATCTGGTTCTCAAGTAGAAAATATAGACACATTTGTGGACAGGGTTTTTTTTTTTTCTCCTGGCCTCAGCACCCTAGGCTCTGTTAGGCTTTTCTCATCAATCAAACTGTTCTCCCAGAGTCTGCCAGGCTTCGGGCTGGTTAGGAGGAACACAGAAACACTTTGGAGAGTGAATTTCCCAAAGAACCTATGTTCACTTACTTCAATGCCATTGCATCTTTTATTAACTATTTCATCATGTAATAGACCAAATAAAAACCTGTTTTTTTTTGGGGGGGGTGTGGGGGGAGTTGTTTGTTTTGAGACAGAGTCTTGCTCTGTCACCAGGCTGGAGTGCAGTGGCGCACCCTTGGCTCACTGCAACCTCTTCCTTCCGGGTTCAAACAATTCTCTTGCCTCGGCCTCCTGAGTAGCTGGGACTACAGGTGCCCCCTACCATGCCCAGCTATTTTGTATTTTAGTAGAGACGGGGTTTCACCATGTTGGCCAGGCTGGTTTCAAACTCCTGAGCTCAGACAATCCGCCCACCTTAGCTTCCCAAAGTGCTAGGATTACAGGTGTGAGCCTAGCATCTGGCGTCCCCCTTTTTTTCAAGAGACAGAGTCTTCCTCTGTCATCCAGGCTGAAGAGCAGTGGTGTCATTATAATTCACCGCAGCCTTGAACTCCTGGACTCAAGCACTCCTCCCACCCCAGCCTCTCAAATAGCTGGTTTTACAGGTATGCAACACTGCACCCAGCCCAAGTTTGAAAAACCCAAAACTGTAGTTTCTAAAAATACAATCTGGGCCGGGTGCGGTGGCTCACACCTGTAATCCCAGCACTTTGAAAGGCTGAGGCAGGGGGATCACAAGGTCAGGAGATCGAGACCATCCCGGCCAACATGGTAAAACCCCATCTCTACTAAAAATAGAAAAATTAGCTGGGTGTGGTGGCACGCGCCTGTAATCCCAGCTACTTGGGAGGCTGAAGGAGGAGAATTGCTTGAACCCAGGAGGCGGAGGTTGCAGTGAGCAGAGATCGCACCACTGCACTCCAGCCTGGGCAACAGAATGAGACTCCGTCTCAAAAAAAAAAAAAAAAAAATTACAATCCAACCGCTCATCTGGCCCAAGGGTGAACACACTCCCCGTTTTATGCAGAAGGATTTGGGAGCATTTATCTTCCAGGACAACAGTGGTTCTCTGAGGGGGCAGTTCTACCTCCCAGGGGACATCAGCCACGTATAGAGATATTTTTGGTTGTTACGACTTGGAGGATGCACTTACTGGCATCCGGTGGGAAGAGGCCAGGGATGCTGCTACGCTCCCTACAACATACAGGAGAGCTCCCAGCTGCAAGTTACAAAACACCAATCGTGCATAAGTGGAGGCCTCGGGGTTTACTTGTGGGAACCCCACGAGACATTACTGTGTGAAAAGCATTTTCCCAGCTTCCTGGTCTGAAGAAGGACTGTTTCTCTCCCCTCTAGCTCCAGGCTTCCACTGAGGTCTCCAACAAGAGACAAGGAAGACTATAAACTACGAACAACTCTTTAACCCATTTCCAAATAATTACCTTGTATTAACTTCTTAACTGGAAAAGCTGGTCTATCTTTGCAATCCATGGCTGCAAATAAAAGTGTCAAAGGGTAAACTGTTAAATTCTGCAAATAATCAAGTTAGCAAATACATATGTAGAGCCAATTATGTACAAGGTGGAGGCAATTCTGACCCCTCTGTCCTCGGGGGCCATTTGACACAGTCTAGAGATGTTTTTGGTTGTCATGATGCAGGGAGGGCTCAAAGGGATGCTATTCACATCCAGTGGGTAGAGGCCAGGGATTCTGCTAAATGTCCCACAATGCAATGCACAGCACACCACAATGAAGAATTATATGGGCCAAAAAAAAAAAATTTTTTTTTTTTTTTTGGAGACAGAGTCTCACTCTGTCGCCCAGGCTGGAGTGCAATGGCACAGTCTCAGCTCACTGCAACCTCCGCCTCCTGGGTTCAAGCGATTCTCCTGCCTCACTCTCTCAAGTAGCTGGGACTACAGGCGCATGCCACCACTCTCGGCTAATTTTTGTATTTTTAGCAGAGACGGGGTTTCACCATGTTAGCCAGAATGGTCTCGAACTCCTGACCTCGTGATCCACCCGCCTCAGCCTCCCAAAGTGCTGGCCACGGCGCTTGGCCTCAAAATGTTAATAGGTTGAGAAATCCTACCCTAGACACTGTCATGTCTTGTTTTATTTTCTTTGTGGCATTTAATCTGAAACTTTCGTGTTTATTACGTCTCTCTGGAAACAAAATGCCAACTCTATGACAGCAGAAAGACTTGTTCCATGCTGCACCTATGGTACCTGGTTAGGGTCTGGAATAAATCAGAAAGCCAACTAAGAGAGTAACCGGAACTGTTTCATGAAATGAAAGTGGAATGAGTAAAAGTAGGGAGGAGAGAAAACATCAGATTACCTATTTCATTCCCATGATCCCCAAACATCTTCCTCCAACCCAAGCCCCCATACCACCACCAAATCTGTAAAATCAGAAAAGGGATCCTTTTCTTTTTAAAGAGAATTCATGAAGGTACCACAATTTAAAGCACTTTGAGCTTGCCAGGCAGGAGCTGAAGTGCTGTCAAGAGAAGATAAGACAAAATATTTTCCTGCAAAAAAAATCTCAAGAAACCATCTAATAATATCAAAGCAGATGCAGCAGTGATCATAAATAGAAGCGAGTCTTTAGATAAATACCTTAAACAGAGTAAGTTTAGGAAGCTCACACTTACCAGGAGATCTGGCTTGGCAAAACCTAGTTTAGTTATTTTGGTTAATCTACGTATGTTTTGTAAGCATTACATAAAAGTGAGTACTTTTTAAAAGCAGACTGGGGCTTCCTAAAAAACTCCATCGTCCATACATGAAACCACCCCTCACCCACCGCCCCAAGCTTAGTGAATAAGAAAAGGTACTGAGAAAATTCATGTTTCCTTTCTAGCCACTTCAAAGAAATAAAGACAGTATCATTCTCAAGTGTCCACTTACCAAAAGCCATGGATTTCTACCCCCTAACTGAAGGATATGATTTTTAGTCACTTAACTTTATTTTCGAGACAATCACAAAAATCTATTTGTGTGGCTTTGAGTCACTAGCTTTGGTGCAAGTGGAACAGAAACAACCTCATTAAAAACAGGACCCACCCTCATTAAAAAATCTTGTATATAAAACGGGACACTCCCAATCCAGAGATCCAAAGATACACACGATTAACACATATGTGTGTATAAAGTTACTAACTGCTCTTTATTCTGCGATTACATCCTTTCTAATTTTATTTGGCACTAAAATATACTTTCCTTTCATGATAGCATGGTCCTAGCGAGTAGCGATTTTTTTTTTTAAAGTTAAATATCCTGGCCAGGCATGGTGGCTCATGCCTGTAATCCCAGCATTTTGGGAGGCCAATGCAGGTGGATTACCTGAGGTCAGAAGTTCGAGACCAGCCTGCCCAACATGGTGAAACCCCGTCTCTACTAAAAAATACAAAAATTAGCCAGGCATGGTGGTGCAGGCCTGTAATCCCAGCTACTTGGGAGGCTGAGGCAGAAGAATCGCTTGAACCAGAGAGGCAGAGGTTGGGCAACAGAGCAAGACTCAGTCTCAAAATAAATAAATAAATAAAGTTAAACATCCTGACTTAAAACATCACAGCTCCACGACAGTACCAACTTTATATTAATTTTATGTCTCCGGGAAATCCCACAGGCTAGAAGGAACTACAGCCATGATTTTCAGCCAAGGCGGAATCTGCCCCATAGGGGACACAGGGCAATGGTATTTCTGGCTGTTACTAAGGCATGGTGAGAGGGGCTGCTACTGGCCTGCAAAAGGCGGAGGCCAGGGATGATGCTTAACACCCTGCAGTGCCGTGCCCAGGACGGCAACAAATATCAACACTGCTGAGGCTGAGAAACTGGACTGGCGTCCATTCTAGCCCTTCATTCGTTCACGTTATTTACTGAGCACCTACTATGTGCCAAAGCGTAATGCCAAGTGCTGCCAAAGCGTTATGTAATGCAGAGTCCAGCAAGGGAGAGGGACAGTCTGGTCTTCCTTGGTTCACCCTCCCACGTTTCAGGAGGCCTGTGGTGGGCTCCAAAGACCCCATTCCAAGGCACACGGAGGAGGAAGTCACGGTGCATATCAGGAAGGAGCAAGAACTCGGGAGTCCCACCCTCCTGGCCATCTCTACCATCTGGGCCTCTTCTTACCCGGGCTTACCCCGACCCTCAGCGGCATCGGTACTGGTCCCCGAGCCCGTGCGACCTTGGGCCTCAGTTTCCCCACCCGCTGCAAGGTCCAACATGGTCAAGGGACACAAACGCATCCAGTAACCTGCAGGGCAAGCCCTTTCGCTTCCCTGGGCCTCAGTTTCCCCTCTCGGCCCCTCCGACCCACCGCCCCAGAGAGTCCTGGAGGGACGAACTGACGCAAAAGCGCCGGAAACAAACAATATGGTCGCGGCTACAACAATAACGTCAACAAGGGTGCCCTTGGGGACGCCAGGCCCTCGCTGGGGATGAGAAGGCCCCAGGGGGTGAACGCCCGGCCCGCAGGACCAGGCTTGGCGCCCGGAGGCCCGTCCGCCTCCCATCGCCGCCTCGGCCCGTCCAGGCCGCGCGCCGCGCCCCCCCTTCCCCTCGGCGCGGGCCCGAACCGACCTGTGGCGGCTCCCCTGGCGCCGGGCGCCCCGCACTCCAGCTCCTCCAGCATCGCCCCGGCGGCAGCTCGACCTCCTCTCAGGCGGCGGAGGCGCGGGCTCCCCTCAGGCGGCCGCTGCTCTTCGCCCTCCCGCCCGCGCCGCTGCTGCCGCCGCGGCCGCCGCGCTCGTATTTGGCGGGAACCGCGGCGACCCCCGCAGTCCGCGCGCCAATTGGGCGAGCCCGGGTCACGTGACGGCCCGCCTCGGGAATTGAGGGGCGCCGGGGGCATCCTCGCGAGATCCGTGACTTCCATTCCTCCCAGGGCTCGCCCATTGACATATCCGCGAGGGACTGGGCTTCCCCTCGGAGGCCTGTCATTGGCTGGGAGGAGCTGCCCTGCGATTGGAGGAAGGAGGTGTCAAGCTCATTGCTCTGCGCTGCGACTGGCTGATCGCGTGGGATAGTCCCTAAGAGGAGGGAGGCCCAGGCTCTTACGTCACCAGAACATTTTACGCAAGGCGCAGATGACAACTTGAAAGTGGGATTTAGATGAGGAACCTGGAGTTTTGAGTTTATCCTAATGGGACATCGGCTAAATATAGCAACAGCAATTAAAATTATAAATTGCTTTCTACAAGAACAATAAAACGAAGTCTGGGGAGCGCTTCGGAAGTATTTGACATTCAGTAAATAACATGTAGAATGAGTGAACGAAATGGACGAAATGGATCGTTTCTGGTTTAATCCTCAGGAAATTGGCACATGCTGTTTTCTCTGCCTAGAACAATCTTTTCGCAGCTCTTTTCCTGGCTAATTTATACTTTTCAGATCTTAGATCGTCACCCCAGGAAGCCTTTTCTTCCCCAACCCTGACAATATCAAGTGCCTACAACACTGTTCTTTTCCTTAAAGCAATTACAGCTGTGTCTATTTATTAGTTTGTTATTTGACTAATGAATTAATTTCTGCCTTTTGTCATTAGTTCTGGCGAGGGTAGGACTCATTCCTCACTGGAACCCCAGGACCTGTTAGTAACTGATCATATTTACCAGGTCAATAAATGTTTGAGTGAATGTATAAATATTTGATTGAACTGTGTAGATCAAGCAGATTAAAAGCCTCACACAAAACAGAGAACTTCAGTGTCAGCCTGTGAGTGTAGAAACAGGTTTTCTTTCTTTCTTTCTTCCTTCCTTCCTTCCTTCCTTCCTTCCTTCCTTCCTTTCTTTCTTTCTTTTTTCTTGAGACGGAGTCCCTAGTAGCTGGGACCACAGGCGCCCGCCACCACGTCCGGCTAATTTTTTCTATTTTTTAGTAGAGACAGGGTTTCACCGTGTTAGCCAGGATGGTCTCAATCTCCTGACCTCGTGATCCGCCCACCTAGGCCTCCCAAAGTGCTGGGATTACAGGCGTGAGCCACCGCCCCTGGCCCTGAATTGCATTCTAGAAGCATCTTTCTGGCTGCCATGACAAGGAAGAATTGGAGGGGAGGACTGGTGGAAAGTATGGTCAAGGCATGAAGACAGACCTAGATGTCTAGATGTGTCACGTGGGCAACTGAATGGATGAACACAGGACAGAGAGAGAGAGGAAGAGAGGTGGCCGGGCACGGTGGCTCATACCTGTGAGACCAGTACTTTGGGAGGCTGGATTTGGTGGGGGGGTTGGGGGTTGGATCACCTGAGGTCAGGAGTTCGAGACCAGCCTGGCCAACATGGCGAAACACTGTCTCTACTAAAAATACAAAAATTAGCCTAGCATGGTGGTGCGCGCCTGTAATCTCAGCTACTTGGGAGGCTGAGGCAGGAGAATCGCTTGAACCCGGGAGGCGGAGGTTGCAGTGAGCCGAGATCACGCCACTGCACTCCAGCCTGGGAGACAAAGCAAGACTCCGTCTCAAAAAAAAAATAAATAAATAAATAAAAATGGGAGGGGGCTGAACACTTAGACGAACTGGATTTAGCTAAGATGAGTAAACAGGAATCTGAAGAATCGTAAGCAGGGGCCCCTTCTACTTCCCAACCTCCCTGGCCAGGTTTAAACTAAGCGCGTTTTCCAAGACGTTAGGGTCACCTCCACGACTCCAGGGGGCGCTGCAACTGCTACGGCCCCTCTAGGCTCGCCCCGCTCAACTCACTGACAGAGGCGGCCTCTCCCGCGGTAGACAATGTGCACGTGCGCTCTTCAGCCGGCAGAGGGCGCGCGTGCGCAGACGGGGCCGGGGGCGCGCGCGGGGGCCGGGGGCGCGCGCGGGGGCCGGCACCGGAAGCGTGCGGTTGCCATGTAATATCCTGGCCGCGCGGGCGCGCGAGCGGCTGAGGCGGCGCCGGGGCGGGCGCGGAGCTGGCAAGCGGGTGGCGGAGGCGGCGCCGACGGGGACTGCTGAGGCGCGCAGAGGGTCGGCGGCGCCCGGGAGCCTGTCGCTGGCGCGGTCCGGGCGGGAGGCTCGGCGGCGGGCGGCAGCATGTCGGTGGCGGGGCTGAAGAAGCAGTTCTACAAGGCGAGCCAGGTGAGCGCAGGCCCAGGCGGGAGCCGAGTACCGGGCCCCGGGCTGCCCGGATGAGGGAGCCAGGCCCGACCTGGCCCGGGAGGGGGCCGGGGGGACCGAGGTGGGGACGTTGGCGCGTGTCCCCTGCCAGGTGGGAAGACCAAGGGACGGACGGGGGCGACGAGGTGGCCCAGGCCCTGCCCGCCATGCGGGCTCCAGAAGCGGGGACAGAGCCCCTGGGAGGAGGGGAGAGGCACCCTGGGCTGCCCAGGGACGCGGACCTCTCCCCTCCTTCTCTCCGCTGCAAAGGCGGGGTGCGGGGAGAGAAGGGGAAGAGAGGAGTCCCGAGGCTGTCGACACAGGACTCTTGCCAGATAACCCAGAGCCAGGGAAAAGTTGCGTCTAGAGCAGTTACGTTCAAAATCCTCTGGATGGGCAAGGTACAAAGTTGAAAAGGTAGAGGAAGAAGTCAGTTTCCCCTCTCTGCTCCTCGGGCAGCCAGCCCTTCTCCCCAGAGACAAGCGACTGTCATCGACTCCGTATGTCCCTTTCCTAAGATACGTGTGTGCCTTTCCTTTAAAAACACGTACCCTGTGATAGCATATGCCACAGAATCCTGTGTGCTGTGTTTTTCATTGCTTGGAGATCACACTGGAGCGGGATTTCTCCCCCTCCGTCGGCACTGTTGACATCTGGGGCTGGATTGTTCTCCGTGGTGGGGCCGTCCTGGGCACTGCGGGGTGCTGAGCAGCGCCCCTGGCCTCCACCCACTCCGGGCCAGGAGCACCCCCAAGTCGTGACAACCAAAAATATCTTGAGACATCACCGTGTGTCCCCTTAGAATCAGTCCTCCTTCCCTCCCTTCGTTCCTTCCTTCCTTCTTTCCTTCCTTCCTCCCTCCCTCCTTGCCTCTCTCCCTCCCTCCCTTCTCTTCTTTCCTTCCTCCCTTCCTTTCCTGTCCCCCAGGACTACTGCTCTAGACCATACTCCACACTTCTTGGATTTTTTTTTTTTTTTTTTTTTTTGAGAGGGAGTCATGCTCTGTCGCCCCAGCTGGAGGGCAGTGGTGCAATCTCGGCTCACTGCAAGCTCCGCCTCCTGTGTTCAAGCAATTCTCCTGCCTCAGCCTCCCCAGTAGCTGGGACTACAGGCATGCGCCACCACGCCCGGCTACTTTTTGTAATTTTAGCAGAGACAGGGTTTCTCCATGTGCCCCAGGGTGGTCTCGAACTCCTGGCCTCAAGTAATCCGCCTGCTTCGGCTTCCCAACATGCTGGGATTATCGACGTAAGCCACCTGCCTGGCCTACTTGGCTCTTTTTAATGGGTACATTGTATTTCATTCCATGACATATACCATAATTTATTTAACCAGTTGTCAGTTGATAGATATCTCTATTGTTTACCGGAATTTTCTGTTACCATTACTACAATAAATAGCCAGTGAATATCTTTGCTCACCAGTGGGATTAGTTTTATAGGATGAATTCCCAGAAGTAGAATGCTGCATCCCAGCCTAAGTGCATTTGATATGGACAGATAAAGGGTTTTTTTTGGAAACTCCAGGGCCCACTGCTCATGAATCTGGTGAAAGCTGTGGATCCACTCTCCAGAAAACTGGGCACATTTAAAATTTTCACTTTGCAATTTCGAATGCAAGAAGCCTCAAATTTGGCCGGGCGCGGTGGCTCATGCCTGGAATCCCAGCAGTTTGGGAGGCCGAGGCGGGCGGATCACTTGAAGCCAGGAGTTTGAGAGCAGCCTGGGCAACATGGCAAAACCCCATCTCTACTAACAATACAAAAATTTTGTATTTTTGCCTGTAACCCCAGCTACTAAGGAGGGTGAGACAGGAGAATCTCTTGAATCCGGCAGGCAGAGGTTGCAGTGAGCCGAGATTGCACCACTGCACTCCAGCCTGGGTGACAGAGCGAGACTCCGTCTTGAAAAAAAAAAAAAGACAAGAAGCCTCAGATTGTTGAATCCTATTGGTCCGTGTACTGCAGGGTGAGGTTGTGTGGAATTTGTGTAGATAGAGTCCACCGAGGAATGAGCAATGATCTTAGCAAATGCTTGGGCCAAGGTGGCAAACAGGGTTCTCTGCCCACAGTTCGGAGATGCCCAGTGGGAGCAAAGAGAAACGAGTCCCCAGTAACACCCAGCAGGTACCTTTGCCCCTGGAAAGAAAAAAGTAAGGACCCTGCCAGGTGCTGTGGCTCATGCCTGTAATCCCAGCACTTTGAAGGCTGAGGCAGGGGTTCCCTTGAGTTCAGGAGTTCAAGACCAGCCTGGGCGATATAGGGAGATCCCATCTCTACAAAATATGAAAAAGTTAGCCAGGTGTGGTGATGTGCACCTGCAGTCCCAGCTACTTGGGAGGCTGAGGCAGGAGGACCACTTGAGCCCAGCAGTTCAAGGCTGCAGTGAACTATGATCGTGCCACTGCACTTCAGCCTGGGCAGCAAAGTGAGACCCTGTCTCAAAAAATAAATAAAAAAAGTAACAACCCTAGTGGTTGTTTAGGGATATAGATACTTAGGGTCTATCTCTACACCCCAGATGATGGTTAAACCCTGGAGAAAGATTTAATCCAGACGAATTTTAGAGTTGTCACTGAGAACAGTCCCACCCCCTTGCCCCAGCACTTTGAAATCAGATGGCCTGGCCCTGGGTTAGACCTTGCCCAGCAGGCGTCAGACCTTCACCTGCTTGGTTAGAGCACCATAGAGTACTGCTCCCTAGCAGGAAAGATGTCCTCAGAGGTCTTGGAGGAATTCCTGGGCCACTTTGTTCCCTGCTATAGACAGGTCTCTGGAAGCCACCACCCCCACTCCCAGCGATCAGGGCCTGTGCCCATATTGTCCTGAGCTGACACCCTCTTTAGAGGAATGAACCAGGCCTCTTGTGCCGGCCACCAGGACTTTGTCTCTCTCAAGGGAAGCAGGATGACCTGCGTTCAGATCTGTGAATGGCGCCTTGAAGCCTGGAAAGGACAGTGTGGTGTTAGCTGGGCTTAGGATTGCCTATTTCCACATCCCGAGGCCTAGTCCCAAAGCACAATGGCCACAGCCCACCCTCGGGGCTGTCGTCTTGGCCTCCTGGTCAATTCTGTCCTGAGTCGTGCTCTTAGAAGTCACCCTGGCTGCGTTCCATGCTCTTCTGTGATCATTGCCATGGTTCCCTCTGACATCTCAGCTGTTATCTGGACGTATCCGACTATTTGTGTCTCTTTTTTTGTTTTTAGTCTAATAACAACTCTTTCACCCTCTGCTGTGCCTGTTGGAAAGTGACATCTCTCGGGATCTCTCATTACGTAGTGATACAAACATTTATTGAGTTCTCACCATGTGAGCAGGCAGTATGCTTTATACCAGTAGGTCTCAGCTGGTCTTGCTTATCCGGTCTAAGGGTAAAAAACATTCCCCCTTTTACACAAAAGGATTAGGGGACATTTATCTTCCTGTAAAACAGGGCCAGTTCTGTCCTCCAGGGGACATTGACAATGTCTGGGACCTTTTTGGTTGTCACAGCTTGGTGCGGTGCTGCTGGCTACTAGTAGGTAGACGATATTGCTGGACATCCTCCGGTGCCCAGGGCAGCATCTCCCCACTGCCCCCAAGAATTACCTGGCCCCAAATGTCAATAGTACCAAAATTTGAGAAACCCTGCTTGAAGATTTGGAAAAAAAATGAGGATAATTATACCAAAACAAAGGAACAAAAAAATCCCCACTGAGCCATTCTTACGATTTTCCTAGTTTGGCCAGGTGTGGTGGCTCACGCCTTTAATCCCAGCAGTTTGGGAAGCACTCCAGCCTGGTGGATGAGAGCGAGACTTCGTCTCAAAAAAAAAAAAAGTAAAATATAAAATAAAACAAAGATTTTCCTAGTTTGCTAAACACAGATAGCCACATGTGTAGTTTGTTTTTGTTTGTTTGTTTGTTTTTGAGACGGAGCTTCTCTCTTGTTGCCCAGGCTGGAGTACAATGGCACGATCTCGGCTCACTGCAACCTCCGCCTCCTCTGTTCAAGCAATTCTCCTGCCTCAGCCTCCCGAGTAGCTGCGATTACAGGCACCCACCACCATGCCCCGCTAATTTTTTTGTATTTTTAGTAGAGACGGGGTTTCACCATGTTGGCCAGGCTGGTCTCGAACTCTTGACCTCGGGTGATCTACCTGCCTCAGTCTCCCAAAGTGCTGAGATTACAGGCATGAGCCATGGCACCCCGCCCCACAGGTAGATATTTACATAAAACTCAGCATCCAGACCCTAAGGTCGAGCCCACCCTCAAGTCTTTAGGAAAATTCGAGTGTCTTTCAGTATCTGGGCTTCTTTTTTAGGGGGGAGCTAGATCCACCATAAACATTTTATGTGTATATGTACACCGTTTATCATATACATATTGTGACAACTGTATATATATATATATATTTTGAGACAGAGTCTTGCTCTGTCACCCAGGCTGGAGTGCAGTGGCGCAATCTTGGCTTACTGAGACCAACCTCCGCCTCCCGGGTTCAAGCGATTCTCTTGCCTCAGCCTCCTGAGTAGCTGGGATTACAGGTGCGCCACCACACCCGGCTAATTTTTTTTGTATTTTTAGTAGAGACAGGGTTTCACCATGTTGGTCAGGCTGGTGTTGAACTCCTGACCTCATGATCTGCCCGCCTCAGCCTCCCAAAGTGCTGGGATTACAGGTGTGAGCCACCGTGCCTGGCCTAAACAACTTGTATGTATACATACACTGTTTATCATATATACGTATTGTGGCAACCATATGTATGAATAAGCCTTCAAAAGGTGAGCACCTGTATTTCCTGGTAATTGACAATGTCAGTTTTGTGTGATGTAGTCTCTATGGAATTTCCCGTACATATGATGACAGAAACAAAGACTGAAACATGGTTCACAGAGAAACACAGAACATACATGACTCTCAGAATAACCATGTCTGCTGCTGTGTAGGGAACTCTTTGAGAGGAAACACTTTCACTGCTGGCCTCAAATGCCACTATCCACTTAGGTTCTTCAGTGTGAACCTTTAATTCAAAAGTACCTTCCAGCTGATCACGAGGAACCTTTATCGCTTGCACCTGAGGAGGTCAGGGCTGCAGGGAGCCCTGATTGTAGCACTGCACTCCAGCCTGGGAGACAGAGCCAGACCCTGTCTCCAAAAAAAAACACCATTTACAGTGACTTAGAAAAGGGACAGTTTCCAGTGCTACACACAATGGTTCCATACACAGCTTAAAGGTTTCCAGTTCTTTGCTGGAACTTGATTTAATAGTTGAGAGCCACAGGCATCGGGGCTCCTGAAGGAGGGGCACGCGCCCATCAGCGCTGTCAGCCGGGGATGGCGCAGACCCCTTCCTTGGCTTGGCAATGTCGGAGACAGTTGTTATCGCAACTTTGGGAGAGAATGCTCATGGCATCGAGGGGATAGGGGCCAGGGATGGTTGCCAAGCATCCTACAATGCATAGGACAGCTTCCCCCCGCTGCAAAGGAAGAATTCTCCAGCCCTACGTCAGTAGAGTTGAGCTTAAGAAACCCTGCTTTAAACCAGGCTCTAGACTTCCAAGGGTTCTTACGGTGTCCTTTCTAAATTGATCAACAGAGGCCGGGAGGATGCGGGAGAGAGTGCTGGAAAAGATAAACTTACTTTCTAACAGGCGAGGCTGTGTTGTTGGTTCTGAGTTTCTGATCTCTCGTTGGTGATAATGGTAAGAACCTTAGTGGGTTCCAGGCTAGTTCATCTCCCTGCAAAACCTTTTGGGAACTTGTTCAAAATTGGTTTGGGCTTGAGTGGGCAGTTTGTGAGTTTTTACTTCTTGTCATGAACTGGCCATAGACTGGTTGAGGGCCTGAGCTGGGGAAAGTTGAATCATCTGGAAGAAAGCAGTAAAAAGCCGTCCGTCATGGTCCCATCTCCCTGGTTCCCTCCTTTCTGCCTGTGTGACACCCACTCCCTCAAGAGCCTCCTGGCATCCGTGCGCAGCTAGAACTGGGGGACTAAGGAGGGTGAAAGAATGCCGCTAGCGAGAGCTGCTCTCAGAAGTTCCCTTGGTGTGCTGGGGGTTTGGGTGACATTATTTCCAGGCTTAAGCTGCTAACTGGCTTCCTGATAAATCTTGTGGCCGGGCTGTGTGAGATTGAGAGTGTAACTAGGGGTAGAGCTGGCAGCTGCCTGGAATGCTGGCTTTTTTTTTTTTTTTTTTTTGCCTGAAAGGAGGGAGAGGGTTTGAACATTTGAATGGAAAGATTGCTTCAGACTGAGCTAGGAGGGACATTCACAAGCGTCACCTCCCATAGCTTTGAAATCTGCCTGATGCTCCTTAGGCCCTGGGTTTGTGCCTAGGAGAAAAGGAGAGGCCAGGGGGGTTGGGGGAGGACTGTCTGCCGGGGGATCCTGGGCCCCACCTATTTGGGGGCTGTAGGTCAGAGTAAGCAGTGTCTGGGACATGGCTGGTGTTTCAGAATGTCAACGATACTGCTTGTTCTGACCTATTTTTATTTTTATTTATTTTTAAATTTTAATATTAATTTTTTGTTTGTTTGAGACAGAGTCTAGCTCTGTCGCCCAGGCTGGAGTGCAGTGGCGCGATCTCTGCTCACTGCAACCTCTGCCTCCCGGGTTCAAGCAATTCTTCTGCCTCAGCCTCCTGAGTAGCTGGGATTACAGGCACATACCACCACGCCCAGCTCATTTTTGTATTTTTAGTAGAGACGGGGTTTCACATGTTGGTCAGGCTGGTTTCGAACTCCTGACCTCGTGATCCACCTGCCTTGGCCTCCCAAAGTGCTGGGATTACAGGAGTGAGCCACTGTGCCTCGCCTATTTTTATTTATTTTTTAATTTTTTTGTAGAGACTGAGTCTCACTATGTTGCCTAGGCTGGAGGCTCCTTAAACCCCACCACTCCAGGTCTTGAACTCCTGGACTCAAGTGATCTTGTCTCCTCATTCTCTCAAAGTGCTGGGATTACAGGCGTGAGCCTCTGTGCTTGGCCCTGACCTTTTTTTAGTTTATTTATGATGGTGTTTTTTTTTGTTTGTTTGTTTTGTTATTTTTGTTTTTTTTGTTTTTGAGACGGAGTCTCACACCATTGCCCAGGCTGGAATGCAGTGGCGCAATCTCACCTCACTGCAACCTCCGCCTCCTGGGTTCAAGCAATTCTCCTGCCTCAGCCTCCCAAGTAGCTGGGATTACAGGCATGTGCCACCACGCCCAGCTGATTTTTGTATCTTTAGTAGAGATGAGGTTTTGCTGTGTTGACCAGGCTGGTCTCGAACTCCTGACCTCAGGTGGTGATCCTCCTGCCTCAGCCTCTCAAAGGGCTGGGATTGCAGGTGTGAGCTACCACGCCCGGGTTGTTATGATTTTTTAAAATTTTACGTATTTGAGATGCAGTCTTGTTCTGTCCCCACTCCCAAGGTGGTGTGCAGTGGCACGATCTTGTCTCACTGCAACCTCTGCTGCCCAGTTCAAGCGATTCTCCTGCCCCAGCCTCCTGAGTAGCTGGGATTACAGGTGCCTGCCACCATGCCCAGCTAATTTTTGTATTTTTAGTAGAAACGGGGTTTCGCCTTGTTGGCCAGGCTGGTTTTGAACTCCTCAGGTGATCCGCCCGCCTTGGCCTCCCATTGTGCTGGGATTACAGGCCTGAGCCACGTGCCCGGCCCTGACCTCTTTTTTAAAACCTCACTTTGTGGGGCCACTCTTGGTTTTCCTACCAAAGTGCTTGACTTGTTAAGCCATAAACATGGAATGATCTTTTGTGTGTGTGTGTGTGTGTGTGTGTGTGTGTGTGTGTGTGTGTGTGTGTGTGACGGAGTCTTGCTCTGTCCCAGGCTGGAGTGCAGCGGGCCGATCTCAGGTCACTGCAACCTCCGCTTCCTGGGTCCAAGTAATTCTCCTGCCTCAGCCTCCTGAGTAGCTGGGAATACAGGCGTGCGCCACCACAGCTGGCCAATTTTTGTATTTTTAGTGGACACAGGGTTTCATCATGTTGGCCAGGCTGTTGTTGAACTCCTGACCTAGTGATCTCCCTGCCTTGCCTCCCAAAGTGCTGGGATTACAGGCGTGAGCCAGTGGGAATAATCTTAAGATACAAAAATATGGGGTTCATAACCCCTTCACCTTGGCACAGATAAAAGTGTATACCCTTGTGCTGGGAGTGACAGGTAGTTGAGAGGCACTTTTGTGTGGGCTGGTAAGGGCCGGCGTTGGTGATTCAGAGGCTGTGCCCGGGACAAGGCCGGTGAGTCCAGCAGCTGCAGGCTGACCTCCGGAAGCCCCCTCTCCCTCGGGGAGGTGTTGGCAACAGATGTAGGAAGGGACTTTGCTTTGTGATGTCCACGTATGATGGGAATGGAGTTAAGTCCGTTCTTGCAGGAAGCTCTGGTGACTGAATCCAGGAACGTGCGGCATGTACTGGTGTGTGCCTTGAGGCATTGGAGCCGGCATTGGAGCCGGCGGCGTGGACCCTGGGCCACCCCAGGACAGGCAGGGCTCACTCTGTTTCTGGCTTGCAGACGGGTGGAACCAGCAGCTGTGTGGAGGCCTGAACTGTGTGCCAGCTGGGCTGTGCAGACACAGAAGTTTGAGACTGCCTTTCCCCAAAGGAAGCTAGAGGCTCCTTACACCCCACGGCTCCCCGGGCCTGTCTGTGAAACCTGGCTCACCTGGCCCCCTTCACAGGGTTGGCTGTTGGTGGTCACTGGGCACTTTGTAACCAAGCAGCATCCTACGTTTTCCCATTCTTAACAAACCAGGACCAAGGGGTCATCAGACTCCGATTTCTGCCACCCGTGACTGCTGTACAGTAGGTCCCAGAACAAGTCAAGGGCTGAAAGTTCGGCTAAAAGTTTGTCTCTGACTCAGAATCCCGTGTTCACCAAAGACCAGTTGGGGCTCCGTGGGTGCTGATCGCCCTGCTTATCTGGGTGTGTGTTAAAGCCCAGCTCTGCAGTACTTAATTATATTCCAGGTGCCCCTAATAACAGCCTGTGAGTGCGAGATGAGGTGTCTCACCTTATGCCGCTCAGTTGAAGAAATTGGGGGCTGTCACATTTTGACACCCCAGACCTATCAAGCACACAGAGAACATGACACTGCTCACCCCACCCCTGGCCACCCAGGGGTGGCCGCTGTCACGTGCGCAGTGCACCTGAGGTCTGAGCTGGCAGCTGGGCCCCTCAGATGTCTGTGTGTGTGTCTGTTGCATTTTTTCCTCAAAGGAGAAACCTGCAGGTTGAGGCCCGTCCCGCTCAGACCTGCCTGTGTCTCTGTGTCCAGTGGACTTTAATCCAGGGGCCTAGGGTACAGCCAAGCCTTCACTGCTGCCTTAGCCCTTTTCCTCCTCCGTGATTGTTTCCAGTGTTTTGCAACTGATCTGATCTGGGGAAACGTCGTGTTTAATTTGGAGCATGCTGCCAACGTCCCCAGTAGGATTTCGGAGGCAGCCGCAGGTTTCGGCGCTGCCCGGGGCAGAGCTTAGAGGAGAAGCTCAGAGCGGCCTCCATGTTTCTCTTTTCCAAGCCCCTGAGGTCTTTAAGTGCCGGGAGGGTTGGAAGGGGAAGCATTGCCCCGGGGTGGGGGTGGGGTAGGTGTCAGGAGCTCAACAGGCTCTGGAGGCATCTCAGCAGGACCTGAGCTCTCCAACTCTAATGGCTTTTTAATGTGTGAGCTGAAGTGTCAGGGGGCGGTCTCTTCTGGTTCTTTTTCGAAGCTGTCCCTGGAAAGCGGATGAAAGAATGTGGTGGCCAGGGCTGCAGCGGGTTTCCCTCTCTCCCTTCTCTCCCCTCCTCTCCCTATCTCTCCCCCCTCTTCTTCCTCTCTTTCTGTTCTCACTCTTCCCTTGTCTTTCTCTCTGTCTCTCCCTTCTTTTGCCCTCTCACCTCTTCTTCCTCTCTCTCTGTCTGTCCTCTCCACACCTTCTTCCTGTCTGTCTGCCTGCCTGTCTCTCTCTTTCTCTATCTCTCGCCTTTTGCAGGGCTGGATTTGGCAAGCACTTTTCCTGAGCACTGCAGCTTGGTGCGTTTCTGCTCATTTCCTGTTAAGCAGTACCCAGGGCTCCCTGAACTCAGGCTCTGGGAGGACGGCCCTGTCTTCCTTTTCCTCTCCACTCCTAGAAAAACCTGCTGACCAGGCCCTGAGAGCAGGGTCACGGGGAGACCTCCTCACCACAGCAGGAAGATAGACGGACAGTTTCCTCCATTGGACCTGACTCAGCAGCGGCCCACTGACCGCCTGGGAGGGGGCTCCCGCCTAGCGGGCCGCAGTTCCACACCTGGGTAAGGGGACGAAGCACCCAGCAGGGGTCATGCCGCGTGTGACACAGTCTGTAGGGGCGGTGGTCATGGCAGATACTCAGAATCCAGATGGCATCAGGCCTGCGAGGGCATGGGGTGAGTGGGCCCACTCCCCTCCCTGGGCCGGGAACATGCGTCTCCTCTGCCCTGGCCCCCAAGTGGACAGCTCCCCACATGGTTTCATGCCAATGGGAGTGATTATTCCATTGCCGTTGCCACTGGAATATGAGCCCATTGCCGCCGGAGCCAGGCATTTGTGCTCATTGCTGCATCCCCAGTGTTTGGTTTACTGGCTGGCCTGCCCCAGGGAGCCGGTAAATATCACATGGAAGGACGGATGGGCCACCGTGGCCCCCACCCTACAGCGGATGGCCTCGTGTCGAGTTTGTGTGAGCACGCCCTAGAGGAAGAGAAGCAGGTCTCCACCTGGCCCAGGGTACAGTTCAAGCTCTCAGCCGAATTTCGGGAGCTTCTGGAGCCCCTGCCTTGGTCCCAGGTTTAAATGCTACTCTTCCCCTGCATGGGAACTCACACAGTCAGTCCCTCCCGCCCACCCTGTGTGGGGCCCTGTACTCTCCTGCCTCCTGTCCATGTCACCGGCCTCTCCTACCTCCCAACCTCATTTTCTCTCCACTTCCTGTCTGCCCTATAACGAACGCGTTTCTATCTCCCCTTATCCTTGGCATCTTCCGGGGATGCATGTGGGAACTGAGTTCTCAGCCCTTGGAGCTTCTGGCCTCGGGGTCCCCCACCCAGATGCCACACGCTGGTGTTCGTGTGAGGTGCTCTCCTCCCATCGGACGGCAGCTCCTGAGGCTGGGCTGTGCTCGGGCATGTGTGATGGGCCATGTTCTGCTGGGCACTGGCCTGCTGATGAGGTTGCCAGAGACGCCCCCTACAGAGGCTGAGCTAGAGGGCTCCTTCTCAGAGTGAGGGGCTGTCCTCCACAGGGCCCCTGTGGTGTCCCTGGTGGTGGCTCAACAGCAGCCCCTGGTCCGCTGGCCAGGCATCTGACCAGGCCGTGTCACAGCACCAGGGAGGCAGGTGGCTGACAAGGCCTCGGAGAACTCGGTTGGGAACAGGTCCGACTGCTCTGAAAAAATCAACAGCTCAGAGAGTGTCTCCTGTGGTTTAGGGTGTGTGTCCAGCTCCAGGGCTGCAGCTGACAGTCACCTGAACTTGGCCAGGTCCGAGGGCCTGACTGTGTCACAGGCAGTCTCTGACCCAGAGCCTGCCTGAGCAGGGTCCCTAAGAAGCCAAGCCCAGACGCCTGCTTCCCCCCTTGATCGAGGCCAGGCTGAAATGCACCTGCTGCTGCCCGGCTGGGCCGGTCTGCTCAGAGTTGGTGGTTCCCTGGCTTGAATGCTTCCCCAAACTAAACCACTCCCAGCCTCCAGAAACTGGCTCCCCAGCCCTGTTTGCCAAGATTCTTAGGACTTTTGCCATGGCTGGGCCTGGCCACCCATCCTGCAGCTCTCTCCCTGGCCTCTGTGCCCAGTTGC
Organism: Homo sapiens; assembly: GCF_000001405.40. Classification (NCBI taxonomy): domain Eukaryota; kingdom Metazoa; phylum Chordata; class Mammalia; order Primates; family Hominidae; genus Homo; species Homo sapiens. The sequence goes on along the minus strand of NC_000019.10, from coordinate 4,388,531 downwards.
TGCAGTGACTTCTCTCTGATTGCCACAATAGGCCCTGCGGCTCCTCCCACTTCTCCCTGTGGATGGCCCCTTCTGTCTCTGAGCCTGCTGTCTCCTGTGCTTCCGCTGCCCCTCTCTGTACCTGTCTTCTAAGCCTGCGTCCCCTGTCCCAGCGTTCAAATGTGACACTCCCACGACTCGCAGACCACAGCAGGCAGCTGGCCAGCGGTGATGCCCTGAAATGACAGCCAGGGTTCATCGCCTGTCCTTCAGCTTGAACCCATTAGCTGATTCGGCCTCTTTCCTCTTAAATTACTTTTATTTTATCACTTTTAAAATGTATTTTAAAGGGGATCGTGGTATTTTTCCTTGCTCAATAACAGTAACTGGAATAGGCCGGACACGATGGCTCACACCTGTAATCCCAGCACTTTGGGAGGCCGAGGCAGGTGGATCACAAGGTCAGGAGTTTGAGACTAGACTGGCCAACATGGTGAAACCCCATCTCTACTAAAAATACAAAAATTAGCTGGGCGTGGGTGGCGCATGGCTGTAATCCCAGCTACTCAGGAGGCTGAGGCGGGAGAATCGCTTGAACTCAGGAGGCAGAGGTTGCAGTGAGCTGAGATCGCGCCAGTGCACTCCAGCCTGGCGACAGAGCGAGACTCTGTCTCAAAAAAACAAAAACAAAAACAAACAAAATTCGTCGGGCGTAGTAATGCATATCTGTAATCCCCGCTACTCGGGAGGCTGAGGCAGGCGAATCGCTGGAACCTGCGAGGTGAAGGTTGCCTTGAGCCAAGATAGCACCACTGCACTCTGCCTCAAAAACAAAACAACACAAAAAACCCCGCACAGTAAGTGGAATAACAAATACAACAGCAGCAAAACAATAGAGTGAAATTTTGCTGGATACCCCACCCCTGAGCCTGAGGTGTGCTCTCTTGTGAAAGAGCTGTTCGGGCTGGACGTGGTGATTCTTGCCTGTAATCCCAGCACTTAGGGAGGCTGAGGCAGGATTGCTTTAGCCCAGTTGTTCAAGCCCATTTGGGCAACACAATGAAACCCCGTCTGTACAAAAAATTAAATTAGCCAGTCATAGCGGTGCACACCTGTAGCCCAGCTACTTGGTAGGCTGAGGTGGGAGGATCACTTAAGTCCAGGAGTTTGAGGCTGCGGTGAGCTATCATCATGCCGCTGCCCTCCAGCCTGGGCAACAGAGCAAGACCCTGCCTAAAAAAAACAAAAACAAAGCCTGTACTATAGTAGTGCCCACCTGGAAGTTCCTTCTTGCCAGAATAAGAAATACAGAAGAGGGGCCAGGCGCGGTGGCTCATGCCTGTAATCCCAGCACTTTGGGAGGGCGAGGCGGGCAGATCACGAGGTCAGGAGATCGAGACCATCCTGGCTAACACGGTGAAACCGTGTCTCTGCTAAAAATACAAAGAATTAACTGGATGTGGTGGCGGGCACCTGTAGTCCCAGCTACTCGGGAGGCTGAGCCAGGAGTATGGCGTGAACCCGGGAGGCAGAGCTTGCAGTGAGCCAAGATTGCACCACTGCACTCCAGCCTGGGCGACAGAGCAAGACTCCATCTCAAAAGAAAAAGAAAAAGAAATACAGAAGGGGAATTGCAGCGGAGTTGTGTTCTGACCACGTGATTCACGTGCCTTATGCTTGTGTTAGCTGCCACGCTGTGGGAAATGCCTCACGGAAGGCACGTTGCCTTTTCCCTTGGGGCCCACCGCCATGCCCTCTGCAGTCTCGCCTCTTAGGATCGGGGGATCCTGCACACTGGGATTTGGGCTCAGGAAAGAGGGCTGATGGGTTGGTAACAGCCAGGTCCTGAGTGCCTGGGGAAAGGCATGGAAGCTGGAGACCCAGCAGTCAGCATTCTTAAGGAGTTCCCAAACATTGTTGGGCACGGTGGCTCGTGCCTGTAATCCCAGCTCTGAGGGAGGCAGAGGCAGGAGGAGCGCTTGAGCCCGGGAGTTTGAGATCTGCCTGGGCAGTATAGCAAGACCCTGTTCTCCAAAAAAAAAAAAAAAAAAGTGAAAAAGAAATAAAAAAAAAAAAGAGTTCCCAAACATCACCCAAGCAGTAATGCAAATATCTTCCTCCAGGACACCCCCATCCAGCCCTGCGTGCTGGAAGCAGAACTGCTGACTGATTATTTTTCTGCTGTCATTTCGGGACTTTGCCCCAGCACTAAGCAGAGACCCTTATTCTCAGGAAGCCCCCTGCGGAAGGAAGCTCTGGGAACTTTCTGCCCGCCCTCGCCGCAATCCCTTGCCACCCGCCTCTGTGGGATGAGGCCCCACAGCTGACTCAGGCAGGCATCCATCAGCCTAACAGCCTCACTCATCAGAGTCCCGATTGTTTGAAACAGATGGGCAGCCCTGGCCCTTCAAGGCCAGCCTTTGTGGCTCAGAAGAGGGCAGCCCAGGGACCTGGTTGGAATTTCCCCATCTCCCAACCTTCACCCACCCTGGCATAAGATCATCTTCATCCTCTCCTGAGGCCTCTGATGGTTTTCTCTAAGGTTGAGAATCCCTGCTATTATTTTAGGAAGGAAGGACAACCCCCAGAACTGCAGAGTATCTTGCTTCTTGCTGACTCTGGTCAAGTCAGCGTTCCACCCACGAGGAGCCTTGGAGCTGTCGGACCCCTGGCTGAGCGTAGTGTGGGTGTCTGGGAGGTATGTGCTGCCCACTGCAGAGGCTGGCTCGGAGGCCGCTGGAATGCTGCGCTGTGCCCTAGCTTTTACATTTTTATTTCATACTTGCAGAATCCTGTGTATTTTTCCAGTGTTCTCCCACTCCCAGCCTTCCCACAGCAGCCTCCCCGGCTAGCCCCAGAGCACTCTGTGCCTGTCAGAAGAAGGCACCAGTGGGCCCCTCTGTTGAGTGGGGTCCCTGTGCCACCTCTAGACTGGCTGAGGGTTCCATAGTGGGCAGCTGCACAGCCAGGGAGGGTCTTTGGGGCCCGGAAGGAAAGAGTGCTGCTGGGAGGGAGGGCAGGAGAAAGACCTTTGGTCTGCCTGCTGCAATCACGTTTCTGGAGCCCAGGAGTCCACTCGGCTGTCAGAGGAGCCGGTAGGGGGTCGCCCTCCTTCCAGGAGAGGTTGCCTCTTACTGCATTCAGAACACATTCCCTGGGCCACACGCTGGTCGGCACCAGTATGTGGCACAGGGCACCTCCCTTGTTCAGGCACCTCATGAAGGTTGTATCATAAAGGGTTTCAGATCCAGAAAGGCAGCTAAGAATGACCAGCAGATGAGCAGGTGCCCCCACCCCATCCCAAGGAAGCCAGAGCAGGGCCGGCGTGCCTTCACTGCGCACGTTCACTGCGCCAAAACACGCAGGGTTGTGTGGCGGTCCACACTGCCTGTCAACAGGATCACGTGCTTTCTTGCTTGGTTTCTCGTACCCTAGTTTTTTTTTTTTTTTTTGAGATGGAGTCTCTCGTCACCCAGGCTGGAGTGCAATGGCGCAATCTCAGCTCACTGCAACCTCCCGCTCCCAGGCTCAAGCAATTCTCCTGCCTCAGCCTCCCGAGTAGCTGGGATTACAGACACCAACCACCACACCCGGATAATTTTCATATTTTTAGTAGGGACAAGGTTTCACCATGTTGGCCAGGCTAGTCTCGAACTCCTGAGCTCCAGCAATCTGCCTGCTTTGGCCTCCCAGAGTGCTGGGATTACAGGCGTAAGCCACCGCACCTGCTCACCCTACTTTTAGGCTGAGCACTGCTTGTGAGTACCGTTCACACTGACACACGAGGCTCCACTCGCATCCGCAGCTGCGTGGCTTTCCCTCGTGGTTATTCCACAGTGTGTCTATCCGTTCTCCAGCCAGTGGACATTTAGAGTCTCCAAGTTTCTGCATTTTCACACAGCCTGGCAGTGAGCGGTCCCCTGTGGCATGTATCTGAGAGCTTCTCCAGTGCGGTACCTTGCTTAATATGATCATCTGCTGTAGTGCTTGATGACTATGCCCATGAATAGCCACTGCACTCCAGCCTAGGCAATATAGCGAGACCCTGCCTTCAAAAAAAGAAAAATAGCCACATAGGTTTTCAGCAGTCCTAGCCTGGAAAAAAACAACCTGTTCAATTTGCATGACCGAAAGTCCTGGACCGGTGGCTAGCAATATCGTGTGTTGCGCACTCGTAAAGTGTGTTATTTCAACCCTCCTCCACCGTGCTGTATGTGCCTGGGGGCCTTGGCCAGGAAGCCAAGTGGGCGGGGAGGAGGCTCCCAGCTCAGGGTTAGCTCTGTGTGGTCCGGAGCGGGATGAACTGGGGGGCTCCTGCGCCATCAGCTCTGAGGACTCTGCTTCTGCTGGGCATCCTCCTCACGGATGTAACATCCCCTCCAGCCTGTAAATTCCTCTGGAGCCTGCGTTTTCAGTTTTGTTGTGTACAGTGAGGCCGCGCTCACAGAAAGCACCTAGCACCCAGCCTTGTCGCAGAGGGCAGCTTGGGCCAGGACTCACGTGCTCCCTGTGCAAATTCACCTACTTGATAAGATTGATTTGTAGCCCCAAATCATTCCTTTTGCAGTCTTTTGCAGACAAGTGCAGAGCAGCAAAAAATCTGTCACCCATCGCATATGTTCCTAGCCGAGGTCAAACAAAGCCACACTGCCTTCTCCTAGCTCTCAACGCTGTGTTCTGGCGTGGATCACTCTGCCTTCTCCCGGCTCTCGCATTGTGTTCCGGCGTGGATCACGCTGCCTTTTCCCGGCTCTCACGCTGTGTTCCGGCATGGATTTGCAGGCTTTTAGCGCCATGTTTCTCACATTTTTGGGATTTTGTTGGTGATTTCGCTGTTGAGAATGGTCCCAGCATCATGCAGCAGTGCCGTCTCGTGTTCCTCAGTGCCAGGAGGCTGGGATGAGCCTCACAGAGAAACCATGTGTGAGAGCAGTTCTCTCAGGCAGGAGTGATAGCTCCGTGTCCATGAGTTCAGTGTGGGTGAATCACAGTAAATATGAACTAAGGAAATACGCATAAAGGACAGGTGCAGCGGCTCATGCCTGTCACCCAGCACTTTGGAAGGCTGAGGCAGGAGGATGGCTTGAGCCTGGGAGTTTGAGACCAGCATGGGCAACAAAGTGAAACCCCGTCTCTACAAAAATACCAAAAAATAAAAAATAAAAAAAAAAATAACTCTGTGTGGTGATGCACGCCTGTAGTCCCAGCTACTCGGGAGACTGAGGCCAGAGGATTGATTGAGCTTGGGAAGTCAAGGCTGCAGTGAGCCATGATCACGCCACTGCACTCTAGCCTGGGTGACAGAGCAAGACCTGGTCTCAAAAAAAAAAAAAATGTCCAGGCGTGGTGGCTCATGCCTGTAATCCCAGCATTTTGGGAGGCTGAGGCAGGTGGATCACTTGAGGTCAGGAGTTCGAGACCAGCCTGGCCAACATGGTGAAACCCTGCCTCTATTAAAAATACAAAATTAGCCAGGCGTGGTGGTGTGTACTTGTAATCACAATTACTCAGAAGCCTGAGGCTGGAGACTCACTTGAACCCGGGAGGCAGAGGTTGCAGTGAGCCAAGATTGTGCCACTGTACTCCAGCCTGGGCGACAGAGTGAGACTCTGTCTCAAAAAGAAAAAATGAAATACACAAAACTGGGTTACATAGTGACCATTTGATGAACATGTTGTGAGCAGAGGCTCACAGAAACCTAGCTGTGTGTTTCCCCTCTGAACAGTGGCTCAGTACTGGCCAACTCTGTGCTTGAGGTAGCTTTCTAGAACAGAGCTGCCACGAATAACGAGAAGTGATGAGCTCCTGTGGCAAGCAGGACAGCACCCGCCACGGCTGCCCCTCACCTCCACCCCTGGAACTGTGACTGTTCCCTTACATGGAAAATGGGACTTTGCAGATGGGACAAAGGGTACGGACCTGGGGGTGGGAGATTATCCTGGCTTATCCACAAGGGCCCAGTCCCATCAGAAGGCCCTCAGAAAGCGGAGCACCTGGGCCGGGCGCGGTGGCTCACGCCTGTAATCCCAGCACTTTGGGAGGCCGAGGCAGGCGGATCACGAGGTCAGGAGATCGAGACCATCCTGGCTAACACGGTGAAACCCCGTCTCTACTAAAAATACAAAAAATTAGCCGGGCGTGGTAGTGGGCGCCTGTAGTCCCAGCTACTCGGGAGGCTGAGGCAGGAGAATGGCGTGAACCCGGGAGGCGGAGCTTGCAGTGAGCCGAGATCGCGCCACTGCACTCCAGCCTGGGTGACAGAGCGAGACTCCGTCTCAAAAAAAAAAAAAAAAAAAAAAGAAAGCGGAGCACCTTCCCCTGCTGTGGTCACAGGGAGCTGAGACAACGGAAGAGAGAACAAGAGATAGCTGTTGAGGGGCCAGCGCCTGCTAGCTCTGACAATGGAGGGAGGAGGGGGCCGTGAGCCAATGGATGTGGGTGGCCTCTGGATTCTGGAAAAGGCAGGAAAGCCCCAGAACCCCCAGAATAGAGTGCAGCTCATAGTATCTCAATCTTAGCCCGGGGTGATCCCTGTCAGGGTCTGACCTAGTGAAGACTTTGTGTTGCTTTAATATGTCGTTGAAGACGTCGTGTGTGGCTGTAAGTCACTAGGTTTGTGGCGATTTGTTGTGGTCATCGAGACCATCCTGGCTAACATGGTGAAACCCCGTCTCTACTAAAAAATACAAAAAATTAGCGGGGCGTGGCGGCGGGTGCCTGTAGTCCCAGCTACTCGGGAGGCTGAGGCAGGAGAATGTTGTGAACCCGGGAGGTGGAGCTTGCAGTGAGCCAAGATCGCGCCACTGCACTCCAGCTAGGCAACAGAGCGAGACTCTGTCTCAAAAAAAAAAAAAAAAAAAAAAGGCGTGTGGGGGGTGACAGAGAGGCGGGGGAAATGAAGAGAGGCAGAGGGGGTGGAGAGGGACAGGGGAGACAGAGGCAGGGGAGACGGAGGCAGGGTAGACAGAGAGAGGCAGGGGGAACAGAGAGAGGCAGGGGGACAGAGACGGGAGACAGAGAAGCAGGGGGACAGAGAGGCGGGGGAGACAGAGGCAGGAGAACGGAGAGAGGCAGAGGGGACAGAGAGATGGGAGACAGAGGTAGGGGGACAGAGAGGCAGAGGGGACAGAGAGAGGGGAGACAGAGGTAGGGGGACAGAGAGAGGCAGAGGGGACAGATGGGAGACAGGCAGAGGGGACAGAGAGAGGCAGAGGGGACAGAGAGACGGGAGACATAGGGGGACAGAGAGAGGCAGAGGGGACAGAGGGAGACGGGAGACAGAGGTAGGGGGACAGAGAGAGGCAGAGGGGACAGAGAGAGATGGGAGACAGAGGCAGAGGGGACAGAGAGAGATGGGAGAGAGAGGCAGGGGGACAGAGAGAGTCAGGGGAGACAGAGGCAGGGGAACAGAGAGGCAGGGGGATAGAGAGAGGCAGGGGGACAGAGGCAAAGGGGACAGAGAGAGGGGACAGAGAGAGGCAGGGGGACAGAGAGGCTGGGGGAACAGAGAGAGGGAGAGGAGGCCGGTGGGGAAACAGAGTTGTTTTTTCCTCTGTTAGCTCTCATCCCTGAAATCAACAAGGAAATAGGACCGGTTCACTTTGCCATGTTGGCTTGAGGTGCCCTGCTAAGAGCTGGGGTTCCATCCAGCCTTCCTTGGCTGTGACACTCTGTGGAACTAATCTTCAACTTCGCAGAAGTTGTTCCCTGGCCTCTGGAATCCCACCTTGGTGACTTAAAAGCTAGTGGACTGATAGAAAATTCAGTCCCCGTTACTTAACTTGGATTTTGAAAACCGTCCCCTCATTCAGGTTTACACAGAACATGCTATTGCCCGTCTAAGCCTGAGGGGACCACACACCCCAGAAACACCAGAGCAGATCATGTTCAAAACCGCCGACTGTCCTGAAGACAGTTGACAATTCATGAGTTTGACGCACGTTTTTTCCAGTCCAAGAGCTGGAGCCAGATACCCACCCGTGACGCCCTCCCACATCTTCCAAACGGGCACTTCCAAACCTTGTCCTGGGCATGTTTCCAAGCCAGCCTCACTGCTGCAGGCTCATGTCATGCCCTCTCTCCTGCGTGCTCCCAGATCCCACCCATCCTTAAAAGCCCACGGCCACGGCCACCTCCTTCCTGCCTCACCCTGGCTCCCTCCCCGCAAGGAGGAAGCGGCCCCTCCCCGCTGGCGTCCTGTCTGTCATAGGGCCTTAGGTTCTTGTGTGTGTGCGAGCCTGGGTTACGTGTCTTTCCTTTTCCACTGTACCTGGCACAGGTAAATACTCATTCAGCCTGACTTGGACCTCAGTGATGGCTCCAGACCGTGGCTTTGAAGAATGGGCAGAATTTGGATGTAGGAAGAAGCAAGGAAAGGAGGGAGAGTTTCCGGTGCAGGGAGAGAGCCCTGCCCTGGGCATCCCTTAGGCAGGTGTTGGAGGGAGGCCCCCAGCACTGGGGCCCCAGCAGCATGGGTCTGCCCTGCCGTGTCCTTCCCCTCCAACCTGAGCCCATGCAGCATCCGTGGGGCCAGTCCTTCCAGGGAAGTGGAAGCCACCCTGGGAGGAGCCTGGCTACCAGACCATGATGGCAGGGTGGGAGAGATTTGAATATTCTTACTGCTCGTAGCTCAGGAAGTGGCAGCACCAGTCCCTTGTCCTTTGGGGCGATGACAACAGAGAAGCAAGCCTTGGGGGGCAGGGCTGCTTTCCCCCCAAAATACAAGTAAGCACAAGGCAGAGCGGCGTGCTTTGTGTTGACGTCGCAGCAGCAGCCATCCTGGCAGTGAGGGGTCACAGTCACGGCCACAGGCTCGCCCATGCACAGAGGCACGTTCTCGAAGGCAGGAAGAGCGTGGGTGTGCAGAGGTGCAGGGAGGGCGGGACATCCCCAGGGAAGGAGTTGCGTTCAGGATGGGCAGCTGTGCCAAGTTCCCAGCTGGTAGGAAGACAGGAATGCAGGTTGATTGGGAAACAGGAGAGAGGGCGCAGCGGCTGTGGCAGCTGCCTGGGGTGTGAGACAGCAGCAGGTGTGTGTCAGGGATGTGGGGAATTTTCTACCAACCTTCTTTTTAAGTTGAGTCATTTTCTCTCTTGGTCCTTTGCTGCTTTATTTTTTTTTTTTTTTTGAGACAGCATCTTGCGCTGTCACCCAGGCAGGAGTGCAGTGGTGTGATCTTGGCTCACAGCAACCCCCACCTGCTGGGTTCAAGAAATTCTCCTGCCTCAGCCTCCCAAGTAGCTGGGATTACAGGCATGAGCCACCATGCCTGGGGTTTCACCATGTTGGCCAGGCTGGTCTTGAACTCCCAATCTCAGGTGATCTGCTTCCTTGACCTCCTAAAGTGCTGGGATTACAGGCATGAGCCACCAAGCCTGGCAGTCCTTTGCTTCTTTCCTCCCGCCCTCGTCCGCCAGTAGAACCTCAGAATTTGTGTCACGGCCATTGACAAATATGTCCCGTGCTGTGAGCATTTTGGAACCGGGACTTGACTCTGTGGCTGATCTGGAGGCGCTCTGGGCGCAACATGAGATTTCGTGCACGATCAGCCAGCTGTAGCCAGTTTTTCCTGGTGTGCGTGGTCCTGTGAGTGCCTCACCAGGGTCCCTTGGAGATGGGTGTGACTCAGGTAAGGTGTGTTCCTTTTCTTCTTCTTCTTAAGGGCCTGCATGAAGCCTCTTGCTCCAGAAAAACTGGGCTCAGAGGCAGTGTCGTGGGGCGGAGGTGAAACCCCTGGCCGGCCCCACACCCATCATTCCTCGGGACTCAGTTGCTCAGTGCACAGTAGCCTAGGATCGTAGGGTGGTGTATGGTTTCTGTTTTTTTTATTTTTATTTTTTGAGAGAGTTTTACTCTTGTTGCCCAGGCTGGAGTACAATGGCGCGATCTCAGCTCACCACAACCTCCGCCTCCCGGGTTCAAGCGATTCTGCTGCCTCAGCCTCCCAAGTAGCTGGGATTACAGGCATGCACCACCATGCCCAGCTAATTTTTGTATTTTTAGTAGAGATGGGGTTTCTCCCTGTTGGTCAGGCTGGTCTCAAACTCCTGACCTCAGGTGATCTGCCCGTCTCGGTTTCCCAAAGTGCTGGGATTACAGGTGTGAGCCACCGCACCTGGCCTGGTGGTGTGTAGTTTCTAAAGCACATCCACGCCTGAGATGGTTGAGAAAACCGAGGCTCAGAGGGGTTTGTGTTCCTGCTCAGAGTCACAGCCCCGAACGGCAGAGCTGGAACCACATCCAGTCCCGGTGTCGCCCATCCAGGCACCCTAATCCCACGTCAGCCTGCTTGCCTCGTGGCGTTACGGCACACCTTTGCTCTGATGTGTTACTGGCACACCTGAGCTCCCGAGGGCAGGGCTGCTTCTTATTTATTTGTTATCTCAACAACTAGTATTTATTATCTCACCATATACTCAGTGACTGACGCCACCTGGGTGCCAGGCCCTGTGCTGCCTCTGCCACCCCTGTCCCTGTGCCTGGCCCTGCTGGCAGGAAGCTTGTGTTTGAGGACAGAGAACTTGGGGTGGGTTGGCGACGAGAGCCTGTCCCGAGTGGTGTCCCTCCAAGGACGATGAGCCACAGCGGGGCAGAAGGGGCCCTGGGAAGCAGGCTGCACCCGCCAGAATCTCCCAGGCCCGGGACCCAAACGCGAGTCTTCAGACAGGAGAGGCTGCAGTCTTCTCGCTGCAGGGGAGATGGTGGGGGGACTCGGGCCATTTGCCTGCTTCCTCTGTGCTGAGGCCGTGGTCAGCAATTCTGAGATTCCCAGCCCGGGTTTCCACCACCGACATCACTGTGTAAGGAGCAGGCAGTGCCTCTGAGCGGCCAGGGGCACCCATGCGCCAGAGCCAGTGCACGTGACCTGGCGAGGGGGCAGGAGTGGCCACTGCAAGGTGACAGCTGCTGGCACCTAATGCTCGCAGAGGGCCCCAGTGCACAGGCGCGGCTGGCTGTGCAGAGCTGCTGACCGCCTCTCACCACCCCCTGCCCTGCCCCGTGCCACCCGGGATGACTTCTGGCCTGGGTGCTTTTGGTAGCCACACCTCAGAAAACCTGTCTTCGTGACTGTGGGCCACCATGGGCATGAGTCACCTGTCACCAGAGCCTGGTGTCCCTGTGTAAGTGTGCCAGATAGGCAGAGGAGACAGGTGAAGGCACATTCCTCAGTGCCCGCTCACAGCTCTGCCCACCACGCATTCTGTAGAGAACCTCAGTGCCCTCCTCCCTGCTGGCAGCCAGGCAGGGATTTAGGCGGTTTCTGTTTGGCCTCCAGTGCTTGCCTCTCCCGTGTCCTATCCGCCCAGACCTCAGACCTGTCACTGTTCCCGGGCATCCTCCTGGATAAGAAACTGCCCAAATGTGGTAGCTGGGTCCCCAGGATGTGAGTCAGGCTAGGCCTGCCTAGCTCACGTTTTGTTCTTTGCAAATTTTCCCAACCTTGCAGCTCTCTGGGGAGGGAGCCAGCTCCAGGCTGGGAATGGGCCTGGCGGCCTCCATCAGTGTCAGCCCAGGTGAACCGTCCACGAGCCACAAAAGGGAAGGTGATGGGAGGAGTATCATCTGGCTGCCTTCCGGGTCACTGCGGGGAGTTGCTGCCCCCGGAGCTTAGCTGCTGTCAAGGGGTGGGATGTGGCGAGGACCCCCAAGAGGTTGCCCGGGGTCCTTTATTCTAGGGCGCTAAGCATTGGAGAGTGCTTCCTGTGTCTGAGACGGGACAGCAGGGGACCCGAAAACAAGCAAGCAAGAGGAATGCGAGGCCCCGTGAGGATAGCAGGAGGGTGGGGCAGCCTTGCAGCCATGGGGACATTTGGATGGACAGAGCCCTGGTGGCTAAGACCCAGCATGGGAAGATCCAGGGAGGCTCAGTGAGGGAGAAGGAACAGCGAGAGCAAAAGCTCTGAGGGGAGATGGGGGGGCCGCCCAGGCAGATGGGGGTGTAAGATGAAGTGTGAAGGGGCAGGCGCACGAGAGAGGAGGCATCAGTGGTGTGTTGGGAGAAGGTGAGGAGACCAGTGATGGGGATCAATCAGGAGAGCTTCCTGTGGGAGGAGGCTTCTCTGAGGTCTGAGGTCTGGGCGGATAGGACACGGGAGAGGCAAGCACTGGAGGCCAAACAGAAACCACCTAAATCCCTGCCTGGCTGCCGGCAGGGAGGAGGGCGCTGAGGTTCTCTACAGAATGCACGGTGGGCAGAGCTGTGAGCGGGCGCTGAGGAATGTGCCTTCACCTGTCTCCTCTGCCCACCTGGCACAGCTGCACAGGGACACCAGGCTCTGGTGACAGGTGACTCATGCCCATGGTGGCCCACAGTCACAAAGAAATGGAAGTCCTTCAGAAATGGAAGGGATCTTAGAGATGGTGAAGATGGTTTCTGTGTCTCAGGAAGGGCTCTGGGCTTTCGGGCAAGTCTCCTCAGCTCTCAGGGAGTGAGGGAACTCACGGCCCCTCGTTGAGATCTGTGCACCTGCAGCCTCTCACCGCTGTCACCATGCCCCGCAGTTCTCTCTCCAAGACCATTTCCAGTCTCTTCCTGCAGGGCTATGCATTGCCTCAGCTCCTTTTGAGGAGCTGTTGAGAAAAGATCGTTTTTTAAGAAAGCCTTATCGTTCCTGTGCATGTGGGTGATGTCATCACACTCTGCCCCCTGGACGCAGATCCTCCATGCTGCCCCCAGTGGGAACACCAGCCTGTGCTCAGTGCTGCAGAGCTGGTGTTTCCCTGCCAGGCGGAGCCTCAGGGGATTTATCGCCTCATTTGTTTGTGGGTTGGCTTTTTCCTTTTATAAGTTTTCATCGGAAACTGATTTTACCAGTTGTATGTCACACAGCCCTCCTGCCTGGTCCCCAAGATGAGAAATTACAATGCATGATGCATGAGGCTGATTTTCATGTAGATGTGTTCGCTCGGGCTGGAGCTCTGGGTGTGGTTTGTTCCTGGGAGAGGAGCCCCAGGCACTCACTGGCATCTCCATGTTTGGATGAAACCCTGTGCAAGGGCAAGGGTGGGAGCGTGTGTCCCACATAGCTGAGCCCCCTGGTTGGCAGGCCTGTCCTCCCGTCTCCTGGGAAGGTAGCATGAGCTTCCCACCTGCTCCCAGATTCCTCGCCCAGCCCTGGGGCGTTGCCCCTCCCCTTCCACCTGCCCTGACTGCATTCCAGGCAGAGCCAGGGTTGGTGGGGCCTGCAGTGGGGATCCCTTGACCTTCCTAGCCACTCCTGCTGTCTGGCCTTGGGCCAGGCATGTCTCTCCTAGGCCCTTAGCTGTCCTGTTTATCAAGTGGAGACATCTGCCCAGAGGCGGCAGCTGGGCCAGGTGGGGGCTGGAGGGCCCGGCTGGCTCTGTCCACTCCTCTCGGGGTTGTCCTGGAGCTCTGTGGGGTCAGCCTCGCACCACAGACAGTAGGTCCCAGCTTTCCACAGCAGAGGGCACCCCTTCTCCCCCACGCATGGAGGGGCAGGTGGGTCTCGTAGGTGCCCGAGGGGAGCAGGTCGGGCTCAGTGCTCTGCTGCCTCCTGGGCAGACTGGTAGTGGTGATGGGAGCCCCAGGGCTGCCGGTCATTAGAGCCGAGCCCAGGTCACCGCCCTGCCACCATGTGCTGGGACAGCGTGTGGCCCATGGCTTCTGCCAGACGGGCGGTGAGGGAGCCCCCACCATTGGGCAGCACTGGCCAGCCTAGGCCCCATACGGCCACCAGGCGCAGCCCGCAGCCTCCCCCACACCCATGTGGAGCTGGGCCAGGCAGGGTGCGTCCTCGGCATGCGTTTCCAAGGACTGCTGAGTCACCTCAGGGGTGACTCAGGGGCCCAGGGGCCAGGCCAGAGCCAAGGGGGACAGCAGGGGAGAGGCCGGGCTGCAAGGCCACAGCACGGGAAGGGCAGCATGCGGACCAGAGGCCAAGCCTCTCAATGCAGACGAGGGCCAGGAGGCCAGGGAGGAGGCTGTCCCGGGAGAAACGCCGATTGCCCCATCTAGGGCGGACGGGCCAGGTTCGGGCTGGTGGAGGCCTTCCGGGATGCAGGCCCTGCACAGGGTTCCTTAGGGTTTAAAGTCAGCAGCCAGAGCTGGAGGCCTCATCAGAAAGGCAGTGTGGGCTGGACTCCCGCTGGTGACTTTGCTGTCAGCACAGGAGAGGTCCTTCTGGCCCTGGGGCTGCCCTCACGGAGCCTCCGGCCACCAGACCATCATAGACCAGGCCTGAATGTCCCCTTTCTCTCTCGGGGATGGTCACAGAGCTGGCCCCTGGCCCCTGGCTGCCACTCTGTTGTGGCCACCGCTGAGCAATTTCCTGTCGTGGCTGTCACCACTTCGTCTGCGTGACTTCTTTCCAGTGGCTGATTCCCTCTCTGCTTCCAGTTCCCCTGATGTGTTGGCCTCAGACTCTTGGATGGGGCCTCCAGGGCCCATCTGGAGGATTTCTCTTGCCTAAGTTTTTTTCTCCCCCTCATTTTCATGTGCTGTGACTTCAAATGACATCGGCTCGCTGCCGCGCACACAACAAAGCATTTATCGCTCTCTGCCAATCTGAGAGTCCTTTCTCCAGCTCCAAGAGCCAGGAGTCAGGCAGGGCAGGGCCCGACAGCCTGAGAGACGGCATGAATGGCCAGCACCACAGTTGGCAGAAACGCACCCCCAAGGCGATTTAGACTGCGGTGGCCGGGCCGCACCATGGCCCCCAATGTCTGGCTGTCTTTCCCTACCATGGCACCCAGCCACACCTCTGGCCAGGAAGTCTGTGGCAGGCCTGTCCCCACAGCCTGGGGGCCGTGGGGAAGCCGGGCTCTCAGGGGGCCCTCTGTGGCCTGGTCTGAGGCAGAGCCCATTCTGGTTCCAGTCCAGAGCCGGTATCTCGGTTGCCAGCCCAGGCCCAAGGGACTGCCCCTTTGGCTGAGAGGACGCCTGGGGCTTCCAGAGCCACTGTCCTTTTGCTGCCAGAGCTTGGTTCCCAGAGGAGCGCCTGACCCGCCACAGAGGTGGGTCTGTGGCTGTCCCCGGGTGCCCAATCTGGCCATGGTGGCAGCGTCTGGTTTGGGGTTTCCGTGAGAAAATAATTTCAGAAACTTTGTCTTGATTCATTGTTTTCAGTGCCTCCGTTCCCAAAGGCTGCTTTTTAAAAACCATTCAGCCTTGATGGACAGGAGGGGAGATCTCTACTGAGAGGCTGGAGGCTCGAAGGACAGTGGCAAATCCAGGGCTCTCAGAACTCCCAGATGCTGAGGGGAGCCCCGGCTGTCGGGACCCTTCCCTCCGTGCATCACACACAGTGGGTGATGACCCAGTCAGCCCCAAGGCAGAGGCTCCCTCCATCTTCCCTTGGGCTGGGGAGTGGGTTTCTGCCGTCTGATTCCTCGCCGCCGGGCCATGAGGATCACCTGGCACCTGTGAGGGTCACTTGGCACCTGTGGTGCTCCTGTGGCCCCCCCTCCCACTGCTCCTCTCCCTCCCCCTCCTGGCCTCATCCCTGAGCATGTGCAGGAATGACTACTCCTGCTTTTCACCTGCGGATGCCCTGCAGGCTCCCAGACCAGGAGCCCAGGGGCCACAACCCCACCCATGCCAGGCACTTACTGTCACAGGAAAGCTCAGAGCTGCCTGCAGCCAGCGCCGCCCCTGTAGATAGGCGAGCTTTCATAGTCAGCACGCAAGGGCCTCAGGTCTGGAGAGTCCCCATGCCACTGGGGCCACTGAAGGTTTCCAGGAAGGACAGACAGACACATCAGCAAGCCAGGAGCCTGGGAGCCCACATGGAAAAGGGGACACGAAGGCCAGTGGCTTCCTGTGTCGCTGGGCAGCAGGCCGCCTCCAGGCTGTGCGCGTCTTCGACTTTTTGACTCATGGGAAAGAAGCTGTGATGGACTCGAGGTGGCCATGTGTGTTGGGCAGTGGCTCCCAGGTGTTGGGCCAGCAGGGAAGGGCGTTGCAGATGGAAAGGGGTTCAGAGACACACGGATATGATACATCCCTACATCCTTTGCCCCTGCCCTCTTCCCACGTCAGGGCTTTTTCTACACCACAGGGATCCTTACGTCCCTCCCTGGGGCCTCCACCCCGACCCTGTATTCCAGCTGTTTTGCACAGAGGTCTGATAAGGACTCTGCTGCTTCTGCAGGCCTTACCCTGGCTTTGCCCCTTTCCATGGCTGACCAGGCCTTGAACACAGCTGCAGTGTTAGAACTGCGCCCACTGTGAGGAGGGGCTGAGCACTCGCCTCCTCCACGTCCCCTTCAGCTTCCTCCTCTGTGACGTTGGGGGCCGGGCACAGAGTGCCTAGCATGGGGGCTGGCACATGGGACTGTGAATAGTGGCCCTTGTTCCGTGTGTCCTGCCTGCCCTGTCCCTGGTCCTGCAGGTGGCTGGGCCTGGACCCCCTCCTATGGTCCCCAGCTCCCCAACCCATGCTTTGTCCTGGGGCTGTTGTCCCCTAGTCCTGTAAATGTATGGCCTTGGCCAGGCACACTGTGTCATGCCTGTAGTTTTGGCACTTGGAAGGCTGAGGTAGGATTGCTTGAGGCCGAGTTTGAGACCAGCCTGGGCAACATAGTGAGACCCCTGCCTCTTTAAAAAGAAAAAAAAAGATGAGGCCTTGTCACAGGTATTCGCTGCGGTTGACCAGCCGTGCCCACCTGCCATTTCTCCGCTCTGTGCCTGGCACTGGGCGAGGCCCCTGTGGTCTGTGCGCTCACAGATTCCGCTGAGGAGGACTGCAGGGAGGGACGCGGAGATGGCTCTGTAGCACAGCGTGCAGCACCACAGCACCACCGATGCCGACGGGCAGGCAGACACCAGCCAGAGACCCGCTCCCCAGCCGAGGGAGGACCCGTGAACTCTGCTGTGAACCTGGAAATTACCAAGCACCACAGCATGACTGCCAGTGAGACCTGAGGACCCTGGGGCCGACCCCTCTGCGGGCAAATGTGGCGCATCCCTGCAGGCTGGGCCACAGCAGCCCTCCCTTGCCCTCCCCCACGCTGGCTTTCTTCTTTAAAAGAGAAAAAAAAACAAAACCCTGTGAATTCATCAGAGCAGATAGTCTGCTGGGGCACCAAGCCCGAGACGGGCATTTGTGTTCCGTGCTGTGTGGATCAGGTTTCCCCGCTGAGATGTTTAAATCCCAAGGCCGCCCATCGGCAGCAGCCAGCTCCACTCGGCAGGATTCGGAATTTTCCTCCTGCTCCTGCCAAGTGGCCACCACAGCTGTGCCTGCCGGGCACAGGGCAGCTGCCCACACCCCTCTGGGTAAAACCTGGGATTCTCCTGCCTACGGTAGCCCTGTCCTGACTCTCAGTCCACAGTGTCTTCACAGTTCATTTCTGTATTTTTCCACCTTGTATTCTCTGTTCTGTGTGTCACATCCCTTGCTCCCCTCCAAAGAGAGCCAAAGGTCTAAACTCTAATGAATGCCAGGCTTCAAAGGAATAGCCCCCTTCTCCCAGGGGGACAAGAGTCCCATGCTCTGGGGCAAAACCCCATCTTCGTGTCCAGCTTGCTCGTTTCCCAGGTGCCTGGCTCACAGGTGACAGAGTACAGGGTCAGGCAGAAAATCCATGCGGCATGCAGGTGGCGGGTGCAGGTGGGATGCGTGAGCATAGAGTGGGCAGGTCTCCGCTGGGCATCTCTGGGCAAAGATCTGAAAGACCACAAGCCAGTCTTGCCAAACCCTGGGGAAGTGTCCGGCAGGCAACAGTGGGATCCTTCCCAGAGGCCACTGCCAGGCCTGACTGAGCCGGGGCCTCTCCCATAGTGACTTCTCAGCCCTGGTCCTCGCCTGGCAGGGTTGGCCAAACCTCACTTCTCCCTGCTCCAGGCGGGGACATGTCACAGCCTCTGTGGGAGGCCAGCCGGCATCTGAAGCAGGGGCAGAGTCTTGGAGACTGTTCCCTCTTGGGCTCGGCCTGTTTGTTCCAGGCATGGGGAGAGAAGGCGCTGGTGTTGCTCTCAGGATGGCAGCCCTTGTGGGGCCTGCGGTTGGTCACTCGGGGTTTGCAGCTGGTACTCTGACCCCGTCCAGGTGGGGCCCTGTGGGAGAGTGGGGAGGGGGCCCCCACCCACCCTGCCACCCTGATGCAGGTTCAGTCAGCGGAGGGTGGTCTCACCCCTGAGCCCTGTTGGGTCCCTGGCTACTGAGTGGCCCCATTATTTTCCTCCGTTTCCTGCCATGCGGGGTGGGAACAGGAGGCGAGCCTTGTGGGTATGGGATGGACTCGAGTGCGGAGCTGTCATTGCCACTGCTGAGTCCGCTGCACTAGTCAGGGCTACAGCCAGCCTGCAGAGTCTCCCTCGGCAGGAATGGACTGCTGGGACCATGGCCTCAGTCCTCCCTCCCCACCGGTAGGGTCTCTGATGCGGGGGCATTGGGGCTGGCTGCCCCACAACAGGCAGCTCTTGCCTGGCAGATGGCACCAGGGTTAGGAACACTCGCTCCTGACAGCGAGCCCAGAGGCGCCCTCTGGTGAGCCTCCCCGTGGCGCCCAGCTCTGCCGCAGACTCTCGGTCCCCTCCGTGCTCAGCAGTGTGCTGGTGTGGAGACCGCAGTGAGTAGGGCCCCAGCGGGCAGGAGCCCACGCTTGGTTTCCGCGCTTGCGGCCGGCGCTGCACGTGGCCCGGCTGCCTTGCTTTTCCCGTGTTTCCCTTGTGGCTGCTCATCCCTGTGTCCATCTGTGCTGGTTTCTAGCCCATAAGCCTTGGAGAGAAGGGGCCTTACAGGGTTGTGTCCCCTGCCCAGTGCCTGGCCCGTGGGGGACCATCAGTCACCACAAGGGACTTGGCTGGAGCTGAGCAGAGGGACCCGGGTAGTTAGGGCACAGCCTCCCGGGTGTCAGGGGTGCGAGGAGTCAGGCGGTTGTGGGGGTTCAGGAAGTCGTCCTGGGGCTCAGGAAGGCAGGGTCCTGGATTCCCAGGTGAGATGGGCAGGTGGGGCCAGGGCCAGAGCCAGAGGCCACCAGGTGGGTCTTTGGTACCGTGGCGGGTCCCCAGCCCCTCCCCTCAGAGGCAGGATGTGGTCCTCGCCGGTAGGGCCTCTCCTCCTGCCCTGTGAGAGGCAGGGGGCTGGGGAAGGGCCCTGACGGAGCCACTCCTGCCAGCCTGCACACTGGGTCCTGCCTGGGCAGGTCGTGGGGCCGGGGTGGCCTCCGCCCAGAAGGTGTGGTTTCGCAGCCCGCTGGCTTCAGTTCTCCTCCCGGCTTCCCAGAAGAGTCCAGTCTCACATCAGCCACTCATTTCCCTCTCCGGCAGCCGCTGGCTCTGAGCACGCCCTCTCTCGCCACAATCAAAAGAAGTGAAACTGTCCCAGGAAATAGAGTGGAACGCCCCAAAAACACCTAGGGAGGGGGGGCTCCTTCCTCCTAATGCCTTCAGCAGAAATGGAGGGCAGCCCCACTCTCCTGCCCCGCAAGGGACAGTTCCTGCTTCTCACCTGTGCCAGAGTCAGCCCTCCCGCGGTGGGTGTGACGAGGTGATTTTTTTTTTCTTTCTTCTTTCTTTTGAGATGGAGTCTTGCTCTGTCGCCTAGGCTGGAGTGCAGTGGCTGGATCTCTGCTGACTGCAAGCTCCACCTCCCGGGTTCACACCATTCTCCTACCTCAGCCTCCCGAGTAGCTGGGACTACAGGCACCCGCCATCAGGCCCGGCTAATTTTTTTGTATTTTTAGTAGAGACGGGGTTTCACTGTGTTAGCCAGGATGGTCTCGATCTCCTGACCTCATGATCCGCCTGCCTCAGCCTCCCAAAGTGCTGGGATTACAGGCATGAGTCACCGCGCCCGGCCAACGAGGGGATTTTTAAGAAGCTTCCAAGGTGCTGTGTGGCTGAGTTGAGAGCCACCAACCCACAGGCAGGAAAGGGACAGGGGTCAGAGGCATGGGGCCTGTGCTCACTGAATGCCCGGCACACCCCGCACATGAAGGCAGGTGGACAGAAAGGGTCCCGATGCGTGGGTGAGGACAGTCCCGTGGTGTGGGGGCTTCCAGAGCCAAGCCTTGGAGGAGGGCCAGGAATTCCTTGGCAAAGGGGCTGGTGTCTTTTTGGGCAGGTTGCCAGGACACAAGACCAGCCGTGTACTCCGGGCAGGCTACCTTTTGCAGAACTTGGGGTTGGGGGCATTTGCACTCATGGTGCCTTGGGCTGTGACCTCCAGGCATGGGCTAGAGGGTACACCAGGTGCCTGGCGTGGGCAGAGCCCCAGGCTCAAGCTTCTCCTGCCCCCGCACTTCCTGCTCTTGGGTCACTTCCTCCCAGGCTGGGTCCTAAACTCCTGACTGCCCTGCTGGACACCCCCCAGCCCCACACAGCCAACGCAGTGTGGCACCACACGGACCCTCATGGCATCCCTTGGCCACGTCTTGTGACAGCTCGGGGCAGGCAAGCACCAATCAGACCTGGGGAGCACCAGGGGCACAGGCCATGGCCCACGGCACGCAACACCTCACTCTCCTGCCCAGGCCGTGTGTGCACGTCTTCACACAAGTGATCAGACCCGGGATGTTAAATTTGCCGATGACTTCAGAGATGGCACACCCTGTGACACTTGGCCCCCAGAGGGCAGGGCCAAGCTTGTGACCTCAGGCGGCCTCCCTCTGGGAGCCTCCATTTGTGGCAGGGCCTGGCAGCCACTCGGCTCTTCATGAAGCGCTGTGTGCTGGGAAGGGCCTCACACTGTCCATCCTCACTCTGTGCGGCATCCCTTGGCGCCAGGCACACATGGGATACGTGGGGTGAAGAAAGCAACGCCTGTGCTCAGACAGCGGTGCTGGGGTTCAGTGGTTCCCGCCATGTTCCATGGGACATTTCAGGGCTGTTTTTCGCATCCCAGGCGCTGTCAGAGGGAGTGGTTTGGGAATTCAGTGCTTGCTTCTGCCTTCCCACCACACGAGGAAAGACGCTGTAAGTGCCTGTCATTGTCATCGCTTTCACCGTAGCTGAGAGCCGTGAGGACCAAGGTGTGCCAGGCCTGTGTTGACTGCCTTGTGAAACTCAGTGTCCACATGGGGCAAGGGCTGGGCTGTCCCATCCTGCAGACACGGGCACCAGAGCACAGGAGAATGGCGGCCTCCCTGCCCGGCTGCCTGCACCTCTTCTCGTAACTGTCAGCTCCTGCTGCCTCTCCCAGCCAAGCTGGCAGGATTTTTTTTTTTAAGTAGACCCCACATACTCAAGGATGGGGGCAGATCCCCACATTGCTATCTGTGGGGATGTTTGTGTAGGCGCTTCTGGAAGCAGTGTCTTCTGAGCCATGTGTTCTCAGGCTGAGGCTCTGGACTCCACCGTGGCCCAGATGGGGCCTACTGTGGCAGGGTCCCCAGTGGGTATGTGAGTGGCAGTCGGGACACACACAGGTGGGCAGGCCACCCCCACCCTCCCCCTCCCCCTGCAGGCCCACCCTGCTCTGCAGGCAGCGTGTGGCCCTGGGGTGCCCACGGCAGTGCCTGAGGTGTGTGTCCTGATCACTTGGCCTCCTGCCTCCAGCTGTGGATGCGATGTGGCTGGAAGGCGGCTCAGGGCCTCCTGTCCTCTTCTTCCTCCTACCCCTGGGCTCACAGCGTTTCCCCTCTTCTGTCCTCTAGCTGGTCAGTGAGAAGGTCGGAGGGGCCGAGGGGACCAAGCTGGATGATGACTTCAAAGAGATGGAGAAGGTGAGGAAGAAACTGCGTGCTCTGTGTGGTGGTGGCACTGCTGGGGCCTGACCTCTGCCGGGCATAGTGGAGGCGGCCAACCTTGATGGGCCTGGGTCTGGAGTGATGGGGCCCGGCAGGTGTGGAGAGATGGGGTGGTGTGGGGGCCTCGTCAGCTGGACTTGACGGGCACCAGCTCTCTCCCCTGCCGTGGGCAGGCAGCTGTGGGGACATGGCTGAGCTGAAGACATGGAGAGGGGGTTGGGGGGTCCTGGTATGGGCTCTTAGGGCAGGAGGCGGTGCAGCAGCGGGGGTCTTGTGTGCCTTGGGCCCCCACTGGCTGTGGAGTCTTATATGCTGCTTCTCTTCACAGAAGGTGGATGTCACCAGCAAGGCGGTGACAGAAGTGCTGGCCAGGACCATCGAGTACCTGCAGCCCAACCCAGGTGGGTGCTCCAGCCACTGCCAGGGCCTGCCCCAGGCCCTCTGGCCTCTGTGTCAGAGGGAAGGCAGGGGATGACAGAACCGCCAGGCTCATGGGTTGTGGGCTTCAGGCACAGCTGGATCCCGGAGTGCAGAGGCCATCCTTGGTGCTGCATGCTGCCTTTCCACCTCAACCAGCAGCTCAGCCCCTCTGTTGGCTTCACTCTCATGCCGACTGGTTCCTCAGGGCCGTCCCAGCCTTCAACCCCTCTTCCAGCCAGCAGTCCTGGCAGGGAGCCTCTCCCCCAGCTTACTTGTGGGATCCATTTGTATTGGCCGCCCCTCCCCAGTGCCCCTGGCCTGGACTTCACCTCTTGGGCTTGGGACTGGGTCTCCCTGGCTGAGAGACGGGCTTTTCCCCAAGGAAAACCCAAATGCTGGCTCCATAGGAGGCCACGGACAGGGGGCAGACGCACACCCAGCAGTGTCCACTCAGGCCCTGCCAGGAGCAGACCCAAGCGGGCAGCGGAAGGGACACAGCTCATCACCCACCCCGGGAGCCTTGGCCTCAACCACCCCCCGCTGCACATCACTGCTGCGCCTCCTCCCTGGCACCCCCCAGATGAGGGGTCATAGCCACGTTCCAAGAGGAGCAGCCCTTGGAAGGAGGAGGTTTTGCCCCCTGAGGAGCTTGGTCACCTCTCCACCCGCTGCCAGCTCCTTTGAGGCTAGCAGGAGCAGGGAAGGGACCCTCTGGGGATTCCACTGTGCTTTGTGTGGCCTAGGCTGTCCACAGGCACAGGAAGCAAGGGTGGGGAGGAGATGTGGGGGCTGCAGTCTGCCAGGGCAGAGGAGTGCAGGCCTCACAGCCCACACCCACCTGGCCATCCTATCCCAGCCTCGCGGGCTAAGCTGACCATGCTCAACACGGTGTCCAAGATCCGGGGCCAGGTGAAGAACCCCGGCTACCCGCAGTCGGAGGGGCTTCTGGGCGAGTGCATGATCCGCCACGGGAAGGAGCTGGGCGGCGAGTCCAACTTTGGTGAGTGGTGCTCTCTGGAAGCCACGCCCACCGTCCCTGGAGGCCACACCTCAACACAGGCAGGGCAGGTCCAGGCCCTGCATGTGCTGAGTGCCGGGGACGTACAGTGGCCCCCACAGCTTTCCAGCTGCAGAGGTGCAGGAGACTGCACAGACCAACCCATCCAGCACTGGCCAGCAGCTGATAGGGCCCCTTCCTGTAGCTCCAGACCTTCCCCAACTCAAGCCAGCTGCTTCCCCAGGGCCTGGACCCCCCAGCATCTGTCCTTCCACCTGTTAAGGGCAAACCTAGGCCCTTTTAGGAGCATTGGAGGGTCTGGTTTAACGTCCAGCATCGATTCGGATTTTAGGATCCTTTGTTTTGCCCTGAGTTCCAATTTCCGGGCCCTGGGCTTAGAGTGTTGGGGGGCTGTTAGAAGTTGGGATGGGGCCAAGTGTGGTGGCTCATGCCTGTAATCCCAACACTTTGGGAGGCCAAGGCAGGTGGATCACCTGAGATCGGGAATTCGAGACCAGCAAGACCAATATGGAGAAACCCCACCCCGCTTCTACTAAAAAAAAAAAAATATATATATATATATATACACACACACACACACACACACACACACACACAATTAGCCGGGTGTGGTAGTGCATGCCTGTAACCCCAGCTACTCGGGAGGCTGAGGCAGGAGAATCACTTGAACCCAGGAGGTGGAGGTTGCAGTGAGCCGAGACTATGAAAAAACAAAACAAAACAAAACAAAACAAAAACCGGGTGCGGTGGCTCACGCCTGTAATCCCAACACTTTGGGAGGCCGAGGCGGGCGGATCACAAGGTCAGGAGTTCGAGACCGGTGTGGTCTATATGGTGAAACCCCGTCTCTATTAAAAATACAAAAATTAGCTGGATGTGGTGGCAGGCCCCTGTAATCCCCCTTACTCAGGAGGCTGAGACAGGAGAATTGCTTGAACCTGGGAGGCAGAGGTTGCAGTGAGCTGAGATCATGCCACTGCACTGCAGCCTGGGCAACAGCGAGACTTCATCTCAAAGAAGTTGGAAAGGATCCAGGTGTGGGGGTGAACGCCTGTGGTCCCGGCTACTTGGGAGGCTGAGGTGCCAGCATGGCTTGAGCCCAGTTTGAGGCCTGCAGTGAGCTGGTACAGCGCCACTGCGTTCCAGCCTGTGAAACGCTATTTCAAAAACAAAGGCTGAGGAGTGTCTCAGTCTAGTGGTCCCAGGCCCGGTATGATGGCTTCCCCCACCACTTCTCCACAGGTGACGCATTGCTGGATGCCGGCGAGTCCATGAAGCGCCTGGCAGAGGTGAAGGACTCCCTGGACATCGAGGTCAAGCAGAACTTCATTGACCCCCTCCAGAACCTGTGCGAGAAAGACCTGAAGGAGATCCAGGTGCTGCTCCTGCGCCAGCCTGGGGCCTGTCCCTTCCCCCTGCCGGATGGGGCAGCCCCATTCCTGCCACCCTCACCTCCAGCCTCGGCACTGCCCTCTGGGTCTCAGGCAGGCAGGATCCCCAGTGGTGCAGGGACAGTGGGTCAAAGCCATGCGTGGGGCGGCCCTCTGGCCGCTACTGGTGTGACCCATGTCCCCCACGTCTCCAGCACCACCTGAAGAAACTGGAGGGCCGCCGCCTGGACTTTGACTACAAGAAGAAGCGGCAGGGCAAGATCCCCGATGAGGAGCTACGCCAGGCGCTGGAGAAGTTCGAGGAGTCCAAGGAGGTGGCAGAAACCAGCATGCACAACCTCCTGGAGACTGACGTGAGTAGCTCGGGGTGTCACATCCTGAGAAGACCTATGCCCTTGGGAGGCCGGGGTGGTGCCTCAAGGGAGCTGGAGGACAGATCGGCACCTACCTGGCCGCTGCAGCAGGGGAGGTGGAGGGTATGGGCCCCAGTCCCCTGTCCCCTCTCAGCCCCCTTGCCTCCTGTGGCTTCACCTCGGGAGTCAGGGAAGGCACAGGACAGTGGCACTGGCAGGAGCCCCTGAGCCCTACTGTCCCCACAGATCGAGCAGGTGAGTCAGCTCTCGGCCCTGGTGGATGCACAGCTGGACTACCACCGGCAGGCCGTGCAGATCCTGGACGAGCTGGCGGAGAAGCTCAAGCGCAGGTGAGCCCAGGGCCTTGGTCTCTCCAGAGTCTGGGCTGCCATGCGCCCTCTGCCAGCGCAAGTGGGCAGCACACCTCGCTGTGGGGTGAGCACATGGCAGAGCAGCATCCTGGATTCTTCCTGGGGACTGAGTGGAAAGGCCTGGGGGGCCGCGAGGTCAGAGGAGCTGGGGCTCTGAGAACTCTGAGTCAACACCCAGCCCTGCCCCGATGCAGGCCCCGGGGACTCCCTCCCTGGCTGCACGTTGCTGCTGCCACAGGAACACCCAGGCTCCCCTCCCTGAATGCAGAGGCCAGACCTGCTTCAGGGGCCTTGGCGTATGTGGGGCGCCGTCCGTGGTGGGGAATTGGGGGAGGAGGCAGGGGATGCGACTGGGGGTGTTGTAGGTAGATGCTGTGGCAGGCCCCAGCTGCTTGGCAATCTCTGGGATGCCTCCAAGGTGGGGGTCCAGGCTGGAGGCCCTCTGGGTAGACATCCCAGTCTAGCTGTGTCCCAGGGTCCATGTGTCACAACCCCACTGACGGCCTCTTCCTGCAGTCCCAGGCCAGGTCATTAGGCAGCAGCATAAATACAAGAGTGGGGCTGCCTCGGCCGTGACACGGGCTCGGTCCACTCACGCCTCTCCCTTCACAGGATGCGGGAAGCTTCCTCACGCCCTAAGCGGGAGTATAAGCCCAAGCCCCGGGAGCCCTTTGACCTTGGAGAGCCTGAGCAGTCCAACGGGGGCTTCCCCTGCACCACAGCCCCCAAGATCGCAGGTAATGGGGCATGGAGCCCTCTTGCGGAGGCAAATGCCAGCGGGTGGGAGTGGCCAAGGGCTGGCCCTGTCCTGGGTCTCTGAGCGCCAGACTCCTGGGTGCAGCTCTCAGCCGTGCTCCATCTGGACCGCCAAGGCAGACGGGAAGGGCTGGCCCCAGCCTTCTGCAGAAGGGGCCCTGCCCGACCGTTTTGAGCCCACAGCCTCCTCGTTTTGCTTGTGTTTAGCTTCATCGTCTTTCCGATCTTCCGACAAGCCCATCCGGACCCCTAGCCGGAGCATGCGTGAGTGTTCCCAGGCCCGCCTCGACCTCAGTGCTGCCTTCTCGGCCATTCGGGGAGGGTGTTTCTCCTCCCGCCCTGTTCTCTGCCCATCTCAAGCAGGGAGGGGCCAGGCTCGTGCAGCAGTAGGGGGCACAGGCCCCACAGCCTGCAAGATGCCACCCCTCTGGGTCTCAGCCTCACAGTGTGAATGAGGGATTGCCAAGGGCACTAGCCCAGCTAGCTCTAGGCTGTGTGGTGGCTACAAGGGCTTGAGGGCATCTGGTCACTCCCTGTCACCGCAGCAGCACCGGGTGTCCCCAGCACTTCCCAGGAGTAGCTTTGGTGACCACTTAAACCAAGCTTCTCCCATCCTCCCTCCTGGGTGGCAGTAGAGGCCGGACCCCAGAAGTGGCAGGGGCAGGGGGTGGCCCAGGCAGGGCAGAGGGGAGGCCCATGCCCACCCACACGCTCCAGGTCACAGCAGGTCTGAGACCCCAGACTGGGCGGGGTGAGGCGTAGCAGCCCCAGCCCCACAGCCCGCTCCCGCCCCCAGCGCCCCTGGACCAGCCGAGCTGCAAGGCGCTGTACGACTTCGAGCCCGAGAACGACGGGGAGCTGGGCTTCCATGAGGGCGACGTCATCACGCTGACCAACCAGATCGATGAGAACTGGTACGAGGGCATGCTGGACGGCCAGTCGGGCTTCTTCCCGCTCAGCTACGTGGAGGTGCTTGTGCCCCTGCCGCAGTGACTCACCCGTGTCCCCGCCCCGCCCCTCCGTCCACACTGGCCGGCACCCCCTGCTGGGTCTCCTGCATTCCACGGAGCCCCTGCTGCCAGGGCGGTGTCTGAGCCTGCCGGCGCCACCTGGGCCCCGGCCCTTGAGGTACTCCCTGAGCAGGACCCCACACTTGGGTGGGGGGGCTTATCTGGGTGGGTGGGGATGCCTGTTTACACTAGCGCTGACTCCCAACGGTGACGGCTCCCTTCCCCACTCCATGGCGCCAGCCTCCTCCCCCGCTCCCCAACTTCTCGCCCAGCTGGCCGAGGCGGGGCAACACTAAGGTGCTCTTAGAAACACTAATGTTCCTCTGGGGCAGCCCCCACCTCCGTCCTGACCCGACGGGGGCCCGGCCCACTGCCTACCCTCGAGTCCCGCAGCCTTAACAGGATGGGATCGAGGGTCCCCATGGGGTGGCTCAGAGATAGGACCCTGGTTTTAAATCCCTCCCAGCCTGGTGCTGGTGATGGGCCCTGGCCCTACTCCAGGGCCAATGCACCCCCGCCTCACACACGCACTCCTTCTCCTCAAGGCCAGGGCAGAGGGCCTCACCGCCTCCCGGGCCTGCTGTCAGCTTGCAGCCCGGGGACAGAGGCCAGCTGGGATCTGCCTGAGGACAGAGAACATGGTCTCCTGCAGGGCCCTGCCTCCCAAGCCCCGCCCTCAGAAAGCCAAGTACCTTTTCAGCTTTTTAACTGCCCCCATCCCAACCCAGGGAGGCCTGTGTCACTCTGGCACAAGCTGCCACCACCAGCCACCCACACCCACCCCAGCACACCTCACACGGGACCACAGCCGCGCTGCCGAGGGCCAAGCACAAAGGTTCCAGTGAGCGCATGTCCCAGCCCCTGGTGGCCAGGCTCCCCTTGCTGAGCCGCTGCCACTTCACCCTGTGGGAAGTGGCCCCAGCCATCTCCTCTAGACCAAGGCAGGCAGCCCCGACATCTGCTTCCTCTATCGCCCAATGCAAAATCGATGAAATGGGGAGTTCTCTGGGCCAGGCCACATTCACATTCCCCTCCCCCTGTGGTCCAGTGAAGCCTCCGGACCCCAGGCTCTGCTCTGCCCTGCCCTGCACCCCCCTCGTCAGAAGTACATGAGGGGCGCAGAGATGAGCACACAGCTTTGGGCACGGTCCAGGGCAAACTGAAATGTACGCCTGAATTTTGTAAACAGAAGTATTAAATGTCTCTTTCTACAGCCCCTTGCCTCGTCTTGGTGCAGGGGTGGGCCTGCCACCCACCGCCTTCCTGAGGGGCCGGCTCCAAAGCCACACACACCCCAGGAGGTCCCTCCAGCACCCCAGGTGCTCCTGAGCCCAAGGTGGGTGGGACTGGCCCTGAGGCTTTTGTGCCAGTTCCCAGGTGCAGGGGCTGAGGGGTATCCTGGAAGTTAATGCCCTGCCCTGGAAGTGAGGAAGCTGGGGTGATGGTACCAGCCTGGGCACCCAGCCACCCTCACCCCAGCCTTGGGGAGACCAGCGTGGCTGGCTGCTGCTTCCGTTTCTTTATTACCTGAGCCCATCCGGACCCTCAAGACAACTGGAGCCCACCCTGCCCTGGAAGGCTCAGCTCCCCTGCTTGAGGACGCCGCACACCTGTTCCAGGACGTGACACAGGCTCTGGTCCTTGGGCGTCCTGCTGGCCAAGGAGATCTGAAACGAGGGGGCTGGGCCTCAGGCTGTGCCCGGGGGTCCTAGCCAGCCCTGCGCCTCACAGTCCACCGTGCAAGTCCAGCATCCTGACTGAGCCCCCCTGAGACCGAGGCACAGGGCTGGGGTCCCGCAGCACAGCCTGCTGCTTACCCAGTGGGGCAGTATGTAACCGAGGGCCTGGCTCCCAGGGGCAGCGGTGCTGTGTGGAGGGGTGGGGCTTATGTGCACACTCCCGATCCTGCCCCCACTTCAGCCCCTCCCTGCCTGGTTCCAGACACCCATGGGGACACCACAGCCTCCACAGCTAGCCGAGAGCTGAGCAGAATGAGTCCCTTTCTATGCCAGGTGGAGGGAAACCAGGAACCACTACCCTAAGACACTCAGGGGTGGCCAGGACCCTGGGCCCTCTGCAGGGGAGCCACTCCCAAAACCCGCTGCCAGGACCTCATCCGGCACTGCCGGAGCTTAAAGCTCCACAGTCCAATCAAATCTGGCCTGCACCCTGCTGGGGTGGCCACGGGGTGACCAGGGTCACCAGTCTGCCAGCTGGGCTGTCTCAGGCCCCTGAGGCCCACGGGGCTCATTGCTGCCACCTTTTAGGCTGCCCAGGGGGCCTCTCCTGGGGCCCCGTTAGGAGGTCTGCGGGGACTTGGGGCTCACCTTAAGCTTGTCGAGGTAGGTGTGCTCCTGGCTCCAGGGTTCCTGGAGCCTCACGAGGTCAGGGGAACCCTTGTAGAACTCCACCAGCAGCATCTACAGGACAGAGGAGCATGGACTCCCAGGCTCCCTCCAAGCCTGAGGTACCTCAGCGCCTCTCCTGGGGTTCCAGTCTCAGGCAGCCCTGAGACATGACCCCATCACTAACAAACCAACCACAAAGAGATCACGAGTGACCTTAGCCAGAGGGCTCACCTAGCTTAGGTCCAGGAGGGCTCTCTCGAGGGGGAGGCAGCAGCGTTGCCCAAGTGGCTGCCACGAGAGGTCCACCTGGACCTGCACTCACCGAGCCCAGTTCTCCAGAACCACGCGGGCCTGACGTGGCCCCCTGGTTCGGCCTCATCCCCAGCAGTGACACCTGTGAGGTCACAGGTTTGACGAACTAGTTTAGGTTTTGTTGGGTTTTTTCCTTGAGGTAGGGTCTCACTCTGTGGCCCAGACTGGAGCGCAGTGGCGTGATCTCGGCTCACTGTAACCTCCACCTCCCGGGTTCAAGAGCTTGTCCTGCCTCAGCCTCCCAAGTAGCTAGGACTATAGGCACCCGCCACCACTCCTGGCTAGCTTTTCTATCTTGGTAGTGACAGGGTTTCGCCATGTTGGCCAGACTAGTCTCGAACTCCTGACCTCAGGTGATCCACCCACCTCAGCCTCCCAAAGTGCTGGGATTACAGGCGTGAGCCACTATGTCTGCCTTAGTTTAGTGTTTTAAATGCATGTTGAACACACAATTTTTAAGTGTTCATCCAGTTACCACCCAAAGTCCCTGGGGTTTCTCTACTGGACAGCCTGGCAGAAGAGGCCAGTGCCTTAGAGAACAGCAGGTGGGGAGGTGAGGGAGGGCAGAAGTTGGAGGGACCCTGGCAAGGGCCTGGACTCTGTCCTGAGTGATGGAAGAAGCCCTAACCCAGGCCCCCAAGGCGCCACCAGCCATAGCTTCCCAAGCCCACCGGTGGGAAGCAGACCAACGCATCGTGTGCCCAGCTGCGCACTGCCAGCCCCTGCCTGCCCGCCCCGCAGCGAGCTCACCATCTCGTGAAGGATGTCATTGGTCAGGAAGCTGTCCTGGACGTAGGCCATCTCCACATCCATGGGGATGCCATAGTCACTGGGCCTTTG
Source organism: Homo sapiens (assembly GCF_000001405.40). NCBI lineage: Eukaryota > Metazoa > Chordata > Mammalia > Primates > Hominidae > Homo > Homo sapiens. The sequence continues at coordinate 4,358,082 of NC_000019.10, read as the reverse complement.
CTGGCAGGGACACAGACCAGTGAGAGAAGCCTCACCAGCCCGCAGCCCATGGCAGCTGGGGACAATTGGCAGTGCCCGGGCTGGGAACGGGAGAGTGCACACCCCGGCTCAGCTCTGCACCGGGATCGGCACCTGGTGGTGGGACCAGGGAGGCAGTGTAGCATCCTTACTGTGGGAGAGGCCCAGAGGAGAGCCAGGGCCCTGAAATGACTTCCCAGGGCTGACCTCTGACTTCAGGGCAGGATTGGGGAATGAAGCCAGGCAGGGTCAGGAAGGGAGCCCTCTTTGTACTGAGCAGCCAATGACACAACGGAGGCCCCACGCCCAGGACCTCACCAAAATATGGGCAGGGCAGCAGTCACGTCCCCATTTCATAGATGGAGAAACTGGGGCCCCAACTCTCCAGTGGAGCCTGGAACCAGGGGCCCCTGCCTAGTCGTGACCCAAATGCCCCAGTGCTCCCGGGCCCCCCAGGCTCTCCCAACAGCCCCACCTACCTCGGGAGGAGGCATCACCCAGAAAGGTGAGATCTTGGACTCGGGGCCTGGGTTGCCAGAATAGTAAGGGGCTGGCGGGAGAGAGGGAGAGGGGTTGGCCCTGGGAGGCTCGGCTGGCCCAGCATCCCCCCTCCTTGCTCCCCCCACAGCCCCATCCCGCGTACAGCAGAGCAGGGCGAGGCAGGGCTGGAAGCCATTGCTGGAGCCCTGCAGCCGCAGCTGGTAGTCCATCTGTGCGTCGATGTCCTGCAGAGATGGCAGCGCCGGGCTGTGTGGGTGGCTGTGGTACCAGCCCACCAGGGACAGGCCCCGCAGGAACAGGCTCTGGTAGATCTGGGGACAGAGGCGCAGCTCAGCGGGCACAGGGGCCTGAACGGCTCTAGTGAGCTTATGTGGCTGGCCAGCCCTGAACGAATTCCTGCTGTGTATCAGGCCTGGGGACACAGTGATGACCAAGACAGGCCCTGCCCCCACCGCCACTGAGTCCAGTGGGAGCTGGAGAGACAGCCAACAAGGACCTCTTTTAATATAAAAGATGCACCCTGCCACAAAGCCAGGACACCAAAGTCATTTTGTTCACTGCTGTAGCCCAGCTTACAGAATAATGGTCGCCACACAGTAAGCACTCAACAAACAGTTAAAACTAGGCTGGGAGCAGTGGCTCACGCCTATAATCCCAGTGCTTTGGGAGGCTGAGGCAGGCAGATCACTTGAGGTCACGAGTTCAAGACTAGCCTGGCCAACATGGAGAAACCCCCTTCTCTACTAAAAATACAAAAATTAGCCAGGTGTGGTGGCGTGTGTCTGTACTCCCATCTACTATGGAGGCTGAGGCAGGAGGATGTTGAACCTGGGCAGCTGATGCTGCAGTGAGCCATGATTATGCCACTGCAGTCCAGCCTGGGCAACAGAGCAAGATCGTGTCTCAAAGAAAAGGAAAAAAAAAAAAGAATAGCAACTGGCACTTATGAGTAGTGTTTAATAGATGAGGCCTGGCACTGAGCATTCAATATTAGCAGCCCTTCACTTTTTATGTTCTTAGATATAGGGTCTTGCTCTGTCACCCAGGCTGGAACACAGTGGCGCCATCTCAGCTCACTGAAGCCTCAACCTCCTGGACTCAATCCATCCTCCTGCCTCAGCCTCTCAAATAGATGGGACTACAGGTGCGTACCACCATGTCTGGCTAATTTTTTTTATCTTTTGTAGAGACGGGGTCTTGCTGTGGCCCCAGGCTGGTGTTGAACTCCAGCAAACCTCCTGCCTCGGCCTCCCTAAGTGCTGGGATTCCAGGTGTGAACCCCCGGTGCCTGGATCTGATGGCCTTTCATTGAAGCCGCTCATTTTACAGACAAGGAAACCAAGGCTCTGAGAGGGGAGGGGGCTGGCGAGGTTTCAGCACCAGGGCTAGGAGATCCAAAAGCAGTGCTCTTAGGCTGGGCGCGGTGGCTCACACCTGTAATCCCAGCACTTTGGGAGGCTGACGCGGGTGGATCACGAGGTCAGGAGTTTGAAACCAGCCTGGCCAACATGGTGAAACCCTGTCTCAACTAAAAATACAAAAATTAGCTGGAGATGGTGGCGCACACCTGTAATCCTAGGTATTCAGGAGGCAGAGGCAGGAGAATCACTTGAATCCGGAAGGTGGAGGTTGCAGTGAGCCAAGATCGCGCCCTGCACTCCATCCTGGGCGACAGAGCGAGAATGTCTCAAGAAAAAAAAAAAAAAGGCCGGGCGCAGTGGCTCACACCTGTAATCCCAGCACTTTGGGAGACCGAGGTGGGCAGATCACGAGGTCAAGAGATCGAGACCATCCTGACCAGGCACGGTGGCTCACCCCTGTAATCCCAACACTTTGGGAGGCTGAGGTGGGCGGATCACGAGGTAAAGAGATCAAGACCATCCTGACCAACATGGTGAAACCCTGTCTCTACTAAAAATACAAAAAATTAGCTGGGCACGGTGGCTCACGCCTGTAATCCCAGCACTTTGGGAGGCTGAGGCGGGCAGATCACGAGGTCAGGGGATCGAGACCATCCTGGCTAACGCGGTGAAACCCCGTCTCTACTAAAAACACAAAAAATTAGCTGGGCGTGGTGGCAGGCACCTGTAGTCCCAGCTATTCAGGAGGCTGAGGCAGGAGAATGGCGTGAACCCGGGAGGCGGAGCTTGCAGGGAGCTGAGATCGCACCACTGCACTCTAGCCTGGGTGACAGAGCGAGACTCCGTCTCAAAAAAAAAAAAAAAAAGCAGTGTTCTTCACCCTTCACCATGGGGTCCCAAGCACACAGACGGGCATGCTCACCTGCACGGTTGCTGGGTGATGACACTGCCAGCCACTGGGCAGTCGCCAGGACAGCTATGTCCCTTCCCAACCCTCCCCAGAATGCCACCTCCCAGGTAGCCCCTCACCTCCTCTTCGATGGCAGCTGCAGTCTCTGCGTCCCCGAGCCGGCTCCGACAAGGGAAGGCTCTGAGCACCGTCAGCACTGTGGGGAGGGGCAGCTGTGACCCCGTGACCCCGGTCCTCCAACGCCCCCGCCCACCTGGCCCTGGATACCCACTCTGGCTGTTGACGTCCCAGCGGCCCCCCAGGTAACCCACGACCTCACTCCGTGTCAGGTGACTGTGGAAGTCCTGGGGAAGGGAGGAACAGCAAAAGACTGGCTCAGGCTGTGGCCCTGCCCCAACACTGGAGCCAGCCTGTGCCCTCATTCTCTTTGAGACTCAGTCTTGCTCTGTCGCCCAGGCTGGAGGGCAGTGGCACGATCTTGGCTCACCGCAACCTCCGCCTCCCCAGTTCAAGCCATTCTCCTGTCTCAGCCTCTCAGGTAGCTGGGATTAGAGGCGTGCACCACCATGCCCAGCTAATTTTTGTATATTTAGTAGAGACAGGGTTTCAGTGTTACCCAGGCTTGTCTCGAACTCCTGAGTTCAGGTGACCCGCTGCCTCAGCTTCCCAAAGTGCTGGGATTATAGGTGTGAGCCACTGGGCCTGGCCACGCACCCTCCTTCATACATTTATTGAGCACCCACAGTGTACCAGTAGCAAACAAAGCAGACAAGGCCCCAGCTCTCATGGAGCTGATACGCAGGGGAGCCCCGCCCGCTGCCCACCGACTGGGCTCCGGAGCCCCTTGCCCCTAGACAGGGTGGGCCACACACCAGCAGGAACAGCACGTTGCTAGAAACAGCCACGTTGAACGGCTGGAACTTGTTGATGGCTGCAAAGGATGTTACTTCCACCAGGGTGTGGGGGTTCCTGTAGGGGCCAGGAGGGTCGCACAGTCTCAGGAATCCCCAGGCTCTTCCCTCGCCCCCACACTGACTCCCCCAACCCCACAGCTCTGAGGATCTGAGGCTCTGTCCCACCCCCCACCCCTGCCCTTGCTACCCCAAGACCAGCAAGAGATCCAGGTGAGCTGGGGCAGGGGCAGAACTTGGGGTGAGTCTGACCTGGCCAAGTCGCGGCTGCCCAGCATGCAGTAGCGGACCGGAACCCGGATCTTGCTGTCCACCCGCTTCCCTGGGGTTGTGGCCTCTGGGAGAGAAAAAGGCAGGGTCAGTCCCTCCCCAGCCCAAGTTAGAACAAATTAGGTGGCCACTGGGTGTGGTGGTGCATGCCTATAATCCCAGTGCTGAAGCAGGAGGATCGCTTGAGCATGGGAGGTTGAGGCTGCAGGGAGCTGTGATCACACCACTGCACTCCAGCCTGAGTTACAGAGTGAGACTCTTATTTACAAAGAAGAAATTTTTTTTCACTGGGAAGCTGAGGTGAGAGGATTGCTCAAGTCCAGGAGTTCAAGACCAGCCTGGGCAAGATGATGAGATCTCGTCTCTGAAAAAAAATACAAAAATTAGCCGGGTGTGGTGGTGCACACCTGTGGTCCCAGTTACTCAAGAGGCTGAGGTGAGAGCATCACTTGAACCCAGGAGGTTGAGGCTGCAGTTAGCCATGATTGCACCACTGTACTCTGCCCTGGGGGACAGAGCAAAACCCTGTCTCAAAAAAACAAAAAAACAGGTACAGTGGCTCACGCCTGTAATCCCAACACTTTGGGAGGCCGAGGCAGGTGGATCACCTGAGGTCAGGAGTTCAAGACCAGCCTGGACAACATTGTGAAACTCCATCTCTACTAAAAATACAAAAGTTAGCCAGGCGTGGCGGCTGGCGCCTATAGTCCCAGCTATTTGGGAGGCTGAGGCAGGAGAATCGCTTGAACCCGGGAGGCAGAGGTTGCAGTGAGCCGAGATTGAGCCACTGCATTCCAGCCTGGGCGACAGAGGGAGACTCCATCACCAAAAAATAAATAAATATATAAAATAAAATAAAATCCAGCATTTGAGCTTAAGAAGTCAAGGCAGTGAGTAAAACTGGGCAGTGGGACTGTCTTCAGCCCAGGCCTCGTCCGGCTCCAGACTTAGGGCCCAGCTGACTCTCCATGTCTCCATCTTGGGGGCCCTAGGAGAAGATCAAGGCCCAACCTCTCCCCAGTCTCCTCCCCAACCCGAGCTGTATCCGCCCCTGTCCTGCCTCCCCTCCCCACGCCTCTCACCCGGGTGGGCAGGCTCTGAAGGGCTCTTCCCCAGTGGTCTCCGACTCTTGTCCTCTGCTGAGACCCCTGCCAGAACGTCCTCCTCCTCCTCTTCCATCAGCAACTCCTCCTCCTCCCCTTCACTGGCTGGGCTCTGCAGGGGTTAGGGGTCAGGGACAGCGGTGGGACCCTCAGCTGGGTGCCCCCCCGCTCCCTGCTAAATCCCACCCCAGCCCTTTGGCCTAAGCCGTAAGTGCCATTGCCCCACATGACCACTAGAGGGAGGGAGGGAGCAGAGAAGGCCTTAAGCTAAGACCTCACATTTTTTTTTATTTATTTGTAATTTATTTTTTATTTATTTATTTTTGAGACGGAGTCTCTCTCTGTCGCCCAGTCTGGAGTGCAGTGGTGTGATTTCGGCTCACTGCAACTTCTGCCTCCTGGGTTCAAGTGACTCTCCTGCCTCAGCCTCCTGAGTAGCTGGGGTTACAGGCATGCACCACCACATCCAGCTAATTTTGTATTCTTAGTAGAGACGGGATTTCTCCATGTTGGTCAGGCTGGTCTCAAACTCCCGACCTCAGGTGATCCACCCACCTCGGCCTCCCAAAGTGCTGGGATTACAGGCGTAAGCCACCGCACCCGGCTCACCTCGCATTTTATAATACAAGCCCTGCGCAACCTTTGGTGAGCACCATTGCCATTTATGCCTAGGGTTCCATTATTGGAACGCTAAGCATATGGGAGCTATTTATATCCTACTGCTCAAAGTCATCGCCAAGGTCTGATTGCAAAAATTCAAAGAATTGCAACCTCAGGCATAAATGGGTTTAAACTCTCTGAACTCTATCTATTCTTTTATCTTTTTTTTTTTCTTTGAGACACGGTCTCACTCTGTCACCCAGGCTGGAGCGCAGTGGCACGATCTTGGCTCACTGCAACCTCTGCCTTCCGGGTTCAAGCCATTCTCTTGCCTCAGCCTCCTGAGTAGCTGGGAGTACAGTTGCCCACCACCATGCCTGGCTAATTTTTGTCTTTTTAGTATAGATGAGGTTTTGCCATGTTGGCCAGGCTGGTCTCAAACTCCTGACCTCAAGTGACCCACCTGCCTCAGCCTCCCAAAGTGTTGGCATTACAGGTGTGAGCCACCGTGCCCAGCCAACTCTATTCTTTTTTTTTTTTTTTTTTTGAGACAGAGTCTCACTCTGTCGCCGAGGCTGGAGTGCAGTGGCATGATCTCGGCTCACTACAACCTCCACCTCCCGGGTTCAAGTGATTTTCCTGCCTCAGCCTCCCGAGTAGCTGGGATTATAGGCATGTGCCACCACGCCCAGCTAATTTTTTGTATTTTTAGTAGAGATGGGGTTTCACCGTGTTAGCCAGGATGGTCTCGATCGTCTGACCTTGTGATTTGCCCATCTCGGCCACCCAAAGTGCTGGGATTAAAGGCGTGAGCCACCGTGCCCGGCCGCCAAGTCTATTCTTATCTGTAAAAGGGCACAATGACCTCCAACTCCACGGGGATGGCATCAGGGTGAAATGAAATCATACGCACAAAGCATTTAGCATACACCTAGATGCTCCGTTCATTGAGCGAGCCAGCACCATACATAGGTGGCTTTCACGTCTTTCAGTAACCTTTCCTCCCAGTCGGGCACAGTGGCCCACGCCTGCAATCCCAGCACTTTGGGAGGCTGAGGCGGTGGACCACTTGAGGTCAGGAGTTCGAGACCAGCCTGGCCAACATGGTGAAACCCCATCTCTACTAAAAATACAAAAATTAGCCAGGCATGGTGGCGAACACCTGCAATCCCAGCTACTCAGGAGGCTGAGGCAGGAGGATCACTTGAACCCGGGAGGCGGAGACTGCAGTGAACTGAGATCACACCATTGTACTACAGCCTGGGTGACGGAGCGAGACTCTGTCTACAAAAATACAAATTAAAAATAACCTCTCCTCCAGTTCTGTCCTAAACTGCCCTTGTGGAGGTGACCTCTCTGGGTCACATCTCACTTTCTGTCCTCGTCACCTTCTCGGCAGCATCTGACCCAGCACAGCCTCCTACCTACCAGGACACGGTCCTCACACAACCCCCGGATCCCACGCTCGCCTGGCTCCCTCTCACCTCCCCTCTCGCTGTTGCTGGCCCCAGGCTGGGTTTTCAGGCCTCCTCCCTCCACACCCCTCCCAGGTGGCCTCATCCCCTCTCAGGGCTCCAAATCCTGTCTACACCTGACACTGCCCACAGTCCTGTCTCCAGCCCAAGCCTCGCCCGGCTCCAGACTCAGGGCCCAGCTGCCTCTCTATGTCTCCATGTGGGGGACTCACAGGGTCACACTCAACACAGCCATGCTGGGCCCCACTGAACCCCCAGATCTGCCCTTCCCACATCCCCCAATTTTGGCAGCTCGATCCACCCACTTGCTCAGGACTCCAGCATCTGATCTATCAGCAAATCTGGCGGATACACTTCCAAAAATACCTGGAACCTGCCCACTTCTTCCCTGCTCCATGGTCGGCCTGGGCCACTCCATCATCCCTCACCTGGACCAGCTCACTCACCTCTGCCCTGGTCCCTGGATCCCACCCTAACCCCCGACAGTCTAGTCCCCACAGCAGCCACCAGAGAACGCCTGTGAGCACCTCAGTCAGATCCTGTCCTTCCTCTGCCTGCAACACTCCATGGCTCCCACCTTCCTCCCGGTCAAAGCCCAAGTTCTCCCCATAACCTACAGAGCCCTGCATGACCTGCCCTGTCCCCTTCCCATCCTCCCCACCTCCTTCTCTCTCCCTTACTCACTCGGCTCCAGCCACACAGGCTCCTCGCTGTTCCTCCAACACACCAGGCACGGTCGTGCCCCAGGGCCTTTGCAGAGGCTGTTTCTCAGAAGTCCTCATGGCACCCTCCCTCCCTCCCCACCTTCAGTTCTCCGTTCAAATGTCACCTTCTCAGTGAAGCCCCCCCAACCACCTTCTTCCCCCACAACTCCCACCCAAAGGCAGGGATTTTTGACTTTTTTTGCCCTCTGCTTTATATTCAGTGCCTAAAACAGGCCTTGCACACAGTTGGCCACTAACTGAATACATACTGAAAGAATGGTTTCCTGTGTCATCTTAGCTAGGCAAGAGTGCCTGGTAATTTAATGGAACACTGATCTAGGCATTACTGCGATGGCATTTGTTACATGTGATTCATATCTACAGTAAGGTGACTTTCAGAAAGGACATTGCTCTTGACCAGGCTCCATGGCTGGCTCACGCCTGCAATCCCAGCACTTTGGGAGGCAGAGGTGGGCGGATCACCTGAGGTCAGGAGTTCAAGACTAGCCTGGCCAACATGGTGAAACCCCATCTCTACTAAAAATACAAAAATTAACTGGGCATGGTAGTGGGCATCTGTAGTCCCAGCTACTCAGGAGGCTGAGGCAGGAGAATCGCCTGAACCCAAGAGGCGGAGGTTGCAGTGAGCCAAGATCACGCCATTGCGCTCCAGCCTGGGCAACAAGAGCGACACTCCATCTCAAAAAAAAAAAATAGACCCACTCACTGAGCCACTGAGGACTCGGCAGCCTCCCGTTGAGCACCCTCACTTCCTGACGCTCCATCCCTCCCACTCGCCTTCTCCCGCCACCACTGCTTTCCACAGGCAGTTCCCACCAAGGCAAAGGAATCGTGACTGGCTGCGGTGGCTCATGCCTGTAATCCCTGCACTTTGGGATACCGAAGCGAGTGGATCACTTGAGGTCAGGAGTTCGAGACCAGCCTGACCAACATGGTGAAACCGCATCTCTAATAAACATGCAAAAATACAAAAATCAGCTGAGCTTGGTGGCGCGCCCTTGTAGTCCCAGCTACTCTGGAGGCTGACGCAGAAGAATTGCGTGAACCCGGGAACGGGAGGTTGCAGTGAGCCAAGATCACAGCACTGCACTCCAGCCTGGACAACAGAGCGAGACTCCATCTCAAAAACAGAATTATATCTTTTGTCCACTATCCAGAACCTCCACTCTTTCAACCCCTCTGCTGATGCAAGTAACAGTGATGACCTGCTTCCTGCTGGCACTGAGGACTGTATCCATATAAGAATTCAACAGAGGCCGGGCATGGTGGCTCACGCCTATAATCCCAGCACTTTGGGAGGCTGAGGCAGGTAGATCACGAGGTCAGGAGTTCAAGACCAGCCTGGCCAAAATGGTGAAACCCCGTCTCCACTAAAAATAAAAAAATTAGCCAGGCCTGGTGGTGGGCGCCTATAATTCCAGCTACTTGGAGGCTGAGGTAGGAGAATGGCTTGAATCCGGGAGGCAGAGTTTGCAGTGAGCCAAGATTGCACCACTGCATTCCAGCCTGGGCGACACAGTGAGACTCCATCTCAAAAAAAAAAAAGAATTCAACAGAAAAATGGCAGGAAAACGCTTACTGCTGTCCTGCAAGAGATCAGTGATGATTACGATAAAAAGAAACTAGTGAAGGTGTTTAAGAAGAAATTTAGGCCGGGCGCGATGGCTCACGCCTATAATCTCAGCACTTTGGGAGGCCGATGGGGGTGGATCACGAGGTCAGGAGTTTGAGAACAGCCGGACCAACATGGTGAAACCCCATTTCTACTAAAAATACAAAAATTAGCCGGGTGTGGTGGTGTGTGCCTGTAATCCCAGCTACTCAAGAGGCTCAGGCAGGAGAATCGCTTGAACCTGGGAGGCAGAGGTTGCAGTGAGCCTAGATTGTGCCACTGAGCTCCAGCCTGGGCGACAGAGCGAGACTCCGTCTCAAAAAAAAAAAAAAAAAAAAAAAAGAAATTTGCAATTTGCCTGCCTGCAATGATACTGTAATTGAGCATCCAGAATATGGATAAGTCAGCTGGGCTTGGTGGCTCACGCCTGTAATCCCAGCATTTTGGGAGGCGGAGGCGGGCGGATCACCTGATGTCAGGAGTTCGAGACCAGCCTGGCCAACGTGGTGAAACCCCGTCTCTACTAAAAATATAAAAATTAGCCGGGTGTGGTGGTGGGCGCCTGTAATCCCAGCTACTCGCGAGACTGAGGCAGGAGAATCATTTGAACCCGGGAGGCAGAGGTTGCAATGAGCAGAGATCGTGGCATTGCATTCCAGCCTGGGAGACACAGCGAGAGTCTGTCTCAAAAAAAAAAAACAAAAAAAAACACAATATGGAGAAGTAATTCAGCTACAGAGTGACCAGTGCAAGAACATTTGCCAGTTCCTTGTAGACACTGGACTGACTAAGGAGGATCATGTGAAGGGTCAAGGGTTTTTTTGCCACTGCGTCGGGCAGGTTCATGGGTTTTAAGTGCTTGTGGCTCACTGAAGCTTAAGTGAGGATTTCCTTGCAATGAGTAGAATTTCCTTTCTGTCCTTTGTCACAAGTTTAAAAACCTCACAGCTTGTATAACGTAACCATTTGTGGTCTGCTTTTAACATGGACTAGTGTTAACTCCTTCATGCAATAAACTTCGTACATAAAAAAAAGTTTATGAAAACATATCTACAGGCAGCTGGGCGCGGTGGCTCACACTTGTAATCCCAGCACTTTGGGAGGCCGAGGTGGGTGGATCACGAGGTCAGGAGATCGAGATCATCCTGGCTAACACGGTGAAACCCCGTCTCTACTAAAAATACAAAAATTATCCGGGCGTGGTGGTGGGTGCCTGTAGTCCCAGCTACTCGGGAGGCTGAGGCAGGAGAATGGCATGAACCCGGGAGGCAGAGCTTGCAGTGAGCTGAGATCGTGCCACTGTACTCCAGCCTGGGCGACAGAGCAAGACTCCGTCTTGAAAAAAAAAAAAAACATATCTACGAAAAGAAGAAAGGACATTACTCTTGATACTACAGGTGGGCCTCATCCAATCAGTTGAAGGCGATAACAGCAAAAACAGAAAAAAAAAAAAGATTCTGCCACAAGACTACAGCATCTGCTCCTGCCTCAGTTTCCTGCCTGCCCTACAGATTCCACACATGGGCACTGGTACCATCTCCATTTTGGGGTTTTGTTGTTGTTGTTTTGAAATGGAGTCTCAATCTGTTGCCAGGCTGGAATGCAGTGGTGTGATCTCAGCTCACTGCAACCTCCGCCTTGCAGGTTCAAGTGATTCTCCTGCCTCAGCCTCCCGAGTAGCTGGGACTACAGGCGTGCACCACCACGCCTGGCTAATTTTTGTCTTTTTAGTAGAGACGGGGTTTCACCATGTTGGCCAGGCTGGTCTGGATCTCTTGACCTCGTGAACCTGCCTGCTTCAGCCTCCCAAAATGCTGGGATTACAGGCATGAGCCACTGTGCCTGGCCTACCATCTCCATTTCACATAAGAAAAAAAAAACGGCCAGTGCAGTAGCTCACGCCCGCAATCCCAACACTTTGGGAAGTCCAGGTGGGAGGATTGCTGGAGGCCAGGAGTTTGAGACCAGCCTAGGCAACATGGTGAAACCTCATCTCTTCTAAAAATCCAAAAATTAGCCGGGTGTGGTGGCATGCGTCTGTAGTCCAGCTACTAGGGAGGCTGAGGTGGGAGGATCGCTTGAACCCAGGAGGTGAAGGCTGTAGTGAGCCAAGATGGGGGCACTGCACTCCAGCCTGGGCCACAGAGTGAGACCCTGTCTCAAAAAAAAAGAAAAAAACTAAGGCACACAAAGGGTCCTTGGTCAAGTTCACCCGGCTGGTGAACACTCAGGGAACATCTATTATCATAGCATTTGAAGTTCCCCCAGTGCCCCTCTGGTCCCTGCCATCATTTCCAGCCCCCTCAGCCACCCATGACACCAGCAGGTCTTTCTTCTTGTCTACATGACTTTGCGTATGCCATTCCATCCTTCTAGAAAGCTCTTCCCTTCAACTTGCTCTGACAAACTCCTGCTCATCCCTCAAAGCCCAAGCTCCCATGTCCCCTCTCTCCGCCCCAGCCCTGGAGGGATGGAGGAGGCATGTCACGTGGTAAGGGCTCCATCCGTGTTTGTATATATTACTAATACCTCCTCCGGAGAGAGCTGTGCCAGGCTGGGCACCCCTCATTCCACAGTGACCTGGGCGGCTTCCTGGAGGAGGCTGCAGCACGTACCTCATCAGCAGCCGTGGCAGGCGTGTGCAGCTGGTGCAGCCGGAGCCAGGTGGCCTTGTACTTGTCCAGTTTCTGGCCTTTGTACTTGACAGAGGCCCAGCCACAGCCCGACTTCTTGGCAGGGTTCACCAGCTTCTTGCAGTGGGTGGCCCAGGCGCTGGGTGAGTTGAAGGTCTGCCCGGTCTCCTGCCACATGATCCTTCCGTCTGGCTGCAGGTCGCCCAGGAACTTCTTCCCCTGCAGTGACAGTCAGCTGGCTGGGCCCAGGACCAACACCCACCATGCCCTCTCTCCCGGGGGGTCCTCCCCAGACCTACGCTCCCTCAGGCATGTCTTTACAGGGCTTCCAGGAACACCTCTCAGGCCGGCTGCAGGGCCTCCTCAGTGCCTGGGAGTCCACACCCACAAACCTGATCAGCCTGCACCAAGCTGCCTGGCAGATATCTGCACCCCGCCCACCATGACCAAGAAACCCCTAAGATCGGGGATAGGGTCTGTCTGTCTTGATCACTGCTGTGTCTCCAGGATGCAACACTCAGCAGTTGCTCCATTCAGAAACTCCCATTCAGAAGGGGAATAATGTGCTACCATTCACAAATCAAACAATAATGACAACAGTAATAGTAATAATACAGGGCTGGGTGCAGTGGTTCACGCCTGTAATCCCAGCACTTTGGGAGGCTGAGGCGGGCGGATCACCTGAGGTCAGGAGTTTGAGACCAGCCTGGCCAACATGGTGAAACCCCATCTCTACTAAAAATATAAAAATTAGCCAGGCGTGGTGGCGGGTGCCTGTAATCCCAGCTACTCAAGAGGCTAAGGCAGGAGAATTGCTTGAACCGGGAGGCAGAGGTTGCAGTGAGCCGAGATCATGCTACTGCATTCCAGCCTGGGCAACAGCGCGAGACTCTGTCTCAAAAAAAAAAAAAAAAAAAAAAAAAGGCCGGGCATGGTGGCTCACGCCTATAATCCCAGCACTTTGGGAGCTGAGGCAGGCGGACCACGAGGTCAGGAGTTCAAGACCAGCCTGGCCAATATAGTGAAACCCCGTCTCTACTAAAACTGCAAAAAAAAAAAATTAGCCAGGCGTGGTGGCGCATACCTGTAGTCCCAGCTACTCGGGAGGCTGAGGCAGAAAATCGCTTGAACCGGGAGGCAGAGGTTGCAGTGAGCCGAGATCGAGCAACTGCATTCCAGCCTGGGCAAAAAAGCGAGACTCTGTCTCAAAAAAAAAAAAAAAAAAAAAGTACTAATACCTACCACAGATAAAGTGCTTACCATGTGGCAGGCGCCTGCTGAGGGCTTTATTCATTTAACCATCCCCTAATTTTCCCATGGTGGGGAAATATTCCATTTCACGGCTGGGAAACCACAGGAAGGCCGGGGTGTTGCCCATCTGACCCTGCGCGGGTGGTGGCTCCTCTCTGAGCCTCAGCTTCTCCTTTGTGGGATGGGGTGTTTGGTAATCTACGTCCTCCCCACCAGAAGGACCCATCTGTGCCTCAGATTCCTCTCTCCACATGGGGCTTGTCCCGTAAAAAGAGCTCCGGGCCTCAGTGTCCCCTCCACGGGAGCTCCTCCTGCAGGAAAGGAGCTCTGGGCCTCAGTTTCCCCTCCCCACACTGGGGCTTGTCCTAAAGCAAGGGAGCTCTCCAGGCCTCAGTCTCCCTTCCTCACACCGGGGCTCTTCCTGCCGCCAAGGGAGCTCCGGGCCTCAGTCTCCCCTCTTCATGTCGGGGCTCTTCCTGCAGCCAAGAGAGCTCCGAGCCTCAGTTTCCCCTCCTCACACTGGAGCTCTTCCTGCAGTCAACGGAGCCCCGGGCCTCAGTTTCCCCTCGCCACACCGGGGCTCGTCTCTCAGCAAGGGAGCTCCGGGCCTCAGTGTCCCCTCCCTACACTGAAGCTTGTCCTGCAGCAAGGGAACTCCAGGCCTCAGTTTCCCCTTCCTGCCCGAGCCGCGATGGGACGAGGGAGGCGGGGTGCTCACCAGGTAGTAGATGGACAGCACCCCGGCGCCAGGCTCCAGCAGCGCGTCTTTGAGGAGCACCCGCAGTGTGACCGCGCGCCTGGTGAGCGCGCCCCCGGGCCCGCCGCAGCCCCCCGCCCCGGCCCCGCCGCCGCCGCCTCCTCCGCTGACGCTACTGCCGCCGCCGCCACTGCGTCCACCGCCCGCTCCCGCATTCGGCCGCTCAGGGTCCTCGGCCTCCGCTTCGTCCTCGTCCTCCTCCGGCGCCTCCTCGCCCGCACCGCCCGCCGGGGACAGCGGCTCCGGAGCTGCGGACAGCGAGAGGCTGCAGGGAGGCCGCTCGCCCCACGGCTCTGCAGCCCCGCGCCCCTGCAGCCCCGCGCCCCGCGCCTCCGCCCCGCTGGGCCCGCCGTACCTGCCATGGCCGCGCCTCCCCGCGCCCGGAGCTCTAGACTCCGGCTTCCCGGCACGTCACGCGGCCCCGCCCCGGGGAGGGGAGGGGCGCCCCAACCATTGGCCGTCGCCGGGGTCGGGGGAAGGGCTCGGCGCGCTGGGGTGGGCGGAGAAACTGAGGCCTCGGGGATGCCCACGCGGGAGAGAGATCGGGAACTCAGCCCTCTGGGAACATTCGGGAAACTGAGGCGTGACGGGGTGTTGACCGGGAGCTCATTGGTGCGAATGGGGAAACTGAGGCCTCGCTGTCCAGGGATAGAGGTTGCAAGGTGGAAGCCTGGGGCGGGTGCGCGAGTGGCTCAGCCTGCTGCAAGGAGAGGAGAAGGTGAGACCTGCGGTCACCGCACTTGAGGAACTCAGAGGCCTCGGCCTTTAGGACCAGGGGAGAAACTCAGGTCCAGGGGAACAATGCGGACTCCAATAGGGAACAGCCTCGCGCAGACACAGGTGGAGCCAAAGAGCCCAAGCCGGCCTCAGTCGCTAAAGAATTAACTCCCACCCTCCCGGGCGGCCCTCGACTGATTCCATGATTGGACCGTTGCGGAGCCCGCCAGCCAATGATAAGAGTCCCATTTATTTCACCCTCAACCAATCGATAGCAAGCTACTGGATTCCCGCACCAACCAATCCGTGTCAACTATCTGATTACACCAACTCGGATTTGACCAATGGGCAGACGTCCATGTAAACCAATCAGTAGAAACCCTTAGTTATGAGCGCAAACCATCAGAGGCAGGGACTGGACTCACCAGCCAATCAGCTCCGGGTATAAGGCCAGCCGAGTCCGGCCCTCCATACCCTTGGGCGGAGCAGGAGGCAGGGCCGGGCTCGTTGCGCGCCTGATCAGTGCAGCCCCGGCCTTTGTCCCCTACCCTGTTTCTGCAACTACATCCCCGACCCTGTCCTGGGACCTTCGTCCCGGAGCCCAGGCTCTGGGATTTCCCTCAGTCCCTGGCAGGGTTGAAAGTCCGGGATGGGGACTTCCTAAAGCTCCGGGACGCCGTGGGATGGGCTCAAGTGCGGGTGGCTTTGCCCAGACCGCAGTCGGGAAGTGGGAACTGGACAGTAGGGGTGCGGGGGAGGCTCTCCAGGGTGCTCGGGAATGTTCTCAGGAAGAAGACTTGACATAGAGCAAGAGCTGGGTACATGTGAACTATTGTTGTCCAGCCCAGGCACCCTTTAGGGGCCCCACCCTGACTGTCCAGCCAACAACGGGCATCCCCAAGGCCTGCAGACTCAGCATAGCCCAAACCGGCCTCAGTTTATTTCCCCAACTCCTTACGCACTTTCTCTTTGGCTTTTTTTCCGTCCCCTGCCTTCCAAAACCCTGAGCCACACCTCCAGCCTCTTGCACCCAAATCCTGGCCATCGCAGTGAGTCTCAGGCCTCCAAACTCATGCCCCACCCTGTCGGTCTTCCACCATTGCCCCAGAGGGCTCTTTCTAAAATGCACCTATTACCACCTCCCTCCCATATTATTATTTTGTTTTCTTTTCTTTTCTTTTTTCTTTTTTTTTTTTTTTTTTTTTTTTTTTTTTTGAGACGGAGTCTCGCTCTGTCACCCAGGCCGGAGTGTAGTGGCAAGATCTTGGCTCGCTACAACCTCTGCCTACCAGGTTCAAGCGATTCTCCTGCCTCAGCCTCCCAATTAGCTGGGACTGCAGATGCACATCACCACACCCAGCTAATTTTTGTATTTTTAGTAGAGAAGGGGTTTCACCATGTTTGCCAGGCTGGTCTCGAACTCCCAACCTCAGGTGATCCACCTGCCTCAGCCTCCCAAAGTGCTGGGATTACAGGTGTGAGCCACTGCGCCCAGCCTATTTTCTTTTCTTTTCGAGACAGGGCCTTGCTCTATCTCCCAGGCTGGAGTGCATTGGTGTAATCATGGCTCACTGCAGCCTTGGCCTCCTGGACTCAAATGATCCTCTTGCCTCAGCCTCCAGAGTAGCTGAGACAACAGGCGTGACCAGCATGCCTGGCTAATTTTTAATTTTCTTGTAAAAGAAGGGGATCTCACTATGTTGCCCATGCTGGTCTCCAAGTCCTGGCCTTAAGCAATCTTCCCACTTGGGCTCCCAAAGTGTTTGGATTACAGGCGTGAGCCACCGCACCCTGCCCTCCTCTCATGCTGTAAATCCTTCTGTCGCTCCACATTGCCTTAGACAAATACAATAAAAACTAACCACCCTGGCTGGGCACAGTGGCTCACGCCTGTAATCCCAGCACTTTGGGATCACTTGAGGTCAGAAGCTGAAGACCAGCCTGACCAACATGGTGAAACCCCATCTCTAATAAAAACAAAAAAATTAGCCGGGGGTGGTGGCAGGCACCTGTAATCCCAGCTACTCCAGAGGCTGAGGCAGGAAAATCGCTTGAACCCGGGAGGCGGAGGTTGCAGTGAGCCGAAATCATGCCACTGCACTCCAGCCTGGGCAAAAGGAGCAAAACCCTGTCTGAAAAAACAAACAAACAAAAAAACGAAACAAAAATCAACTCTCTGACCTTACTTAGTATAGCTGATACTATCAACTTTATCAGACAGTTCAGTGGATGAACACATTGCCACAGTCCCACGGCCTTTCTGTGATTTCTAGAACACCTGTTCTGCTATGTATACAAAGTCTAGCCCTGGTAACTACTAAGGAAATTGAATTTGTAATTTAAAAACTCCCAAAAAAGCAATCTCCAGACCCAGATGGTTTCACTAAGGAATTCTGCCAAAGGTTCAAAGAAGAATTAACACCAATTTCACATCATCTCTTCCAGAAAATTGAAGGGGACACTTCCCTGTTCATTTTATGGAACTATGACCCTGATACCAAAACCAGATAAAGACGGTACAAAGAAAGCAAGCTACACCCCATATCCCTCATGAAGACGTGCAAAAATCCTTAACAAAATATTACAAAGTAGAATTTAACAATATATAAAGTGAATTATACACCATGACAAGTGGGGTTTACTCCAGGGACCCAAGACTGATTCAGTATTCAAAATTAATCAATTGTCCACCATATTAAACAGGCTGTGGTAGGCAGAATAATGGTCTCTTAAAGATATCCACGCCCTAATTCCCAGAATCTGTGAATACGTTAGGATACGTGGCAAAGGGATTTGAAGATTAAAGATAGACGCCAGGCACAGTGGCACACACCTGTAACCCCAGCACTTTGGGAGGCCTAGACTGGAGGATCACTTGCACCCAGGAGTTCAAGACTAGCCTGAGGGCCGGGCACGGTGGCTTATGCCTGTAATCCCAGCACTTTGGGAGGTCGAGGCAGGTGGATCACAAGGTCAGGAGATTAAGACCATCCTGGCTAACACAGTGAAACTCCATCTCTACTAAAATAAAAATACAAACAAATTAGCTGGGCATGGTGGCACGTGCCTATAATCCCAGCTACTCGGGAGGCTGAGGCAGGAGAATTGCTTGAACCTGGGAGGCAGAGGTTGCAGTAAGCCGAGATCGCTCCACTGCACTCCAGCCTGGGTGACAGAGTAAGACTCTGTCTCAAAAAAAAAAAAAAAAAAAGACCAGCCTGGGCAACATAGCAAGAACCTGTCTCTAGTAAGTGTAAAAATTAGCTGGGCGTGGTGGCAGGCACCTGTAATCCCAGCTACTTGGGAGGCTGAGCCAGGCGAATGGCATGAACCTGGGAGGCGGAGCTTGCAGTGAGCCGAGATCACGCCACTGCACTCCAGCCTGGGCTACAGAGCGAGAGTCTGTCTCAAAAAAAAGAAAAAAAAAAATTAGCCAGGTGTGGTGGCATGCAACTGTAGTACCACCTACTCTGGAGGCTGAGGCTGGAGGATCACTTGAGCCTGTAAGGTCGAGGCTACAGTGAGTCATGATCGCCCCACTGTACTCCAGCCTAGGCAACATAGTGAGAACTCATCCTTAAAAAAGGAAAATAAATTAGCTGGGTGTGGTGGTGCCCACCTATAGTCCCAGCTCTTCGGGTGGCTGAGGCAGGAGGACCGCTTGAGATTGGGAGGTCAGGGCTGCAGTGAACTATGATCGTGCCACTGCACTCCAGCATCGACAACAGAATGAGACACCGTCTAAAAAAGAAAAATTGCAGATGAAATTAAAGTTGCTAGTCAGCTGACTTTAAAATAGGGAGAGTAGCGTGGATTATCCAGGTGGGCCCAATGTAATCATTAGGGTCCATCAAAGTAAGAGAAAGGGCCAGGTGTGGTGGCTCATGCCTGTAATCTCAGCACTTTGGGAGGCTGAGGCGGGCAGAAAACTTGGGGTCAGGAGTTCGAGACCAGCCTGGGCCAACATGGGGAAACCTCGTCTCTACTACAAATACAAAAATTAGCCAGGCGTGGTGGCGGTCACCTGCAATCCACGCTAGTCAGGAGACTGAGCTTGGACTCAGTCTCTGAACCCGGGAGGCAGCGCAGTCTCTTGAACCCGGGAGGCAGAGGTCGCAGTGAGCCAAGATCATACCACTTTACTCCAGCCTGGGCAACAGAGTGAAACTCTGTCTCAAAATAGGAAAAATAGATAAATAAATAAATAAAGAGACAGACCATGTCTCTGTCTTTGCAGATATAGCGAAGATTATTCTCCCATTCAAGTAGACTTATACATTCTCTCTGTTCTCAGTTCCACACCGGAGAGGCGGGGATTTCCCTAGGATCACTGGACCTGCTGGGATCAGCCTCTGCCCAGCCCTGGCAGGGGAGGGAGTTGACGGGCTGACACAGGAAACTCCCCTGAAACCTGTTTCTCAGCTTCCCGGCCCAGCTGGGGCACCCACTGGAAGGAGAGGCCAGGCGGAAGACCCTGGCTCCGTCATGGCCTCTGCCCTGAGGCCACCCCGTGTCCCCAAGCCTAAGGGTGTCCTGCCTTCACACTACTATGAGAGCTTTCTAGAGAAGAAGGGGCCCTGTGACCGGGTAAGGTGGGGAGGCGGGGGCTGGCCCTGCTGGGCCACCGTGGGGAGCTGCGGCACCTCTCTGAGTCCCTGTCTCCCCACTCGCCAAGGGGGGGCGGGGTGGGTGCTGGATGGGGCAGGACACGTGCTGGGGGACTGGGGTGGGTTCTGGCCATCTGCCTCTCTGTGCGTCTATCTCTGTCTCCGTGTGTCTTTGAATTTGGTTTCTTTTTCTCTTTCTCTCTCCCTGGCCCCGTCTGTCTCTCCCGATGTCTGTCTCAGTCTCCCTCTCTCTTTGTCTCAATCTTTGCTTTTGTCTCTCGTTCACTCTCTTGAATACAAACAAGATCAGGGACTTCCTCCAGGAAATGGGGAGTCCTCTGACTCCCGAGCTTCCTCCCGCTCCCAGCCCAGGAAAAACTCCGTGAACCTCAGCTGCTGGGGCGAAGGCCAGGACAGGTGACATGTGAGGACAGTAAGAGCTAGCGGGGGCCACATTCCACAGGACAGATAGTTGCCATGGACAGTGCGTGCATGTGTGTGTGTGTGTGTGCTTATGTCTCCCTCAGAATAAAGTCCCAGCCCCTCCGTTCCCCGTGAGGCCCTATCTCTCCTTCCCAATGCCGCATATTCATTTTCTTTCTTTCTTTTTGTTAGAGACAGAGTTGCTCTGTCACCCAGGCTAGAGTGCAGGGGCACGATCATGGCTCACTGTAGCCTCAAACTCCTGGGCTCAAGTGAACCTCCCGCCCCAGCCTCCTGAGTAGCTGGGACCACAGGCATGCACTGCCTCTTCTGGCTTTTATTTTATTTATTTATTTTTGAGACTGAGTCTCACTCTGTCACCCAGGCTGCAGTGCAGTGGCACCATCTCGGCTCACTGCAACCTCCACCTCCCAGGTTCAAACGATTAAGCGATTCTCGTGCCTCAGCCTCCCGAGTAGCTGGGATTACAGGTACGCACCACCACACCTAATTTTTGTATTTTTAGTAAAGACAGTGTTTCATTTTGTTGGCCCGGCTGGTCTTGAACTCTTGACCTCAGGTGATCCACCTGTCTCGGCCTCTCTAAATGCTGGGATTACAGGCATGAGCCACCGCACCCAGCCTTTTTTTTTTTTTTTTGAAGATGGGGTCTTGCTGGCCAGGCGCAGTGGGTCACACCTGTAATCCCAGCACTTAGGGAGGCTGAGGCAGGTGGATCACCTGAAGTCAGGAGTTTGAGACCAGCCTGGCCAATATGGTGAAACCCCGTCTCTACTAAAAATACAAAGATTAGCCGGGCGTGGTGGTGCGTGCCTGTGATCCCAGCTACTCTGGAGGCTGAGGCAGGAGAATCACTTGAACCTGGGAGGCAGAGGTTGCAGTGAGCCAAGATCGTGCCACTGCACTCCAGCCTGGGCAACAGAGCAAGACTCCGTCTCAAAAAAAAAAAAAAGATGGGGTCTTGCTATGTTGCCCAGGCTGGTCTCAAACTCCTGGCCTTAAGTGATCCTCCTGTCTCAGCCTCCCAAACTGCTGGGATTAGAGGTGTGAGCCACCATGACTGCCTCATTTTCTAATACAGATCAAAACAAACACCCCCAGCTCCTCCCTGCCCATGTCCCCGCCTCTGCCCCTGAGGTTCCCTTACCTGTAGTGGAGTAGACTTTCCTTCTACCTCCATACATCCAAATCCTCCCCAACCAACAAACCCTTTAGAGCCAGTAGATCACTGCAGTTAAGAAAGATAATGGGGGAGGCCGGGCTTGTGGCTCACGCCTGTAATCCCAGCACTTTGGGAGGCCGAGGCAGGCGGATCACCTGAGGTCAGGAGTTCAAGACCAACCTGGCCAATATGGTGAAACCTCGTCTCTACTAAAAAATACAAAAATTAGCTGGGTATGGTGCCAGGCGCCTTAATCCCAGCTACTTGGGAGGCAGAGGCAGGAGAATCATTTGAGCCTGAGAGGCGAAGTTTGCAGTGAGTCAAGATCAAGCCATTGCACTCAAACCTGGGGGACAAGAGCGAGACTGCTCTCAAAAACAAAAAGAAAAAAAAAAGAAAAGAAAGATAATGGGGGCCGGGCGTGGTGGCTCACGCCTGTAACCCAACACTTTGGGAGGCCGAGGTGGGAGGATCACTTGAGGTCAGGAGTTCAAGACCAGCCTGGCCACATGATGAAACCCCATCTCTACTAAAAATAAAAATAGCTGGGCGTGGTGGTGTGCACCTGTAATCCCAGCTACTCGGGAGGCTGAGGCAGGAGAATTGCTTGAACTGGGGCGGGGGGGTTGCAGTGAGCTGAGATGGTGCCACCGCATTTCAGCCTAGGTGACAGAGTGAGACTCTGTCTCAAAAAAAAAAAAAAAAAAAAAAGGCAGTGTGCAGTGGCTCACGCCTGTAATCCCAACACTTTGGGAGGGCGAGGCCGGCGGATCACTTGAGGTCAGGAGTTCGAGAACACCCTGGCCAACATATAGTGAAACCCCACCTCTACTAAAAAATACAAAAATTAGCTGGATGTGGTGGTGCGCACTTGTAATCCCAGCTACTTGAGAAGCTGAGGCAGGAGAATGGCTCGAACTGGGAGGTGGAGGTTGCAGTGAGCCGAGATCGCACCACTGCACTCCAGCCTGGGCGACAGAGCAAGACTCTGTCTCTTAAAAACAAAACAAAACAAAACAAAAAAGATCATGGGCCCGAATTAAGAAGACCCAGGTTCTAATCCCGGCTCCACACTTTCCTTACTCCCAGGCCTTATGCAAGTGACTTAATCTTTGAGCCTTAGTTTTCTGTCTTCTGAAATAGGGAGTTAGGGCTGTAGTCACAGTTCACGTGTTGAGGACTTGACTCAACGCAGGCCCTGGTGCTTCCCATGTGGAAAGTCACCTAATTCTCATGAGATCCTCCAGAGTTGGCACCATTATTATCACCATTTTACAGCTGGGGAAACAGACAAAGACAGCTCAAATAACTTGCCCAACAGCACATCGTGGGTACATAATGAAGCAATACAGTGTTTAATCCTGTATTGCTCTAGTCCCAGTGCCTGGAGCAGGGCTGGCACATAAAAAGCCTTCAGTAAATGTTAGGTAAATGCATGTGTGTATCTGTGCTTGTGTCTACGGATGGACAGGTGGATGGGTAGATGGGGGGATGAGTGGAGGCTTGGTGAATACATGCGGGCTTGATGGTGGCTGAGAGGATGTGTGGGTGGATGGATGAGTGCATATACAAGTGGGTGGATGGATGGATGGGGGAGTGGATGGATGGATGAGTGGGCAGACGGGTGGGTGGGTGGATGATGGATGGATGAACAAGTGCATGGATGAATGATAGATGGATGAATAGGTGGATGCACGATGGAGGGATGTATGGATGGATGAACGGGAAGATGCGTGGGTGGGTGGATGGTGAATGGATGAATGCATGGATGGATGATGGATGGATGAGTAGGTGGATGGATGATGGAGGGATGAGTGGATGGATGGATGATGGATGGATGAGGGATGGATGGATGAGTAGGTGGATGGATGATGGAGGGATGCATTGATAGATGAGTGGATGGATGTATGGATGGATGGATGGATGAGTGGGTGGATGGATGAGTGGGTGGATGGATGATAGATGGTGGGTGGATGATGGAGGGATGGATGGATAGGTGGATGGATGGGTGGATGGATTGATGAGTGGGTGGATGGATGAGTGGGTGGATGGATGAGTGGGTGGATGGATGATGGACGGTGAGTGGATGGATGGATGGATTATGGAGGGATGGATGGATGGGTGGATGGATGGATGAGTAGGTGGATGGATGGAGGGATGCATTGATAGATGAGTGGATGGATGGATGAGTGGGTGGATGGATGAGTGGATGGATGATGGAGGGATGGATGGATGGGTGGACAGATGGATGTGTGGGTGGATGGATGACTGGATGGATGGTGGGTGATGTAGGTATTGATGAATGACTGGATGGATGGATGATGAATGGCTCCATGATGGATAGATGGATGGATGGGGGTGATGGACGGATGGATGAGTGGGTGGATGGATAGATGAATGGATGAATGGATGGGTAAATGGTAGGTGGATGGATGAATGGGTGGGTGGGTGGATGAATAACTGGATGGATGGATGTGTGGATGGGTGGGTGGGTGGACGGATTGGTGGATGGATGGTGGGCAGATGGATGGATGGATGAATGGGTGAATGGATGGGTCAATGGTAGGTGGATGGATGAATGGGTGGGTGGGCGGATGGACAGATGGATGATAGATAGATGGCTAGTGGGTAGCTGGATGATGAAAGATGAATGGGATACCATTAAACCAGTTAGTTAACTTACCCCTAGAGCACCCATCTCTATAGATTGGCGGGGGTTGCTCTGAATCCCTCATCACATCGAGGTTCCGTCTGGTCCTTTCTCAGACGAAAACAGACACCCAGAAGCTGGGCCATGGGTGGGGAGGATCTCCCTGAGAAGGTACATTTGATCAGAAACTCAAGGCAGGAGGTAATAAAGATCTGGGGGCAGCGTGGGGCAGAGAGCACAACCAGTGCAAAGGCCCCGAGACAGGATTGAGTACATGAAAGGCACTCAGCTTGGCCAGCTCACCTCTTCTTTCTGCACTTCTGGTCCCTAGGATTACAAGAAGTTCTGGGCAGGCCTGCAGGGTCTCACCATTTATTTCTACAATAGCAATCGGGACTTCCAGGTAAGGATGGGAATGGAGGCTCCAGAGCAGGCCTTCCCTTGAGCCCAGAGACCAAGCAGACAATGTAGATGGTGTGGTCAAGGTGGCTGCTACATCATCCAGGGGGCCTGGAGGCCAAGGAACTGGTGCCCAGATCCCCTGCTTCTATGCCCCCAGCACGTGGAGAAGCTCAACTTGGGAGCATTTGAGAAACTCACAGATGAGATTCCCTGGGGAAGCTCACGTGACCCTGGCACCCACTTCAGCCTGATTCTCCGGGATCAGGAGATCAAGTTCAAGGTAGGTCCCTTGCTGGAGGGGTGCAGAGGGGCGGTGCTTGCAGAAGATGCTCAAATGCTCCTACCCTCCATTGTGCCAACCACGAAGGGGCAGGTAGTACAGGGCCCTGTGGGCCCTGGGTAAGACTTGGGTCTTGACCCCAAAGGAGCTGGGTGCTATGGGAGGGTTTATTTTATTTTATTTTATTACTTTTTTTTTGAGACCAAGTCTCGCCCTGTCACCCAGGCTGGAGTGCAATGGCACGATCTTGGCTCACTGCAACCTCCACCTCCCAGGTTCAAGTGATTCTCCTGCCTCAGCCTCCCAAGTAGCTGGGATTACAGGCGCACGCAACCACTCCTGGCTAATTTTTTGAATCTTTAGTAGAGATGGGGTTTCACCATGTTGGCCATGCTGGCCTGGAACTCCTCACCTCAGGTGATCCACCCACCTCGGCTTCCCAAACTGCTGGAATTATAGGCGTGAGCCACCGTGTCCAGCCGAGGGTTTATTTTTTATTTTTATTTTTTGAGTTTCGCTCTTATCACCCAGGCTGGAGTGCAGTAGTGCAATCTTGGCTCACTACAACCTCTGCCTCCCAGGTTTAAGTGATTCTCCTGCCTCAGCCTCCCGAGTAGCTGGGATTACAGGCGTGTGCCACCACGCACAGCTAATTTTTGTATTTTTGGTAGAGACAGGGTTTCACCATGTTGGCCAGGCTGGTCTCGAACTCCTGACCTCAAGTGATCCACCCACCTCGGCCTCCCAAAGTGCTGGGATTACAGGCATGAGTCACGGTGGCTGGCCTATGGGAGGGTTTAGAGCATGAGAGGTCTGGGAACTGATCTATGTTTTTCTATTATTTTATTTTATTTATTATTTTATTTTGAGACAGGGTCTTGCTCGTCGCCCAGGCTGGAGTGCAGTAGTGAGATCATAGCTCACTGCAGCCTCGACCTCCCGGGCTCAAGCGATCGATCCTCCTACCTCAGCCAAGCACATGCCACTATGCCTGGCTAATATTTTATTTTTTTGTAGAGACAGGGGGCTCGCTATGTTACCCAGTCTGGTCTTGAACCCCTAGGCTCAAGTGATCCTCCCGCCTCGACCTCCCAAAGTGCTGGGATTACAGGCGTGAGTGAGCCACTGCATCCAGCCTGATCTATGTTTTTCAAATGTTGATATAATAACATCAAAAATCATAATATCAGCCAGGCATGGTGGCTCATGCCTGTAATCTGAGCACTTTGGGACGCCAAGGCAGAAGGATAGCTTGGGCCCAGGAGTTCAAGACCAGCCTGGCAACAAAGCGAGACCCTCATGTCTAAGAGAAAAAAAAAAAAGCTGGGCGAGGTGGTGCATGCCTGTAGTCCCAGCTACTCAGGAGGCTGAGGCAGGAGAATCGCTTGAACCTGGGAGGTGGAGGTTGCAGTGAGCTGAGATCGCGCCACTGTACTCTAGCCTGGGCGACAGAAGAATGAGACTCCATCTCAAAAAAAAAAAAAAAAAAAAAAAAAAGAAGAAAAAGAAAAAAGAAAACGGCCCTTTGAAGCAGGGACTCTTCCCTAGTCCAATTTCATTGATGAGTAGACTGAGGCTCACTGACTTGGATTCTTTCCTTTCTTTTGTTCCCCAGGTAGAGACCTTGGAGTGTCGGGAAATGTGGAAAGGCTTCATCTTAACGGTGGTGGAGGTAAGAGTAGTGGCTCTCTGCGCCCTCTCTCCCATTCTCCAGATCTCCTCAAAAAGCCTCCTTTTTCTTTCTTTCTTTTTTTCTTTTTTTGAGACGGAGTCTCGCTCTGTCGCCCAGGCTGGAGTGCAGTGGTGCGATCTCGGCTCACTGCAAGCTCCGCCTCCCGGGTTCACGCCATTCTCGTGCCTCAGCCTCCGGAGTAGCTGGGATTACAGAAGCCCGCCACCACGCCCGGCTAATTTTTTTGTATTTTAGTAGAGACGGGGTTTCACTGTGTTAGCCAGGATGGTCTCTGTCTCCTGAACTCGTGATCCACCCGCCTCAGCCTCCCAAAGTGCTGGGATTACAGGCGTGAGCCACCGGGCCCGGCCAAAATTTTGTTTTATTTTTTTGAGACAGAGTCTCACTCTGTTGCCCAGGCTGGAGTGCAATGGCACGTTCTCAGCTCACTGCAACCTCTGCCTCCCCGGTTCAAGCAATTCTTGTGACTCAGCCTCCCGAGTAGCTGGGATTACAGGCGTCCGCCACCACGCCTGGCTAATTTTTGTATTTTTAGTATACATGGGGTTTCACCCTGTTGGCCAGGCTGGTCTTGAACTGACCTTGAGTCATCTGCCCGCCTTGGCCACTCAAAGTGCTGGGATTACAGGCGTGAGCCACAGCGACCAACCGTATTTCTTATTTTATTTTTTTGAGACAAGGTCTCTCTCTGTTGCCCAGGCTGGAGTGCAGTGGTGTGATCATAGCTCACTGCAGCCTCCAACTCCCAGGCTCAAGCAGTCCTCCTGCCTCAGCCTCCCAAGTAGCTGGGATACAGACACACACTACCACATCTGACTAATTTAAAAATTTTTTTGTAGAGCAGGGTCTCACTATGTTGCCCGGGCTGGTCTCCAACTTCCGTGCTCAAGCAATCCACCCTCCTTGGCCTCCCAAAGTGATAGGATTATAGATGTGAGCCACCATGCCTGGCCACAGAGTGCTAAGTTTTTAAAAATTAGCTGACATTGGCCAGGCGTGGTGGCTCACGCCTGTAATCCCAGCACTTTGGGAGGCCGAGGCTGGCAGATCATGAGGTCAGGAGATCAAGACCATCCTGGCCAACACGGTGAAACCCTGTCTCTACTAAAAATACAAAAATCAGCTGGGCGTGGTGGCGGGAGCCTGTAATTCCAGCTACTCGGGAGGCTGAGGCAGGAGAATGGCTTGAACCCGGGAGTCGGAGGTTGCAGTGAGCCAAGATCGCGCCACTGCACTCCAGCTTGGTGACAGAACTAAACTCCATCTCAAAAAAAAAAAAAAAAAAAAAATTAGCTGACATCATTTATCAACCGGGAATTTTAGTCTACCTTCCTGATTTCCCTCTGATTTCCCTGTTTCCTACCTCACCCTGGCAGGCCATTGAGTTTGAGACCTGCCTGGCCCCTGCAGACTTTAGTTTGAGACCCTAGATTCCAGCATCTACTTTTTTTTTTTTTTTTGGTGGGGTTGGGGAGCGGGGAACGGAGTCTCACTCTGTCACCCAGGCTGGAGTGCAATGGCGTGATCTTGGCTTACTGCAGCCTCCGCCTTCCCAGGTTCAAGTGATTCTCCTGCCCCAGCCTCCCGAGTAGCTGGGATTACAGGTGTCTGCCACCACGCCCGGCTAATTTTTTGTATTTTTAGTACAAACGGGGTTTCGCCATGTTGCCCAGGTTGGTCTCGAACTCCTGACCTTAGGTGATCCGCCCGCCTCGGCCTCCCAAAGTGCTGGGATTACAGGCGTGAGCCACCGCGCCCGGCCCCAGCATCTACTCTCATGCAACACTCCTCTGCAACCCTCTCGAAGCCCTCTTTGCCCTCTAAGGTGTCAGAGTTCATTGCTCTGAGCTCTGGCCTCAATTTGCCACTCTGTGACTTGGGCACAGCCGTCCATTCCCGGCTGGCCAGGTGCAGTCACTGTCCCTCGATCGCCCCTCAGCTCCGTGTCCCGACCGACTTGACCCTGCTTCCTGGGCACCTATACATGATGTCTGAAGTCTTGGCCAAAGAGGAGGCGCGCCGTGCACTGGAGACACCCTCGTGAGTGTCCCGCCTGTCCCGAGGGGCTGCAGGATGGGGACGGGAGGTGGTTGTGTGGCTGAGGGTGGGCGGTGAGTTGGGTCCCCTGGAGTTGGGTCTTGGATTTTGCATGAGGACTGCCTTGGGGCTGGGGGTGGGGGAGGGGGAGGGGGAGTTATGGCCCATGCTGGGGAGGCAGGGCAGGATCTCCAGGAGCGGGTCTAGGGGCCTAGAGGACTGGTAAGGTCTTCAGTGGCGGGGCCTAGGCCTGAGGAGTAGGGACAGGGTCTGGGGGTGGTCAGTCTAGGTGTCTAGAAGGTGATGCTTCGTCTCCGGGGAGGAGTTATTTGTCGGAGAGGGTAACCGGGACCCTAGAGGCGGGGCCTGGATGGGGGGCGGAGCATCGTCTTTGTGGGCGGTTCTTGGTGATCAGGGA
Source organism: Homo sapiens (assembly GCF_000001405.40). Taxonomy (NCBI): domain Eukaryota; kingdom Metazoa; phylum Chordata; class Mammalia; order Primates; family Hominidae; genus Homo; species Homo sapiens. The sequence goes on along the minus strand of NC_000019.10, from coordinate 4,329,545 downwards.
GGCGGGCAGGGCCTCCAGGGTAAGGTCTAGGTGTTTGGAGGGCGGGACAGGATCTCCAGGGGAGGCTCTAGGTGCCTACGAGGCAGGGCTGGGTCTCCCTAGGGGTTGGAGCTGCATCTCCGGGGCCAGAATTAAGAGCCTGGCTGGCCGCGGTGGCTCGCGCCTGTCATCTCAGCGTTTTGGGAGGTCGAGGCGGGAGGATTGCTTTTACCCAGTTCGAGACCCATCCTGGGCAACATAGCGAGACCCCATCTCTAAAGAAAAAAAAAACCAAAAAACCCGGCCAGATGCAGTGGCTCACGCCTGTAATCCCAGCACCTTGGGAAGCCGAGGCGGGCGGATCACCTGAGGTAGGGAGTTTGAGACCAGCCTGACCAACATGGAGAAATCCCGTCTCTACTAAAAATACAAAAATTAGCCGGGCCTGTGAGGAAGGGGAATCGCTTGAACCCGGGAGGCGGAGGTTGCGGTGAGCCGAGATAGCGCCATTGCACTCCAGCCTGGGCAACAAGAGCGAAACCCTGTCTCAAAAAAAAAACAAAAAACCCCACAAAAACTAGGAGCCTGGAAGGCCGGACTGGGTCTCCGTGGGAGGGGCCTGGGTCTGGAGAGCAGGGCAGGGTCTCCTGGGCCTAGGGGATGGGGATGGGGCTGGGTCTCAGAGGAGGCAGGGTTTACGTGCAGAAGAGCGGACTTGGTCTCCGGGGTCCCGAGTGGGTGACGCGGCCCGCCACAGGTGCTTCCTGAAGGTGAGCCGGCTGGAGGCACAACTGCTCCTGGAGCGCTACCCCGAGTGCGGGAACCTGCTGCTGCGGCCCAGCGGGGACGGCGCCGACGGCGTGTCGGTCACCACGCGGCAGATGCACAACGGGTGCGCATGCGCGTCTGGAGAGCCCTGGGTGGGAGGAGGGTGGGAAGAGGGTGGGCGCGGGGGCGTGGTCAGAAGCAGGGGCGGAGTCCGACCCGCTAGTGGGTAGGCCAGGGGACGGAGCCAGAGCCGAGACGGGCGTCTGGGGACGGAGTCAGAGCTGAGCTGGGCGGATTGGGGGAGGAGTCAGAGCTGAGGTGGGCGGATTGGGGGAGGAGTCAGAGCTGGGCTGGGCGGATTGGGGGAGGAGTCAGAGCTGGGCTGGGCGAGCTGGGGCGGGTGGAGTCAGAGCTGAGCAGAGTACACTGGTGGCGGAATCAGAGCTACGCTGGGCGTGTTGGGGCGGAGTCAGAGCTGGGGTGGGCGGGCTGGGGGAGGGGTGGAGTCAATGCTAGGCAGGGGAGCATGGGGGCGGAGTCAGAGCTGGGCAGGGAGGGCTGGGGGCGGGATCAGAGCTCCGGGGTCGTGGGATCCTGAGGCTGGCCTTGCCCCAGGTATGGGGTTAATGCCTAGGGAAGAAGGTAGAGCCCAGGCCGACTCCTTTGCAGGAAGAGCCAGGTCTTGGGTTAGGAGCTGGGACTCCCTGTAGGTGGAGTCAGACTCCTAGGTTAGGATCGGCCCCTCCGGAACGTCAGGTACGCAGGGGCCAGGTCTGGGCCACTGGAGGGGATGAAGTCAAATCCAGGGATGGGAATGGGCTCTTTGGGCAGCGTCAGGATCTACGGGGGGGAGTCATGGCCGTGATCCTTTTTGGAAGTTGAGTAGGGCTATGGAGGCGGAGCCAGCCCTGGGGGCGAAGTCAGAGCCTTATGCCAAATTCTCAAGCCCAGTCCAGGGTTGGGCAAGGCGATGTAGAAGGTAGAGTCGGTGCCTGGGGGTGGAGCCATTACAGGGGGCGGGGCCTACCTGGGGCGGGGTCTTTAGGGCCTGGTTCTCCCTAGGCGCGGTGCCAGAATTAGGGGCGGACCTTTCCTAGGGTGTTGTCAGTCTGGCCTGGTCCCTCGCTGGAGGTGGTGCCAAGACTAGAGGTGGGGTCTTCTGTGGGGGTGGGTCGGTCGGGCCTGGTCCCCGCTGGGAGCAGTGCTGGGATCGGGCAGTCAGTGCTCCGGGAGGTCAACGGGGCTTAGGTCCTTTATGGGGTGGAACCAGTCAGTGGCGGGGCCTTCTGTGGGGGCGGAGCCAGTATGGACCTGTTTCTATTGGAGGCGGAGCCTGGAGTTGGGGCGGGGCCTTCCCTGAGGGGCGGTGTGGGAGCCTGGGCTGAGCCACTCACTCGCTTTCTCCTGGTGCAGGACGCACGTGGTCCGGCATTACAAGGTGAAGCGGGAGGGCCCCAAGTACGTGATCGATGTGGAACAGCCGGTGAGCGTTGGGCCAGAGTCCCTAGAAGTGACTTTGTGGGGTCCGCGTCCCTTCTCCAGCAGCCTGACCGCTCCCCCATCTGCCCCCAGTTCTCTTGCACCTCCCTGGACGCCGTGGTCAACTATTTCGTGTCGCATACCAAAAAGGCGCTGGTGCCATTCCTGTTAGACGAGGACTACGAGAAGGTGCTAGGTGGGTGCCCCTTCGGGGAGTTCGGGGGCCCAGTGCTCACCTCTCCCGCCCCCGCTCGGACGGACCGGGCCGCCCCTGGCCGCCGCGCTTCCTCCAGGCCGCCCTCTCTGTTCCAGGCTACGTGGAAGCCGATAAGGAGAATGGCGAGAATGTGTGGGTGGCGCCCTCCGCTCCGGGCCCAGGTGACGCCCCCTTCCCGCGGGCCGAGGTGGGAGGGATCGAGGACCCCGCATTCAGCCACGCCCCCTCAGTCAGTTTGGTGGCTGCACCTCCTGCATCTGATGTTCCCAAAGTTGCAGGGACAGAAATGACTCAGACCCTGCCGTCAGGGTGTGTGTGTGGGGGAGGGGGCGGGGGTCCCAGCTTGGGACAGAGCTAAACACAGACACTCTCATCCTGTAGGGTTGAATTTGGGGTGGAGGAAAAACCTGGGCTCGGGGGAGGCGCCTAGAGTTCGGGAGAAGATGGGGGCAGAGCAGGGAAAGCTTCCCAGAAGAGTGGGTCTTTGCAGATGGTCCCAAAGGATCTCCTTAGGTAGAAATGGGCATTGAGGGGTCAGAGGGTACACCCGGACAAGCAGTAGCCCCACAGGGACCGAGAATCCGGGTGGGTGTTGGGAAAGAGGTGGAAATCGGTCCTGTTTATGGAGTGGGAAGAGGAGGCAGAGAACACACTAGAAAGGAATGTAGCGTGGGTTGTCTGGTCTTCCCTGGTCTGGGCGTATGCAAGGACCCCCAAGTGCCACATCCACACACACATTACACATGCATGATCCATGCAACTGTGGCCACCTGCCTAGCCAGAAGGTGACACACACTTGTGCGGGCACAACAGATCACACATGCATAAATACACGTGTGCCCCAATTCCAGTCACATACAAATGCTATGTAGCACAGATACACCTGTGTCATGCCACAATCACATGTGTACACATAAATGCAGATACGTCCGTGCACCGGCACAAACTCGGACACGTGTAGATACACGGGCAAAACGCACTCATGTAGACAAGGACTAAAGCAGCCACCTCAGCAGGCGTGCAGTCACACACGTATACACACCACAGGTGTGTGTGTACAAACGTTGCACTTTAACTTATCTAGATTCAATTAGTGTACACGTGTATGCCACACAAAGACTTTTTTTTTTTTTTGAGATGGAGTCTTGCTCTGTCACCCAGGCTGGAGTGCAGTGGCGCAATCTCGGCTCACTGCAACCTCTCCCTCCCAGGTTCAAGCGATTCTCCTGCCTCAGCCCCGAGTAGCTGCGATTACAGGAGCCTGCCACCACGCCAAGCTAATTTTTGTATTTTTAGTAGAGACGGGGTTTCACCATATTGGCCAGGCTGGTCTTGAACCCCTGACCTCAGGTGATCCGCCCACCCTGGCCTCCCAAAGTGCTGGGATTACAGGCGTGAGCCACCGCGCCCGGCCCAGACACAGACTTATACATGGGCACACACACAGACACACAGGGACACATGCCTGTCTCCAGGCATGCACACAGACCCCCCCGCCAACCTGCAAGGTGTCCCTGTATGACATGGGTCTTGACAGTGACCACGTTTCCCCATCAGGTCCTGCACCCTGCACAGGTGGCCCCAAGCCGCTGTCACCTGCGTCTAGCCAGGACAAGCTGCCCCCACTGCCCCCACTACCGAACCAGGAAGAGAACTACGTGACCCCCATTGGAGATGGCCCAGCTGTTGACTATGAGAACCAAGATGGTGGGTGGGGAACAGAGCTGCTGAGAGCTGGGGGTTGGGGAAACAGGTTAACAGCTGATGTGACACGTTACACTTTTGTCCACGCAGTGGCTTCCTCTAGTTGGCCAGTCATCCTGAAGCCAAAGAAGTTGCCAAAGCCTCCTGCCAAGCTTCCAAAGCCACCCGTTGGACCCAAGCCAGGTTGGGGTCCCCCCCATATCCCACCCTCACCTGATGGCAGGCCAGCCTCAGCCCTCATCTGACTTTTTTTTTTTTTTTTGAGACAGTCTCACTCTGTCGCCCAGGCTGGAGTGCAGTGGCACAACCTTGGCTCACTGCAAGCTCCGCCTCCTGGGTTCACGCCATTCTCCTGCCTCAGCCTCTCCAGTAGCTGGGACTACAGGTGCCCGCCACCATGCCCAGCTAATTTTTTTTTTTGTATTTTTAGTAGAGACGGGGTTTCACCATGTTAGCCAGGATGGTCTTGATCTCCTGACCTCGTGATCCGCCCACCTCGGCCTCCCAAAGTGCTGGGATTACAGGCGTGAGCCACCGCACCCAGCTCATCTGTCTTTATTGTTGTTTTTTGTTTTGAGATGGAGTCTCACTCTGTTGCCCAGGCAGTGGCGCGATCTCAGCTCACTGCAACCTCTGTCTGCCGGGTTCAAGTGATTCTCCTGCCTCAGCCTCCCAAGTAGCTGGGATTACAGGCACCTGCCACCACGTCCATCTAATTTTTGTATTTTTAGTAGAGAAGGGGTTTCACCATGTTGCCCAGGCTGGTCTCGAACTCCTGACCTCAAGTGATCCACCCACCTCAGCCTCCCAAAGTGCTGGGATTACCGGCGTGAGCCACCACACCTGGCCTCATCTGTCTTCTCTTCCAGAGCCCAAAGTCTTTAATGGTGGCTTGGGCAGGAAGCTGCCAGTCAGTTCAGCCCAGCCTCTCTTCCCCACAGCCGGTAAGGGGTCTGCGGGGTCAGTGCGGGGCGGGCTTCCCAGGTGTGTGACCGTACAGTCACACAAGTCCCCACACTCCGAAGCGCCCTGTCTTTTAAGGTTCTGCTGTCTCTGTCTTGAAATTCTTAATGCCTTCGAGCACACTGTCCTGTTGCACGGGGCCCTGCAAATCTGTAGCTGGTCCTGGGTGGCTGTCAGGGCGGTGGGCATGGACTGGGGATCCCTGAGCCAGCTGCAGCTCCTGGTCCTGAACCCCCAGGGCTGGCAGACATGACGGCAGAGCTACAGAAGAAGCTGGAGAAGAGGCGGGCACTGGAGCACTGATTCGGACACACCAGGGACCAGCGGGCTAGTCCCAGGGCATGGCCCAGCGGCCAGATTCTTTTTCCCAGGATTAAAACTCTGACCCCAGGACCCATGTGTCTGGCTTGGCTTGGGGGATTAGGGGACGAGGGGTCCGTCAGATGTCTGCCTACGGATGGCCCCATTTACTCCCAGTGACCCTCAGCTCAGTGAAATCTACCACCATATTCTGTGAGAAAAGCCCATTTTACAGCTGGGAAGGATGAGGTCCCGGTGCCACACCCAGGCCCAAAGAACCAGCACCGCGGCCTCGCCTGGCCAGTGTCTGACCTTTATTAAGAGGTGAGGTGGGGAGAGGGCCCGCCAGGGTGCCCACTCCCTCTTGGTGACCCCCCCATCTGGAGTTAAGGCTCCAAGCAGCAAGTGACAGAGGAGGGTGCCTGGCTCCAGCAGCCTGGGCTTGGCGGCGACTCCCCCAAAAACACCCCAGCTGGGTGGGTGCCTGGGGGCCTAGGTGAGGCTGGTGTTGGAGCTGCTGGTAGCACTGCCTCGCTTTTGCAGGCAGCGCACAGCACTGGGGACCTGCAGGCCTGTCGTCACCTGGAAGCTGCCACACCATACCTGAGGGACAGCGGGGGGAGGGGGGAGGGGCTCAGCTTCAAACCCCAGCGCCCAGCACCACCCTCTCCTCCCCCTGGGCCGCGGAGGGCAGCTCACCGTGAAAGCAGGCAGCAGCGGCTGTGTGAACCTGGTCTTGAAAGTGTGCAGCACTTGTTTGGTGCGGGCATTGTAGAAGGACAGGAGGCCTGGGGTCGGGGGGCAGAGTGACAGTGGGACCGGTCAGAAGTGGGATGGGGGCAGACGGAGGGGACTCAGGCAGGGGCAGCCAGAGACGGCAGCTGGGGCTTGGGGTCACCTTGGTGGAAGTCACAGTGCACACCCAGGCAGTCGGGCACGGGGGCGTCCAGCACCTTGACCTTGTTGGCGTGCTTGGCCGTGAAGCTGACCTGCAGCCAATTGTTGACGTGCAGGCACCAGGAGGCGGCCGTCTTGCCCAGTTGCTCGAAGCGGCCCAGGCTGCGGTAGGCCACGCCCACGCCGAACGCCTTGCTGTCCGGCTCGTAGCGCACCTCCCAGTAATGCTCCCCGCCGTCGATCAGCGTGTCCCCTGTGGCGCAGGGCAGGAGGGGTGGGCAGGGGAACTGGATAGAACTGGGCCACAGATGCCCTTCCACAAAGGGCCAGCCCCCAAGGTGCTCCTTACACCACAGCTGCTCCCTGCAGAGACACTCCCCAGGTTCCTAGCTGTACCCCCCAGATACTCCTCAGGTTCCCAGCTATTCCCCTCAGGTACCCCTTGAACCCCAGCTATTCCCTTCAGATACGCCTCAAGTTCCTAGCTATTCCCTCCAGATACTCCTTGGGCCCCAGCTATTCCCTCCAGATACTCCTTGGGCCGCAGCTATTCCCCCCAGATACTCCTTGGGCCCCAGCTATTCCCTCCAGATACTCCTTGGGCCCCAGCTATTCCCTCCAGATACACCTTGGGCCACAGCTATTCCCTCCAGATACTCCTTGGGCCCCAGCTATTCCCTCCAGATACTCCTTCGGACCCAGCTATTCCCTCCAGATACTCCTCGGTTCCTGCTATATCCTCCAGATACTCCTCGGTTCCTGCTATTCCCTCCAGATACTCCTCGGTTCCTGCTATTCCCTCCAGATACTCCTTGGTTCCTGCTATTCCCTCCAGATACTCCTTGGGCTCCAGCTATTCCTCCCAGATACTCCTCGGGATCCCAGCTATCCCCTCCAGATACTTCTTGGGGACCCAGCTATCCGCCCCCCCAGATACTCCTCAGGATCCCAGCTATTCCCCCCAGATAATCATTGAGGACCCAGCTGTTCCTCTCAGATACTCCTTGGGCCCCAGCTAATTCTCCCAGATACTCCTTGAGGTCCAAGTTATCCCTCCCAGATACTCCTCGGGATCCCAGCTATCCCCTCCAGATACTTCTTGGGGACCCAGCTATTCCCCCCAGATATTCCTCAGGATCCCAGCTATTCCCCCCGATAATCCTTGAGGACCCAGCTGTTCCTCTCAGATACTCCTTGGGCCCCAGGTAATTCTCCCAGATACTCCTTGGGGTCCAAGTTATTCCTCCCAGATACTCCTCGGGATCCCAGCTATCCCCCCGCCAGATACTTCTTGGGGACCCAGCTATTCCCCCCAGATATTCCTCAGGATCCCAGCTATTCTTCCCAGATAATCCTTGAGGACCCAGCTATTTCTCCCAGATACTCCTTGGGGACCCAGCTATTTCCCCCAGATACTCCTCGGGATCCAAGTTATTCCTCCCAGATACTCCTCAGGGTCCCAGCTATTCCCCTCAGATACTCCTTGGGCCCCAGCTATTTCCCCCCAGATACTCCTTGGACTCCAGTTATTCCCTCCAAATACTTGGGTCCCAGCTATTCCCTCCAGATACTCCTTGGGCCCCAGTAATTCCCTTCAGATATGCCTCAGTCTCTGCTAGTCCCTCCAGATACTTCTCTGGCTTGAGCCATTCCTCCCAGATACTCCTCGGGGATCCAGCTATTTCCCCCAGATACTTCTCAGTCCCAGCTATTCCCCCCAGATACTCCTCAGTCCCAGCTATTTCCCCAGATACTCCTCAGTCCCAGCTATTCCCCTCCAGATACTCCTCAGTCCCAGCTATTTCCACAGATACTCCTCAGTCCCAGCTATTCCCCTCCAGATACTCCTCAGTCCCAGCTATTTCCCCAGATACTCCTCAGTCCCAGCTATTCCCCTCCAGATACTCCTCAGTCCCAGCTATTTCCACAGATACTCCTCAGTCCCAGCTATTCCCCTCCAGATACTCCTCAGTCCCAGCTGTTTCCCCCAGATACTCCTCAGTCCCAGCTATTCCCCCCAGATACTCCTCAGGCTGCAGTTATTCCCTCCAGATGCTCCTCAGGTCCCAGCTATTCCCCCCAGATACTCCTCAGTCCCAGCTATTCCCCTCCAGGTACTCCTCAGTCCCAGCTATTTCCCCAGATACTCCTCAGTCTCAGCTATTTCCCTCCAGATACTCCCCAGTCCCAGCGATTCCCCTCCAGATACTCCTCAGTCCCAGCTATTCCCCTCCAGATACTCCTCAGTCCCAACTATTTCCCCCAGATACTCCTCAGTCCCAGCGATTCCCCTCCAGATACTCCTCAGTCTCAGCTATTCCCCCCAGATACTCCTCAGTCCCAGCTATTTCCCCGGATACTCCTCAGTCCCAGCTATTCCCCTCCAGACACTCCTCAGTCCCAGCTATTTCCCCCAGATACTCCTCAGTCCCAGCGATTCCCCTCCAGATACTCCTCAGTCCCAGCTGTTTCCCCCAGATACTCCTCAGTCCCAGCTTTTCCCCCCAGATACTCCTCAGGCTGCAGCTATTCCCTCCAGATGCTCCTCAAGTCCCAGCTATTCCCTCCAGATATTCCTTGATTCCCGGGTATTCCCCCCAGATACTCCTAAGCTTTATCAACTTCCTCCAGAAATTTATTAAGCCCAGATACTCCCCAAGCCTCAGTTACTCCTTTCAGATTCTCTACAAGCCCAAGCTACTCCTTCCAGACTCCTCCAAGCCATAGAAACTTCTTTCAGTTCCTCCCCATGTCCAAATACCCCTCAGTTCTTCCCAGAAACTAGATCATCCTCAAACCCTTGTTCCTGGAAGACTCATAGTGTTCCCACAGGCCTCAAGTCCTCCTCGAGTCCAGATGCTCCCCCTAGTTCCCAGCTCTGGCAGGGTCCAGATGCTCCCCCTAGTTCTCAGCTCTGGCAGAGTCTAGAAGCTCCCTCTAGCTCCTTGCTGTGACAGAGTCCAGATACTCCCCAGGACTCAAGACTCCCTCCTCTTGCTCTCTGAATCCAGATTCTATCCAGACCCCAACTCCACGTGGAAGGCAGGTTCTCCCAGGCCTCAGCTACTGCTGAGGCCAGAAGTTCCCCCAAGGCATTCCCCAAGCCAGATACTCTCCAGGCCTCAGCTCCTCCTGGAATCCAGGTGTTCCTCAAACCTCCATCACACTCTCCAGGAACCCTCTGAATTGGGATACCCCTTGGCTTCAGCTCTGTACACAATCCAGATTCTCTCCAGAGTTGAGATCCTCCCCAGGCCCCAGATCCAGGTTCTTGCCATCTCAGCTACTCCTTCACCCAATGCAGCTATTCCATGAGCTTCAGCTTCTCCTCATACTCTCGCCCCTCCCAGATCACAACTGATCTTTGTTATATCTCAGTTCCTCTCCAGATACAAGATGAACCTCTATACACGTCTTCTCCAGGTCTGCTCCTCCCTGATCTCAGCTACTCCCCACACCACAAATTATCCAGGTCCTTTCCCAAGGATGATCTCTCTCTCTCTCTCAAATCTCAGCAACTCCAATGACAACTCCCTATATCTTCTGCTTCTCCCTAAAACTCTCACCAATCCCAGGTGCACCCAGGAAAATTTAGATCCCCATAGAACCATAACTTCCCCTTAGGCCCTAGCTTATCCTCATGACCCCAGCTACTCCCTAACTTCCTTCTCTCTAGATATTCCTGACCACAATGACTTCCTCATACTTTTAGCCTCTTTCTCCAGCTCTATTCTGAACAGTAGCAATTCCCCTAAAGTCCAGTTCCTCCCTTGCCCATCCTCCACCAACTCCAGCTTCTTCTTCACAGGATCCAATCATTCTTATGCTACTATTGACTTCTCTTCAGACTGTTTTCTCTGGCTCCTCCACATACCCTCAGGTGATCCCCCAAAATTCCTGCCTGGCTTCAGCTCCCCCACAAACCCAGTTGCTCTATAGGCAATGATTCTTTCCAGCTACTCCTCAAATCCCAGCTACTCCCTAAATCCCAGCTACTCCCCAAGTGCCAGATACTCCATGGAGTCCAGAAAATTGCCCCCAAGCTCCTGCCCAGGCACTGTCTGGTCCAGAGTCTCTTTCCTTCACTCCATAAATTCTGGCTTTCCCCAGCAATCCCTTATCCCGAAATATTTCCATTTGGGCAGTGCCAGAACAACCTGTTATTCCGGGAGCAGCTTTGCTGATGGCTGCCTGTTTCCGCAGCCAAAGGCAAAGGTTCTCCCTCAACCCCCACCATTAGGCCCCTGCCCAAAACTCCCCTCTCCCCTTTCTTCTCCCCTTCCTTACCCAGAACTGTGTAGGACTCAGCGGTGAAGCGGTCCCGTCCCCCACGACCTGAGGGCATCCTCTTGGGAGATGGAGTACCTCTGTGGTGGGCAGGGAGTGGGCAGGCTCAGGAGGCTCAGTTCAACACTTCTCTCTCCCACGGTAAGGCTACCCTAGTCCACCCCAGCCACCGTGGATGTTGGGTCAATCTCTGGCAGTATTTGGCTCTATCTATATATCGAGCACCTCATGTTTATGTCAGAACATGCCTGTGCCCTCCGTCATCTGGGAAACTCCTATTTAACCATCAAAACTCCACTCAAAACCTCCTCTCCCTTCATTCCCTCTCTGGGTTCCACCAGCCCCAGGTCCCCTCTCCACCCCAACTCTGACCACACTGGGCTCTGTGTCCATGTCCAGACTGATCTCCTCCACCAGAGACTTAGGGAGGGGAGGGGGCAGGCTACCTGGCTGGGGAGTTGATGGGAGACGCCGTCCGCCCCTTGCCATCTTTCTCGCGAGCCTTGATATCCTGCACCTTCCCGCCCATAGCGTCCCACTCCACGGAGAGATCATCCACCCGCAGGTTCTGGTGGGATGTGGACGCATCCAGGCGGAACATGAACGCTGGGGCCGGGCAGACGTGGGAGTCACAGAGATGGGGAAACCCGGAGAGACACAGAGAGAGACAGAGAGACAGAGAGTGACCAAGACAGACCAAGACAGGGACAGAGAATCAAAGAGCCAAGGAGATAAGAGTCCAAGACAGAGATAAGAGACTGACGAAGCCTCGGAGAGAGACAGATATAGAGATGGACAAGCAGAAGGACAACAGGAGAGACAAGATGGCAAAGGGTAGAGGGGACAGAACATGGAGCCAGAAGCGCGAAGGCCAAGGGTTGTTGCCTAAAAGTCTCCCTCCCACGTCTGGAGGAATTTTCTTTTCTTTTTGTTTTGAGATGGAGTCTCGCTCTGTCGCCCAGGCTGGAGTGCTGTGGCACAATCTCGGCTCATTGCAACCTCCGCCTCCTGGGTTCAAGCGATTCTCCTGCCTCAGCCTCCCAAGTAGCTGGGACTACAGGCACACGCTACCACTCCCAGCTAATTTTTGTATTTTCAGTAGAGACGGGGTTTCACCATATTGGCCAGGCTGGTTTCGAACTCCTGACCTCGTGATCCGCCCGCCTCAGCCTCCCAGAGTGTTGGGATCACAGGCGTGAGCCACTGTGCCCAGCCTCTGGAGGCATTTTCAAGCCAATTGCACTACCCTGTGCTTCCATGGAGGACTAATCCCAAAAAAGGGGCTGGGCTACAGCACAAGGGAGTTAGGCTAGATTTCAGAGGGACTTCCTAGCAGGGCATGTGAAGGTGTCACTGTGAAAGGCTCTGGAATCAGTCTTCACTACTCAAATCTCATCCCCAGCTCTATAGAGGACTTATCTATTTTTTGGCAAAGAGAGAGTGTGTGTGGCTGTATACAAAAACCATCGAGATATACTGGGTAAACCTCAGAAGCAAAGGACAAAAACAGGGTTATAGCAGACACTCAGGCTAAGGAAGCCAACTGTGGACGGAGCTTTGAGCTTCCTGGCAGCCAGGGCAACCCTGCTTCGAGGATTCTCATGGTCTCTGGGGGCTGTGGGAGGAAGGGGCCATGGAGTTAGGGGTAGGACAAGGGTGGAATCCAGTCACCTGGTGTCTCCAGAGTCACCGGCTCAGAGAACTCTCCTGCAACTGCCTTGTTACAGGCCTTCACACGGAAGTTCATGTATTTCATGTCAAACTTGAGACCTGGTAGGCAAGAGAGGCATTTCAACACTGTGTATTATTCCCTGAGACTCTGAGTCATGGGTTAAAGCTGTCATGTCCCACAGTGATTCCCAACGCCATTCTAAGAACCACCTTATAAACATCTTATCCAGCCGGGCGCACTGGCTCACGCCTGTAATCCCAGCACTTTGGAAGGCCGAGGCGCATGGATCAACTGAGGTTGGGAGTTCGAGACCAGCCTGACCAATATGGTGAAACCCCCGTCTCTACTAAAAATGCAAAAAATTAGCCGGGCGTGGTGGTGTGTGCCTGTAATCCCAGCTACTCAGGAGGCTGAGGCAGGAGAATCACCTGAACCCGGGAGGTGGAGGTTGCAGTGAGCCATGATCATGCCATTGCACTCCAGCCTGGGCAACAAGAACGAAACTCCATCTCAAAAAAAATAAAAAATAAAAAATAAACAAACATCTTACCCCTGAGACCATTCCTTGCCCTCCTCTCCCTGAGGGGCTATGAATTACTTGACTCCACCTCCAACCCACGTAGACCAATCAGGATGCTTTAAGACCCTGTCACAGTGATTGTTTCAGAGATTTGTACTGCACGACTGCACTCCAGCCTGGGCGACACATTTATTTGAGATTCTGTCTCAAATAAATAAATAATAAAAAATAAAAAATTAGTCTGGGTGCGGTGGCTTACGCCTGTAATGTCAGCACTTTGGGAGGCCGAAGTGGGCAGATCACTTGAGGTCAGGCGTTCAAGACCAGCCTGGCCAACATGATGAAACCGCATCTCTACTAAAAATATAAAAATTGGTGGGGGCGGGGGGTGGCGCCTGTAATCCCAGCTACTCAGGAGGCTGCGGAAGGAGAATCACTTGAACCCGGGAGGCAGAGGTTGCAGTGAGCCAAGATCGCACCACTGCACTCTAGCCTGGGTGACAGAGCGAAACTCTGACCCCCTCCAAAAAAATTAGCTGGGTGTGGTGGTGCACACCTGTAGTCCCAGTTACTCAGGAGGCTGAGGGAGGAGGAGCATGTGAGCCCAAGAGGTTGAAGCTGCAGTGAGCTATGATTGCATCACTGCACTCCAGCCTGTGCTACATAGCAAGAACCTGTCTTTCAAAAAAAAAAGGCCAAGTGCGGTGGCTCACGCCTGTAATCCCAGCACATCTGGGAGGTGGAGGCAGGAGGAACCCATAAGGTCAGGAGTTTGAGACCAGCCTGGCCAGCATGGTGAAACTCTGTCTCTACTAAAAAATACAAAAAACTGGCTAGGCGCGGTGGCTCACACCTATAATCCCAGCACTTTGGGAGGCTGAGGCAGGCAGATCACCTGAGGTCAGGAGTTCGAGACCAGCCTGGCCAAGAGACCAGCCTCGCCAATAAGGTGAAACCCCGTCTCTACTAAAAACACAAAAATTAGCCAGGTGTGGTGGCGGGGGCCTGTAATCCCAGCTACTGGGGAGGCTGGGGCAGGAGAATTGCTTGAACCCAGGAGGCAGAAGTTGCAGTGAGCCAAAGATCGCATCATTGCACTCCAGCCTGGGTGACAGAGCGAGACTGCAACTCAAAAAAAAAAAAAAAAAAAAAGGCCAGGCACGGTGGCTCACGCCTGTAATCCCAGCACTTTGGGAGGCCGACGGAGGCGGATCACAAGGTCAGGAGATCAAGACCATCCTGGCTAACACGGTGAAAACCCGTCTCTACTAAAAATACAAAAAATTAGCCAGGCGTGGTGGCAGGCGCCTGTAGTCCCAGCTACTTGGGAGGCTGAGGCAGGAGAATGGCGTGAACCCGGGAGGCGGAGCTTGCAGTGAGCCGAGATAGCACCACTGCACTCCAGCCTGGGCAACAGAGTGAGACTCTGTCTCAAAAAAAAAAAAAAAAAAAAAAAAATTAACCAGGCGTTGGGGCGCATGCCTATAGTGCCTGTAGTCCAAGCTACTTGGGAGGTTGAGGCAGGAGAATCGCTTGAACCTGGGAGGCAGAGGTTGCAGAGAGCCGAGATCAAGCCACTGTACTCCAGCTTGGGCGACAGAGCGAGATTCTGTCTCAAAAAAAAGAAAAAAGAAAAAAGGGAAAGAAAGAAGAAAATAACCCAAACCCTCCCATCTTTCCAAGCAATCAACAAAACAGTAGGTGGATTGCAAACGACCACATAGGCAGCTGCTTTCATCGGTATCCTTACTCCTGCACAGCTTTCCATGAATCCAACTTTCTGCCCTGAGGAATTCACTCACTAGGAAGTCTGTCAAAGGCAGGAAGCCATGGTTATAAAGCGTAGCACCTGGAAGCCTCGTAGTGACAGAAGAGATCTATACTTTGACCGTGGTGTTGGTGGTGACATGAATTTACACATGGGAGAAAACTGTGTGGAACACCCGAATGAGCGCGTGTAAAACTGGTAAAATGTGGCGGGGCGTGGTGGCTCACGCCTGTCATCCCAGCACTGGGAGGCCGAGGCAGGCGGATCACCTGAGGTCAGGAGTTAGAGACCAGCCTGGTCAACATGGAGAAACCCCATCTCTACTAAAAATACAAAAATTAGCCAGGCATGGTGGTGGGCGCCTGTAATCCCAGTTACTAGGGAGGCTGAGACAGGAGAATTGCTTGAACCCAGGAGGCGGAGGTTGCGGTGAGCCGAGATCAGGCCACTGCACTCCAGCCTGGGCGACAAAGCGAGACTCCATCTCAAAAAAAAAAAAAAAAGGTAGAATGTGAGTCCACTGCACCCGTGTCCATTTCCCGGGTTTTATGCTGACTACATGGGTCCTCACTGTACTTTTTGTTTTAGTTGTTTTGGCAACTTCCTGTGGATCTATAATTATTTCAAAATACAAAGTTACAAGAAAACAAAACCAAAAGGCGGGGGCACTTGGAGGAGGGATTTGAGGAATCCTATTTACAACAAATAAAAGGGGTGTGTTTATTTTGATTCTCAAGCAAAGGATAAGCCAATGGCTGTTTGCAGCTCCTGAGGCTGATGACTTTTCCCCCTGCAGTTAGCGTGCTCATGATTAACCATGTATGCTAATTACAGATAACTAGCTGGCTGATTACAGCCCAAAAGCAGCTAGTGAATGGTGATAGTTAAACCCGTCAGCCAGCCTCTCCCCGCCCCTCCGGGATTCCCCTGGATCAGGATGGCTTTTTTTTTCTTTTTTTTTTTTGAGACGGAGTCTCCCTCTGTTGCCCAAGCTGGAGTGCAGTGGCGCGATCTCTGCTCACTGCAGCCTCCGCCTCCCAGGCTGAAGTGATTCTCACTCCTCAGCCTCCCAAGTAGCTGGGACTACAGGCATCCGCCACCATGCCCCACTAATTTTTTTGCATTTTTAGTAGAGACAGGGTTTTACCATGCTGGCCAGGCTGGTCTTGAACTCCTGACCTCAAGTGATCCACCCACCTCAGCCTCCCAAAGTGCTGGGATTACAGCGTGAGCCACCACGCCTGGCCAGGATGGCTTTTTGTTTTTTTTTTTTTTGAGACGGAGTCTCGCTCTGTAACCAGGCTGGAGCTCAGTGGCGCAATCTCAGCTCACTGCAACTTCTGCTTCCTGGGTTCAAGCAATTCTCCTGCCTCAGCCTCCCGAGTAGCTGGGATTACAGGCGCCCGCCACCACACCCAGCTAATTTTTGTATTTTTAGTAGAGACAGGGTTTCACCATGTTGGTCAGGCTGGTCTCAATCTCGTGACTTCAAGATCCGCCCGCCTAAGCCTCCCAAAGTGCTGGGAGTACAGGTGTGAGCCACCACGCCCGGCCCAGGAGGCTTTCCCCCTTCAGACCCTACCTCCACCAGCTGGGTGGATTCCTTGGGTTTTGTTTTTTTTTTTCTTTATTTTTCTCTCTTTGTTTAGTAGAGACAGGGTCTCGCTCTGTTGCTCAGGCTGGAGTGCGGTGGTGCAGTCATGGCTCACTGCAGCCTCCAATTCTTGGGCTCAAACAATCCTCCCACCTTAGCCTCCCTTGGTAGCGGGGACCACCATGCTCAGGTAACTTTAAATTTTTTTTTTTTTTATAGATGGGCTCTTGCTTTGTTACCCAAGCTGGTCTCCAGCTCCTGGCCTCAAGCAATCCTCTTGCCTCAGCCTCCCAAAGTGCTGTATCACAGGCTTGAGCCACCATGCCTGGCCAGCTTTCAATTTCTTGTAACTGCCAAGGAGGACCCCAAATACTTGGAGGGTGAATCCAGAACGCCAGCTCTAGGAGGGAAAAGATTATTGTCTGCTTTGTTCCCTGCTCCGAGGACAGTACACAGCTATTTGGGAGGCTGAGGCAGGACTGCTTGAGGCCAGGGGTTGGAGACCAGCCTAGGGAAATGGCAGGATCCCATGTCTGGAAAAATATATTCATTATTATTATTTATTTATTTATTTATTTATTTATTTATTTTTTGAGACGGAGTCTTGCTCTGTCGCCCAGGCTGGAGTGCAGTGGCGCAATCTAGGCTCACTGCAAGCTCCGCCTCCCGAGTTCACGCCATTCTCCTGCCTCAGCCTCCTGAGCAGCTGGGACTACAGGTGCACACCGCCACGCCCGGCTAATTTTTTGTATTTTTTTAGTAGATACAGTATTTCACCGTGTTAGCCAGGATGGTCTCGATCTCCTGACCTTGTGATCGGCCCGCCTCGGCCTCCCAAAGTGCTGGGATTACAGGCGTGAGCTACCGCGCCCGGCCTATATTCATTATTATTATTTTTTGTTTTTTTGAGATGAGTTTCGCTTTTGTTGCCCAGGCTGGAGTGCAATAGCGCGATCTCGGCTCAGTGCCATCTCCACCTTCCGGGTTCAAGCAATTCTCCCGCCTTAGCCTCCTGAGTAGCTGGGATTACAGGTGCCCGATACCATGCCCGGCTAATTTTTTTGTATTTTTAGTAGAGATAGGGTTTCACCATGTTGGCCACGCTGGTCTTGAACTCCTGACCTCAGGCGATCCACCCGCTTCAGCCTCCCAAAGTGCTGGGATTACAGGCATGAGCCACCGCGCCTGGCCACTGTCTCATATTTCTGATCCACCTCCCCAGGCTGCTTCCAGACCCCATGAGCTTTGGGGATCGTCCCCAAGGCCCCCAGTGACTGATGGCGAGACGGGAGGCTGGAAGAGGTGGCTGTTCACAGCTGGGCGGAGCTGGCACACACTGCCCTTACCTGTCAGGGTGTACTCTGTCTGCCGGATGCCCTCGATGACCATCCAGGGCTGGTCCTCCTTGAGGCGGGGCGGGCCCTCGAAGTTGGTCCGCCGGTACTCCAGCACGTAGTGGTCAATCTTGCTGTCCTCATCCGGCATGCGCCACACCAGGGTCACACAGTTATCTGCCACCAGGGACTCAGCCAGGTCGATCACGGGTGCGCTGGGCACTGACCAAGACGGAAAGGAGAGGGGGTCGGGATTCTGTGCCTGGTTCAGGGGGCAGGGGGCTTGCTGCAGGGCTGCCCAACCACATGTTGGACAATTTTGGGGGCATGGCCACAAAGGGGTTCCATGTTTGGCAGGGTGGAGACTTTTTTTTTTTTAGAGACAGAGTCTTGCTCTTGTCACCCAGGCTGGAGTGCAGTGGCACGATCTTGGCTCACTGCAACCTCCGACTCCCTGGTTCAAGCGATTCTCCTGCCTCAGCCTCCTGAGTAGCTGGGATTACAGTCGTGAGCCACCATGGCCCGGCTAATTTTTTATATTTTTAGTAGAGACAGGGTTTCTCCATGTTGGCCAGGCTGGTCTTGAACTCCTGACCTCAAGTGATCCACCCGCCTCGGCCTCCCAAAGTGCTGGGATTCCAGGCGTGAGTCACCGCGCCCGGCCATGGAGACGCTAAGGTTCCATCAGTGGGTTGGGGGAGGGCTGAGCTTTCTTGGGATTCCATCATTTACAGGCAGAATTATTCCAAAATCTCTGCCAATGAGGGATGCGGCTTTCTTTGGGGCTGCATCATAGACAGGCTGGGTTCTCAGTCCATTTCTCCTCGGGGACGTGGCCTTCTCAGGGCTCCACCCCTGGAAACAGGGTTTTCCCAGGAGCTACCATGTGGTGGGCAGGCCCTTCTCGTGGCTCTATCCAGGGAGGAGGTCTCGGGAGGACTCCACTCCCCCAACGACATGGTATTCTCAGGGCTCCACCCCTGTGGACAGAGTTTTCCCAGGACCTCACCCCCTGGTGGGTGGGGCTTTCTGATGGCTCCACCCATGGGCGGGACTTGATGAATACCCCACCCCCACAGGACGTGCTATTCTCAGGGCTCCACCCCTGGGGACAGGATTTTCCCACCTGGTGAGTTTGACCTTCTCATGGCTCCACCCCAGGGCGGGGCCTCATGAGGACTCAACCAACCCCACAGGACATGGTATTCTCACAGTTCCACCCCTGGGTACAGAGTTTTCCCAGGATGTCACTACACAGTGGGTGGGGTCTTCCCATGGCTCCACCCAGGGGCGGGGCTCCATGAGAACTCCACCCCCCACAGGGCGTGGAATTCTCAGAGCTCCACCTCCCCCAGGCGGAATTCAGACACCGGGTCGTCCACCATACTCCAGGTCCTGTTTCAGGGCCTCCTAGCCTCCCAGGTCATTCCCCGGAAGTCCTGGCCCTCTAGTGCGTGCCCCTCTCACCAGGCAGGAACTTGAGTGCCTGTAGCATCTGCCGCTCTTGCGCGAAGTCCACCATGAGGTGACTCATGTTGTCACTGACCTTCGCTTTCAATGATAGCCGGAAGGCAGGGGCCATGGTCACTCTGCAGGAAGGAGGTGGCAGGCGTTGCGTGGGGGACCAGGCCTGGTCATCCGTGGCGCGAGGGGGCCCCTCCCCAGGGCTCCCGTCCAGGGCTCTGAGATGAGACACCCTCACCAGGTGGCCCCTGTCTTCACACCAGGGGCAGGGTAGTGGGGTGGGGGCCAGACCCCAGTGTCTTACCCATCTTTGATTTGCTTGGCAGCCTAGAGAGAGGAACAGAACAACATTCAAAGATTTCTTTTTTTGTTTTTGAGACGGAGTCTTGCTCTGTTGCCCAGGCTGGATTGCAGTGGAGAGATCTCGGCTCACTGCAACCTCCACCTCCTGGGTTCAAGCAATTCTGCCTCAGCCTCCTGAGTAGCTGGGATTACAAGCACCCACCACCACACCCGGCCAATTTTTTGTATTTTTAGAGAGATGGGGTTTTGCCATGTTGGCCACACTGGTCTCAAACTCCTGACCTCAGGTGATCCGCCTGCCTCAGCCTCCCAGAGTGCTGGGATTACAGGCATGAGCCACCGTGCCTGGCCCAAAGATTTGTTTCATTTTTTGTGTTTTTTTTTTTTTGAGATGGAGTCTTGCTCTGTCGTTCAGGCTGGAGTGCAGTGGCACGATCTCGGCTCACTGCAAGCTCCGCCTCCCGGGTTCACGCCATTCTCCTGCCTCAGCCTCCCGAGTAGCTGGGACTACAGGCGCCCGCCACCACACCCAGCTAATTTTTTGTATTTTTAGCAGAGATAGGGTTTCACTGTATTAGCCAGGCTTGTCTTGATCTCCTGACCTCATGATCGGCCCGCCTCAGCCTCCCAAAGTGCTGGGATTACAGGCGTGAGCCACTGCGCCCGGCCCAAAGATTTGTTTCTACCAAATCATAAAGCCACTCTACAGACATGAAGACTGAGGCCTCTCGAGGAAGGTATTTGCCAAAGTGTCCCTGCACTTCTGGACTGTGCCCTGAAGACAGAGGATGGCCAAGACAGGCTCCCATCCCCACCCCAACCTCCTGCCCACACCCAGCCCATACAGCTGGCAAATTCACTGAATAAAACTACAGGATGCCCAGTTAAATTGGCATTTCAGATAAATCATGACTATGTCCCATGCACTCTTTGGGATATACTCACACAAATGCAGTTCTTAGTGTGCACATATATACCCTTATACTAAAAAAGTATTTATTCATTTGCATTTCAGATCAACAATGAATACTTTTTTTTTCTTTTTTTTTGAGACAAGGTCTGGCTCTGTCCCTCAGGCTAGAGTGCAGTGTAACAATCACGGCTCATTGTAACCTTGAACTCTGGAGCTCAAACAATCCTCCCACTTCAGCCTCTTGAGTAGCTGGGACCACAGGTGTGTGCCACCACACCCAGCTAATTATTTTATTTTATTTTATTTTTTGAAACAGAGTCTTGCTCTGTCACCTAGGCTGGAGTGCAGTGGTGCGATCTCTGCTCACTGCAAGCTCTGCCTCCCGGGTTCACACCATCCTCCTGCCTCAGCCTCCTGAGTAGCTGGGACTACAGGTGCCCGCCACCATGCCCGGCTAACTTTTTGTATATTTAGTAGAGACGGGGTTTCACCGTCCTAGCCAAGATGGTCTCAATCTCTTTTTTTTGCGACGGAGTCTCGCTCTGTTGCCCAGGCTGGAGTGCGGTGGCGCGATCTTGGCTCACTGCAAGCTCCGCCTCCCGAGTTCACGCCATTCTCCTGCCTCAGCCTCCCGAGTAGCTGGAACTACAGGTGCCCGCCACCACGCCCGGCTAATTTATTTGTATTTTTTTTTAGTAGAGACGGGGTTTCACTGTGTTAGGATGGTCTTGATCTCCTGACCTCGTGATCCGCCCGCCTTGGCCTCCCAAAGTGCTGGGATTACAGGCATGAGCCCCTGTGCCTGGCCAATTATTTTATTTTTTGTAGAGATGGGGTTTCACTATGTTGCCCATGTTGGTCTGAAACTCCTGGCCTCAAGCAATCCTCCTGCCTCGGCCTCCCAAACTGCTGGTATTACAGGCATGAGCCACTGCACCCAGCCTGAATGCTTTCTTTTCTTTTTTTCTTTGTTTTTGAGATGAAGTCTCCCTCTGTTGCCCAGTCTGGAATGCAGTGACACAATCTCAGCTCACGGCAACCTCTGCCTCCCAGGTTCAAGCGATTCTCCCGCCTCAGCCTCCCAAGTAGCTGGGATTACAGGCGCCCACCACCACATCCAGCTAATGTTTGTATTTTTAGTAGAGATGGGGTTTCCCCGTGTTGGCCAGGCTAGTCTTGAACTCCTGACCTCAGGTGATCCACTGCCTCAGCCTCCCAAAGTGCTGGGATTACAGGCGTAGCCACTGTGCCCGGCCTGGACACTTTCTTGGTATCAGTATGTACTTTTGCCAACTATCGCATGGGTGGGCTATACTTACACTAAAAATGTGCTTGTTCACCTGAAATGCAAACGTGACTGGGCACACTGTTCTTTACCTGGCAGCATCAGAGGCACCCACCTGAGGAAAGTCCTCGCTGTCCATGGCCTGCAGAGTCTGGTTGGCTGTCTCCAGAAGCTCCTCGGAGCTCTCCAGGGCCCGCGTGCAGGCAGCCAGCTGGTTCTGTGGATACCAGGCACCAAAGGAGGGGACAACTCACCCCACTGCCTCAGGCCCCCTGAGGGCTCCCCACCCCATTCAGAATCCAGGGTACCATGCCCTTCTCGAACTCCAGGTGAGAGATGGAGATTGGAGCCTTGAGCGCCCCACCAAATGGGGCTGGGCTCGGGGAGCAGAACAGAATCCCTGGGGAATCCCTTCCCTAAAAACACGTAAGGCCGGGTGTGGTGGCTCAGGCCTGTAATCCCAGCACTTTGGGAGGCTGAGGCGGGAGGATCACCTGAGGTCAGGAGTTCAAGACTAGCCTGGCCAACACAGTGAAACCCTGTCTCCACTAAACATAGAAAAAAGTAGCTGGGTGTGGTGGTGGGCACCTCTAATCCCAGCTACTCGGGAGGCTGAGGCAGGAGAATCACTTGAACCCGGGAGGCGGAGGTTGCAGTGAGCTGAGGTTGTGCAACTGATCCAGCCTGGGTCACAGAGAGAGACTCCATCTCAAAAACAAAACAAAACAAAAAAAACTCACATGAGCCAGGCACAGAGGCTCATGCCTGTAATCCCAGCAATTTGGGAGGCCAAGGCAGGAGGATCGCTTGAGCCCATGAGTTCAAGACTAGTCTAGGCAACATGGTGAAAACCAGTCTCCACCAAAAAATACAAAAATGAGCTGGGCGTGGTGGCACCTTCCTGTGGTCCCAGCTACTTGGGAGGCTAAGATGGGAGAATCGCTTAAGCCTGGGAGGCGGACGCTGCAGTGAGGCATGATTGCGCCACTGGACTCCAGCCTGGGTGACAGAATAAGACTCTGTCTCAAAACAAAACAAACCAAAAACTCACATGCCTAGGCCACATCCGAGCTCCAGGGCTCTAGATTCCCCCTGGGACAGGAATCTGGGATGTCAGGAAGTTGCCCAGGAGGTCTGGATGCAGCCTGTGTGACTCCAGCTTGGAGTCTGAGTGACAGCCCACGGGAGCCATGGGTGGTGTTTGAGTGGAGGTGATACCTTCAGATCTGGGGGGCCAGTGGGAAGGGCTGAGAAACCGGAGGCACTGAGTGAAGACAGGAGGGGAAGATCTGAGCCAGACTCGGGGACGCCGTGATGGAGAGGGGATTCAGAGAGAGCACAGATGGGCCAGGCGCGGGGGCTCATGCCTGTCATCCCAGCACTTTGGGAGGCTGAGGCAGGAGGATCACCTGAGGTCAGCTTGGCCCACACGGTGAAACCCCATCTCTACTAAAAATACGAAAATTAGCCCAGCATGATGGCGGGTACCTGTAATCCCAGCTACTTGGGAGGCTGAGGTAGGAGAATTGCTTGAACCCAGGAGGCGGAGGTTGCAGTGAGCCGATATCATGCCACTGCACTCCAGCCTGGGCGACAGAGCGAGACCTCCGTCTCAAAAAAAAAAAAGAGAGAGTGTACAGGTGGATGGAGGGGTCAGGGGAGAGATCAGAAACTCGAGAGCACCCAGTTTTTGGAGGAAGGTGCCGAGGTCAGCTACGTTCTGTTGAGTAGGAGGGGCGGGGGGAGAGGAAGATGCCCTCAGCCCTCACCTGCAGCTCGTAGGTACGGCTGGCACGGTCCTGTTTTATCTTCATAAGCATGCCTTCTTTCAGCTCCTCCAGGAGGGAGAAGAGGGACTGGAACTCTGCTTCGAGGTCCTCCTGCACCTTCGCCGAGTTCGCCTGGGTCGGAACAGCCAGAATCGGCCAAAGCCCGTGTTCAGAGAGGGAACCTGAGACCTCCCACAGGCATCAACAGCAATGGGCCAGTTCCTAAGGCTGCACCCTCCAGCTTCCTCCCCTCCCCTTACCTCCCCAGGACTGCCCCACCGCCTTCACCTCCACGTTCAGCAGCATCTGTTTCAGGGAGTAGATAAAGCTCTGAATTTCTTCATTCTTCACAGCCAGTGTTTTGATGATCTTCCTCAGGGCCTCCTGCACCACCAGAAGTGTGGACACACACAGGTGCACACACACATGTGCGCACACAGGTACACACACGTGTACGCACATGTACACACGTGCACACACATGCACACACGTACATAAATGCACACGCGTGCGCACACACATGCACACACATGCGCACACACACACGGCAGGCAGGTGAGCCCGTCAGCCTGGCCAGGCTCCCTGACCCGCGCTCCCCTCCAGGGATCCAGAGAGGAGATGTGGGGGCTGCCACGCTATTGAGCTTGGGCACCAGCCAGGAGGTAAAGCTCCGGGCTGATACAATTCACCCATAGCAGCTGGGCGCCCTAAGCTACCCCATATTACAGGAGAGGAAACTGAGGCTCACAGAGAACCTCTCAGGAAGGGACAGACCCTGGCCCCGAACCAGGCGTGCTTGAGCACAAAGGCTACAACCCGATACCTACATCCTGAAGGTGGGGCGTGAGGGGCTAGCCTGAGGACAGAAAACCCCAGAGGAGAAGGATGTCTGCTGGAAAATGGGCTAACCTGGGGAAAGGGTTCTCGGTGGAAGGAAAAACCCCAGGGAGGTGGGATAGCCTGGGATAGGGGCTAGCCTCGGAACAGGGGTGGGGCCTACCTGGGGGAGAAAGATAAGCAAGGAGAAAGAAATTACCTGGGCAAAGGTGGAACCTGGGGGCCAGGGATGCGGGGGCGCCAGGTAAGCGGGGAGGGGGCAGGGAGGTCTTGGGGAAGGGCAGGGGATTCTGGGAGGGAGGATCCCGCTCGGGAGCCTCTTGCTCTGACCCAGGCTCCAACCTGCTCCTTTTTCCTGGGGCAGGGTCGGTGGGGTCCGCACTGCGGAGCTGGCGGGGCGTCTTCCAGGGGTGGGGCGGGGGGCCGGGACGCCTGGTCCGCGGCCAGGAGGGAGGGCGTGGGGGATGGGGGTCAGGGATGGGACTGGGATACTGGGCAGGGTGGGGGGGCGTAGAAGGCACGTGCCTGGCCCCAAGCCAAGATGTGGGGGGGCTGCGTCCCAAACTGGGGTAGGGGGGCTAGATCCGGGCGGGGTCGCGAATGGGGTGGGGCCTCAGCCGCAGAGCAGCTGGGGTGGAGGCGGGGAGGGAGTGGGGGCGCTGCGGCAACACCTGGTCCCCTTCCCCGCCCCCGACGCCCCTGCGGGCCCGCCCTGCCCCACCCCGTCCTACCCTCTGTTCTTCCATGGCTGCAGCCCAGGTCACCCCGGCCCGGCCCGCGGGCCCCGCGCACGCTGGGTCCCCAAGCTGCCTTTGCCGCGGCCGGTAGCCAATGGCCCGCCGAGCCCTCGCCGCCGCCGCGCCCCCGGTTAGCGCTCCATCACCGCGCGCATTGCGCAGGCGCACCCGCCGCGGCCGCCTGGGAAATGTAGTTCCGCGCTGGCCTCGCCCAGAGCCCTCACATCCAGCGCCTGGGGCTCACTGGGCGGTGTTGGTGGTGATATGTGAGCTGGAGAGAGCCTTGGATGAGAAGACAAGGGGCTCGACCCCTGGCCCTGCCGTGGGACCTCAGAATCATCTCTAATGCTCCCGTGCCTCAGTTTCCCCACTTGTTCACTCACACAGGTTATCCGTTGCTACTCAAATTGTCTAGCCCGCCTGGCATTTACTGAAAATCTAAGGCTTTTGCCCAAGAGGGTGTTTAGCCTCCAGTGCCTTCTTTCCATTTGTCCCTATGTCACAACTGAACTCCTATACACCCCACAAAGCCCCAGGCTCCAACAGCTCCTCCAGAAGTCTCCGTGCCAGCCCAGGTGCGGAAGCTAAGAATGTCTGGGTCCAGCTTTGGAAGGACCTGGGGGCTAATCTATCCAGGGTCCCTCAGCAGACGGTGGGGGGAAGGGTGGAGCTTCAGAATGTTCTGGGGAGGGGAAGGAGTGGGTAGGGGAGGCTGGGCGGGTGTACGTGTCTGCAGGGGAGGTGCAGGCATAGCCACCGCAGAACCTCCCTGTGGTGGAGGGGAACGCTGTGTACGATGCAGGCCTTCTAGGTCCGAGTGAGAAAGGAGGTCACTCTGCAGTTGGGTCTGAGACATTGAGGTCTGTGGGTTCGCCACCTCCTCCCAGAATGCACTACAGAATCAGGGGTGAGGGATGCAGGGCTGGGAGGAACTCGAGAGCCCATGAACCTCCTCCACGGGACCCCCAAGCAGGTCATGTAATAGGACCCAAAGTTATCAACAGAAATCTATTTCTCTGAACCTCAAAGGAAGATTTTTTAAATTATTATTATTATTTTTTTTTAGAGACGGACTCACTCTGTTGCCCAGGCTGGAGTAACGGGGCGCAATCATGGCTTACTGCAGCCTCCAACTCCTGGGCTCAAGCGGTTCTCCTGCCTCAGCCTCCCGAGTGGCTGGGACTATAGGCATGCACCATCACCCTGGGTTGGTTTTGTATCTTTTTTTTTTTTTTTGAGACACAGTCTCACTCTGTCGCCCAGGCTGGAGTGCAGTGGCAGGATCTCGGCTCCCTGTAATCTCCATCTCCCCAGTTCTGGCGATTCTCCTGCCTCAACCCCACTGAGTAGCTGGGACTACAGGCGCCCACCACTAGGCCCAGCTAATTTTTGTATTTTTAGTAGAGACCGGGTTTTGCCATGTTGGCTAGGCTGGTCTTGAACTCCTGACCTCAGGTGATCCACCCGCCTTGGCCTCCCAAAGTGCTGGGATTACAGGCCTGGGCCACCATGCCCAGCCTGTATCTTTTTTTTTTTTTTTTTTTTTTTAATAGAGATTGGATCTCGCTGTGTTACCCCAGGTTGATCTTAAACTCGGCTCAAGTGATCCTCCCACCTCAGCCTCACAAAGTGCTGGGATTACAGGTGTGAGCTACAGCGCCCAGCAAAAGAAAGACATTTTGGGAGCAAAATAATTGAGGCAGGGACCCTGTCATTTAACTCACTGCTCAGGCCTATGTCGCCTGCCCCTCCCCCACGGAGCCACCTGCTCTCGCACTGTGTCTTCCTGTACCTAGATGTGTTTATGTAGAGCCTTCCAGAAAGCTCACAGGGGTGGATTCCTCCCACTCACTTGCATACACTGCCTTTCTTTTCTTTTTTTCTGAGACGGAGTTTCACTCTTGTCGCCCAGGCTGGAGTGCAGTGGCGTGATCTTGGCTCACTGCAACCTCCGCCTCCCGGGTTTAAGCCATTCTCCTGCCTCAGCCTCCCAAGTAGCTGGGATTATAGGCGCCCATCACCATGTCCAGCTAATTTCTGTATTTTTAGTAGAAATTAGTAGGGGTTTCATCATGTTGGCCAAGCTGGTCTCGAACTCCTGACCTCAGGTGATCCACCTGCCTCGGCCTCCCAAAGTGCTGGGATTACAGACATGAGCCATGTTGCCTGGTCCGTACACTGCCTTTCAGATAGAAAATGCATTGGGGAAACTGAGGCACGAGGTGGCAGGAAGTGGAGCCCCCAGCAGGCTGGAACACCGGACGTCTGTTGTCTGGCCCTGGGTGTTGCATCTGCTTCTGCAGCGGGAGGCGGAGATTGTGGCAGGAAGTCTGTCAACTGGGAGGGGGAGAGGGGGGTGATGGGCCAGGAATGGGGTCCCCGGGCATGGTGCTGGGCCTCCTGGTGCAGATCTGGGGTGAGTATCTGGGCCTCCCTCCCCTCTGAACCCCACTCTTGCTGTCATCCCCAGCTGCCTGCCCCCCAGCTCAGGGCCCCTCTAAACTTCAGTCTCTCTACTGTCAGATAAGGCCCATCTCCCTCCGAGACTCAGAACGTGATGGGGGCTGGAGGATTAAGGAAGGATCCTCTGAGGGCCCCTAGGATACAATCTAAACCTTGCCCTACATACCAGCCTGGCCTGGCCTCTCTCATCTCCACCCTCCGCAGTGCCTTTGCTCCCTCCCTCTTGCTCTAGCCTGGGGACTTTTCTTTCTCTGTTTCCGCAATGGGAAGGCTGGATCTGGCCTTCGAGCCTTTGCACCTGCTGTTCCAGCTGCCTAATACCCTTCTCCAGATCTCATGTCTCTACCCTCCTCTGCAATTGCATCTCAAATGCCAGGAACTTCACATAACCTCAACTTCTCCGGGGGTCTAACAGACACGTCAGACTTCTCACAGCTAAAAGCAGACTTTCTACTCCGGCAGCAGCTCCCTCTGTGTTTCCAATTAAGGACAAAGGCTGCTGCCCTTCACACATTTCCTGGGGCGAAAACCTCCATTCCTCTTTCCCTCTCCTCTGATTCCAGCCGCTTGCACTTTTTTGTTGTTCATTTGTGTTTTTTTGTTTGTTTGTTTTGTTTTGTTTTGAGAAGGAGTCTTGCTCTGTCACCCAGGCTAGAGTGCAGTGACGCGATCTCGGTTGACTGCAACCTCTGCCTCCCAGGTTCAAGAGATTCTCCTGCCTCAGGCTCCCGAGTAGCTGGGACTGCAGGCGCGCGCCACTGCGCCTGGCTAATTTTTTTTGTATTTTTAGTAGAGACGGGGTTTCGCCATCTCGGCCAGGTGGGTCTCGAACTCCTGACCTCATGATCCACCCACCTTGGCCTCCCAAAGTGCTGGGATTACAGGCGTGAGCCACCGTGCCCAGTCATTTTTGTTTTTTAGAGATGGGTCTCACTATGTTGCCCAGGCTGGTCTTGAACTCCTGGCCTCAAGCAATCACCCAGTCTTGGCCACCCAAAGGGCTGGGATAACAGGCATGAGCCACCACACCCAACCAAGGTCTTTTTATTAAAACTTAAATTGGAGACTGAGGCAGGTGGATCACTTGAGGTCAGGAGTTCCAGACCAGCCTGGCCATGTTGGTGAAACCCCATCTCTACCAAAAATACAAAAATTAGCTGGGCGTGGTAGCGAGTGCCTGTAGTCCCAGCTACTCAAGAGGCTGAGCCACAAGAATCACTTGAACCTGGGAGGCAGAGGTTGCAATGAGCCGAGATCACACCACTGCACTCCCACCTGGGCAACAGAGTGAGACCCCATCTCAAAACAAAAACAAAAACAAAAACAAAAACTTCAATTGGACTATTTCTTCCCTGCTTTCTGATTTTCCATCACACTTACATTAAAACATAAACTGCTTAACTTCCTTCACCTCCCCACACCACCCCAAGGCTCACAGGCCCTGCCCAACCCTTCCTCCCTCTCTCCCTGTCCTCACTCTGCTCCAGCCACACGGGCCTCCTCGCTGTTCCTCCAACACGCCAGGCACAGTCCTGCCCCAGGGCCTTTGCATGGGCTGTGCACTGCCTGGAATGCTCTTACCCCCCAATACCTTCCTTCTCACACTGGTTATACCTTTCCATTAAGATCCCTGGTCAGGCTGAGCACAGTGGCATGTACTTGTAACACCAGTAATTTGGGAGGCTGAGGTGGGAGGATCACATGAGCCCAGGAATGTTTTGTTTTGTTTTTTATTTTGAGACACAGTCTCGCTCTGTCGCCAGGCTGGAGTGCAGTGGCGCGATCTCAGCTCACTGCAACCTCCGCCTCCCGGGTTCAAGTGATTCTCCCGCCTCAGCCTCCCGAGTAGCTGGGACTACGGGTACATGCCACCACACCCAGCTAATTTTTGTATTTTTAGTAGAGACGGGGTTTCACCATGTTGGGCAGGATGGTCTTGATCTCCTGACCTCGTGATCCGCCCGCCTCTGCCTCCCAAAGTGCTGGGATTATAGGCGTGAGCCACTGCACCCGGCCTTGTTTTGTTTTGTTTGAGACAGAGCCTCGCTCTGTCACCCAGGCTGGAGTGCAGTGGCACGATCTCAGGTCACTGCAACCTCCACCTCCCGGGTTCAAGCGATTCTCCTGCCTCA
Source organism: Homo sapiens (assembly GCF_000001405.40). Taxonomy (NCBI): domain Eukaryota; kingdom Metazoa; phylum Chordata; class Mammalia; order Primates; family Hominidae; genus Homo; species Homo sapiens. The sequence goes on along the minus strand of NC_000019.10, from coordinate 4,300,160 downwards.
GCCTCCCAAGTAGCTGGGATTACAGGCACCCGCCACCATGCCCAGCTAATTTTTGTAGTTTAAGTAGAGACAGGGTTTCACCATGTTGGCCAGGCTGGTCTTGAACTCCTGACCTCAGGTGATCCACCCGCCTCGGCCTCCCAAAGTGCTGGGATTACAGGCGTGAGCCACTGCACCCGGCCCATGAACCCAGGAGGTTGATCCTGCAGTGAGCTATGAAGGTGCCACTGCACTCCAGACTGGGCAATAGAATGAGATGGAGTCTTTTTTTCTTTGCTATGGAGTCTCGCTCTGTTGCCCAAGCTAGAGTGCAGTGGCAGGGTCTCAGCTCACTGCAACCTCTGCCTCTCGGATTCAAGTGATTCTCCTGCCTCAGCCTCCCATGTAGCTGGGATTCCAGGAGCCCGCCACCACACTGGCTAATTTTTGTATTTTTAGTAGAGATGGAGTTTCACCACGTTGGCCAGACGGGTCTCGAACTCCTGACCTCAGGTGATCCACCGGCCTTGACTTCCCAAAGTACAGGGATTACAGGCATGAGTCACAGCACCCAGCCCATGAGCCCAAGCGGCTGAGGCTGCAATGAACTTTGATGGTGCCACTGCGCTCCAGACTGGGCAACAGAGTGAGATGGAGTCTTTTTTTCTTATATATGGAGTCTCACTCTGTTGCCCAGGCTAGAGTGCAGTGGCGTGGTCTTAAGAAAAAAAAAAAGGCCGGTCACAGTGGCTCACATCTACAATCCCAGCACTTTGGGAGGCGTTAGCGGGGAGGATCACTTGAGCCCAGGAATTCAACACCAGCCTGGGCAACACAGTGAGACCCCAATCTCTACAAAACCAAAAAAATTAGCCAGGCATAGTGGTTACATGCCTGTAGTCCCAGCTACTTGGGAGGCTGAGGTAGGAGGATTACTTTAGCCCAGGAGTTCAGGGCTGCCGTGAGCTGTGATGGTGCCACTGCACTCCAGCCTGGACTATAGAGCCAGACCCCAACTCAAAAAAAATTAAAAAAATAAAAAATCACCACCTCAAGGAGGCCTTCCCTGATTACTCTCAAGGAATAGATGCTCCCTGACCTCACTGGTGTCTGCTGAGGCCACTGCCATTCCTTTCCCCCACTGCAGTTCTCATTTCACGACTTCCTGTGTCTCTCTTGCCCTAGATTGTCAGCTTCTGAAGGGCAGGGATTTTCATCTGTTTTGGTCATGCCTGTGTCTGTGTTCCCCACACCCAGCATAGGGCCTGGCATATACTAGGCGGTATTTGTGTAGCTGAGTACTGGAGACTATCTCAGAATTCCACAAGCTCTGAGCGACTTATACCCATCTTACAGATGGGGTTGTTGAGCCTCAGCAAGACATGACCTTCCAAAGGTCATACAGACAGTGAGGTTCTTTGGTTTTTTTTTTATGTTAAATTTTTAGAGACAGGGTGTTGCTTTGTCACCCAGGCTGGAGTGCAGTGGTGCAATCATAGCTCACCGCAGCCTCGAACGCCTGGGCTCAAGCGATCCCTTCACTTAGTCTCTTAAATAGCTGGGCCCACGGTGCACGCCACCATACCCAGCTACTTTTTAAATATTTATTGTAGAGATGAGGTCTTGCTATGTTCCCAGGCTGGTCTGGAACTCCTGGGCTCAAGCAATCCTCCCACCTCGGGCTTCCAAAGTGCTGGGACTACAGGCGTGAGCCACTGCACCCGTCTTAGACAAGTGAGGTTTCAAACCCAGACTGCGGGCTCACTAGGGGAGTGAGTCACACAGCCTCACATGCGCACAGTCAGAAAGGTCGCCTCTACCTCTTCTGTCCTCCAGCCCTGCAAGAAGCCTCAAGCCTGAGCGTGCAGCAGGGGCCCAACTTGCTGCAGGTGAGGCAGGGCAGTCAGGCGACCCTGGTCTGCCAGGTGGACCAGGCCACAGCCTGGGAACGGCTCCGTGTTAAGTGGACAAAGGATGGGGCCATCCTGTGTCAACCGTACATCACCAACGGCAGCCTCAGCCTGGGGGTCTGCGGGCCCCAGGGACGGCTCTCCTGGCAGGCACCCAGCCATCTCACCCTGCAGCTGGACCCTGTGAGCCTCAACCACAGCGGGGCGTACGTGTGCTGGGCGGCCGTAGAGATTCCTGAGTTGGAGGAGGCTGAGGGCAACATAACAAGGCTCTTTGTGGACCCAGGTACGGGAGCCAGCGGGGAGAGGGAGGGGCAGTGGGGAGGATCCTAGAATCTTAAGACTTTTGAGTCTTAAACTCCTAGAAACAAAAAACTCTAAATTCTTCATATCAAACTTTTTTTTTTTTTTTTAAGAGACAGAGTCTTGCTCTGTCGTCCAGGCCTTGGAGTGCAGGGGCGCGATCTCGGCTCACTGCAACCTCCGCCTCCTAGGTTCAAGCGATTCTCCCGCCTCAGCCTCCCAAGTAGCTGGGATTACAGGCACGTGCCAGCACGCCCAGCTAATTTTTGTATTTTTAGTAGAGACGAGGTTTCACCATGTTGGCCAGGATAGTCTCGATCTCTTGACCTCGTGATCTGCCTGCCTCAGCCTCCCAAAGTACTGGGATTACAGGCCTGAGCCACCATGCCCGGCCCATAATCCAAGAATTTTAGGATACAAAATTGAAAGTCATCAGCCAGGCATAGTGGCTGATGCTTGTAATCCCAGCATTTTGGGAGGCTAAGGCAAGAGGATCACCTGAGCCCAGGAGCTGGAGGCTGCAGTGAGCTATGAGTGCACCACTGCACTCCAGCCTGGGCGACAGAGCGAGACCCTGTCTCTAAATAAAATAAAGCCATCAGCTGGGCGCGGTAGCTCATCCCTGTAATCCTAGCACTTTGGAAGGCCAAGGTGGGTGGATCACCTGAGGTCAGGGGTTCGAGACCAGCCTGGCCAACATGATGAAAACCCCCTCTCTACTAAAAATACAAAAAGTAGCTGGGCATGGTGGTGTGAGCCTGTAATTCCAGCTACTCAGGAGGCTGAGGCAGGAGAATCCGGGAGGGGGAGGTTGCAGTGAGCTCAGATTGTACCACTGCACTCCAGCCTGGGCTACAGAGCAAGACTCTGTCTCAAAAAAAAAAAAAAAAAAAAGCCACAGACTCTCAAAGTTGGAAGAAACCCTCCAGATAGCTTTCCAGGTCAGCAACGCCAGCTGCCTCACTTTACAGATGAGCCAGGTGAACCAGAGAGGGCCAAGACATATCTAGCGTTATGCACCAGGCAGGGGTGCACCCTATGCACTGTCCCCTTTGCCATGTCCCCCACTTATGGACCCATCCTGGGCAGAATCGGGAAACCCAAGGGGATGCAGGCTTTGCCTCCTGCTCTGTGAGAGGTGCCTGTGGGCCCCGGGCCTCTGTCCAGCCCCCTCTGGCAGAATGAAGCACCCAGCTCTCAGCCCCTAGAGATGCCTGTTCCTCTCCAGCTGGTAGGACCAGCCTGCTGGCGGGGGACACGTGCCTGCCTCAAGGGAGGGGTGTGTTATGGCTGTGTTACCCACCTCTTCCCACCCCTCTGATGTCAAAGGGGCCAATTAGCAATTAGAGGAGGCGGGGTGGTGGAGGCGCCAGGCTGTGCGTTGGCAGCTGTGAGAGAGCAGGGAGTGGGCGCGGGTCCAACCCCACACAGCTGGCTTCCCCACACCCCACCAATCCTGAACAGCAGCTTGGCAGTCCCCAGGGATCCCCTGCCAACCTCAGAGGCTGCAAAAGAAGGGGGTTGGGGTGCTGGACCTTATCTTAATTGCGGCATTCACAGCCTTTAGCTGGGGTTCCTGTAAATTATACAACCTGGATTCAATCCTCTGTTTCATTTACTTGCTGTGTGACCTTGAGCAAGTGACTTGACCTCTCTGTGCCAGTTCCCTCTGCTGTCAAAATACAGTGAATAGTTTTTCCTCATCAGGTCGGGTGACTTTAGAGCAGTTATAGCCAAAGTGCTTGCTATAATCCAAGTGCAGTGGCTCACGCCTGATATCCCAGCACTTTGGGAGGCCAAGGTGGGAGGATTGTTTGAGGCCAGGAGGTCGAGACCAGCTTGGCCAACACAGCAAGACCTCATCTCTACAAGAAATTCTAAAATTAGCCAGGCATGGTGGCATATACCCATAGTCCCAGCTACTTGAGAGGTTGAGGCGGGAGGATCACTTGAGCCCAGGAGTTGGAGACTGCAGTGAGCTACGATCACGCCACTGCACTCCAGCCTGGGTGACACAGAGCGACCCTGTCTCCAGAAAAACAAACAACAACAACAAAACAATGCTTAGCACAGGGCCTGAGACATAGTAAGTTCTCAAGGAACTTCAGTGTTAGGATCTCCGAGCTGAGGTGAGACAGGGCTTTGTCCAAAGCTGGTTCCTGCTGCCGCCTGGGTAGGGGACCCTAGGCAAGTGACTTAGGCTCTCTGAGCCTCGGTTTCCCCGTCTATAAAATGGGCGTGGCATGGAGTAGAGGCTCAAACAAAAACAAAAACAACCAAACAGGATCTGGAGAGTGATAGATCCCAGGATAAAGATGGCGGGGCTCATGATGACAAATCCCAGTTGGCAGTTTTTCCACAATGACCCAACAAGACAGGGACGATGAGCCTCATTTTTCTTTTTTTTTTTCGAGACAGTCTCGCTCTGTCGCCCAGGCTGGAGTGCAGTGGCTCGATCTTGGCTCACTGCAAGCTCCGCCTCCCGGGTTCACACCATTCTCCTGCCTCAGCCTCCCGAGTAGCTGGGACTACAGGTGCCCACCACCATGGCCGGCTAATTTTTTGTATTTTTAGTAGAGACGGGGTTTCACTGTGTTAGCCAGGATGGTCTCGATCGCCTGACCTTGTGATCCGCCTACCTCGGTCTCCCAAAGTGCTAAGATTACAGGTGTGAGCCACTGCGCCTGGCCTTCTTTTTTTTTTTTTTTGAGGCAGAGTCTTGCTCTGTCACCCAGGCTGGAGCGTAGTGACACGATCTCGGCTCACTGCAACCTCCCCCTCCTGGATTCAAGCGATTCTCCTGCCTCAGCCTCCTGAGTAGTTGGGATTAAAGGCGCCACCACCATGCCTGGCTAATTTTTATATTTTTTTGTAGAGATGGGGTTTCACCATGTTGGCCAGGCTGGTCTCGAACTCCTGACCTCGAGTGATCCTCCTGCCTCAGCCTCCCAGAGTGCTCGGATTACAGGCCTGAGCCACCGCGTCCTGCTGAGCCTCATTTTTCAGAAGAAGAAACAGAGGTTCAGAGTGAACACTTGCCCAAATCCACAAAGCCTGGCAGGAGGAGGAACACTTAGGTCCCCCCAAGTGAGCTCTGTCCTTGGAGGGTGGAGAAGCCTGGCACCCCCGTGACATAGATTTCTTCTCTGCAGATGACCCCACACAGAACAGAAACCGGATCGCAAGCTTCCCAGGTGAGCCCTGCCCTGTGTTCCTCCCCCAGCGTCTTCCACCCGCATCACCACCCCTTCCCCTCCTGATTAGACCATCTCTTCTCCCCCTACCCAGGATTCCTCTTCGTGCTGCTGGGGGTGGGAAGCATGGGTGTGGCTGCGATCGTGTGGGGTGCCTGGTTCTGGGGCCGCCGCAGCTGCCAGCAAAGGGACTCAGGTAACAGCCCAGGTAAGGGAGGGTAGGGCGGAGGAGGTGGGAACTGCAGCTGCTTGACAAAGACCCACTGCATCTGTGCTCCCGCCTGGGGGAAGGATGGAGGAGGGATGAAGGGAGGAGAAGCCTGGCTCCTATATCCTATGCTCATGTTTTTCAGAAATAGAGACAAAGCCCCTAGCCTGTGCAACCTAGCAAGATCCCATCTCTACAAAAAAATTACAAATTGCTGGGCGCGGTGGCTCATGCCTGTCATCCCAGCATTTTGGGAGGCCGAGGTGGGCGAATCACCTGAGGTCAGCCTGGACAATATGGTGAAACCTTGTATCTACTAAAAATACAAAAAATTAGCTAGGTGTGGTGGCAGACGCCTGTAATACCAGCTACTTGGGAGGCTGAGGCAGGAGGATCGCTTGAACCCGGGAGGCAGAGGTTGCAGTGAGCCAAGATCGCGCCACTGAACTCTAGCCTGGGTGACAGAGCAAGACGCGGTCTCAAAAAAAAAAAAATTTAAAAATTAGGCTGTGCATGGTGTCTCATGCCTGTCATCCCAGCACTTTGGGAGGCTGAGGCGGGTGGATCACTTGAGGTCAGGAGTTTGAGACCAGCCTGGGCGACATGGTGAAACCCAGTCTCTACTAAAAATACAAACATTACCCAGGCGTGGTGGCCTGTGCCTGTAGTCCCAGCTGCTTGGGAGGTTGAGGCAGGAGAATCACTGGAACCCAGGAGGCAGAGATTGCAGTGAGCCCAGACTGCCTCACTACACTCCAGCCTGGGCGACACAGCCAGACTCCATCTCAACAACAACAAAAAAATTAGCCTGGCTTGGTGGCACACGCCTGTGGTCCCAGCTACTTGGGAGGCTGAGGTGTGAGGATTGCTTGAACCTGGGAGGCGGAGGCTGCAGTGAGCTATAGTTTCCCCACTGTACTCCAGCCTGGGTGACAGAGAGAGACCCTGTCTCAAAAAACAAACAAACAAACAAAAAGACAGTTTGAAATTAAAAAAAAAAAAAAATTGGCCGGGTGCAGTGGCTCATGCATGTAATCCCAGCATTTTGGGAGGCCACGGCGGGCGAATCACGAGGCCAGGAGTTCGAGACCAGCCTGGCCAACGTGGTGAAACCCCATCTCTGCTAAAAATACAAAAAATTAGCCAGACGTAGTAGCGGGGGCTTGTAATCCCAGCTACTAGGGAGACTGAGGCAGGAGAATCACTTGAACCTGGGAGGTGGAGACTGCAGTGAGCTGAGATCGCACCGCTGCTACACTCCAGCCCAGGTGACAGAGTAAGACTGTCTCAAAAAAAAAAAAAAAAAGGCCGGGCGCGGTGGCTCACGCCTGTAATCCCAGCACTTTGGGAGGCCGAGGCGGGTGGATCACGAGGTCAGGAGATCAAGACCATCCTGGCTAACAGTGAAACCCCGTCTCTACTAAAAATACAAAAAATCAGCCAGGCATGGTGGCGGGAGCCTGTAGTCCCAGCTAGTTGGGAGGCTGAGGCAGGAGAATGGCGTGAACCCAGGAGGCGAAGCTTGCAGTGAGCCGAGATTGCGCCACTGCACTCCAGCCTGGGCGACAGAGTGAGACTCCGTCTCACAGAAAAAAAAAAAAAGAGACAGATCCCCCAGAGGTCAGCTGGAGAGGGCAGGACTCTCTTAAGTGATCCTCTTGGTCTGTGTCATCCATCCTAGGAAATGCATTCTACAGCAACGTCCTATACCGGCCCCGGGGGGCCCCAAAGAAGAGTGAGGACTGCTCTGGAGAGGGGAAGGACCAGAGGGGCCAGAGCATTTATTCAACCTCCTTCCCGCAACCGGCCCCCCGCCAGCCGCACCTGGCGTCAAGACCCTGCCCCAGCCCGAGACCCTGCCCCAGCCCCAGGCCCGGCCACCCCGTCTCTATGGTCAGGGTCTCTCCTAGACCAAGCCCCACCCAGCAGCCGAGGCCAAAAGGGTTCCCCAAAGTGGGAGAGGAGTGAGAGATCCCAGGAGACCTCAACAGGACCCCACCCATAGGTACACACAAAAAAGGGGGGATCGAGGCCAGACACGGTGGCTCACGCCTGTAATCCCAGCAGTTTGGGAAGCCGAGGCGGGTGGAACACTTGAGGTCAGGGGTTTGAGACCAGCCTGGCTTGAACCTGGGAGGCGGAGGTTGCAGTGAGCCGAGATTGCGCCACTGCACTCCAGCCTGGGCGACAGAGTGAGACTCCGTCTCAAAAAAAACAAAAAGCAGGAGGATTGGGAGCCTGTCAGCCCCATCCTGAGACCCCGTCCTCATTTCTGTAATGATGGATCTCGCTCCCACTTTCCCCCAAGAACCTAATAAAGGCTTGTGAAGAAAAAGCAAAGCTGGTGTTTGTGGCGATTTGGGAGTGCTAAAAAGATCTGAAGAAATCGGGTGCGGTGGCTCACGCCTCTAATCCCAGCACTTTGGGAGGCTGCGGTGGAAGGATCACTTGAAGCCAAGAGTTTGAGACCAGCCTGGGCAATAGAGCAAGAAGACTCCATTTCTACAGAAAATTTAAAAACAAGGCCAGACGCGGTGGCTTGCGCCTGTAATCCCAACACTTTGGGAGGCCGAGGTGGGCGGATCACCTGAGGTCAGGAGTTCGAGACCAGCCTGGCCAACATGGTGAAACTCCGTCTCTACGAAAAATACAAAATTTAGCCGGGCGTGATGGTGCAGCTGATGTCTCTGGTCTCAGATATTTGGGAGGCTGAGAGGGGAGGACCACTTCAGCCCTGGAGGTTGAGGTTGCAGTGAGCTCTAATTATGTCACTGCCCTCCAGCCTAGGTGGTAGAGTGAGACCCTGTCACATACACGCACCAAAAAGACTTAAGGGGTCATCTGGGGTCCCAGAGCTCTCAGGGGTGGCTGGAGAGGCCCACTGTGGCCAAGGGACTTTGTGGCAACTCAAAGCCCCCCTCCCACCTTATAGGGACAAATCCAAGGAGGAAGAAGTGGTACTCTGGCTTCCAAACAGTCCCCTGCCATGGAAGACCCCCCCCGCAGCTGGCATCACTCCCAGGCAGGCCTGGAGGTGGGGAGAAGAAGGGGAGGTCAGGAGATTCATGGTGTTTACCAGCCCCCCAGGTCTCCTGCCTGCCTGGCCTGTCACCTTGAAGTGACACCAGCTAGGCCCAGCTCCCCTCCCCTACTTCTGCTGTTTCCATGGGGACAGATGTCCTTTCTGCAGATCAAGCCACTGCTGCCGGGGGGAGGGAGCGGGGCTGGCCCGAGAGCCTGGCCCCCCTCAGTTTCTCCATCTTTGTATCTGTCGGTTTCTATGGAGTGCGGTTTTTAATCTGCTCCACGACGCTCTGTCTCTTGCTGAGTTCTGGTCCCTCCCTATGGGAGATTCAGGTTCCAATCCCAACTCTGTCCCCAAAACAAAGTGCTGGGGATGTGCTTGGCCCTCAAGGCCTCGAGGGTTTTTTATGTTTGTTTGTTCTGAGATGGAGGCGTTTCACTCTTGTTCCCCAGACTGGAGTGTAATGGTGCGATCTCAGCCCACTGCAATCTCCGCCTCCTGGGTTCAAACGATTCTCCTGCCTCAGCCTCCCGAGTATCTGGGATTAGACGCATGCGCCACCACGCCCGGTTAATTTTGTATTTTTAGTAGAGACGCGGTTTCTCCGTGTTGGTCAGGATGGTCTCGAACTCCCAACCTCAGGTGATCTGCCTGCCTCAACCTCCCAAAGTGCTGGGATTACAGGCGTGAGCCACCGTGCCTGGCCTCCTCCAGGGTTTCAATTACCCCATTATCCCCCTCTCCAGGGCTGCTTAGGGCTTTCCCGCTGGGAGTCAACGATCCCACTTCCCTCTGTAGCCCAGAAAGGACACTAAGACAAACAATAACTTATTTATTTTCTAGGCCATGGGAGGGCTTTGGGATACGATTCTGGGCCCGAGGACTCAAAAGGGGGCCGAGGGTCACTGTCAGGGGGTCTGCGTGACCACGGGGTACAGCAGAGCCAGATGCTCGGCACCCTGCACCGGCAGTGGGCGTGAACTGTAGTGGAGGACGAGCTCGGGCACGCTGGGGAAGGGCCCGCTGTGTTGGCCCAGCACCACCTGGTTCTCACGGGTCCGCGCGAACTTCAGATGCAGGAAGCCCTGGCTGCTCCTGGGCGATGAGGGAGAAAGGGACTCCTGAGCATCCCGGACCCACCCAGAAAGGCACCATCCCCAAAGCCACCTCCCACAGTGCCCAGGCCAGGTGCTCGTGTGTCTCCAGTCTCTGGTAAACAGCAGTGTGGTGGCTGGTATACTCGCTCACACCTGTAATCCCAGTGATATGGGAAGCTGAGGCTGTAGGCTTACTCCAGGCCAGGCGTTAGAGACCAGCCTGGCCAACAGAGTGAGACCCCGTCTCCACCAAAAAACATTTAAAAATTAGGCGGGTGCGGTGGCTCACGCCTGTAATCCCAGCACTTTGGGAGGCCGAGTCAGGCAGATCACTTGAGGTTACGAGTTTGAGACCAGCCTGGCCAACATGGTGAAACCCCATCTCCACTAAAAATACAAAAATTAGCCGGGCGTGGTGGCGGGTGCCTGTGGTCCCAGCTACTCAAGAGGCTGAGGCATGAGAATCCCTTGAACCTGGGAGGCAGAGGCTGCAGTGAGCTGATATTGTGCCACTGCACCCCAGCCTGGGTGACAGAGTGAGACTCTGTCTCAAAATAATAATAATAAAAAAATAGGCTGGGCGCGGTGGCTCACGCCTGTAATCACAGCACTTTGGGAGGCCAAGGCAGGCGGATCACGAGGTCAGGAGATGGAGACCATCCTGGCTAACACGGTGAAACCCCGTGTCTACTAAAAAATACAAAAAATTAGCTGGGTGTGGTGGTGGGCGCCTGTAGTCCCAGCTACTCGGGAGGCTGAGGCAGGAGAATGGCGTGAACCCGGGAGGCGGAGCTTGCAGTGAGCCGAGATCGTGCCACTATACTCCAGCCTAGGCGACAGAGCGAGACTCTGTCTCAAAAAATAAATAAATAAATAAATAAATAATAATAATAATAAGAGGCCAGGTGCAGTGACCCACACCTGCAATCCCAGCACTTTGGGAGGCCGAGTCAGGCGGATTGCTTGAGGCCAGGAGTTTGAGACCAGCCTGGCCAACATGGCGAAACCCTGTCTGTACTAAGAATACAAAAATTAGCCGGGCATGGCGGCTCACACCTGTAATCCCAGCACTTTGGGAGGCTGAGGCGGGCGGATCACGAGGTCAGGAGATCGAGACCATCCTGGCTAACACAGTGAAACCCCGTCTCTACTAAAAATACAAAAAAATTAGCCGGGCGTGGTGGTGGGCGCCTGTAGTCCCAGCTACTCGGGAGGCTGAGGCAGGAGAATGGCGTGAACCCGGGAGGCAGAGCTTGCAGTGAGCCGAGATCGCGCCACTGCACTCCAGCCTGGGTGACAGAGCTAGACTCCGTCTCAAAAAAAAAAAAAAAAAAAAAAAAATTAGCTGGGCACGGTGGTATGCGCCGAAAGTCTTCCGTCTCCCAGGTTCAAGCAATTCTCCTGCCTCAGCCTCCGAGGTAGCTGGAATTACAGGTATGCACCACTATGCCCAACTAATATTTGTATTTTTAGGAGAGAAGGGGTTTCACCATGTTGGCCAGGCTGGTCTCGAACTCCTGACCTCAAGTGATCCACCTTCCTCAGCCTTCCAAAGTGCTGGGATTACAGACGTCAGCTGCCGCGCTCAGCCCCAATCTCGTGCTTTTAGATCTTCCACTCAGACACCTAGCAGAATCTTAGGAGTGGTTTATAATTAGACAGACTTAGAATTTTAGGGACGGAAGTGCGTACAAACAGGGTCTCAACCTAAAACGCTTACAGGTACACCCTGAAATTTTGGCTTCAGATGGACACAAATTGATATACCTCCATTTTTGGACAAGGGGAGTCCAGAGGAATCTTGTGCACCTAGTTCCTTGTCTTACCCAAGGCCTGGACCTCCTCGATGCCTTCCACTCCATCTTCTTGTATACCTCCAGCGATGGTGAGCTCATTCTCAATTGCAACCAGCTAATGGCCTCCCCAGAACTCCCACCCCTTCTCCTAGAAGTCCCACCCACTGACCTGGAAGCCCTTCCCTATGGCTGCGGGAGCCACACCCTCCCCTTCCCTCTGAATTAACCCAAAAGGGTGACTCACGCAATCCTGTGACCCTTCGTCCCTGTGAGGCTGAGTTCTCACCTGAGAGACAAGGAGCAGTCCTGGGGGTTGGTCTCACTGAGCCGCACTAGGTAGCTGCCTTCCTTGCAGAGGGACAGGAGGCTCTCTGCATCCGCCCTGTTCAGGGGGCCATGAAACCACCTAGCGAGTATGGACAGATGTCTCATCAAGGGCCATTCCCTTCAAACACACTCTGGGGCCCTGTAATCCCAGCACTTTGGGAGGCTGACGCGGGCGGATTGCCTGAGGTCAGGAGTTCGAAACCAGTCTCCCTAACATGGTGAAACCCCGTTTCTACTAAAAATACAAAAAAAATTAGCCGGGCGTGGTGGCGGGTGCCTGTAATCCCAGCTACTCAGGAGGCTGAGGTAGGGAAATTGCTTGAACCAGGGAGGTGGAAGTTGTGAGCTGAGATTGCACCACTGCACTCCAGCCTGGGCAACAGAGTGAGACTCTGTCTCAAAACAAACGAACAAACAAACAAACAAACAAAAAAACACACTCTGGGATCTGTTGGGTCACAGCTGGTGCATGGGCTTGTGGCATCTGGGCAAATGAAGAAGGACAATTCCCTTGGAGTTTTCTTTTTTCTTTTTTTTTGAGACAGAGTCTTGCTCTGTTGCCAGGTTGGAGTGCAGTGGTGCAATCTTGGCTCACCACAACCTCCGCCTCCTGGGTTCAAGCGATTCTCCTGCCTCAGCCTCCAGAGTAGCTGGAACTACAGGCGCATAGCACCACACATGGCTAATTTTTGCATTTTTAGTAGAGATGGGGTTTCACCATGTTGGCCAGGCTGGTCTCGAACTCCTAACCTCAGGTTATCTGCCCTCCTTGGCCTCCCAAAGTACTGGGATTACAGGCTTGAGCCACCATGCCCGGCCAATACCCTTGGATTTTTCAAGAGGAGCCCTGGTTATCGTACACTTGACATTGATCTTCACAGCCTCCCTCATGTCCTTGTCAACTTCAACCACTTTCACAAAAGTGGTGCTTCATCTTGTACCTCACCCACCTGTCCCTTTCTGTTTTTTTCTTTTTCTTTCTTTTTTTTTGAGACAGAGTCTCGCTCTGTCACCCAGGCTGGAGTGCAGTGGCACGATCTCGGCTCACTGTAAGCTCCGCCTCCCCGGTTCACGCCATTCTCCTGCCTCAGCCTCCCAAGTAGCTGGGACTACAGGCACCCGCCACCACGCCCAGCTAATTTTTTGCATTTTTCGTAAAGACTGGGTTTCACCATGTTAGTCAGGCTGGTCTCAATCTCTAACCTTGTGATCCGCCCACCTCGGCCTCCCAAAGTGCTGGGATTACAGGCATGAGCCACTGCGCCCGGCTGCCTGGCTAATTTTTTTCTATTTTTAGTAGAGATGGGGTTTCACCATGTTGGCCTGGCTGGTCTCAAACTCTTGACCTCAGGTTATCCGCTGCTTCAGCCTCCCAAAGTGCTGGGATTACATCCATGAGCCACCTTACCCAGCCCCTTTCTTAATGTTTTTTTGTTTTATTTTGAGATGGAGTCTCACTCTGTCGCCAGGCTGGAGTACAGTGGCGTGATCTCAGCTCACTGCAACCTCCACCTCGCAGGTTCAAGAGATTCTCCTGCCTCAGCCTCCCGAGTAGCTGGGATTACAGGCACGCACCACCATGTCCGGCTAATGATGGAGTTTCACCATGTTGGCCAGGATGGTCTTGATCTCTTGACCTCATGATCTGCCCACCCCGGCCTCCCAAAGTGCTGGGATAACAGGCGTGAGCCACCGTGCCTGGCCTAATGTTTTGCTTTAATGTGCTCACAAAGGGGTTTGCAGTAGCAAGCAAGATATCAAAGACAGAGAAGCACCAGAGCCTTTGCTGTTGTTCACAATGAAAGAAATCTGAAAAGAGAATAAGCACATATGGCGTGCCTGTGGTCCCATGGAGAGGCTGAGGCTGGAGGATCGCTTGATCCCAGGAGTGCAGGGGTACAGTGAGCTGATTGTGCCACTGCACTTCAGCCTGGGCAACAGAGTGAGACCCTGTCTCAAAAGAAAGAAAGAAAGAGAGAAAGAAAGGAAGGAAGGAAGGAAGGTAGGAAGGAAGGAAGGAAGGAAGGAAGGAAAGAAAAAAAGAAAGAAAGAAAGAAAGAGAGAAAGAAAGAAAGAAAGAAAGAAAGAAAAGAAAGAAAGAAAGAAAGAAAGAAAGAAAAAGAAAGAGCGGGCCAGGTGCGGTGGCTCATGGCTGTCATCCCAACACTTTGGGAGGCCAAGGCAAGCACATCACCTGAGGTCAGGAGTTTGAGACCAGCCTGGCTAACATGGTGAAACTCTGTCTCTACTAAAAATACAAAAATTAGCCTGGTGTGGTGCCAGGAGCCTGTATTCCCAGCTACTTGGGAGGCTGAGGCAAGAGAATTGCTTGAACCAGGGAGGCGGAGGTTGCAGTGAGCTGAGATTGTGTCATTGCACTCCAGCCTGGGCGACAAGAGCGAGGCTCTGTCAAAAAAAAAAAAAAAAAAAAAGAAAGGAAAAGAAAAGAAAGAGAAGAGAAGAGAAGGAGGAAGGGCCGGGCGGGGTGGCTCACACCTGTAATCCCAGCACTTTGGGAGGCCGAGGTGGATGGATCATGAGGTCAGGAGTTCCAGACCAGCCTGGCCAACATACTGAAACTCTGTCTCTACTGAAAATACAAAAATTAGCTAGGCATGGTGGTGCACGCCTGTAGTCCCACCTACTCTGGAGGCTGAGGCATGAGAATCGCTTGAACCTGTGAGATGGAGGTTGCAGTGAGCCGAGGTCGCGTCACTGCACTCCAGCCTGGGCGACACAGCAAGACTCGGGGAGGGAGGGAGGGAGGAAGAGAAAGAAAAAAAGAGAACAATCTTCACACCCTCGGCCTCAGAGTTAAATAGCCAGTTCTGTATTGCCCACCGAAGAGATTTTAGGGGTGACTGTGACAACATGGTCTGGATTCTGGGGACTTGGGCACTCCCTCAAGGAGCGCCCAGGCTGGAAGGACACAGAGTCAGCGTCTCCCGGCTCACGTGCCACCCCAGCACGGAGCTGTGAGCCCACCAAAATCCTGCATCTCCTGGTTCCATCCCAAGAACCAAGAACTGGCTGAGAATGATTTCTGTCTCTTGGCTCTGAGGCTGTAAGCCCCACCCAAGTTAAGGAAGGAAATTGCCTTTTCTGTTTGAACCTGAGGCTCAGAGAGGTTAAGTGACTTGCCCCAGGCTACACAGCCAGGAGAGGAGAGCAGGAATGTGAACCCAGAACTTGATACCAAAGGAAAAGGGACCCCATAAGATTGTTTTGTGTCTAGCTGGGTGCCTGGCACGCAGCAGGCTCTGGAGCCCGTAAAGATTAGCTGAAGAAATAAGTGGATGAATGAATCGAAGTTCCCCCAGTTCCTCTAATCTGGGAAACGAAAAAACTTCTGCCTGATACATTGGAGTCTACAGATACGTTCAACGGGGCTCTTCCACCTTCAGCTTCCCCACTCACGGCTGTTTCTCCAGGGGCAGGGCTGGGTCCACACGCTCCGCAGGCTGGGGGCTTCTGGGCGGAGGTCTCCGGAGCTCCTTGGCTGAGCCTGGAGTCCTCTCCCACTCTGGACTGTCAAACTGCACTGGAAAGGAGATTTAGAGAGGAAAGGGTTAAGTCCAGCCTACCTTGGGGGGCGGGGCAGGGGCAAGCCAATGGAATCTCGGTAGAAAGGCAGGGCCAGCTTGGGACAACCTATCACAGCCCAGGGGCTGGGCTTAAGGCAGGGGCAGGATTGGCCACAGGTGCAACCTTTTGGCCTTCCTAAGAAATAGGTGCGGTCATTTATAAATCTGGTGGCAAGGAGCACAAGGGGCGTGGCTAGACGGGGTCGGTTCGAAGTTTCCAAAGAGGAGCCCTAGTCCCTAAACCCCTTCTGGGGTTCAGCCCAGACTGTGGCCAAGTCCTAAAACTAGAAAATCACCCCCAATCTACAGACAGGTGGACAAAGGCACTAAGCTCTAAATACCCTCCCAGTCATAAAACTTTGGGGGCAAAGTCGTGTTTGCACAACTCTTCCTGGTCCAAATTTTATTTATTTTATTTTATGTATTTGTTTATTTAGAGACAAAGTTTTGCTCTCGCTGCTCAGGCTGGAGTGCAATGGCACGATCTTGGCTCACCGCAACCTCCGCCTCCAGGTTCAAGCAATTCTCCTACCTCAGCCTCCTGAGTAGCTGGGATTACCGGCATGCACCACCACGCCCGACTAATTTTGCATTTTTAGTAAGACGGGGTTTCTCCATGTTGGTCAGGCTGGTCTCGAACTCCTGACCTCAAACGATCCACCCGCCTCGGCCTCTCAAAGTGCTGGGATTACAGGCGTGAGCCACCGTGCCCGGCAATTATTTTATTTTTTAAAACTGATTTTATCATTATCTCTTTTACAGAAGAGAAAACTAAGGTTCAGAGGCTTCTCCAAGCTCATCCAATTCAGCTGGAAATTCACCTGTAGTTTACTAGCAGCTATTAAGAAATGCTGCCCCGGGCGGGGGCGCGGTGGCTCCTGCCTGTAATCCCAGCACTTTGGGAGGCCGAGGCGGGTGGATCACGAGGTCAGAAGATCGAGACCATCCTGGCTGACATGGTGAAACCCCGTCTCTACTAAAAATACAAAAAATTAGCCGGGCGTGGTGGCGGGCGCCTGTAGTCCCAGCTACTCGGGAGGCTGAGGCAGGAGAATGGCGTGAACCCAGGAGGCGAAGCTTGCAGTGAGCCGAGATCACGCCACTGCACTCCAGCCTGGGCGACAGAGTGAGACTCCGCCTGGAAGAAAAACGAAAGAAAAATAAAATAAAATAAAATAAAATAAAGAAATGCTGCCCCTGCCACCCCCACATCCTATTCTAAAAGCAAGCCATATTCCTCTCCCCACACCACACTGAGCAGGATAAGTAGGTTCCATTCCACTCTAAAAAGTGTTTGCGTTTCCAAGGAAGATGCAGGTTGTCTTGGAAGAAAGAATTTAGGACTATCAGTCATTCACACTCTAGTGAGAATTAACAAACTACAAAAGTGACAAGTAATTGGACTCTACTTTGTAAACTGAAACAGGAGACATGACCAGATGAGGAAATGCAGGGATGGGGCATTCAGATGTCAGAGTGTGGGTCTGAGAAGCACCTGCAAACGCCCTGGAGATGTGGTCTTTCTTCCACTCCCAGGGCTGATCATACTCATCTGCTGGCCGTTCATCTTCCTGGGGCATCCGGCTCTGCCGAGGCTTCTGCCCAGAAGGGGGTCCATCTGCTGTCTCTGGGTCCTGTTCCTCATAAGGGGTGTCATAGAGCTGCACCCCTCTGCCGGGAAGTTCTAGGAGGCCAGGGACACTGTTCAGCTCCTGCTCCCATCTGGGACCCTGTCACCTTCCCCCAAGCCGTGCCTACTCACCACTCATGACCCATTGGGCATCGTAGGGCTCCATGTACCCATCATCCGGGGGTGCAGGATGAGGCTGAGCATCAAAGGGGTCTAAATACTCAGTGTCGGCTTCCAGCTGCGGAGAGAAGGAAGGGGAGAAGACAAGGACTCAGAGGGGCTTCCCTGCTAATTGACGCTGCACCTCTTGCCTGCCCACAGGGCCATCTGACACCTCTCCAAGAGTTTTTATTTTTTTATTATTTATTTATTTATTTTTATTTTTATTTTTTGAGATGGAGTCTCGCTCTGTCACCCAGGCTGGAGTGCAGTGGCGGGATCTGGGCTCACTGCAAGCTCTGCCTCCTGGGTTCACGTCATTCTCCTGCCTCAGCCTCCCGAGTAGCTGGGACTACAGGCGCCCGCCACCATGCCTGGCTAACTTTTTGTAGAGATGGGGTTTCACCGTGTTAGCCGGGATGGTCTCGATCTCCTGACCTCGTGATCTGCCCGCCTCGGGCTCCCAACGTGCTGGGATTACAGGCGTGAGCAACCGCGCCCAGCTGAGTTTTATTTATTTATTTATTTTGAGATGGAGTCTTGCTCCGTTGCCCAGGCTACAGTGCAGTGGTGTGATCTCGGCTCACTGCAACCTCCGACTCCCGGGATCAAGCAATTCTCCTGCCTCAGTCTCTGGAGTAGCTGGAATTACTGGTGCCGGCCACCAAACCTGGCTAATTTTTGCATTTTTAGTAGAGACAGGGTTTCACCATGTTGGCCAGGCTGGTCTTCAACTCCTGACCTCAGATGATCCGCCCGCTTCAGCCTCTCAAAGTGCTGGGATTACAGGCATGAGCCACAGTGCCTGGCCTCTCCAAGAGTTCTTTTTGGGGGTTGGAGAGGGAGTCTGTTACCCAAAAGTGCTCGCAGACAGCGGCTGGCTTCCCACGTCTCCCTCTGTCTTGATCCCATTTCCCCAGCACAGACACCTGCCTCCCTCCTTCGCCCACTTCAGTGCTTCTCCGTGCACTATTGTCAAGGATTTACCTGTGTTGATTTGTAATACCAACATGTAATAAGTACACCATTCCCCTTTTCCAGACAAGGAAGCCAAGGCACAGAGACAGTAAGTGTTTTGCTTAGGGACACACAGCTGGTAAGTAAGAGGCCGAGTCTGATCCCGGCTGACTGGTTTCCTCGAGTCCCTGGCTCTTCTTACCAACGTCTTACTTCTTATTTATTTATTTATTGAGACAGAGTCTCGCTCTTGTCACCCAGGCTGGAGTGCAGTGGCGCGATGTTGGCTCACTGCAACCTCCACCTCCTGGGTTCAAGCAATTCTCCTGCCTCAGCCTCAGGAGTAGCTGGGATTATAGGCGCACGCCACATCGCCTGGTTAATTTTTGCATTTTTGGTAGAGATGGGGTTTCACTGTGTTGGCCAGGCTGGTCTGGAACTCCTGACCTCAGGTGATCCACCTGCCTTGGCCTCCCAAAGTGCTGGGATTACAGGTGTGAACCACCACACCCAGCCTTTTTTTTTTTTTTTTTTTTTTTTTTTGAGACAGGGTGTTGCTCTGTCACCCAGGTTGGAGTGCAGTGGCGCAATCATGACTCACTGCAGCTTTGACCTTCTAGGCTCAAGTGATCCTCCTGCCTCAGCCTCCTGAGTAGCTGGGACTATGGTGTGCACCACCACAACTAGCTAATGTTTTGATTTTTTTTTTGTAGAGACAAGGTCTCACTCTGTTAGCCCGGGCTGGTCTCGAACTCCTGGGCTCAAGCAATCCTCCCACCTCGACCTCCCAAAGTGCTGGAATTACAGGCATGAGCTACTGCACCCGGTGGCCTGGGTTCAAATCCTAGTAAGCTAGAACCCCGTGAGACCTTAGCCAAGTCACTACCGTTCTGCGAGCCTCAGTTTCGCTTCTGTAAAACGGGAACATAGTGGTAGGAAGGGCAGCATCACCGGGAGGATATTTAGGTGCCCAGCAGGGGAGCAACTCACTCAGATCTATTTTAGGAAGATCCCACCAGGTTCCAAGAGGAAGGGGTGCTGAGGGGAGGGGGCTGGGGGACTGCAGGGGATGACCATGGAGGAGGAGGAGGACCCGGAGACCAAGCAGGGTGGTCAGAGAGGCAGAAGGACAACCAGCATTATGCATTGAAAAGGGACAGATATCCACCGGGCGCAGTGACTCACACCTGTAATCCCAGCACTTCGGGAGGCAGAGGCGGGAGGATCACCTGAGGTCAGGAGTTTGAGTCCAGCCTGGCTAACATGGTGAAACCAGTCTCTACTGAAAATACAAAAATTAGCCGGGTGTGGTGGCACACACCTGTAATCTCAGCTACTGGAGAGGCTGAGGCAGGAGAATCGCTTGAACCCCAGGAGGTGGAGGTTGCAATGAGCCGAGATCCCACCACTGCACTCCAGCCTGGGTGACAGGGGGAGACTGTCTCAAAATAAATAAATACATAAAAAGAACAGACTTCCCCAAGCAGGTGGAGGTCTGGAGGACTGGGAAGGGTCTGTCTGGTGCCCCAGTCCCCTCCTGTGATCACACATAAAATAAGCTCTCCACGATCCAGAGAGCCCATCCTGAGCCTCCCCTCCACCCAGTCTCCCCAGGCCACCCAGCCACGCACCTCCTCCCCGGGGCCGCCCAGAAGGGCCTTGGCTCTGGCCATATCCGCAGCCTCCACCTTGATGAGCCGGTGCTTGGGAGAACCATACTTGGCATCTCCGGGGTTCTTGGAGTCCCCAGGGCCCGCGGGGTCCGGCTCCAAGCGGCTCTCCGCGTCCTCATAGGGGTCCTCGAAGTCCAGGTTCTTCTGCGCGCGGTAGGCCCTCAGGATGTCGCTCTCGGTGTAGTCCGGGGTGGGCGGCTGCGGAGGGGGCCTCCGACCCCCAAAGCTCAGGTAGTCCCGTAGCCACTTGGCCATTTGGGCGCCTGTCACCCCAATCGGGCCACTGTCAGAGGGGCCCCCACATGCCCTTCTCCGGGCCCCTTTCCCCAAGGAGGAGGAGGAGGTGGAGAGGAAGGGAAGAGCAGGGAAGGATGAGAAAGATCAGGTGCGCCCTTTGGCGGGGCTCTGGATGGATAGAGGGAAGGAAAAGGTGAACGAGGGGGAGGAAAAGGAGGCGACAGAGGAGGGAGGAAGAGAAGCCCGCCTTAGCCCAGCTTGGGAAGCACCGCGGGGGAAGGGGGGACCTCGCAGGGCCCCGAACCCCGCGCGCTGGGGGCTAGGGCGAGGGGCATCCGCGGAGGCGCGCGGAGTTTCCGCGGGCAGCGCGGTTCCCTGGAGCGACACGGCCGCCCGCCGCCTCCAGGAAGCTCCGGGATCCCTTCCTGGGGTCGGGAGATCCGGGCCAGCGCCACCTGCGGACGCTCCCGGCCCCTCTCCCAGCCCGGACGCCTGGGTTCTCAGCGCAGCGGGCGGGCTCCCCAGGGGCGCGGGCGCCGCGCGCAAAGTTGGGCCGCGGAGACTGTGACCCCGGCGGGACGCATCCTTTGTCGCGCTCCTCTCGGCTCAGCGGGGAGCCCCCAGTCCCGCGGCCCCCGCCGCCTCGATCCGGCCCCAGCCACCCGCACAAAGGGAAATAAAAACCTCCTCCAATCCCCCTTCACGCTTTCGGAGAGACTTTCCCCGCCGCCGCCGGGAGGTGGGACGCTGGGGAGGGGGGCGCGCAGGAGGACGCCCCTGTTCCCACCAGCCCCGGGCCGCGTCCCGGGCAGCAGCGTCAAGGCTCCCCCACCTCCCCTCCGCCGCGTCCCCCGCCCCTCCCCTCCCCCTGCGCTCCCCTCGGAGGTGACTGAGACCTTCAGCTGTTCTGGGGAGGGAGGGAGCCGCTGCCCGCGGAGGGAAGGGGGGCTGGGGGCGGGAGTCGCCGGGGCCGAGGCCGCGGCAGCTGGACACTGACCGGGACGCCCGAGACTGGCCGCAGCGAGCGCGGAGCGCGGGAGGTGGGGAGCAGCTGGGAGTGACACTGCTGGGGAGGGGAGGGGAGAGGGAGAAGGAGGGGAGGGGGAAATTGCCCGGGAAATGGGGGACTGCACTTGACCGCCAAAAGGGGTGAAATTGACCAGCAGAGGGGGTGGGAATGACCGCCAGTGAGGGTCGAAATGGAACCGATGTCTGGCGGTGAAACGGACCGGGAGAGTGGGGATGTGCAAATTGGTGGAGAGGTCACTGGCTGAAATTGATATTGGAGCAGCAGAAGGAAGAGGGGGGCAAAGGAAGGGTGGGTGCGGATCGGGCTTCCCCTCCCCCAAGAGGGCTCTGCTCTGTGCCCCGCTCCCGCCCCAGAGGACTAATTGCGGGCAGGGGGAGGGTTGGGGGCAGCTGGCTTGGGGAAGGGAGATGGTATCTGTGCCTGGCGCCTGTCCTCTGCATCTGTCCTTTTGTGGCTTCTGGGGGCGGGGTGGGGGGGAGCGGTGGCGGGAAGAGGGGCAGAAGTGAGAGGGGTCTGGCCTGAACTGGCTGCCTGTTGTCAGCTGTCGTTGTCTGAGGGTGAGGGCACTGAGAGGTTTGGGGGGTGGGAGAGGAAAAGGGAGCCACTGGCCAATTTTCCAGTGCAGAACCGTTTTTTTTCTTTCCCCATAAGGGGGCTTGCCCAGTTCCTCCTAATGAGGGGAGTGAGAGAGGGGTGGTCAGGAAGGATGGGACCCCAGATTCTCTCCTCTTGTGGCCAGCCCCCTGGTCAGGCACAGGTCATAGCTTGGAGAGCACAGTTGGAGGACAAGACAGAAGTCAGAACCAACACTGCTATGACTGGGGCCTCCTGGCAGCCCGGCGGGGCTGAGGGCAGGGTCTGTCACTCCCTGAGTCTTGGTTTTCCTTATTTGAAAGATGTGGTTTCTAACAGGAAATCCCAGACAGCTCTAGGAAGGATTCCAGGAGGGACCGAGCTATCACCTGGCTTCCTCATTTTATGGATGGGGAAACCGAGGCACAGAGATGGGAGGGACTTGTTCAGAGCCACTCCACAGCTGATTCTGCCTGCACATCGCCGTGGGGCCTGGCCTAGGGTGGCACTGGAGTCTCTCTTTTTATTTTTTTGAGACGGAGCCTTGCTCTGTCCTCCAGGCTGGAGTGCCGTGTTGCGATCTCAGCTCACTGAAACCTCCACCTCCCAGGTCCAACCAATTCTCCTGCCTCAGCCTCCTGAGTAGCTGGGATTACTGCCACCACGCCCAGCTAATTTTTATATAATTTTATATTTTTAGTAGAGATGGGGTTTCACCACATTGGCCAGGCTGGTCTGGAACTCCTGACCTCAGGTGATCTGCCGGCCTCGGCCTCCCAAAATGCTCTTCATGGAATCGGTTCTGCAACTCCTCTCCACGATGAGCTCCATTATCCAGATGGGAAAACTGAGGCCTGGAGCCAACAAGGCAAAGCCCCTGAAGGATGCAGGCGTCTAGACCCTTCTGTTCCTCCCCTTCCCTGCACTGGCTGTGTCCCCCAACACAGACCTGTTGAACTCCTTCCTCCCTCCTGAAGTGCATGGCCACCCCCGCTTCCCCCCACCCTTTCAGATCAGCGACAAGGCTGCGTCCCTGGGGGCGGCCAGGGAGCACAGCGGGTAATTGTCCTGCTTTCTGTCAGCCGCAAGGCAATTCCGGGCCACGGGGATGAGCTGTTGACAGATCTCATCAAATCCAAGTCGTCTCCCTGCCGGATAAAACTAGATGTCTGAGGTATAAATATTTGAAAGGGGCCTTCTAATTACAATCTGTGTCAGGAATAGCAATTAGAGGCCCCGGGGCCGGAATCAAACGGCATTTGACTTTCCTGTGCTTTGGAGCTGGCTTCTCCTGGGGCTGCACCCCGACCCTACCCCAAGGAGGGGAGTGGGGAGAGGCTGGCAGGGAGAGGCAGGAGGATTAGGTAGAAGAGAAAGAGATCCAGGCTAGGGGTCCAGTCACCTTCCCCTGTGACCTTGAATCAGCCACGTAACCTTGTGAGATTTGGATTTTTCTTTTCTCCCTTTTTTTTTTTTTTTTGAGACAGGGTCTCTCGCTCTGTTGCCCAGGCTGGAGATGCAATCACAGCTCACTGCAGCCTCACATTCAACATCCTGGGCTCAAATGATCCTCCCATCTCAGCCTCCTGGTAGCTAGGACCACAGGTGCATACCACAAAACCCGGCTTTTTTTTTGCTTTTTTTTTTTTCTTACGCAGAGTCTCACTTTGTTGCCCGGGCCTGGAGTGCAGTGGTGCGATCTCGGCTCACTGCAAGCTCCGCCTCCCGGGTTCACACCATTCTCCTGCCTCAGCCTCCCGAGTAGCTGGGACTACAGGCACCCGCCACCATGCCCGGCTACTTTTTTGTATTTTTAGTAGAGATGGGGTTTCACTGTTAGCCAGGATGGTCTCGATCTCCTGACCTTGTGATCCTCCCGCCTCAGCCTCCCAAAGTGCTGGGATTACAGGCGTGAGCCACCGAGTCCGGCCGCTTTTTTTTTTTGAGGCCGAGTCTTGCTCTGTCGCCCAGGCTAAAGTGCAGTGGCACAATTTCGGCTCACCGCAAGCTCCGCCTCCCAGGTTCAAGCGATTCTCCTGCCGCAGCCTCCCAAGTAACTGGGATTACAGACGCCCGCCACCACACCCAGCTAATTTTTATATTTTTAGTAGAGATGGTGTTCCACCATGTTGGCCAGGGTGCTCTCAAACTCCTGACCTCGTGATCCGCCCACCTTGGCGCCCCCAAAGTGCTGAGATTACAGGAGTGAGCTGCCATACACGGCCTTGTTGCTTTTTTTTTTTTTAAAGATACAATTCACATTGGCTGGGTGCAGTGACTCACACCTATAATCCCAGCACTTTGGGAGGCTGAGGTGGGCAGATGACCTGAGGTCAGGAGCTCGAGACCAGCCTGGCCAACATGGTAAAACCCCGTCTCTACTAAAAATACAAAAATTAGCCAGGCGTGGTGGCGGGCACCTGTAATCCCAGCTACTCGGGAGGCTGAGGCAGGAGAATCACCTGAACTCGGGAGGCAGAGGTTGCAGTGAGCCAAGATTGAGCCACTGCACTCCAGCCTGGGCAACAGAGCGAGACTCCATCTCAAAAAAACAAAAAACATAACTTACATATCCTACAGTTCACCCATTTAGAGTGTACAATTCAGTGGTTTCTCCTGTGTCCACAAGGTTGTGCGACCATCACCCCTAATTCCTGAACATTTTCGTCACCTCCAAAAGAAACCTCATACCCAATTAGCTGTCACTCCCCATCTCTCCAAATCCCCAGCTCCTGGTAAACACAAATCCACTTCCTGCCTCTGTGGATGGGCCTGTCCTGGACATTTCATAGAAATGGGATCACACACTTTGTGGCCTTCTGTGTCTGGTGTTTCTCACTGAGCGTGATGTCCTCAAGCTGCGTCCATTCTGGGGCCTGTGTTTTTTGTTGTTGTTGTTGTTTGTTTGTTTGTTTTTTTGAGACGGAGCTTGCTCTGTCACCAGGCTGGAGTGCAATGGCACGATCTCAGCTCACTGCAACCCCCGCCTCCCGAGTTCAAGTGATTCTCCTGCCTCAGCCTCCCGAGTAACTGGGACTACAGGCATGTGCCACCACGCCCAGCTGATTTTTGTATTTTTAGTGGAGACAGGGTTTCACCATGTTGGCCAGGATGGTCTCGATCTCTTGACCTCATGATCCACCCGCCTCGGCCTTCCAAAGTGCTGGGATTACAGGCGTGAGCCACCGCACCTGGCCAGGCCTGTGTTTTTTAATTTTTAAAATTCTTCTAGAGGGCTGGGTGTGGTGGCTCACACCTGTAATCCCGCCACTTGCAGAGGCTGAGTCGGGTGGATCACCTGAGGTCAGGAGTTCGAGACCATCCTGCCCAACATGGTGAAACCCCGTCTCTACTAAAAATACAAAAATTAGCCAGGCTTGGTGGCAGGCACATTGTAATCCCACCTACTCAGGAGGCAGAGATAGGAGAATCGCTTGAACCTGAGAGGCAGAGGTTGCAGTGAGCCGAGATCGTGCCACTGCACTCCAGCGTGGGCAATAGAGTGAGACTCCATCTTGGAAAAAAAAAAATCTTTTTTTCTAGAATTGGGATCTTGCAATGTTGCCCAGGCTGGTCTTGAATTCCTGGCCTCAAGTGATCCTCCTGCCTCGGTCTCCCAAAGCTTTGGGATTACAGGTGAGAGCCACTGCACCCAGCCATCTTTATTTTTTTTTTTTGAGACAGAGTCTCACTCTGTTGCCTAGGCTAGAGTGCAGTGGCACAATCTTGGCCCACTGCAACTTCCGCCTCCTGGGTTCAAGCGATTCTCCTGCCTTAGCCTCCCAAGTAGCTGGGACTACAGGTGTGTGCCACTGCACTTAGCTAATTTTTTATTTTTAGTAGAGACAGGATTTCACCACATTGGCCAGGCTGGTCTTGAACTCCTGACCTCCGGTGATATGCCAGCCTTGGCCTCCCAAAGTGCTGGGATGACAGGCGTGAGCCACTGCGCCTGGCCAGCTCTGCCTTTTTTTTTTTTGAGATGGAGTTTCACTCTTGTTGCCCAGGCTGGAGTGCAGTGGCATGACCTTGGCTCACTGCAACCTCCCGCTTCCTGTTTCAAGCGATTCTCCTGCCTCAGTCTCTGGAGTAGCTGGGATTACAGGTGCATGCCACCATGCCTGGCTAAGTTTTGTACTTTTAGTAGAGACGGGGTTTCACCATGTTGGCCAGGCTGGTGTTGAACTCCTGACCTTGTGATCCGCCCGCCTTGGCCTCCCAAAGTGCTGGGATTACAGGCATGAGCCACTGTGCCTAGCCAGCTCTGTCTTTTTTTTTTTTTTTTTTTTGAGACAGAGTTTCGCTCTGTCGTCCAAGCTGGAGTGCAGTGGCGCAATCTTGGCTTCATTGTGTTAGCCAGGATGGTCTCGATCTCCTGATCTCGTGATCCGCCCGCCTCGGCCTCCCAAAGTGCTGGGATTACAGGCGTGAGCCACTGCACCTGGCCAGCTCTGCCTTTCTTAACTCACGGTCTGATGGCAGAGGCATGGCCTTGTCCACAGAAGCCCCCAGTCTGATGGAAGAGTTGCGGCTCTGACTTCAGGAGCTTCCATTTGATGGGAGAGATATGGCCCTACCTTGAGGGGTTCCCACTCTGAGGAAGGAGACGTGAACCTATCTTCAGTCTGATGGGGGAGGCAGGTTCAACCTTCAACGGTCCCCTGTCTAATGCAGGAGACATAGTCTTGACTTCCAGGGTCCCAGAGTAATGGAGGAGACATAGGCCTGCCTTCAAGAGTCCCCAGTCTGATGAGGGAGGCATAGTCCAAACTTCAAGCGTCCCCAGTCTGATGGGGGAGGTATGGTGTAAATTTCAAGGGCCCAGTCCAACACAGGAGGCATGGCCCTAACTAACTTACAAGGTCCCAGTCTGCTGGAGGAGAAGCGAGCCTTCCTTCTAGGGGCCCCTACCTGATGGGGGAGGCATGATCCAGCCCTTCCAGGGCTCCAGTCTGACACGCAGGCACAGCCCAGCTCTTGGGGTTGCAGTGGGGTGGGTGACCAAAGGCGTAGCCTCGGAGCCTGGAGCTTCATACCCAGGCCCTGTCCCTCCCTCACCCTGGAGGTCGAGGAGTCTCCCTTACCTGTAAATGGGGCAGCAACAGAGCGTGTGCCCGGGGGGTGTTTGTGGACTGAGTGGGTGGTGTCACCCCATTCCCAGATAAGGAAACAGGCTCAGGGAGCCCCAAGTTCACACTGGAACTGGCAAAAGCTGGGGAAATGGCATGGCCCCTCTTCTCCTGTAAGCCCAGGCTGGGGCGGCAGTGGGCTCCAGCAGAAGGGGCCCCCATCGCCCCTCCTCCCCATCCCTCTGATGTGCTCCAGCAGCCAGGCAGCCCCGGAGGAGTTGATGGAGATCTCAGATGAAGGCTGACAGCTCCCGAAGACAGGATGACAGACGCGGGCTGGTGGGGAACGGGTACTGTCGGCAGGGATAGGGGAAGGGCAGGCTTCAGAGGGTGAGGGTAGGGGGCCCTGAGAGGTGGGGCAGGGCAGGGAGGGGTCCCCCGCTGGTCAGGAGGGACAGAGCCCGATGCATGGCTGTGCCTGCCCCTCTACTCCCTCAGTCCTGGGAACCCCCAGGAGAGAACTGGGGGCTGAGAGCAGAATTGCCCCCAGGACACAGGGTGAGAGAACAAAGCTTCTCAGGGGAAAAAAAAAAGAAATAAAAATAAAATTCCAGTGGTGTATGAAAGAGTGGGGTGTGAGAGGGGAGGAGGTGAAACCTGGGGCTCCCTGAGCCTGTTTCCTCATTGGGGAATGGGGTGATGCCCCCTCAACCCATTTGCGAGCACCCACGATGTGCCAGCTGGTTTTGGGGTGCTGGGGTGCACCAATTTTTTTGAGATGGAGTCTCACTCTGTTGTCCAAGCTGGATGGAGTGCAATGGCATAATCTTGGCTCACTGCAACCTCTGCCTCCCGGGTTCAAGTTATTCTCCTGCCTCGGCCTCTGGAGTAGCTGGGATTACAGGCACCTGCCCCATGCCCGGCTAATTTTTGTATTTTTAGTAGAGACAGAGTTTCACCATGTTGGGCAGGCTGGTCTCAAACTCCTGACCTCAGGTGATACACCTACCTCAGCCTCTGAAAGTGCTGGGATTACAGGTGTGAACCGCTGCGCCCGGCCCGAATAAACTTCTACTGTTTATAATTTACCCAGTCTGTGGTGTTCTGTGAAAGCAGCAGCAAATGGACAAAGACACAAGCTGCAGACAAGGTCTGTGTAGGTAAGAAACTGAGAGTGTTTTCTGGCCAACAGCCATGAGGGACTGAATTCTGTCAACAACCACAAAGGTTTGGCAGCAGGTCCTTCCCCAGTTGAGCCTTCAGATGACACCCCAGCCTGGGCCTGTGTCTTTTTTTTTTTTTTTTCTTTGAGACGGGAGTCTCGCTCTGTCCCCCTGGCTGGAGTGCAGTGGTGCAATCTTGGCTCACTGCAACCTCTGCCTCCTGGGTTCAAGTGATTCTCCTGTCTCAGCCTCCCAAGTAGCTGGAATTACAGGCATGTACCACCATGCCCAACTAATTTTTGTACTTTTTTGTAGTGACAGGGTTTTGCCATGTTGGCCAGGCTGGTCTTGAACTCATGACCTCAAGTGATCCGCCCGCCTCGGCCTGTGAAAGTGGTGGGATTACAGCCATGAGCCACTGCGCCCAGCCTGGCCTCTGTCTTGATTGCATTCTTGCTAAACCTTAAAGCGGGAGACCCAATGAAACCACACCCAGCTCTATGTTGTTTTTAAGTTGTTCAGTTTTGGTATAATTTGTTATGCAGCACCAGAAAACAAACAGAGGGAGAGATGGGCAATAAACACGTTCCCAAGGCATCCCCTCTGCATCTCCTTAGAACACACTCACCTGCTTTATTTTCACCACCTTCGGTATACATTATTTATATGTTATTGTAAAAATATATAATACATAAAAGTTTTTTGGGGGCCGGGTGCGGTAGCTCACGCCTGTAATCCCAGCAGTTTGGGAGCTGAGGCGGGCGAATCACTTGAGGTCAGGAGTTCGAGACCAGCCTGGCAACATGGCAAAACCCCATCTCTACTAAAAATACAAAAATTAAGCCAGGCAGGGTGGCGCGTGCCTGTCATCCCAGCTACTCTGGAGGCTGAGGCAGGAGAATCGCTTGAACCCGGGAGGCGGAGGTTGCAGTGAGCCGAGATCCTGCCACTGCACTCCAGCGGGGGTGATAGAGTGAGATGCTGTCTCAAAAAAAAAAAAAATTAAAATTAAAATAAGAACGGGTGTTGGAAGTGGGAGTTCAACTTTGTTTCTGCCAAATGCTCAGGGAACATTTGATAAACACAGGTTCCTTCCTTCCCTCTGCCAACTCCTTCTGCTGCCCCCGCCGAGGAGGGGAACTTCCCAGCCAGAGCTTTCTACTCATAAAGCCAGTGAGTCCCATCCTTGTTGAGTATGTAGAGCGCAGCCCCTTTGAAGGCAAATTGTAGCATCTTTTTTTTTAATTAATTATTTTTTGAGATGGAATCTCACTCTGTTGCCCAGGCTGGAGTGCAGTGGCATGATCTCAGCTCACTGCAACCTCCACCTTCCAGGTTCAAGTGATCCTCCTGCCTCAGCCTACCAATTAGCTGGGATTACAGGTGCCCGCCACCACATCTGACTAATTTTTTTATTTTTAGTGGGGGTGGTGGGAGTCTCACCATGTTGGCCAGGCTGGTCTTGAACTCCTGACCTCAGGTGATCTGCCCGCCGTGGCCTCCCAAAGTGCTGGGATTACATGCGTGAGCCACCGTGCCCCACCTTTCTTTAAAAAAAGACAAATTGAGAAACGGTCTGGCCATGTTGCCCAGTCTGGACTCGACCTCCTGTCTTCAACCAACCCTCCTGCCTCAGCCCCCCAAAGTCCTGGGATTACAGGAACATGCCACAGTTCCTGTCCTGGGCCTAGCTCCCCACCCCCCTCCCCCTTTTTCAGGCAGGATCTTGGTCTCTCACCAAGGCTGGAGTGCAGTGGTACAGTTACACCTCACTGCAGCCTCAATCTCCCGGGCTCAAGTGATCCTCCCACCTCAGCCTCCCAAGTAGCTGGGATTCCAGGCCTGAGCCACCACACCCGGCTGGAATTCCATTATTTATGCCAGAGTTCAGCCTTCACCTACTGGGGACATTGGGTTCGTTCCCCATAATGTTGCTGCTAAACACAGTGTCACGACAAACCTCCTCGTGGGTGTTTCCTTATGAATGTGGGCAAATACCTCTTAGAACAGACAGCCAGAAATGGAACTGCCTACTCAAAGAAGGTTCATATTGTTCACTTTAAAAGATTCCAGGCTGGTGCAGTGTCTCACGCCTGTAATCCCTGCACTTTGGGAGGCTGAGGCAGTCAGATCACCTGAGGTCAGGAGTTCAAGACCAGCCTGGCCAAGATGGTGAGACCCGTCTCTACTAAAAACACAAAAATTAGCTGGGCGTGGTGGCAGGCACCTGTAATCCCAGCTGCTGGGGAGGCTGAGGCAGAGAATTGCTTGAACCTGGGAGGTGGAGGTTGCAGTGAGCCAAGATCACACCACTGCACTCTAGCCTGGGCAACAGAGGGAGACTCTGTCTCAAACAAACAAACAAAAAGATTGTACAGGCAGGGCACAATGGCTCAGGCCTGTAATCTTAGCACTTTGGGAGGCTGAGGCAGGCAGATCACCTGAGGTCAGGAGTTCAAGACCAGCCTGGCCAACATGGTGAAACCCTGTCTCTACTAAAAATACAAAAATTAAGCCAGGCGTGGTGGCGGGCGCCTGTAATCCCAGCTACTCTGGAGGCTGAGGCAGGAGAATCGCTTGAACCCGGGAGGCGGAGGTTGCAGTGAGCCAAGATCGCGCCATCGCACTCCAGCCTGGGGGACAAGAGCGAGACGTCGTCTCCAAAAAAAAAAAAAAAAAAAAAAGGTAAAGAAAGAAAAAAAAAAAGAAGAGAAAACAAAAAGAGCCCAGATGCACACTCAGGCGACAACTAAATATAAATATCTGGGCTCATGCCTGTTACAGTGGCTTATGCCTGTGACCCCAGCACTTTGTGAGGCTGAGGCAGGAGGATCACTTGAGCCCATGAGTTCAAGATCAGCCTGGGCAACATGATGAAACCCAGTCTCTACTAAATATACAAAAAGTTAGCCAGGAATGGTGGCATCCACCTGAGGTCTCAGCGACTCGCGAGGCTGAGGTGGGAGGATCACCTGAGCTCGGAAGTTCAAGGCTGCAGTGAGTCAAGAATACGCTACCGCACTCCAGCCTGGGCAACAGAGTGAGATCCTGTCTCAAGACACAAACAAACCTCTGTGGAATGACCCTCGAATTGTGCTAACAGAGGAGGTCCTGGGACCTCCTCATCAGACTCTGGGAGAGAGAAGGGGCCCAGGCGGTTGGCAGGTTTCCTTTTATTGGTTCTAGACAGTTTGTGGAAGGAAGAGATGAGGCCATCTAGAGGCCGGCAGGCTCGCCCAGTGCCCCAAACACTGCCACCCTGAAGTAGTGTTGGAAGCTGCTCCAGGGATGTTGCAGCCCTAAGCACAGTGACAGGTGGGGGCAGGAGCAGCAGGGGTCCCCGAGGTGTTGAGAGGCTGGTGAGGGCACAGAGAAGGGACCTCCTGGGGCTGAGGCCCCTGGTGGCCCTATGTGTTGGAGCACGCTGGCGCTTGTCTGTCCGGCCTCCAGTCACGCCAAGGCCTCCTGCCCTGACCACCAGCAATGCTGGCCTCAATGTGGCTGAAGCTGGACGTGTGACTTTGACCCCGTGAGGGGGTCCTGGGAGGGCTCAGTTGCTGCCGTTGCTGTCGTCACTGTCCAGGTATGCACCCAGTTGGCTCAGGGAGGACGCGCCAGGCGTCAGGGGTGTAGGGTTGGCCTCCTTCCTGTTCTGCGGGGCTCCTGGTGGGAGAGCGAGAGTTAGCTCATCTCAGCTCCACAGCAGACAGGCCAGGGACAAGGCACGGGGCCGGCCACCTCTGCAGGTTTGCAAGGTCCAGAGGTGACAGCATGTGAATGGCCTGGCCTTTCTGGATGGCACCTGATGGGACCCATTGCAGATTTACATCTGCACACCCGGGACTCAACAGCTCCGCTTCTGAACAATGGCCAATGCAAACCTTGCCCAGGCAGGCAACGTGCGCTGCCAAGAATGGAAATGGCGCAAAGTTCACAGTCCAGTCACTGTGGACTTAATCGCCTTAGGAAACATCATACTAAGGCAACTAAAAGACAAAAACAGGCCGGGCGCGGTGGCTCATGCCTGTAATCCCAGCATTTTGGGAGGCCGAGGTGAGTGGATCACCTGAGGTCGGGAGTTCCAGACCAGCCTGACCAACATGGAGAAATCCCACCTCTACTAATAATACAAAAATTTAGCCGGGCGTGGTGCTGTAGTCCCAGCTACTTGGGAGGCTGAGGCAGAGAACTGCTCAAACCAGGGAGGCGGAGGTTGCGGTGAGCCGAGATGGCACCACTGCACTCCAGCCTGGGCAACAGAGCAAGACTCTGTCTCAAAAAAAAAAAAAGAAAAAAGAAAAAAGAAAAAAAGAAGCCGCCTGCCTTCTCTGCTCACTCCACTAATTGGTCCTGTGGGGGTCGCAGGCCGCCCCCACCCACCCCATGAAGTCTCTGTAACTGCAAAGGGAGCTGCTGCCACCTACAGGCCACTATAGAAACCGCGCCCGGCTCTGGGAACTCTGTGACCTTACCTGGGGTGGGGGCCGCCTGAGGCTGCCCGTTGCTGCAGTCCGGGTCGGCCTTTGCCTTCTTCACCACGACCAGCCTCGACAGCGGGGGCCGGCTGCCCAGGCTGCCAACGCTCTGCTCCCAGACCTCCACCTTCCTCTTGGGCTTTGGGGCCTGCAGGTGATGGGGACACATGTGGGGGTCTGGCCCGGATCCAGGGCCCAGTCTGGCCCCTCGCCACAACCCCTGCTCACTGCCCCATGCCCACTCTTCCACTGCTGCACTGACCACATTCCTCCTCTGCTCTAAACTCCTCTATGGCTCCCCACTGCCCTAGGCTTGGCACTCAAGGCCTCTGCCCATTCTCCATCCCACATAGCCTGGTCTGGCACTTCCTGAGTCACACCATGGCTTCTCATCTCCACGCCTTTACCCATGCTATTCCCTTCACCAGGGATGCCCCCTTTTCCATGCACTCGCTTGGTGAACTCCTACTCACCCTTCAATACCCAACACAAGACACCCCTCCTCTGAGAAGCCCATCATGGTTCAAGCTCACATGCAGGCTGCATGTCCACGCTCACAGTGCCCTCTGCTGGCTGTTATAACTCTCTCCCCAACTCTGCCGTGAGCTCCTGTCTTCCCCACTGCTGGCTCTGCGGTGCCACAAACAGTTCCTGGCACAAGGAGGTGCTCAATGTACTTGAGAGAACGAGTGAAAATGGAGGAAGCCGCCTTGAGAAAGAGTTAGGGGCAGGTAGAAAAGGCCTCCAGCTCCTTAACTGCAACAGAAGGGACCCTTTAATCTATATTATTAAAAAAATTTTTTTGGGGGGAAGGTCTCACTCTATTGCCCAGGCTGGAGTGCAGTGGTGCAATCATAGCTCACTGCAGCCTCGAACTCCTGGGCTCAAGCGATTCTCCTGCCTCAGCCTCCTGCAGGTGCACGCCACCATGGCAGGCTAACATTTTTAATTTTTGTAGAGACGGGATCTCGCTATGTTGCCCAGGCTGGTCTCAAACTCCTGGCTCAAGCGATCCTCCCGTCTCAGCGTCCCAAAGAGCTGGGATGACAGGCGTGAGCCACTGCATCTAGCCTCTTCAATCTGTTTTATGTTTAAATAGAGGAAGTGGTAACCACTGGGTTAAGGAAGTCCCAATGGGTGCTCTGCCCTCACGGAGCTCACCGTGTGGGGAGGGAGAGGGACAAGGAGACCAATACCCAGGATAACATCCATCTGGGTGAGAGAGAAGCCAGGGTGCGTGAGCTTGAATTGTGAGGATGAGCTTCTCAGAGGAAGGGCGTCTTGCATTGGGTATTGAAGGGCGAGTAGGAGTTCACCAAGCGAGTGCTTGGCAAAGGGGGCATCCCAGGTAAGGGGAATGGCATGGGTAAAGGCGTGATGAGAAGCCACAGTGTGATTCAGGAAGTGCCAGGGCAGGCTAGGTGGGATGGAGAATGGGCAGAGACCTTGAGTGCCAAGCTGACGGTGTGAGGGGCGGCCACTGCTAAGGTGGTGGAGAGGCCTCCTTAAAGTTGTGGCTCTGGGCCGGGCGCAGTGGCTCATGCTTCTAATCCC
Source organism: Homo sapiens (assembly GCF_000001405.40). Lineage (NCBI taxonomy): Eukaryota > Metazoa > Chordata > Mammalia > Primates > Hominidae > Homo > Homo sapiens. The sequence continues at coordinate 4,266,217 of NC_000019.10, read as the reverse complement.
GGCACTTTGGGAGGCCAAGGCAGGTGGATCACGAGGTCAGATAGAGACCATCCTGGCTAACACGGTGAAAGCCCGTCTCTACTATAAATACAAGAAATTAGCCAGGCTTGGTGGCACACGCCTGTAATCCCAGCTACTCGGGAGACTGAGGCAGGAGAATCGCTTGAACCTGGGAGGCAGAGGTTGCAGTGAGCCGAGATCGTGCCACTGCACTCCAGCCTGGGTGACAGGGCGAGACGCCGTCTCGAAAAAAAAAAAAAAAAATGTCGTAGCTCTGGGCTGATGTCAAAATGAGGAAAAGAAGTCAAAAGGCACAGATGGCCAGGCACAGAGGCACACACCTGTAATCCCAACACTTTGGGAGGCCGAGGCGGGTGGACCACTTGAGGTCAAGAGTTCGAGACCAGCCTGGTCAACATGGTGAAACCCCGTCTCTTTATTAATAAAAAGAAAATACAAAACCTAGCCAGGTGTGGTAGCACACGCCTGTAATCCCAGCTACTCAGGAGGCTAAGGCAGGACAATTGCTACAGGCTGGGAGCCGGAGGTTGCAGTGAGCCGAGACCGTGCCACTGCACTCCAGCCTGGGCGAAAGAACAAGACCGTCTCAAAAAAAAAAAAGTTACCTAGGTTAGTTCCCAAACCTGTTTCTACAGGTGGTACTCATCATCATTAAACTAAACTAAGGATTGGGAGGCCAAGGCGGGAGGACTGCTTGAGGATAGGAGTTTGAGACCAGCCTAGACAACATACAGACTCGCCTCTAAAAAAAAAAAAAGAAAAGAAAATTAAAAATTAGCTGGCTGTGGTGGCACACACTACACACTTGTGGGTCCCAGCTACTTGAGAGGCTGAGGTGGGAGGATCATTTGAGCCCAGGAGTTGGAGGCTGCAGCGAGCTGTGATCGCGTCACTGCACTCCAGCCTGGGTGACAGAGCAAGACCTCATCTCTAAAATAAAAATAAAATAAACCAAGAAAACGCAAGTGTGGAGATATTCCTTCCTATAAAAGTTAGGGTGAAGGTTTGAAAAGTCTTGATGAAGGTGAATCACGTTAAAACCAAATAAAACACCTGCTATCAAATCAGGTAGAGGCACAAGACTGAGGGAGTAAATCAAAAAAGGTTGGACTGCTTTCAAAGTACCTTTACTCTGTTGATTCATTCAAAAAAAAAAGAAAAGAAGAGAGGAAGTTGTAGACAATGAATTCTGGGAGTGGTTTATGTGAGAACCACAGTGTGAGAACTCTAATCAGAGGACACAGCTTCAAAGAAAATGTCTTTTAGAAAAATGTCTTGGGGCCAGACATGGTGGCTGATGTCTGTAATCCCTGTGCCTTGGCGGGAGAACTGCTTGAGGCCAGGTGCGTGAGACCAGCCTGGGCAACACAGCAAGACCGCATCTCTGCAAAAAGAATTTGAAAAATTAGGGGCCAGGCACAGTGGCTCACGCCTGTAATCCCAGCACTTTGGGCGGCCGAGTCAGGTGAATCACCTGAGGTCAGGAGTTCTAGATCAGCCTGGCCAACATGGTGAAACGCCATCTCTACTAAAAATACAAAAATTAGCCGGGCATGGTGGCAGGCGCCTGTAATCCCAGCTACTTGGGAGGCTGAGGCAGTAGAATCGCTTGAACCCGGGGGGCGAAGGTTGCAGTGAGCCAAGATCACACCACTGCACTCCAGCCTGGGCAACAAGAGTGAAACTGTCTAAAAAAAAAAAAAGAAAGAAAGAAAAGAAAAATTAGCCAGGCGTGGTGGTGCGTGCCTGTGGTCCCAGCTGCTCAGGAGACTGAGGTGGGAGGATTGCTTGAGCCTAGGAGGTTCAGGCTGCAGTGAGCTGGGACTGCATTACTGCACTCCAGCCTGGGCAACAGAGTAAGACCCTGTGTCAAACAAACAAACAAAAAAGGAAGAAAGAACAATCGTTTCTTTTTTTTTTTTTTTTTTTTTTTTTGAGACAGAGTCTCGCTCTGTCGCCCAGGCTGGAGTGCAGTGGCACAATCTCGGCTCACTGCAAGCTCCACCTCCTGGGTTCACGCCATTCTCCTGTCTCAGCCTCCTGAGTAGCTGGGACTACAGGCGCCCGCCACCACGCCCGGCTAATTTTTTGTATTTTTAGCAGAGATGGGGTTTCACCGTGTTAGATAGGATGATCTCGATCTCCTGACCTCGTGATCCACCCGCCTTGGCCTCCCAAAGTGCTGGGATTACAGGTGTGAGCCACCGCGCCCGGCCGAGAACAATCGTTTCTGTGTGTCTGTGTTATTGGTTTATGAGCCCCTACTTTTACCACCTTCTTCAATGAACAAACCAGAGTGGCTGAGGCCACCTTGGATGAGTCAGCTGTGGTGGAAAATGCTGGTCATCCACCAAAACTCCTTCCTCCTTTTTTTTTTTTTTTTTTTTGAGATAGAGTCTCACTCTGTTGCCCAGGCTGGAGGGCAATGGCACAATCTCAGCTCACTGCAACCTCTGCCTCCCAGGTTCAAGTGATTCTCCTGCCTCAGCCTCCCGAGTAACTGGGATTACAGGCAGGCACCGCCATGTCCAGCTAATTTTTGTATTTTTAGTAGAGACAGGGTTTCTCCATGTTGGCCAGGCTGGTCTCGAACTCCTGACCTCAGATGATCCGCCTGCCTCGGCCTCCCAAAGTGCTGGGATTACAGCACTTTGAGCCACGGTGCCCGGCCTCCCTTCGTTCTAGTTGGCAGCACAGCCAGGCACGGACCAGCTGGAGGATGCATCTCACAGTTTCCTTCGCCACCAGATGGGGCCTTGTGACTATGCTGTGGCCTCTGGCATGAGAGAAGAACTGAGGTGGGCCGCATCTGAGGCTGCGTGGTCCTCCACACACTTTTTGCCTTCCCACAGCCGGACCCTGAAGGTGCTCTGAGCCAGCTGTGGCCACAGCGCAGGAAGCCGTGCTCCAGAAGGAAGGAGGCTGAGTCCCTGAATGGTTCCAAGGAGCAGAGCTGCCCGAAGTCCTAGACTGTCAGCCCAGGGCTGTTATGACTGAGAAATAAATTTCTATGTTCTTTCTTTACATTCTCTTCTTTCGGCAGCTTAAACAGGGGTTGGCGAATTACAGACCCATAGGCCTGCCACCAGTTTTAGTAAATTAAGTTTTTTTTTTTTTTTTTTTGAGACAGAGTCTCATTCTGTCACCCAGGCTGGGGTGCAGTGGCACGATCTCGGCTCGCTGCAACCTCCGCCTCCCGGGTTCAAGCGATTCTCCTGCCTCAGCCTTCTGAGTAGCTGGGATTACAAGCGTGAGCCACTGCACTCAGCCTTAATTTTTATTTGTTTATTTTAGACAGGGTCTCACTCTTGCTCAGGCTGGAGTTCGGTCATACTGATGCAGCTCACTGCAGCCTTGACCTTCTGGGCTCAAGCGGTCCTCCTGCCTCAGTCTCTCAAACAGCTGGGACCACAGACATGCACCACCACCCATGACTAATTTTTGTAATTTTGTAAAGAAGGGGTCTCACTTTGTTGCCCAGGCTGGTCTCAAACTCCCGGCCTCAAGCGATCCTCCTGCCTTGGCCTCCCAAAATGCTGGGATTACAGGCATGAGCCACTGCACCCCGCCTATAAATAAAGATTTATTGGCACCAGGCAACACCCACTTATTTACACCTGATCATGGGTGTTTTGGGCTACAGCCACAGGGTGGAGGAGTTAGGGTGCAGACTGGCCTTTTAAGAAAAAGTCAAGTTCTGGTCGGGCATGGTGGCTCACGCCTGTAATCCCAGCACTTTGGGAGGCCTAGGCGGGCGGATCACGAGGTGAAGAGATTGAGACCATCCTTCCCAACATGGTGAAACCCCATCTCTACTAAAAATACAAAAAATTAGCTGGGCTTGGTGGCGCGTGCCTGTAGTCCCAGCTACTCGGGAGGCTGAGGCAGGAGAATCGCTTGAACCTGGGAGGCAGAGGTTGCAGTGAGCCAAGATCGTGCCACTGCACTCCAGCCTAGGCGACAGAGCGAGACTCCGTCTCAAAAAACAAAAACAAAAAACAAAAGAAAAAGTCAAGCTGACCCCTGGCTTCAGTTGTCCCTAGTTCACCTGGGAGCCCCCAGGACTCAGGCACCCCACTTACCTCATCCAGGATGGCGGTGGGGTTGGGCCGAAGGGCTGGCTGCAGGGGCGAGGGAGCAGCCTCATCCTCTGAGTCGGAGTCCTCCAGCAGTCTTCGCTTTCTGGCTTCCTCCAACAGGGCCCTGTGGGATGGAAGATGGGAACTTGGACGTGCTCTGTTTGGGGAACAGTGCCTGGGATGTACCTGCTGGGGTGGCGAGGGGCCTGGGTGCCTGGAGACCTCTTCCTGCCCTCAGTGAGCAGGGGTGGGAGGGAGTAGGGGGAGCACAGATTACTTTTTTTTTTTAAGAGACAAGGTCTCACTCTGTCACTCAGGGAGGGTGAAGTGGCACAATCACAGCTCACTGCAACCTCAACCTCCTGGGCTCAAGCGATCCTCCCCACTCAGCTTCCTGAGTAGCTGGGTCCACAGGCGTGTTCCTATGCCTTATTAAATTTTATTTCATTTTATTTTTGAGACAGAGTCTCGCTCTGTTGCCCAGGCTGGAGTGCAGTGGCGCAATCTTGGCTCACTGCAACCCCCACCTCCCAGGTTGAAGCGATTCTCCTGCCTCAGCTTCCCAAGTACCTGGGATTACAGGTGCCTGCCACCACACCCGGCTAATTTTTGTATTTTTTTTTTCTTTTTTGAGATGGAGTCTTTGTTGTCCAGGCTGGAGTGCAGTGGCGTGATCTTGGCTCACTGCAACCTCCGCCTCCTGGGTTCAAGCGATTCTCCAGCCTCAGCCTACCGAGCAGCTAGGACTACAGGCACGCACCACCGTGTCCAGCTAATTTTTGTATTTTTAGTAGAGGCGGGGTTTCGCCATCTTGGCCAGGCCGGTCTCTAATTCTGGGAGTGGTTTATGTGAGAACCACAGTGTGAGAACTCTAATCAGGGGATATAGCTTCAAAGAAAATGTCTTTTAGAAAAATGTCTTGGGGCCAGACATGGTGGCTGATGTCTGTAATCCCTGTGCCTTTAGAGGCCAAGGCAGGAGAAATGCTTAAGGCCAGGAGCATGAGACCAGCCTGGGCAACACAGCAAGACCGCATCTCTGCAAAAAGGATTTTAAAAATCAGGGGCCTACATCCCCTTACCTGGGATGACCCCTTTGCCAAGCACTCGCTTGGTGAACTCCTACTCGACCTTCAATACCCAATGCAAGACGCTCTTCCTCTGAGAAGCTCATCCTCATAATTCAAGCTCACGCATCCTGGCTTCTCTCTCACCCAGATGGATGTTGTCCTGGGTATTGGTCTCCTTGTCCCTCTCCCTCCCCACACAGTGAGCTCCGTGAGGGCAGAGCACCCATTGGGACTTCCTTAACCCAGTGGTTACCACTTCCTCTATTTAAACATAAAACAGATTAAAGGGGCCAGATGCAGTGGCTCATGCCTGTCATCCCAGCTCTTTGGGACGCTGAGACGGGAGGATCGCTTGAGCCAGGGGTTAGAGACCAGCCTGGGCAACATAGCGAGACCCCGTCTCTAAAAAAATTAAAAATGTTAGCTAGGACTACAGGCACATACCACCATGTCCAGCTAATTTCTGTAGTTTTAGTAGAGACGGGGTTTCACCATCTTGGCCAGGCTGGTCTCGAACTCCTGACCTCAGGTGATACGCCCACTTCAGCCTCCCAAAGTGCTGGGATTACGGGCGTGAGCCACCGACCGCACCTAGTCTACTTTTTAATTTTCATTTTTTTTAGGAGGAATCTTGCTCTGTCGCCCAGGCTGGAGTTCAGTGGCACCATCTCGGCTCACTATAACCTCTGCCTCCCGGGTTCAGGCAATTCTCCTGTCTCAGCCTCTGGAGCAGCTGGAATTACAGGCATCTGCCACCACGCCCAGCTAATTTGTTTTTGTATTTTTAGTACAGATGGGGTTTCGCCATGTTGGCCAGGCTGGTCTCGAACTGCTGACCTCAGGTGATCCGCCCGCCTCAGCCTCCCACAGTGCAGGATGGCAGGCAGGAGACCCTGCGCCCGGCCCCTTCTACTTTTTTACATTAACTTTTCCGTGTCCACCGAGGGCAGTGGTGTGGTTAAGTGCCTGGATGCCGGAACCAGCCTGTCTGGATGGAGCCTGGAGGGTAACCTTGGTGGGGCTCATGCCTGGACCTCCCTGGACCTCAGTCCCCTCCATGATGAAGATCACACTGACCCCCAGGGCTGTGTGGGTAGTGAGGTTACAGCCACGCCCGGCACCCGGAAGGTGCAGGATGAACGCAGGCTCCCAACACTGTTCTGCACGGTATCGCTGCTCTGCACACCCATCAGGCACTGACGTGGAACCTACCAGAACCTACCTGCTGGAAGCCCTGGGGACACAGGAGAGGCCACCACGTCCCTGTCCTTACAGCTCAGATTCTAAAGGAGGGAGGGGAGATGAGGCACCAGGAAAGGAGGGGATCAGCACGCGGGCTCAGAGGTGGTCGGCGTCAAAGGCATTCACCAGCCAACCACAGGGGCTCACACGTGTCATCCAGCACTTCAGGAGACTAAGGTGGGAGGATCGCTTGAGGCCAGGAGTTCAAAACCAGCCTGTCCAACATAGCGAGGTCCTGTCTCTACAGAAATAAAAACAATTAGCTGGGCATGGTGATGTGTCCCTGTGGTCCCAGCTACCCAGAAGGCTGAGGCAGGAGGAACGCTTGAGCCCGGGAGATGGAGGCTACAGTGAGCTATGACTGCACTACTGCACTCCAGCCTGGGCGGCAGAGCAAAACCCCGTCTCAAAGAAAAAGAAAAGCGTCGTCCGGGCGCGGTGGCTCACGCCTGCAATCCCAGCACTTTGGGAGGCCGAGGCGGGCGGATCACGAGGTCAGGAGATCGAGACCATCCTGGCTAACACGGTGAAACCCCATCTCTACTAAAAATTACAAAAAATTAGCCGGGCTTGGTGGCGGATGCCTCTAATCCCAGCTACTCGGGAGGCTGAGGCAGAATGGCATGAACCCGGGAGGCGGAGCTTGCAGTGAGCGAGATGGCGCCACTGCCCTCCAGCCTGGGCAGCAGAGGGAGACTCCGTCTCAAAAAAAAAAAAAAAAAAAAAAAAAAAAAGAAAAGTGTTCACCCAGGAGGCCTGAGGCTGTGTCCTCAGAAGGCGGCTGGTGAGGGCGTCCCTTGGTGGGTGTCCGGGAGCCTGTGCTGGGGGCCTCCCACCCTCATGGATGGGACGGGCTCTGGGGCTTCAGCTGTTCCTGCAAACACCATGGTTTATGCGTGACCCCTGCTTTCCTCTGGAGTCTGGAATCCCGGCATGGGTGAGGCAGCGGGGGCTGTGGGACCAGGCCCCATAGGAACCCCACGCTGGGTCTCTAGGAGCTTCCCTAGTGATGGCGCCTTTCTCGAGTCCTCCAGGCTGGTGCTAGGGGATGAGGCGCGTCCTGCGAAGCTCCACCAGGAGAGGATCTGGAAGGCCTGGCCCCCGACACACCACACATGCCTTTCCCCTTTGCTGAATCTGCTGTGTCCTCTCGCTGTGACAAACCGCAGCCATGCGGGCGACCACGTGCTAAGTCACCGTGCCCGGCAGTGGCCTGGGACCCCCTCGAGAGACGCCACAAGGGAGAAAGTGAGATGGGCGGTGGGAAAGGGGTCCTTGCAAAGGCGACACTCCAGAGAGCGGGGAAAGGGTCTGGGGCAGAGGCAGCGCCTGCCGGGGCAGAGGCTGCGAGGTGGGGCTGGGTTGGGCCGGCCCTGACTCACGCGGTCTCCTGCTCGTCCTCCTCCTGCTGCTGCCTCCGCCGCTCCTCCTCCGACAGGCGGTGCTGCCTCAGCATAGCCTCGAAGTCCACGTGCGCCTGCCGCTGGTTCAGGTCTTTCAGCTCCTGGAGGTTCTCCAGCACCTCCATCTCCAGCTTGGAGTCCTTGGTCCGGTTCTCCAGCACCTGGCGGGCGCGGGGCGGCGGGGCTGAGTGCATGGGGATCGCACCACGGGGCAAACCCTGTCTGGCCTCGGGGGCCACTGCGGGCCACGGGAGGAACCCCTACCCCCACGTTTCCATCCTGCTCAGGGAACCCCCTGCCCATGCCCAGCGCTGTGTCCATTTCACAGGTGAGAACACTCAGGTCTGGGGAGGGAAAGTGACCACATGGGGCTGAGCAGTGGTGGAGCCGGGATCTGAGCCCTGGGGCAGGGTGGGGTGGAAAGAGGCTGGCTCTGGACCCAGGTGGCCTGGATTTCTGGCCTGGTGCCATCTTTCAGTAAGAATAATAAGGAAAAATTTGGCCAGGCACAGTGGCTCACGTCTGTAATCCCAGCATTTTGGGAGGCCGGAGCGGGCGGATCACCTGAGATCAGGAGTTCGAGACCAGCCTGGCCAACATGGTGAAACCCTGTCTCTACTAAAAATACAGGCTGGGTGTTATGGGTCACGCCTGTAATCCCAGCACTTTGGGAGGCCGAGGCAGACAGATCACTTGAGGTCAGGAGTTCAAGACCAGCCTGGCCAACATGACGAAACCCCATCTCTACTAAAAATACAAAAAGTAGCTGGGCGTAGTGGCATGTGCCTGTAATCCCAGCTACTTGGGAGGCTGAGGCAGGAGAATTGCTTGAACCCGGGAGGCAGAGGTTGCAGTGAACCAAGATTGCACCACTGGACTCCAACCTGGGTGACAGAGTGAGACTCCATCTCAAAAAAATAAATAAATAATAAAAATACAAAAATTATCCAGGCGTGGTGGCACACACCTGTAATCCCAGCTACTTGGGAGGCTGAGGCAGGAGAATCACTTGAACCCAGGAGGCAGAGGTTGACTGAGCTCAGATCGTGCCAATGCATTCCAGCTTGGGTGACAGAGCGAGACTCTATCTCAAAAATAATAATATTAAGGAAAAATTGTAAAAGACAACCTGAGCACCTACTGTACACCGGGCCCTGGGCTAAGAGGTTTCCATATGCCATCTCATTTAATCCTCACAACCCCCATTTTACAGAAACGGAAACTGAGGCTGAGGGAGGCGAGTCTGGTGGCCACGGGTCCCTGAGAAGTGGCTTTGGAGCCAGGCAGGTTGGGAGTGAATCCTGCCTGGCTGCTTCCCAGTGCTGTGACCTTGTTGTATTTACCCTTTGGAAAAATGGCAATTCTGACAGTTTAAAAGTATGTCCACAAACTCTCTGATGCTCCTCCATTTAAGGGGTGGAGGTGACTCCCCTCCCCTTGAGCAGGGGCTGGACAAGCTACTTGCTCTAATGGAATATGACAGAAATAATGGCACGTAACTTCTGAGACTAGGATGTAAAAGCACAGGCCTTCCTCCTTGCTCTCACTCTTGGGTCACATGCTCTGGGGTACGCAGCTGCCATGTTGTGAGGTTGCTCAAGCAGCTCCCCACACAGCGAGGAACTGAGGCTGACAGCCAACAGCCAGTAGAGGGAGCCAGTTTGCGAGTGGCTCCTCCAGCCCCAGTCCAGCCTTCAGATGATACTGCCCTGGCCAACACCTTGACTGCAACCTCATGGGAGCCCCCAAGCCACAACCATCCAGCTCAGCTGCTTCTGGATGCCTGACTCTCAAAAACTGTGGGATAATAAATGTTTGTTGTTTTCAGTCACTAAGTTTTGGGATAACCTGTTATGTAGCAATAGCTGACTAACACCAGGGTAAGAGCCCCTTGCTGTCAGTGTGGAGGTAACTAAATTCACACACAGACAGCAGTGCGACAGGCCCAGGCACACACCAAACCCTTGCCAAGGCTCATTTCCCTCCCTGTTGCTCTGCATGGCCATGGAAAATGTTGTATCTGGTCTGATGTGGCTTGCTCAGAAAACTCACATTTGGCAGGGGTGGGTGGGTCCAGGAATAGATAAGAATGGATGGGAAATATGGAAGCAGGAGGGGACAGCAGGGAACACAGTCATTTAAAAATCTGTTTTATATATATATGTGTATGTATATATATGTATATGTGTGTGTACATATATATATATATATATATATATATTTTTTTTTTTTTGCGACAGTCTTGCTGTCTTCCAGGCTGGAGTGCAGTGATGTGATCATAGCTAACTGCAGCCTCAACTTCCTGGGCTCAAGTGATCCTCCCGCCTCAGCCTCCCTAGTAGGTGGGACCACAGGTGCACACCAGTACACCTGCCTAATTTTTGTTGTTGTTGTTGAGACAGAGTTTTACTCTTGTTGCCCAGGCTGAAGTGCAATGGCGCGATCTTGGCTCACTGCAACCTCCGCCTCCTGGGTTCAAGCAATTCTCCTGCCTCAGCCTCCTGAGTAGCTTGGATTATAGGCGCGTGCCACCACGCCTGGTTAATTTTTGTATTTTTAGTAGAGACAGGGTTTCGCCGTGTTGGCCAAGCTGGTCTTGAACTCCTGACCTCAGGTGATCCGCCTGCCTCAGCCTCCCAAAGCACTTGGCTGATTTTTTTTTTTTTTTTTTTTTTGACACAGAATCTTGCTCTGTCACCCAGGCTGGAGTGCAGTGGCATGATCTCAGCTCACTGCAGCCTCTGCCTCCTGAGTTCAAGCAATTCTCTGCCTCAGCCTCCCGAGTAGCTGGGATTACAGGTGTCTGCCACCATGCCCGGCTAATTTTTTGTATTTTTAGTAGAGACGGGGTTTCACCCTCTTGGCCAGGCTGGTCTTGAACTCCTGACCTTGTGATCCACCTGCCTTGGCCTCCCAAAGTGCTGCGATTACAGGTGTGAGCCACCACGCCTGGCAAGCACCTGGCTAATTTTTTAATGTTTTATAGAGACAGAGTCTCACTATGTTGCCCAGGCTGGTCTTTGACTCCTAGACTCAAGTGATCCTCCTGTCTCAACCCCTAAAGTAGCTGGGACTACAGGTTCAAGCCACCATGCATGGCTCCTTTTAATATTTCTGAGAAAATACAAAATTGTCCTATTGGAAGTGAACATAATTTCTTTTATTTATTTATTTTTTTTGAGACAGAGTCTTGCTTTGCTGCCCAGGCTGGAGTGCAGTGGTTTGATCTCGGCTCACTGCAACCTCTGCCTCCCGGGTTCATGCAATTCTCCTGCCTCAGCCTCCCAAGTAGCTGAGATTACAGGCATGCGCCACCATGCTTGACTAATTTTTTTTTTTTTTTTTTGGAGACAGAATCTCACTCTGTCACCCAGGCTGGAGTGCAGTGGCGCCATCTCGGCTTCCTGCAACATCTGCCTCCCCGGTTCAAGCGATTCTCCTGCCTCAGCCTCCTGAGTAGCTGTAATTCCAGAAGCGTGCCACCATGCCTGGCTAATTTTTGTATTTTTAGTAGAGACGGGGTTTCACCATGTTGGTCAGGCTGGTCTCAAACTCCTGACCTCGTGACCCACCCACTTCGGCCTCCAAAAGTGCTGGGATTACAGGTGTGAGCCACTGCGCCCAGTGTTAAGTTTTAAAATTTTTAGTAGGAACAGGGTTTCGCCACATTGGCCAGGCTGGTCTAGGACTCCTGACCTCAAGTGATCCTCCCGCCTCAGCCTCCCAAAGTGCTGAGATTACAGGCATGAGCCACTATGCCTGGCCTCCTGGGGACATCTTAAAGTTTTACCAACCACGCCCCCCACCCCATCTTCCTTCCTTGGGGACCTGAGGCAGGAAGGGCACAACCATTGGCACACACACACACCCACACACACAGCGCCCATGAACACCTACATGGCCCCCGACTCACCTTCATGGGGTTGTTCAGCTCCTCGTCCTCCCGCTCCTTCTGCACCCTCTTCTCCTCCTCCTCCAGGAGCTTCTCAGCCTGGAAATTCCGCGTGGCTCCATGCTCCATGGTGTAGTCTGTGTTTTCAGGGTCTGTCTGCAGGGAGGATAGACAGACATCAGCTCCTACATCCCCAGGCACTAGAATCTTCTAAAGTACCACCAGCAGATCAGGGCCCCTTCTCTCTGATTTTTACTGGTTCTACTACCTTCTCTTTTTCTTGTCTTATTGCTTTGACTGGTGAGATTTCTTCCTAGTGCTCCTCCCATCTCCATGGGCAAAAATGCCCAACTCCCTGGCATGGACTTTAAGACTCTTCTCATCTGCCCACTGCCTCCCTGCATCCTCCACTCCCTACCCTTAACATGACTGCAAACAAACTCTCCAATGAGGCAGGTGGATCACTGGAGGTCAGGTATTCAAGACCAGCCTGGCCAACATGGAGAAACCCTGTCTCTACTAAAAATACAAAAAATTAGGCAGGGCAAGGTGGTGCATGCCTGTAATCCCAGCTACTCTGGAGGCTGAGGCATGAGAATCACATGAACCTGGGAGGCTGAGATCACACCACTGTACTCCAGCCTTGGCTACAAAGTGAGACCCTGTCTCAAAAAAAAAAAAAAATCTCCAAGGTTCTGCACATGTTGTGATTTCTGCCCTTTGTATTTATTAACACCTTTTCTTTGATTATAAATCACATGTACAAATATGTATACAGCATGCCCCTGTTTTTGTTTATTGAATAGAGAGGCTAAATACACCCTGGTATCTTAAATTACACACTGGAACAGAAAAGTGACATTAGCAGAAAAACTGAAATCTACCTTTGGTCTAAATGCTAATAGTAACACTATGTTTTTTATTTTTTTGGGGACAGGGTCTCGTGCTGTTGCCCAGGCCGGAGTGCAGCGGCAGGATCATGGCTCACTGCAACCTCAGCCTCCCGGGTTCAAGCAATCCTCTCACCTTAGCCTGCCGAGTAGCTGGGACTACAGGTATGCACCATCACACCTGGCTAATTTTTAAATTTCTTTTTGGTAGAGACAGGGTTTCGCCATGTTGCCCAGGCTGGTCTCTAACTCTTGGACTCAACCGATCCTCCTGCTTTGGCCTCCAAAGTGCCGGGATTACAGGCATGAGCCACTGCACCCAGCCACAGCCTACAATGTTAATGGTAACATTCCACCTTTAGTTTCTTTTTTTAATTAAAATTTGTGTGTGTGTGTGTGTGTGTGTGTGTGTGTGTGTGTGTAGACACGGACAGGGTCTCACTATGTTGCCCAGGCTAGTCTTGAACTTCTGGTCCCCAGCAATCCTCCTGCCTTGCCTTCTCAAAGCGCTGGGAGTAAGCCACCATGCCTGGCCCCACCCTTAGTATCTTACTGTGACAGATGTACCCTGGTTATATAAGATGCTAATATTCGGGGAAGTTGGTGAGGGGGTAGGTGAGAATTATCTGTACTATCTTTGGAACTTTTCTGTAAATCTTCAGGTATTTCAAAAAAAGTTTTTGTTTGTTTTTTTGCAGACAGGGTCTCACTCTGTCACTCAGGCTGGAGTATAGCAGTGAAATCATGGCTCACTGCAGCCTTGGCCTCCCAGACTCAATTGATTCTCCTGCCTCAGCCTCCCAAGTAGCTAGGACTATAGGCGCATGCCATCATGCCCAGCTAATTTTTATATTTTTTTGTACTGACGGGATCTCACTATGTTGCCCAAGCTGGTCTTGAATTCCTGGATTTAAGCGATCCTTCTCCCTTGACCTCTCAAAGTGTTGGGATTACAGGCGTGAGCCACTGCACCCAGCCAAAATATTATTATTATTATTAATTTATTTATTTATTTTTGAGACGGAGTCTCGCTCTGTCGCCCAGGCTGGAGTGCAGTGGCGCGATCTCAGCTCACTGCAAGCTCCGCCTCCTGGGTTCACGCCATTCTCTTGTCTCAGCCTCCCGAGTAGCTGGGACTACAGGCACCCGCCACCACGCCTGGCTAATTTTTTTCTGCTTTTTTTTTAGTAGAGACGGGGTTTCACTGTGTTAGCCAGGATGGTCTCGATCTCCTGACCTCATGATCCGCCTGCCTCAGCCTCCCAAAGTACTGGGATTAGAGGCGTGAGCCACTGCGCCCGGCCTATTTTTGTATTTTTTTTTAGTAGAGTTGGGGTTTCATCATGTTGTCCAGGCTGGTCTCGAACTCCTGACCTCAACTGATCCACTTGCCTTGGCCTCCCAAAGTGCTGATTATAGCTGTGAGCCACTGCGCCCAGCCCAAAATGTTTTTTTAATCAAAGAAAAAAAGCTTATGGCAAAAAAGTATTCAAAGAGTACTTAAGCATAGGAAGAGAAAATTTTAAGTTATCTTCAGTCTTTCCTTAAATTCTCAAGGTAACAAATAAAAGTCAAATTGCAATTTTTATTGGCTGTGTAATATTCCATTGCACGCTACTTTTTTTTTTCTTTTTGAGACAGAGTTTCATTTCGTTGCTCAGGCTGGAGTGCAATGGCGCAATGTTGGCTCACTGCAACCTCTCCCTCTCGGGTTCAAGCGATTCTCCTGCTTTGGTCTCCCAAGTACCTGAGATTACAGGCATGAGCCACCACGCCTGGCTCACTTTTGTATTTTTAGTAGAGACGGGGTTTCACCATGTTGGCCAGGCTGGTCTCAAACTCCTGACCTCAGGGGCTCTCTTTCCTGCCTTGGCCTCCCAACCTGCTGGAATTACAGGCATGAGCCACTGTGCCTGGCTTTTTTTTTTTTTTTTTTTAGTTGGAGTCTTGCTCTGTCACCCAGACTGGAGTATAGCGGTGCAATCTTCGCTCACTGCAACCTCTGCCTCCCAGCTTCAAGTGATTCTCCTGCCTTAGCCTCTCGAGTAACTGGGATTATAGTCCGCCACCATGCCCAGTAATTTTTGTATTTTTAGTAGACATGGCATTTCGCCATGTTGGCTAGGGTGGTCTTGAACTTCTGACCTCAGGTGATCTGCCCGCCTTGGCCGCCCAAAGTGCTGGGAGTACAGGTGTGAGCCATGCCCAGCCTGCATGCTAATTTGTTCTTCTCATCCCTTATTATTATCTATCTAGGTTGCTTCTGTCTTTTTGCCTTTATTTAGAATGCTGCCATGAACATCTCCCCCAAACTGTTGTCTGTTTCTTGGGGATAAACTGAAATGAGATTCCCTGGATGGAGAGGATTGGAGTTAAGGAACCCCAGGGCCCGCCCTGATCTGAGGTGTGCTGGGGGAGAGGGACCGGCCTGGCCGGCCGTCTCACCTACCTTGAAGGTGATCTCTGCCAGGCAGCGCGTGCACTTGATGTAAAAGCGGAAGATGGGCAGGCCCAGGTAGACCTCGTTCTGCACCGTCTCCTTCCGAGCATTGAATTTCTTCCCCTTGTAGATGTATTCTCCGCACGTCTTACACCTGCGGGGCAGCATGTAGGGATGTGAGCTGTCTTGGGACGCTGGCTCCCACTGGCAGGCTGTCCCTGCGGCATCCTGCAAGATCACTGCTTGCTTGCCTCCAGCAACGGGGAGCTCCCTCCTTCAAGAGGCAGGCTGCCCCACCCTGTGTCCAAATTTCCTCTACCTGAGAACTTCGTGTTCTCATTCATATCTTCCTGGGGCTCAGTCCAAGGGTCGCCTGCTTGGGAAGCCCCCTGAGTAGGTGAGGCCTGCCTGTCATGCACTCCCAGAAGCAATCTTTGTGCTTACGGGGCACCCCACCCTCCAGGAGGAAAGATGCCACACAGAAAAATGCTGCCCCACCCCCCTCTTCCCCTCCTACTCCGGGCTCTGCTCCCCAGCCCAGCACGCCCGCCTCCTGTCTGATCCTGCAAACACCCCCAGCTCAGTCCCAGCTCAAGGCCTCTGCTCCTACAGTCTCATGGCCGGCGACACCCTTCATCCTCAGACCTCAGCGCCACCAGTATTTTGCCTGATGTCACCGTACCCCAGCTACCTATAGCCCTCCCTCCTGCGCCACTGCCCCAGGGGCTCTCTCCTGCCTGACTTCGGGGGCCCGTGCACCTGCCTGACTACCACTATTCTCCACTTCCCATTAGACTGTGGGCTCCATGAGGCCAGGGACTTTGTTCCTGGCGCTCGGCACAGACCCTGGCACACAGCAGGTGCCCAATAAATGAGTGTTGAATGAATAAATGAATGAATGAGGGGGAGGAGTAGACAGGCCAACAACACATGGGCATGAACCGAATTTCACTGACCCAGATGTCTCTTTCCTCGTTAGGTGCGTGATTTCAGATATGCTAGAGCATGAAAAGGTATGGGGTTGAGAGTTGGTGAAATACAGTAATTCTGAAGTGCTACAAAAGGCAAGATCTGGGCACCGTGAGGGGATGATGGAGGCCTCCCGGAGGGGTGAGATTGGAGCCATGACCTATGGCAGACAAGAGGAGCCTGCCATGTGTAAGTAGAAGGAGAAGGCCAGGTGCGGCAGCTCACGCCTGCAATCCCAGCACTTTGGGAGGCCAAGGAGGGCAGATCACCTGAGGTCAGGAGTTCGAGACCAGCTTGGCCAACATGGTAAAACACCAACTCTACTGAAAATACAAAAATTAGCCGGGCGTGGTGGTGCACGCCTGTAATCCCAGCTACTTGGGAGGCTGAGGCAGGAGAATCGCTTGAAGCCAGGAGGTGGAGGTTGCAGTGAGCTGAGATCACGCCACTGCACTCCAGCCTGGGCAACACGGCAAGACTCTGTCTCAACAAAAAAAAAAAAAGAAAGAAAGAAAGTAGAGGGAGAGAGTTCCAAGCAGGGGCAGCAGTGTGTGCAAAGGCCCTGGGGTAGGAACGAGCTTGGCTGTTGGAGGAGCTGAAATATATCTATGGGGCTGCATCTCTGTGGCGTCCTATCCTCTCTGCACACACGTTTACTAACCACCATGATCTCAAGGCAGGCACTGGCTGGAGGGCTCTAAAAGATCCAAAGCTTAATCCCAAGTGGTGAGGCGAAGGAGGGTTGGAATGGTCAATGTCTGAGCCAGGACAATGTCTAAGACCAGTGATCTGGTCTTAACACCGGACGAGTCACCTCTGTGGATGCCAGGCACTGCGTCCTTCAGCCATGACTGGTGTGTGGGGTCACGCAGGGGGTGCTCACCTCATGTTGAAGGGGGCCATCAGCCGCACCACGTACTGCCGGTCTTTGGGGAGCTTGAGTTTGGGGATCTTTGATGGGTCAAAGTCCGGCGGGTAGTATTTCTGCAGGGGAGGAAGGAAACGTTGGGGGAGTTATTTTCAGAAGCAGGGGCAGGACATGGCAGAGGGAAGGGGCTCTGGGGAGCTGTGTCGGGGGTCCCCAAGCCCACCCCAGGTTCCGCGACAGGCAGGGAGGACTCGCAGGACTCAGTACAGTCAGAGGGAGGCCAGGCACAAGCTTCCTGACTCTCTCCTAGTGGAGTTATACAGGACGCATTTAATTCTCCTAAATACCAGTCATGACAATACACATGAAATGCTGTCTACACGGGAAGCTCTAAAAAGCCAGGGTTTGTTTTTGTTTTTGTTCTGAGACGGAGTTTTGCTCTTGTTGCCCAGGCTGGAGTCCAGTGGCGCGATCTTGGCTCACTGCAACCTCCGCCTCCTGGGTTCAAGCGATTCTCCTGCCTCAGCCTCTACAGTAGCTGGGATTACAGGCGCCCACCACCACTCCCCGCTAATTTTTGTATTTTTAGTAGAGATGGGGTTTCACCATGTTGGCCAGGCTAGTCTCGAACTCCTGACCTCAGGTGATCCACCTGCCTTGGCCTCCCAAAGAGCTGGTATTACACACGTGAGCCATCATGCCCTGCCCTTTGTAGAGGTTAAGCTTTGCTTAGCACTTCTGTTGTTCAGGCAGGAGACCGAGTTCCCCGAGGAGTCCCAACTCCCCAGCAATTCTGTAGAGGGTAAACCAGGACTCTGTTAGCTCAGCCTCCCAATCACGATACTACATCCGTTTCCTACAGAGTCATCTCCCTGGATCTGAATCCTGAGGAGCTGAAACCTGCAGGGCTCAGTTTACTCCTCTGTGAAATGCGCACACTGTCCTCTGTCTCCAAGAGTCTTTGCACGCATTCCTTGAGGCAAGGGGGATAAAGTGCTCTTTGCAGTGTCTGGCACCCAGTAGGTGCTCCAAACACAAAGTGCTTTATTTTCCAGTGGTGCAGTGGAGGTATCTGTCATAATCCATACTCACACTCCCTTTGTATCCCAGGGCTCCTGTTTCCCAGGAGTTCCTACAGCAAGCCTGAGACTGCTCTCCTAGAAAGACCTGCGTGGGGCCGGGCGCGGTGGCTCACGCCTGTAATTCCAGCACTTTGGGAGTATGAGGTGGGTGGAATGCCTGAGATCAAGAGTTCAAAACCACCCTGGGCAACATGGTGAAATCTCATCTCTACTAAAATACAAAAAAAATTAACCAGGCATGGTGGCGGGCGCCTGCAGTCCCAGCTACTCAGGAGGCTGAGGCAGGAGAATCGCTTGAACCCAGGAGGCAGAAGCTGCAGTGAGCCAAGAACGTGCCACTGCACTCCAGCCTGGGAAGCAAGCGCAAAACTCCATCTCAAAAAACCAAAAAACAGAAGTGTGCCAACAGTATAGTTTATACTGAACCTCTGCTTTTCTTCTGGGAGTCTGGAATCTTGGCCACTGTCAGGCAGAGGTTATCTGCATGACCAGACCCCAGTAAAATCTTGGCCACTGTAAGGCAGAGGTTATCTGCATGACCAGACCCCAGTAAAAAAAACAAAACACACACACACACACACACACACACACACACACACACACACACACACACACACACACACACACACACACACACACACACACACACACACACACACACACACACACACACACACACGCGCCACCCCACCCCACCCCACCCAAAGTACACGATTGGTTACAGTCCCCAAGTGGGGCGGGGCTTCTCAGAGCCACGCCCCTCAAGAAGAGGGCAAAACACGGCCGCCAGCATTTAAGGAAGCCCCGCCCCCAGAAAAAAAACCCTATCTGGTGGTGATTGGGTAAAAGCCCAAGCCACGCCCCGCAGGTGACTAACTACACCCCAGCCCAGAAGGGAGACTTAGCGAAGGCCCACCCCCCCGACGGAAGGCGATGGGGAGGAGTCTAGGGAGGAGTCTGGGAAGCCCCATCTCGCGGAAGGCCGCTGGGAAAGAAGGGTTCCAAAGAAGAGATCTCAGGAAGCTCCTCCCTCTCCCGGAGTTCCGGGATGTCCTGCTCCGATTGAAAAGCCCCAGTCGCCCAACACTTACGTTTAATACTTTTCGCTCCGACATCTTTGCCTTCTGATCACCTCGCAAGCACCTGAGAAATGGTTAGGCTGGGTAATTATCGAGCTTTTCCGACGGAAGCCTTACTTCCGCAAACGTCACTTCCTTCGGCCGCTATTATTGGCTGCAGCATACACAGCAGACCTCTTTCATTGGTTCCAATCCCCGCCTATCAAGCTGGAAGTCCCAGCGTCTTCCCTCCGGAGTTGCAACCTGAGTAGCGCGAAATAAGGATTCCGGGAGCCATGTGGAATTGGAGAATTTTGTATAGTGCGCTGCGCCCCCTAGAAGCGGGCAGCGGCTCGTTAAAATTTTGTAACGTGACCTCTTGTTCTTCATTCTTTTATTCAGCAAATATGTATTATGCGCCTGCCTTGTATTCTGGGCTCTGGGAATCCACACATCGTTCCTGGGCCCGCAACTCTCACATGGGGTTGGGGCCACACATAGGGTGACTTAAGAGGACCCTGGACGACTCTTGAGTCACAGACATTGACTTAAAGATCAGGCTCCAAACCAACTTCCTAAACATACGCAGTGTCTCCCAAATGTCCCTCCATTGCCCACCTGTGCCTTCCCCTTAACGAGGACTTCCCATCCCATTCCTTCCCCAGCCTCCTTCCCCAGCCTCCTCCCCACCTTTCATGGACGTTTCCTCTGTGTCAGATTGTTCCAGGAAAGGGGTCCGGATCCAGACCCCAGGAGAGGGTTCTTGGATCTCGTGCAAGAAGGAATTCAGGGCGAGTCCACAGTGCAAAGCAAAAACAAGTTTATTTAGAAAGTAGATGAATAAAAGAATGGCTACTTCACAGACAAAGCAGCCCCAAGGGCTGGTGGTTGCCCATGTTTATGGTGATTTATTGATGATATGCTAAACAAGGGGTGGATTATTCATACCTCCCTTTTTTAGACCATATAGGGTAACTTCTTGATGTTGCTGTGGCAATTGTTTGTTTATTTATTTATCTTTTGAGGAGTCTTGCTCTGTTGCCCAGGCTGACGGGCAGTGGTGCGATCTTGGCTCACTGCAACCTCTGCCTCCAGTGGTGCGATCTTGGCTCACTGCAACCTCCACCTCAGGATTCAAGTGATTCTCCTGTCTCAACCTCCCGAGTAGCTGGGATTACAGGCACGCACCACCACACCTGCCTAATTTTTGTAGTTTTAGTAGAGATGGGGTTTCACCATTTTGGCCAGGCAGGTCTCGAACTCCTGACCTCAGGTGATCTGCTCGCCTCTGCCTCCCAAAGTGCTGGGATTACAGGCATGAGCCACTGCACCTGGCCAAAAATCAACTCCATCTTAAAATTAACAAGGCACATTCGCTGCCAGTCACGAGCCAGGGTCATAAGATGTTTACAATTGAGAAAACGTCTTACAAATGCCTAGGAGGACACACTACTACAACAATGGAAGGTCCAGATGTCCTGATATTGCATAGCAATGTATGCTTTTAAGATCGTTATAGTCGCCAGGCGCGGTGGCTCATGCCTGTAATCCCAGCACTTTGGGAGGCCAAGGAGGGTGGATCACCTGAGGTCAGGAGTTCGAGACCAGCCTGGTCACCATGGCCACCATGGTGGAACCCCATCTCTACTAAAAATACAAAAATTAGCCGGGCGTGGTGGCGGGAACCTGTAATCCCAGCTACTTGGGAGGCTGAGGCAGGAGAATTGCATGAACCCAGGAGGCTGAGGTTGCAGTGAACTGAGATCGAGATTGTGCCGCTGCCCTGTGGCCTGGGCGACAGAGTGAGACTCCATCTCAAAAAAAAAAAAAAAGAGAAAAAAAAGAAAAAGATACCGGGCATGGTGGCTTACGCCTGTAATCCCAGCACTTTGGGAGGCCGACGTGGGCGAATCACCTGAGGTCAGGAGTTCAAGACCAATCAGACCAACACGGAGAAACCCCGTCTCTACTAAAAATGCAAAATTAGCCAGGTGCGGTGGTGCAGGTCGAGAGTTCAAGACCAACCAGACCAACATGAAGAAATCTTGTCTCTACTAAAAATACAAAATTAGCCGGGCATGGTGGTGCATGCCTGTAATCCCAGCTGCTTGGGAGGCTGAGGCAGGAGAATCACTTGAACCTGGGAGGCAGAGGTTGCGGTGAGTCGATATGGCGCCATTGCACTCCAGCCTGGGTGACAAGAGTGAAACTCCATCTCAAAAAAAAAAAAAGAAAATATGGTTATAGTCATGGTGTAATGTACTTAGGCACTAAAATGGCAAGGATATGTATGTATACTTTTTGAGACAGGGTCTCGCTCTGTCACCTAGGCTGGAGTGCAGTAACGCAATCATGGCTCTCTGTGGCCTCCACTTCCCGGCTCAGGCGATCCCCCACCTCAGCCTTCCGAGTTAGCTGGAACTATAGGTACCACCACACCTGGCTAATATTTGGCAGTTTTTGTAGAGACAGGGTTTCGCCATGTTGCCCAAGCTGGTCTGGAAATCCTGGGCTGAAGTGATCTGCCGGCCTCGGCCTACCAAAGTGTTACAATTACAGGTGTGAGCCACTGCACCCAGCCAGGATAACTTTCTTTAAGTCGACAAAGTACTACGTTTTGTCACGCGGTCAGCCCACCTACACGTGGACATAGCTTTCACACAGATAAGACCCCTATATAAGAAAAAACCGGTTGTACATGGTGGCTCACACCTGTAATCCCAACACTTTGGGAGGCCGAGGTGGGAGGATCACTTGAGCTCAGGAGTTCAAGGCCAGCCTGGCCAACACGGTAAAACCTCGTCTCTACTAAAAATATAAAAATTAGCTGGGCGCAGTGGTACATGCCTGAATCCCAACTACTCAGGAGACTGAAGCAGGAGAATCGCTTGAACCTGGCAGGTGGAGGTTGCAGTGAGCCAAGATCGTGCCAAGATCGTGCCATTGTACCTGGGTGACAGAGCAAGACTCCATCTCAAAAATAAATCAATAAATAAAATAAAAATAAAAACCTTAAAACAAAGACAAGGCGTTCCTCCTCTTGTTTTCTGAGGACGCCCTACTTTGTAACTGAGTAGCCTTCCTTTTTTTTTTTTTTTTTTTTTTTTTTTGAGGAGTTTTGCTCTTGTTGCCCGGGCTGGAGTGCAATGGTACAATCTCGGCTCACCGCAACCTCCGTCTCCCAGGTTCAAGCTATTCTCCTACCTCAGCCTCCCAAGTAGCTGGGATTAAAAGCATGTGCCACCACGTCCGGCTAATTTTGTATTTTTAGTAGAGACGGGGTTTCTCCATGTTGGTCAGGCTGGTCTTGAACTCCTGAGGTGTTCAAGAGGTGATCCACCCACCTCAGCCTCCCAAAGTGCTGGGATTACAGGTGTGAGCCACCACACCCAGCTAGGGACCCCTTTTCCTGGCACCAGGAAGACAATAATATGGGACAAGGAATGGTGTTAAATAAAGTTTACAGGAAGCCATGGGTTTGGACTGAGCTCCTGCACTAGGCCCAAAAGACTAAACCAAAATGAAGTCCCTCATGCGGAAGTTTTACACCAAGCTGAAACTAAGTTGTTTTTCTGGTTTTCCAAGAAATCGAGAACTGGAAGGAAGTGGGGAGAGAGAGAGAGAGAGGGAGAGAGAGAAAGAGAGGGAATAGTCAAATCCATGAACAGAGGCAGGCAGATCACCTGAGCTCGGGAGTTCAAGACCAGCCTGGCCAACATGGCGAAACCCCGTTTCCACTAAAATACAAAAAATTAGCGGGGTGCGGTGGTGGGTGCCTGTAATCCCAGCTACTTGGGAGGCTGACTCACGAGAATTGCTTGAACCTGGGAGGCGGAGATTGCAGTGAGCCCAGATCATGCCACTGCACTCCAGCCTAGGCAACAGAACCAGATTCTGTCTCAAAAAAAAAAAAAAAAAGGCCAGGCACTGTGGCTCATGCCTGTAATCCCTGCACTTTGGGAGGCGGGTGGATAACGAGGTCAGGAGATTGAGACCATCCTGGCCAACATGGTGAAACCCTGTCTCTACTAAAAATACAAAGATTAGCTGGGCAGGGTGGCACACGCCTGTAGTCCCAGCTACTTGGGAGGCTGAGGCAGGAGAATCGCTTGAACCCGGGAGGTGGAGGCTGCAGTGAGCCAAGATTGTGCCACTACACTCCAGCCTGGGTGACAGAGCGAGACTGTCTCAAAAAAAAAAAAAAAAAAAAATCCCTGAACAGGCCTGTTTTAGCCAGCACGATAGTCTCCTTTGCTCTAAACTTGACAAGAAAAGTAACTTTGAAAAGACCAATCCACTTTTTGTTTTCTATTTCTGCTTTACTCAGCCTTTTTCTGTCTATAAAACCAACCTCTTTTTCAGTGAGCTGAGATCACCACTGCACTCCAGCCTGGGCAACAAGAGTGAAACTCCGTCTCAAAATAAATAAATAAAACCTGCTTTGCAAAAGTGGAAGGTTTGGCCGGGCATGGTGCCTCATTCCTGTAATCCCAGCACTTTGGGAGGCTGAGGCGGGTTGATCATGAGGTCAGGAGTTCAAGACCAGCCTGGCCAACATGGGGAAACCCCATCTCTACTAAAAATACAAAAATTAGCCGGGTGTGATGATGGGCACCTGTAGTCCCAGCTACTTGGGAGGCAGAGGCAAGAGAATCATTTGAATCCAGGAGGCGGAGGTTACAGTCAGCCAAGACCACGCCACTGCCCCCCAGCCTGGGTGACAGAGAGAGACTCTGTCTCGGGAAAAAAAAAAAATGGAAGGTTTAACAGACTTTAAAAAAGAAAGAAAAAGAACCCCTAATGTTGTCTGCTCAGCTCATGGAAACATTCTGAAACTGGTCCAATTGTTCCATAAAACGAATACTTATGATTATTTGAATAAACACAGAAATGGATCCTCCCTAGTCTTAAAACTTGAAACTTACATTTGTCTCATCTCAGTTCCTTCCTCAGGAAACTGACCATCAGGCAAGGAACTGAAACTCATCAGATCATCACATCCAGACAATGAGAGGCCAGACCCCATCATCCATCAAGATTACTTCCTTAACACCCTCCCTGAATTTGTTTTCTCCCATTCCCCAGCTATATAAACTCCCCAATTTTAGTTGGTCAGGGAGACATATGAGACTTTACCACCCCTTCTCATTGACTGCAGCGGCAGGATAAAGCATTCCTCCCTGGCAATCCTTGTTGCCTCGGTGATTGGCTTTCTGCGCAGAGGGCAGCAAGACCTAGACCAAACACCTGGTGTTTTAGTAGCTAATTCGATTTGATGAAATGAGGTGTTGCCTGATTCCAGAATTGCAAAGAAAACCCAATTCAGATCTCTGAACTATATAGGTTGCAGCATTTTTGTTTTGTTTTGTTTTGAGATGCAGTCTTACTGTGTTGCTCAGGCTAGAGTGCAGTGACGCGATCTCAGCTCACCACAGCCTCCACCTCCCGAGTTCAAGTGACTCTCCTGCCTCAGCCTCCCAAGTCACTGGGGCCACAGGCGTGTGCCACGCCCAGCTAATTTTTGTATTTTTAGTAGAGACGGGGTTTCACCATGTTGGCCAGGCTGGTCTGGAACTCCTGAGCTCAAGTGATTCACCTGCCTCAGCTTCTCAAAGTGCTGGGATTACAGGCATGAGCCTCTGCACCTGGCCAAGGTTGCAGCTTTATCTTTTGACCATGGATAGTGATGGAAAGGGTCAATTGTAGGTGATGCTTGAGGGGCCTATGGCTGTTGTAACAATTGACCACCAACTCAGTGTCTGAAAACAACATGCATTTGTTTTATTTATTTATATTTTTTTCTGAGACACGTCTTGCTTTTTCACCTAGGGTGGAGTGCGGTTCTATGATCATAGTCACTGCAGCCTCAAGCTCCCAGACTCAGAGATCCTCCCACCTCAGCCTCCCAAGTGGCTGGGACTAAAAGTGCATGCCACCATGCCCAGCTAAATTTTAAATTTTTTTTTGAGAGACAGGGTCTTGATATGTTGCCATGGCTGGTCTAGTACTCCTGGGGTCAAGTGATCCTCCCACCTTAGCCTCCCAAAATGTTGGGATTATAGACATGAGCCACTGCCTCTGCCCGACACACATTTATTATAGTTTTACAGGTCAGAAATAAAAAATGGACTGAGCATGGTGGCTCATCAGCCCTGTAATTCCAGTACTTTGGGAGGCCAAGGTGAGAGGATTGCTTGAGACTAGGAGTTGGAATCTAGTCTGAGGAACATGGTGAGACCCCATCCCTATTAATCTTTTTTTTTTGAGACGGGGTCTCACTGTCTCACCCAGGCTGGAGTGCAGTGGCACAATCATAGCTTATTGAAGCCTCAACCTCCTGGGCTCAGGCAATCCTCCTGCCTCAGCCTCCAGAGTAGCTGGGACCACAGGCATGTACCACCATGCCTGCCTAACTTTTGTATTTTTTGTAGAGATGGGGTCTCACTATGTTGCCCAGGCTGGTCTCAAACTCCTGAGCTCAAGCAATTCAGCCGCCTCAGCCTCACAAAGTGCTGGGATTACAAGCGTAAGCCACTGTGCCTGGCATCTATTAAATTTTTTAGAAATACTTGTTTTTTCTTTTTTTTTTTTTGAGAAGGAGTCTCACTGTCTCCCAGGCTGGAGTGCAGTGGCACGATCTAAGGCTCACTGCAAGCTCCGCCTCCCAGGTTCACGCCATTCTCCTGCCTCAGCCTCCCAAGTAGCGGGCACTACAGGCGCCTGCCTCCATGCCCAGCTAATTTTTTTAATTGTATTTTTAGTAGAGACAGGGTTTCACCGTGTTCACCAGGATGGTCTTGATCTCCTGACCTCGTGATCTGCCCGCCTCAGCCTCCCAAAGTGCTGGATTACAGGCGTGAGCCACCGTGCCTGGCTTTTTTTTTTTTTTTTTTTTTGAAATGGAGTCTTTCTCTGTTACCCAGGCTGGAGTGCAGAGATGTGATCACAGCTCACTGTAGCCTCTTCCTCCTGGACTCAAGAGATTCTGCCACTTTGGCCTCCCAAGTAGCTGGAACTATAGCTGTGAGCCACCAAGCCCAGCTAATTTTTAATTTTTTTTTTTTTTGAGACGGAGTCTCGCTCTGTTGCCAGGCTGGGGTGCAGTGGTACGATCTCGGCTCACTGCAACCTCCCCCTCCCAGGTTCAAGCGATTCCCCTGCCTCAGCCTCCCGATTAGCTAGGACTACAGGCATATGCCACCATGTCTGGCTAATATTTTTTTGTATTTTAGTAGAGACAGGGTTTCACCATATTGGCCAGGCTGGTCTCGAACTCCTGACCTTGTGATCTGCCCACCTGGGCCTCCCAAAGTACTGGGATTACAGGCGTGAGCCACTGAGCCCGGCTAATTTTTTTTTTTTTGAGACAGGGTCTTGCTCTGTTGCCCAGGCTGGAGTACAGTGGTGAGATCATAGCTCACTGCAGCCTTGATCTCCTGGGCTCAAGAGATCCTCCCACCTCAGTCTCCTGATTAGCTGGGACTATGGGCACGCGACATCACACCTGGCTAACTTATTTTATTATTTTATTTTTATTTTATTTTATTTTATTACTATTTTTTTTTTTGAGACAGTCTCGCTCTGTTGCCCAGGCTGAAGTGCAGTGGTACGATCTCGGCTCACTGCAACCTCCGCCTCCCGGGTTCAAGTGATTCTTCTGCCTCAGCCTCCCGAGTAGCTGGAGCTACAGGTGTGTGCCACAACGCCTGGCTAACTTTTGCATTTTTTAGTGGAGACAGGGTTTCACCATATTGGTCAGGCTGGTCTCGAACTCCCCACCTCGTGATCCACCCACCTCGGCCTCTCAAAGTGCTGGAATTACAGGCATGAGCCACCATGCCTGGCCTATTTTATTTTTTTAGAGATGGGGGTCTCACTATGTTGCCCAGGTTGGTCTGGAGCTCTTGGCCTCAAGCAATTCTCCTGCCTTGGCCTCACAAAGTGTTGGGATTACAGGCGTGAGCCACTGCGCCCGGCCCATTTTCATTAATTTGATGAAAGATCTTTCATCTTTAAAGACCTTTGAGATTATTAATGTAATCACTCCTATAAAGTTCCTTTGGCTGCATCAGGCAAAATACTCATGAGCTCTGGAGATTGGGACATGGATGTCTTTGCGGGATTGGGGAGTGTTACTCTACCTGCCACAGATGGGGTAGTCAGGGAAGGCTTCTCGGAGGAGGTGACTTTTGACTGGAGACCCAGGTGGAACCCACAGACAAGCCCAAGGCTGTTTCTCTCTCCTTCAGGGCCTGGCTGCCTTCCTTGCCCACTGTTCAGTTAAATCTCCCCAGAGCCACTCATACCTTATTGGTGTCTATCCTCAATGAGGCTGACATCTGGGCGAACCAACCTAACTGCTAATCTGAATGGATTCTTAATGGATTCTTTTTTTTTTTTTTTTTTCCGAGATCGAGTCTCGCTCTGTCACCCAGGCTGGAATGCAGTGGCGCGATCTTGGCTCACTGCAACCTCCACCTCCTGGGTTCAAGCAATTCTTCTGCCTCAGCCTCCCGAGTAGCTGGGACTACAGGCGGATACCCACGCCTGGCTAATTTTTTGTATTATTATTTTTAGTAGAGATGGGGTTTCACCATCTTAGCCAGGCTGGTCTTGAACTCCTGACCTTGTGATCCACCCGCCTCAGCCTCTCAAAGTGCTGGGATTACAGACGTGAGCCACCGCACCTGCCCCTGAATGGATTCTACTGTCCCACTCCAGGCGGAATCCCTGCCACCCCACCCTGGCATCCCCAGGCCCATGACGTCCCCTGGTCCAGCCCTGACACTATGGGAGTGGGGATTTGTGGTTTCTGTGTCCTTTGGTTTAGGGCTAAGTCCTCGCTGGATCTCCTCTAAGTGAAAAGAGGAGTCTTCATTTCCTTATTTTTTTCAGACGGAGTCTTAGTCACCCCATCGCCCAGGCTGGAGTGCGATGGCGCGATCTCAGTTCACTGCAACCTCTGCCTCCCGGGTTCAAGCAATTCTCCTGCCTCAGCCTCCCGAGTAGCTGGAATTATAGGCACCCACCACCACGCCTGGCTAATTTTTGTATTTTCAGTCGAGACAGGGTTTCACCATGTTGGCCAGGCTGGTCTTGAACTCCTGACCTCAAGTGATCCACCTGCCTTGGCCTCCCAAAGTGCTGAGATTACAGGCGTGAGCCACCATACCCAGCTGGAGTCTTCATTTCAACTATTATTTTTTTTGTTTTTGTTTTGAGACGGAGTCTTGCTCTGTTGCCCAGGCTGGAGTGCAGTGGTGCAATCTCAGCTCACTGCAACCTCCGCCTCCCAGGTTCAAGCGATTCTCCTGCCTTAGCCTCCTGAGTAGCTGGGGTTACGGGCTCAGGCCACCATGCCCAGCTAATTTCTGTATTTTTAGTAGAGACCGGGTTTCACCATGTTGGTCAGGCTGGTCTCGAACTCCTGACCTCGTGATCTGCCCGCCTCGGCGTCGGGATTACAGGCGCGAGCCACCGCACCCGGCCTCAACTATGATTAAAACAAACAAACAAACAAACAAAAAAACCAGGGTCTTGCTCTGTTGCCCAGGCATGAAGGCAGTGGTGTGACGACAGCTCACTGCAGCCTTAACCTCCTGGACTCAAGTGATCCTCCCACCTCAGCCTCCCAAGTAGTTGGGACTGTGGGCGCGCAACATCACACCTGGCTAATTTATTTTATATTTATATTAATTTTTTAGAGATGGGGTCTTGCTGTGTGGCCCGGACTGGTTTCGAGCTCCTGGCCTCAAGCTACCCTCCCACGTCGGCTTCCCAGTGACTGGGATTACAGGTGCGATCCACTGCGCCCAGCCCAACAACAATTCTTTTCTAATTAAACAATAAAAAATATCTCACAGTGACAGTTCAGTCAGCCCTGCACTGTGGTAAAGGTAAAGGTAAAGGAGAGAGTAGTACATCTCCATTTCTCAGCTAGAGAAACTGAGGCTCAAAGGGAAAAGTCGGTCATCTGAGGTTGCCCGGCAGCTCAGCAGCAGCAAAGCAAGGACTCCAGCCCAGGCTAGGCAGATCCCATCCGCCCTCCAACAGGTGTCCCGGGGCTTAGGGTGGCGAGGACCCAGGTGCTGTCTGGAGGCAGCGGGAAGCCCTTGCTACTTGCCCAGGCTCATTGTGGCAGTGGCGGGGAGACTCCAGTCACTCAGTTCCCCGTAGTCTGTGAGGTCCTGAGCCGCCACTTGGACGTAGTACCTGGCTCGGGGCCGCACAGCCCTGAGGATGAAGGACGTGGCTTCAATGGGCCCCACCTGAGAGAAGAGAGAGCGTCAGGTCACTAGAACCAGAAGATGGAGAGGGGCCACTGTGCACAGAACCACACAACGGAGCGTGCAGTCCTCCCTGCCCCCTGCAGGCTCCAGTCCAGGACTCTGGCCCCAGCTGTGCGGCCCCACCCCAAATAGCATCATGGGCTCCTCCCAATCCCGGCCTCTGTCTGTGTGGCCCCCAGAGCCACCTCTCTTACGAATCCTTCCTGGACCACACTAGCCCCTGTGGATGTCTCACCCAGGAGGGTCTTTGTTCATCAGGACATCCCTGATCCCTATAATCCTCTTCTTTCTCCTCCCTGGGACTAAACCAGGACCTCTGGGATAGGACCCCATACCTCCCTTTACCCCTGGTCCCACTATATTAACCATGCTTTTTTTTTTTTTTTTTTTTTTTTTGAGACAGTCTTACTCTGTTGCCCAGGCTGGAGTGCAGTGGGGCAATCTTGGCTTACTGCAACCTCTGCCTCCAGGCTCAAACCATCCTCTCACGTCAGCCTCCCAGATAGCTGGGATTACAGGCGCCCGCCACCATGCCTGGCTAATTTTTGTTTGTTTGTTTTTGAGACGGAGTCTCACTCTGTCACCCAGGCTGGAGTGCAGTGGCATGATCTCAGCTCACTGCAACCTCCACCTCCCGGGTTCAAGCCATTCTCCTGCCTCAGCCTCCTGAGTAGCTGGGATTACAGGCGCCCGCCACCACACCCGGCTAATTTTTGTATTTTTAGTAGAGCTGTGATTTCACCATGTTGGTCAGGCTGTTCTCGAATTCCTGACCTCGTGATCTGCCTGCCTCAGCCTCCCAAAGTGCTGGGATTACAGGCATGAGCCACCGCGCCAGGCCAATTTTTGTATTTTTAATAGAGATGGGGTTTCACCTGACCTCAAGTGATCTGCCTGCCTTGGCCTCCTAAAGTGCTGGGATTTCAGGCATGAGCCACTGCACCTAGCCTAACCGTGCTTTTTATTTTATTTAATTTATTTAAGTTGGGAGACAGAGTCTCTCTCTGTTACCCAGGCTGGAAGGCAGTGGTGCCAACACGGCTCACTGCAGCCTCAATCTTCCAGGCCCAAGTGATCCTCCCACCTCAGCCTCTTGTAACTGGGGGTACAGGTGTGTGTCACCACACCCAACTAATGTTTAAATTTTTTGTAGAGATGGGAGTCTCACTATGTTACCCAGGCTGGTCTCCAACTCCTGGACTCAAGCAATCCTCCCAACTTGGCCTCTCAAAGTGCTGGGATTACAGGTGTGAGCCACCCTGCCCAGCCAGAATTGTTCACTTTAAAATGGCTAATTCTGGCCAGATGAAGTCCTCACACCTGTAGTCCCAACACTTTGGGAGGCCCAGGCAGGTGGATCACCTAAGCTCCGTAGTTTGAGACCAGCCTGGGCAACATGGCAAAATCCCATCTCTACTGAAAATACAGAAATTAGCCGGGCGTGGTGGGCGCCTGTAGTCCCAGCTATTCAGGAGGCTGAGGCAGGAGAATCACTTGAACCTGGGAGGCGGAGGTTTCAGCGAGCCAAGATCGCGCCACTGCACTCCAGCCTGGGTGACAGAGCTAGACCTTGTTTCAATCAATCAATCAATAAAGTGAACAATTCGGTGGCTCACGCCTGTAATCCCAGCACTTTGGGAGTCCGAGGCAGGCAGATCACCTGAGATCAGAAGTTCGAGACCAGCCTGGCCAACATGATGAAACCCCATCTCTACTAAAAATACAAAAATTAGCCGGGCATAGTGGCACGTGCCCGTAATCCCAGCTACTCCAGAGGCTGAGGCAGGAGCATCGCTTGAACCTGGGAGGCGGAGTTTGCAGTGAGCCGAGATTGTGTCACTGCCTGGGCGACAGAGCGAGACTCTGTCTCAAAACAATAACAACAAAAACGGGTGTGCGACAGCTTGTGCAAGTCCCTGCTTTCCATCCTTTTCGGTAGAGGCCTAGGAATCAGATTGCTGGACTGCTCTTATTCAATGCACCCGGAATCGCAAGCTATGTGCAAGAGCCCAGCACACCTGCTAGTCTTGGTAAAAACCATTCCCTCTGCCAGGCACCACCCTTTCCAGCCTCCCCCTCATCCTCCTCACCCGGTGGAAGCGCGCAGCTCCCTGACGCTTGTAACGGATCCAGTACTTCAGTGAGAAGATCTCTGGGAAGGGCCAGGACCCGGGAGGCTCCCACTGCACCTGTAGCTGGCGCTCAGCGAGGGGGCTTAGGCGCACGCCTTCTGGAGGGTCGGGCTTGACTGACGGACAAGCAGGAAGCAGGGTCAGGGGACAGTAAGTCCAGTCATTCATTCATTCACTCATTCATTCAACCAACATATTATGTATATATTTTGTTTGTTTTGAAACGGAGTCTCACTCTGTCACCCAGGCTGGAGTACAGCGGCGTGATCTCAGCTCACTACAACCTCTGCCTCCCAGGTTCAGGCGATTCTCCTGCCTCAGCCTCCCGAGTAGTTGTGAGCCACCATGCCTGGCTCAACCAACAAATATTTATTGAGAAACTGTGTGCCTGGGGCTGCCACAGAGGGGACAAAACAGTGACCTTAACTGACCTACCCCTGTCCTCATGGAACTCACAATCCATCAGGGGGAAGACAGGAAATAAACAAATCCATAGGTCACACAGAATAGGGAAGAAAGCTGGGGAGTGCAGGAATGGCAGTGGCCGCAATTTTTGTTTTGTTTTGTTTTGTTTTTTGAGATAGAGTCTCGCTCTCTCGCCCAGGCTGGAATGCAGTGGCACAATCTCAGCTCACGGCAACCTCCACCTCCTGGGTTCAAGTGATTCTCGTGCCTCAGCCCCCTGAGTAGCTGGGATTACAGGCACCTGCCACTATGCCCAGCTAATTCTTGTATTTTTAGTAGAGGCAGGGTTTCACCATGTTGGCCAGGACTGGTCTCAAACTCCTGACCTCAGGTGATCGGCCTGCCTCAGCCTCCCAAAGTGCTGGGATTACAAGTGTGAGCCACTGAGCCTAGCCAGAGCTTGCAATTTTTAATAATCTACTCAGGAGAGGTCTTACTGAGGAGGTGATGTATGCACAGAGACCCGAAGGAGGTGAGGGAATAAGTCATGGGGACATTTGGGGGAAGGTGTTCCAGGTAGAGGGCACCGCCCATGCAAAGGCCCTGGGGCAGAACTATTCCTGGCATGTTGAACATCAAGGAATCACATGTGGCCACAGCAGAGTGAGCAAGGGGGAGACAGGGAGGAGGGGAGGGCATGGAGGAGACAGGGCAGGTTGTCCAGGGTTTGGTGGGCAGTAGGAAGGACTTGGGCTTTGACCCCAAGGCAGGTGGGAGCCATGGAGGGCTGTAGGCAGAGGGACGTGCCCTGACTCAGGTGCTCTCAGGCGCCCTCTGGTGGCTGCTGTGGGAAGGACAGACTGTGGAGGCCAGGGCTCAGGATGGAGGGGACTGGGCTGTCAATGATGGGGGTGCTCCACGTACTGGTAGAGGAGGGGGAAGAAGGGGTCAGATTTTTGCTTAAGTGTGAAGGTGCAGCCGCAGGACTGGAGGACAGGTGGGAGGTGGGGTGGGGGGAGCTGGAAGGAGACGGCAGCCCCGCCCCCGCCCCCACTGCCGCCCCCACTCACTGATGTGCTCTGTTATGAAAGGCACGAAGCTGCTGCTGGAGCCCCAGGGGTGGACGGCGGTGACATTGAGCACGTAGGGAGCCATGGAGAACAGCTGGACATCCGTGATGGTGCAGCTGGTGGACGTTGGCGTCTGCTGCAGGCAGGGCCAGCTGTGGCCCCGGGCAGCCATGCCGAGCCTGCACAGGGTGGGGCTCGCTGAGCGCCTCAGGGAGTGCCTGTGGCCTCAGCACCTCCTACTGCCGGGCCTGACCCGGGACCCCAAGGAGAGGCAGGAACAGGAGGGGGCAGCGGATGGGGATCCCGGGGTGGGGTCCTGGTGGTGGCCGTGCCACCCCCCGGGGGCAGGGCATGGGCCCCAACATCACGGTGCCCCTGATGGTTCAGGTCGGGGATTACAACCCAAGCTAGATGCTAGGGTCCGGGATTCTAAAGGTTTCTGGGATGTCAGCATTCATTCATTCATCCATCCATTCATTCATTCATTCATCCGTTCATTCATTCATTAATTCATTCCTTCATTCATTCATTAATTCATTCCTTCATTCATTCATTAATTCATCCCTTCATTCATTCATTCATTCATGACAGGGTCTCCCTCTGGCGCCCAGGCTGGAGTGCAGTGGCATGATCCTAGCTCATTATAGCCTTGAACTCCTGGCTCAAGGGATCTTCCCTGTCTCAGCCTCCAGAGCGGTTGGGACTACAGGCACGCATCACCACTCTTGGCTAATTTTAAATTTTTTTTCTACAGATGGGGGGGGGTCTCAGTATGTTGCCCAGGCTGGTCTTGAACTTCTGGGCTCAAGTGATCCTCCCACCTCGGCCTCCCAAGTACCTGGGACTACAGATGTGTGCCATTACATCCAGCTAATTTTTTTGATTTTAAGTACAGACAGGATATTGCTATGTTGCCCAGGCTGGTCTCAAACTCCTGGGCTCAAGTGATCCTCCCACCTCAGCCTCCAGAGTAGCTGGGACTACAGGCAAGTACCAACATGCCCAGCTAATTTTTTTTTCTTTTTCGAAATTTTTTCTTTTCTTTTCTTTTCTTTTCTTTTCTTTTTTTTTTTTTTTTTTTTTTTGAGACGGGGTCTCACTCTATCACCAGGATGCAGTGCAGCGATGCAATATTGGCTCACTGCAACGTCCACCTCCTGGGTCAAGCAATTCTCCTGCCTCAGCCTCCCGAGTAGCTGGGACTACAGGCGCGTGCCATCACACCTGGCAAATTTTTGCATTTTTAGTAAAGACAGGGTTTCACCGTGTTCGCCAGGGTGGTCTCCATCTCCTGACCTTGTGATCCGCCCACCTCGGCCTCCCAAAGTGCTGGGATTACAGGCGTGAGCCACCGCGCCTGGCCATGCCCAGCTAATTTTAAAAATTGTTTTTAGAGACAGGGTCTCACTATTTTGCCCAAGCTGGACTCAAACTCCTGACCTCAAGTGATCCTCCCACATCAGCCTCCCAAAGTACTGGGATTACAGGCATGTGCCACTGTGCCCAACCCAGGAAGTAGTTTTTTTTTTTTTTTTTTGAGATGGAGTCTTGCTCTGTTGCCCAGGCTGGAGTGCAATGGTGCCATCTTGGCTCACTGCAACCTCCGCCTCCTGGGTTCAAGCTATTCTCCTGCCTCAGCCTCCGGAGTAGCTGGGATTACAGGCATGAGCCACTGCACCTGACCAATTTTTAAAATTTTTCGTAGAGACAGTGTCTCACTACGTTGCCCAAGCTGGTCTCAAACTCCTGACCTCAAGCAATCTGCCCACCTCGGCCTCCCAAAGCGCTGGGATTACAGGCATGCACCACTGTGCCTGGCCCAGAAAGTATATTTCTATTGGACGGGGCCGCCCTAGAATTCCATAGGCCTGGGGTTCAGGATGTCGGGGTCTCCAGTTTTCCTGACCCCAGGGCTCTCAGGGCCAGAGTTCTGGGCTCTCCAGGAAGTCCAGTGTCCCTGAGGCCCCCTTCCAGGCTCTCCGACCTGTACGTGGCAATGAAGGACACGGGGCTGGTGGAGTTTGGAGCAGGCGGCAGGGTCCAGGAGCAATCCACGGCGATCGGGTACCGAGAGGCTCGGCATTGCACCCGGGGCAGTGTCAGAGCTGCTGGGGGCCCTGGAGGAAGACAGAAAGAGTGAGCTTCTGGTTTACCCCCAGATTGTCATAGCCCTCCCGTGCGCTGGGCTCCTGCCACGTTGCCAGCCAGCACCAGGTACATGGTAGGTGCCTAATAAAGGCTTTCGGAATAAATAGGTACATGGACAAAAGTCATCTGTCATCTTTTATCCCCACTGCAATCCATCTAGGTGAGGACTACTAGCCCATTTTCCAGATAGGGAAGCTGAGGTTTAAGCATCTACAGAGAGGAACTCGGGTAAGAGAGAGAGATTTTACCGTGTTCTCTCTTTTGTAATTGTTTTTTTTTTTTAAAGAGGGAGTCTCCCTCTGTCGCCTAGGCTGGAGTGCAGTGGCGAGATCTCGGCTCACTGCCACCCCCGCCTCCCGGGTTCAAGCGATTCTTAGCCTCCCGAGTAGCTGGGATTACAGGCATGTACTGCCACGCTTGGCTAATTTTTGTATTTTTAGTAGAGAGGGAGTTTCACCATGTTGGCCAGGCTGGTCTCAAACTCCTGACCTCAGGTGATCCACCTGCCTTGGCCTCCCAAAGTGCTGGAATTACAGGCGTGAGCCACCAAACCCAGCCTATAAATTATTATTATTATTATTATTTTGAGACAAGGTATCCCACTCTGTCACCTAGGCTGGAATGCAGTGGCACAATCATAGCTCACTGCAGCCTCCAATTCCTGGGCTCAAATTATCCTCCCACCTCAGCCTCCCAAGTAGCTGGGACTACAGGCACGTGCCACCACATCTAGCTAATTTTTTAATTTTTTGTACAGATTGGTGGGGTCCGGTTTCACTATGTTGCCCAGGCTGGTCTCGAATTCCTGGCCTCACGATCCTCACGCCCTGGCCTCCCAAAGTGCTGGAATTACAGGCATGAGCCACCATGCCCTGCTGTAACCATTTTGTCTTCAAGGACATGGAGATGTTCTCTAGTGCAAAATGAATGAATGTCGGCCGGGCGCGGTGGCTCACATCTGTCATCCCAGCACTTTGGGAGCCCGAGGTGGGTGGATCACCTGAGGTCAGGAGTTCAAGACCACCCTGGCCAACATGGTAAAACCCTATCTCTACTAAAAATATAAAAAGTAGCCGGGCATGGTGGCGGGCACCTGTAATCCCAACTACTCGGGAGGCTGAGGGAGGAGAATCTCGCTTGAACCCAGGAGATGGAGGTTTCAGTGAGCTGAGATGGTGCCACTGTACTCCAGCCTGGGCGACAGAGTGAGACTCTGTCTCAAAAAACAAAACCAAAAAGAAACCAAAGGAATGAGTGTGACTCAAATTCGCATGTCTGTGTAGCTATGTCTGTGTAGCTCTATGGATACCTCTGAGCTGTGACTGCCAGTCCCTATCACCCACAAGGTGACATCCTTCCACCCCCAATGTGGCACTCTGCCTCTCTGTGCCTCAGTTCCTCCATCTGTACAATGGGAGGGTAACCCCATCCCACCATTGGGCACGGGAGGATGTGATTTCCCACCCCAGACATGATCCGAGGCCAGTCCTCGTGTCATGTCCGTCTGCCTGGGCCCCCCAGTCCCCCAGGGGCCCCACATACCTTTCCTTCCACTGCAGGGCGGGCAGCTGGCCCAGAGGACAAGGGCCAGGAGAAGCTGCGGGGTCATGGCTGCGGCCAGCTCTGCTCTCAGGAGTGGGTGGGAACGTCGTGGGAGACTTGAGAGGGGAGGTGAGGACTTGGGACCTGCCCAGGGGAAAGCCCAGCCCAGGGTCAAGGCCCGCCCCCTCCCCGACTTCCTTCAGGTCTGACTCACTGGTGGGGCTCGTGGGGCCGCTAGGGAGATGAATTAGGGTGTGGAGGAGCCCCAGCCCCCTGGGGAGCACAGGCCACCCCTGCTCGGAAGGCCCCGAGGGTGGGGGCGGGGGAGGAGGCTGTGAAAGGGAGAAGTGGAGACCTGCTGGCTTTTCCCAGCACAGCATGTCCTGCTGGCCTTCCTTCCGCTGCCCTGAAGCGGGGGAAACCCCAGGCAGGCAGGCAGGGGCTCAGGGACATGGAGGGAGACAGAGGCAGAGATGGGGGAGAGAGGCAGAGAGACAGAGAAGACAGAAGGAAGACACAGAGAGACAGGGAGATGACAGAGACAGAGACACAGAGAGAGACACAGATGAGAGAGGCAGAGAGACAGAGACAAGAAGAGGAGGACACAGAGATAGAGGGATACAGAGACAGGGAGATGACAGAGACAGAGACAGAGAGACACAGATGAAAGAGGCAGAGAGACAGAGACGAGAGGAGGAGGACACAGAGATAGACAGGGAGATGACAGAGAGACACAGAGACACAGATGAAAGAGGCAGAGAGAAAGAGACGAGAGGAGGAGGACACAGAGAGAGAGAGACAGAGACAGGGAGATGACAGAGACAGAGACAGAGAGAGACACAGATGAGAGAGGCAGAGAGAAAGACAAGAGGAAGAGGACAAAGAGATAGAGAGACAGGGAGACGACAGAGACAGAGAGAGATACAGATGAGAGAGACAGAGATGAGAGGAGGAGGACACAGAGATAGATAGAGACAGGGAGATGACAGACAGAGAAAGGGGCATGACAGAGACAGAAACACAGAGAGAGACACAGAGATGAGAAAGGCAGAGATGAGAGGAGGAGGACACGGAGATAGACAGGGAGATGACAGAGACAGAGACAGAGACAAAGATGAGAGAGTCAGAGAGACAGATGAGAGGAGGACACAGAGATAGAGGGATAGAGAGACAGGGAGATGACAGAGACAGAGAGAGCTACAGATGAGAGAGGCAGAGAGACAGATGAGAGGAGGACACAGAGATAGAGGGATAGAGAGACAGGGAGATGACAGAGAAAGTGACAGAGATACAGATGAGAGAGGCAGAGAGACAAATGAGAGGAGGACACAGAGATAGAGAGAGACAGAGACAGGGAGATGACAGAGACAGAGAGAGATACAGATGAGAGAGGCAGAGAGACAGAGACGAGAGGAGGAGGACACAGAGATAGAGAGACAGGGAGATGACAGAGACAGAGAAAGGGGGATGACAGAGACAGAAACACAGAGAGAGACAGAGATGAGAGGAGGAGGACACAGAGATAGATAGGGAGATGATAGAGACAGAGAGAGACAGGGGAATGAGAGAGACAGAGACAGAGATGAGAGGAGGAGGACACAGAGACAGAGAGAGACAGGGAGATGATGGAAACAGAAAGAGAAACACAGAGAGCAGACAGACAGAGGAAGAGAGACAGAGGGACAGAGATAAGAGAGGAAGACAGAGATAGGGAAATGAGAGAGACACAGAGACAGAGATAAGGGAGGAAGACAGAGAAAGAGAGACACAGATGGGAAGATGAGAGACAGAGACAGAGAGACAGAGATGAGAGAGTAGGATAGACAGAGATAGAGAGATGGTGGGGCACGGTGGCTCACGGCTGTAATCCCAGCACCTTGGGAGGCCAAGGCAGATGGATCACCTGAGGTTGGGAGTTCGAGACCAGCCTGACCAAAATGGTGAAACCCTGTCTCTACTAAAAATACAAAAATTAGCTGGGCGTGGTGGCAGGCACCTGTAATCCCAGCTACTCTGGAGGCTGAGGAAGGAGAATCACTTAAACCTGGGAGGCAGAGGTTGCAGTGAACCAAGATTACACCACTGCACTCCAGCCTGGGTGACAGAGTGAGACTCCATCTCAAAAAGAACAACAACAACAACAAAAAGACTGATGGGGCAATGACAGAGATGGAGAAAGAGAGACAAAAGAGAGACAGAAAGAAGACAGGAAGACAGAAATAGAGATACGGGGAGATGACAGACACAGAAAGAGAGACAGAGAGATAAGAGAAGACGACAGAGGGCCGGGTGTGGTGGCTCACGCCTCTAATCCCAGCACTTTGGGAGGCTGAGGCGGGCGGGTCACAAGGTCAGAAGTTCGAGACCAGCCTGGCCAATATGGTGAAACCCCGTCTCTACTAAAAATACAAGAATTAGCTGGGCGTTGTGGTGCGCACCTGTAATCCCAGCTACTTGGGACGCTGAGGTGGGAGAATCGCTTAAACCTGGGAGGCGGAGGTTGCAGTGAGAGGAGGTTGCAGTGAGCCGAGGTCACGCCACTGCACTCCAGCCTGGGAGATAGAGTGAGACTCTGTGTCAAAAAAAAAAAAAAAAAAAAAGGCTGAGCGTGGGGGCTCACACCTGTAATCCCAGCACTCTGGGAGGCCGAGGCGGGCGGATCACAAGGTCAGGAGATCAAGACCATCCTGGCTGACATGGTGAAACCCCGTCTCCACTAAAAATGCAAAAAAATTAGCCGGGCGTGGTGGCAGGCGCCTGTAGTCCCAGCTACTCAGGAGGCTGAGGCAGGAGAATGGTGTGAACCCGGGAGGCGGAGCTTGCAGTGAGCCGAGATGGCGCCACTGCACTCCAGCCCGGGCGACAGAGCCAGACTCCGTCTCAAAAAAAAAAAAAAAAGAAGACAGAGATAGAAAGAGACAGAGAGATGGGAGATGGGGACATGAGAGAGACAGAGACAGAGCAAAAGAAACACAGAGAGACAGAGATAAGAGAGGAGGAAGACACAGACAAAGACACAGGGAGACAGACAAAACAGCAAGACAGACAGATGGAGACCAAGAGATAGAGACA
The DNA here is from genome assembly GCF_000001405.40 of Homo sapiens. Lineage (NCBI taxonomy): Eukaryota > Metazoa > Chordata > Mammalia > Primates > Hominidae > Homo > Homo sapiens. Next base: position 4,226,545 of record NC_000019.10, on the reverse strand, counting down.
GAGACGTGGAGACTGGGTGCGGTGGCTCACGCCTGTAATCCCAGCACTTTGGGAGGCCAATATGGGTGGATCACCTGAGGTCAGGAGTCCGAGACCAGCCTGACTAACATGGTGAAACCCCGTCTCTACTAAAAATACAAAAATTAGCTGGGCATGGTGGCACGTGCCTGTAATCCCAGGTATTCCGGAGGCTGAGGCAGGGGAATTGCTTGAACCCGGGAGGTGGAGGTTGCAGAGAGCCGAGATCGCATCATTGCACTCTAGTCTGGGCAATAAGAGCGAAAATCTATCTCAAAAAAAAAAAAAGAGAGAGACAGAGACATGGAGAAGAGAGACAGAGAGAGACACAGGAGCGCAGGCCAGGGGAGGCAGCTGCCACCGCAGATATCCCAGCGATCAGGATGCCCAGGAACAAGGAAACCCCCAGGGGCAGGCTGGACAGGCTCGGGGATCCCCGCTCCCACTCCTGCCTCCCCTCTGTTTGCTGAAAAATGCCAAGAAACCCGTGGGGATTTCGGGGGAGTTGCCAAGGGGCAGGGAGAGGCTGGGGGTAGGGGGCTTCCACCATGGCCAGCCTTAGGATTTAGGAAAGTATCTTTCTTTCCTTTTTTTTTTTTTTTAAATCTTTTTTTAGAGGCAGGGTCTTGCCCTGTCACCCAGGCTGAAGTGCAACAGCCTCTAACTGCTGCACTCAAGCGGTCCTCCCTCCTCAGCCTCCTGAGTAGCTGTGACCACAAGTGCGCGCCACCATGCCCAGCTAATTTTTGTATTTTTGATAGAGATGGGGGTTTCCCCATGTTGCCCAGGCTGGTCTTCAACTCCTGGGCTCAAGAGATCCTCCCACATTGGTCTCCCAAAATGCTGGGATTATAGGCATGGGCCACCGCACCCGGCCAAGCCTGCCTTTCTTTAACATTTCCATACTTAGTTCAGCATGCACTTTTTTTGCACCCATTTTGCCTTTTTGAAATATTGCATTAAGATGGAGTTTATCCAAAGGCCGGGCACCATGGCTCATGCCTGTATTCCCAGCACTTTGGGAGGCCAAGGCGGATGGATCACCTGAAGTCAGGAGTTCGAGACCAGCCTGGCGAACATGGTGGAACCCTGTCTCTACTAAAAATACAAAAATGAGCCGGGTGTGGTGGCACATGCCTTGTAATCTTAGTTACTCGGGAGGCTGAGGCAGGAGAATCACCTGAACCCGGGAGGCAGAGGTTGTAGTGAGTCGAGATTACTCCACTGCACTCCAGCCTGGGTGACAGAGGGAGACTCCGCATAAAAAAAAATAAAAGAGGCCAGGTGCGGTGGCTCAAGCCTGTAATCCCAGCACTTTGGGAGGCCAAGGCGGGTGGATCATGAGGTCAGGAAATTGACCATCCTGGCTAACATGGTGAAACCCGTCTCTACTAAAAATATAAAAAATTAGCCGGGCGTGGTGGCGGGCGCCTGTAGTCCCAGCTACTTGGGAGGCTGAGGCAGGAGAATGGCGTGAACCCAGGAGGCAGAGCTTGCAGTGAGCCGAGATGGCGCCACTGCACTCCAGCCTGGGCGGCAGAGCGAGACTCTATCTCAAAAAAAAAAAAAAAAAAGAAAGAAAAAAGATGGGGTTTATCCTGATGGCTGATTTGTGGCGTGGGGTAGGTGGGGAGGGGTGTGAGCGCTTCCTTTTCTGGGCCACCCTCTCCGCTCCCCGCAGTGGAAGCCCAGCAACGAGACGGCACGCGTTGGCCCTGTGCACAGAATGCCTTTATTCCTGGGCTGGCGTCTGGATGTGGAGGACACAGGGAATCACAGTCTCCGGTGGTGGGGGAGGGGCAGTCACGGCCCGGGTCCAGACTGACCAGTGTGTGCGTGCAGAGACCAGGTGGGGTGATGGAGCCAGCTGGGGGTGGTCGGGCAGGGAACCAGGCTGGTCTCCAAGTGCATGGGCCTGGATAGGGCCAAGTGAAGCCAAGTGAAGCCGGTCTGCAAGGGGCCTGCAGGGGGGTGAGGTCCCTGCGTGGGTGTGGTCAGTGTAGCCACTGGGCCTGGCCTTTCTCAGCGGCCCTGAGCCTGGAGTCTCTGCATCTGCAGAATCTGGCTGAGAATCCGCTGCACATCTTCATCCATCTGGCCCTAGGGTTGGGGGAGTAGAGGAAGACCCTGAGTATACCCTCCATGGCTGCCCCAAGTCCCTCCACCACTCCCATAGACCAAGCCAGCCAGGAGGGAAATGCACACAGGGGGGCTCCCACATGCCACGAACCTCTCCCCAGACCAGCCTCCCACTGTACAGAAGGGGAAACTGAGGCTCAGAGAGCAACAGTGGTATGCCCAAAGCCACCGGGTACCCAGGAGCTGGGCCACTCACCTGAATGGCATATAGGAGGTGGCTTCTGTACAAAGCCACCACGCTGGAGTGGTCCCTGGCAGCTTCCTGTGGGCATGAGGAAGGGGCGCTCAGAAGAGCAGGAGCACCTCCCCACTGAGCAAAACACACCAAAAAGCACCCTTTGCACCCCAAGCCTGTACGTTGATGGCCGACTGCTAAAATATGAAAATATGGCGGGGCATAGTGGCATACATTTGTAATCCCAGCACTTTGGGAGGCTGAGGTGGGTGGCTCACTTGAGGTCAGGAGTTCAAGACCAGCCTGGACCAACATGGTAAAATCCCGTCTCTACTAAAAATACAAAAATTGGCCAGGTGCAGTGGCTCACACCTGTAATCCCAGCACTTTGGGAGGCCAAGGCGGGCGGATAACAGGGTCAAGAGATCAAGACCACCCTGGCTAACATGGTGAAACCCCGTCTTTACTAAAAGTAAAAAAAATTAGCCGGGAGTGGTGGCACATGCCTGTAGTCCCAGCTACTCAGGAGGCTAAGGCAGGAGAATCGCTTGAACCCGGGAGGCGGAGGTTGCAGTGAGCTGAGATCGTGCACTGCACTCCAGCCTGAGTGACAAAGTGAGACTCAAAAAAAACAAAAAATTTCCCAGGCAAGGTGGCTCACACCTGTAGTCCCAGCTAGTCAGGAAGCTGAGGCAGGAGAATCACTTGAACCCGGGAGCCGGGAGGCAGAGGTTGCAGTGAGCCAAGATCGTGTCACTGCACTCCAGCCTGGGTGACAGAGTGAGACTGGCTCAAAAAAAAAAAAAAAAAAATATATATATATATATATATATATATATATGTATGGCCAGGCACTTTGGGAGGTTGAGGTGGAGAACTGCTTGAGGCCAGGAGTTTGAGGCTGCTCAGTGAGCTATGATTGCACCACTGCACTCCAGCCTAATAGAGCAAGATCCTATGTCCAAAAAAAAGGCAGAGGGCGGCCAGGAGCAGTGGCTTATGCCTGTAATCCCAGCGTTTTGGGAGGCTTATGCGAGCCCAGGAGTTCAAGACCAGCCTTGCCAACATGGTGAAACTCCATCTCTACTAAAAATACAAAAATTAGCTGGGTGTGGTGGTGCGTGCCTGTAATTCCAGCTACGCAGGACGCTAAGGCATGAAAATTGCTTAAACCCGGAAGGTGGAGGCTGCAGTGAGCTGAGATTGTGCCACTGCACTCCAGCCTGGGCGATGGAGTGAGACCCTGTCTCAAAAAAAATAAAGGAAGTATTTCCTGGCCATGCCGTGCATGTGATGTGGACCCCACCTGCCTACCCCAGCCCCTCTCCTGGGATTCCCACCTGCGCTGTGCTGATTGGTAAATATTTGGACTCCTCCACCCTGATGGTCCCCTGGCCCCTGCGTGGCCCAGTCCTTACCTGCAGCTGCTGCTGTAAATCCTTCACCTGGTCACGGAGAGCCTCCACCTCAGGGGTGGCGAGGGCGGCCGGCTGCTCCTTCAAGGCTTCCTTAAGATTGAAGACTTCTTTGGAGAGTTCTGTGATCTGAGGGTGCAGGTGCTGTCAGCGATCACCCTAAGCCCAGAGCTGGGGGCTGAGGACCTCTCTGCAGCCGCAGGAAGAGGCCAGGGATAAAGGCTTTCAAGGGAAGGTCCCGTCCCTGGGGTTAGCAAACTCTGGCCTGAGGGCCACGTCTGGCCCACAGCCTGTTTTAATTGTATTTATTTATATTTTAGATGCTTATGGTTACCAACACAGCCTGTTTTTATACAACCCACAAGCTAAGGTTGGTTTTCACATTTTTTTGTTTTTGTTTGTTTCTTTTTGAGACAGAGTCTCGCTCTGTTGCCCAGGCTGGAGTGCAGTGGTGTGATCTCAGCTCACTACAACTTCCGCCTCCCAGGTTCAAGCAATTCTCCTGCCTCAGCCTCCTGAGTAGCTGGGACTACAGGTGCCCATCACCACATCTGGCTAATGTTTCTATTTTTAGTAGAGACGGGGTTTCGCCATGTTGGCCAGGCTGGTCTTGAACTCCTGACCTCAGGTGATCCACTTGCCTGGGCCTCCCAAAGTGCTGGGATTACAGGCGTGAGCCACCGCGCCCGGCCAATAGTTCTTAACTTAGTAGTTGCTGTGATCCTGCACAGAGATTAAGTTTAAACTGTGCCTAGTCAACAGTAGGCACTCAATAAATGCCGGGCCTTATTATTACTATAGATCTGGGGTTCTCAACTTGAGGCAATTCTGCCCCCCAAGGGGACACTGGGTGTTGTGTGGGGACATCTGTGGTTGTCACGACTTGGAGGAGCTCTTGGCTTGGAGTGGGTAGAGGTCAAGGACGCTGCTCAGTCCCCTACAATGCCCAGATGGCCCCAGCCCAGGAAATGATCCCGCTCCTATGTCCACAGTGTGCAAGGGAAGAAACCAGGCTACAGATAAACCATCATCCTAACTGCAATTTTGCCCTCCCTTTACAGAGGGGAAACTGAAGCTCAGAGAGGTGAAGTGTCTGGTCTAAGGTCCCACAGTGAGTCGAGGCTGGGTCATTCTTTATGCTGAAGCGCCTGGGACTCTGGGTGTCTCGTCTCCTGTCCAGTGACATGTTGCGTGACTTTGAGCCACTCACTTCATCTCTTAAAGCTTTGGTTTGCTTATCTGGAAAATGGGGACAAAAATACTTTCTGAAACCAGGTGCGGTGGCTCACGCCTGTCATCCTACCACTTTGGGAGGCTGAGGCAGACAGATCGCTTGAGCTCAAGAGTTTGAGACCAACCTGGGCAATATGGTGAAACCCCATCTCTTACCAAACAAACAAACAAACAAACAAACAAAAGCAAAAAAAAACAGGCCAGGCACGGTGGCTCATGACTGTAATCCCAGCACTTTGGGAGGCTGAATCACCTGAGGTCGGGAGTTCGAGACCAGCCTGGCCAACATGGTGAAACCCAGTCTCTACTAAAAATACAAAAATTAGCTGGGTGTGGTGGCACTCGCCTGCAGTCCCAGCTACTCGGGAGGCTAGGCAGGAGAATCTCTTGAACCCGGGAGGTGAGGTTGCAGTGAGCCAAAATCATGCCACTGTACTTCACCCTGAGCGACAGAGTGAAACTTTCTCTCAAAAAAAAAAGAAAGAAACAAAAAAATTAGCCAGGCATGATGGCACACACCTGTAACCTGTAGTCCTGGCTACTCAGGAGGCTGAGGCAGGAAGATCGCTTGAACCCAGGAGGTCGAAGCTGCAATGATCTGAGATTGCACCACTGCACTCCAGCCTGGGTGACAAAGTGAGACTCTGCCAAAAAAAAAAAAAGCTTTCTGGCTTTTAGCGTTGCAGGAAGATTAAAAATGGTAATGTGTGAGGCCGGTCGCGGTGACTCACGCCTGTAATCCCAGCACTCTGGGAGGCCGAGGCAGGCGGATCACGAGGTCAGGAGATTGAGACCATCCCAGCTAACATGGTGAAACCCCATCTCTGCTAAAAATACAAAAAAATTAGCCGGGCGTGGTGGCAGGCGCCTGTAGTCCCAGCTACTCGGGAGGCTGAGGCAGGAGAATGGCGTGAACCCGGGAGGCAGAGTTTACAGTGAGCCAAGATCACGCCACTGCACTCCAGTCTGGGTGACAGAGCAAGACTCTGCCTCAGAAAAAAACAAAACAACAATAAAAAAAGGTAATGTGTGAAAAATTCCCAATCTAACACCTGGAGGCTGTTGTTATCATCATTAGTATTGTTTAGGAACGAAACGTGGGAACGTGGGTACAAACCCAGCTGAAAGACTGCATGGCTGTGTGACCTTAGGCAAGTGACTTCACCTCTCTGTGCTTCTGTTTCCTCAAATGGGGATAATAAAAGCCCCTATCCTGTGAGAACTGGATGTGACTAAATGCATCCAGTCCACAGGGCCTGGCATGCAGTAAGCACTCAATAAATGTAACTGTGGAGACAGACGCAGTGGCTCACGCCTGTAACCCCAGCCCTTTTGGGGGCTGAGGCAGGCGGATCACTTGAGCTCAGGAGTTCGAGACCAGCCTGGCCAACGTGACGAAACCCCATCTCTACTAAAAATATAAAAAATTAGCTGGGTGTGGTGTCGCATGCCTGTAATCCCAGCTGCTCGGGAGGCTGAGGCACGAGAATTGCTTGAACCCAGAGGTTGCAGTGAGCCGAGATCATGCCACTGCACTCCAGCCTGGGCGACAGAGCGAGACTCCGTCTCAAGTAAAAAAATAAAATAAATGTAACTGTGGTTATAATTGGTACCTGGAACAGCAGCCTGTGTGTGTCTGACTTGTCAGAGGCTGTAACCAGGTCCCCTTCCGTTTCTGAGCCTCAGTTTCCCTTCTGGAAAATGGGTTGATTTTCCAAGGCCCTTGCAGTGAGGACCTTCGTAGATTGGCCCCAACCTTTGCTGAGTGGATGCCTCCCTGACTGAGTGTGGGAGAGGGGGCACCCACCTTCTTGTCCTTCTCCTTGGCCTTGTCCAGAGCCTCCTGGGCCCGGCTCTGGGCCTGGCGAGCCCTTTCCGCCTCGGTCCGTAGCCCCCGTAGCTGCTGCTCTGCTGTGGCCAGCTGTGCCTCGGCTGCGTGTCGCTCACTCTTCATGAACAGGGCCTCACGCTGCACCTGTGGCCCAAGCCCACGCATGACTCTCAGGACACTAAGACTCCAATGATGCTAGACCCCAGAATTCATATGATCCTTCTACTTTGTTCTTTTGTTTTTGGATTTTTTTTAAGACAGGGTCTTGCTCTGTTGCTCCGGACCTGCACTCCTGGCTGGAGTGCGGTGGTGCGATCATGGCTCACTGTAGCCTCAATCTTTCAGGCTTAAGTGATCCTCCCACCTCGGCCTTCCAAGTAGCTGGGACCACAGGTGCCACCATGCCTGGCTACTATTTGCTTGTTTTTGTTTTGTTTTTGTTTTTTTTTGAGACAGAGTCTTGCTCTGTCGCCTAGGCTGGAGTGCAGTGGTGTAATCTCAGCTCACTGCAACCTCCACTTCCCGGGTTCAAGCGATTCTCCTGCCTCAGCCTCCCCAGTAGCTGGGATTACAGGCACGTGCCACAATGCCAACCTAATTTTTGTATTTTTAGTAGAGACGGGGTTTCACGATGTTGTCCAGGCTGGTCTCGAACTTGTGACCTCAGGTGATCCACTCACCTTGGCCTCCCAAAGTGCTGGGATTACAGGCGTGAGCCACGGTGCCCGGCCATGAGCTCAGGTGTTTGAGACCAGCGTGGGCAACATGGCAAAACCCTGTCTTTACAAAAAATTAAAAAGTTAGACGAGCATGGTGGTGCACACCTGTGGTACCAGCTACTTGGGAGGCTGAGGTGGGAGGATTACTTGAGCCCAGGAGGTGGAGGTTGCAGTGAGCTATGATTGTGCCACTGCACTCCAGCCTGGGTGACTGGGTGACTTTTCAGACAGAGCCACACCCTGTCTGAAAAAAAAAAAAAAAGAAAGGAAGGGAAGGGGAAGGGGGGAGGGAAGGGGGATGAAGAAAGAAAGGAAAGAGAGAGGAAGGAAGGAGAAATAAAGAGAAAGAAAGAGAGAAAACACAAGTGGAAAATTCCAAGAGGTCAGGATGGCTGCAGGGTCAAATGTCTGTTCAAGGCCAGGTGCGGAGGCTGATGCCCATAATCCCAGCACTTTGAGAGGCTGAGGTGGGTGGATCACCTGAGGTCAGGAGTTCAAGACCAGCCTGGCCAACACGGTGAACTCCCATCTCTACTAAAAATACAAAAGTTAGCTGGGCGTGGGGGCAGGTGCCTGTAATTCCAGCTACTCCGGAGGCTGAGGCAGGAGAATCACTTGAACCGGGAAAGAGGAGGTTGCAGTGAGCTGAGATCACACCACTACACTCCAGCCTGGGCGACACGAGTGAAACTCCATCTCAAAAATAAATAAATAAATAAATAAATAAATAAAATAAAGTAGGTCTGTTCAAGTAAAACTGATGGGTTCAAAACACCTCAAGGCTGCGGGGCTAAAACAGGCCGCCACGTGGCCAATGGGGGTGGGGCCCGGGTGGTGACCAGCCCTGCTCACCTGGAAGACCTCTGCGCTGGTCTTCTCATGCCGCCGTCCCAGCTCCTCCAGCTGCCCCTCCAGCTGGGCCACGTTGGCCTGCAGGGTGCCCACGATGCGTTCGTGCTCCGAGAGCGCCACGCTGCACACACGCTCCCGCTCCAGCTCCGCGCGCAGCCGGGCGGCCTCCTTGCCCGTGGCCACCACCTCCTGCTCCAGACTGGCTGCCCGGCCCCGCAGCTCCAGGGCCTCCTCCTGCAGCCGGCGGTGCTCAGAGGCCGGCACCACGGACTGGCGGAGGGCCTCGGAGGCCTCCCGCAGCTCGGCCAGGCCCTGCCGCGCCTCCTCGCAGGCCGCAGGCAGCTCAGCCACTCGGGCCTCAGCGGCGTCCCGTGCCCGGCCCAGTTCCGCGGCCGCCGTGCGCTGCTGCTCCCCCGTGGCCCTGGCCGTGGCCAGCTGCTCCCGCAGAACCTCCAGCTCCCGGCTCTGCTCCAGCCGCGCCTCCTCCCGCTGGGCCAGCTCGGCCCGCAGGCCCCGCGCCTCCTCCTCCGCCAGCAGCCGGCTGGCCCGAGCCTCATCCAGGCAGGCCGAGGCCGCCTCCAGCTCCCGCAGGCGGGAGTCCCGGTCTCGGAGGTCCTCCCGGGCCTGCTCCAGGGCCGCCCGCAGCTGTGTGGTGTCACCGCCACCGCCCCCGCTGGCCCCGCTGCCCTCGGCCTCGCGGACACGCTCTCGCAGCCGGCCTGCCTCGGCCTCCGCGGCCTCGCACTTCCCCAGGGCCGCCTCCAGCTCCGCAGCTGCCTCCCGCTCCCGCTGCCGGAGAGCCTCCTCCAAGCCACGGATCCTGGTCTCCAGCTCTACTTGAAGCTTTTCCGAGGCCTCTGCGGCACCAGGATGTAGGATGGGGCCAGCAGAGATCCCCGGGACCGTGGCCTCTACCCCTGGGTTCTCCACACCTGTGGCACTGACTCCTGTGGATTCCATCCCTGTGGCCCTAGAGCCCGTGGCCTCCATGTTTGTGGTCCCTGTGACTGGGGGCTCTGCTTGCCCAGCACCCACTCCGTAGGCCTGCATTTCTGCTTCCTCTGCTTTTGTTTTTGTGGCCTCCACCCCCATGGCCTCCACTCCCGTGGTCTCTGTGTCTGTGGCCTGAGCTCCTGTGGGCTTAGTTTCCATGTTTGCTTCTTCTTCTGTGGTCTCCATTTCTCTGACCTCAGCCCCTGTGGGTTTTGTTTCTGTGACCTTGGCTCCTGTGGCCTCAGCTCCCGTGGCCTCGGCTCCCGTGGCCTCAGCTTCCATAGTCCTGGCTTCCATGGTTTCATCTCCTGCAGCCTCCTCATCTATGGTCTCGGCTCCGTTAACTTTGGTTTCTGGAGCCACTGAGCCATTTAGCTCCATGTGGGTTGGCCCGTTTTTGGTGGCCGTGGCTCCAGCAACCTCACTCTCCCCACAGGCTGCCCCCTCTTCTCTGGGGACCTCTCGTGTCTCCTGCTGCCTCAGGGCCTGCAGGGCCTCAGCGTGCTGCCTGCGTAGCTGGTCAAACTCGGCCCGGAGAGAGTCATAGAGGGCAAGAGGGATGACCTCTGCCAAAGCTTCCACTTCCATCTGTGTCTCGTCCTTCTCAAAGTTCTCCAGGATCTGGGGAGTGGAGTGGGGGGCAGGAGTCTGGCAGGAGTTGATGTGACCGTGGGGACACAGGGCAGCCTTGCCACCTTCCCTGCCCACCCTGACCTCAGGGAACCAGCCCTAGGTCCTCAGATCTGTCCCCAGCCTCACTTTCCCTACCTGGACCTTCTCCATCAGTTCCTGGTTCTGTCTGGTGAGCACAGCCACCTGTTCCTGCAGCGAGGCCAGGTGTTCCTGGGCCGACGGACTGAGTTGTCTGGACAGCAGCACCTCGGCCCCTGGAGGGGGACGCAGAGTCAGGCCCTGGGGACCTGGGCCACAGGGGGACAGGAGGTGGGGGGCTGGAGTGGTGGATCAGGGTTCCCAGGGCAGGCTCAGCCAAGCAGAATTTAAAAAACGGATGAGTACAAACCTCCCTCCCAGCTTCAAACTCCCCCACACCCAGAGGCTCCGTCTTCCAGGGCCCCAGGGGACAAGGCGGCTGGGAGTGCGTGGGGAGGTGGGGGCTCACCTGGAAGGTCAGGCAGCTCACCCTCCTCATCCTGCAGGGTGGTTACGTCATAGCTAGTATTCTCCCGCTCGTTCTGGGGGGAGGGAGCAGAGTCCAGCTCGGGGTTCTGCTCTCAGCCCCCGTGTGTCCCCACCAAGACTCCAGTGGGGACTGGGCTGTTCACATACCTGTATGTCTCCCACGAGCACCAGATGGCTGCATTTGGCCCACAAGGATTTAGTGAGCACCTTCCATGTCCTTTGCCACCCACTCCCCGTGCCACTTTTTTTTTTTTTGGAGCCAGGGTCTTACTCTGTCACCCAGGCTGGAGTGCAGTGGTGCGATCATAGTTCACTGCAGCCTCCAACCTCTGGGCTCAAACAATCCTCCCACCTCAGCCTTCCAAGCAGCTGGGACTACAGGTGTGCAACACCATACTTGGCTAATTTTTAATTTTTTTTTTTTTTTTCAGAGATGCGGTCTCGTCACGTCGCCCAGGCTAGTCTCGAACTCCTGGGTTCAAGCGATCCTCCTGCCTCAGTCTCCCAAAGTGTTGGGATGACAGGCATGAGCCACTGTGCCTGGCCCTATTTTTTTTTTTTTTTTGCCCCCAGGCTGGAGTGCCATGGCACGATCTCGGCTCACTGTAACCTTCGCCTCCCAGATTCAAGTGATTCTCCCGCCTCAACCTCCAGAGTAGCTGGGATTACAGGCATGTACCACCACGCCTGGCTAATTTTTGTATTTTTAGTGACACGTGGTTTCACCACGTTGGCCAGGCTGGTCTCGGACTCCTGACCTCAGGTGATCCACCCGCCTTGGCCTCCCAAAGTGGTGGGATTACAGGCGTGAGCCACCGAGCCTGCCCCCATTTTTAAAACTAGGTTGTTTTTTGGGTATTGAGTTGCATTAATTCCTTACATATTTTGGTTATTAACTCCTTATCAGATGCATGGTGTATGCCAGCATCCCCCAGCTTCCTGGCCTATGTGCCATGGGCGTTTCCCTCCTGGGTGAGGGGACTCGGGGCAGGCTGTGGTTACCTGTGGGTGTGTTTGTCTGCATGAGAGTGGATGCGACAGTATCCATTTGGCATGCAAAGAGCTGGCTGGAGGTGTGTCTTTGTGACCATACGTGTGGGTATAGTGTTGTGGGTTGGGGGCCCCTCCCTTCCTGTGACTATGTGAGATTACATGCATGACTTTTTGTTGATTTGTTTTGAGAGAGTCTCGCTCTGTCGCCCAGGCTGGAGTGCAGTGGCGTGATCTTGGCTCACTGCAACCTCCGCCTCCTGAGTTCAAGCGATTCTCCTGCCTTAGCCTCCCGAGTAGCTGGGATTACAGGAGCTCGCCAGCACACCCGGCTAATTTTTGTATTTTTAGTAGAGATGGGGTTTCCCCATGTTGGCCAGGCTAGTCTCAAACTCCTGACCTCAGGTGATCCACTCGCCTCAGGCTCCCAAAGTGCTGAGATTACAGGCGTGAGCCACCGTTTCCGGCTTCATGCTTGAGTTTTAGTCTGGTGTATGTGTGGTTGTGTTTTGAATGTGCCTGTGGATCTCTGTGTTTGTGTGTATGGTTTTCTATATGTATACATGTTTGCATAATTGTGTGTTTTCAGAAATACTGGTGGGGCTTGGTGGCTTATACCTGTAAGATGGGAGGATTACTTGAGGCCAGGAGTTCGAGACCAGACTGGGGAACATAGTGAGTCCCCATCTCTCCAAAAAGAAAAAAATTAGCCAGGTGTGGTGGCACATGCCTGTGGTCCCAGCTACTCGGGAGGCTGAGGTGAGAGGATTGCTTGAGGCCGGGAAAGTCAAGGCTGCAGTGAGCCATGATCGTGCCACCGCACTCCAGCCTGGACAACAGAACAAGACCCTGTCTCAAAAAAAAAAAAGAAATATTTGTTGCATGTGTATGTATTTGTGGGCATGTTGTCTGTGTGTGACTGCACAAGACGGGTGCACGTGCAATGCATGCGTGTGTGATGATGTGTTCTTGGACGTTGTTTCTTGCGTGTCTGTAAACTGTGTGTTTGTGGGTGTGCCTGCTGTTAACCATGCTCCGCCACGTGCATAGAGAGTGGTTATCCATCCCTGCATGGATGCGTATGCTTAGAGAAAACTCCTTTCTGGGTCTGAGTGTGGTGGCTCATACCTGTAATCCCAGCACTTTGGGAGGCCAAGGCAGGCGGTTCACCTGAGGTCAGGAGTTCAAGACCAGCCTGGCCAACATGGTGAAACCCCATTTCTACTACAAATACAAAAATTAGCCGGGTGTGATGGTGTGCGCCTGTAATCCCAGCTACTCGGGAGGCTGCGGTAGGCAGGAGTATCACTTGAACCAGGGAGGCGGAGGTTGCAGCGAGCTGAGATTGCACCACTGCACTCCAGCCTGGGCAACAAGAGTGAAACTCCATCCTCCCCACTCCCCAAAAAATACAAAAATTAGCTGGACATGGTGACGTGCAGCTGTAGACCCAGCTACTTGGAAGGCTGAGGCAGGAGAATCGCTTGAACCAGGGAGGCAGAGGTTGCCGTGAACCGAGATCACACCATTGCATCCCAGCCTGGGTGACAGAGCGAGACTCTGTCCAAAAAAAAAAAAAAAAAAGAAGGAAGGATAGAAGGAAAGAGAGAAGAAAGGAAGGAAAAGGAAAGGAAAGGAAGAAAGAAGGAAGGGAAGGAAGAAGGAAAGGAAGAAAGAAGGGAAGGAAAACGAAGGAAGGAAGGAAAGGAAGGAAGGGAAGGAGGGAGGGAGGGAAGGAAGGAAAGAAAGGAAGGAAGGAGGGAAGGAAGGAAGGAAAGGAAAGAAGGAAAGGAAGGAAGGAGGGAGGGAAGGAAGGAAGGAGAAGGGGAAGAAAGGAAGGTCCTTTCTGTGTCTGTGCACATTTGTAAATGTGCATGGGTGCATGTGACTGTGGGACTGTTTGTTTGTTTGAGACTGAGTCTCGCTCTGTCACCCAGGCTGGAGTGCAGTGGTGCGACCTCAGCTCACTGCAGACTACGCCTCCCGGGTTCAAGTGATTCTCCTGCCTCAGCCTTAAGAGTAGCTGGGACTACAGGCGCGCACCACCACACTCAGCTAATTTTTGTATTTGTAGTAGAGACGGGGTTTCACCATGTTGGCCAGGACAGTCTCGATCTCCTGACCTCGTGATCCGCCCGCCTCGGCCTCCCAAAGTGCTGGGATGACAGGCGTAAGCCCTCGCACCCAGCCAAGACTGTGGGTTTGTGGGTGCATGTGTCTGGTGCGTGTGTTTGCACGTGTGTGAGGCTGTGCATGCACTGGTGTGACTGTCTTGTCGCTGCTGTAGGAGAGAAGTTCCCCGACCCAGCCCCAGCCCAGCCCTGACTCATCACTGCTCCTACCTCCAGCAGGGACAGCCGGCTCTGCAAACTCTCCACCTCCCGTCCCAGGCTCTCCTTCTCCTCTTGTCTCTCCACCAGCAACTGCTGTAGCTCTTGCACCTGGGAGCAGCAGTGGAGGCTCAGCTGCCTCTGGGAGGAAAGGCTGGGCAGCAGGAGGACCGGCTCCTCCCCACCTTCCCACCTACCTGTCTCTCCAGGATGTGCAGGGAGCTGGCCTCCGGGGACTGACGGGAGAAACAGGGACAGGGGTTTGGATCTGGGCAAGAGGCCTCCCTGCCCCACCTCCTGCTTCATAGCCTCCATTCCATGCACATTCACGCATTCCACGTGCAACTATTCAGCACCTACTGAATTCTGCCCGCTCACTCATTACTATTGAGTGCCTGCTGTGTACCAGGCACCATTCTGCCTGCTCACTCATTACTAAATATTTATTGAGCACCTGCTGTATGTTGAGCCTCATTCATTCCTATTTATTTATTTATTTATCTTTTTTTTTGAGATGGAATCTCACTCTGTCCCCCAGGCTGGAGTGCAGTGGTGTGATCTCGGCTCACTGCAAGCTGCGTCTCTTGGGCTCACGCCATCCTCCTGCCTCAGCCTCCTAAGTAGCTGGGACTACAGGCGCCCGCCAACAGGCCCGGCTAATTTTTTGTATTTTTAGTAGAGACGGGGTTTCACGGTGTTAGCCAGGATGGTCTCGATCTGCTGACCTCGTGATCCGCCTGTCTCAGCCTCCCAAAATGCTGGGATTACAGGCATGAGCCACCGCGCCCGGCCTCATTCCTATTTATTAGGTGCCTACTTTGTGCCAGCTATTGTTCTGACCTGTCACTCAGTATTTATTGAGCACCTACTGTGTGCCAGCATGCACCATTCTGACCAGTCATTCATTTCTAAGTATTTATTAAGTGCCTGCTGTGTGTGCCAGTATGCACCATTCTGGACAATTACTATGTACTTATTAAGCACCTGCTGTATGCCAGGCACCGTTCCATCCACTCATTCACTCAACAAGATTGTTTTTGTTTGTTGTTGTTGTGGTTGTTGTTGTTGAGATGGAGTCTTGCTCTGTCACCCAGGCTGGAGTGCAGTGGTGTGATCTTGGCTCACTGCAACCTCTGCCTCCCGGGTTCAAGCAATTCTCCTGCCTCAGCCTCCCAAGTAGCTGGAATTACAGGCCCCTGCCACCATGCCCAGCTAATTTTTTTTTTGTATTTTTAGTAGAGACAGGGTTTCACTATGTTGGCCAGGCTGGTCTCGAACTCCTGACCTCAAGTGATCTGCCCACCTCAACCTCCCAAAGTGCTGGGATTACAGGTGTGAGCCACCGTGCCCAGCCAGAAAGTTTTTACTGGGTGCCTCTTATGGGGCAGACCTGGTTTTGGCCATTCATTCATACACTCACTTGAATATTCACTCACCCAATCAATATTGACGACGCCCATACTGTGACCCAGGCACCATCAGCCATGCCTGCCCTCGCAGGCTCACAGTCAAATGGGTGGACACACATAAAACAGATGCATGCCCAATAGCAGCAAGTGATGCAAATGGAGATAAAGAGGCCGGGTGCGGTGGCTCACACCTGCAATCCCAGCACTTTAGGAGGCCGCGGCGGGAGGATCACCTGAGGTCAGGAGTTAGAGACCAGCCTGGCCAATGTGCTGAAACCCCGTCTCTACTAAAAATACAAAACTAGCTGGATGTGGTGGTGGGCGCCTGTAATCCCAGCTGCTTGGGAGACTGAGGCAGGAGAATCGCTTGAACCCGGGAGGCGGAGGTGGCAATAAGCCGAGATCGTACCATTGCATTCTAGCCTGGGCAACAAGAGCGAGACTCCGTCTCAAAAACAAAACAAAACCAAAAATAAATAAAAAAAAAATAAAGTGAACTAGCGAGTTGGCCGGGGGGGTGGTGGGGGGTGATGTTACAATTTTGAAGAAAGTGGGCATGGGAAGTGGGCATGGGAAGTGGGCATGGGAAGTGTCTTTGGCGAGGAGCCTACTGCATAAAGTAGGTGAGGTAAAGAGCTGTGGGGCCATCTGGGGCTAGAGCATTCCAGGCAGAGGACACAGGTGGTGCAAAGGCCCTGAGGCAGGACTGCGCTAGAGCATTCCAGGCAGAGGACACTGGTGGTGCAAAGGCCCTGAGGCAGGACTGCGCCTGGCGAGTTGGAGGAACAGCGAGGAGGCCCAGGTGGCTGCAGCAGGGTGGGGAGGGAGAGAGATGGAGGAGGGAAGGTGGGAGAAAAGTAGGGGGATCTTCATGCCTGCATTGACCCCACCCAGGCTGGCCCACGCCCAAATCTCCGAGGCCTCCTAACCTCCTGCTGCCTCCGTTCCTTGTGCTGTTCCAGGCCCCGGATCTTCTGCAGGAGGCGGCCCCTCTCCTGCCGCAGCCTCACGATCTCCTCATAGGCATCTCGATCATCCTGTTCCCCTCCCCACCACGGCCTTTAGATGGGGCCTAAGGTTGCCCCATCCCAGGTCTCAGCCAGAGCCCCTCCCCGTGCCTGGGGGCTCCCCATGCCTCCTCCCGTGCCCAGAGCATCTCTCACCGGCATGGGAATGCTGGCGGGAGGTGGAGGCGCCTTCCGCTTCTTGGGGGCCCCCTGCTTTCCATGGCTGGACATAGAGTTCTGGGAAGGGAGGGGAGAGAGAGTGAAGGGGGCCGATCGGGGGGCCATGCCAGCCTCCCCCACAGTAAACCAACCCAGCCAGCCCCAGCCATGGCCTGACTTCCTGAGAACATGGAACCAGCAGCCCCTGCCTCCTGCCGCTTACTTATCCCAGCAAAGCGCAGACAAGACCAACTCCCTGTAAGTTCCAGATCTTACTCTTTACTCTCTGCTCCTCTCTGTCTCTCAGTTCTTTCCCCAGCTAGACCACATTGCCCACACGTTTTCACTCCTCTGTGGAACAGAGATGCTTTAAAACTGGGAGAGGGGCCAGCGCGGTGGCTCACACCTGTAATCCCAGCACTTTGGGAGGCCAAGGTGGGTGATCACTTGAGGTCAGGAGTTCGAGAGCAGCCTGGACAACACAGAGTGAAACCCCGACCCTACTAAAAATACAAAAAATTAGCTGGGCATGGTGGCGCACGCCTGTAGTCCCAGCTACTAGGGAAACTGAGGCAGGAGAATCACTTGAACCTGGGAGGCAGAGGTTGCAGTGAGCCAAGATCACGCCATTGCACTCCAGCCTGGGTGACAGGGCGAGACTCCATCTCTCAAAAAATAAACAAAACAAACAAACAACAACAACAACAAAAAAAAAAAACTAGGAGAGGGGTCGCGCTCAGTGGCTCATGCCTGTAATCCCAGCACTTTGGGAGGCCGAGGCGGGTGGGTCACTTGAGGCCAGGAGTTTGAGACCAGCCTGGCCAACAGGGTGAAACCCCATCTCTACTAAAAATACAAAAATTAGCCAGTTGTGGTGGGTGCCTGTAATCCCAGCTACTAGGGAGGCTGAGGCAGGAGAATCGCTTGAACCCAGGGGGTGAAGGTTGCAGTGAGCCAAGATCGAGCCACTGTACTCCAGCCTGGGCGACAGAGTGAGACTCCACCTCGGGGAAAAAAAACACAAAAAAACTGAAAGAGGGGAAGAGGCCAGATCTGCTTCCTTCCCCGAAGACACCAACCCTCAACAACCTCAGTCCCCACTGCCCTCCCACCCCAGCCCCATAATTTGGCCCCATCCAGTATTCTCACCCAGTTCTGGGAGTTAGGCTGAGCACACTGCCGCCACTTGGTGGCAGCATACCCTGAAGGTAGCATTCTTTCCAAACAGGTTTTCCCAGGTCTAACTTCCTTCTCTTCTCACAGAGCTTGGGGCAGGGGAGAAGTTAGTGTGGATGCAGGGAGGAGGGGCTCCTTCACTGCTTAGGGGTCCATACCTGAGATGACGCCTCGCCTGAATCATCCTCTGTGAGGGCTGGGGAGAGAGGGAAGCAGGGTCAGGCATTCTGTTCCCAGGCCCAGGAAGGGCATTGGTGGGCCCCAGGGACTTGTAGGGGGCTCCCGATTTCCCCAAGAATCAGGGCGTTTAAGGTAGAAATCTGGCGCTTGGGTAGAGTGCTGAGAGAGGGACTTGGGACTGTTAAAAAGAGAGGATAGGCTGGATGGGGTGACTCATGCCTGTAATCCTAGCATTCTGGGAGGCCAAGGCGGGTGAATCACCTGAGTTCAGGAGTTTGAGACCAGCCTGGCCAACGTGGCGAAACCCCGACTCCACTAAAAATACAAAAATTAGCCAGGCGTGAGGGACTTAGGCGGCAGGCACCTGGAGTTCCAGCTACTCTGGAAGGTGAGGCAGGAGAATTGCTTGAACCACGTCTAGCTAATTTTTGTATTTTTAGTGGAGACAGGGTTTCACCATGTTGGTCAAGCTGGTCTTGAACCCCTGACCTCAAGTGATTCGCCCACCTCGGCCTCCCAAAGTGCTGGGATTACAGGCATGAGCCACCTTGCCCAGCAGGGGGTGCCCTTCTTAGGACAGGCAAAGTTCTTACTGTACAGATGACCCAGGAAAGCAGAAGCAGACCCCCTCCCAGACTACTCTAAATGCCCTGGGGCTCCTTGAAACTGTTCTGAGTAGAATTGGGTAAGCTCTAGGACCTCCTAGAATGCAGCCAATCGGGGGTACCTTGAAACTATTCACGATAAAGAGAAGGGGAGTGACAAGAAGCTGCCAAGAAGCAAATGCATTGGGGAGGTGGGGCTTGCATACCGCTGGGTGGGGAGGGGCGCTGGGCCGCCTCTTGCAGAAGGTGCAGGATGAGTTTGTCCCCCGCCAGGGCGCCATAGTGAGCCGCGTCCTGCCCCAGCGCATCGGTGATGCCCGGCTGGGCTCCGCCCTGCAGCAGGACCTCCACTGTTTCGGGGCTGGCCCCCTCACAGGCCAGCATCAGGGCCGTCCTACCAGGGGAGGGGGCTACTGAGGAGATGAGAACATCCCCCAAGCCCCCATGCCCACCTCAGCACCCAGGCCAGGCTGGGAAGAGGAGGCTGGCTAGATCGTCTTACTTAGGTTAAGTCTTGCCGAAGGTCACACAGCATAGGGTGGACTGGCTGGGAGGGGAGATGCTCACCTGCCTTGCAGGTCCTGATCGTTCGCGGCAGCCCCTTGCTGCAGTAGGAGACGGCACAGGTCTGTGTGACACATCTGAGCTGCTATAATGAGGGGTGTTGCGCCTGACTGGTAGGGAGGAGGAGGGATGCGATGGCATGAGAAACTGACCCCCGGGAGGTGCAGAAGCCTATATAACTGCCCTTGAGTTTCACCTCAAACTTTCTCAGACTTTCAAAGGGTGCCTGAGATACTGCCACTTGGTGGCAGCATACCTCAAGCATAACATCTTCCCTGAAGAGATCCCAGAAGCTTACCCGATCTTGGGGGTTTAGATGTGCCTTAAAGGAGCAGAGCACCTCTGAGCAGGAGAGACAGCCACCAGCCGCTGCAAAAGAGAAAAGGTTGTCCGGTGCGGTAGCTCAACCCTGTAATCCCAGCACCTTGGGAGGCCAAGGCAGGAGGTTCGCTTGAGTTCTGGAGTTTGAGACCAACCTGGGCCAACACAGTGAGACCCTGTCTCTACAAAAAAAAAAAAAAAAAAGCAAACATTATCTGGGTGTGGTGGTGTGTGTCTGTGGCCCCAGCTACTAGGGAGTCCCCAGCTGAAGCGGGAGGACCGCTTGAGCTCAGGAGTTCAAGGCTGCAGTGAACCATGATGGCACCACTGCAAACCAGCCTGGGTGACAGAGTGAGATCTTGTCTCAAAAACCAAGAAAAGAAAGGAAGACAAACAAAAGGGGGAAGAGTAGGGGTAGGGTGAGACTTCGACATTTTCTGGGCACTTTCTGCCTGGGTGTGACCCTGCTCCTTTATTTCATGAGAAATTCCCATGTGCCCTGAGGAATTTGTAACAAAGGCAAGTTTTGCATTTTACAGATGCAGCAACTGAGGCCCAACCAGGCCAGTGGTCACCCACTGGGGTAAGAGGCAGAGTCAGATCTAGGATCTAGGTCTGCCGACTGCCAGTCCCAAGCACTGTGGTTCCCTATACTTTTTGTAGAGACGGGGTCTCGCTGTGTTGCCCAGACTGGTCCCGAACTCCTGGGCTCAAGTGATCCTCCTGCCTCGGCCTCCCAAGGGGCTGGGATTACAGGAATGAGACCCACACTACAAGGCATGTGCAACCGTGCCTGGCTAATTTTTATTTTATTTTATATTATATTATTTTATTTTTTTAGAGACAGGGTCTTGCTACGTTGCCCAGGCTTTTCTTGAACTCCTGGGCTCAAGCAATCTGCCGCCGGGACTGTAGGCGTGCACCACCACTCCTGGCTAATTCTTTTTTTTAATTTTTTATGGAAATGGAATGTCACTATATTGCCCAGGCTGGTCTCAAACTCCTAGGTTCAAGCAATCCTCCTGCCTCTGGCTCCCAAAGTGCTGGGATTATAGGCTGCAGCCACCATGCCCGGCCCCGTTTATGTGTTTATGTATTTATTTAATTTTATTTATTTATTTATTTATTTATTTATTTATTTATTTTTGAGACGGAGTCTTGCTCTGGTCACCCAGGCTGGAGTGCAGTGGCCCGATCTCGGCTCACTGCAACCTCCACCTCCCGGGTTCATGCCATTCTCCTGCCTCAGCCTCCCGAGTAGCTGGGACTACAGGCGCCCGCCACCACACCCGGCTAATTTTTTGTATTTTTAGTAGAGACGGGGTTTCACCGTGTTAGCCAGGATGGTCTCGATTGCCTGAGCTCGTGATCCACCCGCCTCGGCCTCCCAAAGTGCTGGGATTACAGGCGTGAGCCACCGCACCCGACCTATTTTTATTTTTTGAGATGGAGTCTCCCTCTGCACCCACGCTGGAGTGCAGGGGTGTGATCTTGGCTCACTGCAACCTCCGCCTCCCCGGTTCCAGCGATTCTCCTGCCTCAGCCTCCCGAGTAGCTGGGATTATAGGCATGAGCCATCACGCCTGGCTAATTTTTATATTTTTAGTAGAGATGGGGTTTTGCCATGTTGCCCAGGCTGGTCTCAAACTCCTGGGCTCAAGCAATCCTCCCACCTCTGACTCCCATAGTGCTAGGATTACAGGCGTGCACCACTGTGCCTGGCCTGTCTATTTATATTTTAAGAGATCCCTCCTACTGCCATTTGCCCAGGACCAGAGTGGAAACAGGGAGGCTCCCCAGGAGGCTGTGCAGCTGACACAAGGGCATGGTCTCTGGAATCCCTGGGTATGAATTCCAGCAGGTTGACATCCAGTCTGATTAAGCACAAAAATCCATTTTTCAGTCAACAAACTCTGTTTGAATACCTGCTGTATGTCTGAGGCAGTATGAGGTTTTGATTGCTGCAAACCTTATCTACAACACGTAGAACGGTGCCTGACACACAGTAGGTACTCAATAACTGTTTGTTGTTGTTGTTGGTTGGTTGGTTTTTTTGAGATGGGGTCTCGCTCTGTTGCCCGGGCTGTGCAGGGGCATGATCTCGGCTCTATGCAACCTCCACTCCCCGGGTTTAAGCAATTCTCCTGCCTCAGCCTCCCGAGTAGCTGGGATTACAGGCACATGCCTCCATGCCTGGCTAATTTTTTGCATTGTTTAGTAGAGACAGGGTTTCACCGTGTTGGCCAGGATGGTCTTGATCTCCTGACCTCATGATCCGCCCGCCTCAGGCTCCCAAAGTGCTGGGATTATAGGCGTGAGCCACTGCACCCGGCCTTAATTTTTTATTATTAGTAGAGACAGGGTTTCACCATGTTGGCCAGGCTATTCTCGAACTCCTGACCTCTGCTAATCTGCCCGCCTGGGCCTCCCAGAGTGCTCAGTTAACTGTTGAGTGACAAAAACCAACGGACTCCTATATTGTGACCAGAAGCATTGCCGCCACTAGGTGGCAGCATACTCCAACTGCAGAGAATTCTCACCCAGTGACTAAAACCCCCAAAGCCCTATTTTATTCTGAGTTTCCGAAAGAACAGATGTTTCTTGAGTCGTCAGCGAAAGCCATGCCTGAATTTCACGGGGACAGCGGACAGGTCGGGGGCTGAGTTCTGGTTCAAGTCGGTGGGTCCCTTTCCCTCCCTCTGGGAAGGAGTTTGGATTAGGTGATTATGAGGGTACCAGCTGCCTGGAGCTATGGTTTTCCTGGTATCTCCTAGGGGCTCCACAAAGGAAATTAAACCCTAGGGACCTCTCCTCATCCTCACAAAGCCCAGGAGTACATTCGACTGCTCCTTGAGGTCAGACGACCTGGATTCCCTACGATTTACCTGCTGCGGACAAGTGACAGCCTCATTAAGCCTCATCAAGCCTCATCTGTGCAATGGGCTAATAGCCTGTGGTTCAAAGGGTAACCGGGATTTATGATGGGCTCCAGTGCCTGGCACACAGTAGGTAATAAAAAAGGAGAAGGGCCGGCACGGTGGCTCACGCCTGTAATCCCAGCACTTTGGGAGGCCGAGCAGGCGGATCACGAGGTCAGGAGATCAAGACCATCCTGGCTAACACAGTGAAACCCCGTCTCTACTAAAAAATACAAAAAAATTAGCCGGGCATGGTGGCAGGCGCCTGTAGTCCCCGCTACTCGGGAGGCTGAGGCAGGAGAATGGCGTGGACCCGGGAGGCGGAGCTTGCAGTGAGCCGAGATCACGCCACTGCACTCCAGCCTGGGTGACAGAGCGAGACTCCACCTCAAAAAAAAAAAAAAAAAAAAAAAAGGGAGAAGGGCCGGCACGGTGGCTCACGCCTGTAATCCCAGCACTTTGGGAGGCCGAGGCGGGCAGATCACCTGAGGTCAGGAGTTCGAGATGAGCCTGGCCAACATGGTGAAACCCCATCTCTACTAAAAATACAAAAAAATTTTAGGTGGGTGTTGTGGCATAGGTCTGTAGTCCCAGCTACTCAGGAGGCTAAGGCAGGAGAATTGCTTGAACCTGGGAGGTGGAGGTTGCAGTGAGCCAAGATTGCGCCATTGCACTCCACCCTGGGCGACAGAGGGAGATTCTATGTCAAGAAAAAAAGGAGGAGGCTAGGTGAGGTGGCTCACGCCTGTAATTCCAGCACTTTGAGTGGCCGAGGTGGGAGGATCATTTGAGCCCAGGAGTTTGAGATCAGCCTGGGCAACATAGCAAGATCCTGTATCTACAAATAAATTTAAAATATTAGCCAGGCATGGTGGTGCACGCCTGTGGTCCCAGCTACTTGGGAGTCTGAGGCAGGAGGATCGTTTGAACCCGGGAGGTCAAGGATGCAGTGAGCCATGATTGCCCCACTGTACTTCAGCCTGGGCAACAGAGCAAGACCCTATCTCATAAAAAGAAAAGGAAGGCCAGGAGCGGTGGCTCACGCCTGTAATCCCAGCACTTTGGGAGGCCAAGGCGGGTGGATCACCTGAGGTCAGGAGTTCGAGACCATCCTGGCCACCATGGTGAAACCCCGTCTTTACTAAAAATACAAAACATCAGCCAGGTGTGGTGGCAGGTGCCTCTAGTCCCAGCTACTCGGGAGGCTGAGGCAGGAAAATTGCTTGAACCTGGGAGATGGATGTTACAGTGAGCTGAGATCTTGCCACTGCACTCCAGCCTGGGCAACAGAGTGAGACTCCGTCTCAAAAAAAAAAAAAGAAAGAAAGAAAGGAGGAGACAGGAAGCTTCACAGCAGGTCAGGTCCCTAGGGCCCTGGGCAGAATAACCCCCAAGTCTAGCACCCTCTGGGCTTCGGGGTCAGGGCAGGGCTGGGCTGCACCCACCTGCATGGTGTAGGGCAGTCCACCCGCTGCTGTCCACGACGTCCACCACGCAGGAAGCCTGGGGATGGGGCGAGTCCTTTGAGGCGGAGCCATCCTTCTTGCTGCCTGATTTCTCTAGGACTGCCTTCCCTACCCTGGGCTCTGCTATACTTCAGCCTCACCCTTCCGTGGCCCCCAAGGGACTCCATTTTCATGAAAATTGGTGAGAAAAGAAAATAGCTGAGAGCTGAGAAGCAGCTGAGAATTTGAGGAGTGGCTGGGAACTCTGGGAGTGTCTGGGGCTAAGGAAGGACCCAGGGCTTGGGGAGAAACAGAGCTCAGGAAATACCTGGCATTGGGAGTATATATATATATTTTAGATGGTGTTTCGCTCTTGTTGCCCAGGCTGGAGTGCAATGGCATGATCTCGGCTCACTGCAACCTCCGCCTCCCAAGTTCAAGGGATTCTCCTGCCTCAGCCTCCCTAGTAGCTGAGATTACAGGCACACACCACCGCTCCCAGCTAATTTTTTGTATTTTTAGTAGAGACGGGGTTTCACTGTGTTGGCCAGGCTGGTCTCGAACTCCTGACCTCAGGCGATTTCACCGACCTCAGCCTCCCAAAGTGCTGGGATTACAGGCGTGAGCCACCGCGCCTGGCTTGGGAGTACATCTTAAATAGGAGAAGCATGTGGATGGTCTGAGAGTACCTGGTTATCCAGGGAGTAGCTAGGGTTCTGGAGTAAAAGGGGCCAAGGAATATCTAGGATTCATAGAGCATCTGGGGGTTCAAGGAATTGCTGGAACTCAGGAGTAGTAGGGGCCAAGGGAGTAGCTGAGATAAGACAGTAAATGACCTGCAGTAGTTGCTTCAAGCACTGTGGGTGCCCGTATTTGGCGGCCAGGTGGAGGGCATTGTAACCTGGGGAAGGAAAGAAGATTTACTGGAGCTCCAGCTATTCAAGTAGCTCCCAGCTGCTCCCCAAGCCATGTCAACTACTTGTGATGAGTTTCTGAGTCTAGCAAAGTCCGTAAACCCTAGTATTTCTCTCCTTTTTTCCCTGCAGAAAGGATCTTGCTCTGTGGCCCAGGCTAGAGTGCAGTGTGATCATAGCTCACTGTAGGCTTGAACACCTAGGCTCAAGCGATCCTCCTGTCTCAGCCTTCCGAGTAGCTGGGACTACAAGCAAGTGCCACCATGTCTGGCTAATTTATTTGTATTTTCTGTAGAGACAGGAGTCTTGCTATGTTGCCCAAGCTCGTCTTGAACTCCTTGGCTCGTGCGATCCTCCCACCTCAGCCTCCCAAAGTGCTGGAATTAACAGACATGAGCCATGGTGCCCGGCCATCAGGTACTTCTCAAAACCATGCTATTCCCTGTACCCAGAGACTCTCTAAGCCATGGCTAGTCTGTATTCCAGACAATCCCATCTCAGCGACTGTCCACACCCACCTATTCCTCAAGCCCTATTGCCTCAGCTACTCCCCATGTCCCCAGATACTCTACAGGGTCCACTACACCAAAGTTTCAGCTCTGCCCTTCACAACCCACAGTTGCTGTATATGTTCTTGCCAATCCATATACCCTTCCTCTTCCAAATGCCAACTCTGTCCCTGTCTGATGCTCCATGAATCCCCAGCTATTCCATATTCCCTGCCCACCATGCCTGTGACCCTAAAGCTTCAGATTTGACTGTGTCCCCATGCCTAGTTGCCTCCTGAGCCCCAACTACTCCTTTTGGCCACACATTTTTATCTCAGTTATTCCCCCCAGGTCTCCAGTTAAGTCATACATACATACAAGTTCTCCTCGTAACCCAGCTACTCCAAGAGCTCAAGCTACTCCCACAGCTCCAGCTACTCCTAGATCCCAGCTATCCCATATACCTCAGATATCCCCAAACTCTACTTGTTATTCTCTTGCCCCAGATACTTTGCAAGCTCAGCTACTCCCATGAATCCAGTTCCTCCTCCAAACTCCAAGCAGTTCCCTTCAGTCACTTCCTTTATCTCGGATACTCCTATATCCCAGATGCACCTCAAAGCTTAGTTCGTCCAATGGTCCCAGTTATCTCCCAAGCCCCAGTTCTTCCTCTGCCTCAGTCACTTTCTAGAAACTTCCCCAGGCTTGGCATGGTGGCTCACACCTATAATCTCAGCACTTTGGGAGTCTGAGGTGGAAGGATCACTTAGAGCCCAGGAGTTCAAGACCGGCCTGGGCAACACAGGGAGACCCCATCCCTACTAAGAATAGAAAAATTAACTGGGCATGGTGGTGTGCGCCTATAGTCCTAGCTACTTGGGAGGCTGAGGTTGGAGGGGATCCCTTGAGCCCAGGAAATGGAGACTGCAGTGAGCTGAGATCATGGCCACTGCACTCAAGCCTGGGTGACAGAGGGAGACCCTGTCCCTCCCCCCAAAAAAGAAAAACAAAACAACAAAACCCCAGAAACTTTGCAGCTATCCCCCAAGCCCCAGCTACTTCCCCATGCCAGCTACTTCCCCATCCAACTGAACCAATACCTGAATCCTAGTCACTCCCCATCCACAAGCTGTCCACTGGCTTTGCTCGGTGCCAGCCACAGTCTCTATCTTTGGCCACCCCATCCTAACATGCCCCTGTGTGTCTCCCTGGGGGCAGGGGAGGAGCACCAGAGGGAGCCTCCCCTTTTTTCAGCGGGGAACATTGAGACCTGGGAGCAGGGTCTGGCTGGACCCTCAGGCTGGGCACCTGGGCTTAGTTCCTCCTCCCTCCCCGGGGCCCAGCTGGCAGTACCTGCCCCGTCCGCGCTCATGACATTGCTGCCATGAGCTATCATCACCTCCAGACAGCTGGCCGCACCCCGCATGGCCGCCAGGTGGAACCTGGAGGTGAGAGACAAGGGTTCAGCCGCAAGGTTGCCACCCCTCAGCCATCTCACTCCCGGGTCGCGGGCACTCACGCGGACTTGCCCTCGGGGTCTAGCTTCGTGGGCACCAGCCCCTTGCGGGCGATGAGGGCGGCCACCCGAGGTGCATCGTTGTTTTCCACGGCTTGTAGCAGCCTCTCGTCACTCTTGCCCCAGTCTTGACTCTGCAGGGCACGCCCAGAAGTGCGTGGGGCAGTGTTGGCTGCTGTCCCCTCCCCACGCCCCCGACAGGGGCTCCGGGCTCTCACCACCTGCCCCTGGGCACTTGCCTGGCGCCTGCCTCTGGCTGCCGGCTTCGGGATGGGGCAGGGGCCGCAGGGCGGGCAGGAGCCAAGGTCAGTGGGGCTGAGCCGCAGCTGCAGGGGGAGGTGGTCCTGGGCGAGGGGGTCCTCAGACAGTGTCCCCCAAGCCTGCGACCCCCAGCATCTGCCCCCAGGCCCATCACCCCAGTTGTCCAACAAAAGCCCACCACCAGCATCATCCCCTGAGCAGCCCCCTGGCATCTATTTCCAAAACGTTGTCCCCTGGGCTGAGCATGGAGGCTCACGCCTGTAGTCCCAGCATCTGGGGAGGCCAAGGTGGGAGGATCGCTTGAGCCTAGGAGTTTGAGACAAACCTGGGCACCATAGTAGGACCCCGTCTCTACAAAAAATAAAAATCATCAGCGGGGCATGGTGGCTCATGCCTGTAGCTGCTTGGGAGGCTGAGGTGGGAGGATCATTTGAGCCCAGGAATTTTGAGACCAGCCTAGGCAACACAGCAAGACCCACTCTGTACAATAAAAAAAGTTGTCCCCCAATTCATCCCTTAGTGAAAGCCACCCCTGCAACATCGCCCCCAGCAAATGGATCCATGAGTCTTTTCCAAACTACCCTCCAAAGTCCCATCTGAACCCCTAAAAGTCCCCTTTAAATGCCTCTCAGGACCATCCTCTGCCCTGTTTATCCACAACTGCCCTGAAA
The DNA here is from genome assembly GCF_000001405.40 of Homo sapiens. Taxonomy (NCBI): domain Eukaryota; kingdom Metazoa; phylum Chordata; class Mammalia; order Primates; family Hominidae; genus Homo; species Homo sapiens. The sequence continues at coordinate 4,199,076 of NC_000019.10, read as the reverse complement.
TGCCACCACTGTCCCCTAAACATCCCGAGGCTTCTCCCCTCAACACTATAGCCTGAAATGCATTACGAAATGTCTCCCCCAAATTCCTGAAGTGTTCTGTAAAACCATCCTTCCCAATGATACCGTCATGTCCCAAAAATATCCTCCAAAAACATCCCTCAAATGTTCTCCCAAACTGTTCTCCAAATCATTACCTCTTCGCAAAATCGGCTCTCCCAAAATAGCTTCCAAGTTGTCCCCTCAATGACCCCATCTGTCTCCAAAATGTTTTCCCAAAACTGCACCCCCCAATGCCCTCTAAATGTTCCTAAATGTCCCCATTTGTTTCAAAGAGTCTTCCAAAACGTGTCCACATGTCTCCCCAAATGTCTCTTCCATTCCCCCAAAAGCTGCCCCAACCTCTGTTCCCCCCCACCCCCCGCCGCCGACCATCTTTCCCGGGTCTGGAATGGGGGGGTGGTCCAGGTCAGCCGGGGACGGGGAAGGGAGGGGAGAGGAGGTACCCGCGCCCCGCCCGCTCCTGCGCCCCCTCCCCGGGCCCTACCGCGAAGGAGGCGGCTGCGCACAGACACAGCTGCTTCATGGCGTCCGGGGCGCGGGGCGCGGGGGGCGCACGGGGTTCCAAGAGGAGGCGGCGGCCAGAGGGTCTGGAGGGACCGCGGGGAGCGGCCGGAGGGCGGGGCTGGGCGCTGCCGGAGCTCCCCGCCCCGCCCGCCCGCCCGGTCCCGCCCTCCCTGGTGCCGCCCCCTCCCCCTTGCCCTCCTCGCCAGCCCCCTCCCCCACGGGATGGAATGGGAAGACCCAGGTAGGGGGCTGGGGGCTGGGGGCTGAGGGAAGGGGCGCCGCCCCGGCCCCTCCTGACCTTGTCGCCTGGAGGATGAGGAGGACGCGGCGCCGGGGGCCCGGCTCCCTCACCAGCGCAGGCCGCCGGCTGCATCTCCAGGGGACCCGCGGGCGTCCATCTCCACCTCCTCCGAGTCGGCCAAGGGCGCGCAGGTGCCTCCGGGCCCGCGACGTCCGCAGCCTCGCACCTCCACGCGGCCGGCAGGGCTCTCGCCACTCACACTTTCATTCATTCACTCATTCATTCGTTCGCCCATTCGTTCATTCATTCACCGGCCCGCCCATTCATTCATTCGTTCACTCACCCATTCGTTCATTCACTCGTTCATTCATTCACTCACTCGTTCATTCGTTCACCCACTCGTTCATTCCTTCACTCATTTGTTTATTCGCTCACCCTTTCATGCATTAATTCACTCACCCATTCGTTCATTCACTTATTCATTCATTCGCTTGTTCATTCGTTCATTCACTCGTTCATTCCTTCACCCATTTGTTTATTCGCTCACCCTTTCATTCATTCACTCATTCATTTGTTCACCCATTCACGGGCTCACCCATTCATTCATTCATTCATTCGTTCATTTACTCGTTCATTCGTTCACCCATTTATTTGCTCACTCTTTCATTCATTCATTGGTCTCACCCATTTGTTCATTCATTCATTCTTATATGACCCATTCACTTATTCATTCCCACACCATTCCTTCCTGCATTCACTCATTCCTGCATTCATTAACTCACTCATTTGTTCATCCATTTGTTGGCTCACCCATTCATCCATTCATTAGTTCACTCACCCATTCATTTGTTCACCACCCATTCATTCATTTGTTCATTCCCGCACCATTCATTCATTCATTCATTCCCACACTCATTTGCTCATTCATTGGCACGCCCATTCGTTCATTCATTCACTCATTGCCTCATCCATTCATTCATTCAATCAGTCATTCGTTCATTCATTCATTCATTCGCCACTGGGGAGCTGCAATCCTACACACCTGAATTTGAATCCAGCACCCCGCCCCTGCCCCAGCCTTTCCTACCTATATGACAGGGCCAACAGACTTACCTATTTTGGACTTCTCCTTCCTCCTCCGTAAAATGGGTTTCATAATAAATAGTTCCTACTGCGGAGGGTTACCGGGAGGATGCCAAGGTACTACCTGGCAGCACTCAGTCGACCAGTGCCTAGCATACAGTAAGCGCACCATAAAACTGTGACTCGTTCCTCACAGAAAGAGCTAGCTGGTCCCGGCGCAGCTCTGACATTCTCTAGCCATTTCCGGTCAATTTCCGCCACTCCTGGGACCCACGGCTCCTCCGGTAGAGGAGGGGCCTTGGGTTCCTTTCTGTCACTGTAGCGTCCCCAGTGCCTGGCCCATGGCAGGTGCTCCACAAACATGCATCAGATGAACACTTGGGGGAGATGCTCCTTCAAGCAGTAAGCATTTATTGAGCGCCCACTGGATGCCACGCAGCATTCGCAGGCCTGGAGACTCTGGGGCACAGCCAAGACCCTTGCAGGTAATTGGCATTTTAGAAGGAGCCCTGGAGGCCAGGCGCGGTGGCTCACGCCTGTAATCCCAAAACTTTGGGAGGCCGAGGCGGGCAGATCACCTGAGGTCAGGAGTTCGAGAACAGCTTGGCCAACATAGTGAAACTTCGTCTCTACTAAAAATGCAAAAATTAGCCAGGTGTGGTAGCGGGCGCCTGTAATCTCAGCTACTCAGGAAGTGAGGCAGGAGAATCGCTTGAACCCTGGAGGCAGAGGTTGCAGTAAGCCGAGATCGCGTCACTGCACTCCAGCCTGGGTGACAGAGCGAGACTCCACTGCAAAACAAATAAACAACAACAAAAACAAACAAACTAAAACAACAACAACAACAACAAAACCGAGGTCTTCCAGAGCCAGAATTTAAGAGCAACGACGCAGCAGACAGGTGACAGGGGCTTGAATTCCGTTTGGTTATATCATCCTTGCTGTGTGACCTTGAGCTAATCGCTTTCCCTCTCTGAAATTCTCCCTCTCAATTTCTCAACGGTTAAATGAGATAGATAATAGGACAGGCACCAAGGAAGCACTGTGGGCATTTGAGGCTGGATCTTTCTCTAGAATGGGGCTGTCCTGGGCACTGCAGGGTGCCGAGCAGCATCCCTGGCCTCCACCCACTCCACACCAGGAGCACTCCAAGTTGTGACAACCACAGATATCCCAACACTGGCAAGTGTCCCTCCATTGACACATTGACCACTGGCTTAGGGCTGGGTGAGCATTGAGCATTTACACGTCGGTGTGGTCCGTGATTATTCTTAGACTTTTACTTTTTTTCTTTTGAGACGGAGTCTTGCTCTTCCACCCAGGCTGGAGTGCAGTGGTGCGATCTCGGCTCACTGCAAGCTCTGCCTCCCGGGTTCAAGCAATTCTCCTGCTTCAGCTTCCCGAGTAGCTGGGATTACAGGCACACGCCACCACGCCTAGCGAATTTTTGTATTTTAGTAGAGACGGGGTTTTGTCATGTTGGCCAGGCTGGTCTTGAACTCTGACCTCGTGATCCACCTGCCTTGGCCTCTCAAAGTGTTGGGATTACAGGCGTGAGCCACTGCGCCCGGCCCTCTTAGACATGTTTGGACAAGAGGAGGGAGGAGTGGGAACCAAGGCAGGAAAATGGAAAGTGACAGGCATTTGGGAAGGAGGGTGTCCTTGGAACTCTTCTCTCCTTCCACCCTTGGGGGTGGGGAGGTCCTCTGAGCTTCTCCAGAGAAGAGACCGAAACGGATCTCCCAGCTCAGGGCTTCAGTTTCCAACTGTCTCCTACACTTGTCCTCCTGGATGCCATACAAGATCAGAGCAAATGGCCAGGCATGGTGGCTCACGCCTGTCATCCCAGCACTTTGGGAGGCTGAGGCAGGCAGATCACCTGAGATGGGGAGTTCGAGACCAGCCTGACCAACGTGGCAAAACCCCGTCTCTACTAAAAATACAAAAAATTAGCCGGGCGTGGTGGTGGGCGCCTGTAGTCCCAGCTACTCGGGAGACTGAGGCAGGAGAATGGCGTGCACCCGGGAGGCGGAGCTTGCAGTGAGCAGAAGTCGTGCCACTGCACTCCAACCTGGGTGACAGAGTGAGACTCCCTCTCTAAAAACAAACAAACAAACAAACAAACAAAAACCTGGGCGCGGTGGCTCACGCCGAGATCGCACCACTGCACTCCAGCCTGGGAGACACAGCGAGACTCCATCTGAAAAAAATCAATCAATCAATCAGAGCAAATGCCCCTCGGAGCCCACTGAGGTGTGTACCATGGATACTGTCAGCCCTCCAGGCTTCATCCAAGCCCTGGCATCACCGTGACACCTCTCTCTTGCCCCACACTCGGTCCACCGGCCAAGCCCACTGGCTGCACACTGTGTCCTGTTCTGCCCCTTCTCACCCCTTCCACGGCCACCACCATAGTCTAGCCCCATCACTGCAGGTTCTGCCTCTGGGATGCATCTTTCTTCTTCAGCCTCTGACCTTGTCCCCTTGTCCCTTCTCCCCCAGCAGCCAGAGGCAGCTTCCTAAACCTGCATCAGATCTCATCTCTCCTGCACAAAAGCCTCCAGAGACCTCACTCAGCTTAAAATGCAAACTGCTCACAGCAGCCCAGATCCTGCCCACTGCCTGTTTCCGTAGAGAATGGTATTTACACGTGTGAGTCGTTGGAGGGGGGAGAGAAAAGCAAAATAAGAATCATCCTTCCTGACACGTGAAAAATGATATGAAATTCACATTTCTGGCTAGGTGCGGTGGTTCACGCCTACAATCTCAGCACTTTGGGAGGCCAAGGTGGGCTGATCGCCTGAAGTCAGGAGTTCAAGACCAGCCTGGCCAACATGGTGAAACCCCGTCTCTACTAACAATACAAAAATTAGCTGGGCACGGTGGTGCACGCCTGTAATCCCAGCTGCTCGGGAGTCTGAGGCAGGAGAATCGCTTGAAAGTGGGAGGCTGAGGTTGCAGTAACCTGAGAGCACTCCAGCCTGGGTGACAGAGCCAGACTCCATCTCGGAACAAAACAAAACAAAACAATTCACATTTCAGTGTCCATAAATAAAGTTTTTTCGGGGCCAAGCCCTGCCCATTCATTTGTAGATCGTTGGATGCCACATGCAGGATATGAAGAAAAAAGTGTAGACAGTCAAAGGCTATTCTCAGGCTGCAATGGCAGAGCTGAGGCTGGTCTGCACCACAAACCAAAAATATTAATCCTCTGGCCTTTTAAGAAAAAATTTGCTAACCCTTCTCTGAGCAGCCCCACTCTGCCAGTGCCTGACCCCTGACCTCATGGAGTTTTTCCTTCCTTCCTTCCTTCCTTCCTTCCTTCCTTCCTTCCTTCCTTCCTCCCTCCCTCCCGACGGAGTCTCGCTCTGTCGCCCAGGCTGGAGTACAGTGGCATGATCTCTGCTCACTGCAAACTCCACCTCCCGGCTTCAAGTGATTCTCATGCCTCAGTCTCCCGAGTATCTGGGATTACACGCACCCGCCACCATGCCTGGCTAATTTTTGTATTTTTAGTAGAGACGGGGTATCACCATGTTGACAGGCTGGTCTTGAACTCCTGATCTCAGGTGATCTGCTCGCCTCAGCCTCCCAAAGTGCTGGGATTACAGGCATGAGCCACCGCGCCTGCCATCATCTCCATTTACATTTCCCTCGGTGTAATCCATGCTGCCATAGTAGCCTCCTTCTTGTCCTTCAAACAGCTGGGTCCCACCTCCAAGCCTTGGCCAGTGCAGCTCCTTCTGCCTGGAGCACCTGCCCCACCGTGCACATGGCTGCTTTCTTTACTGCTGTCCACTCTTGGAGATGCCTCTTCCAAGAGCCCTTCTCTGACAGCCCTTTCTTTAGCTATATTTTTCCTTCATTGTTGTCTTTTTTTTTTTTTTTTTTGATGGAGTCGCTCTATTGCCCAGACTGGAGTGCAGTGGAGGGATCTCGGCTCACTGCAACCCCTGCCTCCCGGATTCAAGCGATTCTCCTGCCTCAGACTCCTGAGTAGCTGGGATTACAGGTGCCCACCACCACGCCTGGCTAATTTTTGTATTTTTTAGTAGATACGGGGTTTTGCTGTGTTGGCCAGGCTGGTCTCGAATTCCTGACTTCAAGTGATCCACTCACCTCGGCCTCCCAAAGTGCTGGGATTACAGGCGTGAGTCACTGCGCCAGGCCTCTTATCACCACCTAAGATACTACATACCTTTTTAAAAATATTCTGTTTACTCTCATTTTTTATTTTTATTTATTTATTTATTTTGGGACAGGGTCTTGCTCTGTCACCCAGGCTGGAGTGCAGTGGTACAATCATCATTCACTGTAGCCTCGACCTCCTGGGCTCAAGTGGTCCTCCCATCTCAGCCTCCTGAGTAACTGGAGACCACAGGCACACACCACCATACCCAACTAATTTTTGAATTTTTTTTGAAGAGATGGGGTCTTGCTATGTTGCCCAGGCTGGTCTCAAACTCCTGGGCTTAAGTGATCCTCCCATCTTGATCTCCTAAAGTGCTGGGATTACAGGCGTGAGCCACTGCGCCCAGCTTGTTTCCTCTTGATCTCTCCCTTAGAATGTCACCTCCTCAGGGGCAGTGATTTTTGTCTATCTTAGTCACTGCTGTATTCCATGCAGGACCAGCTATAGGTTTTGCAGGGCTCGGTGAAAAATGAAAATACGAGGCCTGGCCGGGCGCGGTGGCTCACGCCTGTAATCCCAGCACTTTGGGAGGCTAAGGCGGGAGGATCGCTTGAGGCCAGGAGTTCAAGACCAGCCTGGGCAACGTGGTAAGACCTCACCTCTGAAAAAAAAAAAATGCATACTTAAGTAAAAAATAAAAATATAAAAAGAAAAAAGACAGAAAGAGAAAGAGGACTTTCCAGGAAGCATTGATGTATGGAGTCTGTGACTCTCTAGAAACCCCAATCTTCCCACTTGGGAGATTTTCCTGAAACCTAAAGTAAAGGCAGGAGGTCAGTGAAGCCCCAAGTGAACAGCTCCAGGTAACTCCCATTTTATGGATGGAAACACTGAGGCCCACGGACAGCCCAAGGGGGATCAGAGTAAGCAATGCCAACTGTTGGGACCCCAAAGAAAGAAACGGTGTTGGTTGGGCACAGTGGCTCTCGCCTGTAATCCCAGCACTTTGGGAGGCTGAGGCGGATGGCTCATTGGAGGTCAGTAGTTTGAGACCAGCCTGGCCAACATGGCAAAACCCATCTCTATTAAAAATACCAAAAAAAAAAAATTAGCTAGACGTGGTGATAGGCACCTGTAATCTCAGCTACTCGGGAGGCTGAGGCAGGAGAATCCCTTGAACCCGGGAGGCGGAGGTTGCAGTGAGCCAAGATCACACCACTGCACTCCAGCCTGGGCAACAGAGCAAGACTCTGTCTCAAAATAAATAAATAAATAGGCTGGGGACGGTGGTTCACGTCTGTAATCCCAGCACTTTGGGAGGCTGAGGCAGGCGGATCATCTGAGGTCAGGAGTTCGAGACCAACCTGGCCAACATGATGAAACCCCGTCTCTACTAAAAACACAAAAATTAGCCAGGTGTGGTGGCGTGCACCTGTAATCCCAGCTACACGGGAGGCTGAGAGAGGATAATCTCTTGAACCCGGGAGGCGGAGCTTGCAGTGAGCCGAGATCATGCCATTGCACTCCAGCCTGGCAACACAGCGAGACTCTGTCCCAAAAATAAATAAATAAATAAATAAAAATAAAAGAAAGAAAATAAAATAAAAGTAAATACATAAATAAGAAAAAGCCGGTGTTAGGGACCAGGAAAGGCCGGAGAGTGCCCTAAGGAGAGGAGGAGAGGGGTAGCAGTGGCTAGAAGACACGGAACACAAGGTCCCAGTGACAGGAGGGGGGGGCCTGGCCCCTGCAGTCATGGGTGTTTGCTTTCTTCCCTCGGGGCTGCTGAACAAAAGCTGAACTTGACTCCGGCTGCCTGCTGCGAAACTGGAGAAGGGCAGGTGGAGGGATGGATGGCAAGGTGCTCTGGGAGGGGAGGATGGAGGCCCTGCAGCTTCCCAGCAACAGCCAGGCCTCCCATCTGCTGCAACAGTTCCAGCCCAGGCTATGGGCTAACCTCAGGCCCCTCCAGCTCCAGACACTCTCAGAGGCCCTCACACCCGTCTGAGGTTTTAACACCTATCCTGTCCCCATCCAATTTTGACTTTGTCCCGACCCCTCCCATTGCAAACATATCAAAACACACCCACATCCCGAATGAGGTATCTCTTTTTTAGCCACCCACACTTCTTGAAAGATTTACTTAAATATTAAATATAACTATGCTTTGGAAATTAAGCAATCATATGGCTTGGTTTACCAGTGGCTACTACTTCTGAGGAATGCTTGGGGAAAAAAAGCATTCAGGAGTTGACCCCTGAAAAATATGGGTTTGAATGCCCAGGTCCACTTACACATGGATTTTTTTGTTCGTTTTTTGAGACGGAGTCTCGCTCTGTCACCCAGGCTGGGCAATCGTGCAATGGCGTGATCTCGGCTCACTGCAACTTCTGCCTCCTGGGTTCAAGAGATTTTCCTTCCTCAGCCTCCTGAGTAGCTGGGATTACAGGTGCCCACCACCATGCCCGGCTGCCTGGCTAATTTTTGCATTTTTAGTAGAGAGGGGGTTTCACCATGTTGGCCAGGCTGGTCTCGAACTCCTGACCTCAGGTGATCTGCCCGCCTCTGCCTCTCAAAGTGCTGGGATTACAGACGTGAGCCACCATGCCGAGCCAGATTTTTTTTTTTTTTTCGAGACGGAGTCTCGCTCTGTTGCCCAGGCTGGAGTGCAATGGCTCCATCTCGGCTCACTGCAAGCTCCACCTCCCAGGTTCATGCCTCAGCCTCCCGAGTAGCTGGGACTACAGGCGCCCGCCACCACGCCCGGCTGATTTTTTGTATTTTTAGTAGAGACGGGGTTTCACCGTGTTAATGAGGATGGCCTCGATCTCCTGACCTCGTGACCCACCCACCTCGGCCTTCCAAAGTGCTGGGATTACAGATGTGAGCCACCACGCCCAGCCTATACATGGATTTTTGACTGTGCAGGAGGGTGGGCTGTAATTGTTCAAGGGTCAACTATCATCGAGGAATTGAGTCCACGTGGGAAGAAAAATTTTAGGATCACTCCACAGTGAATGAAGCTCACCCAATGCCACATTTTGTAGGCAGTTAATGGACCGTTTTTCACCTCTTTCTCTCCCGCTGTCTGTCTCCACCCATTCTCTTTTCAATCAATGCACTCCCCTCCCACCTCCAGGCCAATCATGTTCATAGTAACGCAGCCCTGGGGGAAGGCTTGTGTCTCACTTCCTAGCTGTGTGACCTTGAGCAGGTGTCTTAACCTCTCTGGGCTTCCCTCCCTCATCTATAAAATGAAGATAATAAAAGCTCCTGCCTCATAACACGGTGGTGAGGATTAAATGAGCTGACACCTGCAAAGCACATCTTATATTTTTTATAGTGCTCAAAAATCAACAAAAATGAAAATAAATAAGCCGGGCACAGTACTGCACATCTGTAGTCCCAGCTACTTGGCTGAAGCGGGAGGATCTCTTGAGCCCAGGAGTTTGAGACCAGCCTGGACAACATAGTGAGACCCCATCTCTTAAAAAAAAAAACTTAGGGCCGGGCATGGTGGCTCATGCCTATAATGGCAACCCTTTGGAAGGCCAAGGTGGGTGGATCACTTGAAGTCAGGAGTTTGAGACCAGCCTGGCCAACATGGTGAAACCCATCTCTACTAAAAATACAAAAAAAATTGCTGGGCGTGGTAGTGCGTGCCTGTAGTCCCACCTACTTGGGAGGCTGCGGCATAAGAAAAGAATAGCTTGAATCCAGGAAGTGGAGCTTGCAGTGAGCCAAGATCACAACACTGCACTCCAGCCTGAGCAACAGAGTGAGACTCCTTCAAAAAAAAAAAAAAAAAAAAAAGAAGAAAGAAAAATTAAAAAAAATAAAGTGAATCCAATGATATTAAATTAAAATGTTTTAAATAAAATAAAAATGAATAATGAAATGAATGGGTACATGATAATTAATAAATAGTTTAAAAACAAAATAAAATGGGCGGAGTGCAGTGGCTCACGCCTGTAATTCCAGCACTTTGGGAGGCTGAGGCGGGCAAATCACCTGAGGTCGGAAGCTCGAGACCAGCCTGACCAACATAGTGAAACCCTGTCTCTACTAAAAATACAAAATATTTAGCCAGCCATAGTGGCAGGCGCCTGTAGTCCCAGCTATTTGGAAGGCTGAGGCAGGAGAATTGCTTGAACTCAGGAGGCAGAGGTTGCAGTGAGCAGAGATCGTGCCACTGCATTCCAGCCTCAGCAACAGAGTGAGACTCTGTCTCAAAAATAAATGAAATCAAATCAAATCAAATGAGCCCAAACAACTGAAGGAAGCCACAGAGGGGGCATGACATCCCCAGAGTCACCCAGGACACCAGGGACAGAGGAAGGATTTGAACTCAGAGCCACCTGATTCTATCCCAGGCTTGGCTGGGCGCAGTGGCTCACGCCTGTAATCCCATCACTCTGGGTGGGAGTTAGGAGGATCGCTTGAGGCCAGGAGTTTAAGACCAGCCTGGGCAACACAGCTACACCCCATCTGTACAAAAAATAAAAATTAGCCCAGTGTGGTGGTGCACGCCTATAGTCTCTGCACTTTGGGAGGCTGAGGCAGGAGGATCGTTTGAGCCCAGGAGTTGGAGGCTGTAGTCGGTTGAGATAGCACCACTGCACTCCAGCCTGGGTGACAGAAAGAGACTCTGTCTCAAAAAAAAAAAAAAAAAAAAAAATGGACCAAGCGTGGTGGCTCATGCCTGTAATCCCAGCATTTTGGGAGGCCAAGGCGGGTGGATGACCTGAGGTCAGGAGTTCAAGACCGGCCTGGCCAACATGGTGAAGTCCTGCCTCTACTAAAAATACAAAATTAGCTGGGCATGGTGGTGCGTGCCTGTAATCCCAGCTACTCGGGAGGCTGAGGCAAGAAAATTACTTGAACCCGGGAGGTGGAGGTTGCAGTGAGCCGAGATCAAGCCACGGCACTCCAGCCTGGGCGACAAGAGGGAAACTCCATCTCAAAAATAAAATAAAATAAAATAAAAAATGAAATCCAGGCTTGTTCCACAGGCCTCTCTTTTTGGCTTTTCAAAAATGGCTTTCAAAGATCCTGAGCTCCCACTCACTCGCACTCTCTGCTCCTGCCAAGAGAATCTGCCTGTTATGCCTGTGCATCAAGCAGACCTGGTCCAGCCTCCGAATCTTTACCCACACAGGTCCGTGCCCCGCTCCTCACGTGCCTGCCTTCACTTCTCTAAATCCTCCCTATTCTTCCAGGCTCTGCTCCGGTGCCACCTCCTCCAGGCAGACTCCCTGATTTCTCCAGGCCACACCAGATGGGGATGTTGTATCCCATGATACGAAAACTAAAGGCTCCAAGTCAAGCTTGCCCACCCAGGCCAGGCACAAAGAGGTGCTCAGGAAGGCTGATTGCCTGTCCCTGGAGGTGAGCCCTCCCTTTCATCCTCCCCATCTGTGCCCTGAATTGGCCGCCACAGGGACTTGAGGGGGCTGAGAAGAATGGGGACAATGGAGGAAGAAGCATGTCTTTCTAGGAGTTCATAGCCAAAGACACGGATGCAAGAGAAGACAGCTGGATCTACCTCAGGGCCTTTGCACTGGCTGTTCCAGCCACTTGGAATGCAATTCCTGCAAACTCTCTCCCCCACTCCCCTTCCCTTTTTCTTTTTTTTTTCTTTTTTGAGATGGAGTCTCACTCTGTTGCCCAGGCTGCAGTGCAATGGCACAATCTCAGCTCACTGCAACCTCCACCTCCCAGGTTCAAGCAATTCTCCTGCCTCAGCCTCCCAAGTAGCTGGGATTACAGGTGCCCGCCACCGTGCCCAGCTAATTTTTGTATTTTTAGTAGAGACAACGTTTCACCATGTTGGCCAGGCTCGTCTTGAACTCCTGACCTCACGTGATCTGCCTGCCTTGGCCTCCCAAAATGCTGGGATTACAGGTGTGAGCCACCACGCCCAGCCCTCCCCTTCCCTTTCTAATCTTTGCTTTAATACCACCTCCTCTGGGAAGCCTTCCCTGGCCACCCTCTTTAAAACTGCAGCCACCTCCCCTGCCCTGAATGCTTCAATTCCCTTTTCCTGCTTTGTCTGTCTTTGCGACACAAAATACACATTGTCACTTATTTATCTTGTTTCGTGTTCATCTCCCGTACTCAGCGGTCGGCTCCACGAGGGCAAGGATTTTTGCCTGCCCTATTCCCTGGCTGATTCCCCTGTGCCTGGAACAGCGCCTGCTATATAAATATGTGCTGAGTACACACACACCAAAGCAAAAGATCAGGATCCTCGGGAAAGTGGGTCCTTGGAAAAGCAAGGGGTTACTGTGGCCGGGGAGAGCGGAGATTGGACGGGGAGGTGGTACTGGGGCCAAATTGTGAGGAATTAGGAGGGTCTGATTGGTGGCAATGCGGCGAGAAGGAATTCCATGGAGAGCGGACTAGGGCCTGGGTAAAGGCCTGGGCTGGAAAGCTTGTACGGGGAGCAGTGGGGAGGTCATGACGCTAGGGGGCAGCAGAGAGGAAAGGAGAAGAGGTGGGTACTGGAATGAAAGGGTGGATCTTCAGCCAAGCCCCAGGAGACAGAAGGCTGAAGTTGCAGGGGTGTATCGGGCATCTAGGGCCTCACACTCACCTCTGTCTTCTTAAATCGCGCCCTGAGAGTCTTCATAGTTGGTGCCCTGTGTTTCTCCTCTCCACAGGCCACCTGAGGAGGGCAAGGGTGGGGGTAAGGTGAGGGACACCAGTCCTGGTGGGCGGCAGGGTCCGTTGCCTCGCCCTCCTCAAAAGGACCGCTTCCTCCTTCCTGACCAGTCCTGGCCCCTAGAGCAAGACACAGACCTGCTCTATCTCCTACCTGCTGTGTGTCCTTTGGCAGTTTACTTGCCCTCTCTGTTTTACTTCCCTCATCTATACAGTGACAGAAATGATCCTTTCTTGACCAACTCATGGTCAGTTTTCAGCATGGTCCCTACACAGAGCCTGGCCAAACATGAGGGGCTTCATAAATGCATCTCACTGGTATTTCCTGCGGTCCAAACAGATCAAGCCTTTTCTGGTCTCCTAACTTTTACCTGTGCAGTTATTTCTGCCTAGAATGGTTTCTTTTTTCTTCTCTGAACTCCTACTCATCCTTCAAAGCCCAGTTCCAAAATCCCTTGCTCTTATCAGCTTTGCCTCTTGTTCCCAAGCAGAGATCTAACTCCCCAAATTGGGTTCCCGCCTACCCTGGCTGGGTCTCTGCCTCTGCCTCACCCCTGGCTCCATGGGCTGGAAGGGTCTGGGCTGATTCTGTCCTTTTCAACAGTCAGGGGCTCCCTGGGGACTGAAGCCAGGGCTGACGGCTCTCAGCACAGAGGCATGTTTGCTACATAGTCAGAGGGAACCTCCATGTGACAGCAATTCACCCATAGTGGGTGGAGGTCTGGGGCAATGGCTGCATGCATGTGTGTGACGTTGAGTGTGGGGCGTGTGCACACGTGCACTTCTGTCCACCTGGGCCTGTTCTACGTTCCGCATGGGCAGGCACGGAGGTCAGGCAGGCCTATCTTGAGGGGGTGTGTTTTTTGAGGGGTGTGACTGTGAGGCCCTATGTGTGAAAGGGATTTCTGTGATGGAGAATCTGTATTTGCCTCTTACCAAGGAGTAGGGGTTGGCATGGCCTCTACCTGTCCACCTATCTACTCGTGAATTCTCCAAGCCACCCTTCCACGCATTTACCACCTATGCACTCACCTGGACATCCATCCTCCCACCTAAGCACTGTATAACCACCCACTGGCCACCACCCACAAACCCACCCACCCAATTCATGTTCTCATGGTTCTTCATCACCCTTTAATCAGATTTCACCCACACATCCATCCACCCACCCAAACACCTACCAACTCCCACCATTCATCCATCCACTCATCCACCCATCCATCCACTTATCCATCCCTTCATCCATCCACCCAACCACCCATCCATCCATCTGCCCAAGCATCCATCCATCCACCCATCTGCCCACCCAATCACACACCCATCCACCCATCCACCCACCCACCCATCCACTCATCCATCCACTTATCCATCCCTCCATCCACCCACCCAACCACCAATCCATCCATCCACCCACCCACCCACCAGTGCATCCATCCACCCACCCACCAGTCCATCCATGGATCCTTCCATCCATCCATCCATCCACTTATCCATCCCTCCATCCATTTGCCCAATCACCCACCCATTCATCCATCCACCCATCCATCCATACATCTACCCATTCACCCATCTACCAAACCACCAATCCACCTATTCGCCCCCCATCCATCCACCCACCCATCCATTCATCTACCCCTCCACCGGTGCCCATTCACTCACTACCTACCCTTTTTTCTTCTACCTCTGACTGGAGGATTCAATCACACCCAAAGCAGGGGGTAATAAGACACCCAACAGAGGAGTTCACAGGCTGCTTGGGAGAAGACAATCCGTGGGCTTGGGGGAGGGAGAAACGCCTGCTAAATTTAGGAAGCTGCTTGCTGGAAGAGGTGATGGTAAATAAGAAGGGCCTGATGGCCGGGTGGGATGTTGAGCACCTGCCTTGGAGGAAGCTAGGCAGGGCACAGGCCGGCAAGTGGGAAGTGCGTGGGTGAACGAGTGCATGTGTGTGTCAGGGTACCTGGGTAGCTCCGCAGCCTGGCTAGGACTCAGCACGGCTTCTTTCTCCCACATACAAGGGCTCAGGGGCCTGGGGCCATAAGGGGATCCTCCGTCCTGGGCCTCTCCCACCTCCTTCCTCCCCTACCTCCTGCAGCTCCAGTGCCCCGAGCTCCCGGCCACAGTGCCCACTGCCGGCTCCGGTTACCCACTCCCAGCTGGGCCACGAGCAGCTCCAGCCGCTCCACTCTGACACCTGATCGGCTCTGAGCAGGCGGCCGCCCCAGGGGGCCGGGGATGAGCCGAGGGAGGAGACAGGCTGGCAGCGGACTGCCTGTTGGCCAACTGGCTCTGGCGGGAAGACACCCACGATCTTCCCTATCATCACTGGACTGATTTCAGTTTCTGGAAGGAGCCATGCTCTTCCTCTTTCTCAGCCTTTGCACTTGCTGTTCCCCCCACCAGGAACATTCTTTCTGTACTTCATGTCACCCCAACCGGCTCTACCTGACTCATGCACTCTTTATTTATTTATTTATTTATTTTTGAGACGGAGTTTCATGCTTGTTGCCCAGGCTGGAGTGCAATGGCGCGATCTCCGGCTCACCGCAATCTCCGCCTCCTGGGTTCAAGCAATTCTCCTGCCTCAGCCTCCCGAGCAGCTGCGATTACAGGCCACCACACCCAGCTAATTTTGTATTTTTAGTAGAGACGGGGTTTCTCCATGTTGGTCAGGGTGGTCTCGAACTCCCAATCTCAGGTGATCCACCTGCCTTGGCCTCCCAAAGTGCTGGGATTACAGGTGTGAGCCACTGCGCCCGGCTCACTCACTTTTTAGATCTTTGCTGCAACATCCCCTCCTCCAGGAAGCCCTCCCGGATGCCCCCAGCCTGGGTCAGGTGCCTCCTGTGAGCCCCCTCACTGCCCTGTGCCCTCTGCATCACCCATTGCACCCCAACCACACCATGTCACCATTACCTGGTCACATGTTTGTGTCCACCCGCAGCCACCAGGGCATAGATGGTACCACCTTTGCTCTCCAGTGTGCCCAGTACAAAGTAGGTACTCAACACATGATTCTTAAATGAGTCCTCCAGGCCACCAGCCCCATTGACCTTGAGCAGGACCTGTCCTGCAGAATGCAGAACCTCCAGTTGGATGATACTCAGATAACTTGGCCGGACGCAGTGGCTCACGCCTGTAATCCCAGCACTTTGGGAGGCCGAGGCGGTCAGATCACCTGAGGTCAGGAGTTCGGGACCAGCCTGACCAACATGGAGAAACCCCGTCTCTACTAAAAAATACAAAAATTTGCTGGGTGTGGTGGCGGGCGCCTGTAATCCCAGCTACTAGGGAGGCTGAGGCAGGAGAATCGCTTGAACCCAAGAGGCGGAGGTTGCAGTGAACCGAGATTGCGCCACTGCACTCCAGCCTGGGCAACAGAGCGAGGCTCCGTCACACACACACACACACACACACACACACACACAAATGAGATATTCAGGTAACTCTGCGTGGCATTCAAAACCCTTAGGCTGGGGTCCCTGCTGTCCGGCTCTGTCCTTACGGAATTTACTAATCCGTAAAAGGGGTTGTGGGGACATGGATAGCCTGTGTCCCGCATTTTAGAGGTGACTGGAGAACTCTCACGTAGGCGGCCGCCCCAATTTCCCGCCCGGGTCATCGGGGAGCCCCTTCCCAAGCCCCGCAAACACCTGCATGCAAAGAGGCAGGCTTCCTTCTGACAGCAGATAACATGTCGCCTGCGGCGTCAGCAAGAGGCGCATGCGCCTTGCCGTGGGAGGCCGGGTGCGCAGGACTGGAACGCGGTTCCTCCTTCTTCCCCGCCCCGCCCCGCTTCCGGCGGAAGCGGCCTCAACAAGGGAAACTTTATTGTTCCCGTGGGGCAGTCGAGGATGTCGGTGAATTACGCGGCGGGGCTGTCGCCGTACGCGGACAAGGGCAAGTGCGGCCTCCCGGAGGTGAGCGCGTCTGAGGGTCCCGAGCATCGCGCCCCAGGGCCGCGGGCTGGGAGCGGCCGGATGGCAGGGGGGCATTGTGGGAATATCAGGGGGCACTGAGGCTAGACAATGGGAGGGACTTCCCAGTGAGGAAGGGGCGGGAAGTGACGCCCCTGCGCGCCGGGGGACGCCAACACGCCCAACTCTGTGGTCACCCTGTCGGGGCTGATCGGGGAGAGAGGGGATGTAGTTCCAGGAAGAGGGGACGACAGGCGCAAAGGGAGGTGGGAATAAACACACCTGGAGAACGATTAGGCCTGGGAGGTTTCCAGAGCCGGGCCAGGACGGGGCTCAAATGCCAGGCTGGGGAGTTGGCACTTTATCCTGAGGGTGATGGGGAAGGGTTTTGCCCTGGCGAGGGGACTGGACAGAATGTGCCAGAAAGATCCCTCCAGCCACTCAGAGGGGAAGTGGAGGGATCGGCTGCCCCCTCCACGCACTGTGGGACTTTGGGGAAGTCACTTCCCTTTTGGGTCTCCATCTCCAAACTTTCTGCAAACGAGGTGAAGATGGCCCCATTCCATAAGGCTGGCCCATGCATTCTGACTCATGCATTTAATGAGCGCTGATGGTGTGCGCCCGTCCAGAAGCCCCACTCTTCACTGCTGCTGTTAGTCACTTTATTATTATTATTATTATATTTTTGAGATGGAGTTTCTCTGTCGCCCAGGCTGGAGTGCAGTGGCGCGATCTCGGCTCACTGCAACCTCCGCCTCCTAGGTTCAAGCGATTCTCCTGCCTCAGCCTCCTGAGTAGAGTAGATGAGACTACAGGCACCTGCCACCACGCCTGGCTAATTTTTGTATTTTTAGTAGAGGCGGGGTTTCACCATGTTGGCCAGTCTGCTCTTGAACTCTTGATCTCAAGTGATCCACCCACCTTGGCTTCCCAAAGTGCTGGGATTATAGGCGTGAGCCACCATACCCGGCCTGTTAGTCACTTTATTCCACCAACATTTATAGAGCACTTACTGTAGCTCAGGCACTTTCTAGGTACTAAGGCCACAGCCAGGAGCAACACAGATTAAAAACCCCTCCTTCTAGTAAGGGAGACTGACTAGGGGTTGCATGGAAACCAGTTGGCCAAGGGAGGCATCACTGTCACTGAAGTGACATCTAAGCCACAAGTTACAGGAGGTGAGGGAGGGAGCCATGTGGGTATCTGGGGGAAGAGCATTAAAGGGTGTGGCCCTGAGGCGGGACTGTGCCTGGTGTGATAGAGGAACAAGGAGGAGACCTGTGTGGCTGGAGCAGAGTGAGGCAGGGAGAGGGAGGAGAAGAGGGCAGGGAGGGGGCAAGGGAGGTAGTGCAGGGCCTGGTGGGCCGTGGGAAGGGCTAGGGCTTTGACAAGGCAGGTGGGAGGCATGGAAGGTTGTAGGAAGAGGAGGGGCATGAGGACAAGCTGCCTTTTCCAATCCATTTTCCTCCCTCAGGCAAGACAGGGACAGCTCAGTCTGTGGCTCGTGCGTGGCCTTGCCACTTGGGGGAACTGTTTTGACCCCTCCGTCTGCTCTCTCCCCCCACAGATCTTCGACCCCCCGGAGGAGCTGGAGCGGAAGGTGTGGGAACTGGCGAGGCTGGTCTGGCAGTCTTCCAGTGTGGTGTTCCACACGGGTGCCGGCATCAGCACTGCCTCTGGCATCCCCGACTTCAGGTCTGTGATTGTGCAGGGGAAGTCGAGGCAAGGCCTACCAGGCTGCCAGAGGCTTCCCTGCGAGCCACACACATCTGGGAATGAGAACACATCCATCTGCTTTCCTCCTGGATGTGTCCTGGGTACTCCCTTTAAGATGTGTCCCTTGGCTGGGCATGGTGGATCACAAGGTCAAGAATTCCAGACCAGCCTGGCCAATATGGTGAATCCCTGTCTCTACTAAAAATACAAAAATTAGCCAGTTGTGGTGGCACACATCTGTAGTCCCAGCTACTCGGGAGGCTGAGGCAGGAGAATTGCTTGAACCTGGGAGGTGGAGGCAGTGAGCCGAGATTGCACCACTGCACTCCAGCCTGGGCGACAGAGTGAGGCTCCGTCTAAAAACAAAACAAAAAGATGTGTCCCTTGTCACAACCAGCATTCCACTCACCTCATTGGCCAGAACACGGTCACCTGATCACACCTGGCTGCAAGGGTTGCTGGGAAATGTAGTCTTTCATATTTGCAAGCGTAGCCAGGTGTGGTGGCAGGCACCTGTAATCGCAGCTACTTGGAAGGCCGAGGTGGGAGAATCGCTTGAACCCGGGAGGCAGAGGTTGCAGTCAGCCAGGATCATGCCATTGTACTCCAGCCTGGGCAACAGAGCCAGACTCCATCTCAAAAAAAAAAAAAAAAAAAAAAAAAAAAAGCCAAGGCGTGAATTTCTCCTCCTTCTCCTCTTCCATAACCTGCTGTGGCTCCCCATTGCCAGGCAGTGTAGAGTTCTGAATACCTTGTGCTGGAAGCTGAAGCCCTTCCTGCCCCAGCCCTGAATCACCTCTCCAACTTCAGCCCCTCCTGCTCCTGCTGCAGCCCCCAAAACACTTGCATTTTCTCCTAAACTCATGGGCTCTTCCCAGCACCCAGGCCTTTGTTTACCCCTTCTGTCTGATCTTCCCTCTCACCCTTCAAGAAACTGCTTAGCCTCCTCCAGGAAGCCCTTCCACGTGCCCCAGGGCCCCCACCTCCACGGGGCTTCCCCAGGCCCAGGTACCTCCTCTGATCCAGGCTTGACTCTTGGGGCCAGAGGATCTGTGTCCACCTGTCTCCCCCAAGATCAAGGGCTTCTGGAGGGCAGGGCTTGGGCCCATGTGAGCATCGTCGGGCTCATTGCAGCAGCAGTGTTGGTTGAATAGAATAAGTCATTTTTGCCTTCGTGTGAATTCATCTCTCTCTCTCTGCCTCTCCCTCTCTCTGTCTCTCTCCAATTCTGTCTCTGACTTGCTTTGTCTTTAACTCTTTATCTCTCTGTCTGTGTCTTGTTCTATCCCCCTCTCCCTGTTCTTGCAACTCACCCTCTATTTCTGTTTCTGATTCCCTCTCTCTGTCTCCCTGTCTCTCTCTGTCTCCTGATTTTCTCTCTCTCCAACTTTCTCTCTATACCTCTCTGATTCTCCCTCTGTCTCTTTTTCTGTTCCCCTCTCCCCGTCCATCTCTCCCGGCCTGCCACCTTCAGGGGTCCCCACGGAGTCTGGACCATGGAGGAGCGAGGTCTGGCCCCCAAGTTCGACACCACCTTTGAGAGCGCGCGGCCCACGCAGACCCACATGGCGCTGGTGCAGCTGGAGCGCGTGGGCCTCCTCCGCTTCCTGGTCAGCCAGAACGTGGACGGGCTCCATGTGCGCTCAGGCTTCCCCAGGTAACACCCTGGCCCCGCCCCCACAAAAGAGCTTGGGGCCCCACAAACCGTGTTTGCATTTTTAGGGGGAGAGTCCCCTTTTCCTGGTTCTATAAGATTCTAGCCCTGAGTTCTTGGCCCAGTGTGTGGAGATCTCTGAGTCCCATGGCTCAGAGCTGTCCCGGCTGAGGCCAGAGGCAGAATTTCCCTCGAGATGGGGCTAAGGGGAGGAGAGCTGTCAGGGTCTAGAAGTTGCAGTTTGTTTTTTGTTGTTGTTGTTGTTTTTGAGACCGAGTTTCGTTCTTGTTGCCCAGGCTGGAGTGCAATGGCGTGATCTCCGCTCAGCCTCCCAGGTTCAAGCGATTCTCCTGCCTCAGCCTCCCTAGTAACTGGGATTACAGGCATGCGCCATCACACCCAGCTAATTTTGTATTTTTAGTAGAGACGGGGTTTCTCCATGTTGGCCAGGCTGGTCTTGAACTCCTGACCTCAGGTGATCTGCCCGCCTCAGCCTCCCAAAGTGCTGGGGTTACAGGTGTGAGCCACCACGCTTGGCCTGTTGTGTTTTTAATATCCATCTTTATTAATCTGACACTAAACGTGTCTGACACTGAAGTGAACCTGTGCTCTGGGGCAGGCTGATTTCCCAATAAAAGTGTGGCCCTCCCCTGCCCCTCTTTGCCAGGTCTCACCCCTGGGGCAACCAATGACAGCCAGGTCAGTTGTTGAGACGAGGAGCTCGGCAGCCAGGGGTGAGGGGTGAGGAAGAGATTTTTCTCTGCTTATAAAAGCAAACGAGGGGCCGGGCATGGTGGCTCACATCTGTAATCCCAGCACTTTGGGAGGCCGAGGCAGGCGGATCACGAGGTCAAGAGTTCGAGACCAGCCTGGCCAACATGTTGAAACCCCATCTCTACTAAGAGTACAAAAATTAGCTGGGCGTGGTGGCGCATGCCTGTAATCCCAGCTACTCGGGAGGCTGAGTCAGGAGAATCGCTTGAACCCGGGAGGCAGAGGTTGCAGTGAGCCGAGATGGCGCCACTGCACTCCAGCTTGGGTGACAGAGCAAGACTCTGTCTTGAAAAAAAAAAAAGCAAAGGAGGGTCAGGTGTGGTGACTTATGCCTGGAATCTCAGCACTTTGGGAGGCCAAGGCGGGCGGATCATGAGGTCAGGAGATCGAGACCATCCCGGCCACATGGTAAAACCCCGTCTCTACTAAAAACAGAAAAATTAGGCTGGGTACAGTGGCTCACGCCTGTAATCCCGGCACTTTGGGAGGCCGAGGCGGGTGGATCACAAGCTCAGGAGATCGAGACCATCCTGGCTAACACGGTGAAACCCTGTCTCTACTAAAAATACAAAAAATTAGCCCGGCGTGGTGGCGGGCGCCTGTAGTCCCAGCTACTCAGGAGGCTGAGGCAGGAGAATCACTTGAACCCCGGAGGCAGAGGTTGTGGTGAGCTGAGATTGTGCCATTGAGGTTGTGGTGAGCTGAGATTGCACCATTGCACTCCAACCTGGGCAACAAGAGCAAAACTCTGTCTCAAAATAAATAAATAAATAAAATAAAGCTGGGATTGGATCTCATGCTTCAGGGCCATTCAATGTCTCGGTTTCTTCCATTATAAACTGGGAATTTGAATTCCTGTGCTTCTGACCTGGTGACATCAAGAGGTTCCCATATGCTCTCGGAGGGGGACGGGCATTTTGTGAGTGGAAAGGGCTTCCCGTTATCTAAGGTGGGTTCAGCCTTGGGGGTTAATGATTCCTTGGGCTCAGAGAGGTTGGTCCACTTGCCCAGAGATGCACAGCAGATGAATGGTGGAGCCAGGAGCTAGAAGAGCCAGAAAGAAGGAGTTGATCAATGTTGTGGGAGAGGAGTCCGGGAAGCCTTCCTGGAGGAGAGGGGCTTAGCACCAGCTCCAAAGCCTGGGCATCCAGGGATCCTTTCCCACCATCAAGCCTCTTCCTGCTCTTCCCACAGGGACAAACTGGCAGAGCTCCACGGGAACATGTTTGTGGAAGAATGTGCCAAGTGTAAGACGTGAGTGCCACCTGGGTGCAGGGGTGGGGGCTCTGCCAGAGGGGGTTGGGGGTCGAATCCGATGTCCCAGAGACCCAGAGGGTATGGGGGGACTGGGGTGTGGCCCTCCTGGGGGGATCTGGGGGCGTGTCTCCCTCTTGGGGGGATATAAGGAGTATGTCTCCCTCCTGGAGGGATTTGGGGGGCATGTCTTCCTCCTGGAGGGATTTGGGGGGGCCGTGCCTCCCTCCTGTGGGGGGTACATCCGTGTCCTGGCACTGCTGTAGCAACCTGCCACAGATGAGCAGCGTAGAACAATAGAAATTTGTGATCTCACAGTTCTGGGGACCAGAAGTCCAAAATCCAGGTGTCTGCAGGGCCATGCCCCTCTGCAACCTGTAGGGGAGGATTTTTCCTGCCTTTTCCTGGCTGCTGGTGGCAGCCAGCCACCCTTGGTGGTCCTGGACCTACAGCCACAGGGGCCTTCTTATCTCTGTGTTTCTCCTTTTTTTTGAGACAGTCCCGCTCTGTCATCCAGGCTGGAGTACAGTGGGGCAATCTCGGCTCACTGCAACCTCCGCCTCCCGGGTTCAGGCAATTATTCTGCCTCAGCCATCCAAGTAGCTGCAACTGCAGGCGCCCGCCACCACACCTGGCTAATATTTGTATTTTTAGTAGAGACGGGGTTTCACCATATTGGCCAGGCTGGTGTCGAACTCCTGACCTTGTGATCTGCCCGCCTCAGCCTCCCAAAGTGCTGGGATGACAGGCGTGAGCCACCACGCCCGGCCCAGTATAACGATTAAAGTCAGGAAAAGTAAAGTGGACATCGCCTTCTCTAATCCCGAATCCAGACTCGGCCTGTCGCCCCCATGCTCCAATTGTTCCTGTTTCTCCTGGTCCGGGATCCCATGCTGGGTCTTGTCTCTCGAGCCCCTTCGTCTGTCTGGGACAGTTTCCTGCTTTGTTTTCTGTGCTCCGGGCACCGAGCAGCATCCCAGCCCGTTATTCATGGAAGGCTACTCGTTCCGTGTCGCTGGGTGCTAGTTCTGGTCACCTGTCCACCCCCCACCTCCCTGGGAGAACGTCACCCTAGAAACAGTGCGAGAGTCACCCATGGGAGCTCACCTGGTCCCATCCTCCCCCTTCCTCCCTGACACAGGCAGTACGTCCGAGACACAGTCGTGGGCACCATGGGCCTGAAGGCCACGGGCCGGCTCTGCACCGTGGCTAAGGCAAGGGGGCTGCGAGCCTGCAGGTGAGCCACCCCCACCCATGCCCTGGGCTCCAGGGGAGGCTGCGAGGCCCCTGAGGACTCTCCTCAGCTTCCTCATTGCAGGGGAGAGCTGAGGGACACCATCCTAGACTGGGAGGACTCCCTGCCCGACCGGGACCTGGCACTCGCCGATGAGGCCAGCAGGTCTGACCCCCCACCCCCAGGGAGCCCATGGTGGGGCGGGGCGGGACGACAGCAGAAACACAGCCAGCTCCAGCATGGGACAGTGGCTGAGGCTCACAGGCAGTGAGGGGAGGCTTCCTGGAGCAGGTGGGCCAGGCCAGGGGCTGCACACACGCACTCACACACACTCGTCACCTCATGGCTCTGGGTGGGTGCTACACAAGGAAACCAAGGCTTCCGCCAGGTGTCTCCTCTATCCAGTGCTGCCCAGCCGGGAGGTGACCGAGCCAGGGTCCCACCCTAGGTGTCCAAGCTCTTACCACACTGTGATACTCCCCGGAAGTGTCTAAGGGCCCGCCCAGATCAATGACCCCGCCAACGGACCGCAGAGGAGGGCAGGGCGGGATCCCAAAGGCTGACTCGGGAGTGGGGCTGGCCTTGACCGCCCCGGTGAGCACAGATGGCCTAGGTGTGAACCGGCCCCCAGGGCTGGCTCGGGATGTTGGCAGGAGCAGGGCATCAGGCTCAGCCCACGCTCCCCGGCCCCAGGAACGCCGACCTGTCCATCACGCTGGGTACATCGCTGCAGATCCGGCCCAGCGGGAACCTGCCGCTGGCTACCAAGCGCCGGGGAGGCCGCCTGGTCATCGTCAACCTGCAGCCCACCAAGCACGTAGGTGTCTGAGCCTACCCCTGCCCAGGGCCACCATGCACCCTCTGTCCCCCACGCCTGACCCGTCCCGCCCCTCGGCAGGACCGCCATGCTGACCTCCGCATCCATGGCTACGTTGACGAGGTCATGACCCGGCTCATGAAGCACCTGGGGCTGGAGATCCCCGCCTGGGACGGCCCCCGTGTGCTGGAGAGGGCGCTGCCACCCCTGCCCCGCCCGCCCACCCCCAAGCTGGAGCCCAAGGAGGAATCTCCCACCCGGATCAACGGCTCTATCCCCGCCGGCCCCAAGCAGGAGCCCTGCGCCCAGCACAACGGCTCAGAGCCCGCCAGCCCCAAACGGGAGCGGCCCACCAGCCCTGCCCCCCACAGACCCCCCAAAAGGGTGAAGGCCAAGGCGGTCCCCAGCTGACCAGGGTGCTTGGGGAGGGTGGGGCTTTTTGTAGAAACTGTGGATTCTTTTTCTCTCGTGGTCTCACTTTGTTACTTGTTTCTGTCCCCGGGAGCCTCAGGGCTCTGAGAGCTGTGCTCCAGGCCAGGGGTTACACCTGCCCTCCGTGGTCCCTCCCTGGGCTCCAGGGGCCTCTGGTGCGGTTCCGGGAAGAAGCCACACCCCAGAGGTGACAGGTGAGCCCCTGCCACACCCCAGCCTCTGACTTGCTGTGTTGTCCAGAGGTGAGGCTGGGCCCTCCCTGGTCTCCAGCTTAAACAGGAGTGAACTCCCTCTGTCCCCAGGGCCTCCCTTCTGGGCCCCCTACAGCCCACCCTACCCCTCCTCCATGGGCCCTGCAGGAGGGGAGACCCACCTTGAAGTGGGGGATCAGTAGAGGCTTGCACTGCCTTTGGGGCTGGAGGGAGACGTGGGTCCACCAGGCTTCTGGAAAAGTCCTCAATGCAATAAAAACAATTTCTTTCTTGCATCTCAGTGTGTTTACTTTATTTTATTGAGCCAGAGTCTCACTCTGTCACCAAGGCTGGAATGCAGTGGCGTGATCTCAGCTCACTGCAGCCTCTGCCTCCTAGGTTCAAGCAATTCTCCTGCCTCAGCCTCCAGAGTAGCTGGGATTATAGGTGTGTGCCACCACACCCAGCTAATTGTTTGCATTTTTTGTAGAGATGGGGGTCTCACTATGTGACTCAGGCTGGTCTCAAACTCCTGGGCTCAAGCAGTCAGGCCACCTTGGCCTCCCAAAGTGCTGGACTTAACGGGCGTGAGCCACTGTGCCCAGTGAGTGTTTAAATTCCCTATTTGTGGCAGGTCCTCGCCCCCCTGGGTCAGGAGTTCGTGGTCCCCTCCTCCCTGGACCAGCTGCTTGGGCTCCGTTGCAATCCCTGCCCCTCAAGCCTGGGGGCCGAGGAACAAGGGCTCACCTCTCCCCCCACCCCGCCTCTGGAGGGATCAGGCCAGTTTTCTGATGATGAAGCCAATAAGGCAGCTGGCATTTTCTGAGCACTCAGTTTGTAGTTATACACTTATGCACATGCTTTTTGTTGTTGTTTAACATTTACCCCCAGGCTATGAGTCCCCACCTGTGCTTTGGGCGCGATTTTGCGATGGCGCCCGGGCAGGCGCGCACAGCCCGCAGTGGGGGCGACCCCACAGACGAGCGCAGGAGCAGCCGGGTTCCACTCTCCCCAGCTGTGACCTTAGGCAGTCCCTCCACTTCCGACGCCTCGGTGTCCTCGCCCGCAAAATGAGCAGGGTGGGCCGCCCAGATCCCCGGGAAGGCAGCTGCCTTCCCCGCAACTCCGGAGGGGACACCTTGGAAGCGCCACGCCTGCCTCCCCGCACTCCGCCCGCCGCCGCTCTCCAAGGTGCTGAAGTCGTGCCCGGCGCCTCTCCCTCCGCTGCTCCAGCGCGGGCATCTGGCGGGGGTGTGGAGCCCACACCTCACTCACCCATCCCAGGCTGGCCCAGCCCCTCCTTCTGGGGAGTCGAGGAGCCCCAGACTCCGCCTCCACACCAAAACAAGGTTCTGTCAAAATACTTTATTTCGGATCAGGCAGTCTTAGAAAAGGGGGGTGATTGTGGGCCGTGGCTGCTCCAAAGACCAGGGCGCACCCGGGGCTCCGGGGCCAGGCTCCCTGCAGTCTCGGCGGCTTCCTCCTCCCAGTGTGCGAGGGAGGCCGGGAGGGGTCCCTGGGCGGGGAGTTGCTGCGCATCTGTTGTGTGTGTGCGTCTGTCTGTCTGTTCAGGTCTGTTTCAGACTACGTCTGCCTGTCTGTCCAGGTCTGTTTTAGGCTGTGTCTGCCTGTCTCTCTGTCTGGGTCTCTTTCAGGCTGCGTCGGTCTGTCTGTCTGGGTCTGTTTCAGGCTGTGTCTGTCTGTCTGTCTGGGTCTGTTTCAGGCTGTGTCTGTCTGTCTGTCCGGGTCTGTTTCAGGCTGTGTCTGGGTCTGTTTCAGGCTGTGTCTGTCTGTTTGTCTGGGTCTGTTTCAATCTGTGTCTGTCTGTCTAGGTCTGTTTCAGGCTGTGTCTGTCTGTCTGTCCGGGTCTGTTTCAGGCTGTGTCTGTCTGTCTGTCCGGGTCTGTTTCAGGCTGTGTCTGTCTGTCTGTCCGGGTCTGTTTCAGGCTGTGTCTGTCTGTCTGTCTGGGTCTGTTTCAGGCTGTTTCTGTCTGTCTGTCCGGATCTGTTTCAGGCTGTGTCTGGGTCTGTTTCAGGCTGTCTGTCTGTCTGTCTGGGTCTGTTTCAGGCTGTGTCTGTCTGTCTGTTTGTCTGGGTCTGTTTCAGGCTGTGTCTGTCTGTCCGGGTCTGTTTCAGGCTGTGTCTGTCTGTCCAGGTCTGTTTCAGGCTGTATGTGTGTCTGCTCTTTGCTTCTGCTCCTGGCTCTGTGTGTATTTCCCGGGTCCTGTGGCCCTCTTTGCCTTGTGTCTGAGTGTCGGTTCCTGCGTGGGCCTCAGTCAGGCCCTGGGTGTGTGGCTATGAGCTGTGCCTCCCCCATTCTGGCATCTCTGCTGGGGTCTTGGCCTCACGTCCCATCCCCAGGTGGGTAGCTGCCCAGTGCAGCATCCCCAAGGCACCCCTGGGCAGAGGGGCCTGGGAGCATAGTCCTGGCGGGGCTCACAGCTCGTCTCCCGCCGCCTCCAGCCCTGCACGTCCTGAGCCAGTGCTCGGCCCAGGCGCCACCCAGTCCAGCAGGGCGACCTGGCCCAGCCCCTCTGTTGCATTCCTCAGGACCAGGGTGGCGTTGTCCAGCTCCTCCGTCGAATTGGTCAGGTTCGCGGTGTCCTGGAAGCCCCAGTCTGCCCCGGGGCTTCCTGGAGACTCTTCTCGGGTTGTGTCAGCCTCGGGTCGGGGTCCTGGGGCCTCGGAGCCTGGCACAGCATCAGCAGCCACGCGGGAGGCAGCATCGTTGTGCAAAGTTCTGGAGAACACTGATTGGGGAAGGGGGGCATCACAGGGGACAAGGTGGAGGTGGGGTCCTATGCTCCCTTCCCTGGCCCCCAGCCTCAGGGAACAAGGGCACAGGGGTCTTCTCCCCCTCCCCCAGAGGCCCAGGACGGGGACTTGGGGAGACCAGACAAGGGTTTCAAAGGTGGGGATCCCCTACCTCGTACAGGCGCAAAGTCCCCAGGGCTCTCGGTTTTGTTGGGGCCAAAAGGGCTGATGGAGGGGAGGATGATGAGGGCAAAGGACAGCAACAGGACCTGGTGGAGACAGCGGCAGAGTCACCCCCTCCCTCCCCTCCCCTGCAAGCATCTCCATCCCACAGGCAGGGAAACTGAGGCCCCAAAGACCAGACTGGATCATACTTGAGCTGGGGCACAAGGAGAGCTTGGACTCATTGTCACCTCCCTATGGGCCCCTCTACAGAAGCCTAGGTCCCCGGCTTGCCTGGGGGCACCAGGACTCACTGCGACACAGGTGCCTGTCTGGGCTGACTTGCTGGTGGACTGCACCACAATGGCCTGGAGTTTCTTCAGTTGCTCCAAGAGGGACCTTAGAGAGACAGGCAGGCCTCCGCTGAGCCCTAAAGGGCCTCGGTTCTGCTTCTCGTCCATTTCCGGGGTCCCCCAGCCCCGCTAAAGTCCAAATTCCATCCATTCTTCAAGGGCCTCTGGCTCTTTATTATTTATTTTATTTATTTATTTATTTGTTTATTTATTTATTTATTTATTTTGAGACAGAGTCTTGCTCCATCGCCCAGGCTGGAGTGAGTGGTGGGATGGCAGCTCACTGCAAGCTCCGCCTCCCAGGTTCACACCATTCTCCTGCCTCAGCCTCCCGAGTAGCTGGGACTACAGGCGCCCACCACCACACCCAGCTAATTTTTTTTGTATTTTTAGTAGAGACGGGGTTTCACCGTGTTAGCCAGGATGGTCTTGATCTCCCGACCTTGTGATCCGCCCACCTCAGCCTCCCAAAGTGCTGGGATTACAGGCGTGAGCCACCACACCAGGCCTTATTTATTTATTTTTGAGACAGAGCCTTGCTCTGTCACCCAGGCTGGAGTGCAGTGGTGCGATCTCGGCTCACGGCAACCTCCGCCTCCCGAGTTCAAGCAATTCTCCTGCCTCAGCCTCTCGAGTAGCTGGGACTGCAGGTGCCCGCCACCACGCCTGGCTAATTTTTTTGTATTTTTAGTAGAGACGGGGTTTCACCATGTTGGCCAGGCTGGTTTTGAACTCCTGACCTCAGGTGATCCACCCGCCTCGGCCTCCCAAAGTGCTGAGATTACAGGCGTGAGCCACTGCACGCGGCCCATAGGTAAAACTCTTATTCCCTATGTCATTCTGCCATCACATGGGCTCTCTGCTCTTCCTGCAAAGGGACTCTGGGGCTGCTTCCCCTGTCCTCTGCCCCAGCTGGACCCAGACTCACAGGTTTTGCTTCTCGAGATGCAAGACTTTCCTCTGTAACTCCTGATTCTGAGCAGTGCAAGCTGACATCCTGAAAGGAGGAAGACGCATCGACATTCAGCATATGCCAGTCACCAGCTGGCCCCACTGACATCTCCCCCAGAGGCCTCACGTTACAAGCCAAGAGAACCCAAGGCCAGAGAGGGGAAGTCATTCATCCAAGGTTACTCGGCAGGTCAGACAGGGCTGGGATTTGAACCCACATCTGCCTGGTTCCTAGGTCCCATTTCTGCATTAATATGGAGGGGGCTTCATTCAAAGCTGAGCCCCCTGGATGGGTGTGGTGGTTCACACCTGTAATCCCAGCACTTTGGGAGGCCGTGGTGGGCGGATCACCTGAGGTCAGGAGTTCAAGACCAGCCTGGCCAACATGGTGAAACCCTGCCTGTACTAAAAATGCAAAATTAGCCAGGTGTGGTGGTGGGCGCCTATAATTCCAGCTACTTGGGAACTTGGGAGGCTAAGGCAGGAGAATCGATTGAACCCGGGAAGTGGAGGTTGCAGTGAGTCAAGATCGCACCATTGCACTCCAGCCTGGGCAACAAGAATGAAACTCTGTGTCAAAAAAAAAAAAAAAAAAAAAAAAGCTGAGCCTCCTAGATTCAGGCAGTGATGTTTCCAGAAGATGAAATATCAGGACAACCAGGCATCCTGGGAGACTCAAGTTTCTTTTTTTGTTTGTTTGTTTTTTGAGATGGAGTCTCGCTCTGTCGCCCAGGCTGGAATGCAGTGGCACAATCTCGACTCACTGCAAGCTCTGCCTTCTGGGTTCACGCCATTCTCCTGCCTCAGCCTCCCGAGTAGCTGGGACTACAGGCACCCGCCACCAAGCCCAGTTAATTTTTTTGGATTTTTTGTAAAGACAGAGTTTCACCGTGGTCTCGATCTCCTGAACTCGTGATCCGCCTGCCTCAGCCTCCCAAAGTGCTGGGATTACAAGTGTGAGCCACGGCGCCCGGCCGAGATTCAAGTTTCATCTCTCCCTCTCCCCATGACCTTGGGCCACTCCACTCTCTGATCTCAGCTTTTGTGTCTGTAAAATGGGATACAATTACCCAGGACATAGGGTGGTGGGGGGAATGACCCTGGATAAAGATGATCAGGAGCTTAGCAGATTGCATTTAAGAAAGGGGAGAGACCAGGCGCAGTGGCTCACGCCTGTAATCCCAGCACTTTGGGAGGCTGAGGCGGCCAGATCACCTGAGGTCAGGAGTTTGAGACTAGCCTGGGCAACACAGTGAAACCCCATCTCTACCAAAAATACAAAGAAATTAGCTGGGCGTGGTGGCCATGCACCTGTAATCCCAGCTTCTGGAGAGGCTGAGGCAGGAGAATCGCTTGAACCCGGGAGGTGGAGGTTGCAGTGAGCCAAGATCGCACCACTGCACTCCAGCCTGGGTGATAGAAGGAGACCCTTCCACACACACAAAAAGGAAGTGTCTATCTTCAGGCAGAGGGTCAGAATAGGATGGGTCACACTTTGTCCTTTTTCCGCACACCTTCTAGGGGGCAAAGGGTCCCCCAAACCCTTGTCCTACACCATCACTAGGCATCTTTCCATCCCTGCAATCAGTAAGAAGCATGATCTCTCCCAGAGAGGAGAATCACCTCCAATTTTGTCAGACTCTAAGCTGTGTGGCCTTAGCCACATCTCCTTCTCTCTGGGCCTCAGTTTCCTCCACGAGTGTAGAGTCTGGGTCCAGCACTACCCACCGAGTCTCCAGGCCATCGATATATTCCTTCTTCTTCTTCCTGCTTTCTTGCGCCGACTGCTTGTTCCGGATTTTCCGGCGGATTTTTTTCAGCACTCGCTCCTCGTACTGCCAAGTGAAATGGGGAGGAGGGTTTCAGGCCAGAAAGTCCCCACTTGGAGTCCGGGGGCAGTAGCTCTCGCCTGTAATCCCAGCACTTTGGGAGGCCGAGGCAGGCGTATCACCTGAGGTCAGGAGTTCGAGACCAGCCTGGCCAACATGGTGAAACACCGTCTCTACTAAAAATACAAAAATTAGCCAGGCATGGTGGCGGGTGCCTGTAATCCCAGCTACTCGGGAGGCTGAGGCAGGAGAATGGCATGAACCCGGGAGGCGGAGGTTGCAGTGAGCCAAGATCGTGCCATTGCAATCCAGCCTGGGCAACAAGAGCGAAACTCCATCTCAATAAATAAATAGATAAATAAATAAATAAATAAATAAATAAAATAATTAAAATTAAAAAATTAAAGTCTTCACTTTGGGGATGGTGCGACAGTCCCCACTGTCCTGACCCCACTTCACCTAACCTCGACCCCACAACTTCACCCCATCCTCTTTGCATACAAGACATCCCGGAGCCAAGGACCCAGAGGCAGATTCCTAATGACTTGAAGCTACCCTTTGCCCAAACCCTCACAGAGTCTCTGGGAGGTGCCTGGGTTCTGAGGGTCTTTTCCCAGCTCCCAATACTGTAAAATGGGCAACTGCCCACCAGACTTTGGGCATGGGTACCACTCCACCACCTTGTGGCCATCCCTGGAAACATCACCTTTCCCTGGCGACAGCAAGTGTTTTAAGACTAATTAATAATTTTTTTCTTCTTTCTTACGTTTCTTTCTTTTCTTTCCTTTCTTTTCCCCTCCCTCCCTCCCTCCCTCCCTTCCTTCCTTTCTCCCTTTCTCTCTTTCTCTCTTTCTCTTTCTCTTTCTCTCTTTCTTTCCTTTTCTTCCTTTCTTTCCTTCTTTTCTTCCTTTCTTTCTTTCCTTTCTTTCTTTCTTTTCTTTCTTTTCCTTTCTTTCTTTCTTTCTTTTCTTTCCTTCCTTTTCTCTCTCTCTCTCTCTCTCTCTTTCTTTCTTTCTTTCTTGTTTCGCTCTTGTCACCCAGGCTGGAGTGCAGTGGCAAGATCTCAGCTCACTGCAACCTCCACCCCCAGGGTTCAAGTGATTCTCCCACCCCAGCTTCCCAAGTAGCTGGGATTACAGGTGCACAACACCATGCCTGGCTAA
The DNA here is from genome assembly GCF_000001405.40 of Homo sapiens. Taxonomy (NCBI): domain Eukaryota; kingdom Metazoa; phylum Chordata; class Mammalia; order Primates; family Hominidae; genus Homo; species Homo sapiens. The sequence continues at coordinate 4,167,193 of NC_000019.10, read as the reverse complement.
TTTTTGTATTTTTAGTAGAGACAGGGTTTCACCATGTTGGCCAGGCTGGTCTCAAACTCCTGACCTCAGGTGATCCGCCCATCTTTGCCTCCCAAAGAGCTGGGATTACAGGCATGAGACACCACACCCGGCCAATAAGTGTCTTCAAATGGGAATGTCAGGCTGGGCGCGGTGGTTCACAGTGCTGTAATCCCAGCACTTTGGGAGGCCAAGGCAAGAGGATCGCATAAGTCCAGGAGTTCAAGACTAGACTGGGCAACATTTAGTAAAGACCCTGTCTCTACTAAAACAAAACAACAACCACAAAATCAGCTGGGTGTGGTGGTGCATGCCTATAGTCCCAGCTACTTGGGAGGCTGAGGCAGGAGGATCCCTTGAGACCAGGAGTTCAAGGTTGCAGTTAGCTGCTACCTGCAGATTGTACCACTGCACTCCAGCCTGAGCGACAAAGTGAGATCCTATCTCAAAACAAACAACAACAACAATAGAAACAGATGGGGCCAGGCACGGTGGCTCACACCTGTAATCTTAACACTTTGGGAGGCCAAGGTCAGAGGACTGCTTGAGGCCAGGAGTTTGAGACCAGCCTGGGCAACATAGCAAGACCCTGTCTCTAAGGAAAAAAAAAAATGCTGGGCGCAGTGGCTCACACCTGTAATCCCAACACTTTGGGAGGCTGAGCTGGGCAGATCACAAGGTCAAGAGATCGAGACCATCCTGGCCAACATGGTGAAACTCTGTCTCTACTCAAAAAAAAAAAAAAAAAAAAAAATTAGCCAGGCGTGGTGGCGCGTGCCTGTAATCCCAGCTACTTAGGAGGCTGAGGCAGGAGAATCACTTGAACCTGGGAAGCGGAGGTTGCAGTGAGCCGAGATCGCGCCACTGCACTCCAGCCTGGGCAACAAAAGCGAAACTCCGTCTCAGGAAAAAAAAAAAAATTAGCTAGGCATAATGGCATACACCTGTAGTCCCAGCTGCTAGGGAGGCTGATGTGGGAGAATCACTTGTACTCCAGAGGGGGAAGTTGGAGTGAGCCAAGATCACCTCACTCCACTCCAGCCTGGGCAACAGAGTCAGAACCTGTCTCAATAGAAAAAAAAAAAAAACAGATGAGAATATCAAACTCAGGCATTGATACTGAGTGCAGCAGGCTGGGTGGGGACTGTGGTTAGCTAGAGAACCCAAACAGCTACCCAGCCATTGACTGGTGCATATGGAGGTTTGAGAATATGAAACAGAGGACATTCAAGTAATTGAGTTGGTTTTTTGGATTTTGTTTTGTTTATGTTTTTAGTTTTTTTGTTTTTGTTTTTGTTTTGACAGAGTTTCGCTCTTGTCACCCAGGCTGGAGTGCAGTGGTACCATCTCGGCTCACTGCAACCTCCACCTCCCGGGTTCAAGGGAGATCCTCCTGCCTCAGCCTCCTGAGAAGCTGGGAGGCTGAGAAGCACCTTACAGTTGCCCACCACCAGGCACAGCTAATTTTTGTAATTTTAGTAGAGACGGGGTTTCACCATGTTGGCCAGGCTAGTCTCGAACTCCTGACCTCAAGTGATCCTCTGCCTCAGCCTCCCACAGTGCTGGGATTACAGGTGTGAGCCACCGTGCCCAGCCTCAAGTCACTGAGTTCTCTTGTAAAATCTACCGGTCAGAAAAACATTATCAAGCAATTCAAAAATGTATAAAATGCAGTACAGTCCAATCAAAACATGTCTGCAGGGCCAGGCATGATGGCTCATGCCTGTAATCCCAACACTTTGGGAGGCCAAGGTGGGAGAATCACTTGAACCCAGGAGTCCCAGCCCAGCCTGGGCAACATAACAAGACCCCATTTCTACAAAAAAAAAAAAAAAATTAAATTAGCCAAGTGTAGTGGCGTGCACCTGTCATCCTAGCTACTTGAGAGGCTGAGGCGGGAGGATCTCTTGAGCCCAGGAGGTCAAGGCTGAAGTGAGCTATGATGGCACCACTGCACTCCAGCGGGACACAGCAAGACCCTATCTCCAAAAAAAAAAAAAAGTTTGCTGCACCCAAATTGCTGCCACCTGGAGTCCGCCATTCATTCCTGGATGTTGATAATTACCCTCTGAGTTGAATTTACAATGGGGCTTCTGACTGATTGTTTTGGCTCTGGTGACAGACACAGCATAGCATTCTAGTACGGGTGTTCTAAAGGTGAGACACATAGCCAGTGCGGTGGCTCACGCCTGGAATCCCAGCACTTTGGGAGACCGAGGCAGGAGGATCACATGAGGTCAGGAGCTCGAGACCAGCCTGGCCAACATGGTGAAACCCTGTCTCTACTAAAGATACAAAAATTAGCTGGGCGTGGTGGCGCATGGCTGTAATCCCAGCTACTCAGGAGGCTGAGGCGGGAGAATCGCTGGAATCTGAGAGGCAGAGGTTGCAGCAAGCTGAGATCGTGCCACTGCATCCCAGCCTCAGTGACAGAGAAAGACTCTACTCTAAATAAATAAATAAAGGTGGGACACACATGCAGGTAAGTGCACGAAGGGGAGATGGATCCAGGGCTGGAAGTCCCCCCAGACTCACCTTAGTGAGGGGCAGCTGAGTGGGCAGGGTGATGCCTTCTTTAGCCAGCAGCTTCTTCTCATCCTCGGTGAGCACCAGCTCCTGACAGTGCCCAGCCCCAGGTCGCAGGAGGTAGGAGGCCCCCAGGTGATGCTGTTGCTACGGAAAAAATCAGAGGAATGACGGCGGGTGCAGGGACGCCAACTGCCTTCAGGAAATGAAAGAGGTATCAGATCGAAAACACTATCACCCCAGGCTGGGTGTGGTGGCTCACGCCTGTCATCCCAGCACTTAGAGAGGCTGAGGCATGTGGATCACTTGAGCTCAGGAGATCGAGACCAGCCTGGGTAACATGATGAAACCTCGTCTCTACTAAAAATACAAAAATTGCCCAGGTGCGGTGGCTCATGCCTGTAATCCCAGCACTTTGGGAGGCCGAGGTGGGCAAATCACTAGGTCAGGAGTTTGAGACCATCCTGGTCAACATGGTGAAACCCCGTCTCTACTAAAAATACAAAAAGTTAGCTGGGCGTAGTGGCGGGTGCCTGTAATACCAGCTACTTGCGAGGCTGAGGCAGGAGAATCGCTTGAACCCAGAAGTCAGAGGTTGCAGTGAGCCGAGATTGTGCCACTGCACTCCAGCCCTAGTGACAGTATGAGACTCCGTCTCAAAAAAAAAAAAAAAAAAAAATTACCCGACCATGGTGGCGGCGCCTGTAATCCCAGCTACTCAGGAGGCTGAGGCAGGAGAACTGCTTGAACCCGGGAAGCAGAGGTTCCAGTGAGCCCAGATCACACCACTGCACTCCAGCCTGAGAGACAGAGTAAGACTCTGTCTCAAAAAAAAAAAAAAAGAAAAGGTGGCTCACGTCTGTAGTCCCAGCACTTTGGGAGGCCGAGGCAGGTGGATCACTTGAGGTCAGGAGTTCGAGACTAGCCTGGCCAACATGGTGAAACCCTGTCTCCATTAAAAATACAAAAATCAGCCTGGTGTGGTGGCACGTGCCTGCAATCCCAGCTACTCGGGAGGCTGAGGCAGAAGAACCGCTTGAACCCGGGAGGCAGGGGTTGCAGTGATCTGAGATCCAGCCTGGGCGACAGAAATTCTGTCTCAAAACAGCAACAACAAAAACTATCACTCCTGCCACCACAGAATCTCCCTTGGCAGCAGGGCTCGAAATAACCAACACACGGTCCTTTGACCGGGTCATTCTACCTTCAGAAATCAGTCCTACAGATATCCTCACACACGCGCAAAATGGCATATGGACAGGGTTCTTTCTTTCTTTCCTTCCTTCCTTCCTTCCTTCTTTCTTTCTTTCTTTCTTTCTTTTCTTTCTTCTTTCTTTCTTTCTTAGACGAGTCTCGCTCTGTCGCCCAGGCTGGAGTGCAGTGGCGCGATCTCGGCTCACTGCAAGCTCTGCTTCCCGGGTTCACGCCATTCTCCTGCCTCAGCCTCCTGAGTAGCTGGGACTACAGGTGCCCGCCACCACGCCCGGCTAATTTTTTGTTATTTTTAGTAGAGACGGGGTTTCACCGTGTTAGCCAGGAAGGTCTCGATCTCCTGACCTCGTGATCTGCCCGCCTCGGCCTCCCAAAGTGCTGGGATCACAGGCGTGAGCCACCGCGCCCGGCCCTTTTGACAGCTTTCTTCTTTTCATTGTATTATTACTATTATTATTTTTGAAATAGGGTCTTGCTACTTCACCCGGGTTGGAGTGCCGTGGTGCTCTCTTGGCTCACTGCAACCTCCGCCTCCCGGGCTCAAGCGATTCTCCAGCTTCAGCTTCCCGAGTAGCTGGAACCACAGAGCGTACCGCCATGCTTGGCTAATTTTGAATTTTTTGTAGAGATGGGGTTTCACTCTGTTGCCCAGGCTGGTCTCAAACTCCTGGGCTCAAGCAATCTGTCCACTTCAGCCTCCCAAATTCCTGGGATTACAGGCATGAGCCACCACACCCATCTTTTCTTCTTTTAAGATGCAAGATGTCACTGTGTCACCCAGGCTGGAGTGCAGTCGTGTGATCATAGCTAACTGCAGCCTTGACCTCCTGAGCTCAAGTGATCCTCCTGCCTCTGCCTCCTGAGTAGCTGGGACTACAGGTGTGCGCCACCACACTCAGCTAATTTTTTTTTTTTTTTTTTGTAGAGACGAGGTCTTGCTATGTTGCCCAGGCTGGTCTTCAACTGCTGATAACTAGCATTTATAAATGCATCATTTTTTTTTGTATCGTTGTTCTGTATGTCAGCTATACAAAAAAAATGGGAGGTCGAGGCAGGAGGATCACTTGAGCTTAGGAATTTGAGGCAGTTGTGGTGACAGAGGGAAACCTTGACTTTAAATAAAATAAAATAAGGCCAGGCACAGTGGCTCATGCCTGTAATCCCAGCACTTTGGGAGGCTGAGGCGGGTGGATCACCTGATGTCAGGAGATCGAGACCAGCCTGACCAACATGGTGAAACCCCGTCTCTACTAAAAATACAAAAATTAGTCGGGCATGGTGGCAGGCACCTGTAGTCCTAGCTACCTGGGGGCTGAGGTATGAGAATCACTTGAGCCCAGGAGGTGGAGGCTACAGTGAGCCGAGACTGTGGCACTGCACTTAGCCTGGACGACGGACCATGACTCTGTCTCAAAAAATAAACAAATAAAATAAAACAAAATAAGCCAGTTATCATTGCCAAAGCAGTCGTTCATTCTCCTTTCCCTTCCTTCATGGCCTGCTGAAGTACTGCCTCCTCCGGGAAGCCTTCCTGGATCTGCAGTGACCCTGCAGGCTCTCTTTCTTTTCTGTACACCTTAATGAACAGTACATCGCCCCATCCTGACCATCAGATCCTAGAGGCTGAGCACACAGCTGGTGCTCACTGCATATCCCTCTAGTTGCCAGGGGCACCCTGGCCTTCACTAGAGATTATCAGGATAACCTTTGGCATTGGAGAAACAGGATTTCAAAACCCTGAGTCTGCCACTTGCATGCTGTGTGACTTAGGGCTCATGGCTTAACCTCTCTGGGCCTTGACCTACCTTCTCATCTGCAAAATGGGTTTGGGTTGTCAAACCTGGCTTATGGGAGCGTGAAGCCCTTGGCAGGGTAGATGGCCTTCAATTGGTGTGCAATGGGCACCATAAGCTCAATAGACCATCCCAGGGATCAAGCCTGCATCAGCTGTGTAGCATTGGGCAAATGACTGAACCTCTCTGTGCCCTTTTTCTCCTATGTAAAATTAAGATAATAAAAGCCCCAGGCGGGGCGCAGTAGCTCATGCCTATAATCCAGCACTGTGAGAGGACAAAGCAGGAGGATCACTTGAGGCTACGAGTTCAAGACCAGCCTGGGAAACATAGCAAGACCCATATCTACAGAAAAAAATTAAAAGAAAAATCAGCTGGGTCTAAACGGGGCACGGTGGCTCACGCCTGTAATCCCAGCACTTTGGGAGGCCGAGGTGGGCAGATCACGAGGTCAGGAGATCGAGACCATCCTGGCTAACATGATGAAACCCTGTCTCCACTAAAAATACAAAAAAAATCCTGGCTAATACAGTTAAACCCCATCTCTACTAAAAAGATACAAAAAATCAGCCAGGTGTGGTGGCGGGCGCCTGTAGTCCCAGCTACTCGGGAGGCTGAGGCAGGAGAATGGTGTGAACCCGGTAGGCGGAGCTTGCAGTGAGCCGAGATCACGCCACTGCACTCCAGCCTAGGTGACAGAGCAAGACTCCGTCTCAAAAAAAAAAAAAAAAAAGAAAAGAAAAATTAGACAGGTGGCGCGGCATGCTCCTGTAGTCCCAGCTGCTGGGGAGGCTGAGGCAGGAGAATGGTGTGAACCCGGTAGGCGGAGCTTGCAGTGAGCCGAGATCACGCCACTGCACTCCAGCCTAGGTGACAGAGCAAGACGCCATCTCAAAAAAAAAAAGAAAAAAGAAAAACAAAATTAGCCAGGCCTGGTGGTGCATGCCTGTAATCTCAGCTACTTGGGAGGCTGAGGCAGGAGAATCACTTGAACCCGGGAGGCAGAGGTGGCAGTGATCCGAGATTGCACCACTGCACTCCAGCCTGGGCAACAGAGCAAGATTCTGTCTCAGAAAAATAAAATAAAATAAAAAAGACAAGAAAAATTAGCTGGGTGTGGTGGTGCACGCCTGTAGTCCCAGCTACTTGGGAGTCTGAGGCAGGAGGATCGCTTGAGGCCAGGAGTTTGAGGCTGCAGTGAGCTAGGATTGCGCCACTGCACTCCAGCCTGGGCGATAGAGTGAGATCCTGTCTCAAAAAAAACTTTTTTAAGATGATAAATAAAGAGCGCCTGGCATATAGCAGGTGCAGCCTCAGTTTTAGCTTTGTTCTTTTTGTTGTTGTTATTGTTGAGACAGTCCTGGTCTGTTGGCCAGGCTGGAGTGCAGTGGTACAATCACAGCTCACTGCAGCCTTGACCTCCTGGGCTCAAGCGATCCTTCCACCTCAGCCTCCCGAGTAGCTGGGACCACAGGCATGTGCCACCATGCCAGGCTAATTTTTGTATTTTTTGTATAGATGGGGTTTCACCATGTTGCCCAGGCTGGTCTCAAACTCCTGAGCTCAAGCGATCTGCCTGCCTTGGCCTCCCAAAGTGCTGGGATTACAGGTGTGAACCACCACACTCAGCCAGTTTTAGCTTTTAGTTGTTGTTGCTATTGTTACTACTAAGTACTACAGAGGAAGACACCCCAGCCCAGGCGACAGTGAGCCCAGGACTGGAATGGTCTCTAACTGTGGGCAAATTCCACGCCTTTCTGTGACTCAGTTTTCCAGTCTCTGAAACGGGGATATTTAGGCTCCTCGAACCCGAGCAGCCCTCCCAGCTCCAACGCCCCATGGGAGGGTGTGGGGGTGCTCACCAGGTCCCCACTGCTGCCCGAAAGGAGGAGGTCTTTCACGGTGAGATTGCATCGTGGGGACAGGTCCACCGGATCAGCCGGCTTCTCAGCACAGATCCTTCCTCCTGGGCTCCACATTTCTGACCAGGGCAGGTGGGGACGGAGACAGGGAGAGTGTCAGACGGGGGGAGTCCTGAGCTTCCAGCCTCTAACCGCCTCCTCCACCAAGTCTCCCATGATTAATCCCAACATTCATATGACTTCTGCCAGAGTTTGGAGTCCCCAAGGCCTGAGTTGAAGGGGGCAGCCCTCACTAGTGACTCGGTCTCCCCTCTGCTATAAGATGGGAACCCAGCCAGTCATGGTGGCTCACGCCTGTATTCCCAGCACTTTGGGAGGCCAAGGCAGGCGGATCATCTGAGGTTAGGAGTTCAAGACCAGCCTGGCCAACATGGTGAAATCCCATCTCTATTAAAAATACAAAAATTAGCCGGGCCTGGTGGCGTGCACCTGTAATCCCAGCTGCTCGGGAGGCTGAGGCAGGAGAATCACTTGAACCCGGGTGGTGGACGTTACAGTGAGCTGAGAATGTGGCACTGCCCTCCAGCCTGGGTGACACAGCGAGACTCCATCTCAAAAAAAAAAAAAAGATGGGGACCCAAATTCAACAGGGCTTGGTTCTGTCCGTCCCACAAGGCTGAGGAAGACACAGGACATTGTCAGGAGACACCGGCTGATTCAAAAGGGAGTGGCTGTTATCACACAGAATTACAGGCTAGATTTGCAGCCAGCCAGGCGTTATCTCACCCAAGGGGCAGGGACGAGGTCTGATTCACCTCTGGTTGTCCCCTCCTGGTAGCCGGCATGCAGTAGGCATGCTGTCCCAGCACACAAACTTTGGGTCAGGTAACCCTTGGTTCTAATCCTGGTTGGGCAGGGCTGTGTGACCTTGAGTAAGTGACTTCACCTCTCTGAGCCTCAGATTTTTTTTTTTTTTTTTTTTTGAGACGGAGTCTCGCTCTGTCGCCAGGCTGGAGAGCAGTGTGGCAATCTTGGCTCACCGCAACCTCCACCTCCCAGGTTCAAGAGATTCTCCTGCCTTAGCCTCCCGAGTAGCTGAGACTACAGGCGCCTGCCACCACACCCAGCTAATTTTTGTATTTTTAGTAGAGACAGAGGTTTCACCATGTTGGCCAGGATGGTCTCGATCTCTTGACCTCGTGATCCGCTCGCTTCGGCCTCCCAAAGTGCTGGGATTACAGGCGTGAACCACTGTGCCCAGCATTTTTTGTTTTTGGCTTTTTTTCGAGACAGAGTCTGGCTCTGTCAGCCAGGATGGAGTGCAGTGGCATGATCTCAGCTCACTGCAACCTCCGCCTCCCGGGTTCAGGTGATTCTCCTGCCTCAGGCTCCTGAGTAGCTGGGACTACAGGTGGCCCCCACCATGCCCGGCTAATTTTGTATTTTTAGTAGAGATGGGGTTTCACCATGTTGGCCAGGCTGGTCTTGAAGTCCTAACCTCAAGTGATCCGCCTGCCTCAGCCTCCCAAAGTGCTGGGATTACAGGCATGAGTCACCGCTCCGGGCCTGAGCCTCAGTTTTGTCAACTCTCCAATGGGACCAAGAAGAGCTCATAGCAAGGGTCAAGGGACAAAGGCCACCCAGAGGCCAAGTATCTCCAGCCAGGGCTCTGCCTGGCCCGCCGGGAATGCTTAATCAATAGAGTAAATCATTACTGATCTGCTGTTCCCCACGTCTAGGAGGAGCACCCTGGAACCTAGGACCTGGTAACCTCATGCACTTTTATTGAGCATCTACAGGCTGGGTGGAGCGGCTCACACCTGTAATCTCAGCACTTTGGGAGGCTGAGGTGGGCAGATCACCTGAGCTCAGGAGTTCAAGACCAGCCTGGCCAACATGGTGAAACCTCGTCTCTACTAAAAAATAAATATTAGCTGGGCATGGTGGCATATGCTTGTGATCCCAGCTACTCAGGAGGCTGAGGCAGGTGAATTGCTTGAACCTGGAAGGCAGAGGTTGCAGTGAGCCGAGATCGCGCCACTTTACTCCAGCCTGGGTGACAGAGTGAAACTCTGTCTCAAAAAATAAAAATAAATAAAAAATAAAAAAAAATCTACTAGGAACCAGGCACGGGGTACAGACACGTAGAAGGCAAGACCCTGACTTTGGGCTGTGCTTGTCAGCACCATGCCTGGTGCCTGAGCCACCTGCCGGGGTTGCATCCTAGCTCTGTGGTTTTAGCTCATTGCTCAACCTGACAGGACTGTTTCACGATCTGGAAAATGGGCTCCCAATAGCATCCACGTGAAAGCATGGAAACACCTAGCCAAGGGAGACACGTGTCCTGAGTTTGAGTCTGGGCCCAGCTCCAAATTGCTGTGTGACCTTGGACAAGATGCCAGCCCTCTCTGGGCCTCCATTTCCTCACTTACAGGAAGGGCCCTGGAACAAGGTGAGGGCGGTGGGCAGAGACACAGCAGGACTCACCCAGGTCTATGGTCACAGAGGCTTCAGGTACTTGGATCACTGGCCCTGGGGTTGTGGTGGAGCAAGAGTTGCCAGGATGATAGGAGAGGCAGGGCCCCTTGCCAGGCTGGGCAGGATGGCAGCCGGCGGGGGAGGTGGCTGGTCCGCTGCGTGGAGGGGTGTCCTGGGGGTCGGAGGGGAGGTCTTCGGAGATGCCACTATCACTGCCTTCGGGGGACCAGAGTGGGGAGCTGGGCAGTGAGTCTCCAGAGCCCAGGATGGAGCTGAGGAAGTCGTCAGAGTCGGGGTTTGGCAGGACCTGCTGGGGTGGACAGGGAGGGGTAGTAGGAATTAGGAAGTGCTCACTCTTTTTAGATTAGTGTGTGGCCCCAGGGAAACCAGTGACCCTCTTTGGGCCTTAGGTGTCCTTCCCTTCTCCAAGATGAGTTACTGCTTCTTCCTCCCGGGGCTGCTGAGGCTCAAACGCAGTAACATAGCATAAAAATCCCAGCCAGTGCCAGGTGCAGTGGCTCCTGCCTGTAATCCCAGCACTTTGGGAGGCCGAGGAGGGCGAATCACTTGAGGTCAGGAGTTCGAGATCCGCCTGGCCAACATGATGAAACCCCATTTCTTCTAAAAATACAAAAAGTAGCTGGGCGTGGTGGCGGGCATCTGTAGTCCCAGCTACTCGGGAGTCTGAGGAAGGAGATTCTGAACCCGTAAGACGGAGGCTGCAGTGAGCCGAGATCACGCCACCGCACTCCACCCTAGGCAACAGAGCAAGACTCCATCTCAAAAAAAAAAAAAAAAGAAAAAAAGAAAAACAAAAGAGCCAGGCACGGTGGCTCAGGCCTGTAATCCCAGCACTTTGGGAGGCCAAGGCGGGCAGATCACCTGAGGTCGGGAGTTTGAGACCAGCCTGACCAACAGGGAGAAACCCCGTCTCTACTAAAAATTCAAAATTAGCCAGGCATGGTGGCACATGCCTGTAATCTCAGCTACTCGGGAAGCTGAGGCAGGAGAATCACTTGAACCTGGGAGGTGGGGGTTGCGGTATGCCAAGATCACACCATTGCACTCCAGCCTGGGCAAAACAACAGCGAAACTCTGTCTAAGAAAGAGAGAGAGAGAGGAAGGAAGGGAGGAAGGGAGGAAGGGAGGGAGGGGGAGAGAGAGAGAGACAGAGAGAGAGGGGGGGAGAGAGAGAGAGAGAGAGAGAGAGAGAGAGAGAGAGAAACGAGAGAGAGAGAGAAAGAAAGAGAAAAAAGGGCCGGGTGTGGTGGCTCACGCCTATAATCCCAGCACTTTGGGAGGCCAAGGCAGGTGGATCACCCGAGGTCAGAAGTTCAAGACCAGCCTGGCCAACATGGTGAAACCCCATCTCTACTAAAAACACAAGAAATTAGCCGAGCGTGGTGGCGGCTGCCTGTAATCCCAGCTACTCGGGAAGTTGAGGTAGGAGAATCACTTGAACCTGGGATGCGGAGGTTGCAGTGAGCCAAGATCGCGCCATTGCGCTCCAGCCTGGGTGACAAGAGTGAAACTCTATCTCAAAAAAAAAAAAAGAGAGTAAAAGAAAGAGGGAGAAAGGAAGGAAAAAAGGAAGGAAGGAAGGAAGGAAAGAGAAAAAGAGAGAGAAAAGAAAGAAAAAAAAGAAAGTGGGCCGGGCGCGGTGGCACACGCCTGTAATCTCAGCACTTTGGGAGGCTGAGGTGGGTGGATCACAAGGTCAGGAGTTCAAGACCAGCCTGGCCAGGATAGTGAAACCCATCTCTACTAAAAATACAAAAATTAGCCAGGTGCAGTGGCGGGCGCCTGTAATCCCAGCTACTTGGGAGGCTGAGGCAAGAGAATCGCTTGAACCCGGGAGGCAGAGGTTGCAGTGAGCCGAGATGGCACCACTGCACTCCAGCCTGGGCAACAGAGCGAGACTCCTTCAAAAAAAAAAAAAAGAAGAAGAAAGAGAGAAAGGAAGGAGAGGAAGGAGAAGAGAACCGAACCTAGCCAGGGAGATGCCCCAAGTTTGAGTTTGAACCTAACTCCAAATTGCTGTGTGACTTTGGATGAGTTTCCACCCTGCTCTGGGCCTCCATTCCCCACCTGTAAGAAGGAGCTGATGCTACCCGCTAAATGATGTGCTTGGCTAAAATCAAGCACCGTGACCCATTAGTGCATCGTAGAGCTGAGCAGAGCTCTGGCTGGGCTCTGGCGGGTCTAGCACCTTCGTGGGGCCTCAGTTGGCCCGCCTGGAGCTCTGTGGTCCCGGGGCAACTGCAGTGGACTCCTCACCTGGTCCTTGACGTGACCCCAGCCCTCGCCCAGCTCCACGTGTCTCAGGATGCCGTCCTGCCGGTCAAACAGGAGATCCAGGAGCTCAAAGCTGTCGATGGGGTCCATGGAGCAGGCAGCAGAAGCCATCTGGGGCGCGAGGAACAGATGTGAGGGTCACATACAGCCCCTGTCCTCCCCACCTCCCATGTGCACATAACCCTGGCTCTTTCCGGCTAGAGTTCAGTTGCCGCTCTGCCTCCGGGTTGGGCCAGCTGCTGCCCCTCGCTGAGACTCCCTTTCCAAATCTGGACTTTGAGGCTGATAGAGAGAATTCCACAGTGTGAGAGCCAATTTCTCTTAAAGTGCTGGAGAGGCTGGATGTGGTGGCTCATGCCTGTAATCTCAGCACTTTGGGAGGCCGGGGCAGGAGGATCACTTGAGCCCAGGAGTTCAAGACCAGCCTGCGCAACATAGAGACCCCTATCCCTACTGCAAATAATTTAAAAAAATTAGCTGGCTGCGGTGGCACACACTTGTCGTCCCAGCTACTGGGGAGGCTGAGGTAGGAGGATCCCTTGAACCCAGGAGGTTGAGGCTGCAGTGAGCTATGGCCACCCCACTGCACTCCACCCTGGGTCACAGAGCAAGACCTTGTTTCAAAAAACAAAAAAGTATGGCAGGCACGGTGGCTCACATCTGTAATCCCAGCACTCTGGGAAGCCGAGGCGGGCAGCTCACCTGAAGTCAGGAGTTTGAGACCAGCCTAGCCAACATGGTGAAACCCTGTCTCTAGGAAAAGTACAAAAATTAGCCGGGCGTGGTGGTGCACACCTGTAATCCCAACTACTTGGGAGGCTGAGGCAGGAAGATCTCTTGAACCCAGGAGGTGGAAGTTGCAGTGAGCTGAGATCGTGCCATTGCACTCTAGCCTGGGTGACAGAGGGAGACTCCATCTCAAAAAATAAAAATAAAAATAAAATAAAATAAAATAAAAAGTGCTGGAGAGAGGCCCTAGCTAGAGATGCCGCTTGCCTCTCAGGCCTTCACAGCCTCCCCAAGTGCCCGCTCCTAGGAGGCAGGGGGACCTGGAAGAAAGACAAGGGCAGCCCCGGGGCAAAGGCACACAGTTTTGCTCATTGCATCCTTTCTCTGGGCCTCAGTCTTCCCATCTGTACAATAGGGGTGGAGATGGGGTCCTTCCAGCTCTGGCAGCTTGGGTAGGCTTTCCCAGCCTAGACTCCCGCTCTCCCTGGGGACCTAGTAGGGCTCACCTTTCCAGCAGCTAAATCCGTATTCATGGGTCCATCCAGTTCTGTCTGCAGATGCCTCGGGGGGTCTCTGCTCCAAGCTGGAGGCCCACCCACCGCCAGCGTTACCTGGGGCCGGGCAAGCTCACAGCCCTCTGTGGCTCTGTCACCACTCCCAAAAGATGCTGAAGCGGTCACAGGCAGCTCCCAGCCCACCTCCAGGTGCTGATTGGTGGACAGGGTGGAGAGACAGGGTTGAGGGCCAGTGACACTGGGGCAGGCAGGAGCAGGGGAGGGAAGACCGTTATCTGGGTGTTTTGTGGTTTTCCAGCCCTCAGTGAGCAAAGGTCGAAGTCTGGGGTACCTCCACTCTGCCGTGACCTCTGCCCTACTTATGAGGACTTTTTCTTTTTTTCTTTCTTTTTTGAGACGGAGTCTCGCTCTGTGGCCCAAGCTGGAGTGCAGTGGTGCCATCTCATTTCGGCTCACTGCAACCTCTGCCTCTTGGGTTCAAGTGATTCTCCTGCCTCAGCCTCCCGAGTAGCTGGGACTACAGGTCCCCATCACCATGCCCGGCTAACTTTTGTATTTTTAGTAGAGACGAGGTTTCATCATGTTTTCCAGGCTGGTCTCGAACTCCTGACCTCGTGATCGGCCCCTCAGTCTCCCAAAGTGCGGGGATTACAGGCGTGAGCCACCGCACCCGGCCAGTTACAGGACTTTTTCTCTTCAGAATTCCCAGATGGGTTCTGGGATAGCCCAGGGCCCTTACATGGGTCCTGTCCACTCCCTGGACAGAAACAAACCAAGAGGACCAGACCAGATCTTCACTGAAGCCAGTTTTCCTGCCAGCAGCTAGCGGCTCCCATCCTTCACCCCACCTGCCAACCTCCGGCCCCCAGCCCCCTCCGAAACCAGCTTGGACTCCGCCTCTGAGTCCCCATGGGTGATTCTGTGCAATCAATTCTCTCTAGAATCTTCTATCGTTCATTGAGTCAACAAATATTTATGGAGCCAAACTGGTTCCTGCTTAGGGCCTTTGCACCTACTCACCTGCTCGCCCCTCTGCCTGGAACTCTCCTCTTGTACCCTCCCTCTTCCCCTCTGGCTCTAGGTCACTGTATTGACATTTTAGTGAATGTTCGATATTTGTGAATCAGCCCGGGTGGCTGAGAGGTGTCTCTGACCTCCCCTCCACCCCCTACCAAGAGAGAGGAGCCCTGTTTTGTTTTTTTGTTTTTTTTTTTGGTGTTGGTGGAGGACAGGGTCTCACTCTATTGCCCAGGCTGGAGTGCAGTGGCAGGATCATAGCTCACTGCAGCCTCCAACTCCTGGGTTCAAGTGATCCTCCCGTCTCAGCCTCCCAAGTAGCTAGGACTGCAGGCGTGCACCACCACACCTGGCTAATTTTGTTTTTTTTTTTTTATAGAGATGGGGTCTTACTGTGTTGGCCAGTATGGTCTCAAACTCCTGGGCTCAAATGATCCACCTGCTTCAGCCTCCCAAAGTGCTGGATTTACAGGCATGAGCCACTGTGCCCAGGCAAAGTCCCCCTTTAGCAGATGACATATTAGACCAAGCGTGGTGGCTCACATCTGTAATGCCAGCACTTTGGGAGGCCGAGGTGGGTGGATCACCTGAGGTCAAGAGTTTGAGACCAACCTGGCCAACATGGTGAAACCCCATCTGTACTAAAAATATAAAAATTAGATGGGTGTGGTAGCACATGCCTGCAATACCAGTACTCGGGAGGCCGAAGCAGGAGAATCACTTGAACCCAGGAGGCGGAGGTTGCAGTGAGCTGAGATCACACCACTGCACTCCAACCTGGGCGACAGTGAGACTCTGTCTCAAAAAAAAAAAAAATGACATGTTCAGTGCAGTCCTGAAGGATGAGATGGAACTGGCCCTGGGAAGGTCTGGGGAAAGGTGTCCCAGGCAGAGGCACAGTTTGTGCAAAGGCCCTGAGGCAGGTCCGTGCCTAGCGCATTGGAGGAACAGCAATGAGACCCCTGTGGCTGGAGCAGAGTGAGGAGAGGAAGACAGGCAGGAGAGGAAGACAGGGAGGAGGGGAAGGCAGGGAGGAGGGGAAGGCAGGGAGGGGACGGGGCAGGTCGTGCAAAGCCCTGTGTGTTGTGGCAAGGAGTTTGGTTTGTGCTAAACAGCAGGGCACTGTTGGAAGTTTAGCAAATAGGAGACTAAATCAAGCTTTCTGTTTGCTGGACACTGTGCCATGTGCTAGGTTGAGAGGGGTAATTTATGTGCCCTCCTTGCTCTAAAAAAATTCACATCCTGGTTCCCTTCCCCTTCCTTCCTTCCTTTCCTTCCTTCCTTCCTTCCTTCTCTCCCTCCCTCCCTCCCTCCTTCCTTCCTTCTTTCCTCTCTCTTTTTTTCTCTTTTCTCTCTCTATCTTTCTTTCTCTCTTTCTTTCTTTCTTTCTCAAGACAGAGTCTCGCTCTGTCGCCCAGGCTGGAGTGCAGTAGCACAATCTCAGCTCACTGCAACCTCCACTTCCCAGGTTCAGGCGATTCTCCTGCCTCAGCCTCCTGAGTAGCTGGCATTACAGGCTCCCACCACCACACCCAGCTAATTTTTGTATTTTTGGTGGAGATGGGGTTTCACCATGTTGGCCAGGCTGGTCTTGAACTCCTGAATTCAAGTGATTCACCCGCCTTGGCCTCACAAAGTGCTGGGATTACAGGCATGAGCCACCACGCCCGGCCTGGTTTATATTTTTCAATGGATCACTCATATGTATTCATGAAATCAAAATTCAATAAGGGGCTACCATATGCCACACACGATATGGTTCTTTTATCCAACACTAACTCACATTACTGCACTTGCCCTCCACTAGGGCAGACTGGAGTGCAGTGCTGTGATCAAAACTCATTGCAGCAGGCCGGGCACAGTGGCTCATGCCTGGAATCCCAGCACTTTGGGAGGCCGAGGTGGGTGGATCACGAGGTCAGGAGATTGAGACCATCCTGGCTAACACGGTGAAACCCTGTCTCCATTAAAGATACGAAAAAAAAAATTAGCCGGGCGTGGCGGTGGGCGCCTGTAGTCCCAGCTACTCGGGAGGCTGAGGCAGGAGAATGGCGTGAACCTGGGAGGCGGAGCTTGCAGTGAGCCGAGATCGGTGCCACTGTTCTCCAACCTGGGTGACAGAGCGAGACTCCATCTCAAAAAAAAAAAAAAAAACTCACTGCAGCCTCAACCTTCCGGACGGAAACTCAGGACACTCACTGTGCAATGTCTGGGACATCTGTGGTTGTCACGAGTGCGAGATGCTCCTGGCATAGAATGGGTGAAGGCCAGAGATGCCGTTCAGCACCCTACAGTGCCCAGGACGGCCCCACCCCAGAAAGCAATCCTGCCCCACAGCCACGGGATCTGGGGGAGAAAGACTGCATTAATTATTTGGGAAAAAATTGAGTGGGTTCCCTGCTCACACCAGACACCAGAATAAACTCCCAACAGGGCAGACGGTATAAACCAGGGGAACCCCAGATCCTGGGATTCACCTCCTCCCTCCTTCCCCATTCAGGGCATGGATTTCAATGTGTGCAGCCTCCTGGGACCTCAGCAGGGCAGAGCATCACGGGATACAGTCTCTTGGGGGTCCATGGAATCCCCTAACCCAGGGGAGCTCACCCAGGGTGATTTTACACTCCCCCGAGGACACTGGGTGATGTCTGAGGACATCTGTGGTTGTTACAACAAAGGGGGGTGGCCCTGGCGCGGGGTGGGTGGAGGCCAGGGACACTGCTCAGCAACCTCCAGTGCCCAGGATGGCCCCACCCCATAGAAGGATCCGGGTCCCCAAGCTCCACGGGGCCCAAGAAGAGACCCCGATAACGGTACCTGTCCCTGTCTGGGTGCTACTAGAATTATCTCGCCCTTGACCTCTACATTTTTCTGATCTCCTTTTATCTGCTCTGTGTTGGATTTTAGAGGGGTTGTTTGCCTTGGCTTGGCTTTAGTGATCCCAGTCATAATATTTATTCAGCATTTGCCGTGGAGGCTTTTTTCCAGGGCCATCACAGTGGGTGGATCAAGTAGGTGATGTTTGACTTCTGGACTCCTCTCTGCCTCTCCTCACCCCGTTTATCACTCTTGGGAGTTCTAGTGCCCTCGAGAGAGATCACTCCCCCTTCTCTTATCAAAACCTGCTGGAGCCGGGCACCGTGGCTCATGCCGGTAATCCAAGCCCTTTGGGAGGCTGAGGCGGGAAGATTGCTCAAGCCCTGGAGTTCCCGATCAGCCTGGGCAATAGAGCAAGACCTCATAACTACAAAAAAGTTTAAAAAATTAGCCAGGCAGCATGGCCAACATGGTGAAACCGCGTCTCTACTAAAAATACAAAAATTAGCCAGATGTGGTGGCGGGCACATGTAATCCCAGCTACTCGGGAGGCTGAGGCAGGAGGATCACTTGAACCCAGGAGGTGGAGACTGCAGTGAGCCGAGATCATGCCACTGCACCCCAGCCTGGGTGACAGAGCAAGACCCTCTATCAAAAAGAAAAGGGCCGGGCATGGTGGCTCACGCCTGTAATCCCAGCACTTTGAGAGGCCAAGGCGGGCGGATCGCGAGGTCAGGAGATCGAGACCATCCTGGCTAACACGGTGAAACCCCGTCTCTACTAAAAATACAAAAAATTAGCTGGGCATGGCGGTGGGCACCTGTAGTCCCAGCTACTCGGGAGGCTGAGACAGGAGAATGGCGTGAACCCAGGAGGCCGAGCTTGCAGTGAGCTGAGATCGCGCCACTGCACTCCAGCCTGGGCGACAGAGCAAGACTCCGTCTCAAAAAAAAAAAAAAATTAGCCAAGCATGGTGGTGCACACCTGTAGTCCCAGCTACTTGGGAGGCTGAGGCAGGAGGATCGCTTGAGCCTGGGAGTTTGAGGCTACCATGAGCTGTGACTGCACCACTGCACCAGCCTGGGCCACAGGGCGAGACTTTTTCTCAAAAATAACAATACTTATTATTATGAACTTTAGAAGCCTTTTGTACACCTCAATGAAGGGATTTCAGGTATCTGTTAACAGGGAGGATAAGAATAAGCACTTGGCCCGCATGGTAGCTCACGCCTGTCATCCCAGCACTCTGGGAGGCCGAGGTGGGCGGATCACCTGAGGTCAGGAGTTTGAGACCAGCCTGCCCAACATGGCGAAACCCTGTCACTACTAAAAAATACAAGAATTAGCTGGGCGTGGTGGCACTCGCCTGTAATGCCAGCTACTCAGGAGGCTGAGGCTGGAGAATCACTCGAACTTGGGAGGCAGAGGTTGCAGTGAGCCGAGATCACGCCACTAAATTCCAGCCTGGGCCACAGAGAAAGCTTCTGTCAAAAAAAAAAAAAAAAAGAAGAAGAAGAAGAAGAAAAAGAAGCTCTTGTGGGGACAGAAGGACTTTTCACTGCCATTGACCTCATAGCAGTTTATCCACTGAACACGACTACGTATCTCAAAGGGACAATAACTTGGAATCTAAAGTAAAATTCCTGCAGTCATTTTCAGCAATGTGTTTAAGTACATGTTCCCTCTGTAGACTCTCTGTCACTTTATTGCTAACACATCATTGTTTGTTTGTTTGTTTGTTTGTTTGTTTTGATACAAGGTTTCACTCTGTCGCTCAGGCTGGAGTGCAGTGGCGCCATCTTGGCTCACTACAACTTTTGCCTCCCAGGCTCAAGTGATCCTCCCACCTCAACCTCCCAAGTAGCTGAGGCTACAGGTGCGTGCCACCACGCTTGGCTAATTTTTGTATTTTTTTGTGGAGATGAGGTTTCTTCATGTTGCCCAGGTTGGTCTCAAACTCCTGGCCTCAAGTGATCCTCCCACCTCAGCCTCCCAAAGTGCTGGGATTACAGGCATGAGCCACCACGCCAAACCCTCTTTTTTTTTTTTTTTTGAGACTGAGTTTCGCTCTTGTTGCCCAGACTGGAGTACAATGGCTGCGATCTCGGCTGACTGCAACCTCTGCCTCCCAGGTTCAAGCAATTCTCCTGCCTCAGCCTCCTGAGTAGCTGGGATTACAGGCGCCCGCCACCACGCCCAGCTAATTTTGTGTTTTTAGTAGAGACGGGGTTTCACCATGTTGATCAGGTTGGTCTTGAACTCCCAACCTGAGGTGATCTGCCTGCCTCGGTCTCCCAAAGTGATGGGATTACAGGCATGAGCCACCACACCTGGCCCTTCCCATGTTTTGAGCCAAGTGGTAAAGTCAATAAAAGCTTGACAATGGAACACGTCCCTGTATAAAGCCCTGCATTGCCCAATGTGTTTGCACACTGTTGTCAATTCTCATAAACCCACCCAGCAGAACATACAACAGCGTGCTGTCCCGGGAACCACAGGAGTTTCCCATTGCGCAAAAAATACAATGTCATCAAACGAGCAAGAGTTCATCATTATTTAATTTTTTTTTTTTTTTTTGAGACGGAGTCTTGCTCTGTCGCCCAGGCTGGAGTGCAATGGCACGAACTCGGCTCACTACAACCTCTGCCTCCCGGGTTCAAGCAATTCTCCTGCTTCAGCTTCTCGAATAGCTGGGATTATAGGCACGTGCTACCATGCCCGGCTAATTTTTTGCATTTTTAGTAGAGACGGGGTTTCACCGTGTTAGCCAGGATGGTCTGAATCTCCTGACCTCGTGATCCTCCCACCTCGGCCGCCCAAAGTGCTGGCATTACAGGCGTGAGCCACTGCGCCCGGCCACAAATATATTTTTTAAGTGAAATTTAATTTTGCCTTGAACTTTTAAAATATAGCTGCTGGAAAACTTAAGAGGATACCTCAGGAACGTGGAGATAAACAATAAATAAGTGAATAAATAAAAGTCTACGTGGGCCGGGCACGGTGGCTCACGCTTGTAATCCCAGCACTTTGGGAGGCTGAGGCGATCCACTTGAGGTGAGGAGTCTGAGACCAGCCTGACCAACATGGTGAAAACCCATCTCTACTAAAAATACAAAAATTAGCTGGGCACAGGAGCTCATGCCTGTAATCCCAGCACTTTGGGAGGCCGAGGCAGGTAGATCACCTGAGGTCAGGAGTTCGAGACCAGCCTGGCCAACATGGTGAAACCCCGTCTCTACTAAAAATACAAAAATTAGCCAGGCATGGTGGCAGGCGCCTGTAATCCCAGCAACTCAGGAGGGTAAAGCAGGAGAATCGCTTGAACCCGGGAGGTGGAGGTTGCAGTGAGCCCAGATTGCACCACTGCACTCCAGCCTGGGTGACAGAGTGAGACTCCATCTCAAAAAGGAAAAAAAAGTCTACATGGTCTATTGGACAGAATCCTGGCTCTGCCACTTGCCCCCCTGTGACTGTGGGCAAACGACTGCCTCCCCCTGCCTCAGTTTCCTCATGTGTAAAGCCAGGGATAAAGGACGAACCACATGTGGGAGCATTCCCACGGAAAGCGCTAAAAAGGGACTTCTGGCCAGGTGAGGTGGCTCACGCCTGTAATCCCAGCACTTTGGGAGGCCGAGGTGGGAGGATCACCTGAGGTCAGGAGTTTGAGACCAGCCTGGCCAACATGGTGAAACCCCGTCTCTACTAAAAATACAAAATTAGCAGGGCGCAGTGGTGCATGCCTGTAATCCCAGCTACTCAGGAGGCTTGAGCCCGGGAGGTAGAGGTTGCAATGAGCTGAGATTTTGCCGCTGCACTCCAGACTGGCGACAGAGCAAGACTCCGTCTCAAAAAAAAAAAAAAGAAAAAAGAAATCTATCTGACTGCAGTCCCGTGACGCCCAGCGGATGCCCGGCTGTCCCTTCCTGGTTGCCTTAGCCCTTTGGCCTCTGCACAGCTCTGATCGTAAGGACAGTCCCCATTCTGCACAGGAGGACAGAGGAGCTGATAAGGGGATGTGACTCACTTGGCCATTGCATGAGTCAGGCAGGAGAACTGACAACACCCAGGTCCCCTGCTACAGATGCGGGGTCGGGGGGACTTGCCCTGGGGTCCTTGAGCACCACCCTTGTGGGCCAGTTCCCGGTGGAAAAAGTGAGTGGGTCCAGGAGGGCAGCAGCTCCCACTCCTCCTCTCCCTCCTCCCTCTCCATTCTGTTCCTCTTGCCTTCCTCCTCCTCCCTGCTCCCTCCTCCTTGGCCTTTTCCCTCCTCCTCCCTCTCCTCTTCCCCTTCTCTTTCCTCCCCTTCCTCCCTGCTCCCTTCCCTCTTCTCCTTCCCCTCCCCATCCTCTCTCTCATCCTCCCCTCCTTCCCCACTCCTCTCCCTCCTTCTTTTTCTCTCCCTCCTCTCCCTCCTCCTCAGCCTCCTCCCTCCTCCTCTCTCTCACCCTCCTCCTTCTTCCCCACCTCCCCCTTCTCCCCCTCTTCCCCTCCTCCCCACCTCTCCCTTCTCCCCCTTCTCCTCTCCCTCCTCCCTTCCTTCTCCTTCTCCTCTTCCTCCCACTCCTCCGTGCTTCCTTCCTTCTCCTTCCACTCCCCCGTCATCCTCCCCTCCTCCCCTTCTTTCCCCATTCCTCTCCCTCCTCCTTTCCCTCCTCCCCCTCCTCCTCTCTTCTCCCTCCTCCTCCCACTCCTCCCCTTCCCCCCTCCCTCCTCCCTTCCTCCTCCTCCCTCTTGCCCTCCTCCCCTTCCTCTCCTCTCCCGTCTCCCCTTCCCTCCCTCCTCCTCCTCCTCCTTTTCCTCCCCCTCCTCCCCTTCCCTCCCTTGTAATACAGCCAGGCAGTGAGTAAAACCCTTGTGATGTGGGTGTGCCAGGGGCCAGCCAGAGGCTGGGAGGCCACAGGGGGACTCTGGCCGGCCTCACGGGCGATGACATTGATTAGGACCTGACCCTCCAGGCATCCAACTCTCCTCTGATGTCCTGGGTGGATCCCAGGAGTTCCAGCCTCTGCTCTCAGAGGGGTGGGTGAAGACAGAACACTGGAGCCAGGGCCTCCAAATCCTGTGAGTTTGGGGGACTCGCTCTGCCCTTCTTAAAGAATGGAGGACACTGTGCTTGAGAATTCATTCATTCATTCATTCCTGTAACTGTTATTTATTGAGCACCTGCTGTGTGCCGGGTGCTGGGATCCAACAGGGAGCAAGACTGAGGAGACATTCCCCACTCCCCACCCACGAGAGGAAGATGCTGAATGAAACCATTCCTGTATAAGAAGTAAATAGGCTGGACGCGGTGGCTCACACCTGTAATCCCAGCACTTTGGGAGGCCGAGGCAGGCAGATCACCTGAGGTCAGGAGTCCGAGACCAGACTGGCCAACATAGTGAAACCCTATCTCTACTAAAAATACAAAAAATTAGCTGGGCGTGCTGGCGCACACCTGTAATCCCAGCTACTTGGGAGGCTGAGGCAAGAGAATCGCTTGAACCAGGAGGCAGGGGTTTCAGTGAGCTGAGATCACGCCATTGCACTCCAGCCTGGGCAACAGAGTGAGACTCTGTCTCAAAAAGAAAAAGAAAAAAAAAGAAAGAAAGAAAAAAAGAAAGTCTGTCCACCAGTTTCAGGGGAACAGGTTGTCTGCAGGACGGTACCGAGAGTCAGCACCTAACCCGTCTCATCTCCTGATCCACACCCCTCAGTCCAGTCCGCACCTCCCAGTCTCGCCACCACCTCCTCCCGGTGATTGCTTTATGGCTGGTAGGTCCAAGGGTCACAGCGGACCCTCTCACCTGGAAAAGGAGGCACAGGAGGCCCCCACTGGCATCCTTCCCGTTGGTGGAGGAGGAAACAGGGCAGGGGCAGGGGGTGTCTCCTCCGCTCCACCCTACCGGGGTTGGCCTGGGGGTTGAGGAGGACAGCATTTCCAGGCCCCAAGAACTGAAGTATCCCTGGGCTTCCCTATCTAGTCTGCAAGATCAAGGTGTGGGCAGGATTCATTCCTTCTCTTTTTTTATGAGACGGAGTTTCACTCTTGTTGCCCAGGCTGGAGTGCAGTGGTGCCATCTCAACTCACTGCAACTTCCACCTCCCGGGTTCAAGCGATTCTCCTGCCTCAGCCTCCCAAGTAGCTGGGATTACAGGCGTTCACCACCACATGTGGCCAAGGGTTCATTCCTTCTGAGGTCTTTCTGCTTGGCCGATACATGCTTCCTTCTCCCTGAGTCTCACTTCACATTATCTACCTTCCTGCGCGTATCTGATTCTGTACCTAAATTTCCCAACATGTAACCCTACTATTTTTTTTTTTTTTTTGAGACAGGGTCTCACTTTGTTGCCTGGGCTGGAATGCAGTGGCACGATTTTGGCTCACTGCAACCTCTGCCTCCTGGGTTCAAGCGATTTTCCTGCTTCAGCCTCCTGAGTAGCTGGGACTACAGGCATAAGCCACCATGCCTGGATAATTTTTGTATTTTTAGAAGAGACGGGGTTTCACCACGTTGGCCAGGCTGGTCTTGAACACCTGACCTCAGGTGACCCACCCACCTCGGCCTCCCAAAGTGCTGGGATTACAGACGTGAGCCACCGCGCAAGGCTATTTATTTATTTATTCAGCCAGGGTCTCCCTCTGTCACCCAGGCCTCCCTGCAGCCTCAAACTCCAGGCTCAAGTGATCCTCCCACCTCAGCCTCCTGAGTAGCTGGGACCACAGGCATATGCCACCTAGCTCAGCTAATTAAAAAATCTGGGGTGGGGTGCAGGCATGGTGGCTCATGCCTATAATGCCAGCACTTTGGGGGGCTGAGGCGGGCAGATCACTTGAGCCAAGGAATTCAAGACCAGCCTGGGCAACACAGCAAGATCCCATCTTTACAAAAAATACAAAAATTAGCCAGGTGTGATGGTGCATGCCTGTGGTCCCAGCTACTCAGGGGGCCAAGGCAGGAGGATTGCTTGAGCCCAGGAGGTTGAGGCTGCAGTGGTATATAATGGCACCACTGCAGTCCAGCCTGGGTGACAGAGCAAGACCCTGTCTCAAAAGAGAGAGAAAGAGAGTCCTATCCCTAGCTCAGCAGCAAACTTGTGATGCCAGAGAGTTGCTTCTCTCCCAGACTGTTTCTTGGTCTATGAAATGTGGGGATAGATGTGAAGGTAATATAAAGCCCCTGCCAGCTCAAATATTGACGTTAATGTTTAATCCCTGGCAGGCTGGGCGTGGTGGCTCACACCTGTAATCCCAGCACTTTGGGAGGCCAAGGCAGGAGGATATTCCTGAGGTTAGGAGTTCAAGACCAGCCTGGCCTAAATTGCAAAACCCCGTCTCTACTAAAAATACAAAAATTATCCAGGCGCGGTGGTGCACGCCTGTAATCCCATCTACTCAGGAGACTGAGACAGGAGAATTGCTCCAACCTGGGAGGTGCAGGTTGCAGTGAGCTGAGACCACACCACTGCACTCCAGCCTGGGCGACAGAGCCAGACTGTCTCAAAAAAATAAAAGAAGGAAAGAAATAATAATAATCTTAAGAACAGTAAACATTGCATTTATTTATTTGTTATTGTTATTGTTTTGTTTTGTTTTGTTTTGTTTTGAGACAGAATCTCACCTGTAGCCCAGGCTGGAGTGCAGTGGCGTGATCTCGGCTCACTACAACCTCCACCTCCCAGGTTCAAGCGATTCTCCTGCCTCAGCCTCCCGAGTAGCTGGGACAACAGGCACCCGCCACCGTGCCCAGCTAATTTTTCTTATTTTTAGTAGAGATGGGGTTTCACCATGTTGGCCAGGCTGCTCTTGAACTCCTGACCTGTGTTGATCCACCTGCCTCAGCCTCCCAAAGTGCTGGGATTACAGACGTGAGCCACTGCGCCAGCCCGGCCATTGCATGTATTTTTACAGTTCCCTTCTATTTTGGGTATCCATTATTGGTTTCAATTTATTATCCTGTTACAAAGTTTTCTTTTTAAAATAAATTTATTGAAAAAAAATGAAGGTTGGCCGGGCGTGGTGGCTCATGCCTGTAATGCCAGCACTTTGGGAGGCGGAGGTGGGTGGATCACGAAGTCAGGAGATCAAGACCATCCTGGCTAACACAGTGAAACCCTGTCTTTACTAAAAAAAAAAAAAATACAAAAAATTAGCCGGGCATGGTGGCGGGCGCCTGTAGTCCCAGCTACTCGGGAGACTGAGGTATGAGAATGGTGTGAACCCAGGAGGTGGAGCTCGCAGAGAGCCGAGATCCCGCCACTGCACTCCTGCCTGGGCAACAGAGCAAGACTCCTTCTCAACAACTTTTGTAAAAGGAAACATTATAATGCTAGAGTAAATTAAAAAGAAATGTAGTATCTGGTGCCTGAAACAGAAGCAAAAAATAAATAAATAAATAAATAAACAACATTGTTAAATTCCAGGCAGCTACTGTTGCCTGTAGGAGGTTCTAGATTAGGCAACTTTTATTTATATGTTTATTTATTTTTTAATTTTGAGATGGAGTCTTGCTGAGGCAGGAGAACCGCTTGAACTCGGGAGGTGGAGGTTGCAGTGAGCCGAGATTGCACCATTGCACTACAGCCTGGGCAACAGAGGGAGACTCCGTCTCCAAAAAAAAAAAAAGAAAAAAAAAAGAATTATTTCATGGTAGCGGTAGCATTCACAGAAAATTATGTGACATTCTCATTTCAGCCTCTAAAAATAAAACTGTATTAGGACACAGCCATGCCCAGTTGCGTACAGGTTATCTAAGGCCTCTTGCAAACTGCGAGAGCAGATTTCAGGAGCTGCAACAGACAGAGTTTAAGCTGGGTGGTTTTTTGTGTGTGTGCGTGTGTGTGTTTTTTCGTTTTGTTTTGTTTTGTTTTGAGACAGAGTCTCTGTCGCACAGGCTGGAGTGCAGTGGCACGATCTCAGCTCGCTGCAACCTCCACCTCCTGGGTTCAAGCGATTCTCCTGCCTCAGCCTCCTAAGTAGCTGAAACTACAGGTGCACGCGCCACCATGCCTGGCTAATTTTTGTATTTTTAGTAGAGACTGGGTTTCGCCATGTTGTCCAGGCTAGTCTCGAACTCCTGATCTCAAGTGATCCCCCCGCCTCGGCCTCCCAAAGTGCTGGGATTACAGGCGTGAGCCACTGCACCCCGCCTAAACTGTGTATATATTTATTTAGTGTGTGTGTATTTATTATACGGCTCTTTAGGAAAAAGTTTGCTAACCCCTGTGCGAATTTGGCATCCCCTCTCCTCCAAGCCCCCAACTCTGGAAGGGTAGACAGGGCCTTCCCTGTTGCAAAGACAAAGACCACCCCTGCTGACCCCACCACTTTTCCCACCCAGGCCCATCCTGCTGGGGGATGGGGGATACGAGGAGGACTCCGGATAAGAGGCTGGACCTGCGTCCTAGCTCCCGGCTCCCTCTAGAGGATCTTATGAGAAACTCACATTCTCTACTGCAGCCGGAACTACCTAACCTCCCAGTCTTTCTTCTGCCATGGGGAAAGTTTCTTTTTTTTTTTTTTCTTTTGAGATGGAGTCTCGATCTGTTGCCCAGGCTGGAGTTCAGTGGTGCCATCTCAACTCCGCCTCCCAGGTTCGAGCAATTCTCCCACCTCTGCCTCCCGAGTAGCTGGGATGACAGGCGTCCGCCACCACGCCCACCTATTTTTTTTCTATTTTTAGTAGAGAAGGGGTTTCACCATGTTGGCTAGGCTGGTCTCGAACTCTTGACCTCTGGTGATCTGCCCACCTCGGCCTCCCGAAGTGCTGGGATTACAGGTGTGAGCCATCGCGCCTGGTCTGTCGTTCCCATTTTACAAACAGAAGCACCATCCTTCCAGAGGGGTCAGGTCCAAATTTCTTATCCCTGAGTTTTTCTCTCATACCTGCAAAACTCTACACCAGGAAAGTCTTGTCTGCTCCATGTTCAAAATGCATCCTTCTACCTGGCGCAGCCTCTCCTTAGCCGGCCTGGACCAGCCCACTCTCCTCCACCCTGGTTTCTCAGCTCCCATTCTCGTCCTGCAAACTTGTCTTCCCTGCAGCAGACACCAGAGGGCGCCCGTGAGCACCGGAGTCAGAGCCTGTCCCTCCTCTGCCGGAAATCTTCTATGGCTCCCACCTCCTTGGAGGTCAATGCCCAAGTCCTCCCTATGGTCCACAATGTGCTGCATGATCTGCCCTGTCCTCTACCCCTACCCCCTCCCCATCTTCCCCTCCTCCTTCTCTCCCCCTTGCTCACTCTGCTATAGCTACACAGGCCTCCTTACTGCTCCTCCAACACCAAGCGTGCTCCTGCCTCAGGGCCTTTGCATGGGCTGTGCCCTCTGCTTCAAAACCTTTCCCTGATATCTGTGGGGTACACTCCCGCCTCTGCCCAAATGTCACCTTTTCAATGAGACTCACCCCAACAGACTTCTTAAAACTGCAACCTTGGCCAGGCACAGTGGCTCACGCCTCCCATCCCAGCACTTTAGGAGGCTGAGGTGGGCAGACTGCTTGAGCTCATGAGTTCGAGACCAGCCTTGGCAACATGATGAAACCCTGTCTCTACTAAAAATACAAAAATTAGCTGGGCGTGGTGGTGCACACCTGTAGTCCCAGCTACTCGGGAGGCTGAGGCAGGAGAATCACTTGAGCCCAGGAGGTGGAGGTTGCAGTGAGCCGAGATCGAGCCACTACACTCCAGCCTAAGTGACAGAGTAAGATTGTCTCAAAAAAAACAAAACAAAAACTAAAACTCCAACCTTTCCTCAACTCTCTGCTTCCACAGTTCTATCCCCTTCCTTCCCTTTTCTTTTTTCTTTTTTCTTGAGACAGAGTTTCGCTCTTGTCGCCCAGGCAGGAGTCCAGTGGTGCGATCTTGGCTCACTGCAACCTCCGCCTCCTGGGTTCAAGCAATTTTCCTGCCTCAGCCTCCCGAGTAGCTGAGATTACACGCACCTGCCACCACGCCCGGCTAATTTTTGTAACTTTTAGTAGAGACTGGGTTTCACCATGTTGGGCAGGCTGATCTCGAACTTCTGACTCAGGTGATCCGCCTGTCTTGGCCTCCCAAAGTGCTGGGATTACAGGCGTGAGCCATCATGCCCGGCCTTTATTTTTAATTTTTAGACAAGGTTTCACTATGTTGCCTTGGCTAGCCTGGAACTCCTGGACTCAAGTGATCCTCCCACCTCAGCCTCCCAAAGTGCTGGGATTACAGGCATGAACCACTGCACCTAAGCTCCTTCCCCACTTTTTTCATCTCTGTGGCTCTTCCTGGCATCTTATCTGTGGCCTATTTCTCCCCCAGACTGTAAACTCTGTGAGGGCAGGGGTTTTGTCTCATCCAATGCCTGGCACTTAGTAGGGTTTCAATAAAAATGTGTCAAATCAATGAACCTTAAGAAAAGTGACTCACAGTAGTTTGATAATAAAGAACATGGCTGGCCGGGTGCGGTGGCTCACGACTGTAATTCCAGCACTTTGGGAGGCCGAGGGGGGGCGGATCACAAGGTCAGGAGATTGAAACCATCCTGGCTAACACGGTGAAACCCCGTCTCTACTAAAAATACAAAAAAAAATTAGCCAGGCGTGGTGGCAGGTGCCTGTAGTCCCAGCTACCTGGGAGGCTGAGGCAGGAGAATGGCGTGAACCCAGGAGGCGGAGCTTGCAGTGAGCCGTGATCTCGCCACTGCACTCCAGTCTGGGTGACAGAGCGAGACTCTCTGAAAAAACAAAACAAAACAAAACAAAACAAAACAAAAAAAGAACAAGGCCAAAAGCAAAACAAAACAAAACAAACAAACATGACCATGTTTCATGTCCCAAATGCCTCCCAATATAATCACAGCCTGTATTGCGGTGGGCAAATTAGAGCCCACAGCTCACTGCCTATTGTTGTACAGCCTGAGTTAAAAACTGATTTTATGGCCGGGGCATGGTGGCTCCCGCCTGTAATCCCAGCACTTTGAGGGGCTGAGGTGAGAGGATTGCTTGAGCACAGGAGTTCAAGATCAGCCTAGGCAACACAGGGAGTCCCTGTCTCTACAAAAAATTTAAAAATTAGCCAGGCATGGTGGGAAGTGCCCGTAGTCCAGGCTACTCAGGGGCTTGAGGTGGGAGGATCACCAGAGCCAAGGAGTTGGAAGCTGCGGTGAGCTATGACTGCACCACCGCACTCCAGCCTGGGTGCCAGGTGAGATCCTGTCTCTAAAAAATTTGTTTTAAATTATTTTATTGCCAGCATAATAGGTCACGCCTATAACCTCAGCACTTTAGGAGGCCAAGGTGACAAGATAGCTTGAGCCCAGGAGTTTGAGATCAGCCTGGGAAACAAAGTGAAACCTGTCTCTACAAAAAGTTTAAAAATTAGCAGGGCATGGTGGCACATGCCTGTGGTCTCAGCTACTTGGGAGGCTAAGGTGAGAGGATCACTTAAGCCCAGGAATTAGAGGCCGTGGTGAGCTATGATCATGCCACTGCACTCCAATTTGAGTGACAGACACCCTGTCTTTCTAAAAAAAGAAAAGTGAAGGCCGGGCGCGGTGGCTCATGCCTGTAATCCCAGCACTTGGGAGGCCGAGGTGGGCAGATCACGAGGTCAGGAGATCGAGACCATCCTGGTTAACATGGTGAAACCCCGTCTCTACTAAAAACACAAAAAATTAGCCGGGCGTGGTGGCGGATGCCTGTAGTCCCAGCTACTCGGGAGGCTGAGGCAGAAGAATGGCGTGAACCCGGGAGGCGGAGCTTGCAGTGAGCCGAGATTGCACCACTGCACTCCAGCCTGGGTGACAGAGTGAGACTCCGTCTCAAAAAAAAAAAAAAAAAGAAAAGAAAAGAAAAAAAGAAAAGTGGAAACTGAGGCTCAGAGGGTTGAAATGAGTTTCTCAAGACCCCATGTTTCTGCGAGATTCCCTATTTACCAAATTCTCCAAACAGGACCTCAAATTCCTCACAGGAAGTGCAGAGATCACATTGACAAATCAATAATTCCATAAATTGCATGTCAGAGAGAGCGCTGCACACACCCATTTGATCTTGCTAAGCCTGGGAAATTTTTAATTGCCCCTGTTTAAAAAAAAAAAAGTCATTGCACTTTCTAGAACCTTGGGTTTGGAACTTTGCTCAGAGTGATTTCGACATGTTGTGAAAACCTCATTTTAACTTTATCTTTCTTCCAGGCATTTCACTTCAATCAGAACTTGGTAAGGCCGGGCGCGGTGGCTCACGCCTGTAATCCTAGCAATTTGGGAGGTGGAGGTGGGCGGATCACCTGAGGTCAGGAGTTTGAGACCAGCCTGGCCAACATGGCGAAACCCCATCTCTACTAAAAATACAAAGATTAGCCGGGTTTGGTGGCACATGCCTGTAATCTCAGCTGCTCGGGAGGCTGAGGCAGGAGAATCGCTTGAACCCAGGAGGCAGAGGTTGCAATGAGCCGAGATCATGCCACTGCACTCCAGCCTGGGCAACAGAGCGAGACTCTATCTCAAAATATAATAATAATAAAAATAAATAAATAAATCATGGGAAAGCGAAAAAATACATTTTATGTGTTTTCCTTCCCTCCCGCAATTAAACCCCTTTCATTTTCCCATGTTCTCTCGCAGTTCCCATTCATCTGCACAAATCTTTGATTGCAGAGCGATAAAATAAATGTCATCATGAGCATCCATCGGCCAGGACGTGGCACAAAGTCATAAAACAACTCTAGGCTGGGCACAGTGGCTCACTCCTGTAATCCCAGCACTTTAGGAGGCCGAGGCAGGTGCATCACAAGGTCAAGAGATCAAGACCATCCTGGCCAACATGGTGAAACCCTGTCTCTACTAAAAATACAAAAAATTAGCCAGGCGTGGTGGCATGTGCCTGTAGTCCCAGCTACTCGGGAGGCTGAGGCAGGAGAATCACTTGAACCCAGGAGGCGGAGGTTGCAGTGAGCCGAGATTGCGCCACTGCACTCCAGCCTGGCGACAGAGTGAGACTCCATCTCAAAAAAAAAAAAAAAAAGAAAGAAACTCTAGAAACCAGCTGGGTGTGGTGGCTCATGCCTGTCATCCCAGCACTTTGGGAGGCCAAGGCGGGCAGATCACCTGAGGTCAGGAGTTCGAGACAAGCCTGGCCAACATGGTGAAACCCCGTCTCTACTAAAAAAAAAATACAAAAATTAACCGGTTGTGATGGCAGGTGCCTGTAATCCCAGCTACTTGGGAGGCTGAGGCAGGGAGAATCACTCGAACCTGGGAGGCAGAAGTTGCAGTGAGCCGAGATGGCACCACTGCGCTCCAGCCTGAGAGACAGAGTGAGACTCCATCTCAAATTAAAAAAAAAAAAAAAAAGAACTTCACTTGGTCATCAAAAATGTGGATGACTTCTGTGATGAATCACATAATCATTTCTGAATACTGGAAAATATTTCCTTATTCCTTTTTTTTTTTTTTTAAGAGTTTCACTCTTGTTGCCCAGGCTGGAGTGCAATGGCGCTAACTCCGCTCACTGTAACCTCCGCCTCCCGGGTTCAAACCATCCTCCCGTCTCAGCCTCCCGAGTAGCTGGGATTACAGGTGCCCAACACCACTCCCAGCTAATTTTTCTATTTTTAGTAGAGACGAGGTTTCACCATGTTGACCAGGCTGGTCTCAAACTCCTAACCTCAAATGATCCTCCCGCCTCGGCCTCCCAAAGTGCTGGGATTACAGGGGCGAGCCACTGCTCCTGGCCTAATTTTTGCTTGTTTGTTTGTTTGAGACAGAGTCCCGGTCTGTCCCAGGCTGGAGTACAGTGGTGCAATCTCGGCTCACTGCAACCTCCACCTCTCGGGTTCAAGGAACTCCTCTGCCTCAGCCTTCCCAGTAGCTGGGATTACAGGCACCTGCCACCACGCCTAGCTAAATTTTGTATTTTTAGTAGAGACGGGATTTCACCATGTTGCCCAGGCTGGTCTCAAACTCCTGACCTTGTGATCT
Organism: Homo sapiens; assembly: GCF_000001405.40. Taxonomy (NCBI): domain Eukaryota; kingdom Metazoa; phylum Chordata; class Mammalia; order Primates; family Hominidae; genus Homo; species Homo sapiens. The sequence continues at coordinate 4,134,999 of NC_000019.10, read as the reverse complement.
GCCTGCCTCAACCTCCCAAAGCGCCGGGATTACAGGCGTGAGCCACTGCGCCTGGCCTAATTTGAAATCGTAGCTATTAACCAGCAGTTCCCAAATTTCCCAAAACTTGAACAAATCGGCTCTTGCCCACCAGAAGGAGCTGGCTTTGGCACAGCACTGCTAAGCTTCTCTCAGAGCATCCTGTTTTCCTCCTTGAACACTGCACCCCAGGTTGTTAAGTTAATCAGCTGCAGCTCTGGAAGAAAGCTCAGATTGGTTTCTTCCAAAGTTTCAGATTAGAACTACCCTGGGAGCTCCACCACAGGCTGAGAGCAAGAGAGGTTTCATCGGGAACTCACTGGAATAGGATGAGAACATCCAGTGATCCAAGGCACCAGGCTTTGAGCCAGGTATGTTTGCCCCAAACCCCTGCAGGTTGCACACTGCCACCATGCCACGAGGTCCCCAAGGCAGCCACATTCATTGCTCACATCTGTGCTCACCAAACACCTCCCGTGTGTCAGGCTTGGTGCTGGCAGCCAGGGATGCCAAGATGGATGAGTTCCCGGCATTCCAGGAACTCACAGACTTCACGAAATTCAATTAATCATGTGTTCATATCCCTAAACGTTATAAGGTGCACTTTTCCTTTTCTATAATTTATGTATAATCTTTCTTTTCTTTTTTCTTTTTTTTTTTTTGAGACGGAATCTCTATTGCCCAGGCTGGAGCGCAGTGGCGCAATCTTGGCTGACTGCAACCTCCGCCTCCTGAGTTCAAGCGATTCTCCTGCCTCTGCCTCTCGAGTGTCTGGAACTACAGGCATGAGCCACCATGCCTAGCTAGTTTTTGTATTTTTAGTAGAGATGGGGATTCACCGTATTGGCCAGGCTGGTCTTGAACTCCCGACCTCGTGATTCCCCCACCTCGGCCTCCCAAAGTGGTAGAATTACAGGCGTGAGCCACCGCGCCCAGCCCTAATCTTTTTAAAATTGTGGTAAATACATGTATATCAAAAAATTTACCATCTTAATCTTTTCGTTGCTGGTTTTTTTTTGTTTTTGTTTTTTCTCTTTGAGATAGGGTTTTGCTCTCCTGCTCAGGCTGGAGTACAGTGGTGTCATTATAGCTCTCTGCAGCCTTGACCTCACAGGCTTAAGTGATCCTCCTGCCTCAGCCTCCTGAGTAGCTGAGACAACAGGCATGCACCACCACACACAAATAATTTTTTTTTTCTAGAGACGGGTTTTTGTTGTTGTTGTTGTTTTTTGAGATGGAGTCTCACTCTGTCACCCAGGCTGGAGTGTAGTGGCGCGATCTCGGCTCACTGCAACCTCCACCTCCTGGGGTCATGCCATTCTCCTGCCTCAGCCTCCCAAGTAGCTGGGACTACAGGCGCCCGCCACCACGCCCGGCTAATTTTTTGTATTTTTAGTAGAGACGGGGTTTCACCGTGTTAGCCAGGATGGGCTCGATTTCCTGACCTTGTGATCCACCCTCCTTGGCCTCCCAAACTGTTGGGATTACAGGCGTGAGCCACCGCGCCCGGCTGAGACGGGGTTTTGCCATGTTGCCCAGGCTGGTCTCCAACTCCCGAGCTCAAGCGATCTGCCTACTTGTGCTCCCAAAATGTTGGGATTACAGGTGCAAGCCACTGTGCCCGGCCAAATTTTGTTTTTGTTTTTGAGACGGAGTTTTGTTCTTGTCGTCCAGGCTGGGGTGCAGTGGCACAATCTCGGCTCACTGCAACCTCTGCCTACTGGGTTCAAGAGATTTTCCTGTCTCAGCCTCCCGAGTAGCTCTGATTGCGGGCGTTTGGCACCACACCTGGCTAATTTTGTATTTTTGGTAGAGATGGGGTTTCACCATGTTGGCCAGGCTGGTCTCGAACTCCTGACCTCAGGTGATCCACCCACCTCAGCCTCCCAAAGTGCTGGGATTACAGGCGTGAGCCACCTCACACAGCCTCTTTTGCCTTTTGAGACAGGGTCTTGCTCTGTCACCCAGGCTGGAGTGCAGTGGCACTATCATAGCTCATTGCAGCCTTGAATTCCTGGGCCTAAGCGATCCTCTCACCTCAGCCTCCCAAGTAGCTGGGACTACAGGTGTGCACCTAGCTAAGTTTTTTTTTGTTTGTTTTCATAGAAACAAGGATCTCACTATGTTGCCCAGGCTGGTCTGGAACTCCTGACCTCAAGCCATCTTCCCGCCTCAGCCTACCATAGTGTTGGGATTATAGGCAAGAGCTACTATGCCTGGTCAGTATTTTTATTTTAGCCATTCTAATAGGCGTATGGAAGTATCTCATCATGGTTTTAATTTGCATTTCTCTAATGGCTAATAACACTGAGCCATTTTCATTTTATAAAAATGGTGTCATAAGGCCAGGCGTGGTGGCTCACTTGATTACACTTGTAATCCCAGCCCTTTTGGAGGCCGAGGCGGGCAGATCACTTGAGGCCAGGAGTTCAAGACCAGTCTGGCCAACATGGTGAAACCCCATCTCTACTAAAAATACAAAAACATTAGCTGGGCGTGGTGGCACATGCCTGTAATCCCAGCTACTCAGGAGGCTGAGGCATGAGAATCGCTTGAACCCAGGAGGCGGAGGTTGCAGTGAGCCGAGATTGCACCACTGCACTCCAGCCTGGGCAAAAGAGCAAGACTCCATCTCAAAAATAAATAAATTAATTTAAAAAAAAAAGGTTGTCATAAGGCCAGGTGGGGTGGCTCATGCCTGTAATCCCAGCATTCTGGAAGGTCCCGGTGGGAGGATGGCTTGAGGCTTGGAGGTCAAGCTTATACTGGCCAACACAGCAAGACTCTGTCTCTTTAAAAAAAATTAATTAAAAAATAAAAATGGCATTATAGTCTTTTATAACCTTTCTTTTTCTTTTTTTTTTAAATTGAGTCTCACTGTGTCTCCCAGGCTGGAGTGGTGCTATCTTGGCTCACTGCAACCTCCGCCTCCCCAGTTTAAGCAATTCTCCTGCCTCAGCCTTCTGAGTAGCTGGGACTGCAAATGTGCATCACCACACCTGGCTAATTTTTGTATTTTTAGTAGAGACAGGGTTTTACCATGTTGCCCAGGCTTGTCACGAACTCTTGACCTCAGGCGATCTGCCTGCCTCGCCCTCCCAAAGTGCTAGAATTAGAGGCGTGAGCTACCACATCCAGCCTTTTTCTTTCTTTCTTTTTTTTTTTTTTTTCTTGAGACGGAGTCTCGCTCTGTCACCCAGGCTGGAGTGCAGTGGCGTGATCTTGGCTCACTGCAAGCTCCGCCTCCTGGGTTCATGCCATTCTCCTGCCTCAGCCTCCTGAGTAGCTGGGACTACAGGCGCCCACCACCACCCACGACTAATTTTTTTATTATTTTATTTTATTTTATTTTATTTTTTCAGTAGAGACGGGGTTTCACTGTGTTAGCCAGAATGGTCTCAATCTCCTGACCTGGTGATCCGCCCATCTCAGCCTCCCAAAGTCTTGGGATTACAGGCGTGAGCCACCGCGCCCAGCCCGCCTTTTTCTTTTCTTTAGAGAAGGGGGGTCTCCCTATGTTGCCCAGGTCTTCCTGGAACCCCTGGGCTCAAATAATCCTCAAGCCTCAGCCTTCCAAGTAGCTGAGACTAACTAAGATTCTTTTATGCTGTTGTCACTTAGGAATTTTCTGCTGTATCATATTTCTCTGTGGGACTGCACTAGGACGTATTTTTCCATTCTCCCATCAATGGACTCTGTGTACTTTCCAAATTTTTGCCATTGAGAACATTATTGTGTGAGTCTCCCGTTTGCACACAGGCAAGAGTCTCTCTAAGTCACATGCCCACGATCCCAACTGCTGAGTCACAGCGCGCTCACGATAGGGTTAAATTGCTTTCCAAAGGGTTCAGTTCGCTGTTCTGTCAGTTAATCCATTGCACAGGTGACAGAGATAAAGTTCACAGGACATTGCTAGTTGGAAACAATGTACACATGTGATATTAACACCAGCATATGCCTCTACAAGATAAATGTCACCTTGGATTGAATCTATCAAGAAAGCTATTAGAAATTTATTTCCTGGGAGGAGCAATTTAGGAGACACCCACGTCTCTGGGACCAAGAGACAGATGTACTCAGAAAAAGTGTTATTGGAAGCAATGATAAGTAGAAAATATATCACAGAGAGAGGTCACAGGGCAAACTATGCTTGGTAGTAAAGATAGAGAATGGGTGGAGGGGGTGAGGCTGCACTGTAACCTCAGCAATTAAAGCTCCTGTTTTATCATAAGTGCTGCGAATGGTTGCCTTGTAATAAGGCAACCTGTCTCCTTGAGAACAAGAACACCCAGGACATTCCTTCAAGTAACACATATGTATCCAGCATCCATTATGTCCGGGGAGGTAAAGTGGGAGAGAAGGAGATACATCCAACATCTTCTTTGGCCTCAAAAAATTCATAACAGACCCGGCACAGTGGCTCACGCCTGTAATCCCAGCACTTTGGGAGGCTGAGGCAGGCAGGTCACGAGGTCAAGGGTTCGAGACCAGCCTGACCAAAACAGTGAAACCCCATCTCTACAAAAAATACAAAAATTAGCCGGGGGTGGTGGCACGCGCACCTGTAATCCCAGCTACTCAGGAGGCTGAGGCAGGAGAATCGCTTGAACCCAGGAGGCGGAGGTTGCAGTGAGCCGAGATTGCGCCACTGCACTCCAGCCCAGGTGACAGAGCAAGACTCCCTGTCAAAAAAAAAAAAAAAGTTCATAACAGGCTGGGCTTGGTGGCTCACACTTGTAATCCCAGCACTTTGGGAGGCTGAGGCAGGAGGATCGCTTGAGCCCATGGGTTTGAGACCAGCCTGGGTAAGATGGTGAGACTCCCCTTGCCCATTTCTACAAAAAATAAAAAATTAGCTGGGCATGGTGGTGTGCACCTGTCATCCCGGCTACTCAGGAGGCTGAGGCAGGAGGATCACCTGATCCCGGGAGGTAGAGGCTGCAGTGAGCAGTGATTACACCACTGCACTCCAGCCTGGGTAACAGAGTGAGATCGTCTCCAAAAAAAAGAAGGAGAATTTATATATTTATTTATTTACTTACTTACTTATTGAGACAGACCGTCTTGCTCAATCACCCAGGCTGGAGTGCAGTGGCGCGATCTCGGCTCACTGCAAGCTCCGCCTCCTGGGTTCACGGCATTCTCCTGCCTCAGCCTCCCAAGTAGCTGGGACTACAGGCGCCTGCCCCCACGCCCTGCTAATTTTTTTTGTATTTTTAGTAGAGACGGGGTTTCACCATGTTAGTCAGGATGGTCTTGATCTCCTGACCTCGTGATCCACCCGCCTCGGCTTCCCAAAGTGCTGGGATTAGAGGCGTGAGCCACCGCGCCCGGCCAGAAGGATGATTCATTTACTGTTCTATGTCAAGGGCAATGCCCACAGTACATACAATGGGATATCATCTAGCAAGGAAACCGAACTAATTATCGTTATGTGAAATAATATAAATGAATCTCAAAAATATTGTCTCAGGACCTGGTACAGTGACTGACGCCTGTAATCCCAGCACTTTGGGAGGCCAAGTCACTGGGGTCATTTGAGCCTAGGAGTTTGAGACCAGCATGGGCAACATGATGAGACCCCCCCATCTCCACAAAAAATATAAAATTAGTTGGGCATGGCGGTGGGAGCCTGTAGTCCCAGCTACTCCGGAGGCTGAGGTGGGAGGATGGCTTGAGCCCAGAAAGTGGAGGCTGTAGTGAGCTGAGATCACACCACTACACTCCAGCCTGTGCAATAAAGGAAAATCCTGTCTAAAACAAAACCAAAACCAAAAACAAAACATTGTCCTAAAGCAGAAAGAGCTGACACCAGGCCGGGTGCGGTGGCTCACGCCTGTAATCCCAGCCTATAATTCCAGCACTCTGGGAGGCCGAGGCAGGTGGATCACGAGATCAGGAGTTCAAGACCAGCCTGGCCAATATGGTGAAACCCCATCTCTACTAAAAATACAAAAATTAGCTGGGTGTGGTAGCACACGCCTATAATCCCAGCTACTCCGGAGGCTGAGGCACGGGAATCGCTTGAACCTCGGAGGTGGAAGTTGCAGTGAGCCGAGATCGTGCCACTGCACTCCAGCCTGGGTGACAGAGTGAGACTCTGTCTCAAAAAAAAAAAAAAAAAAAAAGAACTGACACCATGAGTGCAATTCCATTTACATGAAACTCTTGAACAGGCAAAAACTAATCTATGGGGATAGAACGCAGAATCTGGGGGGGTTTTGGGAGTAGTAGTGGACTGCAGCTGGCTTACAGCCACTCGTAAGCATCTTTGATACCATTGTCAACTTTATTTTTTTTGAGACTGACTTTCACTCTCGTTGCCCAGGCTGGAGTACAGTGGCACCATCTCGGCTCACCACAACCTCCACCTCCTGGGTTCAAGCGATTCTCCTGCCTCAGCCTCCCTCGTAGCTGGGATTACAGGCATGTGCCACCACACCTGGCTAGTTTTGTATTTTTATTTTTATTTATTTATTTTTTTAGACAGAGTCTTGCTCTCTTGCCCAGGCTGGAGTGCAGTGGCGAAATCTCAGCTCACTGCAAGCTCCACCTCCCGGGTTCACACCATTCTCCTGCCTCAGCCTCCTGAGTAGCTGGAACTACAGGTGCCCGCCACCACGCCTGGCTAATTTTTTTGTATTTTTAGTAGAGACAGGGTTTCACTGTGTTAGCCAGGATGGTCTCTGGTCTCGATCTCCTGACCTCGTGATCTGCCTGCCTCAGCCTCCCAAAGTGCTGGGATTACAGGCGTGAGCCACCGCGCCCGGCCTTGTATTTTTAGTAGAGACAGGGTTTGTCCATGTTGGTCAGGCTGGTATCGAACTCCCGACCTCAGGTGATCCACCCGCCTCGGCCTCCCAAAGTGCAGGGATTATAGGCATGAGCCACCACATCTGGTCTTCTTCTTTTTTTTTTTTTTTTTGAGACAGAGTCTCCCTCAGGCTGGAGTGCGGTGGCACGATCTTGGCTCACTGCAACCTCCACCTCTCAGGTTCAAGTAATTCTCGTGCCTCAGCCTCCCAAGTAGCTGAGACTACAGGCACCTGCCACCATGCCCAGCTAATTTTTTTTTTTTTTCCGAGATGGAGCCTTACTCTGTTGCCCAGGCTGGAGTGCAGGGGCACAATCTTGGCTCACTGCAACCTCCACCTCCGGGGTTCAAGCAGTTCTCCTGCCTCAGCCTCCCGAGTAGCTGGGATTACAGGTGCCCACCACCATGCCCGGCTAATTTTTGTGTGTTTTTAGTAGAGACGGGGTTTCACCATGTTGGTCAGGCTGGTCTTGAACTCTTGACCTCAGGTGATCTGCCCACCTCGGCTTGCCAAAGTGCTGTGATTACACCCGTGACCAGCCTAATTTTTGTATATTTAGTAGAGATGGGGTTTCACCATGTTGGCCAGGCTGGACTCGAACTCCTGACCTCAAGTGATCACCTGCTTTGGCCTCCCAAAGTGCTGGGATTGCAGGTGTGAGCCACCACACCCGGCCTCTCCTTATTTTAATGGCTCATTGTTAAACATTTACCAGCTCACTACTGCTGGGTGCAGAGGAAGAGAATGAACTAAAAAGGCAGTGAACAGACTTTCTGGAGTAAGGGGAAGTGTTACATGGATGTATAGAGTTGTAATAATCCAAGAAATTGAACTTCAGAAACTTGTGCATTAATAGGTGAGTGCAGTGGCTCACGGCTCTAGTCCCAGCACTGCTGAGGACGAGGCAGGAGGATCGCTTGAGCCTAGGAGTGTGAGACCAGCCTGAGTGACATGGAGAAACCCTGTCTGGACAAAAAATACAAAAATTAGCCGAGTGTGGTGGCGTATGTTTGTAGCCAGGGCTACTAGGGAGGCTGAGGTGGGAGAATCGCTTGAGCCAGGGAGGTGGAGGCTGCAGAGAGTTATGATCGTGCCACTGCACTCCAGCCTGAGGCCTGGGTGACAGAGTCAGAACTTGTCTTAAAAAGAAAAAAAAAGCCTAAAATAGGATAAAATGGGAGAAAGATTGCTAGGCAAAACAGAAGGAACATGGAAATAGCCCTGTCTCTGAAAGGGCCTGTCCTTATTTGAGGCCACATATGCATCCATCTGAATTTTGGACAAGCGGGTGGGAGCGATGAGAAGTAAAACTGAAAGGCCCAGATTGTAAAAACCCAGGAGCAGGCTTCCCCAGGAGCAGTGTTTTGTTTGTTGTTTTGTTTTGTTTTGTTTTTTTCGAGATGGAGTCTCGGTCGGTCGCCCAGGCTGGAGTGCAATGGCGTGATCTCGGCTCACTGCAACCTCCACCTCCCGGGTTTAAGCGATTCTCCTGCCTCAGCCTCCCGAGTAGCTGGGACTACAGGCACGCATCACCACACCCAGTTAATTTTTGTATTTTTAGTAGAGACGGGGTTTCACCATGTTGGCCAGGATAGTCTCAATCTCTTGACCTCATGATCCACCTGCCTTGGCTTCCCAAAGTGCTGGGATTACAGGCGTGAGCCACCGCGCCCGGCCAGTTGGTTGGTTTTGTTTTTTGAGCGTGAGTCTGGCTCTGTCGCCCAGGCTGGAATGCGATGGCACAATCTCGGCTCACTGCAACCTCCGCCTCCGGGGTTCAGTTATCCCACCTCAGCCTCCCTAGTAGCTGGAATTACAGCCACCCGCCACCACACCTGTGTAATTTTTGTATTTTTAGTAGAGACGAGGTTTCACCATGTTGGCCAGGTTGGTCTCGAACTCCTGACCTCAAGTGATCAGCCCACCTCAGCTTCCCAGGGTCCTGGGATTACAGGTGTGAGCCACGGCACCTGGCAAAAAATTAAATTTTTTTTTGTTCTGTTTTATTGGAGACGGAGTCTTACTTTGTCGCCCAGGCTGGAGGGCAGTGGTGCAATCTTGGCTCACTGCAACGTCTGCCCCCCGGGTTCAAGCGATTCTCCTGCCTCAGCCGCCTGAGTAGCTGAGACTATAGGCACACACCGCCAGGCCTGGCTAATTTTTGTATTTTATTTATTTATTTGTTTGTTTGTTTGTTTGTTTGATTTTTTTGAGACGAAGTCTCGCTCTTGTCTCCCAAGCTGGAGTGCAATGGCGTGATCTTGGCTCACTGCAACCTCTGCCTCCCGGGTTCAAGCAATTCTTCTGCCTCAACCTCGCGAGTAGCTGGGATTACAGGCACGCGCCACCATGCCCGGCTAATTTTTGTATTTTTTTGTTTTAGTAGAGACGGGGTTTCACCATGTTGGCCAGACTCGTCTTCAACTCCTGACCTCAGGTGATCCACCCGCCTCGACCTCCCAAAGTGCTGGGATTACAGGCGTGAGCCACCGCGCCCAGCCTATGACCTTTCTTATAAAGTGGTACGGCTATTGTATTAAATAGTAAGGTGGTGCTTCAAAAAGTTCAACATAGAATTACCATATAATCCAGTAATTCCTCTTCAGAACATATACCCAAAAGAACTCAAGGCAAGGACTCAAACAGATATTTGTACATCTGTGTTCATAGCGGCACGATTCACCGAAGTGTCTAGTGGCAGATAAATGGATAAGCAAAATATAGTCCATGCACACAATAGAATATTATTCAGCCTTAAAAAGGAGGAAAATCCTGACTGGGTGCGGTGGCTCACGCCTGTAATCCCAGCACTTTGGGAGATCGAGGCGGGTGGATCACGAGGTCAGGAGATGGAGACCATCCTGGCTAACACGGTGAAACCCCGTCTCTACTAAAAATACAAAAAAATTAGCCGGGCATGGTGGTGGGCACCTGTAGTCCCAGCTACTCGGGAGGCTGAGGCAGGAGAATGGCGTGAACCCGGGAGGCAGAGTTTGCAGTGGGCCGAGATCGCACCACTGCACTCCAGCCTGGGTGACAGAGCGAGACTCCGTCTCAAAAAAAAAAAAAGGGAAATTTTTCTTTTTTTTTTTTTTTCTGCTCTTTTTTGGAGCAGGGCTACCCGATTGGAAGTATGCCCGGAGTAGTCAAGTGGGTAAATTCTAACACAGGTTACAACGTGGATCTAACACAGCTACAACAGGCACCTTGAGGACGTGGCCCTCAGTGAAATATGCCAGCCACAAAGGGACAAAACCTGTGTGATCCTACTCATATGAAGTCCCTAGAATCATCAGATTCACAGGAAGTACGACGTTGGGTTCCAGGGGCTGGGGAGGGGGATAGGGAGTGAGGTTTCATAGGGGACAGTGTTTCAGTTTCGGAAGATGAGAAAATTCTGGAGATGGTGGTGGTGGTGGTTGCTTAATGCCGCTGAGCTGTGCATTTAGAAATGGTTAAAATGACAAGTTTTATGTTATGTGTATTTTATAATAAAAATGTTTCAACATGCGCATAGTAATATATGCAATTTTATTTGTCAATTAAAATAAATTTTAAAAATGTTTTAGAGTGGCCTTGTTCTGATGAAGGAGGGGGAGTAACTGACACTCTAAGGCGGTGGGGGCTAGGGGCGTGTGTCCACGCTTGCCAAAAAGATTAAATGGACTCTGGGTGGGTCTCGTCCACTGTTCTGGGGTCTTACGGGTTCTCTCAGCCCCAGCCTGGGGCACCACAGGCTCTCAGGAGTCTGGCTACCCTGCCCACCTGTGCACGACCATCACCCCAGCCTTCATCCCTCCGTCTCCTCCCCTGCTCCCGCGCCTCATGCCCCAAGCGCTTGGGCACACGCGCCGTGGTAAGGCAAGCGAGGGCGCCCGGTCCCGGCACCGCCTCGCGTCGGTCTCCGCCCCTTTCCCCTCCGAAAGGCGGCCTTGTGCTGCTGCGCAGGCGCGGCGGCTGGGGGTGGGGTCCATCGCGGCTCCCGATCCCGTTATCGCGAGAAGCCGGTCCGCGATCTTGTGGCCGCCCCTCCCCTCCCCCTGCCTCTCGGACTCGGGCTGCGGCGTCAGCCTTCTTCGGGCCTCGGCAGCGGTAGCGGCTCGCTCGCCTCAGCCCCAGCGCCCCTCGGCTACCCTCGGCCCAGGCCCGCAGCGCCGCCCGCCCTCGGCCGCCCCGACGCCGGCCTGGGCCGCGGCCGCAGCCCCGGGCTCGCGTAGGCGCCGACCGCTCCCGGCCCGCCCCCTATGGGCCCCGGCTAGAGGCGCCGCCGCCGCCGGCCCGCGGAGCCCCGATGCTGGCCCGGAGGAAGCCGGTGCTGCCGGCGCTCACCATCAACCCTACCATCGCCGAGGGCCCATCCCCTACCAGCGAGGGCGCCTCCGAGTGAGTGGGCAGGGGTCAGCCGGAGGCTTGGGGTGCACGGGGCAGGGAGCCCTCGGGGAAGGACGGGGCGAGGGGACGGGGGTTCGCGAGGAGTGCACGAGGCAGGGGGGTCACGGGGGAGGACGGGGTGAGTGGTGCACGGGGCAGGGGGTTCTCGAGGGGAGGACAGGGCAGGGGACCCTCGGGGGAGGACGGGGCAGGGGGCCCTCGGGGGAGGACGGGGCAGGGGGCCCTCGGAGGACGGGGCGAAGGGTGCACGGGGCAGGGGGGTCTTTGAGCAGTGAGATTGGGCGAGGGGAGGTCCTTGTGGTGGAAAAGATGGGGTGTGGGGTTCCTGAAGAGTGGAATTGGGATAACGGGAGTCTCTGAGTAGTGAAGTTGGGGTGAAGGATGTCTCTAAGAGGAGAGGATGGGGACAGGGGTCCCTGAGCAGCGAGGTTGAGTGAGGGGAGGTCCCTGCAGTGCAGAAGATGGGGTGTGGGGCTTCTGAAAAGTGAAGCTGGGGTGAGGGGAGTCCCTCAGTAGGAAAATCGGAATGAGGGGTGTCCCCAAGGAGAGAACAGGATGAGGCTCCCCAAGCAGTGAGATCGGGGTGAGGGGTATCTCTAAGAGGAGAGAACACAGTGTGGGGTCCTTGAGTAGTGAAATGAGGGTGAAGAGTTCCTAAGAGGAAAGGACGGAGTAAAGGTTGCCGTAGTCATGAGATGAGGGTGAGGGGAGACCCTGAGTAGGGAAATCGGGGTGCAGGGCATTCCTGAGAGGAGAGGATGGGGTGTGGGGAGGTCAGGCAGCCCCTGAGGAGGAAATCTGGGCAAGGGGGCTCCAGAGGGGAGAGGATGGGGTGAGGGGTCCCTGAGTAATGAGACTGAGATGGGGTAGGGTCCCTGGTAGGAAAAGACGGGGTAAGGGTCCCTCAATAATGAGATAGGGCCAAGGGAGGTCCCTGTGGGAAAAGACAGGGCATGGAGTCACTGAGTAGCAGAATGGTGGTAGGTCTCTGAGTAGTGAAATGGGGTGAACGGTCCCTGAATAGTGAAATCGGGGAGATGGTGGGGTCCCTGAGTAATGAGATTGGAGTGAGGGGAGATCCCTTTGGGGAAAAGATGGGGTTTGGAATCCCTAAGTCGTGAGATCAGGCCAAGGAGATGTCCTTGCAGAGAGAAGATGGGGTGCAGGGCCCCTGAATTGTGAGATGGGGTTGAGGGGGTCCCTGGGAGGAGAGGATGTGTCGGTGGGGGCCTGTGGGGGAAGGATAGGCAAGGGGTGTTCTGCATATTGAAATGATAGTGAAGCGAGTCCCTTGGGGGAGAGATGGGGTGAGGGGGTCCCTATGGGGGAAAGATGGGGTGGGAGGGTTCCTATGGGGGAGAGATGGGGTGAGGGGGTCCCTATGGGGGAGAGATGGGGTGGGAGGGTCCCTATGGGGGAGAGATGGGGTGAGGGGGTCCCTATGGGGGAGAGATGGGGTGAGGGGGTCCCTGTGGGGGAGAGATGGGGTGGGAGGGTCCCTATGGGGGAGAGATGGGGTGGGAGGGTCCCTATGGGGGAGAGATGGGGTGGGAGGGTCCCTATGGGGGAGAGATGGGGTGGGAGGGTTCCTATGGGGGAGAGATGGGGTGGGAGGGTGCCTGAGCCACAGGTTGAGAGTGCAGCACCTGGGTGGGGAGGACAGGCTGAGAGGTCTTGGGGGGGCGGGGAGCGGTCCTTTTGGGGAATGAGTCCCTGAGTAATGAGGTTGGCATGGGATGAAGAGGGCACCTAGGGTGCCAAGGTGGGGCAGGGGGGTCCCTTAGGGGAGAGGATGGGGTGAGGAGGTCCATAGACAACCAGGGAAAAGGGAAGAGAGGGGAGGACAGGGGGCTCCCAGAAGGGTCAGGATGTGGGAGAGGGGTGTCCTAGGGGGTCACGATGGGGTGGGAGACCCTAGAAAGGTCAGGATCGGGGGACTTTGGGGGGGTCAGGGTGGGAGTTCTGGGGTATCTGAGGACAAGGGGGTGTCTTAGGGGTGTCAGGACATGGGGGGGCTTTAGCGGGGTCAGGATGGGAGTTCTAGCGGGTTCCAGATGGAGGGGTTTCTGCTGGGGGAGGTCTAGTGGGATCAGGACAGGGGTTCCAGGGGGTTCATGTTGTGGGGGGGGTCAGGTTGGGTCCTCGGGGGTCATGTTGGGGGATTCTGGGGGGGTCAGGTTAGGGGGTCCTCGGGGGGTCATGTTGTGGGGGTTCTGGGAGGGCAGAGCAGGGGGTCCTAGGGGTCTCATGTTGGGGTTCTGAGGGGGTCAGGATGGGGTCCCAGGGAGGTCAAGATGTCAAGATGGGCATCTCTGAGAGGGCATCTCCTGCTTGTGGCGGTGCCCAGTGTGTGGAGTCCCTGAAGCTGGAAGTGTGAGGAGACAGGGAAGCCAGAGTGTGAGGAACGAGGAGGCGTGGGGATCAGGGGACCCTGCTGGCCCCTGAAAGCAGAGGTGCAGATTCTGAAGTGAGTGGACCGGAAAACCCTTGTGAGGGGCTGACCCAGTGCAGAAGCTTTGAGGAGGTGGAGGGCGACCAGAGGCCTGGGTGAAGGGATCTGAGAAAGGGGTATGCTGGGGTCCGGGTGGCGTGCTGGCAGAATCGCACTGCTCCAGGACGAGGGAGGGGACTGGGTGTTGGGGGCACACACTGGTGGGGTCATGCCAGGGTGATCTCTGCACTCCCGTTCTGCAGGCCGAGGCAGGGCAGGGCGATCCCCGGGGCCCTTGGCTGGGGTCCGGGTGCCGTGCCTGCGGTGTGACCCCTCAAGAACCAGGTGTCAGGGACTGTGGCATGTCTGGTGGCCTCTCCCGCTTGGGGGTCGGCCTTCTGTGACCCAGATGAAGACTCTTGATGCCAATGTGTGCAAGTCAACACGGGCACAGCCAGACACGGGGACCCGTTCCTCATTCTCTGCACAGAACTCGCCCTTCACATTTCTCTTCCGTGTGGGGTTTGATTCCCATCTCTTGAAGGATTCCCCCAGGAGAGGAAGCTGGCTGTAGGGACGCCAAGGTTTTGTTTTGTTTTGTTTAATAACCACAGTTGGGTTGCCAGTAAATTTAAGATGGATTAGTCAGCTGACTCCAGAATGCATTTTCAATGTTTTGAGCAGTACTTGAGACCTTCCAAGTCTGCCATCAGAAGTGTTCATTCATGGCTGGGTGTGGTGGCTCACGCCTGTAATCCCAGCCCTTTGGGAGGCCAAGGTGGGTGGATTACTTGAGGCCCAGAGTTCAAGACCAACCTGGCCAACATGGCAAAACCCCGTCTCTATTAAAAATGCCAAAAAAATTAGCTGAGCGCGGTGATGCACACCTGTAATCCCAGCTACTCAGGAGGCTGAGGCAGGAGAATCGCTTGGACCCAGGAGGCAGAGGTTGCAGTGAGCTGAGATCGTGCCAGTGCACTCCAGCCTGGGCGACAGAGCAAGACTGTCTCAAAAAAAATAAATATTCATTTATTCATTGATGTTATTCATTCATTCATTCATGTTCCCCTCCTTACCTTCTGTCCCACTCCCAGGGTCTCGCCATTTCTGCTTCTTCTGGGTCCTTGTTCAGCAGCTCCTCAGTGAGCACCTACTAGGGCCCTGTTTCCCCTCATGGGGGACACTAAGATGAGCAGGGGTTGTCCTGACCTCAGGCAGGTGTTGTTACCTCGGGCAGGTTCCCCCACCCCTGTGAGTCTGTTCCCTCCTGCCTGGGCCTCCGGGGACGATGGTGAGAATGGAATGAGATGGTGTTTGTCCAGCCCAGGAAGCGGTGCCCAGGCCCCTGCCTTCCAGCGAGCTCTTTGCAGCACCAGCTCCAGCGCCATCGCCTCGGTTCTGGCCTGTGTGCCCCGTGGCTTACGCCACTTCCAGCTGTAGGCGAACAGTGGTCGAACTTTGGGATTGGAAATTTCCAGATGGAAGGAGCAGTCCACGCCTTCATTCCCTGCTTCAGTCCCCTCTCTGGCTGTCCACCTTGGCTTTAGCTCCTTCCTGAATTGGGACCTCTGGAGGTGGCCTGTTCTTCCAGAGAGCCATTTAAAGCTGCACTGCCTGGTTGAGTAGCCCCTGGCTACAGGCAACACATAAAACAAGAATTGCCCAAACCCACGAGAGCATAGGCGCAATAATGCCATTGTAGATTTCAAAGGCTTAAGACGGAAACAGTGTGAAACATTCATTCATTTTTCATACTGGTTGTACGTTGAAAATGATAACATTTTTGATGGGTTAAATCAAATGTGTTATTAAAATTAATTTCAGCCAGGTGCAGTGGCTTATGTCTGTAATCCCAGCACTTTGGGAGGCCAAGGTGGGCAGGTGGCTTGAACCCAGGAATTCAAGAGCAGCCTGACCAACATGGCGAAACCTTGTCTCTACTAAAAATACAAAAATTAGCTGGGCGTGGTGGCGGGTGCTTGTAATTCCAGCTACTTCGGAGGCTGAGGCAGGAGAATTGCTTGAACCCGTGAGGTGGAGGTTGCAGTGAGCCAAGATCACACCACTGTACTCCAGCCTGGGCGACAGAATGAGACTTTGTCTCAGAAAATAATAATAATAATAAAAATTAATTAATTAAAAAGAGCCAGACATGATGGCTCACACCTGTGATCCTAGCTACTAGGAAGGCTGAGGTGGGAGGATCACTTGAGGACAGGAGTTGGAGGCTGCAGTGAGCTGTAATCGTGCCGCTGCACCCCAGCTTGGGAGGTAGAGCAGGACCCTGTCTCTAAATAAATGAAGTGAGTTCACCTGTTCTTTTTAAACATGGGTACTAGAAGATTTTAATTTGTGCGCATGGTTTACATTCCATTGCTTGTGCACAGCAATGGGTTCCTGTGTGCATTGCGCTTAGTTGTCTGTTACTCCAGGATCTGGTTCTGAGTCAAGGCATTTGTGAAAATAGCTTACTGTCGAAATTTCCTCTGAAGATTCCTTGAATCACCCAATAAAGTGCAATGTACTTGCTTGTTTAAATTGTTAGAAATTTTTTATTGTGTAGAAACAAGGTCTTGCTCTGTCACCCAGGCTGGAGTACATTGTCACGATCATGGCTCACTGCAGTCTCGACCTCCTGGGCTCAGCCTCCTGAGTAACTAGAACTACAGGCATGAGCCACTGTGCTCGGCTATAGGTCTCACTTTGTTGCCCAGGCTGGTCATGCTTATTTTTTGTTTTTTTTGTTTTTTGGTTTGTTTTGTTTTGAGACAGAGCCTCCCTCTGCTGCCCAGGCTGGAGTGCAGTGGCAAGATCTCAGTTCACTGCAATCTCCCCCTCCCGGGTTCAAGCAGTTCTCGTGTCTCAGCCTCCCAAGTAGCTGGGACTGCAAACGTGCACCACCGTGCCTACCTGATGCAGCTTTTGTGCTGAGCCTTCTGCCCTCTACTCTTGGTTCTCATTCTGTGCTCTGAGGCTGCTCAGAACGCTTGTTCCTCTATCTCCTGCAAAGACAGACATCTTGGCCCGGGCTCCGTTCACCCGATCCCAGCTTCCTCGTCTCCTCCCGACATGGTCCGGAGCTCGTGCGTTAGGAAGGAGGTCTCCCGGCCGCGTGCAATGGCTCACGCCTATAATCCCAGCACTTTGAGAGGCTGAGGCAGGCGGATCACTCAATGTCAGGAGTTGGAGACCAGCCTGACCAACATGGCGAAACCCTGTCTCTACTGAAAATACAAAAATTAGCCGGGCATGGTGGCGGGAGCCTGTAATCTCAGCTACTTGGGAGGCTGAGGCAGGAGAATCTCTTGAACCCGGGAGGCCAAGGTTGCAGGGAGCCGAGATCGCGCCACTGCATTCCAGCCTGAGCAACAGAGGGAGACTCCGTCTCAAAAAAAAAAGAAAAAGAAAAGAAAAAGACGGAGGCTTCCTGGGTCCTTTGAGCTGCAGCTTATCCTTGAGGTCCTGAGGTCTGCTAGACTTGTTGAGACAGGATCAAGGCAGCGTCCTCAGTTCCCGGGGAGCCGCCCTGGATTCTGGTCATTGGTGTGTCTATGGGGGTACACAGCATGGATCCTTTCCTTCTACACCATGAACCCCTCAAGTGCAGGAATCCAGTCTGTGTCCTCCTGGGGGCCGATGCACCACGGCCACATAGCAAACGGCCAGATGGAGTCTCCCTAGGTAGCTAACCCCTACCCTGGGGGGTCTCTGCAGGGCAAACCTGGTGGACCTGCAGAAGAAGCTGGAGGAGCTGGAACTTGACGAGCAGCAGAAGAAGCGGCTGGAAGCCTTTCTCACCCAGAAAGCCAAGGTCGGCGAACTCAAAGACGATGACTTCGAAAGGATCTCAGAGCTGGGCGCGGGCAACGGCGGGGTGGTCACCAAAGTCCAGCACAGACCCTCGGGCCTCATCATGGCCAGGAAGGTGAGCACTGCGGGGTCGGGGAGGTCGGGGAGTGGTGGGGAAGGTCCCCCTGGAAACAGGAGGCAGGTTGGGAAGGCAGCCGGGTCTCTGCATTCTGATTAGCTCCAGGCTCTGTCCCTCATCCCCACCAGGGACTCTAGGTCCTGAGAAAGGGCCCAGCTTCTGGGCAGATGGGAGCCGTGCCAGCCACACCAGCCACACACAGCTGTGCCCTCCAGTGACTACTTTCTGCCCTGGAGGGCACTTGAAATCCATATTCCCAGAAAGCTAGCACGTGGGGGTTTCAGAAATGCGAG
The DNA here is from genome assembly GCF_000001405.40 of Homo sapiens. Taxonomy (NCBI): domain Eukaryota; kingdom Metazoa; phylum Chordata; class Mammalia; order Primates; family Hominidae; genus Homo; species Homo sapiens. Next base: position 4,117,122 of record NC_000019.10, on the reverse strand, counting down.
TGTGTTATGGTTCTCCAGAGAAACAAGCGATGAAGACGAAGCGTGTGTGTGTTTGCGCCTATGTGTACAGCCACCTCAGGGCGATGGCTCAGCCAGTGACAGACCGCCTACGCAGCGGTGGCGACGTAAGATGATCAGGCCATGTTTTTGCTGTGCCTTCTGTATGTTTATTTTTATTTTTATTTTTACTTTTTGAGACGGGGTCTTGCTCTGTTGCCCAGGCTGGAGTGCAGTGGCATGATCTTGGCTCACTTCAACCTCCGCCTCCTGGGTTCAAGGATTCTCTTGCCTCAGCCTCCCGAGTAGCTGGGATTACAGGCACACACCACCAGGCCCAGCTCATTTTTTTGTGTTTTTAGTAGAGGCAGGGTTTCGCCATGTTGGCCAGGCTGGTCTGGAACTCTTGACCCCAGGTGATCCGCCTGCCTCGGTTCTCTATATTTAAATAAACAGACAGCAGCTCAGCACTGCGCTGTACAGAGCATGGGAGCCTGGGTGTGGAATGGGCTTTCCAGTGTTTGCACAGTGACGACATCGCCCAGAGAGGGATTTCTCAGTGTATCCCTGTCCTTAATGATACTTGAGTGTATGTGTAGAGAGAGATTTATTCTAAGGAATTGGCTGGAGTGCAGTGGTGCGATCTTGGCTCACTGCAACCTCTACCTCCTGGGTTCAAGGGATTCTCCTGCCTCAGCCTCCCGAGTAGCTGGGATTACAGGTGCATGCCACCACACCCAGTTAATTTTTGTTTTTTTAGTAGAGATGGGGTTCACCGTGTTGGCCAGGCTGGTCTCGAACTCCTGACCTCAAGTGATCCTCTTGCCTCGGCCTCCCAAAGTGCTAGGATTACAGGCATGAGCCACCGCGCCTGGGCAGGCTTTTCCCTGAAGGCCTTCAGCTGATTGGCTGAGACTCACCCACCCTGGGGTGGAGTAATCTGCTTTGCTCAGAGTCTGCCAATTTAAAGGTTAATCACATCTTAAAAACATACCTTCCCAGCAACCTCTAGACTGGCGTTTGACAACTGGGCACCGTGGTCTCACCGAGGAGACACACAAAGCTGACTGTCACCCACCCTTTGAAAGTCTGCAAGCCCTGGTGCTGACGGCCCCCGTGCTTAGTCATCCCGGGCTCCTGGGCCATGATGCAGCCTCTGTGCTCTGTGTTTGAGAATAGTGCCCAGGGGATACAGGGAGGATGTGACCACTTGGGGACAGTGGCTCTTAAACACAGAAGTAGGGGACTTAGTGTTGACAGGGTGTTCAGCTCCTCACCGGTGTTCTTTCAGACCTAGAACGCTGCCTCTTCCTGGAAGCCCACCATCCTGTAGTTCCCCAAACTGGGGGAACGTGACTGCACCTAGTCCCGTGGGTCTGCGCAGGTGGCAGCAGTGCTTGAGGGCCCTGCCTTCCTCGGGAGCAGCGGCTCAACTCCTGCGGGGATTTAGCTCTGCAGCTCTGTCTTCTGGCCTCTAGAGTGCTGCCCTCCCTCCCTCCTGAAGTGTGCAGCCGCGGACTTGCTATTTCTGTCCCCGTACTGCAGGCAGCCTCTTCCAAACCGGAGCAGCCTTGGAAAGCTCAGGTCCGCCTCCGCCCGAAGCACTGGGTGGAAAAAGGCAAGCGTGTGGTTCACACAGCCACAGCAGGGCCTTGAGACAGTGCCAGTCCTCGTGTGTGCCAGGGACCCTCAGGCTTCTGGGGGAGCCTCCAGTGGTCCCTGATGGGCTGGGCAGTGGACATGAACCCAATGCTTGCTGTATCAGCAGCTCCTGCTCCTGCTGACAGGCGCAGGTGAAGCCGGGCCCACCTGCAGCTTTACTGTAGCGGGGAAAGGGAGATCGGGGCCTTTGAACCTGAGGGCAGGCGTGGCTGGGCAGGTTCTGTGGTCTGGTGGGTGGAGATGTCCCAGCATCAGCTCTGGGTGTCAGTACTGTCCTTCCGTCATGTAAGATGTCAGTCATCTTGGGGGAGGCGGGGAAAGGGCGCACGGGACTCTCGTTACTATTTTTGCAACTTCCTGTGCTTCTATAATTCTTTCAAAATTAGGTTTTCTTTAAAGTGCCCGAAAACTCGGGTGGGAGAGGATGCATTGAGCTCGTGGGCTCAGCGGCTCTGGCTGCTATGCAGGTAGGGCTGCAAGGGCTCCTTTCATTTCATCTTATTTATTTACTTATTTTTATTTATTTATTTTTTTGAGACAGAGTCTCGCTCTGTCACCCAGACTGGAGTGCAGTGGCACAATCTCGGCTCACTGCAACCTCCACCTCACAGGTTCAAGCGATTCTCCTCCCTTAGCCTCCTGAGTGGCTGGCATGCCTGGCTAATGTTTGTATTTTTAGTAGAGACGGGGTTTCACCATGTTGGCCAGGCTGGTCTCAAACATCTGACCTCAAGGAATCCATGCATCTTGGCCTCCCAGATTGCTGGGATTACAGGCGTGAGCCACCGCGCCTGGCCCAGTCTCGGTATTTGAGGTCATGCTGGTTTGTAAATGTCTTTTTGGCTTGACCGTGGCCTCTGACCCCTCTCCCATTGGAGCAGCGTCCCCGCGTTACCTGGGCCAGGGAGATAGGTGAAGAACTTGCTGCTTGTTACGCGTGTGGGGCTTCTTTGAATTGTCCATGCTCATAGCAGAGATGAGAGTGTTTGTTCTCGCCTCTGAGTTCCTCCACTCCGCTGTAGCTTACTTCCAGGGTGGCGGTCACACGGCCTGCCCAAGGCCACCTCACAGTACCAGCTGCTGTCTCACAAGTGACGACCTGAGTCGAAGCCGCTGCCAACACCTTTGACGCGTGTTCTCATTAAAATTGAACAGCAGCCTCGTTTTACAGTTGAAGAAACCGAGGCTGTGTGGGGTCAGTGCCTGAATCGGATTCGAACCCTCTTGGATCTGCTCGGACTTGGGAGCAGCTGCCGGGGCTGAGCCTCCAGATCCACTGCACTGCGGTCCCCTAGCTGGCCACCGCTCCCAGCCTGTGTGTTAATTTTTAAAATCTCTTGTAGAGATGAAGGCTTGCTACGCTGCCCAGTGTTGAACTCCTGGCCTGAAGCGATCCTCCCGCCTCAGCCTCCCAAAGCACTGGAATTACAGATGTGAGCCACTGCCCCGGCTCTCTTCCAATTTTTGACAACACCTAATTCAGGATGTTTGGAAGCGCAGTGTGGGCTGCACGTGACTCTTGGCTACATCCAGCTTGGGAGCTGTCAGTTTCTGATCCATGATTTACGAGGTTGCTGAGATCATTCCAGGCCTGCGGGGTGGCGGCCGGGGGGCGGCTCGGTCCTCCTCTTCCCCTCCTGCTCTCGCTGACACTCAGTGAAGCTCTTTCCTCTCTTTTCCTACTCCGAATCCCCCAACCCCACCCCTGGCTCAAATTCCTCATTCTTCTGTAGCAACCGTCTCCACCTCCGAGCCAGGTCTGGCATTTAGTTTTAACACCCTGACACCATCCACATTTAATCAGCTATTAGAGCTGGCACGGCCTGGGCTGTGGTGTCCTGGAAAGAATACGGGCTCCAGTGTTCCCCGAGGCAGCCCCAGTCCTGACTTAGCAGCTAATGCCACTGGGAACATGGCTCCGAGGCTCCGAACCTGAGCTTGCTCAGTCAGCACCAGTGGGGCAGTACACCCATCCCCCGGGCTTGTCAGGGTGAACTTTAGAGGGTGCAGGTGCTCAGGAACGCCCCCTCCCCTCCTGTCCATCTGTCTGTCTGTCTGCCTTTCCCCTTGCACACCCTCAGTGGTGGCTGCCCGTTTATCTGGAATGCTCGCTCGACAGGCCCCAGGTATTACAGAACCATTAAAACTGAGATCACGCCGCAGCCGCCCTGTGCAGACTGGCCTCCCTCGCCTCTGCTATTTACTACAGCCTTCCAGAAGGCCTCTCGCTTCCGACGGCCTCATTTCACGTTCGGAGCTCCTGGGTTCCAAGGCCTCTGGGATTCCTCCCAGTAGCCCATCCGCCACTTCCTCTCCTAAATTACGACTTGCGACGGCCAGCCGAACGCGCGCTCTTTCCTGCTTCTTGTCACCCATCTGTGGCTCCTTTGAAGTTTTTGGTCAGGAACTGAGCCGTCCAAGACAGCAGCCCCCGTTCAGATGTGGCTACCGGGCTCTTAAAATGCGGTCAGTCCGGACGTGCTGAACATGGAAAACACGCACCAAGCTTCAAGGGCTCGGTGTGAAAACAAATGTGGCCTTTTCCAGTAAATCTCCCAACCTCCACGTGAACATCCAAGCTTCAGTACCAGGCCCTTGTGCAACGGGAGTGAGCACCAGCACCTCTCAGTTACAGCCTGGCTGGAGGGGAGAGCATCCTGGGGTGCTGGGGTGGCCCTGGGGCCTGTGGGGTCACCATGAGGGAGTGGAGTAGCCCAGGGGCCACCGTCTGGAGCTGGATTCTGCAGGCTGGCCTGAGGGGAGAAGCCAGCGCTACAGGGGCAGGCAGGGGCGGGCAGGCAGGGGCAGGCAGCGCCAGGGCTGCGGTCAAGGTGGGAGACGCTTAGCCTGAGGAGCGGCCGGGCGGGGGGAGGTGGGCACCGTGCCCCGGGCCCTGCCATGCTTCTCAAGGTCACAGGCCTAGAGCAGGGGCCACTCCCCACACACGCCCTGTGCTGTGGCCACGGTCAGCCTCCTGCTGCCCTGAACACAGCGAGGGCTCCTTCATGCCTCCGTGCCCGCTGACAGGCGGCTCTTTGTCCCTCTGCCTGGAACACCCTCCCCCATCTCCTCCTCATGGTGACTCTGTCCTTCCTCAAGGCCCGGCCCCAGTGTCACCTCCTTGTTGCTGCTCCCCAGGCACCTGGGTTGATTCTCCTTGGTGGACTTTTTGCCACATTGAGGTGGTCTTACCCATTCCTGTTCCCGTCCTGACCCCAGGTCTCCTCCAGGAAGGAGCTGTCTCCGTGCTTGGCCGCCCCTTCACTGACTGCACCTGGGCCTGGCTTTGCCTCTGTGGCGGATGAGTGGAAACCATGTCTTTTTCTTGTCTTATTGCAGTGGCTGGAGCGGGATGCTGTGATTCTCCAGGGTGCCGTCCCAAAGCCTCAGGCTGCTCCTTGCCATGCTGGGGGTCCTGGCTCTTCTGGGGCTTGTCCATGGGGTTAGGGGTTGCCCGTGGTGTTTTTGTTGTTGTTGTTGTTGTTGTTTTGTTTTTTTGGGGGTTTTTTTGAGACAAAGTCTCGCTCTTGTCCCCCAGGCTGGAGTGCAATGGTGCGATCTCGGCTCACTGCAACCTCTGCCTCCTGGGTTCAAGTGATTCTCCTGCCTCAGCCTCCCGAGTAGCTGGGATTACAGGCGCCTGCCACCACACCCGGCTAAATTTGTATTTTTAGTAGAGACGGGGTTTCACCATGTTGGTCCGGCTGGTCTTGAACTCCTGACCTCAAGCAGTCCGCCCACCTCAGCCTCCCGGAGTGCGGGATTACAGGCGTGAGCCACACACCAGGCCTCCTTTCTGCATCTCTTGAGCGGATCTTTGGCTTCTTGCCTTTTTAAAGTGGCACCGGGGTCAACTTGATGAAAATTTCCCCTGCCGTCTTGAACTTGGGTTGAAGGAGAGGGAGAATTCTCAGGGGCGCCCGCGGCTCTGTGTGGCTAACGTCTCCACGGGGTGTCTCCAGCTTGAGGGTGGGAAGGGGCTCGGGATAGACCCACCCCAAGTGGAGAGAGGCCTGGAGGGGAGCCATTGCCCTGCCTCCCTCCTGGGAAAGGCAAGCACTTTGTCAAAGTCTGATTTGATGGGGAAAAATGCTTTCACACAGCTCCCACTACAACTGAGTGGGAATTAAGTGTTTGCTTAATTGGTCTTTTTTGAAAACAGGTTTATTGAGGTGTAATTCACATACCTTACAGTGTCCCCTTTGAAAGTATGTGACTCAGTGGATTGTAGGATATTCACGGCATCGTCCTCATCACCACAGTCAATTTTACAGTATTCCATCACCCCAAAAAGAACCCTGTCCACATCAGCAGTCACCCCCATCCCCTCCTCCAGCCCCCGGCACCCACACATCCCCTTCCTGTCTCTGGATCAGCCTGTCCTGGACATTTCACAGAAATGGGATCACATATTATGTGGCCTTTTGTGTCTGGCATCTCGCACTAAGCATGACATCCTCAGGGTTCACCCACGCTGTGGCCGGGGTCTTGGCCTGGTTCCTCTTTACGGCTGAGTCCTGTTTCAGTGAGGGGTGGGCTGCGCTGGGTTGGCCTGTTCTGCCCTGGGTGGACGCCTGGGTTCTTTCCACCCTTGCCTGCTGTGAGTCGTGCTGCTGTGAGCACTTGGGACACGTTTCTGTGTGGACGTATGTGTCCACTTCTAGGCAGACACCTAGGGGTGGAATTGCGGAGGGGGTACTGAGTTGGTCTTGACCACTGTTGGGAACGCCTGCAGAGCAGAGGCCCCAAATGCCTTCATCCCGTTTTCGGGCACCCCCCAAGCCAGTCTCGCCCCTCTCCCCTTGCAGCTGATCCACCTTGAGATCAAGCCGGCCATCCGGAACCAGATCATCCGCGAGCTGCAGGTCCTGCACGAATGCAACTCGCCGTACATCGTGGGCTTCTACGGGGCCTTCTACAGTGACGGGGAGATCAGCATTTGCATGGAACACATGGTGAGTGCGTCCGGGGCAGGGGCAGGGGCAGGGCCTCCACGGAACAGAGCATGTTGGGGAGAAGGAAGACCCCCTCACGGCCCCTTTCCTCAGAGGCAACAGTGCGCTGGCTTCCAGGGGATCCTTCTCAAGGCAGTCGATGCCATACAAGTATGTATATGTAGATGCCTTTGGTTTTGTTTTGTTTTCTTTTTGTTTTTTTGAGAGGCAGTCTCACTCTGTCACTCAGGCTAGAATCTAGTAGTGGCACAATCTCGGCTCACTGCAACCTCCACCTCCCAGATTCAAGTGATACTTCTGACTCAGCCTCCCGAGTAGCTGGGATTACAGGCGCCCGCCACCACTCCTGGCTAATTTTTGTATTTTTAGTAGAGACAGGGTTTCACCATCTTGGCCAGGCTGGTCTCAAACTCCTGACCTCAGGTGATCCACCTGCCTCGACTTCCCAAAGTGCTGGGATTACAGGTGTGAGCCACCGCGCCCAGCCAATGATTTTGTTTTTTAAGCACTCATGTCTTCCTCCCAGCTTTGCTTTTTCTCTTGCTGTATCCCGGGCGTCCTTATGACAGCAGAGAGGGAAAACACTCCCGTTTTGGGGGGTACGTAGGTTGTTTCCAGTCTCTGCCCTATCTCAAATAACATGGCACTGACTCGCAGGCACACCTGTGAGGTAAGCTGTGTGAGGGAATTGCTGGGTTCCAGGGTAGATGCAATTAAAAACTGATCCCTATTAGGCCGGGCACGGTGGCTCATGCCTGTAATCCTACCATTTTGGGAGGCTGAGGTGGGAGGATCATTTAAGCCCAGGAGTTCGATACCAGGCTGGGCAACATAGTGAGAAACCATCTCTATAATTTAAAATATTAGGTGAGTGTGGTGGCACGTGCCTGTTTTAAAATTGTTAACAACATTTAAAAATGGGGATAAAAATAGCACCAGCTACATGAGAGGCTGAGGTGGGAAGATCACTTGAGCCCAGGAGGTTGAGGCTACAGTGAGCTTTGGTCACGCCACTGCACTCCAGCCCGGGCAGCAGAGCGAGATGCTGTCTCAAAACATAACAAAGCTGATGACTGTTTTTAAATGGCCTTCTCAGGAAAGTGTGGCAGTCTGAGCTTGTCAAGGCAGGCCTGTGCCTCCCCCAGCTCAGATCTGTGGGACCACAGTCTCTAGGGTGGGGTACAGGCACCCCCTTCATTGACTCTGACGTGCCCCCTTGTTAAGACACTCTGGCCTCGAAGCCCAGAAGTGGGTGAGATTGGGTGGAACAAAAGGAGAAGTGGCCAGAGCTCAAAACCCCGGAGGAAATGCTGCCGACCCCGCCACACCGAGCTCATCAGGTATCAGACCGCCTGCCGCACAGCGTCGTTTGCAAAACCAGAATGCTTGGGTGACACCCTGCAAACGTGCGATCCCCTTTGACAGTTTTGTAATGAAGGCAGGAAGTGAATTTGAGCAAGGCCCCCACGTAGCCATGTGACCCGAGCAAGGCAGCACCCGCCTTGGAGCCCCTTTCCCGCCTGCGAGGGAGACCTGGCGTCTGCCCCGCTGCTCGCAGAGTCACGTTGCCGGCGGCATCAAAGGGCGAGGAAAGGATGAGGAAGCGCTTTGTGGTCTGAGGCAGCCCCTCTGTCATGTGGTGCTCCCTATTCCTCCTCCTCGTCTTCCTCGTCTTCCCCCTCCTCCTCGCGCCCGGCAGGCACCCTCGCTACTCAGGAGTTCTGTCCATCCTCGTTTTGTGTGGCTGACTCAGTTCTCGAGCCCCCTTCCTCCCATGCAGAAAGGGGACAGTGTGGCAACCCGCCCCCAACCTCTATTCTTGGTGAATTTAAAATGGGGGTTCCCAGAGTGGGTGCTGGCACCCCAGGGGACACCACACAGACCACCAGGCTGCAGGAGGGAGACACAGGCCGTGCTGTCTGTGTTATGGAGTGCACCCTTTAAAAGTTCCGAGGTGGTCTAGCCAGGGGCGGTGGCTCACACCTGTAATCCCAGCACTTTGGGAGGCCGAGGCGAGTTCAGGAGATCGAGACTATTCTGGCTTGGCTAACGTGGTGAAACCCCGTCTCTACTAAAAAAAAAAAAAAAAATACAAAAAAAATTAGCCAGGCATGGTGGCGGGTGCCTGTAGTCCCAGCTACTTGGGAGGCTGAGGCAGGGGAATGGCGTGAACCCTGGAGGCAGAGCTTTCAGTGAGCTGAGATCGTGCCACTGCACTCCAGCCTGGGCCACAGAGCGAGACTCCATCTCAAAACAAACAAACAAACAAAAACAACGTGGAGCACGTTGATTTTTAAAGCATTGGGTGAGCCCTGACAGGGCAGCATCCGTGGAAGTAAAGTCATCCAAGGGGGCCATCCCTGCCATCCTCGCCGGCCCTGTGAATTCTCTCCATGCTGAACGATGCTCTCGGAATTCACCTGAGTGCCCATAGGTTTCCATGGAAGGGCCTGCCCAGCACCTGATTCATTCCCTCCCAGGCCACCCCAGTGAGGCAAAGGGGCAGCTTAGCACCGGGGCTGAGGATGGGCGTCCGGGTCAGGTCTCGGCCCCACCGCTCACCCTTACCACGGGTTCGGGACAGGACTCTTGCCGCTTCTGCTGTGAAGCTGAGGGAGGTCGTAGTCCCTGCTGGGGTGAGGACTGTGTGAGCTCCTCCCAGGATGGCACCCGGCACGCACAGGTGTTGCATCCATGTCCTGGCTGCTGCAGCCATTTCCCTGTATTTCTACGCTGTTTCCTCATATTTCTATGTCATCTTTATTTTGCATTTTTTTCCTTCTTTTTTTGTGGGGGGTAGGGGGTACAAGGTCTCTCTCTGTCACCCAGGTTGGAGTGCAGTGGCATGATCCTAGCTCACTGCAGCCTCCACCTCTTGGGCTCAAACGATCCTCCTGCCTCAACCTTCCAGGTAGCCGGGACTACAGGTGCACCAGCACGCTTGAGTAGCTTTTTAAGTTTGTTTTTTTTTTTTTTTTTTTTTTTGAGACGGAGTCTAGCTCTGTCGCCCAGGCTGGAGTGCAGTGGCACAATCTTGGCTCACTGCAAGCTCCACCTCCCAGGTTCACGCCATTCTCCCGCCTCAGCCTCCCGAGTAGCTGGGACTACAGGCGCCCGCCACCACAGCCGGCTAATTTTTTGTATTTTTAGTAGAGACGGGGTTTCGCTGTGTTAGCCAGGATGGTCTCGATCTCCTGACCTCGTGATCCGCCTGCCTCTGCCTCCCAAAAGTGCTGGGATTACAGGCGTGAGCCACCGCGCCCGGCAAGTTTTTTTGTAGATATGGGATGGCACTATGTTTCCCAGGCTAATCTTGAACTCCTGGGCTCAAACGATTCTCCCGCCTCAGCCTCCCAAAGTGCTGGGATTACAGGGGTGAGCCACCGTGCCCAGTGATGTATTTATATAAAATGGCAAGCACTTGTTGGTGACTGGAACTTAGGAACAGTGGGGCTGGCTGCTTCCCTGGGGTCTGAACCTATTACTGGATAACTCGGGGCAAGAACCCAGTGGACAGTGGGGCCTCATGGGATGGGGAAAGGAGAGCCAGTGGCTTACGGACCTCGTAGAGGTGCCCCTTGGCCTTTCTGGGGGTCTCGTCCTATCTGCTGAAGAATGCCCGTCTTGTTCTACTGTAATGGAAACTGGACATGTCCATCAGTAAGGGAGTGATTAAAGAATGATATTTGGCTGCTTTGCAGTGGCAAAGTGAAATCCACAATGGTGTACTGAATGGGAGTATCCCCACAGTACAACACTATTCATGTAGTGGAGGGGTGGTTGTAGAAAATAAACATAGCATGGGCTGGGTGCAGTGGCTCACGTTTGTAATCCTAGCACTTTGGGAGGCCAAGGCAGGCGGATCACGAGGTCAAGAGTTCAAGACCATCCTGGCCAACATGGTGAAACCCCATCTATACTAAAAATACAAAATTAGCTGGGCATGGTGGCGCACGCCTGTAGTCCCAGCTCCTCAGGAGGCTGAGGCAGGAGAATCACATGCACCCGGGAGGCGGAGGTTGCAGTGAGCCGAGATCATGCCACTGCACTCCAGCCTGGCGACAGCAAGACTCCATTTCAAAATAAAAGAAAAATAAAATAAACATAGCATTGGCCCATTCATTTGTTTATTGTATTTTCAAGTCAGGGTCTTGCTCAGTTGTCCAGCCTGGAGTGTACTGGTGCTGTCCTCCCACGTCAGCCTCCCGAGTAGTTGAGACCACAGGCGTGAGCCACCATGCACAGCTAATTTATTTGCTTATTTGTGTAGAGATAGGGTCTCTCCATATTGCCCAGACTGGTCTTGAACTCCTGGCCACAAGTGACCCTCCTGCCTCGGCCTCCCAAAGTGCTGGGATTACAGACATGAGCCCATTTCGATGTTGTTTTAAACTCTGGCTGGGCAAGCATGCTTTAATCCCAGTGCTTTGGGAGAATCCCATGAGCCCAGTAGGTCGAGGCTGCAGTGAGCTATGATTGAGCCACTGCTCTACAGCCTGGGCAAGAGAGTGAGTCCCGAGTCTGTGTTTCCAAATACACAGCAAGATGCGGGGGCCAGGTGCTCACTCCTGTGATCCCAGCACTTTGGGAGGCTGAAGTGGGAGGACCTCTTCAGCCAGGACTTCGAGAGCAGCCTGGGCAACATGAGGAACCCCCGTCTCTACAAAAAATTAGCAGGACATGGTGGCGCGCCTGTACTCCCAGCTACTTGGGAAGCTGAGGTGGGAGGACTGCCTGAACCAAGGAGGTGGAGGCTGCAGTGAGCCAAGATCACAGCACTATGCTGCAGTCTGGGCGACCCCTGCCTGAAAGAAAGAAAGAGAGAGATGAAGAAAGATCTGGAACAATATAAGTCACACTTGAGGGGGGAATGGTGGAAGTGATGCGGCGTCCAGGTTATTTATCCTCATTTGAATTTTTTATAAGAAAAATGTGTTTGCCGGGTGCGGTGGCTCAAGCCTGTAATCCCAGCACTTTGGGAGGCCGAGGCGGGCGGATCACGAGGTCAGGAGATCGAGACCATCCTGGCTAACACCAGTAGTGAAACCCCATCTCTACTAAAAATACAAAAAATTAGCCGAGTGTGGTGGCGGGCACCTGTAGTCCCAGCTACTCAGGAGGCTGAGGCAGGAGAATGGCGTGAACCCGGGAGGCGGAGCTTGCAGTGAGCCGAGATGGTGCCACTGCACCCCCGCCTGGGCAACAGAGCGAGACTCCGCCTCAGGAAAAAAAAAAAAAGAAAGAAAAATGTGTTCACCTACTACCTACGTAACAAAATTACAGTTACAAGACCATTTTAAACATCACACACACACACACACACACACACACACACACACACACACACACACACGGTAGACGTGTATGGTCATGCACAGAGTGAGATTTGGGGTCAGCAGTACACAGCTGCAATACCCCCTGCACCACATCCTGTCTCTGTGACTCAGACAAATTGCTTACCCTGCCAGACTTTGGTCTTTATAGCTGGAGATCAGCCCTTCTCAACCAGGGGCAGTTCTCCCTCCCAGGAGACACCTGGCACTGTCTGGGGATGTGTGTGGTTGTCACAACTGGGGGATGCTCCTGGCGTGGAGTGGATGGAGGCCAGGGACGCTACTCAGCGCCCTGCAGTGCCCAGGTCGGCCCCACCCCAGAGAGTGACCTGGCCCCGATGTCACAGTGGAGAAAGGCGGCTGCAGAGAGAGCGATGCTCCTGTGAGGCGTCTTCCACCAGCTCCTGAGGCTGCAGCACAGCGCTCCGCCCGCCCTCATCTCCGGGGAGAGGCTCTTTGAATTTTCTCACTAAACAAACATTGATTGCGGCCCCAGGAGAAACGAAGACGGAAGGAGCTGTGCTGGGGAGCAGGGGTTTTAGGGTTGCGTTTGGTGCGTCTGTTTGGTTTTCGCCACCCTGCCTCTTTCGAGTCGTTGGTCTCTTTCTGGTTTTTGTTTTTTTGAGACAGGGTCTTGCTCTGTCACCCAGGCTGGAGTGCAGTGGTGTGATCTCGGCTCACTGCAACCTTGACCTCCCAGGTTCAAGGGATCCTCCCACCTCAGCCTTCTGAGTAGCTGGGACTACAGGCGTGCACCACCACGCCCGGCTGATTTTGGTATGGGGTCTCACTGTGTGGCTCGGGATGGTCTCAAACTCCTCAGCTCAAGCATTCTTTTTGCTTTGGCCTCCCAAAGTGGTAGGATTATAGGTGTGCGCCACCACGTGCGGCTTTTTTTTTTTTTTTTTTTAATTGAGGAGTCTTGCTCTCTCGCCCAGGCGAGAGAGAAGTGGCACGATCTCGACTCACAGCAACCTCTGCCTCCCAGGTTCAAGTGATCTTCCTGCCTCAGCCTCCCGAGTAGCTGAGATTACAGGCATCCACCACCACGCCCAGCTAATTTTTTTTATTTTTAGTGGAGATGGGGTTTTACCATATTGGCCAGGCTGGTCTCAAACTCCTGACCTCAAGTGATCCGCCTGCCTCAGCCTCCCAAAGTCCTGGCATTACAGGCGTGAGTCACCGCTCCCAGCCCATGTCCGGCCTCATTTTAAGTAATTCTTTTAAGGTAGATTGATAAAAACTGAGAATAGAAGCAGCTTCCACCTGGCCCTGGCTCACTGGAGCTCCCGTCCTGGCACCTCCTCCTGGGCTGTCTGAGCCCTGGCCATACCTGCCCTCTCACCCTGTGTGTCTGCGTCTTCAGCCTGGAGCTGGTGGATGGAGTCACGTGTATGCTTTAGAGGTCTCAAAGCGTGTTGGGTTTTCTAGAACTGCCTTCGGCCTTTCTCTCCAAGCCTAGCTGGGCAGAAGTGGCCAGAGAGCGGCAACCCGGGCACCCCTGAGTCCCAGGATTTCTCCCCCGGCTCCTCCCACCCATGTGAATGAAAGCCATCCCAGGGAAGGCTGGGCTTTTGCAGGAGTCCTGGAGCAGCATGGTGGGGAAATCCAGGCTCCCCAGCCAGCCTCTCCAGGCTCCTCCAGCCCGCCCTCTCTAGCCTCAGTTCCACTTTCCTCTCTGCTGAGCACAGAAGAGACGCACGCCAGACGGTGGCAGTGGGAACTTGGCCTGTCACCCCTGCTGTCCTGGGGGTGGCCTGGCAGGTGTGTCCGGAGCCTCTGCCTCTGAAGAGGCACCTTGGGTGGCTCCCAGTGCCTGGGGTTTTGGCATTTGGGGGTTTTGGTCCCCAGGTTTGTTGCCAGGCAGCCTTGGGCAAGACATGGAATTTCTGTTTCATCATTTATGACATGGATGTGGGGCCACACCCGGGGACCAGCCTACCCATGATGACTCGTTTCCAGGCCCTCCGCAGGATGCCCGGCACAGTGGCGAGGAGACCACAGGCTGTGGGGAGGGGCCGAGGTTACCGTCACCTGGGCTGGCGTCACTGGGATCCCTCCTGCAGTCCATGCACCCCCTGGCCCCTGGTCCTACTCGGCCTGGCCTTTCTGCCCTAGGTGGCAGGGACAGGCGCAGGGCAGACGCCCAGCAGTGGAGCCGCAGGGCTTGGCGAGGGAGCCCCCTGGGGGTCTGGACGGGCACACAGCGACCCGCCGCCTCCTCCCACGCGGGGCAGCACCCGCGTCTCCTCCGCGCCCTCACCCTCCCCTTCCCTTCGTGTGCTGGGAAGAGGACGCAGGCCCAAGACGCTGGTCTCCAGCCTGGCCGCCTCCCGTGGCGCACAGACAAGCCCACCACGTAGGCTGCAGGGAGTGCGGGCCCCACAGCTGCCTGAGCCCCCGGCCGCGGCTTGGGCTGGCCCGGAGCAGAGCCTCTGCCGTGGCGACCTCAGGAGGGCCGAGTCACGCAACTGATTCGAGGATGGGACGGGAGGCGGGGGAACCCTGGGCCCTGTTCCTTCCCCACCTTGTGGGTGGGTGTTCAGACCCAAAGGCAGAACTGTCAGAAGACGCCCTGCCCTTGGCCCGTGGGTGGAGTTGGGCTCCGGCCCCTGCTTCCCGTCAGGAGGCAGACCACCCCCTCGCCGGGAGTGGGGGGACGCATCCGTGGCTTCCCGGCCACCTGCGCAGAGCCTGCACTCACTCCTTGTGTGCCCTCTAGGACGGCGGCTCCCTGGACCAGGTGCTGAAAGAGGCCAAGAGGATTCCCGAGGAGATCCTGGGGAAAGTCAGCATCGCGGTGAGTCCACCGCAGACCCACATCGCGCCCCCACCGCACTCTGCACGGACCTCTTCCACACGGCCAGGGTTCCGGGAGCCACTCACAGTGTGGTGGGGGTTAGGGTGGCCCCTGCAGAAAGAGAGTGGCCAAGGCTGTGCCCACCTGCTGTGGAGCTTGAACAAGTGACGTCCCTTTTGGGGCCTGAGGTCACCATCTGCCAAGTGAAGACGTTATAGGTCCCTCTTCACTCTTAGTATCCTCTGTTTGCCACACTGGTCCCCTCTGCCCCTCGTGGCAGGGGGATGTTGGCAGCTGGCACGTTGCAGGGGACAGGAGCTTGTTGAAAGGGAGACTCTGGGGTGGGATGTGGGACGCCAGGACCTCCAGACACACTCACCATTGCTGTTAGAAATGTCACCGGGGCCAAGGGCGTCTCTGCTGCCCGGTCTCCAGCACAGCTGCTCCGTAGAGCCGTGTGGTTTCAGCAGACCGTGCGTGTTGCTTCTTGGAGCTTGCACCTTGTCCATAGCAGGGGCCGAGTCCCGCCTGCCCATACCAGTGTTGGATTAAGACACAGGACGCATGCTGCCAGACACGCGTTTCCGAGTTGAAAGCTGCCGTCACACTGCCTGTGCTGCTTGCTTCACTTCTCGGGATGCTGCTTCCAGGGCGGGCCTGGGGGAAACATCGTCCTTCCCAGGCACCCTTAGCCCGTCCCATCTGGGGGCCCTTAGCACAGTCCCTGGGACCCCAGATGCTGCCTTTCAGGCTGATGTGGGCAAACTCGGCAGCCCAGCCTACTCCCGGGCCATGGGCCACCATCTCAGCTTCCCTGGGGCTAAGCCGTGTGCTCTGAATCAAAGGCAGTAGTGGCATCGGCGGCACTGCGGCCATGGGAACCGGGGTTGACTTGCACACGCCAGCACAGGGCTGTCAGCACTGTCTCGTCTCTGGCCTCGCTTGCTCCACCCCAGCGAGCTCCTCACAGCCTGAAATGGTTCCTGCCGCAGCTCCCTCGCTCCAGCTCTGACTGCTCAGCTCTGACCCCCGGGCTCGGTCAGGAGCTAAGCCCTGGTGGCCTTGTCCCGTGACTCCCTCCGCGCTCCCCTGCAGGTTCTCCGGGGCTTGGCGTACCTCCGAGAGAAGCACCAGATCATGCACCGAGGTAAGGCCCAGCCCGCCCTCCCCAGAGCCCCGGGGGCCGGCAGGCAACTGTTGGGCGCCCCTCACCCGCAGCCTGCCGCCTCCAGATGTGAAGCCCTCCAACATCCTCGTGAACTCTAGAGGGGAGATCAAGCTGTGTGACTTCGGGGTGAGCGGCCAGCTCATCGACTCCATGGCCAACTCCTTCGTGGGCACGCGCTCCTACATGGCTGTGAGTCCCCGCTGGCTCTCCCCTCCAGCTCTCCTCCCTGCTGCTCTCCCCCAAGCTCTCCCCACCCAGCTCTGCCAGCCAGCTCTCCCCCTCAGCTCTCACCCCCATGTCTCCTGCGCAGCTGTCCCTCCCAGTTCTCCTGCGCAGCTCTCCCCGCCTCCCACGAGGCTTTCCCAACTATTTCGTGGGCACACACTCCTACATGGCTGTTAGCACCCCCGGGACAGTCCCACCCCAGCTGCACCCTCCCCTTCATCAGCTCTCCCCACTTGCCACAAGGCACGTCTAAAGCTGGTGCCTCCTGGGAGCCTGCTTTTCGGATTCCCCTTGCTCTTTATTTTTTATTTGTTAATTTACTAATCTTTTGTAGACACGGGGTCTCGCTGTATTGCCCAGGCTGCTCATGAACTCCTGGACTCAAGTGACCTTCTTTCCTCAGCCTCCCAAAGTGCTGGGATTCCACTAGCAGTGAGCCTGAGCCACCACGCCCGGCCAGATCTCCCCTTCCTGTTGGAATTCTCTCTTAGGTTTTTGTCTCTAGCAGTGCCTACCAGGTTTCTTTCTTTTTTTTTTTTTTTTTTTTTTTTTTGAGACAGAGTCTTGCTCTGTCACCCAGGCTGGAGTGCAATGGCACAATCTTGGCTCATTGCAACCTCC
Organism: Homo sapiens; assembly: GCF_000001405.40. Classification (NCBI taxonomy): domain Eukaryota; kingdom Metazoa; phylum Chordata; class Mammalia; order Primates; family Hominidae; genus Homo; species Homo sapiens. Next base: position 4,100,361 of record NC_000019.10, on the reverse strand, counting down.
GCCTCCCACCCGGGAGCAATTCTCCTGCCTCAGCCTTCCAAGCAGCTGGGGCTACAGGCATGTGCCACCACAGCTGGGTAATTTGGTTTTTGTTTTTGTTGTTGTTGTTGTTTTTTGAGACACAGTCTCACACTCTCACCCAGGCTGGAGTGCAGTGGCGCCATCTCCGCTCACTGCAAGCTCCGCCTCCCGGATTCACACCATTCTCCTGCCTCAGCCTCCCGAGTAGCTGGGACTACAGGCGCTCGCCACCACGCCCGGCTAATTTTTTGTGTTTTTAGTAGAGACAGGGTTTCACCATGTCAGCCAGGATGGTCTCAATCTGACCTTGTGATCCGCCCGCCTCGGCCTCCCAAAGTGCTGGGATTACAGGCGTGAGCCACCGTGCCCGGCAGCCTTGGCTAACTTTTAAAAAAATGTTTTTAGTAGAGATGGGGTCTCGCCATATTGGCTAGCCTAGTCTTAACTCCTGGGCTTCCACCTCAACCTCCCAAAGTGCTGGGATTACAGGCATGGGCCACTGCACCCGGCCCTTAGTTAATTTCTGGACCAAGGAATTGGAATCTGGGGTCTTTCAGGAAACGACTGGGGATTCAGCAACCTGCCAAATTGAGCCTTGGAGCAGCCTCTGAGATGTTAGCTGTGGAGGAGGAGGCCCCTGCTTCCTGGGGCCCATCATCCATTCCCAAAAGTGCTGAGCATTGCAGGCTCTTCAAGAGCTGCGGTCAACACCAGCTCCAGGCCTCGGGCTGGAAGCCTCTTCAGCAAGTGCCGCAGGGAGGCCCTGGGTGGGTGAGCCGGGAGGTAGAATTGCGTAACAGCTCTCTATCCATTGCTGCGGTCATTAGCCATGGAGAGGGTGACGGGGGCTGTAACGGGGCAAGCCTCCCGGGTTCCAGCTGCCATCCTCGCCCCTCTGGGCTCTTTCCTCCCTGGCTCTGCTGCAGCCGGAGCGGTTGCAGGGCACACATTACTCGGTGCAGTCGGACATCTGGAGCATGGGCCTGTCCCTGGTGGAGCTGGCCGTCGGAAGGTACCCCATCCCCCCGCCCGACGCCAAAGAGCTGGAGGCCATCTTTGGCCGGCCCGTGGTCGACGGGGAAGAAGGAGAGCCTCACAGCATCTCGCCTCGGCCGAGGCCCCCCGGGCGCCCCGTCAGCGGTACGGCCTGAATCTGCAACTTCCGGTCTGGACGCGCAGTGCCCTGCGCGGGGCCTGCTGTGCCAGGGTCAGCAGCTGCCTCCCCTCTGCCCCTGGCGCACCACCTGTCCCCCTGGATGGTGCCGACTGTGGTCAGCAGTCCTCCCATGGTCCTGGGGTTTCCGGGGACAGAGCTGGAAGCAGTGAGCACCCCAAACCTGTTCTGTCCGGGGCAGCTGCACCTGTTGTTGCCAGCTGGAGGGATCTGGGAGCGCAGCTTTGCCACCAAGCCCCTGGGCAGTTGGATTTTCCAACATTTTATCCCGAAAGCATTCAAACGCACAGAAAAGTGGAAGGAATTGGCCGCCACAGAGCCTGCATTCTGCAGGTGACACGCTCCTGTGCTGCGGGCCAAGCCTTCCAGGGAGTCCTGAAGTGGAGATTGGACTTGGCATGGCCCTCAGTGGCCTGTTGGCTCCGGCCCCAACACACACAGGAGGGGACACAGCCCGGGAGGGGGCGGGAGGGCTCAGGCCCCAGGGACAGCTGGGCTCGCAGAGGACAATCCGGCACTTAGGGCGGGCACCTCGGGAGCGGGAGCTCCCTGACGCCAGTCAGAGAGGGCCGAGCGGACACTTCCACCGCCTGAGGGAAGAGCCGGGGGCGGACCCTGCTTGGTGCAGAATCACAGGAGGGTCCTGTGATTTTTTTTAAAGTCAGACATCAGGGAGAGTTGGTGGCGTCAGACCCCAAAGGACCCTGTAGCGGACTGTGGTTGGTTTTAAAACCATGTTTCCGAACTACAAAGCACACACCCCACAACTCATTTCAGGTGAGCAGTTCAGTGGTTTTCAGTCACAGTGCTGCGCCCCATCACCTCTAATTCCAGAACCTTCTCAGCTCCCCAAGAGGAAACCCTGTCCCCATCAGCTGTCACTCTCCATCCCCTTCCTGCCTCTGGACTGGCCTGTCCTGGGCATTTCACAGAAATGGGGTCACACACTTGTGTGGCCTTCTGTGTTTTGTGTGTGGCTTCTCTCCTGGAGCGCAGTGTCCTCAAGGGTCATCCACGCCATGGTGCGTGTCAGAGCCTGGGTCCTTTTGAAAGGCTGAGTAGTATTTTATGACACGAACAGGCCACGTTTTGTGGTCCTACCCGGATGGATTGGGGCTGTGAGAAGGAGATTTTCATAGCACTGGCAAGCCCACCTCCTCCTCTCCAGCCAGACTGCTGGGATGTCTTGATCTCATCCCAGGGAGAGGCCCCCAAGTCCTTATCCTCAGGCCTAGCCTCAGCCTCTCCCAGTCCCAACTCTCAGGTGGTATACCATCCCCAGCCCAGGGCCCCAGCCCACCTGCCCATTTCAGGACGGGCAGAAGGCGAAAGTCCAGCTGCCAAGCCCAGGCCTGGCCAGCTGGTTCTCAGACAGGGGTCAGCCACCCCTAGCCAGTCTCCCGTCCTGAGTGGCACTTGGGGCCTGCCCCCATCACCGCCAGCAGCTCCATGCAAGGTCACGCGGCTGTCCTTGCCTGCGGTCAGCACCGTCCCTCCCCCTGCCCTCCAGAGAGGAGGGGTGATGACTTTGGCACGTCCGGCAAGCCTCACCGAGCCAAATGTGTGACTTCTCAAAAAATGTTCTTGTTCCTTTTGCCTTTTTTTTAATTCACTAGAGGCTCAGGCAAGGAGTAGCTGTCCCAGGGAATGGAACCCAGAGTCAGGCAGGGGAGCTTTGTCCAGTGCCTCTGCACACCCGCCTCCAATTTAGGCTGGCATGTGGAGGAGGGCGCCTGGTGGTGATCAGCCCCCTGGGAGCCCAACCCCCAGCAGAAGTGAGGTGGCCATCGGCCCATCTCACCTCCATCTCTCTCCCTGTGCAGGTCACGGGATGGATAGCCGGCCTGCCATGGCCATCTTTGAACTCCTGGACTATATTGTGAACGAGGTTTGTGCTTGATGCCTTTTGGCTTTTCTTTTCCTTTTCTTTCTTCTTTCTTTTTTTTTTTTTTTTTTTTTTTAGGCAGAGTCTCTCTCTGACCAGAGCAAGAGTCACCAAGGCTGGAGTACAGTGGTGCCTTCTCGGCTCACTGAAACCTCCACTTTCCAAGCTCATGTGATTCTCGTGCCTCAGCCTCCCGAGTAGCTGGGATTACAGGTGCGCACCACCACACCCAGCTAATTTTTTTTTTTTTTTTTGAGACATTGTCTAGCTTTGTAGTGCAGTGGCTTGATCTCAGCTCACTGCAACCTCCGCCTCCCAGGTTCAAGCAATTCTTGAACCAATTCCACGTGTGTCGCGTCTCCCATCTTCTACTGTGCTGCACAAGCCCAGCTCCTTCCCAAGGGCATTGTTTTTTTATGAAGACGAACCCAGAATTCCCACCGCAGCCTCTCACCCTGAGTCCAGAGGGAGGTGTGTGCCAGCAGCCCTGGGCTCAGGCCGAGGAGCCAGCCTGCCCCTTGAGCAGTGGCCCAGTGTCTCTGCATCAGAGCGTCCTGGCGCCCGTGGGCGTGGACTCATAAATCACCCCGCTTCCACGGAGAAAGGTACAGGAATGGCCCTTGCCTCTTGGAAGGAGGCCCAGAGAGCCTAGAAGGACCTGTAGGTCCCGGGGTGGCTCCTGCTCCGTCAGTCCCCATAACAACCCAGTGAGCCACAGTATGAGGGTTTCCACCGCCCAGATGAGTAAAACAAGGCACAAGGAGGGACGCGGCCTCCTTCCAGGCCTGCAGCTGTCAGGGAGGCACAGGACTGCACCCCAAGGTCCTGTTGGCCACGTGACCAGGCCGGGCCACCTCCCTGGGCCTTCTGTGGGTTTCTGTGTCTTTGGTGGCCCTTTGGAGCTGGGGCAGAGAAACGGGCATTTGAGCTGCCTGCAGACTGGGCTAGGCCTGGGGTTGGGTGGCGAGATGATGACGGAGCCAGGTGGGGTGGCCCTGGTGACCCAGCTCTCCCTGCACCTAGCAGCCACACCCATGCCCAGTGAGCACATCCCCCGACCTCTCCCCCGCCTCTTCCCGCCCCTGCCCCTGCGCGGGAAAGGCCTGCCCCTGCCCTGCTGGCACCGCTTACACGGCCACTCCCGCTCCGGGGACGTGTGTCAGGCCAGGCTCCCCAGTGCTTGGGCTTAAAACTGTGGACCCAGTTTGGCCGGGCACGGTGGCTCAGGTGTGTAATTCCAGCACTTTGGGAGGCCACAGTGGGTGGATCACCTGAGGTCAGGAGTTCGAGACCAGCCTGGCCAACCTGGTGAAATACCGTCTCTACTAAAAATATAAAAATTAGCCAGGCGCAGTGGTGGGCACCTGTCATCCCAGCTACTCAGGAGGCTGAGGCTGGAGAATCCCTTGAACCCCGGAGGTGGAGGCTGCAGTGAGCCAAGATCACGCCATTGCACTCCAGCCTGGGCAACAGAGCGAGACTGTCTCAAAACAAAATAACTTTGGATCCAGATGTCCCTCTGTGGGGCCCAGTCCCAAAGCTCATCCTTCAGCCAGTGACACTGGGGAAGGAAGCAAGTGACGACACTCGAGAGGTTGTCCTGTTGATAAAAGGGGGACGCACCCCACTCTTTCCCTCTAAGCAGCCGTGACTCTCAAACGAGAGCTTTCGGGAGAAGGCCACCTCTGACAGGGTGCAGCCCAGTTGGCATGTGGTGTCGGCCAGGCCTGCAGGGTGGGTGACCGGACAGGACAGTGAGGGGTAGAGAGGGCTGCAGCCGAGGGTCCCTGACGATGCCCAGGGCTGACCCCACCCTCTGTTCTCCTCCACAGCCACCTCCTAAGCTGCCCAACGGTGTGTTCACCCCCGACTTCCAGGAGTTTGTCAATAAATGGTAGGTGGAGCCGGGCTGCCCACACCCCTGGCCGGGACCCAGATGTGCCACTCCTTCCGGGTCCTGGGTGGGGCCCGTGGCCCAGCCTGCCCATCCAGAATCCCAGTGCAGCGTTAGGCAGGACTCAGCCCAACGGGAAGCCAGATTCCTTTTCCCAGAGCTGTGGGGCTGCAGCTCCCGGCTGCCATGCCATCCTGTCCGTGAGCCCAGGGGTGAAGCAGGATTGCAGGCCCTGTGCACATGACGGTGTCCCCAGCTCACTGTCTGCAGCAGGAGAAGCCTCTGTCTGGTCCCCGGACCCCTGGTGTGCTGACTGTGGGCTCCCCGGGATCCGCCCGCAGGTTCTGGGAGGGTCGCCAGCCCCACTCCATTCTCCTGCCCCCAAGCACCCAGCAGCACCTGTGGCGTGGGCTTCACAGGCATGTGCCGCAGACCACGGGGAAGGAGCTGCGGACACCCCGCTGCCCACAGGGCCGGTCCATGTGTGTGAGCTCGGGACGCCGTGGAACGGCACCGCACTCCTGGTGCCGGAGTTGCCCCGGGCCCTTGGCGTGCGCTCCGGCGATGTTGCCCCGGGCCTGGGGTTTTATTAGACAGTTAGCTGGGGTTGCGTCCAGGCTTCTGACCCACCAGGCGGGGTTTCCCACCCTCTTTCCCTCTCACCCTCCCGCTGGGGGGTGTCCTGCCCCTGGCACCAAAGTGCAGAGGTGGATCCCTCGTCCTCTGCCAGGAGGCAGAACAGAGCAGCCACTCTGTGCCACTCTCTCTGGTCGGAGAGATCCAGGCCCCCTCCGACCACGGCCCACACGCGGGTGCCCCGGGGCCACCAGCTGACTGCCCTGTCTTGTCTCCTCCACCGCCTCCCGGTCCTGCCTCTTGGAACCCCCAGCCTCATCAAGAACCCAGCGGAGCGGGCGGACCTGAAGATGCTCACAGTGAGTGATGCCAGCGGGTTCTGGGACCGGGAGGGTGCAGGCTGCCACCCAGGCCCCAGGAAATAAGGCTGCTGGGCCTGGCCCTGCCCGGGGAGCCAGCACCTGCGACCAGGATGTGGGCAGGCCGGGTGTGCCAGGCCACGCCGAGGACCCTCTGTGGGTCTCTCTCATCCATGAGAGAAGCCATCCTGGGCTGGCTGCGGGGAGCAGAGGGTGTGTGCGTGGGAACAGCTCTGGGCTCTGAGCTCCGCCGCTCCTGCCTGGTGCTGGTCCCGCACCCACAGGATGAGACCCCGGGCTTCTTTGCCCTCATGAGAGGCTGGAGGCAGCTCTCAGCCCCCCAGGCTCCTTTCCCTGCAAACTAGAGGGTGACCATCCCTGTTCTGCACACTGGCAAGCAGGTCCCCCGAGGCCGTGCGTACTTCGGTGTCCCCTTAAACCCCCATCCTCTGATATCCTCGGAAGCCCAGCTGTTCACCAAAACTCGCCTCCCCAGCGGGGACTACACCCTCAGAGGAGGGCCCCGGGCATCATCCTCCTGCCCTCAGCCCAGCCTGCATCCCGAGTGCTTTCCCATACCACAGCCACCGTCAGCGACCTTCAAACCCCTCGACAGCTGATTGGCGGATTGGAGATGCCACCCCCCTAGACAGCCCGTTACTTTCTGTGCCTGTAAGAAAAGAAGAGATGCCAGCTACAGACACCCAACCGGGTGCCTTCTAATACTGGAATGTGGCTTTCAGTTTTGTTTTTTTCTTGAGAGTCGGACAGAGTCTCACTCTGTCGCCCAGACTGGAGTGCAGTGAAGCAATCTCAGCTCACTGCAGTCTCAGCCTCCCAGGCTCACACAATTCTCCAGTCAGCCTCCCAGGTAGCTACGATTACAGGCACCCGCCACCACACCCGGCTAATTTTTGTATTTTTAGTAGAAACAGGCTTTCACCATGTTGTCCAGGCTGGCCTCAAACTCCTGACCTCAGGTGATCCACCTGCCTCAGCCTCCCAAAGTGCAGAGATTACAGATGTGAGCCACCGCACCTGGTCAAAAAAATTTTTGAGATACAGCCTTGCTCTGTCCCCCAGGCTGGAATGCAGTGGTGCGATTGTAGCTCACTGTAGCCCCAACTCCCGTGCTCAAGTGATCCTCCCACTCAGCCTCCTGAGCAGCTGGGGCTACCGATGTGTGCCACCAAGCCCAGCTAGTTTTTGTGTGTGGGTTTTGTTTTTCCCCGCAAAGATGAAGTCTCACTCTTGTCACCCAGGTTGGAGTGCAGTGGTACGATCTCGGCTCACTGCAACCTCCGCCTCCCAGGTTCAGGGAATTCTCCTGTCTTAGCCTCCTCAGCCTCCTAAGTAGCTGGGATTACAGGTGGCTGCCACCACGCCCAGCTAATTTTTGTATTTTTAGTAGAGATGGGGTTTCCCCGTGTTGGCCAGGCTGGTCTCGAACTCCTGACCTCAGGTGATCTGCCTGCCTCAGCCTCGCAAAGTGCTGGGATTACAGGCGTGAGCCACCGTGCCCGACCTGCCCAGCTAGTTTTTTTTATAGAGACAGGGTCTTGCTAATTGTCCAGGCTGGTCTCAAACTCCTGGGCTCAAATGATTCTCCCACCTTGGCCTCCCAGAGGGCTGGGATTACAGGTGTGAGCCACTGCACCTGGCATGTGTGACTTTTTTTCTTTTTTAATGAGGCAGGCTGGGCATTGTGGTGGGCACTTGGAATCCTAGTGCCATAGGGGGATGGCTCTCTGAGGCCAGGAGTTCAAGGCCAGCCTGGGCAACATGGTGAGACTGTGCCTCTCCAAAATAAATAAATAACTAAAAAGAGAGGGGTACTAATGTTGAAATAACTTTTTTTTTCCCTCAGACGGAGTCTTGCTCTGTTGCCCAGGCTGGAGTGCAGTGGCGCAATCTCGGCTCACTGCAAACTCCATCTTCCAGGTTCAAGCGGTTCTCCTGCCTCAGCCTCTCGAGTAGCTGGGATTACAGGCTCGTGCCACCACACCCGGCTAATTTTTGTGTTTTTAGTAGAGATGGGGTTTCACCATGTTGACCAGGCCAGTCTCGAACTTGTGATCCACCCACCTAGGTCTCCCAGAGTGCTGAGATTATAAGCATGAGCCACTGGGCCTGGCTGAAATAGCCATTTTTGAACCAGCTTCTTAAAAATGCTCCCCTGTTGGGTATCCTGGACCTAGCCAAGATGTGTCCTATCAAGTTGGTTGGTTTTTCACCCATACCTACACCGACTTTTAGGAAGATAGGCACCTTGGCCTGCCTCCAGCTGCAAAAGAGGCAGCATTCAGGGGCCCAAGGTCCTGGACACCACCCTCCTGGGAACCCCAAAGGCCTCTACTCACCCACTGTGGGGTGGCCCAGCACAGCCTCTTCCCCAAGGGCACCCGCCCTCCTCCCCCAGCCCTTCCAACCAAGAGGCTTCTCATGTTGTGCTGTCCTGTACAGGAACCGCTGGTCACACGTGGCTGTTGAAGTGTGTTCAGTGGGGCCGGGCACAGTGGCTCACACCTGTAATCCCGGTACTTTGGGAGGCCGAGGTGAGCGGATCATTTGAGGACAGGATTTCGAGACCAGCCTGGGCAACATGGAAAAACCCGGTCTCAACTAAAAATACAAAAATTAGCTGGGCATGGTAGCACGCACCTGTAATCCCAGCTACTTGGGAGGCTGAGGCGGGAGAATTGCTTGAACCTGGGAGGCAGAGGTTACAGTGAGCTGAGATCATACCACTGCACTCCAGCCTGTGCGACAGAGCAAGACTGTCTCAAAAAATAAAAATTAAGGCCAGTTGCGGTGGCTCACACCTATAATCCCAGCACTTCGGGAAGCTGAGGCAGGAGGATCATTTGAGTTCAGGAGTTCGAGACCAACCTGGCCAACATGGTGAATCCCCGTCTCTACTAAAAATACAAAAATTAGCTGGGTGTGGTGGCACATGCCTGTAATCCCAGCTACTGGGGAGGGTGAGGCAGGAGAATCGCTTGAACCCGGGAGGCGGAGGTTGCAGTGAGCTAAGATCACACCACTGCACTCCAGCCTGGGCAACAAGAGTGAAACTCCATCTAAAAAAAAAAAAAATTAAAGTAAAAGTATTTAATTAATTTGTTAAACTGAAATAAAATTGAGGCTTTTGTTCTCAAGCCATGGGAGCCACAGTCCAGGGGCTCTGGAGCCTCATGTGCTGGCGAGTGGGACGGTGCCTGTACAATGCTCTTCGCGGAGTTCTGTGGAACAGCCCGTTCTTGCCTGGGCTGTCCTGCTCCGGGGGACCCTGGCAATGGCTGAGGACATTGTGGTGTCACGACTTGGGGAAGCCCCTGGCATGGAGTGGGTGGAGGCCAGGGACGCTGCTCAGTACCCTGCAGTACCCAGGATGGCCCCACGCCAGAGAATGATCCGGCCCCGGTGTCCACAGCGGCCGGAGGACCCTGGGCTTGCGCGAGCGTAGACCCTCCCCTGGGAGCGCAGGCTGCCGTGCTGGTGGTGTCCCCGCCCCAGGTGGAGTGCAGCATCCTGAGACCCCTCCCAGGCCTGGCACACGCCGCTGCCCCTTTCTGGGTTTCTTTCCCTCTCCTACCCCGAGTGCGTCTTCCTGTGGGGAAGGGAGGGTCTCCTCTGTTTTTTGCTTTCTGTCCCGTACCATCTGCCAGGGCTGGGCAGACGCTGGCCCTCCCCGTCCTACTGTGACTCCAGGCCCGGGTGCTCACGGCTCCCCTTTCCTTGCAGAACCACACCTTCATCAAGCGGTCCGAGGTGGAAGAAGTGGATTTTGCCGGCTGGTTGTGTAAAACCCTGCGGCTGAACCAGCCCGGCACACCCACGCGCACCGCCGTGTGACAGTGGCCGGGCTCCCTGCGTCCCGCTGGTGACCTGCCCACCGTCCCTGTCCATGCCCCGCCCTTCCAGCTGAGGACAGGCTGGCGCCTCCACCCACCCTCCTGCCTCACCCCTGCGGAGAGCACCGTGGCGGGGCGACAGCGCATGCAGGAACGGGGGTCTCCTCTCCTGCCCGTCCTGGCCGGGGTGCCTCTGGGGACGGGCGACGCTGCTGTGTGTGGTCTCAGAGGCTCTGCTTCCTTAGGTTACAAAACAAAACAGGGAGAGAAAAAGCAAACCGCGCCATCCTGCTTCTTTCTTCCGTTCGGCGTTGGGTGCTGGGCTTTGCTTCAGCCCAGCACGGAGAGGACATCCCTGAGCTGACCCGCATCGCCGGGCGCCGAGGCTGGAGGGCGCAGGGCCCTCCCTTAGGGAGAGCTCGCCTCTCCCTTTGGGTCAAGGGATGAAGACCTGCAGTGAGCCCCCAGGCGATGGCGGCTCTCACCAAAAGGAAGGAGAGTGAGGCTGGGGGCGGCGGCTCATGCCTGTCATTCCAGTGCTTTGGGAGCCTAAGGCGGGAGGATCGCTTGAACCCAGGGGATTGAGGCTGCAGTGAACCTCGATGGTGCCAGTGCGCTCCGGCATGGGTGACAGAGCAAGGCTACTGAAAAAAAAGAAGGGAAATGCCACCTGGTTTCCCTCTGTGTCCTCCCCGCCACCATCTCTGCCCCTGTGGAAGGCAGAGCTTCGGCCTTCCGTGATGGAAACCACTTCCTCTACACTGCTCCTGTCACGTAGCCTCCGCGGGAAGGCCGCCCCTGCCTCTTCCCCAGCGTGGCACCATCCTCTCCCTGTCCCCCCGCTTCAGGGAGTGGGGGCTCCCAGCAGTGGCAGCTGAGCTGAGACTCAGCCCCACAGAAAGGAAGCGCTGGCTTTCCAAGCTGTCGGTTTGGTTGGAAACCCCAGCAGGTCCCGAGACACGCCCTGCACTCCCCCTGCGTCCGCAGCAGGCCCAGCCCAGGGCGGGTGGTTCTGTCACCTCTCCTCGCCCAACAAATCAGAAGTGACCACCAGGGCATGTGACACTTTCGGGCCTTTGAACTGTTCCGCCGCAGTGGGCTGCAGATGAAACGGTGAGGGCTTGTCCTGGGGTCTTCGGGGTTCCCGGAGGCCCATCGCCTGCTTCTCCGGTTGTCCGAGATCCAAAGCCCAGCCTTTCTACCTTCGGGACTGTGTGCTCGGATAGAGGAGGCCACCTCTGGGCTAGGTGTGGTGGGCAGCTGGGCTGTTCTAGGGTCCCTCTGAGCTCTCTAAAGCTCTTGAGGCTGTGAGCCTCCCCCTTCAGTACTTCCTGGAGACTACCAGCAAGCTGATATTATCTGCGGGCGAATTGTAGGGGAAGGGTGGCTGGCAACTGTGTTTCTGGAGGAAACAAAGCAGAAGGTGGGGGCTTGTGGTTCTGTGGGAACTGCTGGATTGTCCTTTTCTTCTTAGGGTGACCCTTCTAGTCTTGTGTGGCTTTTTTTTTTTTTTTTTTTCTGCAGACACCAAAGAAGAGATGAGTTGACACCTCCTGCAAACAGCTCCCCAGGCTGCTCTCCTTTATGTTTTGCCCTAAAGTCTCACATGACTTAAAAAAAAAAAAAAAAAAGCCAGGCTTGGTGGCTTACACCTGTAATCTAAACACTTCGGGAGTCCGAGGCAAGAAGATCACTTGAGCCCAGGAGTTCAAGACCAGCCCGAGCAACATAGTAAAACCCTATCTCTACAAAAAAAAAAAAAAAAAAAAAAAAAAATTGGCCGGGCATGGTAGTGCACAACTGTAGTCCCAGCTACTCAGGAGGCTGAGGCAGGAGAATCACCTGAGCCTGGGGAGGTGGAGGTTGCAGTGAGCCAAGATCTCACCATCACACTCCAGCCTGGGCGACGGAGTGTGGCCCCAAAAAATAAAAAATAGGAGAAAAAAAAAAGTGTTGAAGGTGCCGCCCTGTGGGTAACCAGGACCCTCAGGATTGCCGGGAGGGCCGGGGGGAATGTGTTGGCTGCCTGTGCTCCAAACCGGCGGGACCTCGGCCGGTCCTGGAAACCCCAGGGTCCCGGCCACCCCCTGCCATTGGCAAGGAATGAAAGGACACGGAGTCCCAGGGGAGCAGGGGCAGTCTGGGCTAGGTGGGGATGGACCCCGCGCCAGGATCCCTGCGGTGTGCGCAGCCATCCTGCAGCTTCATTGGAGCCCCACGGCACCCCAGAGGGAAGGACGGGAGAGAAGCCGTGGTCTTGCCTATCTTCCCTGCCTCGCTTCAGGGTCAGACTTCTAGAAACTACTTTGTAGATGTGGCAAGAGTGCGTCCACCCTGGCGGTTTCTAGATCTCTCAACTCCTGCTCCCCCAAGAAACCTCCCAGACCCAGCCGCCGCCTCATCCGAGATCCCCCTCCTGCCTGCTGTCCTTTGGACTCGTTGCCTCATTTTCTCCACTGTGGAGGCCTGGGAAGGGATCCCGGGTGCTCCCAAAGGTGGCTACACACCTGGGGATGCCCCTTTTTGCCCTGGCCACGGACATGCTGCAGTCCAGGGGGTAGGATTTCCCTGCCTCCCGGGGCCAGACCCTTTCCTGTAAAACATGCAGCATTTTAAAATTTGCAGGGCATGGGCTGGGTGGCTCACGCCTATAATCCCAGGACTTTGAGACCAAGGTGGGCAGATCACCTGAGGTCAGGAGTTCAAGACCAGCCCGGCCAACACGGCGAAACCCTGTCTCTACTAAAAATACAAAAAAAAGTTAGTCGAGCTTGGTGGTGGATGCCAGTAGTCCCAGCTACTGGGGAGGGTGAGGCAGGAGAATGGCGTGAACCTGGGAGGCGGAGCTTACAGTGAGCTGAGACTGTGTCAGTGCACTCCAGGCTGGGCGAGACAGCGAGACTCCGTCTCAAAAAAATAATAAAAAATAAATAATAAATAACGTTTGCGGGGCTTTAGGGTGAAGGGAGTGTCACTGAAAGCCAGGCCTTGGGGGGCCCTGGGGCAGCTCACTCCTTGACATTGGAAGGTTTTACACAGACGTGTTGAGGTTTTCTGTGGTTATTAAAAACCTCCAGATAGGCCGGAAGCGGTGGCTTATGCCTGTAATCCCAGCACTTTGGGAGGCCAAGAGGGGCGGATCACGAGGTCAGAAGTTCGAGACCAGCCTGGCCAACATGGTGAAACCCTGTCTCTACTAAAAATACAAAAATTAGCCAGGCATGGTAGCACGCCTGTGGTCCCAGCTACTCAGGATGCTGAGGCAGGAGAATCGCTTGAACCCGGGAGGCGGAGGTTGCAGTGAGCCGAGATCGCGCCACTGCACTCCAGCCTGGGCGACAGAGCAAGACTCTGTCTCAAAAAAAAAAAAAAAAACTTCTCGACAACATGATAGCCCTGCCCCCATGTCTGAGGCCCACGTGGACCTGGGGCACACCACCTGTGGCCCCAAGAAGACTCCTACAGTGTTTTGTCGGCTGTTTTCCCAGCTCGGTATTTTTTTTTCCAGACAGAGTATTGCTCTGTCGCCCAGCCTGGAGTGCAGTGGCATAATCTCAGCTCACTGCAACCTTCACCTCCCGGTTCAACTGATTCTTGTGTGTCAGCCTCCCGAGTAGCTGGGACTACAGGTGCCCACCACACCCAGCTAATTTTTGTGTTTTAGTAGAGACAGGGTTTCACCATGTTGCCCAGGCTGGTCTCAAACTCCTGACCTCAAGCCGTCCACCCGCCTCGGCCTCCCAAAGTGCTGAGGTTACAGGCGTGAGCCACCACGCCCACCCCCCAGCTTGGTATTTTCATCGTAAATAAACAGCGCTTGACTTGCTCATATGTGCTGGCTTCTGCCTCCGGAGAGCATGGGCAGCCCTGACATCCCTCTCCATAGTGCAGTCTGTCCCCGGACACACCAAAAAGTCACTGGCTCCATGCAAGTGCCCCAGGCTGTGTGCCGGGCAGGATTTGCTAACATATTTGATTTATGAAGCTGGGGTCACAGGCGACTGCCTGCTCGCTTCATCCTGTGGAATTCTCCCCAGGTGGGACCCAGGCCGGCCCTGGGACAGGCACATACTTCCTTCTCCTCCTGCAACAACCGCCTCGGGGTGGGGCAAGTGGAAAGGTCATCAAATGAAATGAGGCCGGAGAAGCAACCAGCCGCCCAGAGGGTGAGATTCCACGCGGGGCACCACGCCATAGCGTCCCCGTCCTGTCCCCATCCCTGCCACCCCAACCCAATGTGCACATTGCACCCCAGACGAAATGTACATTTCCCAGTTTTAGCAGGATTTCCCTGTTAAAACATTTTAAATAGAAAGGGCTGGGCACAGTGGCCCACGCCTATAATCCCAGCACATTGGGAGGCCAAGGCGGGAGGATCACTTGAGGTCAGGAGTTCGAGACCAGCCTGGGCAACATGGTGAAATCCCATCTCTACTAAAAATACAAAAATTAGCCAGGCATGGTGGCGGGCGCCTGTAATCCCAGCTACTAGGGAGGCTGAGGCAGGAGAATCCCTTGAACCTGGGAGGTGGAGCTTGCAGTGAGCTGAGATCATGCCACTGCACTCCAGCCTGGGCAACAGAGCGAGACTCCATCTCAAGCAAACATAAATTAGCCAGCGTGTTCACTTAAACCCAGGAGAGGAAGGCTGCAGTGAGCCAAGATCGTGCCACTGCCCTCCAGCTTGGGCGACAGAGCAACACTCTGTCTCAAAACAAACAAACAAACAAAAATTAGCCGGCCTGTTCACTTAAACCCAGGAGACGGAGGCTGCAGTGAGCCAATATCATGCCACTGCCCTCCAGCCTGGGTGACAGAGCGAGACTCTGTCTCAAAAAAAATAAATACCGTTCTGGTGCAGGGGCTCATGCCTGTAATCCCAGCACTTTGGGAGGCCAAGGTGGGTGATCACCTGAGGTTAAGAGTTCAAGACCAGCCTGGCCAACATGATGAAAGCCCATCTCTACAAAAAATACAAAAATTAGCTGGGCATGGTTGTGGGCACCTGTAATCCCAACTACTTGGGAGGCTGAGGCAGGGGCGCAGGAGTTACCTGTTCCACCCCGCGCCCCTGCATTCCAGCCTGGCAACAGAGGGAGACAGACTCCATCTCAATAAATAAATAAATAAATAAATATTAATAAACAAAATAGAGGAAAAGAACAGATGATTTGATAGTATATTTCACCCAGCAGAGCCAAAATATTCCCGTTTCACCTTGGAATCAATATGAAATATTTAGGTTTTTCTCTCTTTTTTTTTTTTTTTTTGAGATGGAGTCTCGCTTTGCTGCCCAGGCTGGAGTGCAGTGGCGTGATCTCGGCTCACCACAACCTCCACCTCCCGGGTTCAAGCGATTCTCCTGCCTCAGTCTCCCGAGTAGCTGGGATTACAGGCATGTGCCACCACACCCGGCTAATTTTTGTATTTTTAGTAGAGACAGGGTTTCACCATGTTGGCCAGGCTGGTCTCGAACCCCTGACTTCAATGATCTGACCGCCTTGGCCTCCCAAAGTGCTAGGATGACAGGTGTGAGCCACCACGCTGGGTGGTTTTGTTTTGTTTTGTTTTGTTTTGTTTTTTTGGATGCAAATACTTGGGAATTTTGTCTGCCAGGGACTGCCTGACCGGCCGGCACAAAACTCAGTCATTTCTGTCCCCTCACAGATGTCTTTTAATCCACTGGATCTTAGCAGGAACAATTCTGTCCCCCCACCCAGGGGAGGCTTGGAAACTCCCAGACGTCTGTGGTTGTCGAGACAGGGGGTGCCCCTGCCATGGAATGGATGGAGGCCAGAGATGTCACCCAGCACCCTGCAGTGCCCAAGGCAGCCCCACCTCCCGAGGACCATCCAGCCCAGATGTCCCCAGTGCAGGTTGGAGGCGGGGGTCTCAGGCAGCCCTCCCTGGGGCCAGGGCGGTTTCCTGTGTGCAGAGTCTGGGACACAGGGTGGAGGGGGTGCAGGCAGGGGACAGCTGCACCCGGGGTGGGGACATGATGGGGCAGCACATAAAGAAGCTTCTAGAAGGTGGGCGGTCTAGGGCCACGTGGCCAGGGGTGGAGGTGTGTGACCTGCAGGAAGCCTCAGGTCCCGCAGGCGGAACTCAGCCTCCTGGAGGCCCTGGGCTCCAGGGCAGGTTAAGGAGAGTTCAGAGGAAGTTGTCACAGCCTTTCCCAGAATGCAGGGGTCTGGCGAGGAGTGGGAGGGAGGGAGGAAGAAGGGGCCCGGCTCAAAACGAAACCAGCAGCGGCCGGCGGCCCCACCCCTCCCTCCGCTCCTCTTCCTGGCCTCTGAGCTGACCAGGTGTGCAGGCCCCGGGGCCTCCAGGCCGCACCTGGAGCAACAGGCCAGGTGGGTTTAGGGTGGCGCAGGAGTTACCTGTTCCGCAGTCCCTGGCAGGCGGACAGGAGAGGCCTGGGCCCAGTGGCGACCTGGAACTGGAGGCCCAGTCTCAGGTTTCTGCCAGGCTTCCCAGGGGAGGGACAGAGGCCTGGAGAGAGGCCCCCTGGAGGGTAGCACAGGTGAGGACCCACCCCCCCAGCTGGGACCCTGACCCCAGCTCTCTCCCATCTACCAGTGACTCACCACCAGCCCCTCAGGAGAGCAGGGCCTCCTGTTTTGTTTACGTTTTTGTTTGAGGCAGGGTCTCACTCTGTTGCCCAGGCTGGAGGGCAGTGGCGCGCCATCATAGCTCACTTCAGCCTCCGCCTCCCAGGTTCCAGCGATCCTCCTGCCTCAGCCTCCTGAGTAACTGGGACTGCAGGCGCGCGCCACCATGCCCAGCTCATTTTTTGAAACTTTCTCGTAGAGATGGGGTCTCACCGTATTGCCCAGGCTGGCCTGAAACTCCTGGAACTCCTGGCCCCAAGCAATCCTTCTGATCCCAGTGTGCTGGGATTATAGGCGTGAGTCGCTGCGGCCAGCCAGGGCCTCCTGTTTGAACATCAGGACCACAGGCCTGACGATATTTCTGCTGTCCTTGGGCCTGTGACCTTGGGGAAGATAGAATCCCCTCTGAGAGCCTCAGTTTCCCTATTTGCAAAGGAACTCATCACAGGCTCAAGAAAAGAGAGAAGCGTCCACGGAGGAGCGAATCCTCTCTGCAGACTTCCGAGGAGGCCCACATCCCTTCTGTTTGCACCCCACAAAATAGGCTGACCAGGTTTGCCTCTCCCCACACAACCTCTGCGGCAGCGGAGTCCCTGCAAGTTAGGTGACCTTCTGAAGGTGACTCGAACCTCCCCCAGGGAAGACATGGACGATCCTGTGGTCCCACCATCCTGCTGTCTCCCCTGACAGGACACTGCCTTCGTGACCCACAAATATTTGGGGCTTTTCTGCAGTGCTCTGTGGGATCCTAAAAGATAAGAGCCCCTGTCCATCGCTGGGGAGCCTGCAGCCTCCCCACGGCGCTCGCTCGGGCCCAGAAATTAGAATTTATAGCCGCCCTAAGGGCTAAAGGCAAATTTAGCCAGCACCTAGAGGAGAAGTCCTGGGAAGGAGGGGAATCCACAGCTGAGGGCTGGAGAGGACATTCCCAACAGTGGCGGGGCCAACATGGGCAACGGTGTCAGCAAAGGCTGGGTGGCAGGACTGGGTGACAGGGGCCCTTGGAGAGGCCCAGCCTGGCTGGGGGCGCGGGCTGGGAGCAACGAGGTTCAAAATATGGCCATGAAGCTGAGATCCCTTCCTCCCTCCAGGCAAGAAAGGGGGGCAGCTTTTTTTTTTTTTTTTTTTTTTTTTTGAGATGGAGTCTCGCTCTGTCACCCAGGCTGGAGTGCAGTGGCGCAATCTCGGCTCACTGCAAGCTCTGCCTCCCAGGTTCATGCCAATCTCCTGCCTCAGCCTCCCCAGTAGGTGGGACTACAAGTGCCTGCCGCCACACCCGGCTAATTTTTTTGTATTTTTTAGTAGAGACGGGTTTTCACCGTGTTAGCCAGGATGGTCTCGATCTCCTGACCTCGTGATCCGCCCGCCTCGGCCTCCCAAAGTGCTGGGATTACTGGCGTGAGCCACTGCTCCTGGCCAAGGGGGGCAGCTTTGAAAGCCCCTGGCACAACCTCCTGAGCTGTGGCATCGCTGCCAAGATGGCACTGAGGGCCCTCCAAGGCACGGGGTCCCTACTGGGCCCCCTGAGTGTGGCTGGTGGCTGGTGGCTGGTTGCCTCTTGGAGTAAGGCTCACTGCACACAAAGGTTAAAGGCTGGAGGTCACCAGGCCTGGAGCAGTGGCAGGTTCAAATGCAGATGTTGCCGCAACTTCCGTCAGTATCTAGAACTATCTGGAACTCGCACTCCCAGGAACACCGCCGTCCAGGTCGCCTTCCCTTCCTCCCTCAAGCCAGTTTGAGCTCTGTGCAGAGACAAAGGCTGGGCCCTGAGTGGCTGTCCTGGGTCCCCCTTCCTCCCGGAATACCAAGCTCACACCGTTTCTCAGGCCTCGGGAGACCCTTCCTGTCAGGCCTTTGCAGCTCTGTCCCCACGGACACTGGGCTCCCTGGGCTCTTGGAGGAGGAAGGAGGGAGGAGGGGCATGGAGGAGGAGGGAGGAGGGGCAGAGAGGAGGAAGGAGGAGGAACAGGGAAGAGTAGGGGGAGGGAGGAGGAGTAGGGAAGAGGAGAGAGGAGGAGCAGGGGTGAGTAGGGAGGAAGAAGGAGCAAGAAGGAGGAGGAGGGAGGAAGGAAGAGCAGGGAGGAGGGGCAGGGAGGAGGGAGCAGAGGCAAAGAGGAGGAGGGAGGAGTAGGAGGGAGGAAGGAGGAGCAGGGGGGAGGAGGGAGGAGAGGAAAGGAGGAGGGAGGAGAGGCAAAGAGGAGAAGGGGGAGTAGGAGGGAGGAAGGAGGAGCAGAGAAGAGCAGGGAGGAGGGAGGAGAGGCAAGGAGGAGGAGGGGGGAGTAGGAGGGAGGAAGGAAGAGCAGGGAGGAGGGAGGAGGGGCAGGGAGGAGGAGGGAGGAGGGGCAAGAAGGAGGCGGGAGGGAGGAGGAGGAGCATCTAGGAGGAGGGAGAAGGGAGGAGGAGCATCAAGGAGAAGGGAGGAGGAGCAATGATCACAGACACAGGAGGGAGCTCCCTGGGATTTCATAAGATCCTAGTGCCAGAGCCAGGTGGGCTGAGGAAAGAGGAGATCCTGAATGTGGAACCCTGCAAGGGAGATTAGACTGGAGTCCTAGCTGACACTTGCAGGTATCCACTCTACACTCCCCATACCTTTTTTTTTTTTTTTTTTTCTGAGACAGAGTCTAGCTTTGTCACCCAGGCTGGAGTGCAGTGGCACAATCTCAGCTCACTAAAACCTCCACCTCCCAGGTTCAAGCGATTCTTCCGCCTCAGCCTCCCGAGTAGCTGGGATTACAGGTGCGCACCACCACGCCCAGCTAACTTTTGTACTTTTAGTAGAGACGGGGTTTCACTGTGTTAGCCAGGATGGTCTCGATCTCCTGACCTTGTGATCTGCCTGCCTCAGCCTCCCAAAGTGCTGGGATTACAGGCGTGAGCCACCATGCCCGGCCCCCTCCTCCCCTCTTTTCCCTTTCCCCTTCCCGTCCCCACCCCTCCCTCTCTCCCTCCCCTTCCCTTCATCTCCCCTCCCTGTCTTCCCCTCCCTACTCTTTCCCTCCCACCTCTTCCCCTCCCCCTCTCCTTTCCTCCTGCCCTCCCCATCCCCTCCCCCTTCTCCTCCTCCTCTCTTCCCCCTCCCCCTTCCCCTCCCCACCCCTCCCTCTCTCCCTCCACCTCCTCCCTCCTTTCCCCTCCCCATCCCCTCTCCCTTTCCCCTTCTCTCCCCATAATTTGTTTGTTTGTTTTTTTGAGACAGGATCTCACTCTGTCACCCAGGCTGGAGGGCAGTGGCGGCACGATCACCTCTCACTGCAGCCTCCTGCTCAGGTGAACCTCCTGTCTCAGCCTCCTGAGTAGCTGGGATGACAGGCACACACCACCATGCCTGACTAGTTTTTTTTTTTTTTTTGTAGAGTCAGGGTTTCGTCATGTGGCCAGGCTGGTCTCCAAGTCCTGGGCTCAAGGTATCCTCCATCCTCCTGCCTCGGTCTCCCAAAGTGCTGGGGTTACAAGTGTCAGTCACCGCGCCATGCCCCCTCTCCCCATCATTAAAGGGGAGGGGCCATTGTGTACCCAGCCCACTTGTCTCTGTACCTCTCTGGGCCTCCGCAGGGCGCCACCTGTAAATGCTAACGTGGGTTTCCCTTTTTATTTATTTATTTTTTGTTTTTGAGACAAGAGTCTCTGTTGCCCAGGCTGGAGTGCAGTGGCGCAATCTCGGCTCGCTGCAAGCTCCGCCTCCCGGTTTCACGCCATTCTCCTGCCTCAGCCTCCCGAGTAGCTGGGACTACAGGCGCCTGCCACCACGCCCGGCTAATTTTTGTATTTTCAGTAGAGCTGGGGTTGCACCATGTTGGCCAGGCTAGTCTTGAACTCCTGACCTCATGATCCACCTGCCTCGGCCTCCCAAATTGCTGGGATGACAGGTGTGAGCCACTGCACTGGACTGCTAATGTGGGTTTCTAAGGTTCCAGCAGCCTCCCTAAGCCTCCTGTTTGGAAGTCCTGGGTTCCTGCCCTGTGTGGGGTGGAGAAGGGGCTTTTCCAGGAGCACAGAGCTGCCAGCCCAGGTGGATCCCCTCAGCACCTCAGCCAGCTGGTGCTGCCTTTCTATCCATTTTTTTATTATTATTATTATTATTTTAGACGGGGTCTCAGTCTGTTGCCCAGGCTGGAGTGCAGTGGTGTGATCTCAGCTCACTGCAACCTCCACTTCCCAGATTCAAGTGATTCTCCTGCCTCAGCCTCCCAACTAGCTGGAATTACAGGCGCCTGCCACCACGGCTGGTTAATATTTATTTATTTATTTTCTCTCTTTTTATTATTCCCGTTTTACAATGAAGAGGCTAATTTTTATTTTTCTTAATTTTTAATGTTTATATTTTGAGATGGAGTCTGGCTCTCTTGCCCAGGCTGGAGTGCAGTGGCACGATCTTGGCTCACTGCAACCTCTGCCTCCCGGATTCAAGCAATTCTCCCACCTCAGCCTCCAGAGTAGCTGGGATTACAGGTGCAAGCCACCATGCCTGGCTAAGTTTTATATTTTTAGTAGAGACGGAGTTTCACCACGTTGGCCAGGCTGGTCTTGAACTCCTGACCTCAAGTGATCTGCCCCTCTTCGCCTCCTAAGGTGCTGCAATTATAGGTGTGAGCCATCCAGCCCAGCCAAGTGACTATACTAAAAACCACTGAGGCTGGGTGAGGTGACTCATGCCTGTAATCCCAGCACTTTGGGAGGCCGAGGCGGGCAGACTGCCTGAACGCAGGAGTTCAAGACCAGCCTGGGCAACATGGTGAAACACTGTCTCTACTAAAATGCAAAAATTAGCCGGGCATGGTGGTGGGCGCCTGTAGTCCCAGCTACTCTGGAGGCTGAGACACGAGAATCAGTTGAACCTGGGAGGTGGAGGCTGCAGTGAGCCGAGACTGCTCTGCTGTACTCCAGAGTGAGACTGTGTCTCCAAAAAAAGAAAAAAGAAAAACAAAAAACCACTGAACTCTATACTCTAAATGGGTGAATTGCATGGCATGTGAATTATATCTCAATAAAGCTGTTAAAAAAAAAAAAAAAGAAAACTACCGCCCTCTCACATTTTGACACAGACTAACCGCCTATCTCTACCGAGATATGTTATTGATATTGACATGCAAATGGTCACTCCCCTATCCTGTCTGACCAGCACCAAGCACCTGCCCCACCTTGACTGGGCCCTGTGGGGGTGCTGGGGACAGGGAGGTCAGTGGGTCCCAGTCCCTGCTCTTGAGTGAGTGGCTCAAGCCCCAGGCCCCCACCAAGCAGGAAGGACCTGAGGGTGGGGTGGGGATGGAGGTGGGGTGGGACAAGGCCATGCCCAACTGAATTTCCAGCCTGGATCTGCTAGCGGACAGAGCTCCAGCCTCCGCTGGGGGTTCTGGGGGACAGTGGCTCATCCCGGGCTCGGGACTCGGGCAGCCCGGAGCCTCCTTCCCGGTGGTTTCTGGGCCAAGGGTCTCTCCCTGGCCAAAGGAGCGGCCGACATCCTGTTCTGCCTGGGAGTTGGCCCCGCCCCCTCCCACGGGGACATTATGGGATGGTCCGCGGTGCTGGAGGAATCTTTGAACTTCCCAGCGCCGGGTGGGGTGTACGTGATTCTTAGCCCCACTTTTGGGTAACTGAGGGGTTCAGGAAAGGAGGCTCAGGGATAGTGGGAAGTTGCTTCTCCCACCCAAGGTCACACAGGGAGAACTTGACCTTGACCCCATGACCTTGACTTCCAGGACCCCCCCCCCCCCCCCCGCCCCGGCCAGGCCAGAAGAAGGTCAGGAAGGTCAGGAAAAGGAGCGGCAGGTGGTGGACCCCTCCCCGGCCCCCGACTTAACAAGGCCACCCTCCCCGGCTCTGTCCATCTCTCTGTCCCTCTTCTCCTCTCTCTGTCCCCAGCCCTGAAAGTGAAACCGGTGATACCAAAGTGAAACGGAAGCTCCGGCCCCCGCAGCCCAAGCCCGGCAGGCAGAGACGGAGAGAAGGAGAGGGGAACAGGGGCCAGCCCACGTGGCAGGTGGGCTGCAGGGAGGGAGGACTCCGCTCTTTAAATTGCGGTGGTTCTTAAAAAAAGAACAAACCCAGGAGGTCTGGCTGGACCAGAACCGCAGCCATGATCTCCCCTCCCACAGCCCCGCCCCCACCCCTGAAGTCTGGAGTCTTCAGCTCCACACTGGGGGTGCCATGTTGAGGATTCTGCACAACTGGGGGCTGGGGGAGAGGACAGACTGGCCTTGTCCATTGTTGGGAGGTCCCGTGGGGTGAGGGTGACCCTTGGGGTCCATCTCCAGGGTCCAGGAATCACCCCAAAGTGGGTAAAGCCTGGGGCCAGGGTCCCCCCCTTATCCCAGAGTAGAGACTGTCTGCTTTGGACAAGGGGGTGCCCAGGGGTGGTGGTGGAGGGCAGTGGATGGCTGAAGTCCTGCCTTGTCCAGGGGTCACTGGCCAGTGGCTTTTCTTCTCTGCAGAGCACAGAGAGGAGAGAAGTGTGTGGGTGCCTTCTACAGCGAGCAAGACTGAAGTTAGACCCAGGCTAGAATTTCAGCCCCTCGGTGTGGTGGACACTATGGGACCTGATCAACCTCTGGGGTGGGTCCGTCCTGGGCACTGCAGGGTGCTGAGCTGTGTCCCTGGCCTCCACCCACCCCCTCCCCAATCACAACACCTAAAAATGTCTCCAGATATCACCCAGTATCGCCTGGAAGGAGGCAGAGTCACTCCAGATGAGACCTCCTGAGCTAAAGGGTACTGGGCCACAGAGAGAGGTAGAGACTGGGCCCTGAGCCATGACCCAAAAGGCAGCAGGCCCTGGGCTTTGGAGCTCTGTGGCCAGGTCCTGAGAGGTGCCTGGGAGGCAGCCATCCAGTCTGGAAGAGAGGGGGTGGGGCAAGAGGCTGCCTCTCAGTTGCAGAGAGGGAACTGGGCTTGGTAAAAACGGGGCAGAAGGGACCCATTGCAGATGGGAATTCTGAGTGGTGTGGTGGACACGGATCCAGTCCCAGCATAGCTACCAAGGCTTCTGTCTTCTGGAACAAATAGAAGTCACCTCTTAGCAGCTGCCCAGGTGAAAATACCCAGGCACCATCTCCCCAACCGCTATGAATTCAGAAGCCATGGAGAA
Source organism: Homo sapiens (assembly GCF_000001405.40). NCBI lineage: Eukaryota > Metazoa > Chordata > Mammalia > Primates > Hominidae > Homo > Homo sapiens. The sequence continues at coordinate 4,076,903 of NC_000019.10, read as the reverse complement.
ATCAGCAGCTCAGAAAGTATTTCTCCCAGGCCGGGCACGGTGGCTCACGCCTGTGATCTCAGCACTTTGGGAGGCCGAAGCGGGTGGATCACCTGAGCTCAGGAGTTCGAAACCAGTATGGTCAACACGGTAAGACCACATCTGTAGTAAAAATACAAAAGTTAGCCAGGTGTGGTGGCACACACCTGTAATGCCAGTTACTCAGGAGGCTGAGGCAGGAGAATCACCTGAACCCGGGAGGTGGAGGTTGCAGTGAGCCGAGATCACACCACTGCACTCCAGCCTGGGTGACAGAATGAGACTCAGTCTCAAAAAATAAAATAATAAATAAATAAATAAATTGAGATATAATTCACATACCAGAATATGTACCTTTTATTATTTATTTATTTATTTATTTATTTATTATTTTTTTGAAACAGAGTTTTGCTCTTGTTGCCCAGGCTGGAGTGCAATGGCACGATCTTGGCTCACTCCAACCTCTGCCTCCCAGGTTCAAGTGATTCTCCTGCCTCAGCCTCCCAAGTAGCTGGGATTACAGGCACCCACCACCATGCCTGGCTGATTTTTGTATTTTTAGTGGAGATGGGGTGTCGTCATGTTGGTCAGGCTGGTCTTGAACTCCTGACGTCAGGTGATCTGGCTGCCTCGACTTCCCAAAGTGCTGGGATTCCAGGCATGAGCCACCATGCCCGGCTAATTTTGTATTTTTAGTGGAGATGGGTGTCGTCATGTTGGCCAGGCTGGTCTTGAACTTCTGACCTCAGGTGATCCAGCCGCCTCGGCTTCCCAAAGTGCTGGGGTTCCAGGCATGAGTTTGTCCTTTTTTTTTTTTTTTTTTTTTGAGACAGAGTCTCACTCTGTTGCCCAGGCTGGAGTGCAGTGGCGCAATCTCGGCTCACTGCAACCTCCGCCTCCCAGGTTCAAGCCATTCTCCTGCCTCAGCCTCCTGAGTAGCTGGGATTACAGGCCCACGTCACCACACCCGGCTAATTTTTTTTTTGTATTTTTAGTAGAGATGGGGTTTCATGATGTTGGTCAGGCTGATCTCGAACTCCTGACCTCATGATCCGCCCGCCTCAGCCTCCCAAAGTGCTGGGATTACAGGCGTGAGCCACCGCGCCCAGCCTTGAGCCTGCCCTTTTTAAAGGGTGCGATTCAGTCATTCTCAATACATTCACAGACTTGTGCAACTATCACCACTATCTAGTTGCAGAACCTATCACCCCAGAAAGGAAGCCCCATCCCCATCGGCAGTCACTACCCATGCCCCTCCCGACCCCGGCACCCACGCATCCCCTTCCTGCCTCTGTGGCTTGGCCTGTCCTGGACATTTCATAGAAATGGGATCACACGCTGTGTGGCTTTTTGTGTCTGACTTCCCTCACTGAGTGTGAGGTCCTCAGGGTTCATCCACGCGGTGGCCTGAGTCAGAGCCTCCTTCCTTTTCATGGCTGAATTCAGAACACTTTAAATAAAGTCCACAGCCTGCACCACGGCCACAAGTCCCCACTGGGTGCCCTCTGGCTCCCAACTGCAGCCACTCTGGGCACCTTGGCTGTTCCTCTCACCTAGGAAACATACGGAGGTCTTCAGCTAATTCTATCTTCATTAAGATGTCTGCTCATGGCCGGGCGCAGTGGCTCACCCCTGTAATCCTAGCACTTTGGGAGGCCAACATGGGTGGATCACATGAGGTCAGGAGTTCGAGACCAGCCTGACCAACATGGTGAAACCCTGTCTCTACTAAAAATACAAAGAGTAGCCAGGCGTGGTGGCAGGAGCCTGCAATCCCAGCTACTCGGGAGGCTGAGGCAAGAGAATCTCTTGAACCCAGGAGGCGGAGGTTGGAGTGAGCTGAGATCGTGCCACTGCCCTCCAGCCTGGTGACAGAGCAAGACTCTGTCTCCAAAATAAAAGAAAGAAAGAAAGAAAGAAAGAAAGAAAGAAAGAAAGAAAGAAAGAAAGAAAGAAAGAAAGAAAGAAAGAAAGGAGAGAAAAGATCTCTGCTCAAACATCACTTCCTTTGAAGAAATCATCTTCATGATCTTTTTTTTTTTTTTTGGTAGAGACAGGGTCTCACTATGTTGCCCAGGCTGATCTTGACCTCCTGGGCTCAAGCGATCCTTTAGCTTTGGCCTCCCAAGATGCTGGGATTACAGACGTGAGCCACCGTGTAGGCCCTTCAGGACTATTTAAAAAATGAAATAGCCTCTAGGCACAAGTCGGTTTTGTCTGATTCTGTGGGATCTCTGTGTCTTTTGCTATCTTTGAGTTATTTCACAACCCCGTAAGTTGTAGAAAACTGATAATAATTGCAACGATTCCTGTCCACAAGAAAACAAATTCATTGTGTATCGTCACGTCGTCTTCCTTCTATTTGTAGATCCATTCTAGCATTTCTTTTTTTTGAGACGGAGTCTCGCTCTGTCGCCCAGGCTGGAGTGCGGTGGGGTGATCTTGGCTTACTGCAAGCTCCGCCCCCTGGGTTCACACCATTCTCCTGCCTCAGCCTCCTGAGTAGCTGGGACTACAGGCACCCACCACTATGTGTAGCTAATTTTTTGTATATTTAGTAGAGACGGGGTTTCACCGTGTTAGCCAGGATGGTCTCGATCTCCTGACCTCGTGATCCACCCGCCTCGGCCTCCCAAAGTGCTGGGATTACAGGCTTGAGCCACCGTGCCCGGCCCTTTTTTTTTTTTTTTTTTTTTTTTGAGACAGAGTTTTGCTCTTGTTGCCCAGGCTGGAGTGCAATGGCACGATCATGGCTCACCACCTCCCGGGTTCAAGTGATTCTCCTGCCCCAGCCTCCTGAGTAGCTGGGATTACAGGCGTGCGCCACCACGTTCGGCTAATTTTGTGTTTTTAGTAGAAATGGGGTTTCACCATGTTGGTCAGGCTGGTCTCAAACTCCTGACCTCAGGTGATCCACCCGCCTCAGCCTCCCAAAATGCTGGGATTACAGGTGGGAGCCAGCATGCCCGGCCTATTATTATTATTTTAAATTTTAGAGATGGAGTCTTGCTCTGTTGCCCAGGCTGGAGTGCAGAGGATACTGACGGACACAATCATAGCTCACTGCAGCCACCAATTCCTGGGCTCAAGTGATCCTCCTGCCTCAGCCTCCCACATAGCTGGGACTATAGGCATGCACCACTGCGCTTGGTTCCTAATTATGCAAAAAAAAAAAAAAAAGAAATTCCCTGGCTAGGTATGGTGGCTCACGCTTGTAATCCCAGCACTCTGGGAGGCCAAGGCAGTGGATCACCTGAGGTCAAAAGTTCGAGACCAGCATGGCCAACATGGTGAAACCCCGTCTCTACGAAAAATACAAAAATTTGCTGGGGGTGGTGGCATGCACCTGTAATCCCAGCTACTCAGAGGCTGAGACAGGAGAATCACTTGAACCCGGGAGGTGGAGGTTGCAGTGAGCTGAGATAAGGTTGCACCATTGCACTCCAGGCTGGGCGACAGAGCGAGACTCCGTCTCAAAAACAAACAAACAAACAAAAAACAATTCTCCAGGACTGGTCCTGGTATTTCCATTCCTATGGCTTGCTTTTCTCATTGCACTCATGATGTCTGGAATCCTTGTATTCATTTGTCTTCTTTCTTACTATCTTTAGCCTCCTCTAGCCTGTACGCTGGAGAGCAGGGACTTGGCCCATGGAAAGCACATGGTCCATTTTTGTCCAGTGAATAAATGAGACAGGAAGGCATGGCCGGGCACGGTGGCTCATGCCTACAATCCCAGCACATTGGGAGGCCAAGGCTGGTGGATCACTTGAGCCCAGGAGTTTGAGACCAGCCTAGGCAACATAGCCAGACTCTGTCTCTATCTACAAAATAAAAAGAAAAGTAATTAGGTCGGGCACGGTGGCTCACGCCTGTAATCCCAGCACTTTGAGAGGCTGAGGTAGGTGGAACATCTGTGGTCAGAAGTTCGAGACTAGCCTGACCAACAGGGAGAAACCCCGTCTCTACTAAAAATACAAAATGAGCCCGGTGTAGTGGTGGGTGCCTGTAATCCCAGCTACTCGGAGGTTGAGGCAGGAGAATGGCTTGAACCCGGGAGGTGGAGGTTGCGGTGAGCCAAGATCGCGCCATTGTACTCTAGCCTGGGTGACAAAATCAAAACTCTGTCTCTAAATAAATAAGTAAATAATAGGTCAGGCGCGGCAGCTCACACTTGTAATCCTAGCACTTTGGAAGGCCAAGGCGGATGGATCACAAGGTCAGAAGTTCAAGACCAGCCTGACCAACATGGTAATACCTCATCTCTACTAAAAATACAAAAATTAGCCGGGCATGATGGTGTGTGCCTGTAGTCCCAGCTACTTGGGAGGCTGAGGCAGAATTGCTTGAACCTGGGAGGCAGAGGTTGCAGTGAGCCAAGATTGCGCCACTGCACTCCAGCCTGGGAGACAGAGTCATACTCTGTCTCTAAATAAATAAATAAATAAATAAAGCACAAGGCCGGGCACGGTGGCTCACGCCTGTAATCCCAGCACTTTGGGAAGCCGAGGTGGGCGGTTCCCAAGGTCAAGAGTTCGAGACCAGTCTGGCCAATATAGTGAAATCTCGTCTCTACTAAAAATACAAAAAATTAGTGGGACGTTGTGGCGGGCACCCGTAATCCCAGCTACTCAGGACGCTGAGGCAGGAGAATTGCTTGAACCCGGGAGGCGGAGGTTGCGGTGAGCCAAGATCGTGCCATTGCACTCCAGCCCAGGCAACAGTGCGAGACTCCGTCAGAAAGAAAATAAATAAAAATAAAAATGAAAAATAAAAAGCACAGTTGTTTCTAGAATATTGAAAGAGTTATGGAACCATTACTTCTATATAACTTCAGAACATTCTCATCATCACCAAAATAAACCTCATGTCCAATAGCAGTCACCCCCATTCCCCTCCCCAGCCTCTGACAACCACGCATCCACTTTGTATCTCCATGGATTGGCCTGTTCAGCACATTTCAGAGAAATGGGATCACACAGTTTGGACTTTTGTGTCTTGCTTCTCTCACTGAGTATGATGTCCTCAAGGTGCATCCACACTGTGGCCTGCATCAGAGCTTTGCTCCTCTTCATGGCTGAGTCATATTCCGCTGTGTGGATGTCCTATGCTGTGTTTATCCATTGATCTAATAATGGAAGCTGGGCGCAGTGGCTCATGCCTGTAGTCCTAGCACTTAGGGAAGCTGAGATGGGTGGATCACCTGAGGTCAGGAGTTTGAGACCAGCCTGGCCAACATGGTGAAACCTCTTCTGTACTAAAAATACAAAAATTAGCCAGGCATGGTGGCAGGTGCCTGTAATCCCAGCCACTTGGGAGGCTGAGGCAGGAGAATCGCTTGAACCTGGGAGATGGAGGTTGCAGTGAGCTGAGATTGTGCCACTGCACTTCAGCCTGGGTGACACAGGAGACTCTGTCTCAAAAAAAAAAAAAAAGAAAGAAAGAAAAGAATAATAGCAATGGACACTGGAATTGTTTCCACCTTTTGGCTGTTGTGAATTATGCTGTTATAAACATTCTATTTCGGCCGGGCGCGATGGCTCACGCCTGTAATCCCAGCACTTTGGGAGGCCGAGGTGGGTGGATCACGAGGTCAGGAGATCGAGACCATCCTGGCTAACACAGTGAAACCCCGTCTCTACTAAAAATACAAAAAAAATTAGCCGGGCGTGGTGGCGGATGCCTGTAGTCCCAGCTACACGGGAGGCTGAGGCAGGAGAATGGCGTGAACCCTGGAGGCGGAGCTTGCAGTGAGCCGAGATCGCGCCACTGCACTCCAGCCTGGGCGACAGAGCGAGACTCCACCTCAAAAAAATAAAATAAAATAAAATAAACATTCTATTTCATTATTATTATTATTCATTTATTTTTAAAAAATGGAGATGGGGCCAGGCGCGGTGGCTCATGCCTGTAATCCCAGCAATTTGGGAGGCCAAGGTGGGTGGATCACAAGGTCAGGGATTTGAGACCAGCTTGGCCAATATGGTGAAACTCCATCTCCAGTAAAAATACAAAAATTAGCTGTGCATGGTGGCGTGCACCTGTAGTCCCAGCTACTTGGGAGGCTGAGGCACAAGAATTGCTTGAACCCGGGAGGTGAAGGTTGCAGTGAGCTGAGATCGCGGCACTGCACTCCAGCCTGGGCAACAGAGGGAGACTCCGTATCAAAATAAATAAATAAATAAAAATAAAATAAAATATTACATGACTTCACAGCACAGTCTAGTCAACGTAACTGAAACTCAAGTCCCCCCAGCCACTCCCTTTGTGTCTTTGCTAAGTTACTCCTCCTCCCTGGTCCCCTGTCTACATCTATCCACCAAGGATAATAACCCTGGCTACGGCCGGGCCCGGTGGCTCACGCCTGTAATCCCAGCACTTTGGGAGGCCGAGGTGGGCGGATCATCTGAGGTCGGGAGTTCAAGACCAGCCTGAATAACATGGAGAAACCCCGTCTCTACTAAAAATACAAAATTAGAGGCCGGGCACGGTGGCTTATGCCTGTAATCCCAGCACTTTGGGAGGCCGAGGCGGGCGGATCATGAGGTCAGGAGTTTGAGACTAGCCTTGCCCACATAGTGAAACCCCATCTCTATAAAAACGCAAAATTAGCTGGGCATGGTGGTGCGCGGCTGTAATCCCAGCTACTCAGGAGGCTGAGGCAGGAGAATCGCTTGAACCAGGGAGGCGGAGGTTGCAGTGAGCCGAGATCGTGCCATTGCACTCCAGCCTGGGCAATAGTGTGAGACTTGTCTCAAAAAAAAAAAAAAAAAAAATTAGCCGGATGTGGTGGCGTATGCCTGTAATCCCAGCTACTTGGGAGGTTGAGGCAGGAAAATCGCTTGAACCTGAGAGGCAGAGGTTGTGGTGAGCCGAGATCGTGCCATTACACTCCAGCCTGGGCAATAAGAGTGAACCTCTGTCTCACAAACAAATAAACAAACAAACAAACAGACAAACAGAAAACCCCTGGCTACACAGAGACAAAAATAATAGGCGTGACTCAAACATTAATAATATAATCACACCTATCATGTAATGAAGACCTCCCTGGTGCAGGGGTTGTGCTGTCTCAGCGTTCCATGCACCGTCTCATTTCTCCCTTGTCACAACACTAGGAAGTTGCATCGATTCTTCTCTCCAAAGGAGTCTGAGGATCAGAGAGGTTAAGCAACCTGCCCAAGATCACACAGCAACCCAATCTTTTATACTTTATTAGGTTTTCAATAGTATCAACTCGGGTTTTTTTTTTTTTTTTTTTTTTTTGGTTGGGGGAGGAAAAAGGAAGTGAAGGGCAGAGGTCAGGAGGAAGCTTTGGGTCCCCTTCGTTCTGTTTTCATGACAGGGGCGGGGGGCGTGGTTTGGGGTGTGCCACATCCTGGCACTTCCTGAAGGACCTCCCTTTGGTCCCCCTGGCAGCGTCCAGAGACACGCGAATGCTGGACTTAACATCCTTGCTCCTTGTCCATCTCTGGGCCTCAGTTTCCCCAACTGTATGGTGGAAATTGTAGTCTCTGCTTCTTCTCAGGGCTGCGATGAGGATTAGGGTCCATGCCCGTCTCACAGAGGAGCCCCTGCCCCTCTGAGTCAGGTTCTCACCATGGAGAATCCGAGTGGGGCTTTCTCGATCCTTTTCCTGCAGGATCGGATCTGAGGCTGGTGGTACAAGAGGGGAAACTGAGTCACCTGCTGCTCCTGGTGTGGGGGAAGTTAGACCATGTAGAGCTTAGAGCCTGGGCGTCTCGCTGGCACGATGGTTCATTCCTGTCATCTCAGCACTGTGGGAGGCTCAGGTGGGAGGAACACTGAAGCCCAGGAGTTTGAGACCTGGGAAACATAGCAAGACCCCCCCACGGCCCCACCAAATCTCTATTAAAAAAACAAAAAACAAAACAAACAAACAAAAAAAACCAAGGCCAGCCACGGTGGCTCACGCCTGTAATCCCAGCCCTTTGGGAGGCCAAGGTGGTTGGATCACCTGAAGTCAAGAGTTTGAGACCAGGCTTGCCAACATGGCAAAACTCTGTATCTACTAAAAATACAAAAAAAAAAAAAAAAATTAGCCGGGCGTGGTGGCAGGTGCCTGTAATCCCAGCTACTCAGGAGGCTGAGGCAGGGGAATCGCTTGAACCCGGGAGGCGGAGATTGCAGTAAGCCAAGATCGTGCCATTGCACTCCAGGCTGGGCGACAGAGCAAGTCTGTCTAAAACAAAAAACAAAAAAACAAAACAAAAAAAAACGTCTGGGCATCATTTGCAGAAATCCAAACACAACAGTGGGATCTGGGAAGAATCGTGCTTCAGCGTGGCCTCCTGGTCCCGAGGCTGATGGCCGGTGGTTGAAGGAAGAAGGATTTCTATCCCAGGCAGGGTCCTTGGAGCAAAGTCCCTGGATGACACCCTCGCCCTAGATCCACGCGGCCCCTCCCTGGGTCCCTTCCCACCTACCCGGCTGGTTTCAGGCTGCGAGTCCTGAGACAGTCCACTTCCCCTCCGGGGGGCCCTCCCGGGTTTCCCCTCGTAGCCAGATTATTATTACAAAAGCCAATCCAACCCGTTTGGGTGTTGAAAGGCGCTTTTAATAAATTGTGCGAAGAAGCCATAAACTGTGTCTCTCGCAGGAGAGGCTTTGAAGTCAGAGGACAGGCTGGGTACACTACACCCAGGCCGGTGGTGGTTCCCGCTGTCAGGTGGTGTTGGTACTAAGAATGCCAGATAATAATAAAACATAATAATGACCCTGGGATTAGGTGTTAGAATGAAGGCACAGTGAGCCCCGGAACAGGGTCACCCACTGGATAAGCGCTCACTAAACGGCAGCTAAAGCAGCTGTCAGTACTCTCTCTGTCTGGAGGAATGAGGAAGGGGAAACTGAGTCCTGGAGCCCTCCCCCCCCCCCCCAGGCGCGCGGTCGCACCAGCCAGCCCTCCCCGGGCCGGGCCAGGACGTTCTCACCACTCGTGCCCTGCTCCCCCTTCCCTGTCCCCCGCCGGACCTCTCCCACGACCGGGGAGGAAGTGGGAGAAACGGACAGGGGAAAAAAAAAAGTCGCGCTGAACCAACGCCTCCCCACTCCCCACCTCCGCCCCTCGCGAGCCATGCAGACCCCCTTGTGCCAAGGAGCGGCCCGCGCGGACCAGGCGTCCAGGGCCCGGTCCCCGTCCCGCCCCGCGGCCCGCAGCCGGGTGGGGGAACTCGCGAAGCCGGGAAAACAACCGCCCTCCCCGCCCCTCGCCAACCCCTTCCCCCGCTGACGCCCCTAGCGCAGCGGGGTGGAGGCGACTCCTTTATATAATCGCGGGAGGGCAGGTTGGTGGTTTCATTTAGGGACCCGGGAGCCCCGCGGACCCGGGCTGTCCTTGGCAAGGCCACCCCCCGGGGTCCCTGGCGCGGCAAGTCCCACTGAGGCCCGGGGAGGCCCAGGGCCTGGCCTTGCGGGGGGATCCCCACCGCCTCACCCCCAACCCACCCCCGGCAGCCCAGGCCGCGCGACCCACACGCCCGCGTCGCTCCTCGCTGTGCGCACCGCGCTCCCCGCCCCCGCTGCCATCCTGCCACGCCCCGGGCGTCGGGGGCACAGCCCGCGCCCCCCCGCACCCCGCCCCTGCGCAGAGGCTGGGGGCCTGTTTATCTGGAGGCCCCCACCCCCCCTCCACCCCGGGGGGCCCGCTCCCCCCGCGCCCCGGGGAGCTCTGGGGCCAGATAAGCTGGCAAGCTGGCACGGCGCCGCGCGGCGGGGCGGAGAGGTCAGAGGCGGGGGGGCGCGCCGGGGCGGGCCGGACCCCCCCCCCCGACTTGACAAAACCTAATAACAGCCCGGTCTCCCCGGCGCAGCGGGCGAAGCCCCACGGGAGGGCAGAGACGTGGCAAGAGGGGACCTGCCGAGCCTGTTCTGGCCTCCGAGGCCAGGCTGGGGGGGGCGGGCTGGGCGTGGGGGGGCCGGCGGCTGCGGCACCTTTAAGACAAGGGAGGACCCCTCTTGCCCTCGGAGAAACCAGGAAGGGAGTCGCGAGCATCATACGGGGCTTTGGCTGTACTGTACAGTTACTGTAGGGGCAGTGACGCCGCCGCCGCCGCGCGAGGGAGCGACCAGGGCAGCGCGACGCGGGCAGAGCGAGCGCCGCGGACCCCGGAGGCGAGCGGCCGAGGGAGCCCAGTCCCAACTTCGGGCCCCGGCCCCGCGCGCCCCGGCCCGGCCCCGCGAGGTAAGTCAGCGCCCGGCGCGGCCCCCGGCACGGGGTGCAGGGCGGGGACGGGCGGGGGTCGCTGCGGCCACCGCTGCCCCCTCGGGAAGGGGAGATCCGGGGAGCCGGGGACGTTCCCCCAAGTTTCAGAGGAAGGGGTGGTTGGCAGCTGCCCGGAGGCTGGAGGCGCCCTGGATCCCGAGCGCGGGGAGGGGGCGCCGCCCGGGAAGGGGGGATTGGGGGCTAAGTGCATGAGCTTGTGCGCCAGCCCCCCCCAACCCGGGTGCATGGCTTTTCGGGGCTCCCAGGCGCGCGGGGAGCGGGGGAGGGGAAGCAGGGCTGCATTGAGGGTGGGGGGAGCCGGCGTGGGGAGATAGGGGGGCGCGTCGCCTGCTAAGTTTCCAGCTGAAGACGAGGGGCGCTCTCGCCCCCCGGGGGCCTATTCGGTGCTGCGTGCATACGTTGGAGTTGGCCAGGATTGAGCTCCATGGGGGATGGGGGGGAGGGGGCTGAAAAAACAGGGAGGGGGGCTTCGGAAAGGAGGGGGAAGGGGTGGGGTGTCCGGGTGGGCGGGCAGGGCCGCAGGGACCTCTGGGCTTCGTAGTCCCTCCGCCGTTTGCAGCCGGCAGGTGGCAAGCGGCTTGGACTACAAGTCCCAGGGTGCCCCGCGCCGACAGCCCGCCGCGGCCTGCGGGTAGGGGCGGTGCGGAGGAGGGGCGGTGAGCGGCGGGCCGGAGAGCCAATGGGCGCGGGCCGATCGCGCGGCGCGGCGCGGGGGCGGGGCCAGCCCGCCAGGGGGCGGGGCCTGGAGCCGGGCTCCCCTCGCCGGGGGCCGGTGGCGGTCCCGGCTTCCGGCTGCGCGGCCCGCGGGCCGGCCCCCTCCCCGCCCCGGGGCCCCTCCCCGCCTGGTTGTGTAACCGTCCCCAGCCCCCCTCCCCTCGGCCCCCCGCCCGTGGGGGGGGGGTCACCCTCCCCGCGCTCCCCGGGGAGGGCGGCGGCCCGGGCGGCCGCGCGGTGCAGGCGAGCCCGGGGATGCGCGGCCTAGCGCAGGCCGGGCCCGGGCGTGGGGGAGGCGGGCGGGCGGACCCAGATCCGGGGTAATTTGCATCGCCCTCCCCCCAGCCCGGGTGGGGATTGGCCGCCGGCGGCGGGGGGTGGCGCGGGGCCAGGCTCACTGCCGCCTCCCGGCCCCTCGGAGGGAGCCAGCCCAGCCGCAGCCGCCGCCACCGCCGCCGCCGGGGCCGGGCCCCCTCGCCGCTGCCCCGGGAAGGAGGTAGGAGCCCCCCGCGCGGGCGAGGCGGCGGGGGACCGCGGGCCGGGCGGGGGCCGCGCGCTGCGGCCGGGGCGGGGGAGGGGGCCGCTTCCTGCCCCCGCCCGGGCCTGACTCAGCCCCGGGTGGGGGGCCTGGCCTGGCCCCTCGCCCTGCCCGGACGGCCGTCCGGCTCCGACCCGCGGGAGGGGGCGGAGAGAGCACCCCAGTCCCCGCCGTCCGCGCCCCCAAAGCGCGTGACCCCGTCTCCTCTGGCCCGGACCCCCCCTCCTTTCCCTTGACGCCACCACCACGTGCGAAGCCTGAGCCCGGGCAGGGGAGGGGGGAGCTGGTGGGATCCAGCCCCCTCCCTCCCGCTCCCTACCTCCCGGGCGGGAGACCCAGCCCCCCCGGCCTGGGAGCCTGGCTGGGGGCTGAGCGGAGCGGAGGAGCGGGTGCCCCCCCAGGGACCGGGCCTCTGCGGGTTCTGGGAGGCGCTGCCCGGGCTGGCTGGCGGGGGCGCACGGTGGGCCGCGGCGGGAGGTTGCTGTCCACCCGGGCCCGGACACCCAGTCGGCGCCCACTAAATGTTGGCGGAATGCAGCCAGGAGTTGGCGGCGAGGCGGGGGGAGGCAGCAACTCCTCTCCCCCCAGTCAGGCGGCGGAAGTCACAGAGGTGCTGGTGCCCCTGCCACCCGCGGCACCCACCTGGCTCACCCATGGGTGGCGGGCTCGGTGGGCCCCCCCACCTCCCTGCCAGCTGCCTCCGGAGAGGGCGTGGGGATTCCGTGTCAGTGCCCCCCGCCCCAACCTCAGAACTGGACCAGGGCGTAACCCTGAGCGTGCCGCTCCCACACTGGGGGTGCCTCCCCACCACCGGCCGATCACTTCCTATTGGCAAACTGGTCTGGGAGAGGTCCCGGGGAGGCCAGGCTGGGGCAGGGGCCCAGGCCAGGCCAGGCCTAAGCCCAGCCCTGCTGCTGCCAGGGCCTGAGGGCTTCAGGCCGGGGGCGTTTGTCCGCGAGGGCCACCCGCCATGGGGCCCCGAGAGCACCTATCGGCGGGGCCGGGGCCTCTGTTTACCACCAGCCATCGCTGTGGAGACAGAGCTTGGGGGAGAAGGGGGGGCAGGAGCCGGCCGCTGGAAAAGCGAAGTCTAAGGAAGGAAAGAAGAGCCAACCGGGACACTGAAATTTTAATTCGTGGGTCAGTCCGGGGGGTATTTATTATTCAGTTCCGATTGGCTGCGTGGCGGCCAGTCAGCACCTGGGCCCGGGCGGGCAGCCACGCATCGGCAGAGGCCCGCGGGCGGCCGCAGGCAGTGGATGGGTCCTTTGCTCTGTGCGGGAGACTGAGGCGCGGCCGAGGCAGAGCCCAGCCTGGGGCCTGGTCGGAAAGGTTCCTGGGGCGATCACAAATCCCTGCTGGGTGTTTGTTTGTTTGTTTGTTTTTTCCTTTTCTTTCCTTGAGTCCCTCTGACCTATAGCTGGGTCCACCTGGTGGCAGATCCCCGTTGCCATATGAGGAGGAAACCAAGGCCGGGAGGGGAGGTCAAATGTGAGCCTGGAAACTCCGGAGGTTAGAGCAAGCCTCGGAGCAGGTGCCGGTACTAGGCAGGGGAGACTGAAGCGTAGGGGGAAGCAGAGAGCGGCCCAAGGTCACTCAGGTGGGGTCAGAGCTGCCCCCTGTGCTCCATCCTTCCAGCTCGGGGCCTGTCCAAAGTCCCCTCCCACTGTGTGGTGGCCCAGGGGCGCCTGCCCACCTGTCTTTAAGCAGGGCCGGAGGTTGGCAGTAGAGGCTCAACTGCAGGCACCTGCCTGCAAATGGAGTGTCACCGAGGCTTATTAAACCCTGTGTCCGAAGATGACATTGAGGCTCAGAGAGGGCCAGCATGGCTCCCAAGGTCACACAGCACGAGCCACAGCCCTCTCGCCTCCCTGCCTCACCGGGCAGGCCCTGGCTGGCGCACGTGCATACGAGGCCCCTCTGCAATCCTGCCGAGCCACAAACTCGTCTCACCTTGGTCCTCAGAGGCGGGCAGGGCTCTGGGTTTTATGACCAGAGGAGACCGAGGTCACCTCCCCAGAGCCAGCCCACTGCAGCCCAGATGCTCCAAGGAGGGCTCCTCAAGGGTTGGAATGCTGGCACGCTTGCTCTGCGACCTTGGATGAGCCCCGTGACCCCTGCAGCCGGGGCGCGCTGTGTTCCTGGGGCTGTGGAGGGTCCCCCAGCTGCTGCCTGCAAAGCCACCCGTGGTGTCTTTTCTCCTCCGCGGCGGAAACTCCCAGGTCAGCTCAGGGCATGGCAGAGACCTGAGTGTGGGGTGTGGGTCAGAACTGCGTGAGACACCTGCACCCCCACCTGTCACCTGCCAGACCATAAACTGCCCTGCAGTAGCCCTGGGCAACAAGGACAAGAGGAACGAGCTTGGGTGGGGGTGAGCCTTGGGTGGGGGTGAGCATGGTCCAGTCCTAGCCCAGCCCTTGGGTCCACCCCAGCAGTCACTCCCCCTCTGCCAGCCTCAGTCTTCCCATCCAGACAGTGGGGAGATGGTCATCAGCCCTAGAGTGTTGTCTCGAGGGTTCGCTCAGCGGCTCATTGGGAATGCTTGTTGAGCGACTACTGTGCACTGTGTCAGGCCCCTGCGGAGCTGTCTTGAGAGCTGGAGGGGCAGAGGCCCCTCCCTGAGCCACCCATGTCAGCTGGACTCCAGCCCTGCCCCAGGCTCCTGTGTGAGAGCTCCCTTGCAAGGCAGCTCTGAGGGTATGAGGATAAGCCGTCCTTCCTCTCAGCCCCCAGGGTAGGGGGATTTCATCTCCTGCTGGTATCCGGGGGCCAGGAAAGGGGATGGAAGGAGCCGTGGGAGGACTAGTTAGGCAGGCCAGAGCCAGACAGACGGCCCGTGCTCAAATTCCAGTTCTGCTGCGCGACCCTGGCCAAGCTGCTCCCCCTCTCTGATCCCGTTCCCCGTTTGCAAAATGGGGCACAGACACAGATCCTGCCTTCCAGCGCTGTGGGTGCCGTCACGTACCGTGGGTCTCTGGGGCGATTATCAAGGCCCAGCCTCCCCCAGCTGCTCCGAGGAGCGGCTCTGGCCCTTGGGCCCCGAGCGCCGAGTCCAGAGCCCCAAAGCGCAGAAGGCGCCCCTCAGAGAATCCGGCGCTCGGGAGGAGCGTGGCCAAAGGACCAGCCCCTCCATCTGTCCCCCCAGCAGGCTGTGGACGGCCACTCGGTGGAAGTGTCGCCACCCACGCCTTTCTGGTTTGACTGGAAAACAAGGCCCATCCCACCTATCAGGATGCCTGAGAGAAGGATCTGGCCGGATTCTGCAGGCCGCCAGGCTCCCAGGCTGAGCCTTCCACCTGCTCAGGCGAGAGTGGGGGTGGGGCAGGTATCTCCAGGTGACAAGCAGGCCTCCCTCAGGGGAGGGAGAGAGAGGTCACCTCGGCCTCTCACAGGCATCTCAGCTAAGCAGGTGCAGCCTGGGCTGATGGCAGGGTGGACAAGGATGGGCTTCCGAGAGTCTGGCCTTGCTTGCCCCCAGTGACGGGAAGCTCAGCCCCTCCACTGTCGTCATGAAGCTTCCTCTTGGAACCTGGGCTCGGGCTGTAGTCTGGGCTTCCTGGCCCATGACATCTCAGAGTGTGGGAACAGGGTGGGCCTCAGTCCCGCCCATGAGTTGGGCGTCAGATGGGATCCCCCTGGCCTCCTCATCGCTGCCCCCATCCCCGCTGTCACACTTCCCACTGGGTCCCCACGGCCTTCCTGCCTCTGGCCCTTTAAGGCCCAGGCAGGAAGCCCCTCCCCATTTAGGGCAATAAATGGACACGTAAAATGGCCGAGGGCCTGTTTGCTCCATGTCTGGCCCAGAGGGAGGCCTGCGGGCGAGGGCAGGCGGGCAGGGGGCGGGCTGGCAGCTGGCAGCCACCCCAGGCCGTTGGTGCCCCCCGATCGGGACACTGCATTCCTGTCCCATTAAACCCAGGCCGAGGACTGGGCCAGGCGGGGCTTGGCACCAGGTCAGGGCGGGGTTACCCGTCGGGACCAACCTTGCAACACAGGCCGCTGGGCGGGGAGGGGGCGGGGGCTGCCGGGTGCGGGCCTGGCAGCCGCACCTGCACACCAGGCTTACAGTGTGACCTTGGGCCGGCCGCCCACCCTCTCTGGGCCTGATCTCCCCTTCCAGCTTCCTCCTCAGGCCCCACCACTCACTCCCTTGGTAGGTGAGGAGGGGACTGAATTCCCGGAATAGCATTCAGGAGCAAAGTTCCCATCCGTGAGGGGTGGTGAACAGCCTGGCAATGTGTTTTGGGGACTGGCTCTGGCGCACATTAGGTCCCTGGGCTAAGTTTGCTGAATGGATGTGAGCGGGACCCTGACCACAGTGGGGGGCCCCTTTCCACTGTTACGACCCCCATCCCCCAGGAGACAGAGGCTCAGAGAGGTCTCGCATCTTGCCCAAGGTCACACAGCTTGGAGGTGGGGGAGCCGAGGCTTGAACCCGAGCTGCTCTGCACAGCACATGAGGGGTGAGAGGTCCCTTTGGCCTCCTTCCCTGCTCTCCCTGGGCAGAGGGTTGGGTGGGGGCCCTGATCCCCTCATTAGACGGCCCCCTGCTCCAGGAAGTGACCTTCGGGAAGGTGGCGGGTGGCAGTTACCTGCCCAGCCCTCACCTTGTCGTGTGACCTTGGGGAGGCCCCTGGCTCCCACACCCTGCACTAGCGATGCAGCCTCCTCTCTGCCGGTCCCCCTTCCCCGGTCGCCCACCTCCAGGCCTCAGTTCCTGATGCTCCCCGTGCTGGGGTGCCCTTCTTGGGATGCCGGGGTCCTTCCTAGGCGACATCTGCTGCTCCCTGAGCCACGTCAGGGTGCTTCCGAGCTCACGACACATCCCCCGCAGCTGGGAAGTGGCAGCTGCCCAGATCAGAGGGCTGCTGTGTGACCTCGACTGGGCCGCCTCACCTCTCTGAGCCTCTCAGGGACCTGGGGAAGACGAAGTGAAGGTGCCCAGTTAGTTTGGGAGCACAGAGGGGGCCGAAATGCGGCCCGGGTGCCGTGGCTCTCGACAAACACTACAGCAAGTGACCCTTAGGTTAGATGGGAGGTGGGACCGGCAGGCTGCACAGCCCCCTGCTTCTGGGTATGCCTGGCAGCCAGCTGGGTGGGCCGGGGCGTGGGCTGTCTCTGGTTTATCCGGCGGTTTGCTGCGCCCCTACTATGCGCCACCCTGGGAGGGTTGGGCTTAGGGGCCTGGGAGTGGCCCGGGGGGAGGAGGGCGCCCCACCTCCAGCCCAGGAGGGGCCTGCCAGGGCCTGCCCCTCGGCCGCCGAGTCAGCACCAAGCAGCCCCGGAAATCCCACGGAGGCCAGCGCGGGGGAGGAGCTGTGATGAAAGATGGGGCCCCGGGTGGGTGTGGGCCGAGCCCAGGGGACCCTGGCCGGCAGGGGTGGGGACCTGGCTGGCGTGGGGCCGGGGCTTCCTGGAGGAGGGGAACGAAACCGCCACCTCCGGAGGCGTGTACCGTGTGTCGGGCGCACAGTGGGGCTTCAGCACTCGGGGACTTTTTATTGCCAAGACTTTGTGGCCCCCGCCGGGGGTGCTCTGGCTGGGCCCGGCCTCCCCTCTCCCACCTCGGAGGCAGGGTCTTCGGCCCTTTCCTTAGGGGAGGCCTCCAGGAGGCCTAGGTGGGGGCATTGGCGCAGGGCGTGGCCGGCAGGTGGCTTGTGTTCCTGGAGTGAGGGCGTGGGTCAGTTGTCTCAGAGCGAGTTTAGTTTCCAGGGCGAGGGCAGGGCCTTGCCCTGGGTGGGTGGGGGGACCGGCCCCTCCATCATTTCCTGGCCCCCAGCCCCTGGGAGTCAGCCCTGCCGGGCATCCTTAGGCCAGGACTGCAGCCCTCTCTGGGCCCCGGCATTCTCATCTGTAAAACGCGGCCACAGTCCTCTCACGGGGGCTTTCCTTGGCTGACATCACCCCGGGCCTCGCTGCTTTGAGGGAGGGCCTCAGTGATATTTAGGGGGGAACAGGGGCCCAAGAGAGGGTCCCAGGCTGGAGAGGGCAGAGACTGGGACCCCCGGACCCAACCTGGAACTGGGATCTTCACACTGGCGGGGACCTGCAGGAGGTCGCTGAGCCACCTGGATTATTTTGGGCCCATCCTCCAGGCCCCAGGAAAGACACCTCCCAGCCACTCCAGAGCGGGGACCCTGGTCACCCGAGGGGAGGAACGGCCCAGCAGGCCAGGGATAGCCATCTTGGGGCGTTGGTGGCCTGGGTCAGAGGTCTCCCCCCATGCTGGGGTGGGTAGGAGGGCCCGGGCCCGTCTGATCCGGAGCTCCATCTGCTCACACGCTCCCCGCGGCCCAGGGCCAGACGGCAGATGGTGGCAGGGGGTGGACACCACCAAAGGGGACTCCTCGGAGGCTTCCCAGGGCCGAGCCTTGGGTGGGGTCGCTCCCCTCCTACCCTCCCTGCTCCCAGCAGCCACATCTGAGCCCACCGCCCCACCACAGGCCTTAGAGTAGACGGGGGTGCTGAGCAGCTGGGCCCTGGGCCGAGGCTGGAAGGAGGGAAGGAAGGCGGGTGGAGGGGCCTGGGGAGCGTGGTGGCACTGAGCAAGCTCACAAAGGCCTCTGTGTCGCCTGGCAGCTCAGGCCCCGCGCTGAGGGCCCTGGGCTTTGGGTCCGGCTGGACCGACACCATGCCTCCCTTGTGGGGCCTGGCTCAAGCCCGTCGGCGTCAGAGCCTGCCTGAGCTGCTGGGCTGGGGGACAGGAGGGTCTGGTGGCCCGGAGGAGGCCATGAAAGGCCCAGCTCAGGCCCTCTCCCCAGGGGCCTTGCCCAGGGGCTCTGGCCCGAGAGCCACCGGCCGGCCTGGAGGAATGTGAGCTGTGCTGGGTGACTCGGGGCCGCCAGGGGCTCCCAGGAGAGGGCGGAGGGGTGGGGACAGGGGCCAGAGGGTTGCACAAGCTCCGAGTGGGTGGATGAGTCACAGCCGAGGGGAAGGCGGAAAAAAGGGAGGGGGAGAAAGGGGTGGGACAGACACAGTCCCCCCAGGGCCCGGCGCTGCCCGAAACCTCTGCCCATTTGACAGATAGGGAGACTGAGGCCCAGAGAGGGCCAAGGCCTTGGCTGGGGCTGAACAGCTCAGCTGGGGTGGCTGAGAGTTGGGGAGGGGCTGCCAGGCAGTCCTGTGGGCAGGCAGGAGGTGGACAGGGGTTCCCCCGGCTCCCTGCTCCTCCTGGGCTGTAGCCCGGTCTCTGTTACTCACAGCCAGGGCTGAGCCCTATGCTGGGGGCTCTGAGGGGCAGGAAGGGGTTTAGCCTGCGGAGTCACTGGCCCTGTCCGGACGGGGCACACCCACGGTGGCCTTGACCTCAGCTGGGTTTCGGCACTGGGTCCCCGTGCCTGGGCTGCCACACCCCTTCCTGCTGACTCAGAGCCCCCCTGAAAAGAACCAGGCCTGACCAGGAGGCAGGAGTCAGGGTTGGGGAGGCCAAGGGGTCGGCTCTTAGGTCCACTCTGGGTTTGAGTTTGGACGCAACTGTGTCCTCATGGTGGGGCCTCGGGCAAGTGGCCTCAGCTCACGACGGAGTGGGTGCTGCCGGTGGGGTTCGGGTGGAACTGGCGGGAAGTAGGTGTTATGTGTTGTTGTTATTGTTTTTTTTTTTTTTTTTGGAGACGAGTCTCGCTCTGTCACCAGACTGGAGTGCTGTGGCGTGATCTAGGTGGCTCACTGCAGCCTCCACCTCCTGGTTCAAGTGATTCTCCTGCCTCAGCCTCCCGAGTAGCTGGGACTATAGGCCCGCGCCACCAGGCCCAGCTAATTTTTTGTTAGAAATGGGGTTTCACCATGTTGCCCAGGATGGTCTCAATCTCTTGACCTCATGATCCACCCACCTTGGCCTCTCAAAGTGCTGGGATTACCGGCGTGAGCCACCGCGTCTGGCCATAGTAGGTGTTTTGTAAAGGTCACTGCGTGGCCTCCCCTCTGTATCGGCCGAAGCCCGTGCTCAGATCAACAGGAAAATGGCTCAGATCAGGGCACTTCTCTCGAGCTACTGCGTCCTCCTGTAGCGCCTCAGAGTGCCCTTTCCTTATTTATTTATTTTTCCAACACGGAGTTTCGCTCTTGTTGCCCAGGCTGGAGTACAATGGCGCAATCTCACCGCAACCCCCGCCTCCCGGGTTCAAGCGATTCTCCTGCCTCAGCCTCCCGAGTAGCTGGGATTACAGGCACGCGCCACCACACCTGGCTAATTTTGTATTTTTAGTAGAGACGAGATTTCACCATGTTGGTCAGGCTGGTCTTGAACTCCAGACCTTAGGTGATCCGCCTGCCTTGGCTTCCCAAAGTGCTGGGATTATAGATGTGAGCCACAGTGCCCAGCCCTTTTTTTTTTTCTTTTTCTTTTTCTTTTTTTTTTTTTTTCAGACCGAGTCTCGCTGTGTTGCCCAGGCTGGAGTACGGTGGCTCCATCCAGGTTCACCACAACCTTCGCCTCCCGGGTTCAAGCGATTCTTCTGCCTCAGCGTCCTGAGTAGCTGGGATTACAGGCACGCGCCACCACGCCTGGCTGATTTTTTTTTTTAAGACGGAGTCTCGCTCTGTGGCCCAGGCAGGAGTGCAGTGGTGCAATCTCGGCTCACTGCAACCTCCACCCCCCAGGTTCAAGCGATTCTCCCGCCTCAGCCTCCCGAGTAGCTGGGATTACAGGCACGTGCCATCACGCCCATCTATTTTTGTATTTTTAGTAGAGACAGAGTTTCACTGTGTCAGCCAGGATGGTCTCGATCTCCTGACCTGGTGATCTGCCCGCCTCGGCCTCCCAAAGTGCTGGGATTACAGGTGTGAGCCACCACACCCAGCCTAATTTTTGTATTTTTAGTAGAGACAGGGTTTCACCATGTTGGCCAGGCTGGTCGCTGGTCTTGAACTCCTGACCTCAAGTGATCTGCCCACCTCAGCCTCCCCAAAATGCTAGAATTACAGGCGTGAGCACCGAGCCGGGCCTCAAAGTGCCCTTTCAACAGGCATTCCCGGGGGCCCTCCTCGGAGGGGTGGTGCCAGTGTGCTTGTGAAATTTAAGCGTCCAGTGTGGGTTTTGCCAGCCTCATCTCACGCTGATGAGACAGAACAGGGCATCTGACTGCTCTTGGGCACAGCTAGGGAAACTGAGGCTGATGGGGGGCAGGAAACCTGACTGTCCTCATGCACAGCTGGGGAAATTGAGGCTGGGGGCAGGACAGCTGGCCGCCCTTGTGTACAGATGGGAAACAGGTTGGGAGTGGGACACCTGATTGCCTTCCTGTACAGCTGGGGAAACTGAGGCTGGGGACATGACGTCTGATTGCTTTTGTGTACAGCTGGGGAAACAGGCTGGGGGAGGCAGGACATCTGACCATTCTCATGCACAGCTGGGGAAACTGAGGCTAGAGGATAGGACATTTGACTGCACTTGGGAACAGCTGGGGAAACTGAGGCTGGGGAGCCGGGACATCTGGCTATCCTCATGCACAGATGGAAAACAGTCTTGGCCGGGTGCCGTGGTTCATGCCTGTAATCTTAGCACCTTGGGAGGCAGGGGCGGTTGGATCATTTGAGGCCAGGGTTTTTTGATTTGTTTTGTTTTTTTGAGATGGAGTCTTGCTCTGTTGCCCAGGCTGGAGTGCAGTGGCGTGATCTCAGCTCACTGCAAGCT
Organism: Homo sapiens; assembly: GCF_000001405.40. Lineage (NCBI taxonomy): Eukaryota > Metazoa > Chordata > Mammalia > Primates > Hominidae > Homo > Homo sapiens. The sequence goes on along the minus strand of NC_000019.10, from coordinate 4,055,756 downwards.
CTGCCTCCTGGGTTCATGCCATTCTCCTGCCTCAGCCTCCCGAGTAGCTGGAACTACAGGCCCCCGCCAACACGCCCGGCTAATTTTTTGTATTTTTTAGTAGAGACGGGGTTTCACTGTGTTAGCCAGGATGGTCTCCATCCCCTGACCTCATGATCTGCCTGTCTCGGCCTCCCAAAGTGCTGGGATTACAGGCGTGAGCCACCGCGCCAGGCCGAGGCCAGGGGTTTGAGACCAGCCTGGCCAACATGGTGATAGCCTGTCTCTGTATTAAAGACACACAAAAAAGAAAAGAGGCTGGAGGCAGGGCATGTATCGCTTTGGTGCACAGCTGGGGAAGCTGGGGCTGGAAAGGCGCGACATCTGACCGCCTTCACGTGCAGGTGGGAATGTGAGGCTGGGGGAGCAGGGTGGAACGCTGCTTCTCAAGGGCCTCGGGCCCTTGTCAGTGGGCACAGGAACCCCCGCACCCCCACTCACGAGCGCCCTCTCCTTCCCCACTGCTGCAGGTCTCGGCGCGGAAGATGGCCGGCGGCGTGGACGGCCCCATCGGGATCCCGTTCCCCGACCACAGCAGCGACATCCTGAGTGGGCTGAACGAGCAGCGGACGCAGGGCCTGCTGTGCGACGTGGTGATCCTGGTGGAGGGCCGCGAGTTCCCCACGCACCGCTCGGTGCTGGCCGCCTGCAGCCAGTACTTCAAGAAGCTGTTCACGTCGGGCGCCGTGGTGGACCAGCAGAACGTGTACGAGATCGACTTCGTCAGCGCCGAGGCGCTCACCGCGCTCATGGACTTCGCCTACACGGCCACGCTCACCGTCAGCACAGCCAACGTGGGTGACATCCTCAGCGCCGCCCGCCTGCTGGAGATCCCCGCCGTGAGCCACGTGTGCGCCGACCTCCTGGACCGGCAGATCCTGGCGGCCGACGCGGGCGCCGACGCCGGGCAGCTGGACCTTGTAGATCAAATTGATCAGCGCAACCTCCTCCGCGCCAAGGAGTACCTCGAGTTCTTCCAGAGCAACCCCATGAACAGCCTGCCCCCCGCGGCCGCCGCCGCCGCTGCCAGCTTCCCGTGGTCCGCCTTTGGGGCGTCCGATGATGACCTGGATGCCACCAAGGAGGCCGTGGCCGCCGCTGTGGCCGCCGTGGCCGCGGGCGACTGCAACGGCTTAGACTTCTATGGGCCGGGCCCCCCGGCCGAGCGGCCCCCGACGGGGGACGGGGACGAGGGCGACAGCAACCCGGGTCTGTGGCCAGAGCGGGATGAGGACGCCCCCACCGGGGGTCTCTTTCCGCCGCCGGTGGCCCCGCCGGCCGCCACGCAGAACGGCCACTACGGCCGCGGCGGAGAGGAGGAGGCCGCCTCGCTGTCGGAGGCGGCCCCCGAGCCGGGCGACTCTCCGGGCTTCCTGTCGGGAGCGGCCGAGGGCGAGGACGGGGACGGGCCCGACGTGGACGGGCTGGCGGCCAGCACGCTGCTGCAGCAGATGATGTCATCGGTGGGCCGGGCGGGGGCCGCGGCGGGGGACAGCGACGAGGAGTCGCGGGCCGACGACAAGGGCGTCATGGACTACTACCTGAAGTACTTCAGCGGCGCCCACGACGGCGACGTCTACCCGGCCTGGTCGCAGAAGGTGGAGAAGAAGATCCGAGCCAAGGCCTTCCAGAAGTGCCCCATCTGCGAGAAGGTCATCCAGGGCGCCGGCAAGCTGCCGCGACACATCCGCACCCACACGGGCGAGAAGCCCTACGAGTGCAACATCTGCAAGGTCCGCTTCACCAGGTGAGCTGCCCGCCGCGGGGGAGGCGCCGTCCTGCTCTCTGCCCCAGCATCCGCCGCTCACGACCCCTCCCGCCTCTCTCCCTGCACCGCACGCACACATGCACGCAGACGCACACATACACGCACGTGCACACAGACACGTACACGCACAGACACATGCACGTCACCTACACATCCACACACACGCAGACACACATACACGCACTTGCACATATATACGCACATGCACACACATGCACAGACGCGTATGCCACGTACACATGCACACACACAGACGCACACACGCACACGCACACCACATACACATACAGACATGCTACACAGACACATGCAGACACAGATGCACACCACATACACATCACATACACATGCACGCACACACACGCACACCGACATGCGCGCACACACACGCACACCACATACACATCACATACACATGCACGCACGCACGCACGCACACACGCACACCCAGGCACGCACACAGATGCACACGCACCCCCAGACATGCATGCAGGCACATGCACACAGACACGTACATGCGCACACATACATGCACATGCATGCAAACATGCACCCACAGACACACATATATGCACACACACGCAAACAGACACACCCCACCTCTTGGGCCCAAAGCCAACGAACGCTTCCCTGACCCACGTGGCTGTTAAGAACAGCCTAGACCAGGCCCTGCCCTTGTGGGTGGACATCCCGGTGGGTGACAGCACAGGCCAGACATAAGATGACAGCCACATCATATGCAAAGCGTGCCGGACAGGGTTGAGCTGCGGGAGGTGGGCGGGAAGGCACAGTCGTTCTTCCTTCCTGGAGGGCTGGTTCTTCTCTTCTGCACTTTTGGATTTTTTTCTTTTTCTGCTTTGGGAGAGGGTGACAGGCCCTCAGGCTTAGGGAGGGACAGCCCAGGCCGTGGAGCGGCTTCTGAGTTTCCCGTGAGCCTGGGTCATTTGCTTCAATCAGCCAACATTTATGAAGCGTCTGCTGGTGCCAGGCCTGTTCTAGGCGCCGGGGACAGGCCTTGCCGGAACCTGAAGGAGGGGAGGAGCAGCTGTGGGAAAGGGCGTTCCAGGCAGAGGGAACAGCCAGTGCAGAGGCCCTGAGGCCAGCTCAGCTTGAGAGATCACTGTGCCCCCCTGGGAGCCACAGGACTTGGTCCCTAAACAGCAGGAGTTCAAGGCCAGGCCCGGGCAGTTTGCAATTCGGTCTCAGGAGTCCAGAGGTGGCTGGCTGGGCCTCGTAGATCCGGGGCGGGCTGTAGCGGTGGGGGCAGGGGGCTGGCAGGCAGGGACCTGGCCAGGCTGGGTGACTCAGCACCACCCCCTGCCCCCCGCCCGCCCTGGGGTTCCCCCAGCCACGCCCACCGAGGCTGAAGAAAGAGGCCATTGTCCCAGCTTCCCAACCCCACCCCGTGGGGACAGGAACTGGGACTGACCCCTCCCCAGCACCCCGGCCCCCTCCCCAGCAGGCCAGGAGAGGAAGGTGCGGCCTGGACTCCGGCGCCCAGGAGTGCCAGGCAGGGGGCAAAGGGCACTTTGGGAGGCAGGCAGTGTAGCTGGTGGTTTGTCCCTCCTTGGTGAGGTTGGGGTACTGGAGGTCTTGGGGGGCTCCTCTTCCTCCAGGCAGGGGTCACTGTGGGTTCGTCTCTGAGCTCAGGAAGAGCAGCTTGGTGGGGTGCAGAGAACTGGGGTCTGCAGAGGGGACCAGGCTGAGCGAAGGTGGTGACCCCCACCCTGCCTCCCTGGCCGCAGGCCACAGGCCCGGTTTCATTCTGACTCGGGCACTGCTGGCTATCCCACCCGACCCGGGGCTGATCCCCTCAGTCAGAGAAACTGAGGCTTAGAGAGGGACAATTGTGGAGACCTCTTCCTCCCACCCCAATTTAGACCCACCTGCTTCCTCTTTTCCCCCACCCCGTGCTCTGGTCCCCCCTCCCCAGGACACCAGCACCTCCACCCTCCAAAAGCCTGGGAGCCCGAGGCCCCTCTGAGTCACAGCAGGGCGTTGAGTAAGTGGGGCCTGTGGTGGCCGGGGCTATAATTACCCAGGCTGGGGCTCGGGGTGATGAAACTAGGGATACCTCCGCCCCCACCCCGCCTCTGCGTGGCCCTCTGGCCTGCTGTGCAGCTCCAGGCAAGTCCCTTCCTCTCTCTGGGCCTCCCAGGCTCATCTGGGGAGTCTCTGCACGGTTCTAGAAAAACCTAGTGGCTGCCATCCCCTCTGTGACCCCGGCCCTGTGCCAGATCTGGGCAAGGCAGCCCGGAGACCTTGCCGTGGGCTTTGCAGAAGGTGATCAGTAAACCAGAGGCCTGGAGGCTGGTAACAGACCTGGTTAGGCCAGGGTTCTGTTAGCAAGTTACCACGTTCTGTTGGCTTCAGTGGGGCAGCAAGGCTAGAGATAAGGTAGGGGTCTGGTTGCCAAGGGCCAGGCCTTGACCCTCAGGGCAACAGAGCCAAGGAGGGGTTAAAGTTAGGGACACCAGCTCTGTAGCTGGTGCCAGAGGGAGGGACTTAGGGCTGGAGGAACCCAGAGGGGAGCCAGGTCTTTGGGAATTAGGAAAGGTAGAGGGGCATTCAAGGTAGGGCTTTGAGGGATGAGTAGGAGTTTGCCAGTCCCCACACTAAAGAAGTCTTCAGTCTATTGAGTGTGAGAAGGAAGAAACCCGAGGTGGCTCAGATGTGGGGCACAACAGGCAGCAGCAAGGAGTAGGTCAGGTTCTAGCCAGGGCTCTTGAGACCCAGGGCTCCCTCCTGCCCTCCGGATCCCAGGAAGGAGTACACTTTATTACTATAGATTGGCATCACTCAATGGGAATAGGCAAGACACCTACTTTTTTTTTTTTTTTTTTTTTTTTTTTTGAGACGAGTCTTGCTCTGTCGCCCAGGCTGGAGTGCAGTGGCACGATCTCAGCTCACTGCAACCTCCACCTCCCAGGTTCAAGCGATTCTCCTGCCTCAGCTTCCCAAGTAGCTGGGATTATAGGCGCCCACCACCATGCCGGCTAATTTTTGTATTTTTAGTAGAGACGGGGTTTCACCACGTTGGCCAGGCTGGTCTCGAACTCCTGACCTCAGGTGATCTGCCCGCCTTAGCCTCCCAAAGCGCTGGGGTTACAGGTGTGAGCCACCATGCCCGGCCAGCAAGCCACTTACATATTTTTACATTTTCTGACAGCCCCGTTCAAAAAAAGTCAAAGAGAGTTGGTGAAAGTGACTTGAAACATTTTACCTAACCCAGTAGATGCATTTCCATGTGTAGTCAATGTGCACGATCCTCATTGAGCCATTTTACATCACCTTTTGCATATCAAGTCTTCAAAAGCTGGGGTACCTTTTGCACTTCCAGCGCACATCAGTTCAGAGTGGCCACATTCCAAGGGTTCAGGAGCCACCTAGGCCACAGGCACCCCACTGATATGGTGACCGGCTTTGTAGGCTAGAGGCTCCAGGCTAAGCTGGGTCCACGCTGCCCCCATGGGGCGAGACAGGCAGGGAGGGGCCCTCAAGTCACACCCAACCCCTGCCTTCTCGGGGCTCACAATCCAATCAGGGAGACAGAGGAGAAACAAGGAAATCAACAGAAACAAGAGAGACCGGCCGGGCGCGGTGGCTCACGCCTGTAATCCCAGCACTTTGGGAGGCCGAGGCAGGCGGATCACTTGAGGTCAGGAGTTCAAGACCAGCCCAGCCAACATGGTGAAAACCCTGTCTCCATTAAAAATACAAAAATCAGCCAGGTGTGGTGGCGCACGCCTGTAATCCCAGCGTTTGGGGAGGCCGAGGCGGGTGGATCACCTGAGGTCAGGAGTCCGAGACCAGCCCGGCCAACATGGTGAAACCCCGTCTCTACTAAAAATACAAAAATGAGCCAGGTGTGGTGGCAGAGGGCCTGTAATCCCAGCTACTTGGGAGGCTGAGGCAGAAGAATTGCTTGAACCCGGGAGACGGAAGTTGCAGTGAGCGGAGACCACACCACTGCGCTCAAGCCTGGAAGATAGAGCGAGACTCGGTCTCAGAAAAAAAAACAATAGAAGAGTCAGGTGGTGATGACAGGAGGATGGAGACAGGGCTGGGGAAGGAGGTGACATTTGAGCCCAAATTTGACTGTGAAGATCCAGGAGGAAAAAAGAAAGTACCCCGGACTGCGGGAGCAGCACATGCAAAGGCCCCAGCGTAGCTTGTGCTTTGCACCTTTGCACGTCAGGGTGGAGCCCAGATAGGGGAGTGACGCTGAAGTGAGGGGAGAGTGGGCAGTCCTGGGTGTCGTGGGGTGGGGACTTGGTTACTAGGGTGACCAACTGCCCCACTTTGTCCCGGACAGAGGGGTTTCCCAGGATGCAGGACTTTCAGTGCTAAAACCAGAACAGTTGGTCACCCTATCTGTCACCAAACACCTCGGCCGCCGCCAGCCTCGAGAGGGCAGGGATGTTTGCCTGTCTTGTTCCTTGCGGTATTTTCAGCACCTGGAACAGGGCCTGGCCCTCAGCGGGCGCTCGGCAAAGGTCTGTGGCATGAATGAAGGCACCAGGCACTGGCTGGCCTCATCCTACCCCAGGGGTAGGGGCAGGATGGAGTGGCAGAAGCCCACTGTCTCCTTCTGTGGTAGGGAAAGGGGTTCATGGCGGGCGCAGTGGCTCACACCTGTAATCCTAGAGCTTTGAGAGGCCGAGGCAAGAGGATCACTTGAGCCCAGGAGTTTGAGATTAGCCTGGGTAACGTAGCTCAACCCCCATCTCTCAAACTTACATATATATATATATATATATATATATATATATATATATATACACACACACACACACACACATATAGTTTAATAGCTATTTAATAGGGTGTGGTGGTGCGTGTGCTACTCTGGAGGATGAGGCAGGACGATGGCTTGAGCCCAGGAGTTCGAGGCTGCAGGGAACCGTGATCACGCCACTGCCCTCCAGCCTGGGGGACAAAGCCAGACCCTGCCTCTCTTTTTTTTTTTTTTTGGAGACAGTCTCATTCTGTCACCGAGGTTGGAGGGCAGTGGCGTGATCTGGGCTCACTGCAACCTCCACCTCCCAAGTAGCTGGGATTATAGGCCTGCGCCACCACGCCTGGCAGATTTGTTTTTTGAGACGGAGTTTCGCTCTTAAAAAGTGAAATTTTTTTTTTTGAGACGGAGTTTCACTGCAACCTCCACCTCCCAGATACAAGTGATCCTCCTGCCTCAGCCTTCCTAATAGCTGGCATTACGGGCGCCTGCTACCATGCCCGGCTGATTTTTGTTTTTTGTTTTTTTGTTTTTTGTTTTTTTAGTAGAGACAGGGTTTCACCGTGTCGATCAGGCTGGTCTCGAACTCCTGGCCTCAAGTGATCCGCCCGCCTCGGCCTCCCAAAGTGCTGGGATTTCAGGCCTGAGCCTCCGCGCCTGGCCTAGACTTTGTCTCTTAAAAAGTTAAAAAAGGAAAGGAAACGGGGTTCAGAGAGGCATAGCGTTTTCCCAAGGCCACACAGCACTCAGGGTCCGAGGCCCTCTTTAGATGTTCAGAATGCGAAATCGCCCCCACTCGTCTCGTTTTTCGAGGGACCGTCCCCATCGGGGCACCGAAACCTCTGGTGCACGGTCCGTGTTCTGCAAGGGTGATGATCCAGGGCCTGCCGTGTCCGTGAGGGTCCCTGGGCGGGGATCGGGGGTCCCCGGCCCCACTGACCGTGCCCGCCCCGTGCCCCGTCCACAGGCAGGACAAGCTGAAGGTGCACATGCGGAAGCACACGGGCGAGAAGCCGTACCTGTGCCAGCAGTGCGGCGCCGCCTTTGCCCACAACTACGACCTGAAGAACCACATGCGCGTGCACACGGGCCTGCGCCCCTACCAGTGCGACAGCTGCTGCAAGACCTTCGTCCGCTCCGACCACCTGCACAGACACCTCAAGAAAGACGGCTGCAACGGCGTCCCCTCGCGCCGCGGCCGCAAGCCCCGCGTCCGGGGCGGGGCGCCCGACCCCAGCCCGGGGGCCACCGCGACCCCCGGCGCCCCCGCCCAGCCCAGCTCCCCCGACGCCCGGCGCAACGGCCAGGAGAAGCACTTTAAGGACGAGGACGAGGACGAGGACGTGGCCAGCCCCGACGGCTTGGGCCGGTTGAATGTAGCGGGCGCCGGTGGAGGAGGTGACAGCGGAGGTGGCCCCGGGGCCGCCACCGACGGTAACTTCACAGCCGGACTCGCCTAAAAACCAAAAAGAGAAAACAGAAACCCGAGAAAGAGAGAGACAGAGAGAGAGAAAAAAAATCACCCACCACCCCCCCAAAAACACAAAAAAAGAAAATCTATCTATATACAGATATCTATATCTATATATATATATACAGATATATATATATGACGCGTCACAGAATCTAGGGTAGCGCTTTCTCAGATTTCCCTCCTTTCTGACGTTTTTCTCCCTCCGCAGGGGCCCCGGCCCTCCCTGGCTCCCCTTCCCCCCACCACCCCATCGCTGGGTTTCGGGGCTTGGTTTGGGGTTTTTTGTAGGACACAAGGAATCCGAGACCCCGCACAGCCCCCTGGGCACCCGGCATGGGGCCTGGGGCCCGATCCGAGGCCCTGGGCTGGGGGGAGGGTAGACGTGGGGGCGCTGGGGGGGGACTGGGGTGGGCTTTTAATTTCCTCCCCTCGCTGGTTTCTATGAGTCTTTCAGACAAGACCTTAAATGATTTCTGTCTGCTCTGAGCGGACGTTAAAATGGGCCCCCGTCCCCCGACCCGCACCCTCCTTCCTCAGGGCACTTACTAAGGGAGGGGTCTCCCTCTCCATCTCCCCAGTGGCCTCCCCGCCTCCAACCCTGCCTGCGGCCTCCCCCCGTCGCCCACCCCACGTCTCCTGGCCACTGAGACACAAACCTATTTATTTCTAGGCCTGGAGAAAGGAGATCGGACTGGGGTTCCCGGTGGGGCGCCAGGATGGCTCCTGGGGGTGCTCCTGCCGCCTTCCTTCACGGCACTTACAACCGGCGGGACCCCCAGGGACCACCCCTCAGGGCGCCCCCCCACCCCCGCCCGGTCCACCTAGACCCCCACGTTTGGAGATTCAAAACTTCTGTCTTCGTCCTCTCCCCCGAGCCCCCTCTCCCAAATTTTTAAAGCACTTTTTAGATTTTTTTTTCTCTTTCCTCCTTAAAAACAAAATTTATATATAGATATATATATATATATAAATAATATACTTTTCCTCAGAGGAGCAGGCAACAGTGTGGGATAAACAGAGTCACGATCAGAGGAACCCCAGGGTCTGGTGATGGCAGGGATGGGGGGAGAGAGAGAAAATCCACAAATTCCAATGTCACAAAAGCAATAAAACAAACTAGAAAAAAAAAAGGTTTTACAAAATGAAAGGAAGGAAAAAAAAAAAGGCAACCAACCACATTAGAAGTCTTGGCACTTTGTAACGGAACGGGTACTACACTTTATCTTAATTCTTAATTTAAAAACATGTTTACAAGTTACAACCAACTTCTATGAAAAGTTGAAAAGACAAAAAAAAAAAAAAAAAGCGAGCGAGAGAGAGAGCGAGAGAGAGAGCGAGAGCAGAAGAAATTCCTAAAAGTCGATTTATTTTTGTACAAAATAATAAAAAAAAAAACCCACCACAAACGTAGAATCCACTTCTGTTCCCCAAAAAGCGAGAAGGGGGGTTCAGGAGGAAGCCATCGCAGGGGACCTGGGAGACGCCCCGAGGTGTTTGTGCTTCACCCCCAGACGTCAGCCTCGAAGGCAGGACTGTGGGGTGTTCGTGCTGTGTTCCCCCCGCTCCCCCTTTCTGTCCCCTTTTTTGGTTCTGACGTGAAGAGGTCTTAGCGCCCGCTTCTGTCCACGGGGTCTCTCCTTCCTCCTCCCTAGCTCAGGGATGGGCCTTCCAGCCGGAGCACCCCGATCCCCATCCGGCACCCCCCAATCCCCCAACACGCCTGTCCCTCCCGCATGGCCACCAAGGAGCTGGACCTTGGATGCGCCTACCCTGCTGAGGTGGGTGACAGGGGCCCCCCACCTCCAGGGCCTTAGAACCACCGCCCCTCTCCCCACCCCAGGCACCCCTCTTTTTACTCAAAGGCACTGACTGTAATCCAGGGGGACTGGGACCTGCCTCCCCCCAACCTCTGGCTCCCACAAGGCCCGGTGTTGACCGAGCCACAGGCCACGGACAGGGGCCGGGGTTGGGGAGACTATGTCGCCAGATGCCAGGACGCCCTCACCCCGTTTGCATATGCAATGCTAGCATGGGACCCCGAAAATAGACGCTCTGCTGCACTGAGACTTCTTGTCAATGCCCAACCGGCGGGGGGGTGTCTCCCTGCCCCCGACCCCCCCATACCCCCTTCTCTGTGACACACACATCTTCTCGTCTCTTTTTCTTTCATTGTTAAAGGGAAGCTTTTTAAGAAGGCAATTTTCATATTGTTTCTACAGGATGGTTTTGGTTCCCTTCCCTTCCCACCCCCCCTTAAGCCTGTCAGCCCCCTCCAAATGTCTCAGGATCCCCCCTCTCCCCTGGGGCTGGGTGACAGCACCCCGGCTGCGTTCACACCCCAGTGTCACAGGGCGAGCTGTTCTGGAGAGAAAACCATCTGTCGTGGCTGAGCGGGGAGCTTGAACACCCAGGCCAGGGACACCCCTCCCCAGCTCCCAGAGAGGCCCCCTGAGGGGTGAGCCCTCTTTCCACCTTCCCCTATCCATGCACCCCCTCGCAATAAAACCAACTCTAAAATCACAGCTGTCGTCCTAGCCAGTGGGGGCGACCGGACTTGGGGGGTGGAGCCCTCTGGGACTTCCGTAGGAACAAGGGCTGCGGCCCACCGCGACACTTACACAGACCTCGGGGATTGCACTAAACCCTCGTTCCTAGCTCCGCACTCAGCTTCGCCTGTCCTGCCCGCCCACTTTGCCTTAACTACCCGCCCGTCCTGGGGGCCACAGCCTCTGCATGGGCCCAGAGCCGGGACCCCCCCAGCCCAGCCCCGCCCTCCCCAGACTCCGCGCAATCACATACTGTATATAGACGTGAATCGATTTTATTTTTATTCTTTAAATTAAGGTCGTGATAAAGTGTTGCCAAAGATACCTGCTGAATTCTCGCGTTTCAGGAAACAAACAAACAAAAAAAAATGATATTTGAGGAGGGTCGTGTTGACTCCATATGAAAGGACACAGCTCAAAGCTTTTTTGTTTGGTTGTTTGGGGTTTTTTGTGTTTTCTTTTTTTGGGGTGTTTTTTTTTTAACTGCCTGGTACAAAAAAAAAAAGAGAAAAAAAAAAAAGAAAAACAATGCGAAATTGTTATTTCCATTCTCATGGTGAAGTTGCGTGGACGCGTGTGTGCGTGTGTGCAAGAGAGCGGGAGTGAGGTCCAGGCTGGGGTTGGGGGGCTTCAGGCGGGGGCGCCCGGGGGCCGGGGAGGTGGCCGGGCCGGAGCCCCCGTCTGCAGTGCCCCCCAGCCTGCCGGGCCCAGGAGAGAGAGAGAAGCATCTTTGCTACTAGCTGTTGCTGCTACCTGCCTCTGCCCCCCGACGCCCCCCGCCTTTTGAGATTAAGGAAAAAAAAAAAAAGTCAAAAAAGTTTTTAAAAATGAAAAAAAAAAATTATAAACCAGTGAATGTAAAATGCCGGAGCAGGCCCGGCCTGGCATGGGTGTGGACCTGCAGCCAGGCAGGCTCGAGCGGGCGATACCAAAGTCTGCCCCCCCACCATTGTGGCCATGCAGTCCTGTCACTGTCTTTTTGCTTCCTTCCGAGGGGGGTCCCCCAGCCTCTTCCAGGGTCTTCCCCTGGAAGTGGGCGGCTGCAGGGAAGGTGGGGGACAGGGGTCTTTGCACGATTCAGACCCCGGGGCCGTGGCAGGAGCGGTCACCTCACAGGTGGTGACACTGAGGCAGGGGCCTCGGGGTGCCCCCTCCCGCCCGGCAACCAGAATGGTTGGAGGCAAGACAGAGAGAATGAAAGGAAAAACAGAAGAAAAAAAAATATTAAAAACCAACAAAAAAAGCAAAAATCCTATTTTTTGAGAAAGAAAGATATTTATATTTGCAGTTTTATTTTAAAAAGTTATTTAAGTTGAAGCAGCCTTCCTGGAGGTGGGGGGGGGGGGGTGGTGGGTGGCTGGCGCAGGACGGGTCAGGGGCCTGGAGGCTGGGGGTGCCCCAGGAGCTACAACCTCAGAGTTAAGACTAGCTCGCATTAAATACATAGATTTACGGGGGGGGGGGGGGGGGGCCGGGCCCAGGGGGTGGAGGGGGCCAGGGAGACCCCCATCCCTCGCCGGGGCTGCCTGGAGGCTGTGGACCAGGATCCGATGCCCAGGTCCCGCCCCCCACCCCACCCCAGGCCCAGAATCGAGGTGCCTTGGACTTTGGAGGGGCCAGGCCTGGTGAATGGGGGGCGGGGCGGCGCCCTCAGGGTACAGAGCACAGACAGATAGACATTCCAGAGACTGTATTGAGAGTCTTTATAAAGTGTGGGAGATTTAAAAAAAAAAAAAACTGATAAAAATGCACTTTTTGGGAGTGGGGAGGGAGAAGCTTTAAAAGTAATAAAAAACAAACAAAAACACAAAAGATGAAAAAACAAAAAAATTCATTTTTCTTGTACATAAAAAAAAAAAAAGAACCACTAAACGCAGCCTGTTACGACCGCTGCCGCCTCAGTCGCCTCATTTGATGTTCTCTGTGTTTTGTTCGGGGGAGGCTGGGGAGCGGGGATGGGGGGCTTGGGGGGGGTCCCCCTTTTCCCCTTTTGGCCCTGAAGAGACTGGGTGGGTTGAGCACCTCGTCCACACCACACCTTTGGGCCCAGGGTGACCGGATCCTGGGTCCCAAGGAGAGAAGCCCCAGGTCCCCGACCCTTCCTGCTCTTCCTGCCCGGCCTTGGAAGCCAGGCCCATCTCTCTGGGGTCCGTCTGTCGCGTGGCAGAGAGGCTGGGTGTGGATGGTGACCCAGAGCACCGGGGTGGGGGTGAGTGTCCGAGGAGTACCCAGGTCCAGAGGCCCCTCTTGCGGGGAAGGTGACCCATAGCCCCTGGCGCGGGCAGGCAGCTGGCACAGGATAAGGCCAGAGGGGCAGCAGGGAGAACCGGCCGGGCGAGTTGTCAGCAGAATCCAGGGCTGGGCCCTGGGCACCACTGGCTCCAGGCTTTCCCGAGGCCCCAGGCGGGGTAGCCTCACCTGGGGGCCACCTGACTCTGCTAGAGGACCCCAGGGTGCTGCCCCATGCCAGGCCCCAGGGACATGAGCCAGGATCTGGAGCCGGAAGCCTCAGCTAGCTGCAGCCCCTACCTCTGGGTAGGGTCTCTGAGGGAGGGCCTCCTCCTTCCTCCTGTCCTCCAACCAGACTCGGCCCATGTCCAAGGAATCTGTCCAGGCCAGCAAAGGTGGGGATGGGGCCAGCCCCAAGGGATGGATGAGGCACTCATGGAAGCAGATGGCACAGTGAGGCAGCAATGGCTGCACTGAGCCGGGCACTGGGTCCACTCAGAACCCCAGCTCCTCCTCTGTGGATTGGGCTCTTCCTAGTAGCCACAGGAAGTCAACAAAGCCTGGCCCAGCCCTTGCCAGGAAACACCACAGAGGCCACACCACGAAGTCTGAGGGCCTCCGGGTCCTTGTGTGGACCCCATGCTAAAGCACCATACCTGTGCGAGGCCACCCATGAACCTGCTGCAGCCAGGATTCGTGCCCAAGTCCCCGACACGCGCTGGAGCAGGGTTGGGGGTCAGCGGTTCTACAGCCGTGTCCTGAGCCCCCTGCACCGTGGACCCTCAGGGCACACTGAGGCCTCTGCTCAGAGGTCCCACATGGGGAAGCTGAAGGAGCCGCAGCCTCAGGACCACAAGCCAGGGTTAGGTGCTTCCTAACCTCTGTGCTTCAGAGAGGGCCGGGAGTGGTGGCTCATGCCTGTAATCCCAGCACATTGGGAGGCTGAGGAGGGAGGATTGCTTGAGCCCAGGAGTTCGAGACCAGCCAGAAAAACAAGGTGAAACCACGTCTCTGCAAAAAATACAAAAATTAGCCAGGTGTGGTGGTGCACGCCTGTGGTCTCAGCTACTCTGGAGGCTGAGGCAGAAGGATTGCTTGAGCCCAGGAGGTCGAGGCTGCAGTGAGCTATGATTACACCACTGCACTCCAGCCTGGGCGATAGAGTGAGACCCTGTCTCAAAAATAAAAATACAAAAATATAATTCACATACCATACAATTTCCCTTCAAGGCCAGGCGCGGTGGCTCATGCCTGAAATCCCAGCACTTTGGGAGGCCAAGAAGGGAGGATCACTTAAGCCCAGGAGTTCAAGACCAGCCAGAAAAACAAGGTGAAGCCACGTCTATGCAAGAAATACAAAAATTAGCCGAGTGTGATGGTGCACACCTGTGGTCCCAGCTACTCTGGAGGCTGAGGTGGAAGTATTGCTTGAGCCCAGGAGGTCGAGGCTGCCGTGAGCTATGATTGCACCACTGCACTCCAGCCTGGGTGACAGAGTGAGACCCTTTCTCAGAAATGAAAATAAATGTAATTCACACACCATATAATTGCTCTTCAAAGCCAGGTGCGGCAGCTCATGCCTGTAATGCTCCCAGCATTTTGGGAGGCCAAGGCAGGTGGATCACGAGGTCAAGAGATTGAGACCATCCTGGCCAACATGGTGACTAGTAAAAATACAAAAATTAGCTGGGCGTGGTGGTGCACGCCTATAGTCCCAGCTACTCAGGAAGCTGTAGCAGGAGAATCACTTAAACCTGGGGGGAGGTGAAGGTTGCAGTAAGCCGAGATGGTGCCACTGCACTCCAGCCTGGGCAACAGGGCAAGACTCCATGTCAAAAGAAAAAAAAAAAAAAAAAGGCTGGGCACGGTGGCTCATGCCTGTAATCCCAACACTTTGGGAGGCCGAGGTGGGCAGATCAGGAGGTCAGGAGATTGAGACCATCCTGGCTAACACGGTGAAACCCCCGTCTCTCCTAAAAACACAAAAAATTAGCCGGGCGTGGTGGCGGGCGCCTGTAGTCCCAGCTACTTGGGAGGCTGAGGCAGGAGAATGGCGTGAACCCGGGAGGCAGAGCTTGCAGTGAGCTGAGATCACGCCACTGCACTCCAGCCTGGGCGACAGAGCGAGACTGTCTCAAACAAACAAACAAAAAATTCCCTTAAAAAAATTATGCACCTGTCACCACTAATTCCAGAACATTCTATCCAGCCCAAAGGATGCCCCATATCCATTTGTGATCACTCTCAATCCCCTTCTCCACTCTCCAGCACCCGTGAATCCCCTTCCTGTCTCTGTGGATTGGCCTGTTCTGGACATTTCACAGAAATGGGATCACACGCCTCGTGGCCTTTGGTGTCTGATGTCTCTCACTAAGCATGGCATCCTCAGAGTTCGTCTGGGCTGGGGGCCTGTGTTAGAGCCTCGCTCCTTTCCATGGCTGTCATTCTGCAGTGTGGATGGCCACACTGCACTGATTCACTCCCCGGCTGGACATGGGTCATTGCCACATTTGGCTGCTGTGCACGTCCGTGAGCACATTTGTGTGGACGGACGTGTTCACTTACCTTGGGGACACGTCTAGGGCTGGCATTGCAGGTCCCACGCTAACTCCACATTTAGCCTCAACTGTTTCCAAGGGGCTGCACCACGTTATCTTCCCCAGCCATGTGGACTGCAGCTTCCCTGACCCTCGCTGCTGTTTTTGATGCTAGCTGTCCTGGTGGGGGTGACAGGTATCTCACCGTGCATTTGACTCACATCCCTAACATCTCTTCATGTGCTCATTGGTTGTCTGTATATATATTTTTTTGAGACGGAGTCTCGCTCTGTCGCCCAGGCTGGAGTGCAGTGGCGTGATCTCAGCTCACTGCAACCTCCGCCTCCTGGGTTCAAGCAATTCTCCTGCCTCAGCCTCCCGAGTAGCTGGGACTACAGGCGCCCGCCACCACGCCCAGCTTTTTGTATTTTTAGTAGAGATGGGGTTTCACTGTGTTAGCCAGGATGGTCTCGATCTCCTGACCTCAGGTGATCCACCCGCCTCGGCCTCCCAAAGTGCTGGGATTACAAGCGTGAGCCACTGCACCCGGCCCTTTTTTTTCACCTTACAAAAGCAAAACATTTGTGTATCGTCTTGGCCACCCAGAGACATGGACGATCCTGGGACCTGAATTCCATGTACAGCCCAAGTCCCTTCTCCCATTCTCCCAGCGTGGTGGACACCAGGCCCAGGCAGTACAGTACACAGTAAAACTGGCCTCATTCAGGTCGGGCATGGTGGCTCATGCCTGTAATCCTAGCACTTTGGGAGGCTGAGGCAGGAGGATCACTTGAGGCCCAGAGTTCAAGACCAGCTTGGGCAACACAGCAAGACTCCCTGTCTCTATTAAAAATAAGTAAATAAATAAAAATCTGCCTCATTTGACCACGAGCAGCACCTTTTGAATTCTGAAGCTGAGGCAATAACCAAGAAAGAGAGATGTGGGTGAGGCTGAGTTTCTGTCCTTCCCCCAACTCCGCCCCCCGACTACAGGGTACACACTTAAGAGACACAGGGCACAGAAAAGCGGACGCCTGGATGGCTTCACCTCGACCTTTTTTATTTGCATTTTTTAAAAACAATTAAATTAGAATACAAATATTAGAAAACAGCGGCCTTCAGCTGCCCGTGCGGGCGGGAGGGGCCGAGCTGCGCAGCGGGCTGCGGGCTCTGCAGTGAGACTGAACTGCCCTCGGCCAGATGCACGTCCCTTTCTTTAGACCTGAAATGATATTGCTTCCTGACTAGGAGTTCTGTTTATACAAAGGAAAATTCTGGGCTGGGGAGGACAAAAGCAAAACAGACCGCAGGCAGCGGTGTTGGAGAACCAGGTGAGGCCGGTGCCCCGCCTGCGCCCCGGTCTCCTGCGGGGCAAGGGGGGTGCCCAGCTGTGGGCTCCTGAAGGCAGAGCCCTGGTAGCTCCCCCAGTTGTTGGACCCTGAGGCCAAGGGCATGGGTGGGGCCTGCGAGGGGCCGGGAACGCCTGGGGACAGGAAGGAGGCCCCTGGTCTGGTCCTGCTGGAAGAGTGAGGCTCCCGGGGGACAGGGTGCCGGGCCAGCCTCGTACCCGTCGGAAAACCAAGAGCAAAAAGGAGAGGAATCAACCCAAACCGAGAGCCGGGGTGGCCGGGGTCCCTGCTGCCCCTTGGGAAGCGACCGCAACCCATGCCCCAAGGACCGGGGTATGGTGGCGGCGGCGGCGGCGGCAGCTGTGGACATCTGTGGACATCTGTGCTGTTCCGTAGGGAAGTTAACCTGAATTGGAATTACCGAGGTAGCTGGCTAGAAAACTGAGACCCCCCCACGCCACACGGTGCCGCACCCTGGGCCCCCGCCTTCCCCGGGGGTTCCTGACCACACGCCGGGTCTTCAAAATACCAAATTATTGCACTTTCAAAAAATACAACACATCTGTGGCTAAACCCTCCCCAGCCGCCCACTGTACCCCCATCCTGCCCACCCATCCCCCCACCCTACTGCCCCTCCCCGCCCCAACCCACTCCATGGCTTCTCGGCTAAAACGCTCGCTGCTCGGCGCGTGAGGGTCTCTGGGCGAGGATGCATTTGCAGAGAAAAAGCAAAGGAAGAGACAAACGTCAAAGTGGTCGCCAGAGAGGGGCTGCGCCCCACCGCCCGCCGCCCGGGTCCCCGCGCACTGGCTGGAATGGTCGTGGGCAGAGGGCGGCGGGCGGCGGGGCATCCGGAGGGGAGGGCGCGGGGCGGCGTCCTGGTCCCTCCCGCCCACTACCCCTTCCCGGCTCGGACTCCAGCCGGGGAGGCGGCTGTGTGGGTGGCCGGCCTTGTTTTTAAGAGTTTGACTTTTTTGTTTCATTTTTCTTTTTTGTATCTTTTTTTGTCATTTTACTTTTTTTTTTAATCCCCCGATAGGAGAGTCCAGAGGTACAGGTGCCAGGAGCCAGGCAAAAGGGTGGAAAAACAAAACGAACGACAATAAAAAGAAAAAGAAAGGTCACTCCTCCCTCTGCGCCCGAGGCTGGCCCGTGCCCCTCTGCGTGGTGAGCACCAGGAAAGTCGAGTGTGCGGCCGGGGTCAGCAGGCCGGCACCAGGCCCTTCTGGAAGGGGCAGCGGCGCTTGGGCCGGGGCCCCTCTTCGTCCTCGTCTTCCTCCTCCTCTTCCTCCTCCTCCTCATCCTCCGAGGACGATGAGCTGTCCAGCGTGAGGTCCACCACATCGGCGCCCGGCTTCCCATTCTCCATGCTGCCCACCGGGCCGCCGCCACCCGTGCTGCCCAGGGCACCGCTCCCGTTGACGCTGGGGGCGGGCAGGAGCCCATTGGCGTCCGAGGGGCCTACGGGCAACAGGGACAGGGTGCAGGTACTTAGGATGCAACCACTGATAAATGGGGAAACTGAGGCGGCCCTGGCTGCGGACTGCGCGGCTGGTGGGGTGAGGCACTCACCCAGCACGAGGATGGCGCCCTGCGGGCTGCAGCTGCGCTCCTTTTCGGCGCGGATCGGGCACCACGAGCCGTCCACCAGGTACTCGATCTCGTCGGCGTCCTCACACTCGCTCAGGATCTTCGAGAGGAGCCTGGGGCGAGGCGGACAGCTGACGCCGGGGCTGGAGGTGCCCCACCCCCCCAACTCCCCAGCCCTCCATCCCTCCCGGATGCAGCCAGGCACTCCCCACTTCTCTCTGCAAGAGCAGCCTCACCACCCCGACCGCAGGGGTCCAGGGACCCCGCATTCCCTCCCCCGCCCTCAGGCCCCTGCAGGTGCTGAGCCCCAGGCAGGTCTGCAGTGCACGGCACTGCCGGGGGGACGGGGCATGGACACACATACCCAGTGGCCCCCAACTACCCACAAGAGCAGGGAGTGTGGCAGCTGCAGGGGTCCTCCCCACCCTGCCCCTCTGGGCACCTCCGGGTGTGCACGCATGTTTGAGCGTGTGTGGACGTGAGTGTATCTGTGCATGTGTGCGAGCATGTGCGTGTGTGTGCACGTGTGCATGTGTGGAGTCTATGAATGTGTGTGTGTGAGCATGTGTACACACGTGTGAATGGATGCATATGGGCATACGTGAATGTGGACTGTATGGATGTGTGGCATGCGGGTGTGGGCGTGTGTGTGTGACGGTGTGGACTGTACAGATATGTGACGGTGTGGACTGTATAGATGTGTGTGTGTGTGTGACGGTGTAGACCATATAGATGTGTGTGTGCATGTGATGGTGTGGACTGTAGAGATGTGTGTGTGTATGATGGTGTGGACTATATGGATGTGTGACGGTGTGGACTGTATAGATGTGTGTGTATGACAGTGTGGACTGTATAGATGTGAGACGGTGTGGACTGTATAGATGTGTGTGTGTATGACGGTGTGGACTGTATGGATGTGTGACGGTGTGGACTGTATAGATGTGTGCATGTAACAGGTGTGGACTGTATAGATGTGTGTGTGTTTGTATGACGGTGTGGACTGTATGGATGTGTGACGGTGTGGACCGTATAGATGTGTGTGTGTTTGTATGACAGTGTGGACTGTACGGATGTGTGACAGTGTGGACTGTATAGACGTGTGTGTGTATGACGGTGTGGACTGTATAGATGTGTGACGGTGTGGACTGTATAGATGTGTGCATGTAACAGGTGTGGACTGTATAGATGTGTGTGTGTGTGACGGTGTAGACCATATAGATGTGTGTGCATGTGATGGTGTGGACTGTATAGATGTGTGTGTGTATGACAGTGTGGACTGTATGGATGTGTGACGGTGTGGACTGTATAGATGTGTGTGTGTTTGTATGACGGTGTGGACTGTACGGATGTGTGACGGTGTGGACTGTATAGATGTGTGTGTGTTTGTATGACGGTGTGGACTGTACGGATGTGTGACAGTGTGGACTGTATAGATGTGTGTGTGTATGACGGTGTGGACTGTATGGATGTGTGAAGGTGTGGACTGTACAGATGTGTGTGTGTGTGTATGACGGTGTGGACTGTATGTGTGTGTTATGGTGTGGACTGTATGGATGTGTGCAGGTGTGTGTGTGAGACGGTGTGGACTGTATGGATGTGTGCGGGTGTGTGTGTGAGACGGTGTGGACTGTATGGATGTGTGCGGGTGTGTGTGTGATGGTGTGGACTGTATGGATGTGTGCGGGTGTGTGTGATGGTATGGACTGTATGGATGTGTGTGGGTGTGTGTGTGTGATGGTGTGGACTGTATGGATGTGTGGGCATGCGGGTGTGGGTGTGCACGCACACCTGCTTTCACATTGCACTGTGTGCCCGCCAGATCAGGAAACAGGCTGGAGTGAAGGTGCTGGCTGCTCAAAGCCCCTGCAGAGGCTGTGAGGGTAGCAATGGGAGCAGAGTGCGGGCTCCCCACGCCCATGCCAGCCACAGCCTCTCCAGAGCACCCCCACTGTGTCCGGCCTTTTTACTCGGAGGTCCTACCAGCCCCATTTTACAAATGCAGAAACAGAGGCTCGGGAAGGGAACGAGTTCCCTGAGGCCACAAGGCCAACTGGAGGCAGGCCCTGGTTCTGCTCCCCAACCCGTCTTAGCCAAAGGGCCTCAGTCTCCCCACCCGCAGGAAGGGAAAGGTGCAGTGGCTGGGGGGCGTCTGAGGAGAGGCCCCCTGCCCCACGGGTCCATGCAGGGCCCAGGCTGGCCTGTTACTGTCAAGGCTACAGCTGCTCCCAGGCACCCGCAGTGGCATCGTTCTCATCACACAGGAGAGCCCTCGTCCCACTCTGGGCCACCCTTTCTGAGGCTCTCACCCAGGCCAGCCCCTCCGCCCCGCCGAGCTCTCTCTGAGGCGATGCTCGGAGCCCACCGTGCCAGGGCCGCCCCAGGCGTAGCACAGCCCTGCCTGCCCACTTCCCTGCTTGCAAAACTGCTTTTCACCCTCCAAAGCCCCACCCCACAGCTTCTCTTCCTCCTCCCCAAGACACACACAGCAACGGGAACGTTTATGTCTGGCTCTGCTCCTCTATCCGCTCCCCTGGCCAAGAACAAGACTCTGAAGGCAGGGTCTGGGACGGGGCTCTTTTGGGGACCCTGGGGTCACCCAGCTCAGAGCCAGGGACAGAGAGGTGATAGGGCTCATGGAACAAAGTATGAACCAAGGACCCCTCCTCCAGGAAGCCTCCCTGGCTACACCGAGTCCCATGGGCTGCTGAGGCCAAGGCCTGCATGGGACACAGCTGCCTGCCCCAGCCCTGGTGGCCCTGGAGCTGTGAGAGCTGCCGCCACCCCAAGCCCAAGCCCCACTCCGGGCCTGTGGGGGAAGGCGGGCACCCGGCTGCACAGCTGTCAGGCTGGGAACAGAGCAGCCATTCAGGCAGCCCACGTGCCCGGCCCAAAGGACTCCTCTCTCTACCCGAAGCTGGGATGCAAGGGGGTGGCCACCCAGCCCTCCACAGAGGGGACCCAGACTCAGGCTGGGTTCAAGTCTCAGCCTGGCCCCGTGAGCCGGGGTAGCTCCAGCTGCTGGTTGCCTCCTCTGAGCCTGTTTCCTCGTCTGTAAACTGAGGACGCTCACAGGTCTGTCTCCTGGGATGGGGACAAGTGCATGAACCGGAGGTCCACCTGGGGATGAAATCTACAACCCCAGAGGCAGGCCAGCCCTGCCTTCACCTGCACAGTCCGCTGAGGCCATGCCTGAGGGCTGGGGACCCGGCCCACCCCCACAGGCAGGGCCTGCTCCCGCCTGTGAGGGCGCCAGCTTGTGCCGCTGTGGCCTCGCGCCCTGCCGGCGGCTCTGGGGACGAGGTGGGCGCGGTCGGCGCCGGGCAGGAGCCGCATCAGGCACCACAGACAACGGGGCTCAGTTTCTGGAAACTTAAGCCCTGGGCAGAGCCTTCCACCAGGGAGAAAGGTCTTGTCCTCCTGTCCCCTGTGGCCTGGGGAATGCCTGGCCACAGCTGTGCCACCTAGGAAGGGAAGGGCATGGCGTAGCCAGAGTGCTCCAGGAGGCGCCACCTCCTTTGCCTTTCTGTGAGGAGGTCACCCCCAAGGCTGCGCGTCCTGGGGTGAACGCCGTGTGAAAGCACGACCTGGCTCAGTTTTTTGTGGCACAAACCACACTCCTGGAGCTCAGGGTCACACTTGCCTGAGGTCACGTGGGAGCGGGGTGGACCGGAGCCCACCTTCTGCAACCTAAGCTACGTGGCTGTCACCTGCATAGCAAAGGCTCTGAGAAGTTCCGCGAGAAAGAAACCGGCTCTTTTCGCAGCCCGGGGTTTCCAAAGCTCCAGGACCATGTGCCCCCACTGCTGTGTCTTGCTGGGGCACCATGTGGTCTGCAGGAAGCGGGGTGCCACCGAGACCTCCACGGATGTCCGGCTCCGGCCGCCCTCCCCGGGGCCCCGGGCTCACCCGTCGATGATGAGCTGGTCGTAGGGGGCTGGCTTGTCGCACACGGGGCACATCCAGGTGGGCTTCTTCTCGTTCATCTGCAGGTAGAAGACGGCGTCGAAGCACTGCAGGTGGGCACAGGTCTCTGCCCGGCAGGGCACGGAGAGCCGCATCTTCACCAGCTGTGGGGGAGGGGCTGCGTGAGCAGGGCACCCCTCCTGTTGTGCCCGCCTGCCCGGTGCCCCTCACCCCCAGCTCCATCCTGTGGCTCGCTCCAATCACTCATGCCTCAGGAACACGGAGGGGACGAAGACCAGCCTCGCCCCCGCAGGCTCACGGCCCAGCCAAGCCGCCCCGGGCCCAGGGCCGCCAGGGGGGAAGGCCGGCCGCAGGAGAGGCCTCGAGGAGGGGACCGCGCCCCGACTCACCGGACAGATGAGGGACACCCGCACACCGGTGGTGGCGATCTCGCTGTCAGGATCAAGGCGCAGCTTCTCCTTGACTGTGGGGAGGGAACGGAAGACACCGTCAGGAGGGTGGGAACAGCAGGGCGCGGGGCTGTGATTCGAGTTCTCTCCGGCACTGACGTCCACCTCCCAGAACAGGCCCCTGACGATGAGTCCCAAGCTTCGCTGTGTGGCTCGGGGCCGTGAGGGATTGGAGAAAGCCGGGTGGCAACCACCATTAGATTTGACCACAACCTGGGCACAGCACAGACCCAGCCGAAGCCCCCACACGGAGGTGGCCTATGTGGCCTCCCCCACCCTGCGTGGACTATGACCCATGGGACTTTTCTGGCAAGTTTCATGCAACACAGCCACCGAAAGAGTCATTGCTGTGACTTCATTCTGTCACCGAAGCACCATCCCCAAGGCCACAGCGGGGAATGAGGCAGGGACTCTTTGGGAGACGGATCCTGGGGCTTCCTGGCTGTGAGCCAGCAAGCGGCTGCCGCCCAGCCCCAGCACCGCCCCAAGGCAGCCTGCAGACAGGAGTGTAGCTGCTTCTTTAAAGGAAAAGACGGTGCCCGCCAGCAAGCTGCACGGAACATGGGGAAACATATGTGAAACATGAAGTCTTGGAGGCAGGCGCCGCCCTCCCCTCGACGGGCAGCAGGCCCACAGCCAGAAGGAAACTCACGCAGGGACCCTGGCTGCCCTCCTGAGGCTTCTGGGATGTGGCTCCATCCCAGGGTAAACTCCATCCATGGGTAGCTCAGGAGAGACCCCAGCCCTGGGCCATGGGGGGCAGGCCACCCTGGCCCACAACCCACAGGGCCTCTCCATCCACCACCTGGCCCTCAGCTGCCTGGTGGACCAGTGTTGCTTCCTCCAGGAAGCCACCTGCCCAAGTGACTTGGGGTCCAGAGTGATGGTGCCAGCCTGCCCCCCCACTCCCCCCAGCTGTCCTGACGTTCCTCCGCCTGGAAATGCCCCTACCACCCCTTATTGGCCTGAAACACCACTTATCTCTGCCCGCTTGGGAGCCACTTCCTCCTTCCTGACCCCCACCCAGACCCCCAGCCGGGGTGTGGAGCAGTGGGCTCTTCCTTCTCCCGTGGGGACGTGGTGGCAGCCACGTGCTGGCTCCCAGCAGCTCCCCTGCTTGAGCCAAGGCTGCCCCAGCCGCTCACTCCTCAGCTGAGTTTCCATCCTTGGATCCCAGCTCTGGCTACCCGGTGCCCGGGTGGACCCTCAAGCCTGGCAAAGGGGCAGCTAGGAGGGGATGCAGGTGCCCATCTGATTTTAAAGCAAACTCTCCCTCCTTTGTGTATGGAGAGACGTGCGCAGCAGGAAGGGTTCAAGTGAGGCAAAGGTGAGGACTTCCTAGGTGCAGCAAGAAAGAAATCCAGTGACAGAGAGGCTGAGCCTGGGGCCGGCTGTGGGAAGCAGCAGGAGACCCCTTCGGAGAGGAAGCCTGACCCCACAGCCCCCAGCACTGCGGGCTCTGGTCACTGAGGAGTTAAGCCCGGCCCCCACCCCGTGGGCCTAGAAGAGGCCTGCCCGGCCCCAGCCTCCTCCCTCAAGTTGGCCATGTCCCCACAGGCAGGGAAGGTCGGGGGCGGTTGAAAAAAGGGCCCTTTGAGGGAAGAGGGAGGTGGGGCGGGGTAACCCAGGACACAGAACCCTAACTTTGCCACTCTGTGCCTCAGTGTCCCCACTGGTCACACGGGTACATAGCCAGGCCCTCCATCCCCGAGCCTGGAGGAGGCTGGCCAAGGATGCCGGACTCCGTGGAGGGACCCCTCACCCTCCACGTCCTGCTCTGCAGAGGGGGTGCTGCCGGCTATCTTTCCTGACTTGGGGGGCTGGAGTGCACAGGAGGCTTCAACACGATGGGGCTCGCAGGCCCCTGGCAGTGCCAGCACTGCTCCAGGCTTCTGGACACCCAGGCAAGGAGGTGCCCTTTGGTGGTCAGGAACAGGGACCAGAGGCCTGGGCCTGGCTGTGCCAGGAGGGCAGTGCTCATGGGGAACTCTCTGGCCTGGGCACAGGGGCCTGGGCAGCTAGGAGGGGCAGCTGGAAGACCCTCTGGCCCACATTCTGCCAAGGGGCTGGGGTGGTGCCCAGATTCCACCTGAAAACAGCCACCATTCGGGAAGGGGGTGCGAGCAAACCCGGCTGGCCCAGAACCGCCCTCTCGTCAGCCTGGCAGGTGGTCCCAGTCCTCACCCACCTGCCTGACTCCCACTCCCAGCTCCAAATGACTCCAGGTTAGGCCTAGCCTCTCCATAAGACAGGCCTGCAGAGCCCACTGAGGCCTGGGCCCCAAGCATGTGGGGTCCAGAGAGATGTCCAGGTGCCCTCAAGATGGCTCAGATCTATTCTCCTGAAGACAGTGGCCACCAGAGAAGGCCAGCGACTTTCTGAGGCCACACAGCCGCCAGGCAGGGCTAACTGCTGTACGCTGGCTTTGTGCTGCGTGGCTGCTTGGGGTGAGGACTGATTTGCCTACCAGGCTTGGCAGGCTTTTTTTTTTTTTTGAGATGGAGTCTCACACTCTCACCCAGGCTGGAGTGCAGTGGCACGATCTCCGCTCACTGCAAGCTCTGCCTCCTGGGTTCACGCCATTCTCCTGCCTCAGCCTCCCGAGTAGCTGGGACTACAGGTGCCTGCCACCACGCCTGGCTAATTTTTTGTATTTTTAGTAGAGATGGGGTTTCACCATATTAGCCAGGATGGTGTTGCTCTCCTGACCCCATGATCTGCCCGCCTCGGCCTCCCAAAGTGCTGGGATTACAGGTGTGAGCCACTGCGCCTTGCCGGCAGGCTTTCTTTTAAAATTGCTCTGCGTGTCACTTAAAAAAAATTGTTTTCATTGTTACAAGGACAAAAGAGACCAGGTGCGAAAGTGGCCAAGACTGTAATCCCAGCACTTTGGGAGATTGAGGCAGGTGCACTGCTTGAGCTCAGGAGTTTACGACCAGCCTGGGCAACACAGCAAGATTCCATCTCTACGAAACATTAAAAAATTAGTTGGGGCCGGGCGTGGTGGCTCACGCCTGTAATCCCAGCACTTTGGGAGGCCGAGGCAAGCGGATCACGAGGTCAGGAGCTTAAGACCATCCTGGCTAACAAGGTGAAACCCCGTCTCTACTGAAAATACAAAAAATTAGCCGGGCATGGTGGCACATGCCTGTAGTCCCAGCTACTCAGGAGGCTGAGGCAGAAGAATCGCTTGAACCCAGGAGGTAGAGGTTTCAGTGAGCCGAGATCGTGCCATTGCACTCCAGCCTGGGCAACAGAGTGAGACTCTGTCTCAAAAAAAAAAAAAAAAAAAAAAAAAAAAATTAGTTGGGTGTGGTGGTGAACACATGTGGTCCCAAGCTACTCAGGAGGCTGAGGCAGGAGGATGGCTTGAGCCCGAGTTAGAGGCTACAGTGAGCCACGATCCCACCACTGCACTGTAGCCTGGGCGATACACCGAGACACTTTTTTTTTTGAGGTGGAGTCTCGCTCTGCAGCCCAGGCTGGAGTGCAGCGATGCAGTCTCAGCTCACTGCAACCTCTACCTCCCAGAGACCCTGACTCTCTAAAAAAAAAAGAAAAAGAAAAAGAAAAAAGATTAAACGGGGCCTCACCAACGTGAGGTCAGACCGCCGCCGCCCGTCTTCCTCCCACAGCAACTGCCTCCACGACCCTGGCCGTCCGTGACCCGCCAGGTCCCGCAGCACCCTCGGCCCCGCTGAGGCAACGAGAAGGGGCTGCTTAGACCACAGCTCCCTCTGTGCTCCTCTCACCCCTCCCGGCCTCTGTGCTGTCCCGGAATGAGGCTCCAGCTCTTCTGCTGCTTAGACCCCTGTGGGCTGGAGCACCTGGGGCCAGCAACACGAGGTGTGACCCCACAGGCCTCCGCACAGCAGCTCCCACTGCCAAGTGCCCCCTCTGCCATCCGTATCCTCCAGAGACCTCCCCAGCCACAGCCGGGGGGCCATGGACCCCCAGAGTGACAGGCGGCCCCTGATCGATCTCCTCCGGGTGCAGGGCCCCCCGCTTCACCCAGCACAGGGCGGGTTTCCAGGGTGGACTTGGCACCCCTCGGCCGAGGTGGCCTGAGCTGCTCACCCAGTGCCTTGCACAGCTCCGGGTGCTTTACCCCAATGGTCTTCAGCCTCTGCAGCAGCTCCGATGAGGTCAGCTGCCGCACCAGGTACAGGGCCACCGAGTAGCTCTGGGGACAGAAGGAAGGGGTCAGGGCTGGCAGGACGGGGCCGGGGTTGGGGGGCAGGGTGGGCACCCGGGCACGCACTCACCTTGCCGTAGTTCCCCCAGGTGACAGTGATGCGGTTGGTGGCCGAGGACAGGTACATGAGGTGGGTGAGGTTGATGGGGCGGCACGGCCTCTTGGGCTCCACCCCGGGCTTATTGGAGGGGTAGTAGCCCTGCAAGCAGATGGGCCGCTCAGCCTCGAGCCAAGAGCGGCTGGGAAATCCGACGGCCCCCACCCTCCCTCCACGCCCCCCAAACCCGTGCAGCCGACGCGGGGGCGGGGCATGCTCACCGGGACGGAGCAGTAGCTGTGGTTGACCTTCACAGCGATGTTGGGCGGGTACTGGTCCTCCTGAGGGCAGCTGGTGTCTGAGTAACAGATTCTGCAACGACAACAGGGACCATGGGGCGGGGAGGGGGCGCACAGGAGGGACTAGGCTGCTGCGGGGGTACACGAGTGGTAGCCAGGCGGCAGTGATGGGGGCACCGGAGAATGTGACACGGGGGGTATCAGGGCCCCCGGGTGTGGCCTGAGTGGGGGTCGGATGGTGATGTATCCCCAGACAGGGATAGACAGCAGGTGAGGAGAGCTGGGCTCTGCTGTTAGCAGGGGAGACTGAGAAGGGCCTGGGCCAGGACTGGGGGGCGGGGAGGGGCGGGTGGCTGGGGGTCCAGCCCTGGGGTCGCGGGCACACCTGGGCATACCTCAGGACGACCTGCACGGCTTTAACTCCGGGCTGCAGTTCCCTGTGGGTGTGGAGCAAACCAGAGGAAAGGAAAGGAGAGCTGAGTGAGGAGGGCGTGACCCCAGCCCACCCGACAAGGTGGAGACCGCCACACCACAAGGCTCCCTCCCCCAGAGCTGGGAAACTGAGGCCCAGGACTCTTTTGTACGGGCTGGGTGAGAGGAGTGGCTGTGAGGTCAGGAGAGGGGCTGGCCTCCCTGGAAAATGCAACAGAATCCACAGCAAAACCCTGAACCAGAGAGGGCAGCCAGGTGCCTCTCCCTGCGAAGAAACATAGCTAAAACGTGCATGCGGGAATCTAGCAGCTGGCTCACAATGGCAAGAAAACACCCAGTTTGGGAGGTCAAGGCTGGCGGAGCTCTTGAGCCCAGGAATTTGAGACGAGCCTGCGCAACATGGTGAAACTGTCTCCACAAAAAATTACCCAGGCGTGGTGGTGCACACCTGTGGTCCCAGCTGCTTGGAGGCTGAGGCAGGGGGATCGTCTGAACCCATGGAGGCACAGGCTGCAAGCTATGATTGCACCACTGCACTCCAGCCTGGGTAACAAAGAGAAACACTCTCCAAAAAAAAAAAAACAAAAACCAGTAACACCTGAGGATAAACTTTAACAAGAAACGCCCCCAGAAGAAGAGGAAAAAGTCTATCTACCCAAAGACGCATCCGTGGATGTTCACAGCAGAACTGACCACAACAGCCACAAACTAGCAGCATCCTGAGTGTCCTTCCGTAGACCGAAGGACCAACACGCACGGGACGCGACCCAGCCATGGAAAGGAGCCAGGCTCAGACCCAGGCCTCAGCACAGGTGCACCGTGAGGATGTCCCACCCAGTGAGAGACGCCAGACACGAAAGGACACACAAGGCAGGTGGCTCACGCCAGTAACCCTGGCACTTTGGGAGGCGGAGGTGGGTGGGTCACTTGAGGTCAGGAGTTCGAGACAAGCCTGGGCAATATGGTGAAACCTCGTCTCTACTAAAAATACAAAAATTAGGCCAGGTGCAGTGGCTCACGCCTGTAATCCCAGCACTTTGGGAGGCCGAGGCGGGCGGATAACAAGGTCAGGAGATCGAGACCCTCCTGGCTATCATGGTGAAACCCCGTCTCTACTAAAAATACAAAAAAAAAAATCAGCC
Organism: Homo sapiens; assembly: GCF_000001405.40. NCBI lineage: Eukaryota > Metazoa > Chordata > Mammalia > Primates > Hominidae > Homo > Homo sapiens. The sequence continues at coordinate 4,027,008 of NC_000019.10, read as the reverse complement.
AGGCGTGGTGGCGGGTGCCTGTAGTCCCAGCTACTTGGGAGGCTGAGGCAGGAGAATGGCGTGAACCCAGGAGGCAGAGCTTGCAGTGAGCCAAGATCGTGCCACTGCACTCCAGCCTGGGCCTCGGAGTGTGACTCTGTCTCAAAAAAAATACAAATATTAGCTGAGTGTGGTGGTGCACGCCTGTAATCCTAGCTAGTCAGAAGTCTGGGGCAAGAGAATCACTTGAACCTGGGAGGCGGAGATTGCAGTGAACTGAGATCGCGACACTGCACTCCAGCCTGGGCGACAGAGTGAGATTCTGTCTTAAATAATAATAATAAACGAAAGCCACATAGTATGTGATTCCACTTCTATGAAATGTCCAGGACAGACCCATTTACAGACAGGAGGGGATGCGTGGGGGCCAGTGGATGAAGGGTGGCAGCTGCTGGGGATGGACATGACTGCCCTGAGACTAGGCAGTGGTGGGAGCTGCGATACCTACTGATCCACGAGAACCCACTCGATGACACCCTTAAAAACTGTATATTCTATGGTATGCAAATCATATCTCGACATAAGAAAAAGAAATGTGGGATGGGCAGGGTGGCTCACGCCTGTAATCCCAGCACTTTGGGAGGCAGATGTGGGGTGGATCACGAGGTCAAGAGATTGAGATCATCTTGGCCAACATGGTGAAACCCTGTCTCTACTAAAAATACAAAAATTAGCCAGGCGTGGTGGTGCGCACCTGTAGTCCCAGCTACTCGGGAGGCTGAGTCAGGAGAATCGCTTGAACCTGGGAGGCAGAAGTTGCAGTGAGCCGACATCACGCCACTGCACTCCAGCCTGGCGACAGAGCGACTTCATTTCAAAAAAAAAAAAGAAAAAGAAAAAGAAATGTCCAGAAGCTTTCTGAGGAGAAAACCAAACTTTTTTTTTTTTTTTTTTTTGAGACGGAGTCTCCCTTTGTTGCCCAGGCTGGAGTGCAGTGGCAGGATCTCGGCTCACTGCAAGCTCCGCCTCCCGGGTTCACGCCATTCTCCTGCCTCAGCCTCCCGAGTAGCTGGGACTACAGGCGCCCGTCACCACACCCGGCTAATTTTTTTGTATGTTTGGTAGAGACGGGGTTTCACTGTGTTAGCCAAGATGGTCTCGATCTTCTGACCTCGTGATCCACCTGCCTTGGCCTCCCAAAGGGCTGCGATTACAGTTGTGAGCCACCGTGCCCAGCCCAAACTGATTTTTTTATACTGTGTGGCTGGCTCTGAGCACTCTGCAGCAGGGACCCAGTGCAGGTGGAGGCTGTGCTGACCCAGGTACATAGACAAGGAAGACGAGGCTGAGAAAGACGAGGTCGCCACCTTGGGTCACCCAGGCAGAGAGGCCTCCATGGCCAAGCCTGGCTCGGCTGGATCTGAACCCTTACTAGGTGTGAGGGCCAGGCTGGGAGGCCCCAGGAACCTGGCCCCACAGCAGGTGGGGGCGGTGGGTCTGAAGCGGCTGGGCACGAGAAGCTAGGCATTAAATGGGGGCGCCCGGCCCAGCCCTGCCATGGACTCAGGGGTGACCTGGGCAAATGGCCTCCCCTGTCCTAAGGGCCCAGCACCTACCATTAGCCTGCCCAGCAGGAATCTGTCTCAGCTGGAGGCAGTACAGCCTCGGAGAGACTGAGGGAGGAGCAGAGCGCAGGGCAGCCACACTGGCCCCTCACCTGCCACAGTTCAACCGTCCTCATCTGAGGACGACCCTGCCCCAGGCGACACCGAGCTGTGTCTGGGGACATCTGTGGTTGTCAGAGTTAGGGGTGTTCCTGGCACAGAGCAGGTGGAGGCCAGGGATGCTGCTCAGCAGCCTGCAGTGCCCAGGACGGCCCCACCGAGGGAACCATCCCACCTCACTATCCACGGTATGGAGGGGGAAACCCCGTATTCATTATATAACTGGGAAAAAACCTGACTTCCGCCAGGCGCAGTGGCTCACGCCTGTAATCCCAGCATTCTGGGAGGCTGAGGTGGGTGAATCACCTGAGTCAGGAATTCGAGACCAGCCTGATCAACATGGCAAAACCCTATCTCTACTAAAAATACAAGATTAGCCGGGCGTGGTAGTGAGCGCCTGTAATCCCAGCTACTTGGGAGGCTGAGGCAGGAGAATTGCTTGAATCCAGCAGGTGGAGGTTGCAGGAAGCCAAAATCGCGCCACTGCACTCCAGCCTGGAAGCCTGGATAACAAGAGCTACACTCAGTCTCAAAAAAAAAAAACAAAAAAACACCTGACTTAACTTCCTGCTCATGCTGGACACCAGAATAAATTCCTAAGGCGGGCGGTGTAAACCGGGGACCCCCAGCTCCTGGGATTCACCTACTTTCTCCCCCTCCAATTCAGGGTGTGGATTTCAATGTATGCAGCCTTCTGGGACCTCAGCAGGGCAGAGGATCATGGGACACAGAGTCTCTTGGGGATACGTGGAATCCCCTAACCCAGGGAGGTCTCGCCCGGGTTATCCTGCCCTAGGGGACACTGGACAATGTCTGGGGACATCTGTGGTTGTCACAACAGGGGTGTGTTCTTGTCATGGCGTGGGTGGAGGCGAGGAATGCTCCTCCGCTCCCTGCAATGCCCAGGATGGGCCCAGGAGGGCAAGACCGTGTTAAAAGGGCACAGTCAGTCCGCCTCTCTCTAGCAGGCTGCAGGGCACAGGCAGTGGGCACACAGGCCAGCACCTGAGACCCAGGATGGGGTTTTCTGGAAGGAAGCAAACCCGGCCACTGCCTTGCAGCACGGTTCTGGACTGAGCCCGAGCGAGGCCTGCAGTGGACGTGGCTGCCGGCTCTCCCCAGTGAGCCCAGGAGAAAGTGGGTGGGCGGGCGGTGGGGTGCTGGGCTGGGGGAGGTGCCGCACACCTGGAGTTCCGGATCAACTCCACCTGTCTTGGCGTCAATGCGAAGATGCACGGGCTCTCCTGAAGCTTCTCGTTGTTCTGTGGGACTGAAGACAAACACGGGGTCAGGGGCATGTCTGGTCCCTGGCAGGTCCCCCGAGCCCAGTCGCTTTTCCCAGCCTGCGCCTCTTCAGACCAGGAAACAGGAAATGGGAAGTTGGCTGGACAGATATGTGGGGCAGAGGTGGGGGCCGCCCAGGAAGGAGGATGAGGGAGGACTCCCGCCCATCCCCTTCTCGGGGCCGCTCACCATGGCCTGTGTCCTGTTGACGGCCACTCAGATTGCTGGGTGACCTTCGCAGCCTGTGGGATGCAGGCGTCTACTTAGGAAACCGAAAAGTGCCGAGCTGCCTGGCGGGGAGAGCTGGACCCAGCCAGGCCAGCAGGACACTGCCATACCTCCTCTCTCCTGAGCACAAACCGGACCCGGCCCTTGCTCTCCTCCTGCCTGCAGGGTGGCCACGTCACCCGGACAGAGGTGGTGCGGGGGGTACTGACGGGATGAAGGCCATGGTGCTCACAAGCCTGGGCCCTACCCTCTTACTTACAACTGGACTGACAGGCAGAGGCGCAGTCAGAAAACATTGGTTTTTGTTTGTTTTGTTTTGTTTTGTTTTGTTTTGGAGATGGAGTTTTACCCTGTCGCCCAGGCTGGAGTGCAATGGCACGATCTCGGCTGACTGCAACCTCCGTCTCCCGGGTTTAAGCGATTCTCCTGCCTCAACCTCCCGAATAGCCACCAAGCCTGGCTAATTTTTGTATTTTTAGTAGAGATGGGATTTCGCCATGTTGGCCAGGCTGGTTTCGAACTCGTGACCTCAGGTGATCCGCCCATCTCAAACTCTCAAAATGCTGGGATTACAGGCGTGAGCCACTGTGCCCAGCCAGCCCCATTTTTTTTTTTTTTTTTGAGACTTTGTTTCACTCTTGTTGCCCAGGCTGGACTGCAATAGCACAATCTCAGCTCACTGCAACCTCCACCTCCTGGGTTCAAGTGATCCTCCTGCCTCAGCCTCCCAAAACAGCTGGGATTACAGGCATGAGCCACCACGCCCGGCTAATTTTCTATTTTTAGTAGAGGTAGGGTTTCTCCATGTTGGCCAGGCTGCTCTCGAACTCCCGACCTCAGGTGATCTGCCCACCTCGGCCTCCCAATGTGCTGGAATTACAGGCATGAGCTACGGCGCCTGGCTGCCGCATCTCTTAAAAAAACAGCAGGGTGTGGTGTCTCAAAAAAAAAAAAAATAGCCAGGCCTGGTTCGGGCGCCTGTAATCCCAGCTACTTGGGAGGCTGAGGCAGGAGAATTGTCTGAAGCTGAGAGGCAAAGGTTGCAGTGAGTGGAGATCACACCACTGCCTGGGCGACAGAGTGAGACTGTTTCCAAAAAAACCCAAAAAAACAAAAACAAAAACAAACGGCCAGGCGCGGTGGCTCACGCCTGTAATCCCAGCATTTTGGGAGGCCGAGGGGGGTGGATCACGAGGTCAGGAGATCGAGACCATCCTGGCTAACACGGTGAAACCCCATCTCTACTAAAAATACAAAAAATTAGCTGGGTGTAGTGGCAGGCGCCTGCAGTCCCAGCTACTAGGGAGGCTGAGGCAGGAGAATGGCGCGAACCTGGGAGGCGGAGCTTGCAGGGAGGCGAAGCTTGCAGTGAGCCAAGATCGTGCCACTGCACTCCAGCCTGGGCTACAGAGCGAGACTCTGTCTCAAAAAAAACCACCAAAAACAACAACAACAACAAAAAAAACAAAACTCTAGCTGAACAACAAAAAGACAGTGAGAACACAAACTACCAATATCAGAAATGAAAGAACAATAGTACAGACCCTACAGCTTTTCGGTTCAATAGGGGAATAAAAGGTGAAACTTTATGCCAATGAATCTGACAACTTAGTGACATGGACAAATCCTCCCAAAGATGCAAATTACCAAAACGGGTACCAAAAGATACAGGAAGTTTGAAAAGCTCTTTACCTGTTAAGGAAGTTGGATCCATAATTAAAACCTTTTCTGAAAACTGCAGGTCCAGATTGGGCATGGTGGCTCATGCCTGTAATCCCAGCACTTTGGGGGCTGAGGTGGGTGGATTGCTTGAGCCCAGGAGTTTGAGGCCAGCCTGGGCAACAAAGTGAGACCTTGTCTCTACAAAAAATTTTTAAATTAGCCAGGTGTGGAGGTGCACACCACCTGTAGTCCCAGCTACTTTGGAGGCTGAGGCAGGAGGATTGCTTGAACCCAGGAAGTGGAGGCTGCAGTGAGCCATGATCGTACCACTGCACTCCAGCCTGGGCAACAGAATCAGACCCCATCTCAAAAAAAAAAAAAAAAAAAAAGAAAAAGAAAATGCAGGTCCATATCGGTGAATTCTATAAAACATTTTGGAAAGAAACCACATAAACCGTACATAAACTCTTTCAAAAAACAGAGAAGGAAAGCATACTTCTTATTTTACAAGGCCAGCATAACTCTGATACCAAAACCTCACAACTCAGCATCAAGGAAGGAAAATTCCCGATGAATACCCCTCATGAACACAGATGTAAAATCCTCCACAAAATATCAGCCAGTATTTCAGGCCCCTGCGATTTGTGTAGAAATCCAAGACCGGTTTAAATCCTCTCTACACACCCAGGCCAGGTGCGGTGGCTCATGCCTGGAATCCCAGCACTGTGGAGGCGAGGCAGGTGGATCACTTGAGGTCAGGAGTTCAAGACCAGCCTGGACAATATGGTAACCCCATCTCTACTAAAAATACAAAAATTAGCCAGGCATGGTGACACACGCCTCTAATCCCAGCTACTCGGGAGGCTGAGGAGAATCGCTTAAACCCAGAAGGCGGAGGTTGCAGTGAGCCGAGATTGTGTAACTGCACTCCAGCCTGGGTGACAGAGTGAGGCTCTGTATCAATAATATAAAATGAGGTAAAATAAAATAAAATACCTCTCTACACACCCACTAGCATGGCTAAAATGAAAGGACTGGCAACTCTAAGAGATGGCAAAGGTGTAGAGCAATCAGAACTCTCTGCTGGTGGGGTTATAAGACAGTACCATCACTCTGGGAAACTACCCTTATAAAGGTAAGCACAGACCTACCCTATCACCCAGGAATCAGGAATCCCACTCCAAAGTATTTTCCCTCAATACATGGAAACATGCGTTCAAAGAAACTTGCAGGCTGGGCACAGCGGCTCATGCCTGTAACCCCAACCCTTCAGGAGGCCAAGGTGGGAGGATCGCTGTAGCACAGGAGTTGGAGCCCAGCCCAGGCAACACAGTGAGACCTTGTCTCTAAAAAAAGTTTTTAAATAAGCCTGAGCCAGGTGTGCTGGTGTGCAGCTGTCATTCCCGCTACTCAGGAGGCTGAGGTGAGAGGACTGCTTGGGCTCAGAAGTTCGAGACCAGCCTGGGCAACATAGCAAGACTGTGTCTACATTAAAAAATATATTTAGATACAAAGCAAAAACGCTGAGCAGCGTGCACGTCCTGCTATCACTTGTGTAATGAAAATGGAGAGAAGGCATCTGAGTAAACACCTATTTGTTTATAAGTGTAAAAAATATCGGAAGAGCGTGGGGGAGCGAGAATCTGGCCACAATGGCAGCCTTGCAGTGGCCGGGAGACGAGACAACGAGATGACAGGCAAGCCCTTTAGAACAGGGATGGCGAACTGCCCCTGGTAAAGGCTGGAGCTCATCAGCTTCGCAGGCTATGTCTGTGCTCCCAGGTGCTCCCAGGACGGCAGTGCACACAGTGGTGTGGCCTGCACCCACGACAGGGCCTTTACAAGAACCGGAGCCATGGGATCGCACCTCAACTACCAGCACTGTCTTGGAACTTTCTCAATTAAAACCCACGAGAAGCCGGGTGCAGTGGCTCACGCCTGTAATCCCAGCACTTTGGGAGGCCGAGGCAGTCGGATCATGAGGTCAGGAGATAGAGACCATCCTGGCTAACATGGTGAAACCCCGTCTCTACTAAAAATACAAAAAATTAGCCGGGCGTGGTGGCAGGCGCCTGTGGTCCCAGCTACTCGGGAGGCTGAGGCAGGAGAATGGCGTGAACCTGGGAGGCGGAGCTTGCAGTGAGCTGAGATCCTGCCGCTGCACTCCAGCCCGGGCGACAGCGAGACTCCATTTCAAAAAAAAAAAAAAGAAAAAAGCCAGACTCCCTGGGCTCGGCTCCCAGCCCTGCCAGGGCCTCTGTGGCCTCAGCCTGCACGTCCCGCCCATGTTGACCTGTTTCTTCGGGGACCGGTGCCGGGTCTGTGGCTGGCCCTCAGGAAGAGGGGGCTGCCACAGCCGGTTCCCGTTTATATGCTCAGGGCACAGCCAGTCTCTGCAGAGGTGATGGGCTGTGGAGTCCCGGCTGGGCCCTTGAGGAAGGCCGCCTAATTGGGAGGGGGGCACACAGGCCACCTGCAGACGCGCCCAGGTCTGCCCTGAGTGCCAGGGGAGCAATGGTTCAGGGGCAGGGAGGCTGCACGGGAGCCTACACCTGAGCTGGGCCTTGAGCTTCCAGGCTGGGTCGGAGGTGAAAACACAGACACCCCACCCCTCAGTGTCTCAGAAGGAGGTAGGGGAGAAGGGTGGGTCCCCAGCAGGCAGCAAGGGAGCCACCCAGCTGGCCAGGGATTGTTGCCAGCCCATGCCTGGGGCAGACAGGGCCCAGTCATTGAAGAACAAGACTCTGGGGTCCCTGCCCTGGGAGGGCTCCTCCCTCTGGGGGAGACCGGGCTGTGCTTCTCTGCTGGGGGCCTGGGAGGTGCCCTGTGCTCTCACTGCTGTGCCACTGGCCCCGGGCCGCTGACGGTTCCCCCCAAACACCCGGCCCCCCTATGCTGGGGAAGGGGCTGTGGGGTCTCCCTCAAACCTGCCCTTCTGCCCTCGGGGTCAGCTGTTTGGGGCCAGAAACCCAGGTGGCATCCATGAAGCCCCCGTCTCTGCTGTCCTGCAAACATCCACTCCCTCAGCCAGTCCTGTCAGCTCTGTTTTCAAATCCCGCCCGGTGCAGACGACTGCCCCCAGCTCTGCCGGTCTCAGCAGCCAGAGCCCGCCCCCTGGGATGGCTCCGCAGGAGACCCCTGACCCTCAGTACCCCTGCTCAGGGCCACACACACCCCGGCGCACACACGGCCACCACCCTGGCCTCCTGCTTGGGCCCCACCAGCCATGCTGCATCAGGGCCTCCGCACCTGCCATTCCCTCTTCTGGAACCTTCCTCCCCCGACCAGCCTCATGGCCCTATATTTGTCTTTGTACAAATGTCACCAGAAGGAAAGCCTTCGCTGAGCACCCCATTTAAAAACCGCACCCCCCGCCACCTCACTTTTCTCCAAACCTTCTCCTCCTAAGGAGCGACTCAGTTTCCCTACATCACTCTGCTGCTCCTTCTTGTTGGGCCACTGAAGCATGAAGTTCCCCAAGGGGGAGATGGTTTCGTGGGCTGCCCAGCATCCAAGGCCACGGGACCAAGGCAAGGGCACCACTGAACCAGATGCACCTTTGGGGCCAGGTGCAAGATCAGGTGACCACGGGGGCCCTGCCAGGCAGAGCCGGTTCTGGGGTGAGGTGCTCAGCCAGGCCCTCCGGCCCGGGCACGAAAAGCAGCCCCTGGGCCCGATCCGAGAGCCCAACAAGAAGGGCCCAGCCGTTGGCTCCACCCAAGGCTGCCAGGGAGCCTCACGAGATGCTGCTGACGATGAATATTTAACGCTGTGAGCAGATGCTCACAGTATGGGGGGTGGTTATAAAATAGCAGCCAGGACACAGCCACACATTCCTACAATCACACATGCAAAGGGAGAAGGCGGCAAGCACCGGCCCGGTGTACCGAGGCGGCCCACTCGGGCAGCAGGGCGCCGGCCGGACTGCTCTGCTGTTGACTCCAGTTTTCTAGGACAAGCGCATAATTGTACAAGTTTAAATAGAAATGAAACACAGGGAGTTTTTAAAAGGCTGACTGGGGCCGGGCCTGGTGGCTCACGCCTATAATCCCAGCACTTTGGGAGGCCGAGGCAGGTGGATCACTTGAGGTTAGGAATTCAAGACAAGCCTGGTCAACATGACGAAACCCCGTCTCCATTAAAAATACAAAAAATGAGACTGGGCGCAGTGGCTCACGCCTGTAACCCCAGCACTTTGGGAGGCCAAGGTAGGTGGATCACCTGAAGTCAGGAGTTCAAGACTAGCCTGGTCAAGATGGTGAAACCTCGTCTCTACTAAAAGTACATAAAATTAGCTGGGTGTGGTGGTGCGTGCCTGTAATCTCAGTTACTTGGGAGGCTGAGGCAGGAGAATCGCTTGAAGCCAGGAGGCTGTAGTAAGCCAAGATCGCGCCACTGCACTCCAGCACGGGCGACAGTCAGACTCCATCTCAAAAAAAAAAAAAAAAAAAGCTGATCGGATGGGACCATTCCCCCTCCAGCTGGCCCATGTGCTGGCCCCCTCCCCAGGCTGTCCCCTCCCCGGCACATACAAGTTCTCTAACTCCCGGACCCACCCTGTCCAGCTAAGAGCTACCAGCACTGATTCCCCAACCCAGGTCCCCCAGATCAAGAGTAGAGGCAGCACAGTCAGGTATGAGGGACACAGGGGGCACTGTCCTGGAGGGGCGGGGAACAGGTGCCCCTGGCTAGGCACAGGGGTGATGCCGACCACTCTACCCATCAGTGAAAACATTCACAGGCTGCCATGGGAGGGGGACCAGTGGGCAGGAAGCAGAGCAGGAGGCTGCAGCCAGCGGGCAGGTTGGGGAGCTGGGCTGGGCAGGGCAGGGGGCCACAGGGGATGGGAGAAGGACTAGCGGGACATGGGGGTGGCTGCTGGCAGCCCCCCATCTGGTAGCAGTGGGCCCATCCCTCCTCTTCAACCTGAAGGCCAAGACCTGGGGCAGAGCTGGCGGAGTCCCCCTGTTCCCCAACCACAGGTATGGGAAGTGCCAGCGGGCTGAGTGGGTCAGACTACCCCACATGTGGGACAGTGACACAGGACGCTCCGTGCCCATCCAGGCCCCCAGTGTGCAGACGGACAGATGGTGGGCCTGGGCGGGCAGCAGGCCTGGCTGTGGAAGGCAGACGGCCACTTGCCTCCTGCACTTCAGTTTCCTCACTGACCCCAAAAATCATACCAGAACCTCAGGGGCGCTGAAGCCCTCGGGGCAAGCAGGGTAGCCCCCAGCCTTCCCCGGGCCCACCATTCTCGGGTTCCAGCCTCTGCCGCCCGCGCCCAGGCTACTGCGTCCCTCCTCCTGGGCGCACCATGTTCTGGCCACAATGAACTCCATTCAGCCCCATGAATGAGCCCTCTCTGGCCATCGGCCTCTGCCCTCACTGCCCTCTGCCTGGAATACGCTCCCCTGCCCCCTCCTCTCTGCCTGGCTTCTTGAGAGTCACCCTCGGGTCTGGACTGAAACGCTGCTGCCTCCAGGAGGCCTTCCTGACTGCTACCTCCTCACAAATGTAGAGTAAATGGCTCCTGCTACTGACAGCTGCCCCTGAAAGCCCTCCGTGTGCCATGAGACTTATCACCTGGCACTTCTGTGCTGCACCTGAGCAGGGACCACGCTACCTTGCTGTGGCCTGGGCAATGCTGGCCCAAGGGCTTCAGAGGCTGAAGGGCACAGGTGCCTACACACAGCACAGCACATGCCAGACCGGCGGCTCTTGGCTGGTACCAGGGCTATCTGCCTCTGGGGGCATCTGGAGTCGTGGTGACAGGGGCTCCACTCTGCACAGCAGGCGGGTGGGCAGGCAGATTCCTCGGGGTGCCCGCTGCGGGCCAAGACCCTGGAGGAGCAGCTCTGTGCCCGGCCAGCATGTATCCTTCCTTCTGCCCCACATTTCCTGACAGCCTCTCTTCCCAAGTACCCTGACAGGAGGGTCAGGCTCCCTAGCCGGACTCCCCAGGTGGCGCAGGCTGGAAAGGGGTGGCGCCGGCTTCCTTGCCGACAGGCAGGACAGGGTTCCCAGCCTGCAGAGGTCCAGGCCAGAGCCTCTGCTCAGGAGCAGGAGCCAGTCGGCTCGGGAGGAGGGAAGGCAGGCCGCTGTGCGACCTTGGGCCGTTCTCCGCACTGTTCTGGGTGCCAGCCCCGTCCCCACACACGGCACCTCCCACTGGAGCCGATCACCTACAGCCTGAGGCCCCTGCAGCCTGCTCTGTGGCTCTGTCACCCCCTCCCCCAGCCCAGCATTCCGCACCGCGTGATTTATGGCTCCTGTCCGCCTGGCGCGGTCTCCATCCTGGAGCCGGCCGGCGGCTATTCCGGGGAAACAGACCAGAGCGGTGGGCCTCACGCTGGACGGTGGGTCACAGCCAGAGGAGGGAGTGAGGGAGAAGCCGGTGGAACTGGGTCCTCCGGAGGCGGCCCCCGGGCAAGGCCAGCACCACAGAGTGCACCCTGGGGAGGGACACAGCCCAGGGTCAGGGCGGACAGATGGCATCTCAGGTCCTAAAACCATGGGGACCACTGCTTCGGGGCCAGGGGCTATGCTCCAGGAAACTTCTGAGGACCGAGGTGGCCCCCAGGGAGTCCCCCAAGAGCACGGAATCCAGGAAAGGAGGTTCACCTGGCGGCCTGAGATGGAGAGAGAGCCAGTGGGAGAGAGAGGCAGGGTGGGGATGGCCTCTTTGTTCTGAGCCGCCAGCACAGGCACACTGGTGTAGACAGGGGAGCAGGCTCTCCCGGAGATCAGGTGACCGGGGTCCCTGGTGGCTCAGGGCACAGCGATGTATTGTGGGACGGAGCTACTGGTCCCCGTGCAGGAAGGAAGCTGGTCAGCCCCGTCCCCCGCCCTGGACCAAGCCTGCCCTGCCGCTCCCAGGAAAGCCCAGCCTCCCTGTGATGCAGGTCCTTCCCAAGGCCCAACCTTCAGAGACAGCCAGCTCTGCCCAAGAACCTGGCAGGGGGAACAGCTTCCCTCATGAGAGAGCAAAGGCTGGGAAAGTCAGTCCGATGGAACTCAGGCCAAGACCCTGAGTCCCCCAGGACAGGTGCCACTGGGCCAACCTGCTCCCCAGGAGGCTGCTGCTAGACACCTCCTGCAAGAGAAAAAAGGTGGAGGCGGAGCCTCACTTGGAAGGCGGAGCCTCAGGCTGGAGGGAGGAGCCTCGGCTGCCGCAGGAACCACCGACAGCACCTTCCTCCCTCCTCCACTTCCTCCATCCTCACCTGGAAGCACAGCCCCTCCAGCCTAACCTCACTAAGTCCCAGGGCTGCAGATGGGAGGGGAAAAGCAGCCAGTTCCCCTTCCCCCTACCCCCATCAACGCTGCCTCCCTGGGCAGGGGAGCGGGGGCCAGCTGGCACCCAATGGACTGAAGCGTGCCAGAGAAGGGCCCTCAGGCCACAGCAGGGGCCAGGCAGGTTGCTGGGTCAGCAGGGTGGGAGGGGGCATGCACAGGGTTCTGAACCTCGTGGCCTTGGTCCTGTTCCCTGCTGCGTGCCCACGCCTGGTGCCCATCACGCACCCACCCAGCAGGCGCTCCGATGTTTACTGTGCGAAGGAAAGAGTGGGGGCAGGGGAGGGGAGGCAGGAAGAAGAGACGGAGAGACCTCCAGGCACACAGAGGACTTGGTGAAATCTGAGCGCCTCAAGGCACAGGTCCGCAAAGGCCCAGGACGTTCCGCTCCCTATCTGGGAGTCCCAGAGGCTGCACACTCTCTCTGCCCTGGGGGCTGGGGCTGCGGAGGCCTCCCTGGCCCTGAGCTCAGGGCTATGGCTGAGGCAGAGACTGGGCTCAATGCCCACCTGCAGCCTGAATGGCCACGGCTGCTGGGGAGGCACCAGGGGCCTGTCCACACTGCTGTGGGCTATGAGGTCCTGACACACAGTTCCTGCTCAGTCAGTGCTTGCAGACAAAGACACGAGAGAGAGAAGCGTGGAGCCCAGCACCTCTCCTCCGCCTGGGATCGCCCTGAACCCCCAGCACGCCCGGTGCACACAGCCTGGCAGTGACCTGAGCCCACTGACCAAGGACACTCCTGCAGGCTGCCAGCGAGGAACCAGAGCCCGGGGGAAGGATGCCACTGGCCAGCCCCCTTTCCAAGGGGAATAAGCAGGGAAACCAGGCTCCCAGGTGGCCCTGGTCACCCCTGGCCCTGGCAGTCACAGCCTGGTGTGGTCCCTGCATGCGCCACAGAGTCTGTGTGAGCAACGGACTCTGTGGGGGAGATGGCGAGGCGTGTCCGAGGTTGGGTTATAAAAAGGGCTCCAGCTCCCAGCTTGGAGGTGCACACTCGCTACCCTAGGGTGAGGGAGCCACCAGGCTGAGGACGCCCAGGCAATCCGTGCAGGAGTCCGCACCATGAGGACCTGGGGACTGTGGCCAAGAGCTGGCGAGGAGCTGAGGCCTGCCAGCCACCACACAAGGATGTGCCTGCTCCAGCCCTGGTCGAGCCTCCAGATGAGGTGGCTCCAGCCTGACTGAGCCTCATGAGAGCCCCCAAGCCCCAATGCCCCGCAACACAGCTCACAGGTTCCTGAGAGCTAACAGACGCCCCCTGCTTCCAGTGGCTCCATTTCGGGGTAACTTGTAACACAGCAAGGGGTGACCAATATCAAAGATGGTCCCTTTGCTTCCGAGGAAGGACACCCCTGGCCACTGTGGCTCCCCGCCCTGGCTGCGCCACAGAGAACATCACTCGAAGTCGGCTGTGTGGCTGGGCTGGGCTGGGCGACGGGGCCTAGGTGAAGCCTCCAGTCGCAGCCTCCCCAGGGTGACCACTCACCTAATTCGGTGGGCTTCAGCAGCTCATCCAGCATATTAAAGAACGGCAGCTTCACCAGGCGGACTTCTGGCTTGAGGGTCTTGGCGGGCAACCGTCCCAGTCCGTTTAAGTACTTTCCGTAGAGCACGGGGTAGTCAATATTGGGGCCTGCCAGCGGAGTCCTGGGCACAGCGCCGGCCCGGTCGTAGGTGGAGTGCATGGTCAGGGGGTCCAGGGGCCGGTGCGGCTGTGGGGCAGGCTCCGAGTTCTTCTTGGCGTAGCGGGTCTCGTACAGCTCCTTGATCTTCTTGAACAGCTCAGGGCTACAGTCAAACTGCACCAGCTGGAGGGCCCTGGTGACGAGCTCGTGCTTCAGTCCACTCTTACTCCGGCCCACGAAACCCAGGAGCATCTGAAGGTCGGAGACTCGAAAACTCATCACCATGTTCTGAGGAGGAGCAAGCACACACACACTCAGAGGACACAGCTGCGAGGCAGGGGACTCCATGGAGGCCAGGCCCCGATGTGGGGGCCGTGAAAGACACCCACTCGCCAGGAAGCGCCAGCCTTGGCTGGGGCTGGTGGAGTGCCCTGCCCCTACGGTGCCCCCTCCCAGCAAAGCCCTGCCCCCTCCCTCCTCCTCATCAAACTTTCCCCAGCATCGCCAACGCAGCAAAAGCGCCTCTGACTAGGCCCCCCCTTCTATTTTAGGTTCTCTTTCCCTGTCTTCAGCCTGAAAGCATCCCCAGGGCAGGAACTGACAATTGTGCTTTACTTGTAAACAGCCTCTGCCAGTGCCTTACCGGCAAACACCAAATGCCTCTCTGACCCTCAGTCTCTACGTCGGGAGGATAATGACATAAAGCACTGGCTGGGCGGGCGCTCAACCCATGTCAGCCACAGATATGTTTTCCCTTCGGTCTCGCCAACGGTAGCCACAGTTTACTTAGTACTAATCACCTGCCGGGAACCAAGCCGGTCATGTGATTATATATTTAACTCTGATCCTTAAAACACCCCTGCTAGGCTGGTGTGTGAGCTCTGTCACAAATGAGGAACTGTCGGCTCAGAGGTGGCAGCGCCAAGATTCGAACCCAGGCCTGGCTCTGAAGCCAGGGGCGGTTCTTGCTGCCACACTACCCTCTGGATGTCAACACAGGGCTGGGCCTGTGGGGGCCTCCGAAACATCTGCTGATCATCCCAGGCAGGGTTTCTCCTCCTTGGCCCTGTGGACACTGGGGCCATCCTGGGCTCTGTGTGGTGCTAAATACCCACAGCTCACGACAACCAAACACACCTCCACACCCCACACACCTCCACACCCCACACACCTCCACACCCCACACACCTCCACACCCCACACACCTCCACACCCCACACACCTCCACACCCCACACACCTCCACACCCCACACACCTCCACACCCCACACACCTCCACACCCCACACACCTCCACACCCCACACACCTCCACACCCCCCACACCTCCACACCCCACAGCTCCACACCAAACACACCTCCACACCCCACACACCTCCACACCCCACACACCTCCACACCCCACACACCTCCACACCCCACACACCTCCACACCCCACACACCTCCACACCCCACACACCTCCACACCCCACACACCTCCACACCCCACACACCTCCACACCCCACACACCTCCACACCCCACACACCTCCACACCCCCCACACCTCCACACCAAACACACCTCCACACCAAACACACCTCCACACGTTGCCCTGAGTCCCTGGGGGACCGGTCCAAGGGGAAGATAGCAGCCACAGGGGCTGTTGCAGGACCTGGGTCAAAGCGACAAATGAGGCTTGGCAGGACCTGGCCCTCATCGCCTGGCCGGGCCTCTCCAGCGAAATAAAAACCAAACAGCAGAGCCCAGCTGACCCTGGTGTTTGAGGTGGGGTAGACTGGCAGTGGCCTGACCTCCATGAGGGGTAGGACCCTGAAGGGGAAGGAAGGCTCCTCAACAGGCTGCAGAAGCCAGGTGTCCTCGAGGGATGGGCTGGCAGGGTTTCAGGGCCACCCACCCTTAGCCCTGAAGCTGGCCTGGGATGAATGAGATGTGGTGGGAAACAGTAGCTTCCAGGAGGAATGGGGAGAAAGCTCAAGCGTCAAGGGTGTTAAGGAAAGCTGGCGGGTACCCGAAGAAACCAATAAACCATTCAAACTCCACTCGAAAGACCCTGAGGGTCGAAGCCAGAGGCAGTCCCAGTGGGGTATGTAAACTGCAGCCTCCGTGCCAGGAGGCGCTGAGGTTTCCGGCTCCTGGCTGCCCCAGGGTGAGACCAGGAGCCTAGCCGCACATTTCAGCACCAAAGCTGCAGCAGCCGGGGCCCACTGTCGGGTCCTCATCTGTCAGCTCTGATTTCTTCCAGCTGTATCGGGCCAGGGTCCTGTTGGAGACGGAGAGGCTGTCCAGGCTCAAAATGACAGGGACACACGTGCAGGCGGCCCAGCCCTGCCCAAAGAGCCTCGGGAGAAGCCTCTTCCCATATCAGGGCTGCGGGGCCCCGTGACTGTAAAGAATCGGGATGCCAGCGTCTTGCTCCCTACCAGGCACCAGCAAGGCCTGTGTCGCTAATTTCACAATGAGGACACCCATCGTGTAGGTGAGGAAACCGAGGCTCACAGAGGGAAGAGGCTGGCCCAGAGCCTCCCTAGTACATGCGTGGGACTGGCATCGGCCCCTCGGCCTCTGGCCTCCCAAGGGTGTTCCCGTCTGCTGCCCGGGGGACCCTCACTCACCAGCACACTGGCTATGGGGACCTGCATGGTCTGCTGGGCCTGAGAGTCAGGGATGCTTTGAAAACAAAAATGCCTCATCTCCCTTGGCCTGACTTCCTACCTTGTGCAGAAAACAAAAAGGCTTGCAGACAAGATGTTTCTTCTGGAAGTGGCCCAAAGCCTTAGCAGGGAGAGACGATGTCATGTGGACACTTCACACTGGCAGACTGGCCGAAGGCAGGTGGGCTGGGGAACCTGCTGACATCCTCGCACCCCGGGAGCCCCTGCCCCACCCAGGCTGGACAGTGGAGCCGCAGCTCCCGCTTCCCGGAGCACACCCCTTAGGTGGCCATATGTTCACGACTCAGATTTCCCAGCAGCTGCCACCTCGGAGGAGCCTGCCCTTGACACTGGAGGGAGTGCGGGGGGGACAAGCATTCAGGAAGAAGCCCCAAATGCCCCAAGATCACTTCCTGCCCTGGCTTCAAGCTGACCTGCTTGCCGTCAGAGCTGTGTTTATAAACAGTGCCAGGCCCCGGCAGCTTCCAGAGTTTCAACTCCAGGCTTGCCTGGAAGTCGCATGGGGAGACATCAGCCGAGACACAGCAGCTGCGCTGAACCTTTCCTCCAGCATAGGCCCCTCAGAGCACCGGGGGTAGCTCAGGAAGGCGCCTCTCTCCAGGAAAGCGGAGATCTGTGCGAAACGCTGTGGACTATTTCAGGGAGCTCACAGACACCCCTGCCCCAAACCCGCCTGCAGGCCTCAAGCTGAGAGTCTCAGATTTCAAAGTTCACCAACAAACCCCCAACATTCGCCCCTCCGAGCAGTCTGTGATGCACCCCAAAAGACAGAATCTGCAGCCATGAATATGACAGGCTGGGGAAGGCCCCTGTAAAGAAGGGGATGTTTCAATGACATTTAAGGTACTTGGAGAGGTAGCAACAGACTCAAGGAGAAAGAAGGTTCCCCAGGGTCCAGGCCCCCTTGAATGGAGGCTCACGGTTTAGAGAACCTGAAAGAAGGGTCAACTTGATTTAATTGGGGTGGGGGGGGGCCCAGCCACCAGAGGGTTAAGGAAAGTTCATCAGATCATATTTCAAGGCCTGGATGGTACAAAAGAGTGCAGACCCTGCCCTCAGCCAGGGTGGGGGTTGGGGTCCAGGGTCACAGCTCCAAGCCCCGAAACGGGAGGTTACATTTCAGGACTCCAGGACACTTCAAGCCCAGAGCCTGCCACTTTGGGTTTACAGAGTTCAGGCCTCCACATCTCCAGGGCGAGTCTCCACTTTTCAAAACTCTAGAGAGGAGCAGAAGTGTGCGCAGGGGTGTAGGGTTGGGAGGCGAAGAGAGGTATATGCTATAATCACAGAGCCCTGAGTGCTGTGTTTTCAGATCCCAGGGGGTAATGTGAGAGGACCGAGAAGAAGATACGTACAGGTCAGGACCGTGGGGAGGGAAGATGTGAAAGGGGATGGGGGAGGGAGAGGTCCCCTAACCTCCCCGGAAGCCGTGGCCTTGCGGGCACTTCTAAGGGTTTTAGACCCTCAGCTCTAGGTAGGCACCTACAAGAAGGTACATCCCCTGGAATGGGGATACTCTGAGCTCAATCCCAGGATGATTAAAAGTGGTTCCAAGCTAGGAGATGGTATCTATGGGACATGGGACCTGGACAGGACCCAAAGTATAATAGAGCAGCAGCAACAGTTGTTCTAAAGAGGCCAGCCTTGGACCCAGTGGGGACCCTCCAGAGATCAACAAAAGAGAATAGGCAGAAAGAGAGGGGACCTTAGAAACCAAAGTTGGGGTGCATAAAAGTTCTGGGGGCTGTGTAGGGGGAGGGTGGGTGTCTGACCTAAGAAGTAGACTCGCTCAAGAGCAGAAAATAGGAGAAGCAGCCAAGGTTTGAGGACAGTATCTGATGCTGCACAGGTGAGGTTTAGAGCCCCCTGAAGCAGAATCAGTAGCCTCAGATTCTGTCCCGAGAGGAACGAGGTAGGACCAAAGCACAGTCCAGGATTTAAGATTAAAAAAAGGAGAATAAAGAAGGTCTGTGACCAAGAAGAGTGGTCCGAACTCCATCCTATGGGGAGGGAAAGGGAGGGCCCAGCCTTCCCCCAAGCGCCCACTCCGGCGTGTGAGAGACGGTGTCGGGAAGGGGGCGGGGTTCTGGGACCAATGCAGGAGCTGAAGAGGGGCTCAAGACCGAGCCTGAACTCCAGACCCCAAGAGGACGTGCCGTGTCTTGGGGGTGGTCTCAGGGCCCTGACTCCTCCACCTGGACGGTGGCAGGACACTATCCAGGACTCGGGGGACCCTTCCGAGCAGGAGACTCGCAAACCCCAGCCTGGCCTGTTGGGCGGGGACGAGACCCAGATAGCAGTCCTGGGAGCCCTGTGGGCGGGGAGGCGCAGACACTCCCCCCAACACACCAGCCAAAAAGCAAGGACCCCGGCTCGGAACCAAGAGGGCAACGAGTAGCTCAACACGTCCCGCATCCCGGCGGGACGGTGCCTCAACCGGGAGGCGCGGCCCTGGCCTGGCGCTCAGGGACCGGGACCCTAAGGGCTCGGGCTGGGTGGGGGGACCCTGCCTGAAGCCGGGGGAGCGACCCCCGGCGCGAAGACCTGGGTGAGGCAGGAGGGCCCCGCCCCCGGCCTCCCCGCCCCCCGCCCTCACCCTGAGACCGGGGGTCGGGGTCTGGGGGCCGGGACGGCGAGCCGCGGGCCGGCCGCGCTGTGGGGCCCCGGACAGAAGGCGCAGACCTCGACCTGCGGCCCGGCCCCCGCCCTCTCGCCCACTTGCCCCGGCCGGCGCCGCCACCGCTCACTCACTTTGGCCTCCACCAGCTCCGCCGCCATCTTGGTCACCAGCGTCCCCCGCGCCGGGAGCCCCCAGCCGTCGCGTCACGTGACCGCTCACCACTCGCGGGCGGGGCCGCCGCCCGGGCCAATTAGCACCCGCGCGCGCTCCTCCCGCCGCCGGTGCGCGCTGCTGCCTCCTGCGCAGGCGCGCGCGGCCACCGCCCGGGCCTCCGGCCAATCAGGTCCGTCCTACACCAGCGCCCCCCCCCCCGCTCGCGGCGACCACGCCTACCCCGGCGGCGCCTGACTCCTTAAAGTGGTACTAGCCCTGCGCAGGTGGGGACGGGTGCTCGGTTTCCTCTAGGGAGGGAAGGCGAGAGGGGGCGGTGGCAGCGACAACAATGCAGCTAGGTGCCGTGGCTTCCTGCGCGCGGCGGCCGCCAGGTGCGTCTCCAGACTCCCGGCGGCGTCGGGCAGGGGATGGTTGCTCCGCCGCAACGGCCGCCAGTGCGTACAGTGAGGCGCCTTGCAGCGCAGCGCGGTGCAGGCTCCACGGGCCCAGACACCCCGCGCGCTGCACATCCGGGTCCTGGTGTGCAGATGGGGCGTGGGCTCGGCAACCAGCTGGCTGGGGGCGCCCGGCGGAGAAAAGCGGGACCCCTGCTCCCAAATTCCTTGGAGATCGTACAGCCCTCACCTCTTTGCAGGCGCCCCCCCCATCCTGCCTCCCCACCCATGGGAAACCTTGGATCTGCACCAGTTGGGACCTCTTCTCCAAAGCGCTCCTTGGCTTTGGAGCTAAGTGGCTTCGTGCCCGTAGAAGTGGATTTCAAACTTCAATAATCAAGTATTTTAGTGCAATTTATTTTTTATTTTTATTTTTGTAGAGACGAGGATCTCATTATGTTATCCAGGGTGGTCTCGAATGTCTGGGCTTAAATGATCCTTCTGTCTGGGCCTCCCACAGTGCTGGGATTACAGGCGCGAGTCACCACACCTGGCTAGTCCAACACTTTAAACATAAAAAAATCAGTGCAAAAGAGTCCATGATGGATGAAATACCAAATTGTTATTTATTTATTTATTTTCGAGACGGAGTTTTACTCTTGTTGCCCAGGCTGGAGTGCAATGGCGCGATCTCAGCTCACTGCAACCTCCATCTCCCGGGTTCAAGGGATTCTCCTGCCTCAGCCTCCCAAGTAGGTGGGATTACAGGCGACTGCCACCACGCCCAGCTAATTTTTTTTTTGGCCAGGCTTTTCTGCAACCCCTGACCTCAAGTGATCTGCCCGCTTCAACCTCCCAAAGTACTAGGATTACAGGCATGAGCCATCATGCCCAGCCTTTTTTTTTTTTTTTTTTGAGAGCCTTGCTGTGTTGCCCAGGCTGGAGTGCAATGGAGCGATCTCCACTCACTGCAACCTCTGCCTCCTGGGTTCAAGCGATTCCCCTGCCTCAGCCTCCCGAGTAGCTGGGATTACAGGTATGCACCACCATACCCAGCTAATTTTTTTTTTTTTAGACGGAGTCTTGCTTTGTCACCAGGCTGGAGTGCAGTGGCGCCAGGCTGGAGTGCAGTGGCGCAATTTCGGCTCAGTGCATCCTCTGCCTCCCGGGTTCAAGTGATTCTCCTGCCTCAGCCTCCCGAGTAGCTGGGACTACAGGTGGGCACCACCACGCTCAGCTGATTTTTGTATTTTTAGTAGAGATGGAGTTTCACTGTGTTGGTCAGGTTGGTCTATGAACTCCTGACCTCAGGTGATCCACCGGCCTCGGCCTCGCAAAGTGCTGGGATCATGGGTGTTAGCCACCGCACCCGGCCTGAAATACCAAAATTTTAAGTAAAGAGCCAGACGTAGGAGTGTGCGCCTGTGGTCCCAGCTACTTAGGAGGCTGAGGCAGGAGGATCGCTTGAGCCCAGGAGTTGGAGGCTGCAGTGAGCTTTGATCATGCCACTACACTCCAGCCTGGGCGACAAAATTATAGGAGGCGGTTGTTTTAGACTAAACTCTTGTGCTAGGCACCAAGACACAGGAATAAACAAAATGCAGCTAGTCACACTCAGATTCTAAGTCACAATGACGAAGCTAAGTTGTTATCTGACCTTTGGGAAAACCAGGAGGGAGCCCTATCAGCCCATTTTCTCTTTTATTTTATTTTCTCTCTTTCTTTCTCTCTCTCTCTCTCTCTCTCTCTCCCTTTCTTTCCAGGAGGAGTCTCACATTTGTCGCCTAGGCTGGAATGCAATGGCGCAATCTCGGCTCACTGCAACCTCTGCCTTCCAGGTTCAAGCGATTCTCCTGCCTCAGCCTCCTGAGTAGCTGGAATTACAGGTGCCCGCCACCACACCCGGCTAATTTTTTTGTATTTTTAGTAGAGACGGGGTTTCGCCATGTTGGCCAGACTAGTCGAGAACTACTGACCTTAGATGATCCGGCCAACCAATTTTCCAAACAGGCCAGTTTCAGCCTTCAGTGGCCAATGTCCTAAAATTCCCTCTGCTTAATTTCTTTAATCCTTACACAAAAAAACTAGCCTGGCCGGGTGTGGTGGCTCACGCCTGTAATCCCAGCACTTTGGGAGGCCAGGGCGGGTGGATCACGAGGTCAGGAGATCGAGACCACCCTGGCTAACACGGTGAAACCCCGTCTCTACTAAAAATACAAAAAATTAGCCGGGCTTGGTGGCGGGCGCCTCTAGTCCCAGCTACTTGGGAGGCTGAGGCAGGAGAATGGCATGAACACGGAAGTCGGAGCTTGCAGTGAGCCGAGATCGCGCCACTGCACTCCAGCCTAGGCGACAGAGGGAGACTCCGTCTCAAAAAAAAAAAAAAAAAAAAAAACTAGCCTGAAACAACCTGATGGTAACACTAATGAGTTAACACATTCTTTGCTGTTGGGTTTTTGTTGTTGTTGTTGCTGTTGGTTTTGAGATAGGTTTCTGTCTCCCAGGTTGTTGTGCAGTGGCTCAGTCATGGCTCACTACAGCCTCAACCGCCCGGGCTCAGGTGATCTTCCCACCTCAGCCTCCTGAGTAGCTGGGACTACAGGTGCACACCACCACGCCTGGCTAATTCTTGTATTTTTTGTCGAGATGGGGTTTTGCCAAGTTGCCCAGGCTGCTCTCAAACTTCCGAGTTCGGGGATCCTCCCAAAGTGCTGGGATTACAGACATGAGCCACCCCGCCCAGCCTGTTCTTTGATTTTGCTCTCTACAACCCCTCTCTTCCTGTAGAGCCAACCTCCTCTGCCCAACTGATTGGAACAGTTATCCTATTTTATGGAATGAAGTGTAGCAAATTGCAATGAAGCCGGTTAAGGTCCTTAGATTTGTTGAAATGTTGTCCATTGACAGCAAAACCCCAGCTCTGCCATTGCACGTATGAGTCTTACCTTCATTCCGGCCCTGCTGATTCTGCGGGGGATTGGGTTTTTTTGTTTTTGTTTTGTTTTGTTTTGTTTTAGACAGGGTCTTGCTCTGTCACCCAGGCTGGAGTGTGGTGGTGCCAATCTCGACTCACCGCAACCTCGGCCTCTCAGGTTCAACTGATTCTTGTGCTTCAGCCTCCCGAATAGCTGGGATTACAGGTGTGTGCCACCATACCTGGCTCATTTTTGTAATTTTATTTAATTTATTAATTTTCTTGAGACAGGGTCTCTCTCTGTCACTCAGGCTGGAGTGCAGTGGTGGGATCTTGGCTCACTTCAACCTCCACCTATCAGGATCAAGTGATTCTCCTGCCTCAGCCTCCCGGGCAGTGGGGACTACAGGTGCACATCATCACACCGGCTAATTTTTGGTATTTTTAGTAGAGACGAGGTTTGACCGTGTTGGCCAGGCTGGTCTCGAACTCCTGACCTTAAGGGATCTGCCAGCCTCAGCCTCCCAAAGTGCTGGGATTACAGGTGTGAGCCACCACACCTGGCCAGGTTTTGTTTTTAAGTATAATTTGTATTTGTTTTGGTGAAGATTCAGATTCACAAGAAGTTGCAAAAATAGTACAGAGAGATTTGTGCACCTTTCTCCCAGCTTTCCCCAGTGATAGTATTTTTATAACTGGCTGGGCTCCATGGCTCACACCTGTAATCCCTGCACTTTGGGAGGCCAAGGCGGGCGGGTCAACTGAGGTCAGGAGTTTGAGACCAGCCTGGCCAACATGGTGAAACTCCTGTCTCTACTAAAAATACAAAAATTAGCTGGGCATGGTGGCGGGAGCCTGTAAGCTCAGCTACTCAGGAGGCTGAGGCAGGAGAATCGCTTGACCCCAGGAGACAGAGGTTGCAATGAGCCGAGATTGTGCCATCACACTCCAGCCCAGACAACAAGAGCAACGCTCCATGTAAAACAAACAAACAAACAAAAAGCTTGAACCCAGGAGGCGGAGGTTGCAGTTAACTGAGATTGCGCCATTGCACTCCAGCCTGGGTGACAGAGCGAGACTCCATCTCAAAAAAAAAAAAAAAAAAAAGATTCAAAAAAAGTTTTACATAGCCATGTTATGTTGTCAAAACCTGGGCGTTGATGTTAGTATAATGGAATCAACTCGAGTGCAGACATTATTTCGATTGCACCCGTTTTTACATGTACCTTCCTCTGTGTGTGTTTGGTTCTATTATTTATTATTATTATTTTTTGAGACAGAGTCTCTATTGCCGAGTTTGGAGTGCAGTGGCGCGATCTCAGCTCACTACAACCTCCGCTTCCCAGGTTCAAGCAATTCTCGTGCCTCAGCCTCCTGAGTAGCTGCGATTACAGGCGGGCGCCACCACACTCAGCTAATTTTGGTATTTTTAGTAGAGACGGGGTGTCGCCATGTTGCCCAGGCTGGTCTTGAACTCCTGACCTTAAATGATCCACCTGCCTCAATCTCCCAAAAGTGCTGAGATTACAGGCATGAGACAGCGTGCTTGGCAGTTGAGAGAAATTTTGTCTCACTTGTAGATTCCTGCAACCCTTGTGGTTTGAAGGTTCTGTGTAATCATGGTACTGTGTCTGTGTTTTAAAATATGTTTTGGGCTGGGTGCCTGCTTCAAGCCTATAATCCCAGCCCTTTAGGAGGCTGAGGCAGGAGGATTGCTTAAGCCCAAGAGTTTGAGACCAGCCAGGGCAAAATAACACGAGATCCCCATCTCTACAAAAAAATTATTATTATTTTTTTGAGATGGAGTCTGGCTCTGTCACCCAGGCTGCAGTGCAATGGCGTGATCTCGGCTCACTGCAACCTCCGTCTCCTTGGTTCCAGCAATTCTTCTGCCTCAGCCTCCCAACTAACTGAGACTACAGCCGCGTGCTACCACACCCGGCTAATTTTTGTATTTTTAGCAGAAACGGGGTTTCACCATGTTGGCCAGGCTGGTCTCCAACTCTGGACCTCAGGTGATCTGCCTTCCTCGGCCTCCCAAAGTGCTGGGATTACAGGTGTGAGCCACTGCGCCCAGCTCCCCCCCCATTTTTTTTTTTTTTTGAGAGAGTCTTGCCCTGTTGCCCAGGCTGGGTGGCACGATCTCGGCTCACTGCAAGCTCCACTTCCAGGGTTCACGCCATTCTCCTGCCTCAGCCACCTGAGTAGCTGGGACTACAGGCACCTGCCAGCACGCCTGGCTAATTTTTTATATTTTTAGTAGAGAAGGGGTTTCACTGTGTTAGCCAGGATGGTCTTGATCTCCTGACCTCGTGATCCGCCCGCCTCGGCCTCCCAAAGTGCTGGGATTACAGGCGTGAGCCACCGCGCCTGACCCCAAATTTTTTCTTAAATTAGCTGGCCATGGAGGCACATACCTTTAGTGCCACCTACTCCAGAGACTGAGGCAGGAGGATCACTGGAGCCCAGGACTTTGAGGCTGCAGTGAGCTATGATAGCACCACTGTACTCTGGCCTGAGTGATAGCTAGACCCTGTCTCTAAAATAATTATAATAAATCAATGAAGAGTCCTTATCAGTTACAAATAACTGCCAAGCATATTTACAGAAGAAATGGTATAGGATTTGCATTGAAATAACAGGAAGAGGCTGGCCACTGTGGCTCACGCCTGTAATCCCAGCACTTTGGGAGCCCGAGACGGGCGAATCACCTGAAGTCAGGAGTTTGAGACCAGCCTGACCAACGTGGAGAAACCCTGTCTCTACTAAAAATACAAAATTAGCTGGGCGTAGTGGCACATGCCTGTAATCCCAGCTACTCGGGAGGCAGAGGCAGGAGAATCGCTTGAACCCGGGAGGCAGAGGTTGTGGTGAGCCGAGATTGCACTCTAGCCTGGGCAACAAGAGCGAAACTCTGTCTCAAAAAAAAAAAAAGAAAAGAAATAATGGGGAGAGTATTGAGGGAGAAAAATAAAACAAAATGGAATATATGTGTTGCCAATTGTTGAACCTGAAGGGTGGATCAGGAGGGACTCAGGATGCTCTCTACCTAAAATTGCTGAGCCGTGGCCTGGTGCAGTGGCTCATACCTGTAATCCCAGCACTTTGGGAGGCTGAGGCAGGCGGATTGCTAGAGGCCAGGAGTTTGAGACCAGCCTGGCCAACATGGTGAAACCCCGTCTCTACTAAAAATACAAAAATTAGCTGGGTGTGATGGTGGGCACCTGTAATCCCAGCTACTCAGGAGGCTGAGGCGGGAGAATTGCTTGAACCCTGAAGGCAGAGGTTATAGTGAGCTGAGATCGCACCACTGCACTCCAGCCTGGGCAACAGAGCAAGACTCCATCTCAACAACAACAAAAAAATTGCTGAGCCCTGTCCTAGAAACTGTCAGAATAAGGTGTTTCCATGTTAGCTGCGTCTGTATCAGCCCCCATTCTGTGATGATGAAAGCCAGTATCAGATGGGAACACCTGCCCAGGCATTGGCTAAGCCACTATCTTTTTTTTTTTTTTTTTTTTTTTTTTTTGGATTCAGAGTCTCACTCCGTCACCCAGGCTGGGTGCAATCTTGGCTGACTGCAACCTCCGCCTCCTGGGTTCAAGCTGTTCTCCTGCCTCAGCCTCCTGAGTAGCTGGGATTAGAGGTTCGTGCCAACACACCCAGCTAATTTTTGTATTTCTAATAGAGACGGGGTTTTGCCATGTTGGCCAGGCTGGTCTCGAACTCTTGACCTCAAGTGATCTACCTGCCTTGGCCTCCCAAAATGTTGAGATTATAGGCATGAGCCACCACATCTGGCCTTTTTTTGTTTTGTTTTGTTTTTTTGTTTGTTTGTTTGTAGATTTGGGAGGGGGAGTTTTACTCTGCTGCCTAGGCTGGTCTCAAACTCCTGGCCTCAAACCATCTTCCTACATTGACCTCCCAAACTGCTGAGATTACGGGCTTGAGCTGCCATGCCCAGCCTAAACCACTGTCTTAATCTGCATCCAGCTGTCTCCAAAGGCTAAAACACCTCCCCTTCTTACATCAGATATACAAGTAATGACCAGGCACAGTAGCTTAACGCTCATAATCTCAGCACTTTGGGAGGCCAAGGCAGGAGGATTGCTTGAGCCCAGGAGGTCGAGGCTGCAGTGAGTTGTGATAGTGGCACTGCACTCCAGCCAGGGCAACAGAGCAAGACCTTGTCTCAAAAATAAAAAATTAAAAAGACATGCAAACAATAATCTTTCTGTATTATCAAGCACCTACTGTATACAAGGCACTGTTTTGGTTCAGGGATCTGCAAACGTTTTCTGTAGAGATCCAGGAAATAACTATTTTCTGCTTTTGGACCACATATAATGTCTAGAGCAATTACTCAACTCTGCCATCTAAGGGCAAAAGAAACCGTAGACTATAAATAAACAAATCAGCATGGCTGGCCGGGAGCGGTGGCTCACGCCTGTAATCCCAGCACTTTGAGAGGCCGAGGCAGGCGGACCATGAGGTCAGGAGTTTGAGACCAGCCTGGCCAATATGGTGAAACCCCATCTCTACTAAAAATACGAAAATTAGCAGGGCGTGGTGGTGCACACCTATAGTCCCAGCTACTTGGGAGGCTGAGGCAGGAGAATCGCCTGAACCGGGAGGCGGAGGTTGTGGTGAGCCGAGATCACACCACTGCACTCCAGCCTGGCCGACAGAACGAGGCTCCGTCTCAAAAAAGAAAAGAAAAGAAAAAAGAAAAACAAATGAGCATGGCTGTGTGCTAGTAAAACTTTATTTTATTTTATTTATTTATTTATGACAAAGTCTTGCTCTGTTGCCCAAGCTGGAGTGCAGGGGCCTGATCTCGGTGCACTGCAACCTCCGCCTCCCAGGTAAAAAAGATTTTCCTGCCTCAGCCTCCTGAGTAGCTGAGTCTACAGGCGCACGCCACCAGGCCCAGCTAATTTTTGTATTTTTAGCAGAGACGGGGTTTCACCATGTTGGCCAGGCTGGTCTTTTTTTTTTTTTTTTTTTAGTATTCATTGATCATTCTTGGGTGTTTCTCGGAGAGGGGGATTTGGCAGGGTCATAGGACACTAGTGGAGGGAAGGTCAGCAGATAAACATGTGAACAAGGGTCTCTGGTTTTCCTAGGCAGCGGACCCTGCGGCCTTCCGCAGTGTTTATGTCCCTGGGTACTTGAGATTAGGGAGTGGTGATGACTCTTAACGAGCATGCTGCCTTCTAGCATCTGTTTAACAAAGCACATCTTGCACCGCCCTTAATCCATTTAACCCTGAGTGGACACAGCACATGTTTCAGCACGGGGTTGGGGGTAAGGTTATAGATTAACAGCATCCCAAGGCAGAAGAATTTTTCTCAGTACAGAACAAAATGGAGTCTCCTATGTCCACTTCTTTCCACACAGACAGCGTAACAATCTGACCTCTCTTTCTTTTCCCCACATTTCCCCCTTTTTCTATTCGACAAAACCGCCATCGTCATCATGGTCTGCTCTCAATGAGCTGCTGGGTACACCTCCCAGACGGGGTGGCGGCCGGGCAGAGGGGCTCCTCACTTCCCAGACGGGGCGGCCGGGCAGAGACGCCCCCCACCTCTCGGACGGGGCGGCTGGCCGGGCGGGGGCTGCCCCCCACCTCCCTTCCGGACGGGGCAGCTGGCCGGGCGGGGGCTGCCCCCGGCCAGGCTGGTCTTGAACTCCTGACCTCGAGTGATCTGCCCTCCTGGACCTCCCAAAATGCTGGGATTACGGGTGTGAACCACTGAGCCAGGCCTGTATGCTAGTAGAACTTCATAAACACAGAAATTTCAATCTTACGTATTTTCACATGTCATGTTATTATTATGCTTTTGTTTGAACATTTAAAAGAGAAAGAAGGCCGGGTGCTGTGGGTCGGGTGTGTAATCCCAGAACTTTTGGAGATCCAGGCAGGAGGACTGCTTGAACACAGGATTTCTACACCAGACTGAGCAACATAATGAGATCCTCTCTCTGCAAAAAATAAAAAATTAAGTAGGCATGGTGGTGCACGCCTACAGTCTTACCTACTCAGGTGGATGGCTTGAGCCCAGGAGTTCCAGGCAGCAGTGAACCGTGATTGTGTCACTGCACTCCAGCCTGGGTGACAGAGAGAGACTCTGTCTCAAAAGTAATAATAATAATAATAATAATAATAATACGCTGGGCGCAGTGGCTCATGCCTGTAATCCCAGCACTTTGGGAGGCCGAGGCGGGCAGATCACGAGATCAGGAGATCGAGACCATCCTGGCTAACACGGTGAAACCCCGTCTCTACTAAAAATACAAAAAATTAGCCGGGCATGGTGGCGGGCGCCTGTAGTCCCAGCTACTCGGGAGGCTGAGGCAGGAAAACGGCGTGAACCCGGGAGGCGGAGCTTGCAGTGAGCCGAGATTGTGCCACTGAACTCCAGCCTGGTTACAGAGCGAGACTCAAAAAAAAAAAAAAAAAAAGATTAGGGCTGAGGGCTGTAGCTTGCTAGTCTTTGTTAGAGATGCTCAGACACAGTGGTGACCACAACAGGCAAAATTCCCTGTCCTCGTGGAACTGGCATTCCAGGAGGGAGATCAACAACAAACAAAATCAAAAGCTAATTAAAGGTCCCGGCGTGGTGGGTCACGCCTGTAATCCCAGCACTTTGGGAGGCTGACATGGGCGGATCACCTGAGGCCCAGAGTTCGAGACCAGCCTGGCCAAGATGGTGAAAACCCATCTCTACCAAAAATAAAAATTTAGCTGGGCGTGGTGGCACACGCCTGTAGTCCCAGCTACTTGGGAGGCTGAGGCAGGAGAGTCACTTGAACCCGGAAGGTGGAGCTTGCAGTGAGCCGAGATGGCACCACTGTACTCCAGCCTGGGCAACAGAGGGAGACTCCATCTCAAAAAAAAAAAAAAAGGCTAAATACAGAACATGTTCAGACACTGATGGGAGGTAGACAGACAAGAAAGAGGAGAGGGAGGCTATGGAAAATCCCCACACGACCAATTTAAAGCTTTACAGCCTGTTTTAGGACAGAATTCATCAGTTCTAAATCAGATCCTTTGCAATTCTGACAAAATTCACAAACCACCTCCACTGTTATGTAAGATACATAGAGATAGATGGAGAGAGGTAGATATAGATACAGATAGTTACTCCCGTTTTGCACTTAAGTAAATGGAGTTGTTTCCTGGGCAAAAATACCTATGAGCTGGGCGCGGTAGCTCAAGCTTGTAATCCCAGCACTTTAGGAGGCCGAGGCGGGTGGATCATGAGGTCAGGAGTTTGAGACCAGCCTGGCCAACATGGTGAAACCCTGTCTCTACTAGAAATACAAAAAAAATTACTGGGGCGTGGTGGCACGCACCTGTAATCCCAGCTACTCAGGATGCTGAGGCAGGAGAATCTCTTGAACCTGGGAGACAGAGGTTGCAGTGAGCCGAGATGAGGACACTGCACTCCAGCCTCGGTGACAGAAGGAGACTCCATCTTTACCAAAAAAAAAAAGTATCAAATTGTGAATTTGGTGTTAGCTGAATATTAAAAGCATCTTAAATTTAAATAAAGTTGTGTGCACGTTTGTATATATGTATTTCAAAACATAGCAATGTATTATCACAATTGATTGCATTTTCTGGCTCTAAAACAGATTGTAGGCCAGGCACAGTGGCTCACTCCTGTAATCCCAGCATTTTGGGAGGCCGAGGCAGGAGGATCACCTGAGGTCAGAAGTTTGAGACCAGCCCACGCAACATGGTGAAACCCCTGTCTCCACTAAAAATACAAAAATTAGCCGGGCATAGTGGCACACACCTGTAATTCCAGCTACTCAGGAGGCTGAGACAGGAGAATCGCTTTAACCCGAGAGGCAGAGGTTGCAGTGAGCTGAGATCATGCTGCTGCACTCCAGCCTGGGCAACACGCGAGACTCCATCTCAAAAAAATAAAATAAATAAGTAAATAAATAAATAAAACAGATTGTATAAACAAATATAATCTAATTGGGGGACAGGTTGGGCGCCGGGGCTTAGGCCTAGAATCCCAGCACTTTGGGAGGCTGAGGCAGGAGGATTGCTTGAGCTCAGGAGTTCAAGACCAGCCTGGGCAACATAGACCCCATCTCTTCAACAATCTTAAAAATACCCAGGTATGGCCGGGCGTGGTGACTCACACCTGTAATCCCAGCACTTTGGGAGGCCGAGGCGGGCAGATCACAAGGTCAGGAGATTGAGACCATCCTGGCTAACACGGTGAAACCCTGTCTCTACTAAAAATACAGAAAAATTAGCCGGGTGTCGTGGCATGCGCCTGTAGTCCCAGATGCTGGGGAGGCTGTGGCAGGAGAATGGTGTGAACCCGGGAGGCGGAGCTTGCAGTGAGCCGAGATGGCGCCACTGCACTCCAGCCTGGGCGACAGAGCGAGACTCCATCTCAATTTAAAAAAAAACAACAAAAAACCCAGGTATGGTGGCGTGAACTTGTAGTCCCAGCTAATCGGGAGGCTGAGGTGAGAGAACTGCTTGAGCCTGGGAGGTCGAGGCTGCAGTGAGCTATGATCACACCAGTGCACTCCAGCCTGCGTAACAGTGAGATGCTGTCTAAAGATAAATAAGTAAATAATTGAATTGGGAGTTAAGGAATTTGTTCTCTCTCCCACCACCCCACCCTCAGGGCATTTTCTCAGGGACACAGAAGTCTCTTTCATAGGAATAACCACCCGCCTACTATTTTTTTTTCTTTTTGAGACTGAGTCTCACTCTATCACCCAGGCTGGAGTGCAGTGGCAATATCTTGGCTCTCTGCAACCTCCGCCTCCTAGGCTCAAGCAATCCTCCCACCTCAGCCTCCTGAGTAGCTGGTTTTATAGCCACACGCCACCATGCCCAGCTAATTTTTTTGCAGTTTTTGTAGAGATGAGGAGAATTGCTTTAACCCAGAAGGTGGAGGGTTGCAGTCAGCTGAGATTGTGCCACTGCACTCCAGCCTGGCGACAGCGAGACTCCGTCTCAAAAAAAAAAAAACAAAAAAGTCCTGGGCTCAGGTGACCCTCCTGCCTCAGCATCCCAAGTAGTTGAGACTACACGGGTGCACCATCATGCCCAGCTTATTAAAAAAGGTTTCTGGAGGGCCAGGCGCGGTGGCTCACGCCTGTAATCCCACCACTTTGGGAGGCTGAGGCGGGTGGATCACGAGGTCAAGACATCGAGACCATCCTGGCCAACATGGCGAAACCCCATCTCTACTAAAAATACAAAAAAAAATAGCTGGGCATGGTTCTGGTCACCAGTAGTCCCAGCTACTCGGGAGGCTGAGGCAAGAGAATCACTTGAACCTGGGAGGCAGAGGTTGCAGTGAGCCGAGATTGTGCCACTGCACTCCAGCCTGGCTGCAGAGTGAGACACTGTCTCAAAAAAAAAAAAAAAAGATTTTTTGGTAGATACGGGGTCTCCCTATGTTGCCAAATCTGGTCTTGAACTGCTAGCCTCGAGCAATCCTCCCCTTTTCCAAAAGGCTGGGATTACGATGTGAGCTACTGGGACCTGCCACGATGTCTTGTATAGCCTAACCTGAAACAGCACGCTCCCATTTTCTTTTTTTTTTTTTTTTTTTTTTTTTTTTTGAGACGGAGTCTCGCTCTGTCGCCCAGGCTGGAGTGCAGTGGCGGGATCTCGGCTCACTGCAAGCTCCGCCTCCCGGGTTCACGCCATTCTCCTGCCTCAGCCTCCCAAGTAGCTGGGACTACAGGCGCCTGCCACTACGCCCGGCTAATTTTTTGTATTTTTAGTAGAGACGGGGTTTCACCGTTTTAGCCGGGATGGTCTCGATCTCCTGACCTCGTGATCCGCCCGCCTCGGCCTCCCAAAGTGCTGGGATTACAGGCGTGAGCCACCGCGCCCGGCCTGCACGCTCCCATTTTCAAAACATCCTATAAAGCTCAGCCCTGTTCAATGTGAGCAGGTCATACCCGGATGTCAGGAGGGCAGATTCGTTGGGACAATCGTGCAGGCTGGGCACCACAAATTGTATCTATTTTACAGGGTGATTGTAGGGCCATAAAGCATTTAGCTCAGTGTCTGGTACACAGTAAGCCCTCAGGAATTGTGAAATATTATTATATTGCCATTAATTTAGAAAGGACAAGAGGGTCTCAAGGGCATTCTGCTGAGTGGGGGGCAAAAGCCAATCTGGGCTGGGCACTGTGGCTCACGCCTGTAATCTCAGCACTTTGGGAGGCCAAGGCGGGTGGATCACTCGAGGCTAGGAGTTCAAAACTAGCCTGGCCAACATGATGAAAGCCTGTCTCTACTAAATATACAAAAATTAGCTGGATGTGGTGGCGGGTATCTGTAATTTCAGTTACTCGGGAGGCTGAGGCAGGAGAATCACTTGAACCCGGGAGGCAGACGTTGCAGTGAGTTGAGATTGCACCACTGCACTCCAGCTGGGCGACAGAGTGAGACTCCGTCTCGAAACAATGACAACAAGAACAACAACAAAAAGGTTATTGAAATGACAGAATTATAGAGCTGGAACACAGGTCAGTTGTTTCCAGGGATCAGGGCAGGGCCATGGGGAGGGGAATAGTTGTGACAATAGGGAGGTAACAGAAGAGTGATCTTTGTGGTGATGAAATAGTTCTGTATGTTTTTGTTTTATTTATTTATACATACGTTTTGAGACAAACTTTTGCTCTGGTTGCCCAGGCTGGAGTGCAGTGGCGTGATCTCGGCTCACTGCAACTTCCGCCTCCCGGGTTCAAGCGATTCTCCTGCCTCAGCCTCCCGTGTAGCTGGGATTACGGGTGCTCACCACCACGCGTGGCCAATTTTTGTATTTTTAGTAGAGACAGGGTTTCACCATGTTGGCCAGGCTGGTCTCAAACTCCTGACCTCAGGTGATCCACCCGCCTCAGCCTCCCAAAGTGCTGGGACTACAGGCGTGAGCCACTGCGCCCAGCCTTTGTTTTTGTTTTCACAGAGTCACATTCTGTCGCCCAGGCTGGAGTGCAGTGACATGATCATAGCTCATTGCAGCCCTGACCTCCTGGGCTCAAGCCTCCCTAGGAGGTGAGACTGCAGGCATGTGCCACCACCCCCAGCTAATTTTTTTTTTTTTTTTTAGAGATAGGGTCTCAGTATGTTGCCCAGGCTGGTCTCAAACTCCTGGTTTTAAGGGATCCTCCTTCCTTGGCCTCCCAAAGTGCTGGGTTCCAGGTATGAGCCACAGTGTCCAGCTACAATAACTTGGAAATGTATACACACATTGTACTAATGTCATATTTCTTGTTCGGATGTTGTACATAAGATGTGACCACTGAGGGAAGCTTGGTGACAGGCACGTAGGACCTGTTTGTCCTATATGTGCAGCTCCCTTTGAATCTATAATTATTTCAGAATAAGAAATGTTGGCCAGGCCCAGTGGCTCACACCTGTATACCCTTACTTTGGGCAGCTAAGGCTGGAGGATTGCTTAAGTCCAGGAGTTTAAGACTAACCCGGGCAACGTAGGGAGGCCCTGTCTCTACAAAAAATAAAAAATTGGCCGGGCGCGGTGGCTCCTGCCTGTAATCCCAGCACTTTGGGAGACCAAAGTGGGTGGATCAAGAGGTCAGGAGATCGAGACCATCCTGGCTAACACGGTGAAACCCCGTCTCTACTAAAAATATAAAAAATTAGCCAGGTGTGGTGGTGGGCGCCTGTCGTCCCAGCTGCTCGGGAGGCTGAGGGAGGAGAATGGCGTGAACCCAGGAGGCGGAGCTTGCAGTGAGCTGAGATGGCGCCACTGCACTCCAGCCTGGGCGACAGAGCAAGACTCCTTCTCAAAAAAAAAAAAAAAAAAAAATTTAGGACGTGGGGGTGGGGGGCGGGGAGAGCATCAGGATGAATAGTTAAGGGATGTGGGGCTTAATACCTAGGTGATGGGTTGATCTGTGCAGCAAACAATCATGGCACACATTTACCTGTATGACAAACCTGCACATCCTGCACATGTACCCCAGATCTTAAAATAAGTTGAAAGAAGAAAAAAAGTTTAAAAATGAAAACAGGCCAGGTGCGGTGGCTTACGCCTGTAATCCCAGCACTTTGGGAGGCCGAGGCAGGCGGATCACCTGAGGTTAGGAGTTCGAGACTAGCCTGGCCAACATGATAAAACCCTGTCCTTACTAAAAATACAAAAATTAGCTGGGTGTGGTGGCAGGCGCCTGTAATCCCAGCTACTCGGGAGGCTGAGGCAGGAGAATCATTTGATTCTGGGAGACAGAGGTTGCAGTGAGCCGAGATCATGCCATTACACCCCAGCCTGGGGTACAAGAGTGAGACTTCATCTCAAAAAAAAAAAAAAAAAAAAAAGGCTGGGTATGGTGGCTGACATCTGTAATCCCAACACATTGGGAGGCCAAGGTGGGCCCATCTCCTGAAGTCAGGAGTTCGAGGCCAGCCTGGCTGACATGGCGAAACCACATCTCTACTAAAAATACAAAAATTAGCCAGGCGTGGTGGCGGCCACCTGTAATTCCAGCTACTCAACAGGCTGAGGCAGGAGAATTGCTTGAGCCTGGGAAAGGGAGGTTGCAGTGAGCTGAGATTGCGCTATCTCAATTAAAAAAAAAAAAAAAGGCCGGGCGCAGTGGCTCACGCCTGTAATCCCAGCACTTTGGGAGGCCAAGGCAGGCGAATCACAAGGTCAAGAGATTGAGACCATCCTGGCCAACATGGTGAAACCCCGTCTCTACTAAAAATACAAAAATTAGACCGGGTGCATTGGCTCACGCCTGTATTCCCAGCACTTAGGGAGGCCAAGGCGGGTGGATCACCTGAGGTCCGGAGTTTGAGACCAGCCTGATCAACATGGAAAAACCCCGTTTCTACAAAAAATACAAAATTAGCCGGGCGTGGTAATCTCAGCTACTTGGGAGGCTGAGGCAGGAGAATCGCTTGAACCCAGGAAGAAGTTGTGGTGAGCCGAGATCGCGCCATTGCACCCCAGCCTGGGCAGCAAGAGCAAAACCCCATCTCAAAAAAACCCAAAAACCCCCAAACAAACAAAAAAACAACAAACAACACAACTGTGCTTCTTCTTTGGTGCTTTGTGAAAAGGAAAACAAAAAAACTGGCTGAGTGTAATGGTTCATGCCTGTCAT
Organism: Homo sapiens; assembly: GCF_000001405.40. Classification (NCBI taxonomy): domain Eukaryota; kingdom Metazoa; phylum Chordata; class Mammalia; order Primates; family Hominidae; genus Homo; species Homo sapiens. Next base: position 3,991,322 of record NC_000019.10, on the reverse strand, counting down.
CCGGCACCTTGGGAAGCTGAAGTAGGAGGATCCCTTGGACCCAGGAGTTCAAGACCAGCTTGGGCAACACAGCAAGACCCTGTCTCTACAAAAAATAAAATAAAAGAAATCGATAGAGGCAGGAGGGTTCCTGGAGGTTAGGAGCTCAAAACCAGCCTCGGGGACATAGTGAGATTCTAACTCTAAAAAAATTTAAAAATTACCTGGATGTGGTGGTGCGTGCCTGCCAATATGGAGGCTGAAACAGAAGGATTGCTTGAACGCAGGAGTTCAAGACTAGAATGAGCTATGAATGCACCACTGCACCCTGCAGCTTGGGCAACACAGCAAGACTCTGTCTCAGAAAAACAAAAAAGAAAAGAAAAAAGAAACAACAAGTAAGGAAAGAAAAAAAAGAAGGAAGAAAGGAGAGAAGGAACAAAAAAAGGAAGGAAGGATGGAACGAAGGAAGAAAGGAAGAGAAGGAAGGAAGGAAGGAAGGAGGGAAGGAGGGAAGGAAGGAAGGAAAGAAAAAGGCTGGGCGTGGTGGCTCACGCTGGTAATCCCTGAACTTTGGGAGGCCGAGGCAGGTGGATCATCTGAGGTCAGGAGTTCGATACCAGCCTGGCTAAAATGATGAAACCCCGTCTCTACTAAAAATACAAAAAATTAGCTGGGCGTGGTGGTGTGCGCCTGTAATCCCAGCTACTCAGGAGGCTGAGGCAGGAGAATCGCTTGAACCCGGGAGTCGGAGGTTGCAGTGAGCCTAGATCGCGTCACTGTACTCCAGCCTGGGCAACAAGAGCAAAACTCCGTCTAAAAAAAAGAAAGAAAAGAAAAAAGAAATAAAGAAAAAGAAAAAAAGACAATTTTAAGCCGAACACATGGCCTCCCAGAAAAAAAGACTACATTTCCCACCAACCCTTGCAGCTGAGTATGGTCACGTGACACATTCTGACCAATAGCAGGAGTGGCATGTAAACTCTTTTCCTGTTTTTCTCTTTCCTTCTTCCTATTGGCTGAAACGTGAATGTGATGGTGGACACTTTGAACTATGAGGATGAAGGCAATACTTTGGAGACAGCAAGGCAAAGCGTTAAAAAGAGCTTGAGCTCTCAACACCGCTGCTGAACAGATGCACCCCATCAGCAGGGACTTTCTACCTGGGAGGGTAATTGTTTCAATTATCTTCTTTTTCTTTTTTTTTTTTTTTTGAGATGGAGTCTCGCTCTGTCGTCCAGGTTGGAGTGCAGTGGCGCGATCTAGGCGCATTGCAACCTCTGCCTCCCGGGGACAAGCGATTCTCCTACCTTAGCCTCCCGAGTAGCTGGGACTACAGGCGCGCCACCATGCCCAGCTAATTTGTGTATTTTTAGTAGAGACGGGGCTTCACCATGCTGGCCAGGCTGTTGTCTTAACTCCTGACATTGTGATCCGCCCTCCTCGGTCTCCCAAAGTGCTGAGATTACAGGCATGAGCCACTGCGCCCGGCCTTTTTTCTTTCTTTTCAGGGTGTGGAGTCTCCCACTATCACCCAGGCTGGAGTGCAGTGTCGTGATCTCTGCCCACTGGAACCTCGGCCTCCTGAGTTCAAGCAATTCTCCTGCCTCAGCCTCTTGAGTAGCTGGGGCCACAGGCGCCTGCCACCATGCCCGGCTAATTTTTGTATTTTTAGTAGAGATGGGGTTTCGTCATGTTGGCCAGGCTGGTCTCCAACTCCTGACCTCAAGTGATTCACGCACCTCCGCCTCCCAAAGTGCTGGGACTACAGGCGTGAGCCATTGCGCCTGTTCTTACTACACAGACTCACCAGGCCTCCCTGAACCCATTTGTTTAATCATCTAAAAGACAAAATCCACTTTTTTTTTTTTTTTTTTTGAGACAGAGTCTTGGTCTGTTGCCCAGGCTAGAGTGCAATGGTGCCATCTCAGCTCACTGCAACCTCCACCTCCCGGGTTCCAGCAATTCTCCTGCCTCAGTCTCTCGAGTAGCTGGAACTACAGGTGTCTGCCACCATGCCCAGCTAATTTTTGTATTTTTAGTAGAGATGGGGTTTCATCATATTGGCCAGGCTGGTCTCGAACTCCTGACCTCATGATCTGCCCGCCTTGGCCTCCCATAGTGCTGGGATTACAGGCGTGAGCCACCACGTTTTTTGTTTTTTTTTTTTTTTTTTGAGATGGAGTCTCGCTCTGTCGCCCAGGCTGGAGTGCAGTGGCGCGATCTCGGCTCACTGCAAGCTCCGCCTCCCAGGTTCACGCCATTCTCCTGCCTCAGCCTCCCGAGTAGCTGGGACTACAGGCGCCTGCCACCATGCCCGGTTAATTTTTTGTATTTTTAGTAGAGACGGGGTTTCACCATGTTAGCCAGGATGGTCTTGATCTCCTGACCCCATGATCTGCCCGCCTCGGCCTCCCAAAGTGCTGGGATTACAGGCGTGACCCACCGCGCCCGGCCTTTTTTTTTTTTTTTTTTTTTGAGACGGAGTCTCTCTCTGTCACCCAGGCTGGAGTGCAGTGGCACAATCTCAGCTCGCTGCAACCTCCACCTCCTAGGTTCAAGCGATTCTCGTGCCTCAGCCTCCCGAGTAGCTGGGATTACAGGCACGTGCCACCACACCCAGCTAATTTTTTTGTATTTTTAGTAGAGACAAGGTTTCGCCATGTTGGCCAGGATGGTCTCAATCTCCTGAGCTCATGATCCGCCTGCCTCTGCCTCCCAAAGTGCTGGGATTACAGGCATAAACCACCGTGCCCGGCCCGTTTTCCCAAATCTGAAATGCATCTAGACAACGGTTGCAGGACCGGGCTCCTTCCCGATTAAACCACTACTTGAGTCGGATTTGGCTGCACCTTTACTAGCTCTGTGAACGTGGGCAAATGACTTAACTTATCTGAGTCTCCATTTTCTCAGGCGTAAAGGAGGCCACCCGAAGCCCAGGGTGTGGGTAGGTTAGCTGAAGTATTTGATTTAAAGGACCGTGAGGTCAGGTCCTAGTAAACGCTCAATAAACTGTTAAAAGACAGTGTTGGCCGGGCGCGGTGGCTCACGCCTGTAATCCCAGCGCTTTAGGAGGCCAAGGCGGGCAGATCACGAGGTCAGGGGTTCAAGACCAGCCCGGCCAACATGGTGAAACCCCTGTCTCTACTAAAAACACAAAAAAATTACCCGGGTGTGGTGGCAGGCGCCTGTAATCCCAGCTAATCGGGAGGCTGAGGCAGGTGAATCGCTTGAATCGGGTGGCGGAGGCTGCAGTGAGCTGAGACCGCACCACTGCACTCCAGCGTGGCAACAGAGCGAGACTTGGTCTTAAAAAAAAAAAAAAAAAAAAAAAAAAAGGCAGTGTCGAGAGGCCTGCACTGGCGACTGTCGGTCAGCAGGGGCCGCTACTGCGGTCTCTGAGCTCTCCTGGCGCCGCAGCAGGCGCATGCGCAGCGGAGCTTCTCTGCAGAGGTGAATTTTTTTATTGGTCCCCACCCTAAAAGACCCAGCGTATATTTATTATTGTACTTATTACAGCTGACCTGGTTGTGGCTGCTTGTGGTACTCCAGGATTCTGCTCTTCATGGATGTGGGGATGACAGTGGGAGAGATCCTTCCCTGCCAACACCTGGCTCCATCCCTGCAGTTATGGGGTTGAAAATTCCCCTTTTTCCCTTAAGCTCTCCCCCTAGTTCTTTAAATTACATGATGTTAGAATTTTTCAATAAGCAACCCATGCACTTGAGAAGAAATTCAACCCCTCTTTTATTAAGTTCCGGGATACCTGTGAACAGCCCCCCCTCCTTTTTTTTTTTTTTTTTTTTTGAGACAGAGTCTTACTCTCAGTCGCACAGGCTGGAGTGCATGCAGTGCCGTGATCTCGGCTCACTGCAACCTCTGCCTCTCGGGTTCAAGCGGTTCTCCTGCCTCAGCCTCCAAAGTAGCTGGGATTTCAGGCGTTCACTACCACGCCGGGCTAATTTTTTTATTTTTAGTAAAGACGGGGTTTCTCCATATTGGGTAGGCTGGTCTCGAACTCCTGACTTCAGGTGATTTGCCTGCCTCGGCCTCCCAAAGTGCTGGGATTACAGGCGTGATCCACCGCAAGCAGCCTAACCCCTCTTTAATTTTTAAAATTTTTAAAAATTTTTTTGAGACGGAATCTCGCTCTGTCGCCAGGCTGGAGAGCAGTGGCGCGATCTCGGCTAACTGCAACCTCCGCCTCTCGCCTGACACCTCTTTTAATGAAAACCTTTCCATTACATCTCTGAAATGCTCCCACTTTGCACGGAAAAAACGGCTGCGAAGCCCCCAATAGGAAACGCAACACGTAGCAGGTGCTCAGTGCATTTAAAAATTTTGAAGAATTTTATTATTAATAATGCGAAACTGACTACCCCTCTGCTAAAAACTCATGCCCCAAATGGCGCATGCGCTTGACTTGCAACTTAACTAAACGCGTCACAGGTACAGGTGTAGGTGGTTAGGGACCCCGGGCGCTCCCATCTGCTCCCTGCCGCGCCCTCTGCCTTTCAGAGCCTCAATCCTTTCGGAAGATACTTTTCAGTTTTCCACTGGGTTAAATGGTGATAGGAAGAGCAATCATCCGTTAAATGAAACCCAAGGTTGAGACAGCGCTTTGTAAAGCAAAGTGCCCGAAGCATTCGTGAGGGGGAGGAGTGTACAGGTTTATTTTAGAGTCCAGGCTGGAATTTGCATTGCTTTTTGTGGATCCACACCTCCCCCTCTCCCAGCCCAGGAAAAGCACTGCAGTGGCTCTCCTGTTTCACAAAGTGAGTTTAAGGAAAGATGTACCGCAGGGGGTTCATTTGCACTGTGAGAACATCATTCATGCAAGAAATGCTGAGTACCTACTATGTGCTAAACAGCGGGTTGGGCTTTTCATAAGGGATAGAGTTACACAATTGAATGCCAATTCATGAGATATGAAATACATTCAACTGTTTCTTAGGGTCAGATTAGGACACAAATGCTAAACAGTCTTCCTGCGCCTCCCCCTGGAGAGGAAATGAAATAGAAAATGAAATTGTGCCAGTAAACCGCTTAGCCGGGTGCCTGGGACATGGCAAACCAGTCCTGAAATAAATAACTGTTTTATTAATAGCAATCTTAGCTAATTAAAATAGATAGCGTTTATTGAGCGTTGGGTATCAGGCACGGTCCTAATTCTTTTAGATGTCTTTAGTTCGTTTCACTCTCCCCCAAACAATAGGGTGGTATTGATCACCTCCGAGCAGGTGAAATTGAGGCACAGAGAAATCCTAGTAGCTGGTAGAAGAACACGCAGTGTGGTCAAGCTAGCAAGGTGTTTGGTCCACTGCTATATCTACAAAACCCCTAACAATGCCTGGTGTATAGATGCTCAGTATGCATTTGTGGGATCAGTGATTCCGATGCCTGCTTCTTATAAAGTTTTTATTTAGAAATAATTACAGGTAAGGAGTTGCAAAAACAGTATAGTGGTCGCGAGTGTCCTTTTTCCCTCGGCTTCTCCCAGGGGTATCGTCTTACGTAACAATGTCCAAACAGGGAAATTGACTTGGGTATAATCCACAGACTCTATTCACCTTGTAAATTGGTTTTAATAGAAGTACTGGACAACTTGTAAGCTAATATCGTTGCTATGGTTCTCGTTCTCAGCTAAAACGGCGCTCTTTACTTTGTGCACCTGAACACTGCACACCGAGGGCGACCACCGCCCCCGAGATGCCCAGCTTCTATTCTAGAGCGCCGCGCCGGCGCCGAATGGGTTAACGGGCGGGGGGACACGCCTCCGTGCGCTTGCGCGGCGTCCCTTCGCCCCGCCTTCGCAGCGCAGTCACATGACCCGCCCAACCGGCGTCCGCCTATAAAAAGCTGAGTGTTGACGTCAGCGTTCTCTTCCGCCGTCGTCGCCGCCATCCTCGGCGCGACTCGCTTCTTTCGGTTCTACCTGGGAGAATCCACCGCCATCCGCCACCATGGTGAGTAACCCTGCCTCGCTGGTGCCCCGGAGCGGCGGCGGGGCCTCCGCGGGGCCTACGCTGCCTAGCCTGGGACGCTGGGGCCCCCCGTGCCAGGAGGAGACGTAGCGGCGGCGGGGCCGGAGGACCCGGGGCTGGGGAAGCGGCCGCCGCCATGTCTGTGCGCCGCGCTGTTCACCGAGCCCTTTCTCCGTTTCCGAGGGCGCCATAACCTTGCCCAGACCTGGTTGGAGCTGGGTTGTTAGCGGGGATGGGGGTGGGGAATGATGATGTGGCAGGCGTAGTAATGGCGGGCACCGCGGTGGAAGCGGGGAGACAGGGAGGCGCCTTATGTAACCCGCGGGCCGCGAGTTTGAGATCGATTTTCTGCCGGGGGACTAGGGGCGGCAGGGAATGGCAGAACGAGCAAAGCGACACCTGAAAGGCTCCCCTTTTCCTTCCAAATACCTTCTCCTGATGCTGTTAATCGTCGACCTTAGGCACTTGTCCTTCCTATGACTCCCAGATGTACAAAGACTCTTATTGAGACACGAGGTGTAGGCTTGTGGCAGTTAGGGCCGTTCCGGCTCCCCGTTATTTCCTGGGGTGGGTGGCCTTGTCTGATCCCGTTTGCCAAGGGGTGACCTTGCATTTTATGATGAAGCTTCTTGCTCGGGGAAGTTTGGGTGGCCCGGTGACAACGTGGAGGGGGCTTTAGGAGAGGATTCATCCCTTACGTGTTTGGCCCCAAATGAGACTTTAGTATTTGTACCTGGTATCAAGGAAATCTGTTGACACTCAGTTTTATTCCTGAGCACTTTTATTTCTGGGTTGTCAATCATGAATGACACCTATTAACGGTGGTTCCTTGGAGATTGCGGGGTGGCTCTTAAGGGGTGTTAGGCTGGCAAGATTCGGTGGGCTTGGGGCACCCCAGCACCAACCCCCTCCTGGCCTTGGGCATGCTGGTTCGTTTGGACTGAACGCTCCGTGCCATGCTGTGTTCCTGGAAATCACGAGCTGGTCTGAGCCTCCTTGTCTTGCCCAGGTGAACTTCACGGTAGACCAGATCCGCGCCATCATGGACAAGAAGGCCAACATCCGCAACATGTCTGTCATCGCCCACGTGGACCATGGCAAGTCCACGCTGACAGACTCCCTGGTGTGCAAGGCGGGCATCATCGCCTCGGCCCGGGCCGGGGAGACACGCTTCACTGATACCCGGAAGGACGAGCAGGAGCGTTGCATCACCATCAAGTCAACGTGAGCTCCCTGTGCCCTCTGTACCCAGGCAGGGAGGTGCTGGCCTGGCAGCTGGAGGCCACTGGGCCAGGGTGCGCGGGGAGAGACTTGGCAACGTCTCTTTCCCCTGGTTTCTTAATTCATGGGAGAATGAGTGAGGTTCAGTCCAGCGAGACAGGATGGAGAGGCACAGGGATTCGGGGTACTGCGAGCTGGAAGGTTTTCTTGAGGAGGGGGCTTAACTCCGTGGTTCTCCCTCCCTGGGGGACTTGCCCCCACTCCTACAATATCTGGAGAGGTTTGGCTGTCACACCTGGGAGGGGAGGGTGTTCTAGTGCTTGGGACGCTGGGAAGCTCCTGTGTTGCACTGGATGATGTTCATTCCATGTCAGTTTCTGGCCCCGATATGAGTAGGGGGAGCGCAGAGTACGGTGACCCCAACTGCTTTTTGTCCTGGGTTGGTACATTGGTGAGGGACTCTGGCTAAGGCTCTTCATTTCCCCTGGAGCAGGGGCAGAAGTGAGGAGGGGAGGGTCGGAGTCTCTGGAGGCTTTTGCCGTCCTGCTGGGTCTTTTAGTTGCTACTTTGAGTCAGGTGTGATGAATCTTGGGACCAAGTCGGTGGGGCAGGATGTCTGGTCAGGAGGGCTCTGAGGATCTGGCTATGGGGCTGGTACCAGGAGTTCCCTGTCATGGGGGTGGCATGTCTCGGACAGAGGCAAAGGACAAGGGTGGGTTGGCTCTTGTGGGAGCCTCTCCAGGGATGAGTCATGGAGGGAGGAGCAGCCTGGCTTCTGACAGCATCCCAGACTCCCTGGGCCAGGTGTGTGGCTCCTGTCCCCCTGACGAGTCCCTCCCTCCATCAGTGCCATCTCCCTCTTCTACGAGCTCTCGGAGAATGACTTGAACTTCATCAAGCAGAGCAAGGACGGTGCCGGCTTCCTCATCAACCTCATTGACTCCCCCGGGCATGTCGACTTCTCCTCGGAGGTGACTGCTGCCCTCCGAGTCACCGATGGCGCATTGGTGGTGGTGGACTGCGTGTCAGGTAAGCAGTGGGTCCCCCTGAGGCACGGCCTGGAACCGGGGGCCATCCTTGCTTGAGGATGACAGCGCCGCCCTGTCCCCCGTGTCCCCAGGCGTGTGCGTGCAGACGGAGACAGTGCTGCGGCAGGCCATTGCCGAGCGCATCAAGCCTGTGCTGATGATGAACAAGATGGACCGCGCCCTGCTGGAGCTGCAGCTGGAGCCCGAGGAGCTCTACCAGACTTTCCAGCGCATCGTGGAGAACGTGAACGTCATCATCTCCACCTACGGCGAGGGCGAGAGCGGCCCCATGGGCAACATCATGGTACGGCCCTCCCTAGCTGGGTGGTGGGCTTGCCGCAGCGGGATCTGCAGGAGCCGGTGGGGAGTGGAGTTGAGCTGAGGGGGACTGGAAGTGTGTTTTTGCCAGGAATGTTGGGTGACAGAGAAGGGGGCTGGAATGTTTTCATCCGACTTGACCCAGCCCTTGATCTTTGGGCAGCTGGAAGAGACGAGCTCAGGGAACGCTGCCCTGGGTGGTGGAGGGGCTGGCCCCCCTATTCGTGATGACTGATCATTTCTTCACTTTGACCAGATGTCTACTGAAGAAAGCCTGCGTCTGAGGCCCATGCCCAAGGCGCCCAGCCCGTAGCTTCAGGCTCTGCGCAGGGGCCCTCACGGCTGCTTCTCGTTTCTCACACTTCCAGATCGATCCTGTCCTCGGTACCGTGGGCTTTGGGTCTGGCCTCCACGGGTGGGCCTTCACCCTGAAGCAGTTTGCCGAGATGTATGTGGCCAAGTTCGCCGCCAAGGGGGAGGGCCAGTTGGGGCCTGCCGAGCGGGCCAAGAAAGTAGAGGACATGATGAAGAAGCTGTGGGGTGACAGGTGAGCCCCGCGGGATATGGTGGGGGATTCCTGACACCTGGGGGTAGTGGCAGCGACGTAGGGGCGTGGTGTGCTATTCACAGCGTGGCTCAAGCCCACCAGGTCTTGCCCAAGCATGTCCCCTTGGCGACCACCCTCCCCAAGTCATCCCCTGGAGACCCTAACTTGATTTGGCTTGGCCTCTCCTTGCCAGGTACTTTGACCCAGCCAACGGCAAGTTCAGCAAGTCAGCCACCAGCCCCGAAGGGAAGAAGCTGCCACGCACCTTCTGCCAGCTGATCCTGGACCCCATCTTCAAGGTGAGTGAGGGCTGCGCCAGGCACCCCGCCGATGCGACTATTGGCCCTCGGCCCTGTGGGCTCCGGCCGGTAGCCTGTCGGCTGACTGGGCCCGTCTCCTTGTGGGGCAGATGCGAGATGGGAGGAGGCACAGCTCCTAACTGAGGTGGAGTCAGGGCTCCTCTCTTAAGATCTGGACTGCATAGCCAGAGCCTTGGGACCTCTCCTGCATTGAGGGGGTTGAATAACTTGTGGCTTTGGCGGTTCAGTGCTTGTAAGTCAGAACTTGGGTCCTTGTCTGAGTCAGAGTGGGCTTTTTCCTCTGCTCCACCACGAGGTTTCCTCCAGCTCCCGATCCGCTCAGCTGGCTGGGCCCGTGGTAGGCAGGCCAGGCCTGCTCCTGCTCCCGTGCTGCGTCCCCCTGCGCTGACCTGAGTCTTCCAAGCAGGAAGCAGTGCCAGGCTTCCTCCTGCTGTTCCCAAATGGGCTTTCTTGTTTCTTGGTGGGGAATGTAGGTGTTTGATGCGATCATGAATTTCAAGAAAGAGGAGACAGCAAAACTGATAGAGAAACTGGACATCAAACTGGACAGCGAGGACAAGGACAAAGAAGGCAAACCCCTGCTGAAGGTGCGGCCTGGGCCCAGCCCTCGGGGTGGAGGGAACACAGGCTGCTGTTTCCGGATGCTCTGACAGCCCAGGCCTGGGGGCTGAAGTCCTCAGCTGGGCAGGGACAGCTGCTGCCCCTTTCGCTTTAGACTCTGGGTGCTGCTGGAGACACATCCCAGCAGCCAGCCCCATCCGGGACAGGTGTGGGTGAGGGCCTTGGCAGGAGTGTGCATGGCCTTTGCCGCCTTCCAGAAGGGACTGTGCTTTGGAGAACGTTAGTCCTGACTTTGGCTTCCTTGGCTTCAAGAGAGGAAGCGTGTACGGGGTGGGGCCATCCTGGGCTCCCCAGGTGTCTCATGCACCGCTCTCTGCCCCCGCAGGCTGTGATGCGCCGCTGGCTGCCTGCCGGAGACGCCTTGTTGCAGATGATCACCATCCACCTGCCCTCCCCTGTGACGGCCCAGAAGTACCGCTGCGAGCTCCTGTACGAGGGGCCCCCGGACGACGAGGCTGCCATGGGTACGTGGTCCCGGTGGCCGGGCCCTGAGATGCAGCCGGATGACTTCCTGTTGCCCAAGGTTGTGGGTTGCAGGGTTCCAGAAGGCTGAGCTGCACTGGAATAAAGCTTGCGGGTTTTCTCTGTCCCTCAGGCATTAAAAGCTGTGACCCCAAAGGCCCTCTTATGATGTATATTTCCAAAATGGTGCCAACCTCCGACAAAGGTCGGTTCTACGCCTTTGGACGAGTCTTCTCGGGGCTGGTCTCCACTGGCCTGAAGGTCAGGATCATGGGGCCCAACTATACCCCTGGGAAGAAGGAGGACCTCTACCTGAAGCCAATCCAGAGGTGAGCAGCTGGGTGATGTGCAGGCCCCTTGGCACTGTTGCGGGCCCTGCCCTGCTCCAAGTCTTGGGCTCCTCAGTCGGGAGCTAGAAGTAAGGAGCATAGAAGGAATATAGGGTGATACTTGTGCCAGCCACAACTTTTGTTCTTAGCCCAGTGAGGGCATTTCTGGAGAAGCTCCAAGCCCCAGGGCACAGCACACCCCTGCTCATCTGTGTCCCTGGGCACAGGTGGGTGGCGGCCGTCGACCCATACCCAGGGAGGAGGGCAGTGATTCTGAAGAGGATGTTTCCTGACAGCCCCGACGCAGCAGTCAGGGCCTTGTGGAAGCCACCAGTCTGCCCTGGGACCTGGCAGGAGGGCCACCAACTCCGGGAGGGACCTGCCCTGGCCCTCCAGGGTCCAGCACAACCATCCCTGCGGCCTGCTGCCGCCTTCTGCTTCTTCCAGAACAATCTTGATGATGGGCCGCTACGTGGAGCCCATCGAGGATGTGCCTTGTGGGAACATTGTGGGCCTCGTGGGCGTGGACCAGTTCCTGGTGAAGACGGGCACCATCACCACCTTCGAGCACGCGCACAACATGCGGGTGATGAAGTTCAGCGTCAGCCCTGTTGTCAGAGTGGCCGTGGAGGCCAAGAACCCGGCTGACCTGCCCAAGCTGGTGGAGGGGCTGAAGCGGCTGGCCAAGTCCGACCCCATGGTGCAGGTGGGCACGGAGTGCACCTGCTGGGAGCAGACACCCTGAGGGGGGACGGCTTGTGTCCTGAGTTGTGGCTGTGTGGGTTGCTGTGGTTGGTGGATTGGGGTGACTGGTCATGAAAGGAGGGGTTCTTGGCTGTGGCTGTAAATGGAGACTCCTGCCCAGGCAGCCACCACCCTCTCCTAGGCTGCTCTGCGCGTGTTCACTGTAGCTTGTGGGACTTAACATTTCTTCAGGAGTTTGTGCTGGTCCCAGTTTCCCAGCACCTTCCCTGAAATCTTGTTCTGGCGGGGTCCCTAGCTAAAGGGAAGCTGGGAGCCTGGTCCCGCCTGTTCCGAGCCGCCTACCCCTTTGGTGCTGACCCGCATCCCTTTCAGTGCATCATCGAGGAGTCGGGAGAGCATATCATCGCGGGCGCCGGCGAGCTGCACCTGGAGATCTGCCTGAAGGACCTGGAGGAGGACCACGCCTGCATCCCCATCAAGGTGAGGCGCCAGTGACCAGCCTTCCCCACGCCCCACCCCGGACACCTGCCCTCTGCTTTAAAGCTGAGCTGAGCTAGGCTCTGCAGACGCCTAGACTTGATCTCGGTCTTGGTCTCAGCTTCTTAAGTTCCTCAAGTTTCTTCTTTGCAGTCTTCCACAGGCATGTGGGGCTGTTTTTGTTGTTGTTGTTGTTTTTTTTGAGATAGTCTCGCTGTGTCATCCAGGCTGGAGTGCAGTGGCGTGATCTTGGCTCGCTAGAACCTCCACCTCCCGGGTTCAAGCGATTCTCTTGCCTCACTCAGCTTCCTGAGTAACTGGGACTACAGGCGCGTGCTACCACGCCCGGCTAATTTTTTTTTGTATTTTTAGTAGAGGCGGGGTTTCACTGTGTTAGTAAGTCAAGATGGTCTCGATCTCCTGACCTCGTGATCCCCCTGCCTCGGCCTCCCAAAGTGCTGGGATTACAGGTGTGAGCCACCATGCCTGGCCCAGGGCTATTTTTTTTTTTTTTTTTTTTTTTTTTTTGAGACAAGAGTCTTGCTCTGTTGCTTAGGCTGGAGTGCAATGGCGTGATCTTGGCTCACTGCAAGCTCTGCTTCCCAGGTTCACGCCATTCTCCTGCCTCAGCCTCCTGTAGCTGGGACTTCAGGCGCCTGCCATCATGCCCGGCTAATTTTTTGCATTTTTAGTAGAGACGGGGTTTCACCGTGTTAGCCAGGATGGTCTGGATCTCCTGACCTCGTGATCCACCCGCCTCGGCCTCCCAAAGTGCTGGGATTACAGGCGTGAGCCACCACGCCCGGCCTCCGGGGCAGTTTTTGAGTTACATCCTGCTGTCTTCTGTCCACAAACAACACAAATGCTCTGGAGGGGTTGGGACAGGCCTGCTCCAGACCTCGTTTCTTCCCTGTTAATGCTTAAAATTCCACAAGCCCGTGGTTTCTGCGCCGGAGAGCTCAGTGGAGCCCCTGCTCCTTGTCCTTGTCTGGAGTGAGATGCGCTTGGCACTGCAACACTGACTCCGCTTCGTTCTGATTGACGTGGCTCTACCAGGCTGTATGAGGTCCGCCTTGCTAGGAAAAGCTTTTAAGGATGCGTCTGTGTGTAAGGTCACCTCTTTCTCCAGGCAAGAGTGGGACTTAACCTCTTTTTGCAGAAATCTGACCCGGTCGTCTCGTACCGCGAGACGGTCAGTGAAGAGTCGAACGTGCTCTGCCTCTCCAAGTCCCCCAACAAGCACAACCGGCTGTACATGAAGGCGCGGCCCTTCCCCGACGGCCTGGCCGAGGACATCGATAAAGGCGAGGTGTCCGCCCGTCAGGAGCTCAAGCAGCGGGCGCGCTACCTGGCCGAGAAGTACGAGTGGGACGTGGCTGAGGCCCGCAAGATCTGGTGCTTTGGGCCCGACGGCACCGGCCCCAACATCCTCACCGACATCACCAAGGGTGTGCAGTACCTCAACGAGATCAAGGACAGTGTGGTGGCCGGCTTCCAGTGGGCCACCAAGGAGGTGAGGCACGGCTCAGCATGTGCAGACCACACCCGTTTCCAGGCTCTAGAGGGACCTCATGGTCCTGCCTCCCGAGACAGAGACCCTAATGGGGCCAAGGCGGGCAAGGCCCCAGGTCCCCCTGGTGGAGACCTGCAGGACTTGGCAGGTGGAGGGCAAGCAGCCGAGGTGTGTCCGGCCCTTGACGGTGGCTCTCCCCCTCCCCCAGGGCGCACTGTGTGAGGAGAACATGCGGGGTGTGCGCTTCGACGTCCACGACGTCACCCTGCACGCCGACGCCATCCACCGCGGAGGGGGCCAGATCATCCCCACAGCACGGCGCTGCCTCTATGCCAGTGTGCTGACCGCCCAGCCACGCCTCATGGAGCCCATCTACCTTGTGGAGATCCAGGTGAGGTCTACCCGCCCACCGCTGACCCTGCCACCGTCCTGCCCAGCGGCCACTGACAGGTTTTCTTTCCCTTCTGGCAGTGTCCAGAGCAGGTGGTCGGTGGCATCTACGGGGTTTTGAACAGGAAGCGGGGCCACGTGTTCGAGGAGTCCCAGGTGGCCGGCACCCCCATGTTTGTGGTCAAGGCCTATCTGCCCGTCAACGAGTCCTTTGGTGAGTGCCTGCCCGGTGTGGCCTGCAGAGCCTGGCAGGCTGGTTTGGGGGACAGAAGCCCAGTTAAGCTTAGCAAGGTGTTAAAGGAGGCGTCCTGATGGGAGCAGGTGATGGATGGAGCAGGTGGTCCAGTTTCTGACAGCTTGTGGACCCCCTAAATCACTGAATTCCCAGGGGAGGGGCTCTCCTATCCCCAGTGTGAGAAGGGCTCTGGGCCTGGAGCTCTGAAGGCCTACGCCCTGGGCCGGTAGAGCAGCCGAGCTGTAGCACAGGGTTGTCCCAAACGAGCAGCGGCATGAGGCCCATGAGTGGCCTGCTAGGCCCTTCGTGAAGTGCTGGGCACCAGGCCGAGTGTCTGGTCTGCAGGGTGACTCAGGCTGAGGAACTAGCCTGAGCTCCTGACAGGACTTTCCTTCTGCCCTGCCACCTTCTCGATGGCCCAGTGAGCCTCTCGCTTCCCTCTGCAGGCTTCACCGCTGACCTGAGGTCCAACACGGGCGGCCAGGCGTTCCCCCAGTGTGTGTTTGACCACTGGCAGATCCTGCCCGGAGACCCCTTCGACAACAGCAGCCGCCCCAGCCAGGTGGTGGCGGAGACCCGCAAGCGCAAGGGCCTGAAAGAAGGCATCCCTGCCCTGGACAACTTCCTGGACAAATTGTAGGCGGCCCTTCCTGCAGCGCCTGCCGCCCCGGGGACTCGCAGCACCCACAGCACCACGTCCTCGAATTCTCAGACGACACCTGGAGACTGTCCCGACACAGCGACGCTCCCCTGAGAGGTTTCTGGGGCCCGCTGCGTGCCATCACTCAACCATAACACTTGATGCCGTTTCTTTCAATATTTATTTCCAGAGTCCGGAGGCAGCAGACACGCCCTCTTAGTAGGGACTTAATGGGCCGGTCGGGGAGGGGGAGGCGGGATGGGACACCCAACACTTTTTCCATTTCTTCAGAGGGAAACTCAGATGTCCAAACTAATTTTAACAAACGCATTAAGAGGTTTATTTGGGTACATGGCCCGCAGTGGCTTTTGCCCCAGAAAGGGGAAAGGAACACGCGGGTAGATGATTTCTAGCAGGCAGGAAGTCCTGTGCGGTGTCACCATGAGCACCTCCAGCTGTACTAGTGCCATTGGAATAATAAATTTGATAAGGTGGTGACTCTGTTCTGCATTTTTCACGGTGTCTTCGCAGGGGAGCGGGGCTGCCCAGTACTGGGCTCCCTGGAGCCTAGAAGGGGACCCGGGCCCTAGTTAGGTGCAGCCTGGGGCTGCCTCAGTGTTAGGTGGAACGTTCTGGAATGGTGGGAATGCCCTACCCCTGTGTCATTCAGAGAAGCAGCTGCCAGCTGCGCGGGTCTGCTGAGCATTTGAAGTAGGATCAGTGCGGCAAGGAATTACGAGATGTCACTTTGAACGCATTTGGATGGCCCTGTGGAGCGAGGGGCTCTGGATTGAACTTCGCAGGTTTCAGCAACTTTCCGAATTGCTGACGAGCTCACAAGTTCTATCTGCCATCAGGATTTTCTGTGGTCACCCCAGTCCTGACTAGTTTATTAGAAACCCATTTTTTTTTTTTTTTTTTTTGAGATGGAGTCTCACCGTTTGCTAGGCTGGAGTGGAATGGCACCATCTCTGCTCACTGCAACCTCCACCTCCCGGGTTCAAGCAATTCTGCCTCGGGCTCCTGGGTAGCTGGGATTACATGCGTGTGCTACCACGCCCAGCCAATTTTTATATTTTTAGTAGAGATGAGGTTTCACCATGTTGGCCTGGATGATCTTGATCACTCGACCTTGTGATCCACCCGCCTTGGCCTCCCAAAGCGTTGGGATTGTACCACTGTGCCCGGCCTTGTAAACACTTTTTTAGAGGCAGAGTCTTGCTGTCTCCCAGATGAGTATAGTGGTGCAGTCAGCTCACTGCATCCTCCACCTCCTGGACTCTCCTGCCTCAGCCTGCCAGGTAGCTGGGACTCCAGGCATGTGCCACCATGCCCAGCTAATTTTTATTTATTTTGAGACAGAATTTTGCTTGGCCTGGTTGGTCTCGAACTCCTGACCTCAAGTGATCTGCCCGCCTCGGCCTCCCAAAGTGCTGGGAATTATAGGCGTGAGCCACTGTGCTGACCTAATTTTTACTTTTTTTGTAGTAATGGGGTCTCACTATGTTGCTCAGGCTGGTCTCCTTCCCGGGCTCAAGCGATCCTTCTGCCTCAGCCTCCCAAAGTGCTGGGATTTCAGGTGTGAGCGCCAATAGCTTAGAAAACTATTTGTTTTTCTAAATAGTGCCTAAGATGTGAGGAGGCCTAATCTTGTCAGTGCTGATAAGGTTAACATGATCATTTTCCGCCTTTTACTCTGTCCTCAGGAAGGCAGGTGGGGACTGTGAAGTAGGGCTGTGGGGTTCTCGGCAAAGGCGGGGGCAGCTCTGGCCCTGCATTGTCAAGGCCAAGCCTCAGCTGAGGTTTTGCCCACATGTAGGTATGCCTGAGGTTTGGTTTGGCTGTCGCATTTGAATTGGGGCTGTAACTGACGCTGTTTCCAGCAGTCAGGGTAACGGATTACTGTGTTTCGAGAATCTCACTCTATCGCCCAGGATGGAGTGCAGTGTTGTGATCTTGGCTCACTATAGCCTCTGCCTCCGGATTCAAGTGCTCAAGCAATTCTTGTGCTTCAGCCTCCCGAGTAGCTGGAATTACAGGCGCCTATCACCAGGTCTGTGTAATTTTTGTATATTTAGGTGAGATGGGGTTTCACCATGTTGGCCAGGCTGGTCTCAAGCTCGACCGTAAGAGATCAGCCCGCCTCAGCCTCCCAAAGTGCTGGGGTTACAGGTGTGAGCCACCATACCGGGTCCTATTCTTTTTTAGTAGTGCAAACGTTAAGATGGTATGTGGAAGCTGAATTTTTTTTTTTTTTTGAGACAGTCTTTGCTCTGTCACCCAGGCTGGAGTGCAGTGGCTCAATCTTGGCTCACTGCAAGCTCCGCCTCCCGGGTTCACGCCATTCTCCTGCCTCAGCCTCCCGAGTAGCCGGGACTACAGGCGCCCGCCACCATGCCCGGCTAATTTTTTGTATTTATTAGTAGAGACAGGGTTTCACCGTGTTAGCCAGGATAGTCTCGATCTCCTGACCTCGTGATCCACCCGCCTCGGCCTCCCAAAGTGCTGGGAATTATAGGCGTGAGCCACTGTGCTGACCTAATTTTTACTTTTTTTGTAGTAATGGGGTCTCACTATGTTGCTCAGGCTGGTCTCCTTCCCGGGCTCAAGCGATCCTTCTGCCTCAGCCTCCCAAAGTGCTGGGATTTCAGGTGTGAGCGCCAATAGCTTAGAAAACTATTTGTTTTTCTAAATAGTGCCTAAGATGTGAGGAGGCCTAATCTTGTCAGTGCTGATAAGGTTAACATGATCATTTTCCGCCTTTTACTCTGTCCTCAGGAAGGCAGGTGGGGACTGTGAAGTAGGGCTGTGGGGTTCTCGGCAAAGGCGGGGGCAGCTCTGGCCCTGCATTGTCAAGGCCAAGCCTCAGCTGAGGTTTTGCCCACATGTAGGTATGCCTGAGGTTTGGTTTGGCTGTCGCATTTGAATTGGGGCTGTAACTGACGCTGTTTCCAGCAGTCAGGGTAACGGATTACTGTGTTTCGAGAATCTCACTCTATCGCCCAGGATGGAGTGCAGTGTTGTGATCTTGGCTCACTATAGCCTCTGCCTCCGGATTCAAGTGCTCAAGCAATTCTTGTGCTTCAGCCTCCCGAGTAGCTGGAATTACAGGCGCCTATCACCAGGTCTGTGTAATTTTTGTATATTTAGGTGAGATGGGGTTTCACCATGTTGGCCAGGCTGGTCTCAAGCTCGACCGTAAGAGATCAGCCCGCCTCAGCCTCCCAAAGTGCTGGGGTTACAGGTGTGAGCCACCATACCGGGTCCTATTCTTTTTTAGTAGTGCAAACGTTAAGATGGTATGTGGAAGCTGAATTTTTTTTTTTTTTTGAGACAGTCTTTGCTCTGTCACCCAGGCTGGAGTGCAGTGGCTCAATCTTGGCTCACTGCAAGCTCCGCCTCCCGGGTTCACGCCATTCTCCTGCCTCAGCCTCCCGAGTAGCCGGGACTACAGGCACCCGCCACCATGCCCGGCTAATTTTTTGTATTTATTAGTAGAGACAGGGTTTCACCGTGTTAGCCAGGATGGTCTTGATGTCCTGACTTCGTGATCTGCCCACCGTGGCCTCCCAAAATGCTGGAATTACAGGCGTTAGCCACCATGCCCTGCCACTTTTTTTTCTTTGAGATGGAGTCTCCCTCCGTCACCCAGGCTGTAGTATAGTGGCATGATCTCGGCTCGCTGCAACCTCCACCTCCTGGGTTCAAGCAATTCTCCTGCGCTAGCCTCCCGAGTAGCTGGGATTACAGGCATGTGCCACCAGGCCTGGCTAACTTTTGTATTTTTAGTAGAGACAGGGTTTCACCATGTTGAGCAGGCTGGTCTTGAACTCCTACTTCAAGTGACCTGCCCGCCTTGGCTGCCCAAGCTGTTGGGATTACGGGCGTGAGCCACCACACCTGGCCAACCCATTGTACGTTGAAAATGTAAATAAAAAATATAAAGGCCGGCTTGTGGCTCACGTCTGTAATCGCAGCACTTTGAGAGGCCGAGGCCGGCGGATCACAGATATTGAGACCATCCTGGCCAACATGGTGAAACCCTGCGTCTACTAAAAATACAAAAATCAGCTGGGAGTGGTGGCGTGCACCTGTAGTCCCAGCTACTCGGGAGGCTGAGGCAGGAGAATCGCTTGAACCCAGGAGGCAGAGATTGCAGTGAGCCCAGATCTCACCACTGCGTTCCAGCCTGGACGATAGAAGGAGACTGTCTCAAAAAAAAAAAAAAAAAAAAAAAAAGGCTGGGCAAGGTGGCTCATGCCTGTAATTCCTGCACTTTGGGAGGCCGAGGCGGGCGGATCAGGAGGTCAGGAGATCGAGACCATCCTGGCTAACACGGTGAAACCCTGTCTCTACTAATAAATACAAAAAATTAGCTGGGCGTGGTGACGGGCGCCTGTAGTCCCAGCTATTCGGGAGGCTGAGGCAGGAGAATGGCGTGAACCTGGGAGGTGGAGCTTGCAGTGAGCCGAGATTGTGCCAGTGTACTCCAGCCTGGGTGACAGAGCGAGACTCCGTCTCAAAATAATAATAAAAAATGAATTTAGGCCGGGCGCAATGGCTCACGCCTGTAATCTCAGCACTTTGGAAAGCTGAGGTGCCGGATCACCTGAGCTTAGGAGTTCGAGACCAGCCTGGGCAACATGGTGAAACCCCGTCTCTACTAAAAATACAAAAATTAGCCGGGCGTGGTGATGGGCACCTGTAATCCCAGCTACTTGGGAGGCTGAGGCACGAGAATCGTTTGAACCCGGGAGGTGGAGGTTGCAGTGAGCTGGATACCGCCGCTGCACTCCTGCCTGGGTGACAGAGTGAGACCCTGTCTCAAAAAATAAAATTAAAAAAAAAACAAACCTGATACCTCCCAGTGTTGTCAGTTGGCACATACTATGTCTCAATAAAATGCTTGCTGTTACCCTCTATTTTGAGACGAAGAGGGACCCTGTGTATGACAACCCCAGATTGACCTCATTTGCATTTTAAGTATTTAGAATGTGGGTAACAGTTTTCAGTGGAGGAAACTGCCACATAGGGACTAAAGCAGTCCCAGGGTCCACTCCAGGAGCTGCCAGGCGCGCTCGGCCACAGGTGAGCCATCCATTCGCCCAACCGGTGCTCCAGGAAGGCAGGAAGCGGGATGCAGGGCTTCAGCCTCACTTCTCGCAGCTTCAGCACCTGGGTCAGAGGAGAGGCGGGCGGGGCGATGAAGGGACCGGAAGTCGGCCTTTTTTCCGTCCGCTTGACCAGCGTCGACTGCAGCCAATGAAATCAGGGATGGCGAGTGTTCAGCCAGTGGTGAGGCTGCATCCGGGTGTGGGTGCCGAAAAGGCAGCTGGGGGCGGGACGTCGAGGTGCGGCACGAGCGGCGGGCGCACCGGCCAATAGGCGGCGGGGTTCGTTTCCCGGGGGTGGGCACTGGCGGGTGCGGTGACGTCGGCGCAGGCGCGTCGCGGCGGCAGGGGCGCGGGGCTTCTGGAGGCGGCGGCGGTGGCCAGCGCGGCGGCGCCGGCCGTATTCTCCGGGCTGCGGAGGGTAAAGAGCGGGCTCGGGCCGAGGCTGGAGGGCTGGGTGGGGCCAGAGCGGCGCTTCGGGGGCCCGCGGAGGACGAGGGAGGGAGAGAATCTGAGGAGCTGGTAGGTTTGGGGACCCATCTGGGTGACCGGGCCGGGGAAAGGGCTCGGCCGGGCGTGCGAGGGGCGTAGCGGCCCCAGGGATGCTGGAGCGGAGCCTTAGGGATGGGCAAGGCCTTGGGGGCGGGGGGAGGTTCTGCAAAGGGAGCCACTGGGGTCTGCCTAGGGGCTTGTGCGGAGATTGCGGGCGAGAAGGGGCAGAGGACGGTGGAGGAGACTCAGATGGGGCCCTTTTTGGCGGCCCGTTTTGGGGGGTAGGGGAGACGGCGGTTGGGGGACTTTGATACATGGAGCGTGGAGGAAGAGGTTAATCTTGCGAGGACAGTGGAGGTCAGCGGGGGAGGGAGGCAAAGTGGGCTTTCAGGAGCGTGGAAGGCGTCGTCCGGTTCTTGGAAAATTCAGAATTGGAGGGAGTCAGAGATGGTTGGGGGTGGGCGGGGGTGTTCCATCGATGAGGGTCTTAAGAGACCTGCCGAGGGCAAGGACCAGGAGGGGTTAAGGTAGTAACTTGGGAATTTTGATCGGAATGGCAGCACTTTGGGAGGCCTGGGACGATCGCTTGAGCCTTGGAGTTCCAGGCTGCAGTGAGCCATGATTGCACCACTGCACTCCAGCCAGGGCGACAGAGCGAGACTCCTTCTCAAAAAACAACAACACCAACAACAAAAGAAGTAGACTTGAGAACTTCGTTAAGACATTGGCCAGGGAGTAAGGTAGCCCTGGGATTTGAGGTTGAGGAGAACGTGCAGGAATGGTGGGGGATTTTGGCTGAGCAGGTTGAGAGAAGTCTAGGAGTGAGAGGCAAAAAAAGACGCAGGCAGCGTCGGGGAAATCAGAATTATGTGTCTGGAGAGAGTTTTGCGGGGTGAAGGTGGCCCAGTGGGGCTGTTACCAAACTTTTGAGTGGTTATGGGGCTCTAAGAGGTGACATGACAGGACCCAGCCCAGTAAACACAGCACCTCTTTTTGTCGAGTTTGGAGCTTCAGAGTGGAGAGGTGGGAGGCTTGTGTTTGCTGGACAGGTCTGTCCATTAATCTAGGAGAAAAGGGTGGTGTCTCAGTTCCTCACTTCTGTCTTTCCCTGTCTTCTCCAGGGTTGCCATTAGGGGACTCCTGAGGTCCTATCTCCAGGCTGCGGTGACTGCACTTTCCCTGGAGTGGAAGCTGCTGGAAGGCGGACCGGCCGCCATGTCCACGTTCAGGCAGGAGGACGTGGAGGACCATTATGAGATGGGGGAGGAGCTGGGCAGGTGAGCTGTCTGCCCGCACGGCTGGGCTCCAGGGATAGGAGAGAGGCGCTGTGGGGTTTTCTGAACAGCAGCTCTCCTTTCCTGTTCTTTATCCTGTATGCTGAGAAGGAATGAGTCAGTATCATGCGGTGGGGGAACGAATTTGGGCCGTGGAGTCAGACAGCCCCGGCTGTGAATTCCTGCTTGGGAATCCTCTGTGTGTTTCCTGTGGGGAGAAAAGTAATTGAGCCGTTACAGCAGCCAAGACCGTGCCTGGCATGGGGCACCAGAGCAACAGATGCCAGCTGCTTTTGTTATTAAAAGATGTGTCTTCTGCCTGGGCAACATAGCAAGACTCCATCCCTACAAAAAATAAAAATGAAAAAAAATTAACCAGGTGTGGTAGCTCATGCCTGTAGTCCCAGCTACTAGGGAAGCTGAGACGGGAGGATGGCTTGAGCCCAGGAGTTGGAGGAGGCTGCAGTGAGCTATGATCGTGCCACTGCACTGTAGCCTGGGCAACAGAGTGAAACCCCATTTATTTAAAAAAAAAAAAATCTCCCTGTGTTAATCCTCTTTTGTGGGAGGCACTTTAGTTTTTTTGCCCAGCTCTTGGATGTTTAAAGTGGGGGGAGGGAGGGGCGTGTCTCCCAGCTGGGCCCAAACCTCGGTCAATTGTTTAACATGCTTGTGGGAAAAAGCAGAGGTTTCCTCTTCCAGGGAGGCAGCTGATTTCCTGCCTGTCTGGGCCTTGGAGGGTCCCCCTGGGGCCCCACCCCCTCCAGACTAGCCAGGCACCACTAGGCCCTGCCTCCTTTTGTAGAGCCTCCAGCCTTATTTGGTGAGTTTGCTACTGGCCAGCCTCCCTGGAGCCTCCCCATGATGTCACCAGAAGGGAATGTAAATAAGTGAGCTCTGTGTCAGGCTAGGGAGAGTGCTGCAGGCTCTTTTGGGATCCTGAGGTCCCTCCTTCAGGAATTTCCTCGTTAGTGGCAGAGAAAGCATGCTCCCTCCTCCCCCTTCTCATGCTTCAGTGTTGACCCCTCCTGCTAGGGGTCGTTTGGCAAAAGTCAGCAAAATTCAGCCAAATTTCTTTTAACTCGCCGATTTCACCTCTAGGAATTAATTCATTGGAAAACTGTACATACATGGATGGAATGACTTAAGACTGGGGTAGTTGCTAGAACGTTTACCAGAATAACAGCCTTTTTTTTTTTTCCTTGACACTATCTCATTCTGTCGCCCAGGCTGGAGTGCAGTGATGCGATCTCGACTCATTGCAGCCTCGGCCTCCAGCCTAGCCTCCCGAGTAGCTGGGATTACAGGAGCCCGCCACCACCCCTGGCTAATTTTTGTATTTTTAGTAGAGACAGGATTTCACCATGTTGGCCAGGCTGGTCTCGAACTACTGACCTCAGGTGATTCACCTGCCTCGGCCTCCCAAAGTGCTGGGATCACAGGCGTGAGCCACCGCACCCCGCTGGGAACAGCAGCCTCTTAAATGGCCTTCCCCAAACCACTGCATCAGGGCTGGAATAGGATGCAGCTTGTAAAAAGAACCAGGCAGGGCCAGGTGCGGCGGCTTCCGCCTGTAATTCTAGCGCTTTGGGAGGCCAAGGCGGGAGGATCGCTTGAGCCCAGGACTTCAAGACTAGCCTGGGCAACATAAGTTGACCCCCATCTCTCAAACAAACAGAAATTCATAATTTTAAAAAAAGTATTTAGCCTTCTGTTTTTGCCGTGAAGCCTTGGAGGTCTGGTGTGTATTTCATGTCGCAGTTTTTCTCGGGACTGGCCACACCTCACGGGTTTGACAGCTCTGGGTGGCCAGTGTCTGCTGTTCTGACGGCACTGCTTCAGGTAGTGGTCTGGAACATTCTCAGAGATACATGAAGTGCAAGATGAAGGCCCAGAATGTAGCAATTTTTGTTTGTTTGTTTGAGACGGTGTCTGGCTCTGTTGCCGAGACTGGAGTGCAGTGGTGCCATCTTGGCTCACTGCAATCTTCGCCTCCCGGGTTCAAGTGATTCTCCTGCTTCAGCCTTCCAAGTAGCTGGAATTACAGGCGCCCACCAACGTGCTCAGCTAATTTTTGTATTTTTAGTAGAGACGGGGTTTTGCCATGTTGGCCAGGCTGGTCTTGAACTCCTGACCTCAAATGATCTGCCCGCCTCTGCCTCCCAAAGTGCTGGGATTACAGGTGTGAGCCACTGTGCCTGGCCCCAGCCCACACTTTTTTTTTGAGACGGAGTCTTGCAGTGTCGCCCGGGCTGGAGTGCAATGCCGCAATCTCAGCTCACTGCAACCTCCGTCTCCCAGGTTCAAGCGATTCTCCTTGCCTCAGCCTCCCGAGTAGCTGGGATTATAGATGCCTGCCAGCACGCCCGGCTAATGTTTTTGTATTTTTAGTAGAGACGTGGCTTTCACTATGTTGGTCAGGCTAGTCTTGAACTCCTGACATCGTGATCTGCACGCTTTTGCCTCCCAAAGTGCTGGGATTACAGGCGTGAGCCACTGTGCCCGGCTTCCCAGCCCGCATTTTTAAACATCATGAACTCTATCAGTAGAAATTGTCGGTGTGTAGGCCACGCTTGGGTCGTGTCTGGGTTGTGGCAGGCACTTAGGAAGTGGGTTGGGAGTGACACCTGAGACCATCACTGAGGAGGGCTTGCTGTGCCCCCACCTGCGCTGGGGGCTGGGGAAGTTACAGAGAAGCGAAGAGGGTGGGCTCAGCTCTTGGGGAGTTTCTTTCCCGGCTGGGGAGATGAGGCACGTTTCACATTCCGTAGAGGAACTGAGAGCCTGCCAGTGGCCTTGCCTCTAAGGAGCAAGTCTGTGGCCAGTGAGACCGGGGGCTGTCTGGAGGTGGGCGGCTGTGGTCTGCTGTTGCTGTAGGAGGACTCAGTGGCAGAACCTGAAATCTGGTTGGCAATAGCAAAACAGGGAAAGGCGTGGTTTACAGAACCAGGTTGTCCAGGTGTGCAGCGGCCGCAGGTGTGACTGGGTGCTGGTGCATATGGTGCCCTGTGTCCCCGGGGCCGAAGTCCACTCCAGCATGGAGGAGGCGCCCTGGCAGAGTGAATGACGGGGCTTATGTGCCACCCGCAGTGCCTGGTGGCTCCCCTCTCCTGGCCTGGTCTGTTCTTAGGCAGGCTTCTTAGGTAGCCTTCTACGTGGTGGCCCCTGCCGCGAGCCTGGATCCAAGCCCAGCAGAGGGAGAGAGAGATCCTCTCTTCCCAGCAGGCGTTCAGAGCCCTGTGGACTGGACCGGTCTCTTTGGGCTGGAAGGCGTGGTTTTCTGCTTGCCCAGGTCCAGTCGTGTCCCCTTCCACCCCTTTCCTGGGCCACTGAGTCCCACAGACTGAGAGTGAGCGGCAAAGGCTGCCCTGGGACAGCTGGGTCTGTTAGCAGGAGACAGCGTGGAGCCGGGAGGTAGGCACGCAGGAACCCGGTACCCAGCAGCAGCTGTCTGCTTCCTGTTAGAGCACCTGGGCTCTGGAGCCTGCAGCACCTGGTTTGAAGGTTTGAATCCTCCCGCCACTGACTGACTGCATGACCTTGGGCTAGTTGCTTTCCTTTTCTCAGCCTTGGTTTCTTTAAAATGCGGATACTGGCCAGATGTAGCGGCTCCACCTGTACTGCCAACACTTGGGGTGGGGGAGTGGGAGGATCTCTTGAGGCCAGGAGTTCCAAAGCAGCCTGGGCAATACGGCAAGACCCTGTCTCTACAAAAAATAAATAAATCAGGTGTGGTAGTGTGTTCCTGTAGTCCCACCTACTTGGGAGGGATCACTTGAGCCCAGGAGTTCGAGACCAGCGTGGGCAACATAGTGAGACCTCATCCTTACAAAAAGAAAAAAAAATTAATTGGGTGTGGTGGTATGTGCCTGTAGTCCCAGCTGCTTGAGAGGCTGAGGCAGGAGGATTGCCCGAGCCCAGGAGGTCAAGGCTGCAGTGAGCCATGACTGAACCACTGCATTCCAGCCTGAGCAACAGGGCCAGACCCTGTCTCAAGACAAAACAAAACAAAAACAAAAAAAGCGGATCTGGCACTTGCCTTGCACTTTTTATTTTTTTGAGGCAGGATCTTGCTACGTTGCCCAGGCTGGAGTACAGTGGCACAATCTCAGTTCACTGCAACCTCTGCCTCCCAGGTTCAAGCGATTCTCCTGCCTCAGCCTCCCAAGTAGCTGGGATTACAGGCACCCGCCACCACACCCAGCTAATTTTTTGTATTTTTGGTAGAGACAGGGTTTCACCATGTTGGCCAGGCTGCTCTTGAACTCCTCAGCTCAAGTTATCTGCCCTCCTCGAACTCCCAAAGTGCTGGGATTACAGGCGTGAGCCACCGCGCCTGGCCCCCTCAGTTCCCTCTTGATATGCATTGAACTGTTCATTCTTTCACTTTTCAAAAATACGCCGGTGCCATGGTGTTAACGTGTGGCTCTGCACTCCCCTCCACACACCTGCTGGGCATAGCCCTGGGAGGGGTGGGAACGCCGCGTCTGATGGTGTGGGGCGCTAAGGAATTGCTCTCTGAGAAGGCGCAGAGTCTGCACCCCCGCAGTGGCCAGCTCATGTCCTTCAAGTGCCTGGTGCAGGGCCGCGCCCAAGAGGAGCAAGTGGAGGTGACGGGGAGCCAGCCACCCCCACTTACTCCCTCCGCCTCCTCCACCCCCACTCACTCCCTCCCCCTCCTCCAGCGGCCAGTTTGCGATCGTGCGGAAGTGCCGGCAGAAGGGCACGGGCAAGGAGTACGCAGCCAAGTTCATCAAGAAGCGCCGCCTGTCATCCAGCCGGCGTGGGGTGAGCCGGGAGGAGATCGAGCGGGAGGTGAACATCCTGCGGGAGATCCGGCACCCCAACATCATCACCCTGCACGACATCTTCGAGAACAAGACGGACGTGGTCCTCATCCTGGAGCTGGTCTCTGGCGGGGAGCTCTTTGACTTCCTGGCGGAGAAGGAGTCGCTGACGGAGGACGAGGCCACCCAGTTCCTCAAGCAGATCCTGGACGGCGTTCACTACCTGCACTCTAAGCGCATCGCACACTTTGACCTGAAGGTGAGCCCTGTAGGGCCCTGTGGGGCCGGCCTGGCCAGTGTGGGGGTGGGGATGGGGCGGGGAAGAGCCTGGAAGGCACCTCCTGCGCGTGGGGGTGAGGTGTGGGGAGCGTGGGGGTGAGGTTTGGGGAGCGTGGGGGTGAGGTTGGGGGAGCGTGGGGGTGAGGTTGCGGGGAGCGTGAGGGTGAGGTTTGGGGAGCGTGGGGGTGAGGGTGGGGGAGGCCCGTGCTTTCCCTGCTGAGCCTCCTCCCACCCCAGCCGGAAAACATCATGCTGCTGGACAAGAACGTGCCCAACCCACGAATCAAGCTCATCGACTTCGGCATCGCGCACAAGATCGAGGCGGGGAACGAGTTCAAGAACATCTTCGGCACCCCGGAGTTTGTGGGTGAGGCCCTGCCCAGTGGGCAGCCCCGGCCTGGGGAGGGTGGTCTGGGGCTGCCTGCTGTGCGTGGGGTGGGTCATGCCCGGTGCTGGGTGCCGCGTCCTCGGCCCTGAAGCCACCCCTCTTGGGCCCGGCTTTGCGGGAGGTCTGGGCCTCCATTTGGTGCAGCCCCGCTGTCCTACCCGTCAGGCCCTGAGGGCCAGCTCTGCCGCATTCATGCCCCCAAGGGCTGCGACATGTGAGAACCTTGACCCCATGCCTGTGTCTTGAGCCTCTTCCTTGGCCAGCATGTCCCCAGTGCCTGACCCACATCTCCCTGTTCTGCAGCCCCAGAGATTGTGAACTATGAGCCGCTGGGCCTGGAGGCGGACATGTGGTGAGTGTACCACCTGCTCCCACCGGGCCTCCCTGCATTCCTGGAGCGCAGGCCAGTGCTGCAGCTGGGGATGAAGCGGGGCCTTGCTGCTGTTGGGGTATGGGGGGACCGTTGCCCTAGAACAGGGGCGCTGGACGCCACGGTCCTGGGAGGGTGGGCGGCCCCACGCTGCGCTGACCCTTGCCTCTTGTCTGTCCCCAGGAGCATCGGTGTCATCACCTATATCCTGTGAGTACCTGGCGGGGGCCCCCTCGGCTGTGCAACACAGCTGGCATGGGTCCCCGGCTCCGTGTGTCTCATGTGGACGCCAGGGGTCCCCAGCCTGGCTGTGACCCATCGCGGGTACTCAGGGGATACCGGGTGAACGGATGAGTGATTCTCTGTGGCTGCTGTCACAGAGGCTTCTGGAGAGTTCTGAAGGCAGGACACTCACAGAGCGGCTGAGCAGGCTCCGGGTTGGGGGTCGTGTGTGCTCCTGTCCCTCTGGCTGCTAGGGAGCCCAGCCTCCTCTCGAAGTGCAAGGAAGGGGTCCGACCCCACGCTGGGTTTTGGCTCCTGTCCCTGGGCCACACGTGGGCCTGCTGTTGTTTATTATTTTTATTTGTTGAGACGGGGTCTTACTCTCTTGCCCAGGCTGGAGTGCTGTCCTAGCTCACTGCAGCCTCCACCTCCCAGACTTAAGCAATCCTCCCACCTCAGCCTCCTGAGTACCTGGGACTACATGTGCACACAACCATGCTCCCATGCTCGGACTTTTTTTTTTTTTTGATGGAGTTTTGCTCTTGTTGTCCAGGTTGGAGTGCAGTGGTGCGATCTCAGCTGCTCACTGCAACCCCCACCTCCCAGGTTCAAGCGATTCTCCTGCCTCAGTCTCCTGAGTAGCTGGGATTACAGGCGCCCACCACCATGCCCAGCTAATTTTTGTATTTTTAGAAGAGACGGGGTTTCACCATGTTGATCAAGGCTGGTTTTGAACTCCTGACCTCAGGTGATCTGCCTGCCTCGGCTTCCCAAAGTGCTGGGATTACAGGCGTGGGCCGCTGCACCCAGCTGGCTAATTTTTTTTTTTTTTTTTTTTTTTTTGAGACAGAGTTTCGCTCTTGTTGCCCAGGCTGGATGAAGTGCCAAGGCCCCGTCTCAGCTCAGGCTTACTGCAACCTCTGCCTCCCGGGTTCAAGTGATTCCCATGCCTCAGCCTCCCAAGTAGCTGGGATTACAGGTGCCTGCCACCATGCCTGGCTAATTATTTGTATTTTTAGTAGAGACGATGTTTCACCATTTCGGTCAGGCTGGTCTTGAACTCCAGACCTCAAGTGATCCGGCCGCCTTGGCCTCCCAGAATGCTGGGATGACAGGTGTGAGCCACCGTGCCCAGCTGGCTAATTTTTAAAAGTTTTTGTAGAGGTGGAGTTTCACTGTGTTGCCCAGCCATATTGAATGGGCATAGCTCATTCAGTAAGCAAGGAAATAAACAATGGCGTGGGCCCAGCCCGCTGTAGTGCGTGAGCGGACCCAAAGGCTTCAGGAGATGGGCTAGACCGTTTGTATTCTTTTTAAATGTTCAGATAATTCAGACTTACAAAGGAGCAACAGAAACAGCACAGACGCCCCCTGCAGCTTCCTCCTCCTTCAGTTTACATTTTTCATGAACACGAACGTTATGAACACCAAGACGTTAGCCTTGGTGCTACGCTAATCACAAAAGTGCTAGATGGGCCGGGTGCGATGGCTCACGCCTGTAATCTCAGCACTTTGGGAGGCTGAGGAGGGCAGATCACGAGGTCAGGGCATTGAGACCATCCTGGCTAACACGATGAAACCATGTCTCTACTAAAAATACAAAAATTAGCTGGGTGTGGCAGCGGGTGCCTGTAGTCCCAGCTACTCAGGAGGCTGAGGCAGGAGAATGGCATGAACCCAGGAGATGGAGTTTGCAGTGAGCCGAGATCGCGCTACTGCACTCCAGCCTGGGTGACAGAGCGAGACTCCGTCTCTAAAAAATTTAAAAAATTTAAAGTGCCAGAGGTGGTTAGACACCCCCGTTTTCCACTCCTGTCCTCTCTGAGGTCCCCACACGGCATTTAGCCATTCAGCTCCTTCGCCGCCTCCAGTCTGAGGCTGTTCCTCTGTCTGGCTTTCATGACCTTGACCCTGACTTGTGCTCACGGGTCAGGTGTTTTGCAGAAGGCGTCTGAGTCCACGTTTAGTCTCGTGCGCTGTCACGATCAGACGATCAGACGGGGCTTCAGTGTCTCTGCTCAAAACCCCAGGGATGATGCTGTGTCACCCTCCCAGCGTCAGGCTGGGAGGCAGACGCTGTTGGGGCCTCTCACTGCCGGGCTGTTGACCTTGATCCTTTGGCTAAGGTGTTGGCTCGGGCTCCCCACTGCAGTTACCCTCCCCTCGGCGTTACTGAGCACTGGGGGCTTTCGGGCTCTGCGTCTGCACAGATACTTCGAGTCTCCAAGGAGACTTCTGCCTGTTCATTTCTGCTGCTGTCAGTGGCGGGGTGGGGGGGTGGATTTTGAATGCCTCTTGGGTGGTGTCTGGGATCGTTGCAGGAAGGTTCTAAGGGCTCAGGAGTGTGAGTGGCCCAGGCACCTGCCGTCAGCCTGTCTTCTGTGCTCCGCCTGTCGTGGGCAGCCGGAGAGGCGGCGCGGCCGTGGTGGGAGCCCAGGACCCCACTGAGCCCCCACGCCTGTCTCGCAGCCTGAGCGGTGCATCCCCGTTCCTGGGCGAGACCAAGCAGGAGACGCTCACCAACATCTCAGCCGTGAACTACGACTTCGACGAGGAGTACTTCAGCAACACCAGCGAGCTGGCCAAGGACTTCATTCGCCGGCTGCTCGTCAAAGATCCCAAGTACGAGGGGCCGGCAGGGGGCACGGGGTGGGACATGGGACACAGGCCCACTCCACCCACGGAGGCTCCAGAGGACTCTCCTCCCAGCGCCACCTCCCTGCGGCTGGGGATCAGACATTGCTTACCCCTTGGGCTGGAGAGAGTAAACTGATAAACTGGTGGCCCAAGCTGGCCATTGCCATGGTTTTTTTTTTTTTTTTTTTTTGAGACGGAGTCTTTTTTTTTGAGACGGAGTCTTGCTCTGTCTCCCAGGCTGGAGTGCAGTGCAGTGGCGTGATCTCGGCTCACTGCAGCCTCTGCCTCCCGGGTTCAGGCTATTCTCCTGCGTTAGCCTCCCAAGTAGCTGGGATTATAGACGCCCGCCACCACGCCTGGCTAATTTTTGTATTTTTAGTAGAGACAGGGCTTCACCATGTTGCCCAGGCTTGTCTTGAACTCCTGACCTCCTTGGTTTGTGATTTGCCTGCCTTGGTCTCCCAAAGTGCTGGGATTGCGGGCGTGAGACACCGTGTCTGGCTGCTTGCTGTGTTTTTAGCAAACTTTTAATTAGTTGCCGGTGTGTAAAGTAAGGATCCATGTAAAATTCCAGGTCACTTGTTTTCCTGTAAACACTTAGAATTCTGGCAGTGCTGAGCCCTCACTCGTAGGCCTCCCCGGGCCTCCATGGCCGCCCAGTCCCTCTCTCGGGCGCCTGGGTTTGCGACTCCAGCCTGAGGTCTCAGCTCTCTCCACCACCCCCCAGAAAACCCCACGCTCCCTGCAGTACCCTTGTTCAGCTTCTGTGGTTGGCTGAGCAGAGGCTGGGGGGCGACTTTAGGGCTTTTGGGGGTCCCGGGAGTCAGTTGTTCACGGGAGGACGGGACAGATGGTGCAGGTGTACCTAACCAGAGCGGGGGTCTTCCAGGCGGAGAATGACCATTGCCCAGAGCCTGGAACATTCCTGGATTAAGGTAAGTGGGGAGGTGGGGGAGCTCCCTGGGCTTCCCGCCTTGGCCTTCTCGCTGGGGTCCCGGGGGGCCTTCAGCATTTAAGGCTTGTGGATGTGACAACCCCCAGTGGCTGGGGAGGGTCCCCAGAGGAGTGAGCCTGTGTGGCGGGGGTTGGGTCCTGGGCGTGGGATGTCCAGCACCCGACAGACCTGGTGGCATCCTTGGCTGGTGTGTGTCCAACGGGGCTGACTCCTGGGGCCAGGGCCGCAGCGTTTTTCTCGAGAGAGCACTCTCGGCTTTGCGTCGGGCTGGGCAGTCTCCGTCACGAGGCGTTGACTCTGCTGCCGGATGAGCCCCTGAACCTCAGTTCACACTGGCAGGTGGGGGCTGGCGGGGCTGGGTGGCATCGCGGGGACCCCGCTCAGGCTTCCCTCCTTCCTAGGCGATCCGGCGGCGGAACGTGCGTGGTGAGGACAGCGGCCGCAAGCCCGAGCGGCGGCGCCTGAAGACCACGCGTCTGAAGGAGTACACCATCAAGTCGCACTCCAGCTTGCCGCCCAACAACAGCTACGCCGACTTCGAGCGCTTCTCCAAGGTGCTGGAGGAGGCGGCGGCCGCCGAGGAGGGCCTGCGCGAGCTGCAGCGCAGCCGGCGGCTCTGCCACGAGGACGTGGAGGCGCTGGCCGCCATCTACGAGGAGAAGGAGGCCTGGTACCGCGAGGAGAGCGACAGCCTGGGCCAGGACCTGCGGAGGCTACGGCAGGAGCTGCTCAAGACCGAGGCGCTCAAGCGGCAGGCGCAGGAGGAGGCCAAGGGCGCGCTGCTGGGGACCAGCGGCCTCAAGCGCCGCTTCAGCCGCCTGGAGAACCGCTACGAGGCGCTGGCCAAGCAAGTAGCCTCCGAGATGCGCTTCGTGCAGGACCTCGTGCGCGCCCTGGAGCAGGAGAAGCTGCAGGGCGTGGAGTGCGGGCTGCGCTAGGCGCAGTGGGGTGGGCCAGGCCCCAGGACAGCCG
The DNA here is from genome assembly GCF_000001405.40 of Homo sapiens. Lineage (NCBI taxonomy): Eukaryota > Metazoa > Chordata > Mammalia > Primates > Hominidae > Homo > Homo sapiens. The sequence goes on along the minus strand of NC_000019.10, from coordinate 3,959,066 downwards.
GAGCTCGGCCTGCGGTGGGGGCGCTTCCTGTGGACGCTGCGCCTCCCATCGCCCGGGTGCCTGTCCTTGCCCAGCGCCACCAGGCTGGAGGCGGAGTGGGAGGAGCTGGAGCCAGGCCCGTAAGTTCGCAGGCAGGGGTGGGTGTGGGACGGGGCTGCTTCTCTACACAGCCTCCACGCTGGCCTTCACCTTCACCCCTGCATCGTCGGTGACCCTGGGACCCTCCAGGCAGCGTGGCCTGTGGCACCGTGAGGGTTGGGACCCACCGAGGCGCAGAGGCGGCCCGAATGCAGCCCTGGTTCAGGCCCGGAGGAGGGTTTGCGGGTAGTTGCACGGACAATTCGGCGGGGTGCTGCCTGTTGCTGCCATTAGCCCAGGAGGAGGTCGTGGGACGGGGAGGGTGGGATGGACGGCGGACAGGCAGTCCCCACGCTGCTGGGTGGCGCCGGGCTTGGTGGGGTCTTCCACTGTGTGCCCTTCTCGCCGAGGCCGGTCCCCCGGGTGTGGGGTGCCCTGCTGCGGACTCCTCCGCGAGCCCCATCGTCGCGCCTGTGGACGCCTAGGCAAGAGCGGCCCTCTGCAGCCAAGAGAAATAAAATACTGGCTTCCAGATACGCGGGTGTTGTGTGCCTCAGGCCTTGGCAGGGGACAGCCAGCCCTTGGCCACTGGGGATATGCCCTCCGCGGCGTTCATGTTTCTCTCTGTGTTCCATGCCTGCCGCTGTGCTCAGGAAGGAGGGGACAAACCGGGGGTCCTCGCAGACCTTCACGGTGTCCTGGGAGCTGCCGGATCTTGGTCTCAGCTGCCCCGAGTGTTTTGATTGCAATGAGGTGGAAGCTCTGGGCAGCTGAGGTGGATCAGAAGCGTTTCCTGTCCCTTTGCGCCTTACGGGATGCTGCTGTGTCCCACGTGGGAGCCCCTGCCCCGTCTGGAGCCACATGCAGGTGGCCCTGGAGGGGGAGCGGCTCAGCTCAGCTGCTAGGGCTCACAGGTGGTTTCAGAGAGGGGCCCCGACCCTGTCCATCCTCCCTGGAGGAAGTTTTTTTGCTTTTTTTTTTTTTTTTTTTTTTGAGAGCGAGTCTGGCCCTGTTGCCCAGGCTGGAGTGCAGTGGTGCGATCTTGGCTCACTGTAACCTCGGTCTCCTGGACTCAAGCGGGTCTCCTGTCTCAGCCTCCCAGGTGTCTGGGATTACAGGCATACACCACCACACGTGGCTAATTTTTTTTTTTTTTTTTTTGAGGTGGAGTTTTGCTCTTGTTGCCCAGGCTGGAGTGCAGTGGTGTGGTCTTGGCTCACCGCAACCTCCGTCTCCCATGTTCAAGCGATTCTTCTGCCCCAACCTCGCGAGTAGCTGGGTTTACAGGCATGTACCACCACACCGGGCTAATTTTGTATTTTTAGTAGAGGCAGGGTTTCACCATGTTGGTCAGGCTAGTCATGAACTCCCGACCTCAGGTGATCCGCCCGCCTCAGCCTCCCAAAGTGCTGGGATTACAGGCGTGAGCCACCATGCCTGGCCGTAATTTTTGTATTTTTAACAGAGATGGGGTTTCACCATGTTGGCTAGGCTGGTCTCGAACTTCTGACCTCAATTGATCTGCCCTTCTTGTGCTCCCAAAGTGCTGGGATTACAGGCGTGAGTCACCGCATCTGGCCATTTTTTTTTTTAACTTTTTTTTTTCTTTCATTGAGCTATGATTCACACACCCTAAAATCTTTCTTTTAAAGTGTGCAATTCAGTGGTTTTATACATTCACAGAGGCAGGAAAAGGTACATCCACACAAAAATTGTATGTGAGCCAGGTGTAGTGGGGTTGCCTGTGGTCCCAGCTACTCAGGAGGCTGAGACGGGAGGATCACTTGAGCTCTGGAGGTGGAGGCTGCAGTGAGCTGTGATCCCGCCACTGCACTCCAGCCTTGGTGACAGAGCAACACCTTGTCTCATAAATGCACGGTACACCGGGCACGGTGGCTCACGCCTGTAATCTCAGCACTTTGGGAGGCTGAGGTGGGCGGATCACGAGGTCAGGAGATCGAGACCATCCTGGCTAACACGGTGAAACCCCATCCCTACTAAAAATACGAAAAAAAAAATTAGCTGGGTGTGGTGGCACCTGTAGTCCCAGCTACTCGGGAGGCTGAGGCAGGAGAATGGCGTGAACCTGGGAGGTGGAACTTGCAGTGAGCCGAGATCGCACCACTGTACTCCAGCCTGGGCGACAGAGCGAGACTCCGTCTCAAAAAAAAAAAAAAAAAAAGGAAAAAGGGTGAAAGTGGTGCATTGTATGTTATGTGTATTTTATTTATTTATTTTTTGAGATGGAGTCTGCCTCTGTCACCCAGGCTGGAGTGTAGTGGCGCGATCTAAACTCACTACAACCTCTGCCTCCCAGGTTCAAGCGATTCTCCTCCCTCAGCCTCCCGAGTAGCTGGAATTACAGGCACCTGCCACCACACCCAGCTAATTTTTTGTATTTTTAGTAGAGACGGGGTTTCGCCACGTTGGCCAGGCTGGTCTCGAACTCCTGACCTCAGGTGATCCACCCGTCTCGGCCACCGAAAGTGTTGGGATTACAGGCGTGAGCCACCGCACCTGGCCTGCTATGTGTACTTTAACCATAATAAAAACATATTTCAAGCTGGGCATGGTGGCTCATGCCTGTAATCCCAGTGCTTTGGGAGGTGGAGGCAGAGGATCACTTGAGCCCAGGAGTTCGAGACCAGCCTGGCAAACATGGTGAGACCTTATCTCTACAAATAACAATAATTAATAATAATAATAATACATCTAGTACATCCAATCTGGTTAATCGTCACAGCCTTCAGCACTCCCTACCAGACCCCCTAGGGCTTCTCATCCCCTAGTACACAAAGCATCAAGCCTTGGCCTCTCGGAGGCCTCTGGGACCCCACCGGAGGCCAGGACCATCACCCCCTCAGCCCCCAGAAGACCAGGAGGCCTCTCAGGTCAGCCCCTCTGGTCAGTCAAGGAAATTGAGGTCCACGGAAGCACAGCAGGGCCCAAACTCATACTCCCAGCCCTTTTCCTGGAACCAGCAGAACATGAACCCTGCTGGGGAGGGGCGGACCAGCTACACCAGGAGACCAGGACCCCCGGGGGCTCCCATTGCTGGGAGCATGCAACCACACTCTGGCCCAGCCTTCCTCAGTGGGGTGACCCCGAGCCCCGAGTCCCCAGCCCCGTCTCTGGCCTTCCTCTGGGCACCTGAGATGGGGCTGGTACCCGTGGAGTGCTCAGTCTTGTCAAGGACACCCCAGAATCCACGTTGGGTGGCAGTGGCGTGCAGCAGCTTCAGGGGCTCACAATTCTACGGGATTCCCACTCCACAGCAGTGTGAGGCTGAGTTCCACTGGCAGAGGGTCAGATGGGGCACCCTGTCCCCCACTCAGGGTGTCCGGTGAGAGCTCAATTGGTGTCCTCCACAAAAATACTGAATTCCTAAATAGGCCCTTATTTGGAAATAGGGTAGATGTAATTTGTTAGGATGCGGATGTGGAGGTAGTTAGAATGACATCATGCTGAAGTAGGGTGGGCCCTAGTCCTTATGACTGCATGGGGGCTGGGTATGTACGGTGGCTCACGGCTATAATCGCAGCACTTTGGGAGGCCGAAGTAGGCGGATCACCTGAGGTCAGGAGTTCGAGACCAGCCTCGCCAATATAGTGAAACCCCGTCACTACTAAAAATACAAAAATTAGCTGGGCGTGGTGGCAGGTGCTTGTAATCCCAGCTACTCGGGAGGCCGAGGCAGGAGAATTGCTTGAACCTGGGAGGGGGAGGTTGCAGTGATCCGAGATCATGCCACTGCACTCCAGCCTGGGCGACAGTGAGACTCTGTCTCAAAAAAGAAAGAAAAGACTACGTGGGGGCTGGGCGCGGTATGTTGACTCACAGCTGTAATCCCAGCACTTTGGGAGACTGAGACAGAAAGATCGCTTGAGCCCGGGAGTTCAAGACCAGCCTGGGTAATAGTGAGACCCCCGTTTCTACAAAAAATACAAAAATTAGCTGGGCGTGGTGGCACACGTCTGTAGTCCCAGTTATTTGGGAAGCTGAGGTGGGAGGATCGCTTGAGCCTGGGAGGTTGAGGCTGCTGTGAGCTATGATCGTGCCACTGCCCTCCAGCCTGGACAACAAAGTGAATCCCTGTCCCCCCTACCCACCGAGAAAGGCCATGTGAAGATGGAGGTAGAGGCCGGGCATGGTGGCTCACACCTGTAATCCCAGCATTTTGGGAGGCCAAGCTGGGTGGATCACAAGGTCAGGAGTTCGAGACCAGCCTGGCCAATATGGCGAAACCTCGTCCCTACTAAAAATACAAAAATTAGCCGGGTGTGATGGCAGGCTACTTGGGAGGCTGAGGCAGGAGAATCACTTGAACCCGGGAGGTTGGAGGTTGCAGTGAGTTGAGATCGTGCCACTGCACTCCAGCCTGGGTGACAAAGCGAGCCTCTGTCTCAAAAAAAAAAAAAAAAAAAAAGATGGAGGCAGAGATTGGAGCGGTGCGGCCAAGGAGCCAAGGACCACTGGCCACCACCGGAATCTGGAGGGGTAGGAGGGAGCCTGGCTCTGCTGGCACCTTCCTTCTGGCCTCCTGACCTCTGGAGCTCTGAGAGCCTCTTGAGTAGCGTGGTGTCTGGCTCACACGGGCATATCATGACCTGCCCTGTGACTATACCTGGCACTGGCAGGTCCCTGGCAGTTTCCAGCCCTCAGCTCCCACAGGCTGGGACGGTCACTGGTCTGATTTCTAGGTCAAGAAAACACCCATGGCCCGCCCTGGGGCGAGCCGTGGTCTCACCGCCCCTGCAGAATCTGGCCTGTCGAATTCGGCTTTCAGGAGGGGCGGCAGCTGGAGGCCCTGCCGGGAGGCTCCATGTATGGGCAGACAACCTCTTGGTCATGCCAGTAGCCAAGGAGTGGCTGGGATGGAGTGAGGCAGAGAGGAGTGGGGGGGGCTCAGGGTCTGTCTGGTGGGAGCGAGTTTTCTTTTTTTTTTTTTGAGACAGAACTAGTCTCCTGCCTCAGCCTCCTGAGTAGCGCTGGGATTACAGGCGCCCGCCATGACGCCCGGCTAATTTTTGTATTTTTAGTAGAGACGGGGTTTCACCATGTTGGCCAGGCTGGTCTCGAACTCCTGACCTCAGGTGATCTGCCCGCCTCAGCCTCCTAAAGTGCTGGGATTACAGGCGTGAGCCACTGCGTCCAGCCAGTGGGAGCAAGTTTTCAAAGACATCCCTGGGACAGGGCTCAGCGCCAGGGAGAGCCAGTGAGGGCTTGGTGTGTTTCTTGCCTGGTGCCCATCCCTGTGCATCCAGCGATGACTGCAGCTGCCTGCGTCCTGGGCGTCCGTGCTGCTGCTCTTGGGCAGGGTTGTCGCGTGCGGGTCCCCCCCCCCGCCCCCCTGCAGCTGCTGGGCCAGGCGTGACCTCCAGGACAAGGCAAGCTGGGTTCAGGCCATAGCTTGGCTGTGACTCAACCCTGGGGCATCAGAGAAAGGTCATGGGGCTGGTTGAACACAGGACCTCAGGTGCTGGACAGATAAGATAGACGTCGCGGGGGAGGGAACACCCCACACCACGCAGGGTCCCCCCCAACTCTGGGCTGCGCTCAGGAACACAGCACACAGCCAGGGACCGTGGGAGGCAGGCTTTGCAGTAATGAGAGGGTGAGGGGGCCTCCGCTTCCCCAGAGAAGAGATGATCGGCCTGTTGAGAAAATTTCAGGCCGGGTGCGGTGGCTCACGCCTGTCATCTCAGCACTGTGGGAGGCTGAGGCGGGAGGATTGCTTGGGCCCGAGAGTTGCAGGCCAGACTGGGCAACCTGGGGAGACCCTGTGTCTACAAAAAATTAGAACATTAGCTGGGTGTGGTGGCTCATGCCTGCAATCCCAGCTACTCAGGAAGCTGAGGCGGGAGGATCACTTGAGCCCAGGCGGTCAAGGCTGCAGTGAGCTGTGATTATATCACTGCACTGCAGCCTGGGTGACAGAGTGAGACCCTGTCAGAAAAGAAAAGAAAAGAAAAAAGAAAAAAAGAGAAGAGAAGAGAAAAAGAAGAGAGAAGGCAAGGGGAAGAGAGGGGAGGAGAGGGCAAGGGAGGGGTGGAAGAAAAGAAAAGAAAAAAGCAGGCCGGCCACAGTGCCTCACGCCTATAATCCCAACACTTTGGGAGGCCGAGGTGGGCAGATCACCTGAGGTCGGGAGTTTGAGACCAGCCTGACCAACATGGAGAAACCTTGTCTCTAGTAAAAATAAAAAATTTAGCTGGGCGTGGTGGTGCATGCCTGTAACCCCAGCTATTCGGGAGGCTGAGGCAGGAGAATTGCTTGAACCCGGGAAGTGGAGGTTGTGGTAAGCTGCGATCGCACCACTGCGCTATAGCCTGGGCAACAAGAGCAAAACTCTGTCTCAAAAAAAAAAAAAAAAAAAAGAACAGAACCGGCACTTTGGGAGGCCGAGGCGGGTGGATCACCTGAGGTCAGAAGTTCGAGACCAGCCTGAACCACATGGTGAAATTCTTGTCTCTAATAAAAATACAAAAAATTAGCCAGGTGTGGTGGCGGGCGCCTATAATCCCAGCTACTCCAGAGGCTGAGGCAGGAGAATCACTTGAACCCAGGAGGCGGAGGTTGTAGTGAGCCGAGGTTGCACCACTGCACTCTAGCCTGGGCGACAGAGCGAGACTCCGTCTAAAAAAAAAGAGGCCGGGTGCGGTGGCTCACGCCTGCAATCCAAGAACATTGGGAGGCCGAGGCGGGTGGATCACAAGGTCAGGAGATTGAGACCGACCTGGCTAACAGGGTGAAATCCCGTCTCTACTAAAAATACAAAAAATTAGCCAGGCGTGGTGGTGGGCACCTGAAGTCCCAGCTACTCAGGAGGCTGAGGTAGGAGAATCATTCTGAACCCGGGAGGCGGAGGTTGCAGTGAGCCACGGTTGTGCTGCTGCACTCCAGCCTGGGCAACAGAGTGAGACTCTCTCAAAAAGAAAAGAAGAGGAGAAGGGGAGAAGAGGAAAGCAGAAGAGTTCCAGGGCTAGCAGGGAACAGAAGTGACTCAAGGAGAAGCAGGACCCTGCCCAGCCCCCTCTGAGGATGGAGGGCTCTTTGCCTAGGGGACGCACCTGCAGGAGCAGAGGAGGCCATCGGGGCCCTCCCGGTTTCCCCAGGCTGAGCAAAGGCAGCACAGGACACAGAACACGCATTTGAGGCTTTGCGCCGCAGCTTGGATTTAGTTACACACTGTCTGCAAAATGTGTCCTGGGTTGAAGCACATCCTGGCTCTGCTCCTGGTAAACGGTGCTGCCTCTCTGCCATTTCCCCCTCCCCAGGGGACAGCGATTCCATCTGCCTCCCAAGATGGTGGTGAGGGCGGAAGGAAGGGCTGCAGCGGGGCCTGGCACCCTCTGGAGGGCCCCCAACTATGAGTCTTGTTTGATTCTAGGGTCTCAGACTTAGTCATTGCCAAGTCGCGTTGGGTGGGGCGAGCGCTGCCTGGCGCCTCCAGGTCAGGGCCTGGAGCAGGTGTTGGGAGGAGGCCTGAGTCCAGCAGAGCCCGCAGCTGCCGTGGCCTTGACCATACACGGGCATGAAACTGCGGTCACTATTAATAACCACGGTGCCTTTGCCCAGGTCCAGGGTGACAGCCGCTATAAAGCCAGGCCTGCCAGCCCCAAGCGGCTCCTTCAGCCCCCGAGAACCTTAACCCCCCTGTTGTGAGACAAAAAGAAAAGTAAGTACCAAAACCATCTCTCCCCCCGTCCCCCTGGTCAGCCTCGTGCAGAACACGGGCCCCCGCTCGGCGGCCGGAAGTCAGACACAGAACAGTGGTGAAATGAGATCCCCCCTCAAAGGACGTCCGAAGCACAGATCCGGGGTGGTACCTACTTGTCCCAGGCGGTTCGGTGGCCTCCAGGACAGCCCAGGCCCAGCCCTGCCTAAGGAGCAGGGAAGATGGCTGTGGGGAGGAGGAGGAAGAGGAGGAGGAGGCAGCGGCTGAGCTGTTTGGGGGCTGGGCCTGCTCACTGCTTCTCCTTATCTAAGGGGACAGAGCCGGGGATCCCGCCGCAGGCCGGGTGACCCCAACAATGCATGTGTGTCTTGCGATGATGTGGCCACAGCTGTGGCTCCCTCAGTGGGGGGAGGCGAATGGCGAGGACGGAGGTGGGGGCTCCCTCCCTCCGGCCCCCTCCCCACCCCAACCCCTGGCTGTCCTGGGGTCTCCCGCCCCTCTCTGGGGTTTCATAGTTTGAAGGTCCCTTTAGGGGAGAACTTACAGGCCATGTCCTCAATGAGCCCTGTTTGGATTGACTGCACCTCACGGGTTCCCTGCTTGGAGAGCCGCTGGACCCCCACCTTGTCACCCCCTCCCCTACCTTGGAGGGGGCTGGGCCCTCGTCCTCCCGGAAGCTCAGTGGTTTCTCGACCTCGTTGAATGCTGCAGAAGCTTAACGGGGGCAGAGAGGAGACAAGGCCATTTCTCGGGAGCCCGCAGCTCCCCCAGAATGTGCAGGGTGGATCCTGTCTGGCCTCTTCAGCCTGCTTCTCCCCCAGGCCCTAGCTGGGCCCACAGCTGGCCCCAAGGACACCCCCTTAAGGCCCTGGCAGCAGGGAGTCTGGGGCACCCAAGCTCGGTGGCCTTGGAGGTGACAGCTTTGGCCCTGGTAGGGCCCTGGGGTGGGGGGCGGGGGGCGGCGCCAGCGGAGTAACTGCTGATTAAGGGGCCGGCTGACTACTACTTGATGTGAGTGGCAGATGGTTGGGGGTGGGGTGGGGGTGCCTGAAATAGAGTTGGGGGGAGGCCGGCACTAAAACCTCATCCCCCCCACCTCCCAGGGCCTCTCTGCTTCCATCCGGGTGGGTCTCAGCCTCTCTCTTCCCATGGCCAGCAGGACTTCTGGGGAAGGGCCTGAGGGCAGAGTCCCAGGGCTGGGTGGTCCCAGGGGAGCGGGCAGGGCAGGGCAGGGAGTTCAGGTTCTCCATGGAAGGGACTGTCCATCTGTCTGCGCACACACCCTCCAGTGCCTCCCAGGCAGGGAGGGGGCTGCAGACTGGCTTCCTGATGACCCAGGTGGTTCACGCCTATAATCGCAGCACTTTGGAAGGCTGAGTTGGGAGGCTTCCTTGAGCCCAGGAGTTCGAGACTGGCCTGGGAAACAGATCCCATCTCTACATAAAATAAAAAAATTAGCTGGGCACGGTGGCACGCCCTGTAGTCCCAGCTACTTGGGAGGCTGAAGCAGGAGGATTGCTTGAGCTCAAGAGGTTGAGGCTGCAGTGAGCGATGAGGGTGCCTCTGCACTCCAGCCTGGGTGACAGAGTGAGACCCTGCCTCAAAAAAACCCCCCAAAGATTGCCTTCCCAGCTGGAGAAGCCACTGAGCCAGGGGCACAGCGGGGTCCTGCCTGTCTGTCCCAGGCCCCGGGAACCCTGAGACACCCCTCCCCAACCCCTCACAGGGAAAGGCTTCAGAAGCTGCAAACCAAGGACCCCACTGTGGGCACGAGAATCCCGCCCTCGCACGGGAGCTCGGAAGGCCAGCTTCCAACGAGGTCCTCTGCCCTCCACAGACTCCATGGGCTGCCTGTCACCTGGGGTCCTGCAAGGGTCAAGGAGGGAGGCCCCCAGGCAGGGGACTTTCAGTAGAGCCAGGCTACCCTCAGCCAAGTTCCTCAAGCTCCGGGAATGACTTGGCCCAGAGAAGTGTCAGCCACGCGACAACATGGGGGCCTCTGTGTGATGGTTGGTGCCTGCCCTGGACTCTCAGTCCCTTCCTGGGCCCACGATAGGTACCTCAAGGGAGCGGGGCAGGATTTTTTGTTTGTTTGTTTTTGAGACAGGGTCTGGCTCTGTCGCCCAGGCTGGAGTGCAGTGGTGTGATCTCGGCTCACCGCAACCTCTGCCTCCCAGGTTCAAGCAATTCTCCTGCCTCAGCCTCCTGAGTGGCTGGGATTACAGGTGTGCACCATCATGCCCGGCTAATTTTTGTATTTTTAGTAGAGATGGGGTTTCACCATGTTGGCCAGACTGGTCTCGAACTCCTGACCGCAAGTGATCTGCCCGCCTCAGCCTCCCAAAGTGCTGGGATGACAGGTGTGAGCCACCATGCCCAGCCCAGGGTAGGATTGGAGCCCATTCTCTGCCCTTAGAAGAAGTTTCTTCCCTGGGACACTGTGTATATTTGGGGTTGGACTGTTCTCTGGGGTGGGGCTGTCCTGGGCACTGCAGGGGTCGAGCAGCATCCCTGGCCTCCGCTCACCCCTTCCCAAGGCGTCAGGACCACAAATGTCTCCAGACATTGTCCAGTGTTCCCTGGTTGGCGGGAGCAGAATCACCCCCAGGTGAGAACTATTGGCCTGAGATTGCTCTTGGCCGGGAGCATTTCAGGAAGGTGAAGGCAAGGATGATTTTAGATGATATGAATTCTGTGGCTTTTTGCATTGTTTTTGAGACAGGGTCTTGCTCTGTTGTCCAGGTGGGAGTGCAGTGGTGTGATCATAGCTCACTGCAGCTTCCACGTCCTGGGCTCAAGAAATCCTCACACCAGCTGGGCACGGTGGTGCACGCCTGTAATCCCAGCACTTTGGGAGGCCAAGGCGGGCAGATCACGAGGTCAGGAGATCGAGACCATCCTGGCTAACAGGGTGAAACCCCGTCTATACTAAAAATACAAAAAATTAGCCGGGCGTTGTGGCGGCCGCCTGTAGTCCCAGCTACTCGGGAGGCTGAGGCAGGAGAATAGCGTGAACCCGGGAGGCGGAGCTTGCAGTGACCCGAGATTGTGCCGCTGCACTCCAGCCTGGGCGACAGAGCGAGACTCCGTCTCAAAAAAAAAAAAAAAAAAAAAAAAGTCCTCACACCTCAGCTTCCCCAGTAGCTGGGACCATAGGCATGCACCCCAAAGCCCAGCTAATTTTTAATATTTTTTGTAGAGACAGGGTCTTGCTATGTTGCCCAGGCTGGTCTTGAACTTCTGGGCTCAAGTGATCCTCCGGCTTCGACCTCCCAAAGTGCTGGGATTCCATGCATGAGCCACCCGAGCCGCTCTGTGGTTTAACATGTATCAGAAAATCCAGGTTTCCTCATGTTGTGTCAGAAAGGTTCCTCTTCAGAGGAATTTAGTTAAAAATCAATAAAATAAGTGGGACTTGTAAAGTAAACACAGGCCGGGCGCAGTGGCTCACGCCTGTAATCCCAGCACTGTGGGAGGCCGAGGCGGGAGGATCACCTGAGGTCAAGTGTTTGAGACCAGCCTGGCCAACATGGTGAAACCCCCATCTCTACTAAAAAATACAAAAATTAGCCGGGCGTGGTGGTGCACGCCTGTGATCCCAGCTACTCGGGAGGCTGAGGCAGGAGAATCACTTGAACCCAGGAGGCGGCGGTTGCAGGCAGGGAGCCGGGATTGCGCAACTGTACTCCAGCCTGGGCAACAGAGCAAGACTCTGTCAAGAAAGAAAGAAAGAAAGAGAGAAAGAGAGAAAGAGAGAGAGAAAGAGAGAAAAGAGAGGAAGGAAGGAGGGAAGAAAAGAGAGAGAAAGAACACAAGCTTGTGTGTGGGGGTGTCTGTGGCCCCCATTGTGAGTGCAGGAGGAGAATGAGGGACTTCAGAAGCATCCAGCCAAGGGGGTGGTTGCTGGGGACTAGGGCCTCCGCTGAGGGGACCAGAAAGCCCTGGGGGACTGGCGGGACCCTGAGGGGATTCCAGGAAGTTGGAGGTGATGGAGGGGGGTCCCACACAGGAGCAGGAGGGGTCTCCTCTGGGGGAACGAGGATTCCCGAGGTGATGGTACCCTGACACTGGGCCCAGGCATGGGACAGTGGACCTGGCTCAGGTTCCCAGGCTCGGCCACCTGGACTCGTATCCTTATTCCCCCTTTTTTCCTTTTTCTTCTTTTTTTTTTTTTTTTTGAGATGGAGTTTCGGTCATGGTGCCCAGGCTGGAGTGCAATGGAGAGATCTCGGCTCACTGCAACCTCCGCCTCCCAGGTTCAAGCGATTCTCCTGCCTCAGCCTCCCGAGTAGCTGGGATTACAGGCATGCACCACCATACCTGGCTAATTTTTGTGTTTTTAGTAGAGACGGGGTTTCACCATGTTGGCCAGGCTGGTCTCGATCTCCTGGCCTCAGGTGATCCACCCACCTTGGCCCCACAGAGTGCTGGGATTACAGGCGTGAGCCACCTCACCTGGCCCTGATTCCACCTTTCATGTGTGGTCTTGGGTAAGCAAATCCACTTCCCGAGCCTCAGTTTCCCCATCTGCAAAAAGGAGTCAGTTGCACGCATCTCTCTCGGGGTGCTGGGGAGAATTCCAAGCCCTGCTAGACACCTGGCAGGTGGATCCCGCTCACTGTGCCCATCGGGCTGGCCTGTGGGTCGGGGCCTGCCTCGGTTTGTCACTGTGGTGCATAGCGACACCAGCCATCAACCCAGCAGCTGTGATAACTCCAAGCGCCTGGTGCTACGCTGAGCACACGAGGGAGGGAACTGAGGCACAGAGACGGCGTTTTACCTGCCTGGGGACAGTGGGCCAGGAAGTGGCAGAGGCTGCCTGGGTTTGGGCCGAGCAGGCTGGGTCCTGGAGCTGCCCACCTGCACCCGGGGCTGCCTGGTCTCGGGGTGCCCTGTCCCTGTCGCTGATGGACGGGTACTCCTAGGGGGACAAATTACAGGTGCATCTGCTTTGCATTTGGGGAGAATGAGTCACTGGTTCTGTTTGTGGAGGGCAGGAGCCGCGAGACAGGCAGAGGTTAACCGACACCATCACTGCACCCAGAATCCAGCTGTACTCGGGCAATGTTGGGGTGGGATTCTCTGGGCCCCTTAGATGGCTCTGGGAGGGGAGAGGGGGTCTTCCCAGCAGGCGAGTGTGAAGATGGAAGGCCACATGGGGCTGGAGAAGGTCAGGGGGTTGGCATTCAACAGAGCTGAGTTCAAATATCAGCTCTGCTGGGTGACCTTGGGCAAGTTTCTTTCCCTCTCTGAGCCCTATAAGAATGGGTCATGGAGTAATCTGACTTCTCAAGCTGATTGGCTCCCATAAGGGTGACTCATCCTCCTGTTTCTCCTGGGAACACAGGACTTTGAGTGGTAACACCAGGAACGTTCTGGGCCAACTGGGATGAGCTAGCTACCCTAGTGCTCCTGTTCCTATTTTTTTAACTTTTAGCAAAACACACAAAGCAAAATTTGCCATCTTAATCATTATTATTTTTTTCCCCAAGACAGAGTCTTGCTCTGTCGCCCAGGATGGAGTGCAGTGGCGTGATCTCAGCTCACTGCAACCTCTGCCTCCCTGGCTCAAGCTAGTCTCCTGCTTCAGCCTCCGAAGTAGCTAGGATTACAGGCGTGTGCCACCATGCCCGGCTAATTTTTGTATTTTTAGTAGAGATGGGGTTTCACCATGTTGGCCAGGCTGGTCTCAAACTCCTGACCTCATGATCTGCCTGCCTCAGCCACCCAAAGTCCTGGGATTACAGGAGTGAGCCACCGCGCCTGGCCAAAAAAGTTGTTTTAATTAAAAATATTTTATTTTACTTTTTAAATTTAAATTTATTTTTTTGAGATGGAATCTCCCTCTGTCACCCCAGCTGGAGAGCAGTGGTGCAATCTTGGCTCACTGCAATCTCCGCCTCCTGGGTTCAAGTGATTCTCCTGTCTCAGCCTCCCAAATAGCTGGGATTACAGGTGTGCACCACCACACCCAGCTAATTTTTGTATTTTTAGCAGAGACGGGGTTTCACCATGTTGGCCAGGTTGGTCTCGAACTCCTAACCTCAAGTGATCTGGGTGCCTTGGTCTCCCAAAGTGCTGAGATTACAGGCATGAGCCACTGTGCCCGGCCAAGAATAACATTTTAAATTAAAAAAAGAAACAGGGTCTCACTATGTTGCCTAGTCTGGTCTCAGACTCCTGGGCTCAAGCGATCCTCCTGCCTTGGCTTCTCAAAGTGCTGGGATTATAGGCGTGAGCCACTGCTCTAGCCCCCCAGTATTTTTTTTAAAAGTAGAGACAGGGTCTTGCTATATTGTCCAGGCTGATCTCAAACTCCTTGGCTCCTCCAGTCTCAGCCTCCCAAAGTGCTGGGATTCACAGGTGTGAGCGACTACGCCCAGCTTCCTCCCTCCCTCCCTCCCTCCCTTCCTTCCCTTTTTTTTTTTTTTTTTTTGAGATGGAGTCTTGTTCTGTTGCCCAGGCTGGAGTGCAATGGCGCAATCTTGGCTCACTGCAACCTTTACTTCCTGGGTTCAAGTGATTCTCCTGCCTCAGCCTCTCAAGTAGCTGGGACTACAGGCACGCCACCGCCATGCCCAGCTAATTTTTGTATTTTTAGTAGAGACGGGGTTTTGCCATGTTGACCAGGCTGGTCTTGAACTCCTGACCACAGGTGATCCACCCCTCTCCGCTTCCCAAAGTGTTGGGATTACAAGGGTGAGCCACCATGCCCGGCCTTGGCTTATTTCACGGAGCGTGACATCTTCAAGGATCATCCTGTTGTGCCCTGTGTCCAGATTCCCTTCCTTTTCATGGCTCAGTAATATTCATGTACGGATGGAGTACATTGTGTTCATTCATTCATCTGTCTGTGGACACTTGGGTTGCCTCTACCTTTTGGCTGTTGTGGGCTGTGCCCCCATGAACATGGCTGTGCAAGGATCTCTTTGAGTCCCTGCTGTGAATTCCTTGGGGCCTTGCCCAGGAGCAGGATTGCTAGGCCCTATGGTAATTCCATGTTTAATTCTGAGAAACGGCCAGACTGTTTCTCGTCAGGCTCACTGTGTTCCATTTCCCACCTCAGAGCATAAGGGTTTTGCTCTCTCCACATCCTGGCCAACCCTTATCATCTTCCGTTTTTTGGTTGGTTACCCTGTGGCTACTGTTCCCCTTCTTGTTTTGTTTTTTTTTTTTTTTTTTTTTGAGATAGGGTCTTGCTCTGTCGCCCAGCCTGGAGTGTAGTCATGCAATCATAACTCATTGCAGCCTCAACTTTCTGGGCTCAAGGGATCCTCCCACCTCAGCCTCCCGAGTAGCTGAGACTACAGACATGTGTCATCATGCCTGGCTAATTTTTTGTAGAAACGGGGTCTCACAGCCGGGCATGGTGTTTCACGTCTGTAATCCCAGCATTTTGGGGGGCCTAGGCGGGTGGATCACCTGAAGTCAGGAGTTCGAGACCAGCCTGGCCAACATGGCGAAACCCCGTCTTTACTAAACATACAAAAATTAGCTGGGCGTGGTGGTGCATGCCTGTGATCCCAGCTACTTGGGAGGCTGAGGCAGGAGAATTGCTTGAACCTGGGAGGTGGAGATTGCCGTGAGCCGAGATCACGCCACTGCACTCCAGCCTGGGCGACAGACCGAGACTCCATCTCAAAAATAAATAACTAAGTAAAAATAAATACAGAAAAATAAAAACAGAAACGGGGTCTCACTCTGTTGCCCAGGCTGGTTTCAAACTCCTGGGCTCAAGCAATTCACCTCCTTGGCCTCCCAAAGTGCTGGGATTACAGGCATGGGCTACCACGCCTTGCTAATATTTTATCATTTTTTGTAGAGATGGGGGTCTCACTATCTTGCCCAGGCTGGACTGGAACTCCGGGGCTTAAGTGATCCTCCCCCCTCAACCTCCCAAAGTGCTGGGATTACAGGCATGAACCTTTCTTTTTTTTTTAAAAGAACAATAATGCCCAAGGTATCTGGGCTGCCAGGCAGGGCTTCTGCTGTCCTGGAACCACCTCCCTCATGTCTCTGTCCTGTCCTGGACTATTTTGGGCACAGTGACCGGCAGATCATCCTTACCACACTCTGTGCTTATGGGGAAGGAGAAGCCTTGGCAAGCCACCTCTTCCACGTCATCCTCCCATTCCATATCCACTCCTGCTTCCCCTCCAGCACGGAGACCTCAGACCCTCCCTGTGGCCCTGGACTCGACCTGGCATACACCACACCGTTCAGCACACATTTTGCACAGAGGGGCAAATAGTAAATATTTTTGGCTTTGCAGACAGACCTTCTCTGTCAGGGTGACTCAACATGCTATTGTAGTACTAAAGCAGCCACAGGGCTGACACGTACAAATGGCAGGGGCCGGGTGCCAATAAAACTTTATTTATAGGCATTGAGAAAAAAAATTTTTTTGAGACAGGTTATCGCATTGTCACCCAGGCTGGAGTGCAGTGGCCTGATCATAGCTCACTGCAGCCTCAACCTCTTGGGCTCAAGCAATCCTCCTGTCTCAGCCTCCTGTGTAGCTGAGGCTACACAGGTATACCACCATGCCCAGCTAATTTTTAATTTTTTTTTTTTTTGAGACGGATCTTGCTCTGTCACCCAGGCTGGAGTGCAGTAGTGCGATCTCGGCTCCCTGCAACCTCTGCCTCCCGGGTTCAAGCGATTCTCCTGCCTCGGCCTCCCAAGTAGCTGGGATTACAGGCATGCACCACCATGCCTGGCTAATTTTTGTATTTTTAGTAGAGACAGGGTTTTGCCATCCTGGCCTGGCTGGTCTTGAACTCCTGACCTCAGGCAATCCGCCCTCCTCGGCCTCCCAAACTGCTGGGATTACAGGCGTGAGCCACTGCACCTGGCCTGACGGATCTTAGACAGAACACGGTAGACACCAACAGTTAAAAAAACAGGACCCAGTTTACTACTGAAGCTGCAGCGAGGTTACAGAGGCGTCTTGGGGCTCAGTCCCTGAGCTCCGGGACGCCCAACTGGGAGTGGGGCCTCCACTCTCCTACGTACAGACACCCCCATAGGGAAACGCTCACATGCTGTCCTGCTGGGACGCTGCAGGCCTGGCCGTTCTGTGGCCGCATCCGCGTCCGGGTCCCTGTGTCCTGGCTGGGCGAGCCGGGGAGGGGGCTGATTCCTGGGAGCGGTTCAGCAGCGAGTTCTGAATGTCTTCCAGGACTTCACGGAAGAGCTCCTCTCGGGACTTCATGCCGTCCAGGTAGACTGAAATCAGAAAGGCTGCGTCAGGGCTGCCGGGAGGAAGGGGGCCAGAGCACGGGGGGACGAGTGGACGGCTGGGTCAGGAGCAAGGAGATCTGCAGAGTCGGGCTGCTGGAGTCAGTTTCCTGGACCAACAGCAAGAGGGGGCCGGGCGCGGTGGCTCACACCTGTAATCCTAGCACTTTGGGAGGCCGAGGCAGGCGGATCACGAGGTCAGGAGTTCGAAACCAGCCTGGCCAACAGGGTGAAACCCCATCTCTACTAAAAATACAAAAATTAGATGGGTGTGGTGACGCGCGCCTGTAATCCCAGCTATTCAGGAGGCTGAGGCAGGGGAAAGGCTTGAACCCGGGAGGCGGAGATTGCCGTGAGCCAAGATCGCGCCACTGCACTCCAGCCTGGGCGACAGAACAAGACTCCGTCTAAACAACAACAACAAAAATAGCAAGAGGGACTGGGGGCGAGGCTCACGGAGGAATGTCCAGGTTTCCAAAGGTCCTGAGTGGGGAGTACTGAAGGGCGTTTAGAATGGTGGCCAGCTGCAGTGGTTCACGCCTGTAATCCCAGCACGTTGGGAGACCAAGGAGGGCAGATCACCTAAGGTCAGGAGTTCGAGACCAGCCTGGCCAACATGGTGAAACCCTGTCTCTATTAATAATACACAAATTAGGGGCCGAGTGTGGTGGCTCACGCCTGTAATCCCAGCTACTTGGGAGGCTGAGGCAGGAGAATGGCTTGAACCTGGGAGGCGGAGGTTGCAGTGAGCCAAGATCGTGCCACTGTACTCCAGCCTGGGTGACAGAGTGAGACTCTGTCTTGAAAAAAAAAAAAAAAAAGATGGAGAGGGGCTGGGCCCAGGGTCCCCCCCGCCCGCCCGGGGCAAGGCCTGGTCATGCTCAGGGGCTTACCCACTTCCACACCGTTGGCCTCCATCTCCTGCCTATACTTCTGGTACATGGGCCACACGTGGCCATCGAAGAGGCCGGGGGGATCAGGGACTGTGTAGTTGCGGGTACTGCAGAGGGAGAAGGCAAGGATGGCTTAGAGCACAGAAGGGTGATGCTAAGAATATACCCCCGGTGGGGGGCCTGAAAGCTGTCATAGTCAGGGACAGAACCTCTGAGCAAGGGGACCCTCGGTCAGAAGCCCTGGGCTAGAGGCTCCAACCTCCGGCATGTTCACCCTGTGGGTCCGGGAGATGCCCTGGACAGGGTTGGGGTGGGCCGTGCTATCCAGGCCTCAGGCTCTGGGCACCTGGCACAGAGCTCCAGCCAGCTAAGTGGCCAGTGCCTGTGGCGTTGGGATGTGGCCCGTGTCCAGTGGCGTTTTCTCTTTTTTTTTTTTTTTTTTTGAGATGGAATCTCGCTCTGTTGCCCAGGTTGGAGTACAGTAGCCTGATCTTGGCTCACTGCAACCTCCACCTCCCGGGTTCAAGCCATTCTCTTGCCTCAGCCTCCTGAGTAGCTGGGATTACAGGAGCCCGCCACCATGCCTGGCTAATTTTTCAATTTTTAGTAGAGATAGGTTTCACCATGTTGGCCAGGCTGGTCTCAAACTCCTGACCTCAGGTGATCCGCCCATCTCGGCCTCCCTAATTTTTGTATTTTTTGGTAGAGATGGGGCTTCACCATGTTGGCCAGGCTGGTCTCGAACTGACTTCAGGTGATCCGCCCAAGCCTCCCAAAGTGCTGGGATTACAGGCGTGAGCCACCGCGCCTGGCCGCCTTTTTTTTTTTTTTTTTTTTTTTTTGAGACAGAGTCTCCCTCTGTCACCCAGTCTAAAGTGCAGTGTCCCAGTCTCAGCTCTGCCTCCCAGGTTCAAGCGATTCTCCTGCCTCAGCCTCCCAAGTAGCTGGAATTACAGGTGCACGCCACTACGCCCGACTAATTTTTGTATTTTTAGTAGAGACGGGGTTTCACCATGTTGGCCAGGCTGGTCTCGAACTCCTGACCTCAGGTGATCCACCTGCCTCAGCCTCCGGAAGTGCTGGGATTACAGCCCAGAGACACTGTGCCCAGCCCCCAGTGGCATTTTCTAGGTTACCGCTGGTTCCACCCAGTAATTCAAGACAGGGCCCTCAGGAGCCCACCGCACCCCCAGACACCAAGTGCACCTTCTCCTCCACTTGCACTCTTCATACGGGACGGTCAGGAAGTACCGGCGGCTGTACAAGTCCACCAGGGGCCTGGGCGGAGTGGGGGAGACACGGTCAGCACCTGTGAGCTTTCCTTCAACCGCAGTCAAAATATCCAACCCCCCAGCCTTGGCTTTCAGAGGGTGGCGAGCACATGGGGTGGTCTGGGCCAGTGAGTTTAGGGGTCAGGGAGGGAAGCTGAATTGGCCAACATCCCTGCAGCAGCCCCCCACAAAATTGAATCACGCTTCTTCTCCAACTTGGACGGGCACAGACAGACAGAATGTCTTGCTCAGGGCCACACAGTGAAGCCAGAGGGCGCAGCCTAGGTTACTGGTCTGCCCGAGAAGTCTGAGGTTCCAGAAGAAAGACTCAGTCTCCCCAAGAAGGGTGGCTGTTTGTCCCAGACTTGAGTTTTTAGTTTTAATTTTTTTTTTGAGATGGAGTCTCTCTCTGTCGCCCAGGCTGGAGTGCAGTGGTGCGATCTCGGCTTACTGCAACCTCCACTTCCCGGGTTCAAGCGATTCTCTTGCCTCAGCCTCCTGAGTAGCTGGGATTACAGGCACACGCCACCACACCTGGCTAATTTTTTGTATTTTTAGTAGAGACAGGGTTTCGCCATGTTGGCCAGGCTGGTCTCGAACTCCTGACCTCAGGTGATCCATCCATCTTGGCCTCCCAAAGTGCTGGTGAGCCACCACGCCTGGCTCCAGACTTGGGTTGATCCCAGCTCTGCCCCCAACTCCTGACTTCCCGTGGTGGCTCTGCTCCTGGGTCTCCTGACTATTAAAATGGAGATGTGAGCCAGGCGTGGTGGCTCACGCCTGTAATCCCAGCACTTTGGGAGTCCGAGGCGGGCGGATGGCTTGAGGTCAGGAGTTTGAGAACATCCTGGTCCAATAGGGTGAAACCCAGTCTCTACTAAAAATACAAAAATTAGCCGGGTGTGATGGCGCAGGCCTGTAATCCCAGCTACTTGGGAGGCTGAGGCAGGAAAATTGCTTGGACTGGGAGGCAGAGGTTGCAGTGAGTCAGGATCTCACCACTGCACTCCAGCCTGGGCAACAAGAGCAAAACTCTTGTCTCAAAAAAAAAAAAAAACAAAACAAAAAAAAAAAAAAAAAAAAACAAGAGATGGCTATACCCGCCCAGAGAGGGCCATGCCTGGGGCCAGAGCCTGCAGATGTTTACTTGTAGCTGTAGAGCAGGAAGCCTTCCAGGAGGAGGATGTGGGTGTCCGAGGCCTCTGGCTGGACGCTGACCCCGTGGGCACGGGCAAACTTCTGCGGGCTGCTCAGCCAGGCCTGCACGGTGTCCAGCATGGCCTCCATGTCCAGAGACTCCAGCACTGGGGAAAGGGGAGCAGGCATTGCAGGAGGGCAGACCCTGGGGGATAGTGGACGGGGAGCGGGCATTGCAGGAGGGCGGACCCCAGGGGACGGTGGATGGGGAGCGGGCATTGCAGGAGGGTGGACCCCGGGGGGACAGTGGACGGGGAGCAGGTATTGCAGGAGGGTGGACCCCGGGGGAACAGTGGACGGGGAGCGGGCATTGCAGGAGGGCGGACCCTGGGGGATAGTGGACGGGGAGCAGGTATTGCAGGAGGGTGGACCCCGGGGGAACAGTGGACGGGGAGCGGGCATTGCAGGAGGGCGGACCCCGGGGTATAGTGGAGGGGGAGCGGGTATTGCAGGAGGGTGGACCCCGGGGGGACAGTGGACGGGGAGCAGGTATTGCAGGAGGGCGGACCCTGGGGGAACAGTGGACGGGTAGCGGGCATTGCAGGAGGGTGGACCCCGGGGGGACAGTGGACGGGGAGCAGGTATTGCAGGAGGGCGGACCCCAGGGGAACAGTGGACGGGGAGCAGGTATTGCAGGAGGGTGGACCCCGGGGGGACAGTGGACGGGGAGCAGGTATTGCAGGAGGGCAGACCCCGGGGGGACAGTGGAGGGGGAGCGGGCATTGCAGGAGGGTGGACCCCGGGGGGACAGTGGACGGGGAGCGGGTATTGCAGGAGGGTGGACCCCGGGGGAACAGTGGACGGGGAGCGGGCATTGCAGGAGGGTGGACCCCGGGGGAACAGTGGACGGGGAGCGGGCATTGCAGGAGGGCGGACCCCGGGGGGACAGTGGACGGGGAGCGGGTATTGCAGGAGGGCGGACCCCGGGGGGACAGTGGACGGGGAGCGGGTATTGCAGGAGGGCGGACCCCGGGGGATAGTGGAGGGGGAGCGGGCATTGCAGGAGGGCGGACCCCGGGGGAATAGTGGAGGGGGAGTGGGCATTGCAGGAGGGCGGACCCCGGGGGATAGTGGAGGGGGAGCGGGCATTGCAGGAGGGCGGACCCCGGGGGAATAGTGGAGGGGGAGCGGGCATTGCAGGAGGGCGGACCCCGGGGGAATAGTGGAGGGGGAGCGGGCATTGCAGGAGGGCGGACCCTGGGGGAATAGTGGAGGGGGAGCGGGCATTGCAGGAGGGCGGACCCCGGGGGAATAGTGGAGGGGGAGCGGGCATTGCAGGAGGGCGGAC
Source organism: Homo sapiens (assembly GCF_000001405.40). Lineage (NCBI taxonomy): Eukaryota > Metazoa > Chordata > Mammalia > Primates > Hominidae > Homo > Homo sapiens. Next base: position 3,937,421 of record NC_000019.10, on the reverse strand, counting down.
CCCGGGGGAATAGTGGAGGGGGAGCGGGCATTGCAGGAGGGCGGACCCCGGGGGAATAGTGGAGGGGGAGCGGGCATTGCAGGAGGGCGGACCCCGGGGGATAGTGGGGCTTGGAGGTGATGCTTGTCCTTACCGTCCCACTGTTTGAAGCCGTCTTCCCCAACTGCTATTTGGTCTTGGGGCTGAAACAGAGGAGCCTGAACCTCGGGCTCAGTGCCCGGTCCTGCCTCACCCCCGGCCTGGGTGATGGAGTCTTAGGGGGTCCCTTGCTGGAGCTGCTGAGGTCCCTGAGGCGTGGGGGCTCTGCCTGACCCTCAGATTTTCCCCAGACCATCAATCATCTCATTAGCCCTCACCCCCACCCACACCCACACAGCGAGCTGGGCTCAGAGTCTATTTTGCAGATGGGAAAGGGGAGGTGGAGAGGAATAAAGGGTATTCACCCAGAAAGCCACAGCCGGCTGGCCCTGTGGAGGAATGGTGGCTTTCCCATCCATCTAACTGGGGTCCCCACTGTAGGGATGTCCAGTGAGAATGGGCTGCGTATGAAATAGGTGCTTAGGAAATGGGAACACGACACCCGTCCCTCACTTTCCTGGCCCAGTTTATCCCAGAGACCCCAGGAGGGGTCAGGCAGGGAGTGGAGCCAGTGCCCAGCCCACACGGGCACTGGGCAGTGGAGGGCGGGGCTGGCCGGGCCTGGCTGCCCACCCTGCATCCCCTCTCAGCTCCACCTCCCCGGGCAAGGGCGGGCACCTTGAAGAAGTCATCCTGATGGATCACGCAGCAGTTGGGCAGGGCTCTGAGCAGGCTGTTGGTCAGCGTGGTCTTGCCGCCGTTGGTCATGCTGGGGAGACAGCGTGTGCATGAGACTGCCTGGGCTCCCCCCAAGAAGGTCAGGGTGCTCAGAAGGGGGCCTGAGGTGCAGCCTGGGCTCCCCGGGGCCTGTCCATGTCTCAGGGTCTTCCTGCAAATCAGCTCCCAGGATTTTTCTGATTCTTTTTCTTTTTTTTTGAGACCAAGTCTTGCTCTGCCACCCAGGCTGGAGTGCAGTGGCGCGATCTCAGCTCACTGCAAGCTCTACCTCCCGGGTTCAAGCAATTCTCCTGCCTCAGCCTCCTGAGTAGCTGGGACTACAGGCACACGCCACCACGCCTGGCTAATTTTTGTATTTTTAGTAGAGACAGGGTTTCTTTCTTTTTTTTTTTTCCGAGACGGAGTTTCACTCTGTTGCCCAGGCTGGAGTACAATGGCGCAATCTTGGCTCACTGCAACCTCTGCCTCCCAGGTTCAAGCAATTCTTTTGCCTCAGCCTCCCAAGTAGCTGGGATTACAGGCGTGCGCCACCACACCCAACTAATTTTTGTGTTTTTAATAGCGATGGGGTTTTGCCATGTCGGCCAGGCTGGTCTCGAACTCCTAACCTCTGGTGATCCGCCTGCCTTGGCCTCCCAAAGTGCTGGGATTACAGGTGTGAGCCCGGCCCACCTATGTTTACAGATAAGGAAATTGATTTAGTCTCAGCAGGGCTTAAAAAAATAAAACAGCACCGGCCATGCACGGTGGCTCATGCCTGTAATCCCAGCACTTTGGGAGGCCGAAGCAGGTGGATCGCTTGAGCTCAGGACTAGCCTGGGCAACATAGTAAGACCCCATCTTAACAAAAAATTAAAAACTAGCCAGGTGTGGTGGTGCATGCCTGTAGTCCTAGCTACTTGGGAGGCTGAGATGGGAGGATCGCCTGAGCCTGGGAGTTCGAGGCTGCAGTGAGCTGTGATCACCTCACTGCAGTTCAGTCTGGGTGAGAGTGAAACCCTGTCTTTAAATAAATAAATAAATACATAAATAGATAATATAAACAATTTTAGCTGGTCGTGGTGGGTCATGCCTGTAATCTCAGCACTTTGGGAGGCAGAGGCAGGCAGATCACCTGAGGTCAGGAGTTTGCGATCAGACTGGCCAACCTGGTGAAACCCTGTCTCTAGTAAAAATACAAAAATTAGCTGGGCGTAGTGGTGGGTGCCTATAATCCAAGCTACTAGGGAGGCTGAGGCAAGATAATCGCTTGAACTCAGGAGTCAGAGGTTGCAGTGAGCTGAGATTGTGCCACTCCACTCCAGCCTTGGTGACAGAACGAGATTTTGTCTCAAAAAAAAAAAAAAAAAAAAAAGACTGACGGAAAAAGAGGACACCTATATCATATCCAGAAGAGGCAGGTTAGAAAAATGCCTAATGTTGCTCAGGTGTGGTGGCTCCCACCTGTAATCCCAGCATTTGGAGAGGCTGAGGCAGGAGGATTACTTGATCCTGGGAGTTTCAGACCAGCCTAGGCAACATAGTGAGACTCCCATCTGTATTATAAAATTTAAAACCCAATTTTTAAAATGTAAGCCCCCAGGTATTAATAATTTTTTAAATAAAAATAAAAAGAAAGTGCCTGACATGAATCCAAGTTATTTTGTGCCCCGGGTGGGCTGTGACATTTGCAGCGCTGAGTGCAAAATGAAAATTCGAGGCTTCTTACTCGAAAAATATTAGGGGCAGGGCACGGTGGCTCACGCCTGTAATCCCAGCACTTTGGGAGGCTGAGACAGTTGGATCACTTGAGGTCAGGAGTTCGAGACCAGCCTGGCCAACATGGTGAAACCCCCCATCTCTACTAAAAACACAAAGTTTAGACAGGCATGTGGTTCACGCCTGTAATCCCAGCTACTTGGGAGGCTGAGGCAGGAGAATTGCTTGAACCCGGGAGGCGGAGCTTGCAGTGAGCCGAGATCACACCACTGCACTCCAGCCTGGGGCAACAGAGCAAGACTCTGTCTCAAACTACGACGGCAACAACAACACCCCCCCCCCAAAAAAAAAAACCCCAAAAAACAAAAAATATGAAATTCAAGAGGGAGTCCGGCTAGCATTAGACCAAGCTCCCGTCCCTTCTGAGGCGGGGGTGTGAGCCCCACAAAGCCAGCCGTGCTGGTTACAGAGAGTTTGAATCTCTTCTAGCCTGAGGTCGCCTGAGAGAGGCTCCAAAGGCACAGTCATGTGGAATGACATTTTGGGGACCCCATCCCACCTGCCCACGTGTCAGTCCCCGATTTAGCCAGGACAGCCACGAGGCGGGAGGAGGGTTCACTGGAGCTTTAGTTAATTTTCTGTCCCTACTGATTTTTTTTTTGAGACACAGCCTCACTCTGTCGCCCAGGCTGGAGTGAAGTGGCATGATCGCACTCACTGCAACCTCCATCTCCCGGATTCAAGCGATTCTCCCACCTCAGCCTCCCCAGTAGCTGGGATTACAGGTATGCACCACCGTGCCCAGCTAATTTTTGTATTTTTAGTAGAGACGGGGTTTCACCGTGTTGGCCAGGCTGGTCTCAAATTCCTGACCTCAGGTGATCCACCCGCCTCGGCCTCCCAAAGTGCCAGGATTCCAGGCCTGAGCCACCGTGTCTGGTCTATTTTTTTTTTATGCTGAGTATAATTGGAAGGTGGCGGGAATCATTTCCATTTAAAAAATGAAACACTGGGCTCAGTGTCCAGCCCCCCTTCCCACTGGGGACACCGAGACCCCCAGGGCAGAAAATCCTCCCTGCACTCTGACCTCGGGCGGCGTGTAGGTGACCTCAGGCGCCAGGCATCCCTCCATTCATTCCCGGGCCTCCCCCTCTGCGCGCACAGGGGGCTTTGCCCCGCAGGGCCGCCCACCAGGTCCCCCGGCGCTCACCCTCCGATGCCCACGATGAGCTTCATGCCGGTGCGGAGGGGCGGCGGGGACGACTTCCAAGGCAGCCCGGGTAGGGTGCGACCACGCAGTGCGCTCCGGAGTGCGTCCCGGCTTCATTGAGAAAACCTGGCGCCTTTATAGGTCTCGGCAGCCTGGAGGCCGCCCCGGGGGAGGCGGCCCCTGGGGATGGGGCGGAGGCGCCGGCACCTGTTCCCGCCGCCGAATGGAAATAGCTCCAGGCTGCCTTTTGCCTAAATTAGTCACGAGCTGGCCGGGCAGGGGGCTGCCTCTTCCCTCCTCCCACCTCCCTGCCCTCTCTCCACTCCCTCCTCCCCTCTCCTCCCCTTCTTACCCCCTCCTCCCTCCTCTCCACCCCCACCCTCTTCCCTCCTCCTGGCCAGAGAGCTCAGATCAGCAGCCCCACACTTTTCCCTCCCTAAAAATATCCCGCTCTCTGTGTCCTATGGCCTGACCCTGACATTAAGACTGGTTCTCGTGGCGTCAAGGAAGCGAACTCACCCACCCCCGCCCGCACAGCAGCCCTAGAGGCCGGGACCCTGCGGGGAGCTTCGTTTTCCAACGAGGTCAGGGCCAAGGTGGGCTTAAGATCCTTAGCAGTGAATCACAAGATAGCCTTGCCCAGGTGACCGGGGGCCCAGCCACAGGATCTCAGCGTGACACCAGGGACCATTCATCCCGTGCCTGCCTTGTGGGTGGAGTCATTTGACTGGGGGCCGGCGGGGCGGGGAGGGGGTAATGGGGAGGAATGACACTCTGCTGCTTCTCTCTTCTACTGGTAAAGGGAAAAAGTATTCTCTTATTAAATGTTTTAATTTTTTTTTTTTAATTTCAGATGGAGCCGGGTGCAGTGGCTCACGCCTGTAATCCCAGCACTTTGGGAGGCCGAGGCGGGCGGATCACGAGGTCAGGAGTTCGAGACCAGCCTGGCCAGCATGGTGAAACCCCGTCTCTACTAAAAATACAAAAAAAATTAGCTGGGCATGGTGGCACACGCCTGTAGTCCCAGCTACTTGGGAGGCTGAGGCAGGAGAATCGTTTGAACCTGGCAGGTAGAGGTTGCAGTGAGCTGAGATTGTGCCACTGCACTCCAACCTGGGCGACAGAGCGAGACTCCGTCTCAAAAAAATAAAATAAAATAAAATAAAAATAAATAAATTTGAAACAGAGTTTTGCTCTGTCACCCAGGCTGGAGTGCAGTGGTACCATCTTGGCTTACTGTAACCTCTGCCTTCCAGGTTCAAGCAATTCTCCTTCGTCAACCTCCCCAATAGCTGGGATTACAGGCGAGCACCAACACGCCCAGATAATTTTTGTATTTTTAGTAGAGACGGGGTTTCACCATGTTGGCCAGGCTGGTCTTGAACTCCTGACCTCAGGTGATCTGCCCGCCTCAGGCCTCCCAAAGTGCTGGGATTACAGGTGTGAGCCACCATGCCCAGCCTACATTTTTGAATTTTTTGAGACAGGGTCTCGCTCTGTGGCCCAGGCTGGAGTGTGGTGATGTGATCACAGCTCACTGCAGCCTCAACTTCTCACACTGGGGCGATCTTTCTGCTTCAGCCTCCCGAGCAGCTGAGACTACAGGTTCGCACCACCACACCTAACTTTAAAATTTTTTGTAGAGATGGGGTCTTGCCATGTTGCCCAGGTTGGTCTTGAACTCCTGGCCTCACGTGATGATTCCTCCAACTCGGCCTCCCAAAGTGCTGGGATTACAGGCATGTGACGCCTCTCCCCACCAGAAAATAATTTTTCTGATGCTTCTTAAAACAGTAAGGCTGACTTTGTTGAGGCGGGTGAGGGACTACTACCATGGGGTTTTGTAGTATGGGAGGGAGATTGAATTCAATCTTCTCCCTTTCCACCAATACAAGGAAAAGTGGGAAATTATAGCCCAGGAGCAGGGGGGTGATCAGAGGATGGGAAGTGACTAGGAAGGTGGGGTGATAGGATGGCCAAGTTTGTATGTCTGTATGCAGTAAGAGATCAATACACCAAAGAGAGAGAGAATTTTTAAGAGATGAGGTCTTGTTACATTGCCTAGGCGGGTCTCTAACTCCTGGCCTCAAGTGATCCTTCCTCCTTGGCCTCCCAAAGTACTGGGATTACAGGCTTAAGCCACCACGCCCGACCAATGATGTACTTTATGAGTCCTGTTAACAGAATTGTGACCCTGGACTTCAAGAGCTTTTGCAAAATGGACTGGAAATCTTGGGGTATTCATGAGGAAAGCTCAGAAAAAGCAGTCAGCCACAGGATCTGTGGCAGTGCAGCGGGGTGGCTATGTCTGTGGCCAGAGCTCCTCCAGGTGCTCAAGCAGGCACCCAGGAAAGCCCGGCTCCTGGGCTTCACCTCTGGCCCAGTTTCGGTGGCAAGAATTTCCTGGCAGCCTCTTGGTGGGGCACGTGGCCCAGGGCCTCAGGTGACAGTGACATGCCCAGATAAAGGCCCTGGCAGGGCACCTCTGGGAGGCCTCCCTGTGCCAGCCCACCCCGGCAGGAAGGAGAGGGAGAAGCCACAGGGGCTACAAATGCCTGCCAGTCCCCAAGCAGTCCCAGGTCCCAGGGTATTGATTAGCGACCTCACTGCCCCACGGTGCAGTGATCCCATTTACATGAAATGCCCAGGACACGTCAATCCACGAGGACAGGAAGGGGACGCGTGGGTGCCAGGGGCTGGGGGAGGTGGGTGGGGATGACTGTGGCTGCTGGGGACAGATTTACTTTTGGGGTAATGGAATGTTCTGGAATTTAATAGAGGTGGTATTTGCAAAACATTGTGAAGAATGTACTCTTAAAAATGGTTAATTTTAGGCCGGGTATGCTATGGTGGCTCACGCCTGTAATCCCAGCACTTTGGGAGGCTGAGGTGGGCGGATCACGATGTCAGGAGATCGAGACCACGGTGAAACCCCGTCTCTACTAAAAATACAAAAAAAAAATTAGCTGGGCGCAGTGGCGGGCGCCTGTAGTCCCAGCTACTCGGGAGGCTGAGGCAGGAGAATGGCGTGAACCCGGGAGACGGAACTTGCAGTGAGCTGAGATCGCGCCACTGCACTCCAGCCTGGGCGACAGAGTGAGACTACATCTCAAAAAGAATGAAAAAACAAAAAAATGGTTAATTTTATATTAAGTGACTCTCATCTTGATTTATTAAAAAAGTGTCTGTTTGGCCGGGCGCGGTGGCTCACGCCTGTAACCCCAGCACTTTGGGAGGCCGAGGCAGGCGGATCACGAGGTCAGGAGATTGAGACCATCCTGGCTAACACGGTGAAACCCTGTCTCTACTAAAAATACAAAAAATTAGGTGGGCACGATGGCAGGCGCCTGTAGTCCCAGCTACTCAGGAGGCTGAGGCAGGAGAATGGCATGAACCCGGGAGGTGGAGCTTGCAGTGAGCCGAGATGGCGCCACTGCACTCCAGCCTGGGCGACAGAGCCAGACTCCGTCTCAAAAAAAGAAATGTTTGCAGTGGCTCACTACTGTAATCCCAGCATTTTAGGAGGCCAAGGTGGGAGGATCGCTTGAGGCCAGGAGTTCAAGACCAGTCTGGGCAACGTTGTGAGACCCCCGCCTCCTTGCCCCCCACCATCTCTACCAAAAAAAAAAAAAATTAGCTGGGTGTGGTGGCCTGCTTCTGTAGTACCAGCTACTTGGGAGGCTGAGGCAGAAGGATCCCTTGAGCTCAGGAGGTTGAGGCTGCAGTGAGCTGAGATTGCATCACTGCACTCTAGCCTGAGCAACAGAGGAAAACCCTGATTAAAAAAAAAAAAAAAAGCCTGGGCACGGTGGCTCACCCCTGTACTCCCAGCACTTTGGGAAGCCAAAGCAGGAGAACCACCTGCGGTCAGGAGTTCGAGACCAGCCTGGCCAACATGGCGAAACCCCATCTCTACTTAATACAAAAATTAGCCGGGCGTGGTAGCGCGCGCCTGTAATCCCAGCTACTCGGGAGGCTGAAGCAGGAGAATTGCTTGAACCCGGGAGGCAGAGGTTGCAGTGAGCTGAGATTGTGCCACTGCACTCCAGCCTGGGTGACAGAGTGAGACTCCGTCTCAAAAAAAAAAAAAAGTAATTATGATAATAAAAAGAAAGTGACCAAATGATGAAGACTTTAATTTCGTCCTGGGTTTTTCTGCAACACTGGTGGCGCCGATCCGGCCCTCAGGCCCCTCTCTGGCTGCCCCAGGCCTTGCTCCCCGTGGGTCACTCTGCCGGGGACACCCCTCCTCCTGCTGGCTTGGCTGACGGCTGCTTGTGTATTAGTTCTCTGATCAGAAAGGTCCCTTCCTCCTGGTCCCCAGGAAGGCCCCAGGTCCCTGGGTTGAGCCCACCCCTTGGGCTGGGAGTGGTGTGAGGGACTGGACCCCCTGTGCCCCGAAATGAATGAAAGAGCGAGTGAGGTTTTCTTTACTGTTGTTTTTTTTTTTTTTTGAGACGGAGTCTTGCTCTGTCACCCAGGCTGGAGTGCAGTGGCACGATCTCGGCTCACTGTAAGTTCCGCCTCCCGGGTTCACGCCATTCTCCTGCCTCAGCCTCCTGAGTAGCTGGGACTACAGGTGCCCACCACCACGCCGGGCTAATTTTTGTATTTTTAGTAGAGACGGGGTTTCACCGTGTTAACCAGGATGGTCTCGATCTTCTGACCTCGTGATCTGCCCGCCTCGGACTCCCAAAGTGCTGGGATTACAGGCGTGAGCCACCGCGCCCGGCCTTCTTTTCTGTTTTTTTTTGGTGGGGGGTTCGGAGTCTCTTTTGCCCAGGCTGGAGTGAAGTGGCGCCATCTCGGCTCAGTGCAACCTACGCCCCCTGGGTTCAAGTAATTCTCCTGGCTCAGCCTCCCGAGTAGCTGGGATTACAGGCGCGCACCACCACGCCTGGCTAATTTTAGTATTTTTAGTAGAGACGGGGTTTCACCACGTTGGCCAGGCTGGCCTCAAACTCCTGACCTCAAGTGATTCACCTGCCTCGGCCTTCCAAAGTGTTGGGATTACAGGCGTGAGCCACCGTGCCTGGCCGTGAATGGGGTTTTCAAGAAACCTCTCAGGGTAATCAGAGACCCCGTGCAGTAGGATAAAGGAGGGGGCTGTCACCTCCAAACTGGGAGCGGCTCCCCAGGATCCCAGCACCAGCTCCACCCTCTTTGTCCCCTCCATCCACCCACGAAGACCCCACCTTTTCCCCTAAAGGGCACCTGCCGGCATAAACACAACTGGAGCACAGTAGCATGACTTTGGGACCTGCTGGTGACAGAGACATCAAGGTGGGTATGACATGGCCACCGCACAGTGTCCCCACTGGGTGGATGGAGAGAACTGGCAGGCGTGATCGTGGCTCACTGCAGCCTCTGCCTCCCGGGTTCAAGTGATTCTCCTGCCTCAGCCTCCTGAGTAGCTGGGATTACAGGCGTGTGCCACCACGCCCGGCTAATTTTTGTATTTTTAGTAGAGACGGGGTTTCACCATGTTGGCCAGGTTGGTCTGGAACTCCTGACCTCAGGTGATCCTCCCGCCTCCGCATCCCAAAGTGCTGGGATGGCAGGGGTGAGCCACTGGGCCCTGCCTGTTACTAGTACTCAAAAGGAACAAACCTCCCTTCTCAGTGATAGTTTCTTTATTCCACATAAAAGTCCCCCCAAAGCTCATGGAGACGACGTCTTAACATCACGACCGTCGTCAATCGTAGTGATCATTTCTGTTCTGAAAAACCGCAAAACTCATCGTTGGAAGGATGGGCTGCTGACCAGGACTTTGGGGGAGGGTTTATGACGCATCCCATGTGTCACCAGAGGGAAACCCAACATCCTTTTACGAGGAGGGGTCGGGGTCCATTGCATTTTGGCCAAACCACACCCCCCACCCTGATACAAATCCATCTCAAAGCCCATCTGTGGACGGTGCAGGTCGTGGCCCAGCTGGGAACGGTGGCCCCGGCTGTTTGACCTCGGCATGCCTGCCGACAGGTGGCCTCGCCGGGGGCCTCTTTTGCTCTGGAGGGTCCGCTGGGGCTGAGTTGGGGTCTTCAGTTTCGCCTGCCTGTTGTCTGTGACTGCTGGTGATCCAAAGGGGCGTGGGTGGGCCACGGCATAACGGGCGGACCCCCTGGAGTTTCTGGTGGGGGCAGAATGTTTAGCCGGCAGGCACCTTCTGGGTCAGGTAGGGCCTCACTTGTCACTTGATTGCTGCTGTAGACACTCAATTATTAGGTGTCCGATTGGGTGGAATGAGTTCTTTCCTGTCCCCGTCTCCTGTCTGTGACTTGGAAGCGGCCCCAGTCTTCCATGACGGTTAAGGCCCAGCAGTTCTTGTCACTGTTGGGTTAGAACGATTCATGCTGGAGCTGCGTGCCTTTGGTCACCTGGGACAAATCGTGGCAGCTGGGCCTGGCTGGCATCTATCTGCTGGAGCCTGTCTCCTCCGGGCAGTCTGATAATCAGGCTTCTGTCATTTTTTTTCTTTTGAGTCAGTCTTGCTCTGTCTCCCAGGCTGGAGTGCAGTGGTGCAATCTCGGCTGACTGCAATCTCTGCCTCCTGGGTTCCAGCTATTCTTCTACCTCAGCCTCCTGAGTAGCTGGGACTACAGGTGCGCGCCACCACACCCAGCTAATTTTTGTATTTTTAGTAGAGATGGGGTTTCACCATGTTGGCCAGCCTGGTCTCGAACTCCTGACCTCAGGTGATCCACCTGTCTCGGTCTCCCAAAGTGCTGGGATTATAGGCGTGAGCCACCGTACCCAGCCACTTTTGTCATCTTGTGTTGGCTTTGGCAGCGACACCATTCACTGGGGTGGGAATTCGGGACAGGGTCTTGCCCCTGTGCCCGGGATTTGACATTTGGGAAACAAATGTTAAAACCCTACCATGTCCCTAAATGTCCCAGCCTCCCCAGGGCAATGCTGAGACCCAGAGGTGTCCCGTCACAGCCGGTGGCTCCACAGGAACCTGCAGGCATAAGCCTGCTCAGAAACCCCGTCTTCCTCATGGCAGGAGCTGCTGGCTTTTGGGGATGGGACTCGCGCAGGACCCTGTCCCACAGGGCAAATCTTTCTGTATCACTGCCCCTCAGCACTAAATACCACCAGTTCCCTGCCATCATCGTTGGAATAACCCCAAATGCAATTCCTTGCTGTCTCAGGTCAAGATGCACTGGACGCTTTCACTGAGGCTCAGTTAATTGTGGGTCTGGTTGGCCCAGCCTGGATAGCACTTGCTGAGAGGTCAACCACAGAGCTAGGAAGAAGGGCCTGGAGAATGTGCCCGCCCTACTCACCGTCTGCTCAGACTGATAGACATGAAGACATTTAGGATTAGAGGGAAACTCGTGAGCAACTCTCTGCAAACACTGTCCATTCTTTTCTTTTCTTTTTATTTTGAGACGGAGTTTTGCTCTTGTTGCCCAGGCTGGAGTGCAGTGGCATGATCTTGGATCACTGCAACCTCTGCCTCCTGGGTTCAAGCAGTTCTCCTGCCTCAGCCTCCCGAGTAGCTGGGATTACAGGCATGCACCACCATGCCCGGCTAATTTTTGTATTTTTATTAGAGACGGGGTTTCGCCATGTTCACCAGGCTGGTCTTGAACTCCTGACCTCAGGTGATCCACCCACCTCAGCCTCCCAGAGTGCTGGGATTACAGGCATGAGCCACTGTGCCCTGATTATTTTTTATTTTTTTTGAGACAGAGTCTTGCTCTGTCGCCCAGGCTGGAATGCAGTGGCACGATCTTGGCTCACTGTAACCTCTGCCTCTCAGGTTTAAGTGATTCTCATGCCTCAGCCTCCCAAGTAGCTGGGATTACAGGCACCTGCCACCACGCCTGGCTAATTTTTGTATTTTTAGTAGAGATGAGGTTTCACCATGTTGGCCAGGCTGTTCTCAAACTCCTCACCTCAGGTGATCCGCCTGCCTCGGCCTCCCAAAGTCTGGGATTACAGGCGTGAGCCATCGTGCCTGGCCCAGCCTTTTCTTAAATACTTCCAGAGACAGGGAGCTCAGTGCTTCTAGAGTCCATCTGACCAGTGATCCGCATTTGGACCACATTAGAAAAGTCTGTCTTCTTTTTCCTAGGGAAATTTGCCTCCCGAACAAGAACCCGCTGGTCCAAGCTTTGAATGCAGGTGGCTGCGGCCAGCGCACTGGATTTATCTTCCCGAATGACTTCTGAAACACTCAAACGCCCGATACCCTGTATCTTCCTCTTGCTAGGTCTGCCTATTTCAGAGCCAGTTTCTGAGCCTCTGCTGTTCCAACCCGGAACAGCGTTGGCGTGTCCCAGCCTGACGCTGGGTTGGGGGAGCAGTGAGGTCCACATATCTCATTCCTTGGTGGGAGGTATTGACGGGGTTTGCCCGGTGGCTTGACATCTGAGTTAAAGGGGCTTGAGAATGTTCTAGATTACTGGGGTGTCATTTTGCAATCGGAGGACAAGGATGGTTGGCAGCGGCTCTTCTTGTGCAATGGGCTCTGATCCTCTCAAAGGAGCTGGGTGTCATTATGAGCGAGAAGGGGGCGGGTCAAATGAAAAACCATGGGTGTGAAATTTGGACATAAGGTCGGAGGTCAGGAGCTACCCCAGGACGTGGCCCTCATAGGGGGGTTGAGCTTCTAGGTCTGAGGCCGCATTCTGGAGGGAAAGGCACAGGAAAGGACGCAGACCCAGCCGGGGTGGCGGTGGGTGTCTGTGGCTCCAACCTGGAGCGGGTGACAAGCAAGAGAAGGGTCTTGAATCTTGTATCCAGCTCTGACCACAGAGGCTGCGAGCAGGAGCGGAGGCCACCGACGCCACGCGGGCCACCCCCTGCGCTTCTTGCCTTCCTCGGCTGAGAGTTCGTGAGTGTGGAAGGGTGAGGGGCTCAGAGCTGGGCCCTTTTCTGGAACGCACAAATACTGCATCGTTAAAAAAAAAAAATACAATGTTTTCAAGCAGCTGAAAAGGATGCTGGGTTTCAGAGATGAACGGAGGGGCTGGCACCCTTGGAAGATTGGGACTCAGGATGAGGCAGGATGAGATCTGGGGCCAGTGGGCGTCTGACAGAGGTTTTCTGGCATCTGGAATCTTCTTCCATGTCCTTTGTTATGCTCACGTCGCCTCAGGACATGCTAGGGAGGGAAAGACACAGGCCAAGTTATTGCTGTTAATGTTAAAAGTGCAAAATGCGCTTCTACATGTATGTAATCCAAAACAATGATCCCACCCAGCGTGGGTGAACTCCCAGCAGCAAGAGTGGCACATGCCCTTCAGGGCCCGGCTCCTGCCACCCACTTTCTAAGTGTGGCTCTGAGGGCCTCCTTCCTGGTGCCTCAGCAGAACAGGCCCTGGAGACTGGCAACCTCAATCAGCCTGGAGGGAGGCTTCAACCCACCCCCCAACTAACCAACCATACAACCACCCACACATCTATCCATCCACCCATCCATCCATCCATCCATCCATCCATCCATCCATCCACACACTCACTCACCCATCCATTCACTCAATGGAGGGATCCATTCATCCCTCTGCCCACCCATCCAGCCACTCACTCATCCGTCCATCCACCCATCCACCCACCCACACATCCATCCATTCATCCATCCATCCCTCCACTCATCCATCTATTCAACCATCCATCCATCCATCCACCCACCTATCCATTGATCCATCTGCCCACCCATCCATCCACCCACTCATCCATCTGTCCATCCATCCATCCATCCATCCATCCATCCATCCACCCACCCACTCATCCATCTAGCCATCCATCCATGCATCCAACCAACCATACAACCACCCACACATCTAGCCATCCACCCATCCATGCACCCATCCATCCACCTATCTATCCATCCATCCATCCATCCATCCACCCACCCACCCATCCATTCATCCATCTGCCCACCCATCCAGTCACTCACTCATCCACCCACCCACCCACTCACCCATCCATCTACCCATCCATCCATCCACCCACCCATTCATCTACCCAACCATTCATCCAACCAACCATTCATCTACCATTTACCCATCCATATGCCTACCCATCCATCTCTCCATCAGTCCATCTTTCCATCCCTCCACCCATCCATTCATCCACTCATCCATCCACACAGTCAACCTTCACCCATCCATCCATCCATCCATTTATCCATCCATCCATCCACCTATCATCCATCTATCCTCCCATCCCTCCACTCATTCATTCATCTATCTATCCACCCATCATCCAAACATCCTTCCATCCATCCACTCATCCATCCATCCATCCATTTATCCACCTATCCATTCATCCATTCATCTATTGCTTCTTACAATTCCTTCTTTTGTGTTTTTAATTGTTAAAACATGCTTATTATATCTTATCCACCTAAGGATCTCCAGGCAAGATCTAATTCTGCTGTTTGTTGTCTCTGCTGTCTTTTGCTCATGGTGGATGATTTCCTTGTGTTTTCTGTCTGTATATGTGAACTCATCTCCAGAGAGCTTGGGTTGAGGTGGTCTTTTCAGAAATACATTGAGAACTTTTACTCAGTGCCCCTTAAGCAGCACTGGTCTAAGGCCATTTTTGATGTTTATTTCTTAGCTTGGAGCTTCCTGGGTCACATGGGTAGTAAGGCATGTGGCCAGGCCATCTTATAGATTTGTATAAAACTGTGTGGTCAGCTGGGCATGGTGGCTCACGCCTGTAATCTCAGCACTTTGGGAGGCCGAAGCGGGTGGATCACGAGGTCAGGAGATCGAGACCATCCCGGCTAACATGGTGAAACCCCGTCTCTACTAAAAAATACAAAAAATTAGCTGGGTGTGGTGGCAGACGCCTGTAGTCCCAGCTACTTGGGAGGCTGAGGCAAGAGACTGGAGTGACCCTGGGAGGCGGAGCTTGCAGTGAGCCAAGATCATGCCACTGCACTCCAGCCTGGGCGACAGAGCGAGACTCCATCTCAAAAACAACAACAACAACAAAAACAAAACAAAACAAAAAAACTGTGTGGTCAAGGATAAATCCCACACATTCTAAAGAAAAGTTTGGTCCTTCCCTGGCTCCTGGGATTAACTTCTAAACTCTTGGAGCATCCTGGCTGGAGTGTCTATGTGGGTCATGCCAGATAGTCTATGCTAACTGATATGGTTGGGCTGTGTCCCCACCCAAATCTCATCTTGAATTGTAGTTCCCATAACCCCACTTGTCGTGGGCGGTACTCAGTGGGAGGTAACTGAACCATGGGGGCGGCTACCTCCATGCTGTTCTCGTGGTAGTGAGTTCTCACGAGATCTGATGGTTTTATAAGGGGCTTTCCCCCCTTTGCTCAGCACTTCTCGCTCCTGCTGCCTGGTGAAGAGGTGGCTTCCGCCAGGATTATAAATTTCCCGGGGCCTCCCCAGCCATGCAGAACTGTGAGTCAATTAAACCTCTTTTCTTTATAATTTACCCGGTCTTGGGTATTTCTTCATAGCAGCATGAGAATGGACTAATAACACTCACAACGTGACTTAGGGTTGGAACTTGGGCCACGTGGCATCAGCTTGATCTGTGCAGGGGCTGGAGGCTAAGAAAAGCCATGCAGACAGTCAGCCAGGTGTATGTAGTTGACTCTCTATAAACACCCTGGCTAGAAAGGCTTGGGTCAGCTTCTCTAGTTGGCAGCACTTTGTGTGTTTTGCCACACATCCCTGCTGGGAGAAATAAAGGCTGTCCACACAACCCCACTGGGAGAGGACACTTGCAGGCTTCCACCCGATCTCTCCTGGATCCAGCCCTATGCACCTCTTCCTTTTGTTAAGTTTTTTGTTTTTTTGTTTTTTTTTTTTTAAACAGAGTCTTGCTCTGTTGCCCAGGCTGGAATGCAATGGTGCAATCTCAGCTCACTGCAACCTCCGCCTCCCAGGTTCAAGCAATTCTCTTGCCTCAGCCTCCTGAGTAGCTGGGACTACAGGTGTGTGCCACCACACCCAGCTAATTTTATATTTTTAGTAGAGATGGGGTTTCACCATATTGGCCAGGCTGGTCTTGAATTCCTGATTTCAAGTGATCCACCTGCCTCGGCCTCCCAAAGTGCTGGGATTACAGGCATGAGCCACCACACCCAACTCTGCTGATTTTTAACTGTACCCTTCTACTGTAATAAACCATGCCACTGTGATAAACCATAACTGTGAGTATGACAGCTTTGCTGAGCTCTGTGAGTCCTTCTGGCAAACCATTGTGCCTGAGGATACCCTTGGACATCAACACACAGGGAGGCTTTTCTTTTCTTTCCTTTTTTTTTTCTTTTTTTGAGACAAAGTCTAGCCCTATTGCCCAGGCTGTGGAGTGCAGTGGTACGATCTTGGCTCACCTGGCTAATTTTTGTATTTTTTTTAGGGACGGGGTCTTGCCATGTTGCCCAGGCTGGTCTTGAACTCCTGACCTCAAATGATCCGCCTGCCTCGGCCTCCCAAAGTGCTGGGATTACAGGCGTGAGACGCTGCGCCCGGCCACAGGGAGGCTTTTCTTGGCATCCAGAACCAGGTGGAGAATCGGAGGCAGAGCGTGGACAGTCTACCCTTTTGTGGTATCATATCCTGGGCTTCAGGGAGCTTGGCTCTGTGTGGGTTTTTCCCTGAGGGCCGCTCCACTGCATAACTCTGGGGCCTCATTTGCATCCTGGTCTAGGTAATGGTGCCCCCCTGGAGTTGTGCAAGGACGGCCTGACTGGTTAAGGGAACCACTACCTCCCTGCCTTCCCGGTGCCGTATCCCCCACTCCCGATAAGTCATGGGGCAGTTTTCCTGGGATTAGGATCCCTGCCTGCTTTATATTTGCTGGCAGCTGGTTTGATTTTCTGTCCTTCTAGAGAACCCTGACTAATACAGGTCCATGAAGGACATTTTGAAAACAGCACGAAGACCACTCTGCATCACACCCACCTTGTTTCCTGATCTTCTGAGACCAGAGCAGACCTGTGGAGGAGAGACGGAGACTGGGCGTTATTTGCTTATTTTTGGGAGCCTGGGCATTTTCCCTTTTTTTTCTTTAACTTATTTTATTTTTATTTATTTATTATTATTAAGATACAGGGTCTTGGCTGGGTGCAGTGGCTCATGCCTATAATCCCAGCACTTTGGGAGGCTGAGGTGGGTGGATCACTTGAGGTCAGGAGTTCGAGACCAGCCTGGCCAACATGGTAAAACCCTGTCTCTACTAAAAATACAAAAATTAGCCGGGTGTGGTGGTGGGTGCCTGTAATCCCAGCTACTCGGGAGGCTGAGGCAGGAGAATCGCTTGAACCCGGGAGGTGGAGGTTGCAGTGAGCCAAGATCGCACCATTGCACTCTGGCCCCTGGGCGACAAGAGTGAAAATCTGTCTTAAAAAAAAAAAAAAGATACAGGGTCTTGTTATGTTGCCCAGGCTGGAGGGCAGTGGTGCAATCATGGCTCACTGCAGCTTCCAGCTCCGGGCTCAAGTGATCCTCCCACCTCAGCCTCCCAAGTAGCTGGGACTACAAGGTATACACCATCATGCCTGGCTAACTTTTAAACTTTTTGTAGAGATGGAGTCTCAATATGTTGCCCAAGTTGGTCTCGAACTCCTGACCTCAAATGGTCCTCCTGCTTTGGCCTCCGAAAGTGCTGGGATTACAGGCGTGAGCCACAGTGCCCATTCTTGGGCATTTTCTACCTGTTCGTGGAGGCTGTAAGCCCTATGAGGACCGACACTGCTGTATCTGGTACAAAACAGATGTCAGCGTGCATCTGCTGCGTAACAAATGAGCCCAAACAGACAGTTTTGAGGAAATTGGCCAAGGCCCTTCACTAACATAAAATGAAGCCAATAATGTTGCTCAGGGTCTACTGGATTGGGGGAGTCTGAATCTACCTGCTGGGACCTGGACAAAGGTCACCTTTCATCATTATGATAACATTGAGATTGCGATAATATGAGAACATCATGATAACTTTTTTTTTTTTTTTGAGACAGGGTCTTGCTCTGTTGCCCAGGCTGGAGTGCAGTCATAGCTTGCTGTAGCCTTGACCTCCTGGGCTCCAGCCATCTGCCTGCCTCACCCTTCTGAGTAGCTGGACTAGAGGTGTACATCACCACACCTGGATGATATTTATTTATTTATTTATTTTTGAGACAGAATCTCATTCTGTCGCCAGGCTGGAGTGCAGTGGTCTGATCTCGGCTCACTGCAACCTCCGCCTCCCAGGTTCAAGTGATTCTCCTGCCTCAGCCTTCCAAGTAGGTGGGACTACAGGCACGAGCCACCATGCCCAGCTAATTTTTGTATTTTTAGAAGAGATGGGGTTTCACCATGTTGGCCAGGCTGGTCTCGATCTCTTGGCCTTGTGATCGGCCCACCTCAGCCTCCCAAACTACTGGGATTACAGGCGTGAGCCACCACACCCGGCCGATAATTTTTATTTTTATTTTATTTGTTTATTTATTTTTTTGAGATGGAGTCTCACTTTGTCGCCGAGTGCAGTGGTACTATCTCGGCTCACTGCAACCTCTGCCCCCTGGGTTCAAGCGAATCTCCTGCCTCGGCCTCCCAAGTAGCTGGGATTACAGATGTGAGCCACCATGTCCAGCTAATTTTTGTATTTTTAGTAGAGATGAGGTTTCACCATGCTGGCCAGGCTGGTCTCGAACTCCTGACCTCATGTGATCTGCCCACCTCGGCCTCCCAAAGTGCTGGGATTACAGGCGTGAGCCACCATGGCCGGCCACTTAGTTCCATTTTCTGTCCCTGAACAAGGACCCATCTTCCTCTCTAGCCTCCCCCAAGGGAGTAGGCAGCCTCCCGTGACTGTCAGCTCTCTGCCCATGGTCCCCTGCACACCTACCTGTTTTCCACTGGTGCCACCTCTGGCTTCTCTTCAGACCTGGGCAGCACAAACTCCGGCTGGGGCCTCGCGCTGTGGACAGAGAGAACGAGGTGACAAGGGTGACTAGCCCAGCCAGGCCAAGGGGTGGGCTCTCAGCTAGTACTGGCCTCTCTGGTTTTCCTGTCCCCTGGGACCTGTTTTCCAAACCAGTGAGATGTTCCCTGCCTTTGCTATTTGAGAAAACTTCTGGGACCAAGACTCTGTCTTATTTGCCTCTGTTTCCCTCAAAGCTGGCATTGGACCTGGCATGATAAAGGCTGTTTTTTTTTGTTTTTTTTTTTGAGACAGGATCTTGCTCTGTTGCCCAGGCTGGAGTGCAATGGTACAATCATGGCTCACTGCAGCCTCAACTTCCTGGGCTCAAGCAGTCGTCCCGATTCAGTCTCCCTGCAAGTAGCTGAACTACAGGCGCATGCCACCACACCTGGCTAATTTATTTTTTTTTTTTTTTGAGACAGAGTCTTGCTCTGTCACCCACGCTGGAGTGCAGTGGCATGATCTCGGCTCACTGCAACCTCCGCCTCCCAGGTTCAAGTGATTCTCCTGGCTCAGCCTCCCAAGTAGCTGGGATTACAGGCACGCACCACCACGCCTGGCTAATTTTTGTATTTTTGGTAGAGACGGAGTTACGCCATGTTGTCCAGGTTGTTCTCCAACTCCTGACCTCACACAATCCTCCTGCCTCAGCCTCCCAAAGTGCTGGGATTACAGCCTCTCAAAGTGCTGGGTGAGCCACCGCGCCCGTCTTGACTTTTATGCTTTATGGAGCGTGAAGTCTGTGCTCAACCTTTTTTGCCAAGGGTGCCTCATCTTGCACAATAACCTCCAAGGTGGTTGTTAGCTTTTTATTTGCTTAATGTTACCTTGCAGCTCAATGCGGGAGCCAGTATTTGAACCCAGGTCTGAGTTTAAAGTCCTTGCCAGAAGGGCAGCGTCTTGAGCCCTGCACAGGACAATGGTCCCTGCTGCCCAGAAGTCACCGGGTTGCCCTAACTGAGAGTTCAGCTCAGCCCCCCGCTGCCCCGACCCAGCCCCAGCAGAAACCACTCTGCACACACCTCTCCCTCCTGGCCTTCAGTCTTTCCTCTTCGTATCTGAAAGAAAGAAAAAGATGTCAGACACAACCTTCCTTTCCCCTGAGATATACTTTTTGGGGAAATCCCTTTCCTTTTCAAGCAGAGAAACAAGCTCTCTTTTTTCTTTCTTTTCTTCTTCTTCTTCTTCCTTTTTTTTTTTTTTTTTTTTTTTTTTGAGATGGAGTCTTGCACTGTCGCCCAAGCTGGAGTGCAGTGGTGCGATCTTGGCTCACTGCAACCTCCACCTCCCCGGTTTGAGTGATTCTGCTGCCTCAGCCTCCGGAGTAGCTGGGACTTACAGGCACCTGCTACCACGCCCAGCTAATTTTTTGTATTTTTAGTACAGACGGGGTTTCCCTATGTTGGCCTGGCTGGTCTCAAACTCCTGACCTCATGATCCACCCACCTCGGCCTCCCAAAGTGCTGGGATTACAGGCGCGAACCACCGCGCCCGGCCTCTTCTCTTTTTTTTAGACAGGTTCTCATTCTGTCATAGCCCAGACTGGAGTGCAGTGGCATGAACTCACTTGTAGCCTCCAACTCCTGGGCTCAAGCGATCCTCTGGCCTCAGCCTCCCAAAGTGCTGGGATTACAGGCATGAGCCACCACACCTGGCCCATAGATGCATTTTTGATTATAAATGTTTATGTGTTGGCTGAGCACGGTGGCTCACGCCTATAATCCCAGAACTTTGGGAGGCCGAGGCGGGCAGATCACTGAGTTCAGGAGACTGAGACCATCCTGGCCAACATGGTGAAACCCTATCTCTACTAAAAATACAAAAATTAGCTGGGCGTGGTGGCAGGTGCCTGTAATCCCAGCTATTCGGGAGGCTGAGGCACGAGAATCCCTTGAACGTAGAAGCTGGAGGATATGGTGAGCCGAGATTGCGCCATTGCGTTCCAGCGTAGGCAACAGAGTGAGACTCTGTCTAAAAAAAAAAACCAGAAAAACCCCAACAAAACAACAACAACAAAAAACAGGCTGGGTGCGATGGCTCACGCCTGTAATCCCAGCACTTTGGGAGGCTGAGGTGGGGAGTTTGAGACCAGCCAGGCCAACATGGTGAAACCCCATCTCTACTAAAAATACAAAAAAATTATCTGGGTGTGGTGGTGGGCGCCTGTAGTCCCAGCTACTCGGGAGGCTGAGGCAGGAGAGTTGCTTGAACCCGGGAGGTGGAGGTTGCAGCGAGCCAAGATAGCGCCACTGCACTCCAGCCTGGGTGACAGAGTGAGACTCCGTCTCAAAAAAGCAAAGCAAAGCAAAACAAAACAAAACAGTATGGTGGTTCCTCAAAAAAACAGAATTATCAGCAATTCCACTTTTGGGTATATACTCATTAGAATTGAAAGTAGGGTCTTACAGAGATATTTGTACATCTACGGTCATAGGTGAGTAGCATATAAATAACATGACTATTCACAAGAGCCAAAAGGTGGAAACAACCCAATTGTCCATTGATGGACAAATGGATTGACAAAATGTGGTCCATTCACGCAATGGAATATTATTCAGCCATGAAAAGGAAGGACATTCTGACACAGGCTACAATGTGGATGCACCTTGAGGATGTCACGCTCAGTGAGAGACGTCAGACACAAAAGGACAAATCCTGTGTGGATCCATTCCTAGGAGGTCCCTAGAGTCGTCAGACTCCCAGAGACAGAAAGTAGGATGGGGGCTGCCAGGGGTTGGGATGTGGAATGGGGAGTGAGTGTTTCATGGAGACAGAGTTTCAGTTTGGGAAGATGAGAACGTTCTGGAGAGGGCCGGGTGCAGTGGCTCATGCCTGTAATCCCAGCACTTTGTGAGGCCGAGCCAGGCAGATCAACTGAGGTCAGGAGTTCAAGACCAGCCTGGCCAACATGACAAAACTCCGTCTCTACTAAAAATACAAAAATCGGCCAGGCGTGGTGGCTCACGCCTGTAATCCCAGCACTTTGGGAGGCTGAGGTGGGCGGATCACCTGAGGTCGGGAGTTCGAGACCAGCCTGGGCAACAAGAGTTAAACTCCATCTCAAAAAAAAAAAAAAAAAAAATTAGCTGGGCATGGTGGTGGGTGCCTTAATCCCAGCTACTGGGGAGGCTGAGGCAGGAGAATCACTTGAACCCAGGAGGTGGAGGTTGCAGTGACCCGAGATCGTGCCACTGCACTCCAGCCTGGGCAACAGAGCAAGACTCCATCTCAAAAAAAAAAAAAAGAAAGGTCTGGAGAGGATGGTGGTGATGGCTGCACAAATATGCGAATGTGCTTTTAGAAATGGCTAAGATAGGCCGGGCGCAGTGGCTCACGCCTGTAATCCCAGCACTTTGGGAGGCCGAGGCCGGTAGATCATCTGAGGTCAGGGGTTTGAGACCAGCTTGACGAACATGGAGAAACCCTGTCTCTACTAAAAATACAAAAAAAAAAAAAAAAATTAGCCAGGCATGGCGGCTCATGCCTGTAATCCCAGCTAGTTGGGAGGCTGAGGCAGGAGAATCGCTTGAACCCGGGAGGCGGAGGTTGTGGTGAGCCGAGATGGCGCCATTGCACTCCAGCCTGGGCAACAAGAGTGAAACTCCTTCTCAAAAAATAAATAAATAAATAAAATTAAAAAAGGAATGGCTAAGATGGGAAGTTCTATGTTACGTGTATTTTACCACAATAAAAAAATGTACGTTTAAGGAGATTTTTGCAGCATGAACCTAGGGGAGGTGCCGATGATATGACATTCAGTGAAAAACAACAGGACTTGAAGCTGCCCATCCCTTCCCCAAGCTCCGGGGGGTCCCTGAGGGGCTCCAGGAAATAAAATGGGTGGGTTCTAGTTCCTCCCTTCCAAGTCTGCGTTTCCCCTCATTGCTGGCTCCTGGTAGCCAGGGGGACCCGGTGGGGGGGTGTTGGGGGTGACAGGGTTTGACTGTATCTCCACCCAAATCTTTTTTTTTTTTTCTTGAGACGGAGTTTCACTCTTGTTGCCCAGGCTGGAGTGCAGTGGTGCGATCTCGGCTCACCACAACCTCTGCCTCCCAGGTTCAAGCGATTCTCCTGCCTCAGCCTCCTCAGTATCTGGGATTACAGGCATGCACCACCACACCTGGCTAATTTTTGTATTTTTAGGAGAGACAGGGTTTCACCATCTTGGCCAGGCTAGTCTCGAACTCCTGACCTCAAGTGATCTGCCTGTCTCAGCCTCTCAAAATGCTGGGATTACAGTGCTGGGATTATAGGTGTGAGCCACCTTGCCTGGTCTCTTCACCCAAATCTCATCTTGAATTGTAGCTCCCATAATTCCCTCCTGTTGTGGGAGTGACCTGGTGGGAGGTCACTGAATCATGGGGGCAGGTCTTTCCTGTGCTATTCTCGCGACAGTGAGTAAGTCTCATGAGATCTGATGGTTTTATAAAGGGGAATTTGCCTGTACAAATTTCCTTCTCTTCTCTGCCGCCATGGGAGACGTGCCTTTTGCCTTCCACCGTGATTGGGAGGCGTTGCCAGCCACATGGAATTGTGAGTCCGTTAGCCCTTTTTTTTTTTTTTTGCGATGGAGTCTCGCTCTGTGGCCCAGGCTGGAGTGCAGTGGCGCGATCTCAGCTTACTGCAACCTCCGCCTCCGGGGTTCACGCCATTCTCCTGCCTCAGCCTCCTGAGTAGCTGGGACTACAGGCGCCCGCCACCACGCCCGGCTAATTTTTTGTATTTTTAGTAGAGACGGGGTTTCACCATGTTAGCCAGGATGGTCTCGATCCCCTGACCTCGTGATCCGCCCGCCTCAGCCTCCCAAAGTGCTGGGATTACAGGCAGGAGCCACCGCGCCCGGCCCCTTAAACCTCTTTTGTAAATTGCCCTGTCTCAGGTGTGTCTTTATCAGCAGCACGAAAACAGACTAATACGGCGGGGTGGACTGTGGGGCCACTCACTGCAGGACGCAGTCTGGGATCTGGACGTGTTCCATAGGGATGAGTTGCTCCAGGTCTTCCAAGCTGTGCACGTACTGGATCTTGTTGATGAACTTGACGCTGGCGGGGGGAGAAGGAGGGAGAGGTCTGAAATGCAACCCATGGGGTGGGGGTTACCTAGGTCCAGACAGAGCCATGGCGACAGGGATCCCCACAGGACCCCACTCCAGGATGCCCCAGTGCAGACGACGACACCTCCCTCCCGCCCGATGACAGCCTTAATTATCTTGCACCCCATGCATGGAGTGGAGACCCCGGGTCTGCGCCGAGGCCCTTGCAAGCAGGGCCATGCACCTGACATGGGTCCCTGCAATGAGGATCTTGTTGGAAGGAAGTCAGGAGGTGGGGAGATTGTCTTAGACTCTACAGGCTGTTTTCCCATCATCTCTAAAAGTTGCTCCTCTGTGTTAATTTTTCCCAGGGATGCTTTCTCTCCATGTCACCGCACAGGACGGCACAGCCAACACTCAGCTGGGCACAAGAAGGGGGCACACGGGGCTGCCCATTGATTCTCTGTTATTGTTATTTTTTGACACAGAGTCTTGCTCTTCACCCAGGCTGGAGTGCAGTGGTGTGATCTCGGCTCACTGCCACCTCCGCCTCCCCGGTTCAAGCGATTTTCCCTGCCTCAGCCTCCCGAGTAGCTGGGACTACAGGCATGCACCACCACTCTCGGCTAATTTTGTATTTTTAATGGAGATGGGGTTTCATCATGTTGGCCAGGCTAGTCTCCAACTCCTGACCTCATGTGATCTGCCTGCCTCTAACTCCCAAAGTGCTGGGATTACAGTCATGAGCTACCCTGCCTGGCCCAATTCTCTGTTTTTCAGGGATGAATGGTTCTTTCCCTTCTTTCCCTTCCAATCCTGAATTCTGGCCATCTGATACCATGTGGTGTTTCATCACCAGCACTTCATGGTATTTTTTTTTTAAGAGACAGAGTCTCACTCTGTCACCCAGGCTGGAGTGCAGTGGTGTAATCATGGCTCACTACAGCCTCGACCTCCTGGGCTCAAGTGATCCTCCTCCCTCAGCCTCTGAGTAGCTGGGATCACAGGTGCGCGCCACCAGGCCTGGCTAATTAAAAAAAATTTTTTTTTGTAGAGATGGAGGTCTTGCTATGTTGCCCAGACTGGTCTTCAACTCCTGGCCTCAAGCGATCCTCCTGCCTCGGTCTCCCAAAGTGCTGGGATTACAAGCCTGGGTCACCACACCTGGCCGTATTTAAAAAAAAATTTTTTTCACTTTGGGAGGCCAAGGCAGGCGGATCACGAAGTCAGGAGATCGAGACCATCCTGGCTAACACGATGAAACCCCATCTCTACTAAAAATACAAAAAGTTAGCTGGGCCTGGTGGCGGGCGCCTGTAGTCCCAGCTGCTCGGGAGGCTGAGGCAGAATAGCGTGAACCCGGGAGGCGGAGCTTGCAGTGAGCTGAGATCGCGCCACTGCACTCCAGCCTGGGCGACAGAGTGAGACTCCGTCTGAAAAAAAAAAAAATTTTTTTTTGTAGAGACAGGGTCTCGCTATGTCACCCAGGCTGGTCTCGAACTCCCGGGCTCAAGCGATCCTCTCATCTCGACCTTCCAAAGTGTTGGGATTACAGGTGTGAGCCATGGCGACCGGTGAAGAGTGACAGAATTATTGGGTTCGTGCAAGAGTGATTGCAGTTTTTGTAATGAAAATATGGCAAGAACCTCAATTATTTTTGCACCATCCTAATATCTACATTAAAGGCAAAGGTAGTCTATGTTACTGAATTCTGGAATATAGAGGAGCAAATGCAATTATCTTAGACTGAAATGCGTGTTTACCGTTTTGCCTGTTGATTCATTATTAGCTAAAATGATCCATAATTAGTGTATTCCTCATCTCATTTCGCTAATATGCAAATAAGCCCCTTCAGGGTACTTAGCAGTCCTTGAAAACAGCATGTTTAAAGAGTCTTCCTTGAAAATCGGGCCTGCTGTGAATGTGTCCTGTTGTTCAAGGGAAAGTGAAGCCCTCGTCTCTTTCGCTCATCCCAGATTTGTAACTGGGAACGTGAACATTAGGAATCTTTATTCAATTCAATGTTTTGCATTAGATTAAATTAAATTTGCATGACATTTTATTGGATTGAATAGGGCATTTAACATGCCTAATTTTATTTCACTTGATCTGTTTTACTATATGTTTAATATAGTAACTATATATGATATACATTATAGAATATATGTAGTTTTAAATTTTAAATTTATTAGTCATATTATTTATTTATTTATACATACATATATATATATTTTATTTTTAGAGACAGGGTTGTTTTGCTCTGTCTCCCAGGCTGGAGTGCAGTGGAGTGATCATAGCTCACTGCAGCCTCTACCTCCTGGGCTCAAGTGATCCTCCTGCCTCAGCCTCCTGAGTAGCTGGGACTACAGGCATGTGATGCCATGCATGACTGATTTTCTTTTGAGACAGGGTCTCACTCTGTCATCCAGGCTGGAGTACAGTGGCTCGATCACGGCTCATTGCAGCCTTGATCTCCTGGGCTCAAGCCATCCTCCCACGTGAGCCTCCCAAGTAGCTGAAACTACAGGTGTGCACCACCACGTCCTGCTAATTTTTGTATTTTTTGTAGAGATGGGGGTTTTGCTATGTTGCTCAGGCTGGCCTCAAACGATCCTCCCACCTCAGCCTTCTGAGTAGCTGGGATTACAGGTGTCAGCCACTGTGCCTGGCTGTGTGCAATTTAAAACTGTTTAAAGCAATAATATGTATTCATCATAGAGAAGCTGGAACATGCACATCAAACACACACATGGATGCACACACACACAGATGCACACACGCACACACGTGCACACATGCACACACAAATGCATGCATACACACACGCACACACGCACACTGAGGCCACTGGACTTGGGTTGCAGCCTCCCCGTCTCACCTGATGAAAGGGCGAGAGATGGCCAGCACAGTCCGAATGAACCACGAGGGGTGGACGATGATCAAGGACTTCAGGTTTTTCCGCAACCTGTGTGGGGCCGCAAAGGAAGCAAGATGGGCTCCTGGGGCGAGCCCTGGGGAGGGAGGAGCTGGGTGGGACGGGAGAGCCACAAGCAAGCATTCGTCACTCTGCTCATTCCACGTGTGGTCTCCAGGTACCTGTCAAATCCCTGCCCCCATCCAAGACATGGGGGTCCTATGGTGGGATAAAGACACACCCTTTGAGTCCCTAAGACCCTCAGGTGGATGAGGTAGGTAGAGACCCCATGGTGCAGAGCAGGTGAACCAGGTTGGTAGTTATTTGAGCAGCCAAGATTGTATTTTCACCACCTAATGCCCTAGGAGGGACCAGCCTGTCCTTGGAGCCTCCCTCCACTAACCTGGGTGCAAGGATGGATTGGCTGGCTCAATTTTAATGTCACTCTGAGGCTATTTACAATAACTCAGGGGTGGAAGCAACCCATGTCCATCAAGAGATGAATGGAATGGACAAACCAAATGTGGTATGTCCATACAGTGGAATATTATGCAGCCATGAAAAGGAAGGAGGCTCTGACACAGGCTACAATGTGGATGCACCCTGAGGACATCACACTCAGTGAGGAAAGCCAGACACAAAAGGACAAATCCTGTGTGATTCCAGTCCTAGGAGGTCCCTAGAGTCATCAGATTTACAGAGACAGAAAGTAGGATGGGGGGTGCCGGAGCCTGGGGAGAAGGAATAGGGAGTGAGTGTTTCATGGGGACAGAGTCTCGCTCTGTTGCCCAGGCTGAAGTGCAGTGGCATGATCTCGGCTCACTGCAACCTCCACCTCCTGGGTTCAAGTGATTCTCCTGCCTCAGCTTCCCAAGTAGCTGGGACTACAGGCATGCGCCACCACGCCCAGCTAATTTTTGAATTTTTTTAGTAGAGATGGGGTTTCACTATATGTTGGCCGGGCTGGTCTTGAACTCCTGACCTCAGGTGATCCACCCACCTTGGCCTCCCAAAGTGCTGGGATTAGAGGTGTGAGCCCCCTTGCCCGGCCTAAAAGTTTTTCTGTAGAGACAGCGTCTTGCTGCGTTGCCCAGGCTGGTCTCAAACTCCTGGGCTCAAGGGACCTTCCCACCTCAGCCTCCCGAAGTGCTGGGATTCCAGGTGTGAGCCACCATGTCCAGCCCCCTGTGTGATTTTCATGCCCCCACTGTGCTTCCTGAGGCATCCCCACCTCACCTCCGGTCGATCATCTGGTAGCACTTCTTCAGCCAGCCGATTCCAGGCATCCTCCGCCGGGGCGTGGCACCGTTCAGGTACACGATCATGTAGTCCTCAGCCACCAGGAGCTCTAAGCTGCTGATGACGTACCTGCTCACGGGGCACAGAAGGCAGGGACCCAACATGGAGGGGTCCAGGGTCAGGACACCTGCGGTGCCGACCCTGCCTGCCTCCACTCCTGCCGCTGGCTGGGTCAGCCCCACTGGTCCAGGTGTTGTCTGCTGTCCTGGCGGACTGCAGGGTGGGAGAGGACGTGGATGATCCCAGCACACTCCACATGAGTGTCAGCGGGCATCCTCATAGGGCAGTTACTCTTTTATTGAGTCGTTTTTTTTTTTTGAGACGGAATCTCGCTCTGTTGCCCAGGCTAGAGTGCAGTGGTGCGATCTCGGCTCACTGCAAGCTCCGCCTCCCAGGTTCACGCCATTCTCCTGCCACAGCCTCCCTAGTAGCTGGGATTACAGGCGCCTGCCACCGAGCCCAGCTAAATTGTAGTTTTAGTAGAGGCAGGATTTCACTATGTTGGCCAGGCTGGTCTCTAGGCCTTGCTTTTTTTTTTTTTTTTTTTTTTTGAGACAGGTTCTCACTCTGTCACCCAGGCTGGAGTGCAGTGGTGCCATCTCAGAGCGGGAAGAGGAGGAGGAAGGGGAAGAGGATGGGGAGGAGGAGGATGGGGAGGGGGAGGAGAGGGAAGGAGAGGAAGATGAGGGAAGGAGGAGAAGGAGGAGGAAGGGGGGAGAAAGGGGAGGAAGAGAAAGAGGATGAGGTGGAGAAAGGGGAGGAAGAGGAGGAGAAGGAAGAGGGGGGAGGAGGAGAGGGAAGGGGAAGAGGGGGAGGAGGAGAGGGAAGGGGAGGAGGAGGAGAAAAGGGAGGAGGAGGGGGGAGGAAGAAGGGGAGGAGAAGGAGGAGAAGAAAGGGGAAGGGGGAGGAAGAAGGGGAGGAGGAGGAGGACAGTGAGGAGGAGGGGAAGGAGGAGGAAGAGGAGGAGGAGGAGGACGGGGAGGAGAACAGGGTGGCCCAGAGGGAAGGCCACTGTGAGCCTCAGGGCCAGCAGGGACTCAGATCAAGGTCTGTGGCCACCACGCCCTTCCCTGGTGCCAGGCAGGCTTCCTAGGGCCACAATGCAATCCTTGCAGCCTGGTGCCCCTGTGGCCAGGGAGGCATCAGAGCTGGCCCGAGGCTGCTCGCCGCGGGCGGGGACTCACAGGAAGAGGTTCTCCATGATGTAGTGGTAGTCGGGGAGGCTGCTGTCTGGAAGGAAGCAGGCTGCGAAGACGATGATGGCGTTGAGGCCTTCGCCGTAGTACCCTGAGGAGAGGCAGCCGATCGGCAACGTCAGAGTCCTCTCCCAGCCCTGAGCTGCCTCCCGCGCACCACCCACCACGTCCCGGTGCCCACACGCTCGGGAGGGCATGGCTCCGAGCCACAGCAGCCGGCGACCCCTTAGCCAGTCTCTGCCTTCGCTGAGGAGTGACAGCGACCATCAGGGGCCCCCAGTGCGCCTCCCTGACCATGCACGCCTTGCCCACAGTCCGTCCACCCGAAGCGAGTTGACGGCTTAACATCCCCGTGCATCAGAGAGGGGCACTGACGAACCCCCTGTTGCCCAGTGGGCCGGGCTGGAGCCCCAAGGGGGCACCGGGGGGCGGGTCTCACCTCCGTGGGTGACCACTTTCATGTAAGGCCGGATCATGTGCAGGTCTATACGGTGCTCTTGCTCCCCGATGATCACTGTCCGCCACAGGCGCCCGTTGGCGGCGCTGCCGTCCTCCGTCGTGCCGTCCCCAAATAGATCCGCGCTGTCCCCGGGCATGTTCTTGGCGGTGGCCACGGGGGTGTCGTCTAGAAGCAGGTGGCGGAGAGTCGCATGGACGCCAGAGTCCGGATATCTCCTGCCCTCCTGCTCAGCCTTCCTTCCCCTCTCCCACCTCCCTCGCTGCCGGGACCCACAAGTCCTTCGCTTCTCCCCACCTGGCTGCCCTGCTGACCCATTTTCCTCTCCTACTCCCCTTTCAAGGCCTGGCTCAAATGCCGCCTCCTCCAGGAAGCCTTTCTGGACATTCCCTTTGCTGGCCTCCCAGGGCACTCTGTTGGTTAAGGACCTGTGTCCTGGAGCTTCTCAGAGCTGGTGAATGCATCTGCTTCATCAAACCACGAGGATACTCGGGGCATGCATGCTTGGTTTTTACTCTCCCAGGAGCCTGGCACACAGAGAGCAGTCCTCCTGCCTCAGCCTCCCAGATACCTGGGACTACAGTTGTGCACCACCACACCCAGCTAATTTTTATATTTTTGTAGAGATGGGGTTTCAATATGTTGCCCAGGCTGGTCTCAAACTCCTGGCCTTAAGCGATCCTCCTACCCTGGCCTCCCGAAGCTCTGGGATTACAGGAATGAGCCACTACATTGTCCTTAATTTTTTTTTTTCTTTCTTTTTTTTTTTTGAGAGAGTCTTGTTCCATCGCCCAGGCTGGAGTGGAGTGGTGCGATCTCTGCTCACTGCAGCCTCTGCCTCCAGAGTTCAAGCGATTCTCCTGCCTCAGCCTCCCGAGTAGCTGGGACTACGCACGCCACCATGCCCGGCTAATTTCTGTATTTTTAGTAGAGATGGAGCTTCACCATGTTGGCCAGGCTGGTCTCAAACTCCTGACCTCAGGTGATCTGCCCACCTCAGCCTCCCAAAGTGCTGGGATTACAGGCGTGAGTCACTGCGCCTGGCCTTTCGTGGTCTGTCTTTCTGATGATCTGTGTGTGCAGGTAGGGACCAGGACCATCTCTTCTTATCATAGCCCTGCCATATACCCCACGCCTGAATCAGGACTTGCCCTGGAGTAAATGGTCAAAAAGTATTTGTTGCATACATCGAGGGCAGTTTGTTGGGATCTTGGTCGCCTTTGAGATTCTGATGAAAGCCACGTTCTGCAGAAAAATTCACAAGCCCACAAGAAAAATATGCATCAAATTGCAGGGGCAGGCTGGGCGCCGTGGCTCACACCTGTGATCCCAGCACTTTGGGAGGCCGAGGTGGGTGTATCACTTGAAGTCAGGAGTTTGAGACCAGCCTGGGCAACATGGGAAAACCCCATCTCTACTAAAAATATAAACATCAGCCGGAAGTGGTAGTGCATGCCTGTAATCCCAGCTACTCGGGAGGCTGAGGCAAAAGAATCGCTTGAACCCGGGAGGTGGAGGATGCAGTGAGCTGAGATCACACCACTGCACTCCAGCCTGGGCAACAGAGTGAGACTCTGTCTCAAAAAAAAAAAAAAAACAGTCGCAGGAGCGGATGGACCCTCCTCCTGGCACCCCTCCTATTCTGCTATCGAACAATAGAACTTATTCCTTCTGTCTAACTGTATGTTGGTACCCATTCACCAACCTCTCTCTCTCTTTTTTTTTTTTTTTGAGACGGAGTCTCGCTCTGTCGCCCAGGCTGGAGTGCAGTGGCACAATCTTGGCTCACCGCAAGCTCGGCCTCCTGGGTTCACACCGTTCTCCTGCCTCAGCCTCCTGAGTAGCTGGGACTTCAGGTGCCCGCCACCATGCCTGGCTAATTTTTTGTATTTTAGTAGAGACGGGGTTTCACTGTGTCAGCCAGGATGGTCTCGATCTCCTGACCTCGTGATCTGCCCGCCTCGGCCTCCCAAAGTGCTAGGATTACAGGCATGAGCCACTGCGCCCAGCCACCTCTCTCTTTTTTAAAAATTTTATTTTTGAGACAGGGTCTCACTCTGTTGTCCAGGCTGGAGTGCAGTGGCATGATCACGTCTCACTGCAGTCTTGATCTCCTGGGTTTAAGGCTAGACTGCTTAGAGCCCCTGCCCCACTTGTGACTCTCTGAGCCTATGGGAATCCAGAGACGGAAAGGTGGGGTGGGGGGGGTGGGCTCCAGCAGGCCCCAGAGAGACCCTGAACTTTACCTTCCCACTCCAGTTCGTTGCCATTCCCCAGGAACTCCAGCGAGTCGGTCTCATCGGGGGTCTCGATGTCATCCACGTTAATATCCAGGTCATCAGGGGTATCCAAGAAGTCATCGGACAGCAGGGACCCCTCACTCTGATCCAGAGAAATGTTGATCTCTGGGGCCACCAGCGTCTTCCTCTTACGATGCGCTCCGTTGAAATTTAGCGTGTTGGGAGGAGCTGCAGGGAAATGAGAAAAATGGAAAACATCTTTGCTTTCTCTCTTTTACCTTCCCCCCATTTTCCTACCTGGTGGAAGCTGTTTCATCATGCAGGAATGGGAAGAGAGGGTGGGCTCCCTTCTGTATCCATGCCATTGGCGGGGGTGGGCAGAATTAAACCGACATCATCCTGACAGGGGTGAATGTTATAACCTCTGTCCTGTGGGCAAGCCTCAGAGATTAAGGGGATGGATGCTTGGACATTGGGCAGACATGAGTTCAAAGCCTGACTTTGGGCCGGGTGCGGTGGCTCACGCCTGTAATCCCAGCACTTTGGAGGCCGAGGCGGGCAGATCACCTGAGGTCAGGAGTTCGAGACCAGCCTGGCCAACATGGCGAAACCCCATCTCTACTAAAAATATAAAAATTAGCCGGGCACAGTGGTGGCGCCTGTAATCCCAGCTGCTTGGGAGTCTGAGGCAGGAGAATCACTTGAGCCCAGGAGGCGGAGGTTACAGTGAGCCAAGATCGTACCATTGCACTCCAGCCTGGGTGACAGAGTGAAACTCTATCTCAAAAATAAATAAATAAATAAATAAAGGAGAAGAGACATATCTCTTGTGCAGACAAATTGTGAAAGCAGCCCATCTTCTTCTAGGCTTTCTCTGACTCTCACCCTCCTGTCTCCACTCATGAGGATCCTGTAACGATGTCAGGCCACCTGGATAATACAGGATCCAGGATAGTCTCCTATTTTAATCAGAGTGCTCCAGGGAAACAAATCCAATAGGACGTGTGTGTGTGTGTGTGTGTGTGTATACATATTTTTTTCCTATATGTATGGAAAAAAAGAGAGAGGGAGAAATTTATTTTAAGGAATTAGCTCGTGTGATCACAGAGACTGACAAGTCCTCAATCGGCAGGGCAGGCCAGCAGGCGGGACGCCTAGGGAAGAGTTGATGTTGCAAAACCGTCCGCAGGCAGAATTGTCTCTGCCTGGGGGAACCTCAGTCTGTTTCTCTTAAAACCTTCAACTGATTAGATGAGGCCCACCCACATCACAGATGGCTGCCTGCTTTAATCCAAAGTCTGCTAATTTATTTTGTTTTATTTATGTATTTATTTTTTTGAGATGGAGTCTCACTCCGTTACCCAGGCTGGAGTACAATGGTAGGATCTCAGCTCACTGCAACCTCCGCCTCCCAGGTTCAAGTGATTCTCCCACCTCAGCCTCCCAAGTAGCTGGGATTACAGGCATGCGCCACCAAGCCCGACTAATCTTTTTTTGTTTTGTTTTGTTTAGACAGAGTCTCGCCTTGTCACCCAGGCTGGAGTGCAATGGCACAATCTCAGCTTGCTGCAACCTCCGTCTCCTGGGTTCAAGCGATCCTCATGCCTCAGCCTCCTGAGTGACTGGGATTACAGGCAAGTGCCACAATGCCCGGCTAATTTTTTTTTTTTTTTTTTTTTGTATCTTTAGTAGAGACGGGGCTTCACCATGTTGGCCAGGTTGGTCTCAAACTCCTGACCTCGTGATCTGCCCGCCTCGGCCTCCCAAAGTGCTGGGATTACAGGCGTGAGCCACGGTGACCTGCCTTTTTTTTTTTTCTTTTTAAATAGAGACAGGCGGCCGGGTGCAGTGGCTCACGCCCGTAATCCCAACACTTTGGGAGGCCAAGGTGGGAAGATGGCTTGAGCCCAGGAGTTCAAGAGCAGCCTGGGCAACATAGTGAGACCCCATCTCTACAAAAAACTACAAAAATTAACCAGCCATGGTGGTGTGTACCTGTAGTCCCAGCTACTCAGGAGGCTGAGGCAGGAGGATCTCTTGAGCCCAGGAGGTTGAGGCTGCAGTGAGCCATGATCACGCTACTGCACTCCAGCCTGGGCGATACAGTGAGGCTCTGTCTCCAAAAAAATTTTGTTTGGCCCTCACAGGTTTATTTTCCATATTCTGCTTAACTGAATGTCGTTAAGTGGGGCTGGCTGCCAGGTCCTCCCCAGACCCCACCTCTCCCCACGGTGCCAACCTGGGCCCTTTCCCTGCCTCCGGAGGCACGTTGCAATCGCCAGGTTACGGCTAAAACTCTCCTCTGGCCGCCCAGGACTCCCATCCCCGGGATCTGGGGCTTCAGAGCCTGATACATTATGATTTTTTTCCTCTGCTGAAGAAAAAACATGCCAGGCGTGGTGGCTCACGCCCGTAATCCCAGCACTTTGGGAGGCTGAGGCAAGAAGATGGCTTGAGCCCAGGAGTTCAAGAGCAGCCTGGGCAACATAGCTAGATCCCATTTCTACAAAAACTACCAAAATTAGCCAGCCATGGTGGTGTGCACCTGTAGTCCCAGCTACTCAGAAGGCTGAGGCAGGAGGATCTCTTGAGCCCTGGAGGTTGAGGCTGCAGTGAGCCATGATCACGCCACTGCACTCCAGCCTGGATGACAGAGTGTGACCCGGTCTCCCAAAAAATGTATATATTTGGGTCTAATATAAGGTATTACACATTAAAATGTATATGTTTAGAGCTCCAGATAGCAGAGCCTCCCAGTGCACCCTTGGCTGTGCTGACTTTGTGCCTCCAGGGCATTTGGCATCACCTCATTTAATCCTTACATGCCCCCTCTGCGAGAAGCTCGCTACCTACATTTAGTAGATGAGGCATTGGGGCACAGAGAGGCTGAGTGACTAGCACAGGGACACACAGCAACACAGCGTGCTGGCTTCATGAGAGCGCCATCATCCATTGTGTCTCTCACCCACCACGGCCACTTCCACCATAGACCCCAGGACAGAACATTCTACCCACGGTGTGTGGCCTCTGACATTTCTACAGTTACAGCCCCAGGCAGGGCTGAAACCCGGAAACACTGAGCCTGTTTCCGCCCTTCTGTGGACGTGGAAACTTACAGGATGTGTCTTCCACCGGGCTGCCAAGCAGTTCCACCCCCGTCTCTTCTGGGAGTGGCCTGCGGACCCATCCAGGAACAGGCATCAGTCGCCGGGCACCAGAGATTCAGGCAGAGGACAGTGGAGTGGCCCAGACAGGTCCAGCCAGGCGAGTCAGACAAGAACAAAAGCAAAACACATTTAGTTCTGGAGAATCACTGGACCTAAATATATACATTTTTTTGGAGACAGAGCCTCACTGTATCGCCCAGGCTGGAGTGCAGTAGCGTGATCATGGCTCACTGCAGCCTCAACCTCCTGGGCTCAAGAGATCCTCCTGCCTCAGCCTCCTGAGTAGCTGGGACTACAGGTGCACACCACCACGGCTGGCTAATTTTTGTAGTTTTTTGGTTTTTTGTAGAGATGGGGTCTCACTATGTTGCCCAGGTTGCTCTTGAACTCCTGGGCTCAAGCCATCTTCCCACCTCAGCCTCCCAAAGTGTTGGGATTACGGGCGTGAGCCACCACAAGCGCATGTTTTTTCTTTTTCTTTTATTTTTTTCTTTTGAGACAGAGTCTCGCTCTGTCGCCCAGGCTGGATGGAGTAGAGTGGCATGATCTCGGCTCACGGCAACCTCCGCCTCCCGGGTTCAGGCCATTCTTCTGCCTCAGCCTCCTAAGTAAACTGGGACTACAGGTGCCCGCTACCATGCCCGGCTAATTTTTGTATTTTTAGTAGAGACGGGGTTTCACCATATTGGCCAGGCTGGTCTGGAACTCCTGACCTTGTGATCTGCCCACCTCGGCCTCTCAAAGTGCTGGGATTACAGGCATGAGCCACCGCGCCCGCCCAGCATGTTTTTTCTTTAGCAGAGGAAGAAAATTATAACGCATCAGGGCTGAAGGGCTTCTTTTAGATAATCAAATTTATATTAAGCCTTTTGGAGATTTTTGCACGGCTTGAGGAGAATGAAGGTTTTTCCCCAGCATCACATGACTTCAAAAACTTTGAAATAAGTTAGTAAGTTGAATTCTCTCTAGGGCGACCCTGTGGGATTTGGTCTCTGATGAGTTGTTGACTCTCAAATGCAGCAAAAAGTATTAAAAATAAATAAATAGATAAAACCCCCACAAAAACCTGAGTCAACCAGAAGAGATCTCTATGTCAATGCTGGAACAGTTTGTGCAACCAAATAAATAATGAAATATTGAATTATAACCCAAGATGTAAAATAAATGTCTATGAGTCCATACGGATATAAATAAGTCACTGAACAAATAAACAGGAGAGAAGAGACACATTTCTTGTGCAGAAGAATTGGAAATAGTTTATGTACAGTTCTGCCCTCAAGAAGATGAAGGATAGGCCGGGTGCGGTGGCTCACGCCTGTAATCCCAGCACTTTGGGAGGCCGAGGCGTGCGGATCACGAGGTCAGGAGATCGAGACCATCCTGGCTAACATGGTGAAACCCCGTCTCTACTAAAAGTACAAAAAAAATAGCGGGGCGTGGTGGCAGGTGCCTGTAGTCCCAGCTACTCAGGAGGCTGAGGCAGGAGAATGGCATGAACCCAGGAGGCGGAGCTTGCAGTGAGCCGAGATCGTGCCACTGCACTCCAGCCTGGGCCACAGAGCAAGACTCTGTCTCAAAAAAAAAAAAAAAAAAAAAAAAGATGAAGGATAACTCTGTGTAGGCTGTGTATAGTGATGTCATTCCAAAAAATACAGGATGGGCCAGGCGCAGCAGCTCACGCCTGTAATCCCAGCACTTTGGGAGGCTGAGGCAGGAGGATCACTTGAGCTCAGGAATTCGAGACCAGCCTGGACAACATGGTGAAACGCCATCTCTACTAAAAATACAAAAATTAGGCAGGCATGGTGGAGGACACCTGTAATCCCAGCTATCAGGAGGCTGAGGCAGGAGAATCGCTTGAACCCGGGAGGCGGAGGTTGCAGTGAGCCGAGATCGTGCCACTGCTCTCCAGCCTGGGTGACAGAGTGAGACTCCATCTCAAAACAAACAAACAAACAAAACTATCAAGGGCATCAAAACAAGAAAGACAGGGAGACTGCCACAGTCCAGAGGAGTGTCAGGAGATGTGATAACTAAATGTCATCTGGGATCCTGGATGGGGTTGTGGGGCAGAAGGAAAAGGACATTAGGCCAGCCTGGGCAACATGGCGTAACTCTGTCTCTACAAAAATTACAAAGATTAGCTGGACGTGGTGGTGCCTGTAGTCCCAGCTACTCTGGAGGCTGAGGTGGGAGGACTGCTTGAGCCTGGGAGGCGGAGGCTGCAGTGAGGTATGATGGCACCACTGCACCCCAGCCTGGATGACAGAGTGAGACCCTGTCTCTTAAAAAAAAAAAGAGAGAAAAGAAAAAAAAAGAGGACATTAGGAAAAACTTTGAAAATCTAAAAAAGCATGGACTTTGGTAACTAATAACCAATATTGATCAATATTGTTATTGATCAATGTTGATTATCAATAACCAATAGTATCAATATTGATTCATCAATTGTGACAAATATAAAATATACACAGCTAATATAAGATGTTAATTATGGGAGAAACTAGGTTCCCAGTCTACAGGAATTATCTGTACTAACTTTGCAACTTTTTCTTTCTTTTTGAGACAGAAATGCTGGAATTACAGCATGAGCCACCGCACCCGGCCCCAGATCACTTCTTGAAGCCGCAGCCCGTGCTGCCCGAGTTTGACCCAGGAGCACTGGCTCCTTGGCTACCCTGGGAAATATTCCATTCCGGGCAGAACATTTTGCACGGGGCTGCCAGAGGTCCTAGCGGCAGGGCGTGCTGACTCCGGAAAGCCAGGCTACAGCTTAATTCGTCTCTGTAACTCAGCATTCCTGGCTCAGCTGCAAGGCAAGCTGTTTAGATGGAAGGGCGGTGGAATGCATGTTCCTTTCCTTTAAAAAAATGATTTATTGGCCGGGCGTGGTGGCTCATGCCTGTAATCCTGGCACTTAGGGAGGCCGAGGCGGGCGGATCACCTGAGGTCAGGAGTTCAAGACTAGCCTGGCCAAAATGGTGAAACCCAGTCTCTACTGAAAAATACAAAAATTATCTGGGCGTGGTGGTGCGTGCTTGCAGTCTCAGCTACTGGGGAGGCTGAGGCAGGAGAATCACTTGAACCCTGGAGGCGGAGGTTGCGGTGAGCCGAGATCGTGCCATTGCACTCCAGCCTGGGCAACAAAGTGAGACTCTCTCTCAAAAAAAAAAAAAAAAAAAAAAAGATTTATTCCCTCATTTCTGTTCCACTTAGGGCATGAGCTGTTAACCTTTTTGGGGCGGAATCTATTTATGCTTTTTCCCTCTCCCTTTCCCTCCCTCTCTTTTCTCTATTCATCAAATGTTTTTGCGTAACCACTGCGTCTCCAGTGCATCTATGGGGCTTGGAGGTAAAGGAGGAATCAGATGTCACCCTCCTCCTGTTCATGGCAAAGATCAAAATGGAGCGGATTCCCAAAGGAAATGAAAACATCTGTTCACACGAAAACTCATACTTGAATGAACATAATTCATAAAAACCAAAAAGTGGAAACAATTCAAGAGTCCATTGACGGCCAGGCGCGGTGGCTCACGCCTGTCATCCTGGCACTTTGGGAGGCCGAGGAGGGCACATCATGAGGCCAAGAGATTGAGACCATCCTGGCCAACACGATGAAACCCTGTCTGTACTAAAAATACAAAAATTAGCTGGACATGGTGGCGCATGCCTATAATCCTAGCTACTTGGGAGGCTGAGGCAAGAGGATCACTTGAACCTGGGAGGTGGAAGTTGCAGTGAGCTGAAGTCACGCCACTACACTCCAGCCTGGGGACAGAGTGAGACTCTGTCTCAAAAACAAACAAACAAACAAACAACACCAGTCCATTAACAGCTGACTGGATCAACAAATGTGGTATATCCATTCAATGGAATACTATTTAGCCCTGAAAAGGAACAGGGCTCTGACACAGACCACAGCATGGATGCACCTTGAGGACATCATGCTCAGTGAGAGATGCCAGACACAAAAGGCCACACAGTGTGTGATTCCAATTACATGAAATGTTGGCTGAGTGTGGTGGCTTATGCCTGTAATCCCAGCACTTTGAAAGGCTGATGCGGGCGGGTTCATTGAGCCCAGGAGTTCAAGACCAGTCGGGGCAACATGGCGAAAGCCCGTCTCTACTAAAAATACAAAACAATTAGCTGGGTGTGGTGGTACACGTCTAGTTCCAAGTACTCAGGAGGCTGAGGCAGGAGGATTGCTCTAACTTGGGAGGTCGAGGCTGCAGTGAGCTATGATTGCACCACTGCACTCCAGCCTAGGTGAAAGAGTGACACCCTGCTCAAAACAGAAAAGAAAAGAAAAAAAAAAGAGATGTTTAGAACACGTAAATTCTCACAGGAAGTAGATGTGTGGTCACTGGGGTTGGGGGAGAGGGATGAAAATGGGGCTGACTTAGTAGATAGGATTTCCTCTCACGGTGATGAAAATGTCTTCAAATTAGATAGATGTGGGGTTGCAGAACATTATGAATGGACTCTGCCACTGAATCATGAACTTTAAAATGATGAATTCATGTTATGAGAATTCCACCTCAATTTTTTATATTTTTTAAATTTTATTTTACTTATTTAATTTTTGAGACGGAGTTTCACTCTTTTGCCCAGGCTGGAGTGCAGTGGCACAATCTTGGCTCACTGCAACCTCCATCTCCCGGGTTTAGGCGATTCTTGTGCCTCAGCCTCCAGAGTAGCTGTGATTATAGGCGCCCACCACCATGCTCAGCTGATTTTTGTGTTTTTAGTAGAGATGGGGTTTCACCACGTTGGCCAGGCTGGTCTCGAACTCCTGAGCTCAGGAGATCCACCTGCCTCGGCCTCCCAAAGTGCTGAGATTACATGCGTGAGCCACTGTACTTGGCCTCACCTCAATTTTTTAAAAAGCAAGCTTTGGCTGGGCATGAGGTGGCACACGCTTGTAATCCCAGCACTTTGGGAGGCTGAGGTGGGAGGATCCCTTGAGCCCAGGAGTTTGAGATCAGCCTGGGCAACACAGCGAGACTCCATCTCTATAAAAAATAAAAAGCCAGGCATGGTGGCGTGTCCCTGTAGTCCCAGCTATTTGGGAAGCCAAGGTGGGAGGATCAGCTGAGCCCAGGAGGTCAAGGCTGCAGTGAGCCATGATCGAGCCACTGCACTCCAGCCTGGATGACAGAGCGAGGCGATATAGATAGATATAGATATAGATATAGATATAGATTTTGCTATATATATATATATATATAGCAAACTTCAAAGAAAGGACTGAAGAATGAACTGACCTGCTCATTCAGAAGGTTAACCCAAACCAGCGCTGCAAAATTGCAGGCTGATGGCTGATGCACCAAGCCTAGTTATGTCCCACCCATGCAGCATTTAAAAACATTTTCCATTTGCTGTCGAAGAAGAGATGCAAAAAGTCTAGATTTCTGGCTGGGCGTGGTGGCTCATGCCTCAGTAATCCCAGCGCTTTGGGAGGCTGAGGCGGGTGGATCATCTGAGGTCAGGAGTTCGAGACCAGCCTGGTCAGCATGGCAAAACCCTGTCTCTAATAAAAACACAAAAATTAGCCGGGCATGGTGGCGGGCGCCTGTAATCCCAGCTATTGGTGAGGCTGAGGCAGGAG
The DNA here is from genome assembly GCF_000001405.40 of Homo sapiens. Lineage (NCBI taxonomy): Eukaryota > Metazoa > Chordata > Mammalia > Primates > Hominidae > Homo > Homo sapiens. The sequence goes on along the minus strand of NC_000019.10, from coordinate 3,896,883 downwards.
AATCGCTTGAACCTGGGAGGTGGAGGTTGCAGTGAGCCGAGATCGTGACACTGCACTCCAGCCTGGGCAACAGAGCGAGACTCCGTCTCAAAACAAACAAACAAACAACCACTTGCCCAGCCAGGGTCCCTGTCCAGCCACCATCTCCTCCCGCCAGAGGAAAGCCCCATTGCTTTGCAGCCGGCACTGCCTTCGATTCTCAAGATGTGATTTAGCCTCATAACCTTGGACGGTCCACACAGACTCTACGTAGGCTGTGAACTGAGTGGACCATTGCTGGGCTGCAGCTGAAATATGAAGCTGTAGAAAGCATCTCAGGCCGGGCGCAGGGGCTCATGCCTGTAATCCCGGCACTTTGGGAGGCCGAGGCAGGTGGATCATCTGAGGCCAAGAGTTCAAGACCAGCCTGGCCAACATGGTGAAACCCCGTCTCTACTAAAAACACAAAATTAGCTGGGTGTGGTGGCACGTGCCTGTAATCTCAGCTACTCGGGAGGCTGAGGCAAGAGAATCGCTTGAACCCGGGAGGTGGAGGTTGCAGTGAGCTGAGACCGTGCCACTGCACTCCAGCCTGAGTGACAGAGTGAGACTCTGTCTCGAGAAAAAAAAAAAAAAAGGGATGTGATTCAACCTCACAACATTGGATGGTCCACACAGATTCTACATTGGCTGTGAACTAGGTGGACCACTGCTGGGCTGCAGCTGAAATGTGAAGCTGTAGAAAGCATCTCAGACTGGGCGCAGGGGCTCATGCCGGTAATCACAGCACTTTGGGAGGCTGAGGAGGGAGGATCACTTAAGCCCAAGAGTTGAAGACAAGCCTGGCCCACACAGCAAGACCCCATCACTACTAAAAATTTAAAAATTAGCCCAGCATGATGGCTCATGCCTGTGATCCCAGCTACTCAGCAGGCTGAGGTGGGAGGATCTCTTGAGACTAGGAGTTCGAGACTAGCCTGGGCAACATAGTGAGACCCCATCTCTACAAAAAATACAACATATTAGCCAGGCATGGTGGCATGCACTTGTAATCCCAGCTACTAAGGAGGCTGAGGCAGGAGGATCGTTTGAGTCCGGGAGTTTGAGGCTGCAGTGAGCTGTGATTGGCACCACTGCACTCCCGCCTGAGCAACAGAGCAAGAGTCTATCAAAAAAAAAAAAAAAAAAGAAAAGAAAAGAAAGAAAAAAAGAAAGCATCTCAGCTGCACATACTGGGAAAGTGAGGAAAGCAGGAGAAAGGGTGGGAATGCCTAAGAGAGTCTCAGAGAGTCTGAGCACAACTCCCAGCCCTGCCACTCCATCCAGCGCTACGAGTCTGGGTGGTGCCTTCTCCTCCCTGAGCCTCTGTTTTCCTCATGACTAAAATGGGGGCCAGGCGCGGTGGCTCACACCTGTAATCCCAGCACTTTGGGAGGCCGAGGCGGGCAGATCACCTGAGGTCAGGAGTTCGAGACCAGCCTGGCCAACGTGGTGAAACCCCATCTCTACTAAAAATACAAAAATTAGCTGGGTGTGGTGGTGCATGCCTGTAACCCCAGCTACTCAGGAGGCTGAGGCAAGAGAATGGCTTGAACCCAGGAAGCGGAGGTTGCAGTGAGCTGAGATCGTGCCATTGCACTCCAGCCTGGCGACAGAGTGAGACTCCGTCTCAAAAACAAAAACAAAAACTGCAGCATTAGCTCTTACCTGACAGTTTCCAGCCTGCCCTGTGGATTTTGGACTTGGTGGTTCCCAGGATTGTGCAAAGCAATTCCTGGCTTGAGACCATGTATATAAAGGAAGACAATAAGCAAATAAGTGAACAAGGCAGATAGTGATGCTTACGGCAAAGAAAATGAATGAAATAAAGGAGAGGAGAGAGAGAGAAAAAAATCTGTGGGGTGGTCAGGGAAGGCCTCATTGAGGAGGCAGCTTTTTTTTTTTTTTTTTTTTTTTGAGACAGGGTCTTGCTCTGTTGCCCAGCCTAGAGCACAGTAGTGAAATCATAGCTCACTGCAGCCTCAAATTCCTGGGCTCAAGGGATCCTCCTGTCTCAGTCTTCTGAGTAGCTGGGACCCTAGGTGTGCACCACCACACCCGGCTAATTATAAAATTTTTTGTAGAGACAGGGTCTTACTGTGGTGCCTAGGCTGGTCTTGAACTTCACATTTCAAGCAATTCTCCTGCCTCAGCTTCCTAAAGTGATGGGATTACAGGAGTGAGCTGCCACACCTGGTTAATTTTTCAGGTTTTTACAGTTTTTTTTTTTTTTTTTTTTTGCAGACACAGGGTCTCGCCATGTTGCCCAGGCTGGTCTCAAATTCTTGGGCTCAAGCAATCCTCCTACCTCAGCCTCTCAAGTAGCTGGGACTACCAGCACACACTACTATGTCCAGCTAATTTTTTTTTTTTTTTTTTTTTGAGACGGAGTCTCACTCTGTCACCCAGGCTGGAGTGCAGTGGCGCGATCTCAGGTCACTGCAAGCTCCGCCTCCCGGGTTCACGCCATTCTCCTGCCTCAGCCTCCCGAGTAGCTGGGACTACAGGCGCCTGCCACCACGCCCAGCTAATTTTTTGTATTTTTAGTAGAGACGGGGTTTCACCGTGTTAGCCAGGATGGTCTCGATCTCCTGACCTCGTGACCTGCCCGCCTCGGCCTCCCAAAGTGCTGGGATTACAGACGTGAGCCACCGCGCCCGGCCACCCAGCTAATTTTTATATTTTTCTGCAGATGGGGTCTTGCAGGCTGGTCTTGAACTCCTGGGCTCAAGTGATCCTCCCGCCTTGGCCTCCCAGAGTGCTGGGATTACAGGAGTGAGCCACTGTGCCTGGCTGGAAGCGACTTTTAAGTGTAGACTTTTAAGCATGATGTTGGCGTCCTGCAGAGACCAGGCAAGAGCACTCCAGATGGAAGGCACTGCAGAGGCCCAGGCTCCGGGACTGGAATAAGCTTGCCAAGTTCAAGGGCAGATCAGAAAGCAGACTCAGGGTGCCTGGCGCAGAGAGAGCAGTGGGGGAGGAGGGAGTGGTTGGAGGATGGAGGGTAGGGAGGGAGGGCCAGGGAGAGGCAGTGCCTCGGGGATGGGATGAGGTCCTGAGGCTGAGCTGCCAGTTGCAGTGGATGTTCAGGAAAGGTTTAAGATCATGCAGAACTGGAGAAGCCGACCTGGCAGGGCTCCAGGCTCCCTGAAGGAAGACCCACTGCTCTGGAACATGGGTGGAGCAAGCTCTCCCCGCCTGTTCATGGAGCTGCAGTTTCCAAGGTCAGGTGAGATCCTGTTACTTCCGCAAGCTCCAGGAGAACCGCAGACTCTCCAGACTTGGAGATCCCCTCCGTGGCCCTGGGGTATAATATATCCACTTAGCCCTCTGCAGAGCCGGCTCTCAAAGTCCATGATGGGCAATCCAGGTAAAAAGTGGAAATCCTAGCCGGGCATGGTGGCTCACACCTGTAATCCCAGCACTTTGCGAGGCCGAGGCAGGTGGATCATAAGGTCAAGCGATCAAGACCAGCCTGGCCAACATGGTGAAACCCCGTCTCTACTAAAAATACTAAAATTAGCCTGGCATGGTGGCACATGCCTGTGGTCCCAGCTACAGCTACTTGGGAGGCTGAGGCAGGAGAGTCGCTTGAACCCAGGAGGCGGAGGTTGCAGTGAGCTGAGATCATGCTACTGCACTCCAGCCTGGGCGACAGAGCAAGTCTCCGTCTCAAAAAAAAAAAAAAAAAAAAGTGGGGGTCCCCCCCACATGCAAGATGCACAGCGTGGCTTCGTCCTGCTGAGGTGGGTTGGATCGTGTTCCCCTAAAAGAGATAAGTTTAAGTCCCAGTGCCTGGTGAGACACATACCCCAGTAAACACACAACCCAGTATACTCAACCTGATGCAATGAGTGGTCCCAGATTGGGTCTTGGACCCAGGGTTTGGGGCAGGGGCATTAGCTAAATAGGGACATGGGACATTATCGGTACAATTGAGGGTAAATTTTTTTTTTTGGAGACAGAGTCTTGCTGTGTTGCTCAGGCTAGAGTGTGGCGGCACAATCTGGGCTCATTGCAACTTCTGCCTCCTGGGTTTAAGCAATTCTCCTGCTTCAGCCTCCCCAGTAGCTGGGATTACAGGTGCCCGCCACCACACCCAGTTGATTTTTGTATTTTTAGTAGAGACGGGGTTTCACCATGTTGGCCTAGGCTGGTCTTGAACTCCCGACCTCAGGTGATCCACCTGCCTTGGCCTCCCAAAGTGCTGGGATTACAGATGTGAGTCACCGCACCCAGCCCTGAGGGCTGACTTTGATATAAAAGGAGCAAAATGTTAACAATTGTATAATCCTACTAAAGGTATGCAGATATTCTTTATATCATTCTTGTAATTTTTTTCCAAGTTTGGAAGTATATCAAATAGGCCAGGCGCAGTGGCTCATGCCTGTAATCCCAGCATTTTGGGAGGCTGAGGTGGGAGGATCATTTGAACCCAGGAGTTTGAGACCAACCTGGGCAACACAGTGAGACCCTGTCTCTACAGAAAATAAAACATAGCTGGGTGTGGTGGCATATGCCTGTGGTCCCAGGTATTCAGGGGGCTGCAGTGGGAGGATCGCCTCAGCCTGGGATGTGGAGGCTGTAGTGAGCTATGATCGCACCACTGCACTCCAGCCTGGGTGACAGAGCAAGACCCCGTCTGGAAAAAAAAAAAAAATTAAAAAGTTACAAGCAGCTGGGCATGGTGGCTCACGCCTGTAATCCCAGCACTTTGGGAAGCTGAGGCGGGTGGATCACTTGAGGTCAGTAGTTCGAGACCAGCCTGACCAATATGGTGAAACCCCATCTCTGCTAAAAATACAAAAATTAGCTGGGCGTGGTGGTGGGCGCCTGTAAACTCAGCTATTTGGGAGGCTGAGGCAGGAGAATTGCTGGAACCTGGGAAGTGGAGGTTGCAGCGAGCCGAGGTCACGTCATTGCATTCCAGCCTGGGCGTTGCAGCGAGACTCTGTTTCAAATAAATAAATAAATAAAACCCCCCAGAAAACCCAAAACAAACAAAGAAAAAGTTACAAGCAAGCAAACAAAACTGGCAGCCACTCAGCTGTGAGGGGAAGAGAGTAGAGGGAGCTATGGGGCAGCTCACCCTGCATCTGACCCTCCTTGGCTAGGATGCCCTGGGTAAGCTCCTCCCCCAAGTCCTCAGTTTCCCCACGCAGCCTTCCCCAGTCCCTCAACCTGCTTCCACTGAGCCCAGAGCCTTTGCACATGCTGCCCTCTCTGCTTGGAATGTGGGGCCCCTACACCCCACTTCCTTCCCCGGCTCATCCCTCCTCACCCTTCACAGCCAAGAATCACAGCTCCCCTTCCCTCCCTGGCCTGGTCAGAAGTGCCATGAACCCAGCTGCCACCTTGTATTGGGTTGTGAGGCTATAAGGGACTGGTATACAGTTGGCGCATAGCATCAGAATGAATGAATGGAGAAATTGAGGCAGCAATCTCCGGGCTGCCTTCAGCTCTAGCTCCGTAGTAGGCTGCAGAAGGGTGAGAGTGAAGGAAAATGCTAGAAGGAGGCCGGGCGCGTGGCTCACACCTGTAATCCCAGCACTTTGGGAGGCCGAGGCAGGCGAATCACTTGAGGTTAGGAGTTCGAGACCAGCCTGGCCAACATGGTGAAACCCTGTCTCTAACGAAAATACAAAAATGAGCCAGGCATGGTGGTGCGTACCTGTAATCCCAGCTACTTGGGAGGCTGAGGCAAGAGAATTGCTCGAAACCAGGAAGTGGAGGTTGCAGTGAGCTGAGGTTGCACCACTGCACTCCAGCCTGGGTGATACACTGAGACTCTGTCTCCAAAAAAAAAAAAAAAAGTGCTAGAAGGGCAGAGGCCATGCAGGGCTCTGTCTGACACCCTTAAGGGCAGTACAAAGACCACTTCTGCAGTCCCCAGGGGAGGGGATGGCTGGGCTGGAAGAAACAGAATTGTGAGCTGTTTTGCGGCAGACAGAGGTGGTTATGTGTGGCCGCAGCTGGACCTGCACCGAGGAGCCGACTCAGTTCTTCCAGAGACGAGGAAGACAGAAGCCTCGTGGAGGAAGTGTCCTGTTGGCAAAGGCGTAGCTCGTGGGGGCCAGGCTGGCACAGCGAGGCCACTGTCCTGCAAACACAAAGCTGCTGCAGCGGGTGGGCGAGAAGCCTTGCAGCTGTAAGAAATCCACCAGAAACACACCCTCCTCCCGCTCCCGCTGGCCTCGCGCCTTCCAGAAAGGGCCTCCAGCTTGCATTTGCAGGTGCGCTCGGCCTTGGTTTTTGTCTCAAGAAGGCTTGGGTGAGATGAGAGCTTTTAAAATTATCGGTGGAGGCCGGGTGTGGTGGCTTGCGCCTGTAATCCCAGCACTTTGGGAGACCGAGGTAGGCGGATCACTTGAGGTTGGGAGTTCGAGACCAGCCTGGCCAACATGGTGAAACCCCGTCTCTACCAAAAATACAAAAATTAGCTGGGTGTGGTGGTGTGTGCCTGTAATCCCAGCTACTCGGGAGGCTGAGGTGGGAGAATTGCTTGAACCCGGGAGGTGGAGGTTGCAGTGAGCCGAACTCGCGCCACTGCACTCCAGCTTAGGTGACAGAGTGAGACTTTGTCTGCAAAAAAAAAAAAAAAAAAAAAAAAAAAAAAAATTATAGGTGGAGCTGGGCCCAATGGCTCACACCTGTAATCCTAGCACTTTGGGAGGTGGGCAGATCACCTGAGGTTGAGAGTTCGAGACCAGCCTGGCCAACACGGTGAAACCTCGTCTCTACTAAAAATACAAAGATGAGCTGGGCGTGGTGGCAGATGCCTGTAATCCAGCTACTTGGGAGGCTGAAGCAGGAGAATCACTTGAACCCAGGAGGTGGAGGTTGCAGTGAGCTGAGATGGCGCCACTGCACCCCAGCCTGGGTGACAGAGCGAGACTCTGTCTCAAAAAAAAAAAAAGAAAAGAAAAGTAAAGAAATAAAAAAAAATCAGTAGGGGGAAAGGGAGCTAAGCTAATAATAGTAATAACGCTGGAGATGATTATTTATTTGTGCTGCCTTCGCCATTTGCACAGCCCATCTCGGCTGTTTTATCAAAATTTCATGACCACCTGGTGCGCGAGAGATTATTGTCCTATTTTACAGATCAGAAAACAGAGGCACTGAGATGCCCAAAGAGGTAGCCCAGGTGGCAGAGCAAACCTGCTGGGGAATTGGGATTTGAACCATGGGCGTCCGATTCCAAAGCTTATGCGCCTTTGTTTATGCTGTGCTGCTTGAAATGACATTATTTTAAAATTATTATTATTTTTCTTAGATATGCAGTCTTGCTCTGTTGTCCAGGCTGGAGTGCGGTGGTGTGATCATAGCTCACTGCTGCGATGTCCCAAGTCCAAACAATCCTCCTGCCTCAGCCTCCTGAGTAGCTGAAACTACAGGTGCACACCAGCATACCTGACTAATTTTTTTTTATTTTTTATTTTTATTTATTTATTTTGAGACGGAGTCTCACTCTGTCGCCCAGGCTGGAGTTCAGTGGTGCGATCTTGGCTCACTGCAACCTCCGCCTCCCGCGTTCAAGCGATTCTCCTTCCTCAGCTTCCCGAGTAGCTGGTATTACAGGCATGGGCCACCACGCCCGGCTAATTTTGTATTTTTAGTAGAGACGGGGTTTCTCCATGTTGGTCAGGCTGGTCTCAAACTCCTGACCTCAGGTGATCTGCCAGCCTTGGCTTCCCAAAGTGCTAGGATTATAGGTGTGAGCCACTAGGCCCAGCCAGTTTTTGTTTGTTTTTTGTTTTTTTAAGAGACGAGGTCTTGCTATGTTGCCCAGGCTAATCTCAAACTCCTGGGCTCAAGCGATCCTCCCGCCTTGGCCTCCCAAAGAGCTGGGATTACAGACATCAGCCTCCGCTCCCAGCCGTGATTCTCTGATTCTCGGCTATTCTGAGAACAGGGACCTCCTGCTGCAAAGAAACACAGACAGGTGCATGGGCCTTAGAGGCCTGGCAATGACTGGATTCAGGAGAGGGCTGAAGTTCTTGAATATCAAGATGCCGTCTTCAACAGTCCTCCTTCTGCCTGGACATGAATGGGAAGGAAGCTCTCGGCCTCCCACACCAGCCTGACTCATTTTGAAGGAGACCGATTACTTCAAGGCATTCTTCTGTATCTCCTTCAAACCCCATTCTCTTTTAAGTTCGTTCTTTTGGCCTCGTTCTGCCCTCCGGAACCCTCTCAGATTGAAATTTTCCTGGAACTGGAGATTCTGTTTTTTTGAGACACTCTCACTCACTCTACTGCCCGGGCTGGAGTCCAGTGGCGCGATCTCGGCTCACTGCAACCTTCGCCTCCCGAGTTCCAGCAGTTTTCCTGCCTCAGCCTCCTGAGTAGCTGGGATTACAGGTGCCCACCACCACGCCCGACTAATTTTTGTATTTTTAGTAGAGACGGGGTTTCACCATGTTGTCCAGGCTGGCCTCGAACTCCTGACCTCAAGTGATTTGCCCGCCTCGGCCTCCCAAACTGTTGGGACTGCAGACGTGAGCCACTGTGCGCGGCCTGGAGATTCTTTTCCAATTCTCTTTTTCAGGCGGAACACACCTGGTCTTTTTGACTGAACCTCACCCAATAGTTTCTATAACTGACCCTTGGGCATTGTGTTTGGGGGATGGATGAATTCCTGGTTCTGAAAGGGAAGAGGGATGAGCAGCTATCTTTAGCCAGCAAATCAGAGTCACACGTCTCAACAGCAAATTCGCACAGCTTCCTTTCCATGTAGTATTTTTTTTTTTTTGAGACGGAGTCTCACACTGTCACCCGGGCTGGAGTGCGGTGGCACATCTCGGCTCACTGCAACCTCTGCCTCCCGGGTTCAAGTGATTCTCCTGCCTCAGCCTCCCGAGTACTGGGGATTACAGGCGTGCACCACCATGCCCAGCTAATTTTTTTTAATTTTTATTTTTAGTAGAGACAGGGTTTCACTATGTCGGCCAGGCTGGTCTCAAATTCCTGACCTTGTGATCTGCCCACCTTGGCCTCCCAAAGTGCTGGGATTACACACACCTGAGCCACAGCGACCGGCCTTTTTTTTTTTTTTCCTCTCTTTTTAAATAGAGACAGGTGGTAGGGCGCGATGGCTCACGCCTGTAATCCCAGCACTTTGGGAGGCCGAGGTGGGCGGATCACGAGGTCAGACGATCGAGACCATCCTGGCTAACATGGTGAAACCCCGTCTCTACTAAAAATACAAAAAATTAGCCGGGCGTGGTGGCGGGTGCCCGTAGTCCCAGCTACTCGGGAGGCTGAGGCAGGAGAATGGCGTGAACCCGGGAGGCGGAGCTTGCAGTGAGCCAAGATCGCGCCACTGCACTCCAGCCTGGGCGACAAAGCGACACTCTGTCTCAAAAATAAATAAATAAATAAATAAAATAAAAAAAATAAAATAAAATAGAGACAGAGTCTCGCTCTGTCACCCAGACTGGAGTGCAGGGCTGCAATCATGGCTCGCTGCAACCTCTGCCTTCTGGGCTCAAGGGATCCTCCTGTCTCAGCCTGCCAAGTAGCTAAGACTGCAGGTGCACACCACCATGCCCAGCTAATTTTTTTTTTTTTGGTAGAAATGGGGTCTCACTATCTTGCCCAGGCTGGTTTCGAACTCTTGAGCTCTATCAATCCCCCCAGCCTGAGCCTCTGTAAGTGCTGGGATCATAGGCGTGAGCCACCGTGCCCAGCCCCTGTGATTTCTTATTCTGACCAGTGATCAGCACCTGTCACCCAATATTTGTTAAGCGCCGACTGTATGCCAGGCACTATCCTTAGGTTGGGATACAGCAGTGAGCTAAACAAAGACCCCTGCTCTTGTGGCGCTCCGTGTGGTGGGGAGACAGAGTGTAGACAAGATGTCCCTGCAAAATGTTCAGCGTAGGGGCCGGGCGCGGTGGCTCTTGCCTGGAATCCAAGCACTTTCGGAGTTCGAGACTGGCCTGGCCAACATGGTGAAATCCGGTCTCTACTAAAAATAGAAAAATCAGCCAGATGTGGTGGCGGGTGCCTGTAATCCAAGCTACTCGGGGGCATGAGGAAGGAGAATCACTGGAACCCAGGACCTGGAGGTTGCAGTGACCTGAGATCGTGCCACTGCACTCCAGCCTGTGGGACAGAGTGAGACTCAAAAAAAAAAAAAAAAAAGTTCAGCATGTTAGGGGAGGTAAGTGTCTCCTAAAGGCTGCTAATAAATCACCATGGTGCCTCAGCCTCCCGAGTAGCTGGAATTATAGGCGCATGACACCATACCCAGCTAATTTTTTTTTTTTTCTTTTGAGATGGAGTCTCACCTGTCGCCCAGGCTGGAGTGCAGTGGCGCGATCTCGGCTCACTGCAAGCTCCGCCTCCTGGGTTCACGCCATTCTCCTGCCTCAGCCTCCCGAGTAGCTGGGACTACAGGCGCCTGCCACACACCCGGCTAATTTTTGTATTTTTAGTAGAGATGGAGTTTCACCATGTTAGCCAGGATAGTTTCCATCTGCTGACCTCATGATCCGCCCGCCTCGGCCTCCCAAAGTGCTGGGATTACAGGCATGAGTCACTGCGCCCGGCATGCCCAGCTAATTTTTGTAGTTTTAGTAGAGACGCGGTTTTGCCATGTTGGCCAGGCTGGTCTCGAACTCCTGACCTCAAGTGATCCGCCCACCTCGGCCTCCCAAAGTGCTGGGATTACAGGCGTGAACCGCCGCGCCCAGCCAGAATGTTAAGAACTCTTAAAATGGTGTAGGGGTGGGGGGTCCTTTGGAGCTTTGGGGCAGGGAAGACAGAAATGAATCTTAAATCATTGAGCAAATACCCATTATGTGCCTGGCCAGGACTACCCCACTGTGAGGCCACAGAGAAGACTCGCACACAGGGCCTCAGGCCTCCCAGAGTGTGCGGGAGAGGAGGACGCGGAGATGGAACCAGGCCAGCCCCGGGCGGTTCCCACTTAGAGAGAGACCCGGGCCGCTCCTGTGTCCCACCTGGGAGAGACACCTGCTCCCCCAACGGTTGACTCAGGGATGTGGAAGTCCTACCTGGGAAGATCTTCGTCCTGCCATTCCTCCTTCACGTCCACGTTTTCCATCCGGAGCGTGGCTTCGGTGGTCCCCATGGGAGCTGGGAAGAGGCACTGGCTTGAAGCAGGGATGACCCCTGAAAGGAAGCCGCAGAGGAATGGGTTTTACTGGACAATAGTCCTAATGACAATCGTCTACCCCATGCAGCTCTTCCCCCTCCCACTCCCCCTCCGTCTCCCCCTCCCCCTTCCCCTCCCCCTCTCTCCTTTCTCCTCTCCTCTCTCCTTCTCCTTCTTCTTCTTCTTTTTTGAGACGGAGTCTTGCTCTGTTGCCCAGGCTGTAGTGCAATGGTGCCATCTCAGCTCACTGCAACATCCACCTTCCAGGCTCAAGCGATTCTCCCGCCTCAGCCTCCCAAGTAGCTGGGGTTACAGGCACCCATCACCACGCCTGGTTAATTCTTGTATTTTTAGTAGAGACAGGGTTTCGCCATGTTGGCCAGGCTGGTCTCGAACTCCTGACCTCAGGTGATCCTCCTGCCTTGGCCTCCCAAAGTGCTGGGATTACAGGCTTGAGCCATCACACCCGGCTAATTTTTGTATTTTTAATAGAGACGGGGTTTCACTGTGTTGGCCAGGCTGGTCTCAAACTCCTGAGCTCAAGCGGTCTACCCGCCTCAGCCTCCCAAAGTGCTGGGATTACAGGGGTGAGCCACTGAGCTTGGCTGTTTTTTTTTTTTTTTTTTTTTTTTTTAAAAAAAAAAACATGATCTTGCTCTGTTGCCTGGGCTGGAGTGCAGGGGCACAATCATGGCTCATGGCAGCCTTGAACTCCTGGGCTTAAGCAATCCTCCTGCCTCAGCCCCCCACCAGTAGCTGTGACCACAGGTGTGTACCATCATGCCTGGGTAATTTTTTAAAATCTTTTTTTAAGAGATTGGGTCTTGCTATGTTGGCCAGGGTGGTCTCAAACTCTTGGGCTCAAGCAATCCTCCTGCCTCGGCCTCTCTAAGCGCTGAGATTACAAGGGTAAACCACTGTGCCCGGCCAGCACTTCTTATTGAACCATCACCGAGCCCCATGAGGTTCCCCTGTTTTACAGATGAGAAAACAGAGGCACAGAGAGCTTAGGATGCACAGTGGGGTTCAGAGTTTGAACGTGGGCGAGAGGCTGAGCCTTCAGATACAAGTCCTGCTCCCTTGGAAACTTCGAAATCTACCTTCTCCAGGGTGAGCCATGACCCAGATAGACTTACCCTCCCTCTTGTGCCTTGGACCTCAACTAGAAAGCAAGAAATCCAAACAGTCATTCATACTAAAGTGTGAATGGCTGATATACTTCAGCTTCCGTGCTGGGAATGCCAAGTTCAAAGAGAATCCAGTAGGCTCTAACCCATCGCTATCTGCCATATGTACCAGGCCACCTGTCCTGCCTCTCTGTCCTCCCTCAAGCAAGTCCTAGTGACTTTCTGACTCCAGGGCTCACTAAGGCAGTGTGGAAAGAGACTGGGGTTAGAAAGGAGACCCTCATCTTTACTACCACAAAATGCCACTTTATTTATTTATTTATTTATTTAGAGACGGGGTCTTGCTCTGTCGCCCAGGCTGGAGTGCAGTGGTGTGATCCCAGCTCACTACAGCCTCCAACTCCTGGGCTCAAGCGATCCTCCTGCCTCAGCCTCCCAAGTATCTGGGACCACGAGTGTGTGCCATCATGCCTGGCTAATTTCTCTGATCTTGGTATGTCACCCAGGCTGGTCTTGAACTTTCGGGCTCAGGTGATCCTCTTGCCTCAGCCTCCCAGAGCGCTGGGATTACAGGTGTGAGCCACTGTGCCGCCCCACCCCCCACACCAGTTTTGTTTTTCTTGTTCTGAGGAGCTCACTGGGGGCAGGGGCAGGGGCAGGGCAGGGGGGAGCAGTCTGGGTGGGGGCCAGGATCAGAGCTGCCAGGTGAGACTGAGTTGTGGTCTGCTCTGGGGCATGGCAGACTCTCAGACCATCTCCCTCTCTGGGTCTCAGTTTCCCTTTCTGTAAACAAAAGAGTTGAATTAGAGATGACCTCTAAGATACCTTTTGGACATAACATACCAGCATCTTATGACTCAACCAACCCCATCTGTTTTGGGCTTTGAAACCAGTGCTTTGCACCTGTGGACAATTCTGCCTCCCCTGCTGCAAGGGGACACTTGGCATTGTCTAGAGGCACTTTTGTCACAACTGAGGGGAAGGAGTGCCCCCTGGGCAGGCCAGGGGTGCTGCTCAGCACCTTACAGTGCCCAGGATGGCCGCCCATGACCAAGAATGACTGGGTCCCAAATATCCATAGATCCAAGGTGGAGAAACCTTGTCTTAAAGGCAATAGTCATTTCTGTGTGCATTCCCGTGTTTGCGAAAGGATTTCAGGCCTGTGTCCGGCAGTCATTATAGAGTATTGTACACTCTGTCCTTCCATTACCTCTGTCTGTCTCTCAACAGCTTCCGAGTAGCTAGATCCACTTTTTTTGTTGTCATTTTTTTTTTGAGACAGAGTCTCGCTCTGTCGCCCAGGCTAGAGTGCAGTGGTGCGATCTCGGCTCACTGCAACCTCCACCTCTTGAGTAGCTTGGACTACAGGCGCGTGCCACCACGTCCAGCTAATTTTTGTATTTTTAGTAGAGATGGGGTTTCACTATATTGGCCAGGCTGGTCTCGAACTCCTGACCTCATGATCCACCTGCCTCCCAAAGTGCTGGGATTACAGGTGTGAGCCACCCTGCCGGGCCACTAGATCCACTTTTTAAAGCGTCTAGGGGCTGGGTGCAGTGGTGCATGCCTGGAATTCCAGCACTTTGGGCAGATCACTTGAGACCAGGGGTTCGAGACCAGCCTGGGCAACACAGCAAGACCCCATCTCTCAAAAAAAAAATACAAAAACTAACCAAGCACAATGGTGGGTGCCTGAGGTCTTAGCTATTCAGGAGGCTGAGGTGGGAGGATTGAGCCCAGAAGGTCAAGACCAGCCTGGGCAACATAGCAAGACACCATCTCTACGAAAAGCAAAAACAAAAACAAAAATTAATTAAATTTGGTGGGTGCCTGAAGTCACAGCTGTTCAGGAGGCTGAGGTGGGAGGATTGCCTGAGCCCAGGAGGTGGAGGCTGCAGTGAGGTATGATTGTGCCACCACATTCCAGCCTGAGCAACAGAGTGAGGTTCTATTTCAGAAAATAAAATAAAATAAAATAAGGCATCTGGCTGGTGCGGTGGCTCACACCTGTAATCCCCAGCACTTTGGGAGGCTGAGATAGGAGGATCGCTTGAGCCTGGAAGGTCAAGACCAGCCTGGGCAACATAGCAAGTCCCCATCTCTTAAAAAAAAAAAAATACAAAAATTAACCAAACATGGTGATGGGTGCCTGGTGCCTGAAGTCCCAGCTATTCAGGAGGCTGAAGTTGGAGGATCGCTTGAGACCAGGAGGTCGAGACTGCAGTGAGCTATGATCATGCCACTGCTTTCCAGCCTGAGCAACAGAGACCCTACTTCAAAAAATAAAATAAAAGATAAAGCATCTGGCTGGGGGCAGTGGCTCACACGTGTAATCCCAGCACTTTGCGAGGATCGCCTGAGCACAGGAGGTTAAGACCAGCCCGGGCAAGATAGCAAGACCCTGTCTCAAAAAAACCAAATACATGAAGCATCTAAGGCCCCCAACTCTCATGGCATCCAGGCTGCCTCTCTGTGGAGTAGGTTACCTGCAGCCCCCCAGCATAGATATCGGGTTTGCATCGGGGACAGGGGACTGTGGCTTAGCAAGGAAGGACCCAGAGGCAGCCTCAGCCAGATGAGGAAGTGGGGGGAGGGGACGGCTAAAACTAGACCCTCCCCCGTACAGGGTGAGCGTTTCTCACTCGATTCTCTGTCCTCAATGTCGTCATTCATGCTTGGAGGAGGGACAGTAACACGCAGCATGGAAAAAAAAAAAATCCCTCCTGGATGCTATGGGGTCGGGGGGGGGGCGGTGGCAGCAGCCAGCCAGGCCCTTCCCGCGAGGGTAAGTTCTCCTCGGCAGTAGAAACGCATTTGCTCTCCGGAGGAAGGGGTCTTCGCCTCTCCCTTCCTTATACTGAGCTGGGTGTGACCTCAGCCCCCAGGAACACTCCCACCAGCCCCGCCCCCGACCCCCACCCCCTGCCAGCTGCAGCCACAGGCGTTGACTCCACAGTCTTCTAAGGATGGGGTGGGGTGGGTCCTCAGTGGGCCCCGGACACTCCTGCACTCAGATCCTGGCTTCGCATTTGGGGACGGCCAAAAGAAGACAGTGACATCAAGGAACGGGAGTGAAGCGCTCATTTGAGCCCTGATGTCTGATTATTAACAAATCACATACGAGTTCCAATAAGGAGGAGGCATCTGTGTCTTAAACCATAAACCACCCCCTTCCTCCCCACCCCACAGGACAGCCTTTATCGACACACTTAGATTTTTTTTTTTTTTTTTTCCCGAAATCGTCGGCTGGTGGCCTTCCTAGCGTTATAAATAGGAAATACATAGGGCTAGGATGGGTCTATTTCAGCGTCCCAGAGAGAAGCTGAGGTTTTCATCCGCCCGAGCTCTCAGCGTGTCCTGAAAATGGTGCACTTAGAGGGGAACGGTGCGCGCGGAAGGTAAACTGTGTTGCTGGGCGCAGCTCAGGGAACGGTTTTCCCTGGTACCGGGAACAGGGATGTGAGGGCCTTCACGGAGTCACAAGACCGTGGCTCTCTGCTCCCACCCGCCCCATCTGCTGGAAAGGGATTTAGAGGCGGCAAAGGCTGCCGGATAAACCTTCCAGGGAGACGGTTTATCCTGGGAGAAGGGGAGATGCGCGCACTCACCTCTGCAGCTGAGACAGCCTCTCCTCCTTACTGGCAAACAAAGGCGAGCCCTGCCCGGGTGCAGCTGGGCATCGCTCACGCTCCCCGGGCCTTCAGAGCCTAGGAGGAAGAGGATGCTCGCAGGGGCGGATTCTGCATCCGAGGAAGGTCACCCAGGGCGACGTGGCCAGCGCCCGCCAGCTCTTTTGTGCAGGGGTGGGTGGGGTGCAGGGTTAGCGGTGGGCTCCCCAGCGCGGGGCTGCGGCTGCGCCCCCTCTCATCGCCGCCCGCCTGCGCGCCCTGCCTCCGAGGTAGCTGCTTCTTCCCAGCTCAGGGCTGGCAGAGGCTCGGCTTCCCGAAGACGGTTAATTTATGCTGCTTTTGTGTGCAGGGAGGAGGGGGTGGGGGGTGGCGGCCTGACGGAAAAGCACAGCCCCCTGCCAGAATCCGATCCTCCCCATTGGCTGACAGACAAGCATCTCCGAAAGCCACGCCAGGGGCAGAGGCAGAAATAATTTTCTGATGGCGCATCAGAGATTTAAAAACAAAACAACGGACAAATAAATAAATAAATGGCAAGATGGCCTCATTCCTTAGAGAATGGGGGGTGGGGGAGTTGGGAAAGGTCTTCTTGGCACTTCTCCTTGCAAAGGGAGCAGGGGTGAGGGGTGGCATCCCCCAAAAAGTCTGTGCAGGCAAAGAAATGACTGTCCCCAGGTCGGATGCCATGGCTCACGCCTGTAATCCCAGCACTTTCGGAGGCCGAGGAGGGAGGATCACCTGAAGTCAGGAGTTCGATACCAGCCTGGCCAACATGGTGAAACCCCGTTTCTACTGAAAATACAAAAATTAGCCAGGCGTGGTGGCGTGCGCCTGTAATCCCAGCTACTCGGGAGGCTGAGGCAGGAGAATCGCTTGAACCTGGGAGGCGGAGGTTGCAGTGAGCCGAGATGGCGCCACTGCACTGCAGCCTGGGCGGCAGAGGGAGACTCTGTCTCAAAGAAAAAAAAAAAAAAAGAAAGAAATGACTGTCCCCAGGTCACCGTGTTGTGGGTCCATTAGATGGTCACTTACCATTGATTCAGCCTCGTGCCCTAAACAGGGCTGGGTGCAGGGGAGGCGGAAGTTTCTCAGGCACACTCACTTTGCAGGGCTGCTGTGGGAACGGCGCCCCCTGCAGTTGTGCGCTGGCGTGGCCTCGCCCTGGAGGAATTCAAGGAGACTGTGGAAGATGGTAGGGTGGAGAGTGCAGGCCGTGCAGTCGGACTGGAAGTGGGTTTGAACTCTAGCCCAGCCACTCCCCAGCTGGCAGACCAGTGGGCATGAGTGATCTCACCTGCGGGCCTCAGTTTTTCTCATCTGTGAAATGGAGCCGCTATGGCTTTTCCACATTATGAGATAATGCATAGACAGCACTAAACACAGTGCTGGGGCACAAGAAAAGCTCCCTATGTGTTTCTTTCTCTTTCTTTCTTTCTTTCTTTCTTTCTTTCTTTCTTTCTTTCTTTCTTTCTTTCTTTCTTTTTTTTTTTTTTTTAGGTGGAGTCTCGCTCTGTTGCCAGGCTGGAGTACAGTGGTGCGATCTTGGCTCACTGCAACCTCCGACTCCCAGGTTCAAGTGGTTCTCCTCCCTCAGCCTCCCAAGTAGCTGGGATTACAGGCACACACCACCACACCTGGCTAATTTTTTTTTTGTATTTTTAGTAGAGGCGGGGTTTCAACATGTTGGCCAGGCTGGTCTCGAACTCCTGACTTCAGGTGATCCGCCCACCTTGGCCTCCCAAAGTGCTGGGATTAGAGGTGCGAATCACTGTGCTCGGCCTATATGTATTTCTTGCTATTGCTGTTTTTAATGTTTATTTTATTTACTTATTTTTTTAAGAAACAGGAGTTTTCCCTGTCATCCAGGCTGGAGTGCAATGGCACAATCACAGCTCGCTGCAGTCTTGAACTCCCGGGCTCAGGTGATCCTTACACCTCTTTCTCTCCAGTGGTTGAGACTACAGGCTCCTACCACCACGCCCTGCTAATCTGTGTAATTTTTGTAGAAATAGGGTATCTCTCTATTGCCCAGGCTGGTCTTGAATTCTTGGGCTCAAGTGAGCCTCTCATCTCAGCCTCGAAAAATGTTGGGATTATAGGTGTGAGCCACCGTGCCTGACCCACAGCACTTACTATTAATTGAAATTATTTACACTTTTTTGTTGTTGTTGTTGATTCTCTGCTCCTCCTTATTAGAATATACTGGGTTTTGTTTTGTTTTGTTTTGTTTTGAGACAGAGACTTGCTCTGTTTCCCAGGCTGGAGTGCAGTGGTGTGATCTCAGCTCACCGCAACCTCCTCCTCCTCTCAGGTTCAAGCGATTCTCATGCCTCAGCCTCCCAAGCATCTGGGACTACAGGCATGCACCACCACACCCAGCTATTTTTTTTATTTTTGGTAGAAACGGGGTTTCACCATGTTGGCCAGGCTGGTCTTAAACTCCTGACCTCAGGCAACCTGCCCACCTTGGCCTCCCAAAGTGTTGGGATTACAGGCGTGAGCCACCGCACCTGGCCAGAATATACATTTTCGAAGAGCAGAGGCTCGGTTGTTCTTATGCACCACACGTTCTCCGCACAAGGTAGCAACTCCTGGTCCAAAGCTGTTCAGGAGACGCAGGCAGAGTGCATGAAGGCTGGCTCCCTTCATGACATTCAATGACACCCCACCTAGGCTGGCAGCCTCACCCGCTGCATGGAGGTCTGCACTCTTCCGAGGCATAAAGGTAACCTGCCCACAGCAGAGGCAGAAAGCCCTGATGGGGAAGCAGAGGCCCCAGAGACTTTAGCACAAGGTTGGGACTTCCCATCTCCTGGCTGGAGAAAATGGAGGTCTTGTAAGAGACACTTGTGTTAACTGAGGGGTGGATTCGATGAGTCCCTGTGCTGGGCACTGGGCACAAGATATGAGTAATTCCCATTACTGGCAAACAAAGGCGAGCCCTGCCTGGGTGCAGCGGGCATCTCTCAGGCTCCCCAGGCCTTCAGAGCATTGGAGGAAGAGGATGCCTGAAGGAGTGGATTCTGCATCCGAGGAAGGTTGCAAGGCGATATGGCTAGTGCCCACCAGCTCTTTTGTGCAGGGGTGGGGGTGCAGGGTTAGTGGTGGGCTCCCCTGCGTGGGGCTGCGGCTGTGGCCCCTCTCATCATCACCCGCCTGCGCTCCCTGCCTCTGAGGTATCTGCTTCTTCCCAGCTCACGGCTGGCAGAGGCGTGGCTTCCCTAATTCAGTTAATTTATGCTGTTTTTGTGTGCAGGATTGGGAATTCTCTTAGAATGACCATTCAGTTGAGGCCAGGCATGTAATCCCAGCACTTTGGGAGGCCGCTCACACCTGTAATCTCAGCACTTTGGGAGGCTGAGGCGGGCAGATAACTTGAGGTTGGGGGTTTGAGACCAGCCTGGACAACATGGTGAAACCCCGCCTCTACTAAAAATACAAAAATTGGTCAGACGTGGCGGTGGGCGCCTGTAATTCCAGCTACTCGGGAGACTGAGGCAGGAGAATCGCTTGAACCCGGGAGGTGGAGGTTGCAGTGAGCCCAGATTGAGCCACTGCATTCCAGGTGGGGTGACAGAGTGAGACTCCATCTCAAAAAAAAAAAAAATAAATAATTCCCATTCAGTTGAGAGAAACAGGTGGACAACAGAGTCTGGGCTGATCTAGAGACATCTTTGGAGTGGTGCAGGTTGGGGGACCGTTGGGGAGGTTTCCTGGTGGGGCACAGAGGTGGCGACTGCATGAGTGAGACCCCTGAGGAGTGAGTGGAGTTAGATGAATAAAAAAGAGGGAGGAAGGCATATTCTGGACAGACAGGCCTGCCCAGACTGGCATTTAAAGAGCAACAGCTTCTCCCCAGTCCACCAAAGCCTGGGAGCTGTCCATGGTGCTACAGCCACCACCGAGGAGCCACAGCGTGTGACCTAAGCTTGGTTCCCTGTTTTTTTTTCCCTTTGAGACAGAGGCTTGCTCTGTCACCCAGGCTGGTGCGATCTCGGCTCACTGCAACCTCTACCTCCCAGGTTCAGGCGATTTTTCTGCCTCAGCCTCCCGAGTAGCTGGGATTACAGGCACCCACCACCACGCCAGGCTAATTTTTGTATTTTTAGTAGAGACGGGGTTTCACCATGTTGGCCAGGCTGGTCTCAAACTCCTGACCTCAGGTGATCCGCTTACCTTGGCCTCCCAAAGTGCTGTGATCACAGGTGTGAGCCACTGCAGCTGGCCTCTGTCTGTTTTCATTTCGTTTTATTTTAATTTTAAAATGGAAAAATTTTAATTTAATTTAATTTTTTTGAGACAGGTTCTTGCTCTGTAGCCCAGGCTGGAGTGCGGGGGTGTGATCATGGCTCACTGCAGCCTCAACCTCCTGGGCTCAAGTGATCCTCCTATCTCAGCCTCCCTGGCAGCTGGGACTACAGGTGTATGCCATCACACTTGGTTAATTTGACAATTTTTTGTAGAGATGGGGTCTCACTATTTTTCCCAGGCAAACATACCACACCCAGTGGGTGTGGATATCTTTAGGGGCCATTATTCTGCCGGCCATCCCTGAGGAATTCGTTTGGAAATGCACAAAAGGGCTAGATTTTGTAGGATCTTGAAACTTTTCTGAAGGTGAGCTTGTAGAAAATTTTCTTGTGGGCTGGGTGCAGTGGCTCACACCTGTAATCCCAGCACTTTGGGAGTCTGAGGCGGGTGGATCACTTGAGGCCAGGAGTGCTGGGCTCAGTGCTGGGATTACAGGTGTAATCCCGGCCTGTCACCCTGTATCTTTAACCCCTACACCAGTGGCTGTCACCTGGGGGGGTGGTGATCCTGCCCGCAGCGGACACCGGACGATTTCTGGGGACACTTGTGTTTGTTGCGACTGGGGGATACTCCTGTTATGGAGTGGATGGGGGCCAGGGACGCTGCTCAGCACCCTGCAGTGCCCAGGATGGCTCCGCCCCAGAGAATAATCTGGTCCCAATGTCCACGGTACTGAGCAAGAAAAATTCTGCCCTAAAAGAATGCTTGATACAGGCCAGGCAATGTGGCTCACGCGTATAATCCCAGCACTTTGGGAGGCCAAAGTGGGTGGTCAGGAGGTCAGAAGTTCAAGACCAGCCTGGCCAACATGGTGAAACCCCGTCTGTACTAAAAATACAAAAATTAGCCGGGCGTGGTGGCACGCGCCTGCAATCCCAGCTATTCAGGAGGCTGAGGCAGGAGAATTGCTTGAACCAGGGAGGCGGAGGTTGCAGTGAGCTGAGACTGCGCCACTGCACTCCAGCCTGGGTGAAAGAGCAAGACTCTGTCTCAAAAATAAATAAATAAATCCATAAAATAAAATGACTTCCAAGCTTCATGCTGAAGCACTGTCTAGTCTTCCTAAGTGCAAGAAAGCTCCAAGGAGAGGCCGGGCGCGGTGGCTCACGCCTGTAATCCCAGCACTTTGGGAGGCTGAGGTGGGCGGATCACAAGGTCAGGACATCGAGACCAGCCTGGCTAACACGGCAATACCCCGTCTCTACTAAAAATACAAAAAATTAGCCGGGCGTGGTGGCGGGCGCCTGTGGTCCCAGCTACTCGGGAGGCTGAGGCAGGAGAATGGCGTGAACCCGGGAGGCGGAGCTTGCAGTGAGCCAAGATCGCGCCACTTCAGTCTGGCCTGGGCAACAGAGCAAGACTCCATCTCAAAAAAAAAAAAAAAGAAAGCTCCAAGAAGAAAAGCAGTGTGTTAGAGAACTTCAGATATGAGTAAAAGTGCTATGAGTTCAATGTGAATGAATCAACCATGTCTATTTGTTGGGAATAACGCTCAAAATCCTAAGAAGATTGAATACACAAACAAAGGGATTTTAGCAAAGCAATTTTACTTCTGCGCAGAGAGGTGTTTTTCTTTGTCCAGTCGTCATGAGAGCGCACCTGAACAAAGGGGCATGAGAGCCTTTATTCCTGAGGCAAGTCCTGCCCCTGTGCCCTTTCCCCATTGGCCGGGGTCGGGTCACACAATCTGAACTAATCCCGGTTGGCTAGACATTTGAACTTTCTTTTTTTTCTTTTTTTTTTTTTTTGAGACGGAGTTTCGCTCTTATTGCCCAGGTTGGAGTGCAATGACGCAATCTCAGCTCACTGCAACCTCCACGTCCTGGGTTAAAGTGATTCTCCTGCCTCAGCCTCCTGAGTAGCTGAGATTACAGGCATGCACCACCACTCCTGGCGAATTTTGTATTTTTAGTAGAGATGTTGGTCAGGCGGGTCTCGAACTCCTGACCTCAGTTGATCCGCCCTCCTCATCCTCTCAAAGTGCTGGGATTACAGGCGTGAGCCACTGCACTGGCCGAGGTCGTGTATTGATGGTTGATGCAAACACTGTGACTAGAGGCTCACAGGAACTCAACCTCGTGTTTCTCTTAGGAGCGATGGTCAGTATTAGTGAGCTTGGTATTGACTTTAGAGAACAGAATTAATGAGAATCGACTGTGTCTACTTCTTTTTTTTTTTTTTTTGGGGGACGGAGTCTTGCTGTGTCGCCCAGGCTGGAGTGCAGTGGTGCAATCTCGGCTCACTGCAAGCTCCGCCTCCCGGGTTCATGCCATTCTTCTGCCTCAGCCTCCCGAGTAGCTGGGACTACAGGTGCCACCATGCCTTGCTAATTTTTTTGTATTTTTAGTAGAGACGGGGTTTCACTGTGTTAGCCAGGATGGTCTCCATCTCCTGACCTCATGATCTGCCTGCCTTGGCCTCCCAAAGTGCTGGGATTATAGGTGTGAGCCACCACGCCTGGCCTCTTTTTTCTTTTCTTTTCTTTCTTTCTTTTTTTTTAGACTGGGTCTTGCTGTGTCACCCAGACTGGAATGCAGTGGTACACTTATGGCTCACTGCAGCCTCCACCTCCTGGGCTCAAGCGATCCTCCCACCTCAGCCTCCTAAGTGGCTAGGACTACAGGCACACACAACCACATCCAGCTAATTTTTGTATTTTGTAGAGATGGGGTCTCCCTATGTTGCCCAGACTGGTCTCAAACTCCTGGGCTCAAGCAATCCTCCTGCCTTGGCCTCCGAAGTAGCTGGGGTTACTGGTATGAGCCACTATGCCTGTTTCTACTTCTGAAGGCTGTTTTTTTTTTTTTTGGTTTTTTTTTTGTTTTGAGACAGAGTTTCACTCTTTCACCCAGGCTGGAGTGCAGTGGTGTGATCTCAACTCACTGCAACCTCTGCCCTCCAGGTTCAAGCAGTTCTCCTGCCTCAGCCTCCTGAGTAGCTGGGATTATAGGCAACTACCACCACGCCCAGCTAATTTTTTTGTATTTTTAATAGAGACAGGGTTTCACTATGTTAGCCAGGCTGGTCTTGAACTCCCAACCTCGGCCTCCCAAAGTGCTGGGATTACAGGTGTAAGCCACCATGCCCGGCCTTCTGAAGGCTGTTGTGGGAACTAGATCACATTTTGCATGTAAAGCATTTAGCACAATCCTTGCAGTAAATAATAGAAAAAATGCAACCCAGAGAAAACACTACAACAGATCCTTTGTAAAGAGACACAGCCTTCATTACCTAATTAGAACGGCAGGGACTTGGAGAGAGGCCGTGTGCAATTAATTACCTTGTTGGACTTTAGCCAGGGCATGGCAGGGAGAGCTGCACTGGCCAGACCCACCAGACCATTCCTGGTGGCCACACATGGTCATGGAGTTACAGATGGAAGAGTGCCATCCGCTAAATCACCAAATGTGGCTTCCCTCAGCACCCTGGGCTCTCCATGGAGCCTGTCCAAGAATTAGTAGCCCTGTATCTGCTGAATGCACTTCTTACTTTAATGCTCTCGTAATACTCCATTGTCAAAAAGCCAACTGATTTGAAAGACTTCAGCAAAGCAAAAGTTCATAGATGCCCAAGACCCAAGACTTCCTTTTTTGTTTGTTTTGTTTTGTTTTGAGACTGAGTCTCACTCCGTCACCTGGGCTGGAGTGCAGTGGCGCGATCTCGGCTCACTGCAACATCTGCCTCCCAGGTTCAAGCAATTCTCCTGCCTTGGCCTCCCGAGTAGCTGGGACTACAGTCACCCGCCACCTTGCCTGGCTAATTTTTGTATTTTTTAGTAGAGACAGGGTTTCACCATGTTGACCAGGCTCGTCTTGAACTCGTGACCTCAGGTGATCCGCCCGCCTCAGCCTCCCAAAGTGCTGGGATTACAGGCATGAGCCACTGCGCCAGGCCCCTTTTATGTTTTTTGTTTGTTTGTTTGTTTTGAGACGGGGGTCTGGCTCTGTCACCCAGGCTGGAGTGCAGTGGTGAGATCTTGGCTCACTGTAACCTCTGCCTCCTGGGCTCAAGTGATCCTCCCGCCTCAGCCTCCTGAGTAGCTGGGACCACAGGCACCTGCCACCATGCCTATCTAACAGAAGCCCAAGACTTCTATGATGCTTTTTGGAATCTAGTGTTCAAAGTGGGCGTCTTAGTCTGTTCAGGGTGCTATAACAAAGCCAGGCGCAGTGGCTCACGCCTATAATCCCAGCACTTTGGGAGACCGAGGCGGGTGGATCACCTGAGCTCAGGAGTTTGATACCAGCCTGGCCAACATGGTGAAACCCCGTCTCTACTAAAAATACAAAAATTAGCCGGGTGTGGTGGCGCATGCCAGTAATCCCAGCTACTCGGGAGGCTGAGGTTGGAGGATCGCCAAAGCCTGGGAGGCGGAGGTTGCAGTGAGCTGAAATTGTGCTATTGCACTCCAGCGACAGAGCGAGATTCCTTCTCAAAACAAAACAAAACAAACCAACAAACAAATAAACAAAAAAGCTGCCTAGTGAATGGAGGGAAAGGCTTAGGCAGAAGCCCCGTTACTTTACGTGGGGCCCTTCAGAAGTCGCTGGGCTCAGTAGGTTCCTAGCCGTGTTTGAGAGTCGGCTTTTCTAAGAGATACTCATGCAGCCCAGCCTCTGGGCCCCCCAGCTTCCGGGCCGGCCAGCCTGTGGAGGTTGGTCAGGTGGTCACCCATCTTCTTCTTCTTTTTTTTTTGGAGAGCCTCACTCTATTCCCCAGGCTGGAGTGCAGTAGCGTGATCTCGGCTCACTGCATCCCCTGCCTCTTGGGTTCAAGCGATTCTCATGCCTCAGCCTCTTGAGTAGCTCACCACGCCCGGCTAATTTTTGTATTTTTAGAAGAACTGGAGTTTCGCCATGTTGGCCAGGCTGGTCTCAAACTCCTGACCTCAGGTGATCTGCCTGCCTCGGTCTCCCAAAGTGCAGGGATTACAGGTGTGAGCCACCGCGTGCAGCCCACTTCCTCATCTCGGAAGTGACTCTCCAGGAAGTCACAGAGATGGGGGTCTGTAGGGGCGGAACCCAGTGCATGAAGATCCAAAAGACTCTGGTTGAGATTTTTCCCCGGGGCCATGGCGGCTTCCATGGCTTCCAGGGTTTTACCCCACTCATCTTGACCTGGCTTCAGGATGTCCTGGAAGACAGCAGGGCCACCACGCTGGTTTTGCATCTTCAGGAGACGCTCAACACCCTTGCGCTTCTCCTTGGCCAATTCATGGAAGAAGTAAGCCCCGCATTCCGGAGCCACATCTTGGTGATCGAAATAGAAGCGCAGACGATGGCTCACGCCTGTAATCCCAGCACTTTGGGAGGCCGAGGCAGGCGGATCATGAGGTCGGGAGATCGAGACCATCCTGGCTAACACGGTGAAACCCCGTCTCTACTAAAAATACAAAAAAATTAGCCAGGCGTGGTGGTGGGCGCCTGTAGTCCCAGCTACTCGGGAGGCTGAGGCGGGAGAATGGCGTGAACCTAGGAGGCGGAGCTTGCAGTGAGCAGAGATCGCACCACTGCACTCCAGCCTGGGCGACAGAGCCAGACTCCGTCTCAAAAAAAAAACAAGCAAAAAAAAAAAAAAAAAAACCCGCAGAGGGAGGAGGTGTAGGAGGCCCGCAGGTGCAAACTGACCAGGCGGTTGACGGCTGCCTCCACCGCGGTGGAATAATTCTGACGAATCTGGGAGCTCATGGTTGGTCGGCAAGAAGGAGCTAACCAAAAAAACGGCGTTGGTTGGTCCGAGAAGCAGGAGATGGCTGAGCCGATGCTCCTGGAGGTTGCAAGAAGAGAGGAAATCAGCGGGTGGTCGGAGGCTGGAAGTGAGTTCCCGGATCTGTTCCATCCAAACACTGTGGAAGCAAGAGACGGATCCGCGGGACCGCCAAACACGCTGCTGCTTGTCAGGTTTCAATACTGTCAAGTGACTCTCCCTCCCCCTCCTTCCAGGCTGCAGTCTTGGGAAGGAAGTCACTATGCACAACCCACACTCAAGAGGTGTAGAGTTACTCTCTATCTCCTTAAGCGCAGTGTAGCTACACAAATTAGGAATTCTTCTGCATAAGAGATTTGTCTGTTTGCCTCCATTTATTTGTTTATTCATTCAATTCTTTCTCTCTCTCTCTCTCTCTCTCTTCTTTCCTTCCCTTCCCTCCCTCCCTGCTCCTCTCCCTCTCCTCTTTTATTATTTATTTATTTATTTTTTTATTTTTTATTTTTTTATTTTTTTGAGACGGTGTATTGCTCTGTTGCCCAGGCTGGAGTACAGTGGTGTGATCTCGGCTCGCTGCATCCTCCACCTCCTGGGTTAGGTAATTCTCCTGCCTCAGCCTCCCGAGTAGCTGGGATTACAGGTGTGCCCCACCACGCCTGGCTAATTTTTTTTTTTGTATTTTTAGTAGAGACAGGGTTTTGCCATGTTGGCTAGGCTGCTCTTGAACTCCTGACCTTGGGTGAGCTGCCCACCTCGCCTTCCCAAAGTGCTGGGATTACAGGCGTGAGCCACCACGCCCAGCCCTTTCTTTCTTTTCTCTTTTTTGAGACAGGGTCTCACTCTGGAGTGCAGTGGTACAGTCACAGATCACTGCAGCCTTGACAGCCCAGGCTCAAGTGATCCTCCCACCTTAGCCTCCTGAGTAGCTGGGACCACAGGCATGTACCACCATGACCAGCTAATTAAAAAAAAATTGTAGAAACAGGGTCTTGCTATGTTGCCCAGGCTAGTCTCAAAGTCCTAGGGCTCAAGATCCTCCTGCCTCCGCCTCTCAAAATGTTGGGATTACAGACGTGAGCCACTGTGCCCGGCCTATCATTTATTTATATCACGTTGTGAACACAGGAGGCAGAGACCATGGGGGCCTTCTGAAGAGTCATTCTGAGGCTAGATGCAGTGGCTCACGTCTGTAATCCCAGCACTTTTGGAGGCCAAGGCAAGATTATTTGAGGCCAGGAGTTCAACATCAGCCTGGGCAACATAGCAAGACACTGTCTCTACAAAAAATTTAAAAATTAGCTGGCTGTGGTGGTGGTGGGGCTTGAGCAGAGACCTCCACATCTGAGTGGTTAAAGAGAAGGTGGGGCTCGGAGACAGAGGTAGGGCTTGTGCAGAGACCATATCTGAGCAGGTAAAGGGAAGGCGGGGCTCCGAGAAAGAGGCGGGGCTTGTGGCATGGGTGGGGCTTGAGCAGAGACCTCCACACCTGAATGGTTAAAGGGAAGGTACGGTTCCAAAAAAAGGCGGGGCTTGTGGCATGGGTGGGGGTTGAGCAGAGATCACATCTGAGTGGGTAAAGGGAAGGCAGGGCTCTGAGTAAGAGGCGGGGCTTGTAGCATGGGCGGGACTTGATCAGATACCACCACATCTGAGTGGTTAAAGGGAATGTGGGGCTCCGAGAAAGAGGCAGGGCTTCTAGCATGGGCGGGGCTTGAGCAGAGACCTCCACATTTGAGTGGTTAAGAGGAGGGCGGGGCTCTGCGTAGGAGGCGGGGCCTCGGGGCAGGTGTGGTCGCGGGGCGGTGTCTCCCTAGCCTAAGAGAAGGAAGCGAGAAGGTGAGGGCTTCGCGCAGGGGGCGGAGCTTGGGGCGCGTGGCCAGGCGCGAGCGGCACGCGGCTCGGGGGCGGGGCGGGTGACGTCGCGGGTCCGCCAGGCTCGGGGAAGACGCCAAGATGGCGACGAGTCAGTATTTCGACTTCGCGCAGGGCGGCGGCCCGCAGTACAGGTAACTGCCCCGCCGCGCCAGCCCCCGCCAGTCCCGGCCCCTGCAGCCTGGCCGGGACCCCGCCTACCCCTTCTCCCGCCGCGTGCGCCCGGCCCGGCCCCAGTCCCAGCCCCAACCTGGAACCCCGGCCTGAGGGAAGCCGCGGCGCCGGGAGAAGCAGGCGGGGCGGCCTCAGGTTAGGCACCGGGCGGGATGCGGGCTCCGGGGCTCCGGCTGAGACGTCTCTGCAGCCAACGGTGTCTGTCGGCGGGAGCGGGAGGGGGCTCCTGAAGTGGGAGGGGGCCTGGGTTTGGGCCTGGGCCTGTGCGGGGTCGGGGGGGTCAGCCCCTGATGGGGGCGCCACGAGGAGGGCAGCGAGAGGGGACAGACCCGGGCGGGGGGTGGGTGGTCTGACCGAGGAGGGGAGGGGACGGAACTGACCCAATGCAGGGAGGAGACCTGGGAGGTGCCTGGCCGGGGAGTGGGTGGGGATGGGCAGAGGGGAGCTGACCCCTGATTGCTGGTAGGGGAAGAGAAGACACAGACCTAGGAGGGTGTCTGGCTGGGCAGGAGGAGGGGAAGGGCAGAGGGGCATTGACCCCCGATTGCGGGGGGAGGAGAAGACACAGACCTGGGAGGGTGCCTGGCCGGGCAGGGGGATGGACAGAGGGTAGCTGACCCCCGATTACTTGTAGGGGAGGAGAAAACAGAGATCAGCGAGGGTTCCTGGCTGGGCAGGAGGAAGCCACAGTCGAGGGGTGAGGAATTGGCCCCTGATGGGGGTAAGAGAGAAGACAGAAACCTGGGAGGGTGTCTGGCTGGACAGGGGGAGAGCTAGAGCGGAGCTGACCCCGATTGCTGGTAGGGGGAGAGAATTCAGACCTGGGAGGGTGTCTGGCTGGGCAGGAGGAGGGGAAGGGCAGAGGGGCGTTAATCCCCGATTGCTGGAGGAGGAGAAGGCAGAGACCTGGGAAGTTTCCCGACTGGGCAGGGGGCAGCAACATTCGAGTGTGGAGGGCACTGACCCCTGATGGTGGGGGTAGGAGAGAAGGCAGAGACCTGGGAGGGTACCTAGCAGGCAGGGGCAGAGACCTGGGGTGGGGTGTGGAGTAGGGGTGGGAACCTGACCCCTGATGTGGGGTGGAGGAGAGAAGACAGAGACCTGGGAGGTTACCCCAGGGAGGGGCGGAAACCGAGGTTGGTGGGGAACTGAGGCCTGACTGGGGAAGGGGGACAGAGACTTGGCGGGAAGCCAGTATTATGTGGGAGGAGGTCCTGAGGTCAAATAAGAGGGTGGGCACCTGGGTTTCCAGGGAACTGGGACCCTGCTGGGACAGTGAGGAGGGAGAAAGGGCCCTGAGTGTTGTGATATTTAAGATCCTTTTCTAGGTCTTAAATATGTGGTCGTTTGGGAGGGGAGGGAGAGAAAGGATCCTGGAGGAGAGATGGCAGGGGATGGGGACACACTGGGAACTGGCCAGGGGCAGAAGGGCTCAGAGGGTAGGGACACACACGGGGTAAGTTTGTGCCCCAAGTGTACAAACACACACTCTACACTGTTCTCCCAGGCCTGCTCCTCGGAGCATCTCTGCTATCTTCAGCCCGTCCATCTGCCCCCAAGACTGGAGTCCCAGTCCGGGAGCCAGGGCTGGCATCTCTGAGGGGACCAGATTCCCCCCCCAACAGTTGATCATTTCCGCGTGTCACCCTTGTGTTAGTTTCCAGCTGGTAGCTTGCTATAACCTTGTTTCTCACAGTCCCTGCTGAGCCCCCACAGATACAAACCACCCCTTGGGCACCTCATAGAGGGGCCTCTGCTGAGCTCAGGGGGGTCTTTGCCCCCCGCGGTGTTCCTACTGCATTTCAGCACATGGAAGAGAGATCCAGGCTGGTGTTTCAGCTTCCCGCGGTGGAGCGGCAGTGCCGACCCTTCCACCAGTGCTGTGATATTGCTGTGCCCTTTCTAATGGAATCACAAAGAGAAACCACCCAGGGCTTGGAAACCAGGGCTGTGGGAATGAGGAGTGCATCTGTTTCCTGCACTCGGAGTGGTTTCTCTGGTGGAGTATTTGACTAGTAATGGATTTCCTATTAGGGAAAGAATCTATGACCTGCTGATTTCCCAGAATGGAGCATTTAATTTTTATTTGATCTTTTCTTTTGCTTCCTTCATCCTCAGTGGTGTTTTGATTGCCAGGGCTCAGTTAAAGCGGCTGGACTTGGCTAGCGATCCAGGCTAGTACAAACTTCTGGACACACTCCACCCCTCTGCCTGCTAGCTCTTCCTTCTTTTCTCTTTCTCTTCTTTCTTTCTCCATTGTATTCTTCCATCAGACGTGGAAAATCACTTGAATATTATGCTTGCTATTAAAATTACCTTCCAGAGGAGAAATTGAATGTTTATGTTGTTCAAATAGGTGATTGCTAAGCTTCAGTAGAGGCTTCTGTCATTGATTTGAATTAACGTGCTTATACATTTTAGCACAGCTACCTTCTGTGTTCTGATGGCTTAGGTGATACAGTATACACGCAACCCATTTTAGCACAGCTACCTTCTGTGTTCTGATGGCTTAGGTGATACAGTATACACGCAACCCGGTGTTGAGTTGTTGAGTTAGTCCGTCCTTAGAATTGCCGCAGAGAGAATGTGTTCTTCCTTAAGAAAATAGTAAGCTATTAACTAAAAATAACACAGGAATCATAGCAAAATACATTTCATTCTCACAAAACCTTGAAACAAGATGATAGGCATTATTTGAATGACTTTAGGTTAACTAGACATTCTTTCTTGTGGGAAATGACTTTTGTTTGGAAACTTTGGCTGCTTTTAAAGTACGTATGTTTTGGCCAGGCGCGGTGACTCAGCCTGTAAACCCAGCACTTTGGGAGGCCGAGGCAAGCGGATCGCTTGAGGTCAGGAGTTCGAGACCAGCCTGGCCAACATGGTGAAACCCTGTCTCTCCTAAAAATACAAAAATTAGCCGGGCGTGGTGTCGCGCGCCTGTAATCCCAGTTACTCGGGAGGCTGAGGCAGGAGAATCTCTTGAACGCGGGAGGTGGAGGTTGCTGTGAGCTGAGATCATCACGTTACTGCACTCCAGCCTGGGCGACAGGGTGAGACTGTCTCAAACAAACAAAAAAGTACCTATGGTTTATATAACCTGCCATGAGAAAACTGATGAGATACCAGATTTTGTGTACCAATTTTATGGCAGCATTTGGACAGCAGTATTTACAACACCTGTTTCAAGAATTGCCAAAACAAAGGCAGCAATTCATTTTTTAGGAGTTTTGGGTAGGTTTTCTTAGCTTATAAAATTGATAACCAGGCCAGGCATGGTGGCTCATGCCTGTCGCTCCAGCACTTTCGAAGGCCAAGACAGGAGGATCACTTGAGCCCAGGAGTTTGACATTAGCCTGGGCAAAATGATGAGACCTTTCCCCCCATCTCTATAAAAAAATTAACAATTAGCTAGATGTGGTGGTGTGCACCTATAGTCCCCAGCTGCTTGGGAGGCTGAGGTAGGAGGATCACCTGAGCCCAGGAGTTTGAGGCTGTAGTGAGTTGGGATTGCAACACTGGACTCCAGCCTGGGCAACAGAGCAAGACACTGTCTCTAAAACAAATGAACAAAAAAATGATAACCGTAGCCCTGGGTAGGAATTTCCTTAACATTTTCATCCATAAATAGGGTTGGTATCTGAACTGCTTAATTGTTGGTCAGTAAGAATTGGACCCACATTCACTCTTGAAGGCATAAGAAAAGTTTACAGTTAGCTGTTGATAATGTTGATTATCTTTATTTTATTTTATATGGTCTTATGAATCTCATATTTTTTTTTAGAAGTTGAATTAGTGCTGCAGGTCTTCAGAATGAAACATTAATCCCATGTGGAAAACTGAATGCAGCAGTGCTTTTAATTAGCACTGAGCGCAGGCCGGGCACGGTGGCTCACACCTGTAATCCCAGCACTTTGGGAGGCCGAGGCGGGTAGATCACCTGAGGTCAGGAGTTCGAGACCAGCCTGGCCAACATGGTGAAACCCAATCTCTACTAAACATACAAAAAAATAGCCAGCTGTGGTGACGCATGCCTGTAATCCTAGCTACTTGGGAGGCTGAGGCAGGAGAATTGCTTGAACCCGGGAGGTGGAGGTCACAGTGAGCTGAGATGGCACCACTGCACTTCAGCCTGGGTGACAGAGCGGGAGTCTGTCTCAAGAAAAAGAGAGAAAAAAAGAAAAGAGAAGAGAAGAGAGAAAAGAAAAGAAAGATTAGCATTGAGCACAGTTTTTTAGCTGAGAATAGCTGAGGAGCTCCAACAGGGTCTGTACATGTTAAGTCACACTAGTCATGAAAGTATGTAGAGCTCAAAGTGGTGTGTTGGAAGTGCAGAGTAGTGGGAAGCGACAGGCCAGAGGCCTCTGCCGTTACCTTTCTCTTTGTTTAGCAGTTTGTCACAGTTCCACCAGTATTACGCAGTCGGCTAGCTGTGCCTTTGCATTCTTGTTAAATCTGAGTTAGAAGACTACTGGATTTTGGTGTAATACTTGATGTCCTGTCCAGAGAACCTCTGTTTGTTTGTTTGTTTGTTTGTTTGTTTGTTTGTGAGACAGGATCTCACTCTGTTGCCCAGGCTGGAGTGCCGTAGCAGTCTTGGCTCACTGCAGCCTCTAACTTCTGGGCTCAGGCAGTCTTCCCCCCTCAGCTTCCTGGAGTGGCTGGGACGACAGGTGCGCACCACCATGCCTGGCGATATTTATTTTTGTAGAGATAGGGTCTTGCTATTTTGCCCAGGCTGGTCTTGAACCGGCCTCAAGAGATCTCCTGCCTTTCCCTCCTAAAGTGCTGGGATTACAGGCACTTCCTCCCTGCAATTAGATTCTGACACTATTAGCATACATTATAAGCTGAGCTCCTTCCCCTGGAGAGTTTCAGGAAGTGGGAGGCGGGGTTGGAACGCCATCACACTCTGTTAGTGATGGGCAGGATGCTCGTTGCTGGTTATTGATTCTCTGTGTGAGGTGAGTCCCGGGCACCTGATACTGACTGAGCCCTCACGTGATCCTTGGGGTAGGTGTTGTGAAGCCCATTTTGCTGATGAGGAAAGTGAGGCTTGGGGGCAGTCACTGGACTGACGTGGGGGCCCAGTGGTCGGCCCGGCTAGGAATGGGCCCAGGCCAGTGCCTCACTCACAGTCAGGGCTGCTGGAGCCTAGAGAGGCAGCCGTGGTGTGGAACCCAGCCCTGACCACGTCAGCTTAGAGGTTGCGCCTGTGGTAGAGACTGTGTTATTGCCATCCTTTACGCTGTCACCTGCCCCTGCCCTGCTAGTTCAGGGCCCGGTCAGATAGTGGTTTAGGGCTACATCCTTTAGACATTAAAAAACACATGGCCAGGCATGGCAGTGCACACCTGCAGTCCCAGCACTTTGGGAGGCCGAGGAGGGAGGATTGCTTGAGGCCAGGAAGTTGAAGCTACATTGAGCTATGATCGCACCACTGCACTGCAGCCTGGGCGACAGCGAGAGACCCTGTCTCAAAAAACAATAAAAAAACAAGAGCCCCTCCCCGGAGTGGGGACATTGAGACAGCACATGGCCCCGTGTCACTGGGAAAGTAACGGTGACCCAACCCGTATCTCTCAAAAATGTCTCCCGGGCAACAGGTAGCTTGAAAAAGGCCCGGAGCCCATGCTGACCATGAGAACAGGCTCGGCAGCCCCAGTGCCAGTGACAGAACCTGTTAATACCCCTGATGGGAGCCCCTGCCTGCCAGGTGTGGCTGCAACCGGCTTCAGAACCGACCTGGTCATACCCAGCCCAGACGCCACGCTCGCCCTCCGGCAGGCCTCCAGGTCCTTCCAGTGGAAACCCCACCCACCAAGGCCAACCCCGTCCTTTGAGCTTAGGTCCAAGGAACACAGGCTGCCCTGGAGAGTCCGATGTCGCCACCTTGGGGGCCAGGGCGCATACCTGTAAATGGACTCCTACCACCAGGTCCAAAAAGCCCCAGGAAAGTGAGACCGTGGGCCCCTCCAGCTGTTTGCACATCCTAATAAGTAACTGTGCCTCTGCTGCACCCATTCTTTCCAGGGAGCACGACCCTGGAGGAGCGAGGGGGGAACTTGCCCCTCCCATGTTGCTGCGGTCTTTTTCACGCCCTTCTCAGCAAGGCTGAAATACGTGTTAGGGGCTGAACTCCTTAGAAGAGAATCCGAGAGGCAGCTGCCGGCTGCACGTGAAAATGGGTTGAAGTGTACTTTCAGGAAACCTTTTCAAATGACAGGACTTGCGGTCTGAGCTCCTATACAAGGAATTAGGTAGATTGGATGTTTTTGAAGTGTGGATTTTGATTTTTCATCTTACTTGTTTTAGAACCAAAAGTTAGGCCAGGCACGGTGGCTCACACTTGTAATCCCAGCATTTGGGGAGGCTGAGGCAGTCAGATCACCTGAGGTCAAGAGTTCCAGACCAGCCTGGCCAACATGGTGAAACCCCATCTCAATTGAAAATCCAAAAATTACCTGGGTGTGGTGGCACGTGCCTGTGGTCCCAGCTACTCGGGAGGCTGAGGCAGGAGAATCGCTTGAATCCGGGAGGTGGAGGTTGCAGTGAGCTGAGATTGCGCCATTGCACTCCAGCCTGGGCAACCGAGTGAGACTCCATCTCAAAAGAAAAGAACCAAAAGTTAGTTCATACATACTGGGGCAGAAGTAAATTCCTAGGAGACTTTTTTCTCTCCTAAACATATTCTCTGTTTCTGGATTTTTAATAGTTTTATTTTGTATTTGTCTCTTGTGTGGGTCTACCAACGTGTGTATTTAGAATGATCAGAACAAATACATCAGATTTAAAAGCATTTTCAAATGGCCCTGGAAAACAGTCTTTTCACCTGAGGGTAATGAATATTGGTGTTCTTTCCTGGGGTTCTGGGGGTCATGGGACAAAGGCCCTGATCAGATAAATAACTAGGCAGCCCTAGAAAAATAAGGAAAACACGTAGAAAGGGACTTGTAAACCCTGTGTTCATTGTCTTTGTATTTTATTATTATTATTTTTGAGACAGGGTCTCACTCTGTTGCCCAGGCTGGAGTGCAATGGCGCGATCTCGGCTCACTGCAACGTCTGGCTCACGAGTTTAAGCAATCCTCCTGCCTCAGCCTCCCTAGCAGCTGGGACTACAGGCATGCACCACCACGCCCAGCCAATTTTTGTATTTTTAATAGAGACGAGGTTTCACCATGTTGGCCGGGCTGGTCTCAAACCCCTGATCTCAGGTGATCCACCTGCCTTGGCCTCCCAAAGTGCTGGGATTACAGGCGTGAGCCACCGTGCCCAGCCCTATTTCAATTATTTTTTGAGATAGGGTCTCACTCTGTCACCCAGGCTGGAGCACAGTGGTGTGGTCATAACTTAATGCAGCCTCAACCTCCTGGCCTCAAGCAGTCCTCCCTCCTCGGCCTCCTAAGTAGTTGGGATTTCAGGTAAACACCACCACACCAGGCTAAATGTTGTATTTTTTTGTAGAGACGGGGTTTTGCCATCGGCCAGGCTGGTCTCAAACTCCTGAGCTTAAGTGATCCACCTGCCTCGGCCTCCCAAAGTGCTGGGATTACAGATGTGAGCCACCGCGCTCTGCTCAACTTTAATTTTAAAGTTGCCAGATTTCTTTTAGCTAGAAAGTTAATTTGTACATATTTGGGGGAATGACACTTCTTTTTTTGGTGGATATGTTCCTTTTGCTTTGGGCAGGTTTTTTTCCCCTAAGGTAAGTTCCATTTGCCTTTTTAAATGGACCTATTGTGAGTCGTTTACTTGTCGCGGTTGGCGGAGAGTGGAGAGGCGGCATGGCTCTGCTTCCGCGGCATTGTGGATCTGGGAAGGCCAGTCCTGCCGCAGGAGGTGAAGTCTGTGGTGAGCTCTGCCCCTTGGGAGCAGAGTGACCTGTAATGTCCCCAGGCCCTTGCCATGGATGTATAAAGAGCCGGTGGTGTCTGTTGTTTTGAGTGTCGTTGGTTGAGTCCAGGTTGGTGGTTCGAGGCCGGTTGTGGTTGCTCATGAGAACCTGGGGTTTGCCATCTTGTCCTGCCCTTGACACGAGCGGCTCATGAGCCAGCACAGACAGGGCTCTGCAGGTCGTTCCGTTTCTTAAAGCAGCAGGAGAGGGCTGGAACAGGAGATGACCCCTCCTTGTTCCTGAGATGTCGGCCAGTTTGGTGCACAAGAGTAAAAAGGTGTTGCCGTAGTGAGCCGATGCTGTTGGAAATTCTGTCGCTTGTCCTGCGTCTGGGAGGGCACGTAGCTAATGCCTTCTCTAGCGTGATCAGCATGGTATCGTCAAGTTGGTGTTCTCAAGCACCTGCCTGGTGGGGCTCACCATGCAGCCAGCTCCACGTGGGACCATGTTCCTTCTCAGCAGGGCAGAGGACAAGCCCATCAGTCCCACTGCCGCATAACCTGGCTCGCCCCCGAGGCTCGGGAAACTCGACGCCCAGGCTCTGGAATCCAATTCCCACCTCAAGAACCTGCCGCCCTATGGTGGCTCCATCCTGAGGAACCAGGCGGGTCCTGGTTTGGAGCTGGCCTCTTGACTCCATTCAAAAGAAGACGGTTTGAAAGTGAGCCTGGGGTGATAAAATCCTTTCGGGCCGGGTGCAGTGGCTCACGCCTGTTATCCCAGCACTTTGGGAGGCCGAGGCAGGAGGATCACTTGAGCCCAGGAGTTCGAGACCAGCCTGAGCAACATAGTGAGACCCCCCCCATCTCTGAAAAAAAAAAAAAAAAAAATTAGCCAGGCATGGTGGTGCACACCTGTAGTTCCAGCTACTTGGGAGGATGAGGCGGGAGGGTCACTTGAACCCAGGAGTTTGAGGCCACAGTGAACTATGATTGTGCTACTGCACTCCAGCCTGGGCGACAGAGCAAGACCCTGACTCAAAAAGCAAAAAAGTCCTTTTGGTATCTTCCCGAGGATTGAGTTAACAGAACTCCTTTCCAATACGTTGGGACATTTTGGGGGTTTCTGGATCTGAAATGGGCATTTCACATGGAGACTGCACCTAAGGGTTTCATGGTCAGAAAAAAAGAAAAAGAAAAAAACTGGTTACAAAATCAGGACTGTTACGGGTATGAATGTGTAAGATGCATTTTGAATATAAAACCCCTGTGAACAGAAGTGCCACAAAATGAAATTCTGGGTGTGTGTGTGTTGTGTGTACACACAGCGATTGAAATGTCGTCTTACTGCTGGTAAAACAGACTTGAAAACTCTCTCCCTGATGAAGGACTTGACTGGACGCATTAGCCTCTGGTGTGGCAGGGCACGTTGTCTCTCTGGCCCCTGAGGCCCTGCGCCCTCCACCTGGGTGTGGCTCACGCTGCACGCAGTCGCAGACCCACCGCGCCAAGGTCAGAACGCGGGAGTGCAGGTGTTCTCCAGCGGTTCCCGGGGCACGGAAGTCAGTGGCTGGATGAGCCAGGGTCTCTAGAGGGACAGGACTCACAGGATAGAGGTCTCCATGAAAGGGACCTTATCCAGGAGAAGTGACTCACACGGTCACAAGGTAAAGTCCCACGATAGGCCGTCTGCAAGCTGAGGCACAAGGAAGCCAGGGGTGGATCAGTCCGAGTCCCCAAACCTCAAAAGTCGGGAAGCCGACAGCACAGCCGTCAGTCTGTGGCCAAAGGCCCGAGAGCCCCTGGCCAACTGCTGGTGTAAGCCCAAGAGTCCAAAAGCTGAAGAACTTGGAGTCTGATGTTCGAGGGCAGGAGGCACCCAGCATGGGAGAAAGATGAAGGCCTGTAGACTCAGCCAGTCCAGTCCTTCCACGTTCCTCTGCCTGCTTTTATCCTGGCCGAGCTGGCAGCTGATTAGATGGTGCCCACCCAGAGTGAGGGTGGGTCTGCCTCTCCCTGTCCACC
Source organism: Homo sapiens (assembly GCF_000001405.40). Lineage (NCBI taxonomy): Eukaryota > Metazoa > Chordata > Mammalia > Primates > Hominidae > Homo > Homo sapiens. Next base: position 3,859,063 of record NC_000019.10, on the reverse strand, counting down.
GGCTCAAATGTCACTCTCCTTTGGCAACACCCTCACAGACACACCCAGGACAATATTTTGCATCCTTCAATCCAGTCAAGTTGACACTCAGTATTAACCATCACAGGGCCCTGTGACATTTCCATTTCCAGCTGGGTGGCCTCAGCCTTCATCTCCATCTGCCATGGGGGTGATAGAGAAATAGGTGATGAGCTGTGTTCGGGAAGAAAGAGTCCTTGTTTTTAATTATTTTAGTTTTTTCTTTTTGAGACGGAGTCTCACTCTGTCGCCCAGGCTGGAGTACAGTGGTGCAATCTCAGCTCACTGCAACCTCTGCCTCCCAGGTTCAAGTGATTCTCCTGCCTCAGCCTCCCAAGTAGCTGGGATTTCAGGCATGCACCACCATGCCCGGTTGATTTTTGTATTTTTAGTAGAGACTGGGTTTCACCATGTTGTCCAGGCTGGTCTTGAACTCCTGACCTCAGGTGATCCGCCTGCCTTGGCCTCCCAAAGCACTGGGATTATAGGCGTGAGCCACTGCACCTGACTGAGTCCTTGTTTTTAGAAAGAATGATGACATTTCTCAGCCTGTGATTCCAGGAAAATCTTTATTTCCACTTGAGTTTTTCCTTGGACTCTAAATGTTTTGGGGGGTTTTGTGTGTGTGTGTTCCCATTGAGTTATTCAATGCAGTGTTCAGCAGAAATTAGCATTATATGCAAATAGAGAATGACCCATCTTCCTGGCTGTCCCTAAGACATTTCGCCACCTGCCTCTATCTGCAGATCCCACCCGTGTCCCTCTGAAGTGTGGACCACACCTAAGCCTGCTCCGTCTCTTCGGAGCAAGCAAGAGCATGGCCCTACAGAAAGAGCTCTGGGCCAGGTGACGTGGGCAGCTCAGATGGGCCCATTCCATCCCCTAGGCCTTGACGTCCCCTTGAGTTTGGTGGCCGTGTGAACAAAATGAGATCAGTGGGGCTCGCTAGCTTTGCATCCCAAAATTCAGTTTAGAAGGATGCACCTGAAAAAGCTTGACTTCCCAAAACAAATTCTCCGACCAAAAAGCCATCAAAAGACATTAGCCTGGGGCCTGAAGGTGGGAGTGCCGGGCAGGACTTGTAGACGTGTGTCACCACTGTTTGTAAGTCCATGTTAGCCTGGGCTCCCCGTTTCCCACCTGTGCTCTTCTCCCCTCCCAGGCAGGCAGCACCAGCGCGTGCTTGTTGTCATGGAGATGGCAGCTGTCTCTGGTGTAGTACAGTGGCACAGTTCCTTCCAGCAACAGGTGACTCCAAACAGCAGCAGCAGCAGCAAATAGCCTGGGCTCATTGGTTATGGGCAGGCTTTACTGAGAATAAATTCATGACTTTTTTTTTTTTTTTTTTTTGAGACAGGGTCTCGCTTCATTGCCCAGGCTGCAGTGCAGTGGCGCAATCTCGGCTCACAGCAACCTCCGCCTCCTGGGTTCAAGTGATTCTCATACCTCAGTGCCTCCTGAGTAGCTGGGACTACAGGCATGCACCACCATGCCCGGCTTTTTTTTTTTTTTTTGTATACACCATGTTGGCCAGGCTGGTCTCGAACTGCTGGCCTCAAGTGATCCGCCCACCTCAGCCTCCCAAAGTGCTGGGATCACAGGTGTGAGCCACCACACCCGGCCAGTTTGTGACTTTTTATACCTGTTTCTCAACTATCGCTCTCACCTCCTCAGTGTGGGTCAGACTTTGAAAATTGACAGCCTGCAGGCCGTGTTTGGTTCTCACGCCTGTGCAGTGAGCTTTTTGCTTGCTTTATTTGAATTAGTTGCCAGCATTTAAAAGTGGGAGATTCCGCTGGGCGTGGTGGGGTGCGCCTGTAGTCCCAGGTACTCGGGAGGCTGAGGCAGGAGAATCGCTTGAGCCCAGGAGGCAGAGGTTGCAGTGAGTCGAGACTGTGCCACTGCACTCCAGCCTGGGCGATAGAGTGAGACTCCGTCTCAAAAAAAAAAAAAAAAAAAAAAAAGAAGATTTCACAAAACCTCTGGTTCCTAGCATCGCTTAAAATTGGAAACTCTGGGGCCAGGTGCAGTGACTCCTGCCTGTAATCCAGCACTTTGGAAGGCCGAGGTGGACGGATCACTTGAGGTGAGGAGTTCGAGCCAGCCTGGCCAACATGGTGAAACCCCATCTCCACTAAAAATACAAAATTAGCCAGGCGTGGTGGCAGGTGCCTATATTCCCAGCTACTGGGGAGGCTGAGGCAGGAGAATCGCTTGAACCAGGGAGGTGGAGGTTGCAGTGAGCCGAGATGGCGCCATTGCACTCCAGCCTGGGCGACAGAGCAAGACTCCGTCTCCAAAAATAAAGGAAACTCTGGCTACCCTGGGCTACATCGTAAGCTCCTGCCACATGCTGGGCCCTGTAGCCTGTGAGTTCTTGTTTAATCATCACACCATCACCATACCAAATTAGGTGTTCCCATTTTACAGGTGAATCCATAGAGACAGGAAATGGATTAGTGGTTCCGGGGGCTGGGGAGGGATGGAGAGAATGTTGATGGGGACAGGTTTCTTTTTGGGGTGGTGGAAACATTCTGAAATTAGGTAGAGGTGATGTTTGCACAGCCTTGTAAATGTACTAGATGCCACCGAACCGTGCACTTTAAAGGGGGGATGTTACAGTGTGGACTATATCTCAATCTTAAAAAAATATTAACTATCGATGACACCCAGTTTCTGACTCCAGCGCAGGCCTCTCCCTGGAGCTCTAGTCTCGGCCCCTGCATACAGCGGCCCATGCAGCATGCTCTGTGGATGTCTGACTGGCATCTCAGGCTGATCATATCCAAGTCCAAGCGCCTGCACGCTTCTCCAAAACCCCTTCATCCTGCTGGCTTCCCCGCGGCAGGCAGGGCCGCCGGCAGTCCTTCGTGCAGATCCCAAAATGGGAAGCCAGGCTGGCCTCCTTTCCTTCTTCTGACCTTGAGCGCACGCCCCTGCACGCGCACCGCCTCCACCGCGCACCAGCCTGCCTCGTCTGTATTTTGGACCTTCACGCTTCCTTCTGCTCTCGCCCCCATTTCCATCCGCGCACAGCGCCAAAGAGGCCCCATCACAACGTAGCCCATGTCCCTCCTCCGCTGGAAACCCCCGTGGGGTCTCAGGGGACAAGCTGGAGCCCCTACGATGGCCTGTGACATCCATCATGGTGTCCTCTGCCCCCTGTTCCACACCCTTTATTCTCTGACCCCATCTCCCCTCATTCCTTCCGCTCTAGTCACGCTGCCTTCTGGACCAATCCAGGTTCCGGGCACTTCACCCTCAGGCCCTTCCCATGCAATTCCCTCTGCTCAAATGCGCTGCCCTGTTTCCCCAACTTTGTGTCTTCACCCTCCTCCTCACCCACCAGGCCCGCCATGACCAGCCCGTGAGAAAGTGCAACCCCCTGCTCACACCCCCTTGCCGCGTCCTTCCCGGCGGCATGAGAACCATCAGATCGCGTTGAATTATTTTGCTGACCCCGTGTCTCCCTGGACTATCGCGCAGCACCCTCCTGGAGGACGGGACTTTGGTCTGGTTATTCCCCGCTGCTGTGACAGCGCCCATGACAGCAGCTGGTCCCCACTAGCACCCAGGAAGTATTTATCCAATGACTCAATGAATCTGCCGCCGGATCGCCCGGGACTGCTTTCACTTTCTGTCAGGTATTTTGTACACACAGAATTTCTCATAGTGCAACCCGCAAAAGCAATATCATCTTTAAAATGGTGCCTCAGAAGGCCTCTAATGACTTTTTTTTTCAGCTTAGCCAGAAGATGGCCTCCTTTGTTCTGAAAATGCAAATGATTTTCCATGCTAAGTTGGGATTTAAAGTAGAAGTAAAAAATTCACATTAAAAAAAGAAAAACTTGGCTGGGCACGTTGGCTTATGCCAGTAATCCCAGCACTTTGGGAGGCCAAGGGTGGAGGATTGCTTGAGCCCAGGAGTTCGAGACCAGCCTGGGCGACATAGTGAGACCCCATCTCTACCAAAAATTTAAAAAATTAGCTGGGCACAGTGGCTCACATCTGTAATCCCAGCACTTTGGGAGGCTGAGGCAGGAAGATTGCTTGAGGCCAGCAGTTCAAGACCAGCCTGGGCAACAAAGCAAGGCCCTGACTTTACAAAAAATTTAAAAATTATCTGGGTGTGGTGGTGCACACCTGTAGTCTCAGCTACTTGGGATGCTGAGGTGGATCACTTGAGCCCAGGAGTTAGAGGCTGCAGTGAGCTATGATTGCATCACTGTACTCTAGCCAGGGTGACAGAGCGAGACCCTGTCTCTTAAAACAAAAAACCTCTTAATGATGTAGTTTAGAAGAACTCTTGTTTTCTGCCCAACTCTTTTTCTCTGCAAGAATGTAAAAGGGCTACTTCCTGTCCTGTGAGTTTATTGCAGAGTTTACGGGCACATGCTCTACATCAAGACCCCTGCCCTAACCATCTAGTGTCATCTATGTCAGCCTCTGAGTGGTTTCTCTCTGGGATGTAGGAATCTGAGCTCTGACCATGTTTGGAATAATCGACTTTTGGTTTTGGTCCGGAGATGATGTGTTCACATGATCGCTGGTCTCAGCTACCACAGGTGTCTCTGAATCAGACTCTGCAGATGGCTGTGAAGCGCCTGTTATGTGGTAGTTGCTAGAAAAGCCTAGAAAGAACAAGACTTTTTTTTTAGACAGTCTCGCTCTGTCACCCAGCCTGGAGTGCAGTGGTGCGATCTCAACTCACTGCAGCTTCCGCCTCCTAGGTTCAAGCAATTCTCCTACCTCAGCCTCCGGAGTAGCTGGGGATTATACAAGCCTGCTACCATGCCTGGCTCATTTTTTTTGTATTTTTATAGAGATGGGGTTTCACCATGTTGGCCAGGCTGGTCTTGAACCCTGACCTCAAGTGATCTGCCCACCTCGGCCTCCCAAAGTGCTGGGATTACAGGCGTAGGCCACTGTGCCCTGCCTGTGTCAGGGCACAGTGGTTTTTTTGAGACAGGGTCTCGCTCTGTTGCCCAGGCTGGAGTGCAGTGGTGTGATCAAAGCTCACTGCAGCCTCAAACTCCAGGGCTTAAGCAATCCTCCCACCTCTGCCTCCCAAGTAGCTGGGACTACAGGCACACACCACTGTGCCTGGCCAATTTTTGTAGTTTGTAGAGACTTTGTAGAGGCGGGGGTCTCACTGTGTTGCCCAGGCTGGTCTTGAACTGTGCTCCTGGGCTCAAGCTATCCTCCTGCCTTGGCCTCCCAAAGTGCTGGGATTAACAGGTGTGAGCCACCACACCCAGCCTGGTTTTTAGTATATTAACAGAATTGTGTGACTGTTACCTCAAATTCCAGAACATTCCTATCGGCCCAAAAGGAAACTCCATCTCCATTAGCCATTACTTTTAACCCCTCCTTCAGGGCCTGGCACCCACAAATCCCCTTCCTGCCTCTGTGGATTGGCCTCTCCTGGACATTCTGTAGAAATGGAATTACATATTGTATGGCCTTTTGTGTCTGGCTTCTCTCACGGGGTGTGATGTCCTCAAGGTTCATCCATGCAGCATGTGCTAGAGTGTAATTTTTTTTTTTGGTGGCAAAATATATATAATACAAAATTTTCCATTTAACCTCAACAAATGCTTTTTGATCCACCTGTGACAGCAGGGATTCTCAACCCGGGGTCTGGGAAACCTAAGGTAACTACAGGCACACCTGTCTTTGTCATTTTCAGGGGATCAGGGCAGGGCGGGAGGCCACAGCTTTCATCTGACTCTAAACTGTGAGAAGGCAAGGGGGAGTCAGCGTGACCGCCCACGCTGGGAACCCGGGGAGGGCTGTGGGCCTCTCCCTGTCGCATCTGAGACCTGGCAGAAGCAGCAATGTTGGCTGCCGACCATCTGCAGAGCTAGGCTCTAATCCCTAGTCCCCAGCCCCAGGGACCCCAGCCTGTCCTTCCCAGATCTGAGTTTCTCAACAGCAGCAGTTTTTAAGAGATGGGGTCTCACTGTATTGCCCAGGCTGGTCTCCAACTCCTGGGCTCAAGTGATCCTCCCGAAGTGCTGGGATTACAGGTGAGCCACTGCACCTGGCCAACAGCAGCACTTTTGACATTTGAGGCTGGATTATTCTCTGCAGTGAAGTCATTCTGGGCACTGCAGGGTGCTGAACAGCGTCCCTGGCCTCCACCCACTCCATGCCAGGAGCTCCCCCAAGTGGTGACAACCACAGATGTCCTCAGACATCACCCAGTGTCTCCTGGGGGCAAAACCTGCCCTCTTTGAGAACCACTGCCCTGGGCTGCCTTGGTTTTGGTGTCTGGATGAGTCATGCTGTGGGGTGTTCTTCCCAGGAGCTGTGTTTTTGCTGGCTCAGCTCCTGAAACCACAATGTGGCAGATTGTTGCCAAAATGCCTTCATCCTTCATCCACCCTTATATCCATGCCCTTCCCACCATGTCCTTGCTACTCTTCCAGTCCAGAAGTGGAGACCACTCCCCCGGCCCTTGCATCTGGGCTTCCTTGTGCCCTGCCTTGGACAGTTGGCTGCAGTGGAAGTGACGCTGTGACTGCCCTGTGCCCAAGCTTAAGAGGCCTTGCCTGCATCTGCTCCATCTTATGGGACCCTGCCTGGTGAAGGACCCAAGGCTGGCCTGCTGGAGGAGGAGATATAAGGAGAAGAGTCACAGTGCCCCATCCAACAGGTAGCTGCCCTCCAGGGGCAGAGAAGCCCAGCCATGGTCAGGAGAGCCACCCAGCTGAGGCCCACCTCCACCAGGATTGCCACCCAGCTGAACCCCACCTCAGCCAGGAGAGCCACCCAGCTGAGCCCCATCTGGCCAGGAGAGCCATCCAGCTGAGCCCCACCTCTGCCAGGATTGCCACCCAGCTGAGCCCCGCCTTGGCCAGGAGAGCCACCCAGCTGAGCCCCGCCTGGGCCAGAAGAGCCACCCAGCTGAGCCCCGCCTTGGCCAGAAGAGCCACCCAGCTGAGCACCGCCTTGGCCAGAAGAGGCACCCAGCTGAGCCCCGCCTGGCCAGGAGAGCTGCCCAGCTGATCCCCGCCTGCAGAATCACAAGTGAAATAAATGATTGTTGCTTTGAGTCAGAGGTCAGCGGACCTTTTCTGTAAAAAGCCACATAGTAAATATCTTTGGCTTTGTGAGCCACACCATGTCTGTCACATTAGTGAACCCTGCTATTGTATTGCAAGATGAGCCGTGGACAATGTGTCATCCAGTGGGCTTGGCTGTGTGCCAATAAAACTTTATTTTTTTGGACACTGAAATGTGAATTTCATGTAATTTTGCACATGCCATGAAGTATTATTACCCTTTTAACTTTTTCCAGTCACTTAAAATTATAAAAACCATTCTTAGCTTGGGACTGTACAAAAACAGGCAGGCCGCATTTGGCCATACATAGCTGACTCCATCTTAAAAACCCTTCTGTCCCCTCCCTTCCTCCCCTAAATTCTGGGCTCTGCCAGGCCATGGTCTCCCCTGAGAGTGGGTGTGAGACCCATGAAGATGTGGGCTGCCCCATTGGAGACAAAGCCCATGCTCTACTTCCTCGTGTAAGCATGCTTAGTGGAATGGAACAGCAGTGTGTGCATGCACGTGTGTGTGCATGCATTTGCATGTTTTGGTGGCTTCTGGGGTCACAAGCAATGACTTGAGATGAGGCAGGCCAAGTGTTCCCTTCCTGAGTCATGGTCACTGTGTGGTCACAGTCACCAAACACATATTACTCTTGGCTGTTCCCAGGCCCTGTTTTAGGTGTTTGTAAAGCCCTACACTGCTGAGAGCTGGCTTTGACTGTGCTTTCCTGCCGGTGACATGATGGCGCATGTGTTCTGTCCCCCTGTCCATCACCCCCTCTAGTTCTGGCCCCTGTGTGTCTCGTGTCCTTAATGGGCCTTCCCTCTAACTGCTCCCCTCTCTAACCGTCTCCACCTGTCTTGGTCGGCTGGGGCTTCCCTAACAATACCACAGACTGAGGCTTAAACAAAATGTATTTTTTCCCTGTTCTGGAGGCCAGAAGTGTGAGATCTAGGTGCCAGCAGGGGGTGGTTTCTGGTGAGGGCTCTCTCCTTGGCTTTCAGATGGCCACCTCCTCACAGTGTCCTCCTGTGGCTTTTTCTCTGTCCATGTGCACTGCTGGTGTCTCTTTTTTTTTTTTTTTTTTTTTTTGAAAAGACTGCCCTGTCATCCAGGTTGCAGTGCAGTGGTGAGATCACAGCTCACTGCAGCCTCAATCTCCTGAGCTTAATCGAGCCTCCCACCTCAGCCTCCCAAGGATCCACAGGCGCAAAGTGTGGTTTTTTTGTGTGTGTTTGTTTTGTTGTTGTTGTTGTTGTTGTTGTTGTTTTTCTGTAGAGATGGGATCCCAGTATCTTGCCCAGGCTGATGTCTAACTCCTGGGCTCAAGTGATCCTCCTGCCTCAGCCTCCCAAAGTGCTGGGATTAGAGGTGTGAGCCACTGTGCCCGGCCTCTTCCTTTTCTTATAAGGACCCCAGTTCTGCTCAGATCAGTCCCCACCTGATGACGTCATATAACCTTCATTCCCTCCCTGAAGGCCTCATCTCCAAATACAGTCACATGGGGGTTAGGGCTTCAACATAAGAATTGGGGGCAGGGGGACGTAATTCAGGCCAAAGCTTGTCATGAGATGCCCAGGTGGCTCCTCATGGCTGAGGATAAATCCCAGGTTCTACCTGGCACTGGAGAGCCCTGAGCTGCCTCCCGTCACCCCTCACCCTGATAACCTCTGTCCCTCAGCACCCAGGACAGTCGCCCCACCAGCACTCCTCATTTCTCCCACGCTCCTCTCAGCGAGCCCCTCCTCTTTGAAATCCCAGGCACCCTTCCCCGGGGCTTTTCCAGCCTCTGGGGGAGCCTCCTGGGTCTTCAGAGCAGTTGGCATGCCCCTCCTTCTCCCAGAGGGTGCCTGGGTTTCGCTGCCTCTGCCCCCGCGTCTCTGTTATCTGTGTAGGAGAGGCACTCCATTCCTGCCATCAGACAGCAGAGTGGCGGGACAGGGTGGGGACCTGCGGCGAGGTCAAGGGTATCTTGCCTGATGTCACCCTGACCCTGTATCCCTCACAGGTCCTCAGTCTGCTCACAGCTGTGACGTTCACAGGGTGTAACACTGAAACCAGTGGGAGTTGCCCTGCAGGCCAGCAGGGATGCTGAGACCTGCCCTCAGCCAGCGGACGTCCAGCCATCTGCATGTTGGTCGCACATCCATTTTCCCTGCGCCCTGGCTCAGTGGATTCCAAACTGTAGCGTGCCTGAGCATTGCTGTTCAGGGTTGTCTACAAGAAGAGCGTGTTCTTTTTCATTCACTGTCTTCATGGTGCTGACTCAAGCCTGACTCCAAGTCAGAGGCCAGCCTACAACATCCTGGGGATCCTTCCAGAGTATGGGCTGAACCAGGCAGGAAGCAGCCTTTGGCTCTGTCCACCTGCACAAGGCTACGCCCTGGCATTGAGCTTGTCCTAGACCATCAGTTCTTAACTGGTCAAGGTCTGGGAACATTTGTCATTGTCACGATTTGGGGGAGCTCCTGGCATGGAGTGGGTGGAGGCTGGGGACGCTGCTCAGCACGCTGCAGGGCCCAGAACGGCCCCACCCCAGAGAACAATGTTGTCCCAAATGTCAGAAGGGCCTGAGTTGGAAAGCTCTGCCCTCTGCTGCATGGGCTGTCTGATCTCTGCCATGGAGCCAGTTCACCAACCAGCCGCCTCCACTGTCCTCTTAGGTGGGGTGTCCACCAGGTGGAGACAAAGCTGTGTGCGGAGGCACAGCAGGAGCAGATAGAGAAAGCCCCACAGGTTCCTGCTCCTTCCTTGGGGTCCTGGGCTGAAGGACTCTGCTCAGCCTTCCACCTGAGGTTCACTTGCCCCCACAGCCCTCTGCTGGTGCTGCTCAGCACGCCTGGGCCTCCAGGTTGGAGGGGCAAGGTCTCAGGACCCAGGGAAGCCAGAGAAGAATGGAGCTTCCTCCCCAGAAAGCTACTCACGATTTACTATCTAGTACTGAACGCTTTGTGTTTTTGTTTGTTTGGTTTTTGTTTTGTTTTGTTTTGTTTTGTTTTGAGACGGAGTCTCGCTTTGTTGTCCAGGCTGGAGTGCAGTGGTGTGATCTCGGCTCACTGCAAGCTCCGCCTCCGGGGTTCATGCCATTCTCCTGCCTCAGCCTCCTGAGTAGCTGGGACTACAGGTGCCCGCCACCACACCTGGCTAATTTTTTTTTGTATTTTTAGTGGAGACGGGGTTTCACCGTGTTAGCCAGGATGGTCTCGATCTCCTGACCTCGTGATCCGCCCACCTCAGCCTCCCAAAGTGCTGGGATTACAGGCGTGAGCCACCGCGCCCAGCCTAACACTTTGTGTTTTTAAGAGATGGGGTCTTGCTCTGTTGCCCAGGCTGGAGTGCAGTGGTGTGATCTCAACCTACTAGGTTCAAGAAATCCTCCTGCCTCAGCCTCCTGAGGAGCTGGGACTGCAGGTGCACCACCATGCCTGGCTAATTTTTCTGTTTTGTAGAGATGGGATCTTGCTATGTTGCCCAGGCTGGTCTTAAACTCTTGGGCTCAAGAGATCCTCCCATCTTGGCCTCCCAGAGTGCTGGGATTACAGGTGTGAGACACCACACCTGGCCATGAAAGCTTTTTTCCGAGATGGAGTTTCGCTCTTATTGCCCAGCCTGGAGTGCAATGGCACAGTCTTGGGTCACTGCAACCTCCACCTCCCCCATTCAAGCGATCCTCCTGCCTCAGCCTCCCAAGTAGCTGGGATTACGGGCGCCCGCCACCATGCCTGGCTAATTTTTGCATTTTTAGCAGAGACGGGGTTTCACCATGTTGGCCAGGCTGGTCTCGAACTCCTGACATCAGGTGATCCACCTGCCTCGGCCTCCCAAAGTACTGGGATTACAGGCGTGAGCCACTGTGCCCAGCCATGAAAGCTTTTTATACAAAAGAGGCAGCAGGTCTCAGTCCAAAGGGCTCTAGAGCTGCAACCGTACTTGGATTTCCCTGCCCCTGCACTATATCTTGGGCCGATCATACCCTCTTGTTGAGCTCTGTAGATTGTACAAAACCAAAGAGAGGGCCTGTGGGTGTCCTCCCAGTCTCCATCCTGTCCTGTCTTCTGGCCAGCTTGGTTTGGACTCCGCCCCTCTCCTGTATGTCTCAGGAGAGGGTGGTCCCGGCTCCAGGAGTGGAGCCTGATGATTCTAAATCAGCTCTCCCGGCCTCTTTGCCGTTGACTCTTAGTGCCTTGTGGGTGGTGTAGGGCTCAGGCAGGACAAGAAGCCACTCTAGAATAAGCCTTGGAGCATTGCTTTAATGGCGAAAGATTGGAAACAACGTGAGGCAGTCTAGAAATACGTCTGCAAATTGTTCCCTATGCCTTCCTTCAAAAGGTGAGGCCTGAGCCTCTCCCCGTGTGTGCAGGTCGGATTCGGTGATTCGCTTCTAATTAATGGAATGTGGCAGAAGTTATGCTATATGATTCTTTTTTACAAATATTCTTATTTTCAAAAAATACTTTTTTTTTTCTTTTGAGAAGGAGTCTCGCTCTGTTGCCCAGGCTGGAGTGCAGTAGTGCAATCTCAGCTCACTGCAACCTCTGCCTCCCGGGTTCAAGTGATTCTACTGCTTCAGCCTCCTGAGTAGCTGGGATTACAGGCACGTGCCACCACACCTAGCTAATTTTTGTGTTTTTAGTAGAGATGGGCTTTCACCATGTTGGCCAGGCTAGTCTAGAACCCCTGGGCTTAAGCGATCCTCCTGCCTCTGCCTCCCGAGTAGTTGGGATTACAGGTGTGAGCCACCCCCCTGCCCCCGGCTCTATGAAATGATTCCTGAAGCTGCATCATAACAAGGGCAACTTTCACCTGCTGTGTGTGCCGCCCTCTCCCCTGCTCTCCCTCATATCCCTTGCTCTGGAGGAAGCTGGCCGCCATGTTGTGAGGACACTCAAGCCGTGTGAGGAAAGGCCTGCCTGGGAGGAACAAGGACTGCCACCAACAGTCAGCACCAACTTGCCAACCCTGGCAGGAAGGCATCTTGGAAGCAGATCCTGCTGCCCGCCGCTGACCTCTCATTGGCAACCTCATAAAAGACCCCAAGCCAGAAGCCCGAAGCCCGTCCCAAATTCCTGATCCACAGACACAGTGTTTAAAGCCTCGTTGTTTTGCAAGGTTAATCTATTACTTAGCAGGAGATAACTAACACATAGTATAAATGTCCACCAATCGGATAATAGGTGAATGAATCATGATGTTTTCAAAGTAAACAGTCTTTTCTGTAGAAGTATATTCTGCTTATGTAATTAAGGAAAACAGGTGAATGAATTGTGATATTTTCAAACAAGTAAACAATTATTCTTCTTTTAGAAGCACATTCCGCTTATGTAGTAAGGAAAATGGGAAAAAGGTGAATGAATCGGGACAGTTTCAAACAAGTAAACAGTCTTTTTTTAAAGATGCGTGTTCTGCTTATGTAACTAATCAGTCTTTACATTTGGGAGGCCCAGGGCAGAAGTACAGATGGAAGCCTGCCTACCATATGTCTACATATTTTAACATTACCAACCAAGCTCGCTAAAGTTAAATACAGTATGTTCTGTCCCGCTCACCATGACAAACATACCTTTCTAACAACATACACAAAAACTGTGTGGTGCTGTGGCTTTTCGAGTCGGCAAAACATCAAAGATGGCTGGATTTAATTAGCCCACCCTCCCTATCCATGGGTTCTGCCTCTGTGGATTCAACCAACTGCCGATCAAAAATATTTGGAAAAATGGGCCAGGTGCAGTGGCTCACGCCTGTAATCCCAGCACTGTGGGAGGCTGAGGCGGGTGGATCACCTAAGGTCAGGCGTTCAAGAACAGCCTGGCCAACATGGTGAAACCCCGTCTTTATTAAAAATACAAAAATTAGCCAGGCGTGGTGGCACACGCCTTTAGTCCCAGCTACTTGGGAGACTGAAGCTGGAGAATCACTTGAACCTGGGGGGCAGAGGTTGCAGTGAGCCAAGATTGTGCCATTGCACTCCAGCCTTGGCGACAGAGCAAGACTCCGTTTCAGAAAACAAAAAAGAAAAAGATTTCCATATCATTTCAGTGTATTATGGACATGACCTGAAGCAGCCATCAGGGGCTGAATCCGCGCCCTTTTCCCACACCTTCCTGTGTTGAAGTCCTAACCCTCAGTACCTCTGAATATGCCCGGATTTGGAGACAGGGTCTTGACTTATTTTTAGTTTTTTTCTTTCCTCTTCTTTTTTTGAGACAGGATCTCACTGTTTCCCAGGCTGGAGTGCAGTGGTGTGATCATGGCTCACTGCAGCCTTGACCTCCTGGGCTCCAGTGACCCTCCTTCCTCAGCCTCCTGAGTAGCTGGAACTACAGGTGCACACCACCACGCCTGGCTAATTTTTTTTTTTTTTTTTGTAAAGATGGGGTTTTGTCATGTTGCCCAGGCTGGCCTCAAACTCCTGGGCTCAAGCAGTCCTCCTGCCTCAGCCTCCCAAAGTGCTGGGATTACAAAAGTGTGACCTTGTAGGGACCATGTTGCAGTTTTACCTTTTTTTTTTTTCTTTTTTTGAAATTTTCTTCTTTAATAGAGATAGGGTAGCACTATGTTGCCCAGGCTGGCCTCAAACTCCTGGGTTCAAGCCATCTTCCTGCCTCGGCCTCCCAAAGTGCTGGGATTACAGGTGTGAGGCACCATGACTGGCCCCCCTTTATACTTCTGTAATAAAAAAAAAATTTTGTAGAGACAGGGTCTGACTATGCTGCCCAGTCTAGGGTGCAGTTGGAGAGCCAGGGTCTTTGAAGAGAGAATTAAGTTGAAATGAATTAAACTTAATCAATTTAGCCCAATGCAGAATGGGCCCTAATCCAATCCGACTGGATCCCTGTAAGAAGAGATTAGAACACAGACACGCACAGAGGGACAACCACGTGAGGACACAGGGCAAAGACTGCCGTCTGCAAGCCACAGAGGGACCGGCCCTGCTGACACCTGGATCTAGGACATCCACGCTCCAGAACTGTGAGAATAAATAAGTCTGTGTTGCTGAAGCCACCCAGCTGTGGTACTTGGCCATGACCACCTGGGGCAACCCTGCAGCCCCCTTTCCCAATCAGGGTTCTGCCTGGAAACTGCAGAGCACAGACACTAGCTGCAGAGACTGAGTCCCCCGGGAGTGGGCCACGGGGAGCTCCATTCCAGACTCCAGGGAGGGAGAGGAATTCCTTCCCACGTGGAGGCCTCAGAGTACCAGGCCTCGTTCTCTGCTGGAACCCTGACTCATCTAAAGGATTCAACCACAAGATGCCATTAAACCACAAATGTGCAAAAATTAAATATGTCTTCATTATAAATGCAATTTAAATGTAAAACATTGGGCCAGGCGCAGTGGCTCACACATGTAATCCCAGTACTTTTGGAGGCTGAGGCAGGTGGATCACTTGAGGTCAGGGGTTCAAGATCAGCCTGGCCAACATGGTGGAAACCCCGTCTCTACCAAAAATACAAAAATTAGCCAGGTATGGTGGCAGATGCCTGTAATCCCAGATACTCCGGAGGCCGAGACAGGAGAATCACTTGAACCCAGGAGGTGGAGGTTGCAGTGAGCCGAGATCGCACCACTGCACTCCAGTGTGGGTGACAGAGCAAGATTCTGTCTCAAAAAAAAAAAAGTAAAACATTGAAAAGTTAACTTCATTTGTATGTTTTTTTAAAAGTTACTTTCCTATAATATTCAGAAATTTCTATTAACATTAAAAAGCAAGATAGATGGGTGGAGAGGGGAAGTGATTGGTAGTGGATATGAGGTTTCTTTGCTTTTTATTATGATAAAGTCTAGATAACATAAAATTGACCAGTTTTACCGTTTTATTAATAAGTGCATAGTTCAGTGGCATTAAGCACATTCACGTGGTTGGGGAGCCGTCACCACCATCCATCTCCAGAACTTTCTCATCTTCCCAAACTGAAGCTCTGTCCCCGTGAAACACTCACTCCCCTTCCCCTCCCCGGTCCCTGGCACCCCCCCCCCCACATCCTACTTTCTGTCTCTGTGAATCTGACACCTCTAGGGACCTCCTAGGACTGGAACCACACAGGATTTGTCCTTCTGTGCCTGGCTTCTCTCACTGAGCCTGATGTCCTCACGGTTCATCCACCTTGTAGCCTATGTCAGGACTTGTTTTTTTTCTTTCTTTCTTTTTTGTTTTTTGAGACAGAGTCTTGCTCTGACACCCAGGCTGGAGTGCAGTGGTGTGATCTCTGCTCACTGCAAGCTCCGCCTCCCAGGTTCACGCCATTCTCCTGCCTCAGCCTCCCTAGTAGCTGGGACTACAGGCGCCCGCCACCACGCCCAGCTAATTTCTTTTTGTATTTTTAGTAGAGACAGGGTTTCACCATGTTAGCCAGGATGGTCTCGATCTCCTGACCTCGTGATCTGCCTGCCTCGGCCTCCCAAAGTGCTGGGATTACAGGCGTGAGCCACCGCGCCCGGCCAGGACTTGTTTTCTTTTTAAGGCCGAATCATATTTCACTGTGTGGATGGACCACGTTATGTTCATTCATCCAATTTTTTTGAGACAGAGTCTTGCTCTGTCTCCCAGGCTGGAGTGCAGTGGCGCGATCTCAACTCACTGCAACCTCCACCTCCTGGGTTCAAGCAATCCTCCCAGCTCAGCCTCTTGAGTAGCTGGGATTACAGGCACGCCCCACCAGGCCCAGTTATTTTTTGTATTTTTAGTAGAGACAGGGTTTCACCATGTTGGCCAGGCTGGTCCCGACCTCCTGACCTCAAGTGATCCGCCCGCCTCGGCCACCCGAAGTGCTGGGATCCCAGGCGTGAGCCACCGCGCCCAGCCCATTTATCCACTGATGGACGGTTGGGTTGCTCCTACCTTTTAGCCACTGTGAACAGTGCTGCTGTGAACATTGGTGTAAAATACCTTCTTGAGCCTCTGCTTTCTTTTCCTTTGAGTAGGAACCTAGGAGTGGAATTGCTGAGTCATGAGATAATTCTAGATTTAACTTTCGAGCAACTGCCAGACTGTTTCCACAATGGCTGCACCATTACATTTTCCCTTCTGCTGGGGTTTCATTGTGGGGTCATGAAATGTTCTGAAATGGGCCAGGCACGGTGGCTTACACCTGTAATCCCAGCACTTTGGGAGGCCAAGGCAGGTGGAGCACCTGCAGTCAGGAGTTCGAGACCAGCGTGACCAACATGGTGAAACCCCATCTCTACTAAAAATACAAAAAATTAGTTGGGCTTGGTGGCGTGCACCTGCAATCCCAGCTACTCGACAGGCTGAGGCAGGAGAATCACTTGGACCCTGGGGGCAGAGGTTGCAGTGAGCTGAGATCATGCCCCTGCACTCCAGCCAGGACCACAAGAGCAAAACTCCGTCTCAAAAAAAAAAAAAGAAAAAAGAAAAAAAAGTTCTGAAATGCATTGAAGTGACAATTGTACATCTCTGTGAATATACTGAAAACCACTACATTTTATACTTTAAATGGTTGAATTCTATAGGAAATGAATTATATCTCAATAAAGCTGTCATTTTTTCAGACAAAATGGAAAAGATAATGTAATGACTCAAGTTTTTAGATCAAAATTATATACAGCTACAGGGTTTCTTTGCTTTAAAAATTGAATTGCATGCTGTCTAACATTTTCCAAACATCAATGTGCAATTCTAATGCTCAGGGTCTCTCGTTGCTATGGTAGAGTTACTCTGGCCGGGCACAGTGACTCACGCCTGTAATTCCTGTGCTTTGGGAAGCCGAGGCGGGCAGATCACTTGAACTCATGAGTTCAAGACCAGCCTGGCCAACACAGCAAGACCCCCATCTCTACAAAAAATAAAAAAATTAGCTAGGCATGGTGGTGCACGCCTGTAGTCCCAGCTACTCAGGAGGTTGAGGTGGAAGGATCTCTTGAGCCCAGGAGTTGGAGGCTGCAGTGAGGTATGATCATGCCACTGCACTACAGCCTGGGTGACAGAGCCAGACCCTATCTCAAAAAAATAAAAAAAAAAAAGTCACTCTGCTTTACCTGTGACACATCAGACCTACAAGTTTAAGAGTATTATGGATTTTGGCCAGGTACAGTGGCTCACGCTTGTAATCCTAGCTACTTGGGAGGCTGAGGCACGAGAATTGCTTGAAACTGGGAGGTGGAGGTTGCAGTGAGCCAAGATTGTGACACTGCACTCCAGCCTGGGCGACAGAGTGAGACTCTGTCTCAATACAGTGTCCAGCTCTGTGGCCCAGGCTGGAGTACGCTGGTGCAATCATGGCTCACTGCAGCCTCAAACTCCTGGGCTCAAGCGATCCTCCCGCCTCAAGTCCTGAGTAGCTGGGACTACAGGTGCCCCACCACACCCAGCTAATTTTTTTAATTTTTTGTGGTGACAGGGTCTGGCTATGTCTCAAATTCCTGGGCTCAAGTGACCCTCCCACCTCAGCCTCCCGAGTAGCTGGGACTACAGGTGCTCCACCACACCCGGCTAATTTTTTTTTATTTTTTGTAGGGACAGGGTCTGGCTATGTTGCCCAGGCTGGTCTCGAACTCCTGGGCTCCAGCAGTCCTCTCGCCTTAGCCTCCCAAGGCGCTGGGATTACAGGGGTGAGCCACCGCACCTGCATATTACAAAATGCTCCTCAGTTGCCAGAACCATGCTTTGAACACACAGATCCATGGGTGCATCTGAGACCACAAATCAGACCCACAGAAGAGGAAGGCCACGGCCCCATGGCCCTGCCGAGGAGTGAGGCCTCCTCTCCAAGACCCGTTGCCGGCCGTGTTCCCAACAGGAGGGTTTGCGAAGGGGGTGGTCTTTCCTCCACCCTCCTTGCACTCTGAAACCACGTTGGAGCTCTCTCTGTAGCTGGGAGGCAGAATCCTCAAACTTTGCAAGCATTCTGACGTGGTCGCCTTTTGCCTTCATGGTGTAGAGCCAGAGATGGGGCCTGGGTCTCCCGGGCCCTGAACCGTGGCCAACCTAGAGCGAACAAGGCACCGAGTCACCATGTGCTTCTTCACTCATGCACATGTGTGTGTGTATGTGTGTGATCTGTGCAGTGACCGGCGTGACCTAGATCCATGCTGGCCCCCGGTCACCACCAGCCATGCATGGCCATCAAAATCTAAATTAACTGAAATGAAACAAATTTTAAAATTTAACATTCTGTTCCTCAGCTGCACAAGCCATATTTTAAGTGCTCAGCCTAGCTTAGGCCTGTAATCCCAGCACTTTGGGAGGCTGAAGCAGGAGGATCGCATAAGGCCAGGAGTTGGAGGTCATCCTGGGCAACATAGCAAGACCCCATCTCTACCCCAAAAAAACAAAATTAGCCTTGTGTGATGGTGCATGCCTGTGGTCCCAGCTTCTTGGGAAGCTGAGGCAGGAGGATCACTTGAGCCTGGGAGTTTCGAGGCTACAGTGAGCTATGATCACGTCACTACACTCCAGCCTGAGCGACAGAGCAAGACCTCATATCTAAAACAATCAGGCCAGGCACAGTGGCTCATGCCTGTAATCCCAACACTTTGGGAGGCTGAGACGGGTGGATCACCTGAGGTTGGGAGTTCAAGACCAGCCTGGCCAACATGGTGAAACCTCGTCTCTACAAAAATACAAAAATTAGCCCGGCATGATGGTAGGTGCCTATAATCCCAGCTACTTGGGAGGCTGAGGTGGGAGAATTGCTTGAACCCGAGGGGCAGAGGTTGCTGTGAGCCGAGATCACACCATTTCACTCCAGCCTGGGCGACAGAGCAAGACTGTCTCAAAAAAAAAAAAGTAAAACAAGCAAACAAAAAAGAGCTCAGCCACGTGTGGCTGCTGCTTCTGTACTGGGCGATGAAACTCTAAGATGCAGGGCCTGGGCAGAGGATCCTTTGTCCAGGTAGGAGGACAGCGTAGGGAAGAAGGAGTTAAAATCAGTGAACCGTGTGGACTCGTATCAGTACATTTCAGACAAGGTTTGCCGGGCATTGGAGAAGCGAGTTGCGGGGTGACATACACAATAAGAACATCATTTTGCACACATGTAACTGAAAAACACAACACCGTGTTGTATACAGATTCATACGGAGCCCAGGAGTTAGAGGCTGCAGTGAACTGTGATCGCGCCATTGCACTCCATCCAGCCTGGGCAACAAAGCGAGCCCCGTCTCTGAAACAAACAAACAAAACCTTCATACATATGTAGTTAAAAGTCTAAGAATCATGATTAGACAAGACAGCCACCAACCCTAGGGAGGAAGAAAAAGGAATAGGATCCAGGTGGTGCTTCAATTCTCTGTATTTAAACAATAAGCTCTGACACAAATACAGCCAAACATTAGCACTTACCCATCTCAGTGATATGTGTTTGTTAAGTGGTTTTATGTTTGAAATATTTTGTCATAAAAAAGAAGTGTCATCCCCAAGGAGATTAAGAGAGCTACTGATCACTGCTTTCTGCTTTTTTTTTTTTTTTTTTTTTTTTTTTTTTTTTTTTTTTTTTGACAGAATCCCGCTCTGTCACCCAGGCTGGAGTGGAATGGAGCGGTCTCGGCTCACTGCAGCCTCCGCCTCCGCCTCCTGGGTTCCAGCGATTCTCGTGCCTCAGCCTCCTGAGTAGCTGGGACTACAGGCACCCACCACCACACTGGGCTAGTTTTTGTATTTTTAATAGAGACGGGGTTTCACCATGTTGGCCAGGCTGGTCTCGAACTCCTGACCTCGGGTAATCTGCCTGCCGTGGCCTCCCAAAGTACTGGGATGACAGGTGTGAGCCATGTGCCCGGCCTGGACCACTTTCCTAATCGACTTTTTGGCCAATAAAGTCTCTGAGACTTCCAGAAGAGAAACACAAATCTCACAGTGGCCGATCTGTGGAATCTGAATGTTTCTTCTTTATGGATAGGGCCCTTCTGCTTTTCCTGGGAGAGATGAAAACACCCCACGATGGTGCAGATCAGAGCGTGTGCGGTCCCAGGGGACATGTCCATCCTTCTGTAGAGCTGCCGATTTCTGGTCCTTCAGGAGAATCTTGGAGAAACAGGCTGAGGTGTCTGACAGAGCCCTCCCCAACACAAGCGCCGTTCAGCACATGTGCCTGACCTCCCTAGATGTGCATGGAGCCCCTGCTGCATGCCACGTGCCGCGGCCCCGGGAGACAGCTGGGCAGCTGCAGCTGGTCCTGCATCTCAGGGCATCGGGACCAGGGAGGAGACGGCCTGTGGACAGACGTGCAGTGTATACTGGGTGGTGCCAGGAAGAAGAAAAAGCAGGACCAGGGGACAGAGGCTGATCAGCATCAGGCCACAGGGGCTCCAGGAGGGCTCGTCCCAGGGTGTCACTGAGCAGCCACTTGCAGGCAGCGGGGACGGGAGCCATAGACACGGGGGGATGGGATCGGTGGGATGTGGCTGTGGCAGGGCCTTGGGAGGGCTTTGAGCAGGAGATGGCATGGTTAGGGCTGTACTTTGAAAAGACCCCTCTCTGGCTGCCAGGAGGACAAAGAAATGCTGGCGAGGAGGGAGGAGAGTGAGGGGCTGGGGTGGTCTCCAGCAAGGGCTGTACAGCTGAGGCCAGCTCTGCTCTGCCCCAGCTCCCGTATGGAACCTTCCACCTTCCTCTCTTTGGCTCATCGGTCGGTGCTCAGTGCAGCCTGGATAGCACTCACTCTGTAGTTCTGTTTTCTTCATAGCCACCTACGGGAGGGAGTGTGGGAACAGGAGTACTGCCACTGTCATAGTGTTCATCAGGTGTCTGTAGTCATGCTGTTCATTCAGTGTCCATAGTCACAGTGTTCATCAAATGTCAGTAGTCACGGTGTTCATCGAATGTATTGTCGGGATGTTCATCGGGTGTCACGGTCATGGTGTTCATCGAGTGTCACAGTCACGGTGTTCATTGTGTGTCACAGTCACGGTGTTCATCGAGTGTCACGGTCACGGTGTTCATCGCGTGTCACGGTCATGGTGTTCATCACGTGTCACGGTCATGGTGTTCATCGTGTGTCACAGTCACGGTGTTCATCAAGTGTCACAGTCACATTCATCGTGTGTTACAGTCATGGTGTCCATTGATTGTCACAGTCATAGTGTTCATCAAGTGTCATAGTCATGTTCATCGTGTGTCACAGTCATGGTGTTCACCAGGTGTCTGTAGTCATGGTGTTCAAATGTCACAATCATGGTGTTCATTGAGTGTCACAGTCATGGTGTTCATCGAGTGTCCATAGTCATGGTGTTTGAGTGTCACAGTCAAGGTGTCCATCGGGTGTCCCATAGTCATGGTGTTCATCAAGTTCCACAGTCACAGCATTCATCAAGTGTCATGGTCACGGTGTTCATTGAGTGTCACGGTCACAGTGTTCATCGAGTGTCACGGTCATGGTGTTCATCGGGTGTCCCATAGTCATGGTGTTCATCAAGTTCCACAGTCACAGCATTCATCAAGTGTCATGGTCACGGTGTTCATTGGGTGTCACGGTCACGGTGTTCATCGAGTGTCACGGTCATGGTGTTCATCGAGTGTCACGGTCACGGTGTTCATTGAGTGTCATGGTCATGGTGTTTGAGTGTCCCATAGTCATGGTGTTCATCAAGTTCCACAGTCATGGTGTTCATCAAGTTCCACAGTCACGGTGTTCATCGAGTGTCACAGTCATGGTGTTCATCGAGTGTCATGGTCATGGTGTTCATCGGGTGTCTGTGTCATGGTGTCCATCAAGTGTCCACAGTCATGGTGTTCATGAATGTCCAGCATGTGGACACTCAGGACAAGTGTGTGAAAATGCTAGAGGAATGAATGCTTGAAGCCAGGAGGCAAAGGTTGCAGTGAGCCGAGATTGCACCACTGCACTCCAACCTGGGTGACAGAGTGAGACTCTGTCTCAAAAAATAAAAAAAAGCTGTAACTTTCATGAGGTTTTCCTGTGCCGCAGAGAATGTCTCCTTGTCCCCGGCCCTGACACTGCGGATGACTCACCTGGCTGGCAGGAGTCTACAGCAGGGCCCGGTTGGGGGCCAGGTGGTGTAGAGCCTCTTTGCCTTCTAATCCATTTTCCCCAAAATGACCCTCATACCTTGCTCCTTCCCCTATGGGGTTGGAGGTTCACTTTTTAATATATATCCATAGCGGTATTGGGCTAAAATCTTTACTGATACTTTTCCCTGGCAAATGGGCTTTTAGACTCCAGAACTGTCTACTGGGTAGCTGATATTTAGCTGAACAAGGGGCATTGGGGTCAGAAAGATCTGGGTCTGAACCCTCCCCTGCACTTGACATGAGCCCCTGGTCCTCCTTGGAGGTTTTCTCGTCTAGACCGTGGGGAGCGATGGTGCCGCATGTCCTCTGAAGGGTGAATGAGGCCATGTGGACAAAGGCCTCGGCACTGTGCAAACCCTACAAAGACTCATTCTTTTTAGTGAAGAGTTATTAGTTTAGTGCTAACTAAAGTAATTATTTTAATACTCAGGTGGACTGACTTGTTCTGTTAAAAAAAATACAGTCAGAGCCTGGGCAACATAGTGAGACCCCACCTCTACCAAAATTTTTTAAAGAATTAACTGGGCATGGTTTCACACTTGTGTTCTCAGCTACTGAGAGGCTGAGGCAGGGTTGCTTGAGCTTGGGAAGTTGAGGCTGCAGTGGGCTGTGATCGTAGCACTGAACTTCAACCTGGGTGACAGAGCGAGACCCTTTCTCAAAAACAAATTTTTTTTTTAAAGAGAAAATACGGTTGGCCTTCCGCATTCATAGGCACTGCATCCATGGATTCAACCAGCCAAGGGTGGAAAATATTTGGGAAAAAAATGCATCTGTACTGAACATGTATGGGGTTTTTCCTTCTCATTGTTCCCTAAACAATGGAATGTAACAGCCATCGGCATAGTGCTTACATTGTATTAGGTATTATAAGTAATCCAGAGATGATTTACAGTATATGGGATGATATGTTTAGGTTATATGCAAACACTATATCGTTCTATGTCAGGGACTCAAGCATCCATGGATTTTGGCATCTGAGGGGGTCCTGGAACTCAACCCTTGCAGATAGTGAGGGACAGCTGTACTGTTTTTTGTTTTGTTTGTTTTGAGACAGAGTCTTACTCTGTTGCTCAGGCTGGAGTTCAGTGGTGAGATCATAGCTCACTGCAGCCTCTACTTCCTGGGCTCAAGCCATCCTCCCACCTCAGCCTCCTGAGTAGCTGGCACTGCAGGCGTGTACTATCACACTCGCTAATTGTTTGTTTTTTTTTAATTTTGGTGGAGACAAGGTCTCATTATGTTGTCCAGGTTGGTCTCAAACACCTGAGCTCAAGCAATCCTCCCGCCTTGGCCTCCCAAGGTGCTGGGATTACAGGCATGAGCTACCACACCCGGCCAGACACTGTGCTGTTAAAGTTCAATTTTCTGGCCGGGCGTGGTGGCTCACACCTGTAATCTCAGCACTTTGGGAGGCCGAGGCGGCCAGATCATGAGGTCAGGAGGTTGAGACCATCCTAGTTAACACGGTGAAATCCTGTCTCTACTAAAAATACAAAAAAAAAAAAAAAAGGCTGGGCGTGGTGGTGGGCGCCTGTAGTCCCAGCTACTCGGGAGGCTGAGGCAGGAGAATTGCTTGAACCTGGGAGGCGGAGGTTGCAGTGAGCTAAGATCGTGCCACTGCACTCCATCCTGGGCAACAGAGCGAGACCCTGTCTCAAAAAATAAAAAAGTTCAATTTTCTTTGAAGAATCTTGACATGGAGAAAAAGCCCTGCCACACAAGTAGATCATCTGCAAAGCGGAAGTCAGATGGGTTCGAGTCCCAGCTCTGCCACTGACAGTGCCTCAGTTTCTTCATCTGTAAATTGGGTGCAGTGATAGGCCCAGCATTACAGCGTTGTTGTGAGACGGTGTTAATTTGTGTAAAGTGCTTCCGGCCGTGCCTGGGCTCCTAGGAGGGTCTCCACCAAGCAGGGCAGCTCAGGTCCAGTGGTGGCTGGAATTGACACCGTCAACTCAGTGCACCTGAGAACTCGCTCTAACCTGGTGGGGCTTTGGTGTGTGTTTGTGGTTCTAGCGCCCAGCCTCCGACCCTTCCCCTGCCCACTGTGGGGGCCAGCTATACTGCACAACCCACTCCTGGGATGGACCCTGCCGTGAACCCGGCCTTTCCCCCAGCTGCCCCGGCAGGGTACGGTGGATACCAGCCCCACTCCGGCCAGGACTTCGCCTACGGCAGCCGACCCCAGGAGCCCGTCCCCACGGCCACCACCATGGCTACCTACCAGGTATCCAGTCCTTTCTTTGACCAGCGTTGCCGGGAAACGTGGGTCGCCTTGCATGGGTGAGAGCGGTGGGCTTCCCACAGCTACTCCTTCTCCCAGGCCTCTTAACCGTGATCCTTCCTTCGGGACCCTTCTGCTGGCATTGCGTACCCGTGGTGGGGAGAAATCAGGGCAGAGTCGCTTCCGAAAGAATCCACTGCTCTCGGGGACAGGCCGCATGCGTACCTCCACGTCGGGGCAGTGGGGACAGTGACGGCGCACAGAGCTTTGTCCCAGCTTCAGCAGTGACTATGAAGGAGGAGGAGGGTCGCCTGGGTTACAGGACCCCTCCCTGGTCAGGGCAGATGGCCTCGGCCACCTGGGCCCAGAGAGACCAGGACTCACCCCACCTTCCCCACGCTCCAGATTCCTACCTTCTAAGAGGGAGTCTGTGGTGTGTGGGGTGCACCTGGGTGCTGACGACCTCACCTTCCCAACCGAGGCACTCAGGCTGCAGATCCAGCCACCGTGTTCCCACTTGGTGTCGCAAAGATGTCCCCCGTGACCATGCTCCAATTTCCCAGCTCTGCCACCCGCACCTCGTCCCCAGATTGTGTCGGTCAACGGCATCAGAGGCCACCCTGTCACTCAAGCTCAGCACCCACCTGACCCCACCCTCTTCCTCCCCTCTCCATTTCCTTGCCAAGGCCTCGGGGGCTTCTCCCTGCAAACCCGCCCTCTCCTGCCGCACCAAGCGTCCTCTTGTAAATTGCAGTCGAACTCTTGGAAATTAGTGTCGGCTCCATGACAGCTGCTGTGTCAACCACGCCCCCTGCCCCCTGCCCCCTGCCCCCTGCCCCCTGCCTCCGGGCCAGGGCCTGGTCCTGGGCAGACGCTTAGGAGCCAGCGCTGCAGGAAGGACTAAGTGCAGAGTGCAGTGTGGCAGGGCGCGTCGCACCCACCGCCTGAGCTGCTCTCCTCCGTTCTCTGTCTCTCTCCTGCCGAAACCCCCACATAGGACAGTTACAGCTACGGACAGTCAGCAGCTGCCAGGAGCTATGAGGACAGGCCGTACTTCCAGTCTGCTGCCCTCCAGTCTGGGCGCATGACAGCCGCAGACTCCGGCCAGCCAGGTGAGCCATCTGCAGGGTCGGGGCTGGGAACGAGGAGACGCTCCCCGCAGCACAGGGAAACCTTGGGAAACTTACTTTTTTTTTTTTTTAGACAGAGTCTCGCTCTGTTGCCCAGGCTGGAGTGCAGTGGTGCGATCTCGGCTCACTGCAAGCTTCGCCTCCCAGGTTAAAGCCATTCTCCTGCCTCAGCCTCCCGAGTAGCTGGGACTACAAGTGCCTGCAACCACGCCCGGCTAATTTTTTGTATTTTTAGTAGAGACGGGGTTTCACAGTATTAGCCAGGATGGTCTCCATCTCCTGACCTCGTGATCCGCCCGCCTTGGCCTCCCAAAGTGCTGCGATTACAGGCGTGAGCCACCATGCCCGGCCTGAAAGTTACATCTTTTCTTTTCTTTTCTTTTTTTTTTTTTTTTTTGAGACGGAGTCTCACTCTGTTGCCCAGGCTGGAGTGCAGTGGTGCGATCTCAGCTCACTGCACCCTCTGCCTCCCAGGTTCAAACAATCCTCCTGCCTCAGCCTCCCAAGTAGCTGGGACTGCAGGCACGCGCCACCATGCCTGGCTAATTTTTTTCTATTTTTAGTAGAAACGGGGTTTCACTATGTTAGCCAGGCTGGTCTTGAACTCCTGACATCAGGTGATCCACCTGCCTCGGCCTCCCAAAGTGCTGGGATTACAGGCGTGAGCCACTGCACCCCGTGAAAGTTACATGTTAACCATCCTAGAGGCCGGGCACGGTGGCTCACGCCTGTAATCCCAACACTTTGGGAGGCCCGAGGTGGGAGAATTGCTTGAACCTAGGAGTTCGAGACCAGCCTGGGCAACATAGTAAGACCCCCGTCTCTACAAAAAATGCAAAAAAATTAGCCAGGCATGGTGGTGTGCACCTGTAGTCCCAGCTACCCAGGAGGCTGAGGTAGGAGGTTCGCCTGAGCCCAGGAACTGAGCTGCAGTGAGCTGTGATCGCACCACTGCACTCCAGCCTGGGCAGCAGAGCAAGACCCTGTCTCTAAAAAATAAAAAATAAAAAAAAAAAACAAAATAAAGGCCGGGTGCAGCAGCTCACGCCTGTAATCCCAGCACTTTGCGAGGCAGAGGCGGGTGGATCACAAGGTCAAGCGATCGAGACCATCCTGGCCAACATGGTGAAACCCCATCTCTACTAAAAATAGAAAAATTAGCCGGGCAGGGTGGCGCATGCTTGTAATCCCAGCTATTCGGGAGGCTGAGGCAGGAGAATCACTTGAACCTGGAAGGTGGAGGTTGCAGTGAGCCGAGATCATGCCACTGCATTCCAACCTGGTGACAAAGCAAGACTCCGACTCAAAAAAAAAAAAATAATAATAATGATAATAAAAACATCCTAGATTTGCAGGTGAGCCTCAGAGCTGGCTGCTCAGATGGGCCCTGGGATCTCTGCCAGGTGTGGGCCTATGAATGAAGGAAAGTGAGGACTGAAAATGCAGCTAACATTTTTTCCAAGGAAGCTTTCCCGGGGTGGCAGGAGGTGAGCTCTGTGGGTGATGGAGCTGGAGATGCAGAGGAGCTTGTCTAGGGCACCCACAGCCCTCCTCCCCCATGGCAGGAGAGAGAAGCCGGGCTCTGGAAAGGAGAGGTGGGCACAAGGTAACCTGCGAGTCGCTGCCAGCACCTGGCCCAAGGCTCTGGCCTCTGGTCCTGGCTTAAGCATCTAGCGTGTTCCAGCCAGTTGAGTCCAGGGCCCATCTGCAGGTGAGGGACAGTGGGGTGGGGGTTGGCTCTGCAGAGGGCCTGTCCCTGTCCCCTAGGGACCCAAGAAGCCTGCGGGCAGCCCAGCCCCCATGGCAGTCACAGCCACGCTCAGCCCCCACAGCAGGCGCCCATAGTGGAGTCCGGACAGCCAGCGAGCACCTTGTCCTCGGGATACACCTACCCCACGGCGACAGGCGTCCAGCCCGAGTCGTCAGCTTCCATCGTGACCTCCTACCCCCCGCCCTCCTACAACCCCACCTGCACCGCCTACACGGGTAAGACCAGCGTTCCTTGCCCAGGTGGTCTGCCCGTCGGTCCCCACTTCAACTCAGTGGAATCAGCATCTCCCCCCGACTCATTGTTTTCTCTGCTGCTCAGCACCAAGCTACCCGAACTATGACGCGTCGGTGTACTCCGCTGCCAGCCCTTTCTATCCTCCAGCGCAGCCCCCGCCTCCCCCGGGACCCCCGCAGCAGCTGCCCCCGCCGCCCGCGCCTGCAGGCTCAGGAAGCAGCCCCAGGGCCGACTCGAAGCCACCGCTTCCCAGCAAGCTGCCGAGACCCAAGGCGGGGCCCAGGCAGCTCCAGCTTCACTACTGCGACATCTGCAAGATCAGCTGCGCTGGCCCCCAGGTCAGTCGCCCTCCTGCCATGGGCAGGCCCCAGGGACCTCTCTGTCCCCAACGTCTGAACCCGAATGTGGGCGCCGGTGGGGTGGTCAGGGTCGCTGCCTGCTGAAAGAAGGTCTGGTGTTAACTTGCATGTTGTATGCATGGCCTGTGTGTGCAAGCGCTTGTGTGTGTGTGCAAGTGTGAGTGTGTATGTGTGCGTGTGTTTATGCATGTGTATATGTGTGCATATGTGTGTGCAAACGTGAGTGTGCATGTATGTGTGCTTGCACGTATGTGTGCGCATGTGTGCCTGCATGTGCCTGTGTGTGCAAGCGTGTGTGTATGTGTGTGCATGTGTGTGCGTGTGTGTATGTGTGCGCATGTATGCCTGCATGTGTATGTGTGTGCATGCGCCCGTGTGTGTGTGTGCATGCGTGCTTGTGCTTGGCAGTGCTTGTTTGGGACATACGTGAAAGAATCTTTACCAAACACACGAGCTTGAGATTTTAAAGCTTGCAAATCACCCAGCTGAGATCGTGGGCTCAATTCCTGGAAAGATAATTAGACCCTAGAGCTCTGTCTTTGCAAAACACACACCCTGATCTTCTTTTGTTTTTAATACTCTGAAAGGAAGCTCTGGACCGCGGAGAGACACGGAGTCTGCAATCGCAGACTCTGGAGAGGTGTGAGAAGGCTCAGGACACCGTTATCAGGACCCCTGACCCAGCTGGGGATGGGGGGCCGGTCCCTGCTCAGGACCCCTCCCGCCCCAGATCACCCTTTCCCTGTCTCAGACTCTTTCCTCCAGCAGCTCTCCACTGTGTCTCATGCTGGGAGAGACCCCGGCCTTCTTTGCAGAGTGCTCGCATAGAAGTTTGAGTTTCTTTTGGAGACAAAGTCTCGCTCTGTTGCTCAGGCTAGGGTGCAGTGGTACAATCACAGCTCGCTACAGCCTCCACCTCCTGGGTTCAAGTGATCCTCCCCTCAGCCTTCCAAGTAGCTGAGACAGGTACGAACCACCATGCCCAGCTAATTTTTTAAATTTTCAATAGAGATGGGGTCTCACTATGTCGCCCAGGTCCAGTCTCGAACTCCTGGGCCCAAGCGATCCTCCTACCTCAGCCTCCTGAGTAGCTGGGATTACAGGTGCACACCACCATGCCTGGCTATTTAAAAAAAAATTTTTTTGTAGATACAGGGTCTCACTATGTTGCCCAGGCTGGTCTCGAACTCCTAAGCTCAAGGAATTCTTCTGCCTCAGCCTCCCATAGTGCCAGGATGACAAGCTGAGTCCCTGCGCCAGGCCCGTGTGGGTTATTTAATCCTTATATCTGCCTTGTGGCTACCATCTCTGTGTGGCAGATAAAATCCCAGAGGCTCAGAAAGGGTCAGTACTTTGAGGAACTCAGAGTCAGTTTTAGTGACCCAGGCAGAAATCAAACCAAGATGTGTTGAAGCCCACGTGGCTAATTACTGCAGTATACGCCAAAAGTGCACAAAGACAGCCTACTGGCTGGGTGCAGTGCCTCATGCCTGTAATCCCAGCACCTTGGGAGGCCGAAGCCGGTAGATCGCTTGAGCCCAGGAGTTCGAGACCAGCCTGGGCAACATGGGTGAAACCCTGTCTCTAAAAAAAATTTAAAAATTAGCTGGGCATGGTGGTACGCACCTATAGTCCTGGCCACTTTGAAGGCTGAGGTGGGAGGATCGTTTGAGCCCAGGAGTCCAAGGCTGCAGTGAGCTATGATCACGCTACTGCACCCCAGCCTGGGCGACAGGGCGAGACCCTTTGTCCACAAAAAAACAAAACCCCCCAAAAACCA
The DNA here is from genome assembly GCF_000001405.40 of Homo sapiens. Taxonomy (NCBI): domain Eukaryota; kingdom Metazoa; phylum Chordata; class Mammalia; order Primates; family Hominidae; genus Homo; species Homo sapiens. The sequence continues at coordinate 3,829,501 of NC_000019.10, read as the reverse complement.
ACAACAACAACAACAACAAAACACACACACACACACACACACACACAAACCTACCTATAGTCCCCCATAATCCCTCCACCCTGAAATGATTTAGCGGTAGCATCTTGGTGTGTATCCTTCCAGAGTCTTCTCTATTCCACAGGCAGTCTCTCTTTCTAAGTTAGTATGTGTGCACAGGGATGCGTATTTATTCTATTGCTTAGGTAATATATTTATGAGGTTCAAGACTGCTAAATTCCAGGCTGGGCGTGGTAGCTCACACCTGTAATCCCAGCACTTTGGGAGGCTGAGGTGGGAGGATCGCCTGAGGTCAGGAGTTCAACACCAGCCTGGCCAACATGGTGAAACCCCGTCTCTACTAAAAATACAAAAATTAGCCAGGCGTGGTGGCAGACGCCTGTAGTCCCAGCTACTTGGGAGGCTGAGGCAGGAGAATGGCGTGAACCTGGGAGGCGGCGGCTGCAGTGAGCTGAGATCGCGCCACTGCACTCCAGCCTGGGCAACAGAGCAAGACTCCGTCTTAAAAAAAAAAAAAAAAAGATTCCTAAGTTCCAGAGAGCATGCATACAGTAAAATGTATGCCTCTCCCACGTCCTATTTTTCTTCCCTAAAACCAGACAATGTCTCTGAGTTCTTGTGTGCCAAGCCGGTGGCCTGCAGGTGACGGGGCAGTGCCCACTGTGCCCCAGTATTTTCAGGGGCATTTTTCAGTCTGCAGAATGTTTATTCTTGGCATTGTCAGGGCGTGTTGGTTTCGTGGCCCTCCTGCCACGTCTTGTCTGTGGCCGGCTTCATTTGAGGATTTCAAGCAGCACACCCAGGATTCTGCCTAAGGGCTTGGCTGTCGCTTCCCCAGACGCAATCAGATATTTTGGGCCCAGTAGTACCGGATGCGTAGGCCTGTGACTCACGGTGGCTTCCCCCGGGTGGAGCCCCTGTGTCTATTAGCAGTTTCCTAAGATGGAAGTGTACGTGACTATCCTTCGGGCAGCAGGTGCCCTTGCTTGGTTTCTGACGTTGAATTCTGAAGTCAGAATTTTCTGTATACAGCAGCCCCCAAAAGGAATGTGTGATGCATGGAGCATGCTTTCCAAAGAAACTCCTTGAATTCCAGAAGAAGGAAGAAACCTTATGTCTAGCAGTCTGAGCCTGTGGGTTTGTTACGTGGGCTTCATAAAGGGACACTTGAATTAGCTACGCGTGGTGGTGTGCACCTGTAGTCCCAGCTACTTGGGAGGCTGAGGCGGGAGAATCGCTTGAACCCAGGAGGTGGAGGTTGCAGTGAGCTGAGATCACGCCACTGCACTCCAGCCTGGGTGACAGAGTGAGACCCTGTCTCGAAAAAAAAAAAAAAAATTTGAGACGTCTATAGTAAGAAGATAGGCTGGGCGCGGTGGTGCGCTCCTGTCATCCCAGCACTTTGGGAGGCCAAAGCAGGTAGATACTTGAGGTCAGGAGTTCGAGACCAGCTTGGCCAACAGAGTGAAACCCCGTCTCTACTAAAAATACAAAAATTAGCCGGGTGTGGTGGCACCCGCCTGTAGTCCCAGGTACTTAGGAGGCTGAGGCGGGAGAATCACTTGAACCCAGGAGGCAGAGGTTGCAGTGAGCTGAGATCGTGCCACTGCACTCCAGCCTGGGCAACAGAGCGAGACTCCATCTCAAAAAATAAAAATAAGAAAAATAAAGGGACACTGGAACCTCCATGGCACCAGGGAATGGAGGGTTGGGGACAGCGGGCCTCTGTTACCACCGAGTTCCCTCGCGCTAAGCCGGGGGCCTGCAGGGGAGGGGACAGTGGCCAGTGTGCAAACCCCCGCCCAGGCTGCCTCTCACCCCTTGCCGCAGACCTACCGGGAACATCTGGGAGGGCAGAAGCACAGAAAGAAGGAGGCGGCCCAGAAGACAGGCGTGCAGCCCAACGGGAGCCCGCGCGGGGTGCAGGCGCAGCTGCATTGCGACCTGTGCGCCGTGTCCTGCACCGGGGCGGACGCCTACGCGGCCCACATCCGGGGATCCAAGCACCAGAAGGTACGGCCCCGCCCGGCCCAGGCTCTGCCACCCTGGGGAGAAGGCCCCCAGGTCAGCACTTGGGACCCACAGAGGTACCTGGGGAGATCAGAGGGAGCTGGGAGAAGCCTCCCCAAGTGGAGCGCGCCCCAAGGGCCAGCCGCCCAGGCCCATGCGTCCTCATCTTCAAGGATCCAAACTCCTTTCCAGTTATTTTATTTTAGTTTTCATTTTATTATTTTTTTTAATGGGGACAAAGTCTCGTCCTGTTCCCCAGGCTGGGATGCAGGGGCACAATCTCGGCTCACTGCAACCTCTGCCTCCTGGGTTCAAGCAATTCTCATGCCTCAGCCTCCTGAGTAGCTGGGATCACAGGCATCCGCCACCGCACCCGGCTAATTTTTGTGTTTTCAGTAGAGACGGGGTTTCACCATGTTGGCCAGGCTGGTCTCGAACTCCTGACCTCAAGTGATCTGCCCGCCTCAGCCTCCCAAAGTGCCGGGATTACAGGCGTGAGCCACCGTGCGGGGACTCCTTTCCACTTATAAAAAGGGTTCCTGCTCATTGCACAAAAACATGAAGTGGCCGAGACACTCACACCCGGACTTCCAAGAAAGCTTGGCATTCGGGCGTGGTGACAGACAGGGCTTGCCCTGTGATGAGACCCAATGCTGTGTTCCCTTTGAGGTCTTGCTCTTCACACTCCCTGCTGTAGTATCACTGTTCTCCTGAGGCCTTAGTAAGGTCTGGGTCAGGCCGGGCGTGGTGCCTCACGCCTGTAATCCCGGCACTTTGGGAGGCCGAGGCGAGTGGATCGCATGAGGTTGGGAGCCTGAGACCAGCCTGGCCAACATGGTGAAACCCCGTCTCTACTGAAAAATACAAAAATTAGCCGGGCGTGGTGGGTGCGTGCCTGTAATCTCAGCTACTCAGGAGGCTAAGGCAGGAGAATTGCTTGAACCCGGTAGGTGGAGGTTGCAGTGAGCTGAGATCTCGCCACCGCACTCCAGCCTGGGCGACAGAGCAAGGCTCTGTCGCCAAAAGAAAAAAAAAAGAGGCCTGGGTTTCGTCATGTTCGGCGGGGAGGGGATGGAGTCCCCACCTGAGAGCAGGGAGGGGACAGCTGGCTTGTGCTGTAGCCCGGGCTGTCAGGCTGAGCCACCCTGAGAGGCCTGGCTGAGGACCTGGCTTCTCTCCCCCAGCTGCCTGGAGGCTCATCCAGGGCCTCATTCCCTGGCTCGGCTCAGGACAGCTTGCTGAGGGCCCGTGTGAACCCACAGGGGAAAGAGGAATGAGCAGGGAGGCATGGAGGAGGGAAGGAGCGGGGCAGAGAAACGGGGGAAGGAGACTTGGCCTGGGGACCGGAGAGCTAGGGGCCGGTGGGGCAGAGCTGCAGGTGTCACCCCCACAGGCTGGGGCTCAGTCTGGGGGTCAGGCAGGCCCTGCTGCCCGTTGTGGGGTTGGGGGGTACAGGGCAGGTCTTGTACCAGGGTACAGCGTGTCAGAGACAGAGCTGGGAAGTGTGTCTGAGATGGTCCCCAGCACACACACAGTGGCCCTGTGCACACGGAACCTTTGCCAGAAACACCTTGTACCTAGAGGTGCTGAGAATGGGGCACGGCCAGAATACGGACGTGACCATGTGCACACGTGCGTGCAGAACGTGGGTGTCCGTCCAGGGACACGTGCACACCCACCATCCATCCACACATGCTGAGTCCCGGGCAGTCAGGGAGCACTAGGCTGGGGCTTGGGAGGCTGAGAAACGGCCCCACCTGGCAGCCCACGTGGTGGAGGAGGAGGAAGAGCGTCCGTGTGAGCCGGTGAGCCACGTGCTCACACACTAGAGGAGTGTCACCGTGCTAGAGAAGTCACAAGCACGTGTGCAAGGCAGGAGGCCACCTGGGAAGGGCCTTCTGGAGTGGGTGTTATCCAGAGAGCAGGAGGAGAGAAGAGAGGGGGGTCCCTGGGACCGGCCAGCCCACACTCGCGCTGCACGCCCGTGGAGGCCCTTCCTGCCTCTTGAAAAAGGCCATCAGGCTGGGAGCGGCCCTCACGCGGGAGCCCGGCTCTGTCTGTTGCAGGTCTTCAAGCTGCACGCCAAACTGGGGAAGCCCATTCCCACCCTCGAGCCTGCACTGGCCACAGAGAGCCCCCCCGGGGCAGAGGCCAAGCCCACGTCCCCCACTGGCCCCAGCGTGTGTGCCTCGAGCAGGCCAGCGCTGGCCAAGAGACCCGTGGCCTCGAAGGCCTTATGCGAGGGTACGTGTGTCTGTATGCGTGTTCGTGTACCCACCAGAGCCCTGGCCGCCTAGTGAAAGTTTCGTGAGAAAATCTACCATCCAGTCGATTTTCGTCATGTCTTCCCGGGGGGTGGTGAGGGGCTGGCTGGTGCCGTCTCTCCCTTATTCCTGCAGAGCAAGATGGCCTCCCACTGGCCCACACCGCCCTGAACCTTGGAGACCCTTTGAGACCATTTCCAGAGAGTGCTGGCAGAACCAATAAAATGGTAATGCCATTTCTTCCTGTAGAGTTTTTTTGTTTTGTTTTGGTTTGAGATGGAGCCTCGCTCTGTCCTCCAGGCTGGAGTGCAGTGGTGCGATCTCAGCTCACTGCAACCTCTGCCTCCTGGGTTCAAGCGATTCTCCTGCCTCAGCCTCCTGAGTAGCTGGGACTATAGGCATGCACCACCACGCCCGGCTAATTTTTGTATTTTTCGTAGAGACAGGGTTTCACCATGTTGGCCAGGCTGGTCTCGAACTCCTGACCTCAAGTGATCCACCAGCCTCGGCATTCCAAAGTGCTGGGATCACAGGCGTAAGCCACTGCGCCCGGCCTCTTCTGGTAGAATCTGGCCTGGTGCCGGGTGCTGGGGTTCTCTGGAAGCCCTCACCCTGCACCTACAGGGTTCCCTGGGCTGCCACCTCCACTGTGCTCCCCTGCATGCCCTGGTGCTCACGGTGAACAAATTGGGCTCAGAATCAGAGTTATATGGGTACCAGGAAATGAAGGTGGAATCCTCACACCCCTCTGCCTGTGACCCTACCTTCCCTGCGTGCAAAGCCCCAGCTGTCAGAGCTGACCCGCGTTAACTAGGATTACATGCCAGGCGTCTGCTCACTGCTTTGTGTGCATTGCTTCGCTTTACCTCCACGACAACTCTTTTTTCGTGGTTTGTTTTGTTTTGTTTTTGAGACAGAGTCTCACTGTGTCACCCGGGCTGGAGTGCAGAGGTGCAATCATAGCTCACTGCAGCCTCCACCTCCTGGGCTCAAGCGATCCTCCCAGCTCAGCCTCCTGAGTAACTGGGACTACAGGTGTGCACCACCACATCCCACTACTTTTTGTATTTTTTTTTGTAGAGGTGGGGTTCTGCTATGTTGCTGGGGCTGGTCGGAAACTCCTAGGCTTAAGCGATCCTCCCAACTCGGCCTCCCGCAGCACTGGGTTTACAGGCATGAGCCACTGTGCCCAGCCCACAACTCATTTGAGTCAATGTTGTCACCAGTCCCAATGTGTAGATGGAAAAGCCGTAAACGGTGGAGGTGGAATTGGAACCCGGGTCTGTCTAAGAGTCTCTGCCCTGGACCACCGTGCTGTGCGTGGGCAGGGGTCGAGGGAGCCACATTCTATTTTTAGCCTCAGCAGCGTTGATTCTTGAATAGCAACATGATTTTGAAGATCAAACCATCAAGTCATTCTTATAACAAAGATATTTGTCTCCCCCCGAGGCTCCATCATTTCGCCTAACGGGGGTAGGTTAAGTGCGAGCCTTGGTCCGCCTGATACTTCATGGTCTATTAACTGTGGATTTTGTGCTGTCGGTGGGTTCCTCAAGCGAGGGCCTAAAACCAGGGCTTCTCCCCGGATGGATTGAAATTGGCCTCGGTTTCTTGGCTGGGTCACACGCAGGCATGAAAGGGAGAGCGAGGTTGCTGTCCGGGGCCATTCCCCCTGACATCACAGGAGGGAGGGGGATGGCACAGCCTGCAGTCTGGGTGGCTCTCCACCCCATGCCGCCTGGCGGGTCTGCAGCTGCAGTGCTTTCTCCTGGAACAGGGTATAAGTGACATGGTTTTTCCCCTCAGGGCCTCCTGAGCCACAGGCAGCAGGCTGCAGACCCCAGTGGGGGAAACCAGCCCAACCTAAATTAGAGGGTCCCGGAGCACCTACCCAAGGAGGCTCAAAGGAAGCTCCCGCGGGCTGCTCTGATGCGCAGCCGGTGGGCCCGGAATATGTGGAGGAGGTAAGTCGAGGCTGTCAAGTCCTGGTGCCCCGGTCAGGGAAGGACCTTCCCATGGATCAGGCTTCGAGACCTCACCCGGCTTCTCCCAGCGAGATTTACAGACCCATCCCCGTTCCTGAGCTGCACAGGCCAGACCTCCATGGACCAAAACCCCGTGCAGACCCGCTTGACACTTTGGGTGCCGGATTTTGGTATCAGCAGGAAATGAATATGGCCCCGTGAGGGCCAGAGACAGGCCGAGGCATTCCCAACAGGGGACCCTGCGGAGCCGTCTGTCTGGAAGGTGGAAGGGATCTGGGCAGTAGAAAGCTCCCCGGGAGGTTGGAAGCCCTTCTGTCTAGCCCCTTTCCTGGGCCTGCGGGACCCTGGGACCTGCCAAGGTCAGGCTGGTGAGCAGTGGAGCCGAGCTCCTGGGCCAGGTCTGCCAGCTCCCAGGCCAGCGGCAGTTCAGACCCCGGTTGGCCTTGTGCGTGCCAAAGAGGCAGGGCTGGGTTTCCTCTGCCTTGCCTGTAGGCCTGGGATTCTTTTAAGAGAAAGGGTCTTGCTGTGTCACCGAGGCTGGAGCACAGTGGTGCCATCATGGCTCACTGCAACCTCAAACTTCTGGGCTCAATCAATCCTCCCACCTCAGTCTCCTGAGTAGCTGGGACTACAGGCATGAGCCACCACTCCCAGCTAATTTTTGTATTTTTTATTTTTTTTGTAGAGATGGGGGTCTCGCTATGTTGACCAGGCTGGTCTTGAACTCTTGGGCTCAAGCAATCCTCCAGCCTCCCATGGTGGCGTGTGCCTGTGGTCCCAGCTACTCGGGAGGCTGAGGTGGGAGGATCGCTTGAGCCCAGGAGTTTGAGGCTGCAGTGAGCCAAGACCGAGCCACTGTACTCCACTCCAGCTTGGGTGACACAGCAAGACGCTGTCTCTAAAAAGACATACATAAATAAAATGAGCAGCAAGGAGGAAGGCTCCGCCGCGACCTGGCAGCGGTAGCATCTCACATCCCACCCCGCCTCGTGCCTGGTGCGCGTGCGGCTGTTCTGTGTCTCAGGTGTTCAGCGACGAAGGGCGAGTGCTTCGCTTCCACTGCAAGCTGTGCGAGTGCAGTTTCAACGACCTTAACGCGAAGGACCTGCACGTGAGGGGGCGGCGGCACCGGCTGCAGTACCGGGTGCGTCCAGCAGGGGGAGCTCCGACACCCGTCCGGGCTGTGCTAGGGCCCGGCGGGCGCTGGGAGGCCTGTGGTCGGGCCTCTTCCGCGCGTGTGATCCGACGAACTTAAGAGGGAGGGGTGATTTTCTGGGTTTTCAACGTCTTGGTCCTCGTCTCAAAAGTGTATCTTCGGCCGGGCGCGGTGTCTCACGTCTATCATCCCAGCACTTTGGGAGGCCAAGTTGGGTGGATCATTTGAGGTCAGGAGTTCGAGACCAGCCTGGCCAACATAGTGAAATCTTTACTAAAAATACAAAAATTAGCCAGGTGTGGTGGTGCGCACCTGTAATCCCAGCTACTCGGGAGGCTGAGGCAGGAGAATCGCTTGAACCCGGGAGGCGGAGGTTGCAGTGAGCCGAGGTCACACCATTGCACTCCAGCCTGGGAGACAAGAGCAAGACTCTGTCTCGAAAAAAAAAAAAAAAAAAAAAAAAAGGCTTTGGGAGATTTTTCAGCCCAACAGTTCTAGTCTCTGGGCCTCTCCCTGCACCCCAAGATCCTCCTGGCATCCCTGTCTAAAGCAAGGTCCCTACTCTCAGAGCCTTGCCTGTCCTTTCCAGAAGAAAGTGAACCCGGACCTTCCCATTGCCACGGAGCCCAGCAGCCGGGCTCGGAAGGTCCTGGAGGAGCGCATGAGGAAGCAGCGGCACCTGGCGGAGGAGCGGCTGGAGCAGCTGCGGCGCTGGCACGCGGAGAGGAGGTGCCCGGCTGCGGGTCTTGGCAAGGGGGCCTGGTGAGGGAGGGCAGGTCCAGCGTGGAACCTAGACGCCCACTGCTGCAGATTACGGAGCTCCTCCGTGTGAGCTCTCGAGCAGTGGGGGGAGACGGGTGCCCGGGCAGTGGGCACGTCCTGGTGTGGGAGCGTGAGAGGGTTCCAGAGCAGACGGGCAAGGGCACAGTGGCGTGCGGACCTGACACGTGGGCTCCAGGGCCTCCGTAGACGCAGGGACACTGCCGGCCAACTCGCTGGACCACACGGCTGCAGAGGTGCCTTGTGACCTGTGTCCCCCGACCCCCGGTGTCCCTGTGTCCCCGACCTCTAGTGTCCCTGTGTCCCCCGACCTCTAGTGTCCCTGTGTCCACCGACCTCTAGTGTCCCTGTGTCCCCCGACCCCCGGTGTCCCTGTGTCCCCCGACCTCTAGTGTCCCTGTGTCCCCCGACCTCTAGTGTCCCTGTGTCCCCCGACCCCCGGTGTCCCTGTGTCCCCCGACCTCTAGTGTGCCATGTGACCCCTGACCCCTGGAGTCCCCCTGACCCCTGGTGTCCCTCTGTCCCCTGGTGTTCCTGTGTCTCCTGACCCCTGATGACCCTGTGTCCCCTTACCCTTGGTATCCCCTGAGTCCCCTTGACCCCTGGAGTCTCCTGTGTCCCCCTGATCCCCTAGCGTCCCCTCATTCCCAGTGTCCCCTGTGTCCATCCTAGAGCATTTTCTGATGTAACATCTGACTCTGGTGTGTCCAGCAGCAGCAGGTCTGCATTGGGAAGGGAACCAGGACCTCCTGAAGGCCATGGCTGCCCGGGCTGGGCCTCATTTGCCTAAGGGGTGTCTTTGGCTGCCCCCCACACCAGCCTTCCCAGCCTCAGTCTTCTGTGCATACAGCAGGCACCCATGCAGTGCAGTGGAGCCCCAGCAAGAGCTTTGGCCCTTCCTTCCTTGCTGGGAGCATAAGGCCCCAGTGTTTCTGACTTGCCCCCAGCTTAGGGCCACTGCTGGCCTGACCATGCTCTGTCACGTCTCGGTCCTGCAGGCGGCTGGAGGAGGAGCCACCCCAGGACGTGCCGCCCCACGCGCCGCCCGACTGGGCCCAGCCTCTGCTCATGGGCAGGCCGGAGTCACCCGCCAGCGCCCCACTCCAGGTAGGTACAGTTTCCTCTGTGTGCAAACGCGGGCGACCTCACACTCCCCGGAGCAGCGGACACCTCCTCGGGAGGACCCGGCCTCCCCCCAACTCCCACATAGTACTCAGGGGATGGGGCTCCATGGCCCAGGCCTCCTCACTCCACAGATGGGAGCCCCAGCACCCCAGCCCCTGCCACTGGCCACAGAGATCCCTTCTGCTTCCTGGAGCCCCGGGTGGTCGCCTCCCTTGGGGAGCCTCATGCCTCTGTGGCTACTACTGTCTCTTCTCAGAAGCACCTGTCCCCGCAGCCCGAGCCCCCAGGTTCGATGGGAACTATTTTTTTTTGAGACAGAGTCTCACTCTGTCGCCCAGGCTGGAGTGTAGCGGTGCAATCGTGGCCTCACTGCAACCTCTGCCTCCAGGGTTTAAGCGATTCTCATGCCTCAGCCTCCTGAGTAGCCAGGACTATGGGCGCCCGCCACCACGCCGGGCTCTCTTGTGTTTTTAGTAGAGGCAGGGTTTCACCATGTTGGCCAGGCTGGCCTGGAACTCCTGACCTCAGGTGATCCGCCCGCCTCGGCCTCCCTAAGTGCTGGGATTACAGGCGTGAGCCACCGCGCCCGGCCTCAATGGGAACCTCGGATTTGCACCTTGCTGTGAGAAAGGGTTCCCAGGCTGACTCAAAAGCCTCTGGTCTGGAAATTTAAGAATATGGCCAAAGGTGGCGGAGTTTCCCCCCATTCCTTCACTCAGACCCGAGCTTCCTGCAGCCATCGGGGCAGCCCGAGGTACTTCCCTGTTCCCCACCCCGGGGCTCTCTGTGTGCACTGGATTCTCACCTGGCCACGCTGCCGCCTCGTAACCTGGCTGGCCACGGCCACCTGCCCCCACCTGCCCGCCTGCCCAGCACTCCCCAAGGGTCCCCACAGACCACCCTTGACACGTGCGGCCTCTCCCCACAGCCCGGGCGGCGGCCGGCGTCCAGCGACGACCGGCACGTCATGTGCAAGCACGCCACCATCTACCCCACGGAGCAGGAGCTCCTGGCCGTGCAGAGGGCCGTGTCCCACGCAGAGCGGGCCCTCAAGCTGGTGTCCGACACACTGGCCGAGGAGGACCGGGGCCGCCGAGAGGAAGAGGGTGACAAGCGCAGGTCATTGGAGATCCCCTTCCCCAGGGCCCGGCTCTCAGCCAGGACAGAGGTCAGCTCCTCGGGACGAGACCCTGCAGGAACCCCTAGCTCTGATGGGCCTGGAGCCGTCGGTGGCCCGCGGCAGCTTTCCAGCCCCAGGAGTAGGAAGTTCCCCAGGTCTCAGAGCTGGAGCTTCTCGGCACTGAACGAGGCTGGTTTGCAGCGGGTGATCCGTGCTGTTCTAATGCCTTAGCATTCCCTTTTGCTATTGAAGGCGCATCTAAAAATAGTTCACAAGGGACTGACAGTCTCTGTAAACCTCAGTTTCCTCATTGGCAAAAGGAAAAGCTGAGCGTGATTCTGACGGACTTCTCCGCCTTGGGGAGTGACTGAGTAATCAGAGTAGTTCATGTCACTGAGTGCCCGTGTGAATCAGCTCCCAACCCCTGTGATTCTTAGGAAGTGAGAAAGTCCCCACGTCGTCTAAGTAATTGCCATGGAGATAACTCATCTGAGCGGGAGTTACCTTTTTTCAAAGTCCTTTCCTGCTCTGGCAGCTGCTGTTTGTTGTTGTTGTTTTTTTGTTTGTTTTGTTTTTTAAGAAACAGATCTCACTCTGTTACCCAGGCTGGAGGGCAATGGCGCGATCAGAGCTCACTGACCCTCAGACCCCCGGGCTCAAGCTGTCCTCCCGCCTCAGCCTCCCGAGTAGCTGGGACTGCAGGCGCCCACCACCACACCCAGCTAATTGTTAACTCTTTGTAGCAGGGAGAGGTCTCGCTATGTTAGCCAGGCTGGTCTTGAACTCCCGGGCTCAAGCGATCCTCCCACCTCGGCCTCCCAAAGTGCCGGGATTACGGGTTCACTTTCCTCTTTGAATGCTTCTCTATTGTGGTAAAATCCACATCACACAACACTGAGCATTTTAACCTGTCTAAGTGCACAGTTCAGGGGCATGAAGCACGTTCACACGTGCAAACTACACCCCTGTCCATCTCCACAGCTGTCTCATCTTCCCAAACAGAAGCTCTGTCCCAATTAAGCAAACTCCTCTTTTTGTTTCGTGCACCCATGCGTGCCCGCCCTGTCTCTGTGGATTGGCCTGTGCTGGACAGTTCATAGAAATGGGGTCGCACACCGTGTGGCCTTTTGTGTCTGGCTGATCCACTTGGCCTGAGGGCTTCCTTTTGCTGGAGCACAGAGCTCCATATAGGAAATGTGAGCCTTGCACCTGTGGGTTGCAAAGTGTCCCAATACAAGGAGCGCCCAGGAAGCTGCCCTCTCCTTTTTTTTTTTTTTTTTTCTTTTTTGAGACTGAGTCTTGCTCTGTTGCCCAGGCTGGAGTGCAGTGGTGCGATCTCGGCTCACAGCAACCTCTGCCTCCCAGGTTCAAGTGATTCTCCTGCCTCAGCCTTCCAAGTACTGGAACTACAGGAATGTACCACCACACCCAGCTAATTATTATTATTATTATTATTATTATTATTATTATTATTATCATTATTTTGAGATGGAGTCTTGCTCTGTCTCCCAAACTGGAGTTCAGTGACACAATCTCGGCTCACTGCAACCTCCATCTCCTGGGTTCAAGCGATTCTCCTGCCTCAGCCTCCCAAGTAGCTGAGATTACAGGCACCCGCCACCATGCCTGGCTAATTCTTATATTTTTATTAGAGATGGGTTTTCGCCATGTTGGTCAGGCTGGTCTCAAACTCCTGACCTCAAGTGATCTGCCCACCTCGGCCTCCCAAAGTGCTGGGATTACAGGCGTGAGCCACTGCGCCCGGCCTAGGTTTGTGAATTTTCTTAACCCCCGTGAAGCAAGAGCAGAAAGCAGCCTTGCTTTCTGTCCTCTCTGGAACCCATGTGGAGCCGAAACAACAGGGTGACAGAGTCCGTGAACGCGGGAGCCACCAGACCTCGCGGGGCGGGCCTGGGGCTTAGCGTTTGCTCACAAGGAAGGAAAATGTGGGTTTGGCCACGCGTCCCGGCTACTCCGAGGCATGCCCGGTGACAGCACCTCCGAGATCGATCTCACGGTGTCTCATTTCATCCCGCAAGCGCCTCCGACAGAGCGGCCTGGTCCCATTTCATGGATGAGGATGCCGAGGCACAGAGAGGCTCTGTAACTTGCAGGGTCCCCGTAGCTCAGGAGGGAGGCAGCTGGGGTACCCCGCGTCTCTCCGCTGATGGCGCACGTCTGTGGCTTTGTCCCCACAGCAGCGTTGCCCCCCAGACTCGGGTCCTGAAAGGCGTCATGCGAGTAGGCATCCTGGCGAAAGGCCTCCTCCTGCGTGGGGACAGGAACGTGCGCCTCGCTCTGCTCTGCTCCGAGAAGCCCACGCACAGCCTGCTGCGGAGGATCGCCCAGCAGCTGCCCCGGCAGCTCCAGGTAAGGTCAGGGCCCTGCTCATCGCTGCTTCTGGCGTCTGGCTGCCAGCCCTCTCCCCGCAGCCCCTTGCGCTCCTAGATGGCAGGGGACCTTTGTTACTACACAACTTTAAGGTACAAGAAGCATTAAGCCAGGCGCAGTGGCTCACGTCCGTAATCCCAGCACTTAGGGAGGCTGAGGCAGGTGGATCGCTTGAGGTCAGGAGTTTGAAACCAGCCTGGCCAACATGGTGAAACACCGTCTCTACTAAAAATACAGAAATTAGCCAGGCCTGGTGACATGTGCCTGTAATTCCAGCTATGTGGGAGGCTGAAGTGGGAGAATCACTTAAATCCCGGAGGCAGAGGTTGCACTGAGCTGAGATTGCACTGCTGCCCTCCAGCCTGGGCGACAGAGCGAGACTGGGTCTCAAAAAAAAAAAAAAAAAAAAGATACAAGAAGAAGCATCGCTGTTAGAAACCAACCAGTTTGTTAGCCAGGCATGGTGGCTCACACCTGAAATCCCAGCACTTTGAGAGGCTGAGGCAGGAGGATCACTCGAGTCCAGGAGTTTGAGACCAGCCTGGGCAACATAGTGAGAACCTGTATCTGCAAAAAACTTAAAAATTAGCTGAGCATGGGCCAGCCGGGGTGGCTCACACCTGTAATCCCAGCACTTTGGGAGGCTGAGATGGGCAGATCACGAGGTCAGCAGATCGAGACCATCCTGGCTAACACGGTGAAACCCCGTCTCTACTAAAAATACAAAAAAAAAATTAGCCAGGCGTGGTGGCGGGCGCCTGTAGTCTCAGCTACTCGGGAGGCTGAGGCAGGAGAATGGCATGAACCCGGGAGGCAGAGGTTGCAGTGAGCCGAGATCGCGCCACTGCACTCCAGCCTGGGCGACAGAGCGAGACTCCGTCTAAAAAAAAAAAAAAAAAAAATTAGCTGAGCATGGCGGCATGTACCTGTGGTCCCAGCTACTCAGGGAGCTGAAGCGGGAGAATCCCTTGAGCCCAAGAGTTCGAGGCTTCAGTGAGCTGTGATTCACTACTGCACTCCAGCCCGGGCAACAGAGCAAAACTCAGTCTCAAAAGAAATTCAAAAAGAGTAAATGATGATGAAAGCTGCACAGAAAACATTCGCAGCAATGGCGACTAGGAAGCCGTAAGAAAAGCAAAAACCCAATTTCAATTTTAGGGCTGTGAAATGTCAACTGAATTTTTTTCCTCTAGAGAATTTTCATATACTCTTCTCATACTGAAGAATTTACATTGATCATCTTAGGTTTAAAAAGAAAAATCGGGCCTGGCGTGGTGGCTCATGCCTGTAATCCCAACACTTTGGGAGGCCAAGGCAGGTGGATCACCTGAGGTCCGGAGTTCGAGACCAGCTTGGCCATCATAGTAAAACCCCATCTGTACTAAAAATACAAAAATTAGCCGGGCATGGTGGTGGGCGCCTGTAATCCCAGCTACTCAGGAGGCTGAGGGAGGGGAACCATTTGAGCCCTGGAGGCAGAGGTTGCAGTGAGCAGAGATAGTGCCACTGCACTCTAGCCTGGGCCACAGAGTAAGACTCTGTCTTAAAAAAAAAGAAAGAAAGAAAAATGAAAAATCAGTCCCCAGAGTCGTTCCTTCTTCCTGAGCGTCTGTCACCATCCCTGGGAAAACTCAGCCTTACTCCTTTGACTTTTCCAGTGGGCACTGGATGCCCAGTGGATGGGCAGTGCCTGGTCGGGGAGACAGTGTTCCCCATAGAATGACCAGCACCTGCAGAGGCCAAAAAGCAGGAGGCCCAGAGCAAGGAGGGGTGGGCACGAGGGAATGAGGGGGCACCTAGATCAAGCCAGGCCTGAAGGCCGTACCAGGAGGTAGGATTGCATTCTTAGGGAAGTGGGGAGGCTGGAGGGTTTTGAGCAGGGGAGTGACATGCTCTGACTTCAATAATTGCATCTCACATTTCCTGCACACCTACAACATGACAGTGGCCACAACATGATAGATACAGCCCCTGCTTTCTGGAAAACTTGCAGCCTGGTGGCAAAGACAATAACTGAGCCCCATGAGAATGTATAAGGCTGTGGGGAAGCTGACAACATCCACCCCAGTAATGTCAACGGAGCCCCCTGGGGGCTGCCTTGCAGCAGGGAGGCCCTGAGAAGGGAAGGGATGGAGGATGGGGAGAGAGGTGCGTTTCAGGTGGGAGGCCAGGCTCAGGTGTGAGCACAGGCCTCATGGAGGGTGATGACCATGGACAGGAAGACCAGACTGTGACACAGACCTCTTGAGCTATGTCCTGCTCACAGGAGATGGTGGCGTCTCATTATGGTTTTAGTTTACTCCTCCCTGACTATGGGGTAATGTGTGTCACTGTGTAAAAAGGGCCATTTGTGTTTCTTTTTCTGCCAGGTATCTGTTATTTCACTCACCAATTTTTTTATTGGATTGCTGGTCTTCTTGTTATTGAATTACAGGTATTCTTTACATATGGAGGCTCCTTGCATCACATGATCTGTTGTCTGTACATATCTCTACATGTGTGCACTCCTGGAGGGCTGCGGCTGTGTCTTGGTCACTTGGAGGTTCCAGACACAGGGCACAGGGCCCGGCACCCAGGCAGCAAGTGTGGGAGGCCCGACGGGATTAATTTACACACACCAACCACATCCTGGCTGATTTACACATGAATCTGGGCTGCAGTAAGGTGGCCTTGTGTTGTATTTACCCCTCCCAGATGGTGACCGAGGATGAGTATGAGGTCTCCTCCGACCCTGAAGCCAACATTGTCATCTCCTCCTGTGAGGAGCCCAGGATGCAGGTCACCATATCTGTCACCTCACCTCTGATGCGGGAGGACCCCTCCACAGACCCAGGTGCGGCCCAGCCCTTCCTTCCAACCACTGTCCCCCTCACGCTTCCCCAGGGCGCTCCCCACACCCAGGCCTGGGGCAGCGTCCGCCTCTGCCCTGAGCAGGAAATGCCACAGCAGCCACGCTCCAGCACTGCTGTCCCCCTGAGGATTCCATGGGTCACACAAGAGCTGGGTCTCCGGGCAGCAGAGGCGGCGAGTCGGTGACAGCATCAGATGGGCTCAGAGCCTGGCTGCAGGGGCCTTGCTCGGGCAAGCGACACCGTGTCACCTCCCTTGCCCTTACCCAGGGCTGGCACCTGCTTCTCAGGCCCTGGTGACACCAGCCCTGGCGGCAAAGGACAGGTCTGAGCCATTTCCCCTGGGTCACGGCAGAAGCTCAGTTTGACTCTGTCCATCAGTCACCACAGTCCCAGTGCCACTGATTAGGAATGTAGGGAATCGGGGGTCTTAAAGCCAGACCTGCCAGGCCTGGGAGGGTGGGTGAGGGGCCGGGCCAGGCTAGGGGCAGCGAGGGTCTTGGCCAGCGGCCACAGCGAAGACAGGCATCAGTAACACACTGCACGTCTGTGCTCCCGAAGTCTCAGCCAGCTGTGGAATCTTCCAGAACAGTCTCTAGGGCAGTTTTCCAAACTCCTATCATCTTTTACCCCCTTCGTAATCTTTTTTGGTCATAACTGAGGGCCATGACCTACTGATGTTTCTCTTTCAATCGATTTGGTATTTTTTGTTTGTTTGTTTTTTGAGACAGAGTCTCGCTCTGTTGCCCAGGCTGGAGTGCAATGGCGCAATCTCAGCTCACTGCAACTTCCGCCGCCTGGGTTCAAGCGATTCTCCTGCCTCAGCCTCCGAGTAGCTGGGACTACAGGTGTGCGCCACTATACCCAGTTAATTTTTTTGTATTTTTAGTAGAGACAGGGTTTTACCAGGTTGGCCAGGTTGGTCTCGAACTCCTGACTTCAGGTGATCCACCCACCTCGGCCTCCCAAAGTGCTGGGATTACAGGCATGAGCCACCATGCCTGGCCCAATTTGTTTTTTAAAGCTTAAGTGTTTTGTTTTGTTTTTTAATAAGAGCCTTGAATCATTAAATGGAAAGTCACGATCAGTCCTCACAAATAGTCATCTAAAAACTAAGTACAGTGTGGGGAAGAGAGTGGCTTTTGGCGCTAGCTGAAGGCTGTGACACAAATGCGGAGGAGGCTGGGGAGTGGCGCGGTTGTGGGGGCGGGTTAAGGGTTGGCGGCCACTAGACAGTGGCTCTTTCCTGGCTCGGGTGGGTGATGAAGTGAGCGGAAATCCTTCTGTGAGGACAGATCAGTGACAGAAGAGCCCCGTGAGCCGCCCCCCAGGAAAGTGCACTTCCTGTCGGCCTTTTCCTGCCCCCGCTTCCTCTCCCCAGGCCCAGCGTGGTGGGGAGGTGAGCTTCTAAAACTCCCTTTTTAGGTCGGGCACAGCGGCCCACCTCTCTAATCCCAGCACTTTTGGAGGTCCAAGTGGGAGGATTGCTTGAGCCCAGAAATTCGAGACCAGCCTGGGCAAGGTAGTGAGACCCCATTTATAAAAAAAACAAAAAAATTTGGCCAGGCGCGGTGGCTCACGCCTGTAATCCTAGCACTTTGGGAGGCCAAGGCCGGCGGATCACCTGAGGTGAGGGGTTCGAGATCAGCCTGGCCAACACGGTGAAACGCTGTCTCTACTAAAAATATAAAAATTAGCTGGGCGTGGTGGCGTGCGCCGGTAATCCCAGCTACTCAGGAGGTTGAGGCAGGAAAATCACTTGAACCCGAGAGGCGGAGGTTGCAGTGAGCCAAGATTGCGCCACTGCATTCTAGCCTGGGCAACAGAGTGAGACTCCATCTCAACACAAACAAACAAATAAATAAATAAATAAATATTAGCTGGGTGTGGTGGTGCACGCCTGCAGTCCCAGCTACTCAGGAGGCTGAGGCAGGAGGATCACGTGAGCCCAGGAGTTCGAGGTTGCAGTGAGCTCCAGTCACACCACTGCACTCCAGCCTGGGCCACAGAGCGAGACCCTGTCTCTAAATACGTAAAAAATAAAATCCCCACCGGGCACGGTGGCTCACGCCTGTAATCCCAGCACTTTGGGAGGCTGAGGTGGGAGGATCACCTGAGGTCAAGAGTTCAAGACCAGCCTGGCCAACATGGGGAAACCCCGTCTCTACTAAAAATACAAAAATTAGCCAGATGTGGTGGCGGGCACCTGTAATCCCAGCTACTTGGAAGGCTGAGGCAGGAGAATCACTTGAACCCCGGAGACAGAGGTTGCAGTGAGCCAAGATCATGCCACTGCACTCCAGCCTGGGTGACACAGTGAAACTGTGTCTCAAAAAAAAAAAAGCGTCGAGGGGCCCAAACTGAGCCCCTCACCCCGTCGGCAGCAGAGCGGGACGAGGCACCTTCCCCGCACACCTCGAGGTTTTTCTTCTAGAAGGTGTGGAGGAGCCTCAGGCTGATGCAGGTGATGTCCTGAGCCCCAAGAAGTGCCTCGAGTCCCTGGCCGCCCTCCGTCATGCCAGGTGGTTTCAGGTCAGGGGGGCAGGGGTGGAGCAGGGGGAGAGGGGTGACTTTGAGGAACGTAGCTCAGAGGCACCAGGTCAACCCGGCGCGGCCGCCTCAGCCCCGTGGGCTCCCAGCGCAGACCGGGACGCCTGCCATCAGCTTCCTGGCCGAGTGCTGACTTGACAACCAACGCTGGCTCCTGGCTGATGGGGTCGGGAAGTGTGGAAGGAGTGGGTGCTGCCCTGGGGGTGGGGACGCTGCCGTCTCGTGGCCACTCAACAGCCTGGTGGCACCGGGCTCATGTGGGAGTGGACTCTGTTTCCACCCGCCACCTTCGAGGCCCGCCAGGCTCCCTATTATCCTCCCTGGGGTTCACGCTCACGACAGAGCCCGGCGCCATGCCGTGTGGCCACGTGAGCCCCTGAAAGCTAACCGTGTGCTTCTCCCCCGAAGGCTCGAGCCAGCGGCCTGCAGCCATGCGTGATCGTCATCAGGGTCCTGAGGGACCTCTGCCGGCGTGTGCCCACCTGGGGGGCCCTGCCAGCCTGGGTAAGGCAGTGCCTGGCGGCCCGGCCCTCCACTGGGACCCCCAAGGGCCTCCATGGCCCTGACAGGCCCAGGCTGAGAGACAGACCTTTTCCCTCGAAGGAGCCGGCGGGAGACCTAGTACTCAGGAGAGGCCGTGGGAGTCCCTGAGGTCCCCTTGCGGGGGAGACGGCCCTCTCCACAGCCTCATTTGACTGCCACTATTCAAAACCCAGAACCTCACATGCAAATGTGGGACTGGCCAGGGAAATGTGAGGTGTCTGCCCGACTTCGTGGCACCGGGGCAGAGGGGCCCAGGCAGAGGGGCGGAAGCCGGACTCCCCATCCTGGCTGCACACCGGCCTCTGGGTGACCCAGCCCAGACCCACCTGCTCTGGAGGGGAGACCCCCTGTGGCTCAAACACCACCCCCCAGCCCATCCTGGTAGAAAGGGGAGGGAAGAGAAGAAACAGAATCCCCTCACCACAAGGTTCACAGAGCACGCCCCATGCCCACGCTCCCCACGGAGACCCCGGGAACCCACCCAGTCCCCACACCTTCTCCACCAGCCACAAGCCAGCCATCCACACCCGGCCTCCCCCCCGCCCTGCGGGCGTCCCCCATCTCATGCTGGAGTGGCGTCCCCCATCCCGTGCTGGAGTGGTGTCTTGCCCGTGGTCCCTCCCACTGGGCCTGTGTGCCTCATCCACACCCACCCACTGCCCAGTGTCCAGAATGCAGCATGGTACAGAGGCGTTTGTTTGTTTTGTTCTGTTTGGTTTGGTAGAGATTAAGTCTCTTTTTTACTTTTTTTTAAAATCATTTTTTTGAGATGGAGTCTCGCTCTTGTTGCCCAGGCTGGAGTGCAGTGGCGAAATCTTAGCTCACTGCAACTTCTGCCTCCTGGGCTCAAGCGATTCTCCTGCCTCAGCCTCCCGAGTAGCTGGGATTACAGGCACGCACCACCACGCCTGGCTAATTTTTGTATTTTTAGTAGAGATGGGGTTTCGCCATGTTGGCCAGGATGGTCTCGAACTCCTGACCTCAAGTGATCTGCCCGCCTCAGCCTCCCAAAGTGCTGGGATTACAGGCATGAGCCACCGCGCCGGACCTTTCACACTCATTGTTTAGGGGAAACGTCCTCTCCTCTCCTGGGAGGAGGTCACAGTAGCCTCCGTGCTGGGTGACCGGTGTGCGGCTGTCCTGACGTGGAGAAAGCCTGTGTTCCCTGAGACCTGTTTTCCTGCTGTGACTGTAGAGGCACCCACACAGTGCTGTGGGAGGCCAGCAATGCCCCTGTCCCCTCGTGCCCTCGGGAACTGGCCACAGGGGGGACGTGGTGGGATAGGGTGGCTCCTTCCCCTCAGCTGAGGCGGGCCCCACGTGGTGGACAGTGCACCTGACACTGGCATGTGATGTCACTGTGGACCGGCCGGGGAAACTGAGGCTCAGAGGGGTGAAGAAACCAGCCAGTATGGGAGGCTGAGGCAGGAGAATCGCTTGAACCGGGGAAGCAGAGGTTGCAGTGAGCTGAGATCGTGCCACTGCACTCCAGCCTGGGCAATAGAGCGAGACTCCGCTCTCAGAAAAGAAAGAAACCAGCCTGTGGCCGTGCCAGGAGGTGGCAGAGCCCTGCCACGGGCAGCCCTCCTCGGCGGAAGTTCAGTGGGTGGTGGGAGTTAGAGAAAGAGCTGAGGGGGGCCTCCTGTCCCAGGGACCCCAGGACCTCCCGGGCAGGCAGGGGCTGCCGCGCGCCCAAAACACAGCAACTGCTCTTCTGTCCCCACCAGGCCATGGAGCTGCTGGTGGAGAAGGCTGTGAGCAGTGCGGCTGGGCCCCTGGGCCCCGGGGATGCAGTCAGGCGAGTCCTGGAGTGCGTGGCCACAGGGACGCTCCTGACAGGTCAGTCGCTGGGCCGGAGGGCCCAGGAGGTGGGCGGCAAATCGCAGAGACCAGGGCCCGTGGCCATGGCACAGAGAGCTGGGGTCACAGACACAGAGGAAGTGTCCAGCCCAGGCAGGAGTGCGGCCCACAACACACACATGCTCCCAGCAGGAAGGCAGACAGGGCCGCGGTCATGGAGGACACCACCCTGCACGCAGGGCACAGACACGCAGGTCCCGGAAGGGAGGGCTCAGCCCCCACCCAGGAGACAACAGTTATGTTCTCTGGTGGCCACGCCCACCGGCGGCGGCACAGAGCCACCCCGGCACAGAGCCACTCTGGCACAAATCCACCCCGGTGCCTGTCCTCCAAAGATTATCCAGAGGGAACAGCCAGGAGCTCAGAGGACAGAGGGCGCAGAGCTGCCCAGCACAATGCGTTCTACACCAGCAGAGGGAAGAGAACGCGCCAGGACACACATGTGAGAGGGTGGCGGCCAGATACGGAAAAGGGTGTTTTCGAGTCATTTTTAGTGACATAGGATGATAGCAAGTGAAAAGGGAGCATGAAGCTTTCGGCCCATTGCCTGGGCCATCATGTAAAGCACACGTGTAGGCATGCACACGCACACACGCACATACTTGCACACACGGGCACACGCACGCACTCGCACGGGCACACACGCACATACACAGGCACGTGCATGCACACGCACAGGCACACACATGGACATACTTGCACACACGGGCACACATACGCACGGGCACACATATGGATATGAGCACACATACAGGCACACATGGATGTACTTGCACACACGGGCACACATGCACGCACACGCACGGGCACACAAGGACATGAGTGCACATACAGGTGCACACATGGATGTACCTGCACACACGGGCACACAAGCACGCACGGGCACACACAGACATGAGTGCATGCACACACAGACATGCATGCACACATGGGCATATACACATACATGAGTGCACACGGGCACACATGCACACACACAGGCACATGCATGCACACACACGGGCACACACATGGAATGAGTGCACATACAGGCACACGTGGACATGCTTGCACACACAGGCGCACATGCATACGCATGGGCACACACATGGACATGCATGCACAGGCACACATGCACACACACACGGGCACACCGTGCATGCATGGACACACATGGGTGCATGCACAAGCACACACCGACATGGGTGCACACACGGGCACACATGCACACACAGGCACACATGCACATACGCCAATGAGCACACACGTGCACACACGGACACACACGTGCACATGGGCACGCATGGACACACACGTCAGCGTATGTGTATATGCATGGGTGCACACAGGCACGAACACACACACAACGCCCAGGAGATGCTGGCAGCCCAACAGGCTTTGAGGGGCCAGGAGGACTCCCCCATGTGCCCGGGTGAGACCCTGAACCTGCTGAGAGAGGCCTGAGGGTCAGAGGTGCCACGGCTGCAAGTATAGCCCCATGCACGGGCCCCTGAGGCCCCACGGTGTCGAGGGACGGCCCTGTCACCGTCTTTCACGAGGGCATTCTCGCCTTCTTTGCTGTTCCCACTCCCCGTCACAAAGACGGGCCCGGGCTCCAGGATCCCTGCGAGAGAGACCAGACAGATGCCCTCGAGCCCATGACCCTCCAAGAGCGGGAAGACGTGACCGCCAGCGCCCAGGTAGGAGGGTCAAGTCACGGCAAGGGTGACACCCAGGCCCCAGCTCCGGCTTGCAGCTGTGCAGTGTTCCCCGAAATGGCCTGGGTTTCCCCTTCTCTCCCTCCCACTGAGATGTACAGGAACAGGAGGGCGGCCCGTGGGTGGCAGGACCACGCACAGGGACAGGGCCAGCCTGGCATGGTGGCGTGGGGCCAGCAGCTGAGAGCCAAAGCCACCACCGTTAATGACGCCCAGACCTCAGGTCTCATTGGCAGGGACCGTCCTCCCCCACACCACTGACCATGGTCCTAGAAGCCCAGCCGTGGCCGACAGCTCCGCCTGCCCAGCCCTCACCTGTGGTTACCTTGTTTGCAAATTTGTTTATAAGAAAAATCTCCTAGCAGCACCAAAACCAAACCGCATCGGGTCTGACGTTTCTGAATTTTGCCTTGAATGGGATCACTGGAATGGCTTGCAGTGCAGGATGTGGGGTCCCTCCAGTGAGGCGGAAAGAGCTGGTGGTCAGTGGAGCGGGGGGGCCTCCTGGGACAGTCCTTGTGGTCAGCCGGCACCACGCGAAAATTCCTCAGGCCCTGCAGTGACCCAAGCTCCGCAGTCGTAAGAAGCGGTGTCGGCCGGGCCGGGTGGCTCACGCCTGTCATCCCAGCACTTTGGGAAGCCGAGGCGGGCGGATCACAAGGTCAGGAGTTCGAGACCAGCCTGGCCAACATGGTGAAACCCTGTCTCTACTAAAAATACAAAATTAGCTGGGCGTGGTGGCACACGCCTGTAATCCCAGCTACTTGGGAGGCTGAGGCAGGAGAATCACTTGAACCTGGGAGGCGGTGGTTGCAATGAGCTGAGATCGCGCCACTGCACTCCAGCCTGGGTGACAGAGCGAGACTGTGTCTCAAAAAAGAAAGCGGCGGGGGGCCGGGGGCTATCTCGAGGGATACAGGATAGGCCTGGCCCATCTGCTGGTGGCCACAGACACCAGCCCCTCTGTGTCCCCAGCACTCGGGGAGCAGAGCGGGCGGGGGTCCTGACAGGCTGTGTGTGCCCCGCAGCACGCCCTGCGAATGCTGGCCTTCCGGCAGACCCACAAGGTCCTGGGCATGGATCTCCTGCCGCCCAGACACCGGCTGGGGGCCCGCTTCCGGAAGAGGCAACGGGGACCTGGCGAGGGAGAGGAGGGCGCAGGGGAGAAGAAGCGGGGCCGGCGGGGCGGAGAGGGGCTCGTGTGAGCCGCCTACCTCCCCCACCTGCGGGCCTTTGCATCCCTGCACTCCTGGACGTGTGCGCGCCGACCAATGGCTGCTTCATCCCCGACGTTGGACAATGGTCATTTCCTTTTGAGTAACGCTCTGTAGGTTTCCTTTAAAACACCTGTGCTTCAGACCGGGCACTGTGGCTCATGCCTTTAATCCCAGCACTTTGGGAGGCTGAGTTGCTTGAGCCTGAGAGTTCAAGGCCAGCCCAGACAACAGAGTGAGACCCCCATCTCTCCAAAATATTTTTAAAAATCAGCTTGGCATGGTTGGTGGCCAGGCGCGGTGATTCACGCCTGTAATCCCAGCACTTTGAGAGGCCGAGGTGGGCAGATCGCCTGAGGTCAGGAGTTCGAGACCGGCCTGGTCAACATGGTGAAACCCTGTCTCTAGTAAAAAACACAACAATTAGCCTGGCGTGGTGGTGTGCACCTGTAGTCCCAGCTACTTGGGAGGCTGAGTCCGGAGCCTTGAGGCCAGGAGGGCAGTGAGCTGTGATTGCACCGTGACACTCCAGCCTGGGCAACAGAAGAAGACTTTGTCACTTAAAAGAAATGTTTTTTAACATTTGTGCTTAAATTGTTACAGAAATGACACCATCCAGCCCTGGGAGTGGCACCCCTTCCTCGAGGGCCCCATCCCCCACAGCCAGGGGGGCCAGCAGTACAGCAAGCAGATTCTAAACTCGGGGGCATCTTGCTGGCTCTAAACTCACCTCGTGGTACAGGAAGGGGTTTTAAAATACTTCCTCTGGGCTGCGCATGGTGGCTCACACCTATAATCCCAGCACTTTGGGAGGCCAAGCTTGGTGGATCGCTTGAGCCCAGCGGTTTAAGATCAGTCTGGGCAATATGGTGACACCCCATCTCTACAAAAAATTAGCCAGTTGTGGTGGCCCAAGCCTGTAGTCCCAGCTACTCGGGAGGCTGAGGCCGTAGGATCCCTTGAGCCCAGGAGTTCGAGGCTGCAGCGAGCCGAGATTGCGCTACTGAACTCCAGCCTGGGTTACAGAGCGAGACCCTGTCTCAAAGAAACAAACAAACAAACAAACAAACAAACAAAACTTTCTTTGGATGCGGCTGCGGCATGGATTTGAAATCACGTGGGCAGGCCCTGTTCTGGGGCCCCACCACATGTGCAGGACAAGCCCAGGGGAGCTCCCAGCCGGCATCCCCACGCCCCCAGCCCAGCCTGCTCCAAACAGACCCCCCACCCACCTCCACAGCCAGGATGTCAGCAGGGCCTGAGCCAGGCTCGTCCCCTGTGGGGAGAGCCACAGGGCCAGGTGGACACGCCGACGGGCGATGAGGATCCTGGCTGGGCCTCCCCCGGGAACAGCTGTGCTGGACAGTCAGACCCGGAGCCCAGAGGCACCCCCACCCACCCCCCGCCCCGAGCCCTGTACCACTGAGTGCCTTTCACAGAGAAAACCCACTCTGCCATGTGTCACTGAGGCCTGGATTTGAGCTTCCGTCCTTCCTTCCTCCCTCTCTCCCTGATGTAGGCCTTGGCTGGCCCTGAGGCAGGGGGTCCCCAATCCCCCCTTGTGGTAGCAGGGCCCGGGACCCGTGCCTGGGGGACCCGGGGAGGGGCCGCCGTCTTGTGGATGCTGGCCATGGTGGGCAGGCGCCTCCTGGCACTGATGGATGTGGGGGCACCCCCTTCTGAGTCCCCACCCCAACCTGTTCAAACCTTCCGCTTGGTCAGTTTTTTTTTCTTTGGCCAGCTGCCCAGTGGCATTGAATGAGAAAAGTCCACCTTTGGGCAGATGTGATCTCCAGCCAGTGGCTCAGTTTTGTTTCTCTGTGTTTGAAGGACAGCCTGCATGTGGCTCTGTCTGAATGTCTTTGTAGAGCTACCTGGAAATTGGGAGGCAGGGGGAATAAAGGAAATCATTTGTCTTTTGTGTGAGCCGTGCCGTCCTTCCTGCGGGGTGCAGGTGACCCCAAATGCTGGGCTCTTCACCTCCTTCTCAGGGTCCCGGGTGGGGGTCTCCCAGAAACCCTGCAGCCCAAATGTGGACTGGGAGGGGCCCAAGGGGCTGGCACTGCTCAGTGGCTGCTCCCCAAGGTGTGGGCATCCTCAGGCTGTCCCCTCACAAGGGTCCCCTGGGAACACAGACACACCGGCTGAGAATCATTCATCTCAACGCCTCCCATAACCCAGCTCTCTGCCTCGGTCCTTGAGGGTTCCCCTGGCCCCATCCTAGAGACACACAGTGAGATGCTCTGGAGGCTCCCCGAGGGCTTCCTGGAGGAGGAGGCAACTACGCTGAGTTTGGGAGAGATGCCTCTGCCCACAGAGTGCTTCCCCCGCCACATTCCCAAACCCTCAGAAGGCGGGCGGAGGGTGTTCAGATGCTGAGACCTGGTCACAGTGGAAGAGTTTCGTGACAGTTTCCAGCCCACAGGGCTTCCCTGGCAGTGTTTGGGACGGGGGGCAGGCGGGGAGCAGAGTGGGGAGGAGGCAGATGCAGGGTGGGGGAGGAGGCAGATGCAGGGTGGGGGCGGCGGGACGGGAGTGGCAGGGGCTGGGTGTGCAGGGACCGCTGTTTCAGGCCCAGGCCAAAGGAGGGGGGTGGGGAGCCACCGAGGGGTCCCCTTCTAGCAGGGATTATCTGTCAGCAACAGGAATTGCTGGTTAAGCCTCCCCGGAGGGCAGGCGGCCTCTAGGCCACCGTCCTCCTCCACCTCACACCCTCTCTCCTGCTTTCCACTCTATCCCAGATTTCTTGGGAACTTCACTCCCTTGCTACACACTCCGTCCACACACAGCCCCTCTCTCCGTCAGCATCGCGGCAGCAGCACCGCCATTTGCCCAGGGCTCAAGGTGACAGCCAGCACAACCAGGGAGGCCTCCTGGATTCCTCTGTGCTCCCGGCCAATCCATGAGGATGTCTTGTCAATTCCAGTTCCACCTTTTTTTTTTTTTTTTTTTTTTGAGACAGGGTCTCTGTCTCCCAGGCTGGAGTGCAGCAGCTCGATCTCAGCTCACTGCAACCTCGCCTCCTGAGTTCCAGTGATTATTCCACCTCAGCCACCCGAGTAGCTGGGACTACAGGCCTACATCACCACGCCCAGCTAATTTTTTGTATTTTTAGTAGAGACGGGGTTTCACCATGTTGGCCAGGCTGGTCTCAAACTCCTGACCTCAGGTGATCCGCCCACCTCAGCCTCCCAAAGTGCTGGGATTATAGGCGTGAGCCACCGCGCCTGGCCTATTCCTTGACTTTAAACCATGCATCTTTGAAACGATTTGGTATCTGTCTTCCCCTTGAGAATGTGAACTCTCTGCCTGTCAGGAAGCCTCTCACCATCAATTGGATCACCACTGTATTCCCAGATCTCGGGCAGGCCAGGTGGACGCTAGCAACTGAGTCGGTCTCAGTGCTCAGAGCCACGCTCTGACACCAGAGGACGTGTCTCTTTCTGGTGGTTATGAGAATACCATTTGTCGGCCGGGTGCAGTGGCATGTGCCTGTAATCCCAGCACTTTGGGAGGCCAAGGCGAGCGGATCACTTGAGGTCAGGAGTTCGAGACCAGCCTGGCCCACGTGGTGAAACCCTGTCTCTACTAAAAATACCAAAAATTAGTTGGGTGTGGTGGCGGGCACCTGTAATCCCAGCTACTTGGAAGGCTGAGGCAGGAGAATCGCTTGAACCCGGGAGGCAGAAGTTGTGGTGAACTGAGATCACGCCATTGCACTCCAGCCTGGGCAACAGGAGCAAAACTCTGTCTCAGAAAGACAGAGAACACCATTTGTCTCTGTCTCGTTACCGGTGAGGGACTCCAGCCAAGGCTGTGGGGACAGAGGGAAGGGACAGGGGAAGGGGCACACCCTGGCAGGCCTGGCGATCACAGCAGCCCCTGGTGGGAGGCACCTCGTCCCCTGCTGTGAACCCCAGGCGGTACCTGCAGCCCCGCTTCCTTCCTTATGCCCCGGGAGAGGCGGCTCTCGGAAGCCTCCCACCCACAGTTCCCGTTCCCATCCCTGGCTCCCGGGGAAGGCAAACAGGATTCCTGCCACCAGGTGGGTGAAAACCAGCCCGGCTGACAAAGAGTTAAGTCGGCCCTCCTAGCAACTCCAAAAAACCAAGTTTAGGCGGCGCGACAGCAAAATCAAGCAGTTGGTTAGCGAAGGGATTCGGTGCAGATGGATGGACCGTCTGGGCTGCGGAGTCCACGGGCCTGAAACGCGGTCGCTCCTGACCCGTCCTCCGCAACCCTCGTCCCACCAGGCCGCGGTTCCCGGAGCAGGCCGGCGGGTGGCAGGAAGACACCAGGCTGCAGGGGGCTGGAGAAGCAACACCCCTCTCCCTCCCCGCCAGAGAACTGGAGCGCGGGGACCTCGGTTGCGGATGCTAGCTGCGAGCCGGGTTGCTAGGCGACATCGGTGAGTGTAGGCGGGATGTACCGGGCGTGTGGGCAGGGCTGGAACCCAATCCGGCAGGCGGGACTGGAAAGACAAAAACGGAAGGGCAGGCTGTCACCTGCATCTGCAAGGTCACGGACAGGAGCGAGAGGCGGCCGCTAAGATGCCCTGAGTCCCCCGGCCCAGTCACAGTCAGCCTTGCAGGCAGCATCTCCCTGGCCAGGCTCGGGGGTCGTTTGGGAAAAGATTGTTGCCCGTCTTGTCCCGGGATGCCTCCCTAGTTTAGCTTCTGGGACTGAGAAGGTGTCTCAGGTGATCGGATTAAGACCCGCTTTCCTGGTTAAGGTGGAGAAGCCACCTCTGGGTAGAAAACGGTCACTCCCAAATTTTGCAAACGAAATGCATTAGGAAGCATCGGCCGGGCGCGGTGGCTCACGCCTGTCATCCCAACACTTTGAGAGGCCGAGGCGGGCGGATTACTTGAGGTCAGGAGTTCGAAACCCCGTCTGTACTAAAAATACAAAAATCAGCCGGGCGTGGTGGTGGGCACCTGTAATCCCAGCTACTCAGGAGGCTGAGGCAGGAGAATCGCTTGAACCTGGAGACCAAGGTTGTAGTGAGCCGAGATTGCGCCACTGCACTCCAGCGTGGATGACAGAGCGACACTCTGTCTCAAAAATACATAAATAAATAAAAATAAAAAATGATTAAGATGGCAAATTTTGTTACATGTGTTTTTCCACATAAATGTTTTTACTCATGAATTGGGTTTTTCCCATTATGAAAAACTTGGACAATCCAGAAAAATGGAAGAAGGAAAACAAAACAATCACAAAACAACCACAAAATTATCAGCTACTGTGAACACTCCATTTCCCTTCTGCTTTCTTTTCCTTTTTTTTTCTGAAGACGGAGTTTTGCTCCCGTTGCCCAGGCTGGAGTGCAGTGGCGCAATCTCGGCTCACCACAACCTCCGCCTCCTGGGTTCAGGCGATTCTCCTGCCTCAGCCTCCTGAGTAGCTGGGATTACAGGCACCTGCCACCACGCCCAGCTAATTTTTGCATTTTTAGTAGAGATGGGGTTTCACCACGTTGGTCAGGCTGGTCTCAAACTCCTGACCTCAGATGATTCGCCCTCCTCGGCCTCCCAAAGTGCTTGGCCTCCCAAAGTGCTGGGACTACAGGGCTGAGCCACCACGCCCGGCCATCCTGCTCTCTATTCTTTAATGCCCTGTTGTTTATGGGTGGGTCATTTTTACCATCTTGCTTCCTGCTTTTCTTCACTTGGTATTATAACGACATTGATTCATCACCTATTTACTGTGTGCTTATTATCTAATTTAATTCTTCTCATGACCCTACAAGACACATTTTATTTTTCTTTTTTCCTTTTTTTCTTTTTTTTTTTTTTGAGACGGAGTCTCGCTCTGTTGCCCAGGCTGGAGCGCAGTGGCACAATCTCGGCTCACTGCAGGCTCCGCCTCCCGGGTTCACGCCATTCTCCTGCCTCAGCCTCCCGAGTAGCTGGGACTACAGGCGCCTGCAACCACACCCAGCTAATTTTTTGTATTTTTAGTAGAGACGGGGTTTCACCG
Source organism: Homo sapiens (assembly GCF_000001405.40). Classification (NCBI taxonomy): domain Eukaryota; kingdom Metazoa; phylum Chordata; class Mammalia; order Primates; family Hominidae; genus Homo; species Homo sapiens. Next base: position 3,799,957 of record NC_000019.10, on the reverse strand, counting down.
TGTCAGCCAGGATGGTCTCGATCTCTTGACCTCGTGATCCTCCCGCCTCAGCCTCCCAAAGTGCTGGGATTACAGGCGTGAGCCACCGCGCCCGGCTGACACATCTTATTTTTCTTTGAGACAAGGTCTCGCTCTGTCACCCAGGCTCAAGTGCAATGGTGTGATCTCAGCTCACTGCAACCTCTGCCTCCTGGGTTCAAGTGATTCTCCTGCCTCAGCCTCCCAAGTAGCTGGGACCACAGGCGCCCACCACCACACCCAGCTAATTTTTTTGTATTTTAGCAGAGATGGGGTTTCACTGCGTTGCCCAGACTGGTCTCGAACTCCTGACCCCAGGTGATCCACCTGCCTCAGCCTCCCAAAGTGCTGGGATTACAGGCGTGAGCCACCACACCCGGCCTCAACTCCTGTTCTTTCAGTTGCTCATTAATTCCGTCTGTGTGTTGAACACCTGTGATGTGTGCTGGGCCTTCATTCATGTGGTTTCCCTATTTCTCCCATTGAGGATGTTGACATTTATTCCATAGACAATCAGCAAACACTCACTGCCTTCCTTGGGACACCCAAGGATGAGCCAGAAGCCGTCACTTCACGCAGTGAGGGTGACTCTGGGCTCTAGTCACAGCGTGGCCCTTTAACTTATCAGCTATGGAGTGTGGGGACAGCTCATGTTACCGCCTTAAGCTTCCATAAAATTGGGGTCAAACTGGTAGTCCCCAACTGTGCAGAGAGCTGTGAGGAGAATTCAGTAAGAAAATGCATTTTAAAATGCTTGCTGCACAGAAAGGTTCAGGCACAGGGACCCAGGCGCCATGGAGGGCAGGGATGAGGGGCTGTGCAAATGGGCTATTAAGGCCAAGTGCAGTGGCTCATGCTTGTAATCCCAGCACTTTGGGAGACTAAGGCGGGAGGATCACTTGAGCCCAGGAGTTTGAGACCAGCCTGGGCAACATACCAAGACCCCATCTCTGAAAAAAAAAAAAAAATAGCCAGGTATGATGATGCATGCCTATAGTCCCAGCTACTTGAGAGGCTGAGGCAGGAGGATCACTTGAGCCCTGGAGGTTGAGGCTGCAGTGACCTATGATCACGCCACTGCACTCCATCCTGTACGACAGAGTGAGACCCTGCCTTAAAAAAAAAACAGGCCGGGCACGGTGGCTCACGCCTGTAATCCCAGCACTTTGGGAGGCTGAGGCAGGTGCATCACCTGAGGTCAGGAGTTCAGGACCAGCCTGACCAACATGGTGAAATCCCGTCTCTACCAAAAAAAAAAAAAATTAGCCAGGCTTGGTGGCACATGCCTGTAATCCCAGCCTTGGGAGGCTGAGGCAGGAGAATCACTTGAACCTGGGAAGCAGAGATTGCAGTGAACTGACACTGTGCCATTGCACTCCAGCCTGGGCAATAAGAGCAAAACTCTGTCTCAAAAAAATAAAAAAAATAAAAAATCCAGGCCATTAAAGTCACAACCCCAGATGTCTAACCTCTTGTGGCTTCTAGAACGCTGGATGCCAGGCTATGAGAAAAGCCTTCCAGATGCTGCCAATGTTTCGGGATTCCTGCCCAGTGACCCCCACCCCCACCCGCCAACCACCCCACAGTGAGGCCGCCCTGTGGTGAGGAGGCTTCCGTCAGCTCTGTAGCACTCCATCATAATTGTTAGTCAACAGAGAGACCAAAACCCACAAAGAGAAAAGAAAAGTAACCTGAAGGAGAGACAAAGAGGGCAGAAGAAAACAGTTCTAGAAAAATCCTTATGTTCCTGATTCAAACACAGAACAGAAAAAAACAAAACCTGTATGCATCTTATCCTCGGAGAGCTCATAGAGGATATAACAGCCAGGAAACAAGTATAAGTTTGCCTTTATTTATTTACTTATTTATTTATTATTTATTTTTATTTTTTATTTTTTGAGATGGAGTCTCCCTCTGTCACCCAGGCTGGAGTACAGTGATGTGTTCTTGGCTCACTGCAAACTTCACCTCCCAGGTTCAAGCGATTCTCCTCCTTTAGCCTCCCAAGTAGCTGGGATTATAGGCATGAGCCACCATGCCCGGCTAATTTTTGTATATTTAGTAGAGATGGGGTTTCACCATGTTGGCCAGCCTGGTCTCGAACTCCTGACCTCTGGTGACCCATCAGCCTCAGACTCCTAAAGTGCTGGGATTACAGGTGTGAGCCACTGCACTGGGCCAAGAAATTCTTTTATTTATTTACATATTATTTGGAGATTGGGGTCTCACTATGTTGCCCAGGCTGGTCTCAAACTCCTGAGCTCCGTGAGCCACCACACACAGCCAAGTTTGTCCTTTAAAGAGGAACGGTAAAAGAACCAGAAAGAGCTCTTGGAAATTAAAACTCTGACAGTCACTGGGTGTGGTGGTGCATGCCTGTAATCCCAACACTCCAGGAGGCTGAGGCAGGCAGATTGTTTGAGCTCAGGAGTTTGAAACCAGCCTGGGAAACATAGTGAGACTAAAAATCAAAAAAATTAGCCAGCATGGTGGCAGGCACCTGTAGTCCCAGCTACTTGGGAGGCTGAGGCAGGAGGATCACTTGAGCCCAGGAGGTCGAGGCTGCAGTGGGCTGTGATTGCACCACTGCACTCCAGCCTGAGCAACAGAGTGAGACCCTGTCTCAAAAAAAAAAAAAAATTAATAGTCAAAATTAAAATGTCAATAGAAGGGTTGGAAGAAAAAGTAGAAAGTGGGGGGGTGGGGGGGAAGGTAGGCAAGAAAATGAAAACATCAATCCAAGAAGTCCACCCTATGACAATAACGTGTTCCACAAACACGCCAGAGAAACCAAAGTGGAAGAAATCACCAATGATATCATTCAAGAAAGTTTGCCAGGAAGAGAACACAGGAAAGAGCCCACCAAGTACTCAGCACAATGGTTGAAAACAGACCCACACCAAACCCACCACTGTGAAAGTGCAGGATGTAGGGAACAAGAAGATTCTACAAGCTTCCAGAAAGAGAGAGAGAGAGACAGAAATTAACCATGGGACAGGCAAAGTATGAGGAAACAGGACAACTTCTGATCATTCAGCTGCCCAAGACTAGAAGCTGGAAAACATTGGGCAAAAGAAAAGTATCCACCTACAATACTGTCAGCCAAACCTCTAATTACCCAGGAGAGTAGGAGGAAAACACTTTCTCTGGAAACCCTAGGGGGAGCACATTCCTAAAACAAGGGACCAAACCAAGAAACAGGGAGACCCACACCCAAGAAACAGGAGCTATATCTAAGAATCCCCTTGTGCCGAAGAAGAGAGGGGCCAGGATCACAGCTGGGCAGTAGGAGAAAGTCCTGAGTGGAGATGTCAGTTCTGGTGGAGAGGCTGGGGGAAAGAGTCACAGACACATAAAACCAAGGCGATGACTAACTCCAGGGAAATAAAAAAGCAGGTCCCAGAAAATAATGTTCTTAGTATACATTGCTCCACTGTCAATAATATTTATATTAATATATATACTATAAGCACTGAATTTTCATTTAAGCAAAAATTGTGATTTAACTGTTGGGGGAGCAGAATGCCTAAGAGAGCTAAATCTTGACCTTCTGGAATAGGAAGTCAATGGACAACATCCAACTGATAAATCAAGGGATGTGTAAAACACATTACTTGGAACTATGGAGGTAAATACCTGAAAACAGCAACAGCAACCCCTGAGGAGTGGGACATTATATTGCTTTGTCTTCAGCACACAGTAAAACACCCTATAAATATCAGCTGCTATTCATACCAACAAGAATATACTTACCCTTGAGAGGCTCATTGCTGAGTTGAGGAGCTTTATTTATATATTTTGAGTTTTATTTTTTTAAACACTTCTTGAGAGCTTATTACATGCCATGAGTATCAGCACATTTAATTTAACAGATTGAAAAATACAGCTGGTGGCTCACACGTGTAATCCCAGCACTTTGGGAGGCCGAGGCAAGCAGATCACTTGAGGTCAGGAGTTCGAGACCAGCCTGGCCAACATGGTGAAACCTCATCTCTACTAAAAATACAAAAATTAGCCAGGCGTGATGGCGCGTGCCTGTAATCCTAGCTATTCAAGAGGCTGAGGCAGGAGAATAGCTTGAACCTGGGAGGCGGAGGATGCAGTGAGCCAAGATCACGCCTCTGCACTCCAGCCTGGACGAAACAGTGAGATTCCATCTCAAAAAAAAAAAAAAAAAAAAAAAAAAAAGCACCTACTTATGAGAAAATAAAGACTGTGAGAAGGCAGCGGAGAGCAAACTACAGTCTGAGGGCCAAGTCCAACCTGCCATCTGTATCCGCACAACTCCTCCAGCTAAAATCGTTTTTTTACATTTGTAAATAGTTGGAGGAAAATGGAATCAATATTATATGACATATGAAAAGTCATATGAGGCCGGGCATGGTGGCTCATATCTGTAATCCCAGCACTTTGGGAGGCCAAAGTGGGCAGATCATCTAAGGTCAGGAGTTCAAGACCAGCCTGGCCAACATGAAACCCATCTCTACTAAAATACAAAAATTAGCCGGGTGTGGTGGCACATGCCTGTAATCCCAGCTACTTGGGAGGTTGAGACATGAGAATTGCTTGAACCCAGGAGGCAGAAGTTGCAGTGAGCCGAGATCACGTTAATGCATTCCAGCCTGGGTAACAGAGTGAGACTCTGTCTCAAAAAAAAAAAAAAGGCCAGGCTTGGTGGCTCACGCCCATAATCCTAGCACTTTGGGAGGCCGAGGTGGGCGGATCACGAGGTCAGGAGATCGAGACCATCCTGGCTAACACGATGAAATCCCTTCTCTACTAAAAATGCAAAAAATTAGGCGGGTGTGGTGGCGGGCGCCTGTAGTCCCAGCTACATGGGAGACTGAGGCAGGACAATGGTGTGAACCTGGGAGGTGGAGCGTGCAGTGAGCCAAGATCACGCCACTGCACTCCAGCCTGGGCAACAGAGCGAGACTCCAGCTCAAAAAAAAAAAAAAAAAAAAGCAAAAGAAAAGAAAAGTAATATGAAAGTCAAATGTCCATGTCCATAAATAAAGTTTTATTGGAATGCAGCCACGGTCTTTGGCTTCTGTGTTATCTATGGTGTCCCTGAAATGGCAGAGCTGAGTAGTTGGGACAGAGACCAGCATGCCCTTTAGAGAGACAGTTTGCTGGGCCCTGAGTTAGAGCATGAGGTCATGAGAGGATGAAGAGGGATCCTGGAGGAGAGACTTAGGGGCTGCTCTTGAGTAGACATGACTGGTTTATTCCGGAATAATGTGTATCTCCTGTTCTCCTTACTTGATCTTTTCTTTTCTTTTTTTGAGACAGGGTCTTGCTCTGTTGCCCAGGCTGGAGTGCAGTAGCATAATCATAGCTGACTGCAGCCTCAACCTCCTGGGCTCAAGTGATCCTCCTGCCTCAGCTTCCTGAGTGGCTGGGACTACAGGCATACACCACCACACCCAGCTAGTTTATTTTATTTTTTGTAGAGACAGGGTCTCACTATGTTGGCCAGACTGGTCTCCAATGGCAGGGCTCAAGCAATCCTCCCACCTCAGCCTCCCAAAGTGCTGGGATTGCAAGCGTGAGCCTTCATGCCTGGCCTCCTTCCTCAGACTTTACCCTCTCATCTGCTTCTGTAAGGGCCTTTTATGTGCCAGGCTCCAGACCTAAATGGTTGCCGGGCCCAGGGCTGGTCGTTACCCTCATTAGGAAGATATATTCTGTCGTGGGAAGCAAGGATGGAGGGAGATTGACAATGACGAGTGAGACAGGATAACAGGTGGGGATTCCGGCTTTGACAATAGAGAGTAACTAAGGGTGACCACTGTGGGGTGGCCAGGGAGGGTCTCTTGGAGAAGCTGAAAGTGCAGAGAAGTAGCTGGCCTTGAGAAGAGCTGGGGGAAGGATGTAGTACTAGGAGATAGGAAGAGCATGTGCAAAGGTCCTGTGGCTGCCCCATGCCTGAGCTTTTGGGAGACAAGGGAGAAGCTGGGAGCAGAGAGGTGACAGCCACTGGACCGCAGAGGTGACAAAGCACCGGGAGGCACACTGAGCTTAGTGGGAACCATGGGAAGCTTTTATTTTATTTATTTTTTATTTATTTATTTTGACAGTCTCACTCTATCACCCAGGCTGGAATGCAGTGGCCTGATCTCAGCTCATTGCAACCTCCACCTCCCAGGTTTAAGTGATTCTCCTGCCTCAGCTTCCCGAGTAGCTGGGATTATAGGCACATGCCACCACGCCCAGCTAATTTTTTTTTTTTTTCTTGAGATGGAGTCTCCACTCTGTCGCCCAGGCTGGAGTGCAGTGGCGTGATCTCCGCTCAGTGCAAGCTCTGCCTCCCGGGTTCACGCCATTCTCCTGCCTCAGCCTCCCGAGTAGCTGGGACTACAGGCACCCGCCACCACACCTGGCTAATTTTTATATTTTTAGTAGAGACGGGGTTTCACCATGTTAGCCAGAATGATCTCGATCTCCTGACCTCGTGATCCACCCTCCTCAGCCTCCCAAAGTGCTGGGATTATAGGCATGAGCCACCGCACCTGGCCTAATTTTTGTATTTTTTTAGTAGAGACGGGATTTCACCATGTTGGTCAGACTGGTCTCGAACTCCTGACCTCAGATGATCCACCAGCCTCGGCCTCCCAAAGAGCTGGGATTACAGGCGTGAGCCACCACGCCCAGCCGGGAAGCTTTTAAGGCCGGATGTGACACAGACCCAGTTTCCACGGATGAAACCTGCAAGTGTGGCTGGAAAACAACCTGTCCGGCTGCGTCTTAAGGACGAGGAAGACGGGGCAAGGGTTTTCCAGCAAAGACGCCCAAAGCAGCTCGCCCCAAGAGGCCCTTCGTTCAAGGAATCGAGAATGGCCGGGCAGACAGCGACTGGTTGCAGAATGAGTGATGCAGCGTTCTTCCTCGAAAGAGCCAGCGTTCCTCCCCTCAATCCCGGAGTCCCCTGGCTGGGGGGAGGAAGCTAAATTTAAAGGTTTGCTAACTGGGGCAGTGTGATCTAACTGCAGATTCCAGCCGAGGACGGCTAGGCCGGGGACGGCTTCCATGGAGGCCATGGCGGCTCAGGTGTCCCCATGTCTGGCTGCAGTGGCCTCCCCACCCCGGCCTGTCCTCCAGGTTCAGAAAGTTCAATTGTGAGGCTGGAAACGGTGGCTCACGCCTGTAATCCCAGCACTTTGGGAGGCCGAGGTGGGTGGATCACCTGAGGTCAGGAGTTCAAGACCAGCCTGGCCAACATGGTGAAACCCCATCTCTACTAAAAATACAAAAATTAGCCGGGCATGGTGGCTGGCAGGTACCTGTAATACCACCTACTCGGGAGGCTGAGGCAGGAGAATCGCTTGAACCCAGGAGGCAGAGGTTGCAGTGAGCTGAGATCGCACCACTGCACTCCAGCCTGGGTGACAGAGCGAGACTCCATCTCAAAAAAAAAAAAAAAAAAAAAGAGTTGGAAATTCATGTGCTGAAAAAGGCTGAACAAGAGGCAGGAGCCCAGTCCCTAACACTGCCCAGCATTGCCTGCCTCAGTCACGATGCCTTTCTATCAATTTCAAGCCTCTAGCGTTTGAAGTTCTCCATCCCAGCCAGCCAATCCCAACCCTGACTGATAAATTTTGTAAAGTATCTGTCATATGACTCATCACCTACTATGTTTATTGCCTACTATGATTTCCAACAGTATTTGTAGAGAAGAATAAGAATCGTGCCCTGCCTTAGAGAAGTTTGCAATCCAATCAGGGGAGTCTACAGGCCTGAGGTTTAGCCCCCAGCCAGCTGTGTGATCAAGGATGAGTAGTCTTGCCTCTCTGGGTCTCAGCTGTTCCACTTTACACTTTTTTTTTTTTTTTTAAGATGGAGTCTCACTCTGTTGCCAGACTGGTCTATAGTGGTGCGATCTTGGCTCACTGCAACCTCAGCCTCCTGGATTCAAGCGATTCTCCTACCTCAGCCTCCTGAGTACTTGGGATTATAGGCACCCGCCGCCACGCCCAGCTAATTTTTGTATTTTTAGTAGAGACGGGGTTTTGCCATGTTGGCCAGGCTGGTCTTGAACTCCTGACCTCAGGTGAACCACCCACCTCGGCCTCCCAAAGTGCTGGGATTACAGGTGTGAGCCACCGTGCCTGGCCTCAGCTGTTCTACTTCTCAAATGAGAAGACTGGTCTCAGTGATCTCTAGGAATTTGGAGAGTAGTGGGTTAGGCAGATTATGACAGCCAGAGGGGGGTCTATGGGAGGAGAGTGATATGTGAAGAACTGTGAGATTTGGATAGGAAAGAAATAGAAAAACACTCAAGAAGGGGAGGAGGTGGAGGCTGGGTGCGGTGGCTCACGCCTGTAATCCCAATACTTTGGGATGCCGAGGCGGGCAGATCGCCTGAGGTCAGGAGTTCGAGACCAGCCTGGCCAACATGGTGAAACCCCGTCTCTACTAAAAATACAAAAATTAGCCAGGCATGGTGGTGGGCACCTGTAATCCCAGCTACTTGGGAGGCTGAGGCAGGAGAATCACTTAAACCCGGGAGGCAGAGTTTGCAGTGAGCCGAAATCGTGCCACTGGACTCGTCTTGGAACAGAGCAATACTCTGTTTCAAAAAAAAAAAAGTGGGGGGAGGTGGAGAGATGACTGTGTCCACTGGGCTGCTGCATTGCAAAGGACAGAAGCCTGGTGCCGCCTGACTCAGGGAATGGAAGGCAGGTTTATGGACTCTCGGAAAGAGAAGCTCGAGGCATCCCTCTTCCCAGCTGGGATCAGGGAATCTAATTTGACTCAGCAATTCCACATTAGTCTGTTAATTTTAACTCCCCACTTCTGGTACTATTTTGAGTATTAAGAATCCCTTTGATTGTAAGCAGCAGAACCCCCTCGGGAAGAAATCAAAAAAGAAAGACTGGCTGCTAAAACTAGGTGTCACGTGAATTCCAGGCATCGCTGGTTCTAAGGATACGGAACCAGTCTTTCCCTTGGGATTCAGTGTCTCTCCCTGCTTCTTGGCTCTGTTTCCTCCAGGCTGGCCTCCTTCTCAGGCAGGCTAATGGGCTCAGTCACCAAGACCAAGGAGAGACGGCCAGGCTCACACCTATCACACAGTGAGACAAGAGAGCTAGTGCCTCTAGCAAGGGGCCCTTTCAGGGAGACCTTGCTCTAGGAAGTATGGGGATGTCCTTGAGGAAGGCTTTCCCCAAATGGTGCCACATGAGTTGTGTGTGGGAGAGTGAGCTTGGAGAGGCCAGCTGGACACGGCGGGGAAGGGCATTCCAGGGGAGAGGGAACAGCCAGTGCAAAGGCGTGGAAACTTCTGCAGTTCGGACTCACTAGAATATTAGGTTCTTGGAGGGAGGAGGAGAAAATGGGACCTGGGAGATCAGCTGGAGGCCAAACATGAAGAGCCCTGGATGCCAGGCTGAGCATTTTAGGCTCTCTCCTGCAGGCAGTGGGGAGCTATGGAAGGATTTAGAGTGAGGGAGGACACAGTCACGTTTCTTTCCCTTGGCTTTGCAGTGAAAGGTGAAAACCTGGAGGCAGCCAGGACGCCAGAAAGGGGACTGCTCTGTCACCAGCCTGCACCAGGAGGGTGACCTGCAGATCAGAGAACTTCTGAAATCAAGTTGACAGGGGGTCACCAAGGATGAGAGGTGGAGGGTGGGGAGTTCAGGACTGGGGGAATCTGGGTGTCCAGTCTACCCACTCAGGCTGGTATAAGGAAGGGGTGAGTCCCCCAGCTCCTTGGCAGGAAGCATTAGAAACTGGTGCGGCCACCTCTGGGGCCTGAAAGAGCCCTAGAGTCTTTGTGATTCAAAGTGGCTAATTCTTGGTCAGGAGGTCAGGAGTTCCAGGCCAGCCTGGCCAACATGGCGAAACCCTGTCTCTACTAAAAATACAAAAATTAGCTGGGCATGGTGGCGGGCACCTGTAATCCCAGCTACTCAGGAGGCTGAGGAAGGCGAATCACTTGAACCCGGGAGATGGAGGTTGCAGTGAGCTGAGATCGCGCCACTGCACTCCAGCCTGCGTGACAGGAGTGAGACCCTATCTCAAAAAAATACAAATACAAATACAAAAGTTAGCAGGGCGTGGTGGCACGCACCTGTAATCCCAGCTACTCAGGAGGCTGAGGAAGGAGAATCGCTTGAACCTGGGAGATGGAGGTTGCAGTGAGCCGAGATCAGGCCACTGCACTCTAGCCCGGGTAACAGAGCAAGACTCCATCTCAAAAAAAAAAAAAAAAAAAAAGCAAAGTTGCCAATTCTTGGATGCCTCACCCCCTCCTGAGGCTACCCCTTCTGTGGCTCTGATTCAAATAAACCGCAGGCTCAAATCTATCCCCCTAGAGTCAGGCACAGCTCAGTGTCTATGTCTCCACCCAGTCAGGGGAGCTCCCTGCCCCAGCCAGCCCTTGACAATTTGCGAACCCAACACCAGCTCCTTAAGTCCGCCCTTCTCTGGGCTCAAGACCTTGGTTCCCCTTATTATTTCTTCTGGGGTGAGGCCTCCTGCCCGGAGCCCTGGGGCTCCTCGGGAGGACTGACACTAATATCATTGATTTGCAGAGAGAGGAAGAGGAGAAAGTCTTCATGGGGTGCTAGAGCATCTTAAATGTCCCTCTCATGCAGGGACATTTCCCTGCTGAACGAAGAGAAGGCAGACCTCGGCGAGGGACCCGTGGTCAGCAGCAGCTTCTGGTGAGAATCAAATTAGGCGGCTGGGTTTTCCGCTGCAGATATTTTGACTTAACACTTCTAGTTCAGGCAAGTGATGGTGGTTTGCCATATATGGTGGGCCCGCAGTGACTGTGACAGAAGGACAGCTGCAGCGTCCCCAGCCCTTTCTGGGGAGCCACACCCCAGACTATCCCACAGCCAGATCCACGAAGCTGTGGGTGCTAAAATTGTAGACACGGGCATCCTCCCAGAAGATCTTCTAATAGTAAATTACAACCCCATGAAAGAAAGTTGAGGCCGGTAAACCATGCGCCGTGGCTCACGCCTATAATCCCAGCACTTTGGGAGGCCAACATTGGTAGATCACCTGAGGTCAGGAGTTTGAAACCAGCTGACCAATATGGTGAAACCCTGTTTCTACTAAAAGTACAAAAATTAGCTGGGTGTGGTGGCATGTGCCTGTAATCCCAGCTACTCAGGAGGCTGAAACAGGAGAATTGCTTGAATCCAGGAGGCAGAGGTTGCAGTGAGCTGAGATAGTGCAGTGGCTCATATCTGGAATCCCAGCACTTTGGGAGGCCAAGGTTGGAGGATCGTTTGAGTGCAGAAATTTGAGACCAGCCTGGGCAACATAGCCAGATCCCATCTCTATTTTTTTTTTTTTTTTTTTTTTTGGAGACAGAGTCTCACTCTGTTGCCCAGGCTGGGGTGCAGTGGCGCGATCTTGGCTCTCTGCAACCTCCGCCTCCCAGGTTCAAGCAATTCTCTACCTTGGCCTCCCGAGTAGCTGGGATTACAGGCATCCACCACCACACCAGACTAATTTTTGTATTTTTAGTAGACAGGGTTTCACCATCTTGGCCAGGCTGGTCTCGAACTCCTGACCTCGTGATCCACCCGCCTCGGCCTCCCAAAGTGCTGGGATTACAGGCATGTGCCACCACGCCCAGCTAATTTTTGTAGTTTTAGTAGAGACGGGGTATCACCACGTTGGCTAGGCTGGTCTAGAACTCCTGACCTCAGGTGATCTGCCCGCCTTGGCCTCCCAAAGTGCTGGGATTACAGGCGTGAGCCACTGGGCCCAGCCTACAGATGGGATTAAGTTGATGCTATTGAGATGAGAGAGCATCCTGGATGCCCCAGGTATATAATATAATATAATATAATATAATATAATATAATATAATATAATATAAATATTAATAATATAATATATATAATAGTATGGTTTAACCAGGCACCATGGTGTGCACGTGTAGTCCCAGCTACTCAGGAGGCTGAGGCAGGAGGTTCGCTTGAGCCCAGGCATTTGAGGCCAGCCTGGGCAACACAGAGAGACCCCCAGCTCTAATAATGATAATAATAATAATATAGTTTCCTAGTCTGCTGCATAATGTTCCTTAATATAGCTGTTCTGTAATTCTCTTGTAACTGGGCCTCTGCTCCCCGCAAAATCATGTGATGCCCCCAAGTCCAGACACACAGCCTTTTGGGGTAACAGAAGATTAAATATGGGCGCAGGCCACCTGGGCATCTCGGTTCATTGCCCTCCTAAGATGAACTTCATCTTTGTTTCAGAGGACTCATCCCTTAGAAAGGATGATAAGGTGCAAGGCGTGGTGGCTCACGCCTGTAATCCCAGCACTTTGGGAGGCCGAAATGGGAGGATCGCTTGATCCCAGGAGTCCAAGACCAGCCTGGGCAACAAAGTGAGACTTCATCTCAAAAAAATAAAAATAAAAATACAAAAGTTAGCAGGGCGTGGTGGCACGCACCTGTAATCCCAGCTACTCAGGAGGGTGAGGAAGGAGAATTGCTTGAACCCGGGAGGTGGAGGTTGCAGTGAGCCAAGATAGCGCCACTGCACTCCAGCCCGGGTAACAGAGCAAGACTCCATCTCAAAAAAAAAAAAAGGCAAAGTGGCCAATTCTTGGATTCCTCCCAGGACAGGGAACTCACCCCCTCCTGAGGCTACCCCTTCTATGGCTCTATGAAAATTTGGGAAAAAAAAAATTACCCTGTGGTCCCAGCTACACGGGAGGCTGAGGCGGGAGGCTGGCTTGAGCCCAGGTGGTCAAGGCTGTAGTGAGCTATGATCACGCCACTGCACTCCAGCCCAGGGGATAGAGTGAGACCCTGTCTCAAAAAATAAATGAATAAAAATAAAGATAAAGGCCTGCATTGGGTGAAAGCAGATTGGGCGTTTTGGTCACCCCAACCACAAAGCCATCGCTGGGGGCCAGGGCCCTGTCCACCAAGACCAAGTGAGATCAAACTGTTCTGTGAGGTGAAAGCGGGTGGGGCCCCCACCCTCCATATGGGGGAGGAAATCCCGGCTGGAAAAGGGGTACCTCCTACCTACGGGCAGAGCCAGGTCCCTCCAACTCCCAGGCCCCCCTTTTACCCTCCAAGGAGGGCAGCTCTAAGAAGTTTGCATCCGGATGATTACAGTTCCCGATGATTCTGTTACTCCAATTTTCCCTTAATGTTGATGATTATGATAATGATATTGATAGCGGCTGACATTTTGAAAGCTTTTTTTTTGTCAACCACCAATAGCCCTCTGAGACGGTGGGTGCTCAAATGGGCGACACTGAGGGAGTTGGAATTGCAGAGTACGAAGTGTCCTCTGGGAGTCCGGGCTTGGCGCCTTGCTTATCTCCCCGGACGGGCAGCTCACTCTCCCTCACCCCCGGTCCCCGCCGCGCGCACTGGCGGCGCCCGTTCCACGCTCCAAGAACCCCGCTTCCCAGGGTGGGTGGGGGGTGCACGCCCGACAGGGCCAGGTCAGGGCCAGGCGTGGAGCCCGCGTGCGCCCCGGGACCCCGCCCGGGGCGCGCGGGAGGCGCCGGGGGCCGCGGAGGCGGGGCGGGGAGGGGCCGGCGGCGGCGGCGGCGCGCGGAGGAGACCGCAGTGCGGCCGGCGCTAGGACCCGCGGGGGCCTCCCAGGCCGCGGCGCCTCCCGCTTTCCCCCACTCCCCGACCCTTCTTCGCCCCCAAAATGAGGAAACGGAGCAACTCGCTCCAAGTTGTGCAGCCGGGACCGCCTCGGGGTGTGCAGCCGGCTCGCGGAGGCCCTCCTGGGGGCGGGCGCGGGGCGCGGCTCGGGGGCGCCCCCTGAGCAGGTGAGCACGTCGGCGGGGAGACGTGGAGAGACCCCGAGGCCGGGGTGGGGGGAAACCCCGAGGGCTCTAGGCGGGGGTGGGCCCGGGACGTGCGCAGGAAGGGCCGGTGTGTGCGCGAGTGTGCGCGTCCCGGGCGCGCAGCGGGTGCGCGGCTGGGGCGGAGGGTGCTCAGAGGCGATCGGACCCCGCGTGGTGGTGGCTGGGGTTTCCTGGGTGCGGGTGTGCGCGGCTACGAGCCCCGGGCGTGTGTACCCGCGCGTCCACGTGGAGGGCTGTGCGCGTGTGGCCGAAAAGCGTGTGCGCGGCCCTGCGTAGCGCCCTGCGTGCCCGAGTGGCCCGGCGCTGGCGCCCAGGTGTTCCAGTGTGGGGCGGCTGTGTGTGTGCCGGGGGCGGGGGACAGGTGCGCACGTTCCCAGGTGTGGAGCGCTTGTGCGCGCGGATGCGCGGGGACGTGTGCGCACACCTGTTTCCACGTGGACGTGGTCCTTTGCTTGTCTGCGCGCAGCTGTGTCCGAGCCCTGTGTGTTTCTGTGCGTGTGCATGCATCCGTATGCGTGTGAGTACACGTGGGACTGGAGGATTTCATGGGAGGCGCATCTTGGAGGGGCCGAGACTCACCCCCCAGCACCGCCCACTTCCCAGCCACTAGCGGTCGGGGAGATGGGGGAGGCAGGGAGGCTCCCCCACCCCTGCAGCAATGAGTGACTTTGTGTGTCTGTCCTGGGTTTGGGGGGGGATCAGAGAGGCTCAGCGGGTGGCCGGAGGAGCCCAGCAGGGCTACAGGACCCGCCCCTGCCCCCAGCTCCACCCCACGGTCAGAGATTCTTGGGAATGACCTTGACTCATCCCTATTTCCCCACCCTGCCCCTGCCTACCAACCAGAAAACAGGAAGAACCAGGCTCGGTCCAGTGGCACCCAGCTCCCTACCTCCTGTGCCAGCCGACTGGCCTGTGGCAGGCCATTCCCAGCGTCCCCGACTGTGACCACTTGCTCAGTGTGCCTCTCACCTGCCTCAGTTTCCCTCTGGGGGCGATGGCGGGGCGAGGCTCTCTGGTTTCCTGGCGGGCATTTCACGGCTGTGATTCTGCTGAGGAACTTCCCCGGGTAAAGATCACTTCCCCACAGGGGCTTGGGGAGCCAGTTCTGGGTCCCATCCAGGATGCCTCTGGGGAGGCTCTCTCTGCCTGCCCAGCCATCGCCCCCACCTGACCTGGGCTGGAAGTGGTAGGAACTGGACCGTGGGTCCCAGCCCAGCTCCCACCTGGACTCTGTCCCCTCCCCAGGTGAGCCCCCGCTTCCTCCGAGCCTGGCACCCCCCTCCCGTCTCAGCCAGGATGCCAACGGTGAGTGTGTCTAGCCTGCTTCCTCTGCTCCCCGGGTCCTTCTTCAACTCCGTCCACACCCTGAGACCCCTTCCTGAAGGGCTGTACTCTCTGCCCCCTACCCCCTTCTGCTGGCCTCGGCCTGGCCTTTCTCAGTCATCTTGGCTTCCTGACCTTCTGTCCCAGGCCGCCTCTCTTTGTGACTCTACGATTTCTCTCTGAGCACCCCACTCCCCCTTTCTTTCCCCCGATGTCTGCGTCTGTTTTCTCTGCCTCTCCGCTCTTTTCCAATCTCTATACCTTTCTCCCTCCTGTCCTCTTTCCCCTCCCGTGCCTCTGCTCCCCACATCTCCGTGATGTCCTCCCTTTGCCCCTCTCCCGGCCCCCTCTGCAGAGGCGCTGGGCCCCGGGCACCCAGTGTATCACCAAATGCGAGCACACCCGCCCCAAGCCAGGGGAGCTGGCCTTCCGCAAGGGCGACGTGGTCACCATCCTGGAGGCCTGCGAGGTGAGAGGTGGCCGGCGGGTGTGGGTGCTTGGGGCTGGGGGCTCCACCAGGACCACCCCCACACCCCCCACACTAACCCCGTGCTTCCTCCCTGGCAGAACAAGAGCTGGTACCGCGTCAAGCACCACACCAGTGGACAGGAGGGGCTGCTGGCAGCTGGGGCGCTGCGGGAGCGGGAGGCCCTCTCCGCAGACCCCAAGCTCAGCCTCATGCCGTGAGTGGGCAGGACAGGGGCCTGGGGTAGGGGACAGCAAGTGACCCCCCCTCCACAGCCCAGTCTGACCCACCCCTTCCGTGGCCGCAGGTGGTTCCACGGGAAGATCTCGGGCCAGGAGGCTGTCCAGCAGCTGCAGCCTCCCGAGGATGGGCTGTTCCTGGTGCGGGAGTCCGCGCGCCACCCCGGCGACTACGTCCTGTGCGTGAGCTTTGGCCGCGACGTCATCCACTACCGCGTGCTGCACCGCGACGGCCACCTCACAATCGATGAGGCCGTGTTCTTCTGCAACCTCATGGACATGGTGGAGGTGCTGCCACCCAGAGGCCCCACCCCGTCCCTGCAGTGGGGCAGCCCAGGGACTCCGGAGACTCCCCTACGTAGAGATAGAGGGGCGGGTCACCTGACCTCCATCCCTTCCCCAGCAGCTGGGCAGACACCATCCCTACCTCCTGTGCTGATCACCCGGGACCCCCTGAGCTCTGTGCTTCCCCAATGTGGAGATGAAGGGGGTATTCCCCAGGGCCCCCCAGGCACCCCCAGGCCCCCATCCCATCTCAGATGGGCAGACAGGAGGACCCCCACAGTAGGATTCCCCTTAATGCAGAAATAGGGGGGCTGATCCCTATGGACTGCCCAATCTACAGGTGGCCTGAGTCAGCCTGGTTCTACCTCCAGGGACTAGAGTGACTCCTCTGGGGACCCCCCAGGACCCCCCAAGTTGATACCAATCCAGAGGACTCCCCCTCCTTTTGGCTTGCCTCCTTTCCCGTTCCTATGGAAACCAGCCTTTCTCCTCCTCCCCGGTCCCACCCACCCCACCCAGAGGCCACCCGGGAACGGAACAGGATGCTGGGGTTCCCCTCCCTGGGGCTGGGCTCATGGCTGTCCCACCATCCTGCAGCATTACAGCAAGGACAAGGGCGCTATCTGCACCAAGCTGGTGAGACCAAAGCGGAAACACGGGACCAAGTCGGCCGAGGAGGAGCTGGCCAGGGGTAGGGGACGCCCAGGAGGGCAGACCCCCTTCCCTACCCACGTTAGCCCAGTCCGGGAGGAAGGGCCCTGGGGCCCCGCACCTCTGAGGCCAGATCACCCAAGCCTGTCTCCATGCCCAGCTATGGGATAGAAGACCTGGGCTGCCTCGGGGGTGCCCACAGACACAGATCAGTCCTTTATTCAATAGGTCCCCAGCTTCGCCACTCATCTGTCACCATCATCCACCATCTGAGCCAGAAACCTGGCCCCGAACCTCCACCCACCCCATCCTCCAGCATTCCCTCCTTGGCCAGGTTCCCAAGACCTGGTGAATCTTCTCCCCTCCCCTCCCCACAGCCCAGCCTCAGGCCCTCCCATCAGACCGCCTCCTTCCCAGAGGGCGAGTCCCCCTTCCAGCCCAGGCCTTGAGTGCAGCCTCAAGGTTATCTTTCTATCATGAAACCATGCCTCCAGGGAGAGAGGCCCAGCAGCTCCACCACCTTCCAGAACCTGCCTGCATGGCCTGAGCCACCTTTCCAGCCTCATCTGCAAAGCCCTTCCTCCACACATCCACCCCCTCCCAGGTCAACTGTGATCATCGTTTTCTTCATGCCTCTGAGCCATTGTATATTCTGTTCCCTTCACCTGAAATGCTTTTCCAGCCCCTAAGTAGTGAAATCCTCAATATTTAAGGTCAAAAGCAAATGCCTCCTCTGACCCCATGTCTGTCTCCTTGAAAGTATCTCTCTGCTGGGGAAGTCTGTACCCATCAGGGATGGCATCCAGGTGGAGACTAGCATCACCCTGGCCAATGATCTCTTAAGACCGTGGCATTTGGAGGGGGCACTTTCTGGAGGGAGAAGAGAACGTCTGCAGAACCGACCAGAGGGCAGTGGAGGGGACAACACAGGAGTGCTTGGGAGAAGGGTCAGGGAGGCTAGAGCCCTGGAATATTCTGGAACCTTTATGGGTCTCCATGTTGTGTTTTTTTGCTCTGTGTGTGTTTCTGGGGTGGTCAGAGGTAAAGAACTGTGTAGGGAAGAGCCCAGAGGGTATTTGGAGGGACAAGAGAGCCAAAGAGAAAAGGGCAGCTCTTATCTCTGAGAACTGAAGTGTTTCCTGGCACTACCCCTTGGGCCTGACTGGGAGTTCCTGGAGGGCAAGTGTGGGGTCTGAGGGTCTCAGCCAGGCAGGCCCCCAGCTTTGACTATTCACACCACTATCCCTCCTGTAAGCCCCTTTTTGTTCAGGTCAACCTGAGATAGTTCTGTTGCTTGCAACAACAATAATTGGTACCAGGAGTGGGGTGTCTCTGATATGTCCTAGGGGCATTGCCAGGCCCAGCAGCCACTCAAATGTGTATCCACAGCTGCAGCACTGTGAGAGACATCACCTAGTCTCTCACCAAGTAGAACCCCCAATGGGAGGATTTAGGGGGCCCATTACCCCTCTGACTGGGTCTTCACTCCACAGCGGGCTGGTTACTGAACCTGCAGCATTTGACATTGGGAGCACAGATCGGAGAGGGAGAGTTTGGAGGTGAGTGGCGGACTGGGTTGGGGGTGCTGAAGGAAGATGGGAGGTGCGTATTGAGGCTTTGGAGTCACAGAGCTGAATTCAAACCCATACTTAACCACCTACTAGTTGTGCAGCTGAAGACGTGCAAATCCTCTGAGCCTCAGTTTCCCCCTCTGGAACAGGGGGTAATGGCAGCTGTCATGAGGAGTAAGTGAACTCAAGCAGGCGCTCAGTCAACGTTAGTGACTTCTTCACACTGCCAGGGTCTTGTATGGTCAGTCCCACTGTTTGGAATGTTTGAAACACCATTCCCTGAAATTATTATTCTGGAAGGCTCTGGGGTTTAGATCAGGGGTCGGCAGACTCTCTGTAAAAGGCCAGATTGTAAATATTTCCTGCTTTGTGGGCCAGGTAGCTGCTGTCACCACTACTGAATCCTGCCCTTGTGGAGTGAAAGCGACCACAGACAATATGTAAACATATGGGCGTGGCCATGAAAACTATGACCCAGAAATTTGAATTTTGTGTAATGCTCACATGTCCTGAAACAGCACTCATCTTTTGATTTGTTTTTACAACCATTTAAACATGCAAAAACCAGCCAGGCACGGTGGCTCATGCCTGGAATCCCAGCACTTTGGTAGGTCGGGGCAGGAGGATCCCTTGAGCTCAGGAGTTCAGGTGCAGCCTGGACAACGTAGCGAGACCCCCATCTGTACAAAAAAAAAGCCAGGCACAGTGGAGCATGCCTGTAGTCCCAGCTACTCAGGAGGCCGGGATGGGAGGATCCCTTGAACCCAGGAATTTGAACCTGCAGTGAGCTGTGATCACGCCACTGCACTCTACCTGGGTGAGAGAGTGAGACCCTGTATCAATATTTTAAAAATAAAAATGTTGGCCGGGCACAGTGGCTCATGCCTGTAATCCCAGCACTTTGGGAGGCTGAGGCGGGCGGATCACGAGGTCATGAGATCGAGACCATCCTGGCTAACATGGTGAAACCCCATCTCTACTAAAAAAAAAAAAAAAAAAAATTAGCCGGGCGTGGTGGTGGGCGCCTGTAGTCCCAGCTACTTGGGAGGCTGAGGCAGGAGAATGGCGTGACCTGGGAGGCAGAGCTTGCAGTGAGCAGAGATGGCGCCACTGCACTCCAGCCTGGGCGACAGAGCAAGACTCCGTCTCAAATAAATAATTAATTAATTAAAAATAAAAATGCAAAAAACATTTTGAGCTGAAGGGTCTTGCAAAAAGAGGTGATAGGTAGATTTGGCCCCGAGGGGGTGGGGGTTCACAGACCCCTGGCTTAGATGGTTCTCTCTTTGTTTTTGTTTTTTGTGGGGTTTTTTTTGAGATGGAGTTTCGCTCTGTCACCCAGGCTGGAGTGCAATGGCACAATCTTGGCTCACTGCAACCTCTGCCTCCCGGGTTCAAGTGATTCTCCTGCCTCAGCCTCCCGAGTAGCTGGGATTACAGGCATGTGCCACCACACCTGGCTAGTTTTGTATTTTCATTAGAGACAGGGTTTCTCCATGTTAGTCGGGCTGGTCTTGAACTCCTGACCTCAGGTGATCCGCCTGCCTCAGCCTCCCAAAGTGCTGGGATTACAGGCGTGAGCCACCGCGCCAGAGCCAGATGGTTCTCTGATCTTGGGTCTGGAGCTTGCAAGGGCGGCAGGGGTGAGGAGCATGGGGTCTGTGTTTCAAGGTCTGGGGACCCGCAGCTGTGTGAATGTTACATGGGCACCGGTGTGAGCGGGCCTGTCCGTCTGTCTCTCTGTCCCTGTTTGTTGGGGGTCCTGATCTCACCCCGTTCCCCACCCCCACCCCCCAGCTGTCCTGCAGGGTGAGTACCTGGGGCAAAAGGTGGCCGTGAAGAATATCAAGTGTGATGTGACAGCCCAGGCCTTCCTGGACGAGACGGCCGTCATGACGTGAGTCCCAGGGTGGGGCTGGGGACCGTGGGACGGGGGGGGTCCCAGCCCTGCCCTCACGCCCACCCCACCGCCCCCAGGAAGATGCAACACGAGAACCTGGTGCGTCTCCTGGGCGTGATCCTGCACCAGGGGCTGTACATTGTCATGGAGCACGTGAGCAAGGTGGGGCGGGGCCCAGGCGGGGAGGGGGCCCACGCAGCGGAGCAGCCCCAACATCCCGCGGCCATCTCCCACCCCCAACAGGGCAACCTGGTGAACTTTCTGCGGACCCGGGGTCGAGCCCTCGTGAACACCGCTCAGCTCCTGCAGTTTTCTCTGTAAGTGGGACTCTCAGGGTGCTGCGGCACTGGGGTCGTCGGGGCGCAGATTCCAAGATCCATCAAGGGGAAACTGAGGCACGGGGCAGGGAGGCTTTGTGAGCTTGTGGCCCCAGGCACCCCGAGCTTTCTGAGCCCTGAATGTGGGCATCCTGGCACCTGAGCCCCCACTGCCCCCTACTACCCCCAGGCACGTGGCCGAGGGCATGGAGTACCTGGAGAGCAAGAAGCTTGTGCACCGCGACCTGGCCGCCCGCAACATCCTGGTCTCAGAGGACCTGGTGGCCAAGGTCAGCGACTTTGGCCTGGCCAAAGCCGAGCGGAAGGGGCTAGACTCAAGCCGGCTGCCCGTCAAGTGGACGGCGCCCGAGGCTCTCAAACACGGGGTGAGCCCTGCCTTCACATACCCCTGGGGCTTTGGGGTCCCCCCAGCTCTGCTGTATGACCCTGGGTATGTCCCTTGGCCTCTCTGAAACTCCAAGGGCAATGGCTATGCCTCCCCAGGAAGCTCTTGGCCCATAATTGTTCCTCGTAGCCCCCCTCTGGGCCTCAGTTTCTCCAGCTCTGAAAAAGGCGTGGGCTCAGGACTGAAGGGAAGAATAACCAGGCTTCCTTCATGCACTAAGGCTGAGCTAGACTCAACTGCGGGCGGCGTTGGGGGAGGACTCAATTAGGAGAAGACCAGAGAGTGAGGGTCAACCCAGGAGGGCTTCCTGGAGGAAGCAGGGGCTGGAGCAGAAAACCTGAGGGGTCCCTCCTCACCCCCGTCTCGGGCCCCACAGAAGTTCACCAGCAAGTCGGATGTCTGGAGTTTTGGGGTGCTGCTCTGGGAGGTCTTCTCATATGGACGGGCTCCGTACCCTAAAATGGTGAGCGGGGGTCCCAGGGAGGCACTGGGTTCCGGGCAGGTCCAGAGGCTGTGGCCCTGACCCCTGCCCACGCCTGCTGTCCGCAGTCACTGAAAGAGGTGTCGGAGGCCGTGGAGAAGGGGTACCGCATGGAACCCCCCGAGGGCTGTCCAGGCCCCGTGCACGTCCTCATGAGCAGCTGCTGGGAGGCAGAGCCCGCCCGCCGGCCACCCTTCCGCAAACTGGCCGAGAAGCTGGCCCGGGAGCTACGCAGTGCAGGTGCCCCAGCCTCCGTCTCAGGGCAGGACGCCGACGGCTCCACCTCGCCCCGAAGCCAGGAGCCCTGACCCCACCCGGTGGGGCCCTTGGCCCCAGAGGACCGAGAGAGTGGAGAGTGCGGCGTGGGGGCACTGACCAGGCCCAAGGAGGGTCCAGGCGGGCAAGTCATCCTCCTGGTGCCCACAGCAGGGGCTGGCCCACGTAGGGGGCTCTGGGCGGCCCGTGGACACCCCAGACCTGCGAAGGATGATCGCCCGATAAAGACGGATTCTAAGGACTCTAGGCGCCTGTGTGTCTCTGTGTCCCCGTGCCCTCTTCCCCGGGGGCCACCTTTGGTGATCTGCTCTCGGACACCCCCAGGCGCCAGGCATCCTGGGTCCTCCCTTAGAGGTCCACCCCCCCTAGATGCCCTGTGTGCCCCAGCCCCAGTGGTCACCTTCCTACTCTGTGGAACCCACTGCAGCCCACATGATGGGATCAATTAATTGGGACCCCACTGATCCTTGGCCGAGTCTTGGGCACCCACCGGCCCCAAGCCCCTGCCTCCTGTGGCCACATGCCTGCACACGGGGGCCTCCCCATCTTGGCCCATGGAGGATCTGCCCAGCTGGCACCTGCCTGCTGGCCACTGTGGGGACACCGTTCCCTGGGGGATTCTGGGCAGGGGACCCACTTGCCATTACCCACGGGTTCCCCACTGCAGTCCCCCAGGGCATGTGGTATTCAGTGGTGGGCACCCTTTCCCAACCCATGGGGTCCCAGGCTTAAAGGATCTTGGGAGGCTGCCAACAGCCCTCAAGGTCCAAGTCTCCCCTCCCACCACAGCCCTTTCTCAGGCCCCAGCCATCCATATCCCTATGGGAGCCCCCATGATGGGAGCCCCAGGAGGGTCTGCATGTGTGGCAGCAGCCCCATTTAGGGATGGCCTGGGGAGGCCACCCTCCTCCTCCTGCCTCCCCCATTCATGGCCAGGCCCCATGTTGAGTGCTTTCAGGTCAGACCCCCAAAATGCCACTGGAGGTGAGTGCCAGGATTACACCCATTTCACAGACGTGGACGCTGAAGCCCAGAGAGGGCAGGTTGCTCACACTGGGTTGCCCCAAGAAAATATGGTAGAGCCTGGATTTGAATCTGGGCCTGTCTGGGTCCACAGCCCAGGCTTCGTTCCCCTCTCTTCCTGCTCCTGCCTCTCCCACTTCTGCATGTCTCTCACTTCTGCTTCTTTCATGATGGCCTGAACCAATCATGAAAATCTCACCCATCATCCACCCATCCATCCACACCCACCCAATCACCATCCACCCATCCATCCATCCACCCACCCAATCACCATCCACCCATCTATCCACCCACCCAATCACCATCCACCCATCTATCCACCCACCCAATCACCATCCACCCATCCATTCACCCACCCAATCACCATCCACTCATCCATCCACCCATCCATCCATCCATCCACCCACCCACTATCCACTCATCCATCCACCCACTCACTATCCACTCATCCATCCATCTACCCACTATCCACTCATCCATCCACCCACCCACCTATCCATCCACCCACCATCCACTCATCCACCTACCCACCATCCACTCATCCATCCATCCACCCAATCATCCATCCATCCATCCATCCGTCCACCCATGCATCCATCCACCTGTCCACCCATCCATCCATCCACCTACCATCCACTCACACATCTGTCCACCCATTTATCTACCCATCATCCATCCACATACCCATCCATCCTTTCATCCATCCATCCATCCATCCTTCCATCCATCCACCCACCCACCCATCCCCCTGTCCCCACCCATCCATGCATGCATCCATCCACCAACCCATCCACTTATCTATCCATCTCCCCACCCATCCATCCCCCACCCATTCCCATGTCCATCCATGTACCCATCCATTCATTCACCCACCCATCCACTCTATTCATCCATCCCTCCATCCACTGTTCCATTGATCTACCCACCCATTCATCCATCCCTCCATCCACCTACCCACCCACCATCCATTCACACATCCATCCACCTCTCCTCTTAACAAAGCCAGGCTGAAGGAGGTGTCAGAGGCTGTGGAGAAGGGGTACCACATGGAGCCCCCAAGGGCTGTCCAGGCCCCATGCATGTCCTCATGAGCAGCTGCTGGGAGGTAGAGCCCGCCCGCTGGGCACCCTTCTGCAAGTTGGCTGAGAAGCTGGCCCGGGAGTTGTGCAGCATGGGCGTCCCGGCCTCTGTCTCAGGCTGACTGTGTGCTGGCCCTCTGGGCACTGAGTATCACCACAGCTTCTGCAGTGACAGCTCTCAGGTGACACTGTCCTTGGACAGAGGCAGTCCAAATGTCCAGGGACCTAGCAGGCTGACCCATTGACTCTGGGGGGCAGAATGGCAGGGAAACACTGGCCCTCCTGTCCTCTCTGGCACAGCGGGCCGGGGATCCACTTTGCACACACAGGTTCAATCCTGACTCGCCCCCCAGCTGTGTGACGCTGGCCCTGGGGTGACCACCCTGGTGTGACCACCCTGGTTTGCTCAGGGCTGAGGGCTGTTCCAGGGTGTCAGACTTCAGTGCTAAAACAGGGAAAGTCCTGGGCAAACAGGGGAGAGGTGGTCCCTACTGGGAAAGCTTTTACCCTCTCTGGGCCTCAGCAGCCTCCTCCAGCCAATGGACACCTTTTCCCAGAGGGGTGTGAGCAGTGAAGGGAGGGGCACCTAGAAGGCAGGCATACAGCTGGTGCTCCATTATTGCTGGGACGGTCCAACACCTGCTCTCAGCTGAGTCCCATGGAGCCAGCCTTTAGGATACACGGAGAGGGGTCTCTGGCCAGGCTGGGTATGGCCCCCACCCCAGGACTCCCAGCCCACCCTCCCATCCTGGCCAAGCAGAGCCTGAGCTGAGACACGGAAATGTCCCAAGGTCACGCCGACCTCCTGTGTGGCCCCCTTAAAGCCCTGCACACCCTCGGGCCTCACTCTCCCCACCAGCACCTGAGGCAGGTTAGTGGTTCTTTCTTGGGGAAAATTGAAAGGTGGAGGCTGGAAAGGCCCGGAGTGGCCTGGCCTCTGCCTAATCCACTGCAGGGGGCCACCTGTCCCCTTGGCCCTGCCCACCCAGCCCGCGCTCCTAATCCGGCCCTCTAAGCTGACACAGCGTCTGCAGCTTCTGCCTGTCCGGCTAAGTCGCCCAAAGCCCCCCCCGCCGCGCCTCACGCCACGATCCTTCCTGGGGCCTCTTAACCCACACTGGCCAATTAGCTAATTGCGGCCTGAGACCTGAAGCAGCTCGTTAGTGCTCTAAAGTGATGAAGCGATCAGGGGAGTTCTCTCTCCCCAGCCCACAGCCCTGTCCCTCGATGGGTGACAGGCCTGGCTCCACCTTGGACACAGAGCCTGGTGGGCCCACCTTGCCGACGGGCAGCTGAGGCCAGGGGAGGCACCTGGAGCCTCAGAAGCTGCAGCCACCCCTCTGGCCAGGGATTGAACCCCTGTTTGCCTCTGCACCTTGCCCACCTGAACTTGGCCCCTGGGATGGGGGAGCTACACCCAGATCCTGGGCCGAAGCCACCTGCCCCCTGGGATCCGACCGGGACTACTCTGGGGCCTGGGCACCTGGTTTCTCGTGTGTGTGTGTGTCACGCCTTTCTCTGTCTCTGTCTCTGTCTCTCTTTCTTTGTGTGTCTCTCCCTTCAAAGCCAACATGCCAACATTCTGGAAGGATCTCTAGTTCACTTTGCACTGGCCCCTTCGCCCATCCACAGGCCTGGGTCTCCCCCTCACTCCACCGCAGTCACCTCCCCCCTGTCCTCCATGTCACTAAATCAGGCCTCCCCTCCTCTCCCCTTCCCATTGTCCCTGGAGTACCCTCTCCTTTCCATCTCTAGGGCACTCCCCTGCCTGAGCCCCCTGGCTCCTTGGACTTGGGGGGCACTCGTCTCTGGGGCTTCCCCTGGAGCCCGCTCCACCTCTCAGGCCTCTGCCTCTGAAACAGTCCCACCTCACAGCCCAGAATGGGCCTGGGCAACGCCCTTGCACCTCCATACCCACACCCTGCCCCTCTCCAGCTTCCTTCCTCTGGAATTGCTACCCCCACCCTTCTGTCCTCCCCATCTCCCCCGGCCCTTGGCCTGACTAGACCCTGTAGCCTCACCTGCCTGGCACCTGCCCCTGGTTTCTCAGCTGCTCATCATTGATGTTTGTATAAAATGCCACTGTGTCCCTGCTCCACAACCTCCCATGGTTCCCCAGCACTCCATCCTTCACACCCCATGTGTCCAGAACTTGCGGCTTTGCACTCCATCTTCCATTCTCACCACCTTCCTTAACATAGCAACCCGACTGGTCGCGGTGGCTCACGCCTGGAACTCCTGCACTATGGGAGGCCGAGGCAAGTGGATCACCTGAGGTCAGGAGTTCAAGAGCAACCTGGCCAACACGGTGAAACCCCATCTTCAGTAAAAATACAAAAATTAGCTGGGCGTGGTGGCGCACCTGTAATCCGAGCTACTCAGGAGGCTGAGGCAGGAGAATCACTTGAACCTGGGAGGCGGAGGTTGCAGTGAGCCGAGATCTCACCACTGCACTCCAGCCTAGGCAACAGAGTGAGACTCCTTCTCAAAAAAACAAAAATAGGCCAGGCGGGGTAGCTCACACCTGTAATGCCAGCACTTTGGGAGGCCAAGGCAGGCGGATCACGAGGTCAGGAGTTCAAGACCAGCCTGGCCAAGGTGGCGAAACCGTGTCTCTACTAAAAAATACAAAAATTAGCCAGGCGTGGTTGCAGGTGTCTGTAATCCCAGCTACTCAGGAGGCTGAGGCAGGAGAATTGCTTGAACCCAGGAGGCGGAGGTTGCAGTGAGCTGAGATCGTGCCACTGCACTCCAGCCTGGGCGACAGAGTAGGACTCTGTCTCAAAAAAAAACCCAAAAACTAAATGAAATATCAACCCACCTTGCCCCCACAGGCCCCCCTCCGTGGGTTTTCTCCCTAGGCTCGTGGCCACTGGCCACGCTCTGCATTTTAACACAGTGGTTGGTTGTCTGTCTGCCCTGCTAGAAAGTCAGCCCCGTGACTTCTGTCTGTTTTGGTCACTACTGCTGTGAGCAGTACCTGGTACACAGTAAGTGCTCAATAAATGTTTATTGAATGGTGAACTTCTGTTTTTCTTTTTTGTTGGTGGTGGTTTTGGTTTTTTGTTTTTTTTTTTTTTTGAGATGGAGTTTCACTCTGTTGCCCAGGCTGGAGTGCAATGGCATGACCTTGGCTCACTGCAAGCTCCACCCCACCAGGTTCAAGCAATTCTCCTGCCTCAGCCTCCCGAGTAGCTGGGAGTTATAGGCACCCACCACCACGCCTGGCTAATTTTTGTATTTTTAGTAGACAGGGTTTTGCCATGTTGGCCAGGCTGGTCTCAAACTCATGATCTCAGGTGATCCGCCCGCCTCAGCCTCCCAAAGTGCTGGGGTTACAGGCGTGAGCCACTGCGCCCGGCTGTGAATGGTGAACGTCTATTCATACCTCCAGACCCAGCTAAAAGGGTCCCTACCCCTTGTGTCCAGAGGAACCAACTGCAGTGCCTTCACCTCTGGACCTCAGCTTCCCCAACTGCCTCTGACATCTGTGAGTTCTAAGACACCTTTTTCTGCCCCCAGCAGATAAAAATATTAACAGTGAGCATTCATTAAGTGCCCCCTGTATGCCAATTTCTGTGCGATGCTCTGAGAAGCTGAAATCCCCCCAGGGTAGGTCCTAGTGTGGCAGTTTTACAGCCAGGGAAACTGAGGCCCAGAGAGGGAGAGGCCCTTGCCGTCTTATGGCAAGGGGCCGTGGAGCCTGTAAGACTATCCCCCCAGCCACCCACTTAGAGCCCCAGCCCTCCATCCACCCTGCCCTCCCTCCTGGCTCAGAACAGCCCAGGACCAAGTGGGAGGGGCCGCCTCAATTAATCACCTTGAGCTAATCCTCCCCCACGCAGCCCCGACCTGGCTCGGCTCCGGCAGGGCCAGGCCACAGCAGACGCAGCGCCAGGCCCGCTGGGGCAGGTGTCCCGTGGAAATCGACGGAGGGGCTGCCGTGGGCGGTGAGTGCGGGGTGGGCACTGGTGGGCCTGGGTAGGAGGTGGTGGGGGCAGAGATCCCCTCAGGGTGGAGGGCTTAGGGCGTGAGAAGGGATCCTGCCTTCCTTGACGGGGGGGCATCCTTGACCCCCCCCCGCCGACACACACACACACAGGCCGTGACAGTCACAGAGAGGGGAAGAGAAAACAGGGACGGTGACACACACAGAGAGAAGGAAGAGCAGACAGAGGCACAGCAGGAGACCCCCCCAAGCCCGAGGAGGACAGCCTGGGGATGCAGAGCGCATGCCGGCCCCAGTGGAGGGAACCGATTTCCCCGGAGCCGGGAGGCAAGCCTGGGGCTCCCCTGCCCTGTCCCTGCCGGTAGCCCCCCCAGCCGTCTCCCCACCATCTGTCCCGCTGCCGTCCCACCAGGTGGGAGCCATGTTCCTGAGCCCGGGCGAGGGGCCGGCAACCGAGGGTGGGGGTCTGGGGCCGGGCGAGGAGGCCCCCAAGAAGAAGCACCGGAGGAACCGCACCACCTTCACCACCTACCAGCTGCACCAGCTGGAGCGGGCGTTCGAGGCCTCTCACTACCCGGATGTGTACAGCCGTGAGGAGCTGGCAGCCAAGGTGCACCTACCTGAGGTGCGCGTGCAGGTGAGGGCACCCCCCAACACACACATCTTTTGCAACCTGGGGAGGGAGGCAAAGCAAGATCCTGACCCTCCCGGAGCAACAGCAGAAGAGAAGCTAGGAAGGCTTCCTGGAGGAGGGGGTGTGGGAGCTGAGGTTTTGACATTTGAGTAGGAGTGTGCCAGCTGGGAAGGAAAAGGGGAGTTTTTCTAGGCATCCTGAACAGTGTGTGCAAAGACATGGAGGGGTTAAGTTGGAGGCGTTTCCCTTGAGCCAGGGGTGAAGGAGGAGGCAGAGAATGGTGTGGGTAACAACGCTTTTGAAGGCCTTGAATGCCACGTTAGGCAGCTCAGGTTACTTGCTAAGGGCCAAGGGAGGCCAAGGAGGGGAGTGAGGAGTTGGAGGGGAGCCTGGGCTTAGGGAACGCTTGGGAGATCCTCATCTTCTTGGGGCAGAACAGCGAAGCAGCAGGTAGGAGTCGGGTCAGACGGGAGTCAGAACCCCCAGGGCTGGGGTGTGCAGAGGGGGTCCGAGGATTGGCGGGGAGCGGCTGAGCTCACAGCAACCCCCCTTCCCTCTCGCACCCTCCAGGTGTGGTTCCAGAACCGCCGGGCCAAGTGGCGCCGCCAGGAGCGGCTGGAGTCAGGCTCGGGTGCCGTGGCAGCTCCGAGACTCCCCGAGGCCCCAGCGCTGCCGTTCGCCCGCCCCCCGGCCATGTCGCTGCCCCTGGAGCCCTGGTTGGGCCCCGGACCGCCGGCCGTGCCAGGCCTCCCCCGCCTCCTGGGCCCGGGCCCGGGGCTGCAAGCGTCCTTCGGGCCTCATGCCTTTGCTCCCACCTTCGCAGATGGCTTCGCCCTGGAGGAGGCGTCCCTGCGGCTGCTGGCCAAGGAACATGCACAGGCTCTGGACAGGGCCTGGCCGCCAGCCTGAGCCTGCCGCCCTCCCGGGCCCCCTCCTCGGCCCAACCCGAGAACCGGGGACGTGCCCTGGTGACAGCCACCACGCCTTGGCCTAGGCCGAGGTCATGGAGCAACCGTGGTCAGGCCAGGCCACCACCACTGGGGAGCGGGACCAGAGAGACAGGCTGCTGGGTTCCCTGCCCCCATCCCGTCTCCCACCCCATCGCCACCCGTCCTGCTGGCAGCGGACTGGCCCCCAGTGTCAGGCAGGAGGTGACCCAAGTATTCTCAGGCCAGGTGCGGGGACCTCCTCCCCTCCTGGGGCCTCAGTCTCCTGTCTGTTAATTGGGCGTGGGGGCCTCCGAGGTTCGAGGGCTGCGAGGCTGTGGGTGGCGGGACCGCTGACTCTGTAAGATGAGTGTAAATCTCTCTGCTTCTCCTAATCCCCATCAGCAGAGCTGCCCACTCTCCAGGCTCCCAGTCCCCTGGAAATAACAAATAGCAGCAGCTCCCGCGAGCCTGGTCTCCTCTCACCGTGTGCTCGCCATGTGAGCACTCCCCTCTCCGTTGTGCCCTGGACCTCGGGCACAGCTGTCAGCCCATTCTATAGAGAGGGAAACCGGGGCTTAGGCAGGAAGCCAGGTCCCCAAAGTCGCACGGCCAGGAGTGGATGGAGCTGCCTTTCAGACCCATCACCGGTCCTACCGTCCGGGGCACAGCGACAGGTTCTGGAGAGAGGGTGGGTCCCGGGCCAGGTGCTGGTGGGCCTCCAGGTGGAGGCGGGCTGATGCTGGGTGTGTCGTCATCGTCAGACCGTTCCTCACGTCCCCACAGACCCCAGGCCCTGTGCATGTCCCCAGTGGAGGCATGGCCAGCATCTGCTCTGTCCAACCCAGCCGCATCGCCCAAGAGCTCTGAGCAAGGAGGCTGTCGCGGGGCCGAGAACCCGCTGGGACTGGCAAGCACGGCTGGCCCAGTGCAGCAGGAGGGGGCCCTGAGGCATGGGATGGGACAGTCTGGGCCAGCGCCACCTCCCGGGACAGAAGTGCGGCACCAGGGCAGGAGCTGCAGTAGCTACCCTCCCCGTCTCCAGCCTGGGCTCCCCAGATCACTCCCAGATCACCAGGTCACCCCATCTCTAGGCGGCACCTCACACACCAGTCCTGTGGTCCAACGCCCCGCCATCACCCAATGTCACCGCACACCAGGCAGTGGGGACACGGCAGTAAGCACAAGAAAGATTTTTTTTTTTAAAGCTAAACCAGGCCAGGTGCGGTGGCTCATGCCTGTAATCCCAGTGCTTTGGGAGGCTGAGGTGGGAGGATTGCTTGAGACCAGCCTGGGTGACACAGCAAGACCCCATCTCCACAAACGTTTTTAAAATGTGCCGGGTGTACTGGTGCACACCTGTCATCCCAGCTACCCAAGAAGCTGAGGCAAGAGGATCACTTGAGCCCAGAAGGTCGAGGCTGCAGGGAGCTGTGATCACACTGCTGCACTCCAGCCTGTGCAACAGAGCCAGACCCTGACTCAATACAAATAAAAAACAAATCTAAAACAAAAGACTTCAGACAGTGATAAGTGATAGGGAGAAAAAAAAACCAGGAAAGTCAGATGTGGAGTGTGGCAGGGGCTGCAATTTTAATAGGGAGTTCTGGAGGAGGGGAGGCTGGCGTGAAGGTAGAGACCGGGGGCGGGAGGGAGAAGGTCTAGGGAAGGAGGGAGCTGGGCAGAGGCACAGGCTGTGCAAAGGCCCTGGGGCAGGACCACGCCTCGTGCATTGAAAGAATAGCGAGGAGGCCCATGCGGCTGGAGCAGAGTGAGGAGGGGGAGGAGGGAGGTGATGGGGAGGCCAGGCAGGGCCAGTGGCTGTTATAACTTTGATTTTTACCCTCAGAACCTTGGGGAACAACAGGAGGGTGGGAACGGCTGGCACCACCTGCAGTGAGCGCGAGAGAAGGCGCGCTCACACCCCCGCCTGCCCAGGGAGGCCGCCGGGGACAGCAGGTGCGCAGTAATCCCCTCCACTCCAGAGTCCCCTAAGAGGATGAAGGTTAGGGTTTCCCTGAGACGGGCCCCGCCCCGCCCATCCAGCTTGTGGACAGAGGAAGCCGGAGGGTGGGTGAGCCCAGTCCAAATCCCCCAGGGCACCCACCTAGGCATGGGTGGGGCTGCTGTGGCAAGGGTGGGGCCGAGGGCATGACCCTTGGGGGTTCTGCAGGACGTGGGGTCCATGAGGTGATCTACCCCCAGCAAGAGGCCCCATCACTCCCTAACTACGTGTCACCCTCAGCCTCCTCTAATCTGGTGGACTCCAGCCCTCGTGATCCCGCCCCATCACAGCCAGGCAGGGCAGGAGTTGTTGGGACTGCAGGGAGGCCAGTCCTCACTCAGGCCTAGGGTCAGACCCTGGGTCAGGGTCAGGGTGCCGAAAGCCGACTCCAGAGGGTGGACTGGGGGCGGAGGTTGAGACCTGGGCTCCAGTGGAGTGGACAGAGGACTTGGGGGTGGGGAAGGAAGGCCCAAGCCCCTGGGCTCCAGGGATAGGCCAGTGAGGACCACGCTGTGACTGCAGCAGGAAGGAAGGGGCAGTCCCTTCCCTCTGATTCTACTTGCTGCGCTGGTGGGGACGTCGGCCAGGAGCCCTCGGGCTACCCTGCCCATGAGTGCCAGCCCCTGGGGGATCCAAGGACCCTGAGATGGAGAGAGCCTTGGGTCTGAATACCGAAGCACCTGGATCCAGCCACACCTAAAGCCACACCACTACCCGCTCCGGACATCTCCTTTCTTGAAGCTCATAAAGCCTCTTTTCTGACTCTGATGGCTTGAGATAGTTAGGTTTGAGTCCCTTGCAACCAAGAGTGGCTTAGCTAGGACAACCCCCTCACCCAGCAACTTGAGATTTGGGGCCGGGGCCTCGTGAGCAGTGTCAGGAATTCCAGGAGTTGGGGAGAGAAGCCCACCAAGGGCCGGAGGCACAGGGGACCTGCAGACGGCCCACCACTGGCTGGGGTGGAGGCTGGGATCCCTGGGGTCTGAGGGACCCACTTCCCGCCAGGCCGACACCAGACAATACCAAGGGGAAATAGGGTCTACCCAGAAAGCTCTTTATTGGCCTCCAGGGCCCTGGTCCAGCCCCACTGTGGGGTCACATGGAAACCCAGGCTGGGGAGCCGCCTCTTGTCTCACAAAAGTCCACGTCCTCCGGGAAAACGGCAAGCCCTCGGCGTGGGGGTCAGCGATGCCGGGCCCTCCATGCTACAACCTCTTGTTCTTGCTCAGCCGGTTGTGGCGCCAGATGTTCTGTTTCCGCAGCCGCCGCCAGTACTCCCGGCTCTCGGGGTCCAGCTCCTCCAGGGTCTTTGGGGGACCCAAGTTCATCTCGAACAGCCTGACGGGGGTGCGGGCAGGAATCAGAGCTACACGGTGACCCCTGGGCTCCCTGGTGTCCCGGGCACCTCGGGCAGAGGCGGCGACGGGGCTGGGTGCCAGGCCCACTGGTTGGCTGCATGATCTCAGGGTGGTCCCTCCCCGACCCTGGGCTGGGTGGGTCCCTGGCCATGCAGCAATGGAGCCAACCCCATCCCAGTGGCACATCTGAGGCTGGCACACGCCAAGCCCTCTCCTGCCTCCTAGCACTGTCCACATCATGCCACCTGCCCCCACTTGCTCAGCCTTCCTGACCCTCCCCAGCCTTCAGATCAGCTTGGGGCCACAGCAGAACCCTTC
Organism: Homo sapiens; assembly: GCF_000001405.40. Classification (NCBI taxonomy): domain Eukaryota; kingdom Metazoa; phylum Chordata; class Mammalia; order Primates; family Hominidae; genus Homo; species Homo sapiens. Next base: position 3,766,922 of record NC_000019.10, on the reverse strand, counting down.
CTGCAGCCCACAGGTCCTGCCCTCACCTCCTCCCTCTCTCGCCCTCCTCACTGTGCTCCAGCCACACAGGCCTCCCCGCTGTTCCTCCAGCACACCAGGTGCGGTCCTGCCCCGGGGCCTTTGCACAGGCTGTGCCCACTGCCTGGAAAGCCCCTTCCACCCACTCCCGTCTTGGCTTCTGTGTCCCCCAAACCTCAAACTAGAGCAGCCAAACACCCCGGCTCTGTCCCTCATTCTCCTGCCCCCTTCCTGGAAGTGTCACCACCACAGCTGCCTGACTTCCTCCTTCCTGTCTGCCTCCCCAGCTAGCTCCGCCAGGGTGGGGACTTGTGTCTGTTTTGAGCCCTTCTGTATCCCTCAAGCCTAGAGCAGGGCCTGGCATGCAGTCAGTGGTCAATAAGTATTTGCAGGACGGGTGCGGCGGCTCACGCCTGTACTCCCAGCACTTTGGGAGGCCGAGGTGGGCGGATCACCTGAGGTCAGGAGTTCAAGACCAGCCTGGCCAACATGGAGAAACCCTGTCTCTACTAAAAATACAAAATTAGGCCAGGCGTGGTGGCTCACGCCTGTAATCCCAGCACTTTGGGAGGCCAGGGCAGGCGGATCACGAGGTTATCAGGAGTTCGAGACTAGCCTGGCAAACATGGTGAAACCCTGTCTCTACTAAAAATACAAAAATTAGCTGGGTGTGACGGCGGGCACCTGTAATCCCAGCTACTCGGGAGGCTGAGGCAGGAGAATCATTGGAACACTGGGAGGTGGAGGTTGCAGTGAGCCAAGATCACACCACTGCACTCCAGCCTGGGCGACAAGAGCAAAACTCCATCTCAAAAAAAAAAAAAAATTAGCCAGGCATGGTGGCGCATGCCTGTAATCCCAGCTACTCTGAAGGCTGAGGCAGGAGAACCGCTTGAACCCAGGAGGCAGAGGTTGCAGTGAGCCAAGACCACATGACTGCATTCCACACTGGGTGACAGAGCAAGACTCCATATAGAAGAAAAAAAAAAATTTTTTTTTTTTTTTTTGAGACCAAGTCTCACTCTGTTGCCCAGGCTGGAGTACAATGGCGTGATCTCAGCTCACTGCAACCTCTGCCTCCCAGGCTCAAGCAATTCTCGTGCCTCAGCCTCCCAAGTAACTGGGACTACAGGAATGTGCCACCACACCCGGCTAATTTTTATATTTTTAGTAGAGACGAGGTTTCACCATGTTGGCCAGGCTGGTCTCGAACTCCTGACCTCAGGTGATCCAAACGCCTTGCCTCCCAAAGTGCTGGGATTACAGGTGTGAGCCACGGCGCCCAGCCTGAAAAAAAATTTTTTTTAAGTATTTGCTTAAGATAAAGCATTGTTTTAGGTACTTGACATGTGTTCTAATCTCATGAATTCCTCACAGCCCTCTGAGGGAGGGATGGGTCCCATCACCCCATTACAGATGGGCAGAGCCCTGAAGCCCCCTGCCCTAAAGCCAGGATGGGTAGGTGTGACTATTAGGCTCCGGCTGGAGTGGCGATCCGCCTCTCCGGGAAGGGGTCCTCCTGGGGCGGAGGAAGGAATAGTCATTGCAGGATGACACAGCCTGGCCTACTCACCATTCAGGGTACTCAGCATCCGGTTTCAGGGGTACATCCTGCCCTTCCTTGTAGATGTTGACGCCCATGGCATATGTGGTGAGCTGGACAGGATCTGTGCATACGTCGGGGTCCTTGAGGGCCTCGCTGGTCACTGCACCTTTTCCCGATTTGGCCCCCTTCATAACTGGGGAGACGAGAGGGAGAGTCATTTCAGCCCAGCCCCTCCTCTGGAAGCCAAACTTCTCTCACAGAACCCTGTCTCAGGTGGCCTCTGCCCCTGGCTGGACTCTGCTACACTCAAAACTTTCTTTTTTTTTTTTTTTGAGACGGAGTCTCGCTCTGTTGCCCAGGTGGAGTGCAGTGGCGCAGTCTCAGCTCACTGCAAGCTCCGCCTCCCGGGTTCAAGCCATTCTCCTGCCTCAGCCTCCCAAGTAGCTGGGACTACAGGCGCCCACCACCACGCCCAGCTAATTTTTTGTATTTTTAGTAGAGACGGGGTTTCACCGTGTTAGCCAGGATGGTCTCGATCTCCTGACCTCGTGATCTGCCCACCTTGGCCTCCCAAAGTGTTGGGATTACAGGCGTGAGCCACCGCGCCCGGCCACTCAAAACTTTTTTTTAAAGACAGGGTCTCAGCCAGGCATAGTGGCTCATGCCTGTAATCCCAGCACTCTGGGAGGCCGAGGTGGGAAGATCACCTGAGGTCAGGTGAGTTTAAGACCAGCCTGGCCAACATGGTGAAAACTTGTCTCTACTAAAAATACAAAAAAAAAAATTAGCTGGGCATGGTGGCATATGCCTGTGATCCCAGCTACTCGGGAGGCTGAGGCAGGAGAATCACTTGAACCCGGGAGGCGGAGGTTGCAGTGAGCTGAGATCGCATCGCTGCACTCCAGCCTAGGTTACAGAGCAAGATTCCATCTCAAAAAAATAAAAAATCTAAAAAATTAAAAAATAAAGACAGCCCGGCCGGGCGCGGCGGCTCACGCCTGTAATCCCAGCTCTTTGGGAGGCCAAGGTGGGCGGATCACGAGGTCAGGAGGTTGAGACCATCCTGGCTAACATGGTGAAATTCCATCTCTACTAAAAATACAAAAACATTAGCCGGGCATGGTGGTGGGCACCTGTGGTCCCAGCTACTTGGGAGGCTGAGGCAGGAGAATGGCGTGAACCCAGGAGGCGGAGCTTGCAGTGAGCCAAGATTGCGCCACTGCACACTCCAGCCTGGGCGACAGAGCGAGACTCCGTCTGAAGAAAATAAAAAAATAAAAAATAAAAGCCCAGGCTGGAGGGCAGGGGCACAATCATGGCTCACTGCAGCCTCAAACTCCCAGGCTCAAGTGATCCTTCTGCCTCAGCCTCCCAAGTAGCTGAGATCACAGTTGTGAGCCACCATGCCCCGCTTATTTTTATTTTTATTTATTTATTTATTTATTTTGAGACAGAGTCTCACTGTGTCGCCCAGGCTGGAGTGCAGTGGCGTGATCTCGGCTCACTGCAACCTCCGCCTCCTGGGTTCAAGCAGTTCTCCTGCCTCAGCCTCCTGAGTAGCTGGGATTACAGACATGTGCCACCATGCCCCACTAATTTTTGTATTTTTAGTAGAGCTAGGGTTTCACCATGTTGGTCAGGCTGATCTTGAATTCCTGACCTTGTGATCCACCTGCATCAGCCTCCCAAAGTGCTGGGATTACAGGCGTGAGCTACCGCGCCAGGCAATTTTTTTTTTTTTTTATACAAACAGGGTCCTGCTATGTTGCCCAGGCTGGTCTCGAACTCCTGGGTTCAAGCAATCGATCCTCCCTCCTTGGCTTCCCAAAGTGCCGGGAATAAAGGTGTGAGCCATCATGCCTGGCCTCGAAATCACTTTAAGTGGGATTTGGACACAGCATTAAGTAACTTTAAGTGGGATTTGGACATAGCATTAAGTAACACCGATGCTTGGAATGACCAAGTCATTCAAGTTATATTTTGTCTGCTATGTGTCTGTCTTTAAGGCCGAACATTGGACAATTTCCCCCTTTCAACAAAGGAGATCAGGCAAGGCTGTATCCAGCTAAACCTTAATAACCTTGTTTTGTTCTTGCTGAAGTGGCCAATTAAACGGGCTCCATAATTTCTTTGAATGTTTGGTAACGTCTTGGCCAAGGTTACCCAGCGATTTGGAGGCAGGCAGAGAAACAGAACTGGAACCCAAGTTCATGACCTCCCCAGACTCCCTTCAAATCCTTTCCAACCCGCGCCTGCGCAGTGAAACGCGTGGTCTCCACGTAACCACATCCTCCTCCCAGGCCGCTCCGCCCCAAGCTGGCGCCTGCGCCCTGGGTCCAATCGCTACAGTATCTCCGAGCCAGACGCCCGAGCTCCAAGCGGCGCTGGGTCCCTCAAACTGCGCCTGCGCATACAGCCTGGCATCCGCCTCTCTGCGCTTGCGCATCAGTTCTAGCACCACCTCCCCAACCACCGCCTGCGCACTGTCAATTCCTCAGTGCACCCACCGTCCCCATTTGGTTCCTCTTAACCCAGCTCACCTGGTTTCTTGGCATAATCCCGGGCCAGGAGTCTTCCGGAAGTGGCGGGGTTTAGGAGCTCCCAGGCCCCCCAGCCGGCCCACGTCCGGGTAGCCCCGAAAAGGCGTTTGGTCGCCATGACGTATTGCGGGCAGCTTGCAAGTGCACGTTTCCGGAAGACGTCAGTGGCCCAAGGGTGTTTGGGAGTTGTAGGCCCCGTGGAAGTGTAGGCCCCGTGGAGGTGTCTGGGAAATGCGGTCTCCCAAGCTTTCATAATCTATGGTGATTTCTTCAGACTTTTGTAGACATACACAGTTACTATAGGAGGAGGCGTTCAAGGGATATTTCATTGACTTCTTGCCCTTCTTCAATTACATAACATTTACTAAAAATATCACACTTTATATGTTCCTGATTCCATCCAATGAGTAATTATTCAAAGCTTTAAAGTTAAAAAAAGAAGATTAACAATGAGTCTAATATACTCCAGTAGGGCTGGAGTCTAATCACTGTTAATTTTTATAACATTATATTTTTAAAATTATATATAACATATATAATACATATAATATATAGTATGTTTTATATATAATATATAAATTAATAATATATATTTTATATATTCTTTTCCAGCTCTACTACTGCTAAATCCTTAACCCGCTTGATCTAATTTAATCCTCACAATTGAGAGGTAGGTACTATTTTTTCCCCAGCTTATAATGAGGAAACTGAGTTCTCAGGGAGGTAAAGTTCCCAGGCCGACCCCAAATCCATGGTGCACCTATGTGTCTCCCTACTGTGAGCCAAACCGAAAGTCCGTCTTTAACAGGGTCTCCACGACGCTTCCGGTGCCTCAAGGTCCCAAGGAAACCACCTCTCACACTTCTTTAATATTTCCCAACCCCACTTCTCCCCATCTGCCATCCTTTGGAATAATGAACACAGCCCCCAGAGCCAGGCAGTGATTATTAACCCTATTTTGCAGGAGAACAAACAGGTCCTGGGGCCAGCCGGGGCAGTCTGCGGGCCGGGAAGCCTGGGATTCGAACTCCCCTCCAACATCTGCAGTTGTCCCAGCGCCCCCGCGTGGCGAGGCTGGGTGGGAGAACTACATTTCCCAGCAGGCCTCGCGAGGCCGCGCATGCTCAATGGGCCAGGGCTCTGCGCGGATAGAGGAGCGGGCGCCGGGACCGGGAATCCCCGAGCTGCGCCTTCTGGGGACGCGGCCCGGGCTACGTCGGGGCCGTCCGTGGGGAGCGGGGTCCTGGAGGCTGCGCGGGGCTGAGGCGGCCTCGATTTGGGAAGTGAGTGTCCTCGAGGTGCAGAGCGCAGTCTGAGTCGGCGCTTGAGGTCTTCGGTCTGAGGGGGGACTAGGGTCTGGGCTTGGGGCTGGGTCCTGAAGTCGGGGTCTGAGTCTGGAGTCGATCTTGGGGTAGCATTGGAGGTTTGGAGACTGGGGTCCGCCTTATGGCGTCTTGGGTCTCTGGTATTAAGTCCAGGGTCCTGGGTCTAAAGTTCTGGATGGAGGTATTGGGGGTTGAGGTCATGGGACTGGGGTCTTGGGTCTGGGGTCTTGGGGAACTGCCTCTGACCAGTCGGTAGAGTCAGGGTGTGAGGTCTGGGTCTCCAGCCTGGGTTCCGCGTCTTGAGGGAGGAGGACCTGGAAGAACCAGGGCTGGAGTGAACAGACTCCATTAGTTGAGAGAGGTCTGGGATGACACAGGGGCTCGGGAAGCCACTGCCTCACACCTCCCCATTCTGTGGCTCAGTTTCTTCATCTGTAAAATGGGAATCCTAACTTCCTTGCAAGGGTTAGTGGGTATTAAATTATGTGCCCTGTATGAACAGTACCCAGCTAGAGCCTAGCACCGGATAGGCAGCCGGGAAACCTCAAGTTTTTTGTTTTTCGGGTTTGTTTGTTTTTTTTAAGACAGGGCCTCACTCTGTCACCCAGGCTGGAGTGCAGTGGCACAATCAAGGCTCACTGCAGCCTCTGCCTCCCCTGGTTCAGGTGATCCTCCCACCTCAGCCTCCCAAGTAGCTGGGACTACAGCCTACACCACCACCCCTAGCTAGTTTTTTTTTTTTTTTTTGGAGATAGTCTCGTCTGTCGCCCACCTTGGAGTGCAATGGCGCGATCTCAGCTCACTGCAACCTCCGCCTCCCGGGTTCAGGCGATTCTCCTGCCTCAGCCTCTTGCGTAGCTGGGATTACAGGTGCCTGCCACCACACCTGGCTAATTTTTTGTATTTTTAGTAGAGACGGAATTTCACCATGTTAGTCAGGCTGGTCTCAAACTCCTGACCCCATGATCTGCCCGCCTCGGCCTCACAAAGTGCTGGGAATTACAGGCGTGAGCCACTGTGCCCGGCCTTAATTTTTTGTATTTTTTGTAGAGAGAGGGTCTTGCTCTGTTGCCCAGGCTGATCTTGAACTCCTGGGTTCAGTCAGCCCTTCTGGGCCTCCCAAAATTCTGGGATTACAGGCATGAGCCACTGCACCCGGGCGAAACCTCAGTGCTGACTCTCTCTCTTTCAGCTGCCTGAAGATGCCGGCCTAAGCCTGGAGTCCAGGCATGGACTTCCCCACAATTTCCCGATCCCCTTCGGGGCCTCCAGCCATGGACTTGGAGGGGCCCAGGGACATTCTTGTGCCTTCGGAGGACCTCACCCCTGACAGCCAGTGGGACCCTATGCCAGGAGGCCCCGGCAGCCTCAGTCGGATGGAACTTGATGAGTCAAGCCTTCAGGAGCTGGTGCAGCAGTTTGAAGCTCTGCCAGGCGATCTGGTGGGCCCATCCCCAGGTGGAGCCCCCTGTCCCCTACACATTGCCACAGGCCATGGCCTGGCCTCCCAGGAGATTGCTGATGCCCACGGGCTCCTGTCTGCCGAAGCTGGCCGGGATGACCTGCTGGGCCTCTTGCACTGCGAGGAATGCCCGCCTTCCCAGACTGGTCCTGAAGAGCCTCTAGAGCCTGCCCCCCGACTGTTGCAGCCCCCTGAGGACCCAGATGAGGATTCTGACTCCCCAGAATGGGTGGAGGGGGCCTCTGCTGAGCAGGAGGGCAGCAGGAGCTCAAGCAGTTCCCCGGAACCCTGGCTGGAGACGGTGCCTCTAGTCACACCTGAAGAGCCACCCGCTGGTGCCCAGGTAGTGCCCGCCCCGCCCTCCAGGCATCCTGGACTGCCTGGAACCAAGCAGGGAGACTCAGTCCTGCCCCTCCTCTATCTTCTTCCAGAGCCCCGAGACCCTGGCTTCCTACCCTGCCCCCCAGGAGGGTGAGTGTCCCGCCCACCCTAGCCTCAGGCACTGAAGGCCCCTAGACAGCCAGAATCAGGCTCACCAGCCTGGCAACAGCTTGCCAGTAAGGACGAGGTTCTCGGGAGCCTCTGAGGGTGGTTTCGAGCAGATTCCGGCTGGCCAGGGAGAGGAGAGCCAGCCTTGAGAACGGGGTAGAGTGAGAAGGGGACTGTGGGGCAGCTCCGGCCATTGGCAGCACTGGGTTCTAGAACCGGGCTTGGCAAATCATCGTCGTCGGGCCAGACCCAACTCACTGCCTGCTCACGTAGGTCTCGAGTTAAAGATGGTTTTTGCGTTTGGGGCTTCTTTACTTTTTTTGATGACTTCTGTTATCCAGGCTGGAGTGCAGTGGCTTGATCTCAGCTCACTGCAACCTCCATCTCCCAGGTTCAAGCGATCCTCCCACCTCAGTTTCCCAAATAGCTGAGACTACAGGTGCGTGCCACCACGCCCAGCTAATTTTATTTCGTATTTATTTGGGTAGAGATGGGGTTTCACCATGTTGCCCAAGCTGGTTTCAAACTCCTGAGCTCAAGCGATCTGCCTGCCTCAGCCTCCCAGAGTACTGAGATTACAGGCGTGAGCCACCATGCCCGGGTGTCCTTTGCATTTTTAATTGACTTTTTTTTTCATTGAAAGAAGAATACTATTTCTTTCTTTCTTTTTGAGACAGAGTCTGTCACCCAGGCTTGGAGTGCAGTGGCGTGATCCCGGCTCACTGCAACTTCCGCCTCCCGGGTTCAAGTGATTCTCCTGCCTCAGCCTCCCAAGTAGCTGGGATTACAGGTGCTCGCCACCACGCCCAGCTAATTTTTGTATTTTTAGTAGAGATGGGGTTTCACTGTGTTGGCCAGGCTGGTGTTGAACTCCTGACCTTGTGATCCGCCCGCCTTGGCCTCCTAAAGTGCTAGGATTACAAGCGTGAGCCACCACGCCTGGCCAAAGAATACTATTTCTTGACATGTGAAAATGATATGCTAGGCTGGATATGGTGGCTCACACGTGTAATCCCAGCTCTTTGGGAGGCTGAGGCAGGAGGATCGCTTGAGCCGGGAGTTGGAGACCAGCCTGGGCAACGTAGCAAGACCCCATCTCTACAAAAAATGTTTAAAGTTAGCCAGGTGTGGCGGTGCATGCCTGTAGTCCCAGCTACTCAGGAGGTTGAGGCGGGAGAAGTTCTTGAGCCCAGGAGGTCGAGACTGCGGTGAGCTGAGATCACCCCACGCCACTGCACTACAGCCTAGGCAACAGAGCGAGACTCTGTCTCAAAAATAAAAAAATGCAATTCAAATTTCAGTGTGCATAAGCTGGGCGCGGTGGCTCACGCCTATAATCCCAGCACTTTGGGAGGCCAAGGTGGGCAGATCACTAGGTCAGGAGTTCGAGACCAGCCTGGCCAACATTGGTGAAACCCCGTCTCTACTAAACATACAAAAATTAGCCGGGCATGGTAGTGCACGCCTGTAATCCCAGCTACTCAGGAGGCTGAGGCAGGAGAATCACATGAACCCGGGAGGCGGAGGTTGCGGTGAGCTGAGATCACGCCATTGCACTCCAGCCTGGGCAATAGAGTGAGACTCTGTCTCTAAAAAAAGAAAAACAAATTTCAGTGTACATAAATAAAGTTTTATTGGTACACATCATGCTTGGTTATTCATGTGTTGTCCATGGCTGCTCTGATGTTCGAATGGCAGAGGTGAGTAGCTGCAGCAGATACCTTGTGACCTACAAGGCTGAAAATATTTACTCTTTGGCCCTTTACAGAAAATGTTTGCCAAGCCCTGCCCTAAAAGCATGGGAAGAACAATTTCTGGCCCTCTGGAATGTTCTAGACTTTTTTTTTCAGTGGTGCAATCTCAGCTCACTTCAACCTCTGCCGCCCGGATTCAAGTGATTCTCCTGCTTCAGCCTCCTGAGTAGCTGAGATTACAAGCGTCCGCCACCGTGCCCAGCTAATTTTTATATTTTTAGTAGAGACGGCGTTTCACCGTCTTGGTCAGGCTGGTCTCAAACTCCTGACCTTGTGATCCACCCGCCTCGGCCTCCCAAAATGCTGGGATTACAGGTGTGAGCCACCGCGGCCAGCCTCTGTTCTACACTTCGCTAAGGATATAGGTCAGATAGTAAGTTCTGGCCGGGAAGGGTGGCTCACATCTGTAATCCCAACACTTTGAAAGGCTGATGTGGGAGGATCGCTTGAGCCCAGGAGTTCGAGACCAGCCTGGGCCACACAGCAAAACCCTGTCTCCACAAAAATAAAATCCCCCCCCAAAATTAGCCAGGCACGTGGCATGGGTCTATAATCCCAGCTACTTGGGAGGCTGAGGTGGGAGGATCACTTGAGGCTGCAGTGAGCTAAGATTGTGCCACTGCACTCCAGCCTGGGTGACAGTGAGACCATGTCTCAAAAAAAAGAAAAAAAAAAACAGTTCTGTGGTTGCAGAGAGAAAAACTGGTTTGAACCTATAGCTCTAAGAAGGTTCTAGAATCGAGCAGAGCTGTGACACCTAGGGAGTTCCAGGGCTTGGCATTTTGTCTGTTTCTAGGGTAAAGGAATCTGGGCTGATGAGAATGCTCAGAATTGGTGAACAGAGGCATCTGGTTCTACTCAGACTGGAGAATTCTAGAACCATGGAGGGAATAGTTATCTAGTGTTCTATAACCCTGGGCAGAGCTGTCCAATTATAGTGTAATCAGAAAGTTCTAGATGGAACTACAATAGAAATACAACGTGAGCCATATGTGATTTAAAATTTTGTAGTTATCCACGTTAAAAAATTAAAAACAGGTGAAATAACTTTTTTTTTTTTTAAACTGAGACGGAGTCTCGCTCTGTCGCCCAGGCTGCAGTGCAGTGGCACGATCTCAGCTCACCGCAACCTCCGCCTCCCAGCTTCAAGCGATTCTCTCGCCTCAGCCTCCTGAGTAACTGGAACTATAGGCATACGCCACCATACCTGGCTAAGAAATTAACTTTAATAACATTTTAATTAAGCTAACATATTTAAAATATTATTTCAACATACAATCAATATTTTTAATTTACTTTTTTATTTTTTTGAGACACAGTCTCACCTTGTTGCCCAGGCTGGAGTGCAATGGCGCAATCTTGGCTCACTGCAACCTCTGCCTCCTGGGTTCAAGTGATTCTCCTTCCTTAGCCTCCCGAGTAGCTGGGATTACAGGCGCCTGCCACCATGCCCAGCTAATTTTGGTATTTTTAGTAGAGACGGGGTTTCACCATGTTGGCCAGGCTGGTCTCAAACTCCTGACCTCAGGTGATCCGCCCGCCTCTGCCTCCCAAAGTGCTGGGATTACAGGCGTGAACCACCATGCCTGACCTTAAATTACTTTTTTTCATACCAAATCTTCAATATCTAGTGTGTATTTTCTATTTACATCTCTATTCAGTCGAGCCACATTTCAAGTCTGTGATAGATACATGTGCCTGGTGGCTACCACAGTGAATGACGTATCTCTCTAGAACCCCAGAGTGGAGCTCTTGTTCCAGAATGCTTAGATCCTGAAGGATAGTGGGCAGAACCGACTGTGGTGTAGGGTGAATTTCACTTAGTGGTGTCCAGAACGGGGCCCTACACCCGTGGTTCTAAACCAAAGAGCCGTAGTTACTGGTTAGAATGTTCTAGGGCCACTGGCAGAGCTGTCTGGCTCTGGGTAGCTCAGGGAATTCTAGAACCATGAGAGTAAAGCTTTTTTTTTTTTTTCCTTTTTGTTTTTGGAGATGGAATCTTGCTCTGTCACCCAGGCTGGTGTGCAGTGGTGCGATCTCTCTCGGCTCACTGCAACCTCCACCTCCTGGGTTCAAGTGATTCTCCCGCCTCAGCTTTCAAGTAGCTGGGATTATAGGCACGCGCCACCACGCCCAGCTAATTTTGTATTTTTAGTAGAGACGGGGTTTCGCCATGTTGGCCAGGCAGGTCTCGAACTCCTGACCTCAGGTGATCCACCCCCCCCCCCCGGCCTCCTAAAGTGCTGGGGTTACAGACGTGAGCCACCGCACCCAGCCAGGAGTAAAGCTTTATGTAGTTCTGGGCTGGGTTGGGAGTATTCTGGAACTGTCTAGAATTCTCCTGGAACAGAATTGTTTGTTCCTTGACTGGTCAGGTAATTCTTAGAATCCCTGGTGTAGCCAAAGGTGTGAACTACTGAAGGAGATTCTAGAACCACAGGAAGAGCTGCCTGACGCGATTGTGATTAAGATGTTCTGGAATCACGGAGCAGAGAAGTCTGATTCTAGAGTGATAATAAGATTCTAAAACTCCTGACAGAATTGCTATGAGACCTGTCAGAGAGTTCTGGAATCAAGGGTCAGAACCAGCTGGGGTTCTGGAGAGTATGGGAATTTTAGACAGGCAGCAGGGTCTGTCTCTGTTCTGAGTGGTTCTACAACCCGGGAACAGAGCTGCCTGCTATCCTGGGCTGACTGCAGACGGTTCTAGAACAGTGGGCAGAGCTGGCCAGTTCTAGATTGATGGAGGGAATTCCAGAACCAAGAAGCAGGGGTCCACTGTGGTTCTAGAATGTTGTGGAGGTTTCGAAATTGGAGTGGGGGGTGGAGCGTCGTGGCTCACGCCTGTCATCCCAGTACTTTAGGAGGCCAAGGCGGGTGGATCACTTGAGGTCGGGAGTTTGAGACCAGCCTGGCCAACGTGGCGAAACCCCGTCTCTACTAAAAATACAAAAACTAGCCAGGCGTGGTGGTGGGCGCCTGTAATCCCAGCTACTCATGAGACTGAGGCAGGAGAATCGTTTGAACCCAGGAAGCGGAGGTTGCAGTGAGCTGAGATCACACCACCGAGCTCCAGCCTGGGCGACAGAGCGAGACCGTGTCTCAAAAAAGCAGGAGTGGGACTGTCTGGTTCCGGCCTGATCATGGAATTCTGGGGACACGGGGTGAAGGTATCTGTGGGTGCTAGATCTGGCTTTGAATCCAGCCATGGCCTGGACTCACTGGTTTCCCACCTGCGAGTCCTTGAGGGATGGACAGAAGGTTCTAGACCTGTGAGGGCCAGGCTGCTTGGATGGTTCTAGAACAGTGGGCTGTGCTTCCTGGCTGGAGAGTGCTAAGCCACCAGCTAGAACACTGTGTCTCCCGGCCATCTCGGAGAGCGTAGCCCTGGGGCAGAGCCTGTGGGAGTGGGCCCCTGGGGGCCGACCCTCTTCGCTGTCGCCCTCAGTGCCTGGTCCCTGTGACCATGAAGACCTCCTGGACGGTGTCATATTTGGGGCCAGGTACCTGGGGTCCACCCAGCTGGTGTCGGAACGGAACCCGCCCACCAGCACGCGCATGGCCCAGGCCCGGGAGGCCATGGACCGCGTCAAGGTGAGGGGGCGGCCGGGGCCGGGCGGGCAGGCGGGTGGGCTGCAGGCTGGGTCTGTGGGGGCCTCCACCTCCCACGCCGCCACCCACAGGCCCCCGATGGGGAGACCCAGCCCATGACGGAGGTGGACCTGTTCGTCTCCACCAAGAGGATCAAGGTCTTGACAGCGGACTCCCAGGTACGGGGCAGGGACCCGCCCCAGGGATGCGGGTGGGGTGATCGAGCCTGGCACGGCCCCCCAACCCACCCAGGCTGCCTCTCCCGCCCCAGGAGGCCATGATGGACCACGCCCTGCATACCATCTCCTACACAGCCGACATCGGCTGCGTGCTGGTGCTGATGGCGCGGCGGCGGCTGGCACGGAGGCCGGCACCCCAGGACCACGGCCGCCGCCTCTACAAGATGCTCTGCCACGTATTCTACGCGGAGGACGTGAGCAGCCAGGGCGCGGGGCCACCCTCCTGAGGCCCTCCTCACTGCAACTGTCGCCTCCCTCAGTGGGCCGTGCATTTAACCTCCCTCCCATAAGCTTATTTTTAAATTCTTTTTTTGGGACAAGGTCTCCTTCTGTCACCCAGGCTGGAGTGCAGTGGCGCAATCATAGTTCACTGCAGCCTCAACCTTCCAGGCTCAAGCGATCCTCCCACTTCAGCCTCTCTAGTAGCTGGGACCACCGGGGTATCACCATGCCTGGCTAATTTTTGTATTTTTTATAGAGACACGGTCTCGCTCTGTTGCCCAGGTGAACACGGTCTCAAACTCCTGGGCTCAAGCGATCCACCCACCTCAGCCTCCCAAAGTGCTGCAATTACAGGCGTGAGCCACCGCGTCCAGCCTCCTATAAGACTCCAAGACTCTCGGCCGACTCCCCGAAACCTTGCCCGCTCCTGGGCTGTCCCTGCCACCCATGAGGCCCCAGGCCCCCTGGCTGGGTCTTTGATAGCTTTTCCCACAGCCCATGCGCAGGGAGCTGCCTCCCTCATCGTCCCCCCAGCCCAGGGCTGCCCCTCCCCTTCCTTCTCCCCGTAGATTCCCCAAGATGCGGCTGTCTCTCCACCTCCCCCAAAGCCCCAGGGCAGAAGGCTGTGTCCTGGGACTCTCACCCCAGGTGGGGACAGGAGGGCTCAGCTCTGAGGACCCTGGGGACTTTGGGGACCTGGAGGAGGTGGGTGGGACACCCCAGGGACGCGCCACTCCTCCCCGCAGGCCCAGCTCATCGCCCAGGCCATTGGCCAGGCCTTCGCCGCCGCCTACAGCCAGTTCCTACGGGAAAGCGGTATTGACCCCAGCCAGGTGGGCGTGCACCCGAGCCCAGGCGCCTGCCACCTCCATAATGGGGACCTGGACCACTTCTCCAACAGTGACAACTGCCGGGAGGTGAGTGAGGTGCTGGGCAGCCCCCACCTGGTGCCCCCCACACCCGTGCACCTGCACCGGGCCCTGCTGAGCAGCCTCCGCGCCCCCTGTGTGTCCCAGGTGCACCTCGAGAAGCGGCGAGGGGAGGGCCTGGGCGTGGCCCTGGTGGAGTCGGGCTGGGGCTCCCTGCTGCCCACAGCCGTCATCGCCAACCTGCTGCACGGGGGGCCTGCTGAGCGCTCGGGGGCCCTCAGCATCGGGGACCGCCTGACCGCCATCAACGGGACCAGCCTGGTGGGGCTGCCCCTGGCTGCGTGCCAGGCCGCTGTCCGCGTGAGTTTCCTGGTGTGGCAGGGCCCCCACACTCCCAGGAAGGGGAGCTGAGTCCCAGAGAGGTCTCCTCCCTGGCCAGGTCTCTCCAGCCCAGCCAGGAGGGACAAAGTCGAACTTTTAAGTCCTGCCCACTGGTGTGCCCTTGGGGAAACTGAGGCCTGGAGAAGGGAGGCCACTTGTCCAGGGCACCTCCCTAGTACCAGAGCCAGGATGGAAATGCGGGTGGCCCAGCTCCAGGGCTGGGCCACTCTCTCTCTCTAACAAGAAACAGCTAATTTCTGGGGGGGTTTGTTTGTTTGAGACAAGGTCTCACTCTTGCCCAGGCTGGAGTGCAGCGGTGCACCTGGCTCATTGCAGCCTTGACCTTCTGGGCTCAAGCAAATCTCCTTCCTCAGCCTCCCGAGTAGCTGGGACCACAGGTGTGCACCACCACGCCCAGTTTATTGTTTTATTTTTTGTAGAGATGGAGTCTCACTATGTTGGTTGGCCAGGCTGGTCTTGAGCTCCTGGCCTCAAGTGATCCACCTGCCTCGGCCTCCCACAGTGCTGGGATTACAGGTGTGAGCCACTGCACCTGGCCATGTTTTTGAGTCTCAACCTTTGTTGCTCAGATGGGGAAACTGAGGCCCAGAGATAGGGAGGGACCTGCCCCCGTCAGAGGAATGAGGCCACAGTCCGTGCAGCCTCTTACAGATGTTTGCAGCCTGCCTGGAGAGCCCGGCTGTCGGCTTGGCTTTTGGCCATAAGGAAGCGATATGGCTCGGGTCAGACAGCTTCGACCCCATGCCCACCGGGCCCGAGTCTGTTCTCTATCACATCTGAGGGGGTCTTCCAGAATTGAGCCCCTGGACTCCAGGTCTCTGGTTTATGAGAGGGTAAACTGAGGCCCAGAGGGGGCTACAACCTGCCAGGCTGTCCGGCAGCTGAGTGAGGCCAACGGCCCCCGCCCCACAGGAGACGAAGTCGCAGACGTCGGTGACACTCAGCATCGTCCACTGCCCTCCCGTCACCACCGCCATCATCCACCGGCCCCACGCCCGCGAGCAGCTGGGCTTCTGCGTGGAGGACGGCATCGTGAGGCCCCGGCCCCTGGCCCCGGGGTGGGGGGGTAGGGCGGCCCTGAGCACGGCCCCTGAGCAGCCCCCACCTCTTTCCCGTCCCCCTCTTTTCTCCCCCAGATCTGCAGCCTCCTCCGTGGTGGCATCGCCGAGCGTGGGGGCATCCGCGTCGGCCACCGCATCATTGAGATCAATGGGCAGAGTGTGGTGGCCACGCCACACGCCCGCATCATCGAGCTGCTCACCGAGGCCTATGGCGAGGTGTGCGGGTGGTGGGTGGTGGCCAGGGGCGCCCCCACGTCCCCCACGAGCCCAGGCCTGCCCTGAGCCCCGTTCCGCCTCCACTCCCCAGGTGCATATCAAGACGATGCCAGCTGCCACATATCGCCTCCTTACAGGCCAGGAGCAGCCCGTGTACCTGTGACCACCTCATCCCTTGCCTGCCACTGTGCCTTCGCCTCCATGGCCCCGGAGCCCCATCCTGGGCCTGCCCTGGCTGGCCAGGACCCCAGCGGTTCTTGGTCCTGTATGATTTCCTAATATAAAAACAGTAAAAGCTTATGCATTTGGCAAAGTCTCGGATCAGGGTCTACGGGACCGAGGACCTTGTCCTTCCTGGAAGCCACTAGAAGCCGGTGCTGTGAAAATACTCTGTTTATTAAAGACCAGGCGGAGGGAGGTAAGGTTGTGGGTTCTGTATGGGAAACTGAGTCCCAGCCCCAGGGAGGGAGAAGGAGGACGGACCAGCTGGCAGCCTTCGAGAGGTCACAGGTCAGTGGCCGGACCCCAGTCATAGCCGTCTTCATCGGAGGACTCCGCATCATGTACTCGCATAAACTTTTTCTTCAGGGCTTCCCGTTCATAGGTTCTGGGGATCAGGAAATAGAATAGATGCTGTGGGTGGGAAGGGTGTGAGCTTTCTCACCATAAACTGAGGCTGGCTGTGCTAGGCACAGTGGGTGTGGGCAGAGATAAGCACATCTGGGCATTCATGGGTAGGGCCTTGTTAACAAACTCCTATGCATCCCTCAAAGCCCCAGCTGCAATATCCTGCCCTTCAAGAAGCCTTCCTAGGCCTCCCAGGAAGTGGATTCCTACTCCCTTGGCCCTGATTATATGGGGCTTAGAGAGGCTCTGGCAGGCTCTGTCTTCCCCACTAGGCTAGGGGCACCATGAAGGCATAGCTTGGATCTAGATCTGAGTCCGCAGAGTCTGAGTCCCAAGGGAAGGGTTGAGGGCCCCAATCTGGAATATGGGGTTCTTACCGCATGCTGTCCTGTCGCCACTGTCCCTGGGGGTGGCGGCTGTCCACCTTGGAGGAGAGGGAGAGAGGAGCTTCAAAACTCCCCCCAGAGCATGGTGAGTCGAGATCAATAACCACCTCCATCCCATCCCCCACCTTGGCCCGGGCCATGCTGCCCACTTGCTAACCCCGTGACAAGTCTGCAGGTCATCCCCAAATCTAAATGAGAAAACTGAGGCTGGGATAGGGGAAGGCCTTAGCTGAGACCTCCTAGCCTGTCAGCAAAAGGGGAATTGGGTTTCTCATCTGTGCAAGTCCTCACAGGGCCACAGCCATGAGTTCATGTACGTAAAGGACTTAGTACAGTGGCTGCTCCGTATGCAGCCTGCCATGGACAGTTGAGCAGGTTGGGTACTGCACAACCCCAGGAAAATCACTCTAATCAGAGATGTCATTGATTCATAGATTTTTACATTGACCTAGAGAGGGTGTGGAAGAAGATGCTGAGGCATATACACTAAGAGCTACATACACATTTGTTACTGTTAAACACCCAACTACAGCTGGGCGCTGTGGTTCACGCCTGTACTCCCAGCACTTTGAGATGCCAAGGCAGGAGGATCACTTGAGCCCAGGAGTTAGAGACCAGCCTGGGCAACATAGCAAGACCACATCTCTGCAAAAAATGAAAAAAAATTAGCTGGGTGTGGGTGGTGGTGCGCGCCTGTGGTCCCAGCTACTCCGGAGGCTGAGATGAGAGGCTCCCTTTAGCTCAGGAGTTGGAGGCCGCAACGAACTATGATTGTACTACTGCACTCCAGCCTGGGCAGCAGGGCAAGACCCTATCTCTAAAATTTAAAAAATAAAATATATAAATTAGATAGGTCAAGTTCAAAAAGACACGCAACTACTATGTGCCAAAACTTGGGCTGAGCACATTGAGTGCTCACCACCGCCCTGTGCCACCAAGTCTGATACCATCCACCCTGTGTCCTAGATGAGGAAACAGGTGCACAGAGAGGTTAAAATGTTGGCTGGAGGCCAGGTGCGGTGGCTCACGCCTCTAATCCCAACACTCTGAGAGGCCGACGTGGATCACCTGAGGTCAGGAATCGGAGACCAGCCTGGCCAGCGTGGTGAAACCCTGTCTCTACTAAGAATACCTTAAAAAAAAAAAAAAATTAGCTGGGCATGGTGGTGCTCACCTGTAATCCCAGCTACCTGGGAGTCTGAGGGAGGAGAAACGCTTGAACACAGGAGGCCGAGGTTGCAGTGAGCCCAGATCGTGCCACTGCACTCCAGCCTGGGTGACAGAGCGAGACTCTAACTCAAAAAAAAAAAAAAAAAAAAAAAAAAAAGGCCGGGTGCAGTGGCTCACACCTGTAATCCCAGCACTTTGGGAGGCCGAGGCTGGAGTTCCAGACCAGCCTGACCAACATGGAGAAACCCTGTCTGTACTAAAAATACAAAATCAGCCAGGCATGGTGGTGCACGCCTGTAATCCTAGCTACTCAGGAGGCTGAGACAGGAGAATCGTTTGAACCTGGGAGGCGGAGGTTGTGGTGAGCCGAGATCACGCCATCGCACTCCAGCCTGGGCAACAAAAGCGAAACTCCATCTCAAAAAAAAAAAAAAAAAAGCCTGGGTGCAGTGGCTCATGCCTGTAATCCCAGCACTTTGGGAGGCCAAGGCGGGTGGATTACAAGGTCAGGAGTTCAAGACCAGCCTGACCAATGGTGAAACCCCGTCTCTACTAAAAATACAAAAATTAGCCGGGCATGGTGGCAGGTGCCTGTAATCCCAACTACTCAGGAGGCTGAGGCAGGAGAATCGCTTGAACCTGGGAGGTGGAGGTTGCAGTGAGCCAAGATTGCGCCATTGCACTCCAGCCTAGGCGACAGAGCAAGACTGCGTCTCAAAAAAAAAAAAAAAAAAAAAATGCTGCAAGTTACTCAGTGCCACGTGGGTCTCAGCTACCCCAGGTCTGAGTCCCAGAAACCAGTCTGACCAGGGAAGCCGTGTTTGTTGACGTCCTGGTAGAAAACAGGCTCCCAGTGTGTGTCTGCTCTGTGCTGGCATCCCCTCCGGAGACCCTTCCCAGGCCTGCCCCCCATGTCCGACGCACCTGGGCCCCCTGATGAGCCGAGATTCTCCCACGATCCCTCGGGCTCTGGGACTCATCTGCCTGCACGGGCTCCGAGGACCGGGCCAGGGCTGGAGCCGGGGGCTCATCATCCACATCCGTGTAGGGCCCCCCCTCGCCGTCTGTGTAGCCCTCGCCATCCGTGTACGCGCCGCCCTCGCCGTCCGTCTCGTAGTCGCTGTTAACGCGGCTGTCGCAGCTGAGGTCAGCGGAGCTGTCGGCCAGGCCGTGGTGAGGGAGGTCTAGGTTGTCCTCCAAGGAGCCATCCAGCTGTGGGGTGGGTGTGGATGCTGCGGCTGGCCCTGGCCAGGACCCCAGCTGCCACCCACGACATCCCCCCACCTTCAAACTCTGGTCCCAAATCAAGGCGAGGAGCCTGGAGCCTGGAGCCTCAGTGGAGGCTTCTCTGTTGACTCCAGGATGGGTTGTATCCATTGACCCTTCACCTGAGAGGCTCAGCCCCCAAATCCAAGCTGAGCCCCAAACCTTGACTCCAGCCCCAAGAGAAGACTCCATTCTCTCTCTCTTTTTTATGAGAAGGAGTCTCTGTTGCCAGGCTGGAGTGCTGTGGCGCAATCTCTGCTCACTGCAACCTCTGCCTCCCGGGTTCAAGTGATTCTCCTGCCTCAGCCTCCTGAGTAGCTGGGACCATGGGCGTGAGCTCCCGTGCCCCACTGACTCCATTCTCAAAACAGCTCCTCCAGGCTGGGCGCGGTGGCTCAGGCCTGTAATCCCAGCACTTTGGGAAGCTGAGGCAGGTGGATCGCCTGAGGTCAGGAGTTTGAGCCCAGCCTGGCCAACATGGTGAAACCTCGTCTCTGCTAAAAATACAAAAATTAGCTGGGCCTGGTAGCGCTCGCCTGTAGTCCCAGCTACTCGGGAGGCTGAGGCAGGAGAATCACTTGAACCCGGGAGGCGGAGGTTGCAGCAAGCTGAGATCACACCACTGTACTCCAGCCTGGGTGACATGAGACTCCATCTCAAATCAAACAACAAAAAACAGCTCCTCCAATCTCATCTCACCCAAGTTCCAGTCCAACACCCTTGTCTCAGGTCCCATCTTGACTCTGGCCACAGTCCTGATCCCTGACCAAGCCCTAACTCCCGACAGAGGCCCCAAACCCCAGCTGGGCCTGCACAGCGTCTGTGGGGCCTCCCTGCCCGACCCACCCACACCGCGGCAGTACCTGATCTTCCGCCGTCCAGATGGGCCGCGTCTGCTGCTCTCGAATGATGGCCTTGAGCTCCTGGTACCAGGTGTCACTCGTGCCATTCAGAGGGATGGTGGCTGCAGGGAGGGGACGTCAGTGTGTGCAGGAGACTCAGGCTGGGGCCCACCCGCCTACCCTGGGACACCCACCCCCCAACCTGTGAAGAGGTGGCTGCTGTGTTTTCGCAGCTTCTGGGCTTGTGCGTAGAGGCGACGGGTGCTGCGGCGGGAGGCAGGCGCCAGCCACTGGCGCAGTGCCTTGAGGGCCGGCCGGCTCTCGGGGATGAAGAAGACCACAATGGGGTAGTACTGCACATAGTTGAGGCGCTCGATGGCGGAGGGGGTCACATCCAGGAGCGCATGCTTGTCCTGGGCCAGGCCGGCGGACGTTGGGGTGAGGGGGATTGCAGCAGGGTAAACAGAGAGAGAAAGATAGAAAGATGAAGAGTCTGAGGTCAGAGTGGACCCCAGCCTCTCACATCCACAGGCTAGCAAGTTGGGGATGGGGGTGGTAACAGCCCAGGTCGCAGCATCTTGGGCATCAAAACCTCAACTTGAGTCTCTCTGCCTTTGCCCAGGGCTGGCTGCTGTTTGACTCCGAGAAGCCCTTGTCTGTCTCGGGCCTCCTGCCTCACAAAGCCTCCAAAAGGGGCTCTATGGAAGACTGCACTTGTGGGGTGTGGGCTGAGAACAGGTCAGGACATTCAGTTGGATGCCCAGGCCTCGGTTTCCCCCATCCATGAAATGGGACCCGTAGCAGGACCCGGCTTACTTTTTCTGCAATCACCCGCACGGTGTCTAGTTTGATGATCTTGGAGGGGCTGTCGGTCCTGGACACAGTCTCTGTGGACGGCAGAGAGGACCAGCAGCTTCAGGAGGGCAGCCCCCGTCCCCTCAAATTCATGCCTACCTGCCCCTCCCCTGCTCAAGAAGCCACCATGGCTCCCCATTGCCCTGGAGAGAAATCCTAACAGCAGCAGAAACTCATGTTGGCCAAGTGCCAGGCACTGCACTCACATCCCCTCCTGACCTCAGCCCCCTCCTCCTCCTGAGGAGTGGGTGGCTGGTACTGGCCTATGTGGCAGGTGGGGAAACTGAGGCTCAGAGACAACAGGCCACTTGCTCAGGGTTGCAGGGTCAGAGGCCTGATGCTGAGCCTGAGCTGCAGCCCCTGGCTCTCCCAGACTCAGTTCCAACTCCAGGGCTCTGCTCAGGCTACGACCCCACAGGAAACTCCACTCTTGCCCCTATCTGTCTTCTAGGACCTGAGAGGAGCACTGCTTCCTCCAGGAAGCCCTCCTGGATCGTGCAAAGTTTCAGGAAGGAGACATAGCCTGGCATGGAGGGGTTCAAGGAGGGAGACGTGATCTCATCCCCCCTTTTTGTTTTTGTGGTTAAAAACGTAAAATTGGCCGGGCACAGTGGCTCATGCCTGTAGTCCCAGCACTTTGGGAGGCTGAGGCAGGTAGATCACCTGAGGTCAGAAGTTTGAGACCAGCCTGGCCAAACGGCGAAACCTGTCTCCACTAAAAATACAAAAATTAGCCGGGCATGGTGGCGCGTGCCTGTAATCCCAGCTACCAGGGTGGCTAAGGCAGGAGGATCACTTGAACCTGGGAGGCAGAGGTTGCGGTGAGTCGAGATCCTGCCACTGTACTCCAGCCTGGGCAACAGAGCAAGACTCTGATGCAAAAAAAAAAAAAAAAAAAAAAAAAAAAAAGACATAAAATTTGCATCTTTTTTTAATTAAAAAAATTCTTTTTTCTTTTATAGAAACGTGATTTTGCTGTGTTGCCCAGGCTGGTCTCAAACTCCTAGGCTCAAGTCATCCTCACACCTTGGCCTCTCAAAGTGCTGAGATTTTACATGTGAGCCACCACACCCAGCCAAAATTTGCAATCTTAACTATTTTTTGTTTTTTATTTCGAGACAGGGTCTCCCTCTGTCACCCAGGCTGGAGCGCAGTGGCGTGATCTCTGCTCACTGCACCCTCCGCCTCCTGGGATCAAGCAATTCTCCTGCCTCAGCTTCCTGAGTAGCTGGGATTACAGGCATGCGCCACCATGTCCAGCTAATTTTTTGTGTTTTTAGTAGAGATGTGGTTTCACCATGTTGGCCAGGCTGGTCTCGAACTCCTGACCACTGCGCCCGGCCTCCTAGTCTATCTTAATTGTTTTTGTTTTTTTTTTTTTTGACAGAGTCTCATTCCGTCGTCAGGCTGGAGTGCAGTGGCATGACCTCGGCTCACTGCAACCTCTGCCTCACGGGTTCAAGCAATTCTCCTGCCTCAGCCTCCCGAGTAGCTGGGACTACAGGTACGCGCCACCACACCTAGCTAATTTTTGTATTTTTAGTAGAGACGGGGTTTCACCATGTTAGCCAGGATGGTCTCAATCTCTTGACCTCGTGATCCACCCGCCTCGGACTCCCAAAGTGCTGGGATTACAGGCATGAGCCACCGCACCCGGCCATTGTTTCTACAGTTGTTAATTTGGAGTCTTCTCCAAGGGACCTTGCCTGTCGTGTTCACTGCTGTCTCAGAAGATCAATAAATTTCTCTTAAACAAATAACAGGTGGCACTTTGCCTCAATTGGCAATGGCTACCTGGTGAACTGTGTTAAGAAGGATTTGGAGGTTCTATCCAGACAAACGGTGCCAAGATGGATTGAGGATGTCTGGCTTGGGTATTGGGGGGGGCACTGGTGGCCCATCTGCTTCATGTTTGCCATCATTATTCTAACTCTCCCCCGACCCCCCACAAAAAAACAGTTGTGAAACTATTTCACCAACGAGGTTTCCAGAGGATCTGGCTTCTCACCTGCGATTTCAAACTGGTCAGGCATCTCAGCAGTCAACTTCTGCATAGCAATGTCGGCCACGGGTCCCAGGATCACTACCGGGCGCTTGAAACTGGCTGAGGGGTAGAGACACAGTGAAAGAATCAGGGTCCCATTTGCGATCAAAGACTGCTAGTGTGTTGTACAAACCCCTCCACTTCCTTATAGTAAACAGCCTATTTAACCAGGACCATAGCTACCCAGCCAAATACTACATCTCCCAGTGTCCTTTGCAGCTAGGTTAGCCTTATGACCAAATAATGGCCAATGGAACACTAGCAGAATTGATGTGTACATTTCTGGGTTCCGCCTTCAAGGGCAGGAATAAGCCCCTCTCCTGCCTTCATTCCCTTTCTTCCTGGCTGTAGGGTCTCTTTTTAGCAGTTGAACCTAGCTAACTCATAGGTCAGCAGACTACAACCTGAGGGCCACATCTGGCCCACTGCATGTGTTCGTCAATAAAGTTTTATCAAAACACAGTCACAACCATTTCTTTATGTCCTGTCTATGGCTACCTTTGAGCAGAGCTGAGTAGTTCTGCCAGAGACTAGCCCACAAAGCCTAAAATAGTTACTATGTGATCCTTTGCAGGAAAAGTATGTTGACACCTGGCCTACCAGATACACCATTTTACCACTGAAGAAACAGTCACAGAAGCGTCTTGAGGGGAGAAAAGTGGTAGCCCAGGGTCTTTGCAACTTAATCCTTCTCTTTCTCCCTTTCTTTCTTTTATTTTATTTACTTTTTTTTTTGAGATGGAGTCTAGCTCTGTGGCCCAGGCTGGAGTGCAGTGGCGCAATCTTGGCTCACTGCAACCTTCACCTTCCAGGTTCATGCAGTTCTCCTGCCTTAGCCTCCTGAGTAGCTGGGATTACAGGCGTGCGCCACCATGCCTGGCTAATTTTTGTATTTTTAGTAGAAACTGGGTTTCACCATGTTGGTCAAGCTGATCTCGAACTCCTGACCTCGTGATCCGCCCGCCTCGGCCTCCCAAAGTGCTGGGATTACAGGCGTGAGCCACCGCACGTGGCCTATTTACTTATTTTTTTGAGACAGAGTCTTGCTGTGTCACCGAGGCTGGCGGTGCAGTGGCTTAATCTTGGCTCACTGCAACCTCCATCTCCCAGGTCCAAGTGATTCTCCTGCCTCAGCTTCCTGAGTAGCTGGGATTAGAGGCGCCCACCACCACGCCCGGCTAATTTTTGTATTTTCAGTAGAGACGGGGTTTCACCACGTTGGCCAGGCTGGTCTCGAACTCCCGAACTCAGGTGATCCACCCACCTCCCAAAGTGCTGGGATTACACCTCGGCCTCCCAAAGTGCTGGGATTACAGGCGTGAGCCACCACGCCTGGCCGTGGCCTTGTATTTCTAGGACGTTTTCATCTGGATGTTGGAGCAGCGCGATGACAGTGTCAAAGGCTTTTCTCAAGGTCCATCCACCCACCCCTGTCCCGGGCAATTTGCTCTTCCCACCCCTTTTGTGGTTTTATTTGGAAAATCGCTGCACCTGGGTTTTTAACCCCCTGTCCTCTGATAAGAGCTTAATCTCTTCCCTTCCTGAAATCAGGATGAGGCATTTTTCCCCCCAGAGTCTGGCTTTGTTGCCCAGGCTAGAGTGCAGCAGCATGATCATAGCTCTCCGCAGCCTCGACCTCCTGGGCTCAAGGGATCCTCCCACCTCAGCCTGCCAAGTAGCTGGGACTACTGGCGTACCACCACACCTGGCTAATTTATTTTTTATTTTGTAGAGACAGAGTCTCACTTTGCTGTCCAGGCTGGTCCCAGACTCCTGGGCTCAAGTGACCCACCCATCTTGGCCTCCCAAAGTGCTGGGATTACAAGCGTGAGCCACCACGCCCGGTCAAAGAAGATAAATTATTAAAATTATTATTATTGCTATTTCTTTTTCCTTTTGTAAGGCTATCTACATGCCTTGCACCATATTTCTGTTGGAGACACAAATAGATTTTTAAGGAATGAACCCCCTTCCTGTCCTTCTGTCCCCTAAAATAACCCAAAATTTTTTTGTTTTTTTGTTTTTTTTGAGACGGAGTTTTGCTCTTGTTGCCCAGGCTGGAGTGCAGTGGTGTGATCTCCGCTCACTGCAACCTCTGCCTCCCGGGTTCAAGTGATTCTCCTGCCTCAGCCTCCCAAGTAGCTGGGATTATAGGCACCTGCCACCATGCCCAGCTAATTTTTTGTACTTTTAGTAGAGATGGGATTTCACCATGTGGGCCAGGCTGGTCTAGAGCTCCTGACCTCAGGTGATCCACCTGCCTCAGCCTCCCAAACCATTGAGATTACGGGCGTGAGCCACCGCACCCAGGCCCAAAAGTATTTTTGATAGAAGGAGAGTGGTTAGAAACATGCTTTTTTTTTTTTTTCTTTTGAAGACAGTGTCAATCTGTGGCCCAGGGTGGAGTGCAGTGGTGCGATCATAGCTCACTGCAACCTCTGCCTCCCGGGTTCAAGTGATTCTCCTGCCTCAGCCTCCCAAGTAGCTGGGATTACAGGCGCCTGCCACCATGCCCAGCTAATTTTTTGTACTTTTAGTAGAGATGGGATTTCACCATGTGGGCCAGGCTGGTGCGATCATAGCTCACTGCAACCTCGACCTCCCAAGCTCAAGCAATCTTCCTGCCTCAGCTTCCCAAGCAGCGGGGACTATAGGTATGCACCACCATGCCCAGCTATCTTTTTAAATTTGATGTAGAGGCCGGGCGTGGTGGCTCACGCCTGTAATCTCAGCATTTTGGGAGGCTGAAGCGGGTGGATCGTGAGGTCACGAGTTCAAGACCAGCCTGGCCAACATGGTGAAACCCCGTCTTTACTAAAAATACAAAAATTAGCTGGGGGCGGGGTGATGGGCGCCTGTAATCCCGGTTACTTGGGAGGCTGAGGCAAGAGAATCGCTTGAATCAGGGAGGCAGGGGTTGCAGTGAGCTCAGATCACGCTATTGCACTCCAGCCTAAGACAGAGCAAGACTCTGTCTAAAAATAAAAATAAAAACAAAAATAAATAAATAAATAAATTTGAGGTAGAGATGTAGTCTTGCTTTACCGCCCAGGTTGATCTGGAACTCCTGGCCTCAGCGATCCTCCTACCTCGGCCTCCCAAAGTGTTGGGATTATAGGCGTGAGCCACCACGCCGGGCCAAGACTGTGCCTTTTAGAGGCTGAATGTTAGTGAACAGGTGCACCAGGAGCTGTGTGTGAGGCCTCCCCAGGGCCCCTCCAGCTCCGGGCCCCACCTTCTCGCAACACCACTCGTTCGTAGGGCGGGTAGCGGCCCTGTCGGGTCAGAGCTGAGAGGTCCTCACGGCTCCGCTGAGTGGTCTTCTTGGCTCCTCGACGAAGACCCCGCAGCCGCCAGAACTCGGCCCGAGCATTGGAGCCCGCGGAGGAGCCGGGCCCGACTCCCACGGCCCTCTGGGCAGCTTCCAGGCTGGCCAGCTGCTCCGCCCTGGGGAGAAGAGGGGACAGTACTGAGCACTGGGGTCAGCAGCATGGTGGCCCCAAAGACGTCCTCGTCCTACCCCTCGGAGCCTGTGGACAGGCCACTTTGTATGGCAAAAGGGACTCTGCAGATGGGATTATTATTACTATTATTATTATTTTGGGTTTTTTGAGACAAAGTCTTGCTCTGTCACTCAGGCTGGACTCGTTACAACCTCTGCCTCCTGGGTTCAGGCGATTCTCCTGCCTCACTTTCCCAAATAGCTGGGATTACAGGTGCCCGCCACCACGCCCAGCTAATCTTTATTATTTATTTATTTACTTTTTTGAGATAGAGTCTCGCTCCGTCGCCAGGTTGGAGTGCAGCGGTGCAATCTCTGCTCACTGCAACCTCCGCCTCCCAGGTTCAAGCGATTCTCATGCCTCAGCCTCCCAAGTAGCTGGGATTACAGGTATGCACCACCACGCCCAGCTAATTTTTGTATTTTTAGTAGGGATGGGGTTTCACCATGTTGGCCAGGATAGTCTCAATCTCTTGACCTCGTGATCTGCCCGCCTCAGCCTCCCAAAGTGCTGGGATTACAGGCGTGAGCCACCGTGCCTGGCCTGCAGATGGGATTAAACTGATGCTATTGAGGTGGATGATGATCCTGGGTGACCCAGGGGACCCGATGTCCTCACAGGGTCCTCACAAGAAGAGGCGGGAGGGTGAGAGTCAGAGAGAGACTAGAAGAGGCTGTGCTGTGGCTATGAAGGGGGAGGAAGGGGCCCCGAGCTGAGGGATGCGGCCCCTCTAGACTCTGGGAAAGGTGGAAAATTGGTTTTCTCCTGGAGCCTCTGGGAGGGCCCAGGCCTGCCCATACCTTGACTTTAGTACTTTTGCTCTCCAGAACTGTAAGAGGATGTGTGTGTTGTTTAAAGCCACTAAGTTTCTGGGCATCTGTTACAGCAACAACAGGAAGCTCATACCAGCACCAAATGGGGCCCGCCCAGAGCCTTTTGTGGACCTCCTCAGATTGAACCACCAACACTGCTAAGCAGTGATATCATGCCTATTTATTTATTTATTGAGACAAGAGTCTCACTCTGTTGCCAGGCTGGAGTGCAGTGGCGTGATCTCGGCTCACTGTAACCTCTGCCTCCCAGGTTCAAGCGATTCTCCTGCCTCAGCCTCCCAAGAAGCTGGGATTATAGGCATGTGCCACCACGCCCAGCTAATTTTTGTATTTTTAGTAGAGACGAGGTTTCACCATGT
The DNA here is from genome assembly GCF_000001405.40 of Homo sapiens. Lineage (NCBI taxonomy): Eukaryota > Metazoa > Chordata > Mammalia > Primates > Hominidae > Homo > Homo sapiens. The sequence continues at coordinate 3,739,303 of NC_000019.10, read as the reverse complement.
TGCCCAGGATGGTCTCGATCTCTTGACCTCATGATCTGCCCACTTCAGCCTCCCAAAGTGCCAGGATTACAGGCCTGAGCCACCGCGTCCAGCCCAATCGAGCCCATTTCTAACGGGGAGACTGAGGCTGAAGCAGAAGTGCCCCACTGCAGGAGCACACAGTCCCCACCTGCTCTGGTTGGGAATGATGCCCCGCTCTTGCTCCCGCAGGTCACGACCCATGCGCACCGCCAGCCAGTGGCCTCCTCGTGCGTGGCTCTGCCCGGGGCCGGGGTGCAGCGTGTCCAGCACGTGGAAGACGTCGCCACGGGTGAAGCCCAGGCCAGACGGTGGACTGGGCTCCAGCTCAAAGTGAGTGCGGATGTAGAAGGAGTCACCCACGCGGGACTGCACCATTTTCCAGAAAACTGGGGAGAGCGGGAGGCCACATGAGCTGCCTGGGCTGCTGCCTGATCTGAGCCCTCCCCACCCGAGAGTGGGCCTGGCTGGAGATTTGGGGCACTCTCCCTGTAGGGGCCAGGGAGAGGGATGGAGGGTGCAGAGATGCAGATTCAACCACATCCCTGCACTCACCACCAGGCCACACAGCCAGGTCCTCCCCCCGCAACACACAGGCACACCCATATCCACGCGCACTCACTGTCCTGCTTCCTCTGCGTCACCAGCTCCATCTCCTCGCCTGGTGGCAGCCCCAGCAGGAACTGCACTGCCTCCTCCCGTGTCAGGTTCTGGAATGGCACGTCATTCACCTGCCAGAAAGCAAGTGCAGCTATAGAAAAAGCTCTGGTACCTCTTGGGCGTGCATGAGATCCTGGACCTTCCTCTGGGCAAAACTCAGCCCCAGCTGCTTCCAGAGCTGCTGCCAAGGGACCCGGCAGTTCCCCGAGGGCTTTCCGACTGGGGTATCACCCTATGGCTGTGTGATGTGTGACACAGACAGCTGGTGGCATTGTAAGGATACAAGAGTTTTGACACAGAAACGGGCACAGGCACTGCACTTGTCCTCAGATAACCAAATCATGGTGGGTTGTCAATATCAAAACATGGGAACAGAGGTCATGGCATGGAGCTCGATGGAAACTGTGTGAAATGCTCAAAAGAACTCAGACGTAGTCACAGTAGTCACAGGGTCGTGACAGGGACAACGATATATGGACACACAGTGGGTCACAGATGCCTACCACCAGGGTCATGACAGGGACAACAATATATGGACACAGCCATCTGCTCTCCGGGTCATGACATGGACAGCAATATACAGACACAGCCACCTGCTCTCAGGGTCATGACATGGACAGCAATATACAGCCACCTGCTCTCCGGGTCATGACATGGACAGCAATATACAGCCACCTGCTCTCAGGGTCACGACATGGACAGCAATATACAGACACAGCCACCTGCTCTCAGGGTCATAACAGGGACAGCAATATACTTGCACAGCTTGTGGGCACAGACACCTACTCTCGGGGTCATGACGTGGATGTCAAGGTTAGAATCCCACAAGCAAAATGAGTAGAAATACAGTAAAAAATACCATGACCCTCAGGCAATTTGGCATCAAGTTTTCACCCAGCCAGTGGGCTTATGACATGGAAAGTGGGGAGCTGTGACTCCATCATGAATCACAACTCACACTGCAAGGTCAAGACACAAGCAAGGTCATGAGAGCAAAGTGGGGGTGAGACTTGGTGAGTGAACTCGCGCAAGGGACAGGGGAGACAGCCTGGGGATGAGATGAGGCAAGGACAGAGATGGGGGGATGATGAGGGGCTGTGGATCCTGGAGGTAGTTATGACACTGTCATGAAGGCAGGACACAGGCAAGGTCACAACACAGACACAGGGGATGGTGGCACAGAAAATGACTATAAGTGGACATGGAGATCATGAGAGAATGATCTGTGACCTGACCACACGATTAGGACATACAAGACGGTCATGACACGGTCAACACAGCCAATGTCAGGAACAAGAGGATTGCGACCCAGACAAGGTCATGACATAGGCAATGAGGCTGTGACCCAAAGTCCTGACATTGATAACAAGGAGATTGTGACATTGATAACAAGAATGTCACATGAACAATGTCATATGACATGAACAACAAGATTGTTGTTCCCAATCTTGAGCACAGTGTCTCAAGCTTATAATCTCAGCACTTTGGGAGGCTGAGGCGGGTGCATCACTTGAGGCCAGGAGTTCAAGACCAGCCTGGCCAACATGGTGAAACCCTGTCTCTACTAAAAACACAAAAATTAGCTGGGCATGGTGGCGGCCACCTGTGATCCCAGCTACTTGGGAGGCTGAGTCAGGATGATCCCTTGAACCCGGGAGGCGGAGGTTGCAGTGAGCCAAGATCACACCCCCGCACTCCAGCCTGGGTGACAGAGCAAGACTCTATCTCAAAAAAAAAAAAAAAAAAAGTTAGCCAGGCGCAGTGGCTCATGCCTGTAATCTCAGCTACTTGGGAAGCCGAGGCAGGTGGATCACCTGAGGTCAGGAGTTTGAGACCAGCCTGGCCAACATGGCGAAACCCTCATCTCTACTAAAAATATAAAAATTAGCCGGGCGTGGTGGTGGACAACTGTAATCCCAGCTACTCAGGAGGTGAGGCAGAAGAATTGCTTGAACCTGGGAGGCAGAGGTTGCGGTGAGCCAAGATCACACCATTGCACTCCAGCCTGGGCAACAAGACCAAAACTCCATCTCAAAAACAACAACAACAAAAAATGAACCCAGATAAGGTCAAGGCACAGAAAAGGAGGTTGTAACTGGACGATGAGGTCATGACCTGGAAGATAAGGTCGTGACATCAGCAAAATCATGACACAGCCAAGGAGACACTGAAATGTTCAAATACCCATCTGGGGTCTCGACAGTCCCCAGGTGGACCCAAGGGGAGGACTGGAACAGACAAGGGCAGGACCTAGCACACTGCACGCCCATGATCAGTGGGGCTGGCCAGCCGCCCCCGGAGCACCTGCAGAATCTGATCTCCCTCCTGGATGCCCTGCCCGTCGGCCGGGCTGCCCGCCTGCACCCCGGACACGAAGATGCCCACGTCATTGCCCCCTGCCAGCCGCAGCCCGATGCTCTTGCCCTTGAGGAAGCGGACCACACGCGTGTCGGGGCTGTACCTGCAAGGGGAGGCAGAGATGGGGTCAGAGCAGAGTGGGCGGACAAAGGGAGGGCTCAGCATTGTCCTTGGGAAAGCCCCCACCCCCTCCAGGCCTCAGTTTCCCCAAAACCCCCACTTAATGGTCCCACTCAACACAATGGATACAAGCAGGCAGGATTGCGCTGATGAGGGAGGCAGCCTGGGATGTAGGAGTTTTGAGCGGGTTTGCTTTCTTCTGGGGTACATACCCACGATCCTCCATGCTCTGACTGCTGGGCACTCTGTAGATGTCATAGCTGCTTTCCCTGGGCAACTCTGAAAGGGAAAAGCCAGTCTCTTTCCCAAGCACACTGGCTCAGTCCAGCCTCCAAACCTTTGCTTTATGTCCTCATCCTGGAAGGACTGTCACCCACCTCGAGTCCTTCTCAGGAAACCATGTCTCACCACTTAGGCTCAGGCCAACCTCCCCCAGCTCTGCCTGGCACAGCCTTGCTGTCAGGGATCAGAAATGTCAGGGACAGGGGTGCTCAGAGTCACCACCCACCTGACCGTTGCTCATCTGGTTCCGAGATGGTTCTGGAATCTACTGAACTTTCCCGCCGAAGCCGGGGACTCTCCCTGGTGGGGAACAGATTGGGAGTGAGGCAGGGATGGATTTCAAGGGGCCATTTTAAAAAGAATTTTAGGCCGGGCACGGTGGTTCATGCCTGTAATCCTAGCATTTTGGGAGGTCGAGGTGGGCAGATCACCTGAGGTCAGGATTTCAAGACCAGCCTGGCCAACGAGGTTAAACCCCGTCTCTCCAAAAATACAAAAATTAGCCGGGCATGATGGTGGGCGCCTGTAATCCCAGCTACTCAGGAGGCTAAGGCAGGAGAATTGCTTGAACCCGGGAGGCAGAGGTTGCAGTGAGCCAAGATCATGCCACTGCACTCCAGCCTGGGCGACAGAGTGAGACCTTGTCTCCAAAAAAATAAATAAATAAATAAACAAAATAAAAATAATTTTAATTTATCTGGGCTGGGCGTGGTGGCTCACGCCTGTAATACCAGCACTTTGGGAGGCTGAGGCAGGCCAAATGCTTGAGCCCAGGAGTTCAAGACCAGCCTGGGCAACATAGCTGGGCAATACAGACCCCATCTCTACCAAAAATATGAAAATTAGCCAGTCTCACATGACTCAGTCTCAAAACAAATAAATAAATAGAGGAAAAAGAAATTTTTTTTTTTAAGACAGAGTTTTGCTCTGGTTGCCTAGGCTGCAGTGTAATGACACGATCTCGGCTCACTGCAACCTCCATTTCCTGGGTTCAAGTGATTCTCCTGCCTCAGCCTCCCAAGTAGCTGAGCTTACAGGCACCCGGCACCACGCCGGGCTAATTTTGGTATCTTAGTAGAGACAGGGTTTCACCACGTTGGCCAGGCTGTTCTCGAACTCCTAACCTCAGATGATCCACCCTCCTCGGCCTCCCAAAGTGCTGAGATTACAGGCGTGAGCCACCGCACCTGGCCTAAGGCAGAGTTTGATACTAAGAAGTGGGGTGCTGCTGTAACCAACACCTACAAATGCGGACACGGCTTTGGAACTGGGTAATGGGTAGAGGCTGGAGGTATTTTGAGGCACATGCTAGAAATACAGGACTGCGTCCTCAAGGTTACCCCCAGTTGGAAAGCTACGCCCGCGTTCCCCTCTCCCTCCCACCTCCCTCTCCCTCCCTATCACCATTCTGGCCGATGGGTGATACTTACACGGGAGAGTCGGTCTGGCTGGCCTCGGGGCTCCGCTGAGCATGCCGGGGTGGTGGTGGGATGTGGGATGGTGGTGCCTGCGATAGCTCCGAGGCGAGGTCCGAGATGTCTGCAGGGGGAGAGGACATCTCATCAGCCATGGTCACGCCTTCTGGACTGGACCCATTTTACAGAGGGGTATATCAACACCCCTCTAAACAAAGGGCCCTAGACCAAAGTCAGAAGCTCAGTTAGAAGATTCGGCTCTGGAGCTGGGCACGGTGGCTCACGCCTATAATCCCAGCTACTCAGGAGGCCAAGGCACGAGAATCGCTCGAACCCAGGAGGCAGAGAATCGCTTGAACCCAGTGAGCCGAGATCGCCCCCCTGAACTCTTGACTTGCTGTGTGGCCTTCAGCAAGTTCCTGTCACTCTCTGAGCCTCTAGGGACCAGGCTCATTGATTCCTTGGCCCTGCCTGGGGCTTCCCACCTTCCCTGCCATCCATTCAACCCCCTCCCAGGTCCTAACCTCTAGGTCCTCACCCTCCAATGGCGAGCTGTCGCTGTCACTGACAGCAGGCGGAATGTTCACCAGGAACTGCCCACGATCTCTCAGCACCAGCAGGCTTAGCTTCCCTTCTGACTTCTCAATCAGTCGCCGGGTGTCGTTCAGTGACAGGTTCTGGCTAGACACCCCGTTGATCTGAAAGGGACCAGGAATGAAAGAGCGGAAGTGAGTTAATGAGAGATGGGAGACAGTAGAAACAGCCTGGTGTGGGGGAACTTGAAACAGACAATTCCCCCAGAGGTTGCTAAAAACAGCCACTCCCTAAGGAAAGTGTTGAATTGGATTCCTGCTGTGAGTGGAGACCACACCAAGAACTGAGCACCGAATTCTAGAAACAGAAAATGTTCTAAGAGGGGTGGGAGACACTGGGGAAAATGAGAAACAGGTTGACTCTCCTTTCTTACCAAAAGTGGAAATGTCTCAGGGGATACTAGGAACAGATGTGAGGGTGACATTATAAACAACTCTAACTGGAGAAGAGGGAGTATCAGATACTTAAAAGATACTAGAAACACACAATCTTCTGGGAGATAACTAGAAACAGATATCTAGAGTGGGGCGCGGTGGCTCACGCCTGTAATGCCAGCACTTTGGGAGGCAGAGGCAGACAGATCAGTTGAGGTCAGGAGTTCAAGACCAGCCTGGCCATCATGGTGAAACCCTGTCTCTACTAAAAATACAAAAATTAGCAGGGCGTGGTGGTGGGCGCCTGTGGTCCCAGCTACTCAGGAGACTGAGACAGGAGAATCACTTGAACCCGGGAGGTGGAGGTTGCAGTGAGCCAAGATCCCGCCACTGCACTCCAGCCTGGGTGACAGAGCGACACTCCATATCAAAAAGAAAGAAAAGAAAAGAAAAAAGAGAAGAGAAAAGAAAAGAGAAAAGAAAACAGTCATCTAGAGGTAGATTAGAAACACACAATTCCTAGAAAGAACTTAATGTCGGCCGGGTGTGGTGGCTCATGCCTGTAATCCCAGCACTTTGGGAGGCCGAGGCGGATGGATCACCTGAGGTCGGGAGTTCGAGACCAGCCTGACCAAGATGGAGAAACCCCGTCTCTACTAAAAATACAAAAAATTAGCAAGGTGTGGTGGTGCACGCCTGTAATCCCAGCACGTTGGGAGGCCGAGCGGGGGGGATCACCTGAGGTCAGGAGTTCGAGACCAGCCTGGCCAACATGGAGAAACCCGTCTTTTCTAAAAATACAAACATTAGCTGGGTGTGGTGGCGGGCACCTGTAATCCCAGCTACTCGGGAGGCTAAGGCAGGAGAATCACCTGAACCTGGGAGGCGGAGGTTGCAGTGAGCCGAGATTGCGCCACTGCACTCCAGCCTGGGTGACAGAGCGAGACTCTGTCTGAAAAAAAAAAAAAGAAACAGATAACTTTTTGAAGACACTGGAAATAATCAGCTGAAAGCAATTTGGAAATCAAACACTAGGAGTCACTAGAAACAGACTTTCAGGGGAAGAATCCAGAAAGATACCATCCTTTAGGGCAGGGCAGCTCCCCTAAACCTGGTGACTGGGTCATTAGCATCCAGTCACCTAGGGTAGGTCCAGGAGTCAGCTGCCCACATGAGTCTCTGATGCACATCAAAGCTAGAGGGTATTAGAAACAGACAACCCCATGGGGATACTAGAAACCGACATTTGGCTGTGGATTAGTAGTAGCTGGGGAAAAAGGGGGTTTTATGCCTGGCCATCTGCAACCTTTGAGATACAAGCAACAACACTGAAGGTAAATGCTTTGGGGCCCAGTTCTGCTGTCCTTGCTGTATGACTCCGTGGGACTGCCCGCCCCAACCCTGCCTTGTCTCCCTGCTCTCAGGACAAGAAGCCCGGCCTCACCTGTAGAATGAGATCTCCTTCCTGCAGCCCACGGTGCCGGGCAGCCAGGCCCGAATCTGTAATGTGCTTGATGAAGATCTGACTGCCCAGCTTGACGCCAAACTCTGTAAGGGGGGAGGAGGGAAACTGAGGCAGGACTCTGGAGACGGGTGCCTGGGAGCATTCTCCTGCTGTAAGCAGTCCAGGTGCGGGCCCTCCCATCCTAACACCTTGATGGCATCATAAGGAGAACAGTGATGTCGCCCGTAGGACCCGAGATCTGATTGTGTCAATGACATCTCCACGGGGCGGGGACACCAGGTCACCGTGCCACTCGTGATGTTGCCATGCACAGGCTAAGGGCATTCTATTGCTCATAACATCATCATTGTTTCAATTTTTATTTTTTATTTTTTAATTTTTTTCGAGAAGGAGTCTCACTCCTATCGCCGGGGCTGGAGTGCAGTGGCAAAATCTCAGGTCACTGCAACCTCTACCTCCCGGGTTTAAGCAATTCTCGTGCCTCAGCCTCCCAGGTAGCTGGGATTACAGGTGCACACCACCACGCCTGGCTAATTTTTGTATTTCTAGTAGAGATGGGGTTTCATCATAGTGGTCAGGCTGGTCTAGAACTACTGGCCTCAAGTGATCTGCCTGCCTTGGCCTCCCAAAGTGCTGGGATTACAGGCATCAGCCACCACACTCAGCCAGGCCTCCTCTTATAAGGACCCTGTGGTGACACTGGGCCCCCCAGATCATCCAGGATCACCTCTGAGCTCAGGGTCCTTCACTCCATCCCATCTGCTGAGTCCCTCTTGCTAAGTGAGGTGGCCTAAACAGAGGTCCCGGGGATCAGCGCGGGGACATGTTGATAAAATGGTTCTGGGCCCCAAGTGGCTGACAGGTGATATGGCTCAACCTAGCCCAGAATTAGGGACCACCAGGTTCAGAGAGAAAGAGCTAGAGAGAATATATGAAATACAGACAGGCAGAAAGGGACAGAAAAGCAGAAAGTGGGGATTTGTGGTGGGGGGAGCGAGGAGCAAGAAGATGCCAGGTGTAGTTGTAGCTTCCAGGCTGGGCGCGGTGGCTCACGCCCACAATCCCAGCAAGCACTATGGGAGGCCGAGGTGGGTGAATCACCTGAGGTCAAGAATTCGAAACCATCCTTGCCAACATGGTGAAGCCCCATCTCTACCAAAAGTACAAAAATTAGCCAGGCATGGTGGCGGGCGCCTGGAGTCCCAGCCACCAGGGAGGCTGAGGCAGGAGAATCACTTGAAACCGTCGCCCATCCGACCACGGTGCCCTGTGTCCAGTACTGATCGTGTCCGACCTCCCGCCTCTTCTGACCTTCGCTGTCTCTCCTCTTCACCAGCACTGACTTCACAGGCTTCATCTGCACGTCCTGCCGTGGCAGCCGCTTAAAGCCGGACACCAGGGCCAGCCCGTTGGCCTCAGAGCCACCACCTGGGCTCCTACGCCCATGGCTGCCGGCCCGGCCCCGGCGACCAGGCCTCGGCCGGCGGGAGCGCTCGTCCCAGGAGCGGCCGGAGCCACTGGATGAGTCGCCGTCATAGCCCCGGCCCTGGTCCACCTCCTCCACCCGCTGGGGCCCATCGTCTTCATCCGAGTCCTGGCGCCCTGGGCTGGAGGGGCTGGCTTTGGTGGCGGGCAGGTGGATCCTCCGGGGACGTTTCACTGTCTGTTAGAGGAGGGGACAGGAAGGGTCAGCTACAGGCAAGGGCTGGGGGAGGCTCTGCTCAGCCCCCGGGTGGCCCTGGGGGACACCAGTCTCTCTCTGGGCCTCAATGTCCAAACTGTAAGATGAGAAGATGACTCCTTGCTCTCAGAAGCTTACAACCCCCACAGCGGCACGACCCAGGCTGGGGTCAGAGATGCTGGCCATGCCAGGGGCTGCCTACTCACGATGTTGGCCATCTTGGTGCAGGTCTTGAGTATCTGAATGGCAAACGCGGAGGTGGCATTCTCCATGGAAACCCCGTTCACCATGACGATGTGGTCGCCTGTCCTGAGAGAGGAGGGCGGGTCTTACGGAGGAGGCTTTGCAGGGGAGACCCTCGTAACAAGCCCTCCCTGGGGAGGGGGTGCCCCTGGAACCTCCAGATCTACAAGGCCTGGTTCTAATTCATTGGTGTCCCTAGGTTCACAAAGACATTTATCCTTCTGGGCCTCCGTTTTCTCACCTGTAAAATGGAGCCAATTGTAGAACCTACTATAATCATAGAGTGGAAGCTACATTTTTTTTTTTTTTTTTGAGACAGAGTCTCACTCTGTTGCCCAGGCTGGATTGCAGTAGCATGATCTCAACTCACTGCAACCTCCACCTCCTCGTTTCAAACGATCCTTCTGCCTCAGCCTCCCTAGTAGCTGGGACTACAGGTGCCCGCCACCACACCCGTCTAATTTTTGTATTTGTTAGTAGAGATGGGGTTTCACCATGTTGGCCAGGCTGGTTTTGAACTCCTGACCTCAGGTAATCCGCCCACCTCGGCCTCCCAAAGTGCTGGGATTGCAGGTGTGAGCCACTGCACCCGGCCTTGAAGCTACAGCTACACCTGGCATCTTCTCACTCCTCGCTCCCCACACCACAAATCCCCACTTTCTGCTTTTCTTTCCCTCTCTTCCTGTCTGTATTTCATATTTTCTTTCTAGCTCTTTCTCTCTGAACCTGGTGGTCCCTAATTCTGGGCTGGGCTGAGCCATATCACCTGTCAGCCACTTGGGGCCCAGAACCATTTTAACAACATAATTCCAAGAAGCATCAAACCCTCAAACACTCGATGGTTTCCAGGACTTTATGTTCCAAAAGGGCTCTGGGGCCACTATGACCCCAAGAATTCCTGTGAAGGACCAGGAAGTACCTTAGGGAAGTGAGGCCCAAGTCTCTGACACTGTCCTACTGCCAAGTCCGAGCCCTGTGTTGACAGAGCTGGAAAGTGCCAGGCTCACAAAGGTTTCTCCTCACCTCACTTACTTTCTTTTTGAGACAGAGTCTCACTCTGTCACCCAGGCTGGAGTGCAGTGGCGCAATCTTGGCTCACCGCAACCTCTGCCTCCCGGGTTCAAGCAAGTCTCCTGCCTCAGCCTCCCGAGTAGCTGGGATTACAGGAACACGCTACCACATCCCGCTAATTTTTGTAATTTTAGTAGAGACGGGGTTTCACCATGTTGGCCAGGCTGGTCTCAAACTCCTGAACTCAGGTGATCCGCCCACTTCAGCCTCGCAAAGTGCTGGGATGACGGGTGTGAGTCACTGTGCCTGGCCTGGTTTCTCCTCTCCACGTGCCCTCCCCCGCCAGAACCCAGCTGCCTGGATACTCACTGTAGCCTGCCCTCCGCCGGCCCTCCAGGTACCACGTCAGATACAACCATGGATCCACCGGGCCGGTCTCGGCCTCCAGAGATCGCAATGCCAAAGCCCCGGCGGGGGTCCTGAGAGAGGATGAGGGGAAGGAAGAGCTGCTGTTTCCCCCAGGGTAAAGGGTCTCCCCTCTATTGAGCTGGGCCTAAGCCGCCATACTCTCTGGCACCCAGACAGGGAGAGGGAGGCCTCACCTTGGACAGTGTGGCCGTGTGCTGTTCCCAGATGGTCAGCTCCTCCATGTCAGCCACCTGGTCGAGGGGAGCGGGGAAGATGGGCATGAGGCCACACAGGTTCATCTGAGCACTTGGGGGTCCCCAGCTCAGGGTGGGGAGTCCAGCTCTGACAGGCCTGTGTTTGGAGCCTGTGACAAGTTACTACCTCTCTCAGGGCCTCAGGTTTTTTTGTTTGTTTTTTTGTTTTGTTTCATTTTTTGAGACAGAGTCTGGCTCTGTCGCCCAGGCTGGAGTGCAGTGGCACGATCTCAGCTCACTGCAACCTCCACCTCCCGGGTTCAAGCGATTCTCCTGCCTCAGCCTCCCAGGTAGCTGGGATTACAGGGGTGCACCACCACACCTGGCTAATCTTTATATTTTTAATAGAGATAGGGTTTCACCACATTGGCCAGACTGGCCTTTAACTTCTGGCCTCAAGTGATCCACCCACCTCGGCCTCCCAAAGTGCTGGGATTACAGGGGTGAGTCACTGTGCCCAGCCTTGTTTTGTTTTTTTTGAGGCGGAGTCTCATTCTGTTGCCCAGGCTGGAGTGCAGTGGCACAATCTCTGCTCACTGCAGTCTCTGCCTCCCAAGTTCAAGTGATTCTCCTGCCTCAGCCTCCTGAGTAGCTGGCTGCCTACTGGCCTCCTGAGTAGCTGGGCTCCTGAGTAGCTGGGCACCTACAGGTGCCCACCACCACGCCAGGCTAATTTTTCTATTTTTAGTAGAGACGGGATTTCACCATGTTGGCCAGGCTGGTCTCAAACTCCTGACCTCAACTGATCCACCCACAGAGGGCAGAGATTTTTGTCTTTGTCCAAAACTGAGCCCTCAGTTCCCTGCCTAGAACAGCGCCTGAGTTGCAGCAGGGATTCAAGAAGGATTTGCTGAATGAATTAATGAGTGAATGAATGAAACACTTCCTTTGTGCCAGGTGCTTTACATGTACTATCTCTTTTTTTTTTTTTTTTTTTGAGACAGAGTTTCGCTCTTGTTGCCCAGGCTGGAGTGCAATGGCGTGATCTTGGCTCACTGCAACCTCCGCCTTCCAGGTTCAAGTGATTCTCCTGCCTCAGCATCCCAAGTATCTGGGACTACAGGCATGTGCCACCATGCCCAGCTAATTTTTTTGAATTTTTAGTAGAGACGGGGTTTCACTATGTTGGCCAGGCTGGTCTCGAACTCCTGATCTTGTGATCCACCCCCTTGGCCTTCCAAAGTGCTGGGATTACAGGCATGAGCCACCGCGCCCAGCCTTACATGTACTATCTCATTTAATACATTCATCAAAGGTGCATTCAATTATCCCCATGTTACAGATGAGGAAACTGAGGCACAGAGCCATGAAGTCCCCCCTCCCACACTTTTTTTTTTTTAGACAGGGTCTCTGTCACTCAGGCTGGAGTGCAGTGGTGTGATCACGGTTCAATGCAGCCTCGAACTCCCAGGCTCAAGTGATCCTCCCACCTCTGCCTCCCAAGTAACTGGGACCACAGGCACACATCACGATGCCCGGCTAATTTTTTTTATTGTTTGTAGAGATGGAGTCTCTCTGTGTTGCCAAGGCTGGTCTCAAACTCCTAGGCTCAAGTGATTCTCCAGCCTTGGCCTCCCAAAGTGCTGGGATTACAAGTGTGAGCCATTATGGCTCACTGCAGCCTCGAACTCCTGGCTTCAAGCAATCCTCCTGCCCCAGCCTCCTGAGTAACTGGGACTATAGGTGCATACCATCATGCCCAGCTAATTTTTTAACTTCTATTTTTATAGAGACAGGAGGGTCTTGCTGTGTTGCCCAGACTCTTCTTGAACTCCTGGGCTCAAATGATCCTCCCACCTGGGCTTTCCCACTTAGAAAAAAAAAAAACAAAAAAAACTCTGTTGCTGAGGCTGGAGTGCAATGGTGCCAACTTGGCTCACTGCAACCTCTGCCTCCTAGTTTCAAGCGATTCTCCTGCCTCAGCCTCCCAAGTAGCTGGGATCACAGGTGTCTACCACCATGCCCAGCTAATTTTTGTATTTTTAATAGAGACGGGGGTCTCACCATGTTGGCCAGGCTGATCTTGAACTCCTGACTTCAAGTGATCCGCCCGCCTTGGCCTCCCAAAGTGCTGGGATTACAGGCGTGAGCCTCCACACCAGGCAGATTCTGTTATTTTCATGTCCATGGCATGAATGAGAACACCAGACTCAGGTGCAAGGTCACCTGGCCACGCCTCCACCCTCCCTTCCCTCCTGCCAGCACGCACCATGCCCTGCTCCCCAGGCAGGGGACAGGTGGAGGGAGTGGGGAGGGAGTTTGTAGAAGTGACTCCTCCTCCTCCCCGGGGCGGGTTTTCTAGGCTTGGCACAGCGGGTGTGTGATTCCCTCTGCCCAGGCACCCCCCATTGGTGCGCTCCAGTGCCTTTTCTTATAAGCTCCAGCGTCTCTAGCGAGGCCAGCATTCCTGATCTCCAGGAGTGGGAAGGCGGGTGGAGGGGAGAGAAACAGAGCAGAGGGCAGGGCTCTGCAGTTCTGAAGGAGCCAGGGCAGCGCTCAGGACTGGACTCAAATCCCAAGTCTGCCCACCCGTGCTAGCTATGGCGGGGCCTCTCCCAGCCTCAGTCTCCCCATCTGTGAAATGGCACTGCTGCCCTGTCTTGCAGGGATGTGGTTTGGGAAAAGGGTACAGATTCAATGCCTGAAAAGCAAAAAGCAGAAGGAGCCTTGGGGAGGTGGTGGCCAAATAATGACTTTCTCCTTGTGTAGTTTTTTTTTTTTTTTTTGAGATGGGGTTTTTTGCTCTTGTTGCCCAGGCTGGAGTGCAATGGCGTAGTCTCGGCTCACTGCAACCTCCACCTCCTGGGTTCAAGTTATTCTCCTGACTCAGCCTCCCGAGTAGCTGGGATTATAGGCACCCACAACCACAGCCAGCTACTTTTTGTATTTTTAGTAGAGACGGGGTTTCACCATGTTGGTCAGGCTGTCTTGAACCTGGCTGCAAGCAGGCGCTTGATGTGGACCCATTCATTTCATCCTCAGAGTGACCTTAGGAAGTGGCACAGTTATTATTCCTACTTTAGAGGTGAGATTAAAAGGGGCCTAGAGAGGTTCAGTAACTTGCCTGAGGTCACGCAGCACAGTGGTGAACTTGGCAGCCTGCCCTGTTCTCTGGCTCTTTTTTGGTTGGTTGGTTGGTTGATTGGTTGTTTGGTTTTTGAGACGGGGTTTCACTCTGTTGCCCAGGCTGGAGTGCAGTGGCTCAATCACAGCTCACTGCAGCCTTGAACTCCCAGGCCCAAGGGATCCTCCTGCTTCAGCCTCCCAGGTAGCTGGGACCACAGGCATGCACCACCACACACAGCATATTTTTTTGTTTTTTTGTAGAGATGGGGTTTTGCTATGTTGACCAAGCTGGTCTCAAATTCCTGGGCCCAAGCGATCCTCCCACCTCAGCCTCCTAAAGTGTTGGAATTACAGGCGTGAGCCACCGCACCCAGCCTCACTCTTGCTCTTAACCACCAGGCTACAGTGGCTTTCTGATTATTTACTCTTTTTCTTCTGAGCTTATTTTTCAAAACTGCATCTTTTTTTTTTTTAACCTGCTTTGATGTTATACTTTGTGTCATTAAATGGCCCCAGGGCCGGGCACGGTGGATTCTGCCTATAATCTCAGCACTTTGGGAGACCGAGGCAAGAGGATTGCTTGAGCCCAGGAGTTCAAGACCAACCTGAGCAACATAGTGAGACCCTCATCTCTACAAAAAAATACAAAAATTAGCCGGGCATGGTGGCATGCACCTGTGGTCCCAGCTCCTCGAGAGGCTGAGGCAGAAGGATCACCTGAGCCCAGGAGGTCGAGGCTGCAGTGAATTGTGATCGTGCCTCTGCACTCCAGCCTGGGCGACAGAGCAAGACCCTGTCTCAAAAAAAATTTTTAAATGGCCCCAAGGAATTTGTATTTCCTGACTTTAAGAGACAGCCCTGCCCGGGCACAGTGGCTCATGCCTGTAATCCCAGCACTTTGGGAGGCTGAGGCAGGCAGACCACAAGGTCAGGAGATCGAGACTATCCTGGCTAACATGGTGAAACCCCGTCTCTACTAAAAATACAAAAAATTAGCAGGGCGTGGTGGCCGGCGCCTGTAGTCCCAGCTACTCAGGAGGCTGAGGCAGGAGAATGGCGTGAACCTGGGAGGCGGAGCTTGCAGTGAGCCAAGATTGTGCCACTGCACTCCAGCCTGGGCGACAGAGGGAAACTCCGTCTCAAAAAAAAAAAAGAGACAGCCCCAGGGAACCAGGGCCCCCGAACCCAGAGTGGGAGAGGGGCGAGGGAGTCCAGGTGGTCCAGGCTTGTCCCAGCTTGTGCGGGTTCGTCTCCATGGAAACCAGAAGCTTTGTCTAAACCCTCCAGAGCTCCACAGTGCCTGAGGGATTAAGCCTAACCTCACAGCCCACCTCATCTTAGTTCACCTCCAAACCTTTACCCCATCTGTCCCCTGAATCTGGGACATGTTTCACGGGATTCCTGCCTGGCTGGCCCCTGCCACTGAGGTCTAGGCTCAAATGCCACCTCCTCAGGAAGTCCTCCCTGACCACCTAGCTAACCAGTCTTCTCTGATCCCCTATCACTCCTGCCTATTTTATTATTTTATATATATATATATATATATTTTTTTTTTTTCTTTTGAGACAGAGTGTCACTCTGTCACCCAGGCTGGAGTGTAGTGACACAATCTCAGCTCACTGCAACCTCCGCCTCCTGGGTTCCAGCAATTCTCGTGCCTCAGCCTCCCAAGTAGCTAGAATTACAGGCGTCCAACCACCACGCCCGGCTAATTTTTGTATTTTTAGTAGAGGTGGGGGTTCACCATGTTGGCCAGGCTGGGCTCAAACTGCTGACCTCAGGTGATCCACCTCCCTCAGCCTCCCAAAGTGCTGGGATTACAGGAGTGAGCCACCACGCCCAGCCTGTTTTATTATTTTTTATTCAAGGCATCTAAAAATCATCTTTATTCTCTTTAACCATCGGTTAGTATGTTTCTGGTCTTTCCTCTTAGGCTGTGAAAGGAGACATGTCTGTCTCTCTGGCTACTTAAGGCCCAGGTGATTGGCCATCAGCCTCCTTTCCAGGCCTTGAGTGCTGGTACTGGACTCCCTGGCAAACTCCTATTCATCCTTCACAGCCCCAGCCTCTTCCTCCGTACGCATATCATACATCCTTCCCTCTGGCCCAAATGTGATGATTGGGGTGTGGGATGTCAGAGTGGATTTGTCCACCTTACACCTTCCCCCTCAGTCTGAGCGCTCCCGATGGGCAGGGATGGGCCCCTGGGACCCCATAGGACCAGGCCCCCTTAGGGAAGAGTTTGAGGAATGAGTGAATGGTTGAGTAAAACACACTGTGGCCAGGTGCTCAACAGGTGTGTCCTGAGTTCCCAGCCCTGCCCCTGTCCAGGTGAACTCTGAGAGGGTGGGGCTTGGGTCTTTGTCCCCGCCCCCCGCCCAGGGCTGGACACAAACACCGAACAAGAGGCCCGCCCAGAGGGGACGGGGCCGGTACCAAGTCACACCGCCCCCGGGTACGGGGCTCCCGGGCCGCCGTCCCCTGTGCCCCCCCCCCCCGCCACCCCATCTCCAGGAACAATGGCAGAGAGGGCGGTTTCAGCGAACAAATACACCGATTGGGGAGGGGATTCTGAGAGCTGTGCCTGGAGGCAAGGAAGAAGTCAGCGGGAACCAGAAGTGCCGGGTCCTGAAGCTTGGGGCGGAGTGGCCTGGGTCTGGCCGCATACCGCTGCAGTCCCAGTCTACCCTGGCTGGTGGGTCTGAAGAAACCAGCCCAGGCTCCATGCCTGGAGGGTGAAATCCCTCCGGAGACAAGGATCGCCCCCCGCCCCGCCCCCGCCACGGCGCACCCCAGCCGGCTTGCTCACCCCACCCCTGCCTCTGCCTGGTAATGCCTGTTAATAGCTTTGTACACAGTAGGCACCCAATAAATGCTGGTGCTCCCTCGTGCAGCCTTGTAGGAGGTGAATGTTCACCAAAGCCACCCCAGCCCCCAAATGAAGTCACTGCCCACCGTGCCACCGCGGGCGCCCAAGCTCAGCCGGCTGCACGCCCCCAGCAAAGGGGGATGAACATCTTTTCTGCCCACCTACGATGCGCCAAGCTCTTAAAACACATTTTTCTCTCTGTTTAAAATGCCGATCACCCATTTTTCGGATGAGGGAAGGAGAGGGTTCACTCACTGGCCCCACGTTACACACAGCATAGTGGACAGAAAATTCGGGATTTGAACCCAGCCCTGCGGTATTAAAGGAGGCCGGTCCTGGGGCAGAGGAGGCTCCAGAAGAGATGGTCTTTGGAGGCAGGGAGGGGGGCGCGGACGCGCGGACGCATCTCGAAGTGCAACCTCCAGCTAGCCACTTCATCCCTCTGGGACTCAGTTTCCCTGCCTGTTATGTAGGTAGGCGTTCTGGGGTCCTGGGTCCGACTCCCAAACCCTGCTTTCCCCCCACCCCACCTCAGCCCGAGCCCCTCCCCCTGCCACCCTTGGAGGGTTACTCGCCTGGAATCTCACCGCCATGGTCCACCTGGGGGCTCTCCAGCCCCCCTACCCGAGGGGGTCCTGGAAACAGTCAATCGGCCCCCACCCCGGGCTGGGGGAGGGGGCTGAGGAGAGTCACAGCGGGCTGAGGGCCGGGCTCTCGTCCTCCTCCCTCCAGCTCCGCAGCTCCCGGCTGCACCTGCCCCTCTTCCTCCTCCAGGTCTCGGGTCAGCCCCGCCCCTGCCCAGACACGCCCCCTGGACGCGGCGGAGGTTTCTCTCCCCACCTCCCATCACAGGAGCCAGGTCCTGAGGCGGAAACTCCAGGCCGGGTTATCCACGCAGCCGAGAGGGGGCCGGCGGCCGCGGCCAGAGCCCGGCCCGACAAGGCTGCCAGCAAGACCCGGCAGGAATAACCCCCGCGCTTGGAACGGAGCCTACTATTTGGAAGGTGTTTCCGTCCGCGAAATGGGCACATTTTGAGGTGCATCTGGGAGGCCTCTTGGATTAGAAGCTTGTCGAAGGCCAGAGACCTCCTTAGCATAGCGCTGGTCCCTGGGTCACCTTATCTCTGGAAGGTTTGCCCCATTCCACAGAGGGGAACCGGAGGCCCCAGAGGCCAGAGGCGTGGACTCTGAAGATACAACAGCGGCTGCGTGCCTTTTTCCTGCGGTCTTGGCCTGCGGGCTCTGTCTTCACACCCAGCATCCAGAAAAGAAAGGGGGCAGGGCAGGGCCGGGCGCGGTGGCTCATGCCTGTAATCCCCAAATTTTGGGAGGCCGAGGCGAGCGGATCACGAGGTCAGCAGTTCGAGACCAGCCTGACCAACATGGTGAAACGTCTGTCTCTACTAAAAGTACAAAAATTAGCCGGGCGTGGTGGCGCATGCTTCAGCTACTCGGGAGGCTGAGGAAGGAGAATCGGTTGAACCCGGGAGGCGGAGGTTGCGGTGAGCTGATATCACGCCACTGCACTCCAGTCTGGGCGACAGAGTAGAGTGAGACCCTGTCTCAAAAAAAAAAAAAAAAAAAGAAAAGGAAGGAAGGAAAGAAGGGAAGGAAGGAAGGAACGAAGGAAAAGAAAGGGGCAGAGTGCAAGGCAGGAGGAAATTCTTCAGGCTCTGGGAGGGAGTAAAGGTCGTTTCCTTCTTCTCACCCAGCCCAGCCCAGCCTCCCGCTCAGGGGCCTGGGATTCCGGGATTCCTAAGGTTAGACCTAGGAGGGACTGGACCAGGGTAGGAAACCTTCAAGTCACCTGGGTGGGCGGGGCTGGTCGTGGCTGCACCCCCACATTCCTTACTATAAAAAAAAAAACCTGCGCCCAGCTGTGCCTGGGCCCCACCCCAAGGTTAAAAGGGTAAAAGGGCAAAGCTACACATAAACACCCCTTCCCAGCCTTATCCAGTCAGGGCTGGGCAGGGACAGGAGTCCCAGGTTGTGGCTAGGGGTGAAGAGCATAGAGAAAACTCTAGCGGTAAAAGAAAGGCTGCCTGGAGGAGGGGGCATCGTAGCTGGGGATTTGAAGGTTGGTTAAGAGTTTGCTTAGTAAACAAGGCCAACAATATCAAAGTCTTAGAGGGTCCCCGAAGATGACATCTCACCTCCTCCACTGCAATTGTACCCAAAACACTAGTCCAGAGACCCAAGTCAGCTACAGTCAGCCCCTCAAGGGTCTCCAAGGGCCCGAATAAAGCATTGCCAAAGCCTCTTGTGGGGACCCACTTGGAACTTCAGAGCTAGGAGAGTTCTAAAACCAGCTCTCACCTATTTGCTGTGTGACCTCAGACAACTTACTGCCCCTCTCTGTTCCTCAGTTTCCACATCTGTAATTGGGGAAAATAATAGCCCCTACATCACAGGGTTGTCAGGAGGATTAAAAGGGGCGTAGAGGCCAGGCACAATGGCTCACTCCTGTAATTCCAGAACTTTGAAGAGTCAGGTGGGAGGATCACTTGAGGCCAGGAGTTTGAGACCAGGCTGGGCAATATAGCGAGACCCAATCTCCATACAAAATAAATAAAAAGGAGCATGTAGTTCTCTTCCCTTTTGCGGCCATCACAGAAGTGGGAGCAGCCAAAATGAAGTTCAATCCCTTTGTGACTTCCGACCGAAGCAAGAATTGTAGAAGGCATTTCAACGCACCTTCTCACATCGCATGAAGGTTATATGTCTTCCCTTCTTTTTTTTTTTTTTTTTTTTTTGAGACGGAGTCTCGCTCTGTCGCCCAGCTGGACTGCAGGCACGATCTCGGCTCACTGCAAGCTCCGCCTCCCGGGTTCCCGTCATTCTCCTGCCTCAGCCTCCCGAGTAGCTGGGACTACAGGCACCCGCCACCACGCCTGGCTAATTTTTGTATTTTTAGTAGAGATGGGGTTTCCCCATGTTGGCCAGGCTGGTCTCGAACTCCTGGCCTCAAGTGATTAGCCCACCTCGGCCACCCAAAATGTTAGGATTATGGGCATGAGCCACTACTCCCAGCCACACACACACACATATTTTATAGATGAAGGTTCAGAAAGGGCCCCAGACTCACTGAAGGTTGCACAGCATGGGTTCCTGGAGCCCCAAACTCTTTCCAAGACCCCATGCTGAGCCAATGTAGAAACACCATTAACCAAAACTAAGGCTTACTGAACACCTACTGTATACCTACAGGCAACTCAGCCCTTCCCTGTGTGACACTCCGCCACCAGCAGGTGGCGCAAAAAATCATTTTAGATGATTAAGGTCCAGCGATGTCCACCACCCCCCAAGACGGACACTCATTCTGTCACCCAGGTTGGAGTGCCGGGCGCAGTCTCGGCTCACTGCAAGCTCCGCCTGCGGGGTTCACACCATTCTCATGCCTCAGCCTCCTGAGTAGCTGGGACTACAGGCGCCGGCCACCACGCGTGGCTAATTTTTGTATTTTTAGTAGAGACGGGGTTTCACCATGTTGGCCAGGCTGGTCTCGAACTCCTGACCTCAGGTGATCCACCCACCTCGGCCTCTGAAAGTGTTGGGATTACAGGCGTGAGCCACCACGCCCGGCCAGTCCAGCGATCTTTAAATAGCCGTGTATTTGTTTTAATGAGTCGTGAGAAAAACACATCATTCCCTACCGGCCCGCACACGTCAAGGTTCGTGGCTGCCATTGCTCAAAGCAGTCTCTGCTTAGGTCTGGCAAAATCGGACAGGGGTTCTGCAGGGGACTGGAGCTGGTAGAAAATCCTGCATTCGGGCAGATCACCTGAGGTCAGGAGTTCGAGACCAGCCTGGCCAACATTGTGAAACCCTGTCTCTACTGAAAATACAAAAATTAGCTGGGCGTGGTGGCGCACGTCTGTAGTCCCAGCTACTAGGGAGGCTGAGGCAGGAGAATTACTTAAACCTGGGAGGCAGAGGTTGCAGTCAGCCAAGATTGCGCCACTGCACTCCAGCCTGGGCCACAGAGTGAGGCCCTGTCCACCCCGCCCCCCACCACCCCAAAAAAAAAAAACCGCAAGAAAAGAAAATGCTGCATTCCTGTCCTACAGGCTTTCTGACTTCAGCGTCTTTAAAATAAGAGGCTTGGCCAGGAACAGTGGCTCACGCTTGTAGTCCCAGCACTTTGGAAGGCCGAGGCGGGAGGATCTCTTGAGGCCAGGAGAGACCAGCCTGAGTAACAGAGTGAGACTTCCATCTCTACACACACACAGACACACACACACACACACACACACACACACACACACACACACACTTTTTTTTTTTTTTTTTTTTTGAGTTGGAGTCTCGCCCTGTTGCCCAGGCGCAATCTCAGCTCACTGCAAGCTCTGCTTCCCGGGTTCACGCCATTCTCCTGCCTCAGCCTCCCGAGTAGCTGGGACTACAGGCACATGCCCGGCTGATTTTTGTACTTTTAGTAGAGATGGGGTTTCACCGTGTTAGCCAGGATGGTCTCAAACTCCTGACCTTGTGATCCGCCCCCCTCGGCCTCCCTAAGTGCTGGGATTATAGGCGTGAGCCATCGTGCCCGGCCTTTTTTTTTTTTTTTAATTAGCCAGTCTTGGTGGCACTTGCCTGTACTCCCAGCTACTTGGGAAGCTGAGCTGGGAGGATTGCTTGAGCCCAGGCGGTGGAGGCTGCAGTAAGTCATGGTCACACCACTGTACTCTCATTCCTGGGCAACACAGTGAGACCCCCATCTCCACATCCACAAAAATTTTTAAAAATATCTTAGGCAGGGTGCAGTGGCTCATGCCTGTCATCCCAGCACTCTGGGAGGCCAAGGCAGGAGGATCACTTGAGTCAGGAGTTGGAGGCCAGCCTGGCCCACAGGGCAAAACCCATCTCTACAAAAATACGAAAAATTAGCCAAGGATGGTGGCAGGCGCCTGTAATCCCAGCTACTCAGGAGGCTGAGGCAAGAGAATCACTTGACCCTGGGAGGCGGCGGTTGCAGTGAGCTGAGATCACGCCACTGCACTCCAGCCTGGGTGACAGGGCAGACAGCACAACACTATGTTTCAAAAAAAAATAAAATTATATATATATATATATATATATAAGCTATGGCTGGGCACAGTGGCTCACGCCTGTAATCCCACTTTGGATGGCCAAGGCGGCCGAATCACTTGAGGTCAGGAGTTTGAGACCAGCCTGGCCAACATGGTGAAACTCTGTCTGTACTAAAAATATAACAGTCATGGGCCAGGCGTGGTGGCTCGTGCCTGTAATCCCAGCACTTTGGGAGGTCGAGGCGGGCGGATCACCTGAGGTTGGGAGTTCGAGACCAGCCTGACCAACATGGAGAAACCTCGTCTCTACTAAAAATACAAAATTAGCTGGGTGTGGTGGCACATGCCTGTAATCCCAGCTACTAGAGAGGCTGAGGCAAGAGAATTGCTTGAGCCCGGGAGGCGGAGGTTGCAGTGAGCCGAAATCGGGCCATTGCACTCCAGCCTGGGCAACAAGAGCGAAACTCCGTCTCAAAAAAAAAAAAAAAAGTCACCTGGGCGTGTTGGCACCCGCCTGTAATCCCAGGTACTCGGGAGGCTGAGGCAGGAGAATCACTTGAACCTGGGAGGCAGAGGGTGCAGTGAGCCGAGATCGTGCCACTGTCTCCAACCTGGGCGACAGACTGAGACTCTGTTTCAAAAAAAAAAAAAAAATATATATATATATATATATATGTATGAGCTGGGTGTGGTAGCAGGCACCTCTAGGCGCTGAAGTGGGAGGATCATTTGAGCCCAGGAGGTCGAGGCTGCAGTGATCCATGATCTTGCCCTTGCACTCCAGCCTGGGTGACAGAGCTAGACGCTGTCTCAAAAATAAATAAAGAAATAAGTGGGTTAAAGTCCTAGCAGTGAATGGGGCTCCCGGGCCATGTTTACTGGCATATGCTTGGCTGCAGCCCCAGTTACACACAACACTCGTGCGCCCACTTTGCAGCTGAGAAAACTGAGGCCAGATGGTGAGCTGGCCTGAGGGATTTGGCTGCAGCTCTGTTTGCCCCTGCACCTCGAACTCCAAGCCAGTGCCTCTCACCAGAGGGGGACCCTTGGCAACGTCTTGAGACATTTTGGTGTTCAATACCAGGCCGAGCGCGGTGACTCACACCTGTAATTCCAGCACTTTGAGAGGCTGAGATGGGCGGATCACTTGAGGTCAATAGTTCGAGAGCAGCCTGGCCAACAGGGTGAAACCCCGTCTCTACTCAAAATACAGAAATTAGCTGGGCGTAGTGACAGGCACCTGTAATCCCTGCTACTCGGGAGGCTGAGGCAGGAGAATCACTTGAACCCGGGAGGCAGAGGTCGCAGTGATCTGAGATGGCGCCACTGCACTCCAGCCTGGGCAATGGAGCAAGACTCCATCTCAAAAATAAAACAAGTCGGGCGTGGTGGCTCACGCCTGTAATCCCAGCACTTCGGGAGGCTGAGGTGGGTGGATCACGTGAGGTCAGGAGTTCGAGACCAGCCTGGCCAACATGGGGAAACCCCATCTCTACTAAAAATACAAAAATTAGCCGAGTGTGGTGGTGGGTGCCTGTAATCCCAGCTACTCGGGAGGCCGAGGCAGGAGAGTTGCTTGAACCCAGGAGGCAGAGGCTGTAGTGAGCCGAGATTGCGCCATTGCACTCCAGCCTGGATGACAAGAGCGAGACTCCAACTCAAAAAAATAAAATAAAATGAAACAATAAAAAAATAAACCTGGAAGGTTCTCCTGGCATGAGTGAGTGGAGGCCAGGGATACTGCTAAGCACCCTGCATTGCCCAGAATGGCCCCATCCCAGAGAAGGATCTGGCCCCAAATGTCAATGGGCAACGCAGAGAAATCCCACTGTCAACCCCTCTAAGAGAGGAAGCTGGATAACTGCACCAGGACACATTGTCTTCCTCCAACCACCCACCGTCTGCTCTCATATCCATGCCCTGCTCAAGAACACTCGATGGCTCCCTAGTACCATCCTCCAAACCTGGGTTCAAATCCAAGGCTTTGGAGATGGGCATAGCCTTAAGCCCCTTATTCCCACCACCCCTGACCTTCGGATCACCTTAATGAATTAAAAACCTGCTTTTGGCCGGGCGCGGTGGCTCACACCTGTAATCCCAGCACTTTGGGAGGCCGAGGCGGGCGGATCACGAGGTCAGGAGATCGAGACCATCCTGGATAACACGGTGAAACCCCATCTCTACTAAAAATACAAAAATATAGCTGGGTGTGGTGGCGGGCGCCTGTAGTCCCAGCTACTCGGGAGGCTGAGGCAGGAGAATGGCGTGAACCCGGGAGGCGGAGGTTGCAGTGAGCCGAGATTGCGCCACTGCGCTCCAGCCTGGGCGACAGAGCGAGACTCCATCTCAAAAAAAAAAAAAACCAACCAACCAAACAAACAAACAAAAAACCTGGTTTTCTACTGTTGCCTCACGAAGTAAAAATAATAATAGCAAAAAGAAAAGGAAAAAAAGAGAAAATCTGCTTTTCAGCAATCTACTTCATTTGTGCCTTAATTCTTCTGTGCATTCAGTCACTCAGTCAACAAAACTGTTGCAAGCCAAGTATATGACGTGTGATTGGGAACCAGCGTTCAGGGCCAGTGTGATCTGAGCAGGGTGAGGGACAGGAGGACCCAGGGAAGGTGGAGTTCTGGAGGCCTCCCTGGGATGAGCCAGCTCAACCCCTTCTGAGTGCTTGTGGGAAAACTGAGGCCCAGAGATAGCAGGGGCTGGGCTGAGGTCCCCCAGTGGATCAGGGCCAGGATGGTCTCGAACTCTGACCTCGTGATCCGCCCGCCTTGGCCTCCCAAAGTGCTGGGATTACAGGTGTGTGCCACTGCGCCTGGCCTAATTGTACTTTTTAGTTACATATGCGATTATTCAATTATTGTCTGTCTCCCCTAAAGACTGTGGGCTTCCACTGTGTCTGTCAATCAGTTCTTCTGCAGCCCCATCACTGTGTATGCAGTACGTGCTCAATAAATACTAAAAGAACGGGCTGGGCGCGGTGGCTCACATCTGTAATCCCAGCACTTTGGGAGGCCAACGCGGGTGGATCACGAGGTCGGGAGTTTGAGACCAGCCTGGCCAAGATGGTGAAACCCTGTCTCTACTAAAAATACTAAAATTAGCCAAGCGTAGTGGCACGTGCCTGTAATCCCAGCTACTCAGGGGGCTGAGGCAGGATCATGAGGTCAGGAGTTTGAGACCAACCAGGCCAAGATGATGAAACCCTGTCTCTACTAAAAATACAAAAATTAGCCGGGTGTGGCGGCGGGCTGCTGTAATCCCTGCTACTCAGGAGGCTGAGGCAGGAGAATCTCTTGAACCGGGAGGCAGAGGTTGCAGTGAGCCAAGATTGCGCCACTGCACTCCAGCCAGCCTGGGTGACAGAGAGAGACTCTGTCTCAAAACAACAACAAAGAAATTAAATAATAGTAATAATAATAGGCCGGGCGTGGTGGTTCACCCCTGTAATCCCAGCACTTTGGGAGGCCGAGACAGGTGGATCACGAGGTCAAGAGATGGAGACCATCCTGGCCAACACGGTGAAACTCCGTCTCTACTAAAAATACAAAAAAAAAAAAAAAATTAGCTGGGCATGTTGGCGGGCGCCTGTAGTCCCAGCTACTCGGGAGGCTGAGGCAGGAGAATCACTTCAACCTGGGAGGCGGAGGTTGCAGTGAGCCGAGATCGTGCCACTGCACTCCAGAGCCTGGGCGACAGAGCGAGACTCTGTCTCAAAAAAAGAAATAAATAAATAATAATAATAATTTTAAAGTTACAGAAAAGTAAATACACAGAGAATTCCTTTATACACCCAACTGATTTCCACTAACATTAACATTATTACACGGGTACATATGTCAAAACCAAGAAGTCAACATCAGTACAACCTTGTTCACTGAACTCCACACTTTATTCACGTCTCTCCGCAGGCCCTTTGCCGCCCCAGGGCCCCATCCAGGATCCCACCTGGTAGTTGGCTGTCACGTCTCCTTAGACACCGCTGGGCTGTGACCGATTCTGTCTTTCCTGTTCTGTGACCTGTTAGTCTGTGCTGGGCAGGTCTTTTGCAGAATAACTCTCAATGTGGGGACATTGGGGACCAGCTGTTTCCCTCATGACTAGACTGGCGTCATGGGTTTTGGGGGACCCTGGGAGGTTTTAAGGAAGCCGTGTGGAGAGGACGGGGCAGGAGCAGAGACAGAGAGCAGAGATGGAGGGCAGCCAGGTGGGAGGAGACGCCCCGGTCTGTGGGTTGCCAAGATCCAAACGACCTTTGAGGAAGGGCAGATTCTAGGTGTGGCCGGCTCAGCCCTAAGGCACTGGAGGGCTGAAGAACGTCTCAGGGTTTGGCGTCCTGGGGAGGCTGGAGGACCTCATGGGGGGCACTTTGAAGTAGGACTCATGGGGGGCACTTTGAAGTAGGAGGAGTGTGGAACCTGCTAGAAGCTTGGAGTATGGAATGCAGCTCAGGGTGTTCAACAGGGGACTTTCTTTTCTTTTCTTTTTTTTTTTTTTGAGACAGAGTCTTGCTCTGTCACCTAGGCTGGAGTGCAGTGGTGCAATCATAGCTCACTGCAGCCTCCACTTTCCTGGGCTCAAGCGATCCTCCCACCCCAGCCTCCTGTGTAGCTGGGGCCACAGGTGCACGCCACCCTGCCCAGCAGATTTTTGTATATTTTGTAGAGACGGTATCTCGCTATGTTGCCCGGACCTGTCTTGAACTGCTGGGCTCATGCGATCCTCCCACCTCGGCCTCCCAAAATGTTGGGATTCCAGGCGGGAGCCACCAAGCCATGCCAAAGATGCCATTTCCCCCAAAAGGGAGGACGGCTGAGCTCTAGAAGGAAGTTCCACAGCAGAGAGAGAAAAGCAGAGCCCATGTGAATTCCAGCCCCTGCCTCAGCTTCCTCATCTGTAAAACGGGGATCCCGGTTTTGACCCTGAGCAGTATTTCAGGGAAGGCTCAAAGGTTTAAGCATCTGCCACTAAGGATCCCCTGGGCTGCCTCTCCATGCTTCTAACTCCACTCGGGCCCCCAGTGGGAAAGCCAAAGGTGAATTACAGTGTCCCAGGGCTAGAGGGGGCCCCCTGCCCCATGGAAACCATCTACGCTAAGGTGCTGTCATTCTGGGCACGGAATGACATTTTTGAGATGGAGTCTTGCTCTGTCTCTGGGGCTGGAGTGCAGTGGTGCGATCCCGGCTCACTGCAACCTCTGCCTCCCAGGTTCAAGCAATTCTCCTGCCTCAGCCTCCCAAGTAGCTGGAATTATAGGCACACGCCAACACACCTGGCTAATTTTTGTATTTTTAGTAGAGACAGAGTTTCACCACGTTTGCCAGGCTGGTCTCAAACTCCTGGGCTCAAGTGACCCACCTGCCTTGGCCTCCCAAAATGCTGGGATTACAGGCGTGAGCCACCGTGTCTGGTCCAGAGGAGAACTGAAAGAACACACACACACAGGCAATCAAGAATGCTGAGGCCGGGTCGGTGGCTCTCGCTTGAAATCCCAGCACTTTGAGTGGCTGAGGCTGGCAGATCACTTGAGCCCAGAAGCTCGAGACCAGGCCGGCCAACACAGCAAAACCCCATTTCTATTTTCAATTTTTAAAAAAAAGAAAGAAAGGAAACAAATTAATTCCCCTCTGTATAGGCTATAAAGTCTTACCGGTTCCCATATTAATTAATGAATTAAGCAGACACATAAAGCACCTTTTTTTTTTTTTTTGTACTTTTAGTAGAGACAGGGTTTCACCATGTTAGCCAGGCTGGTCTTGAACTCCTGACCTCGTGATCCACCCGTCTCGGCCTCCCAAAGTGCTGGGATTACAGGCGTGAGCCACCGCATCCGGCCTCATTTTGTATTTGTATGAGAGTAATGATTTTACTATTTTGGGAAAAAATATCCTTTAATATCATAAAGCCAAATGTCTTCAGGCCAGCATTTAAAGCTCTCCCTTCATTTTGGCCGGACGCGGTGGCTCACGCCTGTAATCCCAGCACTTTGGGAGGCCGAGGCGAGCGAATCACCTGAGATCAGGAGTTCGAGACCAGCCTGACCAATACGGTGAAACCCTGTCTCTACTAAAAATACAAAAATTAGCTGGGCGTGGTGGTGGGCGCCTGTAATCCCAGCTACTTGGGAGGCTGAGACAGGAGAATCGCTTTGAACCCAGGAGGTGGAGGTTGCAGCGAGCGGAGATCGTTCCACTGCACTCCAGCCTGGGCAACAGAGCGAGACTCCATCTCAAAAAAAAATAAAATAAGGCCGGGCATGGTGGCTCACGCCTGTAATCCCAGCACTTTGGGAGGCTGAGGTGGGCGGATCACAAGGTCAGGAGAGACCATCTTGGCTACCACGGTGAAACCCCGTCTGTACTAAAAATACAAAAAATTAGCCGGGTGTGGTGGCGGGCGCCTGTAGTCCCAGCTACTCGGGAGGCTGAGGCAGGAGTATGGCGTGAACCCGGGAGGCGGAGCTTGCAGTGAGCCGAGATCGCGCCACCGCACTCCAGCCTGGGCGACAGAGCGAGACTCCGTTTCAAAAAAATATAAAAAGTAAAATAAAGTTACAAAGCGCCTCTCACGCATGTTACCCTCTGTGCAGCCATTGGCTCCATTACTGCGCTCTTGTTTCATGTCTGTCTTTCCCCACCAAAATATGCGCCCCACGAGAGCAGGAAGCTTGGCCTGCCTTGCTCACTGCTGAATCTCCAAGGCCTGGTGACCCCACACTCGCGCATACAGTAAGTGCACAATAAATGCCCGTTCGCTCCCTGGGCGACCCCTCCCCCCAGCCTAGGCTTCCGCTAACCTCAATCCATTCCAAAGGGTGTCAGGTTCCACCCTGAGCAAACACAGCTCCCCTGGCCCCTGGCCAGCCCTAAAGAGGAAGAACAAGTACCCATACTCCCTGCCCTGGACTTTCCCCGGGACTCAGGGCCACGAGGAAGCACCAAGCCAGGGGGCAGGACTTTCTCGAGATGCTGAGCCTGAGGCATCAGCTGGGGGCAGGGCCAGCCTCCAGAGCACCACCCCCGCCACCAGCTCCCTGTCCTCTGCGTCTTGACTCTTGGCCGCCTGACATTTCTACTTGGCTGTGCGGCCCGGGGTAAGCGGCTGTCCTTCTCTGAGCCAGGGTTCATCCTCTACAAACCAGGAAGCTGATGAGACCAGACTCCGATTCGGACCGGGATAGCTCGTCTTGACCCCAGAATGACCGAGAATCTGTTACCCGCTTTATTACATCCGGCACTCAACAGCCCTGTGCCTTGGTGACTCCATATCCCCCCACCCCTTTTTTTTTTTTTTTTTTTGAGACAGAGTCTCACTCTGTTGTCCAGGCTGGAGTGCAGTGGCACAATCTCGGCTCACTGCAACCTCCACCTCCTGGGTTCAAGCAATTCTCCTGCCTCAGCCTCCGGAGTAGCTGGGATTACAAGTGCTTGCCACCATATTCGGCTCATTTTTTGTATTTTTAGTAGAGACAGGGTTCCACCATGTTGGCCAGGCTGGTCTCGAACTCCTGACCTTGTGATCCACTCGCCTCGACCTCCCAAAGTGCTGGGATTACAGGCGTGAGCCACCGCGCCCGGCCCTCAATATCCCCATTTTACAGAGCAGGAAACAGAGGCCCGGAGAGAAGGGAGGTGTGGAAGCCAGATCTAACTGAGTCCACGGGTTTGCTCTCAAAACCCAGGCAAGGTGGGATCCATGTCGCCCACCCCCACGGACTCCCGAATCTCAAGCAAGCCTGCTCCCTGGGAGCTCTGCAGCCACACAGCCACAAGGTGACCCCAAATGCCGGGCCGCTCTGTCCCCCACTATGCGATCATCCATGCCTCCTCGGCCCCGGGGGACCCTCTTGGTTCTGGAGAGAGACTTGAGATGCAATCGGACACTTGGCTCACGAGGAAGCTCCCTTGGTCTTCCCATTTGGGAGCAAATGACCCAGAAAAACACTTTTGCTGCCGACCCCTCCCCTCTCTGGCTCTGAGCGCTCCTTCCTCCTTCCCCTCTGCCCCATCCCACAGAGATTTTGCTCGGAGGAGTAAAGATTAGAAAAAGAAGTCTGGGCGCAGTGGCTTGCGCCTGTAATCCCAGCACTTTGGGAGGCCGAGGGGGTTGGATCACCTGAGGTCAGGAGTTCGAGACCAGCCTGGCCAACATGGTGAAACCCCATCTCTACTAAAAATACAAAAATTAGCTGGGCATAGTGGTGGGCGCTTGTAATCCCAGCTACTCGGGAGGCAGAGGTGGAGGCAGAGGTTGCAGTGAGCCAAGATCGCACCACTGCACTCCAGCCTGGGCAACAAGAGCAAAACTCCGTCTCAAAAAAAAAATTAGCAAAAGAAAGGCCACCCCAATCCCTCCCTGCAAAGCTCCTGGAGGTTCCAGCGGTGAGAACAGGGTGAGGGGTTGGGGGGCGGGAGACGCAGTTGTTTCAAAACTTGGGAGCCTTTTAAGAAGTTCCAGGAGGCTCAGAGATGAGTGAGGTCGCAGCCTTTCCCACCTGTCACCTCCTAGCCTCGGGCTGCAGGAGGTAAACCCAGGCTCCGTCTGGACTGATATCCCCTCCCCTCCTCAGTTAGGGGGATCAGAGACCAACCTGTGCCCCTTTGCCGCCTCCCCGGTCCCTGCGCCACCTAGGTAACAATGACCCTTTTAAGTTTCCAGCTCAGCGTCCTGGGCAGGCCGCCAGGTGCAGTAACTGCCGGTCAGATAATCCCTACGAAACTATGTCAGATGCCCACGCAGGAGTGTCAGTTTCCTGCTTTCCGAGGAGCCGGGGAGACAGCTCGTGGTGGGGGAGGTTGGGGGGGAGTCTAAGGACCCTCAGCTGGGGAAGGCCAGCTCAGACAATGCACACTGGGTGGAAAAGCACAGTGGGGCGGGGGACTTACCTGTCTAGGAGGCTGGGTGGCCTCTGGGCAGGCAGCAGGTGCCAGGGCCCGGGTGCCTGCCTGGCACGGGTGGTGGGGAGGGAACCCGAGGCTTGTAGCTCTGGCCTCCCCACCTGTTTGACCAACTTTTCCTCTCTTGTGGTGGCAACAGGGAGGCAGGTCCCCTGCCAGTGGAACTGACGACCACAGACACAGGGAGACGGACCAGGGTGAGGGGCGGGCCAGCAGGAGGACTGGGTGTGTGGCTCTGTCGCAAGGTGCCCTCACGTGGGAGCAACTGGCCTTAACCCCTGCTTGCCCAGAGGTGAGCTTGCTCCTGCCTGTGCCCTCACCGCCGAGGCCCTGGTATCAAGCGTCCGCACATGGTAGGTGCTTAGGAAACCCTCGTTGGCTACATTCAGACATGAATGGACCGCACTCCCGGAGTCCCCCTCCCTCCTGCTTCTTGCATCTGGAGCTGCCCAGTCTCTGTGCTTGCTGAGCCTCCTGCCAGGCACGCCGGCCCATCAGGCTGTGGCTTGGCGCACTCCCTTCCCCACGCAGATCTGTGCGCAGTCTGCCTCTCTGCTACGAAGTGACTGGGTTCCTACGTACAGAAGCTTCTGCCACTTCCCCGCTGTGTGGCTTTGGGCAAATTACAGGGGCTTCTTGCTGTCCTCATCTAAAAAACAAGAAAGGGTCAGGTGTGGTGGCTCACACCTGTAATTCCAGCACTTTGGGAGGCCGAGGTGGGAGGATCACTTGAGCCTGGGAATTTGAGACCAGCCTGGGTAACACGGTGAAACCCATCTCTAGAAAAATTTTTATATATCTTTTGTTTGTTGTTTGTTTTGAGATGGAGTCTCCCTCTGTCACCCAGGCTGGAGTGCAGTGGCGCGATCTCGGCTCACTGCAACCTCCGCCTCCTGGGTTCAAGTGATTCTTCTGCCTCAGCCTCCCAAGTAGCTGGGATTACAGGCGTGCACCACCACGCCCAGCTAATTTTTTTTTTTTTTTTCAGTAGAGACGGGGTTTTCCTATGTTGGCCAGGCTGGTCTCAAACTCCTGACCTCAAGTGATCTGCCCGCCTCGGCCTCCCAAAGTGTTGGGATTACAGGCGTGAGCCACCGAGCCTGGCCTAGAAAAGTTTTTTTGTTGTTGCTGCTGGCTGTTGTTGGTTTTGTTTTGTTTTTTGTTTTTATTTTATTTTTTTTTTATTTTTTTGAGACAGAGTCTTGCTATGTTGCCCAGGCTGGAGTGCAATGGCTTGATCTCGGCCCACTGCAACCTTTGCCTCCCGGTTTCAAGTGATTCTCCTGCCTCAGCCTCCCGAGTAGCTGGGATTGCATTACAGGCACCAGCCATCATGCCCAGCTAATTTTTGTATTTTTGTAGAGACGGAGTTTCACCATATTGGCCAAGCTGGTCTTGAACTCCTGGCCTCAGGTGATCCGCCTGCCTTGGCCTCTCAAAGTGCTGAGATTACAGGCGTGAGCCACCACGCCCAGCCCAGAAAACTTTTTTAAAAATTAGCCAGATGTGGTGGTACACACCTGTAGTCCCAGAAACTCAGGAGGCTGAGGTGGGAGGATCAATTGACCCTGGGAGGTTGAGGCTGCAGAGAGCTATGACTGTGCCACTGCACTCCAACCTGGGTGACAGAGCAAGATCCTATCTCAATAAAATAAAATTAACCAGGAAGGGTTGGGCATGATGGCTCACACCTATAATCTCAGTACTTTGGAGGCCAAGGTGGCAGGATCACTTGAGGCCAGGAATTCGAGACCAGTCTGGGCAACATAGTGAGACACCCCCCCATCTTTACCAGTACATTAAAATTAAAATTTAAAAAATTAAGTCTGGGCTCAATGGCTCACCCCTGTAATCCCAGCACTTTGGGAGGTTGAGGTGGGAGAATTGCTTGAGTTAGGAGTTCGAGACCAGCCTGGCCAACATGGTGAAACCCCATCTCTACTAAAAATACAAAAATTAGCCGGGCAAGGTGGCATGCGTCTGTAATCCCAGCTACTCAGGAGGCTGAGACGGGAGAATCGCTTGAGCCCCAGAGGCAGAGGTTGCAGTGAGCCGAGATCGCGCCACTGCACTCCAGCTTGGGAGACAGAGCAAGACGCTGGCTGAAAAATAAATAAATAAATATTAAAATGCCACCTCACAGAGGTCATGGACTTTGTCGTGCTCATCCCTGCCGTGTCCTATGGCCTAGCACAGTGCCTGGTACACAGTAGGTGCTCAATACATGTTTTTGGAATGAATGGACTAG
Organism: Homo sapiens; assembly: GCF_000001405.40. Taxonomy (NCBI): domain Eukaryota; kingdom Metazoa; phylum Chordata; class Mammalia; order Primates; family Hominidae; genus Homo; species Homo sapiens. Next base: position 3,706,301 of record NC_000019.10, on the reverse strand, counting down.
GGTCCCTCCAGCCTGCAGTACCTCCTGCTGACGGTAGTAGCCACTATGGCCACCAGGCGGCGCCAGAAACCACGCAACCGGCCCCCGCCGGGCAGCCTCGGTTTTCCACCCTGCGTAATGGGGACAGCCAACCAGGGGCGTGGGGGGATGCGGGGAAGGCACAGAAGGCTGGTGGCTCTCCCGGACCCCAGCCCCTCCTCTCTGTCCCTTGCCTCTCCCCTCCTGTCACCCCATCCCTGCCCTAGTTTTCTTTTTTTTAAGTTTTTTGTTTGTTTGTTTGTTTTTGTGTTTTGAGACGGAGTCTCACTCTGTCTCCCGGGCTGGAGTGCAGTGGCGCCATCTCGGCTCACTGCAACCTCTGCCTCCCGGGTTCAAGCGATTCTCCTGCCTCAGCCTCCCGAGTAGCTGGAATTACAGGCATGTGCCACTACGCCTGGCTACTTTTTTGGTATTTTCAGTAGAGGTGGGGTTTCATCATGTTGGCCAGGCTGGTCTCAAACTCCTGACCTCAGGTGATCCACCCACCTCTGCCTCCCAAAGTGCTGGGATTACAGGCGTGACCCACCGCGCCCGGCCAAGAGGCTGCTTTTAACTGCTTGTTTTGATGTTGACTTTTGCGTCTGTAAGTCATGACTGTTCAGCCAGTTTTAGTAATTTTTTTTAAGTATATTTCCTCTTCATTATCCTCATCAATGATCTAACCTCCAGCACTTCCTCCACTTTATCTGGCATCCAAATTGCCTGGAAGGGGGAAGTCATGAACACCCAGATTTTACCACCCCCACCACCCCGCCCAGTTTCTGGTGTGTGAAGTCTGCGTTGGAGCCTGGGAAACTGCATTTCTTTTCCTTTTCTTTGGTTTGAGACAGAGTCTCGCTCTGTCGCCCAGGCTGGAGTGCAGTGGTGCAATCTCGGCTCACTGCAACCTCTGCCTCCTGAGTTCAGGTGATTCTCCTGCCTCAGCCTCCCAAGTAGCTGGGACTACAGGCGCATGCCACCACGCCTGGCTAATTTTTATACTTTTAGTAGAGATGGGGTTTCTCCATGTTGGCCAGGCTGGTCTCGAACTCCTGACCTCAAGTGATCCGCCCACCTTGGCCTCTCAAAGTGCTGGGATTACAGGTATGAGCCACCGTGGCTGGCCCCTTCCCCCAAACTTTATCTGGCACCCAGTTTGCCTGGAAGGGAGGAGTCATGAACACCCAGATTGTGCCCTCCCACCACCCTACTCTGCCCAGTTTCTGGTGTGTGAAGTCTGGGTGGGGGCCTAGGAACCTGCATTTCTTTTACTTTTCATTGTTTGTTTTGAGACCAGGTCTCGCTCTGTTGCCCAGGCTGGACTGTAGTGGTGTGATCATAGCTCACTGCAGCTTCAAACTTCTGGGCTCAAGCGATCCTCCCACCTCAGCCTCCCAAGTAGCTGGGACTACAGGTGTGCACCACCATGCCAGGCTATTTTTGTTTTTTTGAGAGGAGTTTCGCTCTTGCTGCCCAGGCTGGAGCGCAATGGCGAGATCTTGACTCACTGCAACCTCTGCCTCCCGGGTTCAAGCAATTCTCCTGCCTCAGCCTCCTAAGTAGCTGGGATTACAGGCATGCGCCACCATGCCCGACTAATTTTTGTATTTTTAGTAGAGACAGGGTTTCTCCGTGATGGTCAGGCTGGTCTCGAACTCCTGACCTCAGGCGATCCACCTGCCTCAACCTCCCAAAGTGCTGGGATTACAGGCGTGAGCCACTGCATCTGGCCACGCCAGACTAATTTTTAATTTGTTTTGTAGAGATGGGATCTTGCTATGTTGCCCAGGCTGGTCTTGAACTCCTGGGCTAAAGTGATTCTCCTGCCTCAGCCTCAATCCCAAAGCACTGGGATTACAGGCATGAACCACTGCACCTGGCTTTGGAACCTGCATTTCTAACAAGCTCCCAGGGTGAGGCTGATGTGGCTGGCCCAGGGACCACACCTTGAGAGCCAGTGGTCTAAATCTTTTTTCAAAACAGATTCTGGGTGAATCAGGAGCTCTGTCCATGACCTGCGTCCAAAGAACTCTTCCTGGAGCCTTAAAATGGTCAAGGCCGCCTGCAGTGGCTGACGCCTGTAATCCTCACACTTTGGGAGGCCGAGGTGGGCAGATCACCTGACACCAGCCTGGCCAACACAGTGAAATCCCATTTCTACTGAAATTACAAAAATTAGCCAGGTATGGTAGCACACACCTGTGGTCTCAGCTACTTGGGAGGCTGAGGTGGGAGGATCGCTTGAACCTGGGAGGCAGAGGCTGCAGTAAGCCGAGATCACGCCACTGCACTCCAGCCTGGGTAACAGAGCAAGACTCATCTCAAAAAAGAAAAAACAAAAAATGGTAGTAAAATACGCACAACATACAATTCACAATTTTCACCATTTCTTTTTTTTCGAGTCTTGCTCTGTTGCCCAGGCTGGAGTGCAGTGGTGCCATGTTGGCTCACTGCAACCTCTGCCTCTCAGGTTCAAGTGATTCTCCTGCCTCAGCCTCCCGAGTAGCTGGGATTATAGGCCTGTGCCACTATGCCCAGCTAATTTTTTGGTATTTTTAGTAGAGACAGGGTTTCACCACATTGACCAGGCTGGTCTTGAACTCCTGACCTTAGGTGATCTGCCAGCCTCGGCCTCCCAAAGTGCTGGGATGACAGGCGTGAGCCACCGCACCCGGCCCATTTTCACCATTTCTTTCTTCTTCTTCTTCTTCTTTTTTTTTTTTTTTTTTTTTTGGAGACAGAGTCTTGCTCTGTCGCCCAGGCTGGAGTGCAGTGGTGCCATGTTGGCTCACTGCAACCTCTGCCTTTCGGGTTCAAGTGATTCTCCTGCCTCAGCCTCCCGAGTAGCTGGGATTACAGGCACGCGCCACCACGCCTGGCTAATTTTGTATTTTTAGTAGAGACGGGGTTTCTCCATGTTAGTCAGGCTGGTCTTGAACTCCCGACCTCAGGTAATCCGCCCACCTCGGCCTCCCAAAGTGCTGGGATTGCAGGTGTGAGCCCCCGCGCCCGGCCCATTTTCACCATGTCTAAGAGCACAGCTCCGTGGCCTTAAGCACATTCCCATGGCTGTGCAAACATCACCGCCATCATCTCCAGAATGTTCTCATCTTCTGAGACTGGAAGTCTGCCCCTGTGAAACACTCACTCCTCGTCTCCCCCCAAGCCCCTGGCACCCCCCATCCTACTTTCTGTCTCTGTGAATGTGACAACTCTAGGGACCTCCTAGGAGTGGAACCACACAGAATTTGTCTTTTTGTTTTTTTTGTTTGTTTTTTTTTTTTGCGGGGACAGACGGGGTCTTTCTCTGTTGCCCAGGCCAGAGTGCAGTGGTGCGATCATAGCTCACTGCAGCCTTGAGTTCCCGGGCTCAAGCAGTCCTCCCACCTTAGCCTACTAAGTAGCTGGCTAATTAAAAAACAATTTTTTTTGTAAAGATGAGGGGTCTCACTACACCTAGCTAATTAAAAAAATTTTTTTTGTAGAGATGAGAGGGCTCACTATGTTACCCAGGCTGGTCTAGAACTCCTGAGCTCAAGTAATCCTCCTGCCTTGGCCTCCCAAAGTGCTGGAATTACAGGCGGGAGCCTCTGTGCCCACCCCAAACATTATTTATGTGCATAGGTAATATAATCATTATGATTTACATTTATGTAAATAATATAAACGTTATTACTTAAATTAACATAAACAACATAAGCCTTATTATGTGCTTATATAAAGAACATAAATATGGCCGGGCGCAGTGGCTCACACCTGTAATCCCAGCACTTTGGGAAGCTGAGGCGGGAAGATCACGAGGTCAGGCGTTCAAGACCAGCCTGGCCAACATGGCGAAACCTCATCTCTACTAAAAATACAAAAATTAGCCGGGCGTGGTGGCACGTACCTGTAGTCCTAGTTACTTGGGAGGGTGAGGCAGGAGAATCACTTGAACCCTGGAGGCAGAGGTTGCAGTGAGCTCAGATCGCCCCCCTGCACTCCAGCCTGGGCAACAACAGCAAGACTCCATCTCAAAAAAAAAAAAGAAGGATATAAATATTGCTACTTACATTTGCATAAATATATATAATTTATTATGTATTTCTATAATTATATGTTTCTTATAATAGCAAACTGTATTATTATTGATAAAATAATATAAAGAAAACAATAACATATCTATACTTACGTAATACAAACGATGGAATATAAATATTATTTGCAATATGATAATAAACAGGTAGTTAATTGCAAATGTTATTGATATGTATTGCGTAGATCAATGTTAATAACATGTATTGTGTAGATCTATATATATATATATTTTTTTTTGATATGGAGTCTCGCTCTGTTGCCCAGGCTGGAGTGCAGTGACACGATCTCAGCTCACTGCAAGCTCTGCCTCCCAGGTTCACCCTATTCTCCTGCCTTAGCCTCCCAAGTAGCTGGGACTACAGGCGCCCGCCACCACGCCTGGCTAATTTTTTGTATTTTTAGTAGAGACGGGGTTTCACCATGTTAACCAGGATGGTCTCAATCTCCTGACCTCGTGATCCGCCCGCCTCGGCCTCCCAAAGTCTTGGGATTACAGGCATGAGCCACCGCGCCCGGCCCTGTGTAGATCAATATTATTTACATGTACTGTGTATATCACTGTTATTGGTATATTTTGTGCATATCAATGTTATTGACATGTAGTGTGTATATCAATGTTATTGACATGTAGTGTGTACATTAATGTTATTGGCATGTAGTGTGTATATCAATGTTATTGGCATGTAGTGTGTATATCCATGTTATTGGCATGTAGTGTGTATATCAATGTTATTGACATGTAGTGTGTGTATCAATGTTAGTTACATGTATTGTGTAGATCAATGTTATTGGTATTCATTGTGTATAGCAATGTGATTGGCATGTATTGCATATAGCAATGCTATTTGTATGTTTTATGTAGATCCATGTCAATGATATAGTATAGATTCATGTTATTGGCATGTATTGTGTATATCCATGTTATTGGCATGTATTGTGCATATCCGTGTTATTGGCATGTATTGTGTATATCCATGTTATTGGCATGCATTGGGTAACTCCATGTTATTGGCATGTGCTGTGTAGGTCCATGTGTGGTTTTTTTTGGGACAGAGTCTCACTCTGTGGCCCAGGCTGGAGGGCAATGGTGCGATCTCAGCTCACTGCAACCTCTCCCTCCTGGGTTCCAGCGATTCTCCTGCCTCAGCCTCCCGAGTAGCCGCGATTACAGGCATGTGCCACCACGCCCAGCTATTTTTTGTATTTTTAGTAGAGACAGGATTTCACCATGTTGGTCAGGATGGTCTTGAACTCCTGACCTCAGGTGATCCGCCCTCTTCGGCCTCCCAAAGTGCCGGGAATATAGGCGTGAGTCACCGCGCCCGGCCAGATCCATGTTATTGTCATGCGCTGTGCAGGTCCCTGTTATTGGCATGTGCTGTTTAGATCCATGTTATTGGCATGTGCTGTGTACATCCATATTATTGGCACGTGCTGTATAGATCCATATTATTGTCATGTGTTGTGTAGATCCATGTTATTGGTATGTGTTGTGCACAGCAATGTTATTGATACGTATCGTGCCTGTCAATCTTACTGACCTAATACGATGGAATGGCGAGCCTGGCTCTGTACTCCCACCCCTGGGCGCGAGGGGGCACTCGAGGCGCTCCTGGCTGCGGGTCGCAAGCAGGCCCCGCCCCCGAGCCCCGATTGGCCGCGCGCCGTCCGCGGCGTCGCACGCACGCAGGCCCCGCCCCGTCCGCCCCGCGCCGGCCCGGCGCGCCCTCCCTTGGCCGGCGGCGCTTGTTGTTCGGCGGCGGCGGTCGCAGCTCGGGTCCCCCTCGGGCGCCCCCGCCGCCGTCCGCGCGCGGCCATGGAGCTGGAGGTACCGGACGAGGCGGAGAGCGCTGAGGCGGGGGCCGTGCCCTCGGAGGCGGCGTGGGCGGCAGAGAGCGGGGCGGCGGCAGGTAACGGCCCGGCCTCCCGGGGCTGCGGCCCGCTGGGCTCGTCCGAGCGCCGAGAGTCGCGGGGCTGCGGGGCCGGGGCGGGGGCTGCACGGTCGCTGCGGGGGCGCCGCCGGTTCCAGGAGCCTGGGGCGGGGCAGTCCCCTGGAGCCGCGGGGAGGACGGGGCTGAAGCCGCGCCGGGAAGCGGGAGGCCTGCGAGGGGCTACCTCCCACCGCTCCCGGGCCGGGGGCGACTCGGCGTGGGCGCCGCTGGGGATCCCCGTTCTGCCTGACCCGCTCCCAGGGGCTGCCCGTCGTGTGAGTGGCGGCTGCTTGGGTGGAGGCGGGGGTCTCTGAGGCCGTGCGTGCCCACCTCCTGATGTCACCTCCCTTTCTGTAAGTCCCCAGACCTGAGTCCGGGTGCGCGACCTTTCCTCACCTTCCTGGGCCTCAGTTTACCTCCCTGCTAAAATGAGGGGAGGAAAAGGGTTACATCTCAAGATGCCTCCACCGCCCCGGCTGTGCACACAGGGTGCCCTGTCGCCCCCTTTTCCTCTCCCCGAGCCTTCCCCCAGGACACACTGGTGGGGCTGCGGGCTGGGCGGGGGGCACGGCTGTCTCATGCCCCCTTTAGCTGCTTCCTGGACCTCCAGCCGGGTAGGTGGCGGCAGCTGGGCCTTCCCTTCTGTGGGGACGGTGTGCAGAGCCCAGAGGAAGGGAACAGTTCCTTCTCAGTCGAGGTCACAAGCTCCCAAATCGGAAGTTTCCGGATTCACAAAATCCTCTGCTCCTCCCAGGCAGCCAGCAGCAGCGTCTCTGTAGACACCCACACGGGCATCCGTCCTCCTTCTCCCCCCAGGCCTCCCGAAGCTTCCTTGGTTGGCAGGCGGGCAAGCGGGCGGGCGGGCGATGCGTGCTGCCTGGGAGTTGGGGAGATGTCTGGAGAGAGAGAGAGTGTGGAAGTCATCAAGTCCCCCCCCCACCCCCCGCCTTGAAAGACACTCGTGGCTTCCCTCCCGGCGGCCATCTGGAACCGCTTGGTAGGTGACCCGGTTCCTTCCCCAGAGCCAGTGGCCTCGCCCCTTTCTTTGCGGGCAGCCGGTGTCCTGGCCTGGCCAGCAAGAGACATGGTGGAGGAACCCAGGCAGGGCACCAGGCCCCAGCCCGGGTTCCTTTCTTGGGCCCCCCAACTTCCGCTGTCAGCCCTCTGACCCCAGCTGGTCAGAGACAAAGTAGCCCAGGACTCGCTGACCAAAAGAAAACCACACCGCGACCATTCATCTTATCAGGGGCTCTGGGAGCACCGGGGACAGATAAAGTTGCCAGCTCCAGACTGAGCATGGTGGTGGGGTGGGAGAGCGGGGGAGTGGGGGGGTGGGGGTGGGGGGCCGGGGAGGGCTGGAAGGTCAGGGTCTGGCATCTCTGCCCATCCCTGAAATCCACAGAAATCTGACCCCAGCTGGCCATATACTGCTTCTGAATGTTTAAAATTCAGAGTTGCCTCACTCCTCCAACGCCATCCCTCCTGATGTTAGCGCTGGTGAGTTTAGGTTGTGCCTGGCTGGGCCACAGAGACGTGAGCACATAAAGGGGCCTGCTTGTTCTTCACCGAGATGGTTTCATGCCTCACTGGGGCTTCTGTGCCTTGGCAGAGGTATTTTGAGTCAGGAAATTAGGGGTGCTGAGCAACGCCCCTGGCTTCTGCCCACTCCATGCCAGGAGCACCTGCCAGTTGTGACAGCCACAAGTGACCCAGACACCGTTCAGTGTCCCCTGGGGGCAGGACGGCCCTGGTGAGAAATGCCACACGTTTATGACTCTGTGAACTGCTTGCTTTTTATCTCTGGTCATCTGGAGTCTCCCCACCCTATGTTGGTATCGGTTTGTAGAGAGGGCGAGCGCCAGGCAGTGGTTAAGGGGGAGCCCCAGAGTTGGTCCCGCCGATGTCCCCCTCCCAGCTCCGCGCTTCAGGTGCTGTGTGGCCGTCACTTCCCCGGGCTTCAGCGTCCCGTCTGTGAAGTGGGGTGATGACCGTGTGTGCTAGGGGCTGAGCCTGGGATGAGTTGGCGCTCGTGCTTGGTGATTGTCGTGCCGGTTGGCCACCCCTTTCCGGCCTCTCCACCATCGGTGCCTCCAGGCCCCTGCTGAGGCCCATGCCCGTGGTTTCTGGAGTCACCGCTCACTGTTAGAAGCGATGGCGACACCTTCCAGAAAGCTCAGCTACAGCGGGAGCCTTGTCCGACAGGGGCCGAGGGAGGCTGCCCGTTTCCCACGGCACTGCCAGCTCCCAGTGTCATCGTCCTTGGCGATTTCGGCTGATCCGATGGGAGGCAAAGCAATGTCTCGTTGGTGTTTAGAATTTGGTTCCTCTAATTGCCTGGGCTCCTGGCTCCCGAGGCGTGGCCTGAATGGCGTCTCCATGGGCCGTGGCCGTGGGGCACGTGGGGGCGGTCTCGGGAAGGCCGGGGCTTGGGATGCGGCTGTGCCCACTGTGTGGGCCGATGGCCTGTGGTGGAGTTTGGTCTGAGCTGTGGCCTGGGCGTGTCTGAGCCTCTCCCAGGCTGTCCTGTCTCTGTGATGCCCCAGAACGGTCAGCTCCATCCCTGCCCCTGCCCCACTCCCACGGCTGATCTGTCTCTGTGATGCCCTGGAAAGGTCAGCTGCATCCCTGCCCCTGCCCCACTTCCACGGCTGATCTGGCAGCAAATGATGGCAGCTTCACCTTCAGAACTGGCCCAGAACCCACTGACTCCTTCCCTGTCCTCTGCCTCTCCCGGGTCCAGCTTGGTCCTCCCGGGTCCAGCTTGGTCCTCCCTGGTCCAGCTCGGTCCTCCCCGGTCCAGCTCGGTCCTCCTCGGTCCAGCTCGGTCCTCCTCCGTACAGCTCGGTCCTCCTCCGTCTGGCTGAGTACTCCCCGGTCCAGCTCAGTCCTCCTCCGTCTGGCTCAGTCCTCCTCTGTCTGGCTCGGTCCTCCCCGGTCCAGCTCGGTCCTCCTCCGTCCGGCCCAGTCCTCCTCCATCCGGCTCGGTCCTCTATCCGGCTTGGTCCTCCTCCATCTGGCTCGGTCCTCCCGGGTCCAGCTCGGTCCTCCCCGGTCCAGCTTAGTCCTCCTCCATCCGGCTCAGTCCTCCCCAGTCCAGCTTGGTCCTCCTCTGTCCGGCTCGGTTCTCCTTCGTCCGGCTCAGTCCTCCTTCGTCTGGCTCGGTCCTCCTTGGTCCTCCTCGGTCCAGCTCGGTCCTCCTTGGTCCAGCTCGGTCCTCCCCGGTCCAGCTCAGTCCTCCTTTGTCCAGCTCGGTCCTCCTCGGTCCAGCTCGATCCTCCTCCGTCCAGCTCAGTCCTCCTCGGTCCAGCTCAGTCCTCCTTTGCCCCCTGAGCCAGGCCTGGCGCCCCTGCTCTTCCTCTGCTCCCTGTCCCACATTCCAGGAGGACCCCATTAAAAACCAGCGGCCCGAGTCCCGACCCTCCTCTGCTCGCAGCCCTCCATGGCTCCCACCTCCCTTGGGGTCAAAGACATAGTCCTCTTTGAAGCCCATCAGGCCCTGCACAGCCTGCCCCGGGCCCTCCCTGCCCTCCCTGCCCTCCCCTCCGCACTCTGCCCTCCCTGCCCTCCCGTCTGCACTCTGCTGTAGGCCCATGGGCCCCTTGCTGTTCCTCCAGCATGCAGGGCATGGTCCTGCCCCGGGGCCTTTGCACGGCTGCCCCCCACCCCCACCCCGGAATGCCCCTCCTCCCATCTGTGTCCTTTGCTCCCTTAGCGCTTTCCAGGTTTTGTGGGAGCATCTCCTCTCCGTGAGGCCTCCCTGCCCTGCTGTCACCACACAGCGGTCTCCCCTTCTCCGTCCCCTGCCCTCCCGGTTCCTCTTCCCTGATTGTGCCACCATAGCGTTTGTCACCACCTGAAACATATGGCTCTGCTGACGTGTTTTCTGACCATCTCCTCCTGAGCGAGAGCTCCACGAGGGCCAAGACCGTCTGTGCCACTCCTGCGGCATCCCCTGCGCCCGGAAGAGCTCAGCACAGTGCAGATCCTGGTGAACATCAGGTGCATGAGGCCAGCAGTGCCAGGGAGGAAGGGTAAGGTAGAATGGGGTGGCTGGGAAGGCCTTGCCAAGAAGGTGGCATCCGAGGGAGACCTGTGGGCATTGGGCAGGAAGAGGGCATGGCCCCAGCAGAGGCCCCGCCTGCCTGGAGCACAGTGTAGTGTGGTCACAGGGCGGCCGGGCAGGGAGTCAGCACCGCCACCAGGGCCTCCCTGTAGCTGTGGTGGTCTGTGTAAAAAGGTCAGGGAGGCCGGGCACGGTGGCTCACACCTGTAATCCCAGCATTTTGGGAGGCTGAAGCAGGAGGATCACTTGATCTCAGGAGTTTGAGACCAGCCTGGAGCAACATAGCAAGACCCCTGTCTCTACTAAAAAAAAATTAAAAGAAGTAGCTAGACGTAATGGTATGTACCTGTAGTTCCAGCTACTCAGGAGGCTGAGGCAGGAGGATCACCTGAGCCTGGGAGGCTGAGGCTGCACTGAGCTGTGATCGTGCCACTGCATGCCTGGGTGACAGCAGAATCGTATCTCAAAAAAAAAAAAAAAAAAGGGTCAGTGGGATTGTGGTGTCTCTTGTTGCAAGTCAGCAGGGCCCAGGCGGAGGCTGAGGACACTGGGGACGGAAAGTTCCCCATTCTCTCCCGCCCTGGCCGCCTCCCGGGATGCAGGTCAGGCACTGTGACCACCACAGCCTGGGTGTCCCAGTGGAGAGGCCTCGGGGGCCGGCCCTCCTGGGTTCACACCCAGCGCCATTGCATGCCAGCCGGGGATGTGCAGCCTCGGTGTACCTGTCTGTAAAGTGGGCGTGATGGCTGCCTTTCTCCTGGGCTGCATGGAGAATCATGGGGTAAAGCCCTTAGAAGGCACGGGACAGGCAGCCGGCCCCGTGAGAAAGCTGGGTGCCCCCTCCGTCCCAGGTTGCTGTTGGAGGAGAGGGAGTCCCCTTCGTGTGCTGCTTCCGGGGCCCAGGTGCCAAGCGAGCTCACCTGGGCGCTGGGGTCCGCCATGGGAGTCGGCTCGTGAAAGTGTGAGTTCCACTCCTGGGCTCCAGACCTTTGTTGAGCACCTCGTGTGGGCCAGGTGGGGCTCAGGGTGCCCAGTCTTCTGGTGCTAACGGGACTGCCTCGCTGACCCCTTGGAGCCCTCAGGTTGCTGGGCGTCAGGCTGCAGATGGGAACAAGTGGCCACGTGAGACCCCACCCGAATCTGTCCATGCCGCTTCTTGTCAACAAAGTTTTATTGGCAACGGCCACACCATTTGTTCCGTTGCCGGCCTTGGTGGCCCCCACGCTGCAGCGGCAGAGCTGGGAGCTGAGTGGCCATGCTTGGGGCTACGTGTCCCACGAAGCCGAAAACACTTGCTGCCCGGTCCTTTACGGAAGATGTTTGCCCAGCCCAGAGCCGGGCTGCGTTGGGCGGTGATGAGTGTGGTGAGGGCACCTGGGAGGTCAAGTGGCCAGGCCTGCGGCAGCTGAGGACTCGGAGGGAGGTGACTGTCCCCACGAGCTGAATAAGGGTGGGCTGTGGCTCAGGCGATGTAGGCAGCGGAATAGTCGCGCCGAGGCCGTGGGGTGGGAACTTGCTGCACCCACTTGAGCCGCAGAAGTGAAGTCAACGTGGTGGGAGAGGGTCGCGTGGGGTCGGACCTGAGGACAGCGGGTGGCACGGGCATCTGAGTGGGGCGGCGAGCCCGATTCACAGCGCCTGGTGGGGGATGGTCCGTGGGCAGTGCTCTGTGGGGTTGGGGCAGGTGTCCAGGTGAGTGCCACCGGTGCCTGGAGGCAGACGAGGGGCCTGGAAGGATTTTGGCCTGGGCCCTGGAGCTGGTGGCTGGGGTGGCGAGGACTGAGGACAGAGCAGGACTGGGAGCCCAGGCACTGTGGCAGGTGTGTGCCGATGTGGGGTGAGCAGGCAGTGGGGACCCCCAAAGCAGGTGGAGGCTCCGGGAGCCTGGGCAGGGTGGTCCCAGGGCCTGGTGTGGGCTGAGCCTGCCTTGGCCGCTTAGACCCGTGTGCCTCTGAGCAAGTGACTTCCCTTTGTTTTAAATTTTTTTTTTTTTTTTTTTTTGAGATGGAGTCTCGCTGTCTCGCCCGGGCTGGAGTGCAGTGGCGCGTTCTCGGCTCACTGCAAGCTCCACCTCCCGGGTTCACGCCATTCTCCTGCCTCAGCCTCCTGAGTAGCTGGGACTACAGGCGTCCGCCACTACGCCCGGCTAATGTTTTGTATTTTTAGTAGAGACAGGGTTTCACCGTGTTAGCCAGGAGGGTGTTGATCTCCTGACCTGGTGATCCGCCCGCCTCAGCCTCCCAAAGTGCTGGGATTACAGGTGTGAGCCACCGCGCCCAGCCTCTTTTAAATTTTTAAAACTTTTTTGTAGAGGTGAGGTCTCACTATGTTGTCCAGGGTGCGAGGGTCTCGAACCCTTGGTCCCAAGCAGCCCTCCTGCCTCCACCTCCCAAAGTGCTGGGGTTACAGGCATGCGCCCCCATGGTGGCCCCTTCTTTCCCTTTTGGAACAAGAGCTGCGGGTGTCCTGAGTGCCTGGCAGGACAGGGATGGGTGAGGCCCTAGCCCCTGGGAAGCTGCACGACCTGGGTCTTTGTTTACAGATGGGGAAACCGAGGCTCCAGGAGGGCTGGAGAGTCCACACAGGGTGGGGCTGTGAACGAGGAGCGGGGCCCAGGCCTCCCTGCCGCCTGCCGCCTGCCGCCTGGCCCCGGCAGCATGTCCCTTCACGCAGGACCAGGCCGGTCAAGACCCTGCAAGGATTTGCCAGCAGGCGCCAGCTGGACGGGGCCCGTGGTGGTGCCAGTACTCATGGGGATTACAGCCTGAGGGGATTAGCTCGGAGCCCCTGCACCTGCCTCCCCGCCACCCTGAGAGGCCAGCTTGGGAGGGGCTGGAGTCGAGCATGAGGGCCCCCAGGTGCCTGAGCTGGCATGGGGGTGCGAGGGGACCCGGCCTCTGGCTGAGTGAAGAGAGGACCCCAGCACCCTGCCCGGCCGCTCTCCTCCACTGAAATGCCTCATGCCTCCACTTTGCAGGCAGGGCTGCTGCTGAAGGTTTCCGGGAGTGGGGTGTGGTTCGGGCATCGTCTACGTGTGCTTTCCTGCGTGTGCTGTGGCCGGGTGCTGGGAGCCTGGGGGAACGAGAGGGCCAGGCCCCCTAAGGAACTCTGGGAGTGGGGCCAGGACATACAGACAGCAAAGAAAAGCAAAACACGCAACGCAGTGGACAAGTGCCACGGAGAAGAGCCGAGCAGAGGAGGGGAGAGAGTGGCGGCGGAGGTGCCCTCAAGGCTGGGGACTCGGGGGCCACACTTGAACAGAGATCCAGGGGAAGTGAGGGGGTTGTGGAAGTGTGGAGGGAGCTGTCTGGCAGAGGCACTGTGCAAAGGCTCTGGGGCAGGACCACGCCTGGTGTTTTAGAGGAACAGTGAGGAGGGGAGGGCAGGGAGGGGACGGGGCAGGGTGTGCAGGGCCTTGTGGGCTGCAGGGAGGACTTGGGCTTTGACCCCAAGGGAGGTGGGAGCCATGGAGGGCTGCGGGCAGAGGAGGGATGGGCGAGACTCAGGAGCTCACAGGCACCCCCTGGTGGCTGCTGTGGGGAGGACAGATGGGGTGAGGGCGGGACGTGGGCTAGGGGAACCAGGGCAGAGGGGACTGCACTGGCCCAGGTGGGCGAAGCTGGGGCTGGGCCAGGTGGGGACCATGAGCAGTGCGCCATCTGGGATGGATTTTGGAAGCAGAGCCAGCAGGACCTTTTGAAGGTTGAGTGTGGGGCTGAGGGGGGATTGAGTTTGAAATCAAGATTTTAGCCTGAGCCCTGGAAGGACAGAGCTGCCCTCAGCCAAGATGGATGCAGGAAGGGCAGCATGGGGGCCGCCGGGGCCCAGCATGGCCGAGCTGCGAGGGAGGCCCCAGGAGCCCCTGTAGGGAGCGTTGGGGGCCGTGGTGGGAGCCGGCAGTGGGACTGGGTGGGGCCGTCGGGACCCTGGTGGTGGCTGTGCTCAGTGGACGGTGTCTCTGTTCCATTGTGCTGTTGGCAGGAGGACAGCTGAGATGATTGGGTTCGGTTGCCCAGCCGCTCCGTGCCTCAGTTTCCTCATTTGGAAAGCAATGTCCCTTGAGGATTAGATGAGTCAATGCACACAAAAGGCTCAGAGCCGGCCCTGCCCATGGTGGGCGCCCAGGGAGTGGGGACAGGGACGTGAGCGGGCAGCTCCCACTGTGCACCCTTCCCGTGCGGTGCTTGGACTGGCCACGGTGCATGCGCTGACATGGGCGGGGCTGCTGGGGCAGGGAAAAGAGCCTGGGGTGGGAGCAGCTGCCTCGGGGCCTGTGCCTGTGGGCGCGTATGAGCCAGCCTGGCTTGGCGTCTGCTGCTAAAACAAACATCCCCACTCTCCCGGCCATCCCAGAGGCTCATTTCTCGCTTGTGTTGGGGGCTTTGGTGGTTTTGCTCCCCGATCTCTCAGATCCCAGGTTGACGGAGGTGCTGTCACCCCCAGTGCAGTAAAGGCTCTATGCTTCTGTAACCCAGAAAGGTGGTACGTGTATTCAGATGCACTCTGATTGGTTTAAATCAGGCCTGGTGAGGCCAAGAGAGCAGGAGGTGACTGCTATTGAAAAGCTCTTGTGTTACAGTTCCCGAGGCTTTGGTTGGAAGGGACGGGCCAGGCGGGGTAGATGGGCTGGGTGTGCCTAGGATGGGCTGGTTTGACTCCCGACTGTTTGCGGCTCTTGGCTGTTGGGGTGGTCCCTGTTCTGGGAGCTGGCCCTGGGGTGATTCAGGGCAGGGAACCTGGGCGTGGCGCGTGAGAGTTTGATCAGGTGCGTGGGCTCGCGGTTGGTTGCTCTGCACGTCACAGTGTGCTCGCAGGCGGGCCGTTTGCAACGTTTAGGAATCCGCTTACCCTGGAAGGGGCCGTCATCCCCAGATTAGCGAGGCCCCCAAGATGTCGTAAAATCCAGAAAACAAAACGCAGCATCAGCACTGTACCAGACCGGGCGCTCCGTGTTCCGGCAGCGGAGGACGCGTCCATCTCTCCCATCCTCAGCAGCCATATGGGTGCAAGGCGACTTCTTCCCTCACTGCGTCATTGCAGCGTATATTCGTCTTCTTGTGACTCAGAGAAAAAGTCCTTGTGGCTCTTCGCAGCATTTCCTCTTTGTTTTCTTGGAACTGCGTTTCCACAAGGGGAGCAGAGACCACTAGAGGCGAAGGGACTCGCCACACAGGAGCTCCCTCCCACTCCTCCCGACGGTCACCTGTGTTTCTATCAAGAGCTGGAAAATGGAGTGTCCCCACCAGGGAGACGGGGTCACCACCGAGGCTGGCTCTGAGCTGCCTCAGCTCCTGCAAGCTCCGTGGCCCCGACCTCCACCCTCCCCGGCCCATTTTCCTTGCACAGTTCCTTCTTGTAAGCACACACGTCAGGTTGAACTCTGACCTCATTTTCTGGGACCTGTATGATTGTGTCTTTCCCAGTCTACAGTTATCTGTCACCATTTTGTTGATTCGTAGGAGCTCTTTATTTGTTATGGCAGCTACTCATTTATTGGTGACACAAGTGCAGGTACTTCTTTGCCCATCTTCTCCTACGATGATTGTTAACGTCTGGCAGGTATTTTGGGGTTTATGTGGTCAAACTTATCACTCTTTCCTTTTCTGGTTTCCTAGTTTGGTGTCATGAATGGGAAAGTCTTCCTGTTCTGAGGTTATGATTAAATTCTGCTAAGACTTTTATAACTTAGCTTCTTTTTTGTTCACATTTCAATTCTTTTTTTTTTTTTTTAAGACAGGGTCTCGCTGTATCACCCAGGCTAGAGTTCAGTGACACGATTGTAGCTCACCGCAGCCTCGACCTCCTGGGTTCAAACCAGCCTCCCAACTAGCTGGGACTGCAGGTGTGCGCCACCATGCATAGCTAATTTTTCATCTTTTATGGAGACAGGGTCTTCCCATGTTGCCTGGGCTGGTCTCGAGCTCCTGGCCTCAAGTGATCCTCTTGCCTTGGCTTCTCGATGTGCTGGGGTTACAGGTGTGAGCCAGTGCGCCCAGCCTATTTCTGGACTTTTTATTCTGCTCCACTCCTCTGCCTTTACCTTCATGCTACAGCCATGTCTCGTCTTGAACAAATGATAACATGTTCACAGTTAAAAAAAAAAAAAGTAATCAGACTTGCAGTGAGTAAAAAGTGAGTCCCACCTCACCCTCTCCATCTCTGTGGAGATAATGACTGTCACCCCAGGTGTTTCTCTGGCCCATACACTTGGGGCTCAGATTATATTAGGCTATTAAAAATAGTTTATTTGGAAAGCTTTCCAGCCTATAGAAGGGGCAAGAATGCTACAGTGAAGACCTGTACAGCCCGCACAGAGATCCACCAGCTGCTAACGTTTTGCCATGTCTTTATCATTCTGTGTGTGGGGGGGGAGTGTACGTTAGTGTGTGCAAGTTTGTGTGTGTGAGAGTGCATGTGAGTTAGTGTGTGTGTGTTAGCGTGTGCGTGTGTGATTATGTCAGGCCATTTGCGTGTTGATTGCTGGCATGGTACCTCTCTGCCTGAAGCAGCCAGTTCCATTATTTGTGGTAGTTCTTTATTTTATTTTAATTATTTTATTTTTTTGAGACGGAGTTTTGCCCTCTCGTCCAGGCTGGAGTGCAGTGGCGCGATCTCAGCTCACCGAAACCTCTGTCTTCCGGTTTCAAGCAATTCTGCTGCCTCAGCCTCCCAAGTAGCTGGGATTACAGGCGCCCGCCACCACACCCGGCTAATTTTTGTATTTTTAGTAGAGACAGGGTTTCACCATGTTGGCCAGGTGGGTCTCGAACTCCTGACCTTGTGATCCAGCCACCTCAGCCTCCCAAAGTGCTGGGGTTACAGGCATGAGCCACTGCGCCAGGCCTGTTTGTGGTAGTTCCTTTGTGAAGCTGCTGCAGACACTTCAGGCGCACACTGAGCCCTGGCTCCAGGGGAAACCCAAGGTCGGGTTCCTGTGAGCCTCTGGGCATGATGTTTCCATCAGCCAGTCGATACGTGACCTTGTTGTATGTTCGTTTTTATTTCAAGGCGTGTTATTTTAGGGCTGGGTGCGGTGGCTCACACCTGTAATCCCAGCACTTTGGGAGGCTGAGGTGGGAGAATAACTGGATTACTGAGCCCAGGAGTTTGAGGCTGCAGTGAGCCGTGATTGCACCACTGCACTCCAGCCTGGGCGACAGAGTGAGATCCTAAGAAAATTTTAAAGACACCCGTGTTGTTGATTTATCCACAGGGAGCTCACAGACCATAGGCCGCGTGCGCCAAGCCCCCCCCACCCCCCAGCCCCATCCCGGGCACTCTCCCAGGCCCCCGCCCATTTGCAGGCTGTGTTGGGGACAAGGCTGGAAGGGGGACCGGGGGCATGTATTCGGCTGTGTGGGGGCTCAAAAACGGGGTGGGGGGCCATGGCGACGTGGGTGTGGGTCCCCCTCCCCCGGCCCACCAGCTCGGTGTGTCTCTCGCTCTCGTTCTCCCCCCACTCTCCTCTCTCTCTCTCTCTTTCCGCTCTCAGTCCTGTTTGAGCAAAGCTTCTCTCACTACGGGTTTCTCCATGGGGCTCATCCGGGTCTCTAGCCCTGAGGGACACGAAACCACCTGAGGACAATGCCTGGGGGGGCAATTTCAGCAGCAGAATCACCAGCAAAACCGCAAAAAACACACGCGGCTCTCAGTGGACCAGGGAAAGGCCAGGTGCTCACAGCAGGAGTTGAAACCAGGGGGCGAGGGTGGCCTCACCGGAGCTGCCTGGGGACGTGTGTGCCCCAGAGTCCTGGGGGTGCTGCCCTGGAAATAGCCTTCCGGTCTTCTAGATCCCTCCCCGCCCACAGCAGGGGGCCAGAGGCCGTCCCCCCCTCGCAGGTGAGGAACAGGAGCTCCTGCGGGCTCCCCTGCGGCACCCCGCTCTGTTTCCCACCACGGCCTAACCTCAGGCTCTGGAAGGAATTCCCTTCAGGGACACTGTACTCCCCGGAGGGACGCTGCGCCCCTGGAGGACAGGGACGCTGGGGAGCCAGCCGCGAGGGGCGTCCACCTCTGCTGTGCTGGAGACGGAGCGCGCAAGGAGGTGGGGACCACGCGCAGACCCTGGCTGCGGGAGCCTCAGCTCGGGGCCCATCAGGATCTCCCGCAGCCCGCACGGGCCGGGCTTCCCCCAGGGGCTGGCGTGTGCTCTGTGCACCCTGACCCATCCCGTCGGCCCCGCCACCTGCGGGCTGGCCACGCCCCACAGCCTCCTGCCCCGGCCCGCCCGGGAGCTTGGTGCTGAGAGTGGAGCCTCTTTCTCCCTGGACATTGGGGCCCTGGGAAACGACCCAACACCTCAGGGCCTGCGGAGTTCTGGATGCTCCGCCCGCCTGCGCAGAGCTTCCTGTTTACCGGCCTGGCTCCTGCCCGCCCACCTGCTGCGGGGAAAGCGATCACTCTATGCCCTGCGGGGAGCACCCGGCAGGGAGAAGGGAGAAGGGGCAAGGAAGAGGGGCGGCCTACTACTCGGGTGGACCCCAGGCTGTCCCTCCACCGTGCTGGGGTCCCCCAGGTGTACCCTCCCCTCCAGCCACCTCACCCCTTCCTTGCTGTGTCCCGCAGGTGTTCTGTGGTGTCCTCTGAGGGCCTGTGCGTGTGTGTGCGTGTATGCATGTGTGTATCTGCATGTGTGTGCGTGTGCATGTGTGTGCGTGTGCATGTGTGCATGTATGTGTGTGCGTGTGCATGTGTGCATGTATGTGCATGTGTGCGTGTATGTGCGTCTGTGTCCCCTTCCCACAGGCCCTCACCGCTCCCTGCACCTGTGGGTCCTTTCTTCCTTTCCTGCCCTGTTGGGACATATTCCTTATTGCACACTTGGACTTCTTTCTTAAATTCTTTTCTTTTTGAGACTGAGTCTCAGTCTGCCACCCAGGCTGGAGTGCAGTGGCGCAGTCTCGGCTCACTGCAACCTCCGCCTCCCAGGTTCAAGCAATTCTCCTATCTCAGCCTCCTGAGTAGCTGGGACTACAGGCATGTGCCACCATGCCTGGCTAATTTTTTTTGTTTTTGTTTTGAGTCGGAGTCTCACTCTTTTCACCCAGGCTGGAGTGCAGTGGCATGATCTCAGCCCACTGCAACGTCTGCCTCCCGGGTTCAAGCCAATCTTCTTCTTCAGCTTCCAGAGTAGCTGGGATTATAGGTGTGCACCACTATGCCCGGCTAATTTTTGTGTTTTTAGTAGGGACAGGGTTTTACCATGTTGGCCAGGCTGCTCTCGAACTGCCGACCTTAGGCTATCCACCTGCCTCGGCCTCCCAAAGTGCTGGGATTACCGGTGTGAGCCACTGCACCTGGCCTTGATCTGTTTTTTTCTTTGCTTGCTTATGCTTTTGGTGTTTATTTAAGAAATTGTTGCCTAATCCAAGGTCACAAAGATTTATTACCCCATTTTCTTAAGTAGTTTTATAGTTTTAGCTATTACATTCATTCCAGTTTGTAATTATTTTATTTTATTTTATTTTATTTTATTTTATTTATTTATTTATTTTGAGACGGAGTTTCGCTCCTGTTGCCCAGGCTGGAGTGCAATGGTGCGATCTCGGTTCACCACAAGCTCCACCTCCTGGGTTCAAGTGATTCTCCTGCCTCAGCCTCCTGAGTAGCTGGGATTACAGGCGCCCGCCATCACGTCTGGCTAATTTTGTATTTTTAGTAGAGACGGGGTTTCTCCATGTTGGTCAGACTGGTCTCAAACTCCCGACCTCAGGTGATCTGCCCGCCTTGGCCTCCCAGAGTGCTAGGATTACACACGTGAGCCACTGCACCCAGCCTTTATTTTTATTTTTTTGAGACAGAGTCTCACTCTGTCGCCCAGGCTGGAGTGCAGTGGCGTGATCTCAGCTCACTGCAAGCTCTGCCTCCCTGGTTCATGCCATTCTCCTGCCTCAGCCTCCTGAGTAGCTGGGACTACAGGCGCCCGCCACCACGCCCGGCTAATTTTTGTATTTGTATTTGGGAGGATCGGCCTCCCAAAGTGCTAGGATTACCGGTGTCAGTCACTGTGCCTGGCTAGGAAACTCTGTAAAGGGCTGAGTAGTAAATTTTTTAGCTTTTAGTCTAAGTACGGTGGCTCACGCCTGTAATCCCAGTGCTTCGGGAGGCCAGGGTAGGAGGATCAGTTGAGCCCAGGAGTTTGAGACCAGCCTCGGCAACAACGCGAGACCCCCGTTTCTGAAAAAAGAATTAGCCAGGTGTGGTGGCGCCTGTAGTCCCAGCTACTCAGGAGGCTGAGGCAGGACGGTCGCTTGAGCCCAGGAGTTGGAGGCTGCAGAGCTATGGTGGCACCACTGTGTTCCAGCCTGGGTGACAGTGCAAGACCCCGTCTCTACAAAAAAATCAAGATGAACATTTTAGGGTTTGTGGTCCAGATGGTCTCTGTCACAACTCCTCCACACTGCGGTTGTAGCACTTAAGGAGCCAGACAATTCGTGAACACATGGGTGTGGCCATGTTCCAATAAAACTTTTTTTTTTTTTTTGAGACGGAGTCTCGCTCTGTCACCCAGGCTGGAGTGCAGTGGCATGATCTCAGCTCACTGCAAGCTCCGCCTCCCGGGTTCACGCCATTCTCCTGCCTCAGCCTCCCGAGTAGCTGGGACTACAGGCGCCCGCCACCACACCCGGCTAATTTTTTGTATTTTTAGTAGAGACGGGGTTTCACCGTGTTAGCCAGGATGGTCTCGATCTCCTGACCTCGTGATCCGCCCGCCTCGGCCTCCCAAAGTGCTGGGATTACAGGCATGAGCCACCGTGCCTGGCCCAATAAAACTTTCTTTAGTGGGCTGTGTTCGGCCCCTGGACTGTGGTATACCAGCCCCTGCTTTAGACAGTCTTTGTAGGACCTTATGAGTTCCATATAATCAGCGAGACTCCTGTCTTTTTACCTGTGCCGAAGTTGTCTAGGAGAAAGTTCTAGAATTGAAGTTGCTGCCAAGGGCACACACATTAGAAATGCTGCCAGGCTGCCCCCTAGGGGAGAATCTATTGACACGGGCATCACCCCCAGCCGTGTGAGGACCCCCTGAGTCCCCAACCCATTGCTGGCAGGCTGGTTTCATATCATGTCTTTTATCATTAGAGGGGTCTGGGCGTCTTTTTCAGATGTTCACACTGTTTGTTTTCTTTTCCTCTGCCTGTTTTACAAGTTGAGTGAGTTAATGCTTTGAGAAAAGCCTCATTTCTATAAATAAAAATGACAAAATATGTATTTCAGACGGCACCAAAGGATGGAAGTTGCAAATTAAGAGACCCTCCCCCATCCCACACCCAGAAATAACTTGGAACCTTCTAAGATTCACGTGTCTGGCCCTGACTGCTGAGTGACGTGTCTACAGTGGTGGAAGCCATGTGGCACTAAGAGCTTGAGTTCTCCTGGTGGGTCACAGGGAACCAGATCCTGGTGCTCAGAGGGAGAGAGCCGCCCGGGGCTTTGCTGCCTGGGCCCTACGTGCCGGGTGACCTTCAGCAGGTGGTGGTCCCGCTCTGGGTGCGTCTGTGGTGGGATTCGTGGATTATGCAACAAACCACTGCCACACTGAGAGGCTTCACGCTGCAGTGCTTTTGCTGTCAGTTTCCCAGTATTGGCTGGGCTTGGCTGGGCTCAGCAGGTCGGTTCTGCTGCGGCATCTGGCTTGTGCCAGCACACCCTGGTGGCCTCCTGTCCCAGGCCTCTCTCCGCATTGCTGCCACCCTCCAGCCTGGCCCCAGCATCGTACTGGAGGGATTCCAAGAGAGCAGAGGCTGATGGAAGAATTCCCCCCATGTCACTTCTGCATCATGTGATTGGCCAAAGCAGGGCTTGAGACCCGCCCACTTTCAAGGGGAAGGAATTCGGCCCTGTCCCCGGGATGGAAGGGACCCTGGCAGGCAGCAGGTGTCCCCATCTGTGTGTGAGTGCTGTGAGATTGTGCGCTGGATGATGTGTGTGGGGTGAGGGGGCGGCAATGAGCTCATCTTGATGCCTCTAATTATAAGGCAAAGAAATGCTCATGCGTGACTGGTGTGGTTACCACTGCAGCGCTGTGAGCGGGAGGCTCTTCTTATCGTTCCGTCTTTATTTTGAGGAATCCTGAGGTCCAGTGGGTGACACAGAGGCCACTTCCCAGCCAGGAGGCTGTGGGTGCTGCTCCAGGCACCGAAGCATCTGCTCTGCCTCTCCTGTGCTGGGGGCCGGGCCTGCTGCAGAGACAGAGTCAGCACTGGTCGGGGTGGTGGGGGCTCCAACATGGGGGAGGTGTGGGACTGCCCGGGAGAGGAAGCGGGGGCTCCAGCGTGGGGGGGGTGTGGGACTGCCCGGGAGGGGAAGCAGGGGCTCCAGTGTGGGGGAGGTGTGGGACTGCCCGGGAGGGGAAGCGGGGGCTGGCTGTGCTCTGCACAGGATGTTCCTGCTGTGCCCGGGCTGATCCCAGCTCTCCAGACACGGTCCTGCCCCGGGGCCTCCGTACTGGCTGTGCCTCTGCCTGGGAGGCCCCTCTGCCCTTCCCCCGCCTGGCTCCTCCTCACTCTCCTCCCGTCCCTGCTGTGGTGACGCAGACTGGGGCCTGACATCCTGGAATCAGGTGCGTCCACCCCTACATTTTTGCTGCATGATCAGGCAAGCGATCTGACCTCTCTGAGCCTCAGTTTCCGCCTCTGCATAATGGGAGCAGTAATAGTGCCTACGTCACAGGGTTGTTGGGACAATTGCGTGACTAAGCCATGGGGTTCTCATATGGTGCGGGCCCCGCCACACACACGGCGAAGGTGGGCTAGCTCGTCTCTGGCCAGCTCCTGCCTGCGCTCCAGCTGTTCCAGGGTGGCTCAGTGGTTAGAGACGGGAAGCAGCCTGCGCCCCTGGGCTCTTGACCCCATCCAACCCCGTTTCCCTCCTGAGCCAAGCCCACTGTGCCCTGGACCCAGATCTCCGTGGAACTCCTGGGAGGAGGACACTGTCGCAGGCAGCCTTACCCACGTGCCAGGCTCGTGCTGTCTGCACTGTTGCAGAGGGGAAAGATGAAGTCGCTGCCCTGGCCGGGCTCATGGCCTCAGAGGGAACAAATGTGGAGGATCCAAGGAGTAGAGAGAAGTAAACCCAGCGGGGGCAGGGTGACCAGGGAGGGGACTCTCTGAGGAGGTGACATTTGATCTAGACCTGAACAAGGTTGGGTGGGAGAGAGAGTTCCAGGCAGAGGCGCAGCCTGTGCGGAGGCCCTAGGGCAGGACCAAGCCTGGTGTGGGGAGGGAGGGGGAGGAGAGGAGGGAGGGGAAGGACAGGAGGGGAGGGGAGGGGGAGGAGGGGAGGTGTTCTCCATCTGGGCCTCTGTCCAGCAAACGTTCATTGAGGCAACATCTGTGACCTCACACAGTTTCTGAGTCAGGAGTCTGGGAGCGGCGTAGCTGGGTGGTCCTGGCTCGGGGTCTCTCATGAGGCTGTGGTGAAGCTGTCAGCCGGGACTGCCTCCTCTGAAGGCTCAACTGGGGCTGGAGGAGCCGCTTCCAAGAGAGCTTCTGCTCTTTATTTTTTATTTTTTTAATTTTTTTATAGGGACAGTCTTGCTCTGTCACCCAGGCTGAAATGGAGTGTCACCATCATAGCTCACTGCAGCCTCCAACTCTGGGGCTCAAGCAGTCTTCCCACCGCAGCCTCCCGAGTAGCCGGGACTACAGGCACACGTCACCACGCCAGATAATTTTTTTGTTTTTTGAAGAGGTGGGGTCTTGCTATGTCTTGCTATGTTGCTCGGTCTGGTCTGGAATTCCTGGGCTCAAGCAATCCTCCCACCTCGGCCTCCAAGTGTGCTGGGATGACAGGTATGAGAACTGCGCCTGGCCCACAATGCCTTTTTTTTTTTTTTTTTAGATGGAGTCTTGCTCTGTTGTCCAGGCTGGAATGCAGTGGTGCGATCTCAGCTCACTGCAACCTCTGCCTCCTGGGTTTGAGCGATTCTCCTGCCTCAGCCTCCTGAGTAGCCGGGATTACAGGCGCGCACCCCCATGCCTGGCTAATGTTTGTATTTTTAGTAGAGACGGGGCCTCACCATGTTGGCCAGACTGGTCTCAAACTCCTGATCTCAGGTGATCCACCCGCCTCAGCCTCCCAAAGTGCTGGGTTTATAAGAGTGAGCCACTGTGCCTGGCCCACGATGCCTTTTCTAAGAAATGTTAGGCACCTTCTCTTTGTCTCCCTCTGTGCTATTGGTGGGGGTGGTGACGGGGTCAGACCAGCATGCAGCGTGCAGCAGGCTCTGCAATCTGGGCTCGTGGAAGCATATTCCTACACGCCAGGCTGACGGGGAAGGAGTTCGCTTTGGATCCTGGTGGGCCTGAGGGGCCAGAGGACCAAACGCAGGCCCCAGGGCTCGTTTGGCTAAGTGACCCCCTGGAGTTTATCTGAAGAATGTGCCTTAAGTTTGCTCCTCCCCCAGGGGCTGCCCTGGGGCTGCTGTTTGCCCTCCCCCAGGGGCTGCCCTGGGGCTGCCGTTTGCCCTTCAAGTCCAGGCTGGAGCGAATGTTGCTGCCTTTGACTAGCAGAGACCTCTGAGCCTCAGTTTACATAGCTGTAAAATAGGTCCAATGCCAGTCACCTCATGGAGCATTGAGAGGGTCAGAGACGCAGCTTGCAGAGCACCAGCCCGCGGGGGGATGTGTGTACGAGCTGCAGCTTTTATTACAGGGAACTTCAAACAAAAGACAAAAGTGGGCCAGGCGCGGTGGCTCATGCCTGTAATCCCAGCACTTTGGGAGGCCGAGGTGGGTGGATCACCTGAGGTCAGGAGTTCGAGATCAGCCTGGCCAACATGGCAAAATTCCGTCGCTACTAGAAATACAAAAATTAGCCAGGTGGTAGTGGTGAACGCCTGTAATCCCAGCTACTTGGGAGACTGAGGCAGGAGAATCGCTTGAACCCAGGAGGCAGAGGTTGCAGTGAGCCAAAATCATGCCACTGCACTCCAGCCTGGGCGACAGAACGAGACTCTATCTCAAAAAAAAAAAAAAAAGTGGACAGGGTGGTACAGGTACGGGTGTTCTTTTCCTGAAACATTGTACACACCCGGAGAATAGTGTCAGGAACACCCTGCCCGCCCCCACTCCCATCCCACATACCTCCATACTGTGTTGACTCCGGGTTCTTGTGTGTGCAGATGCGGGGGGCGAACAGGGGCGAGATTCTACCATCCCAGTCTCTAAAACAGGGTCTCTGCCTCTCAGCACTGCCGACCTGTGGGACCTGATCTTTCTCTGGGGTAGGGCCATCCTGGGCACTGCAGGGGGCTGAGCAGTGTCGCTGGCCTCCGCCTACTTTATGCCAGGAGCACCCTTAGTCATGACAATCACAAATGGCCCCAGACATCAACCAGTGTGCCCTGGAGGGCAGAGTCTCCCCTGGTGAGACCTCCATTTCGGTCACTCCCTCCACCCCCAGGGCCACGCTCAAAGCCTGTCCCAGAGGAGATCCTGGCCTCCGCCTGATCTCCTCTGACCCTTTACAAAAGTTTGCTGACCCCTGACTTAAGGGATAAACAGAAAAGATGTTTTTTGACCTATGTAGTAATAGATGGGTGTCTTTTATGTGATTCTGTGCTTTCCAGGTGCTTAAAACCTTTTCTTATTAGACATTGTATTTAGACAGTCCGGGCGCGGTGGCTCACGCCTGTCATCCCAGCACTTTGGGAGGCCAAAGTGAGTGGATCACCTGAGGTCAGGAGCGAGACCAGCCTGGCCAACATGGTGAAACGCCATCTCTATAAAAATAGAAAAATTAGCTGAGAATAGTGGCGGATCCCTTTAATCCCAGCTACTCGGGAGGCTGAGACGGGAGAATCGTATGAACCTGGGAGGCGGAGGTTGCAGTGAGTCAGGATGGTGCCGTTGCACTCCAGCCTGGGCGACAGAGCAGGACTCCGTCTCAAAAGAAAAAAGAAAAGACAGTTGCATTTAGACAGAGAGCCGGCCGCCTCAGTGGTGTGTCATCCCCCAAACCCAAGAGATGCTTGCTGATTTTGGTTTGGATGGATGGATGGATGGATGGATGAACGGATGAACGAGCCAACAGACAATCACCTGACACCATTCACCACGCTGGGAGTCTCAGAATCAGAAGAGAGTGCATCTTCAGGGTAAGAACTAGCCTGTAGTCACTTCAGGGCCATTGTTCCAGGCTTGATTGTGGGGCTTCAGGCCTTTGCCACGTCCCCCCGAGGGGGCTGTAGCCAGGGTGTTCTCACAGGGCCAGAGGGCAGGAGCTGGGATCCCCCAAACCCCACCATAGCCCGGGCAGTGTCTCCCACAGCATCTGCCTCTTCGTTTGCTGCAGAAAGTTTCTTGAGCGTCTGCAACATGCCGGGCACGTTCTAGGCTCCAGTTGCCTGCTCCACCACTCCGTCCACCATGCGTGCCCAGCGCAGCACGTCAAGCCACATCCAGGGCGCCCCTTGGGCCCCTCCAACCCTGCAGGTCCTGACTGCTCAGCACATCTGACCCAAGCCTGTGCTTCTTCCTGATGCCCCATCTTGGTAGCCAACTCACTGTGTGCCTGAGCCCAGGTCCCAGGTCACGTCCTCTCCAGTGCTCCCCCTCCACAGCTGAGGACCCCTCTGGATCTCCCAGATCCAGCCCAGCCCGCCTGCCCCAGCTCCATTCACCGGTGCTGCTGCGCCCCTACTGAGTAGCGAGTAGGTCTGGGAGAGCAACCGTGAACGAGACGCCAGGTCTGTGCTCCCACAGGAAGGAGCAAGATCAGTCCCAACTGATGTGCAGTGTGAGGAAATAGAATGGGATGCAAGGCGGGTAGGAAGGTGGCTGTGAGGACGGTCTCCCTGGGGAGGTGAGAGGCTGAGACCCAAACGGGAGGACAGGAGCCGGCCAAGCAGGGACACAGGCGCAGCACGCGCAAGGCCCCTGAGGCAGGAACATGCCCCTCAAAGGTGTGGTGCTGGGTGGGGAGCCTGGGCACAGGGCCCGGCCCACTGGAGCTTGGGGGCATCCTCTGTGACCCGTGTCCCCACTCAGGTTCCTCAAGCAGAGTTCCCTCAAAAACCGTGTTTCTTCAGAGCTTGAAAACACCTGTGTCCAAGGTAAAGACTCACCTTTCCCCTGGGGGAAAGGGATTTTTAAAGAGAATTTTCAAAAGTGCTGAAAAGTTGAAAGAATTGGGCAGTAGACCCACGACTTACCGCCTGGGTCTTGCAATTGGCAGTTGGCTGTGTTCACGCCATCCCTCCATCCCACCATCCCTCCATCCCTCCCTCCATCTTGCCATCCCTTCATCCTCCATCCCTCCATTCTCCATCCCTCCCTCCACTCCTCCATCCCTCCATCCCTTCCTCCGTCCTGCCATCCCGCCATCCCTCCCTCCATCCTGCCATCCCGCCATCCCTCCATCCCTCCCTCCATCCATCTTGCCATCCCTTCATCCTCCATCCCTCCATTCTCCATCCCTCCCTCCATCCCTCCCTCCGTCCTGCCATCCCGCCATCCCTCTGTCCCTCCCTCCATCCTGCCATCCCGCCATCCCTCCATCCCTCCCGCCCTCCATCTCGCCATCCCTCCATCTCGCCATCCCTCCATCTCGCCATCTCTCCATCTCTCCCTCCATCCTTCCATCTCTCCATCCCTCCTTCCACCCCTCCATCCCTCCATCCCTTTATCCCTCCATCCCTCCCTCCATCCCTCCTTCCATCTCTCCATCCCTCCCTCCATCCATCCCTCCCTCCATCCCACCATCCTTCCATCCTCCTTGCCTCCATCCCTCCTCCATCCCTCCATCCTCCATCCCTCCATCCTCCATCTCTCCATCCTCCATCCCTCCATCCTTCATCACTCCATCTCTATCCCTCCATCCATCTATTCTCCATCCCTCCATCCTCCATTCCTCCATCCCTCCATGCCTCTGTCCCTGCATCCCTCCGTCCCTCCATCCCTCCGTCCCTCCATCCCTCCATCCCTCCACCCCTCCATTCTCCATTCCTCCACCCCTCCATTCTCCATTCCTCCATCCTCCATCCCTCCGTCCCTCCATCTCTCCATCCCTTCATCCTCCATTCTCCATCCTCCATCCCTCCATCTCTCCATCCCTCCATTTTCTATCCTGCCATCTCTCCATCCCTCCATCTCTCCATCCCTCCATTCTCCCTCCCTCCTCCATCCTCCATTCTCCTTCCATCTCTCCATCCCTCCATTCTCCATCCCTCCATTCTCCATCCCTCCGTCTCTCCATCCCTCCATCTGTCCATCCCTCCATCCTCCTTCCCTCTATTCCTCCATCCTCCATCCATCCATCCCTCCCTCCATCCCTCCATTCTCCATCCCTCCCTTTATCCCTCCATCCCTCCTCCATCCCTCCCTCCCTCCCCTCCCTCCCTCCCTCTCTCTATCCCTCTCCCACCCCTCCATCCCTCCCTCCCTCCATCCCTCCATCTATCCCTCCCTCCCTCCCTGCATCCCTCCCTCCATCCCTCCATCCTCCATCCTCCATCCCTCCCTCCATCCCACCATCCTTCCATCCCTCCATCCCACCATCCCTCCATTCCGCCATCCCTCTCAGCTTGTTTTTTGGAAGCCTTTCAAAGTTGCAGACCTCAGCACCCCCACCTGTCAACACTTAACACGATTCAGCATCTTGAACTGGACTCACTGTCTCTTTTTTTTTGAGAGGGAGTCTCACTCTGTTGCCCAGGCTGGAGTGCAGTGGCATGATCTTGGCTCACTGCAACCTCCGCCTCCCAGGTTTAAGCGATTCTCCTGCCTCCGCCTCCCAAGTAGCTGGGATTACAGGCACTGGCCACCACACCCGCCTAATTTTTGTATTTTCAGTAGAGACGGGGTTTCACCATGTTGGCCAGGCTGGTCTCTAACTCCTGGGCTCAAGTGACCCGCCTGCCTCGGCCTCCCAAAGTGCTGGGATGACAGGCGTGAGCCACCGTAAAGCCTGGCCTAAAACTTTCTCTTTTTCTTTTCAGTCTTCATTCCTTTCTCTTTTTCTAGTCTTATTGCTCCAGCCAGCACTTCCGCTGCAGTGGCGGCTCTCACAGCCACACCCCTGGTCTTGTGGTTGACATTAAGGCATTTCCCATAACTTTTTGCTTTATACTTCTTTCATTTTATATTTTATTTTATTTTATTTTAATTTTAAGACAGGATCTTGCTCTGTTGCCCAGGCTAGAGTGCAGTGGTGCAGTCATAGCTCACTGCAGCCTCAAACTTCTGGGTTCAAGTGATCCTCCCGCCTCAGCCTCCCAAGTAGCTAGAAATACAGGTGTGCACCACCACTCCTGGCTAATATTTAAATTTTTTTGTAGAGATGGGGGTCTCACGATGTTGCCCAGGCAAGTCTCAAACTTCTGGGCTCAAGCCGTCCTCCTGCCTCAGCCTCCCAAAGTGCTAGAGCCACCTCGCCTGGTCTTATATTTCTTTTTAAAGTAAAAGCAGTCTCCCTTTCTCTCCTTTTTTTCTTTCTTGGTAGTATTTTGGGGGGACGTGAAATTCATGTTGAATTTCGTTGAAGGTTTTTCTGGATTCGGAGATGGGATCACAGCGTTTTTCACCGTTGACTTTGGGTAACTTCCTAAATTTCCCCAAATCCCCATTTCCCGGCCTGTCAAACGGTGATCATGAATTAGGTGGCAGCTGGATCAGGTGCTCACAGGCGCCTCCTGGCCACGCGCCGTCGGGGAGTGGGCCGTGGGGGGCGAAGGCAGAGGCGAGTGTGCCAGGCGGGGGGCCGAGTGATGGTGCAGCCTTTTATTTCTAGATCTGCCTGTTTTTCGAGAAACCCAGGTTTTTCTCCAAAACATTGTGATTTCTAGAGTTGACCGAACCCAAACACCGCAGGGCTCAGAACCAAGCCCGGGCGGGCCACTCACCAGGGTGTGCTGGGAGTGGTGGGTGCCGGGGACCGCGGATGTACCGGGTGACAGTTTACGGCGACTCGCTGGGCTTGGGGCTGCAGGGCCGGGCAGGTACCTGAGTTCACATCTCTCATCACTTCCCGGTGGGGACCATCAGTCGGGTGCTGCCTGTCCCCAAACAGGGACCCCATTGCCTACCATGCCAGGCCTGTATGGGTTAGAGACGGTCACGCGGGAGGCCTGGCCACATGGGTTCTCCCCAGCGGTGTCAGAATCCTTCCACCTCTCCCAGCCTCGGTTTCCCCATGTGTCAAATGAAGCCGTGAGGAGTGGCTGCCTGGTCAGGCTGGGTGGGATCCTGTGTGGGGAGAGCTTGGTCGGCACCTGGTGCAGATATTTGCTGTTGCAGCCGTGTTGAACATCTCACCCAAGGGTTTAACCTCAGGGGCTACTGAAGCGGGGCATCACCTGGGGTCATCCTGCCCCCCTGGGGACACGGGGCCATGTCTGGAGACATCTGTGGTTGTTACAGCTGGGGGGTGCCCCTGGCATGGAGTGGGTGGAGGCCAGGGATGCTGCTCGGCACCCTGCAGTGCCCAGGACGGCCCCAGTGACCAGCCCAGAGAACAATCCAGCCCTAAGTGCTGAGGGGGGAGATCCTGGTTTGCATGGGCTTTGGGGGGTGCCTGGAGGCCCCCAAGCCGTTTGCATGTGGGTACACTCATATCAAGAGAGAAGAGGCCTGAGGCAGGGCCGTTTGATGTCACCATGGACGAGACTGTCCATCCCGGTCCATACCAGAGAGGAGCAGAAGCTGAGGGTCGGCACCAGCCTTTCAGACCTCGGTAGTTGCTGTTTACTGCGTTTCACAAAAGCCTTGGTCCATGATGGAGAGAAAAGAAAGGTTGAACTCAGTTCTACAGCACAGACAGTGTGAGAAGCTCCAGCCTGCAGCAGACTGGCTGCCCTTCTGGTCAAGCCTTGACCAAGTCCCCCAACCTCCTTTAGAGACAAGCAAACTGAGGCCCTGGGGGATGACCGAGTTTGGAGAAGGTTCCAGATGGTGTATGTCACTGGGCAATGCTTTTGCAACTAAAGGGATCTGCATCTTCATTTTGCTTTTCTGGGACACAAAATTCACTCTTTGAAAGTGTCTTACTGCTTACTTATTGCAACTGAGTAAATTCTTCTCGGCGTATTCACAGAGTTGTTCAGTCACTGCCACTAATTCTAGTACATTTCCATCACCCCGAAAGCAAACCCTGCGCCTGGCGGCTGTCACTCTCCATCCCTCCCCAGCCCCAGCACCCATGCATCCCCTCCCTGTCTCTCTGGATCAGCCTGTCCTGGACATTTCATAGAAATGGGGTCACACACTGCATGGCCTCTTGTGTCTGGTATCTCTCACTGAGTGTGACGTCTTCAAGGTGCATCCGTGCTGTGGCCTGCGTCAGAGCCTCACTCCTTTTCATGGCTGAATAATCCATGTACAGATTATTAATGCTTCTTTGAATGTAAGAAGTCCAAGTAAGACAAAGGAATTAAAAACTGTAACTCCTCCTGTTCCAAAGAAGTCCACAGATAGGCCGGGCACGGTGGCTCATGTCTGTCATCGCAGCACGCTGGGAGGCCAAGGCGGGCAGATCACGAGGTCAAGAGATTGAGACCATCCTGGGTAACACGGTGAAACCCCATCTCTACTAAAAATACAAAAAAGCTGGGCATGGTGGTGCGTGCCTGTAGTCCCAGCTACTCGGGGGAGGCTGAGGCAGGAGAATCGCTTGAACCCGGGAGGCGGAGGCTGTAGTGAGCCGAGATCTGCAGCTACTCGGGGGAGGCTGAGGCAGGAGAATCGCTTGAACCCGGGAGGCGGAGGCTGTAGTGAGCCGAGATCTGCAGCTACTCGGGGGAGGCTGAGGCAGGAGAATCGCTTGAACCCGAGTGGCGGAGGCTGTAGTGAGCCAAGATCTGCAGCTACTCGGGGGAGGCTGAGACAGGAGAATCACTTAAACCCAAGAGGCAGAGGTTGTAGTGAGCCGAGATCTGTTTCAGTCAGCTATTGTATAACAAACCACCCCCAGACAGAAGCTTCAAACAACTGTGTATTTGCTTGCGATTCTGTTATTTGGGTTGGGTTCAGTTGGGTGGTTCTTCTGTAGGTCATACCTGGGGTTAGTTCCATGGCTGTGGTCGGCAGTGGCAGGAAATTCAAGCTCGTCCTACACTTGCCTGTCCAACCCTCAGCCAGGATGGCAGGAACAGCTGGGGCCGCCCGGTCTTTTTGCAGGGAGCTGGCCTCTGAGTGTCGTGGCCCAGGTTCCCAGAGGCACAGTGAGAAGTGCCAGCCTTCCTCACGCCCACACCATCCCTTGCATCACATTCTGTTGGTCAGAGCAAGTCACACTACTGCCAAGCGTCGCAGCCATCTGTGGACAGCCACAGAAGGCCTTTCTGCAGTTTAGCAGGAGAAGATTCTTGCACGGCCTACCCTTGTCCGCCGGGTCCTGGTCTGAGCCTCACCAGAGCTGAGGGTCGGCCCTGCCGCCTCCGGGTCCCCACCCCAGCCTGTGTCGTGGAGTGCCGCTGCCCAGCCTGGCCGTCCTGGCAGGTCCTCAGAGGGGCCTGTGGTCCCCATGGTCGGAGGCCTGCACGGCGGGAGGCCAGAGGATGGGTTGTTCCAGCGAATGAGGGAGGTGACCGTGAGCTCTGGCCCGGGGTTGCTTCCTGCTTGTGGGATCGCAGGACCCCGTGCCTGGGCCGTCCTCACACACCCGGGTTGCTGTGTCACGGCGAGCCTGCACCTGTCCTGGGGTGCCCAGCAGTTGCCCTCTGGGCAGCGGCCCCACCCAGGGGTGCAGGCCCCCTGTGCTACTCTGACACACCTGGGTCCCACTGCCGCCCCTTTCTCACTGGCCTTCCCTTGCTGCCCTCAGAGCTTTGCCAGAGTCTGTGAGCAGGTGACAGAGCAGGCCTGGGACCCCTGTTGTGGGGATGACAACAGCCATGTATCAGGTGGTGCCGTGTGCCGGGCAGTGAGGAGGGGATCGTTTGGTGCAGGTTGGCTGGAGGAGGCCTCTGAGGGGTGATGTTCAAGCCAGGTCTGGGGTGAAACAGGAACAAACCGTGAGGGAATCTTGGGACTGGCAGGCCAGGCAGAGGCACCGCTCGTGCAAAGGCCATGACACAGGGTGGCGCTGGCGTGCTGGAGGGACAGCGAGGGCCCGTGTGGCTGGAGCAGAGGGAGGAGCAGAGGGCAGGGAGGGGGCCACACAGGGTCTGGTGGGGTGACAGGGCCTGGTCTTCACCCTGCAGGGTTGCAGTGAGGCCTGGGGAGACCCTTGTCTGCGGTGGGGGCGGGGTGGGTGGGCCCCCTTTCGCAGAATCCCTCCCCTGCCGTGGGCTCTCCCCGGCCCCCCAGTCCCCAGCCCCCCAGTCCCCAGCTTCATCATCCTGGGCCTTCCAGGGCCCTGCCCACTCTCCCCCCGCCCCCACCGCCTCCAGGGCTGGGGCTTTCTCCTCCCAGCCATGGGGGTCTGGACCTTGGTTCTACAGGGATGAGGCCACCACTGTTCCTGTCCTGCCTGCTGTCACAGTGCCCTGCAGGTGCCCACAGGGGCTGAGGCACCTTCCACCCACCCTCGAGCTTGCCTCGCTGGGCCCTCTGCCCCACGGCGCCCTGTCGGTGAGCCCAGAATGTGCCCTGTTTCCTCTCACTGTGATGCCTCCCTCCCTCTGGCCACCTGTCCAGACCTCTCCGTCCCCATTCTTACTTTGGGTCTCACTGCAGAGCCAGCCTGACAATCTGCCTCCTCCCCCAGTTTAGTCATTCCCTGCCTCAGTGTCCATGTCAGACAGATGTGGAGAGGAAGCTCTGGCGGAGGCCTGTTGTGCAGAGAAAAGAGGAACGGGTATCTGTCAGTCCATGGGTCAGTCAACAAACACGCCCATGCTGTCAGCCCAGGGCAGGCCCCGTCCTGAGGGAGCCCCCAGGCTCAGCAGGAGGGACCAGGCTGGTCTGCAGGATGGGGCGGTGTCAGTGG
The DNA here is from genome assembly GCF_000001405.40 of Homo sapiens. NCBI lineage: Eukaryota > Metazoa > Chordata > Mammalia > Primates > Hominidae > Homo > Homo sapiens. The sequence continues at coordinate 3,672,344 of NC_000019.10, read as the reverse complement.
GGTGGCAAAGGTGGCTGGTGTGGGACACAGTGTCCAGGGAGCACTGGCAGGGCCAGGGCGGAGACCAGGCGCAGGCCAGGGAACAGCTGGGTGCAGAGGCGGCCATGTGGCCCCGTGGAGAATGGCAGTGCCTCTAGGGCTCGAGCTGGCTTCAGCCGCACTTTATAGAGAGAGACTGAGGCTCAGAGAGAAGCCCTGGGCACACAGGGAGGTGGGGTGGCCGATGAGGTCACCGTGCAGCCAGCGATCAGAGCCGTGCACCGCAGGCCCGGGTCGCCACCACGTCCTGTGATGGGGCCAGGAGAGAGGGGCCCCAGCGGCAGAGCCCCCGCCTCGGGCCTGGCCAGCGGAAACTGCTCAGAGGGGCCACCTCCCGGCTCCGCAGCGCGGCTCGCCTTTCCTCCCCCGACTATTTTTAAAACCTAATTTCCTCGAAAACGGGGTGGCTCATTCAGCAGATAATTAGTCACGTCTCAGGCTGAGCAGAGCTCACCGTCATGACAGCCCCCTATGGGGGTCACGGCAGGCTCTGTGCCCTGAGCGGGCCTCATGGGGAGCGAGGATTGAGTGAAGATGGCGCTCACCTGCCCCCACCCCCTGGGCAGGCGGTGGCAGCAAGGCTGTGCTTTCTCCCCGTCCCCTCTCCTCCACAGGACACTCGGCTCTGGTCTCCCCTTGCTGCCCGTTCCTGCCTGCCCTGGGAGCCCCACATTTTCCCTGGGGTCCCCCAACCGAGTGCCTCCCCTCTCCGTCCTGCTCCACCTCCACCTCAGTGCTTCGGCCCCGGCCAGTCCCTTAACCCTACAGGCCCCCAGTGCAGGGACGTTCCCAGCAGGGCCCGAGCCGCCTGCCCCTCTCCTCTCCTCTCCCCGTTAGCCAGCTCAGGTGAGTCGGGCAGGTGAAGACGTGGAACCACAGAGGGAAACTGAGGCAGGGGGCCTACACCCAACACGGGTGACCCCGAGGTGCCTGGTGAGGTCAGCAGAGCTGGGTCTGGAGGGCCTCACTGCATCCACTGGGTCCCGGGGCCGTAGGGAGCCTGGGAGAGTCCGGGCAGGGGTGGACCCAAGCGCTGTGACCTCTCAGCATCGGGGCCACTGAGGAAAACAGCTGAGTCACCCAAGTGGGTGTGGGGGGGCCCCAGAGGGGTGGTTTCGCGAGTAGAGTCAGGACTGTGGGCAGGGAGGCCCCAGACAGGCCGAGCAGGGGGACGCCCGGGCCCCCGATGAGGTCTGGAACGTCCCGCCCCGGCCCACCGCTGGCTTCCTGCCCTCTCTTCTTTTCCTTCCCCCACACCCTGGACGTAAAACCGTGAATTGTTCTGCTCCCGGGCCGCCAACCCAAACATCACGTCAGCGTCCAGCACCTTCCGCCCCGCCGCGGCCCAGAGCAGGCCCTTTGTGGCCTGTCAGAGACCTGGGGGCGACTGGCCCTGTCCTCTGGAAGGACAGAGAAGCAGCCCGTCTTTCCCTTCACCGTGGCAGCCGGAATCCTGAGTCACCCCACTCCCTCCGTCCCCGTCCCCGCCCCTGCAGTGAGCACCATGGGTCTGTCCCCCAGATCCCTCCAGGGCCCACCCGCTGCCCACCCAGCCCTGCAGGGCATCCAGGTGGCCCGAGGGGAGGACCCTTCAGCTGTTCTTGCTGCCTTGAGAAGTACGCCCCCTCCCACCCAGGGCTGGGGTCCTCACTGGAGGGCTCCGTGTGAGGTCCTGGGCTGCCCAGACAAAGTCCCCGGGACTGGGGGGCTTGGAGCAGCAGGCCTTGAACAGGCGTTTGTTCTGGCTCAGCTCTGGAGGCCAGGAGCCTGAGGTCCAGGAGTGGGCAGGGCTCTGCCCTCCCGACCGACCTCGGAGAAGCTCCACACCCCTCTGCTCCTGGTGCCTCCGGGCATCCTTGGCGTTTCAGGGCCTGGAGGAGTGGTGCCCTCCCCGCCTCCACCCCACACGGCATCTTGGCCTCCCTGAGCGGCTTCTCTTATAAGGACAGCGGTGGATCCAGGGCCCACCCCACTCCGGCATGACCTCATCTTACCCAATGACATCAGCAAAGACTCTCTTTCCAAATACGGTTGCAGGCTGAGGTTCTTGGAAGGACGTGAATGTCGGAGGGACACCGTCCAACCCCGCACCCTCAGGCAGGCGTGGGGACTGACCACGACTGCAGGGGCCCACCAGCGTCTCGAATGCGGCCCCCTCCCCACCTGCCGCCTGCAGAGGCTCCTGACCCCAGCCCCCTCCCCACCTGCCGCCTGCCCCAGGTTCCTGACCGCAGTCCCCTCCCCACCTGCCGCCTGCAGAGGCTTCTGGCCCCAGCCCCCTCCATACCTGCTGCCTGCCCCGAGGCTCCTGACCCCAGGCCCCTCCCCGGCCTGCCCCTGCCCCGAGGCTCCTGACCCCAGCAAAGTTTTCCACCTCGTGCCTTCGTCTTGTCTCCGGCAGTTCTGACCCGGCAGCAGAGCAAAGCTATGGGCTGCTCCACCAAGTCGCATTCAGTTGCCTTCAGTGCCCGCGGTGGACGTGTTTTCAGACGGCAGGGCGGTCACCGGGGTGCAGCCTCTGGATGGGACACACGTGGGTCTCCCGTGCACCCACCGAGAGCAGCACAGTGCCCATGGGGGCCGAGGGGCGCTGGCAGGGCTGATAGGGTGGGGCATCGCCGACCCAGGCCCAGGTTTGACTTTCCTTCTCCTTCTGTGTGACCTCGGGTGGGTTCACCCCTCCCTCTGAGCATCTCTTTCCGCGTCATAAAACAGAAGGGCTCCCGCCTTCTCTGCACTCTTTGCTGGCTTTGTAAGGCCTTGGTCCAGAAAGACTTTTTGTCTCTCGGGGAAATTCTCCTCTGTCCCCTCTCCCGAGTCCACACCCAGCCGGGTCCCCACCCCTGACGGCCCCCGTCTGCACCGCGGACTCCGCACCCACCTCCTCACCTGTCTGCACCTCCCTGAACCTCGCCCAGTTGGCCCCTCACATGTCCTGGCCTCCCCTGCTCACCTCAGCCGGCCTGGAAGCCAGGGCCAGACCAGTTCCAACGCACTGCTGCCCAGCCCAGAGCAGGGAGGCAGCCAGAGGGCCGAGCCCTACGGAGCAGGGCACCTGCCGCACCCTCCTGCACACACTCCGGCGCAGCCTGAGTGTCTCCACGGGCTCATAATAATCCCCTTTGAGGGCCTGCCCCAGCACCCCCAGCTGCCAGACCTCAGCCAGCCCTCCCTTCCCCAACCCTCAGCCTCTTCCTCTAGGAAGGGGGAATGGAGTGAGAAGATGCTGGCAGAGCTGGGGTGGAGTCAGCCCTGACCCACAGCCCCTGTGATTGAAAAGAAGCATTTGTCTCCATGCCCCTGGGCCCTGGGTGGTGCCAGCATCGGAATCCAACAGGGAGGCACTCCCCTTCGGTACCCGCCTCTGCATGAGCCTGGAGGACGCTGCTGTTATCCGTGCAGCGTGGCTGCCTCAGCCACCTTGTGACCTTTGTGCTGCCGTTCCCTCCGCCTGGAACTCCCTCCGGCTCCCACGGCATCCTTGTTCGGCACTGAGCTCAGACAGGACCAGCCCAGGGAAGCCCCCCCTTGCTGATCCGCACCCCGCCTGTCACCCCACATCAAACACCCAGCCCTGCGCCCACCCCTGTTGACCGTGAGCCCCTTGAGGGCGAGACCAGGTCTTCCCCAGGCCTGCATGGTGGACGCCAGCACGTGCGATCCCTGCAGTCGCTGACATCGCTTCCCACCTCAGGGCTCCGAGGCCAGGAGTCCAGCCCCAGAACGGGGCCTCACCAGGCTAAAGTCAAGCTGTGGGCAGGGCTGGGCCCAGCACAAGCTGCAGAGGAGAATCCGTTTCCCCCTTTTCCCAGCATCTAGAGGCGCCCGCATCTGTCGGCTCAGGTCCCTTCCTCCCTCTTCACAGCCACAGCGCAGCCTCTTCCAGTCTCTGTCTGACTCACCCTCTCGCCCCCGCTCGTGAGGACCCTGTGAGGACATCGGGCTCCCAGGTCCCCCAGGATCATCTCCCGTCGGTCTCAGGGCCTGTAATCACAGCTGTAGAGTCTGTTCCCGTTCTCCAGATGAGGACCCCAGGGCCCTGCTGCTGGGAGCCAGGGCTGGGGATGTGGTCCTGGGTCCTAGGAGCTGAGTCTCGCCTGCTCCCCTCGTCCCAGCCTCCTTGCATGGAGGAAGGTGCTCCCGGCTCAGCCCAGGCCTGGGCTCGTTGGCTCAATCCTGCAGGCCTCTGTTGTCCTCTCTGGAGCTGCGGCCCAGGCCCTGCTGCGCTGACCGGAGGCTGCGGGCCCAGGAGCCAGGGCAGGGCTGGGGGTCCCCTCGCAGCCTCTCTTACCCTTCCACAAACCTCACTCTGGAGAGGGGCAGGGAGGGCGGCAGCCCTGGGGACCCCTGGCCAGTTCCCACTGACCGCAGCTGCCCAGGTGCTGGGCGCTCCCTGCAACTCCAGCCTGCCCTCGCCCCAGCGGGGGCCTGCCCCCCCTCACTCCCCACGCTGGCACCTGATTTCCCCATGCCCGAGCCTCTCCTGGCGCCTGCCTCCGAGGAAGCGGGGCTTGGTCAGTTCAGACCTGCTCAGTTGTTGACTGCCCAGAACCTCATGTCTGGGTGTGAAGGGGGTCAGAGCCGGGGGAGGTTTGCTCCCTATTTCCCCTCCCCTCCTCCAGGCAGGTCCAAGCCCCAGGCCCTCCGTGGTGGGTGCCAAGCCTAGGCGTCACCAGCTGCCCATCTCCCTGAGGCTGCAAAGCCTCTCCCCTGCTCTAGGCCCCAGTGGCTGCCAACCAGGGTGACCATGGCAGGCCCCAGTGGCCCCCACCCTCATCACATCCTCCCAGCGCACTCAGTCCATGTCTTCACTTGTGTGTAGCCTTGAGACCAGCCCCACGCGGAGTTACACACGCCAGGCCTGGGGCGCCAGAAGGTGGGCCGGGGGCTGGGCCCAGGACTCCCAGAGGTCACCGGTTTCCTGTCTGATACCCAGCTTGTCTCTTCTGCAGGTTTGGCTCAGAAGAAGGCGGCCCCAACAGAGGTGAGTGTCTGGAGCGGACGAAGGGCCTGGGGTCCCCACCCTGACCTGCTGCCTCCCTACTCGCGGAGAAGCTGTGTGGCCTGGGGCAGCTCACTACACCTCTCTGGGCCCCAAATGCCGTCCAGTGTCCACAAGCAGGATGAACGTGAGGTCTACACCAACTGCGTCTTGAGAGGTCGGGGTGAAATTCCGTGATGGAGGAGGGGGCCCTGCATCTGAGGGGCCACACCCTCAGTGGCAGGGGTGCCTGGTCAGGGCTGCAGGGGCAGGAAGGGCTTCTCTGGGTTCCAGGCCACGTGGAGCCTGGATTCTGGGGGGTGGGCGGTGGGGAGAGAGCAGCTCTCGCCGGGGGACTGGGGGCAGGAATGGAAGACCTGGCTGGAGGGTTAGACGCTGCCCAGAGGGCGATGCCCGAGGCTACCAGCTGCACCCACGCCCTCAGTGTCTGTGAGCCACACAGGCGTAGTGCACAGTGAGGCTGTGTGCAGCCTATGTGTGCATGTTTGCCTGCGTGCGTGTGTGCACGTTTGTGTGTGTGCATGTTTGCCTGCGTGCGTGTGTGCACGTTTGTGTGTGTGCATGTTTGCCTGCGTGCGTGTGTGCATCTATTTTTGCTTGTGTGGATGTTTGCCTGTGTGTGTGCACGTTTGTGTGTGTGCATGTTTGCGTGCATGTGTGCACGTGTTTGCCTGTGTTCATTTGCCTACGTGCGTGTGTGCACGTGTTTGCCTGTGTTCATGTTTGCCTGAGTGCATGTGTGTTTGCCTGTGTGCCTGTTTGCCTGCGTGCGTATGTACACGTTTGCCTGTGTGCACGTCTGCACGTGTGTTTGCCTGTGTGCATATTTGTCTGTGTGTGTGCACATCTGCATGTACATGGGTCCTGTCATTGCTGCCCGTCTCCTCCCGAGAGCTTTCTCTGCACGTTGGCCCTGCCTTTGCAGCTTCTGCCAGCCCCGTGGCGCCGAGTGGCCTTCTTCCCAGCCCCAGTGGGCGCAGTGGGGTGGGCCGTCCTCTGAGGGCACCCGAGCTGCTGCATCTCCCGTCTTCCCGCATGCAGTCCTCAGGGCACCTGTCCATGAGCCCCATTCACAGGAGCAGTCCCCAAGGCACCTGTCCCACCTGGGCCACCCTTGGCCCTGCGTCCGTAGCCAGAGCTTGGAGGGCTTTGTCCACCAGGCCTGGGACCCTGGGATCCTTCCTCAGAGTCCCCCGGCGTGGGGGCAGTGTGGAGGGTGGCGCGGGTGGAGGGTGGCCCGGGTGGCGGGGTGAATTCCTGGGGAGAGCCTGCCCCCTGGCGGCCACCTGGGAGAATGCAGGGAACATGGCTGAGCAGCGTCGGCTGTGGAGGGAGGGCAGGGGCAGGGGTCAGGGCTGCAGGCGTGTCCCTGGGGCTGATAGCGGTGGGATGGGGTCTGGCCAGTGGAGGGTCCATGGGGTCTCCTAGCAAACGCAGTGGCGCTCCTTAAATGACGGTGCCAGGCGGGGCTGTTCTCCTTGGTTGGCCTCTGTGTCCCTTCAGGCTCCCAAGGCCCCTCCTCACATCCTCCCTCGAGGGCAACAAGCTGAGGCCCCCTGGGGTCGGCGGTCCCATCTGCTGGGACACCCGCGCTGCCCGACAGCTTGCAGGAGCCGGGCCTGACCCTGGCCAGTGAGACCATCTCCCTCAGGGACAAGGTGGTCTTTTCAATCCTTCCATCCCAGCGGTCTCACAGTTAGGGGCCCTGGTGAGGGAGAGGAGTTACGACTCCCACCACCACCTCAGGCGGTGGGTGAGATGCTCTGAGGCTGGCCTGGCTCACACCGTGTTGGCAGGAAGCCTGACCCCCGCTCTGTTCCCACCCCCACCTCAGTCCTGTTTTTTTAAAAAATACCCACTTTACTGAGATGTGATTTGCATACTGTACTCTCTGAAGTGTGCAGTGAGTGACTTTTAGTACATTTGCAGAGTTGTGTGGGGACATCTGTGGTTGCCACAACTGGGAGGTGCTCCTGGCATGGAGTGGGTGGAGGCCAGGAATGCTGCTCAGCACCCTGCTGTGCCCAGGGTGGCCCCACCCCAAAGAACGGTCCAGCCCCAGTGTCCACAGCACCTGGGGGAGACCCTGGAATTAGAGGGCTGGAGCTGCCCAATCCTCTTGCCCTTCCTGAGGAGGCAGAGGTCTCCACCTTGGAGTGAGCGCTTCTGGGTGTCCAGTGTGGGACACTGAGGGGCCCCAGCCAGCCCGCCAGGCGCCCACGGGTGAGGGGCCTCCTGCTGCACCCCGGAGTCGCCTGGACCTGCCCCCTGCCCTGTGCACCCCTGCTGGGCCCAACGACTAAACCTTTCTTCCCAGGGTTTCAGAGCGTGCCCTGTCCCGGTGGGCGTGCTCCTTAGGGAGTTAACGCTTCCTGCTTCCTCTTCCCAGGTTCTGTCCATGACGGCACAGCCGGGCCCTGGCCATGGGAAGAAGTTGGGCCATCGAGGTGTGGACGCATCCGGCGAAACCACCTACAAGAAGGTTCCTCGGCTCCCCTTAGCTGGCTGGAGGGAGCGGGACAGAGCAGAGGGGAGGGGGATCCCACTGGTAGCATGGATGGGGCCTATCGCCCCCGACACAAACCAGGGTCTGCCCAGGGACAGGTGTGGGCTGTGTGGAGGCAGAGGCTGGAGTCCTCAGTCCTGCATGAGGCCCCACTGTTTGCTGTCCTTGCCGGGCGGCCGGGCAGCATGTTCTGTGGCTCAGCCTGGCTGCAACGCCTGCCCGGCTCTGAGTCCCTGAAACCTCGGGCAGAGCCTGGGCTCTCGGCCCTGGTGAGGGAGAGGGGTTATGGACCCCACCACCACCTCGGGCAGTGGATGGGACACTCTGAGGCTGGCCTGGCTCACACCGTGTTGGTAGGAAGCCTGACCCCCACTCTGTTCCCACCCCCACCTAGGGCCTGTTTTTTCAAAAGTAACCGTTTTACTGAGATGTGATTCATATACTGTACAATTCAGCCTTTAAAGTGTGCAGTAAATGACTTTTAGTACATATGCAGAGTTGTGCAGCCGTCACCTCTAATTCCAGAACATTGCATCAGCTCAAATAGCAACTCTGTCCCTGTTAGCAGTCACCCCCATCCCGACTCCCAGCCCTGGCACCCACATCCCTTTCCTGCGTCTGTGGATCAGCCTGTCCTGGACGTGTCATAGAAGTGGAATCACACACTGTGTGGCTTTCTGTGTCTGGCGTCTCTCACTGAGTGTAGCGTCCTCAGGGTTCATTCGCACTGGGGCCCGTGTCAGAGCCTTGCTCCTGTTCATGGCTGAGTCGTGTTCTGGTGCGTGGGGCGCCCGTGCTGCACTTGTCCTTTGCTGCGTCATGGACGCTCGGGTGCTTCACACTCCTGGCCATTGTGAATTGTGCTGCTGAGGACACGTGTGTGTGAGTCTGTGTGGATACATGTGTTCGTTTGTCTCGGGCAGACACCCAGGAGTGGAATTGCCAAGTCACGTGTAACTCGGTGTCATCTTTTGAGAAACTCGCAAACTGTTCTCCATAGCAGCGGTACCGTTTTCACACCCAGCAACAGTGAATGAGGCCCAGCGTCCCCGTGTCCTCACCAGCACTCGTGATTGTTGTCTCTGATTCTGGCGTCCTCATGGGTGTGAGGTGGTGTCTCTTCGAGGTGTCTTTTTGTTTGTTTTGGTAGAGACAGGGGTTTCACCATGTTGCCCAGGCTGGTCTTGAACTCCCAGGCTCAGGGGATCCTCCCACCCCGGCCTCCCGACTGGCCGGGATTCCAGGTGCGTGGCCCCCCTGTGGTTTGATGTGCTTTCCCTTGGTGCCCAGTGGCATGGAGCGTCTTTGCGGGCTTCAGGGCCGTTTGTATGTTATCTTTGGGCACATGTCTGTTCTGTCCGTGGCATCTCGGGGAGGTGAACATACAGGCCAGACCCCCCACCACCCAGAGTGTGGCTTAGGAGGGAGACAGGCCGAAACTGGGCAGTGGCAGAAACCAACTCCCAACTCCCGACCTCCCTCCCTGCCACCTCGCACCTGCGACAGGAGCACTGGAGACCGGAATTAGAGAGCGGAGGTATGAGCCGGCTTCCCAGGGCTAAAGTGAACATGGCGCGAGAGCACACAGTGAGAATAATGCAAACGATGCCAATGGCAAAAATAACAGCAGCCGGCCGGGCGCGGAGGCTCACTCCTGGAATCCTAGCACTTTGGGAGGCCGAGGCGGGAGGATCACCAGAGGTCAGGAGTTGGAGACCAGCCTGGGCAACATGGCGCAACCTTGTCTGTACTAAAAATACAAAAAAATAATTAGCCGGGTGTGCTGGTGCGTGCCTGTAATCCCAGCTCTTGGGAGGCTGAGGCGGGAGAATAGCTTGAACCCAGGAGGCGGAGGTTGCAGTGATCCAAGATCGCACCACTGCATTCCAGCCTGGGCAGTAGAGCAAGACTCTGTCTCAAAAAATAATAACGGGGCCGGCGTGCTGGCTCACACGTGCAATCGCAGCATTTTGGGAGGCCCAGGCAGGTGGATTAGCTGAGGTCAGGAGTTCGAGACCAGCCTGGCCAACATGGTGAAACCCCGTCTCTACTAAAAATACAAAAATTAGCCAGGCGTGACGGCGCGCACCTATAATCCCAGCTACTCAGGAAGCTGAGGCAGGAGAATCACTTGAACCTGGGAGGTGGAGGTTGCAGTGAGCTGAGATTGCGCCACTGCACTCCAGCCTGGGCGACAGAGCAAGACTCTGTCTCAAAAAATAAACAAATAAAAATAATAACAGCAGCTGACACCACGTCCGCAAGAGGGCCAGAACCATTGTGCCCATCCCTGTCTACAGGCAGGGAAACTGAGGCACATAGCGGCCATGTGGGTTGCCCAGTGTGACCACGTGCGTTACATAGAAAGCAGCTAACGGGAACCTGCGTCTGCAGATGTGAAAGTGATCTGGGCATCTCGCTGTAAATGGTACCCCCTAAAAACAAACTCTTGACAGTGAATCGACCCTTTTGCTAAGTTGGAGCTGTTTCAAAATGGGAGAACCTTTAGAACCTAGCTAGCCAACAGGACTGGGAGGGCTGAGTGACGTGGTGCGGCAGTTGCAGCCGAGCCCTGTCCTGGCTGTGTGGCCCGAGGGAGGGTGGCTTCATCCCCCGGCCTGATGTCGACAGCTCAGCAGCCGCAGGACAGGCAGCCCCGGGGACCACCAGGAGGGGGTTGGCAGGTGCCGGGTCCCAAGCTGCAGCTGGTCACGATCTCCACCCCCCGGTGCACACAGGGGGTGCAGGGCAGCGTGGGGAGCAGCCGGGGGCCCTGACACTCTGGTCTCCCTGCAGACCACCTCCTCCACCCTGAAGGGTGCCATCCAGCTGGGCATCGGCTACACCGTGGGCCACCTGAGCTCCAAGCCCGAACGCGACGTGCTCATGCAGGACTTCTACGTGGTGGAGAGCATCTTCTTCCCCAGGTGGGCCGGGCCCCCGGAGCCTCAGGGCTCACCCAGCACACACGTGGCTCTGAGGCGGAGTGGCCTGTCCTGAGCGCCCTTCTCTGCTGAAAGCAGCACCTGGCCCCTCCTGGCGCCTCCTTGGCCTTGAGCTCTGGCCCTCTGTCCGTCAGGACGTTTGTTTGCTGCTGAATCAGAGACCCAATGTAAAGGCAGTTTAAGAACAGGAAAAAGAAAAGATAGAAGTTAGCTCTTTTCTAATCTACAAATAACCAGTGGGCAGTGCAGGGCTGGTCAGGAGGTTCCATGGTGTTGGGGTCCTGGGATCCTTCTGGTCACCCCACACCGCCATCCTCAATATACAGCTCTGTGACCAGTGGTCCCAGGTGGCTGCCAAAGCTCCTGCCATCACGGCTGCATTCCAGCCACAGGAGGCAACAGAAGGAGAACAACAGCCCTTCCCTTTCGGACATGACCAGTGTTTCTGCTCCACTCGTGTCATTGGCTGAGTGCAGTCACGTGAGCACACCTAGCTGCAAGAGGCTGGGGCGGCATGGTCCTGTTCTTGGCGGCCATGTGCCTGGCCAACACTGTGGGCCCCGTTGTTAATGAAAGAAGAGAGGGTGGTTACTGGGGGACAGTCCCATCGGGAGCCCCCTGTTGCTTGTGGGATTGGGCCGTTTCAAGGAAGTCTTGGAGCTGAGCCGCTAGAGGCTCAGCTGCTAGAGGCACTAGGAGGGACCATGGCGGGGGTGGGGGAGAGGTGCCCACCACCCCTCACAGGTTTCCTCCCGTCCTTCCTCCACAGCGAAGGCAGCAACCTCACCCCCGCCCACCACTTCCAGGACTTCCGCTTCAAGACCTATGCACCTGTCGCCTTCCGCTACTTCCGGGAGCTCTTTGGGATCCGGCCAGATGATTACTTGGTAAGCATATTTGCTGTTACGGGCTTCCAGGCTTGAAACAGAACATGTTCAGGGTCTCGGAGGGTCTGTGGGTCAGGCATTTGGGGGCAGCCTCCCTGGGTTCCTCGTGTAGGGTTATGGTCAGGTTCAGGGCCGGAGTCTCCTGTGAGACTCACCGGGAAAGCAGGAGAGATCGGCCTCCAAGCTCACATCACTGGCAGCTGCAGGACTCCGTCCTGGCTGGCGTTGGCTGGGAGCCTCCATTCCTCACCATGTGGGCCTTGTCATCAGAGCAGGCGAGGGTGTCCACTCACCAAACAGTTGGTATAGTCTTCTGCAGCCTGGTGCCAAAGTGACTGACCCATTTTCAGACTTAAGGGTTAGAACAAGGCACTGGGACGTGGGTGCCACTGGGGACCAGCGTAGAGTCGGACCTCCTAGCTCTAGCCATGGCTTTATTGTTTCAGGTTAGCAAAGTCAAAATCTAGGCCAACCCCTTTGACCTAGCAGCCCATTATCCGGGCTCCTAAAAGAGGTGTTTGGAGGGTGGTGCTCCCCACAGTGGCCCTGGAGCTCATCAGCGCCAGCACCCCCTTTTTTTTTTTTCGAGACAGAGTCTCGCTCTGTCGCCCAGGCTGGAGTGCAGTGGTGCGATCTCGGCTCACTGTAAGCTCCGCCTCCTGGGTTCACGCCATTCTCCTGCCTCAGCTTCCCGAGTAGCTGGGACTACAGGTGCCTGCCACCACGCCCGGCTAATTTTTTGTATTTTTAGTAGAGACGGGGTTTCACCGTGTCAGCCAGGATGGTCTCGATCTCCTGACCTCGTGATCTGCCTGTCTCAGCCTCCCGTAGTGCTGGGATTAGAGGCGTGAGCTACCGCCTCAGCCTCCCGAAGTGCTGGGATTCCAGGCGTGAGCCCCGGCATCCAACCTGCGCCATCACCACTTCTAAAAGCTCCGGGTGGCCTTTTCCCAAGCCTGCCTGGTCATCCCGAGAACTTTGTATCAGGGAAGACTGGAACTCTGTAGACAAGTGCGGTTGGCGTTCTGGTTGTCACGACAGCACGGTCCCCGGGGCCGGGAGCCTGTGGTTCTCCGATCCTGCCCTCACCCGCGGTGGTCGGTTCCTTGTGCCTTTCTTTGGTGGTTGCTGACTGTGCGTGCGTTTGGTTTATCTCAGTCTGTAGGAAGCGCCCGAGGCTGCGCTCTTCCAGGGAGAACTAGCATGTGCTCCAGCCAGGGGTACGTGTGACACCCCCCCCTCCCCCGCCCCGAGAACTCCAGCCTGTTCAGGTGCCCGGGAGTCACCATGCTCCGGGTCGTGTCGCCAAGGCCCAGCCTCCGGACTTCAGTGTCCCAGCGTTTGCCTGAGCTTGGCAGGGCAGTGGGGAGTGAAAACACAGCTGGGGTTTTTGCCTAGAAATGGCCCTCGGGTGACCTGGACGCTACCGTGTGAGGCGGCCAGGAACAGAAGGCAGCAGCCTGGCTCGTAGCAGAGAGACAGCACCCGTGTCCATTAGCAGGAGTGGACGGATAAAAGCCGATCTGGGGCCATCTGGGTCTCACCTAGAACCCGATAAGATCGCATTCCAGGGCCTTAGGCCAGGTGTGCACCCACAGCATCTGGGGAGCCAGCCCGGTGTTGGTGACCCCCGAATCCTTCTGCTCATCTCAGGAGTGTGAGAATTCTCTTGGGGGCCTCCGGTGCTGAGCAGGCGGCAGCCCCCTAGCCTCTGTCCAGGCTGTGGTGTGAGTGTGGCCGTGTGCCACAGCGGGAGGACGGGCTAGTGTGCGTGTTGCTGTCCACAGGGCCCCTGAGCTTGAGTGGGGACAGGTAGGGTTCGGAGGGGACTCGAGGTTGCCGGTGCTTCTCTGATTGGACAGCTGAGGTCACAGTCCCCCCTGGTAAGGGGGGTAGCTCCAGGAAGGCCCACAGCTCAGGACAGCCAGGAAGGAGAAGGCGGAGGTGGGATGCAGGGTGGGGCTCAGCCCTGCCCAGTGGTCAGCAGAGGGTGGAGAGGAGGCCAAGGTCAGCGGCGCAGCTGCCGAGAGCCCCAGCACCGACGAAGGAGGCTGTGGGGGGTTGTCCTGGCACTGCCTGGCTCAGAAATCCACGCATGGGGCCTGCTTCCCCGTAGCAGCTGAGGCCCATGGAGGCCATAGCCCTGCAACTGCCATTAGTCATGTGGCTTCAGAATTTCCCTGTCATCGGTGTTCTTTGTACAAAGCCGAACGTGCCCTTTCCACAGTGTTTTCCGCTCTGCAGGTGAGATCGGCCTCCCCCTCCTGCCACCGTGGACAGGCAGCAGTGATTTGTGTCTCGGAGGGACACTCCGGCTGCTTGGGGTGTCCCCTGCTCCGGGTGACCTGAGGACAGCGGCCCAGGGCTTGGCGGGGTCCCCTGGCCTCCCAGGGAGGGCGCCAGCCCCAGGAGAGACCCGCCTTCGCTCTGCGCTGCTGCGCCTGTGTCTGGGAGGCTGGAGGGCGTCCTGCCGTGGCGGGGAAGGCGGAGGAGCCGCGTGGGCTCTGTGTTTCCTGTGGATATTTGTGGCTCGTGGCTGTGGGCAGAAAAAGGCAGGCAGATGGCTGGGCTGGGCGACAGCAGTGGCCTGGACAGATCTCCCTCCAGCCTCAGAGTCCACCCCACACGGCTCTCTCACCCTGCACCATCACTCCCAGCCAGGCCATGGCAGAAGCAGCGCATGCAGGAGGAAGGACCCTCGCTGTTCTGAGCTGCCAAGGTTGGCAGGGCTGTTGCTGACTCCGCAAAATCCAGCCTGTGTTGACCGACGTGTGATAACTGATGGCGCCGTTCCCTGGCCCGAGAGCACCTCGGGCAGTGCAGGGCGGGGGTGGTGACTTGAGCCCAAGGAGGGACTGGGGCATTCCCAGGCCCTGGGCCTGATGTGACCTCATGTTTCCGGCGTCCTCTGGTCCCCAAACATATTCACAGATCAGAGTGTGTGTGGCGCTGGGGACCCAACTCACGCCTCAAGCCCCTGGCTCTTCCAGCATTTTCCAAAGGTGGTTCCCCTCACTTGTTGGGGTGTTTTTTTAAACACTCTTGCTCTGTTGCCCAGGTTGGAGGGCAGTGGCGCTGTCACAGCTCACAGCAGCCTTGACCTCCTGGGCTCAAGTGATCCTCCCACCTCAGCCTCCCAAGTAGCTGGGACCACAGATGGGCATCACCATGCCTGTTTTTGTTTTCTTTCTTTTTTTTTTTTAGTACAGATGAGGCCTCGCTCTGTTGCCCAGGCTGGTCTTGAACTCCTGGGCTCAAATGATCCTCCTCAGCCTCCCAAGGTGTTGGGATTACAGAGTGCTGGGTGAGCCGCCGTGCCTGGCCTCCCCTCGCTTCTGCTCGCCACCACTCCTGACTCTCGTGGACACCCCCCACCTGTTTATCACAGCAGCATTGGAGGCGGCACGCAGCACTCGGAGACCACCCTTCTGTCGTCCAGCAGATACGGACCCAGCGTTGACCCTGGGGGGCCTGGCTTGCTCCGCTGATGGGGAGCTGGCTCTGACCTCATCCGTGTACACCAATGGCGACCAGTTAGGATTTTAAAGGGCGTGACACAGATGGCCTTAGCCCCATGCACACTTCATTGGTTCCATACCCGGAAGACGCAGGGTAGCACCCGTGGGTCTCATCTTCATTCTAGTCCTTAGCAAATCGAGCACCTGTCGAGTCAGTGACACAAAAAAACTTCCACCTGCACGGACCTTCTGCCTAATGTCCAGGAGAGGGCGTGGGGGCAGAGAGACAGCGAGCACATCATGAAACAAACAGCAGGGGCTGAGAAAAAGGGGCAGAGAAGTGGGGAGGAAGGGCTTGGACTGTGGGGTGCCAGGGGCCAGAGTGGGGCCTGCCCATCAGAGATGCAGCTTCCATCCCAGAGCTTACCTTCTAGTCCAGTGTGGCTGCTGAGGTTCCAGCCATCACATCAGCATCTCAGGAGGGAAATAGGTGGGAAGGAGAGAAGGGCAAATACGCAGGTATGCCAGCTGCCTGTCGCCCATCTGTGGAGCCTTCCCTGAGTTCCACCTGACAGCTTCTGCTTATGACTCATGGGGCAGAGCTGGCGTTGTGGCCCCACCCAGCTTCAGGGGTGCTGGGAGCACCTTTTAGCCACGCGCGTCAGCACCCCGGTGCGATCAGGTGTCCGCTCCTAAGGAGAGCAGCAGGCAGCCTGGGGAGTGCGCCCTAGCAGACCAGCCCTCGGGCTGCAGAGTCAGCTCGGCCTCAGGCTCCAGTCCTTGCTGGCTAGCCTCAGGCAAGTCTCTCGCCCTCTCTGAGCCTCTCTTTCCGCATCTGTAAAATGCAGCGACCCGTCATCAGTTCCTGGGGCTGTTGGGCAGACCGGAAGCCAGTGCTGTCTGTGTGTCCGGCAGCTTGGGGCCCGCTGACCCGCCTCCTCTGCTTCCAGTACTCCCTGTGCAATGAGCCGCTGATCGAGCTGTCCAACCCGGGCGCCAGTGGCTCCCTCTTCTACGTCACCAGCGACGACGAGTTCATCATCAAGACCGTCATGCACAAGGAGGCCGAGTTCCTGCAGAAGCTGCTCCCTGGCTACTACATGGTGCGTGGCCCGCCCTGCGGGGCAGATGGCTCCTCGGTCAACCCCCTTCTCCCGGCTGGCGGGAGCAGATGTCTGCAAGGCTTGGGCAAGCAGGCATCCTTGGGGCGTGGTGAGAGGCATCTTGGGTCCCGGGGACTCACCCTCGGGGGTCCCCCGTCAGGCTTCACCAGCACCAGTGTTCAGGAGCCGCCCTCTCTTCCTCCTGTGGCCACACGCCTTGGGGGCCGTCCCCGGGCAGGGCTGGGTGGGCACCGGCCCCTGCCTGGCTCCCCATCCCCACCTTGCCAACACCCCCTATGAGCCGTGGGCCCCAGAACCAGCAGCCTGCGGGCAGCGTCTGTCAGCTGCCACGGAGGCCCAAGGGGCCCAAGGGTGACTCAGAGGGTTCCAGAGAGGAGGGGGATGGGCCACCAGATGGTACCCCACAAAAGACCAGCTGCTCAGGCAGGCGTGAGGCAGCTCCATCCGGCCCACCCCTCATCCCGCATGACTCACAGAAAGGGTGCGTCAGGCCCCGGGAGGGGGGAGTAGGAGTAGGAGCCGGCGGCTGCCACAGTGTTCCTGGGCCTGGGATTCCGGTACTCGCCCAGACGAGGTGGGCGCCTTCCATGTTGCCAGGCCCAAGCTGCTGCCCGGCCCTGGGCAGCACAGCACAGCCTGTGACTCAGTTTCCCTTGAGGCCTCCTCCATCCACTCTCTGTGATGCTTAGCGAGGGGCCCGGGCTCCTTAGATCAGGCTCAGCAAACTCAGTCTTTAAAGGCCCAGAGAGAGTGTTTTTGGCTCTGCGAGCCAGTGTGCTGTGTCTCCAGGACTGAGCTCTGCCTGGATGGCAGCGAGCTGCTGTGACCACATGAGAATGGATGGGCGCGGCCATGTGCCCATACGCATTATTTATGGACCAAGAAATGCGAATTCCATATCACTTTCACGTGTCATCAAAGACTATTTTCTATTTCTCCACTTTTTTATTTATTTATTTATGTTTTGAGACGGAGTCTCGCTCTGTCACCCAGGCTGGAGTGCAGTGGTGCCATCTTGGCTCACTGCAGCCTCCCCCTCCTGGGTTCAAGCCATTCTCCTGCCTCAGCCTCCCGAGTAGCTGGGACTACAGGCGCCCGCCACCACGCCTGGCTATTTTTTTATATTTTTAGTAGAGACATGGTTTCACCGTGTTAGCCAGGATGGTCTCGATTTCCTGATGTCGTGATCTGCCTGTCTCGGCCTCCTGGAGTGTTGGAATTATAGGCGTGAGCCACCGCGCCTGGCCTCTTCATTTTTTTTTTTTTTTTTTTTTTTGAGATGGAGTCTCGCTCTGTCACCCAGGCTGGAGTGCATTGGCGTGATCTTGGCTTACTGCAAGCTCCGCCTCCTGGGTTCAAGCGATTCTGCTGCCTCAGCCTCCTGAGTAGTTGTGATTCCAGGCACCTACCACCACGCCTGGCTAATTTTTGTATTTTTAGTAGAGATGGGGTTTCACCGTGTTGGTCAAGCTGGTCTCCTGACTTCATGATCTGCCTGCCTTGGCCTCCCAAAGTGCTAGGATTATAGATGTGAGCCACTGTGCTTGGCCTTTTTTTTTTTTTTTCTTTTGAGATGGAGTCTGGCTCTGTTGCCCAGGCTGGAATGCAATGGCACAATCTCGGCTCACTGCAACCTCCATCTCCTAGGTTCAAGTGATTCTCCTGCCTCAGCCTCCCAAGCAGCTGGGATTACAGGCATGCGCCACCACTCCCAGCTAATTTTTATTTTTAATAGAGACGGGGTTTCACCATGTTGGCCAGGCTGGTCTCAAACTCCTGACCTCAGGTGATCCGCCCGCCTCGGCCTCCCACAGTGCTAGGATTACAGGCATGAGCCATCGCACTGGGCCCTTTCCACTTTTTAAAAATGGAAAAACCATTCTTAGCTCACAGCCCTACAAAAATAGGTGGTGGCCGGATTCGGCCCAGGGGCTGGAGTTCACCTAGCCTGCCCAGGCTGGTGCCTGAGTCCGCGCCCCTCACTCCTCTCCCTGTGGGTCTGTCTCAGCCCCGACACCTGGGCAGCTTCCCACTGGGTTCGTCATTGAGAGGCTCTGGGCAGGGGGCGCTGTTGCTTCACTTGGGTGCCCCTGAGTCACCCAGTGCCTGCTTGGGGTCTACAGGGTACAGCAGGACCCAGACTCGTCACTGCGCCTGGGGACCCAGATTTGGAGTGAAAGTCTGAGTTGATCAGTTCAACACAGGCAAAGCATAACCAACATAGAGGCTGGGCTCACGCCTGGAGTCCTGGCACTTTCGGAGGCTGAGGTGGGAGGATGGTTTGAGCCCTGGAGGTGGAGGCTGCAGTGAGCTGTGATCGCACCGTTGCACTCCAGCCTGGGCGACAGAGCGAGACCCTGTCTCAAGAAAATACATGTGTGTGTGCGTGTGTGTGTATGTGTTTGTGTGTGCATATACATACATGTATGTATTTTAGGATACAGCATTGCGTTTCCGGCCTCCAGACCTCCCAACAGGCGAGCCCAGCCAGGGCGATGTCTGTGGGCAGGCAGGGAGTGTGGAAGCTTCTGCTGGAACAGAAGCGCCTGCCTTGGGGCCTGGCTCTGTAGAAACAGACCCTCCTGGAGCTCACAGTTGTGGCCCATGAGAGTCAGGGTGCCGTGGGAAGGCCAGCTGGGTGCCTGCATAGGAACGGGGTCCCCGAGGGCTTCTGGGGAGAGAGGGGGGCTGGCCAGGGGCATCCATGAGCCCCCTGAGGCAGAGGCCTGCTTTGCCCGCCCCCGTGAGTCTGTGGCCCAGCCGCCCTCCACGACTTGCCCTCTTCCCCCGGCAGAACCTCAACCAGAACCCGCGGACGCTGCTGCCCAAGTTCTATGGGCTGTACTGCGTGCAGTCGGGGGGCAAGAACATCCGCGTCGTGGTCATGAACAACATCCTGCCCCGCGTGGTCAAGATGCACCTCAAGTTCGACCTCAAGGGCTCCACCTACAAGCGGCGCGCCAGCAAGAAGGAGAAGGAGAAGAGCTTCCCCACCTACAAGGACCTGGACTTCATGCAGGACATGCCCGAGGGGCTCCTGCTGGACGCCGACACCTTCAGCGCCCTGGTCAAGACGCTGCAGCGGGACTGCCTGGTGAGGGCTCGGCCCCGGCCGGGGAGGGAGGGTGGCAGGTGGGACTGCGTGGTGAGGGCTCGGCCTGGGCAGGCAGGGCCAGGGAGGGTGCCAGGCCGAGGCCCACCTGCCCTGCAGCCTACAGCAGGCCCCACCCCAGTGTGGGATCCAGAAGCGCTCAAGCTTTTATGGCCTTAACCTAAAATGTGGCCGGACACAGTGGCTCACGCCTGGGATCCCAGCTCTTTGGGAGGCAGGCAGATGGCTTGAGCCCAGGGTTTCAAGACCAGCAGGGGCAACATTGTGAGACCCCATCTCACAAAGAAAACAAAACACTTATAACATGTCCCCAGACCCAGCCCTTGGGGGTCGGGAGTGTCTGCACTGCTGAGAAGTGGTTCCTCTGGAGGTTACACGATGACAGTGGTAGAGTCCCCCCACCCCCCAGAGAAGAGCCCAGCCTTCAGATGCTGTGGTCACAAGCCCAGAGCTCCCAGCCAGCCATGAGAGCTTGCTGTGCCTCAGTTTCCTCACCCATCAAATGGGATGACTGCTTGCTCTGCAGGCCACAGTGAGGGCCCATGTGCGTCCAGTGAGGGTCTGGCTCCTGTCCCCGTGGAGCCTGCGTTGGCTCCGTGTTAGCGAAAGAATGATATGCACGGCTCTTCCTCTGCCTGGGTTAGCTCCGTCGTCCCCGTCCCACCCCGGCAGCTTCGAGGCATGGAGCCAAGGAGGGGAGGCCCCAGCCTGTCAGGAGCAGAGCCTGGGACCTCCCAGCTCCCCAACTCCACCCAGGCCCCGCTGCTGACCATCCCCAGCTCCCCGACCCCTTTGAGAACTTGACCCATACCCCCAGAAAACCGCCCAGACCACTCAGGGGCCTTGAGGCTACCCTGGGCATCCACCCACCTGGGTGTCACCTGTCAGGCCGGGCACGTCCTTGCCCATGGGCCTGGGCTGGTCAGAGCATAGGCCCGGCTCCCTGTCTCTCAGGAAGGAGTAAAGCCAGGAAGGGAAGTCCCTGTCTCAGTGCCCGGGGCAGCCTGCTGTGAGGCTGGAAGCCCCCATTCTCTGGCCTGCTCTGATGCCGCTGTGTGACCGCAGCCCCTCTGTTCCTCAGGATAACACTAGAACCCCCACTCCTGCCTGGCCGTGGGACTCCATCTCTCACACCCGAGCCCACGGGGCCATCCGTGCTGGGAACCCCATAGGGTCCGGGAGCCGTTGTGGGGGATAGAGACGGCTGACGGCGTGGCGTGTTCCTGCCCGATCCCGCCAGGTCCTGGAAAGTTTCAAGATCATGGACTACAGCCTGCTGCTGGGCGTGCACAACATCGACCAGCACGAGCGCGAGCGGCAGGCGCAGGGCGCCCAGAGCACCTCAGATGAGAAGCGGCCTGTGGGCCAGAAGGCGCTCTACTCCACGGCCATGGAGTCCATCCAGGGTGGCGCCGCGCGCGGGGAGGCCATCGAATCGGATGACACGTAGGTGGGCGGGGGGCCGCCGGACCCGTCCCGCTTCCCTTCCCCACAGGCTCCAGTTCCCCATCCCCGTCCCAAGTGTGAAAACAGGCAGGGAGGGCTGGCGAGGGCATGCGTGGGTGACAGACAGAGTCTGGGAGCCTTGTGCCAGCGCCTCAGAGCGAAGCCAGGCCGTAGTGCGGGCCGCAGGCTGAGTGCAGGGTTCCGGGCCTTGGCTTGCAATGGTGGGGGCGTTTCCCATTCACCCGTGACTGGGCCGAGGCCACTGGCCATCCACAGGAATGAGAGAGAGATAGCGTTTCCCGGTGGCACTCAGAGGGGTCTACACGCCACCCGTGCAGAGAGGGGCCACAAAGGTGTGGAAGGCGCATGGGAGGCCAGAGGGATCGGGCGAGGCAGGGCTCACAGCAGGACACAGCCCACGAAGCAGAGGGACTGCAAAATCCGATTCCACACAGATCAAAGCAGCTGCTGGCTGGGCGCAGTGTCTCATGCCTGTACTCCCAGCACCTTGGGAGACCAAGGTGGGAGGATTGCCTCAGCCCCGGAGTTCAGTACCAGCCTGGGCAACATGGCAAGACCCCATCTCTACAAAAAATATAAAATGTAGCTGGACGTGGTGGCACGTGCACCTGTAGTCCCAACTACTTGGGAGGCTGAAGGCGTGGCAGGCGTGAGCGTGGCAGGCGGAGGTTGCAGTGAGCCAAGATCACACCACTGCACTCCAGCTTGGGCAACAGAGTGAGACCCTGTCTTAAAAAAAAAAAAAAAAACGCTGGGCGCGGTGGCTCACACCTGTAATCCCAGCACTTTGGGAGGCTGAGGCAGGTGGATCATCTGAGGTCAGGAGTTCCAGACCAGCCTGGCCAACATGGTGAAACCCCATCTCTGCTTAATACAAAATATTAGCTGGGCGTGGTGGTGCACGCCTGTAATCCCAGCTACTTGGGAGGCTGAGGCAGGAGAATCGCTTGAACCCAGGAGGTGGAGGTTGCAGTGAGCTGAGATTGAGCTATTGCACTCCAGCCTGGGCAACAAGAGCTAAACTCTGTCCAAAAAGAAAAAAAAAGTGGCTGCCACAGAAGATAGGAACGGTGGTGGAGAGAGGAGGCCACATCTCAGTGGCCTGCAGTCATGTCTGCTGGACACCAGGGGCAGAGGGACCAGGCAGGCCCTGCCCTCACAGGGCTCAGGGTTTGGCTGGGGAGATACTCACAGAGCTCTCCTGGGACACTGGATGTGAGGGCTGGGTCATTCTCTGGGGTGGGGCTGTCCTGGGCACTGCAGGGTGCTGAGCAGCGTCCCGGGCCTCCACCCACTCCGGGCCAGGAGCACCCCCCAGTTGTGACAACCACAGATGTCCCCAGACATGGCCCCGGATGCGGGATAGACAGGTGTCGTATAGCAGTGCTGAGATTGTGCCCTGGTCACAGCAGCACCCTGACAGTGGGGGCAGGCCCGAGCCTTCACTTTGGTACCTGTTCAGTCTTCACAGCGGCCTTGGAGGAGGGAGGTGGGCTTCCCCTGTTTCCAGCTGAGGAAATAGGCTCCTAGGTTGGGGGGCAGCCTTCCCCAGTGCAGCCACGAAGGTGTGGAGCCAAGTTCCACCTGGCCTGGCCCCAGGGACGGTGCTGGCTGGCACTGGCTGGCACTAGGCCACCAGCTGGGCTTTGGTTTGCAGCGGTGGTGGTATTTCCCATGGATGGCAGAGGAGGAGCCGGGGCCCCAACCAGGGTGTAGCTGCGGGGGGGTGCGGGAGCCAAGGCCAGGCACAGCTCCCCCTCAGACCATCCTGGCGTTTGTAGGGTCTTCGCTGGCCTGGCGGGGGAGCAGGTGAGCGTACCAGCCTGTGGCGTGAGCAGAGCGTGCAGGGCGCCAGCCCAGCGGGTCTGGGTCCCAGTGGCTTCAGGATGACTGCTGCACGTGTGGCCTCACTAACCGCGCTGGGCAGGGGACGTGTGGGCACGGTGCCGGGTGACAGTTAACTCCCGCGCTGGGCAGGGGACGTGTGGGCACGGTGCCGGGTGACAGTTAACTCCCGCGCTGGGCAGGGGACGTGTGGGCACGGTGCCGGGTGACAGTTAACTCCCGCGCTGGGCAGGGGACGTGTGGGCACGGTGCCGGGTGACAGTTAACTCCCGCGCTGGGCAGGGGACGTGTGGGCACGGTGCCGGGTGACAGTTAACTCCCGCGCTGGGCAGGGGACGTGTGGGCACGGTGCCGGGTGACAGTTAACTCCCGCGCTGGGCAGGGGACGTGTGGGCACGGTGCCGGGTGACAGTTAACTCCCGCGCTGGGCAGGGGACGTGTGGGCATGGTGCCGGGTGACAGTTAACTCCCGCGCTGGGCAGGGGACGTGTGGGCACGGTGCCGGGTGACAGTTAACTCCCGCGCTGGGCAGGGGACGTGTGGGCACGGTGCCGGGTGACAGTTAACTCCCGCGCTGGGCAGGGGACGTGTGGGCACGGTGCCGGGTGACAGTTAACTCCCGCGCTGGGCAGGGGACGTGTGGGCACGGTGCCGGGTGACAGTTAACTCCCGCGCTGGGCAGGGGACGTGTGGGCATGGTGCCGGGTGACAGTTAACTCCCGCGCTGGGCAGGGGACGTGTGGGCATGGTGCCGGGTGACAGTTAACTCCCGCGCTGGGCAGGGGACGTGTGGGCATGGTGCCGGGTGACAGTTAACTCCCGCGCTGGGCAGGGGACGTGTGGGCATGGTGCCGGGTGACAGTTAACTCCCGCGCTGGGCAGGGGACGTGTGGGCATGGTGCCGGGTGACAATTAACTCCCCAGTCTGTACCTGAGACCCCGTGGCCCTACCTGGGCATGCAGTGTGCGTGTGTGTGCATGTGTGTGTCCAGGCACACGTGTGTGTAGGGGGTATGTGCCCAGGCCTCCTAGCTGGGACTCCTCAGCAGTGCCTGGGCCTGGGTTTGAGGCTGGGGGTGATGGAGGGATGTCAGGACAGAGGTTCCCGGGTGCCAGGCCCCACTCCGAGAGCTTGGCCAAGTTGCCACCCACAGGAGCAGATGGACTCCCTAGCCCTGGAGTCCCCAGCCCCGCCTGCCCCGAGTCCCAGCTCTGCGGGATGCTGATGGTACCCTCGGCCTCTCTCCCCAGGATGGGCGGGATCCCCGCTGTGAACGGCCGCGGGGAGCGGCTGCTGCTGCACATTGGCATCATCGACATCCTGCAGTCCTACAGGTGGGTGCCCGGGTCTGCAGTCCTACAGGTGGACGCCCCGGGTCTGCAGTCCCACAGGTGGGCGCCCGGGTCTGCAGCCCCACAGGTGGGCGCCCGGGTCTGCAGCCCCACAGGTGGGCGCCTGGGTCTGCAGTCCCACAGGTGGATGGGCGCCCCCAGGACACCCATGCACAGAGGCGCTTGCCCGTGGAAACAGCCGCACCAGCAGCTCTCGGGGCTTCCTCAACCTGGAAAGCTCTTGCTTGGCTGCCCCTTCTTGAGCCCTAAAGGGAAGGTGTTTGGTCGCCTTGAAAATCTAGAGTGAGTTGGGCGTAGTGGTCCACACCTGTAATCTAGCACTGTGGGAGGCCGAGGCGGGAGGATTGCTTGAGCCCAGGAGTTTGAGACCAGCCTGGGCAACATAGCAAGACCCCATCTCTACAAAATATCAAAAAATTAGCTGAGCGTGGTGGTGCTCCTGCAGTCCCAGCTACTTGGGAGGCCGAGGCAGGAGGATTCCTTGGGCCCAGGAGTCTGGGGCTGCAGCAGTGAGCTATGATGGCCGTACTGCACCCCAGGCTGGGTGACAGAGCAAGACCCTGTCCCAAAAAAAAAGAAAAAAGAAAATCCAAGGAGTGGGTTTGAGGCCTCACTTTGGGGCTCGAATATTTGTTTTTTGGTTTTTCATTTGTTTGTTTTAAGACAAAGTCTCGCTCTGTCACTCAGGCCGAAGAGCATTGGTGCGATCTTGGCTCACTGCAACCTCTGCCTTCTGAGTCGACCCTATTCTCCTGCCCCAGCCTCCCCAGTAGCTGGGATTACTGGCACGCGCCAGCACGCCCGGCTAATTTTTGTATTTTTAGTAGAGATGGGGTTTCACCATGTTGGCCAGGCTGGTCTTGAACTCCTGATCTCAGGTGATCTGCCTGCCTTGGCCTCCCAAAGTGCTGGGATTACAGGTGTGAGCCACCGTGCTCAGCTGGGGCTCTAGAATGTTTAAAAACAGTCACCCCCTCGGTACTATGGACATTGGGACCAGATGGTTCTCTGGGGTGGGGCCGTCCTGGGCCCTGCAGGGTACTGAGCAGAGAGCCTCCACCCACTCCCTGCCAGGAGCACCTGCCACCCTGAGTTTTGACAGCCACGACTGCTTGAGGCCATGGCCCAGTGTCCTGGGGGGTGCACAGTGGCCCCTGAGTGAGGTGGCCTGGCATGGGCTTGGCTGATGTCAGCTGCCACTCCGGGTGCTCTCTCCACAGGTTCATCAAGAAACTGGAGCACACCTGGAAGGCCCTCGTCCACGATGGGGTGAGCGCCTGCACCCTCCTCCCATTCCTCCTCCCATCCCTCCTCCTCCTGTGAGTGCCTGCACCCTCCTCCCATCCCTCCTCCCTCTGTGAGTGCCTGCACCCTCCTCCCATCCCTCCTCCCATCCCTCCTCCTCCTGTGAGTGCCTGCACCCTCCTCCCATCCCTCCTCTGTGAGTGCCTGCACCCTCCTCCCATCCCTCCTCTGTGAGTGCCTGCACCCTCCCCCCATCCCTCCTCCCTCTGTGAGCGCCTGCACCCTCCTCCCATCCCTCCTCCCTCTGTGAGCACCTGCACCCCTCCTCCCATCCCTCCTCCCTCTGTGAGCGCCTGCACCCTCCTCCCATCCTTCCTCCCTGTGAGCGCCTGCACCCCTCCTCCCATCCCTCCTCCCTCTGTGAGTGCCTGCACCCCTCCTCCCATCCTTCCTCCCTCTGTCCTCCTGTCTGTCGTCCCAGCCTTCCTCCCATCCGTCACTCCACAAACGCAGAGTACCGCCTGGGGCCAGGCACTGAGGACTAACGTCTGTGTGACCACAGCCTGTAGAATCCAAGATCCCAACAGGCACCCCCATTTTTCAAAAGAGCGTGTAGAAGGTCCAGGCAGGAGCTTCCAGAATAAGCCTTGAGCGGGTCAGGATGGCAGCTGGCAGAGGCCTCTGGGGATGTCTTAAACCTTGCCAAGGCCCGGAACCTGCTGCCCAGGGCAGATAGGAGCGCTGTCTCGGCTCTGACGAGGCTGGCCAGGGTGTCCTGTGCTGCCGCCGCATGTCCCTGGGGTTGTCCTTGTCCCCTGGCCCAGAGTGGCCGGGCACCACCTCCCACTGCAGCCTGCGGGGGTGGAGTCGTTCACAGTCCTGGTACGTGGCCACTCCTCACCCAAGGAGGCTGGGAAAGGAGGTTGCATTCTGGGAGGCCGAGATCACATCCCAGCAGGGCCCCAGCCAGGCCATCCTGCCTCAGCCTCCCCTACAAGTCCACGTGGGCCACTGTGCCTGGCCGGAATACTTTATTCAGCTGGTTTAAAAAGTCAAAAATGCTAACAGGTCTCTAGTGGAAAAGCCTCCACCCATTCCCTGGCACCCAGTCTCCCTCCCCAGAGGGAGCCACTGTTCCCTGTTCCGTGAGCCCCTCCCAGGAAGCCATGGCGCCATGGACCCATCTCGAGCCTTTTCACACAGAAGGTGCCCCCCACACACATACAGCGTCTGTCTGGGGCTGTCCCCAGCTGTTGATTGATGCACCCTCTGCCCCCGGGCACCCCCCCCAACTCTCTTCCAGGACACGGTGTCCGTCCACCGCCCCAGCTTCTATGCCGAGCGCTTTTTCAAGTTCATGAGCAACACGGTCTTTCGGAAGAACTCCTGTAAGCCACCTGAGCCCCGCAAGGCGGGAGGGACCCTGGGGAAGGCCCAGAGCGCCGTGGGGCAGGAGGGACTCTGCGGGAGGCCGAGAGCCCCCTGGGCAGGGCAGTAAACTCAGAGCCCCTGTGCCCCCCTCAGACCGGGCCTCATCCGGAGGTAGGGTAGTCGGGATATTTGCTCTGCACAGCGGTAGAGCACGGGTCTGGAGCCACCGCCAGAGCCTGAATCCTAGCCTGGCCTCGTCCTGCCCATGTGGCCTTGAGCAGGCACCTGCCTCTGTGCCTTGGTTTCCCCATTGGCACAGCACTGTGAGGGTACAGTGTTTATATATGGGATGGGTGGGCCTGACTCAGCAGATAGCTCACAGTGTGTGGGGCTGCCCACAGCATCACCATCGCCAAGGAAACGCACCCCGGGCAGGGGAACGCAGGAGGCTAGCCCAGCAGGGCATGGTCGGGAAGGTCCCAGGGCAAACAGTGGTGGGGAAGGTGGGGACTCGGGATTCACCCACAGGGTGCCCGGGGGAGGTCCCCATCTCTCAGGGCTCAGCTTCCCCTCATGGGCCACTGTAGCATCTGGACGCAGACTCTGGGTTCCAGGCCCCTGTGCAGACCTCAGCCCGTGGCCAACCTGCTGCCAGATGGATTCCCCCCTGGGG
Organism: Homo sapiens; assembly: GCF_000001405.40. Classification (NCBI taxonomy): domain Eukaryota; kingdom Metazoa; phylum Chordata; class Mammalia; order Primates; family Hominidae; genus Homo; species Homo sapiens. The sequence continues at coordinate 3,645,317 of NC_000019.10, read as the reverse complement.
TCTGTTTCTCAGCCACCCTCCCCACCAGAAGGCTCCCGGGCTCCCCAGCATCCTGCACAGGCCTGGCCCACAGAGATGCTTGGGAAGTGTCTGGTGGGGGGCATGAATGATCTGCGGGTCCGCACCCACGGGGGTTGCAGGGAGGTGGCAGGGACAGGCACGCCAGTGCCCAGCGCTTGCAGGCAGGCTGCTCTTCCCGGCCTGCACACTTGCTCACGGCCTCGAGGTCAGGGACCCCCTCTCATCAACACCGTGGGAATTGGCAGACACCACGTGTCAGGATCTGTCTCCAGAGAGCCAGCCGTTGAGCCTGTCCCCACACCCCACTCTCTGGGACCGATGCCACAGGATCATTCCGTCATCCAGGGCTGTTTGCCAGCCTTTGGTGATTGTAGGAAGCTGCACAAGGCAAACTGAGCACCTACTGTTTACCAGGAGCTGTGTGGGTCATTCTGGGGGCAGAGGTCACAAGAGCTTGGTGAGGAGGCAGAGCTCACACAGCACTGAGGACAGGCCTGGCCCTGTGCGGGACATCACCTGCCCCACCTCACCCCACCGCTAAGGTCGGCCCCCAGGGCCCAGAGAGACCGAGCCGCACAGCCAGCGGGTGAGCCTGGATCTGCGCTCAGGCCCTACATGCTGAGCCACAGGCTTCTCTAACCACAACACCTGGTGCTCCCCAAGGCTGTCAGTGTCCATCTGAAAGTGGGGGCCCTGCCCGGGCTGGGCCGCACATAGAAGGGGTTGAAGCCTGCAGGCATCCCTGGCCAGCTCATTAGATGGGAGTCACTGGTCTGCAGGATCCCAGGAGGGGCAGGCACTGTGCCAGGTCCCAGTGTGTCTCATAGAGACAGTCGGGTGGGCAGGACAGGGAACTCGGGCTCGCAGTCCCTCCCCAGGCAGACCCCGGTTTTCCACCAAGAGGTTGTGGTGCTTCCTGGCCTCAGGGACCGGTAGGGGTCTGGTGGGCCACAGGGACGTGGGGTATATGTGGGCGGCGGCCCTGTCTGGGCTTTGCTATGAGCCCCCAGCAACCCCAAGCACCAACCCCCACCCTTCCCTGCAGCCCTGAAGTCCTCGCCCTCCAAGAAGGGGCGCGGCGGAGCCTTGCTAGCTGTGAAACCGCTGGGGCCCACCGCTGCCTTCTCGGCCAGCCAGATCCCTAGCGAGCGGGAGGAGGCCCAGTACGACCTGCGGGGGGCCCGCAGCTACCCCACGCTGGAGGACGAAGGTGAGGGGCAGAGGGCAGAGTGCGCTTGTGGGCGCTACAGGGGGTGCCAGCAGCAGCCCCGTGGGTGGGGTGCCGCCTCATCCTGAGTGCCCATCGCTCAGCCACCCCCTCCGGATCTGCAGGGCCGCCTGCCCAGGGAGTGGGGGCTGCTGGGACCGCCCCAGGGAAGAGCCCAGGGGGAGCTGAGTATAGAAGGCTCCACCAGGTGGGGTGGTGACAGCTCCCGCCTTCTCTCACGGCCACTGTCATCTGAGGTGCACCAGGATGCCATCGAAGGCATGCAGCCCCCAGGCTAGGGAATGAAGGAAGGGACATAGCCATGCAAGGGCCCTGGGGCAGGACCACACCTGCTGAGGGAACAGCAAGGAGCCCGTGTGGCCAAGCAGCGCGGAGGGGAAGGGAGGGGGGGTGGGGAGGGGAAGAGAGCAGTGGAGGGGAAGACAGCGGGGAGGGAGAGTGGAGAGGGGACGGGGCCAGGCTGCACAGGGCCCTCTGGGCTGTCTGGATTCTATTTTGAGAGCGGTCAGAAGCCTTTGTGTGAGGGGGAACGTCGTCCTTCCCTGCCGTGTGGGGAGGTGGGAGTGTCTGGGAGGCGGGCGGGCACTGGGCTGTGGGTTCCCAGGGTGAGCCAAGCCTCAGGGAGAATCGACTGTGTGTTTGGGGGCTCGGAGGCTCCGCAAGGTGCCCACAGTCCTCTCCCCTCAGGCCGGCCCGACCTCCTGCCCTGCACGCCACCTTCTTTCGAAGAAGCCACTACAGCCTCCATTGCCACGACTCTGTCATCCACATCCCTCTCCATTCCTGAGCGGTCCCCCTCGGAGACGTCGGAGCAGCCGCGGTACAGGTGGGCGAGGCATCCGCAGTGCATGTGGGCGGGGCATCCGCTGTGCGTGGGGGCGGGGCATTCACTGCATGTGGGCGGGGCATCCGCTGTGCATGTGGGTGGAGCATCGTATGTACGGTGGATGTACATACACTGCATGTGGGTGCGCGGGGGCGGAGCATCCAATGTGTGGGAGGGAGGAGCATATGTACAGGTGGGCAGGGCTGCCAGGGGGCAGGTAGGCAGGCGGGTAGGCAAGGCAGGTAGACTGAGCAGGCGGGCCACTCTCTTTCTGGGTGTCACGTGTTTGCTGTATCTCTGCAGGCGGCGCACACAGTCGTCTGGACAGGATGGCAGGTGAGACCCAACCCCCTTCCTTCCCTGGGTCTCACCAGCTCCTCCTGCACAGCTCCCAGCTCCGTTTCCCGCCCCCCAGCCCCTCTGCTCTCTGCCCATTCTCTCCTGGGGACAGATTTAAGATTGTAGCACTCGGCCCTAGCACCGCACACAATCTTCCAGCCACTTTGTTTTTCTTACAGCCAGAGCCAGGGCAGCTCTGGTCTGTGGATCCTTCCTTATTTCTTCTTCTATTAAGTTTTTTTTTTAACTTAAAACAAGATACAAGAGGGAATATCGTGAAATGCGCCCCCTCCTGCCCACGGCCTGTCCCCTCCCCAGGAGCAACCACTGGGACTGTGGGTTTTGTCTCTTGGAAGATACTTTCTGGGAACACAGCAGACGTGCACCAGGCTTGTGGTTCCCTTTTATTTTGACACAAATGGGCACACCCGTGCACGCCGCCCACACCTTGCTGTTGTCACTCGACTGACGGGGATCTCAGGGGTGGGTGCGCGCCGTTCCTGTCACGCCTGCGTGCCGTCCTTCCATCCCATGGACTGCACCTGGCTTTAAGTGCCCAGCCCTCGGGGACATTTGCGAGGTCCCTGGGGTCTCACTCTTGTGAACACTGGGGCAGTGGCGCGGTGTTGCTTTTCTTAACCGTGTTTTAATCGCTGCCGCCTGGTGAAAGAAACCCCTTGGTGCCCTGGGTGGGATGTGACCCTCCCTGCAGTCTAGCGTGCCATTTGGAGAGACATGTTACATGGCCAGGCCCGGCGGCCGGGACACTGAGTCACTTGTGTCAGGGCCTCGGCTGCCAGGTGCAGGCACTGCCTGGAGGGTGGGCAGGGTCTGTGGCACCCACACCGGTCGGGGCTGCCATTTGCTCATATGCCCCCAGAGCCCGCTACACCCCAGGCCCTGCTGGCACCACAGTCACCAAGGGACCCAGGTGGACAGTCCCCGGGCTGGGAGTGACAGCCAGAAAGAACAGACCCAATCAGGAGGCTCCCAACTCCCCTCTGGGACTGGCCCTGGAGTTCACTGGGCACTCCTGGGGGTAGGATGGGGGAAGTGAGGAGGGAAACCGAGGCACAACCTCCCATTGCCTGCAGGCCGCAGGAGGAGCCACCCGCGGAAGAGGATCTGCAGCAGATTACAGTGCAGGTGGAGCCTGCGTGCAGCGTGGAGATTGTGGTCCCCAAAGAGGAGGACGCAGGGTGAGCACGGCCTCGGCGGGAGGTCGGGGCGCCCACCTGCTGCGGGCCCAGAGGAGCCAAGAGCACCCCGAGGTTTCATCATGAAGCAGTTCTTTCTTACTAGGTTGTATTCACAGATGGTGGATTTTCCCATAAGTTTATTTTTTGATTGAAGGGAGTGGTTCTCGACTAGCCGGGGTGATCCTAGCCCCCAGGGGACACTGGGCGATGCCTGGGGACATTTGTGACTGTTAGAACTGGGGGGTGCTCCTGGCATGGAGTGGGTGGAGGCCAGGGACGCTGCTCAGCATCAGCCTGCAGTGCCCGGGATGGCCCCACCCCAGAGAAGGACCTGGTTCCAGTGTCCACAGGGCCCAGGCAAGAGACCCTGGGCTAAGGGTTGTGTAAGAGCATCTCTGAACTTCCAAGTATTTAACTAATTTTTTTTTAACCTTTTTAGTATTTATTAATTTAATTTTATTTTATTTTTAATTTTTTAAATTTTTTTTGTGAGACAGGATATTGCTCTCTTGCCCAGGCTGGAGAGCAGTGGCTCAATCTTGGCTCACTGCAGCCTCCGTCTCCCAGGTTCAAGTGATTCTCCTGCCTCAGCCTCCTGAGTAGCTGGGACTACAGGCACCCACCACCACGCATGGCTAATTTTTGTGTGTGTTTTCAGTAAAGACAGGGTTTCTCCCATCAGCCAGCTGGGCAGGCTTGGTCTCAAACTCCTGACCTTGGCCAGGCACGGTGGCTCATGCCTGTAATCCCAGCACTTTGGGAGGCTGAGGCAGGCGGATCACGAGGTCAGGAGATCGAGACCATCCTGGCTAACATGGTGAAACCCCATCTCTACTAAAAAATAGCAAAAATTAGCCGGGCGTGGTGGTGGACACCTGTCGGCCCAGCTACTTAGGAGGCTGAGGCAGGAGAATGGCGTGAACCCGGGAGGCAGAGTTTGCAGTGAGCTGAGATCGCACCACTGCACTCCATCCTAAGCGACAGAGCAAGACTCCACCTAAAAAAAAAAAAACTGACCTCGAGTGATCTGCCCACCTTGGCCTCCCAAAGTACTGGGATTAATTTTATTGATTTTTGTATTGAAGAAAAAGGCTTAAAAGAAATATCTGTTTTTTTAAAAAACACAGGACACAATAGTTCTGGCCCTTTTGGGGATATGGTGTCAGCTGCTGTTATTATTATTTTCTTTGAGACAGAATCTCGCTCTGTTGCCCAGGCTGGAGTGCAGTGGCACGATTTCGGCTCACTGCAACCTCCACCTCCTGGGTTCAAGTGATTCTCTTGCCTCAGCCTCCCGAGTAGCTGGGATTACAGGCATGCACCACCACGCCCGGCTAATTTTTTTGTATTTTTAGTAGAGATGGGGTTTCACCATGTTGACCAGGCTGGTCTCGAACTCCTGACCTCAGGTGATCCTCCCGCCTCGGCCTCCCACAGTGCTAGGATGACAGGCGTGAGCCCCGTGGCGGCCCCTGTATGTTTTTACTTTTCTGTCATCTGTCTGGTGTGTATAATCCCATGCTTGCACTGTTACCAAATTCTTCTTGCCTTTGTAATGATTTTTGCCTGAGATGCTTTTGTATTTTTGTTCCAAGAGAGCTTTTTTAGCGCTCACAGCAGCGTAGACCCAAAACTAAAGCCCTGGGGGTTTATCTTCCACCCAGTGCTCCTGCCACTGTCAACTCTTTGCCATTGCCAAACCTTGCACCGTGAAATTTCAGGTTTTGCTGAAAGGAACTGTACCTCCGACATGGCAGGAGGGCATGTTTAGCCTCATTCCTGGGATGAACACGATGCACCGTGTGGCCATAGCCAAGGCCAAGGCCGTTCCTCACCTCCTCTCCGTGCCTCCGTTTCCGCAAATGCAACACAGGGGCAGTAGCCGCACCCTCTCCATCCCCCATGATAGACTCAGTGGGTTAATCACGGGAGCCAGCCCTGGCATGTAGTAAGTGCTCAGTGAAAAGAACAAAGAGGCTGGGCTCGGAGGCTTCCGTCTGTGATCCCTCCTAAAGGAGGCTGAGGCAGGAGGATCGCTTGACCCCATGAGTTGGAGACCAGCCTGGGCAACATAGTGAGACCCCATCTCTAAAAAAAAAAAAAAAATTAGTTGGGTGTAGCAGTGCACACCTATAGTCTCAGCTACTTGGGAGGCCAAGGTTGGAGGATCGCTTGAGCCCGGGCGGTGGAGGCTGTAGTGAGCCGTGATGACAGCACTGCACGCCAGCCTGGCTGATGGAGCCAGGGCCTGTCTGAAAAAACAAATCAATGAAAGAAGGAAGAAGCTCTGATCCCAGCGGCTAGGTGCCATCTCTCCCCACTTGACAGATGAGGAAACTGAGGCTCAGAGGAGGAACAGGCCCTCCCAGGGTGGCACAGCCGGTGAGGGTGAGGCCAGCACGTGCCCACAGGTGTGTGTGTCTGAGCTGGGAGTGGCAGGGCCGAGCTGTCAGCGGGCTGGCGGGTCACTCCAGGTCACTCCTGGGGCCAGCATGAGGGGCTTCTTGGGGAGGTTTGTTCTGATTTGCGATAAATGGCAGCGCAGGAGCGCGCGGCCTGTGGTCAGCTGCCTGGCTTTTCATCTCCGTGATGACCGTATGAAGCCCCTGCCTGGGTCCTGAGTGGGGGCGCGGGGAGTCTCCGTGTGGGGCCTGAGGGTCAAGACCCTCTGTCTACTCCTGTCCCCAGGGTGGAGGCTTCCCCGGCCGGTGCCTCTGCTGCTGTTGAAGTAGAAACTGCCAGCCAGGCCTCAGACGAGGAGGGCGCACCTGCCAGCCAGGCCTCGGACGAGGAGGACGCGCCCGCCACCGACATCTACTTTGTAAGTGCCCCGGGCTCCTCCTGCCGCCGGCTCGTCAACCGGACTCTCTCTCACACACGCTCCACCGTGTGCACACCGCATACACACACCTGCACACAGGCACGTGAGTGTGCCCTGTCGACCCACCCACATGCTCTCTCACCAGCCAGCACTCTCACGACACGCCCACACGCACCCACCAGCCACGTTCACACCCACCTTCTCTTCCTGGTCTAACCCCATGGGGTGGGAAGCTCCTCCAAACCAGGCCTTTCTGAGGCCCCAGAGCCACCCCTGTCCCCTTCCCCGGCCTTGTGCCCACGGCACCTTCTGTGCCACCCGTCTCCCTGGAAGTCGTCCGGAGTCCTCAGACTCTTGGCCCCTCGGGAGGCCCTGGCACAGGCTGAGGTCCTGTGTCCTTGACAGCCTAGACGTCCAGACAGGGCTGTGGCGGCAGGACCTTCTCCCTGTTGCCGTGGGCGTGGCCAGGTGGGCTTATCCTTGAGGAGGGCCGGGGGACCGGGCAGTGGCAGGAGGGCTTCACGCTCCCACGCCGTGGGCTGGGGACTCGTGGCTGCTACTGGGCAGGGCAGGGTCTGCCCGGCCCTGGGGACCTGGGATCCCTGCTCTCCCTTGCCAGGGTCTGGGTGAGGTGGCTGCCGGGCGGCCAGCGAGGCCTGGAATGTCCAGGCAGCGTCTCCACTCCCCAGTGGTCCCACTCAGATCAGGCAGCCCCAGGTCACAGGGAGGGCCGGAGGCTGCAGCCCACTTCCCAGATGGTTTGTTCTCACCCTGCACCCCCTGGGAAGGAGGGCTGGGCACGGGCACCAGGCCTTAGGGCCTGTTGTGGGGGCACCTCCTCGCTGCTTCATAACTAACTCCCCTGCTCTGTCTCCAGTGGCGCCTCTGGGGTCCCCATGCACCCACCTGGCCCTGGAGAAGGGAGGGACGGGCCGCGTGCCTGTGCCCCTACCCACCGCACGTCGTCACCCCTTTTCCTGGGACTGGTTTGTGCGCGTCCTGGTCTCCGGATGGTACGGGGGGCCTGGGGGCCATGTCGTGCTGTGTGTCTGTGTCCTGATGCCCTGCCAGGTGGGCAGCAGAGAAGGGAGAAGGGTCCTCGGTCCTGCCCCTGCCCCGGCACCCCCCACCTTCTGCTTGGCAGTCAGCTGTCCCCACCTGCTCCCCGCCACCTCCCTCCGCCTCTCCCACCCGACCACGGGGGTGGCCGCCTCATCCGCTGTCCTCTGTTTTCCTTCCTCCTCCGGCCCACCCGGCCCGCCCCGTCCAGTTCACGGATGGGAGGTACTGGATTTACTCTCCCCGCCATCGCCGACTGCGGGCCGTGACGCTGAGCGCCTCGGGGACTGTAAGTGACCGCAGCCGGCCACCCTGGGGAGAAGGGGCAGTGCCCCTCGGGCAGCAGGGAGCCGCAGGTCCCCGGCCGGAAGCTCAGTGTCTGACGTCAGTTGTTTTCCAGAAGGGCTTTGGGTAAATCACGGCTGCAATTGAGGTCAGCCACGCTGGCCCCGGACCAGGCGCTGGGCTGCATGCGTCACTGGGAATGTCATTCGGTCCCACGTCGAACCGGGCGCTCCATAGGGCAGCACCATCACCAGGTGCACAGCTGAGGCCCAGGGTCTGCTTCGGACCCCGGCCAGACCCCAGCGAGCCCCTCTCTGCCCCTGGACCCAGCCCTCTCGTGTCAGGGTGTCTTGGGTGGACGCTTCTCACTCGTGCAGACCTGGCTGCCCGTGGCCCCGCTGGCTGCACAGGGGAGGTTGCACAGGTCAGCAGAGTGGCTGCAGGGCCGGGCTCTGAACCGCAGGGCCATGGAGACGGGGAGGAGATGGTCTCTCCACACCCACCTCACAGATGGAGGCGCTGAGGCCTCGGCTCCCCTGGGAGCCTGGGAGACCACACGGTTTAGTCAAAATCCAGATCCCCAAGCTCTCAAGGAGGTCCCCCTGGGACGCCACATGGGCCCCACGTAGCTGTGAGATCCTCAGGGCCTGCTGTTGTCATTATGACCAATAAGCAAGGGGCCCAGAGAGCCTAAGAGACCTGCCCAGCACCGCACAGCCAGAACGGGGCGCAGACCCAAAGCAGGAGTGTCCCCTCGAGACAAAGCCTCCGCCGAGGCCGCCGTGACTCCCCGCCCATCAGCAAACCTCTCCGAGCACCTCTGTGTGCCAGGCACTGTGGAGTGACCCCAAGAGGTGGAGACCACTTCCCCGGCTGCTCTAGGCAGCTCCGTCCCACGGAGCCAGCGGGAAGCCAGCCACCGCGAAGCCGTGCCCCGGAGATCGTCCAGGAGCTGCCCAGAGGGGCCTGCTGGGAGGAGGAGCACTGGAGAGACCCAGCGGCCCTGCTGGCCACCCCACCATAGGCAGGGAGCAGTTCGCAGAGGCCGCCTACGGAGGGGGGTGCTTGGACTTTGAAAAACACCTGACTTGAAGGGGCAGACGTGGGGAGGGTGGTCTCGGCAGCAGGCACAGCAGAAGCGGAAGTGTGGGGGCCAGAAGGGAGGCAGGGCAGCCATTGAAAGCACCCCAAGGCCTGAGTGCTGAAGAGGCTGTGCCCTTGGTTCTGGTCTTCCTGGGGTCACCCGGTTCTGGGTCCCAGCTGCTACTGCCCCCCACTTCCCCTGTCTGCCCAGCTGCTGGCTGAGGGTGTCCCTCTCTGTCCCCCCAACTCCTGCAGGACAAGGAAGCCACCTGTCCTGCCCTTTCTTTTTTTTCATTTTTTGAGACGGAGTCTTGCTCTGTCGCCCAGGCTGGAGTGCAATGGCATGATCTCAGCTCACTGCAACCTCCACCCCCCAGGTACAAGCAATTATCCTGCCTCAGCCTCCTGAGTAGCTGAGATTACAGGCGCCTGCCACCATGCCTGGCTAATTTTGAGTTTTTTGTTTGTTTGTTTTTTGAGACAGAGTCTCGTTCTGTCGCCCAGGCTGGAGTGCAGTGGCACAATCTCGGCTCGCTGCAAGTTCCGCCTCCCGGGTTCACGCCATTCTCCTGCCTCAGCCTCCCGAGTAGCTGGGACTACAGGCGCCCGCCATCATGCCTGGCTAATTTTTTTGTATTTTTAGTAGAGACGAGGTTTCACCGTGTTCACCAGGATGGTCTCAATCTCCTGACCTCGTGATCTGCCCGCCTCAGCCTCCCAAAGTGCTGGGATTACAGGCGTAAGCCACCGCGCCCAGCCTTGTTTGTTTTTTTTGAGATGGAGTCTCACTCTGTCACCCAGGCTGGAATGCAGTGGCTCAATTTCAGCTCACTGCAACCTCTGGCCTGGGTTCAAGCGATTCTTCTGCCTCAGCCTCCCGAGTTGCTGGGATTACAGGCTCCTGCCACCATGCCCCAATAATTTTTTGTATTTTTAGTAAGAGATGGGGTTTTACCATGTTGGCCAGGCTGGTCTCGAACTCCTGACCTCAGGTATCTGCCCACCTCGGCCTCCCAAAGTTCTGGGATTACAGGCGTGAGCCACCACGCCCGGCCTTAATCTTTGTATTTTTAGTAGAGATAGGGTTTCGCCATATTGGCCAGGCTGGTCTTGAACTCCTGACCTCAAGTGATCCACCTGCCTTGGCCTCCCAAAGTGCTGGGATGACAGGCGTGAGCTCCTGCACCTGGCCTGTATCCCCGTTTCTAATGCTGTAGCAGAAGGATACTGTCATCCCTGCCCACGTGCTGTGTGTGCCCGGGATGCCCCTCCCAGAGAGCGGCTCTGAGGTGGCTGCTGCCACCCTCCTCCCTGCGGGCCAGTTCTTTCAGGGCTCAGGTGGGGACCCTGTTTTGGCCCCACATTTTCAAGTCCCCATGGGATCCATCAGTGCAGCCACCAAATCAGTACTGAGCACCCACATAGGCTCCCCATGCCGGGCTCTCAAGGGACGTTGGGTGGACCTGACCTGCCATTCCCACGTCAGGGATTCCAGGCTGCATTTGCTACCCTGGAGGAACAGGCAAGGCCTGCGCTGGGGTCCTGGCCCCTCAGTGCAGGAGTCAGTCCTCCGCGATGCGGCCTCGCAGGGCAGGAGTGCGCTGCCCTCGGTGCCCAGGGCCCGGGAACAGGGGTCTTGTGGAAGCTGTAGGATCGGGCAGGGTGGAGTGAGCACAGAGGTGGGCCCTTTAGAGGGAGCATGGAGGCAGAGCCCGAGGCAGGGAGAGGCAGTGCTCCTGCAGGTGAGGTCTGGGCTCACCTGGAGCACAAGGGAGGCCCCTGCTGGCCCAGGCTGGGCAACTGGGAGCTGGCAGAGGCATGGGTTGGCCTGGGCAGCAGGTGGGCAGCGTCATCCTGACTGGAAGGACGAGCAGTGGGTCTTGGGGTGATGGACTGGGTTGTGACTGTGGCGAGTTTAGGGGCCGAGGGCCGCCAGGTGGACGTGGCCAGGCAGGTGTGTATTCAGGCCTGGCACTTCAGGCCGAGGCCAGGCCTGGTGGAAATTCGCAGGTCATCTGTGCCGGGAGGGGCGTTGAAGGCTGGGTTGGTGACAGAGGCCCGAGAGAGAGGAGGACACAACAAGGAAGACAGGGCGGCCAGGCTGGAGCCCTGAGAAAGCAGAGCAGCCTAGGGGCAGGAGAAGCAGGGGGAGCTTGAGGGGGTGGGGGCTCCTCAGGAGGCGGGACGGAGGTGTTGGAGGAACGCACCCTCCCTCCCTCCCCAGATCCCACCCAGACCTGGGACCCCTCACGCAGGCACAGCTGGGAAGAGCTGTCCGTGTCCCTGCACACGGCCCTGCCTGTGCCTAGCCCTGAACTTGGCCCTCACTCTGCCCTGCTGCTCAGGAAGGCGTCTCCTGGCTCTTGCAGGGTGGGTGGTCCGAGCCTCAGTCTCTCCTAGCACGTCTGTGCTGGCAGAGGGGACTGGCCCTGCCCGCAGGCAGCCATATATTCAGGTCCCAAAAGGCTTCTGGGTTGGGAAGTAGGTCCGGCACCCCGACCTCCCAGGACCCCCATAGAGAGCTTCCAGGAGCCTGTGCGCTGGTGCCCGTGGCACAGGCAGGATTGGGGGCTGTGGTGGGGCCGGGCTGTGGAGGAGGAGGAGGAGGAGGAACACTCGGTGCTCCAGGTCGCGACCCCCACCCGCTTCCGCCGGCTCTGTCACCTGCTATCTCAGGCCCTGCCTCGACTGAACTAACTGCTTTCTGCCGCCCGCCGTGCCCCGCCCCGCCAAGCTGAGCTGAGGCCCCAGGCCCGTCCAGGTTGGGAGCAAGTCCACCGGGTCAGAGAGGGCAGCTGGGCTGAGCCACCCCTCGTCTTCCATGGGGGATTCGCCTCTTTTATGTTCTCCTGTCTCTTCCTTCCTCCCTCTGCCTCTCTTGCACCTCCTCGCACCCTGCTCTTCCGCGCCCTCCTGCACGCGCGCCCACCTGCCAGCCCACCGATGAGAGGAGCTGGGTGTACTCCCCGCTCCACTATAGCGCCCAGGCCCCCCCGGCCTCCGACGGCGAGAGCGACACAGTAAGTGCAGCCCAGGTGCACCCGCCGGTCCCGTGGGCTCCAAGGTTCTACTGAGCGTGGTCCCCAGCTACTGGGATAGGCAGGGACTGAGGCCCGGGGCGGGAGGGCACAGGTGGCCCAGAGCTCCACCCTGGGCTCTCTGGCTCTGAGGTGGCCGTGGGCTAAGTGTCTCAGGGCCTGTGTTGGCCCAAGGAAGCCAGTCCCTGGCAGGGGGCCTGGGGTGGGCCCTCGCCCCGCCCACCTTCACCTGTCCTCTTGCTCTTGCAGTAATTTCTATGCAGCCCCCGACCCAGAGCCGAGCTCCACTTCTGCTCCGGCTGCCCCCGAAGGCGCTGCCCACCCCGCTGAGGCCCAGAGCTCGGGAGATGCCCGCCTCGCCGCCCCACCGGACCTCGTCCTCCCCCTGCACGGATGCCGACGGCCGGGCCCCTCCCCGACAAGCCTCCCAGGGCCCCGGCACCCCGGTCGGCAGCCTGCCCCTGTGAGACCCACCCTCCCGAGCGGCCAATCGCATTTGAGTCCTTATTTGGCACAGAGACGGAAGCACGTGTGTGCCGTTTTAGGAAAAGAACAAAAAAGACACAAACAAACCAACCAGAGGGAGAAGAGCCCCTGCCCACTGCACTCTTTGGTTCTCTGCTGTGCCTGCCTGTGTCCTGAGGAAGAAGCCAGGCTGTTCGCGGTGGCCTCTGGGGACCTGAGCCCCGGGGGCCCCATCGGCCTGCAGAGGGGACGGCTGGGGTCCCGAGCAACTCTGCCTCCATCCACGTGGGAAGCGGACCCTCCTGCCCTCAGCTTGGGTTTGGGGGCCTCAGTGCAGGACATCTGGCCTGAACATCGACTGTGGGGACAGCCCTCGCCCTGCCAAGCACTGCGGCCACTCAGCAGCTATGTTCCCGCCGCAGTGGGGCCCTGACGCCCACCTCCCAGGTGCCCCTCGAGCAAAAACCTCTGGCGCCTCCAATCCAGACCCACCACAGCTGGAGGGCCAGGCCTCCTCTTCCCCAGGCTGCCACCCACGCTGGCGGAGCTCAGGGCTGGGGACTTGTCCTTCTCTTCCAACGTAGGCCACTCAGCAACTGGCATGGAGGGCCCAGGCAACGGAGACGTTTTCTCCATGGCAGGACAGAGCGGGAGGCCGGGCCTTGGGCCACAGGAGACCAGCTCAGGGCGGAAGGTCAGGCTCCCCGCCCCCTCCACGTGGAGACATGGCCTAGGGGGCCAGGCCCGGCTCCACAGGAGTCTCCTTCAGGACTGGTGTGGATGTCCGCCGCCTCTTTCTTGTTTAAGTGATGTGATGTCTCCGAGGAGGGGAGAGAAGACTTTGTTTCCGACTCATCACCCTCCAAGAGGGCAGCGCTCCCAGTGGTGGGACTCAGCCCAGACTGCCCTGGGGCAGCTTCCTGGGCCCGCTGCGCTCAGAGGGTGCTGGTTGGAGGCCAGAGCTCGGCAGAGTCACCCACCCTGCCCTTCCCCAGGACCCCTGAGAGGGGCTTATTGGTGATGGCTGTGGGAATCCCCCACTTCCAAGATGTGCCCAGGATGTGAGGAGCTGGAGTGGAAGCTGCACCTTTGGGAAGAATTCCTCTCCAGACCTGGCAGAGCCTGGTGTGGGGTCTGAGACGGCCGGAGAACCTCCCAGGCAGGGCTCTGTGTTTTGTCTGTTACAACCTCCGTATGACGCCACGCCACCCGCTGTTCACGTCCCGTCGGCCTCCTGCACAGCCCACACGCTGCGCCCGGAAGGCCCCTGCTGTGGAGAAGCCGGACCCATCCCCGAGGTCCCCAGCGAGGACACACACTCCACGAGAGCAGCCCCTCCACTCTGCCCAGGAGAGGGGCCGACCCTCCTCGGGAACCGGCCAGCCGCGTGGCTCCCAGCATCCATCAGGACAAGCCCACGTGGGGTCCTCCCTGCGTGCTCAGAGGGTCTGTCCAGCCCTGGGAAGCGACCTTGGCCTCAGTTCACAGCCTGGTGCTCATCTGCTGGCACCGGGCATCCACCCATCAGCCCCCGCCCTGTCCCTCCGAAGGACACCCAGCAGGCACCCCCCGGGGAGGCAGGGGCAGAGGTCAGAAGGGGTGTCTGGGACCTGGATGGCCAGCAGGGACAGGGGCATTGTCATCTCAAAGGCCCAACCCCCAGAGGCCACACCAGTCCTCCCAGGGAGTCCTCGAGTCGCCCTGCCCAGAGCCCTGGCACCAGAGACGCCAAGAGCCTGTGGGGTGACTCGGAGCAGCAGGTGTGGCCCCGGGCGGGCGGCACCGCGTCCAGGGCAGCCTCCCTCCGCTGAGTGACACGGGACACCAGTGCCCGGCCGACGCGCCTTTGCAGGAGAAATGTGCAAACCTCTGTGGATACCATTTCATTTCCATTCTTGTGTTGTCTCCAAGGCCCTTTTGGAGATATACTTGGTGTTGGTTGTGTTTTTTGGTTCCTTTTCAGAGAACTGTAAACCGAGGCTGACGTGCTCCACTGACTGTGCCGAGGGGCGGGGGCAGGAGGACGGCAAGACCTATTTATAATATTTAGCGAACTCGGTCTCCCTCAGATCCCCCGCGAGGGAGGCTGCTGGACCCACCCCGCTGTCCCCCATGATAGAAGTCTGTAAATACCTTGGTGACCAATGCCCACTTCCCCTCCTGGGTCACCTCTGATGGCTGCTGTCCACTGAGAACGTGGGCAGTGTCCAAATTCCTGTACTGTAAAGACTAAAAGGCGTTTGCTCTGAGACTGACAAGGCGGAAACTTCCATGTGTCTCCTGCCAGGCTCTGTCCCCCTACGCCATCCCGACACGTCCCCGTTCCCCCGAAACCTGGCTCAGTGCAATACTCCCATTGCCATGGGGTCCTTCACCATGGTACTGTCTCCACAGCCCTCAGTCCCCACCCCAGGAGAGGCGCCTGCCACCTCCTCCTCATCTCCGGTGGTTCAATCGCTCCGCCTGTCCCCAACCCAGTCCCATTTTTATGGCCAAACTGATTCTGAAACAAAATGAAACTGCAAACCTCGTGTGTCTTAACTCCCCCCAGGGATGCCACTCCATTCCTCCGCCCCGTGGTCTGGTGCGTGACAATCCAAAGCGCCGAGACGAGGGTGCTGTGTCCCTCAAACCCAGAGTGGTGGGCGCCTCTGAAACCATACAGCCACTCCTGGCCCCAAACACTGGTTTGCATCCCAGGTTCCTCGCCCACCTACCCCCGCCACACCCCGTCTTTTTAGAGATCTCTCTAATAAATCGGGTAATAAGCATCCGCCTGTTTGCCTTTCTGTGGGTTCCGGAGGTCTGGTTGGGAGTCTGAGGAGTGACTTTGTTCTGTGTTTTTTGTTTTCTGTTTTTGTTTGTTTGTTTGTTTTCTTTTTAAGAGATGGAGTCTCGCTCTCCACCCAGGCTGGAGTGCAGTGGCGCAATCTCAGCTCACTGCAAGCTCCGTCTCCTGGGTTCACACCATTCTCCTGCCTCAGCCTCCTGAGTAGCTGGGACTACAGGCGCCCGCCACCACGCCCAGCTAATTTTTTATTTTTAGTAGAGGCAGGGTTTCACCATGTTAGCCAGGATGGTCTCGATCTCCTGACCTCGTGATCCGCCCACCTCGGCCTCCCAAAGTGCTGGGATTACAGGTGTGAGCCACCGCACCCAGCCTGTGTTTTGTTTTTTTTTTTTTTGAGATGGAGTCTCGTTCTGTTGCCCAGGCTGGAGCGCAGTGGAGTGATCTCAGCTCACTGCAACCTCTGCCTCCCGGGTTCAAGCCATTCTCCTGCCTCAGCCTCCCGAGTAGCTGGGACCACAGGCGCCCGCCACCACACCTGGCTAATTTTTTTGTATTTTTAGTAGAGACGGGGTTTCACCACATTGGCCAGGCTGGTCTCAAACTCCTGACCTCAAAGGACCCACCCGCCTCATCCCAAAGTGCTGAGATTACAGGCGTAAGCCACCGTGCCTGGCCTGAGGACTGACTTTGAATCTTAGAGAAGAGAGAAACCTTTGTGAGATTGATGCTGATACCAGTAATAGGACCCAAACACCTTACCAGCTGTGAACCTTCTTCAGGTCCCAGTTCAGCTCAGAAAACATTTTATTGTTTCCAACATCTTTGCAGCCCCCCAAAGTTTGTATTTGTTCTGCTAGAGCGGTTCCAATTCAGTCACGTTTGGACCCCTTGAAGGGAACACATTTATCTTGGACTCCCAGGTTGAGAAACTACATTGAAAACAAGATCCTGGCCAGGCGTGATGGCTCACACCTGTAATCCCAGCTACTCGGGAGGCTGAGGCCAGAGAATTGCTCCAACCTGGGAGGCAGAGTTTGCAGTGAGCTGAGATCATGCCCCTGCACTCCAGCCTGGGCGACAGAGCAAGAAAATGTCTCAAAAAAAAAAAAAAAAAAAAAGTAAGATCCTGTCTGTAAGGGAGCCGTTGGAACGTTTCAGCACAGCTGTTTTATAAACTGAACATGGAGGTGATCTCGTTGTTTTAAGTTTGTTTTTTGTTTTTTTGTTTTTTTTTTTTGAGATGGAGTCTCGCTCTGTCACCCAGGCTGGAATGCAATGGTACGATCTCAGCTCACTGCAACCTCCGCCTCCCAGGTTCAAGCAATTCTTCCTCGGCCTCCTGAGTAGCTGGGACTACAGGTGCCTGGCACTACACCCGGCTAAATTTTGTATTTTTAGTAGAGGTGGGGTTTCACCATGTTGACAAGGCTGGTCTCGAACTCCTGAACTCAGGTGATCCACCCACCTTGGCCTCTCAAAGTGCTGGGATTACAGGACTGAGCCACCGCGCCCGGCCCATGCAAGTGATCTCTTAATGTGCTGCAAGGATGCATCTGAATTTTGGGAAGCACAGGGTCAGGCCTTCGCTTTGTTTTGGGCCATCCCATCAGCATGACAACCCACATCTCAGGACCGGCAAGGTCATCATCTAGAGCGGCAGGAGATGGTCTCTTCTTCCTCTGTAAGGTTCCATCCTTGCCTTAACACCAAGCAAAGCATACAAAGCCAGCGTTTACGGGGATGTTATGAAGTTGTATTCCAAGATAAACGTTTTATTTATTTATTTATTTATTTATTTATTTATTTGAGACGGGGACTTGCTCTGTCGCCCAGGTTGGAGTGCAATGATGCGATCTCAACTCACAGGAACCTCTGCCTCCTGGGTTCAAGCGATTCTTCTGCCTCAGCCTCCCGAGTAGCTGGAATTACAAGCATGCCACCATGCCCAGCTAATTTTTGTATTTTTAGTAGAGACGGGGTTTCGCCATGTTGGACAGGCTGGTCTCGAACTCCTGACCTCAAGATCCACCTGCCACGGCCTCCCAAAGTGTTGGGATTACAGGCATGAGCCACTGCACCCCACTCAAGATAAACATTTTAATTTTCTTTTTTTTTTTGAGACGGAGTCTTGCTCTATCGCCGAGGCCATAGCGCAGTGGCACGATCTCGGCTCACTGCGACCTCCGCCTCCCAGGTTCAAGCAATTCTCCCTGCCTCAACCTCCCAAGTAGCTGGGATCACAGGTGCATGCCACCACACCCGGCTAATTTTTGTATTATTTAGTAGAGATAGGGTTTCACCATATTGGCCAGGCTGGTCTTGAACTCCCGACCTCAGGTGATCCGCCCGCCTCGGCCTCTCAAAGTGCTGGGGTTACAGGCGTGAGCCACCGTGCCCGGCCAAGATAAATATTTTAAAAGTTAGCTTAAATTACTATCATCCTCCATAAACAGGCCTTCCCAGCCCCGAGTGGTTAGAACTGCACGGGGTGGTGGTAGCAGCCACCATGGGCTAGGGGAGCTCAGGATGGGACATCAGCGTCTTCTAGGTCTCTGGCCTCCAGCCTTGCCCCTGAAGTCCGTCCTCCCACGCCAAACTTGTTTCAACAGCAAGTCCCCCAAACCCTGCTCACAACCCTCCCACGGGTCCCCAGCACCCACACCACAAAGCTGGGCAGCCTGGGTTGAGAAGGCAAGTGTTAAGAGTGACTTTCCCTCTCTGAGCCTCAGTTTCCCCGTCTCTAAAATGGGTTGATGGGGGAATACAGGGAGTTATCAAAGTTTTTGTTTTTTTTTAAAGCTTAACTCCCAAAATACATAGGTGTTCATTGGCAGGTGGTGGAGCATAACGATGACTCTCATAAGAAGGCTTTTCAGTTTCTGTCCCCGCGCCCGCCCTCTGCCCTCTGGAGCTGCCTGGCACCTAACACCTTCCCGGTTCCTCGCCTTTCGGGGACCTCGCTCCCCGGACACGCCTCTCCTCGGCCACGCCCCTGGCCACGCCAATGAAGCGCTACTTCCGACCTAGACCCGCTTCTTATTGGTCTCGCCTCGGCAGGCCCCTCCCTGCACAAGGTTCCTAGTTTGCCCTTGCCCCGCCCACAGTTTCTCAGGCCCCCTGAGGCGTGGGGACCCGCCTAGGGCTGCCTCCAGCACTGCCTGAAAGGAGACTCCGCCACCCTGGAGGCAACAATCCCACTGGAGTCAATCACGCGGTCCACATTTGCAGACGTAGTGGAAAGTCTGGGGTGTCGGAGTCCTTGCGGGCTGGGGCGACGGGATGGGTTGCTCTTTCCCGGCTCAGGCGCAAACGGGGCAGCCTGGAGAGCGCCGTGGGCGAGGAAGGCCCCCAGCGCAGGCTTCGGCTATTGGTGTTGGTGCCGCGGCCACTGGCCCAGCCGATGGGTCGGGACACACGCTCGCGCTCGCGGTCCGCGGGTCGCCGGGGCCGAAGGCGGCAGAGTCAGAGCGGGAGCCGAAGTCGGAGCAGGAGCCATGGGCGGCGAAACCGACGGCGCCGGGAGGACGAGGGACGGCGCAGACGGAGGCGGCGGAGCCGGGAGCGCAGGTGGGGTCGCTGCGGGAGCAGCGCTGGGGATCCGGCTCCTACCTCAGGAGCGCCCGACCGAGGGTTGGAGATCCCGGGGAACCGGGAAACCCCCGACTTACTCGGGGAGGGCTTCCTAGAGAAGGGGACAATTGACCACCGGTTGGAATTAACCTGGCAGCGGAAGGAAGGCGAGAGGCGTTCCAGGCAGGGGACCGGGCGGTTGGAGGGACAGCCCGGAGCCGGGTGAGCGAGGCGGCGGGGAGGTAACGAGAGATCAGATCATATCATATCGAGCCCTGTGTGCTCAGCACATTAGATCTTGGCTATTAGTCGGAGGGAAATGGAGAGTCTTGAGAGGAGTTTGGGTAGGGGAGTGACGTGGACTGACTTAACTCTGCATACTTTCTGGCTTTGAGGTGGAGAAGGGATGGAGCGGGGTAGGCAGGAGCGGCATCAGAGTAGGACGGCACAATTGTCCAGACAGTAGATGATGGCAGTCTCGATGGGAGGGAGGCTGTAGTCAACCACAGCGGGCAAAGTGCGTAGATTTCAGAGGGATTCTGGAAGTAGAGGAGACAACATTTGCTAATGGAGGTGGGCTGTGGGAGGGAAAAAGACTCGGTGTCAGCTGGCAGGACTCACAGCTGATTCCTAGTGCCTGAATCTCAGCTTCCCCATGGTCCTTTTCTTCTGGAGATGGGGCACTTGGTCGGATTTGCCTTGAGCCGGCTCCAGTACAGAGAAACCAAAATGGGGACAGGGACTGATTCCCAGACCGGGGCCCCAGTGCTGGCTCAGCCCCTTCGTGGCTGACACTCAGGCCAGTCTTGCCCCGCTCTGGGCCAAGTTCACTCATCGGTTGTTGGTTTTTTTGTTTGTTTGTTTTTGAGACGGAGTCTTGCTCTGTCGCCCAGGCTGGGGTGCAGTGGCACGATCTCGGCTGTTACCTCTGCCTCCTGGGTTCAAGCGATTCTTCAGCCTCAGCCTCCCCGGTAGCTGGGGTTACAGGTGCTTGTTGCCACACCCAGCTAATTTTTGAATTTTTTCGTAGAGCTGGGATTTCTCCATATTGGCCAGGCAGGTCTTGAACTCCTGGCCTCAAGTGATCTGCCCGCCTCGGCCTCCCAAAGTGCTGGGATTACAGGCGTGAGCCACCGCGCCTGCCCATAAGTCTTGTTAATGTCATCTTTGTGTTTTTTCGCCTACCATTTTCTGGTATTGGAATTATTCACAATAATTTGCCACTCTAGATATGTAATTAGAATTAATGTTCACGAAAATTCAGTTGAACTTGTGGCCAATATTTAAGGGCTCTGCAATGATTGGTTTCAACATAGTTTAGATTTTTTTGACATGAGCTTAATGGGTAGAGCATTTAACAAAATATTTGGCAGTTCTCTGTGTACAAAGACCCCTAAACGTGACTGAGCGCAGTGGCTCACATCTGTAATCCCAACACTTTGGGAGGCTGAGACAGGAGGCTTGCCTGAGCCCAGGAGTTCAAGACCAGCCTGGGCAACATAGCAAGACCCCTCTGTACAAAAAAATGTAAAGAGTTACCTGGGCGTGGTGGTGTGTGCCTGTAGTCCCCGCTACTCAGGAGGCTGAGGCGAGAGGATGGCTTGAGCCCAGGAGGTCAAGGCTGCAGTGAGCTCTGATCATGCACTCCAGCCTGTGTGACAGAGGGAGACTCTGTCTCTAATAAATAAAAATATAGACCTTGTCTCTAGTAGACTCTGTGTCTAGTAGACCTTGTCTCTAATAAATAAAATTAAAGGCCCCTGAACCACCCCTGAGGTTGTGCATCTTCCATTCCCTGCGCTCTACTCTGTTAACTCCTGTCCATCCTGTGGGACTAGTTCAAATACCACTTCCATCTAGGAAGCCCTCCCTTGACAGCCTAAATGTGTTCGGGTCCCCTGGTTCGTACCCTTATAATTCCTGCGCCACCAGCCCCAGCCACCTCCCTGCCCGCGCCTCCTCCCTCTCCCCCACACTCTGTCTCAGCCATACAGCCTCCTTGTTGTTCTTAGAATGTGGCAGGTCAGTGCCTGCCTCTAGGCCCTCGCTCTTGCTCTGCCTCGAGCACTCTCCCTCCGAATCCACCCATCGCTGCCTCCCCACTCCCTCCAGACCTTGGCTCAGTGTCAGCTCCTGAGAGAGCCCCTCTCTGACCTCGGCCCTGCAGCCCCAGCCCCTGTGCTCGGCATTGCTACTCTTTGTGGCTTCTGCCTCTGCCTAGTGTTGCGTGGTGTGTTTATTTGTTGATGTCTTCCTTGTTGGGGCCCACCAGAGGGTGAGCCCAGGAAGGCAGAAGCCATCGGTATTTGGGTCACTGCTGTGTCCCCAGAACCTAGAACAGTGCCTGCTCCCCCACGGGCACCCAGTAAGCATCTGTGGAGCAGATGACAGCTGCAGGCACTGAGCAGGCATCCATGGTCCTCTCCGCAGGTCAGATTCAGAGGAAGAGCGGTGGCAGCGCTCAGGGATGCGAAGCCGGAGCCCCCCGCGGCCCAAGTGGCACTCAAGAGATGGGTCCTCTCAGTCGGACTCAGGAGAGGAGCAGTCACGGGGCCAGTGGGCTCGCCGGCGACGGCGCGCACGCTCGTGGTCTCCTAGCTCCTCAGCATCCAGCTCCGCGTCTCCAGGGCGATCCCAGAGCCCCCGGGCGGCCGCGGCTGCCCTGAGCCAGCAGCAGAGCCTGCAGGAGCGGCTGCGGCTGCGGGAGGAGCGGAAGCAGCAGGAGGAGCTGATGAAGGCCTTCGAGACGCCCGAGGAGAAGCGCGCACGGCGGCTGGCCAAGAAGGAGGCCAAGGAGCGCAAGAAGCGGGAGAAGATGGGCTGGGGTGAGGAGTACATGGGCTACACCAACACCGACAACCCCTTCGGAGACAACAACCTGCTGGGCACCTTCATCTGGAATAAGGTGGGCCCCGCCGGGTGGTGGCCTCTGTCCCTGTAGCATTTCCACTGTTTCTGGAGACCCCAACACTTGAGACACTCCCAGCCTGCCCTTGATCGTGCAAGAGTTGGTTTTACACACACACGCATAAGCAAGCTTCTGCCGCTATCAGCTTTCTTTTTTGACACAGGGTCTCGCTCTGTCGCCCAGGCTGGAGTGAAGTGGTGTGATCTCGGCTCACTGCAAGCTCCACCTCCCGGGTTCATGCCATTCTCCTGCCTCAGCCTCCTGAGTAGCTGGGGCTACAGGCGCCCGCTACCACGCCCGGCTAATTTTTTGTATTTTTAGTAGAGACAGGGTTTCACCATGTTAGCCAGGATGGTCTCGATCTCCTGACCTTGTGATCCACCCGCCTTGGCCTCCCAAAGTGCTGGGATTACAGGCGTGAGCCACCACGCCCGGCCAGCTTTCTTTTTTGACTCAGGGTCTCGCTCTGTCACCCAGGCTGGAGTGCAGTGGCGTGATCGTGGCTAACTGCAGCCTTGACCTCCTGGCCTCAAGCGATCCTCCTACCTCAGCGTTTTGACTTGCTGGGACTACAGGCACCACCACCATGCCCGGCTAATTTTTTATTTTTTTGTAAAGATGGAGTCTCACTATGTTGGCCAGGCTGGTCTCGAACTCCTAAGCTCAAGTGATTTTCCCACCTCGGCCTCCCAGAGTTCTGGGATTACAGGCATGAGCCACTGCGCCCAGCCCACCGTCATTTTCTTGCCATTAACTGTGTCTCTTGCGGTGTAAGCTTCAGCCATTCTTTGCCCCGAACACCAGCCCAACCTGAAACCTATCTAGAGAGCCAGCTCTTGGCATCATGTACCCAGGACAGGGTTCCACAGTTCCAGGCGCTCTGTCGTCTGAGCTGGTTCTTTCGTTCTGCGCCTGCCATTTAGCCACCAGTCACACCAGTGGCATAAGACAACAGAACTTATCATCTCTTCGTTCTGGAGTCCAGAAGTCCAAAATCAAGGCGTGGGCAGGTGTGGGCAGGACCCCACTCCCTCTGGGGGCCGAGGGGAGGCCCCTCCTGCCTCTCCCAGCTCCAGTCATGGCCGGTGATTCCTGGGCCCTCCCTGGCTTGCAGCCGCAGAACCCGGCCTGTTCCTGTGTTGTGTGGCGGTCTGCCTTCCCGTCTCTGTCTCCATACGGCCTTCTGCTCTGTGTGTCTGTGTGTAAATGTTCCTCTTCCCATGAGGACACCAGGCATTGGATGAGGGCCCGCCACCTCCAGGATGACCTCATCTTACCTACGTCTGCAAGACCTCATCACTTTTTTTTTTTTTTTTTTTTTGAGATGGAGTCTCACTCTGTTGCCCAGACTAGAATGCAAAGGCGCAATCTCGGCTCACTGCAACCTCCGCTTCCTGGGTTCAAGTGATTCCCCTGCCCCAGCCTCCCAAGTAGCTGGAATTACAGGCGGGTGCCACCACACTCAGCTAATTTTTGTATTTTTAGTAGACAGAGTTTAACCATGTTGGTCAGGCTGGTCTCGAACTCCTGACCTCAAGTGATCTGCCCGCCTTGGCCTCCCAATATGCTGGGATTACAGGTGTCAGCCACCATACCTGGCCAAGACCTCATTTCACATGGGGTCATGATTACAGCTGCAGGGGTTCAGACGGGGATGTGCCTGTGGGGGACACAGCTCATCTGAAGCAGCATCCACTTGTGGAGGGGGTGGAGCAGGCAACGTGTGGGCTGGGCCGACTGCACCTGCTCGCCGGTTGCGCAGTTGGGAGCTGTGGGGTCTCCAGGTGGCTTCTGCCCGATGTCGTCTGAGAACACAACGAGCTCCTTCCGCCTCGGGGCCCTCACACTGCCGCGCCCCTGCCTGGACATGCTCTGCCCCTTCCCCGGCTGTTCTCTTCCGTCAGGCCTCAACTGACACATCCCCTCTTGAGAGACCCCTTCCTGGCCCCTTGCTCCCCAGACCCCCCAGAGTTCTTTATTGAGGCACACACTGCTGCCTGGCACTTCATCGCCACCATGTGCTGTGCACCTGCGGTGTGCTGGGCACCACCGTGAGCTCTGGGCGGGCAGCCATGGAGGAGGAAGATGTGGTCATCGTTGACGCCTGTGGAAGCGGCCCCAGGCTGGGTTGGATAGACCACAGAGTGGCCCGGGTGTCTGGGGGTGGTCCCCAGCCAGGCAGCCTGTGTCCCTGGAGGCAAGTTCTGGGCGGCAGGGGTTCCTGGAACCCCCTCATGGCGACGGGGCACCGGGAGCCTGAGGAAGGTGGTCGGGAAGTGGGGGCTCCGCGCCAGGCTCTCAGACAGCTGCTGGAAGAAGCCAGCTTTGAGGGTCTCCAGGCTGGGACAAGCCCATCAGTGGCCACCCCTGTGCCCCGCTGTGTGGGCGGGGCCCCATGACCCCACAGGTTTGCTTTCAGAGCTGCTGCTGCCCCCACTCACTGTTCCTGCCCTGTCCCACGTGCAGTGGGGGACCCTGACTTGCTGAGGGCGTGGCCTTCACGTCCGAAGCACTCAGACTCCCGGGTAAAGCGAGTCAGCAGGCCCCGAGCAAGGCTCTTCTGTTGGGGGCTGGGGTGGCCCCGAGCAAGGCCCTCCTGTTGGGAGTTGGGGCGGCCCCGAGTGAGGCCCTCCTGTTGAGAGTTGGGGTAGCCCCTTCTTACCCTTTGCATACATCTCACTCCCAGTGGGGGCTCCATGTCTGCACTGAATTGGATGCACTGGGTTTCAGGAGTGTTAAGGAGGGGGTGGAAGACGTGCAGTGCTGGCAGGTCACCTCTCTCTGCAAAACAAGGGCCCTGGTCAATCTCTTGGACGAAGGAGCTGAGGAGGGGGGCGAGGGGGCGGGTCTGTGCTCAGGGCAGGTGTGCCTGGTGCTTCCAGGCCCTGGAGAAGAAGGGGATCAGCCACCTGGAGGAGAAGGAGCTGAAGGAGCGGAACAAGAGGATCCAGGAGGACAACCGGCTGGAGCTGCAGAAGGTAGGCACCCTGCCAGCCCACTGGGCAGGGCCCTCCCTTTCCAGGGCCTGGAGGCCCGCCCCCTTTGGCAGGACTTGAGGGGCTTAAGTGGGAAGTCCTGGGGGCTGGCTTCAGGTAAGGCTGGATCCAGGGGCTCAGACCATGGCCCCAGGAAACTGTTTCCCTCCACCTCTCGGCTCTGCTGGCCTCGGGCCTTCACTCCCACATGCTCCCTTCAGGGTGGCCGAGAGGGCCCCAGCTGATCTGAGCTGCTGAGTCTCGGGCAGGAGGGCCCTCTCCCTTCCCAAGGTCTGTCCACCAGCCCAGGCATCTCCGGACCAATCCCTGTGCCCAGGGCAGCTGGGTGAAGGCTGGGCCCCCATCATCACAGCCCCTCCCCCCGCAGCCCTGCAGACCGCACGGTCCCCGCTGCCCTCAGCCTCCTGTGCCTGCAGGTGAAGCAGCTGCGGCTGGAGCGGGAGCGGGAGAAGGCCATGCGCGAGCAGGAGCTGGAGATGCTGCAGCGCGAGAAGGAGGCAGAGCACTTCAAGACATGGGAGGAGCAGGAGGACAACTTCCACCTCCAGCAGGCCAAGCTGCGGTGCGCTGGGGCCTCCCCCTCCCTCCGACCCAGACTTGGAGCCAGGGCCGGGCACTGGCTGTCACTCTGGAAGCCACTGCTCTCCCACCCTTCAGGGTCCCACACGGCACTTCCTGGGACCTTCCCTTCCTGACCCCTTCCCGGGCGGCAAGGCTTCTGTCTCCTGCCCTCCCCTGCTGGGCAGGGTGCAGAGGAGACGGGCCCAGGTGAACGGCACCCCACGCATGCTGGACGCCAGTCCTGCACTGACTGCAGTTGTCCCTCCCACACTCCACCCAGGAGGGTGGCACCCCCATCCGCCTGGTTTACAGACAAGCTGAGGCTCCGGGGTGTCCCTGCTTGCCTTGGGCCCCGTGGCGGGTGACATCAGGCTCCTCCCAGCTCGGGCCTCCCTGGTGACGGGTTCCCTTGGGTTGGACCAGGGCCCGCCTGCAACGCGTACCCCCCTGCAGGCCCAGAACAGAAACCCGGCTCTCTGCCCCGAGTGGTCTGCCTGGGGGAGGAGGTGGTTGCAAGGCAGTGACTACTCTGGTCCCCCAGCCTGCCTCTGCTTCAGCTCCTCCACTCTTCCCCATCACAGCCCACATAGAAGCCGCCATCCTGGGCACATCCCAGAGGCCCTCCAGGAAGCCCCTCCCACCTGGCCCACCTCCGGGTCCACGCTGCTTGCACTTTGTCTGCACTGCTGGCCTGCGCCCTTTGGCTGACCCGGCTCACTCTACCTTATGCCTCCTCCTCCTCCTCCTCCAGGAAGCCTTCCCTGACCACCCCCAACGGGTCAGGCCCCTCCTCGGCTCCCACTGGTGTGGTCACCCCAAGGGCAGGGTCTTTAGCATGGAGGGCACAGCCCAGGCTCTGATGCCACCTTCCCCTGCTCCCCACAGTTCCAAGATCCGCATCCGGGACGGGCGGGCCAAGCCCATCGACCTGCTGGCCAAGTACATCAGCGCTGAGGATGACGATCTGGCCGTGGAGATGCATGAGCCCTACACGTTCCTCAACGGCCTCACCGTGGCCGACATGGAGGACCTGCTGGAGGATATCCAGGTACCCAGCCCCACCCGATGCTCCTCTGACCTGCACCCTCACCCCCACCCCAGCCACACCCGTGTCCTGACCCCTGCCCCCTGCCCCCAGGTCTACATGGAGCTGGAGCAGGGCAAGAACGCCGACTTCTGGCGGGACATGACCACCATCACCGAGGACGAGATCTCCAAGCTCCGCAAGCTGGAGGCCTCGGGCAAGGGGCCAGGTAACGGCGGGCATGGGCCTGGGCTCCAGGGGAGCTGCGGGGGCTACAGTGTTCACCCAGAAGCCTCAGACTTGCTGTGGGGCCTGGTGCTCTCTGCAGGCCTCGGTTTCCCCAACTGGGGCCTCCCCTTCTGGGCCGAGCCACCAGGGGGCAGCAGCGGGCAGTAGGCCCTGGGAGGGATGAGTGGGGCGGGCCTCTGTCTGGGGTGCAGGGCCAGCAGCGTCCAGACCCAGCGTCCCGTTAACGCTGACTCGGCGGTGCCGGCCTTATGGGAGCCACGGGGCTTTCCGCTCAGGTTTCAGTGCTCTCAGTGGCTCTGCCTGTTTGACAGCAAGTCTCGCTCCACCTGGCCTGAAGGCCGTGCAGCCCAGCTTCAGGGCGCTACCTGTCCCGTGCGTCAGTTCGTGCCCCTCCAACCTGATGGGCTTTTAAAATCACGTTTCCCCCCCCTCCGTGTGGTTGCACACACATGGTCACCGGGGATGCTCTAAAGCGTCTACCCTGAGCACTGCGGACATGCGGGCTGGGCCGTTCCCTAGGGTGGGGCCGTCCTGGACACTGCTGGGTGCTGAGCAACGTCCCTGGCCTCCACCCAGGGTCAGGAGCACCCCTAGTCCTGACAACCGCAGATGTCCCCAGACGTTGCCCAGAGTCCCCTGGGGGCAGAATTGCCCTAGATGAGACCCCCCCCCCCCCCGGTCTAAAAGCCAACCACAGCAGCCCTGCCCCCTCCCCGCCAAAATCCACGCCCCAGCGGCTGCTGTAACAGTGCCTGGCTCTCATGGGCCACGCATCCCTGTCGATAGACCCGGTCCTTCCCCTGCCCTCCCTCTCAGGCCTTGGGTGCCATCATGGTGGCCGAGGATCCCAGGAGGCTGGGTCAGTGTCATTTGCAGCCCTCAGCGTGGTCTGTGGCAGGTCCTTCCTAGGAAAGAGCCTGTGGCTTTCCTCTTTTTCAGTGGAGCTTTGTGTTCCCCGGAGGTGGAGTTCACTCAGCCATCCTGTCCCTCCAGTGGTCTCCTCCGTGGGGCACATTCTCCCGTAACCTCAGAGAGGCAGGGCAGTTCTCCAGCATCAGAGGTGTGTCCGTTAAGGGTCTTGGTGTGCTCCTGCTGGTGGCAGCGGGGCTGGGCAAAGACTTCTGGGTGCAGTACATTTTCCTTCAGAAGCCGCAGACCCTACCCACCGGCTGCAGGAAGCCTGGGAGGCGTTTCCAGCGTTGCCCTAGGCCCCGCCCTCTCCTGTAAGACTGGGAGGCGTTTCCAGCGTTGCCCTGGGCCCGGCCTCTCCTATAAGCCTGGGAGGCGTTTCCAGCGTGCCCCACTGCCCTAGGCCCCGGCCTCTCCCATCCCTTCCATGGCCTTCTGCCTCCACCACGTCGCTCAGCCCTCCTTTCCCCTCACGCGTTACAGTTGGGGACCCCAGGTGGCTTTGGTGTCTTCCGAGGGAGTTTGTTTCTGATTCTCCTTTCAACATGGTTTCCAGGAGTAGGGAACCGAGGGGTCTTGACTTTGCTGTCCCCCTGGAGACCCACAGAGCCCCTGTCCTGGATCTTCTTAAATTAATTGGGGTTTTCCTTTTACTTTTCATTTTTCAGAGACAAGGTCTCGCTCTGTCGCCCAGGCGAGAGTTGAGTGGCGCGATCAAGGCTCACTGTAGCCTCGACTTCCTGGGTTCAGGTGATCCTCCCACCTCAGCCTCCCTAGAAGCTGGGACTACAGGCGCTCACCATCACACCCAGCTATTTTATTTTTTGAGAAGGAGTCTCACTCTGTCACCAGGCTGGAGTGCAGTGGTGCGATCTCTGCTCACTGTGACCTCTGCCTCCCAGATTCAAGCGATTCTCCTGCCTCAGCTGCCCAAGTAGCTGGGATTACAGACGCGCGCCATCACGCCCAGCTAATTTTTGTATTTTTAAGGAGACAGGGTTTCACCATGTTGGCCAGGATGGTCTCAATCTCTTGACCTCATGATCCTCCCACCTCAGCCTCCCAAAGTGCTGGGATTACAGAAGTGAGCCACTGTGCCCAGCCACTTCTGAAAATTTTTTGTAGAGATGGGGTCTCACTGTGTTGCCCAGGCTAGTCTTGAACTCCTGGCCTCAAGCAATCCTCCTGCCTCACCTCCAGAAGGGCTAGGATTAAAGGCATGAGTGACTGCATGCTTTTTCTTTTTAATTTTTACAAAATTAAAGTTTTTTTATTATTTCTGTAGGTTATTGGGGAACAGGTGGTGTTTGGTTACATGAATAAGTTTTTTTGTTTTTTGAGACGGTGTCTTGCTCTCTTGCCAGGCTGGAGTGCAGTGGTGTGTTCTCAGGTCACTGCAACCTCTGCCTCCTGGGTTCAAGCAATTCCCCTGCCTCAGCCTCCCAAGTAGCTGGGATTACAGGCACCTACCACCACACCTGGCTAATTTTTTGTATTTTAGTAGAGACAGGGTTTCACGATGTTGGCCAAGATGGTCTTGATCTCCTGACCTCGTGATCCACCCACCTCAGCCTCCAAAAGTGCTGGGATTACAGGCGTGAGCCATCGTGCCCGGCCGTTTACATGAATAAGTTCTTTAGTGGTGACTTGTGAGATTTTGGTGCACCTAGCTTTTTCTAGGAAGTTCTAACCCTACAGGAGGTTGTGCAGTAGAAAACGGGTGTCATCCCAGCTCAGCTTCATTAGCCTCCCACCCTGTGTAGGGCCTGGCCTTTCCCCCACGCAGCCCCAGGGCCCTTGGCCTGCACCCCCAGCCTCTAGCAGCTGCTGGGACCCCCTAAACCCCCGGGCCCCCTTGTGGGCATTCGGGAGGCATCCAGACATGCAGCAGCATGTCCAGACCCGGCTTTCTATAGACGCTGACCTGGCGGCACCTGGCCTGGCTTCCTGGGAGCCTCGCGGCTGGGCTCTTCTGCTTGGGTTTCAGTGTTCGTGGTAGCCCCGCCTGTCTGGGCACGGCCGCGCTGTGCTTGGCTGGGGCTGCCACGGATTCCAGTGCCACTTAGCGCCCAGCAAAGGGGCTGCAGCTCTGGGTGCCGATTCCAGGGTCCCAGGTGATTGGCTGGAGGGGACTCGGGTCCGTCTAGACTCTATCCAGTCCCCTGTGGTGTAGGTGTGGGCCTCTTGACCCTCTGTCCGCCAGCGGGGACTGGAGAAGGCAGGTCTCGAGCAGGGTGCCTGCACTGGTCACCCCCGCCCAGTGTGTCACCAGCAGCTATGCACCAAGCTCCCTGTGGGCCCAGCATGGCACAGGGAACAGCAGCAGCCAGCCCCATTGCCCGCCTCGGGAAGCTGCCATCGCTGGATGGTCAGGGAGGGCTTCCTGGCGGAAGGGATGTTCTCACTGAGCATGGAGGATGCGAGGAATTCAGGAAGCGAATGGGACAGAGAAGGATGGGTAGCTGGCAGGAAGCACAGTGCGTGCAAAGGCCCAGAGGTGGCAGGGGTTCGGCATGGGCAGCAAGGGGCAGGGTTGCGAGGTGAGGCCAGACCCAGCGGGGTGGGTGGAAGTGGCCTGAGAGCAGCACTGAGGCCGCCGGGATGCCACGTGGTGTGGGGCAGAGCACGCGGAGTCAGGCTAGGCTCCAGCCTCCCAGCACCCCACTCCCGCCCTCAGCAGCCTCCCCGTCTATCGAGGAGGGACTTGAGCCTCGGGCCCCTGGGCCAGTGGTAGATGCCAGACAGACTCCATGTAGGATGGGGGGCGGCGGTGGGGAGCTGTTTGTCCTGGGGCGGGCCCAGGACTTCCCCAGGGGCCAGCAGGGTGGCCTTCTTTGCTAGGCTTCACAGAGGGAAACTAAGGCCCAGAAAGGGCAGGCCACTTGCCCACAGTCACACAGCCCAGGCTGGCAGAGAAGATCTGAATTCCAGAGAGCCTGGCTACCGAGCACACCCCCCAACCCCCTCATGGACTGCCCAAGGCCAGGGCAGAGTTGGGCCAGGTTGGTGGGCCGGGCCCACAACTAGGGTTCCCAGACCCACATATCAGACTCACCTGGGGAGGGGCATTCTCAGGGCCAGTCCTGGCCTCCCCCACGCTGGGGGCCTGGGCCTCCAGGTCAAGGCCTCAGCAACTGCATCTTAACGTGGCTCCCAACCTCCGCCCACCCCCTCCCCTCCGCTGTGGCCAGGGTGGGGACAACCTGAGACCAGGGAGGTGGCGGGACTGGATGGGACCCCTGTGGGGGAAGAGGAGGGGAGGGGGACCCCCCCATGGCAGGGGAGGAGGCCCTGATGGGGTGGAGGAGCACGTAGGAAATGTGGAACCGCCCCCCCATGCCCCCACCCCGCTGCAGGTGAGCGCCGCGAGGGGGTCAACGCCTCCGTCAGCTCTGATGTGCAGTCGGTGTTCAAGGGGAAGACATACAACCAGCTGCAGGTCATCTTCCAGGGCATCGAGGGCAAAATCCGCGCTGGTGGCCCCAACCTGGACATGGGCTACTGGGAGAGCCTCCTGCAGCAGCTTCGTGCCCACATGGCACGGGCCCGGTGAGCACTAGGTGCGGGTACCAGGGTTGGTGCCGTCCGGGTGGGATGGGTTTCGCCCCCTCCTGAGTCCTGGGTGGGGTGGGTCTCGCCTCCTCCTGGGACCATGTGGGGTGGAGAGGGGCAGGAAAGTGCCGACTGGCCGGGGCCAGCCTGTGAGTGACGAAGGGGGGCCGGGGGGCGCGTAGTCCCGTGCCCTAGCGGGAAGGCCCCAGGATGCTCCAGTGCCCTCACCTGGAGTCAGCCCTGTTGGTCTCACAGGGCTCCCCAGGAGCTTCCGCCCTTTAACGAGTACCTGGCGCGCTCCAGCAGCCATGGCATCACAGGAAGCCCCCAGGCGGCCTGCCTGTCCCCACTGCCTTGCGCCCAGGCCTGCGCCCTCCCAGCGCTGCTGCCTCCCGGCCTCTGGCTGTGTACAGATTTCTGGAGTGTTTTTGGCACCGCTGTGTAAATACATGTCTCCTCTGCTAATTTGTAAATGTCTCTAAATTTATCATGCTTGTTGGCTGGTGTCCTGCTGGGCCCCTTCTCCTGGCCAGCCCCAGCCACAAGACACTGAGACTGCAGCGTGAGACAGAGACCCACCTCTCCCTGCCATGGGATGGTTCACCAGGGTACCTGCGTCCTCTCGTCCTCTCTCCCATAAGCCTTGACCCTGAACTGACCAAGCCTGGGCAAAGGTCCCAGCCAGAGCCGTGGCTGCTCGCCACCTTCTCAGGGTCCTTGCAGCAATAAGGGGCGTGAGAATCTCGGTGGGGGTGGGGCGCGGAGCCCCTTCGCCTCCATGCGGGTGACCCCGGCTCTGCGTCCCAGGCTGCGTGAGCGCCACCAGGACGTGCTGCGGCAGAAGCTGTACAAACTGAAGCAGGAGCAGGGCGTGGAGAGCGAGCCGCTGTTCCCCATCCTCAAGCAGGAGCCCCAGTCCCCCAGCCGCAGGTAGGCCCGGCCGGCACCCCGGGGACGCCGATGCAGACGCGGAGCAGGATGGAGGGGCCGTGGGCAGCCTCCGCGCCTCCAACGCTCTCTCCTCCCAGCCTGGAGCCTGAGGACGCGGCGCCCACCCCGCCCGGGCCCTCCTCGGAGGGCGGCCCCGCGGAGGCCGAGGTGGACGGCGCGACCCCGACAGAGGGCGACGGCGACGGGGACGGTGAGGGCGAGGGCGAGGGCGAGGCGGTGCTCATGGAGGAGGACCTGATCCAGCAGAGCCTGGACGACTACGACGCCGGCAGGTACAGCCCGCGGCTGCTCACGGCGCACGAGCTGCCACTGGACGCGCACGTGCTGGAACCGGATGAGGACCTGCAGCGCCTGCAGCTCTCGCGCCAGCAGCTCCAGGTCACGGGTAAGGGCGGGGCTGGAGGCCAGGGGGTGGGGCCAGTGGGGCGAGCTGGGGGCGGGGCTTCTCCAGCCTCATTTCCCGGCCGAAGCCGCTGGCGTCAGTGGGGAGCTGCTTGCTGCTTCTCCCCCGGGTCTCTGAGCGTGCATTCCGTCACCTGCACGCGCACTGGGGCGTTCCTTCATTCATCCTGGGCTTGCTGGCCCACTGGCCTTGGGGCCACAGGTGGTGGAAGCTTTTACCGGCCGCTGTCCGAGCACTCCCTGGGCAGCCTCCGTCCTAAGACAGAGGAGAAAATACTGGCTTCAGAAAACCCCTGGGCCAGGACCCCCTCGGGGGTCATGCGTGGGGCTGGATCCCGCAGCCAGGCCCTAACCACCAGGTTCTCCTGTCGCTCGGCGGGGAAGCGCGCTGCGCTTGGTCCCCACCCAGGAGGACGATAGACATGAAGACCAAGGTCCGGGGCTCGGGGCGGATGGTGTGGGTCTCCGGGTCGCCCAGGCCCTGTCCCCTCCCCATGTGCCTTAGCTCGCCCCAGCCTGTTTTCCTTTTGCGGGAGGCACCAGCGGCCGCCCCTGCCAGAGAGGCTAGGAGGGAGGCCAGGACCCAGGGGGAGGCCGAGGCCCGGGTGAACGCCGTCCCGCCCGCAGGAGACGCCAGCGAGAGCGCCGAGGACATCTTCTTCCGGCGGGCCAAGGAGGGCATGGGCCAGGACGAGGCGCAGTTCAGCGTGGAGATGCCACTCACCGGCAAGGCCTACCTGTGGGCCGACAAGTACCGGCCACGCAAGCCGCGCTTCTTCAACCGCGTGCACACGGGCTTCGAGTGGAACAAGTACAACCAGACGCACTACGACTTTGACAACCCACCGCCCAAGATCGTGCAGGGATACAAGTTCAACATCTTCTACCCCGACCTCATCGACAAGCGCTCCACGCCCGAGTACTTCCTGGAGGCCTGCGCCGACAACAAGGATTTCGCCATCCTGCGCTTCCACGCGGGGCCGCCCTACGAGGACATCGCTTTCAAGATCGTCAACCGCGAGTGGGAATACTCGCACCGCCACGGCTTCCGCTGCCAGTTTGCCAACGGCATCTTCCAGCTGTGGTTTCACTTCAAGCGCTACCGCTATCGGCGGTGACGGCCCTGGGGAACGGCAGGCAGGTGTCCTCGGGGGCACAGTAAAGGGGCTTCGGTGAAGCTGGTGGTCACTCCGGGGCCGCTGTCTGGGCTGCAGGGCCGCGGGTTCACGTCCCACCTCAGGCCGCATCTTTCTTTCGCCAGGCCTCAGTTTCCTCCTATATAAAAGGGGGGTCACCATTGAGCCTGCCATGGTGAGCTGAGGAGACACTGGGACAGGCTGGCCTAGGGTCCTGATGCAACGGAGGGGGCGCTAGGGGCATCTTTCGAGCACGAGGGTGGCCAGCAGCCGCCAGCTGACCTCACCGTCCAGGCGGACACTCTCCACCGCCCCTCAGCCAGGCTGGGTGGGGCCCACAGGGCCTGCCCCAAGTGGCGGCCACACAGGGTGTTGTGGAGATGGGCCAGAGGGGCCTGGGCTTGGCGGTGCCAGGCTCGTGAGAAGCAGGAAACTCAAGGCCAGCCCTGCCACATCACGGGGCACCCACTGGGCGTGAGGCAGAGCCCGCGGCTGTGGGGCAGCTCCAGCCCTGCCCACAGGCCACCCTCGCCCGCACAGGCAGCACTGAGGCCGGGACCCTGCTGGCGCCCGATCCGCCACTGCAGAAGAGACCCTCTGTGGACACCCACACTCTGCAGGGACTGGCCCCCAACTCACCCCGTGCTGGCTGGTGGGGTCCATTTCCCCGCAGCGGGTATGGAGGATGCGTCGAGGTCCCTGTCTCTGTCAAGGTCGTGGGAACCAAAAGTCACTGAGCCGTCCTCCCCCCACCTCTGAGCACAGGGCCTGGAGGGCAGGGGCTCCCCGAAGGCTGGGGGTTGGAGAAGGGTGAGGGGCTTCCCCCAGGGATCCCCCCACCTGGCCTGCTCACGGGGCCTTGGAGCATGAGACCAGTGACCCCGAGTTTTGCCCATATCAGGACAGTGGCTCCTTCTCACTCCCCTTTCTCAGGCCAGGAGGGCCGAGGGCCACACGGGTGCCACAGCCCAGGTCGGAGTGGCCCAGCCGGCAGGCTTGTTCTTCAGCATCCGACGGGAACATCTCCAACAGAAGCAAAACGGAAAGTGCCTCCCGGACCCCCAGAGGGCCACCCAACCTCACCAGTCACCAGCCCCAGACCACCCACAGCCCCTCCCAGACACCCCGCCTCATCTGGAAATAGTTCCGTTTGTTTCTCTAAAAAGACTTGTAGGTGGGAAAAAAAATCTTTTGTTCTCATGGAATTGGCCTATTGGCAAGATCGCATGTTTTTTTAATAAACGTTGTATTTTAGAATAATCTTAGGTTTGCAGAAATGCAGAGAGTGTAACGTGTCCGACGCCCCACACCCGCTGCCCTAGTTGCTGCTGGCATTTGTGACACAGCGCATTTGTCCCAAGGGAAGAGCCTGGGAAACAACACGGCACCCAACTGGGGCCCGGTGGTCCCTTGGGAGCTGTGTTAGTGCCCGGATCTGTCTTTGCCCCCCACCCCTCTGCCTTGCCTCCCACAGTGGGGGTGACAGTCCATTTCCCAGACGACAGGAGGGAGGGTACAAGGGTGGACACAGCTGCTGGCCTGGGCCCAGGCTCTCATGGGGGCAGCGCTTGGCCATGCCTGGGGGCATTCGTGGTGGTCCCACCTTGGGGCTGCTCCTGGCGTGGAGTGAGTGGAGGCCAGGGATGCTGCCCAATGTGCTTCAGTGCCCAGGATGAGCCTCCCCAAATGTCCTCACTGCAGTAGGCAGAGGTGCAAGGCAGATCCTGCACTCCCCTGGGGCACTGGTCACCTCCCAGCCCCCACCTCTAACAGGATCCCGGAAGTCTGTGGCACAGGGCTTGGGAACTGGCCAGGGAAGTGCATCTGATCAGCGTCCGCTCTCCACACCGCAGACCCTGGCCCACCCTGACCAGCCTACTCCAGAATCCCAAATCGCATTGCAGCACACACAACACTGCCATCCCCAGCCCAGCCTTCAGCAGACATCACAAGTTGATGGCAGATGGCCAGAGCCATCTTAGAATCCTCTGGGCAGCCTCTTGCCTGGGTTCCTGGCCAGCTCCACCGCCGATCAGGACAGGCTGCTGGGGCAGGGCTGAGTCCGGGCTGGACTCGGGGGGCACTTTTTATTTTTTTGAGACAGGCTGGAGTGCAGTGGGCGTGATCACAGCTTTCTACATCCTCAACACCAGAAGGCACTTTTGAGCCCAGAGTGGTGTTTGGGACAGGCCGGGTTCTGTAGTCACAGCCCAGGTTGTGTGTGCGTGGCTGGCGCAGCCCAGCCTGTACTGGGCCTAACCCAGACCTCCCACCAGCTCTATGTGACAGTATTTACTTCCATTTGGCTGCTCGGGAAACTGAGGCTCACAAAAGCCCACGTTGTTGAGCCCAGAAAGTGGCAGGGCCAGTATTAGAAGCTGGGTTTCTCTACCCTGGAGAATCCCAATCCCAGACCACCACCCCGTCCCTGCCTCAGTTTCCCCACCTGCCCCTGCAGAGATTCCCCCAGCCCCAGCATCCTGCTTCCTCCTCCTCACGTTCCTTTTGCACCCCAAGGGAGATGGCTGTCCTCCAACTGGCAAGACACATGGTTTGCCAGGGGCCCCAGTCTGGAGGGAGCAGAGCTGGGGCCCTGGGACCCCTGAAGGGTCACGGGCACTGAGCCTGGGAAGACGGGCTGCTGGCCGAGAAGGGTGACGGCTGCCTTGCAGAGGACAGGGCAGCAGGTGTGCCCAGGGCAGGGGGCACACAGGGCTCAGGCCAAGCTAAGGAGCCAGATCCTAGGGGAGCTGGGCACCAGGGAGCTACGGAGGGCGCGTGAGCTGGGGAGGGCCTCCGAGCTGGGTGTCGAGACCCTGCAGGCAGACTGGAGGTGGGGGCCAGGGGTAGGCTCTGCACACCACCCCCCCATCTACCCCATGACTCTCCACCATGGCCCGAGGTCCACCTGGTGTCCTGGAAGCTGCCCCCGCCCCCACCCAGCTTCCTGACTTTGGCTGTGTCCAGAGCTAAGAATAGACGCTCCCTGCCCGGCCCCCGCCGGAAACCGCAGCCACGGGGGTACATCCTGAGCCTGGCCTCTGTTCCCACCATCTGCCCCCCAGCCCCTCACAACTCCTCCCACCAGAGCCTCCTGTGCTCCCATTGAACCCGAAGTGCTGGCGGGGGGTGGGGGGCGGGGGGCGGGCCAAGACCGGGAGACCAGCAACCAGCCCCAGATGACAGGGAAGCCCAGTGCTCATGTTCCAATCCCACACATGGGCGTGGCATTGTTCCCCCTTTGTGCCTCAGTTTCCCCATCTCTAAAATTTAAGAGTATCTTTACCCCCTGCCTTGCAGAGATGTGGTGAGGCTTAAGCTAAATGCAAGTGTCCTTCTCTGAACTCTGCCCAGGCTGTTTCCCAGAAGAGTCATTGTCCTTGTTATCTCAGGGCCGAGGACAGAGGAAGTGGGGACAGGACAGCCTTCCTCCGTCTCTCACTGCCCCCTCATCTGGAGCCCCAGCCCCACATCCTCCTCCCCCAACATCTGCCCTCCTTGCAGTTAGTGTAGCAAGGGCCTCATGCTCTCTCTTGCCTCCAAAGCTTTATACATGCAATTCCTGTCACTGCCACGTAGCCCAGACCTGGGGAGCTCCTATTCATCCTACAAAACCCCACTTCCCATGCCCTCTCCTCACAAGATGTCTTCCTAGCTCACCTCTGGGCTTCCCTAGGCCCTGTCTCTTCCTTTGGCCCAGCCCTGACCCCAGGGGGCTGGAACAGCCTGTGTCCAGTTCATTCTCCAGCCTAGGGCATCCTGAAGGGCAGGCCTGGTTTCAGGTCTCACTTGGAGCTCATAATTGTCCCACTGTATAAGCTGAACACAGAGAGGGGTTGGGGAGAGTAAGACTTGGAGATTAGGTCGGCTTCACGGGAAAGCAGCCTTGGAGCCAGGGTTTTGCCACATCCATAGGAGTTGGATAGCCTCCTTGCCAGGAAAGAGAGAAGTTGTGTTAAATGGCTGGTGACTTAATGGGATAGAGCTTTGGGAGGGAGGTTGGGTGTGGCCGAAGGCCAGGAGGAGGAAGGATAGTGGGCGGGGTAGCCGGGGAAGGGGCTTCCGGACTGGGCTGACGAGAGGGCCGGGCCAGGCTGGGAATACCCCTCACTCACAGCCTGGACTAGCAGCCCTCCCGGGCCCAGGGGACGGGGTGGGGTGCAGTCAGGGCAAGGTCAGCTTGTCCGGTCCCACTCCAGGTCCCTAACTCAAGGTTCTGTCCGGCTCGGGTGTACAAACAAGGCCAAGGAAGCCCAAGGTCCCCCCTCTGCAAAGAGACGGTCCCAGTCCCTGCGTCCGGCACCTTCTCAGCCATTCCTGTTGGGCTCCATCCCTCCTTCCCCAGCCCGAGCTGGGGGGTGGCCAGGAAAGAGTGCCCATCCCCCACTGCAGCCTCCCGGCTCCAGACTGTTCCTCCTCTGGCTCCAAAGCCACCTCCGAGCCTCCTCAAGAGACCCTCCCATGCGATGCCATCACCCCAGCCCTCCCGGCTCACCTGCTCTGGGACCACCTTTCTCAGTCTGGCTGTGTCGTCTGGTGCACCCCCCATCCCTCTGTCCTCCCACCCCACCCCTGGAAGGGGCCTCAAATATGTCCTGTATGTATTAAGCAGGGCATACTACTACTGTGTGCCGCGTTCCAGCGCACCCAGTGAATTTGGAGCCCTGGAGTCTGGGCGACCCCCGGGAGCCGATCCGCCTGGACCTGCCCCGCCCCCTCCAGGCCTTGGGTGCTGCCCAGATGGTGAATAATGCGGGCCTGGCGGCGGGAGCGCCGGGAAGAGGCCTGGCAGGGCGCTGGGCGGCTGGAGGGGCTGAGGCTCCCGAGGAAGCGCCCCTGCCACCCCTACGCGGGCCATTGCATCCCTGCCACCGGTGGCCTGGGGGTCCCAAGGGCGCCGCCTTCCCCAGAAGGCTGTAGGGTGTCCCGGCGTGCGGGGGGCACCCACTGACTCCAAGTCAGCCAGGCCCGGGCCCGAGGGGCGTGGCCAGCGCAGGGTGGGCGGGGCTGATGAGAGACAGCGGGAGACAGAGACTGGACGGAGAGAGCGAGCCGCGGGCTGCCAGCGGCCCCCACCCGTCCCAGCTCGGCTTAGCCCCCGCGGACCCCTCCAGGCCGCGACCCCAGGGCGTCCTGTGCCGCCACGCCCTCCATCTGTGTGGGTCCTCTGCTGGGCCCGCCCCTGGTCACAGCCAGACTGACTCAGTTTCCCTGGGAGGTCCCGCTCGAGCCCGTCCTTCCCCTCCCTCTGCCCGCCCCCAGCCCTCGCCCCACCCTCGGCGCCCGCACATCTGCCTGCTCAGCTCCAGACGGCGCCCGGACCCCCGGGCGCGGGATCCAGCCAGGTGGGAGCCCCGCAGATGAGGTCTCTGAAGGTGAGGTCGCCCCGCTGGCTTAGGGCGGGATGCACTGCTCTGGTGTGAGCCCGGGCTGCTGGGCGCATCCGGCGCTGGCCCTGCCCTGCTGTGGGTGTGTCGCAAAGCCCGCGGTGACAGCGGCCAGGTGCCAGGTGTCCCCTGTGTGGCCCGGCGGGTGGCATGGTGCCCTGAGGCCTGCCCTGGGCGCCCAGGCGGCTGGGTCTGGGTGCGGCCCAGGCTGATTCTGTCCGGGGGGCTCTCTGGTCTCTGTGGGGCCACATGGCTGTGAATGGGGGTCCCAGACTCAGGGGGCTGCAGCCGGGGAGGGGGCCCAGGCCCTGGGTGTGGCAGGGATCGAGTGTGGTTGTGCGGCTGTGTGTGTGATCTTGTCTCTGGGAGTGAACCATGCATGGCCCTGGTTGTGTGTCTGTGTCTGTGCGTGTGTGGTGGTTTTGTGTGTGTGACCGTGTGTTTGTTTCTGCCGAGAGTCTGTGACTGTTAAATACTGTGTGTTCTTCTGTGTGTCTTTCTGTGTCTGTCTGTATCTATGTACCTGTTGTGTTTCTGCCTGTGTGTCTGTGTTTTTCTGTCTGTGTCTGTCACATTTCTGCCTGTGTGCCTATGTGTGTATCTGTGTGTGTCTATGTCTGTCGTGTTTCTGCCTGTATGTGTCTGTGTGTGGCTGTGTGTCTGTTGTGTTTCTGCTTGTGTGTGTCTATCTGCGTGTGTCTGTGTGTCTGTTGTGTTTCTGCTTGTGTGTGTCTGTGTCTGTCATGTTTCCATCTGTGTGTGTCTATCTGTATGTGTCTATGTATTTGCCATGTTTCTGTATGTGTGTCTGTGCATGCCTGTGCGTCTGTCTACTGTGTTTCTGTCTGTCACATTTCTGCCTGTGTGTCTGTCATGTTTCTGTCTGGGTGTGTCTGTGGTGTTTCTGTGTGTGTCTATCTGTGTGTGTCTGTGTATCTGCCATGTTTCTGTATGTGTGTCTGTGCATGTCTGTGCATCTGTCTGCTGTGTTTCTGTCACATTTCTGCCTGTGTGTCTGTCATGTTTCTATCTGTGTGTGTGTCTGTGTGTCTGCCATGTTTCTGTGTGTGTGTCTGTGCACGTCTGTGCGTCTGCCTGCTGTGTTTCTGTCTGTCACATTTCTGCCTGTGTGTCTGCTGTGTTTCTGCCTGTGTGTGTCTGGCTGTGTCTGTGTGTCTCGAGTGTGCACACACGGTGGTGGCCTGAGGTGCATGTTGGTGGAATCACTGTAACTTGTGGTCCACCATTAACCACCAGCTGCACCTCCCGGGTCCCGCCCCCTGGTCCCTGCTGGCCCCTGTGTGACGGAGCTCCGTACATGCTCCCTGGGGAGCCCCCACTAGAGAGATGGGGAAAGCGAGGCTCACAGGGGGCCATGTGACTTAGGGCCCCAACAAGGCTGGCCGGAGTCTGGCTGGCTGGGGGAGTCCCCGCCCTGCACTGTGTGGGCTGGGGACCCTGTTGGTGTCACAAACAGGAAATGTTCTCGGAAATGGAGCTTTGCGATGAGGGGAGGTGGGCCCATCAGGGTGTGGAGTGTGTCTGCCTCCGCTACCATGTGGGGGTCCACGCCCATGAGCGTTCAGATCTACAGCAGGCATGGGAGGGTCTGGCCGGTCCCTGAAGTTTCAGTCCCAAAAGGGCCCTGTGGGTCCAAGGTCCAAGGCCGACAGGGGTGACACGGAGCCTCAGGGCTCCCTGCTGGCTGCCCGGGCACCTTGTAGGGAGTTGAGCTGTGAGTACAGCCAGGAGCCCTGCAGAGGTGAGAGCCAGGGAGGCCTGAGCTTAGCACCCGCAGGCATGGAGATCAGAAGCTCACCCCCATTGCACAGAGCGGGGAAACTGAGGCTCGGCAAGGTGGAGCCCCAGCCTGGCCACGGCAGATCAGGGACTAGAGCCTCCAAGCCTGTCTGGGGGAGGTGGGGTGGGCTCAGGCCGTGACAGGCAGGCGGGGCGGGCAGGGTGGGGTGCTGAGGAGAGGGGACTTGTTGAGAAATGGATGGATGATGAGGTGACGTGCTCCAGGGAGTGGGGGAGGGGGCACGAGGATGGAACATGGGGCGGAGGAGAGGCCTGCTGTTTGGGAACCAAGGATCACATTCCACTGGCAACCAGGCTTGGGGCAGCCAGGCCTGGTGCCCACGCCCAGCCCAGCGCCCGGGCCTCTGGAAACAGCGCCGGACAGAGCCCTCCGAGTCACACGACCTGCAAGCCGGATACCCTGTCAGGGGTGGCATCGGATGAGGGAGAACTCACTGTCCGCCTTCCAGAAAGAAGCCAGGAATTAAGACAGAGATTTCTGGAACCCGGGACCCAGGCAGATTCCCATCAAAGTTGCAGGACCTCAGCCTCTTGGGAGTTGCAGGACCTCAGCCTCTTGGGATTCTAGAATTGTGAGGCCTTCTGCGTCCCAGGACTGGAAGCGTGTTAGAATTCCACAACCCTGAACCCGCTGAGGGCAAACGTCTGCTCTCAGACTGCAAAATTCTGGAGTTATTCAACATCGAAAAGCGATCTTGGGTCCACACCTCTCCCCAGACACAGGGAGGGACAGTAATTTTCCCAAGAGCCGCAGTGCTGCTCTACTGCCCCACCGCGTGGGGGCCCCTGCTACCCCTCCTGGCCAATGCAGGAGGGAAGGGAGGCCCTGCCCGGTCCCCCCATTGGCATCCTTGCCTGGAGAACTTGAGATGGCTGCCATCGCCTGAAGCCAGGGTGGGGAGTGGAGGTGGGGGGATTGGAAACAGCCAGCTGTGGCCAGAAGGACTCAGTGCCAGTTTCCAGGCTCCCCTGGGCCAAGGGCTCTGGGCCATGCATTTGCTCCCAGCCACCGGAGGTGTGAGGGAGTTCCGGGTGTGTGACCCCCGGTGAGTGGAGTGGAGTGTGGTCGAGGAGACCCTGAGACCCAGGAGGGACTGGAAGTTGCTCCAGGCAGAGGTCGGGTCAGTGGCCGCAGGGACAGCCGAGTCCCAAGGAATGTCCAGAAACAGCACATACCAGCTCTCGAGGGAGGAACGCCTTGTCCCAGGGGAAATCCCAGTGCAGGAATCCAAACCCCAGGCGCCAAAGCAGCCCGGAGTGGAGGGCAACGATCGCCAGAGGCCGCGAGGAACCCCCCACCGCATCTGCTCTCCAGGCCTCAGTTTCTCCTCTGGAAGCCCTGCCTCCCACCACGGTGGCAGTGGCCTTAGCTGTCTTCCCAGGAAGGGAGTTCAGTGCCGCTGTCAGGAGCTGGATAATTTATGAGGCTGGATACAGCGTAGCCAAGGCCAGAAGCCAG
Source organism: Homo sapiens (assembly GCF_000001405.40). NCBI lineage: Eukaryota > Metazoa > Chordata > Mammalia > Primates > Hominidae > Homo > Homo sapiens. Next base: position 3,603,237 of record NC_000019.10, on the reverse strand, counting down.
GCCAAAGCGTCACAAGTGAGATGGGGAGTGAGGGCCACAGTCACCCATTTGACCGCCCTGGAATGCGTTAGCTGCTGCGACCCCACAGCCCAGGCCCTGCCTCAGGGCCAGCATGCATTGAGTGCCCGCTGTGCTGTGCTGAGTGCTGCGCGTGGATCCCTTCACTCCCGTCATCAGCAACCCCGACTTTTTTTTTTTTTTTGAGATGGAGTCTCGCTCTGTCGCCCAGGCTGGAGGGCAGTGGCGCGATCTCAGCTCACTGCAAGCTCCACCTCCCGGGTTCACACCATTCTCCTGCCTCAGCCTCCCAAGTAGCTGGGACTACGGGCGCCCGCCACCACGCCTGGCTAATTTTTTGTATTTTTAGTAGAGACGGGGTTTCACCGTGTTAGCCAGGATGGTCTCGATCTCCTGACCTCGTGATCCGCCCACCTGGGCCTCCCTCTTTTCTTTTCTTTTTCTTTTTTTTTTTTTTTTGAGACGGAGTTTTGCTCTTGTTGCTCAGGTTGGTTCAGTGGCACGATCTTGGCTCTGGGGCCCTGTTTCCGGCCCACAAACATCACTTCCCCTGTCGGGTTCAAGCGATTCTCCTGCCTCAGCCTCCCGAGTAGCTGGGATTACAGGTATGCACCACCACACCCGGCTAATTTTTGTATTTTTATTAGTTGAGATGCGGTTTCACCATGTTGGTCCGGCTGGTCTCAAACTCCTGACTTCAGGTGATCCGCCCTCCTTGGCTTCCCAAAGTGCTGGGATTACAGGCGTGAGCCACCACGCCTGACCGTAATAGGACCTTTTGAGCCTTAACTGCCTGGCACCTCCATCTCGCACACAGTCCCATTCGCCCACCTTTGCCCACCCAGTCCCTCCAGGTGACTTGGGGGTGTGTCAGGGCAAGAGGCAGGAGACCCGGGTTCCATCCTAGCCTCCTGGGTGACTTTACAACCAGCCACAACCCTCTGGACTTTGACATGACCCATGGGGTATGGGGAGCTGGTTTTGTTTTGTTTTGTTTTTTAGACGGAGTCTCGCTCTGTCACCCAGGCTGCAGTGCAGTGGCACGATCTCAGCTCACTGCAAGCTCCTCCTCCCAGGTTCACGCTATTCTCCTGCCTCAGCCTCCCGAGTAGCTGGGACTACAGGCTCCCGCCACCACGCCCGGCTAATTTTTTGTATTTTTAGTAGAGACAGGGTTTCACTGTGTTAGCCAGGATGGTCTCGATCTCCTGACCTCGTGATCCGCCCGCCTCGGCCTCCCAAAGTGCTGGGATTACAGGCGTGAGCCACCGCACCTGGCCGTTTTGTTTTCTTGAGATGGAGTCTCGCTCTGTTGTCCAGGCTGGAGTGCAGTAGTGCGATCTCGGCTCACTGCAACCTCTGCCTCCCGGGTTCAAGCATTTCTTCTGCCTCAGTCTCTTGAGTAGCTGGGATTACAGGCGCCCGCCACCATGCCTGGCTACTTTTTGTATTTTTAGTGAAGATGGGGTTTCACCATGTTGGCTAGGCTGGTTTCGAACTCCTGACCTCAGATGATCCACCCACCTCAACCTCCCAAAGTGCTGGGATTACAGGCATTAGCCACTGCACCCAGCCAGAAGCTGGTTTTTGAACCATCTCATTTTATTTTTACTTCACTCATCACACCTGGCCCCATTTTTTTGTTTTTTGGGGTTTTTAGCGTTTTTGTTTGTTGGTTGGTTGGTTTTTTTTTTTTTGAGACAGGGTCTCACTGTTGCCCAGGCCGGAGTGCAGTGGCACAATTGTAGCTCACTGCAGCCTCAACATCTGGGGCTCAAGCAATCCTCCAACCTCAGCCTCCCAAGTAGCAGGGATTACAGGTGCATACCACTACACCCAGATATATATATATTTTAAGAGATAGGGTCTCGCTATGTTGGCCAGGATGGTCTTGAACTCCTGACCTCAAGTGATCCGCCCACTTTGGCCTCCCAAAGTGCTGGGATAAGAGGCGTGAGCCACTGCGCCTGGCTTGGCTCCGATTTTGTTGTGCATTGTGGCTGAGCGTTAGCCCCACACAGAGTAACAGGTCCCCGCCTGCTGCTCTCTACCAACCATCCCTGGGGAACCTGCCATTCCGAAGAAGTGTTTTTTGTTCCCAAAATAGAACTGGATTTCAGGGTTTATTTCTTATTATAAAACCGACACCATGAAAATGGAGGAAAAGGCCGGGCACGGTGGCTCACGCCTGTAATCCCAGCACTTTGGGAGGCCGAGGCGGGAGGACTACTTACTACAGGGTATGTGCCTGTAGTCCCAGCTATTTGGGAGGCTGAGATGGGGGGATCACTTGGGTCCAGAAGGTCGAGGCTGCAGTGAGCCTTGATTGCATCACTGCACTCCAGCCTGGGTGACAGAGCAAGACTCTGTCTCAAAAAAAAAAAAAAAAAAAACCGGAGAGGATATTTGAGCTGGGGCATTGAAGGTTGTGTAGGAGTTCACCAGAGCTACTTACACTGAAATGCAGAATTAATCACAAGCAAATCTTCTCTCGCCTCCCAGGTGTGCCTGAACCAGTGCCAGCCTGCCCTGTCTGCAGCATCGGCCTGATGGGGTGGTGACTGATCCCTCAGGGCTCCGGAGCCATGTGGCCCAACGGCAGTTCCCTGGGGCCCTGTTTCCGGCCCACAAACATTACCCTGGAGGAGAGACGGCTGATCGCCTCGCCCTGGTTCGCCGCCTCCTTCTGCGTGGTGGGCCTGGCCTCCAACCTGCTGGCCCTGAGCGTGCTGGCGGGCGCGCGGCAGGGGGGTTCGCACACGCGCTCCTCCTTCCTCACCTTCCTCTGCGGCCTCGTCCTCACCGACTTCCTGGGGCTGCTGGTGACCGGTACCATCGTGGTGTCCCAGCACGCCGCGCTCTTCGAGTGGCACGCCGTGGACCCTGGCTGCCGTCTCTGTCGCTTCATGGGCGTCGTCATGATCTTCTTCGGCCTGTCCCCGCTGCTGCTGGGGGCCGCCATGGCCTCAGAGCGCTACCTGGGTATCACCCGGCCCTTCTCGCGCCCGGCGGTCGCCTCGCAGCGCCGCGCCTGGGCCACCGTGGGGCTGGTGTGGGCGGCCGCGCTGGCGCTGGGCCTGCTGCCCCTGCTGGGCGTGGGTCGCTACACCGTGCAATACCCGGGGTCCTGGTGCTTCCTGACGCTGGGCGCCGAGTCCGGGGACGTGGCCTTCGGGCTGCTCTTCTCCATGCTGGGCGGCCTCTCGGTCGGGCTGTCCTTCCTGCTGAACACGGTCAGCGTGGCCACCCTGTGCCACGTCTACCACGGGCAGGAGGCGGCCCAGCAGCGTCCCCGGGACTCCGAGGTGGAGATGATGGCTCAGCTCCTGGGGATCATGGTGGTGGCCAGCGTGTGTTGGCTGCCCCTTCTGGTGAGTAGGGGCTCTGCGGGGTCCTGCTACCCTCCTGACTGGACCTCTGGTCACCCAGGGTGGATTTAGATCCTGATGGTGGGACCGGGCGCGGTGGCTCACGCCGGTAATCCCAGAACTCTGGGAGGCTGAGGCGGGAGGATCGCTTGAGGCCAGGAGTCCGAGACCAGCCTGGCCAACATGGTGAAACCCTGTCTCTACTAAAAATACAAAAATTAAGGCCAGGCGTGGTGGCTCACGCCTGTAATCCCAGCACTTTGGGAGGCCGAGGCGGGCGGATCATGAGGTCAGGAGATCGAGACCATTCTGGCCAACACGGTGAAACACTGTCTCTACTAAAAATGCAAAAAAATTAGCCAGGCGTGGTGGCAGGCACCTGTAGTCCCAGCTACTCTGGAGGCTGAGGCAGGAGAATGGCATGAACCCAGGAGGCGGAGCTTGCAGTGAGCAGAGATTGCGCCACTGCACTCCAGCCTGGGCGACAGAGCGAGACTCCGTCTCAAAAAAAAAAATAAAAAATAAAAAAATTAGCCAGACATGGTGGCATGTGCCTGCAATCCCAGCACTTTGAGAGGTCAAGGCAGGAGGATTGCTGGAGCCTGGGAGGTTGAGGCTGCAGTGAGCTATGATTGCACCACTGCACTCCAGCCTAGGTGACAGAGTGAGACCCTGCCTCCAAATTAAAAAAAAAGAAAAAAAATAGAAAGCAGCCGTAGAAAACACATAAATGAGTAGGCGTGGCTGTGGCCAATAAAACTACTGATGGATAGATGATGAAATTTGAATTTCATGTCATTTTTATGTCACTCAATTTTTGCCTCTATTTTGTTTTCCTCTAACCATTTAAACATGGAAAGAAATTCTTAGTAAAAAACAAAACAGGCCGGGCGTAGTGGCTCATGCCTGAAATCCCAGCACTTTGTGAGGCAGAGGCGGGCAGATCATGAGGTCAAGAGATGGAGACCATGCTGGCCAACATGGTGAAACCCCGTCTCTACTAAAAATACAAAAAATTAGCCGGGCGTGGTGGCGCACGCCTGTAGTCCCAGCTACTTGGGAGGCTGAGGCAAGAGAATCGCTTGAACCCAGGAGGCGGAAGTTGCAGTGAGCCGAGATCACGTCACTGCACTCCAGCCTGGGTGACAGAGCGAGACTCCGCCTCAAACAAAAACAAAAACAAACAAACAAACAAAAACAGGCCAGCCACGGTGGCTCATGTCTGTAATCCCAGCGCTTTGAGAGGCCGAGACAGGCGGATCACCTGAGGTCAGGAGTTCAAGACCAGCCTGGCCTACATGTTGAAACCCCATCTCTACTAAAACTAAAAAAAATTAACTAACCATGATGGCACACTCCTGTAGTCCCAGCTACTCAGGAGGCTGAGGCATGAGAATTGCTTGAGCCCAGGAGGTGGAGGTTGCAGTGAGCCAAGATTGTGCCACTGCACTCCAGCCTGGGTGACAGAGCAAGACTCTGTCTCAAAAAAAAAAAAAAAAAAGAAAAGAAAAGAAAGAAAGAAAGAAAAGAAAAGAAAAAAAACCCAAAGCAAGTGGCAGGCCAGATTTGGCCCATGGGTCAACCCTTGCTCTAAACCCTCCCATGGCTCCCTGTTGCCCTCAGAAGAAAGTTCTCACAGGCACTTCCTGCAGACGCACCTTGCCCACTCCCATTTGCCCTTCAGTGACTTCCCTAGGCCAGGTCAGGCACCTCTTCTGGGCTCTGACATTGCTTCCTCCTCACAGCTTTGCCCACCCCATGCTGTAACTCCCCGGACCCAGTTTCCGTCTCCCGACTGGACTGTGAGCCTATGAGGGTGCGCCCTGGGAGTTCCTCAGCTGCTGTTGCTGCTTCATTCAGCCTACAGGACCTACTGCTCAGGAAATGATTTGATTGATTGATTGATTTAATTTATTTAGAGATGGAGTCTCGCACTGTTGCCCGGGCTGGAGTGCAGTGGTGCGATCTCAGCTCACTGCAAGCTCCGCCTCCCAGGTTCAAGCGATTCACCTGCCTCAGCCTCCCGAGTAGCTGGGATTACAGGCGCCCGCCACCATGCCCGGCTAATTTTTTTTGTATTTTTAGTAGAGACGGGGTTTCATCGTGTTAGCCAGGATGGTCTCAATCTCCTGACCTCGTGATCTGCCCGCTTCAGCCTCCCAAAGTGCTGGGAGTATAGGTGTGAGCCACCGCACCCGGCCAAATTATTTTATTTTATTTTAAGATGGAGTTTCGATGTGTCACCCAGGCTGGAGTGCAGTGGCACAATTTTAGCTCACTGCAACCTCTGCCTCCTGGGTTCAAGGGATCCTCCCACTTCAGCCTCCGGAGTAGCTGGGACTACAGGTGTGCACCACCACACCCGGCTAATTTTGTATGTTTTAGTAGAGATGGTGTTTGACCATGTTGGTCAGGCTGATCTCAAACAAAGTATTTTAATATAATGTAACATTTAATTATAATATAATTGTATGATATATGATATATATCAATTATAGGCCACATTATAATTATGAATAATTATCATATAATTGATTATTATATATTATATACTAATTTGTAGATAACATTCTTATTTTAAATATTTTTAAATATAGTTTAAAAATTTCCTGCCAGGCGCGGTGGCTCATGCCTGTAATCCCAGCACTTTGGGAAGCTAAGGCGGGTGGATCACCTCAGGTCGGGAGTTCAAGGCTAGCCTGACCAACATGGAGAAACCCCGTCTCTACTAAAAATACAAAAAAATCAGCCAGATGTGGTGGTGCATGCCTGTAATCCCAGCTACTCGGGAGGCTGAGGCAGGAGAATCGCTTGAACCCAGGAGGCGGAGGTTGTGGTAAGCCGAGAACCTGCCATTTCACTCCAGCCTGGGCAACAAGAGTGAAACTCCGTCTCAAAAAAAAAAAAAAATTTCCCATCAATCCTGACCTATAGATAAATATAATTTTTATTATTTAAATATTTTATTTATGGCCAGGTGTGGTGGCTCACACCTGTAATCCCAGCACTTTGGGAGGCCGAGGAGGGCAGATCACAAGGTCAGGAGATCGAGACCATCCTGGCTGACACAGTGAAACCCTGTCTCTACTAAAAATACAAAAAATTAGCCGGATGTGGTGGTGGGCGCCTGTAGTCCCAGCTACTCGGGAGGCTGAGGCAGGAGAATGGCGTAAACCCAGGAGGCGGAGACTCCGTCTCAAAAAAAAAAAAAAGGTATTTATTTATTTATTTTGAGACAGGATCTTGCTCTGTCACCCAGGCTGGAGTGCAACCATGCCTGGGTAACTTTTCTATTTATTTTAACTTTTTGTAGACATGAGGTCTCACTATGTTCCCCAGGCTGGTCTTGAACTCCTGGGCTCAAGTGATTCTCTCCTATTTACCTCCCAAAGTGCTGAGATCACAGGCGTGAGCCACTGCCTGGCTAAGAGTGCGCTAATTTATGAACCCATCAAAAGGAGCTCAGAGCGGTTAGTCAACTCTCCTGAGGTCACCCAGCAATGCAGTAACAGAGTGGACACTGGCCGGGCGCAGTGGCTCACTCCTGTAATTCCAGCACTCTGGGAGGCTGAGGCTGGTGGATCACCTGAGGTCAGGAGTTCGAGACCAGCCTGGCCAACATGGTGAAACCCCCATCTCTACGAAAAATACAAAAATTAGCCAGGTGTGGTGGCAGCCACCTGTAATCCCAGCTACTTGGAAGGCTGAGGGAGGAGAATTGCTTGAACCCGGGAGGCAGAGGTTGCAATGAGCTGAGATCGCACCACTGCACTCCAGCCTGGACGACAGAGTGAGACCCTGTCTCAAAAATAAAATTAAAAAACGGAGTGGACCCTGGATCTCAAGGGACCCCGGGCAGGGACCGGGGCGGGCGGGGCTGGAGGCGGGGGCCCAGGCTGACAGCTCTCCCCTTTGCAGGTCTTCATCGCCCAGACAGTGCTGCGAAACCCGCCTGCCATGAGCCCCGCCGGGCAGCTGTCCCGCACCACGGAGAAGGAGCTGCTCATCTACTTGCGCGTGGCCACCTGGAACCAGATCCTGGACCCCTGGGTGTATATCCTGTTCCGCCGCGCCGTGCTCCGGCGTCTCCAGCCTCGCCTCAGCACCCGGCCCAGGTCGCTGTCCCTCCAGCCCCAGCTCACGCAGCGCTCCGGGCTGCAGTAGGAAGTGGACAGAGCGCCCCTCCCGCGCCTTTCCGCGGAGCCCTTGGCCCCTCGGACAGCCCATCTGCCTGTTCTGAGGATTCAGGGGCTGGGGGTGCTGGATGGACAGTGGGCATCAGCAGCAGGGTTTTGGGTTGACCCCAATCCAACCCGGGGACCCCCAACTCCTCCCTGATCCTTTTACCAAGCACTCTCCCTTCCTCGGCCCCTTTTTCCCATCCAGAGCTCCCACCCCTTCTCTGCGTCCCTCCCAACCCCAGGAAGGGCATGCAGACATTGGAAGAGGGTCTTGCATTGCTATTTTTTTTTTTAGACGGAGTCTTGCTCTGTCCCCCAGGCTGGAGTGCAGTGGCGCAATCTCAGCTCACTGCAACCTCCACCTCCCGGGTTCAAGCGATTCTCCTGCCTCAGCCTCCTGAGTAGCTGGGACTATAGGCGCGCGCCACCACGCCCGGCTAATTTTTGTATTTTTAGTAGAGACGGGGTTTCACCGTGTTGGCCAGGCTGGTCTTGAACTCCTGACCTCAGGTGATTCACCAGCCTCAGCCTCCCAAAGTGCTGGGATCACAGGCATGAACCACCACACCTGGCCATTTTTTTTTTTTTTTTTAGACGGAGTCTCACTCTGTGGCCCAGCCTGGAGTACAGTGGCACGATCTCGGCTCACTGCAACCTCCGCCTCCCGGGTTCAAGCGATTCTCGTGCCTCAGCCTCCCGAGCAGCTGGGATTACAGGCGTAAGCCACTGCGCCCGGCCTTGCATGCTCTTTGACCCTGAATTTGACCTACTTGCTGGGGTACAGTTGCTTCCTTTTGAACCTCCAACAGGGAAGGCTCTGTCCAGAAAGGATTGAATGTGAACGGGGGCACCCCCTTTTCTTGCCAAAATATATCTCTGCCTTTGGTTTTATTTTCCTTTGGGTCCAGAAGTTTTCAATCTCTGGAGTTTGTGCATTGGGCCTCACCCGGAGCAGACGAGGGCAGGGCTGGGAAGGATGGGGAGGGACATAGAGGATTCGGTTCCTCCCCCACCTTGTTTCTTGAGTGTTTCCTAATCACTTGATGGGTGGTACCACCTAGAATTCTTCCAGCAGCCTGTAATGGGAGGGCTACAGGTTAGCCCTGGAACCTGCAATCAAACCACCTTTGAATCTGTGTGTCATTAAAAGTAGATATAAATGGGCCGGGCGCGATTGTTCATGCCTGTAATCCCAGCATTTTGGGAGGCCGAAGCGGGAGGGTCACTTGAGGCCAGAAGTTCGAGACCAGCCTGGCCAACATGGTGAACCCCTGTCTCTACTAAAAATACAAAAATTGCAGGGCGCGGTGGCTCACGCCTGTAGTCTCAGCACTTTGGGAGGTCGAGACGGGCAGATCACCTGAGGTCGGGAGTTAGAGACCAGCCTGACCAACATGGAGAAACCCCGTCTCTACTAAAAATACACAAAAAAATTAGCCGGGCGTGGTGGCGCATGTCTGTAATCCCAGCTACGCGGGAGGCTGAAGCAAGAGAATAGCTTGAACCCGGGAGGTGGAGGTTGCAGTGAGCCGAGATCACGTCATTGCACTCCAGCCTGGGCAACAAGAGCAAAACTCTGTCTCAAAAAACAAACAAACAAACAAACAAACAAACAAAAAATTAGCCAGGCATGGTGGCGGGCGCCTGTAATGCCAGCTACTCAGAAGGCTGAGGCAGGAGAATTGGTTGAACCCAGGAGGCAGAGGTTGCAGTGAGCCGAGATCATGCCACTGCACTCCAGCCTGGGCGACAGAGTAAGACTCCATCTGTAAATAAGTAAATAAATAAAACAGAGAAAGAGAGAGAGAGATGCAAAAGCGTGGAGTGATGCCCGTTTCCTCCACTGTTCACTTGTTCACCCAGCAACCTTTCAAACACCACAGTGTTCTGTACAGCACCTTGCACATAGTACGTGCTCAATAAATATTGGTAGAAAGGACCAGTGGCTGGGTCTTCGTGGAGCACCTGTCGCCTGCAGGCACGTAAGCTCATGCCTGTGCGGTGCTTAATGAAGTGCCTGGTACACAGTAGGTGCTCAAGAGGTATTCAGTGTTGCCACAGTTTCAGCCAGCCCCCCAGCCCCACATCTCTGCATTCCCCCAAACTTCCCCCAAAATGACACACCAGGCTGCAGAGATGGAAGGTGCCTTTATTCACCATGAGCCCTCAGGGTACATGCGGTGCAACCCGTCTCCTGCCCTCCTTTTCCCTCCAAGGACCTGGATCTGAGCCAGGACCGGTGAAGCCCCTGTTTTCACCACCGCACACTCCCTACCACCGCCTGCTGGAGAAATAAGGTCACTTGCTGCTTCTGGGGGCCCCAGGCTGGAAGGGACAGGAGAGGACGAGAACCACATGAACCAGGGCTAAGTCACAGCCAAGCTACGGCCCCCCGCGGTAAGGGCGGGCTCCTGGCTCCCCCAGAGTGGGGCAAAGGGCTGGCGCCAAAGCTGGGGACTCAGACAGCTGGGAACTCAGGAGGGCTGCCCTAGGGGCAGGACTAGGAGTGACAGATATGGTGGGTGGGGTGGACTTCTGGGGTCCCACCCGGGGCTTGGGAGAGACGGCTGGCTTCTGGGGGGTTGAGGAGACCTGTGACTGTGGGGCCAGGTAGGAGGCTTGGGGTAAGCCTGGGATGGGGCCAAGGCTGGCCTGGATGCCACATACCTGATCATGGGGCTGAGGCAGAGGCTGGGGGTCTTTGCTAGGGGCTGGGGTGGGGTCTCTGGGGGATGGGCCTGGGGGCTGAGGTTGGGCTGGGGCAGGGGCCTCAAGCTGGATTCTAGGGTCAAGGCCAGGGGTCTGTGGGCAGATTCCATTTCCAGGGCTCAGCCAGATTCTTGAACTGGTGTGAGTTCTGGAACTGGATTGGGTTCCAGAAACAGGCTGGGTTCCAGAACTAAGGTGGGCTCCAGGGCTGGGCTGAATTCTTGAGCCGGTCTGGGTTTCAGAGCTGAGCCCGGTCTCAGAGCTGGACTGGGTTCTGGAACTAAGTTGGGCTCCAGAGTCGGGCTGAATTCTTGAGCCGGTCTGGGTTTCAGAGCCAAACTGAATCCCAGAACTGAACTGGGTTCCAGAGCTGGACTGAGCCTCAGAGCTGAGCCTGGTCTCAGGACTGGACTGGGTTCTGGAGCTAAGATGAGCTCCAGGGCTGAGCTGAATTCTTGCAGTGGTCTGGGTCCCGGAGCTGAGCTGGTTTCCAGAACTAGTCTGAGTTCTGGAGCTGGGTTGGGCTCCGGAAATCAGCTGGGTTCCCGAACTAAGCTGACTTCCAGAGCTGGCTTGAATTCTTGAGCTTATCTGGGTCCCAGAGCTGGGCTGAGTTCCAAAGCTAAGCTGACTTTCAGAACTGCTCTGCTTCCCAAAGTCCAGTTGAATACCAGAGCTGTCTGGGGCTGTGGTCTGGAGCTGGTATCTAGAACCTGGCAGGGTTTTAGAGGCGAATTGAGTCCCAGAGGCTGGTCGAGCTCCTGGGCAGCGCTGGGTCCTGGAGCTGGACCTGCTGTCGGAACTAGACAGGGCTGTGGAGCTTAATTCTATTGCTGCGATGGCCTGGGTCCCAGGACTAGATTGGACTCCAGAGCTTAGCTGGATTCTGGAACTTGGCTGGGTCTCAGCTGCTGTCTGTGTTTTGGAGCTGGCTGGGATTTCAGAACCAGCCTGTGCTCCAGAACTGAGCTGAGTTCCAGAGCTGGGTGCGGTGCTTGGGCTGGATTGAGCTCTGGAGCTTGGCCAGGCCTTGAAATTGGTCTGGGTCCTGGAAGTAAACTGCATTCTAGAGCTGAGCTGCATTGTGCAAGGAGAGTGGGGCTTGGCACCAAGCTGTGTGCTGGAGCTGGGTCTTGCTTCCAAGATGGATGGGGTTCCAGAGCTGGTCTGAATCCTGGAGTTGGGCCTGGTTGTAGCACTAGGCGAGGTTCTAGAGCTGGGCTCAGTCTCAGAGCTGGAATCATCACTGGAGCTGGACTGGGCTGCAGGATGGGGATGGGCACTTGGATGCAACTGGGGTTGGGATCTGGACTGGGCAGCCGTGTGGACCTGGGTTTCTGAGCTGGTCTGAGTTCTTGAATAGGATTTGATTTGGGAGCTGTCTCTGAATCCTGAGCTGACTGGGGTTCCAGAGCTGGGCTGCTTCATGAATCTCACATGGGTTCCAAAATTAACTGGGGTTCCGGAGCTAGACCGAGTGTCCAGGTGTGGCTGCATCGTGGAGCTGTCCAGAGTTCCAGAGTCAGCTTGAGTTTTCCAGCAGGGCTTGGTCTCCGAGCTAGCCTGGATTCTGGAACTGGGATTGGTCTCCAAGCTGGTCTGGGTCTTAAAATGTGTCTGGGTTCCAGAGTTTGGCTTGTTGTCAGGGCTCAGCTGGATTCTAGAGATGTGCTTCGTCTCAGAGCTGGCCTGGGCTTCAGAGCAGGGCTTGGTCTCAGATCTTATCTGGGTTCTAGAGCTGGGTTTGGCCTCAGAGGTGGCCTGAGTTCTAGAACAGGGCTTGGTCTCAATGCTGGGATTGGTTTCAGAGCTTATCTGGGTTCTAGAGCTGGGCTTGGTCTCAGGGCTGACCTGAGTTCTAGAGCTGGGCTTGGCTTCAGATGTGGCCTGAATTCTAGAACACGGCTTGGTCTCTATGCTGGGCTTGGTTTCAGAGCTTATCTGGGTTCTAGAGCTGGGCTTGGTCTCGGAGCTGGCCTGGACTCTAGAACAGGGCTTGGTCTCAATACTGGGCTCTGTCTCAGAGCTCATCTGAGTTCTAGAGCTGGGCATGGTCTCAGAGCTCATCTGGGTTCTAGAGCTGGGCTTGGTCTCGGAGCCCATCTGAGTTCTAGAGCTGGGCATGGTCTCAGAGCCCATCTGAGTTCTAGAGCTGGGCTCGGTCTCAGAGCCCATCTGAGTTCTAGAGCTGGGCTCGGTCTCAGAGCCCATCTGAGTTCTAGAGCTGGGCATGGTCTCAGAGCCCATCTGAGTTTTAGAGCTGGGCTCGGTCTCAGAGCCCATCTGAGTTCTAGAGCTGGGCTCGGTCTCAGAGCCCATCTGAGTTCTAGAGCTGGGCATGGTCTCAGAGCCCATCTGAGTTCTAGAGCTGGGCATGGTCTCAGAGCTCATCTGGGTTCTAGAGCTGGGCTTGGCCTCAGAGCAGGCCTGAGTTCTAGAACAGGGCTTGGTCTCAGTGCTGGGCATGGTCTCAAAGCTCATCTGAGTTCTAGAGCTGGGCTTGGTCTCAGGGCTGGCCTGAGTTTTAGAACAGAGCTTATTCTCAATGCTGGGCTTGGTCTCAGAGCTGGCCTGGGCTCTAGCACATAGCTTGGCCTCAGATCTGGGCTGGATTCTAGAGAAGGGTTGGGTTCTGGAGTTGGGCTGGGGCTCCAAATTGGATTGGGTTCTAGAGAGGAACTTGTCCTCCGATCTGGGCTGGGTTCTGGAGCAGGGCCGGGGCAGGGGGCTGGGCTCCGGGCTGGGGCTGTGCTGGGCCCCCCCAGGGCAAACTAGCCACAGGCCTCTCTGGCCTCGCCGATGGCGGCCCACACTTCCACCACAAACTCGTCGGGGAAGGCGAACTCGCCCAAGACGGAGTCTAAACAGCGTGCAAACTCCTGGGCGCTCGCTGTCTTCTTGGACGTCTCCACCATGGTGGACGCTGCGGGCCGTGCCAGAGGGGATGTCAGTGAGGGCACTCCCCGCGCCCAACTTCCCGCTGGGACCCCTGCCTCCTCCCGTAGGCTTCCCTCCCCCCAGGGCCCCCTGGCTTACCCTGGCCCCTTACCCAGCTCGGGGTCCCGAATGCCCATGTAGCTTTCCAGCAGGTCATCAACCTTCCGAGATGCCTCCTCCTCAAACTCACTGGGCTGGGGGCACACGGGAGGGAAGTCAGGGGTGAAAAGCTTTGGAGCCCTCCAGCCCAGCCCCCTCCCGACCCCCACCCCTAAGGGAAGAGTAGACTGGACCCTCACACGAGTCAGTAGTGCTGGTACCAACATCATTGCCCCACTTTTCAATGAGGACCCATTTTGCAGGCAGAGAAACTGAGGCTCCGAGGAGAAGTTCTTACCCAAGACCGCACTGACTCAGTGGAGGAGCTGAAGGTGCAGAAGCCTGGGGAGAGCCCCTCCCCTTCACTCACCGCTTCCTCCACTGTGGCAGCCCCCCCAGAACGAAGCCGCAGGGTCTCCCTCCCGCTGGTCACTTTCGCCTCTACTGGACATTTGCTGGACCGACTTCTCTGGCCAATCATATCTGGAGGGAACAGAGTGAGGGATGGCCATGGGTTCTGGGTGGAGCCACATCTTTGTAAACCCTGGGAGGCCAACAGCCGAGCCTTTCTAGAATCTTCCTCCCCTTCAAAGTCCTCCTTACATCTGTACGGCAAGTCTCCAGAGACCTATTCGAGATTCCACACTTCGCATCCCCAGCAAACTAAATCACAAGTCCAGAATGAGGTGTTGTAATGGAGCAGGTTTAGAACTAACATCCCAGTTCCATGCCCTCACTCTCCCTCTTCTAGCGACTTTCTCTAGAAGGGACTGCTTGGGACCCTCCTTGTGGTAGGATCCTCAATCTAGATATGTTCTTGTCTGGGTTCCAGAACCCGGCTTAGTGTCAGGACTGAGGTGCTAGAAACACACTTAGTCTCAGAGCTGGCCTGGGCTTAAGAGCAGGGCTTGGTCTGAGAGCTGGCCTGGGCTCTAGAGCTGGGTTTAGTCTCAGACTAAGCTTGATTTTTTTTTTTTTTTTTGAGATGTTGTCTTGCTCTGTCACCCAGGCTAGAGTGCAATGGCACGATCTCGGCTTACTGCAGCCTCCACCTCCCAGGTTCAAGCGATTCTCCTGCCTCAGCCTCTCGAGTAGCTGGGATTACAGGCACCTGCCACCATGCCCAGCTAATTTTTTGTATTTTTAGTAGAGACAGGGTTTCACCATATTGGCCAGGCTGGTCTCGAACTCCTGACCTCGTGATGCACCCGCCTTGGCCTTCCAAAGTACTGGGATTACAGGCTTGAGCCACTGCACCCAGCCAGGTTTTTTTTTTTTTTTTTTTGATACGATGGATCACCTGACCTCAGGTGATCCACCTGCCTTGGCCTCTCAAAGTGCTGGGATTACAGGTGTGAGCCACCACGCCCGGCCTAAACTCTATTTTTAGGCATGGCTTTTGGAGTTCACAGCCACGGCAGGGCAGATTCTAGAACCCCATACAGCTCACTCTCCCTGGGACGTCTCTCCATGTGTGCTGGGGCACTTCTAGAATCTCTGTCTCTGTTCTATAGAACAACGCTATCCAAAGGGCCAACCCATGGCTACATGAGGAGAATGTGCTAGTGTGTAAATCAATACACTGTTTTCTTCATTGAGAAAGTCTAGTTATGAAAAAAAATGGGCAGGGTGCAGTGGCTCATGCCTGTAATTCCAGCACTTTCGGAGGCCGAGGCGGGCAGATCACCTGAGGTCGGGAGTTCGAGACCAGCCTGCCAACATGGAGAAACCCCATCTCTACTAAAAATACAAAATTAGCCAGGCATGGTGGCACATGCCTGTAATCCCAGCTAGTTGGGAGGCTGAGGCAGGAGAATCACTTGAACCTGGGAGGCAGAGGTTGTGGTGAGCCGAGATCACACCATTGCACTCCAGCCTGGGCAACAAGAGCAAAACTCCGTCTCAAAAAAAGAAAAAAATTAAAAATTAGCTGGCACGGCCAGGCGCGGTGGCTCACACCTGTAATCGCAGCACTTTGGGAGGCCGAGGTGGGCGGATCACGAGGTCAGGAGATCGAGACCGTCCTGGCTAACACGGTAAAACCTCATCTCTACTAAAATACAAAAAATTAGCCGGGTGTGGTGGCGGGCGCCTGTAGTCCCAGCTACTCGGGAGGCTGAGGCAGGAGAATGGTGTGAACCCGGGAGGCGGAGCTTGCAGTGAGCTGAAATCTAGCCACTGCACTGCAGTCTGGGCGACAGAGCTAGACTCCGTCTCAAAAAAAAAAAAAGAAAAGAAAAGAAAAAAGAAAGGAAAAAAAAAAGAAAAGAAAGAAAACTTTTTTCTCATATTCTCATTCTCTACAATCCACCATGACCTCAAAGCACTGCTTTAAAAGTTCCCAGGCTGCGCGCGGTGGCTCACGCCTATAATCCTAGCATTTTGGGAGACTGAGGCGGGTGGAGCACTTGAGGTCAGAAGTTCGAGACCAGACTGGTCAAGATGGTGAAACCCCGTCTCTACTAAAAATACAAAAATTAGCCAGGCGCAATGGTGGGTGCCTGTAGTCCCAGCTACTCGGGAGGCTGAGGCAGGAGAATCGCTTGAACCCGGGAGGTGGAGATTGCAGTGAGCTGAGATCGCGCCATTGCACTCCAGCCCAGGCAACAGAGTGAGACTCCGTCTCAAAAACAAACAAACAAACAAACAAACAAAAACAAGTCTCCCAGCCTGGCTCCAAAGTGGTTCTGGACGCGTCCTCCTCCAACTCCACTTTACCCAGTCTCTCCCCCACCCCTCCCCCACAGGCTGACTCCATAACAATCTATTAATAGAAACTACCTACGAGTTTCTGATACCCTGCCAGGAGCTCCTTGGCACGCAGCGGGTGCACCTAGAACCTTCCAGCCCGTCCCATCCCCGACCCTCCTCCACCCCAGGCATCCGTAGAACGCACTTCGGGAAGAGCTCCCGCCAGCCCACCCGCCTCACCGAAGGCCCTCTTGGGCTGCACCAGGCGCAGGGTGAAGGGCTGGGACTTGGGCAGCTCCCGGAGCATCTTGGCCACCTCGTAGTGGCGGCAGCCCACAATGGAGTGGTCGTTGATGGCTTCGATGCTGTCACCCACGCACACTGCCTCGATCCGGTTGATGATACTGCCTTCCTTGATTCTCTGCAGGGATCCAGCGTCGCTGGCAGGGCAACCCCAGCCACCCGCCTCCAATCCGCAGAACCCACGTCGACCCAGAGTGGGGGGGGCAGTTGCTGGACCCCAGGAAGCCACCCGCCCACCCCCTCCCGGGCACCTTGATGAAGGCGTAGCCAGCCCCGTTGTCCGTGATGGTCAGCCCCAGAGCATCCTCTGTCTTAGTGACCTCCACCTCCTTGGTCTCGCCTCGCACGTGGGCAAAGATGAAGTCCTCCAGGCCTATCTGACCCCCCAGGAGCTTCTGCATGTCCACTTTGTGGCTGTTGAGGGTGCAGAATAAAATCTTCCCGGGGGAGAAGGAGCCTAGAGTTAGCCAGGGCATGCATCCCCCCACGCAGCCACCCTGTCTGCGCAGGCCCCTGCCCCCAGCGACCAGGATCCCAGCCCATGGGAAAGGGCAGGGCGTGGGACCCCCAGAACAGAGAGAGGAGGGAGAAGGAGACTTCCAGCAGGTGGAGACCCCTCTCCATACCCCGGGACCTCCAGCCCCCAGACCTCCAGGTTTAATCTGCTGGCGCCCCCTGGGGGCTGCAAACCAAACGAACCCGGATTGGAAAAACGCCCAGGAACCCCCCAACCCCACGGCGGCCTCAAACTTCCCATCCCTAAGGGGGCCATCTGGAACCCCAGACCCCAGCTACGCCCAGGAAGCACAGAGGCGCTTCCCCGAGGGCTGGGGTCCGCTCCAAGCTAGGTCTGCGCAGAGGATTTTCTGGAATATCTAGGGGTCCGCTAGTCCTAAGACCTGCCCATCTTTTGCGCAGAGCGTGCAAAGGGGGCCCCTGGGAGTGTGGCACCCCGGGATCTGAGGGCTGGGTCTCTGAGATCCGGCGATTAGGCGGCCACCCCGACGTCTGGGATCCGGGGATCTGGGGTCTCCCGTCCAGGGTCCAAGCTCCCTACCCCTCACCCCATCAGGCGGGTGGTCTTGGGCGCCGGTGTCCGGGCTCCTTACCTCGGTGGGCGCGATCCCGAAGGCTTCGGCGATCTTGGCGTACAGCTCGCGGACGTTGGTGAAGCCCTCGATCTTGCCCGTGGGGCTCCCGTGCGCCAGCTGCGTGCGGAAGACGAGGCGCGGGCGGGCGCGGGGCGCGGCCGGGGGCTCCGAGGGCGCGGGCGGGGGCGCAGACGCGCGCGGGGTCTCGGTCCCCCGGGCCTCCCGGGCCGCTGCTCCCTCCATGGCGGGAGAAGTTCGGCCACCCACCCGGGCCCTCGCCGCCGCCGCCGGATCCGCCGCTTCCTGCAGCCTCCCCTCCCCCGGCCCAGGGCGCGACAGCCGAGACGCCCGGGTAAGGGGATCTGGGAACCCGAGCCTCCCGGGAAGGCGACACCGCGGGGTGCGCAGGGGTGGGTCGGGCCCCAGGTGTCCGGGCCCTGCCAGGGCCAGCTGTGCCCTCCCCGGGGATACCCGCAGTCCGGGGGGGCCTGAGCTCAGGACCCTGGAAGAACAGGGACCACAAATAAGGACAGGGACAGGCCTGGAGCGGTGGCTCACGTCTGTAATTCCAGCACTTTGGGAGGCCGAAGCGGGCAGATGACCTGAGGTCAGGAGTTCAAGACTAGCCTGGCCAACATGGTGAAACCCCGTCTCTACCAAAAATACAAAAATCAGCCGGACGTGGTGGCGGGCGCCTGTAATCCCAGCTACTCGGGAGGCTGAGATCTCTTGAACCCGGGAGGCGGAGGTGGCAGTGAGCTGAGATGGCGCCATTACACTCCAGCCTGGGCAACAAAGCGAGACTCCGTCGCAAAAAAAAAAAAAAAAAAAAAAAAAAGGACAGGGACAGCTGAGGGTGCTGGAGCACTCACCCTCTGCTAGGCGAGGTCATTGTTTTATTTTATTTTATTATTTTTATTTATTTATTTATTTTGAGCTGGAGTCTCGCTCTGTCACCCAGTTTGGAGTTCAGTGGCACGATCTCAGCTCACTGCAACCTCTGCCCACCAGGTTCAAGCAATTCTCATGCCTCGGCCTCCCCAGTAGCTGGGATTACAGGCATATACCACCATGCCCGGCTAATTTTTTTGTATTTTTAATAGAGATGAGGTTTCACCATGTTGGCCAGGATGGTCTTGAACTCCTGACCTCAGGAATCCACCCACCTTAGCCTCCAAAAAAGCTGGGATTACAGGCATGAGCCACCACGCCCAGCCTTTGGTTTGTTTGTTTGATTTTGGAGACGGAGTCTAGCTCTGTCGCCCAGGCTGGAGTGCAATGGCGTGATCTCGGCTCACTGCAACCTCCACCTCCTGGGTTCAAGCGATTCTCCTGCCTCAGCCCCCCTAGTAGCTGGGATTATAGGCGCACACCACCATGCCTGGCTAATTTTTGTATTTTTTAGTAGAGACAGGGTTTCACCATGTTGGTCAGGCTTGTCTCGAACCCCTGACCTCAGGTGATCCACCTGCCTTGGCCTCCCAAAGTGCTGGGATTACAGGCGTGAACCACCGCACCCGGCCGCATTCAGTTTTTTAAAATTTAATTTAGAAACATGATTAATTTTTTGTACAGTTGGGATCTCACTGTGTTGCCCAGGCTGGTCTCAAACTCAAGACCAGGAGGTTCAGGCCATCCTTCAGCCTTGGCCTCCCAAAGTGCTAGGATTACAGATGTGAGCCACTGTGCCCAGCTTCTCTTCAGCATTTAAAGCTACCATCTGACATATCAGATATTTTATTTTATTTTATTTTTTGAGACGGAGTCTCTCTCTCTTGCCAAGGCTGGAGTGCAGTGGCACGATCTCGGCTCACTGCAACCTCTGCCTCCCGGGTTCAAGCGATTCTTCTGCCTCAGCCTCCTGATTAGTTGGGATTACAGGCACCTGCCACCATGCCCAGCTAATTTTTTTTGTATTTTTAGTAGAGACGGGGGTTTCACCATGTTGGCCAGGATGGTCTCGAACTCCTGACCTCAAGGAATCCTCCCGCCTCAGCCTCCCAAAATGTTGGGATTACAGGCTTGAGCCCCAGCCCCCTGCTGATATTTCATTTCATCTTTTGTCCTGTTTGTCCCCAGGACTGGAGGAATGTCAGCTCCAGGAGGGTGGGGGCTGTTCCCCTGCTCTGTCCCCATGCCCAGTGTCCAGGGCACAGTGCCTGGCATACAGCAGGTGCCCAGTGATCTTTGGTGAGGAATGAACGGATGTCCAGGTCACAGATGAAGGAGGAGACCCCAGGCACCAGGAGGCGTTGGTAAAAATCCGCTGGAGTGCAATGTCAGAAACACCTACGTATCCATCAGATTCCTACCCAGGAATGTCGGCTCAATAAACAGCCATCCTGCCTGCAGTGGCGGGCCCTACAGCAGAGCCAGTCACAGCCTCCGCCCAGGAGGAGCCTCACAAACTGAACATGGGGAGAGAAAAGAAAGTGGCAGGAGGGTTTGGACGAGGTAAGAAATTTTATGTAAGGCCGGGCACGGTGGCTCATGCCTGTAATCCAGCACTTTGGGAGGCTGAGGCAGGCGGATTGCTTGAGGTCAGGAGTTCGAGACCAGCCTGGACAACGCAGTGAAACCCCATCTCTACTAAAAACACAAAAATTAGCCAGGTGTGGTGGCGCACACCTGTAGTCCCAGTTACTCGGGAGGCTGAGGCAGAATTGCTCCAACCTGGGAGGCGGAGGTTGCAGTGAGCCAAGATCATGCCACTGCACTCCAGCCTGGACAACAGAGTGAGACTGTCTCAAAAAAAAAAAAAAAAAAAAAAGGCCAGGTCTGGTGGCTCACCCCTGTAATCCCAGCACTTGGGGAGGCCAAGGAAGGCAGATCACAAGGTCAAGAGATCAAGACCATCCTGGCCAACATGATGAAACCCCATCTCTACTAAAAATACAAAAATTAAATTAGCTGAGTATGGTGTCATGTGCCTGTAATCCCAGCTACTTGGAAGGCTGAGACAGGAGAATCACTTGAACCCGGGAGGCGGAGGTTGCAGTGAGCCAAGATCGCGCCACTGCACTCCAGCCTGGGACAGACAAGAGCGTGACTCCGCCTCAAAAAAAAAAAAAGAGAGAGAGAGAGGGATTCACCTGCCTCAGTCTCCCAAGTAGCTGGAATTACAGGCATGCACCACCATCCCTGGCTATTTTTGTATTTTTAGTAGAGACCGGGTTTCACTATGTTGGCCAGGCTGGTCTGGAACTCTTGGTCTCAAGTGATCTGCCTGCCTCGGTCTCCCAAACTGCTGGAATTACAGGCGTGAGCCACTGTGCCCAGCCCACACAGCTTTTTGAATGTACCAAAACCTACTGAATTGTATACTGAAATTTTTTTTAATAAAAAACTGCTGCAAAATGCTATTTTCCAGGCCTGCCTAGAAATGAGAAACTCTAAATTTAAGGTGGTGGTACCTGTGCCAGGACAGGGTGAAACTGGGGTGGGGAGTGAGGGGGGTTGGCAGTATCAGGTTGTCTGACTCGCCCATGATGGCTGTAACAAAGCACCAAAAACTGGGTGTGGTGAGGTGGCTCTTGACTGTGATCCCAGCACTTTGGGAGGCCGAGGCGGGAGGATCACTTGAGCCCAGGAGTTTGAGACCAGCCTGAGGAATAAGGTGAGACCCCATCTCTACAAAAAATACAAAATTAGCGGGGTGTGGTGGCACACACCTGTAGTCCCAGCTACTTGGGAAGCTGAGATGGGAAGATTGCTTGAACCCAGGAGGTATAGGCTGCAGTGAGCTGTGATGGCATCTCTGCACTTCAGCCTGGGTGACAGAGCAAGATCCTGTCTCAACCACAAAGAAACAGCTGGGTGCAGTGGCTTATGCCTGTAATCCTAGCGTTTTGAGAGGCTGGCCCAGATGGATCGCTTGAACCCGGTAGTTCAAGACCAGTCTGGGCAACATAGTGAGACCCCATCTCACAAATACCAATAAATTGACTGGGTATGGTGGCTCATGCCTGTAATTCCAGCACTTTGGGAGGCTGAGGTGGGTTGATCACTTGAGGTCAGGAGTTTGAGATCAGCCTGGGCAACATGGTGAAGCCCCATCTCTACTCAAAATACAAAAATTAGCCAGGCTTGATGGTGAGTGCCTGTAATCCCAGCTACGTGGGAGAATCGCTTCAACCCGGGAGGTGGAGGTTGCAGTGACCTGAGATCCAGCCATTGCACTCCAGCCTAGGCAATAGAGCGAGACTCTGTCTCACAGAAAAATAAATAAATAAATAAATTAAATAAATAATTAGGCAGGAGTGATGGCAGGCACCTGTGGTCCCAGCTACTCACGAGAACCAGGTGGGAGGATCACCTGAGCCCAGGAGGTCGAGGCTGCAGTGAGCTATGATTGCGACACTGCACTCCAGCCTAGGTAACATAGTGGGACCCTGTCTCAAAAAAAAAAAAAAAGCTGTCGGGCACGGTGGCTCACGCCTGTAATCCCAGCCCTTTGGGAGGCTGGGGCAGGTGGATCACCTGAGGTCAGGAGTTCGAGACCATCCTGGCTGACATGGTGAAATCACATCTCTACTAAAATATAAAAAATTAGCCAGACATGGTGGTGGGCGCCTGTAATCCCAGCTACTCAGGAGGCTGGGGCAGGAGAATCGCTTGAACCTGGATGGTGGAGGTTGCAGTGAGCCGAGATCGTGCCATTGCACTCCGGCCTGGGTGACATGAGTGAAACTCTGTCTGAAAAAAAAAAGAAAAAGAAGAAGAAGAAGCAGTGTGGGATGGAGGTGGGCGGGCACAATGGCTCACGCCTGTAATCCCAGCACTTTGGGAGGCCCAGGCAGCAGGACACTTGAGCCAGGAGTTCAAGATCATCCTGGGCAACATAGTGAGACCCCCCCCCAACCCCTAAAAAATAAAAAATAAACAAAAACAAAGCATCACAAACAGGGAGACATAACACAGCAGAAACTTATCCTCTCACAGCTCCAGAGGCCAGAATCCCACAATGAAGGTGTTGGCAGGGCCCTCGGAGCCCCTGGGAAGAATCCTTCCTGGCATCCACAGCTTCTGGCTGTGGGTGGCCTTCCTTAACGTTTCTTGGCTTCTAGATACATCACTCCAGTCTCGGCCTCTGTTGTCACTTGGCTGTCTCTTCTCTGTGTCTGTGTCCAGATTTTATCTTCTTATAAGGAGAGCAGTCATCTTGGACTTAGGGCCTATGCTACTCCAGTAATGACTTAATCTTAACTAATTATATCTGCAGTGACCCTATTTCCAAATAAGGTCACGTTCAGAGGTTCTGGGGTTCAGATTATTCTCCGAATTTTTTAGGATGTCTTATGTATGCCATTAAACGCAGAAGTCCCTGGAAAGGTTTCTCAATAAGCAACACACACACACACACACACGTACACAAAACAAGCCAAATGCAGAACTCCCAGCAATCTGTATCTCCAAAAGAATGGAAAATGTGCATTCTAACAAAAACATGTACATGAATGTTCACAGCAGCATGACTCACAAGTGGTAGAAATAGCCAAGTGTCCTTTGACAGATAGATGGGGTCAATACAGCGGATTCATCCACACACTGGACAATGACTCAGCCACCAAAAGGAATGAGGCTCTGACACAGGCCACAGCGTGGATAAATCTGGAGGACAATCACACTCAGTGAGAGAAGCCAGATACAAAAGGACATATAGTCCGGGTGCGGTGGCTCATACCTGTAATCCCAGCACTTTGGGAGGCGGAGGCGGGCAGATCACCTAGGTCAGGAGTTCGAAACCAGCCTGGCTAACACGGTGAAACCCCATCTCTACTAAAAATACAAAAAATTAGCTGAGTGTGGTGGTACACGCCTGTAGTCCTAGCTACTCAGGAGGTTGAGGCAGGAGAATCACTCGAGCCAGGGAGGCGGAGGTTGCATTGAGCCGAGATCGTGCCACTGCACTCCAGCCTGGGTGACGGAGCAAGACTCTGTCTCAAAAAAAAAAAAAAAAAAAAGGCCACACAGTGTGTGGTCCCATATCCAGGACACGTCAATCCACAGAGGCAGGAAGGGGATTTGTGGGTGCCAGGAGCTGGGGAGGGGATGAGAGTGACTGTTGATGAGGACAGGACTTCCTCTGGGGGTGATGAGAATGCGTTGAGATTAGATAAAGGTGATGACTGCACAAAATTGTGATGTACTAAATGCCACTGAATTGTGCATTTTAAAATGGCTAAAATGGCCAGGCGCGGTGGCTCACGCCTGTAATCCCAGGGTTTGGGAGGCTGAAGCAGGAGGATTGCTTGAGCCCAGGAGTTCAAGGCTGCAGTGAGCTATGATCGGGCCACTGCGCTCCAGCCTGGGTGGCAGAGTGAGACCGCGTCTCCAATAAATAAACAAAATGGCTATGATGGTAAGGTTCATGTTGCGTATTTTACACAATAAACAAAACCGTGGCCCACCCAAAGTCACTGTGCTACAAAGTGGACTTGAACCCCCGTGCGGACACAAGTTGAAGGATGAACTGAGCAGCCGTGACTGTCCCCTGTGCTTCAAGTCCCCCACGTGTGCTGAGCCCACAATGCCCAACTTTAGGTAGGGGAGGGATGGAGACACCTGCCCAGCCATTGACTTGCTCTGTGAACCCCGGCAAGTTTGGGCTCCCGTCTCCCTATCTGAGAAACTCTGAGGCTCTGCTAGAGGTAAAGAGAGCAGGCCTGGCGCCCCCAGCAGGGAATGTCATGGGGGGCCCAGGCTGCACCTTCTGAACCCTCCACACCACCCCAAACAAGCTTACACACTCACAAGCTTAAAACACAAATTTTACTTGTTTTTATTTAAAAAGTCCGGATCCAGCAGTGAGAAGGAGCCACCCCCACCAGGGTCCCTCGGCTGGAGGAGAGCAGGATGGGCAAAGCCGGCCCCCACCCATCTGGGGTACAGGCATGCGGGGGACACCCCAGGTAAGTCCCCACAAGGCAGCTTCCTGTGTGGCCTATGGCACAGCCCCCCGTAGTGAGTAATTTGGGGGGTCCTGCCGTGTGCTGGGGGTGGGTTTCGTCTGCCCTGTGTCCTGGGGGTGGCCCGGAGAGCCAGTGTAGCGCGTGGCTGTCCTCCGAGGAGGGGCACCCTCGGCTGTGAGGTTCTTCTGGGTGTATCGCGCAGCGAGTGCTTTTTCCGGGTTCAGGGGGCTGGGGAGATTGAAAGCTAAAGGGATGCTGCAGAAATTTAATTTTAGGGGGGCTGGAGCCCCCAAGGTGCAGGATGGGACCAGGCCCCAAAGGGTGGACCCCCAGCCTCTCGTCCACGGGGTGGGGTGTGGCAGGGCCGCGCCCACAGCTTCTCCTCTGCATCGTGGGCCCGCCCACTCCTCACAGGTGCTCGCTGAAACGAGAGAGGAGGGCCCGGGATGAGGCCCTCATCATCTCTGGCCCCCACCCCGGCCCTGGGGAACCCCAGAGACCATGGCCCATCAGCTGCTCCAACAGATGCCAGGGTTGGGGGACAGGCGTTGAACCTATCTAACCCGGGCGCTGGGATCCACCCTGAGAAGCTTTAGGGAAGTTCTGGTGCCCCCGAGTGGGTCCCGCCGGCCCGGGGTTCTCCATGGCCATCCTAGCACTGGTGCATCAGGGGCGACCGCAGGTAGGCCCCTCCGGGAGGTGATCTCTAGTAAGCTGCGGAGTCCCACCCAGCAGCCCTCGCGGACCTGGGGAACCCCAGGGCGGGCACATCCGGGCCTTGAACCCCGGCCCCGCCCCGCCTCGCCCGGCACACACCTGGCGACCTGGGCCAGGATTTCCTTGATGCGGACGATGAGCTTCTCGTGCTGGGCGGGGTCGCGCTCGATGGCTCCGTGAAGCCGGGCCATGTAGAAGTCCAGAGTGCCCAGCGTGGGCGTTTCGCCCGTGCCTGGGGGACAGGCGGGAAGGTCAGGCGAGGGTGCCGGGGAGTCGCGGGGCGGGGGCTCCAGGGGCAGCGGTAGGGGGTGACTCAGGGCGGGTCGCGCGGGCGCTCAGAGGTCCGGACACCGCCAGCGCAGGAGCGGCGCAGGGTGGGCTAAGGTAAGCCGGGGCAGGAGGATGGCGAGGACGGGGACAGGGTGGGGACGCGGGGCTAGAGCGGCGGGCGTCCAGGGTCCGCTGAGGACAGTCACGGACGGAGGGAACGAGGTCGGGGAGGTGGGGATGACACCGGGGGGCTGGGGTCGCGTGGGACGTGACTGGGGTGGTGGAGGGGGCTCAGGCGTCAGCGGGGCGTGGGGAGGGATGGGTGACGGGGGCGTGGGGAGGTGGGGTGAATGGGAACGTGGCGTGGCGAGCGGGGAGGCTGGGTCAGTGCTCAGGCTGGTCGGGGGCTGGCGAGGGAGAGGGGCCAGCGACGGTGGGGCCGGTAGGGAGCGGTGGGGGCGCGAAGGGTGGGGGCACAAAGGGGCTGCGGGAGGAAGCGAGTAAGCGGGGACGCGTCGGGAGAGGTCGTGGCCGGGAGGCGCGGTCGGTGGGGGCGAGGTCAGGGAGCCGGCCGAGTAACGGGGCGCGGAGCGGAGCTCGGGTGTGGTCTGGGAAGAACCAGACGGAGCTATGGGGTAGGGGTGCGGGGGTCGGGGAGGAGGCGGAGCTGGGGGTGATGAGGGCGGGGCGATAGGCGGGGCCGGGTGACTGGGGAAGAGGGGACGGGGCGATGGGCGGCGCCGGGCGACAGGGGAAGGGGGGAAGGGAGGAGGGGGGGGGAGGCGGGCGGGGCCGGGTGACCGGGGCGGGACTGGGAGATGGGCGTGGCCCGCACCCGGCACCGGCAGTGAGGCGAAGCTGGCGGTGAGCGCCTGGCGCACGGCCTGGAGCTGCTGCTGCAGCGCCAGCGTCCTCCGCTCCTCCAGCGCCAGCTCCTGCTCCAGACGCTCGCGCGCGCTGCTCATGCTCTGCGTGTGCCTCTGCAGTACCGCGTTCTGCTCCTCGAAGGCCACATTCATCTTCCGCAAGCGCCGAAGCTCCGCCTCACGCGCTGCGCCGGGGGGAGCGGGGTCAAAGCCTGCGCCTCCCCTTTCCCCTACCTCCGGGCTTTTGCCCGGGACGTGCCCCTGCCCAGGTTTCCCTCACTGCGCCCTCTGCCTCCTGCTCCACATCAGCCTCTGGAGCGACAGCGTGCGCCTGGACGCTCATAGGGAACCTCCCGATCCGCCTCCTGCAGTCTTGGGGCCCTCCTGGCCCACGCCCCCCTCTACCACCCAGTTTCACGGAGTTCGCATCAGGAGCGCAGTTACCGCTCACCTTTGTTTTGGTCCAAGAACTCTTCAGTGAAGATGGGAACATCGAAGGTGGAGAAGCCATCGCAGTCCCCACCCTAAGACGAAGGGACAAGGTGGCAATTTACTGGTGGTAGGAGGCAGCCACGCTCTCTGGGTGTGCCCCAAGCCTAGGAGGGTCTCCTGGGACACCCCGGTGGGAGTACAATCAACAGCGATCCCACGGTGCAGTGGCACCGCCCCTGCTTGCACACATCTGGGCGAGCACTGGCTCTGACTCAGGGTTCTAGAAGCCTCCAGACCTTTCTCCCCCAGGTGCTTTGAGAGGAAGAAGGTCGCTTACCTTGTGTCCATTCAGGAGAGTGTTCATGAGCCCAGAGCTCGAGTCTTCTGGCGGGGGAGGGGAAGGGCAGGGTCAGCCTCCCAGGCCTCCAGGGACCACGCCCTGCACCCTAGGTCAGCGCTGCTCAGCCGGCTCCAGCTCCCCACTTGAGTGCCCCGCGTCTGGGCATCCCCCATCGCTGTACCGAGTGAGCCCCCTTCACTCCTGTCTGGCTATGTATCTTTCCCCCGCCCAACCCACGGGACTGTGCCCCACGGAGGGAGGCCCTGCCTGGGCTGAGGTCGCACCCCACAGAGCAGGACCCCAACTGCTCGCACCGGCCCCTCCCACCTTTCATTTTTCTTTTTCTTTTTTTTTTTTTTTTGAGACGGAGTCTCGCCCTGTCGCCCTGGCTAGAGTGCAATGGCGCAATCTTGGCTCACTGCAACCTCCACCTCCCGGGTTCAAGCAATTCTCCTGCCTCAGCCTCCCGAGTAGCTGGGATTACAGGCACCCGCCACCACGCCCAGGTAATTTTTGTATTTTTAGTAGAGGGGGAGGGTTTCACTATGTTGGCCAGGCTGGTCTGACCTCAGGTGATACACCCGCCTCGGCCTCCCAAAGTGCTGGGATGACAGGCGTGAGCCACCGCGCCCGACCCCTCCCACCTTTCTTGATCTTCTTCTCCTGGATCTTCTCCGTGCACATCTTATAGGCTTCAGACTGCTGGTACGCCCGCAGCTCCTTCATGTACTGCTGCTTCTCTCTCTCGGCCTCATCCAGGTACCGCTGGGGGGCAGCACCAGAAGGCTTGAAGCAGGGGAAGCCTCCAACGCCAGGATCCAGTCTTTATCACTCTGCTTTCACAGCACCCTCCCCTCTCCTGAACCTTCTATAGCTCCCTATTCCCTCCAGGCAGACAGAACCGGCTCCTCAGCCTGTTGCTCAGGGACCTCCGAGCTCCCACCTCACTTCCCATGCCCCGGACTCTTCCCCACCTCCAGCCCTGACAAACCACTCCCGGACGCCAGAGTCATGGGCAGGAACCCAACCTCCAGCGTATGCGGATGCCTGGACTCCCTCCCGCACCCGTTTCTCTCTTTGAAATCTCACTTACAGGGATGCAAAGCAGTGATGGCTTTTGTTACATTTCCGTGATGTTTTTGCAATTTTTAAACTAACAGGATATGAAAATCGGGTTTCGCAAAAAATCCAGGCCCCATCCTGACTTCTTAGACATATCTTTGTTGGTCATCCAGTTTTCAATCTGTCTTGCCTCTTGCTAGCCGCGCCCCCAAAAGCTGGTCATGGGCTGGCCACGGTGGCTAACGCCTTTAATATCAATACTTTGGGAGGCTGAGGTGGGCGGATCATTTGAGGTCAAGAGTTCGAGACCAGCCTGGCCAACATGGCGAAACCCCATTTCTACTAAAAATACAAAAATTAGCAGGGCATGGTAGCACGCGCCTGTAATCCCAGCTACCTGAGAGGCTGAGACAGGAGAATTGCTTGAAGCCGGGAGGCGGAGGTTGCAGTGAGCTGAGATCACGCCACTGCACTCCAGCCTGGGCAACAGAGCAAGACTCCATCTCACAAAAAAAAAAAAAAAAAAAGTTGGTTATGGGTGGGCATTTCTCCAGGAAGAAGGAAAAACCCTGCACGTGGAATCCTTTGGGGGTCGGGGCTACTGGGGGGTAGTCCGTGGACCCCGCCAGCCCTGCTCGGCGCCCCGCCCCGCCCACCTGCTTTTCCGTTGGCTGCAGCTTGCTCCACTCGGCGCCCAGCATCTTGGTGATCTCGGGAAAGGGCAGATCCGGGTGGCGCGTGCGGATCTGCTCGCGCCGCTCGTTCAGGAAGCGCACGTAGCCCGTGACCGGTGCCTTGGGCCCATTCGGCAGAATCTTCTTCCGCTTCTTGCCCTTGGGCCAGCCGCGTTTCTTCACCGGCTGCAGAACCGGGCTGCGTCGTTGGGAGGGGGGCCTGGCGTACTGGGGCAGGGCTCAGAGGGGCATGGGCGGGGCCTAACGCGTATGGGCGGGGATGGGGGCGGGGCCTAGCTGGGAGGAAGAACCCGGAAAAGATGGAGGTAGGGCCCGGTCAGCAGTCGGGACACGGTGGGTTAGAGGGATCCCTGGCCAGGGGTGAGGGGATCTGAGGAACTATGGGCCGAGGTTTGAGTACAGGGTTGGCGTTGACTTCGGTTGTGGGCGTGGCCTCTGCTTGGTGGGCGTGGTTTTCTGCTGGAGAACGGGCCCACAGGACCAAGGGGAGGGTGCCGCCCCCAAGGAGTGGAAGTGGGCGGGACCTTAGAGTGGGCAGAGCTGGCATTGTGCGGTGGGCGGGGCCTGGACTTAGAGTGGCAGAGGACCTGTCAGGGGCGTGGCAGCTGGCACGGGGCGGGGTCTCAGCTTCCAGAGGAAAATGGGCTGTGGGCGGAGCCACAAGCAATTCAAATCCAGCCTGGGGCGGGGCTTCGAGGCTGGGGCGGGAGCCCGGGGCCTCCCCCAGCTCAGCGCAGGGACTCTCACCTCCTCCTCGTGGGACCCCTTCTCGCCCGCGCGTGGACCCTCGCCGCGCTCTTGCTTGACAGTCACCACGAAGCCCCCATGCTGGCCCGGAGCCTTGCCGCCCGCCGGCCTGGAGCCAAGGATACCGCGGTCAGCCCCGTCCCAAGAATCTCCCCTCCCCCAAAAGCCCACCCCAGGGCGTTTTGACCCCCGACGGCGGGGCTGCAGCGAGAGTGCATGAGCCCGAGGAGGCAGGGTCTGATGGGGTCAGTATCCGGGGAAGGTGGGACAAGCGGGGCTCCTGGGAGGGACTGGAGGCCGAGGTGGGGGGTGCAGAATTGGGTGGAGGGAGAAGCCCCCTGACCCAGGTGGGGGAGTCAAGACTCCGGCGGGAGGGACTGGGTCAGGGGTTCAGGAGCTAGGGCTGCAGCCGGGAAAGTAGCGAGGGCGTGGGGAGGGGATCAGTGCACTCACGCGGCGGCCGCGCCGGGCTGCTTGGGGCCGTGGGACATGGCCGCTCCGGGCCGGACCTGGAACACGGACGCGGGCGGAGGTGAGTAGCGCCCGGGCTGCCCGATGGCAGACCGCGAACTGGGGTACCCCGCGATGGAGAGCCCCGGGATGCCGGGCCCGGAGCGCTGGGGGGGCCGGATCCAGGGGCAGGGAAGTCCTCGAGGGCGGGCGCCCCAAGAATCCTTTGTTGGGCGATTGCCCCCCCCGGGAGGCCTGGGCCGGTTTCCCCCGGGCCAGGAAAGACCCCGGCCCGGCCCTGGGACCCCTGCACCCCCGCCCCCTCTCAGGGCCCGGAGTTCCGCGGCTGTTTTCACCTCCAAAGAAACTTTCCCGGACCTCCCGACTGCGCGACGCTCCAACCAACCGCCCGCAGCCCGCCCCCGTCGGCCGCCCCGCCCCTCCCCGCCCCCGGCATGCTAATGAAGGCCTCGGCGAACGGTCCCATTGGGTGAGACCTTCCCCCCGGGCGAGCCCATGCAGATACCGATCGGCGCGCCGGCCGGCGATTGGTTGGGGAGGTTGCTGAGTCGCGTGGGAGGTTGGTAAGGAAGGCTGCGGGCGGTGCGTCAAGTTCGGCTGCGCTCGGCCGCGCTCGGGACCAATCGGGAGCGAGTGGCGGACTTGCCGGGCGGAGCCTCTTAAAGGGCCAGTAGGAGAGGCGCGGACTCCTCCTCCCTCTCTGAAGGCAAGACTCCCAGCCGCTGCCGGATGGGGCGACCGGCGGATCCGGGTCGGGCCCCGCCCCGGTTGCCATGGGGACGGAGGTGGGTTGCTAGGGTTAAGGTCCTGCGAGGCAGTCCCCAGCCCTAGGCAAGGTGGGACCTGTTCTTAACATCCTGCAAAACCTAGCGGAGAAGTTTCCTATGTATTTACTCAGTTTAGAGCCCCCGACGTCCGGATCCGAGGGCTTCTGGCCATAGGGGCTGCTCTCCCTCTGGGGTCTCGGCTTTCCCCCCTGTGCAACGGGGACATCACACGATATCCAGGACAGAGAGACTGGGATGCTGGGAAGCTGAGAACTGGGTGTGGGTCAGGCAGGGGGTGGGGTTGGGAGCTGGGCTGGAAGTGTTTGGGGAAAGATGGTGGTGAAGGGAGATGGCAAGGACTTCGTGAGGATGGGTCAGGAGGCTCCGCTCTGGTGGATCAGGGACCTCCCAGCAGCAGTCTAGGCTTCTGGCCCAAGTTGGGGCTGCTCACCTCCTCTTTTGTTTTTGAGACGGAGTCTCACCCTGTCGTCCAGGGTGGAGTGCAGTGGCTGGATCTCGGCTCACTGCAACCTCTGCCTCCCGGGTTCAAGCAATTCTCTGCCTCACCCTCCCGAGTAGCTGGGATTACACGCGCCTGCCACCACGCCCGGCTAATTTTTGTATTTTTAGTAGAGACAGGGTTTCACCATCTTGGCCAGGCTGGTCTTGAACTCCTGACCTCGTGATCCACCCGCCTCGGCCTCCCAAAGTGGTGGGATTACAGACGTGAGCCCCCACGCCCGGCCCACTTCCTCTTCCTCAAGTCCGCTTAAATGTCACTTGCTCAGCCAGGCCTTCTCTGATTTTTTTTTTGCCTCCATAAGTCGGCTTCTCCCTGTGGCCTGCCTGTTTGGTTCACAGCATTGCCCATGGTGGATGCTCAATACACATTCATTGAATCCTTCAGATGTCTAGGAGGCAGATGCAGCTGCTTTGGAAAACAGACTGGCATTTCCTCAAAGGGTTAAATAAATGTGGAATCACCATGCAATTCAGCAGTTCACTCCTAGGAATATACTCCAGACAACTGAAAACAGGTGTTCAAACAAAAGCGTGTACACAAGCGTCGGTAGCAGCGTGATTCATAATAGCCAAAAAGTGAAAACAACTCAAACGTCTGCTAATGATGCATGGATCGATGACGGGATATATCCTTACAACAGAATATTATCCGCCATGGGCCGGGCGCAGTGGCTCACGCCTGTAATCCCAGCACTTTGGGAGGCAGGCGGATCACTTGAGGTCAGGAGTTCGAGACCAGCCTGGCCAACATGGTGAAACTCCAGTTCTATTAAAAATACAAAAACTAGCCAGGCGTGGTGGTGCACGCCTGTAATCCCAGCTACATGGGAGGCTGAGGCAGGAGGATCCCATGAACTGGGAGGCAGAGGTTGCAGTGAGCCAAGATTGTGCCACTGCACTCCAGCCTGGGCAACAGAGCAAGACTACGTCTCAAAAAAAAAAAAAAAGAATATTATCAGCCATAAAAAAAAGGAGCGAGTCTCTGACACAAGTCACAGCATGGATGTACCTAGAAGACATCACACTCAGTGAGAGACGCCAGACACAAAGGTCACACAGTGTGTGATCAGAATGTTCAGGAAAGGCCCATCCACAGAGACAGGAGGGGGACGTGTGGGTGCCAGTGGGTGGGGAATGACCACTGAGAGGGATGCGGTTTTCATTTGGGTGATGAAAGTATTTTACAATTTGATTTCAGTGATGGCTGCGTGACTCTGGAAATATATTACAAACCATGGAATTGTATGCTCTAAATGGGTGCATTATATGTGAGTTAAGTCTCAATAAGCCCATTGTCCTAAGATGCAGCCCGGGGCTGAGGAAGAGGAGCTGGCCCTGGAATCTGGACGGTTCCACACGCCAGACCTGGCTCTGTTGCTTAATCAGCTCTCTGACCTCCCAGGCCTCCCCTGTGTCTCTCTGCTCACTTAAAAATAGTCTAGGTGAGGCTGGGTGTGGAGCCACCCCTCCCGGCCATAGTCAATAACAATTTAATTGAACATTTATTTTATTTTGTTTATTTATTTTATTTTATTTTATTTTATTTTTTTGAGATGGAGTCTTGCTCTGCCGCCCAGGCTGGAGTGCAGTGGCACCATCTCGGCTCACTGCAACCTCTGCTTCCCGGGTTCAAACGATTCTCCTGCCTCAGCCTCCCAAGTAGCTAGGATTACAGACATCCGCCACCACGCTCGGCTAATTTTTTTTTTTTTTTTTTTTTTAGTAGAGACAGGGTTTCACCATGTTGGCTAGGCTGGTCTTGAACTCCTGACCTCAGGTGGCCGCCCGTCTCGGCCTCCCAAGGTGCTAGATTGCAGGGGTGGGCCACTGCGCCCGGCCTTTTTGTTTGTTTTTTGTCATTTATTACTATGATTTATTTGCCAGTTTTTATAGCATGAAGCCAGGAACAGTATACCAATTTATAATCCTAGAGGTGGAAGCTCTCCATTAAGGATGACTTGCCTTATAATTCTTTGGTTTTCTAATTAATTTTTATTATGCAAATCATGTTCACATCCATTTCACTTGTACAGAATTAAGGAAGTGCAGCTCAGACCTCTTTAATTTCATTACATTTCCTATCGTCAGCTTATTGCTTTTTTTTTTTTTTTTTTTTTTTTTTTGAGACAGAGTCTCGCTCTGTCGTCCAGGCTAGTGTGCAGTGGCGCGATCTCGGCTCACTGCAAGCTTCACCTCCCGGGTTTACACCATTCTCCTGCCTCAGCCTCCCAAGTAGCTGGGACTACAGGTACACGCTGCCACGCCCGGCTAATTTTTTTGTATTTTTTAGTAGAGATGGGGTTTCACCGTGTTAGCCAGGATGGTCTCGATCTCCTGACATTGTGATCCACCCGCCTTGGCCTCCCAAAGTGCTGGGATTACAGTCGTGAGCCACTGTGCCAGGCCTTTTTTTTTTCTTTTTTTTTTTTTTGAGATAGAGTTTCATTCGCCCAGGCTGGAGTGCAGTGGCGTGATCTTTGCTCACTGCAACCTCCGCCTCCCAGGTTCAAGTGATTCTCCTGCCTCAGCCTCCTGAGTAGCCGGGATTACAGGCACGTGCCACCAAACCCAGCTAATGTTTGTATTTTTAGTAGAGACGGGGTTTTGCCATGTTGGCCAGGCAGGTCTTGAACTCCTGACCTCAGATGATCCGCCCACCTTGGCCTCCCAAAGTGCTGAGATTACAGGCGTGAGCCACTGTACCCGGCCGCATCTCTTTTTAAAATTTTTCCTAGCCACACTCACACACACACACACACACACACACACACACACGCACACCACACTGCATTGGTTTGCTAGGTAATAATTACGACAAACTGAGGGGCTTAAACAAGAGAAATTTATTGTTTCACAGTTCTGGAGGCCAGAAGTCCAAGAGGAAGGTGTGGGTAGGGCTGGGGCCTTCTGAGGGCGGGGAGAGAATCTGTCCCTGGCGTCTCCCAGTTTCTGGCATTGGCCAGCAATCCTGGGCTTTTCTTGTCTTGTAGGAGTGACACCCCGATGTCTGCCTGCATCTTCATGTGGGGTTCTCCCTATGTGCGTGTCTGCACCCAAATTTCCTCTTTTGATAAGGACAGCAGTCATACTGCGTCACGGCCCACCCTAATGATGTCATCTTAACTCATTATATCTGCAATGACCTTTTTCCAAATACGGTCACATTCTGAGGCCTTGGGGATTAGGACAGGAACCTGTGCATTCTGTGGGGACATGACTCCACCCACAGCACATGCCTACACACGTACACATGTGCGTATTCCTAATAAAGACGTGGGCTGGGCGCGGTGGCTCACGCCTGTAATGCCAGCACTGTGGGAGGCCGAGGTGGGTGGATCGCTGGAGGTCAGGAATTTGACACCAGCCTGGCCAACATGGAGAAACCCTGTCCCTACTAAAAACACAAAAATTGCCAGGCACGGTGGCTCACACCTGTAATCCCAGCACTTTGGGAGGCTGAGGTGGGAGGATCACGAGGTCCACAGTTCGAGACCAGCCTGGTCAACATGGTGAAACCCCATCTCTACTAAAAATACAAAAATTAGCCGGGCGTGGTGGCGGGCACCTGTAATCCCAGCTACTTGGGAGGCTGAGGTAGGAGAATAGCTTGAACACGGGAGGCAAAGGTTGCAGTGAGCGGAGATCCCGCCACGGCACTCCAGCCTGGGACAGAGCGAGACTCCGTCTCAAAAAAAAAAAAAAAATTTTTTTAACGTGAATATATATTTTTTATTTAGTCATTTTTGCTTACAGTTGAAACTCTAGAGAATCTGCGTGAAACTAGATGGCAGCCGGCTCATAAAGGTTCATTTGGACAAGGCACAGCAGAACAATATGGAACACAAGGTTGAAACTTTTTCTGGTGTCTATAAGAAGCTCATGGGCAAGGATGTTAATTTTGAATTCCCAGAGTTTCAATTGTAAGCAAAAATGACCAAATAAAAAATGTGTATTCACAGTTAAAAAAAAAATTCTACAAAAAAGTAAAACCACAAAAATTAGCTGGGCATGGGGGTGCACGCCTGTAGTCCCAGCTACTCAGAAGGCTGAGGCAGGAGAATCACTTGAACCTAGAGGCGGAGGTTGCAGTGAGCTGAGATCGTGCCACTGCACTCCAGCCTGGGTGACAGAGCGAGACTCCCTCTCAAAAAATAGTAAATAAATAAATAAAAATATAGGCTGGGCGTGGTGGCTCCCGCCTGTAATCTCAGCACTTTGAGAAGCCAAAGTGGGCCGATCACCTGAGGTCAGGATTTCAAGAACAGCCTGGCCAACATGGCAAAACCCTGTCTGTACTAAAAATACAAAAAGTAGCCACGCATGGTGGTGCACACCTGTAGCTCCAGCTACTCAGGAAGCTGCGGCACAAGAATTGCTTGAACCTGGGAGGCAGAGGTTTCAGTGAGTCAAGATCGAGCCACTACACTCCAGCCTGGGCGACATGGCGAGACTTTGTCTCAAAAAAATAAATAAATAAATAAAGTGAGGTCCTGGCCAGGTGCAGTAGCTCACACCTGTAATCCCAGCACTATGGGAGGCTGAGGCAGGAGGATTGCTTGAACCCAGGAATTTGAGGCCAGCCTGGACAACATAGTGAGACCCTGTCTCTACAAAAAAAAATAATAATAAAAGTAAGCAAACAAATGTGAGGTCCTATTCTGCTGTGTATTATACCAGTGCCTTCATGCTGTAAGCTTCAACTGCAACCAGTTCTGTTTACTCAATAATATCGCTCAGATAAAGGGTATTTTTTACTATTATTATTTTTTGAGACATGGTGTCTCGCTGTGTCACCCAGGCTGGAGTGTAGTCATCGGATCTCAGCTCACTGCAACCTCGAACTCCTGGGCTCAAGTGATTCTCCTGCTTCAGCCTCTCGAGCAGTTGGGACCACAGGTATGCACCACCACATCTGGCTGATTATTTTAATTTTCGTACAGATGGGGTCTTGCTTTGTTGCCCAGCTCCCAGGCTAGAGTGCAGTGGCTCAGTCTCAGCTCCCTGCAACCTCCACCTCCCTGCAACCTCCACCTCCCGTGTTCAAGTGATTCACGTGCCTCAGCCTTCAGAGTAGCCAGGGTTACAGGCACACATCGCCATGCGAGACTAATTTTTGTACTTTTAGTGGAGATGAGGTTTTGCCATGTTGGCCAGGCTGGTCTCAAACTCCTGGCCTCGTGATCCTCCTGCCTCAGCCTCCCACAGTACCACAGTACCACAGTACTGGGATTACATGCCCCCATTAATTTTTTTTTTTTTTTTTTGAGATGGAGTCTCTCTCTGTCGCCCAGGCTGGAGTGCAGTGGCGCCATCTCTGCTCACTGCAAGCTCCGTCTCCCGGGTTCATGCCATTCTCCTGCCTCAGCCTCCCGGGTAGCTGGGACTACAGGCGCCCGCCACCACACCCGGCTAAGTTTTTGTATTTTTAGTAGAGACGGGGTTTCACTGTGTTAGCCAGGATGGTCTCAATCTCCTGACCTCGCGATCCGCCCGCCTCGGCCTCCCAAAGTGCTGGGATTACAGGCATGAGCCACCGCGCCTGACCTTAAATTTTTAATAGATATTAATCAACATGGATGTGTGGACTTTTCTCCACCACCCAGGGAGAGTCAGGGTGTGGTTGGTTCTCCCAGGCCACGGACAATCTCAAGCCTCCTGGGGCTTTTTATAGAGGCAACTTCATACAGGCATTGCTTAAACAGATGCTGGAGAGCTGAGAAGGCGACAGGGAAGCGGAAAGAGAGCTACTGCCCCTAGCATCCCCTGGCCCCGGGGCTGGCAGAACACAGGGCTGGTGGGACAGGGATCTCAGGCCTCTGAGGAGGGGCACCCCACTGCTGCTGGGCCCTCAGGAACTCAGGGAAGCAATCTGAGCCTCAACTGTGGGACTTGGGCAATTTACTCAACTTCTGTGCCTCAGTTTCTCCATCTGTTAAGTGGGATAATTGCTTTGTCTACCTTTATGACGTTGCTGGCTGGGATTGTCCAGGGAGAATCAAACACCTGTTACAGAAAACGCTCTAGCTCAGTGGTTCTCATCCGGGGCCAACTCTGTCACGCCAGGAAATACCTAGTAATGTCTAGAGAGATTTTTCATTGTCGGACTAGGGGGGTGCTACTGGCATCTACACGGTTGAGGCCAGAGATCCTACACGGCCCCCACCACAAAAAATGATGTCCCAAACGTCAGGAGTACCGAGGTTGGTCAGGCACAGTGGCTTACGCCTGGAATCCCAGCACTTCGGGAGGCCGAGGCGGGCGGATCACCTGAGGTCAGGGGTTCGAGACCAGCCTGGCCAACATGGCGAAACCCCATCTCCACTAAAAAGACAAAAAACTTAGCCGGATGTGGTGGCACACGCCTATACTCCCAGCTACTCGGGAGGCTGAGGCAGGAGAACTGCTTGAACCCAGGAGGCGGAGGTTGCAGTGAGCTGAGATCGCACCGGTGCACTCCTGCCTGGGCGACAGAGCGACTCTCCGTCTCAAAACACAACACAACAACAAAAAGCTCCGAGTTCCAGGCCCTGCCGTGCCAGGAGGTCACCGCGCTTCGTTACAGCTCCTCCCCGTTTTGCTCTCAGCGCAAGGACTGACCAGCATCAACGTTAAAACGTAAATCACAAGACTCACAGAATGCGCTCCTTCTGGCAATGGTAGACCAGATACTGAACAGGACCTGAGGCCAGGAGGGTCCTGGCAAAGACTGAGTCACGCA
This sequence comes from Homo sapiens, assembly GCF_000001405.40. NCBI lineage: Eukaryota > Metazoa > Chordata > Mammalia > Primates > Hominidae > Homo > Homo sapiens. The sequence goes on along the minus strand of NC_000019.10, from coordinate 3,565,322 downwards.
AAGACTGACTGAAGAGGCCGGGCGCAGTGACTCACGCCTGTCATCCCAGCACTTTGGGAGCCCGAGGCGGGCAGATCATGAGGTCAGGAGTTAGAGAGCAGCCTGACCAACGTGGAGAAACCCCCGTCTCTACTAAAAATACAAAAACTTAGCCAGGCGTGGTGGCAGGCACCTGTAATCCCAGCTACTCAGGAGGCTGAGACAGGAGAATCGCTTGAACCTGGGAGGAGGAGGTTGTGGTGAGCTGAGATCGTGCCACTGCATTCCATCCTGGGCAATAGAGCAAGACTCCGTCTCAAAAAAAAAAAAAAAAAAAAAAAGAGTTCGTCCTTCCTTCCCTCCCTCCCCATCCTTTTTTTTTTTTTTTTTTTGAGACTGGGTCTCACTCTGTCGCCCAGGCTGGAGTGCAATGGCGCGATCTCAGGTCACCACAACCTCTGCCTCCCAGGTTCAAGCAATTCTCCTGCCTCAGCCTCCCGAGTAGCTGGGATTATAGGTGGCCACCACCATGCCCAGCTAATGTTTTTTTTGAGATGGAGTCTCACTCTGTCGCCGAGGCTGGAGTGCAATGGCCAGACCTCGGCTCACTGCAACCTCTGCCTCCCGGGCTCAAGTGATTCTCCTGCCTCAGCCTCCCGAGTAGCTGGGATTACAGGCATGCACCACCAGGCCTAGATAATTTTTTGTATTTTTAGTAGAGATGAGGTTTCACCATATTGGCGAGGATGGTCTCAGACTCCTCATCTCAGGTGACCCACCTGCCTCGGCCTCCCTAAGTGCTGGGATTACAGGTGTGAGCCACCGCGCCCGGCCAAGTTGTGTGGTTGAAGCCTCCTGGTATTCTGTTTGGTTCGGTTACTCTCACCTCACCCCCATTTTACAGAGAGGGCAACTGAAGCTTGGTGGCTTGTCAGGGACTGCCCAGATTTGATCCTGGCTTTGCTCCCCTGCTCCCCCGCCTCCACCGTGGCCACCCTCAGATATAAGGAAGTTTCAGTGCAGCCTCAGGAACCCTCACTGCCCACCCCCCCACCTCTGTCACCCCAGGCCTGGGTCACAGAAGATCAAGGAAGCCTCTAGTACTTGACATTCCCCACCCCACCCCGAGGCTGGACTGCGGCCATCAGGACATCCGATGTCCGGCCAGGGGAGGGGGAACGCAGGCTTGGCGTCAGGGGGCTGCTGGTGATGGGCTGGGGACATCAGACTGTGAGGATCTCTCCTGACTCCTCTGTCCTACCCCGAGGGCCTGAGCTTTCATCATGCCTTCCTGACATCTCTAGACAGGGCCTTCTCTGATCTTTACCCTCACGTCCAACCCCCACTCTTGTTGGGGCACATGTCCTCTCCTGTGGCTTCCCCACGCACGCAGCTGAGGCCTTCATTTGGAAGAAGCCCTTCCTCATCTCCCACTGGACTTTTTAATCTGACTCAGTCCCACCCTCCCTCTAACCCCTACCATGGCTCCCTAGTGACCTCAGGGTAATGTCCCAACTCCTCACCTACCTTGTAACCGCCCTTCTTGGTCTGACTCCTCCAGTCCTGTCCCTGATGAGGGGAACTGGGAGGGGTCATCCCTGTCTCCCCTCAAAAGCAGGGGCTTCAGAATCTTTGGGGCTCCTCAGCAAGAGGTCAGACCTAGTTCCTGCTCACCCCACAAAGTCAGGGCTAGGAAATATTAGCTGGCTTCAAAGGGACAAAAACAGAGGCCAGGTGCCGAGGCTCATGCCTATAATCCCAACACTCTGGGAGGCTGAGCCGGGAGGACCACTTGAAGCCAGGTGGTCGGGACCAGCCTAGGCAAAATGATGAGGCCTCATCTCTACAAAAAATTTAAAAATACTTTGGGTGGCCAGGCGCAGTGCCTCACACCTGTAATCCCAGCACTTTGGGAGGCCGAGGCAGGGGGATCATGAGGTCAGGAGATCGAGACCCTCCTGGCTAACACAGTGAAACCCCATCTCTACTAAAAATACAAAAAATTAGCCGGGCGTGGTCGTGGGCGCCCGTAGTCCCAGCTACTCAGGAGGCTGAGGCAGGAGAATGGCGTGAACCTGGGAGGTGGAGCTTGCAGTGAGTGGAGATGGCGCCACTGCACTCCAGCCTGGGCGACAGGCGAGACTCCGTCACAAACAAACAAACAAAAATACTTTGGGTGGCCAGGCGCGGTGGCTCACGCCTGTAATCCCAGCACTTTGGGAGGCTGTGGCAGGCGGATCACTTGAGGTCAGGAGTTCGAAAGCAGCCTGGCCAACATGGTGAAAACCATCTCTACTAAATATACAAAAATTATCTGGGGGTGGTGGCGCTCGCCTGTAGTCCCAGCTACTCGGGAGGCTGATACAGAACTGCTTGAACCCAGGAGGCAGAGGTTGCAGTGAGCGGAGACTGCGCCATTGCACTCCAGCCTAGGTGACAAAGCAAGACTCTGTCTTCAAAAACAAAAACAAAAAAACTACGTTGGGTATGGTGATTCATGCCTGTGATCTCAGCACTTTGGGAGGTCAGGAATTTCGAGAACCGACCCACAACATGGCGAAACAGCAACATGGCGAAACCCCGTCTCTACTAAAAAATACAAAAAATTAGCCGAGCGTGGTGGCAGGTGCCTGTAAGCCCAGTTACTTGGGAGGCTGAGGCAGGAGAATCGCTTGAACCCGGGAGGTGGAGGTTGCGGTGAGCCGAGATCGTGCTACTCCACCCCAGCCTGGGCGACAGAGCAAGACTCAGTCTCAAACAACAACCACCACAACAGCAAAAGGACAAGAATGCAGAGATGTGTTGGCGCTTTAACCACACCCTGCCTCCTCCGCTGGATCTTCTCCAAAGGGAGGCGGGATTGTGCCTGATTCTCGACCTACAAAGGAGGCTGAAAAAGCAGTGGACAGTGAGGCACCTGTTCCTCCACACTCAGGTGGCATTCCGCAGCCAGCACATAAAGAGGTCACGTGGAGCTGAGTTCAAATCCCACATCTGCCTCTTGTTAGTCCCATGCCCGCCACAGTCCCATGCCCATGCCCGTCTTTGTGAAACTCAGTTTCCTTATCTGTAAAAGAGGCATGAAGGGCTGGGCGCAGTGGCTCGCACCTGTAATCCCAGCACTTTGGGAGGCCGAGGCGGGCGGGTCACCTGAAGTCAGGAGTTTGAGACCAGCCTGGCCAAGATGGTGAAATCCCGTCTCTACTACAAATACAAAAATAAGCTGGGCGTGGTGGCGGGCGCCTGTAATCCCAGCTACTCGGGAGGCTGAGGCAGGAGAATCGCTTGAACCCGGGAGGTGGAGGTTGCAGTGAGCCGAGATCGTACCATTGCACGCCAGCCTGGCGACAAAGTGAGACTCCATCTCAAAAAAAACAAGAAAAGGCAGTGGAGGGGGTCATGAAGGCTGCACACTGTGCCTCACGTCTGTAATCCCATCTCTTTGGGACCAGTCAGGGCAACATAGCAAGACTTCCATCTCTGAAAAAATTAGCCAGGTGTGGTGGCAGGCACCTGTAGTCCCAGCTACTCAAGAGGCTGAGGCAGGAGGATCTCTTCAGCCCGGGAGGCCAAGGCTACAGTGAGCTGTGGTCACACCACTGCACTCCAGCCTAGGTGACAGAGCAAGACCCTGTCTCTAAAAATAAAAATTAATAATAAAATAAAATAATAGAGCATGAAGTGGTGTAAGACCTCCTAGGGATCTTGTGGGATGAAAGGAGATGAGGAATGGGAAAAACATTAGTTTTTTTGTTTTTGTTTTGAGACTGAGTCTCACTGTGTCACCCAGGCTGGAGCACAGTGGTGCGATCATAGCTCACTGCAGCCTTCGTTTCCTGGGCTTCAGTGATCCTCCCACAGCAACCTCCGGAGTAGCCAGGACTCCAGGTGTGCACCACCACACCTGGCTAATTTTGTTGTTGTTGTTGAGACAGGGTCTTCCTCCGTCGCCCAGGCTGGAGTGCAGTGGCGCGATCTTGGCTCACTGCAACCTCCACTTTCTGGGTTCAAGCGATTCTCCTGCCTCAGCCTCCGGAGTAGCTGGGTTACAGGCACCCACCACCACGCCTGGCTAATTACTGTAATTTTTTTTTTTTTTTGAGATGGGGTCTTGGTCTGTCCCCCAGGCTAGAGTGCAGCGGCACGATCTCAGCTCACTGCAACCTCCACCTCCCGGATTCAAGCCGTTCTCCTGCCTCAGCCTCCCGAGTAGCTGGGATTATCTGCGCCCGCCACCACGCCCAGCTAATTTTTGTATTTTTAGTAGAGACAGGGTTTCACCATCGTGGCCAGGCTGGTTTCGAACTCCTGACCTCGTGATCCACCCGCCTTGGCCTCCCAAAGCGCTGGGATTACAGGCGTGAGCCACCGCGCCTGGCCCAATTTTTGTATTTTTAGTAGAGACGGGGGTCTCACCATGTTGGCCAGGCTGGTCTCGAACTGCTGACCTCAAGTGACCCCTTCACCTTGGCCTCCCAAAGTGCTGGGATTACAGGCGGGAGCCAGGATCCCTGGTCCCTAGGCTAATATTTCAAAAAGTCATCTTTCATTTCCCTCAGAGGACTCTAAAGGGGAACGTGCCAGGAGGACTCTAAGTGGGAACGTGCCAAACAGAGAGGAAGGAATTGAGGTTCTTATCTCTCCTCAACCCTTTATCTCCCCGAGTCGTCTGCCCCTTATCTCTCCTCCTTCCTTTCTAGGTTCTGTGTCTTGACCTCTTTTACCCCTCCCGCCCATTTTCAGTCTAGTTTTCATAAAACAGTGTGTGACCTGCATCACCGTGGGCAGCCGGGGCCGTGGACCCCTTGGCTGTTTGAGCCTTGGGTTTTGTTTTGTTCTGGTTTTTGAGACGGATCTTCGCTCTGTCGCCCAGGCTGGAGTGCAGTGGTGCGATCTCAGCTCACTGCAACCTCAGCCCTCCCAGGTTCAAGAGATTCTCCTGCCTCAGCCTCCCAAGTAGCTGGGATTACAGGCACAGCCACCACGCCCAGCTATTTTTGTATTTTTAGTAGAGATGGGTTTTCACCATGTTGGGCAGGCTGGTCTCGAACTCCTGAGCTCAAGTGATCTGCCCACCTTGGCCTCCTAAAATGTTGGGATTACAGGCTTGAGCCACCGCACCTGGCCTAATTTTTAAAATTTTTTATAGAGATAGGGTTTCAGCACATTGCCCAGGCTGGTCTTGGACTCCTGGGATCAAACAATCCTCTCACCTCGGCCTCCCAAAGTGCTGGGATTACAGGCATGAGCCACCATGGCAGGCCAATTATATAACTCCTGTACCCGTTCTAGATCAGGGGAGACCCAAGCTCCAAGAGGTTAAAAGACTTGTCCCAGGCTGGGCGCAGTGGCTCACGCCTGTAATCCCGGCACTTTGGGAGGCCGAGGCGGGCAGATCACAAGGTCAGGAGATCGAGACCATCCTGGCTCACACGGTGAAACCCCCGTCTCTACTAAGAATACAAAAAATTAGCCGGGCACGATGGCGGGCGCCTGTAGTCCCAACTGCTCCGGAGGCTGAGGCAGGAGAATGGCGTGAACCCGGGAGGTGGAGCTTGCAGTGAGTTGAGATCGCGCCAGGGCACTCCAGCCTGGGCGAGAGAGCCAGACTCCGTCTCAAAAAAAAAAAAAAATAAAATAAAAATAAAATTACAAAAATTAGCCGGGCGTGTTGGCGGGCACCTGTAATCCCAGCTACTCAGCAGGCTGAGGAAGGAGAATCTCTTGAACCCAGGAGGCGGAGGTTGCAGTGTTCTGAGATCGTGCCACCGCACTCCAGCCTGGGCGACAGAGCCAGACTCCGTCTCAAAAAAAAAAAGACTTGTCCCAAGTGGAGCAGCAGAGAATCAGTGGAACCAAGTCTGGATCCAACGATTCTCCTTCCATACTGCAAGGACCTTTTGTTTTGTTTTGTTTTGTTTTAGAGCTGGGGTCTTGCTGTTGCCCAGGTTGGAGTGCAGTGGTGCAATCATACCTCACTGCAGACTGCAAGGCCAAATATACTGCTGTAGGCCGGGCGCGGTGGCTCGTGACTGTAATCCCAACACTTTGGGAGGCCAAGGCGGGTGGGTCACTTCAGTTCAGGAGTTTGAGACCAGCCTGGCCAATATGGGGAAACCCCGTCTCTACTAAAAATACAAAAATTAGCTGGGCGTGGTGGTGGGTGCTCGTAGTCCCAGCTACTCGGGAGGCTGAGGCAGGAGAATCGCTGGAACTCGGGAGGCAGAGGCTGCAGTGAGCTGAGATTGCAACACAGCACTCCAGCCTGGGTGACAGACGGAGACTCCATCTCAAAAAGAGAGAGAGAGAGAGAAAGAAAGAAAGAAAACTGCTGGAGACCCGCCCGATGCAGAGGCTCATGTTTGTAATCCCAGAGCTTCTGGAGGCCAGGGTGGGAGGCTTGCTTGAGACCAGGAGTTTGAGGTCAACCTAAGCATCATAGTGAGACCCTGTCTCTCCAAAATTAAAAATACAAAAGTTAGCCACATGTGGTGATGCGTGCCTGTAGTCCCAGCTACCTGGGAGGCTGAGACAGGAGGATTACTTGAGCCCTGAAGATTGAGGCTGTAGTGAGCCATGATTGCACCAATGCACTGCAGCCTGGGCCACAGAGCAAGACCGTTTCTTTCTTTCTTTCTTTCTTTTTTGAGGCGGCGTTTCACTCTTGTTATCCAGGCTGGAGTGCAATGGCGCGGTCTTGGCTCACTGCAACCTCTGCCTCCTGGGTCAAGCGATTCTCCTGCCTCAGCCTCCAAAGTAGCTGGGATTACAGGCACCTGTCACCACGCTCGGCTAATTTTTGTATTTTTAATAGAGACGGGTTTCACCTTGTTGGCCAGGCTGGTCTCAAACTCCTGACCTCAGGTGATCCGCCCGCCTCGGCCTCCCAAAGTGCTGGGATTACAGGCGTGAGTCACCGCGCCCGTCTCAAGACCCTGTTTCTGAAATAAATAAAAAGAGGAAAGAAGAGAAAATGCTGCTGGAAGGAGTAGGGCCTGAGTTAGGGGGAACCGCACACACCCCCTGGAGGAACTTGAAACCCTCAGTCCGGTGACCCGTTTGTGGGAGGACGTTGGTTGGACGGGGAGGGTCGCGCGCACAGGCCTGGGAGTCACAGACGCCTGACTCACTGCGAGCCTCGGGCAACTCTGTTCCTCGCCTGTAAAATGAGAGTGAAATTTGCGTCACCACGTGGGGCTCTTTGCAGGCAACGCTCGTTAAAGGCCAGCTGGTACTATTATGTTGATTACCCCCATCATTACCGTTAGTAACCAATTAATTAGTGTTGTTGCGTCCTCTCCGCGCCCGATCGCGTCTCTCTAGGCCGGGGAGTCAGCGGACCCCGAGGCCAGCTCGGGCTCAGACCTCCCCCCAACCCCAAATCCAGAGCCCGTCCCACTCGCTCCACCCCGGCCCGCAGTGGGCTGTCCAGCTCCGGGTGGACTGGGGTGGTGCGGGCCTGGAGGCCGGGTCTGGGTGGGAGCCGGCGGTGCCCTCTGGTCCATTTCCTTCCCCAGTCTATGGGGGTGCCGGCCACTCCTGCGGCGCGCTCGGGGTTCGCCCTCATACCCGGCGGGCGCTAGGACCGCGTGGGCGCCCGTCGTAGAGGCGGAACGAGCCCTGCGGCCACGCCCCTCTCCTCTCTCCTTGGCGATTGGCTGCGGTTCCCCGGGGCGCGGCTCCGATTGGCTCAGGCACCGGAACCTCCCCGCCCTGCCCCGCCCGGCGCAGTCGCCCGGCTCTGGGGCCCGGCGGCTGCAGAGTCGAGCGTGGGGCGGACGCGGCGGACGTGGGTGAGGGCGCGGCCGTAAGAGAGCGGGACGCGGGGTGCCCGGCGCGTGGTGGGGGTCCCCGGCGCCTGCCCCCACGGCACCCAAGAAGGCCTGGCCAGGGTACCCTCCGCGGAGCCCGGGGGTGGGGGGCGCGGGCCCGGCGCCGCGATGGGCCCGGGACCCCCAGCGGCCGGAGCGGCGCCGTCCCCGCGGCCGCTGTCCCTGGTGGCGCGGCTGAGCTACGCCGTGGGCCACTTCCTCAACGACCTGTGCGCGTCCATGTGGTTCACCTACCTGCTGCTCTACCTGCACTCGGTGCGCGCCTACAGCTCCCGCGGCGCGGGGCTGCTGCTGCTGCTGGGCCAGGTGGCCGACGGGCTGTGCACACCGCTCGTGGGCTACGAGGCCGACCGCGCCGCCAGCTGCTGCGCCCGCTACGGCCCGCGCAAGGCCTGGCACCTGGTCGGTAAGCGTCCCGGCCCCGCCACCTGTCGGGCAGCCCCTCCGAGACTCCGCGACCCGGGCGCCTCCTCCCTCTGACTCACCACCCGCCGTCTGCCTGCCTCAGGATCGGAGTCTCCCCTCGGTCTGTCTGTCCCGTGGCCCGAGCTTCCCTGCACTGTCTGTCCACGGCCTTAACCTCCCCTATGTATCTGTCTGCCCTATGAGCTGAGTTTTCACCCCTCTGTCTGTCCCCTGGCCCGAACCTCCCCTGTCTGTCTGTCTGTGCCCATGGCCTGAGCTTCCTCCATCAGTCCCACCACCCAGCCCCCTCTCTCTGCCTGCCTGGGACCTAAGTCTCCCCTGTTTGTCTGCCCCATGAGCTGAGTTTTCACCCCTCTGGCTGTTCCGTGGCCTGAGCCTCCCCCGTCTGTCTGACTACCCAGTGGCCCCTCTGTGGTGTCACTCCTGAGCCTCCCCTGCCTGTCCCACCATCCAGCATCCCCCGTCTTTCTGCCCCATGGCCTGAGCCTCCCCCGTCTGACTGTGCTGTGCCTCCCCCATCTGTCTGACTGTGCAGTGCCTCCCCCATCTGTCCAACTGTGCAGGGCTTCTCTATCTGCCTGAGCCATGAGCCTCCCCCATCTGTCTGTTTAACTGCCCCGTATCCCCTCTGTCTGTCCCTTGGTCCAGCCTCCCCTGTCTGCCTCAGAGCTGCTGTCTGACCTGCGGGGCCCTCACCATCTGACTACATGACTTTCTAGTGGGAATGCCTTTGTTTGTCTGAGCCCCCGGGCCACCCTGAACCCTCTGGAGGGTTGGTGGTGACTGCTCAGCGCCTCCTTTGTCAGTCTGTCTAGCCTGAGCTCGTCTATTAGGGTGACCAACTGGGACAGCTATGGCTGAGGGACAGTCAGGCCCCCTAGAGCCTCCTCTCTCTCTGTGTGTTCTGCCAGGGCAACCTGGTGCGTCAGCAGTTTGAGGGTGCTGCTCCGGGAGTTGAGAGTTGGGAGCCGCCTGGGTGGGACTGGAGGGTCAGGGGTCTCTGCCCTGTTCTTGCATTGCCTCTATCTGTCTGGCCAGGGTCAGGGACCCCCTAGGTCTGGGGGAGCTGCCCTGATTAGAGAGGGCTGTTGGGAGGGCAGGAGGCTGGCGTCATGGGCTGGGTCACCCTGCCCCAGTGCCCATCGATAAGACTGCAGGGCTGCCTCCCAGCGGCCCTCCTCTCCCCTCCCGGACCCTGGGCCTGAAGATTAGCCGGCCTCCTTCCCTGCTCTTCTTGCCCTCACAGAAGTGCCGGCTGCGTCCTGGCATTTGGGACACATGTGGCATTTCAGCAGGCAGGGCCAGGAATCCTGCTCAGTTCTTGGAATTCCAGGTGGCAGGAGGGGCAGGCGGGTGCCTCCTCACCCTTGGGAACAATGACTGGGATGGGTGGTTGGACCCAGGATCTGGGTGATGACATTTTTTGCAAGAGGCAGTGGATCTCCAGTGGTCTGAGGGTGGCAGGCTCCGCAGCAGGCACAGCTTGGGGACTGGAGTTTCATGTTTCCTATGTCCAGGCTATTCCTGGGGTACCTGAGGCGGCGGCAGACAGGGAGGGGACCGGCTGTCCCTTCCTTTGTGGTTACGTTGGGATTGGTTGCTGAGCGGAGCCCAGGGCCCCAAATGCCTCTTTGATCATAATAGTTGGATAAGCTCTTTGACAGTCGCGTAAGATAATTTCTGGGCGGGCCGGGCACGGTGGCTCACCCCTGTCATCCCAGCACTTTGGGAGGCCTCCTCACCTGAGGTCAGGAGTTTGAGACCAACCTGGCCAACATGGCAAAACCCCGTCTCTACTAAAGTACAAAAATTAGCCGAGCGTGGTGGCGCACGCCTGTAATCCCAGCTACTTGGGAGGCTGAGGTGGGAGAATCGTTTGAACCCGGGAGGCAGAGGCTGTAGTCAGCCAAGATCGCGCCACTGCACTCCAGACACAGCGAGAGTCTGTCTAAAAAAACAAAAAACAACAACAACAAACCAAAACAAGAAAACAAACAGAAACAGCAACCGAAGGCTTTATGTTTTTCCAAAGCAGACCTCAGGGAACCAGGTGGTCCAACCGGACACCAAGGCGTCCACCGTCACCCCTCTTCCCCGCCTCGGGGAGGGCACCTGCCCTGGGAGCTGAGAGGTGGGGGCCACCTGGGTGGGCCTGGAGGGTCAGGAGGGTCTGTTGGGAGCAGAAGCCCAGGCAGCCGCTCTTGATGCCTGAGCAGGTGACTTGAGTGAAGGTTACCCTGGCAATGGCACCCACTTCTGTATTTCACCCCCAAGTCTGGGGCTGGTGGCTAAGGACTCACTTTGCCCTTTAACAAGTCCTGGGGAGCTCCCCCACAATCCCGAGACGACCCTCAGAATCAGACACAAACACTCCTGTGAGTGGGCAGATGGCACAAATGGGCTTCAGAAGGAAGGACATTAACTTTGAGGTTTTGACGGATGGGTAGCAGTGTGTGGAGGGGCGCATTCCAAGTAGCAGAAACAGCTGTGGAAAAGGTAGGAACAGTCCTCACTTTGAAGCTGCGGAAGCAGGAAGTGGTTCAGAATAGACGGAGCTTTTGCTGGTGCCACACATGAACTCTATCCTCACAGCAGCCTGTGAGGCAGGAACTTTCTTTCTTTTTTTTTTTTTTTTGTTTTGTTGTTGTTGAGACAGAGTCTCACTCTGTCGCTCAGGCTGGAGTGCAGTAGCGGGATCTCGGCTCACTGCAACCTTCGCCTCCTGAGTTCAAAGGATTCTCGTGCGTCAGCCTCCTGAGTAGCTGGGATTACAGGCACGTGCCACCAAAGCCGGCTAATTTTTAAATTTTTAGTAGAGGCAAGGTTTCACCATATTGTCCAGGCTGGGCTTGAACCGCTGACCTCAAGTGATCTGCCTGTCTCAGCCCCCCACAGTGCTGGGATTACAGGTGTGAGCAACCACGCCTGGCCATGGGCAGGAACTTTCACTACCCTTCTTTCTCTTCTTTTTTTAATTTTTTATTTATTTTTATTTTTTATTTTTGAGACGGAGTCTTGCTTTGTCACCCGGGCTGGAAGGCAGTGGCGTGATCTCAGCTCACTGCAACCTCAACCTCCTGGGTTTAAGTGATTCTCCTGCCTCAGCCTCCCGAGTAGCTGGGACTACAGGCTCGTGCCACCATGCCCGGCTAATTTTTGTATTTTTAGTAGAGACAGGGTTTCACCATGTTGGTCAGGCTGGTCTCGAACTCCTGACCTCAGGTGATCCATCCGCTGCAGCCTCCCAAAGTGCTGGGATTACAAGCATGAGCCACCGCACCCAGCCTCTTCTTTTCTTTTCCTTTCTTTCTCTGTTTCATTTCTTTTCATTGTTTTTTTTTTTTTTTTTTTTTTTTTGAGAGATGGAGTCTCACTGCAAGCTCTGCCTCCCGGATTCACACCATTCTCCTGCCTCAGCCTCTCGAGTAGCTGGGACTACAGGCGCCCGCCGCCACGCCCGGCTAATTTTTTTTGCATTTTTAGTAGAGACAGGGTTTCATCATGTTAGCCAGGATGGTCTCGATCTCCTGACCTCATGATCCACCCGCCTCGGTCTCCCAAAGTGCTGGGATTACAGGCGTGAGCCACCGCGCCCGGCCTTTTTTTTTTTTTCTTGACAGGGTCTCGCTCTGTCGCCCAGGCTGGAGCGCAGTGGCACGATCACGACTCACTGCAGCCTCGACCTCCTGGGTTCAAGCAGTCCTCCCACCTCAGCCTCCCAAAGTGCTGGGATTGATTACATGATCCACCACTCCTGGCCACTATCCCTGTTTTCTGAAAACTGAGGCCTAGAGAGGCACAGTCACTTGCCCGAGGTCCCCAGGCCAGGCAGCCTGGCCCCAACAATGGTTAACCCAGACTGGCCAGCAGGAACAGGGAGTCCAGCCAGGAAGGGACCTTCTCACTGGAGTCCACAGTTCATGCTCTGCCCCCGGATGACCTCCCCAAGGACCCCAGGAATCTGCGCAAACCCTCCCAGGCCCTAGTTCCAGAGAAACCAGCAGGAGAGGCTGGTTTTGGTTTCACTTCCCAATTCCAGTTCTCTGGGGGCGGGCCCAGGGTCTGGGGATGAGGTCACCTCCGGAGGGAGGAAGGAGGTCCAGCCACCAGGCTTGGTACAGGGGCCCTTCCAGGTGCCCCAGGCTGGGAGGAGAGGAGTGCAGGGCTGCAGGGAAGGAGCCTGGCTCCGACTCACTCTAGGGGCCTCAATTTTCCCATCTGGAAAATGAGGATAATGACACCCACGCTTACAGGCTGTGTCAGGGCCACTATTGTTACTCACTCAGAAGATACTGAAGTAACAGCCGGTATGGTGGCTCAAGTCTGTAATCCGAGCACTTTGGGAGGCCGAGGCAGGAGGATCACTTGAGGCTAGGAGTTCGACTTCAGCCTGGCCAACGTGGTGAAACCCCATCCCTACCAAAAATACAAACATTAGCTGGATGTGGTGGGATGTGGCGGCAGGTACCTGTAATCCCAGCTACACGGGAGGCTGAGGTGGGAGAATGGCTTGAGCTAGGGAGGCAGAGGCTGCAATGAGCTGAGATCGCACCACTGCACTCCAGCCTGGGCAACAGAGCGAGACTCTGTCTCAAAAAAAAAAAAAAAAAAAAAAAAAGGCGGGGCGCGGTGGCTCACGCCTGTAATCCCAGCACTTTGAGAGGCCGAGGCGGGTGGATCACCTGAGGTCAGGCATTGGAGACCAGCCTGGCCAACGTGGTGAAACCCTGTCTCTACTAAAAATACAAAAATTAGCTGGGTATGGTGGCATGGGCCTGTAGTCCCAGCTACTCGGGAGGCTGAGGCAGGAGAATGGCTTGAATCCAGGGGGCGGAGGTTGCAGCGAGCCGAGATCTCGCCACTGCACTCCAGCCTGGGCGACAGAGCAAGACTCTGTCTAAAAAAAAAAAAAAAATAGATATTGAAATGCCCGAGTTCCATGCTGGGTCTCCCCAGGCCCCTTGGAGGCTGCTGTCTGCAGAGGAAAGCCGGCAGGAAGCCGGCAGACAGAGAATTCCCGGGTGCTCCGAAGGGTGAGGTAGAGGCAGCAGGGGCCAGGAGAGAGGTGTTCGAGGAGGTGACATTCCCGTTGAGCCCAGAGGTGAAAAGGAGCCAGTCTTGCTAAGATGTGAGAGAGAGCTCTAGGCAGAGGCACGCCCATGCAAAGGCCCGGGGGCAGGACCGCCTGGCATGTTGAAGAGGTCCTGCAGTGAGGAGACCTGCATGGCTGGAGCAGAGAGAGAAGGGGGAGAGAGGGAAGGGCAGGGCAGGGCACGGAGGGGACAGGGCAGGTCGCAAAGGGCTCCGTGGGCTGCGGGGAGGATCTTACATTTGTTCCAGGGTATCTTAGGGGTTTTCTTCTGAGGATGTGAAGAGCCAGGCCTTGCCACCGCAGATCTCAGGTGGGGGCGGGTGCTATTTCCTGACTGTCCCTGGAGGCCAGGACGCCCCAGCATTCCAGGGAGTGGTCACCTTAGGAGCTGATGAGGATGGCGGAGCTTAAGGAGGGGTCCAGCCCAGGCCCACCTGGGCCTCCCGCTCCCCGAGGCCCTATGGGAGGCTTGATAGTGGCCGAGGGGGAGGAGCTGGGGGAGGCTGCGGCTGTAACCGGGGCACCTGTGGGGGGCAGGTTTCCGGGGGACCCCCTGCGCCTGGCTTCTTCTGACTTGCAGGCTGAGCCCAGGCACCTGGTGTCAGATTCCCCTTTTGTCACCAGGGGCCATAAGCCTGGGGGACCCCGACTGCAGACCCTCGCTCCTGCGTGACTGTGTGCATGCGGGGGGCGTCTCCATCTGTGCCTCAGTTTCCCTCTCTCCTCCCTCCATGTCCTCACCCTGGGAGCCCTGGCTGGTGCGGGACAGCCCCGCGACTGACCACTCTGCCTTCCACAGGCACCGTCTGCGTCCTGCTGTCCTTCCCCTTCATCTTCAGCCCCTGCCTGGGCTGTGGGGCGGCCACGCCCGAGTGGGCTGCCCTCCTCTACTACGGCCCGTTCATCGTGATCTTCCAGTTTGGCTGGGCCTCCACACAGATCTCCCACCTCAGCCTCATCCCGGAGCTCGTCACCAACGACCATGAGAAGGTGGAGCTCACGGCACTCAGGTGGGAGCCTGGGCACCCTCCCCCACGGGCAGGGTGGGCCCCGGCTCGGTGTATCAGTCAGTGGCACTGCATAATGAGCGGCCACAGACTCGGCAGCTCGAGACCAGGCAGTCTTTCATGTTTATTTTTTTGAAAGGGGGTCTCACTCTGTTGCCCAGGCTGGAGTGCAGTGGGGTGATCTCGGCTGACTGCAGCCTCAACCTCCTGGGCTCAAGTGATACTCTTGCCTCAGCCTCCTGAGTAGCTGGGACTACAGGAGTATGTCACTACACCCAGCTGTTTTTTAAAGTTTTTGTAGGCTGGGCATGGCTCACACCTGTAATCCCAGCACTTTGGGAGGCCGAGGTGGGCAGATCACGAGGTCAGGAGATCGAGACCATCCTCGCTAACACGTGAAACCTCGTCTCTACTAAAAATACAAAAAATTAGCCGGGCGCGGTGGTGGGCGCCTGTAGTCCCAGCTACTCGGGAGGCTGAGGCAGGAGAATGGTGTGAACCCGGGAGGTGGAGCTTGCAGTGAGCCAAGATAGCGCCACTGCACTCCAGCCTGGGCGACAGAGCGAGATTCCGTCTCAAAAAAAAAAAACAAAAAGTTTTTGTAGAGACAGGGTCTCACTATATTGCCCAGGCTGGTCTGGAACTCTTGGGCTCAAGCGATCCTCCTGCCTTGGCCTCCCAAAGTGCTGCGATTACAGGCATGAGCCACCACACTCAGCCATCACACATTTCTCCTCTCACAGTTTCTGGGGGTCAGGAGTCCAGCATGGCTGAGCTAGGGGGAGAGGGCTGTTGGGCTTCAGGGTCTGTCTTGAGCCTGCATTCAAGGGGTTGCCCAGGGCTAGCGTCTTATGGAAGGCTGGGGGCGGTCCCTCCTCTATGCTCACGTGGTTGGTGGCAGAAGTTGTAGTCTTGCACCTGTGGAGATCACGGTGGCTGCTGCTTCTGAGGCCAGCAGGGAGAATCTCTGATCCCAGGAAGCCCTAAGCCCTCTCTCCCAAAGGATTGCCTGACTTGGCCAGGCTCACACACCGTAGTCTCCCTTGACAGGATCTCGCTCTGTCAGCCAGGCTGGAGTGCAGTGGCACGATCTCGGCTAATTTTTTTTTTGTATTTTTAGTAGACACGGGGTTTCACCATGTACCATGTTGGCCAGGCTGGTCTTGAACGCCTGACCTCAGGTGATCTGCCCGCCTTGGCCTCCCAAAGTGCTGGGATTACAGGCGTGAGCCACTGTGCCTGGCTTTTTTTTTTTTTTTTTTTGAGACAAGAGTCTCACTCTGTCACCCAGGCTGGAGTGCAGTGGCGCCATCTCGGCTCACTGCAACCTCTGCCTCCTGGGTTCAAGCGGTTCTCCTGCCTCAGCCTCCCGAGTAGCTGGGACTACAGGCACCCGCCACCACCCCCGGCTAATTTTTGTATTTTTAGTAGAGATGGGATTTCACCGTCTTGGCCAGGCTGGTCTCGAACTCCTGACCTCAGTGATCTGCCTGCCTCAGCCTCCCAAAGTGCTGAGATTACAGGCGTGAGCCACCGCGCCTGGCCAGTAATCTCCCTGTGGACACACCCGAGCTGACCAAGGTCCTTGGTTATAACACACTGCGAAGTCCCTTTCCCTCTGCTATAGAATGCCACTTAGCCCTGGCTACATCCTGGGAGTAACATCCATGGTGGACTTACAGCTGCTGCTGCCACGGGGAGGGGATGGGATGGGCAGGCCTCTCTGGGGCTGCCTTAGAATTCTTTCTATTACACCTGGGTACAGCGGGTGCCCGGCTTATCCACTAACTTGCTAGAGGCGCTGGAAGAGGTTCTTCTGGTTACGAGGATGATGCATTGAGCACCTGCCGTGTGCCTGGCATAGTTATAGGCCCTTAACATGAATCTCAGCTTCTTTAATCCTCCCCGTGAGCTGGGAGGTGGGAACTCTTCTCTCCCGCGTATTTCAGAGGAGGACTCGGCCCCAGCTGGTGCCCAAAGCCAGGGTCCTCACAGCGCCTTCGTGTCGGGGGAGTCCGCTGTCTCCACATCTGCCTGTGTATCACCAGCTCCTCCCCACCCCCAGATTTGAGTTCCCCATTATGGCCATGTGACAGAGGTGCAGGCGCTAACGACACAGGTTGCCCAATGCCCAGGGCCCCTGAGGGCCCCATCTGACCGGGGCCAGACCCCAGGCACTTCCTACGTGCCATTGCTTTGCCAGCTGACCTCCTGCTGTGCTCACGTGGCCTCTGGAGGTGGCATGGTTCCCGCTTTCAGAAAGAGAGACTGATTCATGGTAGGATTCTGAGGCCCCCCGGGGGACTCTGTGCCTGGCCGGGCTGTGGGCAGGGGCTGGCCTGGATGGTTCTAGACCAGGGAGCCCTCGCCCTTTAGCCGCCCAGCATCTGGGGAAGAAGAATTCTCGAATTCTGGCTTCTGAGTCTCTGGGTTCTCAGACTTTTGGGTTGTAGCCTGGACTCCGCTTGGCCGAGTCACTGTACCCTGGTCCTGGGCACGAAGGGTGGAGCTGCAGGTCACAGCTTTCCCGCGTTAGGTAATGTGCGGGCTGGGGAAACTGAGGCCAGCACGGGCTTCCTGGAGGCCACCCAGTGTGGCAGTGGTTGGAATCACCTGTCAGTCAGGGGTTCCCCAGGCCTCTCTGACGGCGTAGCCACGTGGGGAGGAAGTGACCCAGGTTCCTGGCGTCTTGTTGAGTCCCTGCCCGCCTGCCCGCCAGGTATGCGTTCACCGTGGTGGCCAACATCACCGTCTACGGCGCCGCCTGGCTCCTGCTGCACCTGCAGGGCTCGTCGCGGGTGGAGCCCACCCAAGACATCAGCATCAGCGACCAGCTGGGGGGCCAGGACGTGCCCGTGTTCCGGGTGAGCTGGAGTCCGGGTGGGTCGCCTGAAGTCCTCGAGCCAGGGGCGGGGGCTGGGCCCGCCACCACTGACTGCTTCTGCTGCATCCCCAGAACCTGTCCCTGCTGGTGGTGGGTGTCGGCGCCGTGTTCTCACTGCTATTCCACCTGGGCACCCGGGAGAGGCGCCGGCCGCATGCGGAGGAGCCAGGCGAGCACACCCCCCTGTTGGCCCCTGCCACGGCCCAGCCCCTGCTGCTCTGGAAGCACTGGCTCCGGGAGCCGGCTTTCTACCAGGTGCGTGCTGGGGACGGTGGGGCTGGCGTGGGCCTTCTCTCCCACCCACAGGGCCTTTGCTCTGTGGGGCAGCTGCGTCCAGACGCAGAGCACACGTGGCCCCTGGTGCAGCCCACACCCAGGGCAAACGTCACTCATCAAGTGCTGCTCTCCTCTTCCTGGCCCACCCCACTGGGCAGTCACTACCAATGGATCAAATGCCAGCTGCAGGGCGCCCACCCTGGCCCCGGTGCCCCCTGCTGGTGGGAGTGGAGAAGGCCCTCCTGACCCCTGCCAGTCCCTCTGTCGGTCTGCCCACAGGTGGGCATACTGTACATGACCACCAGGCTCATCGTGAACCTGTCCCAGACCTACATGGCCATGTACCTCACCTACTCGCTCCACCTGCCCAAGGTGAGCAGATTGGGGCGGGGACGCTGGGATGGGACGGCCCCAGCCTGGCGAGCCATGACTGACACGGCATGCCTGGCTCTGCCTCCGCAGAAGTTCATCGCGACCATTCCCCTGGTGATGTACCTCAGCGGCTTCTTGTCCTCCTTCCTCATGAAGCCCATCAACAAGTGCATTGGGAGGAACGTGAGTGGGCGGGGACCGGGGACAGCTGGGGCGGAGGATGGGGTGCCCTGCAGCCGAGATCCCACCCGCTCCGGGTTCCATCCTCGGATGCTCTCAGGCCTCCGAGTTCCCGCCTTGTAGAAGCCCCAGATCTAGGCCGGGCACGGTGGCTCACGCCTGTAATCCCAGCACTTTGGGAGGCCGAGGCGGGCGGATCACGAGGTCAGGAGATCGAGACCATCCTGGCTAACACGGTGAAACCCCGTCTCTACTAAAGATACAAAAACAAAATTAGCCGGGCGTTGGTGGCGGGTGCCTGTAGTCCCAGCTATTCGGGAGGCTGAGGCAGGAGAATGGCGTGAACCCGGGAGGCGGAGCTTGCAGTGAGATGAGATCACACCACTGCACTCCAGCCTGGGCGACACAGCGAGACTCTTGTCTCCAGAAAAAAAAAGCCCCAGATCTGGGAACAAGGAATTCTAGGATCCTGGCTTCTCTGTGTCTCGAGTTTATACACTCGCAGCCATGGAGCTCTGGCGCTTTCTGTCCACCCTGTGCAGCTACTGAGGGCTTGAAATGTGGCCGTGGGGACTGAGCCGAGTCCGTCGTTTGCTTTCGTTGTAACTGACCTGCGCTCAGGCAGAATAGCCACACGTCTCCAGCCGCTACGGCGTGGACAGAGAGCACAGCTCTGGCATGGAGGATCTGCAGAGCCTCGGTGTTGTGTCCAGGGCCAGAGCCAGGGCTCCTTAGGGACCATCCAGCTCATGCCTTGTTTGCTGGGGTTGGGGGTAGGGGTGGCGGATTGAAGCGCCAGGCTTGGGGGCACCCAGTGGTGTGGGCCTGACCCCGGGGCTGTCCCTGCAGATGACCTACTTCTCAGGCCTCCTGGTGATCCTGGCCTTTGCCGCCTGGGTGGCGCTGGCGGAGGGACTGGGTGTGGCCGTGTACGCAGCGGCTGTGCTGCTGGGTGCTGGCTGTGCCACCATCCTCGTCACCTCGCTGGCCATGACGGCCGACCTCATCGGTCCCCACACGGTAGGGCTGGTAGCCAGGCTGGGGTGGGGGAGGCCGGGTCCTAGATCTCGGGGTGCACGCTGACCACCTCGCCTGTGTCTCCACAGAACAGCGGAGCGTTCGTGTACGGCTCCATGAGCTTCTTGGATAAGGTGGCCAATGGGCTGGCAGTCATGGCCATCCAGAGCCTGCACCCTTGCCCGTGAGTGCCGCTGTTCGTTCATTCATTCTTTTGTTCAGTAAGAGGGGATTAAGCGCCTGCTGTGTGTCCAGCAGTGTTCTGGGTCTGGGCATCCAGCTGTGGACCAAAGACACCTGCCCCAATGGGAGTCATAGGCAGGGGAGACCTTTCCTTTCTTCCACTGAGCACTTCGTTTATTCACTCAACAAACGTTGGGTCCATGTGTGCAGTGCTGAAGACACCGTACAGAAATATATCGGGGGTGGGCCCAGCTGGAAGGGAGCCCCGAGTCCGTGTAACCCAGACCCACAGAACTCAGGGTTCAGACATGGATGGTTCTAGACCACAGCATCACAGCATTCACGCCTGTAGAGGCCCAGGGCCTGGAAACCACAGCCGGTCTGGGCCTGGGGCAGAGCCAGCCGTGTTAATAGTCACAGAGGTGAACATGTGGTTGGTACCGGCGTGGGTGGTGTGTAAAGGTGAACGCTCAGAGAAACCTGGACAGCCAGGGCAGGAAGCCAGGGAGGGCTTCTTGGAGGAGGTGACGTGGCCCTGACACCTGCAGGATGTCAGAGCATTCCAGGCCAATGGGGAGGGACAAGTAGTGCCAAAGCCCTGGGGCAGGACCACACCTGGCATGTTGTGTTGGAAGAACAGGGAGGAGGCCTGTGTGGCTGGAGTAGAGGGAGGAGGGGAGGGCAGGTCGTGCAGGGCCTGGTGGGCCATGGGGAGGACTTAGGGGATTTGACCCTGAGGACAGTGGGACTCACAGAGAGCTGTGGGCAGAAGAGGGACAGGCCCTGACCCAGGCGCTCACAGACGCCCTCTGGTGGTTGCTGCCGGGAGGACAGCTGCTGGGGGAGAAGTTGCAGCCTGGGACCGGGGCGGGTGCAGGCGGGCCATGCTGGGGCTGGACCATGAGGAGACAGGGAAGGGGAGACATGGTGGATTTGGCATGGATGCTGGAAGCAGGGCCCACAGGACTGGCCGAGCTGTTGGGTGTGGGACAGGAGGGAGGGAGTGGCAGGGCCCCCAGCTCCTGGATTGGACAGGACGGAGCCGCTGTCGGGGGTGAGGGGAGGCACAGGTTCAGCTTGGGTGGCGGGGGGGTGGTACCCGCGGTGCCTACTCATCCCCCGCCTCCTCCCACAGCTCAGAGCTCTGCTGCAGGGCCTGCGTGAGCTTTTACCACTGGGCGATGGTGGCTGTGACGGGCGGCGTGGGCGTGGCCGCTGCCCTGTGTCTCTGTAGCCTCCTGCTGTGGCCGACCCGCCTGCGACGCTGTGAGTCCTGGCCCACCCCTCCCTCCCCAGACACTGACCCACACTCTCTAATGCCATTTCCACCCCTCCCTTGCAGGGGACCGTGATGCCCGGCCCTGACTCCTGACAGCCTCCTGCACCTGTGCAAGGGAACTGTGGGGACGCACGAGGATGCCCCCCAGGGCCTTGGGGAAAAGCCCCCACTGCCCCTCACTCTTCTCTGGACCCCCACCCTCCATCCTCACCCAGCTCCCGGGGGTGGGGTCGGGTGAGGGCAGCAGGGATGCCCGCCAGGGACTTGCAAGGACCCCCTGGGTTTTGAGGGTGTCCCATTCTCAACTCTAATCCATCCCAGCCCTCTGGAGGATTTGGGGTGCCCCTCTCGGCAGGGAACAGGAAGTAGGAATCCCAGAAGGGTCTGGGGGAACCCTAACCCTGAGCTCAGTCCAGTTCACCCCTCACCTCCAGCCTGGGGGTCTCCAGACACTGCCAGGGCCCCCTCAGGACGGCTGGAGCCTGGAGGAGACAGCCACGGGGTGGTGGGCTGGGCCTGGACCCCACCGTGGTGGGCAGCAGGGCTGCCCGGCAGGCTTGGTGGACTCTGCTGGCAGCAAATAAAGAGATGACGGCAGCCTGGCTCCTGTCTGCCTGCGGGGGGGCTCTGGGCAGGGGTAGCCTGGGCATCTCAGCCCTGCCCTGGTTGTGGGCGGCCAGCGAGCCCAGTGTCTGCCTCTGTCCCGAGCCTCTGGTCCCCTGGGACTAGGTTAGTGCCCCCTCATCTGGGTGCAGAGACAGTGGGTGCATCCTGGTAGCATGCCTTTATCGGGGAGTGGGTGTGAGGGAAGGCGGGGACCGCTGGCAGGTGGAGGGGCAGTATGGTTCCAGGACCCACTCCCGGTAGTTCTGGGTGGTGCCGGGCGGGCGCTGGGGTGCCGACAGGGAGGGCACGTAGTCTGATGCCCTCCACAGTGGCTCCACCCCGTACCGGTTCCTGTTGAGCACTGTAGGTGGGACTCGGGTCACCATGTGCCCCCACCTCCTCGCCGTTGGCCAGCAAGGGGCTCCTGGATCGCCCCGGGCAGTTTCACCCTGGCCTAGGTGGCCTTGTCCCCCTGGCCTCCCAAGGACCCACCCTGCACCTAGCCTCACCGTATTCCTTGCCCCGGATTGGCCTGTCTTTCCACAGCGCGCTCCCCCACCGGGTGCTGGGGGCCTGGTACTGGGCAGGGACGATGGGGTCATGCCAGGCGGTCTCCCGCAGGTGCTGGGTGTAGGCTGCGGTGGGGCGGGGGCTGGCGGTCATTCCTGTCCCCCTCTGGCAGGCCCGCTGCCCAGGGCGGGGGGGGGGGCACTCACCCGATGGCATGCTGCACTCACGGTGTTGGTAGCAGCTGTGCCAGCGGTTGTAGGCCTCGCGGAAGGGGCTGGCCGGGGCCCGTGGCAGGTTGTACCAGGCTTCCCAGGCGTCCGAGTTGGTCAGGCCTGTGTACCACAGCTGGCCGGCTGCGTCCCGTCCCATGGGCGTGTACTTCCAGCGTGTGGCCTGCCTGATGGCTGGTGGCCAGCGGGAACCCTCCAGGGACAGGTAGTCATCGCTGAGGGTGGGCAGGGGGCAGAGACTGAGCCCATGTCTACAGCGAGTGCTTTGACCCCTTTGCGATGTCTGCCAGGGTGGATGATGTAGAGGCCTGGCCCACGGCGTGGGGTCTCCCTCCCTCGCCACTTGGAGTCTGTCCTTCAGCCCTGTACCCCTCACCCCAGAGTGGGTGCTTGAGGAGAGAGGCTGACTCCCCCTCTCCCCACACATCGCACCCCAAGCACCCAAGTCAGCACTAAACCTTTCTGTTCTCAGCTTTTCTTGCCTGGAGAAGAGGGAGGGGAGAGGACAAGGGCCCTGGCTACTCCTGGATTCCTACAGTCCTTGTCCAGCCTCCAAGACCCACAAGTCCCTTCCTCTGGGAAGCCCCCCTGGCCTGGAGGTGCACCAGGAAGAAGTGGTCTGGGGCTGGCACTAAGCCATGGCCCAGGGAAGACTGGGGGACCCACTAGGCCAGGTGTGTGGCTCACGCTTGTAAACCCAGCACTTTGGGAGGCTGAGGCAGGTGGATCACTTGAGGTCAGGAGTTCGAGACCAGCCTGGCCAGCATGGTAAAACCCCATCTCTACTAAAAATACGAAAATTAAGCCAGGCATGGTGTGGGGGCGGGGGGCACCTGTAATCCCAGCTACTCAGGAGGCTGAGGCAGGAGAATCGCTTGAACCCAGGAAGTGGAGTTTGCAGTAAGCTGAGATCGTGCCCTTGCACTCCAGCCTGGGCAACAGAGTGAGACTCTGTCTCAAAAACAAAAAGACAAGAGACTCAAAGATGTTTTATGCTTTGACCTTGCTCTTGGGAATATGTCCCAAGGAAGTCATCCCAGAAAACAAGGTTGCTGGCCCCAAGACAGTCTAGCAGGGTTCAAAACAATCTCATCTGCCCTGCACGGAAAGCCCGGTTCCAGCTCTCATGGCAGGAACTCTGCTTAAATCCTGACTAGACTCCCAGGTGCCCACAGAACATGGGAGTAGCCTGGTCAGTTACAGAGCCTGTTTGAGGGACCCCACATAGACTCGGCTTTTCCACTAGAAAGGCAATTTCAAGATCAGGAGAACCTCACCCTTTTGAAATGAATTGCAAGACACATGTAGCTTTTAAAACACAATTAAAACAGCACAAAATTGTCTGGGCGCAGTGGCTCATGCCTGTAATCCCAGCACTTTGGGAGGCCAAGGTGGGTAGATCACCTGAGGTCAGGAGTTCGAGACCAGCCTGACCAACATGGTGAAACCCCGTCTCTACTAAAAATACAAAAATTAGTCAGGTGTGGTGATGGACACCTGTGGTCCCAGCTACTCGGGAAGCTGAGGCAGGAGAATTAGCTTGAACCCGGGAGGCGGAGGTTGCAGTGAGCCGAGATTGCGTCACTGCACTCCAGCCTGGGTGAGAGAGCGAGACTCTGTCTCAACACAAACAAAACAGCACAGAATAATATTCAATGAGAAATGAGCCCCTCACCCCTGCTGTCGGCCCCGTACCCACCTGCCACTCACTACTTTCTGGTGTTTCCTCCCAGGAGCAGGTGGTACATGCACTCACCCCCGTTATTACACACTTGCGGGAGCCCATTCACTGCATCTCCATTTTTTTAAAAAATAGAAATAGGGTCTTGCACTGGGTGCGGTGGCTCATGCCTGTAATCCCAGCACTGTGGGAGGCCGAGGCAGGCGGATCATGAGGTCAGGAGTTTGAGACCAGCCTGGCCAACATGGTGAAACACTGTCTCTACTAAAAATACAAAAATTAGCCGGGCGTGGTGGTGGGTGCCTGTAATCCCAGCTACTCAGGAGGCTGAGGCAGGAGAATCGCTAGAACCCAGGAGGCAGAGGTTGCAGTGAGCTGAGATCATTCCACTGCACTCCAGCCTGGGCAACCGAGCGAGACCCTCTTTTTTTTTTTGAGACAGTCTTGCTTTGTCACCTAGGCTGGAATGCAGTGGCACGATTTCGGCTCACTGCAGCCTTGACCTCCTAGGCTCAAGCGATCCTCCTACCTCAGCCTCCCAAGTAGCTGGCATTACAGGCACGTGCCGCCATGCCTGGTTGATTTTTTTTTTTTTTTTTTGAGACAGAGTCTTGCTCTGTCACCCAGGCTGGAGTGCAGTGGCCTGATCTCGGCTCACTGCAACCTCTGCCTCCCAGGTTCAAGCGATTCTCCTGCCTCAGCCTCCCGAGTAGCTGGGATTGCAGGCGCCCGCCACCACAACCAGCTAATTTTTGTACTTTTAGTACAGATGGGGTTTCACTACCTTGGCCAGGTTGGTCTTGATCTCCTGACCTCGTGATCCACCCGCCTCGGCCTCCCAAAATGTGGGGATTACAGGCGTGAGCCACTGCGCCTGGATTTTTTTTTTTTTTTTTTGAGATGGAGTTTCGCTCTGGGCTGAAGTCCAGTGGCACGATCTCGGCTCACTGCAACCTCTGCCTCCGAGGTTCAAGTGATTCTCCTGCCTCAGCCTCCCAAGTAGCTGGGATTACAGGCATGAGCCACCATTCCCGGCTAATTTTGTATTTTTAGTAGAGACGGGGTTTCACCATGTTGGTCAGGCTGGTCTCGAACTCCTGACTTCAGGTGATCCGCCTGCCTCGGCCTCCGAAAGTGCTGGAATTACAGGCGTGAGCCACTGCGCCTGGCTGCCTGGCTGATTTTTAAATTTTTTATAGAGATGGGGTCTCACAGCTAGGCGCGGTGCCTCACGCCTGTAATCCCAGCACTTTGGGAGGCCAAGGAGGGCAGATCATGAGGTCAGGAGATCGAGACCATCCTGGCCAACATGGTGAAACCCCGTCTCTACTAAAAATACAAAAATTAGCTGGGCATGGTAGCGCATGCCTGTAATCCCAGCTACTTGGGAGGCTGAGGCAGGAGAATCGCTCGAACCAGGGAGTTGGAGGTTGCAGTGAGCCAAGATTGCACCATTGCGTTCCAGTCTTGCGACAAGAGTGAGACTCCGTCCAAAAAAAAAAACAAAAATTAGCTGGGCATGTGGCACAAACCTGTAGTCCTAGCTACTCAGAAGGCTTGAGATGGAAGAATCCTAGAACCTGGGAGGCAGAAGTTGCAGTGAGCCAAGATTGCGCCACTGCACCCTAGCCTGGGCAACAGTATGAGACTGTCTCAAAAAAAAAAAAAAAAAAAAAAAAGAAAAGAGATGGGTCTCACTATGTTGCTCAGGCTGGTCTTGAACTCCTGGGCTCAAGTGATCCTCCTGTCTTAGCCTTCCAAAGTGCTGGGATTACAGGTGTGGGCCACCATGCCCAGCCACCATCTTGGTTTAATTTCTTTCCTTGGAAATGGAGCAAAGGGCTTTCACTCTTCTTTTTCATGGCTGCATAGTATTCCATAATTGTTTAAACAATTGATAATAGACACTGTATCGGGGTGACTGGTATACCCCCAAAATCACATCTGCCCAGAGCCTCAGGACATGGCCTTGTTTGGAAATGGTTTTAGCAGATGCAGCTAAGATGAGGTCACCCCGTGTTAGGATGGCCCCGAATCCAGTGCCTGGCACCCTTATAAGGAGAGGGAAACTTGGACGCAGACAGGAAGGCCGGGTGAAGACAGAAGCAGAGACCGGGGGCCAAGGAGTGCCTGGGGTTGCCCAGAGCCACCACGGGCTGCAAGAGGTGTGGGACAGACTCTCTCAGCCACAGAAGGGCCCAGCCCCGCACAGGCCTGGATTTCAGAGGGCGAACATTTCTGTGGCCGAAGCTCCCAGTGCGTTTGCAGTCCTTGGAGACGGCCGCAGACACATTTGTTCTTGGCCTGTCTCCAGGTCTGTAGCCCCCACAGTGAGCGGCCACTGGCCGGAGGGGAACAGGAAGAGCTGGAGGGGACGTCACACACATGAGCCTTTTAGGAATAACGAGTGACACGTGCAAGACCCCAAACCAAACACCATGTAACCTGACACCCAGGGAGGGAGGGAGGGAGGGGCTGGGAGGGGCTCACCTGTAGGGAGGGGCTCACCTGTACAGCGGTGCTGGGAAGCTGGCCTCGAGGGTCCCCGAGGGGATACAGGGCCGTGCAGCCTCTTGCCTGAGGGTTTGCATGTCTGCCTGGATCCCCCGGGCTCCTGCCAGAAGGCCTCTGAGGCCACCGTTGACAGCATAAAGGCCACCCAGTGTCTCGGCAACCACGCTGACCACTCCCTCCTCCCAGCTGCGGGGTGAGGTGGCCTCGAGGGAAGGGCTGGAGAGTCGTTCTGAGTATTTAACAACTGGGGGTGACACAGTGTGGGTGGGCAAGGCCAGGGCCACTGCCAGGTGGGGTCCGTGGCCCTGAGCCCCCAGCTCTATGCACCCCCCACCTGGGGTCTGGCTTCTCCATCTCCACACCCCCTTGAGGGGCTTCTGTCTCCCCCTGCCCCTTCGATCGCAGGAGGCAGTGCCTGGCCGGGGTCGCAGGCACCTGTCACCCCAGCTCCTCACTCCTCACCCACTCACATCCAGTCCGTTTGTAAAATACACCCAGGATGAGACCTGCACGCAGTGGCTCACAGCAGCACGATTTGTGACAGCCCGAGGCGGAGAACACCGAACACCCAGTGAAGGTGAGGGGATCAGCACGGCGCCGCCACCGTGCTGGAACGAGACTCAGCCACAAGGAGGTGCGAAGCTCTGACCCAGGCCACAGTGCGGATGCACCTTGAGGATGTCACGCTCAGTGAGAGACACCAGACACAGAAGGGTACGCTGTGATCCCACTTCTATGAAATGTCCAGGACAGACCAATCCACAGAATCAGGGAGAGGATTCGTGGGTGCCGGGACTGGGGAGGGGGACCTGGGGGTGACTAGGTGACATAATGGGGACAGGGCTGCCTTCTGGGTGATGAGAATGTTCTGGAATCAGATGGGATGGCTGCACGGCGTGGTGAAGGTACTGAACGCCACCTCACTGTAAGACGGTAGATTTTGTATTTTACCACAATAAACAAAACAAAACAAAACCAAACCAAACCCAACAAACATCCAGAAACCTCCTGCCCTGCCCTGCCCCTCCTCTGGCTGGGCCCGGCCTTGGGTGGGGGCGGAGCCTGCACCCTGGTCTCCGCTTCCCCTGCCCTTGTCAGGTCCCCACAGATACGACCCTGCCTTTCCCATCTGGACACGCACCCAGGAGCTCCACTCCCTCGGCGTAGGTGCCCAAGTCCTCCCTGAGGCCCACAAGGCCCTGCACGCCCTGCCCTCCTCTCCTCACTCTGTTCCTCCCGCATACCAGGTGCCGTCCTGCCCCAGGGCCTTTGCATGGCTGTGCCCTTTGCCTCTCACCCAGGCGTCCCTGCCTTCTCCAGCCCTGGCTGAAATGCCAGGCTTGTGGTGAGCCTCTGATCCAAGGCCGCCCTTCCCCAAGGCCCCCTCCCCACCCTTGTGACGCCACCTCCTCACTTCCTCATAAGCTTCTCTGTCTCTGGGCTGTGTCCCCCATGCCAGCTCCACATGGGCCAGGTCTGCTCGGTTTCATCATCTCCAATGCCCAGGATGGGGCCTGCCCCAGCTCCTTCACCCTCTTCTCAGGCACCGCGCAAGAGCGAGCCTCAAAACCACCTGGGGCCTCCTGGCTGCCAGGACCCCCACAGCCTCCCCTGCAGCCCCCGGCCCCCCGGCCTCCTGGCTCCCTCAGCCACTTCCCAGCCATTCCTCCTGTTCTCTCCGCCCAGACCCCGGGGAGGCACCAGCACCCCCTGGGCCAGGCTCCTGCCTCCTGCACCTCTCATCGCAGAACCTATGGCAGCCTGAGTTTTTCAATTCTCTTTCCCTCTCACTGCACCAGCTACATTCCAGGATCAACAGAAAAGTTGCAGCCCGCCCTGCGGGGCCCTTGGTCAGCCTCCCCCTCCATCTGGGCGTCTCCCAACCACTGCCAGGGTCGCCCCAGGAAGCGATGGCCCCACTGGCCTTCGTCTGCCTGTCGGGTGGAGCTGACAGCAGAGGCACCTGCCCCAGCGCTGCTGAGTGGCCCCCGTGCCCCGCAAAGCCTGACGTACACTCCCCTGGGGCCCCTCCACCTCCTCTCAGCTGTCCTGGGCCATGGGGAACCAATTCCCCCATTTCTACACGAGCCCTGGCCCATCATCATGGGACCCTCCCACCACGGCCTTCACCCCCCTTGCTCTGTCCCTCCTGGCCCCATCTGGCCAGCCCTGGGGGTGAACTCAGCCCAGCAGTGCCCACCCTCCCTCCCTGATGGTGTCAACCGAGCACCTCCTCCCTGGAACAGGGCCGTCCAGCTGGAGCGCAGGGACTTGCCTGGAGTCCAGTCCTTGGCCCTGCAGGATTGTGGCCGGCGCCCTGGCAGACGGGCCTGGGAGGCGTCTCTGCGGCCTTCGAGGGCTGAGCTCCCCATCTGTGAAATGCAGGCCTGGGAAGCCCCTCAGAAGCTGCTTCTGCAGCTCCAGGGCCAGATGGGGACTCTAGGGCAGGACCGTGTGACCCCACCCGAGCCGGGGACCTAGAGCCAGCCAGTCCCGGCCACACATGAATCCACGTGTTTAATGACAGCGTCACTGCATTACATGAGAAACAAGGCTGGTCTGTCCTGGGAGCTCCCCCACCCCCTAGCATGGGCAGAACCAGCCCCAACACAAACCTCACGCCGTCCGCCTGGCCCTGCGGCGGTTCCCAGTCCCAGGAGGAGCCTCTGAAGGCCACTGTGGGTTGTGCACTGAGCCAGCCAAGCCCTGACGCCCACAGCGACAAGGCGGCTCTTTGGCAACTGCGGGCAGGGGCGGGCATGGGCGAAGGCAGGGTTGGTTTTCTTATTTAAAAACCTTGAAACAGTAAGACCGTGACCACTGGAAATCCACACTGCCACGTGCACCAGCACCCCCTGCACAGGCGCACAGTGAGGGGTCCGCGCCCCACCCAGACAGAGGTGGGGAGAGTCTCTCCAGTGAATGTGGAAGATCGACCCGCTTGAAATGACGGGGCTTTAAAACCAGGACCTCATCCCCCAGGAGCAGTGGGTGGGTCCTGGCCCCTCCCCGTCTAGCCTCAAACATTTCCAGGACTAGTCAACAAAAACACAAAACAAATCCAAAGAAAAGTCACAAATACATATGTACACATGCACGCCAACCCCACTGGGGACAGACACCAGGATGTTGGGATGTGGGGAGTGGGGAGTGGGGGTTCCCAAGCACAGCAGGGTGGTGGGTGGGACCCTCCAACCCCAGCCCGCCCCACCCTCTCCACGTCCCCACCGATGAAATGGGAAGGGGTGGTGGGGGGGTGAGGGGGCAGTGCTCAGCTCAGGCCCCACTCCCCTGCCTTGCCTCCCTCCCTGCCTGCTGTGCAGCCTGGGAGCATGAGACAGAGAAGCAGAGGAGCCTGGGAAGCTTCTCGAAGGATGGAGGGCGCCCACCTCCTGGACCCCTTGGGTCTCCTTGGCTTCCCCACGGCTGTTGGCGCTGGTGGACAGGACAGGTGAAGACACAGGCAGCCTGGGGGCGGGGGCCACACCGCTGCTGGCCTCCACAGGACCCAGCCACCCAGCAGGCATGGGGGACGCAAGTCTTGCGCAGGGAAGGAGGACGCTGGCCCTGTGAGGGCACGTGTTGGCGAATGCACGAAGACGTGGCATCTGTTGTGCTCCTCTCCAGCCAGGGCAGTGAGCAGGTCCGGGTTCAGTTCTCCTGGGGTGATAAGTCCAGAGCAGACATCCTCCTCCAGTGTGAGGGTGACGCTTGGCCAGGATGCACAGGCCCATCTGAAGCCCACTGACCGCCGGGCGATGGCCATGACACAGATGCTTCCAGAGAGACTGCTGCTTCGAGCAGTGACAGCAGAGGTGGCTGCAAGGATGCCGTGAAGCCCAGGTGGGGACTGTCTCTTGGATCCACAGGCTGGCTCCGCCAGTGGCCCCGAGCCACCTGCCCAGGCCTACATGCCTTGGTCTGGCCTTGGGGCTGGTCTTGGGTTTGACATGGTGGGGTGCAGCCATGAATGGGCAACCGGGGTCTCAGGCCCCCACCAATCAGCCCTGGCGTCTGGTGGTCTGTTCTGTGCAGACGTGGGCAGTTCCAGGAAGAGCATGCGGCTCCGGTGGGCAGGTGATGAACAGACGGAGGCAGTGAGGGTCCCAGGGGGCATCCGTCGCTCTGAGTACAGACGGTCTGAGCCGGGACCGTCCAATGTGGTTCTCGCCCTTTGGGAAGGGAGACAGAGCCCCTGCTGCTGAGGGTCCCCGACCACGTGCCCACCCCAGATACTGGTGGACATGGTTCACAATCAGGCATTTAATGAGACTCCAGGATCCTCCAGGCCCAGCTCCCCGCCCGCCCAGCCGCCTTCCTCGGGGGACAAGCGCTGGGAAGGCAGAGTCCATGCAAGCTGAGGAGCTGGGGTCCTCCGACTCTGGACAGCTGGTGTGGCACGGTCCTGCCCGGCAGGTTTACCGGATCCTGGTGAAGAGGTTGAGCACAGACACAGACTCCTGCAGACACATGGGGATGGCAGATGCGCTGAGCCGCAGGCCCAGGGAGGAAGCTGCCTGGAGGGTCCCCAAGGCTTTGGGGCTTGGTCCTGAGGGGCTGGGAGGTGCCAGTTCAGCCTCGGCCTGCCACACTGCCCCGACACATGACCCAGAATTTGAGGTGAGGGAAGCTCGGAAGTGGGGGAACCCAGAGGAGGGTACGCCCGAGGACAGTGGGGACAGGGACGACCCTGGGACAGGCTGGGGCGGGGGCGAGTGGCGCTGATACCGACCCACTTTACCTTTGTCGAACGGGTTTTGCTAAAGACGTTCCAGAACCTCAGGGTCTCGTCTCCAGCACCAGTGACGATGGCCTCCCCATCAGGGGACATTGCCTGTGGACAGGAGGGAAGCACCCCATGTCTCTGGGCCTCTAGGTGCCTCGGGACAGTGCTGGGGGACTGAAGGAGAGGGGAGCAAGGTGTCGGGTGGCTGGGCCCCCCAGACTCTGGAGCCAGGAGGGAGGGGCAGGCTGGGGCCACCACAAGCAGAAACCAAGGTTGGAGCCTTTTTTTTTTTTTTTTTTTTAATTTTAAGACGGGGTCTGGCTCTGTCACCCAGGCTGGAGTGTGCAGTGGGGCAATCCTGGCTTACTGCAGCCTTGACCTCCTGGGCTCAGGTGATCCTCCCATCTCAGCCTCCTGAGTAGCTGGGACTACAGGTGCACACCACCACACCTCATTTAAAAAAAGTTTTGTAGAGATGGGGTCTTGCTATGTTGCCCAGGCTGGTCTTGAACTCCTGGGCTCAAGCGATCCTCCCACCCTGGCTTCCTGAAGTGCAGGGATTACAGGCGTGAGCCACCGCACCTAGCCAAGGTTGGAGCATTTTTGCAAAAACACAAAGGACGCCCCCTTGCAAGAGGGGCTCATCAACTCTGCACAGATGAGGGACTGTCAGATGCGCGGATGAAAGCACAGAACATGTTTTTCAGGGAAGAAACAAAATCTTGGCAAGTGAGGGCACGTGGGGCCAAGGACGCCTCCTGGCCCCCATCCAGCCACGTGCATACAGTTACTGTGTAGGACGTTCACAGGGTCATCTGAGTGGTCAGCTGTGAGTTGGTTTTGGCTTTCCTCTTCACCCCTCTTTATGGGGAAAATAAACAAATGAAGAAGCTAAGGTCCTCCAGGAGGACAGGGCCTGCACCTGCAGGGCTGGGGAGTTCGGTAGAGCCCATTCCAACGCTGGCAACACAACCAGCACCAGATGCCCTGCCGGCCCCTGCTGCTGGGTCCCACGGGGTTTTAGATCTGCACACCATCCTCCCTAAGAACACAGGACAGGGTGCTCTGGGGTGGCCATGGCAGTTTGTCCAGAATCCCGGGGCACCTTGAAGTGCCTGGCGTGAACTCACCAGGTACAGCACGCGGTAGGAGTGCCCGGTCAGCTTGGCCACCTGGGTCAGGGAGGGGTACTTCCAGACAAGGATCTGGTTCTGTGAGTAGCCGTGCGTGCTCACCTGGAGGGCGGAGGGGGCGCTGCGGTCGGTGAGGGGCAACGAGGCCGGGTGCTATGCCTGCTGCCTCACATGCACCCGCCTGAGCCCATGTGAGAGCTCAGAGCCGCCAGCCAGCCCAGGAGGAGCAGGGGATGCTGGGATGTGGCTCTGCCACCTGAGTCTGTCTAGGAGGTGTGGAGGCCACAGGTGGACCCCTCCACCCACCGCCAAAGGCTGGAGCCCAACAAGGACCCAAACGGGGCCCACAGCCCCTCTGCCCCACCTGCAAGTCACCCCCGAGACTGTCCTGGTGACACGCCCGGAGTGGCTGGAGCAGGCCAGGGTGCTCAGTGGAGCCCGCTTCATCCTGGGCCTCCCCTCTAAGCAGAGGCAGCCATAGGAGCTCCCCGGCTCCTCACAGAGCCGCCAGGTGTGGCTGCGATGGGGGCCCAGAGGCCCCAAGTCTTGCCCCAGGTGAGGCCCTGATGAGGCCCAGGGGCCTTGCCCCCCACAACTCCCTGCCTCCCCGCTCGGCCTCCCTCGCCCATCTCCCTTCAGAGCGACTCTGACCCATCTCCCCACAGGCTGCTCTCAGGTGGCAGGTAAGGGGCCAGCAGGACGCACATCCTGAGGCCTGGTGGGAGGCCGGGCCGCCCGTGCTCACCAGCTCGTTGGCGTGCTTGGACCAGGCCAGATTGCACACTTGGGAGCCCGTGTCGATACACTGCAGTGGTTGTCCTGTCAGCGTGTTCCAGAAGCGGATACAGCGGTCAGCTGTGCCGCCCCCCGAGGCCAGCAGCCCGTGCTGATGTGGGGACCAGGCGATGGCCTTCACGGCCGCCAGGTGCTCCGTGTACTGCTGCACGGGGCTCAGGCTCGAGTGATTCCAGACCAGCAGCTGGGGGACAGGGGCTGTGAGGCCGGGGCTGTCCCAGCCCTGTGGTCCCATAGGCCGGTCCTCACAGGTGTGACGACCTGCCCTGGCACCCCACCCCACACTCCTCCTGCTGCTCCCTCAAGGACCCCTGGGGGCACACACTCGTCACCCTGTGCCACAGGGCAGGACTGGCTGAGCAGGAAGGACAAGCCTGGTGCCCTGCTGATGGCTGTGGAGTGGGCCCCGCGCCCGCGCCCGCCCCAGCCCAGGCTCTTCCGTTCCTGCCAGTGTGAGGGGTGCGGCTTCTGGTGAAGGGGAAGCCCAGGCTCTGGGCGGGGGTACCTTGTTGTCGTTGCCCCCCGAGGCGAGGAGCTGGTGGTCTGTGGACCACTTGAGCCCGCACACCTCCTGCCGGTGGCCCTGCAGCCGCCGCTCCGACTGCAGTGGCGGGGTGCGGATGTCCCTCTGCAGGATCATGCGGTCGCGGCTCCCGGACGACAGCTGCTCAGCATTCCAGGCCAGCGCCCCTGGAGGCCAGGTGGAAGCGGGGGTGAGCCTCTCCTGCCCTCGCGGAGCTGGGGCCTCAGGGAGCTCACCAGCCATGGGACCCGGGCTCCTCACCGACGCGTGCCGTGTGGCCCTCCAACATGGACAGCTTCTTCCCTGCGGCTGCGTCCCAGATCTGCACGAAGCCCTTGTGTGTGCCCACCGCCACCAGGTTCCCCTAGGATGGAAGGCATGGGCAGAGCACCGGTGTCAGGTCTGGCCCGGGGACTGTGCCCGTCCTGGCGTTGGTCGCGCCAGGCTCTCTCCTCACCAGGGCTCTGGGACGGTTTCCCTAACGACTCTCGAATGCACGTCCCTTCGGAAGAAGCATAAACCCCCCTCAGTGCATGCTGGGGTGGCGGGCACACCCCGCACACACTGCGCCTGGGTTTCTCAGAGTCCAGCCAAGACTCGGTACGTGGACCTTCCCACATGGACATTTCACACAGAGGGAAGGAGAAACTGCAGACACTGAGCTCCAGGTTCCACACAGGCCCAGGAGCTGGGCAACATGCGTTGCTGTCTGCAACTGACTTTGAGGCACATGAAAACCTAAGATGGATGGAGGGAGGGTGAGCGCACACGCCTGGACACAGTGAGCGGTTACGAGTGCTAGGGGCAGCCCTGGGCAGCTCTGGGTGAGGGGCACAGACCCTCCCCATGATATGCTTCAAAGCTGCTGCTGAGATGTTTTCATCATAATCTAAAATGGAACTAAAGCCCACTCGACCCTGAGTGGAAAATGGAACTCCAGGGGAGCGAGTCCCAGGTGGGCAGGTCCCATGGAAGGAACTGGGGCGTTATTTCCCCACTGGACCTGCCATCCTTTCTAGGGGCCTGGTGGGTGCCTGCTCATCCCTGTTACTCCCTCTACCAGGACCACACTAAGGCCGGGGACAGTGGGGGACACAGACCTATGCTTGGACACAGGCGACCTCAGGCCACGCACTAGACCCTCTGGGTCTTCAAGGCCCCCAACACTGTCAAGAGCCCCATCAGATCTCCCAGGTGGGGGCCAAGCCCTCTGCACTCACCCGCTCAGACCAGCCCACGGAGGTCACTGAGTCCCCTTCCACTGAGAGGTCACAGAGCCGCGTCACCTGGAGGCAGAGGTCAGTGTGAGCTTTGCCGCTGGTCTCGAAGCCCCAGTCTATCCATGGGTACATTCATCCCTCCACTGTCTCACCCATCCACTCTCATCCACTCTCCCATCCAATCTCATCCACTCTCCCATCCACAGTCCCATCCACTTTTCCATCCACTCACCCATCTGCTCTCCCATCCACTCCCTCAACCACTCTCATCCGCTTTCCCATCCACTCTCATCCACTCTCCCATCTGCTCTCCCATCTACTCAACCATCCACTCCCTCAACCACTCTCATCCACTCTTGCATCCGCTCACCCATGCGCTCTCCCATGCGCTCATCCATGCG
This sequence comes from Homo sapiens, assembly GCF_000001405.40. Lineage (NCBI taxonomy): Eukaryota > Metazoa > Chordata > Mammalia > Primates > Hominidae > Homo > Homo sapiens. The sequence goes on along the minus strand of NC_000019.10, from coordinate 3,530,456 downwards.
CTCTCCCATGCGCTCTCCCATCCGCTCTCCCATGCGCTCTCCCATGCGCTCTCCCATCCGCTCACCCATCTGCTCACCCATCCGCTCTCCCATCCGCTCTCCCTTCTGCTCAACCATCCACTCCCTCAACCACTCTCCTCCGCTCTCTCCTCCGCTCTCCCCTGCGCTCTCCCATCCGCTCTCCCATCCGCTCTCCCATCCGCTCACCCATCTGCTCTCCCATCCGCTCACCCATCCACTCTCCCATCTGCTCTCCCATCCGCTCAACCATCCACTCCCTCAACCACTCTCATCCACTCTTGCATCTGCTCACCCATGCGCTCTCCCATCCGCTCACCCATCCGCTCCCTCAACCACTCTCATCCACTCTCCCATCCGCTCTCCCATCCGCTCACCCATCTGCTCTCCCATCCGCTCACCCATCCACTCTCCCATCCACTCACCCATCTGCTCTCCCATCCACTCAACCATCCACTCCCTCAACCACTCTCATCCACTCTTGCATCTGCTCACCCATGCGCTCTCCCATCCGCTCACCCATCCGCTCCCTCAACCACTCTCCCATCCGCTCTCCCACCCGCTCACCCACCCGCTCACCCACCCGCTCACCCACCCGCTCACCCATCCGCTCACCCATCCACTCAACCATCCACTCCCTCAACCACTCTCATCCACTCTCGCATCCGCTCACCCATGCGCTCCCATGCGCTCACCCATCCACTCTCCCATCCACTCTCCCATCCGCTCTCCCATCCGCTCAACCATCCACTCCCTCAACCACTCTCATCCACTCACCCATCCGCTCTCCCATCTGCTCACCCATCCGCTCTCCCATCTGCTCAACCATCCACTCCCTCAACCACTCTCATCCACTCACCCATCCGCTCTCCCATCCACTCAACCAGCCACTCCCTCAACCACTCTCATCCACTCTCCCATCTGCTCTCCCATCCGCTCACCCATCTGCTCTCCCATCTGCTCTCCCATCTGCTCTCCCATCCACTCAACCAGCCACTCCCTCAACCACTCTCATCCACTCTCCCATCTGCTCTCCCATCCGCTCACCCATCTGCTCTCCCATCTGCTCTCCCATCCGCTCTCCCATCCACTCCCTCAACCACTCTCATCCACTCTCCCATCCGCTCTCCCATCCACTCAACCATCCACTTCCTCAACCACTCTCATCCACTCTCCCATCCACTCCCTCAACCACTCTCATCCGCTCTCCCATCCGCTCAACCATCCACTCTCTCATCCGCTCTCCCATCCGCTCTCCCAACCGCTCTCCCAACCGCTCTCCCATCCGCTCTCCCATCCGCTCTCCCATCCGCTCTCCCATCCGCTCTCCCATCCGCTCAACCGTCTGCTCTCCCATCCGCTCTCCCATCCGCTCAAGCATCCGCACTCCCATCCTCTCACCCATCCACTTCCTCAACTACTCTCATCCACTCTCCCATCTGCTCATCCATCCGCTCAACCATCTGCTCTCCCATCCACTCACCCATCCGCTCTCCCATCCACTCCCATACACTCTCCCATCCACTCAAACATCCACTCCCCTCAACCACTCTCATCCACTTTCCCATCCACTCTCTCATCCACTCACCCATCCACTCTCTCATCCATTCTCCCATCCACTCACCCATCCACGTACCCATCCACTCTCCCATCCACGCACCCATCCACGCACCCATCCACACACCCACCCACTCTCCCATCCACTCACCCATCCACTCCCTAATCTGCTCACCCATCCACTCTCTCATCCGCTCACCCATCCACTCTCTCATCCATTCTCCCATCCACTCTCCCATCCACTCTCCCATCCACTCATTCACTCTCTCATCACTCCAGGCCCATGGGGTCGCTGGGTTGGTCACTGCTGGGACCTGGCAAGCTCAAGCCTGCCACACACATACAGGGGAGACACACACACACAGGGGAGAGCCTGCATGGGACGAGCAGAGGATGGGAGGAAGCTGCCCAGAGCTACACGGCTCCTGCTGCCGGGAGAGGACGCTCAAATGGTGAGGGCAGGGCCTAGAAGGGTGTGGGACACTGCCAGCGGGAGCAGCTCATAGGCTGCAGGGAGGGCGCCAACCCTCGCTCTCCCGAAACTACTCGCATGGCGTTATCCCTGAAACCCCCACCCCAGCGGGCAGTGTCTGCTGCTGCCCTGCACCAGCAACCCAGTCTCCCTGTAGGGACTAGCAGGCTCCATGCGCCCAGAGGCCACTCCAGGACAGCGGCCACTCGGTGGTCATAGTGGCCCCTGGGCTCAGCCAGGCTGGGACACCTGTCTCTTCTTCTCTATAGAGCTGAACAGAGATTGTGGCTCCAGTGGGGACCCCATGCTGCCGCAGATGCCACTGCTGGCTGGGAGGGCAGTGGCTGGGAGGGCCATGGCTGGGAGGGTTGGGAGGGCCGTGGCTGGGAGGCCCTGACTGGGAGGGCCATGGCTGGGAGGGCTGGGAGGGTAGTGGCTGGGAGGGCTGTGGCTGGGAGGCTGGGAGGCCCCAGCTAGGAGGGCCATGGCAGGCGCCTGGCTCGTACTGATGCTCCCTGGATCCCGGTGGGTACATTGAGGTCTGCTGGGAGCTGGGGAGGCCCCCATGCACATGCACACCCCACGCAGCACCCACCTGGCTGGTACAGGCACTCCACAGGTACACGCAGGTGCCTAGCCCCACGCTGAGCACATTGAGGGACGACCAGTCCACCAGATTGAGGTAGAAGTCGTCCTGCAGCTCGGGCGCGTCCAGCACCTTGAAGGGGATCTTGGAGATCTTGCGGGTGGGTTTCCGGGGGGACCGGAGCAGCTTCTGGCTGCAGAGGCGGCCACGTGGCATCCGTGAGCCACGGCACTTGGGTCACCTCTTGCAAACGCTTGGGAAGTGTCTCCTTCCCTGCCAGCCCCAGGAGCCCAGTCCGGCCCCTCCAATCACCACCGCCACCATGTGATCCTAAACCCAGGGACAGCCCCACAGGCCTTCACCCTCGGGTGTCTGGCTGCCCTGGCCTCCCTTCCACAGCTGTGCTGGCTCTGCTCCCCACACCTCCTCCAGGCAGCCCTTCCTGACTACCCTGCCCCTTGTCTGAGGCCAACACTGCCAGGCCATGGTGTGCCCTCAGCAAGGGGATCTCTGGGCTGCTCTAGGCCTGGACTACACTTCTATTACTGACCATGGCCTCATGGGGGGCTGGGGCCCCTCCACTCTAAGGACTCTGGGGGAGGACACAGTCACAGCTCCAGGCCACTATGCCCTGGGAAGCCCCCTTCAGCCTCGCCCACCAGGACCCGCAGGGACAGGGCTGCGGAGGAAGCTGGGACCCACCTCTTGCTGCTGACGGGAGACAGGGAGTAGGGAGGGCTGCGGAGGAAGCTGGGACCCACCTCTTGTTGCTGACGGGAGACAGGGAGTAGGGAGACACATCGTTGCCGTCATCGGGGCTGGAGCGCTTGGTGCTAAGGGAATACTGTGGAGCGGGGGACATGCCAGCTGAGCGCACGCCCAGGCCGCAGGACCCTCAGAGCCCCCCAGCAGCCCACGCTCCCGGTACAGCTCATAGCCCTAAGGCAGGTGCTGAGACCCTGTGTGGAGCAGCTGTAAAAAGGCAGGCGCCTTCCTGGCGGGGACTGCGGACCCCCCACCCCTCCCGCCCTCTCTCGAGGGACCCAAGCCAGGCTCCGTGTGATCCTGCCTTTGAGCTCCCGGATCATGTGGACAGAGTGGGGCCCTGTGGGAGGACCCAGTACTGCCCCCTACGGGCAGGACCCCCACCGGCTTGGGTGTTCGGGACCCCAGGTAGCATTGGTGTGGGGAGAAAAAGCCCAACAGGCTGAGCCTGGATTCCTCCCGCACCCCCACATCCCAGTTTACCTGCTAGACCTCCAGCCTCAGATCCCAGGGCCCCTGACCTGGCTAAGGAACAGGGTCAGGGCGGGGGTGCTGAGCCGTGGCTGGGCCCGAGAACCGGGCTCGGGGAGGCAGAGCTGGTGCCTGGGAGGTGGGGGGCCGGGGAGGCTGCACTGGGAGCCAGCTCCCGGGTGGGGGGTGCCGCAGGCTTACCGTGAACAGACCCTTCTTCTCAGGCGTGGAGGGCTGCAGCCTGCGGTCCTCAGTCTGCGGGTCCTGCACCTTCTCGATGCCGGCACCCAGCAGCTCATTCTTGAGCAGGGCAGAGTAGGCCAGGCCGTCTGCGGGCACCAAGCACAGTGAGGCGGGGCAAGGCAGGGTGGGGGCCTGCAGGGCGGATGGGCTGGGACCCTAACCTTTGCCGTTGTCTGAGGTGGCGTCCTTGGCTTTCCGGTTCTGACTGGGAGACTTCTCATTCTCCTGCAGGCAGGAGAGCAGAGAGGGAGGGGTCGAGGAGCCCGCTTGTTCCCGGCCCTAGAGCAAGGAGGCTGGGAGGGGCCCTGGGCTTCCCGGGGGGTCCCATCTCCTGCCCAGCCAGCCCCTCACGTTAATCCTGTGGAAGTTCACGCTCCAGTTGGCTCCGGCTCTGGAGGGGATGAAGCGGTCTCCGTGCTTGCTGGGCGAGGACACTGGGGAGCTGGCAGGCGTCAGGGTCCGCCGCATCTCTGTGACCTGAAGGGCATCAGCAGAGGGCTTGCTCTCAGCACCGAGAGCCCCCCGAGAGTGCCCCCAGGCCAGCCTCTCTCAGCCTCTGGCCACTGAGCAAAGGGGGCTTTGATCTTGAAAACCCAAGGGGTGGGCCAGGCGCGGTGGCTCACGCCCGTAATCCCAGCACTTTGGGAGGCCGAGGCGGGCGGATCACGAGGTCAGGAGATCAAGACCATCCTGGCTAACACTGTGAAACCTCGTCTCTACTAAAAATACAAAAAATCAGCCGGGCGTGGTGGCAGGCGCCTGTAGTCCCAGCTACTCGGGAGGCTGAGGCAGGAGAATGGCATGAACCTGGGAGGCGGAGCTTGCAGTGAGCCAAGATTGTGCCACTGCACTCCAGCCTGGGCGACAGAGCGAGACTCCGTCTCAAAAAAAAAAAAAAAAAAAAAAAAAAAAGAAAACCCAAGGAGGGGAGCCACACAGTCACTCGTGGTCACTCATGGTCAGGGATTTCTGTGCCAGAAGCCTCCGGGAGATGCCAGGCCCACGGGCAGGCTCAGCCTCCCAACGCTGCCAGGCAGGAGGGTGGTGAGGGCAGGGCCACGGGACGGGGTGGAGTGGCAGGAATGGGGGCCATGGCGGAGGGGACAGAGCCAGGGAGCACAAGACCCCAACTGCCCTCCCAACGCTGCGCAGGTGCCATGCATTCACCGTCTCTAGATGATCACAGACGCAGGCCTTGACGGCACAAGACACGCAACAGCTGTACCCAGAGCCACCTGGGAGTGTGGCCCTCATCCCCATCTCCTGCTGCCCACAACACCCGTCTAACCCTCCAACCCCATCTGACTGTCCCCGCGCCGTCTTTTTTCTATGAGGGGTCTGTTATCAGCTGACCGGTGTCCCTAAAAGGATACTGTGAAGTCCTGAGCCCCGCAACCTGGGAATGGGACTCTGATTGGACACGAGTTTCTTGCAGATGTGATTATACTCAAGAGGAAGCCATTAGGGTGAGCCCTGATTTGATGACAAGCATCCTCATAAGAAGAGGAAAACACGGACACAGAGACACAAGCAGATGGTTCCAGGACAGATGCAGAGGCCAGAGGGACGTGGTCACAGCCACGGATAGCAGGAGCCCCCAGAAGCTGGGAGAGGCAGGAAGGGTCCTCCCCTGGAGCCTCGAGAGGAAGCGTGGCCCTGCCCACACCGTGACCTCCGACTCCGGACCCCCAGGACTGGGAGAGGTTCTGCGAGTGCTGCGTGGGCCCCGTCTGCGGCCTCTCTGGTGGAGCCCCAGGAAACACAGGCTTGCGTAGGGTCATATTCCGTCTGCTGTCACATCTCCCTGCCCCCAGCCTGTGACGCAGTCATGGCCTTGACACTTTGGAGGGTTCCAGGGCTGTCTCTCCACAGCCTGGCGCTCCGTCTGGGTCTGAAGGTGGTTCTGTGTCATAAAGTCCAGGCTGTGCTGGGTGACTGCGGGGCAGGACGGGTATGTGGGGAGCTCTCCCAAAACTGCCAATGCCCGCTCCTCCCCCATCTCCCGTTCACACCCCGGCCTGGCTGCATCCGGGAGACTTCGAAGTGCACTGGATGGAGGGTGCTGGATCCTCGCACTGCGCCCCGCCCTCCCACGCACTGCTGGGCCTGCAGGCTCCCACTGTCCTCCTGGCAGCCCCGAGAGTGCTCTGGAGACCGAGGGTCGGCACTAGGGCTGCTCCTGCTGCTGGGCGCCGTGGTGCCCAGATCCTCTCTGTGCACACAGATGCCCCTGTATTTATGCCTCTCTCTCTCTGAAATCCCTGAGATTGCAAAGACACCTCTAATTCTACGCCACTTTTCTTCTGCAGTGGCCCTGTCCCTTTACCAATGGGGACCCTGCTACATCACGCACGATCCTGGATCTGCCTCCCTGGCTCTGCCCTGTGGGGGCCGCACCGCACAGGGGGAGAAGGCGGCTGTGGTGGGCTCCCGCAGGTCCCGGGACCCAGGCTTTGGGGTCTGAAGCTGAACAAAGCCTTGAAGGTGAGCCTGCCCCAGGCCTAGCCCAATGCCTGGGCACAGAGGTTGCTGGCACTGAGGGAGCTGCGATGGGACAGCCCCTCCCCAAAGGCCCATGCCCCTCAGACCCGTCTATGCAGGCCAGCCCATGGGGGAGGGACTCGGGACAATGGCAACTTCGTCTTCGAGAATGATGGCTTGGGCGTCTATCACAGGGCAGGGACTGGTGGCCGTCCAGGCTAAGCCTGATGCTATTCCGACCCAGGCTTCATGTTGTGTAGACAGCAACAGGAGTTTGGCCCCTCAGCCCCCCGCAGGAGTCGGGTGGGGAAGCAGGTGAGGGATGTGGCTGTCACACAGCAGCCACCAGCCCCGAGACCCTGTGTGGCCAGTGGCCTGCCTGGAGCCCAGGGCAAGGCAAACACGGCTGGGCTGGGGAGGCAGGGTGGAGCGCAAGGAAGGACAAAGCCAGGGCCCCCCAAATCCCACAGGGTTCCAGATGTGCCTGGGGCTTGGAGACAGGAACGGGTCTCCCTAAAGGCTCTGCAGGCCACCCTGTGCCTCTGCCCATGCGGCCGCCCCAGCTCCACCACTCTGGGCCTTTTGCCTCCTCATCCATCCAAGCCCCGCTGGGCTCTGACTATGGCCCTGGGGGTGGCGGCAACCCTGACAGCCCAGGAGGCGGAGGCCCCGTGTGACCTGGGGGACTGGGACCTGAGTGGTCCGTGGGGCTTTAGTGACAGTGGGGACACCTGAGGCTGCTGGCCAGGGCAGAGGCAGCTGGGGGAGGGGGAGCCACAGTGGTGGGCAGGGCGGGGGCACTCACGCGTGGCATCGTGTTCTCATTCTGGATGACGATCTGGCGAAGCAGGCGCCGCTCATAGTCCTGGTCCATGGCGAGGCAGGGCTCGGCCCGCGGCAAGGTTAGCCTGCAGCGGGAAGGGCAGGAGAGGTGAGTGGGGCAGGGCCGGCTGCCCGGAGACCACGGGGCTCGCCTGCACCTCCAGGCCCTGGGAGCTAGAGTGACTGTGGGGTCCTCCTGGCTCCTCTGTGGGGATCTTCTGCCAGCCCTAGCCTCATCCTAGGTGAGGCTCCCCCAACCTGGGCCTCGGCTGCTGCCCACAGACCCTCCCAGCCTGTATATCCACACCCTGTCCTCCTGCCCGGGAAAGGGGCTTTCTGCCCTGGAGGCCCCAGGAGGGAGGCGGGGGCTGGGAAGAGTCCTGGAGGTCCCGACAAGGACTCTTCCCTGAGCGTGGGCAGCCTCCATGTCCCGAGGAGCCATGGGGACCCACGTGCGTGTGCGTCTGCAACGGGGTTCAACAAGCCACACCAGCTCTAAGGCAGTGTGCAAGAGCTGGCCACGCACAGGCCCCGGGCCGGCCACGTGGGTCCAGGCCCAGGTAGACCAAGTCACAGCTCCAGGGACATCAGCCTCCTGTGGACAAGCCACATCCGCACTCAGCTACAACCAAGGTAACATCCAGGGGCCCATGCAGAGCCCACATGGGACCAGGCTCAGCCAAACCAGGAAGGCCCCTCCAAGGGGGTGGCATTTATGTTGAGGTGTGAAGAAAAGTGGCGGTGAGGAGACCGCAAAGAACGTTCCAGAGAGAGATGCACAGCCCGAGGCAGGAAGGGGGTTTGTACAAGAATAAAGTGAAGGTCCGTGCAGGCCATGGAGACAGAAGGTAGCCTAGGAAAAACGCTCTTCCCACCAGGGCCAGCAAACCACAGCCCAAGGCCATGTACAGGCTGCCGGTCTGTAAATACAGCGGTTCTTTTTGTAGACAGGTCTCCCTGTGTCACCCAGGCTGTAGTGCCATGGCACAATCACGGATCACTGCAGCCTCAACCTCCTGGGCTCAAGTGTGGTGGCGCGCACCTGTGGTCCCAGCTACTTGGGAGGCTGAGGTGGGAGGATCGCCTGAGGCTGGGAGTTTGAGGCTGCAGTAAGCTATGATCATGCCACTACACTCCAGCCTGGGTGACAGAGCAAGACTCTGTCTCAAGAAAAAAAAAAAAAAAAAGTGAAAAAATTTACCTAAAGTTTACCATCTCGAACACGTTTAAGTGTGCAGTTCTGGCCAGGCACGGTGGCTCACGCCTGTAATCCCAACAGTTCGGGAGGCCGAGGCGGGTGGATCACGAGGTCAGGAATTTGAGACCAGCCTGGCCAACGTGGTGAAACCCCGTCTCTACTAAAAATACAAAAATTAGCTGGGTGTGATGGCACATGCCTGTAATCCCAGCTACTCAGGAGGCTGAGGCAGGAGGAGCGCTTGAACCCGGGAGGTGAAGGCTGCAGTGAGCTGAGATCGTGCCGCTGCACTCCTGCCTGGGTGACAGAGCGGGACTCTGTCTCAAAAAAAAAAAAAGCGTACAGTTCAGTGGTGTTAATCACATTCCCGTGGTTGTGTAGCCACCACCACGGTCATCTCTAGAACTTTCTCATCTTCCCAAACTGAAACTCTGTCGCCATGGAACACTCACTCCCCATCCCTCTCCCCAGTCCCTGGTGACTTCTTTGGCAGGTAAGTTCCTCAATCGTTAAACACAGAGTCTGTCAGTGATGAAAGCTTAGTCCCGTTCTGCTACTAATGTTAAGTGATGATAAAGTTATGTCTACGCAAGAGAAACCCACAGTCACCACATGACCCAGCACTTCCTAGATACACACCCAGGAGAATGGGAAAGGCACAGGAACTGGTACACAAATGCTCACAGACGCACAATTCACAACAGCCAAAAGACGGCAAAATCCTACATACGCATCAACAGGTGAGGGACGAACCAGCGCGGCCCTCCACACGCCAGAACACGACCCAGCCATGAAAGGAGCAAGGCTCTACCCAGGCCACAGCGCGGACACGCCCTGAGGACGTTGCACCCTGTGAGAGACACCAGACACAAAAGACCTGGGAGGGCCCTGGAGGAGGCTGACTCACGGAGACCAGAAGGGCCGAGGCGACACCTGCCTTTTTAGGAAACAGACACCTGAGGCATGCACTGGCTTGCGTCACCAGGTAGGGACAGACCCATGCGGGTTTGGTGCTGCTCCTGTCATCCCGAGCACCACTCTGTCCTGAGATACTGAGGCGGTTGGCCTGATTGCCACCTCCACAGCTCCAGGTGGCCTCTGACGAGCTCCCGGCCTGGGGTTGGAGATAGGATCAACCGCAGGGCTGTTTCTTCTGCAAGAGCCCGCAGGCAGCGCTGACTGGGCCCGCAGTCAAGGGACGCATGTGGTCCCTGGCTCGGCCACATGGGGCCAGTCAGGCTCTGAGGGACAAGAGCATGCAGCCCACAGTCCTGTGGTAGTGGGTTTTCGTGGCTTATCTCGTGTCCCCTCTGCAAGGCCTCATGGACGGGTGCCAGCGCCCACCGCCTGTGCAGATGAGGACACGAAGGCAGAGTGCAGGGCAGCAATGCCCACGACCACATAGAAGGCCCAGGGTTCTCTACATGGCTCAGCCCAAAGCACATGGGCCCAAAGGGTGGCCCACGCGGCCACAGAGCAATGGCCAGCAGCTCTCCCTCCTTCCAGCCTGCCCCCTACTGGGGCCAGGTCATGTCACCAGCCTCCTCCCCATCCCCTTCTCCCTCGCCCAGAATGGCCTCTCCCCACCCACAGTCCCCACCGGTTCTCCACAGGGCACAGCTGCCTCCCGCAGCCCCAAAGGCCCATGTGTCCCCACCACACCCGACCACTCCTGGGCCAGCACTGGCCATCCCAGGACGAGGAGAGGCCTAAGCATCTGTCCCCAGTGAAGACAGCCTCTGGGGGACAATTTCCCGAGCCTGGAGCCAGAGGGTCTATAGAGACCTGAGCCCCAGGAAAGGTGTGGGTGTGGGGCCCCCCGGGACTGATTTGCAGATGAACAGGGAATCTACGCAGATCCTGAGCCCCACGAGAGCTGTGGGTGTGGGGCCCCCCGGGACTGATCTGCAGATGAACAGGGAATCTATGCAGATCCTGAGCCCCAGGAGAGCTGTGGGTGTGGGGCCCCCCGGGACCGATTCACAGATGAAGGGGGATCTACACAGATCCTCCAGCACTTACAGAAAGGAAACCGCGGAGCAGAGACCACTTGCAAAGGCAGTACTGTGGCATGAAAACCCCACCCTGGGGGCAGGGGCTCCTGGGGGAGTCTCCGTCGGAAGTGCAGTGCTCAGTCCAGGCTGTGCAGAGGTGGTGCGTGCAGCCACAGAGGACGTCAGCTGTGGCCATGGTTGGGGAGGACAGCTGGAAACATCGGCTTCACAGGCAGCATTGCCCAGACAGTAGCTTGTACCCCTTGGCACACCAAAAACCAGGCAGGACCCGAACACTGAGCTTCAGAGCAGGGGTGAGGGAGCCCCTGCTCAGACTCCAAGAGTCCCAGAGCCAAGCGGCGAGGAACTTGTTCAAGTCCAGCAAATCTGAGACCAGAGGGAGGCCAGCCCTCCGCCCTCCTTGGGGTAGATCAGCCACCACCGTCGGCTCCATGCAGGTCGCCCAGCACTGGCGGCTTCACAAGCCCCATGCAGCCAGCAGGCGACTCACCACGTAGACGCGGCTGCCGCAGGGCAGAGACGATCCGGACTGCCAGGGGCGTAGGGTCCTGACCCCAGGACCTGTGCCTAGGCCACCTTGCAGGGCAGCAGGGACTCTGCAGGTGTGACTGAATGTTTCAGAGGGTGGCAGGTGTGGACGGGGCTTCCCCAGACACTTATGCTCCCCACGGTCCTGGAGGCCCTCTCTCTGCCCAGCCTCGCATGGGGGGCCCTGCCCTCTCTCTTTCCTCTCTGTGCCCCCACGGCCCCTGACTTCTGACAGCCCCATCCTGTGTTGGATGTGGTGGGGAGGGTCATTCATTGACCAACACACATGAACAGAGCCCTCCCAATGACAGGGCCACAGCCCCACCCACCCACTGGAGTGAGCTCCCTACCAGAGGAGGTAGTGGGAGAAAATCAAGCTGGTGGAGAAGCATTCCAGGTGGTGGCATGTGCTGCCAGGAAACACTTTTTTTTATGGAGACAGGGTCTCTCGCTCTGTCGCCCAGGCTGGAATGCAGTAGTTTGATCATGGTTCACTGCAGCCTCCACCTCCTGGGCTCCAGCTATCTTCCTACCTCAGCCTTCTGAGTAGCTAGGACCAGAGACATGCACCACCATGCCTGCTAAAGGAAGTACATTTGTAAAAGTGGCCCCCAACAACTAGCTGCCAAAGTAAAAGCAAGATGGACAACGGCACCAGCAGACTTCAAATCCCAGCACAGGACAGTCTCCCCAAGACCTGGCACCTCGCAGAGGGACCCATGGGCACAGGAGCGCGGGCACAAGCGGAACGGCTCCAGGACTGTATTCCATGCCAGCACTGCCCCTGCTCCAGATCTGACTTTGCAGGTGGGGCCCAGCCCTTCCCGTGTCCTGGTGGGAGCCTTTGTGGCTTCTGTACTTTCAGCACCCTTGGCTAGGCCTTCTCCAACAATGGAAAAACTTTGTAATGCAAATCTTACTCGTTAAAGAACTTAGCTGCCAGGTACAGCAGGAGGATACCAGGAGTTTGAGATCAGCCAACATGGCGAGACCCCGTTTCTACAAAAAATACAAACAGAGGCACTGTGGGGGGCTGAGGTGGACAGATCACCTGAGCTCAGGAGTTCGACACCAGCCTGGCCAACATGGTGAAACCTCGTCTCTACTAAAAAATAAAAATTAGCTGGGCATGGTGGCATATGCTTGTAATCCTAGCTACTAGGGAGGCTGAGGCAGGTGAATCACTTGAACCTGGAAGGCGGAGGTTGCAGTGAGCAGAGATCGTGCCACTGCACTCCAGCCTGGGTGACACAGTGAGACTCTGTCTCAAAAAAAAAAAAAAAAAAAAAGAAAGAAACAGTTAGCTGGGTGTGGTGGCATACATCTGTAGTCCCAGGACTCAGGAGGCTGAGGTGGAGGCTGCAGTGAGCTGAGATCGCACCACTGCACTCCAGCCTGGGCAACAGTGCAAGACACTGTCTCAGGAAGGAAAAAAAAAAAAAAAGAACTTTGTTTAGTTACAAATCACAGCATTTCAGATGACCCTTTTTTGTTTATCTTGTTTCACACAGAGACCTTGGTGATGCAATTCATTTCCAGAGACCTAAGTGTGGACAAACAGGAGCGCCCTGGAGTTTTTATCTTTTTAAAATTTTTATTCATTTATTTTTCTGAGATAGAGTCTCACTCTTTTTGCCCAGGCTGGAGTGCAGTGGTGCAATCTCGGCACACTGCAACCTCTGCCTCCCGGGTTCAAGCAATTCTCCTGCCTCAGCTTCTCAAGTAGCTGGGATTACAGGCACTCACCACCACACCCAGCTATTTTTTTGTATTTTTAGTAGAGAGGGGGTTTCATCATGTTGGTCAGGCTAGTCTTGAACTCCTGACCTCAGGTGATCCACACGCCTCAGCTTCCCAAAGTGCTGGGATTACAGGTGTGAGCCACAGCGCCCAGCCAGGATTTTTATTTTTGAGACCGGGTCTCACTCTGTCACCTAGGCTGGAGAGCAGTGGTGCAATTATGGCTTACTGCAGCCTTTGCCTCCTAGACTCAAGTGATCCTCCTGCCTCAGCCTCTGGAGGAGCTGCGACCACAGGTGTACTCCACCAGACCCAGCCACTTTTTGTATTTTTTGTAGAGATGGAGGCTTCCCATGTTGCCCAGGCTGGTCTCGAACTTCTGGGCTCAAGCAATCTGCCTGCCTCTGCCTCCCAGAGTGCTGGGGTTACAGGTGTGAGCCACCGCGCCCAGCTGGCATTTTTCCAGAATGAGAGAATGTAAACAAGTGTCACTGGCAGCAGCGGTGGTAACCGCGTGCACTGAGGCACTTGCTGGCAGAGTCTGGTTGTGATTGGCTAAAATATCATCCCCCACTTCCCCAGAACACTGATGCTGCCCTGAAGTCAGCACTGAAAGCAAATACACCGGGCGCCAGCTGCAGCTGCACACGGCCCCTGGCACACATCGCTGCCCAGCAGCACATGGCTGCACCTGACAAGCCCTCCGGGGCAACAGAGACGCCGTGAGCCAATGGCCCAAACGTTGCCAGGTGGGCAGCAGCTGTCAGTCTACTGGCCACACAACTCACTCAACGCTGCCCAAGGCTGGTGGGCAAAACCACAGGGCCCAGGCCTGCCCAGCAGCCTGAGACCCAGCTCCTGTCTGTCCCTGCAGTGAGGGCAGGGGTGCACAAGACGGGTGTGCAGACTGTCTTCCCACCTCCGAGATCTGGAGGGTCCTGTATCCCGGGCCTGGGGCCTCCCGGGGCACCTCACCTGGACACTTGCCCGGTGCTGCTAGCGGTGCTCAGCTCAGCTCCGGGACCCCCAGCGACCCCTCTAAGCCCCTCGCTCAGCTGCGCTGCAGGAAGAACAAAATCCAGGAGCCATAAGAGGCATGGCTGTGGAATTCAACACCGGGAAAATTGGGAGTCCGCAGGGCAGACACACCACCAACACAGTTAAAAAACAGATGACAAACTGAGGGAAGCACCTGCCACCCACAGGAGAGCCCAAAGTAGCAAAGGACACCAACAAACCGCACTGGGAAAGGACCAGTCCTCCCTCGCAGTCAGGAGCTGCCAATCCAACCGAGGACACCACCCTCCCGCCCGTCAGACGGTGGGGGAGGCTGTGGGCTGGGGGACTCGGCCTCACCATCCCAGGCGTGGGGAGAGACAGCCACACGCACTCATGGTTGGCAGAAGCTGCAAACTGCTACGGCTTCAAAGGAAGGCAATTTGGCAACTGCTTCCAAAATTTAAAAAATGCACATCCTCTGTGATGCGGTATTTCTACTTCTAAGAATTTATCCTTAGAAACTCAGCATGCATGTGTGCAGAGATGGAGTCACTGCGGCAGCTAGTCAGAGTGGAAGACGCAAGAGGCCATCAGACAGGGAGCGGAAGAGGCTGTGAGACCCACTGCACAGAAAAATGGCCATGCAGAGCACACTGCTCCCAGAAGGTTCGAAAAGCGGCTGGTCATGGGGTGGGTGGGGAGAGGAAGGAGAGGACGAGGATTGGGGAGGAAAGAAGCCTTATTTCTCCTGGCACCTCGTTTTGTACTTCTTGAATTCCTTTTTTTTTTTTTTTTAGAGACGGAGTCTGGCTCTGTCACCCAGGCTGGACTGCAGTGGTGCGATCTCTGCTCACTGCAAGCTCCGCCTCCTGGTTCACACCATTCTCCTGCCTCAGCCTCCCGAGTAGCTGGGACTACAGGGGCCCGCCACTGTAGTGCCTAATTTTTTGTATTTTTAGTAGAGACGGGGTTTCACAGTATTAGCCAGGATGGTTTCGATCTCCTGACCTTGTGATCCGCCCGCCTCGGCCTCCCAAAGTGCTGGGATTACAAGCGTGAGCCACCGCGCCCGGCCTGTACTTCTAGAATTCTGTATCACGTGAACTGTGAGGTATTCAAAAAAACAAACCACGGTCAGAGATGGGCCAGGCAGGCTCCGGATGAGACCGGGCACCACCGCATTCTCCCTCCTTTGCTGGATGCTCGGAAGGTTTCATCGTAAAAGGTTAGAGTAGAGAGAAATCAGGATCTTAAGCTGCTGTTAAGTAATTCCTGAGCACAGACAACGTGTGTGGCCGTGTGGAAAGGCTCAGACCGGGTCGAGGGAGTTTAGCAGCAACCCGGACCCTCGCTGCACATCAGCAGTGAATCAGTGAGTGACTCGTGCTCCGCCAGGCCCTGCAGAGGTTCTTGTCCCTGGCCCGGGGGTGCCTAGTGGGGATGCTGCTGTGGCTCTGCCTGTGTGGCCGACACCTGCAGCTTGGTTGCCCTGGTCTGGGTGGTGGACCCGGGCCCTGGGCCACCGGGCTTCCTGCTGCCCCATCCCCTTGGCAGGGCACTGCCCTGTGGGTCCTGCAAACCCCCTGGGCCAGCTCATAGGGAAGGTCCACCTTTCACCCCCTGGGCCCCAGAATGAAGAGCCAGGAGGCCTCCTTCTGCCACTGCCCCGGGCAAGCCTTCAGTCTCGAGCTTCTTCCTGTTCCCCTGGGAAATGGGCATGACCCAGTCACCTGACAAAACAGTGACAGGGCCCCCGTACAGAGGGAGACGCCCTGGGATAAATATGTGGAAAAAAATGGAGTCGGCCCCTGCTCACACCAGACACCAGAATAAGCCTCCGATGGGGCAGACAGCACAAACCAGGGGGACTCCAGCTCCTGAGATTCACCTCCTCTCTCCCTCCCACTCAGGGTATGGATTTCAATGTGTGCAGCCTCCTGGGACCTCAGCAGGGCAGAGGATCATGGGACGCAGAGTCTCTTGGGGGTCCATGGAATCCCATAACCCAGGGGGTCTTAACCAGGGTGATTCTGCCCCCAGGGTATGATATATGGTGATGTCTGGGGACATCTGTGGTTGTCATGACTGGGGGTGCCCCTGGCGTGGAGTGGGTGGAGGCCAGGGACGCTGCTCAGCACCCTGTAGTGCCCAGGACGGCCGCACCCCAGAGAACGATCCGGCCCCAATGTCCACAGGGTGCAAGGGCAGAGACCCTGCTCTCGGGCAAAACCAGGGAAGTGACTTGAATGAGCGAGACCTGCAGAGTGTGGCCAGGCATCCCCAGCCCCATCCCCACTGCACCAGTGGGGAGAGGAGGAAAGGGAGCCGATGAGGCACTGTTTGTGGGGGCCAATGGCACGGCACGATTTGTCTCCAGGCTCGACTTTGAGGTGTCCCTGAGTGGGGACGCAAAGCGTGAGGGGCTGTCTGCCGTGTAGACAGGGCCTGGGAACAGCACCAATGCAAAGCCCCCAAGGTCTCCCCTGGTGCGGGATCTTCCTCAGGAACACAGCACTCTGGTTCCTGGAGGCTCAGCCAAGCTCCTACTCCTGCAACGCCTTGCTTGGCTGGGAAAACTGGTCCCCACTGTTTTCATATTTTTTTCAGGCTCTTTAACGGACAAAAGGAATTGAAACATCCCAATGACGGATCTTTTATGACTCATGTGTTGAGGCTGACTATGGTCTGGATGTGCCACCTATGGTATACACCAGGGCATCCCCCCACCCTGGCCCAGTGGACACTGGGGCAGGACCGCCTTGGGTAAGGGTAACTCCAGCCTGCAGGTGAGGCGGCACTTGCTACCCACAGGGGACGTGGAGCAGGTAAGGGAGGAGGGAACACCGACCAGAGCCTCATGGGTGCCGCCACATCCCGTGCGGGCTCCTGGCCCAGGGGCAGAGCATCAGAACACACATGGGGCTAGGACAGAGGCAAACCTTGCCCGTGCCTACCAGCTGGCACAGCTGGAAGCACTCAGTGTGCTTGACTGAATGTCCTTGGGACAGCAGGTGGGCAGGCGCCATTGCATCTTGGGGCCTGGGACAGCACCCTCTGCTCAAGGTCCCCATGCAGTTGGTGAGGGTAGAGCTGGGACGTGAATCCAGCCAGTCTGGGTCTGGCTCTGTGCCCACTCCCTGGCCCTTGCCCCAGGAGGCGAAGTGTCCTAGACTCAGCACTCGGCCCAGCCCTGCCCACGGGGAAGCTGCAAGGCACTGCCTCCTGCTGGAGTCTCCGCAGAGTGGTTCCAGCAGGAGGCCTCCGACTAAGGATCACTGGATGGTGGTGACAGAGCTCGGGGGTGGGCCGGGACACAGCCCCTCACAGGTCCCGACCCCTGCAAAGTTGCTGGATGGCGGTGACAGAGCCAGGGGGTGGGCTGGCTAACAGCCCTCACAGGTCCCAACCCCTGCAAAGTTGCAAAGTGCTCCTGCCTGAGGGGTCCCAGGTGTCCCCAGACCACCTGTGAGGCCCTGGCCCAGGTGCCCTCCCAGAGAGCCCCCTCCTCATGTGAAAGGCAAGGGACTGCGCTGGGTGCCTGGGCGTGATGTCCAGCCATCCTCTGCGGGGCTAGGGAGAAGCACCAGATAAGAAAGACCCCCCACAAAAAAATGGGGGGTCACCCAGCTATCCGCTGTCTGCTCTCACTGGATCTGGGAGTTTCTGGGGAGGTTTGCCTCCTGCCCTGCGCCCAGGAGTGTCATTTATGAAGCACGGCTTCACAAGCGTCACCTCATCCCACTAATCTCATTCCCAGCCACTCCTCAGAGGAGGACTCTAGATGGCTCTCTCGGGTCACATTTGGATGTCCTCGGTGTCATGATGTGATTAAGGGGGCAGCCGTGCCAGCTGCATAGATGGCCTTGTCAGAGCACGTGAGCCCCCCACCAGCACCACCCCACCCAGCACACGCGGCCCTCAGCCCTGCAGCTCCAGGGACCCAAGGCGGGCGAAGCACCCAGACACCCTTATCGCTAACCCTCCTTGTGCCCTCCCATGAAAGTAAACCAAGTCCCATGAAAAGGTTCTAGCAGGGTCCATCAGAAAGAGTGTGGGCTTTCGACGGGATCAGCCCAGGCTGAGTCCCAGCTTCAACCCTTCCTGGCCACGAAGCTTTGGGCAGCTTCACCTCTTGGGACATCAGTTTCTTCATCAGTTAAGCAGGGACAACACTGCCTGCCTAGGAAGCTGTGAAATCAGGCATGAGGTCTACGAGGCAGCAGGCACCCGGCATGACCCAGAGAAGATGCTTGGTGAGAGCTGGCTGGGCCCAGGACTCATGACAGGTGCACACACGGCCCCAGAGGTGCTCAGTGGATGCTGGCTGGGCCCGGGACTCATGACAGGGGTACGCAGGTCCCCAGACTGCTCCCTGCTCCTTCGTCCTTGGGCATGGCGGTGCCTTGGCAGCCAGGATGCTGCCCCAGTGACCTCCTGTCCACAGACCATGACACTTATCTCCTCCCATGCTGCCCCCATCAGTCTCAGAGAGGAGGGAGGACGTCAGAGAAATGGGGCTCCCGGGGCAGGTGGCCGTGGTTGCAGGGGTGGACTGACACAGGGGAGAGGTGGACTCTGGACCAGAACCAGAGCCGGGGCCTAGCGGAGAGACCACTGAGGCACAGAGATCTCTGCAGGGAGCAACCCCCACCTGCAGAAGAACAAGCTGAGCTGGCGGCCTCTGACCTCTACAAACGCAAAGACACAGCCAAGAGTAGCCAAGTAAAAAAGGGTGGGGCCCAGACCCTTGGCAGGGGACAGCGTGCCTTCCAGGGTGCCCGTGTGAGCCATGGCGAGGCGAGTTACTGTTGGAGGCCGGTGCCTGGGCCCCGGGAATACACCCCGTGCACGTCATTCATTCATTTACTCACGCCGCCACCTGCCAGCCGACGCCTCCCCACCAACCAGCCATGTGCCATGTGGGTTCTAGGTGCTGACCCAGGCGCCGCAAAGCAGAGCCAAGCTGCTGCCCCCACTGGGTGTGCAGCCTATTTTTCTCTTCTTGTTTTTAAAATATAGAGATGGGGGTCAGGGTCTCCCTATGTTGCCCGGGCTGGTTTCAAACTCCTGGGCTCAAGCAATCCTCCTGCTGAGGCCTCCCAAAGTGCTGCGATTCCAGGCGTGAGCCTCTGTACCCAGCCGGCAGGCAGTCTAGAGTGAATAGCAGTCTAGAGTGGATGAGAAGCATCCCCAGGGTCTACTCGGCCAGCAGCTCTCACCCTCTTCCCTGTGTGGGGGGCAGCTCCCACCTCCAGCCCACTCCCGTGAGAACTGCTCTCCACACTTCCAAATGGTGCCTGCAGATAAAAGACCCGAGGTTGCTCATCTCCAGCCTCCTGGTACCACCGAGTACCCACAGCCCTGTCTGACTTGATGACACCTTCAGACCTAAAAGACACCTGGGTCTGCGGCAGCACAAAAGGCTGCAGTGCCCCACGTGAGGAGGAAGGCAGCGTGGCACCACGCCTGTGGTCTCTCAGGATCGGATGGAGCGCCATCAGGTTCCCGAGGCCCGCACATCTCTGCATCTCTGTCTGTGTCATGCAGCTCCCACCCACGGGTCCCAGGCGAGGTGAGGCGGTAGCAATAGAAACCCAGTCCGGGGAGTTCATGGCGAGGGCCCCAACCTCAGCGCTGCGGACATTTGGGCCGGAACGCTGTCTATGGCGGGGAGTCCTGGGCTCTGCGGGGCGCTGAGCAGCATCACTGGCCTCCACTCACTCCATGCCAGGAGCGCCCCCCAGTTGTGACAATGCACAGATGTCCCGAGGTGTTGCCCAGTGCCTGTGGGGGCGGAGTCACCCAGGTGGGGAATGCATGGATGAGGGGGATCCTGAGGGGGATCCTTAAGTGGAAGAGTTGCTCTCCAGGGCAAACAGACCAGCACTGGCCTCCCACACTCCTCAGCCCTCCGGTGAAAGCAGACAGATGCCCACTGCCCACCCTCTCTCTGCTCCCATCATCCTTCCACCACCGACCCAGTGGCCTGCAGGCTGGTGGGGATGAGAATATAGAGGTTCCCAGGCCAAATCTGATCTGGGAGAGAGGAAGATTCACAACAGAAGGGAATGTGTGCAAAACAGCACAGGAATCTGAACGGCCTGCCGCTCTCCAGAACCCAGCAGTGTGGCCGGGCATGCTGGCTCCGCCAGTAATCCCAGAGCTTTGGGAGGCCAGGGCAGGAGGATCACTTGAGCCCAGGACTTCAAGGCCAGCCTGAGCAACATGGTAAAACCCCGTCTCTACAGAAAATACAAACATTAGCCAGGTATGGTGGCGCGCCTGGAGTCCCAGCTACTCGGGAGACTGAGGTGGGCAGATTACCTGAGGCTGGAAGGTCGAGGCTGCAGTGAGTTGTGATTGCGCCACTGCACTCCAGCCTAGGTAACAAAGTGAGACTCCATCTCAAAAAGGAAAAAGAAAAAAGAAAAAAATCAGAACCGTGCAGCAATTTGGGAAGGCTGGGGTGGAAGGGACATGCTGGGGGCAGGAGGACAAGGTGGAAAGGTTGGAAGGCAGGTCTCTAGAGCTGGGCTCACGGTGGTTGCATGGGGTTGACACCATCAGACACGATCAGCCGGCGAGTGGAGGCACCAGCGCCTCAGTCACAGAGCAACAAGGACGGTCGCCACACAACCACCAGCGCCTGCCTCTTCGCAGCAGCTCAACTCACAACAGGCAGACACTGGAAACAGCACCAACGTCCACTGAATAAGGAGACGCACAAAACCCGGTGCCTCCACATCACGGAACATGACTCAGCCACGACAAAGAGCAGGGCTCTGACTCAGGCCACAGCCTAGACGCACCTTGAGGACATCACACTCAGTGAGAGATGCCAGACACAAAAGGCCACACAATGTGGGATTCCATTTCTATGAAATGTCCGGGACAGGCCCAGCCACAGAGGCAGGGGAGACAGGTGGTGGCGGCTGATGGGGTCAAGGCTGGTTTCTTCCTGAGGGAATGAGAATGCTCCAGAATTGGGCAGAGGTGATGGCGGCCCGAGCCTGTGAACATATAAAAACCAGGGAACTGCACGCTCTAAAGCAGTGAATCGTGCGGCAGGAGAAGTGTATCCAAATAAAGCTACTACGAGCAAAAATTAAATAAAGAAAGAAGGGCCAGTGAAGAAGCCTGAAGGAAGAACCAGACGGAGTAGGAAGCCAAGAGAGAGTGGGGGTGTTCACCGTTGTGGGGGCGGTGTGTCATTCGTGGTCAGTGGCGGCTGAGTGACTGAATGAGGCGCGGCCAGGCAGGCTGCTTGTGTGCCCCTCATCCCATCCATGAATGAGGACACTGAGGCAGAGGAAGGCAGTCACCTGCCAACGCACACAGGGACCTGGGGCCACTGGGGACATGAACGTCCCTGGACGAGAACATAAGTGGCCCAGGAAGGGGCTCTGGCTCTGTGCTGAGTCCAGTGGCTGGGAAGAACAGTGACATGTGGGCAAGGCAGTGACAAGCGGAGTTGACGAGCAGGTCACTGGTGACCACAGGGAGGTGTCGGGGGCAGAAGAGAGATGAGGTCAAACACTCCCTTTCCTGCTGGTAGGTGCCCAGGTCCCTGTGGCAGTGCCAACAGGGGGCCCGCTGTGGGCAAGCACACAGCCCAGGGCACTGAGCAGGCCGGAGGCGGAGCGGGGACCAGGCAGGCACACTCACTGCCCTCACGGGGCTCACAGTCCAGACATTGGGGACAGGCTGCTTTCTGTACTGGGCCGTTCTGGGCACAGTGGGGGCACTGAGCAGCATGCCTGGCTCAAATACTGCCAAATGTCCCCTGGGGACAGAATTGGGCAGTGGAGAGCTTTGCGCCAGGAGAAAGGAGTGACAGCGCTGAGTTCCTAGAAGACCAAGCCCCTGGATCTTCACCTCTGCCTGGAGTCCCCGGGAGCGGCCCTACACACACAGACTTTCCATCCTCTCCCCTCTAAATGACACCAAGCAAAAGGTCCTCAGAACCAATTCCATTCTGGGACTCCCAAACCCAGAAGTTCTCAGTCTACAAAACCCCTCTACCAGAAACCCCATTAAACAGTAAGTGGTTTGAAAATCAACGTAAGGCCGAGCGCGGTGGCGCACGCCTGTAATCACAGCACTTTGGGAGGCCTCGAGGCGGGCAGATCGCCTGAGGTCAGGAGTTGGAGACCAGCCTGGCCAACATGGTGAAAACCTGTCTCTACTTAAAATACAAAAATAGCCGGGCGTGGTGCGCACACCTGTAATCCCAGCTACTCAGGAGGCTGAGGCAGGAGAATCACTTGAACCTGGGAGGCAGAGGTTGCGGTGAGCCGAGATCGCGCCACTGGACTTCAGCCCAGAGCGAAACTCCATCTCAAAAAAAAAAAAAAAAAAAAAGAAAATCAATGTAGCCCCACCTTGAAGACCAATCCGGCTTGTCTGTTTCTAGAAACTCCTCCTCCAAACCCCAAAGCCCCACCCCAACCCCTACCCCCACCACTGCCTGCAGCCAGGGCACAGGTTCTGAAATTTGACCTGGGAAGCAAGTCACAGGGGCAAACTGGCGGGTACCACCTTGCCAAGATACCCCTCCCCAGTAAAGCACCGGGCTTGCCTTTGAGTAAGTGTCTGCTCCCTTAGCAAAACCCTCTGCAACCCAACTCCGCTCGCTGCTCAAGGCGCCGGGCAGCGGCCAGTGGCCAGCACACCTGCCTCCACTTGGGATTCCGAAGGAAATGACAATCGGGTGTCGCCAAAACACACGGGCCCCTGACACAGGAGGAGGCCCACGCGGAATTCCGCATGACAGACGGCCCCCGACACATCCACTCCGGGGACCAAACCTAGGTGATGCCGTCAGCTTCTATCCCCACCCCCACCCCGAGAGAGACCACTCCGCCTTCACTTCAAAGTCCCCGCAGGCTGCCCTCATGCTGGTGGTGTGTGTCCTTGGTGGATGGTTTTCCCTTAGGTAAATCACCCTCCTTCAAAGCACATAGGTTGGGGTGGGGGCCTCACCACGGAGAGGCATGAGGTCATCGCCCGGTAGACTGGGGCGGGGCGGGGGAATCGGAACCAGAGAGACGCCCTGAACCAGAGGATGAGTTTGGGGTGGAGAAAACAGGGGAAAAGACAAAACAGATTTAGGCTGAACATCTGCATATCGGGGGTCTCAGGACGTGGGGTGGAGACAGGTCTGGACGGTGGAAGAGGGGGAGGGGGTGTCACAGGTTTGAGTAGGGGTAAAACGGCTCTGAATGGGGGGCACACTCCATATTCTGGGGATCCGAGATGGCCAGGCTTGCGTTTGGAGAAGACACGGGGCAGGACGCAGGACGGAGGTTCAGTTCGGAGGAGGGAGGGGCTTGTGCACGGATAGCTCGTCTGAGGCTTTGGTGGGAGAGCTGGATTTCGGGGGAATGGGGGCTGGTAGGGGGCACGCTGGGAGGGTGGGGGAGCAGAAATCAGCGAGATGAGGTGAGACGGGGACATCCATGCACTCAACCCGTGCCTGCGGGGACTGGTGGACACAACAGTGACCACAGACACAGGTTTCCGGGTGTCCCGGGCTGGGACTGCATTTTACTGGGGCGAGGGGCTGGTTGCGGCCTGGGCGAGCCATCGCACACCACAGGCTCAGCGATGGGGGGCGGCTTCGTGTGGGCAGGACCCAAGCTGGGAGGGTCTGAACTGGGAAGTCCCGGGGATGACAGGCCAGGGAGAAATCACCCGGGTTAGGAGGCGGGGTCTGCTGTTCTAGGGGTGCGCAGTGGGGTCCCCTGGTTGGGGGTGCAGGGCTCAGCCTATTTTAAAAAGAATGGTGGACGCTGACGGCGGCTGCGGGGAGGTCACGACTTACAGGTGGCTCGGGGTGGGGGTCACGGCAGGCCCCGACGTGGGGGGGACGCTGGGATTTGGGTGTTAACTCGGGAGACGCGGATGCTGAGGTCACCCGGGCCTAGTTCGGCCTGGGAGGCGGCATTCGAGGGGACTGGGGGCTCCTGGAGGGGCCTGAGCTGGGGTGGGGGTCGCAGCCCGCCCCGCCGTCCCGGTTTTGGGGGGTCGCAGTCAAGCTCCGCCGCCTAGGGCCCGGGGGGCGGGTCCCCGACCCCGGCCGCCTCACCTGGCTCGCTCCCGTGGCTCGCTGGCTCCCGCCGACCCCGCCTCTCCTGGCACCGCACAGCGCCCGCCTCCGGCCTCCGCAGCTCCCGCAGGCCCGGCCGCGGCCGCCGCTGACGGGATCCCGGGCTCCGCGGTCCCTAATATGGCGGCGGTCGCTCCTCCGCTGCCTCCCGGCTCCCTCCCTCCGCCGCGCGCGCCCGGCCGGCCGCGCGCACCCCCGCAACCCGACCACGCCCCCACGCCGCGCGCGGCTAATCGCGGCCACGCCCCCCGCCTACCCCACACACCGCCAGGCCCTGCCCAACACCCAGCCAGGCCCTGCCCACTCCGAGTGGCTGCGCCTGCGCGCGTTGGGCATCTCGGGAGGACGTGACGTCTCCCGCGATTCAAATCAATACAGGAAGCGCGGCTCCACGCGTTGCCCAGGGCAACCGCGGCCGGAAGAGGACCCGCGGGGTGCTAGACGTTGCAGAAATGGCTCTGGTAGATGGAGGGCGTGGTTCCCACTGGGGACAGTCGCGGAATGGGGCGCCCCAGGGCAGACCCTTCCTAGGGTAGATCGAAGCCAGGCACACCTCAGTGCGGCATTGACGTCGCGCCTAATGAGCGCAGATGGGACCCAACACCAGGTGCGTGTCCCGAACGTACAAACGTCACTGCTGAGAGTCATTAATTTATTCAACAAACCTGCATTGCGCTCCTAAGTGCTGCTCCTCCAGGCCCCAGTGAGACAGCAGGGAACAAAACAGGTTTTTAGGCCAGGTGCGGTGGCTCAAGCCTGTAATCCCGGCACTTTGGGAGGCCGAGGCGGGCGGATCACCTGAGGTACGGAGTTAATCCCAGCTACTCGGGAGGTTGAGGCAGAAGAATCCCTTGAACCCAGGAGGCAGAGGTTGCAATGAGCCGAGATTGCGCCACTGCACTTCAGCCAGGGTGACAGAGCAACACTACGTCTTGAAAAAAAAAACAAAAAACAGGTTTTTAAAAAAATTATGGGCCGGGCGCGGTGGCTCACGCCTGTAATCACAGCACTTTGGGAGGTGGAGGTGGGTGGATCACCTGAGGTCAGGAGTTCGAGACCAGCCTGGCCAACATAGTGAAACCCCGTCTCTACTAAAAATACGAAAAATTAGCCAAGCATCGTGGCAGGCGCCTGTAATCCCAGCTACTGGGGAGACTGAGGCAGGAGAATTGCTTGAACCCGGGAGGCAAAGGTTGCAGTGAGCCAAGATCGCACCATTGTACTCCAGCCTAGGCAACAGGGCAAGACTCAGTCTCAAAAAAAAAAAAAAAAAAAAAAAGGTTAAACATAGAATTGCCACATGACACAGCAGTAACACTCCTAGGTATCTACCCAAGAGAAACAAACATGTAACATCCACGCAAAAACTCACACACCTATGTGCATAGCAGCTTTATTCATAACATCCACAAAGTGCACACAACCCAAATGTACATCCACAGATGAAGGGAAAATGCTCCATTCATACAATGACACGGTGTTTTGCAATATGAGGCAATGAGGCTCGGACACAGGCTACAGATTGGATGAACCTCGAAAGCATCATGCCCAGTGAAAGAAGCCAGATACAAAAGACCACATAGTGAGTGATTCCATTGATACGAAATGTCCAGATAAGCAAATCCATAGAGACAGGAAGTGGATTAGTGGTTGCCAAGGGCTGGGAGAGGGGGATCAGGAGTGACTGGAATGGACTTTATTTTGGGGGGTTGATGGATATGTTCTAAAATTGATGTGATGGCCGTGAGCTGTGGCTCACACCTGTAATCCCAGCACTTTGGGAGGCTGAGGCGGGCAGATCACTTGAGGTCAGGAGTTCAAGATCAGCCTGGCCAATCTGGTGAAACCCCATCTCTACTAAAAATACAAAAATGAGCCGGGTGTGCTGGCGCGCACCTGTAGTCCCAGCTACTCGGGAGGCTGAAGCAGGGGAATCACTTGAACCCGGGAAGTGTAGGTTGCAGTGAGCCCAGATCATGCCACCACACTCCACCTTGGGTGTCAAAGCAAGACTCCGTCTCGGAAAAAAAAAAAAAAAATTTATGTGATGATGGCTGCCCGACTCTGAATATACTAAACACCACTGAATTATCACTTTACACAGATGAATTGTACAGTATGTAAACTATATCTCAATACAGCTGTTATTTAAAAAGTTCTTGCCCGGCGCAGTGGCTTGCGCCTATAATCCCAGTGCTTTGGGAGGCCAAGGAGGGCGGATTATGAAGTCAAGAGATCGAGACCATCCTGGTCAACATGGCGAAACCTCATCTCTACTAAAAATACAAAAATTAGCTGAGCGTGGTAGCACGCGCCTGTAATCCCAGCTTCTCGGGAGGCTGAGGCAGGAGAATCCCTTGAACCCGGGAGGCGGTGGTTGAAGTGAACCGAGATTGCACCACTGCACTCCAGAAAAAAAAAAAAAAATCCCCTTTGGAGCTGAGTTAAGGAGAAAAGAGAACAGGGAAAAGGAGGAGGCAAGAGGTTACAGTTTCAGATGCAGTGCTCGGGGATGCTCTTATTGCAAAGATGATGTTTTAATAAAGATCTGAAAGAGGAGCTGGGCGCAGTGACTAACGGCTGTAATCCCGGCACTTTGGTAGGCCGAGGTGGGCAGATTACTTGAGGTCAGGCCTTCAAGACCAGCCTGGCCAACATGGTGAAACCTCATCTCTACTAAAAATACAAAAATTAGCCGGGCATGGTAGCAGGCCCCTGTATTCCCAGCTACTCGGGAGGCTGAGGGAGGAGAATCGTTGGAACCCGGGAGGCAGAGGTTGCGGTGAGCTGAGATCGCGCCACTGCACTCCAGCCTGGGCAACACAGCAAGACTCTGTCTCAGAAGAATAAAATAAAAGGAGAGGAGAGGGAGATTCTAACACAGAAACACAGAGACAGACACACAGGGGTCAAGGCCAGGTGATGACAGTGGCAGAGATTGGAGTGACGAAGCCACAAGCTGAGAAACACCAAGGACTGGCGGCCACCCCCAGAAGCTGGAAGAGGCAGGAAGGATCCTCCCCTGGAGCCTCCAGAGAGGCCACAGATCTGCAGATACCTGGATTCCAGACTTCCGCCCCCCAGGGACTTGCTCAATCCCAGAGGACCCACCGAACAGAAGACGCAGACTTGGTTCTTCTGTGCTATCAGTTTCTCGAAGGTCTACAGAGGCCAGATGCCAAGTTCTCTGACTTACACAGGCCTTGCTTTTGGCTGAGGCTTCGATATCTGCGTCCTGCACCCTGGGATTATCTCCTCCTGGGGAGCATCCTTGGGGCCAGTCACACCTGGCACCCTGCCCTCGTAGCCTTCCTGAGTCAGCACAGCTCCTGGTCCACGGGAAGTCCTCCGTAAACAGCCTGAGCCACAAACATGTTGAGATGACGTCCTCGCAAGGCAGCTGAGGGCTGCAGTGATGCCTGTTATCTGCAGTCAGTTTTCCAACACATAGGAAGGCAATACAATAATTTAAAAAAAAAAAGGGGGGGTGGGCCGTGCACGGTGGCTCACGCCTGTAATCCCAGCACTTTGGGAGGCCGAGGCGGGCGGATCACGAGGTCAGGAGATCGAGACCATCCTGGCTAACACGGTGAAACCCCGTCTCTACTAAAAATACAAAAAAATTAGCTGGGCTTGGTGGTGGGCACCTGTCGTCCCAGCTACTTGGGAGGCTGAGGCAGGAGAATGGCGTGAACCCAGGAGGCGGAGCTTGCAGTGAGCTGAGATCGCCCCATTGCACTCCAGCCTGGGTGACAGAGCGAGACTCTGTCTCAAAAAAATAAAAGTGGGGGTGTCAGCTCCATGAGGCCAGACACTGTGTCTGTTTTGTCCTGTGTCCTCTGTGCCCAGGACACTATCCTCTGTGCTCAGGACACTGTCCAGCACACAGTAGTTGCTCAATAAGTATTTGTGAATGTTGTCTTAAAATAGAAGTTGGCCTTCCAAAAGGATTTCTTTGCTATGCACAGCATTTTATGTTTTTTCATTAATTTTTATTTAATTATTTTTTTGAGATGGAGTCTCACTCTGTCACCCAAGCTGGAGTGCAGTGACGCGATCTTGGCTCACTGCAACTTCCGTCTCCTGGGTTCAAGTGATGCTCCTGCCTCAGACTCCTGAGTAGCTGGAATTACAGGCACCCGCCACTAGGCCAAGCTAATTTTAGTATTTTTAGTAGAGATGGGGTTTCAGCATGTTGGCCATGCTGGTCTTGAACTCCTGACCACAAGTGATCCACCTGCCTTGGCCTCCCAAAGTGCTGGAATTACAGGCGTGAGCTACAATGCCCAGCCATGTTTTTTTATTAATTGCTCATTTTTTTTTTTTTTTTGAGATGGGGTCTTGCTCTGTCACCCAGGCTGGAATCCAGTGGTGTGATTACAGCTCACTGGATCCTTGAACTCCTGGACTCAAGCTATCAAGCCACCTGAGTAGCTGGGCCTACAGGCATGAGCCACCAGGCACAGTTGATTTTTTTTTTTTTTTTTTGGAAATGGAGTCTTGCTCTGTTGCCCAGGCTGGAGTGCAGTGACAGGATCTCAACTCACTGTAACCTGTGTCTCCCAGGCTCAAGCGATTCTCCTGCCTCAGCCACCCAAGTAGCTGGGATTACAGGCTGAGCCACTGCGCCCAGCCAAATTAAAAAAAATTTTTTTTCTGTTGAGACGGGGGCTTACCACATTGCCCAGGCTGGTCTTGGAATCTTGGGCTCAATCGATCATCCTCTCACCCCACAGCCTCCCAAAGTGCCAGGATTACAGGTATGAGCCACCACTCCTGGCAGTCACCCACATTTTAAAAATAAGAGATTGCAAGCAGGGCACAGTAGCTCACGCCTGTAATCCCAGCACTTTGGGAGGCCAAGGCAGGTGGATCACCTGAGGTCAGGAGTTTGAGACCAGCCTGGCCAACATAGTGAAACCCTGTCTCTACTAAAAATACAAAAAGTTAGCTGGTGTGGTGTTGCATGCCTGTAATCCCAGCTACTCGGGAAGCTGAAGCCTTTTTGTATTTTTAGTAGAGATGGGGGTTTCACCATGTTGGCCAGGCTGGTCTCGAACTCCTGACCTCAAGTGATAACACCCACCTCGGCCTCCCAAAGTGTTGGGATTACCGGTGTGAGCCACCGTACCCGGCCTCTTTCAGGTCTTTCTTCAGATGTCACCACCTCAGATTCTGGCCACCCTTCCTGAAACTGCACACCCTATACATACACCGCCCTTGGCTACCGAATTTTTTCTCGTTAGCCTTTTTCACCATCTAATAGGTATTGCATTTACTTATCGTGTTATTTTCTGTCTCTATAACAACACTGGGAGGCGTACGAGGGTAAGGGCTGAAGGCTCTCTTGTCCTCAAGGCCATGTACTATTTATTACATACATGAATGAATGAACGACTGCATTTCTTCCTTTTTTTATTCCTCACCTACTTAAGGTTCGAGCTCCCTGAGCCCATTGGCCAACACCTCTGGAGTCTGACCACGCCTAGAAACACTGCGCATGCTCCGTTGCTAGCCAGCCCAGGCAGGGCGCTGAATCGGCACAAACCAGTCTCACTTCTTGTACCGCAGTGGGGAGGTTGGAGAGAATTTTTTCCCATGAAAGGGCATACGTTGCCCGTCCCCTTCCCCGAAGAACGCACTAGGAATACTGTTCCTGCGTTTGCATGAGCTGTGGCACCAGCACCGACTCAGCCTTCCGGGCCTCCCTCATGCACGGAGCCTCTCACTAGGTCTCACCCGCGGCTGCGTTGGTGCCGTCCGGCACGGTCACGTGGGCGAGAAAATGGCGGCCCCCAGACCGCACTGCGGGCGTCGCGGCAGGTGAAGCGGTGGTGGCAGAGGCGCCTGCGGTTACTGGCCGGGCCGACGGGTCCTGAGTCTCCAGAGCTCGGTGAGGCGTCCCGGAGGCGGCGATCACGGTGTGGGGCCCGGGTCTGGCGGGCGGTGGCACCGGGAGCGCCTCGTTAGGGAATCCGGTCTCAGGGATTCGTTGACTGTGGATGGGGCGGGTTAAGGGGTCTCGAGTCCCGGCGATCTCTTTCCTCTGGGATTTTTTACATGAAAGAGTGCCCACCTCACGTCCTGAAGCTCCTATGTCGTACGGTTGGGTCTCAATGGTCCCCAGTGCCCTGCCAGCTCGCACAGGCCTGCCCTCTGGTTTCTGATGACCCCTCTTTAAAGGTGTCACTCTCCTTTGATGGTCACCTGTGCTTAGGTGGCTACACTGCCCTCGTCAAGCCCAGGCAGCCTTGCTGACGCCACTGTTCACCAGAGAGGGCTGCCAGCATGCCATAGCCAGCCTGTCTTGAGATGAAGCATCCGCCAGGTTCTCAGCCGATCTGGAAAGAGAGGGGTCCCTTCTCCCCTTGGCTGTGTTCTTTTATCCTAAGTCATTCAACAAAGCGTTGGTGGTTTAGAGCCCGACTCTGGAGCCAGACTTCCTGGATTCCTAACTCTTCACGCTGCTCCCAAGCAAGTTCCCAAGCACAGTCCCAAACTGTGCCTCAGTTTCCTCACCTGTAAAATGGGGACAATCTTAGTAACTACCTCACAGGGTAGTGATGTAGATCGAATGAATTAATGAATGTAAAGAGCATGGAGTGCCTGGCGCGTAGCAAATGCTACATAAGTGTCAGCTGCTATTGTCACGGTTGTCGTTTTTATTTTATTTATTTATTTTGAGACAGGGTCTTGCTTTGTAGCTCAGTCTGGAATGCAATGGCACGATCTCGGCTCACTGCAACCTCCGCCTCTCGAGTTCAGGCGATTCTCCTACCTCAGCCTCCCGAGTAGCTGGGATTACAGGCGCCCACCACCACGCCCAGCTAATTTTTGTATTTTTAGTAGAGATGGGGTTTCACCATGTTGGTCAGCTGGTCTCGAACTCCTGAACTCAGATGGTCTGTCCACCTCGGCCTCCCAAAGCGCTGGGATTACAGGCGTGAGCCACCGCGCCCAGCCGGTTATTGTTTTTATTGAGGCCCTACTGCGTGCAGGTCATTGCACTAAGTGCTGGGAATACAACAGTGACCAAGATAGACTCAGTCCCAGCCTTCAGAGTTCTATTCTAATGAGGGATAAGACCAATCACAAGCAACTAAACCAATACTTTCCAATATGATATCTAGGAGTCTTAGGCGCCGTGGAGAAAAATAAAGCTGAATAAGTGAAAAGAGATGGAAGAGTAACATTGTCCATTGTGATCAGGGAAGGCTTCCATGAGGAAGTGATGTTGGAGACCCAGGAAAGCAAGAGGATGAGCACGGGTGTTCCTGGACCAAACTGAGGGTCGGGCTGCTATTTCTCATGGTCCAATAACGAGATGCAGATTAACTGGGGAGGAAGAGAGTTTTTATTTCTGTAACCGGTTACAGGGAGAAGGCCTGGAAAATATCGCCAGACCAACTCAAAATGACAAAGTTTTCCAGAGCTTATATACCCTCTAAGCTCTCCATCTACATGTAACTGAGCATCCATCTAAAGACTTAAAGTGACTAACTTCTTTTAATCTATAACTAAGATCTGAATCCTGAAGACTTTCCTTTGGAACCTCAGTAAATTTACTTAATCTAAATGGGTCCAGGTGCTGGGGTGATCACCCTTATCTCATCTCCAGTGGGTCCAGGTGCTGGGGTGATCATCCTTATCTTGTCTCCTGCTAAATCATGGAGGTTTGGGGAGTTCTTCAGACACCCAGTAAAACTTGTTTCATCCTAAACGGGTCACATTAAGAATTCCTTCGTTATTGGCTGGGTGTGGTGGCTCAAGCCTGTAATTCCAGCAGTTTGGGAGGCTGAGGCGGGTGGATCACCTGAGGTTGGGAGTTCGAGACCAGCCTGACCAACATGGAGAAACCCTGTCTCTACTAAAAATACAAAATTAGCCGGGCATGGTGGTGCATGCCTATAATCCCAGATACTCGGGAGGCTGAGGCAGGAGAATCACTTGAACCCTGGAAGCATAGGTTGTGGTGAGCCGAGATAATGCCACTACACTCCAGCCTGGGCAAAAGAGCGAAACTCTGTCTCAAAAAAAAAAAAATTCCTTCATTATCTTGTCATGCCTTAAGGCCCAGGAAAGGCCTGGGCAAAACTCTTCATGGGCTTTTGTTACATTCCAGCCTTTGTATGAGGGCACTGGCTCTTTTAGCTTTTAATGTTTAACTTAACCACTCAGTCAGTGCTGAAACAGTTATGGAGGCCTGTGTTAGTGAGGCCTGGCCTGCTACGTGGGGACATCTAGGGAAGAATGTTCCTCATGGAGATCACAGCAAATGCAAAGGCCCTAGGGCTGCACTGGGCCTGGCGTGTTGGAGGAACAGCGAGGAGGCCTGTGTGGCTGGAGTGGAGCTAGAGAGGGAAGAGGTGATGGGAGATGGTCATGAAGGGCCTTTGGGACTGTCAAGTAGTTGAGTGAGGAGGCATAGGAGGATTTTAAGCAAGGGAGTGATATGGTCCAGTTTACATATTGAAAGTACTTCTGAATCTGTTATCTAAGCTGTGTAACAAAAATCCCCATAATGGCTGGGGGTAGTGGCTGATGCCTGTAATCCTAATGCTTTGGGAGGCTGAGGCAGGATGATCACTTGAGCTTGGGAGTTGGAGACCAGCCTGGGCAACATAGAAGTGAGACCCCATCTCTACAAATAATAAAAAAAAAATTAGCTGGGCATGCTGGTGTGTGCCTGTAGACACAGCCACTAGGAAGTCTGAGGCAGGAGGATCACTTGAGACTGGGAGTTCGAGGCTACAGTGAGCCGTGATCATGCTGCCGTACTCCAGCCTGGCGACAGAACAAGATCCTGTCTCAAAAACAAACAAAAAAACATACTTGGTTACCTTCAACAACAGTAAACAGTGTCGCACACAGTTGCTCTGGGCCTGGCTTAGCTGGCTGGCTCTGGGTCTGGCCTCTGGTAAGGCCTCAGTGGAGACGCTCTGGGGCTGCATCATCTGAAGGTTCGCTTGGGGCTGGACGAGCTGCTGCCAGCCCACTTCTCTCACATGGCTGTTGGTGGGAGGGCTCAGTTTTTTGCCACGTGGGCCCCTACAAAAGACTGCTTGAGCATCCTCACAACATGGTCACTGGCTTCCCCTAGAGAGAGAACAAGGATGAGACTGTTGTGCTTTTTATGCCCTAACCTTGGAAGTCTTGCTCTGTTCCATCTTCTTGGCATTCACATGGGTCAGCCCTGTTCAGAGTGGGAGAGGACTATATAAAGCCTTGAATATTGGGTGGGGATCGCTATATAAAGCCTTGAATATTGGGTGGGGATCGCTAGGGCCATTTTGGGGGTCAGCTGTCCCTCTGGCTGCTGTGTGGAGAGCAGACAGTGGAGGTCATTTCTGATAGGCCTATAGGCGAGAGGCAGTGCAGAGACTGAGGCCCAGAGAGGGAAAGCAACTTACGGAAGGCTGCACAGCTAGTAGGGAGGTTGGAGCTGAGCTTTCAGCGTAGATGCTCAGGTTGGTCAGTGGGTAGGAATTTGCCCCACCCAGGTCCTAGGAACAGACAACGCACTGGTGAAGGGGGCTTCTAACCTGGGCTCTCATTTTTCTGCCACAGGTTCTTACATCCCCGCGTCCCCAGGTTTAGCCTGAGCAGGGTTGTGGAAGGCCGGGACCCATTGACAGCACGATGGTGACGGAGCAGGAGGTGGATGCCATCGGGCAGACGCTGGTGGACCCCAAGCAGCCCCTGCAGGCCCGCTTCCGGGCGCTGTTCACGCTGCGTGGGCTCGGCGGCCCAGGCGCCATTGCATGGATCAGCCAGGCCTTCGATGACGATTCCGCCCTGCTCAAGCACGAGCTGGCCTACTGCCTGGGCCAGATGCAGGATGCCCGCGCCATCCCCATGCTGGTGGACGTGCTGCAAGACACCCGTCAGGAGCCCATGGTGCGCCATGAGGCAGGTGAGCACCTGTCTGTGTCCCGGGCACCTGCTCCCTCCTGCCTCACTTCTTCATGACCCCACGTGTCCCCTTCCTCACTCAGGTGATAAATATCAGAGTGGTCAACTGCCCCATAGAGCACCAGATAGTAAATACCTGCAGCTCTGCAGCCAGACAGCGACTCAATAAAGCCAGCGCAGGTCATCTGTCACCAAATGGCTAAGGCTGTGTGCCCAGACAACCTCAACTGGGCAGGGGGCGGTGGCTCAGGCCTGTAATCTTAGCACTTTGGGAGGCCCAGGAAGGTGGATCGTTTGAACTCAGGAGTTCAAGACCATCCTGGGCAACATGGCAAAACCCTGTCTCTAGAAAAAATACAAAAATTAGCCAGGCATGGTGGCATGCACCTGTAGTCGCAGCCACTTGGGAGGCTGAGGCGGGAGAATCGCTGGAGCCCGGGAAGTCAAGGTTGCAGTGAGCCATGATCGTGCCACCGCACTCCAGCCTGGGCAACAGAGTGAGATCCTGTCTGTGAAAAAACAAAAAACAAACTTCATTTGTAAATGCTGAGATTTGAATTTCATATAAATTCCACCCATCAGGAAGTACTATCCCTTTGATTTTTTGTTTTAAACCATTTATTTGTTTGTTTTGAGTCAGAGTCTCACTCTGTCGCCCAGGCTGGGGTACTGTGGTGCCGTCTTGGCTCACTGCAACCTCTGCCTCCCGGGTTCAAGTGATTCTCCTGCCTTAGCCTCCCAAGTAGATAGCGTTACAGGTGTGTGCCACCACGCCTGGGTAATTTTTGTATTTTTAGTAGAGATGGGTTTTGCCATGTTGGCCAGGCTGGCCTTGAACTCCTGGCCTCAAGTGATCCACCTGCCTCGGCCTCCCAAAGTGCTGGGATTACAGGCATGAGCCATCGCACCCCGCCTTAAACCCTTAAAAGTGTTTTAAAAACCATTCTTTGCTCGTATAAAAACAAGCGACAAGCCATAGATCCCCAATCCCTAATGTATATTAGATTTACTCCACTCATTGGACACACATTTAGTGAGCACCTACTGTATGCCAGGCTCTGTCATGTAGTAAGAGACAAAACAGTGACAATACAGATACAAGCCGGGCATCGTGGCTCACGCGTGTGGTCCCAACTACTCAGGAGGCTGAGGCAGGAGGATTACTTGAGCCAGGGAGGTTGAGGCTGCAGTTAGCCATGATCATGCCACTGCACTCCAGCTTGGGCAACAGAGTGAGACCCTGTCTCAAAAAAATGGACTGTTCAGGTCGGGTGCATTGGCTCACGCCTGTAATCCCAGCACTTTGGGAGGCTGAGGCGGGTGGATCACCTGAGGTCAGGAGTTCAAGACTAGCCTGGCCAACATGGTGAAACCCCGTCTCAACTAAAAATACAAAAAAAAGTAGCTGGGCGTGGTGGCCGGCGCCTGTAATCCCAGCTACTTTGGGAGGCTGAGGCAGGAGAATCACTTGAACCCAGGAGGCGGAGTTTTCAGTGAGTGGAGATCGCGCCATTGTACTCTAGCCTGGGTCACAAGAGCGAAGCTCTAAAAAAAAAAAAAAAATGGACTGTTGTAGCGAGGGACCTAGACAGCGAAGGAGACCAGTGAGGCAGGTAGTTGGTGCGTCTGTGCCACTGGGACTGTGTTTCTGTAACCAGTGAGCTCATTTGCAATTAGCGCGTGGGAGGTGCCTGACACAGAGCCTGTGTTGGCGCATACGGGACTTTTCCCGGCAGAGGGAGCCTGCCAGGCAGGTGCACAAACGCAAACCGCAACCTTCAGGAAAGGCAAAAGCCACCAGCTCAGCTGCCTCACAGGCAGGGCCCTTGAGCTCGATTCTGAGAAAATTCAAGGAACATCTGCACCCAGGGCTCTACGGGGAGCCGCCGCCAGCCTTGCTCCGACCTGGGCTTGCGACGCCTGCACTTGCGCCTGTACCCGAACCCACCTAAGTGTAGCCCCAGTGGCCCCAAATTCTGGAGTCTCCAGCCGGCAGGCCCGGCCTGTTTTGGGAATTTTTTTTGTTTGTTTTTTTGAGACAGGGTCTCACTCTGTCGCCCATGCTGGAGTACAGTGGTGTGATCATAGCTCACTGCACCCCCGACCTCCTGGGTTCTTGGAGCTGCTTGTCAGCTGTGATCCCGAGTTGTAGGGATATACTTGTCTCCCTGTCTCATGGTACGGGCCGGGATGGGGTCCATTTTGCTCTGAGCGGCAGCCAGGTGCGGTTCCAGGCAGTGCCTTGCTCTGGGGAGGGGATGCTGATTGGTCCAGCGGGGAGCCTGTACCGACTGCTGCTCCAATCAGCCGTGGACAGAGGCGGGGCTTCCCCACAGTGGCAGAGCCCTGGGAGGGGTGTCCTCCGGTCCCAGAGGTAGCCGGGCATTTTCCACACATCCACCCCACCAACATGAGCTCTCCGGCTGCTTCTTCCCAGGGGAGGCCCTGGGGGCCATCGGGGACCCGGAAGTTCTGGAGATCCTGAAGCAGTATTCCTCGGACCCCGTCATCGAGGTAACCAGGCCCCTGCTTGTCTCCCTGCCAGTCTCGGGTCCCTGGGAAGCCCTGCCCAGCCCTGCCCCAGCCCTGACCTGGAGCAGCCTCAGACCCTCCCCATCTCTGGTTGCCAGGGCGACCACTTGGCCAAGGATGCCCCAGGGATGAGGAAGGCGAGGGCGACAATCTGGACAGACACTTGCTGCGCCCCATTTGGCAAAACGGCGACAACCAGCTTTGCTCACCCGCTTCCATCCCGGGCCTTGAGCCCCTGAGCCGGCCTGACCCCCTTTCTCTGAACCCCCACGTCCAGTCCCTCTGCCAAGACCCCTCTGAACCC
This sequence comes from Homo sapiens, assembly GCF_000001405.40. NCBI lineage: Eukaryota > Metazoa > Chordata > Mammalia > Primates > Hominidae > Homo > Homo sapiens. Next base: position 3,493,705 of record NC_000019.10, on the reverse strand, counting down.
ACCCAGTGCCCTCTACCTCTGATACCTTGTCCTGGCCCACCAGACCTCTTCAGAGATCTCCTGCTACCTTCCAACATTTCTTCTTTTTTTTTTTTGAGACGGTGTCTCGCTCTGTCGCCCAGGCTGGAGTGCAGTGGGCGCGATCTCGGCTCACTGCAAGCTCTGCTTCCCAGGTTCATGCTATTCTCCTGCCTCAGCCTCCAGAGTAGCTGGGACTACAGGCGCCTGCCACCACGCTCAGCAAATCTTTTCGTATTTTTAGTAGAGACGGGGTTTCACCATGTTAGCCAGGATGGTCTCGATCTCCTGACCTCGTGATCCACCCGCCTTGGCCTCCAAAGTGCTGGGATTACAGGCGTGAGCCACCGCGCCTGGCCCAAAAATGAAACAAATTTTTATTTTATTAGTTTTTTCTTTATAGAGATGAAGTCCCGCTCTGTCGCCCAGGCTGGTGTTGAACTCCTGGGCTCAAGCGATCCTCCTGCCTTGGTCTCCCTAACTGCTGGGATTAGGGGCATGAGCCGCTTCGGCCGGCCCGTCATTCCTTTTTGTGGCTGAGTCACGTTCCGTGGTGTGGACGGCCCATGCTGTGTCCACTCACTGTGGCTGGATGCTTGAATTGTCTCTGCTTTTTAGCTGTTATGAGTTATGCCGCCACGGACATGCATGTTCCTTTCTCCCCTGCCACTTCTTGTCCACATCCCACCCCGACCCTCAGTCTCTCCTCCTCCGGGGCAGCCGGGGGTACGTGTGACACTCAATTCTGCTGTTCTGTTCCATGCTTAAAGCTCTCACGATATCTCATCACCTTTAGGACAAAATCCCAAGCCCTTACAGTGGCCCGCAGGCCTTACCTGGTCAGGTGGGGCCGCACATGTTCCTTTGGCCCTCACCCCTCCCGCAGGGTCCTGCCTCAGGGCCTTTCCACCGCTGCTTCCCCATCCCCGGGTCTCCACCTGATTCCCTCCCTAAGCTGGCTTAGGTCTCTGCCTCCACATCACCTCCTCCCTGAGGCCCTCCCCAGCCCTCCAGTCCCCCGGTCACTCACAAGTCAGCCACCCCTGCTGGCTTACTTCCTGCCTGGAATGATGGGTTAGTCACCCTGCCAGTGTCTCTCTCCCCTGCTAAGCTGCCATCCCGGGGGGTGGGGAAGGGCCCCTGCGACCCCCCAGGGCCAACCCGCTGCCTGATACCCCCTCCCCGCAGGTGGCCGAGACCTGCCAGCTGGCCGTGCGCAGGCTGGAGTGGCTGCAGCAGCACGGCGGGGAGCCGGCGGCGGGACCCTACCTCTCCGTGGACCCTGCCCCGCCGGCTGAGGAGCGTGACGTGGGGCGCCTGCGGGAGGCGCTGCTGGATGAGTCCCGGCCGCTCTTCGAGCGATACCGCGCCATGTTCGCCCTGCGCAACGCGGGAGGCGAGGAGGCCGCCCTGGCGCTGGCCGAGGGTGAGGAGGGGCTTCTGGGGTGGGGTCCTGGGCAGTGCCTCGCTGTGAGGTTCAGTGATGGCATCTGTGCAGTGGGGCCGCGGCCTGCCCCCGGGAACGGCATCCCGGGCCTGGCCCCAAGCATTTCCCATGGGGCCTCTTAAGAACCCGTGCAAGCGTCCCTCTTGGTCCCCATAGCTCCCAGCTTTTCCCGCCCCCATAGCTGCGGTCAGTTCCCCCGGGCATCCCTAATCACTGGGGCTGGGGGCAGGGGTGTCTTCAAGGTAGAACACCCCAGGTTGGGCGTGGTGGCTCACGCCTGTCGTCCCAGCACTTTGGGAGGCCGGGATGGGAAGATCGCCAGGACTTTGTGACCTGCCTGGGCAAGATAGCAAGACCCCATGTCTTCGAAAAGACAGAGCTCCCCTTCCCACCCCTCCTGGCCCCAGCGAGTGTCCCTCTCCCCTGCAGGTCTGCACTGTGGGAGCGCCCTCTTCCGCCACGAGGTCGGCTACGTCCTGGGACAGCTGCAGCACGAGGCGGCGGTGCCCCAGCTGGCGGCCGCCCTGGCCCGATGCACCGAGAACCCCATGGTGCGGCACGAGTGCGCGGAGGCCCTGGGCGCCATTGCCCGGCCCGCCTGCCTGGCCGCGCTGCAGGCTCACGCGGACGACCCAGAGCGCGTGGTGCGTGAGAGCTGCGAGGTGGCTCTGGACATGTATGAGCACGAGACCGGGCGGGCCTTCCAGTACGCGGACGGCCTGGAGCAGCTGCGCGGGGCCCCCTCCTAGGGCCCCACCCTCACCCGGAGCTCCCGGAGGACTCTTGAGGGCCGCTCCTCCCCCGCAGAGCTTTGGCGTCTAAACCGGGTGTGTGTAAATCGGTGTCATCGCTTGTGTCTTGCTGGGCGCATGGTTGCTGTCCCCCTCCTCCGTCTGGGACCGAGGAGCTGCCGTTGTGCTGTGACTCCCTGAGTCCCCTGACTGCTCCTCGGGGCCTGGCGCAGGGCTGTAGCGTGGAAGTTTCCAGGCTTGGGGTGGGACTCTGCGGGAGGCTCTGGGATGCCCGGCTCAGGACAGGGGAGGATTGCGAGGGAAGCCAGGGGAGGATCGCGAGGGAAGCCAGGGGAGGATCGCGAGGGAAGCCAGGGGAGGATCGCGAGGGAAGCCAGGGGAGGATCGCGAGGGAAGCCAAGGGAGGATCGCGAGGGGAGCCAGGGGAGGATCGCGAGGGAAGCCAGGGGCAGAGCTGGGGCTCTGGGAAGAGGCTGACGTTATGGTGGCTTCAGCTTCACTAGGAATGGGACACAGGGTCTGGGGGCCTCTGACTCCCCCACCCCGAGGCCTGGGTAGGGACAGGGTGGTGGTCCCTGAGTGGGTCAGGTAGGGCACAGGGGCCAGGGAGGGACAAGCAGACCTCAGAGCGCTGCCCAGATGGAATATTAAATTATTTTTGCCAAGCACTGACTCCTCTGAGTGTGTTGGGTGAGGGGAGCGTGGGAGGGAGGGAGGGGTGGGGGCTTTCAGGGAACGTTCCCCGAGAGTGTGTGGCGTCTGGGCGGGGAGACGGTTGTATCCGCAGCCATTGGCTCTAGGATCTGTCCTGCTGCTGACACTGAGCCACCACCAGCGACAGGCAGGCCTGCACCTGTTTTATGTGCGGTTACCTGGTCAGATCTGCCCAGCCAGCTCCCTCCAAGTGGGCTCTGGGGAAACAGCCCTCCAGCCTGGCCCTTCCCGGACCCCCGTCTTCCCCCAGCTCCTGTTGTGGGTGCAGTGGAAGGGGTTCTGTGGTCCAGCTGAGAGCCCAGACATGGCTTCCTCCGCCGGCTCCCGCAGCCCTTCCATGTGTGGCTGGGGACAGCCCACTTACCTCTCTGTAAAATAGGCATAGCGGTAGAATCTCAGGTGCAGAGCTCCTGGTCTGCAGCCAGAGAGGCCAAAACCAGAAGACAGGAGGCAAAACGCAACGGGAACCGACTATCCACTGAGCCATGTTCTCCACCGGAGTGCTGGATCCTGCCCCGGGGCATCAGTTTAGCTTGTCATGGGGTGGGGGGTGGGGGTGTGCAGCTGGCATCTAGTCAGGTAGTCGGGGGAGGCCAGGGATGCTGGAAGATAACCTCCAGCACTCGGTCCCCACAACAGAGAATGATCCGGCCCCAAATGAGTGCAGAGGTTGAGAAACCTGCCTGGAAGTCACATGTTTGATTATAGGTTTTTAATTTTAATTTATTTTATTATTTTTGTTGAGATGGAATTTCACTCTTATTACCCAGGCTGGAGTGCAATGGCGTGATCTCGGCTCACTGCAACCTCTGCCTGCCAGGCTCAAGCACTTCTCCTGCCTCAGCTTAACAAGTAACTGGGATTACAGGCATGCACCATCATGCCCAGCTAAATTTTTTTTTTGTTTTTTTTTTTTTTTCGAGATGGAGTCTCGCTCTGTTGCCCAGGCTGGAGTGCAGTGGCACGATCTCCACTCACTGCAAGCTCCGCCTCCCGGGTTCACGCCATTCTCCTGCCTCAGCCTCCCGAGTAGCTGGGACTACAGGCGCACGCTGCCACGCCCGGCTAATTTTTTGTATTTTTAGTAGAAACGGGGTTTCACTGTGTTAGCCAGGATGGTGGATGGTCTCGATCTCCTGCCTCGGCCTCCCAAAGTGCTGGGCTTACAGGTGTGAGCCACCGTACCTGGCCTGTTTGTATTTTTTAGTAGAGACAGGCTTTCACCATGTTGGTCAGGCTGGTCTCAAATTCCTGACCTCAGGTGATCCACCCGCCTCGGCTTCCCAAAGTGCTGAGATTACAGGCATGAGCCACCACACCCAGCCTTTTTTTTGCCTCCCCCCGAGATGGAGTCTTGCTCTGTCACCCAGGCTGGAGTGCATTGGCGTGATCTCAGCTCACTGCAACCTCTGCCTCCCGGGTTCAAGTGATTCTCTTGCCTCAGCCTCCCAAGTAGCTGGGATTACAGGCACGTGCCACCATGCACGCCCAGCTAATTTTTGTATTCTTAGTAGAGATGGGGTTTCACCATGTTGGCCAGGCTGGTCTTGAACTCTTGACCTTGTGATCAGCCCGCCTTGGCCTCCCAAAGTGCTGAGATTACAGACGTGAGCCACTGCGCTTGGCTCACTTTTTTTTTTTTTAAATGGAGAGGGTCTCCCTCTGTCTCCCAGGCTGTAGTGCAGTGGCTGATCACTGCAGCTTACTGCAGCCTCAACCTCCTGGGCTCAAGCGATCCTCCTATCTTGGCCTCCCAAGCAGTTGGGACCTCAGGTTTGCCCCACTGTGCCTGAGTAATATTTGTATTTTTTTGTAGAGACGGGGTCTCAGTATGTTTTGTTCTGTGTTGAGACAGGGTCTCACTCTGTTGCCCAGGCTGGAGTGCGGTGGTGCAATCTCAGCTCATTGCAACCTCTGCCTCCCAGGTTTAAGCAATTCTTGTGCCTCAGCCTGCTGAGTAGCTGGGACTACAGGCACATGCCTCTATGCCTGGCTGATTTTTGTATTTTTAGTAGAGACAGGGTTTCACCATGTTGGCCTGGCTGGTCTTGAACTCCTGGCCTCAAATGATCTGCCCTCCTCAGCCTCCCAAAGTGCTGGGATTATAGATATGAGCCACGTGCCTGGCCATCTTGTTTATGTTTTAGAGACAGAGTGTTGCTCTATTGCCCAGGCTGGAGAGCAGTGGCTCGATCTAAGCTCGCTGCAACTTCTGTCTCCCAGGCTCAAGTGATCCTCCCACCTCAGCCTCCTGAGCAGCCAACATCCATTCTACTATGGTTCCGTGGGGCTCTCTCTCTTGCGATCTGTTCTGTCACTTTCTTGTTGGCCTCCAACCTCCCTCATCCTCACTCAGCTGATGACCTTGCTTTCGGCTTCAGTGAAAAAATCAAGCAGACCTTCCGCACACCCCACCAACAGCTGTGCCCGCCTGCCTGTCCCTGTGCCGTGCATGCTGCCTCCCCTCCTGCCTGCTAACGCTGGCTGATGAACTGTTGGTTCTGCTAGCCAAGACTTACCTAAGATCCTTGTGGCTGTGCAACAGATTACTCCAAACTTAGCAGCTTCAAACAGCTGGACTTGGGTCAAATCGTGTCCCCCGAAAAGGCTTGTCCAGGTGGTAACCCCTGGTACCCATGAATGTGACCTGATTTGGAAATAGAGTCTTTGCAGGTGTTGTTAAGGATCTCAGCATGAGATCATCCTGGATTTAGGGTAGACCCTACATCCAATGACCAGTGTCCTTACAGAGACAGAAAAGTGGACCTGAGCACAGAGGCACATGCCTATAGTCCCAGCTACTCTAGAGGCCAAGGCAGGATCGCTTATGCCCAGGAGTTCAAGACCAGCCTGGGCACCATAGTGAGACCCCCATCTCTTTAATTAAAAAAAAAAAAAAAAAGACAAGGCCGGATGCGGTGGCTCACACCTGTAATCCCAGCACTTTGGGAAGTCAAGGCAGGTGGATCACCTGAGGTCAGGAGTTCGAGACCAGCCTGGACAACATGGTGAAACCCCATCTCTACTGAAAATACAAAAATTAGCTGGGTGTGGTGGTGCATGCCTGTAATCCCAGCTACTCAGGAGGCTGAGGCAGGAGAATCACTTGAACCCAAGAGGCAGAGGTTGCAGTGAGCCGAAATCGTGTGCCATTGCGCTCCAGCCTGGGTGACAAGAGCAAGACTCCATCTTAAATAAAGAAGACAAGAAAACCCCCAGAGACAGAGGAAAGAAGACAGATACCTTTCCTGTGGGTCACGAGTCTGGGAGCAGCAAGCGTATCTGGATGTTTCTGGCTTTGGGTGTTTCATGAAGTTGCAATCAAGCTGTCGGCCAGGGCTGCCTCATCTGAAGGCTCAACTGGGGCCGAAGGAGCCACTTCCAAGGTGGCACCTTCCAATGTGACATTGGCTGCCTGAGCCACCTCTTTTCCTCACCAACTCCTCGTCCTTCTCATCAACTCACAGCCATTACTTCAGCCCTTCCCCCTTTTCTCTCCTGCCTCCTTGGTTTCCTCTCTTTACCCATCAACACAGACCAGCTGCAATGTTTTTAAAACAACAAGAAAAAGCTGGGCACAGTGGCTCACACCTGTAATCCCGGCATTTTGTGAGGCTGAGGCAGGTAGGTCACTTGAGGTCAGGAGTTGGAGACCAGCCTGTCCAACATGGTGAAATCCTGTCTCTGCTAAAAATACAGACATTAACTGGGCATGGTGGCACATGCTTGTAGTCCCAGCTACCTGGAAGGCTGAGGTATGAGAATTGCTTAAACCTGGGAAGTGGAGGTTGCAATGAGCCGAGATGGCCCCACTGCACTCCAGCCTGGGCAACAGAGGGAGAGGGAGTCTTAAAAGAACACCACCACCACCAACAAAACAAAACCCTGGAAAGTAGTCCCAGCTATTTGGGAGGCTGAAGCAGGAGAACCACTTGAACCCGGGAGGCAGAGGTTGCAGTGAGGAGATCATACCACTGCACTCCAGTCTGGGTGACACAGCGAGACTCTGTCTCAAAAACAAACAAAAATATAAAAAGCCACCCTCACCGGGCGCAGTGGCTCACGCCTATAATCCCAGCACTTTGGGAGGCTGCGGTGGGTGGATCAAGAGGTCAGGAGATCGAGACCATCCTGGCTAACACAGTGAAACCCCGTCTCTACTAAAAGTACAAAAAAAAAAATTAGCCGGGCGTGGTGGCGGGCGCCTGTAGTCCCAGCTACTTGGGAAGCTGAAGCAGGAGAATGGCGTGAACCCGGAAGGCAGAGCTTGCAGTGAGCTGAGATCGCGCCACTGCACTCCAGTCTGGGCGACAGAGAGAGACTCTGTCTCAAAATAAAATAAAATCATAAATAAAATAAAATAAAAAGCCACCCCCTTTTTTGTAGAGACAAGATCTAGCTGTGTCACCTAGGCTGGAGTACAGTGGCACAATCTTAGCTCACTCCAGCCTCCAGCTCCTGGGCTTAAGCAATCTTCCTGCCTCAGCCTCTCAAGTCCCTGGGACTACAGACATGAGCCACCACCTGGCAAGGGTCACACTTTTTTTTGTTTGTTTGTTTTTGAGATGGAGTTTCGCTCTGTTGCCCAGGCTGGAGTGTAGTGGCGGGATCTCGGCTCACTGCAACCTCCGCCTCCCGGGTTCAAGCGATTCTCCTGCCTTAGCCTCCCGAGTAGCTGGGATTATAGGCACATGTCACCACGCCTGGCTAATTTTTGTATTTTTAGTAGAGATGGGGTTTCACCATGTTGGTCAGGCTGGTCTTGAACTCCTGACCTCATGATCAGCGTTCCTCAGCCTCCCAAAGTGCTGGGATTACAGGCGTGAGCCACCACGCCCGCCCGGGAAGGCTCACACTTCTACACATTGTTGAATTTCCTCCTCCCAACACCCCAGGAAACTTTACCCACCCCATTGTAGAGAGAAGCCAGGGAACCCTGGAGAGCCAAGGTCATGCTGTGACGGGCAGAGCTGGGATTTGAACCCAGGTCTTCCTCACCACCACCTCCTACTGCCTTGTCCTGGCTTCCCTGGCCCCTGGCTACTTGGAATTCCTTGTGTTTCTCCCCAGGTTTCTCCTCTGCAATGTTCCTAACTCAGGAAATGGCAACACCATCATTGCAGGCATTTAGTCTAAAAACAGATTTTTTTAATGAAAAATCGATCCCAAGGCTGGGTGCGGTGGCACATGCCTGTAATCCCAGCACTTTGTGAGGCTGAGGCAGGAGGATCGCTTGAGCCCAGGAGTTAAAGAGCAGCCTGGGCAACATAGTGAGACCCTGTTCCTATAAAAAAAAATACAGAAAATTAGGTAGGTGTGGGGGCACAGACCTGTAGTCCCAGCTACTCAGGAGGCTGAGGCAGGAGGATCGCTTGAGCCTGGGCAGTCAAGGCTGCAGTGAGCCAAGATCCCACCACTGCACCACTGCACTCCAGCTTGGGTGACAGAGCAAGGCCCTGTCTCAAAAAAAAAAAAAAAAAAAAAAAATGTCCATCTCAAATCTGCCTACTTTCCTTCCACTAGGACCAGCTCAGTCCCCTCCTGGCTCCTCCTCTGGCCCCCATAGTCCGTTCTCCCCAAAGCAGCCACCAGGGGGCACCTGTGAGCACCTGGGTCCGGACCCATCCCTCCTCTGCCCACAGCCCTCCATGGCTCCCACATTCCTCAGGGTCTAGGCCGAAGTCTTCCTCACAGTCTACACGGCCCTGCAGGACCTGCCCTGACAGCTCCCCATCCTCCCCTCCCCCCCACTCCCCCGGCTCACTCTGCTCCAGCCACACTGGCCTCCTCACTGTTCCTCCAACACGCCAGGCACAGTCCTGCCCCAGGGCCTTTGCAGGGGCTGTGCCCTCTGCTTGGAACTCTCTTTCCCCTGGATCTCCCATGGCTGGTTCCCTTTTTCCTCCAGGTCTTTGCTCAAATGTCACCTCCTCAGTGATGCCTTGGCAGCCCAATTTTTTTTTTTTCTTGAGATAGTCTCACTCTGTCACCCAGGTTGTAGTACAGGGGTGCAATCATAGCTCACTGCAGCCTTGAACTCCTGGGCTCAAGCAATCCTCCCACCTCAGCCTCCTGAGTAGCTGGGACTACAGGCACTCACCACGCCTGGCTAGTTTTTAAAGTTTTTGTAGAGATGCAGTCTTGCTATGTTGCCCAGAGAGATCTTGAACTTCTGGATCAAGTGATCCTCTTGCCTCAGCCTCCCAAAGTGCTGGGACTATAGGCGTGAGCCACGGCGCCCAGCCACACCTCCCTTTCTAACCTAATATATCATTTACTCTAAGGTTATGTTTCTTTCTTAGCATCCATCTCCCTCCCTGGAATGTCAGGTTTTGGTCTTTCTTTTTTTTTTTTTTTTTTGTTACGGAGTTTCGCTATGTTGCCCAGGCTGGAGTGCAGTGGGATGATCTCGGCTCACTGCAACCTCCACCTCCCAGGTTCAAGCGATTCTCCTGACTCAGCCTCCCGAGTAGCTGGGACTACAGGCGCCCGCCACCACGCCCAGCTAGGTTTTGCATTTTTAGTAGAGACAGGGTTTCACCATGTTGGCCGGGCTGGTCTCAAACTCCTGTCTCAAGTGATCCGCCCACCTCGGCCTTCCAAAGTGCTGGGATTACAGGCGTGAGCTCCTGCGCCCGGCCTGGTCTTTCTTACTCATAGCTGTGTCCCAGCACCTAAGAGAGTGCCCAGCCATAGTCGCTGCTCAATACATATTCGATGAATGAATGAAGAGCCAGGCACGGTGGCGAGGACCTGTAGTTCCTGCTACTTGGGAGACTGAGGCGGGGGGATCGCTTGAGCCCAGGAGGTTGAGGGTGCAGTGAGCTATGATCGCGTCACTGCACTCCAGCACTCAGGGCGACAGAGCGAGACCCTGTCTCAAAAATAATAATAATATTAGCCAGGCATAGTGGCGGGCACCTGTAATCCCAGCTACTCCGGAGGCTGAGGTGGGAGAATCACTTGCACCCGGGAGGCAGAGGTTGCAGTGAGCTGAGATCTCGCCTTTGCACTCCAGCCTGGGTGACAAGAGTGAAACTCCGTCTCAAGAAAAATTAAATAAATAAAATAAAATAATAAGAATTAAAAAGATGAATGAATGAAGAGAGTGAGCCGGCCATGAGGAAATCTGGGCAGGGCGTTCCTGGGAGAAGGAAGCGCAGGTGCGGAGGCCCCGAGGTGGGGACGGCTGGGCAGAGTCGTGGCTGGAGCTGAGCAGGTAGGTTGCGGGTGGGCGGAAGTGATTTACAATGTGATTAACCCAGGCAGATGGTGGCCGTGGGGCAGCCGCCCAATCCTCTTAGCTCAAAGCCCCTTAATACTTCCGCTGTGTGGGTCACCTCCGGGCCTCCCCTGTGCCGGGCGGACACCATGCCGGGGCTGGCGGCCGAGGGGGAGGCCGAGGGCTGGAGCCCGTCCCCGCCGCTGTACGAGGAGTACCGGCCGCCGCCCCTGGACAGCATCCGCCTGCCCAGGTACGTGCTGTACCTGCTGCTGGCCGCGCTGGTGGTGGTGGCCGTCGCCTACGCCATCGTCGGGCACCTCATCAAAGACCTCGCCCACGACCTGGCCGGTGAGCTGCCCCCACCGAAACCCAGCTGGGGCCGATGCTGGGTCACCCTGGGTGGGTGGTCAGGGGATCCTAGTGCTTCTCCTAGCTGAGGAGGGGACAGAGGAGGGTGGCCGGGGCCGGGGAGTTGCCTCACCAGCTCCCTTGCCGCAGACTGGGCGTTTGGCCCGAAGCCAGACCAGGAGGCCGCACCCCGGGAGCTGCGCCCCAGCCTGACCGGCGAGGACTTGGAGGGGCTGGACCTGCAGCTGGCCCTGGCCTGGCAGGGCGAGGAGGACGCCGGCGGGGGTGGGGAGGGAGCCCCCTCTGAACCCCCGCCTCCCCCGGAGCCCCGCCGCCCCTCCATTGCCTTCAAGGACCCCCCATCCCGAAGCTCCTTCTGGAAGCTGATGGCAACTTGAATCCTGAATCCGGGTTCCGGACGCTTTGGCGGTCGTGTAGACAGAACTTACGCGCGCCGGAGCCCTTTCTGCAAACCCTGAGCTGCCCGGTCGCAGCGGACGGCTTTCTCCTTCCCAGCCGGCAGGTTCCGGGGGTTGGACGCTGGCGACTTTCACATACGCAGAGCCTGCCCGGCTCAGCCTCAGCCAAGCCGTCAGCAAACTGTGAATTAGAAACACTAGGGCGATTTAAAACGTTGTAATATTATCGGCCAACCTTACCGAGTGCTTAGCGTGTACCTGCTGCTGTGCAGAGCAGGCTTTTTCTATGCAGTATCTCATTTAATCCTCCGAGGTAGGACTGATCGCCCCCACTTAACAGATGGGGAAACCGAGGCACGCAGTGATGAAGTGGCTTCGCCAAGGTCTCAGAGCACAGAGTGCTTTTCTCAGAAAAAGCCCAGACAACTGACTGACTTTGGAGGGCAGGATCTCCAAGGCGGGTCCTGCCCCCACCCCCTCTGCTGGGCTCCCCTACCTCCAAATCTTCTCCAGCCCCCGCCTCGGCTGCTGGGTTTGCTTGTCTCTGGGGGGTGGTCCTGACTTCCTAATCAGATCGAGAGCTCCCAGACAGCACCAAGGCCTCCTTCTCTTCCAAGCCCTGCACAAGACGGGATACACAGTCAGAGTTTAATAGATGCCTGCCTGGCTGGTTCAAGCAGACCTGTGGCCATCCTGGGGCTGGGATGTGTGAGCCCCATCCTGCTGAGTGGCCGGTCTGCTCAGCGGTCATCCGCAGACCTCCGGAAGAGAGGAAGTGACAGCGACTCAGCAGGCGCTCCATAAACACCTGTGCGATGACGCCGGGCCTTCCTACCACTCGTCTGGGCCATGGCTGCTCCCGTGTCAGCTGGGGCGGGGTCCCCCTTCGCCCGGGCAGGGCCCACTATCTAATCAGCCGAGGGACCAAGGTTGAGGACAGGAGAGCCTGGAGCCTGAGTCATCAACGCTCCCGGGCATCCCCACGTGAGAGCGTCCCGGTTTGCAGGTGGACCACGGGCATGTGGCCTCTGCACACCTTCCCTGTCCCTGTGTGCTCCCATGGCTGCTTGTGGGTCCTCAGGGGCCAAGAGCCTGGGCGAGGCAGGATAAGCTGGGGGCGAGGCAGACCCGGCTTCAAATCCCAGGTCAGACCTGCTGCGTGACCTTGACTTTCCTGGGCACAATGAGACCGGCACCATTTCACGGGGTGTTAAGAAAAGGAAATGCGATCTGTGAAATTGCCGAGCACGGAGCCTCATGTGTACTCTGAGAGCACAAAAGGTGACTCTCAAATTTGCTTTGAGAGACAAGGTCTTGTTCTGTTGCCCAGGCTGGAGTGCGGTGGTGCATGCAGTGGTGCAGTCGTAGCTCGCTGCAGCCTCGAACTCCTGGGCTCAAGCGATCCTCTCACCTCAGTCTCTTTGAGTAGCTGAGACTACAGGTGCAGGCCACCATGCTCAGCTAAGTTTTACATTTTTTATTTTAGAGACGGGAGGAGGTTGGTCTGGAACTCCTGGCCTCAAGCGATTCTCCCGCCTTAGCCTCCCAGAGTGCTGGGATTACAGGCGTGAGACACTGTACCCAGCCTTGGTAACTCTTTGTATTTCTAATTTTTTTTATTTCCTTTGAGACAGGGTCTTCCTCTGTCACCCAGGCTGGAGTGCGGTGGTGCGGCCATAACTGGCTGCAGCCTCAAACTCCTGGGCTCAAGTGATCCTCCCACTTCAGCACACCCTAGTAGCTGGGCCTGCAGGTGCCCGCCGCGCCTGGCTAATTTTTCTATTTTTGTAGAGGTAGGGCTTGACTAAGTTGCCCAGGTTAGGCTCAAGGATCTGCCCGCGTTGGCCTCTCAATGTAGTGGGATTACAGGTGTGAGGCACTGGGTGGGCGCACCCTTCTTAAGATATTCCAGTTGTATTTGTGAGTTCCCCCTGTGTCCAGAGTGGCACGGGGCCTGGGCCGGGACGGGAGGTCGCAGCCATCTCAGCTCAGCCCCTGCAGCAGGGATCACAAAGGGGTGGCCCTGAGGCTGATGGTCCCCAGGGCAGGGTGCAGGGAGGAGGGACTCCCTCAGTTAATTGTTACACAGGTCCAGAGTCTGGCCTCCCGGAGGGAGAGCGATGGGGCAGGAGCTGGCAGGGGAGGGGCAGGATGCCCAATCAGGTGGTGCCAGGGGCGGGCCCCGCTCCCAGGTCTCAGGCATCCCCCGCCCGGGGACCGCCTGTGCCTTATCACGGGGAGGCAGGGCCTCGCCCACACCAAACCTGTGGACGCCGACCCGGGACCGCCGCTGGCTGGCTGCTGGCTCACTCGACCGTCATGGAGACCCTGGGGGCCCTTCTGGTGCTGGAGTTTCTGCTCCTCTCCCCGGTGGAGGCCCAGCAGGGTAGGTGCAGGGGGGCGGGAGGGGGCGTCGCGGGATAGGGGAGTTGGTCAGGTGATCACCATCTCCCAATTTTCCATGGCGAGAAAAAGGAGAGGGGGCAGGAAGAAAAGGAAGAGTGGCTTGGAGGCCCTTCTCAACCCCCGCAGTACCGCCCGGCCTCCCTCTCGCTGGGCTCTGCCCTCCTCTGTAAGGGACCCCCCACCGCCCACCCGAGCCTTTCCCCTCTCCAGCCCTTCTGAGCACACCTGGCTGAACCCCCCGCCTTGAGCTCGGCCCCACTCTGAGCTCGGGCCTCCTTTACAAGCCCCTCCCCATCTGAGTCCCCGCCTCTTTTGTGAACCGCTCCTTCTCACTCCTCCTCCTTTATAAACCCCTCCCCGAGCCCCTCCTCCTCTGTAAGCCCCTCCCCTCTGGGCTCCTCCTTCTTTATAAGCCCCTCCCCCTGAGCCTCTGCCTCCTCTATAAGCCCCTCTCCCTCTGAGCCCCCTAGTTCACAAGCCTCTCCCCATCCGAGCCCCTTCCTCCTTTGTAAGCACCTCCTTCTCACTCTCCCTCCTTTATAAACCCCTCCCCGAGTCCCTCCTCCTCTGTAAGCCCCTCCCCTCTGAGCTCCTCCTTCTTTATAAGCCCCTCCCCCTGAGCCTCTGCCTCCTCTACAAGCCCCTCCCACTCTGAGCCCCCTAGTTCACAAGCCCCTCCCCATCTGAGCCTCTTCCTCCTCTGTAAGCCCCTCCTTCTCACTCATCCTTTATAGACCCCTCCCTGAGCCCCTCGTCTGTTGTAAGCCCCTCCCCTCTGAGCTCCTCCTTCTTTATAAGCCCCTCCTCCTGAGCCTCTGCCGCCTTTATAAGCCCCTCCCACTCTGAGACCCTCTCCCCTTATAAGCACCTCCCCTCTGAGCTCCTCCTTTATAAGCCCCTCCCTCTAAGCCTCTGCCTCCTTTTATAAGCTCCCCCCAACAGCTCCTCTGTTGTAAGCCCCAACCCCCCAGACTCTTCTTTATAAGCCCTCCCCATCTGAGCCACCTCCTCCTTCATAAGCCCCTCCCCTGAGCTTGTTCTCCTTTATAAACCCCACCCCTGAGCCACTCCTTTGTCATAAGCCCCGCCCTTCTGAGGTCCGCCTTTATAAGCCCCTCCCCCTGAGCCTCTGCCTGCATTATAAGCCCCGCCCCTTCTGAGCCCTCCTGATTTGTAAACTCCGTCCCCTCTAAGCCCCCCTTCTTTTATAAGCCCCTCCCCTCTCTGGGCCCCCAGGCTCCCTCCCACTCTGGTAAGGTACCCTCCCCCTCTCTAAACCCTCCCGACCCCCCTACGCCATCCAGGTCTCTGAAGCTCCGTCCCTTTCCAATACCCCCTCTGTCGGAGCACCCCCAGTGACCTTCTCTCTCTCCTTGCTAGGGTGGTGGGGGAAGGGGGTCTTCTGACCTTTTCTTCCTCTGAGTCGAACCTCCCCAACTTCCTGCAGCCACGGAGCATCGCCTGAAGCCGTGGCTGGTGGGCCTGGCTGCGGTAGTCGGCTTCCTGTTCATCGTCTATTTGGTCTTGCTGGCCAACCGCCTCTGGTGTTCCAAGGCCAGGTGGGTGCCCGCCCCCACCCCGCTGCCCCCACAGCCCTGCCCCCACCCCCAGCTTCCCAACCCTCTCTGGTACCCCCATCACCAGCCTCAAAGTCCGAAGGTCTCCCATTTCCCTGCTGCTCCTCCAACCTCTACTCTCAGAGCCCAGATCCCGGGCTTGCACCCGCCCGTCTCCCCAAGACAACGAGCCAGGCAGCCCAGCCCTTCCTTGCGTCCTGGGGTTCATGAGCCCCGGCTGGGAGGTTGGGACAGAGGCTGAGGCTGTCACACCGCTTCCTTCCCTTTACCGCCCCCTTTCTCCTCTCCCGCCCCCTTCCACCTTTCCCTTTATCTCTGCAGGGCTGAGGACGAGGAGGAGACCACGTTCAGAATGGAGTCCAACCTATACCAGGACCAGAGGTACTATGCGTGCGGATGCTGGGGGTCTGTGTGAACCCCTCCTCGGGGTGGGGGAATGGGTGTGCGCAGATGACCTTGCTGTCCTGAATCCTTCAAACACATTCCTGCCCTGGGATCTTCACCTTTCCTGTATCTTCTGGCAGCTCCTTCTCCTCCTCCAGTCCCTAGTCAGGGGTTTCCAGCCTGGCCACCAGCCTTCCTGACACTGTCCCCAGCCCCAAGTCTGATTCATGCTTATCACCAGTGGAGCTGTCTTAGTTGTTCACTAATTTTGAGACATTACGTGGTGCCTTCCAGTTGTGTAGGCAACTTAGCTTTTGTCCTGGCTGTGTCCTCATACCCAGCATTGGGCCTGGAACACAGGAGGTGCTTAATAAATACCTGTTGAAGAAGACTGTGGTGTAGGATTGTGTAGGTGTCTGTACAAGGCCTAGGTATGGGCGACCCACCTGGACTCAGTGCCTCCTATGGCTCTGACTGC
The DNA here is from genome assembly GCF_000001405.40 of Homo sapiens. Classification (NCBI taxonomy): domain Eukaryota; kingdom Metazoa; phylum Chordata; class Mammalia; order Primates; family Hominidae; genus Homo; species Homo sapiens. The sequence goes on along the minus strand of NC_000019.10, from coordinate 3,477,937 downwards.
CTCCCAACCTGAGGATTCCCACAGAGGACTCAGGGATGCAGACCTCCATCTTCCATCCACCCATCACCCACTCATCCACCCACTCACCCATTCATCCACTCACCCATTCACCCACTCACCCACCATCCATCCATCCATCATCCACTCATCCACCCACTCACCCATTCACCCACTCACCCATCCACCCACTCACCCATTCACCCACTCACCCATCCATCCATCACCCACCATCCATCCATCACCCACCATCCATCCATCCATCACCCACCCATCCACCCACTCACCCATCCACCCACTCACCCATTCACCCACTCACCTATCCACCCACTCACCCATCCACCCACTCACCCATCCATCACCCATTCACCCACTCACCCATCCACCCACTCACCCATCTACCCACTCACCCATCCATCCATCACCCACCATCCATCCATCCATCATCCATCCATCCATCATCCATTCATCACCCATCTGTTCACTCACCCAGCTGCCCACCCACCCATCTATTCACCTACCACTTATCCACCCACTCACCCATCCATTCATCACCCCCCATCCATTCATCACCCATCCACCCATCACCTACCCATCCACCCACCCACCATCCATCCACCCACCATCTGTCTATCATCCATCCATCCATCCATCCATCCATCCATCCATCCACTCACCCATCCCCCAACCCATCCATTCACCAACCCGTCCACCCACTCACCCATCCATTCATCACTCATCCATCCATCACCCACCCCCATCCATTCATCACCTACCCATCCACCCACCCACCATCCATCCACCGACCATCCATGATCCATCCATCCATCCATCCATCCATCCATCCATCACCCATCTATTCACTCACCCACCCCCCGACCTATCCATTCACCAATCCATCCACCCACTCACCCATCCACCCACCCACTCATCTGTTCACACACCCATCCATCTACCCACCCATCTATCCATCAGCCATCCATTCACCATCCATCCACCCACCCATCTATTCATCCACCCATCAATCCATCATCCATCCACCCACCCACCCATCCACCCATCCATCCATCCATCCATCCATCCATCACCTATCCATCCATCACCCATCTATTCACTCATTCATCCACCCACACAGCCATCCATCCACCTACCCATTTATCCATCCATCCATCCTTCCATCCATCCATCCATCCATCCATCCAGGGCTGGGGGCTCTGTCTTGGGCAAAGGCTTGGGGACAGGAGTAGGAGAGTGGGAGCTGGGAGGTGACCAGCCTGGCTGGGAGAGTCTCAGCTGAGTCCAAGATGTGCCTGAGGGAGAGGACCTGAGTGGTGGCTTTGTCTAAGACCTGGCTCAGCCCCAGTAAAATATGATTCCTACTCCCAGGATGTACTGGGGGATCTGGATCCCACCTGTGCACCTGTACCTGTAGCTTCCTTTCTGCCTTGTTCAATCCTCCATCCATCCACCCAACCATCCACTTGTACATCCATCTATCAGTCTGCCCGTGCAGTCCTCACCCTCCAACCACCCATCCATCAGTCCACCTACCCATTAGCCCATTGATCTGTCCACTCACTGATACACGCACCCACCCACCTATGCGTCCATCGAACTATGCAGTCTTCACTCTCCAACTGTCCATCCATCAGTCTATCTATCCATTAGCTCATTGATCCATCCACCCACCTACAGTCTCATTCATCCTCCATCTACCTATCCATTGGTATGTCATTCTCTTCTTCCTCCAATTCATCCATTCATCTACTTATTAATCTGTCCCTCCCTCCATGCAACCATCAATTCACCCAACTGCTTATCTACTCATCCATCCATCCACCTATACATTCATTCATTGATCTATACATCCATCTATACTCCCATCCACCCATTCTCCATTCTGCATACCCCCATCCACTGATCCATCAGTCTCTCCTTCCTGCAATGTATTCATTTATCTTCCAATTCATTTATTCAACCTCCATGCAGCAGTCCATTCATGTAACTACTTATCTACTCATCCATCCACCCACCCATCCATCCATTCATCCACCAACCCATTCATTCATCCATCCACCCATCCATCTATCATCCTTCCATCCACCATCCATCAATCACCCAGCCATCATCCGCCCACCCACACACTCACTCATCCATTCATTCGCCAACTCAGTCACCCATCTGTTCACCCACCCATTCATTAATTCATCCACCCACTCATCCATCCATTCATCCACCCATTCACTTATCCACCCACCCACCCATCAATTCACCCACCATCCATCCATCACCTATCCACCTACCATCCGTCCACCCACTCAACTATCCACTCACCCATCCACCCACCCACCCATTCATCTGTCTACTCATCCATTCATCATCCATCTATCCACCCACCCACCCATCCATCCATCCTTCCAACCACTCACCCACCTAGCCATCCACCCGTTCATCCAGTCATCCATACCCCCATCCATCATCCATCCACCCACCCACTATCCACCCACCTGTCCACTCATCTACCCATCTATTCCCTAACTTCTTTACACACCTACCCACCTATCCATCCATCCATGGAGCAGTTGAGTCTTAGTTGCAATGATGATATGCAGTGTGAACCTCCATATCATCTGTCCAGCCACTGCACCCAGCCTCAAAAGCAGCCTCCTTTGCCAGGAGTAAACTGAGTCCCAAGAGGCAACAGGGAGCCTTTGGCTTATGTCCATCCATCCATCCACCCATCCATCCCTCCATGGAGCAATTGAGTCTTAGTTGCTGTCTTTGTGAAATGGAAATCGTGAGGCCGCGTAGTTAGGGTTATTTTGAAGATTCACTGAGATACCGCTTGTAAAATACTCATCACATGGGCTGGCTCAAGTGAGTGGCCATTAAATAGGAGTGTCTCTGTTTCTTATTATGGTTTGGGGCCTTTGTATCCCTACAGTGAAGACAAGAGAGAGAAGAAAGAGGCCAAGGAGAAAGAAGAGAAGAGGAAGAAGGAGAAAAAGACAGCAAAGGAAGGAGAGAGCAACTTGGGACTGGATCTGGAGGAAAAAGAGCCCGGAGACCATGAGAGAGCAAAGAGCACAGTCATGTGAAGATTCCTGGCTGCCTCTTCCAGGCAGTCCCCCAGAGATGCCTCTTCTGCCCCCTAAAAGCAGTGCCCTGGACTTGAAGCCCGTGAAATGACTCCATCTGGGATTCAGAATACAGTGTTCTCAAGTGAAGAAGGCTTGGAACCCACCCCACCTCCCTCATTGGGGGCTCTCTGGGCAAACATGGTTTTCATGCACCCCTCTTCCTGAGCTTGGTCCCTGCCTGGTGATTCTTCTTATACTCGGAGAGCATCCCTGGTTGAGGAGACACCCGCAATCCTCCACGATCTCATGGCTCCACCTGCTTCTCCCCACTGCCTGATTTCTTTTCTCTCTGCCTGATGTCTACTGAACAGAACTTCCCCTCTCCCATGCACCCACTGCCAGCTGAGAGCTGCTTCCCAATGGCCTGCATTAAAGCATTCGTAACAGCCCTTTGGAAGGGCTCCTGTCATCTCTTGGGACTCAGTTTACCTCTGGGGAAGGAGGCTGCTTTTGGGGCTGCGGGCGATGGCTGGGCGGATGATATGGAGGCTCAGGGTGCACAGGTGCCCAGACGCCCTGAGCAGATTAAACACTCCCCCGGCAATCTGGTTTTTTGCTGTCCTGAGCCCTGGACTTTGAGCCCTGAGCGCCGTCTCCAAGCAAATCTTTGCTCCTTCCCCCACCTCACTTTGTTTTGGGGCACGTGACTTTTTTCCTGGGAGCTGTATCTTGGAGGGTGGGGGTGCCCCAGGGCCCTGCAATATCTTGGAAAGGGACTAGCACTTCCTTTTCCCAGTTTCTGTTCTCCTGCTTCCCCTCACCTTCTCCAGGCCCTGGACCTTACCCTGAACAATGACCATTTCTCTTTTATTTGAGATGGAGTCTCGCTCTGTCACCCAGGCTGGAATGCAATGCTGTGATCTTGGTTCACTGCAGCCTCTGCCTTCCAGGTTCAATCAGTTCTCCAGCCTCAGCCTGGCCACAATGACCATTTCTTAATGAGGACCTTTTTCTTTTCTTTTTTTTTCTTTAGACAAAGTCTCACTCTGTCGCCCAGGCTGGAGTGCAGTGGTGCAATCACTCTGTCACCCAGGCTGGAGTGCAGTGGTGCAATCTCTGCCTCCTGGGTTCAAGTGATTCTCCTGCCTCAGCCTCCCGAGTAGCTGGGATTACAGGCATGCACCACCATGCCTGGCTAATTTTTGCATTTTTAGTAGAGACGGGGTTTCACCATGTTGGCCAGGCTGGTCTCGAACTCCTGACCTCAGTTGATCCGCCTGCCTAGGCCTCCCAAAGTGCTGGGATTACAGGTGTGAGTCCCTGCTCCTGGCCCTTTTCTTTTCTTCTTTTCTTTCTTTCTTTCTTTCTCTTTTTTTCTTTTTTCTTTTTTTTTTTTTTTGAGATGGAGTTTTGCTCTTGTTGCCCAGGCTGGAGTGCAAGGGCCCGATATTGGCTCACCGCAACCTCCACCTTCCAGTTCAAGCGATTCTCCTGCCTCAGCCTCCCGAGTAGCTGGGATTACAGGCACCCACCACCACTTCCGGCTAATTTTTTGGGTATTTTTTAGTAGAGATGGCGTTTCACCGTATTAGCCAGGATGGTTATTATTTTTTGAGACAAGGTCTCACTCTGTTTCCCAGGCTGGAGTGCAGGGGGCAGGACTTCTCCACTAGGGGGCGTTTGGAAATCTAAAAAAAAATTAAATATTTTGTAGAGACAGGGTCTTGCTCTATTGCCCAGGCTGGAGTGCAGTGATTCCATCATAGCTCATTGCAGCCTTGACCTCCCGGGCTCAAGCGGTCCTGCTGCCTCAGCCTCCTGAGCAGCTGGGACCACAGGCACATATCACCACACTCAGCTATTTTTAAAATTTTATTTTTGAGGTGGAGTCTCCCTCTGTCGCCCAGGCTGGAGTGCAGTGGCACGATCCCACCTGACTGCAATCTCCACCTCCCAGGTTCAAGCAATTCTCATGCCTCAGCCTCCTGAGTAGCTGGGATTACAGGCGCCTGCCACCACACCTGGCTAATTTATACGTTCTTAGTAGAGACGGGGTTTCGCCGTGTTGCCCAGGCTGGTCTCGAACTCCCAGGCTCAAGCAATCCACCCTCCTTGGCCTCCAAAAGTGCTGGGATTAGAGTTGTGAGCCACCGTGCCCAGCTAATTTTATGTTTATTTTTTGATAGAGCTAGGGTCTCGCTGTATTACCCAGGCTGGTCTCTAACTCCTGACCTCAAGCAATCCTCCCATCTCTGGTATCCCAAATTGCTGGGATTACAGGCATGAGCCACTGCACTCGGCCGCATTTGGAATTTTTTTGCGGGGGCATTTTGGGTTGTCACAAGCCTTCCCCCGTTTTAGGGTGGGGAGTCAGGGGTGACCAACCCAACAGCCTGCATTACTGGGACAGCCCTCCCCTCCCAGCCAGGAATCTCATCACCCAGGGGCCAAGGGCTGGACACGACCGAGGCTTTCCGTAAGATCCAAGGGGAGGCTAAGTTTCCACCGCTGAGTTTCCACCCCAGCCCTGGCTGATCCCCTGACTCCAGCTGAGACCCCCTGACCTTGGCTCAACCCCTGCTCTACAAGAAGCCTCCTCTGGCCTGACTGGAGCCCCCGTTTCCCGCTGCAGAGAGGAACTGGGATGGGGGAGGTTGGGGGGGTGTCCCCGGCCTGCCCACAAGGGGGCGCCAAAATCTCGCTGCTGAGGGTGAGTGGGGGCGACCCAAGTTGGGAGTGGGACGTGGGAAGGGGCCTCGGACCCCCCCATCCTCGGTGTCCTCGGTGCCTGTCACCAGGAAGCAGCGTGGGGTCGTGTCAGCGAGGACGCACTGTGCCTGCTGCCCTGTCAATGCACCTTACCTCGCTTCTTTGTGCCTCAGTTTCCCCATTTGCAAAAAAGGATCGTCCCCGCCTTGTGGTCTTGTGGGTAGGATGGAAGGAGCCCATGGTGCAAAGAGAGTTTTTCTGGCCCAACCTGGGGTCTTTTGGGGTTTTGGAGTTGGGGACAGGATGGAGGGCCCCATCTCAGCCCCCCCAAGAACTAGCCTTACTCTTTTTTTGTTTTTGTTTTTTTGAGACAGGGTCTTGCTCTGTCGCCCAGGCTGGAGTGCAGTGGCGTGATCTTGGCTCACTGCAGCCTCTACCTATCAGGCTCGAGGGATCTTCCCACCTCTGCCTCCCAAGTAGCTAGGACTACAGGAATGCACTACCATGCCTGGCTATTTTTTTTTTTTTTTTTTTGAGATAGGGTCTTGCTCCATTGCCCAGGCTGGAGTGCAGTGGTGCGGTCTTTACCTCCCGGGTTCAAGCAATTCTCCCACCTCAGCTTCCTGAGTAGCTGGGATTACAGGGGCGCACCACCACACCCGGCTAATTTTTGTATTTTTAGTAGAGACAGGGTTTCACCATGTTGTCCAGGCTGGTCTCAAACTCCTGACCTCAAGTGATCCTCCCACCTCTCAAAGTGCTGGGACTGCAGGCATGAGCCACTGCACCCAGCCCCTTTCACACTCCTGATTCTCCCGGGCCCCAGCCTCCCTCCCCTCTGACCTCAGTGTGGGAGGGGCCCCCAGTCTGGAGGGGACAGAGCTGGACACGGTCATGCCCCTGAATGGTCAGGGCTGGGTCAGGAGTGATTGGGGGCAGAAGCTCTGCTGGGGCAGGTGAGGAAGGCTTCCTGGCCGAGGGTGTATTGAAACCATGTTGGGGCCCATCCTTCTGCCCCCAGCCCTCCATGGCTCCCACCTCCTTCAGGGGAAAAGTCAACATTTTCCCTGTGGCCCACAAGGCCCTGAATGACCTGCCCCGTCCCTTCCCTGCCCTCCAGTCCTCCCTCCATCCCTCTCCTCACTCTGCTCCAGCCACACAGGCCTCCTCACTGTTCCTCCAATGAAGCAGGCATGGTCCCGCCCTCGGGCCTTTGCAGGAGCTGTGACTTCTGCCAGAATTTCAGGACGCTCCTTCCCTCCCTCCCTCCAGATCTGTCTAGATGGGACCACTCCCCGCCCTTCCTCTGTTCATTGCCCTACTCATCACTTACCTCCTCTGACATCTTTTACTTCTATTTTATCGACTGATTGATTGGAGACAGGGTCTTGCTCTGTTGCACTCCAGGCTGGACAGCAATGGTGCAATCACAGCTCACTGCAGCCTCAACCTCCAGGGATCAAACAATCCTCCTATCTCAGCCTCCTGAGACTACAGGTGTGTCACCACGCGCAGCTAACTTTTTAAGTGTATCTGTAGAGATGGGTTCTATGTTGCCCAGGCTGGTCCTGAACTCTTTGACTCAAGCGATCCTCCTGCCTTGGCCTCCCAAATTGCTGGGATTACAGGTGTGAGTCGCTGCACCCGGCCACTTCTACTTGTTGTTCACTGTTCTTCCTGACCTGGAGGAAGCTGTAGGCTCCAAGACGGGATCTGAATTTGAGTGTTTTGTTCACTGCTGGGTCCTGGGGCTTGGTACTCAGGAGATGCTCAGGAAGTCTTTGCTCAATGACTGGGAGTTTGCCAGGTAGCAAGAGAAGCTATTTTGTGCATTTATTGAGCACCGACTGTGTGCCAGGCTTGGATTCCTCCAAGGCACAAGGGAAGGGATGGAATCCCCTGTGCCTGGCACAGAGTGGGTGCTCCGTAGATGCCTCATGGAATTCACCGATAGCTCTGAGACTGCTGGGGGAGGGAACCAGGCTGGAGAAAGGTGGGAAGACTTCCTGGTGGAAGAGGACACCAGTGTGAAAGGTCTGCACAGATGGGGAGGCAGGAATGAGCAAAGGCTAAGGGGTGTGAAACAGCCCATCCTACAAAGGGGAAGAGGTTACAGCCTCCAGGAGCGTTGCTGGGACAGGTCTGGCCTCAGAAGCTCATTCAAAGCCACCATCTAAAGTGGGTCTCCCCCACCCCCAGGCACTGTGGATCAGTCTCTGGGGTGGGGCCGTCCTGGGCACTGCAGGGTGCTGAGCGGCGTCCCTGGCCTCTACCCACTCCATGCCAGGAGCACTTCCCAGTCGTGACAACCGCGGATGTCTGAGACATCACCCAGTGTCCTCTGGGGGGCAGGATCGCCCTTGGGTGAGACTCCCTGGGTTAGGGGATTTCATGGACCCCCCAGTAGACTGCGTCCCATGATCCTCCACCCTGCTGAGGTCCTAGGAGGCTGCACACATTGGAATCCCACCCTGAGTGGGGAGGGGGCGAGGAGGAGAATCCTAGGAGCTGCAGGTCTCCCTGGTTTCTGTCATCCACCCCATCGGGAGCTTACCCTGGTGTCTACTGTGAGCAGGGAGCAAATCTGATTTTTTTCCCCTCCAAACAATCAAAGCAGGTCTCTCCGTGCCAGGCACTGTGGATGTCTTGTGTGGATGAATCTTGGTTCTGGGCACTGCAGAATGCTGAGCAGTGTCTCTGGCTTCCACCCACTCCACGCCAGGAGCATCCCCCAGTCGTGGCAACCACAAATGTCCCCAGATATTGTCTAATGCCCCCAGGGGACACTTGATCTGAAGCTTTCAGAATCCCAGCCTGCCCATCCACGGGGCTTGGGGGTTCCCCCCAGCTCCCTGCAGCCTCTGCCCCTCACTTTTCCAAAGGACACAGAGCAACCCACATGGGACATGGAAAAGAGGACCCGGGACAGCCAGAAAGAGTCGAAGCATAGCTTGTTTAATTTTTATACATTTTTTTCTTTTTTCTTTTTTTTTTGTTTGTCTTTTATTGAATCTTTTATGGAATCCCCCTTTTTTCATTTTCATTTTTTTTTTGCATAGGGAACAAATAAACAAAATAATGACAGCCAGAGTCACTTTCTGTAAATGGTACTTAGGTAGGCGCGTCCGCGAAAACCAAAATGACTGCGTAATATACAAGGTTATGATTGGAGTATGATGTGAGGGGCGGGGTGGGGTGGGGGGAGAGCCGGCGGGTCTGCCCAGGTGTCCCCTTGTCCCCCTCCTGTCCTCGCTGTCAAGAGGAGAAGTAGGAGGAGGAGGGGAGGGTGGGGGACCTGCTGGAACCTTCTCCGGATTGGGTTCATGAGCATTTTTGTGGGTGTGTATGTGTGTGTTATCCAGTGTGCGGTAAGCAGAAAGCTAGAAGGAGAGTAAACTATCCTGGTGATATCAGTAAAATACAAAAAGGAAACAACAACAAAAAAATCTCAAAGGGAAAAGGAAAGGAAAAGCAACACCACCCAAAGAGTAAAGGGGAGAAAAAAGAAAGAAAAAAAAAACCCAAAGGAAAATGTTTTGTTTTGTCCCTCCCTCCTCCCAGCTGCCCCCCCACCCCCCACTGTATGCCCTGCCCCATCCTGTCCCCCTGGAGCCCTTGCTTGTTCTTTCTCTGTGTGAGAATGCTCAGGGCTGGGTGGGCAGGAAGCTGGGGGCACAGGCTGGGACCCCAGGACTTGAGGGGGCTTTGGTTTTGGGGGGGCCTGGCTGGGACCCAAGATGAGAGGATGGGGTGTGGATGCAGTTGAGGGGCCGGGGCAGCCTGTGTCCCCTTTTTGGAGGGCTCTCTTCCAGCCAGGAGATGTGCGTGGAAGGCTGGGGGGTGGTGGCTTGGGGGTGCATGACTTCCCCTCCGGGGCCCATATTCCTATTGGATCCCCTTCCTCCTTCCTGTCTCAGGTGTGAGCAAAGCCTTGGGGAGGGGGCTGCCATGGACGGGGGGGTGGGGCAGGAGAATCCCAAAGCCACACCAGCAGACATGTGAGGCACTGCTTGGGAAAAGTCTGTTTTGGTATCACTGGCAACAAGTCCTGCTGGTACTGCTTTGGGTCCGCCTCCTCACCTTGCCCTGCCGGGAGGTCAAGGGTGGTGGACTGACCCCACACTCTGTACCATTGAGCAATGGATGGGCAGCGGTGTCATTTTGAAGGTGAGACTCTCAGGAAGTGTCTGACGTGGCAGAAATGGGGCAAGATGGGAGGATGCGGAGGAAGCTGGATTGAGAGATGTATGTCCCAGCGCCCTCCAAAGAGAAAGTAAAATCCGGGGTCTCAGAGAGAGAATCCAGACCAAGATACAAGGTAGCCACTATATATTCTGTATTATGAGAAACAAATTCCAAAATTATATATATATATATATATATATATATATATGTATAGTATAGCCCTACACTGGAGGTCAAAGTACCATTGGGGAGGCCAGAGTGGGTAGGGGGGCTGCTTGCTGTCTCTTCTGGAGGGCTGGACAGTTGCTCCTGGCTCCAGAACCTGTCTTGCAAGGGACAGTGGGGTGCAGCCAAGTCTGTCTGTGCCTGGAATGCTGCTGTCTCTCAAGGTCCTGGGGCAGGGAAGGTGGAATTGTCTGCTGCCTGGGGACCTGCAGGGGGACCCAGGTCTGGCCCCTAAGCGGCTCTCCCAACCGAGTCCCCTTTGGCATTCCTTTGGGATCTGATTGTCCAGCCCAGGGTGGGGCCCTGGGGTCAGAACCTGGGTTCCAGACCTGGGCATGAAGGACTCCAGATCCTCCTCTCCCCAGTCAAATAGGGCTGGGTCTTCCTACTCCTCCATGCCCCATCTCCACCCGGGTCATTGTCAGGTGCCCCCACGGAATGGGGACAATTTGCATATATTTGGGAGGCCTCCCTATTCTTTCCCACAGCATGGGCAGACCCCAGAATGAGACTGGGGTGGGGGGGGGGGCCTGGCATAGGTGTGGTGTCCATAGCAGGGGTGGGTGATGGGGGCTTCCAGAGGGGGGTGGAACAAGATTTGAGAAGATGTCAGTTTCATACATGTTAAAAAAACAAAAACAAAAAACCAACACTCCCTCCTCCACCCAGGGATGACGGCACCCCCTTTTGTGAACCCAAACTGCAGAGATGGGCACGGAATCCTGCTTCCTGGTGTTTTTGTCTTACTCTGTCTGCAGCAAGGCGCCTGGGAATTTTGCCCTACAGGGACCCTGTAGCTTTTCCAAGAAACAGGGAGGCGGGGAGAACTAAACCATCCACAACATGCTGCCTGGTATGGGCTTTTGCCTGCTGTACTCAGCCAAGGTGCCAAGTGAGCCAAGGAGGCAAGCTCGGGGTGAGAAGGGTGGCGTCCAGCCCAGGACTCTGGGCCCCCGGGTGTGGGCTGTGCAGGGACGCGATGGTCCCAATAGTGATGGGGCCACCCACTCCCTTTGCCTCCGGTTGCTCCTAGTTCCTTGGCAAGACAGATTTGCTCAGGAGTGGGGCAGAAAAAAAAAAAAAGCTAGAAATCAGCTACATGAATGCTGTGCACAGCCAGCCCGGGCTCTCTGGCCAATGCATATTACTTAAGGGCAATGTCGTGGCCAGCTGTGGTGGTCTGGGCTCTCCCTCTGTATCGCCTGGGGAGGCTGCTGAGGTGACTTTTTGGAAGAAAACACGGGATGAGTGTATGATGGTGGCTGTGGAGACCACCCAAAATCCCGGGGTTGGGGGCAATAGTGAATGAATGGGACCATCTGCGTGGGTCCCTACACGAGATGCTTGGAGGGGCTGGAGGTGGTGAGGGCTGCAGGAATGGCCTAAGGTTGGAGAATCCCAGCCCTGGGTCCTCCCTGCCTGGCTGCCCCACTAACCATCTGGCTATTGTCTTAGCTTTGGTCAAGTAAAAAGCAAAGGAAGCTGGAGTTAAAAACAAAAAGAAAAGAAAAAAAAAAAGAACAAAAGAAAATAAAATCAAGGACAAGACAACAGCATGCTCAGCCACCGGACCACAGCCTGTGACTCGGTGCCACCTGGCTGTCCCTGTGCCCTGCCGGACCCTCGGCTGGGCCTCCAATGGCTGAGCCAGGCCCATGGGTACAGACAGACAGACAGATATTGCATATATCAGGTTTTGTTTTTGTTTCATACAGGATACCCTTCATATTCACAGCTGGAAGACAGAGACAGGGGATGGGGGACAAAGGAGAAGGTGGGAGAGAATGCCACCTGGGGTGGTCTCTGGATAGGGGAAAAGAGGTCCTTTGGCAAGAAGGGTGGGGATGCACGGGGCAGGGGAGAGGGGGTGCCTCTGAGGTGGGTGTGGAACAGCATTTGACCCTGAGCCAGGGGTATGCCAGCCTGCATGAAAAGTGGGGAGCGGGGAGTCTGGCTGCGGGTGGAGTGGCCACCCCATGGTTGGAGGACAGCCTGCAGTGGGTCGGTGAATGGTGTCTGGGGGCCGGCCCGTGGCCTAGGGACCAATCAGAGAGGAGAGCCCTTTCCCAGGGCCAAGATGGGCCCCGGAGGTCTGTCCTCTGGGCAAGGGATTCAGAAATGACCCCTCTGGGTACCCAAGAGCAGGGTTGGGGGTGGTAGAGGCTGAGCACCAGGGGGCACCCCTGAATACAGCAGGAGGGGAGACAGGACCAAGGACAGCCAGGGGCTGGGTAGACCTGGGGGCAATTGTTTTCAGTGGCTTGATTTTTAGCGTGGTTTTTCTTCCTTTTTTTTTTTTTTTTTTTTTTTTAGATTCTCACTTTCTTATTTTTTATTTTATTTTTTTTACAAATAGAAATACATCCCTTTTCAATTTTTATTTTTTATTTCATGTCACTGTTTTGTCTTTTTTTTTTTAAACTACACGAGCAGAACATGCAGCTATGTGTGTGCGCTGATATTGTTTAAAGGTAATACTTATTCTCGGAAGGCAAGGCACATCTTGTGGTAGAAAATTTCGTGCAAATTAGGAAACATGGAATTTTTTTAAAGGTTTTTCTTGTATCTTTTTTTTTTTTTTTTTTTTTTTAAAGAGGAAGTGGGGGGTGGAGGGGGCGAGGAACAGGGAGATAGAGCCAGGGATAGTCTGCCATGCATGTGTGTCAGCGCCGCCAGCTGACCTCGGGAGCCAGGTCGCAGGAGTCCTTGACTAAGCACCATGCAAAGTTAGGTAAAGAGTTGGTTCTCGTCGCGCCCTGACCCCTCTGGAGCCCGGCTGGCCTCCCTCCCCCACTCCACGACCCCCACCCTGGCTGAGAAGCTTCCGGACACCCCAATGGCACAACCCGACCACCCCCTCCCCCGCCCGCCCTCCCGGAGAGCGGCCCACGCTTTGATCCCCAAGGGCCACCGGGGGAGCGGGCCCCGAGGACAGACGGACGGAGGGACCAAGGGCTCGAGGCCAGAGGATGGCGAACCTCTCTTGGGGGTGATGGGGGAGGGTCCTGGGTCTTTCTCTTTAGGAGCGAGCGGGTTCGCCAAGCTCCTGAGGCTAGTTTGGGAGGAGAGTCTGGTTTTCGGGGGCAGGGGGGTGAGGCTAGGAGCAGGTGAGACCCGGAGACCTGCCCTGGCTTTGGCCTGGGTCGGGGGAGGGGGCAGTGGTGGGGGGAGTTTTTCCCTAGGCATGGAGGTCAGTTGGGGCTGGGCTGGGTGGGCCGGGGAGGGGTCCTTGTGTTTGAGCTCGGTGGCCCTAAAACACCTAACACCCCCTCCCAGGCCTCCCCTAAAGATGGCGATCCTGGGGTGGGGGTGGAGGTGTGGATAGGGCCAGGGAGCCGGGGTGGGGGGGCACCTGGCGTCCCCAGCTTAGTGTTTTTGGAGCGGCTCAACGGAAAAACGCTTAGCAGATGGGAGGCCCCCTACACGGCTGCGGGGGGCCCCAAGGTGCGACGCCGAACCCCCCGAAAACCCTCCCCGTTCCGAGCGGGGACCGCTGGCGTCGGCCTCCTCTCTCCTCTGGGGGCCCAGCCGTGATGCACGTCCCGCAGCTGGGCCCCGCGTCGGGGTAGGCGATGAAAGTGCAAACGGCGGTCCCCCTTCGCTGGGAGGCACCAGGGAGGGGGGTCGCTCCAGAATGTAAGGCACTGGCAGCGGAGGCGTGGGGGGCGCACCGGCTTCCCCAGAGCCCACCCCCGCGCCCCGGCAGGGCAGGACGCTTGCGAAGTGACGCCCAGCTCTGCCCCTCGGGCCACGCAGGGGCCCCATCTCTCTAGCTCTGGGGGGGCACGGCGATGAGGGTTGACTGGAGGGGCTGGTGGAGAGGCTGGAGGGGAGGGGGAGGAGGCCCGCGGCCATTCCGTGTCCCAGCTGGACAAAGGGGGGGGCGGGTGGTGGTAATCAGGCACTTAAACCACTCGCTCTCACCTCCCACCGCCAGGGGCTGACGGGGGCGCTCCAGACGGGCACCCCCAACTCGGGGAGCTCTGGGTGTCCGGGCTCCCCCATCCCCTTCCTCGGAAAGTGCATTTCTTACAGTGTGTGCAATGTGGGTCCCTCCCTTTGGGGGTGTGAGCCGGGCGAGGTGGGGGGGCCTCCTATGCCGGGGGTGGGGGGTGGAGGGGCCGGGGCCAATTGCATAGAGACTTCTCCTCCCAAACGGGCGGGCGCGAGGGCTGAAAGAGTCCCCAGCGAGACAGCGAGTCGGCCGGCGCTTTGGGAGGGGCTTGTGGGGAGGCCCCGCGGCAGGCAGGGCCCCCTCGAGGGGCAGCAGGTGCCTGGGCCTCACTTCCTCCCCTGGCCAGGGCTCGCAAGCGCCACGCACCCCCGCGACACCACTCGCCTGCCCCACCCTGCCCGCCTCTGCGGTCTCCGCTGCCCGGCCGGGGTCCGCTGTGTCTCCCTTTCCCCCCAGTGGCTGCGTCCTCGGTGGGGGCTGAGGGGCCGGTCCGTGTCCGGCAGAGGCGCGGGGGCCCGGGGAGAGGTGGCCTTGCTGGGTGTCGCGCCTGTCGGCCCTGGGCACAGGCTCCAGGCTGTGCTCACCTGGTCTCCGGACAGAGCCAGGGCCTCCGGGGCGCGGGCGGGCGGCCGGCGTCTGTCCTTCCCGAGCAGCAGGCGGAGAGGAGATGAATAACTTAGGAAGACGCCCTGTCCCGGGTCTCCCGTGGGGGTGGCGGGGCCTGGCCCTCCAGTCCTGCGGCCTTGGCGTCCCGAGAGTTGGAAACGTTGCGTCTTTACCTTTTGTCTTCTTGCTTGGGTGGGTTTTTATTTCTTCTTCTTCTTCTTCTGCCTTTGTTTTTTCTTTTCCTCCTGAGTGTGTGCGTCTATGTGTTTTGTCTTTTTGGCCGGGCTGGGAGTCGGCAGGGGTGTTCTTGTTCACTCTAATTTTCCACCGAAAACGTGGGCCGGGGGCCGGCTGTGCTGCCCCCTGGGATTCCTGGGACGATGGAGAAGGGGCGAGGGAAGAAGACCTTTGCTATCCCAGATACCAGGACTGAGTGGCCCAGTGGCGACAGAAAGAGGGAGAGAGAAAAAGGGAGAGAAGTCGAGGGGTCAGACTCTGCTGCAGACATGGTTTACCTCTTCCCACGCTCACCCCCCACCTCCTGCAACCCTGTGACCTCAGTTTCCCCATCCCAGGCTCTAACAACCTGCTGGGTGACCCATGGCAAGTGACTTTGTCTCTGAGGGAGGCTTCCAGACACAGTACAGGATGCCCAGTGAAACTGGAGTTCTGGTTAACACAGAATTCTTTTAGTATAAGTCTAGCCCACGCAACATTGGGGATATACTTACACACCACACACAAAAGATCCATTTATCTGGAACTGTATTTTATATTTTATTTATTATTTTATTTTTTGAGATGGAGTTTCGCTCTTGTTGCCCAGGCTGGAGTGCAATGGCGTGATATTGGCTCACTACAACCTCTGCCTCCTGGGTTCAAGCAATTCTCCTACCTCAGCCTCCCGAGTAGCTGGGATTACAGGCGTCCACCGCCACACCTGGATAATTTTTGTATTTTTAGTAGAGATGGGGTTTCACCATGTTGGCCAGGCTGGTCTCAAACGCCTGACCTCAAGTGATCCACCTTCCTCGGCCTCCCAAAGTGCTGGAATTACAGGTGTGAGCCAGCACTCCCAGTCTGGAACTCAATCTTACTTTATTATATTATATTATTTATTTATTTATTGAGACAGAGTCTCGCTCTGTTGCCAGGCTGGAGTGCAGTGGCATGATCTCGGCTCATTGCAACCTCTGCCTCCCAGGTTCAAGTGATTCTCCTGCCTCAGCCTCCCGAGTAGCTGGGATTACAGGCGCATGCCACCACACTCAGCTAATTTTTATATTTTTAGTAGAGACAGGGTTTCACCATGTTGGCCAGGATGGTCTCACTCTCTTGACCTCGTGATCCGCCCGCCTCGGCCTCCCAAAGTGCTGGGATTACAGGCGTGAGCCACTCTGCCTGGCCTTTATTTTATATTTTAAAAATTATTTTCTTCTCTATTTATTATTTATTTATGAGACAGAGTCTTGCTCTGTTGCCCAGGCTGGAATGCAGTGGTGTGATCTTGGCTCTCTACAACCTCCGCTTCCTGGGTTCAAGTGATCCTTGTGCCTTAGCCTCCCAAGTAGCTGGGATTACAGGCCCGCCCCACCACACCCAGCTAATTTTTGTATTCTTAGTAGAGACCGGGTTTCGCCATGTTGGCCGGGCTGGTCTTGAATTCCTGGCCTCAAGTGATCCGCCCACCTTGGCCTCCCAAAGTGCTGGGATTACAGGCGTGAGCCACTGTGGCCAGCCAATTTATTATTTTATTTTGAGACAGGGTCTTGCTCCGTTGCCCAGGCTGGAGTGCAGTGGTGCCATCATAGCTCACTGCAGCCTCCATCTCCTGGGCTCAAGTGATCCTCCCACCTCAGCCTCCCGAGTAGCTGGGACCACAGGTATGTTCCACCACATCTGACTAGTTTTTTTTTTTTTTTTGTAGAGGTGGGGTTTCGCCATGTAGACCAGGCTGGCCTTGAACTCCTTCCTCCCAAAGTGCTAGGATTACAGACATGAGCCACCACATCAGCTGCCTTGTTCACTTTATAAAGAGGTTTTTTGTTGATTTTTTGAGACAGCGTCACGCTCTTGTCACCAGGCTGGAGTGCAGTGGCACGATCTTGGCTCACTGCAACCTCTGCCTCCCGGGTTCAAGTGATTTTCTTGCCTCAGCCTCCCGAGTAGCTAGGATTACACGCATGCGCCATCACACCCAGCTAATTTTTGTATTTTTGGTAGAAACGGGGTTTCTCCATGTTGGCCAGGCTGGTCTCAAACTCCTGACCTCAGCTTATTCGTTTGCTTTGGCCTCCCAAAGTGCTGGGATTATAGGCATGAGCCACTGCACATGGCCTTGAGAATGTTTTTAAAAAGTAAACAAGAGGCTGGGCTCGGTGGCTCATGCCTGTAATCCCAGTACTTTGGGAGACCAAGGTGGGTGGATCACCTGAGGTCAGGGGTTCGAGACCAGCCTGGCCAACATGGTGAAACCCTGTCTCTACTAAAAATACAAAAATTAGCCAGGCGTGGTGGCACGTGCCTGTAATCCCAGCTACTCGGGAGGCTGAGGCAGCAGAATCGTCTGAATCCAGGGGGCGGAGGTTGTAGTCAGCCAAGATCGTGCCATTGCACTCCAGCCTGGGCAGCATAAGACTCCGTCTCAAAACAAAAACCAAAAAAACCAAAAAAAAACAAAAAAAAATTCTCCTCTTTAATGATGTCCCCGGTATCCCCGTGAAGGAGGGGGTAGGTCTCCCTCCACCGCTGTTTTGTGTGAAGAAAGTGAGGCCCAGAGAAGTCAAGGAACTTGCCCGAGGTCACCAGCATGGAAGCGGCAGAGGTGGAACTTGAACTCAGGCCTGTCTGGCTCTGGCTCTCATTTCTGCTCCTGCCCAGGGCCAACCCCCTCGCCTGCCTCTCAGGAATCCCCTTGGCATCTTCTGAGCACTGTCCTGGGCGTCCAGGGCCCATCCTGTCACAGGTCCCCCGGATGGCCCCCTCTTGCTCCACAGAAGCTCACTAAGCACAGGGGGGCTGAGGATGACTCTCAACCTCCCAGAGGCGGGAGACCGAGGCTAAGGGAGGGGAGTTCTGCATGGGGCTGTACCCAAGGTCACGTCATTTGGGGACAGCTCCGGCCTCAGTCTCTGCAGAGAAGCTGCTGTCCAGACCCCTGCCCTGGAAACGCAAACTCCAACCCCAGATGGAGCATCCAGGGTGGACTGTGAGGGGAGGGCTGTGCCTCTGGAACTGGGGAGACCCCTCCACTCCCCAACTGAGGTTAGAGGTGGGGCCGCCCCCCACCGCTGCAGCAAATCATTCAACAGAGCCCCTCCAACCAGGCAGCCACTGGGCCAGCCCATGGAACTGGCGCCACAGTGGTTCCCAGCGCCCCACCTCCAGCCAAGTTCAAGTTCATCTTGGCCATTACCTCATGTCTGGTTTCTGTTGGCAACCGACAGACTCTGGGCGTGACCCTCCCCGTGGTGGACCAGCCTCCCCTCAGCCCTTCCTCCCTCCTCCCTTCCCTCCCCTCCCCTTCCTGCCTGGCTGTGGCCCCAGCAATGGGGCGGGGGTGGGGTGGGGGCACCCTCAACTCCACATCCTCCCACTCAGCTGAGGGGAGACTGAGGCAGTAGGTGTGAAGGGGGAGGTTTGGGCTCTGGTATCCTGCTGGCCTGGCTGCAGCCGCCTGTGTGGCTCCCGGCATGTGGCTCAATGCCCGCCTTGCCCCCCACCCTCGGTTTACCCAGCTGCTTACGTGGGTTCCCGTGCAGGAGAAATGTAGGGGCGTGAAGGACATCACAGAGGGGAGGGGCCAGGGCGTCAGAGCCACCCAGCCTCACAGTGGGGGGATTGATAGGGACGGACATGGGGCGATGGGTGGGTAACTGACCAGGGCGAGATCAATTAGCATAGATCACGGGGAGGGATATTGATGGGGGGAGAGTCCATGGACTGGGGGGTGTCGGGAGCCGGAGAGGCAGAGGGAAAGGCGCGCCCACCCAGGCTTTGGGGGAGGAGGGGGCAGAGGGAAGCGAATCCGCCAGGAATAGAGGAGGCGGAGGCAGAAGTGCTGACTGGCCAGAATCGGAAATGAGAGGCCTCCAAGCTCAGGGCCCTTTGAGCGGGAGCTGGGAGAGGGGAGAGCGGGATCTCACTGCTTCTTCCCTCCCTCTCTCCGGGGTCTGCAGGGAGGTGGCGGCGCCCGGCCTCAACCCAGGTGCTCTTAGTCCAGTCAGGGCAGCAGCAATGGGGTCCTCCCCAGACCTGTGCTCCCTGGATGCCCAGTTTGGGGACCTCGCCTTCCCCCTAACCCATGCTCCCCTGAGAGCCTCTTGACAATGTGTCACCTCCTTTCTGTGCTCCAGAAAGTTCTGACTCCCAGGCCTGGTGGGTGTCCACTCCCTCCCTCTAAACCCTTCTATGGCTCCCCACTACCCCAGAGCAAAGCCCGCATCATCTGTCTGGCCCCTGCCACCGGAGATCTCTCACATTCCAGCCAGCTCCCCCTCCCCCGACCCACACCATTGCCTATGCTGAGCCCCTTGCCAGTGCCCCCCCACACCCCATTCTGCCAGCCCTGGTCCCACCCTTTCTGGGTCCCCAGAGGAGTCCAGCCAGTCAAGATAGGGATGCTGAGAAAGGTGCCACCCTTGCCTGCCTCAGTTTCCCTTCCCTCCCAGGCTTGGGTGGGGTGGGGCTGGAGCCAGCACAGTCTGAGAGAAGGGTCCCGGGCCCTGGCGGGAGGGCCTGGTCAGAGAGTTTGGTCCAAGGCAGAGGCTGGGGAAGGGTTAAGCGGGCTGGGCCTCCTCCCACCGCAGCTTTTATTAGCTTTGGTTTCTGAACCACTTAAGACGTTCCCAGCCTCCCGCAGGGGCAGGGAGCGATGTGGGGTGGGGGTGGCAGAGGTAATGCCGGGCTCCATCAGCACCAGGCGGGGGAGAGGTTGGCCATAGGGGGCCCAAATCCCAAAGCGAGGAGTCCTGGACGTCTGCTCGCTGGGGGACCCTGACCAAGTTACTCCCTCTCCGGGGCTCTATGGGTGCAAGGCAGGGTACTTAATATTTACGGGGTGTGGGGAAGCCTGAACCTTTCAGTGCCCTTTCTGTCCCCCAGTGCCCTTCAAAGGCTCTTGGTGCGGGTGCCCAAGGCCAGAGGAAGAGACAGAGGTTCAGAGTGGGTGAGCCAGCACTGGGCTGGAGCCCTGGCCCCTGACCCAGGATTCCCTCCACCCATAGCACATGGATCTCCTCTGAACTCAGGAGAAGCAGCCTCCATCCCTGCTTCCTCCTCCGGCTGGTTTTGCGGAGCCTGGGAAGAGAGGGAGGGGCCGCTTACAGGCATCCTGGGCACCCAGCACAGGGAGGGAGGGGGAATGCCATGTCCCCTCCCCGCCCCCATCCGCTCAGCCAGGACAGCCCCGCAGGGTCCCGGGGAGGCCCCGTGACCCTTGCCCGTGGGCTCTGCAGCAGGAAACCTCCCTCAGTGGCTGGAAGATTTGAACACGGCCCCTGGGGACCCCATACATCTCCACGCTCTGCAGTTCCGTGGCCGCTGGGTAGCCCAGAGCTCGTTTCTCTCTGAGTCTGGACCTCCCGGGCCTGTGGCAGCCACTCCTACATCCTCCAACCCTCTCCCCAACACAAACCGGGGAGAGAGCAGAGGCTCAAAGGTCCAGCTGCTTACCCATAACCCGAAGACGCGCTCACACACTCCTGGCCTACACAGAGCCCCTTATGGGGGTGGGGGGTGAGGGACACCTGGGCCTGGGGCTAAGGCTGCCCTCCCACGCCCCCACTCCCTAGACTACTGTGCAGCCTCAGGCAATTGACTTCCCCTCTCTGAGCCTCCTCTGTCAACCTCCTGCCTGCCTGCCTGCCTTCTAGGGGTGGTGGGACCCCGGCCATGCTCACTCAGCTGCAGCCGTCTGAACATGTACGTGACTATGAACATCAACGTGAACATGAACGCTGGCCCCTGCCCCATCCTGTCTGTCCTGCTGACGAAGCCTCTCCGCCCTGACTCCTCACACTGGCTTAGATGTGGGCTGAAGCCTGGGGTGGGGGCTTGGATGCTGTCCTGGGAGGCCCCACGCCCCGCCATGGGCTGCCTCAGTTTCCCCCGGCCACCCCGCGGTCCCTCTAGGCCTCGGCGTGGATGGGGGATGGAGGCTGGAGGAGGGAGGGTGATGCACTGTGTGACCCTGGGCAGACCCCCTTGTCTCTCTGGGCCTCAGTTTTCCCATCTATACCATGGGAAGCAGGTGGTAATGACACTGGTCCCATAGCTGTACCACGATGGTCTCCAGAGACGCTCCTGGGGACCCCACAGGCTGAGTCTGGGGCCACACCCCATCCCCCCAGGACCAAGGTGGAGGGAAATTTGGCCTCAGGGAGAGGCCAGGTGGGGGCTCGAGGCCCAGGTGGGGTGTGGGAGGCTGGCGCCCCTGTGCCAGGGGTGTGGCGTGGGACCCAGCAGGCCCTCTTCGCCCTGAGCCCCCCGGGCCGGCCCCTCTGCCCTGCCCCTCCCACCCCACCAGCCGGCCTCTCGGCCCCTACCTGTGCCTGATAAATGCCCGCAGGATCCCTTGGTCCTAATCCCACAAAGGAACGGTTTGCAGGGGACGTGTCGGGCGGAGAGTAGGCTGCAGGGAGGAGAGAGACCGAGAGCCCGTTAGCGAGGGGTTGTGGGAGCCGGGGCGGCCCTGGCCCCAGAGAGGGTGGCCACCGCCAGGCGTCACACAGCCGGGCCTCTGCACCCAGTGCCTGGGGCCTCCGAGCCTGCCGCCCTACCCCCAGTTGAACCGGGCCCCCCTGAAAGGCCCAAGGTCCTTGGGAGGCGGGGATCCTGACTCGAGGGGCCCGGGGGTCACGGCTGAGATCGCCCAGGTGGGCGGGGTGTCTGCTGAGAGGGAAGGCAGGATGGCTCTGTAATTCACAAAACCGCCCGTGAATTATTCAGGGTGGGCAGCGCCCGCCCGGTCCTGCCACTGAGGGCTGCCTCCGCGCGGGGTGCATGAATTATTGAGGGCGTTTTATTTATTAATCTTCCTCCCGGAGAGGGCAGAGGGAGGGCTGGGTGTGTGCATACATACAGATGTGCGTATTTATATTTCAGCCTCAGCGATTATATTTTGTCGGCGTGTGAGTAACTCACGGCCTGGGGCTACAGCAGGGATGGGGGCCTCAGACAGGCCGGGACCCAGGTAGGGGGAGAAGAAGCTGCAACAGGCAGGGTCCCCAAGTTGTCCTGGCTGGGGTTGGGGGGAGCTGGAGGCAGCGAGGCTTATGGGGAGAAGTAGGAGTAGATTTGCAGTTAAGAGCCCCGGTGCAGGGAAAGGGGGGTGGAATCCATGCCTATCCTGCATTTATTAAGTGTGTACTGTATGCCAGGCACTGGGCATAATCCCGTTGAGCCCTGAGTGGATACTAAGCAGCATCCTGCATCTATTAAGTGTCTACTGTATACCAGGCTCTGGGCATAATCCCACCGAGCCCTGAGTGGATCCTAAGCAGCATCCTGCATCTATTAAGTGTCTACTGTAAACCAGGCTCTGGGCATAATCTCATCGAGCCCTGAGTGGATCCTAAGCAGTATCCTGCATCTATTAAGTGTCTATTGTATACCAGGCTCTGGGCATAATCCCACTGAGCCCTGAGTGGATCCTACACAGTATCCTGCACCTATTAAGTGTCTACTGTATGCCAGGCTCTGGGCATAATCCCACCGAGCCCTGAGTGGATCCTACGCAGTATCCTGCATCTATTAAGTGTCTACTGTATGCCAGGCACTGGGCATAATCCCACCGAGCCCTGAGTGGATCCTACACAGTATCCTGCATCTATTAAGTGTCTACTGTATGCCAGGCTCTGGGCATAATCCCATCGAGCCCTGAGTGGATCCCACGCAGTATCCTGCATTTATTAAGTGTCTACTGAATACCAGGCTCTGGGCATGATCCCACTGAGCCCTGACTGGATCCTATGCAGTCAACGCTCCCATTTCACAGATGAGCAGGCAGGGACAGCCGGCAAGAATGACCACAGCTGCCTGACACCACGCAGCATCAGGCGCCACATGGAATGTCCTCTCTGCCTCCCTGACCCATGTCACCGGCTTGTCCCCCACTGCCCTGTGAATTGGGCACCAAGGCAAACCCACTTTGCAGCTGAGAAAACTGAGGCTCAGAGAGGGGAAGACACCTGCCTGAGGTCACACAGTGAGAGAGCTGCAGAGGTGGGATTCCAGCCCAGGGTGGATTTGGGGCTGATCTCCTCCAGCCAGTGATCAGAAGCCGGTTTTTATGGGCAGGCAGCCTGGGTTCTGGCACGCAGTGGGGACGGGGACAGGAACGCCGGGGCAGGGAGAAGAGGAGCTGAGGGCACCTAGAAGGAACCGTGGCCACCAACTGCTTGGGTGGGGTGGGGGGTCTCATTTGGAGAGTGAGGGACAGAGATGCTCAAAAAGGGGGGTGAGGGGCAGATGGAGTCCATGGGGAGAGGTCTCTGGGTTCAGAGATGTCTGGCGCCCTGTGAGGGTGGGTGACCCACCCAAGCCTGCATGGGGGTCGTGGGGAGAGTCTGGGGGTAGAGCCACTGCGGACGAATGGGGTGGACCTCAGGACAGGGATGCCAGGACCGAGGGGCCATCCAGCAGCCACCCAGAACCACATCCAGAGAGCAGAAAAATCTAGAAGGTGCAGCAGCCGCCAACCCAGGGGCTTCCAGGTCAGGTGGACAGGCGAAGAGAGTCCCATCTAAAGGTGTGGTCCAGCCCAGGTCACCCAAAGGAACTGGGCCTGGTGTAGCTCCTTTCTCCCCAAGAAGCCAGAACTCTGGAAATGTTTATGTAAAACGTCCTGATTTTAAAATGATAACAACCGATTCTCTTTCTCCACAAACAAAAGACCAGTCTGGGGGTCGAGTCTGGCCCTCGGGCCGCCACTGTGAGATCCGTGTCCACTGTCAGCTGCCTGACATACCAGGGAGGGTTTCTGACGGCCCACGGCGGGCACCGGGGTCCCCCAGGTGACTCGGCGAAGGGGACAGACCCTGGACTCTCACCCTGGCCCGAGGCTTGGTCCGGCCAGCCCCTAAGGCTGCCTCAGCCCTACATGGGCCCAACCACGTGGCCACTGGGCTGTTTTCCGGAGACCCACCAAACTCGCCAGGCCCTGCAGGGTCGGGCCTGACCTCTGACCTGGCAGTGGGGCTGGGGAGGGGACAGGCCCCCCTGCGGACATCCGCCCCACCAGGGCACCGCTTCCCGCGTGCTTACAAGGCGAGGTCGGCGACGTGGCTCCTCCCTCGGAGGTGGTGGCGGGTTTGGTGGCAGGGGGGAGCGCCAGCCGTGGCAGCCCCGGGGGCGGAGGTGCCAGCATCTGAGCAGAAAGGCAGTGGCTGGGCATTTTGAGCTGACCACTTCCATTTAACTGGGGGAACAGAGAGACACGTGGTTAAGGGGTGGGCTCCCCCTCTACCTCGGGCTGCTGGCGCCGGCCGCCCCCGGCTCTGTGCACGGCCCGGACGGGGTGGCAGGCTGGGGGGCCAGGGCGCGGGTGTGACCATGGCGGGTTTGGTGGGTCTGAGGACGGCCGGAGGTGGAGGGGCCTGGGGACACCCGCTTGCTGGTGTCACTCAAAGCCCGGCACTACTGGGGCCACGCTCACTGCATCTCCTCTGTAAACCCCCTGCACGCCAACTCGACTGATTTCCTTCCAAACAGTGCCACCGCCTCCTAACAGCAGGTTCTCCGCGTTTTTCCTAATTCACTGCGAGCACGCCATCATCCACCATCATCCACGGCCTGGCCCGTGGTTCCAAAGTCCGAAAAGCTCTGAACATCCAAAGCTTCCTGTGGAGTCTGGCAAACGCTGTCTTGCTCGAACTGAGTTTGGTGGTTTTTTTGTAATCAATGTCTTCCTGCCCCCCGCCCCCCAACCTTTTTTTTCTTTTTGAGACAGGGTCTCGTTCTGTCACCCAGGCTGGGGTGCAGTGGCACAATCACAGCTCACAGCAGCCTCGACCTCCCAGGTTCAAGCGATCCTCCCACCTCAGCCTCCTGAGTAGCTGGGACTACAGGCGCCCGCCACCATGCGTGGCTCATTTTTAAGTATTTTTTTTGTAGAAACTGGGTCACGCTATGCTGCCCAGGTTGGTCTTGAACTCTGGGCTTATGCAATCCTCCCGCCTTGGCCTCCGAAAGCGCTGGGATCACAGGCATGAGCCGCTATGCCCAGTCCCTCCCTGCCTTGTGTTAACATGAGTACGACTCACGCAGTTGCTGGGACCTACGGGTGCTACCCAGACCCCACAGGGTGCGACATGATGCGCCCGAAACCCTGACATCCGAAAGCATCTCAATTCTGACCCAATCCAGCTGCCTCCCAGCACGACAGAGGAGGGGACTTCAGAGCCAAGTCCTCAAGACCCTTTTAAGCAGAGGTTGTGCCTTCGTGTGAGCACGTGGCCCCCGGGAGGTCACCTGGAGCCGCCAGGAGAGGCCCGAATGCGCCCCGCCCAACTCACCGGTCCAGGTTGCTGGCTGGCTGGGTCGCAGGCCAGCGAGACAAGATCTTTGAGCGGGTCCTGGGGGTTGAGATGAGGTGGGTAGCGGATGGCCGTGTGGGGGAAGTAGGTGGAGGCCGTCTGGGGTAGGATGGACGTCGTAGGGAAATGCAGAGCGGAGGACGGGTGTGGGCTCCGGGCGATCCCTGCGGAGACAGTGGGAAGCGGGGGTTACTTGGGGGCTCCAGCCGGTCTGCTCTGTGACCGTGTGACTGTGTGTCTGTGGGTGTCATTCCTGCCGGCATCTCAGTGCGTTTAGTAACAATAACCACCAAAAAAACCCAGCAGCACTGACCACATTGACACCCAAATTCCCCGACTCCCACGGCAACCCCACTGGGGCTGTGATATTATCCTTGTGTTTTAATTTAATTTTTTAGTTTTGTAGAGGTGGGGGTCTTGCTATGTTGCCCAGGCAGGTCTCGAACTCCTGGGCTCAAGCGATCCTCCCTCCTAGGCCTCCCAAAGTGCGGGGATTACAGGTGTAACCCACTGAGCCTGGTCTTTTTTTTTTTTTTTTTTTTTTGAGACAGTCACCCAGGCTGGAGTGCAGTGGTATGACCTCAGCTCACTGCAACCTCCACCTCCTGGGTTCAAGCAATTCTGCCTCAGCCTCCCGAGTAGCTGGGATTACAAGTGCACGCCGCCATGCCTGGCTAACTTTTGTATTTTTAGTAGAGATGGGGTTTCGCCATGTTGGCCAGGCTGGTCTTGAACTCCTGACCTCAGGTGATCCGCCCACTTTGGCCTCCCAAAGAGCTGGGATTGCAGGCGTGAGCCACTGCACCTGGCCCCGTCTTTTTTTTTTTTTTTTTAAACAGAGGATGACAGGGTGGCCTTCAGGGGATGTGTCACCTGCCTGGGGCCACACGGCATCAGATGGCAGACCGGGAATTTGAACCCAGCCCATCTGGCCCCACAGTCTACACTATAAATCTAGGGTTGGCAAGCTCTTTCTGCAAATGGCTGAATAGTGATCTTTTTTTTTTTTTTTTAAGAGATAGAATCTCGCTTTGTCACCCAGGCTGGAGTGCAGGGGCATGATCATGGCTCACTACAGCCTTGACCTCCTGACCTCAGGTGATCCTCCTGCCTCGGCCTGAGTAGCACGGACTGCCGGCGTGTGCCACCACGCCTGGTTAATTTTTTGTATTTTTAGTAGAGATGGGGTTTCATCATGTTGCCCAAGCTGGTCTCAAACTCCTGGACTCAAGCAATCCACCCACCTCAGCCTCCCAAAGTGCTGGGATTGCAGGCATGAGCCACTGTGCCCGGCCTAATTCCAGCACATAAAGAAATTCCGTCTCCATCAGCCGTCACTCCTCACCTCCTCCCCCAGCCCCAGCACCCATACATCCCCTTCCTGCCTCTGTGGCTGGCCCTGTCCTGGACATTTCATAGAAATGAGATCACATGCTGTGTGGCCTTTTTGTCTGGCTTCTCTTACTGAGCATGACGTCCTCAAGGTGGCCTGCGTCAGAGCCTCGTGCGTTTTCATGGCTGAGTCATATTCTATTGTGGTGCCTGCCTTTTCCTCTTTCTAAACAGTTCAGTGATTTTTAGTATTTTCACTATTTATAGCAGTCACTCCCTCATCTCCACAGCCTCTGGCCAGATAGTAAATATTTTTGGCTTTTGGCCACGTGGTCTCTGCTGTAATTACTCAGCCCTGCCAAGACAGGGTGAGAGCTGCCACAGGACATATACAAAGACGTGGTCGTGGCTGTTTGCCAATAAAACTTTATTCGTAAGAACAGGCAACCAGGGGGCCAGCGTTTGCTGACCCCTGGCCCAAATGGCTGCTTTGATTTGGGACTGCCTCTCTGTGTGCATGACTGTGTAAAGAACTAAATAGTTGATCACTAGAACATGGGGTGGTAAGCAATATTTGAGGCTTCCTACAATTCACCCCCCTTAATCCCAATGGCAACCATGGAAGGTGATTTTTTGTTTGTTCTGTTTTGTTTTTTTTTGAGATGGAGTCTTGCTCTGTTGCCCAGGCTGGAGTGCAATGGCACAATCTTGGCTCACTGCAGCCTCCGCCTCCCGGGTTCAAGAAATTCTTGTGCCTCAGCCTCCTGAGTAGCTGGGATCACAGGCATGCATCACCACACCGAGCTAATTTTTGTATTTTAGTAGAAACGAGATTTCACCATGTTGTCCAGGCTGGTCTTGAACTCCTGACCTCAGGTGATCCGCCTGCCTCGGCCTCCCAAAGTGCTGGGATTACAGGTGTGAACCACTGTGCCTGGCCGAGATGGAGATGTCTCTTTTTTTTTTTTTGAGATGGAGTCTCGCTCTGTCACCCAGGCTGGAGTGCACTGGCACGATCTTGGCTCACTGCAAGCTCCGCCTCCCGGGTTCACGCCATTCTCCTGCCTCAGCCTCCCAAGTAGCTGGGACTACAGGCGCCTGCCACCACGCCCGGATAATTTTTTGTATTTTTAGTAGAGACGGGGTTTCACCATGTTAGCCAGGATGGTCTCAATCTCCTGACCTCGTAATCCGCCCGCCTTGAAATCCCAAAGTGCTGGGATTACAGGCGTGAGCCACTTGCACTTAGCCTTTTTTTGGAGACAGGGTCTTGCTCTGTCGCCCAGGTTGGAGTGCAATGGCGTGAACTCGCCTCACCGCAACCTCTGCCTCCTGGGTTCAAGCGATTCTCCTGCCTCAGCCTCCCAAGTAGCTGGGACTACAGGCGCATACCACCACACTCGGCTAATTTTTGTATTTTTAGTAGACAAGGGGTTTCACCATGTTGGCCAGGCTGGTCTTGAACTCCTGACCTTGTGATCTGCCTGCCTCGGCCTCTCAAAGTGCTAGAATTACAGGCATGAGCCACCAAGCCTAGCTTTTTTTTTTTTTTTTGAGATGGAATCTTACTCTGTTGCCCAGGCTGGAGTGCAGTGGTGTGATCTCTGCTCACTGCAACTTCTACCTCCCGGGTTCAAGCAATTCTCCTGCCTCAGCCTCCCCAGTAGCTGGGACTACAGGTGCGTGCCACCACGCCTGGCTAATTTTTGTATTTTTAGTAGAGATGGGGTTTCACCATGTTGGCCAGGCTGGTCTCAAACTCCTGACCTCAGATGATCCACCCGCCTCAGCCTCCCAAAGTGCCGGGATTACAGGTGTGAGCCACTGTGCCTGGCCTCATTGGCAGCTTCTGATCCTGCCTGTCCATCAGTGTCTGGGGTTGGAATGGGGGGATTAGATTGAGACGGGGGTGAGGGGAGTGAGGTGAAGTTAGGTTGCAGCCTTTTGTTATACAGGGGGGAAACTGAGGCCCAAAGGGACTGAGTCCAACCTCTCAGCCGGGCTGGAACAAGGCCCTGGGCGCTCTCCACTACGGCACCTCTATGGTTTTTTGCCCACCTAGAAGGCTACAGCAATAGGACTCATGGTCAGACATCCAGTGGGACTTCCCCGGCTGTGAGAGGCCTGATAGGAGGGCCCGCCGCCCCTCCCCGCCAGGGGCCCGTGGCGCTTACCGCTGTGCACGGCGATGACGGGCCGGTGGTGCTGGGTGAAGCTGGAGAGGCGGGGAGAGTCCTGGGGGGACGGGCTGTTGAATGGTGACTTGTCCATCTCTGTCTTCTTCACCGGGGACGAGATGCCTGTGGAGGGGATGGGACGAGAGAGTCACAGGCTGGTCACACCCCATGAGCCCTGGACCTTCCCCAAAGCCAGCCTCCGAAGGGATAGGAAGCCTCATCACCCCGCCTCCTCTTACCCCAGAATCCTGAGGGGGAGAGGCTGTGAGCCCATTACACAGAGGAGTAAACGAAGGCTCAGAGCAGAGAAGGGGCTAGCCAGGGCGGCACAGCCGGGGGATGGAGAGCTGGGTATCAACACGTGCCCCTGGGCCTCGCTCCTGGCCCTTGCCTACTCTCCTTCCAGAGAAATGGGAAGGCTCAGGGCTGCCCCATCACCTGGGAGTCACCCGAGCCCTAGAGAAGGTGGCAGGGAGGGCAGAGACAGTCAGATCCGAAGTCCAGTTAGACCCTGACTGGCTAAGGGCGCACAGACAAGCCCCAGCTCAGCTCTGCCTTCCCTCGTCCACGCGGGAGGAAGGAACGGAGCCTCCCTGGGGCTGAAATGAGGTGCATCCCCCCTCTGCAGTGACTTGCTGGCATCACTCTGCAGACAGGGGCCTCACTACCTCCCAGGCTGCCTGGGACAAAAGCCCCCACAGCCCCCAACTCAGCAGCTCAGCCCCTCACACCTTCCTCAGTGAATCAATGAATGAAGAAACAGAGGCCAGGCACAGTGGCTCATGCCTGTAATCCCAGTGCTTTGGGAGGCTGAGGTGGGCAGATCACTTGAGGCCAGGAGTTCAAGACCAGCCTGGCCAACATGGTGAAACCCTGTCTCCACTAAAAATACAAAAATTAGGTGGGTGTGGTGGCGGGTGCCTGTAATCCCAGCTACTTGGGAGGCTGAGGCAGGAGAATCGCTTGAACCCAGGAGGCAGAGGTTGCAGTGAGCTGAGATCACGCCACTACACTCCAGCCAGGGCTACAGAGCAAGACTCCATCACAAACACAAAAAACAGATGGATAGTCGGGTGCAGGGGCTCACGCCTGTAATCCCAGCTACTTGGGAGGCTGAGGCAGGAGAATCGCTTGAACCCAGGCGGCAGAGGTTGCAGTGGGCCGAGATCACGCCATTGCACTCCAGCCCAGGCAACAAGAATGAAACTGTGAAACTGTCTCAAAAACAAACAAGCAAGTAAACAAACAAACAAAAAACGGATGGACTCAGGGAGGCTCACCCACCAAACATCGGCTTCCCTCCCCCTCCAGGCACCCCCTGGAAAGCCCCTGGGTGTGGGGGAAGCAGGTGGTCCAGGGTTCAAACCCCGGCTGGCCATGAGGCTGTGCGACCTGGGGTGAGCTGCCACGTCTACCCCTTTTCATAAAACAGGGGATTCTGTAAAGCTCTGGAATTTCCATCGGGAGCAGTGTGGGAGTGGCAGCTGTGAGGATTGGGCCAGGGGTGCCTGTGCAGGTGAAGCCCATGGCCGTCCCAGATCCCTGGGCATCGGGGCATTCTCTGAGGATGCCTTCAGCCCTGCTTTCCGAGGGAACGTCAGCCACCCAGCTGGAAGAATGTTAGCTACTGCAGGAGCCGCTGCTGCTGCTATTTGGGGTGAGTGGGGAGATGACACGGTGCCCCTTGACACTTTCACCCTGTCTTCAAAATGAAGTGGGAACACAGAGCCCCAAAGAGGGCCATTTTGGGTATTTCCAGGAGGCTGGGGTGGAGTCCCAGCTCTGGAGCCGAAATGCCTGGCCTTCTGGGGCTGTGTCTTTTTTTTTTTTTTTTTTTTGAGATAGAGTCTCCCTCTGTCGCCCTGGCTGGAGTGCAATGGCGTGATCTCGGCTCGCTGCAACCTCCGCCTCCCAGGTTCAAGCGATTCTACTGCCTCAGCCTCCCGAGTAGCTGGGATTACAGGCGCCCACCACCACGCCCGGGTCATTTTTGTATTTTTAGTAGAGATGGGGTTTCACCATGTTGGCCAGGCTGGTCTCAAACTCCTGGCCTCAGGTGATCCACCCACCTCGGCCTCCCAAAGTGCTGGGATTATAGGCGTGAGCCACTGCACCCAGCCGAGTTATTTGTCACCCAGGCTAGAGTGCAGAGGCACGATCATGGCTCACTGCAGCCTCAACCTCCTGGGCTTAAGTGATCCTCCCACCTCAGCCTCCCAGGTAGGTGGGACCACAGGCATGCACCATCATGTCCAGGCAATTTTTTTTTTAGAGATGGGGTCTTGCTATGTTGCCCAGGCTGGTCTCAAACTCCTGGGCTCAAGGGATCCTCTTGCCTTGGTCTCTCAAAGTGCTGGGATTACAGGCGTGAGCCACAGTGCCTGGCCCCAGAGAAGCTTTTTCAAGTGAGGGCTAAGGATCACATCTTGCCTGAGAAATGCAGTGTCCTGGGCCCTACCCTATCCCTGGAAATGGAATCTCAGGGAGGCGTGCCCTGGGGAGCCGAATTTTTAGAAAGGATTTTTACATTTCTTTTAAGGTAAAACATATCTACTGAGACCATCCAAACAGGGTGATGAGTTTAGCTTCCCTTCGACCTGGCCCTTGGAGTTCCTTACCTCCAGGGTCTCTCAGACAGGCACTGTGGACACTGGGGCTGGATCATTCTCTGGGGTGGGGCCCTCCTGGGCACTGCAGGGTGCTGAGCAGAGTCCCTGGCCACCACCCACTTCATGCCAGGAGCACCCCCGGTTGTAACAACCACAGATGTCCCCAGACATCACCAAAAGTACCCTGGGCAAGAATCACGTGTGGGTGAGACCCTCTGGGTTAGGGGATCCCATGGACCCTCCACGAGACTATGTCCCATGATCCTCTGCCCTGCTGTGGTCCCAGGAGGCTGCACACACTGAAATCCACACGGAGTGAGGAGGGAGAGAGGAGGTGAATCCCAGGAGCTGGGGTCCCCCTGGTTTCTACCGTCTGCCCTGTCAGGAGCTTCTTCTGGTGTCTGGTGTGAGCAGTGACGTAACTCAATATTTTCCAAATAATTCACGCAGGATTTCTCAGTCTCAGCACTGCTGATGTGGGGGCCAGATCGGTCTCTGTAGGGAGCTGTCCTGGGCACTGCAGGGCGCTGAGCAGCACCCCTGGCCTCCACCCACTCCGTGCCAAGAGCGCCCCTCAGTGGGGACAACCACGGATGTCCCCAGATGTGACCTGCTGTCCCCGGGTGATGCCCTGATGAGAAACGGTGAGGATGTCACCGTGTCTTGGGTCTCCTGCTGGTGGTTCCATAGGCACCTGCAGGCATCTGTGTGGTACAGGCCCTCCCCAGTCCTGTCCCCACCTCCTCCATCCTCCCAGCATCGCTGCATCCTTCCCTGAACGGGGTTACCACTCAGGGAACTTCCGTCCTCTCTGATGGCTGCAGCCCAGGGGGAGCCCAGATCCAGGACCCAGCTGTGGGGGGACATGCAGCTCTTCATCTGCTTTTGTGGTTATGGAACCAGCTGTCCCCATGGCCCTGCACACACCATGCTGTGAGGAGTGAAGGTGTCACTGGGACACACCCCAGAAGCAGGTCAGCAGTTCCCAGGGACCCGGGAACACCCGGCTCTGGAGGAGGCGGGCACCCAGGACACCCACATGGGGGGCAGGAAGGATGACACCTCCACTCATGCCCAGCCTGTGAACACTCAAGGGGGAACACTCCTGAGGCCTCGGACATCGAGGCTGAGCCACCCAGAGAGGCCCCACTGCCCAGTGGGATGCCATGAAGTCTGTGACCAAGCTGGGCCCCAGCAGCCAGGCCCGGGCTTTTCCAGGGCAGGAGGATGTGGCAGGAATGAGGGTGGCCTGGAGCCGGGGAGGCCAGGCTGGTCTTGTCGGCACGTGTGTGTGCATGTGTATGCCTGTGCACGTGTGTGTGTGCATGTGAATACATGCATGTGTGTGCGTGCATGTATGTGTGTATGCCTGCACGCATGTGCACAGCTGCATGCATGTGTGCATGTCTGTGCATGTGTGTGTACGCATGTGAGCATATGTGGACGTGTGCACGCCTGCATATGTATGCCTGTACATGCACGTTCATATCTGTGTATGTGTATGCCTGTGCACGTGTCTATGTGTGTGAATGCGCACATGCGTGTGCACGTGAATATATGCATGTATGTGTATGCCTGCACATGCATGTTCATGTCTATGTATGTGTGCTTGCACGCACACGTACAGGTCTGCAAGCATGCATGCATACATGTGTGCACGCCTGTGCACGTGCGTGCATATATGTATGAGCATGCATGCGTGTGTGCAAGCGTGTGTGTGTGTGTGCAGGGGCTGGCAGCTCCCTGCAAGCGCAGGGCCACGGCGGGAACGAGGTTAGGGTTGTCAGACGCTCATTTAGGAGGATTTCCTAGAACCGCTTGTCCTGGATGGAAATAGTCTGGCTCAGACTCCACCCCCGGCCGCCACATCCCTGCAGGCACCGCTAGAGCTTCCTGAGATGGGGCCAGCGGCAGCCAGGGCAGGGCAGGAAGGAGGGGGGAGCGCAGCTCAGGCACCGCGAGAAAGAATAAGCCGGCACGCTCCCGGCAGGCTCTACGGACACTGACTCTGCACCCCGCCTCCAAGCATCCTCTGTCTGTTCAGCAGGCATGCCTGGGACCCCTGTGGGACCTCCCTGTTCAGCCAGCGGGCATGTGCGTCCCCCGCCCATCTCAGTGGCCATCTTTCCTCTCAGGGAACACATCCATACGCCCCTCCCGGCATCCTGAATGCCCCATCTGAGAATATTGACTGTGAGGAGGACGCAGGCCCGAGGGCTCCCCCATCAGAGCTTCTTCCTGTCTGTTTAACACACACGCCCATCTGACCTCCTCTCTGTATTTGACAAAAGGCCCTCATCACCCCGACGGAGCAGCCATTTGTCACACACGCCCATCTGACCTCCTCTATTTGACAAAAGGCCCTCATCACCCCGTCGGAGCAGCCATTTGTCACACACGCCCATCTGACCTCCTCTTTGTATTTGACAAAAGGCCCTCATCACCCCGTCGGAGCAGCCATTTGTTTGCTCAACAAACAAGCCCATCTCCCACTGAAATGCCGGCTCCCCCAGGGGGCCAAGGCCCACTCTGGCTGGGTCTCTAGGGTCCGGGGTCAGGAGGGGCCCTACACAGAGTGTGTGGAGTGGACAGAGGCCCCGATGCAGGGCATGAATCTGATGAGGACAGCAGTGACCACGGGGCGTTGACAGTGCACCAAGGTCTCCTCTGGGCCCTGTGGACATTTGGGACCGGATCATTCTCTAGGGTGGGGCCATCCTGAGCACTGCAGGGTGCTAAGCGGTGTCCCTGGACCCAATCCATGCCAGGACCACCCTGCAGTCGTGACAACCACACAGGTCCCCAGATGTCACCCAGTGTCCTCTGGGGTCAGGATCACCCATAGGTAAAATCCTCTGTCTTAGAGGATTCCATGGACCCCCAAGAGACTCTGCGTCCCATGATCCTCTGCGTCCCATGATCCTCTGCCCTGCAGAGGTCCCAGGAGGCTGCACACATTGAAATCCACACCTTGAGTGGGGAGGGAGAGAGGAGGTGAGTCCCAGGAGCTGGGGGTCCCCCTGGTTTACACACCGTCTGCCACACTAGGAGTTTATTCCGTTGTGAGCAGGGGGCAGACTTTTTTCTTTTTCTTTTTTTTTTTTTGAGATAGGGTCTCACGCTGTTGCCCAGACTGGAGTGCACTGGTGCAATCATAGCTTACTGCAGCCTTGACCTCCTGGGCTCAAGCGATCCTCCCAACCTCAGCCTCTCGAGTAGCTGGGACTACAGGCACACGCCACCACATGCAGCTAATTTGGTATTTTTTTGTAGAGACAGGGTTTCCCTATGTTATCAAACTACTAGGCTCAAGCGATCCTCCAGCCTTGGCCTCCCAAAGTGCTGGGATTACAGGTGTGAGCCACCACACTCAGCCTCAATTTTTTTCTACATAATTAATACAGGTTTCTCAGCCTCAGCACTGTAGACATTGGGGCTGGCTCGTTCCCTGGGGAGGGGCTGTCCTGGGCACTGCAGGGTGCTAAGCAGCATCCCTGGCCTCGACCCACTCCATGTCAAGAGCTCTCCCAGTTGTGACAACCACAGATGTCCCTAGACACCGGCCAGTGTCCCTGGGGGTGGGGCAGCATCGCCCTGGGTGAGGACCTTCTGTGAAGGCACTAGCCTCCTCTCTTAATGTGGTCCTCACAGCTGCCCCGTGCAGAGCTTACAGGAGCTGCGCCCATTTCACAGATGTGGAGGCTGAGGCCTGATGGGGGACGTCACTCGCCTAAGGCCATAGAGCCAAGGGGGGGTGGAGGTGGAGTTGGAACCCAACTCTGTCCCTCCCCAGGCCACGTTGCACTAGCCTCCACCCTGGGGTTAAAAAAAGGGATGGGCGGGCTGGGCTCGGTGGCTCACACCTGTCATCCTAGCACTGTGGGAGGCCGAGGCGGGCGGATCACTTGAGGTCAGGAGTTTGAGACCAGCCTGGCCAACATGGTGAAACTCCATCTCTACTAAAAATACACAAATTAGCTGGTCATGGTGGCAGGCGCCTGTAGTCCCAGTCCCAGCTATTTGCGAGGCTGAAGCAGAAGAATTGCTTGAATCTGGAAGGCAGAGGCTGCAGTGAGCCGAGATCATGCCACTGCACTCCAGCCTGGGCAACAGAGTGAGATTCTGACTCAAAAAAAAAAAAAAAAAAGGGATGGGAAGCCTGGGGTGACAGAGGAGAGGAATGGATGGGGGCTGCCTGCCCCGCCCTGTGTAATAACCGCCTGTGGACGGGACCTTTGTCGCCTTCAAGGGGGAGCTACACAAGCAGCAAAAACAAAGCACAGTGGGGGCTGCTCCAAGGCACCTTCCCTCCACCCCACGCAGCCGCGTAAGCAGGGAGGCCTCGGGTGGAGGCGGCCAGGAGAAAGGGCCTGGCCCAGGCCCCAAGCGGGCAAAGCCTAGAGGCTGGAATGTGGGGCCTGGAGGTGTGGGGTGGGGGTCTTGCCTGGCATCGGGCTGGCATGATCCCCCCAGGCCTCTGTGAGCCTCAGGGTTGGGGACTGGCTGAGCACTGCCCGGGAGAAAAGGCCCCGAGTCCGCCAGAGGAAGGGAGAGCTGCTCTAATCAGCTTAACCCCCTTAATGAGTGGCTAATTGGGGGCTGTCTAGACAGGAAGCTGGAAAGGGCAGGGAAGGGTGGGGGGAGGATGCCGAGGAGGAGGAGGAGCATCCCAGGGTGGTGGCCAGGGGCCAAGGGCACCTTCGGGAGAGACCCTGCCTGCCTGGGTTCCTGTTTTGTGTCCTCCCTCTGCGGAGGCACCCGGCTTGGGACAGCCTTGCAGGCTGCAACAATAAGCCTGGCCCTCCCCGTGCCCCCAGCCCCTCCGGCCCTTCCTGTGCCCCCGGCCCCTCTGGCCCTTCCCTTGGGCCCCTCTGGCCCTTGCCTCGGTCCACCAATGAGGTTACAGCTGGGCCCCACTGGGAACCTCAGGAACCCTGCTCCAGCCCAGGGGCCAGGCCTGTTCTGAGGCGTCCCCCTTGGGACTTCAGAGGCTGCGAAATGTTTACCGATGCAGGCCACAGCGATGGGGAGAGGCCCAGGAAGCACTGGGCATAAGCTCGGGGCTCTGCCCCTTCTTTGCTGTGGGACCTTTGGGCCTCAGTTTCCCCACTTGTCAACTGATGGCCAGGGGCAGCCCTGATCTCACAGAGTGTTGCCGGGAGGGGAAATAACCCGGCTTAGGACATCACAGATGCCCCATAAAACAAAGAGAGCGAGGTACCCTGAGTGGGGCCGCTGGGAACGGCCACGTGGTTCCGTGTCCCTGTGCACCCGCTTGCCGCTGGGGTGACCTGGAGCAGGTGATGTCACCTCTTTGAGCCTCAGGGTTTCCCTCTGCAAAATGAGGTGCCTGCCAGGCACCTCCGCAGGGCTGTCTGGGACTAAAATGTTGGGAAGGGACATAGAGAAAAAGCGGCCAGCCGGGTGTGGTGGCTCACACCTGCCATCCCAACACTGTGGGAAGCAGAGGCAGGAGGATGAGCCCAGGAGTTTAAGACCAGCCTGGGCAACACAGGGAACTCTGTCTCTACAAAAAGTACAAAAAATAGCCAGGTGTGTTGGCAAGTGCCCATAGTCCCAGCTACTTGGGAGGCTGAGGAAGGAGGATGGCATGAGCCCAGTGGGCGCTGATCGCACCACTGCACTCCATCCTGGGCGACAGAGCAAGTCACTATTTGGGAAAAACAAAACAAAACAAAACAAAAAAGGCCAGGCGCAGTGGCTCACGCCTGTAATCCCAGCACTTTGGGAGGCCGAGGCGGGCGGATCACCTGAGGTCAGGAGTTCGAGAGCAGCCTGGCCAACAGGGTGAAACCCCATCATTACTAAAAACACAAAATTAGCCGGGTGTGGTGGAACTCCTGAGGTCAGGAGTTCCAGACCAGACTGGCCAACATGGTGAAAACCCGCCTCCGCTAAAAATACAAAAATTAGCCAGCCGTGGTGGCGGGCACCTGTAATCCTAGCTATTCGGGAGGCTGAGGCACGAGAATCGCTTGAACCTGGGAGGCAGAGCTTGCAGTGAGTCAAGATCGCGCATTGCACCCCAGCCTGGGCGAGCGACAGAGAGAGATTCCGTCTCAAAAAAAAAAAAAAGAGTGGCCCAGACCAGGGGTCACGCACCTTCTCCCCACTCCGTTTAGGTGCTTTGCATATGCCTCTGGCTATATTATAGGGGAGATTCTGCCCGCAAGAGACATTTGGCCAGGTCTGGGGACATTTACGGTTGTCACCACTGGGGGGTGCTCCTGACACGGAGTGGGTGGAGGCCATGAACTCTGCACAGCACCCAACAGTGCCCAAGACAGCCCCGCCCCAGAGGATGGTCTGGCCCCAAACATCCACAGTGCAACTCCTCAAACCACGATTCTCCCTGCTGGGAATGCCCTCCCATCATCTTCCCTGCGGATAAATCCACTTAAATCATCCCGGTTGTAGCTTAGCCGCGAATTAATAATAAACCCGGCTCTCACGCCCCAGGTGCGTGCTTTACGTAAAGTCCAGCCCTGGGCCACGGGTGTTAAAATTCTTCCAGTGTTTGGCCGGGCGCGGTGGCTCACGCCTGTAATCCCAGCACTTTGGGAGGCCGAGGCGGGCAGATCACGAAGTCAGGAGATCGAGACCATCCTGGCTAACACGGTGAAACCCCGTCTCTACTAAAAATACAAAAAATTAGCCGGGCATGGTGGTGGGTGCCTGTAGTCCCAGCTATTCGGGAGGCTGAGGCAGGAGAATGGCATGAACCCGGGAGGCGGAGCTTGCAGTGAGCCGAGATCACACCACTGCACTCCAGCCTGGGCGACAGAGCAAGACTCTGACAAAAAAAAAAAAAAAAAAATTCTTCCAGTGTTTTCTCTTCACTGGGATATCAAGGCAGAGTTTTTTGAGATGGAGTTTCGCTCTTGTTGCCCAGGCTGGAGTGTAATGGCACAATCTCGGCTCACTGCACCCTCCGCCTCCCAGGTTCAAGTGATTCTCCTGCCTCAGCCTCCCGAGTAGCTGGGATTACAGGTGCCCACCACCACACCCGGCTAATTTTGTGTTTTTAGTAATGATGGGGTTTCACCCTGTTGGCCAGGCTGGTCTCGAACTCCTGACCTCAGGTGATCCGCCTGCCTCGGCCTCCCAAAGTGCTGGGATTACAGGTGAGCCTTTTTTTTTTTTTTTTTTTTTTTTTTTTTTTTTTTTTTTTTTGAGACAGGGTCTTTCTCTGTTGCCCCGGATGGAGTGCAGTGGTATGATCATAGCTCAGGGCAGCTTTGACCTCCCGTCTTAAGCAATCCTCTCACCTCAGCCTCCCAAGGAGCTGGGACTACAGGTGTACACCACTATGTGATGCTATTTTTTTTTTTTTTTTAAGTAGAGATGGGGTCTTGCCATATTGCTAGGATTACAGTTGTAAGCCACTGCACCCGGCCAGCAACCTGATCGTATAGCAGAGGAAATTGAGGGGCAGAGAGGTTAAGGAACCTGCCAAATGTCACACAGCTGGAGAAGCAGAGAAGCCAGTTGCCCGAGCTCCTCACTGCTCTGTCAGCCTGATTCTCCTCCTCGGGGAGGTCCTCCCTTTTCTTCCAAGTTCTATCAGGGTCCTCTTGTTCCCCCTGACTGTCTTCTGTGCCTCCTCCTCTGGGCTGTAGTCACCTGGATAAAAACCCATCTCCCTCACTAGGCTGTTAGCCCCTGGAAGGTAGGGACAAGAGTGGGTTGGATCATCTCTGTGTCCCCAGGGCCTCAGGTAGGGCCAGCACACAGGAGGGCTTTACACTGAGGATGAAACCCTCAGGAGGAGGCCGGGTGCGGTGGCTCACGCCTGTAATCCCAGCACTTTGGGAGGCCGAGATGGGCGGATCACGAGGTCAGGAGATCGAGACCATCCTGGCTAACACGGTGAAACCCCGTCTCTACTGAAAATAGAAAA
The DNA here is from genome assembly GCF_000001405.40 of Homo sapiens. Lineage (NCBI taxonomy): Eukaryota > Metazoa > Chordata > Mammalia > Primates > Hominidae > Homo > Homo sapiens. The sequence goes on along the minus strand of NC_000019.10, from coordinate 3,438,606 downwards.
AATTAGCCGGGCGTGGTAGTGGGTGCCTGTAGTCCCAGCTACTCGGGAGGCTGAGGCAGGAGAATGGCGTGAACCCGGGAAGCGGAGCTTGCAGTGAGCTGAGATGGCGCCACTGCACTCCAGCCTGGGCGACAGAGCGAGACTCTGTCTCAAAAAGAAAAAAAAAAAAAAAAAAAAGAAACCCTCAGGAGGGAGTGAGTTTGCCATCCCCTGAGGTAATCAAGTGGAAGCTGCAGGAGCACAGACCTCCTCTGACATTCCCTGCTAGCTCTGCGATTCCCAATCACAGAGCAGAAGCTGGTGGGGGCTTCCTCTTTGTCCTCCCCCCATTGCTACCACCTCCTTCCCCAGTGGAAGGGGTTGCCAGTGAGCAGCCGGGCAGAAAAGTCAGACTGAGCTCCAGAGCTTAAAATGTTTTCTTTTTGAGTTTTCTCTGTTGAAAGCTAGATTCTTTATTTTCCACCTTTCTCCTCTCCTAATAAATAGACTTAAAGCTACAATTTTTCCTCTCAGGGTTGCTTTGGCTCATCGCAAAGGTGGTCTTTCACTTTAATTAGCGTGCAGTTTACATTCTGACAGCCTCATCAATTACAGAGTTAATGAGAAGTCACGGCTGGGTGCGGTGGCTCACACCTGTAATGCCAGCACTTTGGGAGGCTGAGATGGGCGGATCACTTGAGGTTGGCGGATCACTTGAGGTCAGGAGTTCAAGACCAGCCTGGCCAACATAGTAAAAACCGTCTCTACTAAAAATACAAAAATTAGCTGGTTGTGGTGGTGCCCGCCTGTAGTCCCAGCTACTCGGGAGGCTGAGGCAGGAGAATCACTTGAACCCAGGAGGTGGAGCCGAGATTGCACCACTGCACTCCAGCCTGGGTGATAAGAGCGAAACTCCGTCTCAAAAAAAAAACAAAAAACAAAAAACAAAAAAAACGAAACAGAAGTGACTTTTTTTTTCTTTTTTTTTTTTTGAGACATAGTCTCGTTCTGTTGCCCAGGCTGGCGTGCACTGGCGTGATCTCTCAAAACAAGCAAGACTCCATCTCAAAACAAAAACAACAAACAAACAAAAAAAGAACCTCATAAATACTGAGACAGGTCCCCTGAGGGATGGAGACCCTTTAGGAATGTTCCTGCTCTGGGAGCCCACACTGTGGAAGGGAGGGGCCTTGGCACCTGAAATGTCACAACTAGATGCGTCCGAGTGCCGGAAAGAGACAGGAATTTTTTTTTTTTTTTGAGACGGAGTCTCGCTCTGTCACCCAGGCTGGAGTGCAGTGGCGCCATCTCAGCTCACTGCAAGCTCCGCCTCCCGGGTTCATGCCATTCTCCTGCCTCAGCCTCCTGAGTAGCTGGGACTACAGGCACCCGCCGCCACGCCCGGCTATTTTTTTTGTATTTTTAGTAGAGACGGGGTTTCACTGTGTTAGCCGGGATGGTCTCGATCTCCTGACCTCGTGATCCGCCTGCCTCGGCCTCCCAAAGTGCTGGGATTACAGGCGTGAGCCACCGAGCCTGGTCAGAGACAGGAATGTTATAAAGACGTGGATGACAGTGACCTCCCGTTTCCCGGGTATGTCGCATGGGCCAGACGGTTGCTTCACGCACATCCTACCCTTCCTCCTCCTGTAGCTCCCAAAGAACATTATTCACATCACCCCCATTGTGGAGATGAAGAAACTGAGGCTTAGAGAAGTTAAGTGATGTGCCCCAGGTTACACAGCACACAGAGCTAGACACGGGCAGGGCTGGGATCTGAACCCAGGTCTCTCCAATGCCTGAATCTGACCTCTTAATCCTAATGTTATACTGCTTCTAAAAATCCTACAGGTGGCCGGGAGCAGTGGCTCACACCTGTCATCCCAGCACTTTGGGAGGCCGAGGTGGGTGGATCACCTGAGGTCAGGAGTTTGAGACCAGACTGGCCAACATGGTGAAACACTGTCTCTACTAAAAATATAAAGATTAGCCGGGTGTGGTGGTGGGTGCCTGTAATCCCAGCTACTTGGGAGGCTGAGGCAGGAGAATTGCTTGAACTCAGGAGGAAGGGTTGCAGTGAGCCAAGATCTCGCCACTGCACTCCAGCCTGGGTGACAGAGCAAGACTCCATCTCAAAAAACAAAAATTAAAAAAAAATAAGAGGGGCCCGGCATGGTGGCTCACACCTGGAATCCCAGCACTTTGGGAGGACGAGGCAGGAGGAAAGATCACACTTGAACTCAGGAGTTCAAGACCAGCTTAGGCAACATAGTGAGACCCCATCTCTACCAAAAAAAAAAAAAAAAAAAAAAAAAAAATTAACGGCGCATGGCAGTATGCACCTGCAGTCCGATACTTGGGAGGCTGAGGCAGGAGGATCACTTGAACCTGGGAGGTCGAGGCTGCAGTGAGCCAAGATTGCACCCCGGCACTCCAGCCTGGGCAGCAGACCGAGACTCCGTTTCAAAAACAAACAAACAAACAAACAAACAAAAACAGAGGCCGGGCGTGGTGGCTCACGCCTGTAATCCCAGAACTTTGGGAGGCCGAGGCGGGCGAATCACCTGAGGTCGGGAGTTTGAGACCAGCCTGACCAACATGGTGAAACCCCGTCTGTACTAAAAATAGAAAAAATTAGCCGGGCATGGTGGTGCATGCCTGTAATCCCAGTTACTTGGGAGGCTGAGGTAGGACAATTGCTTGAACCAGGGAGGTGGAGGCTGCAGTGAGCGGAGATCGCGCCATTGCACTCCAGCCTGGGCAACAAGAGCGAAACTCCATCTCAAAAAAAAGAAAGAAAGAAAGAAAGAAAGAAAGACACCCCAGAGAGGACCCTTCTGAAGACAGAAAAGCAAGAGGATAAAATCTTCCTAGAAAACGACGCCATGGGAATGGAGACCCTACAGAAAGGAGACGAGTCTCCTGCAGAACCAGAAGATCCCATGGAGATGGGAACCTGGTTAAAAAAAAAAGTAACCTCAAGAAGGACCCCAATGAGAAGGGATCCGGCATCTCAGGACCTTCTAGAGGGGAAGAGGACAAACAGGGTCCCTACAGACGAGGGATTCTATGACAGATCCCAGGAAGAGGCGCCCTGTTGATCAGAGTCACTACTGAGTCCATCCTGCAGCTCGGGGACCCCACAGAGATGTGGCATTCACGGCCGGAGGGCAGGAGAGTCAGGCAGGGGACAGTCTCTGCCCTCCTTCGCCGCAGCGGAACCAAAGAGATCCGAGAACGCGAACCCGGACCGTACTTCCAGCCAAGCGCAGCTCGGGACGACTACAATTCCCAGGAGGCCCCGCGGCTCCAGGCCGGCTTCCTGCCCCGCGGCGCCCGCGCAGTGGCTGCCGGAAGACGTAGTTCCCGCCACGGTGACTCAGACCGGAAGGCCGGCTCCGCCCCCGCCACCAGCCCTACCTCCTTCCATGTCCTCCGTCCAGTTGCGGCTGCTACTCGTGGGCGAGCTGGGCGAAGTGTAGTAATCGCCGCCAGGGCTCGTGTCCACGTCTTCCTCCATCGAGCCCGATTTGTGCCGCTTGCTCCTTATGGGCGAGGGAAGGGGAGAGGCTGGTTACCAGGGAGACGCGGGGCGGGGGGCGCGACGGCGGGCTTTGCTACTTCCGGTCCTTAAGTGAGCGGGGGCGAGGGAGGTAGTATCGCGAGACATCGCGGGAGCCGCGGGCGTTCAGCCCGTTCCCTACGAACGCCTGTTCCAACCTGTCCATTGCTTGGATGGGACACCCGGGCCAGAGGCAGGGAGGGTCTCAACACAGGTCGGACACCAAGCTAGCATGGTGGAGACCAAAACCCAGGCAGCCTGGCTAATCTCCTGGCCACCTGTAGTCCTCAGAACTGCCTGTTAGGGGTATGATCCCATTTTATGGATGGGGAAACTGGGGCACACACAGTGTGACCTGCTCGAGGTCACAAAGCATATCTCAGCAACAACCTGTGTCTGCATTCTTCTGGGTGGGGAGGGTCCTAAGGGCTGGCTGAGCCGGCAGGACTTGAGGCTGGGGGAGCCCACGGTGGGCTGTCAGGGCTAGGGGAAGAGGCACGTGGGGCTGGCTGGGTTTTGAAGGATGAGATGAGTAGGAGTTTCTCAGGCCAGGTGAATCGTGAAAAGAGGTATTCCAGGGAGAGGAATGAGTCAGCTCGGGCCAGAGGGGATGGGTTGATGAATGGGGTCATGAAATGCCCAGAGGTGGGGACCTGGGTACTTACCCACTGGAGGAGGTGCTGGGCAGCGTTCTTCTGAGGCCAGTGCTGGCTGGGTTCAGGTCGTATGCCAGGTGCCCCTGCAGCTCCCCCAGGGAGAAGTTGGGTCCTGTTCCAGTCACCACGGGTGCTGCAGAGGGTGACAGAGGAGAGTGAGGCAGGAAGCAGTGCCCAGTGCTGCGGTTTGCTTTAGAGAGGTAGGGAAAGCCACTGGGTGCAGTCCAAAGGGGGACCCCCTTCCCATATTGGCCCGGTTCCTAGGGTGGCTGAAACCAGTTTTATTCTATGGATCAGAGGACCAAGGCCATGGGGAGAGGCCAAGAGCACACTGTGAGGCAGAGGTGTAGCCAAAGCTGGAGGCCAGGCTCTGCTGATCTGGACAGGGAAGGTGTCAGTCAGGGCTAAAGAAGGACAGCGCCCAGGACTCGCTGGGGTGGGATTCAGACAGTGTGTGACGGAATGTGCTGGGTCCCCAGCAGGTCAGCAGAGAAAGCAAGGGGACAGGAGGGGCGGGGTCCTTTGGGGTCTCCTGGGACAGGACAGTGGAGGCCCCAGGGAGGAGGAGGGATGCTGGGGCAGAAGTTTCCTTAGTTGCCATCCAGCATTTAGATTCTGTTTCCTGGAGAGGTGGGAGGGAGCCCTGACCTTGGGCTCTGGGAAGGGCCTGGCCACCTCCCTTTCTAGGAACCTTGGCTTAGTGACACAGGGGGTTGTCTGGAAAGGACAAGGAGTAGGGTGAGGGGGGTGGGCTCCTTCCTCCCTGCGGCCCCCTCCCCTCTCCAAGACCCAGCTCAGGGCTGACGGGAACACTCACTCCGGGACACTTGGATGAGCTCAGTGACGCTGAACACGCCGGAGGTGACAAAGCTCTCCTGGAAGTCGGTCGTGTCTGGAACAGGAAGACAGCGGGGTCAGTAGGCTGAGCTGGGCCTGTTTCCCTTCCCCACACTCCAGGGCTGCCTGGACTCCTGGGGGCTGGCCCGAGCCTGGACGTTCCCCCTGTCCATCCTGTGCTGTGGGGGAATGACAGCTCCAGTCTGATGGGGAAGGCCCCGTGGGGGGTCCTTGTCCAGTGTGGGCCTTCACACAGCCTTCATCCGGGTTCCCCCATGCTGTGGAATGCTGCATTCAAGTGAACAGCAGGCCGGGCGCAGTGGCTCATGCCTGTAATCCCAGCACTGTGGGAGGCCGAGGCAGGAGGAACGCTTGAGCTCAGGACTTCAAGACCAGCCTGGGGAACACAGCGAGACCCCATCTCTACAAAAAGTGTTAAAATTAGCCAGGTGTTGTGGTCCGTGCCTGTAGTCCCAGCTACTCAGGAGGCTGAGGCTGGAGGATCACTTGAGCCTGGGAGGTGGAGGCCGCAATGAACCATTGTTGTGCCACTGCACTCCAGCCTGGGAAACAGGGCGACACCCTCTCTTAAAAAACGAGTGGAGCCGGGTGCGGTGGCTCACGTCTGTAATCCCAGCACTTTGGGAGGCCGAGGCGGGAGGATCACAGGTCAGGAGATGGAGACCATCCTGGCTAACACAGTGAAACCCTGTCTCCTAAAAATACAAAAATTAGCCGGGCGTGGTGGCAGGCGCCTGTAGTCCCAGCTACCTGGGAGGCTGAGGCAGGAGAATGGTGTGAACCCGAGAGGTGGAGCTTGCAGTGAGCCGAGATTGCGCCACTGCACTCCATCCAGCCTGGGCAACAGAGCAAGACTCCATCTCAAAAAAAAAAAAAAAAAAGAGCGGAAAGCGGAGGCCTGGGCTCACATCGGCTCCATCACCTGCCTCGGTGTGTGATCTGGGGCAGGTCACTTTCCCTCTCTCAGCCTCCAAGTTTCCCTAATTGCAAAAGTGAAACCATCAATCCCATCATCGGGGTTGTCGTGAGATCTGTATCCAACTGCCTGGGAGGGGCAGCTGGCTTGCTTTACACACTGTCACCCTTCGAGATACTCTGGCTTCTTGTTCTTCTCCCCTTCAGACTGGGAGGTCCGTGTGGGCAGGGATGTCTGTCTGCCCCGACCCTGCAGTGTCCTTCGTGCCTAGACCAGAGCTTGGCACCCAGCAATGGGTCAGTTAAAATGGGGGGTTGAATGGGAGGCCCACAAGCCGCAGTTAAAACCCTCAGTGTCCCCAGCATTGCTCCTACCTAATATTAAAGGAAGGGAGACTGTCCTCTCGACTGGAGTGGTTTGGACCCATTTCACAGATTTGGAAATCGAAGTTGTCCCCGAGAGGTCGGGAGCCTTGGCCAACCTCAGACAGCTTGGGGACAGCCCTGTCCTGCCCTCGGACGCCCTTGTAGGAGGGATTCATGGACTCAACAGGCGTTTACTAAGCATCCACAGTGTCTGATTCTGAGCTGGGCCCCGGCACAGCAGGAGATGATACAGGCTGAAGCAGTTGCCCCTGTGAGACTCAAAGTCCAGTGTGAGCGACAGACAGCAGCCAAGATTAATAGGTCAGCAAAAGTCCACGAATGTTCCTAGCAGCACTGTTCACCACAGCTCAAACTGGAAAGCCACCCAAATGTCCCTTCAAAAGATGAAGAGATAAACACAGCGTGGTCTAGCCACACACTGGAATAGGACTCAGCCGTGAAAAGGATGCCGGGCGTGGTGGCTCATGCCTGTAATCCCGGCACTTTGGGAAGCTGAGGTGGGTGGATCTCGTGAGCTCAGGAGTTTGAGATCAGCCCGGGCAACATGGCGAAACCCTGTGTCTACAAAAAATACGAAAATTAGCTGGGTATGGTGGCTTGTGCCTATAGTCCCAGCACTTTGGGAAGCTGAGGCAGGTGGATCACTTGAGCCCCAGAGTTTGAGACGGGACTGGGCAACATGGCGAAACCCCATCCCTACAAAAAGTACAAAAATTAGCTGGGCGTGGTGGTGCACACCTGTAGTCCCAGCTACTTGGGAGGCCGAGGCGGGAGGATAGCTCGAGCCCTGGAGGTTGAGGCTGCAGTGAGCTATGATTGCACCACTGCACTCCAGCCTCGGGGACAGAGCAAGACCCTGTCTCAAAAAAAAAAAAAAAAAAAAAAAAAAGAAGAAGGAAAAGAAAAAGAATGAGGCCTTGGGCTGGGCGCAGTAGTGGTAGCTCACACCTGTAATCCCAGCACTTTGGGAGGCTGAGGCAGGTGGATCACCTGAGCTCAGGGGTTCAAGACCAGCCTGGCCAACATGGTGAAACCCCATCTCTACTAAAAATACAAAAATTAGCCGGGCATGGTGGCGGGCACCTGTAGTCCCAGCTACAGGCCGAGATCGCGACATTGCACTCCAGCCTGGGCATCAGAGTGAGACTTCATCTCAAAACCAGTAAATAAATAAAAATAAAAGAACGAGGCTCTGACACAGGCTACAACATGGATGCACCTTGAGGACATCATTCAGTGAGGGACACCAGAGACAAAAGGCCACACAGTGTGTGATGCCATTTCTTTCTTTCTTTTTCTTTTCTTTTTTTTTTTTTTTGAGACGGAGTCTCACTCTGTCGCCCAGGCTGGAGTGCAGTGGCGCAATCTTGGCTCACTGCAACCTATGCCTCCCAGGTTCAAGCGATTCTCCTGTCTCAGCCTCCCAAGTAGCTGGGATTACAAGTACCTGCCACAGTGCCTGTCTAAATTTTGGATTTTTAATAGAGACGGGGTTTCACCATCTTGGTCCGGCTGGTCTCGAACTCCTGACCACATGATCCACCCACCTTGGCCTCCCAAAGTGCTGGGATTACAGGCATGAGCCATTTCACTGAAATGTCCAGGACAGGCCAAGCCACAGAGACAAGAAGGGGATGCGTGGGCACCAGGGCTGGGAGAGGAGACAGGGAGTGGTGGCTGATGGGGATGGGGTTTCTTTTAGGGGGGATGAAATGTTCTGGAATTAGGCCAGGCTCGGCGGCTCACATCTGTAATCCCAGCACTTTGGAAGGCTGAGGCAAGAGAATCACTTAAGGTCAAGAGTTCGAGACCAGCCTGGCCAACATGGTGAAACTCCATCTCTACTGAAAATACAAAAAATTAGCCGGGTGTGGTGGCATGTGCCTATGATCCCAGCTACTTGGGAGGCTGAGCCATGAGAATTGCTTGAACCAGGAAGGTGGAGGTTGCAGTGAGCCGAGATTGCGCCACTGCACTCCAGCCTGGGGGTAAAAAAAAAAAAAAAGAAAGGTTCTGGAATTAGATAGAGGTGAATGTACTTAGTGCACTTTGACTTGGACACTTAAAAATGGCTAAAATGATGCATTGTACATCATGCACATTTTACTACAAATTAAAAGCTCATTAAGTCAAATGCGAGGTGCATCAGCCTGTGGTAAGGCAGGCGGCTGGTGGGGAACTAGCTAGGGTGGGGAGGGAGGCTATTTTACACCCAGGGCTCAGAGAAAGCCTGACCGAGATGGTGGCATTTTACAGACCTCAAGATGAGACTGGATAAGAGGAAGGAACTTGTTAAAATCTGCAAAGCTCCGAGAACAGCGCCTGGCAACCGCCCCGTGACTGTTGGCTTCTCCGATGGGGATGATGTTTCATCACCTCCCTGAGGGCCACGATGTTCCCGGCACTGGGAACAGCCCGTGCAAAGGCCTCCGGGTAGAAATGCACTTGGCAAGTTGCAGGCCAGCAGGGTTGGAGTGGAAAGAGCCAGGGAGCCTGGTAGGTTTGGAGGTGGGACAGGCTCTTGGCTTTTGGGTGGCGGTGGGAGCAGTTCCTCTCCCGGCCCCCAGGGGGCAGCACGGACTGCAGGGAGCTCAGGGCTGTGTCCAGTTCTGCAGACCCAAACCCCCGCCAGTCCCCCTGTTACAATCTTTCTTTTTTAGAGACAGAATTTTGCTCTGTTGCCCAGGCTCGAGTGCAGCGGTGCAATCATAGCTCACTGCAGCCTCGAACTCCTGGGCTGAAGTGATGCTCCTGCCTCAGCCTCCCAAGTAGCTGGGACTACAGGCACGCATCACCACCCTTGGCTAATTTTTGTATTATTATTATTACTTTTTGTAGAGATAGGGTCTTGCTATGTTACCCAGGCTGGTCTCAAACTCCTGGGCTCAGGCGATCCTCCCACCTCAGCCTCCCAAGTAGCTGGGATTACAGGCATGCACCTCCGTGTTTGGCTAGTGTGTGTGTGTGTGTGTGTGTGTGTGTGTGTGTGTGTGTGTATATATTTTTTTTTTTTTTTTTGGGGTAGAGATAGGGTCTTGCTATATTACCCAGGCTGGTCTTGAACTCCTGGGGCTAGTGTGTGTGTGTGTGTGTGTGTGTGTGTGTGTGTGTGTATATTTTTTTTTTGGGTAGAGATAGGGTCTTGCTATATTACCCAGGCTGGTCTTGAACTCCTGGGCTCAAGCGATCCTCCCGCTTCAGCCTCCCAAAGTGCTGGGATTGCAGGCGTGAGCCACCGCACCCGGCCCCCTGTTACAGTCATTTGCTGAGTGAAGGCAATGAACCAACCCTGCCCCGCGCTGGGAGGTTCAGGGCCACGCATTCTGAAGAGGACAGAGCGGTGGCCCCCGAGTGTCCAGGAGAAGTGGCCAGAGCCGTTTCCTGCTGACCCAGCTGGCCAGCTGGTGTCAGCACGCCCCCTCCGCCTCCCCCGACCGGGGTTTCCTGTTTGTGCAGCGCCTGCTCAGCTCCATCTCTGGGGGACTCCCTGGCGAGCTGGGAGGACGTGATTTCCTCTACCAGACGCCCAAGCTCCCCAGGGGACCAGGCCAAGCGCCGCTGCCCCCACCTCCCTCCAACATCTGGCTTGGAGAGAGGCGTCTGGGGATCACAGGAGGCCGCGGAGGACCCGGGTCACAGACGGAGGAGTCACCGGGGGCCAGTGAGGAGTGGCCTCAGGCCTGTGAACCTCCGAGAACCTTCCAGCCTCCCTGTGCATGCCTGTTCCGGTCCTTCCAAGAAGGACGCCTCACCCACTCGCTTTCTCTTCCTTCCTTCTTTTCCTTTCCTTTTTTTTTTTTGAGACAGTCTCACTCTATCCCCCAGGCTGGAGTGCAGTGGCGTGATCTCGGCTCACTGCAACCTCCGCCTCCTCCTGGGTTCAAGCAATTCTCCTGCGTCAGCCTCCCGTGTCCTCCTAGTACAGATGGGGTTTCGCCATGTTGGCCAGGCTGGTCTTGAACTCCTGACCTCAGGTCATCCACCTGACTCGGCCTCCCAAAGTACTGGGATTACAGGTGTAAGCCACTGCGCCCTGGCCCCTTCCTTCTTTTTCTTTTCTTTTCTTTTTTTTTTTTTTGAGACGGAGTTTTTACTCTTGTTGCCCAGGCTAGAGTGCAATGGCGCGATCTCAGCTCACTGCAACCTCTGTCTCCCGGGTTCAAGCAATTCTCCTGCCTCAGCCTCTCGGGTAGCTGGGATTACAGGCATGTGCCTCCACGCCTGGCTAATTTTTGTATATTCAGTAGAGACAGGGTTTCTCCATGTTGATCAGGCTAGTCTCAAACTCCTGACCTCAGGTGATCCACCCACCTCAGTCCCCCAAAGTGCTGGGATTACAGGCGTAAGCCCCCGCACCCGGCCCTTCTTTTTCTCTCTCTCTTTCTTTTCTTTCTTTCTTTCCTTCTTTCTTCTTCTTCTTTTTTTTTTTTTTTTTTGACAGAGTCTCGCTGTGTCGCCCAGGGTGCACAATCTCGGCTCACCACAACCTCTGCCTCCTGGGTTCAAGCGATTCTCCTGCCTCAGCCTCCCGACTAGCTGGGATTATAGGTGTGTGCCAACATGCCCGACTAATTTTTGTATTTTTAGTAGAGACGGTTTCACCATGTTGGTCAGGCTGGTCTCGAACTCCTGACCTCAGGTGATCCACCTGCCTTGGCCTCCCAAAGTGCTGGGATTACAGGCGTGAGCCACCGCACTTGGCCCCTTCCTTCTTTTTCATCTCTCCTCCTTCCTCTCCCCATATATCCTCTCTTGTCTTCTTCTCTCTGCTTCATCCCTCCCTCTCTCCTTCTTTTCTTTCTACAAGTATTTATTGAGCACCCACTCTGCATCAGGCCCCATTCTAAGCCCTGAGGGCACAACAGAGATGTAGACAGACAAAGCCTCTGCCCTGGAGGAGGTGACATTCCACTGGGGAGATGAGCAGACACCCGTGCAGTCACTAAACAACTAAGCAAATCCATAGGCAATCACTAACTTCCTCTGAAGGAAAGAAAACAGAGGGCTGAGACTGAGGGTAGCCAGGCTGGGCGCGGTGGCTCATGCCTGTAATCCCAGCACTTTGGGAGGCCGAGGCGGGTGCATCACAGGGTCAGGAGATCGAGACCATCCTGGCTACCACGGTGAAACCCCATCTCTACTAAAAGTACAAAAAATTACCCGGGTGTGGTGGTGGGCGCCTGTAGTCCCAGCTACTCGGGAGGCTGAGGCAGGAGAATGGCGTGAACCTAGGAGGCGGGGATGGCAGTGAGCCGAGATTGCGCCATTGCACTCTAGCCTGGGCGACAGAGCCTGACTCTGTCTCAAAAAAAAAAAAAAAAAAAGATTGAGGGTAGCCAGAGGCTGCTTATGCTGAAGGGGTTTAGGGTAGACCTCTCTGAGAAGGGGGCATTTGAGCTGAGACCAGGGGAGATCTGGAGAGAACAAGCGAGCAGTTAGTTGGCTGTTTAGACAGAGGTAACAGAATGTGCAGCGGCCCTGAGGCAGGACTGGGTCTGGTGCACTGGAGGAACGGCGAGGAGGTCTGTGTGGCTGGGAGTGGACGACGGGGAGAGAGGGAGGAGGGGAGGACAGGGCAGGGATGGGACAGGTTGTGCAGGGCCTTGTGGGCCACAGGGAGGACCTGGGCTTTTACCCCAAGAGAGGTGGGAGCCGTGGATGGCTGTGCGCAGAGGAGGGACGGGCCCTGACTTGGGGGCTCACAGGTGTCCTCTGGCCATAGTGAGAAGGACAAATGGTGGGGGCCAAGGGCAGGAGCTGGGGGCTAGGATGGAAGTGACTGCTCTGGTCTAAGTGAGGTTAATTTTCCCACTTCCTATCCCTACAACATAGAATTACACTGTCCTACCCATCTATTAGACGCCCCATGAGGGCTGGGTGTGGTGGCTCACACCTATGATCCCAGCGCTTTGGGAAGCCAAGACAGGAGGATCACTTGAGCTCAGGAGTTTGAGACCAGTCTGAGCAACATAGTGAGACTCTGTCTCTACAAAAATATTTAAAAAATTAAAAAAAAAAGCCAGGCGCGGTGGCTCATGCCTGTAATCCCAGTACTTCGGGAGGCCGAGGTGGGTGGATCACGAGGTCAGGAGTTTGAGACCAGCCTGGCCAACATGGTGAAACCCCATCTCTACTAAAAATACAAAAATTAGCCAGCCGTGGTGGCACACACCTGTAATCCCAGCTACTCAGGAGGCTGAGGCAGGAGAGTTGCTTGAACCCAGGAGATGGAGGATGCAGTGAGCCGAGATCGCGCCACTGCACTCTAGCCTGGGCGACAGAGTGATACTCCATCTCAAAAAAAAAAAAAAAAAAAAAAAAAAAAAAAAAAGCCAGGCATGGTGGTGCACACCTGTAGTCCCAGCTACTTGAGAGGCTAAGGCAGGAGGATCGCTTGAGCCTAGCTGGTCCAGGCTGCAGTGAGCTAGGATGGTGTCACTGCACTCCAGCCTGGGCAGCAGCGTGAGACCGTTTCTAAGACAAACAAACAGGCCGGGCACGGTGGCTCATGCCTGTAATCCCAGCACTTTGGGAGGCCGAGGTAGGCGGATCACCTGAGGTCAGGAGTTCAAGACCGACCTGGCCAACATGGTGAAACCCCGTCTCTACTAAAAATACAAAAATTAGCCGGGTGTGGTGGCAGGTACCTGTAATCCCAGCTACTTGGGAGACTGAGGCAGGAGAATCACTTGAACCCGGGAAGCGGAGCTTGCAGTGAGCTGAGATTGTGCCACTGCACTCCAGCCTGGATGACAGAGCGAGACTCCATCTCAAAATAAATAAATGAATGAAAACAAAACAAAACAAACAAAAACCCTCAAACGTCCCATGGGACCGTAGAACCCTCTGGGGTCTCCCATGGGGTGAGCACCTCAGAGCCCAGAAGCTGGGAGCTCAGAGTCGTGGGTTCCAACCCAGCTCCCTGGTAGCCCCTGGACAGGCCCCTTAACCTCTCCGAGCCTCAGTCTGCTCATCTGTAAAACGAGTGGTGCCAAGCAAATGATTCCCAAATAAAAGACGAGGACAGGGCTGCGCCCTCCGCCCTTCACCGCCACGCTGCCCCCAGACTCACCCAGCGTGATGGGCTTGCTGTCCTCCTGGTCAGAGCCCATCCCTGTCCGGGGACTGCCGCTTTGCTCTGCATCTGCAAAGAGAGGGAAGAAACACTGGTGGCATCACAGAGACCCCACCCCAGGAGCAGATGAAGTGTCGATGCTGGTGGCCCCAGTCCTGGGCTGGGCCAGTGCTATGGAGACAAACAGTGGCCCCAAAACACACCCAGGCCCTGGGGTCTCTCTTTGGGCCCTTCCCTTGGCTGCTGCCCTAGAGGGTCACAGACATCTGGCCAGGCACCCTGCAGACACCAGCTAGGCCCTGTGAGCGCCAGTGTACCCGTATGTTGGGTAAGCCCTCCGCTTCTGCAGGGGCGGCTCAGTCGTGGGTAAGAACTTAGACACCTGGAATCTTAACAGACTGATGTTCAAATCCCAGCTGTGCCGCTTTCTTGCTGTGCGACCCTGAGCAAGTCGCTTGCCTTCTCTGAGCCTCATCTGTAAAATGAAGTTCAGGCCGGGCACGGTGGCTCACGCCTGTAATCCTAGCACTTTGGGAGGCCAAGGGAGGCAGATCACCTGAGGTCAGGGTCAGGAGTTTGAGACCAGACTGGCCAACATGGTGAAACCCCATCTCTACTAAAAGTACAAAAACTAGCCAGGTGTGGTGATGCGTACCTGTAATCCCAGCTACTTGGGAGACTGAGACAGGAGAATCGCTTTAGCCTCGGAGGCGGAGGTTGCAGTGAGCCAGGATTGCACCACTGCAGTCCAGTCTGGGCGACTGGAGTTGGAGGCCAGCCTGAGCAACATAGCAAGTCCCCATCTCAGAAAATGAAATTAAGCAACAACAAAAAAATAAAACAAAACGGCCAGGCACGGTGGCTCACACCTGTAATCCCAGCACTTTGGGAGGCCAAGGCAGGAAAATCACTTGAGGTCAGGAGTTGAAGACCAGCCTGGCTAACATGGCAAAACCCCGTCTCTACTAAAAATATAAAAATTAGCCGGGCATGGTGGCACGCTCCTGGAATCCCAGCTACTCAGGAGGCTGAGTCAGGAGAATCGCTTGAACCCGGGAGGCAGAGGTTGCAGCAAGTGGAGATCATGCCTCTGCACTCCAGTCTGGGCGACAAGAGCAAGGCTCCGTCTCAAAATAAATAAAATAAAATAAATAAAACAAAATAAATAAAATAAAATGAGGTTCAGTCATTCAGCCCCGCCTTAGCCCTATGCAGGAGGTCTATCACTATGTCCGTTTTACAGATGGGGAAACTGAGGACCAGAGAGGTGAGTCCTGGAGACGTCACGTCCCTTAGCCTCAGCCTCTGCCCCTGTAGTCCCAGGGACCCGGCTGTTAGTCCTGGGTTGCCGTTCAGGGACCCCAGAGAGAGGAGGCTGAGGGGTGGTCTCTCTGATGGCGACGACCCCACTGCCCGCCCAGCTTGGGTGCTCCCTCTGCCCCGGCGCCCGCCCCTCCATCTTATCTAAAAATAATTAGGTTCCTTGGCAGACGCGCAGGCAGACAGACGCTGAGCTCAGCGTTATCGGCTCTGGCAGCCTGGATGCAGGACGAGTCACATCCGCCCCCTCTGGAGCCCTGACCCCTCCACGGAGGGCTGAAGTTGGGGGGCAGGTGGACAAGCCCAGCCAGGCAGACGCCCCTCCCCAGCCCCACCCATGGATCACCCAGGTCAAAGACGAAGGTGGCAGCAACCAACGTCGAAAGCCGCAGGAAGAGAATCACGCCCCTCCTGCCCACCCGCCAGACCCCAAGGCCAGGACGCGATCGCTGTGTGACCTCAGGCAAGTCGCCTAACTGTCCTGAGCCTGTTTCTCATCTTCCACGTGGGCACAAACACTGCCCAGGCCTTAGCAGAGCTGGGAGGCAGTGAGGAGAGGATACTCCTGAAGCACTTGAGGGCATTTGGAGACCTCAATCACGAGAGTCCGCCCCATTATTACTTTCTTCTATTTTATTTATTTATTTTTATTTTTTTGAGACAGGGTCTCACTCTGTCTCCCAGGCTGGAATGCAGTGGTGCGATCGCGGCTTGCTGTAACCTCCACCTCTCGGGTTCAAGTGATTCTCCCGCTTCAGCCTCCAGAGTAGCTGAGATTACAGGCGCGCGTCATCACGCCTGGCTAATTTTTGTATTTTTAGTAGAGACGGGAGTTTCACCATGTTGGTCAGGCTGGTCTCGAACTCCTGACCTCAGGTGATCCGCCCGCCTCGGCCTCCCAAAGTGCTGGGATGCCAAGCGTGAGCCACCATGCCTGGCTGTATCCATTTCATAAACAAGGAAAGCTGCGGGTCAGAACCACGAGCAATGTTCTCCCTCCCAGGCCCTGTGATGGGCTTTTTCACCAGGGTTATTTTATCTACAGTTTTGTGCTGGGATCAGACACCTGAGCCAAGTACTGTCTCCAAGACCCCCCGGGTCTTTGTGCTCCTGAGAAGGTCACTTTCCTTTTTTTTTTGAGACAGAGTCTCGCTCTGTCGCCCAGGCTGGAGTGCAGTGGCATGATCTCGGCTCACTGCAAGCTCCGTCTCCTGGGTTCACGCCATTCTCCTGCCTCAGTCTCCTGAGTAGCTGGGACTACAGGCACCCGCCACCACGCCCGGCTAATTTTTTGAATTTTTAATAGAGACGGGGTTTCACCGTGTTAGCCAGGATGGTCTCGATCTCCTGACCTGGTGATCCGCCCGCCTCGGCCTCCCAAAGTGCTGGGATTACAGGCGTGAGCCACCGCGCCCGGCCTCACTTTCCTTTCAAGGCCTGAGTTTCTTCATCCGCAAAATGAGATGATGATTAAGCCAGGGGCAGTGGCACAGTGGCTCACGCCTGTAATCTCAGCACTTTGGGAGGCCGAAGCGGGAGGATCGCTTGAGGCCAGGAGTTCGAGACCAGCCAGGGCAACATAGTGAGACCCCGTTTTTACAAAAAATACAAAAAAACAGTCCAGGTGCAGTGGCTCACTCCTGTAATCCCAGCACTTTGGGAGGCCGAGGCGGGCAGATCACTTTGAGCTCAGGAGTTTGAGACCAGCCTGATCAACATGGTGAAACCCCATCTCTACCAAAAATACAAAATTAGCCGGGCATGGTGGTGCATGCCTGTAATCCCAGCTACTCGGGAGGCTGAGGCAGGAGAATCGCTCGAACCCCGGAGGCGGAGGTTGCGGTGAGCCAAGATCGCGCCATTATTGCACTCCAGCCTGGGCAACAAGAGCAAAACTCCATCTCAACAAAAAAGAAAAAAAAATTAGCCAGGCATGGTAGCAGGCACCTGTAGTCCCAGCTACTCAGGAGGATCACTTGAGCCTGGGAGGTCAAGGGTGCAGTGAGCTGTGATCATGCCACTGCACTCCAGCCTGAGTGACAGAGCAAGACCTTGTTTTAAAAAAATAAATGGAGACCATTCTCAGGGTTGCTGTGAGAATGATCAAAGCAATGATATTTCCTAGCGCACGGAGCCTCTGGAGTTAGCCTGGCGCCGTGCTAATGGCTATGCACACACCGTGTGTCCAGCACCCACTGATTGCCAAGACCAAGGATGCCATGAACAGCACAGGAGCAGGGCCCGGTGCCTCAGTTTCCTCGTCAGGAAACAGAGGAGCAGACGAGAGAAGCCCTTCCTCCAGCTAGGCTGCCCCGGCCGTGGCCATCTGGGCTGGACAGCAGCCGAGGGGAGTGTGCCCAGCTCGGCCCCAAGCCCTGCAGCCGATCCCAGGCTGGGGCTGCCAGCGGCCCCTCGGAGCTGGCCAGTTCCCTTTGGACTGTCTCAAGGCTGGGCACCGGTGGCCATGACGTTGGGAAGGACCCAGCCTGGGCAGCCGGCCGTCCGGGCGCCAGGCCGTGGGCACAGGACCCTCTTCCGGAACCAGAGCCCACACAGACTCAGCAGGCTGCAGTGCCCAGCTGGCGTCTCAGCAGGCCGCAGTGCCCAGCTGGCATCCGGGTGTTTCCCTGGGAAGGGAGAATGTTTCTTGGGCACCTACTAAGTGTCAGGCCCCACGGTGGCTCCCAGCATGAGCTTGCGAATCGGGCAGCCAGGGAGCGGGGCCTCGGATGCATCCGCGCCTCACTCTTCTCATCTGTGAAATGGACACAACTATAGCACCCCCTCTTGGAAGCTGTTTATGAGGGACAAGATGGTAATGAATGAAACATTGGCTGGGCGCGGTGGCTCACGCCTGTATTCCCAGCACTATGGGAGGCCAACGTGGGTGGATCACCTAAGGTCAGGAGTTCAAGACCATTCTGCCCCACATGGTGAAACCCCGTCTCCACTAAAAATACAAAAATTAGCTGGGCGTGGTGGTGGGCACCTGTAATCCCAGCTACTTGGGAGGCTGAGGCAGGAGAATCTCTTGAACTCGGGAGGCGGATTTTGCAGTGAGCCCAGATCGGGCCAATTGCACTCTAGTCTGGGCGACAGAGTGACTCCATCTCAAAAAAAAAAAGGTGATGAATGAATTATTAATAAAACTCCCAGAACCATGGCTGCCATAGTGAGTGCTTCACCAGGCAGAGGGCAGCTTCACTACTATTGCTATTTGATTAATATCGCTATTGGTACTGTCTTTGATGGTGTTATTTTGTATCTTTTATTTATTTATTTATTTATTTATTTATTTTTTTGAGATGGAATCTCGCTCTTGTTCTCTTGTTGCCAGGACTGGAGTGCGGTGGCACGATCCAGCTCATTGCAATCTCCGCCTCCCGGGCTCAAGCAATTCCCAGCCTCCCAAGTAGCTGGGATTACAGGCACGTGCCACCACGCCCACACGCCCAGCTAATTTTTGTTGTATTTTTAGTAGAGATAGGGTTTCACCATGATAGCCAGGCTGATCTCTTTCTCTTCTTCGTTTTTGAGACAGGATCTTGCTCTGTCACCTAGGCTGGAGTAAGGTGGCACAATCACGGCTCACTGCAGTCTTGAACTCCTGAGCTCAAGCCATCCTCCTATCTGAGCTTCCCAAGTAGCTGGGGCCCCAGGTACACGCCACCACATCTGGCTAATTTTTGTATTATTTGTAGATACGGGTTTTCGCGATGCTGCCCTAGCTGGTCTGGAACTCCTGGGCTCAAGCGATCCACTCTCTTTGGTCTCTCAAAGTGCTGGGATTACAGGTGTGAGCTACCACGTCCAGCCTCTTTTCTTGCCTTATTGGTCTGGCAGAACTTCCAGTACAATGTTCAATAGAAATGGGGAAAGTGGTGTCCTTGTCTTGTTCCTGATCTCGGGAGAAAACATCCAGCCTCTCACCACTAAGTACGGGGTTAGCTGTGGGGTTTTGTAGTTCCCTTTCTTGGGTTAAGGAAGTTTTCTTCTTTTCCTATAGTCCTAGGAATTTATGTGTTTTTTAATTAAATTAAATTTTTTTTTTTTTTTGGAACAGAGTATCGCTGTGTCGCCCAGGCTGGAGTGCAATGGTGCGATCTCAGCTCACTGCAGCCTCTGCCTCCCGGGTTCAAGTGATTCTCCTGCCTGAGCCTCCTAAGTAGCTGAGATTACAGGTGTGTGCCACCTGTAATCTAATTTTCTAATCTAATTTTAATTAGCCCAGCTAATTTTTGTATTTTTAGTAGAGATGGGGTTTCACCAAGTTGGCCAGGCTGGTCTCAAACTTCTGACCTCAAGTGATCCGCGTGCCTCAGCCTCCCAAAGTGCTGGGATTACAGGTGTGAGCCACTGTGCTCGGCCTAATTTTGTTTTTGAGACAGGGTCTTGCTCTGTCACCCAGGCTGCAGTGCAGTGGCACAATCATGGCTCACTGCAGCCTGGACCTCCTGGGCTCCAGCAATCCCCCCACCTCAGACTGTCGAGTAATTGGAACCATGGGTGAGCACCACCATGCCTGGCCAAAATTAGTTTAGTTTTAAAAATAATATGCTATAAATCTATGCCATCTCATTTTAATTTTTAATTTAATTTCTTATTGTGGTAAAATATGCATAATATTTACCATTTGAACCAACTTTCCATGCACAGCTTTAGGGACATTAAATACATTCCAATGGCCATGCAGCCATCGCCACCATCCTCTCCAGAACTTTCTACTCTTCCCAAACTGAAACTCTGTCCCCATGAAACACTCACTCCCCGTCCCCTCCCCAGCCTCCGACACCCCCTGACCCCGCCAACCTACTTTCTGTCTCTATGAATCTGACGACTCTAGGGACCTCCTAGGAGTGGACTTGCAGTATTTGTCCTTCTGTGTCCGGCTTTTCTCAATTGAGCTTAATGTCCTTAAGGTTCACCCATGTGAGTAGCCTGGTCAGAATCTCCTTCCTTTTTATTTGGCTGCCTCATCTTATGTATTTATGTATTTATTTATTTAGATGGAATCTTGCCGTGTTGCCCAGGCTGGAGTGCAGTGGCACAATCTCGGCTCACTGCAACTTCCGTCTCTTGGTTTCAACCAAATCTTCTGCCTCAGCCTCCTGAGTAGCTGGGACTACAGGCTCCTGCCACCACACCTGGCTAATTTTTGCATTTTTAGTAGAGACAGGATTTTGCCATGTTAGCCAGGCCGGTCTTGAATTCCTGACGTCAAGTGATCCTCCTGCCTCGGCCTCCCAAAGTGCTGGGATTACAGGTGTGAGCCACCACGCCCGGCCAGCCGTCTCATTTTAAATCATCTCTAAAACCTGGGAATAGTTCTCAACCACCTGCTGACCATTCTTCCATCATTTGGCTCCTGAAAACTCCTCACGTTCTACAGCCATCAGTACAAGGGTCACAGCCACATATGACTTTTTACATTTAAGTTAGCTACGCTGAAATAAAATTAGGCGGGGCGTGGTGGCACATGCCTGTAATCTCGGTACTTTGGAAAGCCAAGGCAGGAGGATCACTTGAGCCCAGGAGTTCCAGACCAGACTGGGCACCATGGCGAGACCCCGTCTCTACAAAAAATACAAAAGTTAGCTGGGTGTAGTGGCATGCCTGTAGTTCCAGCTACTCGGGGAGCTGAGGTGGGAGGACTGCTTAAGCCTGGGAGGTGGAGGTTGCAGTGAGTTATGATGGAGTCACCGCACTCCAGCTTGGGTGACAGAGCGAGACTATGTCTCAAAAAAAAAAAAAAAAAGAAAAGAAAATTAAATTTTAAGTTGCTCAGTTGAACAAATCACATTTCAAGCACCAAAGAGCCACACGTGGCTGGTGGTGACCAAGTTGGACAGCACAGAATATTCTGCCATCAGCGAGGAATATTCTAGTGCACTGTGTGGCCCTGGCTGCTTCCAGAGGTGGCCGGGCACGGTGGATCACGCCTGTAATCCCAGCACTCTGACAGGCCGAGGCGGGCGGATCATGAGGTCAGGAGATCGAGACCATCCTGGCTAACATGGTGAAACCCCATCTCTACTAAAAAAAAATACAAAAAAAAAAAAAAATTAGCCGGGCGTGGTGACGGGCGCCTGTAGTCCCAGCTACTCGGGAGGCTGAGGCAGGAGAATGGCGTGAACCCGGGAGGCAGAGGTTGCAGTGAGCCGAGATTGCGCCACTGCACTCCAGCCTGGGCGACAGAGCGAGACTCCATCTCAAAAAAAAAAAAAAAAAAAGAAAAGAAAAAGAGGCACAGATAATTCCTCCTCCTCCACCTACTTAGTACACACCCAGCCTTAAAATGGACCTTCTTTCGGTCTGAGCAGATGTGTACAAAGTGCATAATGTCGAAGGCTGGCTAACTTCCACAGCCCCAAGATTCCCCAGACCCCAGTGGGCAGCTTCCATCTGCTGAGTTTTTACTGTGCTGAATTAGCACTTCCTGACCCCATCTGATTAAATCTGCTCAATTTGTAAGGTTGGTCAACCAAGGCCCAGTGCGCACAGCGTATTTCCCAAAGCTGGTGTCAGATTCAAAGCAAAGTTGTCTGTCTAGCTCAGAAGTTCTGCTGTTGTTCTGCTTTGAGATGGGGGTCTCACTATATTGCCCAGGCCGGTCTCTAACTCCTGGGCTCAAGTGACCCTCCTGCCTAGGCCTCCAAAAGCACTGGGATTAGGCCAGGCGTGGTGGCACACGCCTGTAATCCCAGCACTTTGGGAGGCCAAGGCGGGCGGATCACGAGGTCAGGAGATCGAGACCATCCTGGCTAACATGGTGAAACCCCATCTCTACTAAAAATACAAAAAAAATTAGCTGGGCCTGGTGGCGGGCGCCTGTAGTCCCAGCTGCTCCGGAGGCTGAGGCAGGAGAATGGCGTGAACCCGGCAGGCGGAGCTTGCAGTGAGCCGAGATCGCGCCACTGCACTCCAGCCTGGGCGACGGAGCGAGACTCCATCTCAAAAAAAAAAAAAAAGCACTGGGATTACAGGCGTGAGCCACCATGTCTGGCCAGAATTTTGTGTTTTTAAAAAAATGTAGGATGGGCACGGTGGCTCACGCCTGTAATCCCAGTGCTTTGGGAGGCCGAGGCGGTGGATCACCTGAGGTCAGGAGTTCGAGAGCAGCCTGACCAACATGGAGAAACCCCGTCTCTACTAAAAATACAAAATTAGCCGGGCACGGTGGCACATGCCTGTAATCCCAGCTACTCAGGAGGCTGACGCAGGAAAATTGCTTCTTGAACCCGGGAGGCGGAGGTTGCAGTGAGCCGAGATCACGCCATTGCATTCTAGCCTGGGCAACAAGAGTGAAACTCTGTCTCAAAAATAATAATAATAATAATAATAATGTACAGACATATGTTGTTACAGTATAGAAAAAAACAAATATATTTGTATATTAAATATATATTTAATGGCGTAAGTATATTTTATATACCTATATGGCATATTTTATATACCTACAGGCCATATAGGTACATTTTATATACCTATCTATATGACATATAGTTATACTTTATATACCTATGTATAATATATATTATATATATTTGATGGCACAGGTACATTTTTAATATATATAGGTATATAAAATATACCTATGCTATTAAAATTTCACAGGAGAGTGATTAGGGAAAAAATGTTTAAAAGGGCTCTTTATGGGGGGGCAATCATGGTCTTGATTTTTTTTTTTTTTTTGAGACAGGGCCTCACTCTGTGGCCCGGGATGGAGGACAGTGGTGTCATCATAGCTCACTGCAGGCTCGACCTCCTGGGCTCAAGTGATTCTCTTGCCTTCTTTTCCCAAGTAGCCGGGGCTACAGGCTTGTGGCCCTACATCTGGCTAATTTTTAACAAACATTTTTTTGTAGAGATGAGGTCTCACTATGTTGGCCAGGCTGAACTCAAACTCCAGGGCTGAAGCGCTCCTCCTGCCTCAGCCATCCAAAGTGCTGGGATTACAGGTGTCAGTCACCTCGCCTGGCCAGGGAAGGCAATAATAGGGCAGAAAAAGGGGTGTTGAGTGGACAAGACCCTTCCACCCAACCCTATACTGGCACCAGGTATACAGTAGGTGCTCGACAAATGCACATCACTGAACAACTTCTCCCAGAGCCTCCATCAAAGATTGCTGTCTAGGGAGAGCATTTACGAAAAGGCAGCAGGGCTTCCTCGGCTCCAAACCCCTGTAATGAGGAGGCTTAAATAACAAGTTTGCAGGGGTTGGGGGGCTACAGGGGTGTAGCCTGGGAGGGAAGCAGATCTGGGTTCCCATCCTCCTCTGCTGCCCCTCTTGCTGTGTGGTCTCAGACAAACCCCTGCCCATCTCTGGGCTTCAGAGGCCAATGGGTGAAATGGGGCATGGGGTTGGGGGAGTGGAGGCAGACCTGACCTGTGTAGAACAAAATAGGATTGAGTCGAGAAAGAACCAAGCACTTGGCCGGGCGCAGTAGAGCTCACACCTGTAATCCTAGCACTCTGGGAGGCCGAGGCAGGAGGATTACTTGAGGTCAGGGGTTTGGGACCAGCCTGGACAATATGGTGAAACCCCATCTCTACTAAAAGTACCAAAAAAAAAAAATTAGCTGGGTGTGCTGGCATGCACCCATAGTCCTAGCTACTCAGGAGGCTGAGGCAGGAGAATTGTTTGAACCTGGCAGGTGGAGGCTGCAGTGAGCCGAGATCGTACCACTGCACTCCAGACTAAAGAACCAAGCACTTGGCAGGGCACGGTGGCTCACACCTGTAATCCTAGCACTTTGGGAGCCTGAGGCGGTTGGATCACATGAGATCAGCATTTCCAGACCAGCCTGGCCAACATGGAGAAACCCCGTCTCTACCAAAAATACAAAAATTAGCCGGGTGTGGCGGCAGGCACCTGTAATCCCAGCTACTTGGGAGGTTGAGGCAGGAGAATCGCTTGAACCCAGGAGGCAGAGGTTACAGTGAGCCGAGATCATGCCATTGCACTCCAGCCTGGGCCACAGAGCGAGCCTCTGTCTCAAAAAACACAAAAACAAAAAAACAAAAAACAAAAAAACAAAAAAACAAACTAAGCACTTTAGATCCCCAGCATCACAGAGTCGGGGTTTGCAGCATTTTAGATTCTCTGTGGAGGGTTTTGGAATCAGTTCGTGGGTTCTGACATTAGATGAGCAAACTAGAAGGGGTTGCCTATTCTTGCACAGTCAGCTAAGTATGGTCTTTTCCTTATTTTATTTTATTTTATTTTATTTTATTTTATTTTATTTTATTTTATTTTATTTTAGATGCAGTCTCGCCCCGTCTCCCAGACTGGAGTGCGGTGACGTGATCTCGGCTCACTGCAACCTCCACCTCCCGGGTTCAAGTGATTCTCCTGCCTCAGCCTCCAGAGTAGCTGGGACTACAGGCACGTGCCACCACGCCCAGCTAATTTTTGTATTTTTAGTAGAGACAGGGTTTTGCCATGTTGGTCAGGCTGGTCTCGAACTCTTGACCTCGTGATCCGTCCGCCTCGGACTCCCAAAGTGCTGGGATTACAATCGTGAGCCACCGCGCCCGGCCTGTCTTTTCCATTTTTAAAGGGTCGTAAACAAAAGAAAAAATAGGCAACAGAGACTGCATGTGACCTGCCTAAAAGCCTAAAATGTTTACAGTGTCACTGGCCCTTTACTAAAAGAGTTGGCGGGCTTCCGGCTGTGTGGCCCTGGGCAAGTACTTCCACATCTCTGAGCCTGGATTTCTTCATCTGTACATTGGAGCTGCACTATGTTGCCATTAGTTCTTTCCTTTGATCACTCAGCAAACAGATTGCAGAGAGCCACCCGGATGCCAGACGCCCAAGGGACACAGCGGCAACAGAGACAGACAAGAATCCCTCCTCTCGAGGCACTGATGTTCTAATGGGAACGTGACAGGAAATGAACAAGTCAGAAAATAAATCAAGAGGGTCACTTCAGGTCGTTGAAATGCTAGGGAGGTTGGGAGGCTGAGGTGGGAGGATCACCTGAGGCCTGGAGTTTGAGACCAGCCTGGCCAACATAGCGAAACCCTGTCTCTACTAAAAATACAAAAACTAGCCTGGCGTGGTGGTGCGTGCCTGTAATCCCAGCTGCTCCGGAGGCTGAGACGGGAGAATTGCTTGAACCCGGGGGATGGCTGCAGTGAGCCAAGATCGCGCCATTGTACTCCAGCCTGGGAGACAGAGCGAGACTCCATCTCAAAAAACAACAAATTAATGCGCAGTGAGTAATTCCTTTGACTAGGTTCGGCTGCAAATGTTGCCTCCATTGCCTCACAAATCTTTGTAACTCCTCTGCAGCAGACACGTGATTACCGTCCCCATATGGGGGACGGTAATCGCCAGCTGGGGAAACTGAGGCACAAAGCTAGACAGCAATGGCTTCAAACTCACAGAACACCAGCTGGTAGTGATGGGTCTAGAATCAATGATCAGCCACCCTGGCATCTCACAGTTGAGCCTTTGCTGTAATTTTGATTCTGTGACACCCTGTAAATCCTTTTAGGAGGGGTCTCGGTTCCCCTCACTCCAGGGCTCCTTCTCATTGGCGGTTTGGGATGATTCCTGGTGTTTGAATCCCATTCTCTAGCCAGTCAGATAAAGCCCCAAGGCCAGGCACGGTGACTCATGCCTGTAATTCCAGCACTTTAGGAGGCTGAGGTGAGTAGATCACCTGAGGTCGGGAGTTCAAGACCAGCCTGGCTAACACGGTGAAACCCCATCTCTACTAAAAATACAAAAATTAGCCGGGTGTGGTGGCACACACCTGTAATCCCAGCTACTCGGAAGGCTGAGGTAGGAGGATCATTTGAATCTGGAAGGCGGAGATTGCAGTGAGCCCCAGGCTGGGCCCTTCCAGCCCCTGTGTCCACTGTCAAAGGTCCCTTCTGCCATCCGTGTGGCTAACTGTGATACTGGGGACAGCTGGGACAGAACAAATCCTTCAAGGCTTCCTCCTCTGTTCTTTATTCCAGCAGAACCCCGGCCCCTCCCGCTCAGCCAGGCCAGAGAAATTTCAGAGCACCCCCACCTGGGGCCACTGAGGTGGGAGTCAGGGTGTGGAGTGACAGAATAGCATTGATAATAATTATAACGACATCTGCATGTACGGATGGTTTAATGAGCTCCAGATGTCAGGCTCTGTCCTAGGTATTGTTTAATGCCTTTTAACCATCCTTGGCTGGGGCTGACAATCTCCAGGATACCCAGAGAGGGTAAGCAAATTACCCAGCATCACACAGAGAGGGATGTGGATGCACCAACCCAGTTTTGTCTGCACCTCTCTTTAAAACGTATGAACAGGCTGGGCACAGTGGCTCACACCTGTAATCCCTGCATTTTGAGAGGATTGCCTTGGCAGGAGGATTGCTTGAGGTCAGGAGTTCAAGACCAGCCTGGTCAACATAAGGAGACACTCTCTCTAGCAAAAATAAAAATAAAAATAAATTAGCTGGGCATGGTGGCACATCCTGTAGTCGCAGCTACTTGGGAGGCTGAGGTGGGGATGGCTTGAATCCAGGAGTTTGAGTCTGCAGTGAGCTAAGATCACACCACTGCACTCCAGCCTGGGCAACAGAGCAAGACCCCATCTCTACAAAAATCTAAAAATTAGCCCAGCGTGGTGGCCTGTGCCTGCAGTCCCAGCTACTCTGGGGGCTGAGGTGGGTGGATCGTCTGAGCCCAGGAGCTCCAGGCTGCAGTGAGCTATGATCGCACCACTGCATTCCAGCCTGGGTGACAGACTGAGACCCTGTCTTAAGAAAACAAAAACAAAACATATAAATGAACATCTTTTCCAATTGTATACGATGTCGATTACAGGCTTTAAAATGTTGGCGGTTTGTGTGTTTTCTCCTGGCCCGGTAGACACCCTCTGAAATGTGCTGCTTTCTGCAGCTGAGCTCAGTCCAGTGCAAAGACATGATGTACAACAGCCGTGCATGCCGGATGGCACTGACGGCGCGGACAAACTGTTCAATGTGGCACCTGGTGCTGGTCAATATATATTCATGATTGCACAAGCAAACACGGACACGGGAGAAACTAAAGCTGGGCCAAGGACCTGGTGAATCAAAGTTCACACTCCTCACAGCCGGGCTGGGGGTTTCCTATGGGTGTGCCGCCGGATGTGAGCAGACTTTACCCAAACCTGGGGTTCACAGGTCAAAAAGGTTCAGCATCACTGAGGAGTTTTCAGGACAACGTAGGACTTTTCAGAGCCTTTAAAATGCACTGGAGGGCCGGGAGTGGTGGCTCACACCTGTAATCCCCAGAGGCCAAGGAGGGCAGATCACTGGAGGTCAGGAGTTCGAGACCAGCCTGACCGACACGGTGAAACCTGGTCTCTACTAAAAATACAAAAATTAGCCGGGCATGGTGGTGTGTGCCTGTAGTCCCAGCTACTCGGTAGGCTGAGGAAGGAGAATTGCTTGAACCCGGGAGACAGAGGTTGCAGTGAACCGAGATCGTGCCACTGCACTCTAGCCTGGGCAACAGAGCAAGACTCCGTCTCAAAAAAAAAAAAAAAAAGCACTGGAGGGCTGGGCATGGTGGCTCACACCTATAATTCCTGCACTTTGGAAGGTCAAGGAGGGAGGATTACTTGAGCTCAGGAGTTTGAGACAAGCCTGGGCAATACAGGATACCCCACCCCATCTCTACTTTAAAAAAAAAAGTTACCTGGCTGTGGTGATGCACACCTGTAGTATCAGCTACTCAAGAGGCTGAGGCAGGAGGACTGCTTGAGCCCAGGAGGTCAAGGCTGCAGTGGGTGAGCTATGATTGAGCCACTGCACTCCAGCCTGGGCAACAGAGGGAGACCCTATCTCAAAAAAAACAACAAAAACAGCACTGGGGTTTTTAAAGAAGAGGTGGCAAGTCCCAGGCTTGTCTGATTTTGGGGTATCTTATGGAAACAAGGGCTGCACCCTGAAACCTGCGTTCGATGGAGTTCCAGCCCCAGCACAACCTGGCCATGTGGCTCTGGACCAGTCACCTCCTCTGTCGGAGCCTCCAACCTCCAGCGGCTCTCCGCTCATCTATAACGCGGGCGTTTCCAATCGCTGCCTTACCTTCCCGTTCTGTTGCTATGCTCAGAGGAGCTTACGGAGGGGACGGGGATAGCTAGAGGTTCTGTGATAAAGTCTGTTTTGATGATAGCATTTTGTCAAACTCCAGGAGTTAAATGAACATTACCCCTCCTCTGCCCGCAGCCCTCCATAGCTCCCACCTTCTTTGCGGGGAAAAGCCCACCTTCTTCCCGTGGCCCACAAGGCCCTGCATGGCCCGATCAGTCCCCTCCCTGCCCTCCCCTCCTTCCTGTCTCCCCTTCCTCACTCTGCTCTAGCCACGGGGGCCTCCTCGCTGTTCCTCCAACACACCAGGCATGGTCCTGCCTCAGGGCCTTTGCACGGGCTGCGCCTCTGCCTGGAACACTGTTCCCTCAGCTATCTACATGGCTCATTCTCTCCCCTCATTCAGGACTTTCCTCAAATAGCTCCTTCTCAGAGAGACACAAATGCCTCTTTCAGCACCATTTAGCATGGATGACCACACACATGCTAGTGTTGAGAGGCTCTGGTTCTGGAAAGCAAATTGTTGTTCTCCTAGCTAACACGGTAAAACCCCGTCTCTATTAAAAATACAAAAAAAAAGCCGGGCGTGGTGGCAGGCGCCTGTAGTCCCAGCTACTCGGGAGGCTGAGGCAGGAGAATGGCGTGAACCCGGGAGGCGGAGCTTGCAGTGAGCCGAGATCGAACCACTGCACTCCAGCCTGTGCAAAGGAGCGAGACTCCGTCTCAGGAAAAAAAAAAAGTAGAGACGCAGTCTCGCTATGTTGCCCAGGCTGGACTCAAACTCCTGGGCTCAAGCAATCCTCCCACCTCTGTCTCCCAAAGTAGGGGAAACACAGGTGCGAGCCACCGCAGCCGGCCAGCAAATTGTATTTCAAATGATACCCTCATCTGGCCGGGAGCCAGGTCTCTTGACTTCCCAGGTCTGTGAGGTGTCATGGACTGCCAAGAATGTCACTGGACCCTGTAGCCTTTGCTCAAGCAAACAAATGATGCACAACAGCCACGCACGCTGGATGGCACTGACGGGGCGGACACACTGTTCTCTCCTGTCCGTGGCTGTGAGCCCAAATTCAGTCCATCCTAGCTCATGACAAAGGCATCGCCGTGGGCTCTGGCCCCACCCTTCCCGCCCGGGAGCACCCACCCCCTTTGCAAGGGACAACTCCCTGCGTCCGCTGGCTGAAGCTTCCGCCGTTGGTGACTGGGAGGTCAACGCACACCCGGCACTCACGGAACAGGTGTTTACTGACCACCTACTACTCGCCAGGCCTTGGGGGGATGGCAGAGAAGGAAGTGGGGAGGGAGACGGGCAGAACCAGTGCATGGAGGAAGCCTCAGATCATTTCACACGGTTCTAGGTTCTACGGAGGCAATGAAACTGGCGGAAGGCAGAATGGCTTTGGGGGCGGCGTTGGAGGGAGGACTCAGGCAGAACCTCTCTGAGGATGTGACGGTGGCTCTCCAGCGGGAGAAGGAGCCCAGCCATGTGGAGAGCTGGGGTGAAAGCGTTCCACAAAGGTTCGGTGACAAGGGCAAGGTCCACGGGGCAGGAATGAAGTTGGATGTGTGAAAGGCAGAGACAGACCCCAGGCTGCAGCGTGGTGGGCAAGAGAAAGAGGAACGAACGGAGAGGGGAGCGGGACCATTCGGGGCCTTGTGTGTTGCAGTGAGAGGCCTGGGTTTTATCCTGCAGTGGGAAGAGGAGTGATGTGAGCTATGATACAATCCATTTTAGACTTTCAAAAGTCTCTGGGCCGGGCACAGTGGCTCACACCTGTAATTCCAGCACTTTGGGAGGCTGAAGTGGGAGGATCACTTGAGGCAAGGAGTTCGAGACCAGCCTGGACCACATAGCAAGACCCCATCTCTACAAAATATTTTTAAAAATTAGCCGGGTGTCAGCCAGGGGCGGTGGCTCACGCCTATAATCCCAGCACTTTGGGATCACAAGGTCAGGAGTTCGAGACCAACCTGGTCAACATGGTGAAACCTTGTCTCTACTAAAAATACAAAAATTAGCCAGGTGTGGTGGCGGTCGCCTATAGTCCCAGCTACTCGGGAGGCTGAGGCAGGAGAACTGCTTGAACCCAGGAGGCGGAGGTTGTAGTGAGCCGAGTTGGCGCGACAGAGTGAGACTCCGTCTCAAAAATAAAATAAAATAAAATAAAAATTAGCTGGGTGTGGTGGTGCGTGCTGCATGTGTGGTCCCAGATGCTCAGGAGGCTGAGGTGCGAGGATTGCTTGAGCCTGGGAGTTTGAGGCTGCGATGAGCTATGACAGTGCCACTGCACTCCAGCCTGGGTGACAGAGTGAAACCCTGTCTCAAGAAAAAAAAAGTGTGTGATGTGTGTCTCACCACAGTTAAAGCAATTTTTAAAGAAACTTCTGGACTCTCAGGTGTTGGGAATCTTGGCTTCAACACAACACCCTGGCCCAGCAGGGGTGGCCCAGCATTGCACGGAGTGGCCATATTGAATTGATCTTTTGGCTGTAGGAAGGACAGGACTTGCTGAAACCATAATCACACTTATTTAAAAACCCGGCGGGCTGTCAGAAGGCCTAGAATGTCCACTTGGGCCCCAGCAGGGCATCTGCTGGACCTCACGGAGCCCAGGTTTCCAGCATCGGCCGCCACCGTGAGCTCGCCTGGTTGATTTTCCAACGTTAGCCGGCTTCCAAATGTTGCTGGCTCTGCCGGCTGCCACGTCCGCCTCCCAACCTCAGCCAGCTAAAGAGAGAACCAAAGCCAGGCCCTGGAATTCCCAGCTACTGGGTGTCACCGGCCATTTTTAAACATTACCCGGCGAAGGTTCAACTTTCTCTGTCCTGGAAGGCAATGGAATATACGAGTGACCTGGGCCTGAGTCCTCTGAGCTCCTGCTGTGCCGTCTTCCCTGCCCCTCTCCCTCCTAGGAAACCTCCAGCCATACTTTGCAGCCCAGCTCTGACATCTCCTTCTCTGGAACACCCTCCCCAGCCCTTTCTGCAAACGTTTGTTCTAGTCCCCAGCACCCTGGACTGTGTCTGGGTCTACAAATATGTGAAAGTTCACCCGGGCGCGGTGGCTCACGTCTGTAATCCCAGCACTTTGGGAGGCCAAGGCGAGCAGATCACAAGGTCAGGAGTTCCAGCTCAGCCTGACCAACATGGCGGAAACCTCGTCTCTGCTAAAAACACAAAAATTAGCCAGGCGTGGTGGTGCATGCCTGTAATCCCAGATGCTCAGGAGGCTGAGGCAGGAGAATTGCTCGAACCCGGGAGGCAGAGGGCACGGTGAACCAAGATTGCACCAGTGACTCCAGCCTGGGTGACAGAGCGAGACTCCATCTCAAAAACAACAACAACAAAGCAAAAACAAAACCAAACAATTGGGCCGGGCGCGGTGGCTCACGCCTGTAATCCCAGCACTTTGGGAGGCCGAGGCGGGTGGATCACGAGGTCAGGAGATCGAGACCATCCTGGCTAACACAGTGAAACCCCGTCTCTACTAAAAATACAAAACTATAGCCGGGCGTGGTGGCGGGCGCCTGTAGTCCCAGCTACTCGGGAGGCTGAGGCAGGAGAATGGCGTGAACCCGGGAGGCAGAGCTTGCAGTGAGCCGAGATCGCACCACTGCACTCCAGCCTGGGCGACAGAGCGAGACTCCACCTCAAAAACAAAAAACAAAAAACAGAAAACCAAATATCTAAAAGTCCAAGTTCTCCCCATCTCCCCATGGCGCTCAAGGCCCTGCACAGCCCGCCTCTGCCCCCTCCCTCCCCTCCTCCCCTCGTCCCTCTCTCCCCCTCGCTCACTCTGCTCCAGCCACACAGGCCTCCTGGCTGTTCCACCAATGCACCAGGCACGGTCCTGCCTCAGGGCCTTTGCACGGGCTGTGCACACTGCTTGGAACACCGTCCCTGCAAATGCCTGCCTGGCTCACTCTCTCGCTTTATTCAGGCTTCTGTTCAAATGTGGTTTATCGTCCACAGCTCCCGGCACAGAATCTGCACTTGAAGTGAGGGAAGTTTGAGTTTTCGCCTCCTCACATCCCTCCTGAAAAATGTGACCACAGGGTTCCCGTGTGTGTCCAGTTACGTTGCAACCTACTTTGCATTTCCTGAGCCTCTGCCCCCTTCCTGTGCCAGCATCTGTGCCAACCCCAGCCTCAGGAGAAAACTGTGATGCTTTTATCCAACACACGTCTTGAGCGCCTACTGTGTACCATGCCCTGTCCTAGGTACTGGGGACAGAGCAGTGAAAAACACACAGACATTGGCTGGACACAGTGGCTCACGCTGTAATCCCAACACTTTGGGAAGCCAAGGCAAGAGGATCACTTGAGGTCAGAAGTTCGAGACCAGCTTGAGCAACATAGTGAGACCCTATTTCTACAAAAAAAAAAAAATAGGCAGGGCACGGTGGCTCATGCCTGTAATCCCAGCACTATGGGAGGCCAAGGCAGGCGGATCACTTGAGGTCAGAAGTTCGAGACCAGCCTGGGCAACATGGCAAAACCCCATCTCTACTAAAAACACAAAAAATTAGCAGGGCATCGTGGCGGGTGCCTGTAATCCCAGCTACTTGGAAGGCTGAGGCAGGAGAATCGCTTGAACCTGGGAGGTGGAGGTTGCAGTGAGCCAAAATCGTGCCATTGCACTCCAGCCTGGGCAACAGAGTGAGACTCTGTCTCAAACAAACAAACAAAACCCAAATTTAGCTGGGCATGGTGGTACATGCCTGTGGTCCCAGCTACTCAGGAGGCTGAAGTGAGAGGATTGCTTGAGCCCAGAAGGTTGAGGCTACAGTAAGCCATGATCAAGTCACTGCACTCCAGCCTGGGTGACAGAGCAGGAGGACTCTGTTTCAAAAAAAGAAAGGAAGAAAGAAAAAGAAAAAGGGGCCGGGCGCGGTGGCTCACACGTATAATCCCAGCACTTTGGGAGGCCAAGGCAGGCAGATCACCTGAGGTCAGGAGTTCGAGACCAGCCTGGCCAACATGGTGAGACCCCTGTCTCTACTAAAAATACAAAAAAATTAGCTGGGTGTAGTGGCAGGCACCTGTAATCCCAGTTACTCAAGAGGCTGAGACAGGAGAATCGCTTGAACTCAGGAGGTGGAGGTTGCAGTGAGCCGAGATCGTGCCATTGCACTCCAGCCTAGGCAACAAGAGTGAAACTCCATCTCAAAAATAAATAAATAAATAAATAAATTAAATTAAATAAAAATAGAAAGGAATTCCAGTACGGACCCTGATCCTCCATAGAGAACTTCCTCCTCCCCAAGATGCTCTAAGGAGGGAAGCAGCTGTCAGTTTTGCCAGTGCTGTGTGACCTCACTAAAAGCACTCTCCCTCTCTGAGCCTCCACATCCTGACAGTGCAGATGACCTAAAACCCCTGCCCAGCCCTTGTCCATCGCCTGTCTGGACAAATCAAAAGAGGAAAAAACACAAGCCCATAGATGTTCTCCGCACTCCCCGCCCGCCCCAGGGACAGGGAGGAAAATCTGGATGTGACCTGGGGGGGCCCGAGAGGCAGAGGCGTGGACGGGGTGACCTCCAGGACGCTGGCCTCCATCCCGGGCCTCCCCGGCCTCGTCCTTCCTGCGTTCCTTAAGTCTGGCCCATACTTTCCATCTCCCTCTCCCCTGCCGCCGGGCCGCCTGGGCCGGAGCCAACCTGCTTCGGAATCACTTTCAAAGAAAAGTTTCTTTTTTCTTTCCACCCGGCCCCCGCCGGCTCCATGGCCTGGCTCCGGGCCCTCCCGGGCGCTGGTGGACGCCTCGGTGTCCTGCGGGTCAGGTCAGCGGCCACCACCGCCCCGGAACCGTCCCCAGCATCGGGCTGTTGGGACTGGAGGCCCAGTGCTG
Organism: Homo sapiens; assembly: GCF_000001405.40. Taxonomy (NCBI): domain Eukaryota; kingdom Metazoa; phylum Chordata; class Mammalia; order Primates; family Hominidae; genus Homo; species Homo sapiens. Next base: position 3,404,933 of record NC_000019.10, on the reverse strand, counting down.
GCCTCGCCCTCCCCCAGGTCTCGGGCCCGCCTCTGGGGACCCCTGGGGACCCCGGTGTCACTCTTTGTGGGTGTCCGGCCTGGGCAGCGGGTCTGGAGGTCCCTGGAGGCCGCAGGGCCCCTGCTCGGAGGCCTGCGCGTAGGGACTCGCCCCGTGCTGGGGACGCTCTGGGAGGCCACGCCGCCCATGACATCATCCCTCTGGCGGCCATTTTCTCGCCTCTCCCTTCCCCTGTTCCAGATGTTTCTCCGGCCTTGGCGGCCATTTTGTAGGTCTGGGCGGCGCAGGCTGGCACCGGCCTCGGGCACCCGGCCCTGCCCTCCTGGGTGGGGTGGGGGTGGGGGGACACCAGGAGAAGGTGACAAGGGAGCCTCTGGGGCACCACTGGGCCCTGGGCCGCCTCCCCCAGCCCCTCTGCAGCCTCTGAGGGGTTAAACACGTGGTGCCAACAGCAGGGCGGCCTTGCCAAGCGCCCACCCGCGCACGGCCACCCAGGGCTCCCCACGCCTCCGCGCCCCCTCCCCATTATCTGCCACTCGGCACCAGCCACTCCAGGGATGTGAGGAGCAAGGTTAAAAATACCCGCACGCACACCCTCACCCCCACCCCCTCCCGGTCCCGCCAATGTCAAATGTGTCAACGCCACCCGGGGTGGGGGGGAGTGGACTGAAAATAACTCGCTGTTTACATTTGGAGCAAATTCTTGGCTTCCCAGCAGCCAAGCTGAGGCCTCCCCACACCCCCACCCCCAACACCTTCCTGGCAGGCCTGACTCGGCGGCTGTGACGGGGGGGGGAGAAGGGCAGGCCTCGGGGGGAGCCCTGGGAGCCACATGTGCCCACGGGCTGAACGCACACGCACGCGTCCCCATGGAGAGGTTCGGGAAGGGATGGGGGGAAAGGGGCAGGCCAGGGGCTGGGGGGGTGGAGAAGGGAGCCCCGGGAGCCACATGTGCCACTGGCTGAGCGCACACACGGGCGTCCCCATGGAGAGGCTCCGGAAGGGATCAGTGGCCACACGAAGCAGGCAGGGCCAGTCGGAAGCGCCCGAGGACACTCTCTGCCAATGTCGGGCACCGGGTGGGGGCAGCCGGGCGCGGCGGGGGGTGGCGGGAGGAGGCGGAGGCCCCTCCCGGCTTCCCCTTCCTTCTGATATTTCTTGGGGCGCGTCTCCAACTGGGCAGCCCGCGGGGAGTCCGGAGGACGGGAGGCAAGGCTGGCGGCCCAGCCAAAGGAGGCAGGAGGAAGGCGCGGGAGCCCGGGCAGGCGCCCAGGGGAGGGCTCTCCGCAATTCCGAGGCCTGCCCGGTGCTGTGTGGCTTCAGGCAAGCCCTGCCCCTCTCTGGGCCTCCAAGAAAAAACAAAATACCAAACGCCCTGGCTTTGGCGTGGGGTCAGGAGAATAGACTCCATGCCAGTCTTGCTTGGGGAGGGAGAGGTAGACACATCTCCGCCCTGCTCTGTGCCTCAGTTTCCCTTGCTGCAAAAAGTAGATGTCAAGTTGTAAACACATCAGATTGTGGAGTGTTCTGCTTTACAAAGGGGGAAACGGAAGATCCGAGAGAGGAAGGGGCTTGCCGCAGATCTCACGGCCACGCAGTTGGACAACGGAACTTGAACCCAGAGGTTTAAATGTTGCCTTGAATGTGGGAGGGGGCTGGAAACCAGAGGGCACAAACCTGAAAGGGGGTAGAAGGAAACTTTCTCCTTCCCAAGCTTTCATGTGGCCTCTCTCCCCAGAGCCTGCTACACAGGTGGTGCTCGATAAATGCTTTTACACAGCTGGCACTCAATAAATGCCTGCAGCCAAATGAGTGTGATTATTCCAGCAGAGCCTGGCACACAGTAGGCACCCAATATGAACTTGTTGCATGAATATTTGGGATTCTCCTGATAGGATCTGGTATACAGCAGGTGCAAAATAAATGCTTGTCAGGGAAAGGAATGTGAGGAACATTAAGAGATTTGGGGGAGTAGTCAAAGTGGAGGACTAGGACCACAGGCCCTGCACAACCTGTCCTGTCCGCTTTCTGCCCTCCCCTCTTCCCTCTCTCCCCCTCACTCACTCTGCTCCAGCCACAGGGGCCTCCTCGCTGTTCCTCCAATGCACCTGGCCCAGTCCTGCCTCAGGGCCTTTGCACATTCTGTTCCCTCTGTCTAAACAGCTAACTGCTTGCTCTCTCTTGAGATCTCTCCTGGTCTCAGCTCAAATGCTCCCTTCTCAGAGAGGTCTACGCTGAGCCCCTTCACCTCAAGCAGCCTCTGGCTACCCTCAATCTCAGCCTTCTGTTTTCTTTCCTTCAGAGGAAGTTAGTGATTGCCTATGGATTTGCTTAGTTGCTTAGTGACTGCACGGGTGTTTGCTCATCTCCCCAGTGGAATGTCACCTCCTTGAGGGCAGAGGCTTTGTCTGTCTAGATCTCTGTTGTGCCCTCAGTGGCTAGAATAAGGCCTGATACAGACTAGGTGCTCAATAAATATTTGTAGAAAGAAAGTTGAGAGGGAGGGATGAGCAGAGAGAAAAAGAGAGACAAGGAGACATGGTACATGGGGGAGTGGAAGGAGGAGGCATGAAAAGGAAGGACCGTCTGGGCGCAGTGGCTCCAGCCTGTAATCCCAGCACTGTGGGAGGCTGAGGCTGGGTGGATCACCTGAGGTCAGGCATTCGAGACTTGCCTGGTCGTCAACATGACAAAGCCCCATCTCTACTAAAAATACAAAAATTAGCTGGCTATAGTGGCACATGCCTGTAGTCCCAGCTACTTGGGAGGCTGAGGCAGGAGAATTGCTTGAACCCTGGAGGCGGAGGTTGCAGTCAGCTGAGATCGTGCCACTGCACTTCAGCCTGGGTGACAGAGTGAGACTTCGTCTCAAAAAAAAGAAAAAAAAATAAGAAAGAAAATAAATGAGAATAGGCTGGGTACGGTGGTTCACACCTGTAATCCTAGAACTTTGGGAGGTCGAGGCGGTTGGATCAATTGAGTTCAGGAGTTTGAGACCAGCCTGGCCAACATGGTGCAACTCCGTCTCTACTAAAAACACAAAAATTAGCTGGGTGAGGTGGTGCACACTTGTAGTCCCAGCTACTCAGGAGGCTGAGGCAGGAGAATCTCTTAAACCTGTGAGGCAGAGGTTGTAGTGAGCTGAGATCGCACCACTGCACTCCAGCCTGGGTGACAGAGCGAGACTCTGTCTAAAAAAAGAGAAAAAAAAAGAGAATAACCCTGCCATGTGGGTGGCGTACCTGGGTTAGGGCTGGGACCCTGGCAGGAGCCCAGAGCCCCACGGGCCTCCCGGGCACCAGGACCCATATCCCAGCTTGCCCGCTAACAAAGTCCTGATTGCAGGAGAGCTCCCAGGCGTGCCCAGTGCTGCGCCGCTCCCTTCCCTGCATGTGCCCAGGCAGGTGCGGCTTGCAGGCAGGAGACGGGGCAAGGAGAGCAAGGGCCAGCCTCAGATAAGGTATAAACGACCCAGGTGAGCAACTGAATCCTCACACCGTCGGAGTTGACCTGGATTCTGCCCCCTCCTCTGCCTCTGTCCCTGCTACCGCCTGCTTGCACCAGGGCGGTCCACTCTGCCCTGGTCCCCAGCTCCTGCCCTCACCCCCCACAGTCTGTCCTCCCTGCAGCAGGCAGAGGGTGCCTGTGAGCACCTGAGTCAGGGCTGGTCCCTCCTCTGCCCATAGCCCTCTATGGCTCCCACCTGCCTTGGGGTCAAAGCCCAAGTCCTTCCTACTGCCCACCAGGCCTTGCACAAACTGCCCTCCCCTCCTCCTTCTCTTCCTCTCCTCACTCTGCTGCAGCCACACAGGCCTCCTCACTGTTCCTCCAAAGTGCCAGGTGTGTCCTGCCGCAGGGCCTTTGCACGGGCTGTGCCCTCTGCCTGGAACGCCTTCCCCCAGTTCTTCATATAACTGGTTCCTCCTCACTTCTCAGGTCTCAGCTCAAATGTCAGGTCCTCAGACAGCCTTTCAGGGACCTCCCCAGCACAGCCCATCAGCCTCTTTTCCTTTGGCCTTCTTTATTTTTCTTGATAGTCCTTATCGCTAAACTGACATTTATTTCTTTTTATTTTTATTATTATTATTTTTTGAGACGGAGTCTCGCTCTGTGGCCCCAGCTGGAGTGTAGTGGTACAATCTCGGCTCACTGCAACCTCCGCCTTCCGGGTTCAAGCGATTCTCCTGCCTCAGCCCCTGCCAGTGGCTGGATTACAGGCGCATACCGCTATGCCTGGCTAATGTTTTGTATTTTTAGTAGGAACGGGGTTTCACCATGTTGGCCAGGCTGGTCTTGAACTCCTGACCTCAGGTGATCTGCCCGCCTCGGCCCCCCACAGTGCTGGGATGACAGGCGTGAGCCACCGCACTAAGCCTAAACTGACATTTATTTCTTGTTCTTTGCCCATCGCCTGAACCAAACTGTGAGTTCCACGAGGGCAGAATTTTTTTTTTTCTGAGACAGAGTCTCACTCTGTCACCCAGGCTGGAGTGCAGTGGCGTGATCTCGGCTCACTGCAAGCTCCGCCTCCCAGGTTCACACCATTCTCCTGCCTCAGCCTCCTGAGGATCTGGGACAACAGGCACCTGCCATCACGCCTGGCTAATTTTTTTTGTATTTTTAGTAGAGACGGGGTTTCACCATGTTAGCCAGGATGGTCTCGATCTCCTGACCTCATGATCCGCCCACCTCAGCCTCCCAAAGTGCTGGGATTACAGGTGTGAGCCACCGTGCCTGGCCAGGGCCGAATTTTTATCTGTCCTGTTCACTGCAGTATCCCAGCGCCTGGAGCAGTGCCTGGCATACAGTAGGAGCTTACTAAATATTTATTGGCTGCAAAGTGGTTCCACTGGATGAGTGCTGACAGTGTCTGTGCTCCGTGCTGTCCTAAACTCTTTTGTTTTCAAAAATTTTTGAGACAGAGATTTGCTATGTTGCCCAGGCTGGTCTCAAACTCCTGGGCTCAAGCGATCCTCCCGCCTCAGCCTCCCAAAGGGCTGGGATTAGAGGTGTGAGTCACTGTGCCCAGCCTATTTTTATTTTTATTTACTTATTTATTTTTTGAGATGGAGTCTTGCTCTGTCACCCAGGCTAGAGTGCAGTGGCACGATCTCGGCTCACTACAATCTCCGCCTCCCAGGTTCAAGTGATTCTTCTGCCTCAGCCTCCCCAGTAGCTGGGATTACAGGCTCCCACCACACGCCCAGCTAATTTTTGTATTTTTAGTAGAGACGGGGTTTCCCCTTGTTGGCCAGGCTGGTCTGGAACTCTTGATCTCAAGTGATCTGTCTTCCTCGGCTTCCCAAAGTGCTGGGATTATAGGCATGAGCCACCATGCCTGGCCTATTTTTATTTTTTGAGACAGGGTGTTGCTCTGTCACCCAGGCTGGAGTGCAGTGGCCCAATCACAGCTCACTGCAGCCTCAACCTCCCAGACTTGAGCAATCCTCCTGCCGCGACCTCTCGAGTGGCTGGGGCTACAGGCACACATCACCATGCCTGGCTAAGTTTTATTTTTTGTAGAGATGGGCATCTCACTATGTTGCCCAGGCTGGTCTTGAACTCCTGGCCTCAAGTGATCCTCCCGTCTCAGCCTCTCAAAGCGCTGGGATTACAGGTGTGAGCCACCATGCCTGGCGGGCATGTAAACTCTTAATATGTCTTATTGACTCTCCCTCAGCAACCCCACAGAGCAGGCGCTATTTTATAGATGGGGAAACTGAGGCCCAGAGAGGGGATGCCACCTGCCTGAGGCCACACAGTGAACAGGCAGCAGGGCCAGGACCCTCCAGGACCTCACGTCTTCCTGCATTGCCCCACTGTGCAGAAGGGGAGGCTGAGGCTCAGAGACAGGGACTTAACCAGGTGACACCCAGAGCCAGCGTCACAGCCCAAGCCTCTGCCCAAGCACTGGGCGTGGTCCTCCGCTCAGCTGAACCCCCGCCCTGGGGAAAGAATATAGTGATGATAAACAACATCCACAAAAATAATCATAACGACATTAATGGCGGCCTTGCTGAGGGCGGAGTCCGCAGCTCGCCTATGAATTCGCACCAGTGCCCGTGGAGGGAGCCGCGGGGGACGCCGGTCCCTTTAAGAGCCTCCCCCTCCCCAGCTGGGCGCTGGCCCGGCCTCCCCTTATGTAAGCGGGCCGGCTGCCCTTGCATAAACTGGTTACATAAGGCAGCGAGGCACAGGCTTGTCCATCCGGCAGCAACCTGTCCCGGGCTGTCTGTGGGGCTGGCCTGGAGCACGGGAGCGTCGTAGCCACCCGGAGCTGTCACAGGGTACAGCCCGGGTCCGAGGGCCTCTGGGTTGACTCCTGCCTGGGGGATGCCTGGGATTCCCAGAGACAGCACAACCCCCTCCCAGGCAGAAGAAGGTGATGGTTTCCAGTGTGTGAAAGGATGGGGCTGTTCCCGTTGCTCTGAAGGTGAAACTGAGGCCCAGAGAGGGCAGGGGAGCAGCCTGAAGCTGCACAACCCTGAGCAGAGGGAGGAGGCGATGACACCAGAGTGAGATCCAGGCTGGGTGGCCTTTGCCTCTCAGCTCACTGCAACCTCTGCAGTGAGGCTTCCTCAGCAAGGCCTGGTATGCAGCTGGCGCTCAATAAGTGCGCCAGTGGAGGTGACACTTGGCAGTGTTTCAGGCCCTTCTCCCTAATACCCTCTAATTCCACGAACCGACTCAATCCTTGCGTAGCTCTCTGTGAAGCTAAGACAGCCATCGCCTCATTCTGCATTTGGGGAAACTGAGGCACGGAGCAAGGTGAAGAAGGAATTGCCAAGTCTGCACGGCGGATGAATGCTGGGCTGAAACAGCAGGTGCTCTATCAATGCACAGTGGGCGCCGGAAGAGTGTCAACTGTGTGCAAAATCCTGGATAATATGCCATCTGCCCAGCAACCCACAGGGGTGGCACCAAGGAGCCCCCTGATCTAGATGGGGAAACTGAGGCACAGAGAGATGAAGGGATTTATCCAAGGTCAAACCCAAACCCTATCACATCTCCTGCTCCAGACAGGCCTCCCCCAAGCCACGAGGGTGTGTAGGTACACAGCTCCCCACCCCCGTCAGACACATGAGTGGTCCACCTTGGGGAGGGTGTGGGATTTGGGAGTGGACGCAGCCTCCCCCGCTCACATTCTTTCTGAGCACTGGCCCTTTAAGGTAGCCACGCTGCCTGGGCATGTCCCAGGGTGACCCCAAGGGGCGGGTGTGGCCAGGAACAAGAGGCCCATTCAGCTGCCCCGTTGCCGCCACCTCCGGGCAGCCCACTGGGTGGGATGGGGGGCTGGGAGGAGACTCGCAAGGCCGGGAGAGAGAGCGAGGTGGGGTGGGAATAGACAGGGACTGAGACAAGGCAGCCTGGGGAGAATCAGAGGTAGAGAGACAGAGACAGAGTCACAGAGACACCCGACCTCAGATGCAGCTCACACCTCCCTGATTCCCCAGGTCCAGGGGTTTGAGACCTGCCCAGCCCCCAGCCTGGCTGCAGCCCTGAAGCTGCTCCTTGAGCCAGCTGAACCTGCGGCCTGCTCACCGGCACCAAAGCCCTGTAGGCCCAAAGGCAGGATCCGGAACGTTCCAGGGCAGTCCCTGCCATACCCCAAACAGCCCCTTTATGTGGTGCCCACTGTGGGTCCTGGGATCTCCCAGGCTTGGATTTAAATCCTGACTGTGCTCCTTAGCTATGTGACCTTAGGCCAGTGACTTTGCCTCTCTAGGCCTCAGTTTCCCCATCTGTTAAATGCTGTTAATGATCATTCCAACCTCAGCGGGTGGTTGTGAGACGGTGAGGTAGCTGCCAACAATGTGGTTTCCTGAGGGCTCAGATGAGCCAGGCACTTGGTAAGCCCTCAATACGCCTGCAATCCCCCCACAATGCACCCCAGACACGCATGCAGACACACCCCTGCCTCCCACTAGATGACACAACCGATCATGATGGCCACTGCTTTTTTGTTTGTTTGTTTGTTTGAGATGGAGTCTCACTCTGTCACCAGGCTGGAGTGCAATGGCGCGATCTCAGCTCACCGCAACCTCTGCCTCCTGGGTTCAAGCGATTCTCCTGCCTCAGCCTCCCGAGTAGCTGAGACTACAAGCATGTGCCACCACACCCAGCTAATTTTTGTAGGTTTAGTAGAGATAGGGTTTTGCCATGTTGGCCAGACTGGTCTCGAACTCCTGATCTCAGGTGATCCACCCACCTTGGCCTCTGCAAGTGCTGGGATTACAGGTGTGAGCCGCCGTGCTCGGCCCTGGGCCATTGCCTTTGAACAAAGCTCTGCAAGCTCTGGGCTACGAGCGGCCGTGGTGTCCCTGTTGGAAGTTCTCACATAGCTCTGTTCACCAGAAGGGACGCCTGGTGGTAGACAGGCTGGGATCCAGACCCAGTGAGGGTGTGCCCGAGGCCCCATAACAGCCTCTTGGAAACACACACTTTTTTTTTTTTTTTTTTTTGAGACGGAGTCTCACTCTGTTGCCCCGGCTGGAGTGCAGTGGCACGATCTCAGCTCACTGCAAGCTCCGCCTCCCAGGTCCACACCATTCTCCTCTCTCAGCCTCCCGAGTAGCTGGGACTACAGGCGCCCACCACCACGCCTGGCTAATATTTTCATATTTTTAGTAGAGACGGGGTTTCACCACGTTAGCCAGGATGGTCTGGATCTCCTCACCTCGTGATCCGCATACCTCAGCCTCCCAAAGTGCTGGGATTATAGGCGTGAGCCGCCGCGCCCGGCCCGGAAACACACACTTACAGCCAGGCTTCCCGTGCCCAGCATCCAAAGCACAACAGACAGTAACTGGGGGTCACCACCAGTCCTCACAACTGCTCTCCTTGCGCCCAAATACCTCCCGCCACAGTGGAGTCCTGCTCCAGCCCTAACCAATATGGAAGAAAGCTCAAAGAGCCTGAAATCCCAGCATGGGCCACATAGTGAGACCTCCTGTCTACGAAAAATAAAAATAAGGCCGGGCATGGTAGTTCATGCCTGTCATCCCAGCACTTTGGGACCCGAGGTCAGGAGTTCAAGACCAGCCTGGCCAACATGGAGAAATCCCATCTCTACTAAAAATACAAAAATTAGCCGGTGTGGTGGCACGCGCCTGTAATCCCAGGTACTCGGGAGGCTGAGGCAGGAGAATCGCTTGAACCCGGGAGGTGGAGGTTGCAGTGAGCCAAGATTGCGCCACTGCACTCCAGCCTGGGTGACAAAGCAAGACTCCGTCTCAAAAAGTAAATAAATAAATAAATAAAAATAAAAAATCAGCCAGGCGTAGTGGTGCACGCCTATACTGCCAGCTACCTGGGAGGCTGAAGCAGGAGGATCCCTTGAGCCTGAGAGATTGAGGCTGCAGTGAGCTATGAGTCCACCACAGCACTCCAGCCTGGGCAACATAGTGAGACCTCATCTCTACTAAAAAAAAAAAAAAAAAATCAACCATGGTGGTATGCGCCTGTAATCCCAGCCCCAGCGACTTAGGAGGCTAAGGTGGGAGGATCACTTGAACCTGGGAGTTGAAGGCTGCAGTGAGCTGTGATTGCACCACTGAACTCCAGTCTGGGCAAAAGAGTTAGATTCTCACTCTGTTGCCCAGGCTGGAGTACAGTGGTGCGATCTCTGCTGACTGCAGCCTCTGCCTCCCGGATTGAAGTGATTCTCCTGCCTCAGCCTCCCCAGTAGCTGGGATTACAGGTGTGCACCACCACACCTGGCTGATTTTTGTATTTTTAGTAGAGATGGGGTTTCACCACGTTGGCCAGGCTGGTCTCGAACTCCTGACCTCGGGAGATCCGCCCGTCTCGGCTTCCCAAAGTGCTGGGATGACAGGTGTGAGCCACCGCGCCCAGCCTCCTTGGATTTTCAAGCAACCAGTTTGGAAGGTCTAGAACCTGCCCTCACGTTTTCGAGAACCCAACTTGGGAGACTGGAGATCTGCTTCCGAATTCTCTGGAACAGCAGCCTCCAACCTTCTTGGCCCCAGGGACCGATTTCATGGAAGACAATTTTTCCAGGGACGGGGTGAGTGGGGAGATGGTTCTGGGATGAAACTAGACATTAGACATTAGTCAGATTCTCCTAAGGAGCACGCAACCTGGATCCCTCCTATGTTCAGTTCACCATGGGGTTCATGCTCGTAGGGGCACCCAGAGCCGCCCGCTGATCTGACGGGAGGTGGAGCTCAGGTGAGAATGGTCACTTGCCCTAAGCTCAACTCCTGCTGAGTGGCCAGGTTCCTCCCAGGCACGGAACCCGTCTGTGGCCCGGGGGTCGGGAACCCCTGCTCTGGAACTCAGATGTCTTAGCACGGCCTGCCCAATACAGCAGCCCCTGGCCACGTGTGACATCCAGTGCTTGAAATGTGGTCTGTCCAAATTTCAGACTTAGTGTAAGCGGGTGGGGGGTGGGTGGGGAAAAGATCATAAAATACCTCGATAACTTTTTTTTTGAGTTGAAGTCTTGCTCTGTCACCCAGGCTGGAATGCAGTGACACAATCACAGCTCGCTGGAGCCCCACATTCCTGGGCTCAAGCGATCTTCCCACCTCAGCCTCCTGAGTAGCTGGGACCGCAGGTTCACGCCACCACGCCTGGCTAATTTTTTAATTTTTTTGTAGAGACAAGGTCTTAGTATGTTGGCCAGGCTGGTCTCAAACTCCTGACCTCAAGTGATCCTCCCACCTCAGCCTCCCAAAGGGCTGGGATTCCAGGCGTGAGCCACTGCACCCGACCAATAGACCAATAATTTTTCCTGTTGTTTATGGATTGCAATAGTATCATTCCAGATGCCCTGGGTTAAATAAAGTAATGTTAAAATTAAACATTTTAATGTTACTACTCGGGAAGCTGAGGCAGCTACTCGGGAGGCTGAGGCAGGAGAACTGCTTGAACCCAGGAGGTGGAGGTTGCAGTGAGCCGAGATTGCACCGCTGCACTCCAGCCTGGGCGACAGAGCGAGACTCTGTCTCAAGGAAAAAAAAAATTAACATTACTTAAAATAATGTTAAAATTAATTTCCCCAGTATACTTAAATTTACATTCTTAAGTGTGAGGACCAGAAAAATGTTAAATTATATGTGTGGTTGGAACTCTTTTTTTTTTTTTTTTTTTTTGAGACAGAGTCTCACTCTGTTGCCCAGGCTGGAGTGCAGTGGCACGATCCCAGCTCACTGTAGCCTCTGCCTCCTGGGTTTAAGCGATTCTCCTGTCTCAGCCTCCTGAGAGTAGCTGGGATTACAGGTTCGCGCCACCACGCCCGGCTCATTTTTGTATTTTTAGTAGAGACCGGGTTTCATCATGTTGGTCAGGCTGGTCTTGAAATCCTGACCTCAAGTGATCTGCCCTCCTCGGTCTCCCAAAGTGCTGGGATTACAGGTGTGAGCCACCACGCCCAGCCAACATTCTATTTCTCCTGGACCCCTGGGTCTGGAACTCACCTAGGAGAATTCTAGAATCACCTGTGTGGTCAGGGCCCCAGTGGAAGAAATTCTAGAACTCAGGCCTTGGGGATTTCAGGACTCATGCCCTGGAGAATCTAGAAACCACTTCAGCGTTGAGATTCTCGCGTCTTCCTCCCCTCAGAACCCCCTTCTCCCTCTCCTCCGGCAGATCTTCTGCCCTGAGACCCTAGGGTCCCTCCTTGCTGGCCCTACCTCCCCTCCAGGTGGCCGTGGAACAGCCAAGCGGACCTAAAGATGGGACTTAGTCTGGGCGCGGTGGCTCACACCTGTAATCCCAGCAATTCGGGAGGCCGAGGTGGGTGGATCACGAGGTCAGCCTGGCCAACATGGTAAAACTCCATCTCTACTAAAAATACAAAAATTAGCTGGGTGTGGTGGCGGGCACCTGTAATCCCAGCTACTCGGGAGGCTGAGGCGGGAGAATTGCTTGAACTCAGGAGGCGGAGGTTGCAGCGAGCCGAGATCGCGCCACTGTACTCCAGCCTGGGCGACAGGGCAAAACTCCGTCTCCAAAAAATAAAAAATAAAAATAAAGATGGGACTTAGAAGGGACAAGAGCCAAGGCCCTTCCTGGGCAACTCGGGGCAATGCCTCGCCCCTCTCCGGGCCTCAGTTTCCCCATCTGGACGAGACATCCGGTGTCCCCAAATGCCCTCTGCTTCACCCCTCACCAACCCTGACCATCTGTGACTTCCTGCCCTCGCCCAGCTGGAGGGAGGGGGCTGGCCTGGCAGCTGGCTGGAGGGGGCCGTGGGCACAGAGCTGTCCCTAGCTGCCCTCAGCCTCCCCTTGGCTTCCCAGGCACAGGGCCAGGGTGACAACTGCAGCCCAGCCATAACGGGGGGCATCACAGGTGCAACAAGGCGCCTCCCCCTCCCACTGGCTCTGGGAGGGCCGGGCCCCACCCGGGTGAATGAGGGCTCCCTCAGGGGCTGTCTCGGGAGTCCCCACACAAATGCATTCATGCAGAAACCAGCATTCTGCTGGGTAGGGGCGTCTGCGGGGTGGTGGGAGGACCTACTCCTCAAAGAGCCTACCAGTTCCCAGCACTCATCACATGCAAAGGGTTAGTTTTTTCATAGATATTATCTCATTTAGGCCGGGTGCGGTGGCTCACGCCTGTAGTCCCAGCACTTTGGGAGGCCAAGGCAGGTAGATCACCTGAGGTCAGAAGTTCGAGACCAGCCTGGCCAACATAGTGAAACCCCCGCTCTACTAAAAATACCACAATTAGCCGGGTGTGGTGACATGAGCTTGTAATCCCAGCTATTCGGGAGGTTGAGGCAGGAGAATCACTTGAACCCGGGAGGTGGAGGTTGCAGTGAGCCACGATCACACCACTGCACTCCTGCCTGGGAGACAGAGCAAGACTCCATCTCAAAAAAAAAAAAAAAAAAAAAAGAGCTATTATCTCATTTAAATTGCTAGGCACCCCCTATGCTCAATTCACAGATGAGGCAGTAAAGCACAGAGCTGGCAAGAAACTCACCCAGGGTTACACAGCTGTCTGCAGGGCAGAGCTGGACGAGAACCACAGTGATGACGATCATGATAACGACAATAATAACTACTGTGCTGTCACCGCAGACACTATTTTTCTTATTTATTGTTCCATGATTATATATGACATATTACTAATTATTACATTGTTACATATATAACATTTTTTTTTGAAACGGAGTCTCACTCTGTTGCCCAGGCTGGAGGGCAGTGGTGCAATCTCAGCTCACCGCAACCTCCGCCTCCCGGGTTCAAGTGATTCTCCTGCCTCAGCCTCCCAAGTAGCTGGGATTACAGGCACGCGCCACCATGCCTGGCTAATTTTTGTATTTTTAGTAGAGACGGGGTTTTGCCATATTGGCCAGGCTGGTCTCAAACTCTTGACCTCAAGTGGTCTGCCTGCCTCGGCCTCCCAAAGTGCTGGGATTACAGGTGTGAGCCACCGCGCCTGGCCTACGACTGGCTAATTTTTGTATTTTTATTAGAGACAGGGTTTTACCATGTTGGCTGGGCTGGTCTCGAATTCTTGACCTCAAGTCATCTTCCCGCCTCAGCCTCCCAAAGTGCTGAGATTACAGGCGTAAGCCACCACAGCCGGCCATAGATATAATATTATTACTTGTTATTATCATTATTCACAACCAGAACTACATTTTTAGATTGTGGTAAAATCTAGATAACATAAATTTACCATTTTTTGGTGGGGGTGGTTCTGGTTTTGAGACAAGTCTTGCTCTGTCGCCCAGGCTGGAGTGCAGTGGTGTGATCATAGCTCATTGCAGCCTCAAACTCCTGGGCTCAAGCGATCCTCCTGCCTCAGCCTCCTGAGTAGATGGGAACACAAGTGCGTGCAACCACACCCAGATAATTTTTAAATTTTTTGTACAGATGAGGTCTCGCTGTGTTGCCCAGGCTGGTCTCGAACTCCTGGCCTTAAGCAATCCTCCTGCCTCTCTTTTAACCATTTCTAAGTTCAGTGGCATTAACCCAGCATTAAGCGTATTCATAGGGTTGTACAACCATTACCACCATCCTCTCCAGAACCTTCTCATCTTCCCAAACTGAAACCCCGTCCCCATGAAACATTCTCTCCCCAGCCCCCTCCCCAGCCCCTGGCACCCCCCATCCTACTTTCTGTCTCTGTGAATCTGGCGACTCTATGGACCTCCTAGGAGTGGAATCACACAGGATTTGTCCTTCTGTGTCTGGCTTATTTTACTGAGTGTGACATCCTCAAGATGCATCCACATTGTGGCCCATGTTGGGATTCCCTCCCTTTTTTAGGCAACAAATCACTTTTGAGTGCTTACTGTATACCAGGCCCTGTCCTCATGCTTTTCATGCACTAATTGGATCCTATGCAGCCCTATTAGGTGGGCAGGATTATTATCATCCCCATTTGATGGGGGAGGAAACTGAGGCCCACAGCTGCAATGTCACTTGTCAAACATCACGCAGTTCCAGAGCAGAGGGGTGTGATCCTGGGCCTCCCGGCTGCACAACATGCCCCTCATTCTCCCTGACACTCTGTTCAGCTCCCTGGCCAGTCCTGGTGGGCTCTTGTCTGCTGTGGGAGCTGGACCCCCACCTGCCCGTCCCTCTTTACCACTGACGTATGCCCCGCGGACTCCTGCCGTTGCTATAAATACACCATCAGCTGGCGTCTGCGACTCACGCCCGGCAGCCACCTTCTCTGCACAGACAGACGGCTGGCACACCTGGCTGCCCAGCCCTGGGGGATAACAGGCTGCTGCTGCCAGGAACCCCTCACCCCTCTGCTGTCCAGACACCTGGAAAGGGTGACTTGGTCCAGCTTCTGGTGACAGCCACTCCTGGGTCACGGTGCCCCCACTGGCTCACTGGGTTGGGAAAAGGAGGTGTAGGGTTTCACGGCGGCACTGGGACCTCCCTCCTTCCCTCCTGGGGTTGGGGAGAGAATCCAGGGAGGAAATGAGCATTCTTTTTGTTTGTTTGTTTTGTTTTTGGGACAGAGTTTCACTCTTGTTGCCCAGGCTGGAGCGCAATGGCGCAATCTCGGTTCACCGCAACCTCCTTCTCCCGGGCTCAAGCAATTCTCCTGCCTTAGCCTCCTGACTAGCTGGGATTACAGGCATGCACCACCACGCCTGGCTAATTTTTGGTATTTTTAGTAGAGATGGGGTTTCTCCATGTTGGTCAGGCTGGTCTCGAACTCCCGACCTCAGGTGATCCACCCGCCTGGGCCTCCCAGAGTGCTGGGATTACAGGTGTGAGCCACTGCGCCCGGCCGGAAGTGAGCATTTATTGAGTGCCTCCTGTATGCTTCTCAGAGACCACTGACTCCAATCTTTAATGCAATGGGCACAGCTCTGATTCTCCCCATTCTACAGAGGCAAAAACTAAGGCTCAAAGAGAAGAATGCGCCCCACACTGCCTGGAGCACACAGGAACACAAATTCTGTCCACCATACAAATAAACAGGCACCGTCACCCGAGCTCATGGCCTGTCTCCCCAGTGCAGCACCCACAACCGGGATGAAGATCAATAAAGGCAGAAGAGGACGGGAGGCTTTCAGTGAAGACCCGCCTTGCTCCTGTCTGTGGCCCACAAGGCCGCCCCTTCCCACCCTCCACTCCCCTCAACCCCAGACCAGAGAGGGCAGGACTTTTCTCAAAGCCACACAGCAAGCCAGGGCAGCACTGTGGCTGACCCAGGTCCCTCACTCCCAGGTTGAGACCCTTTCTCCTGCCATCAAGCTCAGGGTGAGCTTTATGGACACCCTGGCCCCAGGCTTGGTCCCCTTCCATAGGGTTCACCTCATTCATTCATTCATTCATTCATTTACTCCCTGAGTGTGCACGGCCTGCACTGTATGATCTGTATGACTCAGAGGGTGTGGCTTCCACTAGATAACCTCAAAGGGCACTTTTAGTTTGTTTTTGAAAAGAGGTTTAAGGGGTTTCAATACCACCTCCCTTTTATTGGAGACAGGGTCTCACTCTGTCGCCCAGGCTGGAGTGCAGTGGCATGAGCTCAGCTCGCTGCAACCTCCGCCTCCTAGGTTCAAGCGACTCTCCTGCCTCAGCCTCCTGTGTAGCTGGGATTACATGTGTGAGCCACCACACCTGGCCTCAATCACCCCTTAAAAAAAACGGTTTTTAGAGATAAGGTCTTGCCTTGTCACCCAGGCTGGAGTGCAGTGGTGGGATCACAGCTCACTGCAACCTCCAACTCCTGGGCTCAAGCCATCCTCCTGCCTCAGCCTCCCGAGTAGCTGGGACTACAGGTACACACCACCACACCTGGCTCATTTTTAAAAATTTTGTTGGGGGGGGGCATGGTCGTGCTATGTTGCCCAGGCTGGTCTCGAACTCCTGGCCTCAAGTGATCCTCCTGCCTCAGCCTCCCAAAGTGTTGGGATTACAGGCAGGAGCCACCTCGCCTGGCCTCAATCCCTTTTTCAAAGGGGTTCTGGATTCTCATTCCGGCTCTGCCCCTGAGGAGCTTTGTGACCTTGGACAAGTGACTCTTGTCCAAACCTCTGGGTCTCTGCTTCCTCCACTAGAACACGAGAGAAGGCCAAAGTCCCTTCCTGCTTGGATGGGGGAGAGAATTAAACCAGTTAGGGTGAGCGGTGGCCTCGGAGCCTGGCACACAGAGGGCACGCCATGTGTGTTTGCCGCCATCATTATCGCTGTTGGGGTCCTTGCTCCCCAATTCCATCCAGGAAGCGCTGGGGAACTCCCCCTCCCATGTTTCTCCTGCCACCCTCTCCAGGGCACCCGGGGCAGCCTCTCTGGCGTGCTATGAGCTTCCCGGGCCGGGCTCTGCCCACCGCGCCATTCCCGGCGCTGGACTGCAGGAGCTTGGCACGACGCAAGGCGGGAACAGGAGGCTGGCCCATGGCGGCGTCAGCAGATGGGCACCATCTGGGCTGGCGGCTCGGGGCGGGCTGGCAGCTGCTGGGACGGGCGGGCCTGGCAGCCCCTCCCCCGCCCAGCCCTGGCACGGTGCCCGCCCGCGCCTCAGATTTCTTGGGCTGCCAGAGGGGGCGGGGAGGCCTGGCTGGGTTTAGGCCCTGGGCGGGCAGACAGCTTCCCTCTCTGGGCCCTGGTTCCTGCAGGCTCCTTCCCCAGCACGTGGCAGGTCGGAGAGCACCCGGGTCACCCTCTCCCGCCCCACCCCCGGCTGGTCACCCTCACTGGAAGGCCACAGGACGGCCCTCGCCACTCACTACCCCCTGAACATCCCAGCCAGCTCCATGTGCTGCTCCTGGGCTCCAGGCCTTCGCACTGGCTATAACCCCCTCACTGCTCCCTCCACCCAGCCTCTCCAGACTCCCTCACCCCCTTCAAGCCTCACCTCAAAGACGCCTCCTCAGAGAAGCCCTCCCCATCCAGAGTGGCCCCCAGCCCCCCTCCATGTCCCTCCCTGCTTTATTTTCCTGCAGTTCCCTGACACCCTCTTCTTATTAATTTTAATTTTTATTTTTTGAGACAGAGTCTCACTCTGTCGCTCAGGCTGGAGTGCAGTGTCGCGATCTTGGCTCACTGCAACCTCCCGGGTTCCAGCGATTCTCCTGCCTCAGCCTCCCGAGTAGCTGGTACTACAGACGCCCGCCACCACGCCCGGCTAATTTTTGTATTTTTAGTAGAGATGGGGTTTCACCATGTTGGCCAGGCTGGCCTCAAACTCCTGACCTCAGGTGATCCGCCTGCCTCGGCCTCCCGAAGTGCTGGGATTGCAGGTATGAGCCACTGTGCCCGGCCTCCTCTCTCACTTGTGACGTTGCAAGTGGTGGCTCCTTTCAGCCCCATGGCAGGTGCCCCTCCACCGCCATCCACCCTGCACCCCTCCAAGAGGCCAGCCAAGGCCCTATGCCTGATGCCCGTCCCTCCCTCTCCCTCTATCCCAGGGCCTCAGCTGCCCAGCAGGGCTGATGAAAGCCAGACACTGCACTCTGGCTGGGCCAGGACGCTCCACAGCCAAGGGGACTCTCGGTTCGGAAAAGGAAGCCGGTGGCCAGTCTTCCTGCTGTCAGGGTGACAACCACTGGGATCAGCGCTGAGGCCTGGAGGCCAGCCACAGCCTGGGGACCCTACATAAGACCTCAGCCTGTGGGGCCCTCACACAACCCTGCCAGAAGGTGACCACACCGTGCCAGCAGACTGCCCCCTCACGCACCACAACTTCCGCCCATCCCCTTCTGACAATAATGGAGGATGAGGCAGGTGTCAAGGACAGGGCAGAGGCAGAAGCTGCTTGTGGGTCCAAATCCCACCTGGCCCAGTCTCGGCTGTGTGACCACGGCAGGTCAAATCCCTCCTCTGAGCCTCTGTTTCCTCCTCTGTAAAATGCGTACAACAGGCCGGGCGCGGTGGCTCACGCCTGTCATCCCAGCACTTTGGGAGGCCGAGGAGGGCGGATCACTTGAGGCCATGAGTTCCAGACCACCCTGGCCAACATGGTGAAAGCCCGTCTCTACTAAAAATACAAAAATTGGCCAGGTGTGGTGGCGCTCGCCTGTAATCTCAGCTACTCGGGAGGCTGAGGCATGAGAATCGCTTGAACCCAGGAAGTAGAGGTTGCAGTAAGCCAAGATCGCGCCACTGCACTCCAGCCTGGGTGACAGAGTGAGACCCTATCTCAAAAAAAAAAAAAAAAAAAAAAAAAAGGCATACAGCAATGATCCTTGCCTCACAGGGCAGCTGTGAGAATGGGAAAGAATTTTCAGCCAGGCAGGTGGCTAATTTTTTGTATATTTGGTAGAGATGGGGTTTTGCCATTTTGCCCAGGCTGGTCTCGAATGCCTGAGCTCAGGAGAGTCACCTGCCTTGGCCTCCCAAAGTGCTGGGATTACAGGCATGAGCCACCACACCCAGCCGGAGTTGGGGTTTTCCATATGGGAAAGACATTCTATGTCCAGGGAATGCATAAGGAAAGGTCTGGCAGTGGGAGATTATAATCAGAATGAGGAGGATGGGCCGGGCGCAGGGGGTCACGCCTGTAATCCTGGCACTTTGGGAGGCCAAGGCGGGAGGATCACTTGAGCCCAGGAGTTCGAGAGTAGCCTGGGCAACATAGTGATACCCCATCTCTGCAAAAAACAAAAAACAAGGCCAGTTGCAGTGGCTCACGCCTGTAATCCCAGCACTTTGGGAGGCCGAGGCGGGTGGATCACCTGAAGTTAGGAGCTGGAGACCAGCCTGGCCAACATGCAAAACCCCGTCCGTATTAAAAATACAAAAATTAGCCGGGTGTGGTGGTGGGCATGTGTAGTCCCAGCTACTCGGGAGACTGAGGCAGGAGAATTGCTTGAACCCGGGAGGCAGAGGTTGCAGTGAGCCAAGATTGCGTCATTGCACTCCAGCCTGGGAGACAGAGCAAGAGTCTGTCTCAAAAAAAAAAAAAAAAACAACAACAACCAAAAAAACCCCCAAAAAACCCAAACCAATAATAACAAACAAACAAACCAATCCCGAAGAGGATAATGTTAGTAACGATAACCACCAAGGGCCCTAGCCCCCTGCCTAGTGCCTGGTCTTCACGATGCCTTGTGGGTGGTTTACTGAGCTCTCACCCTGGGCACTTGACATTTCCCACAAGGCAACCAGTTTTGAGCCCCCCAGTTTATAGACAAGGAAATGAAGCACAGAGAGGGTGAGTGACTGGCCCCACATCACCCAGCCAGTGGGCAGCTGAGCTGGGGTTGGAGTCCAGGCCCAGCTCTTACCCCCATGAGGAGCTGGAGCACCCGCAGTGGGCAGGTGGGAGGGTTGGGGGGGGGTGTGCCCTGCTGGGGCCAATTGGGGGAGGGTGTGGCCTGCTGGGGCCAATTGAAGCAGGGATTCCCTTGGGGATGAAGGGGGCAGGCTGGGGGCAAGGGAGGGTGCAGCCTTCACTCAGAGAGGCCAACCTGACCTGGGGCACAGGCCTGCCTGCTGAGCAGAGGCGGGAGGGGCAGGGTGGGGGTGGGGAGGCGCCCAGAGGTTGTGCTGACTGCAGCAGAAAAGCTCGCTTCAAAATTGTATCAGCTCAGCACGGAGGAGGTGGGGGCGGGGCCCCGGGCGAGGAAGATGTGTGGTGGCAGAGAGGTCTGGCCCTGTGTGACGATGAGAACCTCCGTCCCCACGGTGGCCCCTGCTCCCAACAGGCAGTCACCCGGCCCACCTCTCTGCCCCCACCGTCCCCAGTGCCCCCTCACAGCCAACCCCAGCAGGTTTGTTGCTCATCAGTGGGGGTGGGGGAGGAGAAAGATGCTAAGGTCAAGGTCAAAGAATCAAGATCAAGACTGGGTAACTGCCGGGCGCGGTGGCTCACGCCTGTAATCCCCGCACTTGGGGAGGCTGAGGCCAGTGGATCGTTTGAGTTCAGGAGTTCAAGACCAGCCTGGCCAACATGGTGAAACCCCGTCTCTACTAAAAATACAAAAATTAGCCAGGCGTGGTGGCAGTCACCTGTAAGCCCAGCTACTGGGGAGGCAAAGGCAGGAGAATCGCTTGAACCTGGGAGGTGGAGATTGCAGTGAGCCGAGATTGCGTCACTGGACTCCAGCCCGGGGAACAGGGCGAAACTCCATCTCCAAAAAAAGAAAGAAAAAAAAAAAAGACTGGGTAACTGGTGTGGTGCAGTGGCTCTTGCCTGCTGTACTTCTAACACTTTGGGAGGCCAAGGTGGGAGGATGGCTTGAGCCCAGGAGTTTGAGGCCAACCTGGGCAACATAGCAAGACCCTGTCTCTACAAAAAAATATATATATATATAAAATATTAGCTGGGTGTGGTGGTGTGCGCCTATAGTCCCAGCTACTTGGGAGGGTGAGGCAGGAGGATTGCTTGAGCCTGGGAGGTCGAGGCTACAGTGAGCCGAGATTGCACCACTGCACTCCAGCGTGGGTGACAGAGCGAGACCCTGTCTCCAGGAAAAAAAAAAAAAAAAAAACACTGGGTAACTCTGCCCTGCTGTCTTTCCACACACCCTAGAGCCTGGGAGCCCGTGACCCTGTCTCACCCTTGCACCAGCTCTAGAAGGTGGCATGGCTGTTACTCCCATTGCACCAAGGAGGAAACTGAGGCACAGAAAAGGGATGTGTCCATACAGCTGGGGAAAAGAAGGGCTGTGTCTGGAGCATGGGCAGTCTGGCCCCAGGGTCCTCCTGTTCGGGCAAATGCCCCTCCCTCTCAGGCTGTGCAACTGCCTGTTTCTATAGAGTGCTGCCTGGGCTGGGGCTGGGCTGGTGACCTGTGTGGGTCTGCGTCTGGCGTACACCCATCCCACATGCTCTGGCAGCCCCTGGGTGTGTGGGGGTTCACGCGTGCTCCAGACACGGCCTGGATGGGCATGGCAGGGGTGTGCTGTGCACCCACTCAGGTCTTGGGATGCAGCTGACACCTCGCACGTGGCTACACGCATGATCTTCTGGAACCTCCCATAGCCCCATCCAGCTACAGACTGATCATCTCCACCATTTGGCAGGCAAGAGAAACTGAAGTCCAAGAGGGCCACGCAGCCAAGAAGCTGCAGGACCAACCCTGCTCTTAGCACCGGGACCAGAGGCACAGGCATCAGGCCTCTCATCTCCACGCTCCTGCCAGGACCCCTGGGGCATCTCCTTGTTCACTGTGGCCTGGCCATCCTGCAGAGCTGAGCTCAGCTGCACCTCCTCCTCTGGGAAGCCGCCTTGGATTTCCTCAACCCCACAGAGCTAGCTGGTCTCAACATCAGGCATTTGACCACCGGCAAACACCCCTCTGGCAGGGCCAGGCTCATCAGGCCTCTGCTGGCATGGTCTGAGAGTCAATCAACCAACAAGCATTCACAGAAAGCGGTGCCAGGACTCTCTTGGCTCTCCTCGGAGGGCTGGGATGGCCTGTCCCTCTCCTCTCCTCACCCCTGCTCCCAGCAAGGCCGTCCGTTGTGCCCAAGACCATCTAGGACATTCTCATCCCCCTGAGACCTCAAGGGCCTTCCTGCCTCCTCCCTCAGACGTGAGGGTGAGATCCTGCCTCTACCATTGGAGCGCCACAGCCCACCTGCCTCCTCTGTCAAAAAAACCTCCTTGTACCATCTCTCACTTGAGACCTCTGCTAGGCCTGCCTCCTCCATCTGACCTCCACATCCCATCAGCAGCCACCCTGGGCCCTGCATGCACTGGCCTCCTCCCTCAGACGCTCCTTGCACCATATCACTTGCATTAGACGCTCTCCTAGGCCTGCCTCCCCCCTCAGACCACCACATCACATCTACACATGCTGGCTTCTTCCCTCAGACCCTCCTTGCCCCGTGTCACCCGGCGTCAGACGCTCTCCCAGGCCCGCCTCCCCGCTTGGACCACCACATCACATCTACACGCACCAGCCTCCTCCCTCAGACCCTCCTTGCACCATGTCACCCCCATCAGATGCTCTCCCAGGCCTGCTGCCCTGCCTGGACCACCACATCACATCTATATGCACTGGCCTCCTCTCTCAGACTCTCCTTGTGCCATATCACCTACTTTACATATTCTCCTAGACTCGCCTCCCCTCTCAGACCACCACATCACATCTATACCCACCAGCCTCCTCCCTCAGATGCTCCGTGCCCCGTGTCGCCCCCATTGGGCACTCTCCAAGGCCCACTTCCCCTCTCAGACCACCACATCATACCCACACGCACTGGCCTCCTCCCTCAGGCCCTCCTGGCCCCGTGTCACCACCATCAGACACCCTCCCCGCTGGCCGCTCCGCTCAGGCCACCACACCTCACCTCGCTCACGCACGAAGTAGGCCAGGTAGAGGTCCAGCTCCTTGACGGCCACGCCAATGTGGTGCGGCTGCACGCACAGGACCGGGTGACCGCACTGCGCAGCCTTGACCAGGCGCTCGCCGTCGGTGCTCTCCAGCGGGATGCCCTTGAACAGGATGACCATGACCAGGTCCAGCCGCCACACCTTGTCCGCCTGCCGGAGACAGTCGATGCGCCGCATCTTGCCCTTCTGGTCGGGGTTGGAGAGCACGCAGCCCGGCGCCTTCTTGCCGGTGATGCTCAGCACGAAGTCCTCGCGGCACTCGGGCCGGATGTCCTTGCGCAGCTTGGCCAGCAGCCGCGACGCCCACTTCTGCTTGACCTCGGGCTTCTCGCCCAGCAGCTCGTCCTTGACCGCACGCTCCTCGTCCTTCGACATCCGCTTCTCGTGCTTCTTGAAGTACTTGCGCTTCCGCGCCTGCAGGTTGAACCAGGTGTAGGCGAAGGCGCGGACGTGAGGCAGCAGGGCCTCGATGAACGGGTGGAACTCATCCTGCAGGCCGGAGAGGCGAGAGGTCAGGAGCGCCAGGGACGCAGAGGGCGGACCCACTGCCCGGCCCCGAAGGCTGAGGTCGGAGGGGCCCTGAACAGACCCGCAGAGTGGGAGGGGCTGGGCAGAGGTGGGCAGGGGGTCGCTGCGGACCCGTGCACGCCGCCGGAGGCACGCAAAAGGCCCGGGGGACCCAGGAGAAGTTTATCAGGGACCTGCAAGAACCCATCGCCCAGATGAGCAAACAGACTTGGACTATGTGAGAGGCACAAATCAAGGCGGAAGTTTGTGGAGGATCATTTTTTTTTTTTTTTTTTTTGAGACGGAGTCTTGCTCTTAACGCTAAGGCTGGAGTGCAGTGGCGCAATCTCGGCCCACTGCAACCTCCACCTCCCGGGTTCAAGCGATTCTCCTGCCTCAGCCTCCCGAGTAGCTAGGATTACAGATGCCCACCACCACGCCCAGCTAATTTTTGTATTTTTAGGAAAGATGGGGTTTCACCATGTTGGCCAGGATGGTCTCGATCTCCTGACCTCTGATCCGCCCGCCTCGGCTCTCGGCCTCCCCAAGTGCTGGGATGACAGGTGTGAGCCACCATGCCCAGCCGTGGAGGACCTATGTTGAACCCCAGCATGCAGATGGAGCAAGCTAAGGGGGCCAGGTGGAGGCTCATGGACAACCCATTGTACAGACGGGTAAAACTGAGGTTGGGAGAACAAAGATGTCAGGGACCTATTCTCTGCCTATTGCAGCTAGGGTTGGGCTGGGTGTAATGGCTCACACTTGTAATCCCAGCGCTTCGGGAGGCCGAGGAGGGAGGACTGCTTGAGCCCAGAAGTTTGAGACCAGTCTGAGCCATATGGTAAAACCCCATCGCTACAAAACAAATGAACAAACAAAATCAAAAAAACAAAAATTAGCCAGGTATGGTGGTTTGCAACTGTAGTCCCAGCTAGTTGGGAGGCTGGGGTGGGAGGATCATTTGAGCCCAGGAGTTTAATGCTGCAGTGAGCTGTGATGGTGCCACTGCACTCCAGCCTGGGCGACAGAGCAAGACTGTCACAAAAAAAAAAAAAAAAAAAAAAAGCCTGGGCGCAGTGGCTCACACCTGTAATCCCAGCACTTTGGGAGACCGAAGCAGGTGGATCACCTGAGGTTAGGAGCTTGAGACCAGCCCGGCCAACATGGCAAAACCCCGTCCCTACTAAAAATACAAAAAAATGTAGCCAGGCATATTGGAGCACACCTGTAATCCCAGCTACTCAGGAGGCTGAGACAGGAGAATCGCTTGAACCTGGGAGGCAGAGGTTGCAGTGAGCTCAGATTGTGCCACTGCACTCCAGCCTGGGAGCCTGGGTGCCAAGAGTGAAACACTGTCTCAAAAAAAAAAAAAAAAAAAAAAAAAGAACAAGGCTGGGCACGGTGGCTCACGCTTGTAATCCCAGCACTTTGGGAGGCCAAGGCGGGCAGATCACGAGGTCAGGAGATTGAGACCATCCTGGCTAACACAGTGAAACCCCGTCTCTACTGAAAAAAAAACAAAAAAATTAGCCGGGCGTGGTGTCGGGCGCCTGTAGTCCCAGCTACTCAGGAGGCTGAGGCAGGAGATTGGCATGAACCCGGGAGGCGGAGCTTGCAGTGAGCCGAGATTGCGCCACTGCACTCCAGCCTGGGCGACAGAGCAAGACTCCATCTCAAAAAACAAAACAAAACAAAAAAAAACTAGGGTCGGCGGCCAAGCATGGTGGCTCACACCTGTAATCCCAGCACTTTGGGAGGCCACAGTGGGTGGACTGCTTGAGCCCAGGAGTTCAAGACCAGCCTGGATGACATAGCGAGGCCCCGTTTCTACAAAATCAAAACTTAGCTAGGTGATGCATACCTGCAGTCCCAACTACTTGGGAGGCTGAGGTGGGAAGATCAATTGAGCCCAGGAGGTCAAGGCTGCAGTGAGCCAAGGTTGCGCCATTGATCTCCAGCCCGGGTGACAACGTAGTGAGACCCCTGACTCCTGACTCAAAAAAAAAAAAAAAAAAAAAAAGAAAGAAATAAAAAAAAATGAAAAATGAGGCTGGGCGCAGTGGCTCACGCCTGTAATCCCAGCACTTTGGGAGGCTGAGGCAGGTGGATCGCTTGAGGTCAAGAGCTTGACACCAGCCTGGCCAACATAGTGAAACCCCATCTTTACTAAAAATACAAAAATTAGCTGGGCATGGTGGCACACGCCTGTAGTCCCGGCTACTCAGGAGGCTGAGGCAGGAGAACCCAGGAGGCAGAGGTTGCAGTGAGCCGAGAGCTCGCCACTACATTCCAGCCTGGGCGACAGAGTGAGACTCCGTCTCAAAAAAAAAAAACCCGGCTGGGCGCGGTGGTTCATGCCTGTAATCCTAGCACTTTGGGAGACCGAGGCGGGCAGATCAAGAAGTCAGGAGTTCAAGACCAGCCTGGCTAACATGGTGAAACTCTGTCTCTACTAAAAATACAAAAATTAGCCAGGCGTGGTGGCGCATGACTGTAATCCCAGCTACTTGGGAGGCTGAGGCAGGAGAATTGCTTGAACCTGGGAGGTGGAGGTTGCAGTGAGCCAAGGTCACTCCACTGTACTCCAGCCTGGGTGACAGGGCGAGACTCCATCTTGGGAAAACAAAAAACAAAAAAACAAAAAATGACTACGAAAGCTTGTTCCTACAGAGCATATGTACAGACAGGCCTGGCTGAGATCCACAGGCAGACACTAGGCCCGCCTGGAGGTTGAGGGCTGCTGGAAGGGTGGGGGGATTTCTGCATCAAAAGATAAGAGATTCAAGTGCACCAGGATTAATCAGAGGGAGGAGAAATCCCGGGTGGAGTCCTCTCCCTCCTTTCCCCTTTCCATGAACCCACTGTGCTGATACAGAAACAGACCAGAGAAGCAGACGCTCAGCCACAAAGGTTCAGAACTGGGGAGAGGGGCCACCCCGTTCCCTGCAGACCCACCCTGGAGATGGAAAATCCGAGGGCTGGGAAGGCGCTGAGACTGGGCCAGAGCTGGGACTTCAACCTACTCCCAAATCATGACAAATTGGTGTCTGAGGGCAGTCACAACACCCATGCTACAGATGAGGAAACTGAGGCCTTGAGGGGGAACCCGGCCATGGGGGACAGAGGTGGACTGGAACCTGCACTCATCTGACTTCCCCACGAAAATAACAGCAGCCCCTTGAAGAGAAATGTGGGGCAGTGGGAGGCCCCCAGCTCCCTGTCTGGGTGTGGGGAGGCCCCTCCCATTCTTCCCATTTTCCAGCAAGGGAAACTGAGTCTGCATAGCATTTGGGATCTCAGCTGGGGACTATGGCTAACGCCTGTAATCCCAGAACTTTGGGAGGCTGAGGTGGGTGGATCACTTGAGCCCAGTTCAATCCCAGCCTGGGCAACATGGCGAAACCCCATCTCCTTTTTTTTTTTTTTTTTTTTGAGACAGAGTTTCACTCTTGTCACCCAGGCTGGAGTGCAGTGGCACAATCTCGGCTCACTGCAACCTCCGCCTCCCAGGTTCAAGAGATTCTCCTGCCTCAGCCTCCCGAGTAGCTGGGATTACAGGCACACACTATTACAGCCACACACTATCATGCCCAGCTAATTTTTGTATTTTTAGTAGAGATGGGGTTTCACCATGTTGGCCAGGCTGGTCTTGAACTCCTGACCTCAGGTGGTCCACCTGCCTCTGCCTCCCAAAGTGCTGGGATTACAGGTGTGAGCCACTGTGGCCGGCAGGCAAAACCCTATCTTTACGAAAATTACAAAAATTAGCTGGGCATAATTTTTGTGGTGCGCGTCTGTAGTCCCAGCTACTTGGGAGGCCGAGGTGGAGAGATCACTTGAGCCCAAGTGTTTGAGAGCAGCCTGACCAACATGTCGAAACCCCGTCTCTACTAAAAATTACAAAAATAATTAGTTGGGCATAGTTGCTGTGGCGCACACCTGTAGTCCTAGCTACTTAGGAGGCTGAGGTGGGAGGATCACTTGAGCCTCAGAGGTCGAGGCTGCAGTGAGCTGTGATTGTGCCACTGCACTCCAGCCTGGGGGATAGAGTAAGACCCTGTCTCTAAAAAAATAAAAAATAAAATAAAACAAATTAAAAACATCTGGGACCTAGTTTCTCAGCCTCAAGGTGGAATAAATACAAGGAACAAGAAGAGAAAGAGAAGCAAAACTGCCTTTCCATCTCCCTGCCTTGACCAGGCTGGGCTGGGCATTTCGGACAGGGGTGATCCCTTCCTAGCACAGAAAGCTGTTTTCCTCCCCCCAGCTCTCAAAGGACTACATTGTTATTAATGATGCGATGATTGTTATCATTACAACTTATATTGCTATTGGATTTTTTTTTTTTTTTTTTTTTTTTGAGACAGAGTCTCGCTCTGTCACCCAGGCTAGAGTGCAGTGATGCGATCTCAGCTCACTGCAAACTCTACCTCCCGGGTTCACGCCATTCTCCTGCCTCAGCCTCCTGAATAGCTGGGACTACAGGCACCCGCCACCATGCCCAACTAATTTTTTGTATTTTTTTTTTTAGTAGAGACGGGGGTTCACTGTGTTAGCCAGGATGGTCTCAATGTCCTGACCTCGTGATCCGCCTGCCTCGGCCTCCCAAAGTGCTGGGGCTACTGTGATTTTTATTACTTTTTTTTTTAAGAGATGGGGGTCTCAGCCTGGTGTGGTGGCTCACGCCTGTAATCCCAGCACTTTGGGAGGCCGAGGTGGGTGGATCATCTGAGGTCAGGAGTTTGAGATCAGCCTGGCCAACATGGCGAAACCCCATCTCTACTAAAAACACAAAAAATTAGCCAGGTATGGTGACAGGCGCCTGTAATCCCAGCTACTCGGGAGGCTAAGGCAGGAGAATCACTTGAACCCGGGAGGCAGAGGTTGCAGTGAGCCAAGGTCGCGCCATTGCACTCCAGCCTGGGCAACAAGAGCGAGACTCCGTCTCAAAATAAATAAATAAATAAATAAAAAAGACAGGCGTCTCACTGGAGTGCAGTGGCACGATCTTAGGTCACTTGGGCCCTGAACTCCCAGACTCAAGCGATTCTCCCACGTCAGCTTCCTGAGTAGCTGGGACTACAGGTGCAAACCACCATGTCTGGCTAATTTTTATTTTTGCAGAGATGGAGTCTCACTCACTGTGTTGCCTTGGCCGGTCTCAAACTCCTGGGCTCAAGTGATCCTCCCACCTCGGCCTCCTAAGGCACTGGGATATTTTCTATTTTCTTTCCTTTTTTTTTTTTTTTTTTTTTTTTTTTTTTTGAGACAGTGTCTCACACTGTTGCCCAGGCTGGAGGGCGGTGGCATGATCTCAGCTCACTGCAACCTCCGCCTCCTGGGTTCAGGCGATTCTCATGTCTCAGCCTCCCGAGTAGCTGGGATTCCAGGTGCGCCACCATGCCCAGCTAATTTTTGTACTTTTAGTAGAGATGGGGGTCTTGCTATGTTGCCCAGGCTGGTCTCGAATTCCTGGGCTCAAGCGATCCTCCCGCCTCGGCCCCTCTAAGATGCTGGGGTATTTTCATTACTATGGACGCGATTGCTGCGATGATCATTTTGATTGCAGACAATCTTCCAGGAAGCAGGGAACAGCCTGAGGCCCCGCTCCGTGTTCTGTGGCATGGAAACTAAGGCTCAGAGAGGGGCGGAGACCTGGCTGAGGTCCCACAGGGTCTCAGGGCCGGTGTGAGGATAAGAATCAGGGCCCTGACCCCCTGGAAGGCCACGGGTCCCTTTCTCAGAACAGCCTGTTCTCTGTAAGATTGGGGTCTCAGGAAGGTAGGGAGACGTTGACCCTGGACTCCCACTGTGTGTGCCAGCGGATGTGGCTGGACTCGGTCCCATTTCCAGGCCGGGATGGGCAGAGCAGCTGCTGCCAGATCACCCTCCCTGCTCTGTGCTCCACGTCCCCTTGGGCCACCTCCGGCCGTGGGGTGCTTCGGGGGGAGGGGCAGGACATCAGATTTCACCTATTACTGAGGCTCTGAAAATAGCCTCCCCACCCAGTGAGACCAGAGTCAGCTTGTACCAGCGAAGCTCCCCCACCCCAATGTCCCCCAAAGCGTGAGTCACCGTAACAGCTGCGGCGGGGACCGGACCTCAGGGCCCTTTTCCGCTGCCCCCGCTTCCCCAGCCAACCTGCTAAGGCAAAGGGGAGGTGGAGGGGGCCCGGCCCAGGCCCTGTCCAATCTCGTCCCTGCCCCTGACTGGATGAGACCCAGAGATGGGGAGTGGTTTGTCCAGGGTCACACAGCCGGTCAGCAGAGCTGGGACCAGAGCCCAGATGGTCTGGCCAGGGAAGCCGGGCAGTGGGGGTGGTGGGGGGCACAGTGGGACGCGGCAGAGAGGACCCATAGAGGCGCAGGACCTGCCTGTGGAGGAGATGCCAGGCGGGCAGGAGGCCCGGACAATGTTGTCCAGCTGGGGCCGTGGCTGCCACCCAAGCTCTGGCGCTTACTGGGGCTGTGATAAGAGGCTGCTGGAAGGGACAGGGGAGGCATCCATGATGGGGGCAGGGATCACTGTCCCCCCAACTCCTTCTCTCCCCAACCCCCCTCTCTCTCTGAATTCCCCCTCCCCACTTCCCCTCTCCTCTTAATTCCTTTTCTCATCTGGCCCCTCGTAGATCTGAGTTCCCTTCCTCCTCCCTAACTGTCCCTCCCTTCTCTATGTTCCTCCCCTTCTCTGTGCCCTTTCCGGGGACAGGTGCCAGGGAGGCGGGCAGGGGTGGGGGCCCACGTCAGTGGTGACCCCGGCTAGTTACAGAGGCAGGAAGACAAACAGCTTGTAACTGGGTCATGGACCTGCTGCCCCATCCTCCCTTGTCCTCCCCAGGGGATCAGACCACGTGAGAGGCAGGGCCTGGTTGGCCGGTTGTCACTCTGTTTCTCCCACATGACCTGCAATAACCAGGGCCTCTTCCCCAGGGACCTCCTACTGCCCTCAGAGGCCCAACCGGCAAAAGAGATAACCAAGACAAGCTAGATGCTGAAAATCCTCCCAAACTCCTACACATCCCTCAACGCCCTATCTCTAGTGTCCCCTCCTTCAAGCAGCCTTTCCTCCTCAACCCAGGGTTTCCCAGATCTAGCCAGGACCATCCAGTTCTATCACCTCTCCCTCTCCAATCCTGAGGCCCAGAGTTGAGGCACCCACTGTCGGAGAAGGTGGCTGGGTGACAGTAAGGTCTATTTTCACCATCTGAATGGCTGGGGAACAGATCACCTCAGATAAGCCTCAGTCTCTCATTCTGTACAATGGGCAGAAAGGAATATTGCAGCCTGCTGGAGACAGGGGAGCTTGCCTGGTGACCTTGTTCCTTGCAAGGTGATGGGGAGAAGGGGAACAAGGCTAGGTCTTTCCTGGAAACCCCAGCTTAGCCCACTGGGACTTCCTGGCCAAAGAGAGCAGCAGCAGCTGGGAGAGACATCTGGACCCAAGACCTTGCTGAACGACCACGCCATGCACTGGGTGATGCCCTCACTCACCTCCCTGTGCTCCTCCCACCCTGAAAGTCCAGGCCAGCAAACCAGGACAAGAAACTCCAATTTCCAAACCAAAAGTTTCCAGGTAAAAGTGACTCAACAATCCTTCATGAGAATCTAGCTCATTACCTACTTAGCACTTATCCCAAATTCCTACGCATCCTTCAAAGCCTTAGTTCTAATGCCTTCTTCTCCGGGTCGGATGACTTGTCCATGGTCCCACGGACAACCCCAGGCCCATCCGGCACCAGCGTCAGGCTCTAACCTTGGGCCGCTCCTTCCCCTGGCTCAGAAAATCACAGCCTGTGGACATGTGAACGGCTCCCAGAGAGGGAAGATTCATTCTGTTGCTCAGCAAACATTTAGTGAGTGCCTGCTGCATGCCGGTCCCAGGTAGGGTGCCGAGGACTTGGCAGGGACCTGGGCTCGGCCCTCACCTGGATCCAGATCTGGGGCAGGGACGGATGGTTAAAATCAGCAAAATATGTAATAAAACGTCAAGTTGGGCAAAGTGCTCTGAAGAAATTTAAGAGTTTGAGGGACCAGAGAATCTCTGGGGTGGGGGGTGTTTTTTAGCTTGGGGGGGGGGTCCAGGAAGGTCTCTTGCAGGAGGAGACACCTGAACAAAGTCTTGAGAGATGGCACTCCAGGCCAGGAGCTTTCTGATGGAGAAATGGGTCATGCAAAGGCCCTGGGGCAGGACCGCACCTGGCGTGTTAGAGGAACAGCGAGGAGGCCCATGTGGCTGGAGCAGAATGAGCAAGGGGGAAAGAGAGAGGAGGGGAGGGTTGAGGAGGGGACAAGGACAGGCTGGGCAGGGCCTTGTGGGCCACAGTGAGGAATTTGGGTAAACTGAGTCCACAGGGTTCAAACTCTCTGCCAAGGCAGTGAGTCAGCAAAATGAACCCTGGGTCCCCTACTTCCCTCTGTGCCTTGATGTTCTGGGAGGACAATGAGGGCTGAGCCAGAGGGGCCAGGAGGTGGAGGAGAGAGGCAGGGAGCGAGGCTGTGCCTCTTACAGGCTGAGCGTTTGCTGAGCTATCACGTCTACTACGAAATAGGGGCCGGGCGCGGTGGCTCACACCTGTAATCCCAGCACTTTGGGAGGCCGAGGCGGGCGGATCACCTGAGGTCAGGAGTTCAAGACCAGCCTGGCCAACATGGTGAAACCCCATCTCTACTAAAAACACCAAAATTAGCCAGGTGCGGTGACACACACCTGCAATCCCATCTACTTGGGAAGCTGAGGCGGGAAAATCGCTTGAACCCGGGAGGCGGAGGTTGCAGTGAGCCCAGATTGTGCTACTGCACTCTAGTCTGGGCGACAGAGCGAGACTCTGTTTCAAAAAAAAAAAAAGTCTACTATGAAAGTGGGGACTATCATTGCACCCACTACCTCGAGGAGGAGACTGAGGCATGAAATCTTCCACCAAAGTCACACAGTCAGGGAGGAACTGAGCTGGGACTGGTCCCTGGGCCTCCTGGCACCCCCCCACCCCACTCCTGGGCCCCTTGAGCAAACAGTCTCGGGCCAGAGCGTCCAGTGACACCTGGTCTGCACCGTGCACACTCTCCGAGTCCCACGTGGTTCCCTTCCCCTTGTTTGATCCCCGAGGTCGGTCGCACACCACATCCTCAAGGAGTCCTGGTCACCTCGTTTCCTGCCCGTCCCCGACCCGGCCTAGACTGTCGGTCCCACAAGGGCACAGCTTTGATCTGTTA
Source organism: Homo sapiens (assembly GCF_000001405.40). Lineage (NCBI taxonomy): Eukaryota > Metazoa > Chordata > Mammalia > Primates > Hominidae > Homo > Homo sapiens. The sequence goes on along the minus strand of NC_000019.10, from coordinate 3,372,484 downwards.
GCATCTCCAGCATCCAGACCACTGAAGCAATGCTCCCATCTTCTGCCTCTGGGACCCCCCTTATCCATGCACCCCCATGTGTAAGGAAGGCTGGTACCCACACAGGGCTGGTCAAACTCAGGGAGACCCTGGACAGGGCTGGGCAGGGAGAAAAGACTAACAGAGGCCGGGCACGGTGGCTCATGCCTGTAATCCCAGCACTTTGGGAGGCCGAGGCAGGTGGATCACCTGAGGTCAGGAGTTTGAGACCAGCCTGGCCAACATGGTGAAACCCCGTCTCTACTAAAAATACAAAAGTTAGCCAGGCGTGGTGGCACGTGCCTGTAATTCCAGCTACTTGGGAGGCTGAGGTAGGAGAATCGCGTGAACCCAGGAGGCGGAGGTTGCAGTGAGCTGAGATCACGCCACTGCACTCCAGCCTGGGCGACAGTGCAAGACTCCGAGAGAGAGAGAGAGAGAGAGAGAGAGAGAGAGAGAGAGAGAGAGGGAGAGAGAGGGAGAGAGAGAGAAAGAGAAGGAAAGAAGGAAGGAGGGAGGGAGGGAGGGAAGGAAGGAAGGAAGGAAGGAAGGAAGGAAGGAAGGAAGGAAGGAAGGAAGGAAGGAGAGAGAAAGAAAAAAGAAAGAAAAGAAAAACTAACAGAAATGCCACAGTAGAGAGGGGTCTGAGCCTGGGCCTTTCCAGGTCACCACTGTCCTTGTCACCCAGCCCAAAGCTGGGCTTACGCTGCGCAAATACACACAGAGGGAAGGGAGGGAAACTGGAAAATGCCTCTGGGGTGTTCAATGCAATTACTAGTTTAGCAACAACCATAAGCACAGCAGCACTTATTTGGCACCTACTGTATACCAGGTGTCGGACTAAGGTACATCGATGTCTCTGAGGAAAGTGCCATTATGTTTTTTATTTTATGTTGGCGGAGAAATGGAGGCTCGGGAAGACCAAAGTCCCGCCTCTCAACCAAAAACATTCATTCATTCATTCATTCATTCATTCATTCGTGCAACAGGTATTTATTGGGCACCTACTGAGTACCAAGCCCTGCACTGTGGACCTCAGAAATGTCCTGCCTCCCCGGAGGCTGCAGTGAGCCAAGATCGCACCGCTGCACTCCAGCCTGGGCGACAGAGCGAGACTCTACCTCAAAAAAAAAAAAAAAAAAAAATTGTGCTGCCTCCCTGAATCTGCAGCAGCCCTGAGGAAGTGGGGGTTTCTGCTGACTTCATTTCAGGGCAAGAAACGGTCCGGGGGTGGGGGCAGGTCACCCACCAGAGTCAGGAAAGAGGAGAATTAGTTTAGCAACAATCACAAGCACAGCAACACTTATTTGGCACCACTCTATAGCAGTTATTTGGCACCTTCTCTATACCAGGTACTATATTGGGTTTGGCACCTCCTGAGCAAGATTTTCAGGCAGATGTGAGGGGCACTCTAGGTCTGTGTGTTGGTGACCCCCATCAAGGCAGATCCGAGGCAGGCAGAGCTGTGTCCTCGTCCGTATGGGTGTCAGGGAGTGTGCACGCGTGTGCGCCCAGCGTGTGCTCATGGATGTGAACTGGTCAGGACTTGGGTGCCCGCACGCTGTGTGCTCAGGGCAGATGGGCACCCAGGTGAGGTCGGCGTGGACACAGGCAGGAGAGTGGGGGGCGGGCCGTGTCCGGGGCAGGAGGCCCAGGCAGCATTTCCCATCCATTTGGTGTGAGACAGGGAGGGAGGCCAGCTCAGAGAGACAGAGAGAGAGAAAGAAGAGGAGGAACAGAGAGAGAGGAAGGGAGGGAGAAAGAAAGAGACAGACAGAGAGAAAGAAGAGGAACAGAGAGGGAGGTAGGGAGGGAGAAAGAGAGAGAGAAGAGAGAAGGAGAGAGGGAGAGAAGGGAGACGGGGAGAGAGAGAGAAAGGAAGAGGGAAAGACGGAAAGGGAGACAGAGAAGGAGAGAGGGAGAGAGGAGGAGAGAGCGAGATGGGGGGAGAAAGGGAGGGAGACAGAGAGAGAGAGAGAGAGAGAGGAGAACGCTGACTCTGCCAGAATCCCAGCTTTGGTGATTTACAGGGCGCTTGGCCCTGGCGCGCAGAGGCACCTCCGCCGCAGAGAGGGGAGGGGGAGAAACAGAGAGAGATGCACAGAGAGACCCAGAGGGAGATACAGCGGGAGAGTGGTGGAGCCTTGTAGAGAGTGAATCAGAGGCCACCAGGCCCCGGGTGGGGGGCACACGGGGAGAGAGCGCCCACCTGCCCAAGCCGCCAGATGGAAAATGGCCTGAACCCCAGCTCTGCCAGCCCCACTGTGCCACCTCGGGCAGGCCCTGGCCCTCTCTGACTCTTAGCCCCTCTCCCGGCACTGAGGGGCTGCAGGCCCCCTGCTCCTGGTAGGCACCCCCCAAGCTCCCTCTAAGAACCTACACTGGGCCTGGGCCCTGCTGCCTCCCCCACCCCCACCTATCCCCAGGGCCCAGGAGATGCTTAAGGAAGATCTAGAAAATCCAACAAAGGTCGGGGGTCTGGGGTGGGAGGACAGCCTCTCCCAGCCTCGGTTACCCTGCTGGAGAAATGGCAGCAAAGCACATTGTGCTCCGAGAGGGCATGGGACGAACGAATGAAGGAAACAACGAACGAATGAGACAGGGACCCGGTGGCGGGATGGAGGTGGCTCGGGGAATCCGCCACGCTGCGGCCAAGAGGGACTTGGCCCCAAACCCGGAATAACTAACGTGGCGGTGGCGCCAGCGGGAGGGAGGCAGGGAGGGAGGCCCAGAGCAGGCGCGGGGAGGCCGGCCTTCCCGCCGGCAGGATTTATGGGAGCCATGGGCTCCACACAGTTCCTCTTAAGAGTAAAAGTGAAAAAGCGCTTGAGTCACCGCTGAGCCCGGCCCGGGGCTCCCAGAATGCCCCAGGGCCGCCAGCACCCACTCCCCACTCGGCGGGCCGGGCCCGGGTGGCACAGAGCGGGCTGGCACCGAGATGCCCCCCACCCCCCGCCAGCCTCGGCTCCCGAGAAGGATCCGGGTCGGATCAGCTAAAAGGGAGCTATTTTCGGTTGGGCTCAGGTTGTAAAATTAGCTGGGAAAAGGGGGAGAGGGAGGCCCAGAGACAGAGAGAGACAGAGAGAGAGGAGTAAGGAGACACATGCAGAGATAGAGAGAGACAGGGAGAGAGGGGGCAAGGGGAGACACGCAGAGACAGAGGAGAAAGGGAAGGTGAGACAGAGATGAAGAGACAGACAGACATATTGGAGAGAAACAGAGACAGAGAGGAAGGGGGCAGAGAGACAGAGACAGAGAAACAGACAGAGACACATCGGACAGACACACAAAGAAGGCAAAGGGAGGGAGAGACAGAGAGACAGAGACACATCAAAGAGACATGCAGAGACAAAGAGGAGAAAGGGATGGTGAGATAGACATGAAGAGACAGAGACAGTGGGAGAGACTGAGACATCAGAGAGACAGAGGATGAGAAAGAGAGACACAAAGAGACCAACAGTGACTGGGAGTGAAACAGAGGCGGGGAGAGACAGAGATGGAGAGACAGGGAGAAACAGACACACACACACACACACACACACACACACACACAGAGTCAGAGCAAGACAGAGAGAAAGAGAGAAAGACAGACAAAAAGAGACCAAGATGAGAGAAACGGAGGGGACGTGATTCGGGAAACTGAGTCAGGCAGCCAGGACTTGGGTGGGAGGCTCCTGCATGGGGCACTCAGGGTCCTTCTGAGTCCCCCAGCCCACCCCACTGGCTACCCCAGACCAGGCTGGGCCTTGGGGGAACAGTGGGGATTACATTCAGGCTGAAGACAAACTGGAAAGGGGGTCCCCAGCTCCACTACAGGGCTGGGGTGGAGGGCGGGGCAGAGAGGAGAATCGCAGGGGAGGAGGGAGCCCCCTGCACTTGGGACTCGCTGTCCCCACTCTGGCCTGGGAGCTCTCTGCCTCTGTCTCTCTGCCTGTCTCTGTCTTCTCATCTCTGTCTCTTGCACGCAGCACCCCTGGATAGTTTTTAGTTTTTAGCCTCTCCGTTTTTTGGTTTCCACAGACAGCCCTCCTGGCTGGTCCTTGCCCTGTTCCTGGAGAAACTGAGGCCGAGTTAGCAATTCTCTGAGGCAAAGCCTGGACTGGGGTTCTTACTAACCCCCAACCCACCCCAGCAACCAGGATGTCTCCCAACCAGCCCTGATGGGGGAATTCCAGGGTGCACAGGCAGCCTTCCAACCTCCCCAGCCTGGAACAGCCTCCCCTCCGCTCAGCCCTCCCAAATGGCTCCTTCCAGCTGGTGAGGACAGAGCGGGGACACCTCAGTCACCCCACAAGCCCAGAGACTTCAAAGGCTGCCCGAGGTCACACAGCGTGCCCACTCGAACCCTAGTTGTTCTTGGAGAACTTCAAAGAGATGCCTTCTTCGGGAACCCCCCCCCCAAAGCTGCTCAGAAAGGGAAACTGAGGCTGGGACAGGGACTTACCCAAGGTCACTCAGGGGATCACAGGTAGGACAGACCTCAGACCCCCTCAGCACCAGCTCCCACATTCCCTGTCGGCTGCAGGGGGCCGGTGAGAAAGACCCTACCAAGGAGCATGCCTGGCGTGGGGGGTCCCTCACTGCACCATGCCCTGGAGCGGAAGCCGGGGACTCATATACTCCCCACACAGTGCTTCTTAAGACGGGCCTGGCCCTCGCTGGAATCGCACCCCCCACGTGCCGGGACTTTACAGTTTGCCCGCCATACTGTCCCCTCTCCAGAACCGGCCTTAGCCGCACCTCACTTCAGGGGAAACTGAGGCCAGAACCTCTCCAGCCTAAAGACACACTGCGTAAGGAGGAAAGCAGCGGTCTAGAAAACGGAACTTGCAGACCTCGGGGTCCCCGGGAGCCTGGGCTGGAAGGAGTCCCCGGGGGGAGCCGCCCCCTCCCCACACACCCCCTCGGCCATTGCACAAGGCTCGGCCCCGGGGCAGTCTGGGAGTGCGGCCAGGGGTGAGAGGCTACGGGAGGGGGAGGGGGAGGGGGAGGGGACGGGGCAGGTGCCGGGCTGGCGAGGGCGTCCGCAGCGCCGCAGTGCCCGGGCCAGACCCGGAGCGCCGGGCCTCCCGCTCCTCCCGGCGGCGGCTCCAGAATCCAGAATCCAGAATCCAGAATCGATGCAGCGAAAATACCGGGACGGTGCTGGGGGGCTTGCAAAGGAGGGGGGACCCAGCCGGGCCGCCGGAGCACCCTTCCCCCTCCTGGGCCTCCAACTTCTCCTGCCCCCTCCCCCTCCATGCACACGTGGGCCAATAACGAGGGAAAGGCGACCGAGGGCCAGGGCGGCCCGCACAACCTTGGTGGGGGGACACGGGGAAAACACATGAGAGGTCCCTTTCTCTCCAGCTGGGGAGACCCAGGGTCCAATCACGACCCCCTAGATTCCTCTCAGAGGCAGGCGGGGGGCTTCCCGCAGAGCCCTTGCTGGAGGGGGGCCAGCCCCCACCCCGACCTTTCCGAGTGTCGGGGCGGGGGTGCGGAGTGCGTCGGTGTGTGGGGGGGGGACGCAAATCTGCAGACCAAGCCCCACATCCGGGAGAGGTCCCGAGAGTCGGGGTTGGGGGTGCTGGGCGGGAGTCCCGCGTAGGGGGTCCGCGGTAGGTAAGGGTGTGGGGGGGGTACCCCAGCCTGACCCATCCCCCCACCGGACCCCAGCCCTCGGCGCGGGGGGCATCCCGGGCAGGGATGGCGGGAGGGACGCGCGCCTTTTTCGTCCCGCCTCCTCCTGCTTCAAAACTCCGGGGCTGGGATGCGGGGGGCGCGGGGGCGCCGGCGGGGGGCCGGGCGAGGACCGTACCTGGGTGAGGCAGAGCGGGGACGAATACATCCCGGGCGCGGCGGGAGGCGCAGGGCCGGCCGGAGCGGGCGCGCTGAACTTACTGAGTCATTTTTCCAAACCACCCCCCCGCCCCCCCCAACCCCCCCCCCCGCCCCGCGGCCGGCGCGCTCTCCTCGCCGCCTCCTCCCTCGGTCTCCCTCCTCCTCCCTCCTGCTCTCCCTCTCTCGCGCCGCCCGCCTCGCTCTCTGTCCCTCTCTCCCTCCGTCTCTCTCTTCCTCTCTCCCCCGTCTCTGTCTCTCTGTCTCTCTCTCTACCCTCTGACACCCTCCCCCTCCCACCCCGAACCTCCCACTTCTCAACACCCAACTTTCAAAGAAACGAGGGAAAAAAGGGCGCGAGCGAGAAAGGAGAGCCTCCCCCGACGTCTCAGGACCCCCCCGCTCCTCCCGTATTTACGCAATGCCCCAGGGCACTAGACCAGGACCCCAGGACTGCAGGGCGACCCCAATTCGGATCAAGCGGAGAGGGGGGACAGGGTTGTTTCTGGACATTGAGGGGCCAGGGGTGGATTTTTAAGGCCCCCCCTCCCCACCCCCCCATCACCCCCGAGCTGGCCGGGAAGTTGGAGGAAAGAGCCAGGGGGGAGGGAAGGAATGAAGAAGTGACGTGCGCAGAGGCCGGCCAGCGCGCCTCTTTCCCCTTAAAGATGTACGACCCTGGGTGCACGGTGAGCTGGTCCCACAGCACCCTGGCTCCCTTCTCCCCCCAGAGCCAGGCAGGGGCTGCGGGTCCCCAGCTAGAGGGGCTTGTGTGCAGCTGTCCCTTCCTTGGCCAGAAGGGCCCAGGCTAACACGGGAGGCTCCAGAATTTGCTCTCTTCACCCAGCACCCAAGGGGCAGGGGAGGGGTGGCCTCGCCTGTGTGTCTCTCCAGCACCCCAGGAGGACGGTGTCCAGGCGGGATCTCCAGCTGGCCAGATAAACCCTTGCAGCCTCCCCCTGGGTATCCAATAATTTCCACCTGCCTCAGGGGTGTGCCCTTTTCACAGATCTCAAGACTGAGGTATGGCAAGTGTGGCTTGGAGCCAGGCCATCTGGACCTGGAGCCCACATTCTGTTCTCCTTCTAGACGTAACAGGGCAGAGACCTGGCCTGCCTCCGTCTGAGCCCCCAGGGCATCTGATGACAGGGCCCCAACCCTCCCCCGGTTCACTCCCTGGATCCTCCCAGGCTAGCTCAGAGGCTGCTGTGTCTCTCATTCCCATCCCAAGGGTTCTCCCCTATAAAGTGGCTTAAAGATGCCCATCCTGTGGGATTGCTGGGGATAAGGACAATGACCTTAGCAGAGCCTTGACCTTGGGTCAAATGTTCACTAAAGACACATTCTTAGAAAGCTTGGCCATTTCACCTCATCTCTCTGAGCTTCCCAAGGACAAATGATACCCTCTCACCAAGCTGGGGCAGGTGCCCCAGGCCCAGGGGCGCAGAAGATACCAGCACCCATTATCCTCAGGCATTACAGGAGAGGAAACTGAGGCCCAGAGAACGGAAGCCACTTGCCCAGGGTCTGACAGGTAAACTAGGAGGGAGCAGAATTCCTGCAGCGTAGGTTCCCTAGGCCCCCCACAGGCTCCCCTCTGCATGACGGTGACATTATTCAAACAGTGCTTAGTACATCACGAACGGTCCATAAATGTGTGTGTCTGTGTATTTTAAACCCACTGTGCAGCTGTGGGGAGCATTTGAATTAAATGGTGAGAAGTGTATCTGGAAATCCACATACCAATATAACGTGAAGCAATTTATTTTATTAAAACACGCTAGGGACACATACAGGGTGAAATCTAAAATTCACAGATATTTAAAAGTTGCAGTTGACTTCAGACACTCCTCCTAGACTTCCAGACCCCGTGCCTTCCACCCTCCCTCCCCTGTACAGACCACCCTGCCTGCAGCCTTCATTCAGCAGCTTAGAATCCTTTGGAAGGTGAAGTTTAGAGAGCAGAGACTGCCCCTCTTGGAACCTCGGTTTCCTCATCTGTAAAATGGCTATAGTAACAGGATGCATCTTGGGAGGTGGGGAAGGTTGGAGTCTTTACATAGCATGTGGGAAGGCTGTGTGAATATTATTGGTGGCGGTAGCTGCAGGGAGAAACTTCTGCAAGTGTACGAACAGCAGCCTATATCCCAGTTTGGGTGGCAAGGGACCCCCGCAGCACACACAGTTGGTTCCCTAAATTGCCGCGTGGGCTCGCTGCTTGGGTCTATGTCTCCTCCAGTCAGCAGCTTCGTCTCTCTGCACCTCGGCTCTCCCTCTGTGAAATGGGGCGACGCCAGCTCATAACCCTCCAGGTTGTAGGCAAGTCAGCAAATACCTGCCCGTGGTTACAACAGGGAACTGTACGTCATAGTTTCTTTAAAAAGGCAATTGGTAGATTGGGACCTGCATGTGGAGGGCCCGGAAGATGGGTGCATGATTTAGCTCCTGGCACTTTCGAGCACAATCTGGCTCATTTTTTTTTTTTTTCAAAGCACTCTCTCTACAGTTATTTCACTCTTCGGCATCTCTGTAACTGTCCCAGATACAGGAGCACAAAAGAGTTGACTGCCACCTATAAAACTAATGCCCACAATTTGGAGGCAGCCATGCTGTCCATCTGTGGGGGACCGGTTTAGTAATCCCAACACAGGCTGGGACACTATGCAGCTGAGTAAAACCAGTGGCTCCCAACTGGTTATGTCCCCAAGAGACAAGTGGGGGGACAGAAAGCTGGAGAGCTCTCCCCCTTGGCACTGTGGACACTGGGGCTGGATCGCTCTCTGGGTTGGGGCCGTCCTGGGCCCTGCAGGGTGCTGAGCAGAGTCCATGGCCTCCACCCACTCCATGCCAGGGGCACCCCCCAGTCGTGACAACCACAAATGTCCTTAGACATGGCTAAGTGTCCCATGGGAACAGAATCAACCCTGGCTGAGACCCCACTGCTGTAGACCCAGCAAGGAAATTCAAGATCTCATTTAGGGTTTTAAAGAGTACACATGTATTTATACAAATATACATAGTATCCTTTACATACACACACATGCACACACACCCACACACACACATATCTCCTTTGGCCGGTTGTAGTGGCTCACGCCTGTAATCCCAACACTTTGGGAGGCCGAGGCAGGCAGATCACTTGAGGTCAGGAGTTTAAAATCAGCCTGGCCAACATGGCGAAACCCCGTCTCTACTAAAATTACAAAAATTAGCCGGGCATGGGCGAGGGTGCCTGTAATGTCAGCTACTCGGGAGGCTGAGGCTGGAGGTTCGCTTGAACTCGGGAGGTGGAGGTTGCAGTGAGCCAGGATCATGCCATTGCACTCCAGCCTGGGCAACAGAGCGAAACTCCATCTCAAAAAAAAAAAAAAAAAAAATATATATATATATATATATATATATATACACACACATACACATACATATACATATGTCTCCTTTATGGAAATACACGAGTATTTCCACAAGTACATCCTTTATGGAAATATACACATATGCACATGTATCCTCTATAAGTGTGTATTTCTCAGTCCTGCAAATGCTCCAACTATAGATGGTAACATTCTGGAGCGGGGTTCCACCCAGGAATGGGGGTGATCAGAAAGATTGGATTTTTTTTCCTCTGGATACAGTTGTATCCTCTTCATATGATCACTAATGGCTTCAGTAATTAAAGGAAAACTTAAAAAGTTGAATGCAATTCACAGAGCAGCTCAGGCAGGGTAGACAGGAACCCCCAGCCCCCCATGGTAACCCCACAGCCACCACACCCAGAGAATAAAGGACATAATCTTGCAGGCAAATGATTACACAGCAGTGCAGTGTGCAGTCAGCCTCCCCTAGCCCCGCACCTGCTCAGCAAGGGGCTCACAATGTCAGCTCCCCAGGAACCTTGCAAGGGTCCCATGTGGTCCCATTTTACAGATGAGAAACTGAGGCTGTAAGAAGGGATGTTAAAGTCAAGTGAGTTAAAGGTCAGATAGGCCGTTGAGGCTGGTACAGATAGACACACACACCACACACTACGACCTACAGAGACACACAGACACACATCGTGCAGACTCAAGCAGCTGCAGACACAGACTCCACACGACACACAGCTACATACACAAAGACACAAATACACGCACAGACTCACATAAAAACAGACCCATATATCATCACAGCCTTCCCCCCACACCTGACCTCAGATACCTCCTCAAAGAGGGGCGAGCAGAGACACACACACACACACACAGACCCACATGGCACACACACAGCCACAAACACACCCTCCCAACTCCCCACAGGACGCTTCTTGACAAGCACAACGCATGGATATAGCTGCCCCCACACAAGTGCAGACACAACCACAAACACATGGGCACTTGTCCACAATCACAGACACACTCCACACAAAAGCACACACTCTTACAAGCACACACACACCCACAAGTGGAACCCCCCGGTATTCCCATACAGGCACACACAGAGTCACATACGCACCATCACAATGACACACAGCACGCCACCTCCCTGCTCCTCCTGCACCAGCTCTGCCTGGAGCTGGGCTCTCGGCCCTGCAGAAACGCGGTGGGGACAGGGAAGGGCAGGAGGGTGAGATGTGGTTGTCTATCCCCCCGCAAGTGCGGTGTTTGTGTCCGTGAGTGTGTCTGCCCATGTGTGTCTGTGCACGCCTGTGTGTGTGACGTCTGTCTCTAGACAGGCCTGTGTGTGTCTATGTGAGTCTCTGTGTGGTTGTGTGTGCAGAGTCATGCAGACACAGGCACCGTGAGGGAGTGTCGTGTGTGTGTGTGTGTAACTATGACTGCATGCACGTGTGTCCCACTGTGCACAGAACCCAAAATGGGGACAGAGGGCCATGCCGTGTGCTGAAGGCCAGGGCATCCAACCGTCCCTCCGGGAGTGCGGAGGGAGATAGCTGTGAGTCTGAGGCTGGGAGTGGGTGTGAGGGATGGTGACAACCCGAGAATGACCTTGAGTGTTGTTGGGGGAGGCCTCTGTGTCATTGTGGGAGGGTTTTCTCTCCTTCTTGACATCCCAAACAGCCCCCCATGATGGGATGTCAAGAAGAAAGCGAGAGAGACCAGCCTGGCCTTGGGCTTTTTATATTTAGAAAATTATATCAAACGCACTGGGGGTGGGGTGGGGGTGGAGAGCGGCGGGGATTTCCCTGGAGGTGACAAAACAGCTCTCTGTGCCCACGGCCTCTGGTCCATTGGGGGCAAGTGCTGGAGGCGGGACTGCGGGACCAGTCCCGGTGCCCCTACGCTCTCCCCAGCATAGGATAATAGGGGTCTCCTTAGCCACCTCCCGGGCCCGTCCTAACCCCTGTGCTGCTGTAACCACCCACCCCTCGGGACTTCCACGGCCTCTCAGGGAGGGGGAACCCCTGCCGCCCCGCCCCTCTCGGGGCAGGTCCCCGCGCAAGCGCAACCCCTGGCGAGCGACGTCTGCGTGCCGAGTGATCGCGTCCCGGCGCCACCTCGCGCCCGAACCTCCAGCCAGGACCCCCTCGGGCCAAGCGGATGGGGGACCCCGAAGGCTGGGGGAAGTGGAGGGGACGTAGGGGAAAGATAAAGGGACAGAGTTTTGAAAAGGTGGAGGGAGCGCTCTTCCTCCGCCGCCCAGGCAGTCCCCAGTTACAGGAAAAAAGGAACTGGGGGAGGCGAGGCCGGGAGTGGAAGGCAGACCCTTCCCTAGGGGGAGGCTCAGCGCCAGTCACTCGCACACAGCAAGCGGCACCCAACTGTCCCCTGGAACGCGGCCACTCGACAGTTCTCCACTCCCTGGCGACCCCCCCCAACCGCCACACACCCACACGGGGACACCCCACGGTCACCCAGGGACACGCGGCTCCGCGGACACGCAGCCCAGCCATAGTTTCACAACACCGTCCCGCAGGGACGCGCGCACAGTCGCCCAGTTATCCAAAGACACAAGTGTCCCGCAGCCGCACAATGCGGGCGGCGCTCACAACACAACACGCGCCAGCACGTGGATGTGCAGACACACGCGGACACAGAAAGCGGCGGAGCCGACGCGCCGGGACCCGCGGCCCCAAGGCAGGTACACTACCACCCCGCCGCGCACACCCCAGACGCTCCCCCAGATGCCAATGCCGGCCCGTTACGGAGCGCAGGGGCTCCCACGCACCCCTCGAGGTGCGCACGACACCGACGCCAGTCGACCGGACACCGGAACCCCAAGTGCAGCCACCGCCGCTCCAGGGCCTGGGGCGCGCCGGGCCGAGACCCGGGGGTCCCTCCCAGCTGGGGACCCCGCGCGCGCGGCAGCGGGGCCGGGGGTCTGCCGAGGGGCGGGGCGGGGGCGGTGCGAGGGCAGGCGGGGCGGCTGCTCCTGCGCGGCGCCGAGCGCGGCCGCCCGCCCGGCTCCAAGTTCAAGGCGCCCGGCGGCGGCCGCGGCGCGCTCTCCGCCCCTCTCCGCAGCGGCCATTTTCCGCTAGCTGGCGCGCCGCGCTCGCCCGGGCCGGGGCACCCCGCGGGGGCCGCCGCGACCCCCGCCCCACGCGCCGTCCCGCCGTGCGCCCCCTCCCTGGCCCGGGCTCCCCCACGGACTGCGCGCTCGGGGGTCGTGCGCCCAGGGCCGCGCCCTCCCGCCTGGGGTCTGGCCCGGGGAGGGGGCGGGGGCCCGGCCTGGGGTTGCGGGGGCCTTCTCCGGGGAGCCCCGCCCTCCTCGCCAACTCGCGGCGCCCGCGAGGGGCCCCCCACTTGGGGTCTCCCGCGGCGCCCCGCGCGCCAGCTCCGCCCCCAGCCGGGGTGCGGGGGGGGATCGTGGGTAGGGGTCCCGTGGCGACTGGCGAGTGGGGGTCCCCGCCTCGAGCCCCTCCTCCGGGCGGCCCCCGCCCCCTGTCCCCCCAGATCTTGCAACTTTCGCCCGGAGCCCACGCACCACCCCAAAAAGTCCCCGGGCGAAAACGAAAGTGGGTGCGGCGACGTACCATGGCGCTGCTGCGAGGAGGCGAGGCCGGCGCCGGAGCGAGCGCGCTCGGTCCCCGGCGAGGGGGGGGCCGCAGGCGGCGGGAGGAGGCGGCGAGGGAGGGCGCGCGGGGGAGGGAGCGAGCGCGCCAGGGAGGGGGCGCGCCGCGCCCGCCCCCCCGGCCCGCAGGACCCTCCCCTCGGCCCGCCCTCCCCCCGGTCCCGCGCACCGCCCGCGCCTCAGGCTGCTCCGCGCCGCGGCCCCGGCTGCGGCGGCTCCGGCTGCGGCTCCATCCCCGGCCCGGCCCGCGCAAGGGGAGGCCCGGGGAGCGGCGGAGGCGGTGGCGGCGGCGGCTGCAGGTCGCGGGGCCCCGGCTGGGCTCGCTGCGGAGCGAGCGGATCCACCTTCGCCGCGGCGCGCGCGCACACACACGCGCACACACACACTCACGCGCAGGCGACTCGGGGACACCGGCGGGCCGGGCCTCCTCGACTCAGCCACGGACACACACACACCGCACACGGACACGCGCAGAGATCCCCACGCGCGGCGCCTACAGCGTGTGACGGACACACGGCCCGTGGGTGTCCGCCGGGCACACGGGGACCCATGCTCGAAGCCGGTGGGGCATCTGGGACACACACCTTCTGCAGGAGGTCAACACAGACGCACACTCGCAGCCTGTGGGGCTGGCACCCCGAGATCTCACAGACGCACAGTCCCAGAAAGACACCCAGACCTCAGAGGGACTCACGCGCCGACCCCCGGGACCCCTCCCCGAGCAGCCCTGGCCGGTGACTGCAGGTGTCCGGGGGACACGCGGCTACACACACGCACAGCAGGGAGACGGGACAGACGGGGACACAGACAGAGACTCCGACACCGAGGGCGACAGACCTGGGGCGGGGGTCCCCTGGGGGTCCCGCAGGGGCTCCAGGCAGGGGGCGGCAGGGGAGCGCTCGCAGCGGCCCCCGTAGGAAGTGGGGGGCAGCGGGCGCCCCCTCCCCCGGTCAGGATTAATGGCGAGGCCTCCGCAGCGGAGGAGGGGCCGGGCCGAGGTGGGTCAGCGCCCCCGCCCCTGCCGCGCGAGCCGCTGCGGGTTGGGACCGGCTGCCGCAGCGCCCCCCCAAGCGCTCTCCCGCAGTCCCCCTCCTCTGACAGCCGCAGAGTAGGCGCCGCCCCCTCGCCCCCACCGGCTCTGCGTCTGGCGCAGCTGGGGGAGGTTGCAGGGGGTGTGGGGGGAGTGTTGCTCCGACCTGACGGGTGAAAGGGGTTCTGCTATGGTCCTTCTGTCTTTCCCCAGTTCCACCCCCCTCCACACACACTGAGGATCCAGGATTTCAGGGACCCCTTTGGAGGAGTGGTTCCCTGCTCCCCCAGGGAGGACGCCAGGGTGAGGGTGAGAGCAGGTGGCACCCCGGGAGGAGAATCAGTTCCCGGAGCGCCCCTTCGGAGCGATGGCTGAGTCTGGGGGTTCTGGAAGTTGAGTCTGGCACTCTGGGAGCTGAGCAGTTCTAGGCGACGTTGATGCCAGCAGCTCTGCCCACATGGTAGGTGCTCAGTAAGTGTTGTCTACGCGAAGGATGTCTCAGCCAGCCCTGAGGCATTTACCCTGTGCCCTCATCTTCAGACGCTGAGGCTTTCCCATTTCATTTCTGCAGTCTTCGCCCCATAGTTCAGAAGGAACCAATGAGGCCCAGAGAGGGGTCAACCTGGGGTCAACCAGCAGGGACACTAATGCTTTCTCCAAGGGTGTGGCAGGCACCGAGGTTTTGCAGGCCCCCACCCCTCCCGCAAACCTGAGGCAGGACCGGCAAGGGAAGGGTTAGTGGGTTAGAGACCCCCCCCCTCCCTCCCCCCTCCCACCCGTCTCTAATCGGCCTCTGCTAATCCGCAGCTTGAATCCTCACCCGCTCCCCTGCCTCTGGGAATTAGGTACCTGGGGGTGAGGAGGGGAGGGGAGGGATGGGTTGATAGCAGCCAGGAAGTAATGAGGGGCGTAGAGACAGTGGAGCACTGGTGTAGCGCCTCTCACCCATTACTTTCCCTACGAACCCTGCAACTGCCTGGCATTGCGTGAAGTGCTTGACATGAAGCTACTCACCCCTCACCGCAGCCCTCTGAAGTGGCTGCTATTACCATCGAGCCCATTTCACAGATGAGGAAACTGAATCTCAGAGAGGTTTAGACACTTGCCTGAGGTCACGGAGCTGAGAAGTGGTGATGGTCGGGAGCATCTAATTTTAGCATCTTTTGTGATCTGAATGGGCTTAGAATTTCCCAGATCATCAAGTCCTGGTTCCTTTTTACTTCACACTTCTTCCCTCAATCTGTCTATTTCCTCTCACATTTTATAACAAGCAGAGAGAAGAAACCAGGCTGCGCTTTCAACACTTTGCTGGAAATTCCCCTAGGCTACATATCCAAGTGCACTGCTTGCAAATTCTGCTTTCTGCATAACTGTAGGCTACAACACAACTAAATTTCTGCCCCTCTACATGAAGGGACCCCTTTTTCCATAGGGGTCAACTTGATGTTCTGCTCTAGAACATTCCCCAGGGACAGCCTGATGAGCAAACATATTTAAAAGGTTCAGCCTTACAGAGACCAAAGAAAGGTGGAAAAACAATAAGAATCTGCCATGGTTTGGCACTCCTCGAAGTCACTGCAGATTTGTAAATGGATAAAACCCGGTACTGGTGAGGATGTAGTGAAACAGGCATTTTCATCATTGCTTGAATGGGTGTATGAATTGTAAAAGCAGTTTGGCTTGTGTGGCACAGGCCTAAGACAGGCTCAGATTTTATGGTCTAAATTTTGGGAGCTTATTCTAAACTTGAGAAAACATATATATATGGGGCCAGGCTCAGTGGCTCACCTGTAATCCCAGTGCTTTGGAAGGCAGAGGTGGGAGGGTTGCTTGAGGCCAGGAGTTTGAGACCAGCCTGGGCAACAGAGTGAGAACTCACCTCTACAAAAAAATTTTTTAAATTAGCTGGGCATGGTGGCACACACCTGTAGTCCCAGTTAGGTGGGAGACTGAGGTGGGTGGATTGCTTGAGCCTTGAGATTGAAGCTGCAGTGAGCTGTGATCACGACACTGTACTCCAGCCTGGGCAGATCACTCCAGAGTGAGATCCTGTCTCAAAAAACCAACAGAGGCCCGGTGTGGTGGCTCACGCCTGTAATCCCAGCACTTTGGGAGGCCGAGGCTGGTGGATCACTTGAGGTCAGGAGTTCAAGACCAGGCTGGCCAACATGGCTAAACCCCATCGCTACAAAAAATGCAAAAATTAGACGGGCGTAGTGGTGGGTGCCTGCAGTCCCAGCTACTCGGGAGGCTGAGGCAGGAGAATCGCTTGAATCCAGGAGGCAGAGGTTGCAGTGAGCTGAGATCACACCACTGCACTCTAGCCTGGGCAACAGAGTGAGACTGTGTCTCAAAATGAAGAAATAAGGGGCCAGGAGCAGTGGCTCATGCCTGTAATCCCAGCACTTTGGGAGGCCGAGGCAGGCAGATCATGAGGCCAGGAGATTGAGACCATCCCGGCTAACACGGTGAAACCCCGTCTCTACTAAAAATACAAAAAATTTAGCCAGGCGTGGTGGTGGGTGCCTGTAGTCCCAGCTGCTTGGGAGGCTGAGGCAGGAGAATGGCGTGAACCCGGGAGGCGGAGCTTGCAGTGAGCCAAGATCGCGCCACTGCACTCCAGCCTGGGCGACAGAGCGAGACTCTGTCTCAGAAAAAAACAAAAAACAAAAAACAAACAACAAAAAAACCTTGTTTGTCATTATCACCCCACAGATCTTTTTAGACATTTTTTTCCTAATCACCCCACATGAAAATTTAGTAACATAGATGTCCTGTATATTTGCTTATATACTATATGTATATCAGTGTTCTGCTGTGTTTTTTACATTAAAAGAGTAAGATTTTTTTCACCCCTCCCCCTGCCACAAACCAATTTTTGTCCTTGTTGAGAATGCATGCCGTAAAGAATAGGAAAACCTTCCAATGGAATCTCATACAGTCTTTTAAGAAGAATCAAGTTCCTTACTCAGAAGGGTGAGGCAAGAGGATCATTTGAGGCCAGCAGTTCGAAACCAGCCTGGGCAATATAGTGAGACCGCCCCCCCATTTCTTAAAAAAAAAATAGAATGAAGTTCCAATAAGAAAATGACAACCACTCAAAAGAAAAATGTGCAGGCCAGGTGCAGTGGCTCAGGCCTGTAATCCCAGCACTTTGGGAGGCCGAGGCAGGCGGATCATGAGGTCAGAAGGTCAAGACCATCCTGGCTAACGTGGTGAAACCCCATCTCTACTAAAAAATACAAAAAATTAGCCAGGCGTGGTGGCAGGAGCCTGTAGTCCCAGCTACTCGGGAGGCTGAGGCAGGAAAATGGCATGAACCCAGGAGGTGGAGCTTGCAGTGAGCTGAGATCGCGCCACTGCACTCTAGCCTGGGTGACAGAGCGAGACTCCATCTCAAAAAAAAATAATAATAAGTGCAAAGCCTGAGAAGGCATATTACAAAACAGGAAACACGAGCATCCGACAAATAGATGAAGAGATGTCCAACGTTGTTAGGAATCCAGGACATGTATGATAAAGTCACAGGCCCCTTTTTACTCCCCTTTCACTGCCCCCTAGTTTAAAATGTCCAATAATAGCAAGTGTCAGAAGCCATGGATACACAAAGCTCTTCCACACTGCAGTCTCTCTGGAAGACAGACTGACATCAGCCACAACGCTGAACATGCATGCACCAAGTAACATAGCCTTTGCTCTCCTAGATAAATATCCACAGGAAACATGACCCAGGATATTTATGACTGTGCTATGCAAAAGGCAAAAACGGCCGGGCACAGTGGCTCATGCCTATAATACTAGCACCTTGGGAGGCTGAGGCGGGCAGATCACTTGAGGTCAGGAGTTCGAAGTAATCCCAGCTACTTGGAAAGCTGAGGCAGGAGAACCTCTTAAACCCGGGAGGCGGAGATTGCAGTGAGCCGAGATCACGCCACTGCACTCTGCCCTGGGCGACAGAGTGAGACTCTGTCTCAAATAAATAAATAAATAAATAAAAGACCTAGTTCAGCGGCGAGGCCTGTAGTCCCAGCTATTCAGGAGGCTGAGGCAGGAGGATCACCTGAGCCCGGGAGTTCCAGGCTGTAGTGTGCTGTGATCATGGCTATGAATGCTACTGCACTCCAGCCTAGGCAACTCAGTGAGACTCCATCTCTAAAACAACATAATTTTCAAAAATCTCATATATGTATTATATATTATATGTACATATATAATAATTATTATTATTACTTTTTGAGATAGGGTCTTATTCTGTCTCCCAGGCTGGTGTGCAATGGCATGATCATGGCTCACTGCAGCCTCGACCTCCCAGGCTAAAGTGATCCTCCCACTTCAGACTCCTGAGCCATTGGGACCACAGGTGTGTCACCACTCCTGGCTAAAAAAAAAAAAAAAAAAAAAAAAAAAAGATTTGTAGGCCAGGCATGGTGGCTCACACCTGTAATCTCAGTACTTTGGGAGGCTGAGGCAGGTGGATCACCTGAGGTCAGGAGTTCAAGACCAGCCTGGCCAACATGGTGAAACCCCATCTCTACTAAAAATACAAAAATTAGCCAGGCGTGGTGGTGGTGGCAGGCGCCTGTAATCACAGCTACTTGGGAGGCTAAGGCAGGAGAATTGCTTGAACCCAGGAGGCGGAGGTTACAGAGAGCTGAGATCACCCCACTACACTCCAGCCTGGGCAACAGAGCAAGACTCTGTCTCGAAAAAATTGTAGACATAGGGTCTCCCTGTGTTGCCCAGGATGGCCTCAAAAGAACTCCTGGGCTCCAGCGACCCTCCTGCCTCAGCTTCCCAAAGCACTGGAAACACAGGCATGAGCTACCATGCCCAGCAGTCACCCCCATTTTGCAGATGCAGAAACTGAGGCCTGGAGAGTTACTAACTATCCAAAGCAACTCACTCGTCAACTCTGCCACTGCAGCTCAAAAGCAGCCACAGGCAATAAGGAAGCAGATGAGCATAGCTGGGGCCAGCAGCATTCTTAGTGTCCGGTGTCTTTCACTCGGCATCATTATCTGAGATTTGTTCATGTGATTCTGTGTATGACTGTGCATTCTTTTACTGGGGATGGGGATTGAACTGTATGGATGTATGATGCTTTGCTTGCCCATTGACCTACGATTAGATATGGCAGAGGGGGTGTTATGCTGTCCTGGACTCTCACAAAGTTGCTGGGAACCTTCCTGGAGGAGCTTTTATGTATTTTTTTGGGACAGAGTCTCACTCTGTCGCCCAGGCTGGAGTGCAATGGCCCGATCTAGGCTCACTGCAACCTCTGCCTCCCAGGTTCAAGCGATTCTCCTGCCTCAGCGTCCTGAGTAGCTGGGATTACAGGCACCCGCCATCACACCCGGCTAATTTTTGTATTTTTAGTCGAGATGGGATTTCGCCATGTTGGTCAAGCTGGTTTCAAACTCCTGACCTCAGGTGATCTGCCCGCCTCAGCCTCCCAAAGTGCTGGGATCACAGGTGTGAGCCACCACATCCGGCCTCATGGAGGAACTTTTATATGAATATTTGCTTCTGGCTAGGCGTGGTAGCTCATGCCTGTCATCCCAGCACTTTGGGAGGCCAAGGCATGAGGATTGCTTGAGGCCAGGAGTTCAAGACCAGCTGGGGTAACATGACAAGACACAAGACCACGTCTATACACAAAATACAAACATTTAGCTGGGCATGGTGGTGCACACCTGTGGTCCCAGCTACTCCAGAGGCTGAAGTGGGAGGATGGCTTGAGCCCTGAAGGCAGAGGTTGCAGCGAGCTATGATCGTGCCGTTGCACTCTAGGCTGGGCAACAGAGTGAGACCCTGTCTCAAAAATAAATAAAATAGGCTGGGTGTGGTGGCTCACGCCTGTAATCCCAGCACTTTGGGAGGCTGAGGCAGGCAGATCACCTGAGGTCAGGAGTTCGAGACCAGCCTGGCAGACATGATGAAACCCTGTGTCTACTAACAAGGCAAAAATTAGCCGGGGGTGGTGGCACATGCCTGTAATCCCAGCTACTCAGGGGGCTGAGACAGGAGAATCGCTTGAACCTGGGAGGCAGAGGTTTCAGTGAGCCGAGATCATGCCATTGCGCTCTAGCCTG
The DNA here is from genome assembly GCF_000001405.40 of Homo sapiens. Taxonomy (NCBI): domain Eukaryota; kingdom Metazoa; phylum Chordata; class Mammalia; order Primates; family Hominidae; genus Homo; species Homo sapiens. The sequence goes on along the minus strand of NC_000019.10, from coordinate 3,352,525 downwards.
GGCGACGAGGCAAAACTCTGTCTCAAAAAATTAATTAACTAATTAATTAAAATAAAATAAAAACATATGTTTCTTGGTCAAAGGCTGAGGAATGGGATGGGTCCCCTACCAAGTGCATTTCTGTAAAATTCATTGCATGGTCATTTGCTTTCTTTCTTTTCCTTCCCTTTCTTTTCTTTCCTTTCTTTCCTTTTTCTACAGGGTCTCACTGTGTTGCCCAGGCCACAGTGCAGTGGCCTCATCATGGCTCACCGCAGCCTCCAACTCCTGGGCTCAAGCAGTCCTCCCACCTCAGCCTCCTGAGCAGCTGGGACTACAGGCATGTACCACCATGCCCAGCTAATATTTGTATTTTTAGTAGAGATGGGGTTTCACCATGTTGCCCAGTCTGGTCTCAAACTCCTGGGCTCACATAACTCACCCGTCTTGGCCTCCCAAAGTGCTGGGATGACAGGTGTGAGCCACCATGTCTGGCAAGAATTTTTGTTCCCCTTTGACAGAGTGATTTAGCTCCTGGGTCTCTACCGTAGGGAAGGAAAAGGGCGTCTCAGGGCACTGACAGGACCTGTCCAGCCTGAGTTCATATCCTGGTAGTGTGACCCTGGGCAAGTCACTTCAACCTACAGAACCTCCGTTTTCCCATCTGCAAAATGGGGAGTTTATGGGAGTTGGAGTGAGCATGAAATAAGTTGATATTTGCAAAGTGCCCAGAGATAGGACTTAACACATAGTGAATGATGTAGAAGTAATTGTTACATAAAAGCAAATCTAGCTTAAAACGCGAGGCTGTCCCTGCAGCTCCGTCTTAGCAACTGGGAACAGCTTAAGTGTCCAACAGTAGGGGACTGTGGAGGACATTTCACGAGATGGCAGAGTGAGGCTTCCAAAAATTGTCAGTGGTCTGGGAGACATAATATGATGGGATGTTTATAGAGAACAACATAGGATATAATTTTTGTGTGAACCATATATATTTTTTTTTTTTTGGAGACAGAGTCTAGCTCTGTAGCCCAGGCTGGAGTGCAGTGGCACGATCTCGGCTCACTGCAAGCTCCGCCTCCTGGGTTCACACCATTCTCCTGACTCAGCCTCCCAAGTAGCTGAGACTACAGGCGCCCGCCACCACGCCTGGCTAATTTTGTTTTTGTATTTTTAGTAGAAATGGGGTTTCACCGTGTTAGCCAGGATGGTCTCGATCTCCTGATCTCATTATCCGCCTGCCTCGGCCTCCCAAAGTGTTGGGATTATAGGCGTGAGCCACCGCGCCCGGCCAACCATATATATTTTTTTAACCTTTGTACATTTCTTTTTTGACACAGGGTCTTGCTCTGTCACCCAGGCTGGAGTGCAGTGGTGCAATAATAGTTCACTGCAGCCTTGTCCTCCTGGGCTCAAGGGATCTCCTACCTCAGCCTCCTGAGCAGCTGGGGCTACACAGGAGTGCACCACCACAACTGGCTAATTTTTTAAAATTTTTTTGTGGAGGTGGTATCTGCTCTGTGGCCCAAGGTGGTCTTGAACTCCAGGGCTCAAACGATCCTCTCATCTTGGCTTCCCAAAGTGTTGGGTTTACAGTCATGAGCCACCTCGCCCAGCCTGAAACACATTTTTTTTTTTTTTTTGAGATGGAGTTTCGCTCTGTCGCCCAGGCTGGAGTGCAGCGGCACGATCTCGGCTCACTGCAACCTCTGCCTCATGGGTTCAAGTGATTCTCCTGCCTCAGCCTCCTGAGTAGCTGGGATTACAGGCACGCACCACCACACCTGGCTAATTTTTGTATTTTTAGTAGAGATTAAAATGGGTTTCACCGTGTCAGCCAGGCTGGTCTTGAACTCCTGACCTCAGGTGATCTGCCCTCTTCAGTCTCCCAAAGTGCTGGGATTACAGGCGTGAACCACCACGCCCGACCTGAAACACATTTTGAATAACAATCCCAAGCACATTTTGTGCCCAGCATTGTTCAAAGTGCTCATGATACATTAACTCAGGGGTGGGCAAACTTTTTCTGTAAAGAGCCAGAGAGTAAATATTTTCATCTTTGCAGGACATATCATCCCCATTGCACCTGCTTGGCTGTGCCCTAGTGCACAAAAGCTGCCATAGACGGCATGGTCATGAATAAACGTGGCTGTGTGCCAATCAAACTTTACACACACTGAAATGTGAATCACATGTACTTTTCACGTGTCACAAAGTATTCTTTTGACTTCTTTCTACCACTAAACAATGTAAAAAAACAAAACCGAGCAGGGTGGCTCATAGTTGTAATTTTAGCACTTTGGGAGGCTGAAGCAGGAGGATCGCTAGAGCCCAGGAGTTTGAGATCAGCCTGGGCAACCTAGAGAGATCCCATCTTTACAAAAAATTTCAAAATTAGCTGTGTGTGTGGAGCGCACCCCTAGTCCCAGCTACTCAGAAGGCTGAGGAGGGAGGATCACTTGAGCCCAGGGAGGCTGAGCCTCCAGTGAGCTGATGACACCACTGCACTCCAGCCTGGGCAACAGAGGCAGACCTCATCACTAAAAAAAAGTAAAAATTTTAAGAGGCCAAGGCGGGCAGATCACTTGAGGTCAGGAGTTCGCGACCAGCCTGGCCAACATGGTGAAACCTCGTCTCTAATAAAAATACCAAAACTAGGCCAAGGCGTTCAGATGACTTGAGGCCAGGAGTTTGAGACCAGCCTGGCCAACATGGGAAAACCCCATCTCTACCAAATAATAATTATTTATTTATTTTTTTGAGATGGAGTCTCACTCTGTTGCCCAGCCTGGAGTGCAGTGGCATGAGCTTGGCTCCCTACAACCTCCGCCTCCAGGGCTCAAGCGATTCTCCTGCCTCAGCCTCCCAAGTAGCTGGGATTATAGGCACGTGCCACCACGCTGGGCTCATTTTTGTATTTTTAGTAGAGACGGGATTTCACCATGTTGGTCTGGCTGGTCTTGAACTCCTGACCTTGTGATTCACCACCTCGGCCTCTCAAAGTGCTGGGATTACAGGCGTGAGCCACCGTGCCTGACCAAAAACTGCAATTACTTTGGCACCAACCTAACAGTATCATTCCCAGTCTACAGATGAGGAAGCTGAGGCACAGAGAACTTGAGGCACTTCCTCAATGCCACACAGCCAGTGTTAAGTCTGGGATTTGAATTTGGGCAAGTTGACTCATAAAGCCCATCTCCTTAAGCCCCAATGGCTCTACCTTCTATATCTTAGCAGCAAAAAAGAGCAGGAAAAGAAAGTGAGGGATGGCCAGGCACAGTGGCTCATGTCTGTAATCCCAGCAGTTTGGGAGGCCAAGGTGGGCAGATCACAAGGTGAAGAGATCGAGACCATCCTGGCCAATATGGTGAAACCCCGTCTCTACTAAAAATACAAAAATTAGCTGGGTGTGGTGGCGTGCACCTGTAATCCCAGCTACTCGGGAGGCTGAGGCAGGAGAATCGCTTAAACCCAGGAGGTGGAGGTTGCAGTGAGCCGAGATCATGCCATTGCACTCCAGCCTGGGCGACAGAGCAAAAGTCCATCTCAAAAAAAAAAAAAAAAAAAGAAACAAAAAAAGAAACTGAGGGGTAAGCTTCGGGGACAGGAGAAAAGAGGTTAAAATTGCAACAATGGGCTGGGCATGGTGGCTCACGCCTGTAATCCCAGCACTTTGGGAAGCCGAGGCAGTTGGACCACCTGAGGTCAGGAATTCGAGACCAGCCTGGCCAACATGGTGAAACCCTCTCTCTACTAAAAAAAAACACACGAAAATTAGCCGGGCGTGGTGGCACGCACTTGTAATCCCAGCTACTCGGGAGGCTGAGGCAAAAGAATCGCTTGAACCCGGGAGTTGGAGCTTGCAGTGAGCCGAGATCTCACCACTACACTCCAGCCTGGGCAACACAGCAAGACTCTGTCTCAAAAAAAAAAAAAAAAAAGCAACAATGGATGTGGCTGTGTTGGCTGTTTCTTGCCTGTTTGTTTGTTATATTTTTTCCTCTTTCTCCACACTTCTGCAGGGGACGTTATACAAATTGAGGGTGGGGGGCAGGCAACCTCACAAGAAAAGCCACTGAGGCCACTTTTGCAGAATTTGCTCGGCCTTCAGACGTTTCCTCTGCAAGGCATCCTCAGTGCCCCTTGATCCTCCAGAGCCCTGAGAGGTTAACAGCAGCAGGTATGATTAAGCCCATTTTATAGATGAGGAAATTGAGGCCCACAGGTAGCTCTGCAGCCTTAATAACAGCTCCGGTAGCCAGGCCGGGTTCCGGCAATTATCCCATTTCATGCACAGACAGCCCCAGGCCAGGCAGGGGAGCCCTTATTACCTCGTTTGATAGAGGAGGCGTCAGATGAAGGAAAGGGGTTATCCAAGGTCACACAATGGGACCGCTGGCGTGGCTGGATCTGCTGGGGTCATGCCCCTGAGAGCGGGCTCCGGCACTAGGAAGGAACCCAGGCAGCCATGCCTTCCCTGAAAACTCAGTGCTGAAGCTCCCGGAGCAAAGACTGATGACCAGGTTAGTGCAGCCGGCCCCACTGTGCCTGGGGCCCCTCCGTCCCTGCGCAGCTCCATGGGCTGGGACAGAGTTCAGATACGCATAGCCCTTGCCCCTCCCTGGAGTTATTTTATTTTATTTTCTCTCTCTCTTTTTTTGTTTTGTTGTTTTTTTGAGATGGAGTCTAGCTCTGTCTCCCAGGCTGGAATGCAGTGGTGCGATCTTGGCTCACTGCAACCTCCGCCTCTGGGTTCAAGCTATTCTCCTGCCCCCTGAGTAGCTGGGATTACAGGCGCCCGCCACCACACCCGGTTAATTTTTGTATTTTTAGTAGAGACGGGGTTTCGCCATGTTGGCCAGGCTGGTCTCGAACTCCTGAACTCAAGTGATCCGCCTGCCTCGGCCTCCCAAAATGGTGGGATTACAGTCATGAGTCACTGCGCCCTGCCTAATTTTTAAATTTTTGTAGAGATGGGGTCTTGCTATGTTTCCCAGGCTAGTCTTGAACTCCTGGCCTCAAGTGATCCTCCTGCCTTGGCCTCCCAAAGTGCTGGGTTGACACTGGGTGCTGGGTGGGTGGGGCCACCGTACCCAACTGATAACTCATGTTTTAACACAAACTTTCTAAGAATAAAAGTGATTGCAGAAGATCCAGAATGAATGAAGTACCAATATTTAAATAAAGATCGATTACATATTACTGCTTTTGGGGTTTATTTTGGCCTTAGGATGCAACGCGACCCTTCTTGGCCTTGTAGGTCCATGGGACTTGAAGTCCAGATCCCAGGTGGTGCCTGGGAGGAGACTGAGGTGGATGAGGAAGGCATTCCAGGAGGAGAGGACGGCCCAAGCTGAGGTCTGGAGGTAGAAAGCCTGTCAAGCCACTCGTGGGAGAGGTGGCAGCTGCCAGCTGCGGGCCGTGAAGGCCACGTCTGATGCCCTTTGAGTGGGCCACCCCCTTTCCGCCTTTGCAAAATGCTGGAAAGGGGGTGGAAGAGCCTCTGTCCTCTCTTCCCGCCCAGAGTGTGATTTTTCAGGGTGAGCCCAGCCTCGGCTTGGCTCCAATTCCTTCTTCCTGCCAACAGCTCTCTCTCTCCTCTTTTTGATTCTGTCGCGGAGTTGGTGGGGGTGAGGATGCAGGGGAGACAAAAAAAAGCACTGCCTCTCCTTCCCCCACCGCTCCCGGGAGGAATTTGACATGGCAGTGGGCCCGGTCCTCGCCCTCCCCGGAGCTGCCCTCGCCAACTATGACGTGGCCGCTCTGGGGATCTTCCGAGGATGGCACCGGTTTCCCAGCCCCAGGCACAGGGGCACGGAGGGGGCTCCCTGTCTCAGTTTCCCCACTGGGAGGGCAGCAGGACTGCTCCAGAGACCCTGGGTCCCCTCAGACTCAGCTCAGCCCCCACCCCCACCGCCTGTGACCATCTGTTCATCGTTGAAAACCTCGTGGCGTTGGGGTTTTGCTGGTGGAGTCCAGAGCTAAAGGCGGGGACCCTGGGCCAGAAATAGGGAAAGAGGGGGCTCGCCAGGGCCTTGCCTACCACCCCCACCAAGATGGTCTGAGCTGGGCTTACAGGTTGAGTGTGGGGTCGGGACCCCACGGCATTTCTGCACCCACCCACGTAGAACCATCCCCACCACCTCCAGGGAAGCCATCCCACAGGACAGCCCCTGGCCAGAACTGAGCTCAGGCAACCGTGTGGCATGAAGTTCCCCCTACACAAGCGTGGCCACTGCCGGGCTTATACCCCCTCCTCTGATTCAAGAAGAAAAGCACCAGGACTCCTGCTTGGCCGTCGGTGTGACGAGGGGCTGAAGGCTGCTGGAGGTGGCTGGTCCTACCTGCTCCTCCCTCTCCCACCCAAAGGACGTCTGGGGTTCCCCCAGGGCTGGGGAGGGTGGCTGGAGTGGGAGAAGGAGGGCAAAAAGGGGGACAGGGACTGATCTGGAACATGGAGGGGTAAGGATAATGGCAGCCGCCTTTCAGCAATTCATGCACCCGCATTTATTGAGCACCTGCTGTGTGCCAGGCCCTGTTCTTTTTTTTGAGACAGAGTCTCGTACTGTCACCCAGGCTGGAGTGCAATGGTACAATGTCAGTTCACTGCAACCTCCGCCTCCTGGGTTCAAGCAATTCTGCCTCAGCTTCCCAGTAGCTGGATTTTAGGCGCCCACCACCATGCCCAGCTAATTTTTTGTATTTTTAGTAGACATGGGGTTTCGCCATGTTGGCCAGGCTGGCCTCGAACTCCTGACCTCAGGTGATCCGTCCCCCTTGGCCTCCCAAACTGTTGAGATTACAGGCGTGAGCTACTACGCCTGGCCAAGGGTGCAATTTTAAGAAGCTGAGAATTGAAGGAGGCAAGGGAGGAGCCATGGGGAGCCGGGCGGCGGGAGGGGGGGGCGGGGGGGGGGGAAGAGCGTTTCAGGTCTGTGCAAAGGCCCTGGGGCAGGATGGCACCTGGCGTGTTGGAGGAACAGCAAGGAGGCCTGTGTGGCTGGAGCAGAGTGAGCGACAAGGAGTAAGCGGGGAGGGGAGGGCAGGGAGGGGACAGAACAGGTTGTGCAGGGCCTCGTAGGCTGCAAGGAGGACTTGGGCTTTGATCCTGAGGGAGGTGGGAGCCATGGAAGGCTGCGGGCAGAGGAGGGATGGGCCCTGACTTGGGTGCTCACAGGCACCCTCTGGCTGCTTCAGGGAGGACAGGCCGTGGAGGGGCGAGGGTGGGAGTGGGAGCATCCAGGCGGAGGGGACGGCACAGGTCCAGGCGGGCTATGACAGGGCTGGACCTTGGTGGGAGCTGTGTACCTGCCATGTGCCGGCCACTGTGCAGGGTCCTTCCCTCCCCCCTGCATCCGGCCCCCAGGTAGGCATTCTCATTCCCCCATTTGACGGATGAGGAGACTGAGGCTCAGAGAGGGAAAGGACCTGGCTCTAGTCCCACATCACATCTCTCCACTGCCTAAAGCCCTCCATGGCTCCTCACTGCCCTCCAGGCGACAGAGTCCTCCCCGAGGGCTACAAAGCCCTGCCTGACCCACCCTGTCCCTCCCTGCCCTCGCCTCCTCCCTCTCTCCCTCTCCTCCCTCCGCTGCAGCCACACGGGCCTCCTCGCTGTTCCTCCACATCAGGTGCCGTCCTGCCCCAGGCTGTTTGCATGGGCTGTTCCCTCTGCTTGGAATGCCCTTCCTCCAATGTGGCTGTTTCTCTACAGCCACCTTGTTCATCTTCACATCCTCAGTGACCAGCACATAGCAGGTGCTCAATAAATGTTTAATGAGGCCGGTCGTGGTGGCTCGCACCCATAATTCCAGCACTTTGGGAATTTGAGGCCAAGGTGGGAATTCCACCTGAGGCCAGGAGTTCGAGGCCAGCCTGGGCAACATAGCGAGACCCCTGTCTCTATTTAATAAATAAATGTATAAAGGTTTAATAAGTGACATTGAAATGTTAAGGAGAATCCTGGCTCTGGTTAAGTGGTAACAGTCTGGGGGTTACACCTCTGAGAAGGTTGCTCTCCCAGATCGACCCTCAGTGCCCACACATCAGGAAGCCTCAGCTGACCTGCGTCTGCAACCAACAGAGTGAAGAAGAAATTTTAGGACCAAAGGGACCCACCTCAAGCCCTTTCATGGGGCCAATGGGCTTCACTTGGGGGGGCGTGGCCTTCCTCACTGGGGCATTCTCATTGGCCAGGACATATGCAGCCATCTTCTGATAGGCCACACAGCAAGGCAGCTGTCTCTGATTGGGCCCTGCTTTCCGGCAGCCGTCCCACGCCTGAGGTTCCACCGGTTGTCCCGGTGCCCAGGAGTAAGTTGCATTTTTCTTTCCTGGCGGTGCCCGTGGGGCTGAGGCCGTGGCAACTGCTCAGGCTTGCCGGTATGCCGCCCTCAGATTTTGCAACAGTGGCATGGCCTGGGCCCCTGCTGGCAGTTCCTGGAACCCTGGCATGGTAGGGGTTGTTGGCCCCCACCTCGGCTCGGCTGTGCCCGGAGTCATGCCCAGCACAGAAGGTGGCTCCACCCCACTGTGCTGTGTGACCCTGCGCTAGACCTGCCCCTCTCTGAGCCTTTATTCTCTTCTGCTAAAAGGGAACTTTGAACAGTAACCGCGATGCCGGGCAGTGGTTCTCAACGGGGTAATTCTGCCCCCCAGGGGACACTTGGCAATGTCTGGGGACATTTTTGGTTGTTATGACTGGGACAGGGGTGGGTGGGTGGGTGGGGGGAGTTGCTGCTAGCATGCAGTAGGTGGAGGCAGGGATGTTGCGAAACCTCCCGCCATGCACAGCACATTCCCCAACACACACATGCCGATCTGGCCCGGATGTCCACAGTGCTGAGAAGCCAGCTGCAGAAATCTAGCAGTTTTGGAAACGGGAAGACATCATGCCCAAGGAAGGAGCTGCGTCATTATTTTTGTTATTTACTCAACAAACATTTATTGACTTGCTACGATGGGCCAGTCCTTCAGAGGGCTGGCTTTTTATTACATTTTTAACATGTTTTAATTTTAATATTTATTTATTTGAGACAGAGCCTCACTCTGTCGCCCAGGCTGGAGTGCAGTGGCGTGATCTCGGCTCGCTGCAACCTCTGCCTCCTGGGTTCAAACAATCCTCCTACCTCAGCCTCCCGAGTAGCTGGGATTACAGGCGGCCGCCAGCACACCTGGCTAATTTTTGTCTTTTTAGTAGAGATGAGGTTTCGCCATGTTGGCCAGGCTGTCTTGAACTCCTGACCTCAGGTGATCCCCTCGCCTCTGCCTCCCAAACTGCTGGGATTACAGGCGTGAGCCACCGCGCCTGGCCTTTTTTAGAGACAGGGTTTCACTCTGTTGCCCAGGCTGGAGTGCACTGGTGCAGTCACGGCTCACTGCAGCCTTGAACTCCTGGGTTCAAGAGATCCTCCCGACTCAGCCTCCCAAGTAGCTAGGAGTGCAGGAATGCACCACCATGCCTGGCTAATTTTTTAATTTTTGTAGAGACAGGGTCTTGCTCTGTCGCCTGGGCTGGATCATACGGGTGCAATCATAGCTCACTGCAGCCTGGAATTCATGGGCTCAAGTGATCCTCCCACCTCAGTCTCCTGAGTATAGGGCGGGCTTCATTTATCCTCATGGCCGGGTGTGGTGGCCATGCCAGTAATCCTAGCACTTTGGGAAGCTGAGGCAGGTGGATCACCTGATGTCAGGAGTTCGAAACCAGCCTGGCCAACATGGTGAAACCCCGTCTCTACTAAAAATACAAAAATTAGCTGGGCGCGGTGGCATGCGCCTGTAGTACCAGCTACTTGGGAGGCTGAGGCAGGAAAATGGCTTGAACCCGGGAGGCAGAGATTGCAGTGAGCCAAGATTGCGCCACTGCACTCCAGCCTGGGCAACAGAGTGAGACTCTTGTCTCGAAAATAAATAAATAAATAATAAATAAATAAATATCCTCGTTACAGTGTTGGCAGATGAGGACAATGACAGGTTTATTGTGCATGTACCATGTGCCAGGTACTTTTACAGATGAGTCCCATCTTATGACTCCTGACATAGCCACTTCTCACCCCATTTTACAGATATGTAAACTGAGGCACCAGCTCACGGTCACACATTGAGTCCGAGGCCAACTCAGGCTCCCTCTGCTTCAGTGTCTCTGTCCTGCCCCTGGGCTCTCTGTCCTCTGCCTGGTGACCCCTGTACCCACCTCTCCAGGCTGCCCTGGGTTCGACAAGAGGGCATGGTAGGCGCGTGATCAATGCGTCTGGGTTGGATGCAGGGGGAGCCTCCTTGGTTCAGCCCCCCATGGCTCGCCTGGGATTGATTGTCATTGTCACCTCTTCGCACACAGCTCCCAAAGCCAGTGTTATTCTTTTTTTTTTTTGAGATGGAGTCTCGCTCTGTCGCCCAGGCTGGAGTACAGTGGTGCAATCTCGGCTCACTGCAATCTCTGCCTCCCAGGTTCAACCGATTCTCCTGCCTCAGCCTCCCGAGTAGCTGGGATTACAGGCATGCACCACCACGCCTGGCTCATTTTTGTATTTTTAGTAGAGACGGGATTTCGCCACTTTGGCCAGGCTGGTCTCGAACTCCTGACCTCAGGTGATCCACCCGCCTCGGCCTCCAAAAGTGCTGAGATGACAGACGTGAGCCACCGCGCCTGGCCTGTCCCATTTTACAGATGGGAAAACTGAGGCTGAGAGAGGAAGGGGTCTGTCCCAGGGATCCATGGCCACATGCAACACTTAGGCTCCTAGGTCCCCTCACGGTCGCACCCAGGCCGTGCAGGGCAACATGGTGGGACTCAGATCCCAAGCGTGGAGGCCGCTGCTTGTGTTTCTGCTGAGTCAAGGCCCCAACCCCTCCTGCAGCCCTCCCAAGAGGTGAGGCTTGCTCAGGATGTGGTTCAGGGTCTGTTTGGGCTCAGCCCTAGAACCCTCCCTCCCAATCTTCCACACGGTTGGGGAGGAGAAGCCCAGCAGCAACAGGGATGAGGGATAGACAGCTGGTAGCACTTCCTGTGTTTGGCGATCCATGGAGCAGGACATCTACCCAGTGTTTCTCCCTCACTGGACACATTACTTGTTCTTCAAAGTGAAGCACTTTGGGGCCGGGCGCGGTGGCTCACGCCTATAATCCCAGCACTTTGGGAGGCCGAGGTGGGTGGATCACGAGGTCAGGAGATCGAGACCATCCTGGCTAAGACGGTGAAACCCCGTCTCTACTAAAAATACAAAAAATTAGCTGGGCGTGGTGGCGGGCGCCTGTAGTCCCAGCTACTCGGGAGGCTGAGGCAGAGAATTGCTTGAACCCAGGAGGTGGAGCTTGCAGTGAGCCGAGATCGCGCCACCGCACTCCAGCTTGGGCGACAGAGCGAGACTCCATCTTAAAAAAAAAAAAAAAAGTGAAGCACTTTGGGAGGCCGAGGCGGGCAGATCACCTGAGGTGAAGAGTTTGAGACCAGCCTGGCCAACATGGCAAAACCCTGTCTGTACTAAAAATACAAAAATTATCCGGGCGTGGTGGCGGGCGCCTATAATCCCAGCTACCTGGGAGGCTGAGGCAGGAGAATGGCATGAACCCGGGAGGCGGAGCTTGCAGTGAGCCAAGATCACGCCATTTCACTCCAGCCTGGGCGACAGAGTGAGACTCCCTCTCAAAAAAAAAAAAGACACAGAGCAATGAGCAGGTGGATGATGGCCCTTGTGGGGTAGACGGGGAAACTGAGGCTCAGGAAAATGCAGTCTTTTGCCCATGGGCCCTGGGGCTCCAGGCCAGGGAGCTAGTGTCCTGAGTTCTCTGAAACCTTCCGGACACCGTGGAAAGAGCTGGGCTTTGGAGCTGGCTGAGCTGGCCCTGCTTTTCCCGCTCACGTGCTGTGCAGCTTTGGATGAAGACGTGGAACCAAGCTTGGCCCTGCGCAGTAGGGAAAGGAGAGCACAGAGCGTGGCAGAAGAGTCAACCCCAGCCCCTCTGTCCCATAGGGCTGGCACCGTGGGTGTAGGCACAGGCATCACCTGGCTCTCCAGAGCCTGCCCACACACTCCAGGCCCTCATGCCCAGCCAGGCGGAGCCCCAGGGAGCCAGCCTCCGAGGTCGCAGTCACAGACTGCTGGCATCTATCCCTTCACAGATGGAGAAACTGAGGCCTGGGGTACTAGGACCTCACAAGGTGGGCGATATGAAGGGTGGCGATGCTGCCTGCAGGTCCTGGAGTCCTCCCAGCTGAGGGTATTTCCCTGGCCGAGCCTCTCTCACCATATCCCATGAATGAACTTGCCCAAGCTGCTTCTGTTTTCTGGGCCTCAGTTTCTCCATCTGTCTAAGAGGAACCCGCTAACATGCCTGGCAGGGGTCACGGCACGGAAGGGAACGTCACCCATGTCTATGCAGAGATATTGTGATTTCCAGCCCCACAGAGCCCACGGAGGTCCCATTCCCTGACACCTCCACCAACACCCCTGTCTTCAGAGGTTCAAATCTTGGCTCTACCACTTACAGACCACGGGACCTTGGGCAGATGGCGGCCTTGCTTCATGCCTCAGTTTCCCTATCTGTAAAATGCGGACAGTCATATGACTGTGGCTGTCACTAAGTGCTGTTTGCCCCAGAGACCTTCCCCCCAATCCCTCACTCCCTTCCAGAGCAGGGCTGGGGTCTCCTCTTTGCACCACTGGGTGGGGGGCGCCCTCTACCGCCTACCCACAGCTTTGAAAAGCCCTGAAGAACCAGAGTCTCCCTCCCTCAATGGGAGAGGCAACTCCTGCTTCTCTCGCTCTAAAAAGGAAATTCTGGGCCGGTGCGGTGGCTCATGCCTGTAATCCCAGCACTTTGGGAGGCCAAGGTGGGTGGATCACCTGAGGCCAGGAGTTCGAGACCAGCCTGGCCAACATGGTGAAACCCCGTCTCTACTAAAAATACAAAAGTTAGCCGGGCATGGTGGCGTGCACTTGCAATCTCAGTTACTCGGGAGGCTGGGGCAGGAGAATCGCTTGAACCTGGGGGACAGAGGTTGCAATGAGCCGAGATCACGCCACTGCACTCCAGCCTGGGCAACAGAGTGATACTCTGTCTCAAAATAAATAAATAAATAAATTAATAAAATAAATAAATTAAAAAAAGGAATTCCAGCCAGGTGTGGTGGCTCACACCTGTAATCCTAAGACTTTGGGAGGCCAAGGTAGGTAAATCAGTTGAGGTCGGGAGTTCAAGACCAGCCTGGCCAACATGGTGAAACCCCGTCTCTACTAAAAATACAAAAAAAAAAAAAAAAAAATTAGCCAGGGATGGTGGCACATGCCTGTAATCCCAGCTACTAGGGAGGCTGAGGCAGGAGAATTGCTTGAACCTGGGAGCTGAGGTTGCAGTGAGCCAAGATAGTGCCACTGCACTCCAGCCTGGACAACAGAGCGAGACTCTGTCACAGAAAAAAAAAAAAAAAGGGAATTCCTTGGCCTTTGCCCTTTGCCCTCTGACCTCCAGCCTCAGGTCTGGGGCAGCCAGTATGCAGTCTCCCAGCCAGTGGCCGAAAGGAGCAGGGTGACGGTCCTGGCAGCCCAGGGACACATCTGGATGGAGGAACTGAGGCCAGAGCTGGCTGGACACTGGCTCAGGGTCGCATGATGGAGCAGCCTAGGGTACGGGGGCCCTTCCTTGGGGAGGAAACCCTGGGGTCAGGGATGGGACCCCTCTGCCACTGGAGGTAGGGAGCAGGCAGCTGGTGCCCAAGGTGGGTGGGTAACGACAGGAAGTCGGTTACTGAGGAGGCAGTTGTTGGCACTTTGATTTCCTGCTGTGCCGCAGGTTATGTAAAGGGCTGGGAGTGGCCGGGCACCCCAACACCCCGCCCACCCTGTGCCACCCTGGGGCTTGTCGTACAGAGAAGGGAAGGAGAGGCTCAGAGTGGGATGTTTGGGAGCTTGCAGCCATCAGGCAGGAACGTGAGCCTGGGCCCCTTGGGACCTGGCACCATGACCTCAGTTCTCTGTCCCCTGCCCCCAGCCTCCCTCCACTGGGCTCCAGGGAGGTGTAGGGTGAGAGGTTCCCAGCTGATTTCTCAGCTCCCAGCCCTGCCTCTGACTTGCTTTGGGAACATCAACTTCAGTTTCCCATGTGTGCAATGGGCCTGGATTCTTTCTTTACTTTTTTTTTTAATTTTAATTTTTTTTTTTTTTTTGAGACTGAGTCTCACTTTGTCGCCCAGGCTGGAGTGCAGTGGTGCGATGTCAGCTCACTGCAACCTCTGCCTCCCGGGTTCAAGCAATTCTCCTGTCTCAGCCTCCCGAGTAGCTGGGACTACAGGTGCACGCCACCACACCCAGCTAATTTTTGTATTTTTAGTAGAGACGGGGTTTCACCATAGTGGTCAGGCTGGTCTCGAACTCCTGACCTTAGGTGATCCACCTGCCTCGGCCTCCCAAAGTGCTGGGATTACAGGCGTGAGCCACTGCAACTGGCCATTTCTTTACTTATTTCTGTTGCTGTTATTTTCTTTTAGTTAGCAGATACTTTCATGTTAATATACGTGAGGGCCCGTTCTAAAATGCATAGCTAGATGTGGTGGCTCATGCCTGTAATCACAGCACTTTGGGAGGCCGAGGCAGGTGGATCACGTGAGCCCAGGAGTTCCAGACCAGCTTGGGCAATATGGGAAAAGCCCATCTCTACAAAAAAAAAGTAATATAAATTAAGAATAAATGCATTATAAGGATTAACACGATTAATCCTCTTGGGGGGTCTGACTGCTATGATGATCCCCACTTTACAGATGGAGAAACTGAGGCACAGAGCAACCAAGCAGCACAGGGTGGCAGAGGTGGTAAAGGAGGGGGTCAGGATGGGAACCCAGGCCCCTCTGTGGGTGGACTGCCCTGATGGTGGGGAGGTTCGTGTTGGCCTCCCCAGGACACAGATGGAAATACTGGGTCTTGGTGAGGGCCAGGGCCAGGCTCGGGGTCAGCGGTGGGTGAGCACAAAGCCAGACACCCCTGGTTGCCCTCTCTGGGTGATGGTGCCCAGTGTTCCACATCAGAGCACCCACCAGGCATCGTGGACATCTCGGAGGCCCAATTGGCCACCACAGTCACGGTGCTCCAGGGCCAGTCTGAGGGCGAAACTGTTCCCTGGGTGTCTGTAGTGTGGGCTGGGAGCAGGCAGCGGCTCTCACCCGGCATCCACCATGGGCCATGCTCACTCCTTGCATGGGCGTGTTCTCAACAACCTGGGGGTTGGGACCACAGGGATCCCATTTTTTTGGAAGAGGAAGCTGAGTGCCAAGTGGAGAGGCCACATCCTAGGGGCCCAGCAGAGTCCGAGCCTGACTCAGTGCCCTTGGCCTTGGCCTCTCAGACTCACTCCACTGGCCAAGCCTGTCCAGCCCCACACCCCTGCCACCGGCAGGACTTGGTGTGTGTGACTGGGGGAGGAGCGGGCCTGGGTGGCTGGGAAACCAGGTAGGGGTATGACCAGAGTGGGGGGTGCTGGGTATGCAGCCCCCTCCCTCCTGGAAGAGGCCTAGCCCGGAGCACCCCACCCCCAGCCCTGTTGGCAGAGCGATTAAAGAGAGAAGGATGAGGGAAAAAGCCTGAAAGAATTAAACAAACAAAGGGAGAGGTCGGTTTATATAATCTCTGGTACAACGTGTCCTCTTGAGCCAGGATTAGGCCGTGGCGTTTCCCAGGCAGCCGTGGGGGCGGGTGGCAGACGCCCTGCTCCCTCCTTGCTCTGTGCCACTGCCTGCCCTGGCTGCCTCCCTCCCCGTGGGGGCCCTTCTGTATCCCCAGGTTGGGGAAGCTCCAAGGGGGGGCCAGGTCCAGCTGGGAGGATGCCAGCTCCCCCTGGGAGGTGGGGGCAGGTCCGGGAATCGTGCCATCTGGCAGATCCACTCCCAGGCCTGCCCTGCACAACCAGCTCACAATCTTGGACAGACCTGAGACCTTGGTTTCTCTTCTGGGAAATGATTTTGTGGGGCTATAGGTATTTGGAGCCTGGTACACAGTTGGTGCTAAATAATTGCATACCTCCAATAACTGTGGAAGCTGGAATCAGGGCTATAATCACGATCAATTGGGTATCAACAGTAACAGTCACAACAATAATAAGATCTAACGATAGTTTCATTTCTCTTTATAGCATTCATCCTTCTTGAACGTTAACATTTTAATTCACGGTTTGTGTCTCTCCCTGGAGTCCCAAACCCTCGAGAAGGACAGGTGTCAGTGTCACTTTTGTTTGCTGCTGGATCTCCTGTGTCTAGGACAGAGCTAGACCCGCAGCGGGTACCTTGAACATATTTCGAGAACTTAGGGCTGAATCGTTCATGTGTATTGAGTGCCCTCTCAGGACCACGCTTTGCACTCAGCACAACCATATTGCATTTGAGCATTGCGAAACCGGCCAGGAGGGTGCTTCATTATTCCCATTTTTCCAGAGGGGGAAACTGAGGCCCAGAGAAAAGGAGTGACCTGCTCAGTCACCTGCAAAAAAAGTGACAGAGCTGAAATTCAAATGCAGCCCTCCTCGCTGTCAAAGTCTCCTTCTGGGCCAAGTTGCTGACTTGCTCTTCCCAGGCATGGGCGTCTCTGAGACTGGGGCCAGAGGAAACATTCAGGGCTGCCAGGGATGCCCGGGACTCTTTCTCCACCCACCCATCACGCCTTCCTTGGTGTCCGGGTATGGGAGTGGGGCTGTCATTTCAGGCCCCTGCAGTGGGGGAAGTGTGGCATGGTGGGGATAGAGTGTGACGGGGAGGAGGTACCTGGTCTGGTCACACCGGTGGCTATGGTACTGTTGTATGGGACAGACAGCCCAGCCCTGGTACCCTCACTTCTAGCAGCCAGGCTGGGGACCCAAGAGGATGGGGCTGTGGCCACCCCCAGATGGCCAACTTATTTTTCCAGTAACTGTTACTCAGCTCCAGGATCTGGGAGAAAGGTCACAGCCTTGGCCAGCAGCAGTAGCTGGGACTGGATGAGAGAGTAGCTAGATTCCCCAACCCCCCAGCTCCCAGCCTGGCTGCCTGCTGTCCCCAGGCAGGTACCTGCTGCTCTGGGAGGCAGGGACGGGGCTGTGGAGGTTCCCTGAACCCAGATAGCCCCCCAAACTACCCCACAGGGTGGCCCTTGTATTGGTCCACCCCACAGTTCACTCACTCTCCCTGCAGCCACCTGTCCCCAGCACCTCGAAAGCAACTGAACCCACCAGCAGCTCCTTCTCCTGATCTCCCCGCTGACCCCACTGGCACAGAACTGGGGGGAAACAGGTGGGTAGGAGGGATCTCTGTCCCCCGTGGACCTGCCAGGCAACACACAACTCCCTCCAGCCTTTTTTTTTTTTTTTTTTTTTTTTTTTTTTTAGATAGAGTCTCATTCTGTCACCCAGGCTGGAGTGCAGTGGTACAATCTTGGCTCACTGCAGCCTCCACCTCCTGGGTTCAAGCGATTGTCCTGCCTCAGACTCCTGAGTAGCTGGGACTACAGGTACGCACCACCACGCCTGGCTAATTGTTGTATTTTTAGTATAGACAGGGTTTCACCATATTAGCCAGGCTGGTCTTCAACTCCTGACCTCAGGTGATCTGCCCGCCTTGGCATCCCAAAGTGCTGGGATTACAGATGTAAGCCACAGCGCCCAGTGCTTTTAACCTTTAATCTCTCTCTTCCCTCTGTTCTATTCCTTGTCTTCTCCAATGGGCAATTCATTGCCTGATTCCCTGAGCCAATCACAAATGATGACAGCATCTCTGTGGTCCCACTGTGTGCAGGAACTTCACCTATGTTATATGTATCCCTATTAACAATGCTTGAGCTGGGTGCAGTAGCTCACGCCTGTAACCCCAGCACTTTGGGAGGCCAAAGCTGGAGGATCACTTGAGCCCAGGAGTTCGAGACCAGCCGGGGCAACATAGGGAGACCCCATGTCTAAAAAAAGAAAAGAAAAGAGAAAGAATAGAAGAGAGGAGAAAGAAGAGAAGAGAAGAGAAAGAAGAGAAGAGAAAAAATTGGCCACGCATGGCAAGTGTCTGTAGTCCCAGCTACTCAGGAGGCTGGAGGCTGGGGTGGGAGGATTGCTTGAGCCTGGGGGGTTGAGGCTGCAGTGAGCTGTGATTGAGCCACTGCACTCCAGCCTGGGTGACAGATCGGACCCTGTCTCAAAAAAAAAAAAAAAAAAAAAAAAAAAAGAAGGAAGGGTACATCTATATAGCAAAAGATATGCATGGGAATGTTCATAGTCACTTTACTCATAAAAGCCCCAGATTGGAACCAACCTAATGAAGATCCACACGAGAATGGATGCAATGAAAAATAACCCCCCGGCTGGGTTCACGCCCGTAATACCAGCACTTTGGGAGGCCGAGGTGGGCGGATCACAAGGTCAGGAGTTTGAGACCAGCCTGGCCAACATGATGAAACCCCATCTCTACTAAAAATACAAAAATTAGCCGGGCGTGGTGGTGGGCGCCTGTAATCCCAGCTACTCAGGAGGCTGAGGCAGGAGAATTGCTTGAACCGGGTGGGCAGAGGTTGCAGTGAGCTGAGATCACGCCACTGCCCTCCAGCCTGGGCGACAGAGCGAGAATCCATCTCAAAAACAAAAAAAAAAAGAAAGAAAAAGAAAAAGAACCCCCTACATTGACAACAGGGTGGTTATGAGTTGGACTGCGCCTCCCTAAATTCATATGGTGAAGTCCTAACACCCAGGACCTCAGAAGGTGACCTTATTTGGAAGTAATGTCTTTGCAGAAGGAGTTAGTTAAGATGACATCATCCCCGAGTAGGGTGGGACCCTGGTCCAAAAACCAGTGTCCTAATGAAAAGGGGACATTTGGCTGGGTACAGTGGCTCACGCCTATAATCCTAGCACTTTCGGAGGCTGAGCCCAATGAGGGGTACTCCTTGAGCCCAGGGGTCCCAGAGCAGCCCGGGCAACATAACGAGTGAGACCCCGACTCTACAAAAAAAAGAAAAAAAATTAGCTGGGCATGGTGGCACATGCCTGTGGTCTCAGCTACTTGGAAGGCTGAGGGGAGGCTGAGGAGGGAGGATCACTTGAACCCCAGGGTTTGAGGCTACAATGAACCATGGTCATGCCACTGTACCCCAGTCTGGACAACAGAGCAAGACCCTATTTCAAAAAGAAGAAAGAGACAGAGAGAGAGAAGGAAGGAAGGGAGGAAGGAAGGAAGGAGAGAGGGAGGGAAGAAAGGGAGAGAAGGAGAGAAAAAAAGAGAAAGAAAGAAAAAGAAAAAAGAAAGAAAGAGAAAGAGAAAGAAAAGAAAGCAAGCCAGCTGGCATGATGGTTCACACCTGTAATCCCAGCACTTTGGCAGGCCAAGGTGGGAGGATCACTTGAGGTCCAGCGTTCCAGACCAGCCTGGCCAACAAGGTGAAACACCATCTCTATTAAAAATACAAAAATTAGCTGGGCATGTGCCTGTAGTCCCAGCTACTTGGGAGGTTGAGGCAGGAGAATGGCTTAAATCCGGGAGGCGGAGGTTGCAGCGAGCTGAGATTGTGCCATTGCACTCCAGGGTGGAGACAGACCAAGACTCCATCTGATTAAAAAGAAAAAAGGAAGGAAAGAAGGAAGGAAGGAGGGAGGGAGGGAGGGAAGAAGGGAGGAAGGGAGGAAGAAAGGACAGATGGAAGGAAGGAAGGAAGGAAGGAAAGGAAGGAAGAAAAGAAGGAAGGAACGAAAGAAGGAAGGAAGGAAAGGAAGGAAAGAAGAAAGGAAGGAAGGAAGGGAAGGAAGGGAAGGAAGGAGGGAAGGAAGGAAGGAGGGAAGGAAGGAAGGAGGGACGGAGGGAAGGAAGGAAGGAGGGAAGGAAGGGAAGGAAGGAGGGAAGGAAGGAAGGAGGGAAGGAAGGAAGGAGGGACGGAGGGAAGGAAGGAAGGAGGGAAGGAAGGAAGGAAAGGAAGGAAGTAGGGAAGGAAGGATGGAGGGAAGGAAGGAAGGAGGGAAGGAAGGAGGGAAGGAAGGAGGGAAGGAAGGAGGGAGGGAAGGAAGGAAGGAGGGAAGGAAGGAAGGAGGGACGGAGGGAAGGAAGGAAGGAGGGAAGGAAGGAAGGAGGGAAGGAAGGAAGGAAAGGAAGGAAGGAGGGAAGGAAGGAGGGAGGGAAGGAAGGAAAGGAAGGAAGGAGGGAAGGAAGGGAAGGAAGGAGGGAAGGAAGGAAGGAAAGAAGGAAGGAAGGAAAGGAGGAAGGAAGCAAGGAAGGAAAAAAGGAAGGAAGGAAGGAGGGAAGGAAGGAAGGAAAGAAGGAAGGAAGGAAAGGAGGAAGGAAGCAAGGAAGGAAAGAAGGAGGGAAGGAAGGAAGGAAAGAAGGTAGGAAGCAAGGAAGGAAAGAAGGAAAGAAGGAAGGACGGGAAGGAAAGAAGGAAGGAGGGAAGGAAGGAAGGAAGGGCACATGTATATACTGAAAGACATGCATGGAAATGTTCATATCGGTTTTATTTGTAAGAGCCCAGAACTGGAACTAATTGAAATGAACATCCACACTAGAATGGGTGGAAACAGGAATGAAAAAAAAGAAAACCTACATGGACAACAGGGTGATTATGCATTGAATTGTGCTGCCCCCCAAATTCATATGTTGAAGTTCTAACCCCAGGACCTCAGAAGGTGACTTTATTAGGATGCAGGGTCTTTACAGAGGTAATCAAAATAAAATGAGGCCATTAGAGGCCAGGCACGATGGCTCACGCCTGTAATCCCAGCACTTTGGGCGGCCGAGGCGGGTGGATCACGAGGTCAGGAGATCGAGACCATCCTGGCTAACACGGTGAAACCCCGTCTCTACTAAAAATACAAAAAATTAGCCGGGCATGGAGGCGGGCGCCTGTAGTCCCAGCTACTCGGGAGGCTGAGGCAGGAGAATGGTGTGAACCCGGGAGGCAGAGCTTGTAGTGAGCCGAGATCACGCCACTGCACTCCAGCCTGGGTGACAGAGCGAGACCCCGTCTAAAAAAAAAAGAAAAAAAATGAGGCCATTAGTCCAGATCCTAATCCAAACTGATTGGTGTCCTTATAAAAAGGGGGAAAATTTGGACACAGACATGCACTTAGGGACACCGTCACGTGTACATGAAGGCGTCATCTTACAGGTCAAGGACAGAGAAGGGTGGGACAGACTCTCCCTGCCAGCCCTCAGGAGGAATCAACCCTGCCAACACCTTGAATTTGAACTTCCAGCCCCCAGAACCGTCAGGAAATACATTTCTGTTGTTTGAGCCACTCAAGCTGTGCTACTTTGTTAAGGAAGGCCCAGGAAACGAAGACAGATGATTCCAACATACGTTTTTTTCTTTTTCTTTTTTTTAAAGATAGAGTCTCACTCAGTTGCCCAGGCTGGAGTGCAGCAGGGTGATCCTGGCTCACTGCAGCTTCTGCCTCTGGGGTTCAAGTGATTCTCCTGCTTCAGCCTCCTGAGTAGCCAGGATAACAGGTGTGCACCACCACACCTGGCTAATTTTTGTATTTTTAGTAGAGTCGGGGTTTCATCATGTTGGCCAGGCTGGTCTCAAACTCCTGACCTCAGGTGATTCACCTGCCTTGGCCTCCCAAAGTGCTGCAATTACAGACATGAGCCACTGTGCCCGGCCAAGATGGGGTTTTATGATGTTATTCAGGTTGCTCTTGAACTCCTGGCCTCAAGTGATCCTCCCACCTCAGCTTCCCAAAATGCTGGGAATATAGGTATGAGCCACTGCACCCAGCTTAAATGCATTTTTGAGTTATGATTTTATTTTTTTGAGATGGAGTCTCGCTCTGTCACCTGGGCTGGAGTGCAGTGGCACAATCTCGGCTCACTGTAACCTCTGCCTCCCAGGTTCAAGTGATTCTCCCACTTCAGCCTCCTGAGTAGCTGGGACTATAGGCACACACCACCACGCCCGGCTAATTTTTTGTATTTTAGTAGAGGCAGGGTTTCACCATGTTGATTGGGATGGTCTCGAACTCCTGAGCTCAGGTGATCCACCCGTCTAAGCCTCCCAGAGTGCTGAGATTACAGGCATGAGCCACCGCACCCGGCCGACTTATGATATTTTTAACTTATGAAGAGTTTATCAGGACATGGTCCCATCCTAAGCCCAGGAACACGTGAACAACACTGGAGCTGTCAAACCATGGCCCCGGATCAAATCCAGACTGTGATGTTTGATTGCATGGGGCCATGGGGCGAGACCATGCTGCCCGGTTGTTTGCTCCAACAGGCATCTGCATGTTTTGCTCTGAAGGTATTCTGCAGATGTGCTGAATGTCTAGAGTCAGCTGCCTTTAAGTGAAGGAAACGACCCTCTGTAATGTGAGTGGGCCTCGTCCAATCAGTTGAAGGATGTAAGAGCAAAATTCGGGTTTTCCCAGAGAAGAAGGAATTCTGCCTCAAGACTGGGACATAAAAATCCTCATTTCTTCAGGCACGGTGGCTCATGCCTGTAATCCCAGCACTTTGGGAAGCCGAGGCAGATGATTGCCTGAGCTCAGGAGTTCGAGACCAGCCTGGGCAACACAGTGAAACCCCGTCTTTCCTGAAATACAAAAAAATTAGCCGGGCGTGGCGGCGTGTGCCTGTAGTCCCAGCTACTCGGGAGGCTAAGCTGGAGAATCGCTTGAACCCGGGAGGTGGAGCTTGCAGTGAGCAGAGATCGCGCCACTGCACTCCAGGCTGGGTAACACAGCGAGACTCCATAAAAAAAAAAAAAGAAAAAAAAAAAGTCCTCGTTTCCAGACTGTGGGGACTGCCCTACAGTTTTTGGACCCAACACTGCAACACTGACTCTATTTCTGTTTTTTTTTTTGTTTTTGTTTTTGGTTTTCTTTTTTTTTTGGAGACGGGGACTCATTCTGTTGCCCAAGGTGGAGTTCAGTGGTGCAATCTCGGCTCACTGCAACCTCTGCCTCCTGGGTTTCAAACAATTCTTGTGCCTTGGCTGCCCGGTTAATTTTTGTATTTTTAGTAGAGACAGGGTTTCGCCATGTTGACCAGGCTGGTCTTGAACTCCTGACCTCGTGATCTGCCCGCCTTGGCCTCCCAAAGTGCTGGGATTACAGGCGTGGGCCACCGCGCCCGGCCTGCAACATTGACTCTTACCTGAATGTCTAGCCTGCTGCCCTGTTCTATAAATTTTAGACTGGCTAGCCCCCATATCAAGCAAATCAATTTTTTTTCTTTTTCTTTTCTTTTCTTTCTTTTTTTTTTTTTAGACGGGATCTTGTGCTGTCACCCAGGCTTGAGTGCAGTGGTGTGATCACAGCTCACTGCAGCCTTGAGTTCCTGGGTTCAACTCTGCCTCAGCTTCCCAACTAGCTGGGACTACAGGTGTGTACCACCACACCTGGCAAATGTATTTTATTTATTTATTAATTTGTTTGTTTGTTTGTTTTTAGAGATGAGGATACCATGCTGCCCAGGGTGGTCTCAAACTCTTGGGCTCAAGAGATCCTCCTGCCCCAGCCTCCCAAAGTGCTGGGATTATAGGCGTGAGCCACTGCACTCCACAATTCCTTAAAATCACTCTCTCTCTGTCTCTCTGTCTCTCACACACACAAACACTCCCCATTGGTTCTGTTTGAGAACCCTGACTAACACACAGCCCATCACTTATTTTTATAAATAAAGTTTTATTGGTATACACACCCACACCCACTCACTTACATATTGTCTGTGGCTGCCTATTGACTACAGGGACAGAGGTGAGTAGCTGCAATGGGGACTGCCTGGTCCACAAAGCCTAAAATATTTACGATACGGCCTTTTACAAGAAAAAATTTGCTGATATTCAACCTACAAAAACATTTAACAACACAGATGAATCTTACAAGCTTTACGTTGAGGACAAAAAGCCTGTCATTATGGGATTTAGTGTAATGTAGTTCACAGTGGGCAGTACTGATTGATTAATTTACTTTGTTATTTATGTTTGAGATAAACATATGTTCACGTTTTGGGTCTCACTGTGTTGCCCAGGCGGATCTTTAACTCCTGGCCTCAAGTGATCCTTCTGCTTCAGCCTCCGAAAGTGCTGGGGTTACAGATGTCAGCCACTGTGCCCTGTACTAATTTATGAAGACAGAAATCGGGCCAGTGCTTAACCATGGGAAAGTTAGAGACCAAGGGGGAGGATCAGGGTGACTTTGTGGGTGGTGGGGGAAGCAGAAATATTATTTTTCTTGATGAGTTCAGGGACCTGATTACACAAATCATAAATGTGTTTGGTTTGGGACAATTTTTGAGCTGTACCTTTATACTAGATATACTTTCCTATTTGTAGGTTGAATATCTATCAAAAGTTAATACAGGGCCGGGTGTGGTGGCTCACACCTGTAATCCCAGCACTTTGGGAAGCCAAGGCGGGTGGATCACTTGAGGTCAGGAGTTCGAGAACAGCCTGGGAAACATGGTGAAACCCCATCTGTACTAAAAAATATAAAAATTAGCCAGGCATGGTGGTGTGCGCATGTAGTCCCAGCTACTTGGGAGGCTGAGGCACAAGAATTGCTTGAACCTGGGAGACGGAAGTTTCAGTGAGCCGAGATTGCACCACCATACTCCAGCCTGGGTGACAGAGCCAGACTCCATCTTAAAAACAAAAAACAAAAAACAAAAAACAGTTAATATGGGCACGGTAGCTCATACCTGTAATGCCAGCACTTTGGGAGGCTGAGGCTGGGGGATCACTTGAGGTCAGGAGTTTGAGACCAGCCTGGACAACATGGCAAAATCCTGTATCTAGGCCGGGCGCGGTGGCTCACACCTGTAATCCCAGCACTTTGGGAGGCCGAGGCATGCGGATCACGAGGTCAGGAGATCGAGACCATCCTGGCTAACACGGTGAAACCCCGTCTCTACTAAATATACAAAAAATTAGCTGGGCGTGGTGGCGGGCGCCTGTGGTCCCAGCTACTCGGGAGGCTGAGGCAGGAGAATGGCGTGAACCCAGGAGGCGGAGCTTGCAGTGAGCCGAGATCGTGCCACTGCACTCCAGCCTGGGCGACAGAGGGAGACTCCGTCTAAAAAAAAAAACAAAAACAAACAAAAAAAATTAGCCGGGCGTGGTGGCAGGCACCTGTAATCCCACCTACTCCAGAGGCTGAGGCAGGAGAATCGTTTGAACCCAGGAGGTGGGGGTTGCAATGAGCCAAGATTGCACCATTGCACTCCAGCCTGGGAGACAGAGTGAGACTCCGTCTCAAAAAATAAAAAAATTTAAAAAGAAAGAAAGAAAGAGAGAGAGAGAAAGAAAAAAGAAAGAAGGAAGGAAAAGAAAGAAAGAGAAAAAGAAAAAGAAGAAAACGGATAGAAATGCATGGGGTAAATAAAAGGGAAAAGAAAGGAACCGAAGAATGAAAATCACAGGATAAACCCTTCAATAATTTGAGACGGTCATAGAAGAAGCTTTCATGGTCATGTGCTTCCCTCTAGTGACAACCACAAGCATCGCGGCCGTTCATCACTTAAATTTCAGAGGGCTGCCCATCAGAATGGCTAATAATGCTGCAGCGATTTATTGCACGGATGCATCGCTTACAAAAAAAAAGAAAAGTGCCTCTCAATGCTTATTCTGTTTATTTCCAGTCTTTTCCCGCCACAAACTAGGTGGCACTGAATATTCTTTTTTCTTTTTTTTTGATGGAGCCTGGCTCTGCCCAGGCTGGGTGGAGTGCAGTGGTGCCATCCCGGCTCACTGCAACCTCCACCTCCCAGGTTCTAGCGATTCTCCTGCCTCAGCCTCCCGAGTAGCTGGGATTACAGTCGCCTGCCACCACACCCAGATAATTTTTGTGTTTTTAGTGGAGATGGGATTTCGCCATGTTGGCCAGGCCGGTCTCAAATTCCTGGCCTCAGGTGATCCGCCCACCTTGGCCTCCCAAAGTGCTGGGATTACAGGTGTGAGCCACAGCACTCAGTCTTAATATACACACACACACACACACACACACACACACACACACACATATACATATACATATATATATTTATTTATTTATTTTATTTTGAGACAGAGTGTCACTCTTGTTGCCCAGGCTGGAGTTCAATGGCATAATCGTGGCTCACTGCAACTTCTGCCTCCCAGGTTCAAGTGATTCTCCTGCCTCAGCCTCCCGAGTAGTTGGGATTACAGGTGCCCACCACTATGCCCAGCTAATTTTTGTATCTTTAGTAGAGACAGGGTTTCACCATGTTGACCAGGCTGGTCTCGAACTCCTGACCTCAGGTGATCCACCCACCTCGGCCTCCCAAAATGCTGAGATTACAGGCATGAGCAACCGCACCCCATATTTATAGAGCCACGATCTCCCTATGTTGCCCCGGCTGGTCTTGAGCTCCTCGCCTCAAGCAGTCTTCCTGTGTCAGTCTTCCAAAGTGTTGGGATTATCGGTGTGAGCCACTACACCTAGCCTTATTGTAGTTTTAACTTGAATCTACCTTCCTATGAATCAGGGTGAACATTTTCTCATATATTTTAATTAATTTATTTATCTATTTTTTATTATTTATTTTTGAGACAGGGTCTCTCTCTGTTGCCCAACACTGGAGTGTAATAGCGTGATCTCGACTTACTGTAACCTCCGCCTCCCGGGTTTAAGTGATTCTCCTGCGTCAGCCTCCTGAGCAGCTGGGACTACAGTCATGAGCCACTATACCTGGCTAATCTCTGTATTTTTTGTGGAGACAGGGTTTCACCATGTTTCCCAGGCTGGTCTCAAACTCCTGAGCTCAAGGAATCCTCCCAACTCGGCCACCCAAAGTCCTGGGATTACAGGTGTGAGGCACTGTGCCCAGCCATTTTCTCACAGATTTAAAGTCCATTTTTATTACTTTTAGGTATTTTCTGTGGTGATGTGTTCATATCCTTTGCATATTTTTTCAGTTGATCTTTTCTTATTGATTTGTAGGAACTCTTTACATATTTGTTGCCCAGTAAAATTCTTTTGCAAGTACATTGCAAATATTTCTATAATGTTTGCTGTTGTTGAGGATATATATATAATGTGTGTGTGTGTACACATAATTGGATTAGAAACCAAAGTATAACATTAATCTGTACAAATCCATACTGATAGAGATTTTTTTTTTTTAGATGGGAGTCTCACTCTTGTCACCCAGGCTAGAGTGCAGCAGCACGATCTCGGCTCACTACAACTTTCACCTCCCAGGTTCAAGTGATTCTCCTGCTTCAGCCCCCCAAGTAGATGGGATTACACTTGCCTGCCACCACACCCAGCTAATTTTTGTATTTTTAAGCTAATTTTTGTATTTTTAGTAGAGATGGGGTTTCACCATGTTGGTCAGGCTGCTCTCAAACTCCTGACCTCAGGTGATCCACCTGCCTCGGCCTCCCAAACTGCTGGGACTACAGGTGTGAGCTACTGCGCCTGGTCCTTCAGTGCCAATTATGAGCCATGCTCTCTGATGTGGGGTGCTAGAGGCCCTGAGAAGGCTAGGACAGAAGTATCTCCCTCCCTGCAGTTGAGTGAGGAACAGAGACGCCTGCCAAGTCACATACAGCATGACTGCAGTGTGTGTGTGTGTGTGTGTGTGTGTGTGTGTGTGTGTGTGTGTGTGTGTGTCTGTTACATTCACAAGAATGGGGCTGGGTCAGACACTACAGCAGGAGGACCTCCTTTAGTTGGGGGAGGGGTGTTCTGGATGCCATTTGAGTTGAGGCCAGATGGAGGAGGCACAGCCAGTTTGTCTAAGGGGAGGTGGAAGGGCATCTTGAGCAGAAGGCACAGCCTGTGCAAAGGCCCTGGGGCAGGACCACGCCTGGCATGTTGGAGGAACAGCAAGGAGGCCCGTGTGGCTGCAGCAGAGAGAGTTAGTGGGAAGAGAGGGAAGAAGGGAGGGCAGGGAGAGGATGGGGCAGGTCATGTGGACCATGGGGAGGACTTGGGCTTTGACCCTGAGGGAGGTAGGAGCCATGGAGGGTTGTAGGTAGAGGAGGGACAGGACCTGATCCAGGTGCTCACAGGCGCCCTCTGGTGGCTGCTGTGGGGAGGACAGACTGTGAGGGGTGAGAGCAGAGGGAACTGAACTGGTCCGGGCACACAGTGACGGTATTAAGTGAATTTATCTCATTCCTAGGGGCCTCAGTGACTCTCTCCCTAAAATGGGGATGAACATCTTGCTGGCATTGATTGGCTTATTTTGAGAATTTGAGGACCAGATTCAACCCTGTGCCCAGTACATAATAAAGGCTCAGTAAATACCAGTTTACCCACAATTGTTCATTTAATCCTCCCAACAGGGGCCCAGCGAGATGGCTCATGCCTGTAATTCCGCCCTTTGGGAGGCCGAGGCGGGAGGATCACTTGAGGTCAGGAGTTCGAGACCAGCCTGGGCAACATACTGAGACCTCCCATCTCTACTAAAAAATTAGCCAAGCATGGTGGCATACACTTGTAGTCTCAGCTACTTGGGAGGCTGAGGTGGGAGGATCGCTTGAACCCAGGGAATTTGAGGCTGCAGTGAACTGTGATCGTGCCACCGCACTCCAGCCTGGATGACAGAGTCACATCCTGTCTCTAAAAAAGAAAAAAAATTCTCCTAACAGCCTTATTTTACAAATGAGGAAAACAAGCCACAGAGGGGGAAAGTGACTTCCCCAAGGACACACAGCTAATGTGGCAAAGTGAGGTTTTGCTCTCAAGGCCTCCAGGCAAATAGGATTATAGATAAGGATGGTTAGATACTTCTGAGGGGATTTGACCTAGTCCAGGAGGGCTTCCTGGAGGTGGTGACATTGGACCTGAGAACTACAAGATGAGCTGGAGCCATCTAGCCAAACTGAGAGAGAAAGGACGTCCCAGCAGGGGCCACAGGGGTGCAGGGGTCCAAGTGGGTTCATCCCCGGAGCTCAAGGTCATCCCTTTCCCTGCCTAAGCCCTTCCCAGCTTTGCCATCACTGCCAACTTCTGGCTTTGTGGGCTGCACCCCCTCTCCCAGGGACCACCCCCTACTGCTCAGATTGGGTGGCTGGTGAAGACCCCCCACCCCCCCGCCACCTCCAGCTGGTAACAATCCCCAGAAAGGGATCATTAAGTGCCCGGCTGAAGCCGCCGATCACCAGTGCACAGGCACTATTTTAATTTTCCACTGATTTGTCTGCGGTAGGCCCCCCAGAGCTGAGCCATGTGTGTGTGTGTGGTGGGGTGTGGGGCGGGGGGCGGGGATTTCAAGTCCCAAAGCCATTTCTGGGGAAGAGGGGTAGAGGAAAGGACTTGGGTGGGGAGGCCTCACAGAGAGGCAGTTACAGGGGCAACTGGCACAGTTCCTGCTTCCTCCCCAAATCTCCTCTTCCTGGCCCTGATGTGGGGGCTTCCCAGGGCTGTGCCTTTGCCTTCACACTCAGGGCAGCCACTTCTGTCTTCAGGCTCCACCTACCCATTGATCCACCCACACATGCAGCCAACCAACCATCCATCCATCTATCAACCACTCCCTTCAGCCCTTTATCCATCTATCTATCCACCTTCCCATCCATTCACCCATCCACCCATCCATCCCTCTATCCATCCATCCATCCATCTGTCCACCACTCCCTTCATCCCTTTGTCCATCTATCCATCCACCTTCCCATCCATTCACCCATCCTTCCCTCTATTCATCCATCCATCCATCCATCCATCTATCCACCACTCCCTTCATCCCTTTATCCATCTATCCATCCACCTTCCCATCCATTCACCCATCCACCCATCCATCCCTCTACTCATCCATCCATCCACCCATCCATCCATGCATTCGTTCATCCATGCATCCATGTACCCATCCATTTGCCCATTCGTCTGTCCATCCACCCATGCCTGCATCCATCCATCAGCCCATCCATTCATCTCTCCACTCATCCATTCACTCACTCAGCCATACACTCAACCATCCTTCCATTCATCCACCCATCCATCCATCCATCCATCCATCCATCCATCCACCCACCCATCCATCCATGCATTCATCCATCCATTCATCCATGCAACCATCCACCTACCCATCCGTTTGCCCATTCATCCATCCATCCGTCCATCCATCCAGCCATTGATTCATCTCTCCACTCATCCATCCACTCATCCACTCATCCATCCATCCACTCATCCATCCATCCAACCATCCAACCACTTATCAATCCATCCATCCATCCACCTCCCTCCCATCCATCCATCCATCCATCCATCCATCACTCTACTCATCTATCCATCCACCCACCCACCTGCCCACCCATCTATCCCCTCATCTAGCCATCCACTCATCCATCTGTCCACCCATCAACCCACCCACCTATCGACTCCTCCCTCCCTCCCTCCATCCAATTCACAAGCAGTTACTGATCACAGATGTTCTAGTCATTATCTTAGACTCCAGCGATCTCTCTCCCTTATTCAGCTTCTTCCAGGACTTTCCTCAAGGTCTCCAGACTCAGCGTCTTCCTCAAACCCCCTCCTCCTTCCATGTCCCCATGTCAGGGACAATTCCACCATCACTCCCCATCCCTGAGGTAGGGATCTCTGGCATCAGCCCCATCTTCTCCCTCCTCCTGGCTCCCCATAGTCTGTCCATCCCAACATCTGCTCACTCTCCCCTTAGATCCTCTCTCCCATCTGTCCCTCTGGTCCTGTTCGCTCAGACACCTCCCATGGCTCCCCATTACCCTGGAGAGAAAGCCCCACCTCCGCAGCCTCGCATTTGAGACCCACCCATCACAGCCTGGCTTTACATGTCTCTCTTACCTGCCCCCGCCTCAGGCCCCATTTTAGCTCTGTCACACGGGGGCACATTCGCACCACCACACCTTTGTCTGAGCAGTTCCTTCTGCCAGGAATGCCCTCCCTGCTACCTTCTTGTGTTGAAAGCTTTAGCATCCCTCTGGGCCTGGCTCAAATGTCACCATCTCCAGGGAGCCCCTAGCCAGTGGCTTCTCCCTGCCCAGTGGGTTTCTATCAAAGGACAAGGTGCCTCCGCCCTGCTAGGGGTTTCATGGAACCTTGCAAAGCCACCAGCTGCAAAGGTGGGCGAAACCACGTGGCCAGGCAGCTATGAGGACTTAGCGTGTGGCTGGGGTAGACACACGACACCTGGGTGATATGACCCCTGGCAGCCATGGCTTCATATCACCCCCATCACAGGTGGCAGAGTAACAAGTTGGTCCCTCTGCTCAGCTGATCCAGAGAGTGGCCACATTACCCTGGTCGCTTCCCGGCCACCTCCTGCAGCGGCTGCCCCTTGCCAAGCCTCAGTTTCCCCATCTATAAAATGGTGATAATAATGGTTCCTTCCCTATCGACTTGTTGGGAGGATTGAAGGAGATACAACATGGGAGGCTCAGCCGGCCATGACTCTAATTGGGCGTCATCTCAGGAATCGTTCAGGGCTCTGACGTTACAAGAATTTGCTGTGTGACCTTGGGGAAAGTACTGCCCCTCTCTGAGCCTCAACTGTCCCTTCCCCAGTGACTTCCAGGGTGAGCAGTGGCTGGGCTCTGCCCTTCTCCTGGAGGGACAGACTCAGCGGCTTGCAGGGGAGGGTGTGAACGCCTTGCCATTTATCTGCCCTGGAGAAGAAAAGAGTGAGGAAAGACCTAGGTCGGATACAAGGAGGGACTTCCAGATGGTAGTGGGAGTGGTGGGAACTGGAGGATGGGGGCTGGTGTGTTTCAGCATGTTCTGCTTGGTCTGTGGCTGGGGTGGGAGGCCTGGCTGGGCGGAGTGAATGAGCCTTCATTCACTCACTTACAAAACCCATTCATTCATTCATTTATTCATTCACTGAGTTCCCGCTGACCTCTTTGCTGTGGGTTAGTGGGCAAGCCCCTGAGGTCTGTGGCCAGGAAGTCTGGGTTCGAATCCCAGCGCTGCCTCTCCCAAGCCCTGTGGACATAGAAAGTCGCTTCGCCACTCCGTGCCTCAGTTTCCCCATCTGTAAAGCGGCGGCATCGTGGTGGCCCCTCTCTGGGGTTGAGGGTGACAATGATTCTGCGTCCCTCGCGTGGCGGTGCCCACCGCCCCGGCCCATCTCTCTGGGTCTCCCCACCCTTCCCCTCCTCACCGCCGACATTCCCGGCCCGGCGCTCCGGGAAACATTCCGTGGTTTGCGGCAGACTGTCCGGCTCCTAGGCGCCTCAGATGTGGGCAGAGTGGGCGGCGGCCGGGCGGGCGCGGGCCAGGGGGCTGGGGAGACGAAGCATCTCGAGGCCCCCCACCAGCGCCGGGCACACAGAGGGGGAGGTGGCGGGTGGCACTCACGGATGGGCACAGGGAACCACTCAGTGGATGGGGGAGGCCCTCTCTGCCCACAACCCTCCATGGCTCCCTAGGGTTTCTGGTCCCAAACACCACATCCACCCCGGAGGCCACAGTGCCCTGCACAACCTGCCCATCCCCTCCCTACCCTCCCCTTCTCCCTCTCTCTCCCTCCTCACTCTGCTCCAGCCACATGGGCCTCCTGGCCATTCCTCTAACGCACCAGCCCAGTCCTGCCTCGGGGCCTTTGCACGGGCCATGCCCTCTGCCCCCACCAAGACTTTAGGTCCCTTGAGATGGCTCAGGCCGCAACGTCACCTTCCCGGCCCACTGGCTGCCTCTTCTAATTTCTTCACCGTCCTCCTCTCAATTTAAAATTATCTCATGCATTATTCATTTTCTCTTTTACTGTTCTCCATGCCGGGCCAGGAGCCCAGGAAGGGCAGGGCTGGGTCTCTCTGGTTCACCGCGGACTCGTAATAGGCACTCATGGCGCATGTGGAGCCACCACGGAAGTCCTTCTGGAATCTAACCACAATCTCTCTCGCTTTATCTTTGTGACTATTACTCAGTTCCTGACCTGGGCAGGGCCCTTAACAGTTTGCAAGATACCTCCGTGGTCATCAGCATATTGGATTTCCCACAAAGACCCTACTGGGGGGAAGGGGGGCTCTGCTGTGCATACCTCCGCCTGCTTTACAGATGAGGAAACTGAGGCACAGAGAGCTGACGTGACTTGTTCTTTTTCTGTTTTTTTTTTTCTTCTTTTTTGAGATGGAGCCTCGCTCTGTCACCCAGGCTGGAGTGCAGTGGTGGGATCTCGGCTCACTGCAACCTCCGCCTCCTGGGTTCAAGCGAGTCTCCTGCCTCAGCCTCCTGAGTAGCTGGGACTACAGGCACCCACCACCACCCCCGGCTAATTTTTGTATTTTTAGTAGCGACGGGGTTTCGCCATGTTGGCCAGGCTGGTCTTGAACTCCTGACCTCATGATTCACCTGCCTCAGCCTCTGAAAGTGCTAGGATTACAGGCATGAGCCACCGTGCCTGGTCTCTGTGTGTGTGTGTGTGTGTGTGTGTGTGTTTGTCTGTTTGTTTCTAGAGACAGGGTTTCACTCCGTTGCCCAGGCTGGAGTGCAGTGGCACAATCATGGCTCACCATGGCCTCAACCTCCTGGGTTCAGGCGATCCTCCCACCTCAGCCTCCTGAGTAGCTGGGATTACATGCATGCACCATCACGCCTGACTAATTTTCATATTTTTTTGTAGAGATGGGGTTTCGTCATGTTGCCCCGGCTGGTCTTGAACTCCTGGGCTCAAAGGATCCTCCCATCTCAGCCTTCCAAAGTGTTAGGATTAAAGTTGTGAGCGACTGCCCTGCCATGACTTGTTCTTGGAATGAATGAACAGATAAATGGATGAACTTAGCTACCTTATGATTTTCCCAGGCCAGGGGAACTTTTGTTTTTGTGGGCTCTTTCCTTCACAAAAAATAGAATTGTTTAAAATGATCTTTTATGGGCTGGGTGCAGTGGCTCATGCCTGTAATCCCAGCACTTTGGGAGACTGAGGCGGGTGGATCACCTGAGGTCAGGAGTTCAAGACCAGCCTGGCCAACATGGCGAGAACCCATCTCTACTAAAAATACAAAATTTACCCAGGCGTGGTGGCGGGCGCCCGTAATCCCAGCTACTCGGGAGGCTGAGGCAGGAGAATCGCTTGAACTTGGGAGACAGAGATTACAGTGGGCCAAGATCGTGCCACTGCACTCCAGCCTGGGTGACAGAGCGAGACTCTGTCTCAGAAAGAAACAAACAAATTTATCTTTTATGGCTGCATGGGCACACAGATGAATAGAATCCAGACGGGATGCATAACCATGTATTCATTATTATCATAGTTATACGATACATTAAAATGGAAATATTTCCATGAGCCCTAAAGGTCTCAGGAGCCCTGTGCTGTGCCTCCTGTAGCTCTGGGAGATGTTAACTCTGCCTTGGGATTTAGAGGCTAAGGTTGAACGCCCGCCCAGTATCCTCTCTCTCCATCCAGCCCCACATTTTGAATCCTTCGTGGATCCTTCATTCGCCTTGGGAGCCTGGCTGCTCTGAGTGTAAAAGCATCTTTTGAAAATCACCTGGTCCACTCTATTTAAAAGAATGGAGGCTGGGGCTGGGTGCAGTGACTCACGCCTGTAATCCCAGTACTTTGGGAGGCTGAGGTGGGCGATCATCTCAGCCCACCAGGTCAGGAGTTCGACACCAGCCTGTGGTGTGCTGGCTAACATGGTGAAACCCTGTTTCTACTAAAAATACAAAAAATTAGCCGGGCGTGATGGCGTGCACCTGTAATCCCAGCTACTTGGGAGGCTGAGGCAGGAGAATTGCTTGAACCCGGGAGGCGGAGCTTGCGGTGAGCCGAGATTGTGCCATTGCACTCCAGCTTGGATGAAAAGAGCAAAACTCCGTCTCAAAAAAAAAAAAAAAAAAAAAAAGAATGGAGGCTGGGTACAGTGACTCACGCCTGCAATACCGGCACTTTGGGAGGCCAAGGGGGCAGATCACCTGAGGCCAGGAGTTCAAGACCAGCCTGGTCAACATGGTGAAACCTCGTCTCTACTAAAAATACAAAAATTCACCAGGCATGGTGGTGCATGCCTGTAATCCCAGCTACTTGGGAGGCTGAGGCAGGAGAATCGCTTGAACCCAGGAGGCGGAGGTTGCAGTGGGCCGAGATCGCGCCACTGCATTACAGCCTGGGCAACAGAGTGATACTTCATCTCAAAAAGAAAAAAAAAAGAATGGAATTTCCACCAACAGAGGCTTGCATGCCTCCTGTGACGGATGCCTCATTACCTTTCACACACTCAGGAGAAAGCACTTACAGAGGTCAAGCTGATCCCTGCAGAGGCCAGGCTCTGCCCTCTGCCCTCTTTAGCTTCTTCTGCCCTAGGGAAGCCCCGCCTAGGGAGATTTTGAGTCCTGAATCTTGGGTCCTGCTGCTTCAGCTCTTGTGTTTGGGAACCCCCTGAATGTGTGGTTGATCCTGTGGGAGGGCGCAGGTGACCCAGCTCTGAGCCAATGCCAGAGAAATGTCAGGGAGAGCTTGGAGAGCTGAACTGAATTCCACCCCTAGGCATCTTCTTTTCTTGGGCTAAAGCCCTGAGTCTCTCAGTCTTTCCCTGAAGGCTGCCCTATCCGCTTTCCCTGTCTGGACATACTCCGGTTTGATACCTCCCCTTGACTAATGAGTGGGTCCATAACCTCCCCTATACTGGGGCTTCTACCTCTATTGATAAGACCTCAAGTTTGCACTGAAATGTTCTCCTTTTCTCAAACTGCCAGTTCTGCTTGGCTCGCTAAGGACCCAGGAGATGGAGATGAGGAAGGGCTCCCCACCTCCCCCACCTCTGACCTCTGACCTCAGGCCCTTCTCCCACTCCCAGCTCTGTTCTTCACTTGCTGGGTGACTTTGAGCAAATCACTCAGCTTCTCTGGGCCTTCAGTTTAATTGCCAAGTCCCAGCCTTTTTTCATCTGAAACCTGCTCCCTTCCCTGCACCTCCAAGTCCCCATCATCCCTCGCCTAGAAGCCGCCTCAGCCTCCCCTGGTCTCTGGCTGCCACATCAGCCCCAGCCACCCTTTCTCCCCACAGAAGCCCAAGGAAGCTTTAAAAATATAAAATAGGTCCCGTCCCTCCTCTGCCCGCAGCCCTCCATGGCTCCCACCTTCCTCGGTGTCACAGCCCAAGTCCTCCCAGAGGCCATCAGGTCTGCGTGACCTGCCCCGTCCCTTCCCTGCCCTCTCCTCCTCCCTTTCTCCCCCTCCTCACTCTGGTCCAGCCACACAGGCCTCCTCGCTGTTCCTCCAACAGGCCAGATGTGGTCCTGCCCCAGGGCCTTTCCACATGCCACGACCCATGCCTGGAACTCTATTCCCATTTCTCTTATCTGAATGAATTCTGTCATCCACCAGGTCTCAGGTCAGATGTCACCTCCTCAGGAAAGCCCTCCCAGATTGCCTGGGCTCACTCAGGCCCCCAGCGCCTTCTCACTGCTTCCTCCTACAATCGTAGTTCACTCCTACTTTGTGCACAGATATTTTTATCCTCTGTCTCCCGCTCTGGGACATTTGCCCCAAGAAGGCAGGGACTTTTTTTTTCCTGTCTGGGTCACTGCTGTGTCCCCCGTATGGAGAAATGGGGCCTGGGGTACAGCGAGTACTCAAATGTTGGTTGTATGAAGAATGAAAAGTGAAACCAATGCAGGACACTCCCCAGGGCTGTGGGAAAGGTCTCTCTGTCCTTGTAAACCCCAAGACTTTGGTGCTCAGAGACTAAGGAAATGACCCCAGAGGCTCTGACCCCACCTGAAGCAGACACACCCCAGAGACAGCAGCTATGAGAGGTCACAGCAGGTCATGAGGTGCCATGTCCCACCTCGAGGCCCAACTTTCCTTGGCGACCCACAGAGCACCTGCCATGAAACCCGAGAAGTCTAGGCCGCTCATCATTTCCCTGATGGGAGAACCTGCGGGCCAGAGAGGGTGAGCCACTGTCCCAAGGTCACACAGTAAGCCCAGGTTGAAACACACATCTGCATGATGCAGACCTGTGTTGACGGGTTTTCAAGTTCCCCATGGATCACCGGCCAGCTCCCAGACAGCTGGATGGACCGACGGACTGAGAGGCGGACAGTGTGACGGTCTCGCGCGGACCCCAAGGGCCGTGGACACTGGCCCCCAGCCAGGCTCCATAACTGTGCCCTGTCTTACACACAGAGCTGCCCCGGAATTGCTTCTTACCCCATCCGGTGGGTCCCAGTTTCAAGGGACGTGGCCTTAACCACCCCCCACCACCACCACTGGAAGCTTCCGGAAGGGTGCCCAATCTTAGGGGTGATGCCATAGTCCTCCTCTGGGCCAAAGCAGGCGACAGCCCCACCCCACCTTCCCTCGGCCCTTGGCCATCATCCAGCCAGAGCGAGGAGGGTGTCCACCCCGTTTTCTGGGACCACAGGGCACAGAGGCAGGCGAGGGCTTGGCCGGGGTCACACAGCAGCCCAGTCCCTGGGCCTCACGCTCCCCAGCCCGCTGAGACCTCCCCACCCTCAGAACATCCCATCACAGGCCCTGGGCCCAGCACAAGCATCTCCAGGACCACTGATCCTCTGCAAAACCGTCCAAGGGAACGGCCACCCTGGTGCCCTCGTGGGCCACAGAAACAGGCACTTTCGGGCCCTTAGCGGTGCCTGGGCAGCCGCGGACTCGTCTCCAGGTGGAAGATGCAAGAATTATTCTGCTCTCCATGATCTGGGCTCGGTTTCACCACCTCTGACCACCTTCCCCGACTTCACAGCTCCCCAGTGGGGGGGTCACCGCCGCCCCCCAACCACGCCTGGCTGGAGAAGCCTCCTCGGCCGGCCGCCCCCTCCTGCCCCCGGCCCCGGGCCACGGCGGGCCCCGCTCCACTCACCATCCACCACATTTTAGCCGTCGTGTCGTAGCACAGTTGCCATTTGACCGAGGTCTCTCCCGGCTTGCTGGACACGGGGGGCCCGGGCACCTCCATGCTGGGGCGGACGGCGAGGGCGGCCCCGAATCGCCTTATGGGGACCGGAGTGCGGGCTGGGCCGGCCGCCTGGGAGGCAGGTCCGGGCACCCGGCTTCCATGATGCCGTCACACAAGCAGCTTTTCTCTGGGGAGTCGGAGGAGGGTGCCGGGGACACTGGGAGCTGGAGAGCATAGACGAGAGAGTGAGAGAGAGAGAGAGAGAGAGAAAGAGAGACAGAGAGAGAGGAGAGAAGAGAGAAGAGAGAGAGGCAGGAGGGCTTGGGATGCGTTAATGTGAGACACACCAGGCCACTCTCAACTAAGTGACCACCCACAGCCCGGCGAGGCTGTCACAGGCCGTGTGTGTGTGTGTGTGTGTGTGTGTGTGTGTGTGTGTGCAGCAGCCGTTGGTGCAATCAGACGGGGCCATGGATTTGTGAATGAAGCTCAAACTCTGATTGGAAAATCCCCCCTCCCGCCCCCCGGAAGGAGCGTGGCTTCTCCCGCCTGCCCACCACCTCCATCAGGGACAGACGGATGCGCAGGACCCGGCAGCCTGGGGCGGGAGGGGGAACGCCCCCCCCCACCGACCCCCCCCCCCGCAACACCCACCCACCTCCGCTTCCCAGATGCCAGCCGGGAGGGTGCCCCTGTGAGCGTGCTCCAAGGCCTCCGTTAGCTCCGGGCAGGGCTCGGCTGTCTTCATGGGACCCTGGAGGGGTAAGTCTTTTTTTTTTTTTTTTGAGACAGAGTTTCACTCTTGTTGCCCAGGCTGGAGTGCAGTGGCGCAATCTCGGCTCACTGCAACCTCCGCCTCTCAGGTTCAAGCAATTCTCCTGCCACAGCCTCCCGGGTAGCTGGGATTACAGGCACCTGGCCACCACACCTGGCTAATTTTTGTATTTTTAGTAGAGATGGAGTTTTGCCATGTTGGCCAGGCTGGTCTCAAACTCCTGACCTCAGGTGATCTGCCCGCCTCGGCCTCCCAAAGTGCTGGGACTACAGGCGCGAGCCACTGCTCCCGGCGTGACTGTCACTATTTTATCTTCTCCTTCCTTCTCCTGGCCTCCAAGCAGAGACAAGTTGGGGGGTTTGGGTGGTAGGGGGTGGGGGGGTTCCTTTTGTTTCATAATGTAACAGTCGCTGTGCATTTATGGAGCATGAAGTGTATGCCCGGGTGAGGCGAGAAGGGGCTGGTCACTGGTGTGTATGTGGGGGCTGGATGTCCTGGCCCGCAGGTAGCAGGAGGGACTGCAGATAGACTGCAGGAAGAACTTCCCTGGGGAGGGACTGCCCCTTAGCTCTGACATGGCAATGACAGGGCCCACCCGGAACTCCTCTGGCCTCTGCTTTTCTGTGTCCTCTCCGAGTGCTCGGAGGGAAGTGGAGGCTGAGCAGCTGGCGCAGGACATGAATGGGGACCAGGCGCCTCGCTGTGTCATTGGGGCTGAGGACGGGGTGGCGTGCTGGGGAACGTGGCCACCCCAGTCTCGTCTCCTCTGCTCAGTCCCCGGCACCGTGGAGGAATCTTCCTAAAGTGCAGCTGTGGCTGGTTCCCTCCTCTCTTGGCCTCCCTTCATGGTCTCCAACATAAGAACCCGACGGCGACTGGACCCGGCTTCCCACTCATCCCCCTTCTCTCACTAATGCATGTCACCGTCCCACTTCCTGATGACACCACGTTCTTCTACAGCTCCGGGCCTTTGCTTCTGCCTGGGATGCCTTTCCTCTTTGCACCGCTGAGCAACTCCTATGCATCTGTCAAAACCCAGCCCAGACATTGCCCCAACCCTTGAGGACAGAGACAAAGGCAAACAGACACAGAGACAAATGGAGGGACAGAGATGGGGAGAAGGTTGGAGAGAGACAGAGAGAGGAAGGCGAGACACCCAGCCACGCCACGCCCACTGTCTGGACCACAGGCTCTGAGTTTCCACCCTGAAAAGCCTGGATTAGCAGCCACATTCTGCTCGATAGGAAGGTTCCCACAAGACCCAGCCTTAACCCCAAGGGATTGAGATTGTCTGCATCCAGTACAGCCTCCCCCAGCCTGGGGGGCTCCTGGAGGGCAGGGCCCGGGTCTGAACCCTCACCGGGACCCCGGCATCCCCTGGGACTCAGCTGTGCACACAGTAAGCACCTATGATGCTTGACAGGGCAGGTGTATGGGAGAGACCCTATCATTTGAATCATCGATATTAATAGCAATGGCTTGGCCGGGTGCAGTGGCTCACACCTGTAATCCCAGCACTTTGGGAGGCCGAGGCGGGTGGGTCCTTTGAGGCCAGGAGTTCGAGACCAGCCTGGCCAACATGGCAAAACCCCATCTCTACTAAAAATACAAAAATTAGCCGGACGTGGTGGTGCACGCCTGTAATCCCAGCTAGTCGGGAGGCTGAGGCAGGAGGATTGTTTGAATCCAGGAGGCAGAGGTTGCAGTGAGCCAAGATCGTGCCACTGCACTCCACCCTGGGTGACAGAGCGAGACTCTGTCTCAAAATAAAAATAAAATAAAATAGCTGGGCGTGGTAACTCAAGCCTGTAATCCCAGTACTTTGGGAGGCCAAGACAGGCGGATCACGAGGTCAAGAGACAGAGACCAACCTGGCCAATATGGTGAAACCCGTGTCTACTAATAATACAAAACTTGGCTGGGTGTGGTGGCATGCATCTGTAATCCCAGCTACTCAGGAGGCTGAGGCAGGAGAATCACTTGAACCCAGGAGGCGGAGGTTGCAGGGACCCGAGATCGCGCCATTGCACTCCAGCCTAGCGACAGAGTGAGACTCCGTCTCAAATAAATAAAATAAAATAAATAAAATAAAATAAAATAAAATAACTCCCCTGGGCCCCCAAGATCACTTTCCTGCTTTTTCTTCAAAGCACTGATGACTATTCCCTATTTCTTGCCTGTCTCCCCCAGTGGGGTGTTGATTTCAGGAGGGCCGAGAATTGTGTTGGTCTCATTCACTGCTTTGGCCTCAGTGCCTGGAACAGTGCCTGGCTCAGAGTAGGCGCTCCGTAACAGATCTGTTGAATGCAGGAATGTATGCATGAATAGAAAGTCAGGGTTTTGCAAATATTGGAGTTTCCTGCTGATTTTTGCAAAAGGCATTTTCATCCTGGCACTAAAGATGGAGGCCTGGCAAAGGACTGGCTGGTGTGTGGGGAGGGGCGAGGGGAAGGGCTGGGCGTGAGCTTTCCTGACCCTAGTGGGGCCATGCCTCGGTCATCCTGCCCAGCTGAGGCCGGCAGAGCCCGGCCCAGCGGACGCAGTTCGCCCACATGGAGGCCCCCGCCCCGTAACTATAATTTGCCTCAGTACCTTGTGGTCGTAGGAGACAATTACCCCACAGATGTGCGGTTGGAGTCAGGCATTCAGACGGCGGGTCAGAGCCCGGGCCTTGGCGGAAGGCAGATGTGGGAGGCAACCTTCAAACGGGAAGGGAGAGAGAGAGAGAGAGAGAGAGAGAGAGAGAGAGAGAGAGAGAGATATGGAGAGGGAGATGGAGAGATGGAGACAGGGAGATAGAGGGAGAGATGGAGAGATGGAGAGAGAGATGGAGAGAGGGAGAGAGAGAGAGAGAGAGAGAGAGAGAGAGAGAGAGAGAGAGATATGGAGAGGGAGATGGAGAGATGGAGACAGGGAGATAGAGGGAGAGATGGAGAGATGGAGAGAGAGATGGAGAGAGGGAGAGAGAGAGATGGAGAGAGGGAGGGAGAGAGAATGACAGAGAGGGAGAGACAGAGATAAAGGGAGGGAGGGGGAGAGAGGGAGGGAGGGAAGGGGAGAGAGAGATGAAAGGAGGGAGGGAGAAGGGGGAGAGAGAATGAGAGAGTGATGGAGAGAGAGATGGAGAAATGGAGAGAGAGTGATGGAGAGAGAGATGGAGAAATGGAGAGAGAGAGATGGAAAGAGAGATGGAAAGAGGGAGAGAGAGATGGAGAGAGGGAGGGAGAGAGGGAAGGAGAGATGGAGAGAGGGAGGGAGAGAGGGAGGGAGGGAGAGATGGAGGGAGGGAGGGAGACAGAATGAGAGACAGAGAGATGGAGAGAGGGAGAGAGAGATAAAGGGAGGGAGGGGAAGAGAGAGGGAGGGAGGGAAGGGGAGAGAGAGATGAAAGGAGGGAGGGAGAAGGGGGAAAGAGAATGAGAGAGAGATGGAGAGAGATGGAGAGAGAGATTGACAGAGATGGAGAGAGATGGAGAGATGAAGACAGAGACGGAGATAGAGAGATGGAGAGATGGAGAGAGAGATGGAGAGATGGAGAGAGAGAAGAAGAGAGAGATGGAGATAGATGGAGAGATGCAGAGGCAGATAGAGAGATGGAGAGAGAGATGAAGAGAGAGATGGAGATAGAGAGATGGAGAGATAGATGGAGAAATGGAGAGATGGAGAGATGGAGAGAGATGAGACAGAGATGGAGAGAGAGATGGAAAGAGGGAGAGAGAGATGGAGGGAGGGAGGGAGAGAGAAAGAGAGGGAGATGGAGAGAGGGAGAGAGAGATAAAGAGAGGGAGGGGGAGAGAGAGGGAGGGAGGGAAGGGGAGAGAGAGATGAAAGGAGGGAGGGAGAAGGGGAGAGAGAATGAGAGATGGAGAGAGAGGAAGAGACATGGAGACAGGGAGGGAGGGAGGGAGAGAGAGAGATGGAGGGAGGGAGAGAGGGATGGAGGGAGGGAGAGAGAGAAGGGAGGAGAGAGAGATGGAGGGAGGGAGAGAGGGATGGAGGGAGGGAGGGGGAAGAAGGAAAGAGGGAGAGGGAGAAAGGGAGAGAGGGAGGAAGAGAGAGAGAGGGATAGAGAGAAGAGACAGAAAGGGAGAGAGAGGGAGGAAGAGAAAGAAACAGAGAGACATCACGGAAAAAGACAGAGATGAGAGGCAGAGAAACAGACATGAACAGAGAGGCAGGGAAAGACAGAGACACACAAAGACATGCAGAAAGAGTGAAAGAGAGAGATAGAGGGGAGAGAGACAGAGACAAAGATACAGAGACAAGGAGAGACAGCAAGATTTAGAGGGAAACAGTGATAGAGAAAGACAGAGATACAGAGATAATGAGACAGAGAGGGAGAGAGTTAGGGAGAGAGAGAGACAGTGAGAAAGACAGATGGGAAAGACAAGCCACCCAGCCGTGCACAGTCAACGGGGTGGGCTGTGGACCGTCCACTGTGTAGCACAGCCTATGCCCCCACCAGAGACACCCGATTGACCAGCCACATTTTCCACTCTGAGAACTGAGGCCCAAGAGGGTCAGCCCAGTGATCAAAACTGCAGCAGCTGCTGCGCTGGGCCAGCACCTGGATCTTCGTGAGGATCCTCCATCTGCACCACACCCCCAACCCCGGTTCCTGTCCCCCCGTACCAAGGACAGAAGGCCCAGGTCTACACGTCTTTTTTTGTTTTTTAGATGGAGTTTCACTCTTGATGCCTAGGCTGGAGTGCAATGGTGCGATCTCAGCTCACCGCACCCTCCACCTCCCAGGTTCAAACAATTCTCCTGCCTCAGCCTCCCAAGTAGCTGGGATTACAGGCACCTGCTGCCACGCCCGGCTAATTTTGTATTTTCAGTAGAGATGGGGTTTCGCCATGTTGGCCAGGCTGGTCTCAAACTCCTGACCTCAGGTGATCCACTTGCCTCGGCCTCCCAGAGTGCTGGGATTACAGGTGTGAGCCACCACACCCGGCCTGGTCTACAAGTCTTTACCCACTCCATGCCTCAGTTTCCCTAGCTGAAAAACCAACAAGCCAGATTAGGGCAGCCTCTCAATGCTGTCACTCACAGACCACCCTTCTCGTTTTATCTGTGTCCAAGTATTAGTGAAGATTTTTCTTTGGATCAAACTGTTTGTTTTAAAAGACTTAGATATATTTAAAGAGAAAAGAATAACGCCTCCCCCGCACTACAGTCTGCCGTGAATTGAGGGCAGGTCCAAAGATAAATGCAACAAAAACCTCCTCAACCTTATCATAGTCTAACCAAACATCAAGCCTGAAGCCTGCTCTGTTTGTAAAAAAAGAAAAGCAAGAATTAGAGAGGTGTTAAAGACAGGTTAAGAGCATCCAAGAGCTGCAGGTGAAGAGCAAGTGATCTAACACAGGTGTAATTGGAATCCCACAGGAGAAGGAAGACTAGGGCAGCTGATTGTTTTCAGAGAATAGCCAATAATTTTCACAGATCCATGAGGCTCAGAAAACACCAAACAGAATAAATATCCTCTAAGAGACATACCCAGACATATATTCAAAATGCAGAAAATTGGCTGGGCGTGGTGGCTCACGCCTGTAATCCCAGCACTTTGGGAGGCTGAGGCAGGCAGATCACGAGGTTAGGAGATCGAGACCATCCTGGCTAACACAGGGAAGGTCTTGCCAGCCTTATAGGTCACAGGGAGGCTTTGACCCAGAGGAAGGTGGGAGCCTTGGAGTGCTGTAGGCAGAGGAGGGACAGGCCCTAACTCGGGTGCTCACAGCCCCCCTCTGGTGGCTGCTGCAGGGAGGACAGACTGTGTGGCAGAGGGTGGAGCCTAGGACCAAGGCAGAGGCAACTGCGCCAGGTCCAGGTGGGCAACGATGGGGCTGGACCCAGGCAGAGGAACAGGAAGAAGTGAGCGTTTGAGGATGGAATAGTGAGGGCAGGGGCGACAGGACCTGCTGATAGATTGGAGTTGAGCAAGAAACAAAAGATCCAGGATAGCGTTGATATTCGGCTCCAGCACCCGGAAGAATGGAACTGCCGGGCCGGGCGCGGTGGCTCACGCCTATAATCCCAGCACTTTGGGCGGCCGAGGCAGGCGGATCACGAGGTCAGGAGATCGAGACCATCCTGGCTAACACGGTGAAACCCCGTCTCTACTAAAAATACAAAAAATTAGCCAGGCGTGGTGGCAGGCACCTGTAGTCCCAGCTACTCGGGAGGCTGAGGCAGGAGAATGGTGTGAACCCGGGAGGCGGAGCTTGCAGTGAGCCGAGATCGCGCCACTGCACTCTAGCCTGGGCGACAGAGCGAGACTCCGTCTCAAAAAAAAAAAAAAAAAGAATGGAACTGCCATCAGCTGAGATGCAGACGACGAGGGAGGAGCAGGATTGGGGACCAAGGACAGAGTGTTGTCCTGACTAGCAACCCCTTAGCTGTCAGAGATTAGGGCTG
This sequence comes from Homo sapiens, assembly GCF_000001405.40. Lineage (NCBI taxonomy): Eukaryota > Metazoa > Chordata > Mammalia > Primates > Hominidae > Homo > Homo sapiens. Next base: position 3,307,628 of record NC_000019.10, on the reverse strand, counting down.
AGTTCATTTGAGGCTTTGATGGAGGACAGACAGGCAGAGAAAGCTCAGACCCTTGTCCCCAGTCATCCTGCATGGGAGCCCCTGCGACCAGAGCCGGGAGCTGTCCGCGACCCCCGGTGCTGAAGCTCCCATTCTAAGCAGGAACTCCGGAGCCCCCGCTGGAGTAAAGTGTCTGACATGTAGTGAACGCTCAAAACGTATCCCTGAATTTCACCCAAGGTGGCAAAGCGATTTCAGCGTCATCGTACTGCGCTGGTTTCTATGTCCCGCACGCCCCAACCTGTACTTTACGGATATGCAAACTGAGACCATGAGAGGTTGCTGCACCTTTAAAAATCACGCAATGCATCACTTTATTATTATTATTATTTTTTTTGAGACGGAGTCTGGCTCTGTGGCCCAGGCTGGAGTGCAGTGGCACGATCTCCACTCACTGCCACCTCCGCCTTCTGGATTCAAGCGATCCTCCTGCCTCAGCCTCCTGAGTAGTTGGGATTACAGGCACTCGCCACCACACCCGGCTAATTTTTGTATTTTTAGTAGAGACGGGGTTTCACCATATTGGCCAGGCTGATCTTGAACTCCTGACCTCGGGTGATCTGCCCTCCGCGGCTTCCCAAAGTGCTGGGATTACAGGCATGAGCCACGGCGCCCGGCTACGTAATGCATCACTCTTGACGTCACAATCAGCTAGGCTCTGAAGACAAATCCGAGTTCAGGCTGTGGATTGGCTGATCCCTCATGAATATGTAGATTACTCTCACCCTTCACCTCGCTCTGGTAGGTTCAGAAAAGTGAGGGGGTGGAGAGGAGGCGGGGCTGGGGGCGGGGCTGGAAACTGTTCCTGTGAGGGTTGGGGCAAGTAGTGGGGCGGGGCCAGGGACTATGGACGTGGTCAGAATTTTTGTACATTTCGTTCCCTGCCTTCTCCCCAGTACCTTTCTACAACAGCTCCTAGTACCCAGTAGGTGCTTCATAAATGTTTATTGACTCTGGATTCCAGTAGGAGTGATGCCTGAGAGTTCACTTTTCTGACCGGGGAGAAGGTCCTATTTTGCCTATAATGTGATAGTATCATTGGTATCATTCATCTTGATCTGCCCAGTTCTGGATGTTTGCATAATAACCTGAGCCCAGGCCGGGCGTGGTGGCTCACGCCTGTAATCCCAGCACTTTGGGAGGCCGAGGCGGTTGGATCAGGAAGGCCGAGGCGGGCGGATCAAGAGGTCAGGGATTCGAGACCAGCCTGACCAATATGGTGAAACCCTGTCTCTATTAAAAATACAAAAATTAGCCGGGTGTGGTGGCGCGCACCTGTAATCCCAGCTACTCGGGAGGCTGAGGCAGCAGAATCTCTTGAACCTGGGAGGCGGAGGTTGCAGTGAACTGAGATCGCGCCACTGCACTCCAGCCTGGGTGACAGAGTGAGACTCCGTCTCAAACAACCAACCAAAAATTATGTGTATACACACACACACACACATACACACGTATATATACATATATACACACATATACATTATATGTATATACACACATATGTATGTGTATATATATATATACACACACACACACACACACACATATATATATATATATCTCATGAGCCCCGTCTTACAGATGAGGAAACTGAAGCTTGGAGAGAGAATGCAAGGCTTAAGGGCATGCATGTCTTAAGTCAATCAGCAAATATTGAGGACCCAGAGGTGAGGAACTCCAGCTCCCTTGGTCGGGACTCAGCTCCTATTTGGCCCTCAGTTTTACCCCCACACATCCTGCTTCAGTCCTCTGTGTGGTTTCGAGGCCACAGTTGAGGGGCTCTCTGTTTTCTAACTCGGACCTAGGTAATTCCTACTTTTTTTTTTTTTTTTTTTTTTTTTTTTTAGACGGCGTTTCACTCTTGTCGCCCAGGCTGGAGTGCAGTGGCGCAATCTCGGCTCACCGCAACCTCCGCCTCCCAGGTTCAAGCGATTCTCCGGCCTCAGCCTCCTTAGTAGCTGGGATTACAGGCATGCACCACCACACCCGACTAATTTTGTATTTTCAGTAGAGACGGGGTTTCTCCATGTTGGTCTGGCTAGTCTCGAACTCCCGTCCTCAGGTGATCCACTCACCTCGGCCTCCCGAAGTGCTGGGATTACAGGCGTGAGCCACCGCGCCCGGCCAGTAATTCCTACTTCTACCCCCACCTTTGCTAACGCCATGCCCTGGGCCTAGCAGGTCACGGGTGTCTCCATCCCAACCCAGCATCTCCGACCTCCAGGGTGGGAACAGAGTGTTCCAGGCTAGGGAAACCGCACGTGCAAAGGCCTGGCAGCCAAACCACATTCAGTTACTGGAGAGAAAAGGGGAGGAGGAGCGGGGCCGACCTTGCAGGCTAGAAAGTTTGCACGGGGCAACTTTTGCGTCCCAGGAGAGAAGCCAGGGAGTCCCCTCACAGTCTCCCTCCGAGCTCAATAAATCTTGCACATTTCAAGCCAAGGCACAGAGCCTGAAAGAAGGCATGGGTTTTTGCTGCCCCCTGCTGGTCGCTGGAGCGAAAGCATCCGGAAAGTAATTTTAAAAAAAAGTCTCATTCTGTCGCCCAAGCTGGAGTGCAGTGGCGGGAACTCGGCTCACTGCAACCGCCGCCTCCCGGGTTCAAGCGATTCTCCTGCCTCAGCCTCTCGAGTAGCTGAGATTACAGGTGCGCACCACCACACCCGGCTAATTTTTGCATTTTTAGTAGAGTTGGAGGGGGGGGTTGCCATTTTGTCCAGGCTGGTCTCGAACTCCTGATCTCAAGTGATCCGCCCGCTTTGGCCTCCCAAAGTGCTGGGATTACAGGCGTGAGCCACCGCACCCAGCCGGAAAGTGAATTTTTAAGGGCTGATTTATTTTAAAGCTTCTGCAGTGCTTTCTCCGGGCCAGGAAGGACTTTATACATATTAACGCTTTGTGAGCTGGATTGGCCTCGTTTTCCAGAGAGAGAGAGAAAAACTGGTCCCCAGAGGATTCAGCTGCTGGCTCAAGGACACACAGCCATTCAATGTTATAAACCGGTTTCAAACCTGGGACAGTCTGGTTCTAAACTCAACCATTGTGTTTTTAGTGCATTTATTAATGGTAAGCAGGTATCATGTGCTAGGCAACAGGGAACAGAAAAACAAAATTCAGCCAGGTGTAAGGGCTCATGCCTGTAATCCCAGCACTTTGGGAGGCCAAGGCAGGAGGATCGCTTGAGCCCAGGAGTTTGAGACCAGCCTGGGCAACATAACTAGTCCCCGTCTCTACAAAAAATACTGAAAAAAATTAGCCAGGTGTGATGGTATGCATCTGTAGTCCCAGGTACTTGGGAGGCTGAAGCAGGAAGATTGCTTGAGCCCCGGAGTTGGAGACTTCAGTGAGCTATGATTGTGCCACTGCATTCCAGCCTGAGTGACAGAGGGAGACCCTGTCTCAACATAAAAACAGGCTGGGCGTGGCGGCTCAAGCCTGTAATTCCAGCATTTGGGAGGCTGAGGCGGGTGGATCAGCTGAGGTCAGGGGTTCGAGACCAATCTGGCCAACATGGGGAAACTCCATCTCTACTAAAAATACACACACACACACACACACACACACACACACACACATACACACACAAAAATTAGCTGGGCATGGTGACCCATGCCTGTATTTTCAGCTACTCGGGAGGCTTAGGCAGCAGAATTGCTTGAACCCAACAGGTGGAGGTGGCAGTGAACTGATACCGCACCACTGCACTCCAGCCTGGGTGACAGAGTGAGACTCTCTTTCAAAATAAGTAAATAATTAAAAAAAAAAAACCCCATAACATTAAAACAAAGCCAAACACACTTACTGTGCACTCATACCATCCTGTCATGAAACCCGCCAGGTTATGTTGGGTAGACAGACATCAAACAAGCCAGCGCATACATAAGCAGGGGGTTATAACTGTGATCCCTGCAGTGAATGAGAAGGGAGGGGAACCGAGGCAGGAGTTAACGGGTCGCAGTTTCAAATCCTGGCTCCACCACATACCAACTGTGTGGCCTTGGGTTTTCCTCTCCACAAACCTGCCCCTCCGTTTTCTCATCGGCAAAGTGAGAATTATAATAGAAACCTACGTTGTTGGTTGGTTGTGGTGAGGACAAAAAGAGTTGATCACAAGCTGCACATAGCAGGTGCTCAATAGACGTAAGGCTTTACTGTGTGGCTGTAGCATGCTCTGGGGAAAAGGAAGCTACCAGAGTTGTGAAGAGTAAATGTTTGCAGTGGGCACAGTGGCTCACGCCTGTAATCCCAGCACTTTGGGAGGCCCAGCGGGGAGGCTTGCTTGAGCCCAGGAGTTCGAGACCAGCCTGGGCAATAGAGTGAGACCCCGCCACTCCAAAAAGTAAAATAATAAACTGGGCATGGTGACGCACACATTTGTAGACCCAGCTACTCAGAGGGATCTCTTGAGCCCAGGATTTCAAGACTGGACTGAGCTAGGATGGTGCCACTGCACTTCAGCCTGGGCAACAGAGCGAGACCCTGTCTCAAAACAAACAAACAAAAAGTCAGTGCAGTCTCTCTCTCTCTGTCTCTCTCTTTTGGATCACACTCCAGGAAAAACCAGCCACCATGTTGTAAGGATGCTCAAGTAGCACTATGGAGATTCACACGTGGCAAAGAGCTGAGGCCTCCCACCAACAGCCACATGAGGGAGCCAGAGTAGGAGTGGCTCCTCCAGCCCCAGTCGAACCTTCAGATGTGACAGACTTGGCTGCTGACAGTTTGCAATCTCATGAGACCCTGAGCCAGAACCACCCAGCTAAATCAGTCCTGGACTCCTGATCAACAGAAATGGTGTAGGTCAGATAATAATGTATGTTTTAAGCTGACAGACTGGGGGATGGGTAAATTGTTATGCAGCAACACCTAACTAATGCACCCTGCATGTCACTTAGCCTATGCCTCAGATGAGCACTTATAGCATAGCTAGTGTTCCTCTGTCCTAAGCACATCCTTGCTCATTCTTAAGGAGACACTCAGTGGCGGAATTGGTGTATTTTATTTTTATTTTTTAATATTTATTTATTTATTTGAGATGGAGTCTTGCTCTGTTGTCCAGGCTGGAGTGCAATGGCACAATCTTGGCTCAATGCAAACTCCACCTCACAGGTGCAAGAGATTCTCCTGCCTCAGCCTCCCAAGTAGCTGGGATTACAGGTGCCCACCACCATGCCTGGCTTACTTATTTATTTATTTTTTGAGATGGAGTCTTGCTGTGTCACCCAGGCTGAAGTGCAGTGGCATGATCTCAGCTCACTGCAAGCTCCGCCTCCCAGGTTCACGCCATTCTCCTGCCTCAGCCTCCCGAGTAGCTGGGACTACAGTCACCTGCCACCACGCCCGGCCAATTTTTGTATTTTTGGTAGAGACAGGGTTTCACCGTGTTAGCCAGGATGGTCGCGATCTCCTGACCTCATGATCCACCCGTGTCAGCCTCCCAAAGTGCTGGGATTACAGGTGTGAGCCACCGTGCCCAGCTAATTTTTATATTTTTAATAGAGATGGGGTTTCACCATGTTTGGCCAGACTGGTCTCGAACCTCCTGACCTCAAGTGATCTGCCTGCCTTGGCCTCCCAAAGTGCTGGGATTACAGGCGTGAGCCACTGTGCCCAGAATTGGTGTATTTTTAAGGGTGCACATTCTAAATGTTTAACAACATTGGGTTAAATTTTAAAAGCTTAAATTGGCCTATTTCAAACAATAACCTGAATTCTAATCTAATACATTTGATTTTGGGCCACTACACAGCAGCTAAGAGAATGCCAGAGAGCCAGGGTTCAAGTACTGCTGTGCAGCCTCAGGCAGGTCCCTTAACCTTTCTGGGCTTTAATTAACTTGTAAAGTGGGGATACTATTAACAGAACATACCTCAGGGAGTTGGGGCGGGTTAAATGAGTTGAGTCATATAAAATGCTTAAACCAGGCTGAGTGTGGTGGCTCATGCCTGTAATCCCAGCACTTTGAGACACCAAGGCCAATGGATCATCTGAGGTCAGGAGTTTGAGACTAGCCTAGCCAACATGATGAAACCCCGTCTCTACTAAAAATACAAAAATTAGCTGGGTGCAGTGGCAGGCGCCTGTAATTCCAGCTACTCAGGAGGCTGAGGCAGGAGGGTTGCTTGAACCCGGGAGGCAGAGGTTGCAGGGAGTTGGAGGTTGCAGTGAGCCAAGATTGTGTCACTGCACTCTAGCCTGGGTGACAGAGCGAGACTCTGTCTTAAAAAAAAAAAAAAAAAAAAAAAAAAAAAAAAAAAAAAAAACAGAAAAAAACCCCTGCCGGGTGCGGTGGCTCACGCCCATAATCCCAGCACTTTGGGAGGCCAAGGCGAGTGGATCACGAGGTCAGGAGATGGAGACCATCCTGGCCAACATGGTGAAACCCCATCTCTACTAAAAATACAAAAAAATTAGCCGGGCATGGTCGTGGGCACCTGTAGTCCCAGCTACTCGGGAGGCTGAGGCAGGAGAATGGCGTGAACCTGGGAAACGGAGCTTGCAGTGAGCTGAGATCACGTCACTGCACTCCAGCCTGGGTGACAGAGCGAGACTCCATCTCAAAAAAAAAAAAAAAAAAAAACCCAAAAAATAAAACATAAAATGCTTAAACCAGTGTTATATGATTGAACATTCTTTTTTTTTTTTTTTTTTTTTGACAGGATCTTGCTCTGTTGCCCAGGCTGGAGTGCAGTGGCGTGATCATAGCTCACTGCAGCCTTGACCTCCTGGGCTCAAGCGATCCTCATGTCTCAACCTTCTGAAAAGCTGGGACCATAGGCATGCACCACCACACCTGGCTAATTGTTTGATTTTTTTTTTTTTTCGAGTTGGAGCCTTGCCCTGTGGCCCAGGCTGGAGTGCTATGATGCAATCTCGGCTCACTGCAACCTCCGCCTCCCGGGTTCAAACGATTTTCCTGCCTCGGCCTCCCAGGTAGCTGGGATTACAGGCTCCTGACACAATGCCCAGCTAATTTTTGTATTTTTTTAGTAGAGACAGGGTTTCATCATGTTGGCCAGGCTGGTCTCAAACTCCTTACCTCATGATCTGCCCACCTCAGCCTCCCAAACTGCGGGATTACAGGCGTGAGCCACTGCGCCCAGTCTGTTTGATTTTTTTTTGTAGAGACAGGGTCTCTCTTTGTTGCCCATATGGTCTTAAACTCCTGGGTTCAGGCAATCCTCCCGCCTCAGCCTCCCAAAGGGCTGAGATTACACGCATGAGCTTCGGTGCCCAGCCTGGTTCAACATGCAACACAGCAAGACCCCGTCTTTACAAAAAAAATGTAAAAAATTTTGTGGAGGATGGTGGCGCATGCCTGTAGTCCCAGCTACTCGGGAGACTGAGGCAGGGAGATCACTTAAGCCCTAGGAGTTCGAGACTGCAGAGAGCTATGATTGTGCCACTGCACTCCAGCCTGGGCAGTAGAGCAAGACCCTGTCTCTAATCAATCAATCAATCAATCAATCAATCAATCTATTGTGTAGCAACTGTGGGTGAAGGTGTGGACCAATCGGAACCCTCATGAACAGTGCGTGGGAATGTAAAATGGTGAAAATGCCGCTGTGAAAAACAGTTCGGCGGCTGGGCGTGGTGGCTCACACCTGTAATCCCAGCAATTTGGGAGGCCAAGGTGGGCAGATCACCTGAGGTCAGGAGTTCAAGACCAGCCTGGCCAACATGGCAAAACCCAGTCTCTACTAAATACAAAAATTAGCTGGGTGTGGTGGCGTGTGCGTGTAATCCCAGCTACTCGGGAGGCTGAGGCAGGAGAATCGCTTGAACCCGGGAGGCGGAGGTTGCCATGAGCTGAGATTGTGCCCCTGGACTCAAGCCTGGGCGACAGAGCAAGACTCCATCTCAAAAAAAAGAAGAGGAAGAAGAAAGAAGAAGAAAAGGAGAAGGAGAAGGGGAAGGGAAGGGGAAGGAGAAGGAGAAGGAGAAGGAGGAGGAGAAAGAAGAAGAAGAAGAAGAAGAAAAAGAAGAGGAAGAGGAAGAAGAAGAAGAAGAAAGAAGAAGAAGAAGAAGAAGAAGAAGAAGAAGAAGAAGAAGAAGAAGAAGAAGAAGAAGAAGAGGAGGAGGAAGAAGAGGAGGAAGAATTATTTGGCAATTTCTCACAAAGGTCAAACATGGAGCCACCATTTGACCCAGGAATTCCACGCCTAAGTGTCTACCCAGGAGAACTAAAAACACACACATCCATGCAGGGACCTGTCCATGAAGCTCAGAGCAGCAGGCTCATAATAGCCAAGACATGGAGGCAACCCAGGTATCTACTGAAGGATGGATCAGGACAGCATGGTCCATCCACACACTGGAATATTACTTAGCCATGAAAAGGAAGGAGCCTCTGACCCAGGCCACAGCGTGGATGAACTGTGAGGACCTCGTGCTCAGTGAGAGAAGCCAGACACGAAAGGCCACGCAGTGTGTGAGCCCATCTTTCTTTCTTATTTCTCTTTCTTTTCTTTTTCTTTCCTTCTTTCTTCCTCTTTCTTTCCTTTCTTTTTCTCTCTTTCTTCTTTCTCTTTCTTTCCTTTCTTCCTTTCCTTCCTTCCTTCTATTTCTTTCTTTCCTTTCTTCCTTTCCTTTCCTTCCTTTCCTTCCTTCCTTCTCTCTCTTTCTTTCTTTCCTTTCCTTTCCTTTCCTTCCTTTCCTTCCTTCCTTCTCTCTCTATTTCTTTCTTTCTCTCTTTCTTTCTTTTTGAGATGGAGTTACACAGTTTCGCTCTTCTTGCCCAGGCTGGAGTGCAATGGCATGATCTCGGCTCACTGCAACCGCCACCTCCCAGGTTCAAGTGATTCTCCTGCCTCAGCCTCCCAAGTAGCTGACATTACAGGCATGCACCACCACGCCCGGCTAATTTTATATTTTTAGTAGAGGCGGGATTTCTCCATGTTGGTCAGGCTGGTCTTGAACTCCTGACCTCAGGTGATCCACCCGCCTCAGCCTCCCAAAGTGCTGAGGTTACAGGCGTGAGGTACCACACCCAGCCGTGTGATCCCATTTCTATGAAATGTCCAGGACAGGTGGACCCACAGAGACAGGAAGGGGATGCGTGGGTGCTGGGGGGTGGGGAAGGGGGTAGGGAGTGATGGCTGATGGGGACAGGATGTCTTTTGGGGTGATAGGCTGTTCTGGAATTAGAGGTGGTAGTGGCAACACACCGTGAATGCACTACAAACCACTGAAGTGCACACTTTTAAATGGGTAAAATGGTAAATGCTGGCTGGGCACAGTGGCTCAAGCCTGTAACCTCAGCACTTTGGGAGGCCGAGGTGGGTGGATCACTTGAGGCCAGGAGTTCAAGACCAGCCTGGCCAACATGGCGAAACCCCATGTCTACTAAAAATACAAAAATTAGCCAGGTGTGGTGGCGCTCACCTGTAATCCCAGCTACTCGGGAGGCTGATGTAGGAGAATCGTTTGAACCCAGGAGGTGGAGATTGCAGTTAGCCAAGATCGTACCACTGCACTCCAGCCCGGGCAACAGAGTGAGACCCTGTTTAAACAAAACAAAACAATAAATAAAATGGTAAATTCTGTTATGTGAACTTTACCTGCATTTTTTCAAAATTGTATAGTTTATTCTATAGTATCTCTCTGCCCCACTGGACTATCTCCATGAGGACAGAGACCAGAGCGATCTTAGTTAAACAACTGCTGGCTGTGGGCGGCGGTTCACATCTGTAATTCCAGTGCTTTGGGAGGCAGAGGCCAGATCACTTGAGCCCAGAAGTTCGAGACCAGCTTGGGCACCATAGTGAGACTCCATCTCTACAAAAAATATAAAAATTAGCCGGCTGTGGTGGTATGTGCCTGTAGTCCCAGCTACTCAGGCTGAGACAGGAGAATTGCTTGAGCCCAGGAGGTTAAGGCTGCAGTGAGCTGAGATCATGCCACTGCACTCCAGCCTGGGCGACAGAGCAAGACTCCATCTCAAACAAACAAACAAACAAACAGCTGTAATATGATCAAGAAATGCATCTGGCTTCAGCAGACAGATCCCAGATACCCGATCATTAGAGCTGGTAACTTTTTTTTTTTTTTTTTTTTGAGACAGAGTCTCACTCTGTCACCCAGGCTGGAGTGCAGGGATGCGATGTCAGCTCACTGCAAACTCTAACTCCTGGGTTCAAGTGATTCTCATACATCAGCCTCCCGAGTAGCTGGGATTACAGGTGTGTGCCACCAAGCCTGGCTAATTTTTTTGTTATTTTTTTTTTTTGTATTTTTAGTAGAGGTGGGGTTTCACCATGTTGGCCAGGCTGGTCTCGAACTCTCAACCTCAGGCGATCCACCTGCCTCGGCCTCCCAAAGTGCTAGGATTACAGGTTTGAGCCACCACGCCTGGCCCCTGGTATCTATATCTACATTTGGTTTCTCTGAATATCCCCTCCTTCAACCCCTCACCCTAAACCTGCATTTCTCTCCAGCCCAGGTGCTGGATGGGGCCAGATACACTTGGTCTGTGTGGATGACAGAGAGAGGAAAGAAAGAGAAGAGTCAGCCCTTTAGCAAGTAAAACTTTTATTAAATAAATTTTTAGTTGTTTTTTTTTTTTTTTTTTTTTCTCCAGACCAAAGAGAGGCGTTTTGAACATTAAGACGCTTTGCTGCTTCTCACCTGAAACACGTAACAGGAACACCAACCTCTTCAGCCGCGGGAAATCTTCTTTGACACAAAACTCAAACCGAGTCAACCCAAAGTTCCAAGTTCTTTGCTTTCTCTTCTGTGTGTGTGTTGGTTTGTCCCAAAAGTCAGTTTGCAAGTTGAAACTTCATGAAATTACTCGTAGCAGAAATAAAGTACATTGTACAAATCACGCAGGTCTGCGATGTGGAGTATAAAAATGGTATTTACAGCCAGTAAACATGGACCAGAAAGACACGTACAACTGCACACCGGCACACACTCCCAAGCAGGCCCTCGGGGGCCTCGGCGGGCGCCGCGGACACGGGTGAGGCCCCCTCGAGGCAGATTGGCATGGCACACGCTTGCACACGGGGACACACGGAACACAGGCACGCTAGAGGAGAGTCTCGAAACAATTATCAAACTCTGGAATATCGAAACAAGTTGGTTCAGAAGATTTTTTTTTTTCTTTTCTATTTTTTTTTCTTTTTTCTTTTCTTTTTTTTTTTTTTTTTTTTTTCTGTGTGGTTTCCCCCACCCTACCGCCCCCCCTCCGGGTCAGTCAACACATTTTGGTAGAAAGAAAAGGAAATGCTTGGTTTTTTTTTTTTTTTTTTTCTTTCTTTTTAAATGTTTTTTTCTTTTGAGCTTATTAAGTTATCTGGCGCCTCATTTGGTAAGAGGCCTTGCCGGATGTCCAAACGAACTTGATGCTGTGCTTTGACGTGGGTGTCGCGGATTGGGCAGCTGTACAGAGGCACCCTCACAAAGACACCCCACCCCACCCCACTCCCAACTAGGAAACAAAAATCCATTGTGGTTTGATTTTTTCCCCCCATCTTTTTCTTCTCTTTTCTTCTTTGTACCTGCTCAGAAAGACCGGAAAAAAAAAAAAATCTCTGTAGAGGTATGAAGGTCATTATCAAGTTCGTCTCCAGTTAAAGGGGTGCTTGGCCGGTCCGGGTAGGGTCTTCCGCTACGCTTGGCAATCCTGGTTACAAGACCTTAAATTCGAGGCTGGTGATTCGAAGGCAGGGACAATGGCTGCCTGGCCTTGGGAGGGGGTGGTGAGGGGCAGGGGGGCTCCCCCCAACCCTGTCCGCCCCCCCCCTCCGACGGAAAGCTAAGGGCTATTGGTCACATGAGTAAGGCTATGACTCGGGCAGGGGAGCAGAGAAGGGCTGAGGCAGGCCAGAGCGTCTCTGTTGTACCTATATCCATCCCGGAGGGCAGGGCTCTGGGACGAAGGGGCGAGGTGGGGTCTGGAGGCTGCAGCTGGGACCAGGGACACTGAAGCTGGCAGAGCCCAACGGCCCTGGAGAATTGGTGGTGGGGGGTGCCAAAAGTCCTGGAGGTATGTTGTGTTGGCGGGTTCCTGGTGGGATGTGCCAGCCAGGAGGTGGTGGGGGTGGGGGTGGGGCACCTGGTATGTGTTGCGCGGGGTCCCGCCAACCTCAGCCCTTCCTGTGTCCCCCGCTGAGTGACCGGCCCAGGGTCACTCTACTCGGATGGAAGGAAGTCGGAAAAGTTTGGTCCCATGATCCGTACTCAAAATATATATATACTGTCTATAGATCTATATATATATGCATATATATATATATAGGAAAAGGTGTGATTTAGTTTGGGGAAGTCACCAAGTTTTGTGGGGAAGAAGCGAGAGCGTTTCCCAAAGCAGGGGGGGCGTGTGAACACTTCTGCCCACGATTCAGGAGCCTCCCCCACCCCCGCCCCTGCCCCAGGACAGACCCCAAAGGCCCCTCGCCACTCCAGGTGGCCTCCAGTAGAGGGGCAGGGCAAGGGGAGAAGAGGGGAGGAAAGGGCTGGTGTCCAAAGAACGGTTGGAATTTATGGGTAAGTCCTGGATCGGTTGGAAGCAGAAAACCCTCCTGGGATGGGAAGGCCCCTCACCTGGGGGAGAAGGGACGGGCGTTAGGGAGTGAGAACGGGGCCACACAGGTGGACACCACCTCCCCACCCTACTCCACCCGGCCAGGCTGGGATCTAGGAACACAGGGGCTCCCATCTTTTCCAAAAGAACAGATCCCACAAAGGCCAGAGTTCAGAGGCCAACAAACCCAGCTTTCAAAGAACTTAATGTCACCATCACCAAGCCCATTTCCTCCTCCTCTGGCAGCTGGGGACAGATATTTCTGTTTATTTTCTGTCTCTCCTTCCCTACCCCCTGCCATCTAAGGCCCGTGAAGGGGGTTTCTCCCCTGTCCTCCATCCCCCGTTTCTGTTCATTCACAGCTGCGTCCCCGAGCACTGGAACAGTGCCTAGCACATAATAGATGCTCAGTTAAAAAAAAAAAGTGCAGACTGAGAGTTAAAAGTGAAGGGATCGCAGAGAGCAGCTTTGGATTTTGCTTCTGGTTGGCAGTTCCTGAAGGTGCGTTCTGTGCAGGTAAATACTCCCAAATCTGTGTGTGCTGACCCGGGAGAAGGTGAAAAGGCCAGACAGCTTCTAACTGAGCGTCTACTCTGTGCCAGGCCCTAGGCGAGACTCTGATGACGACAGCGATGGTGATTTAAAAAAAAAAAAAATCAAAACGAATCATCCAGAACTCTTTAGGTGATGGGTTCTGGGCTCGGCTGCGAAAAGATGCCCCACTCTGTTCCCTAGGTGGACCGTTTCCGCCGTCTCTGGGGAGATGACTTTCTTGAACCCATTTTACAGATGAGGCTCATCAAGGTTTGAGACCCACGGTTAAGTTTCCACAGTGGCCCCACAAGGTTTACTGTTCATCCCCCCACAAAAAAATGTTGAGAAAGTGGTTTGCCCTGATGGCAAACTACAGTCTGGGTTTCGTTTTGCTTGTTTTTCTTGCATGATGGTGGGTGGGGCACGAATCCCACTTTTCCATCAACTCATTGGGTAGGAATGACACCCAGTGAGGGGCCGCTTGTCCCAGGGGAACTAGTGGAAATGGAGCGGGGACACTGGAAGCTGTCAGTGCCAACTGGACTGGGCCCTGAGCACTGTCCCCACCTTCCACGCTCCACTCCTGGTTCCGAGTTGGGGTCCAACCTTAGGGTTTGGGGTCTGGGGTGGGCACTTGGCATTTCCGTCTGGTGTTGGGTTTTCAGCAGGGAAAACAGACTCATAGGACAGGACAGAACCCCCTCCCCACCGCACCCCCACCCCCAGAGCAAACCTGGCCTCTCAGGTGAACTTCTATTCAGCCCTCAAAGCCTTCTCCGGGAAGGATTCCCTAACCGACCTCACTGGGCCCTGGCTCACCTCAGTCCCTACCCCATTCCCACCCTCTGCTCCAGCCCCAACCACAGGGGGATCGGGGGTGTCTACATCCAGCTCTGTCCCCGCCAACCCAACCCGGAGGTTTCTTGTAGCCTCTTGAAGCATCACCCCACCTGGGGAGGGTTTGGAGCATGAAGTGGGCCGCGGGAGGGGGTTTCAGACAAGACGGGGGGCTTGGGCGGGGGTGGGGCCGCCTGGCGGCTCACCTGGGCCATGCCTACAGCCTCAGGGCGGCTGTGGGCGCGGTCAGTAGGGGTGTCCCGGGTCTTTGGGCCGCTTCAGCTGGACTTTGAGCCTCTTCATGCCGATCTGGAAGCCGTTCATGGCCTGGATGGCTGCCTGGGCGCTGGCCGGGTTATCAAAGCTCACGAAGCCTGCAGAAACCAGGGTGGACCTCCGTGGTTGGCGCTGCGGGTGTCCTCGGCTTGTTCCTATGCTGTGGCCCTGGCTTCCCGGCTCACGGGGTCCTGAGCAGGCCTGCGTGCACACCTGCACAGGCCAGGGTGTTTGTGGTGGAGGACACACAGCAGCCCTGGCTTTGTTCTGACACCTCTGGACTTGTATACCTCTGAGGATGGGGCACTCACTCCTTATCTTGGGGTCGGCTGTGCTGAGACTTCCCAGCTGGTATAGGGGCCAGGTGGGGCTTCCGAGGGTCCTGGAGGGCCACCTTTTCCCCACCTTCCCTCAGGAGGATGCCTGCCTCCTTCCAAGCCCTCTGTCCAGCCAGGATCTGTGTCTCCAGCTGACTGTGTGTCCACAACTTTGTCTCTCTCTTTTTTTTGCAGAAGGGAGTGGGGACAGGATCTCACTCTGTCACCCAGGCTGGAGTGCAGTGGCGCAATCTCAGCTCACTGCAGCCTCGACCTCCTTGGCTCAAGAGATGCTCCTGCCTCAGCCTCCTGAGTAGCTGGGACCACAGGCCCATACCACCATGCCCAGCTAACTGTCTCTGTTTCTCTCCCCTCCCCTCTTTCTCTCGTTCTCTAGCTTGAGTCTTTTCTTCCTCTCCCTCTCCTTCTGTCTCATCTCTGTCTCTTTCTCTCCATCTCTGTCAGTACCTCTGCTCCAGTCTCTGTCCAGAGGCCATCAGAAATACTCCACCCCATGGCCAGGCGTGGTGGCTCACGCCTGTAATCCCAGCACCTTGGGAGGCCAAGACGGGCAGATCACCTGAGGTCAGGAGTTTGAGACCAGCCTGGCCAACATGGTCAAACCCCGTCTCTACTAAAAATACAAAAATTAGCTACGCATGGTAGTGTCCACCCGTAATCCCAGCTACTCAGGAGGCTGAGGCAGGAGAATCGCTTGAGCCTGGGAGATGGAGCTTGCAGTGAGCCGAGATCGCACTGATGGCACAAGACTCCATTTCAAAAAAAAAAAAAAAAACAAAGTCAAGGGCTGACCCTTTAAACAGGACAGTGTGAGGTTAACAGTCTGGTCTTTGGCCGGGTGTGGTGGTTCACGTCTGTAATTCCAGCACTTTGGGAGGCCGAGGCGGGTGGATCACCTGAGGTCGGGAGTTTGGGACCAGCCTGGCCAACATGGTGAAACCCCATTTCTACTAAAAATACAAAAATTAGCCAGACGTGATGGCGGGTGCCTGTAATCCCAGCTACTCGGGATGCTGAGTCAGGAGAATCACTTGAACCCAAGAGGCAGAGATTGCGGTGAGCTGAGATCGTGCAATTGCACTCCAGCCTGGGCAACAAGAGTGAAGCTCTGCCTCAAAAAAAGCCAAAAAACAAAACAAAAAAAAAGAGTCTGGTTCTACTCCAGGTTCTTCTACCTCTTTCCTGCTGTGTGACTTTGGACAAATTGCAGCCCTTTTCAGAGCCTTAATGTCCTCTGTCTTTGGGTACAAGGAAGTCCTCCCTGAGGCTCACAAGGCCCTGGTCACCCTCCCCTGTCCCCTCTCCATGTTCCCCCTCCTCCCTCTCTCCCCCTCCTCACTCTGCTCCAGCCACATGGGCCTCCTCACTGCTCCTCCAACATGTCAGGCGCCGTCCTGCCTCGGGGTCTTTGCATGGGCTGTTCCCTCTGCCTGGGACACTCTTCCCCCAGATTTCCCATGCCTGGTGCTCCTCATTCAGGCCTCAGTTCTTTTTTTTTTTTTTTTTTGAGTCGGAGTCTTGCTTTATTGCCCAGGCTGGAGTACAATGGCACGATCTCGGCTCACTGCAACCTCCACCTCCACCTCCTGGGTTCTAGTGATTCTCCTGCTGCAATCTCCTAAGTAGCTGGGATTACAGGCACCCACCACCATGCCCGGCTAATTTTTTTGTATTTTTAGTAGAGATGGGGGTTTCACTGTGTTAGCCAGGATGTCTCGATCTTCTGACCTCGTGAACCACCCACCTCAGCCTCCCAAAGGTCTGGGACTACAGGTGTGAGCCACTGCGCCTGGCCATTTTTGTTTTTTTGTATGAGACAGGGTCTTGCTGTGTTGTCTGGGCTGGAATGCAGTGGTGTGATCATAGCTCACTGCAGCCTCGACCTCACGGACTCAAGGGATCGTCCCACCTCCATCTCCCAAGTAGCTGAGACTACCAGTGTGCACCACCAAGCCTGGCTAATTTTTTTTTTGTATTTTTTGTAGAAATGGGGTCTTGCTATGTTGCCCAGGCTGGTCTTGAACTCCTGGGTTCAAGGGGTCCTCACACCTCAGCCTCCTGAGTAGTTGGGACTACAGGCACACGCCACTAAGCTCAGCTAATTAAAAAGGTTGTCTTTTGTAAACACGGGGTCTCATTATGTTACCCAGGCTGGTCTTGAACTCCTGGACTCAAGCAATCCGCCCACCTCAGCCTCTCAAAGTGCTGGGATTGGCCAGGCGCAGTGGATCATGCCTGTAATCCCAGCACTTTGGGAGGCCGAGGCGGGCAGATCACGAGGTCAGGAGATGGAGACCTTCCTGGCTAACACTGTGAAACCCCGTCTCTACTTAAAAAAAAAAAAAAAATTAGCTGGGTGTGGTGGCGGGCGCCTGTAGTCCCAGCTACTTAGGAGGCTGAGGCAGGAGAATGGCGTGAACCCGGGACGCAGAGCTTGCAGTGAGCCGAGATTGCACCACTGCACTCCAGCCTGGGCGACAGAGCGAGACTCTGTCTCAAAAAAAAAAAAAAAAAAGAAACCCAAACCAAAACAAACAAAGTGCTGGGATCACAGGCGTGATCCACTGTGCCCGGCCACAGGCTGGTTCTGATTGTGATTATTTCAGCACAGCCCTGTCCCGAGGCCGACCAAAACCCTCCCATTCCCTGTCAGGGGGCAGGCGAGGGAGGTGGATGGGGAGGGGTGGCGTCGGCGGCCACTCACCGAAACACTTGCTCTGGTTGGTAGCTCGATCCATAAACACCTTGGAGGAAATGATATTGCCGAAGGGTAGGAACATCTGCGTCAGCTCCGTGTCTCCAAACTCCTGGGGGAGGTGGTAGATAAACAGGTTACAGCCCTCGGGACCTGCAGGTGGGGGAGAGAAAGACATAAAGCCCCCAAGGAGAGGAGGCGAACCCCCCCGGGGGAGGGGCACAGGTCTGGAGCCCGCATCTGGCTTCTCCAGCTGTCGGGAGAGGGGTGCCTCAGACACCCAGAAAGAAGGGGCCTGGCCACGGGCTGGGGAGGGAGACGGGACACACCCACCCCTTGCCTGCACTGTACGATCTCACACGGGGCTACTCCGCACCAAAATGGTCCTCAGACTCCAGATAACTGACAAGACCCAGGGGATCCCCTGCTCCCCAAAGCCCAGATCAACCCTCAATCTCTGACCCCAGATACCTGAAAACCCCGAGGAAGGCCACCCTCCAGAAAATCCCTCCCTAAACTTCAAACTCTGGATCATTTACAAAAGTCAGATGAGCTGGGTGTGGAGAATAAGGAAACTTGGTAATATCTTTGCAATAATAATAATAATAATGTCTCTAAAATAAAACTCATTTGTAAAACTCTGGTGTTCAGCCACCATGCGTTGCTAATTTTTTTTTTTTTTTTTTTTTTTTTTTTTTTTTTGAGATGGAGTCTCGCTCTGTCGCCCAGGCTGGAGTGCAGTGGTGCGATCTCGGCTCACTGCAACCTCTGCCTCCTGGATTCAAGCAATTCTCCTGCCTCAGCCTCCCAAGTAGCTGGGACTACAGGTGCCCACCACCAAGCCCGGATAATTTTTGTATTTTTAGTACAGATGGGGTTTCACCATGTTGGCCAGGCTGGGCTCAAACTCCTGACCTCAAGTGATCTGCCCGCCTTGGCCTCCCAAAGTGCTGGGATTACAGGCGTGAGCCATTGCACCCAGCCTGGCTAATTTTTGTAGAGGTTTCGCTATGTTGCCCAGGCTAATCTGGAACTCCTGGGCTCAACCGATCCTCCTTCCTCAGACTCCCAAGGTGATGGGATTACAGGGGTGAGCCACTGCGTCTAGCCAAAAAAAAATTTTTTTTATTATTTCCCTTTCTCAAACCCCAGCTAGGGATAACTCCCCAGACCTTGGATAATTTTCAAAACTCAGATGATGCAGAAACAAAATCAGGTGAAATAAAAAGATAATTCTCTGGTCCCCAGTCCCAGATATCCTAAAACTACAGATAATTAAACTACAACATAATATACCAACCATAAATAATTATTTTTAAGTTACAAATAATCCTCTAAATTGTCCCCTCTCCAAATCCCTGATGGATGGCTAATATAAAAACTATAAATAACAATAGCCTTTAAAACCTTGTTCATCTGAAGCCTTAAACAGTCCCTCAAGTCTGCTGCTAATCCCAAACCTAAAAATGACCTTCTTCCATTCCCACCCCACAACAAGAGGAATCCCTGCGCTTGCCAGCAATGGATTTTTTTTTAAAGGGACAGGGTCTCTTTGTTACCCAGGCTGGATTGCAGTGGCACAATCATAGCTCACTGCAGCCTCTAACTCCTAGATTCAAGCAATCCCCCCACTTTGGCCTCCCGAGTAGCTGGGACCACAGGCACGCACCACCATGCCTGGCTAACTTTTAATTTTTTTGTAGAGATGGGGTCTCACTATGTTGCCCAGGCTGGTCTTGAACTCCTGGCCTCAAGCGATCCTTCTGCCTTGCCCTGCCAAAGTGCTGGGATTACAGGTGTCAGCCACTGCACCTGGCCAAAGCTTGTTTTCTTTTGTTTTGTTTGTTTGTTTGTTTGTTTTGAGATGGAGTTTTGCTTTTGTTGCCCAGGCTGGAGTGCAATGGCGTGATCTTGGCTCATCGCAACCTCTGCTTCCCAGGTTCAAGAGATTCTCCTGCCTCAGCCTCCTGAGTAGCTGGGATTACAGGCATGCGTCACCACGCCCGGCTAATTTTTGTATTTTTAGTAGAGACAGGGTTTCGCCATGTTGTCCAGGCTGGTCTCGAACTCCCAACCTCAGGCAATCTGCCCACCTCAGCCTCCCAAAGTGCTGGGATTACAGGTGTCAGCCACTGCACCCAGCCAATGCTTGTTCTTGAAATGTAAGTCTGTTCCAATGTAACTGAACAATTTTGAGCATAACCTGAATTTTGCATTTGTTCGTGCACTGCTTCATCCCCACCAAAACTGTGGGCGACCGCTGAAAAACACATCCAGCTGCACTGACCTTCAGAAGAAAATACACGCTGCATGCCACACACCCTCCCACAGCTCCCCCAGTGTGCTGTGAGCTGCACCTTCCCCATCCGGGGTCATGCTATCTGTCTGATTTCAGACAACCCTCCCTCCACCGTTTCACAGTCACATGCAACAACCCTTTCGATGCCGTTTCCACGTGCACATTCTAGGTCTTCTCCAAGGCCAAGCACGGTATTTATTGTAGTCTCATGCATTTCTAAACCACATAACATGGAGAAAACAGTGCTACCATTTCTACTACGTTCCCATCTTTCTTTTCTCTTAACGTGTCACTGATAAAGATTTTTGATTTTGTTGTTGTTTTGTTGTTTTGAGACAGGGTCTCCCTCTGTTGCCCAGGCTGCAGTGCAGTGGCATGATCTTGGCTCAGTGCAGCCTTGACCTCCTGGGCTCAAGTGACCCTCCTGCCGTGGCCTCCCAAAGTGTTGGATTACAGGCGTGAGCCACCGCACCCAGCCAGCTTTCCTCGTTTTTATTTTTTTAATTTAATTTACTTATTTATTTTTGAGATGGAGTCTCGCTCTGTTGCCCAGGCTGAAGTGCAGTGGCGCAATCTTGGCTCACTGCAACCTCCGCCTCCTGGTTCAAGAGATTCTTCTGCCTCAGCCTCCCCAATAGCTGGGATTACAGACACACGCCACCACGCTCGGCTAATTGTTGTATTTTTAGTAGAGATGGGGTTTCACCATGTTGGCCAGGCTGGTCTTGAACTCCTGAGCTCAGGCAATTCACCTGCCTTAGCCTCCCAAAATGCTAGGATTACAGGCATGAGCCACCTCGATTGGCCTACTGTTTTAAAACTTCATTTAAGTGAAGTCTTTTTTATCTGGCTTCTTTCACTCAATATTCTGCCTGTGAAGTTATTCCATGTTGTTGTGAGTATTGGCTACTTATCCTTTTTCACTGCTGTATAGTGTTCCATCGTGCAGCTCCATCCTAATTTATTTATCCATTTACCTGCTGATGAACACTTGGGTTGTTACCAGCTTGGGATTTTTTTCTTTTCTTTTCTTTTTTTTTTTTTTTTTTTGAGACGGAGTCTTGCTCTGTCGCCCAGGCTGGAGTGCAGTGGTGCGATCTCGGCTCACTGCAAGCTCCGCCTCCTGGGTTCATGCCATTCTCCTGCCTCAGCCTCCCGAGTAGCTGGGACCACAGGCGCCCGCCACCACACCCAGCTAATTTTTTCTATTTTTTAGTAGAGACAGGGTTTCCCCGTGTTAGCCAGGATGGTCTCGATCTCCTGACCTTGTGATCCGCCCGCCTCGGCCTCCCAAAGTGCTGGGATTACAGGCGTGAGCCACCGTGCCCGGCCTTTTTTTTTTTTTTTTTTTTTGAGATGGAGTCTTGCTCTCTCACCCAGGCTGGAGTCCAGTGGGGAGATAGTAGCTCACTGAAGCCTTGACCTCCTGGGCTCAGTGATCCTCCTGCTCCAGCCTCCTGAGTAGCTGGGACTACAGGTGCACACCACTACACCTGGCCAATTTTTAATTTTTTTGTAGACATGGGGTCTTGCTAAGCCAGGCTGGTCTTGGACTCCTGGGCTCAAGTGATCCTCCCACCTCGGCCCCCAAAACGCTATGTAATTACAGGCGGGATCTACCGCACATGGCAAGAACTGTATGGATTTGAACCCTGACTGTCAGACTCCAGAATCGAATCCCTCCCTCCTTCGACAGCCTTGGCTTTACTGGGGAGGCCTCATTACCTGATACCTCATCGTGCCATGCCCCAGCCTCAAAAAGGGTTTCCTTTCCAAAAAATCCAGAGAATCACTCTTGGTTCTGGAGAGGGCTGGTAGGAAGTCACTGCTATTCCTACGGGGTCGGGGCGAGCATGGTTCTCTTTTCGGAGGAGGAAACAGAGAGGGAGATTCCCAGGGGTCAGCGGCTGCACCGGGACTCAACTCTGGCCTGTCCAGCCCCCAGGCCGCACTCTCAGCCCCGCGGGTCCCAGAGGCCCGGGCCAGACACGGAGCCTGCAGGTGGACAGGGCGGGCAGAGGGCGGGGCTGGCGCCCAGGGGAGGTTGCGGCCGCCTCACCTTCTCGCTGCTGCTGCTGCAGGAGGGGCGGCGGCTGGGGGACGCTGTGCGCGATGGGCGTGATGGCCGCGGTGGGGTACATGGCTGCGGAGACCGGAGCGAGACACAGGGCGAGGAGGGGCGTGAGGCCACGTGGGCGGCCTGGGCCGCTGGGCGGGGAGGGGGCGGGGCCATAAGAGGGTGGGGCCAAGGCAGGAGTGGGTGTGATCATGGCCTTTGTGGGGAGGGTTTGGGGGCGGGGCCAGGCCAGAGGGCGGGGCCAAGATCACAGACGAAACGGGGAGGGGCTATTGCCTGAGGGGCGGGGCCATGGTGGAGGGCAGGGCCAATACCGAGACGGGGCGGGGAAGGGGGGGTGGGGGCGGACCCCATGGCGTGAGGGGAGGGGTATAGGGGTTGGGCCACAGTAGAGGGCGGGGCCAAGGCTACAGGACAGTCCAGAGTGGGCGGGACCATTGCTTGAGGGGTGGGGTCACAGTGGAGGGCGGGGGCAAGACTGGGATGAAGGGCATGAGTGGGGCGGGGCCGTGACTTGATGGAGGGCTATGTGGGCAGGACCATGAGTTAAGGGGCGGGGCCGCAGCAGAGGGCGGGGTCACAGCCAGGCCTTAAGAAGTAGAGCCAGAGGTAGGGGCGGGGCTTTATCAGAGAGGCGTGGTCAGAGTAAAGGCAGGAAGTGAGGGGCGGGGCTAGGAGCTGCAGGAGGGAGGGTAAGGGGCAGGGCCGAGAGCTGGGGTTGGGTCAGAGCTAGAGACGTGGTCAAGGGGAATTCCCTCTCCCCAACACAGAACATGAGAGGGTAAGGCCATGGGTAAGCGCTGTCCTTAAAGGACAAGGGAAGGTCCTGTTTGCGGGTATAGGTGGTGGTGGGGTGGGACCAGTAACAGGGCCCGGGGTTGAATACAGGACAAGGGGCTAAGGGTGGGCCCTGAGGGGCGGGGCCAGAGGTAGGAGGCGCGGCTAGGCACAGAAGAACGACACGTCCGGGGCGGGCCCTGGGGGCGGGGCCCTAGGCGGGGGCGGGGCCAGGGCCCAGCGCGGGCACGCGGGCTGCCTCCTACCTGTGTACTGCTGGACTCCGGAGAAGGCAGGATGCAGTGTCTCGGCCACAGTCGGGCTCTGAGCTGCGGGCAGACAGAGGGGCTGAGTGGGGCGGGAGCAGCAGAAGTCTTCCATCCACCCCCGATCCTTAAGAGCCGCAAGGACAGCAACAAACACCCCGCCCAGCTTCTCCTCTGTGCTAAACCCTCTGTAGGACCAGGAAGCTGAGGCCGAGGAAGGTGAAGCCACTTGCACAGGGCCACTCAGATAGCAAATGGCAGAAGCTGAACTGGAATCCGGGTTTCTCGGACTCCAGAGAGAGATCACCATCGTCCCCATCTCCCTCTCCCTATCCCGACCCGGTTGCCTCCCAAGGGGGACCCTTCACTCCTCTCTACTCCCTGGATTCACCAGGACTTCAGCCTCCACCTCAAATCACCACCTGCCCCCATCCCCTGCCCCGTCTCCCTCTCCACATGAGTTTCCTCATCAGACACCCTGTAGCTCCCCCATCTAGCTGTAGCCTTCCTGCTACCGCTAGGGAAAGGGGTAGGGGAGGGAAGAAGTTGTCCAGGCCACCAAAGCTGATGATTCTGGGGAAAAATTCAGCCAAACAATTCTGCCCGAATGGAGAGTGTGCTGGAGGGCAGGGGATAGTGGTGGTGACTGTGACTTCAAAGGGGTGGCAGGAAGGAGTTCACTTTGTGGGCAAGAAGCAGTTCTGTATCTTCACTGTGGGAGATCCACAAGTCTGCATCTGTGACAAAATGGCAATTAACCGCCCCTGCACACACACACACACACGTGCACAGAGTGCATACAAAAACTCGTGAAATCAGCTGGGTGTGGTGGCTCACACTTGTGATCCCAACACTTTGGGAGGCCGAGGAAGGAGGATCGCTTGAGCCCAGGAGTTTCGAGACCAGCTTGGGCAACATAGCAAGACCCTCATTTCTTAAAAAATAAAATAAAATCGAAAATTAGCCAAGCATAATGGCACGTGCCTGTAGTCCCAGTGACTTGGGAGGCTGAGGTGAGAGGTGAGAGGATCGCTTCAGCCCAGGAGTTCGAGAGTTCAAGGCTGCAGCGAGCTATGATCACGCCACTGCACTCCAGCCTGGGCGACAGAGTGAGACTCTGTCGCTAAATAAATAAATGGTGAAATTTGAATACCGTCTGGAGTTGAATTAATTGTATGGTGCCAGTGTTAGTTTCCTGGGTTTGACAGTGACCTATGATTAGATAAGCTGCTGGCATCAGGGAAGCTGTGTGAAGGGTACCTGGGACTGCTCTGTGGTATTTTGGTAACTCCCTGTGAACCTCCAATCATTTCAAAATAAAATGTTAAGGCCAGTCACAGTGGCTCACACCTATAATCCCGGCACTTTGGGAGGCCTGCTTGAGCCCAGGAATTTGAGGCCAGCCTGGGCAACACAGCAAGATCCCGTCTGTACAAAAATTTAAAAATTAGCCGGGCGTGATGGCACATGCTTGTAGTCCCAGCTACAAGGAAGGCTGAGGTGGGAGGATTGCTTAAGCCCCAGAGATGGAGGCGGCAGTGAGCTGCGACGACACCACTGCACTCCAGCCTGAGTGACACAGTGAGACACTGTCTCTAAAACTAAATAAATAAAAATAATTAAAAAAATAAAAAGTTAGAAACAAATTCTCCTACATGGTGGAAAGACAGATAACTTACTTCACATAAATTAGATGTTGGAAGATGTTTGCCCTAAAATTGTAGGTGTAGCATAGAGAAAGGAAGGACCTCTGCTTCATGAAAGCAGGTGCAGCCTAAATCAGTGGGTCATTCATTCTGTGTTGAATGGATAAATGAATGAATCCAGGCATTGATATCTCCCCAAATGACACAGATGAATAATTAAGATTTATGGGCTGGGCGCAGTAGGTGAATCACCTGAGGTCAGGAGTTCGAGACCAGCCTGGCCAACATGGTGAAACCCCATCTCTACTAAAACTACAAAAATTAGCCGGGCATGGTGGCATGCGCCTGTAATCCCAGCTACTTGGGAGGCTGAGGCAGGAGAATCACTTGAACCTGGGAAGCGGAGGTTACAGTCAGCCAAGATTGTGCCACTGCAATGCAGCCTGGGCGACAGAGTGAGACCCTGTGTGAAGCCTTTTGCACACAGATTAAATTGTCAATGCAACCCTCTGAGGCTACTGATGTTATCTGCCCCATTTTCCAGATGAGCAAACTGAGGCTCAGGGACGTAAAGAGCCCATCCAGGGTCACTGAACTGGAATTTAAGCTCAGAAACATCCAGATGCACCGTTTTAATGTGTTATTACCCTGCCACGGCCTCCCTTCCTGTGTCCACAGCTCTTATCTGCTCAGCGGAGACACCCTTTTTCCTGCCCTTCTGTTCCCTGGGCACTGTGATGTAGGGACTCATACTTGTTCCAGAAACACCATCTTTATTCCCCACCACTCTCCTAGGCCCCAGAGGACGACCCCAATTTACCTGGGTAGGGCACAAGGCCATTGGCATAGACGGTTTCCAGGGCAGGGTGCCCACCTGGAAAGGGCACGACACCTGCAAAGCCATTGGTGATGGGAGCCACGAGGCCAGGCACAGCGGTGGTGCCCAGCAGCGGGGGTGAGTGCAGCCCTGCAGAGCGGAAGAGGGTCATGGGGAGGCCAGTTCTGGCTCCAGCCCTGCCCACCCATCCTTGGGTGCCTGGAGGAGGCTCACCAGAGGCAGGAGCGATGGGTGTGGCAGGCAGCCCGTTGAGGCTGACGGCGCCTATCTGCTGGATGTGACAGGGTGAGAAGGCCACGCCGGGACTCAGGTAGCTGCCCGAGGTGGACAGGACTGTTGTCTGCTGTTGCATGAGCTGGGGGTGAAGACATGTCACAGTTGGGGTGATATCTGCCCTGAGATCATGGCTTATGAGGGGAGGCTTGGTACCCCAGTTACTAGTGAGGAGGTCAGGCTGGGTATCTTGGCTCAGGCTGAGATCAGAATTGGAGCTCAGACTGGGATCAAGGCTCAGCCTGGGAGCAGAGATCGGTTCGGAAGTGAGGCTCAGGCTGAGATCAGGGCTCAATCTAGTCAGGAATTGGGGCTCAGCCTGGGATCAAGGCTCAGCCTAGGATCAGGGCTCAGTTAGAAAAGCGAGGCTCAGCCTGGGACTAAGGCTCAATCTAGGATCAAGGCTCGGTTAGGAAGTGAGGCTCAGACTGAGATCAAGGCTCCATCTAGGATGAGGGTTTAGTTAGAAATTGAGGCTCAGCCTGGGATCAGGGTTCAGTCAGGAGCTGGGGCTCAACTTGGGATCAGGTCTCAGCCAGGGTGGAGCTTGATCAGGTCAGGTCTCAGTTTGGGATCAGTCTGGATTTGGAGGTTCAGCCAGAATTGGGCCTAATTTAGACGTGGAGCATAGCCAGGTTCTGGGGCTCGGTCCAAGATTGGGTGTTACTGTGAGATTAGGGCTCAGTCTTCTGGATTTAGGGGCTCGGTCTGAGCTTGGTCTCAATTTGGAGTTGGGGTTCAGCCACGCCAGGAGAGGACCCTGAGTCAGGGAGATGGAGGGAGAGGCAGGAGCCCGACAGAGAGTAGACAGAGACTGAGAGAGACGGAGCCGGAGCCCCGAAGCTGTCACTGGGTCACTCACAGCCTGGGCGTAGGCACTGTAGGGGCTGAAGGGCAATGTGAGGGACGGCGTCAGGATGCCCAGCTGGCCCACCATCTGCTGCATGCGCCGGAGCGTCCGCTCCTTGTCCGTGTCGGCGAACTTGACCACCAGGCTGGAGGAGGCTCCCTGCAGGGGCAGCGGCGAGCAGGGAGGGAAACGGGCTGGGAGGTAGCCAGGACTCTGGGGTCCCTGGATTCATGTTAGCTCAGGCCTCCTGGGTGAGGGGTGTAATGCCAGTGGCTGTCAGCCATGTCCACGGGCCCCCACCCCAGGAGCCAGGGCCACAGCGAGGACCGCGTGGAGATCAGCATCCTGGGCCCAGCAGCATCTGCACAGGTGCAGCGCCCAGGCCTAGGAGGCTGTGATGGGGCACAGGTGGGGGCCCTGACTGTCAGCCACACACTCAAAACAGATGGAGAATCCCGCCGCTGGAGAACAGGGAGGCACAGCTGGAGGCACCTATGACTTCCGCTCACCTGAGAACAGGTGAGAAACCAGCTTCCGAAGGAAAACAGTGGGCTCAGGTGGACGAACCTGCCATTGTCACCCCACACCTGAAACTCCAGTCTCCAGAGAGGAACAACTGGGGCACAGATGGGTGAGCCTCCAATTCTCACCCACACCTGAGAACAGGTGAGACTCCAGCCACAGGAGAGGAACAAGGCGGGACAAGTAGATGATCCTGACTCTGTCCTCCATGCCCTGGAGCTAGCAGGCAGTTCGGACCCGGATTTTTTTTGTTTTGTTTTGAGACGGAGTTTCGCTCTTGTTGCCCAGGCTGGAGTGCAATGGCGCGATCTCGGCTCACTGCAACCTCTGCCTTCCAGGTTCAAGTGATTCTCCTGCCTCAGCCTCTTGAGTAGCTGGGATTACAGGTGCCCGCCATCACGCCCAGCTAATTTTTTTTTTTATTTTTAGTAGAGACGGGGTTTCACTATGTTGGCCAGGCTGGTCTCTAACTCCTGACCTCAAGTGATCCGCCCGCCTCGACCTCCCAAAGTGCTGGGATTACAGCCACCACGCCCAGCCCCAGCCCCAGATTTTTGTGCCCTTTGCAGGCAGATGAACCTGTGGCCCATCCACCCAGTGGACAGCGGACAGTAGCCACTGGTGGGGACTGGGGGCCCTGCTTTGCTGGGGCACAGACAGAAACCCATGTGACTGCCATCCCACTCCATGGCTGTCCAGGTGCCACAGGGCTGGGCTGAAATCCACCAACAGGCAGCCCTGGGCAGTCGAAGCAGCGGTGAGCCAGGGAGTGTCTGTCTGTGCAGTCAGGATGCTGCAACAGGTCCTGATATCGGTAACAAGAGAAGCCTGGTGGCCGGGCACAGTGGCTCATGCCTGTAATCCCAGCACTTTGGGAGGCCAAGGTGGGCAGATCACCTGAGGTCAGGAGTTCGAGATCAGCCTGACCAACATGGTGAAACCCCGTCTCTACTACAAATACAAAATTTAGCCAGGTGTGGTGGCGCGTGCCTGTAATCCCAGCTACTTGGGAGTCTGAGGCAGAAGAATCGCTTGAACTCGAGAGGTGGAGATTGCAGTGAGCTGAGATTGCCCCATTGCACTCCAACCTGGGCGACAGAGCGAGACTCTGTCTCAAAAAAATAAAAGAGAGGCCTGAGGCAGGGGCCAGGAGGCCATTCCCACCCCTCACAAACCAGCCCACACCCCGACTCTGGGGCTCAAGAAGGAAAATATCTTCCCCTTCGACCAGCTCCTCCCTGGTGAGCTGGCTCCCACAGGATGCACCCTGTTGCCTCCCTGTCTTCGCTGACATGCCTCCTCCGATAGAGAACTCACTCCTCCAGACGCCTACCAGCCCTGTCCTGGGACATCTCTGAGCTTGGGAACACTTGCCCTTGTGCTGAACTAAGCCCCTCCCCTGGGTTTTAAGAGCTGAGAGAGGTGGCTTGTTCCTCTCAGGTCCCATCTTCCTTGTAGCAGATTCGGAGATGTGGGTGCAGGAACAATGGCTTCTGGGGACTCCTTCCTCGGGGGAAGGGCAGTCCCCAGTGCCTCCTTGGTCCTCCCCAGCCTCTCACTGCTGCAGACTCTGGGACCTGTCCCCAATCCCCACCCCTCCCTCAACCAGTGAGTCAACAGGCCCCCCATCCATTCTCACCCTAATGTCTGTTTTCTGATCAGCCCTCCTCCCTGTCCACCTGGCCCCAGCTCAGGCCTCCTCCTACCTCAGCTGGACCTTGGCCTAGCCTCCTCTTTGGCCTCCCAGCCTCTAGTCTTGCACCCTGCCCATCCTCTACATTAGCCCCAAAGGGATATTTGCAACCGACCTGGCCTGTCTCCTCCCTTGCTCTAAACCGTCTGTGGCTCCCCACTGCCCTAGGAGAAAGTCCAGGCTTCTCAGCCTCGCATTGCGGCCCCATCTTCTATGGCTCCTCTGGGCTACCTGTTGCCACCTCCCAGCCTTTCTTTTTGTCAGGGCCTCTCCTGGCCTCAGCAAATCCAACCCAGGTGTCATCCCCTTAGGATACCCTTACATGTACACACATACACACTCACCCACTCACAACCTATACTCACACAGACCTGCATATACTCACAAACGTGTACACAATCACCCACAATACTGACACACTCACAGTCATGCACACACACAAACACACACACACACACACACAAACCTGCCCACAAATGCACCTGCAGATGCACACACATGTGCTTCCTCCCCCGTGGCCCAGGCATACTCACACACACGCTCACACACATAGAAACACACATGTACACTCTCATACACGCACACGCACTAGTATCTCTACACTAGCACACAATGGCACACTTATCCATACATATTTACGCACACCCCTCGTGCACACAGCACTCACATAACACTCGCCTACTAGTAATGACACACTCAAACACGCACTCACACACACACATGCATGCAGTCTCGGGCACACTCACACCCAGACATGCACACTCACCCACACGCACACACTTGTAATACATCCATGCACACACATACACTTCGCTTGCCTACTCACCTCCACATCTGCACACACTCACACGTGTATACCCACTCCAGGGACCACAGCCAGGGACTGCGCCTCTTTCTCCACCTGTGCCCCCTCTGAAGGACAGCCAGGGGCTACCGGATGACAGCGACGGTAGGAATATGGCCTGTTTCATCCCTGTCCCCCTCACCCCTTTCCCACCCCCACCCCCACGGCCAAGGGCAGCTCCAACTCACCGGCATGGTCTGGCTCCCATGCAAGGCGTGGATGGCCGCCTGCGCCTCCGTGTGGGAGGAGAACTTCACGAAAGCACAGCCTGCTCCAAGAGAAGAAGAAGAGGTAGAGGGTGATGGGGTCACAGGACTGGCTGAGCGGGGGCCACAGGAGAGGGGACACAGAGACCTACATGGCCAGTGTCAGACACATGCAGCCAGAGAGAACTGATAACAGAAAGACAGCCAGCCGTTTGCTCAGACGGACAGCTGGACAATCAGCCAGATCAAGGGTCAGAATGGAGGAGAATCACACAGACAGACAGCCACAGTTAGACAAAGACCTGGTCACCCACACAGCCAGCCAGGCTAATGCAGACAGACAGCCACACACACAGAGACCACCAGACACAGGTGAATGGAAACACAGTCCCACCGACAAAGTCCATAGAACATACAGAGGCCACTGCACCTGGCTCCAGACTGGTAGAGTACTATGGAAGGGCCAGCCATATTGTGGAGGGAGGGGGTGGAATGTTCTGGAATTACATAGTGGTGATGGTTGCACGGTTTTATGAATAGAAAAAAAAAGCACTTCATTGTACATTTTTAAAGGGTGAATTTGGTAGGATGTGGAAGACATCTCAATTTTTTTCTTTTTTTGAGTCAGAGTCTTGCTCCGTCACCCAGGCTAGAGTGCAGTGGCGTGATCTCGGCTCACTGCAACATCTGCCTCCCGGGTTCAAGCAATGCTCTTCCTCAACCTCCCGAGTAGTTGGGATTACAGGCGCCTGCCACCACGCCCAGCTAATTTTTGTATTTTTTGTAGAGACGGGTTTCACCATCTTGGCCAGGCTGGTCTTGAACTCCTGATCTCGTGATCCACCTGCCTCAGCCTCCCAAAGTGCTGGGATTACAGGCGTGAGCCACCACGCCCAGCCCTCAATTTTAAAAAGGAAGAACCAGGTAATGGTCTGAAACCGTCAGACACATTCAGTTCTAGTAAGGTAAGAAAGACCAGAGTGGAGTCGGTCCCACATGATGAGCTCTGTGGACAGAGACCGCCAGACACCGTCATTTGGACTCTCAGGCAGGAAGATAGACAGACAGACACAACCAGAGACCACCAGTCAGTCATATGGACAAATCACATAGACAGAACCAGGAGGAAACAGTTTTACGAATAGTCAGGTGGAGGAATCTGAGACCACAGGGCACAGGTAACTCTGTCCGTGGAGAAGCCCCGCCCCTCCCCAGACCCCGCCCCATCACAAGCCACGCCCCTGCATCCCTACTCACAGGCAGCACCTGGAGAAGCCCCCCCGCCTCCCACCAGACACCGCCTCATCCCAAGGTACTGCCCCTGCATCCCCATCCATAAGCAGCCCCTGGAGAAGCCTTGCCCTTCCCCAAGGCCACGCCTCTGCATCTCCGCCCACCCCACCGCAGCCCCGCCCCTCTTCAGGGCCCGTCCCCACAGCCAGCATGCAGAGAGAGCATGCAGGTAGGATCAAGCGGGACCAGTCTCTGCTCCACCCAACCCCTGTGAACCAGCTTCTCCCAGCCAGCCCCAGCCTCCTATTGGCCTGGCCCCGCCCCACCTGGCCAGCCCCACCCCCTATATGCTCAGCCCCGACCCTTCCCAGGGCCTCTCCCCCTGGAGCCAGTCCCTCCTAACTCTACGTATTTCACCCCTCCCTGCAGTACCTCCCCTACCCAAGACCCCACCCTTGCAGCCTCACCCACAGACTTCAGCTCTGGAGAAGCCTCGGGCCTCTCCAGGGCTACATCCTCAGAGCCAGCTCCTCCCCACCCCTGCAGCCACACCTCTCCCCAAGGGCCCACCTTTGGAGAAGCCCCACCCCTCCCCAGGGCCCTGCCCCACAGGCCCCGCCCTCAGAGGCAGCTCCTCCCCACCCTGCAGCCCCATCCCCTCCCCAGGCCCCGCCCCTGCAATTCCGCCCCTCTCCAAGGCCCCGCCCCTGCAGCCTCACCCACAGACTCCACCCCTGGAGAAGCCCCGCCCCTCCCCAGGGTCCCACCCCAGAGCCAGCTCCTCCCCATGCTGCAGGCCCCACCCTCCCCACAGGCCCCGCCCCCAGAGCTAGCCCGGCCCCTCTCGCAGTCCCGCCCCGGCCCCCGCCAGTCACCTTTGCTGCTGCCGTCAGGCCCCCGGAGCACGGTGCACTCGTCAATGACCCCGAAGGGCTGGAACAGCCGCAGCACGTCCTCCTCCGACTGCTGCTTGTTCAGCATCCCCACGAACAGCTTCCGGTCCCCTGTGGGCGGCGACACCCACCTCAGCCGAGTCCCCGGCCTCCGGGAGGGCCTCCGGGATTCCTCCCTCCCTCCAGCAGAGTGGAGGCGGCAGGGCAGGAAGACGCGGCGCCCGGGCCCTGCCGGCTCCGGTTCTGCGCGTGCGAGGGAGGACCCAGCCGCGCCCTTTCCCTGCCCCGGATCTCTCCACCCTCCCACGGGCCCTGCACGCTCCCATCTCCCGGCCTTTGCCCAGGTGGCGCCCCCGCCTGGAATGCCCTCCCTGCAGTCTTTTGGGGTCTCTGCTCCACTGCTCCCCCTCCAGGCGGAGATGACCTTTCCCTCTGGTGCACTCAGAGAGCCCGCACCGAGTACTAGGGCTAGGAGCTGCCTCGCCGGGCCTGGGTCCCTGTCTGTCTGTCTGTCTGTCTTTCTGTCTGCTCCCCGGACCTGCCAGGCGGAGGTGGGCACTGATGGTCCCCGCACTTTCACGGTGCCCAGCAGAGGCCCCTGCCCAACTTTGTCGGGATCAAGAGGGGCCAGGCAGTCACCATCTGTGGAGTGGAGTGAGGGTTCACGTGCTCAGTGGACCAGGGGCCTTGGCAGGCTGGACCCCCTGCTGGGTGGGGCTGGGCTGGAACCTGGTCTGAGGCCGGAGCTGGGCCAGCCTCTCCTGTGTGAGCTCTGCCCCCTTGGGTAACTGCATGCTCCCTGGTAATGGGGAACGTGGTGGCTTCATCTCCTAGGGACGGTGAGCTGGGTTACTATGGAAACCGCTCTCGGCAGCTGTCACTCATGGGGGTGGGAGGGAGAGAGAGAAACCAGCAGAGAGACTGAGAATCAGGGAGAGAGAGAGACAGATCAGAGAGAGAGTGCGCGCGAAAGAGACTGTGAGAGACAGAGAGAATAAGAGGGATGAAGAGACAAGAGAAGAGAAAAAGGAGAAGGAGATACAGAGGGAGATGGAGAGAGAGACAGAGAAATAGAGACAAAAATGGAGACATACAGACCCCACCTCGCTACTCCCTGTCCCACGCTGGCAGCCAGGGTGGAGAGTGTGAAAGGGGCTCCCATCCCAGAGGGCCTTTACCGGACTCCTACATATACCTAGGTATCCTAACACTCCTGCTCCATGCCTCCACTCAACCAAATCTGGCTGCCCTCCTTCAGTCTCCACTTGAGATGGAGAGGAAATATACAAATTTCCAAGAATGACTAGATTTGGGTCCCATGGGAACAGCTGAGTATGCCCCCACCATGGGCACACCCTGACACCAAGGTCCAGCCCCACACAGACAACACTGGCCCCAGCCTGCATGTCTGCCCACATGCCCAGCCTCCAACAGTCAGGCACACATGTGCAAACACACACACCCATGCGCGGGCTGGGCACACGCACATGCACACAGGCAGGAAGGCATCCCCACTGCATACCACACATGTGCGCTTATGTGCACCAGCTGCAGAAACACAAATGCACATGTGCACGTACTCACACACATCTGCACACAGGCATGCCAGGTGTGCACAGTCATATACACACACATTTAAGCATGCACACATAAACACACACATTTCCACACGGAGACCCCAGAGAGCAATCCACAGCCCTTCAGGCCCCCATTGTCTGTGTCTGAAGCCCCCCAGTTATTGCACCCTGAAGGGAGTGGAGTATTTCAAACTCAGGAGAAGGCAGCTGGACCTGGCTAGACCCCCCATCCTCCCTTGGGGCCTATGGACATAGCCCCTTCTGCTCTCTGGAACCTGCTTCTCCCCCCACCAAAAGGTGTGTGAGCAGGCATGCGACTACTGCATGCTTTGGGGCAGGGAGGCCAGTTCCAGATCCACAGGCCTCGGCCACTGCCCCTTTTGCAGGAGAGAGGAAGGAAGAGATTTTCCTTCTTCTCCCATTCCTCCGCCAACCCCCAGCCTGGCAGCCACGGAGAGATGACAACTACCTCCGCGGCTTTCACTGTCCGCAGGCTTCACCTGGATTGGCCGCGCCATCTGCAGAGAGAGGGGGAAGGGAAAAGTCAAGCTTAGCAGTGGGGGTGTGGCAGGCGGGGGGTTTTGCCTGAGCTCTGCAGGCCAGCCCTGCCCACCTCCCACCACCAGCCCTCAGCACCCCACCACCCAACTAACACCCCAGTCAAAGAAATTACACACTGTCCCACCTACAGCGGAAACTGTGTGGCGAACTCTTAGCTCTCAAAACCCAACAATATCCCTTCCTCCAGGAAGCCTCCTTGCTTCCCCAAATGTGATAGGCCCAATTCCTCCAGTCCCTTTATGCGATGTGACTTTGCAGTTCCTACCATCAAGAACTAGAGTCTATTTTCCCACTCCTGGCACCTGAACTTGGCCAAGTGACTTGCTGTGACCCATAGAATGTGGTGGAAGTTAAGTTGCGGGAGTTCTGAGCCTAAGCCTCAAGAGACCTTGTGGCTTCCACTCTTGGAACTCTGAGACTGCCAGGTGGATAGGCCCAGGAGGAGGCCCCTCCTCCTCAGTAGGGGAGGAGGAGGGGCCTCATGGAGACAGAGGCCTCTCTGACAGCCACCTCAGGGGAGTGAGGCCACCCTGACCCAGCTAAGCCCAGTCAAGTCTCAGCTGACTGCAGCTGCTTGAGCGACCCCAGGAGAGCCCAACAGAAGAGCCGTCCAGCTGAGCCCAGACCAAGCTTTGCAGAATCGAGAACAAATACAATGACTGGAGTAGTTTGTTACTCAGCAGTGCTGACTGATACACCAAAGTAGCTACATTTAGCCACATCTCCCAGGAGCTTTGGGTGGAGTCATGCCAGGAGCTTTGGGTGGGGACATACCTGAGTGGACCAGCCTGCCATCTGGATTCATTGTTCTAGACACTTTTGTCCCCCACCCCAGGCATTGAAAATGATATTTAATGAAAAAAAAATTCTCACTGGCACCAACTCTCACAACATACCAAGTCCTAGGTATGAGCTATTTTGGATCGTTGAGAACAGGCTCCAGGGATGTGAGAGTTGGGGAGGCATTTGCATCTCCACTGGTCCTGGGACACAATCCTTCTCCCAACCTGATGTCTGTGGCAAACTCCCACTCAACCTTCAAAACCCAACTTAAAAGCCCCCATGCAGGGACTCTTCCCACTCTTCTGGGCTCCTTCCTCCCCCTCCCTCAGGCTGTAAGTGTCTATGTCTTGCTCTGTCTCTCTCCAGACAGGGAACCACGGCATCTCCCCACATGGGGAAGGACACATGGAGGAATTGGAGAAACCTGCTGAACAGAATGGGCCAGAAGGAAGTGGCCAACTTCCACCAACACAGAAAGGCGTCTGGAATGGGAATGAGTGCTACTCTCAGACCTTTTTCCAAGTCAGACAAACTTGAAATAGATTCCCACATCCCCTGAGTCCTATGGGTTCCAAAGTGCTCTTTCTGATCTTCTGACTTTTGAGTTTCAGCAGAGAATACGCTTGAAAAAGTGCCAGGTTTTCTTTTTTTTCTTTTCTTTTTTTCTTTTTTTTTCTTGGGACGGACTCTCACTCTGTTGCCAGGCTGGAATGCAGTGACGTGATCTCGGCTTACTGCAGCCTCCACCTCCTGGGTTCAAGCAATTCTCCAGCCTCAGCCTCCCAAGCAGCTGGGACTACAGGCACGCACCAATACGCCCAGCTAATTTTTTTTGTATTTTTAGTAGAGATGGGGTTTCACCATGTTGGCCAGGATGGTCTCGATCTGCTGAGTTCGTGATCCGCCCACCTCAGCCTCCCAAATTGCTGGGATTACAGGCGTGAGCCCCTGCACCCGGCCAAATGCCAGGTTTTCTAATCACAGCATAGCTGCCCAACAAGCTTCAGAGAGAGGTGCAATTTTCACCCCTTTCTACAGATGTCAACATTGAGATTTCTGTTATTTGTCTAAGAGAGAAGTTATTTGTGTAAGGCCATGGTGAGTGAAGAGTTTCTGGACTCCAGATTCAGTGATCTGTCCACCCACTGCCATAAATAATGCCTCCTCCCCATTTTGGGACCCCCAAAGTCTCCCCACTGAGCTCTGTCCCTCGTGATCTGACACCTTCTCTAAGACCCGTTCCAGCTCCGTGCCCACTCTTCCACCCTCAGCAACCCCTTATTTTGCACTCCCCTCCTCAGAGACCCCTCTGGATTTCCACCTCCCACCCCCTCAGCTTCCCTCCTCTCGCTGAGCCTCTCCTGCTTCAGAGGCCCTTCCTCATCTCTGGGTCCCCTCCCCTCTCTAAGACCCTCTCCCATTCTGACACCCTCCTTCCTGAGTGTATGTCCCGGGCACATATGCTTTCCTCAATTTGAACTCAGTCTTTGGGGCCCCAGAAACCAAGAGGCCCCTGCCTCCCTGATCCTGTGCCCCCAATCCTCCCAGCCCAACCTTCCTGCCGCCCAGCCGCACCCTCAGAGGGACCCTGATCACCTAGGAGAGGAAAACCTCCATGCTCTTCCCCCACCCAGCCAGCTGGACCCCTTTCCCACCCCACATCACCCATGCATACACACCGGGGCCCTTTCCACCTGGGTACCACACCCTGCTAGGCTGGAGGCAGGAGGGGAGATGGTTTCAACCAGATGGGACCAGCTTCTGGGCTGGAAGCGGGGGGGTGCCAGGGGAGGTGGGGAGAGATGGGGGGGCACCTGCAGGAGCTCCAGACTCCTGCTCCCCCCACCCCTCCCACCCCACCTCCGTTGGCCCTCACCTCCTCCCCCCTCCCAGCACCTTGGGCAGATGAGGATGGGGTTGCCATGGCAACGCTGATTCACCACACGGAAGCTGGCAATTGTTGTTGCCATGGAAACCGCCTCTTAGGGGCGAGCCCAGCTCCTGCCTTGCACAAAAGAGATATTTAAATATAATCTTCTGGAGATGGACGAGGGAGGGAGGGAGGGGCGGCCGCGGGGAGAGAAGCTGCCCCCATCACCGAACCCTCCACCCCCACCTTGTTCTGGGGTTGGGGGGCTGGTGTACCTGCTCCCCATCTCCCCACCCGCCACAGAGCCTGGGACCTTCCGCCTCCTACTGGGAGGTCCCTTCCCCCCACCGCTGGGTCAGCTCGGGGAGAGGGTCGGCCGGGGAGAGGGGGTCCTGGTCTGGTCCAGTGAAGCCAGTTGGGTAGCCCCCTCCTCTCCAGGCCTCCACTCTAAAGCCGAGCTCCGCGGCCCGGCCGTCCCCACCCCGCGGCCCGGCGCCCGCCTTACCCACCGGCCTGGAGACGCGCGCCAGGCTGGCATCCACGTGCCGCCGCCCGCCCGCCCGGCCGCCCCGGGCGCACAGGCGCGCACCCGCCGCACTGCACGCTCGGGCCCCGCGCCGCGCGCCCTGCGCCCGACGCCCAGGCGGGCCCTGCCCGCGCTGCCCGCCCGAGCCGGGAGGAGGCGTGCCAGGCGGGGATCTGGGTCTCCCCACACCCCACCCCTCCTGTCGCCCCTGCCCGTCCATCTGGCTCTGCCCACCTCCTCCCGGCTCCCTCTCTCCATCTGTCCCACCGAGGTCTCTGCCGAGTGCACTCCCTCCCTCCTCCACCTTCTCTGGCTCCCCATGGCTGCGTCCCTTCCCTGACCCTTCCCTTCCTCTCCGTTTCTTCAGCAGTATTCCTGCTGTGCCCCATGACTCTCTGGTTCTGGGGCCCCCAAGGCTGAGTTCAATTTTGGAACTCCAGGAAGGACCCTTCACCAGCCTGGCGGAGCGGGAGACAGAGCCAGACACAAACTCTCCCATGGGGTCAGGGTTGGAGCTGGGAGAGCTGAGGGTAGAGGAGAGTGAAGAGCCAAAGGCTGTCCTGGGCCTGCACTGAAGATGGAAAATTCACTGTGAATTTTGGAGTAGGAGTCGGAGTTTGGAACGATTGGAAACAATTTTTCATGTTGGAGCAACACCCACATCTGCTGACCCGTTTAGTCTTAAGACAACTTAATGAGATGAAAACATGCATTTCCATTTTACAGATGGGCAAACCAAGACCAGAAAGAAGGGAGAGGTCGGGAGGCCAAGGAGGGAGGATCGTTTGAACCCAAGGAGTTTGAGGCCACAGTGAGCTATGATCGCTTCCACTGCACTCCGGCGTGGACGACAGAGCCAGACCCTATCTCCAAAAAAGGGAGAGGGGGAAGGGAGAGGTGTCCTAAGGACCTAGACATCCCTCCAACCAAGGGGTCCTGTGGGCTGGGGAGCGTTTTGGCACTGTGGGCATGGGTGGGCTTGCACTGGCTGGCCGAGAAACAGTCCTTTCTGTCTGACCTGTGTATGCTAGAGATGGGGAAACTGAGGCCCCTTGGGGGGTGGGGAATGGGAACGACTGCAGGAGGAGTGTCTTGCAGTGAGGCTGGGGCAGCCAAGGAGTCTCTGGGATCTGCAAAGTTGTGCCTTTGGAAGAGTAGAGGTTCAGAGGAGGGGCCGGGCGCGGTGGCTCACGCCTGTAACCCCAGCAGTTTGAGAGGTCGAGGCAGGTGGATCACCTGAGGTCAGGAGTTTGAGATCACCCTGGCCAACATGGTGAAACCCTGACTCTACTAAAAATACAAAAAAATTAGCTAGGTGCGGTAGTGCACGCCTGTAATCCCAGCTACTCGGGAGGCTGAGACAGGAGAATCACTTGAACCCGGGAGGCAGAGGGTGCAGTGAGCCAAGATTGTGCCATTGCACTCCAGCCAGGGCAATAAGAGTGATACTCCGTCTCAAAAAAGAGATTTAGTGGAAGCCCCAGATGGGTTATTTCCAAGTGGTGTGGAGAGAAGGAAGGAAGGTGGACCCCTTATCTGGGCTGCCCCAGACACCCATTGACCTTCCTCCCCTCCCACCTAGGCCCCAGTCCAGCCTCTCTGAAACACCCAGGCCAAGCCCCTCCCCTGCTCTAAACGCTGCTGTGGCTCCCTATTGCTCTCTGGGTAGAGGCTCAGCCCTTGATCCTGGCATTTGAGGGCCCTTTGCTGCTCAGCCCCAGTCATTCCTCCCCGCTCCTCCTGCCATGGCCCCCTGAACGTGGCTGGTGACAGAATGCCCCCCCGCTGCACCCCATCCTTACCCCTCAAACGCCACCTCCTCCCTGAAGTCTTCCGTGCTCTCTCTCCATCTGCTTCCATTGTCTTGCCCAGGCATTACCTTGATTACGACCCCTCCCCACTAAACACACACACTGCCCCTCACTTGGGGTAGCTCCGGTGGGAGGCAGGGGCACAAGGGCACTGGGCTTTGTGACCCTCCGTTCCCCACCAAGACCCTTAGCCCAGGGTCCACAAATGACAGCGGAAATGATACACGGGTTTGTAGACTCCTCGGAAAGCAAAACCCAGGCTCCATCCCCATCAGCCAAGAGCATGCCGGGCACAGTGCCTGGCACGGGAAGTCACCCAAGAGCTGGTGCCAGGCAGTGTCTTACAATTTGGTGTCTGCACAGGCCCAGAAAGATGACACGACGCCCCGAGTCTCGCAGCTTGACGTGCCCAGGATGGTTCATTCATTTATTCATTATTCATTCATTTATTCTGTGCCTGTGTGCCGAGCTCGGGTTCTGCGTTCAGCACCTGACAGGCCTCACCTTACAGAGTCCTCCAAACACTTCTAGGTGCCGGGTGTGGTGGCTCACACCTGTAACCCCAGCACTTTAGCACTTTGGGAGGCTGAGGCGGGCGGATCACCTGAGGTCAGGAGTTCGAGACCAGCCTGGCCAACACGGTAAAACCGCATCTCTACTAAAAATACAAAAAGTAGCTGGGCGTGGTGGCGGGCACCTGTAATCCCAGCTACTCGGGAGGCTGAGGCAGAAGAATTGCTTGAACCCAGGAGGCCGAGGTTGCAGTGAGCTGAGATCAAATCACTGCACTCCAGCCTGGGCGACAGAGCGAGACTCCATCTCAAAAAAGCAAAACAAAACAAAACAAAAATCTACTTCTAGGGCCCCATTTTATAGATGACAAAACTGAGGTCTGGGGAGGTGAAACTGTCACACTGGGCGTCTTAAGGCCCCTTGCCCATTCTCAGGTTTGGTTTCACTCTGGGCCAAGTCCTGCAGCATGGAGGTAAGCAGGGGAGGTAGGGGTCCTGCCAGGGGACCACCTCTGTGACCCTGCACAGAGAGGGGTTTCAGGAGGGCAGCATTACTCAAGGCAGCTGCCACGTCTGAGCAGGGAAGGACACGCAGACACACAAATTCATCTTTTTCCAGGGCAATCAGATGAGCAGCAGGGTGGCTGAGGGTGCTGGGATGTACCTCAGCCCCCAAGACTCTTGTAAAGAAAGAGACAGCAAAGTCCCAAAGGTCCTGGCCCCTCCCTCACTGGCCAAGGGACAGAAGCTGGACCCTCTGCCCCTCCCCGCACTGTCCCAGTGTTGGGGGGCTCTCTGTCTCCAGGAACCCCAGGCTCTGGCTTTGGGGATGGGAAGTGGTGTCCGGGGCTGTGACGGCCCAGCCAGCAGCTTCCCCTGGAATCTGAGCCTCAATTCCAGGGTCCCACGGTCCATTCCAGGATCTATTCTGGGATTCTGTTATTCAATTTCGGATCCTATTCCAGAATGCTGAGAGTTGATTAAACTACGTCCCCCATGGACACTGCTGTCACACTTGTGCGGGAACCGGAAACGGGGGGGTTGCCCTCTCTTCAGAAAGCAGCAGTATTGGGCCGGGCGGTTGGTGGGGGGGGCTCCCCTGTGCCAGGATGAGGGGGTAGAAGTGGAAAGTCAAGCAAATGACCTGGATCACTCCCCTCCTGGCTTATAAAGAGACAGAAGGGTCCACTCGTACTGTCCCCCAACACACACGCACACGCACACACACACACACACATGCACACACGCACACGCACACACAGAGGTGTTTTCTTGGGTGGGGGAAGCAGGGCACAGGAGAGATGGTGGCTGTCTCGGTGTCTCACGTGACCCAGCTCCTCCCCGACTCCCAGGCTGTGCTCGTGCGGGCGTGTGCAGGCACGTGAGCCGCCTGGGTGGGCTTTTCCAGCACAGGGCGAACCTCGTGCTTCAGCTCCCTGCAGAGGAGCTGTCAGCAGGAGCTCAGATGAGCGAGCGTGCTCAGACGTGGCTGGCAGGCCGGGGGGTCTTCCTCCCCAGCAGCCCCCATCCGCCCCTCACCAGCCTCCCATTCTCACTCCAAAAGGCTGGCTCCATTTCTGCAGGCATTCCTGGGAAAAGGTGGCACACGCCACAGGTCTCACCTTTGCCAAGCAGGTGGGTGTTAGCCACAGAGGCTGATGATCCTGGGGATACACTTGAGAGAAGTGTGACGTGTGTCCACCAAAGAACACCCTTGAGGATCTCTATTTGTCTCAACAGACATGTGAAACAACCCAAGTGTCCCCCAACAGGGGAATGGATGAGTAAATGACGTATTTGCATCCTGGAATACTAGACAGCAGTGAAAACGCCCAAGACGCTGATACACACAGCAACACACGTGATTCTTTCTTTCCTCTTCTTCTTCTTTTTTTTTTTTTGTTTGTACTGGGTCTCACTCTGTCACCCAGGCTGCAGTGCAGTGGTGCGATCATAGTGAGGTAGGAGGTGAGACTCGACTCAGGAGGCGGGGCTGAGATACGGGACCAAACTGAAGACTAGCTAAAACAGGGATGGAGTCGAAGCAGCTCTCCCTGAGACATGCCCACCGGGGTGCCATGTCCGTTTACCGTTGCCACAGCAACACCTAGAAGTTACCGCCTTTCCATGGCAATGACCCAATGACCCGAAACGTCCCACTCTTTTCTTAGAAATTTCTGCATAATCTGTCCCTTAATTTAAATGTAATTAAAAGTGGGGGTCGGGCGTGGTGCGCTCACGCCTGTAATTCCAGCACTTTCAGAGGTCAAGATGGGCAGATCACCTGAGGTCAGGAGTTCGAGACCAGCCTTACCAACATAGTGAAACCTCGTCTCTACTAAAAATACAAAAATTGGCTGGGCGTGGTGGTGGGCACCTGTAATCCCAGCTACTCGGGAGGCTGAGGCAAGAGAATCACTTGAACCCGGGAGACAGAGGTTGCAGTGAGCTGAGATCACGCCATCACACTCTGGCCTGGATGACAGAGTGAGACTCCATCTCAAAAAAAAGAAAGAAAAAAAGAAAAAGAAAAGAAAAGAAAGTAATCAAGAATGGCTACTGCATAGAGCAGCCGCCTGGGCTGCTTGTTGGCTATTTTTATGGTTACTCCTTGATCACATGCTAAACAAGGGATGGATGATTCACGAGCTTTCTGGGAAAGGGGTGGGCAGTTCCTGGAGCTGAAGGGTCCTCCACTTTTAGGATAATTTCCTGACATTGCCATGGCGTTTGTAAACTGTCATGGCGTGGGTGGGAGTGTCTCAAGATACTGCCTCAAAAAACAGCGAGACTCTGTCTCAAAAAATAAACAAAAAACAAAACCAAGTGGGTACAAATATACCTGCAGAACTGCCTCTGAACTTCTGCTCGGGGCTCACTGCCCATGGGGTGGCCCTGCTCTGCAGAGAGCAGGACCTCCACTGCCGTTTACACTGCTGTTGCAATAAAAGCTGCTAACATCACCAGCTCACCCTTGAATTCTTTCCCAGGTGAAGCCAAGAACCCTCCCAGGCTAAGCCCTTGTCTGCTTTGCATCAATAGCTCACTGCATCCTCAATCTCCTGGGCTCAAATGCTCCTCCCACCTCAGCCTCCTCAATAGCTAGGACGCCAGGCACAAGCCACCACACCTGGCTAGTTTTCTTATTTTTTTGTAGAGATGGGGTCTTGCTATGTTGCCCAGGCTGGTCTGGAACTCCTGGGCTCAAGCAATCCTCTGGTCTTGGCCTCCCAAAGCACCGGGATTACAGGTGTGAGCCACTGCGCCCGGCCTTCCATAGATAAATCTCGTCATCATTAAATTAAGTAAAACAGGCCAGGCCCAGTGGCTCGTGCCTGTAATCCCAGCACTTTGGGAGGCGGAGGCAGGCAGATCACTTGAGGTCAGAGTTTGAGACCAACCTGGCTAACATGATGAAACCCTATCTCTATTAAAAATACAAAAAATTAGCTGGGTGTGGTGGCAGACGCCTATAATCCCAGCTACTTGGGAGGCTCAGGCACAAGATTTTGAATCAGGGAGGCAGAGGTTGCAGTGAGCCAAGATCACGCTACTGCACTCTGGCCTGGGTGACAGAGTAAGAGTCTGTCTCAAAAAAGAAAAAAAAAAAAGGCCGGGTGTGGTGGCTCACGCCTGTAATCCCAGCACTTTGAGAGGCCGAGATGGGTGGATCACCAGGTCAGGAGCTCGAGACCATCCTGGCTAACATGGTGAAACCCCATCTCTACTAAAAATACAAAAACATTAGCCGGGCGTGGTGGCGGGTGCCTGTAGTCCCAGCTACTCGGGAGGCTGAGGCAGGAGAATAGCGTGAACCCGGGAGGCCAAGCTTGCAGTGAGCCGAGATTGCGCTACTGCACTCCAGCCTGGGTGACACAGCAAGACTCCGTCTCTTAAAAAAAAAAAAGAAAGAAAAGAAAAAGAAAAAGAAAAAACAGTGAAACAAGAAGGCACACATAAAAGATGACAGACTATTATCCCATTTATGTTAGGT
The DNA here is from genome assembly GCF_000001405.40 of Homo sapiens. NCBI lineage: Eukaryota > Metazoa > Chordata > Mammalia > Primates > Hominidae > Homo > Homo sapiens. Next base: position 3,264,332 of record NC_000019.10, on the reverse strand, counting down.
TAAAAGGAAAACAGGCAAAAAAAAAAAAACACCTAGTGCTTTAGGGACATATTTATAAATGGCAAAACCATAGAGAATTTTGTTTTTTTTCAGATGGGGTGTCACTATGTTGCCCAGGCTGGTCGCAAGCTCCTGGGCTCAAGCGATCCTCCTGCCTCAGCCTACTGAGTAGCTGGAATTCCAAGGGCACACCACTGTATCCAGTAAAACCACGAAGAAAAGCAAAGGCGTGTTACCGACAACCAGATAGTGGCTCCTTCAGCAGAAAGAAAAGAGTTGGGCTTAGTAATACGGCATGGGGTGGATTCCAGAGGACCGGCTGGGTAGTGGTCATCAGGATGTTTGTTTTGTAAGTATTTATGTTTCATGCACTTTTCTGTAAGTGTGTGTACTACTTTTACTTATTTATTATTTATTTATTTATTTTCGAGACTGAGTCTCACTGTATCGCCCAGCCTGGAGTGCAGTGGTGCAATCTCGGCTCACTGCAGCCTCCATATCCCAGTTTCAAGCGATTCTCCTTCTTCAGCCTCCTGAGTAGCTGGAATCACAGGTGCCCACCACCACGCCCGGCTCATTTTTGTATTTTTAGTAGAGACGGGGTTTCACTATGTTGGCCAGGCTGGTCTTGAACTCCTGACCTCAGGTGATCCACCCGCCTCAGCCTCCCAAAGTGCGGGGATTACAGGCGTGAGCCACCGTGCCCGGCCGTGTGTAGTACTTTTAAATAGTTTAAGAAATATTTGTTTGTTTGTTTGTTTCTTTGTTTCTAGAAACAGTGTCTTGTTCTGTCGCCCAGGCTGGAGTGCAGTGGCACAATCTCGGCTCACTGCAACCTCCGTCTCCCGGGTTCAAGCGATTCGTGTGCCTCAGCCTCCTGAGTAGCTGTGATTACAGGCACGCGACACCATGCCTGGCTAATTTTTTGTATTTTGAGTAGAGACGGAGTTTCACCATGTTAATCAGCCTGGTCTCGATCTCCTGACCTTAGGTAATCCCACCTCTGCCTCCCAAAGTGCTGGGATTACAGGCATGAGCCACAGCACCCAGCCTGGTCTCCCCTCCCTTTTTTTTTTTTTTTTTTTTGAGACAGAATCTCGCTCTGTTGCCCAGGCTGGAGTGCAATGGCGTGATCTCGGCTCACCGCAAACTTCACCTCCTGAATCCAAGCCAATCTCATGCCTCAGCCTCCTGAGTAGCTAGGATTATAGGCGCCTGCCACCATGCCCAGCTAATTTTTTGTATGTTTAGTAGAGACGGAGTTTCACCATGTTGGCCAGACTGGTCTCGAACTCCTGACCTCAGGTGATCTGCCCACCTCGGTCTCCCAAAGTGCTGGGACCACAGGCGTGAGCCACAAATTTATCTATTTTTTTAATTTTTAAAAATTTTTTGAGACAGAGTCTCACTCTATCGCCCAGTCTGGAGTGCAATGGCGTGATCTCCACTCACTGCAACCTCCACCTCCTGAGTTCAAGTGATTCTCCTGTCTCAGCCTCCCAAGTAGCTGGGATGACAGGCATGTGCCACCATGCCCGGCTAATTTTTGTATTTTTAGTAGAGATGGATTTCATCATGTTGGCCAGGCTCCTGACCTTGGGTGATCCACCCCCCTCGGCCTCCCAAAGTGCTGGGATTACAGGAGTGAGCCACTGCGCCCGGCCCTTAAGTGTAAATTTAAATCTTGCCTTTCTCTTGCTTTAGATTCTAGACTCTAGATTTGTGCTGTCCGATATGATCCAGACCCTGGGTCTAGAATATTCTAGACCTATGCTGTCCATGATACAGTAATTGACCTCTCTGGTCTAGAACAGTCTACGTCCCATATGGTAGCTGGGCTCCAGTCTAGAACACTCTGGATCTGTGCTCTGTAACCCAGCAGCTGCCCCCGGTCTAGAACATGCTGGATTGCACTGTCCGATATTGTAGCCATTAGCCACATGTGGTGGTTTAAGTTTAAATTTCAAATTACTAAAACTAAGTAACATTAAAAATCAGTTTCTTGGCCGGGCGCGGTGGCTCATGCCTGTAATCCCAGCACTTTGGGAGGCCAAGATGGGCGGATCCCCTGAGGTCAGGAGTTTGAGACCAGCCTGGCCAACATGGAGAAATGCCATCTCTATTAAAAATACAAAAATTAGCTGGGCGTGCGTGCCTGTAATCCCAGCTACTCGGGAGACTGAGGCAGGAGAATGGCTTGAACCAAGGAGGCGGAGGTTGCAGTGAGCCGAGATCACGCCACTGCACGCCAGCCTGGGGTACAGAGAAAGACTCCGTCTCAAAAAAATAAAATAATAAAATAAATGAATTTTAAAAATCAGTTTCTGAGTACACTCGTCCCAATTCAAAGGCTCAACAGCCTCACGGAGCTAGTGATCAGCACACTGCACAGCACAGGCAGAGAACTTATCCACCACTGCAAATGTTCCATGGATAGTGTTGGCCTAGAACAGGCTTCAGCAAACTTCAGTCCATTCTGGGCCCCTCCTGTTTTTGTTTTTATTTTTGTCTGAAACAAAAATAAAACTCCACTGCCCAGGCTGGAGTACAGTGGTGCAATCCTAGCTCACTATAGCCTCAACCTCCTGGGCTCAAGTGATCCTCCTGTCTCAGCCTCCCAGGTGGTTGGGACTACAGGTACATGCCACCATGCCCAGGTAGTTTTTAAAATTTTTTGTAGAGATGGGATCTCTCTATGTTGCCCAAGTGGGTCTCAAACTCCTGGGCTCAAGCAATCCTCCTACCTCAGCCTCCCAAAACACTGGGATTACAGGTGTGAGAACCACCAGGCCTGGTCTTGAAAATTATTAATGAGCTATTTCACATCCAATCCAATTTTTCCATACTAAATGTTCAAAATCTGGTGTATATTGTTCTCTCACAGATTTGGACATTTAATTTCTTTTTTTTTTTCTGAGATGGAGTCTTGCTCTGTCGCCCATGCTGGAGTACAGTGGTGCAATCTCGGCTCACTGCAACCTTCACCTCCCAGGTTCAAGCAATTCTCCTGCCTCAGCCTCCTGAATAGCTGGGATTACAGGCATGCACCACCATGCCCAGCTAATTTTTGTATTTTTAGTAGACAAGGGGTTTCATTATGTTGGCCAGACTGGTCTTGAACTCCTGACCTCATGATCCCCCTGCCTCGGCCTTCTAAAGTGCTAGGATTACAGGCATGAACCACTGCACCCGACCTGGACATTTAATTTCTATCAGCAACCCTTGATCTGTAGGTGCATTTTGTAAAACTGATGAAAAAGTAGAGTCATGGCCAGGCACAGTGACTCACACCTGTAGTCCCAACACTTGGGAGGCTGAGGCAGGAGGATTGCTTGAGCCCCAGAATTTGAGACCAGCCTGGGCAATGTAGCAAGACCTTATCTCTACAAAAAAATTAAAAATTAGCCAGGTGGCCAGGCGCAGTGGCTCACACCTGTAATCCCAGCACTTTGGGAGGCCGAGGCGGGCAGATCACGAGGTCAGGAGATCGAGACCATCCTGACTAACACGGTGAAACCCCGTCTGTACTAAAAATACAAAAAATTAGCCGGTCATGGTGGCGGGCGCCTGTAGTCCCAGCTACTAGGGAGGCTGAGGCAGGAGAATGGCGTGAACCTGGGAGGCGGAGCTTGCAGTGAGCCAAGATCACGCCACTGCACTCCAGCCTGGGCGACAGCGTGAGACTCTGTCTCAAAAAAAAAAAAAAAAAAATTAGCCAGGTGTGGTGGCACACACCTGTGGTCCCAGCTTCTTCAGAAGCTGAGGCAGGAGAATTGCTTGAACCTGGGAGGTGAAGGTTGCAGTGAGCCATGATCTTGCCACTGCACTCCAGCCTGGGCAACAGAGCAAGACCCTATGTCTAAAAATAAAATAAAATAAAATACATACATATATTTAGCCAGTCTTCGGTGGCTTACGCCTGTAATCCCAGCATTTTGGGAGGCTGAGGCAGGGGGATCATTTGAGGTAGGGAGGATCACCTGAGGTCAGGAATTCGAGACCAGCCTGGCCAACATGGCGAAACCCCATCTCTACTAAAAACACAAAAATTAGCTGGGCGTGGTGGTGGGTGCCCATGATCCCAGCTACTTGGGAGGCTGAGGCAAGAGAATTGCTTGAACCCGGGACGTGGAGGTTGCAGTGAGCCAAGATCACGCCCCTGCACTCCGGCCTGGGTGATGGAGACAGACTCTGTCTCAATAAATAAAAAAAGAAAAATAGAAATACATAGACTGCATGTTAAAATGGTAAGAATTGGGATATATTGGGTTCAAATGAAATATATTATTAAAATTAATGTCACCTGTTTCTTTTTTACTTTTTAAATATTGCTCCTGGAACATGTTAAATTATATATGTGGCTCACATTCTCTTTCTATTAGATAACACTCTTCCAGAACATTACTTGCTCCTTATCTTCCTAGGCAAGGTCTCTCCCACCCGGGCACTGTGGACATTGGGGCCGGATCGTTCTCTGGAGTCGGGCCATCCTGGGCACTGCAGGGTGCTGAGTAGCGTCCCTGGCCTCCACCCACTCCATGCCAGCAGCACCCCCACGTCGTGACAACCGTAAATGTTCCCAGACATTGCTCAGTGTCTCCTGGGGGCTGGATCACCCCTGATTGAGACCCCCTCCCCAGGTTAGGGGATTCCACAGACCCCCAAGAGACTATGTCCCATGACCCGCTTCCCTGCTGAGGTCCCAGGAGGCTGCACACATTAAAATCCGCACCCTGAGTGGGGAGGGAGACAGGAGGTGAGTCCCAGGAGCTGGGGTCCTCCTGGTTTCTACTGTCTACCCCATCGGGAGCTTATTCTGGTGTCTGATGTGAGCAGGGAGAGGATTCAACTTTTTCCCCAAAGTAATGAACACAGGATCTCTCCCCCGGGCACTGTGGACATTGGGGTTGAATTGCTTTCTGGGGTGGGGCCGTCCTGGGCACTGCAGGGTGCTGAGTAGCGTCCCTGGCCTCCACCTACTCCATGCCAGGTGCATCTCCTCCCCAAGTCGTGACAACCACAAATGTCCACAGACAGCAGCCAGTGTCCTGGGGCGGGGGCAGGATCACCCTGGTTGAGACCCCTCCTTACCTAACCTGACCCCCTTCATTAGCTGACAGAGGCTCCCATGAGCTGCCACTCAACAGCACACTGGGCATGTTCTGGCCTCCAAATCTTGGTAAGTTTTGTCCCCACTCACCCCCATCTCCACCTCCATCTGTGAAAATCCTTCCATCTCTCGACTCATCCCAAACATTCCCTCCTTCAAGAAGCCACCCTGTCCACCCTTCACTAAATCGTCCACGCAGGCTGCCTGCTTCTCCCTCAGGGTGCTGTCCCTGGGTCACCCTGACATTTGGTCATTGGTTCTGTGGTCACCCCTGGAGTGAGTTAGATGGTGGCTCCCCAAAAGATAAATCCAGGCTAAGCACAGTGGCTCACGTCTGTAATCTCAGCGCTTTGGGAGGCCGAGGCGGGAGGATCGCTTGAGCCCAGGAGTTCAAGACCAGTCTGGGCAACATAGCAAGACTCCATCTCTGCAAAAAATAAAAAACTAGCCAGGCGTGGTGGCATGTGCCTGTAGTCCCAGCTACTCAGGAGGCTGAGGCAGGAGGATTGCTTCAGCCTAGGAGGTCAAGGCTGTAAAAAGCTATGATTGCAACACTGCACTCCAGCCTGGGCGACAGAGCAAGACCCTGTCTCTAAAAAATAAAAATAAAAAATATGTATATATATATATCCCCAAATCCTAGCCCTGGGGATCTGTGGATATGCCCTTATTTAGAAAAGAGGTCTTTTGCAGATGTAATTAAATGAAGGATCTTGAGATAAAATTATCCTGGATGTAGGCTGAGCCCTAAATCCAATGAGAAGTGTCCTTCTAAGAGAAAAGCAAAGGGACACAGACACAGGCCGGGCGCAGTGGCTCATGCCTGTAATCCCAGCACTTTGGGAGGCCAAGGCGGGAGGATTGCTTGAGGTCAGGAGTTCGAGACCAACCTGGGCAACATAGGAAAACCACTGTCTCTACAAAAAAAAAAATTAAATCAAAAATTTAAAATTTAAAAATCACAGGGCTGGGCGTGGTGGCTCATGCCTGTAATCCCAGCATATTGGGAGGCCAAGGTGGGAGGATCACCTGAGGTCAGGAGTTGGAGACCAGTCTGGCCAACATGGTGAAACGCCATCTCTACTAAAAATACAAAAATTATCCTGGCTTGGTGGCAGGCACCTGTAATTCCAGGTTGGGAGGCCGAGTCAGGAGAATTGCTTGAACCCGGGAGGTGGAGGCCACAGTGAGCACAGATCGTGCCATTGCACTCCAGCATGGAAAACAAGAGCAAAACTCTGTCAAAAAAAAAAAAATCAGCCAGGTATGGTGGTGTGCACCTGTGGTCCTAGCTACCTGGGAGGCTGAGGTGGGAGGTCAAAGCTGCAGTGAGCTATGATCGCACCACTGCATTCCAGCCTGGGCAACAGAGTGAGATTCTGTCTCAAATAAATAAATAAATAAATAAATAAATAAATAAATAAATAAATAAATAAAAAAAAATGGAGGCTGGGCATGGTGGCTCATGCCTGTAATCCCAGCACTTTGGGAGTCCGAGGCAGGCGGATCATCTGAGCTCGGGAGTTCGAGACCAGCCTGACCAACATGGGGAAACCCCGTCTCTACTAAAAATACAAAAATTAGCCGGGCATGGTGGTGCATGCCTGTAATCCCAGCTACTCGGGAGGCTGAGGCAGGAGAATCGCTTGAACCCGGGAGGCAGAGGTTGCAGTGAGCCGAGATTGCACCACTGCACTCCAGCCTGGGCAACAAGAGTGAAACTCGGTCTCAAAAAAAATAATAATAATAAATAATAATAATAAAAGTGGAAACAAACAAACCAGATCGTTCCTCTGGTTGCTACTGTCCCCTGGTCCCAGTCACCCTTGGAACAAAATTCAAGCTGCTCACTGTGGCGGTCCTGTCTCTGCTTCCTCTTCCCCCTCTCCTCCACCTACTCTCCCCCTCACTCCCCGTCACTCACTCTTCTTCACTCCTCTGACCTCAGTGGTCCTCACATGCTTCGGGCATGGTCCAGCCTCAGGGCCTTTGCACTGGCCGTTCCCTCTGCCAGAAACGCCCTTCCTGCAGAGAGTGCACGGCTTCCTCCTCTCCAGGCCATCTCCTCAGAGAGGCCTTCCCTGACCACCCTGTCTAAATGGAACTCCCAGCCAGGCACAATCTGGTAGCTCACGCTTGTAATCCCAGCACTTTGGGAGGCTGAGGTGGGAGGCTCGCTTGATCCCAGGAGTTCGGGACGGGCCTGGGCTACATAGTGAGACCCCCATCTCTGCAAAAAGTTTAAAAATTAGTGGGACGTACCATGAGCTATGATCGTGCTATGAGCTATGATTGTGCCACTGCACTCCAACCTGGGCGACACAGCAAAACTTTGTCTCAGAAAAAAAATAATAAGGCCAGGTGCAGTGGCTGACGCCTGTAATCCCAGCACTTTAGGAGGCCGAGGCTGGTGGATCACTTGAGGTCAGGAGTTTGAGACCAGCCTGGTCAACATGGTGAAACCCCATCTCTACTAAAAATACAGAAACTAGCATGGCACGGTGGCACATGCCTGTAATCCAGCTACTCGGGAGGCTGAGGCAGGAGAATCGCTTGAACCCAGGAGGCGGAGGTTGCAGTGAGCCGAGATCGCGCCACTGCACTCCAGCCTGGGCGACAGAGTTAGGCTCCGTCTCAAAAAAAAATTAATAATAATAATAATAATAATAATAATAATAATAATAATAAATGAAACCTCCGTCCTGAGTCATTGCTCTGAAAGTCACCCCATTTCTTGTCTCAATGTTGTTCTCACTGGCTTGCTTATTTTCTGTTTGTACTGTATCCTCATTCTGTCATAAGTCAGATGCTCAGTAAATGCTGAATGAACAAAGGGGTTTGGAGGACTCAGCCCAGGGACTGCCCTTGAGGGGCTCCCAATCTGGGGGAGTCAGAGCCAGACACAGACACCCCCAGCCCTGAGAGGTCAGGGATGAGCAGAAGGAGGAGACGGCCAGCTGTTACCTTGAAAGTAAGGTAGAAATTCTCCAGGCGGGAGAGGCAGTTACCCACGAATACTTTAGGGGTGGGAACCCTGGCTGGGTCGTCAGTGTCTGGGGAGTGAGAAATTTTTAGAAACTAAAGATGGCCAAGGACCAGAATATAAAGGCTTAACACCTCCAAAAATAGTATCCACTTCGCACCTTTCCTTTTTTTTTGAGACAGGGTCTTGTTCTGTCACCCAGGCTGCAGTACAGAGGCGTGATCTTGGCTCACTGCAACCTCTGCCTCCTGGGTTCAAGTGATTCTCCTGCCTCAGCCTCCCGAGTAGCTGGGATTACAGACCCCTGCCACCACGCCCAGCTAATTTTTGTACTTTGAGCAGAGATGGGGTTTCACCATGTTGGCCAGGCTGGTCTCGAACTCCTGACCTCAGATGATCTGCTCGCCTCGGCCTCCCAAAGTGCTGGGATTACAGGCATGAGCCACCGCGCCTGACCCACCTTCACGTCTTTAAATCTTCTCTGCAGCCTGTTAGGTGGAGAAAGTGTTACCCATATTGGAGATAAAGAAAACTGAGGTTTGAGGGGAAAGATGCTTGTTGAAGATTACACAGCTTGGGAGAGGGGAAGCTAAGGTTTGAACTCAGGAGAACACAGAGGTGGAAGCAGAGAGAAGGCAACAAATGAGAGGGCAGGATGTGGGGGCCATGAGCTCTGGGGGCGAGGAGGAGGGAGGAGAAGAGGCTGATGCCCAGGGACTGAGGGAGAGAAACTGGTTCAAAAAAAGCAGTCGGGGGCAGTAGGCTCAATGGCTTACGCCTGTAATCCTAGCACTTTGGGAGGCCGAGGCAGGTGGATCACTTGAGGTCAGGAGTTCAAAACCAGCCTAGTCAATATGGTGAAACCCCGACTCTACTAAAAATATAAAAATTAGCCAGCGTGGTGGCTCATGCCTGTAATCCCAGCTACTCAGGAGGCTGAGGCAGGAGAATCACTTGAACCCGCGAGGCAGAAGTTGCAGTGAGCTGAGATCAAGCCACTGCACTCCAGCCTGGGTGACAGAGTGAGACTCTGTCTCAAAAAAAATTGGGGGGTGTGCCATAGCCAGTTTGAGCCCCATTGGGTCTAGGGGGATGGGGACTGGGGGACGGCCACAGGAGTCACTCAGGAGGTGACCAGTCACAGAACTGATGATGGGAGTTTAGCATAGCGTGGGGTAAATAGTAGGTGCTTGATAAAAATTTGGTGGATAGATGGAAAGAAGTGTAGATGGGTGAATGGATGTGTGGGTGGATGGGAGGATAGATAGGTGGATGGATGTATACATGAATTAATAGATGGATGGGTGGAAGAGTGAGTGATGAATGAATGGATGGATGGAAGGGTAGATGGATGGACAGATGAATGGATAGACAAGTGGGTGGATGAGTAATGGATAGATGGATGGATGAATGGATGGATGGATGGGTGGATGGATGGATGGATAAAAGGGCAAATGGGTGAACAGATGGATGGATAGATGAGTGGGTGGATAGATGAGTGAGTGACTCAATGGATGAATGGTAGATGGATGGATGTGTGGGTGAATGGATGGGTGTGTGGCTGGATGGGAGAATGGAGGGATGCATAATAGATGTGTGGGTGGGTGGGTAGGTAATGAGTAGATGGGTGAATGAATGCATGGATGGATGGATGGATGGATGAATTGATGGGTGGATGGGTGGATGAATGGATAGAAACATGGATCAGTGTGTGAATGGATGGATGAAAGGGTAAATCAGTGGATGGATGGATAGATGGGTGGGTGGATGGATAGATGGATGGATGGATGGATGCGTAGATGGATGGACGTGTGGCTGGATGAGAGGATGGGTGGATGATGGATGTGTGGGTGGGTAGGTGGATGAGTAGATGGATGAATGAATGAATGGATAGGCAGGTAGATGGGTGACAGGTAGGCAGGCATGTAGACACATGGGCAGATGGGTGATGGGTGGATGGAAAGGTGCATGGATGGATGGAAGCTATGAATTTATGGGCTGACCCAGGGAGAGTAGGCATGGAGAGAAGGACAGAGTCCCCTCAAGATGGATGCAGAGAAGGAGCTGCTGGTGATTGCGGCATCTCTTCATCTCAAAGTGGACTCAGATCCAGGACACCAGCCTGGCAAGAAGGGCATGAGGTTTCGTGGCTCTTGGTCCTTCCACCCTCTTCCATCTTCCCTCCTGGCTGCCAACAGAGTGCAGAGCTCAGTTTTGGCCCCCAACAGGAAAAGAACCAGTTCCAAGGTCCCTAAGGCCTCAGACAGTGGAATAGAGACTGGGTTTGTGTCTCAGTTACCTTCATCAGGGAAATGAGGACAAAGGAATGGGGGAGAAGTGCTTAGCTGGGAGGACTCCTTAGAAGTGTTGGTAAATCTCCATCTATGTACAGATTTCTCTGGACAGAAGGACCAGAGCTTCCCCCAGGACCTGATGCCAAGCAAAAACATGGTTCACTAAACTTAGATGAATTAGGCAACAGCACAGGGTCTGGAGTCAGACTATGAAGGTCCAAATCCCCACTCTGCAGCTTGCAGGCTGCCTAACCTTGGACAAGTCCAGTATTGAGCTGGTTTGTTCCTTGAGTTCCTCCCTCCACCTTTGCCCCCCCTGCTCTGCACCCCTGGGCTTCTGGTGCTAGAATGTGGTGGAAATGATGGTGTGTAATTCCGAGGCTAGGGCTTAAAGGGGACTGTGGCTTCCTCCTTGATCACTCTTTGGTTACGTGTGCTGGGGGAAGATGCCATGTTGTAAGGAAGCTCAAGCAGCACTGTGGAGAAGCCCACGTGGTGAGAAACTGAGGCCTCCTGAACAGTCACTAGAGGGAGCCAGCTTGGAAGCAGATTCCTCAACCACAAACTCCTGCTGATATCTTGACTGTAACCTCCCTGAGCCAGGATCATGCAGCAAACTCAGTCCCAAATTCCTGACCCCTGGTAGCTGTGAAATAACAAGTGCTTATTGTTTGAAGTCTTTATTTTGGGGATAATTTGTTATGCAGCAATAAATAACTAATATGGTCCCTAGAACTCTGCTGTGCCCCTGGGCACTAATCTGTATGGACTGACCTGCCCTCCAGCTTCTGGTTGGTTTGATTTTTTGTTCGGTTGTGGGATTTCTTTCTTTCTTTTTTTTTTTAATGTACTTTTTTAGCTTCTGGTTGGTTTGGGTAGGCACCAGCAGAAGGTCCAAGATGAACAGTGAATTCAGGGAATTTACCGCAGACTCTAGATCACTTTTGCACATGCTGTTCCTTCTGCCTGGAGTGCCCTTCCATGCCATCTTTCAGGTTTTTTCTCAAATGTCACATCCTCAGTGAAGCCCTCCACTGAGCACCTTCTCTATAGATTGCTAGCCCACCCTGCCCTGTTATTCTCTTCCAGTGCTGAAGATCAGAGAGGTTAAGTCACTGGCTTACTGTCACACAGCAAGGATGGAGCTGAGCAACGAGCCCACAGATGTGGCTGCCAGACCCCACACTCTAACTTGCATCACATCACACCCAAAAGAGGGGCTCTCTATTCTTCAAGACCAAGCAGAGGCCACCCCCAGGCCCAGAACCTTCCAATGCTCATGGAGAATCAAGTCAAACTCATGCCATGACCTCGGGTCCCTGGAAGGCGCACGTCAGATTTCCTACAGTCAGCCAAGCACGAAGGCTACGAATGCCCTGATGTCCCTGGAGGCTGAAAGGTCCCTGAGAATTCCGGAGGGAAGGGTGAGCTCCCTGCCCCAGAGCTCACAAGGTGGGGCGCCGTGGCTCACTGTGGTTCCTTCAGTCTCCATCAAGAGGCATGGCCTGGGGACCCGGATTGACTGGCTCAGGGAGACCACTCATCCTTCACTGGGGGCAGGGGCCTCCTGCCCACCCAAAGAGGACAAAGCTGACCAGGAGAGACTCATCAGGCTGGGTGTGCTGGCTCACACCTGTAATCCCAGCACTTTGGGAGGCCGAAGCAGGAGGAACGCTTGAGCCAGGAGTTCAGGATCAGCCCGGGCAATATAATGAGACCCCGTCTCTACAAAAATTAAAAAATTAGCCACGTGTGATGGCATGCACCTATAGTCCCAGCTACTCAGGAGGCCGAGGTAGGAGGATCACTTGACCCCAGGAGGTGGAGGCTGCAGTGAGCCATTGTACTCCAGCCTGGGTAACAGAGCAAGACCCTGTCTCAAAAAATAAAAATAAGGAGAGACTCATCAGAGACAGCACCCAGGCCAGCCTCCTCTGCAGACAGAAATTGTGATGAAGAAGCCCCTGTGTTGGCCGGGCCTGGTGGCTCGCACCTATAATCCCAGCACTTTGGGAGGCCGAGGTGTGCAGATCACTTGAGGTCAAGAGTTTGAGACCAGCCTGGCCAATATGGCAAAACCCCGTCTCTACTAAAAATACAAAAATTAGCCAGGCATGGTGGTGCACGCCTGTAATCCCAGCTACTTGGGAGGCTGAGGCAGGAGAATCACTTGAACCTGGGAGGCGGAGGTTGCAGTGAACCGAGATCATGACACTGCACTCCAGCGTGGGTGACAAAGCGAGACTCCATCTCAACAACAACAACAACAACAAAAAAAAAAAAAAAAAAAAAAGAAGCCCTTGTGTTAAGGAACTGTGGCTCCGTTTGCACCATAAAGACAAGCGAGGAAAATCATTTTCCTTTTTATAGTGAGAAGCAAGCATGGTCTATGCTTCTCCCCATGGTCCACACAGCCTTCAGCAACCAGCCCTGTCACCTCCCCTGCCCTTCCCGCCTTTCTTTCTCCACCTCCTCACTCTGTTCCAGCCACACGGGCCTCCTCCCTGTTCCTCCAACACGTCAGGCATGGTCCTCCCCCGGGCCTTGGCACATGCTGTGCCCTCTGCCTGCTAATGCTTCCTTATCCTTCAGGTCTCAACCCAAAGACAACGACACACTGGGCCAGGTGCCCTTGTGCAGTATACAACCTGCACAACCACACACAACCACTCTGGTATGAAATATAGAGCACGGCACACAGTAGGCACTCAATAAATGCACACTATTATGATGATTTCTATACCTCTGCTCCTCATACCTCTTTCTGAGTCCCGAGACACACAGAATTCACAGCCAATCTCAGGAAGAGCCTTGGCTCCCACCCCAGGCTGAGAGCCATCCCCTGTCCCCTCCTCCCCAGACACCACACAGGACTCACTCCGGGCAAGGTCTTCTGCTCGTGCAGGGCAGTCTGAGCTTTGATGGCGGAATCCCTGGCACAGTAGGTGAGGAAGGCACAGCCTGGAAGGGAGAGAAACGGGGGTGTTAAGAGAGCACGGGCACACCCATGGTCACAGCAGCACCACCCACAGTGGCCACTAGGTGGAAGCAACCCAAGCTTCCATCCACAGATGCATAGATCTACACAACCTGGTGCATCCACGCAACGGAATATTATTCAGCCAAGAAAAGGAAGGAAATTCTGACACAGGCTGCAACATGGATGCACCTTGAGAATGTCACTCTCAGTGAAATAAGCCAGACACAGAAGGACAAATCCTGTGTGATTCCACTCCTAGGAGGTCCCTAGAGTCATCAGATTCACACAGACAGAAAGTAAAATGGGGAGGTGCCAGGGGCTGGGGAGGGGAATGAGGACTGAGTGTATCATGGGGACAGAGTTTCAGTTTGGGAAGATGAGAAAGTTCTGGAGATGATGGTGGTGATGGTTGCACAACCGTGTGAATATGCTTAATACCACTGAGCTGTGCAATTTTTATTTTTATTTATTTATTTTGAGACGGAGTCTGGCTCTGTCACCCAGGCTGGAGTGCAGTGGCGCGATCTCGGCTCACTGCAAGCTCTGCCTCCCGGGTTCACGTCATTCTCCTGCCTCAGCCTCCCGAGTAGCTGGGACTACAGGCGCCCGCCACCATGCTTGGCTAATTTTTTTGTATTTTTAGTAGAGGCGGGGTTTCACCGTGTTAGCCAGGATGGTCTCGATCTCCTGACCTCGTGATCTGCCCGCCTCGGCCTCCCGAAGTGCTGGGATTACAGGCGTGAGCCACCGCACCCGGCCTGAACCATGCATTTAAAATGGTTAAGACGGTACATTTGAAGTTGTGTATATCTTATTACAATCTCAAAAAATAAAAAGAGAAGAGGATGCTGAAGCCACCATGTTTTGGGAGGGGACAGTCGAAGTGGCTCAGTGTTTTCCACCCGTTCCACCCCTGCACACACATACACCCCCGCAAAGGGTGAGACCAGGAAGAGGGAGAGGAGGTCCAGCCATTAACAAAGTCAGTGGCTGAGCTCAGAAAAGAGATGCTGAGAGCCCTGGACAAGGTGGGGTGAGGGGAGTGGGCAGAGGGGCTGCCCAGCGGGGAGGATGGGGAGGGCACTAGTGGTCCCAGAAAGATGGAAGAAGGCCTGGCCCTGGGATAGGGAGCAGTGGGCTCTGCCACTGACCAGCAGTGTAGCCTTGGATCATGCGCTCCCCCTCTCTGGGCCTCACCTTCCCCTATCAGAGGGAGAGGGGATGGTCTGAGAGGACCACAAGTTGGACCAGCCAATGGATGGGGGTGGAGCTTGAGAGGGTGTGGCATGGTGGCAGAAATCAGGACCAATCAGGAGAGGTGAGGGGCGGGGCCAGCCCCGGAGTGGCCCAGAGTGAGGCTGGGATTGGATGACATTAGGGATGGGAGGCAAGGGGCGGGGCCAGCCCATAGAGTGGCCCAGAGTGAGGCTGTGATTGGGCAACATTAGGGATCGGAGGGTGGGAAGCGAGGGGCGGGGCCAGCCCTCTGGTGGCCCAGAGTGAGGCTGTGATTGGGCGACGTTAGGGGTGGGAGACCAGAGACGTTGACAGAGACAGAGACAGGAGACAAGCAAGTCAAGAGAACCCGCCCTCGCCCTGAAAGCCTAATTAGATCAAAAGTATTTTGAAAGACGTTTCCCCAAGGTGGGGTAGGGATTGCACACAGGAGGTCAGGGGTCCTGGGATGGATACAGGGGACTGAGTGGTCCTGTCTGGGGACCTGTGAAATGAGACCATCGTGGGCTGCTCCGATGTTGTCAAACCCTCGGTTCCCCCTCAAACCCCGCCCCCTATGGTCCCTGGTCTCCCAGGGACACGCTGTACGGAGCTCCACGGTGTCCACTTCTCCAGGCAGGAGCTAATTAAAGTGGCCACCTGCTGGTCGCTCCCGCCAGCTGGGCTGTGTGGTGGGGAGGGGGTAGGGAATCCGAGGGAACCCACCCCAGGTCCAAAAAGCCCCCTGGAACCCTGGGGGTACCAGGCAGAGCTGACAACAGTTTCCAGCATTAAGAAAAGAAAGAAAAGAAAAGAAAAGAAAAGAAAGAAAGAAAGAAAGAAAGGAAGGAAGGAAGGAAGGAAGGAAGGAAGGAAGGAAGGAAGGAAGGAAGGAAGAAAGAAAGAAAAAAGTTTGTAGTAGGAATGTAAAATGGTACGGCTGCTGCAGAAAACAGTTTGACAGTTCCTCCAGAAACGAAACACAAAATTACCACGGAAGCCAGCAATTCCACGTCTGGGTGTATATTCAGAAGAATTGAAAGCAGGGACTCGAACAGAGATATTTGTATAACAATGTTGACAGCAGTAAGATTCACAGTGGCCGGAAGGCGGAAGCAACCCAGGCGTCCATTCACAGATGAAGGGATCGATACAATACGGTCGACCCACACAGTGGAATATTATCCAGCCACAAAAAGGAAGGAAATTCTGATACCTGACACAACGTGGGTGAACCTTGAGAACACCATGCTCGGTGAAATAAGCCAGACACAAAACGACAGACAGAGGTTTCATAGGAGGACCACAGAGCCATCAGATTCACAGAGATGGAAATCAGGATGGGGGGTGCCAGGGGCTGGGGAGGGGGATGGGGAGTGAGTGTTTCACAGGGATACAGTTTCAGTTTGGGAAGATGAGAACGTTCTGGAGGCCAGGCAAGGTGACTCTCGCCTGTCATCCCAGCACTTTAGGAGGCCAAGGTGGGAGGATCACTTGAGCCCAGGAGCTGGAGGCTGCAGTGAGCTATGATAGCACCACTGCAATCCAGCCTAGGCAACAGAGTGAGACCCTGTCTCTAAAATAAAGTAAAATAAAAGTTCTGAAGATCAGATAGTGGTGATGATTGCAGAACAATATGAATGTACTTAATGCCACTGAACTCTATGCTTAAAAATGGTTAAGATGGGCCGGGTGCGGTGGTGCACACCTGTAATCCCAGCACTTTGGGAGGCAGAGGCCGGTGGATCATCTGAGGTCAGGAGTTCAAGACCAGCCTGGCCCAAAAGGCGAAACTCCATCTTTACTAAAAATACAAAAAAAATTAGCCAGGTGTGGTGGTGGGAACCTGCTATTCTAGCTACTCGGGAGGCTGAGTCATGAGAATCGTTTGAACCCGGGCGGCAGAGTTTGCAATGAGCCAAGATCACGCCACTGCACTCCAGCCTGGGCAACAGAGCAAAGTGCTTTCTCAATTAAAAAAAAATTTTTTAACGGTACATTTCATATTATGCATATATCACCACAATAAACATTGTAATTGGGATATATTACCAATGTACCCCTCTGAAAAGTGCAGAACACGTAAGCGTGCAATGTAACAAATGATTATAAATCCATACAACCATCTCTATGTCTCGACCCAAGACAACTATGTCACACTATGTCTTGGGTCGAGACATAGAAAGAGAGACCGGGCGCAGTGGCTCATGCCTGTAATCCCAGCACTTTGGGAGGCTGAGGCGGGAGGATCACTTGAGTTCACAATTTCAAGACCAGCCTGGGCAACATGGCGAAAACCCATCTCTATAAAAAATACAAAAATTAGGCCGGGCGTGATGGCTCACGCCTGTAATCCCAGCACTTTGGGAGGCCAAGGCAGGTGGATCACGAGGTCAGGAGATCGAGACCATCCTGGCTAACACGGTGAAACCCTATCTCTACTAAAAATACAAAAAATTAGTCGGGCGTGGTGGCAGGGGCCTGTAGTCCCAGCTACTCGGGAGGCCAAGGCAGGAGGATCGCTTGAGCCCAGGGTGTGGAGGTTGCAGTGAGCTGTGATTGTGCCACTGCACTCCAGCCTGGGTGACACAGTCAGACTGTCTCAACAACAAAAGTAAAAAGTGGCAGCCACCATGAAGCCACCAGAAGTCCTAGTGTCCCCCACCCCAGCACAACCCCCTCCATCCTGCAGGGGTAACCACCCCAGCTCTCGTGTATGCCTTCACGATGGTGTCCCCACCATGTGCGCATCACGTATCAATGTGATTGAGTGCTTCCTGTTTTTGGACTTATATAAACGAAATCATAGCATAGGTCCGCCCTTGTGTCTGGCTTCTTTCATTCAATATATAGTCAACAGCATGTGGTTGTGTGCATCATGGGGGAGTTCCTTTTTGTTTCTGGGTAGTATTGTGTCCTATGAATACACTAAAAATTGCTTATCCATTCTCCCATGGGTGGGCATTGGGATGTTTGCTATTTGGGGCAATTATGAATAAAGTTGCTCTGCAACAGTCTTGTCCAATTTTTGTTTTTTTGAGACAGGGTCTTGCTCTGTTGCCCAGGCTGGAGTGCAGTGGTGTGATCACAGCTCACTGCAGCTTCCACCTCTCAGGCTCAAGTGATCCTCTGGCCTCAGCCTCCCAAGTAGCTGGGACCACAGTTGCATGCCACCACACCCAGCTGTTATTATTATTATTACTATTATTATTAGAGATGGGGTCTTGCTATGTTGCTCAGGCTGGTCCTGAACTCTTGGGCTCAAGTGATCCTCCTGCCTTGGCTTCCCAAAGTGCTGGGATTATAGGCATAAGCCACTGCACCCAGCCTTGTCCATATATATATATACATATGAGAGAGAGAGAGAGCCAGAGAGAGAGAGAGAGAGAGACTGAGTCTCAATCTATCGCCCAGGCTGGAGTGCAGTGGCGCAATCTCAGCTCACTGCAACCTTCCCCTCCTGGGTTCAAGCGATTCTCCTGTCTCAGCCTCCCAAGTAGCTGGGATTACAGGTGTCCGCCACCATGCCCGGCTAACTTTTGTATTTTTAATAGAGACAGGGTTTCACCATGTTGGCCAGGCTGGTCTCAATCTCCTGATCTCAAGTGATCCACCCGCCGTGGCCTCCCAAATTGCTGGGATTATAGGCGTAAGCCACCGCACCCGGCCTTGTCCGTATATTTTAATGCAAAAAGCATACCCAGGAGGGACGTGCTGGGCATAAGACAGGCGTGTGTTTAACTTTCATCGATTCCTTCAAATCGTTTTCTGAAGTGGGTTGTGCCTATGTCGGGCTCTATTAGTGCTTCATCTTCACTAATGCTTGGTTTTTGCCAACCTTTTAAATGTTAGTCATTAAGGTGGGCGTGCAGTTGTATTTCATTGAGATTTTAATGCACCTTCCAAGAACTATTAATGAAGCTGGGCACCTTGTCACTTTGGGGGAGCTCTTCACAGAGTCTATGTGCTCATCTTTCCTGTTGCCGTTGTTGTATGTGATGGTCTATTCTTGATGTTTGTTTTCCGAATTTTATTCCCCAAGCTCTTCAAAAGAACTACACTAAGACAACGAGCCCTAAGGCCTGAGAGAAATCAGGTTTGATCGGCAAGAAATTGGGCTGCAGGCAGATGTAAAATAAGGGTAAAAAACCTTCTTCCTAGGTTCCTTTTTTTTTTTTTTGCCTGTGGACTCCTTGTCTGCAGGGTTTGGAGGGTGGTGGCCCTAGGAGGCTAGGGAGTGGGTAGGTGCCCTGAGCAACATTTAAGGCCATCAGCCCCAGGGTCTGGGAGCTCTGCAGTGAAAGGGAAAGAAACACCACACACACACACACCACACACCACACACACACGCACACACACACAGATGCATACACACACACGCACACACACACAGATGCATGCACACAAACACACGCACACACACAGATGCATACACACACCACACACACACAGATGCAAACACACACGCACACACACAGAGATGCATACACACACCACATACACACGCACAGATGCATATACACATCACACACCCACACATGCACAGATGCAAACACACACCACACACACACGCAAAGACACATGCACAACACACACAGAGATGCACGCACACACCACACACTACACACACACATGCACAGGTGCATGCACACACCAAACGCTACACACACACAGATGCATACACACACAACACATACGCACACGTGGACAAGATGCATGCACACACCACACACTACACACACACGCACAGATGCATATACACACCACACATGCACACACACACGCAGACAAGATGCATGCACACACCACACACCACACACACACGTACAGATGTATGCACACACCACACACACATATATGCAGACAAGACACATACACACACCACACACTACACACACACATGCACAGATGCATACACACACCACATACGCACACATATACCAGACAAGACGCATGCAAATACCATACACACACGCATAGATGCATGCACACACCACACACTACACACAAGGCACGCACAACACACCACACACACATGCACAGATGCATACACACCACACACTACACACACGATGCATGCACAACACACACTATGCACACAGATACATACACACACCACACACGCACACACACGCAGACAAGACACATGTGCACCACACATAGATGCATGCACATACCACACACATCACACGCAATGCATGCAAAACACACTACACACACACGCAGACAAGACGCATGCACACCACACAGATGCATGCACACCGCACACACAGATGCATGCACACACCACACACTACACACAGAGATGCATGCACACACCACACACTACACACACATACACACAATGCATGCACACCACACACACTACACACATACAGATGCACACACCACACACTACACACACAATGCAATAATGCATGCACACCATATACACTACGCACACACACATACTGCATGCATACCATACACACACACACTCGCACGCACAGGCCCATGCACACGCCACACACAGACGCATGCTCACAAAAGCCCGCCCTGACGCTGTCCCTGGTGCTGAAAATCTTCCTTATGGCTTCCGTGATCTCTTGGCCCAACCTCTTCTTGGCCTCTTTGCTTGTCGTTTCTAGCTGGTGAAAATGCGTAATGTTTACCCACCCCTGGATAAATAGAGCTTTGATTCACAGTTCCTGTTATGGGCTGAATGTGCTTCTCCCCCTCTCCAAATTCATCATTTGCAGTCCTAATCCCCAGGACCTCCGAATGTGACTTTATTTGGAAACGGGGTCATTGCAGATGGAATTAGTCAACATGAGGTCATCAGGGTGGGCCCTGATCCAATAAGACTGGTGCCCTTATAAAAAATGGAAAAATAGACACAGAGACACGCACAGGCAGGGGGACGTGAAGATGCAGGCGGAGATGGGACGATGCCTTTACAAGACAAGGAACGCTACAGGGGAACGGCCTGGAATAAACGCTCCCTCACAGCCTCAGAAGGAACCAGCCCTGCCAACACCTTGATTTCGAACTTCTGGCCTCCAGAACTGAGCAAAAATAAATTTCTGTTGTTTAAGCCACCGTGTCTGTGGTGTGTGGTTACGGCAGCGCCTGCAAACTCGTACAGTTCCCCATCAGCACAGACGTGCAGTGATGTTAATAAAGTCCACTGGGCCAGGTGTGGTGGCATACACCTGGAATCCCGGCACCTTCAGAGGCCGAGGCAGAAGGATTGCTTGAGCCCAGGAGTTCGAGACCAGCCTAGGCAACGTAGTCAAATTCCATCTCTGCAAATAATTTTAAAAATTAGCTGGGTGTTGTGGCATGTGCCTGTGGTCCCAGCTACTCAGGAGGTCAAGACAGGAGAATCGCTTGAGCCTGGGCCGTCGATGCTGCAGTGAGGCATGATTGTGCCACTGTGTTCCAGCCTGGCTCCAGCCAAGGTTTTGCGACATAGCAAAACCTTGTCTCAAAAAAACTCCATTGATATTTAATGTTAATAAGCTTATACTCAGAAAAAAATTAAAAAACACACACATACACAAATACCCCAAAACAAAAAAATTAAAAACCAAAGAAAAAAAGAAAAAACTGAAAAAGAAAAGAATAAGCTTATACTCTATACTGAATCATTTAATACTCATAGTAGCCCCTATGCAGTAGCTGCTGGCATTGTTCCCATTTTACAGATGAGAGATGGGGGCACAGAGAGGGGAAGTGGCTTGCCCAAGGTCACACAGGTGGTAAGTAGAATGTCCAGGCTTTATTATTATTATTATTATTATTATTTGAGATGGAGTCTCGCTCTGTTGCTCAGGCTGAAGTGCAGCAGCACCATCTCACCTCACTGCAACCTCCACCTCCCAGGTTCAAATGACTCTCTTTCATCAGCCTCCTGAGTAGCTGGGATTACAGGTACCTGCCACCAAGCCCAGCTAATTTTTTTTTTAGATAGAGTCTTGCTCTGTTGCCCAGGCTGGAGTGCAATGGCACAATCTCGGCTCACTGTAACCTCTGCCTCCCAAGTTCAAGCGATTCTCCTGCCTCAGCCTCCCAAGTAGCTGGGATTACAGGCGCCTGCCACTATGACTGTCTAATTTTTGTATTTTTAGTAGAGACAGGATTTTCACCATCTCGGCCAGGCTGATCTTGAACTCCCGACCTTATGATCCACCCACCTCAGCCTCCCAAAGTGCTGGGATTGCAGGTGTGAGTCACTGCGCCCGGCCATTTTTTTGTATTTTTAGTAGAGACAGGGTTTCACCATGTTGGCCAGGCTGGTCTTGAACTGCTGACCTCAAGTGATCCGCCCACCTCAGCCTCCCAAAGTACTGGGATTACAGGCATGAGTCACTGCACCCAGCCAATTTTTTGTATTTTTTAGTAGAGACGGGGTCTCACCATGTTGGCCGGGCTAGTCTTGAACTCCTGACCTCAAGTAATCTGCCCGCCTCAGCCTCCCAAAGCACTGGGATTACAGGTGCGAGCCATCGTGCCCGGCCAAATGTCGAGGGCTTAAATCTAGGTAGTCTAGCTCTGCAGACCATGCACTAACAGCTGAGATCCACTGCCTGGCTTTCGCATCTTTTCCAAAATTCTCCCCCAAGGAATATGAGGAAGAACACAGCCTCTTGCCGTACCTGCTTCCCTAGAAATAACCTTAAAATAGTGCCACCTTGGGCCGGGCATGGTGGTTCATGCCTGTAATCCTAGCATTTTGCGAGGCCAAGGCAGGTGGATAACCTGAGGTCAGGAGTTTGAGACCAGCCTGCCCAACACGGTGAAACCCCATCTCTACTAAAAACACAAAAATTAGCTGGGCGTGGCGGCGCGCGCCTCTGGTCCCAGCTACACGGGAGGTTGAGGCAGGAGAATTGCTCGAACCCGGGAGATAAGGTTGCAGTGAGCCGAGGTCGCGCCACTGCACTCCAGCCTGGGCAAGAGGGAGACTCTGTCTCAAACAAACACACAACAACAACAAACTAGTGCCACCTTTGTCAGAAACACGGGGCTGGATCAAATGCTGAGGGCCCTGTGGATCCCATTTCAACTGTGAGAGCTCTGGTTGGTTGCATCCTAGACCCAGAGGGATCCCCTGAAGGAAGCCTCAGCCTGAGCCACAGCTTATCCCCCACCCACGCCAGGTGAGCCTCTCACCGTGTCCCAGCCCCAGCCACTCCCACCCCACACACCTGCCCCAGATGGCAAGGGCACCAGAGGCAGGTGTGCAGCCTTGCTGCACACCTGGAGAGCCTTGGGGTTCTGGAGGGGGTAGACAGGGAAGTCCCACCTGGGATCAATGGTTCAGAATGCTCAGTGATTGGCAATCTGCACCCACCCTATTTTCAAAGCCTGGACAAGAACTGATCTTTAGGCCGGGCGCGGTGGCTCACACCTGTAATCCCAGCACTTTGGGAGGCAGAGGCGGGTGGATCACAAGGTCAGGAGATAGAGACTATGCTGGCCAACATGGTGAAACCCCATCTCTAGTAAAAATACAAAAAAAAAAAATTAGCTGGGCGCGGTGGCTTGTGCGTGGTGGTTCGTGCCTGTAATCCCAGCTACTTGGGAGCCTGAGGCAGAAGAACTGCTTGAACCAGGGAGTTGGTGGGTGCAGTGAGCCAAGATGGTGCCACTGCGCTCCAGCCTGGTGACAGAGCAAGACTCCGCCTCAAAAAAAAAAAAAAAGAACTGATCTTCAAGTTCATAGACAATGCACTGCACACAAATCTCTCGAGACCCAAGGGTACCAAGGGTACATTGGGGATCAAGGTGGGGGATCCTTGGGGAACATGAGATCTGCTCAATGGATAAGTTTCTCCAGCCCGGGCAGCTGGGGACCTCAGCCCAAAAGGACACTCCAGTCTCCAGCCCAGGAAAATGCTCTTTTTTGGGAAGTGATTCTCTGTGATCCTCCTGCTAGGAGGAGGCAGAGCCTGACACTCCTGTCCCCTCCACACCCTGTGTGGTCAGCCCGGGCCAAGAGAAAGGCAGGGCTGGGGACGCTCTGAAGGCAACCTGGTTCTGCTTGGAGACGGCTTCCTGAAGGATGATTCTTGGAGCTGGGGCCATAGAACAAGAGCCTGCCTGGTGTGTGGAACATAGGCTTTCAGAAGTGTGTGGTAGGGCCGGGCGCAGTGGCTCACGTCTGTAATCCCAGCACTCTGGGAGGCCGAGGCAGGTGGCTCACCTAAGGTCAGGAGTTCAAGACCAGCCTGGCCAACACGGTGAAACCCCCTCTCTACTAAAAATACAAAAACTAGCTGGGTGTGGTGGTTCATGCTTGTAGTCCCAGCTACGTAGGAGGCTGAGGCACAAGAATGACTCTTGAACCCGGGAGGCAGAGGTTGCAGTGAGTTGAGATTATGCCACTGCATTCCAGCCTGGATGACAGAGTGAGACCCCATCTCAAAAAAAAAGAAAGAAAGAAAAAGAAGGGCCAGGTGCAGTGGCTCATGCCTGTAATACCAGCACTTTGGGAGGCAGAGGCAGGCGGATCATTTGAGGTAAGGAGTTCAAGACCAGTCTGGCCAACATGATGAAACCCCGTCTCTACTAAAAATACAAAAATTGGCTAGGTGTGGTGGCGTGCACCTATAATTCCAGCTACTCAGCTACTCAGGAGGCTGAGGCAGGAGAATCACTTGAACTTGGGAGGTAAAGTTTGCAGTGAGCCGAGATCTCGCCACTGCGCTCCAGCCTGAGCAACAGAGCAAAACTCTTGCCTCAAAAAAAAAAAAAAAAGTGTGTTGCAGGAGATGGGGGATGCCATTGGAGGGGACAGATGAGGGTGAAACAGGCAAAGAACTGCTGGACTGATGTCAAGGGCAGTGGGGAGCCATGGAAGGTGTTTGAGCAGGGGTTGGGCATAGTCAGAGGTGTGTGCGGGAAAGAGCCTCCTGGGGCCAGCACGAAGAAGGGACTGGAGTGCAGGACAGAAGACTGGAGGCCAGTGAGGGGGCAGAGTCAAGGTCAGTATGGGAGAAGGTGAAGACTACCCCAGAGGGCCATGGGGACAAAGACAGGAAAATCTAAGGTAGGGCTTTGGTGGGGGACGAGGGGAGGGGAGGGAGGAGGCAAGGATGGCTGGGATGCACTTGGATGGTAGGGTGTGAGGATGTAATGGGTTGAATGGTGGCTCCCTGAAAAAGAGCTACATCCATCCTGAGCCTGGGCAACATAGTGAGACCCCAACTCTACTGAAAAAAAAAAAAAGTTAGCCGGGCATGATGGCTCACATCTGTAGTCCCAGGTACTCGGGAGGCTGAAGTGGGAGGATGGCTTGAGCCCAGGAGTTTGAGACGAGCCTGGGCAACACAGTGAGACCCCATCTCCAGTAAAAATTAAAAACAATTAGCCGGGCATGGTGGCACACACTTGCAGTCCCAGCTACTTGGGAGGCTGAGGCGGGAGGATTGCTTGAGCTCAGGAGTTTGCACCAGCCTGGGCAATGTAGTGAGACTTTGTCTCTAATAAAAAAAAAACAAACAGCTGGGTGTGGTGGTTCACACCTGTAGTTCCAGCTACTAAACGGGCTGAGGCGGGAGGATCCCTTGAGCCTGGGAGGTCGAGGCTGCAGCAAGCTATGATCATACCACTGCACTCCAGTCTGGGTGACAAAGTGAGACCCTGTCTCAAAAAAATTAAAATTAATTTTATAAAATTTTAAAAAAGATATAGCCACTCTGGAACCTGAAATGTGACCTGATTTGGAAAAAGAGACTTTGCAGATTTCAATAAGGAATTTGGGATGAAGTCAAGCTAGATGAAGGCAGGCCCCAAACACAAGGACAAGCATCCTTAATTTTTATTTTTTATTTTTATTTTGAGATGGAGTCTCGCTTTGTTGCCCAGGCTAGAGTGCAATGGTGTGATCTTGGCTCACTGCAACCTCCACCTACTGTGTTCAAGCAATTCTGCTTCAGCCTCCTGAGTACTGGGATTACAGGCACCCGCCGCCACACCCTGCTAATTTTGTATTTTTAGTAGAGACAGGGTTTCGTCATGTTGGCCAGGTTGGTCTCGAACTCCTGACCTCAAGTGAACCACCTGCCTCGGTCTCCCAAAGTGCTGGGATTACAGGCGTGAGCCACCACACCCGGCCTCAAGTGTCCTTATAACACAGAGGAGAGGAGACGCAGACGCACAGATGATGGAGCAGAGACCACAGTGATGCATCCATCAGCCAAGGACACCCGGAGTCCCCAGAAGCTGAAGAGGCAGGAAGGACCCTCCCCTTGGAGAAAGTGAGGCCCTACCCACACCTTGATAGCTGATTTCTGGCCTCCAGGACTGGGAGAGGCTGTTCCAAGCCCCCCAGTTTGTGGTCATTTGTTACAAAAGCCCTGGGACAACAAACCCAGGTAGGAACCCAGGAGGAGGTGCACTTTGGAAGAAAGACATGAACCCTGGTTTGGGCCCTGCGGGATCTCAGGGTTTGGGGGATATCAGAGGGAAGTACTGTCAGAAGCGTTTGAACCAGAGCAACTCCATCTTGAATAGGAGCTTGGTAACTGGGATTACAACTCTTGCCACTACTGCCCAGCTAATTTTTTATTTTTAGTAGAGAGGGGGTTTCGCCATGTTGGCCAGGCTGGGTCTTGAACTCCTGACCTCAAATGATCCATCTGCCTTGGCCTCCCAAAGTGCTGGGATTACAGGCGTGACCCATGGCGCCCGGCCAAGTTAGATATTCTCTTTTTTTTGAGACAGAGCCTCTCTCTTTCACCCAGGCTGGAGTGCAGTGGCGTGATCTCGGCTCACTGCAAGCTCCGCCTCCTGGGTTCACGCCATTCTCCTGCCTCAGCCTCCCGAGTAGCTGGGACTATAGGCGCCCGCCACCAGGCCCGGCTAATTTTTGTATTTTTTAGTAGAGACGGGGTTTCACTGTATTAGCCAGGATGGTCTCGATCTCCTGACCTCGTGATCCACCCGCCTCGGCCTCCCAAAGTGCTGGGATTACAGGCGTGAGCCACCGCGTCCGGCCTCAAGTTAGATATTCTTAATCACGAGATGAGATAGGAGGTTGGCAGAACGGTATCAAAAGATACAGGTCATAAAGACCCTGCTTATAAAACAGGATGTGGTAAATAAGCTGCCAAAACCCACTCAAACCAAGATGGGGGTGAAAGTGACCTCTGGTCATCCTCACTGCTCATTACATGCTAATTATAATGCATTAGCATGCTAAGAGACACTCCCACCCGCGCCACGACAGTTTACAAACGCCATGGCAACGTCTGCAAATTATCCTAAAAGTGGAGGACCCTTCAGCTCCAGGAACTGCCCACCCCTTTCCCGGGAAACTCATGAATAATCCACCTCTTGTTTAGCATATGGTCAAGGAGTAACCATAAAAACTGCCAACAAGCAGCCCAGGCGGCTGCTCTATGCAGTAGCTATTCTTTATTACTTTCCTTTTTTTTTTTTTTTTTTTTTTTTTGAGACGGAGTCGTGCTCTGTCACTCAGGCTGGAGTGCAGTGGCGTGATCTCGGCTCACTGCAAGCTCCACCTCCCAGGTTCACGCCATTCTCCTGCCTCAGCCTCCCGAGTAGCTGGGACTACAGGTTCCTGCCACCATGCCCGGCTAATTTTTTGTATTTTTAGTAGAGATGGGGTTTCACCGTGTTAGCCAGGATGGTCTCGATCTCCTGACCTCGTGATCCACCCGTCTCGGCCTCCCAAAGTGCTGGGATTACAGGCGTGAGCCACCACGCCTGGCCGGAGTAGCCATTCTTTATTACTTTACTTTTTTTTTTTTTTTTGAGATGGAGTCTTGCTCTGTCGTCCAGGCTGGAGTGCAGTGGCGCGATCTCAGCTCACTGCAATCTCCGCCTCCCGGGTTCAAGCGATTCTTCCACTTCGGCCTCCCAAGTAGCTGGTATTACAGGTGCAGGCCCGCCACCACACCCAGCTAGTTTTTTGTATTTTTAGTAGAGATGGGGTTTCACCATGTTGGCCAGGCTGGTCTCAAACTCCTGGCCTCAGGTGATCACCCACCTCGGCCTCCCAAAGTGCTGGGATTGTAGGCGTGAGCCATCGCGCCTGGCCTAGATTCATTTTTGTCCTTCCCCTCCCTGCCATGCCTAGCTCAGAGTCATTCAATATTCCTGAGCACCTACGATGCACCGATGGTGGTGGGGAAACAGAGACAGGGAATACATTGCTGTTCATCCTCTTCTTCTCTCCCCAGCCAGGAACCCCCCTCCCATCTCAACCCCTTTGATCCCGAACCCCCTGCATGGCAGGGGTCTCCAAGTTCTTAGTCTTTAACTCAGTTCTGTAATCTAGTGATTGGAGATAAGGATCAAAGCCAGCTCAGTACCTTTCTGCTGTGTGCTCTTGGGCCAGCCACTTAACCTCTCTGAGCCTTCACAGTCTCATCCACCAAATGGGAACCACGAGGCCACACATGCACTGAAAAGGACACAGGACCCTCCCTTCTCCACCTACTCAGCTTTGCTGCTCATCCTCTCCACTTCCTCCTCCACCTTCCTAGCCCAAAGTTCTCCCCAACTTCACTAGGAAAACCGAGACAGACGGGCTCTCTGCCCCCTTTTTACTGTCCCTCAATGCACGCATAAATGCCTTGATTCCTGTGCTGAGGCCCTGGTGTCCTCCTCCTGGACCCTATGTCAACCATGCTGCCTCCAAATGAGGTCCAGCCCTGCTGGCTGTGGCTCCTCAGCCTCCATGCTGCCTGCTCCTCTCCACAGCCTGACATATGGGGGTTCCTTGAGGCTCATTCTAGACCCCAGATCTCTCGCCCAGGCATCTTGACTCCTACGGCTTCAGTCCCCATCACTACACCAGAAATTTCCCCATCCATACACCCACCCAACTGTCCACCCATCCACTTGTCCATCATCCAATCAACCATCCTCCCACCTATTCATCCATCCATCCATTCATTCATCCATCCATCCATCCATCCACACATCCATCCATCCATCCATCCATCCATTCATCCATCCATCCATCTATCCACCCATCCACACATCCATCCATCCATCCATCCATCCATCCACCCATCCACACATCCATCCATCCATCCATCCATCCACCCATCCACACATCCATCCATCCATCCATCCATCCATCCATCCACTCATCCACCCATCCACCCACCCACCTATTCATCCACCCATCCATTCATTCATCCATCCACCCACCCATCCACACATCCATCCACCCATCCACTCATCCACCCATCCACCCACCCACCTATTCATCCATCCATCCATCCACCCACCCACCCATCTATCCTCGCGTGATGTTCAAAGCACTCTTTTAGGCACTGGTGACACAGCAGTACACACAAAGGTGAAAATCTCTGTGCTAATGAGGCTTACAGTCTATTAGGAAGGAGAAAAAGCAAATAAAATTAAAAGCGATATATATAGTATGTTAGAGGTCTTCATTTGCACAGGAAAAAAAAAAGGAAAGGAGGAAAAAGGAACTTGGAGTTCTGGGAGTGACTAGATTACAAATCCTGCCATCACAGGGGTTTCACAAAAAAAGGTGAAGCTTACAGAAGAGAAAGGAAGGAGCTATGTGAGTATCTGGGGGAAGAACATTTATGCAGAGGGCACAGCCCATGCAAAGGTCCTGGAGTAGGACCACGCCTTGCCTGTTGCAGAAACAGCAAGGAGGCCAGTGTGGCTGGAACAGAGGGAGCGAGGAGGAGAGAGGGGGCAGGGGATGGTATGAAGGGGATGAGGCAGGTCACGGGAGGACTTCAGCTTTGACTCTAAGGGAGGTGGGAGCCACGGAGGGCTGCAGGCAGAGGAGGGACGGGTCCTGACTCAGGTGCTCACAGGCGCTCTCTGGTGGCTGCTGCGGGGAGGACAGACTGTGGGGCGCGAAGGTGGGAGCCAGGGACAAGGGCACAGGGACTGCACTGGTCCAGGTGAGGGATGAGGGGGCTGGACCAGGTGAAGGCAGAGGAGAGAGAAGTGGGCAGATTCTGGAGAGGTTTTGAAGGCAGAGCCATCAGAATCTGCTGATGGAGGGATAGGAGGTGCGGTTGTTGTTGTGAGAGAGGGAAGTCAAGGGCATTCCCAGGTTTTGTCCTAGGTACCTTCAGGCCTCATCCCCAGGACACTGCACTGTGTGCCAACTGCCCAAGCCAGGTCACTGGTGTACCCTGGACCAGGGTTTCTCAGCTTCTGCACCGTGGATGCTTGGGGCCGGATCATCTGTCACCCTGGGCGCTGTGGGGTATTGAGCAGCATTCCTGGCCTCCACCCACTCGACACCACTCGCAGCCAGAAGCACCCCCAAATCATGACAACCACAAATGTCTCCAGACATTGCCAAGTGTCCTAGAATAACTCCCATTGAGAACCACATCATGGCTGGGCGCGGTGGCTCACACCTACGATCTCAATGCTTTGGGAGGCCAAGGCGGGAAGATTGCTTGAGCCCAGGAGTTTGAGACCAGCCTTAGCAACATAGTGAGATGCCAATCTCTTGAAAGAGGGAGGGAGAGAGAGAGAGAGAGAGAACGAACCACATCACTAGATCCCTTCCTCTTCCTCGCCTCCCTTGCCAAGAGCTGGTGAATTGACCTCCCCTCCTCTACCTGGGCCTCCATTTCCCTATGTGTACAAAGTTCTTCTGGTGGCTCCTAGCTCTGCTAGAGGCATGCCCTCTGGTCCTTCCCCCTAGTGGAGGGTCAGGGACAAGAATGCAAATCCTCTTGGATATAAAGACCCCACCCTCAAAGGCTGCTGGGAGAATGGGAGGGCACTGAGGGGCCTGCTCCACTCTGTCTTCCAGCTACCTCCAGGCGCCGCCGTCTTCAGGAGCTCCTCAGAAGAGCCAGGCATAAGCCTAGTGGCAGAACTTCCTGACACATTCTAGGGCCTTCTGTGCCTTAGTTTCCCCATCTAAAAAATGGAGGACCCAGAATCCACATTGTCCATATTCCCCTGAGAGACCCTGTCCCTCCCCTGCCACAGGTCTCCATGGCTCCACCTCTCTTGGGGTAAAAACCAAAGTCCTTCCAAGACACACAGAACCCGCTCAACAACCTGCGCGACTCCCTCTCTGCCCTCTTCTCCTCCCTCTCTCCCCCTCCTCACTCTGCTCCAGCCACAAGGGCCTCCTTGCTGTTCCTCCAACACACCAGATGTGGTGGTCCTGCCTCAGGGCCTCTGCACTCTTCCTGGAACGCCTTTCCCTTGGTTGTAGCATAACAGCCTTCCCATCTGTCATTCAGGTCTCGTCTCAAACGTCACCTCCTAGAAAGGCCATCTCTGGCCCCCAAGGAAAGCTGTCATCTCCCAACACACATCTTTAGTTTGTTTGTTCACAGCAGCTCACCTCACACCTATCTCAACTTTATTTGTTTCCTAGTTTATCGTCAGTCTCTCCTACCCCCTGAATTGCTTTATGTCCTCAAGCCTCGCTCAATGGCTGGCACACAATACAGACTTAATAAAGTTGTTGCCTTTTGAATTTTGAGACAGGGTTTAGATCTGTTTTCCAGATTGGAGTGCAGTGGCATAATCATGGCTCACTGTAGCCTCCACCTCCCCAGGCTCAAGCCATCCTCGCACCTCAGCCTCCCAAGCAGCTAGGGCTCTAGGCACATGCCACCACGTGCAGCTTTTTTAAAAACTTATTTATTTATTTATTTATTTATTTATTTTTAATTTTAATTTTTATTTTTTTTGAGACGGAGTTTCACTCTTGTTGCCCAGGCTGGAGTGCAATGGCATGATCTCAGCTCACCACAACCTCTGCCTCCCGGGTTCAAGCGATTCTCTTGCCTCAGCCTCCCGAGTAGCTGGGATTACAGACATGCACCACCACACCCGGCTAATTTTGTATTTTTAGCAGAGATGGGGTTTCTCCATGTTGGTCAGGCTGGTCTCGAACTCCCGACCTCTGGTGATCCACCCACCTCGGCCTCCCAAAGTGCTGGGATTATAGGCGTGAGCCACCACGCCCAGCCTAAATTTATTTTTTGTAGAGAAGGGGTCTTGCTATGTTGCCCAGGCTGGTCTGGAACTCCTGGGCTCAAGCAATCCTCCCACCTCAGCCTCCCAAAGTGCTGGGATTACAGGCGTGATGCACTGCAGCCAGCCTGTTGACTATTTTGACTGCCTGACCATTTATGGAGAACACCTACAATATGCAAGTCATTATTCAGGTTAATTACATGAATCACACCACATTTTTTTTTTTCTTTACAGACTCACTCTGTAAAGGGCCTCACTCTATCACGCAGGCTGGGATGCAGTGGTGCGATCATAGTTCACTGTAATCTCTAACTCCTGTGATCAAGCAATCCTCCCTCCTCAGCCTCCTGAGTGGCTGGGACTACAGTTGCACACCACCACACCTGGATATGGTTTTTATTTTTTGTAGAGCTGTGTTGCTCAGGCTGGTCTTGAACTCCTGGGCTCAAGGGATCCTCCCACCTCAACCTCCCAAAGCAATGGGATTACAGGTGTGAGCTACCACGCCTGGCCACATCATATAAATTAGTTCCAATTTTGACAACTGCTCTGTGAACTAGCTACCTGTATTACTTCTCTTTTACAAAGTAGCTAAGGTTCAGAAAAGATGAGGTGACTTTTTCAGGATTACACAGAAATTTAAAAATGGAGCCAGGATTGGAACCAAGCCTGTCTGAGAGCAAAGGTTCTGAACATTCGTATTCACCAGGTGAGGAGGAAGGTAGTAAAGGTTGAGGAAGCATCCTTCCATCCTTCAGTCTATCCCATCTTCTATCCATCATCCATCCATCCATTCATCCATGCACCCACCCATCTATCTAGTATTCCATCCACCAATTACCCATCCATCTTTTCATCCATCCATCCAACCATTAATTTCTCCATCTACCCATCATCCATCCATCTATTCATTCACTCATTCACTCATTCATTCATGCATCCATCCATCCATCCATCCACTCATCTATCCACCCACCTACCCATCCATCCATCCATGCACTCATTGACCCACCAACCCACCCACCCACCCATCCATATGCCCATCCATCGCTCCCCCATCATCCACCAATCTATTCATCCGCCCATCCATCCATCCATCCACCCACCTGCTCATCCATTCACCCACCAATCCATCCATCCATCCATCCACCCATCTACCATCCATCCATCTATCCATCCATCCATCCATCCACCCACCCATCTACAAATCCATCCATCCATCCACCCACCCATCTACAAATCCATCCATCCACTACTCATCCACCCATCCATCCATAAATCCATTCATCCACCCATCCATCCATCCATCCATCCATCCATCCATCCATCCATCCATCCGTTCACCCATCCATCAATCCATTCAAACCTTCCACTGATCTACCCACTTTTCTATCCATCAAATCCACTCATATCTAGAGTCACTGTCACCCATTCATCCATCCATCCATGTCTGTATCCATTGATTCACATATCTATCTCTCCATCCATCTGTTAGCCAGCCCATCCATTCTCCAATCCCCAGATCGTCTCATTTCCTCATGCCCTTGTTCATCCACAAGCTCACTTCCAAATGGCAAACAAGACACAATTTCTGCCCTCCTAGAGCTTACATATCACTGATGTTGACTATGACTCCAGACCAACTGGACTCCTGCTAGGCCAGTGTCTTCCAAACCTAACAGCCCTTCCCTTTGGCCCTGATCATCTTAAGTTCAAGGACAGCCAGCCTCCCTGGATGGCTCTGACCCTGGTCTATGTTTCCAAAATCATGTTTCTTTTTATCCTTCCAGAGCGGGTCAAAGCTCAGGCTGGGAGGCGTGAAGCCCAGCTGTACTGCTGTATGACTTGGGCTGGGTGTTGCCCCTCTCTGGGCTCCGATCTCCTCCTGTGCTTCACATGGAGGAGGGGAACTTGGTTCTCTAAGAGCCAATGTAATCGGAACACACATCTGCTTCTTTGTATTTCTCTCTTCCCACACTGTGGGCCTCACCCCAACTGGAAGCTTCTATTTTGTCCATCCAGGTGTGAAGGAAACGAGCATATTTTGAGCAAGGCTGGGAGGCTGGGAAGAGGCTGGTGGTGGCAATGGGAGTTAACAGGATGTGAAGCCCGCTTCCCATGCAGGTCTGCCTGAGTTCCTCCCTGCTCTAAACTCTTCCATGGCTCCCCAGTGCCCTCAGGAAAGAGTCCAAGCTCAGTCCAGCATCAGAGGCTTTCCTGGTCCAGCCCATGCTGACTCTCCAGCCTCATCTCCCACGCCTCACCTAATCCGTCCTCTACCCTAGCTGTGCAAATTCTTCATGCCTCCAGGCCTTCATAGATCCAGTTCCCTCTCCCTATATCCAGGAAGTCAAGACATGTACCTATCTTGTTCACTGCTGTGTTTCATGCCCATCATAGGGCCTGGAACACAGTAAGTGTTTCTGTGAATGCATAAATAAAATGCTTTCTCCACCTGGAAAGCTCCTGTCGATCCTTCAAAGCCCCATTTCTAATGCCCCTCCTCCAGGCAGAGCTCCTGCTTCATTATCCAGTTCCCTCAACCCTGCACCCCTCCCTCTGACCCAAGCCAGACCACTGGACTATAGGTGCCAATGTCTAGCTCTGGCCTCAGACCCCTCTTGCTCAGTACGAGGTAAGGCCACAGAAGGTTTTCAAGAAGTGTTGTGTGAATGAATGAATGAATGAATGAATGAATGAATGAATGAGTGTGGTCCTACCAGGTGTTTCCAATGGCCAAGGCCTCACTTGCCAATTTGAGGGGTGAAAGAGAGAGACACAAGCCCACTTCAGAGATAACCTCCCGGGTCCAGCCCCAAGCTAAGACCCCTCGGAAGAGCCTCAACAGGTGAGCCCCATAGAAGAAGGGGACCCTGAGCTCCCAAGCCCCTCTGCTCCTTTCCTACCAGGGCAAAAACTCCATCCTCCCTGCACCTGAGCTTCCCTGGAGTTAGCGCCCCTCTGGGCCCTCGCACATTGTCAGGAACACCTTTCCCCGTCAGTGCATCCTCCTCACGCTTCGGGCCTCAGCGTAGTCATGTAACAAGCCCGCTCCCACTGACCAAGCACATACTCTGTGCCCGGCCCCATGCCAACAGCCTCTTCTGTTCTCTGCTCTCCCTGCCACTTCTGCTCTCACCTCCCTCATTTCCTCTGAAACGGGAAGACCCACTGCAGCCTGGAGGGATGAAGACATCTGCCCAAGGCCACAAGACGCAGGGAAACCAGACTCATCTCATCTCCAAGCTCTCAACGACTCTCCTACACTAACTGCCTCCTCCAGGCGGCCCTCCTGGCCTCCACTCCTGCGGGGGCAGGGCCCCCCTCTGGGCTGTCACTGCTGGTGTGTGTTTTGCCATCATATTCCTGAGCTCGGTGCCTTGTAAGCCCAGTTCCCCAGCTGTCTCCGTCCCCTAAACTGGAATCTGGTGGGAGGGGAGGTCTGGATGGGGGGTAGGGATGGCAGATTTTATTTGTTTTGCCCAACCCAGTAGCCCAGGGTCTAGAACAGGGCCTGGTACACAGCAAGCTCTCAATAAATGTTGGTCATACAGGTGGACGGATTAACATCTAGCCCACTCCATCATGAATCCTACAAGGAATTCTGTTCACACCAAATGCCCAGCTCTGCATAAATGCTGGAAAACAGTAGGCGTTCAATAAATGCTCTTTGCCTGAAGCGGGGGGCGGGGGGAGGGAGGTGCAGAAACGATGTCACAGTCACAGGTGTGAGGCTCCGGGGCCTTATGAAAGTCTGTTAAATAAAGGAGAGAATATGCAGCAGGGGAAAACGAGGCACAGAGAGGGGCGCGCTCAGCTTGAAGCCACACAGCACCCCGGCAGGAGTCCTTCCCAGGCGCGCGCCCGCGTACACACACACACACACACACACACACACACACACACACACGCCGGCCAACCCTGCCAGCCACCCCCAGCCCCCTGCCGCTGTCCCCGCCACCACCAGGGGTGCCAACTGCTCCCGCGGTCCCCCCGCCAGGCCGCCCAGCCCGCCTTCTCCCTGGAGCTGGTGCGTCACACGCGGAATCTCACGCCTCAGAGCTCAGCCTGCTACAGCCTCCTCCTCCCCCCCTCCCGAGTCGAGCCGGCAGCTGGTGCTCCCATGGAAACCGCGGGCCCCCACCCGGGCCCCCGCCGGGCCCCCCCCCCACCTGCACCGTCCCCCAGCGCAACCTCCGCTTTAAGACAAATATTGTCATTAACATGCAAATGTATATGCGATTACCATAAACGGGGGGCCCAGTGGCAGCGGCGGACCAGTACCACCGTGGGCACCTTCCCCTGGCAGGGTGGGCACCCAGGCAGCCACCATCCATAGACAGGGGCAGCCACAGCTCCAGAGGTGCCTGCCTTGGAGGGAGGGTCCCCGGGGCAGGAACTGCAGGGGGGCCAGCGGGAGCCCCAATCCCAGCCTCCAGTTCTTGGCCTGAGCCCCTGGCCTGGGGTGGGGGTCCTTCCTGGGGGAGGTCCCCGCTCTCTGGATGCGGAGTTCTGGCAGGAGCAGGCTTGTGGTCTTCCTGTGGGCCTGCATCTCTCTGCAGCCCCCTCCCTGTCTGTGTTTCTCTGTCTCTGTCTCTCTGTGGGTCTCTCTGTCTCTCTTTCCCTGCGTGTCTCTCTCTCTCTCTCTGTGTCCTCATCTCTCTCTCTCTCTCTCTCTTAAAAACAAACCCAGCGCCCCAGGGCCTGCCCTCTTTCGGAAGACCACCTCGACGCATCCCTCTCCCCCTACCCCTGCCCCGCTCCTGGATGAGGCCTCCTGCCTTTCTCTGAGTCTCAGCACGGCCTCTAGGAATCTGGCTGCCCCCACGCCACCTTCGGCCAGGCCAGCTGTGGCTGTCAGGTGTCACGGGCCCCTCCATCCCCAGCACCATCTCTGGGGGCCTCACTCTTGGCTTTGGGGAACCTGTCACCCCTATGTCACACAGATACAGGCACAGCTGCTTCTCCTGGCCTGGGAGGAAGGCAGGGGGGGTAATGGGGGCCTAGCTCCGGTAAATGTGGGACCCAGGGTATGTCTCTCAAGCCCTCAGTTTCCCAGAAATGCGCTGTCACTCGGAGCCCACCTCCATGGCGATGGGTTCCATGGGGAAATCAAACAAGTCCCTGCAGCCTGGACACCAAGGAAGGGCTAGAGGTGGTACCAGCTGACCCCCTCCGGGCTTGTACCAGGAGCCGGGTGCACCTCCAGGGTGTTCTCATCCCACCCCACTCTACTCCTTACAGATCTCCTGTGCCCAGTCTCATGGGCCCCGCCGGGCATCCAGGGAAAGGGATTTCTCTCCAGGCCTGGGGTCCATATCCCCAAGGCCCTGCCACTCTGAACAGGCACACTAAACCACGCCAGGGCTCCCAGAAACAGCCCTAATAAGGTCATGTTGGTGGCAGGTGTCTGAACTCACTCCTCTCCCCAAAAATCCTGACTTCCCATTCACCATTCCACCTCCCTTCAGCCAAGGCCCAGAGAGGGCCCAGAGAGGGGCAGTCACTAGCCAGAAGTCACACAGCTGAGCCCCAAACGCAAACCTGGATCACAGATGCTGATTCTGAAGACACCCCCCCACCCCTTCGTGCCAAGCACCTGCAGGCAAAGACCAGGTGAAGTCCAGCCAGGCCCCACGCAGGTGGGGATTCACTTCCCCGAGGGTACTGGACCCATTTTCGACACGAGGTGAAGCCCCTGTATCTCACACACAGACGGACCTGGGACCCCTAAAAAGTGGAGGGTGATTGCCGGCTGTCGTGCACACGGCTTCTCAATTCTCACCCTCCAAGGAAAGCCCGCAAATGGGAAATACCCCCGAGGTACCCCAGGGACCCCAACATTCTCCAACCTGTAAAAAAAGAACTGGGGATGCGTCATGGTCCTGCTCTGTTGACAGCAGGGAAACTGAGGCTCAGGGCCAGGTGAAAACCCAGCCCCAGCCCCTCCTTCACCCCTCACTTCTCCCGTGCCCAGGTTTCCCAGAGATTTAAAAATAAGAAGGAAAAAAAAAAAAAGATGAAGAAGAGTCACCAGGATGCTCCAGTCCCTGCACCCCCACCTGTCTCTCCGACCTAGAGCTCAACCAGCGGCCTTTCAATGCAACCGTTTGGGGGGCCATGTGGACTCCCCCATTCCCACGGGAATCTTTCTAGAAATGGGTGCTTTGGGTGTACCCAGGGGTGGGGGCGTGTGGGAAAAGCCCACCTATCACCTCTGGACTCCAGATATTGACTTATGGGGGCCGCATGGGAGCCCCTCTGCCCTCCTAGGCCACATGGAGGAGTTAGATTTTTCAGGCCCAATTTTGTGTGTGTGTGTGTGTGTGTGTGTGTGTGTGTGTGATGGTTGGTTTTGAAAAGAGATGGGGAATGGGGAGGGGTTTCTTTCCTCCCTCAAGATAACCAGCTGGAGGGTCTAGCTGAAGTGACAGGCCTGGGCCCCATCTCACCAGACCCTCCCTAGGGCCTTCTTGAACCCCTTCATTCATTCATTCATTCATTCATTCATTCATTCAATTCATTCATTCAATAAACATGCATTCATGCTTACCGGGCACGCAGCGCTGGGGAAAAAGTGGGTGTAAAATAGGTCATGGGCCCCGGTCCTTCCCCAAGGCCTCTCCAGGGTCTTCCTGGAGGATGGGAGGGGGAGGGCCGGGGGTGTCCAGCACAAGGCCTTTGAAGTGGCACCCCCAGTCCCCAACACCTGACCGGAAGGCTGTCAAAGCCACCCCAATTCAGACGCTGGGCCCATGATGGGAACCAAGGGCTGGGGATACAATTGCCGGACACCCCCACCCGGGATGCCATCGGAGGGAGAATCCAGTGGGAGGGAGGCAGACAGGCCTGAGGCCGCCCACGCCTCCCTCCTCCTCCCTGTCCACCCCAGAATTTGGGCTCTGCCCAGATGGACACGTCCAAGCTCATTGTCTTGGGCCTGAGACCCCAACACATTGCTAAGAGGCTCGGCCAGTTTCAACTTGAGCCCAAGGTGGAGGCGGGGGAGGGGGAGGGCAGAGAAATGGAGGAGAGAATGCTGATCCACGCGGAGGTGGTGGGGCCAGGGGGTGGGCAGCGACGGGAGCCTCTCCGCCACCCGAGGCAGGCGAGGCGGGCGCGTCCCCCCGAGCCGGGCGCCCCCAACCCGTCTTCCTTTGTAGTTACCGATTAGCCTGGGGTCCTGGGCATCCGTGTCCCCCGCGGCCGGACCTGCCCCGCCGGCCTGGCTTTGTGAAAATAACCAAAGCAATGGAGTCCGCAGGTGCAAACTTCCCCGACGGGGCCTGGGGAGGCTGAATGAATGGGGGTGGGGGGGCAGGGAGGGGTGCCGGCGTTCCCGAGGCTCCCCTGGCAAACGGGCAGGAAAGAGTGGGGTGAGGGAGGGAGGAAGGGGTGGGGGTCTGGGGGATGGAAGGGTGAGGGAGGGAGGGAGGGAGAGAGAGGGTGCTGTGGGGGGAAGGATGAGAGGTCGAGGGAGATGGGAGAGAAGAGAAAGGGAGAGAGAGAGGGAGAGAGAGAGGGAGAGAGAGAGGAGATGCCGGAAGGTGGGGAGGGAGGGAGAGGGGGCGGAGGAGGGGAGGGGGCCCGCTCGGATCTGTCAGCTGCACCCCCAGAGAGGGGAGGAGGGGTGGGTGGGAGGGAGGGGGTAAGAACCGATGCTCCGGCAGAGGCAGGCAGAGGAGGGAGGTGAGCAGAGGAGGGATGGTGATGGGGGAGAGAAGATGCCGGAAGGTGGGGTGGGAGGCGGAGGGAGGGGGAGAGGGGGGAGGGGGCCGGGCGCCCACCTTTGTGCATCCCCGTGTAGGGGTCTTTGAGCACCGTGAGCTCGTAGATGCGGCCGAACTGCTCGAAGAGCGGCTTGAGGTCCTTCTCGTCCAGGTGCCGCGGGATCTGGCCCACGAAGAGTTTGATGGCGTCCAGGTCCTTCATGCCGTCGGGCTGCCCCCCGGGGGGCTCGGGCCCGCTGCTGCCCACGGGCGAGGGCCGCGGCTGCAGGAGCTGCTGCTGCTGCCGGCGCGCCTCGCTCTCCGTCAGGCGGGCCATGGCGGGCGCGGGACCGAGCCGGCGGCGGCGGCGGCGGGCGGCGGGCGGACTCGCAGCTGGAGCGGCGGCCGCGCCTCCCGCCTCCCTCCCGGGCCCCCGCGCCCTCCTCCCGCCCGCGCCCGCCCCGGCATCGGGACCACAAAGGCGGCTCCGCAGCGGCCCCTGGCGGCCGCGCCGCGCGGGGCAGCCGGCGCCTCCCCGCATCCCCGGGCCGCGGGGGGAAACTGAGGCCGGAAGGCCCCGGGCCCCGCCTACGGGTGGGCGAGGGCGGAGCTGCGGGCGGGACGGGCCTTAGCCGGCTTCCCAGGGGTCCCCGCCGGCTCCCGCGGAGGGCATCGGCCGGAAGAATGTCAAAAGTTGCTGGGATAATGTAGGGGGCTTGTCGTTGAAAGCGCCCGTGATCCTTAAAGTAGGTAACTCATCAATAATATTAATAACACTAATAATATGGCTGGGCGCGGTGGCTCACGCCTGTCATCTCAGCACTTTGGGAGGCCGAGGTGGGTGGATCACTTGAGGTCAGGAGTTCGAGACCAGACTGGCTAACACGGTGAAACCCCGTCTCTACTAAAGAATACAAAAATTAGCTGGGCTCGGTGGCGGGGGGTGCCTGTAATCCCAGCTACTCGGGAGGCTGAGGCAGGATAATCACTTGAACCCAGGAGGCGGAGGTTGCAGTGAGCCAAGATTGTGCCATTGTACTCCAGCCTGGGCAACAAGAGCAAAACTCCGTCTTGGTAAAAAAAAAAAAAAAAAACACCTAATAATAACAACACTAATAATAATTAATCAAGAGCAAGACAAAGTGCTCCCACTAATCACGACAGCACAGGAGAAATGGTAAAAGTATCTTCCAGTTCTATAGGGTGCTTACACATAGAAAGTGTCCTTGGCCCTTTAAGTATGTAACTCATCAATAATGTCATCAACAAGGAGGGAGACTGGCTCGCACTGATAATGACAGGATAGGAGAAATACTGAAGTATCTCCCAGCTCTAAAGTGCCCGTGATCCTTTACGTATGAAACTCATCAATAATATTAATAAAAATAATAATACGTGCTGGCCGTGGTGGCTCACACCTGTAATCCCAGCACTTTGAGAAGCAGAGTCAGGAGGACCACTTGAGCCCAGGAGTTGGAGACCAGCCTGAGCAACATAGTGAGACGCCATTGCTGTAAAAAATAAGAAAACAGGCCAGGCACGATGGCTCACACCTGTAATCCCAGCACTTTGGGAGGCTGAGGCAGGTGGATCACCTGAGATCAGGAGTTCGAGACCAGCCTGATCAACATGGAGAAAACTCTGTCTCTACTAAAAACACAAAAATTAGCCAGGCATGGTTGTGCATGCCTGTAATCCCAGCTACTCAGGAGGCTGAGGCAGGAAAATCGCTTGAACCCGGGAGGCGGAGATTGCAGTGAGCCGAGATTGCGCCATTGCACTCCAGCCTGGGCAACAAGAGTGAAACTCTGTTTGAGAAAAAAAAAAAAAAAAATCAGCCAGGAGTGGTTGGTGTGCACCGTTGGTCCCAGCTACTCGGAGGCTGCGGTGGGAGCATCGGTTGATCCCTGGGATATTAAAGCTGCAGTGAACCAGGATCGCACCACTGCCTCTGGTCTAGGCGACAGAATGAAATCTTGTCTCAAAAAAAAAAAAAAAAAAAACACTTCCCAAAGATGTCCCATAATTAAAGCCCAAGTCCTTCTTGAGGCCCACAAGGCTCTGCGTGTCCTGTTCTGCCTTGTCCCCACCTTCCCCTGCTCCCTCTCTCCCCCTCCTCACTGCTGCAGCTACACAGGCCTCCTCGCTGTTCCTCTCACTTGTCAGGTGCGGTCCTGCCTCAGGGCCTTTGCACGGGCTGTACCCTTTGTCTGGGATGTGCTCTCCCCAGATGATGTGTGGCTCATTCCTTAATTCCCCATCACTTTCCCCATCTACCTTATCTAAAACCGCTCAGTCACCATTATCTCCTTTCTCAGCCTTCTTTTTCCCTCCACAGAGTTACACCCATTTAAAATTTTATTTTCATTTTTATTTTTATTTTTTTCGAGATGGAGTCTCTCTCTGTCGCCCAGGCTGAAGTGCAATGGTGTGATCTTGGCTTACTGCAACCTCCACCTACCAGGTTCAAATGATTCTCCTGCCTCAGCCACCTGAGTAGCTGGGATTACAGTTGCACCCCACCACACCCAAATAGTGTAAAATTTTATTAACGTACTTATTTATTTATTTATTTATTATTGAGACAGAGTCTCGCTGTGTCACCCAGGCTGGAGTGCAGTGGCATTATCTCGGCTCACTGCAACCTCTGCCTCCCGGGTTCAAGCAATTCTCCTGTCTCAGTCTCCAGTGTAGCTGGGATTACAGGCATGTGCCACCACACCTGGCTAATTTTTGTATTTTTAGTAGAGATGGGTTTCACCATGTTGGCCAGGCTGGTGTCGAACTCCTGACCTTAGGTGATCTGCCCACCTCAGCCTCCCAAAGTGCTGGGATTACAGGCATGAGCTACTGCGCCCAGCCTAAAATTTAATTTTTAATTCTTATTTTATTTATTTTTTGAGACAGGCTCTTGCTGTCGCCCAGGCTGGAGTGCAGTGGTGCAATCTCGGCTCACTGCAACTTCCACCTCCTGGGTTCAAGTGATTCTCATGCCTCAGCCTCCTGAGTAGCTGGGATTACAGGCTCCCACCACCACACCTGGCTAATTTACAATTTTATTTATTTATTTATTTATAAGGCAGGGTATCGCTCTGTCACCCAGGCTGGAGTGCAGTGGCATGATCATAGCTTGCTGCAGCCTTGACCTCTTGGGCTCAAGCGATCCTCCTGCCTCAGCCTCCAGAGTAGCTGGGACCACAGATGTCCATGCCACCATGCCTGGCTAATTTTTAAATTTTTTGTAGAAATGGAGTCTTGCTATGTTGTCCAGGCTGTACGCAAACTTCTGGGCTCAAGCAATCCTCCCGCCTCAGCCTCTCAAAGTGCTGGGATGACAAGTGTGAGCCACCATGCCTGGCTTTAGAGGACATTTTGTGCTCCATCCAGCCAATGGAACACGACTCAGCCATGAAAAAAAAAATGAGGCTCTGACCCAAGCCATACCTTGAGCACATCATGCTTGGTGAAAGATGTCAAACACAGAAGACCACACAGCGTGTGACGCCATTTGTATGAAATGTCCACCCGCGTTAGAGGGGGAACTGAGGCCCAGAGAGCTCCAGTGGCT
The DNA here is from genome assembly GCF_000001405.40 of Homo sapiens. Taxonomy (NCBI): domain Eukaryota; kingdom Metazoa; phylum Chordata; class Mammalia; order Primates; family Hominidae; genus Homo; species Homo sapiens. Next base: position 3,221,508 of record NC_000019.10, on the reverse strand, counting down.
GGTGCAAGACCACACGGTAAGAGAGCTGGGATGTAAACCCAGGAAGCCAGACTCTGGAGCACACACACTTCCCACCATCCCATACCATCTCCCCACACATCAGGCAGCTGAGCCCCAGTTTCCTTATTTGCCAAGCAGGACTAAAGAGAGAGGAGAGGGACCGGGCACGGTGACTCACACCTGTAATCCCAGCACTTGGGGAGGCCAAGGCTGGCAGATGATCTGAGGTCAGGAGTTCGAGACCATCCTGGCCAGCGTGGCAAAACCCCATCTCTACTAAAAATACACAATTAGCCGGGCGTGGTGGCATGCACCTGTAATCCCAGCTACTTGGGAGGCTGAGGCAGAATCGCCTGAACCTGGGAGGTGGAGGTTGCAGTGAGCCGAGATCGCACCACTGCACGCCAGCCTGAACGACCAAGTGAGACGCCATCTCAAAAAAAAAAAAAGAAAAAGAAAAAGAGGATATGGTGAAGGCCCTGGTCTGGTGTGGACTCATGAACTAAAATGTGGGCTTAGCAGAGTGTCTGGGAGCTTAGCTCAGTGAATGGCTATTCATCATTGCTGTTACTGGCAGCCTCCTGGCCACCCCCAGATGGAACAGAACATCAGAACTGGGTGACGAGCAGAGCTGGGCAAGGGGTCAGGGGTTCTCCCACAACATCCTGCCACTCGGCCCAGCACAGACGCAGGTGCTTAGACTCAGCTGAGGCTTGGCCGGGCACAGCGTGGCACTGGGGCTGGTGGAGTCGGCCAGGAGACATAGGCTTCGTCTCCATGGAGACTCAAGCAGGATGCTCAGAGCCCCGTGAGCCTCTGGTGTTCTGGGAGAGTCCTTAATAAGAATTTTAAAAATCACGCCTGGCCGGGCGCAGTGGCTCACGCCTGTAATCCCAGCACTTTGGGAAGCCAAGGCAAGTGGATCACTTGAGGTCAGGAGTTCGAGACCAGCCTGGCCAACATGGTGAAACCCCGTGTCTAAAATTTGGCCGGGTGTGGTGGCTCATACCTGTAATCCTAGCACCTTGGGAGGCCGAGGCAGGCACATCATGAGGGCAAGAGATTGAGACCATCTTGGCCAACATGGCAAAACCCCATCCCTACTGAAATTACAAAAAGTTGGGCGTGGTGGTGTGTGCCAGTAGTCCCAGCTACTCAGGAGGCTGAGGCAGGAGAATTGCTTGAACCCGGGAGGCGGAGTTTGCAGTGAGCCAAGATCGCGCCACCGCACTCCAGCCTGGGCAACAGAGCGAGACTCCGTCTCAAAAAAAAAAGAAAAATCATGCCTGTAATCCCAGCACTTTGGGAGGCCGAGCTGGGAGGACTGCTTGAGCCCGGGAGTTCCACACTAGCCTGAGCTGTAACATAGCAAGACTCCATCTCTACAAAAAATACAAAAATTAGCCGGGTGTGGTGGCAGGCACCTGTGGTTCCAGCTACTTGGGAGGCTGAGGTGGGAGGATCGCTTCAGCCCAGGGAGGTCCAGGCTACAGTAAGCCAAGACTGTACCATCGCACTCCACCCTGGGCAACAAGAGCAAAACTCTGTCTCAAAAGAAAACAAAATCAAAAGAGAAACTCACAAACTCCTATGAGCCAAAGATGCACTTTTTTCAGCCTCTTCCTCCTCTTTCTTCCACCCAAAACAAGAGCCCAACCGAATTCGGGTCTGACTTCTGAGCACTTAAACCCAGCATTCTGCCTCCTGAATTTCATCCGTGGCACAGCTAAGGGGGTGGGTGAGCACGGAGAATAGCGAGGCTGTGAGCCTGGAGAATAGCGAGGCTGTGAGCCTGGAGAATAGCGAGGCTGTGAGCACGGAGAATAGTGAGGCTGTGAGCTTGGGCACATCTGGGTACCACAGGCCGGTCTCCCTGTCTTGTTAGCGGATGCAGTCTGGTGGGCATCGGTCACTGCAGGATGCCCGTGCCATGGATGTTACTGAGGAAGTAAAGCGCGTGGGAGTGGCAGGGCGCGGCGACTCACACCTGTAATCCCAGCACTTTGGGAGGCCGAGGCGGGCAGATCACCTGAGGTCGGGAGTTTGAGATGAGCCTGGCCAACATGGTAAAACCCTGTCTCCACTAAAAATACAAAAATTAGCTGGGCGTGGTGGCGGGTGCCTGTGATCCCAGCTACTCAGGAGGCTGAGGCAGGAGAATCGCTTGAACTGGGAGGCGGAGCTTGCAGTGAGCTGAGATGGAGCCACCGCACTCCAGCCTGGGCCACAGAGCGAGACTCCGTCTCAAAACAAAAAACAAACAAACAAAAAAAAGGAATCTGCAAGCCTTTTGTTCTTCTTCCTCCTCCTTGGCCTCCTTAGGTTTTTCTTTTTTTTTTTTCTTTTTTTGAGACGGAGTCTCGCTCTGTTGCCCAGGCTGGAGTGCAGTGGCACAATCTCGGCTCACTGCAACCTCCGCCTCCGGGGTTCACGCCATGCTCCTGCCTCAGCCTCCCGAGTAGCTGGGACTACAGGCGCCCGCCACCACGCCCGGCTAATTTTTTGTATTTTTAGTAGAGACGGGGTTTCACCGTGTCAGCCAGGATGGTCTCGATCTCCTGACCTCGTGATCCACCCGCCTCGGCCTCCCAAAGTGCTGGGATTACAGGCGTGAGCCGCCGCGCCCGGTCTTTCTTTCTTCTTCTTTTGAATTTTTCTCGTCTTCCCACGACGACCGTGAATCACTTTGGAATCGAGAAAGTCTAAAACTTGAAAACAGGAAGGGAAGCAGAGCCGATTTAGCAGTCACGGCTGTCAGATGGAGGATTTGGGTATCGAAGCCAACACAGCTTATTCTTTTCTCTTCGGTGCTCAAAGGAATTCAGAGCTTCCCAAAGCCAACTGGGCTCACCGGCTGCCTGGTCTCAAACCCACGCCATGCGGCGTCAAGGCGTCTCTGCCTTGCCGGCCAGCACACGGACCCCCTCCCAGGCCCCCAGGCCCGTCCAGCTCAGGGTGACACTGACTATTTATCTGCCACGTACCAGGCACGGTGTCCTCCGTGCACACAGCAGGACCTGTCATCCCCATTTCTCAGAGGGGCAAGTCGAGGCACCCAGAACTTCACAGGATGCAGCTCATGTTTTCCACCTTCATGGATTTTGCCAGAGCTGTGGGCTCCAGGGGCTATTTATCTATTTCTTTTTGAGACGGAGTCCCGCTGTGTCACTCAGGCTGGAGTGCAGCAGTGCGATCTCGGCTCACTGCAACCTCCGCCTCCTGGATTCAAGCGATTCTCCCGCTTCAGCCTCCTCAGTAGTTGGGACAACAGGCGTGCGTCACCATGACTGGCTAATTTTTGTATTTTTAGTAGAGACGAGGTTTCACCACATTGGCCAGGCTGATCTCAAACTCCTGACCTCAGATAATCACCCACTTCAGCCTCCCAAAGTAATGGGATAACAGGCGTAAGCCACCACGCCTGGCTTATTTTTTTTTTTTTTTTTAAACAGTGATAAAATACACATAACAAAATAATACACTTAACCATTTTGTATTTTATTCTTTTGAGACAAGGTCTCGCTTTGTTGCCCAGGCTGGAGTGCAGTGGTTCAATCATAGCTCACTGAAATCTCAACTTCCCGGGCTCAAGTGATCCTCCCACCTCAGCCTCCCGAGTAGCTGGGACACAGGCTCGAGCCACAATGCCAGCGAATTCTTTTATTTTTTGTAGAGATGGGGTCTTGCTATGTTGCTTAGGCTGGTTTTGAACTCCTGAACTCAAGCAGTCTGCCTGCCTCAGCCTCCCAAAGTGCCGGGATTACAAGGATAAGCCACTGCACCCGGTTTCTTTTTTTTTTTTCTTTTTTTTTTTTGAGACAGTCTCGCTCTGTCACCCAGGTTGGAGTGCAGTGGCGTGATCTCAGCTCACCGCAACCTCCACCTCCCAGGTTCAAGCAATTCTTGCCTCAGCCTCCCAAGTAGCTGGGATTACAGGTGCCCGCCACCATGCCTGGCTAATTTTTGTGTTCTTAGTAGAGACGGGGTTTCGCCATGTCGGCCAGGCTGGTCTCGAACTCCTGACCTCAGGTGATCCACCCGTCTTGGCCTCCCGAAGTGCTGGGATTACAGGCGTGAGTCACTGTGCCCAGCGTGACCTACTTCTAAGTGCACAGTTCAGCAGCGTTAAAAACACATTCACGTGGCTGTGCAACCATCACCTCCACCCTCTCCAGAACTTTATCTTCCCAAACTGAAACTCTTTGAGTCTATGAAACACTCACTCCCCATCTCCCTCCCCAGCCCCTGGCATCCCCATCCTACTTTCTGTCTCTGTGAATTTGATGACTCCAGGGACTTCCTAGGAGTGGAATCACACGGCATTTGTCCCTCTGTGTCTGGCTTCTCTCACTGAGCCTGAGGTCCTCAAGATGCCTCCGCACTGTAGCCTGCGTCAGGATTCCCTTCCTTTTCATGGCTGAGTAATATTCCACTGTGTGGATGGACCACAGTGTGTTGATCCATTTTTCTGTCCACCACCCCTTGGGTTGTTTCCACCTTTGGGGTTATTGTGAATTGTGCTGCTGTGAACATGGGTGTACAAATATCTCTGTGTCCCTGTTCACGGTGACACTGTTCACGGTGTCTGCCATACACCCAGCAGGAACTCTCATCCCCATTTCTCTGAGGGGGCAAGTCAAGGCACCTGGAATTTTGCAGGATGCAGCTCATGCCTTCCGTTTTGCTGGGAATATACCCAGGAGTGGGAATGCTGGCTCTTATGGCAATTCTATTTTTAAATTTCTTTTTTTTTTTTTTGAGATAGAGACTTGCTCTGTCACCCAGGCTGGAGTATAGTGTCACGATCTTGGCTCACTGCAACCTCCACCTCCTGGGTTCAAGTGATTTTCCTGCCTCAGCCTCTCGAGTAACTGGAATTATAGGTGCATACTACCACACCTGGCTTTTTTTTTTTTTTTTTTTTTTTTTAGAGAGACGGAGTCTCACTCTGTCACCCAGCCTGGAGTGCAGTTGCAGCGATCTTGGCTCACTGCAAGCTCTGCTTCCCGAGTTCACGCCATTCTCCTGCCTCAGCCTCCCGAGTAGCTGGGACTACAGGCACCTGCCACCACGCTGGGCTAATTTTTTGTATTTTTAGTAGAGACGGGGTTTCACTGTGTTAGCCAGGATGGTCTCGATCTCCTGACCTCGTGATCCGCTCGCCTCAGCCTCTCAAAGCGCTGGGATTACAGGTGTGAGCCACCGCGCCCGGCCACGCCTGGCTAATTTTTGTATTTTTAGCAGAGATGGGGTTTCACCATGTTGGTCAGGCTGGTCTTGAACTCCTGACCTCAAGTGATTCACCTGCCTCGGCCTCCCAAAGTGCTGGGAAAACACGCTTTTTTTTTTTTAATGGTAGCCATCCTAATGGGTGTGAGGGGCACCAGTACTATTTGATGTTTTCCTTGATATCAATCAGCTCTTTTAAAAATGCTTAATTTGCGGCCGGGCGCGGTGGCTCACGCCTGTAATCCCAGCACTTTGGGAGGCCGAGGCGGGCGGATCACGAGGTCAGGAGATGGAGACCATCCTGGCTAACACGGTGAAACCCCATCTCTACTAAAAGTACAAAAAATTAGCCAGGCGTGGTGGCGGGCACCTGTAGTCCCAGCTACTCGGGAGGCTGAGGCAGCAGAGTGGCGTGAACCCGGGAGGCGGAGCTTGCAGTGAGCCGAGATCGTGCCACTGCACTCCAACCTGGGCGACAGAGCCAGACTCCGTCTCAGAAAAAAAAAAAAAAAGCTTCATTTGACCAGGTGGCTGGCGTGGTGGCTCACGCCTGTAATCCCACTACTTTGGGAGACCAAGGCAGGAGAATCGCTGGAGCCCACGAGTTCCAGACCAGCCTGCGCAACAAAGAGAAACCCTATCTCTACAAAATTACAAAAATACAAAAATAAGCCGGGCGCGGTGGCACATACCAGCAGTCCCAGCTACTTGGGAGGCCGAGGTGGGAGGGTCGCTTGAGCCTGGGAGGTCTAGGTTGCAGTGAGCCATGATTGCGCCACTATACACCGGCCTGGGTGACAGAAAACACCTTACTATCTCTTAAAGGAAAATTTACACCACTGGCTGAAAAAAAAAAAAAATTAGCCAAGCATGGTGGCGGGCACCTGCAAATTCCAGCTACTCGGGAGGTTGAGGCAGGAGAATCACTTGAACCCAGGAGGCGGTGGCTGCAGTGAGCCAAGATCACGCCACTGCATTCCAGCCTGCGTGACAGGGCGAGACTCTGTCTCAAAAGAAAAAGAAAGAATTAAATGTCTAGCGTGGAATCAGGGAGGCTGGGCGGTCTCCAGGCTCTTCCAGTGTCTTCTCCCCAGCCCAGGAGGCAGGCCGGCTCCCTGGCTACTCGCTCCCGCTGGGGCTCATCCTCACCTGCTCTGTGGCCTCAGGTAAGTGCCGTCCATCTCTGGACACTGGTTATCCCGGTGACCTAAACCTGGGCCCTTTTCGCCCACTCCACTCAGTATGTGGCTAATGGCGTGGCCCTCAGATTCGTCCAATCCACGTCTGAACCCCTTGTGCTCGGCCTCCATGTTACCATCTGTAACATGAGCATCTGAAAAGCAATTACCCAAGTCTGGGCGCGGTGGCTCACACAGGTAATCCCGGCACTTTGGGAGGCCGAAGCAGGTGGATCACCTGAGGTCAGGAGTTTGAGACCAGCCTGGCCAACATGGCGAAACCCCATCTCTACTAAAAATAACAAAAATTGGCCAGGTTCAGTGGCTCACGCCTGTAATCCCAGCACGTTGGGAGGCTGAGGCAGGTGGATCACGGGGTCAGGAGTTCAAGACCAGCCTGACCAACACGGTGAAACCCTGTCTCTACTACAAATACAAAAATTAGCTGGGTGTGGTGGCACGCACCTGTAATCCCAGCTACTCAGGAGGCTGAGGCCGGAGAAACACTTGAACCCAGGAGGCAGAGGTTGCAGTGAGCCGAGATTGTGCCACTGCATGCCAGCCTGGGTGACACAGCAAGACTCCATCTCAATAAATAAACAAATAAATAAAAATAAAAAAATTAGCCAGGCATGGTGGCGGGTGCCTGTAATCCCAGCTACTCGGGAGGCTGAGGCAGGAAAATCACTTGAACCTGGGAGGTGGAGGTTGCAGTGAGCTGAGATCGTGCCACTGCACTCCAGCCTGGGCAGCAAAAGCGAAACTCCGTCTCAAAAAAAAAAGCAAAAAAAAAAAAAAAAAGCATCTACCCAGGGGCCCAGGCGCGGTGGCTCACACCTGTATTCCCACAGCTTTGAGAGGCTGAGGCGGGAGCATCACTTGAGGCCAGGAGACAGAGGCCAGCCTGTGCAAATAGCAAGACTCCATCTCTACAAAAAATATAAAAAATGAGAAAGATGCATAGAGTGGACAGCACCTCTGGAGAGAAACTGTGCTGGTTTCAAGGGACATTAGCTGATGTTTTATCAACTTAAAAGGCCTCCAGGAAGAGATCATGGCCCCTGGACCTGGCCTCTGGGAGGTAGTACAATACCCTTGCTGGGGGGACGTCTTTGTCTTCCTCGTTCACTGCTGCCCAGGGTTGACCGGGGCTAAGGTGAGGCCTGAGGGCACCGAGGGAGCCCCGGAAAGAGGCCTCACATGTGCCCAACACGGGCAGCTCGATGTCATTTCCTTTCTTTTTTTTTTTTTGAGACAGAGTCATGCTCTGTCGCCCAGGCTGGGGTGCAACGGCACGATCTAAGCTCACTGCAACCTCCGCCTCCTGGGTTCACAGGATTCTCCTGCCTCAGCCTCCCGAGTAGCTGGGACTACAGGTGCGTGCTACCACGCCCGGCTAATTTTTGTATTTTTAGTAGAGACGGGGCTTCACCATGTTGGCCAGGTTGGTCTCCATCTCTTGACCTTGTGATCCGCCTGCCTTGGCTTCCCAAAGTGCTGGGATTACAGGTGTGAGCCCCAGCGCCCGGCCTCGTTTCATTTTCATAACTGTCCTCTGGCTGCCGGTGACCTTTCCAGATTCAGTGAAGGTCAGACACCATTTCTGCTCTCCTTACCCTCCCCTTCCCCCAGGAGGCCCTGCATGGCCTGAAACCTCCCTGCTTCCTCCCTCTCCCTCCTCCCTCTCCCCTTCCTTTCTCCCCCTCCTCCCTCTCTCTCCTGCCTCACTCTCTCCCCCAGCTCACTCTGCTCCAGCCACATGGGCCTCCTCACTGTTCCTCCAACACACCAGGCGCGATCCTGCCCCAGGGCCTTTGCACCGGCTGTGCTCACTGCCTTAACCACTGTCCCCACATTTCCACATGATGTAATAATCCTTGTCATTCCAATTTCACTCAAAAGCCCCCTCCAGGCCGGGCGCAGTGGCTCACGCCCATAAACCCAACACTTTGGGAGGCTGCGACGGGGAATCACCGGAGGTCAGGAGTTTGAGGCAAGCCTGGCCAACATGGTGAAACCCTGTCTCTACTAAAAATAAAAAAATTTAGCCAGGTGCCTGTAGTCCCAGTTACTCAGGAGGCTGAGGCATGAGAATTGCTTGAACCCAGGAGAAGGAAGTTGCAGTGAGCCGAGAACACATCACTGCACTCCAGCCCGGGTGACAGAGTCAAACTCAAACAGGCCGGGCGTGGTGTCACACCTGTAGTCCCGGCACTTCGGGAGGCCGAGGCGGGCAGATCTCCTGAGGTTAGGAGTTCAAGGTCAGCCTGGCCAATATGCCAAAACCTGATTTCTACTAAAAATACAAAATTTGGTGGCATACCTCTCTAGTCCCAGCTACTCAGGGAGGCTGCAGCAGGAGAATCGCTTGGACCCAGGAGACGAAGGTTGCCGTGAGTCAAGATAGGGCCTCTACACTCCAGCCTGGGTGACAGAGCAAGACTGTCTCAAAAAAACAAACAAGCAAACAAAACAAAACCTCAAAGTCCCTCCTCAGGGAGCCTCCAGTGTGGACTCAATTGTAAAACAGCACCCAGCCATTGATCACCATCTGAAGGCAGCCCACCTACTTGACCACTTATTATCCAACTCCCACAGTGGACTGCGAGCCCCATGGCGTCCAGGCCAGCGTCTCTTGCACACGCCTGTATCCCTGAGCCTGGCACAGGACCTGGCAGAGCAGAGTTCAAGTGTTCGCTGAATCGATAGTTGAATGAAACTAATCCGGCCGGGCACAGTGGTTCATGCCTGTATTCCTAGTGCGTTCAGAGGCTGAAGTGAGAGGATTGCTTGAGGCCAGGAGTTCAAGACCAGCCTGGGCAACATGGCAAGATCCAATCTCTACAAAAATATTTACAAAATGTAGCCGGGCATGGTGGCATTTGCCTGCAGTCCCAGCTACTTGGGAGGCTGTGGCAGGAGGATCACTTGAGCCCAGGTCAAGGCTGCAGTGAGCTATGATTGCACCACTGCACTCCAGCCTGGGTGACAGAGCAAGACCCTATTTTATGTTTTTTGAGTCAAAGTCTCGCTCTGTCGCCCAGGCTGCAGTGCAGTGGCATGATCTTGGCTCACTGCAACCTCCGCTTCCCAGGTTCAATGGATTCTTCTGCCTCGGCCTCCCGAGTAGCTGGGACTACAGATGTGTACCACCACCCCCGGCTAATTTTTATATTTTTAGCAGAGACGGGTTTTCATCATGTTGGCCAGGCTGGTCTCAAACTCTGACCTCAAGTGATCCTCCTGCCTCTGACTCCCAGAGTGCTGGGATTACAGACGTGAAGCCACCATGCCGGGTGTGAGACCCTGTCTCTAAAAAAAAAAAAAAAAAGGAAAAATTACCTGTGTATGTTAGCAGGGAAGATGATGGGCTGGCTTTTCCTCTAAAATGGGGTTTGCCTGGGTCCACGATGGGGCCAAAGCCACCTTCTGCCTGCACAGAGGTGGGCAGCCACTGTCCACTCTTGGCCCTGCTAAGCTCCTGGAGAATCACGCAGGACCCCAAGAAGGTCAAACCCCTGGACCCTAGAGCCCCCTGAACTGGTAAAATTTGGTCCAGGGAGGCACAGCCCCCATGCCCCAGGGCCACACAGCACGTGGGGGCCGAACCTGGCCTCTGCTCGCCGCCCAGGGAAGCCCAAGCACTGCCCCCACCATTCCATCCCCAGTGGCCAGCGGCCCCATGCTCCGGGGTCAGGTAAGCACTGCCCCCGCCATTCCATCCCCAGTGGCCAGCGGCCCCATGCTCCGGAGTCAGGTGAGCCTCTTTCTTTTCCTGCAACCCTGCCCTGCCTGCCTTTCGCTCTGGGTCCATCCCCTCCCTCCTCTCCCTCCTGAACAAGCTTCTCCTGCCACATGTTTTGGGGAGGCAGAGACCCCGTGCTGGGTTTGAGGCTCTGTTGCCGATTCCTAGGGGACCCTGGTGGGGGGGTGGGTTCCCTGCCTGTTTCTGAAGTTCCCTGGTCTGAGAAGAGGCAGCTTTGACTGCAGGGATGTGGGTCTTGCTCAGGAAGCCCCCAGCAGTCCAGGTCTTGGTCCAGGCCACACACTGGTTCTGGAAGCATCTCTGTAGCCCCTCCTCTGCACTCCAGGAACACAGCGGTGGAGGGGGAACAGGATGAGCCCATCCTTCTCTGCCTCCACTTGTGCCAGCCCAGTCACCTCTACCCGGTCCTAGGCTAAACCCTCGCCACTCCCGTCTGTCCTCCCTGCGGTAGCCGTCAGAGGGCGCCTGGGAGCACCTGAGTCAGGGCCTGTCGCTCTTCTACCCACAGCCCTCCATGGCTCCCAGCTGCCCTGGGGTCAAAGCCCAAGTCCTCCCCGTGGCCCACCAGGCCCTGCACAACCTGCCCTGTCCCTTCCCCACCCTCACTCCCTCTGCTCGAGCCACACAGGCCTTCCTGCTGTTCCTCCAACACGCCCGGTGCCGTCCTGCACCAGGGCCTTTGCACAGGTGGGCTGTGCCTCTGCTTGCAATCTTCTCCTCCAGGTTTCACCCCGGCTGCCTCATCATTCAGGTCGCAGCTCAGACACCCTCCCTTCCAGCCAGTCTGCAGGACACTGCCTCCCTCAGGGCAGCTTCCTCAGCTGCCCTGGCCTCCCCACGCCCCCACCTCTCCCTGCTTCTTCTCACCGGCACATCTCTGCCTCTCCTCCTTCCCCGAGAGCACGGATCTCAGGCCAGGGACACATGGCAGCTCCACCAGCATTTACTGAGCCCGACAGCTGGGCAGGCCAGGAAGGGGGCCTGGGCACCGGGCAGAACCTGGGAGGGTCCCCGGGGCTTCTGACCAGGAGGGACCAACCCTAGTTCTGCACCTGCTGTGTAGGTTCTCAGTAAACCAAAGCTAGCCGAGTATGGTGCCCTGCTGGGACCTCTCTGAACCTGGGGCTGGGGTTGGAAGCCGACTTCACACAGCCCACTGCCCGCCATCCAGGGTTGCAGAGTCCTCCCAGATTCATGTCCAAAACAACCTCAGCCTTTAGCCTCAACTGGAAATGGGATCTTGGCAGAGGTCATTAGTTAGGGGGAACATCTTCCTGGAGCAAGATGGGCCCTGATCCAATGTGACGGAGGTCCTTGGAAGACAGGGACAAGGTGGGGGCTGGAATGACGCGGCCACAAGCCGAGGATGCTGGGAGCCCTAGAAGCTGGGAGGAGAGGCAGGAAGGACCCGCCCTGGGGGCCCTGCCAACACCCTGACTTTGGACTTGGGGCTTCGGAGACACTAAGGGTGGATTTCTGGTGTTCTGAGCCCCATAGTTGGTGGTGCTTTGTGATGGTGGCCCAGGAAACAGGTCCATCCATCACCTACAAGACCCTGTACACAGGCCCTCCTCTCCTGCACGGCCCAGCAGCCTTGGGCACAGGCCTGGCCCACGATAGGCTGGAGCCTCACTCCAGCAGAGGGCAAGTCAGTGACGTACTCTCCACACAGCCCTGCCCCTACTGTCACCCCCTGGAGGAACATGAACCCCCAACAGTTGTCACAATCCAATTCTCACAGCCCCCAGACCAAACACTGGTGGCGATCATTCAATATGGCTTTATTTTCTCATCGGCCGGCTGCATCCCACACCAGCCTGAGCCCCAGACGGTCAGTCAGTGCATCCATCATGACGACCTGTCCAGGAAGGAAGGAAGGAAGCTCCCTCCAAAATGCTGGCCCCGTGGCACCCAGACAGGAGCCTGCTGGCTAGCATGCAAGCACTCCCCAAATTCTCTCATGGTGACAAGGTGGCAGCTGCCTGGGTCCCAGAGTCTCAGCACAAGTGCCCAGAGGCCAGTGGTGATGGGCCCTTGGGCAAGTCTCTGGAGGAGGCGGGCAACCCGCAGGGCAGACGGGAGAAGAGGGTCCCCTGCCAACCTGGAGGAAAGAGGGGTGGTTGTCCCCTCACCCCTCCAGGCTGCAGGTTCTGGAGGGCAGAGGTGCTGGCCGAAGAACTGGTGGCCAAAGTGAGACCCCCTGGTCCTATCTGGACAGAACCCCAGGCTCCCATGGGCCGGCCCAGGTCCTTCGGACAGCAAACACCTCCCTGGGCCACGGAAGGGAGACGGCTGCGGGTGCCAGGCCAGGACTTGCCCAGCTCAAGTCCCTTCCCCACCAAGCCTGCTCGGCACGCACTGGGTAGGTTATATTGCTAAAGAACGGACACACCGGGGTCTCCCTGAGCTCAACACGGGCCTCCTTCTCTCCCACACACACACGACGCCTGGTCTGCGGGGTGGAGGGTTCTGTCCAAGGCTTCCCGAGGGCCCGGACCTTCCTCTCTGAGTTCCAGGAAGGGTGGCCCCAGAGGCCATGCCCCAAGTCCTCTCCTTCCCAGCAAACGTTCTCACCTGACGCCCCCACCCCGAACACATCCTTTCTATTGATGAGGAAGCTGAGGCCCAGGGCGAGGAGCGAGGGGAGGAGCCACAAGGCCTCCCCGGGCCACCTCCTGCCTCCCAGTACTCCACCCGCACCCAGTTCCCCAGGGAGGACCAACTGGCCGTGGCAAAGCCTGGATGGCCTGGGGGCCCAGTACCGAGCCCAGGAAACACCAGGCACTGGCTCAGGACTCAGGGCAGGGAGCTGGGCCAGGGCCAAGCAGGTGACGGCCCTGGGAGCTGGGCTGGGGCCGCAGAGGCACAGGGGCCGGAGGGATGGGCTGGGAGAAGAGGAGTGCAGGGGAACGGGGATTTGCAGTGGGTCGGGGGTCGGGGAGGCAGGGGCCCTGCCAGGCCCCCACGAAGCAAAGGCTGTCAATGATGACATCAGACCCTGCAGTCGGAGAAGGGGAAGGCTGGGTGATGCAGCTCCCCGAGCCCACTGTCAGGGGGACGGGTCACTGAGACCACATGGGGAACAAAAGGCTCCAGGAGGGCTGGAATCCCAGAACCCCAGGGCTGGCACTGCCCTCCTCCAGGCAAGAAGGAGCAGAGATAAATAACCATGTCCACGCCACCATCGGGGAGCGGGAGGGGACGTCCTAGGACAGACACGGAGCAGGGAGCAGGTCAGGCCTGCAGTCCAGGCCCCTTGCGGCAGGAGGCGGTGGGCGGAGGCCGCGCGCGATCGGGCAGGGGGTCCCGGCGTCTCCTCTTTAATCGTGCATGTGTGCTTACACCAGACCGAGGGCGGCCGGCTCCCAGGACTGGGGGGCTCGTCCGCAAGTCCGTAGCCTGGCCCCGGGACGTCTCCCAAGCTCTCCTCCAAGGAAGTTCAAAGACAAGGAAAAGAAGAAACAATCCCCCCCCAGTCTCGGAGAGCAACAGAAAAAAGCTCTGTAATTCAGTGTTCCAACCACCGCCGGGGAGGGAGAGGGCCCCTGTCCCTGCAGGGCCGCCCGCGGCGGGGCAGTGTCCACTCACTCGTGCTCGGCCCCAGGGACTGTGGAGCGGCGGGGGCTCCGGCTGTGGGGGTGGCTGTGTCACTGTGTCTTGGCCTTCACGAGCAGCCTCTGGACGGTCTTGTAGAGGAGGCTGAAGTGCTGGGGACACAGCAGGAGGGAGTGAGGATGTGGGCGGGGCCAGAGCCCCAGGTCATGTGACTCTAGGCTGAGCCAGGGGCCAGGATGCACTTGGAGACGCCCAGCCCAGCTCCTCCCGGCGGGCGGCCCCTGCCCCACCTGAGCCTGGGCACTGCTCACCTGGACAGCCACGTAGGCCATGCCGAGGTAGGCAGCAATGCCAACAGCCAGGAGCAGGTCAAAGACGGCCGGCTTGACTCTGTGGAGAAAGCAGGGTCCCTGAGGTCGAGGATGGTGCGCGGCAGTAACATGAACCCCTAGACCCCCGTGGGCCGCAGTCCCCTCGGCTGTAACCCGTAGGGGGTGAAGGGCTCCAGGTCCCGCTGGCCACCACTCACCTGTACGCATTCATCACTTGCTTCAGCTGGTCGTAGAAGACAAACTCTGGGTCCCTGGGGAGAGAGCACTTTCTCAGGGGGCACCACTGCGCCCAGCTAATTCTTAAAAAAGGGTTTGTAGAGATGGAGACTGGGCACGATGGCTCACACCTGCAATCCCAGCACTTTGGGAGGTTGAGGCAGGCGGATCACTTGAAGTCAAGAGTTCAAGACCAACCTGGCCAACACGGTGAAACCCCATCTCTACTAAAAATTAAAAAAAATTAGCCGGGCATGGTGGCGGGTGCCTGTAATCCCAGCTACTCAGGAGACCGAGGTCCGAGAATCACTTGAAGCCGGGAGATGGAGGCTGTAGTGAGACAAGATCACGCCACTGCACTCCAGCCTGGGTGACAGAGGAAGACTCCATCTCAAAGACAAATAAATAAAAACTTTAAAAAGTTTGTAGAGATGGGGTCTTGCTATGTTGCCCAGGTTGGTCTCCAACTCCTGGGTTCAAGCGATTCTTCCGTCCCGGCCTCCTAAGTAGCTGGGATTACAGGTGCCCACTGCCACATCCGCCTAATTTTTGTATTTTTAGTAGGGATGAGGTTTCACTATGTTGGCCAGTCTGGTCTTGAACTCCTGACCTCAAGTGATCCACCTGCCTCGGATTCCCAAAGTACTGGGATTGCAGGCACAGCCGCCGTGTCCGGCCCTCATCCCACCCTCTCTTTGTATTTGCTCCACCTGGCATCCCCCAGGGGTGAGGGGGTGGGAGATGCAGTAGGGGGAGGTCCCCCTCGGCCCCAGGCTGAACGGGGCCAGCGCGGAGCCCCAGCCTCACCGCTTGTCAGCCTTGACGTGGTGCTGCTTCACGTCCTTCAGGTAGCGGCTCAGGTGGTGCTCCAGCGTGCTGAGGAAGGTGCTGTCCTTGTCCACCAGCTGCGCGGCCCGCGGCTGGTTGGTGAGCCAGTCCATCACCGAGTCCAGCTGCTCCTGCTGGATCTGCTGTAGGGACGGTGGTGGTAGTCATGGCCTGGCCCCGCCCACCCACCCACCCACTGGCCTGGCCCCCTTACCATCTGCTCTGTGAACACCGGCATGTCTGGGGGTGTCCCCTGCGGAGAGAGGAGGGGATGGCCCTGAGTCCAGGCCCCTGCAGTGGGGCTGGGGCCAGGGGTGGGGCCGGGGCCGGGGGCAGGGCTGGGGCTGGGTCTGGCGGCACAGAGGGCTCAGGGCTCACCTTCTCTGTCAGGTTGTAGATGACTCGAGTCAGGGCCTCTGCAATGATCCTCGTGTTACGGGTCAGGGTCTTAGAATCCACCCGGGACCTTCACGATTCAAAAACAATGTTTTAAAATGTGGACTTTGGGCCAGGCAAGGTAGCTCTCACACTTGTAATCCCAGCACTCCAGCCTAGGAGACCGTGAGACTCTGTCTTTAAAAAAAAAAAAAAATTAAGCTTAGCTTTAACTACTTGGCTAACATGTAGATGCAGATTCACTGGGGGCCCCACACCTCCAGGCCCCTTGCCCTGACCCGTCCCTGTGCGCAGGTAAGGCTCACGCCCTGAGGCCTTGGTTCCTTCTGACTCGGTTTTCTGCTCTTCCAGAATTTAAACTGGACTATTCCGTCCTGGTGGAAGAATCCATTCTGGGACCCTCTGCAAATCCCAGGTGGCCCTCCTGGGCTGACCCCTGGTGGTCTTGAGAGAGCTCAGCACAGCTGGGACAGCCGTGCACCCACCCTCATTTCCTGGCAATCTTTCCTGGCTGGTGGGCGACCGCCACCTCCATCCTTTCCAGGACTGCGATTACCCAGGGATGTGCCCCTCCCTCCCGCCACTGGCTTCTGCAGGCCTCCGATGGCTGAGCTCAAACCACTCCTGAGGGCCCAGTGACCGCAGAGCAGAGTGGATGAACGGGAAGGATCTATGCCGGGACTGCGGGCGCTGGGGGAGGAGACGGCGCCCACCTGCTGGTGCCAGGACTGGCCAGGAGTGTGCCTGGGGTGGCCAGACAGTTCCAGGCTCCACAAAAGCCTGCCCAGGGGCTCACATGATGGCAGAGAGACGGGCAGGACACAGGGTCAGAGGACATAAGAAGCCAGAGACACAGTGCCCAGAGGGAGGCGGGGCGAGGAAGGGCCGGGGTGTGGTGGCGGGCCAGGCTCCCCAAGACGGTGGCCGGGGCCAGGCAGGACTTTCGGGCTGTGGCAGGGCCCTGAAGAGGCCCAGAGGCAGGAGCTGCTTGCTCCTAACTCAACAGGTGACGGGGTCTGGGGGTCCTATATGGGGCCACGACCTCAGGCTGCTGGCCTCGCCCTCCCTAGCCCCAGTAAGGAAGAGCTTGCGAACGGCCTGACCGTGCAGCCGGCCTTGGCCACGCACCGGCCCCTTCCTCGCAGCCTGTGTGTGGGGGCCGCTCCCTCCAGGCTCTCATGGCCTCTGCAGTTGCGACCAGTGGCTCAGCCCCCAGGAAAGCCCTAGGAGGGGCCGGGCAGGTGCTGCCGCGCTCACCGCACGTCCATGATGCTGCTGCGCTGGCCGTCACGGTGGCTCTCCAGGTGGGACAGCGTGAAGGCGGGCAGTCGGCGGATGGCGAAGCGCTCGTGCTCCCAGGCCAGCACGTCCTCCGCCAGGTTGATCCGCTTGTGCACCATGGAGAACCGTACCTCAGGGAACTGGTGCGCGGCCACCTGCAGCCGGAGGCGCCATTAGCAGAGGGCAGGCGGGGATGGCGGCCACCCCAGCCCATTCCCCAAATGCTCCAGGGGCCTCCCAGAACCCCCGAGGGTGCAAAATGAGGAGAAATCCACCTGCCCCCGGGGTCCCCCTAAGGCCTGCTGGAGCCCCGGCGGGCAATGAGCAGTGGGTAAGGAGGGACAAGGGGACACTCTGGGACAGGACACCCCAGCCCGGCCCTGACGCAGTGTGCCCCTCAGAGCCCCGGGGTTGGACAGCAAGGACACCCCAGGACAGAACACCCCAGCCCGACCCCGACACAGTGTGGCCCTCAGAGCCTGAGGGGCGGACAGCAAGGACACCCTGGGACAGGATGCCCCAACCCGGCCCCGATGTGTGTGCTCCGCAGAGCTCCGGACCCATCCATGAAAGGGGCACCCACCGTCTCCAGCTCCCGCAGGAAGGCGTGCTGCAGGGTGCCCTCCCGAGGCGGCTTGGACACGTGCAGGTGCAGGCTGCTGCCCCGGCCCACGGTGTCCAGGCACAGCACGAAGGCCACATTGTCCTGAAGCAGGCTGGAGTCTGCAGGACACCGAGAGCTGGCGGGGTGGGTGGGGACCAGGAAGTGGCCCCCGGCCCTCCCTCTGTGCCTCCTGGCTGCCCCCATGGCAACCCCTGGGCCTCCGTGCCTCCCCACGGCACCACCACCGCGGCACCCCCACCCCCACCCGGGGCCGCTCACCTGTGTGGTCCAGGTTGTCTTCCAGCCAGCGCTTGGTTCCCTGGTAGTTAAACTTGCCTCCTCCAGACGCAAAGAACAGGAGGTTGTAGCTGGGAGGGAAGACCCAGTGTTAGCTTTGACGGGCAAGCGCCTGGGGTGGAGGAGGGACCAGGCCAGGTCACAGGTCCCCCAGGAAGGGTATGAAGGTCTCCCCAAAGCAGGAAATCCTGACCAGCCCCTTAGGGCGGGGCATGACCCCTCGGCCCTGTGGACACTGGGGCTGGATGGTTCTCTGAGGTGAGGCTGTCCTGGGCACTTCAGGGTGCTGAGTGGCATCCCTGGCCTCACCCACCCCATACCGGGAGCTTCCCCCAATGACAACTGCAAATCACTCAGTGTCTCCAGGCAGCAGGGCCACCCCACGTTAGACCCCAGCTCTAGAGGCTTCTCTGAGCCCAGGAGGAACCGGGGTGACCGACCAGGCAACAGACACGAGGAGATCAAAAAAATAAAGTCTATTCACTTAAAGAAGAAGAATTCTTTTTTTTTTTTCTTTTGGGACGGAGTTTCGCTCTTTCTGCCCAGGCTGGAGTGCAATGGTGCAGTCTCGGCTCACTGCAACCTCTGCCTCCCGGGTTCAAGCAATTATCCTGCCTGAGCCTCCCAAGTAGCTGGGATTACAGGCATGCAGCACCACACCTGGCTAATTTTGTATTTTTAGTAGAGACAGGGTTTCAACACGTTAGGCAGGTCTCGAACTCCTGACAGGTGATCCACCTGCCGCAGGCTTCCAAAGTGCTGGGATTATAGGCATAAGCCACCCAGGCAGGCCAAAAATTCTAATGGAACACAGCCTTGGCTATTAGAAGGGTCACCAGAGTCAGAGAAGGAAACTGCTCAGCACGCCCCCTACCCCCATCTTCCCACATCTGCCCCGGACTCTCTCCAACCCAGTTTCCCTCTGCCCCAGAAACCCAACCTCTCCCCAGCTGCCAAGAAGCCCCCAGGCCTGGCAGAAACCAGCCCCGTTCACACGTTTTTGACAGCATGAGCTTCTCAAAAGGCATCAGTGGGGGGCTGGGGGAAGAGGTTCTGCAGCTTAAAAAAAAAAAAACAAGTTTTGGCTGGACATGGTGGCTCACACCTGTAATCCTAGTGCTTTAGGAGGCTGAGGCAGGAGGATCGCTTGAGGCCAGGAGTTCGAGTCCAAGTTCCTGCCTGAACCAGGACATGACTCCCGGCGCCTTGTGACTGTGAGAAGGCTGAGAAACGTCTCAGCCACAGTGGCCCTGGCCTCTCTGAGCTGCTGACACAATGACTGCAGCAGTACCATCTCGGGAGCAGGTGACTGGGCCGGGGTCTCACCCGGAGGTGATTCTACCCCACCCCGCACAGGAGACACAGTCATGTCTGGAGACATCTGTGGTTGCTACGTCTGGGGGTGCTCCTGGGATGGAGTGGGTGGCACCCAGGAGAGAGTCATGCACAGAAGACATCCACAGGGCCACGGGGACGAAGCCTGCATTCATTATCTGGGGAAAAATCAAGTCTGCCCCCTGCTCACACCAGACACCAGGATAAACTCCCAACGGGGTAGACGGGATAAACCAGGGGGACCCCAGCTCCTGGGATTCACCTCCTCTCTCCCTTCCTACTCAGGGTGTGGATTTCAATGTGTGCAGCCTCCTGGGACCTCAGCGGGGCAGATGATCACGGGACATAGTCTCTCGGGGGCCCGTGGAATTCCCTAACCCAGGGGGGTCTCAACCAGGGGTGCTTCTGCCCCCAGCGGACAGTGGGTGATGTCGGAGGGCACCTGTGGCTATCATGACTATGGCGTGTTCCTGGCATGGAGTGAGTGGGGCAGGGATGCTGCTCAGCGCCCTGCAGTGCCCAGGACGGCCCCCACCCCCAGCGAAAAATCCGGCCCCGACCACACAGGGCTGAGGGGATCCCCTAGTTCCAGGGCCCTTAACCGGGCGTCTCTAACACTTGCAGCTGACAGCATTCCCAGCAGGTTCCTGGGGTGAGCAGCAGCTGGGCCCTGTGGGACTCCAAGAGACAGAGCCTGCGAGGGCTCAGCTTAGCCCTCGATAAATAAGGCGCCCCAATTCCTGGGCTCAGGCCCACTTTGGGGCCAGGAGGCTCCAGAGAAACATCTGCAGAGGTGCCTGGTGGGCAGCGCTGTCCGGCAGTGTGGCCCCCGCACCCCCATCCCCCTGCCCACCCCGGCACTCACGCGGCGTGCGTGCGCTTGTAGGTGTAGAGCCGGGAGAAGAGGCGTGCCAGCTCCAGCAGCACAGAGACGCCGCTCCCGTTGGAGTCCGCGCCCAGCGACAGCCACTACAGGGACGGGAGAGGCAAGGCCACAGTCACCCCCGCCCGGCTCCCGCACCCCATGACCTCCGCCCACAGCAGCCACAGTCATCTCTCCGTCACCCCCACCCTACTCCCGTAGCCCCATGACCTCTGCCCACAGCAGCCACGGTCATCTCTGTGCTGTCCCCCAGCCCCTCTGCCACGTCCAGTGGGCAGCTGTGGTCGCTCCCCTCCTGTATTCAATCCCCGACTGATGGCCTGGGGTCTGCGGGGCCCCGCCAAGCCCAGGACTCTCCTCATCCACCTCGGCTCGGCCCGCGCCCGGGAGAAGCTACATGCAGAATTTGGAGCCCAGGGCCAGGCCAGATTCGCTCACAGAGGGCAGCATCTGTCCAGCCCTGGTCTCTGTGCGGGGTCCCCTCTGTGGGACCCACCCTTCCACCCTCGAGCCCCGGCTGTGGAGAGACCTGCACAGCCCGACCACATGCCCTTCCCGCCCTTGGATGCACCTTTGTGATCTAAAGCAGCATTCTCAATAAGGCCACACTGTTTCTTGGACATTGCAATGGCTTGGGACCGTCCCAAGGCCACAGCATATAAAGGGGACCTCGGTGGCACTGAATTCAGGGGGACAATAAACACCCTCCTCAGTGAGAGAAGCCAGATCCAAAAGACTTTGTCCACAGTGTAGGATCTGTTCATAGGACCCGTCCAACAGGCCAGTCCACAGGCACTGGGACGGATGCGCACATGCTGGGGTTCTGGGGCTGGGGAGGGGACCAGGAGTGACTGCTGATGGGGAGGGGCTGCTTTTTGGGGTGATGGAATGTTCTGGAATTAGAGGTGGAGACCGTACAACTTTGGATGTACTAAAACCCACTCGTACGCTCTAAAATGGTGAACTTTATGTTCTATCATTATCTCAAAAAATAAATTTGCCTGGGCTCGGTGGCTCACGCCTGTAATCCCAGCACTTTGGGAGGCCAAGATGGGCAGATTACAAGGTCTGGAGTTCAAGACCATCCTGGCCAACATGGTGAAACCCTATCTCTACTAAAAATACAAAAAATGAGCCAGGTGTGGTGGCACGCGCCTGTAGTCCCAGCTACTCCGGAGGTTGAGGCAGGAAAATCGCTTGAACCCGGGAGGCGAAGGTTGCAGTGAGCCCAGATCTCGCCACTACACTCCAGCCTGGTGACAGAGCGAGACTCCGTCTCAAAAAAAAAAAAAAAAATACATAAATAAAATAAATTTAAAACAAAAAAAGCTTCATAGGGGACAATGAGGACAGAGAAAGGCAGTGGGCGCGGTGGCTCATGCCTGTAATCCCAGCAGGTTAGGAGGCCGAGGCGGGTGGATTGCCTGAGGTCAGGAGTTCAAGAGGCATTGCTCTGAGCAGCTTGAGTTTGTGTGGGCCCAGCGGGACCAGGCATTCTCAAGGCTGGGGGCCTGGCCCTCCAAGGGGTCGGGCACTCAGCCAGGCAGCAGATCTGCCCAGACCCTCCGCACTCTGCCTGGTTCAGCTGATTTGTGTTCAAAGGAGGCAGGACTGGGTGCGGTGGCTCAGGCCTGTAATCCGAGCACTTTGGGAGGCTGAGGAGGGCAAATCATGAGGTCAGGAGATCGAGACCATCCTGGCTAACGTGGTGAAACCCCGTCTCTACTAAAAATAAAAAAAATTAGCCAGGTGTGGTGGCGGGTGCCTGTGGTCCCAGCTACTCGGGAGACTGAGGCAGGAGAATCGCTTAAACCCAGGAGGCAGAGGTTGCAGTGAGCCGAGATTGTGCCACTGCACTCCAGCCTGGGGGACAGAGCAAGACTGTCTCAATTAAAAAAAAAAAAAAAAAAAAAAAAAAAGGAGGAGGCAGGGTGCTGGTTGACACCGTGGTACATGCCCCCCCACCCCACTCCCGCTCAACCCACGCTGAGCAGAACCAAGCTTGTGCCGCAGGCCTGAGACCAGGAACCTGCAGCAGGGCCCCCGACCCTCGCTGACAGGACAGGCTCTGGGTCCAAAGCTGTTCCTGCAAACACCATGGTTTACACACGGGCCCTGCTTCCCTCCGGAGTCTGGAATCCCGGCATGGGCCAGGCAGCAGGGGCTGTAGAACCAGCTCCCATAGGAACCGGGCGCTGGGTCTCTGGAAGTCTCGCTGGTGACAGTGCTTTGGGCTGTCGTCCCAGCTCACTGCTGACAATGAGGCGTGTTCCACGTGACACACAGGGAGAGGGCCTGGAAGCCAGGACTGGCCTCCCCAACTCACCGCACGCGCCTTTCCCTTCGCGGACTCTGCTACGTGCTCCATGACCGCTCGCTGGGACAAACCACAGCCTCGAGGAGGCCTCGTGTGGAGCCACGGCACCCAGCGCTGGCCCGGGGAACCCTGACTCAGACTCCCTGGGCTCAGCCTCTGACACAGACACCGCCGTGCCCTGGAACCTGCGACCCCGGGGCAAGAGCCGGGCCTGTTTCAGCCCCACGACACCCACCCTGAGGCCCTCGCGGGGACCAGGATGACGGGCAAAGGCCGTCACAGGGAGAGCCGCTGACCCTGGCCGCCATCCCCTACAGGCGCTTTGCCTCGGCACTGGACTGGAGCCAGAATCCAAGCCCTGTGGGGTGGGGGGAATGGGGACACACATACGTACGGGGGCCACTCCAAAGGCGTCGTAGTGGGCCACGATGACGATGGTGGGAAGGTCCTCTCCGCCCAGCCCCGTCAGCCGCCCCTGTGGATAGAGAGCAGGGGAATGGCCTGGCTGTTCCTGGGGCAGGTGACCCGTGTGTGGGGCTTGGAGACCCCTCCCCTCTGGGCCACGTGGGGCCCGTCCGCTGGGTGCCAGCATCGGCCTCAGCACTGAGGACCACAGGAGGTGCCAGCCTCTGACTCTGGGAGCCCCAGGGAGCTCCTCCAGGGAGGAGGTAGAGCCGGGAACAGGGACCCACTCCTGCTCTGGCCCTCAGGTCGAAATCTTTAAAAATCGGGGAGAGCAGGAGAATAAGTTTTTTTTTTTTGTTTGTGTTTTTTTTTTTTTTTTTGAGACGGAATCTCACTCTGTCGCCCAGGCTGGAGTGCAGTGGTACGATCTCGGCTCACTGCAAGCTCCACCTCCCGGGTTCACGCCATTCTCCTGCCTCGGCCTCCAGAGTAGTTGGGACTACAGGCACCCGCCACCACATCCGGCTAATTTTTTGTACTTTTTAGTAGAGACGGGGTTTCATCATGTTAGCCAGGATGGTCTTGATCTCCTGATCTCATGATCCGCCCACCTCGGCCTCCCAAAGTGCTGGGATTACAGGTGTGAGCCACCGCGCCCGGCCAGGAGGTTAAGTTTTTATAGGAACGGGGCTGAGCCCCTCAGGAGGATAACTGTTTGTGGGAACGGGGCTGAGCCCCTCAGCCAGGCATTCGGGTTCCTTCAGGGTCTGTGTGCACCCCTCCCTGCCTCTTACCCCACCAAAGTCGGATTCTGCTCTAGCCCGGGGGCCAGCAGACTTTCATAAAGGGCCAGAGGGGATATTTTCAGCCTTGGGGACCAGATGGTGTCTGTTACAACTAAGAAACTGCCATGGACGGCTTGCACATGCATCAGCATGGCTGTGTGCCATAAAACTTTATTTACACAGCCCGGCACGGTGGCTCACGCCTGTAATCCCAGCACTTTGGGAGGCCAAGGCGGGTAGATCACCTGAGGTCAGGAGTTCCAGACCAGCCTGGCCAGCATGGTGAAACCCCGTCTCTACCAAAAATACAAAAATTAGCTGGCCGTGGTGGCGGGCACCTGTAATCCCAGCTACTTAGGAGGCTGAGGCAGGAGAATCGCTTGAACCTAGGAGGCGGAGGTTGCAGTGAGCTGAGATCGCACCATTGCACTCCAGCCTAGGCAACAGGAGCGAAACTCCATCTCAAAAAAAAAAAAAAAAGAATTACAAAAGATTAGCTGGGCGTGGTGGCACATGACAGTAATCCCAGCTACTCGGGAGGCCGAGGCAAGACAATCGCCTGAACCTGGGAGGCGGAGGTTGCAGTTAGCAGAGATCGCGCCACTGCACTCCAGCCTGGGTGACAGAGAGAGACTCTGTCTCAAAAAACAAAAACAAACAAGCAAAAACTTTATTTACAAAAGCAGGTAGAGGGCCGGCTGTGGCCTGGGGACTCCCCGTCTGGCTGTGGGAGTCTACTTGCTGTTTTTGCAACATGCTTTTCCACTTGGAGATCCTTCAACGGCTGAACTCAAAGCCCAGCTGCCAAGAGGGCTCTGCTCACAGGAGAAAGGGCACAGCCAGGGGAAAGGGAATCGACATGGCCCCATGGGATGCGGAGCCCAGCGCCTGTGCCACTGTGGAGTGACGCAGGCCAGGCTACCGGGTCTCACTGCACACTAACTGGCGCTGGGAATAGGACGCGCCTCCCGGGCCCACAGTACAATCCAACAGGAACAAACAGAACAGCCGCCATCGACAAACCCCAGGGCTCCTCCGCCAAGGCCTGTCTATGGGGAGCCGGGGCCTCCAGGACACTTTCCCCACCCCGGCCTAAGCCGCTGCTTTTCCACTCGGGCACCCCCCAACAAGGCCTGGGTCCCCAAAACAGCAAGCACGTCTTGTTCAGGGCTCCCCCGACAGTGAGGCAACCCCTCATCTGTGTGGACTCATCTGCACCCCTCACCGGCGCCGTCCCGCAGGGAAATGCTAGAGGAGTCGGTGGGTGCTTCCTCGGGTTTTAAGGCCCCTGCCAGTGCTGCAGCAGCAGCGACACAGGCTTCACCCTCTGGATCTGCCCTGATGATCCGAGAGGCTACTTCCGCACCGGCAGCTCCCCACCCTCTCTTGACTCTGCTGATATCCCGGGGTGCTCGGAAGGGTCTGTGAGGACGCAGCGTCTGGGCTGACGGGTGAGGTTATGTGATGAGAGGGGGCTGGCGACACTGCAGCCTGGAGGGGGCTTCCTGGGAGGGGCAGCCGGTGCAAAGGCCCTGGGGTGGGAGGCAGCGGCTTGGTGTGTGGGGGTCCATGATGGAAGGAAGGAGATGGGCCGGGGGCTGGCAGGGGCCTGGGCACTCCACAGAGCGACTCCCCGGCCATGTGAGGAGTTTGGGTTCCTGCAGCTGCCAGCGGAGCCACAGGAGGTTTTCAGCCAGGCAGGGGGGCGATCCGACTCCAGTTTCCCATCAGCGGCTCCCCTCTAGTACGGCCGAGCCGGGGAGCCAGGCGGATGGCAGGAACCCCTGGGGACGTGGGGCTGGCTCCGGGGCAGGCGGCACTCACCTCCACGCTGGCAATCAGCCAGTCACTCACGGCCTTGCTCTGTACCCCGCTGGTGACCATCTGGAAGCCGTTGGCAGTGGCCGTGCGCAGCAGTACTAGGGAGAGGGAGAGGGCGCATCAGCCTTGGCCCAGCCAGGGCCCCAGCCAGGGGGCATCCCCAGCACTGACACCCCAGGTTGGGGGCTCGGGCAGAGCCAACCAGCCGGGTGTGGGGACGTGACCAGCAGATTTCGATACCACAGGATGCCCGTGCTCCCCCTAGGACAACCTTCTCTCGAAATTATTCACATCTCCTTTCTGGAACGTTCTGCTGGGGAATTTCTCCTCCATGCCATTCTGATCCTTTCCTCCCGGGCCCTCAATAACAGCTGTTCACTTAGGGACTTAGGGCCAGGACCTGCCCGAAAATGCCTGTGAGTTCACACAACTTTGAGTCCGCACTTCTGTGCTTTAAAGCATTTTAAAAACACAACTTTTTTTTTAATTTGAGACAGGGTCTCATGCTGTCACCCAGGCTGGAGTACAGTGACGCAAACATGGCTCACTGCAGCCTCTACCTCCCAGGATCAAGCGATCCTCCTGTCTCACCCTCCCAAAGTGCTAAGATTACAGGCAATGAGCCACTGTGCCTGGCCTAAAAATACAATCTTTTGAAATAAAATAAAAGATAATAAGAAAGAATAAAATAAAAATGAAAACACAATCATCATAGGTATGTAAGATATGATCGGCCGGGCGCGGTGGCTCACACCTGGAATACCAGCACTTTGGGAGGCCGAGGCGGGCGAATCACGACGTCAGGAGATCGAGACCCTCCTGGCTAACACGGTGAAACCCCGTCTCTACTAAAAATACAAAAAATTAGCTGGGCGTGGTGGTGGGCACCTGTAGTCCCAGCTACTCTGGAGGCTGAGGCAGGAGAATGGCGCGAACCCGGGAGGTGGAGCTTGCAGTGAGCCGAGATTGTGCCACTGCACTCCAGTCTGGGTGACAGAACGAGACTCCGTCTCAAAAAAACAAAACAAAACAAAACAAAAAGATATGATCACTGGGGGAAGCATGCTCCTGGGAACTCTCTGTAATTTTTTTTTTTTTCAAGTCGGAGTATCGTACTGTCACCCGGGCTGGAGTGCAATGGCAAGATCTCAGCTCACTGCAACCTCTGCCTCCCAGGTTCAAGGGTTCAAGTGATCTTCCCACCTCAGCCTCCTGAGCAGCTGGGACTACAGGCATGCACCACCACACCTGGCTTTTTTAAATTTTCTGTAGAGACAAGGGTCTTGCTATATTGCCCAGGCTAATCTTGGACTCCAGGCCCTCAATCGATCCTCCTGCCTCAGCCTCCGTAAGTGCTGGGACAACAGGCGTGAGCCACCTTGCCTGGCCCTCAACATCATTTTTACCAGCTGCATAATACTCCACCAAGTAGAAGATTCCTCCTTCAGGTTGCAGTGAGCTAAGATTGTGCCACTGCACTCCAGCCTGGGCAACAGAGTGAGACTCTGTCTCATAAAAGAAAAAAAAAAAAAAAAAGAAGACGACTCCTCTTTCCTTCTTCTCTAACAGGATACTTAGGTATCTGCAGAACTATACTCTTCTATTACCACAACAAAAATGGCCACTGTCAAGACTTTTAATCTAAACCAGGGGTTGGGAACGTTTTCTGCAAAGGATCAGATAACACTTTCGGCTTTGCAGGCTGGATGGTCTCTGCCGCAGCCACGGCAATTCAGTTCTGCTGCTGGGAAAGCCACCGTGGACTGTGCATAAATGAATGTGGCCCAGTGCCAATAAAACTTTATCAACAAAAACAGGTGGCCCCTGGCCAGTGTTAGCCAACTCTGCATCTGGAATTCCACTGATCTGGCTGTGTAGGATGAAACTTTTTTTTTTTGAGATGGACATTTGCTCTTGTTGCCCAGGCTGGAGTGCAATGGTGTGACCTCAGCTCACCACAACCTCCGCCTTCCGGGTTCAAGTGATTCTCCTGCCTCAGCCTCCCAAGTTGCTGGAATTACAGGCACCTGCCACCGCGCCCGGCTAACTTTTTCTATTTTTTTAGTAAAGACAGGCTTTCGCCAGGTTGGCCAGGCTGGTCTCGAACTCCTGACCTCAGGGGACCCACCCGCCTCAGCCTCCTTTACTATAGCTTGAAACCACAGCACCAAACTGTTTTTGTTGGGGCTGGGCCAGGACACACCTGCCTGTTCTCTGCGGCCCTGGGCTCTGGCCTCCCTTCTCAGCCCTGCTCCCCCAGTAGCTGATGACAGCCCCGGGCAAGCCCCTCAGCTGGCTTCTCCAGTTCCTCTTTCTCCTCACTCTCCACAGCGGCAACTCCCATCTTTCCCCACCACAGGTCCCACCACAGAGCTCCGGGTTCCTGCTCTGAGTTCGCTGCCAGGGCCCCCGTTCACGGGGCTGGAGGAAAGGCGTGTGCCCCTTCTCCGTAAGGACACCGCCGACGCACCCACGCCGCCCACTCGAGATGTGATGCTGAGAATGTCCTTGGCAGGTAGAGAACTGAACAGATGCCCGTGTGTTTCATAAACCCCGAGCCCCTGAGGATCGGAAAGGCTCCTCCTGAGTCCGTGGTTCTGGTCTTTCGTGTGCACAGAGCCAGCAGCTGGGAGGGGGGACAGGCGGCTGCAAAAATGCAGAGTCCCAGGTCCCAGCCCGGAGGTGGTGATGTAGCAGGTCCACACGGGGCCCAGGAACCCCCACTGTTAACCCCGGCGAAGGGATGCCACACGCTGAGAGCAGAAACAGCCCAGGGTGACCGCAGCCCTTGGGATGGGGACGCCTCCCCACACCCACGCCCACGGGCCCCGTCCCTGCAGCCCAGAGCACACCTTCAGCAGCAGAGGCGGAGCCCTGGGAGGCGGAGGCAGCCTGGGTCTGCTTGTAGATAGACAGCAGGGCCTCGTCCTCCACGGCAAAGTACACGGGGACGGCGGTCTCCATGGCCAGCATCTCCGGCTCGATCTCCATGAATTGCTGTGGAGCAGACACACACTTAGGGGGCTGCTGGCCTGGTGGGGGTGGCAAGGTAGCAGGGGGCCCAGTGACTGTCCCTGGTGGGGGTAGCAGGGGGCCCAGTGACTGTCCCTGGAGGGGGTAGCAGGGGGCCCAGTGACTGTCCCTGGAGGGCAGGCAGGCCCTCAGAGGGCGGCATGAACCATGAGGCACTCACAGAAAACCAGGGCTTCCCCCAACCCACCCACCCCTTCTCATCTGCAAAAGTATCTTCACCCAGGGCGTCTGCTGGATTCTACCAGGTCTTGTTCACTCTAGGCAGGTTCTCCTGCGCAGCCCTGTGGACCCTGGGGCCAGATCACTGTCTGGGGCGGGGCCGTCCTGGGCACTGCAGGGTGCTGAGCAGTATCCCTGGCCTCCATCCACTCCACGCCCGGAGCGGCCCTCCCTGAACACCTCCGGTCATCACCCAGCGTCCTCTGAAGACAGAATCACCCCTTGGAGATCAATGGAGCAGGGGAACAGTCCATCCTACTTTCCAAAGGGCTCAGAGAGGCGAAGTGACCCGCCTAGGGTCACACAGTTGCCTCCAACTCCCGCCGCAGCTCTGGACCTGAGCCGGGCGGGGCAGGGCAGACGCTCACCCGGACGACGTCCTGGGGCACGGCGGCCATGGCCCTGGGCAGGATGATGACCACGGCGCCCGCCGACTGCCGCAGGGCCTTCTGGTACTGCTCGTAGGAGAAGTCCAGTAGCCGCATGAGCACGCAGCGGCGGCTCAGCACCTCCGCCGCCATCGTGCGCGCCTCCGTGTTCAGCACTGCATTCCGTGTGCCTGTGGGCACAGGGGCGGGGTCGTGAGCCTCGGCGGGTGGCCAGGCCGACGGGAGGGGACAGATCCAGGCCAGGGACCCACTCAGCAGCCCCAGCCCCAGCCCCAGCCCACAACCTGGAAGACCACCGATTCGAGAAGCTCCCAGGGTCCCCCCAGCCTGCCCCCGACATAACGGGTCACAGGGGCCATGAACGCGTGCCGGGTCCATGCCCACAGGCTCAGTGCCACGCGAACCCTGGGTCTCAGACCTCCTGAGAATCTTTGTTTTTTGGTTTTGTTTTTGAGACAGGGTCTCACTCTGTTGCCCAGGCCGGAGTGCAGCAGCACAATCTCGGCTCACTGCAGCCTCCACCTCCCGGGTTCAATCTATTCTCCTGCCGCAGCCTCCCGAGTAGCTGGGATTACCGGCACCCACCACCATGCCCGGCTAATTTTTGTATTTTTAGTAGAGACGGGGTTTTGCCTGTTGGCCAGGCTGGTCTCAAACTCCCGACCCCAGGTGATACTCGCACCTTGGCCTCCCAAAGTTCAGGGATTTCAGGCGTGAGCCACCGTGCCCGGCCCCTTTCTAATGACAGCAGAGCCCCTTCTCCTGGGAGAAACCCACACTTCCCACCCCACACCGAAGTCTACACAGGATCCTAGACCAGGGCTCGGCAAACCTCTTCTACAACAGGCCAGAGAGTGAGTATTTCCGGTCTGTGTCTCAACCACTCAGCTGTAAAACTGCAGGCAGGGTGAGTGCAGCCATATACAACAGGTAAGCCAACAAGTGGGACTGTGTGCCAACAAAACTCTTAAATAGGCCAAGGGCAGGCTGGATTCAACTCCTGTTACAGGGGGTCCCAGATGGGGACGGCCCTTCCCTGAAGCCTGTTGATGGGCCCCAGGTTAAACCCCTGTGTTGAGCCACAAGACCAGCATGGAGCGCCCCTCGGGCTCGCCTGCTCTAGGACCACCCTACTGCGCCTTGGACACGTAAGCTTTCTAGAAATCCAGGGGCTGGGGTGGCAGAAGGCTCAGCAGCTTGGGCTATGGTGTCTCTGGGGCGAGGCGGGGTCTTCCCTGGAAGGCCACGGCCGTCGCTGAGAGCCTGGGGCTGTCGCTCCATCACGGGCTTATTCACTTCTGCGGTGGCGCTCCCCACGGTCACCGCTCTGGAAACTCGCCAGGGCTTCTGGTTTCGCCGCTGCCTTTTGCTTCCTGGGACTGCTCTTCCCTCCTCTCTCAGCAAAACGTCCTCCACCCAACAAGACGCAGCTCAGGGGTCCCTGCTCCGCACACCTGAGCTGCACACGGACCCCCCACTTGCTGCCACTTCACCCCTGCAAGTCTCAGCACCGCGACGATCTCCCTGCTGCCCGCCACGCACCGCGACGATCTCCCTGCTGCCCGCCACACACCGCGACGATCTCCCTGCTGCCCGCCACGCACCACGACGATCTCCCTGCTGCCCGCCACACACCGCGATGGCCACCTGAGTTGCCCTGGAAAGACCCTGGAGAGCACCGGCCCCTCTAAAAGGGCCACCCACGTTCAGCTGGGGACACGGACCTCAGTGGACCACCCCAGAAGCCGGAAATCCCAATTCTTACGTCACATCACCCAAATGTTAAAAGACAAGCAACGCTCTAAAACATCTCAGCGCTGCACAAGCCAACAGAATGCCACGCAAAGCCCGCAAGCAGACCTGACGCAGGGGGGCCGGGTACAGGCCTGACGCAGGGGGGCCGGGGGCGGGCCCCGGAGCCTCCCGTGTGAGACCCGTGCAGGAAGCACTCAAAATCACGATGCCCAGGACCGACTCCAGCGTCCCCGTGGGAGCCAGCCTCGCTCTGAAGGTGGATGCTGGATGCTGGGGACCCTCATTCTCTCATCTCCCCACAGACGCAGCTCTTCCCGGGGCCTGCGCTGAGCCTCGGGCTTGGGGCCAGGGGCGTGCATGAGTCCCCAGCTCTGTGTCCAGCAATGTGCTGTCTGGGAAGCGGTGGGAGGGAAGCAGCCTGCTCCAACGGGGTGTCTGATGGGCTGAGCTGGGTGCATGGGGGGACAGGCGGGACACAGGTCTCAGGTGGGAATGGGCGGGGTCTCGGGTGCAGCACAAGGAGGTGGGCACAGAGAACCAGCTCTGAGGCCTGGGATGGAGGAGCCACAGGGGCCCACGCACCCCAGGCCCAGCAGCCTCACCCCTGCTCCCCTCTCAGAGCCTGACATCACCAGGCCTGCTGGGAGCCTTTCCTCTGCCCTTGGGAGGCCCCTCAGGGACATGGCAGCAAAGACCTCGAGGGAGTCCTTGGGGCTCCTGCAGTGCTGGGAGCACCCCTCCCCTGCACCCCACCTGTCCCCACATGCCCTGGCCTCCCAGGGGTGACTCGAATGTCACCCCTTTGGGGCCGGGAGATGAGGCCAACTGGCAGGCACCCCCGTTCTCCGGGCCTCGAGCTCCCGCAGGCGGGATAGGGAGTGAGCGAGGAGGGAGAAGGGAAGGAGCAGCAGCAAGTCAGAGGAACGGAGGGGGACACCAGCACCCAGAGCTCCCTGAAGGCCACGGCCTCCCATTCCGAAGCCCCGCCCATCGGAGCCCCGCCTCGCGTCAGCACCAGCCAAGGCCACACTGCCCTCTGGATCCCAGCCCCCGCTCGCTCGGGGCCCAATGGCAAGGGCTCTCTGTGGCCAAGGCCCATCTCCCCAGGAGAACAGATGGCCTTGGGTGGCCCCAGCCTCCCTCGAGGGCCAGGGTCGGGCCGGGTGGCCACAAGCTAGTGTGGACACGGCCCTCTGCGGAGGCGAAACCAGCACCAACTCCCTCAGACCCGCGTCTGAATGGGCTGAGACCACTTGTGGTGGACGCCATGGAGGGCACCGGGCATCCTGAGAGAAGTCACCAGTTGGCGTGACAGGACTGGACCTGAACAGTGGCCTGGGCACCTGTCTATCTATCGGGGGCCAGACGGCCAACCTTTCCCCTCTCGGGCCATAGGGCTCTGGCACAATCACTGGGCTCAGCTGTTTCTGCGTGGAAGCAGCCAGCGACAAGATGCCAATGGATGGGCATGACCGCGTGCCGATAAAACTTTATTAACAACAACAGGCAGAGAGCCAGACGTGACCTACAGGCTGCAGTTAGCTGTATCCCAGATGAAGGAGTTTTGGCAAGTCTGATGGACTTGACGGGTCCTGGGAGCTGGGCGCTCCAAGGGGTGCTAAGGTTCCCACCTCACATGGGCCATAAGCTCAACGAGCCCCACCTGCTGTGAACGGCCACCGAGCCGAGAAAGCCTTCACCCGGCAGGGCCAGAGTCCACTCCCAGGAGAGGGGTGCTGTGCACCTGGCCAGTGAGACCCAGATCACACCCAAACACAAAGGGCACCGCCCCGCCCTGTGCCTCTCAACAGCAGCAGGAAGGAAGTTGGGAAAGGACTCCCCAGCGAGTAAGGGTTGCAGCTCCTCCGGGTAGTGGGCCCGGGGGTGAAAGCACACCGGGAAGATGGTGGTGGAGGGTGGCCTCAAAGGCAGCACGCTGGGGCTTCTCAAGGGCCTGTCCTCGGCAGGGCTCTGGCCCAAACCACCCCCAGTCTCTCAGGGGCGGCCAGAGTGACACAGAGGGGTGTGCTGGCTGGGCCTCGCCTACCCTGCGAGAGCTGGACTGTGCTTCCCAGGGCGCAGATGAGGAGCATGGAGGCTGAGGCAGGGCGGCTGCCCCATGGGCTCCTCCGCTCACCCCGGGAGCCCACGGACCAGCTGGGCGAATGCCACATACAGGGAAAGCTGCGTCCAGCTTCCTCACTAGGAGAAAGAAAAGCTGGGGTCCAGGGAGGAGGGTACAGGGGAGGAGGCCAGTGAAAAGAAGACTCAGAAGAAAACCCAGGATTGTGGGCAAAGGCCCCAGAGAAGCGAGGAAAGAGAGAAAGGACTGCAGGGGAAAGGGAGGGAGGCGCCACCAAAAAGGGGCCGAGGGAATCGGGGAAGGAAAACGGGGTGAACGTCAGGAGGCTGCGAAGAACAAGAGGCCACACAAGGAAACTGGGAGGGACTCTAGGAGGCTGGAGAGGGCGTCCGTCTGGCCGTGGAACGGGGAGACATCTGCTCACTCGATAGACAACATGCATTCCCTGGGCGGACTTGCGGGGAGAGAAAGGGGGCCCACATCTGCCCAGGGACAGTGTAGGGAGCCGCCAACATGCATTCCCTGGGTGGGTTCTTGGGGAGAGAAAGGGGGCCCACACCTGCCCAGGGACAGTGTAGCAGCCACCAGATCACACCTGCCCGGGGGGCTGGAGGGAGGCCGGGTGAGCTGGAGGACCAGGCAGGAGATGCCAAGAGTGTGAACAGGGTATCTCGAGCTCTAGGAGTGGGGTCTTTGGGGTGCAGACTGCCCTGGAAACCCCACGGAAGCCGCTATGAGAGCCGCAGGCACGCGTGGCTACTTGCGTTTATTACCCTCAAGCAGCGCTGAAAATCCTGCCCCCCGGTTGCACAGGCCACGCTTTGGGGGCTCGGCAGCCTCCTGTGGCTGCTGGCTCCTGTGCCAGGCAGCAAAGATGGAGGCGATTCTACAGGATGGTGCCCGTCAGGACCCTTCCCCCGGGAAAATCCCAAGCAGCACGGAAAACGCGGTCACTGCATGAGGAGCCTCTGGCCTTCCACTCCCACCCTCCAGAGCCTGGGCCTTGGGTTTATACACCACCACTGTGGCCCCAGGGCGCTTCCCCTGGACACTGTGGACATTAGGGCCGGATCGTTCTCTGGGGTGGGGCCGTCCTGGGCACTACAGGGAATTGAGCAGCGTCCCTGGCCTCCACCCACTCCATGCCAGGAGCACCCGTGGTCGTGACAACCACAGATGTCCCCAGACATCACCCAGCGTCCCCTCGGTTGACAACAATGGCTCTAAGTAAAAAAATCGTAACTCTGGGGCAAAATGGGACCTGAGGCCAAAGTCTGGTTCCATCTCCAGAGATGGGCTCCCCAAGGGCTGGCAGAAGCTGGGGGTCCCCGCGCCTCAGGTTGAGCCTGAGATGTGACGAGAGGGACCAATCCAAGAGAATCCGGGCTGGGAACTAAGGGGGCCAGGAGAACAAGCGGACGGGACTCCTTCACAGGGAAGGCCAGGCCTTGACTTCCAGGGACCTGAGGGGCCAGGCTGAAAAGAAGAAAAACCAGGGACCAGGTTCTGGAATGTCAGGGACAGCTATAGCCAGGCAAAGACAAGGGGATGTGGAATGGTCTAGACACTGGGGTCAGGGCCACGACGGGAGGGGGCGAGGCTGTTGAGTGGGAGACTTGCAGAATGCAAGGGCAAGGGGGTGCGAATTTGGAAAGGGAAGAGGAAATCCTGGAAAGATGGAACAAGTGGGGTTCTGGGAAGTGGGTGTGAGGAGGCTGAGCTGAGGGCGTGGGTATGCATCAAAGGCGGGACAGAAAGGGGGTCAAAGGGAACCCCAGGCGAGTGGACTGAACTGGGGACGTGGGAGGAGACCAGGGAAGCTGGGCTAGCAGATTCTGAAACATGACTCACGAACTGGGACCAGAGAGCGTCAGGGGTCTGGGGACAAATGTGCCCTTGACGTGGGGGCCGGTGACTAGAGCGAGAAAATTCAGGGGAGTTGAATTTGGGCACTGGACAAAATGCACTTGGCACCCAGGGCCGTGGGAGGGGGTGGGGAATGCTGGACCACCGCGTCGGGTGGCTCAGCCTGGCAGAAATCAGTGCAGGGACCTTTAACTCCAAACGCAGTCAGCTAAAGGCGAGAGGCCTGGGAACACGGACGTGACCCAGTGAATCCAGAGACCAACCAGATGGTCTCCAGAACAGGACCCTGGGAGCTGGAGGTCAGGACGGGAGCGTCTGCTCAAGTGAGCCCGGACCAGGAAGCCTAAGGGGCGGAGGGGGCCCAGGAGGGAGAAACTCGGCAAGGCAGGCAGACGCCGGCCCAGCTGGGGACAGGAGAGAGGGGACTTAGGGCTCCAGGGACGCGGGACGCTTGGCCCGGCCATGGGTTCCGGGGCAGGGAGACCTAGGCAGGGGCCGGGGGCTGTGGGAGCGAGCGCGGGGGGTCCCTGGGCGCTAGGCAAGGAGAGCAGGGATTCCAGGGCGCCCGGGGGTCCAGGGCGGCAGGGCTCTGCCTCGCCTGGGGCCTGAGCATGGGTCGGGCAGCCCAGGCCGGAGCTAGGGATCGGCCTGGGGATCGCCGGGCCGGAGTGGCGTGGCCGGGGAGCCCGGGGAGCCCCGAGGGTGGGCCGGGGACACGCACCGTAGGGCTGGCCCTGCAGGTCGTACTGCTGCATGCGGTACACGGTGAACTCGTGCGCGGCGTCGGCGGCAGGCAGCGGCGGCGCCACCAGCAGCAGCACAGCGGGCAGGAAGACGATGAAGCCGAGCGGCAGACAAGACGCCTTCAGCATGTTCTCCAGCACCTCGCCCGCTTCCTCCAGCATCCTGGCCGGCGGCGGGGCCGCGCGGGGCGGCAGCTGGGACGGGACGGCGGCGGCGGCGGCTCCCGCGGACTCACCTCGGCATGGGTAGCCGCCGGGGTCCTGCGGGCGCCGCGCGGGGCAGCCCGCACTCGCCCTGAGGTCCTGTGGGCACCGCGGCGAACCGCCCCGCCAGCCGCGCTGCCTGTCGGGAATTGTAGTCCGTCCGTCCGGCGCTCGCGGAGCCCTGTGGGAGTTGTAGGCCCACTCTGGAACTCCCGGAAGGTGCGGCAGGCTGTTCGGCTAATACCGTTGAGGTTTCACATAAACTCCAAGTCATAAAATGCAATAAAATGCTTTAAAAAACTATTTCGCGATATCACTTTCTTAACCTTGTCTTTGGCGTTGGGGGAGCTAGGGTGAGGGGCGAAAGGTGGGGACAGGACGTGACCTTGCGACCTGGAAGGAAGTTGGGGATAAAGAGAAAAGGAAGTGCCTGCCTGGCGCGCTAGGTCTTCTGGGAGTTGTAGTCCCGTCAAACACACAAAGGGTCACGGGAACTGTAGTCGTCCTGGCAGAAATTGCTGAGAAAAACAAAAATCACTTAAAACTCCCGAGGATGTAGATGTCAAACTCCACGAAGGCAAAAACTTTTGTCTGTTTTGTGCATATGATGTATCCCCGGCATCTAGCACAAGACCTGGCGCACGGCGGGTGGCCTATACCATTTTTGAATGAATGAATGAAAAATAGAAAGTCATGATAGTCAGTTCCTAAGGGAGGCCGCAGTGGGTTGTGGGACTTGTAGTCTGGAACCTGCGGTTTGTGCAGGGGTCGGTGGCAGGTATTTATATTTATCTTTATTCATATTTGGGGCATACTTATACTAAAAAAGTATTTGTTGTTCATCAGAAATTTAAAGTTAAAACCCAGTGTCTCAGGGCTGGAGGTACCTAAGGAACGTCCCTTTGTACAGATGGGGAGACTGAGCCCCAGGGTGCAGCAGACAGTAGCCCTGGCTCTCAGCACGTTATCATCCCAGGCTCCGTACAGCTGCCTAAGGAGTCAGGGCTTCCTTTCTGTCCCAAGTGAGAAGTGGCATTGGTGCCGATTAAGAGCCTGGGCTCAAATCCCAACTCCTCCATTTCCCAGCTGTGTGGCTTTGGGCAAGTCGCTTCACCTCTCAGAGTCTCAGTTTCCTCAGATATAATGATAAAGAATCAAGCACTCTCCCTGCCAGCAGCATGTGAGAATTCTGTTTGTTTGTTTGTTTGTTTGTTTGTTTTTGAGATGTAGTCTCTGTCACCTAGGCTGGAGTGCAGTGGCTTGATCTCAGCTCACCGCAACCTCCACCTCCTGGGTTCAAGCAATTCCTGTGTCTCAGCCTCCTGAGTAGCTGTAAATTACAGGCGTGAGCTACCGCGCCCGGCTAGAAAGGGAGTTTCTGAGTGTGCTGCTGGGTCACTGAGCACCTACTGTGTGCCAGCCGTGTGGTGGGTGCTGGGGACACAGCCGGGACCCCAGCAAAGCCACACTATCCACCGACACGGAGCTCGAAGTCCAAAGGAGGAGGTGGATTGTGTGACCAGGGGTGATGGGAGCTGGGATAGAGGACACAAAGGCAGCTGGGAGAAGCCCAGAGGAGGCCTAGGGAGGAGAGGAAATCAGAGGAGGCTTCCTGGAGGAGGTGACACTTAAGCTGAAACTCAAAAGATGAGCCAGAGCAGATGAGTGAAGAAAGAGGGAAAGTTGTGCCCAGTATAAAGCAGAGCTGTCATGCAGGGAACACAGGCAGCTGTGGGAGCCTAGAGGAGACCTAGGGAGGAGGAGAAATCAAAGAAGACTTCCTGGAGGAGGTGACGCTAAAACTAAGGTACAAAGAATGAGCAGGCAGAAGTCAAGTGACGAAGGAGGGAAGGTGCGGGCTAACAAGGCCCCTTTATCAGGGACAACAAAGGAGGTTAAGCGAGAAGCCCCCAGAAGGGAAGGACCAAGAAATAATTCAGCTCAGCCAAAGCAGGGCAGAGGGGGCAACAGGGTCAGCCAACACGGGCCCAGAAGGCAGACAGAGAGCTCCAGGCCTGCCCAGACTCCACTTATCCCAAATTCCACCAACACCCCACCCTGCCTGCTGTGGTCCCCACTAAACACACAGAGAACAGGAATCAGGAAAAGATAAGAACTACCCTAGCTTATCATGCCTGCAGAGGGGTGTTTGGGACTTCACTGGTGAAGTGGCTGGCCACAGTTCCATCTGTCTGCAATTGGCCAGCCACAGTAGCTCATGCCTGTAGTCCCAACACTTTGGGAGGCTGAGGCAGGAGGATCACTTGAGCCCAGGAGATTGAGACCAGCCTGGGAAACATAGCAAGACCCTGTCTCTCTCTCTCTCTCTCTTTTTTTTTTTTTTTTTTTTTTGAGACGGAGTCTTGCTCTGTCACCCAGATTGGAGTGCAGTGGCACGAACTCAGTCCACTGCAACCTCGGCCTCCCGGGTTCAAGCAATTCTCCTGCCTCAGCCTCCCAAGTAGCTGGGATTACAGGCATGCACCACTACGCCTGGCTAATTTTGTATTTTTAGTAGAGACGGGGTTTCTCCATGTTGGCCAGGCTGGTCTCAAACTCCTGACCTAAGGTGATCCACCTGCCTCGGCCTCCCAAAGTGCTGGAATTACAGGGGTGAGCCACAGCACCCAGCCCCGTCTCTACAAAAAATATAAAAATTAGCCAGGTGTGGTGGTGTGCACCTGTAATTGCAGCTACTCGGAAACCCAAGGCAGAAGGATCACTTGAGCCCAAGAGATCGAGGCTGCAGTGAGCTATGATCACACCACTGCACTCCAGCCTGGGTGACAGAGCAAGACCCTGTCTCTAAAATATAAAAGAAAATAAAGAACTGTCCCATCAAAATCTACATGATCACATCCTAACCCCCAGGACCTCAGCATAGGATGTTATTTGGAAAATGGTTGTGGCAGATGGCATTAGTTAAGATGAGGTCATACTGGAGCAGGGTGGGCCCTTAATCCCATGTGACTGGTGGCCTTATAAAAATGGGGAAATCGGCCGGGCACGGTGGCTCACGCCTGTAATCCCAGCACTTTGGGAGGCAGATGGATCACCTGAGTCAGGAGTTCGAGACCAGCCTGGCCAACATGGCAAAATCCCGTCTCTACTAAAAATACAAAAACTAGCCAGATATGATGGTGCGTGCCTGTAGTCCCAGTCGGGAGGCTGAGGCAGGAGAATCGCTTGAACCCAGGAGGTGGAGGTTGTGGTGAGCTGAGATCGCGCCACTGCGCTCCAGCCTGGACGACAGAGCGAGAGTCCTTCTCAAAAAAATAATAATAACAATAATAATAATAAATGTAAAAATAGGAAAATGAGCCAGGCTTGGTGGTGCACTCCTGTAGTCTCAGCTATTCAGAAGGCTGAGGTGGGAGGATCACTTGAGCCCAGGAGTTTGAGACCAGCCTGGGCAACTTAATGAGACCCTCATCTCTTTTTTTTTTTTTTTTTTTTTTTTTTTTGAGACGGAGTCTCTCTCTGTCACCCAGGGTGGAGTGCAGTGGCCTGATCTCCGCTCACTGCAAGTTCTGCCTCCCGGGTTCACGCCATTCTCCTGACTCAGCCTCCAGAGTAGCTGGGACTACAGGCACCCGCCACCACGCCTGGCTAATTCTTTGTATTTTTAGTAAAGATGGGGCTTCACCGTGTTAGCCAGGATGGTCTCTATCTCCTGACCTCGTGATCCGCCCACCTCGGCCTCCCAAAGTGCTGGGATTACAGGCGTGAGCCACGGCGCCCGGCCCCTCATCTCTTAAAATAAAAAAGGTTGAAGGAGTTGGGGGAGTTTGGATACAGACCCAGGGAGGGCGCCTTGTGGAGATGGAGGCAGAGATGCGGCTGACGCTTCTCCAAGCCAAGGAACATCAAGGACGCCGGCCACCAGCAGGAACTGGGAGAGGCCTGGGCAGATCCCCGTCAGCCTCAGGAGGACCCAGCCCTACTCACACCTTCATCTCAGACTTCTGGCTTCCAGAATTATGGCAGCATAAATGTCTGTTTTCAAGCCTCTCCATCTGTGAGACTGTCATGGCTGCCCTAGCAAATCAATACACTGAGAGACTAAATTTTTAACTTTCATTTAATTTCTTTTTTGTTGTTGTTTTTGTTTTGTTTTTTGAGACGGAGTCTCACTCTATCGCCCAGACTGGAGTGCAGTGGAGCAATCCCAGCTCACTGCAACCTCCACCCTCCGAGTTCAAGCGATTCTCCTGCCTCAGCCTCCCGAGTAGCTGGGATTACAGGCGCCTGCCACCGCACCCAGCTTATTTTTTGTATTTTTAGTAGAGACAGGGTTTCACCATCTTAGCCAGGCTGGTCTTGAACTCCTGACCTCATGATCCACCCACCTCGGCCCCCCAAAGTGCTGCGATTACAGGCATGAACCAATGCACCTGGCCTAACTTTCATTTAATTTCAATGAATTTTCTTTTTTTTTTTTTTTTAATTTTTTTTTAGAGACAGGGTCTCACTCTGTCACCCAGGCTGGCACGATCACCGCTCCCTGCAGCCTCGACCTCCCGGGCTCAAGTGATCCTCCCACCTCAGCCTCTCGAGTAGCTGGAACCACAGGCATGCAACAACATGCTCGGGCTAATTTTTTTAATTTTGGAGGATTTTTTTGTAGAGATGTGGTTTCGCTATGTTGCCCAGGCTGGTCTGGAACTCCTGCACTCAAGCAATCCTCCTGCCTCGGCCTCCCAAAGTGCTGGGATTACAGGCATGAGCCACCACACCCAGCAATTTCCATGAATTTTCAATAGCCGTGTGTGCCTCACAGCTGCTGTGTTGGTGGGTAAATGGCCCCCACACACCGCATTCCCCATCGTACAGTGGAGAAATAATGACTTAAAGCAGAACTTTCTGAGCCCAGGCGGCGGGTGGTGTGGATTCTGACTCTGCTCAGACACTGGACTGGACGGGACTGGCTTGGTCCTGGGAGAAGGTGGGCGAGAGCTGTCTATGAGCTGCAGGTGCTGGAGGCTTCCGGATTTACATCTGCACTGAAACTGTGGCCACCCGCCCCATGGGGCTACCGAAATATAAACAGATTCAAATTAAACACAACCTACACTTCGAAATTCAGTTATCTGCTTGCACCGTAGCCCCGTGGGGCTGGCGTCTCCCATACTGAATGGTGTGGAGCTGAAACGTCTCCACTGGAGTTTCACGGGGCAGGCAGTTGTCAGCCCCTGTGGCTGGCGGGGAGCGTGTACAATCAACCCTGTGCTTCGGCTTCAGTGATTAAACTGTTTTACCCACCGGGAAAGCCGAGGCCGTTCATGCTGAAGGGGATGTGAGGGAAGATTCCCCCAGCCCAGGAAGCCAAGGTGGTGCCTCTGCCAGCCCCAGAGAGTGGGTCCCCAAAAGATGCAGAGGCCAGAGATGGGGCATGGGCCCTGCCATTTCTAAAGGGGAAGTGAACAAGAAGAGGCGGCATTAACTGTCATTGTCACCCCCACTTCCCGCAACGCCCAGAGGTTGTCCACACACACACACACACACACACACACACACACACACTCCACCCTCACAGGGCACTGGCCCGTGGCCCTCTCTAGCAAAGACACACCCGGCTGCCCCTAGATCCACAGCCCCCCTGAGCCACGGCCCCCACGCATGCACGCACCAGGGAATAAGAGGCCGCAACATCACGTACCATGATCGAACTTCAATGTTGCCAGGGCATGCATCCCACAGTCCACCCCTTGCAGCCTGGGAGCCCTACTGAGGCCCAGAGAGGGGCCGGGACTTCCCCAGAATCACACAGAAGCGGGGTTGTGGGGAACCCACTCGCCCCCACACCAGGGTGCTCTCTGCTCCTACGGGGAGGTGGGGTGGTTGCCTCCTTGTCCAGGGTGACCATGGGAAGCCCATTTGGCGTCAGAAGCCCCGAGAGGCCACCGGGAAGACCATGGGGGCCTGTCCCGTTCCCTGCTCCCCATACAGGCGAGGCTGCGTGCACACAGCTTCCTGTACCCCAGGAGGGCCTGCCTGGCACGCACCCGGTGGCTGCACCATCCACACGCAAGACTGCAACTTCAGATGCTCCGCACGCTGGAGATGCTGGACAGGGGCTCCCGCATCCGAAAGCTGAGCGAGCGGGAGCCGCGAAAGCTGTCCCTTGGCCTCAGAGAGCTGTCGGTGGTGGAAGCTCCGGAGTGAGCCTCGACGGCCCGGGCCAGGCAGTCCCCGGGCCCTCGCATGCCCAGCCGGAGACACCCGCAGCAGAGGAAGCTGAGCACGGCTCTGCACACCTCCCTGCTGCGGAAGGAGTAGATGATGGGGTTGACCGCCGAGTTGAGGACGGCCAGGGCCAGGATCCAGTCCATGCCCCGCAGGTACTCCTGGGCCCAGAGGTTGGAGCCAAAGACGTCGGCCAGCAGCAGCCCGAAGAGTGGGCCCCAGCACACCAGGAAGGCCAGCAGGATCATCAGCACCGTCTTCAGCAGGCGGCGGGCCTTGCGGCGGGCCGCTGGGCGTGGGGCCTTCTGCCCGCTGGCCTGCACCAGGCGGAAGATGGCCCCATAGAGGCCCATGATGGTGGCCAGGACGCCGGCGAAGATCACCAGGCAGAAGAGGATGTAGCGCTTGGAGTAGAGGGGCAGAAGGCTGGAGCAGCGGTCAAAGGCGCACAGGCAGTTCCAGCCCAGCAAAGGCAGCATCCCCAGCAGCGCGGCCAGCAGCCAGCAGAGGCCGATGAAGCCGTAGACGCGGCTGGTCTTGGTGGCCCCGCTCTCGGCCACCGGCCGCACCATGGTGGCAAAGCGCTCCCCTGCAGTGAAGAGCAGGCTGAAGGTGGAGGCGGCCAGGGCGGTGAAGAGCAGGCCCTCCCGTAGGAACCACTGGGCGGGCGCCAGACGGAAGGTGCGGGCCCCCGACAGCAGCACGTTGGCCAGGTAGGCCGCGCCCGTGAGCAGGTCACTCAGCGTGATGTTCACCAGGCAATAGTAGACCCAGCGTCGCGACCGCATGTGGCTGGTGATGGCCGCCAGCACCAGCAAGTTCTCCAGCACCACCAGGCAGCTGGCGGCCACCGACAGCCCCCGCAGGGCCCCCAGGCCGCCATCCTCCGGCCCCCCGCGCCCGGCCAGCCGGCCCGAGTGGTTGTAGTGCAGAACAATGAGCCGGCTGTGCCCGCCGGCCGCCAGCTGTTGGCAGGACTCGGGGGCCACCGGGGTCCCCGTGGCGTTCATGGCCTCCCCCGGGGGCTGACTGAGGCCCGACGCAGGGTGGAGCCACCCGCCTTGCTGGTCTTGGTTTCCTGTTATTTGAAATTTCCTGTTATGTTCAAGGTGCCCTCCAGGGTGGAGGTAAGGCCGAGGACAGGGAGGGGCACCCCAACGGTCGGCCCCCACCCGGGCTCCTGGAGCCAACGCGCTGGGGCTGCCCTGGCTGTGAGGACCCCCACCCCTGCCCTGGCTGCCTTCTTCCTGTCCTCGAAAGCCGGAGACCCGCAGGGAGCCCCGGAGCCGTCAGTCACGGAGGGGAAATGAGTCCCCACTCGGGATGGGCCACCCCTTTCCAGCCGGACGACTCCTCCCCACCAGCCCTGATCACCCCCGAAGCACCCGTCGGCTCCACTGAGGTCTCCCCACATGCTCCACCGGCGCTCAGCACACAGCAGGTGCCTAATAAATGTCAAGTGCCTGCATGCCCTTGAGCACTGACTCATCCGACTTGATCCCCGAAACAGGGCCTGATGCGTTACAGAAGAGGAAACTGAGGCCCAGAGAGCCCGGTGCGTTGCAGAAGGGGAAACTGAGGCCCAGAGAGCCCGATGCGTTGCAGAAGGGGAAACTGAGGCCCAGAGAGCCCGATGCGTTGCAGAAGGGGAAACTGAGGCCCAGAGAGCCCGAGGCGTTGCAGAAGGGGAAACTGAGGCCCAGAGAGCCCGAGGCGTTGCAGAAGGGGAAACTGAGGCCCAGAGAGCCCGATGCGTTGCAGAAGGGGAAACTGAGGCCCAGAGAGCCCGATGCGTTGCAGAAGGGGAAACTGAGGCCCAGAGAGCCCGATGCGTTGCAGAAGGGGAAACTGAGGCCCAGAGAGCCCGAGGCGTTGCAGAAGGGGAAACTGAGGCCCAGAGAGCCCGAGGCGTTGCAGAAGGGGAAACTGAGGCCCAGAGAGCCCGATGCGTTGCAGAAGGGGAAACTGAGGCCCAGAGAGCCCGAGGCGTTGCAGAAGGGGAAACTGAGGCCCAGAGAGCCCGATGCGTTGCAGAAGGGGAAACTGAGGCCCAGAGAGCCCGATGCGTTGCAGAAGGGGAAACTGAGGCCCAGAGAGCCCGATGCGTTGCAGAAGGGGAAACTGAGGCCCAGAGAGCCTGATGCGTTACAGAAGGGAAAACTGAGGCCCACAAAGGCGGCCTGAGGCCAACTTTCTGCCCATGGGAGGACACACAGGTCCAGGGAGAGAGACCCCCAGGGACAAGCTGGTAGGGTCTCGGGGCCAGGCGCCCATTTTGGGATTCATGGTTGCCTCTCCTGCCCCTGAGCTCACCCTGCTGGGAGCAGAGCTGCTGGCCCCCTGGGGCAGCCCCCCACTGGGATTGAGGTGCATAGGAAAAGTAGGGACTTGCTCACCCCATCCCCATGGCCCTGCTGACAACGGCTCACGGTGACTCAGCCTGAGGTGAGGTGGCTGTGGGTCTAAGTGGGAGACACACCCTGCTCTGGCGTCTGAGGAGGGAGGCAGGCTCTGCCCTGGCGTCTGAGGGGGAAGCTTGGACCTGCCTGGGGTCTGAGGGGGGAGGGTTGGCCTTGCCCTAGGTTCTGAGAGGGGAGGCATGACCTTACCCTGGGGTCTGAGCGGAGAGGCTCAGCCTTGTCCTGGGGTCTGAGGAGGGATGCGAGGCCCTGTGCTGTGGTCTGAGAGGGGAGACACACCCTGCCCTGGGTCTGAGG
Organism: Homo sapiens; assembly: GCF_000001405.40. Lineage (NCBI taxonomy): Eukaryota > Metazoa > Chordata > Mammalia > Primates > Hominidae > Homo > Homo sapiens. The sequence continues at coordinate 3,177,085 of NC_000019.10, read as the reverse complement.
AGGGAGGTATGCCCTGCCCTGAGGTTTGAGCGGGGAGGCTTGAACCTGCCTGGGGTCTAGGGGTGAGGGTTGGCCTTGCCTTGGGGTCTGAGTGGGGAGGCATGGCCCTGTCCTGAGTCTGAGGGGGGAGGCGAGGCCCTGCCTTGGGGTCTGAGGGGAGAGGTGAGGCCCTGTCCTGGGGTCCAAGGGAGGAGGCGAGGCCCTACCCTGAGGTCTGAGTGGGGATGCTCAGCCTTGCCCTGGGGTCTGAGGAGGGAGGCTCAGCCTTGCCCTGGGGTCTGGGGCATGTAGGGGCTTGGACATCATCTGTCACGGATGGAGTGTGAGGTCTCTGCTCTCCAGCTCCCCCAGTGTCTGTGACCCCCCACTCGTCCCCATCCAGAAGGCCTTGGGGTGTGGGGTGATTTGGGAAATAATGCAGGCCCCAGAAGTGTGAGTAGGACCCAGGATAAGTCCCTGCTGGGAGCCTCCTCCCGCCTGCAATCACCCCCAGGCCAGGCCCACTTACCACCAAGGAGGGTCCTGAGGGGCCCCACCTGCCCTCTGTCCCCCCAGGAGCCTGTGGTCTTCAGCCTTCCTGAGACAATGGTGTCCTTGGCCTCAGGGTGGGGGCAGCTACACTAATTCTACCAGTAAGGTGTCCTGGAAGGGTCACAAGTGTACTGCGAGGACACAGGTGTCCCATGAGGGGCACAGATGTCCCGTGAGGGCTCAGGTGTTGAAGGCCGAAAGAATGAGGGTTGTGATCAACTCAGTATACCACTGGAGGCTACGTGAGTAAACAGCAAACTGTTCTCATGAAAGCAGGCTGTTGGCAAACTGACAAACTGCGTCTGCCGCCCAGAAGGAATGCTGAGGGCAGTCACGCCCCAGGCACAAGTGTTTCTTGCAAGTAGGCAAATCTGAAACCTGTTAGCAATAACGTGAACGTGTGAACAATCAAGCAGCTGGCCAATCGTTTCCTCCCCCTGCTTTCTACCCAATAAGTACGAAGGGCTGTAGAAGCTTGGGGGGCTGCCTTTGCTCACTAGAAGCAGGGAGCTCTCTTTTTCTTCCCCTGGTCCCTTCCTTTAAAACAGTTTCTTCTGTCTTAAGTTTTCATTTCTACATTCGTCCCTTCGTTCAGTCTTGTAATGATGGTCTCAAGTAGTAACAATAGTAACTGTCGTAGTGACAGTCTCAGGTAGTAATCATGGCAACCACACACAGGCGTCCCATGAAGGGTACAGGCATCCCATGAGGGCACAGGTGTCCCATGAGAATGCAGGCGTCCCATGAGGGGCACAGGCATCCCATGAGAACACAGGCATCCCATGAGGGGCACAGGCGTCCCATGAGGGTACAGGCATCCCATGAGGGCACAGGTGTCCCATGAGAATGCAGGCGTCCCATGAGGGCACAGGCATCCCATGAGGGGCACAGGCATCCCATGAGAGCACAGATGTCCCATGAGGGGTACAGGCGTCCCATGAGGGTACAGGCATCCCATGAGAACACAGGCGTCCCATGAGGGGTACAGGCATCCCATGAGGGCACAGGCATCCCATGAGAACACAGGTGTCCCATGAGAACACAGGTGTCCCATGAGGGCACAGGCGTCCCATGAGAATGCAGGCGTCCCATGAGAACGCAGGCGTCCCATGAGGGCACAGGCGTCCCATGAGGGCACAGGTGTCCCATGAGGGGCACAGGCGTCCCATGAGAACACAGGCGTCCCATGAGGGGCACAGGCGTCCCATGAGAACACAGGCGTCCCATGAGGGCACAGGCGTCCCGTGAGAACACAGGTGTCCCATGAGGGGCACAGGCGTCCCATGAGAACACAGGCGTCCCATGAGGGCACAGGCGTCCCATGAGAACACAGGTGTCCCATGAGGGGCACAGGCGTCCCATGAGAACACAGGCGTCCCATGAGGGCACAGGCGTCCCATGAGAACACAGGTGTCCCATGAGGGGCACAGGCGTCCCATGAGAACACAGGCGTCCCATGAGGGCACAGGCGTCCCATGAGGGGCACAGGCGTCCCATGAGAACACAGGCGTCCCATGAGGGCACAGGCGTCCCATGAGGGCACAGGTGTCCCATGAGGGGCACAGGCGTCCCATGAGAACACAGGCGTCCCATGAGGGGCACAGGCGTCCCATGAGAACACAGGCGTCCCATGAGGGCACAGGCGTCCCATGAGAACACAGGCGTCCCATGAGGGGCACAGGCGTCCCATGAGAACACAGGCGTCCCATGAGAACACAGGCGTCCCATGAGGGCACAGGCGTCCCATGAGGGCACAGGCGTCCCATGAGAACACAGGCGTCCCATGAGGGCACAGGCGTCCCATGAGGGCACAGGCGTCCCATGAGAACACAGGCGTCCCATGAGGGCACAGGCGTCCCATGAGGGCACAGGCGTCCCATGAGGGCACAGGCGTCCCATGAGAACACAGGCGTCCCATGAGGGGCACAGGCGTCCCATGAGAACACAGGCGTCCCATGAGGGCACAGGCGTCCCATGAGGGGCACAGGCGTCCCATGAGAACACAGGCGTCCCATGAGGGCACAGGCGTCCCATGAGGGCACAGGCGTCCCATGAGAACACAGGCGTCCCATGAGGGCACAGGCGTCCCATGAGAACACAGGCGTCCCATGAGGGCACAGGTGTCCCATGAGAACACAGGCGTCCCATGAGAACACAGGTGTCCCATGAGGGCACAGGTGTCCCATGAGAATTCAGGCGTCCCATGCGGGGCACGGGCATCCCATGAGAACACAGGCATCCCATGAGGGGCACAGGCGTCCCATGAGGGTACAGGCATCCCATGAGAACACAGGCGTCCCATGAGGGCACAGGCATCCCATGAGGGGCACAGGCATCCCATGAGGGCACAGATGTCCCATGAGGGGTACAGGCGTCCCATGAGGGTACAGGCATCCCATGAGAACACAGGCGTCCCATGAGGGGTACAGGCATCCCATGAGGGCACAGGCATCCCATGAGAACACAGGTGTCCCATGAGAACACAGGTGTCCCATGAGGGCACAGGCGTCCCATGAGAATGCAGGCGTCCCATGAGAACACAGGTGTCCCATGAGGGCACAGGCGTCCCATGAGGGCACAGGCGTCCCATGAGAACACAGGTGTCCCATGAGAGGCACAGGCGTCCCATGAGAACACAGGCGTCCCATGAGGGCACAGGCGTCCCATGAGAACACAGGTGTCCCATGAGGGGCACAGGCGTCCCATGAGAACACAGGCGTCCCATGAGGGCACAGGCGTCCCATGAGAACACAGGCGTCCCATGAGGGGCACAGGCGTCCCATGAGAACACAGGCGTCCCATGAGGGCACAGGAGTCCCATGAGAACACAGGCGTCCCATGAGGGGCACAGGCGTCCCATGAGAACACAGGCGTCCCATGAGGGCACAGGCGTCCCATGAGGGCACAGGCGTCCCATGAGGGGCACAGGCGTCCCATGAGAACACAGGCGTCCCATGAGGGCACAGGCGTCCCATGAGGGCACAGGCGTCCCATGAGGGGCACAGGCGTCCCATGAGAACACAGGCGTCCCATGAGGGCACAGGCATCCCATGAGGGCACAGGCATCCCATGAGGGCACAGGCGTCCCATGAGAACACAGGCGTCCCATGAGGGCACAGGCGTCCCATGAGAACACAGGCGTCCCATGAGAACACAGGCATCCCATGAGGTCACAGGCGTCCCATGAGGGCACAGGCATCCCATGAGGGCACAGGCGTCCCATGAGAACACAGGCGTCCCATGAGGGCACAGGTGTCCCATGAGAACACAGGTGTCCCATGAGGGCACAGGCATCCCATGAGGGGCACAGGCATCCCATGAGAACACAGGCATCCCATGAGGGGCACAGGCGTCCCATGAGAACACAGGCATCCCATGAGGGGCACAGGCATCCCATGAGAACACAGGCGTCCCATGAGGGCACAGGCATCCCATGAGGGGCACAGGCGTCCCATGAGAACACAGGCATCCCATGAGGGCACAGGCGTCCCATGAGAACACAGGCGTCCCATGAGAACACAGTTGTCCCATGAGGGCACAGGCGTCCCATGAGGGCACAGGTGTCCCATGAGAACACAGGTGTCCCATGAGAACACAGGTGTCCCATGAGGGCACAGGTGTCCCATGAGAATGCAGGCATCCCATGCGGGGCACAGGCATCCCATGAGGGTACAGGCATCCCATGAGGGGCACAGGTGTCCCATGAGAACACAGGTGTCCCATGAGGGGCACAGGCGTCCCATGAGGGTACAGGCATCCCATGAGAACACAGGCGTCCCATGAGGGGCACAGGCGTCCCATGAGGGTACAGGCGTCCCATGAGAACACAGCCATCCCATGAGGGCACAGGCATCCCATGAGAACACAGACGTCCCATGAGGGGTACAGGCGTCCCATGAGGGGTACAGGCGTCCCATGAGAACACAGGCCTCCCATGAGGGGCACAGGTGTCCCATGAGGGCACAGACGTCCCATGAGAACACAGGCGTCCCATGAGCGGCACAGTATCGGCCCTGAGAAGCGGGGGCACCCCAGGGAGGGCAGGGCTGGCAGGAGACGGGGGCTGATCGCAGCACATGCTGGGGCCCCATGGCCCCTCCCTTTGCTTACGGTTCAGTTCTGAAGCAGGACAGTGTCGGGAGGCTCCATGCGAGGAACTGACTGGGGAGGCAGCTGCCTTTTGTCACTGGAGGTCACCAAGCAGAAAGGGGATCTGGAGAGGGATGTGGGGCTCGGGGAGGAGGGGCCGGCAGCTGGGAGGTGAGGCCAGGAGGGAAACAAACAGCCAGGTCTTGCCCAGGCACTGCCCTGCCCAGTGAGTAGACAAGTGAGCCTCAGTCCAGCCTCACATGACTCAGGCACCTACACAGAGAGACATTGTGTGTTCTGAGGTTGAGTGCCTCATGATGGACTAAGCCCTGATCCCAGGCTAAGCCCCCTATGCTTGACTGAGCCCTGCTCCTAGGCCCAGCCCCCCACTCTGCACTGAACACTGATCCAAGGCTTAGTCCCTCATCCTAGACTGAGTCCTGATTGCTGAGTCCCAGGCCCAGCCCCCGTCCTAGACTGAGCCTTGATCCCAGGACCAGCCCCCCACTCTGTACTGAGCCTGCATCCCAAGCCCAGTCCCCATCCTAGACTGAGCCCTAATCCCTGGACTGAGCTCTCATCCCAGGCTCAGTCCACATCCAAGACTAAGCCCTAATCCCAGGCTCAGCCCCCTACCCTGGACTGAATGCTGATCCCAGGCTTGGTCCACATCCTAGACTGAACCCTAATCCCAGACACAGCCTCCAATCCTGGACCAAGACCCCCAGGTCCCAATCCCAACCTCCAACCTAGACTGATGCCTGACCCCAGGCTCAGCTCTGACTCCAAGATGAGCCCTGACCCTGGCTGAGCCCCAATCCTGAACTGAGCCCTGATCCCTGGCTGAACCCTGACCCTGACTTAGCCTATGATAATGGACAAACCCAGACCTTGACCCTTGATCCTGGTTAGAACTTGCTCCTGGACTGGACCGGGCACAGTGGTTCACACCTGTAATCCCAGCACTTTGGGAGGCTGAGACGGGCAGGTAATTTGAGGTCAGGAGCTGGAGAACATCCTGGCCAACATGAGGAAACCCTGTCTCTACTAAAAATACAAAAGTTAGCCGGGTGTGGTGGCGGGTGCTATTCGAAAGGCTGAGGCAGGAGAATCGCTGGAACCCAGGAGGCAGAGGTTGCAGTGAGCTGATCGAGCCACAGCACTCCAGCCTGGGAGACAAGAGTGAAACTCCATTTCAAAACAAAACAAAACTTAATCTAACCATTATCCCCACACTGCAGAAGGGCAGGCCCCTCTTCTAGAAATTCACCCTGAAGACAGGGCTCTAACGAGACCGAGTATATGTGCAAAAGGTCATCGCCTAAACTGCTGTTTGTGAATGCACAACGCTGGTTTCAACCCGAATGTGCACACACAGGACAGAGGTGAATGAATGAACTATGCCACAGTCCAGAAAGGAGGGCTCTGCAGCTGTGCAAAAGAACAAGAACGAGCTCCATGAATGGAACGCAGCGCTTGCCGGGACATGTTGGGATTTTACAATTTTTATTTTATTTATTTATTTATTTATTTATTTAGAGATGGAGTCTCGCTCTGTTGCCCAGGCTGGAGTGCAGTGGCACGATCTCAGCTCACTGCAACCTCCGCCTCCTGGGTTCAAGCGATCCTCCCACCTCAGCCTCTCTAGTAGCTGGGACTACAGGTGCACTCCACCTCGCCCAGCTAATTTTTTTTTTTTTTTTTGAGACGGAGTCTTGCTCTGTCGCCCAGGCTGGAGTGCAGTAGCACAAACTCAGCTCACTGCAACCTCTGCCTCCTGAGTTCAAGCGACTCCCCTGCCTCAGCCTCCTGAGTAGCTGGGATTACAGGCACCTGGCACCACATGCAGCTTTTTTTTTTTTTGCATTTTTGGTAGAGATGGGGTTTCACCATGTTAGTCAGGCTGGTCTTGAACTCCTGACCTCAGGCAATCCACCTGCCTTGGCCTCCCAAAGTACTGGGATTACAGGCGTTTTGTTTTGTTTTGTTTTGTTTTGTTGTATAGATGAGGTCTTGCTATATTGCCCAGGCTAGTCTTGAACCGCTGGGCTCAAGCAATCTGCCCGCTACAGCCTCCCAAAGTGCTGGGATTACAGACGTGAGCCACCATGCCTGGCCTTTTGTGTAGTTTTAAGCCCTATTCGTGCTTTCTATATTGAAAGATAAAATTGATCAACAAGGATGGAGGGAAAAGCTTTAAGATGGAATAACAGTAGAAAACAAATGAACCAAACTGTATTTCAAATGAAAAACGTAACCACATAGAGATAGAAAAGAATCAGCCCGCGGAACTTGTATACACAGTACTCACTCTAAAGACAAAAAGAGGCTGGGCACGGTGGCTCACGCCTGTGATCCCAGCACTGTGGGAGGCCAAGGCGGGTGGATCACGAGGTCAGGAGTTCAGCACCAGCCTGGCCAACATGGCGAAACCCCATCTCTACTAAAAATACAAAAATTAGCCGGGCGTGGTGGCGGGCATCTGTAATCCCAGCTACTCGGGAGGCTGAGGCAGGAGAATCGCTTGAACCCGGGAGGCAGAGGTTGCAGTGAGCCGAGATTGCGCCACTGTACTCCAGTCTGGGTGACAGTGGGAGACTCTGTCTCAAAAAAAAAAAAAAAGAAAAAAGTTAGCCAGGCGTGGTGGTGGGTGCCTGTAATCCCAGCTACTTAGGAGGCTGAGGCAGAGAATTGCTTGACCCTGGGACGCGGAGGTTGCCGTAAGCCGAGATTGTGCCATTGCACTCCAGTCTGGGTGACAGAGTGAGGCTCTGTCTCAAAAAAAAAAAAAAAAAAAAAAAAAAGAAGAAGAAGAGAGACAAAAATAATTGCAAAGAAACTTTGACCTTTATTTAGCGGATTTGTCATTGGGGAACGTATGGGTGGAGCAATTTTGAAACTATCATGTGTTTTACAGGACTGAGCAAAGTAGCAAATACAAAGATATTATTAGGAACTAGGGTCTTTGCTGGGAGAGAAAGATGTAAATATGACCTGGGAGAAAGCAAGAAAGAACCCTTGCAGGGTTAAATAGGACTTCAAGTTTCCCAGCCTGTGCAACACGGCAAGACCCCATTTCTACAAAAAATAAAAATGAAATAACATGGGTGTGATGGCATGCACCTGTGGTCCTAGCTACTTAGGAGGCTGACATGGGAGGATTGCTTGAGCCTGAAAGGTTGAGGCCGTGGTAAGCCATCATTGCTCCTCTGCACTCCAGCCTGGGTGATGGAGAGAGATCCCGTCTCTTAAAAAAAAAAAAAAAAAGGCCTGGCATGGTGGCTCATGCCTGTAACCCCAGCACTTTGGGAGGCCAAGGCGGGTGGATCATGAGGTCAGGATTTCGAGACTAGCCTGGCCAAGATGGTGAAACCCTGTCTCTACTAAAAATACAAAAATTGGACCGGGCACGGTGGCTGACGCCTGTAACCCCAGCACTTTGGGAGGCCAAGGCGGGTGGATCACGAGGTCAGGATTTCAAGACTAGCCTGGCCAGGATGGTGAAACCCTTTCTCTACTAAAAATACAAAAATTAGACCGGGGACGGTGGCTCATGCCTGTAATCCCAGCACTTTGGGAGGCCGAGGTGGGCAGATCACGAGGTCCGGAGATCAAGACCATCCTGGCCACTACAGTGAAACTCCGTCTCTACTAAAAATACAAAAAATTAGCTGGGCGTGGTGGTGCACTGCTGTAATCCCAGATACTCAGGAGGCTGAGGCAGGAGAATTGCTTGAACCCGGGAGGTGGAGGTTGCAGTGAGCCGAGATTGTGGCACTGCACTCCAGCCTGGGTGACAGAGCGAGACTCTGTCTCAGAAAAAAAAAATAATAAATAAATAAATAAATACAAAAATTAGCCAGGCACGGTGGTGACTACCTGTAATCCCAGCTACTTGGGAGGCTGAGGCAGGAGAATCGCTTGAACCGAGGAGGTGGAGGTTGCAGTGAGTCGAGATCGTGCTGCTGCACTCTAGCCTCAGTGACAGAGCAAGACTCTGTCTCAAAAAAAAAAAAAAAGAAAGGATTGCAAATATCAGTGTGAATTCAGGATCTCATGATTTATGCAAAAAACATAAAAAAACCCTGTCCTAACTTTCCACTGAGACAATCCCAGAGCAAGGAGCACCTAGTGCCCAGATCGTGGCTTCTAAAGATCACCTCCCTCCCCCTACAGCCCCTTGCTGAAAGGATCCAGGGAACCTGGGAGGAAGGGTTGATTCCAAGAGTAGGGCAGGAGATGAGCCTGGAACATCTCAGTGTGCCAGAGAGGGAGGGCGTGATCACAGAGGGAGGAGGACCTGGCAAAGAACACAGGAGCCAGCTCGGAGGGGCTGCTGCCGGCCAACCCTGGGTTAGAAATGGATGGATGACCTCAGCACATGACCCAGCAATTCTGTCGCTAGGGTCACACTCAAGAGGAATGCAAGCATGTCCACTCGAAAACTCACACCTGGCCGGACACAGGGGCTTATGCCTGGAATCCCCGGGGAGGCTGAGGCAGGAGGAACCCTTCAGCCCAGGAGTTGGAGGCAGCAGTGAGCTGAGGTTGCACCACTGCACACCAGCCTGGGTGACGGAGCAAGACCTTGTCTTTAAGGGGAGTAAAAAACAAACAAAACAAAACAAAAAGGCCAAATAGTAAATATTTTTGGCTTTTGGGGCCAGACAGTATCAGTGGCAGTTACTCAATTCCATGGATGCAGGAACAGCCTGCGTAGACACAGGTACATGAATGGACATGACCGTGTTTCAATAAAACTTTACAAAAGCAATTGAAGTAGTATTTGGCCTGTGGGTAGCAGTTTGCCGGCTCCTGACCTGGATGAAAAATACAGGGGAATACATTGTAATGGTTTTGTAACTTCTGTAGGTTTCAAATATTTTTGCACTAAAAATAAGCGAACAAAAGATGTGTTTCCGCAAAGACTTGGAACCAACCCAAATGTCCATCAATGATAGACTGGATTAAGAAAATGTGGCACAGGCCGGGCGTGATGGCTCACGCCTGTAATCCCAGCACTTTGGGAGGCTGAGGCGGGCAGATCACAAGGTCAGGAGATCGAGACCATCCTGGCTGACACGGTGAAACCCCGTCTCTACTAAAAATACAAAAAATTAGCCGGGCTTGCTGGTGGGCGCCTGTAATCCCAGCTACTCAGGAGGCTGAGGCAGGAGAATGGCATGAATCCGGGAGGCGGAGCTTGCAGTGAGCCCAGATTGCACCACTGCACTCCAGCCTGGGTGACAGAGTGAGACTCCGTCTCAAAAAAAAAGAAAAAGAAAATATGGCACATATACACCACAGAATACTATGCAGCCATAAAAAAGGATGAGTTCATGTCCTTTGTAGTGACATGGATGAAGCTGGAAACCATCATTCTGAGCAAACCATCACAAGGACAGCAAACCAAACACCGCATGTTCTCACTCATAGGTGGGAACTGAACAATGAGAACACGTGGACACAGGGTGGGGAACATCACACACCGGGGCCTGTCGTGGGGTGAGGGGAGGGGGGAGGGATAGCATTAGGAGAAATACCTAATGTAAATGACGAGTTAATGGGTGCAGTAAACCAACACAGCACATGTATACCTATGTAATAAACCAGCACAGTTGTGCACATGTACCCTAGAACTTAAAGTATAATAATAAAAAAAAAGACAAGATGTGTTTCCTCACTTGGTGCTCAGATTGTGGTCTCTAAATATCATCTCCCATTCAAAGGAAAGAGGGCTCCTTGGAGAAACGATCCAGTGCAGATCTGAAGCTGACAAAGTAAAGGATGAGTTAAAAGCATCTCGCTGTGCCCAGTCAAAAAACTCTTAAGACCCACTGGGTCATGGCTGGGCACAGTGGCTCACGCCTGTAATCCCAGCACTTTGGGAGGTCGAGGCGGGAGGATCACCTGAGGTCAGGAGTTCGATACCAGCCTGGCCAACATGGCAAAACTCCGTCTCTACTAAAAATATAAAAATTACCTAGGTGTGGTAGCGCATGCCTGTAATCTCAGCTACTCAGGAGGCTGAGGCAAGAGAATCGCTTGAACCCAGGAGGTGCAGGTTGCAGTGAGCTGAGATCACACCACTGCACTCCAGCCTGGGTGACAAGAGTAAAACTCTGTCTCAAAAAAAAAAAAAAAAAAGAGGAGGCTGGGCGCGGTGGCTGACGCCTGTAATTCCAGCACTCTGGGAGGCCAAGGCGGTTGGATCACGAGTTCAGGAGATCGCGACCATCCTGGCTAATACAGTGAAACCCCGTCTCTACTAAAAAATACAAAAAATTACCCGGGCGTGGTGGCGGGTACTTGTAGTCCCAGCTACTCAGGAGGCTGAGGCAGGAGAATGGCATGAACCCGGGAGGCAGAGCTTGTAGTGAGCCGAGATCGCATCACTGCACTCCAGCCTGGGTGACAGAGCAAGACTCCGTCTCAAAAAAAAAAAAAGAGGAAAGAGACTTAAGAGACACAGCACCCAAGCGCCACGCACGGGCTTTGTTTGGGTCCTGACTCCGACCAACCAATGGTGAAAAGACATCCGCAACGTATGATCGCCAGGGATGAGCCACTTTGTCATGATGAACCCAGTCAGGTGATGCCCTGAGTGGCTCTGACATCCCTTTCTGTCACCAGCAAACCTCACACCAACCCAACCTGAGGAACGGCTCAAGAAACAACCAAGCAAAACTCCTCCGACGTGTCACAAAGGAAACTGAGGCACTGCCCCAGAATGAGGAGAGGGAGGCAGCTCATGGCGATGTGGGATCCGGGATTGGATCCTGGTCCAGGAAAGGAGGACGGGAGCGAGAACCCGCCACATTCTAGTAAGGTCTACACACAGGTTCGTTCATAGGACGCTCGCTGATGTGAATTTCCTGGGTTGTACTAGGGTTACGTAAGAGGTAAGAGGAAGCTGGGTGGAGGGCATTTGGGAACTGTGTACAACTTCTGCAACTTTTCTGTGAGTCTAAAATTCTTACAAAACAACAACAAGAGGCAGAGCGCGGTGGCTCACACCTGTAATCCCAGCACTTCGGGAGGCCGAGGCGGGCGGATCACAAGGTCAGGAGATTGAGACCATCCTGGCTAACACGGTGAAAGCCCGTCTCTACTAAAAATACAAAAAATTAGCCAGGCGTGGTGGCGGGCGCCTGTAATCCCAGCTACTCGGGAGGCTGAGGCAGGAGAATGGTGTGAACCTGGGAGGCGGAGCTTGCAGTGAGCCGAGATCACACCACTGCACTTCCAGCCTGGGTGACAGAGTGAGACTCCGTCTCAAAAAAAAAACAGAAAGATAGGATGTGGTGAGAAGGGCTGTCACCACTGAGGTCTTCCTCCCTGAAACCCATCACCCCAGTCTGACCAGCAGCAAAATGTCAGACCAAACTCAGTGGAGAGGGTTTCTATAACATACTTTTATATTTATTTATTTATTTATGTATTTATTTATTTATTATTTGAGACAAGGTCTCACTCTGTCGCTCAGGCTAGAGTGCAGTGGCAGGATCTTGGCTCACCGCAACCTCCGCCTCCCGGGTTCAAGCAACTCTCATGCTTCAGCCTCCCAATTAGCTGGGATTGCAAGCATGCACCACCACGCCCGGCTCCTTTTTGTATTACAAAATACCTTTTATAGGTTCAAATGTGGCTCCCCTACAAAGATATGATGAAGTCATAACCCCCGGTATCTGTGAATGGGACCTTATTTAGAAATACGGTCTTTGCCGATGTAATCAAGTTAAGATGGGGATGACAGGCTGGACCCTGATCCAGTGTGACTAGTGTTTTTATAAGAAGAAAAATTAGGCCAGGTGTGGTGGCTCATGCCTGTAATCCCAGCACTTTGGGAGGTCGAGGGAGGCGGATCACTTGAGGTCAGGAGTTTGAGACCAGTTTGGCCAACATGGTGAAACCCTGTCTCTACTAAAAATACAAAAATATGGCCAGGTGTGATGGCACACAACTGTAGTCCAAGCTACTCAGGAGGCTGAGGCAGGAGAATCACTTGAACCTGGGAGGTGGAGGTTGCAGTGAGACGAGATTGCGCCACTGCACTCCAGCCTGGGCCACAGAGCGGGACTCCATCAAAAAAAAAAAAAGTAGCCAGGTGTGGTGGCGGGTGCCTGTAATCTCAGCTACTGCAGAGGCTGAGGCATGAGAATCACTTGAACCCAGGAGGCAGAGGCTGCAGTGAACCGAGATCGCACCACTGCACTCCAGCCTGGGCAACCAAGTGAGATTGTCTCAAAAAACAAACAAATAAAAAACCACAAATGTGTTCAACGTAGGAACAGGCTCCTGCCTCTGTCAATTCCAGGTGTGTGAGCTTAGTCAAATTACTCCACTTCTCTGCGCCCCGGTTTCCTCACCTGTAAAGTGGGGTGCTACGGCTTGCACCCCAGAACACTGCCCTGAGGATAGTAAGAGGCCTTCTCAAAGCTGGGTGGGGGCTGCTACTGGAATTTCAGGTCAGTAGCCACGGAGGAGTCTGCTTCAATGTCCCCCCCAGCCTGGGAGGGAGGTTGGACTCCACGTCCCGGCTTGCGGGACTCACAGCCTCCACAGTTCTGGGTACCATGGCCAGGACAGGTGGGTAGACAAGAAGTATAACTTTTTTCCTTCCTACTCCACGTTGCTCCCCGCACTGTAAGCACTGCCCCCGGGACACGTAAGCCGAGAAAGGAATGCAGAGGGGATAAACAGGACGCTGGCGACGCAGCCTCTAAGAAATCTTTAATTTCAGCCCGCACGGAGCCCTGCAGAAGGTGAGGGAATAAATACAAAAGGTTAAGATGCAGCATGCCCAGCCCCCAGCCTGCAAGGGATGGGGGGATGCTTGTGGGCCGCGATTTCTCTCGTCCGCAAACCGGGGCAGGACACGCTGTGAGCCACCGAGCTCTGAAAGTGACAGTGTTTTCCAGCGGTCTGTTACCCCTTGCAAAGGGAAGTCCCTGCACCCCTAGTCCACAGGTTCCTGGAAGGCGTTCCTTCTCCTGTCCACTAGAGTGCGCCAGAGTCCACGCCCGAAGGCGCCTGAAGGCTCTACTAGCCCCATCCCAGGGTGTGCGTCACCCACAGAGGGTCCCAGAACCCTGCCCAGGAGGTGACACGCCCGGAGATGGGGCTCCTGAGAGATGCCCACCCACCCAAGTCCTCAATCCCCTGATTTCTTCACCTTTTCATCCACCCTGGCATCCCAAATGGCCGTTTTGCTCCTTCCCTTTCAAAGGAGGGAAACTGAGTCAAGCAAGGGCAGGAGTACCCTGGGGGGCGGCTGTCCTGGTGAGAGGCAGAGAAGAGAGCGGCCAGCAGCGGGCCGTCCGTCCCCCGACTCCCTTGCGTGTGGGCCGAGGCTGGAGAGATAGACCAGGGACACTAGGGGTCCCTGCAGCCACTCCCACCTCCCACCCGCCCGCCGGTGCCGCCTGCCCCAGGTGGGGCCTGGGTCACAGCAGGTTGATCTCGTCCAGGTAGCGGGCGAGCACCGAGTCCCGCACGTCCTTGAAGACCTTGCGGATGTTCTGTGTGTCTGTGGCACATGTGTAGTGGCTGAAGAGGCGTCGGGATCGTGCGCCCTTCTTGCTGCCCTCGGGGCCGTCCACGCACCCGGTGTACATCCTCGTGTACATGTCCAGGATGAACCTCTTGGCTGCCTCAGCATCCTGCTTAGGGCCTGGGGAAACAGTGTGGGAAGGGGGTGAGGACCCTCCCTCTTTGGACCCAGGGGGCCTCTGGAGACCCTCTTCCCTGTAACCAGCACTGAAGGGACCCAGGGATCGCGCCTGTCATTTTTCTGTGCGTTGACTCCATCTTTTGTAGTCATAGCTGGTCACACGACTCCGGCCCAGCCAATGGGAACACAGGAGATTGTCTCACACGAGTCATGTGACCTGAAATGGACCAATGAGACCCAGCTCTGGGACTTCGGGCAGAACTGTGTTAAAGAGAGACACTCTCTTGGCCTCGCTTACAGCCAGTGCAGTTGGAAGACTGGAATCGCATAGACAAATATCCCAGGACTGTGAAGATGGCGGCATCAAGGCCAAACGAGGGGAAGAGAGTCCTCTTTTTTTTTTTCTTGAGATGGGGCCTCGCTCTGTCGCCCAGGCTGGAGTGCAATGGTGCAATCTTGGCAGTAGCTGGGATTACAGGCGCCTGCCACCATGCCCAGGTAATTTTTGTATTTTTAGTAGAGATGGGGTTTTGCCATGTTGGCCAGGCTGGTCTCGAACTCCTGACCTCAAATGATCAGCCCGCCTTGACCCCCCCAAAGCGCTGGGATTACAGGCGTGAGCCACTGTGCCCAGCCCTGCATAGGGTTTTAACATGAAGATTAAAGAAGCTTTGTAGAGTGCTTCCACCAGTGCGGTAGATGTGTTAGCTGCTGTTATCAATTTTATTATTATTATCATTATTATTATTATTATTATTTTGAGACAGAGTCTCACTCTGTCACCCAGGTTGGAGTGAAGTGGCATGATCTCAGCTCACTGCAACCTCCACCTCCTGGGTTCAAGCGATTCTCCTGCCTCAGCCTCCCGAGTAACTGGGATGACAGGCCCCCGCCACCACACCCAGCTAATTTTTGTATTTTTAACAGAGATGGGGCTTTGCCATGTTGGCCAGGCTGGTCTCAAACTCCTGACCTAAAGCGATCTGCGCGCCTCAGCCTCCCAAAGTGTGGTTTCTTATTATTATCACAAATATTATTTAGCACAGTGGAGGGTAGGGCTGGGAGTCAGCAAAGAGTGCACCAGTCACTTGTGCTGGGAGACAAGGATGAGTCATGGGTGGTTCCCTTTGACCTGAATGAAAAAAATATCTACCTTATCCTGTTCCCAAATTCTCTAAACTATGAGCTGATTCCCAGGGCTGCTTGGCAAGGAAGAGGGGCTATCCAGGCCACCATCCTGGAACAACTTGACGTCTATCTCCCAGACCCTGAATCTTGTGGGTATAATTGGCTAAAATTGGCCTCATGGGCTCTGAGACATGACAAGACCAGGGATCAAAACCTGGTGACTTCACCAAAGTTTATGTTTACTGATTGTGGACCTGGTGTCAAGCATGTACTAAGGACTCATCTACTATGGTTGCTTGTATATTGAGGTGAACAGTGTCCCCCAAAATTCATGTCCACCTGGAACTTCAGAATATGACTTTTAGAAATCGGATATTTGCAGATGTAATTAGTTAAGTTAAATTAGGTCATGGCCAGGCATGAGGGCTCACGCCTGTAATCCTAGCACTTTGGAAGGCCAAGGCAGGTGGATGACAGATGTGTGGTTGGGCCCAGGAGTTCCAGATCAGCCTGGGCAACATGGCGAAACCCTGTCTCTACAGAAATATACAAAAATTACCCAGGTGTGGTGGTGTGCGCCTGTAGTCCCAGCAACTCAAGAGGCTGAGGTGGGAGGATCACCTGTGCCCAGGAGGTTGAGGCTGCAGTGAACTGTGATCACACCACTGGACTCTAGCCTGGGCAACAGAGCAAGACCTTGTCTCAAAAAAAAAAAAAAAAAAAAAAAGTGGTCATACCAAAGTATGGGCCCTAAATCCAATGACTGGTGGCCTTATAACAACAGGAGAGGACACATAAAGGCATGGTGAGAAGACAGCCATGTGAACATGGAGGCAGAGATTGCAGTGATATGTCTACAAGCTAAGGATTGTAGGCCACCACCAGAAGCTGAGAGAGAAGCATGGAATGGATTTTCCCTTAGAGCCTCCAAAAGGAACCAACCTTGCCAATACCTTAACTTTGGACTTCTGTTGTTTCCTGTTGTTTTAAGCCACCCAGTTTGTGGTACTTTGTTACGGCATCCCCAGGACATGAAGGCAAGTTATCTCCAAGATGGCTGCCGTCACTTCCTTCCCTCCCTGTATGCATGTGTCATGCTGCCTTCAAGAGATGGAGTCTCTTTCTTTTGAATCCGGGCTGATATGAGTGATGTGCTTGACAAATAGAATGTGGCAGAGTAACGTCTGACATTTCTGAGGCTATCATGAGAAGCAGCTTCCACCTGGGCTGAAGTCTGTCTACCCTGAGGCAGCCATATTGTGAGTAAGCTCAAACCATGTGAAGAGGCTGTGGATCATGAGGCCCCAGATGGAGACAGAGAGAACAGGGGAGGTGGAAAAGGAGAGACAGACTAGGAGAAAGGGGAGGAGAGAGAGATGAGATGGGAGAGGGAGGCAGGGAGAGACACAGAGAGAGAGGCCAAGAGTGCCAAGAGCACCAAGGCACCAGACATATGGGGGAAGAAGCCATCTTGGAAGTTTATCTCCAATCCCATAGAGCCCAGCTGATGTCACATGGATCAGAGATGAACTTACCCAGCTCAACCTTTCCCAAATTCCTGACCCACAAAATCATAAGCAAAGGAAAATGACCAGTTTAAGTCACTAAGTTTGGGGATGGTTTGTTACTCGGCAGTAGCTAAGCAGGACACCCGCCACCACACTTTATCCTCACAGTGGTGTTCTGGGGAAAGTGCTAGTGAATATGTACCTTCCCCACGTTGGTCCCTGGATTAACCACAACTCTGCCTCCCCTTTGTAAAATATACTAAGTGGTGCCCAACACTAGATGGTGTTTCTCTGTAGTTGCCCTGTGGCCCTTTCACCCTCTGGATGGACTGAGAGTTTGTTCCCAAACCTGTTTTTGCCCATTGTACGTGTCTTGATTCATATGTAATTAAAAGAAACGTTATGCAAATCTGTAGCTACAAGTGCCGCATGAAAGAAGGTCATTGTATTACAAAACTAAGCTGTGTGCTTTGGAAACATTGTTCAAAGCTCTGCTTTAAAAATTAAAGAGAAAGGCCAGGTGTGGTGGCTCACGCCTGTAATCCCAGCACTTTGAGGCCGAGGCGGGTGGATCACCTGAGGTCGGGAGTTCAAGTCCAGCCTGACCAACATGGAGAAACCCCGTCTCTACTAAAAACACAAAATTAGCCGGGGTGGTGGCTCATGCCTGCAATCCCAGCTACTCGGGAGGCTGAGGCAGGAGAATCCCTTGAACCCGGGAGGCGGAGGTTGCGGTGAGCCGAGATTGTGCCATTGCACTCCAGCCTGGGCAAAAAGAGCAAAACTCCATCTCAAAAAAAAAAAAAAAAAGAAAAGAAATTAAAGAAAAAATAGACTGGGCACGATGGCTCACGCCTGTAATCCCAGCACTTTGGGAGGCCGAGACAGGTGGATCATGAGGTCAGGAGATTGAGACCAACCTGGGTAACATGATGAAACCCCATCTCGACCAAAAATACAAAAAACTAGCCAGACGTTCTGGCGGGCACCTGTAATCCCAGCTACTCGGGAGGCTGAGGCAGCAGAATGGTGTGAACCCAGGAGGCAGAGCTTGCAGTGAGCTGAGATTGCGCCACTGCACTCCAGCCTGGGCAGCAGAGCGAGACTCCGTCTCAAAAAACAAACAAAAAAAAATTAAAGAAAAAATGGATTAAAGAAAAAGAAATTGCTATCCAATTAGGGATAGATGAGATCACTATGAAAGATTAGAAAAAGAAACGTTATGGCCAGATGCGGTGGCTCACGCCCGTAATCCCAGCACTTTGGGAGGCTGAGGTAGGTGGATCACTTGAGGTCAGTTCGAGACCAGCCTGACCAACATGGTGAAACCCCATCTCTACTAAAAATAGGACAGGAAACTACTAAAAATTAGCCAGGCTTGGTGGCACGTGCCTGTAATCACAGCTACTTGGGAGGCTAAGGCAGGAGAATCACTTGAACCGGGGAGTTGGAGGTTGCCATGAGCCAAGATCGCACCACTGTACTCCAGCCTGGGTGACAGAGTGAGACTCTGTCTCAAAAAGAAAAAATAGAAGAAAGAAAGAAAAGAAAAAGAATCATTCTTAAAACCTAGGCAGATTCTGGAAATAGTAGACAATCTTTCCAGAAGTGCTTTACAACAGTGACCTCTACATAGCAAACCCATGCTTGAAGGATCTTGGCTCAAACCCCAAATGTTGGCCAACAAGCATAAAATAAAATGTTTGGCCGGGCATGGTGGCTCCTGTCTATAATCCTAGCACTTTGGGAGGCTGAGGCGGGTGGATCAGGAGGTCAAGTGATCGAGACTATCCTGGTCAACATGGTGAAATCCCGTCTTTTCGTACTAAAAACACAAAAATTAGCTGGGCGTGGTGGCGCGCACCTGTAGTTCCAGCTACTAGGGAGGCTGAGGTAGGAGAATCGCTTGAACTCTGGAGGGAAAGGTTGCAGTGAGCCGAGATCACGCCACTGCACTCCAGCCTGGTGACAGAGCAAGACTCTGTCTCAAAAATAAATAAATAAATAAAATGTTTAAGGTGTACGTGATATGCTACGTGTTTTTAGAATTCCTCACTTTACTCAGTTCCAAGGGCCTCTGCTATTTTATTCCATTCCACAGAAGGGAAAACAGATTCAATGAGGTCGGGCAGTGGATGGAGCTGAGTCTAGAACGCGGGTCTGATCCTATGTGAAAGTTCCGGTGACTCCAGGCTGAAGTAGAGTCTGGATTAGCATCTCTCTTCGGAGCTGCTTTTGGGAGTTGAAGGGTATAGAAAGTTCTAGAATTACTTACCCTGGAAACTGGGGAAATAGGTAGCCAGGTGGGAGGTGGGGATTTTCTCCTCCAGGATGTCGGTTTTGTTGAGAAAGAGGATGACGGATGTGCTTTTGAACCAGGGTAGTTCCAGGATAGTCCCAAACAATGCGAGGCTCTCCTTCATGCGGTTCTGTGTTGGGGGCAGAAGCAGGTTAGTGCTTCAACCAGCCAGGTGGGACAGGAAACCCTCCCATCGCGGAGACGGGGCTGTTGGCTCCAGGGGCATGGGCTCACCCCTATCTGCCTGGCTGGGGCTGAGGCGGGTGTGCCCGTGTTTCCATATGGACAGCTGCCTGGGTGTGCCTGACATGGTTTTGTGCCTGTGCTGGTTGGAAGTGTGTCCTCCCGAAATTCATGTCCCCCCAGAGCTTCAGAGTGTGACCTTATCTGGAGAGAGATTCTTGAACTCCTGGCCTCCCAGCGTGCTGGGGTTATAGGCATGAACCACTGCACCTGGCCTGGAGATAGGGTCTTTGAAGAGGTCGTTAAGGTGAGGCAATACTAGAATACGGTGGCCCTCAAGTCCGTGACTGCTGTCCTCATAAGAAGAGGGAGACCTGGCCGGGCGCGGCAGCTCACGGCTGTAATCCTAGCACTTTGGGAGGCCAAGGCGGGCAGATCACCTGAGGCCAGGAGTTGGAGACCAGCCTGGCTAACATGGTGAAACCCCGTTTCTACTAAAAATACAAAAAATTAGCCGGGCATGATGGCAGGTGCCTGTAAACCCAGCTACTCGGGAGGCTGAGGCAGGAAAATCGCTTGAACCCGGGAGGCGGAGGTTGCAGTGAGCTGAGATCGCGCCACTGCACTCTAACCTGGGCGACAAAAGCGAGACTCCATCTCAAAAAAAAAAGTACAATAAGGTCTCAAATGCCTTGTGTTATGGGGTACATCATATTTCCCCAAAATTCATACGTTCAAGACCTAACCCCCTAGAACCTCAGTTTGTGACCTTCTTTGGAAACAGGGCCATCACACGAGGAATTAACCCAGATGAGGTCGTACTGGAGTAGGGTGGGCCCTGATCCTAGACGACTGGTGTACTTATTAAAAGAGGCTATTGGCTGGGCACAGTGGCTCACGCCTGTAATCCCAGCACTTTGGGAGGCCGAGGCGGGCGGATCACGAGGTCAGGAGATTGAGACCATCCTGGCTAACATGGTGAAACCCCCTCTCTTCTAAGAATACAAAAAAAAAATTAGCCGAGCGTGGTGGCGGGTGCCTGTAATCCCACCTACTCCGGAGGCTGAGGCAGGAGAATGGTGTGAACCCGGGAGGCGGAGTTTCCAGTGAGCCGAGATCGCGCCACTGCACTCCAGCCTGTGCGTGTGCGTGCATGTGTGTGTGCACGCATGTGTGTGCCTGTGTGCCTGTGTGTGCGTGTGTGTGCCTGTGTGTGCGTGTGCATGTGTGTACTGTGTGTGTGCATGTGTGTGTTCATGTGTGTGCGCATGTGTACATATGCGTGTATTGTGCACGTGAGTGCATGCAAGTGTGCATGTGTGTGGTGCATGTGTGTTCGTGTGCATGTGTTGTGCATGTGCACTGCGTGTGTACATGTGTCCCGTGTGTGCACGTGTGTATGTGCATGTATTATGCACGTGTCTGTGCGTGTTTGTGTGCATGCATTGTGTATGTGCGTGTGTGCACTGTAGTGTGTGTGTGTGTGTGTGTGTGTGTGTGTGTGTGTGTGTCTGGGGTCCTGACCAAACAAATGCTGTAGGTCTGTGTCTTGGGTTGCTGCAATCTGACCACAAAAGGCTGAAGGGTCAAGTTCATAGCCATGCTGGGCACACACAGGCCCGTTCAAGAGCAGGGATCCCTCCCTTTCTGCACCAGAGCTTCCTGCTCAGGTGAGGGTCCCTGGGCCAACAAGTGGGCAGGGCGAGGGAGGCGGTGGCGCACCTCCTGGTTGTTCTCCTCCAGGCACTGGTCGTATTCACTCAGTGAGGCCAGGTAGATGAGGGCGATCACGTTCTCGAAACAATGGATCCATTTCTTACGCTCTGACTTCTGGCCCCCGACGTCCACGATCCTACAGGGAACCGAGGTGCCCCCTTTCAGAGCTCAGGAGCCTGCTCCGTGACACCCCCAACCCCCATCACGTCTGGGATATGCCAAGATCCATAATAGCGACAGCAAGAATAGGTGCTAGCCTCTCGTGGATTTGCCATGTCATTCCCGCGAGGCAAGGATGAGTCTTACGCCCATTTTACAGATGAGAAGCCTGAGATCCAGGGAGGAGCGGGGACTTTCCCAAGCTTCTACTGTGCTGGGCTGCCTGCTTTCTACCCCCATATTAGAGGGGAGCAGGTTGGACAGATCTGAGATGTGCCCTGGTGCTGGCTGGGCGACCCGGCGGAGGAAATTGCCAAACATCTCCAAAACTCAGTTTTCCCATCTGTGCTATGGGGCTCCTGTGCTCTGGCTGGCCATGGGCATGTCCAGTGGCCACACAGATGGGAATGAGGGCTGTTCCCAGAGCACACGTCCTCCCCTCCATCTGTGACTCAGCCCCACGCACCGTAACAAAAGCCTGAACCCTGCCCCCACCTTCCTGTTCTCTCTCTTCTGAGAAATGTGGGTCGCTG
The DNA here is from genome assembly GCF_000001405.40 of Homo sapiens. Taxonomy (NCBI): domain Eukaryota; kingdom Metazoa; phylum Chordata; class Mammalia; order Primates; family Hominidae; genus Homo; species Homo sapiens. The sequence continues at coordinate 3,155,266 of NC_000019.10, read as the reverse complement.
ATAACCATCTGTGCGTCATTTCCCTGGGGATGCAACCGTTACTCAGGAAGTCCCAGAACAGAGGCTTTGGACGGGCCCGGCCCAGGGCCTCAAGCAAGAAGGGACTTGCCCCATTGCACAGGAGGGGAAACCGGGACTGATGATGAAGCAGTTAGGCTGCAGCTGCTGGATGTGTCTCCTGATCCCTGAGACCCACTCCTCCCATGCATCCTCAGAGTCCCTCAAACCCCACATCCAGAGCCAGACAGGGTAAGCAGCCGTCGAGAGGGGGCTCTGGAGACTGAGACGGGAGTGGGATCAGCAACTGACCAGTTGGGAACTGTGGGCATCACCTCTCATCTCGGGTCTCAGTGTCCTCTGAGCCCTCACTCCATTCATTCGTCTCACTCCTGGGCCACACCTAAAAATCACTTCCTTGGCCCAGACTTCCCCATGATTTCCCAGCCTCTACCTTCACTCCTAAACTTTTATCCACCCACCCACCCCATTCATCGATTTATTCACTCATCCATCCACCCATCCACCCACCCACTCATCCATCCACCCATCCAGCCATTCACTCATCCATCCATCTATCCATCTACCCATCTATCCATCCATCCATCATCCATCCACCCACCCATCCATCCACCCATCCAGCCATTCACTCATCCATCCATCTATCCATCTACCCATCTATCCATCCATCCATCATCCATCCACCTGTCCACCCATTTACGAAATCCACCCACCGACCCACCCATCCATCTCTCCATTTACTCATCCATCCATCCATCCACCCATCTGTCCACCCATTACCCAGCTACCCATCCATCCATCTACCCATCTATCCACTCACTCATCCACCCATGTACCCATCCACCCACCCTCCCACCCATCCACTCATCCATTCATCCACTCACCCATCCACCCATTCATCCATTCATCCGTCACCCACCACCCATCTACCCATTCATTCATCCATCCATCCACTCATCCACCCATCCATCCACCCATTCATCCATCCATCCATCACCCACCACCCATCTACCCATTCATTCATCCATCCATCCACTCATCCACCCATCCATCCACCCATTCATCCATCCATCCATCCATCCATCCCACCCATCCATCCATCTATCCATCCACCCATCCATCTATTCATTCACTCATCCATCCATCTATCCGTCTATCCATCTACCCATCTATTCATCCATCCATCATCCACCTGCCTGTCCACCCATTTACTCAATCCACCCATCCATCCATCGCTTCATCTACTCATCTATCCATCCACCCATCTGTTCACCCATTATCCATCTACTCATACATCCATCTACCCATCTATCCACTCACTCGTCCACCCATCTACCCATCCACCCACCCACACCCCCATCCACTCATCCATTCATCCATCCATTCACCCACTCATCCATCCATCCTTCACTCACCCATTCACCCATTTATTCATTCATTCATCCATCACCTGCCACCCATCTACCCATTCATTCATCCATCCATCCACTCATCCACCCATCCATCCATGCATTCACCCACCCATTCATCCATCCATTCATCCATCCCACCCACCCATCCATCTATCCACTCATCCATCCATCCTTCACTCACCAATCCACCCACCCATCCATTCACCCATCACCCTTCCACCCATCTACCCATTAATTCATCCATCCACTCATTCACCCATCCATCCACCCATTCATCCACCCATCTATCCATCTATCCACTCATCCACCCACTCATCCATTCATGTATCACCCATCCACCCATCTAACCATCCATCCATCCATCCATCCACTCATCCCTCTTTCAATCCATCCATCTATCCATCCATTCATCCATCCACCCACTCATCCATCTATCCATTGATTCATCCACTCATCCATCCTGCCACTCCATCCATCCACTCATCTATCCCTCAACTTATCCATCCATCTATTCATCTATCCATCCACCCATTCATCCACCCATCCATTCCCTTCCATCTTTCCTTTTTTTTTTTTTTTAAAGATTCCCAGACCAAGTATCTCTCCCATAGAAGTCATCCTTGGGTACTAACACTACTATTGTGTCCCAGAGCTGGTTCCTTCTCGTGGGTTCTCGGTCTCGCTGACTTCAAGAATGAAGCCGCAGACCTTCGCAGTAAGTGTTACAGCTCTTAAAGGTGGTGTGGACCCAAAGAGTGAGCAGCAGCAAGATTTATTGTGAAGAGCGAAAGAACAAAGCTTCCACAGCGTGGAAGGGGACCCGAGCGGGTTGCCCCCATTCCATCTTTCCAACCATCCACCCACATTTACCAACTTCTACTCTGACCTTTAGCTATTCACTAAAGAAGCAGAAGAATCAAACTCAGCCCCTAACCTTGTGAGGCTCTCCATCTTGTAGAGGAGACCCACAGAAAACAGATAAATTATGAACCTTCCTAGTAAGGACTATTGAAGAGGCCAAAACAATAGGTTTGGGGGATTTAGGGAAAGGAAGGCCAAATAGGGGTAGGTCAAACACAATCGCTGTCTCTGGGCATGACTTTGCACCCCTGCTCAGCTCCCCGCCATCAGCCCATGGAAACAGATCTTGCTAAGGTCACCAGTGACCCTCTAACTGCCAATCCCAGAGTCATTCTTCTCACTGTATTCTTGACCTTTCCTTTCCTGACCTTTGACATTGGCCATTGCTCTGCTGGGTTAGGGTTAGGGTTAGGGTGCTGCACTGGCCATTCCCACCTCTGTCTGCCAGCTAAGGTGGAGTCCCCCTAGGCCCCTCAGACTCAACCTGTCCCAAAGGACTCCATCACCACCTTTTCATCCTCTAGCCCACCGGCTCCACTGTCTACCCCCATCACCTTGACAAAAAACTCAGGTGTCATTTTTGACTTCCTGTTCTAATTCCCACACTCATCCAGTCCTGCCCATTCCACATCAGAAACAACTCTTGCCCATCCCTTCCTTTCCATCCCCACGCCCGCTGTCCTGGCTCCTCCTTTTTCTGAGTTTCCTGACTTCCAGCCTCACACTCTAGTCCATCCCCCAGTGTTGATGACTACAGGGATCACCTCTGAGCTCCCCAGACCAGGCCTCCCCAGACCTGGTCCTGACTGTATAGTCTCTATTTCCTCCTCCCCAGCAGCCCCTTCAGGGTTAGGACTACTGAACTCCTATTCGTCTTTCAAAACCCCATTAATATTCCCTCCTCCAAGAAGATATTCCCTCCTGGATCTCTGATGCCTCAGCCTGGGCTCCTACAGGTCCCAGTCCTGACTACCTGGGGGCCTGGAGGTGTCTACATGGAGCTTTGCTTCCCCTAGCTTGGCAGCTCCTTGAAGGCTGGGCCTAAGAAACTCCTACTCATCCCTCAGGGCCCCAGCTCCTTTGCCCTTCCTACAGGAAGCCTTCCCTGCCCCCTAGGCTGGGCCTAGGTGGAGCGCTCACCGCAGGTTGGTTTTCTGCACGGAGAAGCAGTACTCGTTGATGCCAGTGGTGGGCATGCGGCTGCGGAGCACGTCCTGAGCTGTGGGGACGTAGCCCTCCTCGGTGATGCGCTCCAGGTGGGACAGGTAGCTGCAGAGCAAGGAGTCCTGAGGCCCAGCCTTGCAGCCAGCCTCCCTTTGCTTCCCAGGCCCTACGAAAGGCCCAGCAAGGACCCTGCTGGGGGAGGAGAGCTCCCTGGGTGGAGGTGGGGTCCCTGGAGTTGGCAGATGGCCCAGGAGCGTCCCCCACCTGAGGCAATGGAGCCCCAAGGAAAAGCAGCTTCACACGCAGAGCAGGGTGACCCGAGGGATGGCGTGACATGAGGAATGGCCTCATCGAGGAGTGGTGTCCCCCGGGAGAGCTGCTATGGCAGGGGTGGCGCTACCCCAAGAATGCTGGTAGCCTGGGAACAGTCTTCCCAGACATCAAGCCACCTTGGACATCCACCATCACACCTAGTACAGGATCCCACTAGGAATAGGGTCACCCCCAGAACAGGGTCTCCCCTGGAACAGAGTCCCCCCTAAAACAGGGTCACTTTAGGAACAGGGTCCCCCCAGGAACAGGGTCACTCCAGGAACAGGGTCCCCCCAGAATAGGGTCCCCTCAGAAACAGGGTCACTCCCAGAAAAGGGTCCCTTCTAAAACAGGGGCACTCTAGGAACAGGTTCCCGCCAGGAATAGGGTCACTCCGGGAACAGGGTTCTCTAGGAATAGGGTTCCCCCAGGAACAAGGTCCCCCCAGGAACAGGGTCCCTCCAAGAACAGGGTCACTCTAGGAATACAGTCCCCCCAGGAACAGGATCACCCCTAGGAACAGGGTCACTCCAGGAAAAGGATCAACGCCAGAACAGGATCCCCCAGGAAATAGGGTCTCCCTGGGAACAGAGTCACCCCCGGGAACAGGGTCCCCCCAGAAACAGGGTCACCCCTGAAACAGGGTCCTCACGGGAACAGGGACTCCAAGGCCCAGGGTCACTCCAGGAACAGGGTTCTCCAGGAATAGGGTTCCCCCCAGGATCAGGGTTCCCCCCAAGAACAGGGTCACTCTAGGAATACGGTTCCCCCAGGAACAGGGTCACCCCTGAAACAGGGTCCTCGCAGGAACAGGGAACCCCAGGCACAGGGTCACTCTAGGAACAGGATACCCCCTAGAACAGGGTCTCCCCAAGGAACTGGATTCCCTCAGGAACAGAGTCACTCCTAGAACAGAGTCCCCCTATGAATAGGGTCATTCCAAGAACAAGATCACCGCCAGAACAGAGTCCCAAGGAACAGGGTCCACCCAGGAACAAGGTCATTCCATGAAGGGAGTTCCCCCAGGAAAAGGGTCACCCCCAGAACAGGGTCCCCCGGGAATTAGGGTCCCCCTGGAAGGACCTCATCCTGGAGCAGGACCACCTCACAGCCCATCTGCGCCCACAATATCTCCTGCTGCAGGAAGCCAGCCAGCCTGGCCCCTGCCCTCAGCCCCTCCCCACGCGCCCATCCCCCGCAGACCCCAGACTCACTACACGGCTGAATCGAGCAGGTGGAATTCCCGCCGACGCTCATAGCAGGCCCGGATGCCGGCATCCCTCCACAGCCACTGCATGGCCGCAGCGTAGCGCTTCTCAAACGTGGTCACTTTATAGGGGTCCTGGCTCATGACCAGGCTAGCGTGGTGCTGGGGAGGGAGGACGGGGGCAGTTAGGGTAGCCTTTCTGAGTGGGGCTGCCCTCCGCAGGCATCTCTGCAAGCCCCCACGTCCCTCCCTGAAACACGCTCTCTTCCCACTGCTCTCCTTCTTCCCCAGAGCTCCCGACCCCCCCGCACACTTCTGATTTGTCCTCCGTCTGTTCTTGCATGGATCCCCAGAGGGAAAAGCACAGACCACCACATGAGGGGCTGCAGAGGGCACATGTGCTCGGGCGAGCCCAGGCTCAGGGGGAGCATGGCACCCAGCCCCGCTCTTTACACTAGCTGGCTCCCAGGAAGCACGGCACTCACAGTCCCCCCTTCCACAGATGAAGCGACTAAGACACAGAGCACTGAAGCAATCTGCCCCTCAGAAGTCCCCCAGAGGCGCGTGAACCCTGAGCTGCCCCCCAGACTCTGGGTTTCCCCTTCTTTTCCCCAAACAGCCCTAGCTCCCCCCAGGCACTCGCGTTGCTCAGACCTTTGTGATGGACTCTGAGTGTTGTGTGTGCATTTCTCTGTGTTTGTTCATGTACAAGCGTGCTCGTGTGTGTGTGTGTATAGATGTACACATGTACATGGGTGTGTCTGGGTGTGTGATTTGTTTGCATATTTGTGTGTGGGGCACGCGCATGTATCCTTGGCTGCATTTGTGGGTGCGTGCATAGGTGTGCTTGTGTGTGCATTTGTATGTGTGCACACATGTGCGTGCATGTGCATGGGGGGATTGCATGCAGGCATGTGTGTATCCTTGTGTGTTTGTGTATGTGCATGTGTGTGTGTGCATGTGGGAATTTGCATGCATGCTTGTGTGTGTTTGTGTATGTGCATGTGTGTGTGTGCATGTGGGAATTTGCATGCATTCTTGTGTGTGTTTGTGAGTGTGTACACGTGCATGGGCGTGTTTGAGTGTGTACATTTGTGTGTGCACTTATTTGTGTGCATCTGTGTGGGGGCATCTGCATGGATCCTTGTGTGCATTTGTGTGTGTGCACACGTGTGCACGTGTGTGCATTCATTTGTGTATGTGTGTGGGTGTGTGCATGTGGGCATGCGTGTGTATCTTTGTGAGCATGTACGTGTGTGTCCTTGTGTGCATGTCTGTGCGTGTGCATACATGTGCGTGTGTGCATTTATGCGTGTATACTTGTGTGTGCACTTGTATGTATGCACATATGTCTGGAGGACATGGCCTTGCCCCAGGGTCTGGGGACCCTTCCCTGCCTGCCCTGCCCTGCCCTGCCCTGCCCTGAAGTCTGGGGAACTTGGCCCTGCTCCGGGGTCTGGGGAACCCTGCCCTGGGCCCCTGCCTGCCCTGGGCCCCTGCCTGCCCTGGCGGCTCACCTTGCTCTCGGGCCTGCTGAATGGAATCTGCAGCCGCTCCATGGCCTCGATCATGGCCCGCATGGACACGAAGATGTTCTGGTAGACCAGGGGCCGGAAGCCCTTGCGCTCCTCCTCCGAGTAGCCGGCGCCGTGGATGATCCGCATCTGCTTGATGAAGGTGCTCTTCCCGCTCTCGCCTGGGCCTGGGGATGGAGCAGCAGAACCGCTCAGCCCTCCACGGGACTCCCACCCCCGACACCCCCAACCCCACGTCAGACACCCCCAACTCCACGCCAGGCCTCCTGGGTTCAAACCCCGGTGCAGCCGGGACCTCACTCAGTGACCCTAGGCTAGCGGCTTTGCCGCTCTGTGCCTTGGTTTCCCCATCTGTAAAACATGAACCTCAGGCTGGGCACGGTGGCTCATGCCTGTAGTCCCAGCACTTTGGGAGGCTGAGGCAGGCGGATCACCTGAGGTCAGGAGTTAGAGACCAACCTGGTAAACATGGCGAAACCCCATCTCTATTAAAAATACAAAATTAGCCGGGTGTGGTGGCTCACGCCTGTAATCCCAGCTACGCAGGAGGCTGAGGCAGGAGAATCGCTTGAACCTGGGAGGCAGAGATTGCAGTGAGCTGAGATCACACCATTGTACTCCAGCCTGAGCGACAGGGCGAGATTCTGTCTCAAAAAAAAACAAAACAAACAAACAAAAAAAACAAAACATGGACCTCAACAGACCATGCCTGCTGCATCAAACTGAGGGCCAAATGAATTGATTATAAAATGCTCACGGTAAGGGTCGCAAACTCCGGCTGCTTGAGGGCCAGATCCAGTTATCTTTGTGTGGCCAGAAAGTTTTTGTTTGTTTTTGTTTTCTTTTTCTCTTCTTTTTTTTTTTTTTTTTGAGATGGAGTCTTGCTCTGTCACCCAGGCTGGAGTGCAGTGGCGCGACCTCGGCTCACTGCAAGCTCCGTCTCCCGGGTTCACACCATTCTCCTGCCTCAGCCTCTCTGAGTAGCTGGGACTACAGGCACCCGCCACCACGCCCGGCTAATTTTTTTGTATTTTTAGTAGAGACGGGGTTTCACCGTGGTCTTGACCTCGTGATCCACCCGCCTCGGCCTCCCAAAGTGCTGGGATTACAAGCGTGAGCCACCGCGCCTGGCCAGTTTTTGTGTTTTTAATACTTTTTATGGTTATGGTTCTTATGGGTTTTTTTCTTTTTTCTTTTTTTCTTTTTTTTTAGACAGATTCTCTGTTGCCCAGGCTGGAGTGCAATGGCGCAATCTCAGCTCACTGCAACCTCTGGCTCCCAGGTTCAAGTGATTCTCCTCCCTCAGCCTCCCAAGTAGCTGGGGTAACAGGCGCGTGCCACCACGCCTAGTTAATTTTTGTATTTTTAGTACAGCTGTGGTTTCACCATGTTAGCCAGGCTGGTCTCAAATTCCTGGGCTCAAGTGATCCGTCTGCCTCGGCCTCCCAAAGTGCTGGGATTACAGGCGTGAGCCACCGTGCCTGGCCTATTTTTATTATTTATCATAACAATACTAATATGTATTATTATTTGCTACAATAATTTCAGGTAGAGAAACTTTTACGAAAGAAATAACATAGGATAAATAGGGCAAGGAGTAATTAGGTGACTACGATAGCCACGCAGTCAAGGAAGGCCTCTCAGTGGAAGTGATTTGTGAGCAGTCAAGGAAGGCCTCTCAGTGAAAGTGATTTGTGAAGGCCGGAAGGTGGCTGTCAAAATCTTAGAGGGCACACCAGGTGACAGTAACAGCTTGTGCAAAGGCCCTGGGGCAGGGCCGCACCTGGCATATTGGAGGAACAGTGAGGAGGCCCTTGTGGCTGGAGCAGAGTGAGGAGGGGGAGAGAGGAAGGAGGGGAGGGTGGGTTGTGCTGGGCCTTGTGGGTTGCAGGGAAGTCTTGGGCTTTGACCCTGAGGGACTTGGGAGCCATGGAGGGCTGTGGGCAGAGGAGGGACTGGCCCTGACTCAGGTGCTCACAGGCGCCCTCTGGTGGCTGCTGCAGGGAGGACAGGCTGTGGGGGGTGGTCTGGGGGAGCCCGGACCAGGGCAGTGGGGACTGCGTTGGTTCAGGTGAGCAACCGTGGGGCTGGACCAATGTGGCTGTCATGGAGCTGGAGAGGAGAGGACATATTTGAGAGACACTGGGGAGACAGAATCGACCTGACCTTGCTGACAGATGGTACAAAATCTGGCAGGGTCCTTGCAGGGCCAGCCACAGATTTTCTGGGGCTGGGTGCAAGCTGAAACTTCAGGCTCTTCTGAGCCTGGAACCCTCTGGGACAGCCCAGTTCGCGCACCTGCCAAACCGGCCCTGGGTCCGGGATACTGATGCTGGAGTCTTCAAGAGCCTGGGACTAGAGGTTCAAAGACACCAGCTCAGCCCCCCGCTAAGCTCTGACATCCCAAGGCTGCCCTTCCCCCTCTCTGTGTCTCAATTTTCTCATCTGTAAAATGGGTATGATCCACCAGGTGGGAGGTGGGGGCTGGAGGCTTGCCCAGCATCTCGTCTGGCTCCTGGGGGCACCAGCATGGGCCCCAACCAGCGATGGGAGAGGGGATGGGACTGCTTCTGCCTCCAGGGTTGGCGTGCAGAGGGCGGGGGTAGGGGTCGGTGCAGGCAGGACTTGATCGAGCAAGCGGCAGCAAAAAGGGAAGGAGTGGCTTGGTTGGGGCCCAGAAAGAGGAAATGGGAGCAGAGGAGAAGGCCGGAGCACGGAGAAGGGGCGGGGGTGTCACCTCCCATCTCCCCAAAGGGCTGTCTCCAACGCCTCCAACTCCACCTAGCAGGTGCCACCTGCACACTGGAGAGCCATGGGGGCAGGTCGGGGGTGGCCGCCTCGACTCTCCAGTCCTCAGTTTCTCCAGGGGTCATGTCTATTTGGCTCAAAGTCAAGAAACAGGCTTTTCTCGGCTGGGCACAGTGGCTCACGCCTATAATCTCCGCACTTTGGGAGGCTGAGGTGGCCAGATCACTTGAGGTCAGGAGTTCGAGACCAGCCTGGCCAACACGGTGAAACTCTGTCTCTACTAAATATACAAAAATTAGCGGGGCATGCTGGTGGGCGCCTGTAATCCCAGCTATTCGGGAGGCTGAGGCAGAAGAATTGCTTGAACTCGAGGCAGAGGTTGCAGTGAGCTGAGATCGTGCCACTACACTCCAGCCTGGGTGACAGAGTGAGACTCTATCTCAAAAATAAAAAAATAAAAAAAGGTACCAGGTCTGCAACTTAGTCAAAAATGGTTCAGAAAACAGTGTATATGCTTGGGCATGGTGTAGCGGCTCATGCCTATAAATCCAGTGCTTTGGGAAGCTAAGGGAGGGGGGCGGCTTGGGCCAAGGAGTTCAAGACCACCCTGGGCAACATAGTGAGACCCCATCTCTACAAAAAAAAAAAAATATATATATATATATATATATATTTAGTCAGACGTAGTGGTGCACACTGGTAGTTACAGCTACTCATGAAGCTGAGGTAGGAGGATCATTTGAGCCCAGGAGGTTGAGGCTGCAGTGAGCCATGATCACACCACTGCACTCCAGCCTGGGTGACAGAACAAGACCTTGTCTCAAAAAAAAAAGTTTCCAAAAAAAATTAAAAACTAGGGCTGGGCGCAGTGGCTCATGCCTGTAATCCCAGCACTTTGGGAAGCTGAGGCAGGCAGATCACCAGGTCAGGAGTTCGAGACCAGCCTGACCAACATGGTGAAACCCTGTCTCTACTAAAAATACAAAAACCCTGTCTCTACTAAAAATACAAAAATTAGCTGGGCATGGTGGCGCGCACCTGTAATCCCAGCTACACAGGAGGCTGAGGCAGGAGAATTGCTTGAACCTGGGAGGCGGAGGCTGCAGTGAGCCGAGATCATGCCACTGCACTCCAACCTGGGTGACAGAGCCAGACTCTGTCTCAAAAAAAATAAAAATAAAGGGCCGGGCCCGGTGGCTCACGCCTGTAATCTCAGCACTATGGGAGGCCAAGGCGGGCGGATCACGAGGTCAGGAGATCGAGACCATCCTGGCTAACACGGTGAAACCCCGTCTCTACTAAAAATACAAAAAATTAACCGGGCATGGTGGCGGGCGCCTGTAGTTCCAGCTACTTGGGAGGCTGAGGCAGGAGAATGGCGTGAACCGGGGAGGCGGAGCTTGCAATGAGCCGAGATCATGCCACTGCACTCCAGCCTGGGTGACAGAGCGAGACTCCGACTCAAAAAAAAATAAATAAAATATAAATAAATAAATAAACAAACAAACTACTCAAACGACAACATCCCCCAGGTCCACAATCTGAAATTCTCTGATGCAGAGCTGTGAGAGCTTCAGATTCCAGAATTTATTGCATGTTAGGATGGGGACATGTCAACTCACTAATATTCCTGCAGCGGAATGTAGGAATGGGAGTCAGTGCAATAAACAAACATCCTCCCACCCGTTTCTTTGAGTTTCTCATGGAGACACTATGGGGGACCATCAAGTTTTTGGAGCTTTGGCTATTTGGGGCTAGTAGCAGAGGGAATTGTGAGCTTGCTGGCCCTTGACTGGGTGTCCCTGGTGAGCTAAGAGCTGGAGTCCCACCATCTGTCCTGAGCCTCACCACGAGAGGGGGACAACTCTTTTTTTTTTTTTTTGAGAGGGAGTCTTTCTTGCTCTATCGCCCAGGCTGGAGTGCAGTGTCGCGATCTCGGCTCACTGTAAGCTCCACCTCCCGGGTTCACGCCATTCTCCTGCCTCAGCCTCCCAAGCAGCTGGGACGACAGGCGCCCACCACCATGCCCAGCTAATTTTTTTTGTTTTTTTTTAGTAGAGACGGGGTTTCACCATGTTAGCCAGGATGGTCTCGATCTCCTGACCTTGTGATCCACCCGCCTCGTCCTCCCAAAGTGCTGGGATTACAGGCGTGAGCCACTGCGCCTGGCCAAGAGAGGGACAACTCTTAGCCCTGTTTCCATGTGGGGAAACTCAGTCTCGGGGCCGTTGAGGGAATTGCTGTGGGTCGCACAATTCCTTCAATGGTCCTGGTGAGTGGCAGACTGGGATTCAAACTCAGTTCTGTTTGAGTCTAGAGCCTATGGGCTTTTATTTTTTATTATTATTATTATTTTTGAGACAGGGTCTCACTCTGTCACCCAGGCTAGAGTGCAGTGGCTTGATATTGGCTCACTGCAACCTCCACCTCATGGGTTTCAAGCGATTCTCCTGCCTCAACCTCCAGACTAGCTGTCATTACAGGTGTGCACCACCGTGTCCGGCTAATTTTTGTATTTTTAGTAGAGACAGGGTTTTGCCATTTTGGCCAGGCTGGTCTCGAACTCCTGGCCTCAAGGGATCCACTTGCCTTGGCCTCCCAAAGTACTGGGATTACAGGCATGAGCCACCTTGAGCTTATGGGTTTCTAAATTATTATACCTGGAGGTTCCTTTACCCTGCCTGAATGATTATAACAATCATAATAAAAATCACAGCTAGCATGATTTAAATCTTACCGTCTTCCCAACCCCGAGCCCAGAGACTCTACGGATCCCCAGTTAATCCTCACAGATTCTATGATTTTCCCATTTGCAGATGAGACACAGAGGACCAGAGAGGTTTAGTGACTTAATTTGGGTCACACAGCAAGTGGAACCCCAGGGGAGTAAACTTGGGGTCGTGTGAGTCCTTCACCAACAAAATGGGACACGGCCAGTCGAGCTGGGGTAGGTGTCATTAACACGTCTGTTAAAGCAATGTTTTTACAGAGTCTGGGAGGCTCGACAGCTCCTTGGGGTGTGGCATTGAGCCCAACTGCCGATGACTGGACTTTTTGAGCTCCTGTCCCCCAATTGCCTTCCAACCCTCAGATCTTCTTCTTCCTTTTTTTTACTTTTTGTTTTTATTTTTATTTTTTGATATAGAGTCTGGCTCTGTCACACAGACTGGAGTGCAATGGTGTGATCTCAGCACACCGCAACCTCCTCCTCCCAGGTTCAAGCGATTCTCCTGCCTCAGCCTCCCAGGCAGCTGGGATTAGAGGCGTGCACCACCACACCCGGCTAATTTTTGTGTTTTTAGTAGAGACGAGGTTTCACCATGTTGGCCAGACTGGTCTTGAACTCCTGGCCTCAAGTGATCCACCCCTCCTCAGCCTCCCAAAGTGCTGGGATGACAGGCCTGAGCCACCGCGCCCAGCCAGGACTGGACCTTTTGGGCTCCTGTCCCCCAGTTGTCTTCCAACTCTCAGATCTTAGTTTGCCCCAAAGTGCAGAGAACAAACATAAGTCTTGGCAAGCAACAGTTGGCTTTATTTTGTGATGCACTGATTTTTTTTTCCTCTTCTGCTTTGTTATAGGAAATAAATGATAATCCTGTTGCCACCCGCGACACAGATTTGATGACTCAGGGATGGGTCATCACCCGAAGCCTGAAGAGCTGCGTGAGAACCCCCTCTTTGCAATCCATTGCTGTCCTGAAGCCACAAAGGATTCTGGGACCTCTCCATTGCCCCCCGACCCCCAGACATCCCCCAGCTCCTGGATAGAAATGGTGGGAGTGATCTGTTTTAGGATACCCCCAAAGGCCATGCGGCCCAGACGGGAAGTTCCTGCTTCCTCCTGGGCACGGAGGAGGACAGGAGGAAGTGGAACCGGCAGATGCCAGGAAGGAACTGGGTTAACCGTGCCAAGCCCCAGTCATCACAAGGCAACTGGAGCCAGCTATGTGCACAGAGTCCAGCACCAGGCCCTCACAGGAAACGCAGCTGCTGGGGAAGTGGGGAGCCAGGCCAGGCAGCCGCAGGGGCAGGAGGCTCGGCCTCTCAGTCCCGCTCTGGCTCAAACTAGCTGCTGACCCCCAATCAATCCTGCTGCCTCCTTGGGCCTCATTTTCCCCATCTGGCACTGGGGTTCTGTGGTGTTTCTGTCCCCCAAGGCAGGCGAACAGGGCAGTCAGGAGCATGGACTTTGGAACCAGAATTCTAGGTGCGAGTCTCAGCTGTGTGACCTTGGGCAAGTCGCTCTGCCTCTCTGAGCCTCAGTTTATCCTTTGGGGGAAACTAGGAGTGCCTGCCTCAAAGTGCTAAGAACAGGCCGGGCACAATGGCTCACATCTCTAATCTCGTCACTTTGGGGAGGCCAAGGCAGATGGATCACCTGAGGTCAGGAGTTCGAGACCAGCCTGGCTAACATGGTGAAACCCCGTCTCTACTAAAAATACAAAAATTAGCTGGGCATGATGGTGCACACTTGTAGTCCCAGCTACTCAGGAAGCTGAGGCAAGAGGATTGCTTGAACCCAGGAGGCAAAGGTTGCCGTGAGCCGAGATCGCACCACTGCACTCCAACCGGGGTGATAGAGTAAGACTCTGTCTCAAAAATAAAAATAAAAAATAAAATGTTTAAAGTGCTAAGGACATAACTGGTCCCTTTCACAGCTTTATTTTCCTGTTTTTGTTGTTGTTCACTTTCTTTTCTTTTCTTTTTTTGTTTTTGTTTAGAGACTGGGTCTCGCAATGTTGTCCAGGCTGGTCTTGAACTCCTGGGCTCAAGCAATCCTCCTGCCTTAGCCTCCCGAGTAACTGGGACTACAGGTATGTGCCACCATACCCGGCTCACGGCTTCATTCTGACTCTCCCCCTTCCCCAATATGAGGGTTGCTTCATGTCAGGGACAGACCCACCCCCACCCTGGTCCTTTTTGCCATCTTCCTCAAAAGGATCAGCCACCTCCAGGTAAAAAAAAAACAGCTTTTGGATTCAATTCCTGTTTCCAAGAAGGGACAGAGGTCTGGAGGTTGCCCTCAGACCTGTCTCCAGGGATGAGGTGGTTTAAACCACAGTCCACAGTGCTACATCAGTGCCTGGGGACATGGATGTCATCCCCTGCCCTCCATCAGTAGAAGGGGCTTCCTGCTTTGAGGCTGGCTGAGTAGTGCCCAGAGTGGTATGTGGAAGGGACTTTCCCAGCTCCAGGAAGATATGATACAGTGTCTGGGGGAAGTTCTCCCCAAAAATGATTCATTCATTCATTCATTCATTCATTCAGCATTTCTTGAGCATCTACTATATGGCAGGCTCATTGTACACCTGTGCTAGATGCTGGAGACACAGGGATGAAGAAGACAGATGTGGTCCCTACCCTTTTGTTGCTTGCTGTATAGCTGGAGAGATAAACAATAAACAAGTGAACAAATAGTGAGGGCCAGGAAGAAAAATCAAACAGAGTAAGGGGAAGGAGAAGATAGGACTGTCTTTATAGCTAGGGTAGTCAGGGAAGACTTCTCTGAGGAGGCGACACTTGGGTTGAGACCTACATGGAGTGAAAGGGCCAGCCAGGCAAAGGTCAGGGATAAATGACCTTGAGGTATTCGAGGAAAGAGCACTAAAAGTGATAAACCCCTAGCTTGATAGATCAAGAAAAAAATGAGCAAAGGCAGAAATGATCGATACCAAGAGCAAAAGAGAGGACATCACTGCAGATCCTACAGACAGTAGCAGGAGAACAAGGGAACGTTATAAATGTTATGCCAATAAATTTGATAACACAGGCAAAATGGACAAATTATTTGAAAGACACAAATGATCAAAACCCACACAAGAAGAAGTAGATAGCCTAAGTAGCCCTATTTATTTAAAATAATAAGACATATCGATATGATACGTCATAATGTGACATAATATGACACATTAATATGTCAAATATAGATAGATAGATAGATAGATAGATAGATAGATAGATAGATTTTTTTTTTTTGAGATGGAGTTTCACTCTTATTGCCTAGGCTGGAGTTCAGTGGTGTGATCTTGGCTCACTGCAACCTCTGCCTCCAAGTTAGAGCAATTCTCCTGCCTCACCCTCCCAAGTAGCTGGGACTACAGGTGCGCACCACCACGCCTGGCTAATTTTTGTATTTTTAGTAGAGATGGGGTTTCACCACATTAGCCAGGATGGTCTCCATCTCCTGACCTCGTGATCCACCCTCCTCGGCCCCCCAAAGTGCTGTGATTGCAGGCGTGAGCCACCGCACCCAGCCCTGATTTTTTATATTTTTAGTAGAGACGGGGTTTCATCGTGTTAGCCAGGATGTTCTCAACCTCCTGACCTCATGATCTGCCCACCTCGGCCTCCCAAAGTGCTGGGATTACAGGCATGAGCCACTGCACCCGGCATTTTTTTTTTTTTTTTTTTGAGACAGAGTCAGCTTTGCTCTGTCACCCAGGCTGGAGTGCAGTGGCATGATCATAGCTCACTGCAGCCTCAACCTCCCAGGCTCAAGTGATCCTCTCACCTCAGCCTCCCAAGTAGTTGGAACTACAGTTGCGCACCACCATGCCTGGCTAATTATTTTATTTATTTATTTTTTTTAGAGACTGGGTCTTGCTAAGTTGCCCAGGCTGGTCTGAAACTCCTAAGCTCAAGCAATCCTCCCACCTAGGCCTCCCAAAGTGCTAAGATTACAGGAATGAACCACTATGCCCTGCTGAGATATTCTTTTATCTCGTTCAGTAAGAGGGATCAAGGCTAGAGTTGAAAGGGCCCTTGACTGGGTGCAGTGGCTCACGCCTGTAATCCCCACACTTTGGGAGGCCAAGGTGGTAGGATCACCTGAGGTCAGGGGTTCGAGACCAGCCTGGCCAACATGGTGAAACCCCATCTCTACTAAAAATACAAAAATTAGCCAGGTGTGGTAGTGCGCACCAGTAGTCCCAGCTGCTCAGGAGACTGAGGCAGGAGAATCACTTGAACCCAGGAGGCGGAGGTTGCAGTGAGCTGAGATCTCACCACTGCACTCCAACCTGGGGGACAGAGCAAGACTCAATCTAAAAAAAAAGAAAAAAAAAAAAAAAGAGGCTGGGCGCGGTGGCTCACGCCTGTAATCCCAACACTTCGGGAGGCCAAGGCGGGTTGATCACCAGGTCAGGAGTTCGAGACCAGCCTGGCCAACATGGTGGAACCCCATCTCTACTAAAAATACAAAAAAAAAAAAAATTAACTGGGCGTGGTGGCGCGTGCCTATAATCCCAGCTACTCAAGAGGCTGAGACAGGAGAATTGCTTGAACCCGGGAGGCGGAGGTTGCAGTGAGTTGAGATCGCACCACTGCACCCCAGCCTGGGTGACAGAGCAAGACTCCGTCTCAAAAAAATAAAAATAAAAATAAGAAAAGAAAAAAGAAAGAAAGGGCCCCCAGTGAAGGTGCAGTTCCTGGGGGTCCCCACCATCCCACTCGATGTTCTCTCTCTTTCCTCTCGGGCGGCCTCTTCCCACTGAACGAGGAAAGGACGATAGCAACCATCACGGGATGATCAAGCTCTTTGCCCGGGGCAGACAAACGCGAGTCCAGAAGACTTGAGACCTTCTCCAGCCCCCAACCCAGAGCTCGGGGATCCCAGAAGACCCTCCCAGGCTAGCATCCCGGGCTTAGGCCAACGGGGCCATAATCAGGGAAAGGTAATTGGGGAAACAAGCTACGGGAATGAGAAGACCCCGAGGTTTCAGAGATCAGAATTTTTTTTTTTTTGAGACGGAGTTTTGTTCTTGTTGCCCAGGCTGGGGTGCAATAGTGCAATCCTGGCTCACTGCAGCCTCCACCTCCTGGTTTCAAGCGATTCTCCTGCCTCAGCCTCCCCAGTAGCTGGGATTACAGGCACATGCCACCACACCCGGCTAATTTTTTTGTATTTTGAGTAGAGACGGGGTTTCGCCACGTTGACCAGGCTGATTTCGAACTCCTGGCCTCAAGTGATCTGCCCGCCTTGGCGTCCCAAAGTGCTGGGATTACAGGCATGATTTATTTATTTATTTTATTTATATTTATTTATTTATTGACAATGAGTCTTGCTCTGTCATCCAGGCTGGAGTGCAGTGGCCCGATCTCAGCTCACTGCAACCTCTGCCTCCTGGGTTCAAGCGATTCTCATGCCTCAGCCTCCCGAGTAGCTGGGATTATAGCTGTGTGCCACCATGCCCAGCTAATTTTTGGTTTTGTTTGTTTGTTTATTTGTTTGAGATGGCGTCTCACTCTGTCGCCAGTCTGGAGTGCAGTGGCATGATCTCAGCTCACTGCAGTCTCCACCTCCTGGTTTCATGCAATTCCCCTGCCTCAGCCTCCCGAGTAGCAGGGACTACAGGCACGCACCACCACATCTGGCTAATTTTTGGTATTTTGGTAGAGATGGGGTTTCACCGTGTTGGTCAGGCTGGTCTCGATCTCCCGACCTTGTGATCCACCCACCTCGGCCTCCCAAAGTGCTGGGATTACAGGCATGAGCCACCATGCCTGGCAAATTTTTGGTATTTTAGTAGAGACGGGGCTTCACCATGTTGGCCTGGCTGTGTCTTGAACTCCTGACCTCAAGTGATCCCACCCGCCTGGGCCTCCCAAAGTGCTGAAATCACAGGCTTGAGCCACTGCACCCAGCCAGAGTTCAGAATCTTGAACCGTTACTGACGTCGACTCCCCCATCTGAAGCCTCCGCATGGAAGCCATCACCCTGTTTTGTTTTCTCCTAGATAATTCTTGTTGCCAGAATTATTTTATCTGCTTATGAGTTTACAGACTAAATGTCTTGGCTCCTTCACAGGAAATGAGATCCAGGAAGACAGAAATATCTTCCCCTGTTTGGCTGCCTCGTTCCTGGGAGCTACCCAATAAATCTTAAATGAATGAATAATGAATGAATGAACCAATGAACCAATCAATCCATCCTTTCTAGCCCCCAAAGGAGCCCTAGACAAGCCCTCTCCAGCCATGGCAGGGAGGTAAAGGCGAGAGGGAGCGTCCTGGTGAAGGAGAGGCTGGAGCCGGCCCCTCCCTTACGGGTGGGCTGGCCAGAACGGGTTGCACACCTGAGCTCATCATTCCCTCGCCATGACACAGACAGGTAGGGCGTGCTGGGCCTGCCCGGCAGGGGCCCGGTAGAGCCACGTCTGCTATTGTATATGCCCCACACAGTGGACAGGCCTGGGCACCTGGCCGCTGGTCGCACGTTGGACAAGGAACTTGGCTTCTCTGAACCTCAGTCTTTCTCATCTGGAAAATGGGTTCCAGGCTCCCCATTCCCTGGGAGGAGGCGACGGCTCCACGATGCCAATGTCTGACCTAGCCTGATCCGCCTCCTTGCCCCGACACCCCTGCCGGCTGGCCACCGCCCACTGCCCACCACCCACCGCCCACCGACCCTGGACTCACCCAAAAGCAGCAGCTTCAGCTCCCCGCGGTCCTGCTTCTTCTGCTCCAAGAGGATCCTGTTGATCTCCTGGTCCACCCGGGCGGCGGCCTTCTCATCCTCCGTCAGGCACCAGGGGCAGCAGCGCCAGGTCAGCGAGCGGGCCATGGTGCGGTGGCCTCAGTCGGCACCGGGTGGCATCGCCCCCGGGCCCCTGCTGGCCAGGGCAACCCCCAGCCCAGCCGGCCCTGGAGAGGGCTCCGGGCAACCGGGTGCGCAGGGAGGCTGCCTTTTCCTTGGGGGTCACCCCCCAGGGACCTAGACTTCCTTGCCTGAAACACCCAGGAAGCCCGGCTCGGCGGTGGCAAGGCTTGAGTGCTGGGAACAGGGTGGGGACGGGAGGAGGTGGGGAGGCCAGGGCTCCCCGCCCACCTCCAGACCTGCTCAGACCCGGCCCGACAGGTTGACGGTGAAGGGTGCCAGGAGAGGGTGAGGTGGGGGCCCCAGGGAGGGCGGGGCGGTGGCGGGAAAACCCCCACCGCAGACTGGGTCCTGTGTGACCAGCAGGGCCCTTCTTCCTCCTTCTGGAGAAGGGGCGGATTCTCCTCAGGCTTCACCCGGAGCTGTCCCCCTCCTCGGAGCCAATCAGGAACCGTCAGACCCGTGCTACTGCTGATACATTATATATATATCATATATATATGTGTGTGTATATATATATATGTGTATATATATATATATATATATATATATATATATATATATATATATATATTTTTTTTTTTTTTTTTGAGACAGAGTTTCACTCTTATTGCCCAGGCTGGAGTGCAGTGGCAGGATCTTGACTCTGCAACATCTGCCTCCCAGGTTCAAGCAATTCTCCTGCCTCAGCCTCTCGAGTAGCTGGGATTACAGGCATCCACCACCACGCCGGGCTAACTTTGGATTTTTAGTAGAGAAAGGGTTCCACCACGTTGGCCAGGCTGGTCTCAAACTCCTGACCTCAGGTGATCCACCCGCCTCGGCCTCCCAAAGTGCTGGGATTGCAGGCATAAACCACCACGCTCGGCCCTTCTGATATATTTTTAAGAAACAGCTCAGGCCAGGTGTCATGGACTGTTTCCAGCGACTCTGCCCTGACCTCAGGTGATCCACCCTGCAGAGGTGGGCAGCTTGCCTGAGGTCAGGAGTTCGAAACCAGCCTGGCCAACATGGCGAAACCCTGTCTCTACTAAAGATACAAAAATTAGCCGGGTTTTGGCTCACATTAGCTGGTTTTACACTCACATCACCCTGTATAGTTACTACTGTCATCCCTGTTTGACTGATGAGGAGGTTGAGGCATAGAGCAGGGGAGTGACCGGTGGGGCTGGCACAAGGCAGAGCCGGGAGCCTATCCCTCACCTGCGGGGCCCCAGAGTCTAGACGCCTACCAGGCAGATTCCAGGCAGGGCCATCCCTTCATTGTGCGTGCATTCATGGAGCGCCAACTGTGTGCCAGGCACGGTAGCCAAGAGACACAGATCCCAGACCTCCTTACCTAAGGTTCTAGTTAAAGAACAGATAATAAAATAAATTTTAGGCTGGGCCTGGTGGCTCACGCATGTAATCCCTATACTTTGGGAGGCCAAGGCGGGCAGATCACAAAGTCAAGAAATCGAGACCAGCCTGGCCAACACGGCGAAACCCCGTCTCTACTAAAAATACAAAAATTAGCCGGGCGTGGTGGTGCACGCCTGTAGTCCCACCTACTTGGGAGGCTGAGGCAAGAGAATCGCTTGAACCCGGGAGGCAGAGGTGGCAGTGAGCTGAGATCGTGCCACTGCACTCCAGCCTGGCGACGAAGTGAGACTCCATCTCAAAAAAAATAAAAAATAAAAGAATAAAAAATTTGGCCAGGTGAGTGCGGGAGCTCACATCTGTAATCAAAGTACTTTGGGAGGCCGAGGCAGGAGGATCACTTGAAGTCAGGAGTTTGAGACCAGCCTGGCCAACATGGAGAAACTCCATCTCTACTAATACAAAAATTAGTTGGGCATGTTGGCACGCACCAGTAGTCCCAGCTACTTGGGAGGCTGAGGCAAGGGAATCACTTGAACCCCGAAGATGGAGGCTGCAGTGAGCCGAGATCATAACACTGCTCTCCAGCCTGGGCAACATAGTGAAACCCTGTCTCCAGAAACAAACAAAACAAAACTCTCCCTCTCTCTCTATGTATATATATACACACACACACATACATATATATACACATACATATATATACACAATATATAGACACACATACATATATGTATATACACATACATATATACACATACATATATATACACAATATATAGACACACATACATATATACACATACATATATACACACATAAAAGTATACATTTTAATATACATATATGTATATTATACATAAAAATATATATGTGTGTATATATATACACACACGTGTAAAATATATATATTTTTTAATACACCTGAGCCCGTTGGATGGTGAAAAATTCTGCCAGAAAAATTAAGCAGAGATGTTGTTGGGGAAGGTTCAAGGTCATTGCTCTAAATGGATCAACAAAGGTCGCACAGACAAGTGATATTCAGGATCAGAAGTCAGACAGGCAGATCGGGTGTAAGAGGGACTTTGGGAGTGGACCTCACTGGTCAAGGAGATCTTCCCAATGAGTGCCATGAGGCCGCCCTGACCTGATCCCTCTGGGACTTCAGGGCCCTAGGGGTGGGCTGGTGGCTGGCAGCTTGGTAGAAACGTTGCTGCTTCCTAGGTACTCAGAGCCAGAGTGTTTGGGTGAAGATTCCCCACCCCCATTGACAGGCTGTAGAAAATTCTAGAAAGTTCTGGATCAAAACTCTCCTCCCCAAGAGATACACGTAATTCTTGTACTTCGGGGGCCTCTGGTCCCTTTACAGATAGGGCAAGGCACAGAGAGGGCGAATTACGTGCCCAGGGCCACACAGCCATTGGCAGCCACCGTCCCCACCTCCTCCCAGACACCAGGGCTCGGTGACAGCCGTTGACGCAGCTTCACCAGCTCAGCACAAACGTGTGGTTTTCTCCACTGTTGATTCATAACGAATGACAGATGGGAAGTACGATAGGGGCCCCCATCTGGTCACTGGGGCTGGCAGGTGCCATCTGCCCACCCAGCCACCCACCTTCCCGCCCCCAACCGGATAGCAGCAACGAGGGGCAGTCCCACCCAGGACAGGCAAAGAAACGCAGAAATAGGTCATGGCCGTGCAGATCTTCCAGGATGGTTGAAACAGAAATGACCAGCAAAACTGGGAGACGAGGCTGAGCCACAGGCCCCACAGGGTGAGCCCAGGGGGCCACTCTCCTAGCATCTCCCTGCGGCATTTTTGGACAGGATACCAGCACCCGCCATCTTCACAGCCTGGACCAGGGTGGCAGACCCTCTGTGGCTCCCGCTGGCTTCAGAATTAATGAGCCGGCTCCCTGGATCCAGGGCCCAGGCTCTGCCCACTTCTCCAGCTGCTGAACAAACCTCCCTTGCGGTTCCCTAAACGGGCTGAGCTACTTCCTTGCCACATGCTGAGCATTTGTCGTGTATTATTAGCTCAGCTGGGAACACCAGGGTGAGCTTGTGTGTGTAGAAAATATTTCTTTCAGAAAACACATAAAACCTGAATGTATTACCTAATAAATTGTTGTGAAGCCGGTATCCACAGAATCCACTGAGGCCAAGACTAAGGACATTTTCAGGCCGGGCGCGGTGTCTCACGCCTGTCATCCCAGCACTTTGGGAGGCCAAGGTGGGCAGATCACCTGAGGTCAGGAGTTCAAGACCAGCCTGGACAACATGGTGAAACCCCGTCTCTACTAAAAATAGAAAAGTTAGCCAGGTGTGATGGTGCACACCTGTAATCCCAGCTACTCGGGAGGCCGGGGGAGGAGTATTGCTTGAGCCTGGGAGGTGGAGGTTGCAGTGAGCTGAGATCGTGCCACTGCACTCCAGCCTGGGTGACAAGCAAGACTCTGTCTCAAAAAAAAAAAAAAAAAGACCTTAGCCCCACAAAGACCCCTAGTGTTTTCCTCATAGTAATCTCTACCTTCCCAGCAGTAACTATCATTCTGACTTCTGTGGTATTAATATTTATTTCCGGGTTTGGGGGGTATTTTTTGCTAATAAGATCTATTTCAGCTGGGCATGTTGGCTCATGCCTATAATCTCAGCACTTTGGGAGGCTGAAGTGGGAGGATTGCTTGACCCCAGGAGTTCAAGACCAGCCTGGGCAACATAGTGAGACTCTATCTCTTTTTTTCTTTTTTCTTTCTTTCTTTCTTTTTTTTTTTTTTTTTTTTTTTTGAGACGGTGTTTTGTTATTGTTGCCCAGGCTGGAGTGCAATGGCTCGGTCTCAGCTCACTGCAACCTCCACCTTCCCAGTGAGACCCCATTTCTAAAAAATAAAATAAAATAAATTAGCCGGGGGTGGTGGCTCATGCCTGTGGTCCCAGGTACTCCAGAGGCTAAGGTGGGAGGATTGCTTAGGCCAGAGAGGTTGAGGCTGCAGTGAGCTATGATTGACCCACTGCACTCCAGCCTGGGTTGACAGAGCAAGGGTCTGTCCCCCCCAAAAAAAGATCTTGTTTTTAATTGTCTAAATTTATGTAGCATTGTATTTACTTTCTTTGGTGTATGGTTCTATGAGTTTATTTATTTATTTATTTATTTATTTATTTATTGAGACGGAGTCTGTCTCTGTCACCCAGGCTGGAGTGCAGTGGCACGATCTCGGCTCACTGCAAGCTGAGCCTCCCGGGTTCACGCCATTCTGCTGCCTCAGCCTCCCGAATAGCTGGGACTACAGGTGCCCACCACCACGCCGGGCTAATTTTTTTTGTATTTTAGTAGAGACGGGGTTTCACCATGTTGTCCAGACTGGTCTCGATCTCCTGACGTCGTGATCCGCCCGCCTCGGCCTCCCAAAGTGCTGGGATTACAGGCGTGAGCCACCGCGCCCGGCCTGGTTTCTATGAGTTTTAACAGCTGTAGAGATTCGTGTAAATTACTGCTATAAACAGGATACAGAATGTAGTTCCATCACCGGAACAACTCCCTCCTGACCGTGGATTGGCTCTTTGTGGCTGTGTTTTTTGTTTGTTTGTTTGTTTTGGTGTTTTTTTTTTTGTTTTTTTTTTTCTCAGCCAGCTGTGCTTTATTGACAACGCGCCACTCGGGCCTTGACCGCGCACTTCCGCACTGGGGACAGCTGCTCGCTCTGCTGCTGCTTCTTGATCGTCAGGTTCTCCTCGTGCTTGCTGAGCGGGCGGCGCACGGCGCGTGTCTTCTTAGGCCGCAGGTGCAGGTGCTTGTACTTCTTGCCCTTGTAGAATTTCCCGAGGTTTTCTTTCTGAGTCTGGTTAATAACCGTGAGAACACGGGCAATGGATTTGCGGACGACTCGGATCTTTTTTTTTTTTTTTTTTTTTTTTTTTTTTTGAGACAGAGTCTCCCTCTGTCGCCCAGGCAGAAGCGCAATGGCGAGATCTCGGCTCTCTGCAAGCTCCGCCTCCCGGGTTCACCCCATCCTCCTGCCTCAGCCTCCCGAGTGAGTAGCTGGGATTACAGCCGCCCGCCACCACGCCCGGCTAATTTTTTTGTATTTTTAGTAGAGACGGGGTTTCGCTGTGTTAGCCAGGATGGTATCGATCTCCTGACCTCGTGATCCGCCCGCCTCGGCCTCCCTAGAGTGCTGGGATTACAGGCGTGAGCCACCGCGCCCGGATCTTAGGGAGCTTGGAGGCCGCGCCGCCCGTCACTTTGGCGACGCGCAGCTGGGACAGCTCCACCTTTAGGTCGTCCAGCTGTTTCAGCAGCTCCTCCTCCTTCTTCCCGAGAAGGTCTTGGGCCTTGATCCTGGCCGTTGCTGCACAGGCCGCCGCCCCCGCTCGCTCCGAGGGAAATAGCTGTTGCTATGTTTTTTATTTTATTTTTTGAGACAAGGCCCTTCTCTCTCGCCTAGGCTGGAGTGCAGTGGTGCAATCATGGCTTACTGCAGCCTTGACCTCCTGGGTTCAAGCGATCTTCCCACCTTAGCCTTCCGAGTACTGCGCACCACCACCATCTAATGTTTTTTTTTTTTTTTTTTTTTGAGACAGAGTCTCACTCTGTCGCCCAGGTTAGAGTGCAGTGGCACGATCTCAGCTCACTGCAAGCTCTACCTCCCAGGTTCAAGCAATTCTTCTGCCTCAGCCTCCCGAGTAGCTGGGATTACAGGTGCGAGCCGCCGTGCCCGCCTAATTTTTGTATTTTTAGTAGAGACAAAGTTTCCGCCCTGTTGGCCAGGCTGGTCTTGAACTCCTGGCCTCAAGTGATCCACCTATCTCAGCCTCCCAAAATGCTGGGATTACAGGCGGATGCCACCGCGCCCGGCCCTAATTTTTTTATTTTTGTAGAGATGGGTTTCTCTGTGTTGCCTAGGCTGCTCAGGAGCTCCTGGCCTCCCAGCTCAGCCTCTCAAAACGTTGGGATTACAGGCGTGAGCCACCGCACCTGGTCCAGAAAGTAGCTTTTGAGACTGGCTTCTTTCAGTTAGCATTTGCGATTCCTCTGTGTTGCCGAGTGTATCAGAAGTTCGTTGCTTTGGATGGTCCAGTGGTATTTCCCTGTGTGGATGCATTCCCCTTTATCCAACCGTGAGGGGCATTTGGTTGCTTCCAGTTTGAGGTGATCATGAACAGAGCTGCTATATACATTTGTGTACATATTTTTTTCTTTTTTTTCTTTTCTTTTCTTTTTTTTTTTTTTTGAGACAGCGTTTTGCTCTTGTTGCCCAGGCTAGAGTGTAATGGCGTGATCTTGGCTCATTGCAACCTCCCCCTTCCATGTTCAAGTGATTCTCCTGCCTCAGCCTCCCGAGTAGCTGGAATTACAGGCATGTGCCACCACGCCCAGCTAATTTTTGTAGTTTTAGTAGAGACGGGGGTTTCACCATGTTGGCCAGGCTGGTCTTGAACTCTTGACCTCAGGTGATCCACCCACCTCAGCCTCCCAAAGTGCTGGGATTACAGGCATGAGACACCACACCTGGCCAATAGTATTTTTGTTGTTGTTGTTTAGCTGTGGTTTGTTACAGATGCCCTTTATCAGGTTGAGGAAGTTCCTTTCTACTCCTAATTTGCTTAGAATTTTTATCATGAATGAAAGTTGAATTGTATCAAATGTATTTTCTTTATCTATTGATATGATCATGTAGTTTTTCTTTCGTCTGTTAATATGGCAAGTTATATTGACTGATTTTCCAATGTTGAGCTTGTCTTGTATTCCTGGGATAAATGCCACCTGGTGGTGAGGTGGTTTTCTTTCTGTATATCACTGGATTTCATTATTTCACTTGCTAATATTTTGTTAAGGATTTTAGTATCTATGTTTTTGAGTATACTGATCTGTAATTTCCCTGTACTGTCTTTAATTTTGGTATCAGGATAATACTGGCCTCTTAAAATGAGTTGGGAAGTATTCCATCCTCTTCTATTTTCTGAAACAGATTGTGAAGAATTTGATGTTATTTTTTCTTTAAATGTTTGATAGGATTCACCACTAAAACCATCTGGGCCTAAAGTTTTATTTTATTTTTCATTTTTTATTGTTGTTGTTGTTTGAGACAGAGTCTCGCTCTGTCACCCAGGCTGGAGTGCAGTGGCATGATCTTGGCTCACTGCAAGCTCTGCCTCCCGGGTTCACGCCATTCTCCTATATCAACCTCCCAAATAGCTGGGACTACAGGCACCCACCACCATGCCCAGCTAATTTTTTCGTATTTTTAGTAGAGACGAGGTTTCACCGCGTTAGCCGGAATGGTCTTGATCTCCTGACCTCGTGATCCACCCGCCTTAGCCTCCCAAATGTTTTATTCTTTAGAAGACTTTAACTTCAAATTCTGTTTCTTTAATACGTATAGGACTGTTCAGGTTTTCTGTTTCTTCCTGAGTGAGTTTTGGTAGCTTGTGTCTCTCGAGAAATTGGTCCATTTCCTTTAAGTTGTCAAATTTATGTGCATACACTTATTTGTAGTATTCCCTTATTATCCTTTAAATTTCTTTAGGGTGAGTAATGATATCCCCTCCTTTGTGCCTGTTGCTGGTAATTTCTTTTTCTCTCTGGAGGGTGAATCTAGACTAAAGGTTTATCAATTTCATTAATTTTTTTCAAAGAACCAGCTTATGGCTTTATTGATTTTTCTATACTGTTTTTCTATTTTTTATTCCATTGATTTCTATTCTATTATTTTCTCTTTAGTTTGTGTTTAGTTTGCTCTTCTCTTTCTAATTTCTTGGGAGTAGAAGCTTAAAATATTAGACCTTTCAGGCCAGGCGCAGTGGCTCACAGCTGTAATCCCAAAAATTTGGGAAGCTGAGGCAGGTGGATCACCTGAGGTCAGGAGTTCAAGACCAGCCTGGACAACATGGAGAAACCCTGTCACTACTAAAATACAAAAATTAGCCAGATGTGGTGGCAGGTGCCTGTAATTCCAGCTACTCAGGAGGCTGAGACAGGAGAATCACTTGAACCTGGGAGGCAGAGGTTGCAGTAAGCCGAGATTGCACCATTGCACTCCAGCCTGAGCAACAGAGCAAGACTCCATCTCAAAAAAAAAAAAAAAAAAAAAATCCTCAAAATCATGGTGAATTTTTGCCAGTTTTGAACTTTATGCACACAGAATTACATAAAATGAGTTCAGGTACATCTGGCTTCTATCATTCCACGTGATGTTTGTGTGATTAACTCATATTGTGTACATGGTTGTGGTTCATTAATCCTGATTGTCATAGACTATTCCTCTGGATAAATAAACTACAATCTATTCATCCATTCTACTGTTGATGGGCATTTGGTTAAATTTTAGTTTGGGGCTGTAATGAATAGGGCAGCTATGGGCATTTGGTACATGTCTTTTGTGATTATATGTGTGGCTTTCTGTAGGTAAATACCCAATGGTAGAATTGCTGGGTTATAAAGTATTTCCTAGATATTAACTATCTTTTGCCAAAGTGCATGCACCAATTTACACTTCCAATAACTCTAAGATTTTGCTTTTTTTTTTTTTTTTTGACACAGAGTCTCACCCTGTTGCCCAGGCTGGAGTGCAGTGGTGCGATCTTGGCTCACTGCAAGCTCTGCCTCCCCGGTCCATGCCATTCTCCTGCCTCAGCCTCCCAAGTAGCTGGGACTACAGGCACCCGCCACCACACCCGGCTAATTTTTTGTATTTTTAGCAGAGACCGGGTTTCATAGTGTTAGTCAGGATGGTCTCAATCTCCTGACCTCGTGATCCGCCCGCCTCGGCTTCCCAAAGTGCTGGGATTACAGGCGTGAGCCACCACTCCCAGCCACCTTTTTTTTTAGAGAAAGTTTCACTCTGTCACCCAGGCTGGAGTGCAATGACACGATCTTGGCTCACTGAAACCTCTGCCTCCCGGGTTCAAGCGATTCTCCTGCCTCAACCTCCTGAGTAGCTGGGACTACAGGCGCCCGCCACCACACCCAGCTAATTTTTGTATTTTTGGTAGAGACGGAGTTTCACCTTGTTGACCAGGCTGGTCTCGAACTCCTGACCTCAAGTGATCCACCCACCTCAGCCTCCCAAAATGCTGGGATTAGAGGCGTGAGCCACCACGCCCGACTAATTTTTGTATTTTTAGTAGAGATGGGTATGAGCCACTGCACCTGGCCTATTTGTTTATTTATTTATCTTGAGGAGTCTCACTTCTTCGCCCAGGCTAGAGTGCAGTGGCATCATCTCGGCTCACTGCTACCTTTGCCTCCCAGGTTCAAACGATCATTGTGCCTCAGCCTCCCAAGTAGCTGGGACTACAGGCATGCGCCACCACACCCGGCTAATTTTTTGAATTTTAAGTAGAGACGAGGTTTCGCTATGTAGGCCAGGCTGGTCTTGAACTCCAGACCTCAAACGATCCGCCCGCCTCGGCCTCCCAAAGTGCTGGAATAACAGGCATGAGCCACTGCACCCGGCCTCCTCGGAATTTTTAAACAGGGACCCTGTGTTTTCATTTTGCTCCGGGTCCTATGGATTCTGCGGGGGGTGCTGGAGCTGCCTGCCCAGCTGAACAGGCTAGGGCTGTTGTCAGGACCTAGGAAGGACTGGCCAGCCGTCAGGGCAAGCTGCCTCAGGCAAGACGCTCACCCTCTGTGCCTCGGTTTTCCTTTTAGGATGGGCAGGGGGCTAGGGGCAGGCAAGGAGCTGTCTGGGGCGACTCCTGCTGGCCACTGGGGGCACTATATGCACCTGCGATATCCATGCCGGGCCCAGCTCCCCCCAGCACTCAACGCCCCTTAGCTGACTCACCCACCTCTGCTTCTGCCATCTGATCCACACCTATCATTGCCACCTGCACCAGCCTTGTCCCCTGGCTCCCGCCCTCACCCGTCTGTCCTCCCAGCAGCAGCCACCAGAGGCCGCCTGTGAGCACCTGTCAGGTCCTGTCTCTGCTCTGCCTGCGTCCCTCCAGGGCTCCCACCTCCCTCTGAGGGTAAAAGACCAACCCTCCCTGCCCTCCCCCCCTCCCTCCGCTCCAACCACACGGGCCTCCTCGCTGCTCCTCCAACACATCAGGCATGGTCCTGCCCCAGGACCTTTGCACAAGCTGTGCCTCTGCCTGGCTCACCCTCAGGCCACAGCATGGCTCCTTCCCTTCCTGTCTCCCAGGATGCTACTCACGCACCACTTTATCAGGCTTTTCCTGTACAGCCCACCAGGAACAGCCCACCAGAATCAGCCACCATTGGCTGGGCGCTGTGGCTCACGCCTATAATCCCAGCACTTTGGGAGGCCAAGGCGGGCGGATCACCAGAGGTCAGGAGTTTGAGACAAGCCTGGCCAACATGGTGAAACCCCGTCTCTACTAAAAGTACAAAAATTAGCCGGGTGTGGTGGTGGGCGCCTGTAGTCCCAGCTACTCGGGAGGCTGAGGGAGGAGAATCGCTTGAACCCAGGAGGCAGAGGTTGAGGTGAGCTGAGACCGCACCACTGCACTCCAGCCTGGGTGACAGAGCTAGACCCCAACTCAAAAAAAAAAAAAAAGAAAAGAAAAGCAACAGCCACCATCTCCCCATCCTGTCCCACTTCCCTGCTCCATTTCTCTTCCTAGGTGAAGTCGTGCTGGTAAGTGCCACCTTCTCTGCTGCACTGTAGTATCTGGGGCAGCATCGGGCACAGCAAGGGGCCTTAAGCCTGACGGACAGGCCTATCGGACTCAATGAAACTGAAAGAGGATGTGGGGAAATCGCACCCTTGTGCACAGCTGGCGGGATGTGACATGGCACAGCTGCTGTGGAAAAGTCGGGCAGCTCCCCAAAAAATTAAAATAGAGGCCGGGCGCGGTGGTCCACGCCTGTAATCCCAGCACTTTGAGAGGCCGAGGTGGGAGGATCATGAGGTCAAGATGGAGACCATCCTGGCCAACATGGTGAAACCCCATCTCTACTAAAAATACAAAAATTAGCCGGGCGTGATGGCAGGCACCTGTAGTCCCAGCTACTCAGGAGGCTGAGGCAGGAGAATTGGTTGAACCCGGGAGGTGGAGGCTGCAGTGAGCCGAGATCGCGCCACTGCATTCCAGCCTGGCGACAGAGCGAGACTCCTCAAGGTGCATCCAAAAAAAGAAAGACCAGAGGACCCAGCAATGCTACCTCTGGATGCACACACACGAGGACAGACAGGAGGGACTCAAACAGAAGCTTGCACACGCAGGTGCACAGCGGCACGACTGCCAACAGCCACAAGGTGGAAACCACCCAGACGTCCATCGATGATAGATGGATCAACACAGCGTGGCCCATCCACACAGTGGAATATTACTGAACCACGAAAAGGAAGGGAATCCGGACATGGGCTTCAGCGTGGATGCACCTTGAGGACATCATGCTCAGTGAGAGATGCCAGAGACACAGAAGGACACACCCCGCATGGTTCCACTCCTAGGAGGTCCATAGAGCTGTCAGATTCAGGGAGACAAAAGGTAGGATGGGGGGTGCCAGGGGCTGGGGAGGGGGACGGGGAGTGTTTCATGGGGACAGAGTTTCAATTTGGGGAGATACAAGTTCTGGAGAGGATGGTGGTGATGGCTGCACAACCGTGTGGATACACTTAATGCCGCTGAGCTGTGCACTTAGAAATTTATCTGTATTTTACAATTTTTTTTCAAAAGGAAAAAATAACTGAAGGAAGGCTGCAGAGGTCCCACATCCGCAGCTTACAGAAACGGAGGCCCGGAGGGCATGATGTCCCCACAGGTGCCCTGGAAGGTGAGGGGCAGGCTGGCCTGGGACCTGGGCTCCTCCCCGTCTCACTCCCTTGTCCCCAGCCCCCAAACAAGGTGGCATTTCCCAAGCAGGTTGCTCTGGCCTGGTGCTAGTGAAATGAACTTGAAGTGAAGGGTCAAACAAGATGACAGGGGAGGGGCCCCGGGACACCGTGCGGAGGCACCCAGGCGGCCCCACTGA
The DNA here is from genome assembly GCF_000001405.40 of Homo sapiens. NCBI lineage: Eukaryota > Metazoa > Chordata > Mammalia > Primates > Hominidae > Homo > Homo sapiens. The sequence continues at coordinate 3,124,113 of NC_000019.10, read as the reverse complement.
GGTCAGGCAATGCCCTAGGTAACTCCAGGGCTCCTGGGGGCCAGGCCTCTGCACACTTCCCCCCAGCCCCCTTTGAAGGACAACAGGAAATAAACCAGAAGGGGGCCGCCAGCATTTAGGAACAAAATTTATTCCAATTTAAAACAGAGTTCATTTCAGGAGAAAGATATGAAAAGTCGACTTCCATCGGTGTCTGGATTAAGGGTCAGGGCCGGTGGCTGTGGGAGGTGACACTGAGCCGCTCCTCAGCCCCTCCTCCCATCCCCAACGCGCACAACACATGCATTTCAAATGGTAAAAGGCTTAAAAACAGCTTGTATAGAATATTCTTTTTTAAATAGATTAAGGTTGAAATTGTCTGAAATCAGGACTGTGTAATATACAAGTATCACTGGGTCCCGTCCGCCAGGCCGGCCACAGGATCTGCTGCCACCACTGGGGGACATTGGCACGGGGATGCCTCCCTGGGGGAGCCGGGGGACCCAGGGCATGGGTTTGCAGTGGCCGGGGGCTGCTGCCGCCCGGGCGTAACATGGTCGGAGAAGGTGGTCGGCACTCACGAGAAATCGTTGGCAGGTGAGATTCACCAAGGTAAAAACACACACCCCACATGCCCACGTGGCCCCACACGTGGCAAGGGTGGGGGTTGGCTGTCCTTGCCCCTGGGTGCCACTGGCACGAGAACCACTGCCTGGGACTCTCCTGGGGCAGGCACCCCTGCCCTGGGCCTGCAACACCTACCTCTGCTTTTTTGGGGGGCAGGGGATCAGGCACTCAGACCCAGAGGATCCAGGCCACGACGTTTTGGCGGTCCCAGCCCGGCTCTGGGATGCTTGGCACGCCCCCTCCCTGGGAAGGCCTAATACTTAGCCCCGCAGCGCCCCGGCCTGCGTGCTGGGCGACTCCACCCTCAGGCCACGGCCAGGTCACCTTGTGCAATCTAGGCCCTCAGAGATGCCACAAGCACAGGCCCCCCAGAGGGCTCCGCTGCTGGAAAAGGTTGTAGCGGCCCTGCCAGGGGTGGCCCCATCTGCTCCCCCAGGGCACCGCCGGGCCCCAGCACTCGCCATGGGGGGCTTCTGGCACCAACCCTCTTAGGTAGACACCTGGCACAAAAAAAGGACGCTTCCGGGTGAGACAGAAGTGGTGTGGGGAAGCCGGGGGGGGGGTATCCCGCCAGCCCCGTCTCCCCATGGGGCTGATCACCAGAAATGTAGCTGCCCTGACCTGGTCTCCCCTGACCCTTCCACGGGGCTCCCCGCTCTTCTGCCCCCAGAAGCCAGCAGACAGCCCTGCGGACGAGGAGGCCAGGGCAGGCCTGACAGTGGCGGGCAGGCAGGCGGGAACTGCTGGTTGGAGTGGTCGTATTTTGGGGCTGTTTCTTTTGTCATCTGTCGAGGCCAGAAGCAGCCGTGCAGGGTCCCGGTGTGGCGGCGGGCGAAGGCAGCACAGGCGATCCATCCCTGGGACAGCTGTGCGAAGCCCGGAACCACAGGGCGCTGTAGTGTTCAGTCAACAGCAGACGAAAAAGCCACCTCCCCAAACACAGTCCCCTCGTTCCCCACCTTCCGAGTCTCTCGGGGAGAACCAGTCTCGGTGCCTCAGTGCCTCAAGGGGCCCCGGGAGGCGGCCCCCGGGGCTGTGGCTCAGTGCGGCGTGGCCTGGCGGGCTCCCCCTCGGGCCGTGGTCGTGGCCAGCCAGGCCTGGAAGCTGCCCAGGCCGGTGCCTGCCACCACCTTCCACGCGCCCCTGGCCAAAGTGCGAGTGCTGGCTTCCCGCTCCCCGGGGGCGGCGCTCGGGGGCGGGCGCAAGTGCTTGGGACAAGGCCACGCACAGAGCTGCCGGCCACGTCCCTCTCTCTGCCTCTCGGGTACACACCTGAGAATATTCTGTAAAAGTCCCCACCCACCCTCGCTGTTTCCAAATTGGTGACATCACAAAGCGGAACAAAACAGAAACGCCCCCATCCAAGTGGCCTTTCTCCCAGTGTCACCGGGGGACCATCCCTCCAGCCGCCCAGCCCACGTGGGCTCCGGTGGGGTGCGCTCTAGCCAGGGCAGGGTGGCCGTGCAGCCCTCTGGAGTCCCCGGGCAGCCCCAAGCAGCCAGTGTTGGCCCCGGAGGCACAGCCCAGAGAAGCCCCCGTGGCTCCAGCCCGGGGACCCTTCCCAGCCTCTGCAGAGGGACGGGGAACCCGGCCATGAGAGAGGGCCCAGGGTGTTTCTTCAACCTGTGAGTCAGGCGTTCTTTTTCCTCAAAAAAATAAAATAAAATAAAAGGTTAGGCACTTCCCAGGGTGGGCGACCGAGGGAGCCCCCCACCCCCTCTTCAGGAGTCCAGTGGGCAAAGCACAGCGTTGATGGGTGAAGAGGCGAGGCGCGCTGGGCGTCAATAACTTAAAAAAGGGGAAAAACGTCCGTCTCCGAGTCTCCACGCCTTTTGTGATGAAGAAAAGAAGCGGGCAGGAGAAAGAAAAAGCACGTGGGGTTGGAAGGACAGCCACGGGGGGCTGCGGTGTGGGGGCGCGTGACTGGCTGCAGGGCGGGGCCCCATGCTGGCTGGCGGGGGCTCTGTGAGGCCCAGAGTCACTGGGGGCACGGGGCGCTTGTGTGTTTTATGTTTCGTTGCTTTTTTTCTTTCTTTCTTTTTTTTTTTTTTTTAGAAAAAAGCGAGCCATAAGTCAAGGCCAGAAAAAGGCTGCCTTTGCCGTTGACAAAAGGTGAGAAGGTGCGCGAAGTGTACGGAGGGAGAGATGTACATCCCCTGATAACTGTGAAATAAAAACCATTTGTTAAAAATATGAAAAAAAAAAATCTCCTCCCGCGGGCAGAGGCCCCGGCCCGGACTCGGCAGCGCCACCCGCCCGGCAGCCGCAGGCTCCGTGGAAGGAAGGTCCTGCCCCGTGTCTCCATCCCGTCTCCCTGGGCCTGGGCGCTCAGACCAGGTTGTACTCCTTGAGGTTGAGCTGCAGGATGGTGTCCTTCACGGCCGCGAACACGAAGCGGATGTTCTCCGTGTCGGTGGCACACGTGAAGTGTGAGTAGATGATCTTGTCGCTGTCGGGGTTCAGGTCCACGAACATCTTCAGGATGAACTCCCGCGCCGCCTGGGCGTCCCGCTGGGGACCTGGGGGAGGGCAGAGGGTGAGGCTGTGCCCCAGCCCGGCCCAGGGCAAGGGACTCGTGGGCCCCTTTGTCACTCCCAGGGGATGAGCGAGTAAGGCCCACGGCCCACCCAGCTCGACCCCCAGCCCACTGCATGCCTGACGGGCCGCAGCTCCCCTCCCTCCCCAGGTGAGCTGCGGTGCCAATCCCACTGTAGCCCCAGGGCACTACTGTCACGGCCCAGGCCTCCAACCTGGGGCTCTGCACCCACCGCTGCTCCCTCTGCTCAGCCCTCTGCCGGCCTCTATCCACTCAGCTCCACAGCCACAGCCTTCCAGGGCAGGCCTCTGGCATGGCTGCCCTGCGAAGGCCCAGGGTGAGAGGAGAGGCCCCCAGGGCTGGGCACAGAGCCTACAGAGCAGGAACAGTGGCCCCCACCCACCCACGGTGCCCCTGCTGCAGCCAGGCCTCAGAGACATCCAGGGGCTCCAGCAGGGGCGCTGCTTCCCACCGGCCACCCCTGCCCCTCCACCACCCTGGACAATGCAGGCGACCCGCCCAGTAACTCCTGCCTGCCCCGGTGGAAAGGCCCCTGGGGGTGTTCAAGGGGCTGCTCTGGGGACTGGTGGGACAGGGGTCTATGCCCCAGTCCCTTGGCCTCCCCCCACCAGGGCTCTCTGAGCCCACAGGACAGGCTGCTGGGCAGGGGCCACGTGCGGCTGGAGCAGGTGCAGCGCCCCCCGCCACTCCCCTGCCCAGGGACAGCAGGGCCCTGCGCCTGCAGCCAGCGGCCGAGGCTATACCGTGTGCCAGACCCCTCCCTCTCGCTGCACATCCAGAGGCAGGGCACCCTGAGGGGCCCTCCCGAAGATGACACCCGAGACTCACGGGAGGAGCACAGATCCGGGGTGGAAATGAGGGCGCCAGAGCTGCCCAGGGCCTCACTGTGCCTGGCAGGGACAGCTCTGAGTGGTGACAGCACTAACGGCAGCCACTGACCACACAGACGAGGGCACACAACACCCTCCCCTGGCCGCCATCCCCAGGCCCAGAGAGGGCTGGGCATGTGAAGACCCTCAGTGCTCAGCTGCCCTGACACACCCCGTGGGGCAGGGGCCACGTAGGGAGGGACGGGTCCGAGGGTGGGGGCAGTAGGGCACAGAGGAGGATGCAGGGACTACCACCAAGGTCCCCACGGGGCTGCGCTGGCAGTGTGCGTGAACCCTTCCTGTGAGACCCCTCCCATATGGGATCACCTATACAGGACACCCCCATACGACAACTCCCTCCCGTACAAGACCCACCAATACAAGACTCCCCCTCCCATGGTGCCCTCCTTGTACAAGACTCCTCCCACCCGAGATCCCCCTGCCCGAGACCCCTCCCACCCGAGACCCCTCCTGTATAAGGAGTCCCTGCATTAACAGATCTCCCACGGGTATGAGACACCCGCGTCGGAGAACTCATTCCCGTACAGGCCCCCCTCATACGAGATCTCCCTTCCCTGAGACTCCACTCCCATACATGACACCTCCCATCAGACGCCCTCCCTTAGAGCTCCCGGCCTGTATGAGCCCCTCTCCCATATCAGCCCCCTCCCCCCAGTAAGGCCCTGCCCGCGAGCCCCTCCCCATGCCGCAGCCCGGCGCACCATCGAACTCGGGGAAGTAGTCCACCAGGTGCGAGTACAGGATCTTGTCCTCCAGCAGGTCCTTCTTGTTGAGGAAGAGGATGACGGAGGAGTTCTGGAACCAGGGGTAGGTGATGATGGTCCGGAACAGGGCTTTGCTCTCCTCCATCCGGTTCTGGCGGGAGCGAAGGCAGAGGGAATCAGAGGGGCCCTCCCCACTGCACACAGCCCAAGGGGCAGCTGGGGGGACCCAGGTGAGGGGACCCAGGCTTGGCAGGTGGGGAAGGCCCGGCCCCCAACGCTGCCCCTGCTCAGGGCAGGGCCCACCTCGTTGTCCGACTCCACCAGGACTTGGTCGTATTCGCTGAGGGCGACGAGAAACATGATGGATGTCACGTTCTCAAAGCAGTGGATCCACTTCCTCCGCTCCGACCGCTGGCCCCCCACATCCACCATCCTGAAAGGACACAGCGCCAGGACTCAGCCACCTGGCGCCCCAAGGCCCAATCTGCAATCCCAGGACGGCTCCCACCCAAGCCCCTCCTGCCACACCAGACTGACATCGGCTGGAGCAGGAAGAGCCCCCACTCTTAGAACGGGCAAGGACGCTCTCAGAGAGCGGCCGCACCGCCTCCAGGGGTGACCACCGCAGACCCTTCCCTCACTGGCAAAGGGGCCTGAGACCACTGGGCCCAGGGAAGCGGGCGCTAGTGTGGGGGTGTGAGAACCCAGAGGATTCTGGGCGCCAGCTGCTGCGGGAACCTGCGATGGGTGCCCAGGGACCCTACATCTGGCATCTGGATGTCACCCTGAGCACAGAAGCCTTTCCCCTCACTGGGCCAGGGACACAGATGTTCACCAAGCGTCACTCGCAGGAGTAAACACTGATGCCACAGTTGCTCCCTGCAGGGACCCTCCAGTGACGGCTGCAGAGGGCAGAGTTGCCGGTATCCTCCTGGGGCAGAAGAGCAGGCGCAGCGCCCTGCCCCGCGTGGTGAGCAGCTCAACCTCACACTCTCAGGCCACGCACAGGCGGGAGAAAGAAAATCAGCTCAGACGATGTCTGCGGGCGTGCGTTCCTTACGGGACGTTTGCCTCTTTCTACTTGTGACTTTTCTAAGTTTTCTATAACGAGAAAAGGCACTTTGGTCTCCTTGAAAGAATACAAAGGCAGAAGCGGAGAGTGCCCCTCAGGCCCTGGCCCCAGGCCCCAGGGAAGGCCGGGGTCCCTGCAACTCTGCCGAGGAGAGCGGGGCTGCTTTGGGCATGTGAGTGGTGAAATCCACCTGGTCTGGTCTGCGGGGGAGTCCAGCAGGCACCGGTGGATGACAGATGTGCCAGGTGACTCTAAGGGACAAGAGGGCCCGCACCAGCAGCTGTGGCCAGGCGGGAGGACAGTGGGTGTGCCGACACCAGGCCACAGCCCGTCTGGAGCGCGAGGCCTCTCCTGCACGCCTGCGGCGGCCGGCAGGGCTGGGATCCGGGTCCCCCCGTGTCTTGTCCCCACCTGAGGGAGCAGGAGCCTCTCCTCACGCACTGGGACGATCCCACCGGCCTTCAAGGCCTCCAGCTGCATCCCACAGCACCTGGCCGGCCCTCTGCCAGCGTGTGGTGGACAGAGGCGGCTGGCAGAGAAACAATGGTGGCAGAGGAGTAGGCTCAGGACGGGGGTCTGCACCCGGCACAGAGGGCACAGCCGGGCCGGGCGCGGTGGCTCACGCCTGTAATCCCAGCACTTTGGGAGGCCGAGGCAGGCGGATCACGAGGTCAGGAGGTCGAGACCATCCTGGCTAACATGGTGAAACCACATCTCTACTAAAAAGTACAAAAAATTAGCCAGGCGTGGTGGCGGGCGTCTATAGTCCCAGCTACTCGGGAGGCTGAGGCAGGAGAATGGCGTGAACCCGGGAGGCGGAGCTTGCAGTGAGCCCAGATTGCACAGCTGCACTCCAGCCTGGGCGACAGAGCAAGACTCCGTCTCAAAAAAAAGAAAAGGGCACAGCTGGAGCTGGGAAGGGCCTGGAAGATGGTGGAGAGGGGGTGACACACCCAGCCTGAGCTCAGCTCAGGGAGGGGACAGGACATTTCTGACAGAGGACACAGAGGCCTGCGCTGTTAAGAGGCCAGCGTGGGGCTGTGAGGGGACATTCATGCCACAACCTGGCCTATGCCTGGCTCGCCTCAGCTGTATCCTGGGGTCATGGGCCCCGTGTGAATAAAAAAGAAGAAAAACTTGAATTCTCGTAACAATATACACCATCGCCCATGTCCAGAGAGGACACCGCAGCTTCTGAGGGCCCAGCGCCTGCTCGGGTCCCCGGGAACCATCCCAGAGCTTGGCATTCCTTGGCTTGTGGCCACATTGCTCCATCCCTGCCTCCATCTTCACGCCGCATCCTCCCTGCCTGCGCTGGGAGGCCGAGCTGGGAGGACGGGTGGGGAGAACAGGCAGATGGCAGGGGGTGGCACCCCCAGCCCTGGGGTGGGTCTCAAGGCAGGGCTCTCGAGGAAAACCCCACAGACTTCCCGGAACCCTCACAATGGCCTCGGCAGTGCACCAGCTGGGTGGGGACACCCTGGCAGGGAGGCGTCATTCCCTCATGAGGGCCAGTGCCAGGGCGAGCTTGCACTGCAGGAGAAGGCACCCGCAACCGGAGCCACCGCGAGGCCCTCCAGGACAGAGCCGTCTAGCGCCCCACACGCACGAACACCAGAACCCGGGGACGGCTCTGATCTGGAAACAGGGTCTGTGCGGATGTCACTGGTTAGGATAACGTCACACAGAGGTAGGGTGGCCCTGGCCAAGGACAGGTTATAAGAGAACAGAGGCAAAGGCGCAGGCGGGGAGGACGCTGCATGAGGATGGGGGCAGGGATGAGGCAACCCGGCCACAAGCCAAGGATGCCAAGGATGCCAAGGATGCCAAGGATGCGGCCGCCACTAGGAGCCGAGTGAGGCCTGGGCAGATCCCCTCAGCCTCAGAAGGACCTGGCCCGGCCCACACCTGCATCTCAGCCTTCTGGCCTCCAGCACTGGGCGGGAATAAGGCCTGCGGTGGGAGTCTCACGCCCGACACCAGCAGCCCAGGACAGGCACGCATAAAGCCGGGACCTCAGCGCTGGAGATGTTATATGGGGCCAGGAGACAGGCAGGCAGGGTCCACGTTCCCAGGGACAGCAGAGTCCAGCCAGCTGAGCAGCCTACCAGACACAGGACCCACTGAGGGTCCCCAGGGAGAACCCGGCTCTGCTGGCCGGCCCCCAGCCACAGTGGACCTGGAGCCCCGGAGGCCCAGCAGGATCCGCAGGGGCAGCCCGTGAAGAACAGAATCCACCCCACACCACCCAGCTCCTCCACCCCAGCCTGGAGCCCTCCTCCCCACTCAGTCCCTATGACCCCTCCTCCCCTCAAAGCCTCGGTCCCCACGACCCCTCCTCCCCTCACAGCCTCGGTCCCCATGACCCCTCTTCCCTGACAGCCTCGGCCCCTATGACCCCTCCTCCCCTCACAGCCTCAGTCCCTATGACCCCTCCTCCCCACTCAGTCCCTATGACCCCTCCTCCACTCACAGCCTCGGTCCCCGTGACCCCCCCCCTCCCCTCACAGCCTCGGTCCCTATGACCCCTCCTCCCCTCACAGCCTCGGTCCCCATGAGCCCCCTCCCCTGGCAGCCTCAGTCCCTATGACCCCTCCCGCACCATGCGGCACCCCCTGCTCCGGCCAGCACTCCAGACCCCAGCCCCATGCTGGCTCCAACCAGGCCCCCGGCCCGTCCTGGAGGCCCTGTCAAATGTCCTCCCTGCCAGGTCTCTTCGGCTGCCGGTCTGGATGGATGTGGCCACGCCCCCCACACCCCCACAGCTCCTTCCCTGTGTGGCCCTGGCTCACACATACTTAGAGATAAATCTTATCCCCTGACCTGGTCAAACACACACTGAGGATGAAGACCAATGGGCTTTCTTTTGTTTAATAAGACGAAACAGGGTCTCCCTCTGTCGCCCAGGCTGGAGTCCAGTGGTGCCATCATGGCTCACTTCAGCCTCAACCTCCTGGGCTTGAGCGATCCTCCTGCCTCAGCCTCCTGAGTAGCTGGGACCACAGGTGCACACAACCACGCCCAGCTAATTTTTAAAATTTTTTTTAGATATGAGGTCTGGCTATGTTGCCCAGGGTGGTCTCAAACTCCTGGACTCAGGCGATCCTCCCGCCTTGGCCTCCCAAAGCACTGGGTGCGCAGGCATGAGCCGGCACACCGGGCAAATGAGCCTCTCAGTGCCCCCTCCCCGCCTGCTGTGGCCCGGGCGGTACCGGAAGATGATGTTCTCCAGGTCGAAAGGGTACTCGATGATGCCGGTGGTGGGCACGCGGACCCGCAGCACGTCCTGCTGGGTGGGCAGGTAGCCCAAGGTGGCGATGCGGTCAACGTCGGTCAGGTAGCTGCAACACAGCGGTGGGTGCTCAGGCCGGCTGCCGGGGGTGGGGGGGCAGGACAGGGACACAGCACCCAAACCAGCGGGAGGACGGAAAGCCACCAGGAGGGGGTGGACCGCGCACTGCGCCACCTACGGCAGTGTCTGAAGCAGCCCGGAGGGCTCGGGCCAATGGAGACCCTGGGGTCGGGATACGAGCCTCCCAACCTCTATCCTCTCTGGGGTCTCAGGGGACAGAAATGACCCAGCACAAGAGAAAGTCCCAGGACGAGGACTCCAGCTGGTTCGGGGGGTTTGTAGTAGAGCTGTCCAGAGACGGCCACCAAGGAGGGAGACGGTGACCCAGGGCAGGGGACTTCCCGAGAGAGGCCTGGCTGGCCCCAGGGATGAGGCTTCACAAACAAGCGCATCATTAGGAGAGTCGCAGCTGCAGAGGCTGCAGAGGTCCCAGCAGATCCCCGTGCCCGTCTCCCTGCTGCTCCCTGTACGTGGGTGCGGCACCCACCACGAGCAATGAGCCAGTGTCTACACAGCGCAGCTACTGAAGTCCACGCTTGATTCCGGCTTCCTTGGTTCCCCTCATGCCTTTTCCTGCCCAGCCCTCTGGGTTGGGACAGTTTCCCGTTTTTGACGCCCTGGGCAGTCCTGAGTGGGGCGCCCCTCGAGTGGTCTGCCTGGGGTGGGGGTTGTAAGAGGCCGGGTGCCTGCTCAGACCTTTCCGGCACCGCGAGGAGGCCCTGGCGTTTTGTTCCAAGTGCTTGGTTATCTGGGCCCTCCCACAACCTCCCAGAGGCAGGGAACACACAGAGGACGGGCAGGAGGGGCGGGGGACAGGCCTGTCCCTGTCGCCTTAGGGTCTCTCCCGGTGCTGGGGGAGGGCCGGGGCCTCTGCCTGCCAAGCATGGAGGGCAGCAGTGCACAGCCTGCCACGCGGGGGCCTCCACCTGCGGCCATGGCCCGGCCACCTGTCAGCACACAAGTCACCCCCTATCCCAGGCCCAGAGACTGGGAGAACCCTGACATCAGTCAAGGTCACAGCCAGTCACTAGTGGGAGACGTGGCTCTGGGGACGATGTCCCAGGCAGGAGCGAGACGGCCCAGGTTGTGTCTACCTCCCATCCCACGGCCCTCCTAGGAGACCCTGGGTTTCCCCCACAGGCCACAGGCCGGGCTCCAGCACCGAGGGTGGCCAGGAGCTCACTCCTGACCCAGGGAGGGCAGCGGCAGGGCCAGGCATACAAGCAGGCCAGTGTCACACCAGAGTCCACCGGCTCCTGCCAAGGCGTGGCCCCTCCAGGGATCTGCTCTGGTCCCTCCATCCGGCCAGGTGGCCCGGGCCCACCGCATCCCTGCCCCCGGCGAGCAGGCAGGGGGCACCACAGACGCCGCGGAGGCCTTCCCGAAGGGTCCCAGGCACCGGCCCGCAGCTGCCGTCCCCAGGCCGCCAGCGGTGCGGCCGCACTTACTACTTGGCAGAGTCGGAGAGCTGGTACTCGCGCCTGCGGTCGTAGCATTCCTGGATGCCCGGGTCCTCCCACAGGGTCTTGATGGCACTGACGTACTGATGCTCGAAGGTGGTCACCTTCTCCACGTCCACCTCCCGGATCAGGAGCGCATTGGCCTGCGAGGGCGGGCAGGGGAGACGTCGAGAGCTCGCTGGGGCCACACATCCACCAGAAAGCTTGTGACGGCCCCTCTTCCAGGCCTCGGCTGGCCCGGGCGGCATTCCGCAGGCTGTGCAGTCAGGACCACTGACAGTTCCGTGTGAACACGTGTCAGAAAAACGCGAGGCCGCCTGGCGGTGTGGTTCCTCCGAACAAGGCCCCACAAGCAAAGCCTCCCGGCGGTGCGGTCTGCAGGGTGCCGGGGAGGCCGGGCTTCGATTCACTTCTTAGAGGTGGGGAGGGGACGGTGTGGGGAACAAGCACGTGTAGAACACACACACTTCAAACCCAGGACCCACAGGAGGGCAGTGCAGCGCCGAGCACGACCAAGCACGACGACAGAACTAACCAACAGCCCCAGCACTCGCTGCCTCGAATTCTCCAGACACACCGGGAGGCAGGAAGCCCAGTCACAGGACGTTGCAACCAGCGGCATCGCCTGCAGTGTGCAGCTCCAGACTCGGTTTCTGCCCCGCCGGCTTCTCTCTTTCGTCCGAAAAATGCTTATCAAACATCATCAAGAGCAGATACCACACCCGGTGCTAAGGACGGCGTGTGGCCCCCGAGCTGCCGCACTCAACAGTTTACATGGTGCCCCAACACGAGCCGCCTCCCCCTCACGGAACCCTGGGCGGCGGGTGGCATCAGGCCCCAGCTTGCTGCCCTGTCACAAAGGAAGGCCAACCGCACAGACACGTGCTTGCACACACATGTGAACACCCTTTGGGGCAGACACTGTGGGGGGGCCATCCTTTCCCCTCCTGATGCTCTGTGTCCCCGTCCCCGGGGCGCACAGGCCGACATGACCAGCCACAGTTTGGCTGAGGGACTGGGGAGGGGACATACTGGGTGGGACCCAGATGGGAAAGAAGGGAGCCTTGCCCTGGGCTCTGGGAGCCACGGGGCCCTCCCAGGCCCCCCAGAGTGGAGACTCAGCCCTTGCTTGTCCCCTCTGAGCAACGCTCCCTGCCCCGGACTCCGACTTCAGCCCTCCCCTTGCCCTGCCCCCAGCCTCTCAATCTGGGCTGGGATAAGCACACCTAGGGGGACTTGGAAAAAGAGACACAAACCCCAAAAATCCCACTCCCTGGAAACTTCCAGATTAGACAGCAGCAATCTGCTTCTGCAGAGAGCCAGAGAGCACACCCAGCCTTCCCGACCACACGGACTGTCTCCAGCACTCGGCTCTGCTGCTGCTGCTGAAGCACCATGGGCAACATGGCAGAAATGGGTATGTGCCAATAAAACTTTATCGACAAAATCAGTCTGCAGTTTGCAGATGCGTGTTTCAGAAGCTGATGGAGATCTAAGCCCAAATATGAATATGGACTCTCAGAGAGGGCCACAGCTGGAAGAGATCACAGCGGGAGACAGGGCAAGTGGCAAACCAAGATCTAAGGGCAAGAGCCCTACCCCTGAAAGCAGGGCTACGAAAGCGGGATCAATGGCCCCTCAGCTGAAAGGCCCCAGGGAGGCCACTGGCAGGAGCCACGGCTGCACGGCTGCTGGGCCTGCCCCATAGGGCGGCCACTGGGGCAAACTCTCTGGACGCTTCTCAGAGGGCAAAGCCAGAGTCACCCTGGGACCCAGCAATTCTGCTCCCAGGCGTAGCATGCAACTGAGGGAAGGGAACACATCATCCACATAAACACACGTCCACAGACGGTCACGGCAGCTCCGTTCCCAACAGCCCACACATGAAGGCACTCAAATGTCCTCCAGGGGATAAATGGGCAAATACGCGGTCCCTCCATGCACTGGAACATGACTCAGCCATGAACAGGGACGAGGCTCTGACACAGGCCACTGTGTGGATGCACCTTGAGGACGTCACACTCAGTGAGAGACGCCGGACACAAAAGGCCACATGGCGTGCAATCCCATTTCTATGAAATGTTCAGGACAGACCGATCCACAGAGGCAGGAAGGGGATGTGTGGGTGCCGGGGCTGGAGGAGGGGGTGGGAGTGACGGCCGATGGGGAAGGGGCTTCCTTTGAGAAAATGAAATCTGGAATCCGACAGCGGTGATGGCTGCACGACTATGCAAACATATCGAAAACCACCAAATTATACACTTTAAGCAAGTGAAGTGCATAGAATGTGAATTATAACTCAATAAAGCTGTGATTTAAAAACAGGGCATCAAATGACCTCTACTTTATCAAAAAAAAAAGAAAAAAAACCAGGGCGGAGGCCAGGCATGGTGGCTCATACCTGTAATCCCAGCACTTTGGGAGGCCAAAGCGGGAGGACTGCTTGAGCCCAGGAGTTCAAGACCAGCCTGGGCAACATGGTGAAATTCCATCTCTACAAAAAATACAAAAATTAGCTAGGCGTGGTGATGCACCTGCAGTCCCAGCTACCCGGGAGGCTGTGGTGGGATCACCTGAGCCCAGAAGGTCCAGGCTGTGATGAGCCTTGACCATTCCACTGCACTCCAGCCTGGGCGACAGAGCGAGACCCTGTTTTCAAAACAAAACAAAACAAAACAAAACAAAAAAACAGTGTGAGAAGGTGAGAAGTACAGCCCCATGGGTGAGTGTCAGGGCCGAAACGAGGTGCCTGGTAGGCTGCTCAGCCTGGGGAAGGGGCCGGAACCAGGAGCTCACGCTGCTTACTCCCAAGGCGACCTGGGCGAGTGGCTCACCTCACAGGGCCTCAGCTTCCCCAGGGCCTCAGCTTCCCCACCCACAGGATGTGGGCGCCCACAGCTACTTGGGAGGGAGGCTGTGGGGCTTGGCCACGCAATGCCCATCACAACTCTCCAGTTGGCCCCCAGGAAGTCAGCGGTTGCTGTTTCCATGTCCATGACAGGAACGGATGGATGACCAGGGGTAGCCTGGGCCGGCCGGGACCCCCGGCATGGCCCCACCCTGGCAGCGCGGCCACCATGCTCACCACCAAGCCCACAGCTGCCCAGGCGCTCCCCTCCCCAGGCGCCCGCGGGCTCACCTTGTTCTGCTCGTACTTGTAGAGGATCTTGAGCGTCTCCATGGCCCGGATCATGGCCTGCATGGCGGTGAAGATGTTCTGGTAGACGAGCTTGGTGAAGCCGCGCTTGTCCTCCTCCGAGTAGCCGGCGCCGTGGATGATGCGCATCTGCTTGATGAACGTGCTCTTCCCGCTCTCGCCCGTGCCTGGGGGACGGGGCACGTGAGGGCGGGCGGCAGCCGGGGCCTGACTCTCGTGCTGCTGCCCCCTCTTACCCAGACCCTGCCGTGCTGCAGCACCCAGCACAGGAAACCAAGGCACGTGAGGCTGACCGTCTCTCCACCAGACGCCACGGCCTCCTGACTCCTCGGAAAGAGTTTACAAAGCGCCCTTCCCATCTTCCACCAAGCCAGGGTCTTACTGGAACCACCCCTTTTCCAGAAGTTCTGCAAGGACACACTTTCCTGGGGGCCAATTGTTGGTATTTACGTCAAAGACCACACGGTCTCAGGCCAAATCAAGTCGCACGGCACCGGCCCCGCAGCTGGGACTGTGCAGCTCCACCACGGTCACGCCAGTTCATGACCAATGCTCACCAGAGGGACAGCACACAGACGTGGCGGCGGTGCCCTGACAGACGGACTCACCCCAACGGCATCTCTGCACAGACCACCCCAAGGGCTGGGCGCCCCCTTCCCCAGAGCTTTGCTCAGCGGCCACGGCCACACTGCCCCCTGCGCACCAAGCACCCACGAGGCTCTCCCCTCTCCCTCTTGGTGCTGTGGCGGGGTCAGCCAGGACCGTTGTGCCTGCCACAGGTGGCCCTGAGCACATCCCTGAACCCCTTTACGTCTCCACGCCTGCCACGACCTTGCTAATACCCACAATGCTTCCAGAGACGAGTACGCTACCACCCCATCTCAGAGATGGGCACACTGATGGTCCCAGGGCCCCAGAGGATGAAAAGGATTAGCAAGTCAGCCTGGAAAAACTATCGGGAAGGGGGCCCATGTGGCCAGCTGTCGCTCCACCCCAGCCTCCAGATGAGCCCCCCACACATTCTGGGTGACATGGGGGTCCTCACTCCAGCCCCTCTCCTGCCTCTGCCTCTCACCTGGTCACCTCCTGGGCAGAGACTCCGTCTCCCCACTTTTCTTCACCCTCACACGCTGGGATGCCAATGCTGGGTTTTCCAGTGTGTCCACAAATCTCTGATGCTCATCCCTTCCATACTGGAACCTAATTCCCCTCCCCTTGAGCATGGGCTACACTTAGTGACCTGCTTCTAGCAAACAGAATGTGATGGAAGTGACAGTGTGCCATCTCCAAGGCCAGTTCACAAAAGGCACAGGCCTTCCTCCTTGCCCTCAGTCTCGGGTCAGGGGCTCTGGGGTAGGCAGCCGCCACGCTGTGAGGACCCTCAAGCAGCTTCACGGAGAGGCCCACGTGGTGAGGAACTGAGGCCTCCCACCAACAGCCACTAGAGGGAGCCAACTTGTGAGTGGCTCCTCCAGCTCCAGTCCAGCCTTCAAATGATGTGGCCCCTGCTTGGCTGGTATCCTGACTACAACTTCTGAGAGACCCCAAGCCAGGATCACTCAACAAAGTGCTCCCACATTCCCAACCCTCAGAAACTATCTGAAATAAGTTTTGTTAATTTAAGTTGCGAAGTTTTGGGGTGACCCCATTACACAGCAATAGTTAACTTCTAATTTCTAAAAAGAGACTGCCTCAACTCTCTACTCAGGTATTAACCTTGCTCAGGCCCCCGGTGCCCTAGAGACTCAAGCGTCACCGCCCCCTCCCAGCATGCCCCCAGCCCACTTCTCCAGGCTCGCCTTCACCACCCTGTGTCTCTGAATCTTCCGGCACCTCCCCACTTCCACACACGTCCTACGCTGTTGCCCTCTGCCCACAGTGCTGTTCCAATCACAGCTGCCTAAAGGCTGCCTGGTGCTGGGACCCAGCTCACTTCCTCTCACAGCCTCTGCTCTAGAAAGCCCCCAAGCCCCAACACAACTCTCCCTCCGGTACTTTCTGGAACCTTCCTTGCTGCCCATGGTAGATATCTTTGCACAGGTGCCTGTCGCAGGACCCCTCACCTGGCAGCTCCTAGAGATGAGACAGGCTGCATGTGTCCCACGGTGGCCACAGTGCTGCCTTCGGGAGGCCCTCGACAAAGCCCAGGAACTGCCCACAGCACCTGAGCTCCCTGTGGGGGGTCTCGCAAAACACCCAACACATCCCGAGTGGGGAGCCCCGGTGGCAGCTGCCTCTCCCCAGTACTTTTCTCAAACACCCTGAGTCCTTTTCAGAAGAAAGAAAATTGATTTTGATTGTCTCAGGTAGTAATCCACCTCTCAGCCCTCACCTCATCCACAAAAGGTCAAACCCACCCAAGTTCCAGGACAGGAGGAGTGAGGGTGAGTGTGAAGGTGAAAACACCTTCTCCCCAGAGGGACCCCCACACGCCCTTCCCTCACCGCGCCCTGAAGAGAAGGGCGGTGGCATGGAGGGGATGCAATCTGAGGCCAGGGATCCTCGGCCTCAGCTCTACTGACCGGTGCTGAACCCTGGGCCCTGAGGGGTGCTCAGCAGCAACCCTGGCCCCCACCCACTCCATCTCAGGAGCACCCCCCCGAATTGTGACCACCACAGATGTCCCCAGACAGTGCCAGTGTCCCATGGGTCAAGACTGCCCCCAGATGAGACTCTATGTCTAACAAAATGCTATTACAAAAGATGGCTGCTCCGTGTTTGTTTGGAAGGGTGTTTCACCTGGAAACAGCAAACACTCACACACACTGAAAGCCACACCTGACACGAGACCAGCACACACTGCAAGCCTGCACCCCAGCACAGGCCCCATGCTGCAGGCAGGAGGCGAGGAGGGCCCTGCACTCGGGTCAGAAGGCGCCGCCCCTTGGTAACTTTGCACCCAAGACACAAGGTCCCTCAGGCCATAAACATCTCAACTATGAAACAGAAAAGCAAGCCTCAGCTCTCAGCGAGGATGCCGGGAAGACCAAGACGGCCGAGAAGGAGTCTGAAACGCCACAGGTCACTGCCCAGATGAGAACTGGCTCGGTACTACTGTTTGGGGTTGTGTTTTGTTTTTTCAGATGGAGTCTTGCTCTGTTGCCCAGGCTGGAGTGCAGTGGCGCAATCTTGGCTCACTGCAAGCTCCGCCTCCCGGGCCCAAGTGTTTCTCCTGCCTCAGCCTCCCAAGTAGCTAGGACTACAGGCATGCGCCACCACGCCTGGCTAATTTTGTATTTTTAGTAGAGATGGTGTTTCTCCATGTTGGTTAGGCTGGTGTCAAATTCCTCACCTCAGGTGATCTACCTGCCTCAGCTTCCCAAAGCGCTGGGATTACAGGCGTGAGCCACCGCGCCCGGCCTGTTTTGCGTTTTGTAAGGAAGGCAAAAATGACAACCACAGCCCTGGCTCGCCAAGGACCCCCATGGAGCTCTGCAGAGGCAATATGGATACACTGATGGGGGAGGGAGGTGGCTCACACCTATGCACCCAGGCATGCACACATACATATGCATTAACGTGCATATATGCACACAATGCACACGTGCACACCCACACATACATGTATGCATGCATGTACATCAGCACACACGTGCATGGTGCACGCACACATGCATGTACATGTACACACACATGCAGCCCGTACACAGCTGGGTGGCTGGCATGTTAACCCATGTGCACCACTCCCGCTGGGTGAAGCCACTCGTGTCTCCCACATAACCCACCAAAGCCAGGAGAGGTTGCAGAGGGAGGCAGGAGCCCAGCAGGAGTTCTGGGCCACCGGAAGCCAAGCCAGGCCCAGGTGGCCCCGGGCCTCTGGTGGCCCTGAGGTGCTGGCCACTGTTAAGCCCTGCCGTACAGAGGCCAAGGGCGAGGCTCTGGACAGCACTCAAGCCAGGCAACGTGACTACATTTGGGTTTTCAAGATGCTTTGGTCCCAGCCTGCTTTTCAAATCGCCCTGTCTCCCCGCGCCAACTCAGCTGCTGCCGCCTCCCGTCACACAGCGTCTTGGAGCTGGGACGCAGGGGTCCACACACAGTGGACCCAATGTCTGAATGCCTGGGTCCTGCCTGAGACCTCACACCCCGCGGCTGGGGCTCAACATCCAGGGCCCTGGTCAGCAGAGACTCGCTCCCACCCGACCGGCAGCCATGTGGCCCCAAAGCCACAGCCCCAACTCGGGCCTCAGCCCACATGGCTCCACCCTGACCCAGCCTGCCCCACCTGCAGCCACACTCCACCTGAAAGACATCTGAGCTGGAACGCTCTTTTGGCTCCAAAATCTTCAACAGCTGCCCACTGGAAAGAAATGCCAGCCCACTCCTCCTGAGACAATGTGTGAGCCCCTCCGAGATGCCGCCTCACTCTGGACTCGTCCACAGCCCCTTGCCGGCCCTCATCTCCCGGTCTCAGGCCACTGCAGGGCACCTGCCAGGACAGAGCCTTCTGTCCACTCCTCACCGCACACCAAGCACCACGGCAGCTTTACTCGTAAAAGCCAAAAAGCCAAAGCTCCAGAGACCCTTCAGCAGGTGCACGGGTGCAAAGACCCCACGCACAGACCGCTGCTCGGCGCTGGGCAGGAATGGACCACTGACCACACCGCCACCCCAAGGGCAACGCACCAAGTGGTCCCACCCATAGCAATGAATGTCTGTGATCCCCCCAAATTCCTATGTTAAAATTCTCACCCCTAAGACAGTGGTGTTGGGAGGCGGGATCAGCTTCTTCCGCCACGGAGCTCTTGGGGGGCTCTTTCATGAGGGCACTGATGGTTCCAGGAGGGATCCCGTCCGCATGAGGACACAGCAAGAAGGCACCGCTGTCTATGAACCAGGAAACACAACCACCCCCTACACCAAATCCACAGCGCCGCTGTCTATGTACCAGGAAGCACAACCCCCCCTTCCCCCCAACCCCCCAAATCCACAGAACCTTGATCTTGGACGTCCAGCCTCCAGAACCATGAGACAAACTCGGGTAGTTTACAAGCCACTGTGCCTGCAGTATTGTCACAGCAGCCCGAGCTGACTGAGACGGTGACAAAATGTTAGGAAAAGAGAACACTGCAGGAAGCCAGGGATCCAGCCAGGGGTCCGGCCATGAAAGGGCAGCTGGGAGGGTCCTGCAGGACAGATGCTGCCTGGCCCCTGCCTGTGGCAGGGGAGCACGCACTCCACGGGTGACGAGTCAAACCCAACTTCACATGCACCCCTCCCACCCTCCCTCCCTGCCACGAGGCCACACCCACCACCGGTCCCGCTGTGAGACCCCCAGGTTCCTGCCTCAGACTGGGTCTGGAGCTGGTGAGCTCAGCCTCCCAGGAGGCCGTCGTGGGCACTGGCAGCTGTGTGCGACCCTTGCTTCAGCACCAGAGTTAAATATAAACTACCCCTTCCATCAGGTCCTTCCCCTTCCCAAACGCCCGGAGAACCCCCACTGCAGAAATCCAAGAGCCCGGCGTTCAGGAAGCGCCCAGCACCCCCACAGCACAGGCCCTTTGAGGGTGGCTCTGCCATTCCCTCCTCAGTGAGGTGTGGCAGTGCCCGTCTGCAGCCTGCCTCGCCAGCTTCCTGAGCGCAGGGGCTGTGGCTGCCCTGCCCACCTGCATCCCTAGCCCCTATGCAGAAGGCGCTGTGTACATGTTTCCTGAGCGAACCAAATGAACCTGGCCCTGGTCCACAGTGCTGGATCCCTCATGTCCCCATTGGGTCCCCCGCACTCCAGTGCCCGTCAGGATGGACCTGACTGCATGTCACCAGCCATGGCTCCTGGGAGAATGGGGCCCACATCTCCCACACCTGAGGGAGCCCCCCACACAACCACAAGCAAGGTGCTTTGCCTGTGCAAGCATGGTTCCTGGTGGGCCTGCCACAGGCCGCCCCACAGTGGACCCCAGACGCTAGGGAGCCTGCAGGAGGTACATCCTCAGGTACACTCAGCACGCCACCACTAGGAGGGGCCAGAGTCCGCCCACTGCTCCCACTGAGCCAGCTTCCAGAGGAGAAAACCACCCTCCCGACTGGACCCGCTGGCCAAGATCTGGAGAGGCCAACCAGGAGGAACGAAGTCCGTGCCCCAGCTTCCTTTTCCCCGGTGGGAAAGGAAAACGGAAGAAAAGGAGGCTCCAAGCGCCACAAGAGGGCGCAGCCCTGACAGCAGGAGCTGGGGGCTCATCCGATGCTCAAGATTCAAAGCCGGGCGCGGTGGCTCACGCCTGTAATCCCAGCACTTTGAGGCCGAGGCAGGTGGATCATTTGAGGTCAGGAGTTCAAGACCAGCCTAGCCAACATGGTGAAACCCCGTCTCTACCAAAAAATTTACAAAAATGGCCAGGCATGGTGGCTCACACCTGTAATCCCGGCACTTTGGGAGGCCAAGGTGGGCGGATCACGAGGTCAGGAGATCGAGACCATCCTGGCTAACACGGTGAAACCGCGTCTCCACTAAAACTACAAAAAATTAGCCGGGCATGGTGGCAGGCGCCTGAAAGCTGAGGCAGGAGAATGGCGTGAATCAGGAGGCGGAGCTTGTGGTGAGCTGAGATCGTGCCACTGCACTCCAGCCTAGGCGACAGAGCAAGACTCTTGTCTCAAAAAAAAAAAATTTACAAAAAAAAAAATTAGCTGGGTGTGGCAGTGGGCGCTTGTAATCCCAGCTACTCAGGAGGCTGAGGCAGGAGAAACGCTTGAACCCAAGAGACAGAGGTGAGCAAACATTCTACCACTGCACTCCAGCCTGGGTGACAAGTGAGACCTTGTCTCAAAAAAAAAAAAAAAAAAAAAAAAAAAAAAAGATTCAAGGCCGGGCGCAGTGGCTCACGCCTGTAATCCCAGCACTTTGGGAGGCCAAGGCAAGCGGATCACCTGAGGTCAGAAGTTGGAGACCAGCCTGGCCAACATAGTGAAACCACATCTCCACTAAAAATACAAAAATTAGCCGGGTGTGGTGGCATGCGCCTGTAATCCCAGCTTCTCGGGAGGCTGAGGCAGGAGAATCACTTGAACCAGGAGGCAGAGGTTGCAGTGAGCCAAGACTGCACCACTGCACTCCAGCCTGGGCAACAGAGTGAGACTCTCTCTCAAAAATAAATAAATAAATAAATAAATAACAAATAAAAAGTATATAAAGATTCAAGTAACCCATGACCCCAGTGGCAGGGCTGAGACCTGGGAGCCGACACCTGGGAGTCAGACTTCCAGGGTTCCAGGCTGCTTCCCGTCTACGACGCCTGAGCCGAGCCCCACAGTGCCCAAGACTGTGAGATGTGGGCCGAGAAGCCAGGAAGCCCCCACCAGGCTGCGGGGAGGCCAGGCCAGTGCACACACCGGGAGCAAGGCCAGAGCCACAGGGCCCCACCTGGGGGATACACATGACCGTTTGTCAGCACCCATGAGAAGGCGGGTGGTGGCAGCCCACGCGTGTGCATGCGTGTGCCTGTGATCTTGGCTCTTGGAAACAGCCAGGAAATCTAACCCTGACCAAGAGCTGTACTGGTGGGTGTGGGGTCAGAGCCAGGCACCAACCTGACGCAGGGGCCCGAGGAGGGGCAGCCCTCCTGCAGCGGAGGACGGACGCCCCTCATCCAGCTTCACAAGGGGCCTCATGCCTGCTTCGCTTCAGTCTCAGAACCCCAGGAGGTAGACAGCACCTCAGCGCCTGATTGACTGGAGGGGAAACTGAGGCACGGAGAGGACAAGCTGCCTCCCTGAAGTCACACGACCCCTAATGGCAGGGCCTGAAGAGACTTCGGTCTCCTGGCTCCGCAGCTTATCCCCGGCAGGCAGCCCAGGACGTGCTCTTCTGCTCCAGCACGCACCCTCAGGCAGGGAGGCAAGAAGACAAGGGGGCGCCCTGAGAGAGGAAGTGCACCCGGCTCACCCCGCTGCTGAGGCTCAAGAAAGAGCTGCCCCGAAACTCACTACCCCAGGTGGGGCATGACAGCCAGGGGCAGCGATGGCAGGACAGCCTCTGGACTGGAACCCAATCCCATCTCCACAGCAGCAGAGTCCCCAGGTGCCTCAAAGGTGCAGATACTAACTGCCCCTCGCCGGTCAGGGGCCATGCCACCTTGTTCTGTTCCCACTGAGGCTTCCGTGCAGACTGGCTCCCAAGTGGGAGTGACCCCACCCCTCCACTGGAAGCGGATGGTGTCACTCACTCATGTTTTCTACGTTTTTTTTTTGTTTGTTTTGTTTTGTTTGTTTGTTTGTTTTTGAGACAGAACCTCTCCCTCGGTCGCCCAGGCTGGAGTGCAGTGGTGCAATCTCGGCTCACTGCAACCTCTGCCTCCTGGACTCAAGTGATCCTCCCACCTTAGCCACCCAGGTAGCTGGGACTACAGGTGCACATCACCAAGTCTGGCTAATTTTTTGCATTTTTAGTAGAGACAGGGGTCTCGTCATGTTGCCCAGGCTGGTCTCGAACTCCTGGACTTGAGTGATCTGCCTGACTCGGCCTCTCAAAGTACTTGGATTACAGGCATGAGCCACCGCACCTGGCCATACAAAATTTCTAAGCTCCCGTCTCCTCACGTGCTGGGTCTTCCCACAGCCATTACTGAAGCCCCCCGACAGCCTGGGAGACTGGTCCCCAGCCTTGTGCAGCCCATCTAACCCAGTTGTGGGCACTGGCCTGGACATCTCCACCTGAGGGACAGGGACAGACCCCCGCCCCTGCCCAGCTCACTGACCATCGCCAAAGAGTGTGGGATAGGATCACTGATGGGGGAAGGGCAGGAGTCCGGAGCCCAGGCCCCCTCTCCAGACATCTACCCAGGCCACCAGCAAGGGCCTGACCGGTCAACCCTCGCCGCATCCAGTGGGACTAAGGCCGAGCAAACCAGTGTGGCTGGAGAAAAGGCTGCTTCATTCATCCCACAGCGTGGACCCGGCCCCACAGTCCCTGGGGGCTGCATTCATCCCACAGCGTGGACCCAGCCCCACCACAGCCGTGGGGGCTGCACTCATCCCACAGTGTGGACCTGGCCCCACAGTCCCTGGGGATTAAGACAGGCAACAGAACAGCCACATCTCTGCAGGCCGCACAAGTCCCGCTCGGTGGCGGGGCCCAGCACCCATCAGTGTGGACACGGTTAACAATAGCAACAGACACAGCGCCCTCCAGTTTGACCACACCCTTCAGCCCCCCACCCCACTCCGTCCCTGCAGGGCCCCTGAAACATCAGGGTGACCACACAGTTTGACAGAAGAGAAAACGGAGCCTGGGCCACCGGACGGTGCGGTACCCAGAACACCAACTCCGAGGTCAGACAGGGACAGAAACCTGGGCCAGCACCGTCCCTCCTGGAGCCTCCCAGGCCTTGGGGTCCCCATGTGGACGCCATCCAGGGAGCACCACCGCCCAGGGTTACTCCGCAGCTTTTCGGTGCAAAGCAGCCAGCAGGAAGGGCAGCCACAGGGGACAAGAGGGCTCCCTCCCCGCTGTCTGCCGCACTGGCCTCAGCTCATTTAATCCTTCCACAATCCTACAGGGGGAGGGACAGCCTTCCCACGTGACCGATGGGGAAACTGAGGCCGGGAGAGGGAAGTGACTCGCCCCTGGCTCCCTCCAGAGTGTGCCCCCACTGCCCCGTGCTGGCCAGCCCAGGGCAGCCCAGGCCACAGGCAGGACTCAGAAAGAAGCTTCTGAGAGCCAGCTGCGCACTGTCCCCGGAGACCCCTTCTGCCCAGTGCACAGGCCCACAGGCAGGTGGCAACCGAGCCTGCCCCAGCAGAGACCCCTGGCGTGCACCAGACCAGCCTGCAGGGCATTGGGGAGGTGTCGGGCCACTCCTCTCCACTTCCCTGCGTGATCTGCCTTCAGTCAGCCAATGACGGTCACTCGCCAAGCATCTCTGAGACCTGCACAGCTCAATGACATGGGCAGGGAAGCAGGGGACCAAGGACACGCAGCTGACGATGGCGACGAGAAGGGAAGGGGGCTGCTAAGACACACGGGTCAGGGGTCCTGCTCCCAGGGACACTAGGCGATGTCTGGGGACTTCTGTGGTTGTCACAACTTGGGGGTGCTCCTGGTCTGGTGTGGGTGGAGGCCAGGGACGCTGCTCAGTACCCTGCAGTGCCCAAGACAGCTCCACCCCAGAGAACGATCCAGTGTAAAACACCCACGGAGCCGAGGCTGGGGAATCCTGATCAAGGTGTCTGTGGGCAGATCCCAGATCCCAGATCCCAGGGCAGGATCCCCCATGGAGCAGTTTCTCAGAGCACCCAATGTGTGCCACACACGCCAGGTGCTGTGGACGCGACAAGATATCACCACACCGGCAGCGGAAGCAGCAGCCAGCATTCCGTGGGTCCCCACGTGCGGCAGGATGGGGATCACCACCGAGTCCTCACCCCACCGCCCCCTGAGGAAACTGAGGCACAGACCTGAAGTCCCACAGTTACAAGAGGCAGAGGTAGGCTCTGAACCTGAGTCTCCCCAGGCCACGTACCTGATCCGGACACCACACTGCTCCCAGGCCCTGCAGGTGGCCCGAAGACCCACCCACCAGTGCTGTCCTGAAAGCGCCTGTCGGCAGACTGCGGGAGGCCAGGCTGGACCAGGAACCCCCACAGCAGAGACCATCGGAGGCTTCTGACCCAGAGGCAGGGAGTGGGGATGGAGGGTGGGAGACTGGACCACAGACATCTTGATGGCAGGGGAGGGATGTGGCCAGGCCCAGATGACAGCGAGAGTCTGGATCCAGGGCAGCCAATTCTAAGACCTGCCAGGTGCCCTACAGATGACAGACATGGTGGGAGGCCCCCCGGGCGGGATGCTCCACACAGGGCCTGGCGGCAGGAGCTACATGCACCTGCAACCACCTGCACGCCAGCAAACCGGCACTTAGGATCCCGGTTCTGCGAAAGGACTTAATTTCTGCCAGATAATGACCCTGCACGTGGGCCTTCCCAGAGCCCCTGGCCGCCCCTAATCGCATCCACCGCTCTCAGTCACCCAGGTGGGCAAGCCATACAAGGCTTCCCATCCTCCACGCACAAGCTGGGGTGCCCAGTGGGGAGAACACAGCCCTGCTGGGGACCCAGAAGGGGCGCTGGGTCCCAGCTGTCTACAGGGTAGGGCCGAGCAGGCCCCGCGAGCGCCCCTCTAAGATCCGTCCGACTCCACCACACACCTCTCCAACCTCCTGATGCCACGGCGTCCTCCCCGTGCTGCCCAGGGTCCAGGTCCCAGACAGAGACAGGCTCCACCACAAGACTCAGAAAGTGAAACCTCTCGTGGTTAAATCTCGGAGGAAAGCACTTCCTCCACTCTCACTACAGCACCGGCAGAGCCGGGCAGGAGGCTCGGGAGGAAGCTCCACGGAGCTCACAGCTGTGGAACGGAGCTTCCCGGACCATGCCCGGGAAAAGCAGACCCTTTCAGCCACAATCATCATAACTGATTACATGTAAACACAAAGGACGTGAGAGCAGGCCCGGACCAAGTCCCCACGTCTCCCTGGCCTGGGCTCGGGCTTGGGAAGTCAAGGTTGGACGAGGCCATCCAAGGGCGCTTCCTGCTCCCAGAGTCTTCTGGGACACGGCACAGCCACCCTGCCAGGCGCCAGAGGCCACGCTCCACGCCTCCCAACACTGGGCCAACAGAGGCCCGGCCCTTCCCGTGGGGCCACCGCACCCCATGCTGGATCCCGGGCCTTGTCACTGCCCCGTGGGGGCTGGCGCAGGCCGGACAGGAAGCCTCCGGAACTAACCATCCTGCTTTATTTAGAAAGCCTGGAGCCACTCCGGCTCAGCCTCGCTAGCAGCCTCAGGCCCTGGGAACAGGCATTCCCATGGAAGTCCCCACGTTTCCAACCACAAACCTGCCACAAAGAACTATACGGGGGTCCCCTCCACAGTTTACCAGTGAGACGGAAACCTAACAGCCGAGGGCTGCCCGTGATAGGCAGAAGCCCAGCGGGCCTGGGGAATGGGAACCCAGATCCAAGAGCTGCTGGCAGGGCCTGCAAGAGCTCTCCAGGCCACAGGGCGGACCCCAGGATGGCGGCGGCGCGGACGGAGGCGGGAGCAGCGTGTGCACTAAGTGCGCAGTACGTGCTTGCCACTCCTGTACCCATCCACAGCTGTCACCAGCATCGACAGAAGTGTGCATAGGGACAAACCTGGAATACCACGGGTATAAAACAATACATGCATTCACATTCATGCATACACTGAGTAGTGAATTCACACACACACGGCTTTGACGGTGCTTAGAAAAATACTCTATAAGCACTCATGGAAACTTCTGACAAAATAATTTGCACTCATTATCCCTCAGCTTTGCCACGAGCATTTTACGTTGTACGCTACCACACAGTAAAGGGTCTCAAATGGGGGCAACGTGCCCCCCAAGGGACAATGGGCACTGTCTAGAGACATCTGTGGTTATCACGACTTGGGGGAGCTCCTGGCATGGAGTGGGTGGAGGCCTCGGACACTGCTCAGCACCCTGCAGTGCCCAGGGCAGCCCCACCCCAGAGACCAACCCGGACCAATGTGCACAGGGCCCCGGGGAGACCTGTTGTACGTAACGGAGAGGCCCATCTGAGGCGTGAACAGCACATTTTAGCCGCCGCGGGAGAGGCGGCACGGCAGCCGGAGCCCCGTCCAGCTCTAGGGCTCCGTAAGGTCCCCCCCACCCCGAAAACGGGGCACGGAATGTCCTCGCCAGGCTGACCGACCTCACAGGCCGTGTGCAGCCCCAGGGAGGCAGTGGATGAGAGCGAGCAGACGCGGCGTTCTTCCAGAACATGCTCCACCTGGTTGCAAACCCAGGAGTCAGGGCAGGGCCCTGGAGCCCTGCTGCCCCAGAGCCTGGAAGAAACCAGCACCACCCACATAAACGAGACCCTCCTGGGCCCCAGATGCCACAGGGGTGTGGTGGCAGGCCCCTGCCTCCCTCCCCGACATCCACTCCACAACGCTGTACGGGAGCCATGGGGGAGGAGGGATGGAGCCCCCACTGCTAAGGGGCAGGGGAGGAAAGAATTCTAGGGAGAGGCAGACCCAGCTTGGCTGGGCCTCCTGCGGAGTGCCAGGACCTCCACCCAGAGGTCTCTGAACATTCCGTGGGCCGCAGGCGCCATAGCCACCTGCTGCAGCCCAACAGCCCCTTCCTTCCGGGGAGCCTCGGCCCCACCCTCTAGCTGCTCCCTGAAAAACGGGGGCAATCGCAAGCTCGGGGCTGGCCTACTGGGAGAGTGGAATGAGTTCCCACAAGCAGGCAGGGAGCCTGACAGAGGTCCCCTCCCCTGCACCCTGAGGCCCCAGCCCCTGGACCTCAGGTGGTCAAAGTCCTCCCAGCAAGGGGCCCTCCAGCTGGGATGCAAGGTTGCTTGGACGGGAAGTTTTCTGAGGGTCTGTCGCATCAGATTCCCAAAGGGGTCCCTGGCTCCAACACCTTGGGTGTGAAGCCCTCCCAACCCCCTGACAGCCCCGGCTCTCTGCGTGGCACTGACACCAGTCCTCCTTGGGTCGCACGTGAGCTCACATCTTCCTCACTGTCCTATCTGCCACGCCTGGCCCTGAGCCTGACAGCAACCTCCCGTCTTACAGGCTGATAGGGGTCAACTTTCAGGCTCACAGAGTGGGAGGGGGTGGGACTGCAGACACAGGTGCTCCTGCAGCAGACACCCCCGGGCCACAGGCGGGCACTGGACAGAGGATGCGGGAAGGGCCGCATCACTTCCAGACTTGCTCCAAGCAGCCAAGGCGGCAGACACGGGAGCCCCTGACCTTCGTCCTTGAACCCCGTGTCAATCTCAAGTCCAAAGTGCAGGCACAGAAGACCGGGTGCATGCAGGGATGGCGGCGGGGGTTCTGGAGGTCACAGAGCCACAGGGCAAGGCCATCTGGTAAGATCTTTATGACACCAGTAATTCCTAACTCCCCTCCATCCAAACAAAGTCCACGACCCACTACAAAAGCCAGCCAGTGCCACTCTGTGCAAAGTGCCACCACGCGGGCCGCACTGCACATTTCCTCCAAACGTGAGGACCACGGCTCTGCCTACCCGCGGCCCCCTGGAAAGATGGCCCATTTTAGAACCCTTAGGTAAATCAAAACACAAGTTTGGGGAAAAAAATCAGGAAGGCGTTTCATCCAAGGCACCTCTGTAACCCGGGACACGGAGGGCCCTAAGAGGCTCACGGCAGGAGAGGCAACGTGTTCCCCACACAACATGCGACCTGCCTCCTCCCCAAGAGCCACCGCCACCAGCACGCCCCCTCCTCCGTCACCGCTGCCTCTCACGCATTTCCGACCTTCCCCACCGCCCCGCCCCCGGCCCAGGAGCTAACCTAGGAGCTCGGGAGGGCAGGGGCGGGGCAGGGCAAGAGCTTCTGTTTTGTAAACCACTGAAGGGGCCCTTATTTGGAGTGACAACACTTTACAGCTGGCCCGACTGGCTCCCTGCAGCAGGTGTGCCTTGGGGAGAAGGAGGTTCACCAGCAAACCTTCTCCAGGACGGTGGGGAGGAGCCGGCAGGTGGGGGGCTGCTCTCAACGAGGACTCAGCGTGGCTCCCACCAGGACTCTAAGGAAGGGGGCGGGGGAGGCTGCCGAGATAGCTGCTTGGGACAACAAGCAAAGGCTCCCTCAGGTGTCAACCGCCCCACCCTCAGCTGAGCGGAACCCTGAGGAGAGGAAAGACTGTCTTTTTCCCACAGGGTGCATTCCAGCCAAGAGGAGTACGGGGTTTCCCGGAACAGGAAGGCAGGAGAATGGCCCTGAAGGGAATGTGGGGATAGGGGACACGGAGGAGTCTTCGGGGGGATGGGGGGGTGTACAGGGCCTGCATGGAGGGTACAGGGCCTGCATGGAGTGTACAGGGCTCTGCCTGGAGGGAAGGGTCAACGCGGGGCCCTGAGCAGTGAGGGGTGAGTGTGCCCTGTGGGTTACAGCCCAAAGGTCTGGCCCTGAAGGGGTAGCGAGGGGTGGGTACTCCGGTGGGGTAAGGTCAGAAGGTCCCTGTGCAGGGAGGGACTGGTCCCTTGAGAAGGAACAGAGGGCAAATCCTGAAGAGTCCTGGAGGCCCAATGTAGACAGCAGAAGCTGGGAGCTGACCTAGGAGTGATCGGGGGCCTGATCCAGACAGGACAGACACAGGCTGACACCGGAGAGTCCCAGGTGCCAACATGAACAGTTAAGGCAGGGGCTGACCCCAAAGAAATCAGGGGCCCGCAGCTGACCCCGGAGGGTCCCAGGTGCCGACCTAGACAGCAAAGGCAGGGCTGACCCCAGAGGGTCCCGAGCCGACCCAGACGACACAGGCAGGGCTGATCCCGGAGGGCCCCGCCCCGACCCGGACAGGCAGTGAAGGCACAGGCAGGGCTGACACTCGAGGGTCCCGCGACCCGGACAGGCAGGGAAGGCACAGGCAGGGCTGACCCCGGAGGGTCTCGCGACCCGGACGGCACAGGCAGGGCTGACCCCGGAGGGTCCCGGCCCGACCCGGACAGGCAGGGCAGGCACAGGCAGGGCAGGGCCCGCAGCCGGCAGGCCCGGGGGCCGCACTCACCGAGCAGCAGCAGCTTGAGCTCGCGCCGGGCGTCGCGCTTGTCCCGCCGCAGCTGCTTCTCGATCTCGGCGTTGATCCGCTTGGACTCCTTCACCTCATCGCTCAGGCAACACGCCATCATGGACTCCAGAGTCATCGTCCCGGCCCCGGCCGACGCGGCCGCCTGCCCGCCGCCGCCCCCCGGCCCCCGGCCCGGCCCTGGCCGGAGCCGCCTCGGCCGCCGCCCGCCGCGGCCCTCCGGCCTCGGCCACCGGCCCTCGGCCCCGGGCCGGCCCGCCCCGCCTCGGCCGCCGCCTGGCGAGCCGCCGGGTCCCCGCTCGGGCCGCGCCAGCCGCGGACTCCCGCGCGGCCGCACTCAGCCCGCGCCGCCGCCGCAGCCACCGCCAACCGCAGCCGCCGCAACCGAGCGACAGCGCCGGACAACCTAGCAGGCTGGGAGCGCAGCCCGCGACGGGCAGACGGTGCGGCCAATGGGAGGGGCCGGCGGCCAAGCGCGCCCACCATGGGGGCGGGACTAGCGGCCTGGGCGGGGCGTCGGCGGGCGCGAAAGGGGCGGGGCGGGGCGAGGGCGGGGGGCCCGCGGGTTTGGTTGCGCCGACGTGGGAAGGGGGACGCGCAGCCGGGAGCCGGGGCGGGGCCGCCCGGGATTGTGGGAATGTGGCGGACTCGGCCCGGCCAGGCTCGGCTCCGCTCGGCTCCGTTCGGCCCCGCTCGGTCCCGCTCGGCTCGGCCCAGGCGCGGTGGCGGAGGCGCGCACGCGGCCGCTGCGCTCTCTGGGTCTCCAGGTGCCTGGGCAGCAGTCGCTGCCCCCGGGAAGCGCCCTGACATTGCCTGACAGGAACCTTCACTCATCCATTAAAAAGCGTTAATGGAGGTCGGGCGCGGTGGCTCACGCCTGTAATCCCAGCACTTTGGAAGGCCGAGGCGGGCGGATCACCTGAGGTCTGGAGTTCGAGACCAGCCTGACCAACAGGGAGAAACGCCGTCTCTACTAAAACTACAAAATTAGCCCGGCGTGGTGGTGCACGCCCGTAATCCCAGCTACTCGGGAGGCTGAGGCAGGAGAATCACTTGAACCCAGGAGGCGGAGGTTGCAGTGAGCCGAGATCACGCCATTGCACTCCAGCCTGGGCAACAAGAACGAAACTCCGTCTCCAAAGAAAAAAAAAAAAAAAGAGGGCCGGGCGCGGTGGCTCACGCCTGTAATCCCAGCACTTTGGGAGGCCGAGGCGGGTGGATCACGAGGTCAGGAGATCGAGACTATCCTGGCTGACACGGTGAAACCCCGTCTCTACTAAAAATACAAAAAATTAGCCGGGCGTGGTGGCGGGCGCCTGTAGTCCCAGCTACTCGGGAGGCTGAGGCAGGAGAATGGCGTGAACCCGGGAGACGGAACTTGCAGTGAGCTGAGATCATGCCACTGCACTCCAGCCTGGGCGACAGAGCGAGACTCTGTCTCAAAAAAAAAAATTAAAAAGCGTTAATGGGACACCTACTGTGTATCAGGCATTAATGGGACACATTCTATATGCCAGGCACGGACCAGAGATTAATGGAGTGCCTGCTGTCCATCAGGTGTCAATCAGGCCTTACTGCAGTGCCTGCACCATTCCAGGCCAGGTATACGCATTCATGAAATGCCTACAGGATACCAGGCACTGCTGTAAGCCCGTTAAGCTAACCCTACCCAAGGGATATCTTTTTTTTCTTCTTCTTTTTTTGAGATGGAGTCTTGCTCTGTCGCCCAGGCTGGAGTGCAGGGGCGTGATCTAGGTTCATTGCACCCTCTGCCTCACAGGCTCTAGTGATTCTCCTGCCTCACCCTCCCAAGTAGCTGGGATTACAGGCGCGCCACCATGCCTGGCTAATTTTGTATTTTTAGTAGAGAGCGGGTTTCGCCACGTTGGCCAGGCTGGTCTCAAACTCCTGGCCTCTAGTGATCTGCCCTCCTCGGCCTCCCAAAGCGCTGGGATTATAGATGTGAGCCACCTCACCCAGCCATATCTTTATCCTTACTTTGCAGATGAAATGGAAGTGGCCACCAGAATTTATAAAAACGTGTGTTCCCACCACCTTGCTGACTACTGAAAACCCTTTTCCCTCTCTGGCCTCCTTGGCCAACCCCTGAGCATCCTCTCCGTTTCAATTCAGACGTCAGCTCCTCAGGGAGACTTCTCCTGACTCCTCAGACCAAGCCAGGTACCTTCTCTTGAGCCACAACTTGAAATTGTATGTTCTGGCCAGGTGCGGCAGCTCCTGCCGGTAATCCCAGTACTTGGGAGGCCAAGGCAGGTGGACCGCTTGAGCTCAGGAGTTCGAGACCAGCCTAGATAACATGGCGAAACCCCATCTCTACTAAAAATACAAAAAATTAGATGGGTGTGGTGGCACATGCCTGTAATCCCAGCTACTCGGGAGGCTGAGAGGATCACTTGAGCCCAGGAGGCAGATGTTGCAGTGAGCGGAGATGGGGCTACTGCACTCCAGCCTGGGACACAAGAGTGAGACCCTGTATCAAAACAAAACAAAACAAAACACCAGAGTGGCCAACATGGTGAAACCCCCTCTCTACTAAAAATACAAAAATGACCCGGGCGTGGTGGCGGGCACCTGTGGTCTCAGCTACTTTTGCTGAGGCAGGAGAATCGCTTGAACCCGGGAGGCAGAGGTTGCAGGGAGCTGGGATCATACCACTGCATTCCAGCCAGGGCAACAGAACGAGACTCCGTCTCAAAAAAAAAAAAAAAAAAAGGCCGGGTGTGGTGGTTTATGCCTGTAATCCCAGCACTTTGGGAGGCCGAGGTGGGCAGATCACCTGAGATCGGGAGTTCAAGACCAGCCTGACCACCATGGAGAAACCCCGTCTCTACTGAAAATACAGAATTAGCCAGGCACGGTGGCTCATGCCTGTAATCCCAGCTACTTGGGAGACTGAGGCAGGAGAACCTCTTGAACCCGGGAGGCGGAGGTTGCAGTGAGCTGAGATCGCACCATTGCACTCCAGCCTGGGCAACAAGAGAGAAACTCCGTCCAAAAAAAAAAAAAAACAAAAAAGCAGGGTGTGGTGGCTCATGCCTGTAATCCCAGCACTTTGGAAGGCCAAGGCAGGCAGATCACTTGAGGTCAGCAGTTTGAGACCAGCCTGGCTAACATGGCAAAACCCTGTCTCTATTAAAAATACAAAAAAATTAGTGGACACCTGTAATCCCAGCTACTCGGGAGGCTGAGGCAGCAGAATCTCTTGAACCCAGGAGGTGGACGTTGCAGTGAGCCGAGACCACACCACTGCACTCCAGCCTGGGCGACAAGCGTGAAACTCCATCTCCAAAAAAAAAAAAGAAAGAAATTATATATTCTTCTGGGTGCCTCTCTGTAGACTCAGTTTCCCAAATTGGCCATCAGCTCCATGAGGTCAGAGCCTGTCTGGTTCACCTAGAACAAAGATTGGCAATCCACAACCCTCGGCCCTATGGTCCATAAGCTTCGAATGGCTTTTACTTTTTTTTTTTTTGAGACGGAGTCTTGCTCTGTCGCCCAGGCTGGAGTGTAGTGGCATGATGTCAGCTCACTACAAGCTCCGCCTCCCAGGTTCACGCCATTCTACTGCCTCAGCCTCCCGAGTAGCTGGGACTACGGCACCCGCCACCACGCCTGGCTAATTTTTTTGTTGTATTTTTTAGTAGAGATGGGGTTTCACCGTGTTAGCCAGGATGGCCTCAATCCCCTGACCTCGTGATCTGCCTGCCTCGGCCTCCTAAAGTGTTGGGATTACAGGCGTGAGCCACCGCGCCCAGCCTGGCTTTTACATTTTTAAACGGTTTTAAAAAATCAAAAGAAAGTAATATTTAGGTAGACATAAAAATTATATGGAACTCAAATTTCAGTGTCCATGTATAGGATTTTGTTGGAAGCCAGTCACATCCATTGATTTCCATACTGAGTGTGGCTACTCTTACCCCACAGGGCAGCATTACAAGAACTCTTCAAAGATTTCCTATGTGGTCCCTTACAGAAAGAGACCTAGAATGAGGCTCTAACACACACTAGGTGCTCAATCGATGTGTTTGGAATGATGGGAAAGGAATTAAAAAGCCTGGTCTGGGAAGAGTGGCTCATGCCTGTAATCCCAATACTTTGGGAGGCCAAGGCAGGAGGACTGCTTGAGGCCAGGAGTTTGAGACCAGCCTGGGCAGCATAGCAAGACCCCCACGTACACACCCTACAAAAGTAAAAATAAAATTTGCTGGGCACGGTGGCTCACGCCTGTCATCCCAGCACTTTGGGAGGCCAAGGCAGGCAGATGACCTGAGGTCAGGAGTTCAAGACCAGCCTGGCCAACATGGTGAAACCCCGTCTCTACTAAAAATACAAAAATTAGCCGGGCATGGTGGCTTGCACCTATATTCTCAGCTACTCCGGAGGCGGAGGCAGGAGAATCGCTTGAACCCAGGAGGTGGAGGTTGCAGTGAGCCGAGATCACACCAGGAGGTGGAAGTTGCAGTGAGCTGAGATCGCACCACTGCACTCCAGCCTGGGCGACACAGTGAGACTCCACCTCAAAAAATAAAATAAAATAATGAAATAAAATTAGCCGGGCATGGTAGCGTGTGCCTGTAGTCCCAGCTATTCAGGAGGCCAAGGTGGGAGGATCACTTGAGCCCAAGAAGTCAATGCTGCAGTGAGCCATGATTGCACCACTGCACTCCAGCCTGGGTAACAGAATAAGACCCTGTCTCAAAAACTGAAATTAAGGCAGGTGCAGTTGCTCACGCCTATAATCCCAGGACTTTGGGAGGCCAAGGCAGGAGGATCACTTGAGCCCAGGAGTTCAAGACCAGGGTCTCAACATAGTGAGACCCTGTCTCTACAAAAAAAAAAAAAAAAAAAAAAAAAAAAAGACAAAGGGAAGATACTAAAAATGAATACTAGAGCCTAGATTGTTCTTGGAGCTGGAAATTCATTTTAAAGAGGAGGAAACTGAGGCACCATTGCATACAACTTCGCTGACTGCCACGCCTCTCCCAGCCCCTGACACTGCCTGACCTCCCCACCACCTCCTCCCTCTACCTGGCCCTTCCCAGTTTCCAAATGTCAGGAGCCTATCCCTTATCCTCAGAGGTACACCTTGATAGACCCTTCTCCCTTGTCTTGAGATAAGAGGGCAAAGGGAGGGTCAAAGTCTCCGTTTATCAGTTCCTTGGGTGTGTGGGAAGATTAGCTCACTTTTTTTTTTTGAGACAGTCTTGCTCTGTCGCCCAGGCTGGAGTGCAATCAATGGCATGATCTCGGCTCACTGCAACCTCCACCTCCCAGGCTCAAGCAATTCTCCCATCTCAGCCTCCCCAGTAACTGGGACTACAGGCACCCCCACATCATGCCCGGCTAATTTTTGTATTTTTGTAGAGGCAGGGTTTCACCATGTTGGCCAGGCTGGTCTTGAACTCCTGACCTCAGGTGATCCACCCACCTCGGCCTCCCAAAGTGCTGGGATTACAGGTGTGAGCCACCACACCCGGACAAAAGATTAGCTCCTTGAAAAGCTCATCTTCTGGGGTTCCAGTCCCACCTCAGCTGCACGTAGCCAGGGGGCTCCTGGAGTTCCCGCCTCAATAGATCAAAGCTCCAATTGCATGTGAAACTTACAACCAGAGGGCAAATTGTGGCCAAAAACATTGTCACTCACTTGGCCAGGCAGAGTGGCTCATGCTTGTAATGCCAACACTTTGGGGGGCCAAGGCAGGAGGACCGCTTGAGCCCAGGAGTTAGAGACCAGCCTGGACAATACAGTGAGATCCTGTCTCTGTTAAAAGCAACAATATATGGCCGGGCGTGGTGGCTCATGCCTGTAATCCCAGCACTTTGGGAGGCCGAGGTGGGCGGATCAGGAGGTCAGGAGATCGAGACCATCCTGGCTAACATCGTGAAACCCCATCCCTACTAAAAATACAAAAAATTAGCCAGGCATGGTGGCAGGTGCCTGTAGTCCCAGCTACTCGGGAGGCTGAGGCAGGAGAATGGTGCCAACCCGGGAGGCCGAGCTTGCAGTGAGCTGAGATCGCACCACTGCACTCCAGCCTGGGTGACAGAGCACGACTCCATCTAAGAAAAAAAAAACCCAATATTGTCACTCAGGCCTCGGCTAAAAACACCTCCCCCTCCAATGGGTCCTACCTGAAAATCCATAACTAATGCCACCCCCACTCCAAGCCCTCCCTCCTGTCACGTCCTGTTGAGTTGCCTTCATAGCCCTTTTTGCAGCTTGAAATTATCGTATTTACCTCTTTATTCATTGATTACCTCTCCTGCCATGATACAGGGTGTATTTCTTTCTTTCTTTCTTTTTCTTTCTTTCTTTCCTTTTCTTTTTTTTTTTTTTTAAGACGGAGTTTCACTCTTGTTGCCCAGGCTGGAGTGCAGTGGCACTATCTCAGCTCACAGCAACCTCCGCCTCCCGGGTTCAAGCGATTCTCCTGCCTCAGCCTCTCCAGTAGCTGGGATTACAGGCAGGCACCACCACCCCAGCTAATTTTGTGTTTTTAGTAGAGACAGGGTTTCTCCATGTTGGTCAGGCTGGTCTTGAATTCCCAACCTCAGGTGATCCGCCCACCTCAGCCAGCCAAAGTGCTGGGATTACGGGCTTGAGCCACCATGCCCGGCTTTTTTTTTTTTTTTTTTGTGATAGGATCTTGATCTGTCGCCCAGGCTGCAGTGCAGTGACACGATCTCAGCACACTACAGCCTCGACTTCCTGGGCTCAAATGATCCTCCCGCCTTAGCCTCCCGAGTAGCTGGGACTACAGGTGCCCACCAATACGCTCAGCTAAATTTGTTTAATTTTTTGTAGAGATGGGATCTCACTAGCTTGCCCAGGCTGATCTCAAACTCCTGGGCTCAAGCAATCCTCCCTCCTCAACCAGTCTCTGCCATAACACGCTGTTCTTTTCTTTCAGATACTTTGTCACAATTTGAAATGGGATCTATTTATTGATGATTATTGATTGGGCGTCTGCTATGGGCCAGGTACTAGACTGGATATTTACTTACTTTTTTATTTTTACTTACGTTTTTATTTTTTTTATTTTTTTGAAATGGAGTCTCACTCTGTGGCCCAGGCCGGAGTGTAGTGGCATGCTCTCGGCTCACTGCAACCTCTGCCTCCCGGGTTCAAGCGATTCTTATGTCTCAGCCTCCCAAGTAGCTGGGGTTACAGACATCCGCCACCACGCCCAGCGAACTTTCGTATTTTTAGTAGAGATGGGTTTCACCACGTTGGCCAGGCTGTTCTCGAACTGCTGACCTCAAGTGAACTGCCCGCCTCAGCCTCTCAAAGTGCTGGGATTATAGGTGTGAGCCACCACACCCGGCCTTGAGCAATTTTTTTTTTTTTTTTTTTTTTTTTTTGAGACGGAGTCTTGCTCTCTCGCCCAGGCTGAAGTGCAATGGCGCAGTCTCGGCTCGCTGCAACCTCCACCTCCGGGCTCAAGTGATTCTCCTGCCACAACCTCCCAAGCAGCGGGGATTACAGGCATGCGCCACCATACCTGGCTCATTTTTGTATTTTTAGTAGAGCCGGGATTTCACCATGTTGGCCAGGCTGGTCTCAAACTCCTGACCTCGTGACCTCCCCACCTCGGCCTCCCAAAGTGCTGGGACTACAGGCATGAGCCAGCGCGCCCAGCCTTGAGCATTTATTAAAGAAACTCCGTGGACCGGGCGCAGTGGCTAACGCCTGTAATCCCAACACTTTGGGAGGCTGAGTCAGGCAGATCACAAGGTCAGGAGATCGAGACCATCCCGGCTAACACAGTGAAGCCCTGTCTCCACTAAAAAAATTCAAAAAAATTAGCCAGGCCTGGTGACGGGTGCCTGTGGTCCCAGCTACTTTGGAGGCTGAGGCAGGAGAATGGCATGAACCCAGGAGGCGGAGCTTGCAGTGAGCAGAGATTGTGCCACTGCACTCCAGCCTGGGCGACAGAGCGAGACTCAGTCTCAGATAATAATAATAATAAAAGAAACTCCGTGGAAACCCCCTCCTGGCTGCAGGGCTGTCCTGGGCATTGTTGGGAGGAGATCCAGTGGGGAGCAGGAACAACAGTTGGGGCCAGGCTCAGCGACTCACGCCTGTAATCCCAGCACTTCAAAAGGCTGAGGTAGGAGGATAGTTAGAGGGCAGGAGTTGGAGCCTAGCCTGGACATCACCACAAAACCCCATCTCTACAAAAAAATTTAAAAATTAGGCCGGGCGCGGTGGCTCAAGCCTGTAATCCCAGCACTTTGGGAGGCCGAGGTGGGCGGATCATGAGGTCAGGAGATCGAGACCATCCTGGCTAACACGGTGAATCCCGTCTCTACTAAAAATACAAAAAATTAGCCGGGCGAGGTGGCGGGCGCCTGTAGTCCCAGCTACATGGGAGGCTGAGGCAGGAGAATGGCGTGAACCCCAGGGGGCGGAGCCTGCAGTGAGCCGAGATCGCGCCACTGCACTCCAGCCTGGGTGAAAGAGCGAGACTCCATCTCAAAAAAAAAAAAAAAAAGAAAGAAAAAAAATTTAAAAATTAGCTGGGTGTATTGATGCACGCCTGCAATCCCAGCATTTTGGGAGTCTGAGGTGGGAGGATTGCTGGGGCCAGGAGTTTGAGGCTGCAGTGAGCTGTGATTGTGCCACTGCACTCCGGCCTGGGTGACAGAGTGAGACCCTGGCAGAAAGAAAAAGAAAAGAAAAGGCCAGGCGCATTGGCTCTCGCCTGTCATCCTGGAACTTTGGGAGGCCAAGGCGGGCGGATCACTTGAGGTCAGGAGTTTGAAGCCAGCCTGGCCAACATGGTAAAACTCTGTCTCTACCAAAAAATACAAAAATTAGCTGGGCATGGTGGTGGGCACCTGTAATCCCAGCTACTCAGGAGGCTGAGGCAGGAGAATCACTTGAACTCGGGAGGTACAGGTTGCAGTGAGCCGAGATTGCGCCACTGCACTCCAGCCTGGGCAACAGAGTGAGACTCCTTCTCAAAAAAATAAAGAAAAGAAGGAAAAGGAAAGGAAAGTAGAAGAGGAGAGGGGAGGGGAGGGGGAAAAGAAAGAAAGAAAAGAAACAGGCCAGGCGTGGTGGCTCACGCCTGTAATCCCAGCACTTTGGGAGGCTGAGGCAGGCGGATCACCTGAGGTCAAGAGTTCGAGACGAGACTCAACATGGAGAAACCCCGTCTCTACTAAAAACACAAAATTAGCTGGGCGTGGTGGTGTACGCCTGTAATCCCAGCTACTTGGGAGGCTGAGGCAGGAGAATCGCTTGAACCCTGGAGGTGGAAGTTGCAGTGAGCTGAGATTGCGCCATTGCACTCCAGCCTGGGCAACAAGAGCAAAACTCCGTCTCAAAAAAAAAAAAAGAAAGAAAGAAAGAAAAGAAACAACAACATCATGGGGGGTCTTCCGTTCTCAGTGCCTACTGTGTGCCGGGAACTGGGCCAGGACACAGAAAGCCTCCTGTGGGGAAGATGGGGAAACTGAGGCCCATCCAGAGATGGGGAGTTGACCCTGGGCCCCAACCCGGAGCTGAATACTGACTCCAGCGTCCCCACCCAGAGGCTCAGAGTGACAAAGTCCACACTCACAGCAGTGCCTTCATGGCGTTGGCGGCCCCTCCCTCCCTCCTCAGCTCCCCACGGCCTCCTCCCTTCCTTGTGGCCTTGGCCTCCTGGACCTTGAGGAACTGGATTTTATGAGGGCCCGGGGTGAGAACAAGGCCATTTCCTGGCACAGAGCTGCGAGCGAGGACAAAGGTGATGGGGACCCAGGCTGAGGACAGGCAGGGTGCAAGGGCACCTATTGCCAGAACTACAGCTCCGGAGTCAGGGGGCAGGACCCTCCGCACCCAAACACCAGCCCCTCCAGGCCTCAGGGTGGAAAATGAGCACTCATTGCCTGCCATAAAGAAAATCAGCCGGCGTGGTGGCTCACGCCTGTCATCCCAGCACATTGGGAGGCCGAGGCGGGTGGATCACCTGAGGTCAGGAGTTGAAGACCAGCCTGGCCAACATAATGACACCCCGTCTCTACTAAAAATACAAAAATTAGCCAGGCATGTTGGCAGGCACCTGTAATCCCAGCTACTCAGGAGGCTGAGGCGGGAGAATGGTGTGAACCCGGCAGGCCGAGGTTGTAGTGAGCCGAGATCACGCCACTGCACTTCAGCCTGGGCGACAGAGCAAGACTCTGTCTCAAAAATTAAAAAAAGAAAAAGAAAAAAGAAAATCATCAGGCCAGGCTTGGTGGCTCACGCCTGTAATCCCAACACCTTGGGAGGCCAAGGCGGGTGGATCACCTGAGACCAGCCTGGCCAACGAGGTGAAACCCCGTCTCTGCTAAAAATACAAAAATTAGCCAGGCATGGTGGCGGGTGCCTGTCATCTCAGCTACTCGGGAGGCTGAGGCAGGGGAATTGTTTGAACCCAGGAGACGGAGGTTGCAGCGAGCAGAGATGGCGCCATTGCACTCTAGCCTGGGGGACAGAGCAAGACTCTGTCTCAGAAATAAAAAATTTAAAAAATGGTCAAGCTGGGCATGGTGGCACATGCCTCTGGTCCCAGCTACTTGGGAGGCCAAGGCATGAGGGTCACTTAAGCTCAGGAGTTCAAGAGCAGCCTGGGCAACACAGCAAGACCCCATCTCTACAAAAAATAATAAATGAGTAAGGCATGGTGGTGCATGCCTGTGGTCTCAGTTTCTTGGGAGACTGAGGTGGGAAGATCGATCGAGCCCAGGAGTTTGAGGCTGCAGTGAGGTATGATCGCACCACTGCACTCCAGCCTGGCACACAAAACGAGAACCCCTGATCTAAAACCAAACAAAAAAAAAAAGGAAGCAACTGGGATTCTCCTCCATGACTGGTGGGAATGTGAAATAGTGCGGCTACTTTGGAAAAAAGTCTAGCAGATTCTTTATTTAAAAAAATATTTTTTTGAGACGGAGTCTTGCTCTGTTGCCCAGGCTGGAGTGCAGGGGCGTGATCTCGGCTCACTGCAAGCTCCGCCTCTCAGGTTCACGCCATTCTCCTGCCTCAGACTCCTGAGTAGCTGGGACTACATGCGCCCGCCACCACGCCCGGCTAATGTTTTTTGCATTTTTTAATAGAGACGGGCTTTCACCGTGTAAGCCAGGACGGTCTCAATCTCCTGACCTCATGATCCGCCCGCCTCGGCCTCCCAAAGTGCTGGGATTACAGGTGTGAGCCACCGCATCCGGCCGGATTCTTCAAAATTTAAACAAGATCAGTTGAGCGCTGTGGCTCACGCCTGTAATCCGAGCACTTTGGGAGGCCGAGGTGGGTGGATCACCTGAGGTAGGGAGTTCGAGACCAGCCTGACTGACATGGAGAAACCCCGTCTCTACTAAAAAAATACAAAAATTAGCTGGGCATGGTAGCGCATGTTTGTAATCCCAGTTACTCGGGCGGCTGAGGTAGGAGGATCGCTTGAACCTGGGAGGCGGAGGTTGCGGTGAGTCGAGATTGCACCATCGCACTCCAGCCTGGGCAACAAGAGCAAAACTCCGTCTCAAAAAAAAAAAAATTTAAACAGGATCTAGGGCTGGCCGTGGTTCATACTTGTAAATCCAGAACTTTGGGAGGCCGAGGTGGGTGGATCACTTGGGCTCAGGAGTTCGAGACCAGCCTGGCCAACATGATGAAACCCCATCTCTACTAAAAATACAAAAGTGGCTGGGCGCGGTGGCTCACGCCTGTAATCCCAGCACTTTGGGAGGCCGAGGTGGGCAAATCACGAGGTCAAGAGATCGAGACCATCCTGGCTAACACAGTGAAACCCCGTCTCTACTAAAAATACAAACATTAGCCAGGCATGGTGGCACACGCCTGTAGTCCCAGCTGCTCAGGAGGCTGAGGCAGGAGAATCATTTGAACCAGGGAGGCAGAGGTTGCAGTGAGCCAAGATCATGCCACTGCACTCCAGCCTGGGCAACAGAGTGAGACTCCTTCTGAAAAAGATAATATTAAATAAATAAATAGATAGATAAATAAATAATATAAACAGTATCTATTTATATTTATTTTGAATAAATAAACAGGATCCAGCCATTTCATTCCTAGGTATTTTGCCAACAGAAATGAAGACATGTCAGTACAGACGCCTACACTCCATACTAACAACAGCCGTGGTTTATGCTGCTGGAAGCTGGGAGTCCGGCTCTCTGGTTCTCATCCAGCACACCCTCCCCAAGCTGTGTGACTTTCAGGGGGAGACTTGCCCTCTCTGAATCTCCATCTCTTCATCGGTGAAATAAGCGTAGTGATAAAAATTTCCGTAGGCCAACGGGCACATGGAAAGTTGCTTGGCCAGGCCCAGTGCCGCACACCTGTAATCCCAGCACTTTGGGAGGCTGAAGCTGGAGAATCGCTTGAGCCCAGGAGTCCAAGAATAGCTTGAGCAATATATCGAGACCCTATCTCTACTAAAAATACAACATTAAAAAGTAGCCACGTGTGGTGGCATGCACCTGTAGTCCCAGCTACTCAGGAGGCTGAGGTGAGAGGATTGCTTGAGCCTGGGAGGCTGAGGGTGTAGTAAGCTATGATTGCACCACTGCACTCTAGCCTTGGCAACAGAGCAAGGCCTTGTCTGAAAAAAATAACCAGGCTTGGCCCCGTGGCTCACACCTGTAATCCCAGCACTTTGGGAGGCCAAGGCAGGCAGATCACCTGAGGTCAGGAGTTCGAGAATAGCCTGGCCAACATGGTAAAACCCCGACTCTACTAAAAATACAAAAATTAGCCAAGTATGGTGGCACGTGCCTGTAATCCCAGCTACTCAGGAAGCTGAGGCAGGAGAATCCCTTGAACCCAAGAGGCAGAGGCTGTGGTGAGCCAAGATCTTGCCACTGCACTCCAGCCTGGGTGACAGAATGAGACTCCATCTCAAAAAAAAAAAAAACAAAAAAAAACTCCCTTTCTAATACCACTTGCCCTTGAAATCTTTCCTGGGTGAAGCCAAGAACCCTCCCAGGCTAAGCCCCAATTTTGGGGCTCACCTGCCCTGCATCGAGGGGACCAGGGCAGACAGGACTTGGCTTGTCAAGCTGAGGGAGGATAGGGCTGGGTCCAGGTGGAGGCTGTGCACATGTGGAAAAGTTTTGGGGCAGATAACAACACAGACCCTGCAATCACAATCCCTGGGTTCAAATTCCCACACTCCCTCCTTGCTCTCCCTCCCAACTCCATGACCTTGAGCTGTGACCTTGAACCAGGGACTCCTCCTCCCTTAGCCTCCATTTCCTTTTGGCAAAACAGGGATATAAGAGTTACCTGTGGCCGGGCTCCCACCTGTAATCCCAGCACTTTGGGAGGCAGAGGCAGATGGATCACCTGAGGTCAGGAGTTTGAGACCAGCCTGGCCAAGAGGGTGAAACCCCGTCTCT
Organism: Homo sapiens; assembly: GCF_000001405.40. Lineage (NCBI taxonomy): Eukaryota > Metazoa > Chordata > Mammalia > Primates > Hominidae > Homo > Homo sapiens. Next base: position 3,081,362 of record NC_000019.10, on the reverse strand, counting down.
ACTAAAAATACAAAAGTTAGCCAGGCGTGGTGGTGGGACCTGTAATCCCAGCTACTCGGGAGGCTGAGGCATGATAATTACTTGAACCCGGGAGGCGGAGGTTGCAGTGAACCAATATCATGCCATTGCACTCCAGCCTGGGCAACAAGAGGGAAACTCTGTCTCAAAAAAAAAAAAAAAAAAAAAAATTGGGAAGCCGAGGCAGGCAGATCACCTGAGGTCAGGATCACTCCGTCTCTACTAAAAATACAAAAATTAGCCAGGCATGGTGATGCAAGCCTGTAGTCCCAGCTACTGGGGAGCTGAGGCAGGAGGCAGGAGAATCACTTGAACCCGGGAGGCAGAGGTTGCAGTGATCCGAGATCACACTACTGAGCTCCAGCCTGGGCCACAGAGCAAGACTCCATCTCAAATATATATATATATGTGTGTGTATATATATTAAATCTGGCAGGGTGCCATAGTGCACACCTTAATCCCCGCTACTCAGGAGGCTGAGGAGGGAGGATCACTTGAGCCCAGGAGGCCGAGGCTGCAGTGAGCTATGATCGTGCCACAGCACTCCAGCCCAGGCGAGAGAGCAAGACCCTGTCTCTAAAAACTATATATATAAATAAAGAAATGCACTAAATCCGAACGAATGAATGAAGGTTTTGGTTAAGCTCCTTGATTATCCCAATTCTGGCTTCGGGCAAATAACTGAGCCAAGACTTTCTCTTTTAAAAAAACAAACATTAGAAACCATTTCCTCCTGTGAGCAGGTTGAGTTTCTTATTCCCAAGTAAGGGCAAAACAGATTGCACCCAGGGCTGCAGGCTCTGGCCACGCACACGGCCTCCTACAAAGCTTCTGCCCACAGGCTCATCTGATCTTATGATTCGGGAAACACCCGGGACACGGGGTCACAGCTCAGACTCTGCCCCGCCTTTGCTGAATTAGACTGTGCGGAGAGCCAGCCCCAGGAAGCTGCATTTGAAACAAGCCCATTCCGAGCCCAGGGAGGTCTGACCATCCACAGACATCCCCACGCACAGCCAGGGACAGCTCGTGCCCGGTTTCTGCAGACATGGATTTAGTGGAGAAGCCTCTTCATGTTAAAGTCACACTGAATTATTGTTATTTTATTTATGTATTTATTTTTCTGATGGAGCATTATTCTGTTGCCCTGTCTGGAGTACAGTGGCACAATCTCGGCTCGCTGCAACCTTCCTCTCCTGGGTTCAAGCGATTCTTGTGCCTCAGCCTCCTGAGTAGCTGGGACTGCAGGTGCGTGCCACCACGTCTGGCTAATTTTTGTATATCTTAGTAGAGCCGGGGTTTCACCATGTTGGCCAGGCTGGTCTCGAACTCCTGACCTCAAGTGATCCTCCCCACTCAGCCTACCAAAGTGCTGGGATTACAGGCATGAGCCACCACACTCGGCCTTCATAACTGAATTCAAATCTGAGTCAGGGCCTGTCCCTCCTCGGCTCACAGCCCTCCATGGCTCCCACCTTCCTTCAGGAAAAGCCCAAGTCCGCCCCATGGCCCACAAGGGCCTGCACCAGCCCCTCCCCGTCCTCCCCTCCTCCCTGTCTCCCTTTCCTCCAGTCACACAGGTCTCCTTAGTGTTCCTCTAACTAGTCAGGCACAGTCCTACCCCAGGGCCTTTGCACAGCCTGTGCCTTCTGCCTGGAACTGTCTACCCACAGTGTGAGCTCTGTCCCTACACAATGTAACTTTGTCTATCCCTGTTACTCCTTCTAAACCCCTCCTTCTGGGCCTGGCAAGGTGTCTCATGCCTGTAGTCTCAAAACCTTGGGAGGCCAAGGCAGGCACATCACTTGAGGCCAAGCGTTCAAGACCAGCCTGGGCTTGTCAGGGAGAACCTGTCTCCACAAAAAAATAAAATAAAATCTGCCAGGCATGATGGCATACACCTGTAGTCCCAGCTACTCGGGAGGCTGCAGTAATCCCAGCACTTTGGGAGGTAGAGGCAAGGAGATAACCTGAGATCAGGAGTTCGAGACCAGCCTGGCCAACATGGCAAACTCTCGTCTCTACTAAAAATACAAAAACTAGCTGGGTGTGGTGATGCATGCCTGCAATTCCAGGTACTAGGGAGGCTGAGTCACAAGAATTGCTTGAACCCAGGAGGCGGAGGTTGCAGTGAGCTGAGATCATGCCACTGCACTCCAGCCTGGGCGACAGCGAAACTCCATCTAAAAAAAAAAAAAAGAGAGAGAGAGAGAATCCATGAATCTATTTGGAAAATAGACAGATAAATAAAGTGAGAAGGAGGCATTTATATTTATTTATTTACTTTTGAGTCAGAGTCTCACTCTGTCACCCAGGCTGGAGTGCAGTGGTGCAATCATGGCTCACTTCAGCTTCAACCTCCTGGGCTCAAGCTATCCTCCCACCTCAGCCTCCCAAAGTGCTGAGATTACAGGTGTGAGCCACCGTGCCGGGCTACCACTATTTTTTTTTTAATTTATTTTTTTGAGATGGAGTTTTGTTCTTGTCACCCATGCTGGAATGCAATGGCACGATATCGGCTCACTGCAACCTCCGCCTTCCAGGTTCAAGCGATTCTCCTGCCTCAGCCTCCTGAGTAGCTGGGATTACAGGCTCCCACCACCACACCCGGCTAATTTTTGCATTTTTAATAGAGATGGTGTTTCACCATGTTGGCCAGGCTGGTCTTGAACTCCTGACCTCAGGTCATCTGCCCACCTAGGCCTCCCAAAGTGCTGGGATTACAGGTGTGAGCCTTGGTGCCTGGCTCATTCATTTTTTTCTACAGTGGAAGGGCCTGGGGATGTTTCTGGAGTGCGTGATTCCCAGTCGCTATTTTAATTATTATTTTTTTCAGTCTGTGGGTGGAGAAATCAATTCAGTGGATCATGACCCATATATATTTTTTAAATGAAGTAGAATAGGAAACATCACAGTGCGTGGTGCTTTGCAGAGCGAAGAGTTATCTTGTGCAATTTTTATTGGGGTTATGCAGGTACTTAAACCTCTGTCCTGAGTACATGTGTGTATATGTGTGTTTGGGAGGCCGAGGCGGGCGGATCACCTGAGGCCAGGAGTTCGAGACCAGACTGGCCAATATGGCGAAACCCCATCTCTACTAAAAAATACAAAAATTAGCCAGGCATGGTGGCGGGCACTTGGAGTCCCAGCTACTCAGGAGGCTGAGGCAGGAGAATCACTTTTACCTGGGTGGAGATGTGATGGTCAAGAAAAGTTTACAGCTCCCTCACCTCATATAACTGCTTCTTTCTTTCTTTCTTCCTTTCTTTCTTTCTTTCTTCCTTCCTTTCTTTCTTCCTTCCTTCCTTCCTTCCTTCCTTTCTTTCTCTCTCTCTCTCTCTCTCTCTCTCTCTCTTTCTTTCTTTCTTTCTTTCTTTTGAAATGGAGTCTCACTTAGTCACCCAGGCTGGAGTGCAGTGGCGCGATCTCAGCTCACTGCAAACTCCACCTCCTGGGTTCGCGCCATTCTCCTGCCTCAGCCTCCCGAGTAGCTGGGACTACAGGCGCCCGCCACCACACCCGGCTAATTTTTTTGTATTTTTAGTAGAGACGGGGTTTCACTGTGTTAGCCAGGATGGTCTTTATCTCCTGACCTCGTGATCCGCCCATCTCGGCCTCCCAAAGTGCTGGGATTACAGGCGTGAGACACTGCGCCTGGCCATAACTGCTTATTTCATAATTTAAATATATTTATGTGTGGGCTGGGCACGGTGGCTTACACCTGTAATCACAACACTTTGGGAGGCTGAGGTGGGTGGATCATGAGGTCAGGAGTTCAAGACCAGCCTGGCCAATGTGGCAAAACCTCGTCTCTACTAAAAATACAAAAATTAGCAGGGTACAGTGGTAGGTGCCTGTAATCCCAGCTACCCGGGAGGCTGAGGCAGGAGAATAACTTGAACCCGGGAGGTGGAGGTTGCAGTGAGCCGAGATCGTGCCATTGCATTCTAGCCTGGGCGACAACAGCAAGACTCCATCTCAAAAAAACTAAATAAAAATAAAATAAACAAATAAATATTTATATGTGTGATGAGTTGATTCACTAGAAAGGAATTTTTGGCCGGCTGCGGTGGCTCACGCCTGTAATCCCAGCACTTTGGGAGGCTGAGGCAGGCGGACCACGAGGTCAGGAGATCGAGACCATCCTGGCTAACATGGTGAAACCCCGTCTCTACTAAAAATACAAAAAATTAGCTGGATGTGGTGGTGGGCACCTGTAGTCCCAGCTACTCGGGAGGCTGAGGCAGGAGAATGGCATGAACCTGGGAGGCAGAGCTTGCAGTGAACCGAGATCGTGCCACTGCACTCCAGCCTGGTTGACAGAGCGAGACTCTGTCTCAAAAAAAATTAAAAAAAAAAGAAAGGAATTCTCAGGTGGCGGTGATTTTGCACCCCTTGATCAAGAGATTGACAGCAGTGTCTGGGGACATTTCTGGTTGTCGGGACTTGGAGGAGGTGCTGCTGGCATGGAGTGGGTGGATGCCAGGGACTCCGCTCAGGACCCTGCAGTGCCCAAGGCGGCCTCATCCTAGAGGACAATCCAGCCTTGAATGTCCACAGTGTCTAGAATGGGGATCTCTTAGTTAATTATTTGGGGGGAAAATTGAGTCTGCTCCCTGCTCACACCAGAAAGCAGAATAAGCTCCCGATGGGGCAGATGGTACAAACCATGGGGACCCTTGGGATTCACCTCCTCTCTCCCTCCCCACTCAGGGTGTGGATTTCAATGTGTGTAGCCACCTGGGACCTCAGCAGGGCAGAGGATCATGGGATCCAGAGTCTCTTGGGGGTCTGCGGAATCCCCTAACCCAGGGATTCTAACCTGGAGGATGATTCTGCTCCCAGGGGGCACTGGGTGATGTCTGGGGACATCTGTGGTTGTCACGACTGGGGCGTGCGCCTGGCATGGAGTGAGTGGAGGCCAGGGACGCTGCTCAGCACCCTGCAGTGCCCAGGACAGCCCCACCCCAGAGAACCATCCCTCCCGTAAAGTCCACGGTGAGAAAGCATGGATAAGACTCTCTGATTTACTGAGCTGTCCCAGCACACAGCCTGGCACACAGCAGGTGCTCGCAAAGGATTTGTAAGCCGAGGGGCTGCTGTCTCCAAACCCCCAGCGGCCTGGCTCACCCTCCTGGGGAGAGGGCAGGTGCAGGCGACCTGAGCCAAGGTGCGCGAGATCCTGATGACACACTGCCCCCGTGTGGGCATCCGTGGAACAGCGGCCGGCGGCACGGGCGCCGCGTGGGTGGGGGGCGGGGAGCGTTTGCACCCGGGGAGGTCTCCGCGCTGCGCGGCCCGCTAGGACTTTCTGCCACATCGCCTACATTCTAGCTCCGTGGCGTCCCACGTGGTGGTCACTGGTGGGCTGCTGAGCCCCTGAACCGTGGCCAGGGCAACTGAGGAAATGCATCTTTCATCTCATTTTTATCTATCTATCTATCTATCTATCTATCTATCTACAGCTTGTCACTGCTACCTAGGCTGGAATGCAGGGCCGCGATCATAGCTCACAGCAGCCTCGACCTCCTGGGTTCAATCAATCCTCCCGCCTCGACCTCCCAAAGCGCTGGGGTTAATTACAGCCTGGCCCGTTTCCATCCATCTCAGTGTAAACCTAAGTAACCATGCATGGTTGGTGGCTATCGAGCTCTGGAATGAGGTCTCTCCCCTGGCCGCTGTGGACATTTGGAGCCAGATAGTTCTCTGGGATGAAGCCGTCTTGGGCACTGCAGGGTGCTGAGCAGCATCCGTGGCCTCCACCCACTCCATGCCAAGAGTACCCACCATTGTGACAACCACAAATGTCCCCAGACATCACCCAGTGCCCCCTGGGAGCAGAATCACCCTGGTTGAGACCCCCTGGGTTATGGGATTCCACGGACCCCCCCAAGAGACTCTGTGTCCCATGATCATCTGCCCTACTGGGTCTAGGAGGCTGTACACATTGAAATCCACACCCTCAGTGGGGAGGGAGAGAGGAGGTGAGTCCCAGGAGCTGGGGCCCCCTGGTTTACGCTGTCTGGCCCATTGGGAGTTTATCCTGGTCTCTGGTGTGAGCAGAGATTGGACTCAATTTTTGTGGCTCATGCCTGTAACCCCAGGTCTTTGGGAGGCTGAGGTGGGCGGATCATTTGAGGTCAGGAGTTCAAAACCAGCCTGGCCAAACTGGTGAAACCCCATCTCTACTAAAAATACAAAAATCAGCTGGGTGTGGTCATGGGCAGCTGGAATGCCAGCTACTCGGGAGGCTGAAGCAGGAGAATTGCTTGAGCCTGGGAGGTGGACGTTGCAGTGAGCCAAGATCATGCCACTGCACTCCAGCCTGGGCAACAGAGCAAGACTCTGTCTCAAAAAAACAAACAACAAAAAACCCCACAAAATTTGGCCAGGTACAGTGGCTCACAAATGTGATCCCAACAATTTGGGAGGCCGAGGCAGGTGGATCGATTGAGCCCAGTATTTCAAAACCAGTCTGGGTAACATAGGGAGACCCCTTCTCTACAAAAAAATTTAAAATTAGCCAGGTGTGGTGGTGTGCACCTGTAGTCCCAGCTACTCAGGAAGCTGAGCTGGGAGGATCATTTGAGCCTGGGAGGTGGAGGCGCAGTGAACTATGATCATGCACTGCACTCCAGCCTGGGGGACAGAGCCAGACCCTGTCTCTGAAATTTAAAAAAAAAAAAAAAAAAAAAGTAGTAATAACTGCGCCTACCTTGAAGGCCTGGATCAGTGCTGGGGCTCTGAGAAAATTTGGTAAACCTCAGCCATTTATGATAAAGGGGATGATTATTTTGCTGGGAGGAGAGGTTAGAGGTATCTGAGTAACAGAGCAAGAATAGTGGCTCTGGCTCCTACAGGACCATAGTATATGCCCACAGCCCACTAGATAGATGGGAAAGCAGATAGATGGGACCAGAGAGGGACAGCCACTTGTCCAGAGACACAGAGCCCACCTGTCGTAAAGCTGAGGCTGGCACTTACCCCTTGGGTGTCTATGGGGAGGCAATGGGGCCTCTGGAGGGCAGGCCAAGTAGGCAGCCACACTTCCCTGCTCCCCACAGTCCCCCGGTATCCCCAGGGAGACATCTGCAGGAGTCAGCCTACTAATCACCTAATTAGTGCACAGCCCCCGGGAAATGCTGGGAACACCTTTTAAAGGCCCTTAAACACCCCAACAGTGACTCACAGTCCTGCCAACACCAGGCTCCCAAGGCCGGCAGCTGGGGGCGCTGGGGACGGTGAAAAGCACAAAAACAAAACACATTTGGCCCAGTGCAGTGGCTCATGCCTGTAATCACAACACTTTGGGCAGCCAAGGGGGGGCGGGTGGCTTGAGTCTAGGAGTTCAAGACCAGCCTGGGCAACATAAAAAGACCCCCATCTCAAAACCACAACAGGCCAGGCGTGGTGTCTCATGCCTGTAATCCCTGCACTTCGGGGAACTGAGGCGGGCAGATCACGAGGTCAGGAGTTCGAGACCAGCCTGGCCTACATGGTGAAATACCATCTCTAGAAAAATACAAAAATTAGGCCAGGCGCAGTGGCTCATGCCTGTAATCCCAGCACTTTGTGCGGCCGAGGCGGGTGGATCACGAGGTCAGGAGATTGAGACCATCCTGGCCAACATGCTGAAACCCTGTCTCTACTAAAAATATAAAAATTAGACAGGTGTGGTGGCATGCGCCTGTAGTCCCAGCTACTTGGATGCTGAGGAAGGAGAATCACTTGAACCCGGGAGGTGGAGGTTGCAGTAAGCCAGGATCATGCCACTGCACTCCAGCCTGAGCAACATAATGAGACTCCATCTCCCCCCTCCAAAAAAAAAAAAAAAAAAAGATTGAAATGGAAAAGTCATGTGACCCAAGATTGGCCAATCAGAGTATTCCAGCCAGAACATAGGGATTATATCAGGGATGTCATGTCACCTAAGCCTGGCCAATGAGAATGAGTCCTGAGACATGCTGTAATTAAGCAGAAGGAATTGGCTGGAGTTGCTGAGCTGGGAGGATGAAAGCTTACAGCTGCTGGGGAACGGTGTTTGTTTGCTGCCATGGGAGACAGCTGTCCCAGCTATGCACAGTGACACAGGATCCCGATAATGTTGGAGCCCCTGGATCAAGCCATGCCTGAAGTCAGCCCTAATGTCATGAATGTTCAGTTCCATGGACTTAAGCCATTCCGTTTTTTTTTTTTTGTTATTGTTATTCCGTTGTCACATCCACTCAAAAAATACGACGTGAGATGAGAGACTGCTGCACTGAACAAGTTGATGGGGATATGAGCCAGGATGGTAACCCTATAGTTAGTGGGAATTGATTGGATTCTGGGTATATTGGTAAAGCTGGAGCCAATGGGATTGCTGAGGGATTATAACCACATATGTTTGTATAGTGATTTTATTAATGTCTGGCTCCCCTGCTAGGCTGTAAGGTTGGAGCTATGTGGGTCACTGTATCCCTAATATCTAGACGAAGACCAGGCGTGCAAGTGTTCAATAAAGCCATGTTGTGTGACAGAGCTCTGGGGGTGGAGAGGAAGGCAGACAAAATCCATGATCGCCCCTTTGTGAGCCACAGTTTCCTCATCTGGAATATGGGGATAATAAATAATTACTGTCAGCCAGGCACAGTGGCTCACGCCTGTAATCCCAGTACTTTGGGAGGCCAAGGCAGGTGGATCACCTGAGGTCAAGAGTTTGAGAGCAGCCTGGTCAACATGGCAAAACCCTGTCTCTACTAAGAATAAAAAATTAAGGCAGGGCACGGTGGCTCACGCCTGTAATCCCAGCACTTTGGGAGGCTGAGGCGGGCGGATCACAAGGTCAGGAAATCGAGACCCTCCTGGCCAACATGGTGAAACCCCATATCTACTAACATACAAAAAATTAGCCAGGCATGGCGGCACACTCCTGTAATCCCAGCTGCTGGGGAGGCTGAGGCAGGGGAATCACTTGAACCCAGAAGGTGGAGGTTGCAGTGAGCCAAGATCGCGCCACTGCACTCCAGTCTGGCAACAGAGCAAGACTCCGTCTCCAAAAACAAACAAACAAAAAAACACAAAAATTAGCCAGGCATGGTGGCACACATCTTTAATCCCAGCCATTTGGGAGGCTGAGGCAGGAGAATTGCTTGAACTCGGGAGGAGAGGCAGAGGTTGCAGTGAGCCGAGATCCAGATCATGCCACTGCACTCCAGCCTGGGGGACAGAGCAAGACTCCATCTCCAGATAAATAAATACTAACTCATTCTTTCATTTCACTAAGACCTGATGTTTGCACTGAGTAGAAATTCTTTGCCAGACCCCAAGCTGTGCCCTGGGACACAGCAGTGCAGAAGGCAGTCCGCTCCTTACTCTCATGGATCTTTCAGGGTGACAGATAATAAAGATGACAGCTGGCCTGCCTGGTGGCTCACGCATCTAGTCCCAGCACTTTGAGGGGCTGAGGTGGGAGGGTCACTTGAGGCCAGGAATTCGAGGCTGCAATCAGCTATGATGGCACCACTGTTCTCCAGCCTGCATGACAGCCCAAGACACTGACTAAAAAAATAAAATAAAATTAGGCCAGGCACGATGGTTCATGCCTGTAATCCCAGCACTCTGGAAGGCCAAGGTGGGAGGACTGCTTGACCCCAAGAGTTCAAGACAAGCCTGGGCAACATAGTGAGACCCTGACTCTTGGAAAAAAAAAAAAATCAGCCCAGCCAGGGTGCAGTGGCTCACACCTGTAATTCCAGCACTTTGGGAAGCTGAGGCAGGCAGATCACCTGAGGTCAGGAGTTGGAGACCAGCCTGGCCAACAAGGTGAAATCCCATCTCTACTAAAAATACAAAAATTGGGCCAGGCGCGGTGTCTCATGCCTGTAATCCCAGCACTTTGGGAGGCTGAGGCGGGGGGGATCACCTGAGGTCAGGAGTTCGAGACCAGCCTGACTAACATGGAGAAACCCCGTCTCTACTAAAACTACAAAATTAGCCGGGCGTGGTGGCACATGCCTGTAATCTCAGCTACTAAGGAGGCTGAGGCAGGAGAATCACTTGAACCCGGGAGTCGGAGGTTGCAGTGAGCCGAGATCATGCCACTGCACTCCAGCCTGGGTGACAGAGCGAGACTCCGTCTCAAAAATAAATAAATATCAAAATGTTAAATAAACATAAATAAATAAAAATAGATAACAATAAAATAGAGTGATATAATAACAATATTTTTTGTTTTTTCCATATGACTGGTTAGAGAAGGCCTCTCAGAGGAAGTAATTGTCCAGGCCAGGCCTGCTGGCCCACACCTGTAATCCCAGCACTTTGGGAGGCTGAGGCGGGTGGATCACGAGGTCAGGAGATCAAGACCATCCTGGCTAACACAGTGAAACCCCGTCCCTACTAAAAATACAAAAAATTAGCCGGGCGTGGTGGCGGGCGCCTGTAGTCCCAGCTACTCAGGAGGCTGAGGCAGGAGAACGGCGTGAAACCGGGAAGCGGAGTTTGCAGTGAGCAGAGATCCGGCCACTGCACTCCTGCCTGGGCGAGAGAGCAAGACTCTGTCTCAAAAAAAAAAAAAAAAAAAGAAAAAGAAAAAAGAAAAGTCATGTGACCCAAGGCTGGCCAATCAGAGCATTCTACTCGAGCCATAAAATTTGTCTCAAGGATGTCATGTGACCCAGGGCTGGCCAATCAGAACATTGTACTCAGGCCATAAGGTGTAGATTAAGGATGTCAGGAGCCAACTGGGTGCTGTGTGCTAATTACTTCCAGGGTCTTATCTCATTTAATTCTGCAACAACCTGGTGTGTCATCTTAACCCATTCATTTATTCATTCACTCATTCAGTAACTATTGGGCATTTATACTGAGCCAGGCCCTGTTCTAGGTATTGAGGATACAAAAGTGACCAGGACTCACCAAACCCCCTGCCTCCCGGGGCCTACATTCAAGAAAGTAAACACACAAACCGCATTACACGTCAGACAGTGCTGTGTCCCATGGAGCAGGGAAAACGCTGACCTCATGACCTGCACGCGGAATATGGGTTGAGGCCTCTATGAGCTGGGCCTAGGAGGCAGTCTGAGTGAGTTATGCAAGATTTTTATTTAACATTTTGATATTTTGTTCATTGTGGATTTTTTTTCATTAATTTTGATTTGTTAAAATATTGTTGGCTGGGCGCGGTGGTTCATGCCGGTAATCCCAGCACTTGGGAAGGGGAGGTGAGTGGATCACAGAGGTTGCAGTGAGCCGAGATTGCGCCATTGCACTCCAGCCTGGGCGACAGAGCCAGACTCCGTCAAAAAAAAAAAAAAAAAAAAAAAGTGGGCCGGTCGTGGTGGCTCACGCCTGTAATCCCTGCACTTTGGGAGGCCGAGGGGGGTGGATCACGAGGTCAGGAGATTGAGAGCATCCTGGCTAACACGGTGAAACCCCGTCTCTACTAAAAATGCAAACAAAATTAGCCAGGCGTGGCGGCGTGCGCCTGTAGTCCCAGCTACTCGGGAGGCTGAGGCAGCAGAGTGGCGTGAACCCGGGAGGCGGAGCTTGCAGTGAGCCGAGATCATGCCACTGCACTCCAGCCTGGGCGACAGAGCGAGACTCTGTCTCAAAAAACAAAACAAACAAACAAAAAAACACGTAGATTGCATCAAAACAGTGTTTATCCTGATGACTTAGGTATTTGGCATCCCCTTAACTTTTTTTTTCTTTCTTTTTTTTTTTTCTTTTGAGACGGAGTCTCACTCTGTTGCCCAGGCTGGAGTGCAGTGGTGCGATCTCGGCTCACTGCAAGCTCCACCTCCCGGGGTCACGCCATTCTCCTGCCTCAGCCTCCCGAGTAGCTGGGACTACAGGCACCCGCCACCACGCCCGGCGTGTGTGTGTGTGTGTGTGTGTGTGTGTGCGCGCACGCCAGGATGGTCTCCATCTCCTAGCCTTGTGATCCGCCAGTCTCGGCCTCCCAAAGTGCTGGGATTACAGGCGTGAGCCACCGCGCCCAGCCTTCTTTCTTTTTTTTGAGACAGGGTCTCACTCTGTCACCCACGCTGGAGTGCAATGGTGTGATTTTGGCTCACTGCAGCCTCAGCCTCCCGGGCTAAAGCAATCCTCCCACCTCAGCCTCCTGAGTGGCTGGGACAACAGGCACACGCCACCACACCTGGCTAATTTTTGTTTGTTTGTTTTTTGTAGAGTTGGGGTTTCACCATGTTACCCAGGCTGGTCTTGAACTTCTGGGATCAAGCAATCTGCCCTCCTTGGCCTCCCAAAGTGCTGAGATTACAGGCGTGAGCCACCTCACCCTGCCTCTCTTAAGTTTTATGCCTTAAGAAAGGACCTCACTCCCAGGTACATTCACCCTGGTCCTAGCCCTGCCTCAGTCAAATAGGGAAGCTGAAGGCAGCTTCATTGAGAGAGTGACACTTCAATCAAGAATGGGGCCAGGTGCAGTGGCTCACGCCTGTAATCCCAGCACTTTGGGGGGCCGAGGCGGGTGGATCACCTGAGGTCAGGAGTTCAAGACCAGCCTGGCCAACATGGAGAAACACCATCTCTACTAAAAATACAAACAATTAGCCAGGCGTGGTGGCTCACGCCTGTAATCCCAGCTATTCGGGAGGCTGAGGCAGGAGAATCGCTTGAACCTGGGAGGCAGAGGTTGCAGTGAGCCGAGATCGTGCCACTGCACTGCAGCCTGGGCAACAAGAGCTAAACTCCGTCTCCAAAAATATAAATAAATAAAAGTTTTAAGCTTATCAGCTCCAAAAGGTGGAGTGGGGGGATTTCTCTCCTTGGTCACTGCTCAGAACCTCCACTTACAAGCATGCCTGACACACAGTAACTGCTCTCTAAGTATCTGAAGCTGCATTTGGGAGTAGCAGTGGGGTGACCCTAAGGTCTTGAGCAGTGAGCTCTCATGGCCCCACGTCACCCGGCCAGGTAGCAGCAGTCCGGGAGCTCAACCCCAGGGCTGGACAGCTGAGTCCTACCTCCACCCGGGCCCAGCAGAGGGAGGTCCCTGCTTCTGCACGGCGGCCACCTGTTTCCTCCCCGGCCTGTGATTAATGGCCATGCGGCCCCATCCATCACGCGCCAGCGCCAGGCTCTGCCCTGGAGGCCGCGGGGCCCAGCGCTCATTTGTAACCAGGCCTTGAGCCTGGTCTCAGACGATTGGATCCATGAGACAGATCCCCGCCCCGCCTTGGCCCCAGATGTGGCCCTGAGAATCCCAGGGAGAGGAAGGACCGTGAGCCGGACACGTGGGGTCAGGGACGGGGGTGGGGGGTTATGTGTGTGGGGTAGGGGGGCTCAGTGGCAGCCACCCAGACACTGTGATGTGCTTAAACCCCAATTCTCGCCAATTAATTACACATTCCCTCCTGCGGCAAGCTGTCTGCCCTTCCTCACCCTCCCGCCATCTGCATTCTGTTCTTGTTATGCTCCCCAAAAAAGCTCTTTGCCATGGGCCCAGCCCAGGCTGCCCATCTCTCGCCTAATCCTCCCATCACACTACCGGGGAGAATCTTCTACCACCAGCTGCCCTGTTTCTTCCATGCTCTAAGCCAGGGGTGCTCATTCTCGTGTCATTGTGCCCCCCACGGGACACTGGGTGATGTCTGGGGACACCTGTGGGCGGAACATCTCGGGGGTGCCCCTGGCATGGAGTGAGTAGAGGCCAGGGACACCGCTCAGCACCCTGCAGTGCCCAGGACGCCCCTTGCCCCCCAAGAGAATGAATGATCTGGGCCAGAATGTCCAAAAAGCAGACTTTGCTATTTGACTGAGGCAGGGCTAGGACCAGGATGAGTGTACTTGAGAGTGAGGTCCTTTTTTTTTTTCTTCTTTTTTTGAGATGGAGTTTCATTCTTGTCGCCCAGGCTGGAGTGCAATGGTGTGATCTCGGCTCACCGCAACCTCTGCCTCCTGGGTTCAAGCGATTCTCCTGCCTCAGCCTCCTGAGCAGCTGGTATTACAGGCACCCACCACCACGCCCGGCTAATTTTGTAGTTTTAGTAGAGACGGGGTTTATCCATGTTGGTCAGGCTGGTCGCGAACTCCCGACCTCAGATGATCTGCCCGCCTCGGCCTCCCAAAGTGCTGGGATTACAGGTGTGAGCCCGCCCGGCCGAGAGTGAGGTCCTTTTTTCAGGTGTCAAACTTAAGAGGGGCCAGGCGTGGTGGCTCACACCTGTAATCCCAGCACTTTGGGAGGCCCAGGAGGGCAGACTGCTGGAGCCCAGAAGTTCAAGACCAGTCTGGGTAACATGGTGAAACCCCATCTCTATGAAAAACAAAAATTAGCCGGGCGTGGTGGCACACGCTTTTCATCCCGGATACTCGAGAAGCTGAGGTGGGCAGATTGCTTGAGCCTGGGAGGTCGAGGCTTCAGTGAGCCGAAGTCACACCACTGCGCTCCAGCGTGGGTGACAGAGTAAGAACCCTGTCTCAAAAAAAAATAAAAAAGCTAAGGGGATGCCAAATACCTAAGTCATCAGGATAAACACTATTTTGATGCAATCTACTTTTATTTTTTGAGATGGAGTCTCCCTCTGTCGCCCAGGGTGGAATGCGATGGCGCTAACTGAAGAATCTTGCTCTAAAACCTCCTGTGGCTCCCTAGTGCCCTCCAGGTAAAATCCCAGCTCCTCAGCCCAGCAGCACGTGCTGCCATCGTGTCCCGGCCAGAAGCCACACTGCAGAGTGCTCAAAGGCCCAAGGTCAAGATCAAAGGCCTGGGATAACATCGTGGTTCTGCCCCCTACCCACTTGGCCAAGTCACTTCACTTCTCTGTGACTCACTTTCCCCATTTTTTTTCGTTTTCTTTTTTTTTATTTTTTATTTTTGGAGACAGAGTCTCATTCTGTCGCCCAGGCTGGAGTGCAGTGGCACGATCTCGGCTCACTGAAACCTCCGCCTTCCGGGTTCAAGCGCTTCTCCTGCCTCAGCCTCCAGAGTAGCTGGGATTACAGGCGCCCACCACCACGCCTTAATTTTTGTATTTTTAGTAGAGACGGGGTTTCGCCATGTTGGCCAGGCTAGTATCAAACTCCTGATCCTCAAGTGATCTGCTTGCCTCGGCCTCCTAAAGTGCTGGGATGACAGGCCTGAGCCACCCTGCCGGCCTGTTTTCCCCCCATCTCTAAAATGGGTGTGACAACTGTACCTAAAGGTTAAAGTGCTTAAGGCAGCCCCTGGTGCGGAGCAAAAACATACAGACCTGTGTGGCTTGGTTGATTATTTATAGTGTGGGCCACCATTCTGGGCTGCCTTCTATGCAGAAAAAAAACCTATTTTCTAAAAACGATGATTTCACAATGACTCTCTCCTTCACAGGCCTAGGTCCCTGTGGGTGGCCCAGCCCTCACCTCACCGTGCTCAAGGTATCTGTGTCCAGTTCTGCTTCCCCTGACAGTGTGGGGGCTTCGAAAATGGGGCTGTTTGGTCACTGGGCGGGCACACTGATACCGGAAGGCGCCTGCCTAAATAAACACTGGCAGGTGGCCTCCCAGGAGAGGGGGTGTCTGGTCCCCACGGCAGTGGGGGTGGGGTGGCAGGGGTGCTAGCGGCAGGACTGGCTTCAGGGGCAGTCTAGGAACGCAGTCTCTCAGGGCCCTGCAGGAAAAACAAGGGTGTTGCGGTTGGTTGAAGGCTTGGCTGTTACTAAGTAGTATTAATCTCTGTTTCTTTGTTTCTTTTTTTTTTGAGACAGAGTTTCGCTCTTGTCGCCCAGGCTGGAGTGCAGTGGCACAATCTTGGCTCACCGCAACCTCCACCTCCCAGGTTCAAGCAATTCTCCTGCCTCAGCCTCCCAAGTGGCTAGGATTACAGGCGTGAGCCACCATGCCAGGCTAATTTTGTATTTTTAGTAGAGACGGAGTTTCTCCATGTTGGTCAGGCTGGTCTCAAGCTCCTCACCTCAGGTGATCCGCCTGCCTCGGCCTCCCAAAGCGCTGAGATTACAGGTGTGAGCCACCACACCCGGCCACCAAGTAGTAGTAATCTTAAAAATCCAAAATCCTAATCCTTTCTAGCCTCATCTTTTTTTTTTTTTTTTTTTTGAGACAGAGTCTCACTCTGTCACCCAGGCTGGAGTACAGTGGCGCGATCTTGGCTCACTGCAACCACCACCTCCCAGCTTCCAGCGATTCTCCTGCCTCAGCCTCCAAGTAGCTGGAATTAGAGGCGCCCGCCAAAACACCCCGGTAATTTTTGTATTTGTAGTAGTGACGAGGTTTCACCATGTTGGCCAGGCTGGTCTCGAACTCCTGAGCTTGTGATCCACTGGCCTCGGCTTCCCAAAGTGCTGGGACTACAGGCATGAGCCACTGCTCCCGGCTTACAAAAAATGTTAAAATTAGCTGGGCATGGTGGTGCACTCCTGTAGTCCCAGCTACTCAGGATGCTGAGGTCGGAGGATCACTTGAGCCCAGGAGTGGGAGGCTGCAGTGAGCTATGATTGCACCACTGCACTCTAGCCTATGCAACAGAGGACTGTGTCTGAAAAAATTTTTTTAGGCCGGGTGTGGTGGCTCGCGCCTGTAATCCCAGGACTTTGGGAGGCCGAGGCAGGCAGATCACGAGGTCAGGAGATCGAGACCATCCTGGCTAACACAGTGAAACTCCGTCTCTACTAAAAATACAAAAAATTAGCCGGGCGTGGTGGTGGGCGCCTGTAGCCCCAGCTACTCGGGAGGCTGAGGCAGGAGAATGGCATAAACCCGGGAGGTGGAGCTTGCAGTGAGCCGAGATGGCACCACTGCACTCCAGCCTGGGCCACACAGTGAGACTCCACCTCAAAAAAAAAATTTTTTTTTAATAAAAATATTAAAACACTGCTTTAAAGATTATTAATCTTGATCACTGAAGGCTATCACCCTTACCTGCCAAGGTAAGGAGCCTGGGGTTCCAAGTCTATTTTACAGATGGGAACACCCAAGGCCCAAATCAATTGCATTCATTCAAGGGAGCAGGCTGCCTAGTGGATGACGATGATGAAGAGACTGTGTTTCGCACCTGCCAAAGGGGGACCTTAATGTCATAGCCTTATTTCAGTAGCCTCTTTGGGACCTGTTCTCTGCGTGGCAGAGAGAGGGATCCTTTAATAACCGCCACCAGGTCCCATCCCTCCTCTTCCCACGGCTCTCCAGGATTCCCACCTCACTCAGAGCAAAAGCCCAAGTCCAGGGCCAGGCGCAGTGGCTCACACCTGTAATCCCTGCACTCTGGGAGGTGGAGGCGGGAGGATCACCTGATGTCAGGATTTCAAGACCAGTCTGGCCAATATGGTGAAACCTGTCTCTACTAAATATACAAAAATTAGCCAGGCGTGGTGATGCGCACCTGTAATCCCAGCTACTCAGGAGGCAGAGGCAGGAGAATCACTTGAATCCGGGTGGCAGAGGCTGCAGTCAGCCAACATCACATCACTGCACTCCAGCCTGGGCAACAGAGTGAGACTCCATCTCAAAAACAAACAAACAGCTGATCACGGTGGCTCACGCCTGTAATCCCAGCACTTTGGGAGGCCGAGGCGGGCAGATCATCTGAGGTCGGGAGTTCAAGACCAGCCTGACCAACATGGAGAAACCCCGTCTCTACTAAAACTCCAAAATTAGCGGGGCGTGGTGGCACGTGCCTGTAATCCAGCTACTCGGGAGGCTGAGGCAGGAATCACTTGAACCCAGGATGCGGTGAGCTGAGATTGTGCCATTGTACTCCAGCCTGGGCAACAAGAGCGAAACTCCATCTCAAAAAACAAACCAACCAACCACCAGGTCCCGTCCCTCCTCCTCCCACAGCCTTCCAGGGCTCCTACCTCACTCAGAGCAAAATCCCAAGTCCTCCCCAAGACCCACAAGTCCTTGCTGGACTGGCCTGCTTCACCAGCTACAGAGTTAGCAGGGCCCAGTGCAAAAGAAAACTCAAAGGCCCCTTGTTCAAAAATGATTAGAAATCTCAAAATGCAGCAGTAAATATTAACCCAAGCACAAGCCCTGCTGTGGGGTGGGGGGGCCCTGGACAAAAGCACGAAGCCCCCGGCCCTGCCTCCCTCCGGCCTTCCTGACCTCCCCCCGGGCACTCTGCTGCCAGGCACAGTCCTGCCCCAGGGCCTTTGCACCTGTTGGTCCTGCCTCTGACTACCTCTGTACCCCATCCCCCTGTTCTCCCTCCTTCTTCAGGTCGCTTTAGGGGTGGAGGAAGCCGTCTCTGATCCTCCCTCCCACCTCTTTAACTTTGCACCTTCCTACCCTGCCATTCTCCCGGCTGGTTTTTCTGCAGAACTGTCCCCACCATCTGACCTGCCAGGAATTCAGCTTGTGAATTTGTCTCTGTCTGTCTCCAGGCACCACCACCAGGGCAGGGACCCACCCCCGCCCCGCCCCACCCCAGGGCCCTGGAGCAGCGGGGCCTGGCACACAGTAGGCGTTCTATAAATGTGTCACAAGAATGGCTTCCCTCAGGAAGGCGGCATTACCGCTGCCTTTCTGCAGAAAAGGAAACTAAGGCTCAGCAAGAACCACCGCCCAGCCAGAGCCAAGGTCACAGAGCACGTCCGTGGCACGCGTCCAGGTCGTGCCACAGCAGGGCCGGCGGCTTCGACGCGGGCAGCCGGGTCCCTTTTCTTTGACAGATGGGGAAACCGAGGCCCGGCCGGCTGCCGGGTAGGAGAGGGTGGCGGGGGCCGCTGCCCGGGGCGGGGGCGGGCCGGGCCCAAGGTCACCGCGGCGGGCGGGCCACGGGGAGGCGGGCCGGCGTGGGGATCCGCAGGCCTCCCCGGGCGCGCGCGTCCCCCCCCTCGGCGGCGCGCACGGGGCACGGGCGGCGGCAGGTGGAGCCGAAGCCTCCGCAGCAGCCGAGCCGCGGCCACTGCCGGCGTCGCCGCCATTAGACAATAGCGGTGGGGCCGGGGAGCGGGGAGGCGGGCGGCGGGGAGGGGCGGGGAGGGGCGCCGGGCGCGCAGGAAGCGGGGCCCGGGGCGCGCCGGGGCCGGGCGCGCGGGGAGGGGGCGCAGGAAGCGGGCGAGGCCGGGCGCGGGAGGCGGCGGCGGCCCCGGGAGCTGCCGATCGGCGCCGGGACAAAGGCGCGGCCGCCCGGCGCCCCCAGCAGCCCGAGCCGGGGCGCACAGCCGGGGCGCAGCCCGCGCCCCCCGCCGCGATTGACATGATGTTTCCACAAAGCAGGCATTCGGTAAGCGGGGCCCGTCCGGCCGGCGCCCCCACCCCGGATCCGGGCCCTACGCCCCCGACCCCCGGCTCCCGGCCCCGCGCCCCCCAACCCCCAGGCCCGGTGCCTCCGGCCCGGCGCCCCCCCCAACTCCCCGGCCCTGTCTTCCCTCTCCAGCTCCCAGCCCGGCGCGACCCCCCTCCCCTCCTGCCGCCGGCCCCCGGACACCCCCCCTCCAGTTCCCGATCCACCCCAGCTTCCGGGCCCCGAGCCCCCCCGCCGCAGCTCCCGGCTTGGCGCCCCCCCCCCCCAACCCGCCGGGACAGTCAGGGCCTCGGACGGCCTTGGCCTCGGGCCTGGGGCGCTCCGGAAGCCCCGCGAGGCACCTCTAGCCCGGGGATCCTTTGGGGGCCTGTGGTGGGGGGGGTGATCCGAGGCGCACCCCTCCCGGAAGAGCGTGTCCCCGAGGAAGGGCGCTGGGAATCTGGGGTTGGGCCCCCCCGGAAGATTTCGAGCACCGAGAGAGAGACCCCTCCCCCAAGAGGACTTTGCAGGGAGGAATCGCTGCCCCCCAACTTGGGGAGGGGGCTCCCTAGGGCGCGTTTCTACCCCCCTCGGATGTGCACTCCCTCCCGGCGCTTTGGAGGGCGGTAGAGGGCGCACCCTGCCCCCCATCTAGGGCGGGCCTTAAAACGCACCCCCACTGCCTGGGGGTGGCGGGGGACGGGGCGGCTCCGGGCGCACCCACCCGCTCGGCTTCCCCCGGGAGAGGCGGGGGGCAGGAAGCGCGGGTGGGGTCGCGCCAGGGGCCGTAAACACGGGCCCAGGAAGTGGGGCAGGAGGGGGGGCGCCGCAGCTGCGCGGCCGCTCCCTCCTAGCCGGCCCTTGAGGGGGGTCCAGCCCACGCCTGGGCCTGACCCGGGCCGCCCCATCCCTACAGGGCTCCTCGCACCTACCCCAGCAACTCAAATTCACCACCTCGGACTCCTGCGACCGCATCAAAGACGAATTTCAGCTACTGCAAGCTCAGTACCACAGGTGAGCTGGGGGACTGGGGGTCCCTGCGTCCCGAGAATGTGAGTCCCCCCATTTCTTCTGCGCAGATGGCAAGGCTGAGGCCTGGAGATTGGGAAAATAATATATGCTAGACTCTGACCTAATCACTTGACAAATACTGAATTCATTTATTTTAAACAGCCCCATTTTGTAGAGGAGAAAACCGAGGCACAAAAATAGTTAAATAATTTGCCCAAAGATTCAGCTGTGTGGCTTCAGAGCCCCTCCCTCCTCCCCAATACCCCCAAGTCCCCCATTGGATAAAAGACCTTCCAACAATTGGAGTTACGGCACGGACTCGCCATCCCTCAACCCCCAAAACAGAAACATTCTGCAGCCTGGTCATCTCTCTCTTTGCCCAGTTTTGGAGAAAGGGTTCCCAGCACCCGTCAGATTCTCCAAGGTGCTGCTTCTTTCAGAAATCTGGCGTTTCTGAAGAGCTTGCCACGCTGCGGTATCTAAGGGGAAGGAACTATTTAGTCCTCTTACACTTAAAGAAACTTAAGCCCAGGCCAGGCGTGGTGGCTCATGCCTGTAATCCCAGCACTTTGGGAGGCCGAGGAAGGTGGATCACTTGAGGTCAGGAGTTCGAGACCAGCCTGGCCAACATGGTGAAACCCCGTCTCTACCAAAAATACATAGTTAGCTGGGTGTGGTGGCGGGCGCCTGTAATCCCAGCTACTCGGGTGGCTGAGGCAGGAAACTTGCTTGAACCCGTGAGGCGGAGGTTGCAGTGAGCAGAGATGGAGCCACTGCTCTCCAGCCTGGGTAACAGGGAGACTCTGTCTCAAAAAAAAAAAAAAAAAAAAAAAAGAAAGAAAAAAAGAAACTTAAGCCCAGAGATGTTATGATGTTATTTCCTCGGGGGTGTCCATAGCATTGAGGAAGTGGCAAGGCTGAGGTTTGCACCAGGTCTCTCTCCTGGTTTAAGGATATAGGTTCTCGCCTGCCCTGCTCTGGAGGGGCACGCCGGGCCTGGGAATCTGGAGAAAGTCAGGCTATGCTCAAACCCCCGTTTGGCCTTGGGGCCCTCTCTAAACTGAAGCGTGCCCACCCCAGAAGTGTTCCTGGAAGGATCCTGGATTTCCTCCAAGTAGAAAGGGGAATCTCGATTTTGTTGTTGCTGCTGCAAATATCCCACCTTTTTGGGTACTCCCTGTGTGCTCAAGACCGTTCGTGCCTCCTCGTGCTTCATCCTTCCTGTCGTCCGACTGTCGTACCCATTCTCAAGCTGGGCAAACTGAGACACTGACAGTCGAAGGTGCTGGAGTCAGCTTTCCATGCAGGCCCCAGAAGCTTTTGTGCGGGTTCCTCGATATGAAGGGTTGGATACCGCCTGGTGAGCCCCGGGGCTGACCTGATTCCACAGGGAAGGGATCAGATGGCGGTCACAGTGCTGTGTGACCTCTGCTAAGCCGGAAGCCCTCTCTGAGCTTTGGGGTCTCCATCCGCTGGGCCTGGGCTTCCTGCTGTCCAACGAGGGACCCTACCATATCAGAGGCACACACCGGATGTTCGAGGCGTAACAGCCCCTGGGTGGCCAGACCATCCTATTTTTCAAGAAAGGCCAGAAATGCAGGCTTTGGAGTGAAACTTCTTTTTTATTTTATTTTATTTTTTTGAGACGGAGTCTTGCTCTGTCGCCAGGCTGGAGTGCAGTGGCGCGATCTCGGCTCACTGCAACCTCCACCTTTGGGATTCAAGCGATTCTTCTGTTTCAGCCTCCCAAGTAGCTGGGATTACAGGCGTGCACCACCACACCCGGCTAATTTTTGTATTTTCGGTAGAGACGGGCTTTCGTTATGTTGGCCAGGCTGGTCTCAAACTCCTGACCTCAAGTGATCCACCCGCCTTGGCCTCCCAAAATGCTGGGATTACAGGCGTGAGCCACTGCACCCAGCCCCGGTTTTTTTTTGTTTTTGTTTTTGTTTTTAATGGTAGCAACAAATGCACATTTTAAAAGAAAACTAGAGAAAAATTGGTGGCGGCCAAAGCATCCCTAACCCGGCACACTCTTCTCCGGTGGAGCAAAATGCCAGGTTCCTGGGGTATCCTAAGATCCATGTGCATTTATGGGATGCTTACTGTATGCCAGGTACTGTTCTAGAACTTTTCTTGTCTGAATTCATTGACTCTTCTCCACCCCACCCTGCGAGGTTGTTAGTGGTACCTCACAGAGGAGGAAATGAAGCCCAGAGAGGTAGTGGAGTTTGCCTAGAGTCACACAGCAGGGAAGACGAAGGGCTGAGCTTTGAACCCAGTCCGAGAGGGGGTGGGGATGGCAGAAGCAGGTAAGCCACAGCCAGGTCCGCAGGGCCCCTGTGCTGGGTTGGATTTAAGTAGGTTAAAGGACACCTCCCCCACCACCATCACCAGTTCTTTTCCTGGACTGGGAGGCCCTCCTGCCTGCTCTCTTCCCTCCGGCCATGACGCCCTCATGGGGGCTTTGAGAAACGCCCCACAGCTCATCCTTCCCGGGAGGGCCTGTAGGAAGCTCTGGTGTCAGCCACCCGGACTGGCCAGGTGGAGTGGGAGAAATGGTGTGTTTTGTCCCAGCTAAAGAAAAAAGGCTGTTAGGAAGGACTAAGAGGGAGCTGAGGGGTCTGCCTGGGAAGTCCAGGCCCCCCATGAAGCTAGGGTCCCCTTGGGAAGTCCAGCCGGGAGCCGCCTTGCAGCCCCAGACCCTCTCAGCCTCTTTGTACGTTCTATTTGGGTCTGGAAAATTTTCCCCTGTGGTTGAGAGCTTGGGCTGCTGCTTGGCTGTGTGACCTTGAGCCAGTTCCTCACCCTCTCTGGGTGT
Source organism: Homo sapiens (assembly GCF_000001405.40). Classification (NCBI taxonomy): domain Eukaryota; kingdom Metazoa; phylum Chordata; class Mammalia; order Primates; family Hominidae; genus Homo; species Homo sapiens. Next base: position 3,058,341 of record NC_000019.10, on the reverse strand, counting down.
CCACTGTGTCATCTATAAAAGGAGCGTGACAATGACGTTGCGGGCCTCGTCGGGACCGTGAGAGGTGAAGGCTCGTGAGACTCTCAGAGCTAGCGTTACCGTGCCCCCTCTAACTTCTGTTGTTCCTATAATGTTACTATAATGTTGCTTATTTCCCCCCAACCAGATCTGCAAGGGTGGTTTCATCACCCCCTTCTTACAGTCAGGGGCCCTGATGCTCTCCCCTCCCCGCAGCATCACAGAGAGCTCAACTCTTACCAACTTCCCTGCCCCTCAATTCAATGTCCTCAGCCCCTATGAAAGTTTACGGCTTCATTGACCAGGCACGGTGGGTGGCTCATATCTGTAACCCCAAGCACTTTGGGAGGCCGAGGAAGGAGGATTGCTTGAGCCCAGGAGTTTTTGAGACCAGCCTGGGCAACATAGGGAGACCCCCGTCTCAATTTAAAAAAAAAATTATTGCTTGACCCTCTGAGAATTGGCTGATCTTGCCCTTACAGGGGACTTGGAGCCTCAGTTTCCTCCCCTGGATAACGGAGGGTGGGGGGCTCCCGCCCAGCCGCCACTAACCACCCCATCTCCCCCCTGTGCCTCCTCAGCCTCAAGCTCGAATGTGACAAGTTGGCCAGTGAGAAGTCAGAGATGCAGCGTCACTATGTGATGGTAACGTCACTCCGCCCCCAGGTCCAGTGTTGGGGGCGGGCGACAGGGCCCTCCACATCCCCTCCACCACGGGCAGCTGCTCCCTCAACCCCGGCCACCTCCCCTGGGAAGCGCGAGGATCGGGGCCTGTTCTCCATTCAGCCGGCCCCTGCTGGGCTGAGCCTGCCTCGCTAGCCTGGCAGATGGCCGAGGCAGTGGCCGAGGTGCCAAACCGCCGGGTTGCAGACCGGCCCTGCCAGGTCCCCCGGCTGTCCTTGGCAGCGGAGGAGGGAGGAGAGGGAGGCTCACCGGCTGTGAAAGCCAACAGCCAGGAACTGACGTGGGGGAGCAGCCGAGTCCCTCCCCACCGCCAAGGTCCCAGCGTCCACACGCTTAACCCCTTTGGGCCCGAGCTCAAAGAAGAAGCCTGTGGGAGGGGGTCTGAGCCCTACCCATTTCGGGGGGCTGATGTGTGACACTGCATTGCTGCTGCCAGAACCACTTGCTCGGTTTTGTAACTGCCAGGTGACGATTTCTGCATCAAAAATCCCCTCCCTTACCCACCCTTGGCCTGGCCCTCGAGCAGCGATGCTGGGGTCTCAGCCCAGTACCCAAATCTCCCAGACTGTGGGGGAGGCAGAGCCAGACCCTGACCCTCCCAGCCAGAAGAATAGGGCTGGGGTCAGAGAGAGGGACCTAGGACCTGCCTGAGGAAGACTATATGGAGAAATGGGGCACACAGCTGGGGTCTTGCAGGATGAGTAGGAGTTCACCAGACAGAGACAGAGAAACTACGTGAAGGCCTGGGAATGAACTTGGTTTTCCCCCAGGGGTGACAGGGAGCCATGGGAGGGTTTAGAGCAGGGGAGGGGCAGGGTGAGATCTGGGGCTTGGGGTGGGGGTAGCTGCTGGCCCCAGAGCCAGCAGGCTTTGTTTACCCCTCACTGTTTATACCTAGGCAGGCAAACTTCCCTGGCGTCTGGGCCCACCCGCAGACAAGACATAGAAAGATACAAGATTAGGAGCCCTGGAATGCGTGTTCTCGCGGTGCACATGGAGTGGGGGAGGAGCCAGGCCAGGGCTAGGGACCTAAAGTGCCCCCAGTCTCCATCCGCAGCCCCAGCGGCCCCCTGCCCCTCTCCAGGGCGGGCTGGGATGCTGGGTGTGGGCGTCTCTCCCTCCTCTTTCCCTCCCACCTGCCTCTCCTTTCTTTCCTGCCCTCAGCTGTCTCTTGCTGTCTCCCCCCTTTGTCTGTCTCTGCCACTCCCCTATCTCTTTGTCTCCGTGTCCCCCCATCCTTCCCCACCCCCATCTCCCGCTCCCCCTCTCTCTCCCCCATACAGTACTACGAGATGTCCTACGGCTTGAACATCGAGATGCACAAACAGGTACGCCCATCTCCTCCTCCTCCTCCTCCTCCTCCTCCTTCCCCCTCCTCCCCCCACCTCCAGCCCCGCCTTGGGCACCCCCAGGCAGGTAGCGGCCGGCCCTCGGCTGGGCACCAAGCCAGCCCGGTTATCCTGTTACCTCCTAAGCCCTCCCCAAGCTCCCGCTCTCCTCCCCCCCGCCCCGCCTCTTTTTCAGGCCTCCCTGGGAGTGTTTCTCCCGGTGGTGGGGAGGGGCAGAGACCTTCCCCACAGCCTACGGCCCCCAGCCCTCCCTACATTCGCACAAGCGCTTACTACCTGCCAGGGGCCTGAGTGGCCGACCCCCGAGGAATGTGCAGTCTGGCCTCATCCTGCACTTACCTCACTCTAAGCTGCAGGCGACAGCCGGTGTCCAGCCCCACCTTTGCCACTGACTGGCTGCCCTCGGGCCCGAACACGGCTTTGCTCATCCCACCCTGGCCAGACCTAGCCCCTCTTAGAAGCCGCAAGTGGCAGGGCTGGGCCGGGCCCCGCGCAGGCCTCCTGTGGCTAGCCTGCACCTGCCACCCGCCCAGGACTGAAGCCGGCTTCATCTGTGTGTTCCAGGCTGAGATCGTCAAAAGGCTGAACGGGATTTGTGCCCAGGTCCTGCCCTACCTCTCCCAAGAGGTAAGAGCCAGGGCCTTGGGGAGGGGTTGTGAGGGGGCCCCGCACTTGCCCAGCCCCTGTCCACTGCAGCCATCTTGGGTGGTGTGCTGGGCGCCCCAGGGCACACGCCTCCCCTCTCTGGACCTCCCTGGCTCTGAACACCAGAGCCGGCCTGTGCAGAAGAATCCCCGGGCCAGAGACACTCCAGGGGTGCAGGCGTGTGGGGGGCGGGCCTCACCCTGCTCTGGAATTCCCAGCTGGAGTGAGTCATGTCATAGGTAGAAATGTCAGATGGGCCTAAACTGCACCAGGAATGTTTTTTTCTCATCTCTCTTCCTCCTTTCACCCTCTTGAGACATCCTCCTCCAGGCCATGCGGGCTGCACAGGACCAAGGACTAGAGGGTGTTAGGGGATTGTGGGGGAAGGGGTAGCACAGGGTGGTCACACATGGACACAGCCACACAGATAGGCACGAGCACATCAACACACGGGAGATACACAGATGCAGACACGGATACACGTGTGTGCAGACAGCACAGGGACACGCATGCAGGAATGTGCAGCTACACGTGGGCACACGTGATCCTGAGCACACATTACCACATGCACACACACACCCAGATGAACCTGACGCCCAGCTCCTCTTCTCCTTTCTTGGGTTCTGAGGCTCAGGATGCGAGGCCGCCCCTCCCCAGGGCCATGTAAGGCCCATCTCCTGTCCCTGCCAAGTTTACTGTCAAAAGTTTGTAACTTCCTCTTCAATCCCTGTGGGTATCTCAGGATCCTTTGGGTGCCCTGCTTTGCCCAGGGACAAGTCTTAGCAGGACCCAATGAAAGCCCTAGAGAAAAGGGCACTTGGAGCCCTTCAGAACAGAGGCTTCCTGGTAGCCAAGGCAAAAAGGGAGATTGGTAGATTCTAGCATCTGCTGGCCACAGAGTCAGGTGTTTGGGGAGAGCTCAGGGAGGAACTGCCCTGAATCTGAGCCCATTCCCCAGCCAGCCCTGCCAGAATTCATTGGGCCCTCCCCAGCCATGGTAGGAGAAGGGCTCAATTTGGCCAGACTCAGGGCACAGTCTTGGAGCTCCTAGGATCAGGACGTCCCTGTACAGTTGGGCAGGTTGTGTACTGCACAAACATTCACATGTTTCACATCTTTGCAGGTGGCTGTGCACATAGGATAGGTCAGGATCCAGGGTTTCTCCCGGGCTCACTCAAAAGCTGTTTCCTAACTACTTAGCACAAAACCCTTTTAATTGTTTTCTGCACTTTTCCATTTGTCTCTGTTGGCCAGACGAAGAGACGAGCTTGGTGAAAGGAAGCAGTTGGAGAGAGGGAGGGTGCTTTCTGATGGGGTTGAAAACCACTGGGAGGAGCAGACATGATGGCCCACTTGGTAGTGGGGCTCCTCCTGGCCTCAGGGCCGTCCCCCTCTCCTCTCCCAGGATCAGGAGGAATCACTGCCTCTCCTCTCCCCCGACCCCCTTCCAGCACCAGCAGCAGGTCTTGGGAGCCATTGAGAGGGCCAAGCAGGTCACCGCTCCCGAGCTGAACTCTATCATCCGAGTATGTATGGGGACCTGGGCGGGTGGGCGGGGGACAGGTGGGCCCCAGGCAGCTAATGTTCCCCTCCCCCGCCCTGCAGCAGCAGCTCCAAGCCCACCAGCTGTCCCAGCTGCAGGCCCTGGCCCTGCCCTTGACCCCACTACCCGTGGGGCTGCAGCCGCCTTCGCTGCCGGCGGTCAGCGCAGGCACCGGCCTCCTCTCGCTGTCCGCGCTGGGTTCCCAGGCCCACCTCTCCAAGGAAGACAAGAACGGGCACGATGGTGACACCCACCAGGAGGATGATGGCGAGAAGTCGGATTAGCAGGGGGCCGGGACAGGGAGGTTGGGAGGGGGGACAGAGGGGAGACAGAGGCACGGAGAGAAAGGAATGTTTAGCACAAGACACAGCGGAGCTCGGGATTGGCTAAACTCCCATAGTATTTATGGTGGCCGCCGGCGGGGGCCCCAGCCCAGCTTGCAGGCCACCTCTAGCTTTCTTCCTACCCCATTCCCGGCTTCCCTCCTCCTCCCCTGCAGCCTGGTTAGGTGGATACCTGCCCTGACATGTGAGGCAAGCTAAGGCCTGGAGGGTCAGATGGGAGACCAGGTCCCAAGGGAGCAAGACCTCGCGAAGCGCAGCAGCCCCGGCCCTTCCCCCGTTTTGAACATGTGTAACCGACAGTCTGCCTGGGCCACAGCCCTCTCACCCTGGTACTGCATGCACGCAATGCTAGCTGCCCCTTTCCCGTCCTGGGCACCCCGAGTCTCCCCCGACCCCGGGTCCCAGGTATGCTCCCACCTCCACCTGCCCCACTCACCACCTCTGCTAGTTCCAGACACCTCCACGCCCACCTGGTCCTCTCCCATCGCCCACAAAAGGGGGGGCACGAGGGACGAGCTTAGCTGAGCTGGGAGGAGCAGGGTGAGGGTGGGCGACCCAGGATTCCCCCTCCCCTTCCCAAATAAAGATGAGGGTACTAAAGTTGTCTTGGTTTTTATTTTATTATTATTTTTTTCTTTTTCCAGTATACTAGCTTGTCTTTTAAGAAAGGGGATATTAAAAAAAAAAAAAGACAAAAGTGTTTTTAAAAAAAAGCAACACCCACACCTGTGTCTGTATATAGTCAGCTTATCTCGTGTTCAATCGTCTGATCTCTACAGAGAGAAGTGGAAAATGCTGTATCAAGGGTGGGCTTAGCTGTGCCTTTCCAATAAAGATGTGAGAAGCTTCGGTGCTGTGTCCCTGCCTCTGTGTTGTGGCTGCCCCCGGGGGAGGACGGGGTTCCTTCCAATGTGAGACATCCTCCTAGAACATCAGGAGTTCCTAGCTGTGGCCCGGTGCGGTGTGGCTCACGCCTGTCATCCCAACACTTTGGGAGGCTGAGGCAGGCAGATCACTTGAGGCCAGGAGTTCGAGACCAGCCTGGCCAACATGGTGAAACCCTGTCTGTACTAAAAATACAAAAAAGCTGGGCGTGGTGGTGGGCAACTGTGATCCCAGCTACTTAAGAGGCTGAGGCAGAAGAATCACTTGAATTCAAGGAGGTTGCGGTGAGCTGAGATCGCACCACTGCACTCCAGCCTGGGCAACAAGAGCAAAACTCCATCTCAAAAAAAAAAAAAATACAAAAAGTAGCCGGGCATGGTGGCGTGCACCTGTAATTCCAGCTGCTTAGGAGGCTGGGACACAAGAATTGCTTGAACCCGGGAGGCAGAGGTTGCAGTGAGCTGAGATGATGCCTCTGCACTTCAGCCTGGGCGACAGAACAAGACGCTGTCTCAAAAAAAAAGAGTTGGTGGGTCACGCTTCTGCATTTGGCCTACACTGCTCTGATGCCTAGCCCAGAGAGGGTGAGCTGAAGACTTCAGGTCACACAGCATGGCCCAGGTGGTTGATGTTTAGACAGGCAGTTAAGGGGGCTTAAAAAGGCGAAGGGATCCCTAAGCTAGTAAGTGGGGAGGCTGAGGTGGGAGGATTGCCTGAGGCCGGGAGTGCAAGGACAACCTGAGCAACATAGCAAGACCCCATCTCCTAAAAAAAAATTTTTTTTTAATAATAAAATAAGTGAGTCAGTGGCAGAGCTGATTTCTGCACCCGAGATCTGAAGACCTAAAGGACATTCTCTTCCCTTAGAGAAAGAGGAGGCCCCAGTGCCCACACAGGTACACTTCTTTTCGGTTCTGGGTGGGTTTTTTTTGTTTGTTTGTTTGTTTTTTTGAGACAGGGTCTCACTCTGTTGCCCAGGCTAGAGTGCAGTGGTGTGATCACAGCTCACTGCAGCCTCAACTTCCCTGAGCTAAAGTGATCCTCCCACCTCAGCCTCAGCCTCCTGAGCTGGGACAGTGGGCATGCACCACCATACTCGCCTAATCTTTTGTATATATATATATATATATATATATATATATATATATATATATATATATATATATATATAATTTTTTTTTTTTTTTTTTTTGTAGAAATGAGGTTTCACCATGTTACCCAGGTCTCAAACTCCTGGGCTCAAGCAGTCCTCCCGCCTCAGCCTCCCAAAGTGCTGGGATTACAGGCGTGAGCCCCCGTGCCTGGCCAGTATACTCAGAGAGAACACTGACTCGCCCCAGCTGAGCCTCCATCCTCTAAGGAACAGCCAGAAGCCCCCCAACCCCCACCGCCTCACCCAAGCTGCACCAGCCGTGGGGAAGCCAGAAGGAAAGGGGATTGCCCCCAGTTTTCCCATCTTGGCCTCAGCCCCTGGCTCCTCTGGGACTTGGGCCAAGGGAACATGTTGCTGCCCACCCAGCAAATGGGAGATGGCCATTTCTACTCTGGAGGGACTTCACGGCAGGAGGAAGTCCGAGCTGAGGGGAGCTGACAAGGGTGGAGATGGACAGCCGACATTGGGGAAAATGTCTCATGTCCCTGAGGAGAGGGCTGGGAGTGGAGGGGACAGGGCTGGCTGATCACACCAGCCTCCTGGCAGGTCCCACCCCATCTCCACTGCAGCCAAAGTGCCTCTAAAAATGCCAGTTGCAAGGGATCATCCCCTGCTGACATTTACCCTTGTTGAAACCTGAACACGCCTAGGCACACCCCTTGGCAAGGGTAAATTCTTCTTATTTCCTTTTCTTTTTTGAGATGGAGTCTTGCTCTGTCGCCCAGGCTGGAGTGCAGTGGCACAATCTCGGCTCGGCTCACTGCAAGCTCTGCCTCCCGGGTTCACGCCATTCTCCTGCCTCAGCCTCCCAAGTAGCTGGGATTACAGGCGCCCGCCACCACGCCCAGCTAATTTTTTTTTGTATTTTTAGTAGAGACGGGGTTTCACCATGTTAGCCAGGATGGTCTCGATCTCCTGACGTCGTGATCCACCCGCCTTGGCCTCCCAAAGTGCTGGGATTACAGGCGTGAGCCACCGCGCCCGGCCAGCAAGGGTAAACTCTTACCTCTACTTCAGAAGGCCACTTGGCACCACATAATCCAGCAATTCCCCTCTTGGATCCATCTCCCAACGGAAATGTCATATGAGTCCATCAAAAAGACCCGAACAATTGGCCAGGCGCGGTGGCTCACGCCTGTAATCCCAGCACTTTGGGAGGCCGAGGTGAGTGGATCACCTCAGGTCAGGGGTTCAAGACCAGCCTGGCCAACATAGTGAAACCCCATCTCTACTAAAAATACAAAAATTAGTCGGGTGTGGTGGCAGCCGTGCAGTCCCAGCTACTCAGGAGGCTGAGGCAGGAGAATCGCTTGAACCCGGGAGGCGGAGGTTGCAGTGAGCTGAGATTGCGCCACTGCATTCCAGCCTAGGTGACAGAGTGAAACTCCATCTCAAACAAAACAAAACAAAACAAAACAAAAAAACAGACCTGAACAAGAGTGTTTAGAGCTGCTGTAATTTGTCATAATTGCCCCCAATCAAATAGATGGATTGTGACATGGTCACACAGCAGAATACTACACAGTCATGAAAAAAGATAGGCTGCTCCTGGTGGCTCACACCTGTAATCTCAGCACTTTGGGAAGCCAAGGTGAGAGGATCGCTTGAGGCTGGGAGTTCAAGACCAGCCTAAGCAACATAGTGAGACCCTATCTCTACAAAAATATAAGAATTATGGCCAGGCGCGGTGGCTTATGCCTGTAATCCCAGCACTTTGGGAGGCCAAGGCGGGTGGATCACAAGGTCAGGAGATCGAGACCATCCTGGCTAACACGGTGAAACCCCGTCTCTACTAAAAATACAAAAAATTAGCCGGGCGTGGTGGCAGGCGCCTGTGGTCCCAGCTACTCGGGAGGCTGAGGCAGGAGAATGGCGTGAACCCGGGAGGAGGAGCTTGCAGTGAGCTGAGATCGCACCACTGCACTCCAGCCTGGGCAACAGAGCAAGACTCCGTCTCAAAAAAAAAAAAAAAGAATCAGCCGGGCATAGTGTTGTGCACCTGTGGTCCCAGCTACTTGGGAGGCTGAGTGAGGAGGATTGCTGGAGCCCTAGAGGTCAAGGCTGTAGTGAACTATGATCATGCCACTGTACTCCAGCGTGGCTGACAGAGTGAGATTCTGTCTCAAAAAAAAAAAAAAAAAAAAAAAGATTATCTTTGGCTCTCACTGCCCTTGGAATTAATTCGAAATTCTTCACCTCGGCCCAGGAGACCCTACCCATCCCTCCTTTCACTCCTACTCAACAGGCTGCAGCCAAGGTGAAACATCTTGCTGTCCCTTGCCTTGAGGCCTTTTCACATGCTGTTCCCTCTGCCTGGAACAGGGTTCTCTTTATTTCCCCTCCCAGGCATTCTAATTCTCTGAGACTCCCTAGAAGTCACTTTTCTGAAGGCCTCCTCTGACTCTCACCCACCAAAAGCAGGGTGGGTTTCGCAACATCCCTACCCCAGTTCCCACACAAAGACCCTGAGTCCAGCCAGACACGCTGGCACACACCTGTAACCCCAGCACTTTGGGAGGCTGAGATTGGAGAATCACTTGAACCCAGGAGTTCAAGACCAGCCTGGGCAACATAGGAAGACATCATCTCTACAAAAAATAAAAATAAGGCGGAGTGCAGTGGCTCATGCCTGTAATCCGAGCACTTTGGGAGGCCAAGGTGGGAGGATCACTTGAGGCCAGGAGTTCAAGACCAGCCTGGCTGAGATGGCACAACCCTATCTCTACTAAAAATCCAAAAAATAGTCAGGCGTGGTGTTGTGTGCCTGTAGTCCCAGCTACTCTGGAGGCTGAGGCGGGAGGATTGCTTGAGCCCCGGAGTTTGAGGCTGCAAGGAGCCATGATCGCGCCACTGAACTCCAGCCTGGCTACAGAACGAGACACTGTCTTTATTAAAAAACAAAAGCAGGCCGGGCGCGGTGGTTCAAGCCTGTAATCCTAGCATTTTGGGAGGCTGAGGCGGACGGATCACCTGAGGTCGGGAGTTCGAGACCAGCCTGACCAACATGGAGAAATCATGTCTCTATTAAAAATACAAAATTAGCCAGGCATGGTGGCGTGCGCCTGTAATCCCAGCTACTTGGGACGCTGAGGCAGGAGAATCCCTTGAACCCGGGAGGTGGGGGTTGAAGTGAGCCGAGATCATGCCCTTGAACTCCAGCCTGGGCAACAAGAGCAAAACTCTGTCTCAAAAAAAAAAAAAAAAAAAAAAAAACTGAGTGCAAAAGGCATCAGCAGCTGTCACAGAAGTGGCACAGGTGTCCTAGGATGTTCCTCGGCATGGAGTGTCCAGCCTGGATTTAAATCCTGGCTCTTCCTCTCACAGCTGGTTGATTCAGGCAAGTGGCTTCACCACGCTGGGGCTTAGTTTCTCTATCTGTAAAATGGGTATAATCACAGAACCGATCCTTGTTAGGAAGACCCCATTTTAATCCAAGGAAAGTGCTCACAGCAGAGGCTGGTGCATTCATTCATTCATTTTTTAATTTTTTTTTGAGACAGACTCTCGCTCTGTCGCCCAGATCATGCAGTGGCATGATCTCGACTCACTTCAACCCCCACCTCCCGGGTTCAAGTGATTCTCCTGCCTCAGCCCCCGAGGTAGCTGGGACTACAAGCGCCCGCCACCACACCTGGCTAATTTTTTGTATTTTTAGTAGAGATGGGGTTTCGCCATATTGGCCAGGCTGATCTCGAACTCCTGACCTCAGATGATCCGCCCGCCTCGGCCTCCCAAAGTGCGAGGATTACAGGCGAGAGACACCGCAGCCCGGCCCATTCATTCGTCTGTGGAGACTCTACCCTGAGTCCCAGAGGCCCAGCAGGGAACAAGACAGAAAGCCCCGCCCTCCTGGCTGGGGTGAACAGATAAACAAGTAAAATATACGGCGTGTCAGCGGGTGTGTCGATAGAGAAAGACTAGGCGGAGGAGAACGGGGAACGGGGAGTGTGGGTTGCGTTTTTGTGTGTGAAATCTACACATAGAAAGAACTGCAGGAATGCCAACATATTTACTTGGGGCTCCTCATCTCCGACCCTTAGGGGTGATTCGGGGCAAGTGAAGTCACGCTCTGATCTCAATTTCTGGAAAATTGTACTGAGAATTAGAACTTCTGCAAGGGCTCAAGAGTGTCAGCTAGTAATAATAATAATAACAATAGTAAGTATTACTGATATTGATGTTGCTGGCAGCAGAAGGATGCCTGGGGGGGGGTCACAAGCCCGACACCCCCACAAGGGGTCTTCTCGGAAGAAGGGGTCCTGCCTACTCAGCCACGGCCTGGCCTGCGATCCGGGGGTCTCCCAGGCCCCCGCAGGGTTTGGGGAGGGTCCCGGGGCCCGCTGGGGGGCGGGTGGCAGGAGGCGTCCTGGGGGGGCGTGCTCGGGTCCGGGAAGCCGGGGCGGGCGGGCGGAGGCGCGGGCTCCGAGCCCCCTCCCCGCCGCGGCCGCCCCGCGCTTAACGACTGCGCCGCGGGCGACCTCGGCTAATTGATCGGCTAATGGGCCCCGCGCCGCGGCCGCGCCTAATGAGGCGGAGGACGGGGGAGGGTAGGGGGAGGGGAGGGGAGAGAACAGCGGGGAGGCGGGGGTAGGGAGAGGAGGGGGAGAGGGGAAGGAGGAGGGGAGGAGAGAGAGGAGGGAAGTGGAGGGAGGGGGAGGGAGGGGAGGGAGAGGGAGGGGCGTGGGGAGAAAACTGAGGGGAGGGAGGAGGGAGAGAAAATAGCAGGAAGGGAGGGAAGAATAGGAAGGTGGGGGAGAAGGAGGGAGGGAAGGGAGGAGGAGGGGGAGGCAGAGGAGGGGGAGGAGGAGAGGGAGGAGGGGGAGGCACAGCGATGCTCCCAGCTCCTTGGATGGGACCAGAGGGGAGCAGAGAGGACTGGGGTGGGCCCATATTCCTTTCTGGTTACCTCTCCCGCTCTAACACCCTGTTTCCTCTGGAAGCCCCTTCTCCAAGGCTCTCCCCTTCTCCGACCCCACCATTCTCCCAGCCCCCCTCCCCCATTCTGAGGGACGTTCCAGCAGGTGAGGAGATCCCCTGCCCGCTGGGCCTCGATTGCCCCCATCCACACAATGGTTCTCAGTGGAGGGAGGAGAATCCCACAGGCCCCGGTGGCAGGACTCTAGCGGAGGTGGGGTGGGGGGTGGGGGGGTGTCTGTCAGGGGACTGGGGACTCCGGGGTCTGAAATCCTCCATTTCCCCCCATCTGCACCCCAAAGGGCCAGGCTCTGGCCTCCAGCAGAGGGTGGGAGCACTTACAGAATCCCCCTTCCCCATCCCCAGCCCGGTTGGGGGCGGGGAGGGGTGGAGGAAAAGGAGCGGGGAATAGGAGCTAAAGCTAGGACGCATTAGACATTCACAGTCAGGCCGGCCAGGTGCCTGCGCTGGCTGAATTGTCTGCAGCTGAGCCTTCTCCGTCCCTCTGTGTGCCCTTCAGGCAGTCTTGGGGGAGAAAATAAAAGCTGCACCTGCAGTGCTGGTGGAATTAGGGAGCTAGAAATGATCCCGCTCTCTTCCCATGGTGCAGATGGGAAAACTGAGGCCCACGGACATCAGAACATTGCTCAAGGGCAGGAATAAGTCAGGGCTGTAGCTGAGTCTCCTGCTGGCTGCTCAGGGACCTCTTTGCCCCCCTAGGGGCAACCAGACTAATTAGGAAGGCAAAGATATCATAAAGATAACAACAGTAATACCGGCTGTGTTGTCCTGAACATCTATCACGCCTCCAGCAGTGCTTGAGTGGTACAGTGAAAATTGGATCTCTCAAAGGATTCTCTCTGAAGGAGGGTCTGTTTTACAGATAAGGAAACTGAGGCTCTAAGTGGTCACAGAGCCAGGGAATCTGGATTCAAATGCAGGAAATTCAGGATCTTAACCATTTGATTGGTTGTTTTTTGAGACAGAGTTTCACTCTTGTTGCCCAGGCTGAAGTGCAATGGTGCAATCACGGCTCACTGCAACCTCCGCCTCCCAAGATTCTCCTGCTTCAGGATTACAGGCGAGTAGCTGGGATTACAGGCGCCCGCCACCACACCTGGTTAATTTTGTATTTTTAGTAGAGACGGGGTGGGGTGGGGGGTGGTTTCACCATGTTGGCCAGGCTGGTCTCGAACTCCTGACCTCAAGTGATCCGCCCGCCTTGGCCTCCCAAAGTGTTGGGATTACAGGTGTAAGCCACTGCACCCAGCCAGGATCTTAACCATTTGGTTTAAGAGAAAGAAGTTTCTGGACTCACTGACTGGTGGGGGAGGAGGAAGGACTTGAAAGACCGATTCCAGGCAGAGTTGGGGTGCAGCAGGATTGGCTGAGGCAGGGCTGACCTTGGAGGCTCACGACCCCTGCCCCGTAGTCACTGCCTCAGTCTGACCCTTCCTGGCACCTTCCCTGTGGCTGAAGGTGTTCACGCATGGTCCCAGGTAGGGCCTTTCCCTCTGCCTGGAACACGCTGTTCCTACTTCAGTCATCCCCATCACAATCACTTTTTCCTGCATTCTTTATTTTTATTATTTTGAGACAAGGTCTCACCTGGGCAACCAGGCTGAAGTTCAGTGGCGCTATCATAGCTCACTGCAGCCTCAACCTCCCGGGCTCAGGTGATCCTCCCATGTCGGCCTCCTAAGTAGCCAAGACTACAGGCACACACCACCACATCCAGCTAATTTTTTTTTTGTAGGGACAAGGTCTTGCCATGTTGGCCAGGCTGGTCTGAAACTCCTGACCTCAAGTGATCCACCCACCTCGGCCTCCCAAAGTGCTGGGATGACAGTCATGAGCCACCGCGCCCGGCTTTCCCTGCATTCTTTATCTTCACAGCATTTTTTGCTCCGCACAATTTATCCCAACAAATATTCTCTTGTCCACTGCTTTTCTCCACTCTAATATGACTTTGGCGAAGAGAGTTTGTCTGATTTGGGTTTCTACTATAGATCCTGGGGCCTAGAATCATGCCTGGCACACAGTAGGTGTGTAGCGATTAGGGAAGAAAGTGAGAAAATGGCAGTGAAGGCCAGGCACAGTGGCTCACGCCTGTAATCCCAGCGCTTCGGGAGGCCGAGGCAGGAGGGTCACGTCAGGCCAGGAGTTTGAGACCAGCCTGGGCAACATGGTGAAACCCCATCTCTACTAAAAAGACAAAAATTAGCCGGGCGTGGTGGCGCACACCTGTAATCCCAGCAACTCAGGAAGCTGAGGAAGGAGAATCACTTGAACCCGGGAGGTGGAGGGTGCAGTGAGCAGAAATCGTGCCACTGCACTCCAGCCTGGGCGACAGAGCGGGAATCCTTCTCTAAAAAGCAAAGGGCAGAGAAGCCAGTGAGATGGGTGGATGTGGGCCAGCCCTGTAGAATCCTGCCTGCCCTACAGGCCAGGAGCTGGGGCATAGGGAGCCATGGATGGTGTTCGAGCAGCAAAGGGGCGGCACACCCAGATGTGCGATTATCGAGATCCTCCATGGGACACCAGGGGGGCAGGCTGGAGGGGAAACTGAGGCAGAAAGTCACGAGGAGGCCCCTGTGCCACTTAGGTGTTTTGGTTTGTTTTTGTTTTTTTTTTTGGTGAGACGGAGTCTCTGTCGCCCAGGCTGGAGGGCAGTGGCAAGGTCTCGGCCCACTGCAACCTCTGTCTCCTGGGTTCAAGCCATTCTCCTGCCCCAGCCTCCCAAGCAGCTGCGATTACAGGGATGCACCACCACGCCTGGCTACCTTTTGTATTTTTGTTGTTGTTGTTTTGTTTTTTGTTTTTGAGACAGAGTCTTGCTCTGTCGCCGAGGCTGGAGTGCAGTGGTGCGATCTTGGCTCACTGCAACCTCTGCCCCCTGGGTTCAAGCAATTCTCCTGCCTCAGCCTCCCGAGTAACTGGGATTACAGGCCCCCGCCACCATGCCTGGCTAATTTTTTTGTTTTGTTTTGTTTTTTTGAGATGGAGTCTCGCTCTGTCACCCAGGCTGGAGTGCAGTGGCACGATCTTGGCTCACTGCAAGCTCCACCTCCCGGGTTCACGCCATTCTCCTGCCTCAGCCTCCCCAGTAGCTGGGACTACAGGCGCCCGCCACCATGCCTGGCTAATTTTTTTTTTTTTTTTTGTATTTTTAGTAGAGACGGGGTTTCACCATGTTGGCCAGGTTGATCTCAAACTCCTGACCTCAAATGATCCGCTCGTCTTGGCCTCCCAAACTGCCGGGATTACAGGTGCGACCCATGATGCAGGTCCCAGGTAGATGTTTTCTGATATTAAAAGCTGCAGAGGCCAGGCATGGCGCGGTGGCTCACGCCTGTAATCCCAGCACTTTGGGAGGCTGAAGCGGGCGGATCACGAGGTTAGGCGTTCGAGACCATCTCAAAAAAAAAAAAAAAAAAAAAAAGCTGCAGAAGGGGCCGGGTGCCATGGCTCACGCCTATAATCCCAGCACTTTGGCAGGCCGAGGCTGGAAGATTGCTTGAGGCCAGGCCGGGCATGGTAGTGTACGATTGTGGTCTCAGCTACTTGGGAGGCTGAGGCGGGAGGATTGCTTGAGCCTCGCAGGGAGCCGTGATCTTGCCACCACACTCTAGCCTGGGCGACACGGTGAGACCTTGTCTCAAAGCAATAACAAAAAACAAAAAGCTGTGCCGGGCAAGATGGCTCATGGCTGTAATCCCAGCACTTTGGGAGGCTGAGGAGGGAGGATCATTTGAGGCCAGGAGCTTGAGAGCAGCCTGGGCCACACAGTGAGACCCCTGTCTCTAAAAAATAAAAAATAAATTAATTAAAAACTAGAGAAGGGAGCTGAAACCGCCCCTGCCTGGTTTCCCCTCTGAGGGCCTAGGATTCCCCTCTAACTTTCTCTCCTGGGTAATGTCTGTCTTTGTCCCCCTCCTTCTCCAAGTCCCCACTGCCGTTAAAAAAAATTTCCTTTCATTTAAATTGTTAAGTCGAATATGAAACCGACTTCCGAGCTAGTACTGGAGAATGGACTTAACTGTTTGGTGCTTAATGAGAACAGCTTCTACATAGGATCTCTGGGGACTTGGGGAGAAGGGACAAACCCCTAATATGAAGCAAATAGAACTCAGGTTTGAAACAGATTATCCAACAATCTCCCTCGCCTCGCCCCCTCTGTCTCGGGGGTCTCTGATGGTCTCGTCTCCCTCTTTCTGCCATCTCTGGGCTTCTCCCTCTGTCCTTCAAAGTCTCCAGCTTGGGTCCCCTAACCTTCCCTGGATCTCTTCATTGGCGCCTCCCTCCCTACCATCCCCGTCCCCGCTCCCGCCCCCAGCCGCTGACCTCCCCCTGCAAACCTCTCCCACCCACCCAGGCCCACCGTCCTCCCAGGCCCCCTTACCCCTCCCGCAGTTGCTGGGAGCCTGCCAGGCCTGAAAGCCCGTCCCTCCTCCGCCCCCTCCCTCTCCCGCCACCTCCGCCCCTCTGCCCCTCCCCCGCACCTCACCGCCCCCCCTTCCTCCCTGCCCCTCCACAGGGTCCCCTCCACCCGGGGGCCTCCTCCTCTCCCCTCCTCTCCCCTCCCCTCCCCTTTGCCGCCTCCCCCTTTGTCCCTCCGTTTCCTCCTCCATTCTCTCCTCCTCCCCCTCCTCTTCCCTCCTACACCCCCTTCTCGGGTCCCGGGGAGGGGCGGTCCCCACGCTCCCTGCGCTCCCCCTACTCCCCGCAATCCCCTCACTCCCCTGCTGGGCCTGCCCGGGCCTGTCGGGGAACACGCTGGGCCGGGCCCGCGTGGCTAATGGTGGGTTCCCCCGCAGCACCGCGGGAGGAGGGGGCGGGCGACCCTGCCCTAGGCCTGCCCAACCCTGGGACTCGGGGCCCCCCGCAAAGGCAGCCACAGAGCTCCCAGCTGGAGCGCGTGGCTGTGTGACCGTGGGCAGGTCCCTAGGCCTCTCTGGGCCTGGCTGCCCCCAAAGCCTCAATTCCCAGCAACTGGATTGGTGGGGAAGAAAAACCAACCTGGGGCAGCAGCGGGCCTTTCATTCCTGTATTTATTGGGCGCCTACTGTGTGCCAGGCTTGGGTATCACGGACCCAGACGGAGCGCCTCTCGACCCTCGTGGAGCTCACAGAGTCATGGGGAAGGTTTGGAAAATAGGTCAAGACCATTGCAGAGAACACCAAGTGGTAGGAAGAAAAATCTAGCAAGGGTTGGTGACAGAGAGAGACGGGGCTGCTTGGCCCAGGAGAGGAGGGGAGGCCTCTCTGAGGAGGTGACATTTGAGCCGAGGAGGGTTTGACAGCAAGAGCCCATGTTGGGAGGTGGCTCTCAGGGAGGGGCGGGTGCTCCAGGCAGAGGGAATCCCGGTGGCGAAGCCTGGAGGCGGCACTGTACCCATCACAGGGCAAGCTCTCAGCCCATAATTCGGAGGGCCATGGTGTGTATATCAACCAGGTAGCCCAGTGATAATAGCAATGGCAGGCTGGGCGCGGGGGCTCACTCCTGTAATCCCAGCACTTTGGGAGGCTGAGGCAGGTGGATAATTTGAGGTCAAGAGTTCAAGACCAGCCTGGCCAACATGGTGAAACCCCATCTCTACTAAAAATACAAAAATTAGCCAGGCGTGGTGGCACGCACCTGTAATCCCAGCTACTCGGGAGGCTGAGGCAGGAGGATGGCTTGAGCCTGGGAGGTGGAGGTTGCAGTAAGCCGAGATCTCGCCACTGTACTCCAGTCTGGGCGACAGAATAAGACTCTGTCTCAAAAAAAAAAAAAAAAAAAAAAAAAAAAAAATATATATATATATATATATATAAATGGCAGCAGAGGCTGTCATCAAGGGCCACTCTGGGGTTGGTGACAGTACCATGCCCCTTTTCCAGATGAGCAAACGGAGGTCCACAGGGGTTAAAAGGTCTCACTGCAAACCAGAAACTGGATGAGGAAGATTCAGATTGAGGTCGATAATATAGCAAGACCCCATCTCTACAAAATCTAAAAAAATGAGCCAGGCGTGGTGGTGCACGATTGTGGTCTCAGCTACTTGGGAGGTTGAGGTGGGAGGATTTTGCTCGAGGCTTGCAGGGAGCCGTGATCATGTCACTGCACTCCAGCCTGGGCGACGGAGTGAGACCTTGTCTTAAAACAATAACAAAAAACAAAATGCTGTGCCGGGTGAGATGGCTCACGCCTGTAATCCCAGCACTTCAGGTGGCCGAGGCAGGAGGATCCCTTGAGGCCAGGAGTTCGAAACCAGCCTGGGTAACATGGTGAAACCCCATCTACTAAAAATACAAAAATGAGCCGGGCATGGTGGTGTGCACCTGTAGTCCCAGCTACTCGGGAGGCTGAGGCAGGAGAATCACTTGAACCCGGGAGGTGGAGGTTGCAGTGAACAGAAATCGAGCCACTGCACTCCAGCCTGGTCGACAGAGCGAGACTGTCTTAAAAAAAAAACAAACAAACGTTAAAAAGAAGATTCAGATTGGGCCATGCGGCCAGGGGTTTGTTCAACCCCCATCTGTGCTGTGCCTTCCAGGGGGACCAGGCTGGGCGAGTTTGGGGCCCAGCAATGAGCTCTCCAGGGAAGGAGGGAGGGTGGAGATAGAGACGGGAGTCCATGGCGATCCTAGGAGGGTGAACCCCCAACTGGGTACAGAGGGGTTACACGTGGTGTGGGTGATGGGGTTGCTGCAATGACCAGAAGGCCCTAGGGGCTTAAAAATGGGGTTTGTCTGTGGTGCCAGCCCCAGCTCTGCTTCCGCACCCCAAATTGTCCCCGCTGGGCCGCACACACTCCCACACAATAATAACGGTCGGGGCCTTTTCATCTATCGAGCTATTTGATCGTGTGATGACTCAATGAGACGTTTCTATAATTATCCCACTGTACAGGATCACAGTGACGCAGTGGCGGAGGTGGGGTTTGAACCCAGGCTTGCACATCAGTGACACTGGGTCTCACAGCCTCTGGAGGTAGTGTGATCTCTGCGATCTCAGCTGACCCCTACAGGTTGTGTTAGCGCTGGGCAGGTTAGCAGGGGACCTGGCATCGCGTCCGTCATGCTGGGTGACCTTGGTGAGGCTCTATCCCTCTATGGGCTTGTCCACTTACTCTCCCAATAAATACAGTGTAGCCGGTGGTGTGTTGGGGCCTGGGCAGACCGTACACACAGGAGGGAGCAGATAGTATGTGTTCCCAGAGCCACGAGGCCTCGGAAGACTGAGGGAAGCTGAGCAGGTAGGAGGAGGGGAGCTACTCTAGCCAGGCTGGCCTCTCTAGGATGTGATGTTTGATCTGAAAGGAAGAGAAAGGCTGGCCGTGGTTCAGGCAGAGGGAACAACCAATGCAGTGCAGAGGTCTTGAGGCTAGACTCTGGTTTGAGGAAGAGGGAGAAGGCCTGTGTGGCTGGAACAGAGGGGGAGAAGTGGGAGGAGGTGAGAGGAGGGAGGCGATGGAAGTCAGATCACATAGACAGAGGTAGGGAGTTTGGATTTTATGTTGAGGGCAATAGGGAGCTATGGAAGGTTCTTGAGCAAGGGAGGGATGGACTCTGATTCACTTTTTTTTTTTTTTTTTTTGGAGTGGGGAAAGGATAGAGTTTTGCTCTTCTTGGCCAGCCTGGAGTGCAATGGCACGGTCTCAGCTCACTGCAACCTCCGCCTCCCGGGTTCAAGCAATTCTGTCTCAGCCTCCCAAGCAGCTACAGGTGCCCGCCACCACACCCAGCTAATTTTTTTTTTTTAATTTTTATTTTTTTTTTGAGTCGTGGTTTTGCTCTTGTTGCCCAGGCTGGAGTGCAATGGTGCGATCTCAGCTCACTGCAACCTCCGCCTCCCGGGTTCAAGCGATTCTCCTGCCTCAGCCTCCCAAGTAGCTGGGATTACAGGCATGCGCCACCACCCTGGCTAATTTTGTATTTTTAGTAGAGACAGGGTTTCTCCATGTTGGTCAGGCTGGTCTTGAACTCCCGACCTCAGGTGATCCGCCCGCCTCAGCCTTCCAAAGTGCTGGGATTACAGGCATGAGCCACTGCGCCCGGCCTTAATTTTTGTATTTTTAGTAGAGACAGGGTTTCACCATGTTGGCCAGGCTGGTCTCGAACCTCTGGCCTCAGGTAGTCCCTCCATCTTGGCCTCCCAAAGTGCTGGGATTACAGGCGTGAGCCACCACGCCCAGCCCTGATTCACATTTCAATGGATCATCAAGGATGTGGGTGCAATGGAGAATGCATAGCATAGATGTGGAGCGTGAGGGGAGAGTGGGAGAGAAGGACCCTTTAGGACATAGTGGGGGCTGGACACAGTGTTTCACACCTGTAATCCCAGCACTCTGTGAAGCTGAGGGAAGAGGACTGCTTGAGCCCAGGAGTTGAAGACCAGTCTGGGCAACATAGTGAGACCCTGTCTCTACAAAAAAATTTTTTTTAAATTAGCTGAGTGTGGTGGTACACACCTGTGATTCCAGCTACTCCGGAGGCTGAGGCAGGAAGACGGCTTGAGCCCAGCGAGGTCAAGGCTGCAGTGAGCTATGACGGTGGCACTGCACTCCAGACTGGGTGACAGAGTGAGACCTTGTCTCAAATAATAATAAGGACAAAATAAATGTTGGGAGTACAAATAGCTACCCTTTATGGAGCATTTACTATGCATTATTATTATTGTTATTGTTATTATTATTTTTTTGAGACAGAGTCTCGCTCTGTCCCCCAGGCTGGAGTGCAGTGGTGTGATCTCAGCTCACTGCAACCTCCGCCTTCTGGGTTCCAAGGATTCTCCTGCCTCAGCCTCCTGAGTAGCTGGGATTACAGGCGTGTGCCACCTTGCTCGACTAATTTTTCTATTTTTAGTATAGATGGGGTTTCCCCACGTTGACCAGGCTGGTGTCGAACTCCTGACCTCAGGTGATCCACCCATCTTGGCCCAACTAAGTGCTGGGATCACAGGTGTGAGCCACTGCACCCGGCCTACTATGCATTATTGTAAGTACTTTATAGGCCTTATTTGAAGATTCTATTATTAATCTTGTGTTCCAGACAAGGAAACCCAAGCAGAGTAAACGTGCCTGGCACTGAGCCGTTGTCACTCTGGGACTTCTCCCCCAGCCGCCCAGTTCTTACTCAGGGAGAGGCTGGAGTTCCTGAGCCCCTCAGCCAATCCTAGTGCCTCCTACCACGGGCTCCCAGGCCCTGACTCCTGCTGGTCAGAACCCACTGTGACTTCAGGACCCATGCGAAAGTAGGCACAGGGGCCTTCTAACCCTAGGGGGTATCTACCTCCCCGACACTTCACAGCTGGGGGATGTTCCCAGATCCACACAGCAAAGCTAGGGGTCAGAGCCCAAGGCTCACTCTGTCACAGGAAAGGGCTTAAGGCTGCCCCATCTTTCTTCTGTCCACTTAGGGTTAGGGTAATCTAAAGGCACTGCTCAAATGAGGCAACTCCTATGCATTCTGCAAAACCCTAGCTTAAATACCGAAACCCAACATCTTTTTGTTTTGTTTTGTTTTTGTTTTTGTTTTTGAGACAGAGTCTCACTCTGTTGTCCAGGCTAGAGTGCAGTGGCGCGAACTCGGCTCACTGCAACCTCTGCATCCCAGGTTCAAGCAATTCTCCTGCCTCAGTCTCCTGAGTAGCTGGGACTACAGGAGCGTGCCACCATGTCCGGCTAATTTTTGTATTTTTAGTAAAGACCGGGTTTCACTATGTTGGCCAGGCTGGTCTCGAACTCCTGGCCTCAGGTGATCCGCCTGCCTCGGCCTCCTGAAGTGCTGGGATTACGGGCGTGAGCCACCACGCCCTGCCCCAACATCTATTAAATACTACCACCCAACATCTAGAAAGCTATCCCAACTTCCCAATGGGGGCGCTAAATCCTGGCTGAGCCTGCCCCCACTCCCACCCCCAGCTCTGATCCTCCCTAACCCCAACCCCGACCACAGGGGTTCTGAGAGAGCTGGGCTGTCTCCCCCTCCTCCCAAACTTGGGAGCCCCTCCTTGAGTTTCCACCAAGGTCAGCCCTGGCTGCTCCCAGGCAGAACAGCACGGAGTATGGGTTTCATGAAAGTTTTGTCCAGCAATCTCACTGTGCATCTGGGTAAACTGAGGCTCAAAGAGAGGCCCTGGAGGTTCTAGGGAGATGGCTCCTCATGTTCCTGGGTGGAAGGAAATGTGTGTGTGATTTTTCCGGGGGGCACACCGCCAAGCGTGGCGGGGAGCTGAGGCTCAGAGGTCACCCGCGAGCCCGGGGCCAGCGGGAGGGGACAGGCCTGGCTGGTGGCCCGGCAGTTCGGCTGGAGGGGGCGGTAGGCAGAGGTTGGCGGTGTCGGAAGCCAAAGGCTTGGCCTCCCCGAGGGAGCCGCTTTCCCGGCCCGGGTCGGATCAATGGGCTGTAATTATACCGCGCCGGGCCGGGAGCCGGCAGGGAGGGAGCGGGAGCTGGCGGGAGGGAGGCGACGGGCGGGAGAGCGCGGGCCGGAGAGGTACCCACGTTACTTTGATTGACAGCCTGGGCGGGAGCCGCGCGGGAGCTTCTGGGAATCGTAGTCTTTTTCTGAAAACCCGTGCTCTCCTCCAGCTTCCACGCTCGGGGAAACTGAGGCACAAGGCCCAGCACCACCCCCCTCCACCCCTGACTACCTATAGGCCCATCCCCCCCACCTGGGGGTAAAACTGAGACCGTTCCTGGAGCCCCCAGGCTCGGGTAAGAGCTTCAGCTCTTCGCCGGGCGTCCAGCGTGACTTAACTACTCTTTGCTTCAGTTTACCTATCTGTGAAATAGGGAGAAAGATGCAACCTCTGCTCCGCCAGCTAGCTGGTAGCATATTGCACGAGGGTCCCTTGTTTTGAAGGGGAGATAGGCCAGGCTTGGGGGTGACTCGCTTTCCCCTGTTTCTGGATAATAATGGAGCCTTAGCCCCCCCTCCTCCAATCCGGTCGAGCTCGGGCGTCCACTAGGGTCTCAGATTCTCCTAGGGAGGGGGGCCACACTCGCCAAACCCCGCCGGGAGCGCCGAGCTGCCTTCCGATTGGCCCTACTGATCCCAGTGCCTCCTGCCATTGGTTGCTGGTCTCCTAATCCCCATTGGCCAGTTTCCTATGTGACGTCACTGACCCATGTGGGAGCGTCGCGAGCGGATTGGCTGGCGCCCCCAGCCAACCACCGCGGAGAAAGGAATTTCCACAGTAGCTGGGGCGGCCAGGCTGATTTAAGGTGGTCTGAGCAATCCGGGGTCCCAGCGCAGCTTCTCAGCTTTTTCCCTTTTTTTTTTTTCCGTAAACCCACATCCACAACGTAAAACCCTAGCCAGGAACCAGGGGCTGAGCCTCTCTGTAATGGGAAGGGGGAGATCGGCGGCTGAGCTCCTTTTCCCCTCTGGCAGCTTCTTCCCTGATGGTGCAGCTGGGGAAACTGAGGCGCAAAGAGGGGGTCCGTGAAGTCCCGCGTGGCAAATGAAGTCGCTGGGGACTCTACCCACGTTGGAACACGCCTGGCAGGTTGCTTCCCTGCTTCCTGCTCTGGCCGGATGTGGTATTTTGGGGAGTTATGGAGTCACAGGCGGCCAAGGGTTCCCCAGTATGCACACAGTTGCTGGCAGCAGAGTCTCCCCAAATTCCACCCGCTGCTCCCAAAGTTGGGGATGTTGCTGCCCAGAGCAAAAACTCCTCCTTCCTGGCGGATCACACACTAAGGGATGGGGTGTGTTCCTGTGTGCGTGTGTGGTCTTGTGGCTTCTCGGGCAATCCACAAATCTGTATTTACCCTCCCCGGTGCAGTGTGCCTGTTAGAGGGATCTGAAGACTGCTGGGTAAAGATCCCCTGCTCTAGGGAGCCTCAGCTCACTCACCGGGCAATGCCCCTGTTCCTCGCCCGGCTCTGCCTTCATCCTTAGCTCGCTCCTGTGCTGACACTGACCCTATGTGACCCTGGGAGGGTACGTGTCCCTGTACCTCTGTCCCCACCAGATGCTCTGGGAGCCCCTCCCTGGAAGGCCTAGGGCTGGATCTTCTCTAGGAATCCAGCCTCTTGCAGCATGTGGAGGTGTTCGTAGACTAAACATCCATTTATCCACCAACACCAAGCAGTTTATATCCAGTGTGTGTATGTGTGTGTGTGTGTGTACGCGCGTATGGAGAAGACAGGAGGCGAAGAAGACAGGAGGCTGGGGGAGAAGGCTTTTGCAGGAGACAGTTTTTGGGTTGGGCCTTGAAAAAAATGGACTTTCTCCAGGCATAAAAGGAGGGGGAGGGAATTCCAGGAAGAGATAACAAGCAGGGAAAGGCTCAGAGGTGGGAAAGAAAGGACACAAATTAGGTGATCTGGCCAGGGTGGCTGGAGGGGGTTGGGGGTGTGGTGTGATCTGGTGGAGGAAGGTGAAGCTGGCTGGGGCAGGGTTGCAGAGGTTCCAGTGCTAGGGTGAAGAGCTGGAAATTTATCCCTAGGGCAATAGGGAGCCAGGGGAGGGTTTGAGGGAAGGAGGGCCAGGCTCCAATTGAAGATCACCAAAAACAAAGGCTGCTCAGAGGGAGGAGGTGGCTGTGGTCCAGATGGGAGAGAGGACAAAGGCCTGGTCAGGGTGGGGGCTGCTGGGGTGGGGAGAACGGAGGAGGGTTGCAGGCCAGGTGTTGGGAATAGAGGGCTAGGGTGATGCTCTGGTTTAGAGTATCTGGGGGATGTGTGTGGGAACCCTGATAGGAGCAGGGGGTAAGAGTCTGAGATCTGGGGGACCTCTAGGGGAGATGCCCAGTTGGTGGCTGGACCCACAGGGCTGGGTCTCAGAGTAGGAACCGGAGGTGGTGCCAGAGCTTGCAGCCATCCTCACGAGGCGGTCACTGAAGCCTGGAGGGAGAGGCGGTGTCTCAGAGCCCTGGAAGCCAGAGGTGTGAGTCAAGTTGACATTCAAGTGACCGGGCTAAGGAAGGACAGAGACCTACGTTTGTTATTTTACTTTTTGTAGAGATGGGGGGTGGGGGTTGGGTCTCGCTATGTTGCCCAGGCTGGTCTCAAACTCCTGGCCTCTTTGGCCTCCCAAAGTGCTGGGATTACAAGTTTGAGCCACCACACCTGTGCTTAGAGAGGGAAGAGGGCCGCCCGGACAGGAGAGCCCCGCAGAGGGAGGTGAGGCTGCTCTGAGCAAGCATTGTAATGGAGGTCAAGAAGGAGCCATTGGGTTTCCAGAGCCAGGGGCTTAGGCAGAAGAAGGAAGATCTGGAGGGGCGCGGTGGCTCACACCTGTAATCCTAGCACTTGGGAGGCTGAAGCAGGCAGATCGCCTGCCAGGAGATCAAGACCAGCCTGGCCAACATGGTGAAACCATGTCTCTACTAAAAATACAAAAATTAGCCGGGTGCGGTGGCTCACGCCTGTAATCCCAGCACTTTGGGAGGCTGAGGCGGGCGGATCACGAGGTCAGGAGATTGAGACCATCCTGACTAACATGGTGAAACCCTGTCTTTACTAAAAATACAAAAAATTAGCTGGGCGTGGTGGTGGGCGCCTGTAGTCCCAGCTACTTGGGAGGCTGAGGCAGGAGAATGGTGTGAACCTGGGAGGCAGAGCTTGCAGTGAGCTGAGATGGCACCACTGCACTCCAGCCTGGGCGACAGAGTGAGACTCCATTAAAAAAAAAAATTAGCCAGGCTTGGTGTATGTCTGTAATCCCAGCTGCTCGAGAAGCTGAGGCAGGAGAATCACTTGAACCTGGGAGGCGGAGGTTGCAGTGAGCCGAGATCTGTAATCCCAGCTACTTGAGAGGCTGAGGCAAGAGAATCGCTTGAAACTGGGAGGCGGAGGTTGCAGTGAGCCGAGATCGTGCCACTGCACTCCAGCCTGGACGACAGAGCATGACTCCGTCAAAAAAAAAAAACAACCAACAAGAAGGAAGATGTGGGGTGGACAGTTGCAGACAATGAGGACAGAGGCTACCATGTATGCTCAAGGTCCAGGCAGGGGAGATGTTGGCCTCCCAGGAGCAGTGAAACACCTGCCGGAAAGGGTTTGGAATCAGCACTTCACAGACCCCCAAGAACCTGGAATCACGGACTCTTGACAGCGTAGAATGATGGCGCTCCCTGTTTGTGAGAATTTCCAAGCAGGGAGTGTGGCCGGCGGTTTCTGGCTTTAGGCTGGTTATTGAGCACTTACTGTGTGCCAGGCCCCGCAGAGACCTAGACAGGCTCAGTCCCTCCACAGCCTTCTTCGTGGTGAGGGAGACAAACAAGGACGCGAACAACCTCCGAGTAAACATACTCACATCCAAAACACACTGTGGGCTGGGCACGGTGGCTCAAGCCTGTAATCGCAGCACTTTGGGAGGCCAAGGAGGGTGGATCATCTGAGGTCAGGAGTTTGCGACCAGCCTGGCCAACATAGCGAAAGCCGGTCTCTACTAAAAACATAAAAATTAGCCAGGCGTGGTGGTGGGCACCTGTAATCCCAGCTATTCGGGAGGCTGAGGCAGGAGAATCACCTGAGCCCAGAAGGCAGAGGTTGCAGCAGTGAGCCGAGATCACGCCACTGCACTCCAGCGACAGAATGAGACTCCGTCTCAAAACAAACAAAAACAAAAAAACCGAAGGCCAGGCATGGTAGCTCACGCCTGTAATCCCAGCACTTTGAGAGGCCGAGGCAGGTGGATCACCTGAGGTCAGGAATTCAAGACCAGCCCGGCCAACATGGTGAATCCGTCTCTACTAATAATACAAAAAAAATTAGCTGGGCATGGCGGCGGGAGCCTGTAATACCAGCTACTCCAGAGGCCGAGGCAGGAGAATCGCTTGAACCCGGGAGGCATAGGTTGCAGCAGTGAGCCGAGATCGCGCCACTGCACTCCAGCCTGGGCAGCAGAGCAAGACTCCGTCTCAAAAAACAAAAACAAAAACAAACAAAAAGCCACACACTATGGTAGGAGCTGGGAAGAGAGGGAGAATAGGATGGAGAGTGTGAAAATAACGGGGTGGGCAGAAGCTGTTGAAATGGGTGGCTAGGAGGGGCCGTTCTGAGGAGGTAGCTTTTGAGCTGAGACTTGAATGATAAGAAGCAAGGGAAAAGCATTCCAGGTACAGGGAACAGAAAGTGCAATGGCCCTGAGGCTGGACTGTGCCTGGTGTGAGGCCAGTGTGACTTGGGCAGAGTGAGTGAGGGCGAAAATGACCGGAGTTGAGATCATGAAGCTGGCTGGCCGGGTGCAGTGGCTCATGCCTGTAATCTCAGTGCTTTGGGAGGCCGAGGTGGGAGGATCGATTGAGCCCAGGAATGCAAGACCAGCCTGGGCAACACAGTGAGACCTTGTCTCTATAAACAATAAACAAAACATAAAGAGATGGTGAAGGGGAAAAGGGGAAGAGTTTTGTGAAGAGCCTTGTGGGAAGAGAGATGAGTTTGGATTTATTTTGAGGGCAATAGGGAGCTAGTGAGTACTACACACACACACACACACACACACACACACACACACACACACACAATTGTATCTTTATCCCAGGCTGTGTCTCTTTTCCTCCCTTCCCAGAGCTGCCCAACCTCATCGTTCAGGTCTCATCTCCAAGGCTACCCTCCCCCAAGGGTCCTCTCCCAGACACCCCACATAAGCAGGTTTGCTTTTGTTCATCTCTATCACTGCCCTCTAAACTCTTCCTCTGTCTGTACAAATAGTCCCATAATTACCAAGCTGTGAACCTGCCTAGCCTGTCACTCACATCCCACAAACTCAGAGAGGGCAGGGATCTGTCTCCCTTATCCACCCTTACAATCCCTGTGCCTGGAAGGATGCCTGACACGTCATAGGTGCTCTGTAAATATCTGTGGGCTGGAAAACGATGGCTTTAAATTTGATAAGGGCTTTTTTTTTTTTTTTTTGAGACAAGGTCCTGCTCTGTCACCCAGGCTGGAGTGCAGTGATGTGATCTCAACTCAGTGCAGCCTTGACCTTCTGGGGCTCAGGTATCTCCCGCCTCAGCCCCCCAAGTAGCCGGGACCACAGGTGTGCATCACCATGCCTGGCTAATTATTTTTGTATTTTTTGTAGAGATACAAAAAACACAAAAATGTTTTTTTGTATTGTCGCGGTGTTGTCCACACTGGTCTTGAACTCCTGGGCTCAAGCGATCCTCCCTCCTCAGCTTCCCAAAGTGCTGGAGCTACAGGCATGACCCACCACCCCTGGCCCATTGATAAGGGCTCTTGTGCCCTTTTGTAAGGGTACAAAATGGGTTTTTGTAACCCTAACCCTTAGGTACCATTAGGTACTCGATCACCTAAGGACACAAGTCCAAGTGTCATCAAGGGGCATGGATTTTTCTCTGTTTTGTTCCCAGCTGTGCCCCAGTGTCTACAGCAGTGTGTGGTCCACAGTATGCATTTAGTACACGTTTGTTGATTGACTTCACAAACCTCTCCTGAGGTTTCTCCAAAGAGAATAAGAACTTCCCACTCCCCGGGTGGGCCTGAAGGATGCTGGCTGGATGTCTGTGGTCTCTGGTCGGGGCTGGAGCCTTTGCCGTGGGAGAGACTTGAGTCTGATGGCAGAGCTGTGGTTCTTCCAGTTCTGAGTGGGACACGGCTCCTGCCTTCAAGAAACCCAGTCTGAGAGGGGAGACAGCCCAGTCCACTGGTGATGGCAGTAGGAACACAATTCCCATCTGTGGAAGTTTGCTCTGTGTAGGGAGAGGCTGACAGCGTTCATGCACTATCTCATTTAAGTGCAGTGCCCAGTGCGGTGGCTCCCGCCCGTAATCCCAGCACTTTGGAAGGCCGAAGAGAGAGGCTTGAGTCCAGGAGTTCAAGACCAGCCTGGGCAACATAGTGAGACGCCCCCCTACTCCATCTCTGCAAAAAATTAAAAAATTAGCTGGGCGTGGTGGTGCACACCTGTAGTCCCAGCTACTGGAGAAGCTGAGGGGGAAGGATCGCTTGAGCCCAGGAGTTCGAGGCTGCAGTGAGCCATGATTGCCCCACTGTACTCCAGCCTGGGCAACACAGGGAGACCCTATCTCTGCAAAAAATTAAACCCTAAAGATAGCGCACCACCCCTGACCTTTTGCAGAGACTACTGAGGCCCCCAGAGGGCGAGGGCCCGGCATGATCTGGGAAGCAGTGTTTGCTGTGAGATTCCCTTTCTGGCAGGGTTCCCTGCCAGCGCTTGGCAAGGCTGCGTCCTGCTGACCCTTCAATCTCAACCCAATGTCACTTGCTCAGAAAAGCCATTTCCGACTCCAGACTGGTCCCCGCTCCCCGCAAGCCCCCCCCCCCGCTCCCACGGTGGGTAACACGGTGTGAATTTCTTCACTGGTTTTTCTTCTCCCGCCCCTCCGGGAGGGGGTGGGGACCCTGTTTTAAGGCACTGGGCGCCTCCCCACCCGGCCTCAGTTTCCCCAACGGCCCAGGGACTGAAGGAAGGGGGCGGGTGCCCGGGGGCCGGGGGGGGCGCGGGCGCGGGGAGGGGCGGTGCGCGGGGGTGGGCGCGGGGCGGGCCGCGGGCGCGTGGGGGCGGCGGCGCCACCTTAAGGCGGCTCAGCCCGCGGCTCCCGGCCGAGCCCCGCCGGAGGGAGGCGGCTCCGCGCGGGGCCCGCCGCCCGCGCCGCCGCCACCGAAACCCGGCCGCGGCGCGCCCGACCTTCTGCGCCGGCTGCCGCGGCCGCCCTCGCCGCGCTCCCGCCCCGGCCGCTGCCCCTGCCCGCCCCGCTCGCCCCGCGCACCCCAACCCGGGGAGGGGCTCCCACGACCCCGGGCGCGCGCGCTTGGGGGCGCGCCAGGGACTCCAGGGTCCCTTGCCCCGCGCCGCTTCTCCCTCCTCCCTCTTTCTTCGGGCAGCCTCCCCACCACCCCACTTCAGCCTCCCCCACTCTTGCCGCCTCCATATCATCAAGCTCTGGTGGCGCCTGGGGGGCTTTTCGGATCGGCAGGATGTACCCCCAGGGAAGGCACCCGGTGAGTGCGGACTGCGGGGAGGGGGCCCCCAGTGTCCGGGAACTCAGACCCTGACGTTTCCCCCACACCCCCCCCAGACCCCGCTCCAGTCCGGCCAGCCCTTCAAGTTCTCGATCTTGGAGATCTGCGACCGCATCAAAGAAGAATTCCAGTTTCTTCAGGCTCAATACCACAGGTGAGGGGGGCCGCCCCAGGGGCCGCGGGAGTTCACCTGGGCGCCGGGGCGGGGCGAGGCCTCCGGGGTATAGGGCGGGGAGGAGGGGCTCCCGGTTGGAGGGGGGGCGCGACAAAGGCCTCCAGGTGGAAGCGCAGGTGCAGAGGGGTCTGGGGACAGTCAGAGCTGGGGCATTTGGAGCCCAGGAAGGGGCGGGGAGGGACTGGGACAGGAGGTGGGGGGAGGTCTGTAAGGAAGTCGGGAGGGGGAGATCCAGCCTCTCACTTTGGAAGCCGGCCCACATGGGGCGGGTGGGAGCCCCTTGCCCTCTCTCTTCTTCTCAGCCTCAAGCTAGAATGTGAGAAGCTGGCCAGCGAGAAGACGGAAATGCAGCGACATTATGTCATGGTGAGGGCACTTATGATGCCAGGGTGAGGGGAGAGGCGGGCAGGGCTTTGAGTCACGGTGGACTCTGGGGTAGGTCCCTGCCCCACTCCGAACCTCGTCTTCCCCGTCTGTACATTGGGCAGGTTGGGATTTCAGGCTCTCTAGGAGGGTCCTCCCAGCTCTGGGAATGGGGAGACAGGGAGGACCCCTCGCCTGATGGGAGTCTCTGTCGGGCCAGGGCCTCTGGACACTTCCTACCTGCCCTGCCTCTCTGGGGAGAGTAGAGGGGGCCCTTCCAGGCAGAGCCCCCGCTTCCTCCTCTGGGACCCCGTGGAGCTGGGGGGGGCTCTGCTTCCTGCTGTGATTCCCCTGAACCTGGGGACTCTTGGAAGACCCTGGCATCACCTATCTGGAGGAGGGCACCCATCTCCACCCTAGACGTTCTTACTTGGTTTTTCCTTTGCAGTATTATGAGATGTCGTACGGGCTCAACATTGAAATGCATAAGCAGGTAACTGGGTTGGGGTTACGCGTGTTCAGGAGGGAGGGTGGGGGTCTGGAAGCCCTGAGAAGGACCCAGAGTGGGCAGCCGGGGCCAGAGCAGACCTAGGGAACACGGGTCTCATCCTGAAATCTCCGCAGAGGTCACAGAGGGCCCATCTGGGACCAGGAAGACAGATTTCAGCCTCGTGGAAGGAAAATGAGTCCCACCTTCTGAAGACAGTATCTAGCAGTTGGAGCGTCCAGCAGAGATGCAGGCAGTGGGCAGGGGCCACCAGGCATCCCCATCAAGGAGGGCACATAGCAGAGGCAGGGCAGCCAGGCCAGGGAGGCTGTGGAAGTGACTTCTGTCCTAGGAGGGAGCTGGATGGCCACTCTTAGAGGTCCCTTTCAACCCAGAAAGTCTGAAGTTTTGAGATGGACCCCAGGTTCTGTTGCTGCTTTGAAGCTTCTGAGATTGGTCTCAGTGTGATTGGCTGGAAGGTTCCAAGATTGTTCTCCAGGCCCTGAATTTGATGCCATGGTTCAGACTGTGACCCCACTACTCCAAAATAGACCTCAAAACTCTGTGGCTGTCTTCAGGGCTTTGAGATTGACTCCAGTGTCGTAAGGCTCTGAGCCTCTTCTGGAGCTTCTCAGTGTGATCCAAGGTTCTGAGACAGACTTCAGGGTTCTGAAATAGACCTCAGGGTTCTGAGATTGACCTCAAGGTTCAGAGATAGACCTCAGGGTTCTGAGATTGACCTCAGTGTTCTGAGATAGACCTCACGGTTCTGAGATTGACCTCAGTTTTCTGAGATAGACCTCAAGGTTCTGAGATAGACCTCAGGGCTCTGAGATTGACCTCAGGGTTCTGAGATAGACCTCAAATTTCTGAAATTGACCTCAGGGTTCTGAGATAGACCTCAAGGTCCTGAGATAGACCTCAGGGTTCAGAGATAGACCTCAAGGGTCAGAGATAGACCTCAGAGTTCTGAGATAGACCTCAAGGTTCTGAGATAGACCTCAGGGTTCAGAGATAGACCTCAAGGGTCAGAGATAAACCTCAGGGTTCTGAGATTGTCCTATCTGTGTACTGAGATGTGTTAAAAGGTTCTGAGGTGTTCCTGAACTTGTGATCTCAAGGTTCAGAGATAGACCTCAGGGTTCTGAGATAGACATCAGGGTTCAGAGATAGACCTCAGGGTTCTGAGATAGACAGGGTTCAGAGATAGACCTCAGGGTTCTGAGATTGACCTCAGGGTTCAGAGATAGACCTCAGGGTTCTGCGATTATCATATCTATGTGCTGAGATGTGTTAAAAGGTTCTGAGGCTATTCCCGAACTTCTGATCTCAAGGTTCTGAGATAGACCTAAAGATTTTTTTTTTTTTTTTTTTTTTTTAAATTTTGAGACAAAGTTTCACTCTTGTTGCCCAGGCTGGAGTGCAATGACCTGATCTTGGCTCACTGCAACCTCTGCCTCCTGAGTGCAAGCGCCTCTCCTGCCTCAGCCTCCCGAGGAGCTGGGATTACAGGCGCCTGCTACCATGCCTGGCTAATATTTTGTATTTTTAGTAGAGACGGGGTTTCTCCATGTTGGCCAGGCTGGTCTTGAACTCCTGACCTCAGGTGATCCACCTGCCTCGGCCTCCCAAAGTGCTGGGATTACAGGAGTGAGCCACCTTGCCCGGCCAATAGACCCAAAGATTCTAAAATTGACTTTAGTGGTCCATGCTTAATCCTGAGATCCTGAGACTGGCCAGTGGTTTCTAAAGGGATGAGAGGGGTCCCAAACTTCTGAGCTTCATGGGCTCCTAGATTCTATCAGAATATTAGAATCAATGAGCAGAACCTTGTATTGGGACTTCCCGGTGGCTGGGAAGGAGAAGGGGGTGGGCTGGGAGTGTGGGGTGCCTGGGGTTGCCCACCCTGGCATGCTTTCCTGCATGTGTGGGGGTTCTGTTGGTTCTGATGTGGGCAGGAGGGGGCTTGTCTGCTGAAGCATGGCGTGGTCCCATGGGTCCACGCAATAGACCCCCCTTTATGGGGTGCGGGACACCCTGGGATCCC
Organism: Homo sapiens; assembly: GCF_000001405.40. Classification (NCBI taxonomy): domain Eukaryota; kingdom Metazoa; phylum Chordata; class Mammalia; order Primates; family Hominidae; genus Homo; species Homo sapiens. The sequence continues at coordinate 3,025,787 of NC_000019.10, read as the reverse complement.
AGTTCCACCCTCCTGGTGGGAATAGGAGACACAGACTTCGCCAGACACACAGCACACCTGTAACTCAGGCAGAGGCAAAGTCCGTGGCCATTGTATGCCCGCCCCCTTCCCCACCCACACGCCTTCTCGTCTGCTCAGCCTCTTTGGGGCACCTGGGCCCAGACCCTCTCCAGATGAAATCCTTCCCTTGAGTGTGGCGTGCTGAGATCTCCACCTGGAGGCATCCCCAGCTGGTAGATCAGTCCTGGGAAGCGGAGGAGACCAAGAAAGGGGCCTTGCCTGGGACAGACGTGGGCCAAGCCGGGGCTGGAATCTGGGACTCCAGGCGGAGGCCCCTTTCCTTTGTTTCAGCTGAGCCCAGCACCTCTGAGTGTCTGCGTCTGAGTTGGGTGTCTGAGCGTCTGCCTCCTGCAAATCCCTGGCGGGTGTGCGTCTGGCGGGTGGTGTATCTGTGACTCGTAGGACCTCAGCCCTGGTCTTCCCAGCTCCAGGCCACCCTGGGCCTCGCTCAGCTGAGCACGCAGCCTGGTGGGGCTCTGAATCCCACCTCGGCCCATGCCATGCTAGCCTGAGTTCCCTCTGTGCACCTGCGGGCGTCACCTCCCCAACCCTTCGGCTTTGCCAACACCTGGTCCGCCTGGGAGTCCAGAGCTGGGTTGCAAATCTCTACCCCGCTCCAAGCTTCCTCTCATTGCTTCCTGCCAGGCGGAGATTGTGAAGCGTCTGAGCGGTATCTGCGCTCAGATTATCCCCTTCCTGACCCAGGAGGTGAGTGGGCCTGGGGGTGGGGGGAGGAGGGGAAGGGAGCCGGAAGAAGACGGGAGGGGGTAGGTCTGGGCGAGGACGCCCCAGGCACTGATTCTGCCGCGTAGCCTGCAGCACGGATAGAGACCATTTTCACTGCAGTAGTCCCGCAGCCCTGAGGCCAGGCATCCCGCTGGGGCAGGGGCTGCAGGGATGGAGGGAGGTGTTGGCTGAGGGTGAGGACTGGGGGCTGTTTTCCCCCTTGATGGGAAGCAAGGCATAGAGCTGACCCCCTCAAGCCCTGCAAGTTGGCTGCCTGGGTCTGAATCCTGGCTGTGTGGCCTCAGGCAGGACACTTGTCTCTGTTTTTTCAGTAGCGTAGGTGTGAAGTTGAGATGAGCTCATACACCCAGGGTGCTGGAGATGATGGGTACGCTTACTCAGCACCTGATGAAAGTTAACCCTACCGTCTTGCTAGAAGAAGTCACTGAGGGACAAACACTGGGTGATCCACTCCTAGGAGGTCCCAGGGTCGTCAGGTTCACTGAGACAGAAAGCAGAATGGGGGGTGCCAGGGGTTGGGGAGGGGACGGGGAGTGAGAGTTTTATGGGGACAGAAATTCAGTTTGGGAAGATGGGAAAATTCTGGAGATGGTGCTGGGGATGGCTGCACAACCGTGTGTGTGCTTTATGCTGCTGAGCTGTGCACTTACAAATGGTTAAAATGGACTGTAATTCGGCCAGGTGCGGTGGCTCCTGCCTGTAATCCCAGCATTTTGGGAGGCTGAGGCAGGTGGATCACCAGAGGTCAGGAGTTCGAGACCAGCCTGTCCAACATGGTGAAACCCTGTCTCTGCTAAAACTTAAAAAAAAAAATTAGCCGGGCATGGTGGTGTTTGCCTGTAATCCCAGCTACTCGGGAGGCTGAGGCAGGAGAATAGAATTGCTTGAACTCAGGAGGCGGGGGTTGCAGTGAGCAGAGATTGCGCCGCTGCACTCCAGCCTGGGTGAGAGAGTTAGACTCCATCTCAAAAAAAAAAAAAAAAAAAGTTAGCTCTTCTGAGAGTGCCCCAGGTTCCTTTCATCCTCAGTACCTTTGCACAGTCCCTGTTTCTTTTTTCTTTTTCTTTTCTTTTGTGTGTGTGTGTGTGTGTGATGGATTCTTGCTCTGTTACCCAGGCTGGAGTGCAGTGGCATGATCTTGGCTGACTGCAACCTCCACCTCCTGGGTGCAAGCGATTCTCATGCCTCAGCCTCCTGAGTAGCTGGGATTACAGGCGTGCACCACCACGCCCGGCTAATTTTTGTATTTTTAGTAGAGACGGGTCTCCCTATGTTGCCCGGGCTGGTCTCGAACCCCCGGACTCAAGCAATCCGCCCGTGTCAGGCTCCGAGTGTTGGGTTTACAGGTGTGAGCCACTGTACCCAGCCTGCACTGTCCCTGTTTCTGTGTGGTACGTTCTCTCTTCAGAGAGACGTGAAAGATAGTTCTACTTCAGAGTGGATACACTGGGAGGATCCTTGATGCCTTGAGGACCAAACCCAGAGGGGAGATGCTCAGTTTGTTCAGATTCCACTGAGTCTGAGATTTCTGGAAGCTTGGGGTGGGGAGAGGTCCTGTGTAGACACAGAACATAAAGAGCATCTGCAGCGGAAAGTGGGGACGAGGTGGTCTAGAGAAAGGCAAGAGCCGCAAGAAGTTTAGGTAGGCCGAGCCCAGTGGCTCACGCCTGTAATCCCAGCACTTTGGGAGGCCAAGGCGTGCGGGTCATGAGGTCAGGAGTTTGAGACCCACCTGGCCAGTATGGTGAAACCTCATTTCTACTAAAAATACAAAAATTAGCTGGGCTAGTCCCAGCTACTCGGGAGGCTGAGGCAGGAGAATTGCTTGAACCCGGGGGGTGGAGGTTGCAGTGAGCCGAGTTCGCACCATTGCACTCCAGCCTGGGCAACACAGCGAGATTCTGTCTCAAAAAAAAAAAAAAAAGATTAGGTAAAATGACTGTTGAAAGGAATGAGTAAGGCACACATTTCCAGGAATTAGCAAACTGCAGCTCGAGGGCCAGCTCCACCCCTCCACTTGTTTTTGCAAATAAAGTTTTATTGACATAGCCACGCCCACTCATGTACATATCATTTCCAGCAGCTTTCCCATTACAGTGACAGAGTTTGGTAGTTGCAACAGAGACCTCTGGCCTGCAGAGGGAAAATGTTTTCACTCTCTGGCCCTTTCTAGAAAGTCTTCCAACCCATCCTACACACACCCACACACAGGTGCACCCCCATGGGAGCTCTGTATCCGCATCCTGATACCTCCTTGGTGGAGACAGCCCAGATGTCTGTCTTCAGGAGCGTGTATACACAAGCAGCCTCAGAGTGCATACAGTGGAATATACTACTGTTCCGCTATCCTACACGGCAGTCACCAGCCCCGTGTGATCATTTACACTTAGGTTAACTATTAATAATATTTAAATCTATTATTTTTTTCCTTAAAAAAATTTTTTTTTTTTTTGAGACAGAGTCTTGCTCTGTCGCCCGGGCTGGAGTGCAATGGCACGATCTCAGCTCACTGCAATCTCTGCCTCCTGGGTTCAAGCGATTCTTCCACCTCAGCCTCCCGAGTAGTTGGGATTACAGGCACCCACCATCATGCCGGCTAGTTTTTGTATTTTTGTAGATGGGGTGGGGGGGTGGTTTCACCATGTTGGCCAGGCTGGTCTTGAACTACTGACCTCAGGTGATCCATCTGGCTCGGCCTCCCAAAATGCTGGGATTACACGCGTGAGCCACCGCACCTGGCCTAAAAAAATTTTTTTTTACAAAAATTAGCTGGGTGTGGTGGCAGGTGCCTGTAATCCCAGCTACTCGGGAGGCTGAGGCAGGAGAATTGCTTGAACCTGGGAGGCGGAGGTTAGCGTGAACCGAGATCACGCCACTGCATTCCAGCCTGTGCGACAGAGTGAGACTCCGGCTTAAATAAGTATATATGTATAATGTAACAGAGAGGGAGTCTCACCATGTTGCCCAGGCTGGTCTCAAACTCCTGGACTAGCGTAATCCTCCCACTCCAGCATCCTAAAGTACTGGGATTACAGGCATGAGCCACTGCGCCCGACCTGAAATCTATTAAGTTAATTTTATATTTAAATTTATATTTAGGCTGGGCGCAGTGGCTCACACCTGTAATACCAGCACTTTGGGAGGCTGAGGGGGGCAAATCACTTGAGATCAGGAGTTCAAGACCAGCCTGGTCAACATGGTGAAACCCCGTCTCTACTAAAAGTATGAAAATTAGTTGGGTGTGGTGGTGCGCACCTGTAATCTCACCTACTTGGGAGGCTGAGGCAGGAGAATTGTTTGAACCTGGGAGGCGGAGGTTGCAGTGAGCCAAGAGCATGCCATTGCACTCCAGCCTGGGCAACAGAGTGAGACTACGTCTCAAAAAAGTAAAAATAAAAATAAGCCTATTAAATTTATTTTATATTTAAACTTGTATTCACTTAAATTTAATAAAATTAATCATTCTATTCATCAGTTGCACCAGCCACATGTCAAATGCCTGGTGGCCACACACATGGCCAGTGGCTTCTGTGTGGAACAGCAAAAATACAACATTTTCTTTCTTTCTTTTTTTTTTGAGACTGAGTCTCGCTCTGTCACCCAGGCGGGAGTGCATGGCACGATCTTGGCTCACTGCAATCTCTAACTCCCGGGTTCAAGTGTTTCTCCTGCCCCAGCCTCCCGAGTAGCTGGGATTACAGGTGCATGCCACCATGCCTGACTAATTTTTGTATTTTTAGTAGAGATGGGGTTTCACCATCTTGGTCAGGTTGGTCTCGAACTCCTGATCTCGTGATCCACCTGCCTCAGCCTCCCAAAGTGCTGGGATTACAGGTGTGAGTCACCACGCTCAGCACCCCCCCCCCTTTTTTTTTTTTTTTTTTTTTTTTTTGAGACTGGGTCTCACTCTGTCTCCCAGGCTGGAGTGCAGTGGTGCAATCTTGGCTCACTGCAACCTGTGCCTCTTGGGTTCAAGTGATTCTCCTGTGTCAGCCTCACGAGTAGCTGGTATTATAGGCACCCGCCGCCACGTCTGGCTAATTTTTTTTGTATTTTTAGTAGAGATAGGGTTTCACCATGTTGGCCAGGCTGGTCTTGAACTCCTGACCTCAAGTGATCCACCTGCCTTGGCCTCCCAAAGTGCTGTGATTACAGGCATGAGCCGCCGCGCCCGGCTCAGATATAACATTTTCTCGCAGCAGAGTCCCACAGCTCTGAAAGCTGAATATGCTGCCGCCACCCACCACATCATGGAAGAAGCTTAAAATGTTATGCTGAGAGGCCAGATGCCAAAGAGAACTCAGAGAATGAGCCCACAACGTAGTTGAAAACGGACAAATCCACGCAGGTTTAGGAAGGCGATCGTAGGAGGCAGAATTATACAGAAAAACAAAGAAATTATTGTCATGAAGGTGGAGGAGGGAGGGTGTTCTGATGGCAGGGAGTGTAGGGGGCCCCTGGAGTCTGGTACTTTCTGTTCCTTAACCTAGGAGAAGGGTCCATGGTGCCGATTTATCACAGTGTTTTTTTTTTCTTGGGGGTAGTTTTACCACCAGGAGACGTCTGTGGTTGTCACAACTGGGGGTGCCCCTGGCATGGAGTGGGTGGAGGCCAGGGATGCTGCTCGGCTCCTTGTAGTGCCTGGAACAGCCCCGCCCCAGAGAACAATCCAGCCCCAGATGTCTTTGGTTCTTCGATGCTCCAAAGGAGAGACTGTGATTTGTAATATATATATATTTTTTCTTGAGACAGAGTCTCGCTCTGTCACCCAGGCTGGAATGCATTGGCACGATCTCGGCTCACTGCAACCTCCACCTCCCGGGTTCAAGCGATTCTCCTGCCTCAGCCTCCTGAGTAGCTGGGATTACAGGTGTTTCACCATGTTGGCCAGGCTGGTCTCGAACTCCTGGCCTCAGGTGATCTGCCCACCTCAGCCTTCCAAAGCGCTGGGATTCCAGGCGTGAGCCACCATGCCCGGCCTGATTTGTAACTATTCTACCTGCACTTAGGTTTGGTTTCTTTCTCCGTGTGCTTATTTCAAAATTCCAAAAGGAAAGGGAGAGAGTGAGAGGGAAAAAGATAAAAGAGAAATGGGAAGTACCGGGGCAAAGATGAGAGGGTGGCGGGGAGAGGTCAGGTCCCCAAGGGCACCGCTAGCATGAGCAGGGGCTCAATGTACCCTCTACCTGATCCCTTCCACCCGCCAGCATCAGCAGCAGGTGCTCCAGGCCGTAGAACGCGCCAAGCAGGTCACCGTGGGGGAGCTGAACAGCCTCATCGGGGTGAGTCTCTCTAGCCCCTGCCCCGCCATGGGGAGACGCCCACTCCCAGGTCCCTGGCACCCACCCAGGAGGTGTTAAAGCTGGGGTGGTGTGTGGGCCTTGGCTCCAGTGGTCCTGGGAACCCCAGGGGCACATGCTGTGCTTAGGTCCCATCCCCTGTGTCTACCTCTTGGGCTGGGGACCGCTGGGCTCCTGCCGCCCCCCGCCCCGGCCCATCCTGCCTCCTTTCTAGCAGCAGCAGCTCCAGCCGCTGTCCCACCACGCACCCCCTGTGCCCCTCACCCCCCGCCCAGCCGGGCTGGTGGGCGGCAGTGCTACGGGGCTGCTTGCTCTGTCTGGAGCCCTGGCTGCCCAGGCTCAGCTGGCGGCGGCTGTCAAGGAGGACCGTGCGGGCGTGGAGGCCGAGGGGTCCAGAGGTGAGTGGGCAGCACGGGGTGGCATTGGCTGGGGAGACGGGGCTGGGGAGGACGACTGGCAGTCCAGGGTAGCAAACATCAGCGTGAGGGGATGAAGTGGCTCATGCCTATAATCCCAACAATTTGGGAGGCCGAGGCGGGAGGATCGCTTGAGCCCAGGAGTTCATGACCAGCCTGGGCAACAGAGCGAGACCCCGTCTCTACAAAAATTTAAAAATTTGCTGGGTGGGATGGTGCACACCTGTATTCCCAGGTACTTAGGAGGCCGAGGCAGGAGGATCACTTGAGGCCGGGAGTTAGAGGCCAGCCCAAGCAACATAGCAAGACGCCATCTCTATGAAAAATTTAAAAATTAGTCAAGCACAGGCTGGGCATGGTGGCTTATGCCTGTAATCCCAGCACTTTGGGAGGCCGAGGTGGCTGGATCACCTGAGGCCAGGAGTTCGAGAGCAGCCTGGCCAACATGGGAAAACCCCATCTCTACTAAAAATACAAAAAAAATTAGGCAGGAGTGGTGGCGGGTGCCTGTAATCTCAGCTACTCGGGAGGCTGAGGCAGGAGAATCGCTTGAACCTGGGAGGCGGAGGTTGCAGTGAGCCAAGATTGTGCCACTGTACTCCAGCCTGAGTGAGAGAGTGAGACTCTGTCTCAAAAAAATTAAAATAAATAAATAAATAAATAAAAATAGATAGCCAGGCACGGTGGTTCACGCCTGTAATCCCAGCACTCTGGGAGACCGAGGCGGGCAGATCACCTGAGGTCAGGAGTTTGAGACCAGCCTGGTCAACGTGGTGAAACCTTGTCTCTACTAAAAATACAAAAATTAGCTGGGCATGGTGGTGGGTGCCTGTAATCTGAGCTACTCGGGAGGCTGAGGCAAGAGAATTGCTTGAACCTGGGAGGCAGAGGTTGCAGTGAGCCAAGTCCAGCCTGGGCGACAGAGTGAGACTCTGTCTCATTCATAAATAAATAAATAAATAAATAAATGCCAAGCATGGTGGCATGCCCCTGGAGTCCCAGCTACTCGGGAGGCTGAGATGGGACAATCACTTGAGCCCGGGAACTCGAGGCTGCAGTGAACTGTGACTGGGCCACTGCACTCCAGCCTGGGCAACAGAGCAAGACCCCAACTCGTAAAGTGTGAGGGGATCAATGAGAGCGGCTGCAAGGCCCTGGGGTTCAACATCACCCCCAATGGGCTGTGTGTCTTGAGGCAAGTCACTATCCCTCTCTGGGCATTGATCTGAATGCAGGGGAGGGATAATCCACCACTTGCAAGGGTGTTGGAAGGGTAGAGAGACTCTGAGTGGGGTGGTGGGGGCGGGGGGCTTTATAAACTGGAGGGCTGTACCCTCTGGCGCCGTGGATACAAACGCCTCATTCTTTCTCCTTCTTTCTCTTTATCCCATTCCCAATCTGTCAGTGGAGAGAGCCCCGAGCAGGGTAAGTGAGTGGCACCCTGGGACTCTTTTTATATTCTTGGGAGGCCAACGCTGGTTCTGAGCTGATGGGGGCCTCAGAATGAGACCTAGGTCGATCATGGTGGCTCACGCCTTTGATCCCAGCACTTTGGTAGGCAGAGGTAGGAGAATCATTTGAGGCCAGGAGTTTGAGACCAGCTGAGCAACATGGCAAAACCCCGTCTCTACAGAAAAATACAAAAAGTTGGCTGGGTGTGGTGGTCCATGCCTGTTGTGTCAGCTACTCGGGAGCCTGAGGTGGGAGGATCACTTGAGCCCAGAAGGCCAAGGCTGAAGGGAGCTGTGATCGTGCCACTGCACTCCAACCTGGGTGACAGAGTAAGACCCTGTCTCAAAAAAAAAAAAAAAAGAAAGAAAGAAAAAAAAAAACCAGGCCAGGTGCGTGCCTGTAATCCCAGCACTTTGGGAGGCCAAGGTGGGCAGATCACTTGAGGCCAGGAGTTCAAAAGCAGCCTGGCCAACATGGCAAAACCCTGTCTCTACTAAAAATTCAAAAATTAGCCAAACGTGGCGGCGGGTGCCTGTAATCCCAGCTACTCGGGAGGTCAAGGCAGGAGAATCACTTGGACCTGGGAGACAGAGGTTGCAGTGAGCCGAGATTGCACCACCGCACTCCAGCCTGTGCGACAGTATGAGACTCTGTCTCAAAAAACAAACAACAGCAACCACAACAATAAAAAAACAAGATCCATAGCCCGGTTTCCTGAAGCCTTTCTGTGTGGGAGATACCCAGAAGGCTGTAGTGTTTAAAACCCCAGTACTTTGGGAGGCCAAGGTGGGTGGATCACTTGAGGTCAGGAGTTCGAGACCAGCTTGGCCAACATGGCGAAACCATATCTCTACTAAAAATACAAAATTAGCTGGGTGTGGTGGTGGGCGCCTGTAATCCCAGCTACTCTGGAGGCTGAGGCAGAAGAATGGCGTGAACCCGGGAGGCGGAGGTTGCAGTGAGCCGAGATTGCGCCACTGCACTCCAGCTTGGGCGACAGAGCGAGACTCCATCTCAAAAGAAAAAAAAATTTCAACCTCCAGCTTTTTTCGGGTAATTAAATAAATGAATGCATGACCTTGGACCCTTCTTCCCATCCTCACTTCCGTTCGCCTAGCCATCAGCCGTTCAGCAATATCTGTGGGTGCTCCCCAACAGAAATGTCATGTGAGCTGTGTCAGTAAGTTTTTCAAAAAATGGTTTAATTTTTTTTTTTTTTTTTTGAGACTGAGTCTTGCCCTGTCGCCCAGGCTGGAGCGCAGTGGTGCAATCTCGGCTCACTGTAAGCTCCGCCTCCTGGGTTCAAGTGATTCTCCTGCCTCAGTCTCCCAAGTAGCTGGGACTACAAGTGCCCGCCACCATGCCCGGCTAATTTTTTTTTTTTTTTTTTTTTGTATTTTTAGTAGAGACGGGGTTTCACCGTGTTAGCCAGGATGGTCTCAATCTCCTGACCTTGTGATCCGCCCGCCTCGGCCTCCCAAAGTGCTGGGATTATAGGCGTGAGCCACTGCGCCCGGCCAAAATGGTTTAATTTTGAAATAATTATAGATGTCAGAGAGGTTGCAGAAGAAGTAAGGCGCTGGTTGCGGTGGCTCATGCCTGTAATCCCAGCACTTTGGGAGGCCGAGGCAGGTGGATCACCTGAGGTCAGGAGTTCGAGATAGGCCTGGCCAACATGGCGAAACCCTGTCTCTATTAAAAATACAAAAATTAGCTGGGCGTGGTGGTGGCGCCTGTAATCCCAGCTACTGGGGAGGCTGAGGCAGGAGGATCGCTTGAACCCGGGAGGCGGGGGTCTCAGTGGGCCGAGATGGCTCCACTGCACTCCAGCCTGGGCAGCAGAGCAAGACTCCGTCAAAAACAAAACAAAACAGAAGAGAGAACAAAACCTTAGCACTGAGTCAGCCGTTGGAAGCTCCCATTTCCCAGATGGGAAGCTTGAGGTCCGGACCCTAATAATGGTGGGGGACCCTCAGTCTCGGCTGGATCACAATGCAATCTAGGAGCCCAGGGCCCTGACCCTTTCTCCCCCCGGCCTTTGTCTCTCCGCAGAGTGCATCTCCCTCGCCCCCTGAGAGTCTCGTGGAGGAGGAGCGACCGAGTGGCCCTGGTGGTGGCGGGAAGCAGAGAGCAGATGAGAAGGAGCCATCAGGACCTTATGTGAGTGGGGGCAGGTGCAGGACTGGGATGGGCGTGCATGGCCCAGACCAGCCTGGCCCCTCAGAGCCTTCCAGAGCCCAGCTCTGGCCATAATTCTCTCACTCCGGAGCCTCCCATAGCTCCCTACTACTCAGAGTACTGACCAATCAGAGGAGATCCTGTAATGCAAGGCTTAACTCCAGTTGCTTGAAGTCTCTGCGGCCTCTTGGCCGTACAGCCATTTTCCCACCCTCTAGCTTTTGCTCCAGCTGTTTTCTTTCCCTAGAACACACATGTTTTAGAAACCCATTTTTCTATCAAGAAACAAAGTGCCACCTCCTACAAGAAGCCTTCCCTGACCACCTCCTAGAGGCTGGGACCTCCTCTCATTGCCAGACGGCTGCACACTTGTAGTTTCCAACTCTAGCATCCCAGGGGCCAGGCCGAATGTGGGGAATGGGGCTGTGGCCAGCTGGGGAGCCCCTTCTCCCACCTACAGGGGCAGCTGCAACTTGATCCCCGGAGACTGGCAGGCTCAGGGTGGGCCAATATTGCTGTTTCTCAGAGAAGCCTTAAATCTTCCTTTTTACCTAATAGCTTTTTTTTTTTTTTTTTGGCAATGAATTTTATTTATTTATTTATTTATTTATTAAGGTGGAGTCTTATTTTCTTTGGCAATGAATTTTATTTATTTATTTATTAAGGCGGAGTCTTTATGAAGGCGGTAAGGATGATTGCTGGTCTCTGGCTCTCCCCTCACCATGCAGAGGGGTAAACTGAGGCCTGAGAGGGCCGGGAGTCACACAGGGCACTCATGTAGTCCACATCCTTCAAAGTCCTCTCCACAAGGTGCCCACCTGCCCTGCCTCCCCACATCCTTCCCGGATGCGGGCACGTGCAGCCTTCCCTTCTGCTATGAGCAAACGGGTGCAGTGGTCTGAGAATCCCAGTCATGCCCCAGGGCTGGCTGGGCTCATGCCTCCAACTCCTGAGGAGCGGATAGGGGGTGTGGAGGCAGGGGCATGACCACAATGAGCTCTCTCCCCCATCTTCCCCCAGGAAAGCGACGAAGACAAGAGTGATTACAATCTGGTGGTGGACGAGGTGAGTCCAGGGGTCCAGCCTCTTCCCCGACTCTGGGCACAGAGCAAGGGGTGGGTTTTCTGGACTGGGAGGACCCAGAGGTAGTGGGGATCCTGGTTCCCCGCTCTGTGGGACAGCTGGGATGGGGTCAGGAAGCGTCAGGGACTCCGGGACACCTCTGGCCGACCTCCTCTCCACTGCACAGGGAGTGACTTCAAGCCCAGGTTCACTGAGTGATTTGTGGGCAGTGACACCCCCTTCCCTGGCCTCACTTTTCCCCATCTGTTCAATGGGAAAATAAAACCAAGCCTTTATATAGTCCTCGCTATGGGTGCTTATGGAGTAGAGCCTATCATTAAACCCATTTTACAGGCCGGGCGTGGTGGCTCACACCTGTGATCCCAGCACTTTGGGAGGCTGAGGCGAATGGATCACTTGAGGTCAGGAGTTTGAGACCAGCCTGACCAACATGGTGAAACCTTGTCTCTACTAAAAATACAAAAAAATTAGCTGGATGTGCTCGCTTGAACCCAGGAGGCGGAGGTTGCAGTGGGCCATTACTCCAGCCTGGGTAACGGAGCGAGACTCAAAAAAAAAAAAAATACATTTTACAGATGAGTAAACTGAGGCAGCAGAAGATTTCATAATCTTCCCATGGTGGGTCATGGGTACCCATTCTAGAGATTGGGGTGGGAGTCGGGAGGAGGATAGAGAAGGGACTCTTCTTTCCCTCTCATTTCAACTCTGCTCAACGTCACCTCCTCAAACCCAGGACCAACCCTCAGAGCCCCCCAGCCCGGCTACCACCCCCTGCGGAAAGGTACCCATCTGCATTCCTGCCCGTCGGGACCTGGTGGACAGTCCAGCCTCCTTGGCCTCTAGCCTTGGCTCACCGCTGCCTAGAGCCAAGGAGCTCATCCTGGTAAGGAGGAGGGGAGGGCCTTGAAACTCACTTTATTCATCCCGGGGGCCCCGAAGCAGACGCTACCCCATGATGCAGAGGGCAGTGATGAGAAATCAGCCAGCCGGGCTGGCATTGTCCACCCTTTCCCTGTGCTTTTTTTTTTAAACCTCCTGCTTGGACTGACTTTGTTGAACCTCAGTAAATATTAAAAGGCAACTTTGTAAAGAAGCTTTGTAGATAAATTTTAAAAGGCAATTCACTACCTTACATGGAAAGCAGGTCTCTCTCTTGCAATCAATAGGAAATCCCATGGAAATAAACATAGTGAAAGCCCAGCCAGCTAGGCTGGACTCAGGCCTGCATGTGTTGAGCCCTTCCAGAGGCGCTTAGAGACACACCGGCCCCAAGCTGAGATGTTGTCCCCGGAAGGAAAGATAATTAATATAGGAACAAGTTTTCAGTTGGACCTCCTGGAGTTTAATGCCAGGCATGTGAGCCATCTAAAAGCACCCCCAGGGCATTAGAAATTCAGCTCCTTTTGCAGCTCCCCTCACCCCAAATCTTCTCCAGACCCCTCCCCTACACTTACCAGGGAAGAGTATGTCGGTTTCTAGGCCTCCCCTCCCGGTTTCAAGGCCTCCCTTCCTGGCAGGTTACCATGGCAACCGCCAGAGGTTGGGGCTCCCATTCCATCTTAAGTGCCCACCTCCCACTGCGGGAAAAACCTTACAAGGGGATGGGTCAGCTCCGTTGTATTGGAGAAGCCCTCAGGGGTCCTCCCTGACCCCACAGTCGTCCCATCCACTCTCTCGCGGGTGCCGGTGTTGCGTGGCTGTCACTGTTTGTGCGATGGTGTCATGGGAAGCCGAGACAGACGCAAGACAAGGATGCGAAGTTTCTTGGGAGGCAGGGGAGGCAGGGGAGGCGATGACATGAAGCCGAGATAACAGAGCCTGCCCCTAGATGGAGGTCCAGCTGCTGCTTTCCTCAGAGCTCTCCTTGGGGAGGGACAGCTCTGGGTGACACCTCCCTCTCTGTGGGGGCTCAAGGAGGATTGCAGTGTGTGCTAGGCACTCTTCCTTCACCTGGGAATATGCCGCTGTGGGGTCTGCCTCTCCACGAGCCCATCCCGGAGTTTCTAATTCCTTGTTGTTCAAGAATCTCAACAGTGGCTGGGTGCTGTGGCTCATCCCTGTCATCCCAGGGCTTTGGGAGGCCAAGGCAGGACGATCACTCGAGAACAGGAGTTGGAGACCAGCCTGGGCAACATAGTGAGACCTTGTCTCTATGAAAAATTTAAAAAGTTAGCCGGGCATGGAGTCGTGTGCCTGTAGTGCCAGCTACTTGGGAGGCTCAGTCGGGAGGATCACTCGAGCATGGGAGGTTGAGGCTGCAGTGAGCTATGATCGTGCCTTTTGTTTGTTTTTCGTTTTGGAGATGGAGTCTCGCTCTGTCACCCAGGGAGGAGTGTGGTGGCGCAATCTTGGCTCACTGCAACCACTGCCTCCCAGGTTCAAGAGATTCTCCTGCCTCAGCCTCCCGGGTAGTGGGTAGCTGGGACTACAGGCACGTGCCACCACGCCTGGCTAATTTTTTGTATTTTTAGTAGAGACGAGGTTTCACTGTGTTAGCCAGGATGGTCTAGATCTCCTGATCTCAGGTGATCCGCCCACCTTGGCCTCCTAAAGTGCTGGGATTACAGGCGTGAGCCACAGCGCCTGTCTGATCATGTTAGTTTTGAGAGCAAGACCCTGTATTAAAAAAAAAAAGAATTGCAAATCTTGACAGCCTATAACTTTGTAACTTTGTTGCCTTTTTTTTGTTTTGTTTTTTGTTTTTGTAGAGTTTTGCTTTTGTTGCCCAGGCTAGAGTGCAATGGCGTGATCTCGGCTCACTGCAACCTCTGCCTCCCGGGTTCAAGCAATTCTCCTGCCTTAGCCTCCCAAGTAGCTGGAATTACAGGCATGCGCCACCACGTCCAGCTAATTTTGTATTTTTAGTAGAGATGGGGTTTTCACCATGTTCGCCAGGCTGGCCTCAAACTCCTGACCTCAAGTGATCCACCGGCCTCGGCCTCCCAAAGTGGTGGGATTACAGGCGTGAGCCACTGCGCCTGGCCTGTTGTTGTTTTGAGACAGAGTCTTTTTTTTTTTTTTTGAGATGGAGTCGCTCTGTCTCCCAGGCTGGAGTGCAGTGGCGTGATCTCGGCTCACTGCAAGCTCCGTCTCCCGGGTTCATGCCATTCTCCTGCCTCAGCCTCCCAAGTAGCTGGGATCACAGGCACATGCCACCACGCCCGGCTAATCTTTTTTTGTATTTTTAGTAGAGATGGGGTTTTACCATGTTGGCCAGGCTGGTCTCGAACTCCTGACCTCAGGTGATCCGCCCGACTGGGCCTCCCAAAGTGCTGGGATTACAGGTGTGAGACACTGCGACTGGCCGCCCCCAACCCCAGTTTCTGATCAGATCGTTGGGCCACAAGACACCAGGTGCCTGGTGGCCTTCAGTCCTGCCCTTTCTCTGCAGAATGACCTTCCCGCCAGCACTCCTGCCTCCAAATCCTGTGACTCCTCCCCGCCCCAGGACGCTTCCACCCCCGGGCCCAGCTCGGCCAGTCACCTCTGCCAGCTTGCTGCCAAGCCAGCACCTTCCACGGACAGCGTCGGTGAGCACCTTGCCTGTTGGTGCCTGTCTGGAGCAGGCCTCGTCTCTGGGGAGATCTAGGAAAAGGGGCTGGAGAGGCAGAATGCTGGGATTCCAGGCTTGGTGTTCATTGCCTTGGTCCTTTTTGTGACTTCAAGTTAGACGCTGCCTCCCTCTGGGCAGTTCCTCATTGTGTCAGCTCGGCGGGTAGGGAAACTGAGGCCTGGAGAGTGGAAGCGGCTTAGTCGGGGGTTTCAGCCTAGTGCACTGGAAAGACAATCTTTGGGGCCAGACAGACTTGGGTTTCAGACCAGGCTTGGGCATTCACCAGCTGGGTGACCTCGGGCAAGTGACCCAACCTCTCTGAGCCTCAGTTTCCCCATCAGTAATCTGAGGAATGACAGTGCTCATCTTTTCTGCCTTATGGTCAGGCCCTGGGCTGGTTCTGGGGCCCCTGAAAGAAGCTGGCCTTGGAATCTGCCCTCAAGGAACTCCCAGGTGGCAAAAAGGGACAGGACCCAGACCCCAAAACTCACAGCCCTGTATAGTCAGGGCTGGTACCAAGGCAGGTACCCAAGATGGGCAGGGCTGGAGGTTGGCAATGGGGAGGCTCAAGGATGTTTCTGAGATGTTAATGGACATTGGGCCTGGGTTTTGTTTTTTTTTTTCCTTTTTTTTTGAGACGGAGTTTCACTCTTGTTACACAGGCTGGAGTGCAATGGCACCATCTCAGCTCACTGCAACCTCCCGCTCCCAGGTTCAAGCAATTCTCCTGCCCCAGCCTCCTGAGTAGCTGGAATTACGGGCATGCACCACCATGCCCAGCTAATTTTTGTATTTTTAGTAGAGACCAGGTTTCACCATGTTGGTCAGGCTGGTCTTGAACTCCTGACCTCAGGTGATCCGCCCACCTCGGCCTCCCAAAGTGCTGGGATTACAGGCGTGAGCCACTGTGCTCGGTGGGCCTGGGTTTTGAAGGATGGATAGGAGTTTGCCAATTAAAAGAAGGAGAATGGCCATAGTCCCAGCTACTCAGGAGGCTGAGGCAGCAGAATTGCTTGAACCCAGGAGGCAGAGGTTTCAGTGAGCCGAGATCGCGCCACTGAACTCCAGCCTGGCGACAGAGCAAGATTCCATCTCAAACAAAAGAAAAAAAGAGAGAGAGAAAGTCGTGTCCACTGGAGGAACGATAGTGCAGAGGTCTGGAGGTGTCCCAGGCTATGGCCAATGTGGAACCAGCACATGGAAACTCTAAATGAAAGGCCAGGGAGCTCCCAAGGCAGTGGGAGGCGGGATCTGGGTCCAGGGCGTCAAAACCTGTCCCCGACTCTTCCGTCTCAGCCCTGAGGAGCCCCCTGACTCTGTCCAGTCCCTTCACCACGTCCTTCAGCCTGGGCTCCCACAGCACTCTCAACGGAGACCTCTCCGTGCCCAGCTCCTACGTCAGCCTCCACCTGTCCCCCCAGGTCAGCAGCTCTGTGGTGTACGGACGCTCCCCCGTGGTGAGTCCTTGGGTGGGGGCGCAGGAGGTGTCAGCAGGGCCCAGGGGCTGGGGGCCGGGAGGAGAAACCAACTACACAAGGAGAGACAAGGGAGTGCAGAAAGGGAAGGGAGCCCTGGCTCAGCAAGTATGCATGGGAAGACAATCTGGGGGTCTCAGTAGTCCCACAAGCTTAATACAAAGCAAGACTTCTGATTGTGGAAAAACGCAACAGCGATTAAGCTGCATGAAGAGGAGCAGTAGGGCCTTGGCCTCGGGACACTGTTTACAAAAACAGGCAGTGGACCAGATTTGTCCTGGGAGGGGCTGGAGTTTTCAGAACCCTGGCCTAGAGCCAGTCTGGGCATTGGATGGAGAACCCTTCAGGATCCTTGGAACCGTGGAGTTCTAGGATTTCCTGGATAGAGATTTTGGTGTCGGTGTGCTCAAGTGAAAACCTCAGCCCTCTCATCTGTAGTGTGACAGGCAGAGAGAAGGCATCTCTGCTGCCTTGGGGAGGGGTGATAAACAGAGAGGGGTATGGCAGGTGGGCGTGGGGTGGCACAGAGGTGGGTTGGAGTCACCTGCCTCACTGACACCCCCCTGGCATTCTCACAGATGGCATTTGAGTCTCATCCCCATCTCCGAGGGTCATCCGTCTCTTCCTCCCTACCCAGCATCCCTGGGGGAAAGCCGTGAGTACCAGGGTGGGGCTCCCTGCCTGGGGTCCCGGGCCAGCCCCCCACCTCCTCTGAGGTCTTACCCTCTGTGGTTGGGGTCTCCCTGCTTCCCTTCTAGAAAGTCTCTTGTGTGGGCCGGGCACAGTGGTTCACTCCTGTAATCCCAGCACTTTGGAAGGCTGAGGCAGGTGGATCACTTTAGGTCAGGAATTTAAGACCAGCCTGGCCAACATGGCAAAACCATGTCTCTGCTAAAAATACAAAAATTAGCCGGACGTGGTGGCGGGCACCTGTAATCCCAGCTACTCGGGAGGCTGAGGCAGGAGAATCACTTGAACCTGGGAGGTGGAGGTTGCAGTGAGCTGAGACCGTGCCATTGCACTCCAGCCTGGGCAATAGAGCGAGACTCAGTCTCAAAAAAAAAAAAAGAAAAAAGAAAAAAAGTCTCTTGCATAAGCTACTCAGAGTTCCACTGGCTCTCCATAGAAGTAGACTCTGACCCCCCAGGGGACACTGGGCGATGTCGGGGGACACGTGTGGTTGTCACAGCTGGGGGAGGAGACGTTCCTGGCCTGGAGTGTGGAGGCCAGGGATGCTGCTTAGCATCCTGCATTGTCCAGGATGGCTCCACCAGAGGAGATCTGGCCACAGTGTCCACAGAGCTTTCTGCAGTGATGGAAGTGTTCTAGACCCACTGCTGGCCAACCCAGTCGCCACCAGCTGGGCGTGGCTTTCAGTACTTGAAATGTGGTCAGTGCAACTGAGGAGCTGAAAAGTTTTGTTTTGTTTTGTTTTGTTTTCTGAGACTGAGTTTCGCTCTGTCCCCCAGGCTGGAGTACGGTGGTGAGATCTGAGCTCACTGCAACCTCCACCTCCTGGGTTCAAGCGATTCTCCTGCTCCAGCCTCCTGAGTAGCTGGGATTACAGGCACGGACCACCGCCGGCTAATTTTTGTATTTTTAGTAGAGACAGGGTTTCACCATGTTGGCCAGGCTGGTTTTGAACTCCTGACCTCAAATGATCCACCCACCTTGGCCTCTCGAAGTGCTGGGATTCCAGGTGTGAGCCACTGTGCCGGCCTGAAAATGTTTATTTAATTTCAGTTCATTTAAGTGTTTTAACTGGTCACAGGTGGCCGGGGCTCCTAGGACAGACCCTCTAGCTGGTCTGGAACACTCAAGGTTTCTTTGTGGGTCCTCGGTTGAACGAACATTTATTAAGTGCTTGTTTACCATGCGCCACACCACAACCTAGACTCCCTGTGTATTTGTGCCACCCACTGACTGTCCCATATCACCTTTGACCACATTGTCCTGCCTTTTTCCTAAATCAGAGGCCGAGCACCATGGCTCACTCCTGTAATCCCAGTGCTTTGGGAGGCCAAGGCGGGAGGATCACTTGAAACCAGGAGTTTGAGGCCAGCCTGGGCAACATAGCAAGACCTCATCTCTACAAAATAATAACAGAGAAAATTACTTTAAAAAATGCATCAGAGGCTGGGCCCGGTGGCTCATGCCTGTAATCCCAGCATTTTGGGAGGCCGAGGTGGGAGGATCATTTGAAGTCAGGAGTTTGAGACCAGCCTGAGCAACATGGTGAAAGCCCATCTCTACTAAAAATACAAAAAAATTAGCCAGGCGTGGTGGCCTGCACCTGTAATCCCAGCTCCTTGGGAGGCTGAGGCAGGAGAATCACTTGAACCCCGGAAGCAGAGTTTGCAGTGAGTCCAGATCACGCTACTGCCCTCCAGCCTGGGTGACAGAGCGAGACTCCATCTCAAAAAAGAAACAAACGCATCAGGCTGGGCATGGTGGCTCACGCCTGTAATTCTAGCACTTCGGGAGGCCGAGGCGGGCAGATCACTTGAGGTTAGGAGTTCAAAACCAGCCTGGCCAACATGGTGAAACCCTGTCTCTATTAAAAATACAAAAAACTTAGCCAGGCATGGTGGCGCATGCCTGTAATCCCAGCTACTCGGGAGGTTGAGGCAAGAGAATCGCTTGAACCCAGGAGGCAGAGGTTGCAGTGAGCTGAGATCGGGCCACTGCACTCCAGCCTGGGCGACACGGCGAGACTCCCTCTCAAAAAACAAAACAAAAAATAAAAAACACATCAGAGGGTGCCAGGCAGGACAAAGGCGTCTCCCTGCCCTCCCAGGTGCGGGTGCGGGGGCGTGGTGCCCAGGGCTGGGTCATGCCCCGGCTTTCTCTCCAGGGCCTACTCCTTCCACGTGTCTGCGGACGGGCAGATGCAGCCGGTTCCCTTCCCCTCGGATGCACTGGTAGGCGCGGGCATCCCGCGGCACGCCCGGCAGCTGCACACGCTGGCCCATGGCGAGGTGGTCTGCGCGGTCACCATCAGCGGCTCCACACAGCATGTGTACACGGGCGGCAAGGGCTGTGTGAAGGTGTGGGACGTGGGCCAGCCTGGGGCCAAGACGCCCGTGGCCCAGCTCGACTGCCTGGTGAGGGCGGGGTGGGACAGTGGGCGGGACTCACAGGTGAGGGGTGGGGCTTATGTTCCAATGGGGCGGTGTTCGCAGGCTGGCCGTGGGTGGGGCTACAGGTGAAGGGCGGGGCTTATAGGTGAGGGGCGGAGCTCGTAGTCGCATGGGACAAGGCTTGCAGGCCAAAGGGGTGGGGCTCTGGCCAATCTGAATTGGACTTGCAAGACAATCAGGACAGGGTTTGCAGGCCAACCATGGGTGGGGCTTATAGGTAAAGGATGGAGCTTATAGTCAGATGGGGCAGTGTTTGCAGGTCAAAGGGGCGGGGCTCACCAGCCAATCAGGGTAGGGCTTGCAGGCTAATCAGGATGAGGCTACATTGGGCTCCAGAGACCCCCACGTTGAGCTAGGCTCCTAGAGACCTCACCTGGGACCAACCCCCAGCCCCTGCTTCTCTCCCCGACCCCAGAACCGAGACAACTACATTCGTTCCTGCAAGTTGCTGCCGGATGGCCGGAGTCTGATCGTGGGCGGTGAGGCCAGCACCTTGTCCATTTGGGACCTGGCGGCGCCCACCCCCCGTATCAAGGCCGAGCTGACTTCCTCAGCCCCAGCCTGCTACGCCCTGGCCGTCAGCCCCGACGCCAAGGTTTGCTTCTCCTGCTGCAGCGATGGCAACATTGTGGTCTGGGACCTGCAGAATCAGACTATGGTCAGGTGGGTGGCAGGTGCGCTGGGACCTTGGGCAAGCCCCCGGCCGCTCTCGGTGCAGGGGGAGTGGAGGAGTGTGACCTGGGACGATGCTGGGGCAGCTCGAATTCCAGGATGGACGCCTGGGCCCTTCTCCCTCCAGGCAGTTCCAGGGCCACACGGACGGCGCCAGCTGCATTGATATTTCCGATTACGGCACTCGGCTCTGGACAGGGGGCCTGGACAACACGGTGCGCTGCTGGGACCTGCGGGAGGGCCGCCAGCTGCAGCAGCATGACTTCAGCTCCCAGGTGCTGTTCGGTTCTGGCAGGAGGGGGATGGAAGCTCTAGGAATACAGCATCCCTTCCTCTCCTTGTGAGGTGCCCACTTCCAGAGGCAGGACAGGACAGGACTCCCATCTGCTGTGGTGTCCATCTTTCTTGTCCCCCAGACACATCCACAGGCTTCCCCTGTAACTCTCTAAAGATGTAGGGGAACACAAAAGAGCTGATTCATAGGAAGCTGTGGGGCTACTGAGACCCCCAGATCATCTTCCCCACCTGCTTTTGTCCAGCCATACCCTTATATGTGCCTTTCCTCGTGTAGCTGGGTGGTTCTTCTAGCCTTTAATCTCTGGACGCCGCCGAGAGCGCGGGACACACACTTCCCAACTGAGGACTAACCATGGGGGAGCTACTGGCCAGGAGGACAGAGTGGAGGTTGATGTAGGAGGAGCTGGGCATGGAGAGATCCCCATTGAAGGTGGAGTCTAAGCTGAAGGACATGGTGAACAGGCTGGACAGAGCTGGGGGCTCCTCAGGGCTGGGCAAAGAGAGTGAATCTTCAGGCACCGTGACCCCAGATCCTGCCTCTCACTGCTTTGGGGGCAGCTGTGAGCTCCTTCTTCTGTCATTCAGGGTTTCCATGGGCTGGTCTCATGCACACCATACTCCGGGACAGCTCTGAGGCCTCTGCACATTTGTTCCCTGTGGCTGAAATGCCTTTCTCTTCTTTCTGTAATTGGCAAACTCCTATTCATCCCTCAAGACCCATCTCATTTGCCCCTCCTCCTTGAAACCTAAGAGGAGCTAACTCCTAACTCCGAAGCTCCTCTTTTTTTTTTTTTTTTTTTGAGACAGAGTTGCTGTGTTGTGATCTCAGCTCCCTGCAACCTGCGCCTCCCAGGTTCAAATGATTCTTGTGCCTCAGCCACCTGAGTAGCTGGGACTACAGGAACGCACCACCATGCTCGGCTAATTTTTGTATTTGTCGGTAGAGACAGGGTTTCACTGTGTTGTCCAGGTTGGTCTTGGATTCCTGGCCTCAAGTGATCCACCTGCCTCGGCTTCCCAGTGTGGGAATTACAGGCCTGAGCCACCGCGCTTGCCCTCCCAAGCTCTTTATGTCCAACCTGCTCTTCTCTTTCAGGAGTGCAGGTGGACACAGCTCTCCATCCCGTGGCCCCGAAGCTTAGGTGGGCTAAGAACATTTCTAGGGATCCCATGGTGAATATCTCCTAGCTCACTGGGTGTCCCCCAATGCGTCTTTACACAGAAACACTTCTGTATGGCCAGGAGAGGACATTTGAAGCCCTCCAGTCTTCTCTTCTGCAAATGTGTGGTTATTTCCACAGGCATCTTGTTAGTGAGACTCCAAGAGGTTTGGGGTGGAACAGAGCCTGATTCCTGTTTGTGCTTAAAATGAGGTGGAGGACCCTGAATCTTTTAAAAATCAAACCGAGGCCGGGTGCAGTGGCTCACGCCTGTAATCTCAGCACTTTGGGAGGCCGAGGTGGGTGGATCACTTGAGGTCAGGAGTTCGAGACCAGCCTGACCAACATGGAGAAACTCCATCTCTACCAAAAATACAAAATTAGCCAGGTGTGGTGGCACATGCTTGTAATCCAAGCTACTTGTGAGGCTGAGGCGGGAGGATCACTTGAGCATGGGAGGAGGTTGAGGCTGCAGTGGGTCATGATTGCACCACTGCACTCCAGCCTGGGCGACAGAGCAAGACCCTGTCTGTCTCAAAAAGGAACATTCCAAGCTAAGAGTGAGAAGTTCTGTCTCCTAGGCCTGGTCTGTCTTATTTTTTTTGTTTTTTGTTTCTGAGACAGAGTCTTGCTCTGTCACCCAGGCTGGAGTGCAGTGGTGCAATCTCAGGTCACTGCAACCTCCACCTCCCAAGTTCAAGCGATTCTCCTGCCTCAGCCTCCCGAGTAGCTGGGATTACAGGTGCCTGCAGCCACGCCCAGCTAATTTTTGCATTTTTAGTAGAGATGGGTTTTCGCCATGTTGGCCAGGCTGGTCATGAACTTCTGACCTCAGATGATCCGCCCGCCTCGGCCTCCCACAGTGTTGGGATTACAGGCCTGAGCCACAGAGCCCGGCCAAGGCCTGGTCTTTCATAGTCTTGCTCTGTGACCTTGAGGGGACACTGCCTCAGCTTCCATCATCTGCTTAAGGGGAGTGATTGTCCTTGCCTGGCTGTTCCCTTCTCTGTCCCTCCTCCCTCCTCTCTCCCTCCTCCCTGTGCTGTTGTGCGCTCAGAGCAGATAATGGATGTGCAGCCCTAGGGTTCTGTGTAATTCTGATTAATATTAATGATTCGACATGCAGTTGTCTGCTGTGTTCCCAGTCCTGGGCCAGCTGCCTTTCTCTAGGGGGGTGCTGAAGAGGGAGAATGTTGGACTCCACCCCCGCAACCCCTGATGGTGCTGGGCACCCCCCAATATCCAAAGGGGCTCGTAGGCTGACATGGTGGCTCACACCTGTAGTCCCAGCACTTTGGGAGGCCGAGGCGGGCAGATCACTTGAGGTTGGCAGTTTGAGACCAGCCTGGCCAATACGGTGAAACGCCGTCTTTACTAAAAATACAAAAATTACCCGGGCGTACTAGCAGGTACCTGTAATCCCAGCTACTTTGGAGGCTGAGGCAGGAGAATCCCTTGAACCTGGGAGGCAGAGGCTGCAGTGAGCTGAGACTGCAACATTGCACTCCAGCCTGGGTGACACAGTGAGACTCTGTCTCAAAAAAAAAAAAAGATTATCCAGCGTGATGGTGCATGCCTGTAGTCTCAGCTTCTGGTGCTGAGGCAGGAGGATCTCTTGAGCCCTGGAGGTCAAGGCTGCAGTGAGCCATGATTGTGCCACTGCACTCCAGCCTGGGTGACGGAGTGAGACCCTGTCTCAACACAAAACAAAGAGGGGCTCGTGACCCCATCTCTTCCCTCTTTACCCCCAGATTTTCTCCCTGGGCCACTGCCCTAACCAGGACTGGCTGGCGGTCGGAATGGAGAGTAGCAACGTGGAGATCCTGCACGTCCGCAAGCCGGAGAAATACCAGCTGCACCTCCACGAGAGCTGCGTGCTGTCCCTGAAGTTTGCCTCCTGCGGTGTGTCTTCTGGGGCGGGGTGGCACGCCCTCAAAACCCCAACAAAACCCAGGGTGCCTATTCAATCTGAATCTTAGATAAATAACAAATAATGTTATTTATATACTAAGTTTTATATACTCAAAAGCAAATCGTTAGTACAAGTATATCCCAAATGGTGTGTGGGATATACTTATACTAAAAACCAAATAATGAAGTATTTGGGATATACCTGTCCTAAAAATTACTGATGACTTATCTGAGATTCAAATTTAAGGCTGGGTGTGGTAGCTCACGCCTGTCATCCCAACACTTTGGGAGGCCAAGGCAGGCAGATCACCTGAGGTCAGGAGTTCGAGACAAGCCTGGCCAACATGGTGAAACCCTGACTCTATTAAAAGTACAAAAATTAGCCAGGCGTGGTGGTGGGCGCCTGTAATCCCAGCTACTTGGGAGGTTGAGGCAGGAGAATTGCCTGAACCCGGGAGGTGGAGGTCGCAGTGAGCCAAGATCATGCCACTGCATTCCAGCCTGGGAGACAAGAGTGAGATTCTATCTTAAAAAAAAAAAAAAAAAAAAAAAGAAAGAAAAGAAATTTAAGCCAGGCACAGTAGCTGATGTGTGTAGTTTCAGCTACTTGGGAGGCTAAGGCAGAAGGATCGCCCAAGACCAGGAGTTCAAGACCAGCCTGGGCAACATAGCAAGACTTTCTCTACAAAAAAATTAAACAGCCAGTAGGTCGCACCTGTAGTGCCAGGTACGAGGGAGGCTGAGGCAGGAGGATTGCTTGAGCCCAGGACTTTGAGGCTGTAGGGAGCTATGATGACATCACTGCCCTCCAGCCTGGGCAATACAGTGAGACCCTATCTCTTTTTAAAAAAAAATCATTCATTAGTGTAAGTATATCCTAAATAGTACATGGGATATCTTATACCAAACAAACAAACAAACAAAACTTGGGCTGGGCACAGTGGCTCACACCTGTAATCCCAGCACTTTGGTAGACCACGGTGGGAGGATCGCTTGAGGCCAGGAGTTTGAGACCAGTCTGGGCAGCATAGTGAGATCCCAACTCTACAAAAAATATTTTTTTTTTTTTTTGAGACAGAGTCTGACTGCGTTACCCAGGCTGGAGTGCAGTGGCGCAATCTCAGCTCACTGCAACCTCTGCGTCCTGGGTTCAAGCGATTCTCAAGCCTCAGCCTCCCAAGTAGCTGGAGTTACAGGTGCCTGCCACAATGCCCAGCTGATTTTTGTATTTTTAGTAGAGAAGGGGTTTCACCATGTTGGCCAGGATGGTCTCAAACTCCTGACCTCAAGTGACCCAGCCACCTCTGTCTCCCAAAGTGGGGATTACGGGTGTTAGCCACTGCCCCCGGCAAAAAATAAAAATATTAGCTGGGCGTGGTGGTGCACACCTGTGGTCCCAGCTGCTTGGGAGGAGCGCTTGAGTCCAGGTGGTGGAGGCTGCAGTGAGCTATGATTGTACCACTGCACTCCAGCCTGGGTGACAGAGCAAGACCCTTTCTTGGAAAAAAAAAAAAAAAAAGGGAGAGGCCAGACCCAGACCCAGCTTCCCCGACCTCCCCCTGCAGCCCGGGTCTCTCGTTAGTGCCCCCTCCTTGAACCCTGCTGCTCTCCTTCCCCAAGGACGGTGGTTTGTGAGCACCGGGAAGGACAACCTGCTCAACGCCTGGAGGACGCCGTACGGGGCCAGCATTTTCCAGGTACTCGGCGGTCTGGAGCCCCCACTCTGGCAGGGCCATGTGCCCGGGTATGCCAGGGTCAGACAGAGAGATTGCCCCTGTCCCTGTCCCCCAGGTCCCCCCGCCACCCTAACCCCTCCTCAGGGTCCTGCAAGCCTCCCTACCGCCCAGGTACTAAAGCAGAGGTTGGAATTTCAGCCGGAGGCCTCGCCTCATCTGCCCGTAGCCTGTTGGTTTTTCTAAAATTTAGTTGCAGTAACATGCATATAATATTATAAAATTTAAAATTTGCCAGCCGGGCACGGTCGCTCATGCCTGTAATCCCAGCACTTTGGGAGGCTGAGGCAGGCGGATCACGAGGTCAGGAGATCGAGACCACCCTGGCTAATATGGTGAAAACCCGTCTCTACTAAAAAAAATACAAAAAAATTAGCCAGGCGTGGTGGTGGGCGCCTGTAGTCCCAGCTACTCGAGAGGCTGAGGCAGGAGAATGGCATGAACCCAGGAGGTGGAGCTTGCAGTGAGCTGAGATCGCACCACTGCACTCCAGCCTGGGCGACAGAGTGAGGCTCTGCCTCAAAAATAAATAAATAAAAATAAAATTTGCCATCTTACTCATTTCTTCTTTTTTTTTGGAGACAGAATCTTGCTCTGTCTCCCAGGCTGGAGTGCAGTGTTGCGATCTCGGCTCACTGCAAGCTCCACCTCCCGGGTTCAATCGATTCTCCTGCCACAGCCTCCCGAGTAGCTGGGATTACAGGCATGTACCACCACGCCTGGCTAATTTTTGTATTTTCAGTAGAGAGGGGGTTTCACCATGTTGTCTAGGCTGGTCTCAAACTCCTGACCTCAGGTGATCTGCCTACCTTGGCCTCCCAAAGTGTTGGGATTACAGGCGTGAGCCACTGCGCCCAGCTGTTTTTCTTTCTTTTTTTTTTTTTGAGATGGAGTCTCACTCTGTCACCCAGGCTGGAGTGCAGCGGCACTATCTCTGCTTACTGCAAGCTCTGCCTCCTGGGTTCACACCATTCTCCTGCCTCAGCCTCCCGAGTAGCTGGGACTCCAGGTACCCGCCACCACACCTGGCTAATTTTTTGTATTTTTAGTAGAGACGGGGTTTCACCGTGTTAGCCAGGATGGTCTTGATCTCCTGACCTCATGATCCACCCGCCTTGGCCTCCCAAAGTGCTGGGATTACAGGTGTGAGCCACCACACCCAGCCTGTTTTTCAAATTTTATATCCCCATCAGCAGTGATTGAAATTTTAAAATTCTCTGCATCCTCACCAACACTTGTTATTGGCTGTCTTTTTAATATGCCCGTCCTGGTTGGTACAGTGTTTTTAATATGCCCGTCCTGGTTGGTACAGTGTTTTTTTGTTTTTTTGACACGGAGTCCTTCTCTGTCGCCCAGCCTGGAGTGCAGTGGCGCAATCTCAGCTCACTGCAGCCTCCACCTCCTGAGTTAAAGCGATTCTCCTCCCACAGCTTCCCAAGTAACTGGCATTACATGTGCCCGCCACCATGCCTGGCTAAGTTTTGTATTTTTAGTAGAGACGGGGATTCCCCACGTTGGCCAGTCTGGTCTGGAACTCCTGACCTCAGGTGATCCACCTGCCTCGGCCTCCGGAAGCGCCGAGCCACCGTGCCAACCCTTTATATTTTCAAAGGGTTGTAAGAAAAAAATCCCAGAATATGTGACATGGACTTATTTAGACTTTAGGCAAAGCCTAAAATGTTTACCAGGCCCTTTGTGAAGTTTGCTGATCCCTGGTCTAAGCCATTGCCTTGGCCCTCTGCTGTGCTGTGTGACATCATGCCTGGTGCACACCCACTCTGAGCTTCCAGAAAGGGCAGCACTTCAGTTCCATCTCTCTTGGTATTGAGGGAATGGAGGCCCTGTTCTGCCCATTGGACTTAGCTCCAAAGCACCTGTCTGTAGAAAACAAGTCGCTCTGCCGGGCGCGGTGGCTCACGCTTGTAATCCCAGCACTTTGGGAGGCCTAGGCGGTGGATCGCCTGAGGTCAGGAGTTTGAGACTAGCCTGGCCAACATGGGGAAACCCAGTCTCTACTAAAAATACAAAAATTAGGCCGGGTGCGGTGGCTCATGCGTGTAATCTCAACACTTTGGGAGACCAAGGCAGGCGGATCACCTGAGGTCAGGAGTTCAAGCCCAACCTGGCCAACATGGTGAAACCCTGCCTCTTCTAAAAATACAAAAATTAGCCAGGCATGGTGGCATGCACCTGCAATCCCAGCTGCTTGGGAGTTCGAGACAGGAGGATTGCCTGAACCTGGGAGGCGGAGGTTGCAGTGAGCAGAGATCACACCATTGCACTCTAGCCTGGGCAACAGAGTTAGACCCTGTCTCACAAAAAAAAAAAAAAATTACACACACACACACACACACACACACACACACACACACATTGGCCGGGCGTGGTTGCGGGCGCCTATAATCCCAGCTATTTGGGAGGCTGAGGCAGGAGAGTGTCTTGAACCCGGGAGGTGGAGGTTGCAGTGAGCCAAGATCGCACCACTGCACTTCAGCCTGGGCGACAAGAACAAAACTCCATCTCAAAAAAAGAAACACGTCACTCTGTAGGCGAGTCCTGACCTCCCGTTCCTGACTCCGCCCCAGCCTTGCCCACACACCCATCTGTGGGGACCATGCCTCACTGTGCCCTTTTCTCTCTCCCTTCCCTTGGCAGTCCAAGGAGTCGTCCTCAGTCCTGAGTTGTGACATCTCCAGAAATAACAAATACATCGTGACAGGCTCGGGGGACAAGAAGGCCACCGTGTATGAGGTGGTCTACTGAGACATGACCCCCCTTCCTGTACCCGAAGTCCAGACTCCCAGGGGAATCAGCAGCCAGGACAGACATCCTAGCAGCCGCCTCCCAGCCCTGCCTAGGAACCGTACATCCCATCTGCTCTCTGGCCAACGGCTTCACACCTTCCCCTGCTGCATGTGGGGGCCGATGGGCAGGGGACCTCGGTGGAAATAAAATGTATCTATCACATCCGCACTTCTCTCTCGGGCTGGGGAACCGGTGATCATTGTTCCTCTTGGGCACGGTTACTGGGAGGCAACCATGTCCTGGGGATGGGGTCATACGTAACGAGAATTCTTTCTGCAGGATATTCAGAGGTGTCTGCCTGGTATGTGAGAGCCACTCTGAGACACAGGAGTTGCGCTGGGCAGGATCGTTAAGATGCTGTTGCGTAACAAGTAGTCCCCGAGTCTCAGGGTTCATGCATTTTTTCCTTGCTCATACCCACATGGTGTACGGGGCTCTACTCCAGGTAGTCACTCAGGCCTCCGGGTAGAAATTTTTTTGAGACAGTCGCACTCTGTCTCCCAGGCTGGAGAGTACAGTGGTACGATCTCAGCTCACTGCAACCTCTGCCTCCTGGGCTTAAGCAATTCTTCTCCCTCAGCCTCCCGAGTAGCTGGGATTACAGGAACACCACCACACCCAGCTAATTTTTGTATTTTTAGTAGAGACAATGTTTCTCCATGTTGACTAGGCTGGTCCCAAACTCCTAACCTCAGGTGATCCACCCACCTCGGCCTCCCAAAGTGCTGGGATTACAGGCGTGAGCCACTGCACCTGGCTAGATTCCAAGGATTTCTAAGAGCCCTGCGCATGGCAAAGGGCTGAGCAAACGTCCCTGCCCAGTGGAGGGGAGGGGTACACTGAGCACTAAGGGATGAGAAACAGCCCCCAGAGCCCTGAGAAGACTGTTCTGGAAAGAGGAGAATGGCGGATGCGATATCTCAGAGGCAAGGGGAACTCGGCCTGGTGGTTACCCAGAAGACAGCCAGGTTCTGGAGAACGAGGCCTGCAGACAAGGCTTCAGTGGGGAGCGGGGAGAGTGGGGGGCAATCAGCCCCGTGTTCTGGAAGCTCAGGTGGGCTACCACGTACAGCAAGGGTTAGGACCGGTGCTGGGGCTCACACCTGTCATCTGAACACTTTGGGAGGCTGAGGCGGCAGGATTGCTTGAGCCCAGGAGTTTGAGACCAGCCTGGGCAATAGTGGGACTCCATCTCTAGAAAAAAAATTTAAGGCAGCATAGGTTGGGCGGAGTAGATGCCGCTGGGAACATTCTAGAAGGAGATGGGAGGGTTCCTGCTGAGAACAGAAGGCACGCCCTGGTGGATGTTTCTGGAGACACCGCAGGAAAGGGGATAATTCTCTGGGTTAAGGAGCCTAGGCCCGTTGACATCTGGGCCCCTTCATAGCTTGGAAAAGGGAGGGTGGGCAAGTGGCGTTTCCAGAGCCCTAGCTTGTGTGGGAAGAAGGCCGACCAGTGAAGCTATTGGAAATTTGTTTCGACCTTAGCACTGTGGACCTCGGGACTGGACCATCCTCTGGGGTGGGGCCGTCTTGGGCACCACAGAATGGTGAGTAATGTCCCTGCCCCCACCCACTCCATGCCAGGGGGACCCCACAAGTCGTGACAACCAGAAATGCCTCCAGACATCGCCTAGAGTCCCCGGGGGGCAGAATCACCCTACTGGAGACTACTGGTCAAATGGGACATGTCTAGGACAGGACCACTCACACTGCTCCTGGAATCACACCAGAAACATCGGACCAGATTGGAGCTGCTCCGGGCGGCGGAGGTGGAGATCTGCTACCCCAACAGCAAAGTCTGTGGCTGTGACTAGATTCCCAGAGAACGAGGACGGAAACGGCTCAGAGGGCTGGGCACGGTGGCTCATGCCTGTAATCCCAGCACTTTGGGAGGCCAAGGTAGGAGGATCGCTTAAATCAGGAGTTTGAGACCAGGCACAGTGGCTCACGCCTGTAATCCCAGCACTTTGGGAGGCCGAGGTGGGAGAATCACATAAAATCAGGAATTTGAGACCAGCCTGGGCAACAGAGCAAGACCCTGTGTCTACACAAAATTTTGTTATTTCTATTAATTTGAGACAGAGTCTCGCTCCGTTGCCAGGTTGGAGTACAGTGGCACGATCTTGGCTCACTGCAACCTCTACCTCCCGGGTTCAAGAGATTCTCCTGCCTCTGCCTCCTTAGTAGCTGGGATTACAGGCACGTGCCACCATGCCCAGCTAATTTTTGTATTTTTAGTAGAGATGGGGTTTCACTGTGTTAGTCTCAAACCCCCGACCTCAAAGTGCTGGAATTACAGGTGTGAGCCACCACACCCAGCATCTACAAAAAAATTAAACTAGCCGAGCACGGTGGTACATATATGTAGTCTCAACTACTCAAGAGGCTGAGGCAGGAGGATGGCTTGAGCCCAGGAGTTGGAGAGGCTGCAGGGAGTCGTGATGGCACCACTGCACTCCAGCCTGCATAACAAAGTGAGACCCTGCCTCAGAAAAAAAAAAAAAAAAAAAAAAAAAGGCTTAGAGCCACCAGGCTGGACGAAGTCCTTCCAGATTTCCACAAGTTGAGCAGGGACGGGATGGGAAGGCCCCTTTCCCTTCAGAGGACAGGACGCGTCCACACTCTGCCTTTCCCGGGTGCTTTATTACACGTGATGGCGACCAGTCTACACCACAGACTAGATCGTGCGATGCCACAGAAGAGCCTTCCCGCTTCCCTCCACCATGTCCCCCTTGTTGGGGGGGGGGAAGGGGGGGGATGAAAAGAGGAGCCGGAGTGGGATGACAGCAGCGAGGCCCCTCAGTAGGTGATCTGGTACACGGAGGCGTGCTCCCCGGAGCCTGTGACAACGAGGCGGTTGTTGGAAGAGACGTCACAGCACGTGACTGGAGACATCTCAGGCACCTGGAGGGGGGGCAGTGGGCAGTGAGCTGGGGTAGGGCTCACACACCCCTGGTCTCCACCTGTCAGCTCAAGCATGAAGCATCGTCTCTTCAAAGAAAGACAGGGTCTTGCTCTGTTGCCCAGGCTGGAGTGCAGTGGTGCAATCTCAGCTTGCTGCAGCCTCGACCTCCTGGACTCACACAATCTTCCTGCCTCAGCCTCCCAAGTAGCTGGGACCGCAGGTGTGCACCACCACACTCAGCTAATTATTATTTTTAATTTTAAAAGTGTTTTTAATTATTATTATTATTTTTTTAGATGGAGTCTCTGTCACCCAGGCTGGAGTGCAGTGGCACAATCTTGGCTCACTGCAAGCTCCGCCTCCCTGGCTCACGCCATTCTCCTGCCTCAGCCTCCCAAGTAGCTGGGACTACAGGCGCCCACCACCACGCCCAACTAATTTTTTGTATTTTTAGTAGAGACAGGGATTCACCGTGTTAGCCAGGATGGTCTTGATCTCCTGACCTCATGATCTGCCCGTCTCGGCCTCCCAAAGTGCTGGGATTACAGGCGTGAGCCACCGCACCCGGCTCAGCTAATTATTTTTTGTAGAGATGGGGTCTCACTATGTTGGCCAGGCTGGTCTCGAACTCCTACACTTAAGAGATCTTCCTGCCTCAGCCTCCCAAAATGCTGGGATTAAAGCCGTGAGCCACCACACCTGGCTACTTTTTAAGTTTTTTGTGGAGACAGGGTCTTGCTGTGTTGCCCAGGCTGGTCCCTTTGGGGCCACCCCCGGGTCCTGCCCCCAGCCCACCGCAGTACCTCGAACACTTTTGTCCCCGCCGGCATGCTGTAGACGCCAAGGAAGTCGTCCATTCCAACGCTTGCCCACCACTGGCCTGGGAGAAATGGAGCATCAGCGAGACTTAGAACCACTACCTTTTTCCTTCCCAGAGTTCATCCTCCCCACCCACCTTTTTTTTTTTTTTTTTTTTTTGAGACAGGGTCTCACTCTGTCACCCAGGCTGGACTACAGTCAGTGGTATGATCACAGTTCACTGTGGCCTCAGCCTCCCCGGGCTCATGGGGACACCAGTGGCTGAAGGGGGAAGGGCGGAGGCGGACCGCGCCGGTGGGGCGGGTGGGGAGGAAGGGCCCAGGCACCCACCCCCTTCCCTCCCTCATTCCACTATAAGAGCATCCCCAAAATTGGTTTCTGCTACAGAAGGGTTCTGAGGTGTCCTAGAGGGTTGGGTGGGGAGCTGGCATTAGGTGGGGTCTTGTGGGAGGCTGGGGGCTGCAGGGGAGTCCCCTCATCTTCCGCCAGCCGCTTACCAAAGGGGGAGAACTTGACGCTCAGGATGACGCTGTCTTTTTGCCCCACCATGTGCCGCTGGCTCCCGCTGGTGCTTTGCAGCCACTGCTGGCCATTGGCCATGCCCAGCAGCACCCAGTCCTCCTGGGGGCTGTGGGACAGGCTCATTATCTAGGTAATGGGCAGTGGGGAGGGAGGAACCTGGTTAGGTCCCAGCCTGGCCCAGGAAGCAGGCAGGAGCCTGGGGACCTATCCTGGAGGCCGGGTGACTGACCCCTTCCTAGCTGTGCAGCCCTGGGACAAGCAACTTCGTATCTGTGCCTCAGTTTGTTGGTGTGTAAAATGGAGAGTCTTCCCTACTTTGCACCTGATACAGCATGAGTGTTTATTTTGAGACGGAGTCTCGCTCTGTTGCCGGGCTGGAGTACAATGGTACGATCTCGGCTTACGACAACGTCTGCCTCCTGGGGTTTAAGCGATTCTCCCGCCTCAGCCTCTTGAGTAGCTGGGACTACAGGCATGCGCCACCATGCCTGGCTAATTATTCTGTTTTTTTTTTTTTTTTTTTTTTTTTTTAGTAGAGACGGGGTTTCACCATGTTGGTCAGGCTGTTCTTGAACTTCTGACCTCAAATGATCCACCCGCCTTGGCCTCCCAAAGGGCTGGGATTACAGGCGTGAGACACTGCGCCCGGCCTGCAAAGAATATTTCTAATGATCTCTGTGTTTGGAGCATCAGTGAGACTTAGAACCACTACCTTTTTTCCTTCCCAGAGTTCATCCTCCCCCCCCCCCACCCGCCTCCCCCCCTTTTTTTTTTTTTTGAGACAGGGTCTCACTCTGTCACCCAGGCTGGACTACAGTCACTGGTATGATCACAGTTCACTGTGGCCTCAGCCTCCCCGGGCTCAAGCCATTCTCTCACCTCAGCCTCCCAACTAGCTGCGACCCCAGGTACGTGCCACCATGCTCAGCTAATTTTTATTTTTATTTTTTGTAGAAACAGGGTCTCACTATGTTGCCCAGGCTGGTCTCAAACTCCTGGGCTCAAGTCTTCCTCCCACTTCTGCCTCCCAAAGTGGTGGGATTGCAGGCATACGCCACTGTGCCTGGCCAACCTCATTTGTTTTTGAGACAGAGTTTCGCTCTTATTGCGCAGCCTGGAGTGCAATGGCACGATCTCGGCTCACCACAACCTCCACCTCCCGGGTTTAAGCGATTCTCCTGCCTCAGCCTCCCGACTAGCTGGGATTATAGGCATGTGCCACCATGCCTGGCCAATTTTGTATTTTTAGTAGAGACGGGGTTTCACCATGTTGGTCAGGCTCGTCTTGAACTCCCGACCTCAGGTGATTTGCCCTCCTCGGCCTCCAAAAGTGCTGGGATTACAGGTGTGAGCCTCTGCGCCCAGCTCTGATTTTTGTATTTTTAGTGGAGATGGGGTTTCACTATGTTGGCCACGCTGGTCTCAAACTCCTGACCTCAGGTGATCCACCCACCTTGGCCTCCCAAAGTGCTAGGATTATAGGCGTGAGCCACGGAGCCCGGCCTCAACCTCATTTTTTAATCTGAGGACCAGAGGATGCCTGGCCAAGCAGACCCCATCCCGGCCTCCGCACCTGAGACTTGAATTGGTACTCCAGAGGTTTCATGATGGTCCTCTGGTCCCAGCACCGCAGACAGGCATCCGGACCCCCAGTCCAGATGTTGTAGCCCTTGACCACGATACTCTTGACTCCATCAGGATAACCCTTGAGGTCCCTGGCCAGAAGGGACATCGGGAGGCAATCAGGTCAAGACTCTGAGGTTTGGGCCCCCGGAAACACCAGTCACTACATTTGGGCATGAAAGGGACAGTGCCACCACCCAAAAATCTCTGCCTGCACAGAGTGTCAAAGTTGGCAGAAAACAGACACAGGATCTAGTGCCGGCCCCTCCCAGCCCTCAGCCTCCCTTCTCCGTCCGCCTGGGCCTCCCCTTGGCCTCACCTAGGCCTCCCCTTGCCTCTTCCACCCTGAGTCCACCCGAGCTCTGAGGCAGGTCTACAGGAATCCCTTCAAGCAGGGAAGGGGAATAGTGCCGGGCGGGTGGTGTGCTGTATTTTACGTCAGCCATTGCTTCCTGCAAACATATGCTGATAGATATCTTATATGTTATAAATACATATATTATATATATGTGTGTGTGTGTGTGTGTGTGTGTGTGTGTATATATATATATATATATACGTATTTTTTTTTTTTTTGAAATGGAGTCTCGTTTTGTTGCCCAGGCTGGAGTGCAGCAGCACGATCTCAGCTCACTGCAACCTCTGCCTCCTGGGTTCAAGCGATTCTCCTGCCTCAGCCTCCCGAGTAGCTGGCATTACAGGCATGGGCCACCACGCCTGACTAATTTTGTATTTTTAGTAGAGATGGGGTATCTCCATGTTAGCCTGGTCTCAAACTCCCGACCTCAGGTGATCTGCCCGCCTCGGCTTCCCAAAGTGCTGGGATTACAGGCATGAGCCACCATGCCCAGCCTATTTACATATATTTAATATGTGTGTGTGTATACATATATGTATGTATGTATGTATGTATGTATGTATGTATGTAAAATTTTTTTTTGAGTCAGAGTCTCACTCTGTGACCCAGGCTGGAGTGCAGTGGCACCATCTTGGCTCACCACAAACTCCGCTTCTCAAGCGATTCTCCTGCCTCAGCCTCCGGGGTAGCTGGGATTACAGGCATGTGCCACCACGCCGGCTAATTTTCATATTTTTTAGTAGAGAGGGGGTTTCGCCATGTTGGCCAGGCTG
This sequence comes from Homo sapiens, assembly GCF_000001405.40. Taxonomy (NCBI): domain Eukaryota; kingdom Metazoa; phylum Chordata; class Mammalia; order Primates; family Hominidae; genus Homo; species Homo sapiens. The sequence goes on along the minus strand of NC_000019.10, from coordinate 2,990,803 downwards.
GTCTTGAGCTCCTGGCCTCAAGTGATCCACCCACCTCGGCCTCCCAAAGTGCTGGGATTACAGGTGTGAGACACCGCACCCAGACTGTTTTTTATATATGTATATATTTATGTATATATTTATGTATATATTTATGTATATATTTATGTATTTATATATATATTTATTTATATATGTGTGTATTTTTTTTTCTTTTTTGAGACAGAGTCTTGCTCTGTCGCCCAGGCTGGGAACGCAGTGGCACAGATCTCGGCTCACCGCAAGCTCCGCCTCCCGGGTTCAAGGGATTCTCCTGCCTCAGCCTCCCGAGTAGCTGGGACTACAGGTACCCACCACCGCGCCTGGCTAATTTTTTTGTAGTTTTAGTAGAGACAGGGTTTCACCGTGTCAGCTAGAATGGTCTTGATCTCCTGACCTCGTGGATCTGCCTGCCTCGGCCTCCCTAACTGCTGGGAGTACAGGCGTGAGCCACTGCGCCCGGCCAATTTATATATACATATTTTTAAATAGACTATATAAAAATTCTATTTAATTTTTATTAAATAAAATTTATTCTATTTAATAAAAATAGAATAAATTCGTTTTATTCATTACCCAGGTTAATCTCGAATTCCTGGGCTTAAGCATTTGTCCCGTCTTGACCTCCCAAAGTGCTGGGTTTACATGTTTGAGGCACCAGGCCTGGCCTGCTGTTTTATATTTTTACAACAAATTTGCCCTCTAACAAGCCTTTGAGTTTGGGGCTGTCACATCCTGTGTCCAGGTGGGGAAACTGAGGCAGACAAAAAGTAAAATGCCCTGGGCTGCAAGGAACGCAGTCCAGCCAAGATTCAAGTCCGCACCTCTAAACTTTCTCAAATCCAAGTTCAAGGGGGCAAGGGGTTTTGGCTGGGAGAGTGCTATATCCCAGGTTCAGGAGGTGGCAGGAAGGCGGGCAGAGGTGGTAGCAGTAAGGTGGGCAGAGGTGGCCACAGGAGGCTGGCACAGGATGCTTCCCCTTCCCACCCCCCAAACGCACCTGACCACACTCTGATCCCGCAGGTCCCAGATCCTGACCACACCACTGGTGAAGCTGGCGAAGGCCAGGTTGGCATCCAGGTTGGCATCCAGGGCCTGGCAGTTGAGACCTGCACAGGGCAACTGCTCCTTCACATGCAGGGAGGGCGCCGCCAGGTCCCACACGCTCACGCTGGCCAGGTTGTAGCCACCGGTGAGCAGGCTCCTGCTGTTTGAGGACAGCAGGCAGGTGCGCAGGAAGGCCCCAGGGGTCTGGGATGGGCAGAGTCACTGTGAGCTGTCGCCCCCCGTGGCATTCTGCCTGGACTGCTTTGCCTCATGAGAGCGAACTCCTATTCATCCTTTAGGTTCCTAGCTATTATGCCCCTTTTCCCTGGAAGCCCTCTCTCCACGATCTGGGCTCTGCCAGACTCAAACCTCAAACCCCCTGTTCCCAGAAGCCCTGCATCCCTGGAAACCAAGGCCGTCCTCACCTGTATAGGCAGGTGGCTCTCAGGGAACCTGTCCTCAGCCACCTGTCCAGTCAGGCTCCACACCTTGATGCCTCTTCTGCCACAGGTGAACACGTGCCGCGTGAAGCTGCTGATGGCCGTGGCGAGCACGAGCTCCCCGTGTGCCAAGATCCGCATCTTTTCCAGTTTGCACGGGACGGCGAGTCTCTTTGACTGCCCGGGCAAGGCATCTGGCCTCTTCCATGCATCTTCAAAGTCCTCAGGGTCCCAGGATCTTGGGAGGGGAGGCCTTGGGGTAACTGACCTGCTTGTGAGCCCCTTTGCCCAGTGGGAGCCACACATCAAGGCCTAGAGGGGCTTCTTTTTCAGATTTTGGGGTCCCTCTCTCAGGCCTTGTTTTACCCTCTAGACTCCCCTCAATGTCCTGCTCATATTCCTTCAAGTATTGTCCCTTTGCCACAGCCCTCCACATACTTCTGCCTTCTTCCTAGACTGCTTTGCCCCAGGAGGAAGAACTCCTATTCATCCTTTATGGTCCTAGCTATTATGCTCCTTCCCCAGAAAAGCCTTCTTTGCCCCACCTGGGTTCTCCCAGCATCACTCCACAAGGTTGGGACAATCTGCATCCAGTTCTAACACAGCTACACCCCATCCCCTTCCATGAAAAAGTCTTCCCCAAATGCCTTGAGCCCAGTGTTGGGGCGGCGATCCTGTGAGCCTAACACTGCACTTTTTTTTTGAGACGGAGTCTTGCTGTCACTCAGGCTGGAGTGCAGTGGCGCGATCTCAACTCACTGCAACCTCCACCTCCCGGGTTCACGCCATTCTCCTGCCTCAGCCTCCCGAGTAGCTGGGACTAAAGGCACCCACCACCACGCCTGGCTAATTTTTTTTGTATTTTTAGTAGAGACGGGGTTTCACCGTGTTACCCAGGATGTTCTCAATCTCCTGACCTCGTGATCTGCCCGCCTCGGCCTCCCAAAGTGCTGGGATTACAGGCGTGAGCCACCGCGCCCGGCCTAACACTGCACTTTTCTACCCAGCCTCTGCAGCGGCTGTTGGAGAGGATGGCAGAGTAGTGATGGGAAAAGGGGAAGAAAGTCTTACACCTCTGTTCCCCTCTATGTGTCGGGAACAGAGGTATAGACAGGAAGGAATTCCCGCTGCCCCTCACCCCGCCCAAAAGCAAACAGTGCAGACACTTACATGGACTGTAGAAACCGAGAGGCTCTTCCAGGAGGCTCCTGCAGGCGGGGGAGATCACAGCTGCCCCCAGCCTCCCCGCACATCTGTGCCCACCTCCTCTACCCCACCCTGGGCAGCCTTCACGCTGGGCTACCAGCTCGGGCCTGGGTCTCACCTGGACCACACCCCAACTTGTGTTCCTGTCTTGGGAACCCTCAGGGGGACTGGAGGAGGCCTCAGGTGGCCTGGGGGCTAGTGGGGAGACAAGAGGGGCTAAGCGGCTTGCATTGGCTCCTCAGCACAGGATGCCCCCACCCCATCCCGCCTGGAGTCGGTCGGCCCCTGCCCGCTGGGATTACTGGAGGCATCTTCAGGACATGGGTCTGTTCCTGGGTCACAGGATCCTGGTGCCTTGCTTTCCTGCCCCTGGAAAATGGAAAAGTCTCATCAGGCCTGCTGACCTGCCTGTTAGGACCAGAAGACCTCGGATTCCTGGGCAGCTTGCACAGGGCTTGTCAGCTGCCTGGGGTCCTGTCTGCGGGTCCAGGCAGAGTTGCAGAGAGAGAGTCAGGGTATAGGGTCCTGGAAGCCCTGGGCTGTGGGTCCTGGGCTACTCCAGTATAGCCTCCTGGATCACCCAAGTCCCCCCCGGGGGACCCGAGGGGCAGGATGGAAGGAAGACAAATCCCACAGGAACCCCAGTGCCCTGACCTGGGGGAGCCCAACCGCCTGCCCGGAAGCCCACCCCTCTGGATAGAGCTGAGGTTGTTTACTCACCAGGCCTGGTGCCTGCTCTGTCACCATGACAACGGAGAGGAGGAGGGGGACAGAGAGAACAGCAGGGTTCACTGCACAGCCCCTGAGACGCAGCCTGTGGCTGCCCCTTCCCCCTCACCCTCAGGGACACTCACGTCTGTCTCTGGGCTTTGCCTTCTCATCGTGGACGCCGGCAAAAATCCGCCAGAGTTGCTCGGTCAGAGTGTCGTGCCAAAACCAAGGCTCCTTGTCCCAGAACAGCTGGGTCTCCGGCTGATTGTCCTCCCCCAAAGGCCGCCGGAGCCAGTCGGAGGACCTGGTGGCCATGATGTCCTCAAAGCTCGACTCCTGCAGGGTCTTGTCCTTCACCTGCTGGGGCGTCCCAGGGCTGGCTGGTTCAGCAGGTGAGACCTGGCCCGGCAGGAACAAGGCAGTGAGAGCTTTGAGGATGAGCCTTCACCCAAGCCTGTCCCCTCCCCTCCTTGAAGACCCAGAAACTCACCTCCTCAGACTGGAAACCCTGGAGTTGGCTGCAGCTCTCCACAATCTGTAAGACGTTTCCTATCTAGAAGGAGGTTGGCAGCAAAACAGTTAAATGTTGTTGCAGTTAAGGGTTTGCAATCCTACAGCATGATTATCCCCACCTGTAGAAGAAGGTATATCAATCTACTTGTTTTTTTGAGACAGAGTCTCACTCTGTCACCCAAGCTGGAGTGCAGTGGTGCAATCTCGGCTCACTGCAACCTCCGCCTCCCAGGTTCAAGTGGTTCTCCTGCCTCAGCCTCCTGAGTAGCTGGGATTACAGGTGCACACCACCACACCCAGCTAATTTTTGTATTTTTAGTAAAGATGGGGTTTCACCATGTTGGCCAGGCTGGTCTCCAACTCCTGACCTCAGGTGATCTGCCCACCTCAGCCTCCCAAAGTGCTGGGATTATAGGCATAAGCCACCACCCCCAGCCTTCATCTACTTTTTTGCAGATAAGATCTCACTCTGACACCCAGGCTGGAGTGCAGTGGTGCGATTACAGCTCACTGCACCCTCAACCTCCCAGGCTCAAGTGATCCTCCCATCTCAGCCTCCTGAGTAGCTGGGGTTACAGGTATGCACCACCACGCTCAGCTAATTTAAATACACTTTTTGTAGAAATGGGAGTCTCATTATGTTGGCCAGGCTGGTCTTGAATTCCTGGCCTCAAACTATCCTCCCACGTGTGCCTCCCAAAGTGCTGGGATAACAGGTTTAAGCCACCGCATCCGGCCTATCGCACCTGGCATATATCTTTTTTTTTTTTTTTTTTTTTTTTTTTTTTTTTTTTTTTGAGACAGTCTCACGCTGTGGCCCAGGCAGGAGTGCAGTGATGTGATCTCGGCTCACTGCAACCTCCGCCTCCTGGGTTCAAGCAATTCTCCTGCCTCAGCCTCCCAAGTAGCTGGATTACAGGCGTGTGCCACTACACAGACTGATTTTTGTATTTTTGGTGGAGACAGGGTTTCACCATGTTGGCCGGGCTGGTCTTGAACTCTTGACCTAAGATGATTCTCCTGCCTTGGCCTCCCAAAGTGCTGGGATTACAGGTGTGAGCCACCACACCTGGCCCCAGCTACTCTTTTTGGGATGTTTTAAAAAGAAAACCTGACCACCACCACACTTTGCTTCAAATGACTTCAAGCAGGCCGGGTGCGGTGGCTCACGCCTGTAATCCCAGCACTCTGGGAGGCCGAGGCGGGCGGATCATGAGGTCAGGAGATTGAGACCATCCTGGCTAACATGGTGAAACTCCATCTCTACTAAAAATACAAAAAAAAAAAAAAAAATTAGCCAGGCATGGTGGCAGGTGCCTGTAGTCCCAGCTACTCGGGAGGCTGAGGCAGGAGAATGGCTTGAACCCAGGAGGCGGAGCTTGCAGTGAGCCCAGATGCGAGATGATGCCACCGCACTCCAGCCTGGGTGACAGAGCGAGACTTGTCTCAAAAAAAAAAAAAAAAAAAAAGGCTTCAAGCAGCAAAACAGCATACCTAGGTCTCCCTAGGTGAGGAAGACGTTTTAATTTGCTTAAACTTTGGAAAGATACTAAGAAACTGAGGGTTACCTGCTGGGGAGAATTGATAGAAACAAGTCAGTGGTAATTTTTTTTTCTCTTTTGAGACAGTCTTGCTCTGTCGCCCAGGCTGGAGTGCAATGGCACCACCTCTGCTCACTGTAACCTCTGCCTCCTGGGTTAAAGCAATTCTCCTGCCTCAGGCTCCCAAGTAGCTGGGATTACAGGCACCCGCCACCATGCCCAGCTAATTTTGTATTTTTAGTAGAAATGGGGTTTCTCCATGTTGGCCAGGCTGGTCTCGAACTCCTGACGTCAGGTGATCTGCCCACCTCAGCCTCCCAAAGTGCTGGGATTACAGGCGTGAGCCACCTCACCCAGTCTGGTGTTTTATTTAAAACGAACAAACAACAACAAAAATCAAGCCATCTGACCACTGTCAATCCCGAAGTTAAATGTAGTTTCTCAGTAAACAGAATAAAATCGAGATCAATACCATCCAGTACAAGTAGAATTGGAATAATACATAAATATAGTCATGCATATGGAATGTCTAGTAGCCATGTTCAAAGTATAAAGAAATTGGCCAGGTGCGATGGCTCACACCGGTAATCCCAGCACTTTGAGAGGCTGAGGCGGGCGGATCACCTGAGGTCAGAAGTTCGAGACCAGCCTGGCCAACATGGCAAAACCCTGTCTCTACTAAAAACATAAAAGTTAGCCAGGCATGGTGACACACACCTGTAATCCCAGCTACTTGGGAGGCTGAGGCAGGAGAATCACTTGAACCCAGGAGGTGGAGGTTGCAGTGAGCTGAGATCCTCCCACTGCACTCCAGCCTGGGAGACGGAGCATGATCCGTCAAAACAACAAAAAAAGAAAGCAAGGCGAGTGATCCTATCTCTTAAGTTTTTTTCTACAAAAAGGCTACCTGTCTGTTTCCTTAGCAGGACGGCGGAGGGAGGGGCCGGGAGGGGAGACCCTCCATCGGAGCCCCGCGGGGGGGGGGGGACTCCAGGCTGATGCCTCCTGGGGCAGCCAGTGATGGATTTCCCAGCTGAGCCCGCCCAGCAGCAGCAAATCCCAGGGGAGCCCTCTCCAATTCACCCCGCCTCGTTAATGCGCAATTTACCGGCACTTTAATGCGCTCAGCATGAAAAGTGTGGCTCCCTTGTGCCTGCTAGCAGCCCTCCCGGGGGAGAGTGGCAGGCGGGCTGTCGGAGGAGGGGGCTGTGCTGATGGCGATTTTGAAAGCACAGCGAGGCGGCTGGGAAAGCCCGGAACTGGAAGCAGCGGGTGGGGGAAGCGGACTGCCCAGGACCACAGGCCAGGCTGGGCTGCCAGGGATCCTGGGGCCCCCTGCAGTGGGGGCTGGGCAGGGACCCTCCTGGGTCTGGCTGCAACCGAAGTGGCTCCTTTGCTCTGGAGCCCTCACCCCCTGCGTATCCTGATGCTCAGCAGCTGCGGTCAAGTTCCTCCCAAAACACGTCCACAATTATTCAATTACTTCTCATCACTAAGCAACCAGCATTCCACACCTGGACTGTCCTAACTGGTTCCCGGGCTTCTGCCCTCATCCCTCCTCCTTCTTCTCTGTCCTCTCCGCAGTAGCCAGGGCCTGCCCTCTGTCTGAAGCCCTCCATGGCTCCCACCTCCCTCCCTCAGGGTTCAAAGCCCAAGTCCTCCCTGAAGCTCACAGGGCCATGCGTGGCCTGCCCTCCCCCCCTCCTCCTCTCACTCTGCTCCAGCCATGCGGGCTTCCTCGTAGTGCCTTCAGGACCAACACAACAGGCACCGTCCTGCCTCAGGGCCTTCACACAGGCTGTGCCCTCTGCCTGAAATATCCCTCCCATCCCAGACAGCCACACTTCCTCTTTGATGTCCTTTAAGCCTCCGCTCAGATGTCACCTTCTCGCATGCCTTCCCTGACCACCCTGAATTGCAACCCTCGCCCACCCTGGCCTCCCCAATCCCCTTGGGGCTGCTCTCTTCCATCCCCCGCCTTGCCCAGCCCTCATCCCCTAACACTCCATCTACCAGGCTCCACTCGCCCCAAGGGTGGGAAGCTCTGCGTCGTTCTTTGCTATTTTCCTGGCTTCTACAACAGTATTTGGCAAGGAGGTGATGGATAAATATCTGCTGAATGAATAACCATGTTTTGGTTGCTTCCTGGCCCCCCCTCACCCTGTTCCCTTCGCTGCCCCCCTCCTCCCAGGCCCTGCTAAGTTGCAGACACGGCCCTGGGCCCCTGCCAGTTACATCTGGCACAGGCGGAAAATCCTGCCAGCGCCTGGGAGAAAAGGCCAGGTGGCGGGAGGACAGGCAGGGCTGGAAGGCGTACTTCTGCTTGGGCCAGGCGCCCTGGGCTGGGAGATGGGAGCCCGGGCGCCCCCTCCCATGCAGAGCTCCCCTCACTCCCATGTCATATGGCCCCTCATTGAACACTCAGACACGCAGGGGAACACAGCCGGGTGCCTGCCCCATCACAGGCTCTCTCTGTCCAAAGCAACTGACCGGCAAAGGGTCATCTAGGTTGCGCAGGGGCCCAGGGAGCGGAAGGAGCAGGACTGACCCTCTCTTGGAAGCAGCTCAGAGACAGGACAGGAGATGCTCCCCAAGATATGGGGCCTCCACTAATATCACGGGGGCTTCCAAGTCAGGGCATGTCCCTCCTCTGCCAGCAGTCCTCCATGGCTCCCACCTCCCTTGGGGTCAAAGCCCAAGTCCTTCCCACGGCCCACAAGGCTCAGCATGACCTACCCCTCGTCCTCTGTCTTCACCATCCCCCACCTCCTTTTTTTTTTTTTTTTTTTTTTGAGACAGAGTCTCGCTGTCGCCCAGGCTGGAGTGCAGTTCCACGATCTTGCCTCACTGCAATCTCCACCTCCCGGGTTCAAGCAATTCTCCTGCCTCAGCCTCCCAAGTAGCTGGGACTACAGGCGCCCGCCACCACGCCTGGCTAATTTTTTTATTTTTAGTAGAGACGGGGTTTCACCATGTTGATCAGGCTGGTCTCGAACTCCTGACCTCAAGTGATCCACCCTCCTCGGCCTCCCAAAGTGCTGGGATTACAGGTTTGAGCCACTGTGCCCGGCCCCCCTCTGTGCTTTCTCATGCCTTTCATGGAGGGACAGCCGCACCCCTGAGCTCCTGGTCACCCACCTGCTTGTGATGTTCTGCCACATCCTGCTGGATCTTGTGCAGCTGCAAAGGGAAAACAGAGATCCCATCGGGAGGTGGTCCGGGTGTGAATGCTGTGTGACCCTGGGCAAGCTGCTCTACCTCTCTGGCCCCTACTCCCCCACCTTAAATTTTTGTTTTCACCTTGTTTTCTCTTTTACTTTCTTACTACACTGATGTATGGTCCCTACCTTTTTTTTCCTCAGAGAGAGTCTTGCTCTGTTACCTGGGCTGCAGTACAGTGTGATCTCAGTTCACCGCAACCTCTGCCTCCTGGGCTCAAGCGATTCTCCTGCCTCAGCCTCCCGAGTAGCTGGGAGTACAGGCACCTGCCACCATGCCCGGCTAATTTTTGTATTTTTAGTAGAGACAGGGTCTCTACTATGTTGGCCAGGCTGGTCTCCAACTCCTGACCTCAGGTGATCCACCTGCCTCGCCCTCCCATAGTGCTGGGATTACAGGCGTGAGGCACAGTGCTTGGCGGAAAAGAACCTCTCTAGGGCACTCAGGAGGCAGGGCCGGGAAACCAGGGCCTCAGCTTGTCCCAGTGGGGCCCTCCTTGGTTGGGGCTGCCTGGGTCTGGCTCACCGAGTAGTAAATGCTCTCCAACTCCGCAGCAAAATGAGGAGAAAACCTGAGGGGGAAGGAGGACAGGCTGGAAGACCTGTGGCTTCAGGACTCCCTCCCCAGAGTGAGCCCCACCCTCAACCCCTAGGGAGGGTCTCAATGAAGCTGGAAGGCACTGGCTCCAGAAGCCAAATTTAAGGCAGTGTCAAGAAGTTCAGTAAGATTTTAATGCAGTATATTCTTTTTTTTTTTTTTTTGAGACAGAGTCTCACTCTTGTCACCCAGGCTGGAGTGCAGTGTCACTGCAACCTCCGCCTCCTGGGTTCAAGAGATCCTCCTGCCTCGACCTCCCGAGTAGCTGGGATTACAGACACCTGCCACCACACCCAGCTATTTTTTTGTATTTTTAATAGAAACAGTGTTTCACCATGGTGGCCAGGCTGGTGTCAAACCCCTGACTCCAGGTGATCCGCCCACCTCGGCCTCCCAAAGTGCTGGGATTACAACAGGCTTGAGCCACCGCGCCCCGCCACTTTCTTCAATTTTTTTTTTTTTAAACAGAATCTCACCCTGTTGCCCGGGCTAGGGTGCAGTGGTACAATCATGGCTCACTGCAGCCTCCAATTCCTGGGCTCAGATGATCCTCCTGCCTCAGTCTCCTGAGTAGCTGGGACTACAGGTGTGCACCACCACACTCAGCTAGATTTTTTTTATTTTTTAAGAGATGGCATCTCGCTATGTTGCCAAGGCTGGTATTGAACTCCGGGCTCAAGCGATCTTCCTGCCTCTGCCTCCCAAAGTGCTGGGATTACAAGTGCAAGCCACTGCACCCAGCCCATGCAGTACTTTTTTTTTTTTTTTTTTTTAAAGACCGAGTCTCACTCTGTAGCCTTAGGCTTGAGTGTAATGGTGTGATCCTGGCTCACTGCAACCCTCCGCCTCCTGGGTTCAAGAGATTCTCCTGCCTCAGTTTCCCAAGTAGTTGGGATTACAGGCACCCACCACCAAGCCTGGCTGATTTTTGTATTTTTTGTAGAGACGCGGTTTCACCATGTTGGCCAGGCTGATCTTGATCTCCTGACCTCAAGCAATCCGCCCGCCTCCGCCTCCCAAAGTGCTGGGATTACAGGTGCGAGCCACCATACCCAGCCGTTGCAGTATTTTTCAACAATAAAATTGAATGCCAACAAATCCATGTCGAACAGGAAAATCAAAATTTTAATATTTGTTGGTAATTTTGTTTAATCAAAAGCTGGGATGGGTATTGCCGGGTTCTCCATGCTGGGTATCTGCATGGCTTCCTGTTCCTGAGCCTGGCTCTTGGGCCAGCAGCCTCTAGACCACTCACTAGGACCCCCGGGAGAGAGGCCAGGTGGGGCTCCTTCCCAGCGTGAGACCTCCGGCCCCTGGAATTGCTCTCACCTGGGGAACTGCTTGAGCCGATTTAGAATGCCCTGATAATTCAGCGTCGGAGAGCTCTCAGAGTTCGAGATCCCAGGACAAGGCTGGAAAGGTCAAAGCAAGGTTACATAAAACTTACAATGCTCCAACACCCAAGACCCCCGGTCTCCACCTCAACATGGCATAGGCATTAGGTTGGTGCAAAAGTAATTGTGGTTTTTGCTTTTTTTTTTTTTTTTGGAAACCGAGTCTTGCTCTGTCGCCCAGGCTGGAGTGCAGTGGCACAATCTCAGCTCACTGCAAACTCTGCCTCCCGGGTTCAAGCGATTCTCCTGCCTCAGCCTCCCGAGTAGCTGGGATTACATGCGCCCGCGCCCCCCTCCCCCGCCCGCCCCCGGCAACACACCTGGCTTATTTTTGTATTTTTAGTAGAGATGGGGTTTCACCATCTTGGCCAGGCTGGTCTCAACCTCCTGACCTCATGATCTACCCGCCTCGGCCTCCTAAAGTGCTGGAATGACAGGCATGAACCACCGCGCCCGGCCTCTCTTATTTCAGTAAAGAGCATCTTCCATTTTGCACTTTGGCCTAAAGTCTAAAATGTTCACCACATTCTTGTGATGAAAATAGAAGCACAAAATATTTTTAAAAATAAAAGTCCGGGCAAGGTGGCTCATGCCTGTAATCCCAGCACTTTGGGAGGCCGAGGTGAGCAGAACACCTGAGGTCAGGAGTTTGAGACAACCCTGGGCAACTCAGCAAAACCCCGTCTCTACTGAAAATACAAAAATTAGCCGGGCGTGGTGGCGCGCACCTGTAATCCCAGCTACTCGGGAGGCTGAGGCAGGAGAATCACTTGAACCTGGGAGGTGGAGGTTGCAGTGAGCCGAGATCGCGCCACTGCACTCCAGCCTGGGCAACAAGAGCAAGACTCAATAAAATAAAGTCTCTTGGCCAAGTGTGGTGGCTCACACCTATAACCCCAGCACTTTGGGAGGCTGAGGCAGGCAGATCACGAGGTCAGGAGCTCGAGACCAGCCTGGCCAACATGGTGAAACCCAGTCTCTACTAAAAATACAAGAAAAATTTGGTGGTCATGGTGGCAGGTGCTTGTAGTCCCAGCTACTCGGGAGGCGAGGCAGGAGAATCACTTGAACCCGGGAGGCAGAGGTTGCAGTGAGCTGAGATTGCGCCATTGCATTCCAGCCGAGGTGAGTGTGAGACTCCGTCTCAAACATAATAAAATCATAAAGTCTCAAAACAAAATATCCCTCATCTGACTCCTTTACAAAAAAAAACGTCTGCTCAGCCCTGAGAGCCTAAATTTACAAATGGTCATCTCTGGGACGCAAAGTGCAGGGAGCGGGGATTGCTTGTAAAACATCAACCAAATACATGATGTGTTCCTGTGTTTTTATCACATATGTGATTAGATGCTACATTTTTTTTTAGATGGGATCTCACTGTCACCAAGGATGGAGTGCAGTGGCACCATCATAGTTCACTGCAGCCTCAAACTCCTTGGGCTCAAGCCAACCCTCTGCCTCAGCCTCCCAAGTAGCTGCAACTACAGGCCCACGTCACTAGGCCCAGCTGATTCTTCTAGTTTTATTTTTTACAGAGACAGGGTCTCACTACGTTGTCCAGGCTGGTTTCAAACTCCTGGGCTCAAGTGGTCCTCCTGCCTCGGCCTCCAAAAATGTTGAGATTACAGTTGTGAGCCACAGTGTCCAGCCTACACTTAATTTTTTTTAAAAAACACGGCTCCTTGGCACCTGTCTTGAGTGTAGCAGCGACCAGTATTGTCTTCAGCTGCGAGGCCTGGGCGGGGCCAGCCCAGGTCACAGGTGGAAAAGGGGCAGAACCACATTGGGCCCGGGTTTCCCTTGAGGGCTGATCCCACCACATGCCCTCCTCACCGAAGTGCTTTTCGGGGGGCCCTTGGGTCTGGGCTGGTCCCTAGAGGTCATCTTCAAGGCAGTAGCCTCCAAGACTTTAGCCAGAGTCTAAAACAACAAGGAGACGGCAGGTCTTGAGGGACAGAAAATAAGGCAGTGCCAGGGAAGCAAGGCACCCGTTACCCCACCCGCACCTCCCAGTTTGGTAAGTCTCCAGGGACCCAATCCTGCGGTTCTCCCATGCGTTCCCTAGGTCCTGTCCTCACTTATCAATGCCTCCAGCTGCCCAGATTCATGGGGGCGGGGACCCAGAAAGAACTGAGCCTTGCCTCCCAGGCCTCACCCTAGGAGGCTGGGGTGGATAGTGCACATACACTCCCTGCTGGGGGCAGTCAGGGACGGGGGAGCCCAGGGAAGGTCGCCAAAGCTCAACCTTAGTTTTGAGACAATTTCCTAAAGCGCAGGGAGATCACTAGAAAGGGGTTTTGAAGGATGACTAGGAGTTAGCCAGGTGCATTAGGCGGAATTCATCAGACAGAAGAAACGACCTCTCTCCACCTCCATCCCTGCTGCAGCACCCAGCTTCTTCCTTGCCTCAGTCCTGCCCCTCCACGCCCCTGCAGCCCCTTCCCCGGCCGGGAATCCTGGAGTCCCCCCAGCCCCCTAGAACACGCCTGGCAACTCACGTCCCTCACCGGGCGGAAGCTGCGGAGGTCAGCCAAGTTCAGGCCAAGAGGAAACTCCTCCTTCCCCCACCGGGGGCCATTTGACCCATCGGGCCCCGCCTCGTCCCGCCTTGTCCCCGCCCCGTCCCGCCCAGGCCCCACCCAGCCGCCACCTGGACCGCGAAGCAGATCAATGAAGGCGCAGTAGCTGCACGTGGGTTCGGGCTCCGGGGGGGGCAGGCCTCTGGCGGCGCCGGCCAATAGCGAGGCCGTTTACGCACGTGGGTCGCGTACGCCCTCCCTGATTGGTCGGCTCTCCCCGGCCGCCGGCCATGCTGTCACTCAGCGAGCCGGGAGCCTCTGCTTTACCCTTTCGGTCCCGCTGCCGGGAAGGGCGGACTTGCAGAGCTATAGGCAATTTGGGGTCCCAGCGGGGGCGGGGATATTTAGGAGGGCGTGGGGCTTGAGGCTCAGAGGCTGGAACTTGGGCAGGGATAGGTGGCGAGTAGTTGCATTGTTTTACGCATTTTTAGCCTTGTCCGGAAGTGGCTTATGGCTGGAGGTGAGGAGTGGGAGGTGGGTGGGTTCAATCTTTAGCGCTGTCACCCCAATTCTTAGATACGGGCTAATTACATTTTCCTCAATATTAAATAACGTGCAATGCAAACGAAGCTTCAAGTCCTCTTTCTGGAGCCAACTTACTGGGTCCCCTTGATGGTCCCAGCCCCGGGCTATGCATTTATCACCGAATTTTCCCAACTGCTCTTCCAGCCCAGTGACAAAGGCTCTGAGAGCAGAAAGCGGGACAGCAGAGGCCCTGAGGCTGATACAGTATTGCCGGATGCAAGCGCGGGGTGGGAGAGAGTGGTGGGTATTCCAGACGGAGGGAATAGCGGAACCTCTCAGGCAGAGCTGGGCTGGTTACAGGAGCAGCCAGGGAGGCTAACGGGGCTGCGTGCACTCCGAACAGGCCTGGGATGATTTCCGAGAGGTAAGTGGGTTGCTGCAGAGCGAGAGAAACCTGCTGTGTGGGGTCGTGGGGATAGGAGTAAGGGGATTTCGGAGTTTTGTTTTGGCCTATTCAAAATATGAAGCCAAGTCACCATGGCTCACACCTGTGATCCCAGCATTTTGGAAGGCTGAGGTGGGAGGATTGCTTGAGGCCAGGAGTTGGAGACCAGCCTGGGCAACACAGTGACACCGCGTCTCTACAAAAAATTTAAAAATTAGCCAAGTGTGGTGGTCATGCACCTGTAGTCTCAGCTACTGGGGAGGCTGAGGCAGGAGGATGGCGTAAGCCCAGGAGGTTGAGTCTGGAGTGAGCTATGATCGTGCCACTGCACTCCAGTCTGAGCAACAGAGCAAGACTCCATCTCAAAAAAATATATAGCTATAATATATATAAAGTATATATATTATATATATAGTGGTCAAGCTGCAGTTCTGGAGTGAGAGCCCGTTTCTTTCTGTTTGGCCCAGGACCTGGTACTGGCATTAGCAGTTCACTCTGCCAGGGACAGTCTCTCTCAGACAGCCACCGGCTGGCTCCTTACTCCCTCAGCTCCCTACTTAGAAATCACCACGTTGGGCCAGGTGCTGTGGTGCACGCCTGTAATCCCAGCACTTTGGGAGGCAGAGGTGGGTGGATCATCTGAGGTCAGGGGTTCGAGACCAGCCTGGCCAACATGGTGAAACCCCAGCTTGGCCGGGTCACACCTGTAATCCCAGAACTTTGGGAGGCCGAGGCGGGTGGATCACGAGGTCAGGAGATCGAGACCATCCTGGCTAACACGGTGAAACCCCATCTCTAATAAAAAATACAAAAAAATTAGCCGGGCGTGGCGGTGGGTGCCTGTAATCCCAGCTACTGAGGAGGCTGAGGCGGGAGAATGGCGTGAACCCGGGAGGCGGAGCTTGCAGTGAGCCAAGATTGCGCCACTGCACTCCAGACTGGGCGACAGAACAAGACTCTGTCTCAAAAAAAAAAAAAAAAAAAGAAAACCCCAGCTCTACTAAAATACAAAAATTAGCCAGGCATGGTGATAGGCACCTGTAGTCCCAGCTACTCTGGAGGCTTAGGCAGAAGAATCACTTGAACCTGGGAGGCGGAGGTTGCAGTGAGTCGAGATTGTGCCACTGCACTTCAGCCAGGGTGACACAGCAAGACTCTGTCTCAGAAAAAAAAAAAAAAAATCACCACATCAGGCCAGGCGTGGTGGCTCACGCCTGTAATTCCAGCACTTTGAGAGGCCGAAGCAGGAGATCACTTGAGGTCAGGAGTTCCAGACCAGCCTGGCCAACATGCTGAAACCCTACCTCTACTAAAAATACAAAAATCAGCCGGGCACGGTGATGCACATCTGTAATCCCAGCTACTTGAACCTGGGAGGCAGAGGTTGCAATGAGCCAAGATGTCGCCATTGCACTCCACCCTGGGCGACAGAGTACTCTGCCTCAAAAGAAGAAAAGAGTTCATGACCAGCCTGGCCAACATGGCAAAACCCCATCTCTACTAAAAATACAAAGGTCAGCTGAGTGTGGTGGCAGACGCCTGTAATCCCAGCTACTTGGGAGGCTGATGCAGGAGAATCGCTTGAACCCGGGAGGTGGAGGTTGCAGTCAGCCAGGATCGTGCCATTGCACTCTAGCCTGGGCAACAAGAGTGAAACTCCATCTCAAAAAAAAAAAAAGAAGGGAGGGAGGGAGGGAAGGAAGGAAGGAAGGAAGGATCTCATTGAAGAGACCTCCCAACCCTCCCTTCCCTTCCCTATATTTCCCTTTATTTCCTCTTTTTTTTTTTAAACACAGGGCGAGGGGGAGGGGAGTCTCAGTACATTGCCCCGGCTGGTCTTGAACTCCTGACCCCAAGTGATCCTCCCACCTCCACCTCCCAAAGTACTATGGATTACAGGCATGAGCCACTGTGCCGCCACCGGGCCTGTATCTCCCTTTCTTATTTTATTTTTTTCCGAATGTGGTTTGGATTGCAGCTAATCTTGTAATCTCAGTGGCTCCTGTGGCGGGAGCCTCCCACGATAGCTCTAAGCCCTGCATGTTCTAAATGCAGAGAATGCTGTCAGGATTCTCCTACAGAGACGCCTCCCATCCTCTGACCTCCCCATGTGACACAAATGCCCGATAGGTCTGCTGACTTCAGATCCAAACCCAGCCAGAGAAACTCTTCCCTGTTTTCTGTTCTGTGCTCTCTCGCTGCGGGGAACTGAGGGTTTCAATGCTGGGACAAGTAGCCCCCAGAGGTGGTGATGTGCACACGTGACTTGGGTTTTGCAGCTGGTCCATGGAGAACAAAGGGAGGGGCCGTCATGAAAGACCTGCAGAAAAGCTTCCCACCCACGAACCCTCCACTGTCCCATAATTATTATTTTTTAATTTTTATTACTTATTTTTTTGAGACAGAGTCTCTCTCTGTCCCTCAGGCTGGAGTGCAGTGGCGCGATCTTGTCTCACTGCATCCTCCACCTCCCAGGTTCAAGCGATTCTCCTGCCTCAGCCTCCCAAGTAGCTGGGACTACAGGCGCCCGCCACCACACCCGCCTAATTTTTGTATTTTTAATAGAGATGGAGTTTCACCATATTGGCCGGATCGGTCTCAAACTCCTGATCTTGTGATCCACCTGCCTTGGTCTCCCAAAGTGCTGGGATTACAGGTGTGAGCCACCACGCCTGGCTATTATTATTATTTTTTTGTGACAGAGTCTTGCTCTGTCGCCCAGGCTGGAGTGCAGTGGCACGATCTTGGCTCACTGCAACCTTTGCCTCCTGGGTTCAAGCGATTCTTCTACCTCAGCCTCCTGAGTAGCTTGGATGACAGGCGCCCGCCACCACACCACCTCCAGCTAATGTTGTATTTTTAGTAGAGATGGAGTTTCACCATGTTGGCCAGGATGGTCTCAAACTCCTGACCTCAAGTGATCCACTCATCTCGGCCTCCTAAAGTGCTGGGATTACAGGCGTGAGCCACTGCACCCAGCTGCATAATTAAAGTGTGTTTTATTTATGGTCCAGCCTCCTAATATGGGCTTTGCTTTTTCCCCTCCCTCTGATTGTAGACTTTCAGCTGGGCACGTTGCTTTATCCAAGACTCACAGGGTTGTCTCACAGGGTATCCAGTAAGCACATGTGGCTATTTAAGTTAAAATTAATTAAAATGAAATACAATTTAAAATTCCATTCCTCAGGCACCCTGCCCGCATGTCAGGCGCTCAGTCGTCACTGGCGTCTGGGGGTCACCGTACTGGACAGCGAAGATCTAGAACATTCTGTCATCACAGAAAGTCCCAGTGGACAGCACTGATTGGAGGCTCCTAGGAAAGAGAAATTCCTCCAGGGTCCATGTAGAAATCGGAAGCACATTTTCAGTAGTCATTCCATTTCTACTCTTTTTTTTTTTTGAGAAGGGGTCTCACTCTGTTGCTCAGGCAGGAGTGCAATGGTGCAACCTCAGCTCACTGCAACCTCCACCTCCCGGGTTCAAGCGATTCTTCTGCCTCAGCCTCCTGAGTGGCTGGTATTACAGGCACGTGCCACCACACTCGGCTAATTTTTGTATTTTTAGTAGAGACAGGGTTTCATCATGTTGGCCAGGCTGGTCTCGAACTCCTGACTTCAGGGGATCCACCCCCACCTCGTTCTCCCAAAGTGTTGAGATTACAGGCCTGAGCCTTTTTTTTTTTTTTTTTTTTTGAGACAGGATCTCACTCTTGCTCAGGCTGGAGTGCGGTGGCACAATCTTGGCTCCCTGCAGTCCCAACCTCCTGGGCTCAAGCAGTCCTCCCGTCTCAGCCTCCCAAATAGGTGGGACCACAGGTGCTTGCCACCCAGCACACCCAGCTCATTTTTGTATTTTGTAGGGACAAGGTCTTCCTGTGTTGCCCAGGCTGGTTTTGAACTCCTGGGCTCAAGCGATTCTCCTGCCTCAGTCTCCTAAAGTGCTGGGATTACAGGGGTGAGCCACAGAGACTGGTCCATTCTGTTTCCCCCTGCCTTTTTTTTTTTTTTTTTTCCGAGATGGAGTCTCGCTCTATCACCCAGGCTGGGGTGCAGTGGTGTGATCTTGGCTCACTGCACCCTCTGCCTCCCAGGTTCAAGCAATCCTTCTGCCTCAGCCTCCTGAGTAGCTGGGATTACAGGTGTGCGCCACCATGCCCAGCTAATTTTTGTATTTTTAGTAGAGACAGGGTTTTGTATTTTTAGTAGAGACAGGGTTTCACCATGTTGGTCAGGCTGGTCTCGAACTCCTGACCTTGTGATCTGCCCACCTTGGCCTCCCAAAGTGCTGGGATTACAGGCGTGAGCCACCAGCGTGGCCCATTTCTCCCTGATTTAAAACCCCCGTGAGTGGGGTTGGAGGGAATTCCCTGGAGTGTGGTCACCCTGGGTCCTTCCCTTTGGCTGTGCCCTGGCCACTCCAGCCCAGCCAGCAGGGAGCAATTTCCCTTGACCCCTCAGGGAGGAGACAGATGACACAGCAGACAGGAAGGAAGGAAGCCAATATTTCCTCCTTGTTCTTGGCTTTTGAGTTGTTTGGTTGACTTGGAAACTCAAAGTCTAGAAGGTTTGAGACAAAAGGCATTTGCATTCCAAATACTTTGGAGTTTTTGTTTTACACAAGCAAACTACCTTGCTGGGTGCCGTGGTTCATGTCTGCAATGCCAGCACTTTGGAAGGCCAAGGCAGGACGATCGCTTGAGCCTAGGACTTCAAGACCAGCCTGGGCAACAAAGTGAGACCCCATTTCTATAAAAAATAAAAAATTAGCCAGGCACGGTGGCACACACCTGTCGTCCCAGTTGCTCGGGAGGCTGAGGTGGGAGGATCACTTGAGCCTGGGAAGTTGAGCCTGCTCTGAACCGAGACTGTACCACTGCACTCCAGCCTGGGCAACAGAGCAAGACCCTGTGTCGAAAAAAGAATTGCGGCCAGGCGCAGTGACCCATGCCTATAATCCCAGCACTTCGGGAGGCTGAGGCGGGTGGATCACCTGAGGTCAGGAGTTTGAGACCAGTCTGGCCAATATGATGAAACCCCACCTCTACTAAAAACTCAAAAATTAGCGGGGCACGGTGGCAAATGCCTGTAATCCCAGCTACTCAGGAGCCTGAGGCAGGAGAATCTCTTGAACCCGGGAGGCAGGGGTTGCAGTGAGCCAAGATTGTGCCACTGCACTCCAGCCTGGGAAAGAAAGAAAGAAAAAAGAGAATTGCTTGAGTAGATCCTGAATTCCAGCAGAACAGCTGACACCAGCTAGTGTGAAGGCCCCCAGAGAGGAGCAGGATGAGCATGAGAACATAGCTTCTCCCTCCCCCGTCCCAGAACTTCACCCTGCACTCTTCAACCAGTCAACAGGCGCCACACTCCAAAACTTTTTTTGTTCGTTTGTATGTTTCAGACAGAGTTTCATTCTGTCCCCCAGGCTGGAGTGTAGCGGCATGATCTCATCTCACTGCAACCTCTGCCTCCCAGGTTCAAGCAATTCTCCTGCCTCAGCCTCCCGAGTAGCTGGGATTATAGGCACTTGCCACCATGCCCGGCTAATTTTTGTATTTTTAGTTGGTGGGGGGGAGTCTCACCATGTTGGCCAGGCTGGTCTCGAACTCCTGACCTCAGGTGATCTGTCTGCCTCAGCTTCCCAAAGTGCTGGGATTACAGGCGTGAGCCACCATCCCTGGCTTTTTTTTTTTTTTTTTTTTTTTGAGACGGAGTCTCGCTCTGTCACCCAGGCTGGAGTGCAGTGGCGCCATCTCGGCTTACTGCAACCTTTTGTCTCCCGGTTTCAAGCGACTCTCCTGTTTCAGCCTCTCAAGTAGCTGGGATTGCAGGTGCCCGCCACCACGCCCAGCTAATTTTTGTATTTTAAGTAGGGACGGGGTTTTCCCATGTTGGGCAGGCTGGTCTCCAGCTCCTGACCTCAGGTGATCCGATCCACCCACCTCGGCCTCCCAGAATGCTAGGATTACAGCCGCAGGCCACCATGCCTGGCCCTGTTCTTGTTTTTTTAGAGATGGAGTCTTGCTCTATTGCTCTGGTTGGAGTGCAGTGGTGCAATCATAGCTCACTCAGCTGTGACCTCCTGGGTTCAAGCGATCCTCCCACCTCAGCCTTTTGAGTAGCTGGGACTACAGGCGTACACCACCATGCCTGGCTAATTTTTAAATTTTCTGTAGAGATGAGGTCTGGCTATGTTGCCCAAGCCAGTCTTATACAGCTGGGCTCAAGCAATCCTCCTGCCAGGGCCTCCCAAATTGTTGGCATTACAGGAATGAGCCTGGCCTGCTTAAGCAATTCTTAAACAGAAGTATTTTGCTTCTAACGTCAGAGATGGTATCTATGTGGTGCAAATGGTCAGTGTCTAGTGCAATGTGCTTTTCTGTTACAAGGAAGCAGGTCAGAGTGCAGCCAGATTAATGCTTCATTTTAATTTTAATTTTTTATTTTTTGAGATGGAGTTTCGCTCTTTTTGCCCAGGCTGGAGTGCAGTGGTGCAGTCTCGACTCACTGCAACCTCCACCTCCCGGGTTCAAGCAATTCTCCTGCATCAGCCTCCCTAGTAGCTGGGATTACAGGCGCCCGCCACCACGCCCGGCTAATTTTTTGTCCTTTTAGTAAAGACAGGGTTTCACCATGTTGGTCAGGGTGGTCTCGAACTCCTGACCTCAGGTGATCCACCTGCCTCGGCCTCCCAAAGTGCTAAGATTACAGGCGTGAGCCACCAGGCCCAGCCTAATGCTTAATTATAACTATATGTCTGTACATAATTCTTTTTTTTTTTTTTTTTTTGAGATGGAGTCTCGCTCTGTCACCCAGGCTAGAGTGCATTGGCACAATCTCGGCTCACTGCAACCTCCACCTCCCAGGTTCAAGGAATTCTCCTGCCTCAGCCTCCTAAGTAGCTGGGACTACAGGCGCCTGCCACCACGCCTGGCTAATTTTTTTTTATTTTTAGTAGAAACGGGGTTTCACCATCTTGGCCAGGCTGGTCTCGAACTCCTGACCTTGTGATCCACCCGCCTCGGCCTCCCAAAGTGCTGGGATTACAGGCGTGAGCCACCGCTCCCGGCCAATCTGTACAGAATTCTTGTTAACCCTGTGAGGACAGCTTCACCCCCACCCTCAGGCTCCACACCAACCCCCTGTCACAGGAAGAGTGAGTTTGTGGAAGTGGCTAGGATTGATGAGGTTTGCCTCCTGCCACCTGGTAGAAAGAAGCTGATATTTGTTTTCTGTAGCTGCTGTAACAGATGACTGCAAACCAGGTGGCTTCAGACAACAGAAATGTATTTTCGCACAGTGACGGAGGCCAGAATCGAGGTGTGGGGAGGGCCACTGTGCTCCCTCTGAAGGCTCCAGGGGAGGGTCCTCCCTGCCTCTTCCAGTTTCTGGTGGCGGCCAGCAGGCTTTGGTGTGACTTGGCTTCACTCCAATTTCTGCTTCCATCACTGCTTGGCTTTCTTCCCTGTTTGTCTCTGTGTCTGTGTCCAAATTTCCCTCTCCTGATAAGAACGCCAATTATTAGATTTAGGAGCTGCCTTGAGAATCGCTTGAACCCGGGAGGCGGAGGTTGCAGTGAGCCGAGGTGGCGCCACTGCACTCCAGCCTGGGTGAGGGAGTGAGACCCTGTCTCAAAAAAAACAAAAAACAACAACAACAACAACAAAAAAACAACAGATTTAGAAGCTGTCTTAATCCAATGTGACCTCATCTTAACTAATCTTTTTTTTTTTTTTGACTCGGAGTCTTGCTCTGTCGCCAGGCTGGAGTGCAGCGATGTGATCTCGGCTCGCTGCAACCTCCGCCTCCCAGGTTCAAGCGATTCTCCTGCCTCAACCTCCCCAGTAGCTGGGACTACAGGCGCCCGCCACCACCACGCCCAACTAATTTTTGTATTTTTAGTAGAGATGGGGTTTCACTCTGTTGGCCAGGATGGTCTCCATCTGTTGCCCTTGTGGTCTGCCTGCGTTGGCCTCCCAAAGTGCTGGGACTCCAGGTGTGTGCCACCATGCCCGTCTAATTTTTGTATTTTTTTGCCGAGGGGAGTGTTGGCGTGTTGCCCAGTCTGGTCTCAAGCTCCTGGCCTCACGTGATCCACCCACCTTGGCCTCCCAAAGTGCTGGGAGTACAGGAGTGAGCCACTGCATTCGGCCATAACTAATCATATCTGCAATGACCCTATTTCCAAATAAGGTCGCATTCCCAGGTACAGGGGATGGAGGGGGCTTTTGGACTTCAACAGATATTTTTGGGGGACAAAGTTCTACCCACTACAAGGCTCAAAAAAGAAACTGTCAACCTAAATAACAAACAAGGAGAAGCTCTCTAAAACAAAAGGATATTTATTTGGAAATAGGGCTTTGCAGTGCTATAGTAAGTAAGCTATGCACATACTGAGGGAGGTAATAGAAGACAAAGATTTCTAAAGGAGAATTGAGGAAGATGACGTAACTATTTTGAGGTAATTATCCTTCGCTACAAGGATCAATAACAACGGTAGGCCAGGCACGGTGGCTGACGCGTGTAATCCCAGCACTTTGGGAGGTTGAGGTGGGCAGATCACCTGAGGCCAGGAGTTCAAGATCAGCCTGGCCAACATGGAGAAACCCCATCTCTGCTAAAAATACAAAAATTAACCGGGCATGCTGGCGCCTGCCTGTAATCCTAGCTACTTGGGAGGCTGAAGCACAAGAATCACTTGAACCCAGGAGGCGGAGGTTGCAGTGAGCTGAGATCACACCACTGCACTCCAGCCTGGACGACAGAGTGAGACCCTGTCTCAAACAAACAAACAAACAAAAAACAAGGATAAAGCTGGTCTTGTTGAAAAGATGTCCTGTAGAATAAGGTTGTGACGGGAAGTTTGATGCGGCCAGGCGTGGTGGTTTACGCCTGTAATCCCAGCACTTTGAGAGGCTGAGGCAGGCGGATCACGAGGTCAGGAGATCCAGACCATCCTGGCTAACACAGTGAAACCCCGTCTCTACTAAAAATTTAAAAAATCAGGGCTGGGCGCGGTGGCTCACACCTTTAATCACAGCACTTTGGGAGGCCGAGGTGGGCGGATCACGAGGTCAGGAGATCGAGACCATCCTGGCTAACACGGTGAAACCCTGTCTCTACTAAAAATACAAAAAAAATTAGCCGGGCGTGGTGGTGGGCGCCTGTAGTCCCAACTACTCAGGAGGCTGAGGCAGGAGAATGGCGTGAACCCAGGAGGCAGAGCTTGCAGTGAGCCGAGATCCTGCCACTGCACTCCAGCCTGGGCAACAGAGCGAGACTCCATCTCCAAAAAAAAAAAAAAAATCAGCCGGCATGGTGGCGGGTGCCTGTAGTCCCAGCTACTCGGGAGGCTGAGGCAGGAGAGTGGCAGACGGAGCTTGCAGTGAGCCAAGATTGCGCCACTGCACTCTAGCCTGGGTGACAGAGCGAGACTCCATCTCAAAAAACAAAAAGAAAAAAGGAAGTTTGATGCAAATTTTTGGGGTTTGCAGCCTTTTATTTTTTTCTTTTATTTTTTTGAGACAGGGTCTCATGCTATTGCTCAGGTTGGAGTGCAGTGGCCCCATCATGGCTCACTGTTGCCTCAACCTACGAGGCTTAAGTCATCCTCCCACCTTAGCCTTCTGAGTAGCTGGGACTACAGGCATGTGCCACCACGCCTGGCTATTTTTTATTTTTTATTGTTTTGTAGAGGCAGAGTCTGGCTGTGTTGCTCCGGCTGGCCTCAAACTCCTAGGCTCAAGTGATCCTCCTGTCTCGGCCTCCCAAAGTGCTGGGATTACAGGTGTGAGCCCCGTGCCCGGCATGCAGTCTTTTGTGATATTTTCTTGTTATCAGGCATCCATGCATGAGAACGCACTATTCAAAGCTGTCCCTGGCTCTATTTGTCACTTTGCTGTTGTTGTTGTTTTTTTGTTTTTAGACAGAGTTTCACCTTGTCACCCGGGCTGGAGTACAGTGGCGCGATCTCGGATCACTGCAACCTCTGCCTCCTGGGTTCAAGTAATTCTCATGCCTCAGTCTCCTGTGTAGCTGGAATTATAGACACCCGTCACCACGCCCAGCTGATTTTTTTTGTAGTTTAGTAGAGACTGGATTTCACCATGTTGCCCAGGCTGGTCTTGAACTCCTGAGCTCAGGCAATCTGCCAATCTCTGCCGCCCGAAGTGCTAGGATTACAGGCATGAGCCACTGCACCTGGCGTCACTTTTTTTTTTTTTTTTTGAGACGGAGTCTCGTTTCGTCGCCCCAGCTGGAATGCAGTGGCACAATCTCGGCTCACTGCAAGCTCCGCCTCCCGGGTTCACACCATTCTCCTGCCTCAGCCCCCCAGTAGCTGGGACAACAGGTGCCCGCTGCCACGCCCGGCTAATTTTTTGTATTTTTAGTAGAGATGGGGTTTCACCGTGTTAGCCAGGATGGTCTTGATCTCCTGACCTTGTGATCCGCCTGCCTCGGCCTCCCAATGTGTTGAGATTACAGGCGTGAGCCACCGCGCCCGGCCTTTTTTTTTTTTTTTTTTTTTTTTTTTAACACAAGTCACTCCATTTTGATTCTGACAACTTTCTTTTTTTTTTTTTTCTTTCATACGGAGTCTCGCTCTGTCTTCCAGGCTGGAGTGCAATGGCATGATCTCGGCTCACTGCAACCTCCGCCTGCCGGGTTCAAGCGATTCTCCTGCCTCAGCCTCGCAAGTAGCTGGGACTACGGGTGCACTTCACCACACCTGGCTAATTTTTGTATTTTTAATAGAGACGGGTTTCACCGTGTTAGGATGGTCTCGATCTCTTGACCTCATGATCCACCCGCCTCGACCTCCCAAAGTGCTGGGATGACAGGTGTGAGCCACCGCACCCAGCCTGATTCTGACGACTTTCATATGAGTAACTATAACAACTCAATGTTTTCATCAACCACTAAATCCCATTTTACATAGGAGGAAATTAAGTCCCAGAGAAGCTAAGTGACCTACTTAGGACCACACAGTTGCTAAGTAAACTAGGATTTTATCCCAGGCAGTCTTGCTCCAGGAGGTATTCCCATAACCCTTACGCCATCATAGAGAGATCCAGTTAGGATCTGCTCAGGTAGTGGCATTAGACTGGACCTCCTCATGAACCCAAGCTTGGAGGAAGGGGCATCCACATCCACTCCAAAAGTGGGTTTTGAGGGCCAGGCACGGTGGCTCACGCCTGTAATCCCAGCACTTTGGGAGGCCGAGGTGGGCGGATCACCTGAGGTCAGGATTTCAAGACCAGCTGAGTCAACATGATGGAACCTCGTCTCTACTAAAAATGAAAAAACTAGCTGGGTGTAGTGGCGCGCACTTGTAATCCCACCTACTCGGGAGGCTGAGGCAGGAGAATCACTTGAACCCGGGAGGCGGAGGCTGCAGTGAGCCGAGCTCCCACCACTGTACTCCAGCCCGGGTGACAGAGTGAGACTCCACCTCAAAAAAAAAAAAAAAAAAAAAAGAAGTGGGTTTTGAATCTCCTGGACCTGGCTTTCCTCTCAAAAGAAATCCAGAGACATTAGTTAGCTATTGCTGTGTAACAAATTGCCCCTAAACTTGCTGGGCCATTTACACGAATTGTTGAAACAATCAACATTTATTATCTCACAGTTTCTGATGGTCCAGAATCAGGGGGCAGCTTTGTTGGTTCAACATAGGGTCACTGATGAATAATTATTCATGTTCAAGCCTCTATTTTTTTTTTTTTTTTTGAGACAGGGACTGAGACTCACAGGCTAAGTGCAGTAGGGTGATCACAGCTAACTGCAGCCTCAAACTTCCAGGCCCGAGCGATCCTCTGGCCTCAGCCTCCTGCGTAACTGGAACTACAGTCCCCTGCCACCACGCCCAGGTAATTTTTGTTTGTTTTTGCAGAGACAGGGTCTCCCTATATTGCACAAGCTGGTCTCGAACTCCTGGGTGTTTGAGTCTTTCTTTATCCCCTCTTCAATCGAACACCCTCTGTCATCCAGAATTCAATTAACAAATCTCTTCTCAGTGATGTTTCTCTTATTGTATTTATTTATTTATTTATTTATTTATTTTGAGACCCAGGGTCTCTCTCTTTTGCCCAGGCTGGAGCGCAGTGGTGTGATCTTGGCTCACTGCAACCTCTGCCTCCTGGGTTCAAGTGATTATCCTGCCTCAGCCTCCTGAGTAGCTGAGATTACAGGGGCGCACTATCATGCCCAGCTAATTTTTGTTTTGTTTAGTTTTGTTTTTGAGATGGAGTCTCGCTCTGTCGCCCAGGCTGGAGTGCAGTGGCGCAATCTCGGCTCACTGCAAGCTCCGCCTCCTGGATTCACGCCATTCTCCTGCCTCAGCCTCCCAAGTAGCTGGGACTACAGGCACCTGCCACCATGCCCGGCTAATTTTTTTTTTTTTTTGTATTTTTAGTAGAGACGGGGTTTCACCGTGTTAGCCAGGATGGTCTCGATCTCCTGACCTCATGATCCGCCTGCCTCGGCCTCCCTAAGTGCTGGGATTACAGGCATGAGCCATCACGCCCAGTCTACTTTTTTTTTTAGTAGAGATGGGGTTTTGCCATGTTGGCCAGGCTGGTCTCAAACTCCTGACCTCAGGTGATCCCCCTGCCTCAGCCTCCCAAAGTGCTGGGATTACAGGTGTGAACCATCGCACCCAGCAGACACTTCTCTGATTTAAATCACTCCATCTTTCCCGAGTTTTCCTAATCGTCCCACCACCCTGTGATATTTTCTTGTTTGTTTCATTCTTCCTTGTCTGTCCTGGACGGGCTCTGTAAATTATTGCTAGAAGGAGATGACTGAGTGGGGAGAACTTTTTTTTTTTTTTAAGATGGAGTCTCGCTCTGTCGCCCAAGCTGGAGTTCAGTGGCGTGATCTCGGCTCACTGCAGTCTCCGTCTCCCAGGTTCAAGCAATTGCCCTGCCTCAGCCTCCTGAGTAGCTGGGATTACAGGTGCGCGCCACCATGCCCGGCTAATTTTTGTATTTTTAGTAGAGACAGGGTTTCACCATGTTGGCCAGCCTGTGCTTGAACTCCTGACCTCAAGTGATCCACCCGCCTCAGCCTCCCAAAGTGCTGGGATTACAGGAGTGAGCCACCGTGCCTGGCCAGAGTGGGGAGCACTTTAACCCACCCACATGCATGTTTTTTGGTGTCTGCTTTCCTTGGATGTCTCAGTTGCGAGGGTCCACGCTAGCTTTGCCCCTATGGCATGCCTGGGCCTGATGGGGCCCTGCACTTCCTCTGGACACTGGTTCCCATCAAGGCCAGTTATGGTAGCTCACACCCTCAGTCCCAGCTACTCTGGAGGCTGTGGCAGGAGGCTTGCTTGAGCCTAGGAGTTCGAGACCAGCTGGGCAACATAGCAAGATCCCATCTCTACAAAAAATAAATAAATAAAAAACAAAAAAAGAAAGTAAAGGATTGGAGTCTTTTGAAGGTCAAGCTGTGGATCGTAGTTTACATTTTACCCTTTAAGAACCATCCCCTCGGGCCAGGTGCAGTGGCTCAAGCCTGTAATCCCAGCACTTTGGGAGGCTGACGCTTGCAAATCACCTGAGGTCGGAATTTCGAGACCAGCCTGGCCAACATGGTGAAACCCCATCTCTACTAAAAATACAAAAATGAGCCAGGCATGGTGGTGCATGTCAGTAATCCAAGCTCCTTGGGAGGCTGAGGCAGGAGAATCGCTTGGACTTGGAAGGTGGAGGTTGCAGTGAGCCAAGATTGCACCACCACACTCCAGCCTGGGTGACAGAGGGAGACTCTGTCTCAAAAAAAAAAAAAAAAAAAGAAGGCCAGGCGCGGTGGCTCACGCCTGTCATCCCAGCACTTTGGGAGGCTGAGGCGGGTGGATCACCTAAGGTCAGGAATTCAAGCCCAGCCTGACCAACAAGGTGAAACCCTGTCTCTACTAAAAATACAAAAATTAGCTGGGCGTGGTGGTGGGCACCTGTAGTCCCAGCCACTCGGGAGGCTGAGACAGGAGAATTTCTTGAACCCAGGAGGCGGAGGCTGCAGTGAGCCGAGATCATGCCACTGTACTCCAACCTGGGCGATGGAGTGAGACTCCATTTAAAAAAAAAAAAAAAAAAGAAGAGAACCATCTCTTCCGGGCTTGGAGAGGGGATGTGGCTTCTCCTGGTTCCGTGGTCAAGAGACTCAACTCCCCCAGCTAATTGGTATAAATTTAGAACTGAGTGTGGCCACAGTTAGTTAAACAAGGCATTTTAGGCTATTGAGGGGAAATTCCCAGCTGCCCAATTCTTCATTCCAATCAGGACTCCTAAGTGAAAGGGATGGGTTCATCCCATTGAGACTCTCAAGGCAGGGAGGGGCTGTTCTGAATTGAACTTATGGTCTCTGCTACCCCCTACAGGTCAAATGTTATATGAGCGCTTCGTTGACGTAATTTACATAAGATGACGTCATACATTTAAAGCATATTGTTCAATGACTTTTAGCAAATGTGTCCAACTGCACAACCATAACCACAATCCAATTTTAGAAAATTTCCATCACTAGGCCGGGTGTGGTGGCTCACGCCTGGAATCTCAGCACTTTGGGAGATCGAGGCGGGCGGATCACGAGGTCAGGAGATCAAGGCCATCCCGGCTAACAGGGTGAAACCCCCGTCTCTACTAAAAATACAAAAAAATAAGCCGGGTGTGGTGGCGGGCGCCTGTAGTCCCAGCTACTCGGGAGGCTGGGGCAGGAGAATGGCGTGAACCCAGGAGGCGGAGCTTGCAATGAGCTGAGATGGCGCCACTGCACTCCAGCCTGGGCGACAGAATCCGTATCAAAAAAAGAAAGAAAGAAAGAAGGAAATTTCCCTCATCAGAAGAATGTTCCTCTTGTCTGTTTGTTGTTGTTTTCAGACGAAGTCTCGCTCTGTCGCCCAGGCTGGAGTGCAGTGGTGCGATCTTGGCTCACTGCAACCTCCGCATCCCGGGTTCAAGTAATTCTCCTGCCTCAGCCTCCTGAGCAGCTGGGATTACAGACAGGCGCCACCATGCCCGGATAATTTTTGTATTTTTAGTAGAGACAGGGTTTCACCATGTTGGTCAGGCTGGTCTCGAACTCCTGATCCGCCCGTCTCGGCCTCCCAAAGTGCTGGGATGACAGGCATGAGCCACCACGGCCGGCCTCTTCTGTTTTTGTTTCTCTTTTTGCAAAGATGGGGTCTCGCTGTGTTGCTCAGAGTGGCCTTGAACTCCTGGCCTCAAGCGATCCTCCCACCTCAGCCTCCCAAAGACTTTCATATCTTTAAGTCAGTGGTTCTTAAATTTGAGTGTGCATCACAATTACCTGGGGCGGGGGGTGTTAAAACTCAGATTGTGGACCCCCAACCTAAGACTTTTTCAGGCAGCAAATCTGGGCCTGGGGCCTGAAAACGTGCATTCCTAGCAAGCTCCCAGGTGACAATGCTGCTGCCGCCACTCAGGGAACCACGGTTTGAGAACCGCTACTCTCTTTTTTTTTTTTTTTTTGAGACGGAGTCTCGCTGTCTCCCAGGCTGGAGTGCAGTGGCGCGATCTCGGCTCACTGCAAGCTCCGCCTCCCGGGTTCACGCCATTCTCCTGCCTCAGCCTCCCAAGTAGCTGGGACTACAGGCGCCCGCCACCAGGCTCGGCTAATTTTTTTATGTTTTTAGTAGAGACGGGGTTTCACCGTGTTAGCCAGGATGGTCTAGATCTCCTGAGCTCATGATCCGCCCGCCTCAGCCACCCAAAGTGCTGGGATTACAGGCGTGAGCCACCGCGCCCGGCCAAGAACTGCTACTCTCAATACTAAAGCTCAGGCCGGGCACGGTGACTCTCGCCTGTAATCCCAGCACTTTGGGTGGCTGAGGCAGGAGGATCACTTGAGCCCAGGAGTGGCCAACATGGTGATCAGCCTGGCCAACACGGTGAAACCCACCTTTACTAAAAATATAAAAATTAGGGCCGGGCACGGTGGCTCACGCCTGTAATCCCAGCACTTTGGGAGGCGGAGGCAGGCGGATCATCTGAGGTCAGGAGTTCGAGACCAGCCTGGCCAACATGGCGAAACCCCGTCTCTACTAAAAATAAAAAAATTAGCCGGGAGTGATGGCGCGCACCTCTAATCCCAGCTACTCGGGAGGCTGAGGCAGGAAAATTGCTTGAACCCGGGAGTCGGAGGTTGCAGTGAGCCGAGATCGTGCCACTGCATTCCAACTTGGGTGACAAGAGCAAGACTCCATCTCAAAACGAAACAAAACAAAAATTAGCCGGGCATGGTCGCGCATGCCTGTAATCCCAGGTAGTCAACAGGCTGAGGCAGGACAATCTCTTGAAACTGGGAGGCTGAGGTTGCAGTGAGCCAAGATTGTGTCACTGCACTCCAGCCTGGGTTACAGAGCGAGACCTTGTCTAAAAAAAAAAAAAAAAAAAAAAAAAAAAAAACTAAAGCTCAGCGTTCTATTTTTGGATTTGCAATGGTGATTTTTGATTCCATGCAATAATAGAGGACGGAGCTTTGCTACACCCCCACCCTGCCCCCCATCTCGCTGCCCGCTCTCTGTCTTCTTATTTGAGACAGGGTCTTGCTCTGTTGCCCAGGCTGGAGTGCAGTGGCACGATCATAGCTCACTGCAGCCTCAACCTCCCAGGTTCAAGCAGTCCTCCTGCCTCAGCCCTGCCCAAGTAGCTGGAACAACAGGTGTGTACCACCATGCTCCCCTAATTTTTGTATTTTTTGTAGAGACTCAAAAAAAAAGTTAGGTAAGATCCCGTCCCTCCTCTGCTGATACTCATCCTATGGCCCCACTCACTCAGAGGCAAAACTGAAATCTTTGGAATGGCTTTTGAAGGGCCCTTGGGATCTTTTCTTTTCCTTTCTTTCTTTCTACAGAGTCTCGCTCTTGTCACCCAGGCTGGAGTGCAGTGGCACTATCTCAGCTCACTGCAACCTCTGCCTCCTGGGATCAAGTGATTCTCCTGCCTCAGCCCCCTGAGTAGCTGGGATTACAGGCACTCGCCACCACACCCAGCTAATTTTTGTATTTTTAGTAGAGATGGGTTTCACCATGTTGGCCAGGCTGGTCTTGAACTCCTGACCTCAGGTGATCCGTCTGCCTCGGCCTCCGAAAGTGCTGGGATTACAGGTGTGAGTTATCGCGTCTGGCCTGCTTGCTTGCTTGCTTGCCTGCCTGCCTGCCTGCCTGCCTCCCTCCCTCCCTCCCTCCCTTCCTTCCTTCCTTCCTTTCCTTCTTTCTTTCTTTTATTTCTTTTTCCTTCCTTCCTTCTTTCTTTTTTCTTTTCTTCCTTTTTTTTTTGACACAGGATCTTGCTCTGTTGCTGTGTTGTGGAGGCTGGAGTGCAGTGGTGCAATCATAACTCACTGCGACCTCCGCCTTCTGGGCTCAAGAGATCCTCCCACCTCAGCCTTCCAAAGTGCTGAGATTATAGGCATGAACCACTGCACCCAGCCGGGCTCAATTTTTGCACCAATCCTATCTTCAGCCCTGGAGTCAGTTGGGCATCTTATTAAGTATGCGGATTTCTGACCCCAGCGTTGGGCTTCTAGCTCAGCAGACTGGGGAGTAGAACCTGGGGGATCCCTAGGAGACTAACATCTTTTTAGGGAGCTTCCTGATGGGTTTGGGGGATGGGAGCGTTAGAGGGAGGTGGGTGTGATTGTAGAAGGATCCAAGGGGACATCCTTGTGGTGCGGACAAAGTTCTGTACCTTGACTGTGATGGATACACAGACTTACCCAGGTTAACTTCACACACACACACACAGACACACACACACACACACACACACACACAAGTAAAATGGGGCCATGGGAAGAAGATGGATAGATTTTAACAGCGTCAATATCAGGGATGTGGTAATGTACTTTAGTTTTCCAAATGTCACCATTGGAGGAATCTAGGCCAAGTATAGAAAAGATGTCTGTACAGCAAGACTCTGTTTCAAAAAAAAAAAAGAAAAGATCTGTCTGTATTTTTATCATTATTATTTATTATTATTATTATTTGAGACTGAGTCTCGCTCTGTCCTCCAGGCTGGAGTGTAGTGGCATGATCTCTGCTCACTGCAAACTTCGCCTCCCAGGTTCAAGCAATTCTCCTGCCTCAGCCTCCTGAGTAGCTGGCATTACAGGCGCCCGCCACCACGCCTGGCTAATTTTTTTTTTTTTTTTGTATTTTTTGTAGAGACAGGGTTTTGCCATGTTGGCCAGGCTGCTCTCAAACTCCTGACCTCAGGTGATCCACCTGCCTCAGCTCCCCAAAGTGCTGAGATTACAGGAGTGAGCCACCGTGCCCGGCCAATGTCTGTGTTATTTCTTAGAACTGCATATGATTCTACAATTATCTCAATAACAATTTCAGTGAAAAAAAGAGACAAGCTAATAGAAATGTAAGAAAACCATGTTATGATGAGAATACCAATAGCGTTAGAAACCAGAAAAGAAAAATAAACGGATACATTGTCTGCAGATTGCAAGCAATGGTCATTTGGAGCTAAATGAATGAATTTTCCCTGTCATTGTCCAATTACAATGCTTTTACCACGATAAATTTAAGAATAACATCCAGGATTAAATACAAAAAGCAAAGAGCTTCTGGGTGATTCAGGTTAGCAACTTTGTTTTGGATGACCCGTCTTCAACTGCCAACAGACTATTCTCAAATTCCTGAAAGGGCGAGGCGCAGTGGTTCCTGCACCTGGCACTTTGGGAGGCCAAGGCAGGAGGATCACTTGAGACCAAGAGTTTGAGACCAGCCTGGACAACATGTAAGAAAATTGAAAAATTAGCCAGGCGTGGCTGGGCACCGTGGCTCACACCTGTAATCCCAATACTTTGGGAAGCCGAGGCGGGTGGATCAGGAGGTCAGGAGTTCAAGACCAGCCTGGCCAAGATGGTGAAACCCCGTCTCTACTAAAAATACAAAAATTAGCTGAGCGTGGTGGCACGTGCCTGCAATCCCAGCTACTCAGGAGGCTGAGGCAGAGAACTGCTTGAACCTGGGAGGCGGAGGTTGCAGTAAGCCAAGATCACGCCACTGCACTCCAGCCTGGGCGACAGAGCAAGACTCCATCTCACAAAAAAGAAAAGAAAAGAAAAGAATAAAAAGAAAAATTAGCTGGGTGTGATGGCGTGTGCCTGTAGTCCCAACTTCTCAGGAGGCTGAGGTAGGAGGATCACTTGAGCCCATGAGGTCAAGGCTTTAGTGAGCTATGAGGCTGCAGGTACTGCTGCCACACTTGCTAATTTTCATATTTTTTTGTAGAGATGGGGTCTGGCTATGTTGCCCAGGCAGATCTCAAACTCCTGGGCTCAATCGATCCTCCTGCCCCAGCCTCCCAAAGTACTGGCATTACAGGTGTGACCTACTGCACCCAGCCCAACTTTTTACTTTGATATAACTTCAAACTTACAGAAAAGTTGGAAGAATAGTACCAAGAACCCCTGAACGCATCTTTCCCCGCGCTTCCCCCATGCTATTTTTGTGCCTTCTGTTGCTTTATCCTTCTCTGTGTGTGTATGGACATGCGTATTTAATATATGCATATTCTCCCCCTTAACTCAGAGCAAACAGCATTGTTTGCCTTCTGTGAACATTTCCAAAGAACAGCAAAGTGGTGGGCTGGGTGCGGTGGCTCACACCTGTAATCCCAGCACTTTAGGAGGCCGAGGCGGGCGGATCACCTGAGGTTGAGAGTTCGAGACCAGCCTGACCAACATGGAGAAACCCCGTCTCTGCTAAAATACAAAATTAGCCAGGCGTGGTGGCGCATGCCTGTAATCCCAGCTACTTGGGAGGCTGAGGCAGGAGAATTGCTTGAACCCGGGAGACAGAAGCTGCGGTGAGCCGAGATCAGATCGATCACACCATTGCACTCCAGCCTGGGCAACAAGAGCGAAACTCCGTCTCAAACAAAACAAAACAAAACAAAACAAAACAAAACAAAACAAAACCCACAAAAAAACAAACAGCAAAGTGGGACGTTTTGGGTGTAAAAGTGTGCCCTCTGGTGGTCATGCAATTTTTCCATTGACGTCATTATATATTCTAGATACAATTAGTATAATTGATTCTCGTTATCTGCGGGTTTCTTGTCCTCGAATTCTGTATTTGCTGGTTCCATACCCGTGGATTCAGCAGAATCGAAAATATTTGAAGCCAGGCGTGGTGGCTGCACCTGCGGTCCCAGCTACTCTGGAGGCTGAGGCAGGAGGATTGCTTGAGCCCAGGAGTTCGAGGCTGCGGTGAACCGCCATCCCACCACTGCACTCCAGCCTGGGTGACAGGGCAAGACCCTGTCTCAAAACAAAACATTTAAAAAAAAAATGGAGAGAAAAGAAGAAGAAAGCATTTTAATAAAAACAATAAAATTAACAATACAAGAAGAAAAATAATGCAAAGTTTAAAATACAGTATAACAACTATTTACATAGCGTTGATGTTGCACTAGTTATTATAAGCAACTTAGAACTGATCTACAGTATATGGGAGGGTGTGTGGAGGTTTTACACAAATACGGCACCATTTTATTTTATTTTAATTAATTTATTTATTTTGTTTAAGACGGAGTCTTGCTCTTGTCGCCCAGGCTGAAGTGCAACGGCATGATTTCAGCTCACTGCAACCTCTGCCTCCTGGGTTCAAGTGATTCTCCTGCCTCAGCCTCCCGAGTAGCTGGGATTACAGGTGCCTGCCACCATGCCCAGCTGATTTTTGTATTTTTAGTGGAGACGGGGTTTCACCATGTTGGCCAGGCTGGTCTCGAACTCCTGACCTCAGGTGATCCACCTGCCTTGGCCTCCCAAAGTGCCGGGATTACAGGCATGAGCCACCGCACCCGGCCACGCCTTTTTATTTTATTTTTTTGAGACAGGCTGTCACTCTGTCCCCCAGGGTAGGAGGCAATGGTGTGATCTCAGCTCACTGCAGCCTTGGCCTCCCAGGCTTAAGTGATCCTCTCACCTCAGCCTCCCAAGTAGCTAGTACCACAGGCCCCAGCTACCACACCCAGTTAATATTTGTATTTTTTGTAGAGATGAGGTCTCACTATGTTGGACAAGCTGGTCTCAAACTCCTGAGCTCAAGCAATCCTCCCACCTTGGCCTCCCAAAGAGCTAGGAATATAGGCGTGAGCCACCGCGTCTGGTTACTGCACCATTTTATATCAGGGTCTTGAGCATCCACTGACTTTGATACCTGCAGGGATCTTGCAATCTCCTGCAGACATTGAGGGACAACTGCGTGTATACATTTCACAAATATTTTTTCTTTTTTTATGGGGGGATGGAGTCTTGTTCTGTTGCCCAGGCTGGAGTTCAGTGGCACGATCTTCTCTCACTGCAACCTGCACCTCCTGAGTTCAAGCAACTCTCCTGTTTCAGCCTCCTGAGTAGCTGGGATTACAGGCATGCGACACCTTGCCTGGCTATTTTTTTTTTTTTTTTTTTTTTAGTAGAGATGGTGTTTCACCATGTTGGCCAGGCTGGTTTCGAACTCCTGACCTTAGGTGATCTGCCCTCCTTGGCCTCCCAAAGTGCTGGGATTACAGGCATGACCCACCGTGCCCGGCTGGGATATATCTATTAACATGCTATTTATCAACATGGTTAACTTTCTGTCCTTCCCTATTGGAATCTAAAGGATATAGAGAAGGATATGTGTGATGTTTACTGCTGTGTTTCCCAGTGCAGAAAACAGAGTCTGGGACATAGAAGATGCTTTATGAGTATTTATTAGACAATAGGCACACATTTCTGTGTGCACACACACACGTCTTTTTTTTTTTTTTTTTTTTTTTTTTTTTGAGATAGAGTTTCACTCTTGTTGCCTGGGCTGGAGTGCAATGGTGCGATCTTGGCTCACTGCAACCTCCGCCTCCCAGGTTCAAGTGATTCTGCTGCCTCAGCCTCCCGAGTAGCTGGGATTACAGGCATGTGCCATCACGCCCGGCTAATTTTGCATTTTTAGTAGAGACGGGGTTTCTCCGTGTTGATCAGGCTGGTCTCGAACTCCCGACCTCAGGTGATCCGCCCGCCTCAGCCTCCTCCCCTTTTCAGACCATATAAGGTAACTTCCGGACATTGCCATGGCATTTGTGAACGGTCATGGCACTGGTGAGAGTGTCTCTTAGCATGCTAATACATTATAATTAGCATATAATGAGCAATGAGGACAACCAGAGGTCACTTTCTTCGCCATCTTGGTTTTGGTGAGATTTGGCGGCTTCTTTACCATGTTCTGTTCTAACAGCAGGGTCTTCGTGACCTGTGTCCTGTGATACTGTCCTGCCAACCTCCTATCTCCTCCTGTGAGTAAGAATGCCTGACCTCCTGGGAATGTGGCCCAGCAGGTCTCAGCCTCATTTTACCCAGCCCCTATTCAAGATGGAGTCGCTCTGGTTTTTTTGTTTGTTTGTTTGTTTGAGCCGGAGTCTCGCTCTGTTGCCCACAGGATGGAGTGCAGTGACGTGATCTCGGCTCACTGCAACCTCTGCCCCCCGGGTTCAAGCGATTCTCCTGCCACAGCCTCCCGAGTAGCTGGGATTACAGGCATGCACGACCATGCCCAGCTATTTTTTTTGTATTTTTAGTGGAGACGGAGTTTTACCATGTTGGCCAGGCTGCTCTCGAACTCCTGGCCTCAAGTGATCCTCCTGCCTCGGCCTCCCAAAGTGCTGGGATTACAAGTGTGAGCCACCGCGCCTGGCCAGGCTTTTGCATTTCTGACAACCAGATGGACACCCCTGGCCCATCCTGTGGCCTCCACCCAGAAGTGGACTCACGGCATGAGGGCCGTGTTCCACATCCCTATGATCCCATCCCCAACTAGCCAGCAGCACCTAGACCCTAGCCTCCTGACCACCAAACTATCTTCAAAAAACCCCTGAGTGGGTGCAGTGGCTCACGTCTGTAATCCCAGCACTTTGGGAGGCCAAGGCTGGTGGATCCCTTGAAGTCAGGAGTTCAAGACCAGCTTGGCCAATGTGGCAAAAACCCATCTCTACTAAAAGTACAAAAATTAGCCGGGCGTGGTGGCGGGTGCCTCTAATCCCAGCTACTCAGGAGGCTGAGGCAGGAGAATCACCTGAACTTGGGAGGCGGAGGTTGCAGTGAGCTGAGATCATGTCACTACACTCCATCCTGGGCGACAGAGCCTTCAGGGAGCTTGGTTTGAGTAATGACTCCGTTTCCTGCATGGCATAGCCAGCCTCAGGCCAACTAAACTCTTTTTACTGCAATGCCACGGTCTTTGTGAATCGATTTTGTTTGTGCAGTGAGCAGGGAGAACCTGTCCGGCAGCTACAACTGTTGCTGGTGGGCTGGGCAGGTTCTTGGCTTCACTGCACAAATAATTTGAGAGCAAGTCCAAAGTGTGAGTAAGCAAAGAAATTTATTGCAAAATGAAAGTACTCTCTAAGAGGCAGAGCAGACTATTCACAGGGAGAGGCAGCAGCTAGTGCCTTAAGATAAATTCCTTTTTGGGGGCTGTACGTACATAGTCAGAAAATACCGGTGAGGTCAGGTGTGCAAAGGTGGACCTACGGTTGGACTCAGCATCTGCCTGCTCTAACACACATTGCATGTATCAATAGCATACAAAATCTCCACCTAGGGGTGGGTTTTGTTTTCGTTTTTGTTTTTGTTTTCGAGAGTCTTACTCTGTCACACAGGATGGAGTGCAGTGGCACGATCTCGGCTCACAGCAACCTCCGCCTCCCGGGCTCAAGCATTTCTCCTGCCTCAGCCTCAGGTTTTTTTTTTTTAACTATTAAAATGAGGAAAATGTTGGCCCGGCGCTGTGGCTCACGCCACAGTAATCCCAAAGTAATCCCGACACTTTGGGAGGCTGAGGCGGGCAGATCACCTGAGGTCAGGTGTTTGAGACCAGCCTGGCCAACGTGGTGAAACCCCGTCTCTACTAAAAATACAAAAATTAGGCAGGTGTGTTGGCAAGTGCTGGTAGTCCCAGCTACTTAGGAGTTTGAGGCAGGAGAATCGCTTGGACCCAGGACTTGGAGGCTGCAGTGAGTCTTGATTGTTCCACTGTACTCCAGCGTTGGCAACAGAGTGGGATTCCATCTCAAAAAAATAAAATAAAATGAGGAAAAGTTTACTATTAGCTAAACCTTAACTCTAGCTGCACATGTGGGGCCTGGAAGAAGTCCCTGGCCCCTTTTAAGGCAGGAATTTTTTTTTTTTTTTTTTTGAGATGGAGTTTCACTCTTGTTGCCCAGGCTGGAGTGCAATGGCACGATCTCGGCTCACGGCAACTCCACCTCCTGGGTTCAAGCGATTCTCCTGCCTCAGCCTCCCAAGTAGCTGGGATTACAGGCATGTGCCACCAAGCCCAGCTAAGTTTTGTATTTTTAGTAGAGACAGGGTTTCACCGTGTTGGTCAGGCTGGTCTTGAACTTCCGACCTTAGATGGATCCACCCGCCTCAGCCTCCCAAAGTGCTGGGATTACAGGTGTGAGCCACCACACCCGGCCTTAGGCAGGAATTTGTAGCTAATAGCTTCTTGGGCTTTTTGGTGTTGATTGGCTGGAGATTGGGGAAGCTGATGAAGCCGATTCAGGAATAAGGGACTTTTGTTCTCTTTCGCTGGCAGTACCGGATATGAGGAATTTGTAACCCATCTGGCGGTCTGCTGGTATCCTTCAGGACTGCTTACCTTGTAAAAGAGATAGGTGCTCAGGCATGGGAATGCAAGGGATGCGGAGCCCGCTGGGTGTCACACAAGGGGACAAGTCAGGATGGCCTCCTAATCTTAGTTATGATGCCTCACAATGGAAGGCAAAGACCCCTGCATTTTTCCTGTGTCTAAACTCTAAAGCTAAGTTCTCCAACTCAGGGCCTGCAGGCCGGATGAAGCCCAGGATGGCTTTGAATGCACCCAACACAAATTCGTAAACTTTCTTAAAACATTATGAGATTATTGGCTGGGAGTGGTGGCTTACGCCTGTAATCCCAGCACTTGGGAGGCCGAGGCAGTCGGATCACGAGGTCAGGAGATCGAGACCATCCTGGCTAACACGGTGAAACCCCGTCTCTACTAAAAATACAAAAAATTAGCCGGGCTTGGTGGCGGGCGCCTGTAATCCCAGCTACTCGGGAGGCTGAGGCAGGAGAATGGCTTGAACCCGGGAGGCGGAGCTTGCAGTGAGCCGAGATCGCGCCACTGCACTCCAGCCTGGGCGACAGAGCGAGACTCCGTCTCAAAAAAAAAAAAAAAAAAAGAAAAAAAAAACATTATGAGATTATTTTGCAATTTTTGTCTTGTTTTAGCTCATCAGCTATAGTTAGTGTTCCTGTATTTTATGTGTGGCCCAAGACAATTATTCCAATGTGTCCCAGTGAAGCCAAAAGATTGGACACCTATGTCTAAAGCAACTAAAACAAAATATCCGCGAATTTGAAAATGTGAGCTACGTGGCCATCTAGTGGCCAGAAGGGAACATCACAACGCACTCATTAATAAGAAAAGCCACATGTAAATGCATAAAAATGACCTTATTTCTGGAAGAAATAACAGACATTCAAGGAAGAAAAATCCCAACAATGGGAATATCTTTGTGCAGGAGTATGTTATCACGAGGAATGTGTTGGCTGGAGGAAATGAGCATTTATTACTTATTTTAGCGTTTATTGTTTATCAGGGTAATTGGGCGTTGGAGGATTGCGCGAAAGACCACGCCCCCAACCTCGTCCCGGGACCTCGGTCTTGTTTTAGCCACGCCCCGGGGAGGATCCAGTACAAGCCACGCCCACAGCGCGATTCTGTCCCGAGACTTGCCCTCGAGGGGCGGATCTGCCAACAATGCCAATTATCTCCCAGACGGCGGAAACTAGCTTTTCCTGCTCAGCGATTGGACGACGTAGGTCGTCCCGCCTATCTTTGAGGCTCCACCAATCCCAAGCTCATTACTAGCCCACTTTTCAGCTCCCAGCCGCCCCGGAACCGGAAACGGAAGCATCCGTCTGTGACCCGCGGCGGCCGTCTCCCTCAGTGGCCGCAGCGCCTCCCGTGAGAGCGGTTTCTCCTCCTTGTACTGCTGGACCTGGCCCCGTATCTTCGTGGCAGAGGCCAAGCAAGGGGACTCCGATGCCGGGGCGTAGGGGGGTTTGGGTCAAAGGATGGGGGCAGAGTTCAAAGTGCAGGGGGCGGGCTCGTTTAATGGCGAAGTCCTGGCACCGCGCCCCAGGGAGGAGGCTCCGGAGGCCAGTGGAACCCCGCTAGACTTCAGGGGTCTTGGTTGGGGACGCGGGGCGTTTTGACCCCCTAGGCCTGAGGATCCTAGGCCTGAGTAACCCATCGGATTTGGAGGGAAGGGTGGGGTTTAGGTGAAATGTAAATACTGCGTGGTTTCCATTTGGCAAAGAGCAAGCTTGTAAAGGGGTCACCCTCGGGTCTGGGCTGCGAAGTGCAGCCGGGACCTGTTTCCTTGGGAACCACAAGATAAGACCGCTGTAGATTGTTATGTCCGGAAACCGCTTATCAGAGCCCTGCACCTGGGTTGGAAATGGAGACGGATTCTCTGTGTCCAAGAAAATCAGACCCTCCGGCCGGAAAAGGGAAGTTTATTCTTACTGATAAAATGTCAATCACTGTGTATGATTGTAATGGGCAAGGAAGGCATTTAGCGAGCTAGAAGACATTGATGGCTCAGAAAAAGGTGTCCTTGGCAAAAATACTGTTTTCTGTTAATTTTCCAACTGATACCATCTGGGTCTGTCCTCCCAGCCTGATGAATGTGTAGGCAGATACTTTCTCAGTCGGAGTTGATTTTTATTATCTTGATTGCTGCATCCTGTGCACAGAGGTTTTCTGCTCAGCTGGGCTTCATCCTGGGGTCCCAGTCCTGGCCCCAAGCCTTAATCAGCTCTCGGGTGATATTAGGCAAGTTGCCAAGCCCCTAAGTGCCTCAGTTTCCAGGTCTGTAAAATACATAACATTACCTGCATTTGTCAAATAGTGCTGTGTGTGGATTATTATTGGCAGCTCATCATCACCATTATCACCCTCCTGTAAACGTCTTGGACCCCTTAAGTGAAGACAGCAGGGTTACGGCGGATAAAATGATGGACTTCAGAGAAAAGACTCTAAGACCAAATAGAGTCTAAAGCAGTGATTATCAAAGAGGGGAGGAGAAATTTTACGCCCAGGGGACACTGGACAATGTCTGCAGACTTGGTTGTCACAACCGGGGATGGGGTTGGGGCGACTGGCATCCAGTGGATGAGGAGGTCTAGGGTGCTGCTCAACACCCTGCAATGAATAGCACGCCAGTCTTTTGGATTTGAGCCCACCTTAATCTCATTTTAATCGAATTGCCTCTTTAAAGGCCTATCTTCAAATACCTTCTGAGGTACTGTGGGTTAGGCCTTCACCTTACGGATTTGTGGGGACGCAATTCACCCGTTAACGCTATACATACACAAAAATTCATAGACTACACCTCAAAAGAAAAATTCAACATGACCATATAATACTATAAAATAAAAGAAGATGCAATACCTGGTTTGGGGTTGGATCTTCGGAGGACCAGCTGTAAAGACCATTTGGGGTATAATTGAAGGAAATACGATTATGGGCTAGGTATAAAGGAATGATTGTTAACTATCTAAAGTGCGAATATGAAGTGTGGACTTTTAGATAAAAATACAGATTTTTCTCTAAAATAGCATTTGGGAGGTGTTTAAGAGCAGAGTGTTACAGTGTCCTCAATTTACTTTTTTTTTTTTTTTTGAGACGGAGTCTCGAGCTGTCGCCCAGGCTGGAGTGCAGTGGTGTGATCTCGGCTCACTGCAGCCTCCACCTCCCGGGTTCAAGTGATTCTCCTGCCTCACCCTCCCGAGTAGCTGGGACTACAGGTGCCCGCCACCACACCCAGCTAATTTTTGTATTTTTAGTAGAGATGGGGTTTCACCATCTTGGCCAGGCTACTCTTGAACTCCTGACCTCGTGACCCGCCTGCCTCGGCCTCCCAAAGTGCTGGGATTACAGGCGTAAGCCACTGCCCCCAGCCACTCAATTGACTTTGAAATAATTCTTTTTTTTTTTTTTTTTTTGAGACAGAGTTTTGCTCTGTTGCCCAGGATAGAGTACAATGGCGTGATCTCAGCTCAACGCAAGCTCCGCCTCCTGGGTTCACGCCATTCTCCTGCCTCAGCCTTCCGAGTAGCTGGGACTACAGGCACTCGCCACCACGCCCAGCTGATTTTTTGTATTTTTAGTAGAGACGGGGTTTCACCATGTTAGCCAGGATGGTCTTGATCTCCTGACCTTGTGATCCGCCCAACTCGGCCTCCCAAAGTGCTGGGATTACAGACGTGAGCCACCGCACCCTGCGACTTTGAAATAATTCTATGTAGATATTGGCTGTCAGTCGGCTAGAACAATTGATCAGGAAACATCTCTGTCTTCACAAATTACCTGATATGTTGAGTAATGTGAGTATAACACGAATTTCATATTTGTTTATGTTCAGTTTCAACCCTAAGAAACACTAAGTGAACAGAAGAAATTGCACATAACTGAAGAGTCTGGTAGGAAAACAGAAAATGCGCGCACACACCTCAAATACCAAGTCACACTGTTTCCTCTGCTTTAAAACTTAACATTAGATTTCCGACAACCCTCTCTCCACCACTGCATACTAACTCTGGAAATTTAGATTCCCTTGCCCAATTCCACAAGCAACCTTTGGATCTTCTGCAAGGTACGTTGCTACATTTATTATAGTATTTATGTGTTTCTTTTCCTTTTTTTTTTTTTTTTTTTGAGACAGAGTTTTGATCTTGTTGCCCAGGCTGGAGTGCAGTGGCATGATCTCGGCTCACTGCAACCTCCACCTCCTGGGTTCAAGTGATTCTCCTGCCTCAGCCTCCCGATTAGCGGGGGTTCCAGGCATTTGCCACCATGTCCAGCTCATTTTTGTATTTTTAGTAGAGATGGGGTTTCTCCATGTTTGTCAGGGTGGTCTCGGACTTTGGACCTCAGGTGATCTGCCCACCTTGGCATCCCAAAGTGCTGGGATTACAGGCGTGAGCCACCGCGCCCGGCCTATTTATGTGTTTCTTAATGATGTAAGGTGAAAAGCTGTGCTACTGTTTACTTCTTCAGGGACTCTGATAATAGGCATGTTTTTCTTTCCTGTCTTTTGTTCCCACTGCTTCCTCTCTGACAGTTATTCCACTGTTTCCTATCACTTCCAATTTCTTTGTAGTTTCCTTGCCTCTTATCTTTGACACAATGTGAGTATCCTAAGCTTCATTAATATCCATTGATGAAGGCTGAGGCAAGCGGATCACTTGAGGTCAGGAGTTCCAGACCAACTTGGCCAGCATGGTGAAACCCCATCTCTACCAAAAAATACAAAAATCTGCCAGGCATGGTGGTGCAACATAAGACAAGCTTTGAGTAGCAAAAGATTGGAAACAAGTCCACTGTCTATTTAGAGAGACCTTGTTACATCAGCTTACATCATCTTACATCTGTAAGGAGTAAGGAAGTCACCTATTAAGATGAAGAGAGGTGGAGGATTTATTTTTTTCATTGAGCCACAAAAACAATTGTAATGCAATGTGTACACCATGGTACTTTTTAAAAATAATAAAGCGGGGGGAAACAAAACGTGTCGTTCAAATGGCGTTTTTTTGTTTGTTTTTGTTTTGAGATGGAGTCTCGCTCTGTCACCCAGGCGGAGTGCAGTGGTGCGATCTTGGGTCTGCAATCCCCGCCTCCCGGGCTCTAGTGATTCTCCTGCCTCAGCCTCCCAAGTAGTTGGGATTACAGGCATGTGCCACCACGCCCGGCTAATTTTTATATTTTTAGTAGAGACAAGGGTTTTGCCATGTTGGCCAGGCTGGTCTCGAACTCTTGACCTCAGGTGATCCACCTGCCTCAGCCTCCCAAAGTGCTGGGATTATAGGCGTGAGCCACTGCGCCCGGCCCTAGAGAATTTCTTAAAGTAAAAGGCTGTACTGTTCCTATGGTAATTGAATTCTTATTTTAACTCATTTGAGAAAATAATCATAGAAGTTTAAATAAATTTGAACTCGACGTGAAAATTCTGAATACTTTTATTCAGTTGAGCCGCAATTCCTAAAGCCTGGAACGCGACTGCTCATCTCCGAAAAGACTTTCCAGCTTGAGACAGAGTAGAAGTATAAACTCTATATCGCTTGCCATTTTACATACAAACATAATTGTCGTAATTCATGTTTTTACTGTGTCGACCTAAATAACAGGCTGTCTAAAAACGGTGGTAACAGTTCATTGCAGTGGGAATATGCGCGGCATAGCAAACTATGTGCTTATTCAGGGAGGTAAAGGAAGACAAAGGTTGTTTTTGGTTTTCATTTTTTTGAGACGGGGGTCTCTGTTGCCCAGGCTGGAGTACAATGGTGAGATCACAGCTCACTGCAGCCTCAATCCCCACGGGCTCGAGCGATCCTCCTGCTTCAGCCTATCAAGTCGTTGGGACCATAGGCGCACACTCCTTTATTCCCAGCTAATTTTTGTATTTTTTGTATATATGGGGTTTTGCCATGTTGCCCAGACTGGGACAAAGGTTTATAAAGGAAAAAAAAAATTTTAAATGAGGATTACATCATTTTTCAGAAATAATTATCCTTGTCTACAAAGATCAGTAACAAGGGTCACACCAGTCTGAGTGTCCCTGTAAAAGTATTTTTTGTTTAAGCCTGTGGTTTTTGTAGAGTCTTTTTCGTTATTAAGCATATAAATGTGAGACCTCTCTCTTCATGACCTTACGTGGTTCTGTTTGTGGGAGGGCTGCTTTTTTTTTTTTTGA
Organism: Homo sapiens; assembly: GCF_000001405.40. NCBI lineage: Eukaryota > Metazoa > Chordata > Mammalia > Primates > Hominidae > Homo > Homo sapiens. Next base: position 2,945,814 of record NC_000019.10, on the reverse strand, counting down.
GACTCAGTTTCGCTCTTGTTGCCCAGGCTGGAGTGCAGTGTCCTGATCTTGGCTCACTGCAATCTCCGCCTCCTGGGTTCAAGCGATTCTCCTGCCTCAGCCTCCGGAGTAGCTGGGATTACAGGCGCCCGCCACCGTGCCCAGCTAATTTTTGTATTTTTAGGAGAGAAGTGGTTTTCGCCATTTTGGTCAGGCTGGACTTGAACTCCTGACCTCTGATGATCCGCCGGTCTCCGCCTCTCACGGTGCTGGGATTACCGGCGTGAACCACCGCGCCCGGCCGAGAGTTTTAAGAACACAGGGAGCGCCTGGTGGGGTCCGGCCTCCTGGGGCCTCGTCGTCTGGTCTCCAGATCTCCAGGTCTCTGGACCCCAGGCGTCCGCGCCCACGCGGGACAGCACGGTGACGTCACGCACGCGGGTCCCGCCCCCACGCAGGACTCCGCCCCATGGGACTCCGTGCCCTTCCTCTCCTCCCCGCACGAGGGGCCGCTCCGAGGGGAAACTGAGTCTGGAGTTGCCGTGCAGTCAGGGAGGAGGACGCCGCGCCCTCCCTGGACTGGAGTGAGTTCTCCCAGATCCGCGGCTGCCCGGCTAGAGGGTCAGCCACGCGTGTTCTCGACGAGCCCGTCACTGAGGAGAGAATTATCCAATCAGGACAGGCAGGGGCGGGGCCTAGGGAACTGTCCAATCAGAGACGTTAATCCGAAGCGGAGCCCTGCCCAATCAAGGGCGCTAGGGGGACGGACTGGAGAATTCTCCAATCAGGGGTGCGGAGTCGACAGCACTGTCCAATCAGAGTCTCCACTTCCCGAGATCTGTCCAATCAGACCCCGAGGACGGTAAGCCGAGTTCCCCTCTGCCTTGCGCGCTTCCCCGCCTACCCCGAGCGGCTCAGGTGTCCTGTCGTGCTCACCTGCGCCGGTCGCTGGACCGCGGGGCGCTAACCCTGGAGAGCCCAGGAGCGGGCGGGACATGGTGAGTGCCGGGCGGGAGCCGAGCCCGGGCCCAGGGCGAGGTGGGGCGGCAGGAACCGGCTTCCGCCCGAGTTCGCAGCCGGAGAAAGCTGAGGGACGCGCGGGGCGGCGCACGACGAGCGCCTGGGCCCCGGGGACGTGGTCACAGCGGCCGAGGGGTAGGGCTGGGGGCAGTCTGGGGTGACAGCAAAAGCGGTCAGGGGCTCGAGGGGTAGTTTCTGGGGACAGTACAGGTCAGGAGTTTGGGGAGAGCTTGTGGGGACAGCAGAGGTGGTCAGGGGCTTGAGGCAATTTAAGTGGACAGTAGAGGTTTAAGGGGCACAGGGGCAGTTTGCGGGAACAGACACGGTCAGGGGCTCGGCGGCAGTTTGGGGGTTCAGTGGAAGGGAGTCAGGCTCAAGGGCAGATTAGGGGGCCAATAGCAGCGGTCAGGAACTCGGGGACAGTTTGAGGGGGCCGTAGAGGCGGTCATGGGTTTGAAGGGGCAGTTTTGGGGGACAGGTGATCAGGGGCTCGAAGGCAGTTTAGGGGGACAGTAGCTGCAGTCGGGAGTTTGGGGGCAGCTCGAGGGGACAGCAGAAGCAGTCAGGGGCTCAGGGGCACTTTAAGGGGGGCAGTAGAGGCGATCAGGGGCTTGAGGGAAGTTTGGGGGGACAGTAAAGGGAGTCGGGCTCGAGGGATGTGTTGGGGGACAGTAGAGGCAGTCAGGGGATCGGGGAGAGTGGGAGGAGAGGGCAGGAGCCGTCAGGGGCTTGGTGGTCAGTTTGGGAAGGTCTGCCAAGGAGGAGGTGGTGCCCTGTCCTGGAGCCTGTCAAATAATAAAATCCTGGGCCGGGCGCGGTGGCTCACGCCTGTAATCCCAGCACTTTGGGAGGCCGAGGCGGGCGGATCACCTGAGGTCAGGAGTTCCAGACCAGCCTGGACAACATGGCGAAATCCCGTCTCTACTAAAAATACAAAAATTAGCCCGGCGTGGTGGCGGGCGCCTGCAATCCCAGCTACCAGGGAGGCTGAGACAGGAGAATGGCGTGAACCTGGGAGGTGGAGCTTGCAGTGAGCCGACATGGCGCCGCTGCACTCCAGCCTGGCGACAGAGAAAGACTCCGTCTCAAAAACAAAAACCAAAAAAAAAAAAAAAAAAAAAAATCCTGGCTAGAGAAGGAGAGAGAAAAATAGGGATAAGCCCCAGCCTCCGAAACCTGCCAGGTCTCAAAATCAACCAGGAAAAGGCTTTACTTTCATACACAAGAAAAGGTTTGGAGGAACGTTTTAGGGGACAAGCAGAAAGGAGGTTGACAGTAAATGTACCTCCTCGTGGTCAGCTAGCTCAGGGGAGGTGACAGGGGACTCCACACTTACTGCTTGCTCAGACTCGGGGGGGCCAAAGTTCAGGGGCCTGCGGAGAGGACAGAAGGCTGAGTAAAGTTTGGGGAAGAAACGGGAGGCTGCGAACATGTGGTCAAGCTTGTGTAAACCCAAACGTAGTAAGGAAACTTTTATGAAAAAGGATTATTGCGAGGTATTGGGGGAGGGGGAGAAGGGGCTGTTGCAATAGGGAGAAGGGTTAGTTGGATTAGAGGCAGGAGAGTAATGCCAGAGGCTTGAGGTTCTATTGCAGTGGGGTGGGGGTATAAGCAACAGGGGCATGGGGACAGTTGATGATTGAGCTGCGGGACTAATGCTGTAGCCACAGGGAGACAGCTGCAGGGGGAGAGCTCTGTGACCGTCAAGTATGCAGGCATCTGAAGAGTTGGCTAGGCCTGGCGCGGTGGCTCATGCCTGTACTCCCAGCACTTTGGGAGGCTGAGGCAGGTGGATCACCTGAGGTCAGGAGTTCAAGACCAGCCTGGCCAACATGGTGAAATCCCATCTCTACTAAAAAATACAAAAATTAGCCGGGCGTGGTAGTGTGTGCCTGTAATCCCAGCTACTTGGAAGGCTGAGGCAGGGAGAATTGCTTGAACTCGGGAGGCAGAGGTTGCAGTGAGCCATGATCACACCACTGCACTCCAGCCTGGGCACACCTAACCTAGTGAATCATTTCTGATGACAAAGAATGGGATTTCGGAGGGTCTGAATCTGGCCTTGTCATCTGCGTGAATCTTATCTAAGTCGTATGGGAAGGGAGGGTCCTGGCTGTCCCAATTCCAGAGCACAGCAGGACGGGGTTTCACCTTTGCTGGTTTCCAGGAGCACAGAGCTGAAGTCAGTTCAACATTGTCACCTGACAGCTGCGAACAGCCTCGTCTGTGTCCAGCTCAGCATTGGTATTGTTCCTATTTCAGCCCCAGGTTTTAGTAAATGTAAAATAATGAGGCCGGGCATGGGGATGCGCACCTGTGGTCCCAGCCACTTGAGAGGCTGAGGGGGGAGAATCGCTTGAGCCCACGAGTTTGAGGCTGTACCACTCCACTCCAGCCTGGGCAACAGAGCTAGACCCTGTCTGGAAAAAAAAAAAAAAAAAAAAAGAGCCGGGCGCGGTGGCTCACACCTGTAATCCTAGCACTTTGAGTGGCTGAGGTGGGCGGATCACAAGGTCAGGAATTCAAGACCACCCTGATTGACATGGGGAAACCCCGTCTCTACTAAAAATATCAAAATTAGCCAGGTGTGATGGCAAGTGCCTGCAATCCCAGCTACTTGGGAGTCTGAGGCAGGAGAATCGCTTGAACCGGGGAGGCGGAGGTTGCAGCGAGCTGAGATTGTTTCACTGCACTCCAGCCTGGGAGACGGAGCAAGACCCTGTCTCAAAAAAAAAAAAAAGAATAAATGCTTTTTGCCTTTTTTTTCTTGTCCTTAGTGAGGGCAGTCATTGTCTTGGATGTGTTCTTTGCCTTCTGCCACTGCCTGGTGTTATACCATGGCTTAGCCCGAGAAGGCTGCTGTGGAAAACTCTCAAACTCGGAAGACGTTGCATCTTCCATTAGGATGAGGGGAAAGGCGCACACACAGCCCCATGCCATATTGTGAGGTGGGCGAAGGTGTGGATTGAAAACATTCATGAAACTAGCACTGACTTAGGCAGGGTGCAGAGTTTGTGACAGTGGGGGACCCTGCTCCGTCTCCTGTTAGTATCTGCGCATCAGACAGATGCGCATTCTGTAATATACGACCCACAGTACAGAGAAGCGGCAATTCCGATTAGGGGACTGACGAACAATTTATCATGAGGATAATCATTAACTGATACCTGTTTTCTGCATGAGACCCTAATCATTAACTGATACCTGTTTTCTGCATGGGACCCTTTGTGGGACAGAAAAACTTCTAGATCTTCTAGAATCCACCACTCACCCCTTTGTCCTTTAACACGGGCTGAAAGTGGTGATTTGGCTGTGTTCTTACTTATTTTTATTTTTTTTTTGAGACAGTCTCACTCTGTCACCCAGGCTAGAGTGCAGTGGCTTGATCTCAGCTCACTGCAACCTCTGCCTCTGGGTTTAAGTGATTTTCCTGCCTCAGCCTCCCAAGTAGCTGGGATTACAGGCATGCACCACCACACCTGGCTAATTTTTGTATTTTTAGTAGCGGTGCGGTTTCACCATGTTGGCCAGGCTGCTCATGAACTCCTGACCTCAAGTGATCCTCCCGCCTTGGCCTCCCAAAGTGCTGAGATTACAGGTGTGAGCCACCTCACCCAGCCTTTTTTTTTTTTTTTTTTTTTGAGGTAGGGCGTCTCTCTGTCACCCACGCTGGAGTGCAGTGGTGACATCGTGGCTCACTACAGCCTCAACCTCCTGGGCTCAAATGATCCTCCCACCTCAGCCTCCTGAGTAGCTGGGACTCCAGGTGTGCCCCACCATGCCTGGCTAATTTTTGTATTTTTTGTAGAGACAGGGTTTCACCATATTGCTCAGGCTGGTCCCAAGCTTCTGGGCTCAAACAGTCCTCCCACCTCAGTCTCCCAAAGTGCTGGGAGTATAGGCCTGAGCCACCAAGCCCAGCTGCTGATAGCATTTTATTATAAAATTGAACACATGTAGAACTTTTGTAAGACAATTACAGAGTCAGTGGAAACGTCCTCAAGTGAACAGTGTGTAACGACAGCCAGGCCATGTCTTCGAAGAAGCCTTGGCATCCAATTTGAAATGATGTGTAATGGTAGGCTTCTCCCTCCAGATCAGGCCAGTATTCTACATTCTTTTTTTTTTTTTTTTTTTCTTTTTTGTGATGGAGACTCACTCTGTTGCTAGACTGGAGTGCAATGGCGCCATCTCGGCTCACTGCAACCTCTGCCTCCTGGGTTCAAGTGATTCTCCTGCCTCAGCCTCCTGAGTAGCTGAGACTACAGGCGTGTGCCACCACGCCCAGCTAATTTTTGTATTTTTAGTAGAGATGGGGTTTCACCATGTTGGCCAGGATGGTCTTGATCTCTTAACCTTGTGATCCGCCCACCTTAGCCTCCCAAAATGCTAGGATTATAGGCGTGAGCCACCACGCCCGGCCTATCCTAAATTCTTTTAGCCTTTTTTTTTTTGGTAGAGACAGGGTTTCACTGTGTTGTCCAGGGTGATCTCGAACTCCTGAACTCAAGTGATCTGCCTGTCTTGGCCTCCCAAAGTGTTGGAACTACAGGCGTGAACCACCACACCTGGCCAATATCCTAAATTATAAGGAAATAATCTCCTTGCTTTTCTTCATAGTTGTATTTTTAAAATTTAATTTAATTTAATTTTTTTTTTTAAGAGACAGGGTCTTTGCTCTGTCACCCAGGCTCGTCTTGAACTCCTGGCCTCAAGCGATCTTCTCACCTTGGCCTCCCAAAGTGCTGATATTATAGCTGAATAAGAAATAATAAAATTTGAGCAAGTCATGTCAATTTCCATGTTACCTGAATGATTGATTTATTTTATTTTTTTGAGATTGGGTCTCACTCTGTGGCCCAGACAGGAGTGCAGTGGCACAGTCATAGTTCACTGCAGCCTTGAACCCCCGAGCTCAAGCGATTGTCCCTCCTCACCCTCCTAAGTAGCCGGGACTACAGGTGTGTACCACCATGGCTGGTTAATTTATTGTATTTTATTTTTTTTGTAGAGACGGGATCTCACTATGCAGCCCAGGCTGGTCGCCAACTCCTGGCCCTAAGCAATCCTCGCACCTGAGCCTCTCAAAGTACTGGGATTGCAGGCATGAGCCACCAGCCTTAGCTTAATGATGTTTTCAGATTTTTCAGTGTTTCCCCACCCTCATACCTGCCGTTTCTCAGTAATTCTTTGTAAGTCTCTGGCAGAGGCCGTCATTGCGCTTTGCTCCCTGTTGGGAAGGTACTCACGGCATTGAGTGTACTGCACTTTTTCATACTGTTGGTCACCTCTCACAAGGACATAAGCTCTGTGTGGCTCAGTTCCCCAGGCTGTCAGCCTCACCCCTCTTCCTGCGCACATGGGGGAGGCGGTGCCTTTGCTGAAGTGGGATGTGTGGAATGTTTTAGGACTGCGTGATCTTTGAGGAAGTGGCTGTGAACTTCACCCCAGAAGAGTGGGCATTGCTGGATCATGCTCAGAGGAGCCTCTACAGAGATGTGATGCTGGAGACCTGCAGGAACCTTGCCTCCTTGGGTAAGGGTGGTGTCATTCCCTCACTGCCTCCTTGGGTAAGGGTGGCGTCATTCCCTCACTGCCTCCTTGGGTAAGGGTGGCGTCATTCCCTCACTGCCTCCTTGGGTAAGGGTGGCGTCATTCCCTCACTGCCTCCTTGGGTAAGGGTGGCGTCATTCCCTCACTGCCTCCTTGGGTAAGGGTGGCGTCATTCCCTCACTGCCTCCTTGGGTAAGGATGGCGTCATTCCCTCACTGCCTCCTTGGGTAAGGGTGGCATCATTCCCTCACTGCGTCCTGGAGAGCAAAGAGACCTTGGTTTTCTTTTTTTTTTTTTTTATTTTTTTGAGACGGAGTCTTGCTCTCTCGCCCAAGCTGGAGTGCAGTGGCACGATCTCGGCTCACTGCAAGCTCCGCCTCCCGGGTTCATGCCATTCTCCTGCCTCAGCCTCCTGAATAGCTGGGACTACAGGTGCCCACCACCACGCCTGGCTAATTTTTTGTAGCTTTAGTAGAGATGGGGTTTCACCGTGTTAGCCAGGATGGTCTCGATCTCCTGACCTCGTGATCCGCCCGCCTTGGCCTCCCAAAGTGCTGGGATTACAGGCGTGAGCCACCGCGCCCGGCCTAAGATACCTTGTTTTTCTTTTTATTTGAGCTCAAAAATTGAAATATGTTGGAAAAGAGATAGACATGATCCCAACACCCATGGAACATGGGAGTCAAAATGCTTCTCCATGAAAACAAAGTTTTGTGTATGATTGATATTTAGGTTTTCTTGATCACCAGTCCTTGGCTGCCCACATTTTATAAGTCTGAGTAGAGTATTCTGTGTCACGTTGGGGCAACAAAAGCAGCTTTGTGGTTCACCACACAGAGTAACTGTACTTTGAAAATCAAAGTACACTGTGATAAAGTAAATCCAAGTTACACTGTGAGTAATCCACGTTTGACATGGTAATTTTGCTGCAATTAAAACTCACACTCGGACATCATCGGTGGTCTGGGAAGTCAAAGTGTTGGCCTGTCTCAGGGGAACATTTGTTGCCCTTCACAATCCTTCCTCATCATGTGATTCTCCAGGAATGGGTGGTGCTCACACCTGAGGGCAGCCGGGCATAGTGGAGGAAGGACTCCTGTAAGGGCCCTGTGCCTGTGAGCACCAGGAGAGCAGCAGCCCTCGGGAGGAGTGGGTTCTGGATAAGAAGGTTCCGTTTGGCATCGTGGGTTAGAAGTACAAACCCCTGGCCGCACGCAGTGGCTCACGCCTGTAATCCCAGCACTTTGGAAGGCCTAGGTGGGTGGTTCACCTAAGGTCAGGAGTTCAAGACCAGCCTGGCCAACGTGGTGAAACCCCATGTGTACTAAAAATATAAAAAGTAGTCGGGCGTGGTGGCAGGTGCCTGTAATCCCAGCTACTCGGGAGGCTGAGGCAGGAGAATTGCTTGAACCCAGGACACGGAGGTTGCAGTGAGCCAACAAAGTGCCACTGCACTCCAGTCTTGGTGACAGTGTGAGACTCTGTCTCAAAAAACAAAACAAAACAAAAAAAAGAAACACAAACCCTTCTCTGAGGAGGAGGAGGTGTGTCCTCTCTCAGCTGCCCTGTGTGGCTTCTCCTGCACCCCCCTGCACTGTCCTCCTTCGCAGGGGAAAGCCTCTGGATTTCCTCGTATACGAGGAGCATTTGTGCATGTGCAAACTTTGCTTTTCTGATAATATTTTACTAAACATCAGTCTCCATCTGTTTGGAACTATTCTGTTTCTTAGTAAATGGGTTGCCACGTTTATCTCTTCTTTTTTTTTTTTTGAGACACAGTTTCACTCTTACTGCCCATTGCCCAGGCTGGAGTGCAATGGTGCGATCTTGGCTCAATGCAACCCCCACCTCCCAGGTACAAGTGATTCTTCTGCCTCAGCCTCCCGAGTAGCTGGGATTACAGGCACGTGCCACTATGCCCGGCTGATTTTTTGTATTTTTAGTGGAGATGGGGTTTAACCATGTTGGTCAGGCTGGTTTCGAACTCCTGACCTCAGGTGATCCACCCGCTTCGGCCTCCCAAAGTGCAGGGATTACAGGCGTGAGCCACCGCATCCAGCACTATTCTTTTTTTGAGACAGGGTCTCACTCTGTCACACAGGCTGCAGTGCCGTGGTGCAATCATGGCCCACTGCAGCTTTGACCTCCTGGGCTCAAGTGATCCTCCCTCCTTGGCCTCCCAAGGAGCTGGGATTATAGGCACACAACACCACGCCTGGCTAATTTAAATTTTTTATTGTTGTTTAGAGATGAGGTCTCCTTATTTTCCTATGTTGCCCAGGCTTGTCTTGAACTCCTGGGCTCAAGCAATTCTTCTACCTTGGCCCCGCAGTGCTTTGAGATTACAGGCATGAGCCACTGCACCCGGCTCATCTGCTTTTTATTATTGCCAAATTCTCAAGTAGATGAGGTCCTCAGAGTCTCACTTTGATAGCATGTCTATTCTTCCTTATAAACGGTACATTTTTGGATTACTATATGAAAAGAAATCCGTATGTGGTCTATTTCCTTTATCCCAACATATTTCTCCTAAGAAATTGTGTAATTGATTGTTGCAGATTGTTACATTTATGTTAGAACCAGTGGATCAAGTTCTCAGAGGGACGTTTTTGGGAATGGAATATCCAATGATGAAGAGATTGTAAAGTTCACAGGAAGTGATTCCTGGTCTATTTTTGGAGAAAATTGGAGATTTGATAACACTGGAGATCAGCACCAAATCCCACAGAGGCATCTGAGGTGAGTGGCGCTCAACCGGAGGGATGGGCCTCTCCGCAGAGCATCAAACTAACTTGCAATTCAAAGAAAAGTATCGGCTGGGCACAGGGGCTCGCGCCTGTAATCCCAGCACTTTGGGAGGCCGAGGCGGGTGGATCACCTGAGGTTAGTAGTTCGAAACCAGCTTGGCCAACACGGAGAAACCCCATCTCTACTAAAAATACAAAACATTAGCTGGGCGTGGTGGCTCATGCCTGTAATCCCATCTACTCAGGAGGCTGAGGAAGGAGAATCGCTTGAACCCAGGAGGCGGAGGTTGCAGTGAGCTGAGATCGCACCATTGCACTCCAGCCTGGGCAACAAGAGCAAAGCTCCATCTCAAAAAAAAAGTATAAACCAACTACACAATTTCAGACCCACAGAGACATTTTTTTTCTTTTTCTTTATTTTCTCTTTTTAAAAATATATTTTAATAATTACTTTTATTTATTTTATTTTATTTTTATTTTATTTATTTATTTATTTTTGAGATGGGGGTCTCACTCTGTCAACCAGGCTGAAGTGCAGTGGCACGGATCTTGGCTCACTGCAACCTTTGCCTCCTGGGCTCAAGCAATCCTCCCACCTCATCCTCCCAAGTAGCTGGGACTATAGGCACACACCACTGCACCTGGCTAATTTTTGTGTTTTTGTAGAGACGGAGTTTCACTGTGTTGCCCAGGCTGGTATCAAACTCCTGGACTCAAGCAGTCCACCCATCTCAACCTCCCAAAGTGCTGGGATTACAAGTGTGATTCACCGTCCCTGGCTGAGACTTTTCCTAAGAGAGTATTTTTATAAATGTGATGTCAATGTCACGTGTCTGAAACAGTTGGAAACAATATCAGGAAACTTCATCTATAAGAAACACCGTGGGCTGGGCGCAGTGGCTCACGCCTGTAATCCCAGCACTTTGGGAGGCTGAGGCAGGTGGATCACCTGAGGTCGGGAGTTCGAGACCAGCCTGACCAACATGGAGAAACCCCATCTCTACTGAAAAAAAAAAAAATACGAAAAAGAATTAGCCAGGTGTAGTGGTGCACGCCTGTAATCCCAGCCACTTGGGAGGCTGAGGCAGGAGTATCGCTTGAACCTGGGAGGTGGAGGTTGCGGTGAGCTGAGATCATGCCATTGCACTCCAGCCTGGGCAACAAGAGTGAAACTCCATCTCAAAAAAAAAAAAAAAAAGGCTGGGTGTGGTGGCTCACACCTGTAATCCCAGCACTTTGGGAGGCCGAGGCAGGCGGATCACGAGGTCAGGAGATCAAGACCATCCTGGCTAACACGGTGAAACCTCATCTCTACTAAAATACAAAAAAATTAGCCAGGCGTGGTGGCAGGCGCCTGTAATCCCAGCCACTTGGGAGGCTGAGGCAGGAGAATGGCATGAACCTGGGAGGTGGAGCTTGCAGTGAGCCGAGATGGCGCCACTGCACTCCAGCCTGGGTGACAGAGCGAGACTCCATCTCAAAAAAAGAAGAAAAGAAACACCGTGAAATTTATGGCTGCAGTTGAGCCTTCAGCTAGAGCATTAAGCTTGTTCTCCATAGAAACCAGGCAGACAGTGCTGAAAATAGAACCATTCAGTGAAATTGGCAAATAATGTAATCAAAATAATCACTAAAAACCATTAATAAATTAATCACTTATAGTCATTCATGACTAGTAGCTTGCTTCCCATTTTGAACAGAAGTCAGCTGGGGAGACTCTGTGAAAGTAATGAAGGTCATCAATGCGGAGAGACCTTGAGCCAGACTGCGAACCTTCTTGTGCACAAGAGTTACCCTACCGAAGCTAAACCCTCTGAGTGCACTAAGTGTGGCAAAGCCTTCGAGAATCGGCAGAGATCTCACACTGGACAGAGACCGTGTAAGGAATGTGGGCAAGCCTGCAGCTGCCTCTCCTGCCAAAGCCCTCCTATGAAAACGCAGACTGTAGAGAAACCCTGTAATTGCCAGGACTCAAGGACAGCATCTGTGACATACGTGAAAAGTCTCAGCAGTAAAAAGTCTTATGAATGTCAGAAATGTGGAAAAGCTTTCATTTGTCCCTCATCTTTCAGGGGACATGTGAATAGTCATCATGGGCAGAAAACCCATGCATGTAAAGTATGTGGGAAGACCTTTATGTATTACTCCTACCTTACACGGCACGTAAGAACTCACACAGGAGAGAAACCCTATGAGTGTAAGGAGTGTGGGAAAGCCTTCAGCTGTCCCTCATACTTTCGAGAACATGTCAGAACACACACTGGAGAGAAACCGTATGAATGTAAGCATTGTGGAAAATCATTCAGCTGTTACTCCTCCTTTAGAGATCACGTGAGGACGCACACTGGAGAGAAACCCTGTCAGTGTAAACATTGCGGAAAAGCGTTCACTTGTTACTCGTCTCTTCGAGAACATGGGAGAACGCACAGTGGAGAGAAACCCTATGAATGTAAGGAATGCGGCAAAGCCTTCAGGTACCCCTCCTCTCTGCGAGCACACATGAGAATGCACACCGGAGAGAAGCCCTATGTGTGCAAGCAGTGTGGGAAGGCCTTCGGATGTCCCACTTACTTTAGAAGACATGTGAAAACACACAGCGGGGTGAAGCCCTATCAATGTAAAGAGTGTGGGAAAGCCTACAGTTTTTCCTCCTCCCTTCGAATCCACGTGAGGACGCATACTGGAGAGAAGCCCTTTGAGTGTAAGCATTGTGGGAAAGCCTTCAGCTGTCACTCCTCCCTTCGAGAGCATGTGCGAACCCACAGCGGAGAGAAACCGTACGAATGTAATCAATGTGGGAAAGCCTTCAGCCACGCTCAGTACTTTCAAAAGCATGTGAGATCACACAGTGGGGTCAAACCCTACGAATGTACTGAATGTGGGAAAGCCTACAGTTGTTCCTCGTCCCTTCGTGTGCACGTGAGAACGCACACTGGAGAGAGACCGTATGAATGCAAGCAGTGTGGGAAAACCTTCAGGTATCTCGCATCGCTTCAAGCACATGTGAGAACACATGCTGGAGCGTGAATCTACGAATACAGTGGACCTGGGAGAGTGTTCAACCGTAAAACCTTGTTGTAAATGTGAGAAACGTTATTTATGTAGAGCATGTAGGAAAACCTGGTATAGCACTTATTTTGTACCTAAAAATTCAGAGTAGGAGAGAAATCTCTTAATTATGATTAATATGGTATTGCCTTTACATGCCTCAGCCTTAATAGTGATTCCTTTTGTATTAATTTCTAGTGTATGTTTGTGATATAAACATTTAATAAATATCCTGTTTTGTACGCTTTCAGCTATGTATATTTTGTAATTTAGGACTTTAAATAATTGTAGTTATATAAAATCTGTCTCATTTCCATTGAAATGTCTTTTGGACCCAGGGATGCACAAGTTGGTGTGAGTTTAGATGAAACGTTTTTGATTCCTACTTTCTTGTTTTTTTTTTTTTTTTTTTTTTTGAGACAGAGTCTTGCTCTGCTGCCCAGGCTGGAGTGCAGTGGTGCCATCTCGGCTCACTGCAAGCTCCGCCTCCCAGGTTCATGCCATTCTCCTGCCTCAGCCTCCCGAATAGCCCGGCTAATTTTTTCTATTTTTCAGTAGAGACGGGGTTTCACCGTGTTAGCCAGGATGGTCTTGATCTCCTGACCTCGTGATCCGCCCGCCTCGGCCTCCCAAAGTGCTGGGATTATAGGCGTGAGCCACAGCGCCTGGCCATTTTTTTTTTTTGAGATGGAGTCTTGCTGTGTTGCCCAGGCTGGAGTGCAGAGGCACGATCTTGGCTCACAGCAACCTCCACCTCCCTGGTTCAAGCAATTCTCCTGCCTCAGCCTCCCAAGTAGCTGGGACTACAAGCACGTGCCATCATGTCCAGCTAATTTTTGTATTTTTAGTAGATATGGGGGTTTTGCCATGTTGACCAGGCTGGTCTCGAACTCCTGACATCAGGGGATCTCCCCGCCTTAGGCTCCCAAAGTGCTGGGATTACAAGTGTGAGCCACCATGCCTGGCCTCATTCCCACTTGCCATTATGTTTCCAGTGTGTGATCATGAGACTGTTATTTCTTTTCCAGTCCACTATTGCAGGTACTGGAATTTGCTGTCACTCTGCCTTTCCCTTCAGTCATTTTTTTTTTAATTAAAAGTTTTATTTTATAGAGGTAGTGTCTTGCTATGTTGCCCAAGCTAGGCTCGAACTCCTGGGCTCAAGCAGTCCTCTCGCCTTGGCCTCCTAAAGTGCTGGGATTACAGGCATGAGTCTCCATGCCCAGTGTCCTTCAGTCTTTATTATTTAAAGATGTGTCTTCCAGCTGGGTGCGGTGTCTCATGCCTGTAATCCCAGCACTTTGGGAGGCCAAGGCGGGCGAATCACGAGGTCAGGAGATTGAGACCATCCTGGCTAACACAGTGAAACCTTGTCTCTACTAAAAATACAAAAAAATTAGCTGGGCGTGGTGGCAGGCGCCTGTAGTCCCAGCTACCCTGGAGGCTGAGGCAGGAGAATGGTGTGAACCCGGGAGACGGAGCTTGCAGTGAGCAGAGATTGCGCCACTGCACTTCAGCCTGGGTGACAGAGCAAGACTCCATCTCAAAAAAAAAAAAAATGTGTCTTCCACATTTGTTTGTTCCTTGTGGATACCACTTGTGTGTAACTCAGATACATTAGTCCTTATAGAAGACTCTTGACAGACATCATTCTCAACTGGTTTCTGGTCATATTCTGAATTACAGGCATGAGCCACCACGCCTGGCCCTATTTTCTTGTTCACTGTCCTTGATCTTGGTTGGAAATTGGACAAACTGCATTAAGAAGAAAGACCTTTTGACATGAAGATGAAAGTTAGTGTATAGCTTGTTCTACTTGATTGTACTGTCAGCCCTAATAAGGTTGGAAACTATATATCCAAGACTCCCTTCTGTTTATGGTTGTGAGTTAATGTTCATGAGAAGATGAAGGCACATGAGTTTTGAAAAGTAGAAGCGAAGAAGGCATTATTCTCAGTTCTTTTTTTTTTTTTTTTTTTTTTTGAGATGGAGTCTCACGCTCTCCCCCAGCTGGAGTGCAGTGGTGCGATCTTGGCTCACTGCAAGCTCCACCTCCCGGGTTCACGCCATTCTCCTGCCTCAGCCTCCCAAGTAGCTGGGACTACAGGCACCTGCCACCATGCCCAGCTAATTTTTTGTATTTTTTTTTTTTTCAGTAGAGACGGGGTTTCACTGTGTTAGCCAGGATGGTCTCGATCTCCTGACCTCGTGATCCACTCTCCTTGGCCTCCCAAAGTGCTGGGATTACAGGTGTGAGCCACCGCACCCTGCCTATTCTCAGTTCTAATAGACTACCCGGAAACAAACACGTGGTAACCTTACGGACCTAAATTGCAATACATTTTTCTGACTTCTGGCTCTGCTAGTCTAGAACAGCCCCCAAAGCCAACATGACATTTGACTTTAGTTTCCTCTTAGCACACTCCATAGACTGTTCCACAAGCATCCCCACCACCGTCCCCTCTTTAGGATTCAGGTACACAGAGATCCTTGGATTTCACCATCCCTCTGGTTTTCATCAGGCCATTCCAGGCTACTGCATTTAGTGATCTCCTTTCTTCCTGTGAACCCCTTTATCTCCAACTCTTCTCATATTTACATGATTTCTGTAGTAAGCGTCTTGTTCCTTAATCGTAACCTGTTTCCTCACTCCACCCTGGCAGTTTTAATGTTGCAGCCAAGAATGCATTCGTTGCATTGCTGATGCTGAGTGGCGGCAGTGACCACTGAGCCTCCATTTTCTTTTTCTTTTTTTCCTTGAGATGATTTTCACTCTTGTTACCCAGGCTGGAGTGCAATGGCATGATCTCAGCTCACTACAACCTCTATCTCCTTTTTTTTTTCTTTTTTTTTTTGAGATGGAGTTTTGCTCTTGTTGCCCAGGCTGGAGTGCAATGGCACGTCTTCTGCTCACCGCAACCTTCACCTCCTGGGTTCAAGCAATTCTCCTGCCTCAGCCTCCCGAGTAGCTGGGATTACAGGCATGCGCCACTATGCCCAGCTAATTTTGTATTTTTAGTAGAGACAGGGTTTCTCCATGTTGGTCAGGCTGGTCTCGAACTCCCAACCTCAGGTGATCCGCCCGCCTCGGCCTCCCAAAGTGCTGGGATTACAGGCGTGAGCCACTGTGCCCGGCTCAACCTCTATCTCCTAGGTTCAAGCGATTCTCCTGCTTCAGCCTCCCGAGTAGCTGGGATTACAAGTGTGTGCCACCACAACTGGCTAATTTTTTTGTATTTTTAGTAGAGACAGGGTTTCACCATGTTGCTCAGGCTGGTCTCGAGCTCCTGACGTCAGGTGATCCACCTGCCTTGGCCTCCAAAACTGCTGGGATTACAGGCATGAGCCACCACACCCACCCTTTCTTTTCCTTTTTGATACTGAGTCTCACTCTGTTGCCCAGGCTGGAGTGCAGTGGCATGATCTTGGCTCACTGCAAGCTCTGCCTCCCAGGTTCAAGTGATTTTCCTGCCTCAGCCTCCTGAGTAACTGGGACTACAGGTGCACACCACCACAGCTGGCTTTTCTGTATTTGTATTTATCTATTTAATTTTTTGAGACAGTGTCTCACTCTGTTGCCCAGGCTGGACTGCAATGGTGAGATCTTGGCTCACTGCAACCTCTGTCTCCTGGGTTCAAGCCATTCTCCTGCCTCAGCCTCCCAAGTAGCTGGGACTTCAGGCATGCGCCACCACACCCAGCTAATTTTTGTATTTTTAGTAGAGACGGGGTTTCACCATGTTGGCCAGGCTGGTCTCGAACTCCTGACCTCAAGTGACCCGCCCACTTCGGCCTCCCAAAGTGCTGGGATTACAGGTGTGAGTCACTGCACCCGGCCTATTTACTTATTTTTGCGACAAAGTCTCACTCTGTTGCCCAGGCTGGAGTGCAATGGCACAGTCTCGGCTCACTGCAACCTCCAATTCCCAGGTTCAAGCAATTCTCTTGCCTCAGTCTCCTGAGTAGCTGAAATTACAGGAGTGCATCACCACACCCAGCTAATTTTTTGTATCTTTAGTAGAGACGGAGTTTCACCATGTTGGCAAGCTGGTCTCAAACTCCTGACCTCAAGCGATCCAGCTGGCTCAGCCTCCCAAAGTGCTGGGATTACAGGCATGAGCCACCATGCCTGGTCTTCTTCTTTTTAATTATTAAAAAAAAGAAGAGACAGGGTTTCGCCATGTTGCCCAGGGTGGTCTCGAACTCTTGAGCTAAAGGGATCCATCCACCTTGGCCTCCCAAAGTGCTGGAATTACAGGCATAAGCCAGCGTGCTTGGCCTCTATTTTCTCTTTTTTTTTTTTTTTTTGAGATGGAGTCTTGCTGCTTCACCCAGGCTGGAGTGCACTGGTGAGATCTTGGCTCACTGCAACATCCACCTGCCGGCTTCGAGCGATTCTCCTGCCTCAGCCTCCTGAGTAGCTGGGATTACAGGTGTACGCCACCATGCCCAGCTAATTTTGTATTTTTAGTAGAGACAGGGTTTCACCACGTTGGCCAGGCTGGTCTCGAACTCCTGACCTCAACCGATGCAGCTGGCTCGGCCTCCCAAAGTGCTGGGATTACAGGCATGAGCCACCATGCCTGGTCTTCTTCTTTTTAATTATTAAAAAAAAAAAAAAAAAAGAGACAGGGTTTCGCCATGTTGCCCAGGGTGGTCTCGAACTCTTGAGCTAAAGGGATCCATCCACCTTGGCCTCCCAAAGTGCTGGAATTACAGGCATAAGCCAGCGTGCTTGGCCTCTATTTTCTCTTTTTTTTTTTTTTTTGAGATGGAGTCTTGCTGCTTCACCCAGGCTGGAGTGCACTGGTGAGATCTTGGCTCACTGCAACATCCACCTGCCGGCTTCGAGCGATTCTCCTGCCTCAGCCTCCTGAGTAGCTGGGATTACAGGCGTACACCACCATGCCCAGCTAATTTTGTATTTTTAGTAGAGACAGGGTTTCACCACGTTGGCCAGGCTGGTCTCGAACTCCTGACCTCAACCGATCCAGCTGGCTCGGCCTCCCAAAGTGCTGGGATTACAGGCATGAGCCACCATGCCTGGTCTTCTTCTTTTTAATTATTAAAAAAAAAAAAAAAAAGAGACAGGGTTTCGCCATGTTGCCCACGGTGGTCTCGAACTCTTGAGCTAAAGGGATCCATCCACCTTGGCCTCCCAAAGTGCTGGGATTACAGGCATAAGCCAGCGTGCTTGGCCTCTATTTTCTCTTTTTTTTTTTTTTTTTTTTTTTTTTTTTTTGAGATGGAGTCTTGCTGTTTCACCCAGGCTGGAGTGCACTGGTGATATCTTGGCTCACTGCAACCTCCACCTCCCAGCTTCGAGCGATTCTCCTGCCTCAGCCTCCTGAGCAGCTGGGATTACAGGCGTACGCCACCATGCCCAGCTAATTTTGTATTTTTAGTAGAGACAGGGTTTCACCATGTTGGCCAGGCTGGTCTCGAACTCCTGACCTCAAGCGATCCAGCTGGCTCGGCCTCCCAAAGTGCTGGGATTACAGGCATGAGCCACCATGCCTGGTCTTCTTTTTATTAAAAAAAAAAAAATAGAGACAGGGTTTCACCATGTTGCCCAGGGTGGTCTCGAACTCTTGAGCTAAAAGGATCCACCCATCTTGGCCTCCCAAAGTGCTGGGATTATAGGCATGAGCCAGCGTCCTTGGCCTCTATTTTATTTTCTTTCTTTTTTTTTTTTTTGAGATGGAAGTCTTGCTGCTTCACTCAGGCTGGAGTGCAGTGGCGAGATCTTGGCTCACTGCAACCTCCACCTCCCGGCTTCAAGCGATTCTCCTGCCTCAGCCTCCTGAGTAGCTGGGATTACAGGCATAGGCCACCATGCCCAGCTAATTTTTGTATTTTTAGTAGAGACGGGGTTTCACCATGTTGGCCAGGATGGTCTTGATCTCCTGACCTCGTGATCCGCCCGCCTCAGCCTCCCAAAGTGTTGGAATTACAGGCGTGAGCCGCCACACCCGGCCCTATTTTCTATTTTGGTTATTTCAGACTAGGAATACAGAGACGCAGAAAACTACAGCTGTGCACTGAGACCACTGACACTTGGGAGTCACCGCACTCCAGGTACAGGGACCGCCACGAACAAGCGAGTCCTCCCAGACACGCAGGAGTAGCCCCCAAGGCTGACAAAAATCACATTTGTTCCAGGGACAAAAGGATGGACACATCCAGAGACACGGACACACCCACAAATCATCGCCCCCACTCTTCAGCCTCACAGCGGCCCCCTGGTCCCTCCAGAATCTCTGTCATCAGTCACCCCCATACACAGAGCATCGTCCATCGTGGGTGGGGGCCCCGCCACAGATGCCACTCCCCAGACCCAGAAGATGACCGCAAGCTGCTGCAACGCGGGGCAGGGGTTCAGGATGTCCGTAATCTCCCGCCTCGCCCTGTCTGAGTCCCCTTTTCTGTCGCCTGGAAAAACCACAGCAGCCGCCCTCGCAGAAGTAGGGAAGTTCGCCCGTGCTACAGCGGCGTCCGCAATCCCAGGGGGCCCCACGGGACGAGGCTTAAGAGGCGAGGCGCGCTGCATGCCGGGAGGAGCTCGATGGGCGGGGCTTTGAGCGACTGTGCAGCCTCCGTTTGAGGTCGCCGTTTCCCACAAGCCCCCGGGGCAGGGACCTCGCCGGCGCAGTTGTCGGGCTGGGACTGCGCGGGTGCTGCGGTGAGCTTCGGGGTCTGGTATGGCTGGTGCTTGTGCAGCCACTGCCTCCGGCCTCGGTGATTGCGAAACTGAGGGGCAGTTGGGTGCAGGTGCGCCTGCAGGTGTGAGGGACCGAGGGGCGGTGGGTGTGGGTGGGCCTGCTGGTGAGGGTGGGTGTGGGTGCGCCTGTGGGTGTGGGGGACCGAGGGGCAGTGCATTTGGGTGTGGCTGCCGGTGTGGGGGACAGAGGGTGGGTGTGGGTGCGCCTGCAGATGTCGGGGACCGAGAGGCAGTGGGTCGGGGGAACCTAGGGTGGGTGTGGGTGCGTCTGCGCTGGTCGTGGTGGGGCGCCTTTGAGGTTGGTGGTTGCGGTTGTCCTGGGGAGCCGAGGTGGCTACGCGGCTGTGGGGTGGCTGTGGCCGTGGTCGGCGGGTGTCCGTGGAACATGGACCCAACCACTCTTTTTCCAGCTCTTTCTCCCGGCAGCCGCAACTGTGCTCCCGAGAGGGTGCAGGTGCGGGTCTTTAATGAGGCTTGTTGGGAAGAAGTCGTGGAACTGGGTTGTTATGGGAGCTGGAGAGTCGAAACTGGCCTGAAGCCAAGTCCTCGGCTGATGCTTGAGGATTAGGACCCCCCACTAGGAAGGGTCCCCCTTTGGGAGAACTGGAGTGCGCTTTTAGGTTTTCAAAACCACAGCATCTCCAAAGATCTGACCCTGGGGACGTGAATAAACTGAAATCTCACAGAAGCGTTCTTAGCAGGCGCGGCCCGAAAGGGCATTTCCTAACATCAGTACAGGCAAATTTGGGGCATGAGCCCTCCTTCCTCAGACCTTCAGTGCTTCCTGAGTATCCAAAGGTGGTAAAAGAAACGTTGCACGTTTTCTTTTCTTTTCTTTCATTTTAATTATTTATTTATTTATTTATTGAGATGGAGTTTCGCTCTTGTTGCCCAGGCTGGAGTGCAGTGGCGCTATCTCGGGCTCACCGCAACCTCCGCCTCCCAGGTTCAAGCGATTCTCCTGCCTCAGCCTCCCGAGTAGCTGGGATTATAGGCACCTGCCACCACGCCCGGCTAATTTTTTGTATTTTTGTGGAGACGGGGTTTCACCATGTTGGTCAGGCTGGCCTTGAACTCCTGACCTCACGTGATCCGCCCACCTCGGCCTCCCAAAATGCTGGGATTACAGGCGTGATCCACCGCGCCCAGCCACATTGCATGTTTTCAAAGTTCAGGAGAGTTTACATTTTCTCTTAGTAAGCGAAAGCGGTTTGTTGTTGTTGATTATTTTTAATATACATACAGTAAGACTATTTTAAGCGTATTTCTATGAGTTTTCATAAATGCATATTTACACCACCAAAACAGAGAACATTCTATCACTCCCCAAATACTCTTGGATTGCCCAATTGTACTCAACCTTTCACCCCTAACCACTGATCTGCTTTAGCCACCTGTATCTTTGCCTTTTCCAGAATGTCATGTTACGTGAAATATGTAGCCTTTTGAGCCCTGTTTGTAAAATTCGATGCCATATTTGTAAAATTAGCTAATTATACTTGTCATTTATTGATTGATTGAGACAAGGGTCACATCCTGTCACCTAGGCTGGAGTGGGAGGGGCACAGTCATAGCTCACTGCTGCCTCAAACGTCTGGGCTTAAGTGATCCTCCCGCCTCAGCCTCCCCGGTAGCTGGGACTCCAGGCATGCAGCACCATGCCTTGCTAATTAAAAAAAATTTTTTTAGTAGAGACAAGGTCTCCTTATGTTGCCCAGGCTGGCCTCGAACTCCTGAGCTCAAGCAATCCTCCCACTTTGGCCTCCCGAAGTGCTGGGTTTACAGGTGTGAGCCATGGCGCCCAGCCTATTATTGTCTTGTAGAATTTTCAGTTTAAAAACATTTGACAGGCTGGGCACAGTGGCTCACACCTGTAATCCCAGCATTTTTGGGAGGCCGAGGTGGGCGGATCACCTGAGGTCAGGAGTTGGAGACCAGCCTGACCAATACGGAGAAACCCCGTCTCTACTAAAAATACAAAAAGTTGGCCGGGCATGCCTGTAATCCCAGCTACTCAGGAGGCTGAGGCAGGAGAATCGCTTGAACCCAGGAGGCAGACGTTGCGGTGAGCCGAGATCGCGCCATTGCACTCCAGCCTGGGCAACAAGAGCGAAGCTCCGTCTGGAAAAAAAAAAAAAAAAACAATCGACAGAGCTAAGTATAAGAGGTGGCAGATAACAGGCCTTCAAAACTGAGAGGTTAAATTACTATGTTTACATCAAGATATGTGAGTTAAGGTTAAGATTCTGTGTTCCTTGTGCTTAACTTTCTTCATTTGTATGATGGGAGGGAAGCTGGGAACAGGAGGTGCAATGAGATGGTAAGTCATATTAATCTCTGCAGTACTTAACATCGAGAAATTGACAGAATTTCATTTGCTTTCCTCATTAACAAAATGCAAAGCTATTGGCCAGGGGTGGTGGCTCTCAACTTTAATCCCAGAGCTTTGGGAGGCTGAGGCAGGAGGATTACTTGAGTCCAGGAGTTCCAGACCAGCCTGGTCAACATAGTGAGACCTCATCTCTACAAAGAAACAACGCCCCCCACCACACGCACACAGAAAGCTATTACATTTTCTTCTCTTTCCTGTGAGCCCATTTGGTGGAAGTGCAAACTTATGAAAATCATATCTTTGAAAAGCAAAATGGGCTTTTTGAGCTTTGCAGATTATTAAAACACAAAACTTCCATCCACTCTTATGAAAATGCCTTTAAAATTTCCCAGTTTCAGGATGTCAAGTGTACTGGGGGGCCTCAAGGCCACCCCCAGTGGTTCAGTGATTTGTTAGGGGTACTGAAGGGAACTGGCATATAGTCAGCCTTACAGCTAAGACTTATTACAGTGCAAGGAAACAGAGCCAACTATTAGCAAAGGGATGAGGCACATGGGGTGAAGTCGGGGAAACCAGGAATGAGCTTCCAAGGGTCCTCCCTGGTTGGCAGCGTACAAGATGCTTTTACTGCCCGGGAAACTAATTGTAACAGCATGTGTGACTATTTACCAACCTGAGAAGCTCAATAGATACTCTGCCAGGGTTTTTTTTTATTGCCAGCTGGTTATGATGCACTCACTGCTTGGCAAATACCAAGATTCCAGATGCCTGGAATGAATGGTGTTTTGCATAAACCATATTGCTTGTGCAATTTTGACACAGCTGACCTTGTAAACGGGCCTTTCAAGGGATAGCACTCAGGCCTGTTTTGCTAAGTTTTTTGCAGTGCAGCCTATTGGCCCCTGCTTTACAACAAAATAATCATCAGTAAGACCGTCACAGCATGGGGGTAATGAGCTTGCAGGAATGATTCCAGCTATGCCCTTTAGGGGTTTCGGACTTAGTTAAAATAAAGGTCTATTTTAGAAAGCCACCTGGCTTCCTCCTTAAACTTGTGTATGAATCCTTTTTACCTGTCCTAACTTACCAAGTGTGTGGTAGAGCAGAACTCTTGCCAGTAATTTGAAGCTTCCACAGCTCAGACGGTGTTGCAATAGGTTCCACACCTGATTACAGTCCCACAGGACACACAAGGTACTGCCGGAAACTGAGTTTACAATTGTCAGGGCAACCTAAGCAAGACATCCATTAGTCAGCAGTGAAGGTTAACAGACACTCAGCGCGGACTCCCCCTGTAGGGAGAATTCTCAGTCCTGTCCAATGAGGTTAGTTGAGTCCCCGATTTCAGAGGGACTGCCTGAGGCAGTCAGTTCCACATGGTTTGCTTGTCTATGACCACAGATCATCACTTTCACCACTGTGGCCCTAAGGGTGTTCTGCAGGGCAGGAATAGCAGCTGGGTGGCTCCCTCACGGCGTGTCAGGGTGGTCTAGGCTCAGCAGTCAGTTTGCGTTCAAAGAACTTACTGGGCGGGCACATTGGCTCACGCCTGTAATCCCAGCACTTTGGGAAGCTGAGGCAGGTGGATCACCTGAGGTCAGGAGGTTGAGACGAGCCTGACCAACATGGTGAAACTTCATCTCTACTCAAAATACAAAATTAGCCGAGGATGGTGGCGCATGCCTGTAGTCTCAGCTACCTGGAACGCCAAGGCAGGAGAATCGCTTGAACCCAGGAGGTGGAGGTTGCAGTAAGCCAGGATCACGCCATTGCACTCCAGCCTGGGCAACAAGAGTGAAACTCTGTCTCAAAAAAATAAATAAAATAAAATAAAAAGAACTCACGGGACTTTGGAAAGCAGCACAGAGGGTTTTCCTTCAGGAGGAAGGAAAAAGTTGCAGGAAAGATTCTGAAAAATAAGATGAACACTCGCCTCTGCCCTCCTCCAGCCACCTCCTCAGATGCTTTTGGATATTTCCTCCTGTTACAAAGTCACTGTGTCCCATTGGGCAATCATTTTACATTTAAAAAAATCATCCTTTAGTGTTATCCAGACCTTTCTTCTGGAAGGGTTGTATGGAATAGGAACAGTTTTTCCACAGAAAAACCTTTTAATGCTATTTACTCAAAGACACAGGTTTAAAAATTGGTTGTGATAAAATATGAAATTATCAAAAAAATTTCAAGATGGCTTTACGTAACCTCCCATCCCTTTTGTCCTGATCATTTATCCAGTGAGCAGCTCAGAAAAGATGTCTGTTTCCGAGGGATAAGTACCTTACTAAGTTGTGTGTACCAGGAGATGGTGAGGGAAGCAGGGTCAAACTGTCCATCCACTGTTACAAACTGCAGTGAATCCAGAAAGCCAAACACAAGCCATCAGCAGTGAGGCATCCCCCAGGTGGGGGGTCAAGAGCCCAGTGTCAGGAATGGGTGGAGGTCACAGTGCCTGGCTATGCCCTTACCAAACTCCAGCTTTTGGCAGCAATCACGTTTGCCATGCAGTCATTCTCCGTATAAGATGAACCCTCTACTATTTATGAAATTTCAAAAATTTAATGTTTTATGTCAATTTTTAACATTCAGATGCAAGAGCCACATACGACAAAGGCTTTTATTTTTATTTATTTTTGAGACAGAGTCTTGTTCTGTCGCCCAGGCTGGAGTGCAGTGGTGTGATCTCAGCTCACTGCAACCTCCGCCTCCCGGGTTCAAGCAATTCTCCTAGCCTCAGCCTCCTGAGAAACTGGGATTACAGGCATCAGTCACTGCGCCCAGCCAATTTTTGTATTTTTTAAGTAAAGACGGGGTTTCACCACGTTGGCCAGGCTGATCTCAAACTCCTTACCTCAAGTGATCTGCCTGCCTTGGCGTCCCAAAGTGTTGGGATTTACGGGCGTCAGCCACCTGGCCTGGCGAGCCTTGCCATACAAAGGCTTTTTTATTTTTTAAAGACAGAGTCTCGCTCTGTCGCCCGGGCTGGAGTGCAGTGGTGCGATCTCGGCTCACTGCAAGCTCCATCTCCCGGGTTCACGCCATTCTCCTGCCTCAGCCTCCCGAGTAGCTGGGACTACAGGCGCCCGCCACCACGCCCGGCTAATTTTTTGTATTTTTACTAGAGACAGGGTTTCACTGGGGTCTCAATCTCCTGACCTCGTGATCTGCCCGCCTCGGCTTCCCAAAGCGCTGGGATTCCAGGCGTGAGCCACCGCGCCCGGGCTTTTATGAAGGCCCCCCCTTTATAAAATAATGGCAATTGTGCCCCCAGTATCAAATGCAGCATTTGTAGCCTTAACATCATAGCCGTCAGATGTTGGATGTCACCCGGCACCCAGGTTGGAATGCAGGAGGCTGGGGGAGGGACCTGCTGCAGCAGGAGCTAGGCTAACACTCAACTTACAACTTGTGTAGGTAAGATGCTCTGTGGTCCACATCAAATGGGAACCCTCTGATCAGTGACAATCATGTTCAAATTCATGGCCGCATATCACATGGCCTAAAAGTTTAAACCATTGCAAAAATGAAGCTGAAGCATACCCGTGTTTATTGTTACGGGGAGTCATTACTGTTAACTCCAACAATGCACACCTGTGTATCTATTGCTCCCCACCATTTAAACAGCCCTGAGTAGTTCTTTGGTTAAGATTGTCAGGGTAGAAGTGCCGGGTGTGGTGGCTCACGCCTGTAATCCCAGCACTTTGGGAGGCTGAGGCGGGTGGATCACGAGGTCAGGAGATCGAGACCATCCTGGCTAACACGGTGAAACCCCATCTCTACTAAAAATACAAAAAAATTAGCTGGGCGTGGTGGCGGGCACCTGTAGTCCCAGCTACTCGGGAGGCTGAGACAGGAGAATGGCGTGAACCCAAAGGCGGAGCTTGCAGTGAGCCGAGATCACCCTACTGCACTCCAGCCTGGGCGACAGAGTGAGACTCCATCTCAAAAAAAAAAAAAAGAATTTATGTTAATGTCAAAAGTTTTAAGTATATGAAAAATTGACCTTTAAGAAGAGTGCATGAGCTGGTACACATCTGGGAATGCTAATAGATAGTGCCTAAACTGACAGAATTACAAAGTTGATTTCATATTCCATAATTGCAATGGAATATTTATATCTTCAGAGTAAAAATATTTGTTATTATATAATTTATCTGAACATGGTTGATAAAATCTAAGAAACCACTACAGAGGAATTTGACAAAAAGTGTCTTGTTCTTAATAGCATATAATTAAACATAGTATTGAACATATACTGAAGGGTTGCACTCGGCTCTGAGTAATAGGAAACTCCACCAGTCTGCCTGATATGAGAGGTGATTATTCTTACATGGACTAAGTAGTCATTCAGCGATGCTGTACACGATCAAACGTGTGTGTGCGCGCTTTTTGGCTGGTGCATAGGCTGTCATGGTTGTGTCTGCACACAGAACCATAAGCAGTACTAAGAGAACAAAAGAAAATGTTTAGTATAAAAATAAGGTAAGACCTGGGCTGGGCACGGTGGCTCACACCTGTAATCCCAGCACTTTGGGAGGCCAAGGCAGGTGGATCACGAGGTCCGGAGTTCAAGACCAGCCCGGCCAACATAGTGAAACCCTGTCTCTACTGAAAATACAAAAGTTAGCGGGGCATGGTGGTGCATACCTGTAGTCTCAGCTACTTGGGAGGCTGAGGCAGGAGAATCGCTTGAACCCGGGAGGCGCAGAGGTTGTGAGCCGAGATCACACCACTGCACTTCAGCTTGGGCAACACAGCAAGACTATGTCTCAAAAATAAATAAATAAAATAAAAATAAGGTAAGACCTAAAGGAGGGAGTTAGCTTCAGAGATGATCACCACGACAGTCAGAATCAGTGGCCTGGTGGACGTGGCAGGTGTTGTAGCAATCCACACTAAATGTCTTCATGTTGGGAGAGCTCATGGAGATGTCTGGCTGAAAGTTAGGCAGCTGGTGTCTGTTGTAGAGACACTCTTCATTAACAGTGGCAGGAATGAGTACAATGATCCAGAAGGCTGTGTGCATGGTGCGCCTGTGTGCCACCTTTATGTCTCTGAGTATGCTGGCTCTACAAAGCGGGTAATGACTTCTCTAGTCCTGACTGCCAAACCTCATGCACAGTAGAAAATCAGCAGATTTTAACTTGGTGCCATAAAGGAAAGACATTCAGGGAAATGTCGTTCCCAGCCTTACACATATATCCGTAACAAAACCATCTACAGATTTCATTCTTGTTTTGTAGGTCCCCATTCCTAATTCAAAGGCTGCTGTCTAACTCCCAGTGAGAAATGAGGAAAAACAAATTGCAAAAGATGATTAGAGACTATACTTTATAGAGAACTCTGCATATTTACCAGGTTTTGCAAAAAAAAATTTGGTAAGGTACAATATATAAAATAGGTAAGTGATATCCACTATCTGTAGCAGTAGGCCAGTAAGAAATACCAAAGTTTTATTGTTGTAATGATCCCATACAGAAAAATATAGAAACTATAAAAATTATGTCATGTTTGGCCGGGCATGGTGGCTCACGCCTGTAATCCCAGCACTTTGGGAGGCCAAGGTGGGCAGACCATGAGGTCAGGAGATCGAGACCATCCTGGCTAACACGGTGAAACCCCATCTCTACTAAAAATACAAAAAATTAGCCAGGCGTGGTGGCAGGTGGCTGTAGTCCCAGCTACTTGGGAGGCTGAGGCAGGAGAATGGCGTGAACTTGGGAGGCGGAGCTTGCAGTGAGTGGAGATCGCACCACTGCACCCCAGCCTGGGTGACAGAGCAAGACTGTCTCAAAAAAAAAATAAAAAAAAAAATTGTGTCATGTTCAAAGTATGCTTCAAATCACCATGGGTCTAATACAGTTCGAAATGAAAATATTTAAGAGACAAAACACTTAACTATTAAAACTTAGGTACTATAGCTGAAAGAGGACTTAGAGAATTATTTTCTCACATAAACATTTATTTTTGAAAGAGCTGGAAATTCACGACTAATGGGTCTGTTTTACAAATGAGGTATTGACAAAGACAATATCATACTTGTAAGATTTCTCTCCTGGTGTGAATTTTCTGGAGCATTATACATGAATTAATGTGAGGTTACCCCATTAAAGTTATAGAATTTCTCTTTAGTGTGTGCTCTCACTGGTTTTAGAAAGAATGACTTGGCAACTGAAGGCTTTTGAGTATGACTGACATTCGTGGGATTTCTGTCCTGTGTGCATCCTCAGATGGTTCCGGAAGGAGGAGTGCCACTTGAAGGACATCCCACATTGTTTACATTTGTGAGGTTTCTCTCCAGTGTGCATCCTCACATGATTATGTAAGGTTGAGGACCAAGTGAAGGTTTTTCCACATTGTTTACACTCATAAGGCTTCTCTCCAGTGTGCATC
Organism: Homo sapiens; assembly: GCF_000001405.40. NCBI lineage: Eukaryota > Metazoa > Chordata > Mammalia > Primates > Hominidae > Homo > Homo sapiens. Next base: position 2,918,024 of record NC_000019.10, on the reverse strand, counting down.
CTCAAATGACCTTGGAATGCTCTGGAAGAGGTAAAGGCCTTCCCACAGTGTTCACATTTATGGAGCTGCTCTTGCGTGTGAATTCTCACATGTTCTCTAAACGTTGAGGACCAAGTGAAGGTTTTTCCACATTGTTTACACTCATAAGGCTTCTCTCCAGTGTGCGTCCTCAAATGACCTCGGAATGATCTGGAAGAGGTAAAAGCCTTCCCACATTGTTCACATTTATAGAGCTGCTCTTGCGTGTGAATTCTCACATGTTCTCTAAACGTTGAGGACCAAGTGAAGGCTTTCCCACATTGTTTACACTCATAAGGTTTCTCTCCAGTGTGCGTCCTCAAATGACCTTGGAATGATCTGGAAGAGGTAAAAGCCTTCCCACAGTGTTCACATTTATAGAGTTTGTCCCCAGTGTGGATCCTCATGTGGACTCGCAAGGTTTCAGACCAACTGAATGTTTTCCCACACTGCTTGCATTCATAGGGCTTCTCTCCCGTGTGCGTCTTCTCATGTCTTTGAAAAGCCTGGGGGTAAGTGAAGGCTTTCCCACAGTGCTGACATTTATAGGGCTTCTCTCCAGTGTGTGTTGTCATGTGTCTTTGAAATGTCGAGGGATAAATGAAGGCTCTCCCACATTCCTGACATTTATATGGCCTGTCTTTTGTGTGAGTTCTCACATGTCTAGTGAAGCTTGCGAACCCATTAAACGCCATCCGACACTGCTCGCATTTGTAGGTTTTCTCTGCTGTGTGAGTCTTTACGTGGTGGGAGAGGTAACGAGGATGTTGGAAAGTTTGCCCACATGCTTGACACTTATACGGCTTCTCCTCAGTGTCAGTTCTTCCGTGACTGTGTAGGTGTGAGGGACAAATGCAGGCCTGCTTACATTCCTCACCTGGAGGTGCTTTTCGTCCACAGTGAGACTTGACGTGCCTTTTAAGAGAAGAAAGATGCGTGAAGACTGTCCTGCACTTGGTGCATTCATATGGTTTTTCTCCAGCAGAAACTTTCTTGTGCAGGGTAAGATCTGGCATTTGATGGATGGCTTCTCCATATTGATTACCTTCATTATGTGTACAGAATCTGTCCACCATATGATTTCTGTTAAAAATGAGAGACATTTTTATGTATGGTATGTTTAGTAATGATGTGTTGAGATGTATTAACAAGTATTAGAAATAATGTCTAACTACATTTCAGTATACGTGAAGTTTTTCTATTCTGAATTGTTTGAAGAGACATATTTTTTAATGCAGTATTTATTATATATGGGGTTTTCCTGTAATTTCTTTTTATTTATTTATTTTTTGAGATGGAGTCTCACTCTGTCACCCAGGCTGGAGTGCAGTGGCGCAATCTCAGCTCACTGCAAGCTCTGCCTCCCAGGTTCACAGCATTCTCCTGCCTCCGCCTCACAGGTAGCTGGGACTACAGGTGCCTGCCACCACGCTCGGCTATTTTTTTTTTGGTATTTTTAGTAGAGGCGGGTTTTCACCATGTTAGCCAGAATGGTCTTGATCTCCTGACCTCGTGATCCGCCTGCCTCAGCCTCCCAAAGTGCTGGGATTACAGGCGTGAGCCATCGCGCCCGGCCCCCTGTAATTACTTCTAACAATTATGTTTCAAATTCTCAATGTCTTAGTCAAATACAAATTTTTTTTTTTGGTTAAAATTCTGAGGAATAAACAAATTTGGAGCAATGCTTATATTTGGAGCAATACTTAGATATATATTTAATTGCATACAAGGATTTTTCTCTTGTGAGTGCAACTCACCTCAGATTTTTGTGGTGGTCTTCAGTGCCATAGCCTTCACAATTTTTTTCTAAAGTGTAGGCACAGGAATTATTTCCTGTGAAGTTTGGTATTGTCTGTTCCTTAGATTTTTCTTGCCCGTACATATCCTGCAGAGAAACTGACCCATTGGCTTTAAATTGAGTCCCATCATCTGCAACAAAAAAGTAAACAAATCTCAAAAGGAATAAGACACGTATTAAGCAAAGGAAGACACTGAGGAGTTTAGCATTTTGAGGACCTCATCAATAACAGACATAAGGGGTCAAAATGTTAGGTATTTCACAAACACAGTAAGTCACAGGTATCAAACAAGGAACCACTCTGTGATCCTAAATGACCAGTGAAATCTATACCCCTACTAATGACACTAAAGGAACTTCAAGTCCTTTAAACCAAGACAGAAATAACATCTGTTTCACACATGTTTTCACTGTTAGGGAATAATGACTAGATTCTAGGTCCATGGTGGCTGTGAACATGTCTGTCTTAGTCCTTTCCCACATTTCACATCTTGCAACAGAACTGATGAGAAAGAAATGAGTTCATTAAAAACCAAGGGAAGGAATGATGCCATCCTCACCTACTGAGGCCAGGTTCCGGAAGGTCTCCAGCATCACATCTCTGTAGAGGTCCCTCTGAGCAGAATCCAGCAAAGCCCACTCCTCCAGGGTGAAGTCCACAGCCACATCCTCAAAGACCACTGAGTCCTAAGACAAACCACACAGGTGTGCAGGAGGATTGGAGACACTGAAAGTACTGGGGAACTGGACTCAATTCATAAATTCAAACAAGATTCTGTGGTGTCCCAACACCTCCTCTATGACGCGAATGTTAGATCTTTTACTTATTCACAATCACTTCCTAGTAAACTTCATGGCACCACTATCAGTCTGAACTTATCTCTGCCTTTTTACTGCGACTGCTCTTATTTTCCTCTACCAGGAGGGTCTAGAGAAATGCTATGCAAATGAAGTAACTTTTCCATTTGAAACGTTGCATAACGCAGCAGGCCTCGGTTGTCCAAACGATGCACATTTCATAGGACTTTCGGAAAAGCCTTCCACCAGCTACTGCAGAAAATGGTAAGTCCTTGGAATCCCCTGCCTGGTGAGGGGATCTTTGTATGGACGGGCCTGAGGCTGGCCAGGGAGTTTCTAACAATGTGACTTAAGAATTCCTGTCTTTGTCTGCCTGGAGCCCTAGGCAACATTGTATCCGTTTTCCCCCTTTATTCCCCTTTATTTTCTTAAATTATTTTAAAGGCAACTGTATGAATATGTTTGGAAAGCACTGTTGGATGTATAACACATAAGAATACCTATTTGCCAATAACAGCACAGAGGAGGAGGGTGGGAGGGAGCAAAGGCATATTTAAGCAAAGGGACATGACTACAGATGGTAAAGTACTAATTAAAACGCACTGTTTTGGCATATAATATTCATGGATGTAGCATGTATTCATATTGCCATAGAAGTTGGAGGGGCAGGAAGGAATAGAGCTACACACGCAGCATTTCTGTATCTCACTGGAATCGAGCGATGAATATAAACCCGAAGCTCATCTGATAAGCCTCGCATTGACAATACAGTAACCCCTAAAGAGACCAACAAACAGTAAAAAGTTAAACAACTGAAAGGTTTCATTAGAAAATACTTAATGAAAATGAAAGTAGTGGCCGGGTGCAGTGGCTCACGCCTGTAATCCCAGCACTTTGGGAGGCCGAGGCAGGCAGATCACCTGAGGTCGGGAGTTTGAGACCAGCCTGACCAACATGGAGAAACCCCCGTCTCTGCTAAAAATACAAATTTTGCTGGGCATGGTGGTGCGTGCCTGTAATCCTAGCTACTCAGGAGGCTGAGGCAGGAGAATCACTTGAACCCAGGAGGTGGAGGTTGCGGTGAGCCAAGATTGTGCTCTCCAGCCAAGAATGTCACTCTAGCCTAGGTGACAGAGCAAGACTCAAAAAAATAAATAAAAATAAAAGAAATGGATAATTAAAAATACAAGTTGAAACATAAACACCCATTCTTTTTTCTTTTTTAGTTGAGCACAGCATCATCAATTACCCCACTTTTTAATGAGAGAACATCTAGGTGAAATACGAGGAAATAAAATAATTGAACACTATAAGTCATTTAGACATAGCAGACATCTGCAGAACACTGAACCCAACAACAGCAAAACACACATTCTTCTCAAGTGCAGAAGAACGTTCTGTAAAAGAGACCCTTTGCTAGGCCATAGAAGAAACCTCAACACATTTTAAACAATAGAAATACAAAATATTGGCCGGGCGCGGTGGCTCACGCCTGTAATCCCAGGATTTTGGGAGATCAAGGCAGATGGATCGCTGGAGCTCAGGTGTTCGAGACCAGCCTGGGCAACATAGTGAGACCCTGTCTCTACTAAAAATGCAAAAATTTGCTGGGTATGGTGGCACACACGTGGATTCCCAGCTACTTGGGAGGGTGAGGCACGAGAACTGCTTGAAGACAGAAGTTGCAGTGAGCTCTGATCACATCACTGACAGAGTGAGAGTTAGTCTCCCCCCACCAAAAAAAAAACCAGAAATAAGTATGTTCTCTGACCACAATGGAATGAGAAATGAAATCTGAAACTAATACAGAAAATTTGGCAAATTCACTAATATGTGGATATTAACACACTCCTCCATAACTAATGGATCAAAGAGAAATCAAAAGGGAAATACTTCGAGATGGATGTAAAATAAAGACATAATATACCAAAACTTATATAAAGGAAGTTAATAGCTATAAATACCTATCCTAAAGATTGCAAATCAACAACCTAACGTGGTCCACCTCGACACAATAGGAAAATAAAACTAAACCTAAGCAATTAGGAGTAAGGAAATAATAAATATTACAGGCAAATTAATGAAATAGAGAACAGTAAAACAATAGAGAAAAATCAATGAAACCAAAGCTAGTTGTTTGAAAAGATCAAACAAAACTGATTTAGCAGCCAGGCACAGTGGCTCACACCTGTCATCTCAGCACTTTAGAGGTGGGTGGATCACAAGGTCAGCAGTTTGAGACCAGCTGAGCCAATATGGTGAAACCCCGTCTCTACTAAAAACACAAAAATTAGCTGGGCGTGGTGGCGGATGCCTGTAATCCCAGCTACTCAGGAGGCTGAGGAGGGAGAATCGCTTGAACCCAGGAGGCAGAGGTTGCAGTGAGCCGAGATCGCACCATTGCACTCCAGCCTGGGTGACAGGGCAAGACTCAGTCTCAACAACAAAAAAGTGGGGAAAGGATGTAAATAGACATTTCTCCAAGAAAAATAAACATTGTCAGTAATTAGTCATCAAAGAAATGCAAATCAAAACAAAAAGGAGATACCACTTCTCACCCACTAGGATGGGTAAAATAAAAAACTAAAAAAGAAAATAAGTTTTGGCAAGGATATGGAGAAACAGGAATCTTCACACATTGCTGGTGGGAATGTAAAATGGTACAACCAATTAAGAAAACAGTGTGGCAGTTCTTTTTAAAAGTTAAATGACTTCTAGTTTTTGGTCCAGCATGTAAGGAGCTTGGAAGTTATTATTCCCTTGTAACAAAAAGCTGAACAAACTGAAACCTCAACAAGCTCTTCTTCCATCCTTCAGAGAACTGATGTCACAAGGCAAGCTCTGCCCCCTCAAACTGAAGAGAGAGGCGGATACAGAGAGTCATAACTTACCAGAACACGCAACCATGAACAGAAGCCTCTGTGGGAACCGTTACTTAGATGGGAAACCCTGAGCTGTAACTGATGAATTGCTGGGGGCACAGCGGGCCCAAGTCTGAGTTAGCAATCTCAGGGGGCCCAGTCTTGTAGAGGAGAAGAATAATGATTTTGAAATAGGCTAGATATTTCTGCTCTTTCTCACCGGGCCTTTCCCTTAAAACTATTTGATCAGAGCCTCACCTGTTGGGGTTTCATCAGTGTCTAAATTACCTGTGGAAAGAGATGTATCCCCCATCATCTTCCTCTATTCATCTTGTCCCGCCAAGTGAGAGGAGAAGGAAGAACTGAGAAGCACTTGTGAAGTTCAGTGTCGCGGGGCACAGGCTCAAGAATAGACTGAGACGTCATCAAAGGATCAGGGAATCCTTGCCCTCTGCCCACATCTCACCACTGGGTTACTAAAGGTCTATTTACTTCAGTGCCTTTCACCCAGTACATTGCGTCTGGCTTTCCAGAAAGAAATGACAAGGCATACTAAAAGGCAAAAGACAGAGCTTGAAGAGATAAAGCAGAACCCCTCATATATGGCAGGGACATTGGAATTATCAGACTGGGAATTTAAAACAAGTATGATTAACAGGTGAAGTGCTCTAATGGAAAAAGTAGACAACATGCAAAAACAGGCAATACAGGCTGAGAAGTGGAAATCCTAAGAATGAAAAAGCCATGGGAGAGATTTGAAAAGCACTGTAACAGAAATGGAGAATGACTTTAATGGACACATGAGTAGACTGGGTGTGGCTGAGGAAAGACTCTGAGCCTGAAGACATGTAATGAAAACTTCTAGGTTGGGTGCGGTGGCTCATGCCTGAAATGCCAGCATTTTGGGAGGCTGGGGCGGGAGGATTGCTTGAGGCCAGGAGTTCAAGACCAGTCTGGGCAACATAGTGACACCCTGTCTTTACAAAGTTTTTTTTGTTGTCGTTTTTTTTTGTTTTTGAGACAGACTCTCCCTCTGTCGCCCAGGCTGGAGTGCGATGACACAATCTCAGTTCACTGCAACCTCTGCCTCTCGGGTTCAGGAGATTCTCCCGCATCAGCCTCCCGAGCAGCTGGGATTACAGGCACCCGCCATCATGCCCAGCTAATTTTTTTGGTATTTTTGTAGAGACAGGGTTTCACCATGTTGGCCAGGCTGGTCTCAAACTCCTGACCTCAGGTGATCCACCCACCTCGGCCTCCCAGAGTGCTGGGATTACAGGCATGAGCCACCGTGCCCGGCCACAAAAAGTTTTTAAAAATAAGCTGGGCTTGGAGGCATATACCCTGTGGTCCTAGCTACTTGGGAAGCTGAGGTAACAGGATGGCTTGAGCCCAGGAGATTAAGGCTGCAGTGAGCCATGATTGTACCACTGCACTCCAACCTGGCTGATAGAGCAAGACCCTGCCAAATAAATAAATAAATATCTCTAGGGCTATCACTAAAAAAAGGAAAGAGAAGCATACCTGACTTGCTAAGAAAGGAGAAAAAATGGAATCACACAAAACATGCAATCAAAACCAAAAAAGGCAGAAAAAGAGTGGAAGACAAAATAAGGAACAACGAACCAGGGCAACAAAAACAGAAAACAGTAACCAGGCCGGGCCCGGTGGCTCACGCCCGTCATCCCAGCACTTCCGGAGGCCGAGGCGGGCGGATCACGACGTCAGGAGATGGAGACCATCCTGGCCAACACAGGGAAACCCCGTCTCTACTAAAAATATAAAAATTAGGCCAGGCGCATTGGCTCACGCCTGTAACCCCAACACTTCGGGAGGCCGAGGCGGGCAGATCACGATGTCAGGAGATTGAGACCATCGTGGCTAACATGGTGAAACCCTGTCTCTACTAAAAATACAAAAAATTAGCTGGGCATGGCGGGGAGTACCTGTAGTCCCAGCTGCTGGGGAGGCTGAGGCAGGAGAATGGCGTGAACCCAGGAGGCGGCGCTTGCAGTGAGCAGAGATCGCGCCACTGCACTCCAGCCTGGGAAACAGAGTGAGACTCTGTCTCAAAAAAAAAAAAAAAAAAAAAGAAAAGAAAAGAAACAGATCAAGCACGTGGAACATCAATAAGCACAGAGTTGAATTCAACAGCACCCCCAATGATGAATGTCTGTAGACAACTTCAACAACAGCAGAAAACACATTCTTGTCAAGCTCACGTGGAACACTCCTCAACCTAGACTGTATTTTGGGACATAAAACACCTTAACAAGTTTAAAAGAATATCGTACATCATATGCTCTTAGACAATACTGGAATTAAATCAGCATTGCCCTAAAATAAAACATACAGGTATAAATCTAACAAAATGTGCACAAGATCTTAGGAAAATTGTAAAACTCTGACAGAAGAAATCAAAGAACTAAGTGAATAGTTATTCCATGTCCACGTATAGAAGACCCAATATTGTCAAGACATTGGTTCTTCCCAACTTGATCTATAGATTCAACACAATCCCAATCAAAATCCCAGCAAGTTATTTGGTGGATATTGACAAACTGATTGTAAAGTTTATATGGAGAGGTAAAAGACTCAAAATACCAACACAGTATTGAAGGGGAAGGTTCAAGTTGGAAGACTGACACTATGCATTTTCCAGGCTTTCTGGAGAGCTGTAGTCATCAGGAGAGTGCGATGTAGAGTAAAGCATGTACAAATAGGCCAGGTGTGGTGGCACATGCCTGTAATCCCAGCATGTTGGGAGGCCAAGGTGGGAGGATTGCTTGAGCTCAGGAGTTTCACATCACCCTGGGCAACACAGTGAGACCCCATTTCTAAAATTAAGAAAAAATTAGCCAGGTGTGGAGGCTAAAGACCTTAAGACAACTCATCTGTGAAGATATAGATGGCAGATGAGTATATAAAAAATGCTCCACATCATGTCATCAGGGAAATGCAAATTAAAACAAGATACCGGCCAGGCACAGAGGCTCATGCCTGTAATCCTAGCACTTTGGGAGGCCGAGGCGTGCGGATCACGACGTCAAGACTATCCTGGCTAACATGGTGAAACCCCGTCTCTACTAAAAATACAAAAAATTAGCCGGGCGTGGTGTCGGGCGCCTGTAGTCCCAGCTACTCGGGAGGCTGAGGCAGGAGAATGGCGTGAACCCAGGAGGCAGAGCTTGCAGTGAGCCGAGATCGCGCCACTGCACTCCAGCCTGGGCGACAGAGCGAGACTCTGTCTCAAAAAAAAAAAAAAAAACAAAAATAAATAAAATAAAATCTATTATAAGGAAAAAAAGTTAACATAGTATTATCAAATGGAAATTCCACTCCTAAATATATACTGAAGAAATTTGAAAACATTTAAAGAAACATTTGTACCCAAATGTTCACAGCAGCACTATTCACAATAGCCAAAAGGTGGAAACAACTCAAAGTTGATCAACTGATAAACAAAATGTGGTACAGCCCACACAGTAGATATGACTCAGCCATGTAAGGAATGGAGCTCTAACAGGCTAAAACATGAATGACCCTGAAAACATGCCCAGTGAGAGAAGCCGTCAGAAAAGAACACATATTAGGATTCCATTCATATGAAATGTCAAAAGAACAAAAGAATAAAAAGGAAAAAAAGAGAAACAACATACGAAATGTCAAGAACAGCCAAATCTCTAGAGACAGAGGCAGATGAGTCATTTCTTAGGGTGGTGGAGGGGCTCCGGGGCAATAGGAGAGTGATAACTGAAGGGTCTGGGGGTTTCTTCGTGAGGTGATGGAAATGTCCTCAAGTTGACTGTGGTCTTGGTTGCAGGATTCTGTGACTGTAAAAACCAATGGCCGGGCGCAGTGGCTCACACCTGTCATCCCAGCACTTTGGGAGGCCGAGGAGGGCGGATCACGAGGTCAGGAGGTCGAGATCATCCTAGCTATCTCTACTAAAAATGCAAAAAATTAGCCGGGCGTGGTGACGGGTGCCTGTAGTCCCAGCTACTGGGGAGGCGGAGCTTCGAGTGCGCGCTACTGCACTCCAGCCTGGGCGACAGAGCAAGACTCCGTCTCAAAAAAAAAAAAAAAAACCAAAAAAATAACAACAACAATGAAATGTGCACGTTAAATGGCTGTACGTTCTATATGTCAGTAAAGCTGGTTTTTAAAAAACATAAAGAATGTGAAGTTCACTGTCTTCCTCAAAAACATGATACACAAAATGAAGACGCCCATGACCTCACCTCTAGTCAACGTTATACTAGTTCCAGCACCACCAGGAAATATACAAGAATTATAAAACATAAACTTGTCTTTTTGCAAATTTCTAAGAATTATGCACATAAAACCCCAACAGAACAAAGAGATAATCCTAGAAAAAGATTTTTACCAAGATTCCAAGAAATTGCATTATGTTTCTACTTCATAATAGTTGGAAAATTAATTTTTAAAAGCTGATACATACTATGGGAAAATCCAAAGTTAAATAAGTACTTAAGGCTAGTAAAGGATTTCAATGGAGAAACAAATCTTGATTGGGGCCCTGTGAGGTGGTTCATGCCCATAATCCCAGCATTTTGGGAGGCCGAGGCAGGAAGACTGCTTGAGGCCAGGAATTTGAGACCACCCTGGGCGACATAAGGAGACACAGTCTACAATTTTTTTATTATTTTTAAAATTAGCCAGGCATGATGGCATGTGCCTGCAGTCCTAGCTACTAGGGAGGCTGAGGCAGCAGGATCACTTGAGCCCAGGAGGTTTCAGTGAGCTGTGATCACACCACTGTACTCCAGTCTGGGCAACAGAGTGAGATCCTCTCTTAATGAGACTTTTTAGGACTTGACAAAACTACTTTCCAAATCTAACAGAGAAAAAGAGTCTAAAAATAGCCAAAACTTTCCGAAGAACAGGGTGAAGGCTTACCTAACACAGGGCAAGGATTTAAGAGCTGTCAATCTTGCCAGTACAGTATTAGCAGAAGGATGGACAAACGAACCAATGGAAAAGAATGGATCTCTCTGTGACATAACGATAATGAAAATCCTACTGAAGTGTAGGATGGGGGAAAAATAATTCCTATGACATTATGAAGTGCAAGAGGGTAGCTGGCCTTGGGGATGAGAGGGTTTTAGATTTTAGAGATTTAATTTGCGCTTTCGGAAGAGCCAGGCACGGGGACAGGCTCGTGGGCCTGCTGCAGAACTTTCCAGGTGGGGCGAGCTGCTGCACCCCACTAGACTCAAGTCCCCACCACTTTGTTCATATTTCTGGTCGTTATTTGAAGCAGCAGCCCAGGCAGGAAGCATACCTCATTTATCAACACCCACGGCCAGAGCAAGCCTAACACTTTTTAGGTCTATCTGGGTTTTGGAGAGAACGTATTCCTCACTTACAGGTTTTACTCTGACCCATCTGTGCGATCAGAAATCAGCCTACTTGTGGGACAACAGAGGTTCTAGATTCTGTGGAAAATGCAATGACGACAGGATTCCACTCTGCCCCGCCCCCACCCCCCGCCTGGACTCCTCTGGAGAGGTTCTCGAAGCCTCCGCTCCAGCCTCAGGGAATCTCAGACCAGTCCCAGTGGCGGTGAATTGGCCATGGGGATCTGGTGCAAGACACTGTCCTCCCATGTGGCCTCCACAGCCCACTAGAGACCGAGGCTCCCACGGGCCCTGTGCCTCTCTGCCCGGAGCTGCCCTGATGCCTCCGGTGGTGACACTCACGGGTCCACAGAACCTCCTTCCTGAAATGGAAATGATACTTATGGCACCGAGGCAAACCTGGGCCCTCTGGCCCATCCCCCGAGGACAGTCTTGTGCGCACACAACACGGATGTCCAAGTCCTTCTAACCACACACAGCAGACAGTGACTGTCTGGAAGCTTCACAGCCAGGACGACGCTCCCTGGTAGCCACGCAGCAGATGACCGTGTGGCTTTGGACTGTTTCTTTACTGGCCAGCTAGGGAGGGGGCGGTTTCGGCAAAGGGGCTGCTTCTTGCATATGGGTAGACGGGCAAGGCTGTGCAATCAACTCCACAATGACAACAGAATAATCAACATTGCTAAAATACTTGATCTGAGCCCCACTGGCATATTTTTCTTGCTCTGTCTTCAGTGTTCCAAAGCTCCTTCAGGCCTGCTTGTCCTTACTAAGATACACTGCTTGGGCATTAGCCTTTTAAAATTCACACTCAGGGCCGGGCACCATGGCTCACGCCTTTCCTCCCAGCACTTTGGGAGGCTGAGGCGGGAGGATCGCTTGAGCCCAGGAATTTGAGACCAGCCTGGGCAACACAGCAAGACCCCAGCTCTATAAAAATTTTTTTTAATTAGCTGGGTGTGGTGGCATGAATCTGCAGTCCCAGCTACTCAGGAGGCTGAGGCCGAAGATCGCTTGAGTGCAGGAGTTTGAGGCTGCAGTGAGCCATGATTGCATCACTGCACTCCAGCCTGGGCAACAGAGGAATTTTATATCTAATGAAGGATATAAAACAATCATCATGGAACAATTATAAAACACTACCGAATGACATCAAAGGAGAGAGAAATGAGAGATGGCACGCGGACTGAGGAAGGAAACAATGCCACCACGTCAGCAGATCTCTCAGACCGATCTGGGGTTTGAATACAATTCCATTACATCCAAAACCAGCCTCATTTTTTTTCCTTGTTTTTGAATTTATGAAAAACTACTTCTAAGAACTGAAATGAAAGGCAAATGTCTAAGAACAATCAGGTTTCCTACAGAACAAGGTAGAGGGACAATTCTTTTTTTTTTTTTTTTGAGACAGAGTCTTGCTCTGTCACCCAGGCTGGAGTGCAGTGGCGCAATCTCAGCTCACTGCAACCTCCGTCTCCTGGGTTCACGCCATTCTCCAGCCTCAGCCTCCCGAGTAGCTGGGACTACAGGCGCCCACCACCACACCCGGCTAATTTTTTGTATTTTTTAGTAGAGACGGGGTTTCACCCTATTAGCCAGGATGGTCTCGATCTCCTGACCTCGTGATCCGCCCGCCTCCGCCGGTAGAGGGACAATTCTAAAACACATCAAGGCACTTAAATCACAATCATAATTAGGAGGGCCAGGTGCAGTGGCTCACGCCTGTAATGCAAATACTTTGGAATGCCGAGGGGGGGGGGGCGATCACCTGAAGTCAAGAGTTCGAGACCAGCCTGGCCAACATGATGAAACCCCATCTCTACTAAAAATTTAAAAATTAACTGGGCGTGCTGGCATGTGCCTGTAATCTCAGCTACTCGGGAGGCTGAGGCAGAAGAATCGCTTGAACCCTGGAGACGGAGGATGCAGTGAGCCAAGATTGTGCCACTGCACTCCAACCTGAGCAACAAAGCAAGACTCCATCTCAAAAAAAGAAAAAATAGTAATTAGAGGATGGTATCGTCAGGATGGACAAATAGACCAACACAAAAGGATGGGAAGCTGTGTTTATGGTGCATGAATATATGACAGAGCAAGCGTTGCAACAATGCTGGAAACGAGGGGCAGTTTAACACCTGGGCAAGGAGAGATGCTATCTATGGGAGAATAAGGAACATCCACATCAACTGCAAGTTCAATCGTCGGCATAATGCACATCTCACTGTGAATGACAAGAGCAGAGCCCATTCAGAAGTTAGTTCTTACAACGTCCAGGCATGGAAAGTGCTCACATATGCCCACACACAGACAGTAAGCTACGAGGGAGGCCAGGTGCAGTGTGGCTCACACCTGTAATCCCAGCACTTTGGGAGGCTGAGGCAGGTAGATCACTTGAGGCCAAGAGTTTGAGACCAACCTGGCCAACATTATGAAACTCTGTGTCTACTAAAAGTGTAAAAATTAGCCAGGCTTGGTGGCACATGCCTGTAACCACAGCTATTCGGGAGGCTGAGGTAGGAGGATTGCTTGAACCCGGGAGGTGGAGGTTGCAGTGAGCCGAGATGGTGCCACTGCACTCCAGCCTGGGCCACAGAGCGAAACTCTGTCTCAAAAAAAACAAAAACAAACAAACAAAAACAAAGAAACAAACAAAAAAAACTTTGGCTGGGTGTGGTGGTGCACACCTGTGGTCTCAGCTACTTGGAAAGCTGAGGTGAGGGGATGACTTAAAGCCAGGAGTTTGAGACTGCAGTGAGCCACGATCACACCACTGCACTCCAGCTTGGGCAATAGAACAAGACCTTGTCTCTAAAAATAAATAAGTACACAAAATAAATGAACACACTTGAATTAACCCAAGCCTGACAAACGCTGGAATGATTGAACTAACTGCGTCACCCACTGTCTCAGACACCAGCATGTGCGCAAAGGAAAGAAACCACAGAAAAGCCTTTTGAGCTGCTATTCACGGTGCATTAATGGTCACAGTCACTTATTGAAATTTCAGGCCAGGTGCAGTGGCCCATGCTTGTAATCCCAGCACTTTGGGAGGCCAAGGAGGGCAGATCGCTTGAGTCCAGGAGTTTGAGACTAGCCTGGGGCAACAGCGAGGCCCCCCGTCTCTACAAAAAAATATAAAAATTAGCCAGGAATGGGCCGGGCGCGGTGGCTCACGCCTGTAATCCCAGCACTTTCGGAGGCTGAGGCGAGCGGAACACCAGGTCAGGAGATCAAGACCATCCTGGCTAACAGGGTGAAACCCCGTCTCTACTAAAAATACAAAAAATTAGCCGGGCGAGGTGGCGGTCGCCTGTAGTCCCAGCTACGCAGGAGGCTGAGGCAGGAGAATGGCGTGAACCCCGGAGGGCGGAGCCTGCAGTGAGCCGAGATCGCACCACTGCACTCCAGCCTGGGCGACAGAGTAAGACCCTGCCTGAAAAAAAAAAAAAATTCAAAGGAGGCAAAATTAAAACTCTGTATGGTGATAAATAATAAATGGTAAAGGTAGAGAGAATGAAAAAAAAAATCAGGACAGTGGTTACCCTGGGGGCAGAACAGAGATGAGCGCTGGGAGCAGCACACAGGTGTTGAAGAGAGGCCGGAGGCCTATTTATGCGGGCAGTAAGGCCACTGGTGTTTATATTAAAACTTAATCCAGGCCGGGCGCGGTGGCTCACGCCTGAAATCCCAGCACTTTGGGAGGCGGAGGAGGGTGGATCACTTAAGGTCAGGAGTTTGAGACCAGCCTGGCCAACATGGCGAAACCCCGTCTCTACTAAAAATATAAAAATTAGCCGGTCGTGGTGGCAAGTGCCTGTAATCCCAGCTACTCGGGAGGCTGAGGCAGGAGAATTGCTTGAACCCGGGAGGCGGATGATACAATGTGTGGAGATCACGCCACTGTACTCCAGCCTGGGAGACACAGTGTCTCCAAAAAAGAAAAACAACACTTAAAGCATAAACTAAACCCACTGCTTAGAAACGGCTCCAAGACAGCACAGGTGCAACCTCAGAAAGGCTAAAACGCCCACAAGCACATCTCCAGGACAATCGTCTTTCCCATGCTCAGCAGCCTCAATCAGCATGAACAGTTCCCGCTGCGGCTGTTCTACGAGGCAGGAGGACTGAGCAAGTGGAGGCTGCCCAGCCAGACCCCGCTGCACCCTCAGCGGCCTCCAGTGCAGGCTCAACTGTGGGCTCAGCTGGAGTCACCGGTCTTGGGGCTCACCTCCCTGCTCCAGGTGCTACACTTTAAATGCCACAAAGACCCTCATCCCGTAGAGTGAGAATGCAGCAGAATCAGTGCTTTCCACCCCTTGTGTAAGTGGGGGAAGGGAGTTCCAAGGCAGTCTTTATGACTTTACATGGCCAGAAACTGCTTTTCCCAGTCAGCAAACAGATGATGGATCAGTGAAGCAATACTCCTGGTGACAAACTGGAAACTAACCAGAATGGAACACGCCTCAGTTTTACAGGTTTTTGCAGAATTTGCATTAATCTCATGTCTAGCTGAACTGAAATGGAACACGATCACACACTGTCGCAAACTCTGCACCTTGTATGGAAGAATAACTATTATTTTTTGTCTGATTGCTTTGGCATTTGAAAAACTACTATTTTTATGAACATTTTAATCCATCTCTAGCTGCTATAAGATGTGGAACTGCGCACACTTTCTCTACAATTCTGGTGGGAGACAGAATATTCCTGAGAGACTTCCTTAGGCCATGCTTAGCCTGTACCCCACGATAAACAGGTGTTATCCTGACGGACCAGAAGGCAGAAAACACACTTGAACATTTTCCTATTGTCACTAAGGAGAAGAAAAAAGCCAAACAGGAGAACAGTACAGTACATTTACTGACACCGGCTGCCCGAATAAAGCTTTCACAGCATTAGTGATACCCTGCAACAAAACCCCCAGGGCAGCTAACTCCCACCGCTGAGGTCGTCCCCCAAACTGCCTCTGACCCCCAGGCCGTCCCTTGCCATCCCCCCAAGCTGTCCCCTGTAAGGTTCTCTGAGCTGGCCGCACCATGGTCAAGCCCCCCGCCCTTGTGATAATGTACTTTGTGATATTCCCCCGCCCTTGTGAATGTACTTTGTACGATACGTCCTCCTCGCCCTTGTGAATGTACCCCGCCCTTGTGACAATACACGCTCGCGCCCTTGTGAAGGTACTTTGTAATATTCCTCCCAGCCCTTGTGACAATACATCCCCCAAGCCCTTGTGAATGTACTTTGAAACATCGTCGCCGCCCTTGAGAATGTACTTTGTAACACCCACCAACTGTCCTCAAAAAAACTGCTCCTAACTCCGATGCCTGTCCCAAACCTATAAGGACTAATGATTGCCGGGCGCGGTGGCTCACGCCTGTAATCCCAGCACTTTGGGAGGCCGAGGCGGGCGGATCACAAGGTCAAGAGATCGAGACCATTCTGGCCAACATGGTGAAACCCTGTCTCTACTAAAAACAAAAATTAGCCGGGCGTGAGGGCGGGCGCCTGTAATCTCAGCTACTCCGGAGGCTGAGGCAGGAGAATCGCTTGAACCCGGGAGGCGGAAGTTGCAGTGAGCCGAGATCACGCCACTGCACTCCAGCCTGGCGACAGAGCGGGACTCCGTCCCAAAAATAAAAAAAATAAAAAAATAAAACCAATAATAATCCCATCACCCTTTGCTGAGTCCTTTCTCAGACTCAGCCCACTTGCACCCAAGTGAGTAAACAGCCTTGTGGCTCACACTAAGCCTGCTCAGGTGACCTCTTATACGGACACGCGTAACATCCCCAACCTGCTGACCGTCCCTTGCCGTCCCCCCAAACTGGTCCCTGACCCCTGACCGCCCCTACCGTCCCCCCAAACTACCTCCAGCCCCCCTCCTGCCCAGGCCTCCCCCTAAGTTACCCCCAAGCTCCTTGCCGCCCCTTCCGTCCCCCCAAACTGCCCCCAGTCCTCCAGCCCGGCCGCTGTGATGGCGTCCCCGGGTCCCAGGTGCTAGTCCTGCGCCGCCCCGCGCGTCCCTCAGCCAATCCCGGCCGCAGACTTCGGCGGACTCTGGTTCCAGCCGGTTCCCGTCGCTCCGACCGTCCCCTGGCTCTGCTCCTGCCTCGCACTCACCATGTCTCCCCTGCTCCTGGGCTCTCCAAGGCGAGCTCTCCGTGGCCTCGCGGCCGGCGCAGCTGAAAGGTACAGGTACTCCCGGGCCGCTCGTGGTAGGCAGGGCACGCGCGGCAGGGAGGACGAAACGTCCCGCCCTCGGGGCCTCGGAGCTCAGGAAGCGGCGCCCTGATTGGACAATCTCTAAGCCCCCGCCCTTTCAACGCTCTGAGCGGACAGCGTTTTGGACACGCCCCCTTCACCCCTGGGGCCTTCGATTGGACACTACTGCAAACCTGCAATCCGCTTCCCGGTGTCCGCCCCGTGCCTTGATTGGACAGTTTTCCGGACCCGCCCCCGGAGCACCTGATTGGAAGATAACTTCCGCGCCGCCCCGCCTCCTGTCGCCCGAGTGACCGGCGCGTAGCCAACGCTAGTGGCTGACCCGCCAGCGGTGGACACTCCCGTTTGCGCGAACTCGCTCTGGCCCGGGGTGAGCCCAACCTCTCCCCGCAGCTCGGCCGCGCCTCCCGCGTCCTTCTCCCGAACGGGCACGAGAAGTCCAGACTCAGTTTCCCCACGGAGCAGCCGGAGTGCTGCGTGGAGGGGAGGGGCGAGCGAGCGGCGTGGGTCGCGTGGGGTGAGCCCTTCGTGGGGCGGGGTCCTCAGCCGTGACGTCACCGCGCTGCCCCGCGTGGGCGCGGACCCCATGGAGGCCCTGCCCCGTGCTGGAGCACGTGCTGTCAGTGTCCTGATTTTTTTTTTTTTTTTTTTTTTTTTTTTTGAGGTGGAGTCTCGCTCTGTCGCCCAGGCTGGAGTGCAGTGGCGCCATCTCGGCTCACTGCAAGCTCCGCCTCCCGGGTTCAGGCCATTCTCCTACCTCAGCCTCCCGAGTAGCTGGGACACAGGCACCCGCCACCACGCCGGCTAATTTTTTTGTATTTTTAGTAGAGACGAGGTTTCACCGTGTTAGCCAGGATGGTCTCGATCTCCTGACCTCGTGATCGGCCCGCCTCGGCCTCCCAAAGTGCTGGGATTACAGGCGTGAGCCACCGCGCACGGCCAGTGTCCTGATTTTTTTACCCAAACGTTTCCCAGCCTCCTGTCCTTCCCACAGGCCCCTGCACTTTGGCTCGCCCCCGACATCTGAGCCTGCACTAAAATAAGGACCAAACCTCGAGTCACCTGATCCCGAAAATGGGCGGACCCCAGGGAGCCCCTATCCTGTCTGGCCTCGCTGGATTTGTTTTTTTGTTGGACATTGTTTTTTGTTTTATTTATTTTTTTATTTTGAGACGGAGTCTCACACTGTCGCCCCGGCTGGAGTGCAGTGGCGTGATCTCGGCTCACTGCAACCTCCGCCTTCAGGGTTAAAGCGATTCTCCTGCCTCAGCCTCCCGAGTAGCTGAGATTACAGGCGCCTGCCACCACGTCCGGCTAATTTTTGTATTTTTAGTAGAGACGGGGGTTTCACTATGTTGGCCAAGCTGGTCTTGAACTCCTGACCTCGTGATCCGCCTGCCTCGGCCTCCCAAAGTGCTGGAATTAGAGGCGTGAGCTACCGCGCCCGGCGGACATTCTTTAGATCAAGAAATCCGGGGCCGGGCATGGTGGCCCAAGCCTGTAATCTCAGCACTTTGGGAGGCCGAGGCGGGTGGATCACGAGGTCAGGAGATCGAGACCATCCTGGCTAACACGGTGAAACCATCTCTACTAAAAATACAAAAAAATTAGCCAGGCGTGGTGGCGGGCACCTGTAGTCCCAGCTACTCGGGAGGCTGAGGCAGGGGAATGGCTGAACCCGGGAGACGGAGCTTGCAGTGAGCCGAGATGGCGCCACTGCACTCCAGCCTGGGCAACAGACGGAGACTCCGTCTCAAAAAAAAAAAAAAAAAACAAAATCCAGGCCAGGCGTGGTGGCTCACACCTATAATCCCAGCACTTTGGGAAGCTGAGGTGGGTGGATCACCTGAGGTCAGGAGTTCAAGACCAGCCTGGCCAACATGGCGAAACCCTGTCTCTACTAAAATACAAAAATTAGCTGGGCCTGGTGGCGCGTGCCTGTAATCCCAGCTACTCAGGAGGCTGAGGCAGGAGAATCGCTTGAACCTGGGAGGCGGAGGTTGCAGTGAGCTGAGATCCTGCCACTGCACTCCAGCCTGGGCAAAAGAATGAGATACTGTCTGAAAAAAAAAATTAAATTTAATTTAAAAATAAAATTAAATAAATAAATTTGGGATAAACCAGTTAACTGTCTCTCAATCTCTCTCTCTTGTTTTTTTTGTGTTTTTTTTTTTTTGAGACAACGTCTTGCTCTGTTGTCCAGGGTAGAATGCAGTGACAAGATCATAGCTCGGCCGGGTGCAGTGGCTCACGCCTGTAATCCCAGCACTTTGGGAGGCCGAGGCGGGTGGATCACGAGGTCAAGAGATCGAGACCATCCTGGCCAACATGGTGAAACCCTGTCTCTACTAAAAATACAAAAATTAGCTGGGCATGGTGGCGAGCGCCTGTAGTCCCAGCTATTCGGGAAGCTGAGGCAGGAGAATGGCTTGAACTAGGGAGGTGGAGGTTGCAGTGAGTTAAGATCGTGCCATTGCACTCCAGCCCTGGTGAAAGAGTGAGACTCCATCTCAAAAAAAAAAACCAAAAAACAAAAAACAAAAAAACCAGCTCACTGTAAACCAGAACCCGTGGACCAGTTAACTCTTTTTATTTTTTGTAGACAGGCTCTACCTATGTTGCCCAGGTTGATTTTGAACTCATGGCCTCCCGCCAGGACCCCAAAATGCTGGGATGACAGGCATGAACCACCGTGCCTGGCCCACTGAACTCAATATGCTTACAGAATGCAAATGCATTTGAATTGAGGAGTCTTCGCCCTCACAAAGTTGTTTATATACCCATGGGCGACCTCTCTGTCACCTTCTCATGAGATACCTGAAATTGTCCTCACACAGACCCGGCAGGTGGTGTTTAGCCTCTTCCTCAATATTTTATATACTTTTTCCAGAAAATGAAATTTTAGTCCATCAATACATTTAATTATGTATATTGCACGTATTTTATCAAGTTCTGGCAGTTTTGCAGTTATGTTTAGTTTCTCAGAAAAGCAATATTATCACTTCCAATGACAAGATTTACTTCTACCGTTACATTCTTTTTATCTATCATGGTGATTTTTGACGATGTTACATTCAAGCAGGGATAAATAATTGAAGTGAAAATGGGTGTTCCTTTCACTTGGAAGCCTGCTGGCACCTACCTGTTCTTCTCATGTTCTGTAGCCAGACCTTCTATGAGTAGCAGGCTGGCCTGTCAGTCATTGTGTCTGAAATTGACCAGAGAAATTTTAGCAATGGAAAGTAATTGAAAAAAATGTGGCCGCCTACTTAGAAGGTTTTATGCAAGTTGGGCCAGATGTGGTTGCTCACACTTGTATTCCCAGCACTTTGGGAGGCCAAGGCAGGAGGATCGTTTCAGTCCAGGAGTTCGAGATCAGCCTGGGCAACATAGGGAGAGCCCATCTCTATAAAAAAAATACAAGCCGGGCGCGGTGGCTCATGCCTGTAATCCCAGCACTTTGGGAGGCCGAGGCAGGTGGATCATCTGAGGTTGGGAGTTCAAGACCAGCCTGACCAACATGGAGAAACCCTGTCTCTACTAAAAATACAAAATTAGCCAGGCATGGTTGTGTGTGCCTGTAATCCCAGCTACTCAGGAGGCTGAGGCAGGAGAATGGTGTGAACACGGGAGGCGGAGCTTGCAGTGAGCTGAGATAGTGCCACTGCACTCCAGCCTGGGCGACAGAGCGAGACTCCGTCTCAAAAAAAAAAAAAAAATGTTCACAGTCCAGAGAAAGCCTACAAATGCAAAGAATGTGGGAAGGCCTTCTTTCGTTCCTTCTACCTGATCATACATGCCAGAATGCACACGGGAGAAAAAGCCTACAGGTGTGTGGAATGTGGGAACACCTACAGTTGGCCCTCGGACCTTAGGGTTCACATGAGAACACACTCTGGGGAAAAGCGCTGTGGATGCAAACAGTGTGGAAAATCCTTCAGTTCTCCCTCCTCCTTTAAGGGACACATAAGGACTCACACTGGAGAGAAACTGTACACCTGTAGGGAATGTGGGAAAGTCTTCAGTAGTCCCTCATACTTCCGAACACAAGTGAGAATTCACATTGGAGAGAAACCCTATGTGTGTGAGCAGCGTGGGAAAGTCTTCAGTTGGTCATCATCTTTTCGAGGACATTTGAGAACTCACAGTAGAGAGAAACCCTACGAATGTAAGGAGTGTACAAAAGCCTTCGGTAGACTCTCGTCCTTACAAAGACATAAGGATTCACATTGGAGAGAAACTCTCTAAATGTATGCAGCATGGAAAAGCTTTCTGTGGTCTCCCATCCTTAAAATAACACATGAAAACTCACACTGGAGGGAAACCCTATGTTAGTAAGTAATGTGGCAAAGGTTCCGTGCGGATGACTTACTGTACTGAATAAATTCAATACCGTTAGAAAATGTTTATAAAGGTCTTAAGTCGAGCCATGGGTTTATTAGTGCCTTATGTTAAAGTAGACCTCTAGCCCATTATTTCTCATTCTTTTTGAGAGAAACAGCTGGTAAATACTCCTTTAAGTGTTTGCAAGGGGTGCTGTAACAAATCACCACAAAGTTGGTGGCCGAATGAAACATATTTATTCTCTCATAGTTCTGCAGGCTGAAAGTTTGAACTTAAAGGTTATTTATTTTCGTTTTTTTTGTTTTTTTGTTTTTTTTTTTTGAGACGGAGTCTCCCTCTGTCTCCCATGCTGGAGTGCAGTGGCGCGATCTCGGCTCACTGCAAGCTCCGCCTCCCGGGTTCACACCATTCTCCTGCCTCAGCCTCCCGAATAGCTGGGACTACAGGTGCCCACCACCATGCCCAGCTAATTTTTTTTGTATTTTTAGTAGAGACGGGGTTTCACCATGTTTTTTGAGGGTTTTAGTCTTTAGTATTAGAAAATGTATATTCAGCATTTTTTTTACTCAGTGGACACAGTATTTCATGATCCTGGCAGAAATTGCAAAATACAAGGCTGTGGCCTAGGGACACCCTCATCTGACTCATTTTTCTCTTTTACCCTTTTCTGTGTCTCCCAGCTCCTGGCTGGGAATTGGACACAAAAGTTATGAAGTAAGAAGGTAGACCTTGTTATTTGAAGATGATAAAATCTAGAGTACATCATGTGTTGTACAAGATTTCCCATGTCAACGTCGGTACTTTTTTTTTTTTTTTTGGAGGCAGAGTCTCACTCCCTAGCCCAGGCTGGAGTGCAGTGGCGTGATCTCTGCTCACCGCAAGCTCCGCTTCCCGGGTTCACGCCACTCTCCTGCCTCAGCCTTCCGAGTAGCTGGGACTACAGGCACCCGCCACCATGCCCGGCTAATTTTGTATTTTTAGTATAGACGGGGTTTCTCCATGTTGGTCTGGCTGGTCTCAAACTCCCGATCTCAGGTAATCCACCCGCCTCAGCCTCCCCAAGTGCTGGGATTACAGGCGCGAGCCCCCGTGCCCGGCCTGTCCTCATGTTCTTGACTGTACCCTGAAAGTTACAATTATGGCATCAGGAAATTGTTTCCTGATTGTAGTGTTGGGTGGTTGCATTTACCCTGTACTTTTTGTTTCTGGACAATACATATGAGAAGTATGCACTTTGTAGATATACGAAACAGATTATAGGAGTCTTCTGTCATTCAGAGCTGAATGCAGTTTCTAAATGATAAACTTGTGTTATCATAATTTTTATGTTTGCAAAAATAATCTACTTTTTTGCCAAACACAAGGTTCTGTAGGTATTTCTTAGAACAATCCTAGAACTGTTTTTATATTTGCTGTAAACTTAAAATTTTAACTATCTTTCATGTATTGAGAAGGGATATGTTAAAATATTCCAGTACAATTATGGATTGTCAAATCATGTGTATAACTGTATATTTTTAAATATGTTCTGATGCTATAGTGCATGTTCCAGAATTTTTATGTGAATTTTTAAACTCTTATAATGTTAAACATTTTTCTCATTAAAATGACTTATTCAGAAGAAGAAAAGCTCACACATTAATTATGTCAATGCTCACCAGCCCAAACCCATGAGAAACACAACTGCAGTTGAACAAAGTAGGGTCTGTTGACTTATTTCACAATGAGGTGACCACACAGCATGAGGAATGGAAATCTCAGAAGTTGCATGTTAGAAGGCTGGGAGCGCCAGGTGTGGTGGCTCACGCCTGTAATCCCAGCACTTTGGGAGGCCGAGGTGGGCACATCACGAGGTCAGGAGTTCGAGACCAGCATGGCCAACACGGTGAAACCCCGTCTCTACTAAAAATACCAAAATTAGCTGGGTGTGGTGGTGCGCGCCTGTAATCCTATCTACTCGGGAGGCTGAGGCAGGAGAATCGCTTGAACCCGGGAGGCGGAGGTTGCAGTGAGCTGAGATCGCACCACTGCACTCCAGCCTGGGTGACAGAGTGAGACTCCATCTCAAAAAAAAAAAAAAATTTGGTATTCTTTCTTCTTTTTTTTTTTTTTTTTTGAGACAGAGTCTCACTCTGTCGCCCAGGCTGGAGTGCAATGGCCTGATCTCAGCTCACTGCAACCTCCGCCTCCCGGGTTCAAGTGATTCTCCTGCCTCAGCCTCCCGAGTAGCTGGGATTACAGGCGGCTGCCACCACGCCCAGCTAATTTTTGTATTTTTAGTAGAGACGGGGTTTCACCATGTTGGTCAGGCTGGTCTCGAACTCCTGACCTCGTGATCCACCTGCTTCGGCCTCCCAAAGTGCTGGGATTACAGGCGTGAGCCACAGCGCCTGGCCTGTTTGCATAATTTTTTATTCCGTGTAATGACATGATTACACAGTACTCTTTGTGAAGCAGGTTCAGTGTGCACTGGTTAGCAACTTATCTGACTCTGGTGAGAGAGAACACCCACATACAACAAGTTACATGGAACTCGTTGAGTTACATGGAATTTCATGGGTTTATTACTTACAGATAGGCAGCAAGGGACAACAGAAGCCTACAATTCATTGTGAGCTGCTCCTCCAAGGCTCAGACAGCTGCCTGGAGCAGATGGAGTCTCAAATGGAGCAGATGGAGCCTCACTTGCACTCCATATTAGGGACCCCAAAAGGCAGCCTGCCCCAGGTGATATACCTCAGGGGCAAGAGAACATGCTGGGCTAAAGCAGAACATCCTGTTCTTGCGGGGACTAGAGCAGAACCTGAGTGTTCTAGCCAGCTCCCCGCTTATCTCGGAATGTTGCATTCCCAGTACATTCTTTCTTTTTTTTTTTTTTTTTGAGATGGAGTCTGGCTCTGTCGCCCAGGCTGGAGTGCAGTGGCGCAATCTCGGCTCACTGCAAGCTCCGCCTCCCAGGTTCATGCCATTTTCCTGCCTCAGCCTCCTGAGTAGCTGGGACTACAGGCGCCCGCCACCATGCCCGGCTAATTTTTTGTATTTTTAGTAGAGACGGGGTTTCACTGTGTTAGCCAGGATGGTCTCGATCTCCTGACCTCGTGATCCGCCCGCCTCGGCCTCCCAAAGTGCTGGGAGTACAGGCGTGAGCCACCACGCCCGGCCAATTCTGTATTTTCAGTAGAGACGTGGTTTCACTATGTTGGCCAGGCTGGTCTCGAACTCCTGACCTCAGGTGATCCGCCCACCTTGGCCTCCCAAAGTGCTGGGATTACAGGCATCAGCCGCCGTGCCCGGCTGCATTCCCAGTACATTCTAGTTATTCTTGAGAGCTACAGTCAAGAGTGGGGAAGATTGGGTCAGTCTCAGGCCACCTGGAGAACTTCCCTGCACTCTTGTTTTTGCTTTGCTCATTCTCACCCCGTGGCCCCATCTGATGTCGGGGTGGTGTAAAATCATTGCTGTTCAACAGAATCATGTGGCGTGGGACGAATGCCAGGCCAGGTCCCAGTTCTCAAGGGCTGATTTTTCCTTCCATGTAAAGAGTTGAATATTGCTTACCATATATCTGGTATGGTTTTGTTTCCTATAATTCAATGAACATATATAAATTCACTTAATCTTCCAAAACTATAATGTAGATACATTTATTGTCTCCTTTTGTGGGTAACAGACTTACAGATTACAAAGCTAGCAAGTTATAAGGTAGGATCAGGATTCAGAACAAGTCTTCGTAGGCTGGGTATAGTAGCTCACGCCTGTAATCCCAGCACTTTGGGAGGCTGAGGTGGGCGGATCACTTGAGCTCAGCAGCTCAAGTCCAGCCTGGGTAACATGGAGAAACCCCATCTCTATAAAAAATACAAAAATTAGCCATGTGCAGTGGCATGTGCCTGTAGTTCCAGCTACTTGGGAGGCTGAGGCAGGAAAGTCACTTGAGCCCGGGAGTGAGCCGAGTTTGTGCTACTGCACTCCAGCCTGGGCAACAGAGAAAGACTCTGTCTCAAAAAAAAAAAAAAAAGAAAAGAAAAAAGAAAAAGAAAAAGAAAAGAAAAGAAAAGAAAAATTCCTTCTAGCCCAAAGACCATGATTTTAACCTGATCCTACTTTTTGAGCCTCTCTTATATACCAGGCATTGTAAGCTCAAAACAAAAAATTAGGCTGAAAAGTAATCAAGACACAGCAGGCTCTCAATATAGAATAAGTCCTCGCAGTTCGAGGGCGTGTATTTTTCTGGGAAAAGAGATTTTTTTTAAAAAGTAAAGATTTTAATGTAACAAGTAGAGACTTGATATAAAAAATACGGGTCTTGGGGACCAGGCGCGGTGGCTCACGCCTGTAATCCCAGCACTTTGGGGGACTGAGGTGGGCGGTTCATGAGGTCAAGAGATCGAGATCAGCCTGGCCAACATGGTGAAACCCCGTCTCTACTAAAAATACAAAAATTAGCCGGGCCTGGTGGCAGGCACCTGTAATCCCAGCTACTGGGGAGGCTGAGGCAGGAGAATCACTTGAACCCGGGAAGTGGAGGTTGCCGTCAGCCGAGATCCTGCCACTGCACTCCAGCCTGGCGACAGACCAAGATTTCGTCCGAAAAAAAAAAAAAAATGGGTCTTGGAAGAAAATAATCCACAAGGGAGATAATCGGGAAAACAGAGGGACGTATTTTGCATTTTTTCTATGGATGGTGGGGCATTGGAGAATGAGGATGTATTTATTAATTTATATTTCCATCACTCAGTATGTGTTAAGTAAACACTATCACAGGGACTGCTCAGGGTGTTTGTAAATAGTGTGGAGTGATACCCAGTCCTGCATTCATGGAGTTAACAGAGTAATAATTTCCTACAAAATAAAACTCTCATGGTCCATCTTTATTTATTGATTGATTTTTTGAGATGAAGTCTTGCTCTGTTGCCCAGACTGGAGTACAATGGCGCAATCGTGGCTCACTGCAACCTCCGCCTCCCAGGTTCAAGTGATTCTCCTGGCTCAGCCTCTTGAGTAGCTGGGATTACAGGTGCCCGCCACCACACCCGGCTAATTTTTTGTATTTTTAATAGAGATGGGGTTTCACCGTGTTAGCTAGGATGGTCTCGATCTCCTGACCTCGTGATCTGCCTGCCACGGCCTCCCAAAGTGCTGGGATTACAGGCGTGAGCCACCATGCCTGGCCGGTCCATCTTTATTTTTGCAATGCTCAAAAGCTTTAGGTAATATGATATGTACCTATGAAGTGAAAAGGTCACCAGAGTCTCACCAGTTATTCGGGCCATCAAGTGTGGCTGTTTATAGAGTCCTTTTGAATGAATTGTAAATTGTATTAAAGAGGTGGCCTTCTCAATTTGCTGCTAGTGTAGTCTGAGAGAATCTGTAGCCTAGGAAGCCACAGAGTTGCCCCTGGTTTGTAAAAGGATGTGGTCATCTGCACGGTTTTAATCCAGCATGTGCCCTTTCCTACAAGCAGAATGATAGCTGTGCAAGTTCTTGGTGATCCGGTAGATGCAAGAAGAGCTGTGGATGGTAAGGGAGAGTCTAGGAATAATGAAGGTGAGCTGCAGACACTGTGTCATTTTGAACAGCGTCCCAATTTAGTATCAAAGGATATTTGGCATTCTCAAAAATACTTTGATACTAAATTGGGACGGTGTTCAAAATCCCAAATTTTGGAAAATTTTAATGCCCTTTTATAGGAGATGGTAGTTTTTGTTTTGTTTTGTTTTTGAGACTGAGTCTCACCCTGTCACCCAGGCTGGAGTGCAGTGGCACAATCTCGGCTCACTGCAACCTCCGGAAAGGCCAGATTTTTTTCTAATGAGGCATAATGCCCAAACAGGAGCACATGCTGCTCTTCACACTCATTATTTCCATATGCTCAATTTTCCGATACATGTCACAGCAAAGCAGAAATACAACACCTTTTTGCTGAATTAAACAGCAAGTCGGCCAGGTATGGTGGCTCACGCCTGTCATCCCAGCACTTTGGGAGGCGGAGACAGGTGGATCACATGAGGTCAGGAGTTCAAGACCAGCCTGGTCAACACGGTGAAACCCGTCTCTACTAAAAATGCAAAAATTAACTGGGCGTGGTTGCGAATGCCTGTAATCCCAGCTACTCAGGAGGCTGAAGCAGGAGAATCGCTTGAACCCGCGAGGCGGAGGTTGCAGAGAGGTTGCACCATTGCACTCCAGCCTGGGCGACAGAGCGAGGCTCCATCTCAAAAAATAAATACATATAAATAAATAATAAAAATAAACTCACCTGAACCTTTTTAGATAAGCAAAACCAATTTTTTTCCACTTCCTTGGCAACCGAACAGAGAATGGCGTGAGAAAGAAGAAATCGCGAGCCGTCATTGCTTTCTTGGAACCCAACCTGAAATTAAGAAAGGCCACCAGGGCCATGCCTCTCTCACCTCAGACACAGATTCAGAGAGAAGCGAGAAGGCACCTCTGTCCCCAAGTTCCTGGGGCCTGAGCTCTGCACACACCGTAGGTCTGAAACGTGAACTTCCCTTTGAGGGTCATCCTGGGCGGAATTCCAGTCCTTAGGTATCTGCACGTATTCCCAGGCTTGAGGCCATTTCAACCCTAAATCAGGAATTCCAAGTCTGGTTTTGTGTCTTCTG
Organism: Homo sapiens; assembly: GCF_000001405.40. Taxonomy (NCBI): domain Eukaryota; kingdom Metazoa; phylum Chordata; class Mammalia; order Primates; family Hominidae; genus Homo; species Homo sapiens. Next base: position 2,889,976 of record NC_000019.10, on the reverse strand, counting down.
ACTACGAATCTTGCCTAGAGATGCAAAGGTGTGACCGGGTGTGCTGGCTCGCGCCTGTAATCCCAGCACTTTGGCAGGCCGCGGTGGGTGGATCACCTGAGGTCAGGAGTTCGAGACCAGCCTGGCCAACATGGTGAAACCCCGTCTCTACTAAAAATACAAAAATTAGCTGGGCGTGGTGGTGCGCGTCTGTAGTCCCAGCTGCTCGGGAGGCTGAGGCAGGAGAATGGCTTGAACCTGAGAGGTGGAAGTTGCAGGGAGCCAAGATGAGGCCACGGCACTCCAGCCTGGGTGACAGAGCGAAACTCTGTCTCAAAAGAAAAAAAAAAAAAGAGGCCAGGCGCGGTGGCTCATGCCTGTAACCCCAGCACTTTGGGAGGCCGAGGCAGGCAGATCACAAGGTCAGGAGATGGAGACCATCCTGGTTAACACGATGAAACCCCGTCTCTACTAAAAATACAAAAAATTAGCGGGGCGTGGTGGCGGGCGCCTGTGGTCCCAGCTACTCGGGAGGCTGAGGCAGGAGAATGGCGTGAACCCAGGAGGCGGAGCTTGCAGTGAGCCGAGATTGCGCCACCGCACTCCAGCCTGGGTGACAGAGCGAGACTCCGTCTCAAAAAAAAAAAAAAAAAAAAAGAGAGATGCGCAGGTGTCTCATCTTAAGCGTATTCCCCTGGAGGCCTGCCATGTGGCAGTGAGGTGACCGGAAGTAGAAAACGAGGACAATCAGACCTCGAACTCACACCCCTCAGCTACAGGAACCGGCGCTGCCACCTCGTCATTTCAGCATCAATCCTGCAGGCGTCACGCTACGTCACATCCGGGAGAGGCCGCGCTGCCGACAGGTGCAACATGCGGCGGCGACGCCCCACTCTAGTCCCGAACGCTAGCCTGAGGCTCGGGACCGCACATGCGCATTCCCCACGGAGGCCACCGCCCCCTGGCTTCCTGGTAGTCCGTGGACACCAGGCGGTGTCTGTGGTCCCCTCCTTCTCGGGCACCTTGCTCGTCCACTGCTTGGGGCACCACTCGGGGAACCCGAGCGCTTTGGAAATGTGGTTCAAAAAAGGACAGCCCTTAAACGCTAGGGTCCCGCCCCTCAGATTGCTCCCAGCATGCAACGCGGCCCCTCCTCCAAAGCCGCTGTGCCCTGGAGGCAGCTGGGAGCTCCAACCGAGCATGGTGCACAGGTGCAAGCGGGTTGTGCTTCCTGTTTGGGGAGTTGTGTCGTTGGTTTTCCGGAAAGCTCGGAAGGAAGGGGCTCCACCACAATAAGGATTTGTGTATCTAAACATACCGAGCCATGCAAAAGGCACAGTTTTCCAAAGACGTTGTAGCAACTTAGCATTTTTTTAATTTTTATTTATTTTTTCTTTTTAGAGATGGGGGGGGTGGTCTCACTGTGTTGCCCAGGCTGGTCTTGAACTCCTGGGCGCAAGCGATCCTCCCGCCTCAGCCTCCCAAAATGCTGGGACTACAGGCGTGAGCCACTGTGCCAGCCACAACTTAGCATTTCTGTTGCACATATTCAGCAATAGCATTTTCCTGGATGTTTTGGGCTTTCAGTCAGTATGGTAGGGAGTAGTAGTATGTCATTTTCGCTCTAATTTGCATTTCCCTTAAGAAAAAACTGAATTATCATTTAAATATTAGCCACTTGGACAAGCTTCCTTTGTGAATGATTAATCAAATCTGTAATTTTACTTCTCTATTGTGCTGCCTGCCTTCTTAGTAATTTATAGGAGCGTTTAGACTCTGTATGCAAGCCCTTTGCCAGATCTGTGTATCGCACGTTTCTTCTTCCATTCTATAAACTCTCTTTTCACTCTGCTATGGTGCCTTTTGTTTTGTAGCTTCTAATATCTGTTCATTCTATTTTATGGTGTTTTTGTGTTTTCAGAAATGTTTGCTTATTCCAATTCATGATCTCTTATGTTTTCACATTTATCTTCGGTGATAAATCTGGAAACAATTTTCATTTATGGCATGATGTAGAGGTATAGATACATTTTATGTTTGTGTAAAGTTCCTGGCTAAGGGGCAGAGGCAAGGACATGACCAAGCAGACACATATTGGCTGGAAATGCTCTCAGAGAAAGCGGGAGAAGCTCAGCTCAGATCCACGTGGAGATGTACTGAAGAGTTCCGGTAGATGGCGGGTGGTACCAAAGCAGAAAAAATGGTTGTAACCATCAATAAGGCCACGCAGCACTAAATGCCAGCCTACACTGACAGCCACTTGGCAAGACACAAGGTCCAACAGTAGAGGACTTTACAAAGGTTCCTGGGCCCCACGTGTGTGTAGAATGGGTGGGCTGCTTCAGCCATAGCCTTGGTCTGAGCAGCTTCCTAAATACTACAGCCATTGGCTTCGCTTGCTTGAGCTGGTTTAACCCTCTTTTATTAATTCTGACCGATGCTCTCTGCTACCATCTAGTGATAACTAATGAAAACGCAGACTACTTAAAACCTTAAAACAACTGATGTCAGGCTATTTACAAGACTGCAGAGGACAATGACTTGTGCATTTTAGAGCTCAAGCCAGAATAACCTTGCTCTTTTGTGATGGGTTTGACTTTCTTTCATATTGGATTAAATCTAGACTTACTGATGGTGCAGTAAAAATTGACACTTGTGTGCACAAAAAGAGAAAAATGACACCGTCCTGTTTTATGTGTGAACATTGTTACTTGCCGTAAAGTTCCCCATGGTTCCCGAGATAAAAAGACATCGTGAAAGGCCCTATAAAAACGAATGCGAAAAAACCACCCCAATTTGTGCCCGTGTGGAACTGGAGAATGGCAAAGATGAGCTGCCTCTGCCCAGTCCTGGATAAATATCAGGTTCCTCAGCAAAATAAATGTGGTTGTTGTGATCTAAATTTTAGGGGGGCGGGGGCAGGCGCGGTGGCTCACACCTGTAATCCCAGCACTTTGGGAGACCGAGAAGGGCGGATCACCTGAGGTCAGGAGTTTGAGACCAGCCTGACCAACCTGGAGAAACCGCGTCTCTCCTAAAAATACAAAATTAGCCAGGCGTGGTGGCACATATCTCTAATCCCAGCTACTCGGGAGGCTGAGGCGGGAGAATCGCTTGAACCCGGGAGGCAGAGGTTGCGGTGAGCCGAGATCGCACCATTGCACTCCAGCCTGGACAATAAGAGCAAACCTCCGTCTCAAAAAATAAAAAATAAATAAATAATTTTGGGGGCGGCATTATGCAGCCATAGAAAGTCAGAACACTGGCATTATGTGACATGTCCTTCCATCCACACCAGGTGACCCTACTAATGTATGAAGTCTTTGAATTTGGCTCTAATTTTGAGATAGTTGTATTTTTAATCACTTTAAGGAATTATTTTCCTAAACAAGTATTTTTACGCTTGATCTTACCCAAAAGGCCGAGAAGCGATCTAAACAAGTATTTCTAAACAGAAATAGAAATTTACTTATGTACAAATACACCCTTACCTCCCTGAGGATATTTCTCATCTCCTTGGTGAATTATATGAACGTATTTGGATTTTCCAATATGGAAACATTTAAGTTCCTGGAATAAGTCCCACTCCTTTATAAATATATGAACAGTTGGGCACCCTATTGTCCCATTAGGATTCATGATTCTTCATTCAAATGTGAGATTACTTTATTCATATATATATATATATATATATATTTTTTTTTTTTTTTTGAGATGGAGTCTTGCTCTGTCGCCCAGGCTGGAGTGCAGTGGCGCGATCTCGGCTCACTGCAAGCTCCGCCTCCCGGGTTCAAGCGATTCTCCTGCATTAGCCTCCCGAGTACATGGGACTACAGGCATGCGTCACCACGCCCGGCTAATTTTTGTACTTTTAGCAGAGACAGGAATTCGCCATGTTGGCCAGGCTGGCCTCTAAGTCCTGACCTCAAGTGATCCGCCCGCCTTGTCCTCCCAAAGTGGTGGGATTACAGGCGTGAGCCACTGTGCCCGGCCTGGACGCTTCTGAAGCTCTAACTTCACGTCTCTTGGCCACAGGCAGGTGTTTTCCACGACCAAGTTGCTAACTGGAAGCGTAAGCGACAGCGTGAGGGGCGGGACTAGAAGGAAAGCTCCTCAGCACTTCCGGTTCTGGTTCTGAACTTAGCGTGTGTTCCAGATCTCCAAAGATATGCAGGTTCAACTTGCAGGCCCAGGCGGGCGAATCACCTGAGGTCAGGAGTTCGAGACCAGCCTGACCAACATGGAGAAACCCAGTCTCTACTAAAAATACAGAATTAGCCGGGCAGGGTCGTGCATGCCTGTAATCCCAGCTACCCGGGAGGCTGAGGCAGGAGAATCGCTTGAATCCGGGAGGCGGAGGTTGCAGTGAGCTGAGATCGCGCCATTTCACTCCAGCCTGGGCAACAAGAGCAAAACTCCGTCTCAAAACAAAAACAAAACTGGGTTTGACCCTGATATGTCAGGGAGCTAGAACTGAGCTGCAAATGGCCTCAGGATAGAACCTTGGAAGACGTGATTCAAATGCCCAAGGATAAGACACTCCTTCCCTCCACCCAAGGATCCCCTTTGGAACTCTGTAGAATTCCTTTTAGGTTCCAAACCACAGCATTCTCAGAGTTCTGACCCCAGGAACTTGGTGTGAACTTAGAGGGGCATTGCTGGTGCCCTGTGGCTTCCCTCAGGTTAAGTGGCTGCGGTGAGGGCAGCTATGACCCTGGCAAGTGCTTCCTAACTTTATAATGGGTTCCAAAAAAGTCTTGATGGGTCACGAGTCTTTGAGAAGTGGAAACTACTATTGTTGCAAACTAAACATCAAAGATTGGATGAGTTTTAATTTTTTCTTAGTTCATCAATGAGACTTTGCTTATTTTGTTTTCCGTTATTTAAAATTAGTAAACTTTACAATTTAAATGGAGCTGGGTTTTCACAAATGCATACTTGTACCACCATAATCAAGATACAAAACACTCTGTCACCCCTAAAAGCCTCCTTCTGCCCTTTTGGAGACAAACTGTCCTGTGACCCTTAATGCCTCATCTGGTTCTAAATTCCTATACTCTTGCTCTATCCAGAATGTCATATAAATGGATGCTTTTGAATACTCTGGTTAAAAACTAACGCTGGCCGGGCACGGTGGCTCACGCCTGTAATCCCAACATTTTCGGAGGCCGAGGTGGGTGGATCACCTGAGGTCAGGAGTTCGAGACCAGCCTGGCCTACATGGTGAAACCCTGTCTGTACTAAAAATACAAAATTAGCTGGGTGTGGTGGCATGCGCCTGTAACCCCAGCTACTTGGGAGGCTGAGGCAGGAGAATCACTTGAACCTGGGAGTTGGAGGTTGCAGTGAGCTGAGATCACGCCATTGCACCCCAGCCTGGGCAACAAGAGCAAAACTCCATCTCAAAACAAACAAACAACAACAACAACAAAACACCTAATGCCATACTTGGCAAACTGTGTAATTTTATTTTTTATCCAGAAGAAGATGACTTGTCTTGAAATATAAAAATTCGAACAGTGCCCAATACAGGTGGTAAGACACATCAGGCTTTCACTATGGAGACATTCCATTACTATTTTGGGATATGTAAGGTTAACCATGAGTCTGCTGCTTGTGATTAACTTGTCATTTTGAGGCAGGAGAATAGGGAATTAGGATAACCAGTTAAGGCATAAGCAAAGGAACAGCAGGTGCAGCCACTTCTAGGCAAGATTAGGCAGAAACAGGCCACATCCTCACTGCTGTGATAACAAGATAGAAGTCTCCACTTCAGACTCTGATTTGACAGGGCCAAGTCTCCACCTCAGCCTCTGATTGGCCATGGCCAAGTCTTCACTTCAGCCTCTGATTGGTTGCAGGCGAATCCTTCATAGGGGGTAACCAATTGGAGTTCTCTAAAGGGCACCTAGGGGTGTTACAAAATTCTTGTAGCCTTATAAAAACCCTAAAGAACATTGCAATCAGGGCTCTTGAGCTGCCCGCTAGGGCCGGCTCCCGCTCCGTGGAGTGTACTTTCATTTAAATAAATCTGCGCTGTCATTGCTTTGTGTGTTTTGTTCAATTCTTTGTTCAATGCGTCAAGAACCTGGACATCTCACAGTCAGCACTTTCCATCTGGTACCAATTTGTACAATGAGAGGAATGTAGGGAAGGAGTGATCAAATAAGCTAACTGTGATTGTGAAATGACACGAAGTCTTTGCAGTGCTATCAAGACTATTTTTTTTTTGAGGTGGAGTTTCGCTTTTGTTGCCCAGGCTGGAGTGCAGTGACGCCATCTCGGCTCGCTGCAACCTCCGCCTCCCGGGTTCAAGCAATTCTCCTGCCTCAACCTCCCAAGTAGCTGGGATTACAGGCACGCACCACCATGCCCAGCTAATTTTTGTATTTTTAGTAGAGACAGCGTTTCTCCATGTTGGTCAGGCTGGTCTCGAACTCCCGACCTCCGGTGATCTGCCCACCTCAGCCTCCCAAAGTGCTGGGATTACAGGCGTGAGCCACTGCGCCCGGCCCGCTATCAAGACTATTAACATTGAAAATGGACACAGACTGGATTTCATTTGCCTTTAATTAAACACAAAGCTGTTACATATTTTTCTCTTCTAATAGCTGCTGGAAGTCTAAGCATATGGAAACGATACCTATGAAAATCAAATGGACATTTTGGGCTTTGTGGATCATTAAAGGTTTACACTTAAAAATTATTTTTTAATTAAAAAAATAAAAATTAATTAAAGGATGACAAATACATTGGGATGTTACTCAAAATGATAATCCTGTCTGCAGCTCACTTCAGTTATTCCTTGACTAGTTCTCTCACCGTCCATAGATTTTATCCTCACCAGGAAATCATGGCACACTTGCCTAGATATCACTGTGCACATGGGAAAACACTCGCAACGGGCTACAACTGTGCAGATGACCATAACTCTTCCTCACCCTGTGAGGAACTCTAGTTTTCTGCAGAACACAATTTTTCCATCAGTGTGTAGGGGCAGCAAAGTGACAATGCCAAATATATAAGGCAATTTAAAATTATTTCACAAAGGTATTAAAAACAAACACCCACATTGTGGTTCAAATCCAGATGAAGTACCTGGTCCCAGATGCCAATGTCCAAACTCATAAAAACATATGACATGGGCCTGGTGCGGTGGCTCACGCCTGTAATCCCAGCTCTGCGGGAGGCCAAGGCGGGCAGATCACGAGGTGAAGAGATCGAGACCATCCTGGCCAACAAGGTGAAACCCCACCTGTACTAAAAATACAAAAAATTAGCTGGGCGTGGCGGGGCACGCCTGTATTCCCAGCCACTTGGGAGGGTGAGGCAGGAGAATCGCTTGAACCTGGGAGGTGGAGGTTGCAGTGAGCTGAGATCGCACCACTGCACTCCAGCCTGGCAACAGAGCAAAACTCCGTCACACACATTCACACACACACACACACACACACACACACACACACTATATATATATATATATAAAATGTATACATCATGCCCTAAAATTTTTAATATTTGCAGAAATGAGGCTGAACCATAAATATACCTTTTGTCTCTTTTTTTTTTTGAGACAGAGTCCCACTCAGTCGCCCAGGCTGGAGTGTAGTGGTTCGATCTCTGCTCACTGCAAGTTCCGCCTCCTGGGTTCACGCCATTCTCCTGCCTCAGCCTCCCGAGTAGCTGGGACTACAGGCACCTGCCACCACGCCCAGCTAATTTTTTGTATTTTTTACTAGAGACAGGGTTTCACCGGGTTAGCCAGGATGGTCTTGATCTCCTGACCTCGTGATCCACCCGCCTCAGCCTCCCAAAGTGCTGGGATTACAGGCGTGAGCCACCGCGCCCGGCCAGGGAAATAATTATTGTTTCTTTTTTTCTTTTTAATTTGACACACGGTCTCATTCTGTCACCCTGGCTGGAGTACAGTGGCAAGATAACTCATTGCAGCCTGGACCTCTTGGTCTCAAGCCATCCTCCACCCTCAGCCTCCTGAGTAGCTGGCTCTACAAGTGCACATCACCATGCCTAGATACTTTTAAAAATTTCTTTTTATAGAGACTGTGTCTCACTATGTGCCCAGACTGGCCTTGAACTCCTGTGCTCAAGTGATCCTCCTGCCTCAGCCTCCCGAAGCTTTGGAATTACAAGTGTGAGCCACTGCCCCTGGTCCTGCCGTTATTTCTGTATTACTGCTCACTATTTCCTAACTCATGAGCAGTTCTTGAAATAGTATTAAAAAAAAAGAAATAGTATTTAAGACATATTACATGGTGGAACTATAAATGAATTCATGATGAGATTGTCACTTACTGAAGCCCGATCCTTTATTCTGCATTCCCTATTATCTACCTTGTCAAGTTTGATACTATACTTTATTCTGCCTTGATATTATCCAAAAAAAAAATTTTTTTTTTTTTGAGATGGAGTCTTACTCTTGTCGCCCAGGCTGGAGTGCAGTGGCGCAATCTTGGCTCACTGCAACCTCTGCCTCCCGGGTTCAAGCGATTCTCCTGCCTCAGCCTCCCAAGTAGCTGGGATTACAGGCGCCTGCCACCACGCCTGGCCAATTTTTTGTATTTTTAGTAGAGACAAGGTTTCACCATGTTCACCATGTTGGCCAGCGTGGTCTCGAACTCCTCACATCAGGTGATCCACCCGCCTCGGTGGGTCCTGGGATTACAGGCGTGAGCCATTGCTACTGGGCTCCAATAAAGTTTAAACTTGTTTTATTAGTTATCTTTTTATGTCTTTTGCTAGACTTATTTAATACTTAAATTTATAAAACCGTTACGTAAGTTTTTGTCATTATGAATAAACAAGAATTTATTAGGCTGGGCGCGGTGGCTCACGCCTGTAACCCCAGCACTTTGGGAGGCCGAGGTGGGCAGATCACAAGGTCAGGAGATCGAGACCAGCCTGGCCAGCATAGTGAAACCCCGTCTCTACTAAAAATACAAAAATTAGCCGGGTGTGGTGGCGGGTGCCTGTAATCCCAGCTCTTCAGGAGGCTGAGGTAGGAGAATCACTTGAACCTTGGCGGGGGGGTTGCAGTGAGCCAAGATCACGGCACTGCACTCCAGCCTGGGTAACAGAGCGAGAATCTGTCTCAAAAAAAAAAAAAAGAATTTCTTAGACAAAATTATAACAGTATAGGAAACAAATGTACTAGAAAGAAAATGTCTAAATCTGAATGCATCTGGTAATATTAATTCAGAAGTATAATTCTTTTTTTTGAGACGGAGTCTCGCTCTGTCACCCAGGCTGGAGTGCAGTGTCGCAATCTTGGCAAGCTCCGCCTCCCAGGTTCAAGCCATTCTCCTTCCTCAGCCTCCCGAGTAGCTGGGACTACAGGCACCTACCAGCACACCCCACTAATATTTTGTATTTTTAGTAGAGATGGGGTTTCACCGTGTTAGCCAGGATGGTCTCGATCTCTTGACCTCATGATCTGCCCGCCTTGGCCTCCCCAAAGTGCTGGGATTACAGGCGTGAGCCACTGTGCCTGGCCCAGAAGTATCATTTTTAAAGTCACCATGTTGATTTGGCAATTTTCAATATTTTAATACATTCTCCCAGTAAATAAAAAACAGAGATTGACATTTGTTAGTATACAACTTATTTGAAAAACTCAGTTAAATAGGCTATTTCTAAGAAACATTTTATCCATTTGTATAGAATCCAACTTCTTTAAAAACACAAACACAGTAAATAGATATTTCTCAGAAACAGAAACTTTTGTTTTAATAATACATAATCAAACATAATAACTGAACACATACTGAGAGATTGTATTCAGCTCTATGTGACAGGAAATTTCCAGAGTTTACCTGATAAGCCAGTATTGTCTTTCATTTTCTCATGAAAGGTAAGATTTATCTCACGAAGAATACTAGGTCACAGTAGATGCAGTAGGGAAACAATCCCCTGTGCTTTTTTAAAAAATTATTCTTTATTTATTTATTTTTGAGACAGAGTCTCGCTCTTTCGCCCAGGCTGGAGTACAGTGGCACGATTCCAGCTCACTGCAAGCTTCGCCTCCCAGGTTCACGCCATCCTCCTGCCTCAGCCTCCCGAGTAGCTGGGACTACAGGCGCCCGCCACCACACCTGGCTAATTTTTTGTATTTTTAGTAGAGACGGGGTTTCACCATGATAGCCAGGATGGTCTCGATTTCCTGACCTCGTGATCCGCCCACCTCAGCCTCCCAAAGTGCTGGGATTACAGGCGTGAGTCACCGCGCCCAGCCGCAATCCCCTGTGTTTTTATGGTTGTACCATTGTATCTGTCATGGAAGCAGGAACACAGAAGCACAAGAAATACTGAGACAATGAGGTATTAAGATAATGATAATATGGCCAGGCATAGTGGCTCACACCTGTAATCCCAGCACTTTGGGAGGCCAAGGCGGGCAGATTTCAGGAGTTTGAGACCACCCTGGCCAACATGGTGAAACCCCGTCTCTACTAAAAATACAAAAATTAGCTGGACATGGTGGTGCATGCCTATAGTCCCAGCTACTTGGGAGGCTGAGGCAGGAGAATCGCTTGAAACCGGGAGGCGGAAGTTGCAGTGAGCCGAGATCGTGCCGTTGCACTCCAGCTTGGGCAACATAACAGGACTCTGTCTCAAAAAAGAAAAAGAAAAAAAACCCAAAAAAACCTATTTTCCAATTCCAACCCAGAAGCCAGGTCAAAGAGCAAACAGCAACAGATGAAAAAAATAGTTCCCACGAGACTACACTCCTCCAAGAATTTGCATGCATACGTATTTCTACCAACTACCTATTAGTCCACAAGCAAAATGAAGAAGGATTCTCTGACCAATAGCATAAAGCCACTGAATTACTTGCCTGTATAAGTAGAAAGTATTAACATTAAAAATAGTTTTTCCCTGTAAAATGGAAAGGTGGAATAAAAGTAACATGGTAGTAATATCCAGCTTGGAACACACAGGGCCAGTCAGAAAATGTCAACAAACACCCATATTTCATTGGTCTAATGGCCTCACACGGAGTAACAAAAAAAATATATAAAAATTAAAGTTAATGCATATTAAAATACATCAGATCACCCATGGGTGCAATACACTTCTAAATGAAAAGAGAAACATTAGTAATTTATAAGAAAAAACCATTATGTATCAAAATTTCAGTACTATAGGTGAGAGAGGACTTACAGGATTCTCCCCTCAACTTTACCTGCAAGAGAACTGCAAATTCATTTGCTAGAGGCCCACTTTTAGGATGTGGTCCTGATAAAGGCAATACCATATTTATAAACGTCATGAGATTCTTCTCCTGCCATGAATTTTCTTTTTTTGGAGATGGAGTCTCGCTCTGTCACCCAGGCTGGAGTGCAGTGGTGCCATCTCGGCTCACTGCAAGCTCCGCCTCCCGGGTTCACGCCGTTCTCCTGCCTCAGCCTCCTGAGCAGCTGGGACTACAGGTGCCCGCCACCACGCCCGGCTAATTTTTTGTATTTTTTTTTTTTTTAGTAGAGACGGGGTTTCACCATAGCCAGGATGGTCTTGATCTCCTGACCTCGTGATCCGCCTGCCTCGGCCTCCCAAAGTGCTGGGATTACAGGCGTGAGCCACTGCGCCCGGCCCTCCTGCTGTGAATTTTCTGAACCATGTATGTGAATTAATTTGCACAGGTTTTCCCCCATTACTTAGATGTACAGGATTTCTTTCCTGTGTGACTTCTCACATGACCTTGAAAGGCTTTGGGACAACTGAAAGCTTTCCCACATTTTTCGCATTTACTGGGCTTCTGTCCAATCTGCGTTCTTACATTTTTGGAAGAGCAAAGCCCGCCTGAAGGTTTTCCCACACTGGCTGCATTTACAGGTTTCTCCCCAGTGTGCTTTCTCTCATGTTTGTGTAAAGATGAGGACCAACCATACGTTTTCCCACACGTTTCACATTTATAGACTTTCTCTCTAGTTTGTGATTTGACATCTGTGGAGGGGCGAGGCCTCGCGGAAGACTTTCCCACGCTGCCCCCACTCACAGGTTTCTTTTTAGCATGCGTTCTCGCGTGTTTGTGTAAGGATGAGGGCCAACCGAATGCTTTCCCGCATTTTCCACACTTATAGGGTTTCTCCCCGTTGTGAATTCTCACGTGTCGTTGAAAGGATGTTGCCCAGCAGTAGGCTTTCCCACACTGCTTGCACTCATACGGTCTCCCTCCGGCGTGCATGATCATATGGACTCGAAAGGATTTCTGACACCTGAAGGCTTTCCCACAGTGCTTGCACTCATACGGTCTCCCTCCGGCGTGCATCATCACATGTGCGCGAAAGGATTTGGGACAACTGAAGCCTTTCCCACACTGCCCACATTCGTAGGGTTTCTCTCCAGTGTGAGTCCTTACATGTTCAGTGAGAGAGTGGGAACGAAGAAATGTCTTCCCGCAAGATTGACAGGCATAGGGTTTCTCTCCACTGTGAGTTTTCTCATGCGTCTGTAGGTAGGAAGGGCGACTGAAGGCTTTCCCACATTCCTTACATTTATATAATTTTTGTCCAGAGTGAGCTCTTTTGTGCCTTATCAGGGATGAGGAATGGGTGAAGAGTTTTCCACACTGACTGCATTCGTACCGTCTTACACTAGTACAACAATTCTTGCGCAGATGACGATTACAATTTCGAGTCTTTCTGAAGGTTCTTCCACGTTTATTACCTTTACTGCTTTTACATGGTCTCTCCACCCTTGGATTTCTGCTAAAAATGGGTAGCACATTATTAATGGTTTATGCCTTAATAATTTCTTTTTTTTTTTCCTTGAGATGGAGTTTTGCTCTTGTTCCCCAGGCTGGAGTGCAGTGGCATGATCTTGGCTCACTGCAACCTCTGCCTCCCAGGTTCAAACAATTCTGTCTCAGCCTCCTGAGCAGCTGGGATTACAGTCACATGGCACCACGCCCAGCTAATTTTTGTATTTTTGGTAGAGACAGGGTTTCACCATATTGGTCAGGCTGGTCACAAACTCCTCACCACAGGTGACCCACCTACCTTGGCCTCTCAAAGTGCTGGGATTACAGGCATAAGCCACTGCACCGGCCAATTATTTCTTAATATATATTAATGAATATTAGGATAACATTTTTGCCATTTTCTATACAAGGGTAAGTTTCCTGTACTGTTGAAATTATTTCAAACTAGAATAAACGAAATACTCTGGTAGATAGTTCAACCACAGTCCATTACAAAAACAATAGTAATATGTGGGGCTCTCTGATAATTGTTTCTAACAGAATTATCATTTTTTTTTTTTGAGATAGAGTCTCACTCTGTTGCCCAGCCCAGGCTGGAGTGCAGTGGCACGATCTTGGCTTGCTGCAACCTCCGCCTCCTGGGTTCAAGCAATTCTCCTGTCTCAGCCTCCTGAGCAGCTAGGATTACAGCCACATGCCACCACGCCTATTTTTGTATTTTTAGTAGAGACAGGGTTTCACCATGTCGGTCAGGCTGGTCACAAACTCCTCACCCCAGGTGATCCGCCTCCCTCGGCCTCCCAAAGTGCTGGGATTACAGGTGTGAGCCACCGCGCCCATTTTTGTATTTTTAGTAGAGACAAGGTTTCACCATATGGGTCAGGCTGGTCACAAACTCCTCACCCCAGGTGATCCGCCTCCCTTGGCCTCCCGAAGTGCTGGGATTACAGGCATGAGCCACCGTGCCTGGCGATACTGCCTTTTTCTTCTAAGTACAACTCACCTCAAATGTCTCTCCTTGGTGTTGTGCTTGTCTTTAACGCTATGTTCTTCCCAATTTTTTCCTAAAAGGGAGGCCCATATATTCTTTCTTGTGAACTTTTCTATTTTCTGTTTGAGGGATAATTTTTCTCCAGAAGTATCCTGCTGAGAAATAGACCCACTGGCTTTAAGCTGAGCCTCATTATCTGAAACAAAAAAGTGAACCAATATGATGAGGAAGGCATCTGCAAAGAAAGAAGTAATTCAGGTGTTTAATTGTTTCATGACTTCATTATGTGATTTTATTTTATTTATCTATTTATTTATTTATTTTTGAGACGGAGTCTCACTCTGTCGCCCAGGCTGGAGTGCAGCGGCGCGATCTCGGCTCACTGCAAACTCTGCCTCCCGGGTTCAAGCGATTCTCCTGTCTCAGCCTCCCAAGTAGCTGGGATTACAGGTGCGTGCCACCATGCCCAGCTAATTTTTTTTATTTTTAGTAGAGACGGGGTTTCACCATATTGGCCAGGCTGGTCTTGATCTCCTGACCTTGTGATTCGCCTGCCTTGGCCTCCCAAAGTGCTGGGATTACAGGTGTGAGCCACTGTGCCCGGCCTGACTTCATTATGAAGAAGTACAAGAGCTCTCCTTCTGCCATCTTGGAGCCTGTGGAGGCCTGCAGGGAACACGACTCCCAAAAGAAAATGTGTCTGGAAGGTGGTGGTCCAAGGCCATTTTGGCTGCCTATAAGCAGGGTCTCCAGAACCAAAGGGAGCACACAGTTCTTCTTAAAATTGAAGGTGTTTGGCCGGGCGCAGTGGCTCACGCCTGTAATCCTGGCACTTTGGGAGGCCGAGGCGGGCGGATCACGAGGTCAGGGGATGGAGACCATCCTGGCTAACATGGTGAAACCCTGTCTCTACTAAAAATACAAAAAATTAGCCGGGCGTGGTGGCGGGCGCCTGTAGTCCCAGCTACTCGGGAGGCTGAGGCAGGAGAATGGCGTGAACCTGAGACACAGAGCTTGCAGTGAGCCGAGATCGTGCCACTGCACTCCAGCCTGGGCGACAGAGCAGGATTCTGTCTCAAAATAATAATAATAGTAATAATTGAAGGTGTTTATGTTCAAGATGAAACTGAATTCTATTTGGGTAAGAGACATGCTTATGTATACAAAGCAAACAACAACACAGTAACTCCTGGTGGCAAACCAAACCAAACCAGAATCATCTGAGGGAAGGGCATTCAGGCCCACAGAAACAGTGGCATGATTCATGCCAAATTCTGAAGCAATCTTCCTGCTAAGACCACTGGACACAGAGTCCCTGTGATGCTGTCCCTCTCAAGGATTTCAACTAATGAGAAGCAAAAAAAAAAAAAAAAAAGTACAAGCAGTCAAAATGGTAGACAATTTTAAATACACAGAAAAATCATCACAAGGTTTCAAACAATTAACCTCTCTGTGCCGCCAGTATATACCTGCGCTGGTAACACAAAAGGACCCTAAGTCTTTTCTTTTTCTTTCTTTCTTTCTTTCTTTTTTTTTTTTTTTTTTGAGACAGAGTCTTACTCTGTCACCCAGGCTGGAGTGCAGTGATACAATCTCGACTCACTGCAGCCACTGCCTCCCGAGTTCAAGGGATTCTGCTGCCTCAGCCTCCCAAGTAGCTGGGACTAAAGGTGCCCTCCGCCACACCTGGCTAATTTTTTGTATTTTTAGTAGAGACAGGGTTTCACTATGTTAGCCAGGATGGTATCAAACTCCTGACCTCGTGATCCGCCCGCCTCGGCCTCCCAAAGTGCTGGTATTACAGGCATGAGCCACCGCGCCTGGCTGATCCTAAGTCTTTTCAACAAGGCAGAAAGAAAAGTACAGATTGATAGGTAGATTTTTATTATCACAGAGAAGCTACTGAATTTTAGGTCCAGGACATCAATGATTATAACTGTCTTATTAACCAATGTATTCCCCTTCTGCATTCTAAATCTTAGAATAGGCTTAATGAGCAAGAAATATTTATTTATTTATTTATTTATTTTTTGAGACGGAGTCTCACTCTATGGCCCAGGCTAGAGTGCAGTGGCATGATCTTGGCTCACTGCAACCTCTGCCTCCCGGGTTCAAGCAATTCTCCTGCCTCAGCCTCCCGAGTAGCTGGGATTACAGGCACGCACCACCATGCCCAGCTAATTTTTTGTATTTTAGTAGAGATGGCATTTCACCGTGTTGCCCAGGCTGGTCTCGAACTCCTGAGCTCAGGCAATCCACCCGCCTTGGCCTCCCAAAGTGCTGAGATGACAGGCGTGAGCCACCGTGCCTGGCTCTTTTTTCTTTTTTATTTGAGACAGGGTCTCAAGTTGTCACCCTGGCTGGAGTACAGTGGTGTGATCATGGGTCACTGTAGCCTTGAACTCCTGGTCTCAAGCGATTCTCCTGCCTCAGCCTCTCAAGTAGCTAGGACTACAGGAGCATGCTACCACACCGGGCTAATTTTTGATTTTTTTTTTGTAGAGACAAGGTCTCACTATGTTGCCCAGGCTGGTTGTCAACTCCTAGCCTCAAGTGATCCTCCTGCCTTAGCCTCCTAAAGCACTGGGAATACAGGCATGAACCACTGCAACCAGACAAAACATTTATTATCTAATAACTAAGTGCAGAAATAATGCTATCCTCACCTACTGAGGCCAGGTGCTTGAAGGTCTCCAGCATGACATCTCTGTAGAGTTTTCTCTGAGCAGGATTCAGCAAGGCCCACTCCTCCAGCGTGAAATCCACAACCACGTCTTCAAAGACCACTGTGTCCTAAAACAAACCACATATGTGTACATGAGGATGGGGTAAAACTCACAGCACTGCGGAACTGAACTCAGTTCATAGGACACTCACACAAGATCCTGCAGTCTGCCAATATCTATTTAAGACTCAGTCCTCAGACCTCTTCCCCTCTGTCTGTAATCACTTCCTGTGTCGTAGGTTTTTTTGTCTTTGACAAATAAAAGTTGTATACATTTAAGGTGTAGGTGATGATTTGATACACATATACACTGGGAAATGACTGCCATGAAGTTAATTAACACATCTGTTACCAGTTACCTTTTTAAAAAATCTGATGGTAAGAACAAGTAAGATTTACACTCTTAGTACATTTCATTTTTTTTTTTTTTGAGACGGAGTCTTGCTCTGTCGCCCCAGGCTGGAGTGCAGTAGGGCGATCTCGGCTCACTGCAAGCTGCGCCTCCTGGGTTCAAGCGATTGTCCTGCCTCAGTCTCCCAAGTAGCTGGGATTACAGATGCACACCAACATGCCTGGATAATTTTTATATTTTTAGTAGAGATGGGGTTTCACCATGTTGGCCAGGCTGCACTTGAACTCCTGACCTCAAGTAATCCAGCTGTCTTGGCCTCCCAAAATGCTGGGATTACAGGCGTGAGCCACCACACCCGGCCTTTTAGTATATTTCTTTTTTTTTTTTTTTTTTGAGATGGAGTCTCGCTCTGTCACCCAGACTGGAGTGCAGTGGCGCGATCCCGGCTCATTGCAACCTCCACCTCCCGGGTTCAAGCAATTCTCCTGCCTCAGCCTCCTGAGTAGCTGGGATTACAGGTGCCCGCCACCACACCTGTGGGCAGCAAGCCACCCAGGTGCCGAGGCAAGAGACCGAGGACATGAGCTGTTCCAGTATAATAAAATATCAAGTAAGAATAGTTATACCAGATATAGATCTTAGATATGATTATATATGAATATAATTAATCATCAGTTAGTAGTACTTACTCTTTATTCCAATATTATAATAATCCTCGCTCTATAATCATAACCTAGGAAAAACCAGGCCATACAGAGATAGGAGCTGAGGGGACATAGTGAGGAGTGACCAGAAGACAAGAGTGCGAGCCTTCTGTTATGCCCAGACAGGGCCACCAGAGGGCTCCTTGGTCTAGCGGTAACGCCAGCGTCTGGGAAGACGCCTGTTGCCAAGTGAACCGTGGTCTAGCGGTAGCGTAAGTGTCAAGGAAAAACACCCGCTACTTAGCAGACCAGGAAAGGGGAGTCTCCCTTCCCCCGGGGGAGTTTAGAGAAGACTCTACTCCTCCACCTCTTGTGGAGGGCCTGACATCAGTCAGGCCCGCCCGCAGTTATCCCGAGGCCTAACCGCCTCCCTGTGATACTGTGCTTCAGTGGTCACGCTCCTAGTCCGCTTTCATGTTCCATCCTGTACACCTGGCTCTGCCTTCTAGATAGCAGTAGCAAATTAGTGAAAGTACTAAAAGTCTCTGATAAGCAGAAATAATGGCATAAGCTGTCTCACTCTCTGTCTCCTCTCTCTCTCTGCCTCGGCTGCCACGCAGGGAAGGGCCCCCTGTCCAGTGGACATGTGACCCATGCATCCTTACCTATCATTGGAGATGGCTCACACTCCTTATCCTGCCCGTTTGTCTTGTATCCAATAAATATCAGTGCAGCCTGGCATTCGGGGCCACTACCGGTCTCTGCGACTTGGTGGTTGTGGTCCCCCGGGCCCAGCTGTCTTTTATCTCTTTGTCTTGTGTCTTTATTTCTACGCTCTCTTGTCTCTGCACATGGGGAGAAACCCACCGACCCTGTGGGGCTGGTCCCTATACATGCCCAACTAATTTTTGTATTTTTAGTAGAGATGGGGTTTCACCATGTTGGTCAGGCTGGTCTCGAACCCCTGGCCTCGTGATCCACCCACCTCAGCCTCCCAAAGTGCTGGGATTACAGGCGTGAACCACCGCACCAGGCCCAGTGTATTTCAAGTATACATTACAGTATCCTTAAATACAGTCACCATTTGGACACTGGATGTAGAGAATTTATTCACCTTACAATGGAAAGTTGGTTCACTTTGACCAACATCTCTCCCCACTTCCCCTGTCCCTCAGCCGCAGGCAATCACTCTTCTACTCTCTTCCTCTAGGAATCTGGTTCTTTTTGATTCTTCATGTAAGTAAGATCATCCGGTATTCATCTTTCTATGCCTGGTTTGTCTCACATAGCATAATGTGCCCCAGGTTCATCAGTGCTGTCACCAATGGCAGGATTTCCTTCTTTATTATGACTGAATAACATTTAACTGTATATATGTGTATGTCATATACTTTTTTTTTTCTTGAGACGGCATCTCACTCTGTCGCCCAGGCTGGAGTGCAGTGGCGTGATCTCAGCTCACTGCAACCTCTGTGTTTTCATATATTCTTTATCCTGTGTCATAGTCTTTAGAATTTTTTTTTTTTTTTGAGATAGAGTCTCGCTCTGTCACCTAGGCTGGAGTGCAATGGTGCGATCTCGGCTCACTGCAACCTCCACCTCCAAGGTTCAAGTGATCCTCCCGCCTCAGCCTCCCGAGTAGCTGGGATTACAGGCACACATCACCATGCCTGGCTAATTTTTTGTATTTTTAGTAGAGACAGGGTTTCACCGTGTTAGCCAGGATAGTCTCGATCTCCTGACCTTGTGATCCACCTGCCTCGGCCTCCCAAAGTGCTGGGATTACAGGTGTGAGCCATCGCGCCCGGCCTTTTTTTTTTTGAGATGGAGTCTCACTCTGTCGCCCAGGCTGGAGTGCAATGGCATGATCTCGGCTCACTGCAAACTCCACCTTCAGAGTTCAAGCGATTCTCCTGCCTCAGCCTCCCGAGTAGCTGGGATTACAGGCGTGTGCCACCACGTCCAACTGATTTTTGTATTTTTAGTAGAGATGAGGTTTCACCATGTTAGCCAGGCTGGTCTCAAACTCCTGACCTCAAGTGATCTGCCTGCCTCGGCCTCCCAAAGTGCTGGGATTACAGGCGTGAGCCATCGTGCCTGGCCAGAAAATTTTTTAGAGACAAGGTCTCACTCTGCTGTGCAGGCTGGAGTGCAATGGCGCAATGAGAACTCGCCGCAGCCTTGAACTCCTGGGCTCAAGCCATCCTCCTGCTTCCCAACTAACTGGGATTACAGGTGTGTGCCGCCATGCCTGGCTAATTTTTATTATTATTATTATTTTTTAGTAGACTCAGGGTTTTACCATGTTGGTCAGGCTGGTCTCGAACTCCTGACCTCAACTGATCCACCTGCCTCGGCCTCCCAAAGTGCTGGGATTACAGGCATGGGGGCCCAACCCAAAATAGTAAAATGTCATCTGTTCCCTGAAATTAGCGACAAGAGAAGCTTTCAGATGTGATCCAATTTAAATTAATCATGGCGAATGTAGTATACAATGAAAAAATATAGAAAGGAGAAAATTGTTCTGGGTGGGAGAAACAGCCAGAGGTTAGGCCCTATGGAAGGAGCGGGTCTTGGCTCTTTCAGGCACAGCCAGAGCCTGTGTGACTGGACAGAGGGGAATGGGGAGTGACAGCCAAGGGGGGTCGAGTGACAGGAAGTGAGGCACATCACTTTGTGGGGAACTCATCAGCCACAGTAAGGACTTTGGCTCTGAGTGACTCCTCCAGGCCTTTGCACAGAGCAGTGATCTCATCTGACAGCTGAGACTAGATCATAGGGGACACATACAGACACCGGGACACCAGTTAGGAGGCGAAAGCCGCACTAGATGAGAAGTAGGCGTGTCAGCTTGGGTGTCACAGTGCAGTCCTGTGCAAGAGCAGCATAAGAGGAGATCTAGGCCGGGCGCGGTGGCTCACGCCTGTTAATCCCAGCACTTTGGGAGGCCGAGGTGGGCGGATCATGAGGTCAGGAGATTGAGACCATCCTGGCTGACAAGGTGAAACCCCGTCTCCACTAAAGTACAAAAAAATTAGCCAGGCGTGGTGGAGGGCACCTGTAGTCCCAGCTACCCAGGAGGCTGAGGCAGGAGAATGGCATGAACCCGGGAGGCGGAGCTTGCAGTGAGCTGAGATCGCGCCACTGCACTCCAGCGTCGGTGACAGAGCAAGACTCCGTCTCAAAAAATAAAAAATTTAAAAAAAGAGGAGATATAAAATTTCCTCATGGGCTCAAGGTGGGGCAAGACAGAGCAGGAAGAATCAAGGAAGACTAATTATTTCACACAGGAAAGCTGGAATAATGGAGTTACCAGCAACTGAGATGTAGGCGGTAATATGTGGACCAGGCTCTTGGGGAGAGGATGAGGATATACTGCAGTGCAGCTGAGAATAAGGCATTCAAGTGGACACACATGTAATAATGTCTTTAGGGGCACTGGTCACAATGGAAAAAATTTGAAAATACCCGAATAGTCACTAGCAAGCAGTGGAATTAATGAACACTAACAATATATCCCTATGAGTGAATATAAAAGAGTGATAAAGGGGCCAGGTGTGGTGGCTCACGCCTGTAATCCCAGCACTTTGGGAGGCTGAGGTGGGTGGATCAGCTGAGGTCAGGAGTTCGAGACCAGCCTGGCCAACATGGTGGAACCCCGTCTCTACTAAAAATACAAAAATTAGCTGGGTGTGGCCACACGTGCCTGTAATCCCAGCTATTCGGGAGGCTGAGGTAGGAGAATCGCTTGAACCCAGGAGGCGGAGGTTGCAGTAAGCAGAGATCGCGCCATTGCACTCCAGCCTGGGTGACAGAGCGAGGCTCCATCTGAAAAAAAAAAAAAAATTAGCTAGTCATGGTGGCACATGCTGCCTGTAATCCAAGCATTCTGGGAGGCCAAGGCGGGTGGATCACCTGAGGTCAGGAGTTGGAGACCAGCTTGGCCAACATGGTAAAACCCTGTCTCCACTAAAAATACAAAAATTAGCTGGACGTGGTGGCACACACCTGTAGTCCCAGCTGCTGGGGAGGCTGAGGCAGGAGAATCAATCGCTTGAACTCAGGAGGCGGAGGTTGCAGTGAGCCGAGATCGCGCCACTGCACTCCAGCCTGGGTGACAGAGCAAGACTCCGTTTCAAAAAATAAAAACAAAAAATAAAAGAACAGAATTATCATCTATCACAAATTCTCCATCCTGGAAAAGGAGAATAACTGATATTTTAGCGAGTTTTTGTAATTCACCAAATTATATACCAAACATTTTTTTCTTGTAGGAATGTATTCATTTCGGGGCGTGTCATAATAAAAGAGAGATTTTCTCTCTTTCTCTGCGATTCTTTTTCCCGGGAGCCCCGTCAAGGGCTAAGCCCTGGAATCCCATTTGTCATCACCGAAAATAAAACAACAGATGTGAGAAACTTAACCACACGGGCAAAAAAGGAACAGAAAATAAAAAGAAAAAAAAAAGGCACGCTAGAATTTTTAACAAATGGAATGTAAGACGAGAACTTTATTTTTTTCTGAAATTCACCTCCTTGGAAATATTTTATCTTTCAAACTCTATTATTTACTGTATGTTCCATTGACTGAAAAAATCTGAGGCTCAAGTAACCAAATCAATCTTTAGAAGGAGAGAGGCCCAGGCAGGGGCGGCTGGGCTGGAGTCCGGCCTGCGGGCCTTTGGGGTCAGGCCAGCCCGTGCCGCCACGTGGAGCGCCCGCACCACCTGTCCACCCCTCGCCCCTCCCAGGGACGTGGGCCTGGGCCCAAAGTCTGCATCCAAAGCGCATTCTGCTTTGGGGCTGTTGCACCGCCTCGCTGGGGTGAGGTTTTTTTTTTTTTTGTTTTGTTTTTTGTACTTTGGGTTAGTTTTTCTTCCAATTAACTTCGCGAGACCCCACAGGGCAGGAGTCATTTCTGCCTTTTTTTCCCCTCCATCCCAGCGTCCTGACAACTACGACTTTCCAGGGAATGAAGACTGGGGCAGGGGAGGAAACTCCCCGCAGGACCCGGGGGTGACACAGGGACAGAGGCTGCATGGGGGTTCCGGGCGGCTCCCCCGGGAGTTTCAGCGTGTTCTGGCCGCTTCCAACCCTCCCCTCCCAGGGCTCCGGCTCCGGCTCGGCTCCTGCCCTGCACTCACCATGTCCTGTCCGTTCCTGAGCTCTTTGAGGAGCTCCCTGCTCCTCGCAGCCGGTGCAGGTGAGCACGACGGGGACACCTGTGGTCACTCAGGGCAGGCCGGGTGTGCTCTGCAGGGAGGACAGCAACGCCCCGCCCCTGGGGCTGTGATTGGATGGTTCTCTTCTCTGCTCATCTCTGATTGGAGAGTTCACCAGTCACATCCCAACTCCCCTGATTGGACAGTTCTTTAGACTCTGCCCCTCCTCTTCTGGTTGGTCAGCTTGCTATCCCCTGAGCTCCCCTGATTGGGCAGTTCTTCAGGCCCCACCCCAGCTTTCCTAATTGGTCATGTTTCCACGCCCTGCCTCAGCTCCTTTGATTTGACAGGTCTCCAGGCTCTGCCCCAACCCCCCTGATTGACAGTTCTCATCCGGATGCTCCACCTCAACTCCCCTGATTGGTCAGTTCTCTAGGCCCCACCCCAGCTGCCTGATTGGTCAGTTTTCAGGTCTCGGGTCCTGCAGGCAGCAGCCCCCATCCACGGTGGTCTCCTTCCTGAAATGAAAGTGGTACTGACTTAGAGGGAAACCTGGGCCCTTGGGGTATCCACCGTAGAAAAAAGCAGCTTCTTCTGTCCTCAGTCTGTTGTCAGATTCCATGACACTGGAGGAGGTCCCCTCTCTCTCCTGACCAGTAGACACCTGGGGAGGCCCATGGGGTCAAGTGAGTGACCAACGAAAGCTTTACCATTCCCTAACTAGGGTCAGCACAATTGCTAGAACTGAACTCTTGAGCCATTAGCAATGGTCTAGCCAGCCGGGCGCGGTGGCTCATGCCTGTAATCACAGCACTTTGGGAGGCCAAGGTGGGTGGATCACCTGAGGTCAGGAGTTTGAGACCAGTGTGGCCAACATGATGAAACCCTGTCTTTACTAAAAATACAAAAAATTAGCCGGGTGTGGTGGTGGGTGCCTGTAATCCCAGCTACTCGGAGGCTAAGGGGGAAGAATCGCTTGAACCTGGAAGGCGGAGGTTGCAGTGAGCTGAGATTGCCCCACTGCACTCAGCCTAGGCAACAAGAGGGAAACTCCGTCTCAAAAACAACAACAACAACAAAAACATAGAAAACAAAACAAAACAAAAAAACCGAAAACACACTTAAAAAAAACTGTGGCAACAACTGTATCCTAGGTCAATATTTTGAGGTTAAAGCACTCTGGGGATATTTTGCCTCACAGTTTCTCAAGTAAAAATCAAGGTCACGAATATCTGTGTACCTATGAAAACTCAAACACCACAGCTGAGCGCTCAATGTGCAGGCAGATGAATAGTCTACAGGCAAATGACATATAATCAAGGAGGCATAATCCCTGGAAGCCTGTTGGTAGGGCTGAGAGCAAATAGATTTTATAGGGTCCCCGCCCACCTTTGCAGAGGCTATTCCGTATACTGTGATCACGGAAGCCACTTAAATGCAAATATTCCTTACCAATCCCACCAGACGTTCTCCTGCTGAGCCACAATACAGGGTTTCACCAAGACCCGCCCTTCCCTTGGGGTTACAGATGCTACTGACAGTGATCAAGGTGCTCAGTTCTTTTCTCAAACGACACTGTAGCGAGATTGATAAGGAATCAGAGAGACCGATGGGGTTCAGGAGGATATTTATTATTTAGCTGCACCAGCCCAGTCCGATTAACACCCAAAGGACTGAGCCCTGAACAAAGAGTTAAGTTACCTTTGAAGCATTTTGTGGGGCCGGGGGAGATCTGTGCAGGGGGAAGCATATTACAGAAGCGAGAGACAAAGAGAGTTATTCAATTAATTGAGACGTGCATTACATCATTTCTTACTTTTCAAGGCAAAACATGTTTTGCAACTTGAGTTTATCTGTCTAGTGAACTTGCAGCTGCACAACTAGGGAAACAGGGCCTTCACAATGCCTGGGAAGGGAGGAGAGATAAGGCTCACTAGCCACAGAAAAACAGGCAGTTAATTTTTAAAAGACTCCAGCTCTTTCTTGTTCTCAGGGGGAATTGGGTTTTCTTACATACAACTGAGTTTCTGCTTACACATTCTTTAATCTGTTTTAATTCCTGTTCCAACACAACACTGGGCTCTTTTATTTATTTATTTATTTATTTATTTTATTTTAATTTTTTGAGATGGAGTCTCGCTTAGTCACCAGGCTGGAGTGTAGTGGTGCAATCTCAGCTCACTGCAACCCCTACCTCCCGGGTTCAAGCGGTTCTCCTGCCTCAGCATCCCCAGTAGCTGGGACTACAGGTGCCCGCCACTACGCCCAGCTAATTTTTGTATTTTTAGTAGAGACAGGGTTTCACCATGTTGGTCAGGATGGTCTTGGTCTCTTGACCTCGTGATCCACCTGTCTCAGCCTCCCAAAGTGCTGGGATTACAGGCATGAGCCACCATGCCTGGCCAACGCTGGGCTCTTGAACAAGGCGTTCAAAGCAACTTTCTGCTCTCTTATACTCTCGGGCTAGAGGCCTCCTAGAACTGATGGCTCAAACAAACCTTGCTGACATTACAGACCACACATGGTCTTCTAAACGGGTCTTCTCCACTGTGTGCAGCTTTACTTAGGCTCGACCCCAGCCTTTAGGGCCCCCTACTTTGTCCTGATCATCAGACTTACTGGCACCTTAGAGTACAACCCATAACACATGCTTCTTTCTTTCTTTTTCTTTTTCTTTCTTTTTTTTTTTTTTTTTTTTTTTGAGACAGAGTCACGCTCTGTTGCCCAGGCTGGAGTGCAGTGGCACGATCTGGGCTCACTGCAAGTTCTGCCTCCAGGGTTCACGCCATTCTCCTGCCTTAGCCTCCCGAATAGCTGGGACTACAGGCGCCTGCCACCATGCCCGGCTAATTTTTTGTGTGTTTTTAATAGAGACAGGGTTTCACCGTGTTAGCCAGGATGGTCTCGATCTCCTGACCTCGTGATCCGCCCGCCTCAGCCTCCCAAAGCGCTGGGATTACAGGCGTGAGCCGCCGCGCCCGGCCACCATCTTTAGTTTCTACAGGAGAACTACACATCCGATGCTTCTAGCTTCCTTGGCTATTGTTTTAGGCTACCGTTACCTTCTTGCTTATCAAGTTGCATATTTACTTCTTGGGGCTAACTAGGTGACTGAAATTTACCTTGAAGAAAAGCAAGATTGTTCTTTATTTCTATGCCTGGGAGATCCACAGGCCGTGAAGAGGGAGTCCCTGCTCCATCTCACACCCACTCCCAAACCTCCTCTTGAGACAAGTGTGCTAATTTTCTGCTCATTGCACATACTTTTTGGGCCACCACGGGCACTGCCTTAGGCACACATGATGTCATCCTGTCAACTCAAACCATGAAGCCATCGGAAAACGTTCAGCACACTCTAACCACACGCAGCAGAGAGCTAATGCTTTAGATGCTTTCCGTGAAGGACAACGCTCCCTGGCAGACTCGACAGCTGATGACTGCTTGGCTCCGGGCTATTTGTTGGCCAGCCAGGGAGAGTTATGTTCCCTTAAAGGGGCTGCTGGCTATACGTGGGTACTGGAAAGTTTCCACAAATAACAATTGTTGGGGACCAGCCTTAACATCACCCGTAGGGTACCCAAAGTCCAGTGGTGACGAAGGAATGAGAAGAGACAGGTTAAGAGTGCATAAAGAGGCAAGGTGCAGTGGCTCACGCCTATAATCCCAGCACTTTGGGAGGCTGAGGCGGGTGGATCACAAGGTCAGGAGATCGAGAGCATCCTGGCTAACGCAGTGAAACCCTGTCTCTACTAAAAATACAAAAAATTAGCCGGGCATGGTGGCGGGCACCTGTAGTCCCAGCTACTTGGGAGGCTGAGGCAGAAGAATGATGTGAACCCAGGAGGCGGAGCTTACAGTGAGCCGAGATCGCGACACTGCACTCCAGCCTGAGAGACTCCGTCTGAAAACAACAACAAAACAAAAAAAAAAACAAAGAAGGTCAATATCTCTGAGGGGCAGATACTAGGCTCTGAGGCAGCACGTGAGAGGACGGCATACAGAGGTTTAGCAAAGGAGCAAAAGTAGGAATTCTCAGTGAAGAGAGCCAGCTGCTCCTAGAATTATACATATCTTTTTGTTGTTGTTGTTGTTTTGTTTGTTTTTTTAGACAGAGTCTTGCTCTGTTGCCCAGGCTGGAGTGCAGTGCCACGATCTCGGCTCACTGCAACCTCTGCCTCCTGGGTTCAAGCAATTCTCCTGCCTCAGCCTCCTGAGTAGCTGGGACTACAGGCGTGAGCCACCACGCCCAGCTTTTTTTTGCATTTTTAGTAGAGACAGGGTCTCCCTGTGTTAGCCAGGATAGTCTCGATCTCTTGACCTCATGATCCACCCACCTTGGCCTCCCAAAGTGCTGGGATTACAGGCGTGAGCCACTTCACCCGGCCCATACCTGCTTTTATTTTGCGGAGAGCGATGGATAAAATTGATTCAAGGTGTTCTGGGTGAGCTTTGGGTGCCCTGAGATACCTCGCATCCTAAGTAATAGCTATCTACACCCACTGAAATTTAGATTGGGAGACTTTATGGCTTAATTCAGCTAGTGTCTCTAGGAGAATGAGGAAATCCATAAGACCACCTTGCTTAGTTTGGCTACAAAGGCATCATCAGTATACTGAACACGAGTAGAGCCTTGGATAAATGTTACAAAGTCTGAGTAGGCCTTAAGGACTTGGGAAAATATGGATGGGGTACCAGCAATATTCCTGAGGTGTGCAGGCCATACCCACTGTCCTCCTCTAAACAGAAGTGCAAAGAGGAACTGTGAATCAGGACGCAAAGGAATGGAAAAGACAGCTGAGCAGAGGTCCATTCATGCAAACCAGGCTGCAGACACAGGAACTAGGGTAAAAATAGTGGGAACTGTAGGGTGGTGAGGAACTACAAGAATTATGGCTATTAGATTTTGTAAAATTGGTAACTTTGGTGCTCATCAAAGTCAAACTTCCCTTCTCATCTTTACGGGCAAGACTGGGGTATTATAGTGGGAGAAAGTAAAGATAATGGACACTGTGCTGTAATAAAGTCTAGTATAGATTCAGTTCCTTGTTCTGCATATTGACACGAGAGGGCATTGAGCTATTGATTGAAAAGGCTTAGGCTGGACGCGGTGGCTCCCACCTGTAATCCCAGCACTTTGGGAGGCCAAGGCGGGCGGATCAAGAGGTCAGGAGATCGAGACCATCCTGGCTAACACGGTGAAACCCCATCTCTACTAAAAATACAAAAAATTAGCCAGGCATGGTGGTGGGCGCCTGTAGTCCCAGCTATTCAGGAGGCTGAGGCAGGAGAATGGCGTGAACCCAGAAGGTGGAGCTTGCAGTGAGCCGAGATCGCGCCACTGCACTCCAGCCTGGGCGACAGAGCGAGACTCCATCTCAAAAAAAAAAAAAAAAAAAAAAAAAAAAAAGAAAAGGCTTATTCCTTTTCCAGGCAACGTGCACAGTCTCTGCGCTCTGCAGCAATGCAACTTCCTTTGCATATGAGGCCCAGAGTCTAACTGGAACATCAGTCATTAGAAGTAGTTGGAACATCACTTGAGGTTGCATCCTCTTCAGAGGACAAGTCTCAATTAGGGAAAATAGAAAGTTTGAAGTTTGGTCTCAGGTCAGGGGAATAAAAACACCTTTCCCATTACATTGCATGATGGCATTAAATTTATGTAGCAAATCACTACCTAGACAGTTTACCGGTGAGGCTTCAGAAACTGGAAAGCTATAATGAGTGTTAATCAGAACTGAGGATATTGGTGTGGCCTGAGACATGGGTGATGAAACAGGTTGCCTAAAGACTCTGACAGCTTTTCTGAAAAGAATGAAAAGTGACAGTAGAGATGAGTCCTCTGAGAAGCTGGCAGAGAAAGTCGGACCACTGTCAACTGAGAAGTTTAGTTTCTCATCTTCTATTTTAAATTTAATGGCAGGCTCTGAGGTGCAACTGAGGATTGGCTGGCCTCCATCAATCACTAGGAAATTCGGTCAACACTCCTGATGCATTTTATATGCTCCCATTTCTGAAAATATTCTATTTAAGAACCAAGGGAAGTGCAAACTCTGATATTATTTATTTACAAATCAAATTGAAGAAAACACTCATGTTTTATGATTTACAAAAAGCACTGGCCACTTTCATAAAAATTAGTGTTTAAAGGATTACCATTTAGAAAATAGGCTTCCTGTTAATAATTCATTTGATACATATTTTAAAATAAAATATGGCTGTTTTTATTTGTTTGTTTGAGATAGGGTTTGTTTGAGATAGGGTCTTGCTCTTATTTCCAGGCTGGAGTGCAGTGGCACAATCATGGCTTATAGCAGCCTCGACCTCCTGGGTCCAAGCTATCCTCCAGCTTCAGCCTCCTGATTAGCTGCGACTACAAGCGAGCCTCACCATATCTGGCTAATTTTCATGTTTTGCAGAGATGGGGTATCTCCAAGTTGCCCAGCCTGGTCTTGAACTCCTGAGCTCAAGGAATCCACCTGCCTCGACATTTCAAAGTGCTGGAATTAAAGGTGTGAGCCTCTGGTCCCTGCCCAATTGTTGTTTTTTAAATAAACAATGAATGCCAAACTTTAAAAAATCAACTTGAGGCTGGGCGCAGTGGCTCACGCCTGTAATCCCAGCACTTTGGGAGGCTGAGGTGGGTGGAAGATCACTTGAGATCAGGAGTTTGAGACCCACCTGGCCAACATAGTGAAACCCCATCTCTACTAAAAATACAAAAAATTAGCTGGGCATGGTGCCACACACCTGTAATCCCAGCTACTTGGGAGGCTGAGACACGAGAATCGCTTGAACCCAGGAGGCAGAGGTTGCAGTGAGCTGAGACTGCACCACGGCACTCTAGCCTGGGCAATGGATGGAGACTCTGTTCCCCACTCCCTGAAAAAAAAATTCACTCAAACTTACTAAAAAACTGTGAAGCTTTTTTTTTTAACTATATTTTGGAAGAATTTAATAGTGCAATAAATATATGCCTCTCAACGCTTAAGTACAATTCATTAATAACTCTGAGCCTGCTAGGCCTTTATATTTCATCACACAAAGACTGGAAAACACAGAGACACAGAAAAATCACAGCTGTGCAGTGAGACACATGGACATTCACAGACACTCTTTCCTGAAAACAGGGACCACCACTGAGACACATGGGACCTCCCAGATACACCAATATATGTCCCCACAGAATTACCCAGACTTTGTCACTAGGAAAAACGGTTGGACACACCCAAGCACACTCAAGAGATGAGAGTCCCAGAGGTAGTAACAGACTATCCCACAGACACACATAGTCCAGGCCCTCTGCACCCCTTAAGTCCATCTTTGTTTTCCTTCTTAGGAATTACCACTGTCCATACAAAGTGTACTTGACTTGCATTCCTTTTTTTTGTTTGTTTGCTTTGTTTTGGGCCCCTACGACATTAGCTTCAAGGGAACAAGGATATTTTGTCTCTTCTGTTCACTGCAGCACCTAGGACATCACCTGTTACACAGAAGAACATCAAGAAATACTTAATGTCCAGGCTCAACAGACATATGCATTTGGCAAGGTGTGCACACATCTCATCAGAGGGCCACAACCATCTGAACATCAAAGAATGAGTTGTCTTCACATCCATCCCTTGTGGAAGGAGGAGATCCCCCGAACCCTAAAGGAAGGTCCTTCAGCCGTTTTGATGGAGTGGTGGTGCTGGTGGTGGTGGTGGTGGGAGCCTCCCTGAGCCCTCACTGTCTACATAAGAACCTGAGAACAGGGAGCCTGAGTCTGCGACAGGACAAGAGTGATGATGCTGTAGCCCCTGACACGGCTCATATTCTAAGACTGAGCTCCTCACTACCAGACCCAGGGAGCTCAGTTAGGACATCACTGGTATCTCTTCCTCGCCCAGCTGCCCTGTCCTTTTTTGCAGTCACCTCTGACGCCATCATATTCACAGCAGTGCCTTCTACTTGCTGTGGAAGGTCCCTCGGACCATCAGGGTCCTTCCCCGTCTGTCGTGTCTACTCAAGTACATCTGCCATCACAAGATGAAGGCCTCTGGAGCACGGGCTGTCTACCTGCCACAGCCACGCGATATCCGGGACCCACCACACCGGAAGCTGAAGAGGGCAAGAGGAGAGCTTCCGCCACTTCCAGTACCACTCTTGATGTCTCCACTTCCTAGAGTCGCCCCGCCTCGCCTAAGTGCGCCTGCGCACTTCATGGAAGGCGGAAACTCCCAGATAGCCCCAACAAAGCACAGCTCTTTTAGACGCGAGCCCGTGTTGCATCCTGGGAACAGTCTGCCGGGCGGGGCTTCCGGAGACTGAGGGGCTTCTGTTCGGGAACTCCACTTCCCGCAGGCCAATGGGCTGAGGCTGCGCGCTTTGAGGCTGCTCCTGAGGAGGGCGCATGCGCTCTGGTGAGGCGTTAGTAAGACGCGTCCTGGACTGTGGGGAGGAGGCACGTGAGGAGCTTGGGGCGCGATAGGCACCTCCTGGGGTGTCACGACCTGAGTGCGCAGAAAAAGCACGTCAGGTGACTGGACAGTGAGGAGGAGTGCCTGTTTGCCCGCTTATAGGTGAAACCCCATCACCCCATCACTGTAGGTGGGTCCCAGCTGGGCATCTTTGTGATGTCATGGGAGATGTTGACACCGTGAGGCGTGTGATTGTGCCTATGGATTTATGCAGTAGCAGGAGCTGCTGTGGCTGATGGGCGTGTCTCCATGGCATGGGTTCTGCCACTGCCTCTTCTCTCACCTCACAACGCAGGGCTGCCACGTGTTCCCAACAGCAAGAGGAGTTTGGGGATCCATAAAGACGTTTCCCAGCATGAAGACACAGAGCTGAGCTTGAGATGAGAACTTTGGAGCTGGAAGTGGCCTCAGGAAAGGCCCTAGAAAACAAGATGCGGATGCCCCTTGTCTGAAGACAGGATCAGGATGCTCCCAGGCAGGATATTCCTGGGAAGAAGTGTAGGGTCCCCGTTTTATGTTTCAGAACCACAGCATTCCCAAAGATCAGATGGGAAGAACCTGGTGTAAACTCAAAGACAGATTCTGGAAGACCTCCTTCTTCTCTCCTGTTATGTGCGTGAGATAAAGTCAGGTATGGCCCTTGTGGGTGTTTCAAAACTTCAGACTGGGTTTCAAACAGGGTCTGACGAGGCACAAGTCCTTGTCAACCAGCCCTACATTTCCTCCAGAGAATTCCAAGATGGTGGGGGAAGTCTTGTTTTTTTATTTTTATTTTTTGAGACAGTCTTGCTCTGTCACCCAAGCTGGAGTGCAGTGGCACGATCATGGCTCCTCAAGGCCTCAAGTGATCCTCCTGCTTCAGCCTGCCAAGTAGCTGGGACCACAGACGTGCACCACCCCGCCTGGCTCACTTTTTAATTTTTTGGTAGAGTTGAGGTCTCGCTATGTTGCCCAGACTGGTGTCTAGCTCCTGACTTCAAGTGATCCTCTTGCCTCAGTCTCCCAAAATGTTGAGATTACAGGCATGAGTCACCGCGCCCAGCTAGGGAAAAGTCTTATTGCGAACTTACATGTCAAGTTTCAGGAATGTTTTGTATTCCTTTTTTTTTGAGACAGGGTCTTGCTCTGTCGCCCAGTGTAGAGTGCAGTGCATGATCATAGTTCACTGCAGCCTCAACCTCCTGGCCACAAGCAATCCTCCCGCCTCAGCTTCCCAAAGTGCTGGGATTATAGGCATGAGCCACTGCACCTGGTCTTGAGTTCTTTAATAAACTGAAAGCATTTTTATTGTTTAACTTTAAAATATACATACAACAAAATTTGCTATTTTAAGAGTAGCCTTATGAGTTTTTGCAAATGCTTGTTTTCACCACTACAATCATGACAGAACACTCTTAAGCCCATATGTACTCAAATCCCCTACTTCTAACCAGCGATTTGTTCGTTTCCCTTATCTTTGCCTTTTCCATGTCTTATAAAAGGAATACCATATAGCCTTAGGAGTCTTTGTAAAATTTGATGCCCTATTTGTAAAATTAATTATACTTGCTTTCCAGTGTTCTAAATTTAAGTCTTGACAATGCCCAATATAGGTTAAGCACAGGTTAAGCCTTCAAACTTGATTCCATCATCATGAGCTACATGAATATACAAGACTCTGTTGTCCCCGTGCTTAACTTTTTTCATCTAAGAGGGAATGATGGGTAAGTGGGTGTTAAGAAATACAAGTGACTGCCAAATCACATTCATCTATAGAGCGTTATGAAAACTTATGTTAACATGGAAAGTAATGGAGATTACTGGATATTGTTTGCTCTTTAATAAAACTCTAAGGTGTTACATGTTTTTCCTCTTCCCTAGTTAATTCTGGAAGTTCAGAGGTTGAAATGATACCTGAGAAAACTTAAATAGGCTTTTGGGGCTTTCTGGCTCATTAAAACAAAAGCTTCTGCCTCCTTGGCCTATAAAACACATGAAAAATTTTCTCGTTTGAGGATGTCAAACATGTCTTCTTTTTTTCCGGAACTCACCTCTAAACCACAAAAACCATCAAACATTCCCCTCTTCTCCCCCATATGACTGGCTGCTGTGGCTTTACTGATTAGTTTTCAGCTCCAATTAACTTCTGCTTTGTAGATGAGAACTTTGGGAGTTCCCAGAGAATTATATTCATGACCTGAGAACATCCAATCCAGACCAAAGCCTGGCTTCCTTGAACGCTCACCAAAATCACAGAACACAAGGCCAAATCTGATAGTAAATCCTTTTAAACACCCTCTGATACAAGCCACAGCCCTTTCTTGATCATGTGTTCAAACTTCAACTCAACACAGCAAATTTTCTTTGACTACCAGTGTGATCCTGGTGGTTTCTGGGTAGAGGGCCTTGACAAAACCATTATTTCCGCTTTTTAATTGTTATTAACCACAAATAAGAAATCATTTTAGGCCGGGTGTGGTGGCTCATGCCTGTAATCCCAACACT
This sequence comes from Homo sapiens, assembly GCF_000001405.40. Taxonomy (NCBI): domain Eukaryota; kingdom Metazoa; phylum Chordata; class Mammalia; order Primates; family Hominidae; genus Homo; species Homo sapiens. Next base: position 2,856,466 of record NC_000019.10, on the reverse strand, counting down.
TTGGGAGGCCAAGGTGGGCAGATCACCTGAGGTCAGGAGTTCAAGACCAGCCTGGCCAACATGGTGAAACCCCATCTCTACCAAAAATAAAAAAATTAGCTGGGTGTGGTGGTGCATGCCTGTAATCCCAACTACTCGGGAGGCTGAGGCAGGAGAATCAACTGAACCTGGGAGATGAAGGTTGCAGTGAGCTAAGGTCGTGCCACTGCACTCCAGCCTGGGTGACAGAGCGAGACTCTGTCTCAAAAAAAAAAAATCATTTTAATGGCAAATGTTAAGTATACAGCAATTAAAAATAACATTTATATGAAAAAATACCTGTATTTGTATATACTTGGTAATACTGATTCAAAATGTAACATGCTTAAATTATCAAAATTACAAAGTTGATTTGAAATCTGTAATTCTCTCGGTAAACAAAAAATAACATTTCTTAGTGTTATGGGTTGAATTGGGTCTCCTAAAATTTTTACGTTGAAATCTTAATTCGCGGTGCCTCAGTATGCGAAAAGAGAGCTGTTGCCAATGTAATTAGTTAAGGTAAAATCATACTGAAGTAGAGTGGGGCCTAACCCAATGAGTGGTGTGTATGTATAAAAATATTGTCACATGGAGAGACACACACACAGGGAGAATGCCATGTGAAAATTAGAGTTATGCTGCCACAAGCTAAGGAACTACCAGAAGCTAGGTGAGTTCTGAAACAGATCCTTCCCTAGCATCTTCAGAAAAAGCATGGTCCTGCCAATGCCTTGTTTCTGGATTTCTGGGTCCAGAACTGAGAAACAAAAAGTTTGTTTTCCTATGTCACCCAGTTTTTGTACTTTGTTATGGCAGCCCTGGGAAATTAATATAGTCTCTAAACAACTAATTTGAAAGCACAGTAAATAGGATTTTTTTTTCTTTTCTTGCTTGTGTGATGGAGTCTTTCCCCGTCTCCCAGGCTGGAGTGCAGTGGTGTGATCTTGGCTCACTGCAACCTCCGCCTCCTAGGTTCAAGCACTTCTCCTGTCTCAGCCTCCCAAGTAGCTGGGGTTACAGGTACTCACCACCATGCCTGGCTAATTTTTGTGTTTTTAGTAGAGACAGGGTTTCACCATGTTAACCAGGCTGGTCTCAAACTCCTGACCTCAAGCCTCCCAAAGTGCAGGGATTACAGGCATGAGCTACTGTGCCCAGCTAAACAGGATATTTCTAAGAAATATCTACAGAAGGTTTTCCTTGAAACAAAATCCACATTATTTTTAATGATACATAATCAAACCTAATAATTTAACCTATATCAAGAAACTGCATTTAGTTCTGAGTAACAGAAATCTCCCTAAATCTAATATATGAGGAAGGTATTTGTTCTCACATAGGACTCGGCAGGCACACTTAAAAATGCAATAGGGTACAAAGTCCCATGTGTTGTTTTTCTTCTTTGACTGCAACACTGTGGCTTTCGTGGTGGAATCAGGATCACAGAGCCACTGGAAGTATTAAGATAACAAGGTGTTCACTATATAAATTAGACCCCATGCAAATATGTTAAGATCTACAGAACGGGAGAATCAGAAGCTCAGAGACTGCCAAACAAGACAGTCTGAATCAGTGGTCAAGAGGTCATGCAGGGTTTTGAGAAAAATCCAGACTCTAGGTGACTGACCACACAGGAATATCCCTAATATCAAGTTAATGGAGATGTCTGAGGAAGACTACACCTCTGACACAGTGGAAATCAAGCACTTAAGTGTTTCTTTTGATGGTACTCTTGATTGGCAGGAATAAGAATCTGGAAAATAAGCTGAAGGTTGATGTTCACAAAGCCCCTATGCATCTGTCCATCTCCATTTAATGTGACCCCAAAAGCTCAGCGATGACTTACTTCTTCTTCATTCTAAATTTCATTCAAGTTATTGCTATTGGTAAATTTGGACATGGAACCATAAAGGAAATGCATTCCAGCAAATGAAGTTCCTAACACTACCCACACTGACAACAATGCAGAAGAACTATCTGCAACTCTGGATTTCTCCGTCACATCACAAGTCAAAGCCTACTGTCCAATTCACAATCACAAGCAAAGACAAACAGCAATGGGCAAACATTAAAAATTACAATTCATTTGAGGCTATACTCCTTAAACAACTTTGCATAATTACAAAATTCTGCCAACTACTTCTTAAAAAATGGAATAAGGCTCCTCTGGCCAAACAATAAAAATACTCCCAGTAAAAAAGGTGGAAAATATAATAGATACGTAATATCCAATACCTGTCACACTAAGTCAGTTACAATTTAAGAAATTAAATAAAACTTGAACCTACTTGCATATTAAAAATACACTTCAAATCATCCATGAGTCCAAAACACTCTAAGATGAAAGTTTTATTTACTGAATCGTAAGAAACTACCTGTTCAAATTCATGTAGGATAGCTGAGAGTATTTGGAGAATTATTTTTCAACTAAATGTTTATTTGCAAATGAACTACAGACACACTCCTTGAGTGTCCACTTTCAGGATAAGGAACTCATAAAGGCAACACCATATTTACAACTTTGATCAGATCTCTCTCCTGGTGTGACTTTTCTGAAGCACTGCACATGAATTCATTTGCAGGAGGATGTCCTACATTACACTTATACTGTTTTTCTGTAGTGTGTATTCTCACATGTCGCCTTAAGGATGAGGAACAATTGAATGCTTTCCCACAATGCTTACATTGATAAGGTTTCTCTCCAGTGTGCAGTCTCATATGTATTGGTAAAGATGATGGCCATTTGAAGACCTTCCCACATTCCTTACATTCATAGGGCTTCTCTACAGTGTGCGTTCTCACATGTTGTTGCAAAAGTTCAGGCCAACTGAAAGCTTTCCCACACTGCTTGCATTTATAGAGTTTCTCTGCGGTATGTCTTCTCATATGTTTTTGTAAGGATATGTGGCAATAGAAAGCTTTCCCACATAGCTTGCATTCATAGGATTTGTCTTCAGGGTGCATTCTCACATGTTCTCGAAAGCAAGCAGACAAGCTGAAGGCTTTCCCACACTGCTTACATTCATAGGGTTTCTCTCTAGTATGTGTTCTCATATGTTTTCGTAAAGATATGGGCCAATTGAAAGTTTTCCCACATTGCTTGCACTCATAGGGTTTCTCTCCAGTGTGCACCCTCATGTGTCCTCGAAAGGAGGAGGGGTGACTGAATGCTTTCCCGCACTGGTTGCATTCATAGGGTTTCTCTCCACCATGAGTCCTTTCATGTCTTCGAAAGGACTGGGGATAAATGAAGGTCTTCCCACACTGTTTGCATTCGTAGGGTTTCTCTCCAGTGTGAATCCTTTCATGTCTTCGAAAGGACTGGAGATAAATGAAGGTTTTCCCACATTGTTTGCATTCGTAGGGTTTCTCTCCAGTGTGTGTTATCATGTGTCTTCGAAAAGCCGAAGAATAACTGAAGGCCTCCCCACATTCTTTACATTTATGTGGCTTCTCTCCAGTGTGTGAAATCATATGTCTTCGAAAAGTTGAGGAATAACTAAAGGCTTCCGCACATTCCTTACATTTATATGGCTTCTCGCCAGTGTGTGTTATTGTGTGTCTTCGAAACGTTGAGGAATAACTGAAAGCTTTCCCACATTCCTTACACTTATATGGCTTCTCTCCGGTGTGACTTCTGAGATGACTAGTAAGACTTGAGAAGTCAATAAAGGCTTTCCCACATTGCTTACATTCGTAGGTTTTCTCAGCAGTGTGAATCCTTACATGCCGATTGAGGGAGGAAGTACGAGGAAAGGTTTTCCCACATAATTTACACACATAGGGTCTCTCTCCATTGTGGGTTCTCACATGCATTCTTAGGTGTGAACGACAACTGTAGGCCTGCCCACATTCCTGGCACTGATATGGTTTGTGTCCAGTGTGAACTGTGATGGGACTCTTGAGGGATGTGCGGCGATGCATGAAGACTTTTCCGTACGTGTTGTATTCATACTGTTTTACTCCAGGTGGAATTTTCTTGTACAGATTAAGATGTGGAATCTGGCTGAGGGCTTCTCCACATTGATCATTACTTTCACAGAGTCTCTCCAACCCATGATTTCTACTAAAAATGAGAAGCATGTTATTGGTTTGATTAATAATGATTTGTTAGTATTTATTAGGATTAGGACTGCATCTTAACCATTTTCAGTGAAAGCATAGGTTTTTCACCCCATGGGAACTGTCTGAAAATGAAATAAACTGAATGCCCTGGAAGATGGTTTGACCACTGCCATTATTAAAACAGTGTTTCTTATGTATAGGGTTTCTTTCTCTTTCTTTCTTTTTTTTTTTTTGAGACAGAGTCTTACTCTGTTACCCAGGCTGGAGTGCAGTGGTGCAGTCTTAGCTCACTGCAACCTCTGCCTCCTGGGTTCATGCAATTCTGCCTCAGCCTCCCGAGTAGCTGGGATTACAGGCCTGCGGCACCATGCCCTGCTAATGTTTGTATTTTTAGTAGAGACAGGGTTTCACCATGTTGGCCAGGCTGGTCTCGAACTCCTGTCCTCAAGTGATCTGCCCACTTCAGCCTTCCAAAGTGCCAGGATTACAGGTGTGAGCCACCGTACCTGGCCTAGGGTTTCTTGATAATGGTTTCCATCTGAATTATGTTTCTAATGTCACTCACTGTCTATGTCACATTTAAAGAAATATTTTTTTGTAAAAATTCTGTGGATTAAACAAATTGGAGCTAGGCTTGGATGAGTTTTCTGTTTGCTTGCTTTTTTAAAGTTTAATGACAGACTAAGATTCTCTCCTGAAATACTATGTTCTCTTGTGAGTGCAACTCACCTGAGATTTCTCCCCTGGTTTGTGGTTTGATCTTCGATGCTAAGACTGTCCCAAATTTTTCCTAAAACAGAGGCCCAGGAAACATTTCTGGTGAACGTGGCTATTTTAGATTCCTTGGGTATTTTCTCTCCATAAATATCCTGCTGAGAAACTGACCCACTGGCCTTAAATTGAGTTTCATCATCTGAAACCAAAAAGTAAACAAATCATATAAGAAGGCACTTGTTAGCGGAAAACGACACTGAGGAGTTTAGCTATCTCAGGACTTCATTAAACACAAAATGGTCAAAAAGGTAAGCAACTCAATCAACACAGTATTAGTAAGCATAGAAAAATTATTAAAAAAAAAAATTCACGGCCAGGCGCGGTGGCTCATGCCTGTAATCCCAGCACTTTGGGAGGCTGAGGCGGGTGGATCACAACGTCAGGAGTTCAAGAGCAGCCTGGCTGACATGGTGAAACCCCGTCTCTACTAAAAATACAAAAATTGGCCAGGGATGGTGGCGCTCGCCTGTAATCCCAGCTACTTGGGCGCCTGAGGCAGATAATTGCTTGAACTCGGGAGGCAGAGGTTGCAGTGAGTCGAGATCACACCACTGCACTCCAGCCTGGGCGACAGAGTGAGACTCCATCTCAAAAAAAAAAAAAAAAATCAAATTTTCACTGGCTTGCACAAACAAATTTCACTAGGCCTATCAAAGCTATATCCACAATGACGACATGAAGGGAGCTTTCTCTACAAAAATAAAAAGCTGAAATACAGATTCTCATTCTCATGGAAAAACATTACATTCTAGCTCTATGACAGCTGTGACTATGTCTGTCTTATTTACCAATTTATTCCCTTTCCACATTCCAAGCCTTGGAACAGGTCTGATGTGTAAGAAATACTTGTTCTCTCAATAACTACGTGAAGGAAGGAATGATGTCATCCTTACCTACTGAGGCCAGGTTCTGAAAGGTCTCCAGCATCACATCTCTGTAGAGGTCCCTCTGAGCAGAATCCAGCAAAGCCCACTCCTCCAGGGTGAAGTCCACAGCCACATCCTCAAAGACCACTGAGTCCTAAAACAATTCAACATATTTATGGGAGGATGGTTGAGACCGAGAGCCCAGGAGCATTGTACTCAATTCGTATGTAGTTCAAACAAGATTCTGTGATTCCCTGACATCTACCCTGTGACTCAGTTGTCACACCTCTTCCTTCCTGTCTACACTCACTTCCTCATAGATTTCACAGGACCATTAACACACTGAATTTCTCTCTATACTTTTACTGGGACCAACTGAAGACATTATTCTCTATCAAAAGGATTCAGACCACATTGGAGATATCAAACAAATGCTATATAAGTGAAACAAATACTTGTATTTTAAGACCATCAGTGCCTTGTCACACAAACCGTTTTAGCTCCTCCCCTGCTGCACACACCATCATTCGGCACTACACAAAGCACAGGGTCAAAACTGAAGTTTTATGGGATAAAAACACTGAAGGATTGGGAACATTCCCTTCTATTTCCTTCATAAGGGCCAGGTAGCCATAGCGTCTTAAAGAACTCCTGGTCCAACTGGCTGAATGAAAACATTCTTTTGAGAAGTATTGATTTTAACTTGGAAACTAGAAGTTATTGAGAAATTAGACCTTAGGAAAGAGGAAAAAGACACGAGAACGTAGACCTCCACACATTCCCTATACTTCGAGCCTCAGTGACGGAAGCCCAACAATTAATTCTGGGTTCTCTCTCTCTCACACGCTGGCTCTCTCTCGTACACACAGGCACACTCACTAAGTATACACAGAGCGAGGTGCACACAATGCCAAAACAGCTCTTTTCACCAGAGCCGAAAGAAAGTATTCTTGGGCCAAGTGTGGTGGCTCATGCCTGTAACCCCAGCACTTTGGGAGGCCGCGGCAGGCAGATCATTTGAGGTCAGGAGTTCAAAACCAGCCTGGCCAACATGGTGAAACCTCATCTCTACTGAAAAAAAAAAAAAAATTAGCCGGGCATGGTGGTGCACGCCTGTAGTCCCAGCTACTTGGGAGGCTGAGGCACGAAAATTGCTTGAACCCGGGAGGCAGAGGTTGCAATGCATCAAGATCATGCCACTGCACTCCAGCCTGGGTGATAGGGCAGGACTCAGTCTCAGAAAAAAAAAAAAAAAAAGTATTATTGCTAACCTTAAGGATAAAGTTAAGAGTCCCACTTTGCAAAGGAGTTAACTGAAGTCCAAACCATTTGACTACGAATTTTCAATGGTTATAAAAGACATAGACAAAATAGTGCCTTCCTAGAAAATTCTGTGTCTCAAATTCCAGGAGGAAGTGATTCCCCACATACCACTCTAGAGGCTGCACTCTCAATTTCTCATTATTTCCATATTGCATATTGGGCACAGGTGCATGGAACCCCCGAGATGCACGGTTCCCTCAAACCTGCTGAGAAAGATCAACTCCTTTCCGTCTATGAGCAGGAGACAGACAAAATACTGTCACGCAGCAATTCTGATGCTAGAACAGTCCTATTCACAGAGCTGCAGAGTATCTACAGGACCCTCCTACTGGCACAGGGGACAATATGAGCTCCCTGGGTTAGCCTTAATTGCTCATAGTGCAGTGTATTTGCAGTGTTTTTTAATAATAAAGTTCCCATATGCCGAAAGAAGTTAACATTGCGGGCCTTAGACTCTATCCTTAGAACGGCTTTCTGGCAATGTTGCCCTTAGCTGGTGTCTGGGAACTTGGGTTTTGGGAAGGTTCACCCCCACCCTAATTCAGATTACTCATGGTGCAAATACCACTGTTAATGCTGAACAGCTGCTTTCCTTCTGGAAATGGAATCTGTGTACATACCAGGCAGGGGATGCTTATGTGATCAGCCAGCAATAAAAATCCTGGGTACTGGCCAGATGCAATGGCTCCCACCTGTCACCCCAGCACTTTGGGAGGCTGAGGCAGGCGGATCACTTGAGGTCAGGAGTTTGAGACCAGCCTGGCCAACATGGTGAAACCCCATCTCTACTAAAAATACAAAATTAGCCGGGCGTGGTGGCACGTGCCTGTAATCCCAGCTATTTGGGAGGCTGAGGCACGAGAATAGCTTGAACCCGGGAGGTGGAGGTTGCAGTGAGCCAAGATCGTGCCACTGCACTACAGCCTGAGAAACACAGTAAGACTTCATCTAAAAAAAATCCTGGGTGGCTGGGTGCGGTGGCTCACGCCTGTAATCCCAGCACTTTGGGAGGCCAAGGCAGGTGGATCACGAGGTCAGGAGATTGAGACCATCCTGGCTAACACGGTGAAACCCCGACTCTACTAAAAATACAAAAAAATTAGCCGGGCGTGGTGGTGGGCGCCTGTAGTCCCAACTACTCGGGAGGCTGAGGCAGGAGAATGGCGTGAACCCGGGAGGCGGAGCTTGTAGTGAGCAGAGATGGCGCCACTGCACTCCAGCCTGGGCGACAGAGCCAGACTCCAGCTCAAAAAAAAAAAAAGAAAAGAAAACAAAGAGCAGCGTTTGGTTTTTGTTTTCTTCTCCAGGTAGGAGAAAGGGCCCCCATGTTCTGAAAGGTAAGCTTTGGGTGAGGAAAATGGTAAAAGTTTGTGTTGCATTGGGAGGGAAAAGAAAGTTAATTACCAAGGCTGGAGCACAACTTTAGGTAAACCCTGGGGAGGCAGGGGACACTCCGTGCTTTTTTAAAACCTGTTGCTGGTTAAAAAAAAGGCTGGAGTGTTCCCTGCTTCCCCTTGGTTTACCTCCTGACCAGCCATGGTCTTCCCTGCTAGCATAATGCTATCCCTGTAAATGCTGAACTGCCAGCGGTTTCTTGTGACGTGGTCCCCCAGAAAGATATGTCCGTGTCCTAATTCCTGGTACCTGTGACTATAACCTTATTTGTAAATAGGATCCTTGCAGATGTAATCAAGTAAAATGACATCATCTAATCCAATGGGCCCTACTCCAATATGACTAGTGTCTTTATTTTTTATTTTTTTTAAATTTTTTTCAGATTAAGTAACTTTATTAGCATCAGTTCAGCTAATAAATGCTGAAGGCAGGATTTGAACCTGCATCTACTATATTCCAAGGATTTTTTCTCCAATTTTTTAACTGTGGTAAATACATATAGCATACAATTTACCATCTTAACCATTTTATTATACTTTAAGTTTTAGGGTACATGTGCACAATGTGCAGGTTAGTTACATACGCATACATGTGCCATGTTGGTGTGCTGTACCCAGTAACTCGTTATTTAACATTAGGTATATCTCCAAATGCTATCCCTCCCCCCTCCGCTGACTGGTGTCTTTATAAGAGGAAAATGTCACATGAAGACAGAAACACACACGGAAGGTGGCCACGTGGAAGATGGAGGGAGAGACTGAATTATGGTGCCACAAGCAAAGGAACACTTGGGGCTACCAGAAGCTCTAAGAGACGAGGAATACTACCGCATCGGCATGTGTGATAAAAATGAGAGAAAATGGTAAAATATTTGTCACTTTAAAAGCACTACAGGGATCATCTCAATCAGTTTTTTGTTTTGTTTTTTTAAGTGACAGACACAACTTCTTTGCTCTTTGCCCCTGGTGTATGGATTGGAATTTAAACTCTAAGTATTAAGATTAGGTCTCCACAACTGATTTTTTACTATCATTTTTCCTATTGGAGGTTCAGGGAAAAGGGAAACAAATGAAAAGAGAGGCAATCTCTAAGTGGAGATACACTTTTGGAATGTGAAGTAGTAGTTTCTAGTTTGTTAATGCGCTCTTATGAAAACCTATTTCTGACAACCTCAAGAGTTGATGGTTTTCAAACCACATGTGCATATTTTTAACTGTCAATTTGGACTCTAAGATTCACGAGACCAAAAGCGCTTAGGAAACTCTTGCTTGCAACTTGATCTTGGAACACAGCTGTCCAACCCGGCAATACCTAGCTTTACTGCTGCAGAAGCAAAGCCTTCGGTGTTTTATGGAATTCTGAACTCAGATCCCAACGGCGTGGACTTGACTGTAAGCTAAAACCTGACACTGCCCACTGCTAATTCATCCTCACTATGTCCACTGCTAACTCAGCCTTCACTATGCTGACCTGACAGCAGGGCTAGGCTCAATGAACAGGACTCTAATTCAGGAAACACTGCAGAGTTAGACACTCCCGGGTAAGGCCCTGAACTACGAAAAACATCAGGGGTGCTGGCTGGTCCATGTGGCTCACTCAGTTGCCCACAGTGAAGGACTGGCTTGACCTTGGATGGAACTGTCTGATTCAGAGCTGTGACCGAAGCGCTCCCCTCTTCCTGAAGGAAGTGTTGCATGCAGCTGTGAGTGCTCTGAATTCAGGTTGGCTGCTAAGCCTCTGATCACATCCGACAACCCTGAGACAGCAGCAAGTGGCCCCAGTTCCTGAACTTCCCACAAAGGACATCTCCAGGTGTCGTCCATACTGGAGAGGTCAATGAACTGGTATCACAGACATGCAAAACTGCTTGAAAATGATGCCTCAGGCAGAGCCTCTGAAACTGAGGACTAAACTGAATTATTCGGTCTACACTGAGAACCCTAGGACAGGAGGCCCACAGTGGGAGGTCACACTGGGAGCCCTGCTAACCCGACTGCCTGACCAATGTTAAGTCCTGCTTGGGGTGTCCCGACCATTGCAAACAATGTGCTTCCAAGGGGACTGACTACCTGTCCCCTAGGGGGTTGGACTTGTTTTGTACTTACCCTGGCACTCAGGGCACTGCCTTGTCCCTGGAAGACACCCAGGTCTAAGTTTGACTTACTGGCCAGAGTTATGCTGTGCAGGAATTGGTGCCTCTCTCCAGTAAAAAAATAGTAACGGGGGAAGGAAGAGAATACTACAGAAACTTAATAAGCCACCTGGCTTTCTAAGACCTTTGTGGTCCAAGCATATGAAAAAATGCTCAACACCACTAATCATCAGAGAAATGCAAATAAAAAGCACGATGAGATACCATCTCACACCCGTCAGAATGGCTGTTATTAAAAAGCTAAAAAATAACAGATGTTGGCAGGGCTGTGAAAGGGAATGCTTACACATGGTTGGAGGGAATGTAAGTTAGTACAACCTCTATGAAAAGCAGTATGGAGATTTCTCAAAGAACTAAAAACAGAACCACCATTCAACCCAGCAATCCCACTACTGGGCATCTACCCAAAGGAAAAGAAATCATTCTACCAAAAAACACATCACTTGTGTGTTCACTGCAGCAGCATTCACAATAGCAAAGACATGGAATCAACCTAGGTGACCAAAGACAGTGCACTAAAGAAAATGTGGTCCATCTATACCATGGAATACTACACAGCCATAAAAAAGAACGAAATCATGTCCTTTGCAGCAACATGGATGCAGCTGGAGGCCATTATCCTCAGCAAACTCATGCAGAAACAGAAAACCAAATATGGCATGTTCTTACTTATAAGTGGGAAGTAAATCTTGGGTAGACATGGACATAAAACTGGAAACAATAGACGCTGGGGATTCCAAATGGAGGGACAGAGGGGGAAAGGGCTGACACCCTTCCTCATGGCTACCATGTCCACTATCTGGGTGACAAGCTCAATGGAAGCCCAAATCTCAGCATCATGCAATATTCCCTTGTAACCTGCACATGTGCCCATGAATCTGAAATAAAAATGGAAATTAAAAAAATAATGATTCCATTGCAGCCAATGGAATTTACCTTACCTGGCTAAGTCCAGGAGCCCTAAACAGCACAAGTGAAATCATTACTGCAGTGTGGTCTCCTCCTACTTCATAGGGGCCTCCCATAATAATTCTGTGGTAGAGACACCTGTGCAGTGGGCTAGGGGGTGGACGCAGGAAGAGCCAACCCAAAGGCCTGAGGGCCCCTAACCTTAGAAAGTCCTGCCTGCAAAGTTGGCCCTTGGCTGGCATAAGCTAGCCTGGATTTGGGGAGGGTTCTCATCCCAATAGAGGAGTTGCTTATTGTGCTGAAACTGTTTATGCAACAATGTGTTTACCCTAAAGATCTGCTTTCCTCCTGGGTGTCTGAAATCTTGGCACAGCCAGGCACAGGGGACCTCTGTGACCAGCCGCCAATTTTAAAACACCCTGGTTGGGGGCATGGTGGTTCACACCTATAATTCCAGCACTCGGGGAGGCTGAGGCGGGCGGGCCACCTGAGGTCAGGAGTTCGAGACCAGCCTGGCCAACATGGCAAAACCCTGTATCTGCTAGAAATACATAAAAATGGCCAGGTGCAGTGGCTCCCGCCTGTAATCCCAGCACTTTGGGAGGCTGAGGCGGGCAGATCAACTGAGGTCAGGAGTTCGAGACCAGCCTGGCCAATGTGGTGAAAGCCCATTTCTACTAAAAATACAAAAATTAGCTGGGCGTGGTGGCGGATGCCTGTAATCCCAGCTACTCAGGAGGCTGAGGCAGGAGAATTGCTTGAACACAGGAGGCAGAGATTGCAGTGAGCCAAGTTCCTGCCACTGCACTCCAGCCTGGGCGAAAAGGGTGAAACTCCCTCTTTAAAAAAAAAAAAAAAAAAAAGAAAAGAGAGAGAGAGAAAGGAAAGAGGGAGAAAGAAAAAAAAGAAAAGAAAAGAAAGATAGATTAGGCAGGCATGGTAGCAGGTGCCTACAGTCCCAGCTACTTTAGAGGCTGAGGCAGGAGAATCACTTGAACCCAGTAGGCAGAGATTGCAATGAGCCGAGACAGCACCACTGCATTCTAGCCTGGGCAATAGAGCGAGACCCTGTCTCAAAACAAAACAAAACAAAAAAACAAAGTAAAGGGACACAGCCCTGAGGCAGCCCCTGTGTTCGGGGAAATCTGATCAGTGCCAGGGCCGGCATTGCAGAGGATAAACACTTTAATATAAGGAGCTGGGACAAATTGTCATCTAAACAAGAAAAATATCTTGTATTCTACCTATTTCAGGAACAACAAAAAATGTATTATAGAATTAAGGTAAGGGTACTGCAGTATTGGAAGCAGAACAGAATCATCCACCGTCAAAAATTCTCTACCATGTCAAGGAGAATAACATATTTTGGTAAATTTGTATAATTTATCTGCAACATGTTTCGTGGCAATGTATTCATTTTTCTGCACGTATGGTGGAAAGGAGATTTTCTCTGTTTCTCTGAGACTCTTCTCCCCAGTAACATTTTGAAGTTTAGGCCCTGGAATCCTATTTATTGTCATTCAAAAGAAAAGAACAAGGCTGGTCGAGGAGGGAGAATCACCTGAGCTCAGGAGTTCGAGACCAGCCTGGGTAACAGAATGAGACCCCATCCCTAGAAACAAAAAAATACAAAAGCTTAGGCATGGCGGCACACACCTGGAGTCCCTGTGTTCAGAAGGCTGAGGCAGGAAGATTGCTTGAGCCCAGGAGGTGGAGGCTGCAGTGAGCTGTGATCGCACCAGTGCACTCCAGCATGGGCAACAGAGCTCCCAAAAAAATAATAGTAATAAAAGAAAACAGAAAATAACAGATCTGAGAAACGACACACACTCCAGGGAATGTTTAACAAATGGAATGTAAGACACAGATTTTAATTTTTTTCCTGAAATTCACCCCGTTGGAAGTTTTTTTTTTTTTTTGAGACGGAGTCTCGCTCTGTCACCCAGGCTGGAGTGCAATGGCGCGTTCTCAGCTCACCGCAACCTCCGCCTTCTGCGTTCAAGTGATTTTCCCGCCTCAGCCTCCCGAGTAGCTGGGACTACAGGCACCCGCCACCACGCCCAGCTAATTTTTGTATTTCTAGCAGAGACGGGGTTTCTCCATGTTGGCCAGGCTGGTCCCCAACTCCTGACCTCAAGTAATCTGCTCCCCTCGGCCTGTCACAGTGCTGGGATGACAGGCTTGAGCCACCGCGCCCGGCCTGGAAATATTTTATCTTCCAACTTCTACTAATTAAATGTACGTTTCACTTCCTAAAAACTGCTGACTCGAAAAAAGGAAAATCTTTTCACAGTGACAAACCCAGGGAGGGGTCAAGTCTGGCCAGGCTACCACGACGGACGCCCTCCCACCCCCAACTCAGGTGTTGCCTCAGCAAGGAATCCCATTGCTAGTACTCAAAACAGAACTGAGAAACGTCTTCAAATCCACACTTTCTAGGGAACCGTGAAAGAATATATTTCCGTGGTTTTAGCCCCCTCGTTTGCAGTCAGTTGCTACAGCAGTCCGAGGACACTAATGCACCAGCCTCCCGGGCGTCCCCGCTGTGGGTCTGCGTGCGTTTGCTTTTGGGGTCCTCGCTCTCCCTTGTTTCTCTAGTCTTTTCAGTTACTTTTCTTCCTTGTGTGTGAGAGCCCAGGGACCAGGAACCCTTGTTTTTTTTCCCCTTACCTACCCCAGGCATCTTGGGGTCAGAGGGGACAAGAAGTCCTCAAGAAGGAAAACCGGGACTCAGGGGAGGAAACCTCGCACGCCCCAGGGGCTGCCTTTGCAGGTGGGGGCGTCTCCGCCCCCGCCGAGGCCCCACCGCTCCCGGGCTGTCCCGGGAGGAACCCAGGGTCCCCCAGAGACCGCGGCCGGAGGCGCGGGGCCTCCAAGGAGCTGAGCCGCGGGAGCGCGAGCGGAGGCGGCACCGACCAGGGACCCGCACCCCAGGAGGCACCGCGGCGTCGGCCCCAGGGCGGGTCCCGGGGGAGCCTGGACCGCACCTCGGGGTCTCGGGCGACTCTGCCTCCCGCGGCCCGGGGGTCCCGAAGCCGCAGCGAAACGCTCCGAGGCGTCGCGGCCCCGGGCGGGGCGTGGGGGGTCGGGAGCGCAGGGACGCGGGGACCCCGGGACGACGGGGACGGAGTCGGGCTCCGGGCGCCGCTCCCCGCTCTGCAGCCTTGGGGCCAGAGGCGGGCGGGGACCCGGAGCTCGGAGCGCCCTAGCCGCGACCTCAGCGCGGGAGGCGGGGCCGGGCGGGACCCCCGGGGCCCAGGCTCCCGTCCTGCGCCGCCCTCGCCGGGGCCGCCCCCCGCGTCCCTCAGCTCCCCCCAAGCCGCGGTCTCGGGCGGTCGCCGGTTCCTGCTGCCCCGCACCGGGATCCTCTCCTGCGCCACACTCACCATGTCCCGGGGCGATTTCTTCGCTACCGGCGCAGGTGAGCGCGACAGGAACCGGGACGCCAGGGACCGCTAGGGGCAGGCGGGGCACTCACGGCTAGGACAGAGGCGTCCCGTCCCAGGGGCCTGATTAGACAGAGCTCGGGAAGCCGCGCTTCTGATTGGACAGTGCTGCCAACGTCGGCGACTCTGATTGGAGAATTCCCCAGTCCGTCCCCTGGCGCTGTAAATTGGGCAGTTCCCCGGATTCCGATTGGGCGTCCCTCATTGGATACTTGTCTCGGCCCCGCCCCCGCCCGTCCTGACTGGGTAGTTCCCTAGGGCCCACCCCCTGCCGGTGAGTGACGGGAGCGTTGCGAACACGCGTGGCTGTCCCGCCCTGCGGGGACACTGGCTTCTGGGCGAACTGGTTTCAGCCCGGGGCGGAATCGCCCTCTCCCCGCAGTTCGGGCGCCCCGCCCGCGTCCTCCTCCGGGACGGGCGTGGGAACTCCAGACTAGTTTCCTCACGAGGCGACCCCTTGTCCGGACAGGAGGTGGATGCAAGCGGGCGGCCCGGGCCTGGCAGGGCGAACGGGGGCTGGGCGCCGGGTCCGAAGGGCCGAGACCTACGTGGGGGCGGGACCCGCAGACGTGACGTCATCGCGCTGCGGGCGACATGGAGACCCCGCCCAGGGGGCTGCGAATCCGGAGACCCGGTCTGGGGGAGGCCGAACCCAAAGCCTGGCAGGGGGCAGGAGCTTTGCTCAAATCAACCAGAAGATATGAGATGTTCATTAAAACCCTCACATTTGGCTGGGCGCAGTGGCTCACGCCTGTAATCCCAGCACTTTGGGAGACCGAGGTGGACGGATCATCTGAGTTCAGGAGTTTGAGACCATCGTGGCCAATATGGTGAAACCCTTTCTCTACTAAAAATACAGAAATCAGCCCGGCGTGGTGCCGGGCGCCTGTAATCTCAGCTACTGGGGATGCTGGGGCAGGAGAATTGCTTGAACCCGAGAGGTGGAGGTTGTAGTGACCCGAGATCGCCCCACTGCAGTCTAGCCTGGGCGACAGAGTGAGACTCCATATTAAAAAACAAAAAAACTCTCAAGTTCATATTTTAAACTCTAAGGAAAATGTTTTCAGATCATTTTTTTAAGTACATCCCCCCAAAATTTGGAAGATTGAAAAGCTGGCCGGGCGCTGTGGCTCACGCCTGTAATCCCAGCACTTTGGGAGGCCGAGGCGGGCGGATCACCTGAGGTCAGGAGTTCAAGACCAGCCTGCCCAACATGGCAAAACCCTGTCTCTACTAAAAATACAAAATTAGCCGGGCGTGGTGGCGCGCACCTGTAATCCCAGCTAGGGAGGCTGAGGCAAGAGAATCGCTTGAGGCCGGGCACGGTGGCTCACGCCTGTAATCCCAGCACTTTGGGAGGCCGAGGCGGGCGGATCACGAGGTCAGGAGATCGAGACCATCCTGGCTAACACGGTGAAACCCCGTCTCTACTAAAAAATACAAAAAAATTAGCCAGGCCTGGTGGCGGGTGCCTGTAGTCCCAGCTACTCGGGAGGCTGAGGCGGGAGAATGGCGTGAACCCGGGAGGCAGAGGTTGCAGTGAGCCGAGATCGCGCCACTGCACTCCACCACTCCAGCCTGGGTGACAAAGCGAGACTCCGTCTCAAAAACAAACAAACAAACAAACAACAACAACAAAAACAAAAAGAATCGCTTGAACCCAGGGAGGCAGAGGTTGCAGTGAGTCAAGATCATTCCACTGCACTCCAGCCTGGGGGACACAGCAAGACTCCGTCTCAAAAAAAAAAAAAAAAAAAAAAGGAAGTCTATAATATTGCACAACAGGAACGTATCTAACGCCACTGAACTTTAGACTTAAAAATGATGAACATGGTAAATATTTGTTATTTGTATTTTACTACAATTTTTAGATGTTATATTTAAAACAGAAAAGGCTATATTTCTAAGGATATTGAATCCCTATTTTAACTGATATAAGAAAAACACGCAAAAGTTTAAATGAATTGGATTGAACCTTAGGAGGGAAGTGTTTTTTTTTTAAATTTTTGGTTTTTTCAGTCTTGCTCTGTCACCCAGGCTGGAGTGCAATGGCAGGATCCCGACTCACTGTAAACTCCACCTCCCGGGTTCAAGTGATTATCGTACCTCAGCCTTCCGAGTAGGTGAGACTACAGACCTGCCCCGCCACACCCAGCTAATTTTTTTGTTTTTTGTTTTTTTGAGACGCAGTTTCGCTCTTGTTGCCCAGGCTGGAGTGCAATGGCGAGATCTCGGCTCACTGCAACCTCTGCCTCCCAGGTTCAAGCGATTCTCCTGGTTCAGCTTCCCGAGTAGCTGGGACTACAGGCACCTGCCATCATGCCTGGCTAATTTTGTATTTTTAGTAGAGACGGGGTTTCTCCGTGGTGGTCGGGCTGGTCTCGAACTCCCAACCTTATGTGATCCACCCGCCTCGGCCTCCCAAAGTGCTGGGATTACAGGTGTGAGCCACCACGCCTGGCCTACTAATTTTTATTTTTTTAGTAGAGATGAGGTTTCACCATGTTGGCCAGGCTGGTCTCAAACTCTTGACCTCAGGTGATCCACCTGCCTCGGACTTGCAAAGTGCTTGGATTACAGGTGTGAGCCACCACACCCAGCCTTCAATTTTTTTTAAAAAAAGGAAAAACGATTGTGATAGGCCTGAAAACACTGAATACACTTAATAGACAGGGGCTGAAAACCAAACACAGTTAATGGTTATTCATTTCAGAAAACTCCATAGCTTAAGTGGTTGTTCAAATTCTGATATTGACATTTCATTTAGAAACAATTTTTAAAATTTATTTTTATCTTTCCTAGGAAGGTTTTACACACTTTTATAAAAATTAATGTTTAGAGGACTGACATAGGAAAGCAGCTTCCAGTTAAAAATAGTGTGCCCGGGCTCGGTGGCTCACGCCTCTAATCCCAGCACTTTGGGAGGCTGAGGTGGGTGGACAACCTGAGGTGAGGAGTTTGAGACCAGCCTGGCCAACATGGTGAAAGCCCCATCTCTAATAAAAATACAAAAAAAATTAGCCGGGCGTGGTGGCGCATGCCTGTAGTCCCAGCTGCTTGGGAGCTGAGGCAGGAGAATCGCTTGAACCCAGAGGCAGAGGTTGCAGTGAGCCGAAATCTCACCATTGCACTCCTGCCTGGGCAACACAGTGAGACTCCATCTCAAAAAATAAAATATAATTGCTGGAGGGAGATAACAAGACTGAAAACAGTACAGTCAGGAGACTTCTAAGTCAACCCTTCTCAAGAATATGCTGGAAGTTACAGATGCTTTCCCCAAAAAACACATCAATGCACCAGCACACAAAGTTGTTCTCAAAGTTGTTCACAGAGCCCCTAAAGAAACTTACTCATCAACCCAATAGGGTCTAGACTGACCATGGATCAAGGATCTCTAAGGAAAAGCAACATGTTCCATTTGGGTGAAAGGAGATCTGACGGGCAACCTCCCTCATTAGCTCAAGGAAAAAGGGAACATTCACAGGAAAGTTAGATGAGTCCTAAGAGAAAATTTGTAAAATTTTTTTGAGACAGGGTCTTGCTTTGTCACTCAGGCTGCAGTGCGGTGGTATGCTCATAGCTCACTGCAGCCTCAGCCTCCTGGGCTCAAGCGGTCCTTCCACCTCAGCCCCCAGAGTAGCTGGGACTACAGGCGTGAGCCACCATGCCTGGCTAATGTTTGTATTTTTTGCAGAGACAGGGTCAATGTTGCCCAGGCTGGTTTTGAACACCTGGGCTCAAGTGATCCTCCCACCTCAGGCTCCCAAAATACTGGGATTGCAGTTGTGAGCCACTACACCCAGCTTTCCAAGAGAACATTTGGAAAACAGTTCCCCTGCTTGGTGGCCTGGCAAATGAGGTGTGGCTTTGTACAGGGTGCTCAAGGTCAAATCCAGAGTCCACTACTTTTTTTTTTTTTTTTTGAGACAGAGTCTCACTGTCACCCAGGCTAGAGTGCAATGGCACCATCTCGGCTCACTGAAACATCAGCTATTCTCATGCCACAGCCTCCTGAATAGCTGGGCCTAGAGGCGTGCACCACGACGCCCAGATTTTTTTTTTTTTTTTTTTTTGAGACAGAGTTTCACTCTTGTTGCCCAGAGCTGGAGTGTAATGGTACTGTCCCAGCTCACAGCAACCTCCACCTCCCGGGTTCAAGCGATTCTCCTGCCTCAGCCTCCGAGTAGCTGGGATTACGGGCATGCACCACCATGCCGGCTAATTTTGTATGTTTAGTAGAGATGCGGTTTCTCCATGTTGGTCAGGCTGGTCTCGAACTCCTGACCTCAGGTGATCCGCCCATCTCGGCCTCCCTAATTTTTGTATTTTTTGGTAGACATGGGGCTTCACCATGTTGGCCAGGCTGGTCTCGAACTCCTGACCTCAAGTGATCCACCCACCTCAGCCTCTCAAAGTGCTGGGATCACAGGTGTGAGCCACTGTGCCCAGCCCAGATTCTACTCCTTTCTAATTGTGTGACCTTGAGCAAATTATTTCCGTTTTGTCTTCTGTAAAATGGAATGTGAATAGTGATTATCTCATGGGGTCGTGAGGGCTAAATGAAGAACCACATGGAAGTACTTGGCTGGTGCTTGGTATACAGTAAGCATCCAATACATGTTCATGACGATAATGCACATCAGCACTCCTGGTCTTGATTTTGCTAGGGACATCTCACAGGCGGGACTTTTCCCAGGCCACCAAAGGTCATTCCACCCTCTATGTCCCAAAGTCTACTATACTATGTCTCTACCATCTAGGTACCCACAGTCTATCCTGACTCATCAATGAGGTTCCGTATCCTTCACAATTTTGGGTGCTATTTGATTTGTATTCATTGTCAAAATGATTATGGCAATACAAAATGAAACGGCAGAAAACACAAAATCACACATAATTGGAACACCCCAATCATTGCGTAAATGATTCATTTCTTCACGTCTCTGTCCAGCCTTTGTCCTTTTGTGAATGGATCAAATTACTAGTACTATTTTGAAGCCCTTGTATTTTTTAAACTTTACCTCCAAAGCGCTTTCCGTCTTAGCATATACTCTGGATCAGCACAGTACTGCAGAAGACAAACGGATCTAGCTAAGTGGCCAATGTGAAACACTGAAACAGAATGCTGAAATAAAGGCCAGGAGCAGTGGTTCACACCTGTAATCCCAGCACGGCGGCTCGCACCCATAATCCCAGCAGGGTGGCTCACACCTGTAATCCCAGCACAGTGGCTCGCGCCCGTAATCCCAGCACAGTGGCTCACGCCCGTAATCCCAGCACGGTGGCTCACACCCGTAATACCAGCACGGTGGCTCACACCCGTAATCCCAGCATGGGCAGCTCACGCCCGTAATCCCAGCACAGTGGCTCACACCCGTAATACCAGCACGGTGGCTCACACCTGTAATACCAGCACTTTGGGAGGCCAAGGTGGGTGGATTGCTTGAGCTCAGGAGTTTGAGACCAGCCTGGGCAACCTGGTGAAAGCCCATCACTACAAAAATACAAAAAAAAAATTTAGCTGGGTGTGGTAGCGGTGCACATGTGTAGTCCCAGCTACCGGAGAGGCTGAGGTGGGAGGATTGCTTGAGTCCAGGAGATGAAGGCTGACTACAGGGAGCTATGATCACGCCACTGCACTTCAGCCTCAGCAACAGAGTGAAAACTCGTCTCATATAAACCCAGAAAAGAATATTAAAATAAAAACAATGAACAATGAAATAAAAAGTAAAGACACAGAAGTAGTTAAGAAACAGAACACCTTTTGTTTAAGCAACTAAATTAACACGTGATGGTTCTTGGCAAGATCCCATCCATGACAGCATTCCCGTCCACCAATCTTTTCCGAAAGTCTGGAGCTTACTGGACGTAGTGTAATGGCAACTCCTCCCACTAAAAGGCCCCGTCAGGCTGGGCACAGCGGCTCATGCTTCTAATCCCAACACTTTGGGAGGCCAAGACAGGAGGATGCTTGACCCCAGGAGTTCAAGACCAGTCTTGGCAATGTAGCAAGACCCCAACTCTATAATTTTTTTTTTTTTTTTGAGACGGAGTCTCGCTCTGTCTCCCAGGCTGGAGTGCAGTGGTGCGATCTCGGCTCACTGCAAGCTCCACCTCCCGGGTTCACACCATTCTCCTGCCTCAGCCTCCTGAGTAGTTGGGACTACAGGCGCCCACCACCACGCCCGGCTACTTTTTTGTATTTTTAGTAGAGACAGGGTTTCACTGTGTTAGCCAGGATGGTCTCGATCTCCTGACCTCATGATCCACCCGCCTCGGCCTCCTAAAGTGTTAGGATTATAGGCATGAGCCACCGCACCCTGCCTCCCACTCTATAATAAATTTAAAAATTTGCTGGGCGTGGTGGTGCACACCTATAGTACTAGCTACCTGGGAGGCTGGGGTGGGAGGATTACTTGAGCCCAGGAAGTTGAAGCTGCAGTGAGGTATGATCACGCCACTGGACTCCAGCCTGGGTGGCAGACTCCATCTCAACAACAACAACAAAATACAAAAATGCCCATTCTCAGAGCTTTCTTATAAGAAGGTGAGAAGGTGACATAAACCCACTTCTTTTCAAATTATCCATCACAACAGGGCAAAAGATAACCACATGTATGTGTCAGAGTACTAAAAAGTGGCTTACAAAGCAGCGTGCAATTGCTAATATCCAATAAGATGTCTGTTCTGGTAGAACGCTTTCCCACAGTCAATGATTTTATAGGTTTTCTGGCTGCTGTGAGTTTTCTGATGTGTGACAAGGGATGAGCTCTGGCTGAAGGCTTTCCCACATTCCTGACACCTGTAGGGTTTCTCTCCAGTGTGAGTTCTCTCGTGCCTCACAAGGGAAGACCTCTGGCTGAAGGCTCTCCCACACTGCTTACATTCATAGGGGTTCTCGCCCGTGTGAGTTCGCTCGTGCTGGTTGAGAGAGGAACGGTCACTGAAGGCCTTTCCACATTCACTGCATTCGTAGGGCTTCTCTCCGGTGTGTGTCCTCTTGTGCAAGATCAGGTAAGAGCTCTGGCAGAAGGATTTCCCACAGTCTTCACATTTATAGGGCTTTTCCCCGGTGTGAATCCTCTGATGCTGAGTCAGCGATGAGATCCTGTTGAAGGCTTTCCCGCACTCACCGCACCCGTAGGGCTTCTCTCCAGTATGAGTTCTCAGATGGCGCGTGAGGGTGGAGCTGTGCGTAAAGGCTCGCCCACACTCCTGACACTCGTAGGGTTTCTCCCCCGTGTGAATTCTTTGATGTTCGCTCAAAGAATGCCTCCGGTTGAACACCTTCCCACACTGGTGGCACTCAAAGGGTTTCTCTGCCGTGTTGATTTTGTTGTGGATAGTCAGGGCCATACCGTGGTTCAATGACTGCCCATTTTCCAAATACACAAACATCTTCCCCCCGTGTTGAATAAAGTGACTGTTCTGGCGGATGGCATTTCCACATTCATTACTTTCACAAGGTCTCCGATCTGCATATCCCAGCTGATGGTGGTTTAAGACTGAATCGGATGCCAAGCTTGTAATATCTAACTCGCTGCCACACAAGTGGTTCCCTTTAGAGCTTCCCTGTGATAAAACAAGGGCTGGGCTCAGATTACCATTTTCCCCAAATCCATGCCATGCAGTAGCCTTCTCCTGAGGAACGGCCACTACGTGAAGGGATGCCTTTTGGCTCAAAAGCCCCTGGGGGTCTTCATGGCTGTCCTCTAACTGCTTCCATCCCCCATCTTCTCTGATAAGCTTTATCATATTTATACCACTGGCTGGTTCCTCCTGCAAAGCCACCTTCTTGTAAGTTGAGTCTTGGTTTCTTAGTACAGTCATCCAATCTGAAATAAATTGAGGCGGAAACCATTTTTTTAGAAGAAGAAACAGCTACTTGAAAACCAGCGGGACAGAAGTCCTTCTGACATCTACAAGGCCTGTGCGGACTGATGTTCAAATATCAACTCTGAACATGCGGGAAGGATGGGAAAAAGAGAGATGGGTGGCAAGGAAGGCCACTGAGGATGAGATGCAGCAGTGGAAGATTGACAGTGATGGGAAAAGGCAGGGAAATATCAATGCAGAAAGAAATTACTCTGTAGGCCAGGTGCAGTGGCTCACGCCTGTAATCCCAGCACCTTGGGAGGCCGAGGCAGGTGGATCACCTGAGGTCAGGAGTTTGAGCCTGATCAACATGGTGAAACCCTGTCTCTATTAAAAATACAAAAATTAGCTAGGCGTGGTGGCACACACACCTGTACTCAAGAGGCTGAGGCAGAAGAATCGCTTGAACCTGGGAGGTGGAGGTTGCAGTGAGCCGAGATCACACCACTGCACTGTAGCCTGGGCAACAAGAGCGAGACTGTTTCAAAAAAAAAGAAAGAAATTACCCTGTTAAGCTGGGAGAATATGTCTGGCAGAGAGAAAGAATTATCAAGAAAGCAAAGAGGGAAGAGACAACTAGAAACATAGGCAAAATGGCTTCAAGAAGAAAATGGGGGGAAAAAATAGAAGAAAATGGGGCCAGGAGTCATGGCTGATGCCTGTACTCCCAACACTTTGGGAGGCTGAGAAAGGAGGATCACTTGAGTCCAAGAATTCAAGACCAGCTTGGGAAACACAGTGAGACTCCATCTCTGAGAAAAACAAAATAGGTGGGAGTGATGGCATGTGCCTATAGTCCCAGCTGCTCAGGAGACTGAGGCAGGAGGATCACTTGAGCCCAGGAAGGTGAGGATGCAGTGAGATATGACCATGCCACTGCACTCCAGCCTGGGCCACAGAGTGAGACCCTGTCTTAAGATAAATAAATAAAACAAGAAAATGAGATACTCTTTTCTCTGTATCCAGAGAGAGGTCATGTAAGGTAGTAAAGAGAAGGAGAAAGCTGCCAGAAAATGAACTGAAGGTGTCCGAGAAAGGGATCTTGGCATTCTCCTTACAGAATCAGGGCCTTGTGAAGAGCTCTCTGACCAATGTTTCCCACGATGCCACTGCCATCCCAATGGTTTCTATCTGCCTGATTCTCACCTGAACAGGAGGCTTGAGGAGTTCCTTTTTCCTCTATCCACAGGGCTTCTCTTTGCTCCAAGTGGGAAGAAGCCACTGGTTGAAAAAGTAAATACCCCGTCCATGAGGAAAGACTAGTGACTTGTGAGGTTTGTGCTGGGGAAAGTGGACCCTCTTTAATCCCCACATCAGTACATTGGTTCTTCAAGGCTTCTGAAAAAGACAAGAGTATACTTGAGAGGTAGCACAAGATAATGATTTTATTTTCTAGTTAAAAAATTACAGATCTGTGCCAGGCATGGTGGCTCACTCCTGTAATCCCAGCAATTTGGGAGGCCGAGGCAGGCGGATCACCTGAGGTCAGGAGTTTGAGACCAGCCTGGCCAACATGGTAAAACCCCATCTCTACTAAAAATACAAAAATTAGCTGGGCGTGGTGGTGCATGCCTGTAACCCCAGTTACTCAGGAGGCTGAGGTGGGAGAATCACTTGAACCCAGGAGGCAGAGGTTGCAGTGAGCCGAGGTCGTGGCATTGCACTCCAGCCTGGGCAACAGAGCAAGACTCAGTCTCAAAGAAAAAAAAAATTACAGATCTGGTTGGGCGTGGTGGCTCACACCTGTAATCCCAACACTTTGGGAGGCCCAGAGGCAGGTGATCACTGGAACACAGGAGTTTGAGACCAGCCTGAGCAACATGACAAGACCCCGGACCTACCAAAAAAAAACCAAAAACAAACAAACAAAAAAACTAGCCAGGTGTGGTGGTCTAAGCCTATAGTCCCAGCTACCTGGGAGATTGAGGTGGGAAGATCACTTGAGCCCTGGGGAGGTCAAGGCTGCAGTGAGCTGTGATCACACCACTGCACCCCAGGCTGGGCAATGAGAGTGAGACTCTGTCTCAAAAAAAAAAAAAAAAAAAAAGGGCGGGTGCAGTGGCTCACACCTGTAATCCCATCACTTTGGGAGGGCAGGGCGGGTGGATCATGAGGTCAGGAGATCAAGACCATCCTGGCTAACACGGTGAAACCCCGTCTCTACTAAAAATACAAAAAATTAGCCGGGTGTGGTGGCAGGCGCCTGTAGTCCCAGCTACTTGGGAGGCTGAGGCGGGAGAATGACATGAACTCGGGAGGCAGGGCTTGCAGTGAGCCGAGATTGCAGCACTGCATTCCAGCATGGGCGACAGAGTAAAAAAAAAAAAAAAATTACAGATCTTACATTTCCCCCAAAAATCGATACACAAATGGTCAATAAACACAGGAATGGATGCTCGATGTCATTGGTCATTAGGGGAATGCATATCAAAACCGCAATGAGATACCACTTCACACATATTAGAAAGGCCATAATAAAAAATAGTAAGTGTTGCCAAGGATGTGGAGAAATTGCAACAGTCTGCACTGCTGGTGGGAATGGAAAATATACATGCTGATACAAAACCCAGTATGGGGCTGGGCACAGTGGCTCACGTCTGTAATCCCAGCACTTTGGGAAGCGGAAGTAGGTGGATCACTAGAGGTCATGAGTTCAACACCACCCTGGCCAACATGGCAAAAATCCATCTCTATTAAAAATACAAAAACAGTAGCCGGGTGTGGTGGCGCATGCCTGTAATCCCAGCTACTGGGGAGGCTGAGGCAGGAGAATCGCTTGAACCTGGGAGGTGGAGGTTGTGGTGAGCCTAGATTGTACCACTGCACTTCAGCCTGGGCAACGAGAGCGAAACTCCGTCTCATAAAAAAAAAAAAATACAAAAACAGGTGTGGTGGTGCACACTTGTAATTCCAGCTACTTGGGAGGCTGAGGCATGAGAATCACTTGAACTGCGGAGGCAGAGGTTGCAGTGACCTGAGAGAGTGCCACTGCACTCCAGCCTGGGCAACAAAGTGAGACTCTGTCTCAAAACAAAAAAACAAAAGAAAAGCCAGTATGGCAGTTCCTGAAAAAGCTAAATTCTAAACATAGAATTACCGCATGATCCAGCAATTCTACTCCTAGTATTGACCCAAAGCACTGAAAACAGTGACTGAAACAGATACTTGTTTGCCAATGCTGACAGCAACAGGATTCACAACAGCGGAAAGGTGGAAACCCAGGCGTCCATCAACTGGTGAATGGATGGACACAGCGTGTTGTATACACACGATGGAATCTTCTTCATCTATGAACAAAGCACTGACACAGGCTACAATGTAAATGAACACTGAAAACATCACACCCAGTGAAATCAGCCAGACACAAAAGGCCACATATTATATGATTCCATTTATATGAAATGTCTGCCGGGCACGGTGACTCCTGCCTGTAATCCCAGCACTCTGGGAGGCCGAGGTGGGCAGATCACAAGGTCAGGAGATTGAGACCATCCTGGCTAACACAGTGAAATCCCATCTCTACTAAAAATACAAAAAATTATTAAAAAATTAGCCGGGCATGGTGGCGGGCGCCTGTAGTCCCAGCTACTCCGGAGGCTGAGGCAGGAGAATGGCGTGAACCCAGGAGGCGGAGCTTGCAGTGAGCCAAGATCACGCCACTGCACTCCAGCCTGGGCGACAGAGCGAGACTCCGTCTCAAAAAAAGAAAAGAAAAGAAATGTCCAGGGTAGGCAAATCCATAGAGATGGAGAGTGACTCATGGTTACAAGGGGCTGAAGGAGGGGCTGGGGAGGGAGAATTTAACGGGTACAGAGTTTTGGTTGAGGATAAAAGTTCTGGAAATGGACAGTTGTGGTGGCTGTAGTACATGCTGAATGCATTTAGTGCCACTGAACTGCACACTTAAAAGGGGTGAAAAAGGCACATTTTATGTTTATATAGAGATATATAGATAGATACGTGTGTGCATATATATATGTATATATACTTTTTTTATTTTTTTGACAGGGAGTTTTGCTCTTGTTGCCCAGGCTGGAGTCCAGTGGCACGATCTCAGCTTACCGCAACCTCCACCTCCTGGGTTCAAGCGATTCTCCTGCCTCAGCCTCCTGAGTAGCTGGGATTACAGGCATGCGCCACCACGCCTGGCTAATTTTGTATTTTTAGTAGAGACAAGGTTTCTCCATGTTGGTCAAGCTGGTCTCTCAGGTGATCTACCCCGCCTTGGCCTCCCAGAGTGCTGGGATTACAGGCGTGAGCCACTGCTGTATATATATTTTTTGAGACAGAGTCTCGCTCTGTCGCCCAGGCTGGAGTCCAGTGGTACGATCTTGGCTCACTGCAACCTCTGCCTCTCAGGTTCAAGCGATTCTCATGCCTCGACCTCCCAAGTAGCTGGGATTACAGACGTCTATCACCATGCCCAGCTAATTTTTGTATTTTTAGTAGAGATGGGGTTTTGCCACATTGGTCAGGCTGGTCTCAAACTCCTGGCCTCAAGTGATCCACCCACCTTGGCCTCCTGAAGTGCTGGGATTACAGACATGAACCACCACGCCCAGCCTACATTTTTTATCACAGTAAAAACATTTTTTTTTTTAATGATGGCTCTTTACCTTGGCAGAAAGAGTACAAATGCTCTGTGATATGGTTGAGCTGTCTCCCGACCCAAATCTCACCTCGAATTGTAATCTCCAATCGTAATCCCCACGTGTCAAGGGAGGTACCTGATGGGAGGTGATGAGATCATGGGGGCAGTTCCCCCATGCTGTTCTCGTGATAGTGAGTTCTCATGAGATCTGATGGTTTTATAAGGTTTCCCCTGCTCTCTTCCCTCTCTTGCTGCCTTTTGAAGAAGGTGCCTGCTTCCCCTTCTGCCGTGATTGTAAGTGTCCTGAGGCCTCCCGAGCCATGTGGAACTGTGACTCCATTAAACCTCTTTTCTTGCTTTTTTTTTTTTTTTCTTGAGACGGAGTCTTGCTCTGTCACCCAGGCTGGAGTGCAGTGGTGCAATCTTGGCTCACTGCAACCCTGCAACCTCTGCCTCCCGTGTTCAAGCAAGTCTCCTGCCTCAGCCTCCTGAGTAGCTGGGATTACAGGTGCCCGCCATTTTTAGTAGAGACAGGGTTTCACCACAGTGGCCAGGCTGGTCTTGAACTCCTGACCTCAGGTGATCACCCTTGTGATCCCTAAGTGCTTGGATAACAGGCATGAGCCACCACACCCAGCCTAGGTGGTACTCTTTATAGCAGTGTGAAACGGACTAAGACACTCTGACTTTGTTCCCAAGGGGAATCAGAGAAGTTATCTATGCCTGAGCTGAGACATGCAATTGCACTGCAGCTCCAGCTATCACGTACTGAACAAGTAAGGTCATCTGTTCTCAGAGAAACCAGACCACGAAAGCCACAAAACCAGGACCCATGTCTGTCTTACTTACCAATGAATCCCCCATTCCCAGCATGGTGCCAGACACATAGTAGATGCTAGATGACATGGTTTGGCTGTGTTGCCATCCAAATCTCACCTTGAATTGTAATAATCCCGACGTCAAGGGTGGAGCCAGGGGGAGATAACTGAATCATGGCGGAGGTGGTTTTCCCCATACTGTTCTCGTGGTAATGAATAAGTCTCACGAGATCTGACGGTTTTACAAATGGGAGTTCCCCTGCACAAGCTCTCTTGCCTACCGCCACGTAAGATGTGACTTTGTTCCTCATTCGCCTTCCACCATGATTGTGAGCCCTCCCCGGCCATGTGGAACTGAGTCCATTAAACCCCCTTTCCTTTACAAATTACCCAGTCTTGGGTATTTCTTTATTAGCAGTGTGAGAACAGACTAATACACCAGATAAATGTGAATCAATGAACACAGGAATTAGTGATGCTTGCCTTACCCAGGGAGACCACGTTCCTGTAGTTCTCCAGCATCACCTCTCTGTACAGGTTCTTCTGAGCAGGCTCCAGCAACTCCCACTCCTCCTGGGAGAAGTCCATGGACACGTCCTCAAAGGTTACTAATTCCTAGAATATCACAGCAGTTCTGCTCAAGATGGGTCCATCGCCACCCACGTTCATGGGAGGAGGGGTGAGGTTGGTGGCACCAGGGAAGTTGAGAAAGGTCAAGGTGCAAAGTCCATAAGTCAGTTTCTACTAGCTGCCTTGTGGGTGCTTGTCCTTGGCTTAAAATCAGAGGGACATACAGACCCTAGGCCCACCATCAACACAACAAGGACGACCAGCACACAGGTCTGGATGAAACATTTTGCCCATTTCTTATTGAACTGGTGATTCTAACCTCTGGATCTCTGAGCCTGACATTCCCATGTGAGAATCTCCCCCTGCTGATTCTGAAAATGAATGGATGTCATGGATATGCCACTTGCAAGTTATGGGACTGCAGGTATATTGCTGACCTATCCAGGACACAGCCTCCTCATCTGTTCAATGGAAAGAAGAATTTTATCCAAAGTGTGTTGTCGTGAGGACTAACTAGTTAATATCAGTCACAGCATTTGCTATTGCCATAGTCAGAAGACTGAGAAGCAATACCCAACAAAAAGCAGGATGGAACAGGACCTTCCTCAAAACTCACAGTTATTAGAGATTAGTTCTCTTTGCTTCCATGACTCAGAGTTACACATTACAAGGCATGGACAATGTAAGAAGAGGAATCTGCAGCCAGTCGCAGTGGCTCACACCTGTAATCCCAGCACTTTGAGAGGCCGAGGCGGGTGGATCACGACGTCAGGAGATCGAGACCATCCTGGCGAACGCAGTGAAACCCCGTCTCTACTAAAAATACAAAAAAATTAGCCGGGCATGATGGCGGGCGCCTGTAGTCCTAGCTACTCGGGAGGCTGAGGCATGAGAATGGCATGAACCCAGGAGGTGGAGTTTGCAGTGAGCCGAGATCACGCCACTGCACTCCAGCCTGGGCGACAGAGCGAGACTCCATCTCAAAAAAAAAAAAAAAGAGGAATCTGCTACAACAACCTTGACCCACTGAAATATGGCAAAAGCTTTGTTGTTTCAACATATGAAGGGGCTGATGAGTGTTTAGGGCCTGAATGGCTATCCAGGTAATCCATGGTATAAAACAGCACGTAAGCTGGTATCTGCTGTAAGATGTAAAAGTTGGCTGGGCACTGTGACGCATGCCTGTAATCCTAGCACTTTGGGAGGCTGAGGCAGGTGAATCACAAGGTCAGGAGTTCAAGACCAGCCTGGCCAACATAGTGAAACCCCATCTCTACTACAAATACAAAAATCAGCCAATCGTGGTGGCACGTACCTGTAGTCCCAGCTACTCAGGAGGCTGAGGCAGGAGAATCGCTTGAACCGGGAGGCAGAGGTTGCAGTGAGCGGAGATTGTGCCACGGCAATCCAGCCTGGGTGACAAAGCAAGACTCCATTTCAAAAAAAAAAAAAAAAAGTTACTGGCTGGGCACGGTGGCTCACACCTGTAATCCCAGCACTTTGGGAGGCCGAGGCAGGCGGATCACCTGAGGTTGGGAGTTCGAGACCAGCCTGACCAATATGGAGAAACCCCGTCTCTACCAAAAATACAAAATTAGTCAAGCGTGGTGACGGGTGCCTGTAATTGCAGCTACTCGGGAGGCTGAGGCAGGAGCATTGCTTGAACCTGGGAGGCAGAGGTTGCAGTGAACCAAGATCACGCCACTGCACTCCAGCCTGGGCAACAAGAGTGAAACTCCATCTCAAAAAAAGAAAGAAAGAAAGAAAAGATGTAGAACCACTTCTAGCACCTGAACCATAGGCATACAGGAGGCACCCTGAGCTTTCAATCCCAGCCTTAAGGGCCCTGTATGGACTCGCTTCAGTCCACCCCTGTCTTATGCCTTCACCTCTCCCTCTTCAGTTGCATCCTGGAAAAAAAAAACAAACTCTTCCGACTTTGCTCACACTGGTAATCCCAGCCCTTTGGGAAGCCAAGCTGGGAAGACTCTGTTTGAGCCCAGGAGTTCAAGACCAGACTGAGCAACACAGTGACACCCAGTTTCTACAAAAAATTTTTAAAATATTTTAAAAATCCCACTCCAGGATGTGCCTATAATCCCAGCACTTTGGCCTTTGAGGCCAGGAGTTCAAGTCCAGCCTGGCCAACATGGTGAAACCCTGTCTCTACTAAAAATACAAAAATTAGCCAGGCATGGTGGCGAGTGCCGTAATCTCAGCTACTTGGGAGGCTGAGGCAGGAGAATCGCTTGAACCCGGGAGGTGGGATCTCAGCGTGAGCTGAGATTGTGCCACTGCACTTCAGCTTGGGCAACAGAGCGAAACTCTGTCTTAAATAAAACTGCAGAGGGCGGACGTGGTGGCTCACACCTGTAATCCCAGCACTTTGGGAGGCCAAGGTGGGTGGATCACCTGAACCCAGGAGTTCACAGCCAGCCTGGGCCAACATGGTGAAACCCCGTCTCTACTAATAATACAAAAATTGGCTGGGTATGGTGGCACATGCCCATAATCCCAACTACTTGGGAGGCTGAGACACAAGAATAGCTTGAGCTTGGGCGGCAGAGGTTGCAGTGAGCCAAGATCGCGCCACTGCACTCCAACCTGTGCAACAGAGCAAGACCTTGTCTCAAAAAAAAAAAAAAAAAAAAAAAAAAACAACTGCAATCACGTTATGCTCAGTGAGAGAAGCCAGACACAGAAGGACAAAGCCTGTGTGGTTCCACTCCTAGGAGGTCCCTAGAGTTGTCAGATTCAGAGAGACAGAAAGTAGGATGGGGGGTACCAGGGGCTGGGGAGGGGGACAGGGAATGAGTGTCTCATGGGGACAGAGCTTCAGTTTGGGAAGAGGAGGAAGTTCTAGAGAGGAGGGTGGTGATGGTTGTCCAACTTAATGCCATTGAGCTGTGCACTTGAAAACGGCTAAGACGGTAAAGTTCATATGTATTTCATGTGTTTCATCAACGGCTAAGATGGTAAAGTTCATATGTATTTCATGTGTGTTTTATCAACAGCTAAGACGGTAAAGTTCATATGTATTTCATGTGTGTTTTATCAACGGCTAAGATGGTAAAGTTCATATGTATTTCATGTGTGTTTTATCACAGTTACAGAAATATTCTTTCAGGTAAAGAGGAGGATGCCTTCCTGGGCAGCACTGCCTGCTCTCCAGGGGAAGGTGCTGGATCCCACCTGTTGATGGCAGTGGCTGATGCCATCATGTCAGCAGCAGCAGGGAGGTGCCACCGGGGCTGCACACTCCATGGAGCTAGTGGGAGCCCCGTCCTCCTGTAGCTGTGGATTCGAGCCTCCCTGTGCTCTTGGGGGAACTGAGAAGAGGCAGGATCTGCCCTCCTGGGTGCAGCTGAAGCTGCCAGACCCGCAGCTGCAGACCTGGGCCTCGCACTCCAGGAAGCAGGCAGGAGCTGGAGACAAGTGAGAGCCCTGCCTCCTCCAAGTGGGCGAGGCAGGAGCTCCTGGGTGCAGCCGTGGCTGTCCTCCCAGGCGCAGGACCCAGGCATCTCTGCAACCTGCACCCTCAGGAGTCTCAGGAAGGACTCCCTAGTCCCTGCAGGTTCAGGGGTGTCTGCTCCCACTGCCTGGCCTCTCTCAGAGTGGGGTTTGGGCCAAGTCCTAGGGCCGTGAATGGCAGCAGGAGGCAGATTAATTCCTGGGCAGAAGGGGGTGGGTCCCCAGTAAGGCCCCACCTTCAGGCCAGGGAGGGCCTGAAGACTGGGGGCCAGGCTGCCAGTCCTACAGACCAGAGTGGGGACTCATGGTGCCTCTTTCGACCCTCCCATGGCCGCCCATGAACCAGTCGGCACACACTTCCTCCCCTCTGAGGTCCGTAAAAGCCCTGGGCTCAGGCTTAGCAGGGCAGAGGACGGCCAGAGGACAAAGAAGGCAGACAGATGACAGGATGGGACCGGACGACCAGCTGCAGAGAGGAGTACCCTCTCCACTGAAGGCTGCAGAGATGATCTGCCGGCAGAGAAGAGCTACCATCCCTGCTGAGAGCTTCAGAGAGGAGCTACCGTCCCTGCTGAGAGCTTCAGAGACCTGCAGAGACGTCCGAATGACTTGCCTGTGGAGAGGAGCCACCCTCTCCTAGGCCTCCTCTCTGCTGAGAGCTGAACACTCGACCAGACAACCTGCCAACAGGGAGGAGCTGCTCAATCCTCTGAGCTGCTCTAACAGTAAATACAACTCTTCTTCACCCTTCACTTGTCTGTATACCTCATTCTTCTTGGATGCAGGACAAGAACTTGGGCAAAGGTACCACAGCCACAGAGGTTTCCAGCCAGAAAAACTGACACCCCAGGGATCCCGTAATACTGTCTCCTAGGGAGAGGCTGTGCTCAGTCCCAATACTGAGGGTCACTCTTTACACCTGGGAGCAGCAGGAGTACCTCATCCCACACACCACTCCTGGGGAATTCTCCTGAACTTTCACATAGCAAGGGGTCTCCTCTATCGAGGACTGAGTTTCTGGTGGGATTGTTCCCTCTGGATATACTGGGTGCCCTTTGGGAGAATGAGGACATCTCACCTGGGACCAGCGGGGCAGGTACCCAGCAGCCATTCTCTCCTCTTGGGAAAAGCAGGTTCCTGGGCAGGCAGAGCTGTGGGGAGGAAAAAGGCGCTGCGAATACCAGATCCAGGCCAGTCCCCAGATCCCAGAGCCCTTGGCCTGGAGAACCTCCATTTGCTTGAAGGGGCCCCCCATACACAGAGGGAGGTAAACTGAAGCCAGAACCCAGGACTGAAGCCAGGGTTTGTGTTTTTTAAGAGATAGGGTCTCCCTCCGTTGCCCAGGCTGCAGTGCAGTGGTGCAATCATAGCTCATCTCATGGCAGCTTCAACCTCCTGGGCTCAAGCTATCCTCCTACCTCAGCCTGTGGCTGGAACTACAGGCACCACCATGTCCGGCTAATTTTTTGTATTTTCTGTAGAGACGGGGCCTTGCTATGTTGTCCCAGGTCTATAGCTCCTGGGCTCAAGGGATCCACCTTCCTCAGCCTCCCTAAATTCTGGGATTAAAGGTGTGAGACGCCACACACATCCATGGCCAGGGGTCTTAAAGGCCCCATTTTATGGATGAAGGTCCTGAGGCCCTTGGAAGCAAACAAGTTTACAAAACACCCAGGCTCCATTAGGAAGTGAAGCGCTCCATGCATTTCCTGAGGCTGTTTTCACAAGGTGCCAGTAACCCGGGGGCTTAAAATAACAGGAATATATCCTTTCCCAGTTCTGGAAGTCTGAGATCAAGGTGTGGGCAGGGCTGTACTCCCTCTGAAGGCTCTAGGGAAAAGCTCGGGTATGGTGGCTCATACTTGTAATCCCAGCACTTTGGGAGGCTGAGGCGCGAGGATCACTTGAGCCCAGGGGTTCAAGACCAGCCTGGCCAACATGGTGAAACCTCGTCTACTAAAAATACAAAAAAAATAGCCAGGTGTGGTGGCACATCCCTGTAAACCCAGCTACTCAGGAGGCTGAGGCACGATAATTATTTGAACCTGGGAGACAGGGGTTACAGTGAGCCAAGACTGTGCCACTGCACTCCAGCCTGGGCAATGGAGCAAGACTCTATCTCAAAAAGAAAAGATAAGGAAAAGAAGAAACAAAAGCTCTCAGGAAAAATCCTTCCGCCTCTTCCAGCTACTGGGGTCATGAGTATTGTCCTTATAAGAGAAAGAGACAGCTGGACTAGGTGACTCACGTCTGTAATCCCAGCATTTTGAAAGGCCAAGGCGGGCAGACCACGAGGTCAGGAGTTCGAGACCAGCCTGGCCAACATGGCAAAACCCCCGTCTCTACTAAAAATACAAAAATTAGCTGGGTGTGGTGGCGTGCACCTGTAATCCCAGCTACTCGAGAGGCTGAGGCAGAATTGCTTGATCCTGTGGGGTAGAGATTGCAGTGAGCCGAGATCGTGCCACTGCACTCCAGCCAGGTGACAGACCGAGACCCCATCTCAAAAAATAAAAATAAAAACAAAAAAGGAGAAAGAGACACAGGGAAGAAGGCCACATGATGATGCAGGCAGAGCTTGGAGTGATGTGGCCCCAAGCCAAGGGACACCAACTATGGCAGGCCACCCCCAGAAGCTGGAAGAGACAGAGAAGATCCTCCCGCCAGAGCCTTCAGAAGCACCACGGCCCCACCACATCTTCATGTTGGGCTTCTGGCCTCCAGACTTGTGAGAGAATAAATTTCAAGCCTCCCCCTGCCCCCTGGTTTGTGGTGCATTGTCACAGCAGCTCCAGGAGGCTCATGTAAGAACCAAAGGCGCCGGGCGCAGTGGTCACTTTGGGAGGCCGAGGTAGGTGGATCACCTGAGGTCAGGAGTTCGATACCAGCCTGGCTGGCCAACATGGAGAAACTCTGTATCTACTAAAAATATAAAAATTAGCCAGGCGGGGTGGCGTGCACCTGTAATCCCAGCTACTTGGGAGGCTGAGGCAGGAGAATCACTTGAACCCACGAGGTGGATGCAGTGAGCCGAGATCGTGCAACTGCACTCCAGCCTGGGCAATAGGGCGAGACTGTCTCAAGAAAAAAAAAAGAAGAAGAAAAAGAAACCAACCTGTTTGGGTAGGGGAGAGTTCAGGGAGGTTGGGGTTGCTAGAGCAGCAGAAAGGTCAGCTGCCTCCCTCATTCCTCAACATGGGTGGTGGGTATAAACAGAATAGACCCTTGCAGCTGCGCGGTGGCTCACGCCTGTAATCCCAGCACTTTGGGAGGCTGAGGCGGGTGGATCACCTGAGGTGGGAGTTCGAGACCAGCCTGGCCAACATGGTGAAACCCCGTCTCTACTAAAAATGCAAAAATTAGCCGGGCGTGGTGGCATACGCCTGTAATCCCAGCTACTTGGGAGGCTGAGGCAGGACAATGGCTTGAACCCGGGAGGCGGAGGTTGCAGTGAGCCGAGATCATGCCATTGCACTCCAGACTCCGTCTCAAAAAAAAAAAAAAAAGGACCCTTGCTGTCTTATCACCAGGACAGCGGTGCTAACGTATAAGTGAGGTCTCTCCCTCAGGGCGCTGTGGACACTGGAGCCTGGGTCATTCTCTGGGCTGGGCAGGGTGCTGAGTTGCATCCCTGGCCTCCACCTACTCCATGCCAGGAACTGCCCCCAGTTATGACAACCACAGACGTCCCCAGACATCGCCCGGTGTCCCCTGGAGGGCAGGACCGCCCCTCGCTCAGACCCTCTGATGTGGCCTCACTGCAGTGCGAGCGTGGCAGCCCCTCTCTGCCTTTAGGGTAGAGTCAATGCGTCTTCTCCCTCTCCTTGCAGGCTGGGCCTCGGAAAGCTTATGCGTCTCTCACCCAGGGGCGTTTTCACAGGGCAAGGGCAGACCGTGCCATCCTGGGCGTTGGGGCCCTGGGCGAGCTGCCGGCTCCCGACCCTCCCGTGGGGACCCTATCGCGACAGGGTCATGCCCCGGCCACCCGGCCCCGCCAGACCCAGCCCCACCAGAGCCCCGGCAGGCCCGGCACGGAGGTCGCGGCGCGGGAGGCGGCGGCACTTACGGCTGAGCTGCCGGGAGCCGCGCGCGCCGGCCCAGGTGGGCGCAGGTGACCATCGGGGCGCGCGCTGAGGCGCCAGACAGGGCCCCCGAGGCGGGAGCGCCCCGTGCAGGCCGGCCGGCCTCCCCTGCGTGTCCCTGGGACGCCTCCTCCGCTCGGCTCCTCGGCGCTCGGAGCGGACGCCCCCCGCAGGCGCCCCTCAGGAACTCGCCGCAGCCGCCGCCACCAACCCCGACGCGCGCAGAGGTAAACTCGGCACTGCGCCTGCGCACCCCGAACCTGCGAACTACAAGTCCCAGCAGGCCCCGCAGCGCGGCGCTGGGCTCCTGACTCTCCAACCTGGGTCACAGCGCCGCCTCCGGGCGGGCGGCGTCTCCGCAGGACCACGATGCCCCTGCGGCTGTTGGATCCACCCCGTGTGGTTCGCTGGAGTCCCCGGGTGTTGTGGGGTTCGCGGAGCCAATCCTCAAATCCCAGCTCCGTCGTTTCCCGGCGGCTTGCCATTGGATATTAATAACTACTATTATTTATTAAGCAAGTTATATAAACGTATAATGTATTACATACTTATTAAAATGATTGCTTAAGTAATTGTTGTTTGTTTTTGAGACTGAGTTTCGCTCTTGTCGCCCAGGCTGGAGTGCAATGGCATGATCTCAGGTCACTGAAACCTCCGCCCCCTCGGGTTCAAGCGATTATCCTGCCTCAGTCTCCCAAGTAGCTGGGATTACGGGCGTGCACAACCACACTCGGCTAATTTTTTATATTTTTGGTAGCGACGCGGTTTCACCATGTTGGCCAGGCTGGTCTCGAACTCCTGACTTCCAGTGATCTGCCCGCCTTGGCCTCCCAAAGTGCTGGGATTACAGGCGTGAGCCACCACGCCCAGCCAAATTAAATTATTGTTTAAATATTTATTTAATATTCTACTGATTGTTATTTATGAGAAATTAAAATAGTAAAACTACTATAATTAATATACTGTTGTAGGATACAACAAATTCCTCTTCAAAGGTTTTAGCCTGTAAATTGTTAAGTACAATCAGTTATGAGCTCCTCTCCAAAGAACCAATGTTTCCGTATATTCAGCTCCCCTGTTCTTTTTTTTTTTTTTTTTGAGATGGAGTCTCGCTCTGTCGCCCAGGCTGGAGTGCAGCGGCGCGATCTCGGCTCACTGCAAGCTCCGCCTCCCAGGTTCACGCCATTCTCCTGCCTCAGCCTCCCAAGCAGCTGGGACCACAGGCGCCCGCCACCACGCCCGGCTAATTTTTTTGTATTTTTAGTAGAGACGGAGTTTCACCGTGTTAGCCAGGATGGTCTCGATCTCCTGACCTCGTGATCCGCCTGCCTCAGCCTCCCAAAGTGCTGGGATTACAGGCGTGAGCCACCGCGCCCGGCCACCTATTCTTTGTTCTTCATTTTAAACTTTAACTTCCTCGTTCTTTTCGTTTCCTTGCCCCTAGTTTCAGTAAACAACCCCTCCTAGCCCCTATCACCTGCTCTGACCTTAGTCACCCTTGGTCACCTGCTCTGACCTTAGTCATCCTTGGTCACCTGCTCTGACCTTAGTCATCCTTGTCACCTGCTCTGACCTTAGTCATCCTTGGTCACCTGCTCTGACCTTAGTCATCCTTGGTCACCTGCTCTGACCTTAGTCATCCTTGTCACCTGCTCTGACCTTAGTTATCCTTGGTCACCTGCTCTGTTCTTAGTCACCCTTGTCACCTGCTCTGACCTTAGTTATCCTTGGTCACCTGCTCTGTTCTTAGTCACCCTTGTCACCTGCTCTGACCTTAGTTATCCTTGGTCACCTGCTCTGACCTTAGTCATCCTTGGTCACCTGCTCTGTTCTTAGTCACCCTTGTCACCTGCTCTGACCTTAGTTATCCTTGGTCACCTGCTCTGTTCTTAGTCACCCTTGTCACCTGCTCTGACCTTAGTCATCCTTGGTCACCTGCTCTGACCTTAGTTATCCTTGGTCACCTGCTCTGACCTTAGTCACCCTTGTCACCTGCTCTGACCTTAGTTATCCTTGGTCACCTGCTCTGTTCTTAGTCACCCTTGTCACCTGCTCTGACCTTAGTCATCCTTGGTCACCTGCTCTGACCTTAGTCACCCTTGTCACCTGCTCTGACCTTAGTCATCCTTGGTCACCTGCTCTGACCTTAGTTATCCTTGGTCACCTGCTCTGACCTTAGTTATCCTTGGTCACCTGCTCTGTTCTTAGTCACCCTTGTCACCTGCTCTGACCTTAGTCATCCTTGGTCACCTGCTCTGACCTTAGTTATCCTTGGTCACCTGCTCTGACCTTAGTTATCCTTGGTCACCTGCTCTGTTCTTAGTCACCCTTGTCACCTGCTCTGACCTTAGTTATCCTTGGTCACCTGCTCTGTTCTTAGTCACCCTTGTCACCTGCTCTGACCTTAGTTATCCTTGGTCACCTGCTCTGTTCTTAGTCATTCTGAGTCACCTTTTCTGTAGCCGTCCTTCCTGCCAAACTACTCACCCCGCCACTCTGGCTCATACCCCTGCTCTTTAAAACAGCCAATCAGAATCAGCTTAGACTGTGCGGGCCAACCCTAGCCAATAGGGGAACAACACAGCAGTAGGGGTACCTGCGTCAGGGGTAAGAACCCCTTCTCCTCCCTCGTTCAGGTGTGCTCGTTCAGGCGCCGCCAACCCCGACTCGCGCAGAGGCAAACTCGGCATTGCGCCTGCGCACCCTGAGCCTGTGAACTACAAGTCCCAGCAGGCCCCGCAGCGCGGCGCTGGGCTCCACCTGCCAGACGCACCCTTCTATAGAAGTAAAATTGCCGTGCTGAGAAAATTAATGTTCGAGTGCTGTTTCTTTTGTGGCACCGAAAATTTATTTCTAACACTATAAAGGTTCATAATATAGTCTCACTAATTGCATTAGTCAGTTCTCACACCGACTAAGGCAAGGGCCACCACGTCTGACTAAATGTTTGTATTTTTTAGTAGAGACGGGGTTTCCTCATATTGGCCAGGCTGGTCTTGAACTTCTGGCCTCAAGTGATCTGCCTG
Source organism: Homo sapiens (assembly GCF_000001405.40). Classification (NCBI taxonomy): domain Eukaryota; kingdom Metazoa; phylum Chordata; class Mammalia; order Primates; family Hominidae; genus Homo; species Homo sapiens. The sequence goes on along the minus strand of NC_000019.10, from coordinate 2,817,082 downwards.
CCTCAGCCTCCCAAAGTGCTGGAATTACAGGTGTGAGCCACTGTGCCCAGCCAATAAAAACATAAATAATAACTGGGAATTTATAGGCTCACATAACCGCCAAGTTCAGGGGCAGGTCCGGACCCCACCGTAAACTGGGTTGGAGGTGCTTGGACGATGTAGTGGGGTAGCCTTCATCACAGCCGTAGCGTCCTCCGGGTTGGCAGGCCCCACTCCAAGCACCTCCACGTGCCGACAGCATTCCCTCCTCCCAATTTCAAGTTCAGGGAAAAATAAAATTCTCTAATCGTTCAAACCGAGTCAGACTGGAGGACGGCACTGATGTAGGTGCTCCAAAATAGGTCACCAGCCCATCCGCAAACCAACGATGAGAGGTGGCCGGGGGCACAGGATGGCCTTTGGGACAGAGCTCCGTCTCCCTGACCTCCTGAGCTGAGGATGGGGCAAGAGGGAACACACAAGGGCAGTCTGGGGTCTGAAGAGGAGAGCATCACACCGGTCTGGTGCAGCCTGGAAAAGCCAGAAAGCTCTCTGCATGGCCACAGGGAGCCCAGTTCCCCAGGGAGCCACGTGGGCAGCACCCTGGCCCCTAGCCCATGCTGGAACTCATCCCTGGGCCCTGTCTACCTGGAGACTTGAACCCAGACCTCCTGCCTTCCAGCCCAGGGCTCAAACCACCCGCAAGCTGGCCATTAATCTCAGAATCGAACTGAGTTTCACAAAACATTTTGTCCCTTGAAGTAGGGACAGCCCTGGAGAGTGAGGCCCCTGTCCCTTTCAAGGCTGTGGCCTTCAGCCGGTGTTGCTCATTGGGGAGAGGAGGGGGGACGCTGGCTCTGCTCCTGAGATGCCCCATCTGGGACACGGGGACAGTAACACAAGTCCCATGGGGAGGATGGGGACGACCGCGCCTGCCCAGCCCGCAGCATGGAGCCTGCCTACAACGGCCCCACTGGTATCATCCTTGAGAGGAGTGGGGCCGCTCGGGGCCACCAACCACAGAGATCCCAGCAGCTTCTCGGTTGGAGAAATACTTCGTGAAGGACCAAAATGGAACCACAGGCACAAAGCCTGGGGCGCGTGTGTTGGAGGCAGCACAGGCAGGGACAGGATTGTGGGGATGAAGAGCCAGGGACACCTGGGGACAGCCCACGGGGGCTGGACGGGTGACTGGGGAGGAGACCACTTCTGCATTCAGGTTTTGTCAAAAACCTAAAGAAGGAGAGTTTACAGAGAAATGTTGCGAAGATCACAAAACATACAGGTTCCAATATATGTATTTTTTACGATTCTTTATTTCCCCCTTTTTTTTCCACTGGGGAGCAGCAAGGGGCCAAGGAGAGTGACAACCTGGACGGGCAGGGGATGCTAATGCCACACTGTCCTCTGAGCCCACTGCTGGAGCCCTGAGTGGGGAGCATGGGGCAGAGGAGCCAGGAGACACAGCAGCTCTGCAGCCCCCTCCCTGTGATCAAAGCCCCCGCTCTGTCCTGGAGTGTTTGGGGAAACCCGGGTGCCCCCGGTGTGGGCATTTGGGAAGGCTCTGAGGACGCCCAGCTCCCTGGGGAACAGGGCCCTGGACCGAGACTCTGTGCTACTACCTCCACATCCCTGGGTGTCCACAGAGCAGGGGACATGCTGGGGGAGGCGGCCCAACTTGCGAAGCACCGCGGGGGGCTGCCTGGGGTATCCGGCAACTAAGCCCAGTTGGTGACTTCCAGGGGAGTGGGGTGTGGATGGTCCAGGCCATCCGCCCACGGCCCAGCAGCCCAAGGCTGTGACCCCAGCTCTGCTGTGATGGGCCAGGCTGTGTGTGTGACAAGGCTGTGATGGCCCAGGGCCCAGCTGGGGTGCTCTTGCACAACTGGGACTTCGCTGGGGACCAGGTGGAGGCCACCTGAGGGCTCGGGGCAGGGGAAGATGAGGGAGCCCCCAGACTTGCCATCTCCACCTCTGCCCAGTGCGGTCGGCTTTGCCTTCCAGCTTTTCTTTTCTGAACCCCAGGTATTTTATTATTATTGTTATTTTAGAGACAGTCTTGCTCTGTTGCCCAGGCTGCAGTGCAGTGGTGGGATCACGGCTTACTGCAGCCTTGACCTCCTAGGCTCAAGCGATCCTCCTGCCTCAGCCTCCCAAAAAACAGACCACAGGCACTGGCCCCACACCCACCGAACTTATTTTTTTTAGAGATGGGGTCTTGCCACGTTGCCCAGGCTGGCCTTGCCCTCCTGGGCTCAAGCAATCCTTCCGCCTCAGCCTCCTGAGTAGTTGGGGCTTCAGGTGCAAGCTATGGGACCCGCTCTGAGCTGTGAGTATCTGAAACGTGACCACTGTGGTGTTCCCACTTATGGATTCCCGCCTCGCTGGCATAACCCTCCTGGCCACAGGCTGTGCCGTCCAGCTCTGCAAAGACAAGACTCACCCCTTAGCCCCCAGAGTTGGAAAGACACAGAAGCAGGTGCATGGAGCAGAGCCAGGCGTGCGTAAGGTGCAAAGCAGGCCCCATGGCAGTGGCCACAGCCACACTGACCTGGGCTGGGTGGGAATGGGACAGGAGGGGCTGAAGCAGATGGCACAGCCCTCGGAGTCCTGTCCAAATGGAGGTGAGGACGAGGCGGATGTCTGGCCACCCATAGGCCTCGGGAAGCAGGGTCACAGGTTCTGCTGACCAGCGTCCTTCGTGGAGGACTAAGACTGGGGAGGGACGCTCCCAGGGCACGAGGGGGGCTCCTGAGAAACTCACAGTCGCGGGAGAAAACATCAGAGCACTGGGACTGAAGAGACGGGGAGCATCCACTTGTCTTGCTCGGGAGGTGGGGACACAGCCGACAGCTATCCCTGAGGCATCTCTGAGCACTGTTGGAGGGTCCAGGAAGCGCCCCCCCGACCCTGCACCCCCGATCAAGACTTTGCCATGTTGCCCACAGCCAGGGGAGTGGGGCCGCCAGGGAGGGCAGGCACAGGCAGTCCCCAAGGCCATGAGGATGAGGGCCATGGCCGAGCTTCCAGCAGCTGCCCTGGTTCACCTGGTTCACTTGTGTCCAACAGGAACCCCCAGAGACTCTGCCTAGGAAGCTGGAGTGAGCCCGGCCTTCCCCTGTGGATGAGAGGGTGGGCAGCTGCTGACCCCCAGCCCCGCCCCGGCTGCCTGTGCGCACAGGGCCTGCCCTGACTTTCCAGACTCTCTGACCAGTGGAGCCTGGTCCTTGATGGCCAGAGCTGAGCAGGGCGGGGGGAATGTTCCAGAATGACAACAGGTGAGAAGCATGCAGGAAGCCGAAGTCTCTCAGACCCCCCAGGCCGGCCTGGCTGGCAGAACTGGTTCCCAGCCCTTTACTCCCCCACCCCCCGCCCCCACAAGGACCTGAGCCCCAATCCAGGGCCTGGTGTGGCAACAGCCCGAGGGCTGGACCCTGACCCGCCGTCCCACCGTCCTCGGACCAAAAAAGCGCAGGAGCCAGTGACCAGGCCAGGGAGCCTCTCTCTTTTTCTGTTTCCTTTTAATGACCTCATTTCAAAGAAGAGCCGTCTCCTGACAAGGGACGTTTCCCAGAGAGGAGACGTGTTAGTGCAACAAAGACCAGGCCCTGGCAGCCACGAAAGCCCTCCAGATGCCTTGAGGACGCCGTCTCTAGCCGGGTGGGCCACGACCGGGTGGGGACAGACAATGACAAGAGGCAAGACAGCCGCTCAGCCACCCTGCCAGTCCCAGGCACTGTGCCAGAGCCTGCCCCATCCTGTGCCGGGGGCTAAGGCACCAGGGCGGCGGGAGCGCAGGCCAGACTGGGCAGTCGCAGTGCCAGGCCTCAGCAGACCTGCGGCTCGGGCTCGCAGCCCCCGACCTGCAGCCCCTTGCTCAGGAGGAAGGCGTCCTGCTTGGGGTCACGGCCCAGGAAGCGCCTCAGCATGGCGCTGGCATCCTCGGAACCGCCGGGTCTCAGGATGCAGCTTCTGTAATCCATGCCAACCTGCCGAGGAGACAGGGCACTGTGGCCGGGTGGGGACCCAGGGAGGAAGGCAGAGGACCCCAGGAGTCTGCACACCCTCGCCCAGGGGGGCCTCGGAGCAACCCCTTCCAGGTTCCCAGGGAGGCCCGGGGGCCGCCTGCATCAGCACAGGTGGGAGAGCGCAGGTGCCTTTCATCAGAATCTCAGAGCGGGGGTGTGCACTGAGGGGCCAGCAGAGCCCCGAACTCCCCAAACTCCCGAGGTGGCTCCCGCCATCAGCCCCCACTGAAATCCCAGGCTGAGCCCATGAACAGAAGTGGCTGAGCCTCCGGCTGGACAATGTGGAAGCCGCTCGCGCTCTGGGCCGCCCTAAAGGCCCAGGTTTGAGCCCAGCCCTGTGACTGCGGGACTACGGGCAGGTGAGGCAGATGAGACTGCGAGGCGCCGGTGCCAGCCACCAAGGAGACCCCGACGCCCCAGAGCCCCGCAGGAGCCTGCGCGGACTGCAGGCTGCAGAGCCAGGGAGCCACAGTCCCAGCTCCCACCCGGGGGACTCCACCTCTACAGCCCCCGGCCGGTCCTCAGAGGTGGGACCCCCTCACCTCAGCAGCAGGGGGAGCTGCTGGAGGCTGCCTCAGGAGGGGGGAGGTCCCTGCTGGGCTGTGAAGACAGGGGGCTTGTCGGACCATTGCTCCCCCAGGTCCTGGCCTCTGCACCTCTATAAAGGGAGCAGCTGAGTGCCTGCTTGGTGGCTCCGAGGTACCTGCAGGCTGCCCAGTGCAATGTTGCACCCAGGCAGGGCAGGGCCGGCCCTCAAAGCTGGTAGCCACCTGTTCCTTGTGAGGGACTCTGGCGGCTGTCCCGAGCCTGGGTCACACCAAGTCAGCGGGAGGCACAGGCTCACATGGCGTAACGGCCGCACTTCATAGTGAGGAAACTGGAGGTTGGAGGAGCAAATGAATGGCAAACGCCAAGCCTTCTCCAGAGAAGGGTCTGTCTCAGCCCATGGCTCTGAGGCCGATCACGCAGATCCCGGAAGGACTCGTATGGGAAGACACGGAGCTCCCAGCACTCACAGCCCGAGGCCTGAGGGGCCAGTGTGGAGCTTCCTGCAGGGCCCAGGGAGGAGCTGTGGGCAGCACCGCACCAAGACCAGCAGGTGCCTCGGCCGGGATGGCTCACCCGGCACACCCAGGCCCAGGCCAAAGGTGTGCTTTTCTCGGCCCCACCCTGCTGTTGAGGACGCCCTCCCTGTCCCCAGTCCCCGCGTACCTTGCCGTTCAGGACGCCCTCCCTGTCCCCAGTCCCCGCGTACCTTGCCATTCAGGACGCCCTCCCTGTCCCCAGTCCCCGCGTACCTTGCCGTTCAGGACGCCCTCCCTGTCCCCAGTCCCCGCGTACCTTGCTGTTCAGGACACCCTCCTGCTTGAAGCGCGTGTGGAACATGTCCATGGAATACACCTCGCTCCACAGGTACCCGTAGTACTGGGCGTCGTAGCCACCTGCCAGATGGCCGAAGGTTGCAGGCATGTTGGTTCCTGGGGCGGACACATGGCAGGGTTCACGCTGTAGCCCCCACCCCATGCTCCTCCTCCAGGAGAAGACAACCAGCCAGACTCCTGAGACCCCTGCCCGGAACAGGGAGAAGCTGGAGGATCACGGTGAGGGCCGAGACCAGCTGGATACTTCTAGAACCAGAGTCAGCCACAAAGCGAGGGCCACAAGTCTCCGCCCCCTCTCCTGGAAGGACAGGAGCTCATTTAACGGGGCTGTCAGCTGCCACAGAGCAAAGTCCCCATTTTGAGACTGCGTCAATAAAGCAAGGCACGCCCACGCAACATCACAGGCCACGCTGCTGAAAACGCTTTTGGAAAGATTTTTGAAGTCTATGGAGTGTTAAGCCAGCAAAACACCACCCATGTTAAAATCATGCTGTATTTCCAAATTCTGGATCCTCGCAAGCGTGTGTGAACACACATGCACACAGGACAACAGGTGAGCATGGAAACAGGGCCCACTTCTCATCATTAGGATCGGAAATTCCTAGGCCTTCCTGTACTTCTCCAGGCTTTTTACAAAGCATGTGTCATACATTTCAATCAGGAAAACGCCAGCTTCATTCAAAGCAGAGGCTCCAGGGAACACACTCCTCCTGGGGGCTGGGGCCGCACACCCGTCCCCGACCCTGGGCCTGCAGCTGCATCTCAGCTGGGGCTGTCCCCCGAGGAGCCTGGGACGCGCTCCGTGGCTCCCCAGCAGGGACTCCTGCACTTGCTAAGTGAAGCATGGGGACCAACTCCCTTCACCTTCCCAGGGAAGCAGCTGAGGCTCCAAATTCCAGGGTGTGCCCGGCTCAAGGGTGGCTACCTGGCGTGGCCGGGACCCCGAGGATCTCCTGGCAGAGCCGCGCATACTCCTCGGCGGGGTCTGCGTCCGTCTGCGTGTGCAGGGCCTGGTCCACCTTGGCGAGGACGATCTGGCGCAGGTTGAAGAGGCCTGGGCGGGAGGGAAGGAGAGAGCTGGCCTCTGCACCTGCCCCGGCCCACTCTGCCCAGAGCTCCGACCCCCACCCGGGGCACATGCCAGGCCCCAGCTGTGTGCCGCCCCCCGAGGTTAGCACCCTTCCCCGGACGGGGCGGGTGCACCTGTGTTGGCCTGCCGGGACTCAATGAGCTTCTCCAGGAGCTCCCGGGGCACGGCGCTGCCTGTGCGGTAGTGCCGCGACATCCGCAGCAGCGGCTCCTGCTCCCACACCCAGTTCTCCAGCATCTGCGACGGCGCCTCCACAAAGTCCCGCTCCACGTGGGTCCCGCTGAACATGGCGAACTCCGCCTGCAGGGATGGGGCAGAGCCTCAGAGTGCCCAGGTCCTGCCTAGCCCGTTCCCGCCGGCCTGGCCCGTGTCAGCTGCCACAGTGCAAACAGGGCGAGTGCACAGGTGATGCGCTGGGCCCGGCCCTCCCACCCCAAAACTGGAAAACGACCGGGACCCGGAGGCCCCTGGGCTGCTGCTGGCTGCCGGTGGCAGCAGGACACACCTGAAGATGCCGGCCACATGACCCCGTCCCTGGAGGCCACCCACGCTTCTCCTCTAGCCACAGAGCTGCTGCTCCCTGAAAGCTCCGCACCCCGAGGGGTTGGGACCTGGGGACGGCCAGGTCCGGGTGGGGACGCTGTGAGGCATGCTGCATCTCCCTGCTCGTGTGTGTGTGGAACCTTCCCTAAAAGCACAGCCCTTGACTGAGTCCCGCTGGAACCATGGCAGGCAGCCAACGGCGAGGGAACTCCTGGGTGATCCTCAAGGTCCTCTCTGCAACACCGAGGCTTTTCTGTTCCAAGGACCACGCAGCCACACTCCTTGTCCCGACGGAATGCACCAAGGGACTCGCCGTGCCAGGCGCCAGGGACACGCAGAAAGCAGCATGCAAAGCAGGCCTGCAGGCACGTGCGTGGGCACCTGTGTGAGCACCTGTGTGGATGTGCACACGCGTGTGCTGGCTACGAGTGCTGTGCAAACAGTGTGGCAGGGAAGCCAGGAAAGGTGGACACACGGTCGATCCTCATTCCTGGACTCCGTGTTTTCAAACTCGCCTACTAAGATCCACAAAAACCCCAGAGGCCAGCACTGCGGCGCCCCTGAGCAGACGGTCCTCAGAAGGGCCGCACTCTGTCTTCTCACTTCGGCTCATTTTATGAGCAAGCGTCCTTTTCTCAGTCTAGTGGGGGCACGGTGTTTGCATCTTTCTGCTCTTGGTGATTTTGTGTTTAAAAGGCCCCAAGCGTTGTGCAGAGCACTGTCTCGTCTCCTTCAGCACCAGGAGGCCATGATGTGCCTCATGGGGACACCCTGTGTGTGCAAGCTGTGCTCAGGTGTGGGTGACAGAGCCACCAGCCATGTGTTCAACGTGAACCCGTCAGCGCTGTACAGCAGTAAGGTGTCTTGAACCCAAAACACACACAGTAAGGTTCTGGAATGATCAGTTGGCGAACACGTGACCAGGGTCCCCTTGGAGGGACAGGTCTGCATGCACTTCTCAGGGTTCTCAGTGACTTCATAGGACAGAGCCTTTCTGAGGAGCGATTGCTGACTGTGTGCTAGGACAGATGCTTGCAACAAGATGGCACCATGTTGGCCAGGCTGGTCTTGAGCTCCTGACCTCAGGTGATCTACCCACCTCGGCCTCCCAAAGTGCTGGGATTACAGGCGTGGACCACCACGCCTGGCCAGGATGTGACTACTTAGAGACAGGATGTCTAAGGAGGTCACTACGGTCAAGTGAGGTTGTTGGGCGGGCCCTGATCCGGCATGACTGGGGTCCCTGTAAGAAGACGAGATGGGGACCCACACAGAAGGACGACCACATGAGGATGCGGGGAGGTGGTGGCGGCCACAAGCCAAGGAGGGACCTCGAGGGAGCCAACCCTGCTGACACTGTGACCTCCGACTCCAGCCTCTAGGACCATGAGGAAATACACGCACCTTGTGTAAGCCCTGGTCTGTGGTGTTTTGCTGGGGCAGCCCCAGGACACGGGCATGACAGGGAGTCACCATCTTTGGGTGGCATTGGATGAAGGAGCCACCGGACGGGTGCAGAGAGAGCCGGAAGCCGAAGCCCCAGGCTTGGGCCTCGCTGACCACAGGCAGCCCCTGCCCCTGCCCCTGCCCCTGCCCCTGCCCGGGCCCGCACCCACCTGGGAGCAGAGCTGGTGCATCACGTGGCCAAACTCATGGAAGTAGGTCTCCACCTCGTCATGCTGCAGCAGCGAGGGCGCGTCGGCTGTGGGCTTGGTGAAGTTGGCCACCATGGCCGCGATGGCGATCTGGCGGCTCCCATCCTGCCGCAGGCAGCCGGGCTGCAGGCCAAAGCAGGCCGCGTGCCCGTACTTTCCTTCCCTGGGGAGGGAGGCAGCGTCAGGCCCCGCAGGGACTAGAGACACCGCAAGAGTCCCTGACTCCGCATCCCTCAGCCCACCTGACTGCTAACCCAGACCGCCGGGCACCTCTGAGGTTCTAAACCTCCCTCTCAGCAGAGGTGGCTTGGCGCAGGGCAGCATGAAAACCACGGCCAGGCCCCGGCTGCCATCCCTCCCCTAAAGGACTCCGGCCTGGGCAGAGCTGCGCCCTGTCGGGGTGGCTGAGTGAGACTGGAAACGGGGACAGCTGCATTTTCGGCCCCTGTGGTGTGCCCACGGGTGCTACGTCTCGGGGTTCATCCCCGAGGCCCCATGGAGCAGGCAACGACTTCCTTCCCATCTCAGACGGGCACACCGGGCTCCGAGGAGACCCAGGGCCGGGGTGCGCCCCCCGCCCCCGCTGCCCTCACCCACCGCGGGTACAGGTCCAGGTAGAACTTGCCGACCACCTCCCCCGAGGCCGCGTCCCTCGCGGTGTAGAGCCGCACGTCCTCATGCCAGGCACTGGCGCCCTCCTCGTGGTGGAAGGCCAGCCCCAGGAGCTCCTGGTAGATGCCCAGCAGCCCGTGCGTGACCACCTGCACGGGGAAGTACTCCTTGAGCAGGTTCTGGTCCACGCAGTAGCGCGTCTCCTCCACCTGGTTCATGTAGTAGCGCATGTCCCAGGCACGGATGCGGCCGTCGAAGGGCAGGCCCCGGCGCTCGCACTCCGCACGCTTCAGCTCCAGAATCACCGCACGCTCCTGCTCCCCCAGGGGCTTCAGCTTCTGCGCCAGCTCATCTGCGGGGAGGGCAGAAAGGTGGGCCTCTCGCCTCGCGGGCTCCTCCATGGCTCTGGGCTCGCCCGCCCGCGGCCGCGACTTCGTCAGGCTCCCCATTTGGAAGGGAGGACCCGCAGTTCCCGGCAACCCCTCGAGGGGCCGAGCATCCTCACGCTCAGGGTGAGGGGGCGGCGGGGCCGGGTGCAAGCATGGGACTGACCCCAGGGCCCGGGCGCTTCCCTGTTCTGTAAGGGTCCCTCGGGGGGAGTGAGGGAGCCAGGGCAGGCGTCAGAAGTCCCTCTTCATGGAGGGAAAGGACAAGGCTCTAGGGGTAGCACCGACTGTCCCCTGGGGTGACCCTGAGAACCTTCCCCACAGGGACCCCAGTGGAGGAGGAAGGAAGGGCTACCTAGGAAGGTGGCCACGGTCTGGCTGGTCTTGGCCATGTTCATCTCCAGGACATAGTCGGCGTGCGTGTGGAACCCCAGCAGGCGGGACTTCTGGGCCCGCAGCGTCACCAGCTCCTTGAGGATAGCGCAGTTCTCCTGCAACCGACACCACCACACTGTCACCCAGGGGCGCCACTCCCTCCACCTCCAGGGCCAGCACGCCCTGTCCCAGGGCCAAAGGCTCATATCCAGCTCCGTCTGACCTCCGGTCCCTGCCCCTCTCGGCCTGTGTTACTACACAACTCCTCTGGTCATGCCACCAGCGTTATCATAATCCCAAGGCCTTTTTGGAACCAGAAGGGGTGCAGATGACTCTAAGGCCTCACACGGAACGTGGTATGGGGACCAGGGGCTGTCCGAGGAGCCTCCGAGGGCATCACTGCTGCATGTGGGGACACCTCCATGTCCAGGCCTTGGTTCCCAGTCTCACGGGCTCTGCCTATCGCCACCAGCAAATGACATGCACACAGCCTCACTTCTGAGGACTGGCACTGCCAACCAAGCCAGTGGGGGTGGGGGAGGACGCATGAAAGCCACGTGAGGCGTTTACGAGGAGAAACAGAGGCCTGTTCAGGACAGATGTGCCCACCAGCTGGGTCCACAGGAAACCCAGCTGTAACCAGCAGGTGCGTGCAGAGCAGCCAGCCAAATAGGGGCCAGGCCGACCGCCAGCAGCAAGGTCTCTGAGGCGGCACATCCCCCGGGACCTGGAACTCAGCCCACCCGTGTGCGCCCTCTTGGCCTGGCCCTCACTCTGCCACTAGGACCCAAGCCTGGGGACCAGGACGGGATTGCCCAGTTGACCTTCTAAGGCGCAGTGGGGAAGTCGAGGTGTGCCCAGTCCACGGGTCCACCTACTTAGGCTTAACAGCAACATGAATTCATAGCCAACATGTAGAGGGCAGGCCACGCCCCATCTGAGCAGACTGAGTTCCCGGTCCCTGAACAGCGAGGAGCACCCCCCTGCCTTGCAGTGATCGGTGCCCACCTGTACCCCCATTGGTACCCACCCGTCCCCCACCCCCCGCAGTGATGGGCACCCGCCCATCCCCCCGCAGTGATGGGCACCCGCCCGTCCCCCCGCAGTGATGGGCACCCGCCCGTCCCCCCGCAGTGATGGGCACCCGCCCGTCCCCCCGCAGTGATGGGCACCCGCCCGTCCCCCCGCAGTGATGGGCACCCGCCCGTCCCCTTGCAGTGATCAGTGCCCGCCCATCCCTTTGCAGTGATCAGCGTGTATCCCCCTTTTGCCAGCCGCACAAGCACCAACTTGGTGTCGTCAGGGGACCAAGAGGCCCACTCCTAGAGCCTCTGCCTGTTCCAGATGGCGAATGGGAGACGTGCAGAGACCACCTGACCGACCACACCATGGCGCCGTGGACAGTTACATGTGTCCCTGTGGGAACGGCCGTCTGACGCCAGTCACAGCGAGATAGCCCAGTCACAACCCACCTGTGGACCCAGGCTCAGGTCCGGGCACCATCATTTAAGACAAAAGGAATGATCTGGGCTGACACACCTGAGGGGCGGCTCCAGATAAGGGAGGGACGAGACGTGTGCGCGGCCAGATGCTCAGAGCAGCAGCAGGAGGCTCAGCTTGGGAAGGATGAACTGGGCCCTGAGCTGTGGCCCCAGGGTCTGGGTGGAGCCCAGCACAGACACCTCCAGGGCACGGCAGAGCCCCACAGGGAGGCCTCTGCTGGCCACTGGGCCTGGCCAGGGAGATTGGGAGGCCATCCAAGTGCAAAGCCTGGAGGTGCCTCACACACATGGAGCAGACGGGCCCCACAAGCTCCAGACCCACTGTTCTGGGGCCCCCTGGCCGTGCCTTCTCACCTCCTTGCACCGGCAGTTGAAGGCCTCCTCCACTTTCCTCCTGGTCTCAGGCACGTGGCATTTCTTCAGGAGGGGGAAGTAATGGGGGTACTTGAGGGTGACCTTCAACTTGCCGTCCTCCATCTTCTCCAGGGAGTTCAGAAAGTCCTCGGGGAGCCCTCCTATGGGGACAGAACCAGGGTGGCTTTGACAGGACTGATGGGCCCACAGCCTGCACACAGCGTGTGAGGGAAGGGGTGGGCTTCCCCTCTGCCTGGAAAGCTACAAGGGGGCCCTCAGCGAGCAGCTGCAGCCTGGCCACCACCCGCTGCAATTCTTACATCCCCCATCTAACCCCATCAAGAAATACCCTGGCTCCCCCACAGCCTGGCCACCACCTGCCACGTTTCTCACGTCCCGCCTCTAACCCCACCAGGAAACCCCCCAGCATCCTCAGAGCAGGATCTCCTGCCCCAGAGAGGTTAAAGCTAAATCCAGCCCAACCCCCGGACATCGTGGGCTTCCAGGGCGCCGTCACCAACCTCATGTGTGAAGGGAGGAGGGTGGCGGGAAGGGTGGCCCGGCCACTGCACAAGGAAACCAGCGTTAGAGGCAGTGCCTCCCATCAAAGACAAAAACAGCAGGAGAGCTGAGCACGCTGGGCCCTGGGCGGAGAGGGAGGCCCCACGTGGAGAGGGAGGTCCTGCTTTGCTTTTCCTGAAGAACCACCCCCAGGCAGAGCCTCCCGCTCAGAGCTGAGATCTCAGCACGCAGCCCCACGGCTCAACCACTTTCAAGTGTGTCCCTCCAGAGAGACCCAATTCCTACTCCCAGAGCTTCTCACTGGAGCCCTGCTGTCCCTTCTCCACCCACAAAACCCCTGGCAGGACACAGTTCACCCCGCTGCCCGGCAGCCACACCCTCCCACCTGGCCCCTGCCCGACAGCCTCAAGAGAAGTGGGGGCGGCAGCATCCCGGACTGAAACCCTCTGGGGTTCCTACCTCATGGCTCGGGAGACGCCAGGGCCACCGTGCCTCAGGCTTGCAGCTTCAATGCAAAGACTGGTTCACCTCAACCCCAGGGCGGTCAGAGTGGAAAGAATGATCGGGAGCTCACTCCGACCCCAGGGGAGTCAGGGTGGAAAGAATGATCCGGAGCTCACACGGACCCCAGAGCAGTAGGGGTAGAAAGAACGATCGGGAGCTCACGCCGACCCCAGGGCGGTCAGGGTGGAAAGAATGATTGGGAGCTCACCCCGACCCCAGGGCAGTAGGGGTGGAAAGAATGATCGGGAGCTCACGGGGACCCCAGGGAGGCAAGGGTGGAAAGAATGATCCGGTTGGGGGGCCAGAGGCAGATGGGGGAAATTTTGGGAGGCCAGCCCGTGGGTGTGGGTGGTGATGAGGGAGCTGAGAGTCCTGTGGCCGGCAGAGCCCCCGCCTTCCCGTTTGTACCCCAGCACCAGCGTGGGCCTGGCAATTGTCTGCCGAGTGACTGCAGCATGAGGGGGAGGCCTCCCGGGACCTGCACATCGTCCTTTCCAAGGACCACGGGCCTTCAAACAGCAGCTCTCCATCTCGACAGTGTGTCACCCAGGAGTGACGGCTGGCGGTCGGAGACGGGAGTTAAAGGACAGCAAGGGAGACAGCTGGGGGGCCCAGCAGCGCTGGACTGGAAGAGAAGCTGCAAAGTGGACTCCTGGAAGTTTTTATTTTTTTAGAAAAAGGGTCTTGCTCTGTTGCCCAGGCTGCAATGGATAGTTCACGAATGCATAGTTCACGTTCACTGTGGCCCTGAACTCCCAGACTCAAGCAATCCCCCTGCCTCAGCCTCCCGAGTGGCTGGGACCTCAGGTGTGTGCCGGCATGCCCCGCTGCACTTGTGGATTTGATATACAGACACAGAATAGAAGAGTGTGTGTGTCCATGTGTGGTGCAGAGATGCGTGTCTGCTTCCTAACTGTTAACGGTGCCCAGGAATGCTGCTCCCTGGCAGTGGTGAACACATCCGGTGCCTAAGTCACCCTCCACTCAAAGGCGCCAGGTCTCCTCCAAGAAATGGAGCATCTGAGGGCTGGGGCAGGGAGAGCATGGGACGAGCCTGCGACATCACATGTCCAACAGTAAGAGTGGGCTCAGAGGCCGAGCCTGCGGTACCGCGCGCCCCACAGTAAGCGCGGGCTCAGAGGCCGAGCCTGCGGTACCATGTGCCCCACAGTAAGAGCAGGTTCAGAGGACAGCAGGTGCATTACAAGGACACAGGGATTGTTCGGAGGGACTCCTGAGGGTCCATGTGGGACGATTTGAGCACTGGGATAAATGATAATGAATGATAACCCGGGAATAAGACAGAAGCCTCATGCACACGGACAGAAACAAATCAGTAAGAAGACAGGCAAGGAGGGAAGGTTCGGAGTCACGGCAGGATGACTGATGCCCAGAGGGTGAGGGCGGCAGAAGTCATCCATGGACATGGCAACTAGTGTATGACAATGTGCGAGTGATGGACACTCACAGGTCTCTGCTCTGGTTGGGTGCGTCCCCTCCAAAATGCACCAGGAACTTAATGCCAGAGATGGTGGTGTCGGGAGATGCGGGTATCGGGAGGTGGCGGTGTCGGGAGGTGGGGGTGTCGGAAGGTGTTGGTGTCGGGAGGTGTTGGTGTCGGGAGGTGTGGGTGTCGTGAGGTGTTGGTGTCGGGAGGTGTTGGTGTCGGGAGGTGTTGGTGTCGGGAGGTGGGGGTGTCGGGAGGTGTTGGTGTTGGGAGGTGGGGGTGTCGGGAGGTGGGGGTGTCAGGAGGTGTTAGTGTTGGGAGGTGGGGGTGTGGGGAAGTGTTGGTGTTGGGAGGTGTTGGTGTCGGGAGGTGGGGGTGTCGGGAAGTGGGGGTGTCGGGAGGTGTTGGTATTGGGAGGTGGGGGTGTCGGGAGGTGGGTGTGTCGGGAGGTGTTGGTGTTGGGAGGTGGGTGGGTCAGGAGGTGGGGGTGTCCGGAGGTGGAGGTATCGGGAGACGGCGGTGTTGGAGGTGGCGGTGTTGGAGATGGTGGTGTTGGAGGTGGCAGTGTTGGAGATGGTGGTGTTGGAGGTGGTGGTATTGAGAGGTAGCAGTATTGGGAGATGTGGGTATCGGGAGATGGCAGTGTTGGGAGGTGGCGGTATTGAGAGGTAGCGGTATCGGGAGATGTGGGTATTGGGAGATGTGGGTATCGGGAGATGGCGGTGTTGGAGATGGTGGTATTGGGAGATGGCAGGATTAGGTACTGGGGCCTTCAAGAGGCAGCTGGGTCATGTGGCCTCTGCCTTCAGGAATGGATGAATCCATTCATGGATTCATGGATGAAGGGACAGATGGGTTAATGTGGCAGAGGGCCTGGGGCTTTGTGAGGAGGAGAGACCTGGGTGGAACCGGCTCGCTTAGCCCCCTCCCCTTGCCATGTGACACCCTGGCCGCCTCAGGGCTCCAGAGTCCCCACCAGGAAGAAGGCCCTGGCCAGATATGGCCCCTCGACCTGGGACTTCTCAGCCTCCAGAGCTGTGACAAGTTAATTCCTTTTCTTATAAACTACATGGCCTTAGGTTTTCTGTTGTAAGCAGAAGAAAAGGAACTAAGACCATCGCAAGGCGTCTCCTGAGAAATGACGGACCACAAAGGGAAACAGGTCCCGGGGCAGCAGCAGCGGACAGCCCTGGAGACTGTCACCCAACACGCTAGCCACCCGCATGACGGTGTCACCTGGCCACATGGGACTCAAGCCACCTGCACGGGAGACCCCTCAGGCCCGACAAATGGAACGGCACCCCAAAGAGTTAGACACCAAAATCCACAAACATTCGAGTTTGCAGGATGGCAAACGTGAAAAGAAACAGGCAGCTGAAACGCCGACAAGAACAAAACTGGCTGAAACCGGCTGGAACCCACATGAGCCAGCAGAGTCTGTGCAGAACCAGCTGGCTGATGCCAACTGAACTTCCACCGCGCTTCATACAGACTTCCCCAGGATTCACACCCAGGACCCACGAGCTGGCACGGACAGATAACTGTGCGTGCCCAAGGACCTTCCAGACCTCCCCTTTCCTTCCAACAATCACCTGCTAATCCCAGAATCCACCTCTGCACCTTCTCTCATGAAAGTACTGCCTGAAAGCTGGCACAGGAGGCAGATTTGAGCTGGACGCCCAGTCTCCTTGGGAGTCACTTGCAATGAGAAGCTTTTGTTTCCTCAAATCCTTGGTGCCATGGCATTGGCTTCTAGAACATCAGGCACCGAGTCCTTCTGCTTGCTAACACGAGCAGGCAGGAGAAGCAGCCCCACGGGGATGGTGCGGGTGGCCGCGGGGACGGTGCGGGTGGCCGCGGGATGGCGTGGGTGGCTGCGGGAATGGTGCGGGTGATCAGTGCACCCACTGAGGGGCAGGCTGGGAAACGTGCTTTACGGCAGATTGTAGCCCGTCGTCTCTCCTGAGTGCCAGAAGCTGAGGGTAGGATGTGCTGCCCGAGACACGGGAGGGCTGAGCAAGTGGCTGGCAGCCAAGCTTGGCAGTGCCCGACCTGCGAGTGTTCCCTCAGGAAACATACGCCCAGGTGACCACACATCAAGCCACCTGCGGAGGCCTCCGGCCATGAGGGCCTTGTCCCCACCCACCACCTCAGAGGCAACTACATTCAGAGTCTAGAACTGGAGGTTATATTCTATAGCACCCATCAGAATATTCCGGCCTGCCTGGGCACGGTGGCTCATGCCTGTAATCCCAGAACTTTGGGAGGTTGAGGCAGGCAGATCCTGAGCCCAGGAGTCTGAGACCACCCTGGCCAACACGGCGAAACCGTCTCTACTAAAAATAAAAAAATTTGCCAGGTGTGATGGCATACGTCTGTAGTCCCAGCTACTCAGGAGGCTGAGACAGGAGAATCACTTGAACCCGGGGGACGGAGGTTGCAGTGAGTGGAGGTCGCACCACTGCACTCCAGCCTGGGCAACAGAGCAAGACTCCATCTCAAAATAAATTAATTAATTAATTAAATTAAATAAATAAAGGCAGGCAGGAAGTGGGGTCTCAAGGGAAAATTGTGGTTCCCTCAGGGCCATGGCTGAGACTGGCACCCTTGGCCACCCCGTCCGGCCTGGGCTTCCGCCACTGCCAGGGACATTTTCTATCAGGGTGGAATCTTGGTGGGACAGACCATGGCCCTCCCCAAGGAGGGCTCAGAGCTTTTGGCTGTAAACGGCCCTGGAGCGCTTCCGGTGAGGAAAGTCCTCAGCCCAGGGCGGTCAGGTCCACGTACTTCGGCCTCCCGCCGCCCTTCAGCACAGAAGCCCACAGGAGGAAGCGGCGGCCCCCGAGGGCCTGGCAGGCCTGCACTGAGTCCCAGGACCGATGGCCACCCGTGCCCCACTGCTCGGCCCCTACCTAGCTCCTGGAGCGTGAAGGGCAGGAAGGTCGTGTCCTCGTTCAGGTTCTTGTTGAAGTCGATGCACAGAAGGCTCAGCTTCTTCTTGATGCGTTTGATGTTCTGGAGAGAAAGGCGGGGCGTGAGGGGAGGGAGAGACCGGGGCGGGCTCCGCGGGGAGACGCAACGCCTGGGAACCCTCTCGCCGAGGGCTGAGGGATTTCCCCAAGAACCAGGCCGAAAGAAGAGGCAACCGAGGAGGAAAGAGTGAGACGGGAGGCGGAGGACAGACAGACACGGAGGCCACGAGGCTGCGCAGTGTGGATTTCAACACCAGCTGCGGCATCCAAAGCTGGGTGACCTCGGGCAACCTCAGGGATGTGCTCCGGTCTGTCAGGTGTGGCCCTGGCCAAGAGTGCTCCAGACCCTCCTATCCATTAAGGAATCACCTTCAGAGCCTGCAGCCTAAGCTTTTCAACATTCTTCTGAGACAGGGACTCGCTCTGTTGCCCAGGCTGGAATGCAGTGGCATGATCTCGACTCACTGCAGCCTCAACCTCCCAACTCAATTGATCCTCCTGCCTTAGCCTCCTGAGTAGCTAGGACTACAGGTACACGCCACTACACCCAGCTAATTTTTGTATGTTTGGTACAGACGGGGTTTCACCATGTTGCTCAGGCTGGTTTCGAACTCCTGGGCTCAAGCAATCCTCCCACCTCAGCCTCCCAAAGTGCTGGGATTACAGGCATGAGTCACCGTGTCTGGCAGCTTTTGAACATTTTACCCCTTATCTGGTAAAGCTGGTTTTAGAAACAGCTAAAACTCGACCCTGGTGATATGGGATATCAACAAAGGAACTGAATCTTGAGTGGTCCCTCTGGTGGCCTTGAAGGCTGGGAGGTGACCACTATGTGACAAGGACCTGGCTTGAGGCCACATGACACATGACAGGCTGGCAGCAGGGCTGTACTTTGACTCAGATTCTCCTGCTGGAAGCTCCGCCAGGCGGGTCTGGAGCCCAGCTCCATGGGGCCAGAGCAGAAATGCTCATCCGCAGGACAGAGGGCGGCAGCAGGGGGAAACTGTGCCCAGGACTTTGCAGGGAGCCTGTATCTTGTCAGGAAGGCCCTGGTTCAGAACCAGCTGAGGGTTTGCTGGGCCTCTCCTGGGAACAGGCCCCATGCTGGGCAATTCCCAATGTCTCCCCCTCTTGCCATCTCACATAACAAACCCAGCCATGCCAGGGAAGGCTCTGGAGACTCAATGAGCACACAGCGCTGGCCCTAAGGGCCGCGGGGACGCGCTGGAACTCTGCTCGCCAGCATCCGGACCTCGCACCTTTTCCGCGCTTCTGTCCTCCAGGCGGGGCTGCCTCTGCTCCCTCCTTGCTTGCTGGCCCTTGTGGGAGAGTTTGTGGCTTCTACCATGCACATGGCCACACATGCTGGGCATGCAACAAGCCGAAGGGGTTTTAAAAATAACTGTGGTACAGTGGCTCACACCCGTAATCCCAGCAGTTTGGGAGGCCAAGGCGGGTGAATCACTTGAGGTTAGGAGTTTGAGACCAGCCTGGCCAATGTGGTAAAACCCTGTCTCTATCAAAAATAAAAAAAAATTAGCCAGCTGTGTTGGCGGGTGCCCGTAATCCCAGCTACTCCAGAGGCTGAGGCAGGAGAATCGCTTGAACATAGGAGGCAGAGGTTGCAGCGAGCTGAGATCACACCGTTGCACTCCAGCCTGGGAGACAGAGTGTGACTCCCTGTCTAAATAAATAAATAAATGCATAAATAAAAATAAAAATAACTGGCTCTTGTCCGCTGCGGCTGAGCTGAGGACCCCCAGTCCCCGAGTACTGAGACGGACCCTGACTCCGCTTTCGTCAGTGCTGGTTTCACTGACAAACCCACCTGGCCTCTCTGAGTCTTGGTTGCCTCAGCCATAAGGTGGAGACGCCCCCTAACCAGGACAGCGGTGGCTTTATGGAACCGGAACAGGGACAGCCATGGGGCTATGGCTGCAGCCTGGGACCTGATTGAACTGTGTGCTTTCTTTCCTGTACAGATGCTCCCTGACTTAGGACAGGGGTATGTCCCAATAATCCCATCGTGAGTTGTGAATATCATAAATCACAAATGCATTTAATAGGAGCGAACATCACAGCTTAACCTGGCCTGTCTTAAGCGTGCTCAGGAACTCACAGCAGCCCACATTCTGGTGAGATCGCCGAAGGCAAAGGCTATCGGATATGAGGTGTTGGGTATCTCATGTAACTTCGGTTTTCAGTTTGCCTGCGTCATTGCAGGCTAGCTGGTAGCTGTGGCTGGCGCCCAGCGTCACAGGACAGCAAGTGCCCAAGTGGCCGGCCTCGGAAAGATCAGCATTCCAAGCACGGTTTCTACTGAACACACACCATGGTGAATCAGGGGCCTGTATTCTGATGCTTTGACATTTGGGTGCCTTGCTGGCCCTCGAGAAATGGCCCCTCCCAGAGACAGCCAACAGCTCGCCTGCAAACATCTTTCACGTGCAAATCAACTAGTCTCGAGCCCCTACACTCTGGGGCACCATCCACCGGCCCCCATTACCCTAGGGCCAGGCACCCGATGAGGGGCAGCCCCCATGCCAGGGCTGGCTGAGATGGTCCAGCCGGCCAACCCTGAGCCCACTCCCCGCTACACCCATGCCTTCACAAGGGACCCCAGCGAAGGCCCTGCCCAGAGCACACCTCCTGACCCAGCCATGCTTCCCATGTGGCGAGCTGCCAGTTCCTGGGAACTGTGACACGCATCTTTCCAGTGGCGGTCGCCACTGCTCTGTTGGTGCCGCTGAACACTGGGCTTCTGCTAACACACTACGCTTGACTTCAGCGCTGCGCTCCCAGCTCTGCACCAACTAACTCATGTCACCCCTGAGACGCCCACATCAGGCACACCGGGCAGTGGGTGGAGGGGCTCCCCTCGTTACCGAGCCTCTGCGCCCCATGTCTGTGTGGACCTGCCTTGCCAGAGTTCAGGTCCTCAGGCAGAAGAAAGATGGACATCAGGCCGGGGGTCAGCCCTGAAGGGGGGACGCTCCCGAGGAGGCAGGGGCAGGGGGCCACAGAAGCTCCACTGGCCACGCCCAGCACTCCCCGCACCCAGTACTCCCTGAGCCCAGCACTCCCCGCAACTGAGCACTCCCCAGGACTGAGCACTCCCCGTGCCCAGTACTCCCCATGCCGAGTACTCCCCAGACTGAGCACTCCCCACACCCAGTACTCCCTGGGACCGAGCACTCCCCCCACCCAGCACTCCCCAAGCCCAAGCACTCCCTGAGCTCAGTACTCCCCATGCCCAGTGCTCCCTGGGACCGAGCACTCCTCACACCCAGCACTCCCGGCACCCAGCACTCCCTGTGCCCAAGCACTCCCTGAGTCCAGCACTCCCCGGGACGCAGCACTCCCTGAACCCAGCACTCCTGATGCCCCAAGCACTCCCTGAGCCGAGCACTCCCCGAGCCCAGCACTCCCCCTGCCCTGCGCTTCTTGCTCCCACCACTCCCTGGGACTGAGCACTCCCTGTGCCCAGCACTCCCCGGGATCGACCATTGCCCACGCCCAGCACTCCCTACACCCAGCACTCACTTCCTGAGTCTCTCTGGGGAGGTGAAGCCCATTTCTCCGGCCCAGCTTGATTAGCCGCTCCAGGTACCGCGCAGCCTCGGGCCTCAGTGAGTCCTTCTGAACTTTCTCCTGGAATAAAAACATCAAAGCATGTAGGACGTGGGCCAGTGCAGCCGCTCCAAAGAGCAGTTTGGCAGTTTCTTAAAAACCTGATCATCCGGCCCCCGTGTGACTTGGCAACTGCACTCCTGGGCATTTATCTCAGAGAAATGACGACCTGTCTCTACATAAAACCTGTGCAAACGTTCGCTTTGTTTGGAAGAGCCCCACACTGACATCAGTCCAGAGCTCCTTCACCAGTGCGATGGCTGAATGGGAATTAGATTGCTGGTGGTCTCCAGGTCGGTATCGGGGTGTAGATGACACCATAGTTTTGCAAAACGTCATCACTGGGGACCTGGGCAAAGTTGGCAAAGGCATTCGATTCTTTCCTGCACCTGCATGGGAACCTCTCATTGTCTCAACAGAAACTCTGGAAAGTGGAGGTGGGAGGATTGCGTGGGCCCAGGAGTTCGAGACAAGCGTGGGCAACGTTGTGAGACCCTGTCTGTATTTAAATAAAAAGAAATAACAATCCACGGCTATCATGGGTCACCCTGATCTGGATTTACCAAAGCACTAGGGCTGCATGATCCTGAGACTGTGGGACACATCAGCACATTCCCAGGGGTCCTCGCCTAAGAGGATGAACAGCAGCAGGAGGGTCTCTGGGTCTCTCCTGATCATGTGACATCAACAGCAAAGGCCCCACTGCATACTGCGAGGAGCATCCGGGGGAGCAGGAGCCCACGCAGCCATGCCGCCAGGCCCTGCCAGCTCACGCCATGTGGGGATGGGGTGTTTGGGTCACACTAGGATGGCCAGGAAAGGAAATGAAAGTGCACATGTGTGGCCGGGCGTGGTGGCTCAGGCCTGTGATCCCAGCACTTTGGGAGGCCAAGGCGGGCGGATCACCTGAGGTCAGGAGTTTGAGAACAGCCTGACCAACATGGCAAAACCCTGTGCCTACTAAAAATACAAAAAATGGGCCGGGCACAGTGGCTCACACCTGTCATCCCAGCACTGTGGGAGGCCGAGGTGGGCGGATCACTTGAGGTCAGGAGTTCGAGACTAGCCTGACCAACACGTTGAAACCCCGTCTCTACTAAAAATACAAAAATTAGCCGGGTGTGGTGGCGGGCGCCTGTAATCCTAGTTACTTGGGAGGCTATTTGCACTCCCCGCAGGGCCCCCTCACCTGGAGCCACACGATCCTCTGGTACACGTCCTCCCTCATGCTCATCTCCACGTCGAACTCAGAGAGCTTCTTGTCGGCCTCTGTGCTGGCTGTCCGGATGTCCTTGGAGGGGGAAACATGCTGGGGGAAGTCAAGGATATTCCTCTGAACTAAAACAGGGGAGACCAGGGAGACAGGTGTGAGAACAGGCCCCAGTACAACTGGCAGGTGTTGCCCGGACCCCTCTCCCAGGCCTGTCTGCTGAATCCCCCCGTGAACTCTCTCCTGCCTCAGCCTCCCAAGTAGCTGGGACTAGAGGCACACGCCACCGTCCCCTCCAGGCTGGGCCCTGGGATGGAGAAAGGAGGTGCTGTTGCCTGTGTCCTTGGAGATCTTACAGACCGAAGAAAAATAAGGATTCAACTCAAAGCCCTCCAAGCCAAGGAGGACCCAACAGAGCTGGGTACGACGAAACAGAGGCTGACGGAATTCCATTCCAGAGAGAGCTGCAGCTGCCGATGGTCACATTTAAATGCATAAACTACTTACAATTTCCTGAGCACATCTGTGCTTTAGGTTGAGTAGAGGAAGTGTCAGTGGCTAGAAAAGCATAAGCTTTAGGCCAGGTGTGGTGGCCAAGCCTGTAATCCCAGCCCTTTGGGAGGCCGAGGCAGGCAGATCACTTGAGGTCAGGAGTCCGAGACCAGCCTGGCCAACAAGGTGAAACCC
This sequence comes from Homo sapiens, assembly GCF_000001405.40. Lineage (NCBI taxonomy): Eukaryota > Metazoa > Chordata > Mammalia > Primates > Hominidae > Homo > Homo sapiens. The sequence continues at coordinate 2,794,204 of NC_000019.10, read as the reverse complement.
CATCTCTACTAAAAATACAAAAATTAGCCAGGCGTGGTGGCGCGTGCCTGTAATTCCAACTACTTGGGAGGCTGAGGTAGGGGAATAGCTTGAACCCGGGAGGTGGAGGTTGCAGCGAGTTGAAATGGTACCACTGCACTCCAGCCTGGGCGACAGAGTGAGGCTCCATCTCAAAAAAGAAAAAAAAAGAAAAAAAAAAAAGCTTTAAAATGGAGTCATCCCATGACCCCCAAGACTCCAGTGCCAGGATCCAGCCAGGAGACATGAACACACATCCACACAGGAATCTGCACACGTGCACTCACAGCAGCGCGATTCACAATTGACAAAAGGTCCATCCACGAGTGAATGGACTGACAAGATGTGGCCTCTGCCCAGTGGAACACGACTCAGCCATGAAAAGGAATGAGGCTCTGGAACAGGCTGCGGTGTGGATGCAGCCCGATGATGTCACATGCAGAGAAAGAAGCCAGACACAAAAGTCACACAGTGTGTGATGCCATTTGTTTTTTTTTGAGACGAAGTGTCACTCTGTTGCCCAAGCTGGAGTGCAGTGGTGCAGTCTCGGCTCACTGCAACCTTCAACTCCTGGGTTCAAGCGATTCTCCTGCCTCGGCCTCCCGAGTAGCTGGGATTACAGGTACCCACCACCACGCCCAGGTAATTTTTGTATTTTTAGTAGAGATGGGGTTTCACTATGTTGGCCAGGCTGGTCTTGAACTCCTGACCTCATGATCCATCTGCCTCGGCCTCCCAATGTGCAGGGATTACAGGCATGAGCCACTGCACCCGGCCATGTGGTGCCATTTCTACGAAATATCCAGGACAGGCCCATCCACAGAGACAGGAGGGGACGCGTGGGTGCCAGGGCTGGGGACAGGGGAGATGGAGCGTGACCACTTAAGGGTATAAAATTTCTCTCTGGGGTTATGAAAATGCTCTAAAATGAAAGAATGGTAACAGCTGAGCAATGCTGCAAATTTATTAAAAACCACTGAAGTGTGTGGGTTTTTTTTTGTTTGTTTGTTTGAGACAGAGTTTCGCTGCTGTTGCCCAGGCTGGAGTGCAATGGTGTGATCTCGGCTCACCGCCACCTCCGCCTCCCGGGTTCAAGTGATTCTCCTGCCTCAGTCTCCCGAGTAGTTGAAATTACAGGCATGCGCCACCACGCCCGGATAATTTTGTATTTTTAGTAGAGACAGGGTTTCTGGATGTTGGTCAGGCTGGTCTCGAACTCCTGACCTCAAGTCATCCGCCCACCTCGGCCTCCCAAAGTGCTGGGATGACAGGTGTGAGCCGCCACCCAGCCTGAAGTGTGTGGTTTAAATGGGTGAACTGTATGTTATGCAAATCATATCTCAATGGAGCAGTTTAAAAAAACAAATTAGCCAGGCACGGTGGCACACACTTGTGCTCTCAGCTACTTAGAAGGCTGAGGCAGGAGGATCGCTTGAGCCTGGGAGGTTGAGGCTGCAGTGAGCCATGACAGCACCATGCACTCCAACCTGGGTGACAGAGCGAGACTCATTCTAAAAAAACAAAAAACAAACAAAAAAAAACCCTAATAATAATAATTTTTTTTAAAAAAAAGCATATACTTTGCAGCAGAAAGACCTGAATTCAAATTGCAGTCTGGCCACTACCTCAGTTCTGGGTCAACAGAAATGTCCCCAGGCCTCGGTATGTTTGGAGGAGGCTCCGCACGTCTGGAGGAGGCTCCGTGTGTTTAGAGGGGGGGTGGGCTGGGCACGGTGGCTCATGCCTGTAATCCCCACACTTTTGGAGGCCAAGGCAGGCAGGAAGCTTGAGCTCAGGAGTTCTAGACCAGCCTGGGCAATATAGCAAGACCTCATCTCTACCAAAAATTAAAGATGGCTTGAGCCTGGGAGATGGAGGCTGCAGTGAGCCATGATCACACTACTGCACTACAGCAGCCTGGGTGACAGAGCAAGACCCTGTCTCAAAAAAACAACAAAAAAGCCTGTAGTGGGGGCTCTGGGCCAGGCCTGACGCTAGGGCTGAAGACAGAAAGAAAATCAGCTCTGTCCTCTCGGGATTTACGGGCGACCGATTAGACAAGTGACCGCAGGGACGACAGTGTCAGTACCGTGCAGGGACTAATCCAGGCAGCTGGCATGGGGACAGGAGGAGGAGGAAGGGCTCCTGGGCGAAGTGGACTTAATCTGTGATCAGAGAGAAGCCAGGCATTCAGCAGAGCACAGGGCGAGGGGCGCGAGGGGCCGGCTGGAGAGGCCCTGGCTGGGGGAGGGTGCCAGGCACGAGGAGACTGGGTGTCCAGGCACAGACGGTGCAGGGCGCTGAAGACCACACCGAGGATGCTGGGCGTCACCCTGAGGGAAGCGGAAAGGCCCCGAGGGGAGCACTGGGGCCGAATTCAGTTTCCTTTAATGCTAGTCTCGCCACCATGTGAAGGAGGAGAGGAAAGGCCGCAGGAGGGGAAGGTGGGGCACGGGCGGGGGAAATGATGCCTGGCACCGCTGGGCGCCATAAGAGGGAACTGGTATCACCTGAGCCTCATGAGACTCCTACGGGAGGGACAAGGGGCCACCACGTGGCCGAGGAGGGGAAACCGAGGTCATACGGGCTCTAAGCCACTTGTCGGAAGCCAGAGGGAGTGGGAAGAGGGTCAGGATTCCAATCAGGGGCTGCGGGACCTGCAGGCTTGGGGTGCTTGCGGAGCTTCAGCCCTCCCTCCAGCCCCTGGCCCAGACAACAAACCCTCTGGAGGCCTCATGGCATGGGCCACGGAGGCCAACCCTTTCAGGGGATGCCTTGGAACACGAGAGAAGCCCTGGGCTTGAACTCAAGGATTCTCGATGGTTCCCAGCAAAAAGGCCTTCCGCTAGATGGAAGGGTGGGGAGTTGCCTCACTCAGAGCTCTCTGCGGAGACTCTCTGGGTCTCTTGGTCAGGCAGGTACACTGTCAGCCTTAGGCAGAGCTCGGGAAGCAGTGTCCCTAACCCCTGTCACTAGGCACCTCACTCCTCACCGTGAGCACAGGGACCCCAAGGAGAGGAGGAGGATCGGGCTGAGGGTGAGGAGGACGCCCGAGGACATGAGGTCACCCCCGCCGGAGGGCGCAGAGGCAGAAGCCAAGGGGGCCAAGTTCAGTCATTCAGAGAGAAACAAATACCCGCCTTCCCGGGCCAGGGAAAGAGGCCAGACGGGGTCAGGGTTCAAGGCTGCTGGCTCTGGGAGAGGCTGGAGAGGCGTGCTGTTTAGACATATTTTCTCATCTCCGGCTCTCAGATCACACAACCAGGGAGTCCTTTGAATGGACGAGGCTGTGAAGCAGAGCGGAGCACGGGAGGAACTGCCTCTCTCCTACACCTCTAGTGACCAGCACCTGCCAGACGCTTCCGCCCAGCCATCTGATTTAGCCACCACGACCAGCCTGGGAGCAGGTGGCGCTGCCCTGTGCTCAGGGGCAGGGTGCTGGTGACACTTCAAGCCAGGTTCTGAACCGGCTCCACGGGCTGGGCTACTCCCGCCTGCGGTGCCACCTCCCTCGGCACCTGCGGCCCACGCACAGACCCTGCCTGGGACTTACCTGTGTAGGTGACCTCCACATCGGCCAGCGCCTTGAGCGTGCTCTCGTAGGACACGTCCTCAAACTCCTGGGTGCCAACCTGGTCATACACGCGCTTGGTCTGCTCGATGAGCTCCCTGGTGCGCTCCTCTATCTGCTGGGCACTCAGGTCCCACCGCAGGTCGTTTACCACAGAGCACGGAGATGCTGCGTCCGCCATGTCTCCTGCACAGGCTACGCAGAAACAAAACCCAGTGCCGGGCGGGTCTGCTTTCGGTTCAGTTAGGGTCAAAGTCAGGAGGGCAGAGGGAAAGGAAGGGATCACCCGCTTCTCATCCAGAAGAGTGAGGTCCAGGGCTCTTGTAGGGAAGCACAGACTGACCAGTCCTCTAGAGCAGGAGGCTACTCTGCCATCAATCCCATCCAGGGAACCCTGGGTGACATCTAGGACACATGTGGCTGTCGCGGTTGCAGATGCTCCTGGCGTGGAGTGGGTGGAGGCCAGGGATCCTGCTTAGTACCCTGCAGTGACCAGGACGGCCCCAGCAGAGAACGATCAGCCCGGAATAGAGATGATACTGCTGTTAAAAATCCCCCTGCCCGGCCAGGCTTGGTGGCTCACGCCTGTAATCCCAGCACTTTGGGAGGCCGAGACAGGCAGATCACGAGGTCAGGAGTTTGAGACCAGCCTGAACAATATGGTGAAACCCCATCTGTACCAAAAATACAAAAATTAGCTGGGCGTGGTGGCACGCATGCCTGTAATCCCAGCTACTCAGGAGGCTGAGGCAGGAGAATTGCTTGAACCCGGGAGGTGGAGGTTGCAGTGAGCCAAGATCGCGCCACTGCACTCCAGCCTGGGCGACAGAACGAGACTCCATCTCAAAGAGAAAAAAAAAAAATCCCCCTGCCCTAGAGTGGAGACACCATGCACAGATCAGCCTGTACAAACCCCTGGGTGTTCACAAAAGGGGAAGTCCAGGACCACCCACGCACTGCTCAACTCCTGCCATGCCAGAGGGGAAAGGTGAGGTATCGGGGGGTTTTCGGGAGGAGTCCCTTCTTCTGTCTGCTTCTTCCACACCCCACACCCAGTGGGGGGAACAAGCAGGCCTCCATTCATGAACTCAACAAGAAAGTCAGCCTGGCGTGTGGTCGTGCCAGACCCACAGGTGCTACGGGCGAGTCATATGTGGCCCGGCCACTCACACCAGGGCCTCTCTGAGAAACGGGTAAATGGAGCCTGAAAACAAGAATGGCAGGCGGGGGCTCCTGGCAGCGAGAGCAGCTGCGGGAAGGGCGACTATGTGAAGTCAGTGCGGCTCGGCACAGAGAAGGTGGCAAAACCACCTGGAAACACCTAACCGTGCAGGGCCCAGGGGGCCAGCAAACAGTTCTGCAGAGGGTCCAGGGGGCCAGCAAACAGTTCTGCAGAGGACCCAGGGGACCAGCAAACAGTTCTGCAGAGGACCCAGGGGGCCAACAAACAGTTCTGCAAAGGGCCAAGGATTTTCAGCTTTGTGGGCCACATATGGTTTCTGTCTCATCCAAAAATCATCTTCAGTTCCAGGGGTGTACAAAAATAGGCAGGCCTGGCCAGGTACGGTGGCTCACGCCTGTAATCCCAGCACTTTGGGAGGCCAAGGCAGGCGGATCACTTGAGGTCAGGAGTTCGAGACCAGCCTGGACAACATGGTGAAACCCCGTCTCTACTAAAAATACAAAAATTAGCCAGGTGTGGTGGTGCGGGCTTGTAATCCTAGCTACTCTGGAGGCCGAGACAGGAAAATCGCTTGAACCCAGGAGCCAGAGGTTGCAGTGAACTGAGATTGCACCACTGCACTCTAGCCTAGGCGACAAAGCAAGACTCCATCTTGGCCGGATGCTGTGGCTTGTGCCTGTAATCCCAACACTTTGGGAGGCCAAGGCGGGTGGATCACCTGAGGCTAGGAGTTCAAGACCAGTGTGGCCAGCATGGAGAAACCCCGTCTCTACTAAAAATACAAAAATTAGCTGGGTGTGGTGGCAGGCACCTGTAATCCTAGCTGCTCAGGAGGCTGAGGCAGGAGAACCGCTTGGACCTGGGAGGTGGAGGGTGCAGTGAGCTGAGATCGTAGCACTGCACTCCAGCCTGGGCAACAAGAGTGAAACTCCGTCTCAAAAAAAATAGGCAGGCTGGAGTTTGCCAACTCCTGGTGTAGATGACAATGAAGGCTTTGAACTTCAATCCTGAGTGCAAGGTGGAGCCCTGGAAAGGGACAGGAAGGGGATGGGACAGTGGCACTAACAATCAGATGTGCATTTTTACAAAGGCTGGGGCAGGCACAACAAGCTAGCTCAGAACGCAGAAGCTGAAGTCAGATGGCCTGGGTGCGGACCCCACCTCTGCCAGTTGCTAGTTCTGGGATTCTGGCAAGAAACATTAACTCTCAGGCTTCCCACCTGCAAAACGGGAACAATTCAGGGTGCAGAGAACAAGAACTGTCTAAGAATTCAGTGAGGTATGAAGGCAAAACATCTTGTATCCTGAATACCACCAGAAAGTTTTCAAGAGGTAGCTGTTATTACAGACCATGCTCTCCTGTCCAAAAAGTCTTGGGGCCGGGGACATTTTAACATTCAGAATTTCCCCCCATTGTAGAACAGTATTAATAGAGTCCAAGTGCCATGTATTCCAAATCACTAGGGAGGCTGAGGCAGCACTCCGAAATCAAATTACTCTTTCTGCAGTGAGATGCAGGAATACGCACCAGGGTGTCTCTCTGTCTGCACTGTGGCCATTGGGGCCGGATCGTTTTCTGGGGTGGAGCTGTCCTGGGCACTGCAGGGTGCTGAGCAGCGTCCCCGGCCTCCATCCATTCCATACCAGGAGCGCCCCCCAACTGTGACAACCACAAATGTCCCCAGACACCGTCCAGTGTCCCCAGAGGTAGCACAATCACCCCAGCTGAGAATCAATGATATTCGCTAAGTGGGAAAAAGAAAGGCTCTCAGTCGGTCAGTTGAGGTCATTTTCTGGCCAAATGACTTTGCTGTAAACTTAAGGCAAACCTTTCAGTTTACAGAGTATTTAGGATTTTAGAACTGCAAAAAAGGGACTGTGGATCTACATTAAACCGTGGGGTAAAGAAGAGCTTCAGGGGCTCAGAAAGGATGGAGATGGATGGGAACTGGAACTGTCAGAAAATTCTCCTGCAGGAGTTAGGATTTGAAAAACTTGTGGACGTCAGTTCATCCTGTAAATATTTACTGATTGTGCCAAGGATCCAGTAGCAAACAAGGCAGACAACATTCCTTCCTTCCCAAGGCCTGAATATCCCTGACTATCATTATTACAATTATCACCCTCATCGCAATGGGCTGGACAAAGAGCTGGGGGAGTGTGGCTGGGCAAGAGAAAAGCCAAGGATCAGGCAAGGAGTTGCTTCAACAACCTGAGTGACCTTCTAAAACCCAGGCCGGGCACGGTGGCTCATGCCTGTAATCCCAGCACTTTCGGAGGTCGAAGCAGACGGATCACTTGAGGTCAGAAGTTCGAGACCACCCTGGCCAAGATGGTGAAACCCCATCTCTACTAATAATACAAAAATTAGCCAGGTGTGACGGGCGTGGTGACTCACGCCTGTAATCCCAGCACTTTGGGAGGCCGAGGCGGGTGGATCACGAGGTCAGGAGATGGAGATCATCCTGGCTAGCACCGTCTCTACTAAAAATACAAAAAAAATTAGCTGGGCGTGGTGGCAGGCGCCTGTAGTCCCAGCTACTCAGGAGGCTGAGGCAGGAGAATGGCGTGAACCTGGGAGGCGGAGCTTGCAGTGAGCCGAGATCGCGCCACTGCACTCCAGCCTGGGTGACGGACCAAGACTCTATCTCCAAAAAAAAAAAAAAATTAGCCAGGTGTGGTGGTGGGCGCCTGAAATCCCAGCTGCTTGGGAGGCTGAAGCAGCATAGCTTGAACCCGGGAGGCGGAGGTTGCGGTGAGCCTGTGTGAGCAGAGATTGCACCACTACACCCCAGCCTGGGAGACACAGACTGTCTCAAAAAATAAACCAACAAATAAATAAATAAACAGTACACAGGTCACATCGCCCCTTTGCCTCTAAATTAAAAGGGTCTTGGCTGGGTACAGTGGCTCATGTCTGTAATCCCAGCACTTTGGGAGGCCGAGGCAGGTGGATTGCTTGAACCCAGGACTTCAAGACCAGCCTGGGCAACATGGCGAAACCTCGTTTCTACAAAAAATTAGCCAAGTGTGGTGGTGCAGGCCTGTAGTCCCAGTTACTCAGGTGGCTGAGGCGGGAGGATTGACTGAGTCCAAGAGTTCGAGGCTGCAGGGAGTCGTGATCGCACCACTGCACTCCCGCTTGGGAGACAAAGTAAATAAATAACAAAATTAAAAGGTCCCCTCGTTACGTTCCAGCCAAACTGACTTTCTGCTCTCCAAACACGTTCCCTCCTCCCGGGACGCCTCCTTCCCCGGTCTTGGCAGGACACTTGCTTCTCCCAATCAAGCAAGTCGACGCTCACCTCTTCAGAAAAGCCCCCCAGGAACCACCCTCTCTCTAAAAACGTGTCCCTGGGACTGCCCCGTTCGTGTTTATCTGCACCAGAGCACCGATCCCTCCCTATCTTCGATCCTCTCTTATTTAATTTTTGAATGTCTGTCTGTGGCTCTAGAATTCCAGGAAAACGGGACTGGAGTCGTTAAATCACGGCCTCCCCAGGGTCCGCCACGGGGCCCGACCCATCCGGAAGGGAAGCGCCATCAACTTTGCAGAATGAATGAAGCGCTGGAAAAGCTGGTTCATTCATTCGGCAAACGAGAGAGCAGGGTCGTCCACCTCCCCCGCTGCCCCTCCAGCCCGGCCGAGGGTGGCTCGGGGGTCGCTTCGCTCCAGCCTTAGGCCCAAGTCGCGACCCCGGGAGGAGCGAGGGTGCAGGGGACGCCCGGGTCCGGCGAGCGGGGTAGTCGGTACCTGCGGGGGGCTTCATGGCGGGTGGGTCTGCGCCTGCGGCTCCCTCCCTCCTTCCACCTGCTACGCGTCCAGCCACCTCGGCCACTGAGGCCGCCTGCCTCGGCCCAACCGCCGCCACCGCCGCCACGGCCGCCTGAGGACCAAGGGGCCCGCCGCCCGCGCTCCCGGGGCATGCTGGGGCGGCGCGCGCACAGGGAGGGCAGGACGCACGCGCCCCTGAGCCCCGCCCACAGCTAAAGGAGGAGGGCCGGGAGTGCGCTGGAGCCCTCTGCGCACTCGCCGTAACCCTCCCGGTCCGTTATTGGTCTCGGCGGTGCGTGGGCGGAGCCTCTTGCTCTACCATTCCAGAGCCGCTGGGGTGGCTAGGACGGACGGTTTCCTTGGAAACCGCGCACGCCGCTGACGCCTCTGAGCCTCTGCGCGGCTCATTGCGCTGAGACTTCGCTTGGGCTTCAGGCTACCGCGTTAATGTGTACTTGCCTCGCTTCTTATAGCTGTGTGTTGGGCCAGTGTTATTATTGATCGCTTACTGTATATCCCAGGCCCACTTTCCAGCATCTGAATCCGACGAATCAATTAAATTAACCAGAAGTTTTGGTGCTTTGGTTGTTTTTGAGACGGAGTCTCGCTCTGTCGCCCAGGCTGGAGTGCAGTAGCAGCAATCTCGGCTCACTGCAACCTCCGCCTCCCTGGTTCAAGTAATTTTCCTGCCTCAGCCTTTCCAGGAGCTGGGACTACAGGCGCCAGCCCCCACCCCGGCTAATTTTTGTATTTTTAGTAAAGAGGGGGTTTCACCATGTTGGCCAGGATGGTCTTGATCTCTTGACCTCGTGATCCGCCCGCCTCGGCCTCCCAAAGTGCTGGGATTACAGGTGTGAGCCACCGCGCCGGGCCAAGTTTTTTTTTTTTTTTTTTTTTTTGTCAGAAACAAAAGCAAGTAAACGGATTCATGTCAAATAACAGGTGTTGTGGAACAGTGCAGTAGCCTGACCTACATGCAGTGTTGTGGGTTAAAACAAAAAACATCTTGAACCATCTGTCTTGAACTGTTAGGGCACCCAGAAAAAACAATGTACTACAATTAAACTGGCAAAAACCAAAACAACCGACCTCCTTTCTTCCCTTTTTTTGTTTTTGTTTTGTTTTCTTTTGCTTTGGAGGGGCTGGAGGGAGTCTCGCTCAGTCGCCCAGGCTGGAGTGCAATGGCGCGATCTCGGCTCGCTGCAACCTCTGCCTCTCGGGTTCAAGCGATTCTCCTGTCTCAGCGTCCCGAGTAGCTGGGACTACAAATGCCCGCACCACGCCCGGCTAATTTTTGCATTTTTAGTAGATACAGGGTTTCACCGTGTTGGCCAGGCTGGTCTCGAACTCCTGACATCAAGTGATCTGCCCCCTGGCCTCCCAAAGTGCTGGGATTACAGGCGTGAGCCACCACGGCCGGCCTCACCTCCTTTATTTCTGCAAAAGAAATTAAAATAATCCACGCCATTAATCGTGCATGTATTTTGAGTAGGACGAAAATGAATTGGGAGAACATTTCTGGCAACTGTAACTTAGATGGTGATCAGTTTTCTGTCGTCCTTGGAAATGTCTCATCACATGTCTTGAGCAACACCAAGATTAATTTTACATCGGCGTTCATTTTCGCTGTTCCCTGTGCCTGGGGTCCGTTTGGACTTTCCTATCCTTGAAATCCAAATGTAAAGGATGATCTTTCCTACCCATCCCATGCGACTTAGCTCCCAGTGACAATCACACTACCTTCATTTTTTTTTTCTTAGTGTTTGCTGTGAAATTTGTTTCTCTATTTATGTACTAGTTTATTAGTTTATAGTCCGTCTACCCCAATGCAAAATAATGAGAGTAGACACTTTGCTGGTTTTTATGGCTGCTTTGCAATAAATATTGAATGAATATTAGGCACCTGCTGTCTACAAATGGCTCTATACTCACAAACGTCTCACACTGCATGAAAGAATGCATTTGTGGGTGAGTAGATGGGTGGGTGAATAAATGAACAAAGATAGTAAGCGGGTAACACTGACTCCCATTCATTGCGCAGCTGTGACGCTCTGGAGTCCAGGTGTCCAAACGCGGCTGCACCACGTGGCCGGCCCAGCACCACGTGGTCAGCTCGGCGACCGGCTGGAGTCAGCCACTGTTCCACCGTGCACCGCTTCATTCCCGCTCTAGAGGGCAAACCAGACCCGATTTCCGGCCTCCATTAGGTCGCAGAGGTCAGTTGCCCTAACAACCAGCTGGTTCCCGCCTCTACGTTGCGTCACTTCCTTCCACGCCCGCCTCCATCATTAACGCGCCTGTGCAGAAGGGAAGCAACTCCGGGCGCCTTTCTTTTGCGCAGGCGTCGCGCCCTGGGGCCGGGGCCGGGCGGCACCGCGGTGCGCAAGCGCAACCGTCGGTGGGTCGGGGATCGGTCGCCTGAGAGGTGAGTGAGGGGCACTGCGCTGAGCCTGGTGGGTCTGGGGTCTGCGGCTCGGGGCCCACGGGGCCCCAAAGCTCGTAAGAGTTTGGGGATCGTGAGGCCAGGGTCACCGCGACCCGCGGGGTCCTGTGAGTAGGCGGTGCGGAGGGGAAACTGAGGCCGGGCGCCATCGGGCAGGCCCTTCGAGCCCTGATCTCCCTTCCCCAGGCCCCAGGTCCTGGAAATGCTGGTCCGCGGCCTGGTGGCGAGGACGGCGGGAGGGGAAGGCGCCCCGCATGTAGTGAGCGCTCGCTGGGTGTTCGCTGCCGTTCCGCTCTTATTAACCGCCTGGAAACGTCGTCCCTGTGACTCAGGGACCCCCGTTTGTGGGGACTGAAGTCGGAACTCTGGTTCCAGCGCCGCCAGTCCCTACCTGGGTGACCTTGCCCAGCCTCTTGGCTTCTCGGAGCCTCAGTTTTCCCCTCTGTAAAACGGGCGTTGTTCAAAAGTCCCTGCCTAGGAGAAGGAGAGCCGCAGGGTCCAGCGGAATCTGAGAACTCCAAAGAATTAGCAGGCGTTCGTCTTATATCATGTTTAGAGTCTTCTTCTGCATATCGTGCTAGAGGTGGGGGAAATCTGGGATTCAGGACCGTCCACCACCACCTCCCACCCGCTGTGTAAACCTGGGTGAGTCGCCTTCCCTCTCTGAGCAAACTGTTCCTTCTTTCGCAAACGAGTTGTAAAAGCAGATGCCTCGGAGGGTCATTATGAGGATAAACCCACATTCAATTATTTGATCAGGTGCCTGGAACTTGATAAGAGAGAGCTGGCTTGAGAATAGCTGTTTTTGTTATTAGGTGCCAGAAAATTGCAGTGTAGTGTGCCCTTCAGAGGTTGAATGATTGTCCCATTTTCTTTTGTTTCTGTCTCTGATTATTCCTTTTGTCTGCCTTTTCCCTCCCTTGACCAGTGGTTCTCAACCAGGAACAATTCTGTGCCCCAGGGATTCTTGGTGACATTTGTGCTTGTCATGATTTGGGGGACCCCCTGGTTTGGAGTTGGTGGAGGCCAGGGTTGCTGCTCGGCACCCTGCAGTACCCAGGACGGCCTCACCCCAGAAAATGATCCAGCTTTAAATGTCAATAATGCTTTAAAAACCCTACCATACGGGCTGATGACCTGAGGTCAGGAGTTCAAGACCAGCCTAGCCAACGTGGTGAAACCCCGTCTCTACTGAAAATATGAAAATTAGCTGGGCATGGTGGTGTGCACCTGTAATCCCAGCTACTCAGGAGGCTGAGGCAGGAGAATCCCTTGAACCCAGGAGGCAGAGGTTGCAGTGACCCAACATCATGCCACTGCACTCCAGCCTGGGCGACAGAGCGAGACCCTGTCAAAAATAAAAAAAAAAAATCTACCCTAGATCAGTGATTCTTCACCAGCATGGGCAGCTGGGACTGTGTGGGCCCGGGAAATCGTGTACAAAGTTTTGTGTGTGCACCCAATTTCGTGCAGAGAGAAATGGGTACTTTGGAGTTTAGCTTCTCAAGTCAGACTGCCTGGGTTCAGAACTCCTCATTTTCATCCTCGGAGCTGGGTGGTCTCGGGTGGTCCCCATCTTTCCAAGCCTCAGTTTTTCTTCTGTGGAATGGGGATTATAATAGTAACCACCTCAGGTGTGTGAGGATTAAACCAGGCAAGGTATCAGCAAACTGACCAGAAGGCCAAATCCACCTCTGGCCTGTTTTTGTGAATGAAGGTTTGTAGGAACACAGCCACACTCCTTGGTTTATGCGTTACCTGTAGTTGATTTCGAGCTAAGAAGGCACAGTTGAACAGTTGCCATAGGGAACTTAACGCCTGCAGAGCTGAAGACAATCTGGCCCTTTTCAGAAAAACCTTTGCTGACCCCTAAAATAAGCTATCGCATGTACAGCACTTAACTGGGTGCCTGGAAAGCTGTAAGCACGCCAAGGATTTGAGCTGAGGTTTATAATTAAATCTTCCTAGAAGGGTGAATGATTCCAAATGCGGGTGAGCTCTGCCCCAGATTGGAGGATCCTTGAGAGCTGTCGTCTTACTCAATTCTACATTTTTTCTTTTTTATGCCAAGACCCAACAGTGGCTCTGGTAGGAAGTGCTCAGTACAGGCTGAAGGAACAAAGGGGTGGTTTGAGATAGGGTCTTGCTCTGTCGCCCAGGCTGGAGTGCAGTGGCACAATCTCTGCTCACTGCAGCCTCGACCTCCCAGGCTCAGGCCCTCCCACCTCAGCCTCCTGAGTAGCTGGGACTACAGGTATGCACTACTACACCCAGCTAATTTTTGTATTTTGTTTTAGAGATGGGGTTTCACTGTGTTGCCCAGGCTGGTCTCAAACTCCTGGGTTCAAGTGATCCTCCACCTTGGCCTCCAGAGTTCTGTGATTACAGGCGTGCCCCACTGCACCTGGCCCGTTTTCTCTTTTACTGAGGTGGAAACAGAGACCCAGAGAGAAATGGCCTCCCCAAGGAACGTGACCATGTGGCTGTGAATTTTTCAACAATCGCAGGCTTTCCTGAGTCCATAGGGTTTAGACGCTGCCAGATGCTGGCGTTCAAAGGGAAGATGGGTCTGTCAAGAGATAGAAAGCCTTGTAAGAGATGCTGGGCCAGAGATAGGAGTTTGCAGGAATACTAGATTCTCTCCTGGCGGAGTTGGGCAGGGGAGGTGAGCACTTGAGTTTGAGTGGCATGTACAGGGTTTGGTGTAGGCCCCACAGATGACCCCCAGCTGGTGAGAGGCCTCCTATGCACACTCCTGGGGTTGCAAGGAGCAGTTGAGAGCTTTTATGTGTGCAGCGATCTCCTGGTGGCATTTTAGAAGGAAGTAGGCTTCGATGTGGGGAGTGGGCAGGAGACTGAGCTAGAACTCGGGTATCCTAAGAGGGAGTGAGGAGCAGGGCACCCGGCTCTCCTGCCCTGCTGTTGGTGAGAAGCACCGTGGATTTGGGATGGAGTTGGGCAGAGTGTTCACAGAAGGTAGTGGGTAAGAGCGGGCCCTTCCTACTGGGGTGTGAGGAGGTAAGACGACCTCAGTTTACGAGGATGTTCTATTTTTTTCCATTGAATGATCCCTTCTGGGCAGGGAAATAAGGAAGAGAGGTGGTTGTGAGTTTTTTGTTTGTTTTTAGAGACAGGGTCTCACTTTGTCACCCAGGCTGGAGTGCAGGGCCCAATCACAGCTCACTGCAGCCTCCAACTCCTGGGCTTAAACAATCCTCTCGCCTCAGCCTCCCAAGTAGCTGGGACTACTAGTGTGTGCCGCCACATCAGGCTAATTCTATTTTTTTTTTTTAGAGTCTCTTTTGTAGGGTCTCACTATACACTGTATTGCCCAAGCTGGTCTTAAACACCTGGACTCAAGCGATTCTCCCACCTCGGCCTCCCAAAGTGCTGGGATTACAGGTGTGAGCCACCGCCCCGACCGAGGTGGCTGTGTTTTGATTTTGTTTTTATTTTAATGATAAAATGAAAAGGTGGGATGTGGAGTCATCGGCTCAGAGCCGAAAGGGACGCTGAAGCCCCCAACATTGGAGCTGGCGCCACCCCCATGGGCCAGCACCCTCCCACCCTCACTTCTGCGGCCTCTGCCTTGAAACCAGGCCTCGGCCATGGCTCCTGAGCATCCATAAAGCCCTCGCTGTTGGGAGACACAGCAGGCCTTCTTTGAGATGCTGTCCCACAGCCAAACCCTACAAGTTGTGATTGTTCCAAAGACACCGAGTGCCAAACGGCAGTTGAGGAAAATGCCGTCCTCATGCTTGCTGGACCCCCCTCTGAAGAGCAGAAAACTTTCTTACGGGAAAGCCTGGCTGTTGAAGCAGATTTGAGAACCGTTTGATGATGTCCCCCACCTTGGGGACAGCAGAGAAGCCACAGGTCCTGGCACCACTGGCCTGTGTCACATGCTGGGCAGGGCCTGTGCTTCCCTTAGTTGAGCAGTCCTCCACCGTGGACCCGCAGTTCTGAAACCCAGAATAGCCTACAAGCAGAAGGTTTTCAGAAAGCTCACAGCAAAGTCATTTTGGACAGAAAAAGCTGACCTGTACTGACTTCCAGCCTTTCTTCCCACTTAGTGGCCATCAGTGATTTACAGCTGGGGGCGGTTTGGCAGTGTCTGGGGACATGTGTGGTTGTCTCAACTGGAGAGTGTTTCTGGTGTGCAGTGGGGGGAGCCAGGGGTGCTGCTCAGCCCCCTGCCGTGCGCAGGACAGAATCATCCACCCAAGATGCCCACAGTGCCACAGGCGACAGACCTGCATTAATTATTTGGGAAAAAAATTGAGCTTGCTCCTGCTCACACTGGACAGCAGAATAAACTTCTGATTGGGCAGAGGGTGGAAATCAGGGGGTCCCCAGCTCCTAGGATTCACCTCCTTGCTCCCTCTCCCCTTAGTGTGTGGATTTATTTTATCTTTTGTTTTGTTTTGTTTTGTTAGAGACAGGGCCTCACTTTGTTGCCCAAGTTGGCCTCAAACTCCTGGGCTCAAGCAATCCTCCATAGTTTGTGAATTTCAATGTGTGCAGCCTCCTGGGACCTTAGTAGAGCAAATGATCATGGGACACAGAGTCTCTTGGGGATCCGTGGCATCCCCTAGCCCAGGGTGTCTAAGCTGGGGCACTTCTGCTCAGCTCTGTCCCAGGGTAACAGGGATGGGGTAGGGTGGAGACCCTGAGGCTAAGAGGTTCTCTGGGATGTGGCGGCGGGGGCCGGGGGGGGCGGTGTTCCAGGAGGGAAAGCAGCACGTGCAAAAGCCCTGGGGTACAGAGGCACCGGCGGCACTGGAAGAGAGGAGTGTGACTCAGTGAATGCAACTCTTTCCACTTTCTGAACCCTCATTGGGTCCCTAGCCACCTGCCACCCTGTCCAGTTCTCACACCTCAGTTTAAGAGAGAAGGAAACAGGTACACCAAAGAACCAAAGATGAGATTTCTTGGTTTATTCTGTGTTAGTTCCCTGCGAAGGAACGCACATCCCCCTCCACACACACACCCCTGCCCCCCACACCCCTCAGCGTGGATCGTGCTAGGCCCTGTGTGCCTGGAATGCTAAGCCGAGTTCCAGCTGTCACTGGTAGGATCTTGCGTGTGCCACCTGTCTGGGCCTGTCACTCCCTCTGTAAGAGGGGGCTGTGACCCCCGCCTTCTAGGTTTATGCGGGGACTCAGCCAGGTCTGATTTCTTTTTTTTTTTTTTTTTTTGAGATGACGTCTTGCTTTGTCACCCAGACTGGCGTGCAGTGGTGCGATCTCAGCTCAGTGCAGTCTCCACCTCCCAGGTTCAAGCAACTCTCCTGCCTCAGCCTCCCGAGTAGCTGGGATTACAGGCACCCGCCACCACACCCGGCTAATTTTTGTATTTTTAGTAGAAGCCAGGCTGGTCAGGAACTCCAGACCACTTCAGCCTCCCAAAGTGCTGGGATTATAGGCCTGAGCCACCGCTCCTGGCCCAGGTCTTGTTTCTGCTGCTTGCTGTTGCCTCTTCCAAATCTGAGGTCACCAAGTGAGGTGTGTCTGCCTGGGGATCCTGACCTGATGCCGCCTGTTACAGAATCATTTCCAATGAAACCTCTGAAGAGATGTCGGCACCATTCTCAGCTAAAGACACCTGGTTGGGTGTGACCCTCATCTCAAAGACCCCAGACTTTGAAGAGAAACTCTTTTCTTGAGGCAGGGTCTCACTCTCTTTCCCAGGCTGGAGTGCATTGGTGTGATCACAGCTCACTGCAGCACGGACCTCCTGGGCTCAAGCGATCCTCCTGCCTCAGCCCCTCAAGCAGCTAGGGCTATAGATGTGTGCCACCACACCCAGCTAATTTTTTAATGTTTTGCAGAGATGGGGTCTCCCTATGTTGCCCAGGCTGCTCTTGAATTCCTATGCTCAAGTGATCCCCCCGCTTTGGCCTCCCGAAGTGCTGCTGGGATCACAGGTGTGAGCCACTGCGCCTGGTCTTTTTTTTTTTTTCTGAGATGGAGTTTTGCTCTTATTGCCCAGGCTGGAGTACAGTAGTGCGATCTTGGCTCACGGCAACCTCCACCTCCCGAGTTCAAGTGATTCTCCTGCCTCAGCCTCCCAAGTAGCTGGGATTACAGGCGCGCACCACTACGACCGGCTATTTTTTGTACACTGGGTTTCACCTGTTGGTCAGGCTGGTCTCGAACTCCTGATGTCAGGTGATCCGCCTGCCTCGGCTTCCCAAAGTGTTGGGATTACAGGCATGAGCCACTGTGCCCGACCAGTCTTTCTTTTTTTTTTGAGACGGAGTTTTGCTCTGCCACCCAGGCTGGAGTGCAGTGGCTCTATCGCAGCTCACTGCAGCCTCCACCTCCCGGGTTCAAGCGATTCTCCCGCCTCAGCCTCCTGAGTAGCTGGGACTACAGGTGTGCGCCACCATGATTGGCTAATTTTGTTTGCATTTTTAGTAGAGATGGGGTTTCACCATGTTGGTCTCAAACTCCTGACCTCAGGTGATCCACCTGCCTCTGCCTCCAAAAGTTCTGGGATTACAGGCGTGAGCCACCATGCCAGGCCAAAAATTACCATCTTAATCAGTTATAAATGCACAGTTCAGTGGCTTTAAGCACATTCACACAGCTATGTAGCCATCGCCACCATCATCTCCAGAAGTTTCTCATCTCCCCAGGCTGAAATTCTGTCCCCATGAAACATTCACTCCCCAGCCCCTGGCACCCCCAATTCCACTTTTGGTCTCTGTGAATCCAACGACTCTAGGGACCGCCTAGGAGGGGAGTCACACAGGTTTTGTACCTTTGTTTCTGGCTTATTTCACTGAGTGCGACGTCCTCAAGGTCCGCCCATGTTGTAGCCTGGTCAGGATTTCCTTTTCATGGCTGCGTAGCGTTCCGTCGTGTGGCTAGGCCACATTGTGTTGATCCACTCACCTGTCCGTGGACACTTGGGCTGTTTGCTTTTGGCTATTGTAATGCTGTTGTCAAAACGTGCTTAAAAATAAAACAAAAGAAACTCCGTAAACCAAAAATCTTCACCTTTCGGGTGGCATGTGTCTGTTTTCCTTGGGCTTGGGGGTCAGGAGACCTGACTGGTTTGCTCTCTGAACCCTGTTGGCCGGGGCGGATGACGTCAGCTTTTGTGGTTTCACTTTCTGGTGGTGGTTGACTGCCGTGGGCCCTGATGTGTCGTACATGAGATCTTTGGATTCTGGGACTGGCTGCCCGCCGGCTCTAGGCAGTCCTGATCCCAGACCTCAAAGTTCTGGGCTGTCCATTGTGTCCTGAGATGGGGGCGGAAAACTCATTACCATCCCGCAGGAGCTTTCAGGAAGACCGTAACTCCCTGTCCAGCGACACAAAACACAGCTCTTGTAGATTTCTCCCCCTTTAAAACATTGAGCTGTGATTCCCACACCGCTGTGATCCCCACACCGTGAAATTCAGTGGCATTTGGTGCCTTCACAGGGTTGTGCAACCATCACCACTCTCTGGTTCCAGAGCTGTCTCATCGCCCCAAAAGGGAGCAAGGAAGCTGGTCCCCACCAGCTGTCACTCCCCTTCCCCTCCCCAAGCCCCGGCACCCACGCGTCTCCTTCCTGTCTCTGGATGGGCCTGTCCTGGACATTTCATAGAAATGGAGTCGGTGTCACACCCTGTGTGTGCTTTGGGTCTGGCTCTTTTGCTCTCTGTTTTGTTTTGTTTTTTAATGATTGCTGATGGATGTTGCTTTCCCTGAAAGGGAAACAAAGCTGTGGGCACACCCAGTGTGTCTGGGACTATGCTTGTTTAGTGGCGTGGAGGTCCACGTCGCCGGTGTCATCTGAGTCTGACGTCAGCCACTGTTTAAAGCGTGGCGGGCCAATGCCTTGCTTGTCTCTGGCGCGGGGTGGGTTATGCGGTCAGGCAGCCCACGCCTCATTTTCTAGGGGGTGGTGGCTGTTCACCTCATGTAGAGGCATTTTAGGGGAACCAAGACACTGAACGCCTCTGATCTTGAGTGTGGGGGCAGGTCAGGCGCCTGCCGGGCGCGGATCCTGCCGTGCCTGTGGCTCCAGTGGCCTTGAGTGAACACCTCCATCCCCAGTCCTGCCGCATAGGTCACTGCGCCGAGGTCATGAGACGGTGTTGTGTCAAGGGCCTGGTGCACCCACAGGCTCTTCAGGTCCTCCTCTTCTAGTCCAGCTTTCTCCCAGTGGGAGCTGTGGATGTTGAGGCCGGATCATCCTCTGGGATGGAGCCGTCCTGGGCACTCCAGGGCACTGAGCAGCGTCCCTGGCCTCCCCCCACTCCATGTGAGACAACACCAAGTGTCTCAGCACATCCATCGAGAACCGCTGGTCTGGGAGAGAGACAGAATCTGGAGAGACATGCACGCACACACACACATGCGCGCGCACACAGCTTCAGCAAAATCCAGTGGGTCAGTAGAATCCACGGCTTTCCTCAGCATTTGCCTCCTGGAGGAGGCCGGGTATGGTGGCTCACACCTGTGATCCCAGCGCTTTGGGAGGCCAGGGTGGGAGGATTGCTTGAGGCCAGGAGTTTGCCAATGTTCATGGGCAGGTATTTTACATAGTTGACGTTCTAGGTCTGCGAAGTGCTCAGGTAGGTCATCTGCATGGTTTTAATGCTTTTGGTGCCCTGCCTCTGATGCTGTCTACACGGGGATGGTTGTAGGTGAAGGCCTCTGTGTACGCGTGCACGGGTGTTAACCTACGTGTCTCGGGCCATTAGACATCTGTGCACTTAAAGTTAAAATGGACATTTGCATAGACGTGATAGGAAGTGTCGTTTTCTTATAAAAGAAGCTGCCCCTCGGGCAGCTGGCTCCTGGGACCGCAGCACAGTGAGCAACGCGCAGCTGCTCCCTCCCTCCGTGTCCCTCGGCCACCGCCCTTCACTGCTCCCTTCCGTGTGATGACAGCCCGTTTGTTCTCCTGTCTATGTGATCCTGGGCATGCGACCACGCGTCCCTGCCCAACCTGGCTCAGTTCAGCTGGAGACAGGGCCGACCCGCTTGTTGGAGTCGTCACGAGGACTGAGGTGCGTCCTGAGATGCCTGCTTGCCAGGTGTTAGTGTCGGTTTGCTGGGGCCGCGGTGACAGAGTGCCATAGACCAGGCAGCTGAAACAGAGTTCATCGTCTCTCAGTCCTGGAGGCCGGAAGTCCATGATCAAGGTTCTGTCGGGGCTCGTTCCTTGTGAGGACGTGAGGGCAATCTGGTGTCCCTGCCGTGTGGCCGCGTCACCCATCTCTGCCCTCGGTGTCCCTGCCCTGTGGCCGCGTCACCCATCTCTGCCCTCGGAGTCCCTGCCGTGTGGCCGCGTCACCCATCTCTGCCCTCGGAGTCCCTGCCGTGTGGCCGTGTCACCCACCTCTGCCCTCGGTGTCCCTGCCGTGTGGCCGCGTCACCCACCTCTGCCCTCGGTGTCCCTGCCGTGTGGCCGCGTCACCCACCTCTGCCCTCGGTGTCCCCGCCGTGTGGCCGCGTCACCCACCTCTGCCCTCGGTGTCCCCGCCGTGTGGCCGCGTCACCCATCTCTGCCCTCGGTGTCCCTGCCGTGTGGCCGCGTCACCCATCTCTGCCCTCGGTGTCCCTGCCCTGTGGCCGCGTCACCCATCTCTGCCCTCGGAGTCCCTGCCGTGTGGCCGTGTCACCCACCTCTGCCCTCGGTGTCCCTGCCGTGTGGCCGCGTCACCCACCTCTGCCCTCGGTGTCCCTGCCCTGTGGCCGCGTCACCCACCTCTGCCCTCGGTGTCCCTGCCGTGTGGCCGCGTCACCCATCTCTGCCCTCGGTGTCCCTGCCGTGTGGCCGCGTCACCCACCTCTGCCCTCGGAGTCCCTGCCGTGTGGCCGCGTCACCCACCTCTGCCCTCGGTGTCCCTGCCGTGTGGCCGCGTCACCCACCTCTGCCCTCGGTGTCCCCGCCGTGTGGCCGCGTCACCCATCTCTGCCCTCGGTGTCCCTGCCCTGTGGCCGCGTCACCCATCTCTGCCCTCGGTGTCCCTGCCGTGTGGCCGCGTCACCCATCTCTGCCCTCGGTGTCCCTGCCGTGTGGCCGCGTCACCCACCTCTGCCCTCGGAGTCCCTGCCGTGTGGCCGCGTCACCCACCTCTGCCCTCGGTGTCCCTGCCGTGTGGCCGCGTCACCCACCTCTGCCCTCGGTGTCCCTGCCGTGTGGCCGCGTCACCCATCTCTGCCCTCGGTGTCCCTGCCGTGTGGCCGCGTCACCCACCTCTGCCCTCGGAGTCCCTGCCGTGTGGCTGCGTCACCCACCTCTGCCCTCGGTGTCCCTGCCGTGTGGCCGCGTCACCCACCTCTGCCCTCGGTGTCCCTGCCCTGTGGCCGCGTCACCCATTTCTGCCCTCGGTGTCCCTGCCCTGTGGCCGCGTCACCCACCTCTGCCCTCGGTGTCCCTGCCCTGTGGCCGCGTCACCCATCTCTGCCCTCGGTGTCCCTGCCGTGTGGCCGCGTCACCCATTTCTGCCTTCACATCCACACAGTGTTCTCCCTGTGCATGCGTCTGCATCCAAATGTCCCCTTTTTATAAGGACATTGGTTATTGCTCTAGGGACCCGCCGTACACTGGTATGATGTCATCTTACCAAATTCTGTCCGCCAAGATCTTATTTCCAGGTGAGGTCGCATTCCAAGGTCCTGGCAGTTAGGACTTCAGTGTATGGATTTGGGGGACACAGTTCAGCACACGACAGTATTCAGCCCCTGGAGCCGCCTGTCAGCGTGGCTGCGCGCAGAGGGTCCCTGGGGCCCAGCTGGGGAGTGGGACCTGGCGGCAGAGACCCCTTGCACTGTGCTGGCTCAGAAGGAGGAGCCGTGGCCTCCTGGGTGCTGGGTCAGAGTTTCCTTGTAGGTGTTTGTGGCTTTAGTCACTTCTTGGAGAGCAGATCTGGGCACAGAGCAGAGAAGAATAAGAAATTATCCAGAGGCAGCTGTCACTGTAGAAGATTCCTTCAGGCCTCGCCCTTCCTCGTCCATCCCGAGGCTGGCGGCCTCTTGGCCAGGCCCTGTCTGACCCAGCCTGAATCCGAGCGTCTGATCTCAAACCTGTGCTTCTCCTCACGGTGGTTCCCCAGCTCCTGAGGCCTCAGGCCTGCCCCTTGCCTCATGCGTCTTGGCACACAGAGTGCAACTAAGAATAAGGTCCACTATGCACGGGCTGGGCCCGGCCCCGGAGGAAGGCCGGTGACACACAGCCCCGCCACCCTGTATGTCAGCCAGTGAGGGACAGAGATGGGGAAGACCCAGCTGCTCAGAGACACCAGAGGCCCTGGACAGGGAGTGGATTCCAGGGAAGGCGGCTGCCCAGCCCAGCCCGGAAGGAGCAGGTGGAGAAGGGAGGCCCAGCCAAGGGAACCTCATCGCAAGAACAGAGGATGGGGGTCCCATCCCACGGCCAGGGCCTCCCCAAGGGCTGCCCCTCCATGCGCCAGCACCACAGCAACCCCTCTCCATGCCTGCTTCTGGCCTCAGAGCAGGTTCTCCAAATGCTCCCAGTGAAACTGCACAGCCGGGCAGCGTTTCTGGAATAGCCTCAGCATGTGTTGATCTGGACACGGAGGGTGCACCAGCACCCGTCCACGTACCTGCCTGTGTGGGGGTGTTCACTCAGCGTTGTGCACGCCTGGTCTCGTACCCCTCCCCCCCCCCCCGATGGGGAGGTGCTGTCGCCATCCATGGGGGACAGAAGAGGAAACTGAGGCTCAGCAGAGTTAAGTCGCTTCCCCTAGGTCACACTGCCAAAAACAGCCAACCGAGGTCTATGCCACGAGACTCACCACGAGGAATCATGATTTTTTTTTTTTGACATGGAGTCTCACTCTGTTGCCAGGCTGGAGTGCAGTGGTGTGATCTCAGCTCACTGCAACCTCCAACTCCCTGGTTCAAGTGATTCTCCTGCCTCAGCCTCCCGAGTAGCTGGGATTACAGGCACGTGCCACCATGCCAGCTAATTTTTGTATTTTTAGTAGAGATGGGGTTTCACCGTGTTTGGCCAGGATGGTCTCTGTCTCCTGACCTCGTGATCTGCCTGCCTCGGCCTCCCAAAGTGCTGGGATTACAGGCGTGAGCCACCACGCCTGGCAGAATCGTGATATTAACAACAGATATCGCAGGGCGCCAAGCGCTGGGCTGACAGCTTCCGGGTTATTTTTTCCCCGACCCCTGACAGCAGCCACAATGGAGCTCCCCATTTTACAGACATGGAGGCGGAGGCTCAGGCCGAACAACCCGTCCGAGCTCACAGGCTTTGCAGGCCACGATCCGGGAACCGCCTGGCCTCTCCCTCACAACCCGGCTGGCTTAAAACAACCAAGATTGATTTCCCTCGCAGTTCTGGAGGCCAGAAGTCTGAGATGAAGGTGCAGGCTGGGCCACGTTCCCTCTGAAGGCCCCAAGGGAGGCTCCGTCCTGCCTCTTCCAGCTGCTGGGGGCCAGCGAGCCTCACCTCTCTTCGTGTGGCCACATGGCCTCAGCCTCTGCCTCCGTCTTCACGCGGCCGTCTCCGTGCGGCCATGTTCAATCCCTGCATTAGGGCCACCACAGCGACCTCATCTCCACTTGTTTCCATCTGCAAAGACACAGACAAGGTCCCGTGCTCAGGTCCCAGGTGGACGTGACTAGCCCAGAACTTGGCTGCTCCAGCGGCGGGGGCGGGGGCGGCTGCTTCTCCACGCAGCTTGTTACATCTGAATGTTTAGAGTCACCATCGCCAGCCTTCGGGGGAAATGGAGGCACAGTGAGGCCAAGCCTTCCTGAGCTGGCGCCTCAAGGCAGCCGGCCAGCCTGCCCCGGGGGAAGCTCACGTCGGGGCTTCCTGCTCAGAGCCGTGAAGGTCACTGTGGCCGAGGCCCCTCCAAGTTGGCCCAGGCACCCAGGAAACCTGTGTGAAAGGTCTTGTACTAAAAAAAGACCTGTCCATAGACTACAGCTCCAGATTCCAGAACAGCCTCTCCTGATGTCACCATCTGGCACCCTTTAGAGCTTTGGCAGGAAACTGCAGGGACCACAGACATGAGCAGAAGCAGCTGTCAAGTCCTGGGAATGAGGAACAAGACAGGGTATCCGAGGGGGGACCAGGCGGATGTCCGAGGGGGAACCAGGAGGGTTTCTGAGAGGGAACCAGGAGGGTGTCCGAGGGGGCATCCAGGAGGGTATCCGGGGGGGAACCAGGCGGGTGTCCGAGGGGGGCACAGGCGGGTGTCCGAGGGGGGCACAGGCGGGTGTCCGAGGGGGGAACCAGGCGGGTGTCCGAGGGGGGAACTAGGCGGGTGTCCGAGGGGGGAACCAGGCGGGTGTCCGGTGGGGGAACCAGGCTGGTGTCCGCTGGGGGAACCAGGAGGGTGTCCGGTGGGGGAACCAGGCTGGTGTCCGCTGGGGGAACCAGGAGGGTGTCCGCTGGGGGAACCAGGAGGGTGTCAGGTGGGGGAACCAGGCGGGTGTCCGAGGGGGGCACAGGAGGGTGTCCGAGGGGGAACTAGAGGGGGGTCTGAGGTGGAATGAGGTAGGTAGGCCTCCCAGGGGGAACAAGACGGGTCCCCAAGAAGTCCCTGGGGGGAGTCCTCTGCAAGTCCTGTGAAACAGTGATACCAGGGCAGGCACACCTGGCCCCGTTGGGTACCTAAGAAATGCTTGCTGACATGCCACAAAAGAGGTAAATTGAGGAAAGGGGCAGTGGCTCTGGCTGAGGACAAGGTCTCTCCCTCTCAGCACTGTGGACATTGGGGCTGGATCGTTCTCTGGAGTGGAGCTGTCCTGGGCACTGCAGGGTGCTGGGCAGCATCCCTGGCCCCCACCCACCTCATGCCAGAAGCAGGGGCGGAGGGGACCTCCGTGGCGCCTCAGTACCACCCTGGGAGTGCTCAGGAGGCCCTGGGAGCACGCGGGTTCTCTAGGGCAGGCCCTGCTTGCCTGCTGGCCTCACACTTTCTGGCTGTGTGCATAGCCGGATTGGTGAGCTCTGGGCCTCAGGTCATCATCTGTGAAATGGGCGTATTAAGGCCTTTCTACCTGGGCTGTCCTGGAGCTGAGATCAGCCAGCACCCTTAAAGTGAGGCCCAGCTAGTTAGGGGCAGGCCTGGGGTGCCTGGAGTGGGGAGTGTGAGGGGGCCTGATGGGGGTTTTTCCTGCACCCCCAGGTATCACCTCTTCTGGGCTCAAGATGGACAACAAGAAGCGCCTGGCCTACGCCATCATCCAGTTCCTGCATGACCAGCTCCGGCACGGGGGCCTCTCGTCCGATGCTCAGGAGAGCTTGGAAGGTAGGTGGGTGCCTGCCACTTCCCCCTCTCCCCGGGCAGCGGCCAGCACAGTCGCCTCGTGTAGACACCTGGTGTGTAGATGCCTGGTCCCCCGCCTGGCTTTTTGGGGGTGGAAGCTAAGCCCAGAGAGGGCAGGGGTCTGCCCAGGGCCACACAGCCCCCGGCCGTGGGAGCCAGGGCCGAGCTGAGCCCTCCCGCCTGCCACTGCGTGGCGCCACCACTGCTTGATGCCTTCAGGCTGAGCTGCCTTCCAGTGGCTTTTTTCCATCTCCCCATCTTCCACCAAGGTGTGTTCTGGAATGTTCTCACCACCCAGTGTGTGTGTGTCACCATCGGTCACGGGGAAAAAGCTCTCCTAGTGCTGGCCCCGCCCCAGAGTCCCAGACTCGTTGGCATCCTGCATGGCCTGTCCGCTCCCCAGGTGCCTTGGTCTCCTGGCTGGTCTTGCTTGCGCTTCTGCGACACCTGGATCCGGGGCTCGGAGGGAAAGGAGGGCTCGGGGAGGCACCCTCGTGTGGCTGCAGGTTCTGCTCTAGGTCCTCCTTCCCCACCTATGCCTCGCTCACCTGTGTCCTGGGCCTGCCAGGCCTCTGTAGCATGGACACCCAGTGACAGCTGTAGGGATGTGCCCGGGGTCCTTGACACAGTGCTGGGCAGGAAGTGGCTGACCCCCACTTCTGACCTGGGTTAGGACCCTGGGTCCACACGAGGAGGCGGCCAGGGCTAGTGTTGTCTGGCTCGGTGGGAGGGCCCCCTGGGTGCTGAGTCTGTCAGGTGGGCCAGCAGAGAGAGGGGCCCTGTGGCTGTTTCTTGTCCTGCTCTCAATGGTCCTGCCCTGGTACAGACCCAGTCATACAGGCCTTCTACTGGGGGCTGGCTTCAAGCTCCTTACTCAGGCCAGGCGCCCTTGGAGGTGCAACAGCATCCGGGGCACCTCACCCCTGACGTGGCCCTCCAGGTGGGGCCAAGCCCCCACCACGCCGCAGCCGGGCAGCCCCAGCATTGGGACCCCACAGAGGCCTGAGGTCACCACCTGGGCTCCACTCTGCCCACGGCCTCTGCTGCTCTCAGGGGCACGGGGCGTCTCTGTCTGGCTTTTCTTTTCGGGAAGGAAGAGGGTCCACTGTCCCAGCCCAGAGCACAGGCGGCGGCCCCTGCGTTCTGGGGTCCTTGGGAATGAACACACCTGGGGAAGCATGAGCACCAACCCCGCCCTCTAGACCCAAAAACGTAACCTCGGGGCTGCGTGCAATGAATGGGACCGCCTCTGTCCCCGCTTCAGTCGCCATCCAGTGCCTGGAGACTGCGTTTGGGGTGACGGTAGAAGACAGTGACCTTGCGCTCCCTCAGACTCTGCCGGAGATATTTGAAGCGGCTGCCACGGGCAAGGTGAGCCTCGATGCTTCCCCAGCCACTGCCCCCAAAATAAGAACAGCAACAGCAGGCAGCCCTGGGGACCCCAGGAGCCCCGCTCTCATCGTCCCCCAGCACTCTGCCTGCATCCTCTCCTGGGCTGGGGACGTGGCTGCAGGAGCACTTGGCCCTCCTCCCCCTATCGGCGGGTCCTGAGACACATAGCGCTGTGGTCACTCGCCCAGGGCCACATGATGGGGGGCCAGGAGTCCCCTGCAGAGCCCCCGGGTCCTTCGGAACTTGGTGGCCCTCTCTGGCGTCCCGAGGGAAGCTAAGGCCGGAGGGTGCCAGGTTGGGAGGAGAGGACAGCGGGCCGCCTTTGCCTCCGGGTCCAGGAGATGCCGCAGGACCTGAGGAGCCCCGCGCGAACCCCGCCTTCCGAGGAGGACTCAGCAGAGGCAGAGCGCCTCAAAACCGAAGGTAAGGGAGGACCTCCATCCCCACAGACACCTCGCCCTACCTGGACTCCGGGGCTGTGGGACCCTCGCAGAGGCCAGCTGGTCCCTGGGGCCCAGGGAGCTGAGGGAATTGCCCTGATGACCAGCACGCTGGCTTGTGGGGACGGGGACGGAAGGGGGACTGGCGAGGGGACTGGCGAGGTGCAGAGAAACTTGACCTTCAGGCACAGCACGGCTGGTGGGGTTGTCGGGAGCGGCCCCTGTGGAAGACTGGCTGGTGGCCCCCAAAAGTTGCACAGCTTCCATGAGACCCGCCGGTTCCACCCTGATACTAGATATGTGCCCAAGAGAGACACATGTCCACCAAAACCCAGACACATGTTCACAGCAGCTGTATTCACAAGAGTCAAAAAGCAAGAAGAGGCCGGGCGCGGTGGCTCACACCTGCAGTCCCAGCTCTTTGGGAGGCCGAGGCGGGCAGATTGCCTGAGGTCAGGAGTTCAAGCCTAGCCTGGGCCAACATGGTGAAACCCCGTCTCTACTAAAAATGCAAAAAAATTAGCCAGGTGCAGTGGTGGGCACCTGTAATCCCAACTACTCAGGAGGCTGAGGCAGGAGAGTTGCTTGAACCTGGGAGGCGGAGGTTGCAGTGAGTCCAGATCGCGCCACTGCACTCCAGCCTGGGCGATAAGAGTGAAACTCCGTCTCAAAAAAAAATAAAAAATAAAAAATAAAACAATAAAAAGAAGCAAAAACAGCTTAAATGCCTGTCCACGCTAAATGGTCAGCACAGCATGGCCCATCTACACGGTGGAATGTGGATGGGTGAGGCTCTGACCCAGGCCCCAGCGCAGATGCACCGTGAAGACATCACACTCAGGGAGAGAGGCCAGACACAAAAGGACGCACAGCATGTGATCCCATTTCTTTTTTTTCTTTTTTGAGATGGAGTCTCGCTCTGTCGCCCAGGCTGGAGTGCAGTGGCGTGATCTCGGCTCACTGCAACCTCTGACTCCCTGGTTCAAGCAATTCTCCTGCCTCAGCCTTCTGAGTAGCTGGGAC
This sequence comes from Homo sapiens, assembly GCF_000001405.40. Taxonomy (NCBI): domain Eukaryota; kingdom Metazoa; phylum Chordata; class Mammalia; order Primates; family Hominidae; genus Homo; species Homo sapiens. The sequence goes on along the minus strand of NC_000019.10, from coordinate 2,766,095 downwards.
TACAGAAGCCTACCACCACGCCCGGCTAATTTTTGTATTTCTAGTAGAGACAGGTTTCACTGTGTTGGCCAGGATGGTCTTGGTCTCCTGATCTTGCGATCCGCCTGCGTCGGCCTCCCAAAGTGCTGGGATTATAAGCATGAGCCACCGCGCCCGGGCTTATATTTTTAAAGCGTAAGCTTTGTGGCATGTAAATTATATCTCAATAAAACTGTTTAGGGAAACACACGCTGATACCCATCTTCCCCCCACGCCCTCCTGAATTGGGATCTCGGGGGCGGGAGTGGGTTTCTGTCTTCAGGGCTCTCAGTTCTAGGATAGCAGCTGGGGTTTTTACCGTCCTACCAGCTGGGACCCATGCCTCAGATAGAAGCCCCATTGCCTATGAAATGAGAAGGTATCACATGAGTATTCCAAAATACAGGCCTCCACTTGGGCTCTTTCCAAAAGCAATAGCGAAAGGGACAGTTTCCGTCCCCGGGCCGGTGAGCTGTATTAACTGTTCTGCTCCCGGGGTCGCCATCCAGGCAGTGACAGCCACCGTCGCCAGGCACAGGCCAGGCCAGGCCCTGCCGCCCCCACCTCCATCCCCCTTAGTGGATGTAGATATGATTGTTTGCGACTAGCGAACCCCCTATAGATGCAGATGCCTCCTGAGCCGGCATCTGTGTTGAGTCCTGGCTGCCCAGAAGAGCCAAGTGTGACGCCCCCTCGGGTCTGTGTGGACACCAGGCCGGTGTTTTCCTCTCTCCCTGACACCCCCTCCGGTCTGTGTGGACACCGGGCCGGTGTTTTCCTCTCTCCCTGTAGGAAACGAGCAGATGAAAGTGGAAAACTTTGAAGCTGCCGTGCATTTCTACGGAAAAGCCATCGAGCTCAACCCAGCCAACGCCGTCTATTTCTGCAACAGGTACCAGCTCAGGGCCTGCCCAGGGCAGGGGCGGCCGGGTGCGGGGGCGTCCTCCGGGATGCTTAGCAGGGACCTGAGATGGGAGAGGCCTCTGCGCTGTAGATGAGGGATCCATTCACCGGTGGTCTCAGACCAGGAGCGAGCATCAGGTGACCAGCAACGGGGTCGGGGAGAGTCGATGCTGATTTAAAATCAGGTAGCACGCCCAGCACTCTGGGAGGCCATGGGGGAAAGATCACTTGAGGCTAGGAGTTCGGGACTAGCCTGGGCAACATATCAAGACCCCCGTCTCTACAGAAAATGTAAAAATTAGTCTGGGGGCCAGGCGCGGTGGCTCACGTCTGTAATTCCAGCACTTTGGGAGGCTGAGGCGGGGGGGATCACTTGAGGTTGAGAGTTCAAGACCAGCCTGGCTAACATGGTGAAACCCCGTCTTTACTAAAAATACAAAATTAGCCGGGTGTAGTGGTGGGCACCACCAGTTACTCAAGAGGCTGAGGTATGAGGATGGTTTGAACCTGGGAGGCAGAGGTTGCAGTGAGCCAAGATTGCGCCACTGCCCTCCATCTTGGGTGACAGGGAGACTCTGTCTCAAAAAAACCCCGAAAAAAACCACAAAAATTAGCTGGATGTGGTGGTGGGTGCCTGTAGTCCCAGCTACCTGGGAGGCTGAGGCAGGAAAATCACTTGAACCCGGGAGGCAGAGGTTGCAGTGAGCTGAGATCGTGTCACTGCACTCCAGCCTGGGCAGCAGAGCAAAACCCTGTTTCAAAAATAATAAATACATAAATACATACATAGAAAATCAGGTATCATGGCATTCCACGTGGATGTCAAGCCAAGAAAATAATCCAGTATGTGGAGGGTTGTGTTTTTTGAATGTGTGGTCTTGGATCTGCTTCAGGCTTACAGGACAGTTGCAGAGGCAGTGCAGGGTTCCTGGCCGCCTGTCATGGGGTAGTTTAGTCTCCACTCACTCTTCTCTGTACTTTGAAAAAATTGTAAAGAGAAACACTAAACACGAAAATGGTGAAGACGATTCAGACGCTGTAAGCCAAGAGCTTTGAGCTTTGACATTGGTCTGAGTTCTTTTTTTACTGATATGTAAATAATTTGTGAATGAAACTTGGGTATAAGTTCCCTACCCTCATTGCTCTTGTACAGCCATGGATCGGAACATTTTTTGCAAATAAAATTCAGAGTCGCAGTCCTGAGTGGCTGCTGGTGCTTTGAGCCCACATTTGTCTAAGAGCATCTCAGTGGCCACACCTCTCAGCTTTCCCCATCAGCCCCATTTTACAGATGGGGAAAACTGAGGCCGTTCCTCCAGGAAGTTGGAGAGGAACGCAGCTCTCAGGCTCCCCTCAAGGGCTGCCCGCTGGGCTCAGAGCCGCCAGTGAGGGACCTGCCCTGCCTTTTCTTCCCCAGAGCCGCAGCCTACAGCAAACTCGGCAACTACGCAGGCGCGGTGCAGGACTGTGAGCGGGCCATCTGCATTGACCCGGCCTACAGCAAGGCCTACGGCAGGATGGGGTGAGTGCCTGTCCACGGCCGCGCCTTTCCAGTCTCTCGGGACCCCTCCTCTCCTGCTCCTGCTTCCTCTCTTGTGTGGCTTTTTTCCCACCCACAACGAATTCTCCCACCCCGGTTCAGTTCAACTCTGACACTAGCTGTTCGGAGCCAACGTAGTCCCTACAGGTCACAGGCTCAGCCCCACAGACGCCCCGCATCAGGTGCCACCCGGAGATCCCTGGGCCCCTTGCTTCTCCCTGACTGGCTGTCACCTGGGGTTCCCATGGCTCCTACTCAGGCTCCATTGTTTGCTGGGGCGGCTCACAGAGCTCAGGGAAGCACCTGGTTTATGATGAAGGACACAGGACAGGTCCGAGAGTGAGGCCAGGAGGGTCCCCGGGGCAGGAGCCTGCGCCCCGTGCAGCCGGTGCCGCCCTCCCAGCATAAGCGTGCATTCGCCTGCTTCTCTGAATGCCCTTGCTCAGAGTTTGTGGGATTGGGTCTCCCCAGAGGCTGGGGAGGGGCCCTGTTCAACTGCCCAGTCTCCCCAGGACCCGCCTCCTCCTGGGCTCTGTAGGGGCCCTGAGTCACCTCACGAGTGAAGACTCACTCAGGTGGGGGTCAGGGGCTGCTTGTGGATGACGGGAGACATGTCTGTCGCTCAGAGGTTCCGAGGGTCCTTGGTGCCCTGTGCCGGGAAGCGGGGCCAAGACAACATCCACGCATTTCCTGTGACCCTGAGCTGGCCCGCTCCCTCCTCTCAGCCCGCTCTGGGCTTTGAGGCCCTGTGTGTGGCCCCATGGGGACTCCAGTTCTTGTGTGGCAGGGGTGTTCTCATGTCTGTCTCCCTCAGTCCTGCCCCTGGGCCCCTCGAAAGCCAGGTTTGTCTCCACTGAGCTGACAGCGGGCAGGGGGTGGCACCATCCGAGGTGGTTTGGGGGTTGCCAGGACCGCCGGGGACGAGGGCTTTGGCGGGGCCTCCTGGAGCTGGGCAGATGGGAACAGTCCATCCCCGGTGCTCTCCTCCAGCCTGGCGCTCTCCAGCCTCAACAAGCACGTGGAGGCCGTGGCTTACTACAAGAAGGCTCTGGAGCTGGACCCCGACAACGAGACATACAAGTCCAACCTCAAGATAGCGGAGCTGAAGCTGCGGGAGGCCCCCAGCCCCGTGAGTGCAGCGGGGGCGAGTGGCTCCAGAACGCCGAGCTGACTGTGTGGGTGGGGGACAGGTCCTCGGGCGCACCAGTGGCTCTAGGCTTAACCTGGGTGTCGTGAGGGTCCGGGGTTTGTTTCAGTTGGTGGTGAGATGCACAGGCGTGGAAGTGAGTGTCGTGAGAAGGTTCATGCCCCCAGACCCCTGGAAGCAGGAGGCCGGCCGCAGGGCTGCCCGCGGAGGCTGAGGGAGGGGCACAGAAAGGACCCTCGATGTGGGTTTTGTGGCGAGGCCGGGTGAGGAGGCTTCGGGTTGGCTGGTTGGAGCCATTTCATTAGACCCAGGCCTGGGGGCTGCCCCTGGTTGCCTGGTCCCTGGCCTGGGGGTGAGTGGGGCAGGTGGACTGTGGCCCTGGGGTGATGGGGGAGGTGCTGAGGGTGTGGGTTCTGGGTTAGTTTGTTTGTATTTCAAAGGTGCGTTTCTGGGTGAGTCATTTGCTTTCTCTGGGAATTGGCTACTCCAGGAGGGGGCGGCTCTGCCAGGCCAGCAAGGCCCCAAGGTGTCAAAGCGGCAGAATACAGGAAATCAACACGGGATGATAGACTGTGCCGTCCCCGGGCGGTCGCGCTGTACGGGGAATAAACACGGGATGATAGACTGTGCCGTCCCCGGGCGGTCGCGCTGTGCGGGGAATAAACACGGGATGATAGACTGTGCCGTCCCCGGGCGGTCGCGCTGTGCGGGGAATAAACACGGGATGATAGACTGTGCCGTCCCCGGGCGGTCGCGCTGTGCGGGGAATAAACACGGGATGACAGACTGTGCCGTCCCCGGGCGGTTGCGATGTGCTTCGTGCTGCCTGCCTCAAAGCACCCTCTGGCCGCAGGGTTGATAGAATGTCTGAGCCCCGTGGGGGGCCGTTGTTTCTGAGTTCCAGGGGGTTATTCACCGTGGCCTCTGGTCCAGGCCCCACTAACCAGGGCTGTTCTCATCCTCAGACGGGAGGCGTGGGCAGCTTCGACATCGCCGGCCTGCTGAACAACCCTGGCTTCATGAGCATGGTAACGGCCCGCCCCTCCTCCCTGTCCATGGTGTCTGCGCCACCCCCCAGGCCCGCATCTGCTGTGTCCGCTACTGGCCAGGGCTTCCTTGCCTTGGCACTGCTGGCTTCTGGAACCAGATGGGTCTTGTCTGTGGGGTCGTCCTGGGCACCGCAGGGCGCTGGCAGCACCCCTGGCCTCACCCGCCCCATGTCAGGAGCACCCCCACCCTCTGCTTCGACAATCAAAAGTGTCCCCAATGTTGATGTCCCAAGCAAGACCCATCAGTAGTGAGCACCAAAAGCTGGCTCTCCTGGCTGAGCCCAGGGAGGTCACACCCCCACCCCACCCTGGCGTGGGCTCCTCCTCGCAGTGCAGAGACACTGATCACAACACAGCAGCGTCTGCCTCCTAAGGTTCAGGCAAGGGAAGCAGAGCGCCGGGTGCGCCGGGCGCAGGTGGACCTCCCGATGCCCGGGCACTCATGCTTCCAAAGGGACGGCCTTTGGCAGGGAGTTCCTTGACTGGGATCCTCGGAGAGCCATCCCCCACACACACATGTTCATTTCCTGGGAGGTCTGTGTGCCCTGGGACCACTCTTCAGGCTCCCACAGCCTCAGGGTACAGGGACTCGCCTAAGGCTGTCGGGGAGAAAAGCCCTCAGTCTCACTGTCAGTCAGAAAAATGAGCCAGCTGGGCCAGGAGCCCTGCCCGGGTCGTGCCATTCAGCAGAGGCCACACCTCTTACTGTAGCCCTCGTCCGCTGGCCAAGCTGCCAGGGGAATATGTTCTCCCTCACCATGGGATGGAGGGTGACTGGGCCCCAGTCTTTCAAGGGGCCTCTCAGCTTGGCCATGTCACAGACGCCTTTTCCCTTCAGACATCTGGGGTTGGCAGAATAAGGCCCGCCGCTGGGTTTTGTTAATAAAGTTTTTTTTGGTTTTTTTTTTTTTTTTTTTTTTTGAGATGGAGTCTCGCTCTGTCGCCCAGGTTGGAGTGCAGTGGTGTGATCTCAGCTCACTGCAACCTCCGCCTCCCAGGTTCAAGCGATTCTCCTGCGTCAGCCTCCCGAGTAGCTGGGATTACAGGTGCCCACCACCATGCCTGGCTAATTTTGGTATTTTTTAATAGAAATGGGGTTTCACCATGTTTGCCAGGCTGGTCTCGAACTCCTGACCTTGTGATCCACCCGCCTCGGCCCCCCAAAGTGCTGGGATTACAGGTGTGAGCCACTACACCTGACCAATAAAGTTTTATTGGCACACAGCCATGCCCATTCATACACCTAGTGTCACTGGTGGCTTTCATGATACGGCGGCAGAGCTGAGTAGTTGCGTCAGGCACCCGTGTCTGAAAAGGCTGAGAGTATTTACACACTGGCCCTTTACACAGAGAGTTTGCCACACCTCTGAGCCACCTCCTTTCAACAGGTCCAAAGGAATAATCCCAAGTGGAAAGTTAACATGAGAAAGTGCCCAGTATAGTGCTATTTATTTATTTATTTATTTTTACTTCTTTTTTGAGACAGAGTCTCACTCTGTCACCCAGGCTGGAGTGCAGCGGTGTGATCTCGGCTCACTGCAACCTCCCCCTCCCAGGTTCAGGCGATTCTTGTGCCTCAGTTTCCCAAGTAGCTGGGACTACAGGCATGCACCACCACACCTGGCTAATTTCATATTTTTAGTAGAGACGGGGTTTCACCATGTTGGTTAGGCTGGTCTCGAACTCCTGACCTCAAGCGATCTGCCTGCCTCGGCCTCCTAAAGTGCTGGGATTCCAGGCGTGAACCACCGCGCCCAGCCACAGTGCTATTTATTGATAGAGCAAAACTGGAACCAAATATGCTAAATGAAATATGCTAAAGCAGACAGCAGCTAAAATAAAGAACCAAAACGCCTCCACACAGCAAAACCGCAGCAGCCAGTGAGAGAGCGCTGTGGCGCTGCGAGATCGCTCCTGAAGCAGGAACCCAAAACAGGATTTAAGTCACAATGTGGAGGTCACAGCTCGTGGGTGGGGGGGCGAAAATGTAGGGAAAAGGGTATGAAAGACCGAATGCCCGGCTCTTACTGTTGGTTGGCGTGCTGGAGTCCAGAACCAAGGCTGGTTAAGATGGAAAGTGTCTGATGAAAGAGAATGATGCGCTGGGAGCTTTGTCTTCCTGACAAATTTGTTCTGTTCTTCAGGCTTCGAACCTAATGAACAATCCCCAGATTCAGCAGCTGTAAGTGACAACCGGGTTTCTTCGGGTCTTGTTGTGGTTAAATTTCCTTTTATTGTGGGTAAATTCACTTAACATAAAACTAACCACTTTAAAGTGTGCAACTTAATGGCATTAAGGACTTTCACACTGTCATGCAACTGTCACCACTATCACACTGTCATGCAACTGTCACCACCATCACACTGTCATGCAACTGTCACCACCATTGAGCACCAACCCATCTTCATCACCTCCGAAAGAAGCCCCTTCCCCCTCAGCTGTCACTCCCCAACCCCTCTCCTATCCCCTGACAACCACGCATCCCCTTCCTGTCTCTGTGGATGGGCCTGTCCTGGACATTTCGTAGAAATGGGATCACACACTGCGTGAACTTTGGTGTCTGGCGTCTCTCACTGAGCGTGACGTCCTCAAGGTGCATGTGTGCTGGGGCCTGGGTCAGGGCCTCGCTCCTTTTCATGGCTGAGTAATATTCCAGTGTGGAGGGACCACGCTGTGCTGATCCACACATCTATCCATGGACATTTGGGCTGTTTCTACCTTTTGTCTGTTGTGAACGGTGCTGCTTGAGCACGGGTGTGCAATCGTCTGTGTGAATCCTGTTTTCGTTTCTCTTGGATATAAACTTCTGAGTGCACTCGCTGGCTCATAGGGTCACTCCCCAGTAAGCGCTGTGCGCACTGGGGAGCTGCTCACCTGTTTTCATGGTGAAATCTTTTTTTCTTTCTCCTTTTTTTTTTTTTGAGACAGAATCTTGCTCTGTCACCCAGGCTGGAGTGCAGTGGCAGAATCTTGGCTCACTGCAACCTCTGCCTCCCGGGATCAAGTGGGTCTTCCCAAGTAGCTGGAATTACAGGCATCCACCACCATGCCCGGCTGATTTTTGCATTTTTAGTAGAGATGGGGTTTCACCATGTTGGCCAGGCTGGTCTTGAACTCCTGACCTCAGGTGATCCACCCGCCTCAGCCTCCCAAAGTGCAGGGATGACAGGTGTGAGCCACCGCGGCTGGCCCACGGTCAAATCTTAAAGCATGGTTTCCCAGCCACAGCACCGTGGCCATTTGAGCTGGACCAGTTTCTGGAGCAGGGCCGTCCTGGGCACTGCAGGGTGCTGAGCACTGTCTCTAGCCTCCATCCACTCCATGCCAGGAGCACCCCCTGCCCCTGTCTTGGCGTAACCCAATCATGGCTGTTGCAAATGTCCGCTGCCATTGCAGGGGTCCTCTGGGGGCAGGATCACCCCCTGGCTGAGAACTACGCTCTTTAGGCCAAAGAAAGAGGGGTGTTCTGGGAAAGCAGGTGAAAGTCACAGGGTGGGTTTGGGCCCTGGAGGCCCACCAGGTGGTGAGAGAGAATCCTCTCCTGCAGGGGAAGGTGAAGGGCTGAGAGGGATTCTCTCCCGGGCCACTGCGAGGGCCTGCAGTGGGGGTGGCGGTCAGGCTGTCCCGGCTGCGAGTCACGCGCTCTCTCCTGCAGCATGTCCGGCATGATTTCGGGTGGCAACAACCCCTTGGGAACTCCCGGCACCAGCCCCTCGCAGAACGACCTGGCCAGCCTCATCCAGGCGTGAGTGGAACTGCTTCCAAGAGGACGGAGGACGTGGGCGGCGGGCAGGGCTCGCAGGCGGAAGGGAAGGAGGAGAGCGAAAGTGCTGCGTCCCCTGCTCCGAAGGGCCCAGCGTCCTCCAGCGAGGGGTCAGGCCTGTCTTTGGGGTGGAGGGCCCGAGGGGTCAGCTGGGGATGGACGGAGGCAGCAGGCAGCCTCCTGGCCCTGGCTGAGCCCCATGTGCCCTTCCCCGCAGGGGCCAGCAGTTTGCCCAGCAGATGCAGCAGCAGAACCCAGAGTTGATAGAGCAGCTCAGGAGCCAGATCCGGAGTCGGACGCCCAGCGCCAGCAACGACGACCAGCAGGAGTGACGCTGCGTGAGTGCATGGGGCCGGGGGCTGGGGGGTGGCCAGCAGGAGTGACACCACGTGAGTGCCTGGCAGTGAGGGCAGCCAGCAGGAGTGACGCCCGGGGGCTGTGGAGCCTGTCTGGACACTGGACAGCGAGTCCTGGGTGCATCCAGCTCAGAAGATCACCCTGAACCGCCCAGGCAGGTGGGGGCATCTCTGGGCATTGGGCCCCTTTCCAGGTGGCCACCAAGTCCTGCTCCCCACTCCTTTCCCATCTGTGGATCGGCGCTGGGTGGAGATTAGGGGAGAGCCACAGCTCCCTGGAAGGGCTGGTGTCTGGGGTCCCCCCTGCCTAAGGCCGCCTGCAGAAGCTCTTTGTTTCTGCAGTGTCGGGGCTGCCACCTCGGGGGTGGGGGCGAGGTCATCGAGTGGTGGAAAGGACAAGCCGGGTACCTGCCTTTGACTGCGCCCGAGCGTTCTGCCTGCATTTTGTGAGGGATTTTTTGTCCTTTTCTCACTGTGAGCAGGTGTTGCACTTACAGTTGTTTAAAAATACACTCAGTGTCCCCCATGGGTTCCAGGGGCCCGTGGCTGGCTTGGTTTCCTTCCCCAGGGGCCCCTGAGTTCAGTCCTGTCCGTCTCCAGCAGACACCGGCTTCCCAGGGGTGGGAGGCTCCCCTGAGTTCAGTCCTGTCTGTCTCCAGCAGACGCCGGCTCCCTGGGGGCGGGAGGCTCCGGGCCTCCCCAGAGGTGTTTCCATTCTGCTCCCATGTGGCCTCTTCATTTTGTCGTTGTCCCCTCCTCATATACACTCTCTTTCATTTTTAAACCATAATTACTGTAGACAAATTTAAAATACAAAAATGTTAAAAAGCAGCAAGAACAATCTTAATCTTTTTTTTTTTTTTTTGAGACCGTCCTGCTCTGTCCCCCCGGCTGGAGGGCAGTGGTGCAGTCACGTCTCACTGCAGCCTCAACCTCCTGGGCTCAAGCGATCCTCCCGCCTCGGCCTCCCAAAGTGTGAGCCGTGCATTCAGCCCAACCTTAATCTTCTCACCCAGAGCCACCAACATTAATATTTTGGCCGCCTTTTCTTCCAGTCTTCCCTTTTTTTTTTAAATAAGCTTTTATTTATTTTTCCTTTTCTTTTTTTAATAGTTGAGGTGGATTTTTTACCACCGTAACCTCATACACAAAGTACCACCATACTGTAGACCCTTCTAGGTCATGGCGATGTTCTCTGCGCCACCAGCCACACGTGGCCCCGAGTGTGTGGAACGCTTCTGGTGCAGCTGTGGCTCTGACGTTCGTTGAAATAGCCGCTGTGGCCCCTGGCTGTCCACTCTGGGCCTCTCCTGCTGCCTGGAGTGTGTGGTGCAGCCTTGGTCCCCACCTGCGCTCTGACAGCCTTCATGTCTGTCCCCTTCCAGCTGCTCCCGGTGTGACCGCGTCCTTCCCTGGCCGACCCGAAGGAAGCCTTCTGGTTGTCTGCCACTTCCTCCTGTTGGACTGCCTGAGAGAGGGGAAGAGAGAGACCTCGGACCTGCATGTCAAGATGGATTTTCCCCTTTTATCTCTGCCCTCCTCCACTCCCTTTTTGTAACTCCCTTACAGCCCCCAGACCCTTCTTGAAACGAGAGCCAGCAAGCTGAGCACAGACCAGCAGCGACCTCCCTTCCAGCCCCCAGAAAGCTCGGTCACTTGAGTGTTTTCTAGAATCCTGGGGTGCTCCCGGGCCGCTCTCAGAGAAGTGGCAGGTTTCACGTTCAGCCGTGTGGCGGATCGTGTGGCTTCCAAAGCCTTTTACAGCCCCCGCCCCCCATCCCGTGGTCTGTCTGCAGGAACTCTCCCGTCTGTGAGAAGCCTCTTTCCGAGTCGACCTCCCGGCCACCCCGGCCCTGTGCCTGCTCGGAAGAGCTCACTGCCAGCTGCGGCCTGGGCACCGCGGGCCATGTGTGTTTGCATGAGGAACTCTTTAGTGGCAGACACCTAAGAGACGGCTGCGGTCACCCCACGCCTCCGCGGCTCAGGAGCCGTCCTGGGTGCATAGGACCAGTTTCTGTGACTTTTCTCCAGTTGGGCATGTTGACAGACATGTTTCCCCTCCTCCCACCCTCATTTTCTGGTCCTCGCGACTGAGAGCCAGGGGCGACATCATGACCTTCTGTCCCGGCCGCCTTAGCCCCGGGCACAGGGAAGGCAGCTGGGCCGTTTCTGTCTGTGTCCCATCCTGCTGTCCTTCTGTCCTGGATGTTTCATGGGCCCGGGGCCCCCCAGGGAAGCTTACCCCTCCTGTGCTGGGTGGAGGCCACGGGACACCTCAGGTGCCACCCACCTTGGCCCTAAAACAGCCACCAGGAAAGCAGCCGGAGAGCCGGACAGCAGGCAGCCTGTCTGGGTTCCTGAGGCCTGGGGGTGGCAGACGAGCCCACGGCGCCGTGGTCCCAGCAGCAGGGTTGTCAGTCGGAGCATCCTGGGGCTCCCTGGCTCCTGGCCGTCTGTGAGGTAGGCGCAGTACCGTGTATCGTAGGTAGCAGTAGGAACGGGGGCCGCCGCGGCCCTGCAGCCGCTCATGGCGGTGAGGTGTGTGCCAAGCCCACCCGGGGTGCAGGGCGTGACGTGTGGGGAATAAATAGGCGTTGTGACCTCTGTCTGTCTTCGTGTTGACCTTGGCGCCACCGATACCCTCCAACCCCAAACCTCGAGAAAACCCCCGACGCGGAGTTTGTGGATCAGCTGGGCTGCTTGTGAGTGAATCCCCGCGACGCCGGAGCCGCACTTCTTGGGTCACGGGTCACGGGTCATGGGAGGTTTCGGACAGTCAGCCTCTACCCTCTGCTGTCTCCCTTCCCTCCGCCTCCGTCCCCAGCTGCATCCCGGTGTAGAGGGTCACCCCAGGGTGGGGTGAGATGCCTCGGTCCTCAGCAGAGAGTGATCGTATTGTCTGTTGCTTTGCTTTGCTTTTTTTTTTTTTTTGAGACTTTCACCCTAGATGCCCAGGCTGGAGTGCAATGGCGCAATCTCGGCTCACCTCAACCTCCACCTCCCGGGTTCAAGTGATTCTCCTGCGTCAGCCTTCCAAGTAGCTGGGATTACAGGCATGCACCACCACGCCCAGCTAATTTTTTGTATTTGTAGTAGAGACGAGGTTTCTCCATGTTGGTCAGGCTGGTCTCAAACTCCCAACCTCAGGTGATTTGCCTCAGCCTTCCAAAGTGCAGGGATTACAGGCGTGAGCCACCGCACCTGGCTTTGTCTGTTGCTTTTCTAGCATACTGTAACTCCATAAATTCTGTATTCTGTAACCAAAGGCACCTCCCTTTCACAACGGCTCCAGTTGAGAGAATGGGTCAGTGAGGGAGTCCCAGGCAAGAAGGAGCCCAGAAAGCTTCCAGGCCCATCTCAGCCCCAACCCTAGGGTGCTGCACAGAGTTTTGTTGTGAACATAGAAGCTGCTCCCTTGGCCAGGTGTGGTGGCTCAAGCCTGTCATCCCAGGACTTTGGGAGGCTGAGGCGGGTGGATCACTTGAGGTCAGGAGTTCAAGACCAGCCTGGCCAACATGATGAAACTCCATCTCTACTACAAATACAAAAAAAGATTGGCGGGCATGGTGGCAGGTGCCTGTAATCCCAGCTACTCAGGAGGCAGAGGCAGGAGAATCGCTGGAACCCAGGAGACGGAGGTTGCTGTGAGCTGAGATAGCACCATTGCCCTCCAGCCTGGGGAACAGAGCGAGACTACGTCTCAAAAACATAAAAATGAAAGAACAACTCCCTGAAAGTCCTCTAAGCTTTCGTGGACTGTGAATTCCTGTTTCCCACAAGCCAAGGTTGGGCACCGGCACCCTCATGCTAGAGACAGAGAAACCGAGGCCTGGCTATCAGGCCCGAGGTCACCCCACCCGTGAGCGTCTGAACCTGGCGGAGCCCTGGCAGGGACTCTGGCTCAGGACCCTGGCTCAAGCACCCACCTTCTCCACCCCTGCAATAGCAGGAAGAACCGAGATCTGCAGGGGCGAAGTTTCAGGTTCAGCCACTACCTCTGTCATCTCCCAAAAATGACACACCAAAAAGTCACAAAATTCAAAGAACAGCCACCCCAGGGTTGCTGGGTCTAGTGCTGAAGGGGCCTGGCTGTGGGAGGCAGGTGGGCGCTTCAGGTCTCAGGCAGAGCTTCTCACCTGGGTGGCTCTTCCCCCGGGGCACACTTAGCTGGGCAGCATCTGGGGACGTGAGTGGTTGTTGCAATGGTGGGGGTGGAGGCCAGGGTTGCTGCTTAGCACACTGCAGGGCCCAGGACGGCCCCCTCCAGAGAATGATCTGGCCCCAGTGTCCACAGAGCCGGGGCGGTAGAAGGGGAACCCTGGATGCATTTTAGACTGTCCTCAGCTCAGCAGCAGCAGCGTGGCCTGGGGGCACAGTAGAAACACCAAGTCTTGGGCCTCACCCCAGGCCTAAATCAGACACTCCAGGCCAGGCGCCCTGGCTCACACCTGCAATCCCAGCACTTTGGGAGGCCAAGGCGGACGGATCACCTGAGGTCAGGAGTTCAAGACTAGCCTGGCCAACATGGTGAAACCCTGTCTCTACTAAAAATACAAAAATTAGCTGGGCGTGGTGGCGCAAGCCTGTAACCTCAGCTACTCGGGAGGCTGAGGCAGGAGAATCGCTTGAACCTGGGAGGCGGAGGATGCAGTGAGACAAGATCGCACCACTGTACTCCAGCCTGGGCAACAAGAGCGAAACTCCGTCTGAAAAACAAAAAATAAGATGGTGAGCCTCCATCTGTACCAAAAAAAAAATTAGCCAGACACGGTGGTGCTCACCTGTAGTCCCAGCTCCTCAGGAGGCTGAGGCAGGAGGATCACTGGAGCCTGGGAGTTTGAGGTTGTAGTGAGCCATGATCACAGCACTGCACTCCAGCCTGGGCAAAAGAGCAAGACCCTGTCTCGAAAAATTAAAAATAAGTCAGGGCCGGGCTTGGTGGCTCATGCCCGAAGCAGGACAGAGATGGACCACTGGGTCTTAAAGTTTGGTGGGTGTCAAGAGTCACCCAGAGAGCTTGATGAACACACAACTGGGGCCCACCCACATGTATCTACATTTTTTTTTTTTTTTTTTTTGGAAACGGAGTCTGGCTTTGTCGCCCAGGCTGGAGTGCAGTGGTGCGATCTCCGCTCACGGCAAGCTCCGCCTCCTGGGTTCATGCCCTTCTCCTGCCTCAGCCTCCCGAGTAGCTGGGACCACAGGCGCCCGCCACCAAGCCCGGCTAATTTTTTGTATTTTTAGTAGAGACGGGGTTTCACCGTGTTAGTGAGGATGGTCTCGATCTCCTGACCTCGTGATCCACCTGCCTCGGCCTCCCAAAGTGCTGGGATTACAGGTGTGAGCCACCGCGCCCGGCCTACATTTTTTTTTTTTCTTTTGAGATAGAGTCTCACTCTGTCGCCCAGGCTGGAGTGCAGTGGTGCCATCTTGACTCACTGCAACCTCTGCCTCCTGGGTTCAAGTGATTCTCCTGCCTCAGCCTCCCCAGTAGCTGGAATTACAGGTGCCCGCCGCCACGCCCAGCTAATTTTTGCATTTTGGGTAGAGATGGGGGTTTCACCATGTTGGCCAGGCGGGTCTTGAACTCTTGACCTCAGGTGATCCACCCGCCTTGGCCTCCCAGAGTGCTGGGATGACAGGCGTGAGCCACCGCGCCGGGCCGGATCTGCACTGTAGACAAGCAGCCCAGGTGATCGCGATGCCTCTGTTTGGAGAATCCCACTCCCGGAAACACCTGTGGACACTGTTGCAGGAGCCGTGTATCCCAGCCGCAGCCGGCACGCTCTTCAGTCTTCGTAGACGACCTCGGCTCATTTCCTCCCATCTCGTGTCCATCACCAGGAAAGCCTGCACAGTCTCTTCCCAGTTGACCCCAAACCCAGCCCAAGCCTTTGAGAGACCTCCAGAAAGTTTGTTTTGGAATCACCAAGGGGTGGAGAAGAGGAGGGGTGGCGAGGGGGAGCTGTCATCTCATCCCAGAACCAGTGGCTTCTCTGCGCGACTTGATGAGAAGCGTGTCATAGATAATGGCTGCTTGATCCCACACAAGTTTGAAATAGGGTAGTTCTGAATATTCCTGTCAGAGATGCGCAGAGCAAAGAAGCGGTAATTAAACTTGGGTTTCATGTAAGTCGTGACTCAGGGCTCCAGGAGTAGGTTGAACCTCCAGGTGTAATCGTGGAATTAGGAAGGCTCTGCCCTCTGCTTCTCTGTACGCTTGGGGTGCAGTTCCTACAAAGCCTGACCCAGCAGGGACTATGTTGCAAACCCCTCCAGGGTAAGTCCCAGGAAGCCACGAGGAGGAAACAAATAGTGTTTTTCTCTTTTGCAGAATTGGTGCTTCTCAACGGGCGCAGTTGTCCTCCCCGGGACACAGGGCGATGTCTGCGGACATCTGTGGTTGTCACAACTGGGGGGTGCGCCTGGCATTGAGTGGGTGGAGGCCAGAGACGCTGCTCAGCACCCTGCAGTGCCCAAGATGGCCCCACCCCACAGAATAATTCAGCCCCAAATGTCCACAGTACAGAGGAGGAGAAGCCCAGACACATGGTACTCTCTAGATAAATGTGTCAAATCCATGTCCCAAACCGTTTTGCCATTAGGAAAAATAATTTGTCACTGACTCTGGAATGTCCCGGTATCTTTGAAGGAAAACATTTCACCCCAAACTGAGTAACTTGAAAACCTAAAACAAAGTGACCTTCCCCATCCTGTTCTCCATCTTGCAAAAATATCTTAGGTCAAATTATTCTTTTTAGAGACAGGGTCTGGCTCTGTTGCCCAGGCTGGAGTGTAGCACCGTGAGCATAGCTCACTGTAGCCTCAACCTCCTGGGCTCAAGCGATCCTCCCACCTCAGCCTTTCAAGTAGCTGGGACTACAAGCATGGACACCACGCCCAGCTAATTTTAGTTATTATTTTTAAATTTTATTTATTTTTTGAGACAGAGTCACGCTCTGTCACCCAGGCTGGAGTGCAGTGGGGCGATCTCAGCTCACTGCAGGCTCAACCTCCTGGATTCAAGCAATTCTCCTGCCTCAGCCTCCACAGTAGCTGGGATTACAGGCATGTACCACCATGCCCGGCTAATTTTTTTGTATTTTTAGTAGAGATGGGGTTTTGCCACGTTGGCCAGGTTGGTCTCGAACTCCTCACCTCTAGTGATCCACCCACCTCGGCCTCCCAAATTTCTGGGATTACAGGGGTGAGCTGCCGCGCCGGCCTGTTTTTAAATTTTAGATTCAGGGGTACATGGGTCCTCCCTTCCTTCCTCCTGCTTTACTATGGTATCAAGATGAACCTGGTCAACATGGTGAAACCCCATCTCTACTAAAAATACAAAAATTAGCTGGGTGTGGTGGCAGGTGCCTGTAATCACAGTTCCTCGGGAGGCTGAGGAAGGAGAATCGCTTGAACTGGAAGGCGGAGGTTGCAGTGAGCCGAGATCACACCATTGCACTCCAGCCTGGGCGACAGAGTGAGACTGTCTCAAATAAAATAATAAAATTAAAAATAATAAAATAAATAATAAAAAGGCCGGGCGCAGTGGCTCACGCCTGTCATCCCAGCACTTTGGAAGGCCGAGGCGGGAGGATCACCTCAGGCCAGGAGTTCGAGGCCAGCTTCACCAACATGGAGAAACCCCATCTCTAAAAATACGAAATTAGCCAGGTGTGGTGGTGCACACCTGTAATCCCAGCTACTCAGGAGGCTGAGACAGGAGAATCGCTTGAACTCGGGAGTTAGAGGTTGCAGTGAGCCGAGATTGTGCCACTGCACTCCAGCCTGGGCGACAGAGTGAGACTCCGTCTCTAAATAAATAACTAAATAATAAAAAATTAACATTGGATTGGAGTCCAAGCATCCGGGATGTGGTCTCGGAAATGGGGAGCCGGGGCGATTCCGCACGGAGCCGCCAGGGGGCGCGGCAGCCACGGCCTCTCCCGCGGGCACCCACGTGCGTCCGCAGCTGCCAGGGCTGTGATCGACAAGGCGTGGCTCCTTCTGCAGCCACCTGGGCCAGAGCCTAGGGACCGCCCTGCTGCTAGAGTTTTGCTCTTAGAATCGGGTCTCCTTTCAGAATGACACGGAGAAAACATCCTCCGAAGCAGGGATGTCCTACCGGGTGCTCGTGCTTTGATGGAGCCAAGAGGATGCACGCAGTGGACCAGGGAGCCAGGCTGGCCCTGAGATACCTGTGGGATGCAGGGTCAAAGACATGAGGCCCGGCAGCGTGGGCGCGCGAGGACCCGCGAAGCCCACCAGAAACCAGAAATTCTCATCAGCTCACGGTGGTCCCGAATTCTTGCCAAGCCCAGGTAGACTTGGGGAGCCCCGTTCCTCTGTCTCCCTCTCTTTCGTTAATGGTGCTTTTTCAACCTTTATACATTTTTATTTACTTATTTATTATTTTTTAATTTTAATTTTTGTTTTTTTGAGACAGAATCTTGCTCTGTCGCCCAGGCTAGAGCACAGTGCCACGATCTTGGCTCACTGCAACCTCTGCCTCCTGAGTTCAAGTGATTCTCATGTCTCAGCCTCCAGAGTAGGTGGGACTACAGTCACACACCACCATGTCTGGCTATTTTTTTTTTTTTTTGTATTTATAGTAGAGACGGGGTTTCTCCATGTTGGCCAGGATGGTCTCAAACTCCTGGCCTCAGGTGATCCACCTGTCTCGGCCTCCTAAAGTGCTGGGAATACAGGCGTGAGCCACTGTGCTTAGCCAGTTTTTATTTATTTTTGAGACAAGGTCTCTCTTTCTGTGTGTCTTCTTTCCAGGCTGGAGAGCAGTGGTGCAGTCACAGCTCATCGCAGCCTCGACCTCCTGGGCTCAAGCAATCCTCCCTCAGCCTCCTGAGTAGCCAGGACTAGAGGCATGTGCCATCATGCCTGGATACTTTTTTTTTCTAGAGATAGGGTCTTGCTGTGTTGCCCAGGCTGGTCTCAAACTCTTGATCTTAAGCGATGCTCCCGCCTTGGCCTCCCAAAGTTGGGATTACAGGTGTGAGCCACTGTGCCAGGCTTCTCCTTCTTCTCCTTCTCCTTCTTCTTTTTTTCTTTAAGAGATAGGTTCCCCAGGCTGGAGTGCAGTGGCGCCATCATAGCTCACAGCAGCCTTGGACTCCTGGGCTCAAGTGATCCTCTTACTTCAGCCTCCTGAGTAGCTGGGACTACAGGCATTTTAAAGACTTAATGCAAGTGTAACATACCTACACCAAAGTGTGAATGATAAGCAAACATCATGGGTGGGGTGCTGTGGCTCACACCTATAATCCCAGCAGTTTGGGAGGCCGAGGCAGGTGGATCACCTGAGGTCAGGAGTTCGAGACCAGCCTGGCTAACATGGCGAAACCCCATTTCTACTAAAAAATACCAAAATTAGCCGGGCGTGGTGGTGGGTACCTGTAATCTCAGCTACTCGGGAGGCTGAGGCAGGAGAATTGCTTGAACCCAGGAGGCGGAGGTTGCAGTGAGCCGAGATCATGCCACTGCACTCCAGCCTGGGTGACAAGAGCGAGACTCTGTCTCAAAAGAAGCAAACATCATGATGAATTTTCATGAGGGGAACACGCCCATATCATTGGCACCTACACCAAGAAACCAAACCTAAGCAGTGCCCCCACATTCCCGCTACTCACTGCCTCCCAGTCCCCCCACACTCCCGCTACTCACTGCCTCCCCAGAGGGTGACACTGACCTAGCGTTTGATACCATGGGTGGGTGCTGCCTGTTTTTGAGAGTTATACAAATACAATCTGCAAAAGGTAAAGCCACAAGGGTTTCAGAAGAAAATATAGAGTCTATTTTGGGGTAGGCAAAATTTTCTTAGAAAGCAAAAAGCGCTAACCATAAAGTTTTTTTTTGTTTTTGTTTTTGTTTTTGTTTTTGTTTTGAGACAGAGTTTCACTCTTGTTACCCAGGCTGGAATGCAGTGGCGAGATCTCGGCTCACCACAACCTCTGCCTCCCGGGTTCAAGCAATTCTCCTGCCTCAGCCTCCCAAGTAGCTGGGACTACAGGCACCTGCCACCACGCCCGGCTAATTTTGTATTTTTAGTAGAGACGGGGTTTCTCCATGTTGGTCAGGCTGGTCTCGAACTCCCAACCTCAGGTGATCCGCCCACCTCGGCCTCCCAAAGTGCTGGGATTACAGGTGTGAGCCACTGCACCTGGCCAAGTTTTTTTTTTTTTAATCAACAATTAGACTTCATTAAAATAATGATGCCATCAAAATAGAGGGATAAATTGAGCCATTGAGTGGGTGAAGACATTTGCAATATGTACTTTATAAAAATATCAAGTACTCCTACAAATCAGTGAGAAGAGAGATGACCCAATTCTCTTAATGGGCAAAACACTTAGACATTCCAAAAAACAGGATAGGCAAATGGCCCATAAGTATGAGGAAAAGAGCTCAATGTCATTAGACATCAGGAGAACACTAACTAAATCCATAGTAGCCGCCGGGCGCGGTGGCTCACGCCTGTAATCCCAGCACTTTGGGAGGCCGAGGTGGGCGGATCACGAGGTCAGGAGATCGAGACCATCCTGGCTAACACGGTGAAACCTCATCTCTACTAAAATACAAAAAATTAGCCGGGCGTGGTGGCAGGCACCTGTAGTCCCAGCTACTCGAGAGGCTGAGGCAGGGGAATGGAGTGAACCTGGGAGGCGGAGGTTGCAGTGAGCTGAGATCCCACCACTGCACTCCAGCCTGGGCGACAGAGTGAGACTCCATCTCAAAAAACAAACAAACAAACAAACAAAAAAACCATAGTAACAAACAAAAAAACCATAGTAGCAAACAACTACACCAGGATAGCTCAAGTTGAAGGACCTGAAAAACAAGTGTTAGCCAGGTGTGGTGATACGCACCTATAGTCCCAGCTATTTGGGAGGCTGAGGCGGATGGATTGCTTGAATCCAGGAGTTCAAGACCAGCCTGAGCAACATGGGAAGAGTCTGTCTCTACACACACAAAATAATTGGCTGGGCTTGGTGGCTCATGCCTGTAATCTCAGCACTTTCAGAGGCTGAGTCAGGACGATCACTTGAGACCAGGAGTTCAACACCAGCCTAAGCGACACGGTAAAACTCCAGCCTGGCCAACATGGTGAAACCCCATCTCTACTAAAAATACGAAAAGTAGCCAGGCATGGTGGCGGGCGCCTATAATCCCATCTACTTGGGAGACTGAGGCAGGAGAATTGCTTGAACCAGGGAGGTGGAGGTTGCAGTGAGCTGAGATCATGCCATTGAACTCCAGCCTGGGCTACAGAGGGAGACTCCATCTCAAAAAAAAAAAAAAAAAAAAGAAAACAAAAAAAGAATAAGGATCTTTACAGTAGAAAAACCTGACAACTACTATGTCAGCCAGGTGACCCAGTCAGTGTCAACAGTGGTAAGTCATGTTGACTGCATGGGCTTTGCTATGATGTGATGTGATGGGGATGGCCTCTCACTTCTATAGTCTTCCTCAAAAACAAACAACAGAAACACAGCTCTAGTCCAACGATGAGAAAACTATCAGGAAACCCCAGTCAAGAAATATTCCACAAAATATCTGACCCGTCCTCCTCAAAACTGTCCAGATCATGAGAAACAAGGAACATCTGAGAAACTGTGACAGCCAGGAGGAGCCTAAGAAGATGTGATAATGAAATGTCATGTGAGGCCGGATGCGGTGGCTCATGCCTGTCATCCCAGCACTTTGGGAGGCTGAGGCGGGCGGATCACTTGAGGTCAGGAGTTCGAGACCAGCCTGGCCAATATGGAGAAATCCTGTTTCTACTAAAAATACAAAAAATTAGCAGGGCATGGTGGTAGGCACCTGTAGTCCCAGATACTTGGGAGACTGAGGCACGAGAATCACTTGAACCTGGGAAGTGGAGGTTGCAGTGAGCCAAGACTGCACCACTGCACTCCAGCCTGGGCAATAAGAGTGAGACTCCGTCTCCAAAAAAAGCCCCCAAAAACCAAAAACCAAACCAAACCAAAACAAAAAATCCACGTTTATATTTCAATGAATTTCCTTCCTTCCTTCCTTCTTTTCTTTCTTTTTTTCTGGAGATGGAGTTTGCTCTTGTTGCCCAGGCTGGAGTACAATGGCGTGATCTCAGCTCACCACAACCTCCGCCTCCCAGGTTCAGTGATTCTCCTGCCTCAGCCTCCTGAGTAGCTGGGATTACAGGTGCATGCCACCACGCCTGGCTAATTTTTGTATTTTTAGTACAGACGGGGTTTCTCCACGTTGCCCAGGCTGGGCTTGAACCCCTGACCTCAGGTGATCCACCCCCCTCGGCCTCCCTGGGATGATAGGCGTGAGCCACTGCGCCCGGCTTTCAGTGAATTTTCTTATGCTCTTCACCTAGATTCACTTATTCTTCACATTTTACCAAATTTCCTTTTTTCTCTTCTTATGTGTGTGTATATGTATAATAATTATTATTTTTTTGCCGAACAATTCAAATGAAAGTTCCAGACATCATGTATTTTGTATCTCCTAAGAACAAGGACATTCTATTACATAAATACAGTATAATTGTTAAATTCAGGAAATTAAACATTACTGAATATTGACATGATTATTTAATAAACAGTCTACATTCAGATTTTTTCAATTTTTTCTCTGTTTTTTTTGTTTTTGTTTTTGAAGTGGAGTTTTGCTCTTGTTGCCAGACTGGAGTGCAGTGGACCAATCTCAGCTCACTGCAACCTCTGCCCCCTGGGTTCAAGTGATTCTCCCACCTAGCTGGTATTACAGGTACAGCTAATTTTTGTATTTTTAGTAGAGACAGGGTTTTACCACGTTGGTCAGGCTGGTCTCAAACTCCTGACCTCAAGTGATCCGCCTGCCTTGGCCTCCTACAGCACTGAGATTACAGGCGTGAGCCACCTTGCCCAGCCGTTTTTGTTGTTGTTTTGATGTTGTTGTTTGTTTGTTTTGGGTTTTTGAGACAGGGACTTGCTCTGTTGCCCAGGCTGGAGGTCAGTGGCATGATCATAGCTCACTGTGGCCTTGATCTCCTGGGCTCAAGCAATCCTCCCTCCTCCCAGTAGCTGGGGTGACAGGCATGTGTCACCACACCTGGGTGATTAATTTATTTTTTATTTTTTATTTTTTTCTTTTGAAGAGACAGGGTTTCACTATGTTGCTCAGGCTGGTCTTGAACTCCAGGGCTCAAGTTATCCTCTTGCCTCAGCCTCCCAAAGTACTGGGATTATAGGTGTGAGCCACCGTGCCTGGCCCCTTGTTTTATTTTGTATTTTCATGATTATCTTCATGGATTGAGACTCTTTTCTTATATTTATTCACCTCTTATATTGGTTCCCCTGTGAATTGCTCATTCATCACCCTTCCTATTTTTATTTTAAGATGTTTATTTTCTATTTTCTATCAAGGGCTCTGTCTCATATAGTATCAACATTTTTCTCCCAGTCTGTCACTTGTCTATTAAGCCCATTCATGGTGTTTTTTACTATGGAAGATTTTTGAAATACTGAAGTCAGTCAATTTGTCAGTATTTTTTTTTTATAGAGATAGGGTCTCATCATCTTGCCCAGGCTTGTCTCCAACTCCTGGGCTCAAGAGATCCTCCTACCTCAGCCTCCCAAAGTGCTGGGATTATAGGTATGCACCACTGTGCTGCTTTTATGTTATTTTATATTTTATTAGTATTTTTTTTCTGTTGCGCTCTGAAGACATCTGCTCCTACATGGCTTCTGGTGCACAGGAGGTTTTCAAAAACACGTACTGAATGAATCAAAGCCCAAAGCTTACGTAGCTCTTTCCCTGAGCAGGCTGATTCTCCAAACAATTATGAATAAATATCGCATGCTATGAATTCCCCTTAGGAAGGAGTCGTCCTGTGGCGTCTACCTGGTGTGCTTATGTTACAAGCCATCTTTTTCTTGTCGTGAGTTATGGAAAGCAGAAACAGAGTCAGATCACTCTGCATCTAATAATAAAAATAGCTACCAGAAACAGTGTGTTCCACATGATGACATCAGCGCCACGCAGGCAGAAAATGGCATTAAATGCTAAGAACTTGTAGATGTCTCATTTATAGCCTCTGTGAAACTGAACTCTGTCTTTTGACGCTTTCAATCTCTGTGCCTCCTCCAGTCTTTCCTATTTTAGTGAGCACCAGAATCCATCGGATGGCTCAAAGCAGAAAACCAGAAGTCACCCCCAACACCTCCTTCTCCTGCAACCCACACAGACAAACCAGTGCTAAGTCCTGTCAATTCACCCTCCAAAATATTTCTCAAATTCACCCACTGTCCTTTCTCCTGTCAATGCCCTCAGCTAAACTACCGTCAAGTCTTTTCTTAGAAATAGAGATAGGGTCTCACTATGTTGCCCAGGCTGGTCTCGAACTCCTGGGCTCAAGCGATCTTCCTGCAATGGCTTCCCAATGTGCTAGGATTACAGGTGTGCGCCAAGGCACCCAGCCCAACTCTTGCCCAGAGGGCTCTGAAGTAGTCTCCCTGCTTCCATTCTTGCTTCTCTATAATTCAGCCTTTCTTTACACACGAGTCAAAATAATCTTAAGAATTAAAATTAGATGACAACCTTCACCTACTTAAAATCCTTCAATGAATCACACTGTAATTACGGTAAAATCCAAGTTCCATAGCACGGTCTATGGGACTGTCCCTAATCTCCCATCTCCCTACTGCTCACGAACATTCAGCCAGGCTGGCTTTCCAACTCCTCAAATGCAGCAAGCCCTTCTCCATCTTTTTGTCAACTATCCTCTCTTCTCTCCCCACTTCTCAGTACTTTTTTTTCTTTTTTTTTTTTTTTTTTGAGACGGAGTCTTGCTCTGTCGCCCAGGCTGGAGTGCAGTGGCATGATCTCGGTTCACTGCGACCTCCACCTCACAGGTTCAAGCGATTCTCCTACCTCAGCCTCCCGAGTAGCTGGGATTACAGGCGCCCACCACCACGCCCTGCTAATTTTTATATTTTTGGTACAGACAGGGTTTCACCATGTTGGCCAGGCTGGTCTTGAACTCCTGACCTCAAGTGATCCACCCACCTCAGCCTCCCAAAGTGCTGGGATTATAGGTGTGAGCCACCACACCTGGCCTTCTCAGTACATTTGACTTGGCTAATTCCTGCACAGAAGTCTCTCTCATTCTTTCTTCACAGAACTTAGTACAACCTATAGTTTTTCTAGTATGTATGTGTATTAGTTACCTACTGCCATATGACAAATTTTCCCCCAAACTTAGTGCCAGCAGGCATTGTGGCTCATGCCTGTAATCTCAGCACTTTGGGAGGCTGAGGTGGGAGGGTTTCCTGAATCCAGGAGTTCAAGACTGGCCTGTGTGACATTAGGTAAAAAATTAGCTGGGCATGGTGGCACATGCTCCCAGCTACTCGGGAGGCTGAGGTGGGAGGACTGCTTGAGCCCAGGAGGTCATGGCTGCAGTGAGCTGTGATTGCACCACTGCACTCCAGCCTGGGTGATGGGGCAGGACCCTGTCTCAAAATACAAGCAAACAAACACAAAACTAAGTGGCTAGAACAGCATGTGTTATCTCAGTTTCTGTGGGTGAGGAATTCAGATGCAGTTCATATGGGTCTTCTGTTTTCAGGGTCTTTGTTTTTCTTTCTTTCTTCTTCTTCTTCTTCTTTTTTTTTCTTTTGAGACAGGGTCTCACTCTGTTGCCCAGGCTGGAGTGTAATGGTAATGATTTCAGCTCGCTGTCACCTCTGCCTCCTGGGTCCAAGTGATTCTGATGCCTCAGCCTCCTTAGTAGCTGGGACTACAGGTGCCCGCCACCATGCCTGGCTAATTTTGGTATTTTTAGTAGAGATGGGGTTTTGCCGTGTTGGCCAGGCTAGTCTCAAACTCCTGACTTTAAGTGACCTGCCTACCTCGGCCTTCCAAAGTGCTGGGATTATAGGCATGAGCTACCACATGCAGCCCTGTTTTAGGGTGTTTCAAAGGCTGCAATTGAAGTGAAGCAGTCATCCAAAGGCTCAACTGGGGCAGGACCCTCTTCCATGATCACGTTCATGGCTGTTGGTAGCATTTGGTTCCTTATGGACGCTTGTGCTGAGGGTCTCATTGCCTTGCTGACTGTTGGCTGGAGGACACCCTCAGTTCCTTTCCCTCTGGATCTCTCCAGCATCTTAGCTTGCTTTGTCAAGACACGTAGGCTGAGAAGGCGAGAGACAGGCTCTGCTGGCAAAACAGAAGTCACAATCTCTCATAGCCTAATCGCAGAATGACATCCCATTCATTTGCCATTTTCTATTTGTTAGAATCAAGTCATCAGGCCAAGCGCAGTGGCTCATGCCTGTAATCCCAGCACTTTGGGAGGCCAAGGTAAGAGGATCACCTGAGGTCAGGAGTTCAAGACCAGCCTGGCCAACATGGTGAAACCCCGTCTCTACTAAAAACACAAAAATTAGCCGGCATAGTGGCACACGCCTATAATCCCAGCTACTCGGGAGGCTGAGGCAGGAGAATCGCTTGAACACGGGAGTCGGAAGTTGCAGTGAGCCAAGATCGCGCCATTGCACTCCAGCCTGAGTGACAAGAGCGAGACTCTGTCTCAAAAAAAACCTTTTTTTTTTTTTTAGAGATGGGGTCTCACTATGCTGCCCAGGCTGGCCTTGAACTCCTGGACTCAAGCGATCCTCCCGCCTCGGTCTCTTAAAGTGCTGAGATTACAAGTGTGAGCCACTGCGCCCTGCCAAGATTTGGTTTTTAACTTACGCGTTACCTCCTATACTTATTTTTTCATGGTTTGAACATGTAACATCTACTTTCTTAGCAATTTTGCAGTATGCAATGCATTGTTACGAGCTGTAGCCACCATGATGTACAGTCGATCTCTTGGACTTACTCCTCCTGCCTATCAACAGAGATTTGTTGAAGGGATGAATCTGCTTCTTCAGCCGTCGGTAAGGGGATCAGCAGCGAGGACGCTGAGAGAGGAGCCGCCTCCGTTGGAAATCCCTTCCCATCCACCTCCAAGCCTCTTTCCAAGCGGGATTCAGCACCAGGCGCCCCTGGACAGCTCTGGAAACCCAACCCTGCCGGAACCGTTCCTCGCCAATCCGGGTTTCCCGCCGGGGCCGCTTGGTGGCTGCGCCCGCCGCTCAGCGGGAGGAAACCCCTTTCCTGTGCCGGTAGGAGAGGTGGAGTCGCATATGAGTGGCAGGTTTCGCAGCCAATAGTATGGAAAGTTCTGCCAGCGGGTCTCGGGGAGGCCAATGGGCAGGGGCGTGGGCGGGGCGTGGACCAGCCGCGCCGAGCGGGGCCTCTCCGGGCCGCGTCTGTGGGGTCGAGACTGCGCGGCCGTTGGGCGTGCAGCGGCGCCAGTCGGCGGACGAGGGGCCCCCGGGAGGTAGGTGCGGGCAGAGAGAGGACCTGGGGCGGCGGGGCGGGGCGGCGCTGAGCGGCCGGGGGTCTGTTGGACTCTACCCGCACGTTAGCCGAGGCCCGTCTCCGGTGCCCGGTAGCGCGAGGCACACAGAAGGCGCTCAATAAGTGCTGATTGAATGAATGAGCCCGTGCCCTCCTCATCCCGGCCCGAGCAGCCTCCGGTTTGAGAGCGTGCAGGCCACCCTCACCTTCACTGTACAGACTGAGGTATCCAGATGCCGGACAGGTCTTTATTGGGCGCCTACTGTGTGCCTGGGTGGCTCTGCGCTGGGTGCAGCTGGCCCTGAGCAAGACAGACAGCCTGGTCCCGCCCAGCTCACCGCCGGGGGGGAGGGACGACTTTAAATGACTTAAAATAATGTAATTCCTAGCTCCCTCTGTAGCACAAAATAAAAGAAAATAACACCAGGGAAGGGGGCGGGGAGAGCTCTGAGTGGAGACATCTGAGCAGTGACCCGAAGACCTGAATGCAGTGAGGTAGCGGGGCCATGAGGCGCTTGGGGCTGATGGTGGGGGAGAAAACCCAGTTGGGGAAAACTCAAGGACAGGGGAGGAGCTGAGATTCCTCCTAAGAACGGTGACATTTTGGGGTCCAGGGTGAAACCGACTTCACTTTGGCCCATTGCATCAGGTAAAATGCGGCCCTTATCAGTGGCCACACGCTTCCCCTCGTCCATGTGTTCAGCCAGCGGTTTTTGAGTATCTGTTCTGCAGCAGGCCTTCCGGCGGGTACAGGGATATGGTTTAGGGCAGGAGTCAGCCAGGGGCAGAGAGGGAGGCCCTTTTTTTTTTTTTTTTTTTTTTTTTGAGACGGAGTCTTGCTCTGCAGCCCAGGCTGGAGTACAATGGCGCGATCTCGGCTCACTGCAAGCTCCACCTCCTGGGTTGAAGCAATTCTCCTGCCTCAGCCTCCCGAGTAACTGGGATTACAGGCACGTACCACCATGCCCAGCTAATTTTTTTTTTTTTTGAGACAGAGTCTTACTCTGTCACCCAGGCTGGAGTGCAATGGCTTGATCTTGGCTCACTGCAACCTCCACCTCCTGGGTTCAAGTGATTCTCCTGCCTCAGCCTCCCAAGTAGCTGGGATTACAGGTGCCCACTACCACACCCAGCTAATTTTTGTATTTTTAGTAGAGACAGTGTTTCACTGTGTTGGCCAGGCTGGTCTTGAACTCTCGACCTCAGGTGCTGGTCTCGAACTCTCGACCTCAGGTGATCTGCCCACCTCAGCCTCCCAAAGTGCTGAGATTACAGGTGTGAGCCACCACTCCCAACCGAGGGAGGCCCTTTTGAGGGGTCCTGGATGCAGAGAAGCAAGAAAGAAGAAGGAGGCCTCGCTGGAAGGTCAGGGGAAAGAGAGCAGTGTTCCAGGTGGAGAGAGGAGAACCCATGCAGAGGTCCTGAGGCACGAGCAAGCTTGGCACAGAAAGGACCAGTGAGGGCCGAGGCGAGGCAGGAGCTTGTCATGCAGAGCTTCAGCCTCAGGGTACAGAGTTTAGACTTTATTTCGGGGCATGGGGAAGCCATGGACCACCACCATCCAATAGCATGTTCTGCAGTGATGAGAGTGTTCCCTTTGCTGTCAAATACGGTAACCACAGAAGTCAAGTAGGCTTGTGTGACTACTGAGCGCTTGAAATATGGCCAGGGAGACTGAGGAGCGGAATTTTGTATTTTATTTAGTTTTTTTTTTTTTTTTTTTTTGAGATGGAGTTTTGCTCTTGTTGCCCAGCCTGGAGTGCGGTGGTGCCATCTTGGCTCACTGCAACCTCTGCCTCCTGGGTTCAAGCGATTCTCTTGCCTCAGCCTCCAGAGTAGCTGGGATTACAGGTGCCTGCCACCACGGCCGGCTAATTTTTGTATTTTTGGTAGAGACGGCGTTTCACCATGTTGTCCAGGCTGGTCTCGAATTCCTGACCTCAGGTGATCCACCCACCTCGGCCTCCCAAAGTTCTGGGATTGCAGGTGTGAGCCACTACACCCAGCCTGGATTTTTTTTAATTTTGATGAACTTTTTTCTTTTTTTGAGACAGTGTATTAGTCAGGGTTCTCTAGAGGGACAGAACTAATGGAATAGTTATATATATAAAGGGAAGTTTATTAAGTATTAATTGCACACGATTACAGGGTCTCACAATACATTGTCTGCAGATTGAGGAGCAAAGAGAGCCAGTCCGAGTTCCAAAACTGAAGAACTGGCCAGGTGCAGTGGCTCACGCCTATAATCCTAGCACTTTGGGAGGCCGAGGCAGGCGGATCACGAGGTCAGGAGTTCGAGACCAGCCTGGCCAACATGATGAAACCTCGTCTCTACTACAAATACAAAAAAAATTAGCTGGGAGTGGTGGCGCGTGTCTGTAATCCCAGCTACTAGGCAGGAGAATTGCTTGAATCCAGGAAGCGGAGGTTGCAGTGAGCGGAGATTGCACCATTGCACTCCAGCCTGGCAACAGAGCGAGACTCTGTCTAAAAAAAAAAAAAGAAAAAAGAAAGAAAGCTAATGCAGTGCCCCTGATGTTCACAGTTGCTGGACTGAGACATGAGCCTCCAACTGTGTGGTTGGGCTCGGTAGCACATCGTGGGACTTGGGTGTGCGCCCACAGATGGTTTGGCCCTGCAGTGACCAGAGCAGCCCAAGCCGCCACCATGGTGAAATTGCTAGTGGCCAAAATCCTGTGCATGGTGGGCGTGTTCTTCTTCATGCTGCTCGGCTCCCTGCTCCCCGTGAAGATCATCGAGACAGATTTTGAGAAGGCCCATCGCTCGAAAAAGATCCTCTCTCTCTGCAACACCTTTGGAGGAGGGGTGTTTCTGGCCACGTGCTTCAACGCTCTGCTGCCCGCTGTGAGGGAAAAGGTAAGGGCTCCCTGGGCACTAGCAGCAGCCCTTGGCACCTTATGGCCAAGGGACTCTGATGCATTTTCAACACTGATGCCAAGTTCAGTGAAGGCCTTGATGCTGTAAGGGTGACGGAAAGTAGGAAGTGAATTTGCTGTGTGATTGTGAACTGGTTACTTTCTGTCTCTGTGCTCTACCGGCCAAACAAGGGGTTTGGACCAGACCTGGGATTCCCAACAGGTGGACTTGTCGGTTGTCACCTGATAATCAGACCAGACTACCCACCTAGGTAGGGCACACTCTGTCCTGAAGCTGGAAAGCATGGCCTCTCTTCGGTTCCTATATCAGTCAGCTACTGTTGCGTAACAAATTATAGCAAACTGAGCACCTTAGGACTACAGACGTTTATCATCTCACAGTTTCTGTGAGTCAGGGGTCTGGGCACTGCTTCAGGAGCTCACAAGGCAGCAGTCACAGTGTCTCCTGGGCTGTGGTCTCATCTCAACGTTCAACCGGGGATGGGTCGGCCTCTAAGCTCATGTGGTTGTAAGCCAGGTTCAGTTCCTCATTGGTTGTCAGACCGAAGGTGTCTGTTTGTCAGTGTCTGTTGGCTGGGGCAGCCCTCAGAGCCTGGCCACGTGGACCTCCCCAGCATGATCAGTTCCTTCATCAGCAAATGGAGAAGATGGCCATGACTCTGTGTAAGACAGAGGGCACAGTCCCATGTCATGCAGAGGTGACAGGGTATCCCTTCCCCTCTGCCCCAGTGTCCTGCTGGTTAGAAGCAAGTTCAAGTCCTTCCCATACTCAAGTGGCCAGGACCTCACAGGGTATGGCTGTCAAGAGGCAGGGGCTTCTGGGGCCATCTTGGAGTCTGTCCACCCCAACTCCTGACAGCATCATCCTCTGCTGACCTGTTCCTTGAGCTCCCCCATATCAGCAGCCCAGAGTGTGGGTCCCCTGTCAGGCCACAGTGTGACCAGCCCTGGCCATGCTTGCTGGGTGACCCTGGGTGAGTGGCTTCCTCTCTCTGGGCCAGTGCCAGATGTGACATTGAATTTGTGTTGGTTACATACTTGGTGGAGATATGAGGACCCCCTGTTCTTCCTCCCAACGAAAGCATGGAAGCCCTAAGCTTATCCCCCAACCCCTGGCCCTGCTTTTCCTCGTGCCTAGTGTCCAGAAAGGAGGAGAAGGGCTGTTGTCTGGGATTAAATCATCTGAGCCTGTTAGTGTGGCAGAGTAGAGTTCCAGGGTGGCTCCCTGAGCTTCCAGCCCCTGCTCCGCACGCCCCATGCTCTTCCCTCCCCTCGAGTGTGGGTAGGGCTGGGACTGCCGTGCGTGTCACTCCTGCCATTATGTCAGAATCCCAGCAGAGGGGATGTTGCAGCTGTGATGACCGCCCCAGATCGGTTAGCGCTGAGTTCATCAAAAGGGAGGGGGTGGGCCTGGCCTAATCAGGTGAGCCACTCACCCTCCTGCTGGCCTTGGAGAAGCAAAAAGCCAGGGTGTGCCAGGAGAAGGGCATGAAGCGAGGACCCGAGGGCAGCCTCTCGGTGCCAAGAGCCATCCCCGCCAACAGCCAGCCAGGACACGGGGCCTCAGTCCACAGCCACCAGGAGGTGGACTCTTCCGACCTCCAGTGAGCTTGGAAGAGGACCCTGGGTGTCAGTGAGATCTCAGCCCTGATGACACCCTGCGAGACCTGGAGCGTAGGGCCCAGCTAGCCCGCACCTGGATTTCCACCGTTCAGAGCCGAGACACCGCATTCCTGCTGTTCCGCGTGGCTGAGTCTGCATTCGTTCGTTACGCGGTGTGTGAAGACTGACATCTGCACTGCGAGGATGGAGATCTTGGTCATCTCTGACATCTCCTGCATCGCAGAGGCCACTGCCAGCCCCCCTTTTCCCCCATGGTCATGGTGTCACCCCCGTCACCCTCTGACTGCAGGCCTGGGCGACTGCGGGGAGCTTGCTCTTCCCTCCCCCTCATCACAGTGGCCTTCTCATGGCACCCAAACCTTTCCCGCCGTTCTCCTGTCCTCGGGCTGGTCAGGCGGATGAGGTCCCTACTCCCGAGCCCCCAGCCTCACCCACTGCAGGGCCAGGCTCTCAGTCACCCCTGGAAAATGGTGCCTGGTTCACAGCTCCCGTGCATCTGCCTCATCTCTCCTGATCAACGTCTGTCTCTTGGGAGTAGCTAGAGTTCCTCATGAGCTTGTCCTCAAGCGA
Source organism: Homo sapiens (assembly GCF_000001405.40). Lineage (NCBI taxonomy): Eukaryota > Metazoa > Chordata > Mammalia > Primates > Hominidae > Homo > Homo sapiens. Next base: position 2,734,834 of record NC_000019.10, on the reverse strand, counting down.
GGCATGCATGAGGCCTCCAGCCGGTGGTCAGTGAGGGAGTTAAGTGGCTTCTCCGTGGAAACACAGCCTTCTGCTGCAGCAGAGGCTCACCCAGCGTGAACTGCCCCCAGGGAACACTGGGCGATGCCTGGGGACATTGTGGTTGTCACGATGGGGGGTGCTCCTGGCCTGGAGTGGGTGGAGGCCAGAGACACTGCTCAGCAGCACCCTGCAGTGCCCAGGACGGCCCCGTCCCAGAGAACAATCCAGCCCCGAATGTCAGCACCTTCCCCCTACCCGAGTTGTGAAAATAAAAAATGTTTCCAGACATTGCCAGGTGTCCACACGGGCAGAATCGCCCTGGTTGAGAACCACTGTGTGCGCGTGCTTGTGTGTGCACCTGCGTGTGCGCGTGTGTGTGCGTGCGTGTGTGCACATATGCGTGTGTGTGTGTGTGTGTGCACGTGCGCAGGTTGTAATGAAGTCTCCGCTGGGAAGGAAGCAGGGAAGCAGGCATTGTTGAGTGTCGATTGTGTTGTGATTTTCCTCCACTTTGGTCTCGAGGTCTCTCTGGAGGGTGGCTGTGAACTCTGGCCCTGCCGTGACGAGGCTCCAGGGAGCTGTTGTGGGCGTTTACAGCCTGCCTTTCATGAGACATTTCATCCTGGCGCATAGCCTAATGCCTGCGTGTCCGCCCCGTGAGCAGCTGTCCCTCCCATAGGAGTGTGTACCTCTTGCAGACGCCCTGCGGCTCCCGTCTGACCCACGTCTAGTTTCTCCCCACCAAAGTCTCCCCTCGCTAGGAGAGCCCTGACCAGGAGGAGAGTCGGGCCCAGGCATGTCGGTCAGGGAAGCAGAGAGGAGGCCCCGCGGCAGAACACGCAAGGCCAGTGCAGCTCTTTATGTGTTTATTTTGAGCCGGAGTCTCCCTCTGTCGCCCAGGCTGGAGTGCAGTGGCACGATCTCGTCTCACTGCAACCTCTGCCTCCTGGGTTCAAGCCATTCTCCTGCCTCAGCCTCCTGAGTAGCTGGGATTACAGGTGCTCGCCACCATGCCCAGCTAATTTTTGTATTTTTAGTAGAAACATGTTTCCCCATATTGGCCAGGCTGGTCTCGAACTCCTGGGCTCAAGCAATCCGCCAGCCTCAGTCTCCCAAAATGCTGGGGTCACAGGCATGAGCCACCGCGCTTGGCTGGTGGTGGTGGTGTTAATTCATCACAGGCGAGCCCTTCCTCTCCCACTTGTTTTAACCTCTGTGTGAATCGGGGATTTCTGGACTTTGCTTTGAACGGTGACATCTGGCCAGCCCTGTCGCCGCCACCCCTGAGCGTGGGTCTCTCTCTCTCTCTCGGGTGTCCCCGGCTGCAGCTCCAGAAGGTCCTGAGCCTCGGCCACATCAGCACCGACTACCCGCTGGCCGAAACCATCCTCCTGCTGGGCTTCTTCATGACCGTCTTCCTGGAGCAGCTGATCCTGACCTTCCGCAAGGAGAAGCCGTCCTTCATCGACCTGGAGACCTTCAACGCCGGATCGGACGTGGGCAGCGACTCGGAGTATGAGAGCCCCTTCATGGGGGGCGCGCGGGGCCACGCGCTGTACGTGGAGCCCCACGGCCACGGCCCCAGCCTGAGCGTGCAGGGCCTCTCGCGCGCCAGCCCCGTGCGCCTGCTCAGCCTGGCCTTCGCGCTGTCGGCCCACTCGGTCTTTGAGGGCCTGGCCCTGGGCCTGCAGGAGGAGGGGGAGAAAGTGGTGAGCCTGTTCGTGGGGGTGGCCGTCCACGAGACACTGGTGGCCGTGGCCCTGGGCATCAGCATGGCCCGGAGTGCCATGCCCCTGCGGGACGCGGCCAAGCTGGCGGTCACCGTAAGCGCCATGATCCCCCTGGGCATCGGCCTGGGCCTGGGCATTGAGAGCGCCCAGGGCGTGCCGGGCAGCGTGGCGTCCGTGCTGCTGCAGGGCCTGGCGGGCGGCACCTTCCTCTTCATCACCTTCCTGGAGATCCTGGCCAAGGAGCTGGAGGAGAAGAGTGACCGTCTGCTCAAGGTCCTCTTCCTGGTGCTGGGCTACACCGTCCTGGCCGGGATGGTCTTCCTCAAGTGGTGAGCGGCCTCGCCATTGTCCCTGCCGCCGGAGCCCGCCGGGAGCCCCGGGCCGGACACAGGCCGCGTCCCCCGGCCGCGCGTCCCCCAAGAGCGAGCACTGTGGCCCTGGGCCACCACCTGTGCACAAGGGGCCTCCCGGGACCAGGCTGTGCCCCCGATCCTACACCCTGAGCCTCAGAGCACTGCTACTTTTTAAAATACTTCTTTCTCTTAAAAGTCTTTACCAAAGCTGTGTGGCCATGTCAACCTCGGGCCGTGGGGTGTGGCAACCCACGGGCGGGAGGGCCAGGACCTGGGTCCCGGTGAGATCGGTCAGGACCCTCCTCTCCCTGCCGCACACCCCCAGCCTGTGAATAAGGACGGGAGCATTTGGCTGCTGTGGCCAGAGTGAGGGCCGCGCCGCCTGTGCCTCAGGAGCCAGCTGGGGGCCCTGAGGCCCCAACGTCTACCCTACTCTGTTGCCAGGATCTCGCCGCCCGAGCCCCGAGTGTCTTGAGGCTTATTAGAGGTTGGAGTCACTGCGATGGGACAGCCGGGCTCCGTCCCTCCTGCCACACAAGGCTGTACCCCCTGTGAGTGGGCCATGTACCCTCAGGAGTGCCCTCTCCTTTTCCCTTTGCTGGGTGGCTCCTGGAGCGGGGACCCCTGGGCCAGGACCCCCGGGCCAGGTGAGTGTCACAGTTTCCTGAGACTCACGAGCAGGGCCAGGAGGCAGCTTAAAGATCAGTCCTCAGCTCTGCTTACACACACCGGGGTCTCCAGAGGAAGATGGACCCCACTAGCGGTGGGGCAGGGGCCCCGCGGTGCGATCCCTCCCGTGGACACAGGGACGCTGCTCCCGAGAGGGCAGGAGCACGGGGGACGAGCAGCCGGGCGTGGGCTGGGGCAGCCCTGGGCTCCTGGCTCTGTGGCAACCTCCGGAAGGCCTGAGCCGTCGTCCCGGCAACCCTGCCGGGTCTGGGGAGGTGAGAGCTGGGGAGGGACGCCTTTCCTCGGGGATTTTGCTCTGCCTGGCTCGAAGCCGCTGTGGCGCCGCGGAAGGGAGCCGGGCATGCCCGCCTGGGCTGGGTTTTTCCTTGATCTGACCTGGAGCCCCGGACCCCATCTCTGGGCCTTGGCGTCTTCCAGCCCCATCAGGGCTGTGAGGGCCTCTGGCTGTCCCCACCTCCCACCTCGTCACTCATCTTTGAGTGCCAGGCCCCAGGTACCCTTCTCCCATCCCGTGCCCTGCCTCGCCACCACGCCTCCCTACACCTACCCACAAGGCTGACTGGGGGGGGCTGCACGGAGAGGTGCCCATCTGGCCTGTGGGCTTGGGCCTGGCGGGGCCTCCTATCCATCAGTCCATCAATCTAGTCAGATGGGGAGCTCCAGGGCCAGCCAGTGACTGCTCTGTGGGGTGTCCCGGCCGGTGGCCCTGCTGCAGCCAGCTCAGCTCCCAGGTGCCAGTCACAGGAAGGGACGACCTCGAGAGGGCGGTGGCTGCCTGGAGCATTGCCATGGGGGTCCCAGGAGGCCGGAGTAGTCACACAGCCCCTGTAAGTAACTTCCACTCCAGGGGGTCGGTACGTAACCCGGGGTTCCACCTCTGCTCCTGAGACCCCCCCCCAACTTCCACTCCAGGGGGTTGGTACGTAACCCGGGGTTCAGCCTCTGCTCCTGAGACCCCCCAACTTCCACTCCAGGGGGTCTGTAAGTACCCTGGGGTTCAGCCTCTGCTCCTGAGACCCCCCGCCAACTTCCACTTCAGGGGGTCTGTAAGTAACCTGGGGTTCAGCCTCTGCTCCTGAGACCCCCCCCAACTTCCACTCCAGGAGGTCGGTACGTAACCCAGGGTTCCACCTCTGCTCCTGAGACCCCCCAACTTCCACTCCAGGGGGTCTGTAAGTAACCTGGGGTTCAGCCCCTGCTCCTGAGACCCCCCAACTTCCACTTTAGGGGGTCTATAAGTAACCCGGGGTTCAGCCTCTGCTCCTGAGACCCCCCAACTTCCACTCCAGGAGGTCCTTACCCCACTGCTGTTGGAAGCTTGGGGCCTGTTCTGGGAACCTGTGTCTGAACCTCTTACCGGGGATCCATCTCTGAACCCTGTGCAGCCTGGCCCTGGCCCCAGGGGTATAGGAGCTTCGCAGTGTCCTGAACCTGACGTGGTTCTGCCCGTCCCTCCCCTGGCTTCACCCCACCTGGGCCATTTGTCCTTTATCCCAGGTGGGTGGGTTGTGAAGCCACTGGGTCCCTGCACTGGTGGGGGATGTGGCTTGAGTTTTCGTGACTGCCAGGGGATAGAGACATCCAGGCCCCCCACATGGGAAGGCTCAGAGTCCCTGTCCCCCGAATCCCGCAGGAGCCCACATGGGGCGGAGCACCGGCTGCTCCAGGGATCCCCATCCACCTTCGCCCATCACAGCAGGAAGCACAAAGTGGGGCCCTACCCTCCACCAGCCATCAGCTCCCCAGGGTGGCCCGAGGGACCCAAGCTGTCGACCCCTGCAGGCCCAGCCACCCCACCCCAAGGATCCCAAGCGGCTTCTTCGCCTTCCCTCTAGAGGAGCCTCTGACACCACGTTGTCCCCCACTGGCGCTGGGTGGGAGCTCAGGGCTGGCCCTGCTCCTTTGACTGCAGCAGACCAGAGGCAGCGGCCAGAAAGCAGGACGTAGGCGGGGGCGGGGGCGAGCTGGCTGTGGCCTCCAGACCTCTCCGTCCCAGAGTCCTCAGGAGGCACGAAAGGAGCTTTCCTGGGGCCAGCGGGACCCTAAGGCAGAAGGATGTCTCTTGAGCCACTTTTGGTCGGCTGTCACCACTCTTTTTTCTTTTTTGAGATAGAGCCTCGCTCTGTCGCCCAGGCTGGAGTGCAGTGGCGCGATCTCGGCTTACTGCAATCTCCACCTCCCGGCTTCAAACAATTCTCCTGCCTCAGCCTCCCAAGTAGCTGGGATTACAGGCGCGCACCACCACGGCCAGCTAATTTTTGTATTTTTAGTAGAGACGGGGTTTCACCATGGTGGCCAGGTTGGTCTCGAACTCCTGACCTTGTGATCCGCTGGCCTCGGCCTCCCAAAGTGCTGGGATTACACGTGTGAGCCACTGTGCCCGGCCCACTTTTTTTTTTTTTTTTTTGAGATGGAGTTTCGCTCTGTCTCCCAGGCTGGAGTGCAGTGGCATGATCTCGGCTCACTGCAACCTCTGCTCCCGGATTCAAGTGATTCTCCTGCCTCGGCCTCCTGAGTAGCAGGGACCATAGGTGCCCGGCACCACGCTCGGCTAATTTTGTATTTTTAGTAGAGACGGGGTTTCACCGTGTTGGTCAGGCTGGTCTCAAACTCTTGAGCTCAGGTGATCTACCCACCTCAGCCTCCCACAGTGCTGGGATTACAGGCGTGAGCCACCGCGCCTGGGGGCTTTACCCGCTTTTGAGGAGGAACCCAGCACATGTCCATGTTGGGGTAAAGACGTGGAGTGGTCGTCTCGCCCATCCGATATAGAGTCCAGAGGCGCAGGGCTCATTCCCAAGGTCCCTTGGCCGACGGCGGCCGGGTCCGGCCTAGACCAGGCTCCTGTGAGGCAGCCCAGCGACTCTGTCTCCTCTGGCTCTGCCCACAGACACACTGTCACCCAATGCTAGGAGCCACTGCTTGAGGAAGCCTGGGTTTGTCACTGCCTGCAGCCACAGACTACTCCTGCCTCAAAACGACGTCACGACACTGCAGAGCAGGCCAGCTCCAGCTGCACATGGCCGCCTCCATCTCTACACAACTTTGAGTCACAGAAATGTCACGTGACCTGCAGAAGCCAAGGGTCCTCCTCCTTGGGGGTCTCTTTTACTGACTCTGTGACTCCCAGCCGGGGATCTTCTGCCCCCAGGGGACACCGGGCCATGTCTGGGGACATCTGTGGTTGTCTTGACTAGGGGAGCTCCTGGCATGGAGTGGGTGGAGGCCAGGGATGCTGCTCGGCACCCTGCAGTGCCCAGGACGGCCCCACCCTTGAGAACGGTTCAGTCCCAATGTCCACAGGGCCCAGGGGGAGACACCCAGCCCAACTCACAGAAGACCCAGGACAGGTGATGGTGGTCTATGTCAACCACCTGTTCATGAGAGAGACACAGGGAGGAGAGGGGGCACCTGCCAACCGTTTCATGCGCTGGTAGAGACCGGGAATAGCTTGGACAGATTGTTCCTGGATAACACAAGACAGCTTCCTGTTTAAAAAACAAAACTCCGGCCCGGAGCAGGGGCTCACGCCTATAATCCCAGCACTTTGGGAGGCTGAGGCGGGCAGATTACTTGAGCCCACAAGTTGGAGACCAGCCTGACTAACATGGCGAAACCCCGTCTCTACTAAAAATACAAAAATTAGCTGGGTGTGGACGCAGGTGCCTGTAATCCCAGCAACTTGGGAGGCCGAGGCAGGAGAATCGCTTGAACCCGGGAGGCAGAGGTTGCAGTGAGCCGAGATTGCACTACTGCACTCCAGCCTGGGCGACAGAGCAAGACTTGGTCTCAAAAACACACACAAAAAACCAAAACTCCAAGCGCAGAGCACCCAGTGCCATCTTCGTCCGAATGCAGCACTCCTGGCTGGGTCACGGCCACCCCTAGGCCAGTGCCTGGCCAGGGGCTTCTCTTGTCTATGACCAGGCAGGTCACAGGCGGGAGGGACCCAGGTCAGGCTCAGCTGCTGCCCCACCGGAAACAGACCCAGCAGCCTTGCCTAGACCCCAGGTGGGTCCAGGTTTTTCTATTGGGGCAGAGAGAGTGGGCCAGGATGGGGGCGTCTCTCAGCTCTGCAAGCTGGAGAATTAACTCCGGGACTTGAGCTCGGGGTCCCCGCTGGGCGCAGGCGTGGGCTCCAGCGGGAAGGAAGCCCCTCGTTGGGTTCTCAGCATGGACAGCTGGATGGCATCACTGGATTCCCTCACCTGGATCCGGAGACAAAAGGGGAGAAAATGATGAGGCAGCGCCCAGGCCTGCGGGGTTGAGTCAGCCGTAATAACAGCCTGTTGGCCCTACGTGTCTGTTGTCTGCATTTCTGTTGCACAAGTTATTAGCTCGGGGCGGGACGGGGAGGTCGGTGGTGGATGGGACGGTGTCTCCCAGCCCTTGGCACCATCAGACTGTCCTGGCCAGCAGCTCTGGACCCTCTGCCCCACCGGGAAGAGAGGGGGCTGCCTCCCACCTGTTCCAGCCGCCAGCCTGCACGCAGCTTGTGCCCTGAGCTGTGTCTGCTTTTGGGACAGCCGGTGAGCAGCCTGTCACCAATAAAGACTCCTCGGCCTTCACCTCGATGCTCGGAGGCTGCCCCAGCCTTTCCAGGGTCCCCCTGCAGGTGGGAAGGAGGCGGAGGCTCCTGAAGGTAGAGGAGTCATCTCCCTTTCGAGGGAGCACAGGCTGCTGCAGGACGTGGGGGCTTGTCTGGAAGACCCCAGAACTCTTCTCCTGGCTGTCAGGTGCTGAGGCCAGACGGGGCTGGAGTGGGAAGATGCCCCCACCTCTCTCCCTGCCACCCCTCAGGCCTCTGCGGCTCTGCACCTGCAACCCCTCGGGGCAGTGACACAGCTGGCCTCGGTGTCCTGGCGGAGGGCAGAAGTGATGGCCGGTTGCGGTCTTGTAGGGTGAGAATCGGGTTAGACAAGTGAGTGCTTTAGAGCCGGGGAGCTGCACACGGAGGGGAGGGAGTGGCGGGCGCTGCGTCGGGCTTCTCCAGGAAGAGGTGAGCGGGCTGGCTGGGCTTCCGTCTCAGCTAGTGGAGGTCCAGCCAGACTCAGGCTAGATGAGCTGGCCCCCAGAACAGGCTTCTGTGCCTGGGCTTTGTGGACATCTGGGGCCATCCTGTGCCTTGTGGGAAGCTGAGCTGCAGCCCTGGCTCTGGGGTGAGGCCTGAGAACTTGCATGCCACCGAGTTCCCAGGCAACGCTGGCCATGCTGGGGTGGGCAAAGTTTGAGACCCATGGACCCCTCCAGGGTCTCTCCCTGTGGGCACTGTGGACACTGGGGCCAGATAGTTCTCTGGGGCGGGGCTGTCCTGGGCACTGCAGGGTGCTGAGCAGTATCCCTGGCCTCCACCCACTCCATGCCAGGTGCACCCACAGCTGTGAGAACCACAGACGTTCCCATCTAGTGCCCAGTCTCCCCTTGGGACACAATCACCCCCCCCCCCCCCCCCGTGGGAACTGCTGCCCCAGAACTAAGGCGGCTCACATTCTGGAGAGGGAGCCGACGCCAGCATGTTAGGCGGTACCAGGTAGCAATAAAGGCCCTGAAAAGAATCAGGACACGGTGAGAGACAGCAAAAGGAGATGATTTTAGTTCTGTGGTCTCCTCAGGAGCAGTCTCTGGGGTGACGTGAGGGGGACTGGAGGAAGTGAGTGAGAAGGAGATGGGGGAGAGAGAGCTCATCTGGCTGAGGCAGCAGCATGTGCAAAGGCCCTGGGGCCTCTGTAGTTCTCAGCCTTTTTTCTCTGATGATCAGAGTGGCTTCTTCTCTCTAAGAAGACCCAGGCGTTACCGGAGTTTATCCTGCCAATGCTAAAGATTCAGTAACCCCACTCCTTAGAGGTGGTGATGAAACAGCACCCTGGCCAGGCGCGGTGGCTCACGCCTGTCATCCCAGCTCTTTGGGAGGCCGAGGCGGACGGATCACCTGAGGTCAGGAGTTCCAGACCAGCCTGGGCAACATGGTGAAACTCCATCTCTACTAAAAGTATAAAAATTAGCCGGGTGTGGCGGTGGGCGCCTGTAATCCCAGCTACTTGGGAGGCTGAGGCAGGGGAGTTGCTTGAACCCGGGAGGTGGAGGTTGCAGTGAGCCAAGATCACACCACTGCACTCCAGTCTGGGTGACAGAGCGAGACTCTGTCTAAAAACAAACACAAAAAATCATAGCCCCCTGATGTTAGAGAGGAACCCAATGCTGACTCTAGGGGCCAGGCAGCGTGAGGCGTGGGTCTTCCATGGTGGCCTGGGGGCTGGGGGAGCAGCGGCGAGCAGCTCTGCAGATGCCAAAGGGCAAAAACAAACAAACAAACGAAAAAGAAATGGGCTTGGGGATGTCAGCCTGTTCATCTTTGAAGGCAAACTGGTTTTTGACAAATGGTCTCTGTATTTTAAAATATTGATGCCACCAGCCTGGGCAGTATAGTAAGACCTTATCTCTACAGAATTTTTTTTTTCTTTTGGGACAGAGTCTTGCTCTGTCGCCCAGGCTGGAGTACAATAGCACGATCTCGGCTCACTGTGACCTGTGCCTCCTGGGTTCAAGCGATTCTCCTGCCTGGGCCTCCTGAGTAGCTGGGTTTACAGGCGCCTGCCACCACTCCTGGCTAATTTTTGTATTTTTAGTAGAGACGGGGTTTCACCATATTGGTTAGGCTGGTCTCAAACTCCTGACCTCATGATCTGCCCACCTCAGCCTCCCAAAGTGCTGGGATTACAGGCGTAAGCCACTGCGCCCAGCCCAGAATTTTTTTTTTTTTTTTTTTTTTTTTTTTTTGAGACGGAGTCTCGCTCTGTCGCCCAGGCCGGACTGCGGACTGCAGTGGCGCAATCTCGGCTCACTGCAAGCTCCGCTTCCCGGGTTCACGCCATTCTCCTGCCTCAGCCTCCCGAGTAGCTGGGACTACAGGCGCCCGCCACCGCGCCCGGCTAATTTTTTGTATTTTTAGTAGAGACGGGGTTTCACCTTGTTAGCCAGGATGGTCTCGAGAATTTTTTTTTTTTTTAAGTCAGAGTCTTGCTCTGTTGCCCAGGCTGGAGTACAGTGGTGTGATCTCAGCTCACTGCAACCTCCGCCTCCCAAGTTCAAGTGATTATCCTGCCTCAGCCTCCCAAGTAGCTGGGATTACAGGTGCATGTCACCACATTGGGCTCATTTTTTATAATTTTAGTAGAGACGGGGTTTTACCATGTTGGCCAGGCTGGTCTTGAACTCCTGACCTCGTGTGATCCACCCACCTCAGCCTCCCAAAGTGCAGGGATTACAGGCATGAGCCATCGTGCCCGGCCGAGAAAAATTTTTTAAAATTAGCCGGGCCTGGTGGTGTGTGCCTGTAGTCCCAGCTACTCAGGCGGCTGAGGAGGAAGGATTGCTCGAGCCCAGAAAGTCAAGGCTGCAGTGATCTGCGACCTCACCACGCACTCCAGCTTAGGTGGCGGAGTGAGACCCTGTCTCGATAGATAGATAGATAAGTAGATGATTAATAGATAATAGATGAACAGGTGACAGATGATTGATAGATAATAGGTAAATGATTAATAAATGATGATTGATAGATTAATTGATAGATGACAGATAGATGATTGATAGATGATAGATAGATAGGTGGTAGATTGATTGACTGATTGATTGACAGATGCTAAACTTGAAAAGCAACTGTGTGGCTGAGCCCCTGGGGTGACTCTGCCCCCTGAGGCCAGGATGTGCAACCTCGGCTTTGCCCACATGGTCCAGAGACCACTGAAGAGAGCTGAGGCCGGACCCCACTGCCCTCCTCTCCAAAGGCTAGCCGGGGCTCAGTGAGGCCCACGTGGCCCTGGTCAGGGCAGCAGGGTGAGGAGAGCGGTCGTGGAGCTGCAGGGCCGGGGGAGGAGCTGGACATTGCAGATGAACGCCGTCCCTTGCTGTTCTGCTGAAAGGAGATCTGTAAGGCAGGACCGGCCGAGTGTCCCCAGGACAAGACTGCAGATAGCCAGGGACAGGGCAAGAGGATCACAAGGGGGTGGCCGTCTATCCCCAGCAGGCTGGGCTATGGCTTCAGAGCCTGATGGATCCGGACCGACCTCTTTCCCACTAGGCCACCGTGGGCGAGCCGCTTCCCTTCTCTGAGCAGCAGTTTCCAGATGGGAGCAGGGACAGTGGCCTTGTACAGACTGCTGAGGGCCCAGCACCCACTACACTGGCACTTTGTGTTTGCAGGACCCATGCAGACTGCCCCGGTGGGTTTCACCCTGGGGACTCAACGTGGACGCCTGTGGATCCTGCCCAGCTCGCGAGCTGGAGAGGTTGACAGGTCCTCTTCTCTTTGGCAAAGATGCAGCCGGCCTCAGTCCTCCTCGCCCACCTCTGTGCCTCTCAGGATGCCGAGGGACTCTCCAAAGAGGGACTCGGGTATGAGAGGCAGCAGGGAACCCAGGAAACTCCAGTGCCAGCCCCGGCTTGCTCAGTGCCCCAGTGTGCAAGTGCCCTGGCCCCTGAGATTTGGATCACGGACCTTTCCATGGAGAGGCAGAGCTGGGGCGCCCACCCACCCCCACTCACAAAGGCCAGGCGGAACCCTCTGCTCCCCGGCCCACCATGGGGGAGAAGCTCCTGCTGTCCTAGTTTGGGTGCTCGGAAGAGCTCACTGCCATCTGTGGCCTGGGCACCGCGGGCCATGTGTGGAGACCCCGTTCCTCAGGGACAGCGAGGAGGGGAACAGGGCCTGGCCTCGCCGGCTCACGCGGCCCACAGCCTGGCCTGGGAGCTATAAATAGCAGCCGCAGCGTGGAGTTACCGCCCTGCCCACTCTCCTACGCATGAGTCAGCCTGCCCCGGCCTGAGCTGGTGCCCGGAGGAGACAGGGAGCCGGCCCGACGCCCTGCCCCACGCTGGTGGGTCACTCAGGAGACGAAGGCAGGCAGGCGGACTGGGAAGGGGCAGGGCTGCCGTCTGAGTGCTTGGGTGCCCAGCAGCCCCGTGTAGGTGGGCGCCCTGCCCATGTGTTCCCAGCAACCCTACAGGCGGGCAACAGTGACGTCACTCACAGATGGGGGAACCGATGCTTGAGAAGGCACTTCCCTGCAGGCAGCCATGTAGAGCAGAAGCTGGGATTTGTCTGCCCTCAGGGCTGTCTCCATCTCCTGCTGAGGGCACCCCCAGATGAGGGTCAGGGGCCGGGCCATGCTCTGAGGTGCTCCCGCAGGGCTGGGGTCAGGGTGGGAGGGAGGTGCACGCCAGGAGCACTCAGGCCGGGCCATGGATGCCAGGCTGAGAAGCTGGACCTTGGCCTGGGAGAAGGGAGCCATGGGTGGCGTTAGAGCAGGGGAGGCCCATGTTGCAGTTGGAGCATTGAGTGGCAGAGTGGAAGGAGGGCTGGAGGAAGGGGTCTGGAGGCCAGGAGGGGGAGTGGGGTCAAATCAGGGAGAAATAGAGCTCCTTGAGCCCCAAAGCCGCTTGAACCTCAGTGCCCCAGCCTCAGTGGCAACAGGAGAGGGGACTGAGTGGTCTTGGAGGCAGTGCCAAGTCTCCGCAGAGGCAGATGGGCCCACCTCATCCAGGGCCATGGAAATGGTGGGTCATGGAGAACCCCAGGAGCTGAGGGCCCAAGGGGTTCACCTGCTCACAGGCCTGGTGATGGGGAGCTCACCACCTTCCAGACCAGCCTCTCACCCACTGATGGCTCTGACTCTGGAGAGACCCCTGTGGGTCCCAGAGTTGGCCTCTCCACCAAGGGGCGCCTTCCTCTGACAGCCTTGCGGCCTGGGACTGTCCCGCACCCACCCCTGAGAGCACCTTCTGGCCTGGTCACTAGACCCCAAAGTCCAGTCTCCTCTGGGATCTGCCCGATGAGGCCAAAAGGAACCTCGGCCTCCCGGTCTCCAAAATGGAGGCGGAACCATGGTCTCTTGTGGACACACAGACGCATCAGAAAAGCCAGTGCTCCCCTAAGACACCTCCTGTTGGGGGAACACAAACATTTTCCTAACCGAAAACGGCAAACCCATCCGCTGCAGAGCAGCGCCAGCCCCCTTTGCTCACCCCCCACCTCCCTAGGCCTGACTGCCATGGGCTGCCTCCGCCTCCACAAAACCAGCCCTACAGAGCGCTGAGTCCGCTTCTGCCCCCATCCCGCCCCTGCCCAGGCCCCTGGGATGGGTGGGCCTCCAGGTGCACCCCATTGACCTGAACCCTCCCGCCTCTGCCCGCTTCTAAACCTGTTCATTGATTGTTGATTATCGACTTACTCATTTCACAACGCACCCCTCTGATTCCCCGCCCTGCGTGTGACCGGGCCCCAGCCGGCCTCAGGGGTCCCGTTCTGCACCCCCTTTATCCGCATTTCTGCCAAAGCCCTCCACCCCCGGCTGGACTCTGCTCCTCCCAAGCCGGGCTCCTGGCCCCCACTCGGGGTTCCCCGGGAAGCGGCCCCAGCTCCCACCCCGAGGGAGGGCGCGCGCAGGTGGCTACGTGGCAGGGCGGGGGTCCCGGATCCTGGCGACCTCTCCCACCCCGGGCGCGGGCAGGGGTCCCGCGTGGGGCGGCGGTGACCTTGGCCGGGCGGCGCGCCGGCCCCGTGGGCGCGGGTCCCCGGGGCGGGGCGGGGCGGGGCGGGGCGGGGCGGAGCGCGGGGCCCGGCGGGCGGGGACGGCGCGGGCGCGACTGCGGCGGCTCGGGCGGGCGGGGGGCGGCGGCGCCAGCGGACACCGGAGCGGGCAGGAGCAGCGGCCGCGGCGCCGCAGGGACCAGCGGGCCCAGGTAGGCGGCCCGGGGCGGGGAGGGGGTCCCTGCGCAGCCCCCAGCCGGCCGTCCTCCCCGCCGCGCGTCCCTCCTTTGTCCCGGCCCCAGCCTCCCGGGCCTTGGGGCCGGGCCCTTCCCCGCGTGGCTCCGGGGCCCCTCGCCGGGCGTCCCCCGTCCCTTCCCGCCGGGCCCGGCCGGCCCCTCCGCGCTCACCTTGGACAGCTCCCGGCCGCCTCCCCTCCCCCACCCGGAGGGCGCCCCCCTGCCGAGCCCGCCCCACCGAGGCCCACCCCGCCGCCCCTCTCCGCATTGGTCCCCTCGGGCAGGGCCTCCTCCCTCCTGCAGCCGCCTTCTTCGCCCTCCGCCCCGCTGCCCAGCCAAGCCCCTCCCTCCGCGCCCCCTCCCCGGGGTGGGCTCCTCCTCTCCACCACTGAGGTCCTCCTGAGTCAAGGGTCGCCCCTGGGCTGGCCCCGCACTGTGCCTCTGCGCCCTCGGGCCCCCTAGAGCAGGCCCTTTCTCCATCAAACCCCTCACCGGCCAGGCGGCCCTGGGTCAGACCCCCGCCCCACCCTTGGTCAGGCGTGACCCCCGCTAGACCCCTGGGTCGCGGCTCTCTCTGCTTTCCTGACCCTGAGCTTTGCTTTGACACCCCCGCCCCCACCAACCACGCCGTGCCCGGCCGGGAGCCGGGCTTCAGGGACCCAGGGCTGGGGTAGATTGGCCCTGCCTGGACGTCTGGGGGTGGGCTGCCCCGCACAGGCGGGAAACCCCAGGAGTCTAGCCAAGCAGGGTGGGCTTCCAGCCCCGCTGTGCGCCTCCACCCCCCTGCTCTGTGACCTTGAGCCAGCCCCTCCTGCTCCTGCCTCGGTGCCCACGACCCCCTCCCTCCACCCGCACCCCCCAGGCGGTGGAGGTGGGAAGTGGCGTGGGCTTCGGGGCTGTTGAGTGCAAGCGCCTTTCTGGTCAGGGATTCCAGACCCAGCGGGGAGGACAGTACTGCTCATGGGGGCTGGAGCTTCAGTGCCCGCAGCAAGGCAAAGGCTGGATCTGGGTCCACAGAACCCATGGCCATTAGGACCCCAGGCCGGTCTTGGTGGCGTCTTTCTGCACAGCAGCGTGCCCGCCTCTCAGGGCGCCCACCCAGGAAAGGGCAGGGTCTGCAGCACAGGCCGCCTCCCCCCCACCACCAGCACCCCCAGCCTCCTCCGAATGCCGAGAAATTACTATGCATGTAGTCCACAAACCCGGCAGCCAATCACATGAGTTGGCATTGCCGAGGCGCCCAGAAGTTTGCCTGGCTCATCACAACTGGGGACTGTGTCAGCTGGCGCTTTCATCAGCCTCTTTTCTTTTCCTGGCAAATCTGTTACCCTTGATAATCCAGAAGGTGCCTTTGCAACCAACAGGCACAGCCAAGTGCCCTGCCCACCGGCCCCAAGCCCTTGTGACTGTGATCACAATTGTGATCGGGGTCTCCGCTGTACAGGGCACTGCCTAGGGCCTTTCTCCACCTTGTCACCTTACTTGCCCCAACAGTGGCTCGCATTTCACAGAAGAGAAAACGGAGGCTTAGGGACTTGAATTTGCCTGTTTAGGTTCAAACCACTGACCCCCGGGGAACCTCTGGACCCTCCCCATAAACACACCCCCACCCCCAGTGCAGCAGGTAGAAACTGGTTCCTCCTCCTCTCCCACTGTAGACCACCTTGCTGGGGAACACCCCTCCCCCACCCCCCACCGCTGCCCCAGAGCCTGGAAGGAGGAAGGGGAGGGGAGGACATCAATTCTGGAGATAAGCCACCCGCCCTCCCCCCAGCGTTCTTCCCCCACCTCCATCATTTCAGGATCTGCTGTGCTGTGTGACCTCCTCAGGCTGCTGGACCTCTCTGAGCCCAAGAAGGAAGAGAGGGGCTAAGAGGTGCCCCTCCCAGGAAGTGCTATTCTAAGGATCCTTCAGACCTGAACGGGAGGGGCTAGGGCACACCAGGCCATAGTTTGATTTTAGAGTTTAGGGAGTGGCGATTTTCCCGTTCAGCTTCTGGATTTTGTATTTTTGTGTCCCACCTGGGCTGCAAGACCCTTCCTCCCTGGGGCGGCTATTGGGAATCAGTGCCCTGATTTGCAAATTGTGGTTCTCAGATTCCCAGCCTCAGGATCCCATTTATGGCAGGTGAGGAGAGCAGCCCTGTAATACAAGTTCCAGCTGGATGCGGTGTCTCACACCTGGAATCCCAGCACTTTGGGAGCCCGAGGCGAGAGGAGCACCTGAGGTCAGGAGTTCAAGACCAGCCTGGCCAACATGGCGAAACCCCGTCTCTACTGAAAATACAAAAATTAGCCGGGTGTGGTGGTGCATGCCTGTAATCCCAGCTACTCTGGAGGCTGAGGCAGGAGAATTGCTTGAACCGAGGAGGCAGAGGTTGCAGTGAGCCGAGATTGCACCACTGAACTCCAACCTGGGCAACAGAGCAAGACTTGGTTTTAAAAAAAATAAGAAGGCCAGGTGCAGTGGCTCACGCCTGTAACCCCAGCACTTTGGGAGGCCGAGGTGGGTGGATCACCTGAGGTCAGGAGTTCAAGACCTGCCTGACCAACATGGAGAAACCCTGCCTCTACTAAAAATATAAAATTAGCCGGGCTTTGTGGTGCATGCCTGTAATCCTAGCTACTTGGGAGGCTGAGGCAAGAGAATAGCTTGAACCCGGGAGGTGGAGGTTGCGGCGAGCCAAGATTGTGCCATTGCACTCCAGCCTGGGCAGCAAGAGCGAAACTCTGTCTAAAAATAAATAAATAAATAAGAAGAATAAAATAAAATACGAGTTCCCAGGGCCGTTGCCCTGGCCGACCGATTCATCACACCTAGGGCTGCGGCCCTGACATATGCATCTTAAACACCCGACCATGTGCGGCTTCCATGAGGATTGGCCATCTCTGGGTTGGCGGAAGAGCAGGGGACCCATGGTTGTTGGAGACGGGCACCGTTTGAGCCACCAAACAGGCTCAGGGTGGCATGATGGCTCGGCAAGGTCTCAGAGCCAGGCAGGTGTGGAGCGAGAGGTGGAAGCCAGGCCTGCTAGCTTCCAGGGGCCCCTGCCACACTGGGAAGAGAGGGGGAAGCTGGCACAGCCTGGAAGGGACACCCACACCCGGGGAAGGAGTTTCGTGGGCATCCCGGCGTCTCCCACGCCTCTCCTAGCTCAGCGTCCCCCGGGGAAGCTCAGGCCCCAGATTTTGTTAGGGAGAAGTAAGCAAAGGGTGTTGGCTGTGCGCCCGCCTGTGGGACAGAACTGCAAAGTCAGCCACAAGCAAATGGGCCTTTTCAGGAGGCAGGAGGCACGGCAGCCACCTCCTCTGAGAAGCCGCCATGTCCTCCTCCCTCCCCGGGGCGTGGGGCTGTCCCCTCAAGCCTGGGTGGCCTTTGACGTGTGACCCTCCTCTCTGCACAGGCTCGGTCTGGGGTTCTTGCAGCTGGCACCAGCCCTCCCGGCCCCGGCCGCCCACCCGCCGCGGGGAAGATGCCGGAACAGAGTAACGATTACCGCGTGGTGGTGTTCGGGGCGGGCGGCGTGGGCAAGAGCTCGCTGGTGCTGCGCTTCGTGAAGGGCACGTTCCGCGACACCTACATCCCCACCATCGAGGACACCTACCGGCAGGTGATCAGCTGCGACAAGAGCGTGTGCACGCTGCAGATCACAGACACCACCGGCAGCCACCAGTTCCCGGCCATGCAGCGCCTGTCCATCTCCAAGGGCCACGCCTTCATCCTGGTGTTCTCCGTCACCAGCAAGCAGTCGCTGGAGGAGCTGGGGCCCATCTACAAGCTCATCGTGCAGATCAAGGGCAGCGTGGAGGACATCCCCGTGATGCTCGTGGGCAACAAGTGCGATGAGACGCAGCGGGAGGTGGACACGCGCGAGGCGCAGGCGGTGGCCCAGGAGTGGAAGTGCGCTTTCATGGAGACCTCGGCCAAGATGAACTACAACGTCAAGGAGCTCTTCCAGGAGCTGCTGACGCTGGAGACGCGCCGGAACATGAGCCTCAACATCGACGGCAAGCGCTCCGGGAAGCAGAAGAGGACAGACCGCGTCAAGGGCAAATGCACCCTCATGTGAGCCCGGAACGCCCGCCTGCCCGCCGCCCACCCCCACTGACCCCCGCTGCCTCCCCCAACACCGACACCCTCCTCGGCCTCCTCCTCTTCTCTCATCCTTCCTCCGACACCTCGGCTGGGGAAACCGAGGCCACCGCCCCCCCCTCCGCTGCCCCTGCCCACCCCGAGGCAGGGCTGGGGCTTTTCTTCCTCCCCTGCTCTCTCTCCACCCTCCTGTTCTGTCTGTACCCTCCAAAACCAAGAGCCGGAGGTGGCCCCCTTGTCCTGCAGATGGGAAAACAGGATGGGGAGCTGGCAAGAGGAGCTGCTTGTTCCCACCAGGACCAGAGGAGGCTGCGTTTCCCCGTTTCCATCTCTTTCCCTGGGGTGTCCCCAGCCAGACCTGCGCGTCCTGTCCCTCACATTTGATCACTGTGACCTTCTGGGGGAGGGGGGAGTTGAAAATGCACATCGGCCTCAGATATTTTTTTCTTTTTTCTCCTATTTGGTGTTAACATACACCCAAGCCCACCCGGCCCGTCGTGACCTCTGATCTGTGCCCACTCCTCCGGTTCCAGACGCACCTCTCTCCTCTGTCTTCACAGTGGGGTGTGGGGCCCGTGGGATGGGCCTCAGGCCACCAGGCAATAACCACAGGGCCTGCAGCAGTGCCCCTGCCAGCCCCGAATCCCACCCCCGGGACCAGCCACATCCACAGCACAACTGCCCCGCTGGAGAGGCACCATGGGCGTGGAGGGGCTTCCCGGACACCGCCCACCCGGGACCCGCCTCTTCCACCAAGACAGAGACGTTAGCAACGCATGGCGGGTGGGGACCTGGGGTGCTCAGGAGGGGGTACCCGGGGCCCCGGCCAGAGATACATCAATTACACCCCCGTGGGGGGACAGCCGATGGGAGCCAGCACCAGCAGGATCCGAGGGCGCCCCGGACAGAGGTCTGCCCCACCCACTTCCTCCCCACCACCTGTGCCCCAGAGAGCAGGGCCTGCCCGGGAAGGTGGCGTCCTGGAGTCGAGTGTACCTGCAGCCATGAGGTTCTGGGTGTTTTTTGAGAGAGTCTGAGTGACACCACACTCGTGTGACCCCACAGGGTTGTGTCCAACATACACGGAAGTGGCTATGGAATGGTGTATTTGTGCAACCTGGGGTGCGCGGATGGGTGACTTGTATCTAAGTGCATCTGCGTGTATACCTGTGTGTGTCTGTCTGGGATGATATGTTTTTGTGGCAGTCTGTGTGTGTAATAGTGGTGTAGGGTATACAGAGAGGTGGGTAGTT
Source organism: Homo sapiens (assembly GCF_000001405.40). Taxonomy (NCBI): domain Eukaryota; kingdom Metazoa; phylum Chordata; class Mammalia; order Primates; family Hominidae; genus Homo; species Homo sapiens. The sequence goes on along the minus strand of NC_000019.10, from coordinate 2,715,933 downwards.
GTAGATACCTGTGTGTGGTTGTCAGCAAGACTGGATATGTGTGAGGTGTCTGTGTGAATCTTTGTGCCTGTATGAGCATGACTATATTTTGGGGAGTGGGTGATATGGTTTATCTGAGAGCATTTATCTGTAAATATGTTTGTCCTGATTGAGGGACACGATCTGTGTTCCACTCTATAGCAACATGACTCTAGCAATGTGACTTTCGGTTCCAAATCTGTATCAGTCAGCTACTGCTGTGTAACAAATGACCACAAATGTAGCAACCAGAAACAACACATGCTTATTATCTCATAGATTCTGTGGGTCAAGAGCCTGGGTGCAGGTTGGCTGGGTCCTCTACTTGGGATCTCAGGAGGCTGCAATCAAAGCATTCGCCAGGCAGAGGTCTCATCTGAAGGCCTGATCGGGGAAGGATTTGCTTCTTAGAAGCTCATGTGGTTGTTGCAGCATTCAGTTCCTTGCTGTTGCAAGACTGAAGGCCTCAGTTCCTCGCTGGCTGTTGGCTGGAAGCTGCCCTTTGTTCTGTACCATGTGGGTCTCTCCACAGCGGGGCTCGGAGCATGGCAGCTAAGTTAGTGAGGGAAGGTGAGATGGAGGTTTTGGTCTTATTGGGTGTGAGGAAGCAACGTGTGTGTGTGCGCACGCCCTTTTGTGCAGTGAGAGAGAGAGAGAGATTGCACACATGTGTCTCTGTAGTCATGTGGCCAGGTGGGACTATGTAGGTAACAGATTGCTCGTGTCTGATTTGGTACAAGCATGTTTGTTTTCCTCTGTGTTCGTGTGAGTGTTTACTCAACAAATGTTTATTGGACACACTCAGAGAGAGGGAGTGTGCACACGTGCGTGTGTGTTGCTATCCAGCACGTGGACCGGGCTCCCAGAAGAGCTGGCATTGTGTCTGAGCAGAGCTGGGTCCCCCCAAAACTTGGGCTGGCCCAGGGCCCACCAGCAGCTGATGTTGCCTCCTCTCCTGTCCTGGCAGTAGCTTCTGGGTTCTGAAGGTGCCGGAGAGAGTGAGGCTGGGCAGGGGTCTGCGGCCCTTTCTCAGGGACACACCCTGATAGCACAATCTCCTTGGGGCCCTGCCCACCTCCAGGCCTCTCCCACCTCAGGCCCTGCCCGACCCTGGGGAGAGAGGGCATCTGCAATAGGAGGGGACCCGAGCCTGTCCTGGCTGCTGGCCCATCCTGCCTGGGCATCCCTGGTGCTGGGGACTGTGCCAGGCCATGCTTGCTGTGACTCCGCCCCTGCCCCCTCTCCCCCCGCATGTGGGTGCCCCCACTCCCCCATCGTGGGGTCTGTGTAGCCTTCGCTCTAGACATAGTCTTCCTGCAATAAAAAAGTGGATCCTGCATTCCCCACCAGCATGGCGCCCTGTCTCTGTGGTGGGCGTGGGGTGTCAGCTCACCGCCTGTAAAGGATCAAGAAGGGTGGGGAGGTGCAGGATGGGGTGAAGGGTGAAGGAGGTGATGGGTGTAGGAAGTGAGGGATGGGATGAAGGGTGGAGGAGGTGATGGGTGTAGGAAGTGAGGGATGGGATGAAGGGTGGAGGAGGTGATGGGTGTAGGAAGTGAGGGATGGGATGAAGGGTGGAGGAGGTGGTGGGTGGAGGAAGTGAGGGATGGGGTGAAGGGTTGAGAAGGTGGTGGGTGTAGGAAGTGAGGGATGGGATGAAGGGTGGAGGAGGTGACGGGTGTAGGAAGTGAGGGATGGGGTGAAGGGTGGAGGAGGTGGTGGGTGTAGGAAGTGAGGGATGGGATGAAGGGTGGAGGAAGTGGTGGGTGTAGGAAGTGAGGGATGGTGTGAAGGGTGGAGGAGGTGATGGGTGTAGGAAGTGAGGGATGGGGTGAAGGGTGGAGGAGGTGGTGGGTGGAGGAAGTGAGGGATGGGATGAAGGGTGGAGGAGGTGATGGGTGTAGGAAGTGAGGGATGGGATGAAGGGTGGAGGAGGTGGTGGGTGTAGGAAGTGAGGAATGGGATGAAGGGTGGAGGAGGTGGTGGGTGTAGGAAGTGAGGAATGGGATGAAGGGTGGAGGAGGTGACGGGTGTAGGAAGTGAGGGATGGGATGAAGGGTGGAGGAGGTGGTGGGTGTAGGAAGTGAGGGATGGGATGAAGGGTGGAGGAGGTGACGGGTGTAGGAAGTGAGGGATGGGATGAAGGGTGGAGGAGGTGGTGGGTGTAGGAAGTGAGGGATGGGATGAAGGGTGGAGGAGGTGACGGGTGTAGGAAGTGAGGGATGGGATGAAGGGTGGAGGAGGTGGTGGGTGTAGGAAGTGAGGAATGGGATGAAGGGTGGAGGAGGTGACGGGTGTAGGAAGTGAGGGATGGGATGAAGGGTGGAGGAGGTGGTGCGTGGAGGAAGTGAGGGATGGGATGAAGGGTGGAGGAGGTGATGGGTGTAGACAGTGATGGATGGGATGAAGGGTGGAGGAGGTGATGGGTGTAGGAAGTGAGAGATGGCATTAAGGGTGGAGGAGGTGGTGGGTGTAGGAAGTGAGGGATGGGATGAAGGGTGGAGGAGGTGATCGGTGTAGACAGTGACGGATGGGATGAAGGGTGGAGGAGGTGATGGGTGTAGGAAGTGAGGGATGGGATGAAGGGTGGAGGAGGTGGTGGGTGTAGGAAGTGAGGAATGGGATGAAGGGTGGAGGAGGTGGTGGGTGTAGGAAGTGAGGTATGGGGTGAAGGGTGGAGGAGGTGATGGGTGTAGGAAGTGAGGTATGGGGTGAAGGGTGGAGGAGGCGATGGGTGTAGGAAGTGAGGGATGGGATGAAGGATGGAGGAGGTGATGGGTGGAGGAAGTGAGGGATGGGAGGAAGGGTGGAGGAGGTGGTGGGTGTAGAAAGTGAGGGATGGGGTGAAGAGTGGAGGAGGGGACCTGTGTAGGAAGCGAAGGATGGGATGGTGGTGGGGAGGTGGAGGGAGTGGGTTGAGGACATGCAGCAGGGGAGGCAAGGCAGGACCCGTCTGGGACTCTGCTTGGAGATGTCTTTATGTGGCTTTTTTCTAGGGTGTTGGTTTCCAGATTCACTCTGTGCACATTAGCTGGGGACATCCTCCCAGCTGGACTTTCTGTGAACGTGGACAATTTCCTTGCAGGCCCAGTGGCGTTGGGGCAGAGGAGACTGTATTAGTCCATTCTTGGAATGCTATAAAGAAATACCCAGGCCGGGCACGGTGGCTCATGCCTGTAGTCCCAGCACTTTGGGAGGCCGAGAAGGGCATATTACCTGAGACCAGAAGTTTGAGACCAGCCTGGCTCACATGGCAAAACCCTGTCTCTACTAAAAATACAAAAAATTAGCTGGGCGTGGTGGCGGGAGTCTGTAATCCCAACTACTAGGGAGGCTGAGGCAGGAGGATCACTTGAACCCGGGAGGCGGAGCTTGCAGTGAGCTGAGATCGTGCCACTACACTCCAGCCTGGGTGACGAGAATGAAACTCTGTCCAACCCCCCGCCGCCCCACAAAAAGAAAAGAAATACCTGATACAGGTAAATGATAGAGAAAAGAGGTTTAATTGGCTCATAGTTCCACAGCCTGTGCAGGAAGCATGGCAGCAGCTGCTTCTGGGAGGCCTCAGGAAACTTACGGTCATGGGGGAAGGCAGAGGGGAGCAGGCAGGTCACTCGGCCGGAGCAGGAGCACAGGGGAGGAGGTGCCATACCGGATCTTGTGAGAACTCTATTATGAGACAGGACTGAGGGGTGGATCCATTCATGAGGATCCACCGTCATGATCCAGTCGCCTCCCATCAGGCACTACCTCCAACACGGGACTACAATTCAACATGAGATTTGGGTGGGGACAGAGAGCCAAACCATGTCAGGGGACCTTCCCTGCTTGTCCCATCTGCCAGCCCAGCCCCCACCCCTCACCCCTAACCCAGAGCAGGCTGGGGCAGGGATCTGACCTGAAGAGGTAAGGCGTTGTTCAGGACCAGACTGGAAGGAAGGAAGAGCTGAGACATCATTCATTCACGTATTCATTGGTTCATTCATTCATTCATTCATCCAGTATGTAAGAGGCACCACTCTATGCCTGGTCCTGCCCTGATGCTGGGGACACAGCAGTGACAGACACCAGCCCCAGAGCCCCCTGCCTGCTCAGAGAGCATAACCCACTGGGGACGATGATTCCCTATGAAGAAGTGGATCAAATCATCGCAGACACATGCTCCCTACGCAGAAGATAAACCTGCATCACAAAAGTGACGTGGCTGGGAGTCCCAGGCCTTCTGAGGTCTGACTCAGAAGCTGACGTGTTTGCTGATGTGGGAAGCGGGGGAGAGGCCAGCTCCAAGGGGACCTGGGACGGAGCACTGGACAGGGGGACCAGCAAAGGTGTCAAAGCAGGAACAGGTGAGGCCTGGCTGGGAGGAGTGGAGGGAGGAGAGGGAAGGTGGCCAGTGAAGTTGAAGGTCGCCAGCAGGGGTCAAACAGTGCCTGGTGGGCTGTGGGAAGAGTTTGGACTTTCACGAGAAGGATGCCAGGGGGTTACGGGAACATTTCAGCATTTCCCTCAAGAGACCTCGAGGGCCCCGCTGTACCGTGTACTTACCGCAGCTGGCTGAGGAGGTCGGACAGGCACTAAGAGCCCTATTTTACAAAGGCAGGAACCCACAGGACCTCAGCTTCCCTATCTGTGTAATGTGAATGTATGGTTGGAGTCTGGCTTGCCAGGATCCCAGGAGGCGGGAGAGGGCCGTGGTTAGTGATATGTCCTCCAGGTCAGATGTGAAGATGGTGGGATCCCAGCTGCAGCTGCAGGGAGCATAGCACCTGCCTGGGACCCCCTCCTCTATTTCTCCAAGTGACCATGGGTTTTGAGACACCCTCTTTTAAAAATTATTTTTTTTTTGAGACGGAGTCTTGCTCTGTCGCCCAGGCTGGAGTGCAGTGGTGTGATCTCGGCTTCAAACAATTCTCCTGCCCCAGCCTCCCGAGTAGCTGGGATTACAGACGCCCACAACCATGCCCGGCTAATTTTTGTGGTTTTAATAGAGATGGGGTTTCACCATGTTGGCCAGGCTGGTCTCAAACTTCTGACCTCAGGTGATCCACCTGCCTTGGCCTCCCAAAGCGCTGGGATTACAGGCATGAGACACCGTGCCTGGCCTTCATTGCAATTTTTAAAACGTTTTATTTATTAATAATTATTGATTCACGGGAAGGTACAAGGAGGTCTGATGCACCCTGCACCCAGCCCCCCAGCTATGTTTACATCTTGCATAACTGCAGTATAACCTCAAAACCAGCACAGTGGAAGGATGCAAGCTTCACTGGATTTGCATGCACTCATCTGAGTGTGTGAGTGTGTGTGTGGTTTATGCAGTTTTATCACACGCATAACTTCCTCTAAACACCGTCACGAGATACTTTTTTTTTTTTTTTTTGGTCAGGGTCTTGCTCCGTCGCCCAGGCTGGAATGGTGCAGTGGTGTGAACACAGCTCACTGCAGCCTCAATCTCTTGGGCTCAAGTGATCCTCCCACCTCAGCGCCCCCCGAGTAACTGAGTAGCTGGGACTACAGACACATGCACGTCACCACATGTGGCTAATTTTCTTTCTTTCTTTTTTTTTTGAGACGGGGTCTGGCTCTGTCGCCCAGGCTGGAGTGCAGTGGTGCGATCTCGGCTCACTGCAAGCTCCGCCTCCCAAGTTCACGCCATTCTCCTGCCTCAGCCTCCCGAGTAGCTGGGACTACAGGCGCCCGCCACCACGCCCGGCTAATTTTTTGTATTTTTAGTAGAGACGGGTTTCACCGTGTTAGCCAGGATGGTCTCAATCTCCTGACCTCGTGATCCGCCCACCTCGGCCTCCCAAAGTGCTGGGATTGCAGGAGTGAGCCAGCACGCCCGGCTAATTTTCTTATATATATATTTGTAGATATGGTGGGGGGGTCTTGCCATGTTGCCCAGAATGGTCTCGAACTCCTGGGCTCAACGGATCTTCCTGCTTCGGCCTCCCAAAGTGCTGGGATGACAGGTGTAAGCCACTGCACAAACAAGACACTTAAGCGACACCAAAGACTCCCTCGTGATATCCCTCCTAGCCACGCTAGCCACCCTCACTAATGCAATATGTATGTATTTGAGAGTCTTGCTCTGTTGCCCAAGCTGGAGTGCAGTGGCATGATCTCTGCTCACTGCAACCTCTACCTGCCAGGTTCAAGCAATTCTCCTGCCTCAGCCTCCCGAGTAGCCGGGATTATAGGCATGCACCACCACGGCCCAGCTAATTTTTATTTTTTGTATTATTAGTAGAGATGGGGGTCTCACTATGTTGGCCAGTCTGGTCTTGAACTCCTAGCCTCAAGCAATCCTCCCATCTTGGCCTTTCAAAGTGCTAGGATTACAGGCATGAGCCACTGCACCTGGTCCTAATGCAATATTTTTTTAAAAATTGACATGAGTACAAAAAATCTGCATTGAACAAAATTTTAAAGTCCCAAATAAAGACAGCATCCAACCTTCCCCTGAGAGCCTCAGGCAAAAGGAAAAATGTGTGCATGTGTACATATACCAAATATTTAAGCATCTTTACATATCTTTCTATTTTTTTGAGACTGTCTCAATTTGTTGTCCAGGCTGGAGTGCAGTGGTGCAGTCTCGGCTCACTGCAACCTCCTCCTTTCCAGTTCAAGCGATTCTCCTGCCTCATCCTCCAGAGTAGCTGGGACTACAGGTGTGTGCCACTGTGCCCATCTAATTTTCTTTTTTCTTTTCTTTTCTTTTTGTTTTTTTTGAGATGGAGTCTTGCTGTGTTGCCAGGCTGGAGTGCAGTGGCACGTCTCGGCTCACTGCAACCTCCGCCTCCCGGGTTCAAGCGATTCTCCTGCCTCAGCCTCCTGAGTAGCTGGGACTACAGGTGCGTGCCACCACACCCAGCTAATTTTTGTATTTTTAGTAGAGATGGGGTTTCACCATGTTGGCAAGGCTGGTCTCGATCTCTTGATCTCGTGATCCACCTGCCTTGGCCTCCCAAAGTGCTGGGATTACCGGCGTGAGCCACCGCGCCCGGCCCAGCACCTTTATATATCTGTATGCATTTTTAGTGGTTGATTTTTTCCAGAAGTAGATTTTGAAAATATGACTGATGATTTAGTAGGATTTGCTTCTACTAAAACTAGGACAGTAAAATTATAATAAAGTCTATTTGGACATAAAGAAACTTAATAATAACATTGTAAAAAGACACATGACATTGTGAGTTTGAATACAACATCTTTTCAATCCTTGAATACTTTCAACTGCTTTAGTGTTCTGGAAAAAAAGTAACCATTAAAAAATACAGGCTCATGCCTGTAATCCCAGCACTTTGGGAGGCTAAGGCAGGAGGATCACTTGAGCCCAGGAGTTCAAAACCAGCCTGGGCAAACTGGTAAGACCCTATCTCAAAAGAAAACATTAAAAAATATATAACTCTCTGGAAGAATATTTGGCAGTTTCTTCAAGAACAAATCATGCAGCTACCATATGACATAGCGATTGTGGTCCTGGTCATTTATCTCAGAGAAATGATTTATGTTCATACACAAACCCTTACAGGAATGTTAACGGCAGCTTTATTAGTAAGAGCCAAACACTGGTTTTCAGTGGGTGGATGGTTGAACAAATTGTGCCCCATCCTCATTGTGGAATATTACTTAGCAGTCAAAAGGAACAAAATACTAAGACAAGCCACCACCTAGATGAATCAGATAATTATAAAAAGTGAAAAAAGTTGGCCAGGTAAGGTGGCTCACGCCTGTCATCCCAGCACTTTGGGAGGCCAAGGCCGGCAAATCAGTTGAGGTCAGGAGTTCGAGACCAGCCTGGCCAACATGGCGAAACCTTGCCTCTATTACAAATACAAAAATTAGTCAGGCATGGTGGCAGGCGCCTATAATCCCAGCTACTTGGGAGGCTGAGGCAGGAAAATCGCTGGAACCCGTGAGGCGCTGCAGTGAGCCGAGATCACGCCACTGTACTCCAGCCTGGGCAACAGAGTGAGACTCTGTCTCAAACAAATCAAATCAAAACAAAACAACATAGATGATGGGTAGATAGGTGCAGCAAACCACCATGGCACACATTTACCTATGTAACAAACCTGCACAGCCTGCACATGTATCCCAGAACTTAAAATAAAATAAAAATACAAAATAACTAGCCAGACATGGTGGTGCACACTTATAGTCCCAGCTACTTGGGAGGCTGAGGCAGGAGGATCACTTGAGCCCAGGAGTTTGAGGCTGCAAGTAAGCTGTGAATGTGCCACTGCACTCCAGCCTGGGAGACAGAGCAAGACCTTGTCTCAAAAAAAAAAAAAAAGGGGCCTAGCACGGTGGCTCACTCCTGTAATCCCAGCACTTTGGGAGGCTGAGGCGGGTGGAGCACTTGAGGTCAGGAGTTTGAGACCAGGCTGGCCAACATGATGAAACTCCATCTCTATTAACAATACAAAAATTAGCCAGGTGGTGGGCGCCTGTAATCCCAGCTACTCAGGAGGCTGAGGCTGGAGAATAGCTTGAACCTGGGAGGCGGAGGTTGCAGTGAGCCTAGATCACGCCATTGCACTTCAGCCTGGGCGATAGGGTGAGACTCCGTCTCAGAAAAAAAAAAAAGATAAAAATAAGTGAAATGGTGAAGAGATTGGTGATGGTCAGAGGTTAGGGATGGGGTTTGGGGATGGGAGGAAGGTGGGTGTGGCTCTTAGAAGGCACCAGGAGGGATCCTCGCAGGGATGGAAACATCCTCTGCCTTTTTTTGTTTGTTTGTTTCTTTCTTTCTTTTGAGAAGGAGTTTTGCTCTTGTTGCCTAGGCTGCAGTACAATGATGCGATCTCGGCTCACTGCAATCTCCACCTCCCAGGTTTAGGTGATTCTCCTGCCTCAGCCTCCTGAGTAGCTGGGATTACAGGCATGCGCCACCACGCCTGGCTAATTTTGTATTTTTAGTAGAGACGGGGTTTCTCCATGTTGGTCAGGCTGGTCTCGATCTCCTGACCTTGTGATCCGCCCGCCTCGGCCTCCCAAAGTGCTGGGATTACAGGCGTGAGCCACCGCGCCTGGCCAACATCCTCTATCTTAAGCTTAACAATGTTAATATCCCGTTCATGACATTTCACTGCAGTTTTGCAAGAGTTTGCCATTGGGCGAAGCTGGGCAGAGGGTACTGGCCCTCCTTCTATGCTATGTCTTACAACTGCGTATGAATCCACAGTGATCTCAATATTTACAATTTTAATTTAATTTTTAATGTTTCTTTTTTTGACCAGGGATACTGCTAAATTTGAAAAAGGGGAATTGGGCCAGGTGAGGTGGCTTCAAGCCTGTAATCCCAATGGGTGCCTGCAGTCCCAGCTACTCAGGAGGCCGAGACAGGAGGATCGCTGGAGCCCAGGAGTTGGAGGCTGCAGTGAGCAATGATCGAGCCACTGCCCTCAACCCTGGATGAGAGAGTGAGACCCTGTCTCAGATAAAAGGAAAGAAAGAAAGAAAGAAAATAAACAAGGCAGAGGCGGGAGGATCACTTGAGCCCAGGAGTTCGAGACCAGCCTGGGCAACATAGCAAGATCCCATCTCTAAAAAAAAAAAATGTAAAAATTAGCTAGGCATGGTGGCATGCATCTGTGGTCCCAGCTTCTCAGGAGGCTGAGGTGGGAGGATTACTTGAGCCTGGGAGATCAAGGCTGCAGTGAGCTGTGATAGAATCACTGCACTCCAGCCCGGGCGACAGAGCAAGACCCTGTGTCCAAACAACATCATCATCAACAACAACAAAAACCCAAAAAACAAAAGAAAGGGGCCGGGCGCAATGGCTCATGCCTGTAATCCCAGCACTTTGGGAGGCCGAGGTTGGTGGATCACCTGAGGTCAGTAGTTTGAGACCAGGCTGGCCAACATGGTGAAACTCCGTCTCTATTAAAAATACAAAAGTTAGCTGGACATGATGGTGGGCGCCTGTAAGCCCAGCTACTCGGGAGGCTAAGGCAGGAGAATAGCTTGAACCTGGGAGATGGAGTTTACAGTGAGCCGAGATCACATCACTGTACTTTAGCCTTGACGACAAGAGTGAGACTCCATCTCAAAACAAACAAACAAAAAACAAATAAACAACAAACAAACAAAAAACCAAAGGGAAGTTGATGGGAAAATATATGTGAAAATATGTCTATTGGGACATGCCACCTTTTCCATTTGTCTTAGGCTCCAACATGGTTTCACATGACACTTTTTCAAAATTGTTACAAATACTTGTATCTATGTATGGGGTACATGTGGTATTTGTTATATGCATAAAATATATAATGATCATGTTTGGGTATTTGGGGTGTTCATAACTTAGACTATTTCTCATTTCTATATGTTGGGAACAATTCAAGGACTCTCTTCTAGCTTTTTTTTTTTTTTGAGACAGAACTTCGCTCTTGTTGCCCAGGCTGGAGTGCAATGGCACGACCTCGGCTCACCACAACCTCTGCCTCCTGGGTTCAAGCCATTCTCCTGCCTCAGCCTCCCGAGTAGCTGGGATTACAGGCATGTGCCACCACACCCGGCTAATTTTGTATTTTCAGTAGAGACGGGGTTTCTCCATGTTGGTCAGGCTGGTCTCAAACTCCTGACCTCAGGTGATCCACCCGCCTTGGCCTCCCAAAGTGCTGGGATTACAGGCGTGAGCCACTGTGTCCGGGTGGGCGCCTGTAATCCCAGCACTTTGGGAGGCCGAGATGGGCAGATCACGAGGTCCGGAGATCGAGCCCATTCTGGCTAACACGGTGAAACCCCGTCTGTACTAAAAAATAAGCTTGGCGTGGTGGGACGTTCCTGTAGTCCCAGCTACTCAGGAGGCTGAGGCAGGAGAATCGCTTGAACCCGGGAGGCGGAGGTTGTGGTGAGCTGACGTCACGTCATTGCATGCCAGCCTGGGCAACAAGAGCGAAATTCCATCTCACACACACAAAAAAGAAAATAATAATAATAATAATAATTAAATAGAGATGAAGCCTCGCTATGTTGCCCAAGCTGGTCTCGAACTCCTGCCCTCAAGGGATTCTCCTACCTTGGCTTCCCAAAGTGTTTGGATTAGAGGCGTAAGCCACCATTATTCTAACTATTTTGAAATGTACAATACATTGTTGCTAACTACAGTCACCCTATTCTGCTATCAAACATTAGAATTTATTCTAATACTATATTTGATAGCAGAATACATCCTATTCTGCTATCAAACATTAGAATGTATTCCTTCTGTCTAACTGAATGTTTGTACTCATAACTCACCTCTTTTCATTTCCCCCCCACTCAACCTACACAACTTTCCAGCCTCTGGTATTGATCATTCTACTCTCTACCTCCATGAGATCAACTCTCTGGTTCCCACGTATCAGTGACAACATGCCCTATTTGTCTTCCTGTGTCTGGCTTATTTCACTTTTTCACTTAATATAATGACCTCCAGTCCCATCCATTTTGCTGCAAATGACAGGGTTTTATTCTTTGTTATGGCCGAATCATATTGCATTGTGTATTTAACACTTTTTTTTTTTTTTTTTGAGACAGAGTCTCACTCTATCGCCCAGGCTGGAGTGCAGTGGTGTGATCAAAGCTCACTGCAGCCTCAACCTCCTAAGCTCAAGCGATCCTCCTGCTTTCGCCTCCGAAGTAGCTGGGACTACTGGTGTGCGCCGCCAGGCCTGGCTAATATTTTAATTTTTTTGTAGAGTTGCGGTCTCAGTATGTTGCCAGGCTGGTCTTGAACTCCTGGGCTCAAGCGATCCTCCCGCTTCAGCCTCCCAAAGTGCTGGGAATACAGTCGTGAGCCACCGTGCCCTTCCCAAGCTCTATCTAGACAGTCATTCCTCTTGGGGGATGCCAGCTGGGGAGAGCCTGGAGGAGGGCAAGCAGGGAGATGGAGGTTTCTCTGTGCCCTGCAGGGCAGGCCACTGGAGTCCAGAGGATGAGCAGGGAGGTTCTTGCAGGGATGACAGGAACCCTGGGGAAGTTTATCTTGGATTTTGGCCAGCAGCTCCAATCCCAGGGCTCAGGTGGGGCGGCAAGGACACACAGTGTCAGCGCCTGATGAAATCCCTGAGGTCACAGAATATGGTGGCTCCATCTTCCTTCCAGGGCTGTGTACTGCTTTTGGAGACATACAAAGTGTTTTCCAATATTCCCAAGGGAGCTTGTGGAAAATGAAGATTCCAGGCCTGTAATCCAAGCATTTTGGGAGGCAGAGGCAGGAGAATCACTTGAGCCCAGGAGTTCAAGACCAGTTTGGGCAACATAGCAAGACCCCATCTCTAACAAAAAAAAATTAGCCAGGGCCAGGCACGGTGGCTCACGCCTGTAATCCCAGCACTATGGGAGGCCAAGAAAGGTGGATCACCTGAGGTCAGGAGTTGGAGACCAGCCTGGCCAAAACGGTGAAACCCTGTCTCTACTAATAATACAAAAATTAGCTGGATGTGGTGGTGCGTGCCTGTGGCCCCAGCTACCCGGAAGGCTGAGGTGGAAGGACTGCTTGAGCCTGGGACTTCAAAGCTGCAGTGAGCTATGACTGCACCACTGCAGTCCAGCCACGGCAATTGAGTGATACCCTGTCTCAAAAACAAAACGAAAACTAAACAAAACACAGATTTCAGGGTCCAGTTCCCTATAGGATTCTGGTTCATTCCATCTGTGTTGGGGCTCAGGAATTTGTGGATCCAGGGCCATGAGTTAGGAAACTGAGAAATCTTGGAAATGATGAGACAGGCTTGGGCAAATGACCTTAGGTTTCACCTTTCTGAGACCCAGTTTCCACCTCTGTAAAATGTGGATAGTAATCTCGCCTTCTGGCCTTATGCGGAGGGTCCCACGAGAGGGAGCCTATAAAGTCTTCAAGAAAGCGGTGCAGCAGTTATGATCACTGACATTCTTCCCCAGCAAATGAGCCCCCGGAGCTGGCATGCAGGATTCGAACCAGCTCACCTAGCGCGGGATTCGAACTCGCGAAACTACTCGCGCCTTCCTGACGTCACGAAGTCACCCTGGAAAGCCGCTCTTCGCCCCGCCCCCGGCCCCGCCCGCGCCCGGAGCCCCGCCCCACTCTCCTGGGCGCAGCCTACCCCGCTGCCTGCCCCGCGCCCCGCCCCCGCTCCGGCCTCCCGCAGCCGGGGCTCGCGATTGGCCTTGCCGGGACGCCAGGGCCCGCCCCCCGAGTGTCGGCCCCGCCCCCGCAGAGGGGAGCGAGCGCTCGCGGGCCGGGGCGGAGGGTTCGGCTGCGCGGCGGGGCTGAGGCGGCCGCGGGGCCCGAGCGCAGGTAAGGGCGCCCGCGAACCGGGCCAGGGGAAGTGAGGGCGCGGCCGGCGTCCCGGAGAGGGGACTGGGACAGCTCGGATTCGGCTGCGGACCGAGTTGGGGGTCGGAGTCGGCTGAGGAGGGGGGCTGGGTCTGGGGACCCGGGCTGCAACTGGAGGCTGGGGTTGGAATTGGGGACGGGGCTGCGCTTAGGGGGTCGAAGTTAGCTGGGGAGGGGCTGGGGTTGGGGATTGGGACTGCACTTGGGGCTCAGGGCTAGCTGGGGAGGGGGCGGGAGTTGCAGGTCGAGGTTAGCTGGGGACGGGGCAGGGGGTGCAGATCGAGGTTAGCTGGGGAAGGATTGGGTCTGGGCATTGGGACTCCACTTAGAAATCAGGGCCAGCTGGGGAGGAGGCTGGAGTTGCAGGTCCAGGTTAGCTGGGGAGGGGGCTGGAGGTGGGATTGGAGGTCTGAGTTAGCTGAGGAGGGGGCTGGGGGTGAGACTGGAGGTCTGAGTTATCTGGGGAGGGGACTGGAGTTGCAGGTCGAGGTTAGCTGGGGAGGGAGCTTGGAGCGGGATTGGAGGTCTGAGTTGGCTGGGGAGGGGTCTGGAATTGCAGGTCCAGGTTAGCTAGGAAGGGGCTGGTGGTGGAATTGGAGGTCTTGAGTTTGCTGGGGAGGGGGCTAGAGTCGCAGGTCGAGGTTAGCTGCCGAGGGGGCTTGGAGTGGGATTGGAGGTCCAAGCTAGCTGGGGAGGGGGCTGGAATTGTAGGTCGAGGTTAGCTGGGGAGGGGGCTGGAAGTGGAATTGGAAATCTGAGTTAGCTGGGGAGGACGCTGGGGATGGTGTTGGGGGTTGAGGTTAATTGGAGCGGGGAACAGGGGTTGAGTCAAGGGTGCAGCTTCTTTGAAGAGGGAGCTGGGAGTGGGGTTGAGGTTTGCAGGGAGCTGGAGAGGGGGCTGGGGATGGAGTTTGAAGTGGGGTTCATTGGAGAGGGGGCTGCAGAGGGAATTAGATGTTGAGGTTGTCTGGGGAGAGGACTGAGGAATGGGGTTGGTGAAGATGGGGGGGTGTGATTGACGGCCCAGGGGTTAGGGTTAGCTGAAAAGGGGCAGAAGGACAAAGCTGGGGTGAGCCAGGGAGTGGCTGGAGCATACAGGTGGGGGTCAGGCTTGTTCCAGAAAGGGTCTGGGGGCTATCAGGGGAAATGGGGAGCTTGTGAGTGTGTGGGGTGGAAGGGGGTTCAGGGAGAAGGAAGTTGGGGTGAGTTAGTGAGAAGGGAGGTGGGGGTAAGGTCCCAGGCTGGAGACACCTGGGGGCAGGTGTTTTGCTAGACATTGACTAATCAGGAGGAAAACGGGGTGTGGGGAGGTGTCTCAGGTAGGATCCAGTTAAAAGGAATTTGGAGAGGACTCACCCCTCTACTTTTGGGGGAGATGTTAATTGTTTGCTCTAGAACTGGGCACGGGGCAGAACCCCCTGGGGAACAGTGAGTTGAAGGAGACGGGAGTTCGGAATACTTTTTGAGGTTTATTTCTAGGATATAGGGTGCCAAGGAGAACGCTTCAGGAAGGAGAAAGGCTCCTGTCGGTGACTGAATTTTTCAGGAACTAAAGTGGGAGTTTTTGGGACGGTGCTATTGAGCGACGTGGGTGGCACTTTATTTTTCCTGGGGAGCGGGGGTTGCTAGGGGTTGGGAGGTGGGCGGTGGAAGACAGGCTTGATGAACAGAGGCAGCGGATCCCCAGCTAAGCGTCTTCACACGGTTGCTAGGTGTCAGCGAGGCAAATGCCAAGTTCACAAACTTGTTCCCGTCGTGGGATGCTGCGATCTTGCCTTGATGGAGTGTCGGGGGCCTCTGGGAGGTGCGCCTGTGTGTGTTCCGACCCAGCCTCTCGCTGCGGATTTGGCTGTATCATCTTTTGGAGGTGTTGTTTACTCCCCTGCAAAGCGGGAATAATAAAAACAGTAGCATGTGCCTCTCAGGGTCGAATTACGGGATGTATGCATGGACTATTTCCTAGCATATAGTGAGGGTACCTGAAGCATGGAGAATAATGGACTCAATCCAGTTTTTTTCTTTGGTGGGTTTGGAGATGGAGGAGTGGGATGACTGGGTTGTCACAGAGGAGAGGAAAGGAAGTGACTGGAACTTGACTCTAGTCCTGCAACCTTAGGAGCACACATCAGGGTCACCCCCAGAAGCTTTAAAAAATAACCTGCATGGCTGGTTGTGGTGGCTCATGCCTGTAATCCCCGCGCTTTGGGAGGCCGAGGCGGGTGGATCACCTGAGGTCAGGAGTTTGAGACCAGCCTGGCCAATATAGCGAAAACCTGTCTCTACTAAAAATATCAAAAATTAGCTGGGCATAGTGGCGTTTGCCTGTAATCCCAGCTACTTGGGAGGCTGAAGCAGGAGAATCGCTTGAACCCAGGAGGTGGAGGTTGCAGTGAGCCAAGATCACGCCATTGCACTCCAGCCTGGGCAACAGAGAGAGACTCTGCCTCAAAAAAATAAAGGAAAAAAAAAAAAAGGACTGCAACAACAACAAAAATATGTCTTATTATTATTGTTATTATTATTATTATGTTGAGACAGAGTCTCAAATATGGAGCCTGTTTCCATATTATTAAAAGTGAGTAAAAAACTGAAAAGAAAGAAGACTTTGCCCACACCTGGTGGCAGGAGAGTCTCAAAGCTCGTTAAGTAACAGATGCACCTGTTCAAGAGAAGGCTGCCTGGGTCATTCTGATTAGGGGCACCCCGTAAGGAACCACATCGAGCTGTGATTATACGCTTGAAATTTTGAGTTTACAACTTCAGTTCATGGGGTGCGTCTGGGTCTCTCTATCCCAGCGCTGCGGACATTTGGGATCTGATTGTCCTCTGGGGTGGGGCCTTCTGGGCACTGCAGGGTGCCGAGCAGCATCCCTGACCTCCACCCACTCCACACCAGGAGCTCCCCGCATTGTGACAACCACAGATGTCTCCGGATATCACCCAGCGTCCTGTAGGGACAGAGATACTCCAGTGTGGAACCCTTGTTATAGACAAAACTGATTTATTTTCTCCTTTAACGACCTCATCTCCCCTTTGATGTGCAGGAAGTGGGGTCATTCAGAATTGAGGATTGCTTTTAAGTCATTTAGTGCTGTCATTCGGAGAGGGGAGAAGTAAGGTCTCACTGCTTTTAGAAAACATTAGAAATGCCTACTTATGGCTGGGTGCGGTGGCTCACGCCTGTAATCTCAGCACTTTGGGAGGCCGAAGTGGGTGGATCACTTGAGGTCAGGAATTCAAGACCATCCTGGCCAACATGGTGAAACCCCATCTGTACTAAAAATACAAAAACTAACTGGGCGTGGTAGCACACGCCTGTAATCCCAGCTACTTGGGGGGCTGAGGCAGGAGAATCACCTGAACCCAGGAGGCAGAGGTTGCAGTGAGCTGAGATTGCACCACTGCACTCCAGCCTGGGCCACAGAGTGAGACTCTGTCTCAAAAAAAAAAAAAAAAAAAGGCTACTCCTTTCTAGGTGGGCCTTTTATGTGGCTTTTGAACACTTAGTACTGATTTAGAAGATGGCCTGAAGTTGTCAGTTGCAAGCATTGGAAGATGACAATGTTTGCAATGTGCTTTCTTGGTTTTAACCTGGAACGTGAAGCTTCCAACGAAGCTCAAATTCTGCAGGTGCGTCTCGATCTTACAGAGGAGCTTTATTTAGAAAACATCCTTTGACCGATACCGTTATTTTCTGTTCTTGTTTCATGCTTCGTAAACCCTGGGGCCCCACTGTTTGAAGGCAAAGAGAACTAAACACAAATTACCCTCACGTGTAGACAATTCAGCTTCGTGTTTACTGAATGGAGGCATTTTTCTTGTTCACCGATAGTAGTGGAAAACACTCCTTTCTTCATTCAAGGTGTTATTCGGATTTTTTCAGTTCCATCTGGAAGCAGCGATGGTCTTTAAAATCGTATCCAGAGTCATTTGTATTTTTGAAGATGCTTCATGGTTTCTTACAGGAAGGTCGTGCCTGGTCTCTATAGGCTTGGGAGCTGGTGCTTTCTTTTTTTCTTTTCTTTCTTTTTTTTTTCTTTTTTGAAACACAGTCTTTCTCTGTCACCAAGGCTGGAGTGCAATGGTGCAATCTTGGCTCACTGCAACCTCCGCCTCCAGGGCTCAAGCAATTCTTCTGCCTCATCCTCTCGAGTAGCTGGGATTATGGGCGTACACCACTGCACCCGGCTAATTTTTATATTTTTAGTAGAGACGGGGTTTCACCATATTGCCCAGGCTGGTCTCAAACTCCTGACCTCAGGTGATCCACCTACCTCGGCCTCCCAAAGTGTTGGGATTACAGGCGTGAGCCACCGCGCCCGGCCTGTCCTTTTTTTTTTGAGACATGGTCTCATTCCGTTGCCCGGGCTGGAGTACAGTGGTGCGATCTCGGCTCACTGCAACCTCTGCCTCCTGGGTTCAAGCCATTCTCCTGCCTCAGCCTCCCGAGTAGCTGGGACTACAGGCACCCACCACCACACCCAGCTAATTTTTGTATTTTTAGTAGAGACGGAGTTTCACCATGTTAGCCAGGCTGGTCTGGAACTCCTGACCTCTGGTGATCCACCTGCCTCGACCTCCCAAAGTGCTGGGATTATAAGCATGAGCCCCCGCACCCGGCCTGTCTTTTGTTTTTGAGATGTGGTCTCGTTCATTGCCCAGGCTGGAGTGCAGTGGCGCCATCTTGTCTCATTGCAACCTCCGCCTCCCGGGTTCAAGCGATTCTCCTGCCCCAGCCTCCCGAGTAGCTTCCATTACAGGCATGTGCCACCACGCCCGGCTAATTTTTGTATTTTTAGTAGAGACGGGCGGGGGGGGGGACGGGGCCCTCACCATGTTGGCCAGGCTGGCCTCGAACTCCTGACCTTAGGTCATCCACCCACCTCAGCCTCCCAAAGTGCTGGGGTGACAGGCGTGAGCCACCGCGCCCGGCCGCTGTGTCCTTTCACGGCTGATTTCTGCAATTCTGCGTCCTTGTTGATGTCGGGCGCCTCTCCCCGCTCGTTGACATTTCTTGACTTCACTTGTCACTGCTTTTTATACATGCACTCTTTGGCCTGGCCTCTGTCTCTTAAGGGTTAGAGAAAAGTGTTCATGGTTTACGTCACCCAGGAGACCCTACCGATGAGTGTGAGAGCTAAGGAGATGGGCTGACCCATCCTCAGTCACACAGCGGCCCCCGAGGGGTCACTCCTGTCCTCCTCCTCCCCCATCCTGCGGCGTGAGTGGGCCACGCTCTCTCTGTGTGGTTGCTCCCCCACATCGGCTCCTGACACGGATGGGCGGTGGGGTTCGTGGGCAGCTCCGAGACGCTTCCACGAACAGTTACTTGAACCTCGCAAAAGGAAAAGTCTTACTGCTTTTTATGACAAAAATTGAGGTATAATTTACACTTCATAACATTCAGACCTTTTAAGGATGCAATTCCATCTTTTAAATAAGTTTATCAGCTGTGCAAACATCCCTATAAGCCCCTTTCAGAACATTCCTGTGATCCCAGCATTTTGGGAGGCCGAAGCAGGTGGATCAGTTGAGGTCAGGAGTTCGAGACCAGTCTGGCCAACATGGCGAAACCCTGTCGCTAGTAAAAATACAAAAATTAGCCGGGCGCCTGTAATCCCAGCTACTCAGGAGGCTGAGGCAGGAGAATCGCTTGAACCTGGGAGGCGGAGGTTGCGGTGAGCACTGCACTCCAGCCTGGGCAACAGAGCGAGACTCTGTCTCAAAAAACAAACAAACAAAAAAACATTCCATCACCTAGTAAAATCTTTTGTCCCCATGAGGGGGACTCTCCACCCCCTCCCCCAGCCCTGGCACCCACGCCTCTCCCTCCTGTCTCTGGACTGGCCTGTCCTAGACATTTCAAAGAAATGGGTCACACACTGTGTGGCCTTTTGTGTCTGGTGTCTCTCACTGCGTGTGACATGCTCAAGGTGCATCCGTGCTGTGGCCTGCGTCAGAGCCTCGACCCTTTTCAGGGCTGAGTCGTGTTCCGGTGCGTGGACAGGCCGGGCTGTGCTCATCCATCCATTCAGCAACACACGCTCGGCCGCTTTTGCCTTTGGGCAATGGAGCACAGTGCTGGGATGTAAATGGCTTTTTCCTGGGCACAGGCAGTCCACTGCACTGAAGCTTGGGATGTTTGTTTAGTGGTTCTTTCTTTCTCTTTCTTTCTTTCTTTCCTTCCTTCCTTCCTTCTTCCTTCGTCTTTCCTTTCTTTCTTCCCTTCCTTTCCTTTCTTTCTTTCTTTTCTTTCTTTTCTTTCTTTCTTTCTTTCTTTCTTTCTTTCTTTCTTTCTTTCTTTCTTTCTTTCTCTCTCTCTCTTTTTCTTTCTCTCCTTCTCTTTCTTTCTTTTTTCTTTTTCTTTCTCTCTCTCCTCTCTCTCCTCTCTTCCCTCTCTCCCCTCTCTCCCCTCTCTCTCCTCTCTCTCTTTCTCTCTTTTCTTTTTTTTTGACGGAGTCTTGCTCTGTCTCCCGGGCTGGAGTGCAGTGGTGCAATCTCGGCTCACTGCAACCTCCACCTCCCAGGTTCCAGTGATTCTCCTGCCTCAGCCTCCCGAGTAGCTGGGATTACAGGCATGCACCACCACACCCAGATAATTTTTATGTTTAGTAGAAACAGGGTTTCACCATGTTGCCCAGGCTGGTCTCGAACTCCTGACCTCAGGTGATCTGCCCGCCTCGGCCTCCCAAAGTGCTGGGATTACAGGCGTGAGCCCCCATGCCCGGCCCCTTCTGTCTGCTTTCTTTCCCATCTCAGTGCTCCCTCTTGAGCCGAGAGCCTCATCATCCCTGGCGGGAGACTCCGAGGTGACGAATCAGCCTCTGGTTTCTCCAGCTCCAGCAGGACCTTCCTAGTAAGCTTCCTGGGCACTGATCAGACGGTCACTTCCCTGCCTCCTATCAAGTCAGCACCCACATGATGGCACCCCAGTTCCTCATGGGGTCTTCAGGGTCCTGCATGGCCTGGCCCTGCCCTCTGACCCTTCAAGTACCCCACCCCCACTTGGCTCCATCCACCTCCCCGGTGCCCCTGGGTTTCCTGGACGCTGCTGTTGCTGTCTCCTTTGTCTGAAACGCTCCTTCCTTCCTTCCTCTATCCGACAAAGGCCCGTTGTGTGCCTATTTTAAGCCTCAGAACTGGTGCCAGGCCCTGGGAGCACCACGTGAATGAGGCATCTGTGTGCTGGTGTGGGGGCCGTGGAGATGGCAGTCTGGGTCAGAGGGGCCTGAGCCCAGGGTGGCACAGAGGTGGGGGCCTCGGGCCTGTGTGTTCTAGGAGCTGAATAGGTGCAGGGGTGATAAGAAGTCGTCCAGGGGGGTAGAGAGGGGGCTGCGGAAGGTCCAGACAGGAGGCCACGAGGAAGCTTTGAGTAGAATACAAGTTTGCCAGGGAACGGATTGGTGGAGACTGGCCCATCTTGGTGGGTACACAGAGGGCGCTAGGTCTCCCCATGCCACTCACCACACATTTTCTCAGCCTGGCTCACTGCAGCCTCAAACTCCGGGCTCAAGCAATCCTCCCACCTCAGCCTCCCAGAGTAGCTGGGACTACAGATGCACGCCACCATGCCCAGCTAATTAAAACTTTTTTTTGTAAACGTGGAGGTCCCCCTGTATTGCCTAGGCTGGTCTCGAACTCCTGAGCTCGAGTTCAACCCTACCCTGTGATGGCCTGAGTAGGGTCATTTTCTGGGGCAGGGCTGTCCTGGGCACTGCAGGTCCTGAGGTGCCGAGCAGCGTCCCTGGCCTCCACCCACTCCACGCCAGGAGCACCTCCAGTTGTGACAACCACAGATGTCCCCAGACATAGCCCAGTGTCCCTCAGGGAGCAGATCACACCTGGGCTAGGGGAGTCCACGGACTCCAAGAGACTCCGCGTCCCATGATCCTCTGCCCTGCTGAGGTCCCAGGAGGCTGCACACATTGAAATCCACACCCTGAGTGGGGAGGGAGAGAGGAGGTGAGCCCCAGAAGCTGGGGGTCCCCCTGATTTACACTGTCTGCCCCATTGGGAGTTTATTCTGGTGTCTAGTGTGATCAGGAAGCAGACTTGATTTTTTTCCCAAATAATGTAGGGGCTCCCTCTTAGTACTGCAGATAGGGGGGACCGGATTGTTCTCTGGGGTGGGGCCGTCCTGGGCACTGCAGGGTGCTGAGCAGCGTCTCTGGGCTCCACCCACTCCACGCCAGGAGCATCTCTGAGTTGTGACAGCCACCGATGTCCCCAGACATTGTCCACAGTCATCTGGGGTTGAGAACCACTGCTCTATACCAGGCTATGGTAGAACAGATCCTTTCAACTAAAACTTTTTTTTTTCCCCTAAAAACTATGGTTGAACTAGTTAAGTGCTATTCCCTGCCCCCCCCCAAAAAAAAGCAACAAAAAAATCTCCCCAAAATGTAGATTCCTCCAAAAATAGTGTCACCAATTCCAGATAGCCTTGACATTTCTGACCCAAATCCCCTGTGCTTACCCAGCCTTACAATCTCAAATGTAGCCCAACCCCAGAGAGAGAAAGGAAGATAATTTTATCCTCAAACAACCAAGATTTCTTAGGCATAGAGACATTGCCGTTTCAAGGTCAGAGTCATTTATTTTACAGACATTTATTAACGTTCACAACACAATATTAAGTGTCTGATATTGTGTCGAGTGATGGGTTTACAAAATGAAGACAGGGACCTCGACCTCTGAGAGCCTCCAAGAGGAGGCGGCATTTGATTAGAGACTTGGGGGGGTTGTGGGTAGAATGTGGGCGTTCATTCTTTAACCCTTGACGCATTTATCTGGTGCTGTCTCTGTCTCATGTCCAGCCATGCCCTAAATCAGAGCTTGTCCCTGGGGGTGATTCTGGCCTTCAGGGGACACTGAGCAACGTCTGGGGACATTTGTGGCTGTCACAACCGGGGCTGCTCCTGGCATGGAGTGGGTGGATGCCATGGACACTGCTCAGCGCCCTGCAGTGCCCAGGATGGCCGCACCCCAGAGAATAGTCCAGAGCTCCGATGTCCACAGTGCCCAGGGGAGAGACCCTGGTTTGCAGAAATGGCTACCTTTTTGGAGTTTCTGTACAGTTACTCTTTGGAAGATGGTAAAGTAGAAAAAGACTACCTTTGATGTATGTTAATTAGTTGAAAGTCTGCTTTTCTTTTCTTTCTTTTTTTCTTTCTTTCTTTTTTTTTTTTTTTGAGGCAGAGTCTCGCTCTGTCACCCAGGCTGGAGTACAGTGGTGTGATCTTGGCTCACTGCAACCTCCACCTCCCTGGCTCAAGCAATCCTCCCACCTCGACCTCCTGAGTAGCTGGGAATACAGGCAGAGATCACTATGCCCAGCTAATTTTTTTTTTTTGTAAAGATAGGATATTGCTATGTTGCCTAGACTGGTCTCAAACTCCTGGGCTCAAGCGATCCTCCTGCCTCAGCCTCCAGAGTAGCTGGGACTACAGGCACATGTCACCATATCCGGCTAATTTTTTGTAGAGATGGAGTCTCACTATGTTGCCCAGGCTGGTCTTGAACCCCTGAGCTCAAGTGATCCACCCACTTCAGACTCCCAAAGTGTTGGGATTACAGACATGAACCACTGTGCCTGGCTGAACATCTACTTTTCTTTTTAATGAGATAGGGGCTTACTCCGTTACCCAGGCTGGAGTGCAGTGGCACAATCGCAGCTCACTGCAGCCTTGAACTCCCAGGTTCAAGTGATCCTCCTGCCTCAGCCTCCCAGATGGCCAAGACCACAAGCATGTACCACCACACCTGGCTAATTTTTGTATCTTTTGTAGAGACCGGGTCTTGCTGTGTTGTCCAGGCTGGTCTTGAACTCCTGGGCTCAAGTGATTCGCCCACCGCAGCCGGCCCACATTCTAGAATTACAGGTGTGAGCCACCACGTCGGACTTCATTGTTCATTTGACCTTTGTTGACAAGCCCAAGACTGCTGCCCCTGGCCTTCTTTTTTTTTTTTTTCGAGATGGAGTCTCACTCTGTCGCCCAGGCTGGAGTGCAGTGGCGCGATCTCGGCTCACTGCAAGCTCCACCTCCCGGGTTCACGCCATTCTCCTGCCTCAGCCTCCCGAGTAGCTGGGACTACAGACGCCCGCCACCACACCCGGCTGATTTTTTGTATTTTTAGTAGAGATGGGGTTTCACCGTGTTAGCCAGGATGGTCTCGATCTCCTGACCTCATGATCTGCCTACCTCGGCCTCCCAAAGTGCTGGGATTACAGGCGTGAGCCACCGCGCCCGGCCTCCCCTGGCCTTCTTAAAAAACTCCCTAACTTGATGGACAACAAAGCCAGGAGGAATCAAAGAAAAGAGGTGAATCCAGCCAAGTTCAAATGCAGATGTCCTGGCAGAGTCTGCTGGGCACAGAGACGGCTGTGGCTTCAATGTGGTCGGAAAGTAAGGCCTGGACTTCGCTGGCCTTGGCAGTACCCAGTTGTAGGAGGAGCCTGGGGCTGCCGCCGTCATGAATGACCACAGACCGGGTGGTAAAATAACAGAAATGTATTGTCTCATGGTTCTGGAGACCAGGAGTCTGAAGTCACGGTGTGAGCAGGGCTGCGCTCCTTCTAGAGGCTCCAGGGAAGGAGGCGTACTGCCTCCCCCACCCCCTGGGGGCTCCAGGAGTCCTTGGCTTATGGCCTCATTGATCCAATTTCTGCCTCTGTCATCACAAAAGGCCTTCTCCCCGGGTGTCCGTGGAAATTTCCCTCCTCTTTTTTTTTTTTTTTTTGAGATGCAATCTTGCTCTGCTGCCCAGGCTGGAGTGCGGTGGCATGATCTCAGCTCACTGCAACCTCCGCCTCCCGGGTTCAAGCAATTCTCCTGCCTCAGCCTCCCGAGTAGCTGGGATTACAGGCGTGTGCCACCACGCCCAGCTAATTTTGGTATTTTTAGTAGAAACGGGGTTTCACCATGTTGGCCAGGCTGGTCTCGAACTCCTGACCTCAGGTGATCCTTCCACCTCGGCTTCCCAAAGTGCTGGGATTACAGGCGTGAGCCACCACGCCCGGCTCTTTTCCTTTTATTATTATTTTTTTAATTTTTATTTTTTTTGAGACAGAGTCTTGCTCTGTTGCCCAGGCCGGAGTGTAGTGATGCAATCTTGGTTCACTGCAACCTCCGCCTCCCAGGCTCAAGTGATTCTCCCACCTCAGCCTCCTGAGTAGCTGGGACTATAAGCATGTAACACCACGACTGGCTAATTTTTCCATTTTTAGTAGAGATGGGGTCTCGCCATGTTGCCCAGGTTGGTCTCAAACTCCTGAGCTCAAGCAATCCTCTGGTCCCGTCCTCCCAAAGTGCTGGGATTACGGATATGCGTTACTGAGCCAGGCCGAAACCATTTCTAATGATTTTATGATTCTTTTATTGCATTAAAGTACAAAGATACAGTTGGGTTTTTAAATAGACTTTATTTTTTTAGAGCTATTTTAGGTTTACAGCAAAATCGAGCGGTAAGAACAGAAAGTTCCCATACACCTCCCTGCAACCCACAGGCACAGCCTCCCCCATTACCAGCACCCCGTACCACAGTGGTACATTCGTTATAATCACAATGGATGAACCCACGTTGACACATCATTGTCACCCAGAGTCCCCAGTCTCTATTGGAGTTTACTCTTGGTGTTGAAGATTCTACGGGTTTGGAGAAGGGTGTAAGGATACGTGTCCACCATTGTGGTATCCTATAGTTTCACTGCCCTGGCCGGGCGCGGTGGCTCGCACCTGTAATCCCAGCAGTTTGGGAGTCTGAGGTGGGTGGATAACTTGAGGTCAGAAGTTCGAGACCAGCCTGGCCAACATGGTGAAACCCCGTCTTTATTAACAATACAAAGCTTAGTTGGGCGTGGTGGTGCGTGCCTGTAACCCCAGATACTCAGGAGGCTGAGGTGGGAGTATTGCTTGAATCTGGGAGGTGGAGGCTGCAGTGAGCCAAGATTGTGCCACTGCACTCCAGCCTGGGCGACAGAGCAAGACCCTGTCTCAAGAAGAAAAAAAAAAAGACCTGAGCCAACAGGTTGAAATAGAAAAACTCACATGGATTTGTAATCAGAGAATCTTAGAAAGGCAGCTGAGGAAGGGGCTTGGAGCACGTCCAGTCCAGGAGTCAGTAACCACCGCCCTTGGGCCACCTCTGGCCCACAGCCTGGTTTTATATATGGCCCCTGGGCTAAGAATGATTATCCCATTTTTATTTTTATTTTATTTTATTTTTTGAGACAGAATCTCGTTCTGTCACCTAGGTTGGAGTGCAGTGGTGTGATCTCGGCTCACTGCAAACTCTGCCTCCCGGTTCAGGCCATTCTCCTGCCTCAGCCTCCCGGGTAGCTGGGATTACAAGCGCCTGACACCACACTCGGCTAATTTTTGTATTTTTAGTAGAGATGGGGTTTCACCATGTTGGCCAGGCTGGTCTCGAACTCCTGACCTCAAGTGATCCTTTCGCTTCGGCCTCCCAAAGTGCTGGGATTACAGACGTGAGCCACCGTGCCCGGCCTCCATTTTTAAATGGTTGGAAAAAAAAGTCAAAGGAAGCCCTGCTTCTACCCGCCGCCAAAAGAAGCAAAAAACAAAAGTCAAAGAAAAGGCCATGACACATGACAATTATATGGCATTCAGATTTTAGTGTCCAGAAATAATGTTTTATTGGCACACTGCTCTGTGTATTCTGCTACCATGGTGTAGTTAAGTCGTTGCCGTAGAGAGTGGCTCCACCGCAAGGCTGAAAACACTGGGTATCTGGACTCTTACCGAAAAAGCGTGTTGGCCCTCGAGTCCATCTCGCACGCTTTATGCATGGGAAAACTGAGGTCTGGAGGTTTCACGAGTTAGTGGTCATGCTGGGACTTGATCTTGGAACTTTGTACTTTAGCATTTGTCATGTCATTTCAGCCTCTGTGTTGTCAGAGCTCTAACAGTTAACTTCAGAGAATTGCATCGAATATGGTTTTTTTTTTTTTTTTTTTTTTTTTTTGAGTTGGAGTCTCACTCTGTAGCCCAGGCTGGAGTGCAATGGCGCCATCTCAGCTCACTGCAGCCTCCGCCTCCCAGGTTCAAGTGATCCTCCTGCCTTAGCCTCCTGAGTAGCTGGGATTACAGGCGTCCACCACCACACCCGGCTATTTTTTGTATTTTTAGTAGAGACGGGGTTTCACCATGATGGCCAGGCTGGTCTCGAACTTCTGACCTCAGGTGATCCACCCGCCTTGGCCTCCCAAAGTGCTGGGAGGCCCACCGAGCCCGGCCCAAATGTGGTCTTGTTAGGAGCGTTTATTCCTGTAGCCTCCATAATGAGAAGGGCTTAATGATTTGGGAACAATTTTATATAATTATTTTTTTTCCCCTATAACACGGTGCCATGCATAGTATGATTGGCATTTTTTTCCCCCTTTTTTTTTGCATTATTTTTATTTTTGTTTATTTTTTTCTTATTTATTTATTTATTGTATGTATTTATTATGTTGGGGCAAACATAATTGTGGTCTTTGCCATTAAAAGTAATATTTTTTAAATTTACATTTACATTTTTTTTTGAGACAGAGTCTTACTCTGTCGCCCAGGCTAAGTGCAGTGGAGTGATCATGGCTCACTGTAGCCTCCAACTCCTGGGCTCAAGCGATCCTCCCACCTCAGCCTCCTGAGTAGCTGGGACCACAGGCACGCAACCCCGTGCCTGGCTAATTTTTGTTTTATTGTAGAGATGAGGTCTCGCTATTTTGCCTAGGCTGGTCTCGAACTCCTGAACACAAGTGATCCTGCCACCCCGGACTCCCAAAGTGTTAGGAGGACAGACGGGAGCCACTGTGCCCGGCTAACAATGGGTTCATTTCTCTCAACTCCACACTTTATTCAAATGTCATTAATCTTCCCCTAATGTCCTTTCCTGCCCCAGGACCCATCTAGAATCCCACGTGACATTTAGCCGGCTCGTCTCCGGGGGTTCTTCCAGGTTGGGACCATGTCTTAGATGTTCGTTACCTCTCGTGACCTGGACGGTCTTAGGGGGACCGGCTGGGTATTGTGCAGACTTACTTCTGATCTAGGTTTGTCAGATATTTCTCTCGTGATCAGACCGGGGTTACGGGTTTCGGGAAAGAACACGTAGGGGTGAGGTGCCCTGTTGCTCTCTCCCTGCTGGGGATCCTTGAGACCCTGGTGACTTCCTACTGGTGCTGTTAACCTGGTTCTCCCAGCCCAGGTGGCCTTAGCCCACCTACCAGCTACTCTGAGGTCATTCTTGCTGAGGGAACTCCCCACTTCCCCAGAGCACTGACACCGACTCCATCCTTCGTACGGCAAACTTTGCTTTTCATCTTTGCATCATGATTTCTTTTTTCTTTTGTTGAGACGGAGTCTCGCTCTGTCGCCCAGGCTGGAGTGCAGTGGCGCGATCTTGGCTCACTGCAAGCTCCACCTCCTGGGTTTACACCATTCTCCTGCCTCAGCCTCCCGAGTAACTGGGACTACAGGCACCCGCCACCATGCCCGGCTAATTTTTTGTTATTTTTAGTAGGGACGGGGTTTCACCGTGTTAGCCAGGATAGTCTCGATCTCCTGACCTTGTGATCTGCCCAGCTCGGCCTCCCAAAGTGCTGGGATTACAGGCGTGAGCCACCGCGCCCGGCTATTTTATCTGGAGGCAGAGTTTTGTTCTTGTTGCCCAGGTTGGAGTACAGTGGCACGATCTCAGCTCACTCAGGTTCAACTGATTCTCCTGCCTCAGCCTCCCAAATAGTTGGGATTACAGGTGCGTGCCACCTTGCCCGGCTAATTTTTTGTATTTTTAGTAGAGATGGGGTTTCGCCGTGTTGGCCAGGCTGGTCTCGAACTCCTGACCATGTGATCTGCCTGCCTCGGCCTCCCAAAGTGCTGGAATTACAGGCGTGAGCCACCGCGCCCGGCATCATGATTTAAACTTCTTGGCCAGGCTGGTGGCTTACTCCTGTCATGCCAGCACTTTTTTTTGTTTGTTTGTTTTTTGAGATGGAGTTTCACTCTTGTTGCCCAGGCTGGAGTGCAATGGTGCGATCTCGGCTCACCGCAACCTCTGCCTCCCGGGCTCAAGCGATTCTCCTACCTCAACCTCCCAACTAGCTGGGATTACAGGCATGGGCCACCATGCCTGGCTAATTTTGTATTTTTAGTAGAGGCAGGGTTTCTCCATGTTGGCCAGGCTGGTCTCGAACTCCTGACCTCAGGTGATCCACCCGCCTCGGCCTCCCAAAGTGCTGGCATTACAGGTGTGAGCCACCATGCCCAGCCTAACCCCAGCACTTTGGGAGGCCAAGATGAGAGGATTGCTTGAGCCCAGGAGCTTGAGACCAGCCTGGACAACATAGTAAGACACCATCTCTACAAAAAAGAGAAAAAAATTAACTGAGTATAGTGGCGCATGCCTGTAATCCCAGCTACTCGGGAGTCCGAGGCAGGAGGGTCGCTTGAGCCCAGGAAGTTGAGGCTGCAGTGAGCCAAGATCATGCCCCTGCACTCCAGTGTGGGTGACAGAGCCAGACCTTGTCTCAAAAAAAAAAAAAAGAAAAAAAGTGGCCAGGCGCGGTGGCTCACGCCTGTAATCCCAGCACTTTGGGAGGCCGAGGCGGGCGGATCACGAGGTCAGGAGATCGAGACCATCCTGGCTAACACGGTGAAACCCCGTCTCTACTAAAAAATACAAAAAGTTAGCTGGATGTGGTGGCGGGCGCCTGTAGTCCCAGCTACTCAGGAGGCTGAGGCAGGGGAATGGTGTGAACCTGGGAGGCAGAGCTTGCAGTGAGCCGAGATCGTGCCACTGTACTCCACCCTGGGCGAGAGAGCGAGACTCTGTCTCAAAAAAAAAAAAAAAAGAAAGAAAAAAAGTAAGTAAAGTCTCTTTTGACCCCACCCTACAAAGGCTCCGCTCCTTGGGATCGTTTCAGGGTGTTGGAAACTCGTCGTCTTCCCCATCTTGGCGGCAAACACTGAAGAGAGCTCAGGAGAGACATCTCCCTTCTGATTGGAGACATATGCGTCCTGCCGGTCCCGAATGTGTTGCGGGGATTGGCCGGGATCCCAGTGCTGGAGACTGAAGCAAGCAGGCACCGGGCCGGGGTGTTGAGCGCAGCTTTGCCTGAGATGCAACATTTTTAAAAAGGAGGGGGGAGGCCGGGTACGGTGGCTCACGCCTATAATCCCAGCACTTTGGGAGGCCGAGGTGGGTGGATCACCTGAGGCCAGTAGTTGGAGACCAGCCTGGCCAATGTGGTGAAACCCCGTCTCTACTAAAAATACAAGAATTAGCCAGGCGTGGTGGCGGGTGCCTGTAATCCCAGCTACTCGGGAGGCTGAGGCAGGAGAATCGCTTGAACGCGGGTGGCGGAGGTTGCAGTGAGCTGAGATCGCACCACTGCACTCCAGCCTGGGCGACAGCGTGAGACTCTGTCTCAAAAAAAAAAAAAAATGCTGAGACAGAGACCACACACGGCTGGGAAACTGCCTGACAGCTGGCACTTTCTGCCCCCTGGCCTCTGGGACCAAGATGACACCCCTGGGTCCACATTCTCGCTCTGATGAAGTGTCTGGTAAAGGCAGAGGATTGTTGGAAAGCAGGATATCGGTGGGGGCTGAGGTGGGGTTGGAGTGTCCTTGGAAAGTGAAACTGGGCCGGGACAGGAGAGCTCTGGCGAGAAAGAGCTCAGGCCTCCTCTCGCGGGGACAGTGAATGGGGCCCTTTGTTTTGCCAAGGCCCTTTTCTTAGTGGCCTCTTTTCACTGGGCAAACAACGGCAGGGTGTCGCTGGGTGTTCAAGGCCGTCCCCTGCCCACCAGGCCCTCGTCTCGGGAGGAGGACACCGGGCGGTCACGGACGTTACTGGGCATCCGACGTTTGACACACAGTGGACGGGGCCTCGTGACTTCCCACCCTGTCCCCCGTCTCTGACTCTCAGCTGCTTCCCCTCTCTCACTTTCTTTTGTTTTGCTTCCCTTACTTTACTTTGAGACAGGGTCTCCCTCTGTCACCCAGGCTGGAGTGCAGTGGTGCGATCACAGCTCCCTGCAGCCTCTGCCTCCTGGGTTCCAGCCATCCTCCTGTCTCAACCTCCCAAGTAGCTGGGACCACAGGTGCATGCCACCACGCCCGGCTGATTTTTAAATTTTTTTGTAGAGATGGGGTCTTGCTATATTGGCCAGGCTGGTCTCCAACCCCTAGGCTCAAGCTATCCTTCAGCCTCGGCCTCCCAAAGTGCTGAGATTACAGGTGTGACCCACTGCACCCAGCCTTCTCTTCATTTTTCATTGTGGTAAATTACATGTAACATAAAATTTCCCCGTTTAACCATTTTTTGGGTACATTTAACCAACCACTGTCCCCTCCAGAACTTTCTCATCTTCCCAAACTGAAACTGTGTCCTCATGAAGCACAGACTCCCCAGCCCCCTCCCCAGCCCCTGGCACTCCCATCCTACTTTATTTTCTTTTTTCTTTCTTTTTTTTTTTTAGACAGAGTCTCGCTCTTGTCACCCAGGCTGGAGTGCAGTCGTGCGATCTTGGCTCACTGCAACCTCTGCCTCCTGGGTTCAAGCGATTCTCCTGCGTCAGCCTCCTGAGTAGCTGGGATTACAGGCGTGTGCCGCCACGCCTGTCTAATTTTTGTATTTTTAGTAGAGACAAGGTTTCTCCATGTTGGCCAGGCTGGTGTTGAACTCCTGACCTCAGGTGATCCACCCGCCTCGGCCTCCCAGAGTGTTGGGATTACAGGCGTGAGCCACTGCGCCCGTCCAATTTTTGTATTTTTAGTAGAGACGAGGTTTTTCCATGTTGGCCAGGCTGGTCGTGAACTCCTGACCTCAGGTGATCCACCCGCCTCGGCCTCCCAAAGTGCTGGGATTACAGGCATGAGCCACTGTGCCCGGCCCCCATCCTACTTTCCGTCTCTGTGAATCTGAGGGCTCTGGGAACCTCTTAGGAGTGGATCACGGAGGATGTGTCCTTCTGTGCCTGGCTTCTCTCACTGAGACTGAGGTCCTCAAAGTGCATCCTCATCGTGGCCTGTGTCAGGATTGCCTGCTGTTGAAGGCTGAATCATACTCCGGGGTGTGTATGGACCACGCTACGTTGATCCGTGCATCCGTCCAGGGTCACTTGTGTCGCTACCACTTTGGGGCCTCCATCAACAGCACTGGTGCGGGCCGGGCACGGTGGCTCACGCCTGTCATCCCAGCACTTTGGGAGCCTGAGGCAGGCGGATCACGAGGTCAAGAGATCGAGACCATCCTGGCCAACATGGTGAAACCCCGTCTCTACTAAAAATACAAAAATTATCCGGGCGTGGTGGCGGACCCCTGTAATCCCAGCTACTCGCGAGGCTGAGGCAGGAGAATTGCTTGAACCCAGGAGGAGGAGCTTGCAGTGAGCCGAGATCGCACCATTGCACTCCAGCCTGGGCGACAGAGTGAGACTCCATCTCAAAAAAAAAAAAAAAAAAATGGCCAGGCTGGTCTCGAACTCCTGACCTCAAGTGAGCCACCTGGCTTCAGCCTCTCCAAGTGCTGCGATTACAGGCGTGAGCCACCGCGCCCGGCCCCATCATTTATTTTTAAACCCATAGACTTGCTGGTCGCACTTCTGTGCCCGGTGGGATTTTTGTCCATTTGACGTCGCTTTTGCAGCTCGGCCCCCTGGGGCTGAGGGCGGATTTGAGCTCCTCTGGCCGATGCTGTCCACCAGCTCCCTAGCCAGCCCCTGCAGGAGCTCCTTTCTTGTTTCTGCACGGGTACCTCCCGGCAGCAAGCCCGTCCCTGCCCGAGCTGGCCCGTCCCTGTGCAAGAGCCGGTCAGCCCCAGGCAGGTTTTTCACAGCTCAGTTAATTTCCCTCCCTCCTCCTCCAGGGTCTCTCTCTTGTTTTTCTCCTCACCTGGAATGCCCTCGGTTCAGGCTTTCACCATCTCCGCCTGCTCCAGCTCCCCTGTTTCTTCTCCCTGTCTGATGTCACCTTGTGCTTCAGTGACACCTTGAAGTTTCCGGGCTCCCACCCGCCTCCCCACTGCCAGTCTTTATCAGAGCCTGCATCTTCTTCTTTGGCCTGAGCATCGTTTTTGTTTGTTGGCTTTATCTGTAGAAGAGGCTCCTACCTCAAGAGCAGGTAAGAAGACCACACAGAAGGCGTGGAGAGTATCTAGCAGGTATTCCGGGGAAAATAGTCTTTTTAAAAAAATTAGAGATGCGGGTCTTGGCCGGGAGTGGTGGCTCACACCTGTAATCCCAGCATTTTGGGAGCCGAGGCAGGCACATCACCTGAGGTCAGGAGTTCGAGACCAGCCTGGCCTCCCACCCAGGCTGGCCTAGGGCAACATAGTGAGAACCCATCTCTATTTTTTTTTTTTGAGACGGAGTCTTTCTCTGTCGCCCAGGCTGGAGTGCAGTGGCACAATCTCGGCTCACTGCAACCTCTGCCTCCCGGGTTCAAGCGATTCTCGTGCCTCAGCGTCCCGAGTAGCTGGGATTACAGGCATGCGCCAGCACGCCCAGCTAATTTTTGTATTTTTACAAAATTTAAAGAGATGGGGTTTCACCACGTTGGCCAGGCTGGTCTCGATCTCCTGACCTCGTGATCTGCCCGCCTCGGACTCCCAAAGTGCTGGGATTACAGGCGTGAGCCACCGTGTCCTGCCGGGAGTCCTTATTCAGTGAGCCCAGGATGGAATCTTCTAGAATGCAGTAGACTGTTATTTGAATGCCTCCCTCACTCCTACAGTTGCAGCTGCAGGTTTCCGATTGCCCCTCACCCCAGCATTGCAGTTACCCCCAGAGCAACCCCTGGCAGCTCTTCTGAGGCTCTGTCTTCAGATGAGGAAACCAAGGCTCATGGCGTGGAGTGGGAGACTTCACCGGATGGGGTGGGAGCAGGGGCAGGGATGACCCCTGCCTCCCTGTAGCTCTTCTTTTTTTTTTTTTTTTTTTTTTTTTGAGATGGAGTCTCGCCCTGTTGCCCAGGCTGGAGTGCAGTGGTGTGATCTCTGCAACCTCCGTCTCCCGGGTTCAAGTGATTCTCCTGCCTCAGCCTCCTGAGTAGCTGGGACTACAGGTGCGTGCCACCACGCCTGGCCAATTTTTGTATTTCTAGTAGAGACGGGGTTTCGCTATGTTGGCCAGGCTGGTCTCGAACTCCTGACCTCGTGATCCGCCCGCCTTGGCCTCCCGAAATGCTGGGATGACAGGTGTGAGCCTCCGTGCCCAGCTCGCCCTGTAGCTCTTTTATGAGATGGCTCTGTCTGCATTTTGCACAAACTCTTTCATCTCCGTGATGGAACCAGCCACGTTTCCTTGCACATTTTTCCAGGTAAAACTCCGGCTTCCTTCTAGCTGTGGAGTTGATTATACCAGGACCCCTCATGTTAAAAACTATCAGCTTCAGGCCGGGCGCGGTGGCTCACGCCTGTAATCACAGCACTTTGGGAGGCCAAGGTGGGTGGATCACCTGAGGTGAGGAGTTCAAGACCAGCCTGGCCAACATAGTGAAACCCAGTCTCTGCTAAAAATACAAAATTAGCCGGGCGTGGTGGCGCGCGCCTGTAATCCCAGCTACTTGGGAGGCTGAGGCAGGAGAATCCCTTGAACCTGGGAGGCGGAGGTTGCAGTGAGCTGAGATTGCGCCACTGCACTCCAGCCTGGGCAACAGAGCAAGACTCCATCTCAAACAAAAACAAAGAAACAGAAACTATCAGTTTCACTTGAAAACATGCTCCGCATCAGTCCTCAGGGAAATGCAAATCAAAGCCATGGTGAGATACCACTTCACACCCAGTAGGATGGCTAGAATTAAAAAAACCAAAACAACAAACAATCACAAGGGCTCACGGGGAGGTAGAGACACGGGGATCCTCATGCGTCGCTGCTGGGAACATCATGTGGTACAGCTGCTCTGGAAACAGCCTGGCAGTTCCTGAAGTGGTTACATACAGTGTTTCCATATGACCCTGTGAGTTGACTCCTAGACGTACACCTAAGGGAAGTGAAAGCGTATGTCCACACAAACACTGCGCAAGAAGGATCTGGCCCGGTGATGTGGCTAATGCTAGTGATCCCAGCGCTTTGGGAGGCCGAGGTGGGAGGATCACTTGAGTCCAAGAGTTGGAGACCGGCTGGGTGAGGTTGCTCACGCCTGCAATCCCAGCACTTTGGGAGGCCGAGGCGGGCGGATCATGAGGTCAGGAGATCGAAGCCATCCTGACTAATATGGTGAAACCCCATCTCTACTAAAAGGACAAAAAATTAGCCGGGCGTGGTGGCGGGCGCCTGTAGTCCCAGCTACTCGGGAGGCTGAGGCAGGAGAATCGCTTGAACCTGGGAGGTGGAGGTTGCAGTGAGCCGAGATCGTGCCACTGCATTCCAGCCTGGGCAACAGAGCAAGACTCCGTCTCAAAAACAATAAAATAAAAAAAGTTGGTTGCTACAAAAAAAATAAAAATAAAAATTAGCCAGGCCTGCTGGGGCACACCTGTAGTCCCAGCTACTTGGGAGGGTTACACAGGAGGATCAAAGAAACAAAAACTGTCGGTTTCACTTCAAAACATGCTCCGCGTCAGTCCTCAGGGAAATGCAAATCAGAGCCATGGTGAGATACCACTTCACGCCCAGTAAGATGGCTAGAATTAAAAAACCAGAACAACAAACAATCACAAGGGCTCACGGGGAGGTAGGACATGGGGACCCTCATGCGAGCTCGGGAGACGAAGGTTGCAGTGAGCTGTGATCACACCACCGCACTCCAGCCTGAGCAACAGAGCAAGACCCTGTCTCAAAAAAGAAACGAATGAAGTCGGGAGTTCAAGACCAGCCTGACCAACATGGAGAAACCCCGCCTCTACTAAAATACAAAATTAGCCAGGCGTGGTGATGCATGCCTGTAATCCTAGCTACTTAGGAGGCTGAGGCAGGAGAATCTCTTGAACCCAGGAGGCGGAGGTTGCAGTGGGCTGAGATCTCACCATTGCATTCCAGCCTGGGCAACAAGAGGGAAACTCCATCTCAAAAAAAAAAAAAAAAAAAAATTGTAAATTTTGTGTTAAGTGTATTTTACTAAAAAACCCACTGTTAGTCTATGTGGTCACTTTTCAGAGCTTTTAATTTTTAATTTTAAAATGTTTTAATTTTTTAAAAAATAGAGACAGGTGGCTGGGCAAGGTGGCTCATGCCTGTAATCCCAGCACTTTGGGAGACCGAGGCGGGTGGATCACCTGAGGTCAGGAGTTTGAGACCAGCCTGGCCAAGATGGTGAAACCACATCTCTACTAAAAATACTAAAATTGGCCAGGCATGGTGGCGGGTGCCTGTTATCCCAGTTACTCGGGGAGGCTAAGGCAGAGAGAATCACTTGAACCTGGGAGGTGGAGGTTGTGGTGAGCCGAGATCGCACAACTGCACTCCAGCCTGGGCAACAGAGCGAGACTCTGTCTCAAAAAAAAAAAAAAAAAAAAAGAGACAAGGTCTTACTATGATGCCCAGGCTGCTCGAACTCCTGGGCTTAAGCGATCCTCCCTCCTCGGTCTCCCAAGATGCTGGGGTTACAGGCGTGAGCTGCCGTGCCTGGCTGACAGTCTTAGACTGTAAGAAGACGGTCCTGTTTTTCTCCCTGTGGGTTTCTCATCTTTCTCCACTGTGGGTCAAGCCTAATAGAGCTGTGGACACTGACTGGTTCTGTTTTAAGGGATTCTGGCATTGGATTTTGAGTTTCTTCACATCTGGGACTACTGAGCAGGTCATGTCTTTGATTTAGGTCTTGCCAAGCCCAGGTAATTTAGGAAGGTGCTACCTGGTGCCTGGAGTTAATACAATGAGTAAGGTGAAGATGCAGATGGGAATGCAAGGGGTTGAAAATTCTGTCCTGCTTTGAGGAAGTGGGACCTGGGGGAATAGGATATGTAAAAAGTGAAAGGTGGCGAATCATGGAGGGTTCTGGAATCTTCTGGAACCTTCTAGAAACTCCCAGAGCCTTCTAGAGTTTTCTGGAATGTAGGCATGGTGAGGCATTGGATTTAGAATGCCTACTTAGCCACCATGTGACTTTCTTTCTGTGTGAATTTTGAAGAAAACATGGAACCTTTCTGTTTCCTTGTGTGTCAGACAGGATAGGAATCACTCCCTAGGGTCATTGAAAAGATTGGGATGGACTACGAGGCTGTGACCTGGATGGGTGGTGGTCCTGGTTATCACTGTTATTGCTGGAATCACTGCTAATATTATTCAATATATTATGTATAAATATTAGTATTGGCTGGGTGTGGTGGCTCACACCTGTAATTCCAGCACTTTGGGAGGCTTAGGTGGGAGGATTGCTTGAGCCCTGGAGTTCGAGACCAGCCTGAGCAACATAGTGAGACTCTATCTCTACAAAATTTATTAAAAATTAGCCAGATATGGTGGTGCACACCTGTGGTCCCAGCTGCTTGGGAGGCTGAGGCAGGAGGATTGCTTGGAAGCCTAGGAAGTTGAGGCTGCAGTGAGCTATGATTGCACCACTGCATTCCAGCCTGGGCAACAGCAAGATCCCGTCTCAAAAAATTAGCATTGTACTATATGTTACTTATGTTGTTATTTTTCCTCACGGACACCATGGGCGTGGACCAAATTCAGAAAACGATGAAGTCTGTTCTTGGGGAGATGGGATAGGAGCTGTAGCTTGGCTGGGCTGGCTTAAGAATCAGGCTTGTCTGGAAATCGGAGGGACCGTCATGAGAAGCTGTTGGTTTCCGATCGTC
This sequence comes from Homo sapiens, assembly GCF_000001405.40. Taxonomy (NCBI): domain Eukaryota; kingdom Metazoa; phylum Chordata; class Mammalia; order Primates; family Hominidae; genus Homo; species Homo sapiens. The sequence continues at coordinate 2,678,864 of NC_000019.10, read as the reverse complement.
GAAGGCTGCATGACGGAGGATGGGTTGGCTGGTGCAAAGGTCAGGGAAGGGATTCTGTTGGCATGGGGTGTAGACCTGGCGTTGAAGGCCACTCCTAGCTCTGAGAGCTGGGACCCCTTGAGAGAAGTAGTTACCAGGCTGGGGCTTGGCAGAATCAGGGTTGGAGGTGATGATCTTGGAGGCGCTGCCTGCTGCCCAGGACCCTCCGAGACTGGACACCTTATCTGATTCTTCTCCCTGTGTTGTGGATGGGGAAACTGAAACCGTATGCATTTATTACCCCATCCCAGGATTTGGTTCCTCCACCCATAATAGGTGACTGAGTTCAAAGAGCCAAGTGTGACCTGTGTACAGTGGGTGTGACCCACCTGCCCACTGTGTGGCAACCATGTCATCCCTGGAAGTTTGCATTCCGTGGCTTTTCCTCTGTTACTTTTTTGACTCCGTGCCCAAGCCCAGCAGCTTCTGAATCCAAAGCCTTGCTATGCCACAATACCTACTATATTTCAGAAAATTCTGGAAGTTTCCAGAAGCTTCTGGAAGATTCCAGAACATTCTACAAGTCACCTTTCACTTCTTGTATATCTCGCTCCCCCCAGGTTTTACTTCCTCAATGTAGCATGTGCCCTGAGATGGAAGTGACCACAGTCACACCCACTCTCTTGTTTCTTGCTGTGACAGTGTTGGCGTCGGCCACCGCCACCTCCTCTTCCACTCAGGGCCACAGTGGAAGGTCTGGATGCCTGGTGTTCTGTTTTCCTAAGGCTGCTGAACCCTAACTAACATCCACACAGAGGCCACTGGTGGTCAGCACAGGTGGCAGGGTTAGAAAGGTTGGGACTGGCTTTGTCCTTTGAGTCAGAGGGACAGTCACACTCATGTTTGTGTGACCATATGCATGTGGCTATGGTCAGTCCTATAGATTATGGCAGCGGTTATCACTCTCTGTCACTGTGGACCTTGGGGCCAGATCGTTCTCTGAGGTGGGGCCATCCTGGGCACTGTAGGGTGCTGAGCAGCGTCCCTGGCCTCCACCCACTCTATGCCAGGGACACCCCGAGTTGTGACAACCAAAGATGTCCCCAGACATTGCCCAGTGCCCCATGGGGGGCAGAATCACCCCCAGGTGAGACCCCCGGGGGTTAGGGGATTCCACAGATCCCCAAGAAACTCTGTGTCTCATGATCCTCTGTCCTCCTGAGGTTCCAGGAGGCTGCACACATTGTAATCCACACCCTGAGTGGGGAGGGAGAGAGGAGGAGAATCGCAGGAGCTGGGGCCCCCCTTGGTTTCTGCCATCCACCCCATCGGGAATTTTTTCTAGTGTCTGGTGTCAACAGGGAGCAGATACAATATTTTTCCAAATAATTAAGGCAGAGTCTCTCCCCCTTGGCATTCAGGGCTGGGTCGTTCTCTGGGGTGGGGTTGTCCTGGCCACTGCAAGGTTCTGATCAGCATCCCTGGCCTCCACCCACTCCACGCCAGGAGCATCCCTGAGTCATAACAGTCACAAATGCCCCCAGACACCACCTAGCATCCCCTGGGGACCAGAAGGACCCCTGGTTGAGAACCACGGTTGTATAGAAAGGAATTGAAGCAAAAAAAAAAAAATGGAATTCTCTGCTCCCCTGTGGCATCCTGTTGATGGATTAGATTCAGCCTCCATGCTCCAACACCGAGCTCAGCGTCTCCTGGAAGGCCCTGTCTCCAGAGGACGTTCCCAGATCCTGCTCCCTGGAAGAATTCTTGCGAGCATATATGCAAGTGTAATTAAGCGGCCGTTTTTCCTCTGTGGTGACACAGATTTGGGTCTGCAGTAAAGATATGGAGTCCCTTTAGAGCTGAGAGCCGGATCACGGCCAGGAGAATGCCTTGCTTTGAGATTCTCTGGGAATCGGGAGTCCTGCCTGGGTGGAAATCAGCCCTGGACAGGGAGGGAATGTGCAGATCGGAGCAAGTGGCTTGTTTCTTCCTGGCAACCCCAGAAGCTGTCTGAACAGCTTCTCTCTGCCACACATCTCTTTGAGTCTTGCACCCGCCCGGCTGAAAATTACACCCAACTCCTCCAGCCGGGTCTAGGAAGTGGTGCAAGCTCCTGAACCTCCATCTGCAGAATAACTAACTAGCTGTTCCTGAAAACCACCAAAGAGGCTGGGCGCGATGCCTCACACCTGTAATCCCAGGACTATGGGAGGCCGAGGCGGGAGGATCACTTGAATCTGGGAGTTTGACACCAGCTTGGGCAACATGGTGAAACCCCATCTCTACAGAAAGCGAAAACAAAAATTAGGCAAGCATGATGGTGCGCGCCTGTGGTCCCAGTTCCTTGGGAGGCTGAGGTGGGAGGATCGCTTGAGCCAGGCGGTGGAGGTTGCAGTGAGCTGAGACTGTGCCACTGCACTCTAGCCTGGGCGGCAGAGATATATCGCTGAGGGTTTGACGGACACTTCTAGATGGAAATCAATGTCTATCTGGTGCCTTGGGGGCTGTGCATGTTCACGAGGAGGGTGTCTGAACATGCCAGGATGTGGGTGCCTAGGGGAGGGTCTCTGTGGGGTGAAGTTTGGATATTTGAGGGCGCCCATGGAAAATGACTTCAACCTGCATGGCTCAAAACCACAGAAATGGATTTTCTGGCAGTTCTAGAAGCCAGAAGTCTGAGACGAAGGTGTGGGCAGGGCCGTTCCCGGCCCAGAAGCTCCCGGGGAGGATCCTTCCTGCCTCTTCCAGCATCTGGCAAGTGGCCGGCGGTTCTTGGCGCCCCTGGGCTGGTGACATCGCTCCAGTCTCTGCCTCCATCCTCACACGGCCCCCTTCCCTGTGTGGGTCTGTGTCCAAATTTCCCTCGTCTTATAAGGACATCAGTTATTGGATTTAGGGCTCATCTTAATCCAGCACAACCACATCTTAATAATAAGTCCATCTGCAGAAACCCTGTTTCCAAATAAGGTCCCATTCTGAGGCATCTGGCTCAACAATATTTTCTTCCAAATAATTAACTTTGAGTCTCTTCCCCCTGGTGCTGTGGACATTGGGGCTGGATCATTCTCTGGGGAGGGGCCATCCTGGGCACTGCAGGGTGCTGAGCAGTGTCCCTGGCCTCCACCCACTCCATACCAGGAGCTCCCCCCAATCGTGAAAACCACAGATGTCCTCAGACCTCCCCCGCCCCATTGAGACCCCCAAGTGTCGGGAATATCTTTTCTGTTTTCATATGTTTTTCTTTGTATCTTATAGGATCCTGGGGAAATATTTCCCCCAGCAGTCCCTCATAGGAGCCAATTTAGGTCATCGCTGTCCTTCAGAACTGTCCTCTGCAGAGGGGCCGCGACATCTGATATTCTCTACTCTTTAACCAGCCTGGTTTGCTAAATAACGCTCCCTGCTTCTTTACCGTCAAGCGACCTCTCCTGCTCGGCACTGCTGGCATTTCCTGGTCTTCGTGGTTGCAGATTTTTGGTGGGTCACACCGGGCTTGGTCACGAAGCTGTCCCTTCCTGGTGTCCCCTTGAGCCTGGAGGTTCCATAAAGCCAGATTCCCATTCCCGAGCCCGTGCACTTGCTGCTGTTCCTGGCTGGTTCCAGGGTTTGACCAGTCGTCCACCGTTGCAGAGAGAGACCTGTTAGTTCTTCAGGGGCACGACAGGAATTTCTGGCGTGCATCCGTCTCCGAGAACGTGATCTGTTTGGGTTCATTTATGAACACGTCCAACTGTTAGGAGTGCTTGGCGCCGTTGCGGATTTGTTTGGAGAAGCTAAAGCAGTCTGTAACCCTGTCGCGTTTTCCATGTGTTAAAACATTACCAGTCCCGAGTGTGTGAAAATCTGGATTTTTATCTATTCTAGTCTCAGCCAGAGGGGGAGGCGTTATGACAGTTCCGTTTTAGGAAAAGTAGTACGGTATACATTACGAAAGAGCATTGTTTTCTAACCGAGTCCGTTTCTGGTGACGTACAATGGCACAGTTTTCAAACTTGACTATGTAGAAAAGCTGCCCGATGGAGTCGGCGCTGTCGAGGGTGGAAATGCGAGTTACGACCATCACATAAGGAGATCTCTGTTTTCTTCAACACTCCCTGACTTTGCATCTCAGCAGGTGTCCTCTGTGTTTTAAAACAGTCACCTTGCAGGCCAGACGCAGTAGCTCACGCCTGTAATCCCAGCACTGTGGGAGGCCAAGGCGGGTGGATCACCTGAGGTCAGGAGTTCGAGACCAGCCTGGCCAACATGGTAAAAACTCGTCTCTACTAAAAATGCAAAAATTAGCCGGGCATGGTTGTGGGCGCCTGTAATCCCAGCTACTTGGGAGGTTGAGGCAGGAGGATCGCTTGAGCCCAGGAGGTGGAGGTTGCAGCGAGCTGAGATTGCACCACTGCACTCCAGCCTAGGCAACGGAACAAGACTCTGTCTCAAAAAAAAACAAAACAAAAACAAAAAACAAAAACACCAGTCACCTTTGGAGACCTTGCCCTTTTCCCAGCAGTGTGACGATTCTGATTCCCTTCAAGAGTGGATTGTACTGCTTTTGTATATTTCAAACATACAATTGTGTGTATTTCCATTATATTTCAGATTCTTTTTTCTTGTTTGTTTTGTTTTTGAGATGGAGTCTCACTCTGTTGCTCAGGCTAGAGTGCAGTGGGGTGATCTCGGCTCACCGCAACCTCTGGCTCCCAGGTTCAGGCAATTCTTTTGCCTCAGCCTCTGGAGTAGCTGGGATTATAGGCAAGGTGCCACTACACCTGGCTAGTTTTTATATTTTTAGTGGAGATGGGGTTTCACCACGTTGGCCAGGCTGGTCTCAAACTCCTGACCTTGGGTGATCCGCCCACCTTGGCCTCCCAAAGTGCTGGGATTACAGGCGTGAGCCACGGTCCCTGGCCTCAGATTTCTTTTAGGGTAGTTTTGAATTTTGGAAACAGCCTATATTAGTTAGCTAATTCTGTGTAACAAATTATCACAAATGTATCCTAAGAAAACTCTGAAATATATTGGAAATATACACAATTGTATGTTTAAAATATACAAAAGCAGTACAAGGCCCTCTCTCTAAAAAAAGAAAGAAAGAAATTTTCTAAAAAGACCAGTATCCATACATTATCACGAACTCAACTCCACACTTTATTTACATTTTATTTTTCTTTCTTTCTTTCTTTCTTTTTTTTTTTTTTTAGATGGAGTCTCGCTCTTTCACCCAGGCTGGAGTGCCAGTGGTGTGATCTTGGCTCACTGCAACCTCCACCTCCTGGGTTCAAATGATCCTCCTGCCTCAGCCTCCCAAGTAGCTGGGATTTCAGGTGCCTGCCACCCTGCACGGCTAATTTTTGTATTTTTAATAGAGGCAGGGGTTCACCATGTTGGCCAGGCTGGTCTCGAATTCCTGACCTCAGGTGAGCCGCCCGCCTCGGCCTCCCAAAGTGCTGGGATTACAGGCGTGAGCCACGGCGCCCGGTCTTTATTTCCATTTTCTTGTTTTTTCCAGGAACCCACATGCCATTGACTCCCGACATCTCCTTACACTCTGCTGGGACACTTCTCAGACTCATTGGTTTTGATGACCTGCTGGGTTTTTTTTTGTTTTGTTTTGTTTTGTTTTGTTTTTTTTTTGAGATGGAATCTCGCTCTGTCACCCAGGCTGGAGTGCAGTGGTGCTATCTCAGCTCGCTGCAAGCTCCGCCTCCCGGGTTCACGGCCATTCTCCTGGCTCACCCTCCTGAGTAGCTGGGACTACAGGCGCCCGCTGCCACGCCCAGCTAATTTTTTGTATTGTTTAGTAGAGACGGGGTTTCACCGTGTTAGCCAGGATGGTCTCGATCTCCTGACCTTGTGATCTGCCCGCCTCGGCCTCCCAAAGTGCTGGGATTACAGGCATGAACCACCGCACCCGGCCAACCTAGTGGTTTTGAGGAGGACTCGTCAGGAGTTTTGTAAAATGTCCCCCAACGTGAGTTTCCATGATGTTTGCTCTTGAATAGTCTGGGGTTCAGGGCTCTGGGGAGAACACATCAGGGGCACGTGACGTCCACACTGGTGGTGTTGACATTGGTCACCTGGCCAAGGTAGAACCCAGTGGCTTTAAACTTTGAATTATTGCCAGCATTTAAAAATCAGGGGTCACAGACCAGGCGCGGTGGCTCACACCTGTAATCCCAGCACTTTGGGAGGTCGAGGCGGGCAAATCACTTGAGGCCAGGAGTTTGAGACCAAGCTGGCCAACATGGTGAAACCCTATCTCTACTAAAAATACAAAAATTAGCCGGTGTGGTGACACACACTTGTAATCCCAGCTACTCAGGAGGCTGAGGCAGGAGAATTGCTTCAACATGGGAGGCAGGGTTTGCAGCGAGCTGAGATCGCACCACTGCACTCCAGCCTGGATGACAGAGTGAGACTCTGTCTCAAAAGAAAAAAAAAAAAATCGGGCGTCACACCTGTAATTCCAACACTTTGGGAGGCTGAAGCAGGAGGATTGCTTGAGGCTGGGAGTTCTAGACCACCCTGGGCAACACAGTGAGACCCCATCTCTACAAAATATTTAAAAATAGGCCAGGTGCAGTGGCTCACGCCTGCAATCCCAGTGCTTTGGGAGGCTGAGGCAGGAGGATGACTTGAGGTTAGCCTGGCCCACATGGCAAAACCCTGTCTCTACTGAAAATACAATTAGCTGGGTATGGTGGCAGGTGCCTGTGGTCCCAGCTACTCGGGAGGCTGAGGCAGGAGAATTGCTTGAACCTGGCAGGCAGCAGTTGCAGTGAGCTGAGACTGCGCCACTGGGTGAGAGAGCGAGACTCCATCTTTTTTTTTTTTTTTTTTTGAGACGGAGTCTCACTCTGTCACCCAGGCTGGAGGGCAGTGACGCAATCTCGGCTCACTGCAAGCTCCACCTCCCGGGTTCATGCCATTCTCCTGCCTCAGCCTCCCGAGTAGCTGGGACTACAGGTGCCCACTGCCACGCCCGGCTAATTTTTTGTATTTTTAGTAGAGACGAGGTTTCACTGTGTTAGCCAGGATGGTCTCGATCTGCTGACCTCGTGATCCACCCGCCTCGGCCTCCCAGAGACTCCATCTTAAAAAAAAATAAAATAAAATAAAATGAAACTAAAAATCAGGAGATTTTACAATAGAACATCTCCCAGCTTCTCAGAGTAGTTGGAGGAGCTGATGACATTGGGCTTCACACCCACTGGGGCAGGAGCGGTGCCTGATGCCCTTTGAATGGGCCAGGTGTTGTCTCTCTGGGGCTCCGCATGCTACCCGTCACCTTCCCGCCTCAGGGCTGACCTCAAATTCATGACCCCTGGACATGGCCTCGGAGCTCAGCCAGGACGAACGTTCCCCTGCCTGGCTCCTCCCCAGCTCTCGGGTCTCGGGGAGGCGGCTGAAGCTGGGGGAAGCGTGTGAGGCAGAAGGCAGGCCGGACAACGTCACCTTGAGCCTCATTCACCTCGTTCGTCAGCACTTGGAGGGTTGGTCCTTTTGGCTGGTGCTGGCCAGGTCGAGGCTCAGAGCCACCGGTGTCCAGGGGGATCCGGGGTGGTCCTCGGCCTTCCTGCAACTGCCAGGGTGGTCATCAGAAAGGCTCCTGAGCTGCTGGGAGTTGGTGGAAGGTGGGTTGTCTGAGATCAGCTGGAGAGTTTTAAACATAGTTGGGTACTGATTTGTGGTCGTCACAGTTAAGAGAGGGGCAGCTCCTGGCATGGACTGGGTGGAGGCCAAGGATGCTGCTCAGCACCCTGCCGTGCCCAGGGTGACCACAGAGAACGATCCATCCTTGAATTCCAAGGGGGAGAGACCCTGCTTTAATTATTTGGAAAAATATCGAGTCTGCTCCCTGCTCACACCAGACACCAGAATAAACTCCCAAAATCAGGGGGACCCCCAGCTCCTGGGATTCACCCCCTCTCTCCCTCCCCACTCAGGGTGGGGATATCAATATGTGCAGCCTCCTGGGACCTCAGCAGGGCAGAGGATCATGGGACGCCGTCTCTTTGTGGGAGGGGTGGTCCTTGGAATCTGTAACCCAGGGGGTGTCAATGGTGGATGATTCTGTCCCCCAGGGGACACCTGGTAAAGTCTGGGACATTGTGGTTGTCACAACTTGTGGGGGGCGGGGCGAGGGCTCCTGGCATGGAGTGGGTGCAGGCCAGGGATGCTGCTCAGTACCCTGCAGTGCCCAGCACAGCCCCGCCCGAGAGAACACTCCAGCCCCAGTGCCTCAGCAGTGCCTAGGGGAGGAGACCCTGGACCAAAGTGACCCTCAGAGAATAGGGTGCTCTGTGAATCTCCACACCCGTCACACAGCCATGCCCGAGGCAGCTCAGGGTCTGGGAAAACAAGCCACATGGGACGCAGTGGCCGTCCTAGCTCAGCAAGTCTGACCGTCTGGAGGCTGCAGGGCTGACTTTGTGGAGTCAGGGTGACCTGTGTGCCTGCAGACACCGGCGCTGGGAGCGCAGGCCTCAGCTCTGTCCCCCGTGACAGCGGGGTCGAGGTGACAGCACGGCTCCCGCGGGGGCCTCAGAGGCAGGCCTGCTGCCAGTCTCTGCTCCCCCGACAGTGGGGTGGGTCTATCCCCACTGGTGCTCCTTCCTCTGGAGCCAGGCTGAGGGGAGGGTGGGTCTCCGTGGCCAGAACCAGGCTGCACCAGACAGAGCTTATTTCACCCCCTGAGGAGGCTGACCCTGCTGTTTTTGTTCCTCCAACAAAATATTAACGGAGCACTCAGAGAGAGAGAGAGACAGAGAGTTTCAAAAGAAAACAGTCAGAGGCCTTGAAGTAATGATGTAGGGCTCTGGGGCTCTGTCTTGTGAGGTGTCCACACACCTTTTCTTTTTCTTTCTTTTTTTTTTTTTTTTGAGACAGAGTCTCGCTCTGTCACCCAGTCTGGAGTGCATTGGCGCGATCTCAGCTCACTGCAACCTCTACCTCCCGAGTTCAAGTGATTCTCATGCCTCAGCCTCCCGAGTAGCTGGGATTATAGGTACCCGCCACCACGCCTGGCTAATTTTTGTATTTTTAGTAGAGACGGGGTTTCACCGTGTTGGCCAGGCTGGTCTTAAACTCCTGGCCTCAAGTGATCCTCCCGCCTCAGCCTCCCAAAGTGCTGGGATAACAGGCATGAGCCGCTGCACCCAGCCATCAACAGACCTCTTCTGTAAAGAGCCAGAGAGTAAATATTTTCGACGCTCTGAGCCAGGCGCTCTCCGTTGCAGGCACTCAACTCTGCTGTTGATGTTGGAAAGTGCCCTAGATAGTACATAAACGGGCATGGCTGTATTTCAACAAAACTTATTGACGAAAGCAAGTGGTGGGCTGGATTTGACCCACAGTGGTAGTTTTTTTGTTTGTTTGTGTTTGTTTTTGTTTGTTTGTTTTGAGACAGAGTCTCACTCTATCACCTAGGCTGGAGTGCAGTGGCACGATCCCGGCTCACTGCAACCTCTGCCTCCTGGGTTCAAGCGATTCTCTTGCCTCAGTCTCCCAAGTAGCTGGGATTACAGGCATGCACCACCACGCCCAGCTAATTTTTGTATTTTTAGTAGAGATGGGGTTTCACCATGTTGGTCAGGCTGGTCTCGAACTCCCGACCTCGTGATCTGCCCGCCTTAGCCTCCCAAAGTGCTGGGATGGCAGGTGTGAGCCACCGCGCCCAACCCACAGCGGTAGTTTTCTGATTCTTGCCATGTTAGACCAGCATTGCCCAGCATAGGGGTCTCTGTTACTAAAGTGGCAGTCAACACACACGACCACCCCCTTCTTTGAGACTTACTCCTAGGGTGGTGACCTTGAGCTGACTTTACCTCGTTTCAGTGTGTTTCCCCATCTGTGGAAGGAGGATTATATGTATCCCTTATGGGGTTGTCAGGTGGATTAAGCTGGATATTGTGGGACCGTGGTTTCTCAGCAGGAATGATCCTACTTCCCAGGGGACATTTGGCAATGTCTGGGGACATTTGCGGTTGAGGGGTGTTCCCAGCATAGAGAGGATGGAGGCCAGGGATGCTCCTCAGCACCCTGCGGTACTCAGCACAGCCCCCTACCACAGCCATTGGCCCCAAATGTCAGCACCAGGTGTGGGTGACAATATCTAACCCGCTGTGCAAAGATCAGGATGTCACGGCATATTATCAGTTGTCTTGCTTCTTCCTTCAGACCACAGCATCACCCTTATTTTCTAGAACTTTCCATCCATAAAACTGCAGCCCTCCTCCAGCCCAGGAGCGGCTGCACCCTTAGCAGGCATTCATTGAGCGCTGCCTGGATGCCGACAGCCTTGGTAGGGAATACACCATGCTGCCGAAATTGGCCTCGGGTGTTCCGGGGGCTCCCTCCAGCAGCCCCTCCATCTCCCTGGGGTTGGGGTCCTTGGTGGCCGTCACCGAGCCAGGGAAACAGGAGACAAGACCAACCGCCCAGCCACTGGTTCCCCCACCCCTCCCATTCTTTTCATAAGCGCAAATTTCCCCTGCCAATTTGCATATCCCGTTTTTAGCGTCTTTCTTTTCTAGGTTTTACATAATCATCTCATTATTAGATGCTGGCACATGAACTTAATGTTCCCTCAATCACATTTTACAGCATTTTCTAGCGTAAGTAGCTAATTGCCTGTCGTCCTTCTCTTCTCTCTGTCTCTTTTTTTTTTTTGATAAACTTTTCATTTTAGAATAGTTTCAGATTTACAGAAAAACTGGGAATGCAGTGCAGACAGTTTCATCTCCTCACCACCCAATTTTCCTTAGTATTCACATCCAATGGCATGGTGCGTTTGTCACAGCGAATAAACCAGTATTGATACATCTTCATTAACCCAAGTCTGCACTCTGTTCAGATTTCCTCAGTTTCCTCTAATGTCCTCTCCTGCCCCAGGGCCCCATCCAGGATCCCATCTCTGGCCTGTGACAGTTTTTCAGATTTTCTTTTTTGTTGTTGTTGTTTGCTTTTTCTTTTTTTGGGAGACAGAGTTGCTCTGTCTCCCAGGCTGGAGTACAGTGGTGCAATCTCGGCTCACTGTAATCTCTGCCTCCTGGATTCATATCATTCTCTTGCCTCAGCCTCCCCAGTAGCTGGGACTACAGGCACCCACCACCATGCCCGGCCTATTTTTGTATTTTTAGTAGAGACGGGGTTTCACCATGTTGGCCAGGCTGGTCTTGAACTCCTGACCTCAGCTGATCTGCCTGCCTCCGCCTCCCAAAGTGCTGGGATTACAGGCATGAGCCATTGCGCTCGGCCTACTTTTAAATTATTTTTGTAGAGATGGGGTCTCACTGTGTTGTCCAGCTGGTCTTGAACTCCTGGCCTGAAGTGATCCTCCTGCCTCGGCCTCCCAAAGTGCTGGGATGACAGGTGTCAGTCACTGCACCTGGCCCCAAATGAGATATTCCGAATGCCCTTTGCAGCCGAGGTTTTCTGGCGAGCACATAGAGGTGAGGTATTCACGCACAGAAGATAGATGGTAAGAAAAGAAACAGCCGTTTTCTGCATTTCAAAGAAACAAAACCTTGGGGCTGTGAAAATTTTTGTTGTTTGTTTGTTTGTTTTTTGAGAGGGAGTCTCACTCTGTGGCCCAGGCTGGGTTGCAGTGGCGTGATCTCTGCTCACTGCAACCTCCGCCTCCCGGGTTCAAGCGATTCTGCCGCCTCAGCCTCCCAAGTATCCGGGATTACAGGCGCAGCACCTTGCCCGGCTGATTTTTGTATTTTTAATAGAGACGGGTTGGGTTTCACCATGTTAGCCAGGCTGGTCTCGAACTCCTGACCTCAAGTGATCCACCCGCCTCAGCCTCCCAAAGTGCTGGGATTACAGGCGTGAGCCACCGCGCCCGGATGAGTGTGTGTTTTGTGTGAAGGGATGCTCTGTGCTAACTCTGCCGTGTGATGTTGAGGATCGGAGGTGAATCTTTTTTGACAGGACCCTCATCTAATTTCAGGATGGAAGACTGGAACACTGCCTAGATGAGAGTATTTAGTTGCTGAAATGGTGCTATTTTGTCTTAGACTGTTTTGCGAGGGTCTCAACCAATGGCCTTGGGGGCAAATCCAGGCCACCTGTTACTATAAATAAAGTTTTATTGGCACACGATGGGCCATGCCCATTTATTTATGCATAGTCTATGGCTGCTTTCAAAATACAACAGCAGAACTGTGTAGCTGCAACAGAGAACATATGTTCCGTAAGGCTGAAAATTTTTACATCCTGCCCTAGACAGAAACACTTTGCTGTGCTCTGGTCTAGTCCAGAAAGGAGGTAATCTGGCCAGGCAAGGTGGCTCACACTTGTAATCCCAGCACTTGGGGAGGCTGAGCAGGGAGGATCGCTTGAGCCCAGGAGTTCAAGGCCAGTCTGGGCAACATAGCAAGATCCTATCTCTATGAAAAGTAAAAACTAAAAAAGCAGGCATGGTGGCTCACACCTATGTAATCCCAGGACGTTGGGAGGCTGAGGTGGGCAGATCACCTGAGGTCAAGAGTTTAAGACCAGCCTGGCCGACATGGCGAAACCCCATCTCTACTAAAAATACAGAAATTAGCCGGGCATGTTGGCAGGTGCCTGTAATCCCAGCTACTCGGGAGGCTGAGGCAGGAGAATCCCTTGAACCCGGGAGGCTGAGTTTGCAGTGAGCTGAGATCGTGCCACTGCACTCCAGCCTGGGCGACAAGAGCAAGACTCTGTCTCAAAATAAAAATGAATAAATAAATACAATAAAAATTAAAACATAAGCCGGGCACGGTGGCACTTTGGGAGGCTGAAGCAGGCAGATCACCTGAGGTCAGGAGTTCGAGACCAGCCTGACCAACATGGTGAAACCCTGTCTCTACTAAAAATACAAAAATTAGCTGGGCGTGGTGGCGGGCGCCTCTAATACTGGCTATATGGGGGACTGAGGCAGGAGAATCACTTGAACCCGGGAGGCAGAGGCAGTGAGCCAAGTTCGCACCACTGCACTCTAGCCTGGATGACAGAGCAAGACTCCATCTCAAAAAATAAGTAAAATAAATTGAAAAAGAATAATAAAAGGAGGTAATCCAGGTTCTAAATAATAAAGCCAGTATGTGCCATGACCCATGGCTCAGACACCACTTTAAACATTTTATAGATACTCATTTATGTAATCTCCAAAACCAGTCTCACAGGGTGGATGCTGCTTCGATGTGCATTCTACAGAGTGGGAAACTGAGGCACAGCGACAGTGGCAAGGGACTGAAGGTCACCCAGCCAGACAGCGAGTCGTGAAGTCAGAATGGAGTAGCTCTTGTCCAGCACTCCACCTTGGCCATACCAGAGCGTACGTCCCCACCCAATCCTTCCTCGGGACTCAGTGGAGCTATTTTCACATTGAGGGGAAATAGAAATCCGTTCGTTCTCATTTTCTTTCTTTTTTTTGTCCCGCATGGCCCTCTTCCCAAATCCTTGTTGCCCGTCTCACCAGACATTCCAGTTCCAAGAGGTGGGGTGTGGCGAGGACTGTCCAGCACGGCAGGGTGATCCTGCCCCCCCCCCCCCAGGGGACACTGGGCCATGTCTGGGGACATTTGTGGCTGTCACCATTGAGAAGTGCTCCGGGCATGCAGTGGCTGGAGGTCACGGATGCCGCTCAGCGTGCTGCAGTGCTCAGGACGGCTCCATCCCAGAGAATGGTACAGCCCCAGTGTCCACCGTGCCTGGGAGGAGAGACTCAGCATTCATTATTTGGAGAAGAAATGGAGTCTGCTTCCTGCTCACCAGGACACACTCCTGATGGGGCAGACGGTGTAAACCAGGGGACCCCAGCTCGTGGGATTCACCTCCTCTCTCCCTCCCCCCAACTAAAGGTGTGGATTTCAATGTGTGCAGCCTCCTGGGACCTCAGCAGGACAGAAGATCAGGGGACAGAGTATCTTGGGGGTCCGTGGAATTTCCTAATTCAGGGGGTGTCAACTGAGGGTGATTCTGCCCCAGGGGACACTGGGTGTTGTCTGAGGACATTTGTCGTTGTCACAACTTGAGGATGGTCGTGGCGTGGAGTGGGTGGAGGCCAGGGACACTGCTCAGCACCCTGCAGTGTCCGGGACAGCTGCACCCTAGAGAATGACCCAGCTCTGAATGTCCACGGTTTCCAGGGGAGAGACCTTGCATTAACTGGCAAAAAAATGAGTTTGCTCCCTGCTCACAGTAGACACCAGAATAGATTCCCGATGGGGCAGACGGTGTCAGCCGGGGCCATCCTCCCAGAGTGACCTAGAGGACTGGGTGAGGAGGGTCTCTAGAGCACTGAGGGTGCAGGACACAGAGCCAACCGTCTGATTGTTCCTTCCCCCTCCTTGACCTCGGCTCACAGAGACCTTGAACCCTCAGGGTCAAGCAGGCCTGCCCCTTTGTTCTGTGTGCCCCAGGGTGCAGTGGAGCCTGTTCCAGGTCACGCCCGGCCTGGCCGTCATCAGTCTCGTGGCTCTGAAGCAGCCACGTCACTCCCCCAGTCCCGGCACCTCCCCTGCGCCTGCACCTGGGTGAGAGCCCGTCCAGGCCTCTCTGCCCCCTTCCTTTGCAATCAGCACTTTGCTGGTGACATATTTAGATGGTTGCTGTGGTGATGAGTGAAGGCTGAGGTTGACAACTTCAGCGATGGCACAAAGGACAGGGCTGTGTTTCTATATCCAGCCTCCAACGAGACAAGACGCCCCTGCCACGTGCTGGCAGAATGTCAGCGTGGGAAGGGAAGGGGGCTCTGACAGCCCGTCCTGCCCACTCAGTTCCCAGAGGAGGAAGTGCAGCCGGGCCTGGGGGGCGGTGGAGGATAGGCCTGTCATCAAATGTCAGGTCCCTGGCTGTCCTGCCCTTGAGGGACATGCCTTAGAGCATTGGGTCTCAACTGGGGGCAAGCCTGCCCCCTGGGGGACACTGGTAATGTCTGGGGACATTTGTGGGTACCGTGACTTGGGGGTGCTCCTGGCCTGGAGTAGGTGGAGACCAGGGATGCTACTCAGCACTGTGCAGTGCCCAGAACGGCCCCACCCCAGAGAATAATCAAGCCCCAGTTTAATAGTGTCAAGATCAAGCCACGTTGCTTTAGTAGGAAATAGATAAAAGCCAGTGGATTTGTTCAGTTTTAAAAACTGGTGCTGGCATGCATATCTTGATAATTTGCAAAATGCCAAAATGAATCATTTTCTTGGCCTGGTCATTCTTCTGATTTGCCCTCAGTGAATGTACCTTATCCATCTGGGCTTTTGCATCTCTCCCAATTATCAGGTTGATAGATATTGGAAAAACAAGAAAATGAAAAATCCAATTGCTGGCTTTTAGGAAAAGGTAATGTTTGACTACACACCTGTCTTTATTTTGTGCTGCTATAATGGAATGCCATAGACTGGATAATTTATAAATAATAGAGATTTGTTTCTTAACGGTTCTAGGGACTGGGAAGTCCAATGTCGAGGTGCTGGCATCTGGTGAGGGCCTTCTTGCTGCGTCAGAGGTGGAAGGGCAAAAGAGCACATATATGAAAGATTGGGGAACTGGGGAAGAAAGAGGAGGGGGGGGAGAGAGAGAGAAAGGGTGAGAGGGAGAGAGAAAGAGAGATGGCATTAATGAGGGTAGGGCCTTCATAACCTAATCACCTCTTAAAGTTCTCACCTCTCAACATGGTGGCATTGGGAATTAAAGTTTCTACAATATGCTTTTTGGGAGACACATTCAAACTATAGCAACATCTGCTTGGAGGAGTCATGTGGATCAGCCCTTCCTTCCCTTTGCAGATGTACCAGTTATCTATCACTGTGTAACAAATTACCCCAACACTTAGCTTAAACAGCAAGCATTTACTATCCTGCAGTTTCTGTGGGTCAGTGGGATATTATATTACTTGCATTATATTTATTATATTATTTGGTCTTTGTCCTGATTTTTTTCTGGTGCAGAACTCCTAAAATCCTTGGAATCTGCAAAGTCATGTCTTTTTGTATGATGATAAGTCGACTGATGGCTGACAGCTTCTAGTTATTTTCAGGAATGGTCTGGCCACCAGAAAGATCAAGGCAGGATGAGAGGGCTGGAACCTTTAGCTGTACCCTCCAGCCTCTGGGGAGGGGAGAAGGGCTGAAGGTTGAGGTGATGACCAGTGGCCAGTGACGCGATCAGTCATGCCTATGAAGTAAAGCCTCCATAAAACTTCAAAAGGACGGGGTTTGGAGAACTTTGAGATAGCTGAGCACATGGAGGTTCCTGAAGGGTAGCATGCCAAGGAAGCTTTGCCCTTCTTCCCTATACCTCATCCTATGCATCTTTTCGTCTGTATTCTTTGTAATATGCTTTATATTAAACCAGTAAATGTGTTTCCCTGAATTCCGAGAGCTGCTGTAGTAAATTAAACCCAACCCTAACTTCAAGCTGGTCAGTTGGAAGTTCTGGAGGCCCAAACTTGCTACTGGTATCTGAAGAGGTTAGGGGCAGTCTTGTGGGGGGATTTAGCCCTCAACCTGTGGGGTCCAAGGCTGTCTCCAGGTAGATAGCACCTGAATTGAATTGAACTGAATCGAATTAGGGGACAGCTAGCTGGTGTGTGGGGAAACTCCTCTCACATTTGGTCACAGAAATATCTTGGGTTGATTTTTTTTTTTTTTTTTTTTTGAGATGGAGTCTCGCTCTGTCGCCCAGACTGGAGTGCAATGGTGCAATCTCTGCTCACTGCAGCCTCCGCCCCCCAGGTTCAAGTGATTCTCCTGCCTCAGCCTCCTGAGTAGCTGAGATTACAGGTGCCCACAACCACGCCTGGCTAATTTTTGTATTTTTGGTAGAGACAGGGTTTCACCGTGTTGGTCACGCTGGTCTCAAACTCCTGATCTTAAGTGATCCACCTGCCTTGGCCTCTGAAAGTGCTGGGATTACAGGCGTGAGCCACTGCACCTGGCCATGTTGATTGCTGTTGATGTGAGAGCAAGAGGAAAAGCAATTTGAGTTTGAGTTTTTTCCACCCTCACTCAGGAGTTAGGAAGCAGCTCCACTGGGTGATTCTGGCAGTGAATGTGCTGGGGCTGTATCATCTGAAGGCTCGATTGGAGCTGGAGGAGCTGCTTTCAAGAGGGCGCCCTCATGTGGCTGTTGGTGGAGGCCTCAGCTTCCAACTGGCCTTGACAGGAGGGCAAAATGCCCAAATGAGTCGTTCCTTCCTTCTTTCCTTTTTTCCTTCCTTCCTTCCTTTTTTTTTTTTTTTTTTTTTAATGGAGTCTCACTTTGTCAGCCAGGCTAGAGTGCAGTGGCACAATCTTGGCTCACTGCAACCTCTGCCTCTTGGATTCATGCAATTCTTCTGCCTCAGCCTCCCGAGTAGCTGAGATTACAGGCATAATTACAGTAATTAGCCAATTACTGGCTAATTTTTATATTTTTTTTTAGTAGAGATAGGGTTTCACTGTGTTGGCCAGGCTGGTCTCAAATTCCTGATCTCAAATGACCTGCCCCAACCTTGGCCTCCCAGAGTGCTGGGATTATAGGCATGAGCCACTGTGCCCAGCCTGGAGGGCCCATTTCTTTCTTTCTTTCTTTCTTTCTTTCTTTCTTTCTTTCTTTCTTTCTTTCTTTCTTTCTCTTTCTTTCTTTCTTTCTTTCTTTCTTTCTTTTCTTTCTTTCTTTCTTTCTTTCTTTTCTTTCTTTCTTTCCTTTTCTTTTTTTTTTTTTTGAGACAGAGTTTTGCTCTTGTTGCCCAGGCTGGAGTGCAGTGGCACGATCTTGGCTCACTGCAACCTCCGCCTCCCAGGTTCAAGTAATTCTCCTGTCTCAGCCTCTCTAGTAGCTGGGATTACAGGCATGCACCACCACGCCCGGCTAATTTTGTATTTTTAGTAGAGACAGGGTTTCTCCATGTTGGTCAGGCTGACCTCGAACTCCCAACCTCAGGTGATCTGCCCGCCTCGGCCTCCCAGAGTACTGGGATTACAGGTGTGAGCCAACGTGCCCGGCCTGGAGGGCCCATTTCTGCAACACATGGATTTCTTCACAGCACTGCCTGCATTTCCCCACAACATGGCAGCTGGCTTCCCCCAGAACACATGACCCAAGAAAGAACAAGCAAAAGTCACTGTGTCTTTATTTATTTATTTGAGACAGGGTCTTCCTCCATTGCCCAGGCTGGAGTGCAGTGGTATGAGCATGGCTCCCCACAGTCTTGAACTCCTGGGCTCCAGTGATCCTCCTGCCTCAGGCTTCCAAGTAGCTGTGATTACAGGGGCACACCATCACGACTGGCTAATTTTTGTATTTTTTGTACAGATGGTGGTGGGGTGTTGGTGGTGGGGGTGTCTCACTATGTTGCCCAGGCTGGTCTTGAACTCCTAGGCCCCCATCCTCCCATCTCAGCCTCCCAACGTGCTGGGATCACAGGCGTGAGCCACCACACCCAGCCTCGTCTACTTTCTAGCTTGTCTTCTTGTACCTTTGAGGGCAGGAACATGGTAAACAGATGAAAAATATACGTCCAGTTTCTCCCTTCCCTGTGGTTTTGGAGCAGGAGGATGAAAAGGTCTTACCCACAGCATCAACCCTTCAATGGAAGGAATTGTGTTTCTCCCACAGGGAATCAGGATTGGAAAGGGATGAGGCTCAGGGAGAATTACACAGAGCCTTGTGGGTGTAACGGGGATGAAGATGTGTTATCTCCCACTTGATGCCATCTTGCAGAAATAAGCTAATCATCTCCAGAATATGCTTTCGTTCACCAAATGGGATTTACACATGCATCCTAGGCTAATCTGCCTTCCACGGATGGCAGGTTCTGTGAGTAATCCGACAGAGGCTAATTGGGACGGATTCCATGAGGACTGCTGTGTGATCCGCTCGCCGCCATGGCCCCTCGGTGAGGAGGATGGCTCTGGTGTGGGTTAATCCAGGCTTAAGTGGCCAGGAGATTTTGATCCTCATGGTATTACATTGTGATGATACTCACAGGGGCTCGGGGGAAAGCAGAAAATCCATTTGGCCAAGACTGACCAGTCTTCTCTCTGGGGCTTATTCAGGAAGCTTGTGGAAGGGGATCCAGTCATAAATGTCAGTGCTTACGGATCATGTTGTCTAAAGTGGGTGTCTCTCCTTTCCTCTTCCTTCCCTCATCCCTCCCTCCCTCCCTCCCTTCCTTCCTTCCTCCATCCCTCCCTCGCTCACACTCATTCCCCTTCCCTTCCTCTCTCCCTCCCTCTCACTCTGTTTTCCTCTCTCTCCCACCCTTTCTCCCTCTTCCTCTCCCTTCCTCTTTCCTTCCCTCCCTCTTTCCCTCCCCTCCTCTCTTTTTTTTTTTTTTTTTTTAAGATGGAGTCTCACTCCTCTATTTCCCAGGCTGGAGTGTAGTGGCGTGATCTCAGCTCACTGCAACCTCCGCCTCCCAGGTCCAAGCGATTCTCCTGCCTCAGCTTCCCAAGTAGCTGGGATTACAGGCAAGTGCCACCATGCCTGGCTAATTTTTGTATTTTTAGTAGAGATGGAGTTTTGCCATGTTGGCCAGGCTGGTCTCAAACTCCTGTCAAACTCCTGACCTCAGGTGATCCCCCCATCTCAGCCTCTCAAAGTGCTGGGATGACAGACGTGAGCCACCGCGCCCGGCCCTCCTCTCCTTTATTTAAAAAAAATCAAGGCCAGGCGCAGTGGCTCACGTCTGTCATCCCAGGACTTTGGGAGGCCAAGGTGGGCGGATCACGAGGTCAGGAGATTGAGACCATCCTGGCTAACCCGGTGAAACCTCGTCTCTACTAAAAATACAAAAAATTAGCCAGGTGTGGTGGCGGGCGCCTGTAGTCCCAGCTACTCGGGAGGCTGAGGCAGGAGAATGGCATGAACCCGGGAGGTGGAGCTTGCAGTGAGCCGAGATTGTGCCACTGCCCTCCAGCCTGGGTGACAGAGCGAGACTCCATTTCAAAAAAAAAAAAAAATCAGAACGCTTGGTTCGTGATACAACTCTCACAATTTGTCTCTTCAAGTCCCCCTTTTAATAGACTATTTTTAGAGCAGTTTTAGGCCTAAAGAAGAATTGAGCAGAAGGCAGAGTTCCCACCTATCTCCTCTCCCCGAAAAGGTACGCATTTCCCCCAATGTTACCCTCTCTCATTAATGTGCTACATTTGTTACAACTAATGAGCCAGTGGATACATGATTATTGACTAACAGCTACAGTTTACATTTGGTGTGGCTCACTCTCTAGGGACCTCCTAAGCGTGGAGTTACACAGGATTTGTCCTTTTGCATCTGGCTCATTTCACTGGGCGTGATGCCCTCAAAGTTCATCCACTCTCTAGCCCATGTCAAAATTTCCTTCCTTTTTCAGGCTGAATCATATTCCGTGGCATAATGGATGACATTGTGTTTATCCATTCATCTCTCGGTGGTCACTTGGGTGTCTCTGCCTTTGGGGTGTGGTGAATCGTGCTGCTGTGAACACGGGGGTACATTTTGGTTTCGGGGGATGTACCACGTTTTGTTTATACTTGGCTTATTTTTATAAAGCTCGGGGCTAAAAAGCCTTTTCCATTTTAAAAGTGTTGTAAAAAAACAAATAACAAAGAGGAATATGCAACAGTGACCCTTTAGCTCACAGAGCATAAAATACTTACTTTTTGTCCCTTTGCAGAAAAAATTTGCAGACCCCAGATGTAAGATACTAACATGAGGGGAAACTGGGTGAGGGGCGTTTGAGAACTGTAGGGTCCAGCCCTATAGGGTCTGTGGGTTTTTCTCCCCGTGTGTGGAGACGAGAGATCGTAGAAATAAAGACACAAGACAAAGAGGTAAAAGAAAAGACAGCTGGGCCCGGGGGACCACTACCACCAAGACATGAAGACCGGTAGTGGCCCCAAATGCCAGGCTGCACTGTTATTTATTGGATACAAGACAAGGGGGCAGGGTAAGGAGTATGAGCCATCTCCAATGATAGGTAAGGTCATGTGTCCACTGGACATGGGGCCCTTCCCTGTTTGGCAGCCGAGGCAAAGAGAGAGAGAGAGAGAGGAGACAGCTTACGCCATTATTTCCGCATTTCAGAGACTTTTAGTACTTTCACTAATTCTGTTACTGCTATCTCGAAGGCAGAGCCAGGCAGCTCGTGCCCTCAGTCTCTTGCCTCGGTACCTAGGTTGCCTGCTGCCCATAGGGAACGTTGGACTAGATTTGCAACTTTTCTGTAAATCGAAAATTTTTCCAAAACAGAAACAAAATTTTTTTAAAAGATGGTGTCTTGCTATGTTGCCCAGGCTGGTCTCCAGCTCTCCTGGCTCCAAATGATCCTCCTGCCTCAGCCTCTCCAGTAGCTGGGATTACAGGCACAAGCCCCTGTGCCTGGCTGAAACAAAAGATTTTTGAAAAGGATCCTTGGGGGCAGAATTCAAAAAGTCCTATAAAGCAGGACATGAAACCCAAAAGTCAGGAGTTAGAGACTGGCAGACGACTTTGAGTTTCAGCTCTGAGTGCCTTTGTACTGTTTCTCTTTTTAGGATAAATGTTATTATGTGTATATATATATATATATATATATATATATATATATATATTTTTTTTTTTTTTTTTTTTTTTTTAATTGAGACGGGGTCTTGCTTTGTCACCCAGGGTGAAGTGCAGTGGCACCATTTCAGCTCACTGCAGCTTCGAACTCCTAGGCTCAAGACATCCTCCTGCTTCAGCCTCCCCAGTAGCTGGAACTACAGGTGTGCACCACCAGACCCAACTAATTTTTGTATTTTTAGTAGAGACCGGGTTTCACCATGTTGCCCAGGCTGGTCTCGAACTCTTGGGCTCAAGAAATCTGTCCTCCTAGACCTCCCAAAGGGCTGGGATTACAGGCATGAGCCACCGCGCCTGTAATGAGCCAGTTTTAATTTTGAAGACAATCATTGAAAATTGATCTGACGCTGTTTCATGTTTTAAGGCCTCTCCGCTGCCCCACCCCCAGAGGATTCCAGCACATGAAATCTGTAAACATTTGGTTTTACAGTGTTACTCTTTGCTAAAAATCATTAGGACTTACTCGTTTCTGGCATTCAAGGTCCTCTGAGATCTAACTCTAGTACACGGATTATATCAACCCTTCCTAAAGGGCCGGAGGTAAATTCTTGGCGTTGCAGGCCATGTGCTCTCTGTCGAGGCCTCCCAGCTGTGCTGTAGGAGCCCAGAAGCAGCCATGGATGATATGTAAGTGAACACGCACGGCTGTGTGCCAATAAAACTTTATGTACAAAAGCAAGCAGTGGGCTGCATTTGACCCATGGGCCAGAGTTTACCAACCTCTGGTCTAGTTCATCTTTCTTTCTCTTTTTTTGATGGAGCCTCACTCTGTCACTCAGGCTGGAGTGCAGTGGCGTGATCTTGGCGCACTGCAACCCCCGCCTCCTGGGTTCAAGCTTCTCCTGCCTCAGCCTCCTGAGTAGCTGGGACTACAGGCGTGCACCACCATGCCCGGCTAATTTTTGTATTTTTAGTAGAGACAGGGTTTCGCCATGTTGGCCAGGCTGGTCTTGAACTCCTAACCTTGTGATCCGCCTGCCTTGGCCTCCCAAAGTGCTGGGATGACAGGCGTGAGCCACCGCACCCGGCCTCACATTTTCTGTATCCATTCATCCAACGATGGACATGTAGGTTGGTTTCCTATCTCGGCTATTGTGAATGAGGCTGACAGATTCTGATTTCATTTCCTTTGGATGTATACCCAGAAGTGGGATTACTGGATCATATGGTGGTTCTATCTTTAATTTTTTGAGGAACTTCCATTCCGTTCTCCAGAATGGCTGTGCTCATTTACATTCCCACCAACAGCACACAGGGTTCCCTTTTCTCCACATCCTTACCAATGTTTCTTTTTTTTTTCTTTCTTTCTTTTTTTTTTTTTTGTTTTGAATCGGAGTCTCACTCTGTCACCCGGGCTGGAGTGCAGTGGCACGATCCTGGCTCACTGCAACCTCTGCCTCCCAGGTTCAAGTGATTCTCCTGCCTCAGTCTCCAAGCAGCTGAGATTACAGGTGCCCACCACCACGCCTGGCTAATTTATATATATATGTATTTTTTTTTTTTTTTTTTTTTTCAGACGGAGCCTCTCTCCGTCACCCAGGCTGGAG
This sequence comes from Homo sapiens, assembly GCF_000001405.40. Taxonomy (NCBI): domain Eukaryota; kingdom Metazoa; phylum Chordata; class Mammalia; order Primates; family Hominidae; genus Homo; species Homo sapiens. The sequence continues at coordinate 2,655,804 of NC_000019.10, read as the reverse complement.
TGCAGTGGCGCGATCTCGACTCACTGCAAGCTCCACCTCCCGGGTTCACGCCATTCTCTTGCCTCAGGCTCCCGAGTAGCTGGGACTACAGGCGCCCGCCACCACGCCCGGCTAATTTTTTTGTATTTTTAGTAGAGACAAAGTTTCACTGTGTTAGCCAGGATGGTCTCCATCTCCTGACCTTGTGAGCCGCCCACCTCAGCCTCCCAAAGTGCTAAGATTACAGGCATGAGCCACCGCACCCGGCCTAATTTTTATATTTTTAGTAGAGACAGAGTTTCACCATGTTGGCCAGGCTGGTCTCGAACTCGTGATCTGCCTGCCTCATCCTCCCAAAGTGCTGGGATGACAGATATGAGCCACCGCACCCGGCCATCTTTACTAATGTTTTTTATCTTTTATCTTTTGGATCATAGCCATTCTAACAGGTATCTCATTTTGGTTTTAATTTGCATTTCCTGGCTGATTAATGATCTTCAGCGTTTTTTCATAATCCTGTTGGCTGCCTGCGTGTCTTTATTTGAGAGGTATCTAGTCAGATTATTTAACCCCCTCTTTTTTTTGAGATAGGGTCTCTTTTTGTTTTTGTGTGTGTGTGGTTTTTTTTTTTTTTTTTGAGACAGAGTCTTGCTCTGTCACCCAGCCTGGAGTGCAGTGGTGTGATCTCAGCTCACTGTAGCCTCGACCTCCCAGACTCAGCAATCCTCCCATCTCAGCCTCCTGAGTAACTGGGATCACAGGTGCAGACCACCACACCTGGCTATGTTTTAAAATTTTTTTTGTAGAGATGGGGTCTTGCTATGTGGTCCAGGCTGGTCTTGAACTCTTGAGCTCAATCAGTCCTCCTGCCTCTGCCTCCCAGGGGACACTGGACAATGTCTGGGGACATCTGTGGTTGTCACAACTCGGGGGTGCCCCTGGCATGGAGTGGGTGGAGGCCAGGGATGCTGCTTAGCACCCTGCAGTGCCCAGGATGGCCCCAGCCCAGAGAATGGTCCAGCCCCAATGTCCACAGTGCAGAGGGGGGAGACCCTGCATTCATTATTTCGAAAAAAATAATTGAATTGCGTCTCTGCTCACAACAGACACCAGAATAAGCTCCCAATGGGGCAGACAACATAAACTAGGGGACTCCAGTTCCCGGGATTCTCCTCCTCTCTCCCTCCCCCCACTCAGGGTGTGGATTTCAATGTGTGCAGCCTCCTGGGACCTCAGCAAGGGGGAGGATCATGGGACACAGTCTCTTGGGGATCTGTGGAACCCCCTAACTGAGGAGGTCTTTCTGGGGATGATTCTGTTCCCCAGGGGACATCAGGCAATGTCTGGGGACATCTGTGACTGTCGTGACTGGGGGTGCTCCTGGCATAGAGTGGGTGGAGGCCAGGGATGCTGTTCAGCTCCCTGCAGTGCCCAGGATGGCCCCACCCCAGAGAGTGACCCAGCTCTAATGTCCATAGTGCCTGGGGGTTGGGAGGGGGACCCGTGCTGTTTCGGATCGTGTCTAGGAGGCTGCTCTGGGAACCCGGGGAAGGTGGGAACAGAGCTTGTCATGAAGCGGGAGGGGAGGGTATGCGTCAGAAAAGAAATGACAGGTTTGAAATCTGCAGAAGCTCGTCTTTCCTCTCCGCCTCTCCTCCCCAGCCGGCCCCGCCCCCACCTGGCTTCCTAAATAAAGACCTTCCTCTGCATGGAGACCGCCTCACTCAAACTCACCCCCTCGTGCATATGCAGAGTCTCAAAAGACACGGCCCCGCCCCCGCCACAGCGAGGGTCTGAATGGGAGGTTTGGAGGAGAGCATCTGTGTCCCAGACCCGGCGGTGGGGGGCCCAGGGTGCTGGGCACATCTTCTGGAACCCGGGCTCGCCGAGGCAGGCGAGAGCTGTCCCCTCGCCTCTGTTGGGGATGCCTGCCAAGGTTAGCCATGGGCGAGGCCAGGGACAGCGCCTGGGTGGTGCCAAGGGGACTGTGAGTCACCTGTGGATAGGAGGGCTGAGTGAGGAGGGGACACGGGCCCTGGGCCTCAAGGGCACCATCTGAAGATCCCATAAGGATGAGGACAGGGGAGGCCAGAGGGCAGAAATTCAAGGCAACGGAACAGCTCTAGATGGGGGATGCCCCTGGCATGGGGTGGGTGGAGGCCAGGGACGCTGCTCAGCTCCCCGCAGTGCCCAGGACAGCCCCACCCCAGAGAATGATCCGGCCCCAATGCCCACAGTGCCGAGGGGGAGACCCTACATTCATCTGGAAAAAAATAGACTTCGATCCCTTCTCACTCCAGACACCAGGATAAACTCCTGATGGGGAAGACGGTATAAACCAGGGGGGCCCCCCAGCTCCTGGGATTCTCCTCCTCCCTCCGCCCCACTCAGGATGTGGATTTCAATGTGTGCAGCCTCCTGGGACCTCAGCAGGGCCGAGGATCATGGGACTCAGATCGATCCCTCATCTGCCCTGCTGCGGAATTTCCCAGCTCTGTGTTTGTCTGTTGCAAATCCCCAGGTTTGGGAGCTGAGGGTCTGGCTGTTTGTGTCCTTGGGCGCTGCTTGGAGATACTGGGCTATAAAATCTATCAGCCTTTTCAGAATTACAAGCAAAAATAACAACCAGCACCTTAATAACCCTAGAAGATGCATGCCTTCGACACTGTGGGTGAGGCCTGGTTTTTGTTTTCAGTTTCTATTATTTATTTTATTTTATTTTGATTTATTTATTTGAGTCAGAGTCTTGCTCTGTTGCCCGGGCTGGAGTGCAGTGGTGTGATCTCGGTTCACTGCAGCCTCTGCCTTCTGGGCTCACGTGATCCCTGGAGCCACCATGCCCAGCAAATTTTTAAATTTTTTGTAGAGATAGGGTCTTGCTATGTTGCCCAGGCTGGTTGCAAACTTCTGGCCTAGGGTCTTGCTATGTTGCCCAGGCTGGTTGCAAACTTCTGGCCTTCAGCAATCCTCCCACCTCAACCTCCCAAAGCACTAGGATTACAGGCATGAGCCCTTGTGCCCAGCCCATAGTACAATATCTTTAGCTGGTTCACAGGCTACAGTGACATCTCTCAGTGTTTCCAACACAGCTGAAACTATGTATCCTCTGACCCCCATCTCCCCCTTCCTTTCCCTCCTCTACCACTAACCGCTCTTCTGCTTTCTGTTTCTATGTATTTGGGAGGTTTTGATTGTGTGTTTGTTTTGAGATGGAGTCTCGCTCTGTTCCCCAGGCTGGAGTGCAGGTGGCACGATCCCAGCTCACTGCAACCTCTGCCTCTCGGGTTCAAGCGATTCTCCTGCCTCAGCCTCCTGAGTAGCTGGGATTACAGGCATGCACCACCACGCCCGGCTAATTTTATATTTTTAGTAGAGACGGGCTTTCACCATGTTAGCCAGGCTGGTCTTGAACTCCCAACCTCAGGTGATTTACCCGCCTCGGCCTCCCAAAGCGCTGGGATTACAGGCATGAGCCACCGTGCCTGGCTGTATTTGGGGTTCTTTGCTTGTTTTGTTTTTGGACTCCACAATACGTGGGATTACGCAGTGTTTTTCTCTCTCAGCGTCTGGCCTATTTCACTTGGCATCGTATTCTCCAGGTTCTACAAGGGGGAATTTTATGGCATGCGAATATTTTAATTTTTTTTTTTTGAGACGGAGTCTCGCTTAGCCGTCCAGGCTAGAGTGCAGTAGTGCGATCTTGGCTCACTGCAACCACTGTCTCCCGGGTTCAAGCGATTCTCCCATCTCAGCCTCCCGAGTAGCTGGCATTACAGGCGCCTGCCACCAGACCTGGCTAATTTTTGTATTTTTAGTACAGACGGGGTTTCACTGTGTTGCCCAGGCTGGTCTTGAACTCCTGACCTCAGGTGATCTGCCTGCCTTGGCCTCCCAAAGTGCTGGGATAACAGGCATGAGCCACTGCACCCGGCCTATTTTAATTTTTTAAAGAAAGAAATTGGTCAGGCACGGTGGCTCATGCGTGTCATCCCAGCACTTTGGGAGGCCGAAGCAGGTGGATTGCCTGAGCCCAGGAATTCAAGACCAGCCTGGCCAATATGGCATAACACCATCTCTACAAAAACTACAAAAATTAGCTGGGCGTGGTGATGGGCACCTGTAATCCCAGCTACTTGGGAGGTTGAGGCAGGAGAATCTCTTAAACCTGAGAGGTGGAGGTTGCAATGAGCTGAGATGGCACCACTGCACTCCAGCCTGGGTGACAGAGTGAGACTGTCTTAAAAAAAAAAGAGAGAGAGAGAGAGAGAGAAAGGGAGAGAGAAAAGAAAGAGAAAGAAGAAAGAAGGAAAGAGAGAGACAAAGGAAGACAGAAAGAGAGTAAGAGAGAGAAAGAAAAAGAGAAAGAGAGGGAGGAAAGGAAGGCAGGAGGGAGGGAGGAAGAAAGGAAGGAGGGAAGGAGGGAGGGAGGGATGGAGGGAAGGGAGGGAGGGAGGGATGGAGGGAAGGGAGGGAGGGAGGGATGGAGGGAAGGTAGGGAGGGAGGGAGGGAGGGATGGAGGGAAGGTAGGGAGGGAGGGATGGAGGGAGGGAGGGAAGGAAGGAAGGAAGGAAGGAAGGAAAGGAAGGAAGGAAGGAAGGAAGTCGGACAGAGATCTGGAGAAGTGCCTCCAGGACACAGTGGGGAGGGCCGGGAGGCGGTGGCAGCCCTTCGTACACGAGGTCCCCTGACCACCACCACTGTCCATGGCCTCTGTGTCCCAAGGGGGACTGATCTCTCCCTGCTGACATTCGGCACCTGCTACCTGGAGTGTTTCTTGCCTGTGTCTGAGACTTGCCTGCCTGCTGGGTGGAAGGGCCAGCTGCCCATAGGTGCCCAGGGCCCTGAGCTGGGTTTAAAGCCGGGCTATTGGCGCCTTGAAATCCATACTAATTTATGAACAGGAGGTCCCAGCGGTTCGTGTTGCCCCAGCTCGGCAGTTTCTGAGGGGACCTAACCCCCGCGGAGAGGTCTCTCCTCCTTGTCTCCACTGCTGGCCGCCCGGGTCGATTGTGATTTGTCCACACAGGGAACATGAAAACACAGCGTTTCTGTCAGGCTGAGTGAGCCGCTGAAGGTCGCTGGGGGACAGCCTGGCGCCAGCTGGTGCGGCTCAAGGCCCGAGGACAGAGCGGCTGGGATGCGGCTTCACCCACGCTGTGCTCGCCTCTGACCCAAGCTGCTCTGAGGCCGAGTGCAGACCAAGGGGCATCCGCAGGGATCGCCTCACTGCCAAGTCCAAGGTCTTGAGGACAGCCAGGGGCTGGGGTTAAAGGGCTGGGGACAGGGAGGTTTGCAGTGAAGGCAGAGAGTGAGAACTCATCTTAAAAATGATTCCTAGGGCTGGGAATCATTGTTGCCTGTAATCCCAACAACTTCGGGAGGCCAAGGCTGGCGGATCACCTGAGGTCAGGAGTTCAAGACCAGCCTGGCCAACATGAGGAAACCCCGTCTCTACTAAAAATACAAAAAAAGCTAGCCAGGCATGGTGGTGGGTACCTGAAATCCCAGTTACTCTGGAGGCTGAGGCAGGAGAATCGCTTGAACTCGGGAGGTGGAGGTTGCCGTGAGCCGAGATCGTGCCCCACTGCACTCCAGCCTGGGGGATAGAACGAGACTCTGTCTCAAAAAAAAAAAAAAAAAAGATTCCTATGACACGAATATTCACAGCAGCAGATTCACAATTGCCAACAAGAAGGAACGAGCCGATTGTCCATCCGCCGGTGAATGGATTTAAAAAACACGTCCTTCCATACTCAGGAGGAGTAAGACTCAGCCATGGAAAGGAGCGAGTCTTTGACACAGGTCACAGCATGGATGCACCTTGAGGACGTCACACTCAGTGAGAGACACCAGACACAAAAGGCCACACAGTGTGTGACCCCATTTCTATGAAATGTCCAGGACAGACCCATCCGCAGAGTCAGGGAGGGTGTGCGTGGGGGCCGGGGCTGGGGATCGGGGGCTGATGGCGAGGGGGCTTCTTTGTAGGGTGATGAGAATGTTCTGGAACTACATAAAGGTGATGGTTGGCCAGTTTTGCAAATATACTGAAAACAATGAATTATACACTTCAAGTGGGCGAGTTGTATGGTACAGGCGTTAGTTCACAATAAGGCTGTTTAAAAATAATGATTCCTGGCTGGGCGCGGTGGCTCACGCCTGTAATCCCAGCACTTTGGGAGGCTGAGGCGGGTGGATCATGAGGTCAGGGGCTCAAGACCAGCCTGACCAACATGGTGAAACCCCGTCTCTACTAAAAATACAAAAATTAGCCGGGGGTGGTGGTAGGTGCCTGTAATCCCAGCTACTCAGGAGGCTGAGGCAGGAGAATTGCTTGAACCTGGGAGGTGGAGCTTGCAGTGAGCTGAGATCGCACTCCAGCCTGGGTGACAGAGCAAGACTCCGTCTCAAAAAGTAATAATAATAATAATAATTCCTAGGGGTGAGCGTCTACACTGAATGTATCCGCCTCTCTCAGTTTGCTGGTTTTGATAAGATGTGCCCTAGTTGTGTACGGTGTCGCTGGCAGGGTAGTGAGTTGAAGGGCGCACCAGACCACTTCAAATTCATTCAGTAATTTAAGGTTGTCCAGGTGAAATGGCTACACCTGTAATCCCAGCCCTTTCAGAGGACAAGGTGGTGAGAGGATCACTTGAGCCCAGGAGTTCAAGACCAGGCTGGATAACATAGCAAAGACCCTGTCTCTATTTTTAAAAAATTAAAAATTAGCCCACAAATTAAGCACATTCCTTCCCCCTTCCCAGAACATAAAAACTACAACAGTGATGCCCACCTGTAGGCCCAGCTCCTCAGGAGGCTGAGGAAGGAGGATCGCTTGAGCCCAGGAGGTGGAGGCTGCAGTGAGCTGTGATTACACCATTGCACTCCAGCCTGGGCAATAGAGTGAGGCCCTGTCTCAAAAAAAACAAAAAACAAAAAACAAAAAAAAAAACACATGATTCAGAGTTGAAGGATTATGTTCATAGCTGCCCTGCAAGGTGGAGGGCAGGAGTCTGGGCCTCCTGCAGCCCCGTGGGCATGCCGCTCCAGCCCTTTCATCACTCATCCCTGCTGCCCTGAGCTGCTGCTGTCCTGAGTGGCAGGCCCTGGTGTAGCAGATCCTGCAAGATTCCAGCTGCTGCCAGAGCCCAAGGGTGCCAGGGCATTCCTGTGGCAAGGGCACCACCTGCAGGTGACAGTGAGGATTTCAGCTCCCTATCCCTACCTTTTATTGATGGTAAATTACCCTGAGCTCGTAGAACGGAAACTAGCATTTTAAAAAGTCTGCATTTTTTTTAAATGAACTTTTAATTTTAGATTTTCAGAAGAGTTGCAAAGAAATCCAGAGATTTCCTGTCTACCTCTCACCAGTTTTCCCTTATGTTAGCATCTTATGAAGTCACCATGCATTTGGGGTTGGTCTGTTTTTGAGACAGTGCCGTGCTCTGTTGCCCAGGCTGGAGTGCAGTGGCACAATCGCAGATCACTGCAGCCTCGACCTCCTGGGCTCAAGTGATCCTCCTGCCTCGGCCTCCCAAGTAGCTGGGACTACAGGTTTGCACCACCATGCCCAGCTAATTTTTACATTGTTTTTATAGAGATGGCAGATGGGGTCTTGCTATGTTGCCCAGGCTGGACCATATACTTGTGACCACCAAGAAGCCCATGTGGGTACATTTCTATAAGCTAAATTTCACTCTTTATCCCAGTTTCACGGTTTTTTTCTTCTAATGTCCTTTTTCTGTTTTAGGATCCTATCCTGGATCCCAAGTGGCTTTTTTTTTTTTTTTTTTTTTTGAGACAGGGTCTCGTTCTGTCACCCAGGCTAGAGTGCAGTGGCATGATCTCAGCTCACTGCAACCTCCGCCTCCCGGGTTCAAACGATTCTCCTGCCTCAGCCTCCCAAGTAGCTGGGATTACGGGCGCCCACCACCACACCTGGCTAATTTTTGTATTTTTAGTAGAGACAGGATTTCAACATGTTGACCCGGCTGGTCTCGAACTCGTGACCTCAGGTGATCCTCCCACCTCGGCCCCCCAAAGTGATGGGATTACAGGTGTGAGCCACCGTGCCTGGCCCCATGTGGCATTTATTTTTATTTTTTCTCAGACAGGATTGCACTCTGTTGCCTAGGCTGGAGTGCAGTGGTGCAATCCTAGCTCACAGCAACCTTGATCTCCCAGGATCAAGCGATCCTCCCATCTCAGCCTCTCGAGTAGCTGGGGTCACAGGCGGGCACCACTACACCCTCCTAATTTTTAAATTTTTTTTGTCAAGATGGGGTCATTTTGTAGAGATGGGGCGACTCGCTGGGAGGACCCTGGACTCCGCATGAGGCCTCCTTGTGACTGTGGTTTGTCCCAGCAAGAGGACATGGAGCACAGAGCAGAGTTTGGGAAGGGAAAGGCTCGTGGGGTGGGTCGGGGAGGCCAGGCCCGGCTTCTAGGCCCAGCTTCCAGGCCCTCTCCCCATGTGTCACGCGGGACACGCCACATCCCCAGCAGCGAGCTGGGACAACAGCCCAAAGCACTGTCACCAGCGAGGCTCCCAGAGACCCAGCACCCACGTTCCTATGGGGGCTGGTTCTGCTGCCCCTGCTGCCTGACCCATGCCAGGATTCCAGGCTCCAGAGGGAGGCAAGGATTTCATATAAACCACGGTGTTTGCAGGAACAGCTTTGGCCCTGGAGCTTGTCCTGTCAGTGATGGTGGCAGGGTCCCCCCGAGTCCCCCGAGGTGGGGAGTTCCTGGTCGCAGCCTCAGGCATGTGGTGCCAGCCTGGTTCTGCTCAGAGACTGCCCGTACCAGCTGAGCTGGGGCTGAGGGACTTCCCAGGATGCAGGACTTTCAGGCTAACTCTGGAAAAGTCCTGGGCAGACCTGGATACGTTGGGTGCCTTCTGGGCACCGTGGGACTAACTCAGCCCCTTCTTCTTCCTCCCAGGGAGATCGTGAGGCTCCAAAGATGTACAGAGATGTTTTTGATAAACTGTGAAGAGCCGTAGAAACATCAATCCTTGCACTCAGTTCAGTTTTCAAACACGTGGAAAATGTATTAGGAATAACGTCATAAATCTCTAATAATAAATATTTTCAGTGAATTGTCTTCTGCTTTTTTCCTTTTCTATTATTTTTTTTTTTGAAGCAGAGTCTTGCCCTGTTGCCCAGGCTGGAGGACAGTGGCTCGATCTCAGCTCACTGCACCCTCTGCCTCCCGGGTTCAAGGGATTCTCCTGCCTCAGCCTCCTAAGTAGCTGGGACTACAGGCACCCACCACCACGTTGGCTAATTTTTATATTTTTAGTAGAGACGGGATTTTGCCATGTTGGCCAGGCTGGTCTCGAACTTCTGACCTCATGATCCACCTGCCTTGGCCTCCCAAAGTGCTGGGATTACAGGCCTAAGCCACCGCGCCTGGTTGCCAAAATGATTTCTGTCCTTGTCCAATCACAAGCGCGAGGCCGTTCTCCAATGCTGACCCCATCAACACATGCATGGTGCCTCCAGCCAAGCCACGCCAAACTAACTCTATGTGTTTTTTCCAGGGAGTGGAGCTTGGTTTCGGGATCTCGGTGCTGCAGACGGCGAGACCTCCTGCACAGGTCGGTGCTGTAATGCATTTCTTTGTTATGATTTGAGGTTCAGTTGGCTGTTTTGCACCCTGGATGTAAGACGTGGGGTTGCCGTCAAGGCGGGCGTCTTGGCCTTGACCTGGGTCTGTCGGCTGTTTGTATCCACCAAGTATGGGTAATGGGGAGCAGGTGTGGGTAACAGCTGCTAGCTCCTGGCAGAGTTTCCCGCCCACGAGGCAGGGAACGTGGCACTCACTGGTCCTGCTGGTGCCGGAGCCCCTGGATGGGGTCAGGGTGGGAAGCCCACAGCGGTGCTGCATGCCTTTCCGGTGTCTTCGTGCCATGGTAGGGAGTTTTAAGGAGCCTTCACCCGTATCTCCTGTGCACCTGGAGAGTGACCCGTCGCTGGCCCTTTAGCTCTCCTCTGTTGATTTACTCCTCGTTTTTCTCCCTAGAGAATCATGAGTGGCTTTTAAAATGTAGGAAGAGGAAACCATTTAAAAATAAGTAGAAAGGAAGGCAGAAATGTCCAGAAAAGGCAAAGCCATAGGGACAGAAAGGGACTCGTGGTGATTGGAGGCTGGGGACATGAATGTGCACCAGAGACTTGCCAGGGACGTGGAAATGGACCCGATGGTCGGGTCGGGGTGACCGCAACCTGGTGAACTTACTTAAAAATCTTAAAACAAAATTTTTTTTTAAGAGTTAGGGTTTTGGCCAGGCATGGTGGCTCATGCCTGTAATCCCAGCACTTTGGGAGGCCGAGATGGGTGGATCACCTGAGGTCAGGAGTTCCAGACCAGCCTGACCAACATGGTGAAACCCCATCTCTACTAAAAATAGGAAAATCAGCCAGGCGTGGTGGCAGGTGCCTAGAGTCCAAGCTACTCGGGAGGCTGAGGTGCGAGAATCACTTGAGCCTGGGAGATGGTGGTTGCAGTGAGCCAAGATCATGCCACTGCGCTCCAGCCTGGGTGACAGAGCGAAACTCCTTCTAAAAAAAAAAAAAAGAGAGAGAGAGAGAGAAAAGAAAGAAAGAAAGAAAAACAGAAAAGAGTTAGGGTTTGCTTTGTTGCCCAGGCTGGTCTTGAACTCCGTGGCTCAAGTGATCTTCCTGCTTTGACTTCCCAAAGTGCCAGGATTACAGGTGCGTACCATTGCACCCGGCCCTGAAGTATCTTTGAGCAGTACACTTCACTTGAATTTTATGGCATGTAATGTGTACCTTAAAAATGCATATTTTAGCTAAGCCCAGTATAAATCATTTTGGTCTCATCCTTAGTAGTCAATGGTCATGAGAGGTAATTCAGAAACAGATGTACTCAAAAGTCAAGAATATGTTCAAATTTAGCAATAAGGCAAAGACTCCAAATGTCCATCAATGGGTGAATGGATCAGCAGAACATCCTCCATCCACACCATGGAGTGTTACTCAGCCATGAAAAGGAATGAAGCTTTGACACAGGCCACAGTGTGGATGTACCTTGAGGACGTCACGCTCAGTAAGAGATGCCAGACACAAAAGGCCACACAGCATGTGATCCCCTTTCTACAAAAGGTTCAGGACGGGCCGATCCACAGAGGCAGGGAGGGGATGCGTGGGTGCCGAGACTGGGAGGGGCATGGGAAGTGATGGTTGATGGGTTTCTTCTTCTTGGCATAATTAGAATGTTCTGGAATTAGTGGTGATGGTTGCAGGACTCTGAATGTACTAAATGCCATTGAATTGTGCGTTTTCTTTTTATTTTATGATTTTTTTCTTCTTTTTGGTGCCGCAGATAATACTCAGAAAGAATTATGCATTTTAAATGGGTGCACTGTATGTCATATGAATTACATCTCAATAACATGATGCATGTATAGATAGAGCATTATATATATATATATATATATATATATATATATATATATATATATATATATATAAAGTGTAGGCCGGGTGCAGTGGCTCACACCTGTAATCCCAGCACTTTGGGAGGCCAAGGCAGGTGGATCACCTGAGGTCAGGAGTTTGAGACTAGCCTGGCCAACATGGCGAAACCCCGTTTCTACTAAAAATACAAAAATTAGCCAGGTGTGGTGTTAGGCACCTGTAATCCCAGCTACTTGGGGGGCTGAGGTGGGAGGATTGCTTGAACGCGGGAGACGGAGGTTGCAGTGAGCTGAGATTGCGCCACTGCACTCCAGCCTGGGCGACAGAGCGAGACTCCATCTCAGAAATAATAAAATAAAATAAAGTGTAGATGCAAAAAGTGTAGATATAAAATATATGTATAATATTTATTTATGAAGCCAAACATAAAAATGTAAAGGACTTCATATTGTACAATTCCACTTACAGGAAAATTCTAGAAAAGGTGACAGATCAGAGGTCGCCTGGAGGCTGGGGGGTTGGGATCGGGGCAGCTCTGGGAGTCGATGACAGCGTCCCATTGAGATTATGCTGATGGTTGCATAGCTGTAGAAATGAATGGCAACCCTTAGAACCATGTGCGCTTGAAGATTAGCGTGCCCAGTGTGCATCGCAGGGTGTGTAACTGCACCCCAGTGAAGCTGTGACACCAACAGAAAAGCTCAGCCCGAAAAAGGAGGCGCAGGGCTGGAAGGTGTGCAGAGCCCGGAGAGGTCTCGGACTTTGCATTTCCGGTGCCGACGGAGCCGGGCCGGAAGGTGTGCAGAGTCCGGAGAGGTCTCGGACTTTGCATTTCCAGTGGACATGGTGCAGGGCCGGAAGGTGTGCAGAGCCCGGAGAGGCTCAGACTTTGCATTTCCGGTGCCGACGGAGCCGGGCCGGAAGGTGTGCAGAGTCCGGAGAGGTCTCGGACTTTGCATTTCCAGTGGACATGGTGCAGGGCCGGAAGGTGTGCAGAGCCCGGAGAGGCTCAGACTTTGCATTTCCGGTGCCGACGGAGCCGGGCCGGAAGGTGTGCAGAGTCCGGGGAGGTCTCGGACTTTGCATTTCCGGTGCACATGGTGCAGGGCGGGAAGGTGTGCAGAGCCCGGAGAGGCTCAGACTTTGCATTTCCAGTGCGGACAGTGCAAGGCCGGAAGGTGTGCAGAGCCCGGAGAGGTCTCCGACTTTGCATTTCTGGTGCACATGGTGCAGGGTGGGAAGGTGTGCAGAGCCCGGAGAGGGCTCAGACTTAGCATTTCCGGTGCCAATGGCGCAAGGCGGAAAGGTGTGCAGAGCCCGGAGAGGGCTCAGACTTTGCATTTCTGGTGCACATGGTGCAGGGCGGGAAGGTGTGTAGAGCCCGGAGAGGGCGCAGACTTTGCATTTCGGGTGCCGACGGCAGGGCCAGAAGGTGTGCAGAGCCCGGAGAGGTCTCCTGCATTTCCGGTGCACATGGTGCAGGGCGGGAAGGTGTGCAGAGCCCGGAGAGGGCTCAGACTATGCATTCCCGGTGCTTCCTGGGGCTGCCACAGGTTTGGTGTTGGGCTTCTTCAAACATTCAGTTCTGGCCGGGCGCCATGGCTCACGCCTGTAATCCCAGCACTTTGAGAGGCCAAGGCAGGAGGATGGCTTGAGCCCAGGAGTTTGAGATCAGCCTGGTCAACAGAGCGATATCCTAAACTCTACAGAAAATTAGACAGGTATGGTGGCACGCACCTGTAGTCCCTGCTAGTGGGGGGCTGAAGTGGGGAGGATCGTTTGAGCCTGAGAGTTTGAGACCAGCCCAGGCAACATGGTGAAACCCCATCTCTACAAAAAATACAGAAATTAGCCAGGCGTGGTGGTGCACACCTGAAATCCCAGCTACTGAAGAGGCTGAGGTGGGAGGATCGCTTGAGCCCCGGAGGTCGAGGCTGCAGTGGGCTATGATTGCACCACTGCACTCCAACCTGGGCAACAGAGCCAGACCCTGTCTAAAAAACAGAAACAAATAACCCCATTCATTTCGACAGGGAAACGCTAGCAGCTGCGGAGCTAATAGTGTTTGCAAGCTAGGATACGGCAATTCTCAGCAAGAAACATTGCGATTTCTGATCTCCCGTGGGCCCTTTTGGAAAGACTGCCCGTGATGGGGTCATCGTTCTCCATGACCTGTCCCAGAAACACGTGTCCCATGGTGGGGGTCTGTGAGAACAGCTCCCTGGCAGGCAGGCTGTGGGCTGGTGGGGCTGCCCACTAAGCCCCGAGGGCCTGGATCGGAGCTGCTAGATCCTCTTTGGGCACTGGTGGATGTAGGCACCTCCTGCCCCAGACGTAACAAGTGACTACTGATGTAGAACGGCTTCTCCCACACAGTTATTATCTGACAGCGCTGAAGCTCAGAAGTCTAACGTAGGGCCAGGCGCGGTGGCTCACTCCTGTAATCCCAGCACTTTGGGAGGTCGAGGTGGGCGGATCACCTGAGGTCAGGAGTTTGAGACCATCCTGGCTAACATGGTGAAACCCCATCTCTACTAAAAATACAAAAAAAACCAGCCAGGTGTGGTGGTGTGCATCTGTAGTCCCAGCCACTCAGGAGGCTGAGGCAGGAAAATCGCTTGAGCCCGGGAGGCGGAGGTTGCAGAGCCAAGATCACGCCACTGCACTCCAGCCTGGGCGACAGAGTGAGACTCCATCTCAAAAAAAGAAAAAATAAAAAAAAAAGAAGTCTAACATAGGCCTCACTGGGCTAAAATCATGGAAAATCAAGGTGTGGGCAGGCCAGTCCCTCCTTGGGGCTCCAGGGGAAAATCTGGTTCCCGCATTTCCCAGCGTCTAGAGGCACCCACATCCCTTGGCTCGGGGCCCCCTCCTCCCCCTTCACAGCCACAGTGAAGCCTCTTCCAGTCTCTGTTTGACTCTCACCCTCCTGCCTCTTCTCCTGAGGACGCTATGAGGACATTGGGGCCCCCAGATCACCCCGGATGCTATCCTATCTCACGATCCTTAACTTCATCCCATCTGCGGTCCCTTTTGACATGGAGCTGACCTGTCCACGGCTTCTGGGGTTAGGATGGGGCTGTCGCTGGGAGCCTGCTGTTCCTTCTGCTGACATGGGGAATGGGCTGGAGGGGTGAGCAGAGCCGACTTCCTCCCTTGCCTGGTCACTCACCTGCCTGTGACCTCAAGGAGAGAGGAAGAGGCTCCCCGTGGGGATCTGCCGGGCGCAACTCTGGCCATCGCAGGGCTGAGTTCTCGAGGCTAAGAGCCACTGAGGGTCAGCTGCGGGACCCGAGTCCCTTCTTCTTGTACCACCTCTGGGGACCATCTGCCAGTTTCTGGAGTGCCTCCCCTTCATTTCATAGACTTAAGTTTCTCAAGCAGGTCATTTTAGGGATGGCAGTTTGGCCTGAAGCCCTTTGATCCCTGATTGACGTCAGAACTTGGTGAGAGCCTGGGTGTGGTGGCTCACGCCTGTCATCGCAGCACTTTGGGAGGCCAAGGCGGGAGGATGGCTTGAGCCCAGGAGTGTGAGACTAGCCTGGGCAACATAGCAAGACCCCATCTCTACAAAAAAATTAAACAATTAGCTGGGTGTTACAGTGTGTACCTGTGGTCCCAGCTACACTGGAGGCTGAGGCAGGAGGATCACTTGAGCCTAGGAGATCGAGTGGTGCAGTGAGCCGAGATCACACCACTGCACTCCAGCCTGGGCAACAGGGCAAGACCCTGTCTCCAAAAAAAGCAACAGCTAAAAAGGTAAAATGAAGAAAAGTACAAAGAAGGCCAAGCCCCTAAGTTCCCCAGCCCAGCACCGATGGGCCTCAGCATCTTGCCAAGCCTGTGCTGGGATTTTCGTGAATTACATTCACCTGTAGATTTCACACAAGGAGGGTTCTATTCTCTCATTCCTCATTCCCATCACTGGGCATCTTTCCTTGTCGAGAAACCTCGACATCCACCCTCATTCTTGACGCTCGTTAAGGCACTCTGTGTGATAGGGGGTGGTGACTTATCACTTTAAAAATGATTTTATAATGTGTTTAACTGGTCCCCCTAGCTGGGCTTTTGGAATGTCTCTCTTTTTCTTGATGTCTTTCTTTCTCTCTTCCTCTCTCTCTCCTTCCTTCCTCTCTCTTTCTTTCCTTCTCCCTCTCTCTTTCTCTCGCCTTCCTCCCTCTCCCCCTTCTCTCTCCTTCCTTCCTATCTCTATCTCCCTCCCTCTGCCGCTTCCTTCCCTCCCTCCTCCCTCCCTCCTCCCCTCCCTCCCTCCTTCCCTCCCTCCTTCCTTCCTCCCTCCCTCCTTCCCTCTCTCCCTCCCTCCTTCCTTCCTTTCTTCCTTCCCTCCCTTCCTCCCTCCCCCTCCCTCCTTCCCTCCCTCTCTTCTTTCTTCCTTCCCTCCCTCCCCCCTCCTTCCTTCCCTCCTTCCTCTCTCCCTCCTTCCTTTCTTCCTTCACTCCCTCCTTCCTTTCTCCCTCCCTCCTTCCCTCTCTCCCTCCCTCCTTCCTTCCTTTCTCCCTCCCCTTCCTTCCTTCCCTCCCTCCTTCCCTCCCTCCCTCCCTTACCCTCTCCTTCCCTCCCTTACCCTCTCCTTCCCTCCCTTCTTCCCCCTTCCCCCCTCCTTCCTCCCCCTCCCTCCCTCCTTCTCTCCCTTCCCTCCCTTCCCCCCCTCCTCCCCCACTCCCTGCCTCCCTCCCTCTCTCCTTCCTTCCTGAATCCCTCCCCTTGGATGGTTGAGGTTTAAGTTAAATTCCTGCGAGTGGATGTGCTGCTGAGCTCTGTGCCTGCCATCTACATTTGACATCCAGCCACAAAAACCTCCAGAAACACCCCATTCCTTCCTGGAGCGCTCGTTCCCCACCCTCCCAGCCGCAGCTGTGAAATCTTTGCCAAGCTGGCAAGTAGGGGCGCTCATCTTTGTTTTGTTTGGGTGTCCTTGGTGGCCGGTGAATCCGACCGTTCTCTGGGCATCCTTCTGTGGGCTGCCAGGCTGGGGTCTTTGCTGACCTTTCTGTTCCGGCGTCTCAGGCGCATTGATTTGTTTGAACAGTTTATAAACGTTTGTTTGAACTCTGCAAATATTTTCCTGAGCGTGTCTTTTGACTTTGCTTACGGTGGGTTTTGCCAAAGAGGAATTTTTTTTTTTTTTGACAGAGTCTCACTCTGTTGTCCAGGCTGGAGTGCAGTGGCGCGATCTTGGTTCACTGCCACCTCCTCCTTCCGGGTTCAAGCGATTCTCCCGCCTCAGCCTCCCAAGCTGGGATTGCAGGTGTTCGCCACCATGCCCAGCTAATTTTTGTATTTTTAGTAGAGATGGGGTTTCACCATGTTGGCCAGGCTGGTGTCGAACCCCTGACCTCAAGTGATCCTTCTGCCTCAGCCTCCCAAAATGCTGGGATACAGGTGTGAGCCACCGCACCTGGCCAGGATTTTAAATGTTTGTTATACATGAGCATCTCCTTTGTTTTTTTTATGGATCTCTTCCAAATTTTAAGATTATAAAAAAATCACCTGTATTTTGTTCCGATTGCATGTTTTACACTTAAATTCTGAACTACTTGAAATTTAACTATGCTAGTGGGGCTCACGGAGGAAGCAGGGGTGATTCTGACCCAACCCTCCCCTCCCCTCCCCTCCCCAGGGGATGCTGGGAGATGTCTAGGGATGTCTCTGGTTGTCACGACTGGGGGGTGCTCCTGGCATGAGTGGTTGGAGGTCAGGGACACTGCTCAACATGGCCCCATCCAAGAGAATCATCCAGCCCCAATGTCTACAGTGCCCAGGAGGGAGAGACTCTTTCTTTCTCCCTTCCCTTCCCCTCCCCTCCCCCTTCCCTTCTCCTCCCCTCCCTCTTCCCTTCCCCTCCCCTCCCCTTCCATTCCCCTCCCCTCCCCTTCCCCTCCCCTTCCCCTCCCCTTTCCCTCCCCCTCCCCTCCCCCTCCCCTTCCCCTCCTTCCCCTTCCCCTCCCCCTTTCCCTTCCCATCCCCTTCTCTTCCCCTTTTCTTTTCTTTTCTCTTTCTGACAGAGTCTCGCTCTGTCACCCAGGCTGGAGTGCAGTGGCATGATCTCAGCTCACTGCAACCTCTGCCTCCCAGGCTCAAGTAATTCTCTGCCTCGGCCTCCCGAGTAGCTGGGATTACAGGTGCATGCCACCACGCCCGGCTAACTTTTGTATATTTAGTAGAGACAGGGTTTCACCATGTTAGCCAGGCTGGTCTTGAACTCCTGACCTCGTGATCCACCTGCCTCGGCCTCCCAAAGTGCTGGGGTGACAGGCGTGAGCCACCGCACCCGGCCCATTCATTATTTCAAAACTGACTTCAGTCCCTGCTCACACTGGACACCAGAATAAACTCCCGATGGGGCAGATGGTGTAAATCAGGGGGACCCCCAGCTCCTGGGATTCATCTCCTCTCTCCCTCCCAACTCAGGGTGTGGATTTCAATGTGTGCAGCCTCCTGGGACCTCAGCATGGCAGAGGATCATGGGACGCGGAGTCTCTTGGGGGTCCGTGGAATCCCCTAACCCGGGGGGTCTCAACCAGGGGTGATTCTGCCTCCAGGGGACATCTGTAATTGTCATGATGGAGGGATGCTCCTGGCATGGAGTGGATGGAGGCCAGGGACGCTGCTCAGCACCCTATGGTGCCCAGGACGGCCCCACCCCAGAGAATCATCAGGCTCTGATGTCCACACACGCAAGGGGAGGCCCCAGTAGAGGGGACGGAATTAGTGGTGAGCAGGTGTGGTGCCGGCTGACCTTGAAGGGGTTCTCTGTTACAAAGGGTGGCGTGGGATGCGGGCTTTTCCTGATCTTTTAATAATGTTGCTAGTCATTCATTGAGCACCTCCTGTTTGCTGGGCGCTGGGCTGGGCGAGTGCGGCTTTGGCTCCTGCGGGCACAGGGTGGGAAGCTTGGAAACTCACCTCCCTACAAGGACGGACGGGGAGGAGAGCGAGGCTGTGAGGGGTGCAGGCGCCTGCGGGGGTCTCTGACCTCTGGGTGGCAGCCTCTCCAGGAGAGCAGGTGCGCCGCCAAGTGAGGGCCGTGGCTGCCTGTCCTGATGACAAAACCAGCACCGTGATCCCCTGCTCCTATCCTTCTGCAGGCCCCAGGGCAAAACAACAACGACAACAGCAAAGACGGGCCGGGCTCGGGGGCGGGGGGAGCCTGTTCCTGGGGCCTCTGAAGCTCGATTTGCAGAGGGCTGCTGTTACCGCTGGCGGCCACGAGGGGGCAGAGGAGGCCCACGGAGTTTCCTGGCCCCGGGCCTGGAGCCGGCAGGGGGCTGGAGATGCGGGGGGTGCAGGTAGGGACGGGGGTGCAGTGGGTGTGCAGGTGGGTGCAGGTGAGGACAAGTGGAGTTGGAGGTGCAGGTGGGGACAGAGGTGCAGGTGGGGACGGAAGTGCAGGTGGGCGCAGGTGGGCACAAGTGGGGACGGAGGTGCAGATGGGCGCAGGTGTGCGTAGTTGGGTTCAGGTGGGTGCAGGTGGGGATGGAGGTGCAGGCAGTGCATACTGACTGTATCCCAGATGTCTTCAGTCACCCCCGAGCCCCTCTTTAAGCTCTGTCACTACCCCCACTGCAGTTTGCTTGATACCTTCCTGGTTCAACACTGACAGCCCTAAGTCCCAGGCAAACCCAGATGGTTGGCCCCTGCCCTAGGGGCCCCTGTGGGCACACTCAGAGCCTCTCTGCCCAAAACCAGAGGCGGTCCCTGGGTGTTGTGCGTGGCAGGAGGCGGGAGGCACTGGCTCTGCTCCCCAGGAGTGGCCTTAAGGCAGTCAGGGAATGCACCTCACACTCGGGCACAGAGGTGTCTCCAGAGCAGAGCTCGGACCAGAGAATGGAAGGCATAAAGCATCCCTGGAGGGCTGGGTGGCCCTGGGAGAGTGCAGGTCATCCTGCCATGGGAATCAGACCCTGGCTTGTCCCCACCATCAGGCCCTGGGGTGCCTGTCATCCCCCCTCCCAGATGTCATGCTCCTCAGGGTGAGAACTGGCTGTGGACCTGGGGCTGCCACTCCCCAGCTCAGAGAGGGGTCATTGTCCTGGCGGGCAGAGGGCCTGGATCCTCGCCTGTGAGTTAGAGACTCGTGCGCCCCTGAGTGAAGGCAGTAGAGAGCTGGTTCAGTTTGGCCAGAGGAGAATTCCATCCACCCCCTGAGTGGGAGGGAGAGAGGAGGTGAATCCCAGGAGCTGGAGTTACCCTGATTTATGCTGTCTGCCCCTTTGGGAGTTTATTCTGGTGTCCGGTGTGAGCAGAGAGCAGACTCTGTTTTTTTCCAAATAACACAGGGTCTCTCTCCCCCTGGCTCCTGTAGACATTGGGGCCACATTTTTCTCTGGGGTGGGGCTGTCCTGGGCACTGCAGGCTGCTGAGCAGCGTCCCGGGCCTCCACCCACTCCATGCCAGGTGCACCCGCCAGTTGTGACAACCACAAATGTCCCCAAATATCACTCAGTGTCCCTTAGGGGACAGAATCACCCCAAGTTGGCCAGGCACGGTGGCTCACACCTGTAATCCCAGCACTTTGGGAGGCTGAGGTGGGCGGATCACTTGAGGTCAGGAGTTCGAGACCATCCTGGCCAACATGGTGAAAACTCCTCTGTACTAAAAATACAAAAATTAGCTGGGTGTGGTGGCGGGCGCCTGCAATCCCAGCTACTCCGTAGGCTGAGGCAGGAGAATCAATTGAACCTGGGAGGCAGAGGTTGCAGTGAGCCGAGATTGCACCATTGCACTACAGCCTGGGCAATACAGCGAGACTCCGTCTCAAAAAAAAAAAAAATCACCCCAAGTTGAGACCTCCTGGGTCTCAGGTGTGTCCCATGATCATATGGACCTCTGAGGTTCCAGGAGGCTGCACACACTGAAATCCACACTCCGAGTGAGGAGGGAGAGAAGAGGCAAATCCCAGGAGCTGGGGTCCCCCTGTCTTACACCGTCTGCTCCATTGGGAGTTTGTCGTGGTGTCTGATGTGAGCAGGGGACAGACTTGATTACTTTTTTTTCCCTCAAATTAAGGCAGGGTCTCTCACATTCAGCACTGAAGACTTTCTACCCCTTAGGAGACACTGGGGCTGGGGGTGGGGTTGGAGATGCAGAGGGTGCAGATGGAGATGGGTTCACGGGGCACCTGCACCCACCTGTGCCCACCTGCACCCACCTGCACCTCTGTCCTCACTCATCTGGGGCAATGTCTGGGGATATTTGTGGTTACACGACTGGGGGGTGCCCCTGGCATGGAGTGGGTGGAGGCCCGGGACGCTGCTCAGCAGCCTGCAGTGCCCAGGACGACCCCACCCCAGAGAACAATCCGGCTCCGATGTCCACAGAACCCGGGTGAGAACCCCTCTTCCAGGATAAGCATTTCTTCAGCCTTTTTGCTTCTTGCCTCACTGAGTGCGGAAGAACTTTGCGACCTCCAGATCACCGAGTGTGTTTTTCTGGTAGCTCCTTGTTCTCCCGGCGAGGGTTTTTTTTTTTTGGTAACATTTCTGCTGAGAGCTTTACTGGAGCCTCTTATCCTGAGAAGGGCTCTTGTGTGGTAAGCAAACTCCAGTCCCCGCGGCCAGTCAGAGCGGGTTTATTTCCCCCTGGTCGGTCACCAGATTTCAGCATGTCCTGGTCGTGTTGAAATTCACGTTATTATCAGTTCTTTTCGCGGACAAGTTGTTCCCCTGAAAGAATTGCCAAGATATACAGCCAGAGCCTGAAAACGCTCTGCTCCCGGAAGGTCACAGCTCATTGCTACCACCCTCCCCGAGAGAAAACGTGTGTGCAGCCCGCAAGTAATTACGGGGCGCTGTGCCGAAATCAGGGGCTCTGCCACAGTCTCCAGGACTCAGAAACCTCTCCCTGTACCCAGCAGCCTCCACATCTGTAGCCCAGGACAAGGCAGTGCTTCCCGGCGGTAGGAGAGCTTGGACATGACCTTGACCCTCTATAGCAGGGGTCATCTGGGTGATGCCGCCCCCCACCCCCAACCCCGGGGACACTGAGCAATTTCTGGGACATCTGTGGTTTTCGCGACTTGGGGGAGCTCCTGGCATGGAGTGGGTGGAGGCCAGGGATACTGCTCAGCACCCCGCAGTGCCCAGGACGGCCCCACCCCAGAGAACAATCGGGCCTCAAATGTCCACAGTGCTGAGGGGGAGAAACTCTGGGTTCATTATTTTGGGGAAAAAAATTCGAGTTATTTTCCTGCTCATGATAGGCACCATAAACGCCCAGTGGGGCAGACGGTGTAAACCAGGAGGACCCCCAGCTCCTGGGACTCACCTCCTCTCTCCCTCCTCACTCAGGGTGTGGATTTCAATGTGTGCAGCCTCCGGGGACCTCAGCAGGGCAGAGGATCATGGGACGCGGAGTCTCTTGGGGGTCCGTGGAATCCCCTATCCCAGGGGGTCTCAACTCGGGGCAATTTTGCACCCAGGAGACATTTGTGGCTGCCTCGATTGGTGGATGCCATGGGGTGGAGGTCAGGGGTGCCACTCAGCACCCTGCAGTGCCCGGGGCAGCCCCACAACCAAGAATGATTCAGCCCCAAATGCCCACAGTGCCGGGGGGAGAAGGCCCGGTGCAGAAGAACCTGCCTCCCGGGTGAGTTGAGAGCAGGCTTCTGTCCTCTTCTGGACAGAATTACTACAGCTCCCACTCAAGCCCCGGTAAACAGACACCCGTTTTCAAGCCCACCGATGTCCTCTCAATGAATCCCCGTTTCAGAGCTGTTATTGCGACCACCTGACTCTACTGATTGAGGCTCCATACCCAGAGAGGCTCACATCCACGACCACCGAGCCCGGGGATCTGAGTACCCCAGCCCAGTGTGCAGACCACAGCCACCTCTCGTGTGTGTGTGTGTGTGTGTGTGTGTGTGTGTGTGTGCGCGCGCGCGCGCGCGCCTGTTGCTAAGCAACCGCTTGAACAGTCAGCCTCCCACAGAACGAGGGATGAGGCACCAACTTGGTCATCGGCAGATTCATCGAGCCTTGGCCGCCTTTGACTCAAAATACACACGGCGGTGACAGTCGCATATGATGAGATGCTGGGGGCAGGGGACATGGGGGAGCCGAGTGGAGGCCAGAGAGGATGGCTCTGCCAATCTGTGGCTTGACCTTGACCCTCTCTGACCCTCTACAGCAGGGGTCAGAGTCCATTGCCCAGGACAGCAATGATGAGGCCCGTTGGATGCTAATTTTCCTCCCATCCGCTTCATCGTTTTAGTGAACCAGCACCCACCTGCAGGGCCCCTGCCAGGCTAACACCCTCGGATCTCTGCGCAGACACTCCCGGTGCCGCCTGGGGATGCGTGTCATAGATGGTTAAGGTGCAGCCTGGGGAGGCCCAAGGTGGGGTCTGTTGAGAAGTTAGGGGCCTGGTAGAGGGGCCCCCTGTCCCACCAGCAGGGTTCAAGGGGCTGAGGGCTCCTGAGCAGACATGGGCCAGGCAGAGGCCCAGGCGGGTGCCCCAGTGCAGAGCCCACTGTGGCTGGATGAGCCTCGTAATGACTTCATGTTAGAGCCTCAGCTTTACTTATTTATTATTTTTATCGGACATGGATCTGAATTATTATTCTTATATTCTTGTTATTATTATTATTTTAGAGTCAGAGTCTCACTCTGTTGCCCAGGTGCGAGTGCAGTGGTGCGATCATAGCTCAGTGTAACTAAGGGGTGCTCCTGGCAGGGAGTGGGTGGAGGCCAGGGACTCTGCTCAGCACCCTGCAGTGCCAGGGCAGCCTCACCCCAGAGATGGATCCAGTCCCGATGTCCACAGTGCTGACGGTGAGAGACTTCCCTGTAGAGTAGAAAGTCTCTGTTCGTCAGCTGTTTTTACAATTCCCAGTCTGTTTTCTGTGTGCGTGTGTGTGTGTGTGTGTGTGTGTGTGTGTGTGTGTGAGTTTTGTTTATAGCAGGTTGGGTTTTTTTGTTTTTTTTTTTTTTGAGATGGAGTTTCACTCTTGTCTCCCAGGCTAGAATGCAATAGCATAATCTCGGCTCACTGCAACCTCCACCTCCCGGGTTCAAGCAATTCTCCTGCCTCAGCCTCCCAAGTAGCTGGGATTACAGGTGCCTGACACCACGCCTGGCTAATTTTTGTATTTTTAGTAGAGACGGGTTTCACCATGTTGGTCAGGCTGGTCTCGAACTCCTGACCTCAAGTGATCCACCTGCCTCTGCCTCCCAAAGTGCTGGGATTACAGGCATGATCCCACACAGCGCCAGGCCAGGAGTCTTACCTTTCTAGGAGGCAGAGTTTATCTGTTCTTTTGGGGCTCCTTTCTCTAGAGAATGGGGGAGAGGGCAGCACCAGGGTGATGATGTCCCCGCAGAACAGGCCGTCACGGGATTAGCCTAGTCGATGCTAGTTGTCCTTATTGGAGATCTTGGGGAGACGCCCTGAAAATGCTGTAGTCTGCCTTGGCTGGTTCAACGTCCTTTCACCCCTTTTCTCTCTTCCTCTTTCAGAAATGGCACTTCTAGGGTCAGTCGGCTTCATTTTAGAAGTTAGCAAAAGAAGGAAAAAACTGCTAAAGCCGGGGTCGAAAACTGTGGCCCCCAGGCCAAGTCCCCCATCTAGTTCCTGTTTTTATAAATAAAGTTTTATTGGCATACAGCCACAGACATGCTGTGCCCCCACCCCAGGCCCAGTCTGGCCCTCCACTTCCTGTTTTTATAAATGAAGTTTTATTGGCACACAGCCACAGACAAACTGCAGCTCCCTGGGCCAAGTTCCCCCCTCCACTCCCTGTTTGTATAAATAAAGTTTTATTGGCACACAGCCACAGACATACTGCAGGTCCCTGGGCCAAGTTCTCTGTTCCACTTCCTGTTTTTATGAATAAAGTTTTATTGGCACACGGCCACAGACATTCATTTACCTGTCATCAGTGACTGCTTTCATACTACAAGGACAGAGCTCAGTGGCCTTTTGCAGAAAAGGTTTGCTGACCCTCAGCCTAGAGGCCTTGAGTTATCTGATTTCATCTCATAACCACTCGTGAGGAAAGAATGATCGTCACTGGACAGATAAGGATGCTGAGACCTAGCGAGGTTAAGTGGCTTCATGAGGTGACATAACCAGCAGTTTAGGGCTTGGGCTCCCAACTCTGCCACCTACTGGCTCTGTGACCCTGGGCCATCTCTGTGCTTTTCTGAACCTCAATGCCCTCGTCTGTGAAAGGGGGGAGAATAGGCAGTGCCTGCCTCTCAAGGGGTTAATGCATGTCAAGCTGTCTAATACTAAATGCACCATTCTTCCTCTGGTCTTCATGCCTGCTATGCCTCCTCAGCCCCACACAGTGCTGTTGAGACAATCAGATAATGTCATAGTCATTAGACCTTTTTGATGATATACTCAGACATACTCAGGAGGAAACTGCTGAGTTGCTTGGCTGATTGTGGAGGGACATGATGTCCAAACCCTTGTGTATGAATAAGTTTGAAAGCTGACCATAAAATCCCAGAATGCTCTAGTCTGCAGCACATAAAGAGTGTATTAGCTAGCTATGGCTGCGTAACAACTACCATGAATGCAGTAGCTTAGAGTGACACCCATTTATTATCTCATGGTTCCATAGGTCAGAAGTTTGGATGTAGTGTGGCTGGGTAAGACCCTGCACAGAGGACCCAGCCACACTATGTCCAAACTTCTGACCTCGGAGATGTGAGCCAGGGCTGCATTCTCATCCGAAGGTTTGTGTGGTGACGGATCCCCTTCCAAGCTCATTCCAGGCTCATTCAGAATTCAGTTCTTTGTGGTTGATAGACTGTTTCTGTTGCGTTGTTAGCTGTCAGGAGGGGGCAACTCTCAGCTCTTTGAGGCCACTCTCAGGCCACTTGGCCTTCTCCATAGGCCCCTCATGCTTCCAGGCTCTCATTTCAGGAAAGGCCCAATCCCTTTTAAAGGGTCACCTGATTAGACCAGGCCCACCTAGGATAATCGCCCTTTCAGTGAACTCAAGGTCAACTGATTTAGGACCTTATTTACCTCTTCAAAATCCCTTCTTTCCTGAAAAGCAACCTAATCAGGGGAGTGATATCTCATCATGTCCACGGGCCCTGCCCACACTCAAGGGGAGGGGGTTCTACAAGATATGTTCTCCAGGGAGATCTTAGACTCCTCTTGGTGGCAAAGGGAAGGGGGGGCCTGCGTTCGGCCTCAGCCAGGACCGAATCAGCAGGACCTTCACTCCCTTTTTCTGGCGTCCATCCCTTCCTCTTGCAGGAGTACTGCCAGGTCTTTGGGGAGAGGGTGGGGGTTATTGGGAGAAAGGAGGCATTTGGAAAGTAGGTGGCAGGCTGTGTCCCAGTTACACCTAAATGTGTCTCCACTTATTAAAAAAAAAAAACAACCTTTATTTTGAAATCATTACAGATTCAGAGGAAGTTGCAAAAATCACACAGAGCAAAAAACATCACATGTATCTTCACAGTTTCCCCCAGTGGTGACATCTTACGTAACCATAGTACAAAACCAGGAAATGGACCCTGGCACCATGTATGTGCAAAGCTCTGTGCCCTTTCGCACACATGCAGACTCGGCTTCACCTTATTTATGGGTGTGCAGGAACATTAAGTGTCCATAAATGTGGACGGAGCTCCTCTTACTCGTGGGCATGGGGTCAGAGGGAGGCGGGAGTACAACCAAACAAAACCATCTAGACTTTGACCGTTGATGTGGGTGCCAGGTTCCAATCACCGTGTGCCCCCACACTGCGTTCAGGGCTACGCTCTTCTGTCTTCTCCCACTAGTCTGTGAGTCTGTGAGGTCTTGTCCACTACCTCTTTAGGCAGCCAGCCCTTCTGGTGGGCTTTGTCGTGGGGAGGGGGTGGCACTAGGTGTGTTCTGGGGCTCCTAGCACTAGAAGACTTGTTTCAAATCCAGAAGCACCTCCTATTCGTGTGGGCGCCCAGGCAACTTACCTGACCCGTCTGTGACTCTGTGTCCTTGGGGACCTCCTATTCTAAACACAAGAGCGTGGCCTGCTGTCACCGTCACCATCCTGGCATCTGCAGAAGAGCCACCAAGCGCTGCCTCCTGAGAATTTCTGGAAGGAGGAGATGACTGGTAGAGTGGAAAGTTATTGAAAGGGACATTTGGAGTTCTTTCCAAGGGACATAACCCATCTCCCAATATCCCCTATCCATTTGCTCAACCTTCAGAGAGACCTACTAAGATATCCAGTTGTTCACCTCAAGTCTTCAACTTTCCCCAAAGTTCTTTGCTGTTTTCTCTGTGCCTTGCACAGAGCCTGATGCATAGTACGTGCTCCTTGGGGGCCACTTTGTGTGTGTTTCCTACTAATGGCACCTACAGCAGCAATGGCCACCATGTCTTTTACAGCTACAGTCCTAGGCAGAATTCCAAGATGGCGCCCAAGACCCCCACCGCCTGGTGCCCACATCTTATCTAATCCCCTGCACTTGAGGATGGGCTGGACCTGCGAATACGATGGGGTGTCACTCCAGTGGTTAGGTTAATGCAGTTAGGTCGTGTGTTCGGTAAAGGGATTTTGCAGATGCGACGAAGATTCCTAGTCAGTTGACCTGAGCTCATCAAAAAGGAGACATCCTGGGTGGGCCTGACCTCATCAGGTGAGCCCATAAAAGAGACCAGAAGCACATCCCGAGGTGTCAAATTCAGAGAGACAGAAGGGAGAATGGTGGGTGCTAGGGGCTGGGGGAGGGAAGAGGGGAGCTGTTGTTCAGTGGATACAGTGTCTCAGTTTTACAAGATGGAAGGTTCTGGAGAGCCATTGCACAGCAGTGTGAGTATACTTAACATCACTGAACCGTACACATAAACGTGGTTAAGATGATCCGTCTTATGTTATATATATATATACACACACACACACACACCACAGTTGAAAGAAAGAGAGAAAGGGAAGGGGTTTCTTGCCTTAAAGAAAGCAAACAGCTATGTCGTGAGCTGCCTGTGGAGGGTCCATGTGGCAGACACCTGAGAGTAGCCTCTAGGGGCTCAGAGCACTCACATCCAACAGCCAGTAGGTAAACAGGGACCTCATTCCTAGAGCTGCAAGGAAATGAATTCTGCCGATAACCAAACTAGCTCAGAAGAGGACCCCAAATTCCAGATGACAACTCGGCCCAGCCCATACCTTGATTTTAGGCTTATAAGACTCTGAGCGGGGGACCCAGTTAAGCCAGACTCTTGACACACAGAAGTTGTGAGATGGCAAATGGTGTCTTTGTTGCCGCTGTTGTTACTCAGCAGTAGCTGACTCATACACTTGCCGTGTTGTTTGCCATGTTGAGATTGAGATAATGATCTCCACTTCACATAGGAGAAAACAGTAGCTGAGAGGGGCTGACGTGCCCAGGGTCACATGGCAACTGTGTTGTGATCATCACATTAACTGTGCCTGTCACCTGGGCCGGACCGTCACCTCCTTCATTAAGATCAGGGATCTGGTCCAAGTCTTCACCAGATGTTTACTGAGTGAGTGAAAGAAACAAAGAATGAAGGTGCTGGGACCGATCCTCACCTGACCTCCTGCACACAGGTGAGTCTGTGTCTGCGACCAGGACCAGTGACACCATAGGACACTGAGTGAAATCTCGAGAACATAACTGTGAGGCTCAGAAGGAGTAGTCAGCACATGCAACTCCCCGGGCTGAGTCAGCTGCCGGTGTTGAGGTCGGAGCTGATCAGCCTCCTGGAATGTGACATGCTGTACCCTGACTAATATTCCGGCTGAATCAGAGCTTTGCTCGTAATGAGAGGCAAGTCTCGAGCCAGTCACCCTCTGGCCCATGTGAGACTGGGAATTCAGAATCAGCCGGGAGTGACAGAAAGCCAGGTCTGGCTGGCACGCCTGGGTGGGTGTTTACAGCACGCGGGCTGCCAGCTGTGACCAGCTCTGAAGGGAGCCAGGGCCAGAGGATGCAGGTGCAGAGGACAGGCGCCCGGAGGAAGTGGGAGGAGAGGCGGCCACAGGGCTGGGGCCCCACTCTGGGTGCCCCTGGAGCCATGCAGGGGGTGGGTTCACCCCCTTACCGCCATTTAACATGTGAGGTGGATCGTTCTCTGGGGTGGGTCATCCTGGGCACTGCAGGGTGCTGACAGTGTCCCTGGCCTCCACCAACTCCATGCCAGGAGCACCCCCAGTCATGACAACCACAAATATCCCCAGACATCACCCAGCGTCCCCTGGGACAGAAACACCTTGGTTGAGACCCTCTGGGATAGAAGATTCCACAGACCCCAAGAGATTCTGCATCCCATGATCCTCTGCCCTGCGGAGGTCCCAGGAGGCTGCACACATTGAAATCCACACCTGAGTGGGAAGAGAGAGAGGAGATGAGTCCCAGGAGCTGGGGCTCCCGGGTTTATGCCGTCTGCTCCATCTGGAGTTTATTCCAGTGTCTGGTGTGAGTAGGGAGGACACTCAGTTTATTCCCAAATAATTAAAGCAGGTCTCTCCCCCTGGGCACTGTGGACACTGACACTGGACTGTTCTCTGGGGTGAGGCCGTCCTGGGCACTGCAGGGTGCTGAGCAGCATCCCTGGCCTCCACCCACTCCATGCCAGGAGCATGGACCGATGTGAGGGAATATTAGTCAGGGAAGGTCCCACTTCCCTCCGTCATGACAATTACAGATGTCCCCCGACACCGCCCAGTGTCCCCTGAGGGGACAGAATTACCCCAGTTGAGACCCTGATTGAGTGAACCGATGAAGACAACACCGCCCAAGAGTGAAAGCAGGTGCCCACACCAGGAGCTTTGTTCGGGAATTCAGGGAGGGCTTCCTGGAGGAAGTGACATGAGTTGAGTGTTGCTAGTGCCCTGAAGGTGACAGGTGGGGTGGGGGATACAGGTGCAGAGATGGTTCCAGGACCTTGAAAAGGTGAGAGGGAGGGAGTGAGGAGGCCGCACGGCAGAGGCTGCATTTTATCCCGAGGGCAGGAGGGAGCCATAGCGGGTTCCGGCTCCACCCATGACAACAATCAATTGGTTTGGGTCCAGCCTCCCTGTGTGACAGATTAGGAAACTGAGGCACAGAGGGGGTGAGAGATGCCCCAGCCTCCTGTGGGTGGCAGAGATCCCGGTGGGTTTCCACGGTGCCGCTGGTCAGGCTGGTTTGGGGCAGGGGGCCGGCTTCAGGCCTGGGGCGGGAGCAGCATCAGCTTCACGTTCCCGCTGGAGACACGGGGTCAGGTGGGCACCCGCGGTCACTCTCTGCTTCTGTTTGGTAAAATGGGGGGTGATCACCACCCCTGCAGTCCAGGGTTGCTGCAGGGAGTAAATGAAATAATCAGGCCGGGCGCCATGGCTCACGCCTGTCATCCCAGCACTTTGGGAGGCCGAGGCGGGTGGATCACCTGAGGTCAGGAGTTCGAGACCAGCCTGGCCAACATAGTGAAACCCCATCTCTACTAAAAATACAAAAATTAGCCAGGCGTGGTGGTGGGCGCCTGTAATCCTAGCTACTTGGGAGGCTGAGGCAGGAGAATCGCTTGAACCCGGGAGGCGGAGTTGCGGTGAGCATCAGTGAGCAGTCCAGCCTGGGCGACAGAGTGAGACTCCGCCTCAAAAACAAAACAAAAACAAAAACAAACAAAAAACCCCAAAACCAAAATAATCAGCTCTGAAGTCCTTGTCTTGTGCCCAGCACGGTGAGGGCGCTACCTGCTCACCCTCTCACACCCTCATCTCCTCTCTGACCCAGCTTCCTCCTCCCCAAAGACTCTGCCCTTCACTGGCTTCCCTGGCAACCATGGAAACACTGGGAGGGGCATGGGTGACCCATGGCCCTTCTACAAGTTGGTGGCAGAACCTTGGTTCTCTGCTTCCTGATCCCCGTGACCGAGGAGAAGAGAGAAGTCTGGCTAATCTGGGAGCAGTGGCTCACGCCTGTAATCCCAGCACTTTCAGAGGCCGACATGGGAAGATCGCTTGAGGCCGGGAGTTTGAGACCAGCCTGGGCAACAGAGACCCCCCTCTATTTCTGCAAAAAATAAAAATAAAAACCCTGGCTGGGCACAGTGGCTCACACCTATAATCCCAGTGCTTTGGGGTGCTGAAGTGAGAGAATTGCTTGAGGCCAGGATTCAGGACCAGGCTCAGTAAAAGAGTGAGACCCCCTTGTCTACAAAAAAATTTTTAAAAATTAGCCGGGTGCAGTGGTGTGCACCTGTATTCCCAGCTATTCGGGAGGCTGAGGCAGGAGGATTGCTTGAACCCGGGAGGCGGAGGTTGCAGTGAGCTGAGATCGCACCACTGCACTCCAGCCTGGCGACAGAGCAAGATCTTGTCTCAAAAGAAAGGAAGAGGTCTAGAGGCCCCAGGGGACAACACATGCACCCTCGGCACAGGGCCCGAGCCCCCAGGGAGGTAAACCACAGGCGTCCACCCCTGCCTGGGGTCCGGCTCTGCACCCACAAGGAAAGGTGACAGCCAGGAGATGGCTTCTGTGCCCTGAGCTGACCTTGTCTTCCTGTCTCAGGGCAGGAGTGGCCCAGCCCACAGCGTGGAATTCTGCAAGCTCAGTAAACACCCTGGAGCCTGTGGGATGGGCTGGAGGGGCTCGGGCCCCTGTGCCCGCCTGCCCTCTGCCTGGGGGTAATTACCAGAAAGCCTCCCTCCTTCCCTCCTTCCCAGAAGGCACTGCTGGGCTCAGCCTCCTGCAGGTCAGGAGCTGCTAGGAATAGCCGCCAGGGCTGGCAACAGGTCACAGTCACTGCTCCGGAGACGAGAGGCCTGCTGTGCTGTGGCACCACCGGCAACCAGACAGAGGTGGAGCTCTGCCTGAGAGCCACTGGAGCACCTTTCTTTCTTTCTTTTCTTTTTTTCTTTTTCTTTTTTTTTTTTTTTTTTGAGACGGAGTCTCGCTGTCTCCCAGGCTGGAGTTAAGTGGCACAATCTCGGCTCACTGCAAGCTCCGCCTCCCGGGTTCTCGCCATTCTCCTGCCTCAGCCTCCGGAGTAGCTGGGACTACAGGCGCCCACCACCACGCCCGGCTAATTTTTTTTGTATTTTTATTGGAGACGGGGTTTCACCATGTTAGCCAGGATGGTCTCGATCTCCTGACCTCGTGATCCTTCCACCTCGGCCTCCCAAAGTGCTGGGATTACAGGCGTGAGCCACCGCGCCCGGCCCTTTCTTTCTTTTTTTAATTGTGGTAAAATATATGAAACATAGTATTTACCATCTTAGCCATTTCTAAGGGCTCAGTTCAGTGGCATTAAGCACATTTGCATGGTGCTGCACCCATCACCACCGTCATCTCCAGAACTTTCCATCTTCCCAGACTGAATCTCTGTCCCCGTGAAACACTTGCTCCCCGTCCCCTTCCCAGCCCTTGGCACCCCCCATCCTGCTTCCCTTGTACTGTTCGCTCATGTTCACAGCAGCCAAAAGGTGGAAGCAACTCAAGCGTCCATCAACAGATGGACTGTCTCTGTGAATCTGACGGCTCTAGGGACCTCCTAGGCGTGCAGTCACACAAGATTTGTCCTTTTCTTTTAGATGCAGTCTCGCTCTGTGGCCCAGGCTGGAGTGCAGCGGTGCGACCTCGGCTCACTGCAACCTCCGCCTCCCAGATTCAAGCAATTCTCCTGCTTCAGCCTCCTGAGTAGCTGGAATTACAGGCACCTGCCACTATGCCCGGCTAATTTTTGTATTTTTAGTAGAGATGGGGTTTCACCACATTGCCCAGGCTGGTCTCCAACTCCTGACCTCAAGTGATCCACCTGCCTTGGCCTCCCAAAGTGCTGGGATTAAAGGCGTGAGCCACCACACCTGGCCAATTTGGTTTTTTGTGTCTGGGTTCTCTCACTGAGCGTGACGTCCTCAAGGTGCATCCGTGTTGCAGCCTGTGTTGGGATTCCCTTCCTTTTCATGGCTGAGTAATATTCCATCATACAGATGCACCATGCTGTTTATCTGTCCATCTGTTGATGGACGCTTGGATTGATTGCTTCCACCTTTTGGGTGCTGTGAACATGAGTGAACAGTACAAGTATCTGTCCGAGCCCCTCCTTGCAATTCCTTTGGGTAAGGAACACCTTGTTTATTTGTTTTCTTGAGACCTGGTCTTGCTCTGTTGCCCAGGCTGGAGTGCAGTGGCACGATCACAGCTCACTGCAGCCTCAAATGCCCATGCTCAAGCGATCCTCCCATCTCAGCCTCCAAAGTAGCTGGGACTACAGGTGCACCACCACGCCTGGCTAATTATTTTTTTGTAGAGATGGGGTCTGGCTATGTTGCCCAGGCTTGGAACACCCCGTTTGTTCTGGGTTTGATACTACAGCCCAACCTGTGGTCACCTTTTTGCCTCCTGGGACACAGAAGAGCTCAGACTGAGCCTGGGTGTTGAGGACCTTAGCCGGAAAGTGGCTTCTCCCTCACCCACCCTCACTTGGCCACACACCCCCAGGAAGAAGGACCAATGTTTTCTATCAGTGGCCGTGCCCGGGGTGTCAGAGCTCTAGTGGTATAAATGATACACGGTGAAAGTGAAAACAAAGCCCTCCTCTCTGCCACGTTGCTCTCGCATTGAGCTCCCTTTCCCGGAAGCCCCCTCTCTGCCGCGTTGCTCGCATTGGGTTCCCCATCCCGGAAGCCTCCCTCTCTGCCGCGTTGCTCGCATTGGGTTCCCCATCCCGGAAGCCTCCCTCTCTGCCGCGTTGCTCGCATTGGGTTCCCCTTCCCGGAAGCCCCCTATCTGCCGCGTTGCTCGCGTTGGGTTCCCCTTCCCGGAAGCCCCCCTCTCTGCCGCGTTGCTCGCGTTGGGTTCCCCTTCCCGGAAGCCCCCCTCTCTGCCGCGTTGCTCGCGTTGGGTTCCCCTTCCCGGAAGCCCCCTCTCTGCCGCGTTGCTCGCATTGGGTTCCCCTTCCCGGAAGCAGCTGGTGTTGCCAGTTTCGGGGGCTTTCCCTGGAGATGGGCTGAATCCCCAGCCCTCATTACTGACCATTGACTTCTGCAGGGCTTATCCCGCACCCTTTGCAAGCTTAAAAACCACCAGGAGCCGGGCGCGGTGGCTCATGCCTGTAATCCCAGCACTTTGGGAGGCCGACACAGGCGGATCACAAGGTCAGGAGATCGAGACCATCCTGGCTAACATGGTGAAACCCCGTCTCTACTGAAAATACAAAAAATTAGCCGGGTGTGGTGGCGGGCGCCTGTAGTCCCAGCTACTCAGGAGGCTGAGGCAGGAGAATGGCGTGAACCCGGGAGGCAGAGCTTGCAGTGAGCCGAGATCTCGCCACTGCACTCCAGCCTGGGTGACAGAGCAAGACTCCGTCTCAAAAGAGAGAGAAAAAAAAAAAAAGTTGATGAGGGTTTTGGGCAGGCAGAGGGAATCGAACTCACTCCTCCGTGGTGATCAGCATGAAGGAAGGGGAGAGAAAAGGGGCAGACGAGCCTCTTGTGGCTGCCATAACAGGTGACCACAGACCCGGAAGTATCAATCCGCAGACGTGTGTCCTCTCACGGTTCTGGAGGGCAGAAGTACTAAACCAAGCTGTCTGCAGAGCTGTGCTCCCCTGGGCGCTACAGGAGAGGATCCTTCCGCGTCCTCTGGCTTCTGGGGGCTCTGGCAAACCTGGCTTGTGCTTACCGTCGAATTGCTCCAGTCTCTGCTTCTGTTTTCTGCTGTCTCTCTGTGTCTCCTTCTTTGTTTTTGTTTGTTTGTTTGTTTGTTTGTTTTAGATGAGGTCTTGCTCTGTCACCCAGGCTGGAGTGCAGTGGTGCCATCTTGGCTCACTGCAACCTCTGCCTCCCAGGTTCAAGCAATTCTCCTGCCTCAGCCTCCCGAGTAGCTGGGATTACAGGCGCGCACCAACACGCCCGGCTAACTTTGTGTTTTTAGTAGAGATGAGGTTTGTCCATGTTGGTCAGGCTGGTCTCGAACTCCTTATCTCAGGTGATCTGCCCACCTCGGCCTCCCAAAGTGCTGGGATTACAGGAGTGAGCCACTGTGCCCAGCCATTTTTCTTTAATTAATTTTTTGTGTCTGGAGTCTTGCTGCTGTGTTGCACAGGCTGGAGTGCAGTGGCAGCATCATAGCTCACTGCAGCCCTGAAATCCTAGGGCTCAAGCAATCCTCCCGCCTCAGCTTCCCGAGTAGCTGGGACCACAGGTGTGGACCACCACATCCAGCTTCAACATAAGTTTTAAGCAAATGCAATTAGTCCGTAACAGTCATTTTCCGAGGTTCCCCGTGGACAAGAATTTTGAAGGGACGTCACTAAACCCCTTGCAAGGGAAGTGAGCTTTACTCAGGTCTCAGGAAGCTCCTGGGGTGTGCAGGAAGGGGCGAGGTCACCCCAGGAGGAAGGCGCTGTGCTAAGGAAAGGTGACTGTTGATGGGGCCCCCGTTTGCAGAAACCTGTATGAGTCGTACCACCTCTGTGTAATCTGCCACCTTCAGAGCGCCTGCAGGAAGGCGGCCACGTCACCCCTTTTATAAATGAAACTGGAAGCTCAGGCTGGGAAACCCAAGGTCACAGAACCCAGCCTCAAAGGCAGCCAGCATTTCCACCGCAGGAGTCTGTTCTCTGCACAGAGCTGTCTTGCTCTGTTGCCCGGAGCCAGAGTGCAATGGCACGATTTCGGCTCACTGCAACCTCCACTTCCCGGGTTCAAGCAATTCTCCTGCCTCAACCTCCCAAGTAGCTGGGATTACAGGCGCACAACACCACGCCCAGCTAACTGGCCGACCCACGTTGGCTGGGGGTGCTGACGGCATAAGCTCACCCCTAGGTCCCTCTAGGGTGGCCGATGACAGGACCCTAAGAAGCTCACCCCCAGCTGGGATGTTTCGTTGAAAATCTTCTCTTTTGCCTTTAGTTGCTTGAAAACATTGGACTCATACCCAAGAGCTTTCTAATTGGTTTCGATAGGAAACGGTTCTGAGGTTTCGCCTTTTTTAATATCCTGTTGGTCTGAGACTGGAGTGGCCCCTGGGGTGGCAGGTTTCCCGGTGCATGGGCCCAGCTCTGGTGTGTGGGTTGGGGGATCAGGACAGAGGTTTGTGAGGGGGGCAGTGACCTGCCTGCAGAGAGAGGGGTCGGGACGACGGCCTGTAGCCAGGGTGCAGGGGGATCTGCCTTTCTTTCATTCTACAGGGTCCTCTCCTCTCCCCTCCCCTCCCCTCCCCTCCCCTCCCCTCCCCTCTCCTCTTTTCTTTTCTGTTTTTGAGACAGAGTTTTGCTCTTGTTGCCCAGGCTGGAGTGCTATGGCGCGATCTCGGCTCACTGCAACCTGCAACCTCTACCTCCCGGGTTCAAGCAATTCTCCTGCCTCAGCCTCCCAAGTAGCTGCGAATACAGGCGCGCACCACCATGCCTGGCTAATTTTGTATTTTTAGTAGAGACGGGGTTTCTTTATGTTGGTCAGGCTGGTCTTGAACTCCCGACCTCAGGTGATCCGCGCCCCCCCCTCGTCCTCCCAAAATGCTAGGATTAGCTTTATTGAGATATAACTGACACAGCGTAAAACTCACCCTTTAAAAATGTGCAGCTCAGCGGTTTTTACATTCACAGAGTTGTGCAACCATCTCCTTTATCTAATTCCGGAACATCCTATCACCCCCAAAAGAAGCCCTGTCCCCCATGAGCAGTCACTCCCCATCTCCCCCCGGCAGCCCTGCCACACACGCATCCCCTCCCTGTCCCCATGGATGGGCCTGTCCTGGACATTTCGTAGAAATGGGATCACACACTGCGTGGCCCTCTGTCTCTGGCTCCTTTCATAGAGTGTGATGTCCTCAAGGTCCATCCACACTGTGGCCGGCATCAGAGCCTTGTTCCTTTTCATGGCTGAGTCCTGCTCCATGGTGGCGTTTGCTGTACCAGGTGGGACAGAATGGACATTTCAGTGGTCCTCCGATGTCTGACCTTGCCCTTCACCCTGATTAGGGCTCAGCCTTACTATAAACAAATACTTGCTATGAACTTACTATGTGCGAGGCCTGGGGTAGCAAACTTTTCTGCAGAGATCCAGATGGCAAATGTTTTAGCCTTTGCAGGCTGGACAGTCTCTGCCTGCCATTGTAGCGGGAAAGCCACCACAAGCAATATGTCAACAAGTGGGTGTGGCCGTGTGCCAATAAAACTTTATTTACAAAAACACACAGTCAGCTAGATGTGGTCCAGGGGCCGTAGTTAGCTAACCCCTGGCTTAGGACAAAGGTTCTCAAACTCTCTGGTCCTGACGATTATTCCAAGGAGCTTTTGTTTATATGCCTTCTACTTACGGATATTTGTTGAATTTGAAATCAAAACTGAGAAAATGTCAATCAAATAGGTATTCATTCATTTTAAAATAGCAATTATAAGCTCTCAGGGTAGCCAGAATGACATTTTTTGTTTGTTTGTTTTTCATGGATAGTAACCGTTTTCTTAAAGAGACAAACAAAAAAGTTCATGGAAATACCAAAGAAAGACCAAGAAACTGAGAGCCCAGAGGAACCCACGGAGATGGGACGGTCAGATGCCACATGGGCTCCTGGATGGGGTCACAATGGGGCAGGAAAGGTCGTGAGGGGAAAACTGAGGGAAGCTGAATCGCTGTGGCATTTGGTTACTAGGAAGGTGCCAGCGTTCCCCAGCTGTGAGCAATGCCCTGTGGTTACACAGGGTGGCCCCTGAAGAGGAAGCTGGTGAGGCGTGGGCGGGGACTCTCTCTTTGCAACTTTCCTGTAAATCTAAAATTACTCCAAATAAAATTGTTTATTAAAAAAAAAATAGAACAGGCTGGGCACGGTGGCTCACGTCTGTAATCCCAGCACTTTGGGAGGCCGAGGCGGGTGGATCATTTGAGGTCAGGAGTTCGAGACCAGCCTGGACAACATGGCGAAACCCCGTCTCCACTGAAAATACAAAAATTAGGTGGGTGTGGTGGCACGTGCCTGTAATCCCAGCTACTTGGGAGGCTGAGGCAGGAGAATCGCTTGAACAGGGGAGGTGCAGGTTGCAGTGAGCTGAGGTTGCACCACTGCACTCCAGCCTGGGCAACAGAGTGAGATACACACACACACACACACACACACACACACACCACACACATACAGGTAGAAAAGAGAAAAATGTGGCTGAGAGCTTTGCAAGGGGCATGGGTGAGGAGTAATCTGTGTCCTCAGTGCCCTGGGGTTGGCAGGGATTTGGGCAAGATGGAGAAGCTGGTGAGTGGAAGAGTAGATGGAAGGCCAACCCGTCGGTCAGTCGCAAATATTGACCCGACACTCACTGTGTGCCAGGGACAGCCTAGGTGCTGGGGGCCCAGCCTGATACAGGTGGAATCAAGTCCTGTTCTCAGGGAGCATGTGTCACACAGAGACAGCACATGCCCAGACACACTGGCAAACCAAACAGAGGGTCTTAGAAGATAAGGAAATAGTCACGCCTGTAATCTCAGCGCTTTGGGAGGCCGAGGTGGGAGGATCACTTGAGGCCAGGAGTTTGAGACCAGCCTGGGCAACATAGCAGGACCGTATCTCTACAAAACATTTAAAAAATTAGCCGGGCATGGTGGTGCACACCTGTAGTTCCAGCTGCTCTGGAGGCTGAGGTAGGAGGATCACTTGAGCCCAGGAGGCTGAGGTTGCGGTGAGCTGTGACTGCACCACTGCACTCCAGCCTGGGCAACAGAGCAAGACCCTATCTCAAAAAAAAAAAAAATAAAAAGGAAAAGACAAAATAGGATGAGGTGGCACCAAGAGGAGAGAGTCTGTGCCACGTGGTGTCCAGGAAGGTCTCTAAGGAGGGGACATCCTTGCCAACCCCTGCAGGATGGGGAGGAGCATTGAAGGCAGGAGGAAGGACATTCCGGAGGGCTCCCTGGAAGCGGAGGTCTGGGAGCCACGGGAGGGGACCCAGGCCAGGTCTTTGAGGGCTGGAGGTGGAGAGGAGGATGGGGAGAAGAACAGTCTGAAGCATCATGGCAGAATGTCCTTGGTCTGAGGTGACCTAGTGTGGCTTCTTGATCAGATTGATGGGGTCCTCAGAGCTCACAGCCCAAGGCAGGGTCAGAGCTGCAGGGCTGGGCCGGGCTCAGTGCCTGGATGGCTGGTGAGCTCTGCCTCCCTGAAAGATCCAGTTTCTGGTCCAGGCCAGCGGTTCTTAAGTGGGACAGGTTTGCCTCCAGGGGACTCTGGGTGATATCTGGGGACATCTGTGGTTGTCACGACTGGAGATGCTCCTGGCATGGAGTGGGTGGGGGTCAGGGACGCCACTCAGCACCCTGCAGTGCACCAGGATGGCCCCATCCCAGAGAATGATCCAGCCCTGAACGTCAGAGACTTTGGGTTAACGGAATGTAATTAGGCTGAAATAAGCTAAAGTTTTTCCGATAGTCACGTGCTGGGCAGCACACTGGTGGAAGGCTGGTGCAAAGCTTTCATGCCAGAACCTTCTGATTCCAAGACACTTTCATTCACAGTCACCTGCATGACCAGGGAGGCGGAGCTGCACTTATCCCGTGACCCCAGATGAGGAAACAGTCAGAGGAAGAGGCGGGCAGAACCCGGGCCCCACTGCTCTTGGCAGCTCTTGGAAACATCCTCCCCTAGGGCCCTGGTCACCAGCCTTGCCCAAGAACCCACCAGCTATATTTGTCTGGTTTTTTTTTTTGAGATGGGGTTTTGCTCAGGCTGGAGTGCGATGGCGTGATCTCGGCTCACTGCAACCTGCAACCTCTGCCTCCCGGGTTCAAGCAATTCTGCCTCAGCCTCCTGAGTAGCTGGGATTACAGGCACCCGCCACCATGCCCGGCTAATTTTGTATTTTTAGGAGAGACGGGGTTTCTCCCTGTTGGTCAGGCTGGTCTCAAACTCCTGACCTGAGGTGATCCGCTCGCTTTGGCCTCCCAAAGTGCTGGGATTATAGGCATGAGCCACCACACCCAGCCTTTCTTTGTTTGTTTT
This sequence comes from Homo sapiens, assembly GCF_000001405.40. Taxonomy (NCBI): domain Eukaryota; kingdom Metazoa; phylum Chordata; class Mammalia; order Primates; family Hominidae; genus Homo; species Homo sapiens. Next base: position 2,616,478 of record NC_000019.10, on the reverse strand, counting down.
TTAATAGAGATGGAGTCTCTAGCCTGGCTAACATGACAAAACCTCATCTCTACTAAAAATACAAAAATTAGCTGGGCACGGTGGCACACGCCTGTAATCCCAGCTACTCGGGAGGCTGAGGCAGGAGAATCGCTGGAACACGGGAGGCAGAGGTTGCAATGAGTCGAGATCGTGCCATTGCACTCCAGCCTGGGCAGCAGAGCGAGACTCCGGCTCAAAATAATAATAATAAATTAGAGATGGGGTCTCACTATTTTGCCCAGGCTGGTTTTGAACTCCTGAGCTCAAGGGATCCTCTCGCCTCAGCCTCCCAAAGCACTGGGATCACAGGTGTGAGGTGCCATGCCTGGCCCACACCAGCTGTGTTTAATCAATGCTGGGCAGCCCTGCAGCTTGGTGACATCAGTGGGCCACTGGCTACTGGGTGTTTTTTCCATCCTGCCCTGTTCCCTGCTGGCACCAGGGGAAAAAGGCCCATACAGGAGTCTGTTCCAGGTCACCAGATCCTGGGGTGGCCCGTAAGGATTTGAAGGGGACAGGAGGCGCCCCTTTGCCGAGGCCCTTCACTGTGTCAGGCACATTGCTGGCTGCCGTGGGTGCACAATCTTAGGGAACCCTCCTGCCTCCTCCGCCTTGCTGCTTCCTTGCAAAGAAAATTTCCCACTGCAGAGGGCAGCTTAATTGCTCAGCAGTGGCTCTTCAGAATCTCACAGATGGGCCAGGCGTGGTGGCTCATGCCTGTAATCCCAGCACTTTGGGAGGCCGAGGCGGGCAGATCATGAGGTCAGGACATCGAGACCATCCTGGCTAACATGGTGAAACCCCATGTCTACTAAAAATACAAAAAAATTAGCCAGGCGTGGTGGTGGGTGCCTGTAGTTCCAGCTACTCTGGAGGCTGAGGCAGGAGGATCACTTGAGCCCAGGAGGCTGAGGTTGCAGTGAGCTGTGACTGCACCACTGCACTCCAGCCTGGGCAACAGAGCAAGACCCTATCTCAAAAAAAAAAAAAAAAAAAAAAAAAACCGGAAAAGACAAAGAAAATAGGATGAGGTGGCACCAAGAGGACAGAGTCTGTGCCACGTGGTGTCCAGGAAGGTCTCTAAGGAGAGGACATCCTTGCCGACCCCTGCAGGATGGGGAGGAGCATTGAAGGCAGGAGGAAGGACATTCTGGAGGGCTCCCTGGAGGCGGAGGTCTGGGGGAGCCTGAATGGTGGGAACCTGGGAGGTGGAGTTTGCAGTGAGCCGAGATCGCGCCACTGCACTCCAGCCTGGGCGACAGAGCGAGACTCCGTCTCAAAAAAAAAAAAAAGAGTGTCACAGATGGCACCTTCAGACCAGACAGTGGCCGCCCAGTACCCCGAAAGTGGCCTAGAAAGCGGGGCTATTCCACACACCTTGCCCAGCCCAGCACTGAAGCCAGGGAAGGAGGGCTTGGGCAGGAGCCGCGGCACAAATCACAGCTGCAAGTTCTGGCTCTGCCAATGGCTACGGGGTGACCTTCAACAATCAGCTGCCTGCCTCCTGCCTCAGTGCCTTGTTTAAAAGCTGAGGAACGCCTTGGCATTGAGAATTGATGTGTGATGCAAGATGGGGCAGCCGCCTTGGAAACCAGTCTGGTGGTTCCTCAAAAGGCTGAACGCGGAGTCGCCACATGACCCAGCAATTCCGCTCCTAGTTATCTGCCCAGAGGAATTGGAAGCAGGTGTTCAAATAGAACCTTGCCACAAATGTTCATACAGTACGATTCACAATGGCTAAAAGGTGGAAATGACCCAAGTGTCCGTCCGTGGGTAAATAGATAAACAGCGTGGCCCTCCACACACTGGAACGAGACTCAGCCGTGAACGAGACTCTGACCCAGGCCACGTGCAGCCTGGATGCCCCTTGAGGATGTCACACTCAGTGAGAGATGCCAGATCCAAAAGGCCACACAGTGTGTCATCCTATTTCTATGAAATGTCCAGGACAGGCCAGTCTAGAGAGGCAGGAAGGGGATGTGTGGGTGCCAGGGGCTGGGGAGGGGGATGGGAAGTGACAGCTGATAGGGATGGGGTGTCTTTTTGGGGGGCTGAGAATGTTCTAGAGCTAGCTAGAGATGATGGCTGCACGAATGCCACTGGATGTCTGGAAAGGGAGCTTTTTTGTTGTGTGCATTTCACCACACATGTGCCTGAGACCCGACGTGCAGGGCCCCCCTGCGGGTACACAGAGGGCAGGGAGAGGGTGCTAGGGAAAGTCGCCGCACCTGCTTTCTGGCGACCATGCTCAGGCTGTAGCTGGGGGAACTCTCTTCCCGCCCTCCTGGGACCTCTCGAGCCTCTTGAGTCTGCTCCCAGTGCCGTTCACCGGGTGGTGAGGATGTGGTCTCGCAACAGACGCCTGCAACGGACCCACCTGTGCGAGGCTGGCCCCCTTTACCCCGGGGGTAGGCGCGGGGCCCGAGTTCCCTGGGTGGATTCTGCATTGCACTTGCCGGCCTTTAGATGTCGCTGTGGCCGTGGCCTTCGCTGGCCTTAGGCTGCGAGCTTCTGTCTGATTCGCACCTTTCTCATTCAGGATCCACACACTGCTGCAGTCCGAGTTTCTTGGCATAGCCAGGGTCCCTTGATCTTCCCCCTCACCAATTAATTAAATCAGGATCTCTCCTGCTAGGTACTGTGGACATCTGGGGCTAGATCCTCTGGGGTCTGGCCATCCTGGGCACTGCAGGGTGCTGAGTGGCGTCCTGGCCTCCACCCACTCCATGCCGGGAGCACCTCCAGGCATGACAACCACAAATGTCCCCAGACATTGCCCAGTGTCCCCTGGGGGCAGGATCACCCCTGATTGAGACCCCCCGCCCAGGTTAGGGGAATCCACAGATTCCCCAAGAGACTCTGCATTCCGTGACCATCTCTCCTACTGAGGTCCCAGGAGGCTGCACACATTGAAATCCACACCCTGAGTGGGGAGGGAGAGAGGAGGAAGAGTCCCAGGAGCTGGGGGTCCCCCTGGTTTATGCCATCTGCCCCGTCGGGAGTTTATTCTTGTATCTACTGTGAGCAGGAGCGGGGACAGATTGCATTCTCCCCAAATAATTAATGCAGGATCTCCCCCTCTCCAGGTAGTGTAGACACCTGCTCTTCCAATGAGGCAGTGGCTTGAGACAATGGACTTTAGATGAGGGGCTGAGAGCCCAAAGCCCCCCTATGTGTTAATTCAACACCTAATTCAACGTATAGTTCAAGCAAACTCACCTAATTCAACGTAGGTGCTAATTCAGCAAGAGACTGTGCAGCCTGTAGCAGGAAGTAGGCTGCAGCCACCAGCCGGGTTAAACTTGCATCAGAAATTCTTTGTCTGAATTCCTTTTCCACGTCCCTTAAACACCATCCCTTTCCCTGGCTGGTTCTACCTGGCTGCAGGGCCATGTTGGGACACTCAGGGCCTGGGGCACATTTGCCCTCCTAGGCTACCTCCTCCGCTCTAAAAATGTCCGACGTTGGCCAGGCACCGTTGTTCACATCTGTAATCTCAACACTTTGGGAGGCCGAGGCGGACGGATCACCTGAGGTCAGGAGTTCGAGACCATCCTGGCCAACATGGTGAAAACCCGTCTCTACTAAAAATACAAAATTAGCCGGGTGTGGTGGTGGGTACCTGTAGTCCCAGCTACCCAGGAGGCTCAGGCAGGAGAATTGCTTGAACTGGGAGGTGGAAGTTGCAGCGAGCCGAGATCGCACCGCTGCCTGGGCGACACAGCAAGACTCTCAAAAAAAAAAAAAAAATTTCTCAAAAAAAAAAAAAAATTCTAAGCTGTATTTTACAATTGTCTTGGCATAAAGACAAACAGAATCCAGGCTGGATTCATGATTATACACTCACAAGTATTTTATTCATCTTTTGTCGACTGGATTTTAAAACATTTCCAGGAACCCTGGACCTGGGGCTTTTGTGCCGTGGGAGCCTGGGTCCTGCCTGGGGGGGGTCCTGGCTTCAGTCTTCTCACTGAGGCCCCTCCCCTCTCCCAGGCTGGGTCACCCCGATATGAAATGCCCAGGTCCCAGACACACCTTCTTTGCAGGCTGCTACCCTGGAACTGTTTTTAAATGTGGGTGATGCTGCCCCCCAGGGGGCACTGGGCGATGTTTGGGGACGTGTGGTTATCACAACTGGGATGCTCCTGGCATGGAGTGGGCGGAGGTCAGAGATGCTGCTGAGCACCCTGCAGTGCCCAGGATGGCCCCACCCCAGAGAAGGATGGGGCCCCAGGGGAGACCGTAGACCAAAGTCAATCCAATTATTAAAAAGAAAGAAAGATTTGGCCGGGCGCGCTGGCTCACACCTGTAGTCCCAGCACTTTGGGAGGCCAGGGTAGGCGGATCACGAGGTTGAGAGATCGAGACCATCCTGGCCAACATGGTGAAACCCGGTCTCTACTAAAAATACTAAAATTAGCTGGGCGTGGTGGCGGGTGCCTGTAGTTCCAGCTACTTGGGGAGGCTGAAGCAGGAGAATCGCTTAAACTCGGGAGGCGGAGGTTGCAGTGAGCTGAGATCACACTACTGCACTTCAGCCTGGTGACAGAGCGAGACTCCATCTCAAAAAAAAAAAAGATTTTTATTTTTATTTACTTTTACTTTTACTTTTTATTTTTTTAGAGACAGAATCTCCCTCTGTCGCCCAGGCTGGAGAGCAGTGGCGCGATCAACGCTCAGTGCAGCCTCCACCTCCCCGGTTCGAGCGATTCTCCTGCCTCGGTCTCCTGAGTAGATGGGATTACAGGCGCCCGCCAGCATGCCCGGCTAATTTTTAATTTTTTGTAGAGACCTGGTGTTGCTCTCTTGGCCAGGCTGGTCTCGACCTTCTGAGCCCAAGTTATCCTCCCACCTTGGCCTCTCCAAGTGCTGGGATTACAGGCGTGAGCCATTGCACCCGGCCTAAGAGATATTTTTAAATGGTATTATCAAATAAATCATTAAATAGATTCGGGCTATGCACCGTCTTGCCCACCTGCCTTCAAGCCCCACGCAGGACGGGACCCCCTCCTGCCACGGTCCTGGGACGGGGCACCTCGAGCTCACTCAGTGGTGACAGCGAGGCCGCCTGTCGGGCCATGACCAGCAGGTGGCAGCACAGACCAGCTCCCGGGAGACCTGTCCTGGCTCCAGCTCCCAGCGTCCCAGAAACACCGCAGTCTAGACGCTCGCCAGGCGGAATTCCTCGCCCCTGAAGTCAGTCTGCGTGTAGACATTCGCGATACCAGCTCCCAGTCATCATTTCCCACTCTGCGTCTCCCAGGCTGTCTCGCCAGGGCCCTGGATCCCTGGGCTGAGCGGCTTAGTAAGGGTCGGGGTGGCGGGGAACCCTGGGCGCCGCACCCGGTGCGAGGGGCCCACTTCCCAGAAAGCAGATTGCGAGAGGGAAGCCATCCAAGGCCGGTGCCGGGCGTGGTCCTTTCTGAGAATGTTGAGGACGCTTCCCCCCCCCCGAGCCTGGCACGTGAGCCCGTTCCCCCCCTCCCACCCGCCCCCTCGTCCCCACCGCCTGATAGGAACTGAAAGTGTCAAGTTTAGTGCCCAGGAGACAGGTGTCTGCACGCTCAGGCCGACTGAAACCAAACCTGGCCTGGGAGAAACGTATCCCAGGGGCCACCTGGGTCCCTGAGGCCGCTTTGGTTCAAACCTCTTCTGAAACCTGTCAGCATCTTGCAACAATAAAAGAGGGTCTCTTGTGCCTGCAATCCCAGCACTTTGGGAGGCTGAGGCGGGAGGATCGCTTAAGCCCAGGAGTTTGAGACCAGCCTGGACAAGACAGCAAGACCCCGTCTCTACTAAAAAATAAAAAAATTAGTGGCCGGGCGTGATAGCTCATGCCTGTAATCCCACCACTTTGCGAGGCGGGTGGATCACCTGAGGTCAGGAGTTTGAGATCAGCCTGGCCAACATGGTGAAACCCCGTCTCTACTGAAAACACAAAAATTAGCTGAGCGTGGTGGCAGTTGCCTGTAATCCCAGCTACTCAGGAGGCTGAGGCAGGAGAATCGCTTGAACCCAGGAGGCAGAGGTTGCAATGACCCAGGATCACACCACTACACTCCAGCCTGGGCGACAGAGCAAGACTCTGTCTTAAAAAAGTAATAATAAATAAATAAAAATTAAAAAAAAAAAAGCCAGGTGTGGCAGTGCACACCTATAGTCCAAGCTGCTCGGGAGGCTGAGGCAGGAGTATTGCTTGAGTCCAGGAGGCTGAGGCTGCAGTGAGCCATGATTGCACCACTGCACTCCAGTCTGGGCGACAGGGTGAGACCCTGTCTCCAAAAAAAATAAAAAATTAATAATAATAATAAATAAAGAAGGTCTTTGTCATGTTATCCGAGGCCACCTGAGCTGTCCCCTGGGGCAAGGCCCTTGCCAGAGGCTTCCCCGTGCTGTCATCATCTTGACCCGGTGATACTAACCTCTGAGAGTTTAGGGGAGGGAGGGGGCCCTCTACTTTTGGGAGCACTGGGTGGGGAGCCTGGCAGGTGCTCGGTGGTAGTGACGGACCTTGGCCGTTTAAGGTGCACGCTCTCCTGCTTTTCCTGTACCGTTCAATTTCCTCACTCGTGGTCAGGGAGCTCCAGAAGTGCACTGAGTTCACTGGCTCACCGAGGGTCCCCCAATGGCCCAGAGGCACCCCCAGGTCCCACTGGATTGTCCTACGGTGGCCAGTCTGCAGCTGTGAGCTCTGGGGACCAGTTCCTTTAACCCAGCGTGATGGTTTGCTGGGGCTCTGTAACCTCAAGCCACAGACTGGAGGAGGGCTTTAGCAACAGAGATTTCTTCTCTCTCTTGGTTCTGGAGGCTGGAAGTCCAAGACGGTAACAGGTGGGACCCTGTCTGCTCTGGCACTCGGGACGTGGTGCGCAAACATCACTGCAATCCACCCAGCTGTCCTGCACAACGGGATTCCAGCAATGGCCAAAATAAGGCTCACGGAAGAGAGCCTGAGGTCCTCCAGCAAGTGAGCGGCTAAACTGCAGTTGTTACCCGGACCTGTCGGCTCCCAAATCCCAGGGCAGGACCAGGGTCAGGCAAGCAATGTATTCACACTGGGCACAAAATTGAAGGGGGCGCTAAAAAACCTCAGCGACCAAGATGAAATAACACTTTAGTGTAAAACAAAAATTAGCTGGGTGGGGTGGTACGTGCCTGTAGTCCCAGCTCCACAGGACACTGAGGTGGGAGGATCATGAGGCTAGGAGTTCAAGACCAGCCTTGGCAACATAGTGAGACCCCCATCTCTACGAAAAATTAAAAATTAGCCAGGTGTGGTGGTGCATGCCTGTAATCCCAGCTACTCGGGAGGCTAAGGCAGGAGGATTGCTTGAACCTGAGAGGCAGAGGTTGCGGTGAGCCAAGATCGCACCACTGCACTCCAGCCTGGAAGATGGAGTGAGACCCTGTCTCAAAACAAAAAAAGAGAGAGAGAGAGAGAGAGAGAATGTACAAGAACTAGGTAGGCATGATGTTTGTACAACGTTGTGAATGTGTTGAATGCCACTGAATTGTTCACTTTAAAATGCTTAATTTTACATTATGCAAACCTTACCTCAGTTTCTTTAAAAAGCGGGTCAGAAGGTGGCTTTGGAGAAGGCACACTGATTTTGGCTGTGGTTGCAGGCCTGCAGGGGTCTGATGAGGCCCTCAGTGCCAGCAGACAGGGTTACCTGGAGTGGGGAACGCAGCAGGCCCCCTGACAGCCTCAGTGCAGACCCCGGGAGAGTGTGTCCTCCGTGTCTGCCCCATGCAGGGAAGGCCTTTGAGACTCTGCCATCTGCATCCCCTGCTGCAGAGAGAGGGGGTTGCCCGGGAGGCACCCGGCCCCTTGCCCTGGGGTGTCCGGTGGCAGCCAGGGGAGCTCCTCCAGGTTTCCAGGTTGCTGGTCTCGTGACTCTGCAGATGACTCGAGAGGCACAGGTGTGCCTGCATCTGGGGACACGTGAGCCTGCTGCCCGTCCCTGGATTACTGACCTGCGTCATTTGGGGGTGCAGGGGAGCTGCACCGAGGCCGTCAGTGTGCCTGCTGGGGCGCCCACCTCCAGAGACGATCTCTGTCCTCCCGTGTGTGTGAAGAGCCCGTCCCTCCAGCCCGCAGGCCTTGCCTTGCAGGGGCTTCGGGGACTTTTTTTTTTTTTCCCAGGGGCAAATCCCACGTGGGCGGAACCTCTCCGCAGCAGGTATTACTCTTGCGTTTCGGTCTTTCTGCTCCTCAGACATCCCCGCTCTTTTCCTCCACCCACGCTTCGCCACCTGTGAATCGTTCTGACTTTTAGGTGTGAAACCGACGTGCCACGCTCTGTGTCATGAGTGGCAGGGCGGCGACCTCAGCCTAACCTTTATTTATTTTTTTTTTCCTCCACCTTCCCACTGACTTGGCTTAACCTTTTTTTTTTTTTTTTTCTCAAATACCATCTGATCTTCTGATCTCCCTCAAAGAGCTGCGTCTCAGGTCGCAGGTGAACTTTCTGGATGGTGTGGTCTGCGTGCGTGTGTGCGTCTGGCTGCCTGCCAGGAGGGAACCGCTGTTGCTGCCCTGTGTCGCTGTCGCCTGAACGTATTGCTGTCCTGGGGGGACTGCTCCCTAGAAAGCCTCCGTGCCGTGTCGTTGGTGAGCGCCGGTCTGTGCTGACACTGCAGGCTACTTCCCAGTGCCCACGATGACAGCTCTGCCTCTGAAGTGAGAAGCGGAGACGCCACTGGGAGGGGCGGGGGGCGGAGGGCACGGGGTTCAAGTGCCAGGCTGAGCCTACATGGGAGGTACTTGCAGACTGGCCCCAAGTGGGTTTTATGTGTTGTTAAAATACATAACAATGTAGTTTAGCTTGCCCCATCCTAATATGTATTTCTTTTTCTTTTTTCTTTTCTTTCTTTCTTTTTTTTTTTTTTTTTACCATTTTAGTCTTTCTTTTTTTTTTTCTTTTTGAGATGGAGTTTCACTCTTGTCGCCCAGGCTGGAGTGCAATGGTGCGATCTCGGCTCACTGCAACCTCTGCCTCCCAGGTTCAAGCAATTCTCCTGCCTCAGCCTCCCAAGTAGCTGGGATAACAGGCGCCTGCCATCATGCTCGGCTAATTTTTTGAATTTTTAGTAGAAACTAAAAATGTTAGGGTTTCTCCATGTTGGCCAGGCTGGTCTTGAACTCCCGACCTCAGATGATCTGCCTGCCTCGACCTCCCAAAGTGCTGGGATTACAGGTGTGAGCCACCACACCTGGCCTTCTTTTTTTTTTTTGACACAGGGTCTTGCTCTGTCGCCCAGGCTGGAGTGCAGTGGTGCGATCACAGCTCACTGCAGCCTCAACCTCCTGGGCTCAAGTGATCCTCCCACCTCAGCCTCTTGAGTAGCTGGGACTACAGACACACACCACCATGCCCAGCTAATTTTTAAATTTTTCGTGGAGACAGGGTCTCGCTGTGTTGCCCAGGCTGGTCTCAAAATCCTGGGCTCAAATGATCCCCCCGCCTCGGCCTCCTGAGGTGCTGGGATTACAGGCATGAGCCACGGTGCCCGGCCCTTGTTTACTGTTCAAAAGTTTGCAACTCCATGGCATTATTTCCATGAACACTGCGTGCAAACACCAGCACTATCTATCTAGTTCCAGAAACTTGTCATCACCGAGAATGGGAACCTTCTCAGTTTAGTTTTGGAATGTTCCAAAGAGACTGCACCATCCGAGCATGTTATTGGTCTTCCTTGCCTTGGCTGCCTTCTCTCATCCTGACTTTTTATTTTTGAGACAGGGTCTAACTTTTTTTTTAAATTAATTAATTAATTAATTAATTAATTATTTTTTTTTGAGACAGAGTTTCACTCTTGTTGCCCAGGCTGGAGTGCAGTGGCACAATCTTGGCTCACCGCAACCTCCACCTCCCGGGTTCAAGCGATTCTGCTGCCTCAGCCTCCTGAATAGCTGGGATTACAGGCGTGCACCACCACACCCAGCTAATTTTTGTATTTTTAGTAGAGATGGGGTTTCTCCATGTTGGTCAGGCTGGTCTCGAACTCCTGACCTCAGGTGATCTGCCCACCTCAGTTTCCCAAAGTGCTGGGATTACAGGCATGAGCCACTGCACCTGGCCAGAAACAGAGTCTAACTTTGTCACGCAGGTTGGAGTGCAGTGGTGCAATCTCGGCTCACTGTAGCCTCCAACTCCTGGGCTCAAGTGATCCTCCCACCTCAGCCCCCCAAGGACTACAGGTGCACACCACCACGCCCAGCTAATTTTTGTATTTTTTGTAGAGATGGGATCTCACTATGTTGCCCAGGCTGGTCTCAAACTCCTGGGCTCAAGCAATCCACCCACCTCGGCCTCCCACAGTGCTGGGATTACGGGCGTGAGCCACCCAGCCTCTTCCTGACTCTTAAAAGCGGCTTGCTTGCTTGGAAGCTTGCCCGACTGCGGGGCATGGAGGCATTTCCTGTGAGCATCTATGTTTGCCCTGAAAAGAGACTTTGTATGTCGTGTGAGTAATGCCCCCAAAGATATTGGCTCCTAAATGTCTGGAACCTGTGAATTTTCCCTTATAGGACAAAGAGGTCGCAGAAGTGATCACATGAAGGATCTTCAGACGGCAGATTATCCTGGGTTCTCCAGGTGGACCCTAAACAATTACAAATGTCCTTATAAGAGTGAGATTTTGGCAGGCTGCGGTGGCTCACACCTGTCATCCCAGCACTTTGGGAGGCCAAGGCGGGCAGATCACGAGGTCAGGAGATCGAGACCATGCTGGCCAACATGGTGAAACCCCGTCTCTACTAAAAATACAAAAATTAGCTGGGTGTGGTGGCGCATGCCTGTAATCCCAGCTACTCGGGAGGCTGAGGCAGGAGAATCACTTCAGCTGAGGAGGCAGAGGTTGCAGTAAGCCAAGATCAAGCCACTGCACTCCAGCCTGGGCAACAAAGCAAGACTCTGCCTCAAAAAAAAAAAAAAAAAAAAAAAAGTGAGATTTGGCCAGGTGTGGTGGCTCACACCTGTAATCCCAGCACTTTGGGAGGCTGAGGCAGGAGGATCACTTGAGGCCACAAGTTTGAGACCTGTTTGGCCAACATGGTGAAACCCCGTCTCTACTAATAATACAAAAATTAGCTGGGCATGGTGGCAGGTGCCTGTAGTCCCAGCTACTCAGGAGGCTGAGGCAGGAGAATCACTTGAACCCAGGAGGCGGAGGTTGCAGTGAGCCGAGATGGTGTCTGGTGCACTCCAACCTGGGCAACAGAGAGAGACCTTGTCTCAAAAAACAAACAAAAAAAACAACAGTGAGATTTGACACATGAGGAAAGGCATGGGGAGATGGAGGCAGAGACTGGAGCCATGTGGGCTCAAGCCAGAGGATGCCTGGAGGCCCCAGAAGCTGGAGGAGGCAGGAAGGATCCTCCCCTGGAGCCTCCAGAGGGAGCACGGCCTTGCCCACATCTAGATTTCTGACCTCCAGAGCCATAGAGAATCCATTTCCATTGTTTTAAGCCACCAGATCCGTGTGACTTGTTATAGCGGCTTCAAGCCACTCATACTGACAGCCAAAAGGACTTGGACTCCAACGACAGAATCTAGTTCATCCCAGGATTTCAGGTGGTTTCTTGGGCCTAATACTTCTAAGAGAGGGGAAGCCGCCACTGGATTGTTTCCTTCTCGCCACTGCCCTGCATCTCTGTCTGGGAAAAGCATTCAAACAAACCACACTTTGTTCTTGAACTTGGGGTGGTGTGAAAATCACATAATAGGGCAGAAAACTTTCTCTTTTCCCTCCCTCCCTCCCCACTCCCTCCCTTCCTTCCTTCCTTCCATTCATTCTTTTTTTTTTTTTTTTTGAAGGAGGGTCTTGCTCCGTTGCCCAGGCTGGAGTGTCTAGGGCAGAAAACTTTCTCTTTTTCCTCCCTCTGTCCCTCGCTTCCTTCCTTCCTTCCCTCCCTCGCTCCCTCCCTCCCTCCCTCCCTCGCTTCCTTCCTTCCTTCCTTTCATTCATTTTTTTTTTTTTTTGAAGCAGGGTCTTGCTCCGTTGCCCAGGCTGGAGTGCAGTGGCGCAGTCCTAGCTCACTGCAGCCTCGACTTCCTGGTTCAAGCCATCCTCCTGCTTCAGCCTCCAGAGTAGCTGGGACCACAAGCACACGCCACCACATCCGGCTAATTTATTTTTATTTTTTGTAGTGATGGGGTCTTGCTATGTTGCCCAGGCTGGTCTCAAACTCCTGGCCTCAAGCGATCCTCCTGCCTCGGCCTCCCAAAGTGCTGGGAGACGGGCATATTATGCTGCACCTGGCTAAGACCACTTTTCAGTGTGTTAAAACAGGCACTTCTCGAGACCCGGCACGGTGGCTCACGCCTGTAATCCTAGCACTTTGGGGGGCCGAGGCGGGTGGATCACGAGGTCAAGAGATCGATACCATCCTGGCTAACACAGTGAAACCCCGTCTCTACTAAAAATACAAAAAATTAGCGGGGCGTGGTGGCGGGCGCCTGTAGTCCCAGCTACTCAGGAGGCTGAGGCAGGAGAATGGCGTGAACCCAGGAGGCAGAGCTTGCAGTGAGCCGAGATTGCACCACTGCACTCCAGCCTGGGTGACAGAGCGAGACTCTGTCTCAAAAAATAAAATAATAATAATAATAATAAAAGAACAGGCACTTCTCCCTTAAACGCTTAGTTCCTCCTTCTGTAAAATAAATCTAGGTGACACAATCTCTGAAATCCTTTCCAGCTTGAACACGCTAGGAAAAACTGGGAGATCTATGAACAGTGAATAAAAATGAACTGAAATGATCCTCCTAGCTGCAGGGGCTTCTGATGCCTGCATTCTCCAGATGGTTGGTTTCCTAAATTTAGCCGCCGCCCCGCAAGGGTGAGCCCTGCATAGTTTTTGGTCGATCTCCAGTCCAGGCTGTGAATACACAGCCCTGATTTGCATTTCTGAACCCTCGGGGATGGCTGGATTCCTCGGGCTACTCTGCTTGGAATTTTCAGCCCCAGAGAGCCACCGCGGTCTCACCGGATGCCGGTCCCACCCGATGCGAGAAGCTCCGGGGGTTCCCCCTCATTCTGGCATCAGCTCCCTCTCTGCAGCCTGTGGAACAGAAAGAACACAGCTTTAGGCCGGGCACGGCGGCTCACGCCTGTAATCCTAGCACTTTGGGAGGCCGAGGCGGGTGGATCACGAGGTCAGGAGATCGAGATCACCCTGGCTAACACGGTGAAACCCCGTCTCTACTAAAAATACAAAAATTAGCCAGGCATGGTGGTGCGCACCTGTAATCCCAGCTACTCGGGAGGCTGAGGCAGGAGGATCGCTTGAACCCGGGAGGCGGAGGTTTCAGTGAGGCAAGACTGTGCTATTGTGCTCCAGCCTGGGCAACAAGAGCGAAACTCCATCAAAAAAAAGAACAGAACAGAACAGAAAAGAGAAAAAGAAAGAAAGAAAGGGAAGGAAGGAAGGGGAAAGGAAAGGGAGAAAGAAAAGAAAGGAAGGAAGGAAAGAGAGAGAGAAAGAAAGAAAGAGAAAGAAAAGAAAGAAAGGAAGAAAGGAAGAAACAAAAAGAAAGAAAGAAAGAAAGAAAGAAAAAGAGAAAAAGAAAGAGAAAGAGAGAAAAGGGTGGGTAGCGCATCTTTCCTTGCAGAGCCGCAGTGAGCCCCCTTCCAGCTGTGAACTATCAACCTGCCTATAAAAGGCAATTCTGATTGAAGGAAAAGGGAGGGGTGGTGGTGAGGGGAGGGCCGGGTGGCCCTCTGCCCAGCCCGAGATTGGCTTCCGTTTCTGGCTTGCTGTCCAGCGTATGGGATTGATTTAGATTCCCAGAACACCACGGAAGGTAGCACATGCTGTGACGATTGCGTAGTGGTTCGTGCTCCGGGGCCCGGTTGGAGATCCCTGCTGCCCGTCTGTCCGCCTGTGCGAGGCCACAGATCTGCCTGCATTTCCCTGCAGGCTCGGGAGGAGCTGGCAGAACCTGCTGCTTCTGCACAGCGCATTCCTGTCTGCTGGCAGCTCCTCCCCAGCGCCCTGAAGGGAGTGCTGGATCTGCTTAAAAGCGTGCAGGAGGGGGTGGGTACAGGGGAGCCAGGGCCTGCAGAGGACGCAGCCCGCAGCCCAGTCCTCAGTGCTGCTTTTTCTGTTGTTGTTTTGAGACGGAGTCTCGCTCTGTCGCCCAGGCTGGAGTGCAGTGGCGCGATCTCAGCTCACTGCAACCTCTGCCTCCCGGGTTCAAGCAATCCTCCTGTCTCAGCCTCCCAAGTAGCTGAGATTACAGGCGTGCACCACCACGCCCGGCTAATTTTTGCATTTTTAGTAGAGACGGGGTTTCACCATGTTGGCCAGGCTGGTCTCGAACTCCTGACCTCAGGTGACCTGCCCATCTCGGCCTCCCAGAGTGCTGGGATTACAGGCGTGAGCCACTGTGCCCGGCTTCTAGTGCTTCTCCAGATCCTAGCAGACTTTCTTCCCCAGGGTGCCTCCACAGTGCTGCTTGCAGATTCTGGAAGGATCATCTGGGATTCCACTGCTCTCCTCCCCTCTCCTCTCCTCCCCTCCCCTCCCCTGTCTTCTCTTTTCTTCTTTCTGAGACAGGGTCTTACTCTGTGGCCCAGGCTGAAGTGCAGTGATGAAATCATAACTCACTGCAACCTCAGCCTCCTTAAGTGAGCCTCCCGCTTCAACCTCCCTAGTAGCTGGGACTACAGGCTCACACCACCATGCCCGGCTAATTTTTTTATAAAGACAGGGTCTCGCCATGTTGCTCAGGCTGGTCTCGAACTCCTGGGCTCAAGGGATCCTCCTGCCCCGGCCTCCCAACGTGCTTGGGATTACAGACGTGAGCCACCATGCCCGGCCTTCACTGCCTTTCTTTTCCTCAATAAAAATCTGACATCGGGGGATTGCATTGCTCTGTTACCCTTTCTTCAGGCACCTCTCTTTTCCTGCTGCCAAACAGTGGAGACAGGAAGCCAAAAAAAATTGCCCAGTCCTTGTTCCTGGGGAGCTCATTGTAGAGCAGGGGAGACAGACACGTATATTGCAAGCATGTACATGTATCTGCAATAGGCACGAGCCGCGCCGTGGCAGGACTGAGTCCACATGGCTGGGGAAACACACTGCCTGGTAACTGGAGGCTGGTCAGATAGTGGTTGAGCTGAATTGAGGAGTTACCTACTCTAGGGTTTACCTACTTGTGCCCCATGGTTTTTAGGGACAACAGGCATCCCAGCTGTACCCCGGGCCATCTGGATGGAACTAGAATGGATGCAAAGAACACAGCTTTGGAGTCAAGCAAACCTTCCTTAGTTCTATTTTTTACATAAGTAATAATTTGTTTTTGGAGATGGTGGCGGGGGGGAGGTCTCTCCTTGTCACCCAGGCTGGAGTGTAGTGGCGTGATCCTAGCTCACTGCAGCCTCAAACTCCCGGGCTCAAGCGATCCTACCACTTCAGCCTCCCAAGTAGCTGGGAGCACAGGCACACACCACCACAACTGCTTTATGTTTCTCTTTTTTATTCTCCTTCAGCCGTACTTTTCAGCTTTGAGGACTTGAGCAGGTTTATTACCATCTTGGATCGCATTTTCTCTTCTGTGAAGTAGAGAGAATACCTGTGTATTGGAGTTCTCAAAGTGTGGTCCAGGGACACCCAGGGGTTGGTCTCTGAGACCCTTTTGGTGGGGGACCACTAGGTCAAAACTGCTAAGATAGAAGCCAGGCACTGTGGCTCACACCTGTAATCCCAGCGCTTTGAGAGGTCAAGGTGGGTGGATCACCTGAGCTCAGGAGTTCGAGACCAGCCTGGCCAACATGGTGAAACCCTGTCTCTACTAAAAATTAAAAAAAAAAATTAGCCAGGTGTGGTGGTGGCGCCTGTAATCCCAGCTACTTGGGAGGCTGAGGCAGGAGAATCACTTGAACCCAGGAGGCGGAGGTTGAAGTGAGCTGAGATTGCGCCACTGCACTCCAGCCTGGGTGACAGAGCGAGACTCCATCTCACAAAAAAAAAAAAAAAAAAATGCCAAGATACTCTGGGTCTCCTTCCTCCCAGTCTCTCCCACACAGATGGTGGAGTTTTCAGAGGTTGCATGACGTTTGATATCACAGTGGATTGAACTCAGAGGCTTATACAAGAATCCAGCTGTCTTCTATTAAGCCAGACATGAAAGAAATTTGCAAAAATGTAAAACAATGCCACTATTTCCCCTCAATGTTTTTTTTTTTTGAAAAATAGTTACTTTTCACTTAAACGTGTCATCCTCCTAATATAAAATATATGGTTTAAAAAAATATTTAATGGGATTATGTTAACTTGTAACAGGAGTATAGCTAAAATCTACATAAACACAAGCTGTTTAAGGGCCTTAATTTTTTATTACCATATTTATGTATATATTTTGGCATCATATTTATATATATTTATTTTATATGACAGCTTTATTGAGATTTTTACATGCCATAGAATTCACTTTTTAAAGTGTACAATTCAGTGGTTTTTAGAATATCCAGAGTTGTGTAACCATTACCACAATCTAATTTTTTTTTTTTTTTGAGATGGAGTCTTGCTCTGTTGCCCAGGCTGGAGTGCGGTGGCGCCATCTCAGCTCTCTGCAACCTCCACCTCCAGGGCTCAAGCGATTCTCCTGCCTCAGCCTCCTGAGTAGCTGGGATCACAGGCCAGCACCACCACCCCCGGCTAATTTTTGTATTTTTAGTAGAGACGGGGTTTCGCCGTATTGCCCAGGCTGGTCTCGAACTCCTGACCGCAGGTGATCCGCCTGCCTCGGTCTCCCAAAGTGCTGGGATTACAGGCGTGAGCCACCGCGCCCGGCCTAACCCCCGGTTTTCATGCACCGTCTTTGATGTTGCCTTTAGGCCGTGCCTGAACGCCGGTGTCACAAACCAAAGCCACAATAACTCAACAGCTTCATGAAATACCCAAACTCCCCCAGCTCCTGTGACATCAGGCAGGCGGAGTGACGCGGCTGCATGGCAGGGCTGCCCGAGGGCCCCCCTCCCAGGTCCGCACCTCCACCTCCTGGAAACCCACCCGGGTGGGCGGTGCTTTCTCCCGCCGAAGTCCTAGAAATGCTCTTCCCCACCAGCTGGGTTTATTTGGATTCATCCAGCCTCGGCTGGGAGGAGGAAGGGGTGGGCCCTCCTAGTATTTATTCTGCTGGAATGGAAACCTCAGATCTTCGAGATACTCAAGCAGACAGACAGACATCTACCAAGTCAGCGAGGGGAAAGTGCGGTGTTTTCGGAGGTCAGCCCGGGACAGCAAAGCAGGCAGGCTGGGGCTCTGATCAGTTCAAAAAGCACCACGTGGTGTCTGCGGCGGAGCAACCAGCGGCACGCCCCCACCCCAGGCGTCCCTCCCACAAGCAAATAGCACAGCCCGGTGACATTGGCTTTTTCCAGCCGAGCGCGGGGCACCCGCTTCGCCTCGTGCCCGCCTCTCCCCCTCTTCATCATGGGCCCTCGGTGGAACTGTATGCTAGAAACTTCACTTTCCAATTTTGGAGATGCTTCTAGAAACTAGACTTCTTTCCAGCTTGAGGTGAGCTGGAAGTTAGATCAGTTTCCATTTCTTTCAACTGAAAACGTGATTACAGAAGTCAGTGTTTCATAAGCTTTCTTTTTCCGTGATCACCTTCTTTTGAGACATCCTTTTCCTAGTGGCTCCTTAGAAAGAATAACGGTGGCAAGAGATTTAAATGCACCCGATGTCTGATTCTTTTGACGGAAGATGCCCAAGTAGCATTATTATTATTATTATTATTATTATTATTATTATTATTATTATTATTTTATTACTTTTCATTTTTTTTGAGACGGAGTCTCGCTCTGTCGCTCAGGCTGGAGTGCAGTGGCGCGATCTCAGCTCACTGCAAGCTCTGCCTCCTGGGTTCACACCATTCTCCTGCCTCAGCCTCCCGAGTAGCTGGGACTACAGGCGCCCGCCACCACACCCAGCTAATTTTTTGTATTTTTAGTAGAGATGGGGTTTCACCGTGTTAGCCAGGATGGTCTCGATCTCCTGACCTCGTGATCCGCCCGCCTCGGCCTCCCAAAGTGCTGGGAGTACAGGCGTGAGCCACCACGCCCGGCCAATTCTGTATTTTCAGTAGAGATGTGGTTTCACCATGTTGGCCAGGCTGGTCTCGAACTCCTGACCTCAGGTGATCCGCCCACCTTGGCCTCCCAAAGTGCTGGGATTAACAGATATGAGCCACCGCGCCCGGCCGCCCACTAGTTTTGATTGTGAGTTCTTTTGGTCCTTGGTTTTCGTAAGCGTTGCTTCCTCCTCTGTAGTAGAGTAACAAGCATGCAGCGTAGAGTCGCCGTGAGAGCTGGATTCGGTCGTTGATGGACAGAGCCGAGTGGAGAGCCTGAGATGACTCAGTGCCACACAGGTGCTGCTCACACAGTTGTCCTGGTCATTGTCGTCTAACCACTGAAACTCCCTAGACTTTTCCTACACATGCACACTCACATAGATACGTACAGCAATATGGAGCGCATTGTACATTGGCAGTCCTGAGCTGCTTTTTACCTTTCTAAATTTAATTTCTTTTTTTTTTTTTTTTTTGAAACAGAGTCTCACTCTGTTGCCCAGGCTGGAGTGCAGTGGCGCAATCTCGGCTCACTGCAAGCTCTGCCTCCTGGGTTCACGCCATTCTCCTGCCTCAGCCTCCCGAGTAGCTGGCACTACAGGCGCCCGCCACCACGCCTGGCTAATTTTTTGTATTTTTAGTAGAGACGGGGTTTCACCGTGTTAGCCAGGATGGTCTCGATCTGCTGACCTCGTGATCCACCCACCTCGGCCTCCCAAAGTGCTGGGATTACAGGTGTGAGCCACCACACTCGGCCTTATTATTATTATTTTTGAGAAGGAGTTTTGCTCTTGTCACCCAGGCTGGAGTGCAGTGGCGTGATCTCGGCTCACTGCAACCTCCACCTCCTGGGTTCAAGCGATTCTCCTGCCTCAGCCTCCTGAGTAGCTAAGATTACAGGTGCCCGCCACCACGCCCAGCTAATTTTTGTATTTTTAGTAGACACGGGGTTTCACCATGTTGGCCAGGCTGGTCTCAAACTCCTGACCTTAGGTGATCCGCCTGCCTCGGCCTCCCACAGTGTTAGGATTACAGGCGTGAGCCACTGTGACTGGCCCCAAGTAGCATTATTATATAATGGAGTTTTTGTTTGTTTTTATCTTAGAGACAGGATCTTCTTTCTCTGTCACTCAAGCTGGAGTGCAGTAACGCCATCTCAGCTCCCTGCAGCAGCTTCCAACTCCCAGGCTCAAGCAATCCTCCCGCCTCAGTCACCAAAGCTGGGATAACAGGTGCACACCACCATGCCTGGATAATTTTTAAATTTTTATTCTTTCTAGAGATTGGGTCTTGCTATGTTGTCCAGGATGATCTTGAACTCCTGGCCTCAAGTGATCTTCCCACCTCAGCCTCCAAAAGTGCTGGGATTGCAGGTGTGAGCCACCGAGCCCAGCCTATACCTGTGAAATTTCAATATCATAGATAGACTGTGTATCTGTTTATGTTCTGTTTTCTGGGCTTAATCCATAAAAAAAGTAAAATTTGTTTTCATCTCCCCAAGAATTGATGTTCACCCTGTTGAGAATATATTTGTAAAGAAGTCTCGTACTGCAGGAGTGAGAATGGAGACATCTTCATCACAAATCTCACTCCCCAGAATTAACCACTGTTAACAGTGTGGGGTGGATGGGAACTGATCATCAGTGCAGAACGTGAAAGGAGAACAACTGGGTCGATATTTGCCCACTTTTTTTTTTGGGGGGGGGACAGGGTCTCACTTTGTCACCCAGGCTGGAGTGCAGTGGCATAATCATGGCTCACTACAGCCTCAACCTCTTGGACTCAAGCGATCCTCCCACCTCAACCTCCTGAGTAGCTGGGACCACAGGTGGATATCACTACACCTGCTTAATTTTTTTTTAATTTTAATTGAGACGGGGTCTCACTATGTTACCCAGGCTGGTCTGAAACTCCTGGGCTCAAGTGATTTTCCTGCCTCAGCCTTTCAAAGTGCTGGGATTGCAGGTGTGAGCCCCGCGCTGGGCCTGCCTACTATTTTTTATTTTAATTTTAGGGACCGACTCTCACTCTGTCGCCCAGGCTGCAGTGCAGAGGCACGATCTCAGCTCACTGCAACCTCCACCTCCTGGGTTCAAGCGATTCTCCTGTCTCAGCCTCCCAAGTAGCTGGGATTACAGGCATGCACCACCGCACCCGGCTAATTTTTGTATTTTCAGTAGAGATGGGGTTTCACCATGTTGGCCATGCTGGTCCCAAACTCCTGACCTCAGGTGATCCGCCCGCCTCGGCCTCTCAAAGTGCTGAGATTACAGATATGAGCCACCGCGCCCGGCCGCCCACTAGTTTTGATTGTGAGTTCTTCTGGTCCTTGGTTTTCGTAAGCGTTGCTTCCTCCTCTGTAGTAGAGTAACAAGCATGCAGCGTAGAGTCGCCGTGAGAGCTGGATTCGGTCGTTGATGGACAGAGCCGAGTGGAGAGCCTGAGATGACTCAGTGCCACACAGGTGCTGCTCACACAGTTGTCCTGGTCATTGTCGTCTAACCACTGAAACTCCCTAGACTTTTCCTACACATGCACACTCACATAGATACGTACAGCCATATGGAGTGCATTGTACATTGGCGGTCCTGAGCTGCTTTTTACCTTTTTAAATTTAATTTCTTTTTTTTTTTTTTTGAGACAGAGTCTCACTCTGTTGCCCAGGCTGGAGTGCAGTGGTGCGATCTTGGCTCGCTGCAAGCTCCGCCTCCCGGGTTCACGCCATTCTCCTGCCTCAGCCTCCCGAGTAGCTGGGATTACAGGCACCCGCCACCACGCCCGGCTAATTTTTTGTATTTTTACTAGAGACGGAGTTTTGCTATGTTGCCCAGGCTGGTCTCAAACTCCTGAGCTCAGGCAATCCACCCGCCTCGGCCTCCCAAAGTGCTGGGATTACAGGCATGAGCCACTGCACTCGGCCCTTAAATTTAATTTCCTTTCAGCCGGGCATGGTGGCTCACACCTATAATCCCAGCACTTTGGGAGGCTGAGGTGTGTGGATCAATCAACTGAGGTCAGGAGTTCAAGACCGGCCTGACCAACATGGCAAAACCCCGTCTCTACTAAAAATACAAAAATTAGCCGGACGTGGTGGCGGGCGCCTGTAATGCCAGCTACTTGGGAGGCTGAGGCAGGAGAATCGCTTGAACCCGGGAGGTGGAGGTTGCAGTGAGCCAAGATCACGCCACTGCACTCCAGCCTGGGCAACAGAGTGAGACTCCGTCTCAAAAAAAAAAAAATTTAATTTCTTTTGAGACAGGGTCTCGCTCTGTTGCCCAGGCTGGAGTGCAGTGGTGCCATCATGGTTCACTGCAACCTTGACCACCTGGGCTCAAGCGATCCTCCCACCTCATCCTTTCAAATAGCTGGGACTACAGGTACGTGCCACCATGCCCAGCTAATTTTTTTGTATTTTTTGTAGAGATGAGGTCTTGGTATGTTGCCCAGGCTGGTCTCAAACTCCTGTCCTGAAGCAATCAGCTCGCCTCAGCCTCCCAAAGGGCTGGGATTACAGACGTGAGCCACCACGCCGGGCCATTAAAGACATTTTTGAGATAATCATGGACAATGGGTCACAGGCTGGTTATTGGTAACAGGAAATTATTGTTGATAATCATGGAGCAAGTTGATAATAAGACAGTGTTAATTTGATTGGGTGGTTCTGTGTTGGGAAATCAGAAAGCTTCAGTGATTAGAGAACATTCTGAAGGTTCTACAGGCAAAGTCATATGATGTCTTGAATTTGTGTGAAATACCCGTGCAAAGCTGGAGAGAGAAGTGAGAACAGAAGAAGGGCAGAATGTTAATTCCCGTTGCAGGAGGTGACGACACTCAGAGAGACCTCGTCCTGGCCTGCGTGCTTCAGGCTGTGTTTGAAATTTTCCACTATATGTAATTTTTTAAATTTGCAGTTTCTTTCTTCCTCCTTCCTTCCTTCCTTCCTTCCTTCCTTCCTTCCTTCCTTCCCTCCTTCTTTCTTTCCTTCTTTCTTTCTTTCTTGAGGGAGTCTCACTCTGTCGCCTAGGCTGGAGTGCAGTGGTGTGATATCTCGGCTCACTGCAACCTCTACCTCCCAGGTTCAAGCGATTCTCCTGCCTCAGCCTCCCAAGTAGCTGGGACTACAGGTGCCCACCACCACACCCAGCTAAGTGTTTTGTATTTTTAGTAGAGATGGGGTTTCTCCATGTTGGCCAGGCTGGTCTCGAACTCCTGAGCTCAGGTGATCCGCCCGTCTTGGCCTCCCAAAGCGCTGGGATTACAGGCGTGAGCCACTGTGCCCGGCCTTGATTTGCAGTTTCTGTAAACAACTTGTATAATAGAAAAGCAGAGAAATAAATTTTCCTCCCCTTCAGAAGCACCTCATGTTTGTTTTAAAGTATAGTATTTAATCCAGATTTGAGAAGGTTTGGGGTGAATGAGGTAAGAAAGTTTTTTTTTTTTTTTGGCATCAAATATTTCGGCCTGCCTCTCAGCTTGCTTCAGAAAACTTAAAACATCACAATAGTAATCAAAACATATATAACATTGAAACAGAAGGAAATGGCATGGACCACAGAACTCCAAGGATTGTTTAAAAAAAAAAAAAAAGTGCTACCCCGGGAAAAGTATTTGCAATTTTTTTTTTTTTTTAGATGGAGTCTCACTCTGTTGCCCAGGCAGGAGTGCAGTGGCACAATCTCGGCTCACTGCAAGCTCCGTGTCCCAGGTTCAAGCGATTCTCCTGCCTCAGCACCCCTAGTAGCTGGGACTACAGGCAGCCGCCCCCATGCCCGGCTAATTTTTGTATTTTTAGTAGAGACGAGGTTTCGCCTTGTTGCCCGGGCTGGTCTCGAACTTCTGACCTCAGGTGATCCACCTACCTCAGCCTCCCAAAGTGCTGGGATTACAGGTGTGAGCCACCACGCCCAGTCCTACTCTTAATACTTTTGAAATCTTTAGAGCAGCTTGAAGGCTTGTAAATATATAGAACGAATATTTTAAAAAACAAAAATTGACTCAATACTATTTCTTTTCACTTTGAAAATATAAAGCACAAAATAAAGACAAACATTCCAAGTTTTTTTTTTAAAAAAGGAATTTTCCACTATACATTTTTAAGAGAGGCAGAGATTAAGAACAACATCAGGCCGTTGGTGACCAAGACCAGAAGCCTCTCCCCTCAATCTGGGTGGCCACAGGCCACTTCTCACCACCCGGTGCCCTGTCCTCTTTGAAGTTTTTAGTCTGTGCTGGATTTTCTTACTTTTTTGTGACCTCAGCTGTTGGTTAGAAAGAGTATGCATTTTCTTTTCTTTTTTTTTCCTCCCTCCCTCTCCTTCCTTCCTTCCTTCTTTCCTTCCTTCCTTTTCTTCTTTCTTTTTTTCCCTTCTCCTTTCCCCTCCCTCCGTCCCTCTCTCCCTCCCTCCCTTTCTTTCTTTCTTCCGTCCTTCCTTCCTTCCTTCCCTCCCTCTCCTTCCTTCCTTCTTTCCTTCCTTCCTTCGTTTTCTTCTTTCTTTTTTTCCTTCTCCTCTCCCCTGCCTCTCTCCCTCTCTCCCTCCCTCCCTCTCTCTCTCTCTCTTTCTTTCTTTCTTTCTCTCTTCCCTCCCTCCCTCTCCTTCCTTCCTTCCCCTCCCCCTCCCCTCCCCTCCCCTTCCTTCCCTCTCCTTGTTGCTCTGTCACCCAGGCTGGAGTGAAACGATGCAATCATAGCTCACTAGAGCCTCGACCTCCTGGGCTCAAGCAATCCTTCTGCCTCAACGTCCTGAGTAGCTGGGACCATGGGCACATACCAGCACACCTGGATGCTTTTTAAAAATTTTTTCTAGAGATAGGATCTTGCTATGTTTCCCAGGCTGGTCATGAACTCCTGGGCTCAAGCGATCTTCCTGCCTCAGTCTCCCAAAGTGCTGGGATTACAGGCATGAGCCACTGCACCTGGCCTTTGTTCATTTCTTTCATCCAGTCTTGCTTGGGTTTTAGAGGAGGAGAGATTTAAAGTGATGTTTTCTGCCACATTGCTAGAAATAAAAATGCTGTGATAGAAGGAGCAATTTTTTTTTAATGTAGCAACTCTACTTTTCAGCCTTTTGAAAAATGTTAAGAGTTGTTTTTGGTTGCCATTTTTTGTCAGTGTGATCAGTGAGCTTCATTCTTTTTAGTTAGCGCGTTCTTGTGTATGGATATGCCAGAGTGACTTGAAGAACACACTACTGATCTTTACAGTTTTTCTTACATCCAAATAATGTTGCAGCAGAAACATCATGGTATACATCACTTTTGACCTTGTCTAAATATCTCAGGAGGTAAATTCCTAAAAGCAGAAATGCAGCTTTAGAAGATAGTGGCATTTACAATTCTGTTAATCATTGACGAATAACCTTCCACAAAGTTTATAGCAACTTGAACTCCTGTCAACAGTGAGTGAAAATGCCAGTTCCCCCACAGCCTTGCCATAATGGTTATCAACTGAATTTAAAAGTTTTGCCAGCCAGTTATGTGAAATTAGTGTCTCTTTGGTGTTATAATATTCATTTATTTGGCCATCAGTGAGATCAGTCACCTATTCCTTTCTTTTCTGATTGTTAGTATCTTTGCACTAAGTACCTCTGTATATCTTCTATTTGGCTATTGAGTTTTTCTTATTGATTTGTAGGTGCTCTTTACATATGACAGGCACTAACACTTTGTTACATATGCTACATATTACTATTTTCTTCCAGTTTGCTATGTGCCTTTTTACTGGCTTTGTGGCTCTCCTCCATCCTAACACACCCATTGTAGAAGAGAGCTTCCTTTGGGCTGGAGCCTTGGGATAGACTTTCCCCCAACTTTGGTTCTTTGGTTGAACAGCCTCAATAGGGAGTTTGGAAACAGACAAACTCAAGGCCACACACTCAGTCCCCTATAATCTCTCCCTTAAAAAAAAAAAAAAAAAAAAAACCCTTTATTTTCAAATTACGAAAACAGTGACATACTAGAAAATCTTAAAAATACCAAAAGGTTTAAAGAAAGGGATGGAAATCATCCTGCATGCATTATTGCCATCTTACAAGAGAGGAAACAGAGAGGAGGCGGAGTAGTATGTTGGCAAATAGTATTGGCAAGTAGGAGTATGCCTGACAAATCTCATAAGAAACAGCAAGGAGGGATGATTATTCTTCCACATCATCGGTTGACACAGCCTTCCAGCGTGGAACGGCTTGTTTGCAAGCCAAACCTACCGCGCAAGAGGTTCTTCTTGTTCTCTGTGAGGTGCTGAGTTGCTAGGTTACTGAGAGCATCAGGAATCCAAGGAACAACATACTTATATCGTGCTCAACTTTGAAAAATAAAGTAGATATTAACATTTTAAAATGAGTAAGAATAATATTTATTGCACCAGGATTTGCAAATATTGAATTCTAGTTGCAATTCTACCATTTCTAGTATGTATGTATGTGGATGGATGGATGGATGAGTAAATGGATGGTTGGATGGATGGATGAATGGATGGATAAATGGATGGATGGGTGGATGGATGGATGGGTGAATGGATGGGTGGGTGGATGGATGAGTGGATGGATGGATAGTTGGTTGGGTGGGCGGATGGGTGGATGGTTGGTTGGGTGGATGGATGGATGGTTGGTTGGTTGGTTAGGTGGGTGGATGGGTGGGTGGATGGATGGATGGATGGATGGATGAATGGGTGGATGGATGGATGGATGAATGGATGGGTGGATGGATGAATGAATGGGTGAATGGATAGGTGGGTGGACGGATGGATGGATGAATGGATAGATGGATGGATGGGTGGGTGGGTGGGTGGATGGATGGATGAATGGGTGAATGGATGAGTGGGCGGATGGATGGATGGTTGGTTGGGTGGGTGGATGGGTGGGTGGATGGATGGATGGATGGATGGATGGATGAACAGATGGGTGGATGAATGGATAGATGAGTGAATGGATGGGTGGATGGATGAATAGATATAGAGACATAGATATAGACGACAGCTTTATCAAGATATAATTCACACAATTCTACCATTTCTAAGCCTCAGTTTTATCTATAAGATATGGAAAATTGTTATGTGCCCGATAGAGAAAAAAGGAAGACTGACCCATTTTCTTTACCTGTTCTATTTTTTGCCTTACCTCTTATAGTTTTGTTTTTTAATGGTACTTTTAAAAACTGATTCATTTGAAAAATCCACCTGGATAAGAGGCCCAACCTCTTGATAATGTTGTTACCTATAGTTTATTTCCTAACAGCTTTATTGAGATAAAATTATATGCTATAAAGGCCAGGCACAGTGACTCACACACCTCTAATCCCAGCACTTTGGGAGGCCGAGGCAGGTGGATCACTTGAGGTCAGGAGTTCGAGACCAGCCTGGCCAACAGGGTGAAACCCTGTCTCTACTAAAAATACAAAAATTAGCTGAGTACGGCAGTGCATGTCTGTAATTCAAGCTACTCGGGAGGCTGAGGTAGAAGAATCGCTTGAACCCGGGAGGTGGAGGTTGCAGTGAGCTGAGATCATGTCACTGTACTCCAGCCTGGGCGACAGAGCGAGACTGGCCTGTTCTGAACATTTCATGTCAATGGGATCACACACTGTGTGGCCTTTTGTCTGGCTTCTCTCACTGAGTGTGATTTTTCGGAGTTCATCCACGTTGTAGTGCGTATGCAGTGAGGTTTTAAATGCTCCTGGACTTAGTACAACCCCCTACGCGCAGGGCCTAAAAGAGCTAAATCAAGGCATCATTTCCTTACTGCTGCCATCATCTGACATGGGAGGAGGGGACCAGAGTCAAACAGCGGAGGTGGGAATGACACAGGAAGATCCAGAGACACGTGGAAGACTCCGAGAGCTGCAAGAAATGACATCTGGGAGGCCAGGCATGGTGGCTCATGCCTGTGATCTCAGCACTTAGGGAGGCCAAGGCGGACGGATCACTTGAGGTCAGGAGTTCAAGACCAGCCTGTTCAACATGGCAAAACACCATCTCTGCTATTTAAAAAAAAAAAAAAAAAAAAAAAAGTGCACCTGTAGTCCCAGCTACCTGGGAGGCTGAGGCAGGAGAATCACTTGAACCCAGGAGGCGGAGGTTACAGTGAGCTGATATCGCGCCACTGCACTCCAGCCTGGGCCACGGAGGGAGACTCCATCTTAGAAGAAAGAGACGGCCGGGCGTGGTGGCTCATGCCTGGAATCCCAGCACTTTGGGAGGCTGAGGCAGGCGGATCACCTGAGGTTGGGAGTTCGAGACCAGCCTGACCAAGGTGGAGAAACCCCATCTCTACTAAAAATACAAAATTAGCCAGGTGTGGTGGCTCATGCCTGTAATCCCAGCTACTTGGGAGGCTGAGGCAGGAGAATCGCTTGAACCTGGAAGGGGGAGGTTGTGGTGAGCCAAGATCGCGCCATTACACTCCAGCCTGGGTCACAGAGGGAGACTCCATCTTAAAGAAGAGAAAGGAGACCTGGGAGTCAGCTGGCACCAGGGCCAGCAAGGGACGGCTGATGTCACACCTGAGCACCTGGGAAGAGAGGTGCCACCACGAAGACAAAGCAAGGGAGTCGGGGAGGAAAAGAAGCCAGTTTCCCCAGAAAGATGACCACCTGGTGGGGTCTGCGGTGTGATCAGCAAGCCTGGGTTTGCTGGGTCTGAGGACTTGGAGCCACTCCAACCAGGACAACCCTGGGTAACCCAGCTGGGGTTGGTCACCCTGAGTCTGGAGTTCCCACGGAACGGGCCAAGGTTAGATGCGTCAGCAGGCGGTTTGAAATGAAGGTCAGAGGAGGATGGCTAAGAAATACGGCCCCTGACTGACGGGAGAAAGTTCCACGGGGCCCGCGTCCAGCTGCCGCCGCCCTGGGCTCCTGCTTTTTTCCCAGCCGGGGGAACGGGCCCTTTGACCGCCCTGCCCGGCCCTGTGCGATTCACCAGCTGTTGACTTTTAAAAGAAAAACAAACCTCATGACGTGCGTTAAGGTCTGTTTACTACCTGTCGCTTTGCAGAGAGCCGCGTCGTGCTGGTTTATCTCATTGTGACTTTTTAATCTGATGTCTTTCGGGTTGTCCTCAGGGAGCTGATTAGGATGTAAAGGCCAGTTGCAATTCAGCCGGACTCTCCCAGTGCACAAACAACATTGTCACCAGTCCCCGGCCACCCTCTCACGCCCCCACCAAGCTTAGGAAAATAGTTTGTGCTCAAGGGACTTGCTAGGTTTCTAAGCAGCCTGTGAAGTGCCGTATTTCTGCTGCACAAATTGTACCCGGGGACCTTTTACACCACAACAGGCCGTTTGCAAATAGAGAGATGGTTTTTCTTCTCTTGCTCCAATCTGGATGCTTTTCATTTCCTTTTCATGCCCAGTTGCCCTGGCTTGAATTTGCAATAACAATACTGAATAGAAACAGTGAGAGTGGCCACCCTTATCTTGTTCCTGTTCTTTCTTTCTTTTTCTTTTCTTTCCTTCCTTCCTTCTCTCTCTCTCTCCTTCTTTTCTTTTCTTTCCTTCCTTCCTTCCTTCCTTCCTTCCTTCTCTCTTTCTCTCTCTTTTCTTGAGATGAGAGTCTTGCTGTGTCGCCCAGGCTGGAGTGCAGTGGCACGATCTTGGCTCACCGCAACCTCTGCCTCCCAGGTTCAAGTGATTCTCCTGCCTCAGCCTGCCAGGTAGCTCCTGGAGGCTGAGACAGCGTCCCCCTCCCTTCCATGCTTCCACGGTCGGTGTGATGCTGCCTCGAGTTACAGCTTTTTGTGAACTGCATGAGGCCCGGGTGACTCAGCAGCCCAGGCCTGCCTCCCCTTTGAAGCCCGTTTGTGGCCGTTACAAGGTGGCCGCCTGCGTACCGACCCCCGAGCTGACGCCGGCTGTTGTCCTCACCGGCCAGAGCCTCTGCCATCCCAGGCGCTAGATCTCACAGCTCCTTTGGGTCCCAGGAACTTTCCCAGCCCCTTGCAGTTGCATCTCAGCAGCTGTGATTCTCATCAGAAGACATTGTGCCCGGGGAGCCCTCTGCCCTTCCGCCCAGGACCTGAGAACGTGGGTGAGCTTCCCCGGCAGAGGAAGCAACGCAGGGTACGCAGGTGAGGTCGGAGGGACAGGAGAGACCCCTGGGTCTGCACCTGGGAATGCTTCGGTCCAGGCAGAGACCCTAGAGCCAGATGCTCAGGGACGATCTGGTGATTGTGTGCAGGTCACTTCCTCCTGGTGTCTTCTTGCCGCCGCAACTCTCCGTGGTGAAACCTCCAACCCAGGGGTCCTAACCTGCGGCTGATCCTAGCCCCTGGGGGACATCGGGTGACGTCTGGGGCCAAAAATTAGCCGGATGTGGTGTTGCGTGGTAGTGGATGCCAGGATTCTCCACTGTCATTATGATTTCAAGGTGACATTCTTTTTTTTTTTTTTTTTTTTTTTTTGAGATGGAGTCCCGCTCTGTCACCCAGGCTGGAGTGCGGTGGCACAATCTCTGCTCACTGCAACCTCTGCCTCCCCGGCTCAAGCGATTCTCCTGCCTCAGCCTCCCGAGTAGCTGGGACTACAGGCACGTGACACCACACCCGGCTAATTTTTGTATTTTTAGTAGAGACAGGGTTTCACCATTTTGGCCAGGCTGGTTTCAAACTCCTGACCTCAAATAATCCGCCCACCTCAGCCTCCCAAAGTGCTGGGATTACAGGCGTGAGCCACTGCACCCGGCCAAGGTGACATTCTACTGGATCTACACACGATATTCACTGTGAGTTCCCATTGAGGGATGCTTGCGTGCGTGTGTGTAAATTCTACCTTCTTTTTCATTTGAGCCCTTGGCTGTCAAATGTCAGGGCTGGGATTTGCCCTCATTTCCAGAGTGTGTGAGTGTCCTTCCCTCCCCATCCTTCCCTTTCAGCCTCAGCTGAGCTCTTGGGGGACCGAGGTCACCAGCAGCTTGTCTGGGCCCGCTGGCTCCCAGCCCCCCAAGCCAGACGCGCCATCCCAGATTCCCCATTTGCGGCCCTCGCTTTGAATTTATGGGCCTGCTGAGCGGAATGGGAAACTCATCAGGGAGTGTGAAAGTCACTCTAGAAGGTGGGAATGCCAGCAGCCACCAGCCCCCAGCACCTGCACCAACAAGGGGTCTTGCCACACAGCTTGGGCTGGGGCGGGCAAAGCTGGAGGGTGGGGCAGTGGAAGGTGGGAGCTCTTGATCCTCCCCGATCTCACCCCATCAAGACGGCTGCAAGACTGTGCTGAGCCAGCCCCGGTTCCACAAGTCTACAAAGGGGGTGAGAGTTCCGTTTTTCATCATCAAAATCGTACAACTTTATGTTTACAAAAGTAACACTGGCTTGTTGCTGAAAAAATATTTCAGAAAACTCACAAAGATTTAAAGAAAAAGGGATACTGAAAAATCAATACATTTTGGCCGGGGCACGGCGGTTCACGCCTGTAATCCCAGCACTTTGGGAGGCCGAGGCGGGTGGATCACGAGGTCAAGAGAGTGAGACCATCCTGGCCAACATGGTGAAACCCCGTCTCTACTAAAAATACAAAAAAATAGCCGGGCGTGGTGGCGGGTGCCTGTAATCCCAGCTACTCGGGAGGCTGAGGCAGGAGAATGGCGTGAACCCGGGAGGCGGAGGTTACAGTGAGCCGAGATCGCGCCACTGCACTCCAGCCTGGGAAACAGGGCAAGCCTCTGTCTCAAAAAAAAAATTACTGAATTTTACACTTTATGAGGGTGAATTTTATGGTATATGAATGATGTCTCCATTTTGTTTTTAAAAGGAAAAGTTCCCCTGGTAATCCCAATCTGGAGATGAAGACTGTTAAAATCTCTTCCAGGCTGCCTGTTTCTAACTGGCTGTTTTCAATATACTTTTGAACTTACGGAGAAGTTGCAAGAATAGCCGCAGGCACTTCGTATACTCTTTATACTCAAATATGCCAACTGTTTACACTTGCCTTGCCCTATTTTTTCTTTTATTATTCTCTCACTCCATCGTTCACCGTGTGTGTGTATACACATTTATGTGTGTCTATGTATTTATGTATAAATTGCAGGTGGATATGTATGTATATATCTATATATACGCAGAAAGATAGTTACTTATATGGCATATATGCTAGATATATTATTATGCAGTTATGTATACACAGAATTATATGTATGTAATTGTGCATGTATGCATATTAATTTATTTCCAGTCATTTGAAATTAAGTTGGAGACATCATGCCCCATTAACCCTAAAGATCTTGGTGGATATTTTCTAAGAACAAGGCCCTTCCTTCCTTCATTCCTACCTTCTTTCCTTCCTTCCTTCCTTCTTTTCTTCCCTCCCTCCATCCCTCCCTCCCTCCTTCCTTCCTTCCTTCCCTCCCTCCCTCCGTCCCTCCCTCCCTCCTTCCTTCTTTCCTTCCTTCCTTCCCTCCCTCCCTCCATCCCTCCCTCCCTCCTTCCTTCTTTCCTTCCTTCCCTCCCTCCCTCCCTCCTTCCTTCCTTCCTTCTTTCCTTCCTTCCTTCCCTCCCTCCCTCCCTCTATCCCTCCCTCCCTCCCTCCCTCCTTCCTTCCTTCTTTCCTTCCTTCCCTCCCTCCCTCCGTCCCTCCCTCCCTCCTTCCTTCTTTCCTTCCTTCTTTCCCTCCCTCCCTCCATCCCTCCCTCCCTCCATCCGTCCCTCCCTCCTTCCTTCCTTCTTTCCTTCCTTCCTTACTTCCCTCCCTCCCTCTATCCCTCCCTCCCTCCTTCCTTCCTTCTTTCCTTCCTTCCCTCCCTCCCTCCCTCCTTCCTTCCTTCCTTCCTCCTTCCTTCCCTCTCTCTCTCTTTTTAAGGCAGGGTCTGCCCTGTCGCCCAGGCTGGAGTGCAGTGTTGCAATCATGCCTCACTGCAGCCTTGACCTCTTGGGCTCAAGTGATCCTCCCTCCTCAGCCTCCCAAGTAGCTGGGACACATCACCATGCCTGGCTAATTTTTTTATTTTTTGAGACAAGGTCTTGCCTGTCACCTAGGCTGGAGTACAGTGATGCAATCACAGCTCACTGCAGCCTCAAACTTCTGGGCTCTAGCAATCCTCCCACCTCAGTCTCCCAAGTAGCTGGAACTACAGTCACGTGCCATCGCTTTTTTTTTTTTTTTTTAATTCTTTGCGGAGATAGGGTCTCCCTATGTTGCCCTGGCTGGTCTTGAGCTCCTGACCTTAAACCATCCTCCCACCTCAGCCTCCCGAAGTGGTAGGATTATAGGCATGAACCACTGGCACCCAGCCAAGCTGGCTCTGTGTCCTTCTGATACGTTGCCATAATTCTTTGAGTTTCCTTACTTTCTGGCCCAAAAAGATGCTCCAGAAATATAATATTTTTTTCTGCCTCAGTCCTGGAGCCAACCTCTTCTCCAACCCATCCTGGTGACTTTTAGTTCTTCCAAACATGTACTGTTAAAAAATATGCACCACACCCACACATGTATGGACTTTTCTGAATAATCATAGAATCACACTATTGATACTGTTCTTTAATCTGTTTTTTTTAATTTAGCAATATATTATGGGAATCTTTCCACATTATCAAATATGGATTTGCGACATCCTTTTTAGTGAATGTTAAGTGTTTTATCTTTTGGTTGTACCACAGATTACTGAACTAATCTCCTAAATTAAATAGGAGTGCAGTGCCACCATCAGGGCTCACTGTAGCCTGGGACTCTTGGGCTCAAGGGAGGCATCTAAGTTGTTTATTATTTCTTTACTTTTATCCATAATAATTCTTCAGGTAAAGTGCTTGCATATGCACCTCTGCACAATCCTATTTATGGGCCTGCTGAGCGGAATGGGAAACTCATCAGGAAGTGTGAAAGTCACTCTAGAAGGTGGGAATGCCAGCAGCCACCAGCCCCCAGCACCTGCACCAACAAGGGGTCTTGCCACACAGCTTGGGCTGGGGCGGGCAAAGCTGGAGGGTGGGGCAGTCGAAGGTGAGAGCTCTTGGTCCTCCCCAACCTCACCCCATGAAGACGGCTGCAAGACTGTGCTGAGCCAGCCCGGGTTCCACAGTCTACAAAGGGGGTGAGAGGTCCATTTTTAATCATCAAAATAGTACAACTTTATGTTTACAAAAGTAACACTGGCTTGTTGCTAAAAAATTTTTTCAGAAAACACACAAAGGTTTAAAGAAAAATATCCTTAGGACAGTTTTCCAGAGGGAGATTTGCTTTCAAGAACAGTTATTCCAATGTCCTCCACCCACTGTCTGCTAGTCCATGATTTATCACAACTTGACCATCCCTGGATATTATCTATTTAAAAAAAAAATACTTGCCAGTTAGACCAGGTGTAGTGGCTCATGCCTGTAATCTCATTACTTTGGGAGGCTGAGGCAGGAGGATTGCTTAAGCCCAAGAGTTTGAGACCAACCTGGGCAACATAGCAAGACCCCATCTCTACAAAAATATTTAACAATTTGGCTGGGCACAGTGGCTCACGCCTATAATCCCAGCACTTTGGGAGGCTGAGGTGGGCAGATCACCTGAGGTCAAGAGATCGAGACCATCCTGGCCAACATGGTGAAACCCCATCTCTACTAAAAATACAAAAAATAGCTGGGCATGGTGGCTTGCACCTGCAGTCCTAGCTACTCGGGAAGCTGAGGCAGGAGAATCGCTTGAACGTGGTAGGTGGAGGTTGCAGTGAGCCAAGATCAAGTTACTGCACTCCAGCCTGGGTGACAGAGCGAGACTCTGTCTCAAAAAAAAAAAAAAAAAAAAAAAAAAAAAATTAACAATTAGCCAGCCATGGTGGCATGCACCTGTAGTCCCAGCTACTTGGAAGGTGGAGCTAGGTGGATCTCTTGAGCCCAGGAAGTCCAAGCTGCAGTGAGGCACAATTGTACCACTACACTCCAGCCTGGGCAACAGAGCAAGACCCTGTCTCAAAAAAAAAAATTGTCATTTAAAGGCTAAAAGTAACAGCTCATTGTATGATCTATAATCTTTTTTATTACTGGAGAGCTTGAAAGTTTTCATAATGAACATTTATAATGCTTTTTGTGGATTATGTTCACTTTTAACAATTTTATTTTTTACATTTTGAGATAATATGTGAATTATAGAAGAGGTGCAAAAATAGTACAGAGTGTTCCCTTACACCTTTCATCCAGCTTCCCATTGGCTGATATCTTCCATAACTACAGAACATTTATCACCACTAAAAAAATCAACCTTGCTGCAATATTAAGTATAGGGCTGATTCAAATTTCATCCTTTTTTCCATTTCCACGTGCTTTTGTGTTCCATGATCTGATCCAGGATCCCACATTTATTAAGCTGGTTTGTTCACTTTTATTGATTTTTTGGAGATCTTTATATATTAAGGACCTCAACTTTTTGTCTCTCGTCCCTTTGGCAAAGTATTTCCATTTTGCTTTTTCACTTTGGTGATGACTTCAAGAGATGGGTGGTAGGTGACATAGGATGATGCTGGCACCCTGGCTTAAAGTGAGGGTTATAGGGCACAGGCTGCATGCCAAACCCTCCACAAAATGTTCTCACCTCCCTGTCCCCTCCCAGACATTCTCTGTTTCTCTAACACAAATTGAGCAACTGGCCACTTGTCACCTTGTGAAACCTTGATATTTTATTCCACAAAGTTGTGCCTATCTTGAGTAGAGCCTACACCTTAGACCATAACACGGTTCATGCGTTGTTTCAACACCTGTTGGGTGATGCAGAGTGAATGGGGCCTGGCCAGGCATCTTGTTGAGGAACATGTCACAGTGTCCTCACCCTCAAGAAGGGGAGGTGTCCCATCCCTGCAGGGTGGGGTGAAAACACGTGCAGAAGTGGGCATTGGGAGTGCAGCCAGGAGCTTGGCTGCAGGCGTCCTGGCTGCAGACACAGCTTTGCTGCTGTGTTTGGTAAACAACACCAGGGACCAGGGAGGGGGCCCCCACATCCCACCCCACAGCCTCAGACCTGTTCTCACCCCCCTGTGGTTTGGGAACTCAGTATCTCTGCTGACCCCTCCTGGGCAATTTGCAAGTGAAGGAATTGACTGCTGGTGCTCCAGGCCACCCGAGAGACACCCTCCGCCCCCCACCCCCCCACCCCCATCACCCCTCCACCCCCGCGGCCCCCCCCATCAGTCTGTCACCCAGGCCTCTGGGCACTTTTAGACAAACTCTGTTGGGGGAGGGGAGAGGAGGAAGCAGAGATTAATCACTTTCAGGCTGGGCCTGCGGCGAAGGCACTTCTAGTGAGGGACATCATAGTGCATTTTCCCACAGCGTTCATGGAAGTCTTTCTTGAGGCCTGATATGAGGGGAAGACGAGGGAAGAAGACACCAGTCTCTGCCTCAACAACCAGGCAGAGGCCGGGCGCAGTGGCCCACGCCTGTAATCCCAACACTCTGGGAGGCTGAGGCGGGTGGAGCATCTAGGATCGGGAGTTCAAGACCATCCTGGCCAACATGGTGAAACCCTGTCTCTACTAAAAATACAAAAATTAGCCGGGCGTGGTGGTGCACACCTGTAATCCCAGCTACTCGGGAGGCTGAGGCAGGAGAATCGCTTGAACCTGGGAGGGGGAGGTTGCAGTGAGCCGTGATTGCACCACTGCACTCCAGCCTGGGAGACAGACTAAGACTCTGTCTCAAAAAAAAAAATGTAAAAATTAACTGGGCTTGGTGGCACCTGTAGTCCCAGCTACTTGGGAGGCTGAGTGGGGACGATCCCTTGAGGCCAAGAGTTTGAGGCTGCAGTGAGCTGTGATTGCACCACTGCACTCCAGCCTGGGTAACAGCAAGACCTTGTCTCTAAAATAAAATAAAACAGAACCAGGCACAGAGCTGGGCACGGTGGTTCATGCCTGCAATCCCAGCACTTTGGGAGGTCAAGGCAGGTGGATCCCCTGAGGTCAGGAGTTCGAGACCAGCCTGGCTAACATGGCAAAACCTCGTCTCTACTAAAAATACAAAAATTAGCCGGACATGGTGGAGTGCACCTGTAGTCCCAGCTACTTGGGAGGCCAAGGCAGGAGAATCTCTTGAAACCAGGAGGCGGAGGTTGCAGTGAGCCGAGATCACACCACTGCACTCCAGCCTGGGCAACAGAGTGAGACTCAGCCTCAAAAAAAAAAAAAAAAAAAAAATAGAACCAGACAGAGAGCAGCAGGGCTGCGTCCTATCCCTGCCCCTTAGACAGAGAGGCATGAAGGGGTGAGCAGGCCAGGCCGGGACCAATGTCGGGGGCCAGGACTGGGACTGGTAGGGTTGGCAGGGCTCACTCAGCTGCGTGTATGGGCCCTGACCCCTGGGCACACCTGCATTCCCCTGCCCTGGGAGTTGCTCCAGTGTTTATTGAGTGGGTCCTCTGGGATGGCACTGGGGGGGTGCAATGGTTTTTTTTAAAGTCCTAGTGGATTCTGGCCAGGTGTCCGAGGAGGACACAAGCTGAGAGACACCTGCGCCCCCAGAACTGGAGGAGGCAGAAAGCGTTCTCCCCTGGAACCTCTGGAGGGAGCACAGGCTTGCAGACCCCATGATTTTGGACTTCTGGCCTCCAGAACTGGGAGAGGATCCATGTCTGTGGTTTTAAGACCCCCTCCCAGTCCCCCATTTGTGGCACTTTCTTACGGCAGCCCCAGGACACCCATCCACAGAGTTCCTGGGAAATGGGGATGTCAGGCCCGTCGTCTGCACGTTTGGCAACCAGAAAAGCCCCTGTCCGTGGGGGTGCGTCCCCTGCTCCCCGCATTTCTGCCAAAGCCCCTTCCGTCGGCAGCTTGTCCTTGCATGTCCCCGAGGAAGGTGACCAGCAGGCGGAGCTGCTGCCCAGCGGCGGCCGTCCCCTCGCCCTCCTCCCTCCTCTTGTTACCATAAACACTTGGAGACCTCAGAGGAAAACGCTCAAGGATTCCCAGCCTCCAGGGCTGTGTGCCGAGGGCTTCAGAGGCTCGCATGGGGAGCGCCCTTTCCTGCACCCGCCCTGTTGACTCTGCTATCTTCCCGGTCGCCCGGCTTCCCGGGGCAGCCTGATGGCCAGGGCGCAGGTCTGGGTGGGTGCCAGGTGCCTGCCCTCCTGCCCGCCCGCCCTGGCCACCCTGAGCTGCAGGACACAGAGACCCGGACGGGAGCCAGCCGTGCTGGGCGTGGCCTGGACTCTGGGTTACGCTGGGGCAGTGAAATTTCAAAACAAACTTAGCCACATGGTCCGAGTCAGGTGTGTCCGGGTGACCCCTGTGCAGACCTTGGCGTCTGGACCTGCCCGGCCGGGGGCACCCATCCCGCAGATGCTGAGGCGGAGCCCCAAATCACGGGACCCTCTGCTGCAGGCACCGGCGGGGCGGGCTGCCAGGGCCGGAGACGAGCCATGTGCATTCTTGGGATGTTTTTTCGTTTAACCGTCTCTCCCTCTCCCAGCCATTTCCTGGCCTCTCGCAGACAAGCGACAGACAAGCAGGTCTGGCGCCGGGCCACGCTGGTGGTTTTCCATGCCGGGGTCAGTCTGGGATCCACATCCCCACAGCTCGGCCCCTGGGGGGCCGGGAGCCAGGGGTTTGAGGCCCCGATCCACCCCTTCCCAGCTCTGTGACCTTAAAATCCTTTAGCATCGGTTTCCCTACTTGTGCATGTTAACATTTGGAAGCTGATGATTCTTGGTCTCGGGGTGTTGGGGGGCTTCCTGGCAGGGAGTGGGTGGAGACCAGAGACGCTGCTCAGCACCCTGCAGTGCCCAGGACGGCCCCACCCCAGAGAGAAGGATCCAGCCCCAATGTCCACAGGGCTGAGGGGGAGAGGTCCTGCTGAAAAGCTGCAAACAGGTGCTTTTCTGCCCAGCTTCTCCGGCCTGGTTAGCGATGAAACCTGTGGCTGCCAGCCATTGAGCCCAGCCCCTGGGCGGGCGTTGCTCGTGAATTCCTTAGGCCCTGCAGGACGGGCAGTCTCTTGCTTGTGGCTGGAGCACCGTTTTCTGTTGATTTATTTATATTCTGCCTCATTCCACAAAGGATCGGAGCAAGCATTCAGGAAGAGATTCTATCAAATACAAAACTGCAAATAGCTTCCTAACATAGTAGAGAACAGGGCGAGTCAGGAGTTGGCACTAGGCTGCCCTCGGTCCTCTGGGTCCCGTATTGGGTTCTCCGAGGGCCCCCGGCTCTAACGGGGGATTTGTCCCAGCTCTGCCTACGCTACCTGTGTCTCAGCAGATCTCTGAGCCTCAAAGCCCTCAGAGACCCTCAAAGCCCCTAAGAATCAGCACCCTCTATGATGTCATAATGCTGAATAAGACAAGCACGTAGCCGGGCGCGGTGGCTCACGCCTGTAATCTCAGCACTTTGGGAGGCCAAGGTGGGAGGATCACTTGAGCCCAAGAGTTCAAGACCAGCCTGGGCAACAACGAGACCTCCGTCTCTACAAAAAAATAAAAGAATTAGCCGGGCGTGGTGGTGCACACCTGTGGTCCCAGCTACTCGAGGGGCTGAGGTGGGAGGATCTGGAGCCTGGGAGGTTGAGGCTGCAGTGAGCTGTGATTGCGCCATTGCATTCCAGCCTGGGTGACAGCAAGACTTCATCTCAAAAAAAAAAAAAAAGGAAAATAACACCATAACATTTTATATAGGGATGTTCTACATTTTCTTTTTAGATTTATTTCTCAATATAAATATGTAGCAAATGCTTACATGCATATATAATATGTAAAATATTACGCTGATTTTTTTTTTTTTTTTTTTTTTGAGATGGAATCTTGCTCTGTCACCCAGGCTGGAGTGCAGTGGCGTGATCTCGGCTCACTGCAACCTCCGCCTCCTGGCTTAAAGCAATTTTCCTGCCTCAGCCTCCCAAAGTGCTAGGATTACAGGCGTGAGCCACCACGCCCACCCAGAAGACTCTAGCTTAGCAGAGTTGTGGGAAGACACTCCCCTGCTGGTTCCTGGTGTGAAGAAGTGAGCGGTGCATTGCGAGAAGGCCCGAGGAGGGTCTGATAGCTAGGACCCAAGGGTGGCCCATAGGAGCTGGGAGTGTCCCCCAGGCAACAGCCAGCAAGGAAACAGGGACCCCGGTCCTACAACCACAGGGAGGCAAATGGTGCCAACAGCCTGAGGGAATGCTGGATGAAGAGCCTTCCCCGGGCGAGCCTTGGATGAGACGCAGCCCCAACCAACACCCAGACTGCAGCCCTGGGGGTACCCTGAACAGAGGCCCTGGCTTGGCTGTTCCCGGACTCCTGACCCCACAAACCGTGACGTACTAAGTGGATGTGTGTTGGAAGGCGCCACATGGATGGCAATTGGTTACGCAACACAGAGACTGAGCTCACTGCCCCACAGCCCCAGCTTGCGAGGTGGACCTTGTCCTGACCCTGCC
This sequence comes from Homo sapiens, assembly GCF_000001405.40. Classification (NCBI taxonomy): domain Eukaryota; kingdom Metazoa; phylum Chordata; class Mammalia; order Primates; family Hominidae; genus Homo; species Homo sapiens. The sequence continues at coordinate 2,577,069 of NC_000019.10, read as the reverse complement.
AACAGGAATACAAAGACTTACTGGAACTTTGCACACGGGACAGCCCTGGTGACTCACGTAGCGTGAATGACTTAAGAGCAAATTCAGGCCGGGCACAGAGGCCCACGCCTGTAATCCCGGCACTTTGGGAGGCTGAGGTGGGAGGATCACTTGAGCCCAGGAGTTTGAGACCAGCCTGGGCCACATAGCGAGACCCTGTCTTTAGAACAAATTTTAAAAATTAGCCAGGGTGATGCTGCACTCCTGTAATCTTAGCTACTCAGGAGGCTGAGGCAGCAGGATCGCTTGCGTTCAGGAGTTTGAGACCAGCCTGGGCAACCCAGGGAGACCCCATCTGTAAAAAAAAGTTTTAAAAATTACCCAGATGGGCTGGTACGCACCTGTAGTCCCAGCTACTCAGGAGGCTGAGGTGGGAGGATCGCTTGAGCCCAGGAGGTGGAGGCTGCATTGAGCTGTGATTGCACCCCTGCACTCAGCCTGGGCAGTGAAGCAAGACCCCTGTTTCTTAAATAAATAAATAAATAAATACATAATAAAATAAAAAAGACCAAGTTTAGTTCCCAAGGGTTCCTGGTTTCCCAGACGTGTGAGGGTGGCCACCAGCTGCTGCAGTGCCCGTCCCCCGCCTGCCGCGGCCCGCCCTGTCCTCCCTGGGGTCAGCAAGCATCCAGGGACCACGGTGAACTCTAGGAGGGAGTGGGTCAGCCCCACCCAGGGCGGATTCCCAGCACACCGTGTGCAGGCCTGGGTCGAAGGGTTCTGCTGGAATCAACCCGGCATGTTTGTTTTTGCTGCAGTCCCCTGGGGCCGTCCGGGCTGCACGCCTGCACGTCATCCGAGGCCGCCCCACTGCGGTGGGTTGGGAAACTCAGTCTTGGAGCCTGCCAGCCTCACAACTCCTGCTCTGGGAGCACGTGCCCGTGCCGCATGTGTCTGTGTGTGTCTGCATGCATCTGTGTGTCTGGTTCTGTGTGTGTCTGTGTGTGTGTCTGCATGTCTGCGTGTACCTGAGTGTGAGCATGTGTCTGTGTGTGTCTGTGTGTGTGTCTGCATGTCTGCGTGTACCTGAGTGTGAGCATGTGTGTGTCTGCCTGCATGTGCCTGTGTCTGCATGTGTCTGCCTTTGTGTGTCTGTATGTGCCTGTGTGTCTGTGTATGCCTGCGTGTGCCTGCGTGTCTGCGTGTGCCTGCGTGTGCCTGTGTCTGCGTGTGCCTGCGTGTCTGCGTGTGCCTGCCTGTCTGCGTGTGCCTGCGTGTGTCTGCATGTCTGTGTGTGCCTGCGTGTCTGCATGTGCCTGCGTGTGCCTGCGTGTCTGCGTGTGCCTGCGTGTGCGTGTGCCTGCGTGTCTGCGTGTGCCTGCCTGTCTGCGTGTGTCTGCGTGTGCCTGCGTGTCTGCATGTGCCTGCGTGTGCCTGCGTGTCTGCGTGTGCCTGTGTGTGCCTGCATGTCTGTGTGTGCCTGCGTGTGCCTGCGTGTCTGCGTGTGCCTGCGTGTCTGCGTGTGCCTGCGTGTGTCTGCGTGTGCCTGCCTGTCTGCGTGTGCCTGCGTGTGTCTGCATGTCTGTGTGTGCCTGCGTGTCTGCATGTGCCTGCGTGTGCCTGCGTGTCCACACGCCCTGAGGAGGCGCCCGTTCTGCTTTGTACACTTCCCTGGAGCTTTCCAGATCAATCCCAAAGGATGCCCAAAAAGACTCGAGCAGGGCACTGTGGCTCACACCCGTAATCACAGCACTTTGAGAGGCCGAGGCAGGAGGATTGCTTGAACCCAGTAGTTCCTGGCAACAGCAAGTCCCTGTCTCTACAAAAAAATTTTAAAAATTAGCTGGATAGGCTGGTGCAAACCTGTGGTCCTAGCTACTCTGGAGGCTGAGGTGGGAGGATAGCTTGAGCCCAGGAGGTCCAGGCTGCAGTAAGCTATGACGGTGCCACTGCACTCCAGCCTGGGCAATAGAGCAAGACCCCATCTAAAAAAAAAAAAAAGAAAGAAAGAAAAAAAGGAAAGAAAAAGAAAAAAGAAAGAGAGATTCCAACCAGCCTTTCTTCCCTGGTTCCCTGACAGCTCAGAGTTAACCATTGTGCCCCTAAGCCTAACAGCAGCTGGAGCTGATAGCCTTTCACAGGGCCTGCCAGCAGCCTTGGAGAAACCACGAGCCCATTTAACAGGCAGGACGCTGAGGCTCTGATAACAAGTGCGGTTTCGGACAAGAGCGGGAGAGGAGATGGAGAAACAGACCCTCGTGCGTGGCTGGTGGGGATGGAACAAGGCCCAGCCTGGCAGCTTCTCACATGGTAAACACGGAATTACCATAGGGCCCAGCAATCCCACTCCTGGGGATAGACCCCACAGAACTGACAGCAGGGACTGAAAGAGGTGTTTGCACACACAAGTGCACAGCGGCATGATTCCCAACAGCCCCAGGGTGGAAGCCACCCCAGGCGCCCATCAGTGGATAAACACAGCATGGTCCAACCAGACAGTGGAATATTACGCAGCCATGAAAAGGAAGGGAATCCAGACACGGGCTACAGCGTGGATGAACCTTGAGGACCTCACGCTCAGTGAGAGGATCCAGACACAAAAGGACGTATCCTGTGTGATCCCACTCCTGGGAAGTCCCTAGAGTCGTCAGATTCACAGAGACAGGAAGTAGGATGAGTGAGTGCCAGGGGCTGGGGAGGGGGACAGGGAGTGAGTGTTTCATGGGGACAGAGTTTCAGTTTGGGAAGAGGAGAAAGTTCTGGAGAGGATGGTGGTGATGGCGGCACAACATTGTAGTGAGAAAAGAGAGAGGGAGAGGAAGGGCTGAAAGCCCCAAGCCCCATCTTCCGGCTCCAGCGTCATATGAGATGCGTGTTCCCGCGGCCTCACCGTTGAGTTTGAAGGCGTGATGTCAGAATGCAGGCCCAGCAGGGACACCCCGGGAGATGGTGGGGGTGGCTGGCAGGGCGGGTTTCACCTGGACTGCACCAGCCCAGGTGTGACGGGCTCTGGGCCAGACCCAGGCACCCAAGGTGAGAAGGCAGCATCTCTGGTCTCGGGATACCCAGGCCTCCCCGAGGCGGCAGAACTCCGGCCGTACCTCGCAGCAGCTGGTCCGTGGCACCCACGGTATGTCCCATTCATGCAGTGCCTTTCCAGCCTCTTCCAGAAAGAATTTAATTCACCCGTTCGCATATGACCACGGGAGGGAAATGCCAATCCCACTTTTATTGTTTGTTTTTGTTTTAAGATGGAGTCTTGCTCTGTCACCCAGGCTGGAGTGCAGTGGCGTGATCTCGGCTCACTGCCACCTCCGCCTCCCAGGTTCAAGCGATTCTCCTGCCTCAGCCTCCCGAGTAGCTGGGATTACAGGCGCCCACGACCACGCCTGGCTAATTTTTGTATTTTTAGTCGAGACGGGGTTTCGCCGTGAACAAGACACTAACTCTTTCACCATGTTGACCAGGCTGGTCTCGAACTCCTGACCTCAGGTAATCTGCCCGCCTCGGCCTCCGAAACTGCTGGGATTACAGGTGTGAGCCACCACCCCCAGCCCCAATCCCACTTTTAGATCGTTCTCCACAGATAGCGCAGAAGCAGCTTGTCGGAAGCCACGCAGCTGTGAGGGGACAGGGTACAGACAAGATCTTAAGTCTTCTAGCCGCTTCCCTAAGACTAGCCCCGCCTCCTCCATCAGTGCAGAAACTTGGCTGGGGAGTGGGCTCGGAACTGTGGTCCCCTCAATACCTATTTCATGAAGGAAGCCAGGCCAGGCGTGGGGGCTCAGGCCTGTAATCCCAGCACTTTGGGAGGCTGAGGCGGGCGGATCACCTGAGGTTGGGAGTTCGAGACCAGCCTGGGCAGCATGGTGAAACCCCGTCGCTACTAAAAATACAAAAAATTAGCCGGGTGTGGTGGCGCCTGTAATCCCAGCTACTCAGGAGGCTGAGGCAGGAGAATCGCTTGAACCTGGGAGACGGAGGTTGCAGTGAGCCATGATCGCACCACTGCACTCCAGCCTAGGCGACGGGGCAAGACTCTGTCTCAAAACAAAAAAAAAAAAAAAAAAAGGAGAAATTTCCAGAACAGGCAGATCCACAGAGAATATGCATGGATGTGTGGTTGGAGGAGACGGGGGTGACTGCTAATGCGGACGGGGTTTCCATTTAAGGCGATGAAACAGTTCTGGAATTCAGCCAGCACAGTGGCTCACACCTGTAATCTCAGCAACCTGGGAGTCCGAGGTGGGAGGATTGCTTGAGACCAGGAGTTCAAGACCAGCCTGGGCAATATAGTGAGACCCCATCTCTAGAAGAAAAGAATTTTAAGTTAGCCGTGCATGCTGGTTCATGTCTGCAGCCCCAGCTACTCGGGAGGCTGAGATGGGAGGATCGCTTGAGCCCAGGAATTCAAGGCTTCACCGAGATAAGGAGGTGCCACTGTAGTCCGGCCTGGGCAACAGATCGTTAACTCTTAAAAAAAAAAAAAAAAAGGGCCGGGCGCGGTGGCTTACACCTGTAGTCCCAGCTACTCAGGAGGCTGAGGCAGGAGAATCGCTTGAACCGGGGAGGCAGAGGTTGCAGTGAGCCGAGATCAGGCCACTGCACTCCAGCCTGGCGACAGAGCGAGACTCCGTCTCAAAAAAAAGAAAAGAAAAAGTGTTGGAACTACGTAGTGTTGATGGTTGCACAGCTCTGTGAAGGAATTAAAAACTTGCTCGACCAGCCTAGGCAACGTAGCGAAACCCGTCTCTACAAAAAACAAAAAAATTAAGCAAGCATGGTGGCATGCACCTATAGTCCCAGATACGTGGGAAGCTGAGGCAGGAGGATTGCTTGAGCCCAGGAGTTAAAGACCAGCCTGGGCAACACAGCAAGACCCTGTCTCTAAAAAACAAAAAATTAGCCTGGTGTTGTGGTGTGCCCCTGTGGTCCCAGCCACTCGGCAGGCTGAGCTGGGAGGATCGCTTGAGCTCGGGAGGTGGAGGCTGCAGTGAGCTATGATCACACCACTGCACTCCAGCCTGGTGGACACAGTGAGACCCCATCTCAAAGAAAAACAAAACAAAACAAAACAACAAAAACACAAAGAGAGAGGGACAATGTGGCATTGTCAAAAGAACAGACAAATAGGCCAATGGGACAGGATAGGTAGGTAGCCCATATTTTATATGACTCATATAAAACGGTCAACTGGCCGGGCGCAGTGGCTCACACCTGTAATCCCAACACTTTGGGAGGCCAAGGTGGGCAGATCACCTGAGGTCAGGAGTTCGAGACCAGCCTGGCCAACATGGTGAAACCCCGTCTCTACTGAAAATACAAAAATTAGCCAGGCGTGGTGGCACTCGCCTATAATCCCAGCTACTCAGAAGGGTGAGGCAGGAGGATCACTTAACCCCGGGAGGCAGAGGTTGCAGTGAGCCGAGACCGCACCTCTGCACTCTAGCCTGGGCGACAGAGCAAGACTCCATCTCAAAAAAAAAAAAAAAAAAAAAAAAAGGAAAGAAATGAAAAGAAAAGTGACCACACATCTGATAACTCTTTCACTTAACGTAGCCTGCAGGCACCCTCCAAGCCACCCCTGCACGCTACCCATCCTAGAAATGCAACGTGGCCTAACCACGCCTCTGCAGGCAGATTGAGATGGTTCCAGTTTGGAAGCATTCACAGTTCTGCAATCAGAACAAGGATAAGGATATAGGTAGACATCTTTGCCCACGTGTCCAACAAGGTCTTTGCAATAAATTCGTAGGTATGGAATTGTCGCATCAGCAGGTAGCACCTTCTCGGTTCCGACAATGCCGCCACATTTTCTTCCAAAAATGTTGACCAGGGACCCTCTGTTATCTGTGCTGGAGAGGCCCCCATTCCGCAGATCCTAGAAGACACTGGGCGTCGTCAGGCTTCCATCGGTGACAGTCCGAGAGGCCAGGGTGGAATCCTGTTATTGGTGCATGTGTTGTTGTTTGTTAAAGCTGGACAACTCCGCCGGGCACGGTGGCTCACGCCTATCATCTCAGCACTTTGGGAGGCCAAGGTGGGTGGATCACTTGAGTCTAAGAGTTTGAGACCCACCTGGACAACATAGTGAGACCCCATCTCTAAAAAAAAAAAATACAAACATTAGCCAGGCGTGGTGGCGTGCACATGTAATCCCAGCTACTGGGGAGGCTGAGGCAGGAGGATCGGTTGAGCTCAGGAGGTCAAGGCTGCAGTGAGCTGTGATTGCACCACTGTACTCCAGCCTGGGTGACAGAGCAAGACCCTGTCTCAAAAAATTAAAAAGCCAAGCTGAACATCTGTTTTTAGGCTTGGGGTTTTGTTTCCTTGTGTGAATTGTGGGTTCACGTCCTTTACCATCTCTCCACTGTCCGAGGAGCGCTGTCTGCTCCTGGAAAACCTTCCAGTACCTTCTGTTCATGGCTGAGACTTGGCTCCTGGGCTGTCTGTCTCTCTCAAGCTCCTCCTGGGGCCCATTATGGGGCTGCGTCCTTAGGGATTTAGCTTCTCCTTTGCTCTCATGAGTTCTCGGCTAAGTGGGTGTGGAGATGCCCATTTTACAGATGGAAGAGCTGAGGTTTGCAGATGCCACTTCCCCAGTGAACACGGGCCCCATCCACATGTGGCTGGAAAGGGAAGTTTCCTTCCTGACCTGAGGCCCAGTCAAGCTCTGCGTGTCTCCCCGTGCCTGACTGTCATAGTCTGTTTTGTGTTGCTATAAAGGAATAGAGCTGAGGCTGAGGGGTTTATAAAGCATAGAAGTTTATCTGGTTCACAGTTCTACAGACCATACAGTTCTACAGACCATACAAGCATGGTGCCAGCATCTCCTGGGCTTCTGGTGAGGCCTCAGGAAGTTTCCACTCATGGCAGAAGGTGAAGGGGGAACGGGCATCTCATACGGCCAGAGAGGGAGCGAGAGAAAGGAGGGAGGAGGTGCCAGGCTTTTTTTAACAACCAGGTCGTCCGTGAACTAACAGAGTGGGAACTCGCTCATTCCCGAGGGGAGAGCACCAAGCCATGAGGGACCCCCCTCCCGCCACAACCCAAATGCCGCCCACCCAGCCTCACCTCCAACATAGGGGGTCGCATTTCAGTGTGAGATCCGGAGGCACAAACATTGGCCCCATGTCACTGACATTGCTCAGTCCTGTGCTGCTGGATTCTAGGATTTTGTGGCTATTTTTGTCGCAGTTGTTCTAGTGTGGTGGTTCTCAGCTGGGGCTGATCCTGCTCCCAGGGGACACCGGGAGATGTCTGGTGACGTTTGTGGTTGTCATGACTGGGGGACGGGTGATGTCTGGGGACATCTGTGGTTGTCCCGATGGGGATGCTCTTGGCATGGAGTGAGTGGAAGCCAGGGACGCTGCTCAGCACCCTGCAGTGCCCAGGATGGCTCCACCCCAGAGAACGGTCTGGCTACAGTGTCCACAGTGCTAAGAGAGACCCTATTTAGTATGATAGCGACATAATTGTCATGTCTCACACTTTTTGTTTAAGAATGGAGATGATTGGCCAGGTGCGGTGACTCACGCCTGTAATCCCAGCACTTTGGGAGGCCGAGGCGGGTGGATCCCGAGGTCAGGAGATCGAGACCATCCTGGCTAACCCGGTGAACCCTCGTCTCTACTAAAAATACAAAAAATTAGCCGGGTGTGGTGGCGGGCGCCTGTAGTCCCAGCTACTCGGGAGGCTGAGGCAGGAGAATGGTGTCAACCCAGGAGGCGGAGCTTGCAGTGAGCCGAGATCGCGCCACTGCACTCCAGCCTGGGCGACAGAGCGAGACTCTGTCTCACAAAAAAAAGAAAGAGAGAGAGAGAGAGAATGGAGATGATCGCCATCCACTGTGTAGCTGTTCCTGCTCCAGCAGTTATGCTGCACCCTTTGTGGAACTGATCCCCAGCAGGTGCCTCATGCTGGGGCCTCTCCCTTCACTGAGTTGTGTGTGTGTGCGCGCACCTGTGGGTATATGCATGTGTGCATTTGTGTGTATGTGTGTGTGTGCTTGCATGCTTGTGTGTATGTGTGTGCGCTTCTGTGTATATGTTTGTGCTTTTGTGTATATGTGTCTGCTTGTGTGTATATGTGTGTAAATATGTGTATGTGTATGTTTTTGTGCACAGATCTGTATGCGTATATTTGTGTGTATTTGTATATTTGTATATGTATGTATATGTGTATAGTGTGGATATGTGTGTGCACATGAGTATGTGTGTGTACTTGTGTGTATATTTGTGTGTATTTGCATATGTGTATATATTTGTGTGTATATGTGTGTGTATATATGTGCGTGTATATGTGTGTATGTGTATTTATGTGTATATGTGTATGTGTGTATGTGTGTATGTATGTATATGTGTCTGTATGTGTATATGTGTGTCTATATTTTATGTATGTGTGTATGTGTATATATGTGTATGTGTATGTGTATATGTGTATTTGTGTATATGTGTATATATGTGTGTATGTGTATATATGTGTGTATGTCTATATATGTGTGTATTTGTGCATGTGTATGTGTGTATATGTGTGTATATATATGTGTATGTGTGTATATGTGCACGTGTATGTGCACACACAGAGACCCTGTGTATGTGCGTAAGTCTGTGTGTATGTGCATGTGTGTGTGTATGTATATGTATGTGTGTATGTATATGTATGTGTGTATGTCTATGTGTATATGTGTGTGTGTTTGTGTTGTATATGTGTGTCTATATGTGTGTATGTGCACGTGTGTGTATGTATGTCTATATGTGTGTATATGTGTGTGTGCGTGTGTATGTGTGTGCGTGTGTATATGTGTGTAAGTCTATATGTGTCTCTATATGTGTGTATGTCTATATGTGTGTATGTGCACGTGTGTGCATGTCTGTATGTGTATGTCTATATGTGTGTGTATGTGCATGTGTGTATGTGTGTGTATGTATGTGTATGTGTGTGCATGTGTATATGTGTGTATGTCTATATGTGTGTATGTGCATGTGTGTAAGTGTGTGTGTGTGCATGTGTATATGTGTGTATGTCTATATGTGTGTGTATCTGCACGTGTGTGCATGTGTGCTTGCATGCCCGTGTCTCTGTTTTTGGGTGGCTGGAGTGCCTGGTGAGATGCATTTTCCAGGAAGGCGTTGTGAACGCCCTACTTCCTGAGTTCCTGCTGAATGGCAACGCCCTTCTCTCCCTTCCATGCCTGAGCGCGTGGTGCCCGGGAACAGATGGGTGACTTCCCTGTTGCCCAGTTGACATTGCCCTGCCCCCGTCGGAGTCTGGTGCTCTGAAGAGGAGACTTGTGACCTTTTAGGTCTCATCCTAGACCACAAGGCAGCGAGCTTTTCCTGTAAAGGGCCAGAGGGTTGCTGTTTTCGGCTCTGTGGCCCAGTCTCCGGCTCCAGCACTCAGCTCTGCCGCTGGAGCACAGAAGCGTCAGAGGCAGTGCCTAAGTAGGATACGACAGAGGACACCGGCCCAGTGCAGCGGCTCACGCTTGCAATCCCAGCACTTTGGGAGGCCGAGGTGGGACGATCGCTTGAGCTCAGGAGCTCAAGACCAGCCTGGGCAAAATGGCGAAACCCCATCTATACAAAAAAATGCAAAAATTAGCTGGTGTGGTAGTGTGCACCTGTAGTCCCAGCTGCTCAGGAGGCTGAGGCAGGGAGGTCGCTTGAGCCTGGGAGGTCGAGGCAGCGTGATTGCACCACGGGCACTCCAGCCTGGGTGACAGAGTGAGACCCTATGTCACACACACACACACACACAAATCGACGACAACTGAGAAGAAATAAACCTGCAGATGGAAAAGGTGTGTTCTGGAAGCATCACTACAGGAATGATCACGGCCAACCCAATGACTTGAAATTAAGGAGATTCTAGAGCAGAGGTCAGCCAGCAAGGGCCCATGATGGACAGTGTGGGTTTTTTGTTATTGTTTTTGTGTTTTTTTTTTTGTTTTTTTTTTGTTTTTTTTGTTTTTTTTTTTGAGACGGAGTCTCGCTCTGTCGCCCAGGCCGGACTGTGGACTGCAGTGGCGCGATCTCGGCTCACTGCAAGCTCCGCCTCCCGGATTCAAGCGATTCTCCTGCCTCAGCCTCTCGAGTAGCTGGGATTACAGACGCCCGCCACCGCGCCCGGCTAATTTTTTTGTATTTTTAGTAGACACGGGGTTTCACCATGTTGGTCAGGCTGGTCTCGAACTCCTGGCCTCAGATGATCCGCCTGCCTCGGCCTCCCAAAGTGCTGGGATTACAGGCTTGAGCCACCATGCCCAGCGACAGTGTGTTTTTGTAAATAAAGTTTTATTGGCACCCACCATGCCCACTCATTGAGAAATCGTCCACAGCAGCCTCTCCTGCCTCTGTGGCTGAGTCGAGCAGTTGCAACAGAGACCATCTGACCCACAAAGCCAGAGAAGTTTGCTCTCTGGCCTTTTACAGGAAAATGTTGCCAACCCTGGCCTTACAACCTCTAGCCAGTCCTTTAGCAGTGGGGGTGGGAGGGGAAGGAGGTGTCCCCCGACCATTGCTGTGGCCCCAGTTCTGGTCTGCTGTCTCGGACCCTTCCCCCGGAGCCAGGCTGAGACGCCTTTTAGGGCTTTGTGTGAGTTTCATGGGGTGCTCGTACAAGGTCCACAGACCTAGCCGTTTAGACACCACGGGTTCATTCTCTCTCCGCTCTGGAGACCGGAAGTCCAAGGCCAAGGTGTAGGCAGGGCTGGGTTCTTCCGAAGCCAGTGGGGAGAATCCATCCCAGGGCCACTCCCAGCTCCTGGTGATGGCCGGAGATCCTTGGCCTTCCCTGGCTTGTGGAAGTGACACCCCCAATCTCTGCCTTGTCACCCCAATCTCCTATCTATACAGCATTCTCCCTCCCGTGTGCATCTGTGTCCAAATGTCCCCTTTATTTATTTTTTATATTTATTTATTTATTTATTTATGAGACGGAGTCTGGCTCTGTCGCCCAGGCTGGAGTGCAGTGGTGCGATTTTGGCTCACTGCCACCTCCGCCTCCCAGGTTCAAGCGATTCTCCTGCCTCAGCCTCCCGAGTAGCTGGGATTACAGGTGCCCACCACCACGCCTGACTAATTTTTGTATTTTTAGTAGAGACGGGGTTTCACCATGTTGGCCAGGCTGGTCTCGAACTCCTAACCTCAGATGATCCGCCTGCCCTGGCCTCCCGAAGTGCTGGGATAACAGGCGTGAGCCACCGTGCCCGGCCTCTACCATGGTTTAAAATGTCTGCACACATCATTCCGCCCGTCCCCTGCAGAAGCGCTGAGCACATTACACTCTGCAGACGCTTCCTGTAGGACTCGGCCGGGCTCACACAGCCTCCACCCTGAGCTGCCGGTAACTGTCACCTGGAGTCTCAACTGCCCTGTGCCCGGCACACCCCAGACCACTCAATCAGGTTCTTCCGGGTGGGATGGGCCTCTCCCAGTGATTGCAGGTTTTAGGAACCCTGGGCGAACTGGTTCCTAATCCTAAATTTCTGCAGTTCTCATGGATTCAGTCCTGGAGGGAAGGAACTAACCGACCCTTCCTTTGACGCAAACAGCTTTTGTTTTTGTTTTTTTTTTTTTGAGACAGAGTCTCTCTCTATTGCCCAGGCTGGAGTGCAATGGCACGATCTCGGCTCACTGCAACCTCCGCCTCTCGGGTTCAAGTGATTCTCTTGCCTCAGTCTCCTGAGTAGCTGGAATTACAGGCGTGTGCCACCACGTCCAGCTAATTTTTGTATTTTTTTAGTAGAGACGGGGTTTCACCATGTTGGCCAGGCTGGTCTCGATCTCCTGACCTCATGATCCACCCGCCTCGGCCTCCCAAAGTGCTGGGATGACAGGTGTGAGCCACCGCGCCTGGCACAGCTTTGGTTTTTGAGCCTGCAGGGTGCACACGTTGTGTGAGGGTTGCACGTGTGTTTTCCGTTTTCCCCATGTAGTCTGAGCCCGTGATTCCAACAGGAAGGCGTCATCTTCTCCACCTCAGGGTCTTCTGTTGTCATGGCTACAGGGAGACACAGAAGCTTAGCGGATATTTTATTGTATTTATTTCATTTCATTCCATTTCAAGACAGGGTCTCACTGTGTTGACCAGAGTGGTCTCAACCTCCTAGTCTCAAGTGGTCCTCCTGCCTCAGCCTCCCAGAGTGCTGGGATTGCAGGCATGAGCCACCGCATCTGGCCTGATTCTTTTTTTTTTTTTTAAATGACCAATGTATTCATTTCCTAGAGTGCCATGCAAATTATTACAGATTGCGGGGCTTTAAATAACAGACATTTTGTGACAGTCTCCTCTCCTACTTTTGGAGGCCAGAAGTCTGAGATCAAGGTGTCTGCAGGGCTAGGCTCCCTCCAGAGACTCCAGGGGCAGGGTCCTTCCGGCCTCTCCCAGCTTCTGGGGGCTCTAGGAGTCTGGCTTGTGGCCGTGTCACCCCAGTCTCTGCCTCCATCTCCACACAGCCATGTCCTCTCCTCTGCATCTCTAAATCTCTCCTTCTTGGTGTTTGTTTGTCTGTTTTGAGACAGAGTCTTGCTCTGTCACCCAGGCTGGAGTGCGGTGGCACCATCTTGGCTCATTGCAACCTCCGCCTCTTGGGTTCAAGCAATTCTCGTGCCTCCGCCTCCCGAGTGGTACAGGTGCACGCCACCATGCCTGGCTAATTTTTGTATTTTTGGTAGAGATGGGGTTTCACCACGTTGGCCAGGCTGGTCTCGAACTCCTGGCCTCAAGCGATCCTCCCGCCTCGGCCTCCCAAAGTTCTGGGTTTACAGGTGTGAGCCACCAATCTCAGCCTGTGTCTCTCCTTCTTAAAAGGACACCAGTCATTGGATTTAGGGCCCACCCTACAAACAGGATGATGATTTCATCCCAAGATCCGTATCATCTTCCATCTGCAGAGACCCCATCTCTGAGAAGGTTACGTGCCAAGCTTCCAGGAGGACGTGAGCTTTTGCGGGACACTATTCAACCCACTGCATTCAATACACATTCTTTTTCTTGAGTTGAAAATTAGCTACACTCCTGTTTAGGAGCCTGCCCTTACACACACGAACACCATTCTCATTGGCTAACCATCCTTTGATTTTTCCCTGCTGTTTCTCCCACCCCACCCAACACCCCCAAATACCACCTTCACCGTCTCCTCCATTCCTTGATTTGCAATGCTGCTGTGTTGTTTATGTATGAGCTTCAAATCCTCTCTGGACCAAGGAAGTTTGGGTGCGAAGGTTTAAATAACTCAACAGTTCACAATTAGGCTAAAAATTCACACATAAAATGAGCCCACTGAAGTGTTCAAAGGTGTGACCTGGGCCGGGCGCGGTGGCTCATGCCTATTATCCCAGCACTTTGGGAGGCCGAGGTGGGCAGATCACTTGAGGTCAGGAGTTCAAGACCAGCCTGGGCAACATGGCGAAACCCCATCTCTACTAAAAATTCCAAAATTAGCCAGGCGTGGTGGTGCACACCCGTAGTTCCAACTACTATAGGGAGGCTGAGGCAGGAGAATCACTTGAACCCGGGAGTCAGAGGTTGCAGTGAGCCAAGATCGTGCCACTGCACTCCAGCCTGGGCGACAGAAATGAAACCTATCTCAAAACAAAAACAAAAAAAAGTGTGACCTCAATAATGCTTGGGAGTGGTTCTCTTAGGATCCTGAGTAGAATGTGGGGACATTTCTGGTAGTCACGACTACGGGGTGCTCCCAGCATGGAGTGGGTGGAGGCCAGGGACGCTGCTCAGCAGCCTACAGTGCCGAGGACGGCCCCACCCCAGAGAATGATCCAGGCCCAATGTCCAGAGTACAGAACGGGAGAGACCTGTGTTCATTATTTGAAAAATACTGGGCCGGACGCAGTGGCTCACACCTGTAATCCCAGCACTTTGGGAGGCTGAGGCAGGTGGATCGCGAGGTCAGGAGATCGAGACCATCCTGGCTAACACGGTGAAACCCCGTCTTTACTAAAAGTACAAAAAAAAAATTAGCTGGGCGTGGTGGTGGGCGCCTGTAGTCCCAGCTACTTGGGAGGCTGAGGCAGGAGAATGGCGTGAACCCGGGAGGAGGAGCTTGCAGTGAGCCGAGATCACGCCACTGCACTCCAGCCTGGGCGACAGAGCGAGACTCTGTCTCAAAAAACAAAAAAAAAGAAAAAGAAAAAGATTGAATCTGTCCCTTGCTCACACTGGACACCAGAATAAACTCCCGATGGGGCCGATGGTGTAAACCAGAGGGACTGCAGCTCCTGGGACTCACATCCTCTCTCCCTCCCCACTCAGAGTGTGGATTTCAATGTGTGCAGCCTTCTGGGAACTCAGCAGGGCAGAGGATTATGGACGCAGAGTCTCTTGGGGGTCTGTGGAATCCCCTAAGATTCCAGTGTACGCTGGGAGCGATCCTGTCCCCCCTGACCAGGGTACACTCAGTAAATGTCTGGGGGCACCTGCTGCTGGCATGGAGTGTGTGGAGGTCAGGGACACTGCTCAGCACCCTGCAGTGCCCAGGATGGCCCCACCCCAGAGAAGGATCTGGCCCCAGTGTCCACAGTGCCCGGGGGGAAAAACCCTGTTGTAGGTATTGAAAGTGAGTGTAGCTTTCAGCTGAACAGAAATCATGAGTATTAATCATTTAAAAGAAAAGGAAAAGGAGCGGGGCGCGGTGGCTCACGCCTGTAATCCCGGCACTTTGGGAGGCTGAGGCAGGAGAATCACTTGAACCTGGGAGGCGGAGGTTGCAGTGAGCCGAGATCGCGCCACTGCACTCCAGCCTGGGCGACAGAGCCAGACTCTGTCTCAAAAAAAAAAAGAAAGAAAAAGAAAGAAAAGAAAAAGGAACCCGCTGTAGATGTGTGTTCCTGGGGCTGAGCAGGTGGGGACCCCGGCAGCTCCGGGGCTGCGGTGACTCACGGCTCTGGCTCTGTGTGAACCTGCAGATCCCAAGGGTGTTACTGCAAACCCCTGAGTGGGTGGAGGGCGTGAATGCCTGCCCCGGACCCTGGTTTCTTTCTGAGAAGCAGAACGCAGAGAGACTTCTCAGAGAAATGTCGGAGGAAGGGGATTACCCGCTGGTCTCCCAGAAGAGCCTGCGAAGCTCAGAAACAGGGTTTCCTGTTTCTCGGGTCGCCCCGGGGCAGCTGCCTCTGCTGGGCACTTTGCTCTCAGGTGCTTTTCAGAGTGCAAAGAAGAGAAAGAAGCCAGTGTCATTTCTTTTTTTTTAGACAGAGTTTTGCTCTTGTCACCCAGGCTGGAGTGCAATGGTGCAATCTCGGCTCACTGCAACCTCTGCCTCCCAGGTTCAAGCGATTCTCCTGCCTCAGCCTCCCGAGTAGCTGGGATCACAGGCGCCTGCCGCTATGCCCAGCTAATTTTTTTTTTTTTTTTTAGTAGAGACGGAGTTTCACCATGTTGGGCAGACTGGTCTTGAACTCCTACTTCAGGTGATCCACCCGCCTCGGCCTCCCAAAGTGCTGGGATTACAGGAATGAGCCACTGCGCCCGGCCAACCAGTGTCATTTCTATCTTTCTGAGAGAGGCTCTTGTGGGGATTGTGTGTCCAAGAGTGCTAAGAGCTGGGAGGGTCAAAGACCCAGGCCAGGGTGCAGAGAGGAAGGGACAAGGGGAGGACAGGGCCCCTCCTGGGCACAGAAGGGCAGTGGTGCTGACACCAAAACTGTGACAGGACCTAACCAGGGTCTCCCCAGGGCACCGTGGATATTGGGGCCTGGGTCATTCTCTGGGGTTGGGCCAACCTGGGCACTGCAGGGTGCTGAACAGCGTCCCTGGCCTCCACCCACTCCATTCCAGGAGCACCCCCAGTCGTGACAGCCACAGATGTCCCCAGACATGGCCCAGCATCCCCTGGGAGCAGAATCATCCTGGTTGAGCCCCCCTGGGTTATGGGATTCCACGGACCCCCAAGAGACTCTGCGTCCCATGATCCTCTGCCCTGCTGAGGTCCCAGGAGGCTGCACACATTGCAATCCACACCTTGAATGGGGGAGGGAGAGAGGAGGTGAGTCCCAGGAGCTGGGATCCCTCTGGTTTACACACCGTCTGCCCCATCGGGAGCTTATTCTGATGCCTACTGTGAGCAGAAATTGCATTCAACTGTTTTCCCAAATAATTTTTTTTTTTTTTTTTTTGAAACAGTCTCCTTCTGTCGCCCAGGCTGGAGTGCAATGGTACGATCTCGGCTCACTGCAACATCCGCCTCCCAGGTTCAGGCAGTTCTCCTGCCTCAGCCTCCTGAGTACCTGGGATTACAGGCACCCACCACCACGCCTGGCTAATTTTTGTATTTTTAGTAGAGACGGGGTCTACCCATGTTGGTCAGGCTGGTCTCGAACTCCTGACATCAAGTGATCCACCCACCTCGGCCTCCCAAAGTGCTGGGATGACAGGCGTGAGCCACCGCGCCCAGCTTTTTTCCAAATAATGAATTCAGGGTCCCCCCAGGCCCTGTGGACATCGGGGCTGGATCCTTCTCTGGAGCAGGGCCGTCCTGGGCACCGCAGCGTCCGCCTACCCCATGCCAGGAGCACCCCCAAGTCTGGATAACCACAATGTCCCCAGCCACCGCCCAGGGTCCCCTGGGAGCAGGGCCACTCCCAGGTGAGAATCACTGCCTCAAGGGAAGGGCTGGGTGGGACACAGAAATAAGATGTGGAGGTAAGGGGTCCTGCTTGGGCCCCCTAAAGCAGGTCGGACCTCCTCTCCTGAGAATCGACCCTGGGGGCCGGTGGGAGACAGACCTGGGGGATGGGGTGATGTGGGGTCTGAGGCGGTCCCTTCCTTCCTGCCACGGCCAGGCCCTCAGCACACTAGGGGCGCGAGGGACAGGCTGGGTTTGTACTGTAGTCCCCTTTGTCATTCACGGAGTCCGTATTTGCGAATTCGCCGGCTTGGTGTGTATTTGTGAACCCCAAATCAATGCCTGGGGTACTTTCCCTCTTATCCTTGGACACGCAGAGAGAGACAAGAAATTAGAGTCATGGACGTGCGTTCCCTGAGCCCAGGCCACGCTCCGCCTCCCCGTTTCCCCTCCTAGGTGGACCACGCCCTCATTACTGTCTAGCGAGAGCCTCGGGGTTTGCGTTTTTGTGCTCTTTTTGGTGATTTTGCTGTTTGCAGTGGCCCCAGGCATCGTGCTGAGGCCCCTTCTCGTGTCCCTCAGGGCCTCGTGGAGGAACTGGTAGGTGAGAAAAGCTTTGCTCAGGCAGGACTGAGAGAGCAGCTGCCCTATTCAACACTCACATCATCGATAGGCATTCAAGAAGACACCTTTGAGCCAGGCACGGTGGCTCACGCCTGTAATCCCAGCACTTTGGGAGGCTGAGGCAGGCGGATCACGAGGTCAAGAGATCGAGACCAGTCTGACCAACATGGAGAAACCCTGTCTCTACTAAAAATGCAAAATTAGCTGGGCATGGCGGTGCATGCCTGTAATCCCAGCTACTCGGGAGGCTGAGGCAGGAGAATCGCTTGAACCCAGGAGGCGGAGGTTGCAGTGAGCCGACATCCACCATTGTACTCCAGCCTGGGCAACAAGAGCCAAACTCCATCTTGAGAGAAAAAAAAATTAGCCGGACATGGTGGTGGGTGCCTGTAATCCCAGCTACTCTGGAGGCCAAGGCAGTAGAATCACTTGAGCCCAGGAGACTGAGGCTGCAGTGAGCTGAGATTGCACCATTGCACTCCAGCCTGGGCAACAGAGCGAGACCCTGTCTCCAAAAAAAAAAAAAAAAAGACACACAGAACAGGTCATGTATTGATCAGATAAAGGAAAGTTTCCTGAAACTCAAAGGAAACTACCCCTACAAAAATGTTCTCTAGGAGTAATGATTTGTGTTCGCAAACTCAGTTTTTGTGGTGACTTCACAGAACAGAACTACCACAAATAATGAGAATCTAATCAACTGTGGATATATATGTATATGTATATATATGTGTGTGTGTGTATATATATATATTCTTTGTGACTATGAAAGGAATATAACTGGCTGGGCGCGATGGCTCACGCTTATAATCCCAGCACTTTGGGGGGGCCAAGGTGGGTGGATCACATGAGGTCAGGAGTTTGAGACCAGCCTGGCCATGTTGGTGAAACCCCGTCTCTACTGAAAATACAAAAATTAGCCAAGAGTGGTGGTGCATGCCTGTAATGCCAGCTACTTGGGAGTCTGAGGCAGGAGAATTGCTTGAGCCCAGGAGGCAGAGGTTGCAGTGAGCAGAGATCGCGCCATTGCACTCCATCCTGGGTGACAAAATGACACCTGTCCCAAAAAAAATAATAAATAAATAAAAAGGAAAGAGAGAGAAGAAAGAAAGAAAAAAGAAAGAAAGAGAAGGAAAGGAAGGAAGAAAGAAAAGAGAAAGAAAGAAAGAAGAGGAAAGAAAGTTATATAACTTCATTTTACAGAATCTGAGAATCACATAAGGAGAGGAAAATCATCCACAATCCCAGCACTTTATCCTTTCCCCAGACATCTACACACACTCTCTTATTTTTAAAAATTGAGGTTCTACAACATGGTTTGATCATCTGCCTTTAAACCCATTTTTGCTGGCCGGGTGCAGTGGCACACACCTGTCATCCAGCACTTTAGGAGGCCAAGGTGGGAGGATCGCTTGGGCCCAGGAGTTTGAGACCAGCCTGGGCAACATGGCAAAACCCCATCTCTACAGGAATAAAAATTAGCTGGGTGTGGTGGCATGTGGCTGTAGTCTCAGCTACTCAGGAGGCTGAGGAGGGAGGATCGCTTGAGCCCAGGAGGTTGAGGCTGCAGTGAGCTGTGATCACGCCATTGCACTCCAGCCTGGGTAACAGACCCTATCTCAAAAAAAAAACAAAAACAAAAACAAAAAAACACGGTGCCCATCTGTGGCAAGGATGATGAAAATAATACAGTGTGCACATGAAAAGCAGTATTTCCAGCCACCTAAAAGTAAGCCTGAGAGGCCGGGCGCGGTGGCTCACGCCTGTAATCCCAGCACTTTCGGAGGCCGAGGTGGGCGGATCACGAGGTCAGGAGATCAAGGCCATCCTGGCTAACACGGTGAAACCCCCTCTCTACTAAAAACACAAAAAATTACCCAGGCCTGGTGGCCCGTGCCTGTAGTCCCAGCTACTTGAGAGGCTGAGGCAGGAGAGTCGCTTGTACCCAGGAGGCAGAGGTTGCAGTGAGCCGAGATCGCACTACTGCAGTCCAGCCTGGGCGACAGAGTGAGACTCTGTCTCAAAGAGAAAAAAAGTAAGCCTGAGAGAGAAATGCACCGAGTCACCCCATCAGAATAAGGAGCTGTGGTTCCCTGGTCAAGGACCATGGCCTGGGGCAGGGTCAAAGTCCTGTGGGTTCTGAGGCTGACCCGGGGCTGCAGGTGAGGTGGCCCCAGCATCCTCGGTCACTGTCCTGATTTTATGGATCAGGAGCTGAGGTCACACCGGGCTGGCCTGGGCACATCGCACTTTGACTCAGAGTTTGTGATGGGTCAGAAGTCTAACTTCCCGTCTTTCTCTATCACGGTCCTGAAACGGTGCTACAACTCCATTCGCTGACCCGGCCAGGCGGAGCCTCTGAGTCTTTTGTGAGTGCAGGTGCCTTTGGGCAGGAGGAGGAAAAGTCCTGCAGCCCCTCGTTTCTTGAGTCTGTGCATGTTTACTAGCAGGACCTTGCTTCAGATGCAGGGCTGGGTGGAGGCGCTCGCTCCTGCGTGCATGTGTGCGTGCACGTGTGTGTGTGTCTGTGTGTGTGCACATGTGTGTGTCTGTGTGCACATGTGTGTCTGTGCGTGTATGTGCACCTCTGTGTGTGCACGTGTCTGTGTGTGCAAATGTGTGTGCACGTGTGTGTGCACATGTGCGTCTGTGTGTGCATGTGTGTCTGTGTGTGCATGCAAATGTGTGTGCACGTGTCTTGTGTGTACGTGTGTGCGCGTGTCTTTGTGTGCATGTGCGTGAGTGTGCAGTACACGTGTGTACGTGTGTGCGTGTGTCTGAGTATTCCTGTGTGCACGTGTGTGCGTGTGTCTGTGTGCGTGCATATGTGTGTGAGTGTGCGTGTGTCTGTGTGTGCGTGTGTGTGTGTAGAGGTGGGAGGGGAGGCAGCCCCCCTGGATGTCTCTAGGTCACTAAGAGGTTAGGGATCTCACACGGAGTGATTCTGCCCCCCAGGGGACCCGGGGCAGTGTCTGGGGACATTTGTGGCCAACACATCTGGGGGGTGCTCCTGGCACGGAGCAGGTGGATGCCAGGGACGCAGCTCACCACCCTGCAGAGCCCAGGATGCTCCCGCCCCGGAGAACAATCCGGCGCTGGTGTCCGTATTGCTGGGTGGGAGGAGAGACCCTGGCTTAGGAGAAGGTGACCTCAGTCACCGCCTTCCTGCAGCTGAGACCCGGGAGCCTCTGGGAAAGCCGGGACTCGGCCTCCCCAGCTGGGCTGCAAGGTGAGGAGGCTTCCCGCCGACCTCAGCTTCCTTGGCCTCCAATGCAGCCCCGGGGCGCAGGGCTGCTGAGAAAGTGTCGTGTGTGGGTGGCCCGGACTCCAGCCCAGGAGCAGCAGCCATGTGGCTCTTCTTTGTGTCGGTGGAAAAAAACCCATTGGTTTGTGGAAATAGCAAATGTTTGTGACGGAAGAGGGGCCTGGCCGGCTTCAGAGACCACAGGGGCCCTTCAGGGCAGGAGGGAAACAGCCTTGGCCACGTGAACCCGGCCCAGCCCGGCCTCGAGCAGCTCAGGAAGCTGGGCCTGGGTTGGGCCCGGTGCAGGGGCGTCTGCTGACCTCGCCGGGCAAGCCCACTGCAGGGTGAGCCCCGCTAGGCAGGACGGGGCCTCCCCTAGAGCTGACAGTGGTGCAGCTCCTGGCTTCTCCAAGTGGGGCTGCCGGCTCAGCAGCAGAGCAGTGGTGGCCTAACCGGGAGACACAGAACCTGGCATCTGGGTTCATTGTGCGCAAGTCCCGGCCCCATGACCTCGGCCGGTGTAGACGCTCCGCAAGGCAGGGGCCTTTGCCTGCCTCGGGCCTCCTTGTCCACGAAATAGGAGGCTGCCGCGAAGCTGGAGGGGGCAGATCGCTGCCTGGATCTCCCTCCAGACCTTAGTGGGAGTCAGGAAAGACCACGGAAGGTGGTCCCCGTGGGCCCCCCTCGCGATCCGTGCACTGTGCATTGGAGACGGCCGTGGGCCCCCCCTCGCGATCCGTGCACTGTGCATTGGAGACGGATACGGGGCCTGG
Source organism: Homo sapiens (assembly GCF_000001405.40). Lineage (NCBI taxonomy): Eukaryota > Metazoa > Chordata > Mammalia > Primates > Hominidae > Homo > Homo sapiens. The sequence continues at coordinate 2,555,864 of NC_000019.10, read as the reverse complement.
CCCTGTGCAGGGTCCGGCTTGGAACAGAGGATTCCGTTCCATGGAAAACCGCAGCTCCAAAGGCCCCAACCGCCCCGACCCCCGGAGACCAATCACCGGGGCCTGGAGACGTTCTTTCCTTCCTATTGACCTCCTGGCCCTGGGCGGCTCACATGAGACCCCCGGCCTTCCTGCCCCCCGTATACCTGTCACTTCCTCCATTCGGGGTTAATTGGTTTGTCCCCAGTTTCCACTTTCCACCTCTCCCTTTGCCCGGCACGTGGCTTACATAAAAGTAGAAATCAGAGATGGAAAAACACCGAAGTATTCCATGGGAAGGCGCCGTGCCTGGGTATTTTGTTTTTCTTGCACTGGTGTGTCTGATGGACTGGACTTTGACTGTGGGGTTGGGGCTTCCTTGTTCTGAAATGGAATAACACAAGTTTCTGGAAGATAATTTGCCCTGTTGTCCAGCAAGAGAAGCATCCAGGTCTTCTCCGCACGGATCGGTGGTAAAGAATAAAGTGGATTCTGCCCCCGTTTTCTCCGGAGGGCACGGCCCTTTCGAATTCCCATGCCTCATTTTTGGGGACAGCAACGTCGTTCTCCGATAAAAGCTGGAGGTAGCTCTGTGAGTTCCTTGTAAGTAAAAAATATGTAACCATGCTTTTCTCTTTCTCTCTCCTTTTTTAAACAGGGTGTACAGCAAGCTGTGATTCCTGGGAAAACTAAAAAAGGTATGTGGCATTTTCTCTTACTTCATGAGGTTGGAATCTCTTGTTTTTTAGAAAAAGGAACAAACAAGCCCCAGTCTTTTATGTGTGCCTGACACTTTGGGAGGTTGAGTCATCCCATAAAAGGGCTCCGGGCTCAGAGCCAGGAAACCTGAGTTCAAATCCCAGATCCCCTTTTACCAGCTCTGCCCCGTTTGGGTGGGTTCGCGTCAACTGTCTGCAGTGGAGATGACGTTCTCCGTTTTGCAGGAAGGTTGCAAAGATTAAACAAGCATATAGATACAAAAATATAAAAATAGCCAGGTGCAGTGGCTCACGCCTGTAATCCCAGCACTTTGGGAGGCTGAGGCAGGTGGGTCACCTGAGGTCAGGTGTTTGAGACCAGGCTGACCAACACAGCGAAACCCCGTCTCTACCAAAAGTACAAAAATTAGCAGGGCATGGTGGCAGGTGCCTGTAATCCCAGCTACTCTGGAAGCTGAGGCAGGAGAATCGCTTGAACCTGGGAGATGGAGGTTGCAGTGAGCTAAGATCATGCCACCGTACACCAGCCTGGGCAACAGAGTGAGACTCTGTCTCAAAAAAAAAAAAATATATATATATATATAGCATATATATTTTATACACACATATACCTATATATATGTATACACAGTGGCGTGCGCCTGTAGTCCCAGCTACTCAGGAGGCTGAGGCAAGAGGATTGCTTGAACCCAGGAGTTCGGGGTTGCAGTGAGCTATGATTGCACCACTGTACTCCAGCCTAGGTGACAGAGTGAGACCCGGTCTCTTAAAAAATATACCCAGTGTGGTGGCACGTGCCTGTCATCCTAGCATTTTGGGAGGCTGAGGCAGAAGGATCACTTGAGCCCAGGAGGTGGAGGCTACTGTGAGCTGTGATTGTGATTGCACCATGGGACTCCACGCTGGGCAACAGAGTGAGACCAGGTCTCTAAAGAAAAGAAAAAAATATATATATTATATATTATATATAATATATTATAGTTCACTGCTATAATATACTATTATATCATAGCTCACTGCAATCTTGAACTCCTGGGTTCAAGCAATCCCTTTGCCTCAGCCTCCTGAGTAGCTGGGACTATAGGTGCACGCCACTGTGTATACATATATACATATAATATATACATATGTGTAATATATATTACATATAATATATACATATGTGTAATATATATTACATATAATATATTACATACAATATATTACATGCAATATGCACATGTATGTAATATTACATAGAATATGTACATGTATGCAATGTTACATATAATATGTACATGTATGCAATATTACATATAATATGTACATGTATGTGATATATTACACATGATACGTACATGTGTGTGATATAACATTACATGCAATATGTGCATATATGTAATATATTGCATGTAATATGTACATATATGTAATATATTATATGTAATGTGCACATGTGTGTAATATAACATATTACATGTAACGTGTGCATGTATGTAATATAACATATTACATGTAACGTGTGCATGTATGTAGTATGATATATTGCATGTAATATGTGCGTGTATGTGATATGATTTATTACATGTGATATTACATATATGTAATGTGATGTTACATGTAATGTGTACATATATGTAATGAGATGTACATATAAAATATAATATATAGTATATAATATATAACATAATATATTGCATATAATATATAACATATATATTGCATATAAAATGTATATTACATATATATATGTATATATATATATGCTCAGCACCATGCTGGCATGTCAGTATCTAAGAGATGTGAGCTGAACCTGAAACCATCGCTGATCTGTTTCATTCGCGTTTTTCTAGGAATTTGTCCATTTCGTGTAGATTACCTAATTGGATGTCACACACTGGTTCATAATGCTACCGTGTTCTCTGATAATGCCTTTTATTTCCATACAGTTGGTAGTAATGTCCTCCTTTCGTTTCTGCGTGTAGTTATCTGCATCTTATTTCCTCTTTTTTTTTTTTTTTTTGGTTTTGCTTTTGGTCAGCCCCGCTAGAGGTTTGTCAATCACCTAGCTCTTTTCAAAGAACCAACTTTTGGTTTCGTCGACTCGCCAGTTTTTCTCATCTCTGTCTCGTTTATCGCTGCTCTGATCTTTACAATTTCCTTCCTCCTGCTGGCTTGGGGCTGCCTTCGTTCTTCCTTTTCTGGTTCCTTAAGGCAGCAGTCCTCAACCTTTTTGGCCCCAGGGAGTGGATTCGTGGAAGACAGTTTTTCCACAGACAGTGGGGAGGTGGGGGGGGTGGAGCCGGGAGGATGGTTTGGGGACGATTCAAACGCATTACTTTTTTTGTGCACTTTGTTTCTGTTATTATGACATTGTAATATATAATAAAATAATTCCACAACTCACCATAATGTGGGATCACTGGGAGCCCGGAGCTTGTTTCCTGCAACTAGATGGTCCCTGGGCTGGGTGTGGTGGCTCACGCCTATAACCCCAGCATTTTGGGAGGCTGAGGCGGGTGGATCACTTGAGGTCAGGAGTTCGAGACTAGCCTGACCAACAAGATGAAACCTCATCTCTACTAAAAATACAAAAATTAGCCAGGCGTGGTGGTGGGCACCTGTAGTCCCAGCTACTTGGGAGGCTGAGGTAGGAGAATCGCTTGAACCCGGGAGGCGGAGGTTGTAGTGAGCCGAGATCGCACCATTGTACTCCAGCCTCGGCAACAGAGCGAGACTCTGTCTCAATAACAAACAAACAAATAAAAACTAGATGGTCCCATCTGGAGGTGATGGGAGACAGTGACAGATCATCAGGCATTAGATTATTTCTGTTTGCTTGTTTTGAGACAGAGTCTCTCTCTGTTGCCCAGTCTGGAGTGCAGTGGCATGATCTTAGCTTACTGCAAACTCCGCCTCCTGGGTTCAAGCAATTTCCGGCTGATTTTTTGTATTTTTTAGTAGAGATGGGGTTTTATCATGTTGGCCAGTCGAGGCCATTAGGCATTAGATTCTCATAAGGAGCGTGCAACCAAGATCCCTTACATGCACAGTTCACAATTGGGTTCACGCTTCTATGAGAATCTGATGCCACTGCTGATGGGACAGGAGGCGGAGCTCAGGCGGGAATGCAAGCGTTGGGGGGCAGCTGTGAACACACAAGCAGTCAGGCGCCGTGGCTCACGCCTGTAATCCCAGCACTTTGGGAGGTCAAGGTGGGTGGATCGCCTGAGGTCAGAAGCTCGAGACCAGACTGGCCAACATGGCAAAACCCCATCTCTACTGAAAATAAAAAAAATTAGCCGGGCGTGGTGACGCATGCCTGTAATCCCAGCTACTTGGGAGGCTGAGGCAGAAAACTCACTTGAGCCCGGGAGGCAGAGGTTGCAGTGAGCTGAGATCGTGCCGTTGCACTCCAGCCTGGGGGCCAGAGCGAGACTCTGTCTCAAAATATGTGTGTGTATATATATATATTTTTTAAATATATATTTTATTTATAAATATGTATATGTGTTTTTATATATTTATAAATATATATTTGTTTATATATTTATAAATGCATATTTATATATTATAGATAATAGATAAATATATATTAATAAATACATATAAATATATTTTTATATAAATAATAAAAGATTGTATGAAAATATAATTTACCAGCACGGCAGGGCTTTTTGGCGTTCCCTAGATTTTGCCCCCAAGGTGAGTGCCGCATGGCCTCACCCTAGTCCCGGCCCCCACACAAATGACACTCAGGATGACGACGAAGACAGTGATGATTTAAAACCTGGCCGATGGCCGAGGGGTCGCATGTGCCCGTGGTGTCTGGTCTGGATCCTTTTACGTCCTTCTCCATGAATATATTCTCCATGGAGAAGTCCCTGCCCTCTCTCCTGTTTTCTGACCGGGAGACCAGACCTCCTTTGCTGGAGGTCAAACGGCCAGGGTGAGGTCCCTGGAGCCTGCCCTGAGCCCCGTCCTCTGGGACACACAAGTGCTGGCTGATGGCAGCGTGGCTGGACGGCAGGTGGCACGGAGCTGCCTGGGCAAGGCTCAGGTGTCTCCAGGCCGCAAGCTCAAGCTGCCAGCCATGTGGCCACGTGCCGTGGGGATTAGGTCCCTATGCTGCAGCATCTGCTGGGAGGGATGACAAGAGGCTCCAGCAATGACATCAGGCAGCTCTCGTCGGGCCCTGGCTAAGTCCCCTGGCCCTGTTCCCAGCAGCCGGGCCATCCCCACCACTGACGCCTCCCTGATCCTCAGCTCCCCCTACTCAGCGACTCAGCAGATACCTCTCCCGTGCCCCCTGCAGGCCAGGTCCACTGCTCCAATTCCTTTAGTTCTCCTAGGATCCCTGGGGAGCAGGGCTCATTGTCCCCATTTTATAGGTGGGGAAACTGAGGCTCGGCAACCAAAAGATGTGGCAAGGCCCGGGGGCTGGCCAGAGGCAGAGCGGGATTGGAGTCACGAGACTTGCCACAGAGCAGCTGGTGGTCCCTCAGGCTGTGTAGGCCACCTGCTCATCTGCACAAGCCCCTCAGAGCCCAGCAGGGCCATGGTCACTCTCCCTGGGGGACAGTCACAGAAGCTGGGGCTTGGTGAGGAGGTGAGCAGAGGTGGCCGGGAGCGGTGGCTCCTGCCTGTAATCGCAGCACTTTGGGAGGCTGAGGTGGGCGGAGATCACTTGAGGTCAGGAGTTCAAGGCCAGCCTGAACAACATGGTGAAACCGCGACTCTACCAAAAAATAAAAAAATTAGCCGGGCTTGGTGTTGGATGCCTGTAATCCCAGCTACCAGCTACTCAGGAGGCTGAGGCAGGAGAATCGCTTGAACCCGGGAGGCGGAGGTTGCAGTGAGCCGAGATTGCGCCACTGCACTCCAGCCTCGGCGACAGAGCAAGACTCCGTCTCAAAATAAGCCAGCAAGGAGGGTCGCCACGGGGGCTGGATGAGAGAGTGCCTCCCAGCCGCTCCTTCTGCTGCATTCTACCCACTTCCTGTGAGCCAGTCTCAACCCAAACACTCTTTCCCCATCCCACAGGGATTCTGAGAATCAGGGCACCCCAGACCCAAGGCAGCCACATTTCCCTTTTCCACTGAGAGCGGAAAGAGGCCTCGGCACTTCCTGGGGCAGCCCAGGATTTGGCCGTGTTTCTGCATTAGCAAGAAAAGGCGTAATGGAATTTGGATAGACAAGAAAAGGGGATGTAAGCGTGAGCAAAACCACACACTCCATTTCATTGTTAGAAATTCCATGCGTGTCATCAAAACCTCATCTTGGGACAGAGGCCAAGACGAACTCACTGTCACAAGGAACTTTGTGCACAACAAGTGTGCTGGCTCCCCTGTCACCCCCGCCCTCACCCCCGGCCTGCTGGCTGACCCCAGACACAGCAGCCTTGTGTTTCCTCCCTCCTGGTCAGCTGGTGCCTGGTAGCTGCAGCGGTGGTAGCTGCAGTGGTGTCTCTCCAGAAGGTTCTGGGGGAGAGACTGAAATTCCCATGCTTAGCCTTACAATGCCCCGGCCCCGTGCAAACCTCCAGATGAAAACACAGCCCCGGCCAGTGCGGTGGCTCACGTCTGTCATCCCAGCACTTTGGGAGGCCGAGACACGTGGATCACAAGGTCAGGAGTTCAAGACCAGCCTGGCCAAGATAGTGAAACCCCGTCTCTACTAAAAATACAAAAATTAGCCGGGTGCGGTGGCGGGCGCCTGTAATCTCAGCTACTCAGGAGGCTGAGGCAGAGAATTGCTTGAACCCAGGGGGTGGAGTTTGCAGTGAGCCGAGATCCGCCACTGCACTCCAACCTGGGTGACAGAGTGAGACTCCATCTAAAAGAAAAAAAAAAAAACACAGCCCTGTTTAAGCCCTCCGTGCATGTCCTCCTCCACCTCCACCCCCACGGCTGCCATTTTTGCCAAAACGTATATCCTGGACTTGCCTTCTTGCCGTTTGCTGTGTTTGAGCGTCGAGCGTTGAGCCAGACACAGTTGGGTTGGCACAGGAGTCAGGGTTCTCTCCGGGGGTCCTGACAGTTTGCTGCCAAACCTTCATGTCCAGACCTAGTGTCCCCCCTGGGGTCCCTCGGGTTTGCAGTTGCCTTGGCATTGAGGATTCAAGGTGTGTGGCAGGAACAGGGACCCAGGAAACCCTTTGGTGGCCTCAGCCTGCCCAGCTTTGTCACTTGAACCTGTCGGGATGCAAACAACATGCACAGTTCACGAGAAAGCCGCTCCTGGCTGGAACATCCCTTCGACCAGGGTCTCTGGGTATCAGCATCTCTGACATTAGGGTCAGATTATTCTTGAGAGGGGGTTGTCGCTGTTTGTTTGTTTGTTTTGTTGTGTTTTGTTTTTTGAGACAGAGTCTCGCTCTGCACCCAGGCTGGAGTGTAGTGGCACGATCTTGGCTCACTGCGACCTCCGCCACGTGGGTTCAAGCGATTCTTCTGCCTCAGCCTCCCGAGTAGCTGGAATTTCAGACGAGCGCCACCAGGCCCGGCTAATTTTTGTATTTTTAGTAGAGATGGGGTTTCACCACGTTGGCCAGGCTGGTATCGAACTCCTGACCTCAAGTGAGCCACACACCTCAGCCACCCAAAGTGCTGGGATTACAGGTGTGAGCCACTGGGCCTGGCTAGGTTTTTTTTTTTTTTTTTTTTTTCCAGACAGAGCCTCGCTCTGTCGCCCGGGCTGGAGTGCAATGGCGCGATCTCAACCCACTGCAACCTCCGCCTCCCGAGTTCACGGCATTCTCCTGCCTTAGCCTCCCGAGTAGCTGGGATTACAGGCGCCCGCCACCACACCCAGCAAATTTCTTTTGTATTTTAGTAGAGACCAGGTTTCACCACGTTGCCCAGGCTGGTCTCGAACTCCTGAGCTCAGGCAATCCGCCCTCCTCGGCCTCCCAAAGTGCTGGGATTACAGGCGTGAGCCACCATACCTGGTTTTTGTTTTTTGATTTTTGTTTTCCATTGTTAACATGAAAACATCCGTAATGATCCCTAGCCCTCAGGGAGAAGCTCCCTGGGCCTGTAGTTTTCCGGGACTTTCTAACAACACCAGGGCTGGAGTGGGGTGGCCCTGGAGATGTCACACATGATACTGGTGACCTCTAGCCATTCTGATGATGTGACCTGGAGCCCACGGGCCACAGCAGAGAACCCCAGGCTCGAGGTCCATCCTTGGCCATGTGTGTGCCCGGACGGGCCGGCCCCTGCTGCAGAGCCCAGAGGGGTGGGCCTACCAGGCCACGTGTGCCCATGCACAGCAGCAGCACCTGCTATGGATGGAGGTGGGGCAGGCACTTCACATCCGAGGGCTGCCTGGGCCTGGGAGCCTCTGTCCTGGGAAGGAGATCGGCCCTGGGAACAGAGTGGGTTCCAGGAAGTAACACCCTTTGTGAACTCCCTGCACCATGGCCTCCAGCCCCTTCCATCCAAGTGGCATCTTTGGTACCCAGTGTCTGGGATGTGCTGGGGTTGGCAGAACAAAGGCCTCAAAGACATCCATGTCCTAATCCCTGGGAGCTGTGGCTGTGTCACCACACATGGAAAAAGGGACTCTGCAGGTGGGATTGAGTGAAGGACCACCTGAGTCATGAGAGCACCACCGTGGATGATCCGGGGTGGGGGGGCGCAGTGACCTCACAGGATCCTCACGAGAGGAGGCAGGAGGGTGAGAGTCAGAGAGAGACTGAAGAGGCTGTGCTGTGTCTGTGAAGGGGGAGGAAGGGTCCCGAGCCGAGGGATACGGGCACCTCTAGGCGAAAGGCGGGAAAGAGATTCTCCCCTGGAGCCTCCAGGAGGGACCAGCCCTGCCTGTGCCTTGATTTTAAACCAGTGAGGCCCATGTTGGACTCTGAGCCCAGAGCTGTGAGATGAGAAACATGGGTCGTGTGCAGCAGCCACAATGTCACAGGACACAACGAACGTCCAGGGAGCTGCCAGTGTGCGGAGAAGGGGTTTTAGTGCAGCCTGGCTGTGCATAGATGGTTGCAATCAGGGGCTTCTCAGAGGGGATGACATCGGTGGGGCTTTGCAGGATGTGTAGGAGTTTTCTGGGGGGGGGGCATGCGTGGAGAAAGACCCACCTGTGCTGAGGTGGGAAGGCCCGGTACTGCCCTCTGTTCTCTTCCTAACCCTCCTGCCCTTCAGCTCCCGAGCACCACCGTCACGAGGCCGGCGCTGCCCCTTGCCCTGGCCCGGGGCCAGGGTGACAGCATTTCCTCAGCCGGGAAGCCCAGAACTGGAGTGACAGGAGCCACGGGGTTCAGTGTCCTGGCCCGGCCCCGGTTCCCGGGCTTGCAAACTCTCACATGACCGTGGTCATCCCCCGCCCCCGCCGACCCCACCGCCGGGTGGACAGAGAGCAGCTTTTCTTTTCTCCTGCTCCCGTCACCGCGGCGACCAAACCCACACTGGCGGCGCGTCACCCTCTGTCGTCGCGGCCTCTTTGTCTGAACAAGCCGGCTCATTCTTAGGCTCCAAGCTCCGGCTGAAGGCAGCGGCGGGACCTGCCCCGCTGGTCTATTTTTCACTTTCTCGTGGGCACCTCATTCATTCCCTCTCTTTAGCCCCTTCTAAATATAGCTGCCCCGGGGACCGATTTAGCCTGAGAGCAAAGGGCCCACACTGACAGGGACAGTCACAAGGCACTATTTTCCAGCCAGTGCGGCCCTCCCTTCCATGTGGCAGAGGCCCTCCCGCCCGCAGCCCTGGGCCCCACGGCCCTGCCTTGAGGTCACAGAGCCACCAACGGTCAGAGCTGGCACGGAAGGCCCCACACACAGCCGCCCTCCCAGGCCCTGCTGGGCGACCTGGCCCTGGAGAGGCTGCAGGTGCAGGGTGGGTGCCCACGCTGGGTGCAGGGTCTCTGCATGCAGACCCTGGTTGCTGAGGGGGCCCTGGGGTTCTGTGGAGCGGGCAGCAGGTGTGGCCAGTCTCAGACCTGTCTCTTGTATTGAAGTTTCCATTTCAGTCGGGCTCCCCGGGCTCTGCGTGGGTCCCCTCTTTGGCGTCCTGGTGAGAACATGGCAGGCCGTGGGGGGCCTGCATCCCAGCTGCCAGGGGACACATCAACGCCTGATCGTTGCCCTGTGCCTTCTCACCCTGATGCCCTGTGTCCGCTCTGGAAGCTGTGTGCACCTTTCTTTTTCGTTTGTTTGTTTTGTTTTGTTTTGTTTTGTTTTTGAGGCAGAGTCTCGCTCCGTTGCCCAGGCTGGAGTGCAGTGGCGCGATTTTGGCTCACCGCAACCTTTACCTCCCGGGTTCAAGCAATTCTCCTGCCTCAGACTCCTGAGTAGTGGCATTACAGGTGCCCACCACCACTCACGGCTAATTTTTTTGTATTTTTAGTAGAGAGGGGGTTTCACCGTGTTGGCCAGGCTGGTCTCAAACTCCTGATCTCAGGTGATCCACCCACCTCAGCCTCCCAAAGTGCTGGTATTACAGGCATGAGCCACTGCACCTGGCCTTTTTTTTTTTTTTTTTTTTTTAAGACAGTTTCGCTCTTGTTGCTTAGGCTGGAGTATAGTGGCGCAATCTTGGCTCACTGCAACCTCTGCCTCCCAGGTTCAGGCAATTCTCCTGCCTCAGCCTCCTGAGTAGCTGGGATTACAGGCATGCGCTACCATGCCCAGCTAATTTTGATTTTTTTTTTAGTAGAGATGGGGTTTCACTATGTTGACCAGGCTGGTCTCGAACCCCTGACGTCAAGTGATCCGCCCGCCTCGGTCTCCCAAAGTGCTGGAAATACAGGCATAAGCCACCGTGCCCGGCCTATGTGTGCACCTTTCTGCAGAGTCTAAACCAGGGTCCCCTAGGCACTGTAGACATGGCGGCCAGATTGTTCTCTGAGGTGGGCCTGTCCTGGGCACTGCAGGGTGCTGAGCAGTATCCCTGGCCTCCACCCACTCCATGCCAGGAGCACCCCCCAGTTACGACAACCACAGATGTCGCCAGACAGCGCCCAGGGTCCCCTGGGGGACGGAATTACCTCTAGGTGAAACCCCCAGGGATAGGGGATTCCACGGACCCCCAAGAGACTCTGCGTCCCATGATCCTCTGCTGTGCTGAGGTCCCAGGAGGCTGCACACAATGAAATCCACACCGAGCTGGGAGGGAGAGAGGAGGTGAATCCCAGGAGTTGGGGGTCCCCCTGGTTCACACCATCCATCCCGTTGGGAGCTTATTCTAGTGTGGGTAGGGATTGAACCCCATTTTCCCCAAATAATTAACTCAGGGTCTTCTCCCTCAGCACTGTGGACAGTGGGGTAAGATCCTTCTCTGGGGTGAGGCTGTGCTGGGCACTTACGGTTGCTGAGCAGCGCCCCTGGCCTCCACCCACTCCATGCCAGGAGCTCCCCCAACCCCGACAACCACAGATGTCTCAGGCATCGCCCAGGGTTTCCTGGCGGGGCTGAATCACCCACCCCCCCAATTAAGAGCCACTGTTGGCCCAGCACGGTGGCTCATGCCTAAAATCCCAGCACTTTGAGAGGCCAAGGTGGGCAGATCACCTGAGGTCAGGAGTTTGAGACCAACCTGGCCAACATGGTGAAACCCCATCTCTACTAAAAATGCAAAAATTAGCTGGGCGTGGTGGGGGTGGGGGGCGCCTATAACCCCAGCTACTCAGGAGGCTGAGGCAGGAGAATCTCCTGAACCCGGGAGGCGGAGGTTGCAGTGAGCCGAGATCGCGCCACTGCACACTGTCCTCAGGGGCTTCTGTGAGATGCACTGAGGTCCTCATGGCTCCCGGGGGTGCTCATGGCTGAGGCCCTCGTGCCCACAGCAGGCGTGCAGATGTGCACATTGACGCAGGTGCCCAGGGACACAGCTCTCTGCAAACCCAGCTGCCCCAGCCACTGTACGAAGGCGACTTGTTCCTCACAGTGCCTCGGAGCCTTCTCTTCTCTCCCAAACTACTGTTCCATTTTGTTTGGGTTTGGATCTTTTCCTCTCTAAACATAACACCCTGTCTCTCTTGTCTCTGAACACTGTGTTCTCAGAAGCAGTCATCCCTCCACGGGGAAGGGCTGACGTTTCCACTCCAAGCATTGTCTCCCCTCCTGCCAAATCTGGTTGCTGGTTTTGTTGCTTGGGGTTTATTTTTCTTTCCTTTTTCGAGGCAGGCAGAGGTTTGGAGGGGTGAGAGGTGGGGGATTGCCAGACCCCCAGGAGGAAAGAGTCCAGGAGCTCTGCGAGCTATAAAGCTACTGGTTCTGGAAGTTTTAGAGCCAGATGAAGGTTGCTTCTGTTCTCACGTTGCTGCTGCAGGCCGGCCGCCCCTCCCGCCTTCAAGGCCACCTTCCCCCGGGGCTGACTCACCCCGGCACGCCGCGCCACACAAGGCTGGCTCTGCTTTGATGAGCAGACTGGAAAAGCGCAGCCGCCTCATTGTGGAGCTGCCTGGAAGCCGCCAGAGCCCGCTCTGAGCTGGAATTCGCTGAGCCTGACTTCCTGTGCCGTCAGGAGAGCAAACGCCCGCTGGCCTTAGGAGCCGGTTTACAGGAAGCAGCCATGGGAGGACGGTTTGCTCGGCTCATGGAGAAGCAGCCACCCTCTGCACGGGTTTTAATGCTGCACCCTCATCTCAGGGCTGTGAAAAGAAAAATTGCAGGCCGGGAGCGGGGGTTCATGCCCGGGATCCTAGCACTTTGGGAGGCCGAAGCAGAGGGATTGCTTGAGCCCAGGAGTTTGAGACTGGCCTGAGCAATACGGTGAGGCCCCAGCTCTAAAAGAAAAAATATTAAAAATTAGCCGGGCATGGTGGTGCACACCTGTAGTCCCAGCTACTCAGAAGGCTGAGGTGGGAGGATCTCTGGAGGCCAGGAGGTCAAGGCTGCAGTGAGCTGTGATTGCACCACTGCACTCCAGCCTGGGTGACAGAGCAAGACCCTGTGTCAAAAAAAAAAAAAAAAAGGAGGCCAGGCACGGCGTCTCATACATGGAATCCCAGGACTTTGGGAGGCCAAGGCAGGTGGATCACTTGAGATCAGGAGTTTGAGACCAGCCTGGCCAACATGGTGAAACCCTGTCTCTACAAAAAAATAAAAATAAAAAATAAGCCTGGTGTGGTGGTGGATGCCTGTAATCCCAGCTACTCGGGAGACTGAGGCAGGAGAATCACTTGAACCTGGGAGGCGGAGGTTGCAGGGAGCCGAGATGGCGTCATTGCACTCCAGCCTGGGTGACAGAGCGAGACTCTGCCTCAAAAACAAAACAAAACAAAACAAAAACCACCAAAAAAAAAAAAAAAAAAGGAAAACAGCAGAGATGATGTGTGCAGCATGCTCAGTCCAGCGTCTAACACCTAGCAGCAGCAGATGGCAAATAAGAGCTGAAGCTGTCCTGGGCTGTGGGACCCCATGCCTGCTCACCGGGGGGCCCTCCAGCCTGGAGACCCCAACCAGTCCCATCCTGGCCTTGCGTATCAGCTCCTTACACTGCATAAGAAACTACTGCATATGTGGTGGCTTAGAGCAACACGCCTGCCTGAGCTTACAGTTCTGGAGGTCATGGTGCAATGACGTCCTCTGCCCAGGGTCTCCCAGGCTGAAACTGAAACGTGAGCCGCCTGCTGTCTGACGCGAAGCTTCCAGTTGTCGTCCCCAGCTCATTCAGGTTCTTCCTGAATTCACTTCCTTGCAGTCGTAGGGCGCAGTCCCCCTTTCCTTGCTGGCTGTCAGTAATAAACATTCAGTGCACAAATGAAAAAACCCACCCCAGGCCAGGCGCGGTGACTCGCACCTGTAATCCCAGCACTTTGGGAGGCCGCGGTGGGTGGATTGCTTGAGGCCAGGAGTTCAAGACCAGCCTGGGCAACATGGTGAAACCCCGTCTCGACTAAAAAATACAAAAGTTAGCTGGATGTGGTTGTGAGCGCCTGTAATCGCAGTTACTCGGGAGGCTGAGGCAGGAGAATCACTTGAACCTGGGAGGCGGAGGTTGCGGTGAGCCGAGATCACGCCATTGCACTCCAGCCTGGGTGACAGAGCAAGACTCCATCTCAAAAAAAAAAAAAAAAAAAAAAAAAGAACACACAGCGCTGCCTCCCATGAGCCTAGCCAAGGCCCGACTGTGCACCTGCCACAGGGAGCTCTTTGGAAGGGCCGCCCTGCAGCCAGCCCCAGACAGGAGGCCCAGCAGCACTGGGTACAGAAGCACCATTTCTTCCCATCTCAGCCCTCGGCCCTGATCAGCCTTTCTTATTTTATTTTTATTTTCTTGAGACAGAGTCTCACTTTGTCCCCCAGTCTGGAGTGCAATGGTGAAACCCTAGCTCACTGCAACCTCAAACTCCTGGCCTCAAGCCATCCTCCCGCCTCAGCCTCCCGGAGTAGCTGAGACTACAGGCTTGTGCGACCACACCCAGCTTACCTTTTAATTTTTTTTTTTTTTTTTGATGGAGTCTTGCTGTGTCGCCCAGGCTAGAGTGCAGTGGCGTGATCTCGGCTCACTGCAACCTCCGCCTCCCAGGTTCAAGCGATTCTCCTGCCTCAGCCTCCTGAGTAGCTGGGATTACAGGTGCCCACCACCATGCCAGGCTAATTTTTTTGTTTTTTGTATTTTTAGTAGAGACGGGGTTTCACCATCTTGGCCAGGCTGGTCTCGAACTCCTGACCTCGTGATCCACCCACCTCGGCCTCCCAACCTGCTGGGATTACAGGCGTGAGCCACTGCCCCCGGCCTTGATTTTTTTACTTAGAGGCAGGGTCTCGCTGTATTGCCCAGGCTGGAGTGCAGTGGTGCCATCCCAGCTCACTGCACCCTCATTATGTTCTCCTGAAATTCGGCTTCGCTTCCCCAAGAACATTTATTTTTATTTTTTTATTTTAGAGACAGGGTCTCACTGTGTTGCCCCAGGCTGGCTTTGAACTCCTGGCCTCAAGCAATTCTCCTGACTCAGCCTCCCAAAGTGCTGGGATTACAGGCACGAGCCACCGCACCCAACCTGATCAGCCTCTTTTAACAGGGTCTGGGGGACTCAGGACCTTCCCTGCCGATGGAGGAACCCTCGGTAGCTCCCGCTCCCTCGCCTCTCTGGCCGCCAGGCCCAGGAGCCGCTCGGTAAAGTCCCTGTCTCTGCCAGGCCGGGTGCATTCTTGACATTCCTGTCCTTTTACGCAGGCCGCCCCGGCCAGCTCTCAGAAGCCTCCACCGGCTGCATGCTCTCTCCCTGCTGGTGAGAAGATGGCCCTGGCGGCGGCGGCTCCTGGTCGGTTTATCGAGCCGGGAGTGGCACTTTCCCAACTATGAGAACTATGCTTGGAATTCAGAGCCACCGCCAGCCTCTCTGGGTCTCGCTGTCACGGCTTCCTGTGCAGCTGGAAAACACCTCCAAGAGTGGCCGTGGCATCACAGACCTAAAAAAGGAGCTGGGTTTGCTCCGGCAGGTCTCCCCGGGAGGAGGGAAGCCAGTCTGTCCCGCTGCCCGGCGGGCCTCGCTGTCTGCTCGGCAGAGACAGGCCAGGCAGGTTTGGACTTCTCGGGATGCTCCAGCCTCAGCGCCCCCAGGGTCCCCGCAAAATCTCCAACCACCCCAGGCCTGCTGTCTGCTTCTTGGCTTTACA
This sequence comes from Homo sapiens, assembly GCF_000001405.40. Classification (NCBI taxonomy): domain Eukaryota; kingdom Metazoa; phylum Chordata; class Mammalia; order Primates; family Hominidae; genus Homo; species Homo sapiens. The sequence goes on along the minus strand of NC_000019.10, from coordinate 2,540,570 downwards.
GCCCAGGACACCTGGATTCAGCCCACCCACCCCCGAGCAGGGGCCCACGCACCCACCCTCTGCACAGGCTGGGCACGCCGTCGGGCTAAGGGTCCCGGCAAGAATCAGTCTTAGAGCACAGGCCGAGTGTGGAGGCTCCGTCTGTAATCCCAGCACTTTGGGAGGCTGAGGCAGGAGGATCACCGGAGGCCAGGAGATCAAAACCAGCCTGGACAACATAGTGAGACCCCCATCTCTACAAAAAATTAAAAAATTAGGGGGGCATGGTGGTGTGTGCCTGTGGTCCCAGCTACTTGGGAGGCTGGGGCAGGAGAACGGCTTAGGCCCAGGAGTTCAAGTTTTCAGTGAGGTGGGATCACACTACTGTACTCTAGCCTGGGCAACAGAGTAAGACCCCTTCTCAGAGAAGAAAAAGAAAGAAAGAGAGAGAGAGACGGAAGGAAGGAAGGAGAAAAGAAAAGAAAGAAATTGAGAAAGAAACAGAGAGAGAGAGAGAGGGAGGGAGGAGGGAAGGAAGGGAGGGAGGGAGGGAGGGAGAGCCAGAGAGAAAGAGAAAGAAAGAAGAAAGAAAAAAGGAAGGAAAGAGAGAGAGAAGGAGGGAGGGAGGAAGGAAGGAAGGCAGGAAGGAGAGGGAGAGAGAAGAAAGAAAGAGAAAGAGGGAGGGAGGGAAGGAGGAAGGAAGGAAGGAGAGGGAGAGAGAAAGAAGAAGGGAGGGAGGCAGGAAGGAGAAAGGAGAGGTGTGAGTTCCTGCGATGGTGTGTATTTAGAATGCAGAACTTTAGGCCACTGGATGAGCAAGGCCTCTAGGTTGTTCTCCCTAAACCCTTTGGCCAATGAGACAGGGCAGCTGGGGGAGGGACGACACCCAGCCTCCAGCACAGAGGTCCATTCAGGGCTCCACTGGGACCGTGTCAGGTGTGTGTCCATCCCCCATTGGATATCGTATGTGTCTAAAATTGAGCTTATGGCCGGGCGCAGTGTCTCCCGCCTGTAATCCCAGCGCTTTGGGAGGCCGAGGCGGGCAGATCACCTGAGTTCAGGAGTTCGAGACCAGCCTGGCCAACATGGTGAAACCCCGTCTCTACTAAAAATACAAAAATTAGCCAGGCGTGGTGGCGGACACCTGTAATCCCAGCTGCTCGGGAGGCTGAGGCAGGAGAATCGCTTGAATCAGGAAGCAAAGGTTGCAGTGAGCCGAGATCACGCCTTTGTACTCCAGCCTGGGTGACAAGAGGGAAACACCATCCAAAAAAAAAAAAAAAGTTGGTATATATGTTTATTTCTCAGTTTGTGAAAATATCCTTAATTTATTGTCGTCACAAACAAATTTCAATTCTGATTACTATGCAAGGAAAAAACAGAAGATAATCTGCTTTGCAACGCAGTTTATAGTTCATTTGTTTACAGGAACATGCAATATATGAAAAATTACTAACTAAACTACAAGTATTAAATACCTAAATTAGTTAACAGTTTATTATAATTTATTTAACAATCTAGGGCTGGGTGCCGTGGCTCACGCCTGTAATCCCAGCACTTTGGGAGGCCGAGGTGGGCAGATCATGAGGTCAGGAGATCGAGACCATCCTGGCTAACACGGTGAAACCCTGTCTCTACTAAAAATACAAAAAAAAATTAGCCGGGCATGGTGGCGGGCGCCTGTAATCCCAGCTACTCGGGAGGTTGAGGCAGGAGAATGGCTTGAACCCAGGACGCAGAGTTTGCAGTGAGCTGAGATTGCGCCACTGCACTCCAGCCTGGGAGACAGAGTGAGACTCCGTCTCAAAAAAAAAGAAAAAAAAGAAAAATATATATATCTAGGAAGTCTGAAGCCATCAGCACTTCCAATGCAGTGAGGAATTCAGGAATCTCAGTGGAGCTGTTAGAGTAGTGAACCTTGTAAGTAAAATATATGCATGCCTTTCTATTGTGTTTTTTTAAAGACAGGGTCTTGCTCTGTTGCCCAGGCTGGAGTGCAGCGGTGCAATCATAGCTCACTTCAGCTTCCAACTCCTGGGCTCAAGCAGTCTTCCTGCCTCAGCCTCCCGGGTAGCTGGAACTACAGGTGTGCACCACCATGCCAGGCTAATTTTTTTTTTTTTTTTTTTTTGCAGAGACGGGGGTCTCACTATGTTGCCCAGGCTGGTCTCAAACTCCTGGCCTCAAATGATCCTCCAGCCTTGGCCTCCCAAAGTGGTAGGATCACAGGCATGAGTCACCACCACTGCTGATGGCCTGACGCATGCTTTGGATAGCATCGTGGAGGGATCTCTCTAAAATTGACCTGGTCGGTTTCATTCTCAGCAGACTGACCTGGGCCACTCAGCACGGCTTTCCTTATTCCTGATGCTCGTGTATGTTCTCTTTTTACAATAAAGTCATCATCGTCAGAAGATACCAGTTTACCATCCATGGCATCAGGGCCTCCGTAGCCACTGCAGCTTTTCTCCTCTCCATTCATTGTTGTTTTGTTTTGTTTTGTTTTGTTTTGTTTGAGAGAGAGTCTTGCTCTGTTGTCCAGGCTGGAGGGCAGTGGCGCAATCATAGCTCACTACAGCCTCCGCCTTCCAGGTTCAAGCAATTCTCCCACCTCAGCCTCCTGAGTAGCTGGGACTACAGGCATGCACCACCACATCCGGCTGATGTTTGTATTTTTTGGTAGAGATGGGGTTTCACCGTGTTGGCCAGGCTGGTCTGGAACTCCTGACCGCAAGTGATCTGCCTGCCTCGGCCTCCCAAAGTGCATTCATTATGTTCTTTTGAAATTCTGTGTCGCTTCCCTCAAGACCTTTCATAATTTCTTGTCAGCCCTGCAGTCACTGTAACCGGGTCCCAGCCTAACACCACAACCCCCACTCCAGGGCCAGTTTCCCGCCTCCAGCTTCACCACAACCCCCACTCCAGGGCCAGTTTCCCGCCTCCAGCTTCCTGTCCCATCAGAACCGTACACTTTGAGCATGCTCAGTGTATTATATGTTGATTACATTTATATATTATGACCCTATTCTATATTCTATATCAGATTTATTTTATTATAGCCAGGTGCCATGGCTCACGCTTGCAGCCCCAGTGATTTGGGAGGCTGAGGCAGGAGGATCGCTTGAGACCAGCCTGGGCAACATAGCTGTAGAGACTTCATCTCTACAAAAAATAAAAAACTAGCCAGGCCTAGTGGCATGCACCTGTAGTCCCAGCTACTCAGGAGGCCCAGGCAGGAGGATCGCTTGAGCCCGGGAGTTGGAGGCTGCAGTGAGCTATGATTGCACCACTGCACTCCAGCCTGGACAACAGAGTGAGAACCTGGCTCTAAAAATATGTATGTGGCCGGGCGCGGTGGCTCATGCTTGTAATCCCAGCACTTTGGGAGGCCGAGGCGGGCGGATCACGAGGTCAGGAGATGGAGACCATCCTGGCTAACACGGTGAAACCCCGTCTCTACTAAACAAAATACAAAAAATTAGCCGGGCGCGGTGGCGGGCACCTGTAGTCCCAGCTACTCGGGAGGCTGAGGCAGGAGAATGGCGTGAACCCGGGAGGCGGAGCTTGCAGTGAGCAGAGATCACACCACTGCACTCCAGCCTGGGCGACAGAGCGAGACTCCGTCTCAAAAAAAAAAAATAAAAATAAAAATAAAAATATGTATGTATATATATTTTATTATCTGTATAATAAAATATACACATACACAAATGGAGTCCGACCAGGAAGCACAGACTGTACCCCAAGGCCAAGAGAGCCCCTCCCGAGAACCCAGGGTGGCCCAGCCTCTGCACAGAACCCCTAGGGTGTCGTGGAGCACAGGGGAAACCGCTGTCTAGTTCTGAACTTTACAGCCGAGAAAGCTGAGGCTCAGGGAAGTCCAGGGGACGTGCTCAGAACCAGGTCTCCGGCCCAAGAAAGTCCTCCCTGTCGGGACCTCGCTGCAGGCCTCCTGTGCTCTGTCACATATACGACCCACACACGCTTCAGTGCGGCAGTGCTCTTGTCTGCAAGCCAGAAACACAGATCTTATATTTCTTGCTCCAAGACAAACAAAACATCGATTGTTTTAATCTTTCACTTTAGTTCTGATTAGGAAGAAAACATGTGGCTTCAGTTTCAAAAACAGCAAGCTGAGGCCCTTTTCTTTTCTTTTCTTTTCTTTTTTTTTTTGAGATGGAGTTTCGCTCCTGTTGCCCAGGCTGGAGTGCAATGGTGCAATCTCGGCTCACTGCAACCGCCGCCTCCCAGGTTCAAGCAATTCTCCTGCCTCAGCCTCCTGAGTAGCTGGGACTACAGGCGCCCGCCACCACACCCAGCTACTGTTTTTGTATTTTTAGTAGAGACGGGATTTCATCATGTTGGCCAGGCTGGTCTCAAACTCCTGACCTCGTGATCCGCCCACCTCGGCCTCCCAAAGTGCTGGGATTACGGGTGGGAGCCACCGCGCCCGGCCTTCTTTTCTTTTTGAGATATGTCTCACTCTGTTGCCCGGCTGAAGTACAGTGGTGTGGTCACAACTCACCGCAGCCTCCAACTCCTGGACTCAAGCGATCCTCCTGCCTCAGCCATCCAAGTAGCTGAGACTATAGGCACACACCACCACACCCAGTTAATTTTCTTATTTTTGTACAGGTGGGGTTTCACTCTGTTGCTCGGGCTGGTTTCAAACTCCTGGGCTCAAGTGACCCTCCCACCTTGGCCTCCCAAAGCACTGGAATTCCAAGCATGAGCCACCACACCTGGCCCAGGATTTCAACATATGAACTTGATGGGGTCAGAGGAGGACACAAATATTTAGTCTGCAACAAACAGCCCATATGACTTTCCGAGTGTACCGTGTTCTAGGAATTCCGAGTCAAGGTCACCTGGTGCTAGAAGCCATTAAAAAACATGTGTTCCAAAAAGAAATAACATTTGAAGCCCGCATCATAAAGAAGGAATATGTCACAGGGGAAAGAGATCTTCCAGGGTTAAGGTCGACATCTGCAAAGACAGGCATAGCCCCCGCTTCAGGCCCCAAGCAAATGTCTCTTGAACATTTATATACCAGGTTCTGGGGACAACAATTCAGATCTTTTTTTTTTTTTTTGAGACAAGGTCTTACTCTGTCACCCAGGCTGGAGTGCAGTGGCATGATCTCGGCTCACTGCAACCTCCACTTCCTGGGCTCAAGCGATTCTCCCACCTCAGCCTCCTGAGTAGCTGGGACTACAGGTGTGCACCACCACACCCAACTAGTTTTTTGTATTTTTTTTTTTTTTTTGTAGAGTCAAGGTTTTGCCATGTTGCCCAGGCTGGTCTCGAACTCTTGGGCTCAAGTGATCCTCCTGCCTCAGCCTCCCAAAGTGCTGGGACTACCAGCATGAGCCACTGCACCCAGCCCCCAGATCTTTGGCCTCATGAGGCTGACAGTCCAGTAGGCATACAACTCAAATATCAAATTATAAATACTACAAGAAAAGAAACAGAGGGCCATGAGAGAATGATGTGGTGGGCTGAATGACTGGCTCCAAGATTGTTGTAACTGTTAATTTTATGTGTTAACTTGACTGGTCCATGGGGTGCACAGATATCTGTTTAAATGTTATTCTGTGTGTCTGTGAGAATGTTTCTGGATGAAATGAACCATAGGCTGTGTAAAGCATATTCCTCCCCCTCCCCAATGTGGGGGCCTCATCTAATCAGTTAAAGCCCTCAATAGAACAAAAATGCTAAGTAAGAGATAATTCCTCCTGCCTGGCAGCCTTCAAGCTGACAGATAGGTTTTTCCAGCCTTTGGACTCCAGTGGAAACATCTGCTCTTGGGTCTCAAGCCTGCTGGCTTTCAGACAGAAACTATCAGTTCTCGTGTCTCTCTAGCTTGCCAATTGTACATCTTATGGCTTCTCAGCCTCCATAATTATGTGAGCCAATTTCTTATAATAAATATCTTCTGGGCAAGCCATCTACCTTCTCTGGGTCTTAGTTTCCCAGGGACAGCCATCTCCCTCATGGCCCCCTCCAGGATTTCCGAATCTGGAAAATGCTGAGCTCATGAGGCCACAGGGTGAGAAAGGAGATGATCCTGGAGCCATGCATCAGAGAAGGCAGTTCTTTGATGGGATTGGAGCTGGGGGAAGAATTCCTAGCAGTGGGAATTGAACAATAAGCCTTGATTTTTGCACTTGATTTTGTAAGGAATTGGAAGCTGCTGGTGGTTTCTGAGTAGGGGAGGAACAGATTCAACTGCATTTTCAGAAGCGCACTCTAGCTGTTAGGAGATGGAGGGAGTGGGGAGTGGAGCGGAGGCCACTGGTGGAGTACACGGGGATCTGCCTGAGGCTGCAGAGCACTGCTGAAGTGGACATCCAAGGAGGGGCTGGCTGGACTGAAGAAAAGTCTCTGGGGACAGCTGGCATTGAGTCTTATCACACTGACATTGGACCAGTCACAGCGGATGAGGATGTATATATATTTTTTCAGATGCTGACTTCATTTTGTGTGTGTGTAGAATTGCAAAATTCAATTAATGTCACTAGTAAACTCCTGAAATAATATTTATAACTCCTATCACTGGAATCCCGTGACCAAAATTATATAATAAAAATCGTATAATAAAAATGTGAAGGCAGAAGCATAGAACATCTTCTGTTGTGGGTTGGTTGGAGGTGAGGACTGAGCTGAAGGCTGATATGATTCATGTGTGTTTGTTCTAAGGCTTTTGCAGAGTTTTTCACTTCCTGTTGATCTTTCCACTGGAATTTTAGAATTATCTTATCAAGCTCTTTCCTCTCTACAACATTTTTGTTGTTTTTCACTTCTTCCTGCATTTTCTACCTTTCATCTGGAATTATCTTTCTCTAGTTTTACCTTTTAAAAGGCAAGTCTGTTGGTGAGAAAGTCTGGTTTTGTTTATCTGAAAATGCCCTTATTTCCCCCTAATTCTTGAAGGATATTTTCACTGGGTCCACCTAATTGCTGCTGTTTTTTCCTCTGGCAACTTTTGTTTGTTGATTTTTGTTTGTAATTAACTGATTTTATCAAAGTCCAATTCAAATGCAGTAAGATGAACAGATCTTAAAGATACAGTTTGATGGATTTTAGCAAATGTGTACACCTGTGTACACCAACAGCTCAACCAACATAGAGAACATCGCCATCACCCTAGAAGTTATTTCATGGCCCTTTCTAGCCAACACCCTGGCCAGAGGCAGCAACCTCTGTTTTCATTTCTATCACCATAGTTTTGCCTATTCTTGAACTTTATATAAATGGAATTATATAATATGCACCTCTAATATCCAGCTTCTGTTGCTTTACTTTTTTTATTTTTGAGAGGCATTTATTTTTTAAATATTTAATATTAATATTTAATATATTAATATTAATTAAATACTAATATTTAATATTGAATAATGTATTATCTTTTATTTTTTTAGAATACATTTATATTTTTGAGAATCATACACGTTGCTTGATCTCTCAATAGTTTATTCTTTTTTTGTGTGCAGCCGTATTTCATTGTGTGAAATGCCATGGCTTGTTTATTCTCTCGTTGACAGGCATTTGGGTTGTTTCCAGGTTTTGCTGTTATGAGTAAAAGCTTATGAACATCTCGTACAAGTCCTTTTATGGAGACATGTTTTTATTTATCTTGAATAAATCCCTAGGAGTGGAATTGCTGGGTCATAGGTGAGGTATGTGTTCAGCCTTATAAGAAACTGCTAAGCCATTTTCCATGGTGGTTGTACTATTTCACATTCCTGTCAGTAATGGATGATGCCTCCAGTTCTTCTACATCCTCCCAAATATTTAGTGTTGTCAGTCTTTTAAATTTTTGCCACTCTAGTGGTTGAGAGGCAGTCTCTCTTGATGACTTTAATTCATATTTCCTTCATGACTAATCATTAGACACCATTTCATGTGCTTATTGGCCATTTCTCTGCCACTTTTTAGGACATTTCTTTTGCCTGAGGTTCTAGGGATTCTGAAATCTGTGGCTTGAGGTCTTTTTATCAGTTTTAGAAAGTTATTGGTCATTATCTCTTCAAAGATTGTTCCTGCTTCATTCTCTCTCTCCTCCTTCTGGTGTTCCAATAACACGTATATTAGACGTCACTGCATCTTCTATGTCTTTTGCTCTTTCTTCTGTAGTTTCTTTCCCTTTGTGTCGTCTTGCTTCATTCTGGATATTTTTCTCTGTTCTGTCTTCCAGTTCACTAATTTTTATTTCTTCCATTGAATTCTTACTTTTCAGATATTGTCATTTTCTCCATATCCACTGGTTCCTTTTTTTCCCCATTGTTCCAATTTGCAGCGAAAATTCCAATCTCATCTTTTTATCTCTTTGAACGTAATTAACACAATTAATTTAAAGTCTCTGTCAATTCCCAGTATATGGAAACCCTGTGGGTCTCTTTGTAGTGCTGGTTTTTGTTTTTTTTTTTGTTTTTTTTTTTGAGACGGAGTCTCGTTCTTTTGCCCAGGCTGCAGTGCAGTGGCGTGATCTCAGCTCACTGCAAGCTCCGCCTCCCGGGTTCATGCCATTCTCCTGCTTCAGCCTCCCAAGTAGCTGGGACTAGAGGCGCCTGCCATGGCGCCCGGCTAATTTTTTGTGTTTTTAGTAGAGACGGGGTTTCACCGTGTCAGCCAGGATGGTCTTGATCTCCTGACCTCATGATCCGCCTGCCTAGGCCTCCCAAAGTGCTGGGATTACAGGCGTGAGCCACCGCACCTGGCAGTGCTGGTTATTTCTGCTGATTTTTGTTTATGTGGTCCTGGCTCCTCGTATGTCTTACTTGCATGCCAGATATTGTATTGTGCATTTTTTTTTTTTTTTGGGACGGAGTCTCGCTCTGTTACCCAGGCTGGAGTGCAGTGGCACGATCTCGGTTCACTGCAAGCTCCACCTCCCGGGTTCATGCCACTCTCCTGCCTCAGCCTCCGGAGTAGCTGGGACTACAGGTGCCTGCCACCAAGCCTGGCTAATTTTTTGTATTTTTAGTAGAGACGGGGTTTCACCATGTTAGCCAGGATGGTCTTGATCTCCTGACCTCGTGAGCCACCGCGCCCGGCCTGTATTGCGGATTTGCATGTAGAAATAATCTGAGGCCTGGGATCGTATTATTTTCCTCCAGAGGGGATTTATGTTTACTTCTTCCAGGCATTTGGGGCCACCAGCAATCTCGCATCACCTTAATCCAATATTAGGGATTGAGATTATTCAAAACTCTGCTGTAGTTGCTAGAAGGACCTGTCTGCTTCCTCTTGATCTTTACTCCTTTTTTTTTTTTTTTTTTTTTTTTTGAGACGGAATCTCACTCAGCTGCCAAAGCTGGAATACAGTGGCACGATCTCGGTTCACTGCAACCACCGTCTCCCGGATTCAAGGGATTCTCTCATCTCAGCTCCTGACTAGCTGGGATTACAAGAACCCGCCATCATGCCCAGCTAATTTTTGTATTTTAGTAGAGACGGGGTTTCACCATGTTGACCAGGCTAGTCTTGAACTCCCGACCTCAGGTCATCCACCTGCCTCGGTCTCCCAAAGTGCTGGGATTCCAGGCGTGAGCCACTGTGCCCAGCTGTGACCGTTACTCTTACAGTGCAATATTAAGTTGTCCCAATTCACACCAAGGGGGAATTTACCAAGCCTTCTCTCCTCAGGAAACCCTGGACCTCAATTTCTGTACCCTTGGCCTCGTGAAGCTGATAGAAATATCACTCGGCCTCTCAGCAAACCCTCCCAACCCCAGGAAAAAGTGACCCCAAACCCAGGCTCTCTTTCGATCCTCCCCTAAATCCTGGCTGGAAATTCTCCATTATCTTAATAACCCTGCAGGCCCTTGAGCAGATGCTTTGACATTCTGTCCAGCTTTTCTTTCTTTTTTGAGACAGGGTCTCACTCTGTCACCCAGGCTGGAGTGCAGTGGCACAACGTCAGCTCACTGCAACCTCTGCCTCCCGGGTTTAAGTGATTGTTGTACCTCAGCCTCCTGAGTAGCTGGGACTACAGGCACCCGCCACCACGTCCAGCTAATTTTTGTATTTTAATAGAGACGGGGTTTCACCATGTTGGCCAGGCTGGTCTCAAACTCCCGACTTCAAGTGATCCTCCCACCTCAGCCTCCCAAAGTGCTGGGATTACAGGCTTGAGCCACCGCACCCAGCCCTGTCCAGCTTTTTTTTCTTTTTTTTGAGACAGGGTCTCTCTCTGTCGCCCAGGCTGGAGTGCAGTGGCACAATCTCAGCTCACTGCAACCACTGCCTCCCGGGTTTAAGTGATTCTTGTGCCTCAGCCTCCCAAGTAGCTGGGACTACAGGCACGTGCCACCATGCCCAGCTAATTTTTGTATTTTTAGCAGAGATGGGGTTTCACCATGTTGGCCAGGCTGGTCTCAAACTCCCGACCTCAAGTGATCCTCCCGCCTCGACCTCCCACAGTGCTGGGATCACAGGCGTGAGCCGCCGCACCCGGCCCTGTCCAGCTTTTCTAGTGGACCTCAGCAAGAGAGTGGGTTTGTCCTTAGCTGCTAATCCACCATTGTGCAAGCCAAAATCTGCCAAGAGAGATTTTTAACCCAAAGTCCAAGTCGTTTAGAAGGAGGTCATGGATATTCTAGATCCTCTTGATCTTGGAGCCACAGGATGACAAATGGGGACCCATCCTCAGCCTTGAGAGGAGCCCTCTCATCTTCCAGCTGAGGAAGCCAAGACCCAAAAACCAGGAGCAGAGCCAGAGTGCGAGCCCGGATTTTCCATTTCCAGGCAGGCACCGTGTGGTCCCTCTTCAGGAGCAGGTGTCAGCCCTTATCCCTTGAACAAGATCCCTGGCAATGACCTCACCTCTCCCTGAAACCTGAATGTTCTGTCAGTTCAGCAAGAGGCTGATGCAACTCACAGTCCCCAGAGGCCCTTTTGTCTCTCATCGAGTCCATAAATGACACGGAAATGATCTAAGCATGACTGGTCACCCTGGACTTCTGGAACTCATCACGGAGCTTACAAGACTCTCCTCTCACCTTTACCCTATGGCTCAGAAGAAGAAGGGATTTGCCCAAGCTCATGCTTTAAGTTCAACAACACAAAAATGGGCCGGGCGTGGTGGCTCACGCCTGTCATCCCAGCACTTTGGGAGGCCCAGGCAGGTGGATCACCTGAGGTCAGGAGTTCGAGACCAGCCTGGCCAACATGGCAAAACCCTGTCTCCACTAAAAATACAAAAATTAGCCGGGCGTGGTGGCGCATGCTTGTAATCCCAGCTACTCCGGGAGGCTGAGGCAAGAGAATCGCTTGAACCTGGGAGGCGGAGGTTGCAGTGAGCCGAGTTGGTGCCACTGCACTCCAGCCTGGGCGACAGAGTGAGCCATCATCTCCAAAAAACAAACAAACAAACAAAAAAACCCACCAACACAAAAATGGGTAATTTCAGGACACCCAGTTTGTGGCTCTATCCCGAATCCGATCCATGCTGATTTTTAATCTGATCAGCTTCCAGCTCTGCCCAGGTCTCTCCAGGGCCGGCGGTGGGGGGCTGTTGCAATTCCCTGCTGCACCCCAGCCTCAGGGCAGGTCAGGGGAGTGGCGACAGGGTGCAAGTCCACGGGGAGTGAGATTTCTCAAGAGCTCCGGGCAAACCGGCCCTTCCACATTCGCTGGGTGCAGGATGTTCCAGCCACCTTGTCTTTCCAGCAGCTGTGTTTATATTTGGCAGTTGCCACAGGTCCCTGGAAGAGGGTCCTCTTCCTGCCTGCCAGACTCTGGAACCCCTGTTTCCTCACACAGGAACCTGGGGGCCAGGCCTGGTGCAGAGATGAGAGTGTCCCTCTGAGAATTCCAACAGAGGTCACTGGGGCTCAGAGAGGGAAGGAAACTTTCCCAAGGCCACACAGCTTGGTAGAGCAAGGGCAGATTTCTGGCCTACCACCTTCCCGAGTTCCCTCCTCTGTGGGAGCTGTGGTCTCACTCCCTTCAAATGCAACGGGGCTCACATCTGGGGGAAGACTCCCGCCCTGTGGGGCCTCTCCTAGTCACAAAGCATTCTGGGATGCTAATAAAATTAAAGCCCTTTTGGAAACACCCCTGTATTTACTTTTTTTTTTTTTTTTGAGACCATTCTCCTGCCTCAGCCTCCTGAGTAGCTGGGACTACAGGTGCCCGCCGCCATGCCCGGCTAATTTTTTTGTATTTTTTTTTTTTTTTAGTAGAGACAGGGTTTCACCGTGTTAGCCAGGATGGTCTGTATCTCCTGGCCTCGTGATCTGCCCGCCTCGGCCTCCCAAAGTGCTGGGATTACAGGCGTGAGCCACTGAGCCAGGCCTTTTTTTTTTTTTTTTTTTTTAGACAGGGTCTCACTCTGTCACCCAGGCCGGAGTGCAGTGGCGCGATCTTGGCTCACTGCAACCTCCACCTCCTGGGTTCAAGCGATTCTTGTGCCTCAGCCTCCTGAGTAGCTAGAATTACAGGCACGCACTACCATGCCTGGCTCATTTTTTTGTATTTTTAGCAGACGTGGGGGTTTCACCATGTTGGCCAGGCTGGTCTTGAACTCCTGACCTCAAATGACCCACCCGCCTCAACCTCCCAAAGTTCTGGGATTACAGGCATGAGCCACCACGCCTAGCATATTTTCATTCAGTACCATTTATTTTTGGGGCCTTCAGTCAGCTGGGTTCAAACTCTTTGCGTTTTGCCTAAGGGAACCACTCTGAGCTGCAGGATTTCTCCTGATAAGGGAGTTCCATAAAGGCCTAAAATTTTCCCCCAGGGGACACCTGTCCAAGTCTGGGGACATTTGTGCTGGTCATGACTGTGGGCGCACTGGTGGGGGGGGGGGTTTCCTGGCAAGGAGTGGGTGGAGACCAGGGATGCTGCCCAGCACCCTGCAGTGCCCAGGACAGCCCCACCCCAGAAAAGGATCCAGCCAGAGGGAGAGGGCCTGTACTGGAGTGAGTTAAACTTCCCGGTGTAGATCAGGTCTCTTTAGGATTTTAGGAACTTCGGAGTTCAGCCCATTTTGCAGACTGGGGCCCTAGGCTGTGTCTCTCTTTACTGACACCACTGTCAATTTTGTCGCAGTTTTGGGTCTTTGTCTGCTCAGCCATCTGCTCAGCAAACGTTTAGGCCACACCTCCTCACCTCCTCTCCTCCTCCCAGTGGGGACAGGTTCGAGGGCGGGGGCACAGCTCCAGAGGGGCGATGCCTCCAGGCAGGAACCCAGGCCCCCTTCCTGGAGGGATGCGCGACACCAAAACTCCCTCTGCACCCCCAGATGAGGGCCGGTGGGAGTGGTGCCGTCTGAGTGAGACACAGCATTGGGCTGACCTCAGGGTCCCGGTTCTGATAGTGTCTCATAGTCACAGGTGACGTCGCCCTGGAGGGGACCGGGAGAGGGTGCGTGGGGCTCCCTGGACTATGTTTGCAACTGCCTGAGTCCATAATTGTTTCAAAATAAAAAGTTAAGATAGGGCCGGGAGCAGTGGCTCACGCCTGTAATCCCAGCACTTTGGGAGGCTGAGGCGGGTGGATCACTAGGTCAGGAGTTTGAGACCAGCCTGACCAACATGGTGAAACCCCGTCTCTACTAAAAATACAAAAATTAGCCCGGTGTGGTGGCGCGCGCCTGTAGTCCCAGCTACTCGGGAGGCTGAGGCAGGAGAATGGCATGAACTCAGGAGGTGGAGGTTGCAGTGAGCCGAGATTGTGCCACTGCACTCCAGCCTGGGCGACAGAGCGAGACTCCCTCTCAAAAAAAAAAAGTTAAGATAAACAATATTCAATAAACCTATAACAGATTCTATAACTATATAATACATATATACAGATATAAAATAGTAATCTAAATATATTATAAATACAAATATAAAATCAATAGCAAACAATGTAAATGTCAAAATAGAAATCAAACTATATAATTAATAATGTATAAATTATGTAAATGATGAATAAATATAAAATATGTATGCAATAAGTGTATAATACATACTAAATACTAAAACTATATATTAGTAATACAAAACTGATATGAATATATAGTGAATGAATCTTCAAATATGTAATAAATGCATGATAAATGACATAAATATAAATATGAGTATAAATATAAATATATGAGTAAACAAATATATAATAAAATATATAAATATGTAATAAATGTATAATACTATAGTATAATATAGTATAAGTTTATATTATAAACTAATAGTAGACCAGGCGCGGTGGCTCACGCCTGTAATCCCAGCACTTTGGGAGGTCGAGGCGGGTGGATCACCTGAGGTCAGGCGTTTGAGACCAGCCTGGCCAACATGGGGAAACCCCGTCTCTATTAAAAATACAAAAATTGGCCAGGCGCAGTGGCTCACGCCTTTAATCCCAGCACTCTGGGAGGCCGAGGCAGGCGGATCACAAGATCAGGAGATCGAGACCATCCTGGCTAACACGGTGAAACCCCGTATCTACTAAAAATATAAAAAATTAGCCAGGCGTGGTGGCGGGCGCCTGTAGTCTCAGCTACTTGGGAAGCTGAAGCAGGAGAATGGCGTGAACCCTGGAGGAGGAGGTTGCAGTGAGCCAAGATCGCGCCACTGCACTCCAGCCTCGGAGACAGAGCCAGACTCTGTCTCAAAAAAAAAAAAAAAAATTGGCGTGGAGGCAGGCACCTGTAATCCCAGCCACTCGGGAGGCTGAGGCAAGAGAATCGCTTGAACCCGGAAGGCGGAGGTTGCAGTGAGCTGAGATCGCGCCACCGCACTTCAGCCTGGGCGACAGAGCGAGACTCCGACTCAAAAAAAAAAGAGGCAGAGCACTTGCTTTCATTCTAACTTTTCACTCTTACACATAACGCAATTATAAACGCCTTTCTATATGTAGATTTTTATTTCTTTTCATTTTTTGCCCTCGGGATAACTGCCGGAGCAAGGGGTTAGAGGGCGGCTGCTCCCTGGGGGTCCCTGTGGTCCCACCTCCCTCCCTGCCGGTGCTGCCAGCTCCTGTCCTGCGGTTTTGTTCAGCCCTTCTGTGCACTGGAGCCTCGTGTCTGATCAGCTCAGGTCTGCTCTGTTTCGGGGCTGGTCACCCTTCCCTGAGCGACCACAGATTTCCACTATGTCCTGGAGTGGGGGGGTACCCTCATCCTTCTTGACTTTCAGGCGCGAGTGGGATTTTTCTGCACGAGGCGGGCTTAGACTCGGGTGTGGCTATGAGCCTTTTGCTAGGAGGCCAGCGCGGGGCCGGGCGGCGTCCCTCTTCAGTTTTATTTTTGGAGAGCCTGGCCTGGAGCCTTGCCTGCCTGCAGGAGCCTGTGCACCGAGGCAGAGCCCGACCGTCAGGAGGGAGCCGTGGGGACTGTGTGCACCTTTGACCACCTGGCCCTGCCCCCGGAGCTGCCTGCTCCCGCCCCTCCCACAGCTTCCCCGGGCCACGGGCCCCGAGGCAAGCTCATTCAGGTCGGGGTGCCCGGCACCCGTGCGCCTCTGCAGGGAGGCAGTTGGGAGGGGCGTTCCTGGCTGACTCAGTGCGTGGCCAGTTCTGCTGCTGTTGGCTTAGTCCTCTGCTGGGGGCATGGCTGCTCCTGAGTCAGTGCCGGCTGGTGACACCACCGAGACGGGGACTTAGGGAGGCGACTGCATGGGTGATGCAATCTGTGTCTGAGTCTCGGCATCTCAGCCCAAGCATCCACATGCACTCCCGTGCGCACACACACGCACACGCATGTACACATGCAGACACATGTACACACCCACGCACGCACATATCCACGCACCTACAGTGACGTACACACACGCCAACACGCATGCACACACCCATAGTGACATGCATGCCCACACACGTGTGCGCACACGCACATGCAGTGCCGTGTCCACACACGTGCACATACACACGTGCACACTGGCATGCATGTCCACACACATGCACGTATGCAAATGCACCTATGCACACACTCATATGCAGACGCACACACGTAGATGTGTACATGCACTCATATAGACACATGCACATGTACACACATGCAAGGATGCACACTCATATGCATGCTGACGTGCACACCCATGCATATGCAGGTACACATACACATGCAGATATGTGTGCACACACGCATATATGCACACTCATGAATGCCAGTATACACATACACACATACATGCACACGCAAGGTACACATACATGCACATGTGCACACACATACACATGTGCACACTGACATGCACACCACGTGTACACACGTGTACAGTCACATGTGCATCATTGACATACATGCAAATAAACATAGACACACACACACAGCGCAGTCCTCTCTGGCCTTCCTGGCAGGCCTGGGTTATTACCCAGCCCAAAGGCAGCATCTCGCAGGGAATTTCGCCCAAAACAGAAAAGCCAGCACGGCTCAGGACCTGATGCTCACATGGAAATTGCGGGCGGTGGCTGCCCAGGGCAGCAGGGGCCCAGGGTCTGGGTGGACACTCCTGACTGTGGATGCTAAATAGGACCCCCTGGCCTTCCAAGGAAAACAGGAGGTGCGGCCAGCCCGTTTGTTCTCTGCGTGCACGTATTTTTAGCACTGAGTAATTTAGGTATTTTTAAGCCCAACCAAGGGCGGTTTTCCCTGAGTTGGATGTTTTGTGGCTGCTTTGAAGCTCTCTGGAATCAGAGCCCTCTGAGCGGCCACACGTGGGCTCTGCCTCCAGAGCAGACAGATTGGGCCTTCTCTGCCCCCAAAAAGTGGGGGTGGGACGTCTGCTGGAAACCAAGGAGGCTGGGCGGTGTCAAAGGGATTTTTTGTTTAATTGCCCCTTTTATTGAGATCGCCGT
Organism: Homo sapiens; assembly: GCF_000001405.40. NCBI lineage: Eukaryota > Metazoa > Chordata > Mammalia > Primates > Hominidae > Homo > Homo sapiens. Next base: position 2,523,803 of record NC_000019.10, on the reverse strand, counting down.
GGAGTCACAGCCAGTGCTAACAAAGAATGTAGAGGAATTCTGTGTGTCATTCCCCGGCCGTCCCTGGTGGTAACATTTGGTAAAGCTATGGGCAGGATCGCAGCCAGACAGTCACACACCCACCAGCCTCACTCAGGTTCCACAGTATTCAGTATTGTGCCCGCTGGTGTGTGAGTGTGTGAGGCTCTCTGTGAGTTTATCACTCATGTAGGCTTGTGGATTCATCACCGTAGTTGAGGCACTAACAGGGATCATTCGTGTTGCCCTTTTATTATTTATTCAGAGATGGGGTCTCACTAAATTGCCCAGTCTGGCCTCAACCTCCCAGGCTCAAGTGATCCTCCCACCTCAGCCTCCCAAGTAGCTGGGACCACAGGAGTGCGCTACCCATGCCCAGCTAATTTTCTAATTTTTTGTAGAGAGGGGGTCTTGCTATGTTGCCTAGGCTGGCCTCAAACTCCTGGACTCAAGTGATCCTCGCATCTCAGCCTCCCAAAGTGCTGGTATTACAGGCAAGAGCCACCATGCCTGGCTGTGTTGCCCTTTTATACAGAGACCTATCTCCCTCCCAGCCCCTGCCCCTCCCTGATCCCTGGCAGCCGCTAATCTGTTCTCCATTTCTAAAATTTCGTCCTTGGGCCGGGCATGGTGGCTCATGCCTGTAATCCCAGCACTTTGGGAGGTCGAGACAGGCAGATCACTTGAGGCCAGGAGTTTGAGACCAGCCTGGCCAACATGGTAAAACCATGTCTCTACCAAAAATACAAAGATTAGCCAGGCATGGTGGCACATGCACCTGTAATCCCAGCTACTCAGGAGGCAGAAGTGAGAGTATCGCTGGAGCTGGAGAAGCGGAGCTTGCAGTGAGCTGAGATCATGCCACTGCACTCCAGCCTGGGCAACAGAGCGAGACTCTGTCTAAAAAAAGTCCTCTTAAACACATTACACAAACAGAAGCATGCTACACATCCCAGGCCCTGGAGATTCCCCTGCGGTGTGGTATGCATGGATGGTCCTTTCCTTCTTTTTTTTTTTTTTTTTTTTTTTTTTTTGAGACAGAGTCTCACTCTGTCCCCCAGGCTGGAGTGCAGTGGCGTGATCTCTGCTCACTGCAAGCTCCGCCTTCCGGGTTCACCCCATTCTCCTGCCTCAGCCTCCCGAGTAGCTGGGACTACAGGCACCCGCCACCACGCCCGGGAGACGGGGTTTCACCGTGTTAGCCAGGATGGTCTTGATCTCCTGACCTTGTGACCCGCCCGCCTCGGCCTCCCAAAGTGCTGGGATTACAGGCGTGAGCCACCGCGCCCGGCCAGTCCTTTCCTTCTTATCACTAAGTAGGCATTTTTTGAGAACTCTGGAATCTGCCTTGACTTCTCTGCGGCTGCCTGGCTCTGCAAAACAGACAGCGATGCCATGAGTTATGACAGAGACAGGGTGCGGCTTAATTAACTGCTCACAGACGCCCGGCTGGGACTGCGGCTGCCCAGGACTCTTGAACCTGGCCCCTGCCCCTGCCACCCCCATCAGCACCAACCCCCTCACTGGGTCCTACGAAGCAGGTTTCTCTAGGCTGGACACTACTGACACGTGGGGCTGGATCGTTCCCTGGAGCGGGGCCGTCCTGGGCACTGCAGGGTGCTGAGCAGCATCCGTGGCCTCCACCCACTCCCTGCCAGGAGCACCCCCAAGTCATGACAGCCACAAATGTCCCAGACATCACCCAGTGCTCCATGGAGGGCAGAGTCATCCCCAGATGAGATCTGGGGATTCCACGGACTCCCAAGAGACTCTGCGTCCTGTGATCGTCTGCCCTGTTGAGGTCCTGGGTTTTTCCAGGAGAATTCAAGAAGCAACAGCATGGGCTCCTGACTGGTTCAATATGAAGGACACGGAGGAGAGGCCGGGCTCACACCTGTCATCCCAGCACTTTGAGAGGCCGAGGAGGGTGGATCACCTGAGGTCAGGAGTTCAAGACCAGCCTGGCCAACATGGTGAAACGCTGTCTGTACTAAAAATACAAAAATTAGCCGGGTGTGGTGGCACGTGCCTGTAATCCCAGCTACTCGGGAGGCTGAGGCAGGAGAATCGCTTGAACCCGGGAGGCAGAGGTTGCAGTGAGCCGAGATCACACCACTGCACTCCAGCCTGGGCAACAGAGCAAGACTCTGTCTCAAAAAAAAAAAAAAAAAAACACGGAGGGGGACAGTCACCAGGGGTTCTGCTGTGATCCCTGCCCTGACCCAGGGTCTCCCCTGGGTACTATGGATATCGCGTTCGGATCCTTCCCTGGCGTGGGGCCGTCCGGGGCACTGCAGGGAGCTGAGCAATGTCCCTGGCCTCCACCCAACCCACTCCATGCCAGGAGCACCCCCCACAGCCACAGATGTCCCCAGATATCACCCAGTGTCCCCTGGAGGGCAAGAACCCCTGCCATGGACTGAGGCAGGCCACCCGGGAGCCTGCGTGGGTCCTCCCTTCTCCAGAGGGCCTGGCCTATTGCCTTTGCCCTTTCTTTATTTTTTCTTTATTTTTTTTTTTGAGACGGAGTCTTGCTCTGTCGTCCAGGCTGGAGTGCAGGGGCACCATCTCGGCTCACTGCAAGCTCCACCTCCCGGGTTCACGTCATTCTCCTGCCTCAGCCTCCAGAGTAGCTGGGACTATAGGCACCCACCACCATGCCTGGCTAATTTTTGTATTTTTTTTTTTTTTTTTAGTAACGATGAGGTTTCACCGTGTTAGCCAGGATGGTCTCGATCTCCTGACCTCATGATCCACCTGCCTCAGCCTCCCAAAGTGCTGGGATTACAGGCGTGAGCCACCACGCCCAGCCTGCCTTCGCCCTTTCATTCTCTCGTTCTGCAAACTCCCACAGAGGATTGTGACGGCTGACCGCGTGCCAGGCTCTATGCTGAGAGTTAAACGAGTGCCAGCTCTTTGTACACGGAGGCCCCTGGTCCCCACCCAGAGGCAAAGTGGCCGTGCCTAGAGTCGGGAAGGTTGAGCCAAGGCCGGGCGCCCCTGCTGCCACCCAGAGGCCTGACCTGAACTTTGACCCACACCCCTCTGCTTCCCCCACAGCTCTCTGAACAACGGGGCCCAGAGCTGATGGCAGACAATGTCAGCCACTAACAACATAGCCCAGGCCCGGAAGCTGGTGGAACAGCTACGCATAGAAGCCGGGATTGAGCGCATCAAGGTGAGCCCAGCGGGCATCAGGAAGAGGAGGGGAGAGACCCTTGGGGGCCCCGCAAATGATGAACAGGAGGCTCGGCAGGAGGGCAGAGGCTTGCACCCCAACTGTGTCTCTTGCTGTGTGACCTTGAGGCCCTCCCTTAACCTCTCTGAGCCTCCATTTCCTCGGCAGAAAGAGGCAGCTGATCTAACACCTATCTCCTGCCTTCGTGCAGCAATGTAACGTGCTTTGTAAACACACTGGGGCCCCGTGGAGACGGTCATCGTGACAGAGCGCTTTGTCGTCCTCATCTGCATTGATCTGTCCAGCTCCTTGGCAATGACAGATGCAAATTAAACTGAGAGACACAGTCCCAGGCGGGAGGAGACTGCATGTCGTATCTACTTTTCACTTCTGTGTTGTTTGAAGGATTTGTTTGTTTTGTTTGTTTGAGACGGAGTCTTGCTCTGTCACCCAGGCTGGAGTGCAGTGGCGCGATCTCGGCTCACTGCAACCTCTGCCTCCCGGGTTCAAGCAATTCTTCTGCCTCAACCTCCCAAATAGCTGGGATTACAGGCATGCACCACCATGCCTGGCTAATTTTTTGTATTTTTAGTAGAGACGGCGTTTCGCCATGTTGCCCAGGCTGGTCTTGAACTCCTAACTTCAGGTGATCCGCCTGCCTCGGCCTCCCAAAGTCCTGGGATTCCAGGCGTGAGCCACCATGCCTGGCCCGTTTGAAGTTTTTTACAAGGATCACACTTGAGGCTGCGCCTTGTCGAGATTTATTTTAAGGCAAGCTCTGAAATCTGCAGTGTAGGCCAGCAGGCTGGAGACCCAGGGAAGAGTTGGTGCTGCAGCTGGAACCCCAAGGCCACCTGGAGGCAGAGTTCCCTCCTCCTGGAAGGACCCCAGGCTTTTTCTCTTAAGCCCTTCAACTGATTAGATGAGGCCCATCTGCATTACAGACGGTCACCTGCTGTGCTTGAAGTCTACGGATTTAAATGTGAATCACATCAAAAAAAAAAAAAAAATTTTGCATGTGAGGCACAGTGGCTCACAGCTGTAATCCCAGCACATTGGGAGGCCGAGGCAGGAGGATCACTTGAGGTCAGGCGTTCAATTCCAGCCTGGGCAACAACATAGCAAGACCCCATCTCTACAAAATAAAAAACAGGCTGAGCGCGGTGACTCACACTTATAATTCCAGCACTTTGGGAAGCTGAGGTGGGCAGATCACCTGAGGTCAGGGGTTCGAGACCAGCCTGGCCAACATGGTGAAACCCCGTCTCTCCTAAAAATACAAAAAAAAGATTACCCGGGTATGGTGGTGCATGCCTGTAATCCCAGCTATTTGGGAGGCTGAGGCAGGAGAATCACTTGAACCTGGGAGGTGGAGGTTGCAGTGAGCCGAGATCGCACCATTGCACTCCAGCCTGGGGAACAGAGCGAGACTCTATCTCAAAAAAAAAAAAAAAAAAAAAAGAAACAAGAAAAAAACAACCTTCACAGCAACATCTAAAAAAACATTTAACTGGCCAGGCACGGTGACTCACGCCTGGAATCGCAGCACTTTGGGAGGCTGAGGTGGGCGGATCACAAGGTCAGGAGTTCGAGACCAGCCTGGCCAATATGGTGAAACCCCATCTCTACTAAAATTACAAAAAAATTAGCCAGGCGTGGTGGCAGGCTCCTATAGTCCCAGCTACTTGGGAGACTGAGTCAGGAGAATAGCTTGAACCCGAGAGGCAGAGGTTGCAGTGAGCTGAGATTGCGCCACTGCCCTCCAACCCCAAGCGACAGGGTGAGACTCCATCTCAGAAAAAAAACAAAAACAAAAAAACATTTAACCAAACCCTGGGGCACCATGGCCCGCCCTAGTGCACCCATAAAATCAGCCATCACCCCACGTATCCACTCAGAACTCAGCTCTCCAGCACCTGTCACCAGCTTGTCATTATTGGCCACGGGAATTTATTAGGAAGGGGTGACCGGCCCTTGCTTTGCTCCCAGCGGGGAGGCGGACAGAGTCGTCCCTGCTGGCCAGGTGGCACAGGTGGTTCTGATCGGCCGGTGAGTCTCCCTCCAGCGCAGCTCTGAGCCCTCCCAGACCCCATCACGCTGCTGCTGGCCGGGATCCAACCAGTAGGGGAGGGGTCTGCCTCCCACGAGGTGTCTGAATGTTCCAGCAATCTGACTGCTGAGGACAGACCTGAGCATTCAAAGCATTCCTTCGGGCTGAAAAGAGAGAAAGCCCTGGTTGAAGTGGTTTTCCTTTTACGAGTGGGTGCCAGCCCCCAGCCCGGGCGGAGGGCGGTGACTCATCCTGCCCTGTTTGATGTTGAGGAGGGGCCCCCACCGCCCCTTTGAATGTCGGGCCTCGGGGGGAGCCAGGATTTGACCCGTCCCCACTCCCAGTCCCGCCTGAGGTTTTACATCCCCAGCTCCAACGCGGCGACCAGAACCACAGAACCTCAACGGCGACGATCTTGGGGCTCACCAGCCCAGCGCAGTGGGCATGGGGGGTGGTGCCAAGGTGCCACGTGCTGGAGCCACAATGCCAGCTATTTTCGGGGTCTGGAGGCTATTTCTGTCGTCCAGGAGGGCCGCTTCCCAAATAGAAGTCTAGAAAGCAGGCCAGGTCCGAGTCATCACAGGCCGCAGCCGGCGGGCTCACTCTGTGGGCATGAGCGTCCCCCGGCTGCCCAGCTGGGCAAGACCCCAAAGCTGTCCCACAGGCTCCTGGCCGTTTGAAGGGCCCAGGTCCCAGGTATCCTTGGGGTCCAAAGGAGGACAGAGGATCTGGGATGCAGAGGTACTGGCCAGGCGAGGCGGCTCATGCCTGTAACCCCAGCACTTTCAGAGGTCTAGGCGGGAGGGTCGCCTGAGCCTAGGAGTTCGAGACCAGCCTGAGCAACATAGTGAGACCTCATCTGTACCAGAAAATTATTCTAAAAATTATGGCCAGGCCAGGCACGGTGGCTCATGCCTGTAATCCCAGCACTTTGGCAGGCTGAGGTGGGCGGGCCACCTGAGGTCAGGAGATTGAGACCAGCCTGGCCAACATGGTGAAACCCCGTCTCTACTAAAAATACAAAAATTACCCTGGCGTGGTGGCGTGCGCCTGGAGTCCCAGCCACTTGGGAGGCTGAGGTGGGAGAATTGCTTGGACCCAGGGGGCGGAGGTTGCAGTGAGCCGAGATCACGCCACTGCACTCCAGCCTGGCTGACAGAGTGAGACTCTGTCTCAAAAAAATAAATAAATAATAAAAATGAAAATTATGGCCAGGTGTAGTGGCTCACTCCCGTAGTCCCAGCTACTCAGGTACTCCCAGCTGAGGCGGGAGAATCACTTGAGCCCAGGAGGTGGAGGCTGCATTGAGCTATGATAGCACCACTGCATTCCAGCCTGGGGGACAGAGCGAGACCCTGTCTCAAAAACAGATAACAAAGGCACCTCCGTGAAGCGACACTGCGATCCTTCTCGGATCATCCCCTCACCTCTGCCACATCTAATCCTCCCCCTGTGATCGCCCTCTCGCCTTCCAGGAAAGAAAGCAAGGAGAGAAAGGTCGCTGAGTCCCACAGAGACACAGTTACCGGTTACGGGATGAGATCCAGGGCCAGATGGACGTGTCCCCGTGTAGCCTGACCCAGGACACCGGACACCCCAGCCCCAGCCCTGCTGGGGTGAGCTAAGCGGGGAGTGGCAGCGGCACCCCCAAAGGCATGGCCAGGAGAGACGGGCGTGTAGCCTGGGGCGGGCTGGCAGCAGCCCGGGGCAGGGGGTCCCTCCTGTGACCGGAAGCATCAGCCCCTCAGAGGGTTGGAGTCATCAGGGGGTTCAGGCTGCAAGAGAAACATGGAGACGGGCTTATCTCGTCCTCACCGGGCCCAGCCCCCTGGCCGGGTGTCACCGTGAAACCTCCCTCAAGCTCATCAAATGTGCAGGCAGCGTTTTCCTATCAGGACCTTCCTTCCTTGGGGTGAGAATGAGGTCTTGGACTCCGAAAACGGGGTCCATCTGTCCCTGACCCTTTGTGTTCAAAATCTGGCAACGCTTGCTGAAGGAAGCTCAGCCTTTTCTTTTTTAAAAAAATATTTTTTAGGCCAGGTGCCGTGGCTCACGCCTGTAATCCCAGCACTTTGGGAGGCTAAGGCAGGTGGATCACTTGAAGTTAGGAGTTTGAGACCAGCCTGGCCAACATGCTGAAACCCGTCTCTACTAAAAATACAAAAATTAGCTGGGCGTGGTGGCAGGCACCTGTAGTCCCAGCTACTCAGGAGGCTGAGGCAGGAGAATTGCTTGAACCCGGGGAGCAAGAGATTGCAGTGATCACACCACTGCATTTTTCTTTTTTTAATTTTGGGAAAAGACACACATAAATTTATTTATTTGTTTATTTATCTTAATTGAGACAGGGTCTTGCTCCATCCCCCAGGCTGGAGTGCAATGGTGTAATCTTGACTCACTGCAGCCTTAACCTCCCAGGCTCAAGCAATCCTCCAGCCTCAGCCCCCCAGTTAGCTGGGACTACAGATGCCCACATCACTATGCCTGGCTCATTTTTGTATTTTTTGTAGAGATAGGGCCTCACTGTGTTGCCTAGGCTGGTCTCAAACTCCTGGGCTCAAGTGATCCTCCCGCCTCCGCCTCCCAACATGTTGGGATTACAGGTGTGAGCCACCGCACCTGGCCAAGACACATATAAAGTTTACCACTAGTGATATTTAATATAGTCACAATGCTGTGCATCCAATCACGTTTATTCCAGGACATTCCATCACCCCAAAAGGAAACCCTGTCCCCCATCAGCCATCACTCCCCAGCACCGGCACCCACGCATCCCCTTCCTGTCTCTGTGGATAGGCCTGTCCTGGACATTTCATAGAAATGGGATCACACGGCCGGGCGCAGTGGCTCACACCTGTAATCCCAGCACTGTGGGAGGCTGAGGCAGGCATATCGCGAGGTCAGGAGTTCGAGACCAGCCTGATCAACATGGTGAAACCCTGTCTCTACTAAAAATACAAAAATTAGCTGGGTGTGGTGGTGCATGAAGGTAATCCCAGCTACTCGGGAGGCTGAGGCAGGAGAATCACTTGAACCCGCGAGGTGGAGGTTGCAGTGAGCCGAGATCGTGCCACTGCACTAGAGCCTGGGCGACAAATAGAGTCTCTGTCTCAAAAAAAAAAAAGAAAGAAATGGGATCACACACTGTGTGGCCTTCTGTGTCTGGCATCTCTCACTGAGCATGAGGCCCTTGAGATGCATCCACGTTGTGGCCTATGTCAGAGCCTCACTCCTTTTCATGGCTGAGTAATATTCCAGCGTGTGGACGGGCCGCACTGTTTGCCCACGCCCCCATCAATGGGCTCCTGAGCTGTTTCCGCCTGTGGCTCTTGGGAATGGTGCTGCTGTGAACCCGGGTGTGCCAGCCTCTTCTTATGTCTCCTCTGTCTCCTCCTTGTGCTCAAACACAGGTCTCCAAAGCGGCGTCTGACCTCATGAGCTACTGTGAGCAACATGCCCGGAACGACCCCCTGCTGGTCGGAGTCCCTGCCTCGGAGAACCCCTTTAAGGACAAGAAACCTTGTATTATTTTATAACTGTGTTCTCATATGTTCTCTCTCTCTCTCTCTCTTTCTCTCTCTCTCTCTCTGTCTCTGTCTCTGTCTCAGGCAGGGCATCATTCAGTAATTAGCTCAAACAAAACATCTCAAGTCCCCAAAACCTTTAATTCCAAAAGAAATCCCCCCTCTCCCCGCCAAAAAAGGCGTTCCCACCGCCCGGATGGGGTAGAATGGACCTTGTAGGTGGAGATGAATTTTCAGGTCCGACCCCATGGCCCTCTCAGTTTGGGCCAAAAGGGATGGAGGCTTTACGGCCACTTCCCGTTCGGAATAACTGAAATCCCCCAGCGATGGGGTAACAATTTTTTAAAACTCTCGATTGCCGTTTCAATTGTGGACCGGCGCCGAGGGGGAAAGGGAGGTGACTTCGCCCGGTGGCAATAGTTCCGGGAGAATTGGCCATTGGTAAAAAGACTTCATAGGGTCACTGGAATGCTTTGTGTTGTTTTTAAGTAGAGGTAAAATTGAGATGGGGGGCGGGAGGTGACATCATGAAGTTTTTTGGAAATATCTCTTTATTTAAAAAATTGTTACTCCATACGGCTAAACTCGGATTGTGATGGTTGAACCCGTCGCTAAACTGCACGATCCTGCAATGAATGCACGATGGAGTGTGGGGGTCTGGAGGGGGCTTCGTCTATGAAAAGTTGCCAAGTGTGACTCCCCTGCATGATGTTAGCCATGGGTCCTTTCTGCAGGGTCCCCTCTGTGCCAGAAATGGGTTTTCGGGACTTGCCCCAGGGAAGCCGTCACCGGCCCGGCCCATCATGTTTTTGGATTTTTTTTTTTTTTCTTTTTTTGAGATGGAGTTTCATTCTTGTTACCCAGGCTGGAGTGCAGCTGCATGATTTCAGCTCACCGCAACCTCTGCCTCCCCGGTTCAAGCGATTCTCCTGCCTCAGCCTCCCGAGTAGCTGAGACTACAGGCGTGTGCCACTACGCCCGGCTAATTGTTGTATTTTTAGTAGAGACGGGGTTTCACCGTATTGGCCAGGCCGCTCTCAAACTCCTGACCTCGGGATCCGCCCACCTCGGCCTCCCAAAGTGCTGGGATTACAGGCATGAGCCACCGCGCCCAGTGTGTTTTAAGCATGAGGCATCCGCGTGGCTGGGAGAGGCTTTGACCATCCTTGGCTCTTCCAGGTTGTCCTACCCTCTGGCATCCACCATAGACGTTTTTCAAACAGAAAATGCAGGCTGGGGAGCCGCGGCAGGGCGGGTGGGGCTACCCTGTGCTGCTGTGTGTACAAAATTGTTCCATGATCTTGGAGTGACTCTGAAGGACTCTGGGAGGTGAGACGTTGTCCCGGAGATCAAAACGTCCGCTCAAAACGTTACCCTGTCGCTCGAACCCGATCTTTTTGCTTTTCCACCCCCGTGCAACCCAGGACGGCTGTCTGAGGCCGGGAGATGCCTTAGACGCAGGATGGGCCACTCCTCCCAGCGGCAAGTGGAAATCGAAGATGTCATGGGGTCGGGGGGAGGCTTCTGAAAGATGACTGCGTCCTCCTCTGCGGCACGGACGGGAGCAGGTGCAGCCACATCTTCCAGGGCCTGCCGGCATCACCTGCGGCCACACCTGAGATGGACCCCACGCAGCCCTGATCGCAGGAGGCCTGGCCGCCCCGACCCCCTCCACGGGGCTGGCCTAGAAGCAAGTAGTAGAATAAAACTAGCCTAGTCCTGTCCCTCCGGCCCCAGTGGAGACAGGCGTCTAAGAACCCGTGCCGAGAGGGTTCCTGGACGGCCGCCCAGGTCCTCCGTGCAGGCCCGTGAGGCGGGGATCCCTGCTTGGCTCACTTCCTGAGCTGGTGACTGCCAGGGTTCCCACCTCGCCAAGGCTAGAGGGCTCCGGGTGTGTGTGCAGGTGTCGGGGGAGTGACCTCCACTCCTCAACCTCGGGCAGCTCCCACAGGCCACAGCCGGGCTCCCCACCCCCGGCACCCAGCTCTCTACGGCAGGTCCGGGAGGGCTGGGGCTTCGGGGAGCCCTACCCGCCAAACCTGCTGTTGGCCCGGGAGAGCCCCAGAGGCTCCCGGAGACTGCAGCCTCCTGTGGTTGGGCTGGGAGCCGGCAGGGTTTGGGGTGTGGGCGTCCCCACCACGCATAGCAGGAATGGCAGGAAGGGACAAAAGCCTGTTCCAGAGACCCTGGGAGGACCCCAGGCAGGGAGAGCCCGCCTGCCTCCACCCTTTCCAACAAGCCATCTTGGTAACTGGGAACAAACACACCCCACCCCGTTTTTCCTTAAAAGAGGCCTTAATCCCCGAGCCCCCGCTGCCAGGGCAGAGGGAGGAGGGGGCACAGCTGTGCCAAGCCCGGCCCCACTGGTGTGTCCTCACAATGTGACCCCAGAAATGCCAGCAGGGAACGGAGGCTGCTGCAGAGACGCAGCCCCAGGCAGCCGGGGCTCCTAGGCTGGTGCAGATGGTGGGGTTAAACGGGCTGAGCGTTCCAGGTAAACTGAGGCTCGGGGAGGGGAAGGACAGGCTGGCCTCTCCTTCACTGTCCACAGGGCCTTGGGTTCCCTGAGCTGTCCAGACCCCACCATCTCCCGGACCCCAGGGAGGTGGCCATTGCCAGAAGCCTGTGGGTTTCTTTCTAGCTTGGGGGATTAAAAAAAAAATTCTCCACTTTTTTTTTTCTTGAGTAGACTTCAGTGACCACACTGTGGAAAATACCTTTGCAGACGTGGCACCCGAGTGCACACACCGACCGCCACATGTGCTTTTCTGCCGGGAATCCCTGGGGTGAACGCATGTTTTATGGGCGTTTCCAGGAGCGCGCGTGCACCTCCAGACGGGGAGCTGGCGGGCGGGGGTGGCAGCAGCAGCTCTAGCCTTGGGGGGACAAGCCTCTCTCAGCTACGCCAGGGGAAAAGAGAGTTAAGGACACTCACCCCCACCCACGCACACACACAAGGCAGCGTCGGGTGGGAGAGAGAAGGCCGTTTCTCCTTCTGTAGCCTGGGTCTCCCACGGGCCTTCCCCGCTGCTGAGCGAGACACCAGTAGCCAGGTGAAGGGCCACAGCGGGCCAGGCCCCGACCCTGTTGTGACCCACCTGGGCACCTTCCCGGACCAGCTCCGCCTCCCCTGCCCTCCTCTCTCCAGGAAGGAGCCAGAACCCTCACCCCTCTCCCACCCTCCCCAGGGGTAACCCCAGGCCAAGCACAGATAGCTCAGCTGCGACCTCTGGCCTCTGGGGACATAAACGGGGCGGCTGGGCCAGGGCGGAAGGTGCTCCTGTTTCCCTCCTTCTGCGTGGTCCCTTTGACGGGCCGGCCACCGTGTCCGAGGCGCAACGCTAGGCCTCCAGGCCACGCATCCATCTCCAAGTTAACAGCCCGTCCTGCCCAAGTTCTGGGGCAGGTAGGAGAGGGCCGTCACACACCTGTCCGCCCGTGAGTGACCCGGGGGGGCTTCCGGGTGGAGGTGGAGCCACCACGCCCTTCCTCAAGGGGTCACTTATTAAAAAGTCCACGGCCTGAGGCCAGGCCCTCTGCACAGAAGCCATATGCCGGCCAGCCGCGCCTCCTCCTCTGTCCACGGAACCGCTGCCCATCTAACCTTCGTAAAGACCTGTCTCCTGTTTCCAGCCGCCGCCTGTGGTTCTAGCAGGTTCTATGCCATCTGCATTGGGATGTCTGGTTGTTTTTATTTCTGACTTTTTTAAAATTCCAGGTGTGCCGCACCCACTTTCTCGCAGTGTTTTAATATTGTGTGGAGTTGTCGATACCACGTGAATTCATACACAATAAAAAGCCTCACTCTCCCTTTTCTCCTGGCTCTGGGCTGTTCCTTCTCTCTCTGGCCCGGGCCTTGCTGGGGAGGGAGCTCCTAGCATGCAAGCAGATGCCCCAGGCTTGGCTCCAGGCATGGGGACCCGCGGCCCCACACCATCCCGTCCACCCTCCCTTCACCGGCCCAGGGAAGAGGTAACAGGAGGGGACCCCTGGAGGCAGCACCACAAACCAGGGACGTTCAGGCCCAGTGGGCTTTCGGATTTGTACTTAGAACATCTAGGAGGGGCCGGGCGCGGTGGCTCAGGCCTGGAATCCCAGCACTTTGGAAGCCCGAGGCGGGCGGGTCACCTGAGGTCAGGAGTTCGAGACCAGCCTGGTCAACACGGTGAAACCACGTCTCTGCTAAAACTATAAAAATTAGCTGGCCGTGATGGCAAGTGATTATAATCCCAGCTCCTCAAGAGGATGAGGCAGGAGAATTGCTTGAACCCAAGAGGCAAAGGCTGCAGTGAACCAAGATCACGCCACTGCACTCCAGCCTGGGCAACAGATCAAGACTCCATCTCAAAAAAAAAAAAAAGGCCGGGCGCGGTGGCTCACACCTGCAATCCCAGCACTTTGGAAGGCTGAGGAGGGCGGATCATGAGGTCAGGTGTTCGAGACCAGCCTGGCCAACATGGTGAAACCTTGTCTCTACTAAAAATACAAAAAAAAAAATTAGCTGGGCGTGGTGGTGGGCTCCTGTAGTCCCAGCTACTCGGGAGGCTGAGGCGGGAGAATCACTTGAACCCAGGAGGCGGAGGTTGCAGTGAGCCGAGATTGCGCCACTGCACTCCAGCCTGGGCAACAGAGTGAGACTGTGTCTCAAAAAAAAAGAAAAGAAAAGAAAATCTAGGAGGAAGGCTGGGCTCAATGGTTCACACCTGTAATCCCAGCACTTTGGGAGGCTGAGGTGGGCGGATCATCTGAGGTCAGGAGTTCAACACCAGCCTGGGCAACACAGTGAAACCCTGTCTCTACTAAAAATATAAAAATTAGCTGAGTATGGTGGCGGGTGCCTGTAATCCCAGCTGCTTGGGAGGCTGAGGCAGGAGAGTTGCTTGAACCCAGAAGGCAGAGGTTGCAGTGAGCCGAGATCGCACCACTGCACTCTAGCCTGGGAAACAAGAGTGAGACTCTGTCTCAAAACAAAACAAAACAAAGAAAGATTAAGAAGAGCTTTTGGGCTCTATGCTGGCAGCAACACAGGAGGATACAAGCTGTCACATGCTGCCAAAGGACCTCTACGCGGGTACAACCTTCCCTGAAAGTGTTTTGGCGGCTGGGCGCAGTGGCTCGTGACAGCTATCCCAGCACTTTGGGAGGCTGAGGCAGGTGGATCACCTGATGTCAGGAGCTTGAGACCAGCCTGGCCAACATGGTGAAAGCCCGTCTCTATTAAAAATACAAAAATTAGCCGGGAGTGATGGCGGGCACCTGTAATCCCAGCTACTCAGGAGGTTGAGGCAGGAGAATCGCTTGAACCTGGGAGGTGGAGGTTGCAGTGAGCCGAGATCGCACCACTGCACTCCAGCCTGGGCAACAAGAGCAAGACCCCGTCTCAGAAATAAATAAATTAATTAATTAATTAAATAAAATGTAAAATGTAGGAGTTGTGTAACCATCACCTCTGTGTAGTTCCAGAATACTGTCATCACCCCAAAGACATCCCATCCCCATCAGCAGTCACTCTCCACCCCTCCCCAGCCGCAGGCCACCGTGAATCCCTTTACTGTCTCGGTGGATTAGCCTGTCCTTCGCAGTTCACATAAATGGGATCATGTATTGTGTGGCCTTTTATGTCTGGCACCTCTCCCTGGCCGTGATGTCCTCAGGGTTCATCCAGGTGCTAGCCTATGTCAGAGCTTCGTTCCTTTTCATGGCTGAGTAATATTCCTTTTTCCAGACAGACCACCTTGTATTTATCCATTACGATTTGTATTTAAGGACATGGAAGATGCTTAAATATTAGGTTGGTGCAAAAGTAGTTGTGGTTTTCACCTTTTTAACGGCAAAATCGCAATTACTTTTGCACCAGCCTAATAATACAGTCACTGAAAAACTTACATGCAAAATCGTACACATTATTAGCAATGGGTTTTTTGTTTTGTTTTGTTTTGTTTTTTGAGACGGAGTCTCGCTCTGTCGCCCAGGCTGGAGTGCAGTGGCGCGATCTCAGCTCACTGCAAGCTCCGCCTCCCGGGTTCAGGCCATTCTCCTGCCTCAGTCTCCCGAGTAGCTGGGACTACAGGCGCCCACCACCACGCCCGGCTAATTTTTTGTATTTTCAGTAGAGACAGGGTTTCACCGTGTTAGCCAGGACGGTCTCGATCTCCTGACCTCATGATCCGCCCGCCTCAGCCTCCCAAAGTGCTGGGATTACAGGCGTGAGCCACCACGCCCAGCCTTGTTTTATTTGTTTTGTTTTGTTTTAATGCACAGAAAAAAAGACATGGGAAATAAGCCAAAAAGGTTTACAATTTCTTTTCCTGGTCCCCAAAACAAAATATAATAACTATAGAAGTTACATAAAATAGGCCGGGCACAGTGGCTCACGCCTGTAATCCCAATGCTTTGGGAGGCCGAGGCTGGCAGATCACCTCAGGTCGGGAGTTCAAGAGTAGCCTGACCAACATGGAGAAACCCCGTTTCTACTAAAAATACAAAAAAATTAGCCGGGTGTGGTGGCCCATGCTTGTAATCCCAGCTACTCGGGAGGCTGAGGCAGGAGAATCACTTGAACCTGGGAGGCGGAGGTTGCAGTGAGCTGAGGTCGTGCCATTACACTCCAGCCTGGGCAACAAGAGTGAAACTCCGTCTCAAAAAAAAAGAAGAAGAAGAAGAAGTTACATAAAATCATACAGCATTCAAAAGTCATCCTTGGCTGGGCACTGTGGCTCATGCCTGTAATCCCAGCACTTTGGAAGACTGAGGTGGGCGGATCACCTGAGGTCAGAAGTTCGAGACCAGCCTGGCCAACATGGTGAAACCCCGTTTCCACTAAAAATAGAAACATTAGCTGGGTGTGGTGGCATGCACCTGTAGTCCCACCTACCCAGGAGGCTGAGGCAGGAGAATCGTTTGAACCTGGGAGGTGGAGGTTGTAGTGAGCTGAGATCACGCCACTGCACTCCAGCCTGGGCAACAGAGCGAGACTCTTGTCAAAAACAAAAAAAACACAAAACACACACACCACACACACACACACAAAGGACATGGAAGATGCTTAAATAATAGCCATTGAAAAACCCACATGCGGCCGGGCACGGTGGCTCATGCCTGTAATCCCAGCACTTTGGGAGGCCGAGGCGGGCGGATCACGAGGTCAGGAGATGGAGACCATCCTGGCTAACACGGTGAAACGCCGTCTCCACTAAATATACAAAAATTAGCCGGGCGTGGTGGCGCACGCCTGTAATCCCAGCTACTCAGGAGGCTGAGGCAGGAGAATGGCGTGAATCTGGGAGGCAGAGGTTGCAGTGAGCTGAGATCACACCACTGCACTCCAGACTGGGCGACAAAGTGAGACTCTGTCAAAAAAGAGAAAGAAAGAAAAGAGAGAAGGGGGGGAGGGGAGAGAGAGAAAAAAAGAAAGAGAGAGAGAGGGAGGGAGGGAGGGGAGAGAGAGAAAGAAAAAGAAGAGAGGGAGGGAGGGAGAGAGAAAGAGAAGGGGAGGGGTGGGGAGGGGAGGGGAGGGAAGATCCCTCCACGCCCTTCTTCAGACCCATTCTCAGCACCTGTAGCCACCATTTGTTCACAGCTGAGGCAAATCCTTCAAACTTCTAGGCGTGCCCAAACGTTGGCCTCAGAAGAAAGCAGTGACAGTAAGTAGCAATAATGGTTCATTTCCTCGGATTGTGTCATCTGATCCTCCCGGAAACGCTGTGAGGTAAGGGCTATGGTTCTACGCATTGATTGTGCAGATGAATAAACATGGACTGACAGAAGGTAAACAACTCCCTTGAGTCCACAGCTAGAAAGTGGTACGGCCAGAACTGGGCAGCATTTTCAGCCAGACCGTAGGGCTCCCGCACATGTGCCCAAGACCGTCTTCTGTAATGGAGATCGGCACTATTTCATACCAACACTTGCCATTTGTTTTTAAAACTGGACTCACTCAACACAGACTGCTCTGAGGCTGGCTTAGCTTTTTTTTTTTTTCGCTTAACTTCCTATGACCGACAGCTTGCTAAGTCATTGCATTTTTATGAAGGAAAACAAAAAAGATATAAAAATAATAATTTTTTAAAAATCAGTGCATTTTAACAACTCCAGAGTAATTTAATTTACATGCTTAGCCGGACGCGGTGGCTCACACCTGAAATCCCAGCACTTTGAGAGGCCGAGGCGGGAGGATCACCTGAGGTCAGGAGTTCAAGGCCAGCCTGGTCAACATGGTGAAACCCCGTCTCTACTAAAAATACCAAAATAAAAAATAAAAATTAGCCAGGCATGGTGGCAGGCACCTGTGATCCCAGCTACTCAGGAAGATGAGGCAGGCAATGAACCTGGGGGGCAGAGGTTGCAGTGAGCCAAGATTGTGCCACTGCACTCCAGCCTGGGCAACAGAGCGAGACTCCATCTCAAAAAAAAAAAAATTATATACTATTGATGGACATTTAGATTATTTCTGAGTTTTGCTACTTTTACACACTATCTTTCAATAAAGTGCCTTATGAACATGTTTCTTTCTTTCTTTTTTTTTGACACGGAGTTTCACTCTTGCCGCCCAGGATAGAGTGCAATGGCGTGTTCTCGGCTCACTGCAACCTCCACCTCCCGGATTCAAGTGATTCTCCTGCCTCAGCCTCCCGAGTAGCTGGGATTTAGCTGGGATTACAGGCATGCACCCACCACGCCCAGCTAATTTTGTATTTTTAGGAAAGACGGGATTTCGCCATGTTGGTCAGGCTGGTCTCGAACTCCTGACCTCAGGTGATCCGCCTTCCTCAGCCTCCCAAAGTGCTGGGATTACAGGCATTAGCCACCGTACCCAGCCTACATATTAATTTCTGTACACACACTTGGATGTGTGTGTGCATTCCAGCATATGTGTGTGTACCGGTCCCTAGAATTATGAGACATTTTTATTCCCTCATATGTAAAATGCCTATTCATACTTTTTGTTTCTTTTCTTTTCTTTTTTTTTTTTTTTTCTTTTTTGAGACAGGGCCTGCTGGCTCTGTCGCCCGGGCTGGAGTCCAGTGGTGCTATCATAGCTCACTGCAGCCTTGATCTCCCAAATTCAAGCAGTCTTCCCACCTCAGCCTCCCAAGTAGCTGGGACTACATGGAAGCACCACCACACTCAGCTAATTTAAAAAAAAATTTTAAAGATGAGTTCTTGCTGTGTTGCCCAGGCTGGTCTCCAATTCCTGGGCTCAGGTGATCCTCCTATCTTGGCCTCCTAAAGTGCTGGGATTACAGGTGTGTGCCACTGCACCCAGTCTGTTTATTTCCTAATTAAATCACTTGCGTATTTCTTTGGGATGAAAGACACTTTTTACGCAGGCTTGTTAATTCTGGTCTGTTACAAGTGTTGCAAATATTTTCTCCTAGACTATCATTTAGATTTTTATGTCTGGCACACAAAACTCATCAACATGTTCCTTTCTTGATTCTCTAGGTTTTGTGACATGCTTAGTTAGAAAACTGTTCCACAAACTAAGATTTAAAATGATACATCCTGGCTGGGCGCGGTGGCTCACGCCTGTAATCCCAGCACTTTGGGAGGCTGAGGAGGGTGGATCGCGAGGTCAGGAAATCGAGACCATCCTGGCTAACACGGTGAAACCCTGTTTCTACTGAAAATACAAAAAATTAGCTGAGTGTGGTGGTGGGCACCTGTAGTCCCAGCTACTCGGGAGGCTGAGGCAGGAGAATTGCTTGAACCCGGGAGGTGGAAGTTGCAGTGAGCTGAGATCCCGCCATTGCACTCCAGCCTGGGTGACAAGAGCAAGACTCTGTCTCAAAAGACAAAAATGTTGTACATACACAGCATGGAATATTATGCAGCCACAAAAAGGAACGGGATCATGTCCTTTGCAGGGACATGGATGGAGCTGGAAGCCGTTGTCCTCAGCAAACTAACACAGAACAGAAAATCAAACACCACATGTTCTCACTTATAAGTGGGAGCTGAATACTGAGAACACATGGACACAGGGAGGGGAACAACACACACTGGGGCCGCTGGGGGGTGAGGTGAGGGGGAAGGGAGGGAGGGCTCCAGGATAAAGAGCTGACGTACGTGGGGCTTTTTGTTTGTTTGAGACGGAGTCTCGCTCTGTCACCCAGGCTGGAGTGCAATGGTGCAATCTCAGCTCACTGCAACCTCTGCTTCCCAGGTTCAAGTGATTCTCCTGCCTCAGCCTCCTGAGTAGCTGGGATTACAGGCGTCCGCCACCACACCCAGCTAATTTTTGTATTTTTAGTAGAGACGGGGTTTCACCATGTGGGTCAGGCTGGTCTCGAACTCCTGACCTCGAGCAAGCCACCCACCTCGGCCTCCCAAAGTGCTGGGATTACAGGCATGAGCCGCCGCGCCCAGCAACATGTGGGGCTTAATACCTAGGTGACGGGTTGATTGCAGCAAACCACCATGGCACATGTTTACCTATGTAACAAACCTGCAGGCTTGGGAA
Organism: Homo sapiens; assembly: GCF_000001405.40. Taxonomy (NCBI): domain Eukaryota; kingdom Metazoa; phylum Chordata; class Mammalia; order Primates; family Hominidae; genus Homo; species Homo sapiens. The sequence continues at coordinate 2,504,571 of NC_000019.10, read as the reverse complement.
TTCTGATCTGTTATAGGTGTTGCAAATATTTTCTCCTAGACTATCATTTAGATCTGCACATGTATCCCAGACTTAAAATTAAATTATTTTAAATTAAAAAAAAAAAAAAGAATCCAACTCCTCGTCTTTCCCAGCGTCGAGGGGCTCACATCCCTCAGCTCGGGGCCCCTTCCTCCACCTTCGCAGCCAGGAGCGCAGCCTCTTCTAGTCTTTCTTATGAGGGACCCTGTGAGGACACTGGGGACTCCAGATCATCCAGGCTGCTCTCCCATCTCAGAGTCCTTCACTCAATCGCACCTGCAGAGTCTCTGTTGCCGTGGAAGGTGACATACCCCTGTGCTCCCGGAATTAGAACAAGGACATCTTTGCCGGCTGCTATTCAGCCAACCATAGCTTGGGCTCCCCAGAGGCAGAGCCTGAGACAGAAGGTTCATATGCTCTTGTTTTCTGGGGGAGTCCAGTCTGATCCTCCATACGAGAGGGAGAGACCAGGACAATGAAGCAGGGAGCGAGAGCAGGCCCATAAGAGGGTGTGTCACTGCCTCAGCCTTGGCTTAATATAGGCGCCCTCGACCCCGCAAGCTCACGGAGCCGGCGTCTCAGGGCCCGTAGGCGGGAGGAGGTTGACTCACCGGCTCCTCACTGGCCACAGGCTCACCTCTGCACTGACTGGTTGTGGCTGCCTGTGTGCAGGGGGGAGCTCAGGTGCAGAGCTCACACCTGAGTGACATCCGTCAACACCTGACGGAGCTAGCCCGTGAGTGGGTGAGGTCGAGGGGCTCTGCAGGGGAGCATAAGAGGGTCTCATACCAGGACCGGCCATGTAACGTGCAGGGCTCAGTAAAAAATGAAAACACAGGGCCCTTTTTCAAAAATGTTTAAGAATTTCAAGACAATGACAGCAGCATTAAACCAAGGGTGGGGCCCTTCCGACCACACAGCGCTTCTGATCATGGGGCCCTGGGTGACTCACAAGTCGCACACCCATGAAGTCGGCCCTGTCTCATACACCCACCAACATATTTTTCAGATATTCCAGAAGGGGTTTGCTTAAGCTATTAGGACAGAAAAAAAGTCACAACAGATTGAAGTCATTAAACATTTAAAGCCTTTACTGGCCGGGTACAGTGGTTCATGCCTGTAATCCCAGCACTTTGGGAGGCCAAGGTGGGTGGATCACCTGAGGTCAGGAGTTCGAGACCAGCCTAACCAACATGGCGAAACCCCGTCTCTACTAGAAGTACAAAATTAGCTGGACGTGGTGGCTCATGCCTGTGATCCCAGCTACTCAGGAGGCTAAGGCAGGAGAATCACTTGAACCTGGGAGGCAGAGATTGCAGTGAGATGAGATCGCATCATTGCAACAAGAGCAAAACTCCATCTCAAAATTAAAAAAAAAAAACAAAAAAACAAAACCTTACCCTTATAACATGCTCACTTCAGTAGCACATATTCAAAAAGTTGGAAGGATGCAAAGATTAGTATTGCCCCTGCGTAAGGATGACATGAAGCATTTCATATTTTTAAAAAAGAAATAATAATAATTAAAAATTGCCAGGCGGGTGGCTCACGCCTGTAATCCCAGCACTTTGGGAGGCCAAGGCGGGTGGATCACGAGGTCAGGAGATCGAGACCATCCTGGCTAACACGGTGAAACCCCGTCTTTACTAAAAAAAAGTACAAAAAATTCGCCAGGCGTGGTGGCGGGCACCTCTAGTCCCAGCTACTTGGGAGGCTGAGGCAGGAGAATGGCTTGAACCCGGGAGGCAGAGGTTGCAGTGAGCCGAGATGGAGCCGCTGTACTCTAGCCTGGGCAACAGAGCAAGACTCTGTCTCAAAAAAAAAAAAAAAATTAGAGATCTTGTCTGGATTATCCAGGTAGGCCCAATGTCATCACAGGGTCCTTGTAAGAGGGTGGCAGGAAGGTCAGTCAGAGAAGGAGACATAACAACAGAAACAAGAGGCTGGAGTGATGTGAAGTCACAAGCCGAGTTGTACGAATAACTCCTGAAATCTGGAATACACCGGGAAACAAGTGAAAGAAGCTGCAGCCTTCACAGCCTCCATGCTACGATCCCAACTAGAAAAGATTCCGCAAAAGGCAAAGCTATACATGAGTAAAAACATCAGTGGTGGCTCACGCCTGTTATCCCAGCACTTTGGGAGGCTGAGGCGGGTGGATCACCTGAGGTCGGGAGTTGGAGACCAGCCTGACCAACATGGAGAAACCCTGTCTCTACTGAAAATACAAAATTAGCTGGATGTGGTGGTGCAGGCCTGTAATCCCAGCTACTCGGGAGGCTGAGGCAGGAGAATCGCTCGAACCCGGGAGGCGGAGGTTGCAGTGAGCCCAGATGGCACTGCTGTACTCCAGCCTGGGTGACAGAATGAGACTCCATCAAAAAAAAAAAAAAAAAAAAAAAATCAGGGGTTACCCAGGTTGAAGGAAGCGGGGATAAGGGTGAATAGGTGGAGCACAGAGGATTTGGGGAGCAGTGAAATTACTGTATGTGACACTGTCATGGTGGATATGTAACCTCATGCATTGGGTAAAACCCACAGAACACAGACCTCCAAGGGTGACCCCTACTGTAAACTCTGGACTGGGCTGGGTACGATGCCGAATGCAGACACTCTGCCTCTGCAAAGCAAAGAAGGGTCCACGCCACAGATGCCACAGAGCGCAGACTGATGGAGGGAGGGCACGATGGCCTCCTCAACCAGGCCGGGGAAGCACACCCAAATTAAGTATACATTGCCTCCCAAATCCAAGGAGATGCATTTGACGTCGTGCCTTCTCTTTGGTCCTGGGAAGGGCCAGAGGCAACAATTTATCTTTCACTTGACGTCAAGCAAGAGAAGGATAATGAGTACCAACAGCCAGCCTCCACATTGCACACATTTTGTTTATAATAATTAGAAAATTTGTTTTCATGCTAAAGAAAGGGTAAAAGAGCCATTTACAGGCAGCAGAAGCATAGTGCTTATCTAAGCAGAGACTTTTATTTTTATTTATTTATTTTATTTATTTTTTTTGAGACAGAGTCTCACTCTGTCACCCAGGCTGGAGTGCAGTGGCGCAATCTCGGCTCACTGCAACCTCCGCCTCCTGGGTTCAAGTGATTCTCTTGCCTCAGCCTCCTGAGTAGCTGGGATTACAGGCGCTCGCCACCACTCCTGACTAATTTTTGTATTTTTAGTAGAGACGGGGTTTCAGTATGTTGCCCAGGCTGGTCTCAAACTCCTGACCTCAAGTGATCCACCCGCCTTGGCCTGCCAAAGTGCTGGAATTACAGGCGTGAGCCACCACGCCCCGCCTTAAGCAGAGACTTTAAACCTGTCCATCTGGACTTCTGTCTCTGACCCACTGCCAGCCTCAAATCCCTCCCACTGGGATCTCCCCTCTTCCAGAATCCTTGCCTGCTCTCCAGTTCCCAGCCCTTCTGGCCAGTCCACGTGATTCCCAGAAAGTCCTCCACAAGCAACGGCAGGGCTCTGGAGCCCAGGCAGCCAATGAGGCAGGCTCAGGGTTTATTCTGCGCCCTCCCACACCCTCTCCGACCCCCGCCAGGGATCCAAAGAAAAGAGAAAAAATCCCACGAGGGGCCTGGGAGGGCACAGCAAAGTCTCCGGGATGGGGGCTCCCCCTGGGTGGCCGCGTCGGGTTCAGCGCTTTCTGCACTTGTGGCTGATCTGTAGCAGCCACCACAGGGTTTACAGTGGAAAGAGTGATGTAGGGCCTCACGGGTGAGCCGGCCCTAAGAATGTGCCACTCCTGGCCGGACGCAGTGGCTCAAGCCTGTAATCCCAGCACTGTGGGAGGCTGAGGCGGGCGGATCACCTGTGGTCAGGAGTTTGAGACCAGCCTGACCCACACGGAGAAACCCCGTCTCTACTAAAAATACAAAATTAGCCGGGCGTGGTGGCTCATGCCTGTAATCCCAGCTACTCGGGAGGCTGAGGAAGAAGAATCGCTTGAACCCGGGAGGCGGAGGTTGTGGTGAGCCAAGATCGCACCGTGGCACTCCAGCCTGGGCGACAAGAGTGAAACTCTGTCTAAAAAAAAAAAAAAAAAAGAATGTGCCGCTCTTTCTCGCCAACATTTATCACTCTGGGGAGAACTCCAAGCCAAGGTTGAGAAAGAAACATCTCCCCTGTTCAGAACGCAGACTGCCAGCGTACGCCAAGACAGGCCAGGGTGTCGTTGGGGGAATGAGCTTGCTGACAGGTGTCCAGTCTCGGCCCCGGCTCCGCCTCTCACTTACAGGATCTTTGGCGACAACATTCACTCTGGTCCCTTGGACCTTCCAGAGGTCATCCCTGTGTCTTCTAACTGCATTTGTCTGTCTCAATTGATCAGTAAAATGAGCAATTACAGTCGGAGCAGCACTGGGATTCTGGAGCAAATGGCAGTGACAATTCCTGCGTCTAAAGCCTCAGATCCTAGGGAAAAGATCTGCTTTCACCTAGGATGAGCGACCTACTCCAGAGAACATTCAGGAAAACCCGGCTTGCATTATCAGGTGGTTTACGTGCCTCCAGCCCACTCTGTGAGAATCAGGGGAATCTAAAAGGGTTCTGCCTTTGGTAACTACTCCTGTCCCACGACCCCTCCCCTCGAAGGCCACATGCAGTGGCCTCTAGAAAGGAAGAATTCTCAGCCAGGCGCGGTGGCTCACGCCTGTAATCTCAACACTTTGGGAGGCCGAGGCAGGCGGATCACGAGGTCAGGAGATCGGGACCATCCTGGCTAACACGATGAAACCCTGTCTCTACTAAAAAATACAAAAAATTAGCCAGGCATGCTTGCACGTGCCTGTAATCCCAGCTACTCAGGAGGCTGAGGCAGGAGAATTGCTTGAACCTGGGGGGCGGGGGGTTGCAGTGAGCTGAGATCGCGCCACTGCACTCCAGCCTGGGCAACAGAGCGAGACTCCGTCTCAAAAAAAAAAAAAAAAAAAAAGAAGACGAAAGGAGGAATTCTCAGGCCAGAGTCTAAACGTTTCATGGGACAGATAATCTGCGCAAAACTACAGGGTCAGAGCTGCAGACAGCCATCCATCTAGCAGAAGGCATGTCACGGGCTGGCTTGGGGATAAAAGAAAGCCAAAGTCCCATCCTTGGGTCATGGAGCTGCTCTTCCAGTCACATCCCCACATTGGGAGGTAGTAGTGGAAGCCGCCCTTTTCCAACGCTCCTGTTGTCTTGTCTATCTGGCAGCCTCCTCCCGACCACCTCTGGTGCAGACATCTGGAGCAGAGGGAGGGAGGAAGTGTGGTTCACGTCTGGTCTCTTTCCTGGCCAGCACACTTTCGAAACATTCCCCCTCCGTGGGCTCTGGGAGGTCCTTTGTTTGCAGAAGACACCTGAGGGTGGGAGAGCTGCACTGAGCTTGGGCTCAGGATTGTGGAACCCACTAACTTCCCAAGACTGTTGCTGGAGGACCAGAACAAGGGGATAGCTGAGGAGTGTGCCTGCATGGTCCCTGAAAGCATTCAAGCAAGAGGCAGCAGCAAGGCCAAATGGAAACAGAACCGGCTGGGTAGCTTCTGCCACCAACTTGGCTGAGGGACTTTCTTTCTTTGTTTTTTTGAAACGGAGTCTCTCTGTTGCCCAGACTGGAGTGCAGTGGCGCGATCTCGGCTCACTGCAAGTTCTGCCTCCCGGGTTCACGCCATTCTCCTGCCTCAGCCTCCCGAGTAGCTGGGACTACAGGCGCCCGCCACCACGCCCGGCTTATTTTTTGTATTTTTAGTAGAGACGGGGTTTCACCGTGTTAGCCAGGATGGTCTCAATCTCCTAACCTCAGATGATCCACCCACCTCAGCCTCCCAAAGTGCTGGGATTACAGGCGTGAGCCACCACGCCCGGCCGGGGACTTTCGACAAGTCATGGCTCCATGTCAGTTTCCTCATCTGTAAGGTGAGGATGATTATTAGCACTAAGGTGGCTGTGAAGATATTAAATTGGCATTAAGTACTTAATAAGCATCCAATAAATAAAACTGGCTGATGGTCTTAAGATACAGAAATGTACTTGATATCCAGCTGGCATACAGGACAGATAAATGACAGTTGCCTCCTGAATTCCACAAGCATTTCCTGCCAAATGCCAAACCCACATTTACTATCTGTTCACGGGTCTTATCCCGGTCAGGCCATCCGCCCTTGGAGAGAAGCAATATACTCATAAAAAATCAACTTGCGGGCCAGGCGTGGTGGCTCACGCCTGTAATCCCAGCACTTTGGGAGGCCAAGACATGAGGATCACTTGAGCTCAGGATTTGGAGACCAGTCTGGGCAACATAGCAAGACCCCGACTCTACAAAAAATAATTTTAAAAAATTAGCCAGACATGGTGGTGAGTGCCTGTGGTCCCAGCTACTCGGGAGGCTGAGGTGGGAGGATTCCTTGAGCCCAGGAGTTTGCAGCTTCAGTGAGCTATGATTGCATCACTGCACTCCGGCCTGGGCTATGGAGCAAGACCCTATCTCTTAAAAAAAAAAAAATCAACTTGCACAGTGAAAAAGATTTTTCTTAAAACAAACAAACAACCAGGTGCAGTGGCTTATGCCTGTAATCCCAGCACTTTGGGAGGCCAGGACAGGCAGATCACCTGAGATCAAGAGTTCGAGACCAGCCCGGCCAATATGGAGAAACCCCATCTCTACTAAAAATACAAAATTAGCTGGGCGTGGTGGCGCATGCCTGTAATCCCAGCTACTCGGGAGGCTGAGGCAGGAGAATCACTTGAGCCCGGGAGGTGGAGGTTGCAGTGAGCCAAGATGGCACCATCGCACTCCAGCCTGGGCAAAAAGAGCAAAACTCCACTAAAATTAATAATAATAATAATAATAATAATAATAAATAAGAGGTGGTGGGAGGTGAGAGTCAGAGACTGGAAGAGGCTGCACGGCCAGCCATGAACGTGGAGGAAGAGGCCCCAAGCTGAGGGAAGCAGCTGCCTCTAAATGCTGGCAAACGTGGAAGCCAGGTTCTCCCCTGGATCCTCCAGGAGGGCCCAGCCCTGCTCACAGCTTGATTTGGAGCCCAGGGAGACTGATTTTGGATTCCTGGCCTCCAGACTTGTCAGATAATAACTCTGTGTTGTTTCCAGCCACTGGGTTGGCAGTGATTTGTTACAGCAGCGGGAGGAAACTCATACGGTGCTCACAAATGCTTGCTGCATGAGTGAGGGCACCGGTGAAAGAATGCGGAGCAGCTGTGGAATACGGCCCGGGGGAGCCAGGGGACTGTGCTGGCCTCCTGTGTGTCAGCTGTCATGAGACCCTGGGCCTGGGAAATTATCCCAGGGTCTCAGTTTCCTGATCTGAAACGCCGGGGTCACTCTCGCCAGCCTCACGGACTGGGATAAGTAAGGGGGTGTGTCCTCTCAAAATGTGGAACCAGCCAGCACCCGGGATGTTCCTCTGTCCTGCAGCCAGCCATATCCCAGCGTCCTTTCCAGGACCCTCAGCTCCATTCTGCCAGGAGCTTGTTCTAAGACCTTTCATATATTCCCTCACCTATTTACCATTAGTCCATGTGACTGTCACCCCCTTTCCTGAAAGAGGCACATAGAGGTGAAGTCATCGCCCCAAGGTTGCTTAGCTGTTAAAAGGCAGCATGAGGGCTGGTCCCGGTGGCTCACGCCTGGAATCCCAGCACTTTGGGAGGCCAAGGTGGAAGGATCACTTGAGCCCAGGAGTTCAAGACCAGCCTGGGCAACACAGAGAGACCCCATCTCTAGTAAAAATTTTCAAAAATTAGCCAGTCATCGTGGTACATGCCTATATAGGCCTCACTACTCAGGAGGCTGAGTTGGGGGCATCACTTGAGCCCAGGAAGTCAAGGCTGCCATAAGCTATGACGGCGCTGCTGCCAGGCACAGTGGCTCACGCATGTAATCCTATCACTCTGGGAGGAGAGGCAGGTGGATCACCTGCGGTCAGGAGTTCGAGACCAGCCTGGCCAACATGGTGAAACCCCGTCTCTACTAAAAATACAAAACTTAGCTGGGCATGGTGGCGTGCACCTGTAATCCCAGCTACTCAGGGGGCTGAAGCTGGAGAATCGCTTGAACCCAGAGGACAGAGGTTGCAGAGAGCCGAGATTGTGCCACTGCATACTCTTCCAGCCTGGGTGACAGAGTGAGACTCCGTCTTGTCTCAAAACAATCAAAAAAAAAAATTAAAAACAAAGGTAGAATGTGGAAGGAAATGAAACCATCAGGGAATGAGCCCAAGATGTGTCCCATCCCAGTGTCCCCTCTGTGCCTCAGTTTACCCTCATCACACTGATCTTCCTCTTGGGAACATGGGAGCCCCTAGCCTAGGGATGTGGGAGTCAAGGTCTGTTCTCAGCAGGCCACTTTCCTGTGACAACCCTGAAAGGAGGTGAAAGGTCAGAGGCTGCTGGGTCGCCCCACCCTGCCCTGGAGACAGAATTCAGATACCTGGCGTCATGGATTCCCAGAGGTCTGAAAGTCCTGCTCACCTGGAACGTGGGAACGCCCTTCAGAGCTCCCTTCCCTCCCCGACCCAGGAAATATAGGGGTCTCCCCATTCTGGGTCTGGCTCAGGGACTGTGTGTCCCTGACTGCCCTCCATGAAGGAGGCCGCCCTTGGGTCTGCCGGGAGGAGGAAGACGACTAGGAGGAGGAGGAGGAGGAGGAGAGGCAGGGCGGCCAGCCTGAGTGGAGGAATCCCCGAACCGGCTAAAAATAGCCAAGGAAATTATTCCAACACCTTCCCAAAATAGAAAGCAGTCTCTGGGCCCAACAAAAGGCCAGGGCTGGTCGGCAGCTAGAGAGGAGGTGGCGTTTAAGAAAGGTGACCTGCGACAGCCCCCCCACCCTGCCCTCCCTCTACGGCCCTTCGTCCCCTAGAGTCTTCCAGGGCCAGGTGTGGGCAGAGGGGCAGGCCCAGGCGGGTGTGGGGCCCCTGGCTCCCCCTCGCCCCTGCCCCTCCCCAAAATCCTGGACCAAAGGGCTCCTGACCCGGGAACTGGGAGGGGCCAAGCCACTCGCGTTAAAAATAGCCCTTGCCTCCTCCCAGGCTATATTTAGATCCCTTGGCACCGGCGTCAGCAGGAAGGCAGCGGCTGGGCACACCCCACCGGGCCGCCCGGGCGCCCTGGCTCAGGCACCGCCCCTGGCCACCGCAGCTGGGCAGAGACCAACTGTATGGACAGAGCTGGCTGCAGCACCCAACTTGCTGGGTGGTGCCAGGACACCCGCAGACCCTCTCTGAGCCGGCTTGTGCAGGAGAGAGCGGGAGACAAGCTGGTGGGACTCTACACTGCAGAGGGCGCTGGGAAAAGGCTGCTCCCAGCCCCGGGCCCTCACTCTGGGGGCCCGGCGGGGCGGGCAGTGCGCCGGCCTCAGTTTCCCCATCTGTGCAATGGGACATTAACAGCACCCGCATCACAGCGCTCAGCTCACGGTCGGACACGCACTAAGCGCTCTGCACGGGTTGGCAGTCAACGAAAGTGGGTGTCACTGCTTTCTCCAAGTCCCCGTCCCGCCCGGGCCAGCTCCAGAAACGCAGGGGCTGATGTCATCCCCAGGCTCAAACCTCCCAGCGTGGCCGACGCAGGCAGGCGCCGCCGTCACGGGCGTTCCTGCGCCAGGGAATCCCGGCCCCGGCGCCGGGGCCCCAGTGGAAACCCGTGACGCCAGCGCCCGCCGCCGTGGGTCTTCCGGGCTGGCGGTAGCGGGGCGGGGCGTTCTCCCGCGCCGCTGACCCCACCTCCGCGCCAGCCCCGGGAACGCGCACGGCCTCTCTCCACCCTCCGCGAGCCCAGTGTGCTTGCGCTTGCGCTTGCCCCGCACTCAGTCGCCCCCTCCACGAGTGCACACTCCACTCACGCGGGATGCGCAGGACGCCGACAAGCAGGCGTCCACAGTGGGTCTGCAGGGACGCATCGCATGGGCAGGCCTGGTGGGTGTAGGTGTGCAGGAGTTCGTGGACATGCGTGTGCACGATCCCGCGTGGAAGGCACGGTGGACATGCGTGTGCACAATCCCGCGTGAAATGCAAAGGTAGGCATGCGTGTGCACGATCCTTCGTGGAATGAACAGTGGGTATGCCTGTGCACGTTCCCCTTGGAAGGCGCCGTGGGTACCCGTGCACGGTGCTGGCCCTTTGCAGGAGGATGGGGAGCCCTGGCTGGAGAGTACAGATTCCGGACACACACACTCACACACACACACACACTCATTCACCCTCTCTCCCGGTGCCCGTGGCCTGTGGGCGTGGAGCCGTGGGCGATGACTCTCAGGCTGTTCACCGTCTCCCCACCAGTCTGGGAGCTAATTACTGTCAGGACCAGACGGGGTGGCTGGAAAGATGAACAAATCGCTGTGTGTCTGCAGCCCGTCTGGAGCTGCAGGCCTCATAGGCGTCTGTTCCGGGGGTGTCGGGCGTGACGCGGCCCTGGGTGGAGGGCGGGCAGCCTGGGTGCTGCGTGCACCGTGGGGGAGCCCTGGGTTTCTGCGTGGGTCCTGGAGGGTCTGCGGTGAGTGATGGGAAAGTGATGGATGAGTGATGGGGGTCCGTGTCTGCCGTATGTGCCTTTGTGTGAAAGCGAGAGACAGGAGGCCTGGCGGCGTCTATTCTCCCGATCAACAAAGTGGATGTAATAATAGTATTTACCCTATAAGGTTACGGGGACCCAGCAACCTCACTTCTCTTGGTACTATCTGAAAGAAATACACAACTTAGGAGCACACAGAGACCAGGAGGTAAATGCACGTAGCAGCTTTGTTCCTCATCACCAAAACCTGGGAAGAGCTCAAATACCCCTCCATTCAGAGGGGAACAGGTCAACGGAGGTCGGTTCATAGAATGAAAGTTCAGCAGTCAAGAGGAACGCACTCGCCTTCAAAACATGCTCAGTGAGGCCGGGCGCGGTGGTTTATGCCTGTAATCCCAGCACTTTGGGAGGCCCAGGTGGGCGGATCACTTGAGGTCAGGTGTTTGAGACCAGCCTGATCAGCGTGGTGAAACCTCATCTCTACTAAAAATACAAAAAATTAGCCGGCCATGGTGGTGGGCACCTGTAGTCCCAGCTACTCCGGAGGCTGAAGCAGGAGAATCGCTTGAACCTGGGAGGCGGAGGTTGCAATGAGTTGAGATAGTGCCACTGCACTCCAGCCTGGGTGACAGAACACGACTCAGTCTCAAAAAATGAAATGAAATGAAATAAATGAAATGAAATGGAATAAATAAAATGAAAATAAAAATAAAGCATGTGCACCCAACACACAAACACACAGGTATGCACACTCATGCCAAAACAATTGCAGGGGCCCCAGCAGCCCCTAGAATCCCCATCAGAGGCTGGGGAGGAAGATCGGCGGCAGGAGGGACAGACAGTGCCTATGTGCCCCAGATTGTGTCTCTGTCACCAGCTGCCAGAGCCCGTGCCTGTCTGAGGAGGTGGGTGTCTCCGGACCGCCCACCTCTGTGTCTGTCTCCAGGACATAGGCTCCACCTCCCCCCAGGGCCTCACTCCCATCTCCTCCTCCCACCCTGGTCCCCCACCTTCCTGTCCCCACCCTTGTTGGCGGTAGGAACCTACTGTTTCTGGCTGCAAGAGGAGATGGTTGAGGGGGCCCAGTCAGGGCATCCGTTTATCATCCCTCTATTTCTCTTCTTAGCTCAACAAGAAGACCTTCCTGTCTCTGGGCCTCGGTTTCTCCGGCTGTGAAATGGAAGGATAGTTTCTTAGGGTATATGGGCATCACCTCCCCACCTGTGCAGTTCTAATCCCACCAACCCTGGCTGTTTCTGGAGCTTCCTGCAGGCAATGGTCTGAGCCATAGGAGAACTCAAATGATGGAAAATCACAGGTGGGGTGTAGGACTCCCCACACTCCCATGAACCCCTTCAGGCATGGAAGGACAGACACCTCAGGAGGGGATGGCTGGGGTGGGTAGCACAGGTAGGCTTGCAGGGGAAGAGAGGGGATATTTGTGTGTCCAAAATCCTGGCCGGGCACGGTGGCTGACGTCTGTTATCCCAGCACTTTAGGAGGCCAAGGTGGGCAGATCACTTGAGGTCAGGGGTTCAAGACCAGCCTGACCAACAAGGTGAAACCCTGTCTCTACTAAAAATACAAAAATTAGCCAGATGTGGTGGCATGCACCTGTAATCCCAGCTACTCGGGAGGCTGAGGTGGGAGAATCACTTGAAGCCGGAGGCGGAGTTTGCGGTGAGCCGAGATCACACCATTGCACTCCAGCCTGGGCGATGGAGCGAGACTCCATCTCAAAAAAAAAAAAGAAAGAAAGAAAAGAAAAAATAAAATGCGGCCGGGCGCAGTGGCTCACGCCTGTAATCCCAGCACTTTGGGAGACCGAGGTGGGCAGATCACAAGGTCAGGAGATCGAGACCATCCTGGCTAACAAGGTGAAACCCCGTCTCTACTAAAAAAATATGAAAAATTAGCCAGGCGTGGTGGCAGGCGCCTGTAGTCCCAGCTACTCGGGAGGCTGAGGCAGGAGAGTGGCGTGAGCCCGGGAGGCGGAGCTTGCAGTGGGCCGAGATCGCGCCACTGCACTCCAGCCCGGGCAACTGAGCAAAACTCCATCTCAAAAAAAAAAAGAAAGAAAGAAAAAAAAGAAAGAAAATGCGTGTCTCTGCATGAGGGCCTGTGTGTGGGCACCAGGCTCTGGCTTCTGGAGGTGAACAAATCAAAGTGGACTCAGGTGTTTCCTGGACATGAGTGTGTACTCTCAGGCGTGGGCTTATTCCCACCCCGTGGATGTCTAGAATGTCGTTTCCCAGGATCTTTTTGTTGTTTGAAGATGTGCAAATGTCTGGTATGCAGAGTAGAGACATTCAGTACATATTTGCAAAATGATGTGTTCGTGTATTCACTCATTTGTCCACTCAGCAAATATTCACCAAGTGCCAACCAGCTGTGGGGTGCTGGAGACGCACAGTGAGCAAAGCAGACAAGCATCTCTTTCCTGTCACCGCTATGGGTGAATTACCGCTGGGCCATTGCCTGTGCTGCACGGTTCATGTGCCAGGGTGACCCTGCACGTGTTCATGAGCACACCCGTTTGTAGGTGGGGTACAGAACTCACATCAGCATGGCCCATGCACGTGTGCACACATATACATGCACACCCGTGTGTGCGCACAGGTTCACCGGCGACTCTTGTGCAGGCTGGGCCTCGCCCGTCCTTGGCATTGCCTGCCTGCCCCGCCCATCTTCCGAAAGTGCCAGGGGCCAGGTGGGGCCAGGCGGGCCCGGAAACCTCTCCCAGCTGCTGTGCCCAGTTTCAGGGAAGCCAAGGTCTGGCGCCCTGCCCGTGGAGACTGCCTACCCTTGCACCTGCTTCCCGGGCTTCCGGGAAGGGCCTGGAGGCCCAGCCCCCAGCCCTGCTAGCCTGAATCCACCACCCAGAGGCACACAGCAGAGAGGGAATGCAGCCCCCTTTCCCCCCACACCTTGGAGCCCTTCAAAGTCAGAACCAGAAGAGACTCCAGCAGGGCAGAGTCTCTTACCCAGGTGGGGTAAACTGAGGTGCACACAAAGGGCCCAGAGAAAGGGGCTGCACACAGATGAGTTCCCTGCACTCTACTCCCACCCCAAATCAGCACGTGCAGGCTTCCACAGTTTGAGTACTGGCACCTCATGGATCTCTGTATACCGCGGGTATTCACAGGCCTCGGGGCTCTGTGGAGTGAGCATTGGAGCTTAGAAATATTTGCATTTCCCTAGTGGGAACACGCAGTGCAGGTCAGAGTGCAGGTGTGCACACCAGGGTCTTAGACACATGTGGGTGCTTGTGCTTGCATGGACAAGGCTGTTTGTGCCGGGCACCATGGCTCACATGCCTGTAATCCCAGCAGTTTGGGAGGCTGAGACAGGCAGATCACCTGAGGTCAGGAGTTCGAGACCAGCCTGGCCAACATGGTGAAATGCCGTCTCTATTAAAAATACAAAAATTAGCCGGGCGTGGTGGCAGGTGCCTGTAATCCCAGCTACTCGGGAGGCTGAGGCAGAAGAATTTCTTGAACCCAGGAGGTGGAGGTTACAGTGAGCTGAGATTGCGCCATTGCACTCCAGCCTGGGGCACAAGAGCGAGACTTCATCTCAAAAAAAAAAAAAAAAAAATGAGGCTGGGCACGGTGGCTCACCCCTGTAATCCCAGCACTTTGGGAGGCCGAGGCAAGTGGATCACCTGAGGTCAGGAGTTCAAGACCAGCCTGGCCAACATGGTGAAACCCCATCTCTGCTAAAAATACAAAACTAAAAATACAATACAAGCTGGGCGTGGTGGCGCGCGCCTGTAGTCCCAGCTACTCAGGAGGCTGAGACAGGAGAATCGCTTGAGCCTGGGAGGGGGAGGATGCAGTGAGTTGAGATCGTGCCACTGCACCCCAGCCTGGGCGACAGAGCAAGATTCCATCTTAAAAAAAAAAAAAAAAAAAAAAAAAGACAAAAAGACAAGGCCGTTTGGGAGTGTGGGAGCTTGGGGGCTCCTCACATGAATGTTTGTCAGTGGGTGCCTGTGCACGGTGGGTGTTTGCACGAGTGCAGGTGCAGGTGTTTGCATGTAGGTGGATGCCTGCACACAGTCGGTTTTGTATGTATCTGGGTGTCTGCACGCAGTAGGCATTGCGGCCAGGTGGGGCTCTGCACACAGTGGGCTTTGCATGGAAGAGAGGTGCTGCATACAGTAAGCCCAGCGCGAAGACAGCGATCTGCACACAGTGGACGTCTGCACGCAGGAGAGGGGCTGCACCCTGTAGGCACTGCAAGAAGGTAGGGCTCTGCACACAGTAGGCCTTGCATGCAAGAAAAGGGTCACACACAGCAGGCGTTTGCACGCAGGAGAGGGGCCGCACACAGTAGGCATTGCAGGCAAATGGGGTTCTGCACACAGTAGGCTTTGCATGGAAGGGGGGTGCGGCGCACAGTAGGCCCTGCACGAAGACGGAGATCTGCACACAGCGGGCGTTTTCACACAAAAGACGGGCTGCGCACAGTAGGCCCGGCTGCACGCGTCCAGTGCCGGCCCAGCGGAGAGTAGCGGCTGCAGCCCCGTGCAGCTGAGCACGCACCCGGTTCCTGTGCCACCGCGGCCCCAGGCTCTTCTGCGCCCGACCGGGCAGGTCAGGCGGCTCCGCCGGGGCGTGGGGCGGGCGGCCGGGCAGGGAGGCTATTCCGGGCCCTGGCGCAGTGCCCGAGCCCTGCGCGCCAGGCCGCCCGGGGAAGGCGCCGCTCACAAAAGGAGGGTCTGTGCAGACGCCCCGCCCTCGGCCCGGCCGCCCGCCGCCAGGGGCTTGGAGGAGGGAGACGCCGCCGGAGCTGCCGCCGGCCCGGACCCCCCAACCCCTCCTGCCGGGGCGGCCGCAGACACCGCGCCTGGCGGGCAACAGAGGGAGGCTGGCACCGCCGGGCTCTGGAGGGGGTCGACAGCCGGCGCTGGGGGCTCCCGAGCGCACAGACTGCGCGCCCAGGGCGCACCGGAGGGAGCGCTGGCGAGGGTGGGGGCCCCCAGTGCAGGGAAACTAGGACAGGCCCCTTGCCTTTCGCCCACTTGGGGATTTCTCCGTCTCGAGCACCCGCCTCTGTCTCCAATTATCCAATTTAAGGAACGGGAAAGCCGGGACTCCTGCCTGCTAGGGAGGGCGGACGGGAGGGGCGTCTGGGGCCTGGGTCAGCGCCCCTCTCCACCCCCAGAGTGTCTGGCCAGGGGGTGAGGTGGAAGGAAGGAAGGCGTAATAAGGGTTCTCAAGGCAGCGCGTTTTGCTAAGTGCCTTAGTGCACTGTCTAGTTTCACCTCGACACGTGGGAGGGCGATTCGGCTTTCCCTTTTATGGACGAGGGAAACTGAGTCACGCTTTTGCTGAGCTGCTGGAGCTAGTAAGCCGCGGAGATTCAAACCTAAAGCCAGGCCTCCGCCCCTCCCTTTTCCTCCCTGTAGGGCCTGAACTCTGCCCTCCCTCCCTTCCCTCGCATGGAGCCATCCAAGAAGCGTTTATGGCGTGCCTGCTGTGTACACGGCGGCCCAAACACTTCCCCACGCACACGCCTGTGAGCGCAGGCCGAAGCTCCCACACTCGTGCGCTCTCGTCACATGCGCAAGAGGGTCTTGGCCCGCAGCGCTCTTCACGAGGCCCCTCACTCTACCCCACCCCCACCCCCAATGCACCCCGGCTCCGGGGCCTGGGAACCGCCGGCGTCCGGGTGGAGGGAGTGGGGTGGGAACTGGGAGCACGGAACGGAACAATGTAGGGAAAGAATAGCGAGGAGCGGCGAGAGGAAACCCCCCACCCCTTCTCCAGATGCAGCTCTGGTGTGGCTGTCCCGTGTGCCTGCGGTCTCCCTGGCCCAGCGTCCTGGGGAGCAGGTCCTTGGCCTTCCCACTGTGTGGCTATGGGTCGTTCTGGGTCTCGGGGGTCCCTCCTGGATCCCTAGGGATCTGTAAAGCTGTGGGTCGCGTGACCTACATGTCCGGGGAGCATGCTCCAGGCTCTGGGGTGGGGGCTGGAGAAAGTGACGTGCAGGGCTCTGAGCCTCTCTCTGCAAGACTCCGTGACTCTCTGCTTCCTCCAAGGAGACCCACCCTGGTTCCTCCCTCGCCTCCCCGGAGCCCTGGCTGGGCACTGCCCCGACCACGAGGTGGAGATCACAGGGGCCAAGGCCTAGAGCTGGGAAGCTGCAGGGAGTTCTGGGGCTCTGAGGGCTGGGCTCTTGGCGGTGGTCTGCAGAGAGAAGGGGGTCCCGGGAGAAAGTAAGGAAGAGTGACGGCTCAGGAAGCCTCTGCATTCCTTCTGCTGTGTCCTAGAAAAGGGGAGACCCGGTTTAGGGTCCCCTGCCACAACATCCAACCCACCACATTGAAAGTGTACCCAGGGGCCGGCCATGGTGGCTCACACCTGTAATCCTCGCATTTTGGGAGGCAGGAGGATCCTTTGAGCCCAGGAGTTCCAGACCAGCCTGGGCAACATAGGGAGATCCTGTCTCTATTTAAAAAAAAAAAAAGGGGGGTACCCAGGGGGTTGCCAATGCACCCTGAAGTCTGAGAACCAGTGCTTAAAGTGCACAAAAGGGCATGGCAGATGCTGCTATGTCCCCTTGGCCACCTGGGAGCTGGCTTCCGACAATTTCCTACAGTCCAACGGCTTCCCGTGTCCCTTTGCCTGGGGTCTTTCTCTAACAGTGTGCAAACCTACTGCGTGCAGCCCCTCTCCTTCATGCAAACACCTGCTGTGTGCAGCGTCTTTATTGCACGCAAGGCCTACTGTGTGCAGAGCCCCACCTGCGTGCCATGCCTACTGTGTGCAGACACCCAGAGACATGCAGCACCTACTGTGTGCAGGCACCCACCTGCGTACAGACACTCACCGAGAACCCCCTCTGGGTAGGCAGGAAGTACCAGGGAGTCAACACCCCAGAACACCCCTCAAACGGGGGATGCAGTTGGTTAATAAGTAGATGCCAGCCGGGCACGGTGGCTCACACTTGTAATCTAGCACTTTGGGAGGCCGAGGCAGGCAGATCACATGGTCAGGAGTTCGAGACCAGCCTGGCCAACATGGCGAAACCCCATCTCTACTAAAAATACAAAAAATTAGCCGGGCAAGGTGGCACGCACCTGTAATCCCAGCTATTTGGGAGGCTGAGGCAGGAGAATCGGTTGAACCTGAGTGAGCTGAGATCGTGCCACTGCACTCCAGCCTGGGCAACAAGAGCAAAACTGTGCCTCAAAATAAAATAGCCGGGCGCGGTGGCTCACGCCTGTAATCCCAGCACTTTGGGAGGCCGACACAGGCGGATCACAAGGTCAGGAGATCGAGACCATCCTGGCTAACATGGTGAAACCCCGTCTCTACTAAAAAATATTAAAAAATTAGCCGGGCGTGGTGACGGGCGCCTGTAGTCCCAGCTACTCGGGAGGCTGAGGCAGGAGAATGGCGTGAACCCGGGAGGCGGAGCTTGCAATGAGCCGAGATCGCGCCACTGCACTCCAGCCCGGGCGACAGAGTGAGACTCCGTCTCAAAAATAAAATAAAATAAAATAAAATAAAATAAAATAAAATAAAATAAAATAAGTAGATGCCCCCACTGGCTGTCTTGCCCCATTGTGACCACACCTCTCACAGTTCCCTACGGGGCTCAGCCCCAGATGCCCACAGCAGGGACCTCTTCAGGGAGGCACCATCGTCTCTTTCCTTCTGTGCTCTGGACTGCGTCATTGCAGATGCACGTTCACCCATGAATAGGGGGTTGATATGCAAATGCACACATCTGTGTGTCTGAGACCAGGTGGCCCTGGGTGTGTGCTTTGATTCCTTCAGTGTTTTTTGAGACATGCCACCATGCCAGGCTAATATCTTTTTTTTTTTTATTTAGATGGAGTCTTGCTCTGTCGACAGGCTGGAGTGCAGTGGCGCGATCTCAGCTCACTGCAGCCTCTGCCTACCGGGTTCAAGCAACTCTCTTGCCTCAACCTCTCGAGTAACTGGGACTACAGGTGCACTCCACCACACTCAGCTAAATTTTGTATTTTTAGTAGAGACAGGGTTTCACTGTGTTGGCCAGGATGGTCTCAATCTCTTGACTTTGTGATCCGCCCACCTCGACCTCCCAAAGTGCTGGGATTACAGGCGTGAACCACTGTGCCCGGCCATATCTTTTTTTATTTTTTGTAGAATCAAGGTCTCTCTCTGTTGCCCAGACTGGTCTCGAACTCCTGGCCTCAAGAGATTCTCCTGCCTTGGCCTCCCAAAGTGTTGAGATTACAAGCGTGAGTTACCATGCCCAGCCTTCCACATCTTTTGTGGAGGACACAATTCAAACCATAACATCCTCACACAAAAACACCCACCCAAGTCTTTCCGGCCACGCATGCTGGAAACGTGAATGAGAATTCATACTCAACACGCAACAGACACCCACACACCCATACACACAGATGCCTCTCTTTATCTCGTTCTCTCTTGTTTTTCTAAGCCTAACACAGGCCCTCGCACACAGTAGGGGCTAAATAAATATTGAATGAGTCAGGCAGGGTGTGATGGCTCAGGCCTGTAACCCCAGCACTTTGGGAGGCTGAGATGGGGACATCACCTGAGGCCAGGAGTTCGAGACCAGCCTAGGCAACATAGTGAAACCCTAGCCAGTCATGGTGGTACTTGCCTATAGTTCCCGCTACTTGGGAGGCTGGGGAGACTGAGGTGGGAGGATTGCTTGAGTCTGGGAGGTCGAGGCTGCAGTGAACTGTGACAGCACCACTGCACTCCAGCCTGGGTGACAGAGGAAGACCCCATCTCTTAGAAAAATAAAAATAAAAAATGGCAGGGCTCGGTGACTCACATCTGTAATCCCAGCACTTTGGGAGGCCAAGGCAGGTGGATCACTTGAGGTCAGGAGTTTGAGACCAGCTTGGCCACCATGGCGCAACCCTGTCTTTACTAAAAATACAAAAATTAGCCAGGCGTGGTGGCAGGCACCTGTAATCCCAGCTGCTTGGGAGGTTGAGGTGGGAGAATTGCTTGAGCTGCAGTGAGCTATGATCATGCCACTGCACTACAGCCTGGGCAACACAGTGAGACTGTCTCAAAAAATAATAAATAGACCTCCAAACCACCAGCCACAGAGGTCGTGCCCTGGGGCCACTCTGGGGGAGAGGTGAGCAGCATCAGCAGCTATGGACCTCCTATTTGGGGTGATGAGGAAGGTGCAATCACGAGTCCCCAGTTGGTCAGGAGTTCTGGGTGTCCAGGGCTCACTCCAAGGATGCCAAGAATTGTAGCAACAGCCACACGTGTACGTATATTGCTGTGTTCCCACATAGCAGCACAAGTCCTCATGGCCCAACACACCGCGGTGTGCAGAGATTCAGAGACAAATTCCAACTCACATTAACAGGCAGCTATGCAGATATTCATGTACAGGCAGAAAGCATTGTATGGTGTACTAGCTCACTAATAATAGCTAACTTTTCTGCAAGCTTCTCCCCGTTCTAAATGCTTTGCATAATGTAATTAATTTAATGTTCACAACAGCCCCGAGAGAGATGGGCACCACCATTGGCATCCCCATTGCACCAACAAGAAAACTGAATGCAAAGAGGTGAAGCAACTTGCCCGAGGCCACGCGGCTGGCCTCCTCCACAGAGCCAGGTTCCAGCCTTCCTGAGCTGAGAGGTGTCACTCTACCTGGCCAGGACCCAGCACCTGGCAGATCAACGTGTGTCCCTTAGGGCCGAAACTGTCTGTGCTGGAGCATGGACACAGAAGGTCATCAGCAGTTCAACCTCTCATCATACAGACTTGACTGAGTCTTTATGCCATAAGCATTTATGAAGTGCCGCCTGTGTCCCAGGTTCTGGGCTAGCCACTAGGGATCTGGGGGTGAGAAAAACAGACCTTCTCCCCTCCCTCTGGGAGTCTGCAGCTTCACGCAGAAGATAGACAAGAAGCAAATAACAGGATTATAAATATGTCATTACAAATGGGTGCAGGGGCTGGGCAGAGCAAGACTCTGTCTCAAAAAACAAACAAACAAATAAATGGTGCAAGTACCAAGAAGGGCAGGTGGGCAGAGATAGTACAGAGGTCATTCCAGGTCTTGTTTGGAGGGCTTCCTGGAGGAGGTGGCATCTGAGATGTGAGCAAAAGGAGAGTAGGTGTTAACTAGGAGAAAGGTAGGGAAGAGTGTTCTGGCCAGAGGCATCAGCACAGGCCCTGGTTGGATGTTAGAGAGCCAGGTGTATAAACAACATGTGGGTTGAGGATTTGCATGTGCAAGGCCCACACATAGTGGCTGGTCACTAAATACGAATTGTGTGTGTGACTCTGAGTGCCTTCCCAGGGATGGCCGTCCACACGTGAGGGTGCTAGTATACTGCTGGGATTCCCAGGCACATGTTCTGGGGAGCAGAGGCACAGGGCAGGCCACACAAGTTCAAATCTTTTGTGTTTTGAGGCAGGGTCTCACTCTGTTGCCCAGGCTGGAGTGCAGTGGTGTGATCACAGCTCACTGCAGCTCCAGCCTCCCAGGCTTAAGCAATCCTCCCACCTTAGCCTCCCCAGTAGCTAAGATTACAGGCATGCACCACCACACCTGGCTTAATTTTTGTTTTTGTTTTTGTTTTTTTTTAGAAACGAGGTCTTGCCATGTTGCCCAGGCTGGTCTCGAACTCCTGGGCTCAAGCAATCCTCCTGCCTCAGTTTTCCAAAGTACTGGGATTACAGGCCTCCGCCACTGCATCCAGTATGTTCAAACTTTGATACCGATACATACAACATCATGGATGAGCCCCCAAAACAGTGTGCAAGCAAAAGAAGCCAGACACAAAAGGTTGCACATTTTATGATTTCATTTATATGAAATGTCCAGAACAGGTGAATTCATGGAAAAAATGTGGAGTAGCGGTTGTCAGGGGTTGGGGGAGGGGGCGTGAAGAGTGACTGCTAATGGTGACAGGGCTTCTTTTGGGGGTGATGAAAATATTCTGGAATTCAATAGTGGTGATGGTTGCACAATTTTGTGAATATACTAAAAACCACTTAGTTAAAGACTTTAAAGGGGTGAATTTATGGTATATGAACTATATCTCAATAATATATATCATTATATTTATATATAGTGTGTATACGTACTATATATGTGTACATATATACAGTATATATACTGTGTATGTGTGTGTACATGTGTGCATGTCTGTGTATGTGTGTGTACGTGTGTGTGCGTGTGTGTGCATGTGTGTGTGTGCATGCGTGTGTGCATGTGTGTGTGTGTGTGTGCATGCGTGTGTCTGAAAAAACAGTACTTTGAGCCACGCTGGCCTTGGTTTGGTTCCTGGCTCTGCCATTGTACCTTGTGACTTTGGACAAGTCACTGCACCTATCTGAACTCCACATTCTCTTTCTATAAAAAGCAGATAGTGGCTGGGCGTGTGGCTCCCACCATTTTGGGAGGCCAAGGCAGGAGGATCACTGGAGCCCAGCAGGTTGAGGCTGCAGCGAGCTATGACCACATCACTGCACTTCAGCCTGGATGACAGAGGGAGACACTGTCTCAAAAAACAACAATGGCTGGGCGTGGTGGCACACGTCTGTAACCCCAGCTACTCAGGAGGCTGAGGTGGGAGGATCGTTTGAGCTGAGGAGGCAGAGGTTACAGTGAGCCAAGATCGCAGCACTGCATTCCAGCCTGGACAACTGAGTGAGACCCTGTCTCAAAGGAAAAAAAATTAAAAAATAAGGCCGAGTGAAGTGGTTCACACCTGTAATCCCAGAACTTTGGGAGGCTGAGGCAGGTGGATCATCTGAGAGATGGAGTCTCTCTCTCTCACCCAGGCTGGAGTGCAGTGGCACAATCTCAGCTCACTGCAACCTCCACCTCCTGGGTTCAAGCGATTCTTCTGTCTCAGCCTCCCAAGTAGTTGGGATTACAGACATCCACCACCACGCCTGGCTAATTTTTTTGTATTTTTAGTAGAGACAGGGTTGCACCATGTTGGCCAGGCTGGTCTCAAACTCCTGACCTCAGATGATCCACCCTCCTTGGCCTCCCAAAGTACTGGGGTTACAGGTGTGAGCCACCACACCCGGCCATGGGAGGCATTTCTATGGACTCATGTGTCCTCTTGCAGGCGACTCTGTGTCCGTGGCATGCAGTATGTGTGTGCGTGCGTGTGAACATGTCCATGTCTCCAGCTGTGAATATGACTGCATAGCGGGGTGTGAGCGTGTGTATGCGTTTCAGCCTGTGAGTGTAGGTTCAGACACAGGCCATCGTGGGCACCCTGGGGTGAGCACGCACCCAACTTCACGAGTCCGGCCTGGGAAGCGTGTCTGCCTGCAACCTGCGGTGGGCACTGCCAACTCTTCCACTCACCGTCGTCCAAGGAATACACACATGTATCCTGGCATCCAGTCCTGAGTGTGGGAGCCCAGAACGGCCCGTGCCAGCTGACTGAGGCTTGGTGCCCTGTGACTACTCCTTCCTGACCCAGCGTGAACTTGAAGGGGTCTGGGGAGCTGGGGGTGTTGCATCCCCCGGGTCCTCTCAACCCAGAGTTTTCCCCAGAGACTGACCAGCCAGACACCGACAATTCAAGACTCCTAGCCAGGCTGTGGCTCCTCCATTCTGAGCCTCAGTCTCTTCTTTGGGAAGATGGGACAACAGCATCTTCCTCACGGGGCCACAGTAAGTTTATAGGTGTTTACAGTTGAGTCCCAGAGAAGACTGAATCAACCTAGCTGCTATTATTAATTCAATGAAACAGCATCCTTCAAAGCCAGTTCCTGTACTTCCCTGGCTTCGGTCAGGGAGACCGTGGAATACTTTCATAAATGACAACAACAATAACAACTGCAAGAGTACTAACAATAGGAGAGGGCCGGGCGCGGTGGCTCCCGCCTGTAATCCCAACACTGTGGGAGGCCGTGGCTGGAGGATCACTTAAGGCCAGGAATTTGAGACCAGACTGGGTAATATAGTGAGACCCTATTTCTTTTCTTTTTTTTCTTTTTTTTGAGATGGAGTCTCTCTCTGTCGCCCAGGCTGGAGTGCAGTGGCGCAATCTCAGCTCACTGCAAGCTCCGCCTCCCGGGTTCACGCCATTCTCCTGCCTCAGCCTCCCGAGTAGCTGGGACTACAGGTGCACGCCACCACACCCAGCTAACTTTCGTATTTTTAGTAGAGACAGGGTTTCACCCTCTTGGCCAGGCTGGTCTCGAACTCTTGACCTCACATGATCCGCCCACCTCGGCCTCCCACAGTCCTGGGATTACAGGCGTGAGCCACTGCGCCCAGCCTTCCACATCTTTTGTGGGGAAGACAATTCAAACCATAACAGGCATAAGCCACCACGCCCAGCTAAATCTAAAATTTTTAAATGAATGATCTTTTAAAAATTGGGGAAAAAAAACCATGATTCTGGAAGTACATTGAAGGAAGCCGGTCAAGGAATCTATATTTCAGGGTCTGTTGTTTGTTTGTTTGTTTGTTTTGAGACAGGGTCTCACTCTGTCACCCAGGCTGGAGTGTGGTGGTGCCATCACAGCTCACTGCAGCCTCAATCTTCAGGGCTCAAGTGCTCCTCCCGCCTCAGGCTCCCAAGTAGCTGGGACCACAGGCCCACACCACCATGCCCAGCTAATTTTTAAATTTTTTTGTAGAGATCTGGATCTCTCTATGTTTGCCCATGCTGGTCTCAAACTCCTGGGTTCAGGGATTCCTCCCCACCTCCCCCAAGCCTCCCAAAGTCTTGGGATTACAGAGAGTGAGCCACAGGGCCGGCCCAGGAATCTATATATCATTTAACCTCCTCAACAATCTATGAGCTAGGTAGCATTATCCCCCATTTTTCAGAGGGAGAAACTGAGGCACAGACAGGTGAAGGTCCTGGCTGAGGGTCCCACCACTGGGGCCCCTCCATGCCCTGTCTCCACTTGGGGCTCAGGAGCCTGAGATCCTGCTGCACAGTTCTAGAGACCGAGGAGCAAGAATGGAACAATCCGGATGGAGACAGACCATCCGATCCCCGGGGGCATAGCCCTCCGAGCTGGCCTCGCCTCCCTACCCTACGAGGTTGACCAACGAAGAGCCAGAGACTGGGAGCGGTGGCTCAGACCTGTAATCTCAGCATTTTGCAGGCCAAGTCGGGCGTGAGGTCAGGAGTTTGAGACCAGTCTGGCCAACATGGTGAAACCCCATCTCTACTAAAAATACAAAAACTAGTGGGTGTGGTAGTGGGTCCTTGTGGTCCCAGCTACTCAGGAGAATCGCTTGAACCCAGGAGGTGGAGGCTGCAGGGAGGCGAGATCGTGCCACTGCACTCCAGCCTGGGCGATGGAGTGAGACTGTCTCAAAAGAAAGAAAAAGAAAAGCCAGAGCTTTTCCAGGCCGCCGCTAGGCGCACCCTTGCCCCACCTGGTCCTTCCCCACCTGGAGCCCCCTTGGGTTTTGGCCCCACATGTTCTCCCGCACCCCAATCCCTCAAGAGCCCCTCGCCCTCTGTCACTCTTCCCAGGTGCCCTCCCCTCTTGGGCTCCATCTCAGGGATCCCCACTCCATCACCCCCTACCCCCTCGGGGCTCCCGCCTCTTCGCCTCCATTCTCCCCTCCCCCAACCCCTTCGGGACTCCTACCTGTCTACCCCCCTCCCGGGGTTTCCCTGTTGGTTCAGGGCTGTGGGGGATTCCCCTTCCCCTTCTTGGGCTCCCCTCTCCCCACTTCAGTTCTCCCCTCCTCCTAGCCCCAGGCGGGATCCTCTCCCCTCCCCGCTTCTCCCTCTGGGACTTCCCCCTCCTTCTCTCTCTCCCTCCCCCGTCGGGGCTCCCCCGATCCCCGTGACTCCTAGGGAGCCGCTGGGGTTTTCCTCATGCGCCCACGTGAGGCTCCGTGGAAAGGTCGCGGCCTGCGGGCAGGACCACCCCACCCCCTCCCCACTCCCCCCTAGTTCCCAGGCTTGGGGGCTGCAGGGCAGAGGGGAACCGAGGTCGTCCCGGCGCCTGGCCAGGGCGGGCCCACTCTGCAGACCCGGGGCGGGAAGACTGAGGCCGGGCACGGAAGGGCTGGGCCACGCTCCCAGCCCGGGGCAGGGGGAGTCACCACCGCGCCTGCAACTTTGGGAGAAGTAGGAGGTGGCTGGCCAGGGCTCGCAGTTTCGGTTTACAGGCAAAACGCAGCACTGCGCCAAGCCCGGCTGGCCCGGAGGCCGACTTCCTGGGGTATTTTTCTGCTTGTTGATTTTAGTTTGCGGAAATAAAAAAAGTTTTTTTCTTTAGTGCAAAAGAGAGGCCTATCCTGGGATGGAGAAGGCTGTGGTGGGCTGGGGGGGCACTCCCTGGGGAAGCCTCCAAAAGCGCTCTTCCTTGCAAGCCCTGAGCTCACCTCGCTGTGTGGTACCAGGTGCCCCCTTGACCGATCCGGACCTTGGGCTGCGGTGGCCGCCTAGGCGGTCAGGGGCTGCAGCCAGCACCCCCTCCCGCTGAAATGCCTCCATATGTGCCCAGAGCTTGGGGTTGGCTCCTGCACAGCCAGTAACAGTGGTGGCACGGCGGCCAGGTTTCGTAATAAACCGGTCTCTTAATTGCTGCAGGGTAGGAGGAGAAGGAAAAAAAAAAAGAGGCATAGATTTGTTGGAGTCGGTGGCGGCGCCTGCTGCGGAGAGAAGGGGTACTGTTTCTGCACGGGAGCCTGGAGCTGCTAACAGGGGCTTAAGTAACACTTCCTGGTGAGCTGGCGGGGGTTGTGGGGGGTGAAGCGTGTCCCCGGGGAGGGGGCAGGGGTCCTAGTTGTTCTAGAAGCCGAAAACATACAAGCAACCAGAGGCTTTAGAAATTTATTACAAGGCCCTCATAGTAGAAATAAAAATATAGATATCTATGCTTCCCATCTCGCTCTCAGTGGTTCGAATAACAAGTGCAAGTAACAAAATAGATTGTCTCTATAATTCGCAAACTGGGAGTTCATGGGTACAGAGCAACTTCAGCCCCAGCTCCCAAGTCCCAAAGTGTGGTCTTGTCGAGGGTGCAGACAAGGACCAACCAAGTTCAACCAAGTCTCTCGTATGCAGACGCCAGCTCCAGTCTCAAGGAGGGTGGGGCTTGCAGTCAGTCTCACTCCACCCCCGAGTGGACAGTCTGGACCCTCCGTGATGGGGAAGGCGGCAGCGTGCCCCGCCACTCCGGCTTCTGCTCCATCCCAAGGCCTCAGCTTCGGGGGTCCTGTCTCCTGCTGGCCTGGGTCCCCCCTTCTCCATCGGATCGGCGGCCGCCAGCTCCTGGATCTCCGCCCTGGGGGCGGCCGCTCACTCCCCTTCTCCTCCTCCTCTTCCTCTTCAGTCTCCAACGACTCTGCCCCCGATGGTCCTCGTGGGTTGGGTTGTTTTGGGGGGGTTGTGCTGGGGGGGAGGGGGTTCAAATATTTATTGTATTTTTTGTTTGTGGCAGCAACTCAACAGATTCTGCTGCTGGGAAGGGCCTCAGCGTTCCTGAAGAGAGATGTAGGGGACCCACTGGTTGTTGCCCCGGCTTTCTTCGCAGTAGCTGGCCACCTCCACCAAGCCGTGGCTCTTCCAGGCGTCCGTGTGAGGGTTCTGTAGGAGGGAAAAGAAGGGGTTTAGTGGAGCCTCCCTCTCCCGGGGCCCCTGTGTGGGGAAAACAGTCAGGCTCAAAATAGCTTCCTGGGTGAGGAGGCCCCAGCCCGGCTGCCCACGGGACATGCCAAACGTGGCTGAGCGCTGAGCTGTGCAGGACCAGTCAGCCCGACTTTGTTGACAAACACCGGCCCAGGTGCCCGGGCGTGGCGGGGCAGGGCAGAGGCCCGACTCACCGTGACCAGGAGACAATGCAGGTCTCGGGCCTCGGTGGTGCCCTGGGTCTCGGCCGGCTCTCCCAGGAGCTGCGCCAGGCGCTGCATGCCCGACACCCGCACGATGTTGATGTCGTTGTCACAGCAGAAGGACTGGATGAGCGTGAAGTGGATTTGCAGGGCGATGTCATCCTCCTCCTCCTCGTCAATGGCCAAGAGGCAGAGGACCACGCTGTCTGGGTCCCTGAGGGGGCCAAAGGGTAGGGATGGGTCAGCCGGGGACAGGGGAGGGGCCACCGTGCAGGGGGAGTTTGCAAAAAAGGAGCGTGCAAGAGCAAAAGAGAAACTGCAAGGGTGCAGGGGATTGCCTCTGCAAGCTGGTGACGGTGGGGGGAGGGGAGGGCACACGGTTCAAAGTATGGGGTAGGGGGAGACAGGCCCACGGCGGGAGGGGTGTTTGCAGACGATACATCAGGATACGGCAGCCCCCGATCCACAAAACGGCAGAGAAGCTCTGCATCCACAGCGGGGGGCACTTGGGGAAGTCCCAGCTCCATGCAAGACAAGCGTGCGGAAAGCGTCCAGAGCGGAGGGGAGGTCCCGTCCCACCCGCGCCCAGCCCGGGAAGGGGGTCTGACTCACACATTCATCAACTTGGCCGACTCGTACACCCCCACTGTGAGGCGATCCTGGCGCTGAGCGGCCACCAAAAGCTCCTCCACCGCGGCGGTCACCGTCTGCATCCTGAGACCAGGAAAGAGGGATCAGTGACGGGCGGACCACCGGGTGCTACGTTCCGCTCCCGGCCCGGCCCAACCCGACCCATCCCGTCCCGGCTGACCTCAGGCGGCGGCAGCCCCGGCTACTTACTTCTGCGCCGCGTTGTCGCACGCCACGAGCTCTTCCAGCGTCATGTTGCAATTATAATCCACAGTGGATGCGGCTCCACGGCAGTCCCCAGGGAGAAATTGCAAAATCCGAGCCAGAGAGCCCAAAACCTTCCCACAGAGCTAGAGCGCTCGTCCAAGACCTTCGGGAAGCAGCGAAATCCTTCCAGAAAAGGCGGAAAAATATATTGCAAAGTCCTTGGCGAGGATAATCCAGGAAGTTGCGGAAACCAACGGTAGTCCGACGCTTCGGCGATCTGAGCTGGGAGCCTCCGGCACCGACTTTTATAGACTTGAACATTGGGCGTGGCCTCAGTGGAGTCATTCGCCCCTCCTATTGGTGGAAAGACAAGGGCGAGTGCAGCTAGCTCTGCGGTTGGCCGACGGAGGGGAGGGGGAGGAGCGGCGTGCGGGGGCGCCCCACGTGGGGGCGAGAACCGGGAGGAGGGCGCGCGGGGGCCGGGTAGGTGACCGCGAATGCCAGAAAAGAAAAAAAAGCAGAAGTTTTTTTCTCCTGATTTCCCGGCAGCCGAGCCGCGGTTCGGGGCGCGCGCGGGATTTCCAGCGCGCGAGGCGGCCCGGACTTTCGGGGGGGCCTGGAATCCCCTCCCGATCCGCGGAGAGTCCCGGACCGCGCCTTTCCCAAGTTCTGCTGGGGGTGGAGGGGCTGCACCGGGAAGGGGCCCCGTTTGCAGCGTGATCTCGCCCAGGTGGTGGTGAGGGCCGGAGTCTCTCCTGGCTGCGACGACCCCAGCCCCTGGGTGATTTCGCTTCTCCCGGCCTCTCTGTTCCCGTCTGAGTAATGGGTCTGCAGCGCCGGCCTCGCTGGTTTGCAGAGCATGGCATAAAATACGGCTGACAGTAAGAGCCCAATACACATCAGCTGTCACCTGGTGGTCGCGGGAGGCCTCCTCGAGGGCCCCGAAAGTGGGAGGTTGCAAAGCCCGGGGCGCTCTGGAGAAGAAAGTGGGCGCCTCCTCGCCGACCCCGCGAGTATCAGGGTGGGGTGCGCGTGGGAGGTGCAGGTGGCGCGGCCCCGCCCCCGCCGGCTGCCTGGCGTTCCAGCCTTTGCCCGTGCGGAGGCCTCCAGGCCCTGGAGAAAGCCATTGTTGAGGGGAATGGTGCAGGCTCCGGCTGCACGCCGCCACCCAGGGCCCACGTGCAAGGATGACGGCTACTTTTATTTCTCACTCCGGGGTGGGCGCTGACCTGCATTGAGTGCGTGGTGCGGACCTGGTACCCCCCACCCCTCCGGATTCATGGATGATTTAATCCAAGACCTGGGAAGCAGGGGGGATGCTTATGTGCATTATGCAAAAGGGGAAACTGAGGCTTGGTGAGGCCATAGGCTAGTTCGTGTTGGAGCCACGCGTGTGCGCCAGGCACGGCCGCCTGCAGGACTCCGCCGCCCCGGGAAGGCTGTTCAGGAGCGAGGCTGGCAGGCCCCGCATGACAACGTCTCCCACGGTCGACTGGGGGCTCCCGGGTGACTCACATCTGAGTCCCCTCCCCCGCCAGCCTGGGGTCTGGCCTCCGCCCGGCGGCTCACTTTCCCCAGTTGCCCGGCTCCCCGGCCCGCGGGTCCGGCTGACGCATCCCACCTCCTCCGCGCCGCCCACCGCTGGGGCACGAAATGTCCCGGGGCTGCGAGGCGCGGTGGCGCCATCTGGTGGCCGCGCCGAGTTTCTGCGCCCTCAGCGCCGGAAGAGAGGGACGGACGGGCGGGGCACTGGGCTGGAGGCGGGGGATAAGGGGACCGTGGCGGTTGCAACGTTTTATGTAACTTTATGCAATGTTTTACGCATGCAACATACATATTTATATTTTATAATTTCAATTTAAAAGTTAAATCGGCCGGGCGCGGTGGCTTACGCCTGTAATCCCAGCACTTTGGGAGTCCGAGGCGGGCGGATCAACTGAGGTCAGGAGTTCGAGACCAACCTGACCAACATGGCCAACATGAGCTGAAGATAAGGAAGATCAGGGAGGTGGGTGGGATAAGTGCAAAGTCAGATTCTGTCTTTATTTACAATTTTGATATTTTGTTCCTCATGGATACTTGGGCATTGATTTTGATTTTTAAAAAGTATTGCAGGCTGGGTAATCCCAGCACATTAGGAGGCTGAGGCGGGCAGATCGTGAGGTCAGTTCGAGACCAGCCTGACCAACATGGTGAAACCCTGTCTCTACTAAAAACACAAAAATTAGCTGGGCGTGGTGGCACGCGCCTGTAATCCCAGCTTACTCAGGAGGCTGAGGCAGGAGTATCACTTGAACCCAGGAGGTGGAGGTTGCAGTGAGCCGAGATCATGCCACTGCACATGGCATGGTGACAGAGAGAGACTCCATCCTCCCCAAAACAAACAAACAAACAAACAAACAAACAAAAAGGCCGGGCACGGTAGCTCACTCCTGTAATCCCAGCACTTGGGGAGTCTGAGGCAGGAGGATCACCTGAGGCTGGGAATTCAAGACCAGCCTGACCAACCTGGAGAAACCCCATCTCTACTAAAAATACAAAATCAGTCGGGCGTGGTGGCACATGCCTGTAATCCCAGCTACTCTGGGGGCTGAGGCAGGAGAATTGCTTGAACTTGGGAGGCAGAGGTTGCAGTAAGCCGAGATTGCAGTGAGCCGAGATCGTGCCACTGCACTCCAGCCTGAGTGACAGAGTGAGACTCAGTCTTTAAAAAAAAAAAAAAGAAAGAAAGAATGGGGTGTGTTGTGTGCACCCAGCTACTCCGGAGGCTGAGACAGGAGGATCACTTGAGCCCAGGGGTTCCTGGCTGCAGTGAGCCGGGATTGCACAGTTGCATTCCAGCCTGGGCAACAGAGTGAGACCCCGTCTCAAATAAATAAATAAAATAAGGGCTGGGCACGGTGGCTCATGCCTGTAATCCCAGCACTTTGGGAGGCTGAGGCAGGTGGATCATCTGGGGTCAGGAGTTCAAAACCAACCTGGCCAACATGGTGAAACCCCGTCTCTACAAAAAATACAAAAATTACCTGGGCATGGTGGCACATGCCTATAATCCCAGCTACTCGGGAGGCTGAGGCAGGAGAATCGCTTGAACCCGGGAGGTGGAGGTTGCAGTGAGCCGAGATTGCACCACTGCATTCCAGCCTGGGAGACAGAGCGAGACACTGTGTCAAAAATAAAGCAAATAAAATAAATAAAATAAGGCGAGCAAAGCAGGGCCTCAGAGAATATGTGTCCAAGTCCTTCTTCCGTGTGTCCCCCGTGCCAGCCATAACAACCTCCTCTGCGAGAGGCCCAGCCTTTGTCAGCTGTTTCCTCCGCCTGGGATGCTGTCTTCCTCTGGTCTTCAGCAGGAAAACCCTACTCCTCTGTCAACACTGACTTGGCCTTGTTTTCTCCCAGACTGACTGCCTGGACCCCCATGGTCCTCCACCCTCCAGGCTTCTCTTTCTAGACCCCAAGCCCACCTGTGCCTCCTTTTTCCAGCCCTGGCTCCAGGCATCTTAGAATATCTGGAGTATCTTGGAATATCTTCAAGAGACTCTGAGCTCTGTGCCTTTGAGCTCAGAAAATGAGCTCCAGCCGGGCCAGGCGTGGTGGCTCATGCCTGTAATCCCAGCATGTTGGGAGGCCGAGGCGGGTGGATCACCCGAGGTCAGGAGTTCAAGACCAGCCTGGCCAGCATGGTGAAACTCCATCTCTACTAAAAATATAAAAATTAGCCAGGCATGGTGGCGCATGCCTGTAGTCCCAGCTACTCAGGAGGCTGAGGCAGGAGAATCGCTTGAACTCGGGAGGTGGAGGTTGCAATGAGCCGAGATCGTGCCACTGCACTCCAGCCTGGACAACAAGAGTGAGACTCTTTCTCAAAAAAAAAAAAAAAAAGAAAATGAGCTCCAGCCTCAGTTTCTTTCTCTGTAAGATGGGAACAGTCACACAAAGGCTTCATCACAGGCATTGAAGGAGGAAATTCCCAGAATCAGGTAAGCACTCAGGAAATGTGTGCTATTATCTTTGGGCTGGGCGCCAGAACTCACCTCTGTAATCCCAGCACTTTTGGAGGCCGAGGCAGGAGGATTGCTTGAGCCCAGGAGTTTGAGACCAGCCTGGGCAACATAGGGAGACCCCATCTCTACAAAAATTTTAAAAATTAGCCGACCGTGGTGGTGCGCACCTGTAGTCCCAGCTACGTGAGAGGCTGAGGTGGGAGGATCACTTGAGCCTGGGAGTTTGAGGCTGCAGTGAGCTATGATTGTGTCGCTGCACTCCAGCCTGGGCAACAGAGGGAGACCCTGTGTCTAAAAATAAAATAAAATAAAAAATGAGATCAATAACAGTGTCGCCGAGGCCATCTTGGAGCCTGAGGTGAGAGGAATAATCAGTATGAGTAATCCTGTCATAATCTTTTTTTTTTTTTTTTTTTTTAGACAGAATCTCGCTCTGTCACCCAGACTGGAGTGCAGTGGCGCAATCTCAGCTCACTGCAACCTCCACCTCCTGGGTTCAAGTGACTCTCCTGCCTCAGCTTCTCAAGTAGCTAGGACTACAGGCGCCCTCCACCACACCTAGCTAATTTTTTGTATTTTTAGTAGAGACAGGGTTTTGCCATGTTGGCCAGGCTGATCTCGAACTCCTGACCTCAAATGATCTGCCTGCCTCGGCCTCCCAAAGTGTTGGAATTACAGGCGTGAGTCACCGTATTTGGCTTTAAACAAAATAAATTTTTAAAATTTTATCCAGCATAGAGGTTTTTGCATTCATTCAGAGTTAAAAAAAAAATGTGGCCGGGTGTGGTGGCTCACGCCTGTAATCCCAGCACTTTGGGAGGCTGAGGTGGGCAGATCACGAGGTCAGGAGATCGAGACCATCCCAGCTAACACAGTGAAACCCTGTCTCTACTAAAAATACAAAAAATTAGCCGGGCGTGGTGGCGGGCGCCTGTAGTGCCAGCTACTCAGGAGGCTGAGGCAGGAGAATGGTGTGAACCCAGGAGGTGGAGCTTGCAGTGAACCGAGATCGCGCTACTGCACTCCAGCCTGGGTGACAGAGCAAGACTCCATCTCAAAAAAATAAGTAAATAAAAATAAAAAATAAAAAAACGTACTGCAGGCTGGGCACGGTGTTGCGGGGGGGCTTTGAAGTGATTAGGGTCAGATGAGCTCATGAGAGTGGAGTCTTCTAATGAGATTAGTTCCTTTCTCTTTTTCTTTTTTGAGACAAGGTCTCCCTGTATTGCCCAGGCTGGAGTGCAGTGGTGTGATCATGACTTCGTGCAGCCTCTGTCTCTAAGGGTAGACTCATGCCTGTAATCTCAGCCCCTTGGGGGCCAAGTGGGGAGGATCGCTTGAGCTCAGGAGTTCGAGACCAGCCTGGGCAACCTGGCAAGACTCCCATCTCTACAAATAATTTTTTTTTTGAGACGGAGTCTCGCTCTGTCACCCAGGCTCTGTCACCCAGGAGTGCAGTGGTGTGATCTCGGCTACTGCAAGCTCCGCCTCCCAGGTTCACGCCATTCTCCTGCCTCAGCCTCCAGAGTAGCTGGGACTACAGGCGCCCGCCACCTCGCCCGGCTAATTGTTTGTATTTTTAGTAGAGATGGGGTTTCACCGTGTTAGCCAGGATGGTCTCGATCTCCTGACCTCGTGATCCGCCCACCTCGGCCTCCCAAAATGCTGGGATTACAGGTGTTACCCACCACGCCTGGCCTTTTTTTTTTTTTTTTTTTTTGAGACGAAGTCTCTCTCTGTCTCCCAGGCTGGAGTGCAGTGGCACAATCTCAGCTCACTGCAACCTCTGCCTCCCGAGTTCAAGTGATTCTTCTGCCTCAGCCTCCCAAGTAGCTGGGATTACACTGCGCCCGGCTAATTTTTAGTAGAGATGGGGTTTCACATCTTGGCCAGGTTGGTTTCGTACTCCTGACCTCATGATCCACCCGCCTCGAGTTCCCAAAGTGCTGGGATTACAGGTGTGAGCTACCGCACGCAGCCACAAATAATTTTTTAAAAATTAGCCAGGTCTGATGGGCACACCTGTAGTCCCAACTACTCGGGAGGCTAAAGCAGGAGGATCACTTGAGCCCAGGAGTTTGAGGCTGCAGTGAGCTATGATCGCACCACTGCACTCCAGCCTGGGCGACAAAACAAGGCCCTGCCTCAAAAAGAAAAAAAAAAGTGGGGGCGGGCTGGGTGCAGTGGCTCATGCCTGTGATCCCAGCACTTTGGAAGGCCAAGGAGGGCAGATCACTTGAGGTCAGGAGTTCGAGACTAGCCCGGACAACATGGCGAAACCCCGTCTCTACTAAAAATACAAAAAGTTGGCCAGGCGTGGTGGCAGATGCCTGTAATCCCAGCTACTCAGGAGGCCGAGTCAGGAGACTCACTTGAGCCTGGGAGGTAGACATTGCAGTGAGCCGAGATCATGCCACTGCACCCCACCTGGACAACAGAGCAGGACTCTGTCTCAAAAAAAAAAAACGGTAAAAAGTCAGGTTCAAGGGGCTCTGGGGGCAGAGGTCCCAGGCAGCAGGCACAGTGTTTGAAAAGGCCCTGACGCAGGACCTCACCTGTTGCATTTGAGGAATCCCAAGGAGGCCCTGGGGGTGGAACAGAGTAAGCAAGAGGGAGAGCCGGGAAGATGAGCTCACAGAGACGGGCTTTGGGGGCTGCGGGGAGGGGTCTGCGTGTCACTCCGGATGTAGCCAGGAAGTGATTGGCAGCGGCTGGGCTCTGACATCATGTTTTTCTGCAAAGATGAACAAAACGAGCAAGACATGACTCCTGTCCCCAAGGAGAGGTTTCGGGATGGAGCTGAGTCATCATTTGAACTTGCAGACATTTGTAAGACAGGCCTGGGGTGGGAGGAGGTGGGATCACCACGCCAGGTGGCAGCGGAGGCTACGGCGAAGGCTGAGGCACATTTGGGAAATTCTGAGGACAGTGGCAGGGGAGGGGCAGGGAAACTGTGCACAGCAAGAGGCTGGCAGGTCTGGGACTATGCCTCGCAGAGAGAGGGAGAAGGAGAGGCTCTGTCTGAGGTCACGTTTGCCTGGTTCAAATCCCACCTGCAGCCGTCATCAGCTGTGTGTCCTTGGGTTGGTGGCTTAGCCTCCCTGAAACTCCCTCTTTTCATGGGAAAAGTCAGGTTGTGGAAATGTTTACCCAAAACAAGGACCTAGAATGGGCTTGGCATAGAAAGTGCTCCGTACACCTCCCCTACTGTAGTGACCTCGAAAGCCACTCGAATGCCGGACGCGGTGACTCACACCTGTAATCCCAACACTTTGGGAGGCCAAGGCGAATGGATCACTTGAGGTCAGGAGTTCGAGACCAGCCTGGCCCACATGGTGAAACCCCCTCTCTCCTAAAAATGCAAAAATTAGCTGGGTGTGGCGGAAGGCGCCTGTAATCCCAGCTACTCCGAGAGGCTGAGGCACGAGAATCGCTTGAACCCGGGAGACGGAGCTTGCAGTGAGCTGAGATCGCACCACTGCACTCCAGCCTGGGAGACAGAGTGAGACTCTGACTCTGTCTCAAAAAAAAAAAAAAAACAGAACGGTATATCCATCAGGCAGGACATTCCTGGGGCCTAAGAGTCACCTCCCAGTGGCTGAAACAAAAGCCAGATCTCTCTCTGGTCGAGGCAAAATTTCTTGCTACACAATGGACAGGAATCATTCGCCTTGCACTGAGTATTTTACAACTTACACACTTGCTCACAGACATCGGAACAGCTGGAACCCCCGGCAGCAGGCATTGCAGACAATGCTAGCATGGTGGGCAGCTTCGGGCCTGGCTCCAGTGATCCCCCAGGGTGGTTAATTTTTTTTTTTTTTTTTTTCTTAGAGATGGGCTTCGCTCTATTGCCCAGGCTTGAATGCAGTGACATCGCAGCTCACTGCAGCCTTGAACTCCTGACTTAAGGAATCTTCCCATCTCAGCCTCCCAAATAGCTGGGATTGCAGGCATGGGCCACCACACCCCGCTATGCAGGGGTTCTTCCTGCCCACTGCATAAAGAAAGACCACGTGACTGGGTGCAGGGGCTCACGCCTGTAATCCCAGCACTTTGGGAGGCCAAAGTGGGAGGATTCCTTGAGTCCAGGAGTTTGAGACCAGCCTGGGCAACATAGGGAGACCCCCAGTCTAACAAAGTATTTTACTTAAAAAAAAAAAAAAAATAGAGGCTGGGCGCGGTGGTTCACACCTGTAATCCCAGCACTTTGGGAGGCCGAGGTGGGCAGATCACCTGAGGTCGGGAGTTCGAGACCAGCCTGGCCAACATGGAGAAACCCCGTCTCTACTAAAAATACAAAATTAGCCGAGCATAGTGGTGGCGGGCGCCTGTAATCCCAGCTATTCGGGAGGCTGAGGCAGGAGAATCGCTTGAACCCGGGAGGCGGAGATTGCAGTGAGCTGAGATTGAGCCACTGCACTCCAGCCTGGGCAACAGGGTGAGACTGTCTCAAAAAAAAAAAAAAGAAAAGAAAGGAAACAACGAAAGAGAAAGAGACCACAGCATTGTAGTAGAGAAAGAGTTTAATAGACATGAGGCTGGCCACGCCACGTGGGAGATGGAATTCATAAATCAACTTGTTCAAACCTCATAGGTTAGAGGTTTTTCTTTATTGCGACGAGTCTCGCTCTGTCACCAAGGCTGGGGTGCAGTGGCGCCACCTCAGCTCACTGCAACCTCTGCCTCCTGGGTTCAAGCAATTCGCAACCTCTGCCTCCTGGGTTCAGGAGGTTCTCCCGCCTCAGCCTTCTGAATAGCTGGGATTACAGGTGCACGCCACCACATCCAGCTAATTTTTTTTTTTTTTTTTTTGGTGGAGATGGAGTTTCACCATGTTGGCCAAGCTGGTCTCGAACTCCTAACCTCAGGTGATCCGTTCACCTCAGCCTCCCAAAGTGCTGAGATTCCAGGCGTGAGCCTCCACGCCCAGCCTAGGTTAGGGGTTTTTCAAGGGCAGTTTTGTGGGAAGGAGTGGGAGTGGGCCAGGTAAACAGGTGCTTGCTGCTGGTTGGTTGGGGGCAGAGATGGACTCACAGCAGGTTGCAGGGGTCCTCCTGCCGGCCAGATCGCTTCTGTGTGGAACCTCAGGAGCAGGGTTGTCAGTCCAGGTGGAGCCACGGGTGTCAGACATGCAAAACACGTGGAAAGACATCTCAAAAGGCCAAACTACAATAATGGTGTTATTTGCAGGAGTAATTGGGGGAACCACATCTCTTTTTTTTTGTTTTTTTTTTGTTTTTTTTTTGTTTTTTTGCATGCTGAGTTTCGCTTTGTCGCCCAGGCTGGAGTGCAGTGGTGAGATCTCGGCTCACTGCAACCTCTGCCTCCCAGGTTCAAGCGATTCTCCTGCCTCAGCCTCCCAAGTATTTGGGACTACAGGCATGGGCTACCAAGCCTGGTTAATTTTTGTATTTTTAGTACAGATGGGGTTGCACCATGTTGGCCAGGCTGGTCTTGAACTCCTGGCCTCAAGTGATCCACCCGCCTTGGCCTCCCAAAGTGCTGGGATTACAGGCGTGAGCCGCCGCACCTGGCCTGGAAGCTGCATATCTTATAACCTCCAGAATAACGTTTGCACCTTAACAGATGTCAGGCTCCCCTCCTCCCTCAACCTGAAGGCCTCAGGTTAGCTTGACAAAAGCTGTTGGGTTTTGTGCAAGGTCTACTATCACTTAAACTGTAGCCTAAATGTCTTCCCAAGTTAGCTGGGCCCAATAGCCCAGGAATAATTAAGGCAAGATGGGGGTTAGTTAGTTTAGCCTACTGTTATAATTTTCTCGGCTGGACGTGGTGGCTCACGCCTGTAATTCCAGCACTTTGGGAGGCCAAGGCGGGCGGATCACGAGGTCATGAGATCGAGACCATCCTGGCCAACATGGTGAAACCCCATC
Source organism: Homo sapiens (assembly GCF_000001405.40). Classification (NCBI taxonomy): domain Eukaryota; kingdom Metazoa; phylum Chordata; class Mammalia; order Primates; family Hominidae; genus Homo; species Homo sapiens. The sequence continues at coordinate 2,466,504 of NC_000019.10, read as the reverse complement.
TCTACTAAAAATACAAAACTTAGCTGGGCATGGTGGCGCGTGCCTGTAGTCCCAGCTATTTGGGAGGCTGAGGCAGCAGAATCGCTTGAACCCGGGAGGCGGAGGTTGCAGTGAGCCGAGATTGTGCCACTGCACTCCAGCCTGGGCGACAGAGCGAGACTCCGTCTCAAAAAAAAAAAATTTTTTTTTCTCACTGATAGAACTTTTGCAAAGGCGCTTTCAGCTAATTTTATTTTTTGTAGATATGGGGCCCTGCTCTGTTACCCAGGCTGGTCTTGAACTCCTGGCCTCAAGCGATCCTTCCTCCTTGGCCTCCCAAAGGGCTGGGATCACAGGATGAGCAGCTACTGCACCCGGCTGTATGATGCTTAATTTTTTTTTTTTTTTTTTTTTTTTTGGTGACAGAATCTCAGTCTCAGTCTGTCACCCGGGATGGAGTGCAGTGGTGCAATCTTGGCTCACTGCAACCTCCACCTCATGGGTTCAAGTGATTCTTATGCCTCAACCTCCCCAGTAGCTGGGACTACAGGCACCTACCACCACGCCTGGCTAATTTATGTATTTTTTAGTAGAGACGGGGTTTTGCCATGTTGGCCAGGCTGGTCTTGAACTCCTGACCTCAAGTGATCCACCAGCCTCAGCCTCCCAAAGTGCTGGGATTACAGGCGTGAGCCACCGCGCCCCGCCCGGTGGTTAATTTTATATGCCATCATGGCTGGGCTGTGGGTGCCTGCATATTTGGTCAAACATTACTCTGTGCATGCCGGTGAGGGGGTTATTAGATGAGATGAGCCTTTGACCCTTTGCATCAGTAGACTCACTGAGTCACTCAAACCCACTACCCTCCCTAGCACGGGTGGGCCTTGCGGAATTCACTGAAGGCCCGGATGGAATACAGAGGCTGCCACTCCCCTGGGGAGCAGAGAATTCCTCCCACCTGAAGGCCTTCAGACTGGAACATCAGCTTTTTCCTGTCTTCAGACTCAAACAGAAAGATCAGCTCTCAGCCGGGCATGGTGGCTCACGCCTGTAATCCCAGCATTTTGGGAGGCAGGAGACTTGAGGTCAGGAGTTTGAGACCAGCCTTTCCAACATGGTGAAACCCTGTCTCTACTAAAAATACAAAAATTAGCCGGGCGTGATGGCGCATGCCTGTAATCCCAGCTACTCGGGAGGCTAAGGGGGGAGGATCATTTGAGCCCAGGAGGCAGAGGTTGCAGTGAGCCGAGATCATGCCACTGCTCTCCAGCTGGGGCAACAGAGCGAAGCTCCATCTCAAAAAAAATAAAAATAAAAAGGAACATCGGCTCTCTTGGGTCTCCAGCTTGCAGACTTCAGATGTTGTGACTTGTCAGCCCCCGTGCATCAATACCTTATAATAAATCTCTTGGCCGAGTGTGGTGGCTCACGCCTGTAATCCCAGCACTTTGGGAGGCCAAGGCAGGCGGATCACCTGAAGTCGGAAGTTCAAGACCAGCCTAATCAACATGGAGAAACCCCATCTCTACTAGAAATACAAAATTAGCCAGGTGTGGTGGCGCATGCCTGTAATCCCAGCTACTGGGGAGGCTGAGGCAGGAGAATCGCTTGAACCCGGGAAGCAGAGATTGTGGTGAGCCGAGATTGCATCATTGCACTCCAGCCTGGGCAACAAGAGCAAAACTCTGTCTCAAAAAAAAAAAAAAAATCTCTTATTCTCTCTCCCCTCCTGCTGGTTCTGTTTCTCTGGAGAACCCTGACTAATTCACCCCCAGCTCCTCCTGATGAACGGAGGCAGGCCCTGGACAGCAGTGGGCCAGGATTTGAGGCTCTTGGTCTAACAGTCTGCAAGGAACAGAATCCTTCTGACCACGTGTGAGTGAGTCTAGAAGTGGACTCTGCCCCAGAGACACCTTGGTTGCCACCTTTCAGAGCCCTGAGACAGAGGATGCCAAAGTTAAGCCACATCTGGATTCCTGACCCACAGAAACTGTGAGATAAGAAAAGTGAATATAAGCTGGGCACGGTGGCTCATGCCGGTAATTCCAGCACTCTGGGAGGCCAAGGCAGGCAGATGACTTGAGCCAAGGAGTTTGAGACCAGCCTGGGCAACATAGCGAGACCCTGTCTTGCCCTTTTCTAAGAGGCCCACCTCTACCCCTACTCCACACATGCCCCAGCATTTACCCCACTTTCTTTCTTCCTCATGCTCACCATCCTCTAGCATGCCATACAATTCACTTATTTATTTATTTATTTATTTATTTTTGAGACAGAGTCTCACTCCATCACCCAGGCTGGAGTGCAGTGGCATAATCTCGGCTCACTGCAACCTCCGCCTCCCGAGTTCAAGCAATTCTCGTGCCTCAGCCTCCTAAGTAGCTGAAATTACAAGCGTGCTCCCTCATGCCCGGCTAATTTTTGTATTTTTAATAGAGATAGGGTTTCACTGTGTTGGCTGGGCTGGTCTCAAACTCTTGGCTTCAGGTGATCTGCCCGCCTCGGCCTCCCAAAGTGTTGGGATTACAGGTGTGAGCCACCAAGCCCAGCCCTATTTATTTATTTTTGAGACAGGGTCTTACTCTTGTCACCCAGGCTGGAGGGCAGTGACTCAATCTCTGCTCACTGCAGCCTCTACCTTCTGGGCTCAAGTGATCCTCCCACCTGAGCCTCCCAAGTAGCTGGGACTGCAGGCATGAGTCACCACGCCTAGCTAATTTTTGTATATTTTGTAGAGATGGGCTTTCACTATGTTGTCCAGGCTGGTCTCGAACTCCTGGCCTCAAGCAATCCTTCTGCCTCGGCCTCTCTAAATGCTGGGATAGCAGGTGTGAACCACTGCGCCCTACCTAATTCACTTATTTATAATGTGTACTCGCTTCCCCTCTGTCCCCCCAGTGCCTGCCACAAAGTAGAAGCCACGCAAATATGTGTTGATTTCACTGTTCCATTCACTCATTTAACAGGCAGCTGCCAGCCACGGCCCCAGAGCTCTGCTTGCCTCCCGGATTTCTGTTGGGGTCACAAGGTTCCAACTCCAGGGTCCTGAATTCTGATCTTAGATACCAGGTTTGGCCTTCAAGTTCTGGAATCTATGTTCCAGAATTCGGCTTCCCAAGACCCACAGCCCAGAATCCAGGCTCCAGAATTCAGGCTCCCCGAGATCCAGGCTTCAGAATCCGAGCTCCCTCAGACCCAAGCTCCGAATCCGGGCTCCCTGAGATCCAGGTTCCGGAATCCGGGCTCCTGGAGATCCAGGCTCCGGAATCCGAGCTCCCTCAGATCCAGGTTCCGGAATCCGGGCTCCCCGAGATCCAGGCTCCGGAATCCGAGCTCCCTCAGAACCAGGCTCTGGAATCCGGGCTCCTCCAGATCCAGGTTCCGGAATCCGGGCTCCAGGCTCGCATTCCGGGCTGGGAGCCAGCCACAGCCGTTAGGCTGAGATTTTTAAAATCTGGCGCCAAAATCCACTCCCCGGGTGGGAGTGGCGGTGCCGGGTGGAGGTCAGTGGAATGGACGGGTCGGGACTGGGGCCCTCACGGGCTGCATAGTCCCAGGGTCCGGGATTTCTCTCCCGCGGCCCCGTACCCTCTCCCCAAAAGCAGACAGCAGTTGGTCACTAACTTTCTTTTCTTTTCTTTTCTTTTTTTTTTTTTCAGACGAAGGTTCGCTTTTGTAGCCCGGGCTGGAGTGCAATGGCGCGATCTTGGCTCACTGCAACCTCCGCCTCCTGGGTTCAAGCGATTCTCCTGCCTCAGCCTTCCGAGTAGCTGGGGTCACAGGCGCCTGCCACCACGCCCGGCTAATTTTTTTTTTTTTTTTTTTAAGTGGAGACGGGGTTTCGCCATGGTGGTCATTCTGGTCTCGCACTCCTGACCTCAGGTGATCCGCCCGCCTCGGACTCCCAAAGTTGGGATTACAGGCGTGAGCCACCGCGCCCAGCCAATTGGTCACTAATTTCTAGCTCCCGGGGGAAAGAGGGTCCCGCGTTCGAATCCCGCCTCCGCTACGCCCCTGGTGCGGATTCCCCGACCGGTCCCTAACCTTCCTGTGCCTCAGTTTTCCATAATGGAAATGGGCCCGGAGCCCCCTGGCGCGTGTGGTGCCTTGGGAGGCCCCTCGGAATGGACGGGGCAGCTTTGCGGGATGCCCCAGACCTCGGGCTCTGGGCGCAGCTGCCAGCAGCAGCCTGGGCGTGGGTGCCCCCGGGGGGACCACGGTCTCAGCTGTCACCGCCCCTCCCGTTCGGCGCCAAAATTTGAAAATTGCCCAGCGCCTCCCAAACTGCGCGCTGGGAGGGGGAAAGCCCCGGGCCCCACCCACGGGAAGCGCGGGGCTTTCTGGGACTTGGAGTCCAGTCCCTGGGGGTCCCGCGGGGATGGCTCTGGGCACCCGAAGCCCCTCCCCAGCGCCGAGACAGGAGGGCTGGGGTAGATTCGAGACCCCGGTTTGCAGAGCGCAAGACTGAGGCCCAGGGCCGCGCAGTCAGGCAGGAAACGGCGCTCCTGGCGGATGGAACAGCACGGGCAAAGGCTGGGTATGGGGGTATGTGGGGATGGAAGTGCCCAGAGGGGCAGCGCGATGGGGTTGGGGGCGGGACCCCGCAGGGCCTCCAGTAAGGGGCTAGTTGGGGGATCTGGTCAGCCAGTGGCCAAGGCCGGTGGTCAGTGAGAAGTTGATGCGGAGCGGGGGGGCGGTTTCAGATCAGTCTGAGGGTGGAGAATAGGAAAAGTGACCCGGCCGGGCGTGGTGGCTCATACCAGTAATCCCAGCACTTTGGGAGGCCGAGGCTGGCAGATCACCTGAGATCAGGAGTTCGAGACCAGCCTGGTCCAACATGGTGAAACCCCGTCTCTACTAAAAACACAAAAATTAGCCGGGCGTTGTGGCACATGCCTGTAGTCCCAGCTACTCAGGAGGCTCAGGCAGGAGAATCACAAGAACCCAGGAGGCGGAGGTTGCAGAGAGCTGAGATCGTGCACTTCAGCCTGGGCTACAGAGCAAGACTCTGTCTCAAAAAAAAAAAAAAGTGACCCCATTTCCCACCCAAACCTCAATCATCCTTCTCCCCTCTGGCCCCGCCTCCTGTAGTATTATTTATTTCCCATTGTGCTTTACCATCTGTCTTTATATTTTATATTCCTCCCTTTATGAGGAAGGAAAACAGTATCAGTCCTCTAAATACGCAGTCACTGCTTAGCTCCCTCTTGCCTGGCTGGTTTATTTGTTGTTTGTTTTGAGAAAGAGTCTTGCAGCTGGGCACGGTGTCTCACGCCTGTAATCCCAGCACTTTGCAGGGCCGAGGTGGGCGGATCATTTGAGGTCAGGAGTTCAAGACCAGCCTGGCCAACATGGTGAAACCCCGTCTCTAGCAAAAATTAGCTGGGCCGTAGTGGCGCACGCCTGTAATCCCAGCTACTCGGGAGGCTGAGGCAGGAGAATCACTTGACCCTGGGAGGTGGAGGTTGTAGTAAGCCGAGATCAAGCCACTGCACTGCAATCTGGGTGACAGGGTGAGACCCTGTCCCCCCTGCCAAAAAAAAAAAAAAAGAGAGAGAGAGTCTTGCGCTGTCATCCAGGCTGGAGTGAAATGGTGCAATCATAGCTCACTGCAGCCTCCACCTCCTGGGCTTAAGCCATCTCCTTGACTCGGCCTCCCAAGTAGCTGGGGATACAGATGCACGCCACCACGACCAACTAATTAAAAAAATTTTTTTGTAGGGGCCGGGTGCAGTGGCTCACACCTGTAATCCCAGCACTTTGCGAAACCGAGGTGAGCAGATCACTTGAGGTCCAGAGTTCAAGACCAGCCTGGCCAACATGAGGAAACTCTACAAAAATACAAAAATTAGCCAGGCATGGTGGCGCATGCCTGTCATCCCAGCTACTCAGGAGGCTGAGGCAGGAGAATCTCTTGAACCCAGGAGGAGGAGGTTGCAGTGAGCCAAGATTGGGCCACTGCACTCCAGCCTGGGGGACAGAAAGACTCTGTCTCCAAAAAAAAAAAAAAAAAAAAAACTGTAGAGTATTGTAGAGTTGGGTCTTGCTATGTTGCCCAGGCTGGTCTCAAACTCCTGGGCTCAAGCCATTTTCTTGTCTCAGCCTCCCAGAGTGGCTGGGATTGCAGGTGTGAGCCACCATGCCAGGCTTCCTGCCTGGGTTCTAAGGCTGGGGGTCTATCTGGTAAGAGGGGAATAATAGCGAGTGAATGTTGGCTGTTGGAGGCAGGTGGGCTCTTTCCCCTGGTGTCCTCAGTAGGCTGGAAAGGGCATTAGATTCTCAGTGTGTGATTTACTGGGGTCTCTGGCAGAGGCTGAGCCAAACCCCCAAGGTGAGATGTGTAAAAAGGAGGAGTTCCCCAGGCAGAAGGAAGACCGGGCCAGTTCTAGGTCAGGAGGAAGTTATTCTCCAATTGGGGCAATTTTGCCCCTCTGGTGACATGTGGCAATCTCTGGAGACATACTTGGTTTTCATAACTAGGGGGCCGGGGTCGGACGCGGTGGCTGACGCCTGTAATCCCAGCAACGTGGGAGGCCAAGGCGGGCAGATCATTTGAGGTCAGGAGTTCAAGACCAGCCTGGCCAACATGGCAAAACCCTGTCTCTACTAAAAATACAGAAACTTAGCCGGGCATGGTGGCAAGTGCCTGTAATCCCAGCTACTCGGGAGAGTGAGGCAGGAGAATCGCTGGAACCCGGGAGGCGGAGGTTGCAATGAGCCGAGATCACGCCACTGCACTGCAGCCTGGGCCACAGAGCGAGACCCGCCTCAACTAAAAATAAAAATAAAATAAAAAATAAGTATGAGGCTGGGATGCTCGTGGCATGGAGTGGGTGGAGACCGAGGATGCTGCTCAATACCCTGTAATGGACAGCACCTCCTGACTCCAACCCCCTGCAACAGAGAGTGATCTGGCCCCAAATATCTAGTGCAGAGTTGGAGAAACACTGCTGTATAGGTTGTCTTGTTAAATTACAATTTTGGGGGGTTTTTTTTGGAGACGGAGTCTTGCTCTGTCGCCCAGGCTGGAGTGCAGTGGTGTGATCTCAGCTCACTGCAACCTTTGCCTCCTGGGTTCAAGCGATTCTCGTGCCTCAGCCTCCCAAGTAGCTGGGATTACAGGCGTACACCACCACGCCTGGCTAATTTTTGTACTTTTTGGAGAGACAGGTTTTTGCCATTTTGGCCAGGCTGGTCTCGAACTCCTGGCCTCAGGTGGTCTGCCCGCCTCGGCCTCCCAAAGTGCTGAGATTACAGGCATGAGCCACCGCGCCTGGCCTTGTTAAATAAAATGTATGGCAGGCCATTGTTTTAGACAATGGGGTCTCTAGTCCCCAGCAGACCAGATAAAATTGGAATGGAGTCACTAGTGCCAGGTACCACGTAGTCAAACTGATCTTTTATTTTTTTTATTTTTTGAAATAGGGTCTCGCTCCGTTGCCCACACTGGAGTGCAGTGGCGCAATCATGGCTGACTGCAGACTTGAACTCCTGGATGCAAGCCATTCTCCTGCCTCAGCCTCCCGAGGAGCTGGGACTACAGGTGTGTGCCAGCACATGTGGCTAATTATTAAAAATTTTTTTGGCTGGGTGCCGTGGCTCACGCCTGTAACTGCAGCACTTTGGGAGGTCGAGGTGGGTGGATCACGAGGTCAGGAGTTCAGGACCAGCCTGGCCAAGATGGTGAAACCAGGTCTCTACTAAAAATACAAACATTAGCTGGGCATGGTGGCGGGTGCCTGTAATCCCAGCTACTCGGGAGGCAGAGAATTGCTTGAACCCAGGAGGTGGAGGTTGCAGTGAGCCGAGATCATGCCATTGCACTCCAGCCTGGGTGACAAGAGCAAGACTCTGTCTCCAAAAAAAAAAAATTTTTTTTTTTGGAGACAGAGTCTCACTATGTTGCCCAGGATGTTCTCAAACTCCTAGGCTTAAGCGATCTCCCCATCTCAGCCTCCCAAAGTGCTGAGATTACAGGTGAGAGCCACCCGTACCTGGCCTCAAACTGAACTTTAAAGGGTGCAGGTTTTCAAAAAAAAACATTCACAGCCACCAAGCCAAAGGGGACCGGTTAACCTGATAGGGAAGTACCCTCAAAATAGAGGGGGTTAAAACAGACCCTATGAAAAAAGTAACTTTGAAACAACCAATTGGTTTTTATTTCGTATTTTTATTTTTACTTTTTTTGAGACAAACTCTCACTCTGTCACCCAGGCTGGAATGCAGTGATGTGATCAGGGCTCACTGCAACCTTGACCTCTCTTGCTCAAACAATCCTGCCACCTTAGCCTCCCAAATACCTAGGACTATAGGCGCCCAGCTAATTTTTTTTTTTTTTTTTTTTTGAGGTGGAGTCTTACTCTGTTGCCTAGGCTGGAGTGCAGTGGTTCAATCTTGGCTCCCTGCAACCTCCGCCTCCCGGGTTAAAGCAATTCTCCTGCCTCAGCTTCCCGAGTAGCTGAGACTACAGGCATGTGCCACCATGCCTGGCTAATTTTTGTATTTTTAGTAGAGACGGGATTTCACCATATTGGTCAGGCTGGTCTCGAACTCCTGACCTCATGATCTGCCCGGCTTGGCCTCCTAAAGTGCTGGGAATACAGGTGTGAGCCACTGCACCTGGCTAATTTTTTTATTTTTATTTTTAGAAATGGGGTCTTGCTATGTTGCCCAGGCCAGTCTCAAACTCCTGGGCTCAGGCTATCCTCCCACCTCCGCCTCCCAAAGTGCTGGCATTACAGGCGTGAGCAAACCACTGTACCTGGCCTGGCTTTTATTTTAATTCTTATTTCTCCTTTCTTCAGCCTTTTCTGCCTGTAATGCAGAATGCCCATCCTCTCTGCTCAGCTCATTGGAGTGCCTATTTAATAGATTGAATGCTATCCAATTCATGAATTGCTAATAAGAGCCAATGAGATCATTAAACTCAATTTGTTGAAATTCATACTCCTTGACAGCCTCTTCTGGACATTTTATATCAGTGGCATTGTACACTATATGGCTTTTTTTTTTTTTTTTTTTTTTTTTTGAGACAAAGTTTCTCATTGTTGCCCAGGCTGGAGTGCAGTGCCGCGATCTTGGCTTACTGCAACCTCCACGTCCCAAGTTCAAGAGATTCTCCTGCCTCAGCCTCCCAAGTAGCTGGGATTACCGGCGCGCGCCTCCGTAGTAGAGATGGTGTGGGGGGGTCTCCCTATGTGGTCCAGGCTGATCTCGAAATTCTTTTCTCAAGTGATCCACCGGCCTTGGCCTCCCAAAGTGCTGGGATTACAGGCGTGAGCCACCACGCCCGGCCCTATATGGCCTTTTGTGTCTGGTTCTTTGAACACGTTTTGAGGTTCTCTAAGTGGGGAAACAGGTACTAGAAAGCAACCCAACGCTGTTTCCTCGTGGCGGAGCTGGGAGTTTGCAGCCAGGAAGTCTGTCTCTGGAGTCAGCGCCTCTGCGAAGCGAGAGCTGGACGGAGACTTCAACTTCCGGCGTGCCCCGCGCGCGCCCGGCGGTCGGACTACCAGTCCCAGGCTGCCCCGCCGCGGCGGGCGGCGGGCGCGGCGCGGCGCGGCGCCATCTTGCAGCCGGCGGCGCGGATTGAATGAGCCCGCCGAGCCCGGGCCGCCGTCGGGAGCAGCGCAGGCCGCGAGCCGCCGCCACCATGGCCACGCCGCTGCCCGGCCGCGCGGGCGGGCCCGCCACGCCGCTGTCGCCCACGCGCCTGTCGCGGCTGCAGGAGAAGGAGGAGCTGCGCGAGCTCAACGACCGCCTGGCGCACTACATCGACCGCGTCCGCGCGCTGGAGCTGGAGAACGACCGGCTCCTGCTCAAGATCTCAGAGAAGGAGGAGGTGACCACGCGCGAGGTGGGCGCCGGGGCTTAGGGGCCGGGCGGGGGTGCAGCCGGCAGGCCCCGCCCACCGCGGGGCGCGCGATCGCGGGGACCCTGGGCGGGGGTGCAGACGGGGACGGGCCCCGGCTTCGGGGGTTTCCGCGGGGTTTCGGGGGGCCCCTGAGTGAGGGGTGCAGCTCGGCCAGGTCCCTCCCACCGCGGGGTGGGCAATCGCTGGGACCCTGGGTGCAGACAGGGACGGGCCCGGGTCTCGAGGGTCTCCAGGGGGTTTCGAGGGGCCCCTGAGTGAGCGGTGCAGTTCGGCCAGGCCCCGCCCACCGCGGGGTGCGTGATCGCGGGGACCCTGGGCGGGGGTGCAGACGGGGACAGGCTCCGGCTCGGGGGTCTCCAGGAGGTTTGGGGGCTTCTGAGTGAGGGGTGCTGCTCGGCTAGGCCCAGCCCACTGCGGGGCTCCCAGTCGCGGGGAACCCTGAGCTGGGATGCAGACGGGGACAGTCCGGCCTCGGGGATCTCCGCCGCGTTTCGGAGAGTCCCTGAGTGAAAGGTGCTACTCGGCCAGGCCCCGCCCACCACGGGGCGCGCGATCGCGGGGGACTCTGAACGACTCCCGGCTTGGGGTCTCCAGGGGGTTTGCGGGGGGCTCCTGGATGAAGGGTGCAGGTCCTGGCCACCGCGGGGTGCGCGATCGCGGGGACCCTGGGCAGGGGTGCAGACCGGGAAGGGTCCCGGCTTGGGGGTCTCCAGGGGGTTTCAAGGGGTCCCTGAGTGAGGGGTGCAGCTCGGCCAGGCCCAGCCCACCGCGGAGTACGCGATCACGGGGGACCCTGAGCAGGGGTGGGGTCAGCCTGGCCTCGGGGATCTCCAGGGGGAGACCCTGAGTGAGGGGTGCCACCTGGGCAGGCCCTGCCCACCGCAGTTTCCGAGATCTTGGGGGACCCCTTGGGAGGGGTGCAGACCGGAGTGGCCCATTCTCTTGGGGACCTCCAGGGGGTTTCTAGGGCACTGAGTGAAAAGTGCAGACCAGGAATGCCCCACCTATGGAGGGGGTCCCAGGAGATCTTCCGTGTCCTGAGTGAGGGCTGCAGAGGGGCCTCCAGCTAGCTCTGGGGACCCTTCCGTGAGAGGTGCATTTTGGGGCCATGGGGGTTACAGACTAGGGCTCCCCACCAAAGAGAGGTCCTGGGGATTTGGGGGCTCCCTGAGTATTGGGCTGCAGCCCCCCATATGCCTCGTCCCTCAGAGGATTCCAAGGAGACTTGGCGGACCCCCCCCAACTGAGGGGGTGTGAGTGGGAGTCTCTGGGGATGAAGCTGGGTATTGGGGTATCTGGGGTGGAATGGGGGTGGTCTCTGGGCTCCAAGGAGACTGGGGGGCCCAGGCCCTCTGAGGAGGCCCAAGATGGGGTGTGTGGGGGGTCTCCCTGGAGTCTCTGGGGTGAGTCACGTGGTCTCAGTTCTCCCTGGAGCTTTAGCGAGTTCCCTGATGAATCCAGAAGAGATTGGTGACTGGGGTGGGAATTAGGCCCCTCATCTCTCACCAGGCCCAGGGTGGGTAGGGGGCCGAGGGAGAGGTTCTGATACCTTGGGGTCCCACGGGAAATTTGGGAGTCCCTTATTTGTGCCCTGGTGTCAGCGGTGGTCTGGCAGGTTCTGCCCCCAAGAGAATATGAAGGAAGGGTGAGAGTTGGGATCTTGGGTCCGGTGGAAAGTGTTGAGGTTCTGAATGGGCCCCGAGGCTTCAGTGCAGACTGAAGGAGAAGAGGCGGGAAAGTCTGCCCACCAAGGGGACATGAGGTCGGGGTGTCTTGGGGTCTGGGTGCAATCTGTCCTGCCCCCCAACCTAACCCTGGGGAGGCTCTTTGTCCCTCCCACTGGCCATGCCCAATCCAAGGACAGGACTCCAGAACGGGGGGCAGGCAGGAGCACCCACTTGATTCCTGCCATGGGTTGGGGTCCTGGGGTCCCTAGGCCCCAGTGTCCTGTTGGGAGAGCTGGGTGCCGAAGTCGGGATTTGCAGCGCCCAGTCCCCACTCGCCCATCTGGAGATCAGAGGACGTGGTGGGCTTCTGGGAGAAGAGCTGCTTGTTGAGGGGGTCGGGTCATTTCTGGGAGCCACTTACCCTCTGTGTGACCTTGGGCTAGTCGCTTACCCTCTCTGGGTCTCAGTGCCCTCGCCTTTGGAATGGGTGTAATTATAATACCCACCTCTTACTTGTGTGTGGGGCCACAGCAGGTTAACTTTTGTTCAGTAGCTCCCTGTGGGTTGTTTTCACAGTGCCCTGGGGACAGGGAACCTGAAAGAATGTAGCTGGTGCCTTCAGGGAGGTAGAAGGAAGATCAGTGCTTGGTGGGATCCCCTGCTTTTCTTTCTTTTTTTTTTTTTTTTTTTTTGAGATAGAGTCTCGCTCCGTCGTCCAGGCTGGAGTGCAGTGGCGCGATCTTAGCTCCCCGCACCCTCTGCCTCCCGGGTTCAAGTGATTCTCCTGCCCCCGTCTCCCGAGTAGCTGGGATTACAGGTGTTCACCACCATGCCCGGCTCATTTTTGTATTTTTAGTAGAGACAGAGTTTGGCCTTGTTGGTCAGGCTGGTCTCAAACTCCTGGCCTCAGGTGATCTGCCTGCCTCGGCCTCCCAAAGTACTGGGATTACAGGTGTGAGCCGCCGTGCCTGGCCAGTCCCCTGCTTTTCAATTAGTGTGGCTTTGGGCAGGCCCCTGTGTCTCTTGGAGCCTCCATCTTGCCATCTGTCCAGTGCGGAGTTGTCCCAACTTAGAGGCCGCCTGCTGGACCCGTGGCGTGCAGGGTTAGAGCTGGTTTCTTGTCTTTGGGCCTCTGTTATCCCACCTGCCAATGGGACGAACAGCTGCAGGGAGCTTTGAGGGTGCAGGGCCTGGTGAGTGCTGGGGAGGTACCAGCCCCAGCCCCACTGGACGCCCCATTGGACCGGCCCTGTGCCCTAGAGGGAGCCTGGCCCAGCCACCTCTCGGGGCCGCAGCAGCATCCTTTACAACTCAGTTCACTCAGGCTGGGTGAAATGCGGGTCTGACTCCAGTGAAGGCAGCCATTTAGCAGGTGACACACTGGCCCCTCCGTGAGCCCTGTCACCCAGCCGTGTCTGCAGGGCATGTGGCAGGGGACAGCTGGGAGTTCCGCCTGCGACTAGTGGGCCAGGAACCCGGCTAGTGGGGAGCAGAGTTGGAAGCCTGCTGGGGTGGGGGCCGCTGGTGGGGGGACGTCATGTGGGCCCACATGGAGGGAGTGACCTGGAATAGCTGGGGGCCTTCTAGACACAGGTGGGCCACGTGGGGTTCAGAGAGCAGCCTCAGGCTCAGGCTGGCAGGATGGGGGCAGGGGAGGGAGCTCTGAACGAGGAGGGACCTGGGGTGTCAGGCCTAAGAGCATGCAGGTCACCTGGACAGCAGGGCCTCTCTCACCTGGCCAGCTTCTGCCCCCAGGGGACTCTTGGCCAAGGCTGGGCATGCCCTTGGTTGTCACATTGGGAGGGAGACGGCATCGGCACAGCGTGGGTGGAGGCTGGGTACTGCTCAGCGCCCCGAGAAGAGAATCACCTGGCCCCCACGAGGATGACGCAGCCCTCACGAGGATGACCCAGCCCCATGAGGATGACCCAGCCCCCACGAGGATGACCCAGCCCCCACGAGGATGACCCAGCCCCCATTAGGATGACCCAGCCCCCATTAGGATGACCCATCCCCCATTAGGATGACCCAGCCCCCATGAGGATGACGCAGCCCCCATGAGGATGACCCATCCCCCACGAGGATGACGCAGCCTCCATGAGGGTAACACGGCCCCCATGAGAATGGCCAGGCCGAGGAGCCTGCTGGGAGGCGTGAGGGACTCAGTTCAGATTTTTTCAGGCTCATAACACGACTCACAGCATCCTGGTGTGTGGCGGCCCCCGAGGTCCTCACACACGCCTTTCTCACTTCTTTTTTGAGATAGAGTCTCACTCTGTCGCCCAGGCTGGAGTGCAGTGGTGTGATCTCGGCTGACTGCAACCTCTGCCTCCCAGGTTCAAGCAATTCTCCTGCCTCACCCTCCTAAGTAGCTGGGATTACAGGCGTGTACCACCACACCCGGCTAATTTTTGTATTTTTAGTAGAGATGGGATTTCACCATGTTGGCCAGGATGGTCTCTATCTCTTGACCTTGTGATCTGCCCGCCTCAGCTTTCCAAAATGCTGGGATTGCAGGTGTGAGCCAGTATGCCTGGCCTTTTTTTTTTTCTAGACAGAGTCTCTCTCTGTCGCCCAGGCTGGTGTGCAGTGGCGTGATCTTGGCTCACTGCAACCTCTACCTCCTGGGTTCAAGGGCTTCTCGTGCCTCAGCCTTCTGAGTAGCTGGGATTACAGGCGCCCACCACCATGCCCGGCTAACTTGCTCACTTCTTTCCTGCCCGCAGGAGTTCACCCTTGCACACTCGTACAAAACCAGGCCAAGCATGGGTTCCACATTCCCATGTGACACTAGGGGGTGTCTTTTGGCGGTGTGGATGAATCGCCATATACAAGCATCGTTGGAGGGCTTGGGAAAGGGTGGGGTGGGGGCTGGCCAGATGGGTATTTGTTGAAGGAGGATCACTGAGTGCTGGGGGCGGGGGCAGGTGCAGGGAGGCCGCGCTGTGGCCCGTGTCCAGGCGCGGGAGAGGCAGGTACTCCAGGTACTTCCCTGCCAGGCCTTACGTTCCCGAGGGAGGAGACCTGGCTTCGGCATCTTCTGTCTTCCCCTGCCCCGGTGTCCCCTGGCTGCTCAGGGCTGCTGGAGGGGGTCTCGGAGGCGGCCCAGGCGAGCGTGGAGGATGGAGTCCACTTTGGAAGTGACCCCAAGCCGGTGTTTGCATTTTCTGCACAGGGCTGTAGTTCTTAGCCGGGCCATTTTGTCCCACCGTGGCCTCCTCCAGCCGAGTTATGCTGCTCTGTGTGTCCGAGGGGTCCCAGGCAAAGGCCATCTCAGGCTATCTGAGCCCTGCCAGGCCCACATGTGTGGACACACTTGTTGACTTCCCTCAAGCCTAGCACTTGCTAGATGCCGTGAAAGATGAAAGAAAAGGCCCAGCCTGTCCCCAGCCCTTTGCAGCGCCTCACAAGCACAAGGAGGCCGTCCTGCCCCGGCACACCCGTTCCGCAGGCTCAAAGGGTCTTTGTGAGGTGCCCCAGCCTCTAGAACTTTCCTCATCATCACAGCACGGCAGACCAGGCATGGTCAGCAGACTTTTTCTAAAAAAGGCCAGACTGTCTGCATCTGAACCACTCAGCTCTGCCATAGGATGAAAGCTGCCTTAGCCCATAGGTGAATAAGTGGGTGCTGCTATGTGTCAATAAAACTTTATTTATACACATGGAACTGTGAAGTGCATAGAATCTGCCTGTGTCACAAAGTCTCTTCATCTTCCCCCCTGGCCTTTATCGTTTTTGTTTTTGAGACAGTCTCGTTTTCCAGGCTGGAATGCAGTGGCACAATCTCCGCTCACTTCAACCTCTGCCTCCCGGATTCAGGCGATGAAGCGATTCTTGTGCCTCAGCCTCCCCAGTAGCTGGGATCACAGGTTTGCACTGCCACGCCCAGCTAATTTTTGTATTTTTAGCAGAGATGGGGTTTCACCATGCTGGTCAGGCTGGTCTCGAACTCCTGACCTCAGGGGATCTGCCAGCCTCTGCCTCCCAAAGTGCTGGGATTATAGGCATGAGCCACCTCTCCTGGCTACCCCTAGCCATTTAAAAATGTAAAAACCGTCTGGGCGCAGTGGCTCACACCTATAATCCCAGCACTTTGGGAGGCCGAGGTGGGCGGATCACGAGGTCAGGAGATTGAAACCAGCCTGGCCAACATGGTGAAGCCCCGTCTCTACTAAAAATACAAAAATTAGCTGGGCGTGGTGGTGCACGGCTATAGTCCCAGTTACTTGGGAGGCAGGAGAATCGCTTGAACCCGGGAAGCAGAGGTTGCTGTGAGCTCAGATCATGCCACTGCACTCCAGCCTGGGCAACAGAGTCTTGCCCTGTGCTCGCCCAGGCTGGAATGCAATGGTGCAATTTTTGTGTTTTTAGTAGAGATGGGGTTTCACCATGTTGACCAGACTGGTCTTAAATTCCTGACCTCAGGTGATCTGCCCGCCTCAGCCTCCCATCATCTTATGCCAGGTGCGGTGGCTCATGCCTGTAATCCCAGCACTTTGGAAGGCTGAGGCAGGCTGATCCTCCTGCCTCAGCCTCCCAAAGTTGTAGGACTGCAGCTGTGAGCCACTGCTCCCAGCAACATCCATCATGTATTCAGACTTCCTCAGTTTCCCCGATGTCCTTTCCTGCCCCAAGACCCCATCCACTATCTCACGTGACATTTAGTGACTACGTCACTGTCTCCCAGGCTCCTCCAGGCTGATAGTTTCCCCCACGTTCCTGGTTAGAGGTTCTGGTTGGTCCTGAGCGGGCTGGGCAGGTGTGCAGTAGGATGTTCCTCAATGGGGGTTTGTGTGTTGTTTTGCTCATCGTCACGCTGGGGCGATGGGATGAGTAATGTTTTAATGGAATATATATATATATGTGTATATATATATGTATATGTATATGTATTTTATTTTCTTTTTTTTGAGACGGAGTTTCACTCTGTTGCCCAGGCTGGAGTGCAGTGGCGTGATCTTGGCTCACCACAACCTCCGCCTCCCTGGTTCAAGCGATTCTCCTGCCTCAGCCTCCTGGGTAGCTGGGATTACAGGCATACACCACCATGCCCGGCTAATTCTGTATTTTTAGTAGAGACAGGGTTTCTCCATGTTGGTCAGGCTGGTCTCGAACTCCTGACCTCAGGTGATCCAACTGCCTTGGCCTCCCGAAGTGCTGGGATGACAGGCGTGAGCCACGGCGCCCAGACATATGTATATTTTTTTTGAGACAGGGTCTCTCTGTACCACCCAGGCTGCAGCGTAGTGGCGTGATCTCAGCTCACTGCAACCTCTGCCTCCCGGGTTCAAGTGATTCTCCTGTCTCAGCCTCCCGAGTAGCTGGGATTACAGGCGCCTACCACCACACCCAGCTAATTTGTGTTTTAATAGAGACAGGGTTTCACCATGTTGGCCAGGCTGGTCTCGAACTGCTGACCTCAAGTAATTCGCCCGCCTCAGCCTCCCAAAGTGCTGGGATTTCAGGCATGCACCAGCGCACCGGGCCCTAATGGATTATCTTTTAAAAATCAATTAATTCAAAAAATCTACAATGAACAAACTATTAATTCAAGTCAGGTGTCGTTTAGTGACAGGGATACCTTGTGGAAAGCGTGTCGTTAGGAGACGTGCCCCTTGTGTGGGCATGGTAGAGTGCACTCCCACACTCCCGGATGGTGGAAGCCACCACACACCCAGGCTTGGGCGTGGCCTCCTAGGCCACAGACCCACACCGCCCGCTCCTCTGTGGAATGCTGTGGGCACCGGTTACACAATGGTAAGTATGTGAGCATTTAAACACGAGAAAGGGCTGGGTGCGGTGGCTCCCGCCTATAATCCCAGTACTTTGGGAGGCTGGGGCAGGCAGATTGCTTGAGTCCAGGAGTTTGAGACCAGCCTGGGCAACATAGCAAGACCCCATCTCTTAAAAAAAAAGTTAGAAACTAATTAGGCAGGCATAGTAGTATGTGTGCCTATAGTCCCAGCTATTGGGGCAGCTGAGACAGGAGGATTGCTTGAGCCCAGAGTTTGAGGCTGCAGTGAGCTGTGATTGCGGCATTGCTCTCCAGGCTGGGTGTGGCTCTGTCTCAAAATAAGTAAATAAACACAAGAAAGGTGCAGTAAGAATATGGTATTAGATTCTTTTTCTTTTTATTTTTTGAAGTGGAGTCTGGCTGTCGCCAGGCTGGAGTGCAATGGCCCAATCTTGGCTCACAGCAACCCCTGCCTCCTGGGTTCAAGCAATTTTCCTGCCTCAGCCTCCTGAGTAGCTGGTATTACAGGTGCACGCCACCATGCCCGGCTAATTTTTTTGTATTTTTAGTAGAGACAGGGTTTCACCGTGTTAACAAGGATGGTCTTGATCTCCTAACCTCGTAATCCGCCCACCTCAGCCTCCCAAAGTGCTGGGATGACAGGGGTGAGCCCCCATGCCAGGTTTGCATTAGAGTCTTACAGGACCGCCGTGCACATGGTCTGGGGGTGCTCAGCATGCCTCTGTGCGTGTGGCTGCCATTGCAGAGTTGCTGTTTTTTCTCACCTTGAACGGGCTCCTGTGTGTCCCGGCGCTGATCTTGTCTTTGTTGGAAACTCTGCTGTTTTGTTCATCCTGGCCCCTCTGCCTCGTGAGCCGCAGTCAGCTCTCTCTCTGTGGGGACAGGAGAGCTCGTGTGTGACCCCCATCCTGAGGGTGTCCCGTCAGCCCCTCCCTTGAGGTTAGGGGTATTTGGGAGCTTTGAGGGAGAGGCAGACACCACCATGCCTGCACCTGGTGCCCAGCTGTTTGCAGCGTGGAGCTGGCCGCTTTTTCCTGATTTGGGTTTTTCTAGAAGTCTGTTCCCAGGACACAGATGTGGAGGGCACGGCCCAGATGATCGCCTGCATGGGAGGGAGGGCTTGGGGGTGGCCGGGGTGCCGCGGGAGGAGCTCGCTTTGCACTGCTGCCTCTGTGGGTCCCCGTCCTACAATTGGTCCCCGCAGACCTGATATGTCTAGGACCCAGCGGTGGTCAGGAGGCGGCTTTTTACTGACCCGTGCCTCAGTTTTCCCATACATAAAATCAGGTTGGGAACCCTTATCCCGCCCCACTGTAGGCTGACGGGACTTGGAGCTGCGGTGCTGGGGCAGCCTGAGACTCTGACTTGTCCAGATGGCCCAGCATGCGTTGGTTTGAGGCTGAGGGTCCCACCTCAGAAGAGGCCCGGTCACTGCCAAGGGGTGCGTCCTGGCAGGCCCCCAGCCCTCTGCACAGGAGCCTCGCCTGTAACATGGGGGTGTGGCCCTCCAGATGCAGGCCGACCCTGTACCCACCTTGCATAGACACCCTTGGCCCTGTAGGGCTGTGGGAACATCACGGCGTTCTAGCGGGTGGTGCTGGGCCTGGTTCCGCCTACCATCCTCCGGTCCTCCTTTTCCTCAGCGCCAGAGCCGGAGCAGTTAATTCCCGCCTCATAAGGTTCACCCAGCTCACCCGTAGGTTTCGCGTTTTCATATCTCCACAGCTGTGCCACCACCAATGTGTCCAATTTTAGAACGTTCATCCCCACTAAAAGAAGCCTGTCCCCCTCAGCGGTCACTCCCCGTCCCCTTCTCCAGCCCCGCTGCCCACACACCCGCTGCCTGTGTCTGTGCACTGGCCTGACCTGGACATTTCATGGAAATGGGATTACACACTGTGTGGCGTTTTGTGTCTGGCGTCTCATGAGTGTGACATCCTCAAGGGGCATCCACACTGTGGTGTCAGAACCTTGCTCCGTTACACAGCTGGGTCATGTTCCTGTGTGTGGATGGTGGAGGGACCGCATTGCTTTTATTTTTTTATTTATTTTTATTTTTCATTTTATTTATTTATTTATTTATTTTGAAACTGAGTCTCGCTCTGTCTCCCAGGCTGGAGGGCAGTGGTGCGATCTCGGCTCACTGCAAGTTCCACCTCCCGGGTTCATGCCATTCTCCTGCCTCAGCCTCCCAAGTAGCTGGGACCACAGGCGCCCACCACCACGCCTGGCTAATTTTTTGTATGTTTTTTTAGTAGAGACGGGGTTTCACTGTGTTAGCCAGGATGGTCTCGATCTCCTGACCTTGTGATCCGCCCGCCTCGGCTTCCCAAAGTGCTGGGATTACAGGTGTGAGCCACTGCGCCCGGCACCATGTGTAGTTTTCAAACATGCATGGATGTGAATTTCATGTCTTCTGGGTCCACACCCAGGAGTGGAGTTACCGGGTCACAGGGTGGCTCTGTGACTCTTGGGGGAGCCCCTGGACTGTTTTCTGTAGAGCTGTCTCAGCTCAGGTTCCTGCCGCTGCCTGTGAGGTTCCGATTTCTCTGCGTACTCGCCCGCACCTGCGACTGTCTGTCTTCTTGACGGACGCCCTGGCTGGTGCGAAGTGGCATCTCACTGCGGTTTGCTTCCACATATTTTTAAACTCACTGAGTGCATGGCCCTGTGGGAGGAGGGGAGGCAGGAAGGCCACTAGAAGCCTGAGCTGTGCCCCCAGCTGGCGCGTGCAGAGGCCGGGCAGGTGGCGGCTGTGGTTGCAGCAGGATTAGTAGGAAGTGAAGAGGTCGCCTTCCCTGGCACCGCATGTGCCTCGAGTTCACCTGGAGGCCCTCGAGAGGGGCGGGTTTGGGGGCTTTGCGCGGGGCTTAGGGAGGGGCTTTCTTTAGCTGGGCGGCCCAGAGGGTGTTCCAGTCGCTTCTGCCTGCCCTGGTGACCCCTGGCTCTCCAGCCCCTCCCCATGTCCTTGCTGGCTGGGCTGGGTCTCCGTCGGGAAAGGTGGGGGCCGCTGGTGGGGTGGGGAGCTGGAGACTCTGACTACAGATCCCTGTGATCGAGGGGTGAAAGGTGGGGGTGACTGGTGGGGGGGGCAGCTGGGGACTGACTACAGATCCCTGTGATCGAGGGGTGAAAGGTGGGGGCGGCTGGTGGGGTGGGGAGTTGGGGACTCTGACTACAGATCCCTGTGATTGAGGGGTGAAAGGTGGGGGCAGCTGGTGGGGTGGGGAGTTGGGGACTCTGACTACAGATCCCTGTGATCGACGGGTGAAAGGTGGGGGCGGCTGGTTGGGGGGGGCAGCTGGGGACTGACTACAGATCCCTGTGATCGAGGGGTGAAAGGTGGGGGCGGCTGGTGGGGTGGGGAGTTGGGGACTCTGACTACAGATCGCTGTGATCGAGGGGTGAAAGGTGGGGGCCGCTGGTGGGGTGGGGAGCTGGGGACTCTGACTGCAGATCCCTGTGATCGAGGGGTGAAACGTGGGGGCCGCTGGTGGGGTGGGGAGCTGGGGACTCTGACTGCAGATCCCTGTGATCGAGGGGTGAAAGGTGGGGGCCGCTGGTGGGGTAGGGAGCTGGGGACTCTGACTGCAGATCCCTGTGATCGAGGGGTGAAAGGTGGGGGCCGCTGGTGGGGTGGGGAGTTGGGGACTCTGACTACAGATCCCTGTGATCGAGGGGTGAAAGGTGGGGGCCGCTGGTGGGGTGGGGAGCTGGGGACTCTGACTGCAGATCTCTGTGATTGAGGGGTGGGAGCTTCTGTCCTGGAGCCTCCGAGCCACCACATTGGCAGCTGGCCTGTCGGGGGGACACAGCATGGGAAGGCCAGATGCTCCTCCCTCCATCCCAGGGAACAGCCCAGCCTGAGCCTGGGCCATGTGCCTGCGTGTGAGGTAGGGGCACAGAGGGGCACGGGCTGGCCCCCGGTTGGCAGAAGTGGGGGATCTTGGGCTCAGCGGGGTCTGGGGGAGCGGGGGCTCCAGGTTGCAGAGGCCTGGGGGGAGTCTCAGGGGCCCAGAGGGGTCTGGGAGGGGACTCCAGGTTGCAAAGGCTGGTGGGGGCAGGGGGCTCTCAGGCCCAGTGGGGTCTGGGAGGGCCCCGGGTTGCTGTCATCACCAGTTGTCCGAGAGTGATCAGCCCAGTGTCCATGGTGCCCAGCGGGAGAGATCCTTGATTAAACATCCCACCAGTTTTCTGGTTCTGAAACCGAGAGTGTGAAAAATGCATCTAATGGCCAGGCATCGTGTCGCTATGACAGCGGCCAAGGGGCTGCATGTCCAGGTGTGGCTGGTCCTCCGGGGAAGGGGACAGGCTCCATCCAGCTGCTGTGCTGGTCCAGGCCCAGGGCCTTTGGTCTCCAGCACTGGGCGCCGCTGTTCTGGGAGCTGGAGCTCGTGGAGAGACGATCATTCCAGAGGGGGCCGCAGCAGAGGAGGAGGCTCCTGGGATGGCTGGGACCCAGGGTCGCCTGGCTTCCTCCTGGTTACCGGACCCTCCCCGACAGGGGGCTCCCTTTGCTGTGTCTGTGAGATGGGCAACACAGGGTGTCCCAGTGTCCCCAGGCTGCCATCCTCTCTCTCTGCGTGCCAGTCCCTGGGAATCTGAGCAGGGCCAGTGGCCGGGCCCCCTGACTGCTGTAGTCCAAGGGGAAGGGTCCCTCTCGCTTCACCCTGTCCTGGGTCTCCCCAGGTGAGTGGCATCAAGGCGCTGTACGAGTCGGAGCTGGCCGATGCCCGGAGAGTCCTGGATGAGACGGCTCGAGAGCGTGCCCGGCTGCAGATAGAGATTGGGAAGCTGAGGGCAGAGTTGGACGAGGTCAACAAGAGGTGAGTGGTCACGGCTGGGCACGACGTCACCCTGATCCTGGCACCACGGGGTGGACGGGGGCAGGTGGGCGCTGGGCTCGTGCGGGGCATGCTCTGATACGGGCACAGCCTGGAGCTCACAGCTCCCATCCTCTCTCCCCCACCAGTGGCTGCCACGTCACTTTTTCTGTTCTGAGGAAAGTGATAGATGCTCACATCGGACAGCAGGAAGCGCAGGGCAGCTTAAGCTCACAAGTAAAATCTCCCGCGAGCCTCCCCAGAGAGGGCTTCCTGGTCAGCCTGGCCTGTCTCCTTAGTGTGCACACGCGCTTGCACATGCTTACCTAGACCCCGGGCGGCACCCAGTGGACACCGTGAGACGCGTTTGACCTCAGGCCCCATCGTAGGCATTTCCCTGTGGTTGGATGTTCTTGGTGCCGGGGTTTTGTCCCAGCTGTTGGGACGCTCGGGTGTGTGGTGTGTGACCAGGGTGCTCATGGGTTGTTGGGCTGCCCCAGGGTTGGCTGCAAAGTCCTTCTGGGTGACAACTGTGTCCATCGGCAGAAACGATCTCCCCTCTCAGCCTGGCAGTGAGTCTTGCCTGATTCTGGGCGTGGGATGTGGTTGGGCGGCAATTTAAACAGAACGATGATGACAAAAGGAATATTTATTCAGAGGAGCCAGGAGGCCAATGAAACACTGAGCTCAAGGCTTTTCTTGATGTGAGGCTCCAGCTAGAGCGAGGTCTCTGGTGCCCTGCGTGTGGACACTGTCTTCCGTGGTCTCCGGCCACCGGCATTCAGGCACCTGCAGGTGCCTCGGATTTCCTCAGGCTGGGGTGGGTCAGGGTCTTCCCACACTGCTCATTCTCCCAGAGCCACGCAGGCCTGGCTCAGCATGGAGGGATCTGCTGGCAGGAGGGGTGGCACCTCGGCCACCTGGTACGGGGGTGACAGCAGCCAGTGGCTTGAGAATCCACGTTGTCCCTGAGTTGGAGTGTGGCCAGAGGAATGACCGGGGACCCTGTGTCCAACAGTGCCGGGGCCCCCATGCGTGGTTGCAGGTGACCTCTCCATCCGACGCCCTCCTCCTTCCTGGGCTGGCGCTGCTCCCGTGGAGAGCTGACTTCCCTTCCCCAACAGGAGACCCTCCAGGTCAGCCCAGGGACCACCGCCCGCCTGCCCGGGGCCTGGGGCTCCAGGAGGGACCATTTGTGCCCTGATGGTGGCCATGAGCCGGGGACCCTGGGGCCAGGCACCAGCCAGGACAGGCTGCCCACTCTCAGCACATCCCACACAGCACAGGTGCACCCCGGGACCTGCTCAGGCAGCAGCTCTGTGCTGTCTACCTCCAGCACCCACCGTGTTTAATAAGCAGGTTCATCAGTGGAGCCATGCAGGCTGTGGGATGACTAGAGCTTGGTCAGGGGTGCACGGAGCTCTGAAATGTCAGAACTACACCGTGCAGATGGGACAGAGCTGCTGCTGGCCCCGCACCAGGCGCCTCTCAACTGTTCACTTTAAGATGTTGAAATGTACAGGATGTGAATTTCACCTCAAATTAAAACATTAAAAAAAGAAAATGGTACACAGTGCCCGCCCTAGGTGTTGAGGAATTCCCAGTTCACAATCTCCTGAGCAGTGCGTGGCATCTACAGAGAGGCCCGTCTTTTCCTTTTCATTAAGACAGGGTCTCTGTTGCCTAGGCTGGAGCTCAGTGGCACAATCATAGCTCGCTGCAGCCTCGAACTCCCAGGCTCAGGTGATCCTGCCTCAGCCCCACCCCGAGTAGCTGGGACCCCAGGCATGCACCACTACACCCAACTAATTTTTTTTATTTTTTATTTATTTCCTTTTGAGACATAGTCTTGCTCTGTCACCCAGGCTGGAGTGCAGTGGTGCAATCTCGGCTCACTGCAACATCCACCTCCCAAATTCAAACGATTCTCCTGCCTCAGCCTCCTGAATAGTTGGGATTAGAGGCTCACACCACCTTGCCCAGCTAATTTTTTTACCAAGTTGGCCAGGCTGGTCTCAAACTCCTGGACTTAAGCGATCCACCCGCCTTGGCCTCCCAGAGTGCTGGGATTACAGATGTAAACCACCATGCCTGGCCTAATTTTTTTATTATTTGTAGAGATGAGGTCTCGCTATGTTGCTCAAGCTGGTCTTCAACTCCCAGGCTAAAGTGATCCTCCCACCTCAGCCTCCCAAAGCACTGGGTATAGGTATGAGCCACTGGGCCAAGCCTAATGTTTTTCTTATCCTAACAAATTTATCTCCAAAACCCCACAATGAGAGAAACACTGGGAGCAGCGTGCAGGACCTAACAAGCCAGAGCCTGCCACAAAACCCCGGGCACCCAGCTGAAGATTCTAACTCAGCACCTGGCGCTTAGGAAACGGGTCTGAGCCCTGGGAGCCCGCACCCTGCCTTCTGGGTGTGCCCTGCAGTCCTGCGGAACCCTGTGGTTTAGACCGAGTTGCTGAGGAGCTTCCCGGATTCCCCGATCTCCGCTCCAGTCCTCTGAGCTGGTCTGCAGCCTGCCTCTTCCACCTCACCCCTGGGCCTTTGCACTGCTGCTCGCCTGCCTGGAAGGCTCTTTCAGCAGCGGTGGCCCTGGCTCCTCCAGCACTGCTCCTTCAGGTCTCTGCCCCCAGGGTTGTCTCCCAGCCCCACTCCAGCCCTGCCCCCAGGCAACCTCCTGTCTGGTAGGCAGCCTGTGTCGCTGATGCCTCCCTCCGCAAGGACGTCCCGCAGTGTAAGGCAAGGGTTCTAGATGCACCTCTGGTGTGAGAGCGGTGCCTTCCACACAGCGGGCACTCGGGATTTGCCCAACAGATTCCACCTTCCCCCAAACCCCTGCAAAAATCCCCAGCAGGGCCGCAGGGCTCGCAGCCCTCTGAGCGAAAGGGCCTGGCCTGTGTGGCATGTGCTCAGAGATGCGGGATCTGCACCCCAGACCCTGCTGGAGATCTGCTCCATGTGGGGAAGTAGAGCTTAGTGTCCCTGAGGGCTGCGGACAGGGGTGCATCAGCCTTGTGGCCGAAGTCTCTGGCCTTCACGCCTCTCAAAAGCAAGCAGATGCCACACCTCTAGTGTGTGGAGAGCCCTGGCTACACCAGGTCCAGCGCCAGAGCGGCTGGCCGCCCTGCCCTGGCGGGACACAACCGGAGCCAGACCCGGGATTCAGGGTACCCGGCACGGATGCTTTTACCTGGCAGGTGGCCTTAGACCTGGTTGTCTGACCCCCGACCAGGGACCCCTCACACGAGAGACCTGTTTACACAGTGGCTGCCCCGTAGCTCGTGTCTGACCTGTGTCCAGGGTATGCCTGTCCGACCATCGCTCTGGCACTGGGATCCCAGCCTGGGGCAGCTCCTGGTTCTTCTGACAGAAGGCGCAAATTCAGCACAGCGATAGGAAACAAGTTTGAAGATTTATTACGGATCCTAGGCAGGGAGGGCACTGTGAGCTGGGAAGGCAGCCCTCCCTCCCCGGGTCACACAAGGAAGGAAGGAAGAGTCCCACAGAGAGTGAGAGCTTGGCAGCTAGTGAGAGAGAGAGGGAGATGGGTGGATGATGGATGGATGGCTGGATGGGTGGACGGATGATGGATGGATGAGTAGATGGATGGATGATGGATAGATAATGGATAGATAGATGATGGATGGATGAGTGGATAGATGGATGGATGGATGGATGAGTAGATGGATGAATGGATAGATGATTGAGGGATGGATGGAAGGATGGATGGATGGAGATGATGGATAGATGATGGATGGATGAGTAGATGGATGGATGGATGATGGGTGGATGGATAGATGGACAGATGAGTGGATGGATGGATGGATGATGGGTGGATGGATGGATGGATGATGGGTAGATGGATAGACAGTAATAGATAGAGCAATAGATAGATATAGCTATCTGTAAGGCTGGGTGCGGTGGCTCATGCCTGTAATCCCAGCACTTTGGGAGGCCAAGGCGGACAGATCACTTGAGGATGGGAGTTCAAGACCAGGCTAACCAACATGGAGAAACCCCGTCTCTACTAAAAATACAAAATTATCTGGGCGTGCTGGCACTTGCCTGTAATCTCAGCTACTTGGGAGGCTGAGGGAGGAGAATCGCTTGAACCCGGGAGGTGGAGGTTGCAGTGAACCGAGATCGCACCATTGCACTCCAGCCTGGGCAACAAGAGCGAAACTCCATCTCAAAAAAAAAAAAAAAGATACAGCCATCTGTAGAATTGATATATACGGACATAGATTATATAGATAAATACAGTTATTGATGGAGATATACTTAGACAGACATACGGTCACTTTCAGCTATGGGTCACTTTCATTTCTTGGGCAAATGCCTAGGTGGTCTTTTGAAAGGCCCTGGGGGACCAGGCGCAGTGGTTCACGCCTGTAATCCCAGCACTTTGGAGGCCGAGGCGGGCAGATCACCTGAGGTTGGGAGTTCGAGACCAGCCTGGCCAACATGGAGAAACCCCATCTCTACTAAAAATAAAAAATTAGCGGACGCTGGTGGCGCATGCCTGTAATCCCAGCTACACAGGAGGCTGAGGCAGGAGAATTGTTTGAACCCGGGAGGCGGAGGTTGCAGTGAGCCGAGATCACGCCATTGCAATCCAGCCTGGGCAACAAGAGCGAAACTCCAACTCAAAAAAAAAAAAAGGCTCTAGGGAGAGTCGGGAGTGCATTCTGCTGGGCAGGAGAGGTCCCTGTCACTTCTGACCTCTGGCCACGGGCTCGAGCCGCCTGGATGTGGATGTTCTTTGAATGTCCAGCCAGCAGCCTTGGCTGTGTTATTCCAGATACACCCAGTTGTCCCCATCCTGGGGTGATTCTGTCCCCAGGGGACACTGGGTGATTCCTGGGGACACTTGTGGTTGTCAAAACTGGGCAGCAAGAAGCTCCTGGTCTGAAGTGGGTGGAGGCCAGGGACAGTGCTCAGCACCCTGCAGTGCCTAGGACCACCCCAAATGTCAGCAGTTGTGACGCTGCGGAACCCTGGATGTCCTCACTCGACCACCCCAAATGTCAGCAGTTGTGACGCTGCAGAACCCTGGGTGCCCTCACTCAAGACCACCCCAGATGTCAGCAGTTGTGACGCTGCGGAACCCTGGGTGTCCTCACTGTTTCTTGGGAGGATATAGTTAGTTCCCTGTCGGGAGGGGGTAAAATTCAGCTCCAAGACTTATAATTATGCTTAAAAACATTTAAGAGTCAGCCGTACGCGGTGGCTCGCACCTGTAATCCCAGCACTTTGGGAGGCTGAGACAGGAGGATTCCTTGAGCCCAGGAGTTCGAGACCAGCCTGTGCAAACAAGTGAACCCCTGTCTCTTAAAAAAAAAAAAAAAAAAAAAAAAAAAAAAGCTTAAGTGCCTACAATCCACACTGGTAGTATTTGTGTGTTTAAAAAGCCTGAGTATTTGCTATCTTAAATATCTAATGTTGGAGCTAATTTGGTTTAGTGGAAAACCAGGTGAGCCTGCTTCAGACAGCTTAAGTTTACAAACAAGGCTGACCCTTCAAAGGCCAGGGTCTTTGTAACATTTACAGAGGATGCATTAATTTCTCCCCAAATGGTCGTCCTGGGTCCAGAACAGGCAGGAGAGGCTGGGAAAGCCCATGCCTCCAGGGTGGTCCCAAGCGCTGGTGCCTGTCACTTGCTGGACTCCTGACAGTGCAGGGCAGATGATGAGGGCACGTGTGCCTTTGCCTGGGCGCGTGGGGCCGCGTCGTCTGCAGGACGGGAAGGTCTGGGGCTCGGAGGCCTCGGTGACCTTGTCTTTGGGCTTGCCTGACGCCCCCTGAGGTGCTCCCTGTGGCCCCATGGACCTTGCCCCTCCCCACTCACTTGCCCTCTTGACTTTCAGCGCCAAGAAGAGGGAGGGCGAGCTTACGGTGGCCCAGGGCCGTGTGAAGGACCTGGAGTCCCTGTTCCACCGGAGCGAGGTGGAGCTGGCAGCTGCCCTCAGCGACAAGCGCGGCCTGGAGAGTGACGTGGCTGAGCTGCGGGCCCAGCTGGCCAAGGTAGGTGCCAGGAGCCACGGGACGCCCCAGCAGGGTATATGCAACAGACAGATTGTCACACCAGCTCGCTGTCCTGTGTCTCCCAGGCCGAGGACGGTCATGCAGTGGCCAAAAAGCAGCTGGAGAAGGAGACGCTGATGCGTGTGGACCTGGAGAACCGCTGCCAGAGCCTGCAGGAGGAGCTGGACTTCCGGAAGAGTGTGTTCGAGGAGGTGAGTGAGTGGCCTGGCCTCCAGCCTGGCACAGCGGAAACGCAAAGTCCACCCTCATGGCTGTGGAGGGCGGAAGCCTGAGGGCACCGTGTGGCCGGGGTCCCTCCCACGGCTCTAGGGAGGCTCCTTCCTGCCTCTTAGGGTGCCCTTGGCTTCGGCTGCGTCTCCCCAGTGTCTGCCTCTGTCTTCCCGCGGCTGCCTCCCCTGTGTCCATACTCTGTGTATCCTACAAGGACACTTGTCATTGGATTTGGGGCCTGCCTGGATCATCCAGAGTGACCTAATGGCATCTGCAGAGACCCCATTTCCAAATAAGGTCCATTCACAGCTGCTGGGGATCGGGATGTGGGCACGTCTTTTTTTGAGATGGAGTTTCACTCTGTCACCCATGCTGGAGTGCGGTGGCACGATCTTGGCTCACTGCAACCTCCGCCTCCCAGGTTCAAGCAATTCTCCTGCCTCAGCCTCCCGAGTAGCTGGATTATAGGCGTGCACCACCATGCCCAGGTAATTTATGTATTTTTAGTAGAGACGAGGTTTCACCACGTTGGCCAGGCTGGTCTCGAACTCCTGACCTCAGGTGCTTCATCCGCCTCGGCCTCCCAAACTGCTGGGATTCCAGGCGTGAGTCACCATGCCCAGCCAAAACATATCTCTTCAGTGTCAAGGAAGGTCTATTTTGATTTCTTGCCTTTCTAAAAGCTTGGTGTTCCCACCCTGAGAGCTGAACCCTGGCCGCCTGGGATCCTAACTGCTAGACCATGAGGCAGGCGTCAGGTGCATCTTCTGGGTGCCACCGTCCAGCCTCCCACAGGGCCTCCTTGTCCAAAGCGAGGGTGAGGCCCGCTCTCCCCACCCAGCCTCCTTCCCTGACCTGCAGCCCCTCACCTGGGGCCTCTGCCTCCGGGGGCTCGGAGAGGGGAGTGGGGAGGAAAGGCGTCAGCCTGTGTCCTTTAGAACCAATTGTGCTGTCACAGTGCAGGGTGGAATGCCGGGGCCGGCCGGGCCCACACTCCCTGCCCAGGGAGAGCTGCTGGCTGCTGGTGGAGGGATGTCCAGGCCGCTCAGGAGCTGCGCCCCGCTCTGGCCAGGCCCAGGGAGTGGGGGGGGCCCCACAGGAGCCAGAGGGGAGGCCGCCAGGGCAGTTGTGAAGGGGCCTGTGGGGAAACCTGTGAGACAGCCCGTGAAGAGACTCACGAGAGCTTCTGTGCGGGGGCCCAGGAACGTGCCCCAGGTGGAACCCACAGGGCACCTGGGAAAAGACCCACGAAGGCGGTGCAGGGGCCGGGAAGAGGCCCTGGAGGGGCCCTCACAGGGAGCTGCGGTAGGGAGCTTGATGATGCAGGCCTGTGCAGCCCACAGGGTGCGGAGTCCTGGAGAGGGCGGCCGTGGGGGCGGAAGGGCGGCCGTGGAGGTGGGTGCGCGGCTGTGGTGGCGGGAGGGCGGCCGTGGAGGTGGGTGCGCGGCCGTGGTGGCGGGAGGGTGGCCGTGGAGGCGAGAGGGCGGCCGTGGAGGTGGGTGCGCGGCTGTGGGGGTGGGAGGGCGGCAGTGCAGGTGGGTGAGCGGCCGTGGAGGTGGGTGCGCAGCCGTGAAGGCGGGAGGGCGGCTGTGCAGGCGGGTGCGCGGCCGTGGAGGCGGGAGGGCGGCCGTGGAGGTGGGTGCGCGGCCCGCAGGGCTCTGCTTGCCTGGGCTACCCGCCTTGCTGACTGCAAAGGTGGCCAGCTTCCTTCAGAAGCGTTTCTACTGTTTTTGTTTTGTTTTGTTTTGTTTTGTTTTGTTTTTGAGATGGAGTCTTGCTCTGTTGCCCACACTGGGCCCAGCCTCCCGAGTAGCTGGGATTATAGGTGCACAGCACCACACCCAGCTAATTTTTTTCTTTTGAGACGGAGTCTTGCTCTGTCACCCAGGCTGGAGTACGGTGGCATGATCTCAGCTCACTGCAACCTCCGCCTCCTGGGTTCAAGCGATTCTCCTGCCTCAGCCTCCTGAGTAGCTGGGATTATAGGCGGGTGCCACCAACCCGACTAATTTTTGTATTTTTAGTACAGACGGGGTTTTCACCATGTTTGTCAGGCTGGTCTTGAACTTCTGACCTCATGATCCACCTGTCTTAGCCTCCCAAAGTGCTGGGATTACAGGCTTGAGCCACTGTGCCCGGCCTAATTTTTGTATTTTTAATAGAGATGGGGTTTCACCATGTTGGCTAGGCTGGTCTCGAACTCCTGACCTCGTGATCTGCCTGCCTCAGCCTCCCAAAGTGCTGGGATTACAGGCATGAGCCACCACGCCTGGCCCGCTTTCTTCAATAATGGCTTTTATAAGAGAGAGTCACTTTTTTTTTTTTTGAGACGCAGTCTCACTTTGTTACCCAGGTTGGAGTGCAATGGTGCGATCCTGGCTCACTGCAACCTCCCAAGGTCAAGCGATTCTCTTGTCTCAGCCTCCTGAGTAGCTGGGACCACAGGTGCCCGCCACCACACCTGGCTATTTTAAGTCCACCTTTTTAAAGTGTACAGTTCAGCATTGGCAGGATCTCCACAGGGTTGTGCAACCACCACCTCTAATTCTAGAACATTCCATCACCCAAAAAGAACCCCCTCCCCATCAGCAGTCCCCAGCCCTGGCCCCCACGCATCCCCTCCCTGTCTCTGTGGATGGGCCTGTCCTGGACATTTCAGGACATTTCATGGAAATGGGATCACGCACCGTGTGGCCTTTTGTGTCTGGCGTCTCTCATTGAGTGTGACGTCCTCAAGGTGCATCCATGCTGTGGCGGTGTCAGAGCCTCGCTCCTTTTCGTGGCTGAGTCACGTTCTAGCGCGTGGACGGCCCCTGGGTCGCCTCTCACCTGCACGTGTATCGGTTTGTAACTTGTGCACAAGGAACCAGGAATTGCCTGGAGGTTCCTCTTGGCACATTTTTGAGCCCTCCCTTGGGCCTGGTGCTTGGGGCCCAGGCGGGACCAGAGGGTCACGAAGCCTTGGTCCGCAGGAGGTGCGGGAGACGCGGCGGCGGCACGAGCGGCGCCTGGTGGAGGTGGACAGCAGCCGGCAGCAGGAGTACGACTTCAAGATGGCACAGGCGCTGGAGGAGCTGCGGAGCCAGCACGACGAGCAAGTGCGGCTCTACAAGCTGGAGCTGGAGCAGACCTACCAGGCCAAGGTGTGGCCGGCAGGCGGGTGGGCGGGGGCGGCCGGTGGGAACCCCGCCCCGCCCCGCGCCCGCACTCACCCGCCCGTCTCCCCACAGCTGGACAGCGCCAAGCTGAGCTCTGACCAGAACGACAAGGCGGCCAGTGCGGCTCGCGAGGAGCTGAAGGAGGCCCGCATGCGCCTGGAGTCCCTCAGCTACCAGCTCTCCGGCCTCCAGAAGCAGGTGATGAGCACAGCGCCACCGTCTGCCGTCCCCCTGGCCCAACTTCTGGGCCCTGCCCTGGATGTGCGGGGCGTGGGGCTCTGGCCTCTTGGCATCGGATGCAGCCCTCGGGGCGCCCAGCGATGCCCCTTCCCTCCCCTCCCGTGCGCCCCATGCCCAGGCCTGGTCTCTGCCCCAGTCTGTGGTGAGGGCCCATCTCCCGCAGTCCCAGGATCACCTGGGCCTTGTGACCCATGGGCTGCCCTGACCTTCGCCACCCGCCCCCTCCGCAGGCCAGTGCCGCTGAAGATCGCATTCGGGAGCTGGAGGAGGCCATGGCCGGGGAGCGGGACAAGTTCCGGAAGATGCTGGACGCCAAGGAGCAGGAGATGACGGAGATGCGGGACGTGATGCAGCAGCAGCTGGCCGAGTACCAGGAGCTGCTGGACGTGAAGCTGGCCCTGGACATGGAGATCAACGCCTACCGGAAGCTCCTGGAGGGCGAGGAGGAGAGGTGCGGCAGGCCAGGAGGCTTGGGAGCACAGAGTGAGGAGGAGGGGCAGGGCAGGAGGAGAGGCGGGACGGGGCTGCGGGGAGTGCTGGGCAGGGGTGGAGGTGGGGCCGGGCCGTG
The DNA here is from genome assembly GCF_000001405.40 of Homo sapiens. NCBI lineage: Eukaryota > Metazoa > Chordata > Mammalia > Primates > Hominidae > Homo > Homo sapiens. Next base: position 2,434,177 of record NC_000019.10, on the reverse strand, counting down.
GCCGCCACTCTGCGTGCCCTGGGCTGTCTGGGGCTCCCACTACCAGTCCCACCTTCCTTGCCTTCCCCACAGGCTGAAGCTGTCCCCCAGCCCATCCTCGCGCGTCACCGTCTCACGAGCCACCTCGAGCAGCAGCGGCAGCTTGTCCGCCACCGGGCGCCTGGGCCGCAGTAAGCGGAAGCGGCTGGAGGTGGAGGAGCCCTTGGGCAGCGGCCCAAGCGTCCTGGGCACGGGCACGGGTGGCAGCGGTGGCTTCCACCTGGCCCAGCAGGCCTCGGCCTCGGGTAGCGTCAGCATCGAGGAGATCGACCTGGAGGGCAAGTTTGTGCAGCTCAAGAACAACTCGGACAAGGTGACCGGAAAGACCGGGGCATGGGGGTAACGGGGTGACCCAGCTGATGGGGGTGACCAGGGTCAGGGTGACGGGGCTGCCGGCCAATGCGAGGCAGGGGACAAGGTGACCGGAATGACCGGGGCATGGGGGTAACGGGGTGACCCAGCTGATGGGGGTGATCAGGGTCAGGGTGACGGGGCCGCCGGCCAATACGAGGCAGGGGACAAGGTGACCGGAATGACCGGGGCATGGGGGTAACGGGGTGACCCAGCTGATGGGGGTGACCAGGGTCAGGGTGACGGGGCCGTCGGCCAATGCGAGGCAGGGGACAAGGTGACCGGAATGACCGGGGCATGGGGGTAACGGGGTGACCCAGCTGATGGGGGTGACCAGGGTCAGGGTGACGGGGCTGTCGGCCAATGCGAGGCAGGGGACAAGGTGACCGGAATGACTGGGGCATGGGGGTAACGGGGTGACCCAGCTGATGGGGGTGATCAGGGTCAGGGTGACGGGGCCGCCGGCCAATACGAGGCAGGGGACAAGGTGACCGGAATGACCGGGGCATGGGGGTAACGGGGTGACCCAGCTGATGGGGGTGATCAGGGTCAGGGTGACGGGGCCGCCGGCCAATACGAGGCAGGGGACAAGGTGACCGGAAAGACCGGGGCATGGGGGTAACGGGGTGACCCAGCTGATGGGGGTGACCAGGATCAGGGTGACGGGGCCGCCGGCCAATGCGAGGCAGGGGACAAGGTGACTGGAATGACCGGGGCATGGGGGTAACGGGGTGACCCAGCTGATGGGGGTGATCAGGGTCAGGGTGACGGGGCCGCCGGCCAATGCGAGGCAGGGGACAAGGTGACCGGAAAGACCGGGGCATGGGGGTAACGGGGTGACCCAGCTGATGGGGTGACCAGGGTCAGGGTGACGGGGCCGCCGGCCAATGCGAGGCAGGGGACAAGGTGACCGGAAAGACCGGGGCATGGGGGTAACGGGGTGACCCAGCTGATGGGGTGACCAGGGTCAGGGTGACGGGGCTGCCGGCCAATGCGAGGCAGGGGACAAGATGACTGGAAAGACCGGGGCACAGGGGTAATGGAGTGACCTAGCTGATGGGGGTGACCAGGGTCAGGGTGACAGGGCCGCCGGTCAGGACGAGGCAGGGGACAAGGTGACTGGAATGACCAGGGCATGGGGGTAATGGGGTGACCTAGCTGGTGGGGGTGACCAGGGTCAGGGTGATGGGGCCACCAGCCAGGGCGATGGGGGCGGTGTCACAGTCCTGGTGGCTGAGGGTCAGGTGTGTGCCGTGTCTTCCAGGATCAGTCTCTGGGGAACTGGAGAATCAAGAGGCAGGTCTTGGAGGGGGAGGAGATCGCCTACAAGTTCACGCCCAAGTACATCCTGCGCGCCGGCCAGATGGTCACGGTAGGTGGTGGGGCAGGAGGGCGAGGGTGGCCACGGATGGGGTGTGAGGTGGGGTCAGGGGACTGGAGGCACAGGACTTGGCGGGGGTGGGTGGGGATGATGGTGGCACCAGGCACCGTCTCAGAGCGGCTGCCGCAGTCATAGAACCTCCATGTGCTGGTGTCACCCCACTGGGCCTCCCTGGAGCCTGAGTGGTGTGCCCTGGGTCTGAGTCCAGGCTGCTGGGGCTGGCAGGCGTCCCCGTGAAGTGTTAACAGTCAGGCGCATGGGCCATGGAGCCTGGTGGGTGTCAGATCCCAGTTCAGCCCCTGCTTGCCAAGAGCCCTTGGCCTCTGTGAACCCTGGTCTCTTCTTGTGTATCCTGGGGACCATCACCCTGGATAAGCCTGCGTCGGGCTGGAAGGACTGAACGCCCAGGGCATTGAAGGGGGCTTTGTGGTAGGGGCCACTGGCTGGCCCACGTCCCTGGAACCAGAGGTGACCCTGATGGGGCCATTGTTATTGGGTCCTCAGGTGTGGGCAGCTGGTGCGGGGGTGGCCCACAGCCCCCCCTCGACGCTGGTGTGGAAGGGCCAGAGCAGCTGGGGCACGGGCGAGAGCTTCCGCACCGTCCTGGTTAACGCGGATGGCGAGGTGGGTGTGTGTGGCTTGGGGGGTGCTCGGCTGGAGTCCTGGGCAGGGTCTGGGCACCCTCGGGGCCGCCACAGCAGCTCTGGGCCCGATCCCGGGACATGCCGCCGTGTCCTGTCCCGCACAGGAAGTGGCCATGAGGACTGTGAAGAAGTCCTCGGTGATGCGTGAGAATGAGAATGGGGAGGAAGAGGAGGAGGAAGCCGAGTTTGGCGAGGAGGATCTTTTCCACCAACAGGTAGGACCCCTGTGCCCACTTGCGGCTGGGGGGCAGCCTCTGGGGCAGAGTGAGCTCGTGCACACACATACACATGCGTGCTGGCCGCATCCCCGACGGGAGCTCCATCTGGCTGCCGTGGCTCAGGGTGAAGCCAGCCTTGGCTGTTACCAGCACGGCAGAGACCTGTTCTTGCCTCCTGGGTCGTGCCCATCGTGTGAATTTGCGACATCACAGACCTCAGGGTAGCTGGCCAGGGGGTCCCCTGAGAGGTGGGTGTTGAACAGCTCCCCAAATGCTCTCTGGTCAACCGGCTTCCTCAGTCGAAGACACAGGTCCCTTCAATACTGGCTTCTGGGGAGAAGATGAGTGCAGAAACCACAGCTGCATTAAACGCGTGCGTCGCAAGTTCCTGTGACTGTTTTGGAACCCAGAACAGAATGTGTAGCTCACAGGCGGGCTCATGGGGACATGGAAGTGGAATGGAAGGCTCTAGAAATAGACACTGTTGTTGCTCAGCCCCTCCCTGGTGGGGAGGTGGGGGCAGCCATCTACCTGCCGGCTGCCTCCAGGCTGGCCCTGATCATGGCCGACCTTCCTTCCTTCCTTCCTGCAGGGGGACCCGAGGACCACCTCAAGAGGCTGCTACGTGATGTGAACCCACACTCCTCATCCACACACCTTTCTTTACCCAGAGCCACTGAAAACTATTTTTATATCATTGGCTTTCTTTAGTTCTTGATACATTTCTAGAGAATTTCTAAGCGAACTGCCAGAACGTGTGGGTGGGTCTCCCCCAGCCCTCCCTCCTGGCGGGTCTCCTCCAGCCTCACTTCGCTGCCACTTCGCCGCTGCCCCGGAGACTTTTCAATCCCACCCCACTCCTCATCTCACCATTTGGTCAAATTGGAAGCCCAGGGCCAGGACCCGGAGGTTTAGAAGATGCTTGGGCTTGGAGGGAGGAGGGCCGGCGAGGCTAGCGAGGGGACAGGAGACGGCCCTGCTGCGGACGGAGCGCGGAAACTGCGTAGGAATTCAGTGGTGGTGGGTTTTTTTAAGGCTTTCTACAAAACCAAATTCAGAATCCAGGCGTCGACCTGGTGGGGCCCGGGGCCAAGCCTGCATTCTGGCTGCCCAGCTTCGGACAGCGGGAACTCCTCAGGCAGCCACGCAGCGGGTGTGGGCCAGCATGGGGATGGCGTGGCCCCCAGGGCGGGTTTTCACTCCGCTGCCTGGGCTTCCAGATTCCCGTTCTGGCAGCGCACCGGCCGGGTTTCTCGGACCGTTGACTTTATTTGGGGGAGTTTTCCCGCAGTTCAGTTCCTGACTGTGCAAGGCCAACAGGGCAGGGGAGGGGAAGACCTGGGGAAGGAAGAATGAGGACAGTCCCGTCGTAAGACCTGTCACAACAATAAGCAGGGAGGGGAGATGTGGAGGGGACACATCTGGTTGCCTTGGAGGCAGAAGCTGTGAGTTTCAGAACAGCTGTCTGCAGGGAACGCCACCATGTTGACCCTCTGGAGGAGAGCGCTGTGGAGCCCCTCCCGTGTTCCAGCTCCGTCTGCCCTGTGCCTATATATACACATGCGTCTATCCATACTGTGCTTTTATCTGTGATTTTCTCGCTGAAACCATGTTTCTCAGACAGGCCAAGGCCACCTGACTCCTATCACGACGCACCCAAGCCCCTCAGTCCAGCTTCCCAATGCCTGGCACCCCCCTTCGGCAATAGCTCACCGTTTACACCCTCCCTCATAGATACACAGAAGTTATTTTTTTAATGGATATTTATTTTTTTACATTGGTCAGTACACAGGTCAGGAGCTCACGCCAGGGCCTTGAGGACAGGCTGACCCTCCTCCCCGGGGTGGCGTGGGGCTGGGGCACCCTCCGACGGCAGAGCCTCCTTCAGAAAGTGCAGCTCAAGTCTTAAAGACACCAAAACTGAGCCATGGGCACGCGCCGTCTCCGGGCCATGGCGTTCACTGCAGGGCGGGGGCGGCACCGCTCCCCTGTGACTGCATCCCGCCTCCCTGGGGACCTGCCTGTGGCAGGAAGGAATGGGGGGCCCCAGCCCCAGGCCGGGAAGGAGCCAGCGGCCGACAAAGCAGAAACACCCGCTGCTCCACGTAGCCCCTGCTCGCTGTCCTTGCTCTCAGAAGTCCCGGTCCCATGTAGATAGAGGGGGGCGCATCTTACCAAAGCATTTCCTCCTGGAGGCTACGCCGCTGTGCTCCCAGTCAGGCGGCTGGTAGGGAGCTTTGCCTGCCCCGGGGATACCCTCTGCCAGCCGCTGGAAGTGGGAATGCTGGCGACAGACTGTGTCCTCTTTCCCACCTTCATAGCAGGAATCACCCGGACCCGACTGGCTGGGCTTCGTGCTAGCGAGGGTTCTGGGGGTGGGTCTTGGTGATCTTGTCCTATGGGGAGTCTGCAGTGGTCTCAGCCACATCCTATGTATTTTGGCTCTGGAGGAGCAAAGCTGTATCCTGGAGTTGGTCTGTGATTTGCCGACAGCCTTGCAGGCTGGGCTCAGGGACAAAGTCCCCCCCAAAACCCGCAGGTCCTCATGTCCAGACGCTGCCCAGTCCTGTCCTGAAAACAGCACGCCCCAGGCCCACAGAACCCCCCACCCTACATTTGCCTTGGGTGGAGCTGGGGGTGGTCCTAGGACTGCGGGTGCCCTTAGCTGAAGGGGGTGGGGAGAAGCGTGGACTGGGCAGCCTGTGGGTAATTGGAGGTTCATTGAGAATTGAGTCTTTGGAAACACTAAGAAAATCAAATTTTTAAAAGTTATTTATGGCCTGGGAAACAATTTGCATTTGTCCCCAAATACGCTTAGCTGTGTGCCGCTTAGAACGATGCGAAACCATCCCTCTGTGTAAGCCCGTGCCGTGTGACTCGAAGCCTAGCGCCCTCCCTGCGAAGCATCAGACGCCACCCAGCCCTGGGGGGAGGCCCACGCCTGCTGGACCAACGCGGGTTCTGGGGTGCACAGCGCCAGGTTAACGCTGAAGCCTGCCCCGCTGAGCCCAGGAGCCGGGAGGCCTGCGGGCTGACCCAGAATCCGATCATGCACCTGTCCTCATGCCAGCGGCTTTGGCTGGGGTTGGTCTGAAGCCTGCACGCGGCAGTTCTTTGTTAAAGATCTGAGGGACTCCTCAGTCCTGGGGCGTCGCCGCCTGCAGCCTCTTCCAAGCCCTGCGTCCAGCGAGCGTCACAGCACAACCTGCAAAAACGGAGCTGGGCTGCAGCTGGGGCTGGCATGGACTTTCATTTCAGAGATTCGGTTTTTAAGAAGATGCATGCCTAATGTGTTCTTTTTTTTTTCCAATGATTTGTAATATACATTTTATGACTGGAAACTTTTTTGTACAACACTCCAATAAACATTTTGATTTTAGGTTCTGCCTCTGAGTTTATTCCTGAGGGGAAGCTCGAGCCGGGGCCTCTGCCCTAATGAAGCGGATGTCTAAGAAAGATCCCTCCACCCCCAAGGAAAAAGGTCACTGGCTAGTGTAGCTAGTGTAAACAGGACCCAGGCGATGCATGGGACCCTGCCCTTTTTTTTCTAGTGAGCCTCCGACGCTGTTGCACAAGCTGACTCTTCGTCACGTGATGCGACCGGGCTCCGCCCCGGCGGCAACACGCTGTATAGACGCGCCGGGTGCCTCGTGCGCATGCGCGGCAGGCCCTTCGGGACGAGCTGGAGGCAGAGCGTGAGTACAAAGTGATCGGCCTCGGCCGCACGTAGTAGCCCCCCTACTCCCCGGCCAAGTCAGGGCCTCCCTCTTCCCGCGGAGTCGCAACCACGGGTAGCTCGTGTAGGTAACGGCAGGTCCAGGCCTCCGCATGAGCGGAGGGCCCCCCGCGCGACCTTGAATGGCCCGGGCGCGCGCGGTCGTGTGGGAGTTGTAGTCCTCCGTCCCCGTCCGCGCGGACTCCGTTTCCCGTGGTGCCCCGGGCGGCCCGCTTCCGGCGCAGTTAGTTACGAGTCGGCGCACGCGGCCTCGGTCCGGTTGACTTTGCGGAGCCATGGAGGGCGGCTTCGGCTCCGATTTCGGGGGCTCCGGCAGCGGGAAGCTGGACCCAGGGCTCATAATGGAGCAGGTGAAAGTGCAGATCGCCGTGGCCAACGCGCAGGAGCTGCTGCAGGTGCGGGGCTGGCCGGGGACGGGCGCTGGGGGCGACAGGGCCACCCCTGGGGGCCGACGTCGCGGCTAAAGCCTCGCGTGTCTCCACAGAGGATGACGGACAAGTGTTTCCGGAAGTGTATAGGGAAACCTGGGGGCTCCCTGGACAACTCCGAGCAGGTGAGACCCGCGGAGGTTCGGGGCAAGGGTCGCGAGGGCCTAGATTCGAGGGGGGAGGTGTCTGCGCGTGCGCAGACTAACGGGGAGGTGCGACGGAGTGGTCACTGCACGTGCGTAGTCTGCAGCCCGGGCGTCCTGGAGCCGGGGTCAGGGCGGTCCCCGGGGCCGCGAAGTCCCGAGCTGAGCCGTGCGCCCCTCCGCTCCCGCAGAAGTGCATCGCCATGTGCATGGACCGCTACATGGACGCCTGGAACACCGTGTCTCGCGCCTACAACTCGCGGCTGCAGCGGGAACGAGCCAACATGTGACCGGCGAGCGCGGGCCACCCCACCCTGTTCATTTCCATAAACGTGCTTTGAGAGGCGGGGTCCGCATGTACGTACTGCCTGCCCGGGGCTTAGGAGGGTGGCACCGGTGCTGGGACACACGGGACTGTGTCCTCGCCACCCCCCGCCCTGCCCCCTGCCAGCCAGTGCAGCTTGGATCTCGGGGGTGTGGGGCCCTGTGCCTTCCTGAAGTGCTGGCAGCCCAGTGGCACCTCCTTCAGGCCTTTGGGGTATTCCCCTAGTGTGCCCAAGTCAGCCTCATATTCTGGGCGGACAGCTTGTCTGGACTTCGGAGTTGGGGGTGGTCAGACACCACAGGAGCTGTCACCTCCTGCGGATGGGCAAATAAATTGGTGGAGGACGGAGAGAAACCTCTTTATTTCCCTCCTGAGGGGTCTCTGGGAAGAGGTGACGCGTGTCCCTGGAACCCCAGCTCGGAGGGTCTCAGCCTCCCCTGGGTTGGGAGAAGTCCATCTTTCCCCTTAGTGCCACCGGGCTGCTGAGTCACGAGGAATGTGTTGCTGCTGCCACCCCTGCCCCAAAGGCTAAGGGGGACAGCCTTCCCCTTGTCAGGGCTTGCTTTGACCCTGCTTCGTTCCACCCCGGGTCCTGGTGGAGCACCAGGCAGGTGGTCCTCGCTGTGACACTGAGGTGCTGAGCCAGTGAGCTAGGGTGGAGGGGCTGTGTTTATTGGAACAAAGGGTGGTACCAAAATGCATCCCCATGACCCACAGCCCCCCCACACCCGTCCTTGGGTAGGGTACGGTGGGGTGGGGTGTTGGGTGGCCTGCTGCTCCTGTTGCTTTCACGTAGAGTCTCGGCCTGGGCAGTCACGTGGTGGTCACTCCTGGATGTGCTGTCCTATCCAGCCTCTCACAGCTGCCACCCGGGTATAGACACCTGGGAAGTGGGGCCGGCCACAGCCATAGCCCCAGCTAGTGACCCCAGTTAGCACCCACCGTCCAGAGGGCTCCCTGCAGGCCAGGGGTCCCCCAGCGTCACCCTGTTGGGGAGAGAAGAAAGGGGGTTCAGAGGCCGGTACCTCCCCTACAGCAGCCCTTGGGTCATTGGCCCCTCTAGGAGTGACCCTAGTGACTTCCCCTGGGAGCCGCATTTTCACTATCTGGAAAATGGGCTCAATGCAAAGGTGGCAGACATTTATGGACACCCGCCACGTGGTCCCGGAGTGGAACGGTGCCTCCCACTGCAGCCTCTGCCTGCTCTGCCGCCGAGGCCCGGGGATGGGATGCGGTGGGTTGCCCAATAAACGGCTGTGGAGTGGAAATTCCTCCAGAGCCAAAAAGGCTCCCTGCTTGATCCGCTGGAGAAGCCTGCACCGGAGGGTGGCTCCCGGATGGTGGGCTTCGTGGCAGCGGGAACCCGCCCTCCCCGGCGGCTGGGCGGGACCTGGTCCCCTGGGCCGGGGCGGGGCTCACCGAGCAGCTGTCCACGCCACCCTGCGGGAAGCCGGCACACAGCATGCGGCTGCTGATCTGCACTGGGTAGAAGCGGCGGCAGGTCTGCTCGCTGAGGAGGCGCACGGCCGCCTTCTGCAGCTGCCGCGCCATGGAGCCTGCGGGCGGGCGAGCGAGACGGGGCGGGTGGGGACCGCGTCCGGCCGCCCCCCGAGCCCCGCACCACCGCGGCCCCGGGCGCGCCTACCTCCTTCGCGCACCGAGCCCCAGCCGGTGATGACGCAGCGCGTGCCGTCCGGGGGTCGCGGCGCGGGCTCGGGCAGGCAGATGGGACGCACCAGGCGGCTGCGACGCACCGGCCCCGCCAGCTCCAGCAGCGCCACGTCGTAGTCGAGCGTGTAGAGATTGTAGAACGGGTGCTTGTAGATGCGCGCCACGCGCTCCAGCTGCCCCTCCGCGCCGCTCAGGAACGGCGTGCCTAGGAAGGCCGCCCACTGCTTGGGGTCCCCGTAGCTGCGGGGCGCGCGAGGACAGGCGTCGGCCCGAGCCCCCACGCCCCCGGCCCCCGCCCCTGTGGTGTCCCCCAGCGGCCGGCTGGCACCCTGGGCAGGGTTATTGGCCTCTTGGTCTCTGGCTGTCGGTCTGGGAATGGGCTCAGTCTCCCCCATCAGGCACCGAGGCGGCACCGGGAACTGCAGCCGTCACCACCTAATATGAGCGCTCTGAAAAGGGGTCTAGTGGCCGTGCGAGTCCCGCCCCCCGCCTGCCCTCCCCTTCTGACCTCCAGCCCTGCAGAGCCCAGAGCTGGGTGTCCCCTCTGGAAAACCGGACCCCTCGACTGCCAGGGCTTGGGCCCTGGGGAGGGCAGCTTTCTACTGGGTGGGCTTTGGGGGGCTGGAGCCAAGTCCCAGGGGCGAGGGCTGGGGAAAGAAGTGACCCCAATGTTCCCGTGGGCTTAGCCTGGAGCTGGAGGGGGGGGGCCGCAGCTTCCGGGTTAGGTGGGGACCGCGGGGTAGGACTCGGCCTTCGCAGCCCCAGCCCCGTGTGGTCAGGCTAGGGGGTGGGTGGTCAGGGGAGGGCTGCAGGGAGCGAGGATGGGGAGATGGGGGGTGGGAGGAGTGGCCTGGGGCAGTGGGAGCCGGGGTTGGGGAGGGCACTCCCGGCAAAGGAGGGGGTCAGGGTGCGTTTTCGGGCAACAGTTCGGTTCCGGGTGAGCTACAGAGACATGTAGGGGCATTTGGAGCGTTTGGAACTCACACGTCGAAGCAGTGCGCCGCCGACAGCAGCCACCTCTCTGCCACCAGCACGGCCCCGCAACGGTGTTCCCGGCGCCGCAGCCACAGGCTCACCTGCCACGGCCACTCCCCACGGCCCGCTGCGCTGCCGCCCACAATCCTGGTGAGCGCGGCCGGCGCCAGGCCACAGTCTGCGGGGGAGCCAGGCGCGTGGGCAGGCGGACCCAGGGCACCTCCTCCACGAAGGCCCCCCTGGGCGCCGCCTCTCCACGAATCCCCCTGGGAGCCCCAGGGAGTAGGTTGTGATGGGGGACCTATCCCAGGAAAACTCAGCAGGAAAGGACACTGGGCCTGCTGCTTGGTCTTTGGGCTTTTCTCAAATAACATTGGAAATGCATTTGTTTCCTATGACTTCAGTTTTGGGACCATACGTTTCCCCTGCCGGAGGCCCCTCTCATGGCAGCCTCCCACATCTCCGTCTTCCAGGAGTTCCCTCCCACCCCAAGGCCTTTGCACACACCAGGGCCCCGCCCCAGAGGCCCCAGCCCTGCCTTGGTGCCCTCTGCCTGGATCCCTGATCACCTCCAAGCCCTCCCCAGACGGTGCCAAGCGCAAAGGCCTTCCTCAGAACCCAGCTGTGGAAAGAACACGTGGGTGGTTTCCAGGGGGTTTCAGGGACCCTGTTACCACCCATGGAGGGGGTCCCATACCCACCTGCTGTCTCCAGAGGCGTGTTTTCCTCCTCAGGGGCAAGCCCCCCCGCCGCCCTCTATCACCACCCAGCTGGCTTCCCTGGGTCCCCCCCGCCCCCCACCCCCCACCAACCGCCATCCAACCCGCAGCAGCTACCAAGGCCAGTAAGGGGAAATGCCAGTTCCCCACCAGCCTTGGCACCGTCTGGCCCTGACATAAGACCAGGTGGCCTTGGATAATCTGACAGCAGCCGCAGCCGCTGTCCTTGGGAACACCAGCTACCTCCACACAGAACCCGCCTGTATTTTGAGGGGGGCCTTCTCCACCTCTTTTGGGCCCAAAGAGATCCCACGCCATAGCTATTGAAAAAGTCAAAATCAGCTGAGACTGAGAAAGTGAGAGCCCCCAGGCTGCAGGGACAGACCTACATGAGGGCAGCTGCCAAGTTAGCAAGAAACACGCACCCAAGGACATGGCACAGCTGTGAACCATCAAAGTCCCTGCTTTCATTTTTTTTTTTTTTTTTAATTTTTTTAGAGACAGGCTGTGTCACCCAGGCTGGAGTATAATGGCATGATCTCGGCTCACTGCAGCCTCTGCTTCCTGAGCTCAAATGATTCTCCTGTCTCAGCCTCCCCAGTAGCTGGAACCACAGGCATGCACCATCACGCCTGGCTTTTTATTTTTATTACTATTATCTAGCTGGAGTCTCACTCTGTTGCCCAGGCTGGAGTGCAATGGCACGATCTCGGCTCACTGCAACCTCCACCTCCTGGGTTCAAGCGATTCTCCTGCCTCAGCCTCCCAAGTAGCTGGGATTACAGGCACCTGTCACCATGCCTGGCTTTTTTTATTTATTTTTTTGTAGAGATGGGGTTTCACCATGTTGGCCAGGCTGGTCTGGAACTCCTGACCTCTGGCGATCCACCCGCCTTGGCCTCCCAAAGTGCTGGGATTACAGGCATGAGCCACCGCGCCCAGCCAGAGAGGCCGTTATGTCTTTTTCTTTTTTGAGACGGAGTTTCGCTTGTTGCCAGGCTGGAGTGCAGTGGCATGCAGCTCACTGCAAGCTCCGCCTCCCGGCTTCATGCCATTCTCCTGCCTTAGCCTCCCGCGTAGTTGGGACTACAGGCGCCCACCACCACGCCTGGCTAATTTTTTGTATTTTTTTAGTAGAGACAAGGTTTCACCGTGTTCGCCAGGATGGTCTCGATCTCCTGACCTCTTGATCCGCCCGCCTCGGCCTCCCAAAGTGGACGACGTTATGTCTTGTTAGGCAGCCCAGGCTGATTAACATGGGACCCTCCACTCCCAGGGATCCCTCCGTCTCTCCCGGTACCTGGTAGCTGGGTGTGTGTGGTGGCCTCCGGGGCGTCTGGAAATGGCGTCTGTCCCCTAGCAGTGGTGCTCACGGCAGATAAGGTTGAGTTGGCAGGTTGGCCCGTCACCCTGCTGGCAGCCCCAGGGGTGGGTCTGCTGGGTGTGGCCCCCGGGACTGTGAGGCCAGCTGTCGTCCTGGGGCTGGTGGTGGCCAGCATCCTTGTGGTCGAGGGGGGAGACATGGGAAGGGGCTGGGAGGACATGATCTCCAGGATCCAGCCCTTTAGCCTGGTGATGCGCGTGTACACGCCCGGCTTCTTAACCTGAGCGCAGCCAATACCCCAGCTCACGATCCCTGCCAGATAAAACACGCCAGGGGCCTCCTCGCAGGCCAGGGGGCCCCCAGAGTCACCCTAGAAAGGAAGGAAAGAGCACTGGTTGGTCCTCCAGGGACCCTCTCTTCCCAGCACTGCCATACCCTCCTGCGTTCCTACAGTGGGTGGGAGCCATCGAGGGCGGGGGGCAGAGGGCACAGCGCGGGTCTGGAGACCTGACTGCAGCCCCATGCCTGGCTGTGTGACCTGGAGTGAGTCACTTCTCCTCTCTGAGTTTCCATCATTCTTGCTTTTGTTTTGAGGAGGTAAAACAATGCAGAAAAACTCTAAAAATAATAACAATAAGGCCAGGCGTGGTGGCTCACGCCTGTAATCCCAGCACTTTAGGAGGCTGAGGCAGGCAGATGATGAAGTCAGGAGTTCCAGGCCAGCCTGACCAACATGGTGAAACCCCGTCTCTACTAAAAATACAAAAATTAGCTGGGCGTGGTGGTGGGCGCCTGTAGTTCCACCTACTAGGGAGGCTGAGGCAGGAGAATGGCGTGAACCCGGGAGGCGGAGCTTGCAGTGAGCTGAGATCGCACCACTGCACTCCAGCCTGGGCAACGGAACAAGACTCCCTCTCAAAAAAAAAAATAAATAAATAACAACAATAACAGCCATGAATAGTCCCACCATCTAGAAGTAGCCCCTGACCACTAGCTGCCAAGCTTATTTCTTTTCTTGAGGCAGAGTCTCGCTCTTGTTGCCCAGGCCAGAGTGCAGTGGGATGATCTCGGCTCACTGCAACCTCCACCTCCTGGGTTCAAGTGATTCTCCTGCCTCAGCCTCCCGAGTAGCTGGAACTACAGGCATAAGCCACAACGCCCGGCTAATTTTTGTATTTTTAGTAGAGATGGGGGCTTCACCACGTCGGCCAGGCTGGTCTCCAACTCCTGACCTCAGATGATCCACCCGCCTTGGCCTCCTAAAGTGCTGGGATTACAGATGTGAGCCACCTGGCCTGGCCTCAACATTCTTTTCAAGATAAAAAGCTAACTATTGTGAATCGCCCATTTATATAGAGAATAAATAGTATAATAATAGATACTATAAATACCTATTATTCTATTTTTATTGTCAGATATAAAGAACAAATATAATGAATATATAGGAAGAAAAGACTATGCAAGACACCGATCTCACAACACTCCTAGAAGACAGGCATTGCTATGCTTCCCACTTTACATATGGGGATCAGAGTCCCAGAGAGGTTAAGGCACTTGCCTGGGGTCACACAGTAGTTGAAGCAGGATTTGAACTCAGAAGTCTGATTGAAGAACTTGGGCTGGGTAGGTTCCCATTGCAGGTTATTTACCACCTTCCTTTTAACTACTGTGTGTGAATGGGCATTTACACTGTCATTGATATTTTGTATTGATTAGTAATAATGGCATCTAACTTTGAGAGTTACTATTGAAATCTGATGCCATTTTTTTTTTTTTTTTTTTGAGGTGGAGTCTCACTCTGTTGCCCGGGCTGGAGTGCAGTGACATGATCTCGGCTCACTGTGACCTCCGCCTCCTGGGCTCAAGCAATTCTCCTGCCTCAGCCTCCGGAGTAGCTAGAATTACCAGCACCCGCCACCATGCCTGGCTAAATTCTTGTAGTTTTTTAGTAGAGACAGGGTTTCGCCATGTTGGCCAGGCCAGTCTTGAACTGCCTACCTCAGGTGATCTGCCTGCCTCGGCCTCCCAAAATGCATGCCACTGCACCCGCCCTTCGTTTTTTGAGATAGGGTCTTGCTGTGTCGCCCAGGATGGAGTGCAGCTGTGTGATCACAGTTTACTGCAGCCTAGACACCTGGCCTCAAGAGATCCTCCCAGTTCAGCTGCCCAAGGAGCTGGGACCACAGGCACCTGCCACTCTGCCTGACAAATTTTTTTTTTAAATTTTTGTAGAGACGGGGTCTCACTATGTTGTCCAGACTGGTCTTGCAATCCTGGCCTCGACTGATCCTACCTCAGCCTCCTGAAGCACTGGAATTACAGGCATGAGGCACTGCACCCAGCCTGAAAATTAACCTGTCTGTGTGTGCACGGTTGAGCCCTTCAGAAATCTGGGCATGGTGGCTATGGCCGGGTGCAGTGGCTCAGGCCTGCCATCCTAGCAGTTTGGGAGGCTGAGGCGGGCGGATCACCTGAGGTCAGGAGTTCGAGACCAGCCTGGCCAACATGGTGAAACCACGTCTCTACTAAAAATACAAAAATTAGCTGGACGTGGAGGCACATGCCTGTAGTCCCAGCTACTCCAGAGGCTGAGGCAGGAGAATCACTTGAACCCAGGAGGCAGAGGTTGCAGTGAGCCGAGATCACGCCACTACACTCCAGCCTGGGCGACAGAGTAAGACTCCATCTCAAAAAAAAAAAAGGAAAAAGAAAAAGAAATCTAGGCTGGGTACAGTGGCTCACGCCTGTAATCCTAGCACTTTGGGAGGCCCAGGTGGGCAGATCACGACATCAGGAGATCGAGACCATCCTGGCCAACATAGTGAAACCCCGTCTCTACTAAAAATACAAAAATTAGCTGGGCATGGTGGCGGGCGCCTATAATCCCAGCTACTCGGGAGGCTGAGGCAGGAGACTCGCTTGAACCTGGGAGGCGGAGGTTGCAGTGAGCCAAGATCGCACCACTGCACTCCAGCCTGGGCGACAGAGCCAGACTCCGTCAGAAAGAAAGAAACAGAGAGAAAGACAGAGAGAGAGAGAGAAGGAAAGGAAAGGAAGGAAAGGTAGGGAGGGAAGGGAAGGAAAGGGAGGGAGGGAAGAGAAGGAAAGGGAGGGAGGGAAGGAGACGGTGGGAGGGAAGGGAAGGAGAGGGCGGGAGGGAAGGGAAGGAGAGGGTGGGAGGGAAGGGAAGGAGAGGGCGGGAGGGGAAGGAAAGGGAGGGAGGGAAGGAAAGGAAAGGTAGGGAGGGAAGGGAAGGGAGGGAAGGAAAGGGAGGGAGGGAAGGAAAGGAAAGGTAGGGAGGGAAGGGAAGGGAGGGAAGGAAAGGGAGGGAGGGAAGGAAAGGAAAGGTAGGGAGGGAAGGGAAGGAAAGGGAGGGAGGGAGGGAAGGAAACGGAGGGAGGGAAGGAAAGGGAGGGAGGGAAGGAAAGGAAAGGTAGGGAGGGAAGGGGAGGGAGGGAAGGAAAGGGAGGGAGGGAAGGAAAGGGAGGGAGGGAAGGAAAGGAAAGGTAGGGAGGGAAGGGGAGGGAGGGAAGGAAAGGGAGGGAGGGAAGGAAAGGAAAGGTAGGGAGGGAAGGGAAGGAAAGGGAGGGAGGGAGGGAAGGAAACGGAGGGAGGGAAGGAAAGGGAGGGAGGGAAGGAATGGAAGGAAAGGCCAGGGAGGGAAGGAAAGGGAGGGAGGGAAGGGAAGGGAGGGAGGAGAGGGAAGGAAAGGGAGGGAGGGAGGGAAGGAAAGGTAGGGAGGGAAGGGGAGGGAGGGAAGGAAAGGGAGGGAGGGAAGGGGAGGGAGGGAAGGAAAGGGAGGGAGGGAAGGAATGGAAGGAAAGGCCAGGGAGGGAAGGAAAGGGAGGGAGGGAAGGGAAGGGAGGGAGGGAGGGAAAGGGAGGGAAGGAAAGGGAGGGAGGGAGGGAGGGAGGGAAAGGGAGGGAAGGAAAGGAGGAAAGGAAAAGGAGGGAAGGACAAGGAGGGAAGGAGGGGGGGAAGGAAAGAAAGGAAAAAAATCTAGGTCTGCACACAAAGAACTGCTGGGTGAACGGCTGTGGGCATTTCATGGAAATATTGCCCGCTTTCCCCCTTTGAATGCTTACCTGGCAGGAGTCGACTTTGCCTTCCAGGAAGCCTGCGCAGATCATGCGGTCTGTGAGGGAGAAGTTGTAGAGCACACTACAGGTTTTCTGGTCTATGATGCCCACGGACGCCTTCTGCAGGAGCTCGGGCTTGGTGGCTACCAGGGAAAGAGCCAGAAAGGCCACGTGCACAGTGATCATCAGAGCAGCTCCAGTTCCGCTCCGATAACAGCCCCGAGATGCAGCATCCCCACCCCACAGACGAAGAAACCAGGGCTCACAGAGTTGCAGGAATCTCACAAAGCCACAGAGTGAGGAGGAGGTGGGCCTGATGGCCCGCTCAGAGCGCAAGAGTCTCCCCACTGTCCCCATGGGGCTGCCGCCCTAGCACCTGGGTAAGGTGTAGGAGGCCATTCTGAGGTCAAGGGAAGCATTAACTGTTGGAGTGGGAGGGGTCTCGGGATAGACTAGCGCAAGCAAGCACCAGTGAGCATTTGCTTTTTTTGTTTTTTGAGACAGGGTCTTGCTCTGTTGCCCAGGCTGGAGTGCAGTGGCATGATCATGGCTCACTGCGGCCTTGAACTCCCAGGCTCAAGTGATTCTCCTGCCTCAGCCTCCTAAGTAGCTGGGACTACAGGCATGTGCCACCATACTCGGCTAATTTTTTATTTTTCTATTTTTTTTTTTTTTTTTGAGATGGGAGTCTCGCTCTGTCACCCAGGCTGGAGTGCAGTGGCACAATCTCAGCTCACTGCAGCCTCTGCCTCCCAGATTCAAGCAATTCTCCTGCCTCAGCCTCCCGAGTAGCTGGGATTACAGGCATGCATCACCACACCCGGCTAATTTTTGTATTTCTAGTAGAGACGGGGTTTCACCATGTTGGCCAGGCTGATCTCAAACTCCTGACCTCAAATGATCCACCCTCCTGGGCCTCCCAAAGTGCTGGGATTACAGGTGTGAGCCACCACATGTGGCCGCCGGCAAACATTTTCTATAAATGGTCAGAGAATTAAATATTTTCAGCTTTAAGGGCCAGTCTCTGTCACAAGTATTTAACTCTGCTGCTATTGCAGGAAAGCAGCCATAGACAATCTGTTGATGTGTGAACATGGCCCCTGTTCCAATAAAACTTTGTTTATACAAACAGGCAACAGCCAGATTTTGCCCCCAGATGGAATGGGGAAGTGAGAGGTGTGTGGGCAGCGGGACCAAAGACAAAGGGATCAGCCACAGAGGTCCCTGTGCAGTGGAATTGGTTTAGGGTCCAGGTAAGAGATGCCCATCCTGACCCTCCCCAGGCCAGGCCCTGGAGAATAAATCCACCGTTCCCCTCGATGGGGCAGCGCTCACCATTTCCTTCCTGCGTATTTCCCCATCCGGAGATCATGCACTTCCGGCCCACAGGGAACTTCTGGATGGCCAGGGGCAGGCAGACAGGCTGGATGTATTTGTTGAAGGCCAGGGGGCTGGCCAGCTCCAGGACAGCCAGGTCGAAGTCCAGGATGCCAGGGTTGTAGAGGGGGTGCAGCACTACCCGCCGCAGCCCGATCTTCACCGGGCTCCCGCCCAGGCCCAGGAGGGACGCAGTGCCCAGGTGGGCCCGAACCTGCTCCACCTTCGTGCTATGGAGACAGGGCCCTCAGACATGCCTGCCCTCCAGCACATGCCCGCCTTCTTGGGGAGGGACAGGGCTGATGCACACCCCCAGGAAGCCACACAGGGCTGCCTGGGCCCCAGGACCATCCTCTGACCTTCGGCTCCAGGGAGGAGGACCAGGGAAAGAGGGGCTGCTGGGCTCCTCCTGAAAAGGATCCCAAGCTGGGGGACCTCGGACAAGTCAGGGGACCCTCAGGCTTCATTTTCTACACCTGTGCCAATGCCCCCCCCCAACCCCCTACAGCTTTATGAGTCTCTTTTTTGTTGAGACAGGGTCTCGCTCTGTTGCCCCAGATGGAGTGCAGTGGCACCATCAGGCTCACTGCAGCCTCGACCTCCTGGGCTCAAGCAATTCTCCTGCCTCACGCTCCTGAGTAGCTGGGACCACAGATGCGGGCCACCATGCCTGGGAATCTCCAAGATAAACGCTGCCTGGGTAGCAAGCAATGGGGAAGGAACCCTCCTCCCCCTCCCCTGGTTAGGCCCTGTTTGTCCTTAGAAGCCTTGGCACCGGCTCCCTCCTGTCTCTCAGCTGCCCTCAGGAGAGGAAGGGCTGCTCCCCAGTGGGGTCCATGCAGCAGCCCCAGCAGGATGGTTTCTGACAGGGAGGGGCTGGTGAGGAGGGGAAGCCGGGCAGCCTTCCTGGAGGAGGCGGGCCTTACTGGTTGAAGCAGTGGGCGGCAGACAGCAGCCAGCGGTCCCCCACCACAGTTGCTCCGCAGAAGTGCCGGGACCCTTCCTTCAGGCTGACCTGCCAGGGCACCTCCCCGGAGGCAGCTCCGAACCCGCCCACGACCCGGGTGGGCTTCTCCATTGCAGGCCTGGCCCCACATTCTGGAAGGAGGACACAAGACCAGGTCTGGGGATCTTGGCCTGCTCGGGTGGGAGCATCCGGTGGGGTGGTCCCAGGACACCGGTTGCAGCCAGGCCCTGAAGATGCCGCAATCCCTCCCGTTCCACACAAGAAGCCGTGGAGGCTTCAAGGTGTCCGTAGTTTGCCCAAGGTCCTGCAGCAAGTTCGTGGCCTCGCTTCGGGGACAGAAGTTAAGAAAGAAACATACAGCGGCCCAGTCAGCCCGAGGACCCCCCGCAACAGACCCCACCACAGACCCGCAGCCCACAAAGCCAGGTTTATGGCCTCCTTGCAAAGACGGGGCTGCACTCCAGGAGACCCATGGGGCGGCTGAGAAAAGGAAGGGTACGATTGTTAGGGGGTTTCGGAACAGAGTGTGGGGTGTAGGTGAACTGAAATGAAGCATGGCCGGGCGCGGTGGCTCATGCCTGTTATCCCAGCACTTTGGGAGGCCAAGGCGGGCAGATCACCTGAGGTCAGGAGTTCGAGACCAGCCTGGCCAACATGGCGAAACCCCAACTCTACTAAAAATACAAAAATTAGCCAAGCATGGTGATGGGCACCTGTAATCCCAGCTATTCAGGAGGCTGAGGCAGGAGAATCACTTGAACCGGGAGGTGGAGGTTGCAGTGAGCCGAGATCACACCACTGCACTCCAGCCTGGGCGACAAGAGTGAAACTCCGTCTCAGAAAAAAAAAAAAAAAAAAATAGGAATGCAACTAACAGTTTTTGGAAACAGAGATATAGTCCTACAAGTTTTCTTTTTTCTTTTTCGAGATGGAGTTGTGCTCTTGTTGCCCGGGCTGGAGTGCAGTGGCACCATGTCACCGTATCAGCTCACTGCAACCTCCGCTTCCTGGGTTCAAGCGATTCTCCTGCCTCAGCCTCCCAAGTAGCTGGGATTACAGGTGCCCTCCACCATGCCCAGCTAATTTTTAGTATAGATGGGGTTTTGCCATGTTGGCCAGGCTGGTCTTGAACTCCTGACCTCAAGCGATCTGCCCACCTCTGCCTCCCAAAGTGTGCGATGACAGGCACGAGCCACCGCACCCTGCCAGTCCTACAAGTTGTCTGGGTACAAACTATTTGAAAATACAATAGAAAGTATTCCAGACCGGGCATGGTGGCTCACACCTGTCATCCCAGCATTTTGGGAGGCTGAGGTGGGCAGATGATGAAGTCAGGAGTTCGAGGCCAGCCTGACCAACATGGGGAAACCCCGTCTCTACTAAAAATACAAAAATTAGCCGGGTGTGGTGGCCTGTGCCTGTAATCCCGGCTGTTCAGGAGGCTGAGGCAGGAGAATCACTTGAACCTGGGAGGCGGAGGTTGCAGTGAGCCGAGATCACGCCACTGCACTCCAGCCTGGGCGACGGAGCAAGACTGCGTCTCAAAAAAAAAAAAAAGTATCCCATTGATAGATCGCCATAGTTAACAAGACATGGGCAAGACCTGTGGACAGAAAGATACCATGAGGGTACACGCAACGTAAGATGGGAATAAACGGATACACATGTGACCTTTCCTTGAACAGGAAGATCCAAAATTATGAAGATACTATGACGATATCCGTTCTCCCTAAATCAAGATAGGCACGTACATCATCTTCTACCTTTCTGCCCCGAAAATACCTTGTAGCTTAGGAACGGTGACCCAGTCAAGAGGCACGGTACTGAGGGCCTGCATCGATTTGGTGGGGGTGCTGACCACAGGGCTCTCAGGACTGGTGGGCCAGGCTGTGCTGGGGGCGGCAGGGGCAGGAGCCATGGTGGGGGCCAGAGGCATGCTGGCTTTGGTGGTGGCCTCCAGGATCCAGTCACGTAGCCTGGTGACTCGGGCATAGACCCCTGGACGCCGGGCTTCCGCACACCCGATTCCCCAGCTCACGATGCCAGCCAGAAAGAACCGGCCAGAGGGCTCCTCGCAGACCAGGGGTCCTCCTGAGTCACCCTAGGAAACCAACACACACCCTCAGGATGGGTCGGCAGCAGCCAGTCCAGACACCAGTGCTACGAGGCCCAAGAAGGAGCTCTGAGCTGGGACAGCCAGGACCTCTCTCCACACAAGCTCACAGAGCACCTGGGGCTGATCATTGACATCTCAGAACCTGTTTCCTCTTCTGTGGAGGAAAAAAAACAAAACCCAAGACAGTTGGACTATAGGATCTCTAAGATGTCTTTCAGTCCTACCTCTGGCAGGCCAAAACGTGACCCAAATAAATAACATCCCCTCCTCTTCTTAACTCAGTAGATCTTTGATAATGTCACCACTTGCTTAGGCTGGCAGTATGGCTGCCACGCGGGTGCCTCCATATATCTCACTGGTAGCTGCAGCATTGCTCCCAAAGTGCTCATCTGCTGTCACTCGTCCGGCCTCACCATTTTTTACCTTCCCATATCCAGTTCACCCTGACCCTTACGTTCTGTGTATCGTTTTTTTGTTTGTTTTTGTTTTTGAGATAGAGTTTTGCTCTGTTGCCCAGGCTGGAGTGCAATGGCGTGATCTCGGCTCACTGCAACCTCCTCCTCCCAGGTTCAAGCAATTCTCCTGCCTCAGCCTCCCAAGTAGCTGTGATTATAGGCACGCATCACCACGCCCGGCTAATTTCTTGTATTTTTAGTAGAGACGGGGTTTCACCATGTTGGCCAGGCTGGTCTTGAACTCCTGACCTTAAGTGATCTGCCCACCTCAGCCTCCCAAAGTGCTGGGATGACAGGCGTGAGCCACCGTGCCTGGCCGACTCTTACATTCTTAAACATGAGCCCTCTCATTAGTTCCTAGCATTTTCTCCAGATTCTGGTTTCAATATGGCAATCTAAGCACATGTAGCAGTCTCTCCCATCTTTTCCTCACCCACCAGGCCTTAGAAACAAGAGCAAAGGTATGCACAAGAAAGACAGGAATCCACAGCCATGCTAAAAAAATTAGGCAGGAGAGATCCCTGGTTGTGGACCAGAAACCATGAAGACTCACGAGAGGCTGACAGAGGAAGTGGCAGCCCAGCCCATGTGCAGAAGCTCAAGACACAAGAGAAAGCTTTCTCAAGAGGACCTGGGTTGGTTGGGGTAGAAAAGGGATTTGGGCAACCACAAAGGATAAATGAGACCAGGAGGTCTTTGGTCCCTTGAAAGGGTACATAGAATCCAAGAACACAAACTGTTAATGTCCCTCGCCAAGAGAAAGTGAATAGCAAATATAAGATCACGGCAAGAATTGAGCGACATTTTTAAATTTTCAATTTTGTTTGAGACGGCGTCTCACTCTGTCACTCAGGCTAGAGTACAGTGGCGTGATCTTGGCTTACTGCAACCTCCACCTCCTGGGCTCAAATAATCCTCCCACCTCAGCCTCTCAAGTAGCTGGGACTACAGGCATGCACCACCAAACCCAGCTAATTTTTGTTTTTGTTTTTGTTTTTGTAGAGACAAAAGTTTTGCTATGTTGCCCTAACTGGTCTCAAACTCCTGGCCTCAAGCGACCTGGCTGCCTCAGCCTCCCAAAGTACTGGGATTACAGGTGTGAGCCACTGCACCCAGCTTTTCATTCTTAAGCACCAGTTGAGGGATTCCAATCTCCATGAAATAAAGACACTCAGTTACAACAGAATAACTTACGTTTGCCTGAAATACAGTTAACCACAAATATAGAATATAGAAGAAACATAACGGATTAAATTACGATCCTCAGAGAAAAAGAAAGAAATGGTATCCACGAAACAAGAACAGGACACTGCAAACAAGACCAGGTGGCTGAAAGAAGAAAGAATGAGACACCTTGAAAACAAAAATTATAATTGTCGGCCGGGCCTGGTGGCTCACACCTGTAATCCTAGCACTTTGGGAGGACAAGGTGGGCAGATCACCTGAAGCCAGGATTTCGAGACCAGCCTGGCCAACATGGCGAAACCCTGTCTTTACTAAAAGTATAAAAATTATCCAGGCGTGGTGGTGGGCACCTGTTATTCCAGCTACTCGGGAGGCTGAGGCATGAGAACCACTTGAAACTGGGAGGTGAGCCAAGATGGTGCCACTGCACTCCAGCCTGGGTGACAGAGCGAGACAGTGTCTTAATTAAAAATACAAAAATTAGCTAGGTGTGGTGGCGCATGCCTATAATCACAGCTACTCTGGAGGCTGAGGCAGGAGACTCGCTTGAACCTGGGAGGCGGAGGTTGCAGTGAGCTGAGATCACACCACTGCACTCCAGCCTGGGTGACAGAGTGAGACTCCATCTCAAAAAAAAAAAAAAAGAAGAAGAAGAAAAAGAAGGTTCCAGGTATACAGCAGAAGCAGCTTTGGATGACCCCTGATTTTCTCTTTTTTTTTTTTTTTTTTTTTTTTTTTTTTTTTTGAGACAGAGTCTTGCTTTGTCGCCCAGGCTGGAGTGCAATGGCGTGATCTCAGCTCACTGCAACCTCCAGCTCCCAGGTTCAGATGATTCTCCTGCCTCAGCCACCCGAGGAGCTGGGATTACAGGCACCTGCCACCACGCCAGGCTAATTTTTGTATTTTTAGTAGAGACAAGGTTTCGCCATGTTGCTCAGGCTGGTCTCAAACTCCTGACCTCAAGTGATCCACCCGCCTTGGCCTCGCATAGTGCTGGGATTACAGGCGTGAGCCACCGTGCCCAGCCCTGGAACCTTCTTGAGTTGAGCCTGCAGCTCACTCATGGCCCAGCTGACCACCCAGGGGCAAAAGTCCACGGGGTTCCCATAGACCAACCCTTCCCATACAGACGGAGAGAATCTGATGCCCAGGGTATGTGCTGGCATCATTCATACAAGAGGTGTTTCTTGGGTGCCACGTTGTATCAGGCCCAGTGCTGGGAACAGTGTCTGTGTCCCCACACAAGTCCCGGTTTGGAGGGCAGCTGGGGGGGATTTACACAGGGACCCCATCATAGCCAGGGAGATTACTCAGGGACCCCAGGCTCTGTGGCACGCACCTGGGGCCCACTGGAAGGGAGCAGGGAGCCATGGAGGGCAGAGGAGGGATTGAAGTCAGGTTAGAGCTTCTGGAAGATCCTCTAAGCAGCACCTGCCTCTCAATCCCAACTGCTTTAAAATTCCTCAAGAACGGGCATCCAGATATCTGTGAATCGCCCAGCATTTGAACACGCTCGTGTCTGTGTTTTTCTGGGGTCTGGGGCGTTGGGGGCTCACAGCGGGCATCCAGATATCTGTGAATTGCTCAGCATTTGAACATGCTCGTGTCTATTTCTGTGTTTTTCTGGGGTCTGGGGCATCGGGGGCTCACCTGGCAGGAGTCCACCTTCCCGTCCAGGTAGCCAGCGCACACCATCCTGTCAGTGAGTGAATGGCCGTACAAGCTGGCACACAGTGCCTGGTCCAGCAGCTCCACAGTGGCTTTCTGCAGCACCTCTGGCTTGACCACTGGCCGAATGGGGAGAGAAAAGCAGGGTGAGAGTGCCGGAGCCCTGGCAGCCACTTTGAGCTGGGAGGCTGAAGGACAGCTCCTCTCCAAGCCTCCCTCAGTTTCCCCAGCTCCAAGCATGGCCACCTACAACACATGGCTCTGAAACTACAAAAGGTAAACACCCCACCTGGTAACACTCTCTGCCTGGACAAGGAAGAGGCATCAGACTTAACACCCCCAGCCCGAGGTCCTCATCTCCCTTCCGCAAGCTCCACCCCTCAGCATTCCCCATCTCAGGGATCTCAGGCCCCTCATTCCAGGTCCACAGTCCTCAAATTCCAAGTTGGCCTCAGGTCAGCCCCCAAATATACACAGAATCAGCCCCTGTCTCACGCCCATCCTTGCCCGGGTCATTATAGCTGTTCCCCACTCACTTCTCTTACTCTGGTCCCACCCCACTGAAATCCATTCCCAACCCGGCAGCCAGCACCACCCTTGCTAAATATTAAATCAGTCACATCAACCCCTGCCCTGCTGTCCTCCCACCCCAGGGCCTTTGCACATGCTGTTCCCGCTGTCTGAAATGCTTGTCCCTGCAGAATTTGCCTGACTTGCTCCTTCATCTCCTCTCTCCAGGAGGCATCTCCTGACCTCCCTATTTAAAGCTGCAGCTGCCACCCCCACCTTATTTTTCTCCACTGGATTCATTTCCCTCTGTCAGTCATCTTGTGGCTGATTGACAACCCCCTGGAACTACACCACCCAATATAGTAGCCACTGGCCACAGGTGACTATTTAGATGTGCATTTTAGTACATTAAGATCAATTTTTTTGGCCGGGTGAGGTGGCTCACACCTGTAATCCCAACACTTTGGGAAGCTGAGGCAGGAAGATCACGAGGTCAGGAGATCAAGACCAGCCCGGCCAACACGGTGAAACTTTGTCTCTACTAAAAAATACAAAAATAAAGTTGCCGGGTGTGGTGGTGCATGCCTATAGTCCCAGCTACTCAGAGGCTGAGGCAAGAGAATCGCTTGAACCCGGAGGCGGAGGCTGCAGTGAGCAGAGATCGCACCACTGCACTCCAGCCTGGGCAACAAGAGCAAAACTCCATCTCAAAAAAAAAAAAAAAAAATCGCAGTAGCATCGATGATGGGTTATAAATATATCTTAGCAAGCAGTGGAATTCGTGAATACAGAATCAGAGAATAATGCAGACCCACTGTGTTTTTCTGCATCATCATTATTATTATTATTATTATTATTATTATTATTATTATTATTTTGAGATGGAGCCTCCCACTGTCACCCAGGCTGGAGTCCAGTGGTGCGATCTTGGCTCAGTGCAACCTCCATCTCCTGGGTTCAAGCAATTCTCCTGCCTTAGCCTCCTGAGTAGCTGGAATTATAGGCACGCACCACCATGCCTGGCTAATTTTGTGTGTGTGTGTGTGTATTTTTTAGTAGAGACGGGTTTTCACTATGTTGGCCAGGCTGGTCTCAAACGCCTGACCTCGTGATCCACCCGCCTCGGCCTCCCAAAGTGCTGGGATGACAGGCGTGAGCCACCTCACCTGGCCCTTTTCTGCGTTATTTGCCCGCCTGCCTGCCTGAGCTCACTTGCAGGCCGAGGAAGATGCTTACGGAAGTCCTCCTTGAGGTAGCCCCAGCCTGAGATCAGGCACTTCTTGCTGGGTGGGAAGATGTGTGTGGCAGCCGGGAGGCACACGGGCTGGATGTGCCGGCCGAAAGGCAGAGGGCTGGTCAGCTCCAGCACAGCCACGTCAAAGTCGGCCGTGTCCGCGTTGTACAGGGGGTGCTTGACGATCTGGACCACCTGGGCCCGCACGGTGCTGGCCTCCGAGCCGCTGAGGTAGGTCGCACCCACGTAGGCCACCCACTTCGTCGGGTCTTGGAACCTGCAGGAGCAAACCCCAGCTCAGAAGCCACCGAGGGTCAGAGCCGTCGGGGGAGGCAGACGGGACACTCGCCTTGGGTGCAAAATGTAAGGGGTATCCCCCCACATTAATATTTATGAATAGTATTTATAAAAATCAGGCCAGACACAGTGGCTCATGCCTGTAATCCCACACTTTTGGAGGCTGAAGCGGGAGGATCACCTGAGCCCAGGAGTTCAAGACGAGCCTGGGCAACATAGCGAAACACAGTCTTTAAAAACAACAACAAAAAACAGGCCAGGTGCGGTGGCTCATGCCTGTAATCCCAGCACTTTGGGAGGCTGAGGCGGGAGGATCACGAAGGCAGGAATTCAAGACCAGCCTGGCCAAGATGGTGAAACCCCATCTCTACTAAAAATACAAAAATTAGCCGGGCATAGTGATGGGCGCCTGTAATCCCAGCCACTCAGGAGGCTGAGGCAGAGAATTGCTTGAACCCGGGAGGTGGAGGTTGCAGTGAGCTGATATTGTGCCACTGCACTCCAGCCTGGGCGACAGAGCAAGACTCTGTCTCAGAAAAAATATATATATATTAGCGGGGTGTGGCGATGTGCACCTGTGGTTTCAGCTCCTCAGGAGGCTGAGGTAGGAGGATTGCCTGAGCCTGGGAGGTTGAGGCTGTCATGAGCTATAGTGAGCTATCACTGCGCCACTGCACTCCAGCCTGGGCAACAGGTAACCTGTCTCAAAAAAAAAAAAAAAAAAAAAGAAAAGAAAAGAAAAAAATCACAGGTGCAGGAGAATGCATGATGCATGAAGTATCAACATTTTTGTTTTGTTTTGTTTTTTTGAGACAGAGTCTCGCTCTGTCTCCCAGACTGGAGTGCAGTGGCGTGATCTCAGCTCACTGCAACTTCCACCTCCCGGGTTCAAGTGATCCTCGTGCCTCAGCCTCCCAAGTAACTGGGATGACAGGTTTGCGCCCCCTATGCCCGACTAATTTTTTTGTGTGTTTTTAGTAGAGACAAGCTTTCACCATGTTGGCCAGGCTGGTCTCAAACTCCTGACCTCAAGTGATCCCCCCACCTCAGCCTCCCAAAGTGCTGGGATTACACTCATGAGCCACAAGCTCACTATAGCCTGTCCAAGTATCAACATTTTAAACAAAGACAGGATGAGACAGAGTTGGGATTAGGGTGAGGGGAGCCAGCCATGAGCCTTGGGCACAAAATTTAAAGAGTTGCCAAAAATCTCAGCCATCAAGATAAATGATATCGAGCCGGGTGCAGTGGCTCACACATGTAATCCCAGCACTTTGGGAGGCAGAGACGGGCAGATCACTTGAGGCCAGGAGTTCAAGACCAGCCTGGCCAACATGGCAAAACCACGTCTCTACTAAAAATACAAAAATTAGCCAGCCATGGTGGCGGGTGCCTGTAATCCCAGCTACTCGGGAGGCTGAGGCAGGAGAATCGCTTGATCCCGGGAGGTGGAGCTTACAGAGAGCCAAAACTGCACCACTGTACTCCAGCAGGGCGACAGAGTGAGACTCTGTCTCAAAAAAAAAAAAAGGATAATATCACGACAGAATATTTTAAAAAATCAAAGTGAATGCAAAAAATGTCCACAATGAGCAAAACATCAACAAAATGTCATTGGTCACCGAGAAATCCAAGTCAAAACCACAGGGAGATGCTACTTCACACCCACTGGCATGGCTACTCTCAAAAGAACAGCAAGTGGGCCAGGCACGGTGGCTCACGCCTGTAATCCCAGCACTTTGGGAGGCTGAGGTGGGCGGATCACCTGAGGACAGGAGTTCGAGACCAGCCTGGCCAACATGGCGAAAACCCATCTCTACTAATTATACAAAAAAAAAAAAATTAGCCAGGCATGGTGGCGTGCACCTGTAGTCCCAGCTACTTGGGAGGCTGAGGCAAGAGAATTGCTTTATCCCAGGAGGTGGAGGTTGCAGTGAGCTGAGATCGCACCACTGCACTCCAGCCAGGGCGACAGACTGAGACTCTGTCTCAAAAGAAAAAATAAAATAAAATAAAGAGGCCGGGCGCAGTGGCTCACGCCTGTAATCCCAGCGCTTTGGGAGGCCGAGGTGGGCGGATCACGAGGTCAGGAGATCGAGACCATCCTGACTAACATGGTGAAACCCCGACTCTACTAAAAATACAAAAAAAAATTAAATTAGCTGGGCGTGGTGGCGGGCGCCTGTATTCCCAGCTACTCGGGAGGCTGAGGCAGGAGAATGGCGTGAACCCGGGAGGCGGAGCTTGCAGTGAGCCGAGATCACGCCACTGCACTCCAGCCTGGGTGACAGAGCGAGACTCCATCTCAAAAAAAAAAAAAAGAAAGAAAGAAAGAAAAGAGGCCGGGCACGATGGCTCACACCTGTAATCCCAGCACTTTGGGAGGCCAAGGCAGGCAGATCACAAGGTCAGGAGATTGAGACCATCCTGGCTAACACGGTGAAACCCCGTCTCTACTAAAAATACAACAGGCGTGGTGGCGGGCGCCTGTAGTCCCAGCTACTCGGGAGGCTGAGGCAGGAGAATGGCGTGAACCCAGGAGGCGGAGCTTGCAGTGAGCCAAGATCGCGTCACTGCACTCCAGCCTGGACAACAGAGCGAGATTCTGTCTCAAAAAAAAAAAAAAAAAGAATGCCCTCAGATTCAACAACAGCAAAAGCAAGAAAGAAAGGAAAAGAAAAAATTACTTCCAGGGGCTCTAAGGAAACCAGAAGTGACGTCCCCAGTGCACGAGGGAAGGCAGGAGAAATACAGAGGGTTCGGGTTTGGTGCTTTGGGATGGGGGCTTACTCATTGAAGCAGTGAGCAGCAGACACCAGCCACCTGGCGTTGATGATGGCGGCCCCACAGAAGTGCTCCTTGTTCTCTCGAAGGCTGGCTTGCCACGGAAACTCCCCCGGGGATGCTTCCATGCCGCCCACGATCCTGCCGGCCATCCTCCAGGCAGGCTGCAAGCCACACTCTGCAAGACAGCAGGTCACCAGCCATGACCCCACGAAGGCAGGACCTCACCCTGAACTCCCAGAACATGCATCTCTGAGTCTCTCGTCTACAGTCCCTAAGTTCAAAGAGATGCTTGGGGGCCCCTCCTTGGCTTCCCTGACTCTTCTGGGGTCTCCCCATCCCTTCCTCTTCAACTCCTCGGCTGCCCCATCCTGGCACGTAGGTCAAGCATTCAAGGTCACGTGCACCAGTGAGTGGCAGAGAAAGGTCTCTATCTTAGCTGTGGGTAAGGGGCGATGACCCCACGTACATGTTTGTATAGGATATTGTGTCTGTCTGCTTATTTAGTCTACTTTTATGTCCTTCACAAAATTTTGTAATTCTATAATTATATATAATAATTATCATCACAGGCATGGCACGTTTGTAAGTTTAGTCTTTGATTTTTTTTTTTTTTTTTTGAGATGGAGTCTCGCTCTGTTGTCCAGGCTGGAGTGCAGTGGCGTGATCTCAACTCACTGCAAGCTCTGCCTCCCGGGTTCAAGGGATTCTCCTACCTCAGCCTCCTGAGTAGCTGGGATTACAGGCACCCGCCACCACACCTGGCTAATTTTTTGTACTTTTAGTAGAGCCGGGGTTTCACCAAATTGACCAGGCTGGTCTCGAACTCCTGACATCAAGTGATCTGCCTGCCTCGGCGTCCCAAAGTGCTGGGATTACAGGCCTGAGCCACGGCATCAGGCCTAGTCTTGATATTTTTTGTCACTACTGATCATGAAAGATATTTTTTCCTTTGTATCTTCTATCTTATTATTACTGTATAAAGCAAAATGACAGCTTTTTTTTTTTTGAGACAGAGTTTTGCTCTGTAGCTCAGGCTGGAGTACAGTGGCGTGATCTTGGCTCACTGTAACCTCCACCTCCCAGGTTCAAGGGATTCTCCTGCCTCAGCCTCCCAAAGTGCTGGGATTACAGGCGTGACCCACTGCACCCAGCCTTTATTCTAAATAGCTTTTTAGTCAATTTCTTGATTCATTTTATTTTACTCTTTCAGCTTCTCTCCTTCTGTTTGGATATTGATTTATTTTAGACAGACAATGATTTCAAATGAATTAAGATTTTCCTCTTCCTTTTCAATACTTAAACTGCTGTCCTTACCTTATTGCATGGGCTAGTATTTTTATAGAAACATTGGCTACTCTTCCAGCATTTTATTTATTTTTGAGACAAGGTCTCACTCTATTATCCAGGCTGGACAGTGCAGTAGTGCAATCATAGCTCACTGCAGCCTCAATCTACTGGGCTCAAGCAATCCTTCCACCTCAGCCTCCTGAGTAGCTGGGGCCACAGGCGCCCACCACCACGCTGGCTAATTTTTTTTTCTTTTTTTTTTTTTTTTTTGAGACAGAGTCTCGCTCTGTTGCCAGGCTGGAGTGCAGTGGCGTGATCTTGGCTCACTGCAAGCTCCACCTCCCGGGTTCACGCCATTCTCCTGCCTCAGCCTCCCAAATAGCTGGGACTACAGGCGCCCGCCACCACGCCCGGCTAATTTTTTGTATTTTTAGTAGAGAGGGGGTTTCACCGTGTTAGCCACGATGGTCTCGATCTCCTGACCTCGTGATCTACCTGCCTCAGCCTCCCAAAGTGCTGGGATTACAGGTGTGAGCCACCGTGCCTGGCCAATTTTTTTTTTTTTTTAGTAGAGATGGGGTCTCACTATATTGTCCAGGCTGGTCTGAAACTCCTGGCCTCAAGTGATCCTCCTGCCTTGGCCTCCCAAAGTGCTGGGATGACAGGTGTGAGCCACCGCACCCTGCTAATCTCTTACGGCATTTTAATTGTCTCTTTCCGTTGCTCACATCCCTGTGGCCACGCCCCACTGCTTATAGGACAGAGCTCCAGTTCCTGGTATTCAACACTTCCCAGGCTGTGGCCACAACCTCTGTTTTCAGCCTGATATCTTCTCCCTCCTCTCCCCAGGCTTCTTCCCATCACACACCTGCACTTTTCCTTTACTCTGCTGTTTGCTCATGTTTCTCCCCATACCATGGGTGCCCCTTTCTTTTCTCTGCCCAGCCCCCATAAATGCCAGGCCTGTGTGCCCAGTGAAATAAGCACAGTGACCACAGACCAGAGCCAGCAGCTGACCCTGGAAAAGGGAAGGGGCCCAGAGACCAGGCCAGACAGGCAGACTGACCGCAGTGCGCCTCGTCGGACCCATCGGAGCAGTCCTCCTGGTCGTCACACTCCGGGTTCACCTTGGTCACACACTGGCTGTTCCCGCAGGAAAAGGAGTTCCCTGGACAGCGGCCTGAGGACAGAAAAGAACCGACTTTCTGACCTCATGCTACATCTCCTGGTTGGAGTAAGGCACCATGCTATACTTAGTACCACCAGGGTACGGAAATGTGGAAACTCTCTCTCTCCTTTTCTTTCCTTTTCCTTGTTTTTATTTTTGTTTTTGAGACAGGGTCTAGCTCTGTTACCCAAACGGGAGTGCAGTGGTGCAATCACAGCTCACCGCAGCCTCTAACTCCAGGTTCAAGCAATCCTCCTGCCTCAGCCTCCTGAGTAGTTGGGACCACAGGTGCACACCACCAACCCAGGCTATTTATTTTATTTATTTTTATTTTATTTTATTTATTTATTTTTTTGAGACAGAGTTTCACTCTTGTTGCCCAGCCTGGAGTGCAATGGCACAATCGCGGCTCACCGCAACCTCCGCCTCCCTGGTTGAAGTGATTCTCATGCCTCAGCCTCCTGAGTAGCTGGGATTACAGGCACGCCCCACCACGCCTGGCTAATTTTGTATTTTTAGTGAGATGGGGTTTCTCCATGTTGGTCAGGCTGGTCTCGAACTCCTGACCTCAGGTGATCCACCCACCTCGGCCTCCCAAAGTGCTGGGATTACAGGCATGAGCCAGTGCGCCCGGCCTTATGTATTATTTTTTGAGACACAGTTTCACTCTGTCACCCAGGCTGGAGTGCAGTGGCGTGATCTCAGCTCACCGCAGCCTCTGCCTCCTGGGTTCAAGCGATCCTCCTTCCTCAGCCTCCCAAGTAGCTGAGAGTACAGGCAATACGCCACTATGCCCGGCTAATTTTTATTATTTTTTATAATAATTTTAAAAATTATTTTTGGCCTTTTTTTATTATTATTTTTGTAGAGATAGGGTCTCGCTCTGTTGTCCAGCCTGGTCTCAAACTCCTGGCCTCAAGTGATCCTCCTGCCTCAGCCTCCTGAAGTGCTGGGACGACAGATGTGAGCCACCGCGCCCAGCCTCGTTCCAGGGATTCCTTCACTTCCTTGAAATGAGTCTTAGGAAACCTCTGTCAGTAACTGCAATCAGAGAAAAGGCCAGAGAGAAAAACATACCTGATTTGAAGTCTCTTTCTGCCAAGGGTCCCTTATGTCTCCCTGCAACAAAACAGAGAAGATAGAAGCTCACTGAATAAGCGGTAAAACCCTTTGAACACATCCTATTGGCCGGGCGCGGTGGCTCACACCTGTAATCCCAGCACTTTGGGAGGCTGAGGCGGGTGGATCATTTGCGGTCAGGAGTTACAGACCAGCCTGGCCAACATGGTGAAACCCTGTCTCTACTAAAAATACAAAAATTAGACGGGTGTGGTGCCGGGCGCCTGTAATCCCAGCTACTCGGGAGGCTGAGGCAGGACAATCGCTTGAACCCGGGAGGCAGAGGTTGCAGTGAGCCGAGATCACACCATTGTACTCCAGCCTGGGCGACAGAGCGAGACTCCATCTCAAAAAAAAAGAAAAAAGAAAGAAAGAAAACGTCCTATTGCAGGCAGGTCATGGAGTAAAGTGAGCAGCTGCCTTGTCCACCCTGGCGTCACTTAAATTCTGCCTTCAATCAGCGAGGATGAAATCTACTTCAACACCGATCCTCAGTCTCACTTGCCCCACGGGGAGCACTCACCAGCCCCAGGGCTCGGACGGCCACCAAACTGCACAAGGCCTGGAACCTCCCTATCACCAAGGGAAGTTCTGTGAACGCTGGAGCAGAGGTTATTAAGACCTCGACCAGCATGTGACGGTTGGTGGGGAGGGAACCATAAATGTCCTGCATGTCAAGGTCAAGGTGACTTTTTTTTTTTGAGACGGAGTCTCCCTCTGTCGCCCAGGCTGGAGAGCAGTGGCGCGATCTCGGCTCACTTCAAGCTCCGCCTCCCGGGTTCACGCTATTCTCCTGCCTCAGCGTCCCAAGCAGCTGGGACTACAGGCGCCCGCCACCACGCCCGGCTGATTTTTTGTATTTTTAGTAGAGACGGGGTTTCACCGTGTTAGCCAGGATGGTCTCGATCTCCTGACCTTGTGATCTGCCCACCTCGGCCTCCTAAAGTGCTGGGATTACAGGCGTAAGCCACCGCGCCCGGCCATTTTTTTTTTTTTTTTAAGACAGAGTCTCACTCTGTTACCCAGGCTACAGTGCAGTGGTGCTATCTTGGCTCACTGCAACCTCCACCTCCACCAGGTTTAAGCAATTCTCCTGCCTCAGCCTCCCAAGTAGCTGGGATTATAGGCGCCCGCCACCATGCCCGGCTAATTTTTTTATTTTTAGTAGAGATGGGGTTTCACCGTGTTGGCCCGGCTGGTCTCAAACTCCTGACCTCAGGTGATCCACCCACCTCGGCCTCCCAAAGTGCTGGGATTACAGGCATGAGCCACCACACCTGGCAACAAATCTTTAACAATGGTCTGAACTTGCATCTGACTCTCCAATCATGACCTGCTGCACCGTACAATTTTGTTTTTTATTTTTTAAAACCAGGTGCATACAAAATCATGCACTGTATAATTTTATTTTTTATTTTTATTAATTTTTTTTTGAGATGGAGTCTCACTCTGTCACCCAGGCTGGAGTGCAGTAGTGCAACCTTGGCTCACTGCAACCTCCGCCTCCTGGGTTCCAGCAATTCTCCTGCCTCAGCCTCCTGAGCAGCTGGGATTACAGGCACGTGCCACCACACCCAGCTCATTTTTGTATTTTTAGTAGAGACGGGGTTTCGCCATGTTGGCCAGGCTGGTCTCGAACTCCTGATCTGAAGTGATCAGCCCACCTTGGCCTCCCAAATTGCTGGAATTACAGGCATAAGCCACCACACCCGGCCTTCCATACAATTTTATTAGAGTGTAGCATTTATCCTTGATTCTACAGTAGGGGGTTGGCCAACTACGGCCATAGGCCAAATCCAGCCCACTGCTTGTTATTTTTAATAAGTTTTATTGGTAAACAGCCACACCTATTCATTTATGTATTGTCTGTGGCTACTTTTGTGCTACAAATAACAGAGCTGAGTGCTTGTCACAGAAACCCAACGGACCACAAAGATGAAAATATTAACTGGGCACGTGGCTCACACCTATAATCCCAGCACTTTGGGAGGCCAAGGCAGGAGGATCACCTGAGGTCAGGAGTCCAAGACCAGCCCAGTACACATGGTGAAACCCCATCTCACTAAAAATACAAAAATTAGCCAGGCGTGGTGGTGCGTGCCTGTAATCCCAGCTACTCGGGAGTGAGTCGGGAGCTACTGAGGCAGGAAAATTGCTTGAACCTGGGAGGCAGAAGCTGCAGTGAGCCAAGACTTCATTATTGCACTCCAGACTGGGCAACAGAGTGAGATCCTGTCTCAAAAATAAAAAAAATGGAAAAGAAAAGAGAAGACAAGACAAGACAACACAACACAACACAACACTCTGGCTCTTTACAGAACAAGATGGCTGACCCCTTATCCACACCATTAAGGCAAAGGCAATGTCAGTTTTTACATTTGTTTGTTTGTTTGTTTTTGAAACGAAGTTTCACTCTTTTTGCCCAGGCTGGAGTGCAATGGCACGATCTCGGCTCACTGCAACCTCCGCCTCCCAGGTTGAAGCAGTTCTCCTGCCTCAGCCTCCTGTGTAGGTAGGATTACAGGTGCACACCACCACGCCCAACTGATTTTTGTATTTTTAGTACAGATGGGGTGTTGGCCAGGCTGGTCTCAAACTCCTGACCTCAGGTGATCCACCCGCCTCGGCCTCCCAAAATGCTGGGGTTGCAGGCATGAGCCACCACACCCGGCCAGTTTGTTTTCTTTTTATGGGAAGGGGTGGTTATCAAAATGTATCTTGCAGCTCCTGCCCCACTCCAGCCTCCTCGTGATGGGGTTTCGGTCTCGGCTGCCCACTCACCTGTGAGCTCAGCCGACACAATTGTGCCATAGGCAGCCAGGGAGATGCCGTGCTCCCGCAGCCTTGCCCGGATCCCTCGCTGCAATAGCTCCTCCTCCAGGCCCAGGCTCAGCGTCTGGAGGGGTCGCAGCAGAAAGTGCAGCTGGAAATGTACGAGGACACTGGAGTTCCCATCCCTACAGGTATGGAGGAGAGGCCCTTGGAGAGGGAGGGGCTCCGCCCTGCTGGAATCTTCTGGAATCTTCTAGAATCTTCCAAACTTTTCTGGACTCCTCCAGAAACTCCCAGATGTCCACCAAGTTTCCTTCACCCAATGGAAGCTCCAACTCACCTATAATTCAGTACCGAGCAACCCACGCAGCTTGCCTCTAACTCTGTCTTCTGAAAACTACTTACAAACTGCAATAGAAACAAGAATATCAAATGTTGAGACCCACAGCATGGGCACCCTGGCACTGCAGAGGCCTGTCAGGTGTTGGAGGGAGCTGGAGAAGGGGTTGGTTCCATGGGAAAGCATTTCCTTTTATTATTTTAAATTTTTATCTATATGTACGTATGTATGTATGTATGTATTGTGAGACAGAGTCTTGCTCTGTCACCCAGGCTGGAGTGCAGTAGTGCATTCTCCACTCACTGCAACCTCCGCCTCCCAGGTTCAAGCGATTCTGCTGCCTCAGCCTCCCAAGAAGCTGGGATTACAGGTGCCCGCCACCATGCCCAACTAATTTTTTGTATTTTTAGTAGAAATGGGGTTTCACTATGTTGGCCAGGCTGGTCTCGAACTCCTGACCTTGTGATCCACCTGCCTTGGTTTTCCACAGTGCTAGGATTACAGTTGTGAGCCACCACGCCCAGACTTATGTTTTATTTTTAAATTTTTTATTATTATTATTATTTTGAGACAGAGTCTTGCTCTGTCGCCTGGGGTGGAGTGCAGTGGCACGATCTCGGCTCATTGCAACTTCCGTCTCTCAGGTTCAAGCAATTCTCCTGCCTCAGCCTCCCAAGTAGCTGGGATTACAGGCACACACCACCATGCGTGGCTAATTTTTTGTATTTTTTAGTAGGGACAGGGTTTCACTATGTTGGCCAGGCTGGTCTTGAACTCCTGACCTCGTGATCCGCCCACCTCAGCCTCCCAAATTAGCTGGGCATGGTGGTGTGTGCCTGCACTCCCAGCTACTCGGGAGGCTGAGGTGGGAGGATTGCTTGAGCCCAGGAGGCGTCACAGGCGTGAGCCACCACGCCCAGCCTATTTTTAAAAATTGTTTTTTAAGATGGAGTCTCACTCGGTCACCCAGGCTGGAGTGCAATGGCACGATCTTGGCTCACTGCAACTTCTGCCTCCTGGGCTCAGGCAATCCTCCCACCTCAGCCTCCCGAGTAGCTGAGACTACAGGCACACACCACCACGCCCCGCTAATTTTTGTGTTTTTACTAATGGTGGGATTTTGTCATGTTGCTCAGGCTGGTCTCAAAACTCCTGACCTCAGGTATCCACTCTCCTCGGCCTCCCAAAGTGCTGGGATTACAGATGTGAGCCACCCACCGTGCCCGCCTGGAGTGCTGTTTTTAATACGTGATTGCTGATGTGGTCACACGTCTGTTTCTCTTCGAATAAAATGGAAAACATTATTTTTTCATTAAAATATAATTCGCTGTGTCCTGTGTCCAAGCCTGGCCCCTTTTCCTGGCTGAGTCATATTCCAGTGTGTGCATAGCCACGCTGTGTTTCCCTGTTCATCCTAGGTGGTGGGTGCCTGTAACCCTGGCTACTCAGGAGGCTGAGACAGGAGAATCGCTTGAACCCGGGAGGCAGAGGTTGCAGTGAGCCATGATCCTGCCACTGCACTCCAGCCTGGACAACAGAGCAAGACTCCGTCTCAAAAAAATAAAATAAAATACCTTCCCCCAGCTGTGCATGAGGGCTCTGATTCCCCTTTAGAATAAAATGTAAAACTCTAAATGTGGCAGGTTGGGTACGGTGACTCACGCCTGTAATCCCAGCACTTTGGGAGGCCGTGGAGGGAAGATCATTTGAGGTCAGGAGTTCAAGACCATCCTGTCCTACATGGTGAAACCCCGTCTCTACTAAAAATACAAAAATCAGCTGGACGTGGTGGCGTGCACCTGTAATCCCAGCTACTCGGGAGGCTGAGGCAGGAGAATCGCTTGAACCTGAGCAGCGGAGCTTGCAGTGAGCCGAGATCATTCCACTGCACCCCAGCCTGGGTGACAGAGTGAGACTCCGTCTCAAGAAAAAAAAGAAAAAAAAAAAAACCTCTAAATGTGGCCTAAAGTCCCATGTGAGTGTGTCCTCAGTGGATACAGCTCTGCCTTGCAGGTATCTGCCTTGGCCACCTGGCCTCGTCCTGCCCGCCCCCTGGCCTGGCCTCCCGGTCTCACAGCCTCCACCTCAGCTTCGTTGCCTGTGGCCTGCCTCCCTCCCACACGGAAAGCACCTCCAGGTCAAAGCCCCCGGCCACCCGCTCTTCCTCCCTGGCCCCCAAACACAGACCACCCTCACCAGTGCCTCCAGGGTGGGCGTCAGCGTGCGGTGATAGTCCGAGGTCTCCCGCCGCAAACTGCTGGTCCACCGGATTCCCCGCAGCTCGGCCGTGTGGTCCACGTGGAAGCCCTGTGTAGAGAGGAAGGCTGGGGACGAGACCAGGGCCCGTGAGAGAGCCCACCTTTGGGGGCTCAGGGCTCCGCTGAGCTGCCACCCAGGCCCCGCCCTGTTTGCACTCACACACCCTGGTGGTCACTCCTGACACGCAGTGGGGTGGTCGACGCCCCCGTGATAGCCCTGAATAGCTACTCACAGGGCTCTCCCTCAATTCCCAAAAGCATCCTGGTTTGGAGCCGAATTCTATGACAGCCACCCACCCGGAGGTCCCCAGGTACAGCACAAGGTGGATGAGTGCCAAGTGAGCCCCAGATGCCCCCGTGTTTTCCTCGAAGGCAGAAAGAGGTCCTGCTCATGCCTGTCTCCCATGCAGTGCCTGGCCCAGGATCTGAGCTGACTTCAGGGCGTAACCTCTGGAATGGCATCAGGAGACGGTGAAATGACAGTCCCCGCCTCCTATGGCAGGGGCATGAGCACAGCCAGAGGCCATCAGGACTCTCCGGCCACAGTCCCATGAGGTCATCTTCAAAAACCACTGGTTGGTTTGTGTTTGTTTGTTTGAGACAGAGTCTCGCTCTGTCGCCCAGGCTGGAGTGCGGTGGCGCAATCTCGGCTCACTGCAAGCTGCGCCTCCCGGGTTCATGCCATTCTCCTGCCTCAGCCTCCCGAGTAGCTGGGACTACAGGCACCCACGACCACGCGTGGCTAATTTTTTTGTATTTTTAGTAGAGACGGGATTTCACTGTGTTAGCCAGGATGGTCTCTATCTCCTGACCTCGTGATCCGCCCTCCTCGGCCTCCCAAAGTGCTCAGATTACAGGCGTGAGCCACCACACCCGGCCTGTTTGTTTTGAGACAGAGTTTTGCTCTTGTTGCCCACACTGGAGTGCAATGGCATGATCTCGCCTCACTGTAACCTCCGCCTCCCGGGTTCAAGCAATTCTCCTGCCGCCTCAGCCTCCGGAGTAGCTGAGATTACAGGCATGCACCACCATACCCAGCTAGTACAGATGGGGTTTCTCCATGTTGGCCAGGCTGGTCTCAAACTCCCGACCTCAGATGATCCGCCAGCCTTGGCTTCCCAAAGCACTGGGATTAACAGGCATGAGCCACCGCGCCCGGCCTTGTTTGTTTTGAGATAGGGTCTCACTCTGTCACCCAGGCTGGAGTGCAGTGGTGTTTTCTCAGCTCGCTGCAACCTCCATCTCCCGGGTTCAAGCGATCCTCCTGCCTCAGCCTCCTGCCTCAACCTGCTGAGTAGCTGGGATTACAGGCGTGGACCACCACACCTGGCTAGTTTTTTTGTATTTTTAGTACAGACTGGATTTCACCATGTTGGCCAGGCTGCTCTGGAACTCCTGACCTCAGGTGATCCACCCGCCTTGGCCTCCCGAAGTGCTGAGATTACAGGCGTGAGCCACTGCACCCAGCGTTAATTTTTGTATTTTTAGCAGAGATGGGGTTTCGCCACATTGGCCAGGCTGGTCGGGAACTCCTGACCTCAGGTGATCTGCCCGCCTCAGCCTGCCAAAGTGCCGGGATGACAGGCGTGAGCCACCACGCCAGGCAGAAAGCACTGGTTTTTAGCTGTTGGCTGTGTTGTGTCCAAAGTACAAAGTACAGCAAAAATAATAGTCATAAAAAATTCCTATGCTGATGCAAGCAGCAGCAGAAAAAAATCTAAATAAAAACTACGAGAGCAACCACAGAAACCATGAGAGCACGAGTTTTGGTCAAAAATACGTTAAAACTACCAGAAGTGCACACCAGCGCAAAAAAAATGGCCGTAATTACAACATTTAAACCATGCAAATAGCAACCGCGTAAACCGTGAAAGCTGGGTCCCAATTCCGTTTATCCTAAATGGATAGATATGCTAGATGGGTATTTACGTAGCCATATATTCAGTAGATAGAATATTCTGAACCAATTCTAAAAACGGTATGTTTTCTCGTTCAAGAAACTAAAGAAACACGAGCACCCTGGTGGGCGGACTGAATTGCCCCGCCTCTGTGTCCCAACCTCACTCTGTTTCTACTCTAAACAACTGCAGATTCAGGAAGTTGCAGAAATAGTTCAGAACGCCTCCCGCTCTCCACTCAGCCTCTCATCTCCAACTAAAATGGTGAGCTGTTTGCGAAGGGCTGAATTCTCATTTTTATTTTTTTAAATGTTTTATTTTTTTGAGACAAGGTCTCTATTGTTCGGGCTTCAGTGCAGTGGCACAATCACTGCTCACTGCAGCCTCGACCTCATGGGCTCAGGTGATCCTCCTGCCTTAGCCTCCCAAGTAGCTAGACCACAGAGACCACAGGCGCCCACTATCACGCCTGGCTGGCTAGCTTTCTCTTTCCTTCTCTTTTCTTGACACAGTCTCACACTCTGTTGCCAGGCTGGGATGCAGTGGCACGATCTTGGCTCAGTGCAACCTCTGCCTCCTGGGTCCAAGCGATTCCCTTGCCTTAGCTTCCCGAGTAGCTAGGACTACAGGCACATGCCACCATGACCAACTAATGTTTTTTGTATTTTAGTAGAGACGGGGTTTCATCATGTTGGCCAGGATGGTTTCAATCTCCTGACCTCATGATCCGCCCAACCCGGCCTCCCAGAGTGCTGGGATTACAGGTGGGAGCCACCGCGCCCAGCTTTTTTTTTTTTTTTTTTTTTTTGGAGACATGGTCTCCCTTTGTTGCCCAGGTTGGAGTGCAGTGGCATGATCTCGGCTCACTGCAACCTCCACTTCCCGGGTTCAAGCAATTCTCCAACCTCAGCCTCCTGAGTAGCTGGGATTACAGGCGCGTACCAGTCTGCCCAGCTAATTTTTGTATTTTAGTAAAGACAGGGTTTCACCCATGTTGGCCAGGCTGGTCTCAAACTCCTGACCTCATGATCTACCTGCCTCAGCCTCCCAAAGTGCTGGGATTACCGGGGTGAGCTACTATGCCTGGCCCTGGCTAATTGTTTGCATTCTTTTGTAGAGACAGGGTTTCCCCATGTTACTGTGTCCGAAATTCGTGGGTTCTTGGTCTCACTGACTTCAAGAATGAAGCTGCGGATCCTCACGCTGAGTGTTACATTTCTTAAAGATGGTGTGTCCGGAGTTTGTTCTTGCTGATGTTCGGATGTGTTCGGAATTTCTTCCTTCTGGTGGGTTCGTGGTCTTGCTTGCTTCAGGAGTGACGCTGTAGACCTTCCCAGGGAGTGTTGCAGCTCTTAAGGCAGCGTGTCTGGAGTTGTTCATTCCTCCTGGTGGGTTTGTGGTTTTGCTGGCCTCAGGAGTGAAACTGCAGACCTTCACAGTGAGTGTTACAGCTCATAAAAGCATCTCACACCCAACGAGTGAGCAGCAGCAAGATTTCTCGCAGAGAATTAAAAAACAAATCCTCTACACTGTGAAAAGGTCCCCAAGCCGGTTGCCGCTGCTGGCTCCAGCAGTCCGCTTTTATTCCCTTATCTGGCCCCACCCACATCCTCCTGATTGGCCCATTTTACAGAGCGCTGATTGGTCCATTTTACAGAGAGCTGACTGGTCCGTTTTGACAGGGTGCTGATTGGTGTGTTTACAATCCCTGAGCTAGACGCAGGGTGCTGATTGGTGCATTTACAAATCTTTAGCTAGACACAAAAGTTCTCCAAGTCCCCACTAGATTAGCTAGACACAGAACACTGATTGGTGCGATTGGTGCATTTGCAAACCTTGAGCTAGACACAGGGTGCTCATTGGTGCATTTACAAACCTTTAGCTAGACTTAAAATTTCTCCAAGTCCCCACTAGATTAGCTAGACACAGAGCACTGATTGGTGTGTTTATAAACCTTGAGCTAGACACAGAGTGCTTATTGGTGCATTTACAATCCTCTAGTTAGACATAAAAGTTATCCAAGTCCCCACCAGATTAGCTAGACACAGAGTGTTCACTGGTGCATATACAATCCTCCAGCTAGACATAACAATTCTTCAAGTCCCCACTCGACTCAGGAGCCCAGCTGGCTTCGCCCGGCCCTGGCTAATTTTCTGCATTTTTTGTAGAGACAGGGTTTCACCATGTTACCAGGCTGAACTGGAACTCCTGGGCTCAAGCAATCCTCCCGTTTCAGCGTCCCAGAGAGCTGGGATTACTGGCGTGAGCCACTACGCCTGGCATCATGTCCTTTTTTCTTTTTCTTTTTTATTTTTTATCAGGGTGTCACTCTGTCTCCCAAGCTGGAGTGCAGTGGTGTGATCATAGCTCACTGCAGGCTCCAACTCCTGGGCTCAAGCAATCCTCCCACCTCAGTCTCCCGAGTAGCAGGGACTACTGGCACGCACAACCACTCATTTTCACTGAAAACATTATAAAATTTTAATTTTAAATGTTTCTTGTCTTCATTATTTAATTTTTTGTAGAGATGGGGTCTTGCTATGTTGCCTAGGTTGGTCTCGAACTCCTGAGCTCAAGCAATCCTCCTGCCTCAGCCTCCCAGAGTGCTGGGATTACAGGCAGGAGCCACCACACTTGGCCTTAAGTGCTTCTTGAAAGACTTCCTGATGGGGCGTGGTGGCTCATGTCTGTAATCCCAGCACTTTCGGAGGCCAAGGCAGGTGGATCACTTGAGGTCAGCAGTTTGAGACCATCCTGGCCAATATGGCAAAACCCTATCTCTACTAAAAATACAAAAATTAGCTCGGCGTAGTGGCACACACCTGTAATCTCAGCTACCCAGGAGGCTGAGGCAGGAGAATCGCTTGAACCTGGGTGGTGGAGGTTGTGATGAGCTGAGATTGTGCCACTGCACTCTGTCGCGCCTGGGAGACAGAGTGAGACTCCATCTCAAAAAAAAAAAAAAAGACTTCCTTTCCTTTCAGGGGGGTCCTGATGGGAATTATATTTATCTGTTTTTCCCAAAATGTATTTGTTACAATGCAGATGAGAAACTCTGCCCCGCCCCTGCCTCTCACTAGGTGATGGACACACACACACACACACGCATGCACACATAGATACACACGCAGACACACACATGCATGCACAAACGCATGCAAATGAACACGTGTGCACCATGCACACACTCATGAACACACAAATACACTCACACGAGGAACCCAAATTGTATTGTACTTGGTACCTACAGCCACTAGAGGGCCTCAGTCAAACATGTCTGGCTCTGGGAGTTTCCAGAAGTTCCACAAATATTTTTTAAAAAAAAGAAAAAAGAAAAAAAAAAACCTAGGAGGATTCTCATAGGATCGCGAACTTACTATTTTGCCACACGAGAGCATTTCTCCCCAAATTGCTGTTTATTATCATCATTTAAATGTTAAAATTAACTTTTTTTTTTTTTTTTTTTTTTGAGATGGAATTGCTCTGTTGCCCAGGCTGGACTGCAAGGGCATGATCTCGGCTCACTGCAATCTCTGCCTCCTCCTGGGCTCAAGCAATTCTCCTGCCTCAGCCTCCCAAGTAGCTGGGATAACAGGCGTGCACCACCATGCTCAGCTATCTTCCTTCCTTCCTGCCTACCTGCCTGCCTGCCTCCCTCCCTCCCTCCCTCCCTTTCTTTCTTTCTTTCTTTCTTGTATTTTTAGTAGAGATGGGGTTTCACCATGTTGGTCAGGGTGGTCTCGAACTCCTGACCTCATGATCTGCTCACTTCAGCCTCCCAAAAAGTTGAGATTACAGGTATGAGCCACTGCACCCGGCCTTATTTTAAATTTATTATTATGTTTTTATTTTTTGAGATAGAGTCTCACTCTGTCACCCAGGCTGGAGTGCAGTGGTGCGATCTCAGCTCACTGCAACCTCTGCCTCCCAGGTTCAAGCGATTCTCCTGCCTCAGCCTCCTGAGTAGCTGGGACTGCAGGTGCCACCACGCCTGGGTAATTTTTTGTATTTTCTGTAGAGGCAGGGCTTTATCATGTTGCCTAGGCTGTTCTCAAACTCCTGGGCTCCGATGGTCCTCCCGCCTCAGCCTCCCAAAGTGCTGGGATTACAGGCGGGAGCCACCACGCCCAACCCAGTTGCTCGGTTTTATAAAAATACTTTTGGGGCCGGGCGCGGTGGCTCATGCCTGTAATCCCAGCACTTTGGGAGGCTGAGGCGGGCGGATCATGAGGTCAGGAGATCGAGACCATCCTGGCTAACACGGTGAAACCCCGTCTCTACTAAAAATACAAAAAATTAGCCGGGGGTGGTGGCGGGCGCCTGTAGTCCCAGCTACTCGGGGAGGCTGACACAGGAGAACGGTGTGAACCCGGGAGGTGGAGCTTGCAGTGAGCCGAGATATCACACCACTGCACTCCAGCCTGGGCGACAGAGAGAGACTCCGTCTCAAAAAAAAAAAAAAACAAAAAAAAAAACTACTTTGGGTATTTTGCTGATTTGCCAAAATTTAAAACAAGGTCATTTCCCTGTCTCTGTTTCTCTGTCACCCCAGCTGTGAAAACTTCCTTCGGGAGCTTCTTTAGTCGGGAAAACTGACACACGTAGGAACTCATCTGCTCCACTCCCCGCCCACCCGCCTGGCCTAGGGCAGCCTTCATCTCCACGCCTAGACACTGCCCTTTGATTCCAGATGGCCAAGGAGACACCATCAAGTCACTTCCCGGTGACTTTGCACATGTCCCTTGTATTGCGAACCCAGCCAATCCCATAGCCACTTACCCAAAAGGACTCCCAGGGTGAGGACGACAAGGCTGGTGGCCACCACGCCAATGCTGGCCGCTCGACAGCACGCGGCATCCAGAGCGGGGACTTCCTTGGTTGTCCTGGGCACGAGGTGTACGTCAGCCACAGTGGGCTCCATGGCTCAGAGACACGCAGACAGCGAGCTGGATGCCACACAGCAAGACAGAAACACGGGGTCAGAGGCTGAAGGTGCTTCTCTTCCCATAAGCAAGGGTTGCAACTATACCCTTAAAAACGGCGGGGCGCGGTGGCTCACGCCTGTCATCCCAGCACTTTGGGAGGCTGAGGCAGGAGGACGATTTGAGGTCGGGAATTCCAGATCAGCCCGGCCAACATGGAGAAACCCCATCTCTACTAAAAATCCAAAATTAGCCAGGCATGTTGGTGCAC
Organism: Homo sapiens; assembly: GCF_000001405.40. Taxonomy (NCBI): domain Eukaryota; kingdom Metazoa; phylum Chordata; class Mammalia; order Primates; family Hominidae; genus Homo; species Homo sapiens. The sequence goes on along the minus strand of NC_000019.10, from coordinate 2,389,513 downwards.
ACCTGTAATCCAGCTACCCAGGAGGCTGAGGCAGGAGAATCGCTTGAACCCGGGAGGCGGAGGCTGCAGTGAACCGAGATCACGCTACTGCACTCCAGCCCGGGTGACAGAGCGAGACTCCAAAAAAAAAAAAAAAAAAGACCAGATGCGGTGGCTTATGCCTGTAATCCCAGCACTTTGGGAGGCCAAGGTGGGTGAATCACTTGAGGTCAAGAGTTTGAGACCAGCCTGGCCAACATGGTGAAACCCCATCTCTACTAAAAATACAAAAAATTAGTCAGGCGTGGTGGTGGGCGCCTGTAATCCCAGCTACTCGGGAGGCTGAGGCAGGAGAATCGCTTGAACCCGGGAGGCGGAGGTTGCAGGGAGCTGAGATCACGCCACTGCACTCCAGCCTGGCGACAGAGCAAGACGCCATCTCAAAAAAAAAAAAAAAAGGTGGAACGTGACTGCTGGCTGGGCGGCTGTGTGAGGATGAGGACTCCCGTGGGTCGCTGCGGTCCATTGCTAGAAAGAGTAAGTCTGAAGTTCCCACAGCTGCTGTAACAAAGGACCCCACGCTTGGGGGCTTAGAGGGACACCGAGTTTTCGGCCAGGCGTGGTGGCTCACACCTGTAATCCCAGCATTGTGGGAGGCTGAGGTGAGAGGATTGCTCGAGCCCAGGAGTTTGAGACCAGCCTGGGCAATATAGTGAGACCCCCATCTCCACAAAAAATGAACAAAAATTAGCCAGATGTGGTGGCTCATGCCTGTAATCCTAGCCACTCAGGAGGCTGAGGCAGGAGGATCACTTGAGCCCAGGAGGTGGAAGCTGCAGTGAGCTGTGATTGTGCCACTGTACTCCAGCCTGGGTGACAGAGCCAGACCCTGTCTCAAAGAATTTAAAAATGGAATACTGATTGATTATCTCACAGTTCTGAAAGTCAGAAGTCTGAGATCCATCTTGCAGGGCTCACCATCGAGCTGTGGGCAGGCCTGGGCCCTTCTGGGGGCTCCAGGGGAGAATACGTTTCCCATCTTTACCAGCGTCTTAAGCCTCAGGGCCCCTTCTTCTCCCTTCACAGCCACAGTGCAGCCTCTTCCAGTCTCTCTTTCTCACCCTCCCGCCTCCTTTTTTGTTTGTTTTTGAGACAGGGTCTTTCTCTGTTGCCCAGGCTGGAGTGCAATGGTGTGATCACAGCTCACTGCAGCCTCCACCTCCTGGGCTCAAGCGATCCTCCCACCTCCGCCTCCTAGTAGCTAGGGCCACGTGTGTGCCACTATGCCCAGCTAATTAAGTTTTTTGTAGAGAGGGAGTCTTCCTATGCTGCCCAAGCTGGTCTCAAACTCCTGACCTCACGCGATCCTCCCACCTGGGCCTCCCAAAGTGCTGGGATTACCGGCGTGAGCCACCGCGCCCAGCCTGAGTGCCAGCTTTCGAAGGGAGGTGCATCAAAGAATTTGTGACCACAGACTCTTTTTCTGTCACACTCATCAACAACTCCTGTTGGCTAGTGTTCAAAAGAGATTCCTAATCCAGTCATTCCTCACCATCTGTGCAGCTACGGCTCTGGACAGCCCACCAGCATCCCGTCTGGAGGGACTGGCCTCTTTCCTCCCTCCCCTGCCCCTCTGTGAGCTGGTCACAGCCGTTAAGGGTGCCTTTGAAGTGTCCATCAGATTACATCATCCCTGCGACACACACACTAAAATCCCTCCAGCAGCCTAAAACCCAAAGTGCTCCTGACCTTCACACCCCACCCCTGATTTTTATTTTTTCTTTTTTAAAGAGAGAGAGAGTCTCTCTGTTGCCCATACTGGAGTGCTGTGGTGCGATCTCGGCTCACTGCAACTTCAAATTTCCGGGCTTAAGTGATCCTCCCACCTCAGCCTCCCATAGCTGGGACCACAGGTGTACGTCACCACGCCATGCTCATTTTCCTTTCTCCCTTCCCTTCCCTTTCTCCCTTCCTCCCTTCCTTTCCCTTCCCTTCCTTTCCCTTCCCTTCCTTTCCTTTCCTTTCCTTTCTTTTCTATTGAGATGGAGTCTTACTCTTGTTGACCTGGCTGGAGTGCAGTGGCACAGTCTCTGCTCACTGCAACCTCTGCCTCCCAGGTTCAAGCGATTCTCCTTCCTCAGCCTCCCCAATAGCTGGGATTACAGGCGCCCAGCACCACACCTGGCTAATTTTTATATTTTTAGTAGAGAGGGGGTTTTGCCATGTTGGCCAGGCTGGTCTCGAACTCCTGACCTCAGTTGATCCACCCACCTCGGCCTCCCAAAGTGCTGGGATTACAGGCATGAGCCACCTCACCCAGCCTCACTTTTCTATTTTTTTGTAGAGAGGGGAATCTTGTTATGTTGCCCAGGCTGGTTTTGAACTCCTGACCTCAGGTGATCCACCCGCCTTGGCCTCCCAAAGTGCTGGGATTACAGGCGTGAGCCACTGCACCCGGCCTCATTTTTCTGTTTTTTGTGGAGAGGGGATCTTGCTACATTGCCCAGGCTGGTTTTGAACTCCTGGCCTCAGGCAACCTTCCCTCCTCAGCCTCCCAAAGTGCTGGGACCACAGGTGCACTGTGCAGTGGCGTGATCTCACTACAAGCTCCGCCTCTCAGGTTCAAGTGATTCTCATGCCTCAGTCTCCCAAGTAGCTGGGACCACAGGCGTGTGCCATCACACCTGGCTAATTTTTGTATTTCTAGTAGAGATGGGGTTTCACCATATTGGCCAGGCTGTTCTCAAACTCCTGGCCTCAAGTGACCCACCTGCCTTGGCCTCCCAAAGTGCTGGGATGACAGGTGTGAGCCACTGTGCTGGCAGCAGTAAATATTTTCATGCTCACAAGGCAGTCAGGACTGTGTCCCTTCACTCTCCCATTGTCACGCTAAAGCAGCCGACCACGTGTAAAGAATTAGACACAACTATGTTCTCGTCACACTTTATGGACACTAAAATTCAAATCCTGGCTGGGTGCAGTGGCTCACGCCTGTAATCCTATCTTTGTTTTTTTGGTTTTTTTTTTTTTGAGACGGAGTCTTGCTCTGTCACCCAGGCTGGAGTCCAGTGGCGCGATCTCGGCTCACTGCAAGCTCCGCCTCCCAGGTTCACGCCATTCTCCTGCCTCAGCCTCCCAAGTAGCTGGGACTACAGGCGCCCGCCACCACGCCCAGCTAATTTTTTGTATTTTTAGTAGAGACGGGGTTTCACCATGTTAGCCAGGATGGTCTCAATCTCCTGATCTCGTGATCTGCCCACCTCAGCCTCCCAAAATGCTGGGATTACAGGCGTGAGCCACCGTGCCCGGCCAATCCCATCTCCTTAAGAGGCCGCGGCAGGACAATCGCTTGAGTCCAGGAGTTTGAGACCAGCCTGGGCAACATAGCAAGACCCCATGTCGACAGAAAATAAAAATTAAATTAGCTGGGCATGGTGGGGCACGTATCTGTGATCCCAGCTACTCAGAAGGCTGAGGTGGGAGGACTGCTTGAGACCAGGAGGTTGAGGCTGCAAGGACCTGTGATCACACCACTGCACTCCAGCCTGGGTGACAGAGCAACACCCAGTCTCTAGTAATAATAATAAAATGAAAAAATAATTCTGCAGACCAGATCTGGCTCTGGCCCACAGGATGTTGTTTCCTGACCCCTGGAATAGATACGTAATCTTTTTTTATTTTTTAGAGACAAGGTCCTGCTCTGTCACCCAGGCTGGAATGCAGTGGTGCTATCATAGCTCACTGCAGCCTCTACCTCGCAGGCTCAAACGATCCTCCTGCCTTAGATTCCAGAGTAGATAGGACTACAGGCATGCCACCACACCCGGTTAATTTTTTTATACTCTGTAGAGATTGGGGTCTCACTATGTTGTCCAGTCTGGCCTTGAACTCCTGGCCTCAAGTGATCCTCCTGCCTCGGCCTCCAGATGTGAGCCGCTGTACCCGGCCACCTCTCTGACCGTTTATAATCATTTGCCAGTCCCTGTTCCGGGTGTTCTCCCACTGATGAGTCATCACTAAGGCTTTGAAATGTAAAAGGATTTACAAGCATGAGTCCCAGAACATGGCCAGGTGGCAGCCATGTGCAACGGCAACACCGCAACGTTCATCCATGCTCCTGCCGCTTTCAGTCTCGTTGGAGCAGGGGATCCACCCATTTTCCGCGAGAAACTGCCTGTGTCGCATGGATCCCTAAGCAGAACTGGGCAGCTGTCGGCCCCTGAGGGATGTAACAGGACACCTGGGGCAGGCAGACTCCACCGGGAGCACTGGGATCCCTCCTCCTGGGATTCAAGCCCTGTGCGAGCCCCGCCCCCTCGAGCCCCGCCCCCTCGAGCCCCGCCCCCGCGAGCCCCGCCCCCCGCGAGCCCCGCCCTCCGCGAGCTCCGCCCCCTGCGAGCTCCGGCTGTGACCCCTTCTCACCAATGGATGGGCCAAGGTAGCCACGGTGGCCTCAGGTAATCCGCCCGCCTCGGCCTCCCAAAGTGCTGGGATTATAGGATTACAGGTGTAGGCCACCGCGCCTGGGCTTTTCTCTCTTTTTTTTTTTTTTTGAGATGGAGTTTGGCTCTGTCCCCCAGGCTGGAGTGCAGTGGCATGATCTCAGCTCACTGCAACTTCTGCCTCCCGGGTTCAAGCAATTCTCCTGCCTCAGCTTCCCGAGTAGCTGGGATTACAGGTGCATGCCACCACACCCAGCTAATTTTTTTTTTTTTTTTTTTTGACGGAGCCTTACTCTGTCGCCCAGGCTGGAGTGCGGTGGTGCGATCTTGGCTCACTGCAAGCTCCATTTCCCAGGTTCACACCATTCTCCTGACTCCGCCTCCTGAGTAGCTTGGACTACAGGCGCCCGCCACCACGCCTGGCTAATTTTTTGTATTTTTAGTAGAGACGGGGTTTCACCACGTTAGCCAGGATGGTCTCGATCTCCTGACCTCGTGATCCTCCCGCCTTGGCCTCCCAAAGTGCTGGGATTACAGGCGTGAGCCACCGCGCCTGACCACACCCAGCTAATCTTTGTACTTTCAGTAGAGATGGGGTTTCGCCATGTTGGCTGGTCTCGAATTCCTGACCCCGGGTGATCTGCTCGCCTCGGCCTCCCAAAGTGCTGGGATTACAGGCGGGAGCCACCACACCTGGTTCTCTAGCTTACATTCTTTTACTCTCGTGAGACCCCAAGAGACCTTAACCTCAAACTCTGCATGTTCTCAGTCTGCAGGGACGCCTTTCTCTGCAGAGGGTGGGGGATCACCTCCACATTGTCTGCAAAGGTGGATCTCATTGCCTCCCCTCCGCCTCAGCTCCCCTGGGATGCTGTGTCTGCTGCGTGGGCGGAGAATGATTCATGCCTGGCCTCCAACACACTTTTCCCCATTAGAAACCCACAGAAAAGGAAGCTGGGGGAACAATGCCATTCTGTTTCCCCGGGCGGGGTCCCCTGGACGTGCCCACGTGGCCGAGGGCTTCTCTGGAGGGAGTGGAGTTGCTCTGGACACCCGTGGGGATGAAAACCAGGCCTCGGTGGGCAGATAAGATACAGAACACCGCATGGAGCTTGAGTTTCAGACAATCAAACATCCTTTTGTAGCCTAAGTGTGTCCCTGGGATGGTTCAGTCTATGCAATACCTTGGCCGGGCTTTGGTTCTTTGGTCAAACATTATTCTAGCTGTTTCTGTGAAGGTAATTTTTAGATACAATTAACATCTATTTATTTATTTTTATTGTTTTGAGATGGGGGGGTCTCACTCTGTCCCCCAGGCTGGAGTGCAGTGGTGTGATCATAGCTCACTGCAGCCTCGACCTCCTGGGCTCAAGCGATCCTCCCACCTCAGCCTCCAGAGTAGCTGGAATATGGATGTGTACCACTATGCCAGCTAAGTTAAAAAATTTCTTTGTAGAGTCAGGGTGCAGTGGCTCACACCTGTAATCCCAGCACCTTGGGAGGCCGAGATAGGAGGATCACTGGAGCCCAGAGCTCAAGACCAGCCTGGATCATGTAGGGAGACCCTGCCTCTAAGAAAATTTTAAAAATCGTAATTTTTTTTTTTAGAGACGGGGTCTTGCTATGTTGCCCAGGCTGGTCTGGAACTACTGGCTTCAAGCCATCTTCCTGCCTCAGCCTCTCAAAGTGCTGAGAACCACTGCACCCACCCAGCCCAATTAACTTCTCCTTTTTTTTTTTTGACGGAATCTAGCTGTGTCACCCAGGCTGGAGTGCAGTGGTGCAATCTTGGCTCACTGCAAACTCTGCCTCCCAGGTTCAAGCAATTCTTGTGCCTCAGCTTCCCAAGTAGCTGGGATTACAGGTGCCTGCCACCATGCCTGGCTAATTTTTGTATTTTTAGTAGAGACGGGATCTTGCTATGTTGGCCAGGCTGGTGTGGAACTCCTGATCTCAGGTGATCCACCTGCCTCGGCCTCCCAAAGTGCTGAGATTACAGGCGTGAGCCACTGCGCCAAGCCCAATTAACATTTAAATCGGTAGATATTAAATAAAGCAGGTGACCCTCCATAATGTGGTGGGCCTCACCCAATCAGTCGAAGGCCTTAAAAGACTGAGGTTCCCCAAGAGGAAGGAAATCTGCCTCCAGATAGCCTTTGGGCTTGAGACTGCAGCATCAGCTCTTCCCTAGGTCTCTGGCCTGCCCTGCAGATTCCAGACCTGCAGCCCCTCAATGGTATGAGCCAAATCCCTAAAATAAATCTCAATCTGTGTGTGTGTACATGTGTGAGTCTGTGTGCGGGTGTGCATCTGTGTGTGCGTGTGTGCATCTGTGTATGTGTGGATGTGTGCGTTTGTGCGTATGTATCTGTGTGCATGTGTGCTTTTGTGTGTGCATGTGTGCATGTGTGTATGTGTGCACGTGTGCATGTGTGTATGTGTGCATGTGTGGTCTGTGTGTACGTGTGCATTTGTGTGTGCATGTGTCTGTGTGTGTGTGCATGTGCATCTGTGTGTGCATCTGTGCGTATATGTCTGTGTATCCACTCAATTGGTCCTGTTTCTCTGAAGAATTCTGTCTCTAATCTGTATTTTAGTATAAGTATGTCTCTCTTGTGCAAAATGTAGGACATTCTCCGACTCCTACTAAAAAAATGTTTTGACCGGGCGCGGTGGCTCACGCCTGTAATCCCAGCACTTTGGGAGGCCAAGGTGGGAGGATCGCCTGATGTCAGGAGTTTGAGAACAGCCTGGCCAACATGGCGAAACCCCATCTCTACCAAAATAAAAAAATTAGCCGGGCATGGTGGCACATGGTTTCTTGGGAGGATGAGGCAGGAAAATCACTTGAACCTCAGAGGCAGAGGTTGCAGTGAGCACTCCAGCCTGGGCAACACAGAGTGAGACCCTGTTTAAAAAAAAGAAACGTTTTGGTTGTTAATCTGAAATTCTGGCTGGGTGCTGTGGCTCATGCCTGTTATCCCAACAGTCTGGGAGGCTGAGGCAAGTGGATCACCTGAGGTCAGGAGTTCGAGACCAGCCTGACAACATAGTGAAACCCCGTCTCTACTAAAAATACAAAATTAGCTGGGCGTGATGGCACACGCCTGTAATCCCAGCTATTTGGGAGCCTAAGATAGGTCAATCTCTTGAACCCAGGAGGTGGAGGTTGCAGTGAGCTGAGATTGCGCCACTGCACTCAAGCCTGGGCGACAGAGCGAGACTCCGTCTCAAAATAAATGAATGAATGAATGAATGAATGAATGAATACATATCTGAAATTCTAATGTCTCCGAGGGTGCTAAATGTTTTATTGTTGAGTCTGGCAACCCTATGCTGGGGCCCAGCCAGAATGTTCCCTCCTCAGGGGAACGTGTTCCTCTGGGAACAGCCACTCCATGCCTGGCCGCTACCATCCAGAGCCAATGAGAAAGGAGAGATGTACCAGGGTGGCGGGGAGTGAGGCAGGGGCGGCATGGAGCAAGGCAGGGGCAGCGTGGAGCGAGGCAGGGGCGGTGGGGAGGCAGGGGCAGCGGGGAGTGAAGCTGCACCACACTTTCCCATTTACTCTTACGCTTGAGTTGAACTGCCTTCAGACGAGCCAGAGAATCTCCAAGAATCACTTGATGGATGGTTTAGAAACAAAAGACACCGAGATTCACTTCTGTGATTAGAGCTGGAAAGGCACATTTAGAGTATGAGCTCACTCCCCAACACACACACACACACGCACACACACACACAGTGTTCATTCAACCCCAGCTGCCTCTGCTGACCCTGCCCCGCGGGTTTTCTAAGGATTCCTGTGTTCTCTAAATGGTCTTGTCATCACCATTATTGGTTCACAGAAAGAACTCCACAGCTATTTAGCATCAAACATAGAAGCGCCATTCATTTCACTCTCTCCATCCAGCCAACCTTTACGATGGGCCAGGCCTGGCTGCGTCGAACCCTGAATGAGACAGATACGATTCTCTGAGCTCAGAGAGCTTCAATCCAAGTGGAAGAGGCCCAGATCCATTAACATGATGCTACAAGAATGGCTCAAAACTAGAAGCACAACCAGAAACTTTGAATCTGTGTACAGGGGTCTTTGATTTAGACACGCCGTCAGGGGAGGGTTTTCTGAGAGAGTGATGAGTTATTCAAGTTCGGAAGGATAAATAGGAATTGAGTAAGCCTCCAGTGGAAGGAACGGATCCTACATGGCAGGGATAAAGTATCTAGAATCCCTGTGGCAGAAGTAAGGAAGTCAAGGCTATTGTAGAGAAACTGTATTAGTCAGCTATTGCTGTGTAACAAATCAGCACAAACTTAGCAGCTTCAAACAACATGCACTTGTTACCTCCTCACTTCCTGGGGTCAGGATTCTGACAGGGTTTAGCTGGGCCTTCTGCTCAGCATCTCATGAGGCTGCAATCCAGGTGTTAGCTGGGCTGCATTCTCATCTGAGGCTTGACTGGGGAAGAATCCACTGTCTTTTTTTTTTTTTTTGGTGGAGTCTTGCTCTGTTGCCCAGGCTGGAGTGCAGTGGCACAACTTTGGCTCACTGCAACCTCTGCCTCTCAGGTTCAAGTGATTCTACTGCCTCAGCTTCCCCAGTAGCTGGGATTACAGGTGCATGCCACCATGCCTGGCTAATTTTTTTTTTTTATTTTTAGTAGAGACGGGGTTTTGCCATGTTGGCCAGGCTGGTCTTGAACTCCAGACCTCAAACGATCCACCCACCTTGGCCTCCCAAAGTCCTGGGATTACAGGCATGAGCCACTGTACCTGGTTTTTTGTGGGGTTTTTTTGTTGTTTTTTTTTAAGACAGGGTTTCACTCTGTGACCCAGGCTAGGGTGCAGTGGCACAATTGTAGCTCATTGCAGCCTCGATTTCTTGGGCTCAAATGATCCTCTTGCCTCAGTCTCATGACTCTCTGCATGATTCTCCCACTAAGTGGGAGCTGAGAGCATAAACAGTCATACAACACCAGCAAGGTCCAAAATGGCAGCCACTGGCCCCATGTGGCTATTAAAACTAAAGTTAATTACAACCAGCCAGGTGCAGTGGCTCATGCCTGTAATCCCAGCACCATGGGAGGCTGAGGCACTATGGGAGGCTGAGCACTATGGGAGGTCGAGACCAGCTTGGGCAACATAATAAGACCCCATCTCTATAAAAAATAGAAAAAGTAGCTGGGCATGGTAGCATGCACCTGTAGTCCCAGCTACTCTTGAGGCTGAGGATCAGTGAGCCAAGGAGGTCGAGACTACAGTGAGGTGTGATTGTGCCACTGCACTTGAGATGGGCAAGAGAAAAGAAAGAAAGAGAGAAAGAAAGAGAGAAAAGAGAGAATGAGAGAGAGAGAGAGAGAGAAAGAGAAAAAGAGGAAGGGAGAGAGGAAGGAAGGAAGGAAAGAAAGAAAAAGAGAAAGAAAGAAAGAAAGAAAGAAAGAAAGAAAGAAAGAAAGAAAGAAAGAAAGAAAGAAAGAGAAAGAAAGTTAGTTTAGGGAATGTCAGGGCCTAGTGTGGGGTGGGGTAGGAGAACTGTGAGAGGTGAGGCAGGAAGGCCCAACAGCCCCATCTGGAAGGCTGCTGTGCACCACACTCAGAAGCTCAGGCTTGCTGGGCACGGTGGCTCATGCCTGTAATCCCAGCACTTTGGGAGGCCGAGGCGGGCAGAACACGAGGTCAGGAGATTGAGACTATCCTGGCTAACACAGTGAAACCCCATCTCTACTAAAAATACAAAAAATTAGCCAGGCGTGGTGGCGGGCACCTGTAGTCCCAGCTACTCGGGAGGCTGAGGCAGGAGAATGGCATGAACCTGGGAGGTGGAGCTTGCAGTGAGCTGAGATTGTGCCACTGCACTCCAGCCTGGGCGACAGAGCAAGACTCTGTCTCAAAAAAAAAAAAAAAAAAAAAAGAGAAAGAAGCTCAGGCTTTGTCTTAGGACACACGTTGCTGGAGAGCTGTTCCACATCAAGCACATTTAGAAAGTTTTGCCACCTACATTCTTGACTTCTCCCTCCAGGTATCTAATATGGTTTGGCTGTGTCCCCACCCAAATCTCATCTTCAATTGTAGTTCTCATAATCCCCATGTGTCATGGGAGGGACTAGGTGGAGATCATTAAATCATGGGGATGCTTTCCCCCATCCTGTTCTCATAATAGTGAGTTCTCACAAGATCTTATGGTTTTATAAGGGGCTTCCCCTTTGTTGGGCTTTCATTCTTCTCTCTCCTACCGCCATGTGAAGAAGGACATGTTTGCTCCTCCTTCCGCCATGATTGTAAGTTTCCTGAGGCCTCCCCAGCCATGCTGAACTGTGAGTCAATTAAAACTCTTTTTCTTTTATAAATTACCTAGTCTCAGGTAGGTTTTGTTTTTAGACGGAGTCTCGCTCTGTCCCCCAGGCTGGAGTGCAGTGGCACAATCTTGGCTCACTGCAACCTCTGCCTCCCAGGTTCAAGCAATTCTTCTGCCTCAGCCTCCCAAGTAGCTGGGACTACAGGTGTGCACCACCATGCCTGGCTAATTTTTGTATTTTTAGTAGAGATGGGGTTTCACCATATTGGCCAGGCTGGTCTTGAACTCCTGGGCTTGTGATCCACTCACCTTGGCCTCCCAAAGTGCTGGGATTACAGGCATGAGCCACTGCACCCAGCCTTGGGTATGCTTTCATTAGCAGCATGAGAACAGACTGACACAGTGTCCCGTCAACACTTACAGGGACCAATGGTCCCAGTTTGCCCAGGACTGTCCCTGTTCAGCACTGAAAGTCTCATGTCTCAGGAAACCACTCAATTCCAATCAAACCAGGACAGTTGTCACCCTATAAGTAATGCCTAAACACAGTTGTCTGAGTCTATTTTTGTCCTGCTGTAAAGAAATACCTGAGACTGGGTGATTTATAAGGAAAAGGGGGGTCAGGTGTGGCAGCTCATGCCTGTCATTCCAACACTTTGGGAAACCAAGGCAAGAGAATTGCTTGAGGCCAGGAGTTTGAGACCAGCCTGGGCAACATAGTGAGACCCCATCTCTACGAAATGTAAAATTTAAAAATTGACCTTTCATGGTGGTGCATGCCAGTAGTCTCAGCTACTCAGGAGGCTGAGGTGGGAGGGTTCATCACTCGAGCCCAGGAGATCGAAGCTGCAGTGAGCTATGACTGTGCCAGCCTGGGTGGCAGAGGGAGACCCTGTCTCTGCAAAAAAATTGTAAAAATTAGCCAGGCATAGTGGCACATATCTGTAGTCCCAGCCACTCAGGAGGCTGAGGCAGGAGGATCACTTGAGCCTGGAAGGTCGAGGCTGCAGTGAGTTATGATCACACCACTGCACTCCAGCCTGGGTGACAGTGAGACCTTGTCTCAGAAAAAAATAAAGAGAGAGAGAGAGAAGGAAGGAAGGAAGGAAAGAAGGAAGGAAGGGAGAGAGGGAGGGGGAGGGGAGAGGGGAGGGGAGAGGGGAGGGCAGGGGGGTAGGGGAAGGGGTAGGGGTAGGGGAGGGGGAGGAGAGGGGAGAGAGGGGAGAGGAGAGGGGAGAGAGGGGAGAGGGGAGGGGAGAGGGGAGAGGGGAAGGGAAGGTGAGGGGAGGGGGAAGGGGAGAGGGGTGGGGGGGAGAGAGGAGAGGGGAGAGGGGAGAGGGGAGGGGAGAAGGAAAGAAAGGAAGACCAGGTGTGGTGGCTCATGCCTGTAATACCAGCACTTTGGGAGGCTGAGGCAGAAGGACTGCTTGAGCCCATGATGTTGAGACCAGCCTGGGCAACACAGTGAGACCCCATCTCAAATACATACATACATACATACATATATACATACATACATACATACATACATACATACATACATACATACATACAGTAAAAAAAGAAAGAAAGTACGAGGAACTGACATATGCAGGACTGAAATGTGAGCCGTCACAGCCGGTGGCCATTAACAATAGAGCCAAGAGCCCCAGGGACAGCAACTGTGGGACACACCTGAACTGTCTCCAAGCAGAAATGACCAGCATGCGGATAGCCAGGAGTGGGGATCTGTGAACAGAAAGGGACTCAGGAGAAGCCAGCGTGAGGGAGCCGCCCACCCGTGGCCACTCCAGTTTCTCGGGTTCTGGGCACACTGGGCCAGACACGCGCTGGTGTGCCTCTGCCCCGGCGCGACCCTGCCTGGCCTTCCTTGGAGGCCAGAGAAATTGCATCCTGGCAGCTGGCAGGCCGGGTGGAGAGCAGGCAGAAATCAGGCGGCAGAATCTTCCTTTGAACCAAGCAAAGGTCAGAAAGAGCCTTGACTCCTTGGTACAGAGAATCTGACAGTGTCTCTGGGTACGTTCCTAGAAATGCATCTTGGGGCTGGACACAGCGACTCATGCCTGTAATCCCAGCACTTTGGGAGGCCAAGGAGAGCGGATCATTTGAGGTCAGTTTGAGATCAGCCTGGCCAACATGGTGAAACCCCATCTCTACTAAAAATACAAAAATTAGCCGGGCGTGGGGGCACATGCCTGTAATCCCAGCTACTCGAGAGGCTGAGGCAGAAGAATCGCTTGAACCTGGGAGGCAGAGGTTGCAGTGAGCCAAGGTCGTGCCACTGCACTTCAGCCTGGGCAACAGAACAAGACTCTATCTCAAAAAGAAAAAAAAAAGAAATGACATCTCAGGTCGGTCCTGTGGCCACAGAATAATAACTCTGACATCCAGGTCCTAATCCCCAGAATCTGTAAATGTGGTGCCTTCCATGGCCAAAGCGACTCTGCAAGTGGGACTGAGTGAAGGGCATGGAGATGGGAGATAATCCTGATGATCTGGCGGGCCTCATATCCCCACAGTGTTCTCATGAGAGGAGGTGGGAGGGTGAGGGTCAGGGAGACTGGAAGAGGCTGTGCTGCGCTGTGGCTGTGAAGGGAGAGGAAGGGGCCCCGAGCAAGGGATGTGGGTGCCTCTAGACGCTGGGAAAGGCGGGAACACATTCTCGCCTGGAGCCCCCAGGAGGGACCAGCCCTGCCCACACCTTGACTTTGGCCCAGGGAGGCCCATCTTGTTCCAGCAGCACCAGGAAGCCAACACACGCTCCCTGGGGACAATGCTACTCGATGCTGACTTCGGAGAGAGCCGAATGGTTTACTGGGCATCTGGCATCTTTACAGGAGGAACACCCTGCAAATGGGAGCTGCCCAACTCATAATATCCAGATCCTCACTCATCCTGAGACTTCCAGGAGTCCCAGCAAGGCAATGAAATTCTCCAGGCCTCAGTTTCCCCAGGTCGTTGATCTGCTTTGTCCCTTCAGTTGTAATTTTCTAGGGTATGTGTTTTTTGTCTGCCCAGCATCCCTTTCTTCAATGAAGGTCCACCTCATCCCTGCTGTCCTGGTGGGGTGGTCGATCATGGTGCTAGCCACCAGGTCTGCCAATCACAGTGTTTACTCCCTCTCCCCATCAGTGATGATTGGTCCATACTGAACACAAGCCTGCCAATCACAGCTTCCACCCTTCCATCTCCAGCCAGTGATTGGTCCACACTGGACCCTGGCCTGCCAATCACAGTTCCCACCCCTCCATCCCCATCAGTGATTGGTCCACACTGGACCCTGGCCTGCCAATCACAGTTCCCACCCCTCCATCCCCCATCAGTGATTGGTCCGCACTGGACCCTGACCTGGCAATCACAGTGCCTACCCCTCCATCCCCATCAGTGATTGGTCCACACTAGACCCTGACCTAGCAATCACAGGGCCCACCCCTCCATCCCCATCAGTGATGGACCCAAGAGGTTGCATATGACCCAAGCAGGACACCAAGTTCTTTTGGATCCTTGAGTTTCAACTTTATAAAACTGTCACTTTTTAAGACCAAAGTCTATAGAACAAGATCAGTTTCTTATGGTTCAACTCACAGAAGCAGGGACGGAGACGCCTTCTTCCCAGTGGGGCTCCTAAACTGCCACGTGTAGACGTGGGGCCATTGGCCTCCATCTTGGTGGCCAACAGAAGGAAAGGATGAGGTCAGTGCCGTGGAGGAAGAGACCAAAAGGGGATAGAGTTGGAGGCAGGAGTCTCCACCAGGGAAGGACCTCAGCAGACACCAGAGTGAGTCAGGCGCAGCCCCGCCCAGCACCAGCTCCTCCACGGGACCTGTTTCGTCGTGGAGCCAAGTTCTGTGCCCCCTGGTGCCAGGATATGTAGTTTGTGAACAAACCGAAGCGGAGAGCAGGAACTTCTACAGGGATGGTCCCTAAAGGAAACGCTCTTCCCCTCCTTTGCTGCTGTCTGGAGAAGAACACAATACAATCAACACAACATCAGGCTTATCCACCGTATGCACTCGGCGCCCACCTCACCAAGGCCACAGAGGCTCGTGGGTAAGGGGCCAGAGCCAGCCGGTGGTCAGAGGAGAAACCTTCCTCCAAGAACCTCTTCCAAGCCTGGTTAGGGGCTCCCCAGAGACAACCAGAGCAACGCAGAGGCCTCCAACAGGGTCTCAAACAAAGACCCTGTTTTTGAGGGGTGTTTTTGTTTTCTTTTTTTTCTTTTTTTGAGACGGAGTCTCGCTCTGTCTCCAGGCTGGAGTGCAGTGGCGCGATCTCGGCTCACTGCAACCTCCGCCTCCCAGGTTCAAGCAATCCTCTAGCCTCAGTCTCCCAAGTAGCTGGGACTACAGGCGCCCACCACCACACCCAGCTAATTTTTGTATTTTTTAGTAGAGACGGGGTTTCACCATATTGGTCAGGGTGGTCTCGAACTCCTGACCTCAGGTGATCCACCGGCCTCGGCCTCCCAAAGTGCGGGGATTACAGGCGTGAGCCACCGCGCCCTACCTCTTTAAAAAAAAAAAAAAAAAAAAAAAAAAAAAAAAAAAAAGATTGTTGAGAGAAATCAGCATGAAATTAATGGACAGGCAGGACTTTGAGCCTCTCCTTGTCACCGTGAATACAAGAAAAAGGAATCTTTGGTGCTGATGTAATAGCTTGAAAAGCAGTGAAGCCGCGGAGGGGTCAGAGCTCTGTAGCTCGGGAAAATGTTATAAAGCACTGCCCAGATTTGCCCAATGTACAGAAACTTCTAGACTCCTCTCAACTCCTCAAGGATAGACACGAGCCTTCTTTACCTCTCTGCCTTGCTCAGATCTCCCTGTAAAGCACTTTGCAAATAGTTGGTACAGACAAAAGCATTTGTTGCTTCAGTGAAAAGCTGACAAGTTTCCTAAAGAATAAATCAGCATGGTGTGTATTAGTTTCGCAAAAAGTTGGCTGAAAACCTCCAAGCTGCAACCTCCCTAGGCCACGTGTACGGCAAAGAAAGCAAAAGTTGGCCGGGCACTGTGGCTCATGCCTGTAATCCCAGCGCCTTAAGAGGCTGAGGCGGGTGGATCGCTTGAGGCCAGGAGTTCGAGACCAGCCTGGCCAACATGGCGAAACCCCGTCTCTACTAAAAATACGAATATTAGCTGGGCATGGTGGTGCATGCCTGTAATCCCAGCACTTTGGGAGGCCGAGGTGGGTGGATCACCTGAGGTCAGGAGTTCGAGACCACCCTGGCCAACACGGCGAAACCCCGTCTCTACTAAAAATGCAAAAATTAGCTGGGCATGGTGGTACACGCCTGTAATCCCAGCACTTTGGGAGGCCAAAGTGGGAGGATCCCTTGAGGCCAGGCGTTTGAGACCAGCCTGGCCAACATCACAAAACCCTATCTCTACTAAAAATACAAAAAATTAGCCAAGTGTGGTGGCGTGCCTGTAATCCCAGCTACTTGGGAGGCTGAGGCATGAGAATCACTTGAACCCGGGAGGCAGAGGTTGAAGTGAGCCCAGATTGCTCCATTGCACTCCGGCCTGGGCGACAGAGTGAGACTGTGTCTCAAAAATCAATAAATATATAAAAATAAAAAAAGAAAGCAAAAGCTGAAGGCTGGATTCATCCTGGGTGAATTACCCATCTCATTATAATGCAAAGTCCATTTTAAACCCAAGTTTCTGGCTGGGCGCAGTGGCTCATGCCTGTAATCCCAGCACCTTGGGAGGCCAAGGAGGGAGGATCACTTGAGGCCAGGGGTTGAGACCAGCCTGAGCAACATGGCGAGACCCCCATCTCCACAAAAAATAAAAATAATTAGCCAGGGGTGGTGGTGCACGCCTGTGGTTCCAGCTACTTTGGAGGCTGAGGCAGGAAGATCACTTGTCCCCACGAGGTCAAGGCTGAAGTGAACTATGATTGTGCCACTGCACTCCAGCATGGGTGATAGAGCAAGACTTTGTCTCAGGAAAAAATAAATTTTTTTAATTTAAAAAAAGTTTAGAACACCCATATTTCTAAATTGAAATAAATTCTTACTAAGCTGCAAAGTCTGTTTAGAGTTAAAAAAAAATAAGTCAGCCAAAAGAAAATCATTTAGTGCTGGACAGACCAAAAATAAAACCTGCCTGTTTCAATGAATCTTTCTCTTATCACTCAGATGCAATGGAGACAGCCGGTCTCAGACAAGCGAGCGTTTTAATTCAGAGAAAGGCAGAGAGAGAAGGTTCTGGAAGGTCCTTCACACTGCTAATCTCAGAGTAAAAATATCTTCTAGAGTTTTATTATCTTTTTTTCCAAAGACTGGGGGTGGGAGAGAATGAAATACACAGGTAGAAGGAGGGAAGATAGCCCATTTCGAGAAACAAGAGTGGGCATGGAGGTTGACAGGTGACCTTGAGGTGGGAGGAAGCCCTTGACAAGAAGAGGCATCATTTATTTTTTTTTTAAAGCAACGTAGGAGGGTGTTACTGGCCGGGTTTGAGAGATATGTGAGAATGCCCCCAGGCAAACCAAAAAGAAAAGTGTGTAGCTGTAAAACCAAAGAGATCAGTAGGAGGAGACTCGCCCGCCTGCGTGACAGGAAAAAGCTTCGAGAAGAATGGACGTGGGATCTCAGATCTGAACTGCGCACCAAGATACAGGGAAGAAAAAAGAAGGGGCCAGGCACAGTGGCTCACGCCTGTAATCCCAGACTTTGGGAGGTCAAGGCAGGCGGATCACTTGAGGTCAAGAGTTTGAGACCAGCCTGGCCCCCATCTACTAAAAATATAAAATTTAGCCGGGCATGGTGGCGGGCGCCTATAATCCCAGCTTGAACCCGGGAGACGGAGGTTGCAGTGAGCCGAGATCGCACCAAAATCATGAACCATCAGCATTGATGTCTCCAAATTGAGCCTGTGGCTCGACCAGCCTCCAGCCCAACAGACGCCACTCTCTCGGCATCCTCTGGCCCAGGCGGGAGGCAGGAAGTCCGACTCATCCCAACGCGGTGGTGATGGGGTGAGAGTCCCTGTCACCCAGTGAGTCAGTTTGCTTTGGGGTGACCAGTTGTCCTGGCCCTGGTTTGCTCAAGGCTATTCTAGTTTTGTTTTTTTTTTTTCTTGGTTTTGTTGTTTTTGAGACGGAGTCTTGCTCTGTCGCCAGGCTGGAGTGCAGTGGCACGATGTTGGCTCGCTGCAACCTCCACCTCCTGGGTTCAACCGATTCTCCTGCCTCAGCCTCCCAGGTAGCGGAGATTATAGGTGCCCGTCACCACATCCAGCTAAATTTTTTTTTTCTTTTGTATTTTAGTAGAGACAGGGTTTTGCTGTGTCACCCAGGGTAGTCACAAACACCTGAACTCAGGCAATCCGCCTGCCTCAGCCTCCCAAAGTGCTGGGATTACAGGCGTGAGCCGCTGCGCCCGGCAGCTATTCCAGTTTTAACCTGGAACCTGGGACATCTGGCCAACCTACCGACTTCCGTCTTCATCTGTCAGGAACCATCTGGAGCCGTGTGGGGGCCCCCAAGGAGGGACTAGGCAAGGACTTTGTTAGCAGAGCCACGAGTGACTGTGAACGAGTGAGCGACTGTGAACGAGGCAATAGCAATGTCTGTTTCCAGCCTCCAGATGAGGCCAGCTGGGGAGAGTCTTGGTTTAGGGCCAGCGTGTCCTTAATGCCACTCTGAGACCTGCCAGTGTCTGTTTTCAAACAGGAGTGAGCTGTGGGCTCAGAGCCTTCGCAGAGGACATCCGGGGCCAGGGAGTAGGGTGACAGGAGGTAGGTATTGGCCCTGGGAGAAAAATTAAAGTGAGTTCCAAAAACCTCGGTCATCAAGATACATAATATTGTCATGCATTTTTTTCTTTTTGAGATAGGGTCTGGCTCTGTCACCCAGGCTGAAGTACAGTGTTATGATCTCGGCTCACTGCAGCCTTGAACTCTTGGGCTCAAGGGATCCTCCTGCCTCAGCCTCCCGAGTAGATGGGACTACAAATGCATGCCACCACGCTGGGTTAATTTTTTTTTTAAGTTTTTGTAGAGACGAGGTCTTGCAATGTTGTCCAGTCTGGGCAATATATATATAAAGAGAGACAGAGAGAGAAAGCAAAAGCAAAAGAAAGCAAAAGCTGAAGGCTGGATTCATCCTGGGTGAATTACCCATCTCATTATAATGCAAAGTCCATTTTAAACCCAAGTTTCTGGCTGGGCGTGGTGGCTCACGCCTGTAATCCCAGCACCTTGGGAGGCCAAGGAGGGAGGATCACTTGAGGCCAGGGGTTGAGACCAGCCTGAGGAACATAGCGAGACCCCCATCTCCACAAAAAATAAAAATAATGAGCCAGGCATGGTGTAGCCTGCAACCTGGGACATCTGGCCAACCTACCCACTTTTTTTTTTTTTTTTTTTTTGAGACAGAGTCTCACTCTATCACCCAGGCTGGAGTGCAGTGGCGTGATCTTGGCTCACTGCAAGCTCCACCTCCCAGGTTCACACCATTCTCCTGCCTCAGCCTCCTGAGTATCTGGGACTACAGGCTCCCGCCACTGTGCCTGGCTAATTTTTTTGTTATTTTTAGTAGAGACAGGGTTTCACCGTGTTAGCCAGGATGTGTATATATTTTTTTGAAATGAAGTCTCTTGTCACCCAGGCTAGAGTGCAGTGGCACAATATCAGCTCAATGCAATCTCTGCCTCCTGGGTTCACGTGATTTCCTGCCTCAGCCTCCCAAGTAGCTGGGATTACACTGGTGCCCGCCATCATGCCCGGCTAATTTTTGTATTTTCAGTAGAGAAGGGGTTTCGCTATATTGCCCAGGCTGGTCTTGAACTCCTGACCTCAAGTGACCTGCCAGCCTTGGCCTCCCAAAGTGCTGGGATTACAGGCATGAGCCACTGCATTTGGGCATCCCCAGTTGAGTTTCTGATGAGACCACAGCCCAGCCAACACTCTGACTGCAGTCTTGTCAGACCCTGAGCAGAGGATCCAGCCAAACCATGCCCAGCCACCCAACCCACAGAAACCACAAAACCATGAGACAGTAAACAGGAGGTGTTTCAAGTTGCTACATTTGTGGTAATTTGCAGAAAACTAGGCCAGGTGCAGTGGCTCAGGTCTGTAATCCCAGCACTTTTGGAGGCTGTGGCAGGAGGATCGCTTGAGCCCAGGACTTTGAGATCAGTGTAGGCAACATAATGAGATCCCATCTCTAAAAAAAAAAAAAAAAAAAAAAAATTACAAATTAGCCAGGGTGGTAGCACACACCTGTAGTCCCAGCTACTTGGGAGGCTGAGGCAGGAAGATCACTTGAGCCCAGGAGGTTGAGGCTGCAGTGAGCTGCGATCAAGCCACTACACTGCAGCCTGGGTGAGGGTGACAGAGCAAGACCCTGTCTTAAACAAACAAAAGCTAATACAATCATTAACAGGCTTCTTAAATTTGACACTGACCAAACTGAGCTCTCATATCCCTCCTCAGTCTCCTCTTCACAAAAATGCCTGCTCCTCCCACAGTCTTCTCAGCTCAGACAGCAGCTCCACTTTCGTACTCACCCAGGTACAAAAAAATTTTTTTTAAAACCTGGGTTTGGCCGGGCACAGTGGCTCACGCCTGTAATCCCATCACTTTGGGAGATGGGTGGATCACCTGAAGTCAGGAGTTTGAGACCAGCATGGCCAACATGGTGAAACCCCATCTGTACTAAAAATACAAAATTAGCTGGGTGTGGTGGTGGGCGCCTGTAATCCCAGTTACTCTGGAGGCTGAGGCAGGAGAATCACTTGAACCCGGGAGGTGGAGGTTACAGTGAGCCGAGATCACACCTTTGCACTACAGCCTGGACAATGAGAGCAAAACTCTGTCTCAAAAAAAAAAAAAAGAATTAGCCGGGCATGGTGGCGTACACCTGTAATCCCAGCTACTCAGGAGGCTGAGGCAGGAGAATTGCTTGAGCCCAGGAGGCGGAGGTTGCAGTGAGCTGAGATTGCGCCACTGTGCTCCAGCCTGGGCGACAGAGTGAGACTCTGTCTTTAAAAAAAAAAAAAAAAAAAAAAAAAAACTGGGTTTATCCTTGATGCCCTGGCACATCCCAAACCCAGTCCATCCAAAAACGTTGTCAGACCGTCTGCAGGGTAGCTCTAGAATTGGGCCCCTACGCCATGTCTAGCCTGGTCTAAGCAGGGCATCGCCCAGGCTCACAAAATGCCACTTCCATCTTCCCCTCCCTGGGTCTATTCTCAACGGGAAGCCTCAGGGAGACAGCTAAGACCCGCGTCAGGTGACATCCCACCTCTGCCCAAACCTCCCCACAGCGACCGGGTCTAACTGTCCTCATCTCCAACCCCTCCCTCCTTCAGCCCCAGCTTCACTGGCCTCCTCGCCGATCCCCAAACATGCACAGCATGGTCCAGCCTCAGTGCCTTCAAAGGCACAGGCTGTGTCTCCTGCCTGACATCCTCAGCTATACCCTAATGTGCCCTTCACATTCTCTGCTTTTTTTTTTTTTTTGGTCTCTCAAATTTTGCAAACTGCACCCATGGGAGTAGATGGTAGGATGGTTTCTGCCACATGCAGAGCCTGGAACTGCTTAATTCCCATTTGTCTTCCCTTAACCATTGGAAAAGGGGAGCCAGGAAAAACGCAGCCGCCATGTGCAGTCTCTCCGTTCCGTAGCCTAATGCCTCCTGAAAGAGCAAGTTATTTCCCTCTGCCTCTCCGGCCCCACAAATCCAGAGAGTTACAATTTGATAACTATAGCTGGCACATCATTCCTCAAGAGCTGTAACACTGAAA
Organism: Homo sapiens; assembly: GCF_000001405.40. Lineage (NCBI taxonomy): Eukaryota > Metazoa > Chordata > Mammalia > Primates > Hominidae > Homo > Homo sapiens. The sequence continues at coordinate 2,368,040 of NC_000019.10, read as the reverse complement.
AATATACCTTTAATAAAAGTAAGTGGATAAAGCCAGGCATGGTGGCTCATGCCTATAATCCCAACATTTTGGGAAGCTGAGGCAGGTGGATCACTTGAGATCCAGAGTTCGAGACCAGCCTGGCCAACATGGTAAAACCCTGTCTCTACTAAAAATACAAAAATTAGCCAGTCATGGGCTGGGTGCAGTGGCTCATGCCTGTAATCCCAGCACTTTGGGAGGCCAAGGTGGGTGGATCACCTGAGGTCAAGAGTTCAAGACCAGCCTGGCTAACACAGTGAAACCCCATCTCTACTAAAAATACAAAAAATTAGCCAGGCATGGTGGCAGGTGACTGTAGTCCCAGCTACTTGGGAGGCTGAGGCAGGAGAATGGTGTCAACCCGGGAGGCAGAACTTGCAGTGAGCTGAGATCGTGCCACTGAATTCTAGCCTGGGCGACGGAGCAAGACTCCCTCTCAAAAAAAAAAAAAAAAAAAATTAGCCAGTCATGGTGGTGCACACCTGTAATCCCAGCTACTTGGGAGGCTGAGGCAGGAGAATCACTTGAACCCAGGAGGCAGAGGTTGCAGGGAGCCAAGTTTCCACCACTGCACTCCAGCCTGGGCAATGGAGCAAGACTCCATCTTGAAAAAAAAAAGTACATAAGCATTTTCTATGTGACAGGTGTTGTATTAAACAATATTTACAGTCATCATCTCATTTATTGCCACATTTCTCCTATGAGACTGGTTCTATTCTGACCAAAGATGAATTGGAGGCACCGAAGAGTTAGGTAACTTGCCCAAGGTTATAGATGTGGTGGTTTTTAAATATCTCCAAAAATTATTTGCTATCCTCACCTAGCAGAGCCTAATTTCCCTCTCCGAGTGTGTGTTGGACTTATTGACTCACTTGTAATGAATAGAATATACCAGAAGCAATGGATCTAGGCTTCTGAGGTTAGATCATAGAAGCACTATGGCTTTGTTCTTTCTCTCCCTTGAATCACCAGCCCTGGGGGAAGCAAGCAGCCATGTTGTCAGGATGCTCGAGCAGCACTATGGTGATTCCCATGTGGTGAGGAACTGAGGCCTCCCACCAACAGCCACATGAGGACACCAGCTTTGAAGTGGCTCTTCCAGGCCCAGACGAGCTTTCAGATGAGGCAGCCCTGGCCCATGTCTTTTTTTTTTTTTTTTTTTTGAAATGGAGTCTCGCTCTGTCGCCCAGGCTGGAGTGCAGTGGCGCAATCTTGGCTCACTGCAAGCTCCACCTCCTGGGTTCACGCCATTCTCCTGCCTCCGCCTCCTGAGTAGCTGGGACTACAGGTGCCCGCCACCACGCCCGGCTAATTTTTTGTATTTTTAGTAGAGGTGGGGTTTCATCGTGTTAGCCAGGATGGTCTTGATCTCCTGACCTTGTGATCTGCCCTCCTCAGCCTCCCAAAGTGCTGGGATTACAGGCGTGAGCCACCGCACCCAGCCCCTGGCCCATGTCTTAACTGCAACCTCATGAGAGACCATGGGCCAGAACCACCCAGATAAATCACTCCCAAATCCTTGGCCCACAGAAACTGTGACAGAATAAATGTCTGTTGTTTTAATTGGCTAAATTTGAGAGACATTTGTTATGCAGTAACCAAAAACTAATACACAGGACGGCAGGTCCCAGGGCTCTTCTGTCTGGTGTTCCTTATTTACTTTTTTGGTTTTTGAGATAGGGTTTCACTCTGTCACCCAGGCTGGAGTGCACTGATGCTATCACAGCTCACTGAAGCCTCAACCTCCTGGACTCAAGCAATCCTCCCACCTCGGCCGCCTGAGTAGCTAGGACTACAGGTGTGCACCACCACACCCGGCTAATTTTTTAAATTTTTGGTAGAGACAGGGTCTCACTCTCTGCTTTTAATGGCCAATGTTTTCTAGTTGCTCAAAACCATGGTTCAACCTCTCCAAGGAGAAATTCAGGGGGTTCCCTTTTTTTCCAAGCAGTTTCAATAAAACCCAAAGGTTCACCTCAGCTTCATTCTTGAGCTTCTAAATTTCTTCTCTTCTCTTTCTCCATCTCTTTTTTAAAATTATTTATTTATTTATTTTGAGACAGAATCTCACTCTATCACCCAGGCTGGAGTGCAGTGGTGTTATCACAGCTCACTGCAGCCTCCAACTCCTGGGTTGAAGCAATCCTCCCACCTCAGCTTCCTAAATAGTTGGGGCTATGGGTGCACACCACCATGCCTGGCTCATTTTTTTAGTTTTTGTACAGATGGGGTCTTGCTATGTTGCCCAGCTGGTCTCAACTTCCTGTGCTCAAGTGATCCTCCTGCCTCAGCCTCCCAAATAGCTGGGACTACAAGCCTGCACCATCATGCCCCCAGCCTCGGTCTGGGCTCTTTAGCTGTCTTGCCCACCTGTCTGTGTAGTTTTTTTGTTTTTTTTGTTTGTTTGTTTGTTTTTTCCTTCACCTAATCCAAGATGATCACAGTTTTCGGACACGTCCATCCCATTCGATTCCGCATCTTTGGTCCCACGGCAGCCAAAGCCCGTTTATAGAACAGACAGCTGTTGTCTACGCCATGGCCTCTCTTATTTCTTCCTGTCCCCTGTCCTCAGGCCTGAATCTAGTCAGGAAATCCTCCCCTCCTCCATCGCCCCAACATCATGAAATAAATCACTCAGCAAGCCTACAGGAAATTTAATAAGCTTGGTCTCCTTTTTTTTTTCATTTTGTCTATGGTCTTTTTGTTAGGCTTTCATGGGAAGAGGTGTTTGTGAGAAAACTATTTGCAGCAATGGTATCTTGTGTTCTTTTAGCTTTATAATGTGGACAGAGGAGAAAGGAGTCAGTAATCGTGTGGGAGGGAAGACGCCGATAAACATGAGTGATACTAAGGGACCCAGAGGAAAACGCAGAGATTAAAAAATAACCTTCCAATCACTTATGAGTTGTATCATTTAAAATTAATACAGCTCCTAAATGCAATGTGGGATCCTGGATTGCAACGTAGAACAGAAATATTGGTGGGAAGACAGAGTGTGGCACCCACAGTCGTGCGTCAGTTTTGCTCTTTTTTTTTTTTTTGAGATGGAGTCTCGCTCCGTCGCCCAGGCTGGAGTGCAGTGGCGCGATCCTGGCTCACTGCAAGCTCTGCCTCCCGGGTTCACGCCATTCTCCTGCTTCAGCCTCCCGAGATTACAGGCGCCCGCCACCAGGCCCGGCTAATTTTTTTTGTATTTTTAGTAGAGATGGGGTTTCAGCGTGTTAGCCAGGATGGTCTCGATCTCCTGACCTCATGATCGGCCCGCCTCAGCCTCCCAAAGTGCTGGGATTACAGGCGTGAGCCACCGTTCCCGGCCCAGTTTTGCTCTTTGTTCTGTGGTCAAAGGTGTCAACGCAAGGGGACACTGGGTGGAAGGTGGGTGTGCGGGGACTCTCTGCACCATCTTCACAACTAAAATTATCCCCCCCAATTTTTTTTTTCATAAAGGTAAAGTGTAAACAAAACAACAAAGGGCTGGGTGCCGTGGCTCCCGCCTGTAATCTCAGCACTTTGGGAGGCCAAGGTGGGAGGATTCCTTGAGCCCAGGAATTCAAGACCAGCCTGATCAACATAGTGAGATCCCATCTCTGCAAAACAACAACAACAAAGGAAGCCTTATGCAGTTATGAGTGGATCACCCAGAATATGTTATCCTCTGCATCCATTTCAGAGCAACACACAGAAACATCAATGGCTTAGAACAGCCTGCAGGGCTGCGTCAACCATCAACTTCAATAAAACCCCAAGGTTCGCCTCAGCTTCATTCTTGGGCTTCTAAATTTCTTCTATTTATGCGTCTTTCATTCATTCATTCATTCATTCATTCACTTATTTATTTGAGACAGGGTCTCACTCCGTCACCCAGGCTGGAGTGCAGTGGTGTGATCACAGTTCACTGCAGCCTCCAACTCCCGGGCTCAAGCGATCCTCCCATCTCAGCCTCCTGAGTAGCTGGGACTACAGGTGCTGGGTCTACAGGACTACCGGGAGGCTGAGATGTGCTTATACCAACAGCGTCCTGTTGGTGTAGGGCTCATAGGCTTATGAGAGTTGATCCAGCCCTCCCAATAATCCCAGGGTATACAGGAGACAGGTCCAGCTAATATCAGCATGCCCATTTACAGAGGAGGAGATTAAGGCTCTCTCTGCCTCTCCCTCCCTCCCTCCCTCCCACTCTCACTCTCTCTCTCTCTCTCACACACACACGCGCGCACGCACACACACACACACTCACACACAGAGTTCTTGGAATTCTAGTGACTCCTCCACATTGCTGGGCAGCTTCCCTGTTATGCTCCCCGAGAACCCTGCTCCCCAGCTAAGCCAGGTGAGCCTGGGGGACCGAGGGGCGCAGGGCCGGGAGCTCTAAACCCTGCCCCAGTGTCGGCACCCAGGGTCCAGTCCTGCCTCCCCAAGCACCAGCTCCATCACCCACAGTTGCACGCACAGATGCACGGGGAATCACGCGACCTCACTCCCTCCCACACTCTCGCCTGTCCCCCCACCCCCCCACAACTGCTCCTACCTCAAATCTCCACCCATGTGTCTGCCATCAGAGAAGGGACGCCTTTGCCTTCATTCCGCCCTCACCTGCGATCCATCTACCATGCCTCCACGTCTCCGCAAAGCCCTTAACCAACCACAGTGACAACAGGGTTTGAACTCCGATGCTCCAGCGTTCCTGCAAGCTCTCGCCCCGCGGACAGAGTCCCCAGCCTGGGCAACCGGCCACCAACACCTTTTGCCTAAGGACTCTCCAAGCTCCGTATTTTACACCCTAAACATTCCAAATTCTGCAAAGGGAATTTTAGACAGTCCAAGAATGCTCTTTAGGGACGGGACCCAGCGCGCAGTGGGCCACATGGTCCCCAACTCACGTTCACACGCTGTGGGCAGCGGGGCACACACGGACTCCCATTCCGCGTGGCAGGACAAGCAGGCGGCGTGAGGCTCTGCAGGGCCCAATTACCCCACGGTCAGGCCAGCCTGAGCGCTGGGACCCTGATCCCCATGCCCCAGATGAGAAGACTAGGAAGAGGGGATTTGCACACACAACCACAACCTCACACAACACACACACAACACACAACCACACACAACACATTACCACACACAACCTCACACAACCAAACACAACCACACATTACAACCTCACACAACCACACACCACAACCACACACACCCTCACAAAACACACCTCACACAACCACATACAACCACACACAACCTCACTCCACCATCCACAAATTATACACAATCTCATCATGCAAGTACACACACAACCACGTTACAACTCCACAAATCTCACATACAATGACCATACAGCTAAACACAACTTCACACATATAGTCATACACTGATACAATCACAACTCCACCATACACAGTCATACAGACACGATTACACATATTGCCACAATCATATGCAATCACACACAAACACAATTATACAACCATACACAACCACACAAAGCCATCCACAAAATCATGCAATTCTCATCATGCAATCACACACACAACCGTACACTATAACCACACAGCTGCAGAAACCTCCCATACAACACACAACCATACACGGTCTCACACATGCAGTCACACACCCATACACACAATTACACCTCCACCACAATCACAGGCACAATGACACACATGGCTGCACAGTCACACAATCTCGCACAACCACACACAATCCTATACAATCACACAAACATCATGACATAACTATACGCAACCACACATGACCACACAACTATACACACAGTTATACAGCCATCGACACACAACCATATACGATCCCACCCGACCACACAATTACACAACCATACACAATCACGCATGACATGACACATGACCACACACAACCATACACAATCACACAATTACACAACATAAACGATCACTCATGACCCCACACACACATATAATACACAATCACACACAAATCACATGGCCATATGCAGCTACAGACACAATTATATATATTGCCACACACAACCACACATCACACACAATCACATGATCACACACAATCACACACAGCCACACAGACAACTCACCCAGAATCTCACACAGCCCCACCCAGCCAGGCCCCCAGGAAGGCGTCAGGAAGCCAGGACCACAGGTGTCCTGCGGGGCATCCCTGATCTGCAAGGCGGTGGCCACCACGCGGCCCACAAGGTGTTTCCGGCCATGCAGTCCTGCGGGGCAGTGCCTGAACCCTTTGGCAAGTCCCCAAAACCTCTGGCAACCTCTGGAGCCCATGCCTGGGTCCGAGGCCTGGTTTGACCCCCTATAAAATGACGGAAGGAAGTCGAAGGTCCCTGGGCCACAGAGGACCCTCGAGCACGGACGCCTGTCCTGGGGACCCCGCCCTAATTCCCAGAATGTGGGTCATTCCCGGTCATGCGGGGATAACGCCACGGTCCCCAGCCTGGGTTTCCTGCCGGGGCTAATTGAATCCAGGAGGACCCTCCCTCAGGCAAATACCAACAACCCACCCCATCTCAGGCCCTTCACCCACCTCCAATTGTTACATCCCAGTGTGTGTTTACTCAGAAGCGGCTCCGAGGGTGAGAACTGGGGCGGGAGGAGAGGCTCCAGTCAGATGCCTGGCACCCACTCCAGCCCCGCCTCCCACCCCAGCCCCCCCTCCCACCCCAGACTCACCTCCCACCCCATCCCAGCCCCGCACCCCACCCCACCAACCCATCCCAGCCCTGCACCCCACCAACCCATCCCAGCACCCCACCCCATCCCAACCCTGCACCCTACCCCAGCCCCACCTCCCACCCCAGCCTCCCACCCCAGCCCCACCTCCCACCCCAGCCTCCCACCCCAGCCCCGCACCACACCCCAGACTCACCTCCCACCCCAGCCCTGCACCCCATCCCAGTAGCTGTCAGCCCCTTTCCCGCCACCCCTGACCCCAGAGGGCTCCAGGCTGATGCTTGGTTCTTGCTTTAGGTGAAGTTCACGGGTAGAAAAGAAGGGAGGACTCTGGGTGGGAACAGGGATGGGGAGGGCTTCGGCGGTCCCAGGCCCCTCCAGGAACTAGGCCGAATCTACACACCCCAGCTGTATCTACACATCTCAGCTGCATCCACACAATCCCGGCTACGTCCACACACCCTGGCGGCATCTACCCAGCCTGGCCTCGTCTAGAAATCTCAGCCACATCTACACACGCTAGATACATCCACACAATCCCGGCTGCGTCCACACAACCCTACGTGCATCTACACACCACACCTGAGTCCACACAACCCCGGCCGCATCCACACGCCACACCTGCGTCCACATAACCCCCGCCGCATCTACACACCACACCTGCGTCCACACAACCCCTGCCGCATCTACACGCCGCACCTGCGTCCACACAACCCCGGCCACATCTACACGCGGCACCTGAGTCCACACAACCCTGGCCGCATCTACACAACCTGGCCATGTCTACACACCCCAGTGGCGTCCACACAGCCCCGGCTGCCTCTCCACAACCCCGGTGGTGTCTACACAGCCTGGCTGCATCTACACACTCCCGCCACGCCACCTCTACACAGCCCCAGAGGCAACCAAACAGCCCCGGGGCTTGGCGAATGGGGTTGGAGGAAGTGGGGGCTGTTCCGAGGGGAGGCTGAGCCCGCAGGAGACCCCGACTCACCGGGGTTGGAGGAAGTGGGGGCTGTTCCGAGGGGAGGCTGAGCCCGCAGGAGACCCCGACTCACCGCGCTCCGGACGACGAGGCTGCACCGCTACTGCCCGGATCCCGCCCACCCCGAAGTGGAGCAGAAGCCGGAGCTGGGCCCGGGGCTGGAGGAAGGGAGGGGCGGGGCGGGGCCGGGTGGGGGAGCCGCCCCTCCCCCGGCCCCCTGCCAAGCCCCTTCCCCAGTACCTCCTGCTCCGGGCCGGGGGTGCCGCCCAGGCTTGGAGTCTCCGGAGGACAGGGGTCCCAGGGCTCTGCCACCTCCACCCTGGATTCCCAACCCTGGCGGGAGCCAACCCAGAGTGGAAGACGATGGAGATGGGGAGGGGTTGGGGGTAGCCAGGGATGGGAGTGGGCTTCGCAGCTGGGAGCCATGGGGTGGGGGTTGCCCGCAGAGTGGGCGCTGTGGGCAGGTGGGCCCACCTGGGCAGGTGACTCAGGACAGGGCGCAGGGAGGGGTGTGCCCAGGACAGCCCTGGGGGCGAGGTGCTGAGGGCGTTTTCTAGGGCACTGGTGTAACCATTTTGTGTGTGTGTGTGTGTGTGTGTGTGTGTGTGTGTTTTGAGACAGGGTCTCATTCTCTGTCGCCCAGGCTGGATTGCAGTGGCGCGATCTTAGCTCACTGCAGCCTTGACCTCCCGGGCTCAGGTGATCCTCCCACCTCAGAGTCTGGAGTAGCTGAGACTACAGCCGCCTGCCACCACACCAGGCTAATTTTTGTATTTTTAGTAGAGATGGGGGTCTCACCATGTTGCCCGGGAAGGAACTACAGTATTTTTAATATAAATTTTTAATTTTTTAAAAAAATAGAGATGGGGTCTTGCCATGTTGCCCAGGCTGGTCTCGAACTCCTGGGCTCAAGCCATCCTCCCACCTCGACCTCCCAAAGCGCTGGGATTACAGGAGTCAGCAACGTGCCCAGCCTAAACGTTTTAGAAGAGTTTTAGATTCCCACAAAATGTGCAAAGACAGTTCAGAACTCCCCTGTGCGCCACATCCCGGGTCCCCTGTTACTGGCATCCAGGCCAGTGTGATACATTTGTCACAACCAATGAACAACTATTGATGCACGACTGTGAAGTCCACACTTGATTCCAGTTTCCTCAGTTTCCCCCAATGCCCTTTCCTGCTCAGGGCCCCACCCGAGATCCCACGTGGCATTTAGGCGTCACGCCTCCTCGGATCTCTCTGGGCTGTCGCAGTTTCCCAGACATTCCTATTTCTGACACCCTGCCCGCTCCTGGGGAAGGCAGGTCAGGTGTTTTGCAGGACACGCCTCAAGTGGGTTTGTCTGGTGCTTTTCTCCCTCATGGTCAGACTGGGTGGCCTCAGTTTTGACGCGCCACCCGCTGCCACGCTGGCCGCCCCTCCTGCTTAGGTCACCAGGTTGTTCACGTTCCTCCGTGCCGTCGAAGGAGACGGTGCACTTCGTTAGAACCACTGTCTCCTCTCTTATCTCAAGAGACTTTGCGGAAATTTTTTTTGGAACTGCCTTTAGAGACCAGCCCCATTTTATTACCTTTGGCAGAGCGTCTTTGTTGGTGATTTGCTTTTGAGAAGTGCCGCAAGTCCCGGGGAGCCACGCCTGGTGCTGGAGGGAGAGCAGTCCTGGAGGATCCAGCTCCTGGGTCCACGTTTCCCCAGTCGCCCGCAGAATGGTCCAGTCTACTGAGTATGTGCTGTGTGCCCGGCACTCGGCAGGGACTCCCCTAGGTTCTCATGATGGCCTCACAAAAGTAGCTGTCACCTCCTTTTAAGCAGAAGAAGTGGCTACAGCCCTGAGAGCCAGTCATCCAGCTCCTGGGATTCAAGCTGGGGCTCCACACCCAGGGCCTCCTATTGCTGCATTCTTCTGCCCACCCTCCTGTCAGGCTGCAGGCTGCGGTTGGTTCCCAAGAGGCATTTCTAACCTGCTCTGAGCCGTGTGGAGAAGAGCCTGTGACCCCATGGGAACCCCCTCCTCTCTTCCTCAGGGCCATTGGTGGACTCTTTCCAGAACTCCACCCTCTCACCTTCTGATGACTTCCCACCTGGCCCCAAACACTGAGTCCCGGTTCCTCGTGCAGCTATAGCAGCTCTCTGCCTGGGCCAGACGGGGTGCTTAGTAGAGGACCTGGCACACAGCAGTGAAGAGTGGTGGGTGGATGAGTGTGTGTGGATGGGTGGATGGGTGGTTGGGTGGATGGAGGGATGGATGGATGGATGGACAGACGGACGGTAAATGGGTGAATGGATAGATGGGTGTGTGTGTGGATAAATGGATAGATGGGTGTGTGTGTGGATAAATGGATAGATGGGTGTGTGTGTGGATGGGTGGGTGAGTGGGTGGATGAATGGATGAGTGGATGGGTGGATGGATGGATGGATGGGTGGGTGAGTAGACAGGTGGATAGATGGGTAAATGGATGAGTGGGTGGGTGGGTGGAAGGTGGGTGGATGGATGGTTGAATGGAAGGGCAAATGGATGGATGGGTGGGTGGGTAGATGGATGGATGGGTGGGTGGGCAGATGGATGGATGGGTGGAGGGGTAAATAATGGGTGGATGGATGGGCAAATGGATGGATGAGTGGAGGGGTGGGTAGATGGATGAATGGCTAGATGGGCAGGTAGATGGATGGATGGATTGGTGGGTGGGTGGATAGGTGGATGGATGGATAAATGGGTGGGTGGGTGGATGAATGAATGGGTAGATGGGTGGATGGGTGGATAGATGGGTGAGTGGGTGGTTGAATGGATGGATGAATGGATGGATGGATGGATGGATGGATGGATGGATGGATGGATAGATGGATGAATGGGTGTGTGGATGGGTGGGTGTGTGGGTGAGTGGATGGTTGGGTGTGTAGATGGATGGATGGATGGATGGATGGATGGATGGATGGATGGATGGATGGATGAATAGATGTGTGAATGGGTAAATGGATGGACAAATGGATGGTGGATCAATGGATGGAGACGGATGGGTGGATAAGTAGGTGGATGGGTGTGTGGATGGGTGGCTGGATGGATGGATATGTGGATAAGTGGATGGGTGGTTGGATAACTGGGTGGATGGGTATGTGGATAGGTGGATGGATGGTTGGATAAATGGATAGGTGTGTGGATGGGTGGGTGGGTGGGCGGGTGGATGGACGGATAGATGGATGGGTGTGTGGATGGATGTTGGATAAATGGATGGGTGGATAGATGAATGAGTGGATGGATGGGTAGATAAATGGATGAGTGGGTGGATAGGTGAATGGGTGGATGAATGGGTGGATAAATGGGTGGATGGGTGTGTGGATAGATGGTTGGATAAATGAGTGGATGGAGGGTATGTGTATGGACGGATGGATAACTGAACAGACAGGTGGGTGAATGGGTGGGTGTGTGGATGAACAGATGGATAAATGTGTGGACAGATGGTTGCATAAATGGGTGGGTGGGTGGGTGGATGGATGCATGGACGGATGGATGGATGGACAGACGGACGGACGGATGGATGGATGGTTACATAAATGGGTGGGTGGGTGGATGGATGGATGGGTGGATGGCCAGTTGGATAAATGGATGGATAGGTGGGTGGATAAAAAATGTGTAAGCTCTGGTCAGCTTAGTGAAAGAAAATCACTATTGTTACCATATTGCTCCACTTTGTAACTTAAACTGCAAGACAGAGGGATGCTCCCCACGAAAAGAAACAAAATACCCTCCCCAGTGCCAACAAGCAGCCTGTTTCCATTTCCCCAGCTCTACCTCTCCCTGACATCCCTGGACCGTGTGTGACCTGGACAGTCGAGGTGTGCACACCCCCCGGAGCTCAGGCACCGGCTGAGCCTGGCAGGAGCCCGTCTTCCTGAATCAAGTGTGTCACTAGCACAAAAGTCCCGACTGCTTCTAAGCGTCCAATCAGATGGCTGATTTGGTGACATCCTGGCTGTCGTGCCTTGCAGTAGGTACATTACTAACCCTCTTTCCAGAGGACAGGGAGTTGGAGGCAGAGGGACTTGCCCACGACCGCAGGTGGTCACAGGTGGACGTGGTGTGAGCCCAGGGCTCTGTGCGCTGAGTCCTGACTGTAACTTTCAGCCCTGAGGCTCAGGTCCACCGGAGCTAATGACATAGCGACTTTTTCTTTTCCTGGACAGGACAAATCACCACTAGAGGCACACAGGGGAGGTGTTCAGAGCCAGCGCCGAGTGGCCTCCGAGCAGTGAGCTCCCCCGTGGAAAGGCAATTGGGGGTGCTCCTTCTGGAGCGTATCGAGGAACTGCTCAAGTTAAAAAACCGAAACCTAAGTGTGACTTCAAGTATTCTGGAATTCGCTTTCCGTGATTAAGCCGTCCCTTCCCCAGTGGGTTTGAATTCAGGTTTGCTGTGAGTGGTAAGGCCTGAGCCTCCATCTCCCGCTGCGTCCTCACCCTGTTCCACATTAAGGCCAAGGGCGTCACGCTGCCAGGCAGTCGTGGTTTGGCTCAGGGCCTGGAGGAATCCATGTCTCTGATCCCTCACAGCCATGTGGCCTCAGAGGCTTGCTGGTGGCCTTTTTTTTTTTTGGAGACAAGGTCTCGCTCTGTTACCCAGGCTGGAGTGCAGTGGTGCGATCACAGTTCACTGCAGCCTTGACCTCCTGGGCTCAAGTAATTCTCCCACCCCAGCCTCCTGAACAGCTGGGACTACAGGTGTGTGCCACCACACCCAGGTAATTTGTGTAGAAATGGGGTCTTGCTACGTTGCCCAGGCTGGTCTTAAACTCCCAGGCTCAAGCAATCCTCCCACCTCAGCCTCCCAAAGCACTGGGGTTACAGGCGTGAGCCACCATGCCCAGCCTGGGTCTCACTTTCTCTAACGTAGCGGAGAACTTTGTGAGACTAGAACAACACACACAGCAGCCCCTGATGCCTGGCAGATGCTCAGGACTCACTGGCCTCTCGGCCCGCACACAAACCCGCATCCATCACCCACGTGCCCACAGGCCCAGCGCCAGCCAGCAGCAGCTGGAAACCAAACCTTGTCCCAAAGCGGCTAAGACAGGTCTTTGCATTTTTAAAGAGAAAAAAATAATAATAAACTCTTTTGAGACGTGAGGATGCTATACAATTCCAATTTCAGGGTCTGGCGAGAAAATTACTTGAGGGATGGGCGTGGTGGCTCGTGCCTGTAATTGCAGCGCTTTGGGAGGCCGAGACAGGAGGATTGTCTGAGCTCAGCAGTTCGAGATCAGCCTCAGCAACACTGCAAGACCCCATCTCTATTTTAATTTTGTAAAAGGTATTTTGGCCCATTTTACACATGGTCTGTGATGCTTTCCAGCAACAGTGGCAGAGCTGAGAAGCGTGACAGGGACCACATGGCCCACAGAGCCCATGGGAGTGACGCTGGGCACCTCACAGCACTGGCCGGCCCTGCGGTGGCAATTCCAATCCGTCCTCTGCAGGACAGCCAGGCGGCCTGCCAGCTCTCAGTTCTGCTCACCGGGACCTGCACAGAGCAGATGCCCCAAGCCGTGCACTGCGGAGGCAGAGGCCGGGCCATATGTATCAAAAGCTGTGTTTAATGATCAGACGGAATGGCAGCAAGGCCACACGGACAGACGGAGCCAAGGACAGGACCGCCGCCTCTGAACCCCTCCCCACTGGTCAAACGTCCAACACCAAAAAAGAGACGTCCCCACCCCGTCCCCATGTACAAAATGGCTTCAGTGAAGGCGCCATTACTCCCTGGGAAGCTGGTATTTTTTGTAAGGGATCAGGGCTCACCCCTGCCACCCTCTGTCCGGAACAGACCCGTGAGAGCGCAGCGCTCAGCAGTCCCCGTGTGCAGCTGGGGACGACTGACTTGACAGAAACAGATTCTGGACTCGAGTCTGGAGGCCGCACTCAACAGGGCGGGTGGCGGGCGGGAGCTGGGGCCCAGGCACCACAGACAGCCAGGGTGCGGGCTCTGTCTCTGCGGCCACAGGGAGCGCTGCTTCGGAAGTGACCACGTGCAGCGAGGGGAGGATGCCGGGGCCTGGGGCCACGCCTCGGTCAGTTCCCGCACGGACGTCTCTGCCCTGGAGTCAGGAGGACCCCATCAGTGAGTAGACCATGCCAGTGGCAGATGTCCTCGTGGGTTCCAGAAGCTCCTAGCTGCTGGGTCCAGAGGGTTAAGAACCCAGGCACCAATGCCGCTGCCACAGGGAGAACCGAGGCCCAAGCCCCTCTCAGCAGAAAAGCAACACGGGGCCCACACGGGAAGCGAGGTTGGGTGCCGGGAGCTACCAGGACCTCCCACGACCCAGTCCCTCCCTCCCAGGGCTCCAGGGACCCCTGAGGGCCTGACCCAGCCTGCCTGGCGCCCACCCCTGCTTGTCAGAAGGGCAGTCTGAGAGACGTCCACCCCACCAGGTGGCACCAGCAGGACTTCTAGAAGTTGCGACCATTTATTAAAATGGGGAGGAGTGTGCAGGCATGGCCAGGCACCTCTGGCTGAGGGCAGGGCAGGGCCTTAGCCAGGGGAGCAGCTTGTCCACTTACTGCCAGCCTTGTTCACGCCCCAAAACCCCGCCCCACGGGCCTGTCTCAGCCAGCGTCAGGGGCCAGAGGCCGCCCCGGCCACTGGTCCGTGTCCTAGGCTTGGAGGCAGCTTCCAAACCTCCCAGGGGCTCCGATCTGCTCAAGAGGGAAAAGCGATGCCTTCTGGGAGACAGAAAGCTGCTCTTCCACCCGGAGAGCAGGATGCCGTGGGGAGGGAGGTCACCTGAAGGCCGAAGCAGCTGGTGAGCACCAAGTGTGGCCGCGGCCAGAGTCCACCCACGCCTGCTCACTCATGCAGACGACGCTTGAGGGTCTGCAGAGAGGCCGGGCAGGGCCTGCGAGGACGGACCCCGGTGGGGAGGATGGACCCGCAGAGAGCTTGTGGCAGCCGGGCGAGCTGGGAGCAGCAGGCGTGCAGCCGGGGCAGCTGGGCTGGGCGCGGGCACAGACCGCAGGGGTCTCGGCAAGGATGAGCACCATGTTGGGGCGGGTGGGGACGGCACAGGCCTCGGTCCCGGGGGACAGGCGTCTGTCTGTCTGTCTCCAGTGGGCGCCAGGCAGCCCCAACATCTTGGTGTGGCGGGCACGGCAGCGAGCGTCTCACCCCTCCCCTAGGCCGAGGCGCCAGGCTGGGTTACCGGGGACGGCTGGGCCTGGTCCCGGCCCTCGGATTCAGCTGGGCTCCCAGGCTCCCGCATGGGGGCTCCAGCCCCCATCTCCTCGGACGTGCGTGATTTTGGGGACTGCTCAGCAGGCCAGGGGGATGTGGCTGGTTCTTCGCTGGGCGGCTGCGGGGAGAGTGGCGTGGCAGAGTCTTTGGGAGGCTGCGGGCCGTCGGCTGGTGCTGGGGCCCACGGAGATGGAGGTAGGACTTTCTACAGGAGAAGGGAGGCAGAGGTGAGGCGGAGACAGGGACCCAGAGGAGGACCCTGGCAGGGGCCAGGACACCCAGCACCCGCAGGCCACGGGGGCAGGGTCAAAATGAGGCGCCATCCCCAGGGGCTCTGGACCCAAGGAGGGGGCCGGCTCCATAACCTACGGGCACCCAGGACCCTGTCCATCGGCACAGGTGCCGCGGGAGGGCCATCCGAGGCCAGCAGAGGCTGGGAGCTGTGCAAAGCCTCTCCAAAGAAAAGCCTGGACTACCGTCTCTCGCCCCTGGGCCTGGTCCCCGGCTTCTCCTGAACCTTCTGAAATGCCCATCAGAATGGGGAGACCTTTGGGGTGGGGGTGCTGGCCCCAGGAGACTTCTCCCTGGGGCCTGGTCTCAGGCCATGGTCCCATCTGTGGGACCCATGAGCCCAGCTCGGCACTGGAACCACAGCTCGACCCAATGCATCACACCAGTGCGGCAGGGACGGGTGTGGTTTAACCTCCACAAAAACATGACGTAGGACCCCATGCGCGGCCAGCACCGCTGAGAAGCGCGGCATCTCCCCCAGAGGGAGATCAGCTATGGGAGGAGCTGCACCCATGCCCAACAGCCTGAGGATCGCCCTATGGCGCAGGGCTGCTCCCTGGGCGGTCATGGACTCCAAGAGGCGCTGCCCGGAGGGGCGGGGGCAGCTCTCGGGCGCAATGCGCCTGAGTCCCGGGAACCCAGGAAGTCACCTGAGCGGCACACTGGAAGGGGGGGTCCCACCCACTCCTGTTCACAAAAAATCACAAGAGCAGAACCGACGTGGCGTAAGCCCTCCCTGCATCTCACGTTTAACCCTTGCCAACCACCCCCTGCCTTGCCAAGGGGGACAGGGGACAGGGCTTCCACAGCCAGGGCAGGCCTGCTCCCCTCGTCCAGGGCCCTGCGGCCCCACCCCCAGTCAGGCGCCTCGCTCTCGGCAGGAGAGGCGATGGATGCCCGATGCCCACGCAGGTGGGGCACTACTATTTGGGAGAAGCAACTTTAGAAAGGACATGGCACCCCCGAGTCCCAGCCGGCACCCCCGCGTCCCACCCGGCACCCCTGGGCCCCACCCGGCACCCCCGCGTCCCACCCGGCACCCCCGGGCCCCACCTGGCACCCCCGCATCCCACCCGGCACAGGAGCTGCACGCACGTCCTTCCACCGGGGCCTCACGCGCATGACACCCAAAGCAGAAGGTACCAGGACCCTGAGCCCCGTCGCGGCCGCAGGGCTGGCTGTGGCTGGAGGTCTCACTCAACTTTAACTCTAGTTAGGGCTCACTAGGCGAGTATTTCTCACAGTCAGAGCAAACTGGTATTCACCGCAAAGCCGCTGCCCGTCCAGAACACGCCCAGCTCCCGGCGCCAGAGCGCCACAGCGCAGCTCGTCACCAGCGTGCAGGGCACCAGGTAGAGGAGAGCGGGCTGGCCACGCTGCATCAGGGCCAGTGCCACGAATGTCACAAGGAGGCCAACGCCATAGGCTGTGGGGACAGAGGAGGCATCACCTCAGCCAGGCAGGCCAGGGCCACCACCCATTTCCCTGGGAAGAACGTGAGCGGGCTGGGGTTGGTGGAGGGCAGGGGTGTGCGAGGACGGGAGAGGTACAGTGGGGGTTCAGCCGGCAGGGCCACAGGCTCCCCAAAGTACATGGATCCTTCCGGCACCTCCTGGGCCACAATCCCACCCTGACCCTACCGGAGCCAGGGTCACCGAGGACATGGAAGGGCCAGGGCAAGGAGAGGGACAGGGAGGGGCAGGGTCCGGGCAGCTGCAGGACAGCGGGAGGCAGACGTGATAGCGGAGGGGGCTGCGAGACGTGTCTGGGATGCAGTTTCTATGAACCTCTGAGAAAATCAGCCGAAGGTGACACATGTGCCTGACCAGAAAACCCTTGAACACTGAGCTGTGGGCATATAAACTATGTTCTCAGGAGACACCCAGTGAAATGTTTGGGGTCAAAGGGCACGGTGTCCACCCACCGGGGCCGTGCCCCCAGTCCCCTGAGAACGCAGCCTGTGATTTACATACGTGTGCATGTAAATACACAAACGCACACATGGCCACCCTTGGCACCCGCAGGGGAGGGCTGCCAGGACCCCCTTGCTCATGTCCCTGACGTAAACTGGTGCAGTGTCTGCCTAGAACCCACCCGCGTCCTGCCAAACCATAAATCACCATAGGTTCCTACAAACGCAAACGTGATGTCGCCGCAGGCAATGGCTGTCGCATGGCATTGCTTCGGGAAAACTGGCCCAAAAAATCTGCATGTGTTCAGTACAGATAAGAACACAAATCTTTTCCCCAAATATTTTCAACCTACAGCTAGTGAAATCCACAGCTGCAGGAACCCATGGCTAGTGAGGGCCAACTGCAGTACACGGGGGAGCGTGAGTGTGTGTGTGGAGAGAGAGAGAATGGAATCAAGCGAATGAAAGCGTGAGTGTGTGTGGAGAGAGAGAACGGAATCAAGCGAATGAGAGCGCGAGTGTGTGTGTGGAGAGAGAACGGAATCAAGCGAATGAGAACGCGAGTGTGTGTGGAGAGAGAGAACGGAATCAAGCGAATGAGAGCACGTGAGTGTGTGTGTGGAGAGAGAACGGAGTCAAGCGAATGACAGCGCGTGAGTGTGTGGAGAGAGAGAACGGAATCAAGCGAATAAGAGCGCAAGTGTGTGTGTGGAGAGAGAACGGAATCAAGCCAATGAGAGCACGAGTGTGTGTGGAGAGAGAACGGAATCAAGCGAATGAGAGCGCGTGAGTGTGTGTGGAGAGAGAGAACGGAATCAAGCAAATGAGAGCGCGAGTGTGTGTGGAGAGAGAGAACAGAGTCAAGCGAATGAGAGCGCGTGAGTGTGTGGAGAGAGAGAACGGAATCAAGCGAATGAGAGCGAGTGTGTGTCGAGGGAGAGAACGGAATCAAGCAAATGAGAGCGCGTGAGTGTGTGTAGAGAGAGAACAGAATCAAGCAAATGAGAGCATGTGAGTGTGTGTGGAGAGAGAGAATGGAATCAAGCGAATGAGGGCGCGAGTGTGTGTGGAGAGAGAGAACGGAATCAAGCGAATGAGAGCGTGAGTGTGTGTGGAGAGAGAGAACAGAGTCAAGCGAATGAGAGCGCGTGAGTGTGTGTGGAGAGAGAACGGAATCAAGCAAATGAGAGCGCATGTGTGTGGAGAGAGAGAACGGAATCAAGCGAATGAGAACACGAGTGTGTGTGGAGAGAGAACGGAATCAGGCGAATGAGAACACGAGTGTGTGTGGAGAGAGAGAACGGAATCAAGCGAATGAGAGCGCGTGTGTGTGGAGAGAGAGAACGGAATCAAGCGAATGAGAACACGAGTGTGTGTGGAGAGAGAGAACGGAATCAGGCGAATGAGAACACGAGTGTGTGTGGAGAGAGAGAACGGAATCAGGCGAATGAGAACACGAGTGTGTGTGGAGAGAGAGAACGGAATCAAGCGAATGAGAGCGCGTGTGTGTGGAGAGAGAGAACGGAATCAAGCGAATGAGAACACGAGTGTGTGTGGAGAGAGAGAACGGAATCAGGCGAATGAGAACACGAGTGTGTGTGGAGAGAGAGAACGGAATCAAGCGAATGAGAGCGCGTGTGTGTGGAGAGAGAACGGAATCAAGCGAATGAGAACACGAGTGTGTGTGGAGAGAGAGAACGGAATCAGGCGAATGAGAACACGAGTGTGTGTGGAGAGAGAGAACGGAATCAAGCGAATGACAGCGCGTGAGTGTGTGTGGAGGGAGAGAATGGAATCAAGCGAATGAGAACGCGAGTGTGTGTGGAGGGAGAGAATGGAATCAAGCGAATGAGAACGCGAGTGTGTGTGGAGGGAGAGAACGGAATCAAGCGAATGAGAGCGCGTGAGTGTGTGTGGAGAGAGAGAGAACGGAATCAAGCGAATGAGAGCGTGAGTGTGTGTGGAGAGAGAACGGAATCAAGCGAATGACAGCGCGTGAGTGTGTGTGGAGAGAGAGAACAGAATCAAGCGAATGAGAGCGCGTGAGTGTGTGTGGAGAGAGAGAATGGAATCAAGCGAATGACAGCGCGTGAGTGTGTGTGGAGGGAGAGAATGGAATCAAGCGAATGAGAACACGAGTGTGTGTGGAGGGAGAGAACGGAATCAAGCGAATGAGAGCGCGTGAGTGTGTGTGGAGAGAGAGAACGGAATCAAGCGAATGAGAGCGTGAGTGTGTGTGGAGAGAGAACGGAATCAAGCGAATGAGAGCGTGAGTGTGTGTGGAGAGAGAACGGAATCAAGCGAATGACAGCGTGTGAGTGTGTGTGGAGAGAGAGAATGGAATCAGGCGAATGAGAGTGCATGAGTCTGTGTGGAGAGAGAACGGAATCACGCGAATGAGAACGTGAGTGTGTGTGGAGGGAGAGAGAACGGAATCAAGCGAATGAGAGCGTGAGTGTGTGTGGAGAGAGAACGGAATCAAGCGAATGACAGCGCATGAGTGTGTGTGGAGGGAGAGAATGGAATCAAGCGAATGAGAGCGCGTGAGTCTGTGTGTGGAGGGAGAGAACGGAATCAGGCAAATGAGAGCGCGTGAGTGTGTGTGTGGAGAGAGAACCGCATCAAGCGAATGAGAGCGCGAGTGTGTGTGTGGAGGGAGAGAACGGAATCAGGCGAATAAGAGTGCGTGAGTGTGTGTGGAGAGAGAACGGAATCAGGCGAATGAGAGTGTGTGTGTGTGGAGAGAGAACGGAATCAAGCGAATGAGAGCGCGAGTGTGTGTGGAGAGAGAACGGAATCAAGCGAATGAGAGCGTGAGTGTGTGTGGAGAGAGAACGGAATCAAGCGAATGACAGCGCATGAGTGTGTGTGGAGGGAGAGAATGGAATCAAGCGAATGAGAGCGCGTGAGTCTGTGTGTGGAGGGAGAGAACGGAATCAGGCAAATGAGAGCGCGTGAGTGTGTGTGTGGAGAGAGAACCGCATCAAGCGAATGAGAGCGCGAGTGTGTGTGTGGAGGGAGAGAACGGAATCAGGCGAATAAGAGTGCGTGAGTGTGTGTGGAGAGAGAACGGAATCAGGCGAATGAGAGTGTGTGTGTGTGGAGAGAGAACGGAATCAGGCGAATGAGAGCGCGTGTGTGTGGAGAGAGAGAACGGAATCAGGCGAATGAGAGTGTGTGTGTGTGGAGAGAGAACGGAATCAGGCGAATGAGAGCGCGTGAGTGTGTGTGGAGAGAAGGAGAACGGAATCAGGCGAATGAGAGTGCGTGAGTGTGTGTGGAGAGAGAACGGCATCAAGCGAATGAGAGCGCGTGAGTGTGTGTGTGGAGGGAGAGAACGGAATCAGGCGAATGAGAGTGCGTGAGTGTGTGTGGAGAGAGAACGGCATCAAGCGAATGAGAGCGCGTGAGTGTGTGTGTGGAGGGAGAGAACGGAATCAGGCGAATAAGAGTGCGTGAGTGTGTGTGGAGAGAGAACGGAATCAGGCGAATGAGAGTGTGTGTGTGTGGAGAGAGAGAACGGAATCAGGCGAATGAGAGCGCGTGTGTGGAGAGAGAGAACGGAATCAGGCGAATGAGAGTGTGTGTGTGTGGAGAGAGAACGGAATCAGGCGAATGAGAGCGCGTGAGTGTGTGTGGAGAGAAGGAGAACGGAATCAGGCGAATGAGAGTGCGTGAGTGTGTGTGGAGAGAGAACGGCATCAAGCGAATGAGAGCGCGTGAGTGTGTGTGTGGAGGGAGAGAACGGAATCAGGCGAATGAGAGCGCGTGTGTGTGGAGAGAGAACGGAATCAGGTGAATGAGAGCGCGTAAGTGTGTGTGGAGGGAGAGAGAACGGAATCAAGCGAATGTGAAGAAATGACCAGTCCCTCTGAGAACGGGGCACACGGGAGTTCTCTGTAGCGATCCTGCAACTGTCATTTGAAATTATTTCAAAATAAAGCTCTGAGAAAATTAATTATTTGCTAGAACACTCTTAAAAAAAGAGCCGCTGTGTCCAGCAAGCACACTGCTCCCGGCACTTTTTCTAACACCCATCTCTGTATTTCTGACGCCATGCCACGGGGAGCGTCCCTATTGGTCCATTTTAGGCCATCCACGTGTCCATCAGCCATCATCAACAGACGCAGACAGACACAAACAGGGAGGGCTGGCACCTATAAAGCCTCAGCGGCTTCAGTCTCAGGAATTACAGGGACAACTTGACAAGTTATGTTTCAGGAGAGACAAATCTCTGCAGCTGTGTTTTTATTTTTTCTTTCATTTTATTATTATTTTTTCGAGACAGGGTCTCACTCTGTTGCCTAGGCTGGAGTGCGGTGGCACGATCATGGCTCACTGCAGCCTTGAACTCCCAGGCTCAAGCGATCCTCCCACCTCAGCCTGCAGAGTAGCTGGGGCTACAGGCACATGTCACCATGCCCGGCTAATTTTTGCATTCTTCTGCAGAGACAGGGTCTTACTATGTTGCCCAGGCTGGTCTTGAACTCCTGGACTCAAGCAATCCTCCCACTTCAGCCTCCCAGAAAGCTGGGATCACAGACATGAGCCCCCGTACCCGGCCTCAGCCGTGATTTTAAAGGATAATCATGAAGACAGTAAAATCGGGCGAGGGGAAAGCCAGGGGCACCTGCAGCTGCAGGAGGCAGGTGTGAGGGGACAGGCCGGCCTGAACTCTCCTGGCCCTGGGAGTGGCCGTTTAGGGAGCCACGTGGAGGGCAGGGTCGGGGGCGTGGCTCGGCAGAGGAGGCCTGGCCTGGCCCTGTGCCCAGGAACCAGAAAGCACCACAGCTTCTTTCCTTAGGGCCAGCTGCGGTGGGGGACATTTTTCAAAACAATGTGGGTCAACAGATAACAGCACTTTGCGTAAATACGTTCATAACAAAAGAAACAGTAGAAGACAAGGCAAAGAAGAAAAAGACAAAAAGAGGAAAACAGGAAAGAAAAGGAAAAGAAAAGAACAGAACAATGGAAGCCAGGGAAAATGAGAAAGACGGGGACGGAGGCACAGGCCCAGGGAGAATGAGAAAGACCAGGATGTGGACACAGGCCAAAGGAGAATGAGAAAGACGGGGACGGAGGCACAGGCCCAGGGAGAATGAGAAAGACAGGGACGGAGGCACGGACCCAGGGAGAATGAGAAAGACGGGGATGGAGGCACGGGCCCAGGGAGAATGAGAAAGAGGGGGACGGAGGCACAGGCCCAGGGAGAATGAGAAAGACGGGGACGGAGGCACAGGCCCAGGAAGAATGAGAAAGAGGGGGTTGCAGGCACAGGCCCGGGGAGAATGAGAAAGAGGGGGATGCAGGCACGGGCCCAGGAAGAATGAGGAAGATGGGGACAGAGGCACAGGCCCAGGAAGAATGAGAAAGAGGGGGTTGCAGGCACAGGCCCGGGGAGAATGAGAAAGAGGGGGATGCAGGCACAGGCCCAGCCACCCGAGCCCAGCTCCCGGAGTGGCCAGGGGGTTAGGGTTAGGGTGTTATGGTTACGGTGTTAGAGTTGGAATTAGGGTTAGGGTTGGGGTTGGGGTTAGGGGTCAGGGTCAGGACAGAGGCTAAGTCGGGGTGGGGCTGGAGCCAGAGAGGCCAGCACGGGCCCAACCGAGGCACTTACCGATGGTGCAGGCCACGAAGTATACCCTGGAGGACTGTACCTGGATGTCAAACCTGTGGCAGTAGGCCACCAGCAGCCCTGGGGGAGGCACAGGGCGGAGGCTTACTCGGGCCCGCAGAGCCTCAGAGCAGGGGCTTCCTGGGAGCGGGCGGGCACCTGAGCACCTGTGGGCGCCGTGGGCCTCTCGCTGCCTGGTGGCTGCTGTCATTTCACAGACAGGCCACACGCTCGCTCGGGACAGGGCTGCCATGACTCTCAGTGGGTAAACTGAGACCACAGTGAGAACAAAGTCCAGGCAGACACACCTGGCAGGACCCTGGGGACACTGAGGCTGCGAGGGTACAGTCTCTGCCTTCTGCAGCAACATGAGCTCACTGGGACCCGGGATCCAGGCCCCAGCAAGGACCCCTGCACAACCCCGAGCAGGATGGGGTGAGGCTGTCTGCAATCGGGGGGCCTTCCCCGCTCCCTAGGAACAAAGGGGGTCCCTACCCCACCCAGGCAATGCCCTCGCTGCCCAGGCACCCAGGCCTCAACGGCCCCAACCTGCCCGACTCTGACCCTCAGGGCTTTATCTCCAGCCGACGGTGTGCGGGCCACTCACTCCCAAAGGCAAACCTCAGCCGCCCGGGGCCCTGCCCCACAGCGTGGACCCGTGTGCTCCACCCGCCTCAGTACCTGGCACCAAAATGTCTCCGAAACCCAGGAGGGAGAAGGGCCGGTCACACAGGGCCAGAGGTGAGGAGTTCAGCCTGGGCACCTTCAGGACCATGGGCAGCTGCAAAGACGGGAAGAGGACAATGTCCTCCAGGACCCTCACCCGGCCGCGGGATGCCTCGAGCCCTATCCGCTCCGCGCAACACCTTGACCCATGGCAACCTGAGACCCTGCAGTCAGAAGACACACCTTCTCACGGGTGGCTGAGTCCGAGGGCCCAGTGGCCACCTCCACCATGATGCTGCTCCCACTCTGCACAGAATGGGGTTGAGTGAGGGAGCGTGGTGATGGGGTGGGGGGGCAGGGGAGTGGGGTGATGGGGCGAGGGGGCAGGGTGATGCGATGGGGGGGTGCAAGGGGCAGGGTGATGGGGGGTGATGGGGCAGGGGAGCAGGGTGATGGGGTGGAGGTGAGCGGGGTGATGGGGTGGGGGGCAGGGGAGCACGGTGTGGGGTGGAGGGGGACGAGGGGGCGGGACGAGGGGGCGGGGTGATGGGGGGGGTGATGGGGCGGGGGTTGCGAGGGGGCGGGGGAGCGGGGTGATGGGGTGGAGCAGGGACAGGCAGTCGCCTACCTTGGTCAGGAAGGGCGTGATGAACACGAAGAAGATGTCGTAGAGGAACAGCACCAGCAGCAGCAGCGTGCAGGCCTGCGAAGCCCACGGCTGAGGGCGGCCCCCACCCCGGCCCGTGCCTCCCCCACTCCCATCTCATGAGGCCCAGCGCCTCCTCCTGGGAGGCAGCCTTTAAAGGAACCTGAGCAGAGCGTGCCCAGTGCCAGGGACGCACCACGCAGGAGGAGCTTTGGAAGCAACATCAGGTAGGGATTTACGGGCAAAAGTCAGGCTTTTAGAGTCTCCACGTAACAGGAAGGCGGGGACGGGAGGGCGGAGGCCTGTGCCACGCAGGGCCGGCTCTGGGGATACAGAGGGCCATCCTGGGCATTCAAATGCCGCTTGCTTGGGGTGCTGTGGGGCCCTCACGGGAGTGCAGCCGCCTGGGGCTTGACAACATCCCCGCACTCCCGGTACCACCTGAGGCCAGTTCCTCCAGCCCTATTCAACCACTCTCACCACCACCTCATCTAGACATGAGTTGCCCCTGCCGGGAACCGCCCCGCAGCCACCCACCCAGGCCGCCTCAGCGGGGGCTTTGGGACCCAATCTTCAAGCCCCACCCTTCACAACAGGCCTAGGCGGCCATCCCCAGGGCAGTGAGCAGGAGCACAGACCTGCAAGGACCACAGCCCCACACGGGCCAGGCTAGGATGAAGGGCCCCCACTACCCATGCTGCCCCGCAGCCGTGCCCTCCCTGCACTCACCTTGAAGGTGGGCAGACGGATGGTCTTCAGCATGTAGAGGCAGAAGGCGATGCCCAGGGCATCCTGGAGGACCCAGGCCCACCTGCAAGACAAAGCAGCATCCTCGCCGGGGCAGAGGCTGGCTGACCACCCAGGACGCCGCCTCCCACGAGCCACACAGGGCCCTTGCTCTCAGCCAGCACGCAGCCCCACTGCCCTTCCACCTGCCCAGGGGATGACTCTGAGGACCCCAGACCTGTGGGAGGACCCCTGCTGTTACAACTCCAGCAGGGCTGGCGGCACAGGCCCCACCCCAGGGCCCACCCTGCGGAAGCAGGTAGAGGAGCCCACCACTCGGCAGCCAGGACAGTGGACACAGGCCTGGCCGGCTGCGTCTCCTCGGTCGCTGTCCCCAGATGGTGGGGCCAGGACGGTGGACACGGGCCTGGCCGGCTGCGTCCCCTCAGTCGCTGTCCCCGGATGGTGGGGCCAGGATGGTGGACACGGGCCTGGCCGGCTGCGTCCCCTCAGTCACTGTCCCCGGATGGTGGGCGTCACGCTGTAGGCAGGGGTCACAGGCTGTAGGCAGGGGCCAGGCAGAGGGTGCGTGCGCAGGAGGGCTTGGGCACTGACCCCTCCAAACTGTTTTTATTTTGTTTTTGAGATGGAGTCTCACTCTGTCACCCAGGCTGGAGTTTGGTGGCACGATCTTGACTCGCTGCAACCTCCACCTCCCAGGTTCAAGCAATTCTCCTGCCTCAGCCTCCCAAGTAGCTGGGATTACAGGCACACACCACAATGCCAGGCAAATTTTTTTGTATTTTTAGTAGAGATGGGGTTTTGTCATGTTGGCCAGGCTGGTCTCAAACTCCTGACCTCAAGTGATCTGCCCGCCTCACCTCCCAAAGTGCTGGGATTACAGGCATGAGCCCCCGTGCCCAAACTGTTTATTAAATTAAAACTTGTGCCACACCAGGTTTCCTCAAAGAACCTCTGGGTCCACAGTGGGTGGGGCTGCCATGCGGTTGGTGCCCTGGGGCAAAGCACAGAACTGCCTCCTGCACAAGGCCACGGCCCCTGCAGCCAGCCGCAACTTCGGCTCTCTCCTGGCCCCACGAAGCCCCAGAGTCCCCTCCCCGCTGGCCCCTGCCCCCAATGCAGGCTCTGCCTGTCACTTGCTGGACGAGTTCCCCAGCGTTCCTCAGCGTCTCAAACATCAAAGGCTTCATTTGAAAATGGGATAAAAACATCTCCAGGGCGGGGCGGCTGCTAACAGCAGAGGCCTCCATGGGAGACGCTGGTACAGCCAATTCCAGGCGCCACGTACTTCAAGCACCCAGAGAACTGCGGCCAGTTATTTTTTCTGATTTTATATTATTTCTTAAATAGGGCGTCTCGCTTGTTGCCCAGGCTGGTCTTGAACTCCTGGGCAAAGTGATCGTCCTGCCTTGGCCTACCAAATGCTGGGATCCCAGGCGTGAG
This sequence comes from Homo sapiens, assembly GCF_000001405.40. Lineage (NCBI taxonomy): Eukaryota > Metazoa > Chordata > Mammalia > Primates > Hominidae > Homo > Homo sapiens. Next base: position 2,341,831 of record NC_000019.10, on the reverse strand, counting down.
CCCCTGCGCCCAGCTGACTGAGGCCTGCTCTAACTTCATGTGACGGAGCGAGTTTCCTGGCTTGGAAATAACTGAAAAGATTCATTTTCTCTTTGTGTACAAAGGATTCAAAATATTTTCACATCTTCCTTCTGCCAGTTAAACGTGCCGTGGCTCCAATACACACCAAAGCCAAGCGTACTTGGCTGCCTCAGGAAGGCTGGGAGGAAGTGCCAGATGGTATCAGCGACAGCGGTGGGGACCGGGCGGGGACGGGCCAGCTCTGTCCTCCCAACACGGCACCAGGCACTCGGCCTCATGGGGGAGGCCCGGCCAGCGGGAGGCAGCCACAAGTCCAGGCCACGTGGGAGGTGAGCGTGGGGGGAGCAGTGCCTGCCCCACCTCCACCACTGCTCAGAAGCCGCAGCAGTCATGACCAAGAGGACCGGGTGCCCTGGTGCCCACACCCTGGGCCTCGAACCTGCGGCGTGCACGTGGGTGCCAGGAAAGGGACAGCGGGGGACAGACTGTGGCCCTGGGCAGCGATGCCCCACAAAGGAGTCCCATCCAGGCTGGAGGACGTGGCTCCTGGCCACAGGGGCTCCGGCCTCTCCTCCCGGATTCCAGTCAGGGTTCCCATGACACCCGGACAAACCCCAGGTGAAACGCCCTCGCAGCCCTGTCAGAGCAGCCCGGGGCCAGGGCTCTTCATCACGCGGTGCTGAAGCAGCTCCAGGCTGGGGCGGCCTCCAGGGAGGGCAGGGAGTCAGGGCCCCAGGAGCCCTGGTGCACCCGAGGACTCCGCTGCCCGCCGGGGCCCGGGGGAAGCAGCACTTACTGGTCCTCGTTGCGGAAGACGCCCCACACCACGCTGACGGCCACGCAGAAGAGCGCCAGGAGCAGCATACGGGCCTGCGGGCGCTTGTGGAAGTAGGGCAGGCTGTTGTTGGGGATCCTGGGGGGCACGGGGCAGTCAGAGCCAAGCCCACCAGCTCCCGGCCTCATCCCACTGCCCACCACCCTTGGGACCGGCCCAGGCACCCCCTGCAGAGTGGCAGCCCCCACTCTGTTGTCCTCATTAAACTCCACATCCCACACGATGACAACAGTAGGCACCCCAAGGGCAGGGCAGAGCCCGACCCGGGCAGGCGCTGGGGGCCACGGGCTGTACCCACAGAGCCCCTCGCCTGCGCTGCGCCCCTTCGCCCGAGGCCCTGCCTGCTCCAGACCTCCCACCTCCTCACCCAGGGACGGCAACACAAAAAGGTCTCCCCCTGGGCTAGCCCCGCTTCCTAGACCCAGGTCTGACTTTGTTGGAGACCCCCCAGCAGCTCCCTTTACCCCTAAGAGCCAGGCCAAGCTCTGGGCTGTGGGGAACCTTCTGGGTTCCCCGGAGAACCCTGGGGAACCCAGGGTTCGGCCTGCGACCTGGGGCAGGGTTCCTGGGGACAAGGGCACCCTCCCCCCGCCACCCCTGGCGCCTGGCTGCTGGTGGGCTCCATTGATAGCTCGCCCAGACTCCGCCCTGCTCCTGGGCCTAGGAGCCCCAGGCCAGCACTGAGGGAGCGCCTGCTGTAGACTCTGAGCAATATTGCACCATGGGGGGCTATGGGGCGGCAAAGGGGCCGTGGCCATCACCGCACAGAGTCAGGCACGTCGGGGCCAGCAGGGCAGACTCACCTGCACTTGCCGAAGGGCAGCCGCCGCACACAGGGCGCCAGGCAGCTGTAGAGGCCGGTGGCGGAGGCCAGGCAGAAGATCCCGATGACCACGTACACTGCAGGGGCAGGGCCGTGAGGCCGGGGGCCAGGCCCGCACGCCACCCTCCCTCCGCACGGGGCGGGCTGCATCTCCACGCCGCGGCCCACCCGCCCGGGGCCGCGCACCGAGGAGATCGTAGAAATAGTAGAGCAGCACCAGCATGGAGCAGCACATCACCACAAACACGCAGGTCATCACCGGCGTCACGTCCACCGCCTCGTCCTCCTGCTTCTCGGGCCCATCGTCGCGCTTGTGCTTCATGTACCTTCTTGGGAGACACCATGGGGTCGTGGGGCCCTGGGGCCGGCTGGCCGACACGGGGCTCGGGAGCCCACAGCCACCCGGGGGAACGGGGCAGAAAACCCGGGAGCAGGAGGGGACCCGGGGGGGACTGAAGTGCAAGGAACCGCCCCGAACGTCCCCAGGGCAGAGGAGACCACACAGCAGAGGGTGGCAGGGCCCGCGTCCCTGGGTTGAGCTGGGGTGGCCACTAGGCCGGGCCAGAGGCTGGCGTGTGGGCAGCAACCGCAGCTTGGATCTGCATAAAGAGCCCTGGACATGGGGCCTCCCCAGACCCAGGCGGCTCAGCAGGAAGAGGGTAGCTGGCCCCAGCCACCTGCCCAGCCCTGCACCTGCCACGCCCGTACCTGCCACATCCACACCTGCCCAGCCCTACACACCCACCAGGTGCCCGGAGCCCACCCTGGCAGGAAAAGAGACTGATTCTGTCCCAGGACCTCCTGAGGAAGAAACGAAGGGCTCCACGGGGCGAGCCGTGCCTGCCGAGGCCAAAGCACTCACTGCTGTTCTGGAAGACTGGCCGTCCCGGCCCGTGTCAGAGCCGCCCGACCCCGTCACAGCACACGCACGATGCGAAACTCACTTCTTCACGTCCCGACTCCCGGCCCAGTAGCCGCCGATGGCGACGGTGCCCACAGCCATGATGAAGATGATGACCATGTTGTAGTCCAGCACCGGCTCCTTAGGCGCATACAGCGCCGCCCTCACCGTGCGGCCGAAACGCTGCCTCAAGGAACACACCGGAGGCAGGCGTCAGAGCCACCCGCCAGCCATGGGTCGACGTGCAGCTGTGGGCTGTGGGGCTGGGGCTGGAGACCCTGGCCTGCAGGGGCCACGCCTCACCCACCACCCTGATCCCACCAACTGAGGCACAAACCCCCCCGGCAGCCAGCCCGAAGCCCCCTGCCCCATCTCCTCGGGAGCGTGGGTCTGAGCCGGCGCAGACCTACCGTGAAGATGTCCAGCATGTCTTTGTAGCTGAGCAGGGCCACGGGAATGCCAATCTCATCATACTGCGTCTTATTACCCCCCGGGGGGACCTGGGGGCCCAGAGGAGGGAGCGGCAGGCATCACCCGCAGCAGTGGGTGGGCCCCCAGCTCTGTGCCCATTCGCCTCCTCTCCTGGGACCCTCACTCGAGGCTCGGGTCAGGCTGGGGGCGCCTGCTGGCTCCCCCTCTGCAGCTGACAGCCTCCGGCCCCCCAGGAGGACCCAAGAACAGGGAGGCCGAAGGGCATCAAGCCTTCTTCACCTGACAACAGGGCCCCAGGCCTAAAAGCGCCACTAATCCCTCCCTCGGCCGTGGGACTCCCGAACCGCACATACAAGTCCTGAGTGATACTTGTCACAGCCCATGCCTGCCCACTAAGCCGCCTTGAGCCCCGCACCCACTGAGGGCCTCTCTCAACTACGACGGCAGCGTGTGCGGACAGGGATGGCACTCTCGGCTCTGCCCGGCCTGCTCTGCCCTCGGCCCTGAGCCCCTGCACCAGGCCTCCGTGGATTGCCAGGCTCAGGGTGCAACACTGGCGGGGGCAGCCCAGAGCCACAGGCAGAGCTGTGAGGGAATTCCTGAACTCCATTCCTTCTTACTCCAAAACTACACTTCAGGGGCGGCCACGCACCCTGCCCAGCCCAGCAGTCGGCATGTCCCTGTGCTGTGACCAGCCCTGCCAGGCCCCCAGCTCTCAACCACAGCCCCATTTCACAGAAGATGGAAAAGGGGCCAGGCTTCAGGCCACCTGGCTAGGACCACAGGCGAGCACGGCCCCACCGGCTAGAGGGCAAGGGCACCAGGGTACCCAGAAAGGACCAGCTCAGGGCCAGGCCACCTGCTCCTCAGAAGCCACCCCAATCCCATCCCCACAGAGAGTGTGGTCTCCGTCACCCCTGGGGGCTGCTCTAGGACAGGCACCCAACAAGACCACGGCCAAAGTTCCACAGCCCCAGCCAGCAGCTCAGGAAGAACAGACTCATCTCCGCCCTCCCCACGGCCACACTCGGCCCGGATCCTCCCCATGTTCACACTCGGCCCAGATCCTCCCCACAGATGGATCTGCCTTTAGCGAGAAGTCGGAAGACCAGCCCCAGCTGCTGCCATCTCTGCCTCCTGCACCCCCCTCCTGCCCCTGAGAGCTGGCCCAGCGGGGGACGCACAGGGCCGTACCAGCCTCTCCCTGCTGACGATGAGCAGCCCGCGTGCTCCGCTGCCCTGGGCCAGCCTCACTTTCTCATAGAAGGTGCAGTTCCCCCGCGCCACCAGCGGGATCTGGTTGCTGAAGCCACGGGCGGGGAGGTCGGCTGCGGAGCAGAGCAGGGAGGCCGTCCAGTTGCGCAGCTGCAGGAAAGACTGGAAAGGCCAGGGCACAGTGTTGTCTCACGTGATGTGAGTCACCAGGAGGGCCCAGCTGCCCGTTCTCCCACCTGAAGCCTGCGCTGAGTTAGATCCCAGCCCTCACCTAAAGCCCCGCACGGCCTCGGCCCACCTAGGCAGAGCCATCCCTACTGCAGCTCCCACAGCCGGACCCTGGGCGACGGGCTGGGCTGCCTCATCTGAGCGGGGCCGGAGTCCTCACAGACATGGCTGTCCCCTGATACCTGAGCCACCCCGCGAGCCGTCACAGATCACTCAGCAAGACCAAGTGGGTCCCCACCGCAGCCCCACCACGGCCAGGCATCTGTGAGAAGGGGGAGGGTTTCCAGTGTGCAGAGAACAAAGCCCCAACTCTCAGGGGCCTCACAGCCCCTGAAGCCAAGACACACACGCACACACACACGCACACGCACACACACACCCACAGCCAGGCCGGAACACGCGCACACACAAGCACACGTCCACAGCCAGGCTGGAGCACACGGCACACACATGCATACATGCACACACACACACACACCCACAGCCAGACCAGTGCACACGCACACACCCACAGCCAGGCTGGAGTGCACACACACACACACGCACATAGCCGCAGCCAGGCCAGCGCGCACACACACACACACCCACAGCCAGGCTGGAGTGCATGCACACACACGTGCACACATACACAGCCAGGCCGGACCACATGGCACACATATGCACACGCAAGCACACACATGCACACTCACACTCAAGCAGACACATGCCTATTACACACATGCACACACACACGCACACACAGCCAGGCCAGAGCACACAGCACACGTGTGCATATACAAGCACATACCTGTGCACTCAAGCTCACGCACACACACCTATTACACACACATGCATACACACACGCCACATGAACTCACACACTCACACGCACATACCTATTACACATGCACTCACACACACTCATGCACACACACGAACCCAAACACACAGGCACATACACATCCACACACAAACCTATTATCCACATGTACACACACATACACACAGACCTATTACACATGTACACACGCACACATGTGCAGACACATGCACACATCCACAAACATAACTATTATGTAGCTACATGCTTACACACACCTGCACACATACAGACACACATGCACTCACACATCCATACACAAAACTATTGCATGCACACTCACAGGCACATGTGCACATAAAAACAGACATACACATTCAGACCCATGCACATGCCCCCACACACCTATTACACACATGCTCACACACACAGGTGTGCTGACACACAAACACGCACTAAGGCACACATGTCCATGCACATATCTAGTACACATGTGCTCACACACACAAACTCAGAAATATGCACTCAGGCACATGTCTTCACACATACCTATTACATGTGTTCACATACCTATTACATGTGTTGACACACACCTATGTGTTCACACACAAAAAAACACTCAGGCACATGCACACATACACTGATGCAAACTCACATAAACATGCAGACACATGAGCATGTCCAGGCACATACTGATTACACACGTGCTCACACGCACACACTATGCATAAAGCTGACAGGAAGATGCTAGTGCCTCTTCGCCGGCACACCTCGAGGGCTCCAGGAGGGGGCGGGACACAGTGGGAAAGGAGGCGGGGCCTGAGGGACTCAGTGGGAAAGGAGGCGGGGCCTGAGGGATGCGGTGGGAAAGGAGAGAGGGCCTGAGGGATACGGTGGGAAAGGAGGCAGGGCCTGAGGGATGGGGTGGGAAAGGAGGCGGGGCCTGAAGGATGCAGTGGGAAAGGAGGCAGGGACAGAGGGGTGTGGTGGGAAAGGAGGCGGGGCCAGAGGGATGCAGTGGAAAAGGAGGCAGGGCCTGAGGGATGAAGTGAGAAAGGAGGCGGGGCCTGAGGGATGCAGTGGGAAAGGAGGCGGGGCCTGAAGGATGCAATGAGAAAGGAGGCGGGGCCTGAAGCATGCAGTGGGAAAGGAGGCGGGGCCTGAAGCATGCAGTGGGAAAGAAGGCGGGGCCTGAAGGATGCAGTGAGAAAGGAGGCGGGGCCTGAAGGATGCAGTGGGAAATGAGGCGGGGCCTGAAGGATGCAGTGGGAAAGGAGGCGGGGCCTGAAGGATGCAGTGGGAAAGGAGGCGGGGCCTGAAGGATGCAGTGGGAAAGGAGGCGGGGCCTGAAGGATGCAGTGGAAAGGAGGCGGGGCCTGAGGGATGCGGTGGGAAAGGAGGCGGGGCATGAGGACTAAGTGGGAAAGGAGGTGGGGCCTCTGAGGGAGGGACTCATCCAGCAGCAGGTGTTAGTGCCCCAGTCAGGAAGACGGTGAAAGGAACAGGTCTCGTCCCTGGGGCCCCACTGTGCCCTCTGCTGTTACTCCTCTGAGGACCCCTCTGTCTGGGCCCACTGGATAGGGTCCCCGGCATGGAGCAGTAGAGACCCTTATCTACCACATGGAGCTCGGCCGGTGCCTCTGGATCTGCACCCCAAGGCCGCATGGACAGCTTGCATTGATGACCAGGGTTGGGGAGGCCCAGGGGAACTGGGGGCCAGCTAAGAGTCCCCCAGACCTGGTCAGGGCCTGCCTCTCGCCTCTGGATCTTTCCTGCAACCCCAGCCGGATGTGTCTCTAGAGCCCCGGGGCCCCCGCATTCTCCTCCGCAGCGGCGCCCGGCCAGCGGGTACTCACTGCCTTGCTGAGGTCGTGCGGAAGATGGGCCCACTGCGGGTTGTAGAGGATGCAGTAGTCTTTGCCTTCGGGGCCCCCGGCCTGGGAGACCACGTGCACCATGCCGTACTCACAGGCCACCTGCAGGACAAGGCCAGCAGTCAGAGCCACAGCACGGGACGTGCGGGGCTGCACCGCCCCACGAGAAACAGGCCCGAGGAGGGGAGGACGCCTCCAGGAAGGGCGCCCATGTTCACCAGGTGGTCTGGGATGCTTCCCCCTCTCGACAGGACAGACAGGGACGTGACCATACGTGGTTTACAGCAAAGACCCAGACTGGCTCACCTTCCTCAGGGAGCCCCAGGCTGGTGACCATGAGTGTGTCAGGTCACCCCTTTGTGGCTCCCGAGTTTCTGCACCAAAAAACAGGGATCGCACCACCTCCTGGGCCTCCCAGGATCAGTGGGCACGGTGGGAGAATGACAGCCACGGGCAGAGCCACGGGCAGAGCCCTGAGCAGGGAAGCAGGGCAGGGCCCCAGCGGACCTGGCCCCCAGCCTGGGCGGGAGGCCTGGACAAGCAAGCCTCTGCACCCCTCAGGTCTGGGTGGCCTTTGACCCACAGCCCCGTGGGCACTGCTTGTTGGCTGGTGCTCCAAGGCACACGGGGGCCCAGGCACACGGTGGGGCCCAGACGAGGGGGATCCCCAGATCAGCACCCCTCAGCTCCCACTGGTAGAACAGCAGGAAGCAGGTGGGCCAAGGGGCCTACGGGCACCGGGTCCTGAGTGGGACAGGCTGAGGTTTGCAACAGGTCACGCTGCCACCAGCAGGACAGACAGCGTCATGTTCCCCATGAAGCCCCAAAGCAGCAGAGTCCAGCACAGCAGCTCCCACTTCGCAGGAGGGAGAAGGAACAGCCAGCCAGGGCTTCAAGTTCCTGCTCTCCAGCCTGCAGCAGCAGCAGCTCAGAGAAGGCCACAGGGAGAAGGCCCGGATCCACGGGCAGGAGCCCCTGACACACAACGGGGACAACAGGCCAAAGCCAGCCAAGAGAAGCAGGGGTGGTGGCCACCGCGCCCAGGACAGAACGGGCTGGGGCCCTTGCCACGCTCTCAAAATGAAGTAGGGGGCAGGACCAGGCCCCAAAGCCCTGGACGCCTCCCAGGAGGGCTGCGGAGTAGACGGGCCTGGACCAGAAGGGACGACCCCCACCTCTTCAATTTAATGCTTAACAGAGCAGGATGGAGCTATGAGGAAAGACGGATTCCACAAGCAGGAAGCTGGCACTGCTCACCACGCCTCCCACCGCAGGGACCACGGCGGACACTGCAGGGCTCTGGCCTAGGCAGAACCACGGTCCTCCCAGCAGAGCCCAGTCCAGCCGCCCGCACCTGCCATCCCCACCTTCCTCCTGCTCCCGCAAAGCCCAGTCCAGCCTCCCGCACCTGCCGTCCCCACCTCCTCCTGCTCCCCTCCCAGCAGAGCCCAGTCCAGCTGCCCGCACCTGCCATCCCCACCCTCCTCCTGCTCCCCTCCCAGCAGAGTCTAGTCCAGCCGCCCGCACCTGCCATCCCCACCCTCCTCCTGCTCCCCCTCCCAGCAGAGCCCAGTCCAGCCGCCTGCACCTGCCATCCCCACCCTCCTCCTGCTCCCCTCCCAGCAGAGTCTAGTCCAGCCGCCCACACCTGCCATCCCCACCCTCCTCCTGCTCCCCCTCCCAGCAGAGCCCAGTCCAGCCGCCCGCACCTGCCATCCCCACCCTCCTCCTGCTCCCCCTCCCAGCAGAGCCCAGTCCAGCCGCCCGCACCTGCCATCCCCACCTTCCTTCTGCTCCCCTGCCCAGGGCCCCCACCCAGCAGCTGACAAAGACATCTCCATCTCGCCAGGATGCCAGTCACCAGAGGGTCTCACAGCGATGGGGCCCAGGTCCCAGCTGCTGTGCCACACTGCAGACCCTCAGTGTGGGCCCCCAGGGGAGCCCGGCCTGCACAGGGAGGAGGGGTCCCAGAAGAAAAACCACGTGCCAGGGACCAAGGAGACCCACCCCATGCCCTAGGCCTGCCCGTTCTCAGGAGCACCCAGCCCTCAGCCTTCTGGGGCTGCAGGGCTCCTGCCAGGCTGTAAACCTCCCAGACAGAGAGACAGCCGCACCCCCTGGTCCCCAGGGGACCTGTCACGGAAACAAACAGGCCACAGCCATTTGCCTCATCAGGAACAGGATGGCAGCCACATGTCTGAACGGATGCTGAGCTGCGCACCAAACGGGCCGACACCACAACGCCACAAGGGAAAACAGTGCAGACGCAGCTCTGCCAAGCTAGGACTGGGGAAGGACAGCTCTGGCTTGGCTAAAGGTCCCAAAGGTCCCTGGTGCCAGACACCAACCCCAGCACACAGGCACAGACGGGCTCTCCAACAGCCGGGCCCTCATCACTGAAATCATGCAAAGTCTCCGGCCTGGTCTGGGAGCATCTGGGTCAAGGCCCTGGTGACCTCGGGGTGGCAGCATGGTGAAAGCCCACGGAGCCCCGGTCCCCACAATCGACTGGGGGTCTCATAGCTCTTGGCTAATGCTGCTTCCTTCCCACAGCTGCCCCAGCCCCACTCCAAGCACCTCCCATGTGACCTCCCCCAGAGCCCAGGCAGAGTCAGGAGCCCTTTCTTTCCAGTTCTGCCCACCAGACTGCCTGCCCGTGAGAGCACCCCTTAGTCTGGCCCCGGTGCCGAGCCCGGAGGGTGCCCCTTCCAACACAGCCCCCCAGAACCCCTCCTCCAGGAGGGATGTTATGGGTCACGGCAGAGGCCAAGAATCCACAGTCCGGCCCACCTTCTGTGTTTGTAAATAAAGTTTTATTGGAACACAGCCAAGCCCATTCCTAAGGAAGGGTCTCCGGCTCTGGAAGAACAACAGGAGAAACCAAGCAACCAAACCAGAGGCCACGTGGGCCACAGAGCCCAGCAAAACTACTGTCTAGCCCTTCCCAGAAAACACTTGCCAAGCTCTGTTCTATGGGATCAGGGACTCTGGTGAAAAGTGTCTTTTGTGTAAAATGGGAACTGATAGAACTGCTTCTCTGCTTCTCTCTAAAAGGGTCATTTAAAAGCACAAAAGCACATTCATGCATTTTCCTCTCCACAATTCGCAAAACTGGTTTTCCATTAAAAAAACAAGCCTGTGCCTCTATCAAAGGCCAGAGAACGCGGCATCTCACCGGGAAGAGTTTCCTCACCTGCTGAGTTAAAGGAACGGGGAACAATTCTTCCAAAGGCCACAGCTCTAAGAGGGCCCTGAGTTCTAGACAGGCCCACCGAAATTTGGAGGAGCAGAAAAAGCTCAGGCTACAAGGACAGGCTCAAAGCCCAAGCCTCGACCTCCAAATCCTTCACAATTGCAGCACAAACGCTTTGCAACCGCACACAGGTTCAGAAACTACTAGGCTTAGAAACCCCGCTTCCAAGTGACTGTGAAAGCATCCACATCAAGGGCCTTTGAAACAGGCCAGTGAGTCCAGGCGGGGAGAGCCTCCCTTCTGGGAAGACTGAGGAGTTCCAGGAGCCGGGCCGGGTCCAGCCAGGGCCACCAGCTCCAGCTCAGATCTGCTGAGGAGCGGGCTCCGTGGGGTGGGGGAAGGGAGGTGTCTCACTGGGGAGGTCGACTTCCTTGCTCAGGGTCACAGAATGGTAGCAAGCAAGCGAGTTGAGGACTGTCACCAACCAGGCTCCTGCCCTGAGAGCAAGTCTCATTCTTGGGCAATCGGACTCAAATTTCCACTGCCGCGAAGCACTGCCCCCCTCCAGGGACAGGCGTCTCAGGGTGTATTTACAACCAGGGTTCTGGAAGGGGCAGGAACACCTGCTCTCTCACGTCCCTCTGACACATCCTTTGACTCCCCACCCTCCGGATAAAGCTCACACTCCTCAGCCCGCCCAGGTTAAAGTCCACGCACCCCAGCACCAAGCGCCTTCCACGGCCTGGCTTCCACCAGACAACCTGTCATCCAGACTAGGAGGCTGAATGCTCTGCCTTCACTCTCTGCCTGGGGCCACTCGCACCACTGCCCCCTCCTCTGTGCCCCTGCTCCAGCAACCCTCCACGGCCCACCCCCCGGGCCTCCTTGGTGGTGACATCTTTCAGGGTGTAAACCCTTCCTTCCAGCATTATTCCACCCTACACTCCAGCCACAGCCCACCCCTTGCCAACCCCAAATAACCTGCCAGCTCTCACACCTCCCAGCCCCCGCTTATGCTGCTTCTGGTGCTTCCAACACCCTTCCCCTCCTGCCGACCCGGCAAACTCCTACTCATCATTCAGAACACCTGCCTCGGGGCCGGGCACGGTGGCTCACGCCTGTCATCCCAGCACTTTGGGTGGCCGAAGCAGGTGGATCACCTGAGGTCTGAAGTTCGAGACCAGCCTGACCAACATGGTGAAACCTCGTCTCTACTAAAAAAAAAAAAAAAAAAATTTAGCCAGGAGTGGTGGCATGCACCTGTAATCCCAGCTATTCGGGAGGCTGAGGTGGGAGAATTGCTTGAACCGGGAGGCAGAGGTTGCAGTGAGCCTAGATCATGCCACTGCACTCCAGCCTGGGCGACAGAGCGAGACTCCGTCTCAAAAAAAAAAAATAGATCTGCTTCGGAAAAGCCTTCCCAGGCAAACTGAGTCCCTCTCTCCACAGAGTTCTGTGATCTTTCTTCCACCTCTGGCTTTCCCCCTCCTTCCAAATGTCTGGGGAGCTCTAGGTGCCTGGCTGCAGAATGGGGGGAGTCCAAAGGGGGCTGACAGAGCAGCTGGGGGTAGGACTGGGGTTCTCAGAAAGCTTCCGAGGGGGCCCGACAGCCTTGCAGAGACCAGGGGCATCTCAGGGTAAGAGAAAAGACTAGAGAGTGAAGCGACTGCAATGAGCTGCAGGCTTCCCCAGCAGCCAGGTCACAACTGGACGGCGCACTCATCTGGATGCGACACGGTCTGACATACTTTGAAAGGGTCACCCCTGCTGTGTCGAGGATGGACTGGGGATGTGGTGGACAAAGGCAGCCACAGCAGAGGGATAGCGGTGGGGCTGGAGGAGTGGAGACTGAGGAGCCAGGTGGCGGCGACGCCTTAAGAGTGAGAACTCTGAGGGGGTAGTGAAGGTTAAGGGCTGCATTTGTGGGGCTGCTCCAGGTTCCATTGCCTGAGCCACCGAACTCAGGAGAGAGGGAAGATTTGGAATTAAGAAAATAAAAGATGCAGTTATGACAGTGCGATCTCGTAGACTGTCCCCACTAGAACCTGACACTCTTTACATCAAATGACACACAATGAACATAATGAAGGCCTGTTGGCCCTGGGCGCTGGTCACCCTGGACAGAACCTCCAGAATCCACACCATAGTCGGTCCTCCTTCTGCACACGAATTCCATCGTCCAAGGTCACGGAGTAAAAGATGGAGCGGGGATCCGACCCCAGTGCAGGGCTGGACTCCTGGCCGCTCCAGGATGCTGCCAGTTACTGGGGGACGCGCGGGACGCCTCTGGGTTCCCCCACCGCACCCCCTAGGGTGAGGTTAGCTTAGCACCGTGCCCGTTCCGCCTAAGGGGAAACTGAGGCTCGGAGAGGGGTGGGCAGCCGCCTGCTCAAGGCCACAGAGCCGGAGAGAGGCGTCCCCGGCGGCAACTGGAGACCCCGAAACGGAGAAGCAGAACCGGAGGATGGAGGGGGCACAAATTTCAGACCCGGTGGGAAGTGAGTGGCGCTGCAGCGGCGGAGGGCCTCCGAGGCGGGGAAAGGAGAGGAGCCGGGGACAGACCCGCAAGGTCACGGCCGAGCCCCGGCACCGCCGGCCGACAACGCGGGGACGGCGGATCCCCGAGGCTGGACCCCCAAGACGGGCCGAGCGGGGTCGTTCCTGCGCGTAGCCCGGGGACAGAGAGGCCGAAGGGCCGCAGCCCGCGGTGCCGTCGGGACCGGTGCCGCGCTCACCTGGGCCGCGAGGAGCAGAAAGGCCGCCAAAAGCCGCGCCAGCGCAGCCGCCACCGCTGCCGCCATGTCGGCCGGTGCCCGCCGCAACCAACGGCAGATGTTTCCCAGCAACGCCCCGAGACCCCGGGCCACGCATGCGCCGCGCATGCGCGTGGGGGAGGTCAAAGGGCGCGGGGCGGTGCCTGCGAAGAGCCACACGGCGCGACAAGATGGCGGTGAGCGCGCGGCGGAATCTGGAGCCGGGGGGCGTGGAGCTCGGGCCGCGCTCCAGGTCTCATGCGCTCTGCTTTCCCCGCAGGATAAGGAGAAGAAGAAAAAGGAGAGCATCTTGGACTTGTCCAAGTACATCGACAAGACGATCCGGGTAAAGTTCCAGGGAGGCCGCGAAGGTGAGGAGGCTCCCGCTGTCGGTACCCCCTCTTTAAAAATTTCAAATAAACCCAGCAACAGAGATGATGAGGACGCATGCGGAAGCACCTCTTTTATTTATTTTCATTATTTTTTTTGAGACGCAGTCTCGCTCTGTCACCCGGGCTGGAGTGCAGTGGTGCGATCTCAGCTCACTGCAACCTCCGCCTCCCAGGTTCAAGTGATTCTTGTGCCTCAGCCTCCCGAGTAGCTGGAATTAATGTGTACCACCACGCCCGGCTAATATTTGTATTTTTAGTAGAGAGGCCATGTTGGCCAGGATGGTCTCAAACTCCTGGCCTCAAGCGATCTGCCTGCCTCAGCCCCCTAAATTGCTGGGATTTCAGGCATGAGCCACCATGCCCAGCCTAGCATTTTTGACTGGGCAAGTGAGCTGCCTTCTCCTAGCCTCCGTTTCCTCATTTGTCAAATGGGGCTGGTAACTCCACCCACTTCACAGGGGGTGGTGAGAATGAATGGTTACAGGCATGTAATGTAATTGAGGCAGCTCTCAGCAGGAAGTAAGCAGTCAGACAACACGTCACTTATTCAATAGCCTCTTGGATCTTTGGTTTCTTTTTTTTGTAAGACGGGGACCCAAACCTCTTTGTCCCTGGATTGTAGACAACTGGGTGGCATGAGAGTTATTAAAAATCACAGTGCCCCAGCCGGACGGGGCGGCTCACGTGTGTAATCCCAGCAATTTGGGAGTCTGAAGCAGGAGGGTGGCTTCACCCTAGGGTTTGAGGCTGCAGTGAGCTATGACCGCACCACTGCACTCCAGCCTGGGCCACAGAGCAAGGCCCAGTCTCAAAAGAGAAAAAGGAGGCCAGGCACAGTGGCTCATGCCTTTAATCTTGACACTTTGGGAGGCCGAGGCAGGCAGATCAGGAGGTCAGGAGATCAAGACCATCCTGGCCTACGTGGTGAAACCCTGTCTCTACTAAAATACAAAAAGTTAGCTGGGCATGGTGGCGCACGCTTGTAGTCCCAGCTACTCGGGGGGCTGAGGCAGGAGAATTGCTTGAACCCCAGAGGCGAGATTGTGCCACCGCACTCCAGCCTGGCGATAGGGCAAGACTCCGTCTCAAAACAAAAAGAAAAAGGAATATGAATAAAATGTTTTCTCAGTCTACACCATGCTGACTCCGGACATGGAAGGACATGAGTGAGCGGCCGCTCTTGCTGGTCACACTGCTTCCCTTTGTTTTCTGCCCTTCATAGCAAATCACCCATTTAGCAGCTGAAACAGCACCATTTTATTATCTCACAGGATCTGTGAGTCAGGAGCCAGGGTACCACAGCCTCAAGGGCTCTCAGGAGGTTGTAACTGAGGGTTGTTTTTTGGGGTCCATCATCTTGGGGTCTTCTTCTGAGCCCACTGGTTATTGACAGAGCTCAGTGCCTTACCTTTGCAGGGCCAGGGTCCCCGTTCTGGCCAGTGTTGGCTAGGGACACTTGCAGCTCCCGGACGCTGCCAGCTCGGGACTCTGTTCCACCGTGGTGGTCTGCCCCTACAGTGCTGCAGGCTGAGCTGACATTTGTCCATATTCAGTTATTCGGGCCAGTGGGAGAATCATCTTTCAGAAAGGGTTTGGGGCCGGGTGCGGGGGCTCACGCCTTAATCCCAGCAGTCTGGGAGGCTAAGGCAGGTGGATCACCTGAGGTCAGGAGTTCGAGACCAGCCTGGCCAACATGGCGAAACCCCATCTCTACTAAAAGTACAACAATTAACTGGGCGCTGTGGCTCACGCCTGTAATCCCAGCACTTTGGGAGGCTGAGGCGGGCAGATCACTTGAGTTCAGGAGTTTGAGACCAGCCTGGCCTACATGGCAAGGCCCCATCTCTACTAAAAATACAAAAATTATTTGGGCATGGTGGCGCATGCCTGTAGTCCCAGCTACTTGGGAGGCTGAGGCAGGAGAATCGCCCTGGAGGCAGAGGTTGCAGTGAGCTGAGATCGCGCCACTGCATTCCAGCCTGGGCGACAGAGCAAGACTCCATCTCAAACACACACACACACACACACACACACACACACACACACACACACAAAAAGCAGAAAGGGTTTGGTCCCTGAAGGGCTCACCTGATGCAGTCAGGCCCACCCAGGGTGTTTCTCTCTTGATTGGCTCAGTCAGCTGATTCAGGGGCTCTAATTACAGCTGCAAAGTTCCTTGTCTTTGCCACATAACCTAAGCGCAGGAGTGACATCTTGTCCCGTCAGAGTCACAGGCCCTAGCCCACACTCCAGAGGAGGGGCACCTTGGCTCCATGTTAGAGACCTACCTACCTCAGTGCTCACATCTCTCCCCGTGAGGAGGGCGGGCTCACTGGTCAGGCTGGTGCCAAGGACCTGAACATCTGCATCTGACCCCATCTTATAGGTGAGTTTCATTTTGCAGGGGAGGGACTTGAGCAAAGAGAGAGGGAGCCGTGGAGGTGGAAGCTGAAGCCTGTGGAGGTGGACGGAAGCTTGTATGCAGGCGGGCAGACCTTCTCTGTAGAAGGCCAGACGGCAAATATCTTTAGCTTTGCAGCCCAGATGGTCTCTGTCACAACCACTGAGCTATGCCAGCAGAGCAGGAGAGCCACCCTGGTCAGCGCCTGAGCGGGCGAGTGTGGTGGTGGGCCAGCGAGACTCTGACTTACAGAGAGGAGCGGCGGGCAGGTTCACCTGGGGGTCGTAGTTTGCAGACCCTCCCCCGCACCACCGCACAGGGCGGCCCTCGGTGTGTGTGGAGCAGCCGTGGACGGGCTCTCGGCCCTGCCTTGGGAGGAGACAGGCAGGCAGAATAATGCCCGGGGTGCCTGCTTCCCGAGATTGGTGGTGCCTGCTTCCCGAGATTGGTGGTGCCTGCTTCCTGAGATTGGCGTGGGCGTGCAGAGGGCAGCACCGTAAGGGCTGTGGGTTGGTGTCTGGAGGAAGCACCTGAAAGATGACAGGGGTAAGAAGGAGAGCAGGGAGGGGGTGGCTGCGGGACGCCCCTCAGTGAGCGCAGAGGTGGAGCTGCTGCTGGGCCTCGGCTGCAGGAGCCTGCAGGGCAGTGGAGGGGAGTCCCAGGCAGAGAGGGTGGGCTGGCCTCTGCTGGGGACACACAGCTCCCCCTTCACCCTTCTCAGTGTCACCAGACACTGCGGAGCAGGATCAGATGGCAGAGATCACCACCGGGTCAGAGAGCCCTAACCTAAGTTGGCAAGTTGTGGCCCAAGGCGGCGAAGCTTGAGGGGTGGGGCAGGCAGCGTGGAGAGAGAAGCCACAGAGACCGTCTCAGCCCCCGAAGCCTTTGCACCTGGGTCTCAGAGCATCTCTGTTGCCTGCTCCCCGCAAGCCCTAAGCAGCAGGGCTGGGATTTGTTCTTTTGTATTCCGTGAACTCACTGAGGGACTCAGCACAGGTCAGGCAGCGCAGTCATCACCGCTGTCAGAGCGGAGCACTCTGTCTCCCCTACAGGAAGCCCTGTCCCCATCAGCCATCACTGCCTGTCCCATCCCTGGCCCTGGCACCCACGCATCCCTTCCCTGTCTTTGTGGATTGGCCTGTCCTGGACATTTCATAGAAATGGGATCTCACGGTGCGCAGCCTTCTGTGTCTGGCGTCTCTCACTGAGCGTGACGTCCTCAGGTGCGTCCTCAGGCGCATCCGCGCTGTGGCCTGCGCCAGCCTCGCTCCTCTTCCTGGCTGGTGGTCCCACCGCGTACACGTGCCGCCGCCTGTTTTGCTGCTGCTTTTGAGCTGAGAATTGTTTTTATGACTTTTAAATAGCTAGAAAGGGATCAAAACAAGACTGTCTCACGATGTGGAAATTACATGAAATTCACAGTTCAGTGCCTGTGAGTAGAGCTGACCGGCCGCAGTTCAGCCACACATGGACTCATTACCGAAGCTGCCTCCACCCAGGCAGCCCGAGCCAGCAGCTGTGACCGGCACCCTGTGGCCCACACGGCCAGAAGTGTTTGCCATCTGGCCCCCCGCAGACGTGGTCTGCTGCCTGTGGTGGAGATCACTCTGGAGGCGGCTGTCATCGGCCACTCCCGGGAGCCCTCTCCTACCCTCAGTCCTCCATCCCTGGAGCAGTTAGCCCCATACCTGGGCCATGCTGGGGCGGGCCCTGCGCCCAGGACGGATCTCATGCCTTCTCTTTTCTCTCCCCCGGTGATTTCTCCAAGCCAGTGGAATCCTGAAGGGCTTCGACCCACTCCTCAACCTTGTGCTGGACGGCACCATTGAGTACATGCGAGGTGAGTGGGGTGGCGGCCGAGGCAGGCAGCGGGACGAGGGGGATAGTGGGGTGAGGGGGGCAGCGGGACGAGGGGGGCAGTGGGACGAGGGGGGCAGCCGTGGGGCTCCCTGCTGGCTCTTCTTCTCTCAAACCCACAAAACCTCTGAGTTACCAACGTGAAGCCTCGTGGCGGCCGATGGACGGGCTTGAGCGCTCACTGGTCCTAGACGTCCTCACAAAGCAGGAAACCCCATTGTTGTGGGGCCTGGAGAGACGGGAGCTGCCAGCTCACCCACTGGTCTCTACACACTGACGGGGCGCCCGGCACAGTTAGAGGACAACCTTTTTAAATGTTTTATTATTTTAATTTTTGTTAAATTGGTGACGTGAGAGGCCAGGCACAATGGCTCACACCTATAATCCCAGCGCTTTGGGAGGCCAAGGCAGGAGGATCTCTTGAGGTCAGGAGTTTGAGACCAGCCTGACCAACATGGTGAAACCCCGTCTCCGCTAAAAATGCAAAAAAATTGCTGGGTGTGGTGGCGCATGCCTGTAATCCCAGCTGCTCGGGAGGCTGACGCAGGAGAATCGCTTGAACCTGGGAGGCGGAGGTTGCAGTGAGCCGAGATGGTGCAACTGCACTCCAGCCTGAGTAACAGAGTGAGACTCCGTCTCAAAAAAAAGAGATAAGCTGAGGTCTCACTGTGTTGCCCGGGCTGGTCTCGAACTCCTGGGCTCAAGCCATCCTCCTGCTTCAGCCTCCCACAGTGCTGGGGTTCCAGGCGTGAGCTGTGGCGCCCAGCGGAGAGCAGCCTTGCTGTGGGGTAGTGAGCGTGCCGTGGGGCTCCTCTCGGGCGCCTTTCCTCTTCTGCCCTTGTTAATTCCCGCTATGAACGCAGGGTCCCTGTCTCCTCCCCAGAGGACCCTCCCTCATTTCCCTGCCCCCGCTCGCTCCCCTCCCCAGTGAGGCCGCCAAGTCCTCAGACTCTCCCCCAGAAGCTCCTGCGGCAAGTCCCCAGCTGGCAAGTCCCCATCCCGGCCCGGGCACTGGGGGAATGTCAGGACTTAGGAGAGAGAGGGTCTTGCCCCTTGGATCCATTGATACTGAGACAAGATTTATTCTTGTAGCTGGCCATGGTGGCTCATGCCTGTAATCCCAGCACTTTGGGAGGCCAAGACAGGAGGATCACTCGAGCCCAGGAATTTGAGACCAGCCTGGGCAACATAGTGAGACCCTGTCTCTACAAAAAAAAAAAAAATGTAATTAGCCAGGCATGGCGGTACATGTGCCTGTGGCCCCAGCTACTCAGGAGGCTAAGGCAGGAGGATTGTTTGAGCCCAGGAGGTTGAGGCTGTGAGCTGTGATTGCACTGCTGCACTCCAACCTGAGCAACAGAGCAAGACCTGGTGTCTGAAAAAAAGTTTAAAAACCTGGGCCCCATGGTTCTCCCATGCCCCCACCACTGCAGGACCACAGTAGTGAGGAGTTTTAATCGCCTTCAGCCTCTTGAGAGCTTGTCTTGGGCTTGCTGGCACTTCCCTGGGGTGCCAGCCCACATGGTCCCCACCCCACATGAACAGCCTCTTTATTTTTTTATTTTTTGAGATGGAATCTCGCTCTGTCACCCAGGCTGGAGTGCAGTGGCGCGATCTCGGCTCACTGCAAGCTCCGCCTCCTGGGTTCACACCATTCTCCTGCCTCAGCCTCCCGAGTAGCTGGGACTCCAAGTGCCTGCCACCACGCCCGGCTAATTTTTTTGTATTTTTTAGTAGAGACGGGGTTTCACCAAGTTAGCCAGGATGGTCTCGATCTCCTGACCTCGTGATCCGCCTGCCTTGGCCTCCCAAAGTGCTGGGATTACAGGCGTGAGCCACCGCGCCCGGCCCCCAGCCTCTTTGTTATAGGGTGAATATTGGCCCCCTAGGGCTCCAGGGACCTTGCAGAGACCAGGAGGCCCAGGGTGCCTGTATTCTGGCCGGCCATCTGATAACCTGGTTCCCGGCCCTGGTGCCTGGGCCCCAGTGAGCTCTGAGACGCGGGGTAGCCGGCTATCACCTGGGCCTTCTTGTTCCCATGGTTTGTGGAGTGAGGGAGGGCTGTGGCTGCTGTCTGTGGAGCTGCCACTGGTCTCTAGGGGCCATGGGTCTCAGCCGTGGGAGCCGGGGACCTGCCCCACAGAGCGCATCCCGTCTGAGGTCCCTGCGTGCTCGTGGCGCCTGCAGGGTGCAGGTGGGGAGGTCGGAGCGAGGGTCTTGGGTGGGTGGGGGGTCTCGGAGGCTTCCTGGAGGTCCCTCAGTCCTCTCTATCTGCTCCTCCCCAGACCCTGACGACCAGTACAAGCTCACGGAGGACACCCGGCAGCTGGGCCTCGTGGTGTGCCGGGGCACGTCCGTGGTGCTAATCTGCCCGCAGGACGGCATGGAGGCCATCCCCAACCCCTTCATCCAGCAGCAGGACGCCTAGCCTGGCCGGGGGCGCGGGGGGTGCAGGGCAGGCCCGAGCAGCTCGGTTTCCCGCGGACTTGGCTGCTGCTCCCACCGCAGTACCGCCTCCTGGAACGGAAGCATTTTCCTTTTTGTATAGGTTGAATTTTTGTTTTCTTAATAAAATTGCAAACCTCAATGTGTCTGAGCCCCGAATCTTGCTTTTCCCTTGACCTTCTGAGGAAACCTGGATTCCTGGAGATTGGACTCAGTCCCTGGAGCTCATCAAATACCAGCCATGGTCCCTCCTGGGGGTGAGGGTTCAGGAGTGACCAAGGCGGGCACAGCCAAGGCCGAGACAGGCGAGTTTGGAACCTCAGTCTGATGAGGGGCTTGTGGAACCCCAGGCCCGCCCCCAAGACAGCAGGAGCTGGGGTGCATCAGGAGCCGGGATGCATCAGGAGGCTGGGGTATATCAGGAGGCCGGGGTGCATCAGGAGGCCGGGGTGCGTCAGGAGCCGGGGTGCATTAGGAGGCTGGGGTGCATTAGGAGGCTGGGTGTGTCAGGAGCTGGGTGTGTCAGGACCTGGGGTGAATCAGGAGCCGGGGTGCATCAGGAGGCTGGGGTGCATCAGGAGCCGGGGTGCATCAAGAGGCCAGACCCCACAGCCCATGCAGCTAACACCTGCCCCCGCTGCTGCCCCCGCTTGTGAGATGGACTGGTCACCTACAGCCAGCCCCTTCTGGGTTCCTTCCGTGCTCACAGCATGTCCTGAGGTCGGGTGCAGTGGCTCTCGCCTGGAATCCCAGCACTTTGGGAGGGTGAAGTAGGAGGATCTCTTTGAGCCCCGGAGTTCAAGACCAGCCTGGGAAAATAGGGAGACCTCGTCTCTACAAAAAATATATATATTTTTTCCTTTGAGACAGTCCTCACTCTCACTCAGACTGGAGTGCAGTGGCGTGATCTCGGCTCACTGCAAACTCCGCCTTCCTGGTTCAAGTGATTCTCCTGCCTCAGCCTCCCAAGTAGCTGGGATTACAGGCACCCGCCACCATGCCCAGCTAATTTCTGTATTAGTAGAGATGAGGTTTTGCCATGTTGGCCAGGCTGGTTTCGAACTCCTGACCTAAGGTAATCCACCCGCCTCAACCTCCCCATGTGCTGGGATTACAGGCGTGAGCCACCGCGCCCGGCCTAATTTTTGTATTTTTAGTAGAGATGGGGTTTCACCATGTTGGCCAGGCTGGTTTTGAACTCCTGACCTCGAGTGATCACCCTCCTCACCCTCCCCAATTGCTGGGATTACAGGCATGAGCCACCACACCTGGCCTACAAAAAATGTTAAAAACGTGTCCTGACTGGGCAGATACAGGCCCTGGCACCGGCCTCCCACACCTGCACTAGGACTTCCCACACTCCAGCGGGCCAGCCCATCCTGCATACCCCTAAATGTCTCTTCCCGACAGCCGGGCAATCCTCCTGGACTCCGTTTCCTGGTTGCACCTCTGTCCCCCAGGCACTGTCTTCCCAGAGGAGGGCAGGGCCTGTCTGATTCATCACTCGGGTTGAGAGAGGATAGGCTGTCCCTTATGACCTGAGCGTGAGAGGGTCATCCTGGCCGCTAACCCCTTCATCCCCAGCTCGGGAAACCGAGGCAGCGTGTGGTCCAGGTTGCCAGGAAGCTATAGCAGCAGAACAGGACGGAGCTCAGCCTCGGGTCTGGATGGGCTCACGCTCCCTGGCTGCCTCCGAATAAGTGGAACCAGCTGGCTTCTCGGCAGGGGTATCTGGGCCCCATAGACACTGGCTTTGCTGGGGCCCAGCGGCACTAGCCCCTGTGGCTGGGGAATTAGTTATCGGACCTCGTGGCCAACCCCTGCATCCGCTGTTCATCCCTCCCCGGCCCCGGCCACCTAGCCCAGCCCTGCCACCACCGGCCGAGACCTCATCCCAAGCCCCAGCCTCCAGCCTCGCACCGGGGATGGCGGGGGTTTGCTGGGATAGCTGCGGGGTCACAGCCTCCAGCGAAGGACAGACAGAGTTCAGGTGTGCCCGGACTGCTGACGTTCAACCCACAAGCCTACAAGCCTCGCTGTCCGGGACCAGTTCCCTGCGTCCATTTGACAGGTGGGGGATCAGGATGTCACGTGATGGAGAAACACAACCCTGACACCAGAGCTGACCGGCCTGGAAACCAACACGCTGTCCACGCGGCACACCTGCCTGCCCTGTCTGAGCCAGATGCAAAGGCTGAAACCCAGGGTCCCAGTGGCCCAGAGGCCTCAACCCCCAGTGGGAGAACGTGTCAAGGCCTTAGAGGCTAACTGGCCTCGTTAGAACCTCCAGGAACGGCAGGGAGGCAGGAGAGGAAGGAAGTCCCGTTTTCCAGCCCCACGGTTTCTCCCGCAGAGGAAGCAAGGCCTGCCTCACCGCTGCACCCCTCAGAACAGCCCCCCACACTGTAGACTGCTCTCTGCCCACTCCGTCACCTCCTAGTGAGCTGATGAACTTTGCAAAGCCCTCTGCAGCCACAAAGCCCTGAGCCCAAGGCTCCCCCCACCACATGCTGTGTGGCTTAGGGAAGGTGTCCCAACCTCTCTGAAATCCAATTCCTTCTCTCTGAAGTGTTGAAAAAGGTGTTGAGTATCCACTCTGTGGCTGGGCCCTCGGCCACAGTCATGTGGGGACAGAGTTCAGAGCACGAAGCTTTTTTTTTTTTTTTTTTTTTTTTTGCAATGGAGTCTGACTTTATTGCCCAGGCTGGAGTGTAGTGGCACGATCTCAGCTCACTGCAACCTCCGCCTCCTGGGTTCAAGTGATTCTCTCACCTCAGCCTCCTAAGTAGCTGGGATTACAGGTGCCCGCCACCATGCCTGGCTATGTATTTTTAGTAGAAATGGGGTTTCACCATGTTGGCCAGGCTGATCTCGAGCTCCTGACCTCAGGTGATCCTCCTGCCTCAGCCTCCCAAAGTGCTGGGATTACAGGCATGAGCCACCATGCCCAGCCCAGGGCACGAAGCTTTGAAATGAGGCCCACAGACAAAAACAGAAGGCTGTGCAGACCGGGAGAGGGAGAGGTCAACTTCCTGGGGAGGCAGACAGAAGTCCCCAGAGAATAGACCAGAATGAGCCTGTTCCTCTCAACCATTTCCACCCCAGAGAGCCACTCTGACCTGCTCGGAAAAGACTGGAAGTAACCCAGCTGCCCATCACTAGAGGATACGCTGGAGGAGTCCAGGACCTCCAGCCAACTACAAAGCCACTTTTAATTTTATCTATGTATTTATTTTTAAGAGACAAGGTCTCACTCTGTGGCCCAGGCCAGAGTGCTGTGGTGTGAGCACAGCTCACTGCAGCCTTGACCTCCTGGGCTCAAGAAATCCTCCCACCTTGGCTTCCCAAAGTGCTGGGATGACAGGTGCGCACCACTGCACCTGGCCTGCTTTTAATATTTTAAAAGGAGAAATTTAATATTTTACATTCCACATTACATTGAAAATTTAATATTTTACAAAGAGTCAGAGAAGAAAAACCCAGTTACAGCCAGAAGGCACAGAGAGATTTGGAGAGAGATAGGGAGAGGCAGAAACAGAGGCGGAGACGTAGAGAGGGAACCGAGAGAGAAATGAGGACACGGCGGCCGGCCCGGCCCGAGACACTGGATCCCCCAGGCCTCCACTCTCCTGGCCCCGTATAAAGCCCCAGCCCCAGCAGGTCCCGCCAGCCAGCCCGCCGTGCCAACTGCAGGCTGCCCCCTGCCCCTGGCCCAGACCTCACCCTTTCAACTCCCTGCCCATGGTCAGCGCAGCCCTCGGATCACGATGTCGGGGCCGTGGCCGTTGGCCCGGGAACCAGCTTTGCTGCCTGTGCCCGCGGTCAAGTGCTGGCCGAGAGCCCTCGAGTCTTGTCCTCGGAGGCCCCACTCTGGGAGACATTGGCGGAGGCCCTGGTAGATAAGACAGATGGGCCCTTCTTGCCCCCAGACCAGCCAGAGATCCTCAGGGTACCACCCCACTGCAGGTTCCGAAGGAGGACGGGAGCTGGATGTTACTGATAGTCAGTCTGGGGCGTCTGCCCCAGACACTGACCCCACTGCCTTCTCCAAGGTAGCTCTGGTTCACGGAACCCTCCCCCAAAGGAGGACCTCAGGCGGGTCCTTTTGTCATTCCCGTTCACAGATGAGGCAGCTGAGGCCCAGAGAGGTTAAGCAGCTTGCACAGGGTAACACAGCCAGAATCCTAGCGTAGGAGGTAGGCTGCCTGCCGCTCCATCTACCCCACCGTGCCTTTCCTCTGCCCCAAGCCAATGGGGCTCCCAGCCACCCGCATCTTGTGGGCATAGAAATGAAGTCCCAGTGCCTAAAAGAGGCAAAGAGAAAAGGGAATGAGACCGGGTGCGGTGGCTCACGCCTGTAATCCCAACACTTTGGGAGGCCGAGGCGGGCGGATCACTTGAGGTAAGGAGTTGGAGAGCAGCCTGGCCAACATAGCGAAACCCCATCTCTACTAAAAGTACAAAAATTAGCTGGGCGTGGCAGCGGGTGCCTGTAATCCCAGCTACTCAGGAGGCTGAGGCGGAAGAATCCCTTGAACCCAGGAGATGGAGGTTGCAAGGAGCTGAGATCACGCCATTGCACTCCAGCCTGGGTGACAGAGTGAGACTCCATCTCAAAAAAAGAAGGAAAGGAAAGGAGAGGAAAGGAGAGTGGAGGAGAGGGGAAGGGAGGGGAGGGGAGTGGAGGGGAGGGGAGGGGAATGAACGCACTGTGGCCCCAGGAGCTGGGAGAAAGCAAGTCACCGTCGGCCTCACGCCGCAGATCCATTCCTGCCTTGAACGACCGAGGGGAGGCCTCCCTGCACCTCCAGAACACCCGTGCAAGGACCCGGACAGTACCGTGTAGCGTGAGACCTTCTGCCACAGAGGCCCCTGCTGCCCATCACCGCCTGTTTCTGGGTGTCGATTTCCTGCCTGGACCCAGACAAGGACATGGATATGAAGGGAAGAAGGTTTGTAAACAGAAGAAGCTGTGCCCACGAGGAGAGCTCCTAGGGTTCAGGAATTGTTGGTTTGAGCCTGGGGACCGCCCAGGGTGAGAGAGGTTAGCACACCCCTGGGGCCAGGCACTGTGGCTCACACTTGTAATCCCAGCACTTAGGGAGGAGGAGGTGGGAGGATCTCTTGAGCCTAGGAGGCCAAGGCTGCAGTGATCTATGATTCCGCCACCTCACTGCAGCTTGGGTGACAGAGCGAGACCCTGTCTTAAAATAAAAAGGACAGTCCTGGGGGTCCCAGCTCCACGGCTAGGGCTCAAGCTCCTGGGATCTCACCAGGTCCCTCCCACTCTGCGCCTCCCCAAAGCCCCCATTGTCCACAGGAATAAGTCCGGGCTCCTCCGCCTTGCCCATTAGACAGGGGCTTTCCGGGCAGGCCTAGGTCTGTCTATGAACTCCGGGCCCTTCTGCCTCCAGTGTCTCACACTCTCTACCTCCCTTCAGGACTCAGCTCCGTGGACCCCCGCCCCCCACCGCCACTGCGTGGCCACGCTGGCCTCGACCGTGCTGACCAGAGCCAGCAGGGGTCAGGATTCACCCAGGAATGACGGGCCCGAGGCCGCTAGGGTTCCAGTGCCCGACAGAAGACAGAGTTCTGCACGCCGGCCAGTGAACACAGACCAGAAGCAGTAAGGGAACAGGAAGCTGGGGGTAATGGGCACGAAGTCAGAGACAGAGATGCCCGTGGGTTCCGCTTTCATTGTTGAAAATGCTTCTGACTTCCATTTCCCTGACCTCATCTCTGCCCCAGCACCAGAGGCGCCCCAAAATTAATGCACACCCCAAACCAATGCTCCTTCCACCAGGTGCCGCTCCAGCTTTCTGCATCCAAGGAAACAGCTCCATGATTCAGGCTTACACCCTCGGGTGCCCTTCCCTGCTGTTTCTCTTGCCTCCCACATCCCAGCCATCAGCAAATGCTGACAATTCTACCTTCAGAATTGTTCCCAGGCCAGGCACGGTGGCTCACGCCTGAAATCCCAGTGCTTTGGGAGGCCGAGGCAGGAGGATGGCTTGAGCCCAAGAGTTCAAGGCCAGCCTGGGCAACATAGAGAGACCCCCTTCTCTGGAAAACAACAGAATTGATCCTGAAGCTTTTAAGGAACAAACAGCACCAATCCTACCCAAACTCTTTCAGAAACTAGAGGAGGAAGGAACACTTCCCAATGTGTTTTATGAGGCCAGCGTAACCAAAACACATTACTGAAAATCAAAGGCCAATATCCCTCATGAATATCGATGCACAAATCCTTAATATTAACAAATTGAATCCAGCTGTCTATAAAAGGGATTCTCCATCATGACCACCAAGTGGGGTTTATCCCAGGAATGCAAGGTTGGTTTAATACCCAAGAATCAATGTGATTAACCACATTAGCATAAGAGAGGAAAACCATATGATCATCTCAGTAGATGCAGAAAATTCAGCACTCACTTGGACAAAATTCAGCATTCATGCAGATTAAAAACACGCAACTAGGAATAGAATGGCATATCCTCAACCAGATAAAAGATGTCTATAAAAACCCTACAGCTGTCATCCTCAATGGCGAAGGACTGGGTGCTCTCCCCCTAAGGCCAGAAACAAAAGAAAGATGTCCAGTTCCACTGGTTCTTTTCAACATTGTACTGGAGGTGCCACACGGTGCAATAAGACAGGAAAATGACATATAAGACAAACAGCAGAAAGGAAGAACTAAGGCCAGGCACAGTGGTTCAGCAGCTCATGCCTGTAATCCCAGCACTTTGGGAAGCTGAGGCAGGAGGATCACTTAAACCCAGGAGTTCAAAACCAGCCGGGGCAACATGGCAAGACCCTGTTTCTACCAAAAAAAGAAAAAATTAATGGGCATGCTGGCATGCACCTGTGGTCCTGGCTACTCAGGAGGCTGAGACGGGGGTGGGGGTCACCTGAGCCTGGGAGTTGAAGGCTACAGTGAGCTATGACTGCACCACTGCATTCCAGCCTGGGTGACAAAGCGAGACCCTGTCTCTGGAAAAAAAAAAGAGAGAGAGAGAGAGAGAGAGAGAAAGAGACAGGCATATCAACCAATTGCAGTAAATGGACCTTATTTGGATTCTGAGCTGAACAAAGTGTGAAAAAATTTTAGAAGGCAGTCAGGGAAACTGGACACTGCCTGGATATTTGAGCATATTAAGGAATTACTGTCCATTTTCTTAAAAAATGATAATGGAATTGTTGGCTGTGTTTTTTAAGTCATTGTATTTTAGAAATGCAAATATTTATGGATGAAATTACTTCGTGTCTGGGATTTGCTTTGATATAGTCTGTTGGGGAGGGTGGAGAGGGACTTATGGAACCAGATGCATCACACTTTGGGGATGGCTTTATGGGGGTTCATTACGTGATTCTCTAAGCCTTTGTTTGTGTATAAAATTTTCCATAATAAAAGGTTAAGCCAGGCGCTGTGGCTCACGCCTGTAATCTCAGCACTTTGGAAGGCTGAGGAGGGTAGATCACGACGTCAGGAGTTCGATACCATCCTGGCCAACATGGTGAAACCCCGTCTCTACTAAAAATACAAAAATTAGCTGGGCGTGTTGGTGCACACCTGTAATCCTAGCTACTCAGGAGGCTGAGGCAGGAGAATTGCTTGAACCCAGGAGGCGGGGGTTGCAATGAGCCGAGATCGCGCCACTGCACTCCAGCCTGGGCGACAGAGTGAGACTCTGCCTCAAAAAAAAAAAAAAGTAATATAAGCAAGAGTTTCCTTCAGAATCTGATGTGGGTGATTAATTTCCATGTAAATCAGAGGAGAGTTGTGTTTTTTTTTTTTCTCGGCCACTGCGCCTGGCTGAGAGAATTTTTTTTTAATAGTAGATGGATAAATTTCATTCTAAACCTAGAACTTACTCTGGGGGTCACTTATTTGTGGGGACAGCTAATTTTTGTATTTTCATCGTGTTGGCCAAGCTGGTCTCAAACTCTTGACGTCAACCGATCCACCTGCCTTGGCCTCCCAAAGTGCTGGGATTACTGGTGTGAGCCAGCGCACTTGGCCAATATGCATATATATTTTTTGAGACAGGGTCTTGCTCAGTCGCCCAGAATGGAATGCAGTGGTGAGATCCTGGCTCACTGCAATCTCCTCCTCCTAGCCTCAAGCGATCCTCCCACCTCAGCCTCCTGAGTAGCTGGGGCTACAGGCATGCAACACCATGTCCAGATAATTTTTTTTTTAAAGAGATGAGGGTCTCGCTATGTTGCCCAGACTCCTGAGCTCAAGCGATCCTCCTGCCTCTCCCTCCCAAAGTGCTGGGATTCCAGGCACGAGCCACTACGCCCGGCCATTGTCCCCTTCCTGTCCTCGGTCAGTGTCTCCCCACCCCTTGTCCTGAGTGGAAGCCTCCTGAGGGCAGGGACGGCGCCTGAGCCTGGCATGGACGCAGCACCTAGTAGGAGCCCAGGCGATGTCGAGAAGTGCAGTTTCTTTTGCATCCTGCAGGACGAGGGAGGTGGGTTTGATGTCCCGTGGAGCACCCCAGGCCCAGCAGCTCAGCTGCTGGGTGATCTTGGGGTGTCCCTCAAGTCTCTGGGCCCAGCATCCCTGGCAGGATGCATCTCCCTCGGTTCCTCTTGGAGAGCTGCCCGGGGGGCGGGGGCAGGGAGAGCGTGGGAGGGGGATGCAGGCGCGGCTTTGAGCCTCCCAGGCGGTGGGGTGGGAGCACCTGGTTGCTAAGGTTACGACCACCTGTGATGGGACGTTGCCATGGAGACTTACCACCTGGGCGGAGAGGGCGGCTCCAGATGGGGAAGCCGTGGGAGAGGCTGGGGGGCAGGGAGGCAGCAGCCCGCAGAGGGGGGCATCCTTCTGGGGACGGCCGTGGTGGGGCCGAGGGGTCTCCTGTCCTGTGCTCTCCTGCCTGGGAAAACCAGCAGGAACTCTTCTGCAGCAGGAACCATTTCTAAAATTAAAAGCCCTCCTCCTCTCGCTCGCTCTCTCCAGCGTGAGGGACGGGACCAGATGCGGGCGGGAGTGGCAGTCATGTCCCAGGGAGGGAGGCTGCGGGGGCAGGTGGCCTGGGAGCCTCCCGTGTGGCCCCAGACAAGTGGCCACCCTCTGTAACTGGGGAAAGAGTCCTTGGCTGCTAAGAGGCAAACGTGTAGAGTCCTGGAAGCCTTGGGCTCCAGATGCCTGAGGTCAAGCCCCAGCTTCAGCAGGCAGATGCTGTGTGACCTGAGGCTAGTGACCTAACCTCTCTGAGTCCCCAAATTCTCATCTGTAAAGTGGGAATAATAATGAATCCAGGCCAGGCACAGTGGCTCACACATGTAATCCCAGCACTTTGGGAGGCTGAGATGGGAGGATCACTTGAGGCCAGTTCAGGACTGCAGTGAGCTATGATTGCACCACTGCACTCCAGCCTGGGCAAAATAGCAAGACCCTGTTAATTAAAAGTTAATCTGGGGGCCGGGCACCGTGGCTCACGCCGGTGATCCCAGCACTTTGGGAAGCCAAGGCGGGCAGATCACGAGGTCAGGAGATTGAGACCATCCTGGCTAACATGGCGAAACCCCGTCTCTACTAAAAATACAAAAAAATTAGCTGGGCGTGGTGGCAGGCGCCTGTGGTCCCAGCTACTTGGAAGGCTGAGGCAGGAGAATGGCGTGAACCCGGGAGGCGGAGCTTGCAGTGAGCTGAGATCGCGCCACTGCACTCCAGCCTGGGCGATAGAGTGAGACTCCGTCTCAAAAAAAAAAAAAAAAAAAAAAAGTTAATCTGACCCAGGCTCAGTGGCTCATGCCTGTAATCCCAGCACATTGGGGGGCCGAGGTGAGCGGATCACTTGAGGTCAGGAGTTCTAGTCCAGCCTGGCCAACATGGAGAAACCCCATCTCTACTAAAAATACAAAAATTTAATGAGCCTGGTGGCATGCGCCTGTAGTCTCAGCTACTCGGGAGGCTGAGGCAGGAGAATTGCTTGAACCCAGGAGGTGGAGGTTGCAGTGAGCCAAGATTTGCACCGCTGCACTCCAGCCTGGGCAAACAGAGTGAAACTCTGTCTCACAAGATATAAAAAAAGCTAATTTAAAAAAGCCAGGTGTGGTGGCACATGCCTGTAGTCCCAGCTACTTGGGAGGCTGAGGCAGGAGGACCACTTCAGCCCAGGAGTTCCAGGCTGCAGTGAGCCATGATCACACCACTGCACTCCAGCCTGGGTGACAGAATGAGACCCTGTCTCTTAAAAAATAATAATAAAAACTAATCCCTCATCATTTTGGGGAGGAGTAAATGGACACATAATATTACAAGACTGGGCTGGGCACAGTGGCTCACACCCGTAATACTAGCACTTGGGGAGGCCAAGAAGAGAAGATCACATTAGGCCAGGAGTTCAAGACCAGCCTGGGCAACTTAGTGAGACCCCATCTCTACAAAAAATAAAAAAATTAGCCAGGTGTGTTGCCACTCACTTGCAGTCCCAGCTTCTCGGGAGGCTGGGGTAGGAGGATCACTTGAGCCCAGGGGGTTCAAGGCTGCAGTGAGCTATGACTGCGCCACTGCACTCCAGCCTGGGTGACAGAGCGAAACCCTGTCTTAAAAAAGGCTGGGGCCGGGCTCGGTGGCTCACGCCTGTAATCCCAGCACTTTGGGAGGCTGAGGCGGGCCGATCATGAGGTCAGGAGATTGACACCATCCTGGCTAACATGGTGAAACCCTGTCTCTACTAAAAATACAAAAAAAAATTAGCCGGGCCTGGTGGCGGGTGCCTGTGGTCCCAGCTACTCGGGAGGCTGAGTCAGGAGAATGGCGTGAACCCGGGCGGTGGGGCTTGCAGTGAGCCGAGATCGCGCCACTGCACTCCAGCCTGGGCAACCGACAGGGTGAGACTCCATCTCAAAAAAAAAAAAAAAAAAGAAGAGAGGGTAGAGCTTGCACTGGACCCATCAGCAAATTACTGGACATCTTAGCAGGCATGTGCCACGCAGGGAGAGATGGAAGGTCGGGGTGGAGACGCGAGTGAAGAGGGGGAAAGGGGCGGGCAGAGGTCTGGGGGAAGGGCGTTCTAGGCAGAGGGAGCAGCCCGTGCTCAGGCCCTGCAGTAGGAGCCTGGCCCAATCTCCACCCCCAAGGGCTCGGGAGCACTGGCCACAAACCGGGCAGAACCACTGCAGAGTCTCTGCAGCCCCGGGAGAAGATGGGAACTGTTCCGATCTCCATTTTGCAGAGGTGGAGACCGAGGCTAGAGGGACATCCCCCACGGTTACACAGGCAGGGCCTCGACTGGACCCCAGCTGGCATCCCTCACCCTCCAGGACTCATAGCAAGTGTCTCCTCCTCCGGGAAGCCTCCCTGGCCCCTGGCTTCGGTCCGGGACCCGGTGTCACTACTGCCTCTTCCACGCCGCTTTGTGACGATTTCATATTTCAGGCATCTGCTCCCTCTGTCCGAAGAAATCCCCCTTGAGGCTGGAAGCGTCTCCTCCTCCTCCCTCCAGCCCTTGGCCTGGTATACAGTAGGTGCTCAATGAACACCTTCCTCCAAGAGCCCTGAGAGCCAGCTATCAGGAGCATCACTTTACAGAGAAAGAAACACGTTCAGAGAGAGAAGGAGACCTCCCCTACTGGGGTCACACAGCACAGCAGCCCAGGGCCATTTGGTGGGGAGAGCATGGGGTGTCATGAAGTCCTTCTGGACCTCTCTGGGGCCAGGAATTGAACCATACCCGCCCCCCACAGCATCCTGTGGGGGGCCTGGCCTGCAGCCTCCCAGGGATGCGGTTTCTGGGCCTCCAGCCAACGCGACAGTCTGGGAACAGAGCCTGCTTGAGTCACAGGTGGCTGCGTGAGTGCCAGGCCACCGCCAAAGCCACTGGGAATACACAGCTGGTGGGGAGGACTGCAGAGTGGGTGAAGGGGGCAGACAGGGCAAGGTTACACACACAGGTTCCCGAGGCCTCCTTCTCACCCCTCACTTGGGACAAATGGCATCTCCCAGCCTTGGTTTGCTCATCTGTGAGACAGGGAGGCTAAATGTGGCTTTTAGAAGATGCAGTGAGGGGCCGGGCATAGTAGCTCACGTCTGTCATCCCAGCACTTTGGGAGGCCGAGGCGGGTGGATCACCTGAGGTCAGGAGTTCGAGACCAGCCTGGCCAACATGGTGAAACTCTATCTCCCCTAAAAATACAAAAATTAGCCAGGCATGGTCATGGGCGCCTGTAATCCCAGCTACTTGGGAGACTGAGACAGGAGAATCGCCTGAACCCGGGAGGTGGAAGTTGCAGTGAGCCAAGATTGCACCACTGCACTCCAGAATGGGTGACGAGAGCAAAACTCCATTTCAAAAAAAAAAAAAAAAAAAAAAGACAAAAAAAAAGGTAAAAAACTTTCCATGAGCACTCGCAGTGCACTTGGTGTGTGCGCTGCTGTGTGCTAGGCGGAAGGCACATTGGGGAACAAGCCCATTAGACAAACTGAGAGGCTCCAAGCTGCTCGATGGAGGGACAGAGAGAAAGGCTGTCCAAGCTGGGCACAGCGAAGATCAAAGGCCTGGGACTGGAGGGACTTGGCCTGTTTGAGGAAGGCTGAGGGGGTGGAGCCCGGGAAAGAGTGAGTGAGGACAGGCCAGGGGGAAGGAGGTGGTGCGGCAGACCAAACAGTGCAGGCAGCCGGGCGGTGGCTCACACCTGTCATCCCAGCACTTTGGGAGGCCGAGGTGGGTGGATCACCCGAGGTCAGGGGTTTGAGACCAGCCTGGCCAACATGCTGAAAATCCGTCTCTAATAAAAATACAAAAATTAGCCGGGCGTGGTGGCGGGTGCCTGTAATCCCAGCTACTTGGGAGGCTGAGGCAGGAGAATCGCTTGAACCCAGGAGGCGGAGGTTGCAGTGAGCCAAGATGGCACCGCTGTACTCCAGCCTGGGCAACAGAGCAAGACTCCATCTCAAAAAAAAAAAGAAAGAAAGAAAGAAAGAAAGAACGAAAGAAAGAGAAATTCCAGGGTAGGTGGGGTGCAGACGGGACCCTCACGGCAATAGGGAATCACGGCAGGTTCTGGAGCCCAGTGGCTAAGCTTCCTCTGAGGGGCTTCCTCTGAGGGCCACATAAGGAATGGGCCTGGGCTGGGCTGTGGCAGATGTCCAGGTGCAGATGGTGGCGGCCTGGACTAGGGGTGGGGGACGGGGGGCAGAGGAGGCGATGGTAGCTTCCAGAAGGTTCCACACGGAACAACCTGCTGCACTTGGGGTGCCCCTGCGTTTATTGCACGGCACGGCCGTCTCCGCAGGCTCACCCAGGCCGTGGGGACAGGAGGTCCTCGGACACGAAGCGCCCGGGATGCGCACGGAGGGGTTCTGCACCCGCGCTCCCAGTGTCCCCGCACCTGCGCCCACGTGGCCTCTCACACCTGCGGCCCCAGCCGCCGCGCACGCGGCCCAGCGCAGCCCCCGCGCGCCCCCGCCAGGCGCGCCGAGGAGACCGGCGGGCGGTTGCGCGCGGCGGCGGCGCGCACGGCGGAGCCCGGGAGGCGGCGGCGGCGGCGGCGGCGGCGGCGGCGGCTGCTCGTGTCGGCTCCGGGCGGCCCCCGCGCCGCAGCCCGCGCCGTGTCCGCGGCGGAGCCGCCCAGGTGAGTGGCCGTGCCGGGGCCCGGCGTGGGGCGCGCCCGCAGACCTGGGGACCCCTCACCTGCACCCTGCGACCCTGCCGCCCAAAGCCCCCAACCCGCGACCCCATCCTCAGCCGGGGGAAATTGCCCCGCGCACCCCTCCCGGGCTCATCGCTCCTTGCCAGGCCCCCGACGCTCCCCCTGGAAACTTTGGGGGCGAACTCCCCACCCTGGGGCCCCCCGCCCCTCCTCTGGGGCGCCAAGGAGCGGGGAATCGGGTGGGCATCTCCCCGGGGCACTGGGGACGCTGGGAGGATGCGCTCCTCTCCAGGAGGAGATGAAGGGGGCACTGGTTGGGTCTGGGGTGTGGGGAACGTCCGAATAGAGCCTGCAGCCCGCGCCTTCCTGCCCTGTCTCCCCCGAGCCGGGTCTGGTCCAGCCTGGGGGTGCGGAGCTGGAAGACGCAAAGGGTATCTGGGGTCCACACCGGAGCCTGCTCCATCGCTGGAGCTGACGGCCCGGCCTGGCGGGGAGGGACCTGGGGGCATAGGGCTGAGTCCCCCTGCTCTGGGGGCGTCTGAATAGCACCAGAAATGGTGGGCCTGGGCACCCTGAGTGGGTGCCGCCACCTCCCGGGCCTCTGGGGCCTGGCCAGGGGAGGCCCTGAGTCCCATTCAACAAGTTTAGGGGAGCAGCACCTCGTGCCTTGGTCCGGGCACAAGAAAAGCCCCGGGTCCTTACGCTGGAGACCACCATGTAACTGGGTTTCTCAACGTGTGCTTGGGGCGCTAACGGTGCCGGTGTCCCGGCCCCCCCAGTTCTGAGGAGTCAGAACTTCTGAGGCGATGTGCCCCAGAAGCTGCATTTTAGCAAGCGGTCCCTGGCTAAACCATGGACGCAGCGAGGCTGCAGACACCCTTGCTCCGGCGGGGGTGGGGAGCGGGCGTCTGCTGTGCAGTGGTATTTGCAGAGGGACGATCTGGGGCTTGGCTGGGGGGAGCCTTCAGGGACAACAGAGCTGTGAGAACCAGAGCAACCCAGGAGGGCTCCCTGGAAGTGGCCTGGAGAGGATGCAGAAGGTGTGAGGTGTGAGTGGTCAGGTGGAGGACGCAGGCTGGAAACAGGTTCAGGGAGGGTGGTGCTGGCTTTATCAGGAGGCTGGTGTGGGGTGGGCTGCCGCGGCATGGCCTTACCCTGGCTGTTCTCTGAGCCGAAGCAGCAGCCATCGTCGGAGACAGGATCTGAGTGGGAAGAACCCACGGGCTTCCCCTGTAGACCCAGCTCCTGTCCCCATCTCGATGATGTGGGGTGGCAGGAAGGGGGCAGCCGGGCGGTGGGATGGGGGCTTAGGAGGGTTCAACTCAGCCTTCCCTGCCCTGCCTGTCTGGTCTTCACCGGTGACTTCCGGCAAATGACGTCCCCTCTCTCAGATCCACCCCACATGGGATTAAATGAGATGCTGCCCACCTCGGCTGCAGTGTGGTGCCACCATAAAACAGATGCTCAGGTCACGATGGTTACGGCAGCAGCCCTGCCTGGCCTCCCTCAGCCTCAGCCGTCCACCCCCAGGGTAAGCCGGGACCTGAAGGTGCCTTGCTGAGTGGGAATAGAAGGCAGTTTGATGTCTCTTCCCACAGCACTGTCATTCCCCGGCGCCCCCTGAGTCACTACCTCGTCACCAGGTAGAGCCTCTTGAAGAACTCTGCGAGCAAAGTTGGCCCCGGGTGGGCCCCATCAAGCCGCCCACCACCACATGTCAATCTCGGGCCTCCAAAGAGCGCCCTTCACCCTCTAGTGGGGAGCTGGGATTTTGTGGGTAGGAGCTGGCGTCAGATCCAGGTTCAAATGCTGACTGTCTGCAGCTAAGTTGTGCAGTGAGCTGGGGCCCACTCTGACCCTCAGTCTCCTTCTCTCCAAAACGAACTTTATTATTCCCCCTAGTCAGGGCTGGGCTAGTGGGTGAAGTGGCCGGTGTAGACAGTGGGTGCTCCAAAACTGGTTCCAGATCCAGAGGCCCTGCCTGCAGAGGGCAGTCCACGGCCCCCCGTGTACAGGCTGGGAAGGAAAGTGGGTCGGGAGGCCCCCAGCCCCTCGAGGGGTTGACGGGGACTAACAGCAGATGGAAGCTAATTAGGGCTTAATGAATTGTCATGGATGAAGCCCCGGGAGGGCCTGGATCTAGGGCAGAGGATGCAGGGGTCCTGGGGGACTGGCAGCGTGTCCCCAAAAGCAGACCTTGGAGGGCCACGTGCTGTGAGGGGCTGGGCCCCCTCCTCCCATATCCGTCTTAGAAGCTCAAACGGGGCATCCAGAGCACACTCCCCTTACTCCCACCGCCCTGGTTGTGGTGGGGGGCAGAGGGAGGGAGATGGAGGTCACTGTGGGCCTGGAAACAGAGGGGACCGCTACCACACTTCTCACTCCTGCCCCCTCTGGGTTTGGCCGGCCTCTAGGAGGGCCTTTCCCAAGGGAGATGTCAGCATCCCTTGCCCTGGGCGGGGACTGGAGGGGGATGTGTTTGAGGTAACCTTGCAAGAGGGAGGGGAAGAGCCCTGCTCAGAATAGAGGAGGCGGATTGGAAGGGCCGGGGGCTTAGCCAGGAGCTGAGGGAAGGAGCTGCCCACACCACCAGGCACCAAGAGGGTAGGGCCACCTCTGTTCTAGGGAGGGACCCCGGCCACTCACAGCCACACTCTGCCTTCTCCTTGAGCTAAGAGCTTCCAGGACCATTAATCCAGGATCCATATCTAAGGACAGCTGGGGGTACAGGGAAGAGAGGCCTCCATTGCCCAGGTCCTGCTGTGGGGGACAGTTTTGGGGAGGGGGTCCTCAAGGCCGGTGCCTGCACCGTGGTTGGTGCAGATCTCAGACCCCAAGGAGAGGTCAATGTCCCCTGCCTTCCACGCCCCAGAAGGCAGGTGCACAGATCCGGGAGGCCTCGAGCGACCTCCCTCTTCAAGACTGCAATGACCCTGATGAGTTCTGGCTGCTGTGACAGCAGTGGCTGGGAACCACACACATTTATTATTGCACCGTTCTGGAGGCCAGAGTCCAAAATGGGCCTCACTGGCGTAAAACCAGGGCATGAGGCTGGGTGTGGTGGCTCACGCTTGTAGTCTGAGCATTTTGGAAGGCCGAGGCAGGCAGATCACTGGAGATCAGGAGTTCGAGACCAGCCTGGCCAACATGGTGAAACCCCATCTCTACTGAAAATACAAAAAATTAGCCGGACGTGGTGGCTCATGCCTGTAGTTCCAGCTTCTCAGGAGGCTGAGACAGGAGAATCACTTGAACCTGGGAGGCAGAGGTTGCAGTGAGCCAAGATCGCACCAGCCTGGGTGACAGAGCGAGACTCTGTCTCAAAAAAAAAAAAAAAAAAAAAAAAAGCAGGACATGGCCAAGGCTGGGCCCTCCTGCTGCGCATTCCAGGTGAAAATCCGGTTCCCATCTTTCCCATTGCCCAGAGGCACCCGCATCCCTTGGCTCAGGGCCCCACCCTATCCCTTCATAGCCTCAGCACAGCCTCTTCCAGTCTCTGACTTTCACCCTCCCGCCTCCTCTCGTGAGGACCCTGTGAGATGTTGGGCCTCTGGATGATCCGGAATGATCTCCTGATCTCACAATTCTTACTTAATCCCATCTGCAGAGGCCCTTTTTCCATGTAAGGGTGGCCTTATCTGCAGTTCCGGGGATTAGAACCGGCTGGCTGTGGGGAGGCCTTCATTCTGCCAACCCCATTCTGCCAACCCCAGGCCCCCCTTCCCTGTTTATTTTTTCCCATACCATGGCCTGCCATGTGACAGTCGGCTTTACTTGTTTCTTCTGTTTCTTGCCCATAGACAGAAAGCAGGGATTTGTCTGTTTTGTTCACTGCTGTTTCTCTTAAAACCAGTGCCTGGCACACAGGCATTGTTTTTAAGTGCTTGTTGAATGAATGAATGAATGCTTGTTGAATGAATGTTTGTTGAATGAATGAATGAGGTGAACACATGGCCAGGAGCAAACCAGGGCCTAGGACTCTGGGCTCCTGACCCCAGCCGGCACCCAATGGAGACTTCCCCGGAAGGAACCTCCTTGCCTGACTTCTCACTCGCTCAGCCCAGGGAAGTGACTGGGAACCCTGCAGTTCCCTTTTGCAGAAGAGGAAACTGAGGCTCAGAGACTTCGATGTCTCTGCCCAAGGCAGTCAGTGGCCGATTCAGGTGAGGACCCGTGAGTTCTTGTCCTGGCTCTGGAGTGGACAAGGGGCCATTGATTCAGCACCTGGTGTCCAGTTCAGCCTCCCCATGCTCCATCATTGGCCACAGCTCTGCGTGTGGGTAACCGGGTGGAGAGGGAGATAATAGTGCCCTGCTCTCTGGAGATGGAGGTGCAGCCGAGAGTCAAGACTTTCCAGGTTTGGGTGAGGCAGGGCGACCTGGGGTCGGACCACGCAGAGCTGGACGCGCCTTCCAACTGCAACCCAGATCTCGCCATGCTCTTGCTCCATATCCTCCCATGGCTCCCCATTGCCTGTGGATGCAAGTCCGGACACCTCCCTGGGGGTTCAGTGCCCCGTGTGGTTTTGCCGTTGCCAGCTAGGGCTCCCACCCCCGCAAGCGCAGACACACCCCCGGCCAGCCTCGCCCCTCGCTTAGCTGTACCCTGCTGACCCCGGCTCCCCATCCAGGTCTCAGCTCAGACAGGGTCTTCCCTGGGCCCGTCAAACACAGCCACAGCCCGGAACAGACCCCCCCCCCCACAGCTCCCTGCTAGCTCCGCTCCTCAGCGCTTTTTTCAGACAATCTGCTCATTAGCTGGGCTGCACGATTCTCACCTGTTTGTGCCCCCACCTTGACGCTGGGGGAAAGACGCCAGTCCCTGGGGGCCACAGCCAGTCCGATTGCATTGATGCGAGATGTCCAGACGGGCCAATTCGCAGAGACAGGAAGCAGATGGGTGGGGGTCCGGGCTGGGGAGGGGCTGGGAGTGACTGCTGAAGGGGACGGGGCTTCCTTTTGGGGGTGATGGAATGTTCTGGAACTAGAGGTGCGGGCGGACGATCTGTGAATGTGCTAGAAGGCGTTGAATGGAACATTTGTAACAGGGCGTGGATGCGCCGTGCACAGGCTGTGGTGCTGCGGGCGTCTGCGTGGAAGCCGCTGTGCCTCCAGCACCCGCGCGGCACCAGGCACATGCTGGGGCTTAGGAAGAGGAGGAGAGTCCTGGGGTGCGATCGCATGGCGGGGGCCAGCACAGGGACCACCCCCACCTGTTCAGGACAGACCCCCACTCCCGTCCACCACCGCCAACGCCGTCCCTGCCGCCGGCCCGGCCCCCCTGCCAAAGGCCTCTGCGGCCTCAGCTGCGGCTGGTCGTGCATGGTAATGAGGCTCTGTCCTTGAAACACGAGTCCTCCCTCCACAGGGGTCGACGCCGCGCTCCCCCAGACTCCCGAGACCGGGCAGCAGAGCTCACCGAGCCCGCCACCAGAGCGAGGGGCCCTGCAGGGGCAGACGGGCAGTCCGGGCCTGGTGGGACGTGCCCCTTGCTGGGGAGGGGAGGCAGGAAGGTTCTCGGTCGCCAACCCCAGCTCCGGCTTCGCGCCTGTGGACGGCGGGGCGCAGAGCCGAGGAGGTGACGTCACCCGAGGACACAGCTGTTCTGACCTCCGTGACGTTTATTACCAGCTGATGTCCCGTACACTGATTTCACGGTGTCACCCGCACCAGAATGTAAGCTCCTTAAGGACAGGGGGCCGGGCATTGTGGCTCAGGGCCTGTCATCCCAGCACTTTGGGAGGCTGGGGCGGGCTGATCACCTGAGGTCAGGAGTTCGAGACCATCCTGGGCACATGGCAAAACCCTGTCTCTACTAAAAATCCAAAAATTAGCTGGGCGTAGTGGCGCATGTCTGTAATCCCAGCTACTCAGGAGACTGAGGCAGGAGAATCGCTTTAACCCGGGAGGCAGAGGTTGCAGTGAGCCTAGATTGAACCATTGCACTCCAGCCTGGATGACAGAGTGAGACTGTCTCAAAAAAAAAAAAAAAAAAAAACTACCCACAAATAAATAAATAAAAATAAAAGAACAGGGACTTTCTGGCCTCTGTTCTCTGTTGTGTTTCCAGTTCATCGAAGGGCAACTGGTACATTTTCTTTTCTTTTCCTCTTTTTTTTTTTTTTTTTTTTGAGATGGAGTCTCGCTCTGTCGCCCAGGCTGGAGTGCAGTGGCGCGATCTCAGCTCACTGCAACCTCCACCTTCCGGGTTCACGCCATTCTCCTGCCTCAGCCTCCCAAGTAGCTGGGACTACAGGTGCCCGCCACCATGCCCGGCTAATTTTTTGTATTTTTTAGTAGAGACGGGGTTTCACCATGTTAACCAGGATGGTCTCCATCTCTTGAACTTGTGATCCGCCCTCCTCGGCCTCCCAAAGTGCTGGGATGACGCGTGAGCCACCGCACCCAGCCCCGGGGTCGCGTCTTGTACCTGCTTCCTCTCTGCTGTGTGGCCCTGAGCACGTCGCCGTCCGTCTCTGGGTCTCCGCCTCCCCGTGTAAAACAGGCTGAATCACCCTGGCTCCTCCTGGGGCATGAACTGGAGGCGCACTGTGTGCCAGCGTCCTCTACAGCAAGGACCCACTCAGGGAGGTTCTGCCCCGCCGGGGACTCTGGGCCGTGTCCAGGGACATTTGTGCCTGTCACGACTGGGAAGGGGGTGCTCCTGGCTTGGAGTGGGTAGAGGCCAGGGACGCTTCTCAGCACCCGGCAGTGCCCAAGACAGAGAGTCATCCACATAAGATGTCCATGGGGCCAAGAAAGAGAGACCTGCATTAATTATTTAAATTAAAAAAAAAAACACTAAATCTGTCCCCTGCTCACACCAGACACCAGGATCAACTCCTGACCCGGCAGACGGTGTAAACCAGGGGTCCCCAGCTCCTGGGATTCACCTCCTCTCTCCCTCCCACTCAGGGCGTGGATTTCAACGTGCACAGCCTCCTGGGACCTCAGCAGGGCTGAGGATTGTGGGATGCAGAGTCTCTTGGGGGTCTGTGGAATCCCCTAACCCAGAGGGTCTGAACCAGGGTGATTCTGCTCCCAGGGGACATTTGGTAAAGTCTGGGGACATCTGTGGTGTCCCTGGCATGGAGTGGGTGGAGGCCAGGGACGCTTCTCAGCACCCTGCAGTGCCCAGGACGGCCCCACCCCAGAGAACGACCAGGCCCCAGTGTTCACAGAGCCTGGGGAGACCGCGGTTTGCAGGGGCTGGCCTGATCCTCCCCCTACTCCAGTTCCATTTGGCAGCTGGGGACACCAATGCCAGAACAGGAGGAGCGCGTTGAATGTTGGGGGCGAACTGGAGCCCGGCTGGAAGGAGGGGAGTTCGGGGTGGGGGACGGAGGCCTGGCAGTGGCGGGAGGCCCAGAGCGAGGGAGGACTCTGGCCTGTGGGAGAGGAAGGGTGGAGCTGGGGTTGGCTCCGCGTGGCCGGGGTTACGCTGGGGTTCTGTGGGTCGCCCTGGGAGAGGTCAGGGATGGGGCTGGGTCCCTGGGCTGCAGTTCAGGTGGCTGGGACACACCATCAGGAGGTATCTGTGAGCAGATGGTGTTCCCATCCTGGGAGGATGGGAGGTAATGCCCCAGGTGGGTGGCAGCTTCCTGGGAGGGGGGTGGTCCGAGGGACCGATGAGGATGGAGATAGAGAGCCCTGAAAGTGTCGCCTTCCCCCAGGACCACAGCATGAGGACAAGGGAGGGGACAGAGGCCCCTAAAGAATCAGCCTGGGGCCGGGCGCAGTGGCTCATACCTGTCATCCTAGCACCTTGGGAGGCTGAGGCAGGTGGATCACCTGAGGTCAGGAGTTCGAGACCAGCCTGGCCAACAAGGTGAAACCCCGTCTCTACTAAAACTACAAAAATGAGCCAGGTGTGGTGGCATGCACCTTTAATCCCAGCTACTCAGGAG
Organism: Homo sapiens; assembly: GCF_000001405.40. Classification (NCBI taxonomy): domain Eukaryota; kingdom Metazoa; phylum Chordata; class Mammalia; order Primates; family Hominidae; genus Homo; species Homo sapiens. The sequence continues at coordinate 2,300,151 of NC_000019.10, read as the reverse complement.
GCTGAGGCAGGAGACTCCCTTGAACCCGGGAGGCGAAGGCTGCGGTGAGCAGAGATCGCGCCATTGCACTCTCAGCCTGGGTGACAGAGTGAGACTCCGACTCAATAAAAAAAAAAAAAAAAAAAAAAGAGGCCAGGCATGTGGTTCACCCCGGTAATCCCAGCACTTTGGGAGGCCGAGGCCGGTGGATCACGAGATCAGGAGAGTAAGACCATCCTGGCTAACACGGTGAAACCCCATCTCTGCTAAAAATACAAAAAATTAGCCGGGCGTGGTGGCGGGCGCCTGTAGTCCCAGCTACTTGGTAGGCTGAGGCAGGAGAATGGCATGAACCCAGGGGGCGAAGCTTGCAGTGAGCCGAGATCGCACCACTGCACTCCAGCCTGGGCGTCACAGCAAGACTCCGTCTCAAAAAAAAAAAAAAAAAAGGCAGGGCACAGTGGCTCACGCCTGTAATCCCAGCACTTTGGGAGGCAGAGGCGGGCGGATCACCAGGTCAGGAGATCGAGACCATCCTGGCTAACACAGTGAAACCCCGTCTCTACTAAAAATACAAAAAAATTAGCCGGGCATAGTGGTGGGCGCCTGCAGTCCCAGCTACTCGGCAGGCTGAGGCAGGAGAATTGCTTGAACATGGGAGGTGGAGCTTGCAGTGAGCCGAGATCGCACCACTGCACTCCAGCCTGGGCGACAGAGCGAGACTCCATCTCAAAAAAAAAATAAAATAAAATAAAAAATAAGAGACCAGGGAGGACAACCGGATGCATTCAGGGCACATGGTGAGCAGATGCAGGCCGTGTACACAGAATCGAGTCTCCCATGTCCCCTCTCCAGGAACCAGTTCTTCCTCCCAAGTTGGGGAACACCAGACCCTTAGGGGACATGTCAGAAGCCTGAGTCCAGCTGCCAGATCCCCCCTCCTGCCTCCCCGGCAGCACCCTGCAGAGGAAATGACAGGGCCAGGCCGTCGAGTGGGGGAGTCAGGGTTGTAAAACTAGGTCACAGCTTGAGTGGCCCCTGCTGGGCGCGAGGGATCAGCTGTCCTCTCATCCCAGGAGTAATTATAGAGCCAGAGCTTGGAGGGTGCCCCGGAGGGCTCTTGTACCTATACCGTGACAGGCGAGGTCCAGAGAGGGTAGGTTTCTCAACAGAGGTCACACAGCGCATCCGAATTGAGGCCTCCCGCAGGCACTTCTGCCACTGGATCAGTGTGACTGTGACCTAGCGATTCCAGACCTGTCATCTCTCCAGGAAACTTCCTGATTTTGCCCTTATCTGTGCTCTATGGGAACTGCTTTAAAAAAAATTTCTTGGGCCGGGTGCGGTGGCTCACGCCTGTAATCCCAGCACTTTGAGAGGCCGAGGTGGGCGGATCACGAGGTCAGGAGTTCGAGACCAGCCTGACCAACATGGTGAAATCCCATCTCTACTAAAAATACAAAAATTAGCCAGACCTGGTGGTGCGTGCTTGTAATCCCAGCTACTCGGGAGGCTGAGACAGCAGAATCTCTTGAACCCAGGAGGCAGAGGTTGCAGTGAGCTGAGATCACACCACTGCACTCCAGCCTGGATGACAGAGCAAGACTCTATGTCAAAAAAAAAAAAAAAAAAAAAATTATTGGCCCAGCACGGTGGCTCATGCCTGTGTTCCCGGCACCTTCGGAGGCCAAGGCAGGTGGATCACTTCAGCCCAGGAGTTCGAGACCAGCCTGGGCAATAGAGTGAGACCCTATCTCTACAAAAAAATGAAAAAATTAACCAGGTGTGCTGGCACTTGCCTATAATCCCAGCTACTTGAGAGGCTGAGGTGGGAGGATCGCTTGAGCTGGGGAGGTGGAGGCTGCAGTGAGCCGAGATCACACCACTGCACTCCAACCTGGGCAACAGAGCAAGAACCTGTCTCTAAATAAATAAATAAATAAATAAATTCCAACTTAAAAAGAAACCTCTAATTTAGAAAATGGACCAGGCCCAGTGGCTCACACCTATAATCTCAGCACTTTAGGAGGCTGAGGCAGGCAGATCACTTGAGCCCAGGAGTTTGAGACCAGCCTGGCTAACATGATGAAACCCCATCTCTACTAAAAATACAAAAATAAGCTGGATGTGGTGGCGGGCGCCTGTAGTCCCAGCTACTCAGGAGGCTGAGGCAGGAGAATCGCTTGAAGCTGGAAGGCAAAGGCCTCCCAGGAGATCCTGCCATTCCAGACTGGGCGACAGAGCAAGACCTTGTCTCAAAAAACAAACAGGCCAGGCGCGGTGGCTCACACTGTAATTCCAGCACTTTGGGAGGCCGAGGCGGGTGGATCACTTGAGGTTAGGAGTTTGAGACCAGCCTGGCTAACATGGTGAAACCCCATCGCTACTAAAAATACAAAAATTAGCTGGGCGTGGTGGCGTATGCCTGTAATCCCAGCTACTTGGTAGGCTGAGACAGGAGAATCACTTAAACTCGGGAGGCAGAGGTTGCAGTAAGTTGAGATCGTGCCATTGCACTCCAGCCTGGACAAAAAGAATGAAGCTCCATTTCAAAAAAAAAAAAAAAAAAAGGCCGGGTGCGGTGGCTTATGCCTGTAATCCCAGCACTTTGGGAAGCTGAGGCAGGTGGATCACGAGGTCAGGAGATCGAGACCATCCTGGCCAACGTGGTGAAATCCCGTCTCTACTAAAAATACAAAAATTAGCCGGGCGTGGTGGCGGGCACCTGTAGTCCCAGCTCCTCGGGAGGCTGAAGCAGGAGAATGGCGTGAACCTGGGAGGCGGAGGTTGCAGTGAACAGAGATCATGCCACTGCACTCCAGCCTGGGCGACAGAGCGAGACTCTGTCTCAGAAAAAAAAAAAAAAAAGGGGGGGAGGGAGGGTGCATGCCCGGGTCCTGGGGGAGCAGAGCAGGGTGAGGGGTCTGCACTGAGAGGAAAGAGCTTTTGCAGTATCTGGATGAGTCTAGGGTGGGGGTGAGGGCTGCTTGCTGTAGGGTCTTGCAGGCCAACAGATGGATGTTTCTCGCCTGAGAGCTGTGGGTAGGTTTACTTTATTCTTCTTCTTTTTTATTTTTTTTTGAGACGGAGTCTCGCTCTGTCGCCCAGGTTGGAGTGCAGTGGCGTGATCTCAGCTCACTGCAAGCTCCGCCTCCCGGGTTCACGCCATTCTCCTGCCTCAGCCTCCCGAGTAGCTGGGACTACGGGCGCCCGCCACCACGCCCGGCTAATTTTTTGTATGTTTTTTTAGTAGAGACGGGGTTTCACCATGTTAGCCAGGATGGTCTCGATCTCCTGACCTTGTGATCTGCCCGCCTCGGCCTCCCAAAGTGCTGGGATTACAGGTGTGAGCCACCATGCCCGGCCTATTCTTCTTTTTTAAAAACAGGGTCTTGCAGCTGGGCACGGTGGCTCACACCTGTAATCCCAGCACTTTGAGAGGCCGAGGTGGGTGGATCATTTGAAGTGGAGTTCGAAACCAACCTGGCCCACATGGTGAAACCCCGTCTCTACTAAAAATACAAAAATTAGCCGGGTGTGGTAGTGGGCACCTGTAACCCCAGCTACTTGGGAGGCTGAGGCAGGATAATCACCTGAACCCAGGAGGTGGAGGTTGCAGTGAGCTGAGATCATGCCATTGCATTCCAGCCCAGGCGACAGAGTGAGACCCTAACTCAAAAAAAAAAGAACCAAAAGACAGAGTCTCGCTCTGTTGCCCAAGCTAGAGTGCAGCGGCGCGATCTCAGCTCACTGCATCCTGGACCTCCTGGGCTCCAGTGATCCCCCCGCCTTGGCCTCCCAAAGTTCTGGGATGACAGGCGTGAACCACCGCGCCCGGCCTGTGGGCTGGGATTACAGGTGTGAGCCGCCACACCTGGGCTGTGGGCAGGTTTTCACCAGTGGTTTTGTAAACACTGTGGAGCGGACAGTAAGGGGGGAGGTGCAGGGTCGGGGGGCAGATAAAAGTGCCATCACCGCCCTAGCACTCTTGTCCCCTCCCGTGACACAGCCCCTGAGTGTGCTGTCGGCAGGGCAGCAGCTCGGGAGAGAATGACCCAGAAAAACAGTGCTGGGAGGGAGCTTGCTGGGAGGGAAGGATTGCCTTCCCTGTAACATGCCCAGGTTGGGATTAAGGATGATTCCGGGGTTGGGGGGGGCATGCCCCCTCTCTCGCTCCCTCCCTTCCTCCCTCCCTCGAGTTTCCTATGTTCCCAAGCTGGGGGCAGGAGGACCAAGGCCTCCTGGGAACCAGGGGCCCCTCGCTTTTCTCTCGGTGGGACCACATTCTCACCTGCGACACCTTCCTTTCCACCACACTCTGTGCTGTTCCACGTGGCATGTGAATGCCCAGTTTTGGCATCTGTACATATGTGTCCTGTCCACCTAAATCCAGAATTCAGTTTGGCGTTTCACCTTATTTATTTATGTATTTATTGAGACGGAGTTTCCCCTCTTGTCGCCCAGGCTGGAGTGCAGTGGCACAATCTCGGCTCACTGCCACCTCCGCCTGCCAGGTTCAAGCGATTCTCCTCCCTCAGCCTCACAAGGAGCTGGGATTACAGGCGCCCATCACCACGCCCGGCTAGTTTTTGTATTTTTTAGTAGAGACAGGGTTTCTCCATGTTGCTTAGGCTGCTCTCGAACTCCTGACCTCAAGTGATCCACCCGCCTCAGCCTCCCGAAGTGCTGGGATGACAGGCGTGAGCCACCGCGCCGGGCAAGAGGAGCTGCTGCTCTCACAGTTCTGGAGTCTGGAAGTCGAAGCTCAAGCAGGTCCAGCTTCCTTTGGGGGCTTTTGGGGAGACCCTTTCTGACTCTTCCAGCTTCCGGTGGTAGCTGGCCATCCCTGGTGTCACTTGACTTGTGGATGAATCACTCCAGTCTCTGCCTGTGTTGTGACTTGGCCGTTGCCTGTGTCTCTGTGTCCAGATTTCCCTCTTATAAGGATGCCAGTCATTGAATTAGGGCTCTCCCTGCTCCTGCGTGACCTCATCTTAATGAATTACAGCTGCAAGATACAAACCCTGTCCTCACTTACGTACAATTCATCTCTGACATGAAGCAGTCTCCCGGGGCTCCGCGTCTGTTCGCTCTGGGATTAAATTCGCGTAGGCACTGGGGAGGCGGGAGCTGCCTTCGCAGATATTTAGCAAATGAGGATCGAAGGCCAGTGGGAACCGTGAGGAGACGCACAACCTGGTTTGGGCCACGGGGCCTGGGGGGATGCCGAGGGGGGCTCAGCTGCCAAGATGCCAAAAATAGCCGGCCGGCTGGCGGGGGAGGCGGCCAAGCAGAAGAAGCTGGGCAATGCCGCCTGGTAGTTCTGGCTGCTTCCTCCCGCTCCCTCCAACCCCACCTCCACCCGCCACCCCAGCCCCCAGAATCTTGGCTGCAGCCAAGAAGAGCTGGTAAGGGTGCAGCAGGCTCCCAGGAGAGACGGAAACAGCCCAGGAGGCACAGCTACCAGGACCCACGGAGCATTGGCGCCTGTTCCTCTGGGCCACCACGGCTCCATGTCATCTGCCCCCCACCCAGAGGCCCCTCCTAACCCAGCTCCCCGCCCCCCTCCACTCTCTCCTTTAGCTTCACCAGACTCCCGCCACACCTCGGGGCCTCTGCCGTGGCTGTTCCCCCAGCCCACACACCCTTCCTCCAGAAAACCATGGGCTCTGTTCAACTTTTGGGTCGGCCTGTTTCCTGCCAGAACACGGCGCCACAAACCCCGGGGGGTTTAAAACAACCGAAATATATGCCTTCCCAGCTCCGGAGGCGGAAGTCCAAAATCAAGGTGTCCGCAGGGCCGGGGGCCCTCTGGAAGCTCCCGGGGCGCGTCCTTCCTGCCTCTCCCGGCTTCCTGGGGCTCTCAGCAATCCCCGGCTTGTGGCTGTGTCACCCTAGCCTCTGCCTCCGTGTTCACACGGCTCTATTTCCCCTGTATAGGGCTAGGTGTGTGTCCAAGTCTCCCTCTTGTTGTAAGGACAGGAGTCGTTGGAAAAGGCTCACTGTAATCCACTGCAGTCTCATCTAGCCCTGAGCACATCTGTAAAGACCCTGATTCCAAATGAGGTCCCGTGCACAGCAGGCACGGAGGGCAGGACGTGAACATACCTTTTTTTTTCCCTTGAGACAGTCTCACTCTGTTGCCCAGTGGCTAGAGCGCAGTGGCACGATCACAGCTCACTGAAGCCTCAACTCCTGGGATCAAGCGATCCTCCCACCCCAGATTCCCCTAGTTAGGACTATAGATGCGCGCCACCACGCCAGGCTAACTTTTGTATTTTTAGTTGAGACGGGGGTTCCCCATGTTGCCCAGGCTGGTCTCGAACTCCTGACCTCAGGTGATCCACCCACCTCGGCCTCCCAAAATGCTGGATTTACAGGCGTGAGCCACCGCGCCCGGCCTTGAACATTTGCGGGAACACAGTTCCACCTACAACAGGGTCTGAGATCAAATGTCATCTCCCTGTCTGTGGATGGGCCTGTCCTGGACATTTCATAGAAATGAGATCACACGGACGGGCGCGGTGGCTCACACCTGTAATCCCAGCACTTTGGGAGGCCAAGGCCGGTGGATTACCCGAGGTCAGGAGTTCAAGACCAGCCTGGCCAACATGGCAAAACCCCATCTGTACTAAAACTACAAAAATTAGCTGGGCATGGTGGCGGGTGCCTGTAGTCCCAGCTACTCAGGAGGCTGAGGCAGGAGAATCACTTAAACCCTGGGGAGGGGGAGCTTGCAGTGAGCTGAGATCGCACCACTGCATTCCAGCCTGGGCCAGAGTGAGACTCTGTCTCCAAAAAAAAAAAAAGGCCAGGCGCGGTGGCTCACTCCTGTAATCCCAGCACTTTGGGAGGCCAAGGAGGGTGGATCACGAGGTCAGGAGATCGAGACCATCCTGGCTAACACGGTGAAATCCCGTCTCTACTAAAAACACAAAAAATTAGCCAGGCGTGGTGGCTGGCACCTGTAGCCCCAGTTACTCGGGAGGCTGAGGCAGGAGAATGGCGTGAACCCGGGAGGCAGAGCTTGCAGTGAGGTGAGATTGTGCCACCGCACTCCAGCCTGGGTGACAGAGCAAGACTCCGTCTCAAAAAGAAAGAAAGAAAGAAACGGGGTCATACAGTGTGGCCTTTTGTGTCGCGTCTCTCACTGAGCATGGCGTCCTCAAGGTGCATCCCCACCGTGGCCTGGGTCAGAGCCTCACTCCTTTTCATGGCTGAGTCGTGTTCGTGTGTGGGTGGCTGCACGGTGCTGACCCATCCATTCCTTGGGGCACATTCCAGCCTTTTCCACTGTTTGGCTGTTACAGATGCGGCTGTGAATGTTCCCAGGTTTTCCGTGCGCTGTGTGTTCCATTCTCTTATGCAAAGACACCCAGGAGCGGGTGGGCGCGGTGGCTCACACCTGTAATCCCAGCACTTTGGGAGGCGGAGGCAGGTGGATCACCTGAGGTCAGGAGTTTGAGACCAACCTGGCCAATATGGTAAAACCCCGTCTCTACTAAAAATACAAAAATTAGCCGGACGTGGTGGCGGGCACCTGTAATCCCAGCTACTCAGGAGGCTGAGGCAGGAGAATTGCTTGAACCCGGGAGGTGGAGGTTTCAGTGAGCCGAGATCAAGCCACTGCACTCCAGCCTGGATGACAGAGTGAGCCTCCATCTCAAACAGACAAACAAACACAAACAAAACAAAACAAAAAAACCCAGGAGATTGGAATTGCAGCCACACGGTGGATCAATGCTGCTTTTTTTTTTTTTTTTTTTTTTTTTTGAGACAGGGTTTTTTGCTCTATCTCCCAGGCTGGAGTGCAGTGGCACGATCACAGCTCACTGTGGCCTCAACCCCCTGGGCTCAAGCAATCCTCCTGGCTCAGCCTCCTGAGTAGCTGGGACCACAGGTGCAGGCCACCATGCCTGGGTAAACTTTTCAATATTTCACAATTACTTGAAAACCAGCTAATTTTTAATTTTTTTTTTTTTAAGAGACAGGGGTCTCACCGTGTTGCCCAGGCTGGAGTGCAGTGGCACAAGCATATCTCACTGCAGCCTCCACCTCCTGGGCCCAAGCCATCCTCCTGCCTCAGCCTCCTGAGTAGCTGGGACCACAGGCCTACACCACCACATGCGGCTCATCTTTTATTTTTTTGTAGAGATGGGAGTCTTGCTATGTTGTGCAGGCTGGTCTCGAACTCTTGAACTCAAGCAATTCTTCCATCTCAGCCTCCCAAAATGCTGGGTTTACAGGAGCGAGCCGCCGTGCTGGGACGGGTTAGGGGCGGGCTGGCGGCAGAGGCGCCGCGGAGGGGTGCTAACGGTGCTAACGCTGCCCGCTCCCCGCCCGCCCGCAGGTGCGCAGGAGGATGGTGGCGCGGCCCTAGGCCCACGCTCCGCACCATGACCTGCTGGCTGTGCGTCCTGAGCCTGCCCCTGCTCCTGCTGCCCGCGGCGCCGCCCCCGGCTGGAGGCTGCCCGGCCCGCTGCGAGTGCACCGTGCAGACCCGCGCGGTGGCCTGCACGCGCCGCCGCCTGACCGCCGTGCCCGACGGCATCCCGGCCGAGACCCGCCTGCTGGAGCTCAGCCGCAACCGCATCCGCTGCCTGAACCCGGGCGACCTGGCCGCGCTGCCCGCGCTGGAGGAGCTGGACCTGAGCGAGAACGCCATCGCGCACGTGGAGCCCGGCGCCTTCGCCAACCTGCCGCGCCTGCGCGTCCTGCGTCTCCGTGGCAACCAGCTGAAGCTCATCCCGCCCGGGGTCTTCACGCGCCTGGACAACCTCACGCTGCTGGACCTGAGCGAGAACAAGCTGGTAATCCTGCTGGACTACACTTTCCAGGACCTGCACAGCCTGCGCCGGCTGGAAGTGGGCGACAACGACCTGGTATTCGTCTCGCGCCGCGCCTTCGCGGGGCTGCTGGCCCTGGAGGAGCTGACCCTGGAGCGCTGCAACCTCACGGCTCTGTCCGGGGAGTCGCTGGGCCATCTGCGCAGCCTGGGCGCCCTGCGGCTGCGCCACCTGGCCATCGCCTCCCTGGAGGACCAGAACTTCCGCAGGCTGCCCGGGCTGCTGCACCTGGAGATTGACAACTGGCCGCTGCTGGAGGAGGTGGCGGCGGGCAGCCTGCGGGGCCTGAACCTGACCTCGCTGTCGGTCACCCACACCAACATCACCGCCGTGCCGGCCGCCGCGCTGCGGCACCAGGCGCACCTCACCTGCCTCAATCTGTCGCACAACCCCATCAGCACGGTGCCGCGGGGGTCGTTCCGGGACCTGGTCCGCCTGCGCGAGCTGCACCTGGCCGGGGCCCTGCTGGCTGTGGTGGAGCCGCAGGCCTTCCTGGGCCTGCGCCAGATCCGCCTGCTCAACCTCTCCAACAACCTGCTCTCCACGTTGGAGGAGAGCACCTTCCACTCGGTGAACACGCTAGAGACGCTGCGCGTGGACGGGAACCCGCTGGCCTGCGACTGTCGCCTGCTGTGGATCGTGCAGCGTCGCAAGACCCTCAACTTCGACGGGCGGCTGCCGGCCTGCGCCACCCCGGCCGAGGTGCGCGGCGACGCGCTGCGAAACCTGCCGGACTCCGTGCTGTTCGAGTACTTCGTGTGCCGCAAACCCAAGATCCGGGAGCGGCGGCTGCAGCGCGTCACGGCCACCGCGGGCGAAGACGTCCGCTTCCTCTGCCGCGCCGAGGGCGAGCCGGCGCCCACCGTGGCCTGGGTGACCCCCCAGCACCGGCCGGTGACGGCCACCAGCGCGGGCCGGGCGCGCGTGCTCCCCGGGGGGACGCTGGAGATCCAGGACGCGCGGCCGCAGGACAGCGGCACCTACACGTGCGTGGCCAGCAACGCGGGCGGCAACGACACCTACTTCGCCACGCTGACCGTGCGCCCCGAGCCGGCCGCCAACCGGACCCCGGGCGAGGCCCACAACGAGACGCTGGCGGCCCTGCGCGCGCCGCTCGACCTCACCACCATCCTGGTGTCCACCGCCATGGGCTGCATCACCTTCCTGGGCGTGGTCCTCTTCTGCTTCGTGCTGCTGTTCGTGTGGAGCCGCGGCCGCGGGCAGCACAAAAACAACTTCTCGGTGGAGTACTCCTTCCGCAAGGTGGATGGGCCGGCCGCCGCGGCGGGCCAGGGAGGCGCGCGCAAGTTCAACATGAAGATGATCTGAGGGGTCCCCAGGGCGGACCCTCCCCTCCCCTCCCCCGCGGGCCGGCCGCTCGCGTGTCCACCTATGCATTTCCCGGAGGGGAAGGGGACGGCTGCACGGCGCTCCCCAGGCAGAACTTCCCCTTTTTTTGTAGACGCCCAACCGCAGGACTGTTTTTCATCAGCATGCGTCTTTTTTGCAGTTTCTCAAGCGTTTTCTAAAGATTTCAACCCGTCTTCCTGTCCCTGCTATGGTGGCTGAGCTGGGGGGTGGGGGTGCGGGCTGCAAGGATGGGGGGATGGGCTCCCGTCTACCAACCCGGGGTGGCTGGGGGCGCTCAGAGACCCCAGGATCCTCAGGGCCCGCAATTCACACCCAGGAGGCACAAGACTGCTGCCCCCAAGCCCTGGGCTTCCGCTCCCCCAGCCCTTTGTACACAGATCGCATCGGGGAGACGGTGGACACCCGGGTCCCACAAAGGGCCCCACAGCCCCAAGGGGAGGGTGCGCAGAAAGTCTGCATTGCTCACACCTGGCCGTCCTACACCTCACACCCAGAGACACACTCACACCTGGAACCCAATCACACAGGTGCAACACACCTCACACCCAGCCGACACTAAAACCAGACCCGGGGCACCAGAGCTGACCGCAGGGGGCAGGCAGGGCTCTCGTGAGAGCAAAGCTCACACCCGGGACAGGCGCAACTCACACCCGGGACACACAGCTCACACCCAGGACACACACAGCTCACACCCAGAACACACAGCTCACACCCGGGACACACAGCTTACACCCGGGAAACACAGCTCACACCCGGGACACACAGCTCACACCCGGAACACAGAGCTCACACCCGGGACACACAGCTCATACGCAGGACACACTCAGCTCACACCTGATACAAGGACAGCTCACAGTGGAACACACAGCTCACACCCGGGATACAGCTCACACCCAGGACACACTCAGCTCACACTGGAACACACAGCTCACACCCAGAACACAGAACTCACATCTGGGACACACACAGCTCACACCCGAGACACACACCCTCACACCCAGCTGACACTAAAACCAAGCCCTGGGCACCAGAGCTGACCACAGAGGCAGGCAGGGCTCTCGTGAGAGCACAGCTCACACCAGGGACATGCTCAGTTCACACCTGGGACAGGCACAACGCATAACTGAGACACAGCTCACACCTGGGACACAGAGCCCACCCCAGCGCCTGCTCAGCTGAGCATCTCCCAGCCGACCTCGGGGCCTGGGCTCAGGTCTTGCTGAGGACCCAGCACACACGGTGGTCACAGTCAGGGGTCCACACGCCCTGTCCTCCGTCCTCCCCACAGCCCAGCAGGGCTGTCCACAAGAAGGAGCCATCACCCCAGCCCTCCGCCTCCCTCCGCTGCCACGTGCTTCCCAGAACAGCAGGCAAGAGAGGGCCACCCCACAAGGGAGAGGTGGCCACCCTGCCCCGGCCCAGAACCATGGCTTCTGGGGTGCTGAGTGTCCTTCCAAATGGGTCTACTGGAGGGACTTTTGCCCCTAGGTACACATGACCTCTGAGCCGGCCTCAGACAAGCCCTGAGCGTGGCCCCATCATGGCCGGCCCTGCTGACCCGTGGCTCAGGTGGGGAACGAGACCAAAGAGCACAGGGGGTTCCCGGGGATCCCGGCTACGTGCGGTGCAGTGTAGTGACAAGAACAAGGCCGGAACAAGGGCTTCACCCTGCAGGGAGGCCTGGACCCGGGTCCTCGGGAGAAGGTGATGGAGGAAGCTGGGTCTCTGCACCTGCAGAGGTGGGGCAGATCCAGGACCAAAGCTGGGGTCACAGGCCGACTGCAGCTCTGGTCAAGGAAGAGCTTCCCTGAGGTCACCGCCCGGTTGCTCTGCAGATGGTGGGCATCCTGTCACGGGGGGCAAACAAGCAGGAGCTGAGGTTTTGCAGAAGGATTCAGGCACCAGACCGGGACCACAGGGACCATCTGTGACCTGGCCTCCTCACAGCCAGTTCTTGCCCCTCCCCTCCACATCCTCCAGAGGACAGTTAGGACATTGCTGGGGGCAGGGACAGGAACCACTGTTGGGCCAAAACCTCAGCCAGAAAGGGGCTTGGCTGCCAACCAAGAGGTTAGGACAGACCCTCCAGGACTTTGCGGGAAGGGCTCAAAAGCAGCTCTGCTCCTGCCCGGCTATGTGATCTCAGCTGGTGACTGAAGACCACCTAGACCATCAGTGTCCTCATCTGTAAAATGGGTCTGAGGGTCAAACCTATTACCCTGTATTCAGAGGCCAGGCCTGCAGATGAGCTTGATGGCTTGACTTGGATCCTGGATCCCTGAAGACTGCTCTGAGATCGATCAGCCAGAGAGAAACAGAGAGAAAGCTGGCTCAGCCCTGAAGGCTTTGAGCAAAAGTTTCAGAAGGAGCTGGAAGGAGACAACAGCCCGTTCTCCCTGAGCTGTGGCCGGGAGGGCCCAGGCCAGCACCACGATGTACAGATGGCCCAGGGGGCTCGACATGAGTGAGGGCTGAAGTTCGTGCAACCCCAACCGCCACCCCTGAATTGGGCAGAACCAATTTTTTTCTTAGCACCTGTCTGACTCTGCTTACCATGACAACCCCAAGGGCCCCCCAGAATTGATATCCAAGTGCCTTTAGCCTATCAAAGACAGGAGGGGGTGCATTCTCGGCCAGGTTAGGGTTCACAGAGCATCCGTATATTAGGATTTCCCAGCCCCCTGAGCCCCCCACCCCATCCCAACATGAACTAAGACCCCTCAGCACCCCCACCCCTCATCCTGCTGTATTTGGTTCAAATCCAATAAAAATGGAACCGATTTAATAACAAACTTCAGATTTTGTTCTTACTCCCATGGGAGCAACAGGGGGCAGGGCTGAGGGATGAGGGGCTGCTGGGGTCCCCAGGGGAAGCCAACCCTGAGGGAATTCCACGCCACTAGTGACATGTGATAGGCCACACTTCTGCAGCGCCCATGCTGTTCCCGGCGCTGTTCCAGGCGCTGTGTGTGTTCCCTCCTTTCACGCTGAGGCCAGCCCTGTGAGCTGGGTGGGTCCTGCTAACGAACCCATTTTACAGATGGGTCGAGCAAGGGGCAGAGGGTGGAGGGAAGCCGCTCTGAGACCCCAGCTGGGGACAGGTGGGGGCTGAGAAGAGTGGGCAAAGCTGGGCCATTGGGAAACTCCTGCCCCAAACTCAGGCCGGGGAAGAAAGAAGACATGGGTCCCCACTGTGCCTCCTGGAATTGGTCTGTCGGGGAGTCTGGGTGCTGCTGACAGGGTCCCATGTCTGCCCTGCCTGTCTCTGAGGGCTCCGAGAAAAGCCAGGGAGTCTTGGCTTTGGAAGTGAGACTAATAAAGTGCTTTAGCCCCACCCCAGTCCTCACTGACAGATGGGGAAATTGAGGCACAGAGCGGCAACAGATGGAGAAACCGAGGCACGGAGCGGTGACAGGTGGGGAAACTGAGGCACAGTGGGCATGAAGTCTCAAACCCCACCCGCCCGGGAAGGCACAGGGAGAAGCTTGTGCTTTTTCAGGATGGAAGTGGACGGAACTAGGATGCAGAAGACCCGGCCAAGAGCAGTCTCCCACTCGCCACAGCCCAGTGTCACTCTCTGGGCCTCGGTTCCCCCATTTGAACCTGGGACTAAGGTTCCTTTATTTCCCTGCCCTTCGGGGGCAGAACAGAGGCCTGTCAGGGACTGTGAGGCGGCCCTCTCTCCATGCCTGGTTTCAAGGCAGCTGGAGGGTGAGGGGGGCTCTAAGCTGTGGGACTCTCCCGTGGGGACTGATTTCCCGTTCTCTCCTACAGCAAAGGCAGGTGAAACTATTGTCCTGTAGGCCTCAGAGTCCCCGTCCAGGAGAGCCGCCTCTTCCCTGTGCAATGCTCTGAGTGCCTGACATGAACCAGGTGCAACCTCCAAGGTTTCCATGAACCCTGACTCATTTATGGGGTGCACTCGGGGGAGGGCAGGGGAGACCCCAGCTGAGAGGCCCTCCCTGCTCAGGCAGCCAAGACCCAGCTAAAGTAACACCCATCTCCTTGGTGGCTGGAAACCTAAGAGGGGACCCCTAAAACCAGGACCAGACCAAGCCATCCTCACGCCCCATGTCTGGGTGGCTTCTGACCAAGCCTGACTTGACTTCCCCTCCCAGACGGAGCTAGGACAGCACTCGGGGTGCCCCAGCCCATGCCGGCACCCTCGTGGATCTCTCACCCCCATCTTCTGGACAGGGACACGCGTTTGGGGTGTCTCTCTCTCTCCCACATCCCCCGACAAGCCGGCATCTTTTCCAGGTGATTCCTGAGCCCTGCGTATGAACTTCCTCCTGTTTTCCTCCACAAGACAGAGGCACAATTCCCACATGTGAGCTTTTGCTTGTGGAGCCAAGGGAAGCTGGAGGCTCAGGTCTCCGGCTTCCATTGCTGTGTGGCCTGGGGCAAGTCACTGCCCCTCTCTGTGCCTCGGTTTGTTTGTCTGTAATTTGGAAGCTAATAGTCCTGCAATAGGCTGGGCATGGTGGCTCACGTCTGTAATCCCAGCACTTTGGGAGGCCGAGGCGGGTGGATCACCTGTGGTCAGGAGTTCGAGACCAGCCTCGCCAACATGGCGAAACCCCATCTTTTCGAAAATACAAAAATTTGCTGGGCGTGGTGGCGGCCACCTGTAATCCCAGCTACTCAGGGGGCTGAGGCAGGAGAATCGCTTGAACCGGGGAGGGGAAGGTTACAGTGAGCCGAGATCGCACCACTGAACTCCAGCCTGGCTACAGAGTGAGACCCTGTCTCAAACAAACAAAACACAGGCATTTTTCTCCAAAAGGCCGATGTCATGTAAAAATCCATCAGCATACGGCATCCCTGCCCTGCCCCGTACTGGGTGATGCTGGGGATCCAGAGAAAATGTGGCCCCAGCTCCCATGGCTCAATAAGGGCTTCTCAAATGAAAGGACAGCTGTAGGATCTGGAGGGGCCTGATCCAGAGGCCACACCACGCTACCAACATTTTTTTTTTTTTTGAAGACAGAGTTTCACCCAGGCTGGAGTGCACGATCTCAGCTCACTGCAACCTCTGCCTCCCGGGTTCAAGCGATTCTCCTGCCTCAGCCTCCCGAGTAACTGGGATTACAGGTGCAGGCTACCATGCCTGGCTAATTTTGTGTTTTTAGTAGAGACGGGGTTTCACCATCTTGGCTAGGATGGTCTCGATCTCCCGACCTCAGGTGATCTGCCTGCCTCAGCCTCCCAAAGTGCTGGGATTACAGGCATGAGCCACTACGCCCAGCCTTTTTTTTTTTTTTTTTAAACGGAGTCTTGCTCTGTCACCCAGGCTGGAGTGCAGTGGTGCAATCTCATCTCACTGCAACCTCCGCCTCCCGGGTTCAAGCGATTCTCCTGCCTCAGCCTCCAGAGTAGCTGGGATCACAGGCACCCACCTCCATGCCCGAATAATTTTTTTTTTTTTTTTGTATTTTTAGTAGAGATGGGGTTTCAGCATGTTGGCCAGGCTGGTCTCAAACTCCTGACCTCAGGTGATCCACCAGCCTCAGCCTCCCAAAGGGCTGGGATTACAGGCATGAGCCACCACACCTGGCCTATCAATATTTTAAATAAAGACAGGATCTGATCTGCACTTGTTTAACCCTGCTTCTCTTTGCCTTACCCTGCTCCTCCACCCGGGTTCCAATAAAACTTTATTGACAAAAACAGAGGCTCGGCCCATAGTTTGCCGGTTAGGTTTTGTGAAACATTCAGTAAAATGATGTTTATCTTGATTACTGAGGTGCATGTTTGTCTGTTTTTGCATTGTTTTATTATTTATTATTGATTTATTTTTGTGATAGGGTCTCACTCTGTTGCCCAGGCTGGAGTTCAGTGTTATGATCATAGCTCCCTGCAGCCTCGACCTCCTGGACTCAAGCAATGCCCCCACCTCAGCCTTCTGAGTAGCTGGGACCACAGGCACACGCCACTGTGCCAGGCTCATGTTTTATTTTTTGTAGAGATGGGGTCTCACTGTGTTGCCCAGGATGGTACCAAACTCCTGGGCTCAAGTGATCCACCCACCTCAGCCTCTCAAAGTGCTGGGATTACAGGCATGTGCCCAGCCTTTGCATCATTTTAAACTCTGTGGCGGGCGCAGTGGCTCACGCCTGTAATCCCAGCATTTTGGGAGGCTGAGGCGGGCAGGTCACCTGAGGTCAGGAGTTCGAGACCAGGCTGGCCAACACGGTGAAACCCCAACTCTACTAAAAATAATAATAATAATACAAAAATTAGCCAGGTGTGGTGGTGCACGCCTGTAGTACCAGCTACTTGGGAGCCTGAGGCAGGAGAATTGCTTGAACCCGGGAGGCGGAGGTTGCAGTCAGCCAAGATTGCGCCACTGCACTGCAGCCTGGACAACAGAGTGAGACTCCATCTCAAAAATAAATAAATAAAATAAAAATTAACCAGGCATGGTGGTGCACACCAGTGGTCCCAGCTACTCAGGAGGCTGAGGTGGGAGAATCACTTGAGCCCAGGAGGCGGAGGCTGCAGTGAGCTATGATCACACCACGGCACTCCAGCCTAGGGGACGGAGCTAGACCCTGCCTCAAAGAAAAAAAAGTGTGGCATGGGACCCACTCAAGGGAAGTTCATAAGAAAAATGTAGTCTCCTTCCCCTCCTGCCCCTTCTCAGGGGATTGGGGGAGGCCAGGGGGACTCAGCAGTGGCTCTGTGGACCTCTGCTCCCAGCCTCGAGCTGCTGCGTGACCCTGGATGGAGCCCCTACTCTTTCTGGGCCCATTTTCCCTAAGGGAAACGGGATCGGGGATCCCACATAAAATACACTCAATCCTTGCAGCAAAAACATCTTTGGGGCCGGGCAGGGTGGCTCACACCTGTGATCCTAGCACTTTGGGAGGCCGAGGAGGGAGGATCGCCCCAGGAGCTCGTTCCAGGCTGCAGTGAGCTGGGATTGCACCACTGCGCTCCAGCCTGGGCAACAGTGTGAGACCCTGTCTCCAAAGAAAAAGACAGTTTTGACAGGCACGCAGTTCAGCTGGAATTTCACCCCGCGTCTGCTTTTCCTTGGGTTTTTTCCATTCTTGATTTTTCCATTTATGGTGATTTTATCTAAAACGTCTTTTCTAAATAAATGCATCGAGGCAGTGAGGAAGGGGGAAGGGGGAAAACGAGCCGATTCCATCTTTTCAAAGAAAAATCCAGCAGGCGTGGCTGTTAGCAGGCGGGATGTGGGAGCCACTCTTCTTTCTTCGCCGGAGCACGGAGAGGGTGGGGATTTGCCCGCAGTCACACAGCGAGGCGCGGCAGAGCCGGGAGGGTCCTCGCCCACGCTCCACATTCGGGGGCCCTGGGATGGGGCAGGGGGCCGCTGGGGGCTCCTCAGATGCTGCCGCAGGAGGGGAGGTGGTTCCCGGGGAAGTGAAACCCACAGACCCCACTTGCACCTTCTCCAGGGACAGCCGCCACCGTGTTCTGTGCGCTCCCCTACGGTGGGCCAGCTCTGCCCCTCTCTCCCCATCTCACAGGGCTCCCCACTGCCCCGCACCCCAGCCTGGCCTCTGAGGCTGTGGGGGGCCTTCCACTGCCCCCACCCGGCTGTCAGCCCTGGGGCTATTGACTTTCAGATCCCACCTCCTGGTCTCTGTCCAGGCTGTTCCCTCCCGGTTACATCCTGTCCTCTGCGGGCGGGCAGGGGAGGCGGCGGCCTCGGCTGCTGGGGAAGTGTTGCAGAAATGTCCCCTCCCCACCCCGGGCTGCGGTCTGACAGTGGGCCGGACGTTTTCCTGTCAGCTGCCGGCGCCAGGTCAGACCCCTCCTGCGAGGCCAGGGGCTGTGGCCATTGGGAGTTTGTCCCCACGGACCCCTCCTCCCCCAGAGGGCACGCCAGTCTTGAAGGTAGGGGGCTCCTGGAGCGGGGAGCTGGACAGAAGCGGCCACTTTTTGAGGTTGGGATCTGGGCGGGGGTGGGTCGAGGCCTGGCTGCCGGCAGCAACCGCACGGCTGAGCCCTCGGGGATGAGGCCTGAGTGTGGATCCCTGGGTCCCTGGACACTGTCTCCCCCGCAACTGACCCCCAAAGGCCTGTCCTCAGGCTGAACACTCTGTCCCCATCCCAAACGTGCAGAGGGGGGTCCTTCCCACTGCCTGGAAAATTGATGGGTGACAGACCTGCCTCATGATTGAGGAAGTGGGCCCAGAGAGGGCAGGAAACCCACTCGGGATCACACAGCAGGGCCCCAGAGAGGGCAGGAAACCCACTCAGAATCACACAGCAGGGGCCCAGAGAGAGTAGGAAACCCACTCGGGATCACACAGCAGGGCCCCAGAGAGGGCAGGAAACCCACTCGGGATCACACAGCAGGGCCCCAGAGAGGGCAGGAAACCCACTCGGGATCACACATCAGGGGCCCAGAGAGGGCAGCAAACCCACTCAGGATCACACAGCAGGGCCCCAGAGAGGGCAGCAAACCCACTCAGAATCACACAGCAGGGGCCCAGAGAGAGTAGGAAACCCACTCGGGATCACACAGCAGGGCCCCAGAGAGGGCAGGAAACCCACTCAGAATCACACAGCAGGGGCCCAGAGAGAGTAGGAAACCCACTCGGGATCACACAGCAGGGCCCCAGAGAGGGCAGGAAACCCACTCGGGATCACACATCAGGGGCCCAGAGAGGGCAGCAAACCCACTCAGGATCACACAGCAGGGCCCCAGAGAGGGCAGCAAACCCACTCAGAATCACACAGCAGGGGCCCAGAGAGAGTAGGAAACCCACTCGGGATCACACAGCAGGGGCCCAGAGAGGACAGGAAACCCACTCGGGATCACACAGCAGGGGCCCAGAGAGGACAGGAAACCCACTCGGGATCACACAGCAGGGTCAAAACTGGACAAGGGAGTGGAGTGTGGGTGCGCCTGTTCTCACCAAGGGCCCTGGAGCAGGAGGCCTCGACGGTCTCCCAGGCCCCAGCACTCACGGACCCCTCCCCATGTCGCCCTGTGCGTGCACACGGTCACCCCACACACGCCCCGTTTGACCTTTCCCCAGCAACATGAGCAGCCCGGAGCCCCCCACAGAGCCCCCCGAGCCCGACAACCCCACCTGGTCGACTCAGCCCACGTATAGCAACCTTGGTAAGCAGCTCCCCAGGGAGCCCTGGGCTGCGGGGGTGCAGGGAGCGGCAGGGGGGTGCAGGGAGCGGCAGGTGGGTGCAGGGAGCGGCAGGAGGTTGCCGGGCACCATGGCCTCTGGGAACAGCAGCAGCTGGTAAAATGAGTGACCTCCGGGAAGGCCCGGAGTAGGCCAGGGCTGAAAAATAACCTGTGGGTTGGTGGGCGGGGCGTGGTGGCTCACGCCTGTAATCCCAGCACCTTGGGAGGCTGAGGCAGGTGGATCCCTTGAGGCCAGGAGTTCAAGACCGGCCTGGGCAATATAATGAGACCCGCCCCCCATCTCTACAAAACAAAAAAAATGAGATGGACATGGTGTCAAGAGCCTGCAGTCCCAGCTGCTCGGGAAGCTGAGGTGGGAGGATCCCTTGAGCCCAGGAGGTCAAGGCTGCAGTGAGCCATGAAATAGAAAAAAATATATACCATTAAAAAGAGAGAGAGGCTGGGCACGGTAACTCATGCCTGTAATCCCACCCTTTAATCCCAGCACTTTGGGAGGCCAAGGAGGAGGATCACTTGAGGCCAGGAGTTCAAGACCAGCCTGGCCAACATGGCAAAACCTGTCTCTGCTAAAAATACAAAAATTAGCCAGACATGGTGGTGCATGCCTGTAATTCCAGCTACTCGGGAGGCTGAGGCAGGAGAATCGCTTGAACCTGTGAGGCAGAGGGTGCAGTGAGCCAAGACTGAGCCACCGCACTCCAGCCTGGGCGACAGAGGGAGACTCCATCTCAAAAAAAAAAAAAAAAAAAAAAAAAAAGGCCAGGTGCAATGGTTCAAGCCTGTAATCCCAGCACTTTGGGAGGCCGAGTCAGGCAGATCACCTGAGGTCAGGAGTTTGAAACCAGCCTGGCTAACATGGTGAAACCCCATCTCTACTAAAAATACAAAAATTAGCTGGGCATAGTGGCGGGCGGGCACCTGTAGTCCCAGCTACTTGGGAGGCTGAGGTAGGAGAATCGCTTGAACCTAGGAGGCGGAGGTTGCAGTGAGCCGAGATCGTGCCACTGCACTCCAGGCTGGGCGACAGAGCAAGACTTCAAAAAAGAAAAAAAGCAAGACAGACGCTTGTGCAAAGCCACGGAGGTAAGTGGGAGTCGCTGAGTGCTGGGTGGCATCACTCTCTGAAACTGATCCATCCTCCTATAAGCCTCAGTTTCCCCTTCTGTAAGCTCTGCCGCCCAGGCTGGAGTGCAGTGGCACAATCTCGGTTCACTGCAAGCTCCACTTCTCAAGTTCACACAATTTTCCTGCCTCAGCCTCCCGAGTAGCTGGGACCACAGGCGCCCACCACCAAGCCCGGCTAATTTTTTGTATTTTTAGTAAAGACGGGGTTTCACCGTGTTAGCCAGGATGGTCTCGATCTCCTGACCTCGTGATCCACCCATCTCGGCCTCCCAAAGTGCTGGAATTACAGGCATGAGCCATTGTGCATGGCCGCGTCCGGCAAATTTTTAAAAAATTTTTGCAGAGACAGGGTCTCACTATGTTGCCCAGGCTGGTCTCAAACCCTAGGTTCCAGTGATCCTCCTGCCTCGGCTTCCACCTTCCTAAGTGCTGGGATTACAAGCATGAGCCACCGGCGCCCAGCCTCATTACTTCCATGTTAGAGATGGGGAAACCGAGGCTGAGAGGTGGAGTCACGTGTCCCGTTCCCACTCCGCCTGTCCTCAACCCTCCCCCACTGTCTCTCCCTGCAGGTCAGATCCGTGCCCACCTGCTGCCCTCCAAGGCCTGCCGCCTCCGGACCCCTGGGTCCCTCTCCACCAACCCAGAGCCCCTGCCCCCACCCCTGCCCAAGAAGATCCTAACCCGGACCCAGTCACTGCCCACCCGCAGGACCCTCCATCCCAGCTCCATCCAAGTACAGCCGCCTCGGAGACCCTTTCTGGGGTCCCACAGTGTGGACAAGAGCCAGGCTGCAGTGGGACCAGCCTGTCTCCCTGCAGAGCTGACCTTTGGCCCGGCTGACGCCCCACTGGGCCTCTCCCTCCGCGATCTGCACAGCCCGGAGGCTGTGCACACTGCACTGGCTGCGCGGCAGCTGCAGGGCCTCCGTACCATCTATGCCCGGCTCCGTGCCCGGCTCATGGGGGGCCACCCCGGGCCCTGCCACCCCGGCCACAGCTTCCGCCTCCTAGACAGCTCACCCTGCGCAGAGAGCGGGGACGCCCTGTATTACCGCGTGGTGCGCGCGCACGAGGACGCCTGGCACATCCTGGTCGCCAAGGTGAGCCCCACAGCCCCACCCTCTCTGAGGTGTCCCCAGTGCCCCATCTTAGACATAACCCAGGGCTTGTTTCATTTGGCCTTTCTGTGAGTCAGTTCTCACACTGCTGTAAAGAAATACTGGAGCCGGGCGCGGTGGCTCACGCCTGTCATCCCAGCACTTTGGGAGGCCAAGGCGGGCGGATCAGCTGAGGTCAGGAGTTCAAGACCAGCCTGGCCAACATGGTGAAACCCAGCCTCTACTAAAAATACAAAAATTAGGTGTGGTGGCGGGCGCCTGTAAACCCAGCTACTTGGGAGACTGAGGCAGGAGAATTGCTTGAACCCGGGAGGCAGAGGTTGCAGTAAGCCAAGATTGGGCCATTGCACTCCAGCCTGGGCAACAGAGTGAGACTCCGTCTCAAAAAAAAAAAAAAGAAAAAGGCCGGGCACAGTGGCTCACACCTGTAATCCCAGCACTTTGGGAGGCCGAGGCGGGCAGATCACGAGGTCAGGAGATACAGACCATCCTGGCTAACACGGTGAAACCCTGTTTCTACTAAAAAGACAAAAAATTAGCCGGGCGTGGTGGTGGGCACCTGTAGTCCCAGCTATTTGGGAGGCTGAAGCAGGAGAATGGCATGAACCCAGGGGGCAGAGCTTGCGGTGAGCCGAGAACGCACCACTGCGCTCCAGCCTGGGCGACAGAGCGAGACTCCGTCTAAAAAAAAAAAAAAAGGCTGGGCAGCACAGTGGCTGACGCCTGTAATCTCAGCACTTTGGAAGGCCAAGGCGGGCAGATCATGAGGTCAGGAGTTCGAGACCAGCCTGGCCAACATAGTGAAACCCCCATCTCTACTAAAAATACAAAAATTAGCCGGGCGCGGTGGTGCGCACCTGAAGTCCCAGCTACTTGGAGGCTAAGGCAGGAGAATCACTTGAACCTGGGAGGCGGAGGTTGCAGTGAGCTGAGATTCGAAAATTGGGCTATTGCACTCCAGCCTGGGCGACAGAGTGAGACTCTGTCTCAAAAAAGAAAAACAAAAGAGAAGAAAAAAGAAAAGAAAAGAAAAAGGAATACTGGAGACTGGGTAATTTATAGAGAAAAGGGCCTTAATTGGCTCATGGTTCTGGTGGCTTCTGCTTCTGGGGAGGCCTCAGGAAGCTTCCAATCATAGTGGAAGGCGAGGCGGGAGCAGGCATCTCACACGGTGGGAGCAGGAGGAAGGGAGGGAGGAGGTGCTACTCACCTTTACACAGCCAGATCTCACGAGAACTCACTCGTTATCCCAACGACAGTGCCAAGGGAGATGGTGCTGAGCCATTCATGATAAACCACCCCCAAGATCCAAGTCGCCTCCCACCAGACCCCACCTCCAACACTGGGGAATGAGATTTGGTGGGGACACAGATCCAGACCATATTAGACTTGTTTATTTTGCAACTAACACGTGAATCAACGCAGTTAACCCAGGAAACCATGTTTCTAAAGTATGGGGCCATGGGTATGGCCTTGGAGCTCTTGTCAAAACCCCTCCCACACCTCTCTGGCCGGGGATCTGCTTTTGTGTTTTTTGTTTTGTTTTTTGTTTTTGAGACAGAGTCTCACTCTGTTGCCCAGGCTGGAGTGCAGTGGCGCGTTCTCGGCTCACTGCAACCTCCACCTCCCGGGCTCAAGCGATTCTCTCACCTCAGCCTCCGAAGTAGCTGGGATGACAGGCGCGCCACCACGCCCAGCTAGTTTTGCATTTTTTAGTAGAGACGAGCGTTCCCTGCGTTGGCCAGGCTGGTCTCGAACTCCTGACCTCAGCGATCCCCCTGCCTCCCAAAGTGCTGGGAAGGCGTGAGCCACCGCGCCCGGCCCAGGAATCTGCTTTCGAACTCATTGCCCAGGAACATCTTCTTCCCTGGCTTAACTTTCCTGAAAGTCCTTACTGGTGACTAACTTCCAAATTAACACTGACCTCCTGCTGCTGGAGGGATGCAGGCAGCCCCTAGCCGTAGTGGGGGCAGTTTGGGGGTGTGCGTGGGAGGCTTCGGGGCAGGTAGCACTGGGGCAGGCGGTGCTTGTGGGGGGCCCAGTGATCCAGGCCCCGACACCCCCTCTGCCTTGCAGGTGCCCAAGCCCGGGGCGGACGTGCCCCACCCGTGGGGCCTGGAGCTGCAGGCCTCCCTGTCTCCACACTTCAATCTGCAGGGGCTGTGTGGCCTGGTGCCTGAAGGCACACTGCCCGGGGCGCCCTGGAGAGGCGCAGTGGCGCTGGCAGCCGAGGTTCCAGAGCGCACGGTGGCGCAGTGGCTGGCGGAGGCCTGCACGCAGCCGCCGGAGGAGTTCGTGTGGGCTGTGGCCCTGCTGCTGCTGCAGCTGAGCGCGGCCCTGAAGTTCCTGGAGGCGTGGGGCGCGGCCCTAGTCGAGTTGCGGCCGGAGAACTTGCTGCTGGTGGCACCTCGGGGCTGTGCGACGACGGGGCCCCCACGCCTGCTCCTCACTGACTTTGGCCGCGTCTGTCTGCAGCCCCCTGGACCCCCGGGATCCCCGGGCCCCCACGCGCCGCAGCTGGGCAGCCTCCTCCGAGCGCTGCTCAGCCTTGCTGCGCCCTCGACCACGCCTTTGGCCGCGGGCCTGGAGCTCCTGGCAGCACAGCTGACCCGCTTGCGGCCCTCGGCGTCCCGGACGCGGGGCGCGCTGCAGGCGCTGCTCTGGGGGCCCGGGCCTGAGCTGCGCGGCCGCGGAGCACCGCTTGGTCCCTGGCTCCGAGCGCTCGGGCCCTGGCTGCGGGTGCGCCGCGGGCTGCTGGTCCTGCGCCTAGCAGAGCGGGCCGCAGGTGGGGAAGCTCCCAGCCTCGAGGACTGGCTGTGTTGCGAATACCTGGCCGAGGCCACCGAGTCCTCGATGGGCCAGGCCCTGGCGCTGCTGTGGGACTGACCCCAACCCAGGGCGAACACACCTGGTCCAGGCCTGCCCAGGAGGCAGGGCTGGGGCTGAGGTCAGCGTCTCCATGATAGCCAAGACACCCTCTTCCTGCAGAGTCCAGGAGCGCAGCAGAGAGAGCAATGCCCCACTCCAGAGCCTCCCCTCCCGTGCTGGGGATGTGGGTCAAGGGCTTCCCAGGAATGCAGCTGCCCCTCCAGGGCTGGGGGCTGGCCAGCGCCTCCTGTGTTGGGCAGCAGCTCTCTGAAGCCAGGGCCCCCACGCCACTTCCAGGTGTGGACAACCCCGCTGATCAATGTCTCTCTGTGTTCTGCCTTCCCCAGCAGCCAGGGCGCTCTTCCGCGTGGGTTCTGTCATTGTCTCCATGAGAGGCCAATGCCGGGACCAGAGGCATTCCTGGCTCTGGAGCACCCCCTTGTGCTGAAGATGGCCAGTGATTTTGGGCATGTGAATGCCCCTGTCCCTGGTGGAGAATTGCTTGGTGGTGTCACGGGAAGGGAAGGCTCCCTGGGACCTTAGACACCCAGCTCATCTCAGCGGGGTCTGGACTCACCTTCCCTAAAACAGTCCCCGCGGTTCCCTGCCACCTCCCCTCAATCCCTCTGCGCCCACCCTGCCTCCCTCCCTGTTCCTCCGTGACACACCAACTTCTTTCGCGCCCCCAAGCATTTGTGTAGGCTGTTCCCTCTGCCATACTGTTCCAGTTCCACTTTCTTTTTCTTTTTTTTTTTTTTTTTTTTTTGAGACGATCTCGGCTTACTGCAAGCTCCGCCTCCCGGGTTCACGCCATTCTCCTGCCTCAGCCTCCCGAGTAGCTGGGACTACAGGCGCCCGCCACCACGCCCGGCTAATTTTTTGTATTTTTAGTAGAGACGGGGTTTCTCCGTGTTAGCCAGGATGGTCTCCATCTCCTGACCTCGTGATCCGTCCGCCTCGGCCTCCCAAAGTGCTGGGATTACAGGCGTGAGCCACCGCGCCCGGCTACAGTTTCACTTTCTCTAAACAAATAAAGGTGCCCACTCTGGGCCATCGCTAGCTCCTTACCCTGCGTTCTCCGCCCACTCTCAGGAGCATTTATTCCTCTGTTACTGTCCACAAGGCTGTGAGTTCCCTGGGGGCAAAGGCCAGGCTTGGCACACAGTAGGTGCTCACTTAATACCACAGGATGATGTAATAAACAGGCACAGAGGAGACTCACTGGAGGGGGATGGAGTCTTCCTTTATGCCTCTGACACACTGCACTGCCCTTGCCTGTGGCTTCCTTCCTGGAGACTCAGAGTTGCCCCTCCATTCCATTCCCCATGGCAGTCCTGGGAGGATCTTTCCAACCCCAGATATGAGGTCCCTCTCCAGCTCAAACACCTCCCATGGCTCCCCAGTGCCTCAGAATACATACAGGGCTCTTCCAAAGTCTCCTCAGAGTCTCCAACCCCATGTCGTTCATCCCTGGAGGTTACTTTCCAGCCTCCACGCCTTTGCCCAAGTTGTTTTTTACACCAGAAAACAGCCCCCTCTACTCTGCTTCATACTCCTATTCATCCTGCATGGCCTCAGCTCTAATGCCCCTTCTCTGCATTTGCGCTGCCCAAATGAGCTGGGGGTATCTGTGTCCAGGTTTGTCCTCCCGGCCGACCCCACCACCGCTCAGACGGCTGAATATCCCCCCGGCCCGCTCGCCAAGTCTACAATCTTTTCGAGTTCCTCCTTTCCTCCTCTTTCCAGCCGGTTTCCCGGCCAGGCCTGGCCCTGATTTTCCGGGTGGCGCTCCCGGATGCGGCCGGCAGGTGGCGCTGCGGCCGGGCAGACGGCGGGGTTGCAGACCCGGAAGCGCTCCAGGCCACGACCCCGCCGGAAGTGCTGCTGCCCCGAACGGCGCTGCAGGTCCCTAGGGGCGGCCAGTAACACGGCGAACTCAAAAGTTGAGTTGGGAGCACAGACATCCCCATGCGCAGGCCCAGGCTGGGGCGGAAGGGGACGCGAGGCAGGAAGGGGCTTCAAGCGAGCAGTGGCAAGGCTGGCGCCAAGCTGAGGGCCCGGCCTCCCAGCCCAGGGGGTCTCCTCCGTGGGAGGGGTCCCGCAGCTGCCTGGGTGCCAAATCCCCCGCGACCCCTCCACCCAGGGCCCTCTGTGGTCCCAGGCACTCCTCCCACCAGTCCCCAGCGTCACCACCACAGAGCCAGGTGCATCGGGTGTAATCACTTTATTGGCTTTTGGAGAGCAATGGAGGGGATTAATACCTCATCTTTCCAAGTTAAAAGACTAAGACTGTTTCCAAAAGACTCCAAATAAGAAACTTCTCCTCAAAGTACAAGGATAATCTGAATCATCTTAAACCAGCAATAAAAAAGTAAAATATAAATTTTTATTTAGAATTAAAGCAAATACTTCAGTATCACAAACACAATATTAAACTTCAAGAAATACACCGCTAATTCGGAGTGAGCGTTTATTTGCACGATTACAACATGCGGACAAACCCAGGCGAGATGAGCGAGTCTACGGTTCCTACCCACCCGGCTGACAAGGGGTGGCCCCAGGGGCCGGATGCCCAGCCCCGAGGCGGCCCTACTCCTCCTCCTCTCCCGAAGACTCTCTCTCGAACGTGTAGGCCATGAAGCAAGCGTCGGGTCTCTTGGGGACAAGGGGATGCCCCGGTCTCACAATCTCAAAGCCCAAAAAGCTGAAGGTTCGGAGCAAGGCGGCTGCGGGGGAGAAGCCGTCAGAACCCCTGCCGACCAGAACCCCCCGCCCGCACCCCCCACCCCCGCAGGGAGACCGTGCCTGCGGGCTGAGAATGAAGGGGCGGCGCAGGCACCCCCACGCACCCTACTGCAGGCGATACGGGTCACCTACCTCTGTCCTCGCGGTTCTTGTGGAAGCAAATGAAGACATGGTCGGCTCGCAGCTGCTCCTCAGCGAACTCCAGGAGAACTGCAAAGCTGCAGCGAGTGTCAGCGTCTCGGCTGGCCCGACCCACCTGCCTACCTCCTGGGCCTTAGCAGCTACCCTGAGGCCCGCTCTACTCCAGGGTCCCCCTGGGGCCCAGATCGTCCTCTGGGTGGGGCCGTCCTGACACCACAGTGTTGAGCAGCACCGCTGCACCCACCCACGTGCATGCCCCATGACAGAAAAGCTCTGACACTGCCTGGCATCCCTTGGAGGGTAGAATCCCAGGGTACGAATTTGGAGTGCACTTTTTAAAAAGGGACCCCAGGCCGGGAGCGGTAGCTCACGCCTGTAATCCCAGCACTTTGGGAGGCCGAGGTGGGCGGATCACGAGGTCAGGAGTTCAAGACCAGCCTGGCCAACATAGCGAAACCTCGTCTCTACTAAAAACACAAAAATTAGCTGGGCATCGGTGGCGGGCGCCTGTAAGCCCAGCTACTCGGGAGGCTGAGGCAGGAGAATCGCTTGAACCCGGAAGGCAGAGGTTGCAGTGAGCCAAGATCATGCCACTGCACTCCAGCCTGGGCAACAAAAGCAAGACTCCATCTCAAAAAAAAAAAAAAGGGGGGACCCTGTCCCCACCAACAAAGCGATGGTGGCCCCCATATGTGCTGCCTGAAGGCAGTGCCCTCCCTCATCTGTCCCTGCACCCCTTGGGCAGCAACCCGCACCTGGTCCCTGCTCCCCTGGGTGAGCACTCCCCGCCTGTCCTTGCCCCTCACCTGGTCCCTGCTCCCCTGGGTGAGCACTCCCTGCCTGTCCTTGCCCCTCACCTGTCCTTGCTCCCCTCGGGCAGCGCGCCGCCCGGGATCTCGATGTAGAGGCTGCCGCCACTCAGCACTGTTCGCCAGTTAATGCGTTTGGCGTCTGTGAGCCTGGACTGGACGTTGAGAATCCTCGTCTTGTCGTTGGACGTTAGTTCCTCTGTTACATTCAGCCGATCATCCTGTCCAGGGGGTGCAGCCCAATTCAGAACCCTGACTCACCCCACAGGACTCCAAGAACCCGGCAGCGCTAAAGCTTGGGCCTAGGCCGTGTTGAGCTCAGGCAACGCCTGGGCTGCAGGAGACTGTGCGCCGGCTCTGATGAAACTCAGGGTTCCCACGATTACATTCAATCACAGGTACGGGCAGCAAGGTGCACAAGAAAGTACCTGTGGCCCCAGAGCAGCCCCAGCAGGCCCGGCCCCATACTCACGGAGTAGAATAAGTTAGCTGAAAGATTGTGATCCCTCTGACTATTCCCTCGCCCACCTGGGATCTTCAGGGGTGGGTGAGGGGCATCAGGAGCACCACCGAGGCCCCGGACCCGGGTTACTACAGCAGTGGAGGGAGACCCTGGAACTGAAGATGATGCAGGTCACGAGGCAGCGCCAGGCTCCGGGCGGAGACCCCTCCAGGGCGTCCGGGCGGCCTTCAGCACATCCCCACCCCTGCCTCGGCCAAAAGACCCCGCCCCGCCCAGGCAGGGGCCCACCCGGTCCCACACCCCCGAGGCTTCCCGAAGGCAGCTCCAACGCCTGCCCCAAGCACCTACAAGGGCAGCAGTCACTGAGCCCCGACTCCTCGGGCGGCGCCGCCCAGGACAGCCCAACCTTCCCAGGGCGGGGGGCCCCTTCCCCTCACGCAGCCCCGCCGGGGCAGAGCCTCACCCCCCGGCCACCAAGACAGCCAGCGCTTCCCCTTTTCAGTTCTGTCGCGGCTTCCCCTTTCCACCCTGCACTACGGCCAAAATCTGGGACTCTTGCTTGTCCCCGCGAAGACCGGGCGGGCCTAGCCTGACCTCATGGAGGACGCGCCCCGCTCCGGCTCCCGGCCGCCCGCCCCCCCGCCCCCGCTCCAGGCCCGGGCCCTCCCGGTTGCGTCATCCAGGCAGACGCGGCCTCGCGCCCCGGGGGAGATTTTCACAATCGCGCAGCCGGCAGCGCCAGCAGCCATTTGCTGCGCAGGGTAAACAGGCCCCAAAGTTGCCTCCATTTTGCACGGCCCCCAAACCGCGGCACCGCCAGCACCGCGGCCCAACCTCCCGATCCGGGGCTGAGCGACGCCCACCTCGGGGGACGCAGTCGGGAAAGCTCGACCGAGACCCCGCGGGCTCCCCCACAACCGCAGCTGGCACCCGCGCCCCCGGAAGCGGGACGCGTCTTCCCGGGAAGCGGCGGGGGTCTTCCCAGGGCGCTGCCGGGCTGTCGGAGTGCGCCACCCCCAGCTCCCCGGCGGCCCCCGCGGAGAAGCCCTGGGTGCCGTCTACGTGCGCGGCCTCGCCCGGCGCGTCCCGGGCCATCCAGACCGACTCGCTCAGGGGCGAAAAACGGGGCCCACGAGGTCCGTCGCGTGCAGGGGCCACATCGAGGCAACAGGGACCCGCGGGAGCTCGTCCACCGCAAAGCGCTCCCCGCTCCCGCAGCGCACGCTCGACGGCCGGGACCGAAAAGTGCAGATTCACCAGCCCCGCGGGCCCTGCCTGTCCGCGGACCAGCCCCCCAAGGCCGACCCCGCCCCCAACCAGATTGCCCCATCCTGCGCCTCCCAAATCCGACCCGACCGCACACCCTTCCTCCAAACCGAATTCCCAGTCTGCGCCCCGCAAATCCAACCCTCGACCAGAAGCCTCTCCCCTCCTCCGAAGCCGAGTCCCATCCCGCGAACCCCGCAAAAGACACACGCCTCCCCCGACTCCCCGTCCTGCGCCCAAATCCGACCTCCGACCCATGCCCCTCCCGCAAATCAGGCGCCCCGGACGGTGCCCCCCAAATCCAACTCCGCACCCTTGCCCCCCAAACCCGACTCCCCCGAGAGCACTGCTAAGGCCGGGGGGGACCTCCAGGCCCGCCCTGCGCCTACCTCGTCCCCGGCGCGATTCTGGCCTTGACAAAGGGGCGGATCTCGCGCGCCGGGGACCTATCTGGCGCCCCGAGGACGGCCCCCCGCAGGCCTGCGCGGCCGGCGCTTCTGGAAGCTTCGGACGGGGGCGGGGCACTTACCTCTCACTGCTGCTGCCGCCGCGGCTGTGCAGGCTTAGGAGCGGCATGGTGCGGCTGGCGTGGATGGTGGCGCTGGGTTTATCCCCTTCCTTCTCTCTGGCGAAGCAGTGGCTATTGAGGATCCGCTGCAGGGAGGATTTCACCATCCGGCCGCTGGGGTCCGAAACCAGGAAAACCTCCGCTGCGTCTCTCCGCGCCGCCGCCGCTGCTCGCCGTTCGCAAAATGGCGCCTCTGCCGCCGCCCGCCTTTATAGATGCTGCGCCCAGGCCACGCCCCCCGCGCCGCCGGGAACGCGACCGCACGAGGGGCAGAGCCGCGGGGCCGCCGGGAAAAAAAGTCGCGCCCGCCCCTCCCAGCGCCTGATTGGTGAAAGGGAAAGGGAAAGGAAGAGGCTCTCTGGAGATTGGTTGGTGAGCCTCGGGCCACGCCCCCTCCTGCGCGCGTCCTTCTGGGGGCGGGGCTGCCGTGGCGCCGGGTACGCGCTGCGCGCGCCCCGAGCCGTCCCCGCCCCCACAATCGTGCCTTGGGGGCGGGGGCGGCTCGCTGGGGCCGATTTTCGGGGGTCTTCGAGTGCCCGTTTGTCTGTCGTGGTCCACGTCGCCCTCCCTAGGGTCCCTTCACGCAGCGGGACCCCTCCCCTGGGTAGGCCCCCGGGTGCTTGGGGGGTTGTCCAACCGCGCCAGAATTATTTCCAGTAACACCTGGTAAT
Source organism: Homo sapiens (assembly GCF_000001405.40). Classification (NCBI taxonomy): domain Eukaryota; kingdom Metazoa; phylum Chordata; class Mammalia; order Primates; family Hominidae; genus Homo; species Homo sapiens. The sequence goes on along the minus strand of NC_000019.10, from coordinate 2,269,034 downwards.
CATCGATGATATTACTGGTTTTATTTTTTTAAATTTGGTCTTGCAGTTCTTAAAATGCTTCCAGTGTTTAAAAAAAAAGAACTTCCAATGTTAAAGATATTCAAATTTAGTAAAATATTTCGTGTACAATTTGGACTTAAGCAAAAATTTTACTCCTTGCAGATAAATTCAGATTTTTCCTGTGGAAACTGAAACTTACCCTAAGGAAAAACACTACTCCTGGCAGTTAAAATTCAGAAACACATCTCATGTATGAACTAAAATGTGGATCTCCCAAGGAAAAAACGATTTCTTTGGTGGTCAAGTTCGGTAAACTGTTTCGCCTGTGAGGTAAAATGTGGACTTACCTAGCAAAAATATTTCCCCTCCTGGTTAAATCCAGAAAAAAAATCTCAGGTATGAACTGCACTTTGCTTTTAATAAGCAAAGATATAACTCTTGGCAGTCACATACGGGTACATAGCTTGTGTGTAGACTAAATTATGAATTTAGCAAAAAGTTGCCACTTTGCAGTGAGGTTTAATAAAATATTTTTTATTTCATGTATAAACAAAATTTTGTTCTTACCAAGCAAAAATGCTACTCCTGGCAAATCCTGATTCCTTTCATGGTTTTAATTTTGTTTTGTTTGCGACCGGGCCTGGCTGTCACCCAGGCTGGAGTGCAGTGGCGCAATCTCGGCTCGCTGCAACCTCCGCCTCCCAGGTTCAAGCGATTCTCCTGCTTCAGCCTCCTGAGGAGCTGGGATTACAGGTGCCCGCCACCACGCCCGGCTAATTTTTGTATTTTTAGTAGAGATGGGGTTTCACCATGTTGGCAAGGCTGGTCTGGAACTCCTGACCTCAGGTGATCCGCCTGCCTCGACCTCCCAAAGTTTGGGGATTAACAGGCGTGAGCCACCGCGCCTGCCTGTCTTTCGAGATTTCGTACTGCACCAGAAGGCTGTTGTTGCATCTCTGCTACGAGCATTCGCTATTCAGGTGTTGAGGCAGAAATTAACTCCTGCGGTTGACATTTGGGGCCGCCCTGGGCACTGCAGGGCGCTGAGCAGCGTCCCTGGCCTCCACCCACTCCATGCCTTGAGCACCCCCAGTTGTGACAACCACAAGTATCCGCAGACATCACCCAGTGTCCCTTGGCGGGGGCAGAATCACCCTGGGTGAGACTCCCGAGTTAGGGGATTCCACGGACCCCCCCAAGAGACTCTGCATCCCATGATCCTCTGCCCTGCTGAGGTCCCAGGAGACTGCGCACGTTGAAATCCACACCTTGAGGCAGAGGTTGCAGTGAGCTGAGATGGCGCCGCTGCACTCCAGCCTGGTGACAGAGCGAGACTCTGTCACAAAAAAAACAAAAAAAAAGCAATCCACACCCTGAGTGGGGAAGGAGAGAGGAGAAGCATCCCAGGAGCTGGGGGCCTCCTGGTTTATACCGTTTGCCCCATTAGGAGTTTATCCTGAGGCTGGGCACGGTGGCTCACGCCTGTAATCCCAGCACTTTGGGAGGCCGAGGCGGGTGGATCACGAGGTCAGGAGTGCAAGACCAGTCTGGCCAACATGGTGAAACCCCGTCTCTACTAAAAATACAAAAATTAGCTGGGCATGGTGGCGCGTGCCTGTAATCCCAGCTACTCAGGGGGCTGAGGCAGGAGAATTGCTTGAACTGGCACCCGGGAGGTGGAGGTTGCAGTGAGCCAAGATTGCACCACTACACTCCAGCCTGGGCTACAGAGCGAGACTCCATCTCAAAAAAAAGGAGTTTATTCTGGTGTCTGGTGTGAGCAGAGAACAGACTCTGTTTCAAATAATTAACTCAGGGTCTCCTCCCTCGGACCCGTGGACATTGGGCTTGGATTGTTCTCTGGGGTGGGGCATCCTGGGCAAATGGTATGAACCAGGAGGGCCCCAGCTCCTGGGATGCTTCTCCTCTCTCCTTCCCCACTCAGGGTGTGGATTGCTTTTTTTTTTGTTTTTTTGTTTTTTGAGACGGAGTCTCGCTCTGTTGCCAGGCTGGACTGCAGCGTCCTGGGCACTGCAGGGTACTGAGCAGCGTCCCTGGCCTCCACCCACTCCATGCCAGGAGCACTCCAAGTCATGACAACCAGAAATGTCCCAAACATCATCCAATGTCCCTTGGGGGCAGAATGACGCCCCTAAGTTGAGGACCTCCTCTGGGAACAGAGGCAAGAGCCTGCTCGAAATGAACAGGTCACCGGTGCGATTTCCAGAACAGCCACGACCAGGGAGCCCCATCCCTCCATCCTGACTGCAGCAGCTCTCACTTCCTCCTCCTGCCTGCCTCTGATGGCCGCCTGCCAATGCTGTGAGGCTTCTAGAAGGGCCACCCCCACACTGGCCAGGCCACGTGGGATGAGCGCTAGGATCAGCAACTGCGCCCTGCTGGCCCACCTGGCCGGGTTCCCCAGAAACTCCCCAGGGTGGGAGGTGCTTTGCTGGGAGCTGGGGAGTCTGTGACTGGTGAGGGGCCTCCCGGACAGCAGGGAGAGAAAGAGGCATATCTTTCTCTGGAGGTGGTGAGGCTTGAACTGTCTGAAAGGGACAGCAGAGGATGTGGGGTGGTCAAGGATAGAGGGCCCATGCCTGGGTTTTCTTCTGAAATCAAGGTTGAGGGGATACGGCTGCTGGCAGAGGACGCAGAGAGTATGACTCTGATTGATTGATTGATGGACTGATTTTTTTTTTTTTTTTTTGAGACAGAGTCTCACCTGTAGCCCAGGCTGGAGTGCAGTGGCGTAACCTTGGCTCACTGCAACCTCCACCTACAGGGTTCAAGCGATTCTCCTGCCTCAGCCTCCCGAGAAGCTGGGACTACAGGCGTGCACCACCATTCCCGGCTAATTTTTGTGTTTAGTGGAGACAGGGTTTCACCATATTGGCCAGGACGGTCTCAAACTCCTGACTTCATGATCTACGTGCCTCCCAAAGTGCTGGGATTACAGGTGTGCCACCGCACCTGGCTGTTTGGTTTTTGAGACAGAGTCTCACTTTGTCACCAGGCTGGAGTTCAGGGTCATGATCTCGGCGGCTCACTGCAACCTCCCCTTCCCAGGTTCAAGTGATTCTCCTGCCTCGGCCTCCCAAGTAGTTGGGAATTACAGGCTCACGCCACCAGGCCCAGTTAATTTTGGTATTTTTAGTAGAGACGGGATTTCACCATATTGGTCAGGCTGGTCTCGAACTCCTGAACTCAGGTGATCCACCCATCTCACCCTTCCAAAGTGCTGGGATTACAGGCGTGAGCCACCGCACCCGGCTGACTCTGATTTAAAAGAGGGTATGTGGGCCCGGTGTGCACTTTGGGAGGCAGAGGCAAGAGGATCGCTTGAGCTCAGGAGTTCAAGACCAGCCAGGGCTACATAGCCAGACCCCATCTCTGCAGCAAATTTAAAAATTAGGGACATGGTGGTGCACACCTGTAGTTCCAGCTACTCCAGCGGCTGAGGCAGGAGGATCCCCTGAGCCAGGAAGGTCAAGGCTGCAGTGAACTATGGTCTCTCAACTGCACTGCAGCCTGGGTGACAGAGGGAGACCTTGTCTCTAAAAGAATTATAATAATGAGTTAAATAAAATAAAATGTAAACAGGTAAAAATAAAGAAGGATTGGGGCCGCGCACAGTGGCTCACGCCTGTAATCCCAGCACTTTGGGAGGCTGAAGCAAGAAGATCGCTTGAGCCCAGGAGTTGCAGACCAGCCTGGCCAACATAGCAAGACCCTATCTCTAGGTTCTCACTTTGTTGAGAATTTTAAAAACTTCTAGAAATTTTAAAAAATTAAAAAAATTTTAATTAGCTGGGATTGGGTGGGCATCTGTGATCCCAGCTACTTGGGAGGCTGAACCAAGAGGATCACTTGAGCCCAGGAGGTCAAGGCTGCAGTGAGCTGTGATCACACCACTGCACTCCAGCCTGGGGGACAGAGCAAGACACTGTCTCAAAAAAAAATGAAAGCAAGCAGGAAAATGGCCAAGCGTGGTGGCTCACGCCTGTAATCCCAGCACTTTGAGAGGCCAAGGCAGGCGGATCACGAGGTCAGGAGATCGAGACCATCCTGGCTAACACGGTGAAACCCCGTCTCTACTAAAAATACAGCAAAAATTAGCCGGGTGCGGTGGTGGGTGCCTGTAGTCCCAGCTACTCGGGAGGCTGAGGCAGGAGAATGGTGTGAACCCAGGAGGCGAAGCTTGCAGTGAGCCGAGATCGCGTCACTGCACTCCAGCCTGGGTGACAGAGAGAGGCTCCATCTCAAAAAAAAAAAAAAAAAAGAAAAATCAGGAAAATAAGGCAGAATCTGGGCCTCCTTTTCTCCATGTGTTCCTGCCTGGCATTATATTCAAGCCTGGCTCTGTCTCCTGAAGAAAAACTCAGAAGGCGCTTGAACTCTTTTGAGCAAACAGTGTGGGGAAGAAAAAGGGAAGTAAACAAGAACCGGCCTTTTTTTTTTTTTTTTTTTGACATGTCGCACAGGCTAGAGTGCAGTGGCCACTCACTGCAACCTCCGCCTCCTGGGGAACCGACCATTTTTTTTGAGACGGAGTCTTGCTCTGTCACCCAGACTGGAGTGCAGTGGCGTGATCTCGGCTCACTGCAACCTCCACCTCCCAGGTTCAAGCGATTCTCCTGCCTCGGCCTCTCAAGTAGCTGGGATTACAGGCACAGGCCACCACGCCTGGCTAATTTTTGTATTTTTAGTAGAGACGGAGTTTCACCATGTTGGCCAGGATGATCTCGATCTCTTGATCTCGTGGTCTGCCCGCCTCGGGCTCCCAAAGTGCTGGGATTACAGGCGTGAGCCACCGCGCCAGGCTGAACCAACTTTTTTTTTTTTTTTTTTTGAGACGGAGTCTTGCCCTGTCGCCCAGGCTGGAGTGCAGTGGCACAATCTCGGCTCACTGCAACCTCCGCCTCCCGGGTTCACACCATTCTCCTGCCTCAGCCTCCCAAGTAGCTGGGACTACAGGTGACCCCCACCACACCCGGCTAATTTTTTGTATTTTTAGTAGAGACGGGGTTTCACCATGTTAGCCAAGATGGTCTCGATCTCTTGACCCCATGATCCACCCGCCTCGGCCTCCCAAAGTGCTGGGATTACAGGCGTGAGCCACCGCGCCTGGCCTCCAACTGACCATTTGTAATGTGCACCGTGCAGCCTGCAATAAGCTCAGGCCACAAGGAGGCTGTGCAGGGCCAGGGTTTGGCCACAAAGCCGCAGAGGCATCTGCTGCTGGGTGATAAAGCAGGACCCACAGCCGTGTGGGCAGCCTCAGGATGAGCTGGGCAAACACACATGGAAAAGCGAGGCCCCCAAGTAAACAGGGCTTATCTCGAGCAAGTTGTTGTTTTTCCCTTTACCGTACTTATATTTCTTTTTTTTTTCTTTCAGACAGAGTCTCCCTCTGTCGCCCAGGCTGGAGTGCAGTGTCACGATCTCAGCTCACTGCAAGCTCTGCCTCCTAGGTTCACGCCATTCTACTGCCTCCACCTCCTGAGTAGCTGGGACTACAGGCACCCGCCACCATGCACGGCTAATTTTTTGTATTTTTAGTAGAGACGGGGTTACACTGTGTTAGCCAGGATGGTCTCAATCTCCTGACCTCGTGATCCGCCCGCCTCGGCCTCCCAAAGTGCTGGGATTACAGGCGTGAGCCACCGCGCCCGGCCTCTTTTTTTTTTTTTGAGATGGAGTTTCACTCTGTCCCCCAGGCTGGAGTGCAGAGGCGCCATCTCAGTTTACTGCAACCTCCACCTGCCAGGTCCAAGGGATTATCGTGTCTCAGCCTCCTCAGTAGCTGGGATTACAGGCGTGCACCACACGGCTGGCTAATTTTTGTATTTTTAGTAGAGATGGGGTTTCACCATGTTGTCCAGGGTGGTCTGGAACTCCCAACCTCAGGTGATCCGCCCGCCTCGGCCTCCCAAAATTCTGGGATTACAGGGGTGAGCCACCGCGCCCAGCCTATATTTCTTATGGTTTTGCCCCTTGCTATAATTTTCAGGATTTTATTTTGCAGTATTTGTCATGTTTATTTTATTGTATTTTTGTAGAGATGGGTTTTCACCATGTTGCCCAGGCTGGTCTCAAACTCCTGGGCTCAGGTGATCCTCGTGGCTCAGCCTCCCAAAGTGCTGGGATTACATGTGTGAGCCACCGTGCCTGGCCTAATGCATTCACAAAGGTTTGTTATAGAAAAAGGAAGAAAGCTTTATGCGCAGAGCATCTGAACCTCATTCTCTGCGGCTCTTCAGTATTTCCTGCCCCACATTGTCCATGTCTCTATTTTCATGGAGTTTGACCTTTACTTTTGTAAATTTTTTTTTTTTGAGACGGAGTCACCCAGGCTGGAGTGCAGTAGCGCAATCTTGGCTCACTGCAACCTCTGCCTCCCGGGTTCAAGCACTTCTCTGCCTCAGCCTCCCAAGTAACTGGGATTACAGGTACCTGCCACCACGCCTGGCTAATTTCTTTTGTATTTTTAGTAGAGATGGGGTTTCACCATCTTGGCCAGGCTGGTTTTGAACTCCTGACCTCGTGATCCACCCGCCTCGGCCTCCCAAAGTGCTGAGATTACTGGCGTGAGCCACCACGCCCAGTCGTAAAATTGTTTTTTATTGTTTTTCTTTTCTTTTTTTTTCTTTTTCTTGTACAGACAGGGTCTTGCTACGTTGCCCAGGCTGCTCTTGAACTCCGAGCCTCAAGTGATCCACTTGCCTCGGCCTCCCAGGTGTGAGCCACTGTGCCCAGCCCTATCTCTTTAAAAAACAAAACAAAACGGGCCAGGCATGGTGGCTCACACCTATAATGCCAGCTCTTAGAGAGGCAGAGTCAGGAGGATAGCTTGAGTCCAGGAGTTCAAGACCTGCCTGGGCAATATAGCAAGACCCCCATTCAAAAATAAATAGATGAATAAAATTTTTAAAATAAATAAATAAATACAAAACAAAAAAATTGTAAACACACCTGCAAACCAGGAAAGGTCTATTTCTTGTTCTTGCTCCATGAGCTTCTCAGGCCCTAGGGGGCGCTGCTCACCTCCCCTGCCATCTTGAACGTCACTATGGCCAAGAGAGGAAGACCCTGGAAGATCTCACACTAGCAATTAAATGCCCCAGCCTAGAAGTCACCCCAGGAAAGGAGCCACCTCTCCCTGAGAACAAGTAGGGTGGACACAAATGAAACTGGTGTGCTGCCCTGGCAGAGGCAGGAAGTTGGCCACTGCCCAGCACTCCCCACAGTTCTCAACCTCCTGCCTCAGTGGCCCATGCTGAGGGTCCCCTGGGGGTTTCCCACTCAGGTGTTTTGTGTTCCAGAGGCTGGAAGGACCCTGCTGTGGGGGGTGTCACCATTGGGCTTCCACGGGGTGCGGAATCTCACAGCCTCAGTGGCTTCCGCACCTTTGTCATGGCAGCGATAACAATATGAGTACACAGCTCAAGCTGTGTACAGGAGCCAAGCACCTGTCCCCGTGCTTGGCTTAATGCTCACAAGGACCCCAGGAGGTGGGGTCTCCATTTTATTTCCATTTTACAGGAAAAGAAACTGTGGCACAGCCAGGCAGCAGTGGAGTCAGGGTCAGAATCTGAGTCGTCTCCATCCAGAGTCAGTGCCCTCAGCTGACACTGTTCTTCACAAAATTAGCAAAAATAGGCCGGGTGTGGTGGCTCATGCCTGTAATCCCAGCACTTTGGGAGGCCGAGGCAGGAGGATCACCTGAGGTCAGGAATTCAAGACCAGCCTGGATGACATGGCAAAACCCTGTCAGTACTAAAAATACACAAATTAGCTGGGTGTGGTGGCATGCACCTGTAATCCCAGCTACTTGGGAGGCTGGGGCAGGAGAATCACTTGAACCTGGGAGGCAGAGGTTGCAGTGAGCCGAGATTGTGCCACTGCACTCCAGCCTGGGCAGACTCAGTCTTAAAAAAAAAAAAAAGTCCAGGCCGGGCTCAGTGGCTCACACTTGTAACCCCAGCACTTTGGGAGGCCGGGGCAGGTGGATCACTAGGTCAGGAGTTCAAGATCACCCTGGCCAACATGGTGAAACCCCATCTCTACTAAAGATACAAAAAATTAGCTGGGCATGGTGGTGCGCACCTGTAATCCCAGCTACTTGGGAGGCTGAGGCAGGAGAATTGCTTGTACCCAGGAGGCAGAGGTTGTAGTGAGCCGAGATTGCGCCATTGCACTCCAGCCTGGGCAACAGGGCTGGACTCCGTCTCAAAAAAAAAAAAGATAAAAAAAGAAAGTCCCACAGAGGCCCCGTGTCCAGGCTTTGCTTCTGGGAAAGCTGAGCCTTCCAGGAAAGGAATGCAAAGGGAGACACTATGAGAATAAGAAGGTGAAAATGCTGTTGAGGCTGGGCGCGGTGGCTCACGCCTGTGATCCCAGCACTTTGGGAGGCCAAGGCAGGAGGATTGCTTGAGGCCAAGGGTTTCAGACTACCCTCGCTAACATAGGGAGACCTGGTCTCTTAAAAAAAAAAAAAGCTATTTATTTTGACCAGAGAAATGCAAATCGAAACCACAATGAGATCATGCCGTTCACACCCACTAGGCTGGCAATAAAAACACAAACAAAGAAACTGGAAAATGACGAGTTGGACGTGGAGAAGTTGGAACGCTCCTGTATGGCTGCTGGGCAGGTAAAACAGTTCAGTCGCTTTGGAAGAGAGACTGGTGGCTCTTCAAAAAGTTAAGCATAGAGACAGGGCGTGGTGGCTCACACCTGTAATCCCAGCATTTCAGGAGGCCAGGGCCGGTGGATCACTTGAGCCCAGGAGTTCGAGACCAGCCTGGGCAACATGGTGAAACACCATCTCTACTAAAAATGCAAAAATTAGCAGCTGGGCGCAGTGGCTCACGCCTGTAATCTCAGCACTTTGGGAGGCCGAGGCAGGTGGATCACCTGAGGTCAGGAGTTTGAGACCAGCCTGGTCGACATGGCAAAACGCTGTCACTACTAAAAATACAAAAATTAGCTGGATGTGGTGGCAGGCACCTGTAATCGCAGCTACTTGGGAGGCTGGGGCAGGAGAATCACTTGAACCCGGGAGGCAGAGGTTGCAGAGAGCCGAGATTGTGCCACTGCACTCCAGTCTGGGTGACAAGAGCGAAACTCCATCTCAAAAAAAAAAAAAAATTAGCTGGGCATGGTGGCATATGCCTGTAATCCCAGCTCCTCAGGAGACTGAGGCAGGAGAATCGCTTGAGCCTGGGAGGCAGAGGTTGCAATGAGCAGAGATGGCCCCACTGCACTGGAGCCTGGGCCACAGAGTGAGACTCTGTCTCATAAATAGAAAATAAAAAATTAGCTGCGTGTGGTGTCAGGCACCTGTGGTCCCAGCTACTCAGGAGGCTGAGGTGGGATGACCACCTGAGCTGAAGAGGCTGAGGCTGTAGTGAGCCCTGATTGCGCCAACGCATGCCAGCCTGGGTGACGGAGATGAGAGCCTGTCTCAAAAAACAAACAAATGAAATCATATTTTGCAGCAACATGGATGGAGCTGGAGATCATCATCCTAAGTGAAATGACTCAGCAACCACCACCCCTGTCTTATTCCAGAACATTCTTGTCACCCTAAATGAAGCTCCATCCCCATCAGCCATCACTCCCCATCCCCTTCCCAGCCCCGGCACCCACAAATCCCCTTCCTGTCTCTGTGAATTGGCCTGTCCTGGACATTTCTTTTTTTTTTTTTTTTTTTTTTTGAGACGGAGTCTCGCTCTGTCGCCCGGGCTGGAGTGCAGTGGCGTGATCTCAGCTCACTGCAAGCTCCGCCTCCCGGGTTCACGCCATTCTCCTGCCTCAGCCTCCCAAGTAGCTGGGACTACAGGCGCCCGCCACCACGCCCGGCTGATTTTTTGTATTTTTAGTAGAGACGGGGTTTCACCGTGTTAGCCAGGATGGTCTCGATCTCCTGACCTCGTGATCCACCCACCTTGGCCTCCCAAAGTGCTGGGATTACAGGCATGAGCCACTGTACCCGGCCCTGTCCTGGACATTTCATAGAAATGGGATCACATACAGCATGGCCTTCTGTGTCTGGCACCTCTCACCGAGCGTGACATCCTTAAAGTGCATTCACGCCATGGCCGCAGTCAGAGCCTCGTTCCTGTTCACGGCTGTGTCGTACTTCACCGTGTGGAAGGGCCACGCTGTGTTGATCCGTGTATCTGAGGATGGAACGCTAGAGCTGCCTACACCATGTGGCTGCGGAGAATCGTGCTGCCCTGAACTTGGGTGTGCAAATATCTGAGTCCAAGCTTCGGATTCCTTTTCGTAGATACCTAGGAGTAGAGTTTCTGCATCTTATGGTCATTCTATTTTAGCTTTTTGAGGAACTGCCAAGCTGTAATATACTTTTAGGAGGGGCCAAGCACTGTGGCTCACGCCTGTAATCCCAACACTTCAGGAGGCCAGAGTGGGCAGATCGCCTGAGGTCAGGAGTTTGAGACCAGCCTGATTAACATGGTGAAACCCCATCTCTGCTAAAAATATGAAAATTAGCCAGGCGCAGTGGTGCATGCCTGTAATCCTAGGTCCTCGGGAGGCTGAGGCAGGAGAATCGCTTGAACCCAGGAGGCAGAGGTTGCAGTGAGCCGAGATCGCGCCATTGCACTCCAGCCTGGGTGACAGAGAGAGACTCCATCTCAACAACAACAAAAAAACTTTTAGGAAGAAAAAATAAATCTAGGTTACAAACAAGATGTTCAGCCCTTCGCTAATTATGCCAGCTTTATAAAAATAAATATGGAACTAATAATAAAATCACAAGTTACAAACAGCGGAAAGAACATGTCAAACTATTAAACAGTGTCTGTTTGGGGGCGGGAAGATGACAGGTGCTTTACAGTTTTTGCTTTCAGCTTCTCTTTGTTTCCTGTTTGTCTCTGCCTTGTGTCATACAGAAAAAAATGAGAGCCATTTCTTTTTTTTTTTCTTTTTGAGACAGAGTCTCGCTCTGTCGCCCAGGCTGGAGTGCAGTGGTGCCATCTCGGCTCACTGCAAACTCTGCCTCCCGGGTTCACGCCATTCTCCTGCCTCAGCCTCCCGAGTAGCTGGGACTACAGGCGCCCGCCACGACACTCAGCTAATTTTTTGTATTTTTAGTAGAGACGGGGTTTCACCGTGTTAGCCAGGAGGGTCTCAATCTCCTGACCTTGTGATCCACCTGCCTTGGCCTCCCAAAGTGCTGGGATTACAGGCGTGAGCCACCGCGCCCGGCCGAGAGCCGTTTCTAAAGCGGAGGGAGTGGGGACCAGGGAACCCCAGCCCTTGCTTTGCTGAAGGCGGGCTGGCCTTCTGGGTCTCTTGGTAGTTCCTGGGGAGGCCCTATTCACTCAGAATTATTATTATTATTTGAGACAGAGTCTCACTCTGTCGCCCAGGCTGGAGTGCAATGATGTGATCTCGGCTCACTGCAACCTCCACCTCCCGGGTTCAAGCAATTCTCCTGCCTCAGCCTCCCCAGTAGCTGGGATTACAGGCATCCACTATCACGCCTCACTAATTTTTGTATTTTTAATAGAGACAAGATTTCACCATGTTGGCCAGGCTGGTGTCAAACTCCCGACCTCAGGCGATCCGCCCGCCTCAGCCTCCCACAGTGCTGGGATTACAGGCGTGAGCCACCGCGCCCGGCCATTCACTCAGGATTTTTAACACACAGGCCTCACCACCAAAATCCACTTCCCCTCTTCCCTCAGGACTCCCAGAGTCACCATGCTTTGCAGGTAGGGCTCAAACATCTGCCTGCAGGCCTTAGAATGTGCCTTTGGGGGCTGAGAGACCCCGGGTCCTCTCCAGAGCAGAGGCGTCAGGTTTCTCTGCATGACGGTGTGGGAGCAGGCAGTTCCGAGTGTATGAGCCTGCCAGAGCCACAGAAACAAATGACCCCAAATACAGTGGCTTTAAACAGCAGGAATGAATGCATTGCAGGGGCTCCCGCCTGGGATCCCAGCACTTTGGGTGGCCAAGGCGAGCGGATCACATGGATTACTTGCGGTCAGGAGTTCGAGAGCAGCCTGGCCAACATAGGGAAACCCTGTCTCTACTGAAAAAAAAATACAAAAATTAGTCCGGGTGCAGTGGCTCACGCCTGTAATTCCAGCAATTTGGGAGGCCAAGGTGGGCGGATTCCGAGGTCAGGAGACCGAGACCATCCTGGCTAACACGGTGAAACCCCATCTCTACTAAAAATACAAAAAAAATTAGCCGGGCGCGGTGGCGGGCGCCTGTAGTCCCAGCTACTCGGGAGGCTGAGGCACGGGAATGGCGTGAACCCGGGAGGCGGAGCTTGCAGTGAGTGGAGATCGCGCCACCGCACTCCAGCCTGGGAGACAGAGCGAGACTCCGTCTCAAAAAAAATTGAAAACTTACCGGGTGTGATGGTGCGCGCCTGTAGTCCCAGCTGCAGGCGCTACGTCTCCCTGGGTGGCAGTGGCGAGTGCTGAGTAGGAGCAATGCCCTGCCCTGCTGCAATGGCAGGGAAGGGTGGGGGACTCCCCGGCTGTGACCTCACTCCAGCGGGCATGCTGATTGGCCCACCCGCGGTCTCTGGCCACCTGTTGCCGTCCATCACGGGGCCACCCTCCCCATCCTCCGTCCTGTCCACAAGGCTCAGCAAAGCGGCTGGCGGGTAAGCGAGGCTCGGGGGTAAGGAAGTGAGGCTGGGGGAATCCCGGGCAGAGGTGTGGGCTCCCGGGGTGTGAAGGGGTGTTGCAGAGGACTGTAAGGGTCCCCAATTCCTGGAGCTGCCCCCATGCACACCCAGGGGCCACACACCAGCCTCCCATGCTTCTTGGGCCCCTCCCCCACTGCCACGCAATAGGCCCCTTCCAGGTCTTGGAGCCCCAGGGCTGGGTGGTTTTTCAGCCTAGATACAGGGACACCCTAATCCCAGCAGCCAGAGGCCATGGGGACCCTGAAGAGTACAGCTTTGGGTCTGACTTGAAGCTCCTTGCGACCTCCAGCCAATGGCACTGTCTCTAGCCTCGGTTTCCTCATCTGTCCTATGGGAACAGAGTTAGTGGGACAAGGCAGGGTACTCTGTGTCAGGATCAGAAGACCCCCAACCACAACCGGGACCCTCCTCCCCTGCCCCGGCCTGTCACGACCAGAGCCAGGATGGTTCTGCTGCTGGGGCCTGAGCCTGTAGACTCACAGGGTCACGCAGCAGGATGTGGGTGCCCAGAATGGCAAGTCAGGGTGGCCCAGAGGGAGACCCCATGAGAGCAGAGGCCTGGGAGGGGCTGGGGCACCTGTTAGCCTGTCCCGCTGGCCTCAGGCACCAGATAAAAATAGTCCCTGGTCTCAGAGAACATGAGCTGACTCTGGGGCCAAGAGTTTCGGTTTGGGGTGCGTCTGGGACTCATTGCTGTGTTGTCCTGCAGGGGCTCCCGCCCTCTCTGGGCCAGAGCAGCCTGGGCTACTGTACTGATGGATACTGGACCCCAGTGAGGCTGGGCGGTAGGGAGGGGTCCCAGGGCAGGCATGCGGGGTCAGAGAGATGCCTGGAGTGGGCGCCGGGCCATGCCTGGCATGAGTATGAATTTGCCGAGTGAGGAGGGGTGGGAGGACGGGGCCTGTTAGTTGGTGTCCGCAGAACCTCCAGGTCAGGCCCAGGCCTGTGGCAGAGACTCAGTAAATGCAAGACCTTGTTCCCCACCCCTCCCAGCCTGGCCTGGGACCTGCTGCTGCTCCAGCCATGTCCATGACAACCAGAGCCTGGGAGGAGCTGGATGGCGGCCTGGGCAGCTGCCAGGCCCTGGAGGACCACTCTGCGCTGGCCGAGACCCAGGAGGACAGGGCTTCAGGTACCCTTGTGGCGCTGGCGGGAGGAAGCCCTTCCCTGATGGTCCCCTTGAGCCAGGAGGCCCATCTTCAGAGACTAGAGCTTCTTAGCCTCCCACACTGGACTGGCTTATAGTGTGCTCCCCATGTTCAACCCCTGGCCCTCATTTCTGCCTCAGGGGTCTGTAAGGAGCCCCCAAGGAAGACAGGTGCTGGGCCACACAGATCTAGGTTCGAATCCCACGTTGCCACTGAAATGCTGGGTGTCTTTGGGCAAAGCTGTCTCCAAGCCTGTCTGCTTTCTTTATATTTTTATATATTTTTATTATTATTTTTTGAGACAGAGCCTCATTCTGTCTTCCATGCTGGAGTACAGTGACATGATCATAAGTCACTGCAGCCTTGACCTCCCAGGCTCAAGTGATCCTCCTGCCTCAGCCTCCCAAGTAGCTGGGGCCACAGGTGCAGGCCACCATGCCTCGCTAATTTTTTTTTTTTTTTTTTTTTAGAGATGGGGTCTCACTATGTTGCCCAGGCTGGTCTCAAACTCCTGGGCTCAGGTGATCCTCCCACCTCAGTCTCCCCAAAATGCTGGATTCCAGGTGTGAACCACTGTGCTGGCCTCCACCTACTTTCTTATCTATAAGATGGGGTTAGTCACCCGCACGTCACCCAGCAGGGCCAGGGGAGAGGGTGGGATTGGCCTGGGGGTCCCCACAACCTTGACTCTGCCTGTGTTCCCACAGCGACACCCAGGCTGGCCGACTCCGGCAGCGTGCCCCACGTGAGTAGCTGGGACCCTCAGCCTTTAACCCAGGACGCCTGGGGAGTTGGGGACAAGCCGACCAAGGGAGGCAGGTGTCTAAAGCCCACGGGAAGGGTTTGGCACTGGAAGGAAACATGTGGAATGTCTCGTGATAACCACAGGACTCTCAGGTGGCTGAAGGCCCCAGTGTGGACACCAGGCCCAAGAAGATGGAAAAAGAGCCTGCCGCCAGGGGGACCCCAGGAACGGGGAAGGAGAGGCTGAAAGCCGGAGCGAGTGGGTTTGCAGGAGGCATGGGTGAGGTGTGGGGTGGGAACGGACTGGTGTGAGGCTCAGGTGCCGGAGCTGGGTCCTTGGATCTTGGAGGGTGGTGTCCTGGTTGAGTGGCGTCGAAGTGTGGCAGGCAGCGAGTCAACGGGCAGGGAGCCTCTACTAATGCGTAATAATACCAGCTATGCCACTCAGCTCCGGGAAGTTACCTTCCAGAAACTCTAGGCATCCCCGTGCAGCTGCGGGGCACCCGGGGCTGGGTTCACCTGCGCCCGGGGCCGCACAGGCAGGCAGAGAGAGCCGGGTTCAGGGCACAGGCCTGTCTCTTGTCCCCTGCGCCCGGGGAAGGGGGCGGCACAGAGCCAGTGACCACAGCGCAGCGCGCACTTGCCCCCGCAGGCCCTCGGAGCGTCCCCGCGCGCAAGAAGGCGCAGACCGCGCCGCCCCTGCAGCCGCCGCCGCCGCCCCCGGCCCTGAGCGAGGAGCTGCCCTGGGGAGACCTGTCGCTCAACAAGTGCCTGGTGCTCGCCTCGCTGGTGGCGCTGCTGGGCTCGGCTTTCCAGCTGTGCCGCGGTGAGCGCAGGCTCCCCAGAGGTGGGGCGAGGCTGGGGTCCACCTGTGCGCCTATTCCTCCAAGGAAAGGCGCTGTGCCGCCAGGGTGGGGTCTGGGAGCCTCCTCTCCAGGGCTGGGTCTTGCACGCCCCCAAAGTTGGTTTGTGCATCTCCCCTTAAGTGACGGGCCTTGCGCGCCCCTCTCACCCGGTGTGGACCTTTTGCGGGGCCCATTCCCCTCGCCGCGAGTAGGTTCTGGCTTCCGGATGAACCTTGTGCAACCCCTCCTGCCTCGTAGCGTTCTGCCGCCTTTCCCCTGCGCCCTCTCTGGGGACCGCTCAGCTCGTGAGCGCCCCCCGGGGGCACTCCTGCGACCCCTCCCTTGCTAGGGGCCTCCTACAGCCCGTGGTCGGGGGGAAGAATGACCAATTGAAAGAGCGAGGTTCGGAGAAGGGGCGCCGCGGCAGCGGAGTCCCGGAGTCCCTTCCCACGGCTCGGGGGCATCCTTAGTCTCAGCCGTACCGGGGGAGCCCCACTCCAACTGTCCAGGGAGGGGGGCTCTAGGGGTGAGGGAGGGATGGACAGTGTGGACCGTGCCTCGGCCCAGCTGACTCGGGTCCCGACCCTGTCGCTGCAGACGCCGTCCCTGGGGAGGCAGCACTCCAAGCACGTGTGCCCGAGCCCTGGGTCCCGCCAAGCTCAGCCCCGAGGGAGCCATCGTCGCCCCTGGTAAGAGCTTCCTTCCACTGACCGCGGGCATTGGGACCTTCATCCCCAAGGAAAGAAGGAGCCCGGGCCGGGGGGAAGGTGGGCGCTTACCCCAGGACCCCACTCTGTCTTGCAGCCTAAGTTCGAGGCCCAGGCGCCTCCATCAGCGCCGCCTGCGCCCCGGGCCGAGGCAGAGGTCAGACCCAAGATTCCCGGGAGTCGGGAGGCTGCAGAGAACGACGAAGAGGAGCCCGGCGAGGCCACCGGAGAGGCCGTCCGGGAGGACCGTGTGACCCTCGCAGACCGGGGACCCAAGGAGAGGCCTCGGAGAGAGGGGAAGCCGCGGAAGGAGAAGCCGCGGAAGGAGGAGAGACCTAAGAAAGAGAGGCCGCGGAAAGAGGAGAGGCCACGGGCCGCCAGGGAGCCCCGGGAAGCCCTACCCCAGCGCTGGGAGTCACGCGAAGGGGGCCACCGGCCGTGGGCACGGGACTCCAGGGACGCCGAGCCCAGGAAGAAGCAGGCCTGGGTGTCCCCGAGGCGTCCCGACGAGGAGCAGCGGCCTGGGAGTCGCCAGAAGCTCCGCGCAGGCAAGGGGCGGGACTGAGCCGGCCCCGCGCCGGAGTCCAGGGGCCCCTTCTGGACGCCCCGCGACTCTGGCGAAATAAAGCGAGTGCTGCGGCCGCAGAGTCACCTGCTCCTTTACGCCTGGACCCGGCACCAAGTCCGGGGCCTGAAAGACGGTGGTGGGGCGCTTCAGGCAGGGGAGAGACAGCGAGCGCTACAGGGCGGACCCGGGCCGTGCGCGAGGAGAGACGGCAAGGGAGGTCCCACGGGCCCCCTAACACGCACGGACACCCCAGCCGGTTGCTTGCTGGTCTTTATTGGGGCGATGCTTGGGGTCCGAATAAATATGGGAAGGGGCGCGAGCTGGGGCGCGTCCGGACCCTCGGGGCAGGAGTCCGCGCGGCGCAGGGGTCACCGGCAGCCACACTCGGTGGCCACCATGTTGGGCACGTGGTGCGCGCTGATGCGCTCCTCCGACAGGCTGATGAGCAGCTTGCCCGCGTAGGCGGTGGGCACGCAGCAGGGTGGGCGCGCCAGGGCGGCCCCACGGACCTGCATCTTCAGCAGCAGCACCACGTGGTTGCCGTAGCGCGGGTTGCGGTCGGACTGAGGCCAGCCGCACACGCCCTGGCAATTGTTGGCCTGGTAGGTCTCGGGGATGAGTACGGAGCGCTCGGCGCGGAGGTCTACGCTGAGCTCGCGCAGCGCGCACGGCCCGTCGGCGGCGGTGGCCCCCGCGCTGCGCTGTGCCCGACCCGGCCCGCGCGGATCCCGCCCGCGCCACTCCACGCGCAGGCCCTGCAGCGCCTTCAGGAGCAGCAGCGCTCGCAGGGGATCGCCGAGGCCGCCGGGGCCACCTGGGCAGAGCGCGAGCAGGCGCGCCAGCAGCGGGGCTGTGGCCGGAGGCAGACCCGGGAGGCTTCGCAGCTCGGCAGCCGCCGCTTGCAGTTCAGCAGCCACGCGGCGCGCCAGGGCCGTGGCCCACGGCGCCGACGTGGGGTCGTGCAGGGGCGCAGGATCCCCGGTGGTGGCCGCAGTGGGCCTCAGCAGCAGCAGCAGCGGCTCCTCGCCGTCGAGTAGGCGCTCCAGCGCCGCGGGGTCCGACAGGTTGACTAGGCCCTGCGGGAAGCCGGCCAGCGCGTCCGGATCCAGGGCCAGGCGCGGCGCGGAGGCCCGGGCCGGGGGGACCCGCAGCGCCCGCACCAGGCGCGTGAGCGTCTCCAGGAAGGGGTCTGCGCTGGGTGGCGACTCCTCGAGTTCCGCGGATGGCCTGGAACCCGCAATTGGAGGAGTTGAGAGCGGCCACGAGGCCACGCCGCCCCCGCCCGCTCCTGCCCCGTGTCCCGGTGCCTGCGCGCACCTGGGCGGCGGGAAGGGCACGGTGTCCAGCTGGCCGTGCGCAGGCAGCGGCGCGGGCTCGGACCGCGGCAGCAGGAGCAGGGCCGGGGTCATCCGTGTGAAGCAGCGGTGGTCGTCGCCGAACAGCAGTGCCTGCAGCCGGGCGGTACTCAGCCGGGAGTCTGCGGTGGGTGGGCACGCGGCTGGCTCAGGGGCTGGGGGCCCGGGGGCAGTCGACCCGGCTCCCCGTCCCTCTCCACGCGGACCTACCCTCTCCGCGGGGCTGCAGGGTCAAGGCCAGCCCGGAGCCGCGCCAGGCCCCCGCAGGGCGGTCCACCGCTAACACCAGGTAGCGGGTGTCTCGGGAGGGGCAGAGGCTCTGCGGAGACCAGGGCTCAGCCCGGCTGGATGGAGGCTTACCCAGCCCCGCTCTACCGGTCCCCTTCCTCCCATCGCCACTGGTTCTACGCTGTTCTCAGTACTGCAGACCCTGCAACAAATCCATGCCCCCCGCCACGGCCCGGGCACTGCCCCATGCAACTCCCTGGTACCTGGGCACCCGGCAGCCCAGCCCTCGTCACAGTGACCTCAGGGCCAGGCCCAGGGTACAGCACCAGCAGCGCCAGCTCTGGGGGGCCAGCTCCTCCAGGCGGGGGCTCCTGGAACCTCAGCGAGGGTGTTGGCTCCCAGGTCACTGCAGCCGGGACAGCAGGGGACGCCTGAGCCATTGAAGGCCACACCCCCCGGGAATCTTTGGGATCTGTCCCTGCCGCTCTGGCCACTGTGCAGGGGACCTCAAGCGGGGGACAAGGGTGCCCCTCTTAGCTGCCTTCCTGCAGCCAGGGAGCGGTGACGGCAGGGGCAGGCAGGGGCTGCGTCTGAGGCTGTGGGTGGGGCTGCCGCCCTGGGGTCTCTGGGTTGGGGTGCCCGATGAAGCCCCTTCCCCGCAGGGAGTATCTTAGGCCAGCGGCCCTGAGAACAGGCTGGGGCTGTGGGAAGAAGGGTTCCACTGGCCCCGAGCCCTGCGTCGTCTTCAGGGGTGGGGAGAAGGCAGCAGCTCTCTCCCTGGCACCGAGGCAGGGGCAAGTCTAAGAGCTGGGCTTCGGGGACAGGACAGAGTGTGGTGCCCACCTTCCAGGCCACGGACCCGCAACCCAGTCCTAGGAACAAGACCACAGCCTCCCTGCCCAGGGTGGGGGCTCTGCCAGCCCCTGATCTTCCCTAGGAGGACCCGGCCCACCTGAAGGAAGACGGCGGTGCCAAGCTTGGGGCTGGGCCCCACATACCTTCCTCCAGGTGTAGGACCACCAGGCGCTGCCCCCCAGGGTCCCGCAGCCAGGCCCCCAGCCGCCGTAGAGAGGGCAAGGCAGCCTGCCTGTCACCGGTGTTGCAGACCCCGAAGGTGGCCAGGTCTCGGGGGCCCCAGCGGGCCCTCTGCACGGCCCCCAGGAAGGCCTGCTCATAGGCGCTTAGAGCCCCCACCACCCGCAGGGGGGAGCTGCTGCCATTGCTGTCCCCGCCCAGTGCCACCAGGCACAGAGGCTCTTGTGGGCTGCCTGGAGGCCAGTCCAAGTCTTCTCGGAAGATGAGGCCACTGGTGCCCACAGCTGGCTCCTCTGCTCTGAGGGCCTCAGTCCCCAGCAGAGCCCCCAGGGCAGACAGCACTAGGGCCAGGCTGGTGAGAGGCAGGTCCCGCATCGTGGGTGCTGCCAGGGGCTGGGCTGCCTGCCTTAAGTGAGCCGAGTGGAAGGTGGGGTGTTTGTGCAGGACAGACCCCTATCTCCTCTGCCGCGACCTTGGGGGACAGTGCCCGGCGCCCCCACTCCAGGCAGAGTGGCCTTCTCAAAGAGCCCTTTCTGTCCCTGGCAGCCTATCTCCCTCCCCAGTGATAGAGCTGGGCCTGATGTGTCAACATGCCGTCCTTGAGGGCCATCCCCAGAAGACACAGGAGTGGGAACCAGGCTGGGAGTGACGGCCAGGCAACCAAACTAGACAGCGCTGGGGGCGGGGGGCCCAGATGTCCTGGGTGCTGAGGTGTGGGCCTGGAGGAGGAGGGTCCCAAGTCAGTGGGGGCGCCCTGTCCCTGCTCACCCTCCCCACCCCTGGTGGGCTATCTGGAGACCCCAAGGATATCGTGGAGTCTGCTCTTCCCTCCCCAGAACAGGACCCCAGATCCCCTCCTAGCTGGCTGGTGGGGTCTGTCCTCCACCAGGCCATCTCCAAGGTACAGCCATCTCTCAGGCCTCCCACAGGTGTCTCCTGGCGGGCCCCAGGCCCTCCCCAGTCGGCCCAAACTGGGGGATGGTGCTGTGCCTGGCACTCCCACACACACTGACACAGTAGGGCGGCGCTGCGGACATCAGTGCACTCAGGGCTGGGGGAGGCTGTTTAATGAGCGGGGGGCAGTACAAAAGAGCAGCCTTCTCTCAGTGGGAAAAGGCAAGAGCACCTGGCGCTGGGCTTGCTGGGGGAGGGAGCAGCTTCTCAGTTGGTTGGGGGAGGGGGAGGTATGTTCCCTGGGCCTTCGGAGGGAAGTGGGGGCCTCAGCATTGGGGGCATGGGAGTTGGGGGGTGCACCCCAGGATTTGAGGGGTGAACTCCCGGAGGCTGAGGGTGGACCCCAGGAGCCGACGGATGGACCCCGGGAGGTTGGGGGTGGACCCCCGGGGCCTGAGGGTGCATCCCTGGGGCTGGTGGGTGCACCCCTGGGGCCTGAGGGTGAACGGCGGGGGCTGCTGGGTGCACCCCCGGGGCCTGGGGGTGAACCCCCGCTGATGGGGGAGGATGGACCCCTGGGGCTGGTGGGTGAACCCCAGGGGCTGGTGGGTGGACTCCGGGGGCTGGTGGGTGAACCCCGGGGGCTGGAGGGTGGACTCCAGGAGCTGGGGGGTGGACCCCAGAGGTTGGTGGGTGGACCCCAGGGGCTGGGGGATGGACGCCAGGAGCTGGGGGGTGGACGCCAGGAGCTGGGGGATGGACCCCAGATGCAGGGGGATGCACCACTGGGGCCGGGGGGTGGACCCCTGGAGCTGGCGGGGGTAGCTGGGGTGGTCCCGGGGGCCCTGAGGGCGCAGGCCCTGTGGGGGGCATGGGTGGCAGAGGCAGGCCTCCTGGCGGGGGCGGTGGCAAAGACTCAGGCAGCGGTGGCCGAGGGGGCAGACCGTTCATCAGCGGGGGTGGAGGCCGCTTCACCCCAGGGGGGCCAGCAGGGAGGCTGGGTGGAGCCGGGGG
Organism: Homo sapiens; assembly: GCF_000001405.40. Lineage (NCBI taxonomy): Eukaryota > Metazoa > Chordata > Mammalia > Primates > Hominidae > Homo > Homo sapiens. The sequence continues at coordinate 2,247,799 of NC_000019.10, read as the reverse complement.
CTTCTCCATCTTAAAGTGGAACTGGAGGAAGAACTAGAGAGACGGAGAAAGGTTCAGCAGGCACGGGTGGGGCTAGGGCAGGGCTAGGGCCGCCAGGGCTGGGTGGGAAGGAGCCAGGCTCGGGGCGAGCCACTCACCTGCTTGGTCTCCCGGTTCCAGTGTGTCCAGAACTTGCCCTCCGCCTTGTCGATCTCTCTGCTCGGCACCTGGGAGGGCGGGGGACAGAGAGGGCTCCTGGTCCCTGTGACCTCAGGGCGACCATCAGGCAGGGAGCCCGAGGCACTAGCCTCCCCAGCCCGGACTCTACCCTGGGAGCCCAGGAGAAGGCTGGTAAGACTTTCGTGGGGCACAGGGTTCAGTTCTGGAGTGAAACAGACCTGGCCTCAATGCTAGCACGCTGTTGGCCCCCTCCCTGGGCAGTCACCGTTTGTATTATTTGTTTCCTGATGGCCGCCCTGTCCAGGCATGGGGACAGGCTGTAGGAAGCCCTCCAGCAGCCTGGCCCAGGAAGTGAGGTCACTTGGCAAAGGCCTCACAGGCCTGGCGCTCAGCCCTGCCGGCCTCCCTTCTCATTGGCCCAGTGGAGCCCAAGCAGGCCCTCCTGCAGAGCCCAATGGGAGAGGTGCCCTGCCCGGCCTGTGCAGACCCTTCTGGCTCCGACTTGGGGGGGGCCCAGGGGACCCCAAGCCCGATGGGAGGGGCATCCTGCCCAGCCTATGCAGATCCTTCTGGCTTGCACATCTCAAGGGGGCCCAGGGAACCCCGCAGCCACGCTACCTTGAAGGCAATGGTCTCGTAGGGCTCGGCGGCCATGAGCAGGTACTGCCAGCGCCGGTCCGGAGGCTCGATCCTCTGCTCGTACGCAGACATGAAGCGGTGACGTGGCATGATGCCCTCGGCGATCTCAGGGTAGTCAATCTGCAGGGACACGGCCGGGTGGCAGAGCCGCCTCTTGGGTGCCTTTGGCCGCCCCCCACGCCCAAGTCCCTGATCTCACCTGGAAGAGGAGGCTCTGCTGGCCCATCTCCGAGTCTCTCTGCTTGGTCACTGCAACACAGAAAGCTCTCAGGTCCCGGCTGCTTGTCCTCTCCGAAGCTGAGGAACCTGGGGCAGGCTAATGCCACCCACTGAACGAGAGCGGGACCCCGGGGGAGGCCCTGCAGCTCTGGCAACCATTAGACAATCTCCGCCCAGGCTCTGGGATTCTGGTATAGGTGAAGGCACAGGTGCGCCAGAGCTGAGCTACCTGCGGAGTCACTCAGGCAGGGACCGAGGATGGTGCTCCTTTGTCCCAATCCCCAGAGCCCTTCACCAGGGGTGCTGGGATACCACCCAGCAGGAGTTGGGGCCACTGGGTAGGGAGGGGCCCTCGGCACCCTGGCTCTGGGATTCGAGCGGGGCCGCCTGAACAGGGCTGACACCATGTATACGGTGAGCGAGAGAGGATGCCCTTCCCGCCAGAGCTCAGCAGCCTGGACCCCGAGAATGGCTGCTGGGCTGCCTGCCGCCCGGCCACTCTCCATGCGGCCTCAGACACGCACACTCACAAGCCCTCTGCCGCCTCACCGTCCTGAGCCCAAGCCCAGGACCTGTCAGGGCCTCCCCACCAGGAGCCTGCCGCTCTAGCCACCCTCGCCCACCCGGTGCACCTGCCCCGGGACCTCTGCCCTGCAGGCTTCTGTCTGGAGGCCAGGCACACAGGCTGTCCCCGCCTTCTGTAAAGAACACTTGCTGGGTAGCGTGCCCGCCTTCCTGAACCCTATGGACACAAGTCTCTATCTTCCACCCTGGTCACTTCCCCAGCTTTCTGAACCGGGGTCACCTCTAGCCATTCCCACTGCTGAGGGTCCGGGAGGAGCTGCCTCTAACAGCCGCTTCTCCCTGTCCTCCTTCAAAGGCTTCAAGGTTAACCGGAGGGATGTGCCAGGGCTCACCACACCTCCACTTCCACTCTTTTGCTTGGCAAGAATTCCCAGAAGCTTCCACAAGACCCGGACAGGAGGGCACAGACTGTGGCTCAGCTGGGAAATGGGCTGCTGGGTGAGATGGGTGCTTATCGGGCCCAGCCTGACAGCTCCCAGACACAACGCCAGAGGCTGCAGGTGGGTGAGGGACGGCCACCAAGGCCGGAAAACAGTGGCTCAGGGAGGAGGCTATCAGGGCTGCACCTCCCGCACTGGAGACTAAAGAACACACTTATGTCACGGCAGCGGCTGTGGCCGGCCCCGCTGCGGGCAGACTCACCTTTGTAGCCCGGGCGGCCGATCTTCACAAACTTCTTCACCTCCACCTTGACCTTCTCAGGCGCGGGCTGGGCAGGGGCCTCCTTGGCCTCCTTGGCTGCTCGCCGGGCCCTGCGGACAGGATGGAGGTGCTGCTGGGACCCCTCCACACACAGGCACCAAAGCCATGGGCCCAGGTGCCAGGAGCCCCCTGACCTTGGAGCTCACTACAAGCTGAGAGATGAGGAGGGCCAGGGGCCTGGGAGGGGCCCTGGGGTTTGGCTGAGGACAGGGATAGGACAGGCATGTTCTCTTCCTGTCATGCTCCTCACTGTCCCTGGCTGGGGCCCTTCCAACAACTCCATGCCTCTGCTCTTTTTTTTTTTTTTTAATAAGACAAGAGTCTCACTCTGTCGCCCAGGATGGAGTACAGTGGCAGCACCTTGGTTCACTGCAATCTCTGCCTCCCAGATTCAAGATTCTCCTGCCTCAGCCTCCATAGTAGCTGTGATTACAGACGTGTGCCACCATGCCTGGCCTAATTTTTGTATTTTTAGTAGAGATGGAGTTTCACAATGTTGGCCAGGCTGGTCTCGAACTCCTGACCTCAAGTGATCTGCCCGCCTCAGCCATCCATGCCTCTGTTCTCTAATGCTCCCCAGGAACCGTACTCAAGCGCCCAGGGAGGCTCAGGCCAGGCTGGCTCCCCGGCTGTGGAGCAGTGGCCCGCGAGGCTCACAGAGACTTGAGCCAACGGCTGCTGGAGCACCAGGCATCAAAGGGACATGAGGTACTCACAGGTTGGTCTGGTGCTTCTTCCCCTGCGTATGTGCCAGGTAGCTCCCCTGGAGTGGAAAGGAAACACGCATGACTCGAGGCCGGGCGGACAGACACAGGCAGGTCCCCCTGACGTCAGCCACTCAGCCCGCCGCGAGCCGCCCGGAGCCAGGCAGAGGCCGCACCTCATTGTTGTGAAGTGTCAGGCAGAGTTTGCATTCATAGGAGCCCAGGTGGTTCTTCATGAAGTACGGGTCCTGGAGGGGAAGAACAGGGGCCCGTTAGACAGAAGATCGCGGCCTGCTGCCGTCAAGGCCCTCAGAGGCGGGATCCCCTTTCTGTAGAGGCATGGAGGCAGAACCCCCCTTCTGTAGAGGCATGGCTACCGCTGACAGTGGTCAAGCATTTCTGAAAACGGGGGATCCAGCGGGAGGCCTTCGTGAGCACGGGTGTCACCACCTGGGGCTGTGGGCCAGGCTTCGAGCAGTGGGGGTTCCCAGGGAGCCCCCGACACCACCTTCCTGGTGGTTCTGAGTCAGAGGGAGGCACAGCCAGGACAGCACCGCCGGTCACTCCCGAGGCAGGGAGCCGTCCACTGCCCACGCCACCACGCCAGCAGTAGGCACAAGGCAGACACAGGCACAAGAAAAGCAAATGGGCTACACTGAAGACCCAAAGACCCGCCCATCTGCAGGCCCTAAGCTGGGGCAGCCGGGCGCACACATCTCGTCTCAGACGCTGGAGTTCAAAGTCTAACTCCACCATCTGCGGCTGTGGCACCCCCTCTACCCATGACCTCATCTGGAAGACGGGGACGGTAACAGAGCCCTTGCCATAGGCCAGGCCCGTGGGGCATGTCAGGGTACACAAAGAGTGCTCCAGCCCCGATGTCCACGGTGCTGAGGGGACTCGGCTCACCCCTGCCTCTGCACAAGCTAAAATCAAAGGCTGCCCTTCACCACATCTGGCTGGACTGACATCAGCTCTCCCCACTCCCAGAAAATTAAATAATGCAAAACAGAAGGCTGTGGACAGAACAAAACATGTCCACATGGGACTCAGAGCCACAGAGGGTCTGCTCTCTGGGGTGGACAGATGGGAGCTGTGGCTGCTCGGGGGCAACAGGGGAGCGTCTGGACACGGGGCTGCATCGCCCAGCCTGGGCGGAGGCCCAAGAAGAGCCTCTGGCACCCTCTCCAGGGCTGCCCTGGAAAGCCCAGCACCCACCACAGGCAGCTGCACGGTGGCTGGCCCACCTTGTTGATGTCGATGGTCTCCAGGGCCAGCTGCCGGAGGCGCTCCCTGCGGTCACGGTTGCTCTCGGAGGAGGAGGCCACGCCCCCGCTCCCGGTCTTGCCCCCGGGGCGATGCTGGAAGTCCATGGTGATGGCCTTAGGGCTTTAGCAGACTGGGAGACACCTGTGGAGGCCAAGAGGAGAGTGAGGAAGATGGCTCAGAACTCGGGGCTGCTGCTGGGACCTCCCTGGGCGGGCTGGGCTGGAGCCCTCGAGACTGCCCCTCACCCTGCACTCCCAGCGCCAGGGTCTAACCAGCCCTGAGGGGGCCACCCCATAGCGCACCCAGTCTCTTCCAGGAGGCTGAGGCCCACTGTGGACAGGCACAGACACAAGGAAGCTGGAGCCTGTCTCCAAGTGACCAGGCATGAGGGATGGAGAGGAAGCCGCTCCAGCCCAGGGTGCCAAGGCCTGGAGACCTGAAATTGTAATAGGGAGCCCAGAGAAGGCATAAAGGGAAGACAAGACCAAGATCTCACAAACGAGTCACCACCTCCAGGAAGCCATCCCGGACTGCCCAAGCCCCTAGTGTTCACGCCTTCCTCTGAATTCCCTCTCTGGTTGGCTACGCTTACTTGTCCCAACCTAATCTCTTGGGCTCGATGTAAATTTGTTAGGCGGAGATCAGTGAGGACACTGATCTTCGCATCCTCACTGAGTAACACCTGGGAGATCTGCCACATCTGCTTGTGGCGCAGGGGGCTCTGCTGAGTCCCCAACATCCTCTTCCTGATGCAGGCCTCTGCCAAGGTCTCCCACGCCCTTTCAGGCTCTGTGCAAATCTGAGTTCCAGGCAGCCTCCTCTCATCTCCTGGTAGTCTTTCCCTTGCCTGCTCAATGTTGGCCCCGGGCCCTGGTTTAAGGGTCTTGGGTGAGCTCAGAGAGATGGGGCCCATGAGACTGAGTGAATCACTGCCCCCAAAAGATGTCCACATCCTAATCCCTGGGACCTGTGAACATGTCCCCTCATGGCAGAAAAGGGATGTGCAGGTGGGCTTGAGGATCTTAAAATGGCAGGTGATCCTGGGTGACCTCATGAGAGGAGGCGGGAGGCTGAGAGTCAGAGAGGCTGCGCTGTGGCTGTGAATGGGGAGGAAGGGGCCCCGAGGCAAGGCACACAGGTGCCTCTGGACACTGGGAAAGGCAGGAAACGAGTTGTCCCCCAGAGCCTCCAGAAGGAATGGAGCCCTGTGGACTGTTTGGACTCTGACCCCAGAACCAGAAGCTGATACAGCCGTGTCATCTGAACTACTGCGTCTGCAGTGATGTGTCACAGTGTCTGCAGGTGTGCAGGGGCACGCTGAGGGACAGGGCACAGTGGCCGCAGGTGTGCAGGGGCACGCTGAGGGACAGGCCACAGTGGCGGCAGGTGTGCAGGGGCACGCTGAGGGACAGGCCACAGTGGCCGCAGGTGTGCAGGGGCATGCTGAGGGACAGGCCAGCTGTACTGCTGACTTGTGGTGGGGCCTGAAGTCACCCCTTACTCTATGGGGGCCCAGGAGCCCTCCCCAACCAGTTTTTATTCCCTGGGCAAGTTTATGAAAATGATCAAGCATGGTAACTGGTGAGGTGGACCTCCCAGCTCACTGCAGTATCACGGCTGCCCCATCAGAAGTTCAGATGTCACAAAAGCCCACCTAGAGATGCCCATTTTTACATGTTGTCACGTAAACTTCGAGAAACCACCACTGTGACCATCGCCATCCCTTCACAAAACAAAGAACATTCCAGTGTGAAAAAGGAGACTGTGACACCAGAAGGACTGTCCTTTGCTGGGAACGCCACCCTCTGGCCCCAAGGAACCCTCCCCGCCTCGGGCTTCTTGGCCACACATTCTTCAGGACCAGGGAGAACTGCACCCTCTCCATGCTGGCGCCGTCAGCTGCAGGCCACGCCAACTCCTACAGTCCCTGCTGCCACAACAGCTTACAGCTGCCTGGGAGGTTCTGTCTCCGGACGGCCCACAGGCGGGCAGGATTGTGTGGGTGCCGCCCGGACAGGTTCATGAAGTGCCTCATTTTTCTCTGGAGGACATTCAAGCATTTCCTGGTCAAGTGACATGAAACTCACATCAGGGGACGTGCGTGGGGAGCCCAGCAAGCAGCCTCCCACCAGGCCGCAGCCGCACTTGCCTCTCCACACATCACAGAAACCACAGTCCTCCACGCATCTCAGCACCGAACCAAGCCCTCGCTCGGGGGAACGTGTGAGAAGGCAGGGAATCGGCCTTCTTTCACGGATGCACTCCAAGAACCCAGGAGGGGCCTGGTGCTGAGAGGCACTCCCACACACAGATCTCGGGGCGTCATCAAGCGCTCCCCTCTCCCGGGAGGACGACCTGCTCCTTTCGTCATGAAGGAATTCAACAGCATGCGAACGCCCTGCTTGTCCCTGTCGTGGCCTCTCCTGGACCACGCCCCTACTCTGAGGCTAAGCTCTGCAGAGCCATCACTGGTCTCTACCCCCAAGCCTGCACTCTCCACAGCGCCCACCCATGCGTCCTCATGGCCGGCAGCTTCTGGCAGAGAGAAGAGCAGTGGGTGGGACGTGTCTGCGGAGGACCCAGGGCCCAGGAGGAGCGGAGCTCAGCCTCAGGAGCGACCTGCGCTTTGCTCCTCCATGCGGAAGAGGCAGCACAGCTTCTGGGGCCAGGACAGGTGCAGATGGCCACACCAAGAGCCACCAATCTATCTTGATGCACTTATTTCCGGGCACATTTTAGTGACATTTCCAGAACGTTCTAATGACACGATGGCTGGGAGGACTTGGAGAAGGAACTTAGATGGCAAAATGCTAACAAAGCCAAGAGTTCAAATCCATCTAGGGCAAGCCAAGTTACTTCTTAAAACTGGCCAGACAGAACGCCCCAGCGGCCAGTGGCTGGCTCAGGACACAAGCTCCAGCTGTCACAGGGAGCACCTGTGGAGTCTGGCCCACTGAAACCTAAACCCAGACCAATACTCAACCACTCACCAAGTAAAGCTCTGATCCGAAAACCAGAAACCATCCGAACCCAAGCCATCGCAGCCACCGAACACCCACACTGTCCCTCCTCAGCAGCTGAAATGGGGCGGCACCCCGGGGAAGGTCCCACGCTCGGATCGCCCACAACCCTCGAGGAGATCAGAACTTTATTCCCAGAAGAACTGGTATAAAAGGGCCTCTAGAGTTAGAGAGACAGGCCCAGCAGAGCAAGGGGGTCCAGGGTCAGGCTGAAAAGGGGGGACTGAATCACGACCTGCCGCCTGGGCAGCGGGAAGTCTGGCGGTTCCTCCGCACAGCTCAGGTGGCAGGCGGCCCAGCACGGACGCCCCCCACCCCGGGGGAGGCCAGGAGTCTTTTCCGGGGAAACAGCGCCAGAGGAAGAGTTCTCAAATACTGACATTCAGGGTCCCCACACCTCAAAGAAAAGGCCCGCTCCTTGCCAGGCCACTGGGCAGTTGACCTCCCTGGATGAGAAGTGGCGCTCACACAGAGCTGCCGGCCGCTTTGTTCTTAAAGAGAAACACACGCATCCGAGAACAAAGAGACTGATGGGTATCCCAGTAAGAGATCGCTGACACCCTCCTTCATTATCGGGGGAAGCCACTGCACCACAAACCCAGAACAGGAAGCTGAATGACAAGCTGAATTAAAACAAAAAGCCCTTGAAAAATACAGACAGGACGATCCAAACAAAAAATTCCATACCAGAGTTGGAAGCTGAGCCAAACAAATCTTTCATAAAGGAAAGTCAAAAGTTAAAAAAACAGGAGGAAAAGCAAGAACCTAGAGGACATTCCAGAGTGAGAACTGAAAAAACACCCAACAAAATAAAACAGGAAAAATATTATCACAGAAATAACATAAGAACATTAGCAAGAAAATTAAAAACAAAAACAAAACCCAGGACTAAAGGAACCAAACTGTCCAGATACCAAGCACCCACCAGGATCAGCAAATAAAAAGATCCCCGGTAAATGAGGAAATCAGGAAATTTTACGACACCAAGGAAGATGTTAAGCTTCTACTAGACAGAAAGACAACTGAGCAGAAAACATCAGAAACCAGCATAGGAACTGATCTTTTGAGAACAGCACTGAAAACAATGCTTTCACAGTTCTGAGCAAATACAGATTTTTTTCTCTCTCTTTTTTTTTTTTTTTTTTTGAGACGGATTCTCGCTCTGTCGCCCAGGCAGTAGCTCGATCTTGGCTCACTGCAACCTCCACCTCCCAGGTTCAAGCCATTCTCCTGCCTTAGCCTCCCGAGTAGCTGAGATTACAGGCACATGCCAAAACGCCTGGCAAATTTTTATATTTTTAGTGGAGATGGGATTTCGCCAGGTTGGCGAGGCTGGTCTCAAACTCCCAAACTCAGGTCATCCGCCCGCCTCAGCCTCCCAAAGTGCTGGGATTACAGGCGTGAGCCACCACGCCCGGCCTACAAATACAGATTTTCAATCTAGATTTTTATACCCCACCAAACTTCTAACTATGAGGGTAAATAAACTCGTTTTCAGACAATCAAGGACTTCCCCCACCCCCCGAAAAAAATCATCTGTTTCTTCAAAAGCTCCCAGAAGTTTTGCTCGGACAGCATGAAGGGAAAGAGATGACCACACTGGAAACAGAGGTCAGCACAGGGGAGCAAGGACAGGAAGGTTTGGGACAACAGCTCCACTTCCAGGTCAGAGCACAACCAGTCCCATTTGGAGGAGGAGGATAAGGGGGTCTTGGAGGGAAGTGGTGAGGGGAGATCAATTTATTTAAACCTATGCAAAATACAACTGATAGGTGTGTGAGAGGTGGGAGCTTTGTGGGGAAAAAACAAACAGCAGGTAAAAGAAAATCAGGCTCATGGTAAAAACAAAGTTAATTAGCTTTAAGGGAAGATAGAATGGTACAAGAAAAGCCTAGCTGAACATATTACTTGTTTTAGCAGCCAACAATATTTTGCATCTTATTTAGAAAACACAACCAATGACCAACTATGCTCATGACATAAACTCATTCAGGATATGGAAGGTGAAGGTGCAGTGGGTGGATGGGAGGGAGAAGATCTCAACAGCCGTGACAAGAAATCAGCAGATGATGTCTACAAATTGATAAATCCATGAAGAAATCTGTTACTTACTAAGGTAAAGATCAGGGGACAGCCTGGCCAACCTGGTAAAACCCCATCTCTACAAAAAATACAAAAATTAGCCGGGTGCAGTGGCTCATGCCTGTAATCCTACCACTTTGGGAGGCCGTGGCAGGTGGATCACCTGGTCAGGAGTTCGAGACCAGCCTGGGCAACATGGCGAAACCTCGTCTCTACAAAAAATACAAAAATTCGCCGGACATGGTGGTGAGCACCTGTGATCCCAGCTACTCGAGAGGTTGAGGCAGGAGGATGGCTTGAGCATGGGAGTTTGAGGCTGGAGTAAGCTGTGATTGCACCACTGCACTCACTCCAGCCTGGGTGACAGAGCAAGACCCTGTCTCAAAACAAACAAAAAACCGATGACGACCAGGGGAAATGAGCTTAAGAATTGAGGAAAAGTGGCCTCTGGGACCTGGGACTAGACCATTGAGAAGGAATTAGTTTTTCGTGGCAACACCGTTCTCTCCTTAACCTAGCCAACAACCTATTTTCCAGAGCTCCGCCTGGCTGTTTGGTGTCGTCCAAGGATACACAAGAACAACGGTCACAGCGGGGTGCACCTGCAAAATGGGGCCAGCTAACGTGTTCTGGTCGCCTTTGGCATGATGTTGAAGCCGTCACTCCCATTTTAAGGGAACTGAGGCTCACAGGAATTACATCACAGAGCCCCAGTCAACTAACAGGTATAGATGAGCATACAGAAGCGTTCTCGGCTACAAGGAAGGCGGCCGAAACCATTTCAGCCGCGATCCCGATTCGACCCCAACGAATCTTGGTTGTTTCTTTTTTATTTTGTCAAACAGGGTCTTGCTCTGTTGTCCAGGCTGGAGTGCAACGGCACAATCACAACTCACTGCAGCCTCGACCTCCTGGACTCAAGCGATCTTCCCGCTTCAGCCTCCAGAGTAGCTGGGACTACAGGCGCGCGTCACCAACCACGCCCGGCTAATTTTTTTTTTTTTTTTTTTTGCAGTGATGGGGTCTCGCTATGTTGCCCAGGCTGGAGTGCAGTGGTGGGATCATGGCTCACTGCAGCCTCGACATTCCGAGCTCAAGCGATCCTCTCGAGTAGCTGGGCCTACAGGTACAACCACCACTCCTGGCTAATTTTTTAAAATTTTTTGTAGAGATGGGGGTCTCGGTGTGTTGTCCAGGCTGGTCTCGAACTCCTGGCCTCAAGCGATCCTCCCGCCAAGGCCTCCCTGAGCAGTGAGATTACAGGCGTGAGGCCCCGCGCGCGGCCTCCCAACAGGAGTTTGGAAATAGAGTTCCTGGCGGGCCCGACCCTCCAGGCCCGCCCAGCGCGGGGCCTCAGGATGCACAAGGCCGGACGCTCACGGGAGGAGGGAGGGGAGCGACGCCGCCGCCCCACCCTCGGCCCGCGGCCTGTCGCAAGCGCCTCTCTCCTACGTCCGCTGTCCCCCAGGGAACCCCCGGTCCGCGTCGGCCGCCGCCCTCAACCGCCTCTACTCCTCACCAGAGCCCAAGGCCGCGTTATCTCCTCCTCGTTTCGCCACCTCCACGACTTCGTTTGGCGAACGGCGGGCAAAGAAAGCACTTCCGGGGCAAATGAGACGGGCCCTCTGGTGTGCGCATGCCTGGCCCGCCCAGCGGCGTGAGTCAGAGGGTCCCGAGGCGCGAAGGAAAAGGCTGGAGGGGGAGAGGCTGAAAGCGCGGCCTGGAAGGCAAACTGCGCGTGCGCACAACGCTCTCAACGAACCCTCGGTCCGCTGCGGCCGCACGGGGCCAACTTTCGCGAGGGAGCGGCTGACACTCTCCGGGCGACGTTATCGCTCCCTCCGCCTGCGCCTGGCCGCTCTAGAAAGGGGTGCCAGCCATCGCTGGGGTGCCTTGATTCTGTTCCACCTTGGTCCGGTTTATTTCAGTTTAATGGTTATGTAACAACGGTCCGTCTCTCCTACCAACCGGTACCCCGCCCACGCCAGCAGCCACGGGTCGCCAGCGCCACGCAGCGGAGGCGGGCGGCATGGCTGGCCCAAGGTGCGCAGGCGCACTAGCCCTGGGGGTGCTTCCGTGTCTGCGCCCTGAGACATTTTTGGCGCCGGCCCCAGCCTGAGCGGGGACGGCGGCCGGGAGGGCGCGGCCCGGGTTCCCGTTCCCCGCGGAGCCATGCGGTACAACGAGAAGGAGCTGCAGGCTCTGTCCCGGCAGCCGGCCGAGATGGCGGCCGAGCTGGGCATGAGGGGCCCCAAGAAGGGCAGCGGTGAGCGGGACCCGGGAGACCGAGACAGTGCCAGGGGCGGGAGGCCGGGGCCGGGGTCTGGGCGGGGGTGCCGGAGGCCGGAGTCCGGGTCGGGGCGCCGGGGACGGGAGGCCGGGGTCCGGGCGGGGGCTGCCTGCGCCCCTGAGTGCGCGCTGTGCCCGCAGTGCTGAAGCGGCGGCTGGTGAAGCTGGTGGTGAATTTCCTCTTCTACTTTCGGACAGACGAGGCCGAGGTAGGGGCGTCCCGGGCGCGCGGGCGGGTCCCAGGCTGGGCCCCTCGGAGGCCGGGTGCTCACTGCCCCGTCCCGGCGCCCGTGTCTCCTCCAGCCCGTCGGAGCCCTGCTGCTGGAGCGCTGCAGAGTCGTCCGGGAAGAGCCCGGCACCTTCTCCATCAGTGAGTGGGGCTAGGGAAGCCAGCGGCGCTTCCCGCAGCCCGGGGCACCCGCAGCGCCGCACTTTCCCCTCCCCGGGCGCCCAAGGTCTCCTCTGTGTCCCCAGCCTGGCGCCACCCTCCTCAAACACAAGAGTGCATTGTCCACGGGCAGCTCAAGGTCAAGTTCTCCTGGCGGGCACCACCCTTCCCACCTGCCGAGTCCACTTAAGCTTGGGTCCCTCCCAGACTCTGCTCTTTGTTCCCTGTGGGCCCAGGCTGTACTTACAGGGCAGGTGGGCCAGCCCCACCCAAAGCGTTTCCCCAGCTGCCAAGAGTAGCATGGGTCTAGCATTGTTATATGGCCCCGGGCTGGAAATCCCAGGTGGGGGTAGGAGGAGTGAGAGGGGGGTGTTCTCCTGGGTCTTAAGAGATTCCCTTCTGCGGGGAAAGATGGAGTCCCTGCTAGTTTGCCCAGAGTGGCTGTCAAAATTCCACAGGCCAGGTGGCTTAAATATCAGAAACATTCTCTACAGTTCTGGAGGCCAGAAATCCTAGATGAAGGTGTGGGTGGGGCCGAATCCTTCTGAGGCCGAGGGGAATCTCCCAGTTCCTAGTGGTGGCCAGTATCCTCCAGGTTCCTTGGCTTGTGGAAGCGTCACCTTGTCCTCCTTGCATCACGTCTGTGCCCACATTTCCCCTTCTACACAGACGCCAAGCAGAATTTAGGGCCCACCCTGACAACCCCTTTTTACTTCACTTTATTATTTTATTTGCTTATTTTTTGAGACAGGGTCTTGGTATGTCGCCCAGGCTGGAGTGCAGTGGTGCAATCTCGGCTCCCTGTAACTTCCCCCTCTCGGGTTCAAGTGATTCTCCTGCCTCAGCCTCCCGAGTAGCTGGTACTACAGGCACGCGCCACCATGCCCAGCTAATTTTTGTATTTTTAGTAGAGACGGGGTTTCGCCATATTGGCCAGGCTGCTCTCGAACTCCTGACCTCAGGTGATCCTCCCACCTCGGCCTCCCAAAGTGCTGGGATTACGGTCTTGAGCCACCGTACCCGGCCCTCTTTATTTTTGAGACAGGATCTTTTGTTTCCGAGGCTGGAGTGCAGTGGCGTGATCACAGCTCACTGCAGCCTCAACCCCCTTGGCTCAAGCAGTCCTCCCACTTCTGACTCCGGAGTGGCTGGGCCTACAAGGCCCCACCACCACACCTGGCTAATTTTTGTTTTTGTAGAGATGGGGATTTTGCCATGTCACCCAGGCTGGTCTCGAACTCCTGAGCTCAAGCAATCCTCCCACCTTGGCCTCTCAAAGCGCTGGGATTATAGGCATGAGCCACCGCACCTGGCGACAACCTCATTTTGACTAGTTTATATGCAAAGACCCTGTTTATATACAGGGCCATACTCATGGGTTCTGGGGGGTCAGGACATGAACACATCTTTGTGGGGGCCAGAGAAGGGACAGTTTATGGGCAATGGCAAGAGGAAGCTGCTTGTGGCTGTGGGTAGGACCGACCACAGGTGTTCCATCCCCAGGCTTCATTGAGGACCCTGAGAGGAAGTATCACTTTGAGTGCAGCAGCGAGGAGCAGTGTCAGGAGTGGATGGAGGCTCTGCGTCGGGCCAGGTGGGGCCAGGCGGTGGTGGGCACTGCTGGGGTGGGCACAGCAGCCATGCAGAGCGGGCATTTGACCCCGTGCCACCCTTTTCCCCAGCTACGAGTTCATGCGGAGAAGCCTCATCTTCTACAGGAACGAAATCCGGAAGGTGACGGGCAAGGTGTGTGCAGGGCTGCAGAGGGCCGGGGTGGGGCTGCAGGTGGCAGAGGCAGTCCTCCAGCCCTGGCTCATGGCCACCCGTCCTCCCCACAGGACCCCCTGGAACAGTTCGGCATATCCGAGGAGGCCAGGTTCCAGCTGAGTGGCTTGCAGGCGTGAGCGCAGGGCACGGTGGTCAGCGTGCAGCGGGACGGGACTGGCCCTGCCCAGCCATGAATCGCTTGGCCATGCCTGGATCTGTTTTGTTTTGGTTTTTGGTTTTTGGGTCAGGGTTTCACTGTGTTGCCCAGGCTAGAGTGCAGTGGTGCCACAGCTCACTGTGACCTTGACCTTCTGGACTCAAGTGATCCTCCTGCCTCAGCTTCCCAAGTAGCGGGGATCACAGGCATGAGCCGCCACACCCGGCCATCACACCTGGATTTTCAGTGGGAGGTTTTTGGTTTGGAGACATCCAAAGCCTGAAGCCAGGTGGGTGTGGGCAGGGGCTGCATTTTATGAAACTGCCCAGCAAGCTGCGCTCCCTGGGGCCCCAGGATCCACCTAACTGGCCTGGCACCTGGTGCCACGTGCTGCTGCCGCCAGGATATGCGCCTTCCCACAGGTGCCCTGCCTGAGTTGTGTGCATCCAGGGGCCTGGTGAGCCCCCAGGCTGGTGGCATGGCCCCCCTGCCCCGTGCTGAATGAATGTACAGAGCCAGACAAAGCTGTGAATGGCCTAGGGGCTGAGTCCCACACCAGCTGTGAATTCTCCTGCAGACAGGAGGGCCCTGGCTGTGCACCTGGGGAAGTGGTTGCCCTGGGGCCAGGGTGCTTGTTCTGTTCAAATAAAGGTACCTCTTTTCCACACTGGATGGCGGTGAAGTGAAGGAGAGGGGAGGGGCAGCCAGGGAGCCCCCACCCAAGGGAAGTAAGGCTCAGGGTCCTGAGAGGCAGTGGCTGGGCCTCCTGCACTGAGGGGAGAGCTAGAACCCCCAGCCAGGACAGGTGGAGGCTGGGACCCAGGCCTGGGGAGAACAGAGCTGCTGTGTGGTATCAGGAATCCTGTGGTGACCTGGGGTCCTGCCTCTGGCATTCACGGGCCCTCCCGGAGTGTGGCTGGGGCCTGGGCGGGCTTTGGTCCATCTGATGTGAAAAGGACTTTGCCGATGTCATTGGGGTCGCAGATCTGGTTTTCCGTTCATCAAAAGGCACTTTGCCTGTGGCCTGGTGCCCTCATAAGCCTCCCCTTGCCTGTGGCCTGGTGCCCTCATAAGCCTCCCCAAGGCCAGGGTGTCCTGGTGTCAGCCCCCGGAGCTTCTGCTAGGAGCACCCCTAGGCCCTCCACTCCCCGTTTCGGCGATGACACACTAGCCGGGGCCTCTCACTGGCCGCCAGGAGACGCCTCATGCCACCTGGAAGAAAGGCTGCCATTCACACCAGGTCCGAGTGAAAACAGTCTGTTTATTACAGCGTCTAGAGGTGGGGATGCAGAATGCAGGGGTGCCCAGAGGAAGGGGCGCCTGCAGCCCAGGGGCGGACCGTGACAATGCGCGCAATCCAAATACAGTTCACCCGGAAGACACGGCAGAGCCTCCCACGTTACAAAGGCTGACACAGACCAGCAGCGTGTTGTGTTGGGAGGGGGGTCTGACCACGATGGCGAGGGCAGTCGGCGGGGGGTGGGGGGCCTGCTGACCACTGAACAGACTGACGCATCCTGGGGGCAGATAAATTAAGGGGGAAGTCTTAAATAAGTCACTGTGCGTGCCTCATGGGCCGAGGAGGGGGTATCCTAGTTTTTAGGGTTCCTATCAATTCCTGAGCAAGAGCCACTCCCAGGCGCCGCCCGCCCACCCACAGTCAGCAGCAGCAGCACAGGTCCCCGCCAGCTGCCCACGGAAACTCAGGCCAGGTGCCAGCACCAGGCTCCAGATCCCCAGTCTCCACAGCCACCCTGCCACCCGCCACACACCACCCCTCAGTCTGGGAGTGTCTGAGAAGAACACAGGCCCAGGGCTCAGAACAGGAGGGTGTCCGCAGGCAGCCACCACACTAGTTCACGTGTGGTGACACGCATATGACCCAGTGGGCTCAAGGAGACTTCTGCCTGGGCCAGTGGCTCTGAGACCCAGTGCGTGTCCTGAACATACGGTGGCCTGCGTGGGCAGGAGCCCTGCATGGCCATCTGCAGGACCCGTGATGGCACCCGGACTGCCACTGTCACCTAGAGGGAGGCAGAAGTAATACAGTGTTTAAAGAATGTGTCTTGTTCTAGACCAGGGACTCGGCCGTCTCTGCCATCAACCCTGTGGCGTATCCGGCCCGTGGCGACACAGAGCAGGCTGCCTGTCCTGAAGGCCAGGCTCGGGGCTTGGGGCTCAGGCAGAGGCACAGCACCTTCTAGCTGAGAGCACCAACGTGGGGTGGGGAGGGCACTGGGCACCACTTAAGAGGACAGGTCCGGAGCACCATCTTCAGAACTCAGCTATGTTGGAGGGTGGGGGTCTGAGAGGTTGTTGGGGGCTGGGGGAGGCAGCACCCCCCTCACCAGGCACAAGCAGGGGTCTTCAGGCCCTCCCACACAGGACTCCCCCACCTAGCAACCACAGAAGCCTTTCCTCCGTGGCTCCCTTTGGAGGCCACGTGGTAGGGATGTGACGTGTGTCCATCCTGCCCTTGGGAACCAGAACACAGGGCTGGCAGCTCCCTGGAGGGTGGATCTGTGGCACCTTGGGGAAGGGGCTCCCCGATGCCATCTCACAGGAGCAAGCACTTGAGAAGGTGGGCTCAGCAAGTGCCACACAGCCCAGGGCCAGATGCGGGGAGCTCAGACTCCCAGATCCCATCCTCCAGGGAGGGCACAGAGCCACCACTGCTCAGACAACCCAGGCCCTGACTGCTCAGGGCTCCAGAAGCACTGGAGTGGCCCTGCCTGCCTGCTACACCCCGGCCTCAGCTCCTCTCCTTCCACACCCAGTCCCAGGCACCCGCCAAGGCTGCAGAGTGGGGGGCCGACGTCACCCTGGGGCCTAGGGCCAGAGAGGCCAGGTTTCAGCAGTGCACCCTGGCCCCAGCACACCCACAGCAGCTGGGAGAACCAGCACAGGCTCCAAGGGATGGGTGCCAGGCGTGGCCCTGACAGGAAGGGATGTGGGGCAGGCAGGGGCGCCGGCAGCTCTGTCTGGGCTGCTGGGAGCTGCAACTGAGGGGTCTAGGGTCGGGGCTGACGCTGGGGCCATTTTGTGCACTGTTTGAATAAATAAGGTTTTTTCCCCTCGCTTTTCTTTCCTCTTCACTGTGCATTATACCATCTAAAAATAAAAGCTGTCAAATCTATGAAATTTATAAATTCTCATCACATCTCTATAAAATACTGCCACTCATTAGTGTGACTCTCTCCTGTACAGAAACACCAAGGGACCCACGACAGGCCTGCCCCGCATCGCAGGGCATGCTGCGAGCCATGGACAGCCGAGAAATACAAAAGTAAATGCACTTGTTCAACGTGCCCGCGCCGTCCTCACAGCACCATCGCGCAGCACATGGCCAGCTGCGTCACCGCGCAGGCCCCTTCACATGCAAGGGCGCAACCCACGCCCCGGAGGGTGAACAGTCTGGGGGTTCACAGTGCCGGGGTAAAGGTGAAGAGCTCAGGGCAGGCGCCAGGGCGCTCAGGAAGGGGCTCAGGCCGCGGGGAGGCCTCCGAGGAATGTGGTGGCGACGGGCCTGCCTTTGGTACGGGAGCAGCGCGTCGGGGGAGCCGGCCGGGCGGCGTTTCCGAGAACGGGGTTCGGCGTTGTCAGCGTCTAGTCAGCACCAAGCGGGTGGAGGCAGGCGCGGGCCTGGGGACGAGATAGCACCGGGGCAGGCTGTGGCGAATCCGCTGGCGGGCCCGCCCTGCAGACACGTGTCTTTATATAGAGCTCTCATATATAGATATTTATATTTCTCAATAAGTTGCCTTTTACCACTTAGATGGAATAAAATAAGTCAGAATTGTTTATACTTTTTAAAAAATGATAAATACTTTATCTAAAACTATCGACAGTACAAACTGGACCAGTCCCAGCCTCCTGCGGCGCGTGCCGCCGATTCACAGTGGAGCTCCCGTCCGTCCTTGCCTCTGCCGTCCAGGGGTGGGAGCCCGGCAGGCCGGCGGGCACCATGCCGCGGGCGCGAGTTGGTCCACACCGTCCTTGCATAGGTCTCGCGGTTGAGGTAGAAATCCTAGTTACCTGCAGAAGGGCACAGCGGGAAGAGCGGCCTGAGGTTACCATCGCGCCTGGGGGAGCCCAACACTCACCCAGGCTGGGGACCGAGGCCTCCCACGAGCACACACGCCACCTGGGGCCAGCACCATGACAGGCATAGTGCCAGCTCCTCTAACCACAACAGACGACGGGCGTGCCCCGTGACAGACCAGGGAGCCTGACACCTGGACACGCCGGCCAAGCTCCAGCCTTCCTCCAAAGGAGACACACAGCCGAGTCCAGCTAAAGCCACCCTACCTGCAGCTCATCTCCTAAGAGACCCAGCATAGCTTGTCCAGCCCGCAGGTGCCCGCATTGACCCGCCAGGCTGACCAGCCCTGGCCACAGCCTCCGCCTTGGCTCCTGGCTCCCAGTCCTCCTCTCCTTGCCCGGTGGGCTTTGGACTCGCCCAGGAAGGCCTGTGTCCCAGGGGCCCCTGAGGCAGAAGGCCAGGGGCAAGCAGAGGGCACCTTTGCACTACGCCGCCAGGCACGCCATGTCCCTGGAGGGCACGGGTGGCCAACTGCCCTCAGGGGTCAGCGGCCACAGTCTCCACAGCCTCTTGGGGGAGGAGTGAACAGGACATTCCCTGAAGGCCTCACATCATCAAAATCACTCCTGCTTCCAACTTCCTTCTGGTCTCAAAGGTGGGCACCGTCTACACTAACCTGCCCAGCTTGGTGCTGACATCTGAGCAGCTGAAAGCCCCTCGGCTGTGGGCCATGACCACAGGGCAGTGTGGCCATCAGCCGTGTCCAGCAAGGGGGCCTCAACACGCAGGGCACAGAGCTTGCCTCTCGACCCCGCCGGGAACCCATCAGCCCCCAGGCAGGCAGGGCACTTGGGGCTTCACTGGCTCCCTATGAGGGCATCCGAGGCTACTGGCCAGACAGCCCCGACCAGAGGCATCCAGCCAGCCACCCTGGCTCTCCAGGACCTCTGCAGCCGGCACCGTGCCTGCTACATGCTGGGCGCCTGGGGAACAGCACCAAGCCACGCCACCCGTCATGAGTGACCTGGGCCTGGTGCGGATGGAGCCCTGGAGACTGCTCTAGGAGCTAGAGCTCCCAGCCCCCTGGCCTGGCACCCCGTGAGCCTCGCCCACAGGGGCTGGCACAGCTGCCCCCAGGGCTGGCCTCAGTCCTGCGGCGTCACCGCAGGAACCCAGCTGCGGGCAGCTGGAACCCAACACACTCAGGCCACTCCATGGCTGGTGCCCGTCCTGTAGTCCCTCCTCTCGCGACCATCTCCCTGGTCTCCCTGGCTCTCTCCCTCTTCCCTCCTCAGGACCCCCGGAACTTCTGCCGAGCCCTGTGGCCGTCTTCTCTGCCAAAGGAAGGACAGTTCAGTGTCTGGAGTGAGCCACCGCGCAGGGCTCTGGCCTTACCTTACACAATACGCACTGCTAGCTAAGCAAGGTCTTTATCGCGGCTTAACCCCCGAAAGGTGCGCGGCATAGGGAGGCGGCATGCCGAGGGACACCCACACCGCGGACGGCCCCGTGGCGCTGGCCTGTGGGATCCCGGGCGCGGCCTGGGCCAGGGCCAGCCGGGGCAGGGGCTGGTGGTGCACCGTGAAGGAGGGGCGGGCGCCCTTGTGCGGGAGGGAGGTGAGCTTGATAGACAAAGAGGCGTTAGCAGGCGGCAGAGAGGCAGCAGAGGTGGGGGGCAAGAAAGCTTGGTTAGGCGGGAGGGACGCGAGGCTCTGCAGAAGCGCGGGCTCAGGGTTAGAGGCCAGCAGCGTTGGGGGAGGAGGCAAGGCGGCGTTAGGTGGAGGGGGGGCGTGGAGGACGGGCGGCCCCGCGGGGGACCGGCCCAGGTGCGCAGGCGGGGGCAGCGGGGGAGGCGGAGGCGGAGGCGGAGGGGGCGGCCGGGTCTCAACCGAGGCCGGGGCCTGAAAGGAAGAGGCCGAGGCGCTGGCCGCCGCCTGCAGCGGGCTCGGGCCCAGTGTGGCGCTGCCACATGCAGCCCCGCGGCCGACACGGGCTCCAAACGGATGAGCAGAGGCGGAGGGCACCGCGTGGTTAAAGACACCTGCAAATAGGAGAGAAAAACGCAGCTTCAACAAGCGGCAGCATCCAGGCAAGCGCAGAGCAGCAGCCGCAGGCTCACAAAAAGGGAAGCGAAACGGCGCCGCCAGGCGTGTGCGGGCACCAAGCACAAGCAGCGGCTCGGCCAGGCTCGTGGTGGCCCGCCCTCCGCCCTCCGGCCCCCCGCCCCGCAGCAGCCCCAGGGCCAGGCCGCTCCCCCCGGCGGCTCCTCTCCGCCCTGTCTGGGCAGGCACTGCGGGGACTCGCTCTTACCCAACACCAGCTCCCAGAGCCTTGCCAGAGCCCGGGCGGCCACACCTAGCAGGTGACCTCCACGGGAGAAAGTAATGCTCTGGTGGCCCTGCGCACGGTGGCCTTCTGAAAACAAGAGGGACGCGGTTACAACCAGAGAACCCAAGACACACGGACTCAGCGTGAGCCCTCTCCCCACAGGACTGGAGTTCGCCACCGTGCACGGATGGCGGGGGCCGGCCGGCACCAGGGGACCTGCAGCTCAGCTCCTGCTGCAAGAGAGTGCGGAAGGGAACCTGCAAAGGAAGGGGCCTCCGGCGGGGGCCGGGGCGGGGGGCGGACGGACGGCCGCCCTGCCTACCTCCAACTGTGCCGCCTGCCACCCCGGAAAAGCTGCCCATGGCGTGCGAGTTGGTCAGTCTGGTGGCAGCGGACGACACGTGCACCAGGCCTGCGGCGGCCGGCACAGAGCTGAACAGCGACTGCAGCACGGAGGAGCCGGCCACGGAGCCGAGGTTGGCCTGCAGGGACATGGGGCCGAGCGCGAACTGCGGTCCCGGCGGGAAGGGGCCCAGGAAGGACCGGTGCGTCTGGGCGGAGGACGCCGCGCCGCCTGCGGAGGACGCCGCCGGGGCCAGGCCGGGGCCGCTGAGGAGGCTTCCGGGAGGCACGGCCGCCGCAGAGATGAAGAGGTTGTGGCCATTCTTGAGGTCGACCTCGCGGTCCCGGGCCTTGGCGGCCTTGCCGCTCAGCAGTGGGGTCTTGTCCGTGGGCCCGCACAGCGGTAGGCCGCCCTCCCCTGCCTCCTTGCCGCGGCTGCCCTCGCCCTTCAGCCCAGCCAGGCCGTCCAGCTGCCTCTTGCTCAGGAAAGGGTTGGCGTCCGAGCCCTCCTTGCCGCGCTGCGAGGGGAAGCTCAGCGGGGAGCTCAGGCCGGCCGCCTCGGGGCCCTTGTGGGGAAGAGAAGCACCATCACTGAAGCTGTGTAAACTCAGGTCCGCGGCCAGGCCCCCGCCGAAGGTGCAGCCGTTGGCAGGGTTGGTGCCCGGGCTGAGTCCGTCAGCCCCCGACAGGGAGCCGGGAAAGCCTTTCCTGGGGTGAGCGGCCAGCTTGGCATCGGCAGAGGGCTCCTCCAGGGCGGGCCGGAACGTGAACAGGGAGTTCTGGCTGAGGGCGGAGCTGGCCTGCAGCGGGCTGTCCGCCGACTTGGCCAGGCCGATGTCGGAGATGGGCGAGAAGGTGGACTTCCACTTGCTGCTATTGACTGGCTCGCCGGCGGGCGCGGGCTTCCTTCCCGCCAAGCCACCACCTGGCAAAGAGGAAAGGCAGAAGCCGTGAGCCCAGAGCACCTGCCCGGGCTACCCATGAGGCTAACCGGGGCTGCTGCCACGGCCCGGGCAACTCTGCAGGCAGGGCTGGTCACAGACACTCAAGATGCCAAGCGGGACAGGATGGGAGAGGACAGGAGGGAAGGGGACGGGAGGGGACAAGATGGGATGGGACAGGAGGACTACAGCACAGGATGAGATGGCAGGGGACGGGACTGGATGGGACAGGAGGGCGGAAGACAGGACAGAGGCAGCTGAAGCGGGTCTCAGAGGCCATGCGGGATGAGCTCTGGGGAAAATGCTGAGGTCAGCAGCCTGCGGGAGGGAAGGTGGGGCTGCCCCAGAGCAGGTCAGGGTCCTCACTGAGGACGCAGGCACCACTCGGGGGGAAGGCCAGGGTGCAAAGCAAACAGGGGACCCAAGGTGACGATCCCCGCAGGTCAGCCACCCACTGTGAGAGCATGGCGTGTGCGCGGAGGCCCTGGGCTGCAGTGAGGGCCTCCCAGAGGCAGTTCTGGAAGCCCAGCGCCCCCAGTGTCGGCGCCCACGCAGGACACGACGCAGCAGGCCAGCACCACGCAGGACACGACGCAGCGGGCCAGCACCATGCGGGACACGATGCAGCGGGCCAGCAGGTGGGTCAGCAGCACTGACTGGGCACCACGGCCACACGGACAGGCCTGGCCACGCCGCAAAACACTTGTTACTCACCATTTTCCAAGGTTTTCGGGGGAGATTTGCTTTCTAAGGAGATTGTTGCAATTTTTCTCTCAATTCTGTTAAGAAAAAAAGGTCATTAATGCTTGAAACCCAGCTGCATACTAAGAATGACACAAATGCTGACAGCCAACAGCCCAGGGAGCTCCGGAGGTGGTGAACGAGAAGCACTCGGCCCAGACAGGGGACCCGTGCAGCCACCCTGGGCCAGGCCTGGACTGGGTGGCTGGGCCCTGGGATCCACCCCTGTTGTGCCACAAGGGTACTGTCCTGGCAGGGACTCCAGGGCCTCTGCTGGGACAAGCAGCCAAGAGATCAGGCACAGCAGCTGAATGGGAGAAGCAATTTCCCAGCACACAGAAGTGTGAGAATCCCAGACAGAGCTCTCTTCCTACCTCCCTCTCCCGGCCCCTCTCAGACCTCGGTGCCTCAGGTGGCAAACAATGCCACAGCATTGCAGGCCAGCACGTGAAGACATGCCCAACCACACACTGCATGGGGTCGCTTTGATCCAATGTCCCAAGAACACACCAGGGACACACAAATTCCTAAAGATCCTGGAAACCACTAAGCTGAGCAATCCCAATGCAAAACAGAGCATCCAGGTGCTACAATGTTTCTCGTGTAACACGTGCACGCACACGTGGGCAAGGAGCAGAACGAACTAACACAGAACACCACCAAAAGCACACTTAGGGCCGGCTGTGATGGCGCACGCTGGGAGGCACTGGGAGGCAGAAGGCTTGAGGCCAGGAGTTTGAGACCAGCCTGGGCAACATGGCAAAACCCGATCTCTATAAAACAAAAAAACGAACGAGGCACGGTGGTAGCGTGTGCCTGTAGACACAACTACTCAGGAGGCTGAGGCAGGAGAATCACTTGAACCCAGGAGGCGGAGGGTCAGTGAGCCGAGATCGCGCCACCGCACTCCAGCCTGGGCCACAGACCAAAACTCTGTGTCTCAGGAAAAAAAAAAAAAAAAAAGCAAAAAACCCTACCATGTTATATCACTTCACGACGACTCGGATGGCTAGAATCAAAACAAGAAATTCAGTGTGTTGAGGATGTGGGGACTGAGGACCTCAGACCCTCGTGCACCCATGGTGGCAGGGTGGAATGGTGTGGCTGCTGGAGAGCCCAGGGGGCCGGGCCACCCAGCACCTCCGCCCAGGCACCAGGAAACGGGAAACTTGCTCCCAAACACAAACACGCACACCCATGGCCACAGCAGTGCTGCTCACAACCGCCCAGGGTAAGCAAGCCTAGCACGGAGGGCGGATGGATGGTGGAGCACCACCCAGCCACGACAGGGACCGAGGATGCACCTTGAGGACGTCACGCTCAGTGAGAGATGCCAGACACAAAAGGCCACATCCTGTGTGACTCCGCTCCTAGGAGGTCCCTAGAGCCCTCAGATTCAGAGACAGAAAGTAGGATGGGGGCGGGGGGTGCCAGGGGCTCTTGGGAGGAGAAGGGGAGTGAGTGTTTCAAGGGGATGATGAGATTTTCTCAGGACATGATGGAAGGTTCTGGATTTAGGCAGTGGTAATGTGGATATACCAAAGACCTCTGAATTGCACACTTTAAATGGAGAATACGATATGTGAATTTTATCTAATAAAGCTACTGTAATACACTCGGCAAGACGTGTGGATGAGACCTCCAACGCCTCACTGCTGAAGCTTCTCTCCTGCTGCGCTCAGCTCCTCCTCAGCTTGCCTCTTCTAACCGATGGCCCTGCTCGTGTCCCACCCCGAATGGCCCGGGAGGCCGGCCCTGCCCGGAACGGGGCCCAGGACCTGTGGGGAGGCCCCTCACAAAACAGACGCCTTCCTCCCATCCAGGGCACCCCCTAAGAGCCTGCCGGTCCTCCCCACCCACCCACCCACACACACACAGTGAGCAGGCACCTCCTGCCCCTGCTGCCAGGCCCCGCCCCCCTCCGGGCCCCTGGACTCGCCGAGCACTGCTGGGCTCGTCCTCAGAGCCTGGCTCCTCGTCTGAGGTGAGTGGGGAGTAGTGTGCCCCATTGGTCTGGCTCAGAGGCCGCTCCTTCTTGAGCACGGGGGGCTGGTCGTGGTCCTGGTAGGGCACAGGGGAGCTCTTCAGGGAGGTCTCCGGGGACGAGATGGCTGTAATCTCCAGGGGCTGGTTGATGTTACTGACCTGAGGGCAGACAGACACAATGGATGCACATACCACAGACCCGGGACCCCAAGGCAGGAGAGCCCCCCCGCCCCAGGAGGCTCCTGTCTGCACCCCAGGGTCTCCTGAGGAAACTGATGCCCTGCCCAGCGGCCAGTACAGCCCCTGTCCTGGTTCTTCCTGGTCCTCACACACCACCCCGCAATCCCAGAGCCCCCCATGCCCCCTCCTGATGTGCCCACCACCACTAAGGCCCCACAGCCGAGAATGAAGAAGCTTGCAGGCAGCGCATCGCACTCCGAACCCCAGAGACAGCTGTCGGCCGCCTCTTCCCAGGCTGCCAGGCCGCACGTGGTGGAGGATGGCCGGGCTCAGTCATGGCCCCCTGCCTCCACCTGTTTTTTTTTGTGTTTTTTTTTGTCCCCCCGAGAGGGAGTCTCGCTCTGTGGCCCAGGCAGTGGCCGATCTCAGTTCACTGCAAGCCCCGCCTCCCGGGTTCACATCATTCTCCTGCCTCAGCCTCCCAGGCACCCGCCACCACGCCCGGCTAATCTTTTGTATTTTTGGTAGAGACGGGGTTTCACCGTGTTAGCCAGGATGGTCTTGATGTCCTGATCTTGTGATCCACCCGCCTCGGCCTCCCAAAATGCTGGGATTACAGGCGTGAGCCACCGCGCCCGGTCTCCCTCTGGTCTTTCTTTCACAGGCCGCGCTCCCCAGCCCTGCCGGTCCCCATCCTTACCATGGAGTTGAGGTTGAGGGGAGACCCCGAAGGCTGTGTGAAAAGGCCAGCGACGGACGGCAGGGCTCGGCGCTTGGGGGACACGCCTGCGCTCAAGCTGGGCGTCCCCGCAGATGCTCGCTTCCGCCGGCCGCGCCTGCGACTGTCCTGCCCGTGGCTCGGCACACAGTCCCCACGGGCGCTGGCGGTCAGGGGGCTGTGCTTGCTGGAGGGCGACTGCTTGGCACTGCCCGCACCAGTGGTGATGGTGAACACAATCCTCCTCTTGGCTTCACTCTCAGGATCTGAGAAGCCGGAATCGGAGGGCAGGTCTCCCTTGCTGGCCTCGGGCAACGGGCCCTGGGCGGCCCCACCAAGCCGGGGACTGGAGGAGAGCTGGTGGGCGGGAGAGGCAGGAAGCGAGTTCCGGGGCTGTGCCAGCAGCAGGGGGTGCTGTGGCGTGGAGCTGCGGGACCCCACGGTGGCAAAAAGGCTCCCAGAGCTGGAGGACTCATCCAAGGTGGCCGGCTCGGCTCCAGGTGTGAGAGAGGCCGGGCTGCCCGCCAAGGCCCCGCTGATGGCCACCGAGCCAGCGTAGGAGAAGCCTGCCGGGAAGGACATGGGGGTCTCAGGGGACACAGGATGGCCAAAGAGAAAGCCTTGCTGTGGGAGCACCACCCCCTAGGAGCTCTGTGGGCTCCAGGAGAGGCGGGGAAGTGGGGAAGGGGTTGGGAGTCTGAAAACGGCCCCTCTGGGGTGGAACCAGAAGGCTCTGTGGGCAAGCTCAAGGCTCAGGGCTGACCCTGTGCCTCCTCCCGCCCATCTGGGCTGCCTGTGCCCTGCAGGTCCCGGCTGAGACGCTGCCTCCCAAGAAGCCTCCTGGTGCGGGCTCCCCGCTGAGCTAGGCTTCCTCTGAGTAAGTTGCCCTCTGGCCCCGTGATCTCAGAGACACCATGAGGAAAGCCCATGGCTGCGTGGCCTCCCTCCCTCCTGTTCTCAGAAGACAACTCAGCTTGGATACTCCAAGCTATGGCCGCCTTGAAGGCCGCAGCCATGCTTCCCAGCCCACGATGAGTGGTGCACTTCCATGACCACCCGGGGACAAAGGGCGGCCTCCCTGCTTCTGCCAATGAGGCCTCAGTGCAGGGGCGCAGCAAGGCGCTTCTGGAGTTGGCTGTTTGCCACCCAGTTGAAAATCTCCTGAAACTGTCACTGCCTCTCGCAGAGCAGACCTCACCCCAAGGGCACAACCCAGCCCTGCGAGGGCAGAACTGCCCGGGCTTCGGTGGCCTCTCCAGGGCCCTCACGTGGCCAACCGTGAAGCCTGCCCAGCCTCCCTAGAGCCCCTCCTGTCTCAATAGCGGCCATGTACATTTTACTTGTTTTGTTGTTGTTTTGTTTTTGAGATGGAGTTTTACTCTTTTTGCCCAGGCGGGAGTGCAGTGGTGCGATCTCAGCTCACTGCAACCTCCACCTCCCAGGATCAAACGATTCTCCTGCCTCAGCCTCTCGAGTGGCTGGGATTACAGGCGTCTGCCACCACATCCGGCTAATTTTTGTATTTTTAGTACAGACGGTGGTTTCACCATGTTGGCCAGGCTGGTCTCAAACTCCTGTCCTCAGGTGATCCGCCCACCTCGGCATCCCAAGGTGCTGGGATTACAGGCATGAGCCACCACGCCCGGCCACATTTTACTTTTTACTCCTAAAAAAGTAGCTGCCGCATCATACCGCATCTCAACCTGGGGCCAGCAAACCAGCCTGGGGGTCTCATGTCCTCTGCTGTTTTAAGTACAGTTTTGCTGGCACACAGCCATGCCCGCTGACATGCTGTCTCTGCGGCTTCCACAACAGACAGGCCTGCAGTGTCAACAAAAGCCAAAGTGGCATCCTCTCTGGCTCTCTGCAGAAACTGGGCTAACAGCAGAGACTGCTCAGGCGGCACCTTCTCAAGGAACCAGAAACCATGCCGCTACCAGCACGGAGGCCCACGGTCGTGTGCCATTGGGCACTGCTGTGTGTGGAGCCGATCCTGAGTCAGGGGCCTCCCAGCTGTGAGTACAGGAGCCCCCGAGAGCACTGGGGCCGACCTCACGGGCTGAATTAATACACCCAAGCAGGAGGTGTCAGTGTCGGGAGACCCAGGTATGAGGCCGAGATGGCTGCAGCTGAGCCCGATCCGCATCCCAGCTCGTGGGATGCAGGAAAGGGTGTCAGTAATGAGGCGTGGCGGTTTGGGGCAGCAGCCCCCATGATCACCCCAGGAAGCCCTGTTCCACTCCCAGCAACCCAGCCCTCCTGCCTGAAGAGCAGCAGCAGCAGCAGAGTCCTGAGGGTAGGGCACAGGAGGGGCGTTACCTGCGGGGGCCAGGGCAAGGCTTCTGCTCCCAGCACCGTGGGCATTAGCACCAATCTGCTTTTCAAGTGTGGACGAGGGGTCACGGGGCTGCAGCACGGGACTGGGGGTGCTCCTCTGCAGAGAGAAAACCCTGTGTGTCAGGGGCAGCAGGTGCCCCAGGAGACCCAGAACCCAGCTGGAAACAGTGAGTGTTGAGGCCTGCAGCTGGCTGGGGGAGGCCGCCGGGGTCACCGTCCAGTACCGCGTGGGAAGAGGGCAGCGGGGGAACTTGAGCGGGGCCCCAGGCGAGTGGCGCAGCGAGAGTGCGCGGTGCCTGCGTGTGAATGGGCAGCGGGCCTGAGGCAGGGAGGTCAGGAGGCGGGGGTCCCGGGGTCCAGCTGTGGGGAGGGGGTACTGGGCACAACCCAAGCAACCCACAGCCCGCCCTCACCGGGAAGCGGCTGTGTTCTCCAAGCAGCACAAATGCCAGCAGTCGGGTGGGGTGAGGAGGGCGCTTGCGAGAACACACCTGCCGGCCACCACCCACTGCACTTCCCCACACCACACTCCAAGTCCAACAAAGGTCAGTAGAGTGACCGCAGAACCCAGTAGCTCCACTCCCACATGGGCCAAAGAGCAAACCTACATCCACACAGAAACCTGGACCCCAGCGCTCACAGCAGAACGATTCACAATCGCCAAAACAGGGAATCAAGCCGGGGTCCATCAACTGGGCACGGATGAAGATGGCACACTCCATCCACACAGGGAATGCCCTCACGTGCCAAGAGAAGGGACAGGCCCAGACATGAGCGTGTTCGGGGGCCCGGGGGCTGGGGGACGACTAGGGAGTGACTGCTGAGGCGGGCAACGCTTTTTCCCGGGTGAAGAAAATGTCCTGAATTAGACAGAGGTGTATAAAAGTACAAAAAACCGGCCGGGCACGGGGGCTGACACTTGGAATCCCAGCACTGTGGGAGGCCGAGGCGGGTGGGTCGACTGAGGCCAGGAGTTCGAGACCACCCTGGCCAACAGGGCAAAACCTCCACCTCTATTAAAAATACAAAAATTGGCCGGGTGCGGTGGCTCATGCCTGTCATCCCATCAATTTCGGAGGCTGAGGTGGGCAGATCACCTGAGGTCAGGAGTTTGAGACCAGCTCGGCCAAGATGGTGAAACCCTGTCTCTACTAAAAATACAAAAATCAGCTGGGCATAGTGGTGCATGCCTGTAATCCCAGCTACTCGGGAGGCTGAGGCAGGAGAACTGCTTGAACCCAGCAGGCGGAGGCTGCAGTGAGTAAAGATCACAAGATCGTGCCACTGCCCTCCAGCCTGGGCAACAGAGCAAGACTCCGTCTCAGCTGGTGGGGGCGGGGATTAACCGGGCGTGGTGGTGGGCACCTGTAATCCCAGCTACTCGGGAGGCTGAGGCAGGAGAATGGCATGAACCTGGGAGGCAGAGATTGCAGTGAGCCGAGATCACACAATTGCACTCCAGCCTGGGGGACAGAATGAGTCTCCATCTCGAAAAATAAAAAAAAAGAAAGAGGCCAGACGTCGTGGCTCACGCCTGTAATCCCAGCACTTTGGGAGGCCCAGGCGGGCGGATCACTAGGTCAGGAGATCAAGACCATCCTGGCTAACACGGTGAAACCCCATCTCTACTAAAAATACAAAAAATTAGCCAGGCGTGGTGGCGGGCGCCTGTAGTCCCAGCTACTCGGGAGGCTGAGGCAGGAGAATGGCGTGAACCCGGGAGGTGGAGCTTGCAGTGAGCCGAGATCGCACCACTGCACTCCAGCCTGGGCGACAGAGTGAGACTCCGTCTGAAAAATAAAAATAAAAAATAAAAAATAAATGCTAAAAACCACTGAAGCATATACTTGAAGCGCACAATTTTTAAAAAATAGTTCAATGCCCAGAAAATCCCGCCCATGCTACACAAGACGAGATTCTCTGCATGCACAGCGCTGGGTGGGAGAACCCAGAGGCAGCTGTGAGGACAGGGGCCACGGCAGCCAATGTGGCCTCGTGAGGAGTGAGGCTGGGAGCCAGGGTGGGCCTCTGAGCTCCTCCTCAACCCAGAAGGTGTGAGGCCCTCTCCACTTGCACACGTACCTTTCACCCAAAAGAAAAAGACTGGCGAAAACAACGGCCCAGGTCACCGGACACGCCCCGGCTTTGGACAGCCCACCTTGACTGCATTGCCTCACGCTCGACATTTTACAGCGTGAGACTTCGCAAAGTGAGCCAGGTCTCGAGCACCCCAGACTGTTTTGCCTCAACGTGGCCCTTGGGGACAGCCACCTGGGAGCCACTCACCGCCCTCTCGGCGCGGCTGGGCAGCACCACGCTGGCCAGGGGAATGCTGACCGGGAGCTTGTTGGGCTGCACGGTGCTGAGCGGGATGCTGATGGGCAGGCTGGTGATGAGCTCCCCGCTGCTGCCGTAGGCGCGCTCTCTCAGGCCCTGCAGACGAAGGCCCGACCCCCAGTCGTGGGTCAACAAACCCCTCCAGGACACAGGGACCACAGCCACAGGACGGGGGCCTGCTACAGCTCTCTCAAGGCGGCCCCCACGCTGCCAAGGCCCTGCAACCTTCCCCACGCAGTCAGGCCCTCCTGGACACCGGCTTTGGGACACTCCAGAGGGACGGCACGCTCCTGGTGTCTGAAAGCAATGCCCATCTGTCCCCTCCAGCCTGCCCGCCCGGCTCGGTGGGCAGTCACCCGTGGGGCCACCAAGCCTCCCAGGGCCCACATCCATCACTGCCAAGTCCATGCAACGTCACCGTCCTTCCCTCTCCATCCCTGTGCACACAGGCCAGTGCCCCCGGGGAAGTCCTCATGGGCAGCGGCCTCCCAAACTGGGCTCTGTGTCTCTACCAGCACTTGCCGTCCGTCACTGAGAACTAAGAGGCATCAGGGACACCCTGACAAACCCCATGTCCTCCATGGCACCTGCCCAACGTCACCTGTGACCTGTCCTTACTGGTTGCCCCCAACTCTGCCACAACATCCTACTCCAGGTCAGCCCCAGTACCTCACCGTGCCCCAAGGTCAACTAGGACAAGCCCTCCTGCTAGCAACTCGCTCAGGCCGCCTCTGCTGAGCACCTCCCTGAGCCCGGGGCAGGGGTCGCGGCCCGCACCTTCTCACTGCTCTTCTCTCCAGCAAGCTGCAAGGCCCCAGGGGACAGGGGCCGCGGGTCCTGAGGGCTCAGCTTCATGCTGCCAGGCACGCTGGGGCTCTGGTAGGGAAGGCCGTTCTCCTTGGTGTGCTCAGCTCTGGAATGAGAAGCTGCAGTCACTCTCGAGGGCCGTGGGCTGGCACTCAGAGGCAGCGGCCTGGCCCAGCACCTCCCCACCTCAGTCTCCTCAACAAACACACTCCTGCTGAGAACCCGACAGCCTGAGCACACCAGGCAGAGTCGGCAGGTACCAGCTGCAGACCCCCAGCCCCACCAGGGCACTCACCTCGAATGCAGCTCACTGGCAGCCGGCCTGCCGGGCACCGTGTGGTCCTGGCTCAGGTGCCGCCTCAGCACAATCTTGGCCGGGGACAGCCTAGTGTAGTCGGGTGCGGCTAGGCCAGACAGCTTCTCCAGGCGCGGCCGGCCGACGTGGCTAGGGGTACAGGGCACCACCTCCTGGTCCAGGGGTGAGGCCAGGTACTGGGGCGTGTTCTGCTTCGACGAAGGCCGGCTCAGCACACCGCAGAGCTCATAGCCAGCAGCCTGGCCGTTCATGGAGAGCTCCGGGCTCATGCTGCTCAAGTGAGGCAGCGAGAACTTGGTGCAGTCCAGCTCCAGGTGCAGCCGGCTGGCGTCAGGCTCCAGCTCGCGGCCCAGGGCGCCCTTCCCACGCAGGTGCAGGGACAGGGCGTCGTCAGGCGGCACACAGGACTTGAGCTGCAGGAGCTCCTGCTGCCGCTGGCTCTTCTCTAGCTCCACAATGCTGATCTGCAGGAGGAGAGATGGTGTCAGGCCCGCCCCACCGGGGGACCACTCCAGGGAACCAAGACTGCCACAGATGGACACCCGGAGGGGTGGCCAGGACCCCCGCTGCTTGTGTGGGATGGAAAAACCAAAGCTGCCGACCACATAGAGGCGGGGTCGGGAAGCTGGGGGCGTCAAATAAAGTCATGTGGAGGGCCGAGGATGGTTTTTGCTGACATGGAAGCACCTTCTTCAAAAAGAGCAACAGGAAGATACAAAGAGCTCTCGTCTCTCAAAATAGACTCTAAGTGTAAAACATCCAGTTTCACTAAGTGTAAAACCTGTGGAGGGACACGCCACTCGAGCGTGGCAGCTTCCCCGGGCGCTGAGTCTGAGAGGGGCTTTTTCCTTTTAGTTTATCTGTTCTGTTTACCTGCTTTCCTTTCTTTTAACAAACACATTGTTTTTTTATTACACAGAAAAGATGATGACAAAAATGGTCAGAACCCAAATATGCTCTTCCCGAGGGCTCTACTCCAGGCAGACCCACAGGGCCCGGCTGTGGTAAAGAGGTCGGCGACCTCCGTTTCTCTAATGTACGCTGGTGAGGCTCGCCTGGGCCACACACGTGAGGGAGCAGCTCGGGAGCACGTGAGTGGTGCTTCCCGACGTCCGTCAGCCGCCCGTGAGAGCCCGCCTCCGGGGACAGCCTTGCAGCAACGGTTTGGTGCAGTCATTTGAAAAGGCAGCAGAGGTCCAGCGACAGGGCACCAGGTCCATCAACAGTGAAACCACGCTGGGGACACGTAAGGTGAGCAGGCGGGCACAGTGTCGACGGGATGGGGCTCTGGGAACAAAGCCCGTGACCTGCTGCTTTCTAGGCTGCACGGCAGCTGTGGGCACCGCCCACCAGCACCTGCCTCTGCCTGGGAGCAGGGAGGAGAGCACCTTCCCGCTGCACACCCTCCTCCACACTTCCTCTACTCGGCCTCCACGAATGCGTTTCTCGGTGTCAGAAAGTACAAGCTATTTTATTTTTCAGATGGGGCCTGGCTCTGTCACCCAGGCTGGAGTGCAGTGGTGCAATCTCAGCTTGCTGCAGCCTCCACCTCCCGGGCTCAAACACGGCCCTTTTTGCCTCAATATGGCCCTTGGGGATGCCATCCTGGGAGCCAGAACTCCTGCCTCAGCCTCCCTGGGAGCTGGGACTATAGGCACACACCACCACACCCGGCTAATTTTTGTATTTTTGCTAGAGACAGAGTCCCACTGTGTTGGCCAGGCTGTTCTCCAACTCCTAGCCTCAGGTGATCTGCCCGCCTCAGCCTCCCAAGGTGCTGGGATTACAGGCATAAGCCCCTGCACCGATCCAGCTGTTTTTCTAATGAGCAAATTCTCCCCTATGACTGTTACAGAAATGATTTGCAAGGAGGCAGCCAGGAAATCAGGAAATCCTAGGTTAGCGCTGCGCATTCAGCCAAGCAATCCCGAGATGCCCCCGAGAGCTGAGGGCTAGAGTGAGGCAGAGTCATCCACACGGGCAGCCTGCGGCCCAAGACAGAAGGTTCCATAAGCCTCCACCCAACTGTCCTCCTCCACCTTCTTCCTAGGCTGCTGCAACCGCAACCACCCTAGGCTCAACGACGTCACAGGGAGGCTGATGGGAGAGGCTCGGACACCACGGAGTGCAGCCTCGCGCGCAGCCCACCTGCAGCTCCAGGCAGTGCCTCTGCTTCTCCGAGATCTGGCTCTTCAGGGCCTGCTTCTCCTTCAACAGCTTCTCCAGCGACAGCGTGGCCCAGTCCAGCTGCAGCTCCTCGCAGCGAGCCTTGAGCTGAGGGGATAGGGATGGGACAGTTGCGACTGGCTGGCTGCCTGCCCAGCACACCCCACACTCTCAGGGCAGGGTTCCCTGGGCCTGCCTCAGCCAACAGCATGTGTGCTTAGGGCACAGACCCCGTTTCTGGAATAGCAGGCTGAGGATGCGGAACACGCGGAGACTGGGGCCCCCCACGGACAGATGAGGCAGCTCCAGCACCCACACCACGATGGTGGGATGCTCGCATGACCCCACACCTCGAGCCTGCCAGAGTGTGGCTCCATGACACCCAGGGCCGCTGAGAAACCATCCAGCCGAGGGGCCCAGGCCTGCCTGCTGTGACGCGCTCGACAAGCTTTCACAGGTGGCGCAATTCGTCTGGGAACAAACCCCACAACAGAGGCGGGCCTTCCAGAGCCTCCCACCCGCACAGAGGACACACCCGCCCAGGCAGGGCCCCTCTGGTTCCACGTCCCTGTCCTTGCGCCGCGGCACCCACCAGCTGCAAGCTCTGGCCGCGGAGCGCGCGGTTGTCCTGCTCCAGCTGCTCCGACTGCTCCCGCAGCTGCTGGTTATGGGCGGAGATCTCCTTCTGCGCTTGAATCAGGTCGTTGTAGGTCAGCGCCTTCACACCCAGCTGGGGACATGGGGCGGGGGAGAGGTCATGCTGGTGGCCTCCAAGGTGAAGTAAGCCCCCAGGCATGACCACCCCTGCAGCCCAGCCCCTGGGACACAGCTGGACAGAGGCATAGACAGGAAGCCACAGGAAGCCATACCGACGGACATGGACCACCCCAGCCTGCGCCCCAGCTGCCACCTGCCACCTGCCCTCTGGGGTCCACTACCTCATCCAATTTTTGCTGAAACAGCCTCCTGATCTCCTCCTTCTGGGCCTGGCAGTGGCTGAGGAGCTGCTGAGCCGCACCCAGGAGCTGGGCGTTCTTCTCCTGTAGGACAAACAGGGCAGGTGACTAAGGGCCAGGGCAGGTGACTGAGGGCCCACAGGGAGGGCCCACGCCCTGCCTCTCATGCTTCCTGAAGACACGCTCAAGGACAGACATGCCTGAGGGGACCCACACCGGGCTGAGATGTCAAGAAATACTCAGGCCACGGCGGGAGGGGACCAGCTCTGCATCAGGTTCACTGCAAAGAACTCTCGCCAGCTGGAGGGACTGCACCTGCCACCCCACCTGGACTCAGCCAGGGCAGCGCCCCCAGCCACGCAGAGGCCGGCCAATGCCAAGGAGTTTATCCCAAGGCAATACCAGGGGATGGACTTTTCACATGGATCTGCAAGGAAGCCTTCTGCAGCGTAACAGCAAACACTCAGTGTCCGGAGGCCCACCTCCAAGGGAAGACCCCAGGAGCCACTGACACAGGACAACCTTCAGACACCAGCAGAGAACAGGGCCCCGGCCCAGGCATGCTGTCAGCTACACAGTGAGCAATGCATGTGCATATATGCTCAAAGCACGCTGTAAGCTTTTTTTTAAAAGCAAAGCCAAAGTCCAAAATGCAAACCAGGGCTCAGGGACAGCCGACCTTGTGGCTCCAATGGCTTTTGGAGTTATCTCTGGGCCGCCAGAACTTCCACCCCATAGCCCGGCCCTAGCTCCCCACTAAAGCAGGTCCTCGGAGACTCCCAGGGCGGGGCCCCACAGCCGGGACCTCAGGTGAAGGAAATCATGTATACAGTGGTCCATTTCCAGGACAAACTGCCTTGAATTGGCTTAGGTCAGCAAACTACAGAAGAGACAGCATGTACTAGGCCCCTGCTTGGATCGCTGATGCCTGCTTGTCAGCCTCCCCTGCCCCCGCTTCCCCCGGCTTAGTTGCCCTCACCCGAACCAAAGAAGTTTAGCCTAAGATGAAGGTTTACCAGCCTGCAAAAGAGCTGGCTTTGTCTGTTCTTAATCAGCCTGCCCAGCTACTTAGATCATAAGTCAAATACTTGAACAGTCCCTGAGCTGACTGGGATTGCAATGCACAAAATGCAGCAGGACAACCCTAAAGAAAACACCTACAACCGGGCGTGGTGGCTCATGCCTGTAATCCCAGCACTTTGGGAGTCCGAGGCGGGAGGATCACGAGATTAGGAGATCAAGACCATCCTGGCCAACACAGTGAGACCCCGTCTCTACTAAAAATACAAAAAATTAGCCGGATGTGGTGGTGGGTGCCTGTAGTCCCAGCTACTTGGGAGGCTGAGGCAGGAGAATGGCGTGAACCCGGGAGGCGGAGTTTGCAGTGAGCCGAGATCACACCACTGCACTCCAGCCCCTGCCGAACCAATAGGCGACAACTGGGAAGACTGTGACCTCACAGTACTCAGCCTTTGAGGAACCGGGGGAGGGACCTGTGCACTAGGGGGAAGGTTGCTTGTTCAAACTGTGCTGGGTGTGCCTATCAGACACCAGGTCTTGCAAAACCATGATTAAAAGTCTCATTTTCGCTGTTTTCCGGGTCTCTCAGTCCATTCTTTGGGTTTAAACGGGTAGGTTTGTTTCTCGCAGCAGGTGAGCAGAGGAGGGAGCCCACTCAGGCCTGCGCTCCAGGGCCTCTGCCACAGGGGACAGATGCCCAGGAACAGGAACGAACTGCCTCTGTGCGGGAAGGCGGAATGCCAAGGGGGCCAGGACCCACCTTCTCCTGGCCCAGCAGCTCCTGCAGGCTGGCCTTGTACTGGGGGGTCTTTGTGTATGCCAGGAACTGCAGGTACTGGATCTTGAAGGACTCTGGGAAGAGAGGCGGAACACAGGTGAGAAGAGAGCAGCTGAGACTGAGAGGGAAGAGGTGGGAGCAGCCCTTGAGAACGAGTCCCAGGCCTCGGCAGGTGTCAGGCACTCATGAGGCAGGAGCTCAGCAGAGCCTGGCGGGGCCCATGCCACACGCCCCAAGCTCGCAGAGCACTCAGGCCCTCTGACCCCTGCGCAGCCAAGTGTTCACCGCGTGGGGCCATCCTGGGCACTGCAAGGCCCTGAGCAGCATCCCTGGCCTGCACCCACCCCATGCCAGCAACATCCCTAAGTTATGACAACTGCAGACGTCCCAAGTGTCACCCAGCATCTCCTGGGTAAGACCTCAGACAACCCACAGGCTGCATCTGAGCCTCTACTGACCCCTGCAGCAGGCAGACCCCAACCCTGGGTAAACTTCAGTGGGGTCCAGCATGGAGGTCACGGGGGCTGCTGCGAGGTCAGCGTCACAACCCACGGTCCTCCTGGGATGACCCCAAGCCCAGAACCCTTCGCCGGACGCCTCACACGGGCTCACCTAGAAGCTTCTGCAGCGCGGGCGGGGTGGGCGCCACCAGCAGCGGGTTGGGGGAGTGCCGCTGCACGCTCGGAGGTAGCTGGTAGAACGGGCTGTGAGGGGATCTGTAGGCATCTGGGAGAGCGGAGGGCAGGCGTCAGCACAGGGCGGGTCGGGAGAGCGGTGGGCAGAGGCGTCAGCATGGGGCAGGTGCCCAGCAACCCCTTAGGATGGGGCCACCCTGAAGGCACAGCCACAACAGGGAGGCTCCAGGGACACCCTGAACACACGGGGCTCAGGAGGGCAGCGTCCCAGCAGAGGGGACCCCAGGCATCCGCACTCGGGGAGAGCGGGGGCCGTGGCGTGGGGGCGGCTCACCCTGGGGTGAGGAGGCCGCCGTCTGAGACACGGTCTGAGCGTGCAGGGCATCCAGTGCAGTTTGGTTCTTCTTGGGCTTCCGCTCGGGGTTCGCAGTGTTCATCTTCTTGGGGCGCCCGCGCTTGCGGCCAGCCATCTTCCTCCCCTTCTTGTTTAGCTTCTTCTTGCGGGCTTTGGAGGGAGACGGCTTCTTCACGGTGGCTGCTCCCGCCTTCTCTTCCTCAGCACCAGAGTCCTGGAGGACACAAGGGAAGAACAGGGATGGGCACAGAGCCTCCCACCCATGGGGTCTCCCGGGCAGGGGGCGGGTGCCCTCCAGCAGCAGGAGCCAGGCTGGGGCCTTACCATGGGGGCGTCGGCGGGGCCGGCCACCTTGCCCTCTGGGCCCTTAGTGGGCGTGGCCGCGTTGCTCTTGCTCTCGCGCTGCTGGCGGCGCCGGGCTGCCTCCTGTTCCTCCTGGAAGGAGAGCAGGTTGAGCCACAGGAAGCCCCAGCGCTGCCCACGGCCCTCCTGCACCGAGAGGCACGCGGAGCTCAGACTCAAGGGGGCCACGGGCCCAACTCTGTCCACTGCAAGTCCTCTGTGGCACAAATCAGGAAACTGAGGCCCAGAGACAGCAGTGGGCTGCTTGGGGCCCCGCAGGCCAGGACGTGACCCGTGGGCACGGATAACGGCATTCACAGCCACTCCCACAATCACAGATGCCTGTCAGTAAGAAGCCAGACTGTGAGCCACAGAGAAAAAGAACCACATCCAAGACAGGAGACGAGAAGCCCCTCAGGCAGCAGGACCTAGAAGCCACAGCCCACAGCCTCCCCTGCCCTCTCTCCTCTCTTCGAAAGGCACCGAGGCCCACACATGGGACGCCATGCACAAGTTCTCTGATGTGAGTTAGTGGAGGGCGCGACCCACGGGAAGGGGAACACAGGGTGCGCCGGCCACCTCGGGCCGTTCCCTGCTCTCCAGGGAAGACCCACATCCCCCTAAGCATGGTGGGAAGGACAGAGGGCCCCCGAGGGGTACCAGGCTCTGAGGCCGGGTTGGAGCCCAGCCCTGGCTACAAATCCAGGCAGTGACAGAGCCCTTCCTGTACGGGGTTCTCCGCATGCTGGTCTTGTCTGACCCCCTCCAAAAGGAAAGGACGCCCGGACAAACATCCTCTCAGCTTTGGTGGCAAATAAGCAGGCAGGTCTGAGGCTGCAGAAGCGCCAGCGGGCAGGGCGGCCACTGTGGCTCCCCAAGCCAGGCTTTCCCACCGCTGCTTTAAGGTGGGAGAGGAGGGGACAGCCCTGCCTCCGACGGTGCAGCGCGTGCAGGGCGCGGGGGCCCAGGAGCTGCACTCTGCACCGAGGGTGGGACAAGCGCACATGTGTGGCCCCCCAGGCCTCAAGAGGGGGCAGCCAGCAGTGACGCACAAGCTTTTCACCCACCCAGCCCTTCAGTGCAACTCACCCCACCACCAAAACTAAGCCAAGCCACCTCCCCAAAAATAAGTATTAACAAGGGGAAGGATGTCCCAGGCCAAACCATCAAAGACAAGGCAAAGCATGAAGACAGGCAAAGAGACAGAGAGAGGGTGGGAGAGAGAGAGAAACGGAGAGGGAGGGTGGGGGAGAGAGAGAGAGATTGAATGGTGAGAGAAAAGGGCTGGGAGAGGAGAGGAAGAGGGGGAGGACAGGGAGGAAAGGGTAGGGAGAGGACCAGGAGTGACAGTGGGGAGGAGCAGGAAGGAGGCGGGAAAGGGCACAGGGCCGGGCCCCGAGGGGCGGCAGGGCTGTGCTCCAGTCGTGGCTCCTGAACCCGGCTGCGCACGGCTTTGCATTTCCCCACATCAGTGCATGCGTGTTATTAACCCAAGAGAAAAAACACACAAACTTACCCTGAGTTTTGGGTTTTTCAGACTAGAAAAATAGTTTTCAAGCTAAAAAGAAGAAAGAGAACCCTGATTAGAAGGGAGTCCCAATCTCTGTTCGGATTTGTCTGGACACCCAGGTAACAACAGCAACCTGGACAGTGGCTGGGGAGGCTGTTCTGGTATCTGGGGACAGCAGGCATGCAGCTAGAGCCCCCCAGTGGCAAACGCGGATGTGACTAACCCAGCTGTGGCCAGGCGTCACCCTCAATTCACCAGCACGCGACGGGTGGGCGGGGCTGGTTTAAGCCTTCAGAACAGACACAGGGCCCTGGGATGTGTCTCTGCTTCTGGAAGAGGGAGGGCTTTCTGCACAGAAGAACCGCGCCCGCCTCAGAGGAGAAGGCGAGAGGCTGCGCCGAGGGCGTCAGTGCCAGGGCAGCTGAAGCAGCAGCACTGCGTGGAGGTGGGGGCCGCACGGTAGGCCAAGCCCCCAGAGCCTCAGCCTCAGCTCACCATGCCTCTCGTCCCAGGGCCCTCGGGGGAGCAGTGGGAGGGCGGGGTGCATCTGCCTGGGGCTGTCGGTCCCCAGACGGCACCAGCGCTCCCCAGGCAGGCTCTAGTGGAGGCTCCGAGCACTGGACAGTGAGGGTGCAGACACACCAGCACCACCGTAAGGAAAACCACCGCTACCCCAACAACAGGAACAGAGTGCCCAACCAAAGGACGGGAAAGAGACCAGGGGAAGCCTCCCAGCCCTGGAGGGCTGGCGCTGCCCACATGCCAGGAGGCTCGGGATACTCGTGCCCGGGGGGGAAGCACCGTGGGAGGCAGGCAGGCCGCACACTGGCCCAGGGCTGTGTCAGAGGACCCTGGGGAACACAGGGAGGGAAGAAGCATCCCAGACCCCACCCATGGACCCTGGTGTCTCCCCGCTCAGGACCCTCTCACATGGAGGAAGCTGGGAACAGGGACGTGGGACTCCTATCCACAGGGGCCTCTGGATATGGCGGCCGGGACCCTTATGGTC
Organism: Homo sapiens; assembly: GCF_000001405.40. NCBI lineage: Eukaryota > Metazoa > Chordata > Mammalia > Primates > Hominidae > Homo > Homo sapiens. The sequence goes on along the minus strand of NC_000019.10, from coordinate 2,207,973 downwards.
ACACATCACTCTGATGGCCCCGCCCCACCCCAGGAGCTGAGCGTAGACTAGGGGAGACAGCACTCAGCCCTCACCCAGGACACGCCCAGTGCCTGGGAGGACCCTGGTGGGTCCTGCGGTGCAAGCAGTACTGAGGGGCCTTGAGGAGCTGGGCCTGAGCTCAGGGGCCGGGGGGCGTTGAGGGCTCTGAGGGGAGGGTCTCAGAGGCCACATGAGAAAGGAGAGAGCAGTGTGACGTGGGCGGGGTGGAAGACCAGGACGGCCCTGCGGCTGAGGCGCAGCGAGATACTCACTATGGTGCGGTCGATAGTGTGCAGGTAGTAGGAGACTGGCTTCCCCGTCCACGACACCGAGCCCTTCAGGGGCGAGAGCTCCACCACGCGCATGATGGTGCCGATGTCTGCAGGAGCCACAGGTGAGGCCGGGGCCTGCGCCTGCCCACAGCCCCTCCATGCAGACCTCACCCACCCCAGGGCAGGCGTGGGGACAGAAGCCTGAGCTGCGCGTCTTCCCTCTTCTCCCACACTGCGTCAGGCCACAGTGGCCCACAGAGGCCGGCCCAGGGAGGTGCACCATTCAACACCACCTGGCCTGGGCCCCTCCAACCTCAGAAAAACAGCCACAAACCCAGCTGAGTGGAATGGAAAAGGAGGGGGAGAAGATCTGGAAGCGACTTAGATCACGGCTGCAAGAACGGCCAGCATCCAGCAACACAGGCACCTCCCGGGTGGGCGCTCCTCAGGGAAGCCCCTCAGAGGAGGCCGTGCTGCCCCGCAAGGCTGGGAGCTGACAGAGCACGCAGCACAGTAAGGCAGGCAGGGGGCATGGGAGGGGCCGGCTCCTTCCCACCGTGGGCCTGTCTCTGTCCACAAAAGTCCTGTAAATCCTTCACGCCTCCCCTCGAAGCCGGGGTCTCCCCGAGGAGTGATTCTACCCCCATGGCACACAGTGCTCTATGGGGACGTGTGTGGTTGTCGCGACCAGGGGTGCTCCTGGCATGGAGTGGGTGGACACCAGGGACGCTGCTCAGCACCCTGCACTGCCCAGGACAGCCCCACCCCACAGAAGGATCCAGCCCCAGTGTCCACAGGGTCAAGGAAGAGGGACCTAGGAATACTGCGTGTCAGATGGTTAAAATTACCCGTGTTCATCATTAACAACATGAGAGTTTCTTACCACTCAAGTTTCTACTGTTTATTCTGAAGTTCAGAGGTGCAAAGGGTTTCGAGGACACGATTCTGCCACCTGAAACACAGACACTGCTTACTGCCACACAGGAGAGAGGAAACAGAAGAGCAGACACCACTCAAGGTGACAGAGAAGGAACAATGACACGGAACACACACACACTGGGCTCCGGGTCCTGTCCACCTGCCTACAAGCAACACTAGGAAACACCTTCCAAGTTGAAGCCTATTCTACAAATAACTTTTTTTTTTTTTTTTTTTTTTTGAGACAGAGTCTCCCGGCTCACTGCAACCTCCACCTCCCTGGTTCAAGCGGTTCTCCTGCCTCAGCCTTGCGAGTAGCTGTGATTACAGGCGCACACCACCACACCTGGCTAATTTTTGGATTTTTAGTAGAGAGCGGGTTTCACCCTGCTGGCCAGGCTTGTCTGGAACTCCTGGCCTCAAGTGAGCCACCACGCCCAACCTCCTACAAATAATGCTTCTTTAAAAAACATTCTCGGCGCGGTGCAGTGGCTCATGCCTGTAATCCCAGCACTTTGGGAGGCTGAGGCAGGTGGATCACCCGAGGCCAGCCTGGCTAACAGGGTAAAACCGTGTCTCTACTAAAAAAATACAAAAACTAGCCAGGTGTGGTGGCGCACATCTGTAATCCCAGCTACTCGGGAGGCTGAGGCAGGAGAATCACTTGAACCTGGGAGGTGGAAGCTGCAAGTGAGTCGAGATCGCGCCACTGCACTCCAGCCTGGGCGATAGAGAGAGACTCTGCCTCAAAAGAAAAAAAAAACCCACTACGCTGCCAGGCGCACAGGCTCACGCCTGTAAACCCAGCATTATGGGAGGCCAAGGCGGGCAGACTGCCAGAAGTTCCAGCCCAGCCTGGGACACAGGGAGACCCCATCTCTACAAAAAATTAAAATAAAAAATTAGCTGGGCATGATGGTGCATGCCTGTGATCCCAGCTACTCGGGAGGCTGGGGCAGGAGGATCACTTGAGCCCAGGAGGTCAAGGCTGCAGGGAGCTATGATCACACCAGTGCACTCCAGCCTGGGCCAAGGATGAAGACCCTGTCTCAAAAAAAAACAAAACAAAAAACTAAGGTTTGAGAGGCAGGAAGAGCAAACCCCCAAGCCGTACACAAGCAGGAACAAAATCTAACTGTAGATGCAAACTGGAAACAGTCATGCGAAAAGAATTATTTCAAATACCTCTGAACCCTGGGATTCTAACTGACTGTCAGTGATAAATGCAAAGACAAACAGACCGGATGGACACCTTCAGCCTCAGTCTGACCAACACAGTGAAACCCCGTCTCTACTAAAAATACAAAAAAGTCAGCCAGGCACCTGCAAGGCTGCTGCTAAGCGTCAGTCTCACTATCACCAGCCACTATGGGGCATCTTGTGTGTGCTGCAGGAAGAACTTGGTGTCAGGAGCCGAACTTCGCAGGACCGAGAGAAACAGAGCCTTCTGTTTTTACACATATAAAGAAGGTAATCATAAAAGTCAAAATGTGGGCCAGGTGCGGTGGCTCATGCCTGTAACCCAGCACTTTGGGAGGCCGAGGCAGGGAGATCACGAGGTCAGGAGATCGAGACCATCCTGGCTAACACAGTGAAACCCTGTCTCTACTAAAAATACAAAAAAATTAGCCAGGTGTGGTGGCGGGCGCCTGTAGTCCCAGCTACTCGGGAGGCTGAGGCGGGAGAATGGCGTGAACCTGGGAGGCGGAGCTTGCAGTGACCAGAAACTGCGCCACTGCACTCCAGCCTGGGCGACAGAGTGAGACTCCGTCTCCAAAAAAAAAAAAATTAAAAGTCAAAGTGGATCCATTTAAACACATGCACACTCCGCCATCCCAGCTCTCCTCCCCTGGACGCCACACCAGCCCAGGCCTGGCATTCTACACACCACTCCCCTCAGGAGGAGCAGGAAGGGCGGTTCCAGGGCCAGGCTGGGCACACAGGTTAGGCCAGTATCCCTACCAGAGGACCTCAAACATGAGCAGGGCCACGTCTAATGGTTGCAGAGCCAGGCTAACAAATGCTCATGGGCATGTCTGGGACCATCAAGGCCCCTAGAATCAGCACTACTGGCCACCTGCCCTTCACTGGACATGTTCAAAACAGGGAGGGGCCGGACAGAAGACGCCACTGCAGTACCCTGACTCAGCCACCACGTCTGATCGTGCAGAGAAAGCTGGCGAGAAACAGCCAGAAGAGGCGTTCTAGGGCAGCGGGTACGAGGACCATGGAGGGGGTGACAGGAGCTGCCTGAAGCCACTGCTGCCTTCCTGCATGCAGCTGCAGGGTGCAGGGAGGCCCGTAGTGCTGCTGGGGTGTGGGGGCGACTGGGCGGGGAAGCATGGTGTCCTCACGTGGTTCTAAGATAAGTCAGAAACACCACTGCCACACGCACACACACACACAGATATGCAAACAAACTCCCAAGGCACACAGACGCAGAGAGACACAGGCATGCATGCACACACACAGACAAACAAGCAGACACATACATAGACACGGAGGCACACGGGCACGCACACACACAGGCATGCACACAGGCACAGACATGCAGACACAGGCACGCACAGGCACGCACACAGAGACACGCTAACAGACACACAGGCACACGGGCACACACAGAGACACAGGCATGCACAGAGACACAGACACGCACACACAGACACAGGCACACAAGCACCCTCCAAACCCCCAGGTTGTGGGGCGTTGGTGCTGAAGGCAGCTGCAGACCCTCTGGGTTTTGTTTGGGAGGCCTGAGGAGCCCACCGCAGTTCTCCCCTAGCCTCTGGAGGCCTCCCTAGAGAGGACAGGTGGGGAGCAGTTGGGAGGAAGAGGGGGTACCCCCAGAGCGCCTGTCTTCGAGCCCAGCAGTGGCTCTGGAAGCCACGTCCGCCAGGATACAGATGAGGTGGTGCTTGCTGCAGGGCTTGGTGGAGAGCCTAGGAAGGCAGGCAGCACAATCCCCTCAAGGAAGACCCCAAACCTGCCCTATGTCCTGCTGGAGGGCTGGCAGGGGCTGGGAGACAATGGCAGGCTCAGTCTCCATGTTTAGGGAATGGGCAGTCCACAGAGTGTGGTCTGGGTACCACCCTCGACTGCAGGACTGGAATCGATGTCATGGGCTGAGTTCTCCGCTCCTGAAACTACGCCAGGGCTTGGGGTTCAGAAAACAGCGTGAAGGGCCCTGCATGGGCCTGGTGACCTTTCTCCGGAGGGAGAAAACAAAACAGCTGAGAGCCCCACTCCTGCTCAGTATGGACACCAAGTTCCATGTGCTTAGGTCAAGAATAAAGGGGACTCTTGCCCCTGGGTGGTCAGCTGGCCATAAGCAAGCTGTAGGCTCAACTCAAGAAGATTCCAGGGCTGGGCACAATGGCTCACGCCTGTAATCTCAAAACTTTGCGGGGGCCGAGGCGGGCAGATCACCCTGACATCGGGAGTTCGAGACCAGCCTGGCCAACATGGTGAAATCCTGTCTCTACTAAAAGTACAAAAATTAGCCAGGCATGGTGGCATGTGCCTGTAATCCCAGCTACTTGGGAGGCTGAGGCAGAATTGCTTGAACCCGGGAGGCAGAGGTTGCGGTAAGCTGAGATCGCGCCACTGCACTACAGCCTGGGGGACACAGTGAGACTCCGTCTCAAAAAATAAATAAAATAAAATAAAAACAAAAATTAGCTGAGCATGGTGGCACAGACCCGTAGTCCCAGCTACTCGGGAGACTGACGCAGAAGAATCGCTTGAACCCGGGAGGCGGAGGTTGCAGTGAGCAGAGATTGTGCCACTACACTCCAGCCTGGGTGACAGAGGAAAACTGTCTCAATAAAAAAAGAAAAAAAAGCATAAAGGAAGACCACCTGGCTCCAAGGGGACTGAAGACCCCAAGTCTGAGCTGCCTTCTGCAGGACACCCTGCGGGGACCTCCTGGCCACCCTTCCTCAATCATGTCACACCAGCACAGACCGGCGAGGAGGGCGCCTTACCTTCCTTCATGTTTGCAAACCGCTCCTTCAGCTGGTGATCCACCTCAGGACCAAAGGCAAAATTATTCACAAATATAACACTGCAAAACAATACTCCAGTTCAGTGCCATGAAGGCTCGTCTCACGGGCACAGCCACCCGGCGCAGCCAACAACCGCTGCTGTCGGTGCTAGGCCCTGCCCACACCCGCCCGCCACCTCCAGGGCCAAGCCCACGCAGCTGAGCGCACGCCGTGGGTTTCAGGTGCAGGGAAAAGGCAACTGCAGCCTCTTCTGAGTGGGGCCAAAAACAGAGGGGGCAGGATTCGTGACCAAGTCTCTTATTGTGAATCTTGGAGTCCAGTGATCTGGGAAGGTTCACAAGCAGCCCACACAAGGTGGGAAGAGCAGCCGTGAAGTACCCACAGGCCAAGGGAAGAAGGTGGGTGGCCAAAAACAGAGGCCCAGCACGGGGCTGGACTGCAACAGGGGGCGCCAAGCAGAGGCTCCCGCTCAACTGCTGCAGAGACCGCAGACAACGGGTCCCAGGTGAGGCGCCCTTGGCAGCATTTCAGACACTCTGGCAAGGACAGGGGAACCAGAGGCTCCCCTGCAGGCCCAGCACTGCTTTCCCAGGCCAGGCATCCTCAAACGAGGCTCCTTGGGCTGCCCGTGTTCCCCACTCAGGACCGCACTTAGGGAGGCTAGACGTGAGGTCGGCTGAGCTCAGGTGGCCAAGGTGGCTGAGCGGTGTGAGCCAGAAAGACCTGGGTAACTGGGTGTTCAGGGAAGGAAGCTCCGTGATGCACACCTCCAAAGCCACCACCATCGTGAGTCAGACCCAGGAAAGGGAAAACAGGCTGAGGCCAGAGACAGTGCAAGATCCCACAACCAGTGGGCAGCCTGTGGGAGGAGTCCCTCCTGGTCAAGACCTGCACGCTGTGCCCAGAGCCAGAGCAGGCTGAGCCTAGGGCTGGGGCTGCCTGACAAGGCAGCGAGGCTGGCAGCTCCTGGAGAGGAACTGTGAGAGCCTGGGCCGAGCCCAGATGTCAACGGGACGCCAGAAATCTCTCGGCTTCTTAAGAGTTTGTTATAAGACAGTAATCACGGCCTGACCACTGCGGGTCCCCCTGCGCTCCCACCACCACCCCATGGGATGGGGACACCACAGGGTCAGCACGATTCCCTCCAGATGGCAGAACACCCGCCGGCGGGCACAGCACCCCAACCCAAATGGAAGTTCACACAGGAGAGCGAACCTAGGAAACTTTTGGGAAAAGAAACCCCCATTTTCTACTTGTTCCCCAAACCCTGCCCATGGGGGACACTCAACCACAAGCCACGAGCACACCCGAGGAAGAAGAGCACAGGGAAGACAGCAGGAGCGAGGGTGCGGGGAGGACGAGAGGCATGGGGAGGATGAGGAATGCAGGGAGAAGGAGGGGAGCGGGGAGGACGACGGGCGCAGGGAGGACGAGGAATGCAGGGAGAATGAGGAATACAGGGAGGATGACGGGCATGGGGAGGACGAGGAATGCGGGGAGGACGAGGAATGAGGGGAGGACGAGGAATGCAGGGAGGACGAGGAATGCGGGGAGGACGAGGAATGAGGGGAGGACGAGGAATGCGGGGAGGACGAGGAATGAGGGGAGGACGAGGAATGCGGGGAGGACGAGGAATGCGGGGAGGACGAGGAATGCGGGGAGGACGAGGAATGAGGGGACGACGAGGAATGCAGGGAGGACGAGGAATGCGGGGAGGACGAGGAATGCGGGGAGGACGAGGAATGCGGGGAGGACGAGGAATGAGGGGACGACGAGGAATGAGGGGAGGACGAGGAATGCGGGGAGGACGAGGAATGCGGGGAGGATGAGGAATACGGGGAGGACGAGGAATGAGGGGAGGATGAAGAATGCGGGGAGGAAGAGGAATACAGGGAAGATGAGGAATGAGGGGAGGACGAGGAATGCGGGGAGGACGAGAGGCGTGGGGAGGACGAGGAATGCGGGGAGGACGAGGAATGAGGGGAGGATGAAGAATGCGGGGAGGACGAGGAATACAGGGAAGATGAGGAATGCGGGGAGGACGAGGAATGTGGGGAGGACGAGGGGCGCAGAGAGGACAAAGAGTGCTGGGAGGATGAGGGGAGCAGGGAGGATGGCGGGACTGGGGGAGCAGGGCCCAGCCGGCTGCTGACCCCACCTCCCCGGCTGCCCTCACAAGCGCCTTGGGCCTCCAGGGTCCCTGGCACACGCTGGAGTGCTGTGGCCACACCCAGGCTGGGCAGTGGAAAGCACGGGGGCCCAGCCCAACCATACAGAGCCCGTGGCCACCAGGACAAACAGGTGGCGGTGGGGACGGACCTGGACAGTGCCCTGAGCTCCCAGGCCTGGGTGCGAGGTGGCGCGGAGGGGCAAGCCCAGGCAGTGCAGAGATGGCTTTTGGGACCACGAGGGGCCGCTCCCTCGAGCAGCCCTCATAGTGCTGTGTGGGTGCCAGCCACTCCAGAAGGGATGGATGGAGACAGGAAGACCCCCAGACCAAGCCTGAGCGGGGAGGAGGCCCAGGAAACCAGGCGAGAGGGGCCCACAGTGTCCCAAAGTCAAGGGGACAGGCAGCAGGAACGGGCTCACTGCCAGCAGGGTCTGCAGGGCCGACAGGGGCTCTGCTGGGCACGTCTGCTCTGCGCGCCCGCAGAGGGAGACCCAGCGTGAGGGAAAGGCGCCCTTCCTGTCCCCACCGGCCTCTTTCCTGCCACAGCCAGCACAGGAGCGAGGGGCCGCTCCCGGTCCCCGGTGCCATGGCCACCGCCCGCCTGTGAGCGCACACCCCACATGCCCTGCATGCCCCACGCTGGCCATACCTCGTGTTGGCGATTCGCTCCCTCCACTCTTCTGAGAGGAAATCGCCTCTCTCCAACTGAAAGGGAAAACAGGTGTGAGCGCGGACCCCCGGCCTCCCTGGCACTCCCAGCCCGCCCAGCCCCTGTGAAGAAAGAATGGAATGAACACAGCTCCGCTTGCAGTGAAGGAGCAGGAGGAGGCCCAGGCCCCACCGGCTGCAGCCCTGGGAGCTGCAGGCAGAAGGGTCCGTGAGAGGGATGCGCAGAGAACGGGCAGGACCTCCTGAGAAGCCGGGACAGGTCCTCGTGCTCCAGCATCCGCTTGGGGAGGCCAGGCCCAGCCAAGGGGACTGCGGCCACACCAACACACACCTGCAAGCCACGCTGCAGTCTCCTAGAAATGTAAGCTCAAAATCAGGGGCTGCAGCCACTCTCAGGACCAGAGGCGGCCAGCAGGGGCGCCCCGAGGCAGGGCCTGCAGTCCCCACCATGCTGGGCTCCAGGCAGGGCCTGAGGGAGGCCACAGGGCGCTGGGGGGCACCCTCTGCGGCAGGCAGCGACACTCGGCCAGGCTGAGAAAGCCTAGCGCCGAGCTCTGTCCCTCCCTCACCAACCACAAGAAACACGCACACAGGGAAGCTGAGCCGCCAGTCCCTGGGGGCGTCTGCCCTGAGCACCGCTGACGGCCTGCTAACAGCAGCGCTGTCCCCACAGCTCCACGCCACACTCACAGCAAGGCCAGCTGCAGCCCGACGCCAGTCCACCTCCAGACCTCAAGACCTGGCACCGTCCAGGAGAAAACACCTCTTATTAACCTAGCTGTCCAACACGGTAGCATCTGGACAATCAAGACACCGCCTTTCAAATCCTTCAAAAACACTACCACCTCCATTCCCAGGAGAAATAAAAACATGTCCACACAAAAGCCCGGACACAAATGCCTCCAAAAGCCAACACAACTCATCACAGCCAAAAGGTGGAAGCAGCCAAGCGTCCATCAGCAGATGAAAGATCAACACAGCACAGCGAGGCCGCGCACACCTGGAAGCAGGACCCCAATGAGAACAGGAGCCAGGCTCCAACCCAGGCCACATCGCGGATGCACCTTGAGGACGCCACGCTCAGTGAGAGACGCCGGACACAGAGGGCCACGCAGTGTGTGATCCTGTTTCTGTGAAATGTCCGGGACAGGCCCATCCAGAGACAGGAAGGGGATTCATGCTGGGGGCTGGAGTAGTTGGGGGTGAGGGCACCTGGGCCACAGCAGAAGCCCACACCAGCACCCCAAGAGCCGAGGGAGGACCAGCGACACTCCTTTCCACACAACAGCCACAGGCCTCGCGCCCCACCCAGCGTCTCTCAGGATGGGGACGGAGTCCCCGAGCAGAGAGGGTAACGCAAGCAAGCCGCCGCCCCAAGCAACAGGGTGGCCCACCCACTCAGCCCCAGAGAGACAGGGACACCCCCCCGGGCCCGGAGGACAGGGCCACTCGTCCACCCAGACGCAGATCCAGAGGGCAGGGCCACCCGCCCCGGCCAGGAGCAGCTGCACATCCTCCGCTCTCCAAGGCCGCGGGAAGCCCCCAGGAGGGGAGGAGACGGGATGGGAGGTGCGCAGGCGAGCCATCCTGAGCCTCTGCAGGTGCTGGGCCACCCCCCACACCCGTCTCCTCCCTCTCCACACCTGACAGACCCTCTGAACATCCCTCATTCCCCGTGAACAAGCCACCCAGGAAATGACTCAAATCCCAAGTCCTGAGCAGCACTAAGCAGATCCGGGCTCGCATCACAGGCCTGGGGCTGGGAACCCTCCCTGGGGTCCCCCACGCTCCATGACAGGATGGGCTCTGGGGCCGAAGCTGTTCCTGCAAACACCGTGGTTTATATGCAACCCTGCTTCCCTCTGGAGTCTGAAATGCCGGCCCCATAGGAAGCGGGGGTCTGGGTCTCTAGGAGCCTCCCTGGTGACACTGCTCAGGCGGGAGGACTTGGAGCCTCCCAAGTGGAGCACAGGCAAAGCCACAGAGAGTTGCTCCGAGGGTTTCCTCCAATATCAGATGCAAGTTTCCATCAGAAAGGGCAGGGAACAGTCAGGTGGAAGCCTCTCTGACCCACCCTCCGCAGCAGGGTTGGCTGTAAACAGGACGGATGCCAGAGGCAGAGGCTGGTACTGACACCTGCTTTCCCCACCACCAGGTTCTTTCTGACACGTGTTGCCAAAGCCACGAAGAATGCCACGCTTTCCCCCAAATCATGCTCCCAGACACATCTCAGGAGCCACTGGCCTGACCGTGAGCACCTAAACCTGCACGGAATCCAGACCACGAACGCAGCTCCATGCCAGGAGCACCTGTGCCACACTAGACACCATGCTGCTCAGCCGTGTCATGGACCCAGGCCCCAGGAGGCAGGGTGCTGACCCAGACGCTGACAAGATGAGGCAGAAGGGGGAGCAGTGCTGCGGCAGCCCCACCACCCGACAGCACCCCTCTCCTGAGCAAGGCTCAGCCCAGCCAGACCGCGCGGAGGAAGGCACCATGGCGCCCTCCTGGCCATCGCTGGGAACCATGGCGAGGGCTTCCATCCTCTGTGCTGGGATCTGTGTGGCTCGCCTGCCACAGCCAGGAACCCATGTGGGAACTTCCGGCCAGAGTGCAAGTGGACCCAGAACCCAGGACACCACACAGCTTCCACTGTGGGCACAGCATTTGGGAACAATCACCATGAGAAAGGGAAGGAGAGCCGGGCCCACAGCCCTGGATGCGCAAGTCCTGGTCAAAGACAGCAGAACAGAAGCCGAGGGAGCGCCACCCAGAGACCAAACCAGACAGGCGTGGCCGCAAGGAAGCACCGCAGGCCACGGCTCCCACCACGGCAGAAAACCCCTCAGCGGCCCATCAGCCAGCAGAATCCCACCTTGGATAAACAGAATCGCACGCCGACCAAGGCGGACGCGTTCAGCACTGGAAACCCATCACAGCAACGGGGTGAGGAACAGAAACCACAGCACCGCGCTGACACTAGAAGCAGCAACGAAAAAGCGCACGCTGCACACTCAGGACCACGGGCTTATCCTCCACCCGAGGGAGAGCATCCACACGAGCCCGCCGCTAACACCGTGCTCCGCGGCCAGGGGCTCAGCTGACCGCCAAGACCAGGGCAGGGAAGGGTACCCGTCTTGCCCTCACGACTCACATGGCATGGGAAATGCCAGCGCCGGCCAGCACGAGGGTACGGGAAAGGGAGAGGAAAGGCACACGGACTGCTAAGGAAAAGGCAAAGCTCCGTGTTTGCAGGCGACACAACTGTCAACGTAGGAAACCCCAAGGAGGCCCGGCGCGGTGGCTCACACCTGTCATCCCAGCACTTTGGGAGGCAGAGGCAGGCGGATCACGAGGTCAGGAATTTGAGACCCGCCTGACCAACATGGTGAAACTCCATCCCTACTAAAAATACAAAAATTAGCCGGGCGTGGTGGCATGCGCCTTTAATTCCAGCTACTCAGGAGGCAAAGGCAGGAGAATCACTTGAACCCAGGGGGCGGAGGCTACAGTGAGCCAAGATTGCGCCACTGCCCTCCAGCCTGGGCGACAGAACAAGACTTTCTTTCACACATGCACAAAAAAAATGTGTCCGAACTCCTGGGCTCAAGTGATCCTCCAAAAGGTTCATCTGCCAGACCACCACAGCCAGGACGCCCAAGGCAGAGCCAGTTGGCAAGGGCTCCTGACCCCGGTCGGGGCCACCAGGGATCGGGGCCCTGCACCCTGACACCGGCCTTCACTTGTGCTGTGGGACAGTGCGGAGGGGTCTGAGCTGGGGACAGGGGCGCGTGCTAGGCAGGACGCACGCCCACTCGTGGCAATGACAGGAATGTCGAGGCCTCACGGCGATCCGAGGAAGGCCCTGGCTGACAGGCCCACAGAGGGCACCTCAGCAGGGAGCTCCAGGCAGACGGGCGGGCACACAGCCCCAGCCACGCCTCCACGCACCCTGCTGAGGAGACAGTGAGGGGTGGGCACCACCTGGGAGGGGACTGGAACTGTATGCCACCTGTGTCCCTCATGCATCCCTCTGAACTGTGAGAGTCGAATGACAACAGGACCCCTGAACACTTTGTTTCTGTTGCTTCTGCAAACTTGCGGATTCCACCCAGGAACTGGGTCGTCGCAGGCACCTGGGATCACGAGTTGGCCTTGCCATGTTCCATCCTGAGCCGCTCTGCTGGGCAGCTTGGCAACCCCTGTGCCATCGTCCTCCCAGGGTGGTGACCTGGTGCCCGCCCCACCCAGCACTCCTTCTGCCTTATAAGGGAAGCTTCTCAGGACTCAAGGGGCTGCGGGCTCTGAGGCTCGAGGGGCTGCGGGCTCTGTACTCCAGGGGCTCCAGGTCTAGAATAGGAAGCATCCACCTTCCTGCAGTCCCCAGACCCCAAGCCACCCTCCAATCCACATCACGGGAGCAGCTGCACCAGCACCAAGCCCACACCCCATAAGGGCGGGGAGGTCTGGGACGTCGCTGGGAGACAGAGCAGATGGGCCCGGGGCGCCATCAGCCTCCACCACAGGTGAGCGCCTGAGCAGCTGGGACTGTGAGGAGGAGCACACAGGTCAAGGAAGGACCCAGCTCTGCAGGCCTCTGTGTGGAAAGGACCAGGGCGGAGCCTGGTGTCTAAGGACTCAGCGTGGGGTGGGAAGGAGTTCCCAGGAGGATGCAGGAGTGGTGGCTACTCCTGGAAGCTATGGCCCATTAATCACCCAACCTGGGTCAGGAAAACTGTCCTTCCTGCTCCCTAAACAGCATCCCCTTCCCACCCCCACACCCATCCCACTGCCACTCAGCCACTGAAAGGGGAGCGCACACCCTACAGGGAGGGCCACACGCGACGCCATCCCCAGGGTCCATGGGAGGAGCACCTGAGACTGCATCACAACAGGGCGGGAGAGAACACTGCCCACCCCGAGGTTGCTGGCTTGTCATGAAGAACACAGCACTGAGGACCAGGAACCCGTCCAAACAAGGCTGTCCCCAGTGAGGGATGACACCCCAAGGATGCCGCAGCCAGCCCAGAACCCAGCCTGTCCCACAGGCCTCCGCTCCATGGAGCCCCAAGCCCATTCCCTGCACCACCTCTGTGCACCGCATGCTGCCGAGGGACAGAAGCCATGTCAGAGAGGACGAGAGGGACGGTACCAACAGAGGCGCCTGCTGCCGGCTCAGACGCCACGCCCAGGCAGCCCTACGAGAACCAGAGGGGACTCCAGGGGGCACACCATGTGCCAACAGCCATGTGCCAACATCGGCAAGAAAGGAGGGGCTGACAGGAGGGTGGGAGCGGGGGTGGGGCCGGCGATGGGAGCCGGGGCGGAGCGATGGCACTCACTGTGTATTCTGCATGCTTTTTTCCATACCATTTCATCCACTTCCTGAACTCGCGGTCCATGGTCTGGAAGGAAAGAAACCAAACGCCCGTTACAAACTCTCAGGGCAAGCCAGGCGCGGTGGCTCACGCCTGTAATCCCGGCACTTTGGGAGGCTGAGGAGGGCGGATCATGAGGTCAGGAGATTGCGACCATCCTGGCTAACACGGTGAAACCCCGTCTCTACTAAAAATACAAAAAAATTAGCTGGGTGTGTTGGGGGGCGCCTGTAGTCCCAGCTACTCGGGAGGCTGAGGCAGGAGAATGGTGTGAACCCAGGTGGCGGAGCTTGCAGTGAGCCGAGATCGAGTCACTGCACTCCAGCCTGGGCGACTGAGCGAGACTCTGTCTCAAAAACAAAACAAAACAAAAAAAAACAACAACAAACTCTCAGAGCAACAGGGCCTCAATGCGCCTGCCTGGGCAGGCCACCCAAAACACCCCGCTTCTCGGAGGGCTGTGCCACGAGGTAGAGCTGAGCACCTCTCGCCTCACTAGTGGCACGTGCCATGAAACAGGCTCCGAGACACCCCTGCAGCGCTTGGACAGGCCTGGAGGGCCGGCCTGTAATGGGCCGTGAGGGCGATCGGGCACCCTATTCACAGGCACACGCTGCAGGCAACCAAGACGTCTTGGGCCTGGAAAGAACGCCACCCAGACTCGGAAGTCCCACAGCAGTGGGGTGCAGGCACCCAGGGCGTCACTTTCTCTGATGGTCCCCTGCCTCCAACACACCCTGGCCCTCAGATCCGCTCACCTCCGCATACTTGGCCGGGATGTCTGCTTTCTCGACGCCATAGTGATGTTTGCAGTTGGTGGCAGCAGCAACCTGGAGCACGACCTGGCCCACACCTATGATCAGAGAGATCCATCAGATACCACACAGCGCTCAGATGCCACCCGGGAGGCCGTGCTAGGCTCGGAGACAGAGGCCACAAGAATGCGGCCATGAAGACCCACAGGGGAGGCCACAGTCTCCACACATATCCGATGCTCCAAGGTCACTCAGGATCCTTCCCAGAGACCAGGCCCCTGACAGAGCCCCCACGAGGGGACGGTCATCACAACGCGTCATCCATGGACATCACTTGGTGGCCCCCGAAACCAGAATCCATTTTGAGTCTCAGGGCCCTATGTGATGTTCACTGTTCAGACAGACAGGGCTGCCCAAGACTTTGCAGGTCTGGAAAGGCTGCCGTCCACCTCAAATTATCCCCACGTCACCAGCACACAGACACACAGCAACCTGGCTGATAAAATCTTATGGCACCCCAGGAAGGCTCATGAGCAGGATCTGACTGAGGCTCAATGTAGGGTGGGAGAGGCAGTGAGGGGTCCCCCGCAGCCAGGACAGTCTCCCGGCCGCTGCGGTTTCACAGCATCAGCACACAACCCAGCAACACCCGGCTCTAAGGGAGAAGGAGGGAACAGGGGCTGCAGATACGCCAGCGTCAGGAGGGTGGAGGCAGCGGCGCACACCGGGGGTGTCAAGCCACCTCTCCTCCCCTGCTAGGCAGCTCTGTGCTCCAGGGAACGGGCATGAACCATGGAGCGACCACAATGGGCACAGACCGCCGCCACCACACCAGTGGGAAGAGAAGCACACAGGGACGGGGGGCCAGGGCCCGGCCAGCAAGTGCTAGGCCGTCATCATCTAAAACATATAAGCCTTTTTAATTTTTTGTTTTTGAGACAGGGTCTGATTCTGTCACCCAGGCTGGACTGCAGTGGTGTGATCCTGGCTCACTGCAGCCTCAACCTCTTGGGCTCAAGCGATCCTCCCACCTCAGCCTTCCAAAGCATTGGGATTACAGGCAGGAGCCAAAGAGCCCAGCCAGATATGCCCCATTTTTTTTTTTTTTTTTTTTGAGACGGAGTCTCACTCTGTCACCCAGGCCGGAGTGCCGTGATGCGATCTCGTCTCACCACAACCTCCGCCTTCAAAGTTCAAGCAATTCCCCTGCCTCAGCCTCCCAAGTAGCTGGGATTACAGGCGCGCGCCACCACACCCAACTGATTTTTGTACTTTTAGTAGAGGGAAAGTTTCACCATGTTGGCCAGGCTGGTCTCGAACTCCTGACCTCAGGAGCTCAGATCCGCCTGCTTTGGCCTCCCAAAGTGCTGGGATTACAGGCGTGAGCCACCACGTCCAGACGATACACATTCTTTTTATTGCATTTTTTAAATTTGAAAATAAATTTAAATAAATAAACAGAAGTGGGATCTTGCTATGCTGACCAGCCTGGTCTTGAACTCCTAGCCTCAAGTGACCCTCCCATCTCAGCCTTCCAAGTGCTAAGATGACAGGCGTGAGCTGCCACACCCAGTCTGTGCAAAGTCCTCTTGGTCCCTGCCCCTGGGGCCCCTTCCCCACGTCAAAGCCAGGACTGTGGAAAGGGGGCAGACGTGGGGCTCGCGTGCCTGCAGGCACAAGGTTCACATGTCCATCGAGGTCCAAGGAGCCCAGGGACAGCCTAGACACTGTGGAGAAGGGGCCTTCACTGTCTGACCCTTGGGTGGCCCCGTCAGCCCTGCAGCCTGGATGGGGTGGTCCTATCAAGAATTCGTCAGGCTACTGAGGCTGTTCGTGTACGGGCCGCTCATCTGTGCTTCAGCCAGGCCACGCTGCTGCTGAAGACACACCTAGGGCCTCGTTTCAAGGAGCCCCGCCCGTGGTTGAGAGGAGACGACACCTCACAAGCAGAGTCTGAGTGCAGGCAGAGGCTGAAAGAATGCCAGCAGGTGGGAGCCCCAACCTGGGAGGGGCAGGGCACGGCCCAGACGCAGGGGTGCCGAGGGAGACTGGGGATGCAGGGAGGGCGCGAGGGCCTCCGGGAGCCCAGGGACCTGGGGTCTTCCTCCGCGGGGGACCTTTCCAGCCGCTGTGGAGGGAGCAGGTGTGCCCAGGGAAGGACTGCGGCAGGCTGCAGCCGTGGGTGGGGCCCGGGCTGGGGCCCAGGCTAGCGAGTGGCAGCTTCTGGGAGCGAGCAGTAGAGGGTGCACAGGTCTAGCTCCCCAGCTGGTGGGAAGCAGGACGAAAGCAGAGTCTCCGGGCACCTGGGAGGATGGGCCTGGTCTGGGAGCCACTGGGTTCCTGCGATTTCTCCCCTCTGGGTGGAGCCCGGTCAGGGCTGGGGAAAGGAACGGCCCCACAGCGGGACAGAGGCGCTGGGAGAAGGAAGCACTGTCCACGCCAACGTCGCAAGTCCCTGATAAACTCTTCTCCAAGCAGGCATGGGGCAGGCACAGAGCGTGTGGCCTGGAAGTGCACAGGAGCCGGGCATGGCGGGCGACACTCACCGCTCCCCAAGTCCACAAACAGGTCGTCGTCGGTCATCTTGATCTCATCAATCATCTGGGCCACCAGGTCGAAGGAGGTCTCCCCGTACACCTCGGGGGAGAAGGGCTCGTAGTTGTTGAGCTTCTCGGGGTCGGTCACCGAGTGGTTGTAGACCTGCTGCAGGATATGGCGCAGGAGTCCAGTGGACGGCCGCGTGTTCAGCTTCATGGGCTGCGTGGTGCCCTTCCACTGCGGACGGAGGGTGGCCCGGCCATGTCACATAAACCTCACGGCCCAGCCCCTCCACCACCAAGACCCGGGACCTTTCCCAGCGGAAGCAGGGAGTCGGCTGCATGGCCTCTCGTCCCCCTGCAGGGTGGCTGCCGGGCTCCCAGGTCAGTTTCCAACCCAGCCCCATTTCCTACAAGCAGTAAAGCAGCATCCCCAGGGACAGGCCCCAACTCAGAGGGGTCCTAGGAGGCTCCACCTCCTGCCACGGGCCTCTCTCCCCACTGGCAAGACCACCAAAACCACACAGGCCACCAAGACCACCACCCCTCCTCTGGGCCAAGGCAGCAGGGTGGGGCGCTGACACCAAGGGACCCCCGTCAGGTGCCACGAGCCCCGTGAAAGCCCTGAGCCTACCACACCTCATCTGACTCGACTACGTGGGACCCCGCCTTCCTCCCCACCAGCTGCAGCAGGCTGAGGTGGTCCCCTCTCGCCCAGGCCAGCTCAGCTCTCAGGGGCCCACAGAGCTGCATGCATGAGGTTGAGGGGAAGCCAGAGCCGGGTGGCAGGCTGATGGGGCAGCCCAGCCCAGCCCAGTCCCACTCAGGAGGGCCAAGTGAGCCCATGCCACCCCCACCAGGGCTCCCTCCACAGCAAGACCTTCAAGAAAGAGCTCCCCTACCCCCATGCACCAGGGGCCCCCGGTGCTTTCTAGAACATGGGAAGCAGCACGTTCCCCTCCCTGCTACACCCCAGCTCACTGTGTGCCCCGTCCTCTGTGAGGAAAGCCTCACGAGACACAGCAGGACCGGGGTGCCCAAGGGTGCAGCCCAGGCCGGCATCCAGCCTGATGAAGGCAGGCGGTGTGGGGGAGGTCCAAGGGGGAAGGCCGGCATTCACACAGCCCGGGGAGGACAGGGACCCCGCCTCTGCTGGGACCTGCGGACACCAACCCAGGGCTGCAGAGGCGTGTGCAGACACCACAACCCTCAGGGCCCTGCCTCAGCACACAAACCACGGACGGCTCTGCTTTGGCACACGGCCACAGCACACAGCCCAGCCTCGGCAGCCCCCACACCACTCACCCACAGCCCATCGTCCCCCCACGCTGCACATTCCAATCCCCAGGGGCTCTAAGGGGAGCTCTGTGCCCCGAGGCGGTGACATAAGGGGTCTGGAGGGGTCCGGGAGCCTGGCACTACTAACCCCCTCTGGGCAGGGGCAAGCCACCTACCAGCTGGTGGATGCTGTCGATGGCACGGTTGTACTTGTCGCAGAGCCTCTGCATGCTCTCGAAGCTGAAAAAGGCAAGGGAAGGCCCTGGTCATGCGGGCAGGAGCCAGCCGCATGCATGGGAGGGGACAGCATGTGGATAAGGCAGGCTCCAAGGTGTGGTCCCTGCCTGGACAGCCACCAGCCAGCTGGCCAAGACCCTTCTGGCAGAAGCCTCGCTTTCCGCCCTGATGCAGGAGATTTCAGGTTTGACACACAAGCGAGGTGGCCGGCCGAGAGTCCGGTGCAGGGAAGCACTGAGCCCTGAGGCAGTCTGGACCTGCCCAGGCTCCCGCGCAAAGCCGAGGTCCACGTGTGCTGGAGGCGTGAGGAGAGAAAGAGGGCTCGAGGGGGACTGAGGCCAGCCCCCCAAGTGGGAAACCCTGGGGCCGGCCTTAGAGGGTCTTCCTTGCCCTGGCTGGGGACAGCCACCATCGCCAGAGGCAGGTGAACGGCTGGGGTCTCCCAGGGACCACCAGGCCTCTGCCCGGGCAGGTGCAGGAGGAGTGAGCACTGCAGAAAGGAAGATGCCTCACCCCCACCCACACTGCTCTGTGAGCGTGTCCTTCCAAAGCTCCAACTCATTCACACGTCAGCAGTGTGTCATGTCAGCAGTGTGTCACGTCAGCAGTGTGTCACGTCAGCAGTGTGTCATGTCAGACACGGCACAGCAGGGTCCACAGTGAGACTCAGTCCCCCCGCAGCAACTCTGCCCTCCTTGCCCTGGCCGCAAGGCAAACCCTCATTACCTAAGTGCCCACAACCCAACAGCATCGGGGCAGAGCCCACCAGAGGGCAGGGGGCACCTGTGCTCCAGGGAGTGCCCACTGTCTGTGGGGCACGTGAGCCACAAGAAACACCGGCCACGCGGCCCAGCCAGGCCTGGGCTCAGAGGGGCTTCCGGGGTGGGGGCAAGCCTGCTACGGGGTCTGCCTGGCCTAGTCTGTCCAGTCTCCACCTGGGATAACTTGCTCATCTTCCAAGTCTGTTGGACCCACTGGCAAAATGTGGACAACAGCGTCTGTCCCTCCACCTCAGAAGGTGTCCAGAGCAGAGCAAGAGACAGGAGGAGGAGGCGTACCTGTCCAGTGAACACTGTCACACACAGTGGCTCTCACCGGGGACCCCAGGAATGTGGCGAGGCAAGCAAGAGATGGAGGCAGGGACCCTGCTCGGCACCCTGCAGTGCCCAGGACGGCCCCTCCCAGAGAACAATCCGACTTCCACATCCCCAGCGCCGAGGGGGCCTGCACCTGTGCGGGTGGGGGGGGGGGGGGCGGCGGCTGGGGACTCTTTCCTCCGCCTCCGTCCTCCGCCACCTCCACGTGCACGCAAGCAGTTTCCTCCCAATGGCAACCCCAAGAGCCTGGCAGATGCTCCGAGACGTGGCTAAACAATCACACCCCTGCTCCCACCCCAGCCCCAGCCCCATGCTCTTCCTGCCCTGCCCTGGCCACCCTGAATTCACCTGGGCACTGCATGTGCCGAGGTTCACACTTCCCCTTCCTCATAGGAAAACCAGTGCTCCACAGGCCAAGTTCATGTTTTCCTTAACCAGCAGCTGCATAGGATAAAGCAAGAGAACTTAAGAGGAGCAAACACCAAGAACAAGAGCCTGCCGACAGCCCCGGGAGCACGGCCACACAGGACCTGGATCCTCCGGAGGACGAAGGACACGGGGGTGGAAGGAGCCCAGGTGGTGCAGAGGGCCAGCAGGCACCATGCGGGCCGGAGGAACCCACAGAGCCGGCCTGCTGCCTCCCGCCTTCCCCGCAGCTCCAGAGGAGCAGCCCTGGCCCTTCCTGTCTTTTCACTTCCCTTTTTTTTTTTTTTTCTGAGATGGAGTCTCGCTCTGTCACCCAGGCTGGAGTGCGGTGGCGCGATCTCAGCTCACTGCAAGCTCCGCCTCCCGGGTTCACACCATTCTCCTGCCTCAGCCTCCTGACTAACTGGGACTACAGGCACCCGCCACCACGCCCGGCTAATTTTTTGTATTTTTAGTAGAGACGGGGTTTCACTGTGCTAGCGAGGATGGTCTCGATCTCCTGACCTCGTGATCCATCCGCCTCGGCCTCCCAAAGTGCTGGGATTACAGGTGTGAGCCACGGTGCCCAGCCCCTGTGTTTCCACTTCTACACGCCGCCTTCAACCCTGACAACCAGACCTTCCCAAAATCACCTCTGCACGCTCCTGGGAAGAGACTCTTCCCTGGCAGGCTGTGCAAATGCAGGTGCTCAGAGGAGCTGGGGCTGTCCTTGGTCTGAAGCCCTAATGGCTCGGTCCCTCAGGTGGCCCTGCCAGCTCCAACGAAGACCCCCTGCCCAGCCTGTCCCTGATGTCCTTCCAGCCTTGGCTAAGCCCATCCCACGCGAAGAGGAAGGACGCCACACACCCACGTGGAGGGGCGCCGTGAGCACAGCGTCTGACACGCTCGCTGCTCAGAGCCAAGGCAGAAGCTGGCCACACACAAGTGAGGTGCCATAACTGCCCCAGGTTAATGTGAAAGGGCTCAGCCCGACAACACCCACTCATCCGAGGGGACTCTAGTTCCTAACAAAGCTCCTGATCCCTGGGAACTTCTAGGTGACAGGAGTGTCTTCTGTTGTAAGGAAGCGACTTGTGGGGGGCTCCTGGGTGAGGTAAAGCCCAAGCTGCGGTAAGAAGCTTAGAAAGAGGGGACTGGAGATGGAGGCAATCATCAAGCAAGTCTCCGAGAAGCCTCCGTGAAAACCCGAAAGCACAGGGTGCAGAGCTTTGGGGTTAGTGCTCCCCAACTCCACGGACACAGAGCTCTGTGCAGGGCCCTGCAGGCCCCTCCCTGTGGACCCTGCCATGCGGCTGTTGATCTGCACGCTGCATCACACTCTTCATACTAAACCAGGGAAGGGCCCAGCACACCATCACGCCCAATGAGGGGGGGTGGCGAGAGGCCCCGACATGCGAGGCAGGTGGCGTGAAATCCACAGCAGCAGGTCGGCACGCAGGACCCTGCCAGCAACACGCTTGTCTGCCTGTGGGGCACCAGGGTGCTGACCAGGGAATGGGCAGGGCTCGAGGGAGGGGCACAGGATCTCGAGGTTTACTGAGGCTGAGACCGCTGACCCCAGACAAGAGTCCCTCCCACATGCCAGTGAGGCCGGAGAGCCAGGTAAAGTGCAGCCGCGTGGCCCTCTGGGCTTGACTCTCTGTGGAGAGGGGCTCACCTAAGCTCACGACAGCACAGCCCTTGATGGAGGACTACTCTGTTGATTTCAGACTCAAGAGCTGAAAAAGGCATGAGCCTGGAATGTCTTCCTTGTCAAAGAAAAACAAAACACTTCCAAGCAAGCATTCCAGAGACAGCCCTGCCCCTCTCCACCCACAAGACCCTCCTCCGAGACCCAGGAGCTGCCAGGGCGAAATTGCTAACGCAGCCACAGGGCTGGAGACAGAGGGACTAACCAAACCCAGCTGAGATCTAAACAGAGCTGCCAAGCAGCCTAAGGCCGCCCAGGCCCTCCCAGCAGCCTCAGGCAGGAACGCGGACTTCTGGCCGTCAGCCGCCCGCTATAAAAAGAGCGATCACTAGCGCGGGCTGACTCCACACATGCCAATCCCACTTTCCACAACCGGAGTTTCCAATTCTGTCCGGCCTCTGACAGCCTTTGCCAAGAGTTGATAAACATTTCCTACCAAAATAACTTTATGGTGGCCACGGCCAACTCTAAAAGGAAATTTCAGATCAGCTTGCACCATCTAAGAAGAGCTAATTATAGGATGCGTCCTCCTGTCCTCCCCAAGAGCCGAGTCTGTCCTCGGAGCGGAGCGGCTGGACAGGACTCTGCTTACCTTTTGGTGTCATAGTCAATTAAAACGTAATTCTCCATAGCGAGCTTGAGATCCGGGATTTCTTCACAGACCCATCTGAAACACAGCAGCAGAAACGATCAGGAAGGGTTTGGTTTTTTTTGTTTTGTTTTGTGTTTTGTTTTTGTTTTTGTTTTTGTTTTGAGACGGAGTCTCACTCTGTTGCCCAGGCTGGAGTGCAGTGTCGTGATCTTGGCTCACTGCAAGCTCCGCCTCCTGGGTTCAAGCGATTCTCCTGCCTCAGCCTCCCAAGTAGCTGGGACTACAGGTGCCCACCACCACGCCTGGCTAATTTTTGTATTTTTAGTAGAGACCGGGTTAGGCCATTTTGGCAAGGCTGGTCTCAAACTCCTGACCTGAAGTGATCCGCCCACTTCAGCCTCCCACAGTGCTGGGATGACAGGTGTAAACAATCTTGAGTATTACCCCGCATGTTCTTAAACACTGCATCCTCTCCAACAGAAAACAAACATCCTTACCCCTCCACTCAAAGTGGAGAGAGAAGGGAGGCGTGACTTCAAAACGAAGGCTACGATGTTTACCACGAAGCTGTTACTGAATCACACAGGTATTACGTGGCTTCGAGGCCACACACCAGTGGCTCTGGGGACCTAAGTGAACTTATCTGCTACAGGGCTGGTCTAGGGACCCACTGGCCACATCAGAGCTCGAAAAGCAACTGACTGACTAGAAACTAAAGCCAACTGGTGCCGGGTGCGGTGGCTCACACCTGTAATCCCAGCACTCTGGGAGGCCGAGGTGGGCAGATCACGAGGTCAGGAGTTGGAGACCAGCCTGACCAACATGGAGAAACCCCGTCTCTACTAAAAATACAAAATACAAAAACACACTGGTGAATTCCATCAAACACTGACAAGACAAACACTAAACCTACAGAAACTTTCTCAGAGTTTTATGCAGCCAGCGTCATCTTGACACCAAAACCATAGAGACGCAAAGGGCTGGAAAGAAAGGACAAGAAAGGCAACAGCTGACCAACATCCCTGACCAACACACCCCACTATCCCTTAAAAACGTGAGGAAACCGCAGCGGCACCTCACAACCACACACAGCACCTCCTGGGGAGGAAAAGCTGCTTCACTCTAAAATTAGTCACTGCAATTCACCGAAGGAACAAGGACGGAGATCTGAGCAGCCCCGTGTGGGCGAGTACGGAAAGCCCACAGGACGGCATTCGGTGCCATCAGGACGGTACCCTCCAAGAGGCCAGAAATGGAAGGACACGCCTTCCGCTTGGAAAGGGCACGGGACCAGTCACTGAGCCGCTGTGACAGCAGCAGGCCCACCTTCCGCAGCCACCTGGCCTGCGGCTCTGCAGGAGGGGTCAGGGAGGGATGGGGGTTCGGCCTCTGCTCCCCAGTCCTCTTGACCTGCTAAGTCCAGCGGGCAGCTTCCCAGAACTCCGAGAGTAGCTTCATTGCCCCCTACCCCACGCCAAGTCCCCAGACTCCCCAACCAGCTGGCCAGGACCTGACCTCAGGTCCGGGTGCCCTCCAAGACCCTTCCACACTGAAAGACACAGCATCCTGTCAGAAGGGCTGTGGCATCCGCCCTCTGTGATTATTGGTGCCTCTCGTCACCCGTCCCCAGCATGGTCAACGCCTGCACACCTGGCCAACACCGGCAGGGGACCTCACAATGCAGATCATCAAAAGCCCCAGGCACCGAGCGAGGCCCCGAGAGCAACCCAAGCAAGGCCATCTGCAGTCACTTCTCATCACACTGTCCAGGAGGTTCCGGCCAGCGCAACTCGGCAAGAAAAACACTCAAAGCAGCAAGGAGCCTGAAAGGAGCGGCCGCACGGTCTTCACTCAGTCCCGTGGTTCTGCGCCACAGAGCGTGCTGAGGAATACGCGCGGACACCGCCAGAGCTCAGCAGGGGCATGGCCGATAGGCAAAAGGGAGCAGTCTTTACACATACTAGCAGCAAAGGATTGTCAAAATGCCACATAAAAAAGCACCAAAGGCCGGGCGTGGTGGCTCATGCCTATAATCCCAGTGCTTTGGGAGGCCGAGGCAGGCGGATCACGAGGTCAGGAGTTCGAGACCAGCCTGATCAACATGGTGAAACCCTGTCTCTACTAAAAACACAAAAATTTGCTGGGCATGGTGACGGGCGCCTCTAATCCCAGCTACTCGGGAGGCTGAGGAAGAAGAATCACTTGAACCCCGGAGACGGAGGCTGCAGGGAGCCGAGGATGCGCCACCACACTCCAGCCCGGGCAACAGAGTGAGACTCCGCCTTAAAAAAAAAAAAAAGCACTGAAGCAGGAATACCTGGGAGTGACACTGTTTAAACGCCCCTTTCCCCAAGCTGAACTGCAGGCTCAAACCAATTTCTAGAAAAAGCCCAGCTAGCTTTTCTGGAGAAATGGAAAGGCTGATTCTCAACGGACATCCAAACGAGGAGAGCCTAGGACAGCCCAATCATCTTTAAACAACAGCCCTCCCCACACTTCGGGAGGCCGAGGCGGGTGGATCACTTGAGGCCAGGAGTTTGAGACCAGCCTGGCCAAGGTGGCAAAACCTCGCCTCTACTAAAAATACAAAAATTAGCTGGGCGTGGTTGCAGGCACCTGTAATCCCTGCTACTCGGGAGGCTGAGGCAGGAGAATTGCTTGAACCTGGGAGGTGGAAGTTGCAGTGAGCTGAGATGGCACCACTGCACCCCAGCCTGAGCAGCAGAGCCAGACGCTGACTCAAAAAAACAACACCACTGTGGGAGGACGTGCTTGGGACACTGGCCGTATGGGGACTGAATGGTGTTTGCTGTGTAAGAACGTCGTCGGTGTTTCTAGAGGAAGTGAGACAGAAAAGGTCTGTGCAGCCACACCGTGAGAACCCTGGCCACATGCTGGGGATGCACGGGAGAAAGCAGCCTCTCCAGGTGGTGGGGGTTCGAGTTTCGAGGTCTCTGCCTACGTCGCGGATGCCCAGGTGTTGGTGCACGCCCCTGTGCCTGGACCCTGCTCCCTACAACGCTTAAGCTCCAGACTCCAGATGCGCTCCCCAGAAAACACACAAGGTTCAAACAAGACAGTCAGCTCCGAGCCCTGCAGAAGGCGAGCATGCAGCCAGAGAGGCACTCTCACCGCCACTGCCTGAGATCCGGGGGCCTGGGGTCTCCTCTGACCCCAGAAGTCTGTGCAGGCCCCTTCCCATGGGGAGCAGGTGCAGCTCCCCTGCTGCTGAGCACCTCCAGACACACTAGCAAGCGCCTGGTCAGAGAGGGGCTTCCACCCCTGCTGCACCGAGATCCTAACCCAGAGAGACCACGTCTGGGCAGCACTGGCAGAACCTGCACAGTCACAGCCCCGGGAAGCCACAGCCCTGGAGCACTCTTTCTTGTTTGGGTTTTGTTTCTTGAGACAGGGTCTCACTCTGTTGCCTGGCTGGAGGGCGGTGGCACAATCACAGCGCCACTGGTCTCAAGTGATCCTCCCACCTCAGCCCCGCAAGTAGCTGGGACCACAGGTGTGCACCACCATGCCCAGCTAATTTTTTACTTTTTTGTAGACTTGGGGTCTCATTATGTTGCCCGGCCAATCTCCAGCTCCTGGATTCAAGTGATCAACCCTCCCAGCCTCTCAAAGCACTGGGATTCCAGGTGTGAGCCACCATGCCCAGCTGAGCATTATTTATTTATTTATTTATTTATTTTTGAGATGGAGTCTCACTCTTATCACCCAGGCTGCAGTGCAGTGGCACCATCTTGGGTCACTGCAACCTCCGCCCCCTGGGTTCAAGCTATTCTCCTGCCTCAGCCTCCAAAGTAGCTGGGACTATAGGCACCTGCTACCTCACCCGGCTAATTTTTGTGTTTTTTTTTAGTAGAGACAGGGTTTCCCCAAGGTGCCCAGGCCAGTCTCGAACTCCTGGCCTCAAGCGATCTCCCTGCCTTGGCCTTCCAAAGCGCTGGGATTATAGGCGTGAGCCACCGTGCACAGCTTGAGCATTCTTAAAAAGACTGCCCGGCCCTCTGTGAGGAGCACCCACAGAGGCCCACGCCAGCAGAGTCTTGGCCCCCAGCTGCAACAAGAGAAACCCAGGCAGAGAGAGGCGGCTGGCCGCCAGAAGCATGCTGCAGCTGGGCTGGGGCTGGGGCTGGGGCTGGGGCTGGGGCTGGTGCTGGGCGGGGGCTGGGCTGGGGTCCAGCTGCCTGATCCAGAGCCCTCCCTCCAACCATAACACCAGACTTCTTTTACAAAGAACAGAGGGGCCCCTACTCCACTGCCTGGTCCACGGATCATGACATTAAAAAAAAGCAGATCCCACATTCTAAGCACGGACCCTGGGTCAGGCCCACCCTGGCCGACCTACACAAACGATTTCACTTAATCCTCAAACAACCTGGCCAGGGAGGTGCCGCTGGGCCCCAACACTGAACTACAGGGCCTCAGGAGCTAGGGGCCTGGCACAGAGCCACCCGGCCAAGAGGAGCTCAGCATGGCCCTTATGGCAGCTGCAGGCCTGGGCAGATGCTGGGCATGGGCACGGGCGGTGTCCTCACAGCCCAGTATGCTAAGGAACAGACCAGCAAGACGCCAGGGCCACATGGACACATGTGGCCTCCGTGCAGGTGCCACACAATGAGGGTTCTGACCCTGAGCACCTGAGACACGCAGAATGCCGGCCACCATGGGCAGCTTCCCAGTGGGCAGCAGAGAGGCACCCAGAGGGCCTCCCTGCACTGTTGCTGCAGATCCTGGAGCCCAGGCTGGAGCTTACGAGGACAGGACGGCCTCCGCCTCCTGCCCATCCAAGTCACCCCCAGAATGCTCCTCTCTGCACCCATGGGGCACAGACACAGGAGGCCGTCGAGGGCGCGTGAGGGTGAAGGTCGGCCCAAAACCCACAGCAGGGAGACTGACAAGGAGACAGAGGAAGGCAGGGCAACGCCCCTGGAGGACCCACTGGACACCCCAGCAGCTCAAGACTTCTGCACCCACTGGCCAGGAATGGAGCTGGGAGAAGCAGCTCTACCCGTCCCTGAGTCACCCCTGATCCGCTTCACAACACCTCCAGGAGTCCACCCCTGCAGGAGCCATCCCCACAACAGAATCTGCAGGGCACGGGTGTCCACGGAAGTGGCTCAGGGCTGTGAAGACAACACACTGCAGGCCGTGCACTCACCGGATGGTCTCGATGATTTCATGAGCAGCATCGTGATGTTTATCCTGAAACAGAGAGAGAAGTTTGAGACGCAGAGCCATCCTCCACCCCGTGAGCCCATCGCTCTCTTCCCGGACAAGCGATGCCGTCAACTTCCCATCTCTTCATTTCCCAACTGGTGCAGCTCCCAAGCCCACCACCCAGCGGGTACCACCAGAGACACTCCCAGACCCTGGACCACGAAGGGAACACAGACCTTGCCGGGGACCTATTCTGGCACGCTGTGTCCTACTACAGGCAGCGAGCAGGCAGCGGCCTGGGATGGAGTCTATGGCCCCCGGTCCTGCTCCTCTCCCACCCTAAAGCAAACGGCCGCCCCAAGCTCCGCTCCACATGTCTCCCCATTTTTTCCCTGGAGGTCAGTTGATCCCTCAACACAGCCCAAGTCCCTCAGACCGCGCTCCGCAGGCCCACCGGGAATTCTCCCGACGCTGCTCCAGCCAGGGAGCTCCAGCCTGGCTGGGAGTCCTGCGTTGGCAAAGGCCTGGTATGTGACCGCAGGTGATAGAGCCTCCACGGGGCCTGTTTCCCCAACTGTACCATGGGAAAAAAACCACTGGGCTAGCCCACGTGGGCGGCCTCGCCATAGCCCAGAACCTGCCACAACTAAAACCAAGGTCCTTGGCCTAACACAGATCCCTCCCCGTCCAGCACCCTGCCCTTCGCTCCCTCTACAAGGCCAATGTCAAAGGCAGGTTCACACCCAGCAGGGCCACCCAAGCCTCTCCGACTCCACACCCATCACCGAGAATCAGAGACCAAGTGCACGCCACCAGGACACGTGCACTTTCGTCGCGTCTGCGTGCTACTGTGCTGATATAAACCCACAACAGGCTGGGTGCAGGGAGCGAATCACTTGAGCCAGGAGTTCGAGGCCAGCCTGGGAAACAGCGAGAGCCCATGTCTTTTTTCTGTTTGTTTGTTTGTTTGTCGCCCAGGCTGGAGTGAAGTGGTGCAATCTCGGCTCACTGCAACCTCCACCTCCCAGGTTCAAGGGATTCTCCTGCCTCAGCCTCCCGAGTAGCTGGGATTACTGGCATGAGCCACCACGCCTGGCTAACTTTGTATTTTTGGTAGAGACAGGGTTTCTCCATGTTGATCAGGCTGGTCTCGAAATCCTTACCTCAGGTGATCCGCCCACCTCAGCCTCCCAAAGTATTGGGATTACAGGCCTGAGCCACCGTGCCCAGCCAGCCCATGTCTTTTTTATAAAAATGAACAATTTTTTTTTAAATCCCCAATAGGTAAACGCCAAAGCAATAAGAGTTGCAGACGCGATCCCCTGGATGCTGCAGTCCACAGGGCGCGTCAGAGGCCGCCCAGGCAGCCGTGCAGCCTCAGCGAGCCTCTCCCAGGCAGCCGTGCAGCCTCAGCGAGCCTCTCCCAGGGCAGAGAAAAAGCAACCAGCAGGGCACCTGTGGACACCACCTGACGAAACACAAGGCCAGCGTCATCACAGTGAGACACGCAGCCGCCACGAGCCTCCCAAGGCCCAGCGGGACGCAACCCCATCTGTGGGGCTCCTGCCAGGATGCAGAACCTCAGTATAACCCTGAGAGAAGCAGCCAAGCCTGACTGAGGGGTGCCACACAGAGACCCCAGCTGGCTCTCCTCCAAAGGCCAGACCATAGGAGACCCCCCCCCAGCTTTCCTTATGCACTGAGGGATCAGCCTAGATAGGGGAGACAGGAGACACAAGGGCTCATGGCAATGATGGGATGGGACGTATATGCCACTGAGGCCACAGCTCCGTCCACCTCCTGGTTCGGATCAGGGTACTGTGATGAAATAAAGCCACATAGAAAGTCTGTGCGGTGCTTTGCAACTTTCTTCTAAGTCTAAAACCACTTTAGGGGTTGGCGTGGTGGCTCACACCTGGAATCCCAGCGCTTTGGGAAGCTGAGGCAGGTGGATCACGAGGTCAGGAGATAGAGACCATCCTGGCTAACAAGGTGAAACCCCGTCTCTACTAAAAATAGAAAAAATTAGCTGGGCGTGGCCGGGCGCGGTAGCTCACACCTGTAATCCCAGCACTCTGGGAGGCCAGCTGAGGCGGGTGGATCACAAGGTCAGGAGATCAAGACCATCCTGGCTAACACAATGAAACCCCATCTCTACTAAAAAATACAAAAAGTTAGCCAGGCGTAGTGACGGGTGCCTGTAGTCCAGCTACTCGGGAGGCAGAGGCAGGAGAATGGCGTGAACCCGGGAAGCGGAGCTTGCAGTGAGCCAAGATCGCGCCACTGCACTCCAGCCTGGGCAAAAGAGCAAGACTCCGTCTCAAAAAAAAAAAAAAAAAAAATTTCAAAGTGAAGTGTGTTTTGGAGATTTTTTGTTTTTTTTTTTTTTCTGGTAGAGACAAGGTTTCACCATGTTGGCCAGGCTGGTCTCAAACTCCTGGCCTCAAGTGAGCTGTCTGCCTTGGCCTCCCAAAGACATGGTGAAACGCCATCTCTACAAAAAAATACCAAAAAAAAAAAAAAAATGGCCAGGCATGGTGGTTCACACCTGTAATCCCAGCACTTTGGGAGGCCGAGGCGGGTGGATCACTCGAGGTCAGGAGTTCAAGACCAGCCTGGCTAACACAGTGAAACCCCATCTCTATGAAAAATACAAAAAAAAAAAAAATTAGCTGGGCATGGTGGTGCGTGCCTGTAATCCCAGCTACTCAGGAGGCTGAGCCAGGAGATTCACTTGAACTCAGGAGGCAGAGGTTGCAGTGAGCTGAGACTGCACCACTGCACTCCAGCCTGGGATACAGAGTGAGAATCCATCTCAAAAAAAAAAAAAATTGCTAGGTGTGGTGGCACACACCTGTAATCCAAGATACTCAGTGGCTGAGGCAGGAGAATCTCTTGAACCCAGGAAGCAGAGCTTGCAGTGAGCCAAGGTCGCACCACTGCACTCCAATCTGGGCAGCAGAGTGAGATTCCAGCTCAAAAAAAAAAAGGAAAAAGAAATAGGAGGAGGCAAGAGCCGGGGCTGGGCAGAGCGGAGAGCAGGGCTGGCGAGGGTTGGCGAGGGAGCAGGCAGAACTTGCAGGCCCCGGACAAAGTGAAAATAGGGTCCCTTGCTCAAAGGTGGCTAAAGAACTTCAACACGAGCTGGGCGCAGATCATGAGGTCAGGAATTCGAGGCCAGCCTGGCCAACGTGGCGAATACTAATAACACAAATATTAGCTCTATCACTAGTAATACAAAAATTATTACCACTAATAATATAAAAATTGTTAGTAGTACTAATAATACAAAAATTAGCTGGGTGTGGTGGCGGGTGCCTGTAATTCCAGCTACTAGGGAGGCTGAGAGAGGAGACTTGCTTGAACCCGGGAGGCAGAGGTTACAGTGAGCCGAGATCGCGGCATTGCACTCCAGCCTGGGCGACAAGAGCAAAACTTTTTCTCCCAAAAAAAAAAAATTGTTCCTGCGTGATTTGACTGCGTGTGTGGGGCGAGTGCAGCACACCTGGTCGTTTCCTGTATGTTCTGTGCTCTGCACAGCTCCTTCCCGCCAGCCACATGTCGGGTGCCCACAGCCGAGTGGCTAGTGGCTGCCGTCAGGACAGTGCCGCTCCACAGAGCTCCCCCTCACGGGGGAGTCTTCTTCCTGCGGACCCCCACAGACTGCTGCGGGATGTTGCAGGGTGCAGCCGGAAGCACTGGGTTCTACGCATCTGAAGCGAGACCCAGAGGGCCAGCCTGCTCTCTGGATAGGGGCTGGGGGCGGGAGGAAGGGGTGCTGGGCCTGCTCCCTCATATCGGGGTCCTGCTTCTGTGAGACCCCTTTCCTCCTGCTCACTGTCAGGGCCCACGGCAGGGTTCCCCTCTCCCTCCTCAAGCTGGAATTCCAGCCTGCTGTGGTCCCAGAAGTTCCTGTCTGTCCATAGCGTCTTCCCCAGTGATCATCTGACAGAGGGCCCTGCCTCGCCTGGTTTCAGAGTTTTCTTGTCACAGGGAGTCGCTGTCTCAAAGTGGTGGCCGCGGGAGCTGCATGTCTGGCTGGCAGTGTTTGCAGCTGTGGTTTGAGTGTCCTGAGGCTGCGCAGGTTGGAGGGGGCTGTCGGCCCAAGTCCCCCTTCCTAGGATTCAGCCAAGCGCTTCTCACAGGCGCAGGCCTTACTGGAACAGAGAATGTTCCTGGGAGCCAGATGACTCACAGGTGTGAGGGCTGGAAATGCTCTGATTGACAGCGGTGTCACCTGCCCTTGCCTGCTCTCCTTGGCAGCGTGACATTATTTTGGGGGCCACGTAAGTGTACTTCTAAAAATGAGTGCCCCGCAGAAGCAGTAGCAGGGTGAACTCGCTCTGCAACTCCCGCGAGCCGTGCCCTCTGCCCCACGCCTGTTTCGTCCTTGTGCCTCATTCCCTGTCATTCACAGCTAGGGAGACAGTGTCCCCACCAGGCAGTGCACCCCGAGTTACTGCCCCTGTCCCCTCTTGCTCGCACTGCCTCCTGTCCAGAGGTGCCTTGTGGTGTGGGATGCTGTGTGGACCGAGGGCTGGGGGACAGGGCTTTGTGCAGACTTCACCAGGTTTTTCTGAATCCCAAAGGCCAAGCGGTGACATTCCCTCTCATGGTGGGTGGGTGTGCAGGGCCTGGAGGACCCCCAACTGAGAGTGGATGTCTAGTAAAAGCAGCCTCGGCCAAGAGGCGTTTCCAGCACAGACCTGTTCCTGGAGAGCCCAGGGGACAGGCAGAGCCGGGACACAGAGGTTGGGTGATCATCCCAGGGCCCATGTCTAGAGCAGCACGGTTGGGTTCGTACTCCTGGTCTATGGGTGGGAGCCTCTGTGCGGAAGAGCCCAGTGCTGGCTTCCAGCTCGTGTGGGAGTTCCTTTCTTTTTTTGAGACGGAGTTTTGCTCGTTGCCGAGGCTGGAGTGCAGTGGTGTGGTCTCGGCTCACTGCAACCTCTACCTCCCAGGTTCAATGGCGCAGTCTCGGCTCACTGCAACCTCCACTTCCTGGGTTCAAGCGATTTTCCCGTCTCAGCCTCCTGAGTAGCTGGGATTATAGGCGTCAGCCACCACGCCTGGCTAATTTTTTGTATTTTTAGTAGAGATGGGGTTTCATCACGTTGGCCAGGCTGGTCTTGAACTCCTGACCTCAGATGATCCACCCACCTCAGCCTCCCAAAGTGCTGGGATTATAGGCGTGAGCCACTGCGTCCAGCCAGAACAATTTTTTAATTACATGATAAAATGATAATATTCCAGTTATACTTGGTTAAATAAGTTATGAAAATTTATCTCCTTGGCCAGATGCAGTGGCCCATGCCTGGGGTCCCAGCAACTTAGGAGGCTGAGGCAGGAGGATCACTGGAGCCCAGGAGTTTGAGGCCACAGTGAATCATGATCGTCACTGCACTCTAACCTGGGCAACATAGCAAGACCTCAACTCTTAAAAAGATACAAAATATCGGCCAGGCGCCATGGCTCACGCCTGTAATCCCCAAGCACTTTGGGAGGCCAAGGCGGGCAGGATCATGAGGTCAAGAGATCGAGACCATCCTGGCTAACACAGTGAAACCCTGTCTCTACTAAAAATATAAAAAATTAACCGGGCGTGGTGGTGGGCGCCTGTAGTCCCAGCTACTTGGGAGGATGAGGCAGGAGAATGGCATGAACCCGGGAGGCGGGGCTTGCAGTGAGCCGAGATGGCGCCACTGCACTCCAGCCTGGGCAACAGAGCAAGACTCCATCTAAAAAAAAAAAAATATATATATACACACACACACACACACACACACACACACACACACATATATTTAAAAACTTAAAAAGAGATCAGACATAATGGCTTATGCCTGTAATCCCAGCACTCTGGGAGGTTGAGGCGGGAGGACTGCTTGAAGCTAGGAGTTTGAGATCAGCCTGGACAACATATTGAGACCCTCATCTCTTCAAAAAAAGTTTTTGCTTTTTTTTTTTTTTAACTAGCTGGGCATGACAGGTACACCTGTAGTCTCAGCTGTTTGGGAGACTGAAGTGGGAGGATCACTTGAGCCCAGGAGTTCAAGGCTGCAGTGAGCTGTGATCACACCACTGCACTCCAGCCTGGGTGAACAGCAAGACCCCATCTCTAAAAAAAGAAAAAAACAAAATTTATCTTAGCTTTTGCGATTCTCCTGCCTCAGCCTCCCAAGTAGCTGGGATTACAGGCGTGCGCCACCACACCCAGCTAATTTTGTATTTTTAACAGAGACGGGGTTTCTCCACGTTGGTCAGGCTGGTTTCAAACTCCCAACCTCAGGTGATCTGCCCGCCTCGGCCTCCCCAAGTCCTGGGATTACAGATGTGAGCCACTGTGCCCAACCTGACAGAGCATTTTTAGACTTGACCCTCAACCCAAGGTCCACACAGGCCCTGGCCCAAGTCCATGCAGCTACTTCACAGCAGAGCTGGGCCTGGACATCAGAGCATGTTGCTTCCTGGCTGAGCATCTGTCTGTAGGATCAAGGGCAGTGTGAAAAGGGGACTCAGACCTCCACAGGAGGAAGACGGTGCTGCCCGAGAGCCAGGGAGAGCTCAGACCAAGGATGGCTGACAAGGCTTCAGCTGACTTGATAATAACTAGCCCATGTGCAACAGCCCCAGCTGGCTGGGCACAGCTGTGCACGCCTGTAGTGCTAGCACTTTAGGAGGCTGAGGTGGAAGGATCGCTTGAGCCAGGAGTTCAAGGTTGCACTGTTATGATCACGCCACTAAACTCCAATACTCCAGCCCGGGTGACAGAGTTTGTCTCAAACAAACAAACAAACAGCCCAAGCTACGCAACAACCAAAGGAGTTCCCTGGAAACAGTCAAAGCAACTCGACACTGGAGGGGCTCAGGAGGGCTGAGGCCACCCACACAGGCTGCTGTGAAGCTGTGAGAGGAAGCTCAGCTCACCAGGCCTCTGGTTTCATAAAACACAACCGGAGCGACCCCGTCTTGAAGTGCGTAGTGAGGCACTCGCAAGGTACCGGGAAGGTTCACACTTATGAGCTGCCCACCAAGGACACAGAGCATCTATGGGTCTGGGGGAGGTCTTCCGGGCAGCCCGCAGAACCCGTGCCCGCTGTACTGAGAGGGCCGGTGAGCAGGCTGGGCTTGAAGGGTGGTCGGATGGCACCACCCGGCTGGCCTCCAGTGAGTGTCTGCACGTTCCAGGTTTACTCGCAACCCTGGCCGTTTCTCACAGACGGAGGCGCTAAGGAAGAGCAGGCACCCTCTGCCTGCTCCCCGAGGACGCCCTGCTCTGTCAGGGAGGCCCGCTGTGTAAGGAAGCGGCTTGGTGGCTGCTCTCACTGTGATCCGCGGCTCACCTCGAGTTCTCTCCTCTCTTGGGGTCTGCATCAGGACCCTCTTTTTCCAGCAGCAAAGCAACACAGGAGGGAGGCTGGACGCGCTGACCAGAACTCTCCTCGCCCTCGTCTGAGCACAGGCTGACAGACACCGACCCTCTAGCCTGAGGCCAAAGCCACAGCGTGACAGGGAAGGAGGAAAGCGCGGGACTCGTGGGCCTCCTAAAGCCACAGCGTGACAGGGAAGGAGGAAAGCGCGGGACTCGTGGGCCTCCATGCAGGGAAAAACGCTCCAGGACGCTAGGGGAGACCAGCACTGACTGCTGAGGCGGCAGCGTTTCCTTTTGGGGTGATTAGAACGTTCTGGAATTAGACAATGGTGACGACTGCACAATCTGTGAATATACTAAAACACACTGAAATGTACACTTAAAACGGGTGAACTTTTTTTTTTTTTTTGAGATGGAGTCTCGCGCAGTTGCCCAGGCTGGAGTGCAGTGGCACGATCTCAGCTCACTGCAAGCTCCGCCTCCTGGGTTCATGCCATTCTCACGTCCAGCCTAAAACAGGTGAACTTTATGATACGTGAACTGTCACAACAAGGATGTTATTTCAAAAAAAAGAGGAAAAATATTGCCAGGCGCAGTGGCTCACGCCTGTAATCCCAGCACTTTGGGAGGCAGGGCAGGCAGACCACGAGGTCAGGAGTTTGAGACCAGCCTGATTAACATGGTGAAACCCCGTCTCCACTAAAAATACAAAAA
Organism: Homo sapiens; assembly: GCF_000001405.40. NCBI lineage: Eukaryota > Metazoa > Chordata > Mammalia > Primates > Hominidae > Homo > Homo sapiens. Next base: position 2,172,671 of record NC_000019.10, on the reverse strand, counting down.
CTAGCTGGGCCTGGTGGCACACATCTGTAATCCCAGCTACTCGGGAGGCTGAGGCAGGAGAATGGCTTGAACCCAGGAGGCGGAGGTTTCAGTAAGCCGAGATGGCGCCACTGCACTCCAGCCTGAGTAAAAAGAGTGAGACTCTGTCTTCAAAAAAAAAAAAAGAAAGAAAGAAAAGTGGCTGGCCGGGCACGGTGGCTCACACCTGTGATCCCAGCACTTTGGGAGCCCAAGGCGGGTGGATCATGAGGTCAGGAGATCGAGACCATCCTGGCTAACATGGTGAAACCCCATCTCTGCTAAAAATACAAAAAATTAGCTGGGCGTGGCGGCGGGCGCCTGTAGTCCCAGCTACTCGGGAGGCTGAGGCAGGGGAATCACTTGAACCCTGAAGGCGGAGCTTGCAGTGAGCAGAGATCGCGCCACTGCACTCCAGCCTGGGCCACAGAGCGAGACTCCGTCTCAAAAAAAAAAAAAAGGAAAGAAAAGAAAACAAAAAAGAAAAGTGCGTCCGAGGAGTGGGAGCTGCATGCTGTGCAGAACTCCACAGGCCCAGAGAGCCTCCAAGTGAGTTTCAGTCACTCCCTCCCAGGGCCTTCTTTCCTCCCCTGGGGTTTCCACACTAGCTGATGAATTACCTACAAGGTTATCACTATTTGCACAATGTGACCATCTGTTATCTTCACGTCCCTGGAGTCTGAGATACCAGGAAGGACGTGGAGCCGGGCAATCACTTCTGTGATTCCAATGCAAAAGCCGCCCCTTCTTTTCTCCAGGAAGCCCCACTTGTAACTGCCGCGCATACATTCTGGGCACTTGAATCTGTGTCTCCAGAGCTGCAGCCCGCAAACGAGGCCCAAATACACTCCCATTACGCTAACTTCACCTCAGGTCCTTCCCTCAGGGGGACACAGTGGGCGGGGACTGCACGCAGCAAGCCTGGATCTTGGCCAGGGCCTGCCGGACATGCATGGTCCCAGGAAGCACTCAGGAAATAAAAGCAGGGCTACCCCCAGGAGAAGGCATGTACACGAACACGGAGCGACACCCGGCGGCGGTCGGTGCCCGGGACCCCAGGCGATGAAAGGCACAGCTCTTGGCGTCTCCTGGCCCGCCCTCGGTGGTGGGGCTGCCCCAAGCTCTGTGAGTGATGAGCAGCATCCTTGGGCTTCCCCCACCCCGGTGGTGACAACCGCAAAGGTCTCTAGACGCCACCAGGTGTCCCCTGGGGGCAGAGCCACCTCCACCCCTGAGAACTGCTGTTTGAACCTTCCAGGGCCAGGAATTCATTCTTTCAGCCTACAGGCAGGAAGAAGAGGGCTCAGTACAATTCGGGACCAGAAGGGCTCAATGCAGGGATCCTCCAGGTAAAAGGCTCTGCCAGTGCCACAGCATTCTCGCAGTCCTTCCCCTGGAGGACTCCTCTGGGGCCCCTGCTGTACCTTAGACCCCACCACACAGCCTGAGGCTGAGGCCCAAAGCTTATCAAAGTTACCACTAGCCTGGGGCAACACAGCAAGGCCCCACCAAAAAATACAAAATTTAGCCAGGCGTGGTGGCTCATGCCTGTAATCCCAGCTACTCAGGAGGCTGAAGGAAGAGAATCCTTTCAGCCTGGGAGGCGGAGAATGCAGTCAGCAGATATCGAGCCACTGCACTCCAGCCTGGGTGACAAAGCAAGACCCTATCCCAAAAATAATGAGAGAAACAACACTCTAAAGGACAGGTTCTGGGAGACTCTTGGAGGGGGACAGGTTCCAGGAGACTCCTGGAGGGGGACAGGTCCCGGGAGACACACGTTCCGGGAGACTCCTGGAGGGAGTGGGCCCTTCCCCCATGCCTTGCCCTGAGGATCCATTTCTCAGTATTCATGGGCATCCCACAGATCGTCCTTTATCATTAACCAAAGGACCTAAGTGTTTCTCGGGAGTTCTGTGAGCCACTGAGGCAATGTAATCAAGCCGAGGTAAGGGTGACGGGAACCTGGATTTACAGCCGACCGGTCACTCAGAAGCACAGGTCACAACGTGAGGCCTCTAACTGGCATGGAAAGTGGGGGAGTCTTGGGGACTGAGCCCTTACCCCGTGGGATCTGAGCCTGTGTCGAGGTAGACATGCTGGAAGTGAGTTGAATCGGGGCTGCCCAGTAGGAAACACAGAACTGATGAATCCCCGGGTACCCGTATCTGGTTCCGCAACTCCTCTGTGTTGACTGCGGAGAGCACAGGAGGAACCGTGTTGGGTCCTTCCTACACCTCACACTGCTGGAAGATAAAAACAGCTCCAAGCAGTCCGTGCCCAGTGAGGCATGCAAAATGCATCAGGTCCAGAGAGACAAGAGCAAGGATTTCAGTCACGCCTCCCAACCACACCAGGGGCAAGCGTGGAAAGGCATCTATCTGTTCCTGCATCCTGGTCTCGGACACTATCTTCCTGTTCCTGGAATCTGTAACACCAAGAGTGATTTGCAGCCATCAATGGCCAATATTACTTGAACAAAAATTCTTTTTTCCTTTATCTAATTTTGTCTGTTTGTTTGAGACAGAGTCTCACTCTGTCGACCAGTCTGGAGTGTAATGGCATGATCTCAGCTCACTGCAGCCTCCCCCTCTCGGGTTCAAGCAATTCTCCGGATTATAGGCAACCGCCACCACGCCCAGCTAATTTTTGTATTTTTGGTAAATACGGGGTTTCGTCATGTTGGCCAAGCTGGTCTCGAACTCCTGACCGCAGGTGATCTGCCCGCCTTGGCCTCCCAAAGTGCCGGGATTACAGGCATGAGCCACCGTGCCTGGGCAACCGTGTGTTTTTTTTAATTAAACTTTTTATTTTAAGATAATTGTAGATTCACACTGTCGAGCTAAAGGAAAGGAACTGGAGCAAAATTAATATAAGTGGAGCATTTATTTGGGCCACATTTGAGGACTGCAACCTGGGAGCACAGGCTCGAATTACCCCAAATATACACTCTGATGAGCAGCAGATAACAAGCAGATTTTTAAAGGAAAAAAAGAGCTGGGCGTGGTGGCTCACACCTGTAATCCCAGCTACTCGGGAGGCTGAGGCAGGAGAATCACTTGAACCCAGGAGGCGGAGGCTGCAGTGAGCCGAGATTGGGCCACTGCACTCCAGCCTGGGAGACAGAGCGAGTCCGTCTCAAAAAAAACTCTCCTCAGAGGCTAGGCTGGAGTGTCCCTGTATCATCTGCAGAGTTTCTGGACAATTCCCCGCCCCAGTACCCCCTGCAACCTCTTTCAGGCCAGCAGGAACAAAGCAGTGTGCATTTGCTATAAAACGGAACACTTGGGTTTTTTCTATTATTCCTTCCTATTTAAAGCGACTCCTTTACTCACACAAAGCTGCCTAAAGGTTAATCTGCCTCCGGGGGAGCTGGGATTACTCAGGACACTCAAGCTCAGAGGTCAGCAGCAGAAAATACCTTCTGAGTCACGGTGGGGACAGCTCACCCCGCCCCGGCTGCTACTCACTGCTGGCTGCCCACTCACCGCCGCCCACAGCCGGGCTCCAGGCCAGGCTGTCAGGCGGAACATGTACTCACTCATTAATGAGAGTCAGAGAGTCCGGACCCTTGGCCAGTGGAGGCCGCCCCTGCCCGCCCACAGCCTGTGAGTCACCAGGGGGAAGGTCCCGTTCTGTGGCCTTTGAAGGTTCTTTCCGAGCAAACAACCAATAATGCCACTTGTGCCCTTCCCACTAGAAGAAGGGCAGGGCCATCCTGCCCTAGAAATACCACGCAGGGCCAGGCACGGTGGCTCATGCCTGTAATCCTAGCACTCTGGGAGGCCCAGGCAGGTAGATGACAAGGTCAGGAGTTCGAGACCAGCCTGGCCAACATAGTGAAAACCTGTCGCTACTAAAAATACAAAAAATTAGCTGGGCGTGGTGGCGGGTGCCTGTAGTCCCACCTACTGGGGAGGCTGAGACAGGAGAATCACTTGAACCCAGGAGGCAGATGTTGCAGTGAACCGAGATCACACCGTTGTACTCCAGCCCAGGCAACAGTACGAGATTCCCTCTCAAAAAAATAAGAAATGCCATGCGGGGCTTGAGAAAAGCGGTTATCCAGGAACTCCCAGGTCATGTAAGAATAAAAATCTCCCTTCCTCCCCCTTGCGTTTGCCAATTGGGCAAACCCCTTCCGAACTGCTCATTTCCGAGCGTGGACAGTTGTGGCTATTTCTGCTTCCTCCTCCGGATGGCCCCTCCTCCAAGCAGCCACCCACAGGTCCCCCAGGGCAGAAGTGGCAGCCCCTCCCTGGGGACCTCAGCTGACCTTGTACTCAGCACAGTATCTCTGCTGAACTTCTATTTATAATCTACTTAACTTCACTGTTTTAAATTTTTTGGTAGAGATGGAGTCTCCCTATGTTGCCCTGGCTTGTCTCAAACTCCTGGGCTCAAGCAATCCTCCCGCCTGGGCTTCCCAAAGTGCAGGGACTACAGGCATGAGCCCCTGTGCCCGGCCTGTCTTCATTTGACAGGTTTCTTGAGACTAAGAATGCTGGGGCGGTGGCGGGGGGAGAATATTGGCTTGTTGTCCTCTGTGCCCCCACAACACTGAGTATTCAGTAGCTGCTGTTGGAATGAATCATGAATAAATGTGCTGCTGCAGCTGCGTCTGGGCACGGTGGTTCACGCCTGTCATCCCAGCACTCTGGGAGGCCGAGGTGGACGGATCACCTGAGGTCAGGAGTTTGAGACCAGCCTGGCCAATATGGTGAAACCCTGTCTCTACTAAAAATACAAAATAAGCCAGGCATGGTGGCACAGGTCTGTAATCCCAGCTACTGGGGAGGCTGAGGCAGGAGAATCACTGAAACCTGGGAGGCGGAGCTTGCAGTGAGTGGAGATTGTGCCACTGCACTCCAGCCTGGGCGATAGAGCAAGACTCTGTCTCAAAAAAAAAAAAAAAAAAAGAAAAGAAAAGAAAATCAGAACCACCCCTCACTTCTTGTGAGAAAGCAAAATTCCTCAACGGGAACACAGAAAATGACAAATGTCACGGCGAGGTTGTCAGAAGGCTGCCTCTGGCACTTGGGCGAATGAAGATGCTGGGCCCGGCAGTGGGCCAACCAGAGCAGGAAGAGGCCGTAGACGGCGCCAGGACCAGCACACCCTGCCAAGCCAGGGCCTGGCCAGGGAGGGAAAGACACGGCACAGTCCCGCCCACCACTAGAAAGCCCGCTCCCGCCAGCTCTCGCCCTTACTATTTACAATGGAGCACTGGCCAGGCAGGGCAGCAGGCATGCGGGCGGGGACACCAGGGCTGCCTTCACGTGAATGTTCACTTCAGTACCAAGGAAAAGGCAAAGGGTCCCTGGCAAGACCACTACCCCAGGCCCCGACGCTGGGTTCCAGTGGGTTTCTTAGCACTGACAAGTGGCAACTGTTGGGATGCAGATGTTAAACAGACGCTTAGCACAGGCCGTGCGGTCCACCCCTGAGAACCTCGCCACGCGAACACTGACTTTCACCAAAAATCCCGCCAGTGGTGTTTAGTGCGGGTTTATTCTAATCACCAAAAATTGGAAACAGCCCACAGTCCTGTGACCCACAGGCAAACACGTCAACAATCTGTGGCCCAACTGTCCAATGGATTTACAGTCAGCAAAAAAATGGGGTAACTTTTGAAACCTGCAGCAACACGGATTTGGCCGCCTGAAAGCCACCAGGACCAAAGGGCAACATGCTGTTGATTCCATTCAGCCAACTTTCTGAGAATGGCAGAACTACAGGTAAGGCCAGGTGGGGAGCAGCCAGGAGCTCCCAGGCAAGCTGAGGATGGGGGCGCCGCAGGGAAGCTGGGGGTTCTGCACCTGGACGGCAGCACTGGTCAGGGCACCACCCAATGAGTTTGTCAAAACGTATAGAACTGTACCCTGCAACCAGCGAACTACGCCCTAGGTGAACTGAAAGAGGAAGATATACGAATAAATGTGAGGCCAGGTGCGGTGGCTCACCCCTGTAATCCCGGCACTTTGGGAAGCCAAGGCAGGCGGATCACCTGAGGTTAGGAGTTCGAGACCAGCCTAGCCAACATGAAGAAACCTGGTATCTACTAAAAATACAAAATTAGCCGGACGTGGTGGCTCATGCCAGTAATCCCAGCTACTCAGGAGGCTGAGGCAGGAGAATCGCTTGAACCCGGGAGGCAGACGATGCAGTGAGCAGAGATGGCACCACTGCACTCCAGTCTGGGCAACAAAAGCAACACTTCCTCTCAAAAAATAAATAAATATAAATAAATAAATGTGAGGCCAGGCGAGGTGGCTCGTGCCTGTAATCCCAGCACTTTGGGAGGCCGAGGCAGGCGGATCACCAGAGGTCAGGAGTTCAAGAGCAGCCTGATGAACATGGAGAAACCCCGTCTCTACTAAAAATACAAAATTAGCAGGGTGTGGTGGCGCATGCCTGTAATCCCACCTACCAGGGAGGCCGAGGCAGGAGAATCGCTTGAACCCGGGAGGCTGAGGTTTCAGTGAGCCGAGATCGCACCATTGCACTCCAGCCTGGGCAACAAGAGCGAAACTCCGACTCCAAAAATAACAACATAACATAACATAACATAACATATAAATGTGGGCCGGGCGCGGTGGCTCACACCTGTAATCCCAGCACTTTGGGAGGCCGAGGTGGGTGGATCACGAAGTCAGGAGATCGAGACCATCCTGGCTAACACGGTGAAACCCCGTCTCTACTAAAAACACAAAAAACATTAGCCGGGCGTGGTGGCGGGCGCCTATAGTCCTAGCTACTGGGGAGGCTGAGGCAGGAGAATGGCGTGAACCCGGGAGGCGGAGCTTGCAGCGAGCCGAGATCGCGCCGCTGCACTCCAGCTTTGGCGACAGATCGAGACTCCGTCTCAAAAAAAAAAAAAAAAATGTGAAGCCATGTACTGGGGCTGGTCGGACGGTGGTAAGCCACCTCAATTGATCTTCAGTCAGTTACAGTTAGAACTCTTATGGTCATATGCCTTCTACCACCTAAAACGATGAGAGCCCAACAGAGAGAAGTGGAGGCTGGAAGGGTTCTGGAGTTTGAACTTTCGAGGGAGGAAACCGGTCGGGGCGCTGAAGCGCGGCCTCTGCTTTCAGTTTTTGTCCTAGGACCTCTCCTGGCGGGATCCCGGCTCAGGCCGCCCAGGCGCACACCCGGAGCTGCCCAACCAGAGAAGCCAGAGCCCCAGGGCCCTACCCCGCCAGCCCCGCGCGCGGGACGTGCGGCCAGGCTGGAAGCTGCGCTCCCTCTCCCATCCACTCGCACCGACCCGGGGCAGTGAGCCAGCCCGGGCTCCCCAGCGCTCTCCGCGTCCTGACCCCGCCCCCAGCGAGCACGTTTCCAAAAACTGACACAAGCCCAGCGCGCGCGGGAGTCCCAGGGCGCGCGGGGATGCCCGGCCGGGCCCTGCAGACGCGCCCCCCAAAACTCGCGCCCCGGACACGCTCGCTGACAGCGCCTGCTTCACTTTTCCCCGAAAACGCGCCCTGCCCAGCCCGGAGCGTGGCCAGAGGGTCCCAAGCGCGGACGCACGCGCCCCGCCTCCTCAGGGGCCACGCCGGGACTCGCACCCCGGGAGCCGCACGCGGGTTTCTGGAACCACCCGGTGGGGTGCCTCTGTAACATTCCACCCGGCCTGTCATTTTCCAACGGTCACCAAGATGAAGAAGACAAAATTTACTAACTCCGGGGGTGAGCCCAATCCTGCCCACTCAAGATCGGGGAGAAGTCCCAATTTCCAAGGATAAATAAAGCCTGTCCCCAACCAACTAGGATTAACAGGTCAAAGATGCCTAATTTCCCAGGGCCAGGGCAGCCCATACCCACTCAAAATTACGGGGACAAAAATTCCCCATTTCCAAAGGTCAGACCGCTCCCGCCCACTCAAGGGGACGTTAACTCCCACCTTCGCAGGGTCGGGCCCGCCGTGCCCGAGTAGGAAAAGCGTGACAAACGCCCAATTTTTAAAAAGAAGAGAAGAGGAGACAGGAAAGGATGCCCTCAAAAAGAAAAATAAGGCGGCGGACACACTGACAGCGCCGGGAACGAGCGGGGCGGGCGGGCGGGCTTCCAGTCAAAACGCGGCCGGCACGAGTTACCCCTTCCGTTCCGCGCCCGGGACAGCCCGGCGGGGGCAACGGCACCGCGGTAGGGCTCGGGGGCGCCGGCTCCCGCTCCCACCCCAGGCGCGCGGGGCTCCCACCCTGCGGGAAACAGCCGCGGGGCCCTCGGCCGGGAAGCAACGGGGGTGGAGCAGCGACAGTGGAGTCCAGGGTCTCCGTTCCGCAGGGGGGACCGGTGAGCGCGGCTTGGGGGGGTTTGGGGTGTCCCCAGGGGCGGCGGAGGAGGGGAGGCCGGGAGGTAGGGACGGTGGAGGGCGGCACTCACGTAGACCGGCAGCGGCCACGGGTAGACGGCGGGCTCAGCCCCCACGGGCGACTTCAGTCTCAGCTCCAGCTTCTCCCCCATGTCCGCGCGCGCGGCCGCCGCACCATGCTAGGCGGGCGGTTGGGGGAGGGGCGGGGCCGCCGGTGGGCGGAGGAGGGCGGGCGGGAGGGAGGGGCGGGAGGCTGAGGGGAGGGGGCCTGGCCTCGGCCTCGGCCGCCGCCGCCGCCGCCGCCGCGCTCCGGTCCGGCCCGGCCCCCGACTCCCTCTTTGTAGTCACAGGCCCGGGGCCTCCAGCGCCTCCGCCATCTTGGGCCGGCGTGAAGCGAGCACAATGAGCCGGGGGCCGGGCGGAACCACTCGCCCCGCGCGCTAGGGGAGCCCGGAGCGAAGACGCCGGCGCGTGCCCGCCGCCCAGCGGGCCGACCCGCGCGCGCCACCCCCTCGGCGCCCCGCCCCGTGGACTCGCCCGCCCGCCCGAATCCACGCACGCACGAACGTACGCACGCACGTCCTCGGTTGCCCTCGGCCGACCCCTTCCCCCACTCGCCGGCCCGAAGCGGGGACCCGGGGAGACCCTGTGGGCGGGCCCGTCGGATAGCGGGTTCGAATCCCGTCCCAGGAGGAGGACGCCGGACACCTCCCCACACACGGCTTAGTAAAACCAAAAATCCGAATTTCCCCCCATAAGAGTCACGGTCCAGGACTTGCTGTAGCTCCAAGTCCAGTATTCATTCGACAACAATGCTGTTTATTGGGTACAAAAAAAAAAAAAAAGGCCAGGCGCGGTGATTCACCCCTGTAATCCCAGCACTTTGGGAGGCCAAGGCGGGCAGATCACCTGAGGTCAGGAGTTCGAGACCAGCCTGACCAACATGGAGAAACCCCCTCTCACGGCCAGGAGCCCTGGCTCATGCCTGTAATCCCAGCACTTTGTGAGGCCGAGGCGGGAAGATCACCTGAGGTCAGGAGTTCGAGATCAGCCTGGCCAACATGGTGAAACCCTGTCTCTATTAAAAATACAAAAATTAGCTGGGCGCGGTGGCGGGCGCCTGTAATCCCAGCTACTGCGGGGGCTGAGGTAGGAGAATCGCTTGAACCCAGGAGGCAGAGGTTGCAGTGAGCCGATATTGCACCACTGCACTCCGGCCTGGGCAACAGAGCAAGACTCCGTCTCAAAAAAATAATTAATTAATTAATTAATTAATTTAATTAAACTATAAGTTTCTCCCAAAGTTAGTTCAGCCTATGCCCAGGGATGAACAAGGACAGCTTGGAGGTTAGAAGGAAGAGGGAGTCGGTGAAGTTAGATCTCTTTAACTGTCTCAGTCATAATTTTGCAAAGGCGGTTTCACCACCAGCACCTCCCCAAGTCCCCGGGGGACACCAACACCCTCCCTGCCCAGCCAGATTCCAGCCCTGCCCCACCCCTTCCCTGCTGGGTGACGTTGGGAGAGTCACTTGACCTCCGATGCTTTCCTCCTCTCAGCAATAGAGTCCCGCAGTCACTGCCACAGCCCCTGGTGATTAAAGCCTTTCAGTGTCAAGTACAAGTGCCTTGTACTGTTTTTTGGGGTTTTTTTTTTGAGTGGGGGGGTTTGTTTTTTGACACACAGTCTCGCTCTGTCGCCCAGGCTGGAGTGCAGTGGCACGATCTCGGGTCACTGCATCCTCTGCCTCCCAGGCTCAAGAGATTTCTCCTGCCTCAGCCTCCCGAGTAGCTGGGACTACAGGCACGAGTCACCACGCCCGGTTAATTTTTGTAGTTTTAGTAGAGATGCATTTCCGCCATGTTGGCCAGGCTGGTCTCTAACTCCTAATCTCAAACTCAAGTGATCCGCCCTCCTCAGCCTCCCGAAATTCGAAATTCGGAGATTTATAGGCATCAGCCACCGCACCCGGCCCCTTTAGTGTTGATCAAGATCTCAACAGGGGCCGGGTGCGGTGGCTCACGCTTGTAATCCCAACACTTTGGGAGGCCGAGGCGGGTGGATCACGAGGTCAGGAGATCGAGACCATCCTGGCTAACATGGTGAAACCCCGTCTCTACTAAAAATACAAAAAATTAGCCGGGCGTGGTGACTCGTGCCTGTAGTCCCAGCTACTCATGAGGCTGAGGCAGGAGAAATCACTTGAGTCCGGGAGGCAGAGGCTGCAGTGACCCGAGATCGTGCCACTGCACTCCAGCCTGGGCGACAGAGTGAGACTGTGTCTCAAAAAAAAAAAAAAAAAAAACTCAATGGGCTTTTTCTTTGTTGTTGGAAAGATGCGGTCCTGCTATGTAACCCAGGCTGGTCTTTTTATTTATTTATTTATTTATTTATTGACATAGTCTTACTCTCGCCTAGGCTGGAGTAGTGACTGGGATCTCCAGTCACTACAACCAGCGCCTCCTAGGTTCCAGCGATTCTCCCGCCTCAGCCTCCCAAGTAGCTGGGATTCTAAGTGCCCACTATTGTGCCCAGCTAATTTTTGTATTTTTAGTAGAGATAGGGTCTCGCCATGTTGGCCAGGCTGGTCTCGAACTCTTGATCTCAAGTTATATTCCCACCTCAGCCTTCCTAAGTGCTGGGATTACAGGCATAAACCATCATGCCCAGCCACACTCCTCTTTTTCTATAAAACCCCAGACTCCTCTTTGGTCTGCATGTATGCCTCAAATTCCAATTCTTTCTTGCCAAATAAAACATTAACTTTAGAGATTCATCTCTACATACTTATTTTGACCTTGACATTATTTTCCTTGTGGAAAAAAAAAGAACTTTTATCTAAGGAATGCAAGTCATTTTTAATTATCAGGCCCAGACAGCCAGGAGCGGTGACTCACGCCTGTAATCCCAGCACTTTGGGAGGCTGAGGGGGGCGGATCACCTGAGGTCAGGAGTTCGAGACCAGCCTGGCCAACATGGTGAAACCCCGTCTCTACTAAAAGTGCAAAAATTAGCCAGGCATGGTGGCAGGCACCTGTAATCCCAGCTACTCGGGAGGCTGAGGCAACAGAATGGCTTGAACCTGGGAGGCGGAGGTGGCAGTGAGCAGAGATTGTGCCACTGCACTCCAGCCTGAGCAACAAGAGCAAGACTCTGTCTCAAAAAAAAAAAAAAAAAAAAAAACTAGGAGAAGCTCCTGATGGGCCAGACAGTGTAAACCAGGAGGACCCTGGGGGTCCTAGGACTCACCTCCTCTCTCTCCCTACCCACTCAGGGTGTGGATTTCAATGTGGGCAGCCTCCTGGGACCTCAGCAGGGTGGTGGATCATGGGATGCAGTCTCTTGGGGGCTCTTGGAATCCCTTACCCAGGCGGTCTCAACCAGGGGTGATTCTGCACCCAGGAAACACTGGGCGATGTCTGGGAACATTTGTGATTGTCACAGCTAAGGTGCAAGGAAGCTCCTGGCATGGAGTGGGTGGAGGCCACGGACGCTGCTTACCACCCTGCAGTGCCCAGGATAGCCCACCCCAGAGAACAATCTGGCCCTGATGTCCGTGGTTCTCCAGGGGAGAGATCCTGGTCTAACATTATTCTGAACAGTTGATTTCTCCAGAATCCTGTGTAGGCAGGCACTCTATCTATATCCTCAGGATCACTGAGTACAGGTTATCCGGGCTAAGACACACTTTGGGGATGAATGGACCAATGCCTGTGCCCCTCCCATAGGCTACTGGGAGCTGGTGGAGGATGGACTGGACTCCAGGTGTGGCAACCTGTATCTCCGCCCACTTTTTTTTTTTTGAGACGGAGGAGTCTAGCTCTGTCATTAGGCTAAAGTGCAATGGTGTGATCTTGGCTTACTGCAACCCCCGCCTCCTGGTTTCAAGCGATTCGATTCTCCTGCCTCAGCCTCCCGAGTAGCGGGGATTACAGGCATGCGCCACCACTCCCGGCTGATTTTTGTATTTTTAGTAGAGATGGGGTTTCACCATGTTGGCTAGGCTGGTCTCGAACTCCTGACCTCAGGCTATCCACCCTGCTTTGGTCTCCCAAGGTGCTGGGATTACAGGCTTGAGCCACCACACCTGGCCTCCTCCCACTTTTGTACATCTCTTTCCTGAGCCATTTCCTCTGGTCATTCCCATAGTTCCTGTTACAGGTTTGAAACTGCCTTTGCAAAAATTAGAAGGCTGGGCACGGTGGCTCACGCCTGTAATTCCAGCACTTTGGGAGGCTGAGGCGGGCAGATCATGAGGTCAGGAGTTCAATACCAGCCTGACCAACATGGTGAAACCCCGTCTCTACTAAAAAAATACAAAATGGCCAGGCGCAGTGGCTAATGCCTGCAATCCCAGCACTTTGGGAGGCTGAGGCGGGCAGATCACGGGGTCAGGAGATCGAGACCATTCTGGCTAACGTGGTGAAACCCCGTCTCTACTAAAAATACAAAAAATTAGCCGGGCATGTTGGCAGGCGCCTGTAGACCCAGCTACTCATAGTCCCAGCTACTCTGGAGGCTGAGGCAAGAGAATGGCATGAACCTGGGAGGTGGAGCTTGCAGTGAACCAAGATAGCGCCACTGCACTCCAGCCTGGGAGACAGAACAAGACTCCGTCTCAAAAAAAAAAAAATACAAAAATTAGCTAGGCGGCCGGGCACGGTGGCTCACACCTATAATCCCAGCACTTTGGAAGGCCGAGGTGGGTGGATCATGAGGTCAGGAGATCGAGACCATCCTGGCTAACATGGTGAAACCCCGTCTCTACTAAAAATACAAAAAATTAGCCGGGAGCTGTGGCGGGCACCTGTAGTCCCAGCTACTCGGGAGGCCGAGGCGGGAGAATCGCTTGAACCCGGGAGGCGGAGCTTGCGGTGAGCTGAGATCGCGCCACCGCACTCCAGCCTGGGCCACAGAGCGAGACTCCGTCTCAAAAAAAAAAAACAAAAAAAATTAGCTAGGCATGGTGGCGCATGCCTGTAATCCCGGCTGCTCGGGAGGCTGAGGCAGGAGAATCGCTTGAACCTGGGAGGCGGAGGTTGTAGTGAGCTGAGATCGCGCCATTGCACTCCAGCCTGGGTGACAGAGGGAGACTCCGTCTCAAAAAAAAAAAAAAAGAGAGAGAGATGGAAACCATCGTGGCCAACATGGTGAAACCCCGTCTCTACTAAAAATAAAAAAATTAGCCTGGCCTGGTGGTGTGTGCCTGTAATCCCAGCTACTCGGGAGGCTGAGGCAGGAGAATCACTTGAGCCCGGAGTCGGAGGTTGCAGTGAGCCAAGATCACACCACTGCACTCTAGCCTGGTGACAGATCTAGACTCCATTAAAAAAAAAAATTATAACAGAAAATGTTGACAGTGAAAGAGATCTGACCTAGACGACTCCATTTTGCTTCTAACCTCCAAGCTGTCCTTGTTCATTCCTGGGCTCAGGCCAAACTAATTTTGGGAGTAACTTAGTTTATAGTTTAACTTTGAAACAAAGACGGTAACAGCTTTCCCCAAACAAACTCCTTTCTTGCCTGGGGACTAGACTGCCTTTGCAGGACTAACAGATTAGCAAGGAGATTAGAAATTATGGTTCATGCTGGGTGTGGTGGTGGCTCCTAGGGAAGCTGAGGCAAGAGAATCGTTTGAACCTGGGAGGCGGAGGTTGCAGTAAGCGGATTGCGCCGTTGCACTCCAGCCTGGGTGACAAGAGCGAATCTCCATCTCAAAAAAAAAAAAAAGAGCTGGGATCGGTGGCTCAGGCTTGTAATCCTAGCACTTTGGGAGGCCAAGGTGGGAGGACAACTTGAGGCCAGGAGTTCTAGATCAGCCTGGGCAATATAGTGAGACCCATTATCTACAAAAAATACACAAAAAGTAGCTGGGCCCCTGCTTGAGCCCAGGAGTTGAGGCTGCAGTGAGCTCAGATGGTGCCACTCCACTACAACCCAGGGAACAGAGCAAGACCCTATCTCTAAAAAAAAAAAAAAAACAGGTCGAGCACGTTGGCTCATGCCTGTAATCCCAGCACTTTGGGAGGCCGAGGTGGGCGGATCACAAGGTCAGGAGATCGAGACCATCCTGGCTAATGTGGTGAAACCCCGTCTCTACTAAAAATACGAAAAAATTAGCCGGGCGTGGTGGCGGGTGCCTGTAGTCCCAGCTACTGGAAAGGCTGAGGCAGGAGAATGGCGTGAACCCAGGAGGTGGAGCTTGCAGTGAGCCGAGATCGCACCACTGCACTGCAGCCTGGGCGACAGAGCAAGACTCTGTCTCAAAAACAAACAAACAAAATTCTGCTGAGCCGTGGAGGGAAGAAAAAAAAAGAGCACATGTGGGGTACAACATAGTTGCTAAATGAATGCTTCTGTAGAATGATGTCTAATGTGTCCTTTATCAACCCATCAAGCTCAATTTCCTCCATCACCACTATCCTTGCCAGTCTCCTCTCTGCTCCTCCACATGACAAACTTGAGCAAGCTCTTCCATTTGTCCTGACATCTGCCTGGATCACTTTTCCCCAATCCTGCTGCTGCCTACAGCTTTGTTCTCCATTCCTGCTCCTTGCCAAAGTGGCATACAGTAGATACTCAGTATGTTGTTGAATGGATGGATGGGTGGATGGGTGGGTTGGTTGATGGGTGGGTGGATGGGTGGATGGGGATGGATGGGTGGGTGGATGTTTGTTTTTTTCAACTAACGTTGATGGGTGGATGGGTGGGTGGGTGGATGGGTTAGTGGGTGGGTGGATGGATGAGTCGGTGGGTGGATGGGTGGATGGGTAGATGGGTAGATGGATGGATGGATGGATGGATGGATGGATGGGTTACTGTATGGGTGGATAGGTGGATGGTTGGCTGGATAGGTGGGGTAGATGTTTGTTTTTTTCTTTTTTTTTTTTTTTTTTTGAGACGGAGTCTCGCTCTGTCGCCCAGGCTGGAGTGCAGTGGCGCAATCTCGGCTCACTGCAAGCTCTGCCTCCCGGGTTCACGCCATTCTCCTGCCTCAGCCTCCCAAGTAGCTGGGACTACAGGCGCCCGCCACTACGCCCGGCTAATTTTTTGTATTTTTAGTAGAGACGGGGTTTCACCGTTTTAGCCGGGATGGTCTCGATCTCCTGACCTCGTGATCCGCCCGCCTCGGCCTCCCAAAGTGCTGGGATTACAGGCGTGAGCCACCGCACCCGGCCAGATGTTTGTTTTTTTCAAGAAACGTTGTGGATGGGTGGGTGGATGGATGGATGGATGGATGATGGGTGGATAGATCGATAGATGGATGGGTGGATGGATGGATGACAGATGGGTGGATGGATGAATGATAGATGGGTGTATGTTTGTTTTTTTCAACAAACCTTGTTGATGGGTGGATGGGTAGATGGATGGATAAATGGATGGATTCGTGGATGGGTGAATGGATAGATGGGTGGGTGGATAGGTGGGTGGGTGGATGGGTGGGTGGCTGTTTGTTTTTTGTTTAGTTTTGTTTTATTTATTTAGTTTTTTGAGACAGAGTCTCGCTCTGTCATCAGGCTGGAGTGCAGTGGTGCAATCTTGGCTCACTGCAACCTCCAACTGCCAGGTTCAAGCGATTCTCCTGCCTCAGCCTCCCGAGTAACTGGGATTACAGGCACCCGCCACCAAGCCTGGCTAATTTTTGTATTTTTAGTAGAGACGGGGTTTCACTGTGTTAGCCAGGATGGTCTCGATCTCCTGACCCCATGATCCACCCGCCTCAACCTCCCAAAGGGCTGGGATTACAGGCGTGAGCCACCGCGCCCTGCCCTGTTTTTTTTCAATAAACGTTGTTGATTGGTGGGTGGATGGATGGGTGGGTGGGTGGATGGATGGGTTAGTGGGTGAGTGGATCGGTGGATGGGTGAATGGATAGGTAGGTGGATGGATAGATGGAAGAGTGGGTGAATGGATGCATGAGTGGATTGGTGGATGGATGGATGATGGGTGGGTAGATGTATGTATGTATGAATGGATGATTTGATATGTGGCTGGGTGGATGGGGAGGTGGAAGGATGGATGAAAGGATGGATAATTTGGGGACAAGGTAACTGATTCGGGCTGGAGCTAGGACTGATGACAAATGTCCCCATCTCCTGCCAGAGCTCAGGGCTCCAGGCCAGGATCTTTCCAGAGAGAAGCTGCCCCTACTTTGAGCCTGGCTAGCACTGCTCTCTGCTGGTCACCCTGGAGGTTGCAGCCAGCCCACCAACTCCCAGTGATGGAAGAATCAGCACTCTTGTCAAAACCATTCTTCCTTTTTCTTTTTTCTTTTTTTTTTTTTTTGAGACGGAGTCTCGCTCTGTCGTCCAGGCTGGAGTGCAGTGGCGCAATCGTGGCTCACTGCAAGCTCCGCCTCCCGGGTACACGCCATTCTCCTGCCTCAGCCTCCCGAGTAGCTGGGACTACAGGCGCCCGCCACCAAGCCGGGCTAATTTTTTTGTATTTTTAGTAGAGATGGTGTTTCACCGTGTTAGCCAGGATGGTCTCAATCTCCTGACCTCCTGATCCGCCCACCTCGGCCTCCCAGAGTGCTGGCATGTCAGCCGTGAGCCACCGCGCCCGGCCCATTCTTCCTTTTTCATCAAGTTAAACATTTTTTAAATGTCCACCCATACAGAAAACAAAAGGACAAAGTCCCAATATCATAGAATTTGTGTTCAGGTGGGAGGAGGAGGTGGAGACCAATAATAAACAAAATGCTAGGTAGAAAACACAGTGTGTTGGAAAATAGGGGAAAAGTCCAGCAGAGAAGCGGGCAGGGAGTATGATGGGTACTTAATTTTTTTTTTTTTTTTTTTTTTTTTGAGACAGAGTCTCGCTGTCACCCAGGCTGGAGTGCAGGGGCACAATTTCGGCTCACTGCAACCTCCACCTCCTGGATACAAGTGATTCTCCTGCCTCAGCCTTCTGAGTAGCTGGGATTACAGGTGTGTGACACACCCAGCTAATTTTTTGTTTTTTTTGGTTTTTTTTTTGAGATGGAGTCTCACTCTGTCGCCCAGGCTGGAGTGCAGTGGCGCAATCTCCACTCACTGCAACCTCTGCCTCCTGGGTTCAAGCTATTCTCCTGCCTCAGCCTCCCTGAGTAGATGGGACTACAGGTATGGCAACCACGCCTGGCTAATTTTGTTTTTTTATTTTTATTTTCATTTATTTGAGAGAGTTTTGCTCTTGTCACCCAGGCTGGAGTGCAATGGCGCGATCTCGGCTCACTGCAACCTCCACCTCCTGGGTTCAAGCAATTCTCCTGCCTCAGCCTCCGGAAGTAGCTGGGATTACAGGTGCTCGCCACCACGCCCGGCTAATTTTTGTACTTTTAATAGAGTCAGGGTTTCACCATGTTCGCCAGGATGGTCTCCAACTCCTGACCTCAGGTGATCCACCCACCTCAGCCTCCGGAAGTGCTGGGAATGCAGGCACTGGCCGCCCCGCCTGGCCTCCTTTTGGGTTTTAATGGCAGCTTCATTAAACAGACATGACTCACAATCATAAAGAAACGTAATTGGGCCAAAAATTAGTATGATCTCATATGAATAGACTGACTGGGGAGCCAGGCAGGGCCTGTCTGTCCAGATTTGTCTTGGTCTCTCTGTAGCTTTTCTTCCTCCAGGGTATGGGGCATGACCTTCTCTGGAATGAGGTGTTTGGGCTCCCAATCAGATTAGAGTCCTGCCTTGGGCAGTGAAAAGGGACAGAAAGTGGAGAGAGAAATTCTGTTTCCCTAGGGCTTCGCCTGAGGACTAAAGAACCTATAAATAGGATGGGGCGTGGTGGCTCACGACTGTATTCCCAGCACTTTGGGAGGCTGAAGCAGGCAGATCACGAGGTCAAGAGATCGAGACCATCCTGGCCAACATGGTGAAACCCTGTCTCTACTAAAATACAAAAATTAGCTGGGCGTGGTGGCGAGCGCCTGTAGTCCCAGCTATTCAGGAAGCTGAGGCAGGAGAATCGCTTGAACTAGGGAGGTGGAGGTTGCAGTGAGCCAAGATTGAGCCACTGCACTCCAGCCCTGGTGACAGAATGAGACTGTCTCAAAAAAAAAAAAAGAAAAAAAAAACCATAAATAAATAAATAAATATTTCTGAGGCTGGTGCAGTGGCTCACACCTGTAATTCCAGCACTTTGGGGAGGCCAAGGAAGGCGGATCACCTGAGGTCAGTAGTTTGAGGCCAGCCTGGCCAACATGGTGAAACCCAGTCTCTACTAAAAATACAAAAATTAGCTGGAGGTGGTGGTGGGCAGCTGTAATCCCAGCTACTCGGGAGGCTGAGGCAGGAGAATTGCTTGAACCCAGGAGGCAGAGGTTGCAGTGAGCTGAGATCGCACCACTGCATTCCAGCCTGGGCAACAGAGCGAGACTCTGTCTCAAAAAAAAAAAAAAAAAAATTCAGGCTGGGCACAGTGGCAGAGGCCGCAGTGAGCGGAGATCGCGCCACTGCATTCCAGCCTGGGCTACAGAGCAAGACTCTATCTCGGGCGAGGGGAAAGAAATCACAAGGACGCCCGGAAACTGTTTAGCACTAGCTTGCAATGCTAACGCACACATATTCTATTACCCAGCGATTCCTCTACTGTTCCCGATAGAAATGCATGAATACATCCTCCAAAGATATGGAGCCACCATGCCCAGCAGTTCCCCTCCTTTTTTTTTTTTTTTTGAGACGGAATCTTGCTCTGTCTCCCAGGCTTGAGTGTAATGGGGCAATCTCAGCTCACTGCAACCTCCGCCCCCTGGGCGGAGCCATTCTCCTGCCTCAGCCTCCCCAATAGCTGGGATTACAGGTGCCCACAACCATGCCTGACTAATTTTTGTATTTTTAGTAGAGGTGGAATTTCACCATGTTGGCCACGCTGGTCTCAAACTCCTGACCTCAAGTGATCTGTCCTCCTCGGCCTCCCGAAGTGCTGGGGTTATAGGCGTGAACCGCTGTGCCCGGTCCCCCCCCCCACTTCTTTTTTGAGACCATGTTTCGCTCTTTTGCCCAGCCTAGAGTGCAGTGGCGCAATCTCAGCTCACTGCAACCTCTGCCTCCTGGACTCATGTCATTCTCCTGCCTCAGTCTCCCAAGTGGCTGGAATTACAGGTGCCCTCCACCACGTCTGGCTAATTTTTTAATTTTTAGTAGAGATGGGCTTTCATCATGTTGGCCAGGCTGGTCTCGAACTCCTGACCTCATGTGATCTGTCCCTTTAGGCCTCCCGAAGTGCTGGAATTACTGGTTTGAACCACTGCGCCCATCCTCCCCTCCCCCTGCCTTTTTTTTTTTTTTTTTTTAAGATGGGTGTCTGACTATATTGCTCTAGCTGTCCTTTATCTCCTGGGCTCAAGCAATTCTTCCTAAACTCTGGGATTTTACAGGTGTCAGCCATCCTGCCCCACCAGGATATAAGTCATTTGTCAGATATATGTATTGTAAATATCTTACCCCAGTTTTTTTGGTTTGTTTTGTTTTTTTGAGACAAGAGTCTCGCTCTGTTGCCCAGAGTACAGTGCAGTGGCGCGATCTCGGCTCACTGCAACCTCTGCCTCCTGGGTTCAAGAGATTCTTCTGCCTCAGCCTCCCAAGTAGCTGGGATTACAGGTGCATGCCACCACGCCCGGCTAATTTTTGTATTTTTAGTAGAGATGGGGTTTCACCATATTGGCCAGGCTAGTCTCGAACTCCTGACCTCATGATCCACCTGCCTCGGCCTCCCAAAGTGCTGGGATTACAGGTGTGAGCCACCGCGCCTGGCCCATCTTACCCCAGTTTTTATTGCGATTACTTTCTTTCTCCCTCTCTTTTTTTTTTAGACGGAGTCTTGCTCTGTTGCCAGGCTGGAGTGCAGTGGCGCCATCTCGGCTCACTGCAACCTCTGCCTTCTGGTTTCAAGGGATTCTCCTGACTCACCCTCCCGAATAGCTGGGATTACAGGTGCCCACCATCACACCCAGCTAGTTTTTGTATTTTTAGTAGAGACAGGGTTTCACCATGTTGGCCTGGCTGGTTTCGAACTCCTGACCTCAAGTGATCTTCCCGCTTACGGCCTCTCAAAGTGCTGGGATTACAGGCGTGAGCCACCACGGCTGGCCAAGTTTCCAGAGCTTTTTTTTACAATCTCAATGATGTATCTCGGAAGGCAGGGACTCAGTATATCTCATTTACCGCTGCATGCCCAGCACCCCTTACCATGCCTGGCACACAATGGGCCTTCGACAAATGTTTACTGAATGAATGACAATGTCGTAGTCCTGTCTCTGGCCTCATTTTCTTCCTGTGGGCATGTTAATGTCTGTCTTGCCCATTTCACAGGATGTTGTGAGGCTGCGGGAACCACAGGATCCGTTCCCCCACCCACCCAGGAGTTGGGTTTGGAGGCTCTCAGGCCGCGTCAGCTATTACATTCAGGAAAGGCGGAGCTCCAGTCTTCCTCGGGAACTTGCCGGCTAAGCTCCACGTGGGCGCCCCGCCCACATCCAGCCACGCTCACACCTGTCAGCTGGTGGGAGGGTCAGGACCAGCCTCTAAGGGGCGTGGCTAGGGCTCAGAACTAGGAAGAAGGCGGAGTTCCGGAGGCCACTGACCAATGAGAGCGCAAGTTTTGGGGCCGGAAAAGGCGGGGCCGCGCGCAGGAGAAAGAGGTGCCACATTTCCATTGGACTACCTGTCGTCGTCAGGGAAACGCAGCGTCTCCCTGCCGGGGAGGTGGCGGGGCGGGGCTTTCTGGGAGGCGGGGCTTCCGGGGCCGGCTCGGCTGGGACCGGGCGCTCGTCGTCAGCTGACCCGCCGCCATCTTGTCCGCCATTTGCAAGGGGCCCGGAGCGGGATCGCGGCACCTGCCGAGCGGGTCGCCGCCTCTGCCGCGGTCCTTGGACCCCGCCGCCGCCCTGGCCTGGGAGCTTGCCCCGCCGCAGCGGCCGGCAGCGCGGCGCTCCGCGGGCGGCAGGCACGGGCCCCGGGCCCCCTCACGGCGCCCAGCCGCGGGCCTCCCGAGGCAAAAGCCCGTGGGCCGCCGCGATGGCCCTCAAGATGGTGAAGGGCAGCATCGACCGCATGTTCGACAAGAATCTGCAGGACTTGGTCCGCGGCATCCGTAACCACAAGGAGGACGAGGTGAGCCCGGCGCGCCAAGGGGCTGCTCGGCCTGGTCACAGCCCCGGCCCAGGGCCCAGCCCTGCTCACTGGGCCTGCTCGGCCTGCCGCCCGCCCGGGCTCTGTCTTAGTTGGAGGTCCCGCTTAGGGCTCCGGCCCTGCCTGGCCTGGGCCTGGGGCGCCGCCCACCTCCTCGGTCCCCCAGCATCAGTTTCCCCACGAGGGGCGAAGGCCTTGGAGCAGCACATCTCGGATCCTCGCCTCATCGGATCACCTGGGGGAAGCGCTGTTCAAAATGCAATGCCCTGGGCCCCGCCTATAGGTGCCCTCCCCCTGGACCCTCAGTTTACTCTCTCAGAGGGAGATTCGGGCCCACCTGCCCCCGTCTCGGGCCACCCTCCCAGGAGACTTGCGAGGTCTCTGGGCAGAGCTTCTTCAACCTGAGTGTGTTTCCGAATCACCGATTAAAAATGCAGGGGCCCGGGCCCCGCCCCCGGACCCTCCCCGGGAGACCGAGGCAGGGGGTCCTGGGCCGTCCCTGGAGAAACTCCTTCTTCCTTCTGGGTCGTGTAAATGCGTGTCCAGGTCGCTCCCTGAGGCCTGGCTCGGAACCAGGCAGGGTCTTGGGGCGTTGCCTCCAGTGCCCCCGTTCCCAGGAAGGTGGGGCTGCTGCCAGGAGGGAGGAAGGACAGCGGCATCCTGATCCCCAGTGAGGTAGCAGCTTGCGGGAAGCTGGAATGGGGAAGCTGACTTCAAGTAGGAACCTGAAAGCCAGGGCGAGGAAATAGTTTTCCAGAAGTAAAATTACAACCGTGGGGATCGTTTCCTTCCCGCTCCTCCCTTCCCCCAACCTGTGACCTAGATTGAAGAAGAATGGGCAGAGTGGCCACCACGTGTCTGGCTTCATTAAGGATACCCGTGCAGCCCTTGGGCAGTGGGAGCCTTAGAAAGTGTCCTACTTGAGCGACTGCCTGCCTGCTTCCCTGCGTGGACAGCAAGGCAGGCCTGAAAGAGAGCCGCCGTCTGATACCGCACCAGTCCCAGTACCAGAGGCTGTGTCCAGGACGAGGTGCCCAGGAGGGCAGGGAAGTTAAGGGACTTGCTTCCTGGCACCATGTCCCTCAGCCCATGTCCCTCTCTCTGGGAACCCGAGCTCTTGCCGTATTGTTACACCTTTACACTTTCCTGGAAGTGGTGTGGCTTCGCCTGCCCCCACCTTAATGAGGTCATTTTTGTTCTTCTCCACCCCACTTCCCTTCGGCCTCCTTGGTTTTCTTCATCTCAGAAGCTCTCCCTAACTGCTTTGGTTACAACGTGTAACTAACTGGAGTAATGTTCAGATTCTTTGTGAGTTGAAAGCATCGCTGATGGGCCTGGTTTTTACTGAGCTTGGTTCAGATTGGAAATGTGGTTCACTTCCCGAGAGGACTTTTTCTGCACAGGCAGGATCTCCCAGCGCCCGTCCCTGCTCCCTTCAGCGCATGTCACTGAGCAGCCTGTTCTGGGACCCTGACGATGGGCCAGGGGGTCTGTCCAGTGGAGGACCACACCTCTAGTCTGGGGCATGGTTTTCAGGGGGATGTGCCTGTCTTCACTGGGAAGCCCCTGAGCCTGGTTTTCTTCCTTTGGAATTGGTGTGAGTTGATAGCGCCTTCCCCACAAGTCTGGGCCCCTTCAAGGGGGTCTTGGTGGTGGAAACTTTTTTTTTTTTTTTTTGAGACGGAGTTTCACTCTTGTTGCCCAGGCCGGAGTGCAGAGGCATGATCTTGGCTCACCACAACCTTCACCTCCCAGGTTCAAGCGATTCTCCTGCCCCAGCTCCTGAGTAGCTGGGATTACAGGCATGCACCACCACACCCAGCTAATTTTGTATTTTTAGTAGAGACAGGGTTTCACCATGTTGGTCGGGCTGGTCTCAAACTCCTGACCTCAGTGATCCACCCGCCTTAGCCTCCCAGAGTGTTAGAATTACAGGCGTGAGCCACTGCACCCGGCTGGGAAACATTTTTAAAACGGCGCAGGGTTGTCCTTGAAAGTCCCAGGCTTCCTCATTGGCCCTGCCATTGGCGGGTGGGTGATTTCAGGCAGGACACGCAGTGTCTGGGGACCCTGGCTTTCTCACTGGAAGACGATTGTTATGGTCCAGAGGGTGGTAACTCAGGTGTTCATGTCTGATTCTGGATGTTCTCTGCAGCTGCTGGAGTCTCCTGATTGGAGAGCAGCAAATGACTGTTCAATGACAGTTCTAGTTGTACCTCCAGCACCCCCACTCACTTTGAAAAAGCAGCTATCCTATAGACCGTATGTTGTAGGTTCTTCCCTCCCGCCCACTGCACCCGGAACAAAGACTCTAGACAGTGTGCGCATTTTCTGCAGCAGTATAGTTTCCAAAAAAAGTTTCCATTTCGTAATAGATTTTCACCTAAAACTTGAGTGTGGCATCATGGAAACAAGGCTTAGCAATGACTTTGAAAGCCACGTGGAAAGGCAGTGCGATGGAGTAGAAATCGCATGAGGTTTGGGAGATCCGAGTCCAGGTGCTTGGGCTGACTGGCTGACTTCATGGGGCGGCCCATCTAGAGCCCCCTGCTCTGTCTCCTCCCTTGTAAATGGGGATGACAGTCACCTCCCTCCTTGCTGGATGATGCGGAGGATGCTGCAGTGACACGCGGTTTTCTGGAAGCGCCAGAGCGCTGAGGTTGTCTAGTTCACTGTTTTCCAGTCCTCAGGCTGTGACCTCTTTGTGGGTTGTGAATTCAATTTAATGGTTATGCTAGGTAAGAAAAAGGAAAAGAAACTAGAAGAGACCAGAGTGCAGGCACATACAGTAACCGTCCTGTCCTGAAACTTTGATTTCTGCATGTGATACTTGTGTGTACGTGTAAACGTATCGGGTTCCCATGCAAAACCTATTAAGATGAGTCCAAAAAGCGTGAGAAGTAGTGGTCTCATGTGTATGTGTCTTGGTCCACTTGGGAGTGTCCTCAGCTTCTAAAGCTCGATAGAATTGGCACAAAAAACAAACGACTTTTAATATTTTGTTCTCACAAGTCCTTTTCATAGTTTTGGGAAAGTTTTCTCCATTTTTTCTTTTTCTTTTTTTTTTTTTTTTTGAGACGGAGTCTTGCTCTGTCCCCCAGGCTGCAGTGCAGTGGTGCGATCTGGGCTCACTGCAAGCTGTGCCTCCCGGGTTCACGCCATTCTCCTGCCTCAGCCTCCCGCCACCACGCCCGTCTAATTTTTTGTATTTTTAGTAGAGATGGGCTTTCACCGTGGTCTCAATCTCCTGTCCTCGTGATCCTCCCGCCTCGGCCTCCCAAAGTGCTGGATTACAGGTGTGAGCCACGGTGCCCAGCCTTTTTTTCTTTTTTTTTTTGAGACTAAGTCTCGCTCTGTCGCCAGGCTGGAGTGCAGTGGCACGATCTCGGCTCACTGCAACCTCCACCTCCCAGGTTCAAGTGACTCAACCTCCCAAGCAGCTGGGACAACAGGCGAGTGCCACCACATCCAGCTAATTTTTGTATTTTTAGTAGAGATGGGGTTTCCCCATGTTGGCCAGTATGGTCTCAATCTCTTGACCTCGTGATCTGCCCACCTTTGCCTCCCAAAGTGCTGGGATTACAGGGTGAGCCACTGTGCCCAGCCCATATATTCTTTTTCTTTTTTCTTTTTTGTTTTTTTTTTCTTCTTCTTGTTTTTTTTCCAAGTCAGAGTCTCGCTGTGTTGCCCAGGCTGGAGTGCAGTGGCACAATCTTGGCTCACTGCAAGTTCCGCCTCCTGGGTTCAAGCAGTTCTCCCTGCCTCAGCCTCCCCAGCGGACTCCAACTAAAAAAAAAAAAAAAAGAAAGGAAAAGATATAAAGAGATTAAATTTGAACTGAGTGTGTTTTCTTTTCTTTTTTTTTTTTTTTTTTTGAGACAGAGTTTTGCTCTTGTTGCCCAGGCTGGAGTGCAATGGCGCGATCTCGGCTCACCGCAACCTCCGCCTCCCAGGTTCAAGCAATTCTCCTGCCTCAGCCTCCCTAGTAGCTGGGATTACAGGCATGTGCCACCACCCCGGCTAATTTTTTGTATTTTTAGTAGAGACGGGGTTTCTCCATGTTGGTCAGGCTGGTCTTGAACTCCCGACCTCAGGTGATCCACCAGCCTCGGCCTCCCAAAGAGCTGGGATGACAGGCGTGAGCCACCACGCCCAGCCGAACTGAGCGGGTTTTCTCTCCTTTTAATAACGTCAGTCATTCCACTAGATCAGCGTCTGCCCCTCACCACTGTGGATGTTGGGGCTGGATCATTCTCTGGGTAGAGCTATTCTGGGCACTACAGGGTGCTGAGCAGCATCCCCGCCCCCACCCACTCCGTGCCAGGGGCTCCTCTGGTCATGCCAGCCACAGGTGTGCCCAGACCAGAATGTCTCTTGGAGGTAGAATCAACCCCAAATTAAAAGCCCCTGACCCCCCTTGATGGTAAGAAAAGTCTCCCAGAATTCCCGAATGCGTCCCTGTTGTCCAGGTGCCCTCGTCCCCCGTGCTGTCACGGTGGTGGTGGACCAGAGGGCGTGGATTCTAAATGTGCTTTGTTTTCCCTCTGAGCTGCTTTGATTGCAAAATATGCAGTGCATAGGACATTGTACGGCTTTTTTTTTTTTTTTTTTTTGAGACAGGGTCTTGCTCCGTCTGTCACCCAGGCTGGAATGCAGCGGCACAATCTTGGCTCACTGCAACCTCTGCCTCCTGGGTTCAAGTGATTCTCCTGCCTCAGCCTCCGAAGTAGCTGGGATTACAGGTGGCCGCCATCACACCTGGCTAATTTTTGTATTTTTAGCAGAGACGGGGTTTCACTGTATCGGCCAGGCTGGTCTCAAACTCCTGACCTCAAGTAACCCACCCACCTTGGCCTCCCAAAGTGCTGGGATGGCAGGCGTGAGCCAGTGTGCCCGGCCTGTACAGCTAATTATTATGGTAATGATCCTGACTTCTGTAAGTTTAATTTCCTTGACTTGCTTGTAGTTTTATCACTTAAATTTGTGTCCCTGAACCATAGGCGTGATTGCCTAAGGTGTGTGTGCTTTGCAGCCGTCATGGTGGGGAGGGAGCTGTCCTCGGTCCTTGACGTGGGTGGCTGTGCTCTGTTGTTTACACACAGCTTCCATACATAGTCGGACATGTGGGTGGTTTCCATGTGGGGTCGTTTTATGAATGGACTCAAGCCGTAGAGGCCCTCAGGAAAGCGCCCGCTCCCCACAGAGCTTCTCCCAGCAGCAAGCATGAAAGCCGCAGCCTCGCCTCCCGCACCACCAGCAGGGCTGGGGTGTTTGGGGGGTGCAGCTGTAGTGTCAGCTGCCCTGCTTATGAGTGCGGTTCACTCATTCACAGGCGTTTAGCCGCTTGCGTTCTTCCTGAAGCTCTCTCTTCAAAGAGGCTTGGGCCTCTTTGTCTATTTTACTCCTTTGCAGGGGTTTTCAAAAGGCAATCTCTGGGCAGAAGGCTTGGTGTGTGTGTGTGGAGGTGGCTTCAAGGCCGAGGCATGTGGGTCCTGGAGGGGCATGTGGGTGGGGGTGAGTTCTGCCCTTGTAACCAGCTTCTGGGTGATGCTCACTTGCGTTGAGCTTTGGAGAGCCAGGAAGACCAGAGGGCAGGAGCGGCGACGCCAGCCCTGGGTGTGCTCTGGCCCAGCCGTGGCACTGTGGACATCAGGCTGGATTGTTCTTGGGGTGGGGGTGTTGGGGCACTGCAGGGCACTGAGCAGCGTACCCGGCCTCCACCCACTCCATGCCTAGATATCTGCAAGTCGTGGCAACCACAGATGCTGCATACATCGCCCAGTGTCCCCTGGAGGGGCAGAGTCACCTGCTGGGAACCACTGCCTTAGGAGTTCTTGGACTGGCTGGTGGCTGATTTGTCCACGTGGCAGTGAGACAGGCGGAGGGATGTGGGGACCCCGGGTGGCCTGCTGGGCATCCACCATGTGGCCCACTCTGTGCTGAGTGGTCCCTAATGCTCCTGCTCATCTGTGACTGGGGCCTGAGGACCCTCCTCTGCTCTGCCCAGGCCTCCAGCCCTCAGGGAGCTGCGGTCCAGATGGAGCCTCACGTCCTTCCTGGTGTTTTGTCCTGTCCTGTGATGCTGCTGAGCCAAGGTGGTTCCTTTCTTTGAACAGTTGAGATATAATTTACATGCCACAAAATCTGCCTGTTCTAGGCATGAAATGAAGTAGATTTCAGTATATTTACAAACGTGCAGTGATTCAGCACAATACGTTCAGAACAGAGAAACCTATGCCCTGGCGACCACTGACCTGCTGTCTCTGTGGATTTGAGCCAGAAGCGTTTTTGTTTTGTTTGTTTGTTTGTTTGTTTTTGGAGACATAGTCTCCCTCTGTCGCCCAGGCTGGAGTGCAGTGGTGCGATCTTGGCTCACTGCAGCCTCTTCCTCCCAGGTTCAAGCAATTCTCCTGCCTCAGCCTCCTGAGTAGCTGGGATTACAGGCATGCACCACCATACCAAGCTAATTTTTGTATTTTTAGTGGAGACGGTGTTTCACCATGTTGACCAAGCTGGTCTCAAACCCCTGACCTCAAGTGATCTGCTCGGCCTCCCAAAGTGCTGGGATTACAGGTGTGAGCCATTGTGCCCCGCCTTGACTCAGAGGGTTTTAATGGTGACCGTGCCACCCCACAGACATCCAGGCTGAGCTGAGGGGCCGCAAGTTACAGGACTGAGCACAGAGACGGGCTGGGGCTGGACTAGGCAGGGCTGGCCGGGGTCTGGTCCTGGATGGGGCTGTTTCTGGTTTCTGCCCTGTTGCGTGTTAGTGTGCTGCACCAGCCTCAGTTGTGGGAGTGGAGGTAGGTCCCGGTGTGGGGGCCTCGGTTCCATGCTGCCTCAGGGTGGCCGCGGCCGCTCTGCTCCTGGGTGCAGAGGGCGTTGAGCCTGTCCACAACAAGAGAATAAAGCAGGACGGTGTCCCGGGCTGTTGAAAGAGCAGAGCGCTCCGCAGGAGAAGCTCCTTTCATGCTGCTTCTGGGGTTCTGGGGTTTGGTGGCTTTTCTGTTTGAATTCGAAGTGATGGTGATTGTGGATAGTAACTTATCCTGGGCAGGATGGACCACTTCGCCGGCGCGTCCCCTTTCCTGACTCAGTTACTGTTGGGACTTGGAATTCTTTTTTTTTTTTTTTGAGACGGAGTTTCACTCTTGTTGCCCAGGCTGAAGTGCAATGGCGCGATCTCGGCTCACCGCAACGTCTGCCTCCCGGGTGCAAGCGATTCTCTTGCCTCAGCCTCCCGAGTAGCTGGGATTACAGGTGCGAGCCACCACCCCGGCTAATTTTGTATTTTTAGCGGAGATGGGGTTTCTCCACGTTGGTCAGACTGGTCTCGAACTCCCAACCTCAGGCGATGCACCCGCCTCGGCCTCCCAAAGTGCTGGGATTACAGGCGTGAGCCACCGCACCTGGCCGAGGCAGCACTTTCATTTATTTCCTTTTTTATTTTTTTTTTGAGGCAGTCTTGCTCTGTTGCCCAGGCTGGAGTGCAGTGGTGCGATCGCGGCCCCCTACAGCATTGACTTCCTGGGCTTAATCAATCCTCTTACCTCAACCTTGCAAGTAGCTGTGACTACACGATGTGCCACCACGCCCAGCTAATTTTTTATTTTTTGATTTTTTTGAAACAGGGCTTCAAAAACCTCCTCTCTACACAAAAATACAAAAATTAGGCAGGCTTGGCCTGGCACGGTGGCTCACGCCTGTAATCCCAGCACTTTGAGAGGCCAAGGTGGGCGGATCACAAGGTCAGGAGATCGAGACCATCCTGGCTAACACGGCGAAATCCCGTCTCTACTAAAAATACAAAAAATTAGCCAGGCATGGTCGCGGGCGCCTGTAGTCCCAGCTACTTGGGAGGCTGAGGCAGGAGAATGGCATGAACCCAGGAGGTGGAGCTTGCAGTGAGCTGAGATCGCGCTGCTGCACTCCAGCCTGGGCGACAGAGCAGGACTCTGTCTCAAAAAAAAAAAAAAAAAAAAAAAAAAAATTAGGCAGGCATGGTGGCACGTGCCTGTAGTCCTAGCTGCTTGGAAAGCTGAGGCAGGAGAATCACTTCAACCTGGGAGGTGGAGTTTGCAGTGAGCAGAGATCATACCACTGCACTCCAACTTGGACGATAGAGTGAGACTCCATCTCAGAAAAAAAAGAAAAAGAGGCTGGGCGTGGTGGCTCACTCCTGTAATCCCCGCACTTTGGGAGGCCGAGGTGGGCAGATCACCTGAGGTCGGGAGTTCGAGATCAGCCTGGCCAACATGGAGAAACCCTGTCTCTACTAAAAATATAAAATTAGCTTGGCGTGGTGGCTCGTGCCTGTAATCCCAGCTACTTGGGAGGCTGAGACAGGAGAATCACACTTGAGCTTGGGAGGCGGAGGTTGTGGTGAGCCAAGATCACACCATTGTACTCCAGCCTGGGCAACAAGAGTGAAACTCTGTCTCAAATAAAAAAAGAAAAAAAAAAAACAGAAAAAACCCCTCAGAGCCCCCATTGGGGTGAGGGGGACCGGGCTTTGCTCTCATGAGCTGGGTGAGCTCCCAGGCCCTCAGCCTGCATGCGGCTCAGCGGCCCGGCTCCCCTCAGCCAGGCGGCCACGTGGAAAGCACCGTGGGATGTGCCAAGGGCTCAGCTCGTTGGTCTTTGAACTGGACAGCACCTGAGAATCAGCTGCTGAGGTTGTGACCATGTGGCCTCCCTGGTCTCAAGATGCTGACTTAATTCATTGGAGGCGAAGGACTGAGAATCGGAAGTTTAAAACTAGAAAAAGCGCCAGCCAGGTGCGGTGGCTCACACCTTTAATCCCAGCACTGTGGGAGGCCAAGGTGGGAGGATCACTTGAGGCCAGGAGTTCAAGACCAGCCTGGGCAACATAGTGAGACCCCAACTCTACAAAAGTAAAAAATGTTAGGTCGGGTGCAGTAGCTCACACCTGTAAATCCCAGCACTTTGGGAGGCTGAGGCTGGCGAATTACTTGAGGTCAGGAGTTCAAGACCAGCCTGGCCAACATGGCTAAACCCCCTCTAAAAATATAGAAATTAGCCAGGCGTGGTAGTACCTGCTTGTAACCCCAGCTACTGGGAAGGCTGAGGCAGGAGAATTGCTTGAACCCGGGAGGCGGAGGTTACAGTGAGCCGAGATCACACCACTGCACTCCAGCATGGGCGACGAGCAAAACTCTGTCTCAAAAGATACATATATATATATAAATAAACATATATGTAAATAAATGTATATATATGTAAACAAGTATATACATAAATATATGCAAAAATAAATATATATAAATATATATAATTTTAAAAATTCGCCCAATATGGTGGCATGGCCCTGTAATCCCAGCTATTTACTGTACTCCCAAATACTGAGGTGGGAGAATCTCTTGAGCCTGGGAGGTTGAGGCTGCAGTTAGCCATGGTTAGGCCACTGCACTTTAGCCTGTGCAATAGAGGAAGACCCTATCTCAATAAAAGAAAAAAAAAAGGCCGGGCATGGTGGCTCACGCCTGTAATCCCAGCACTTTGGTAGGCTGAGACAGGTGGATCATGAGGTCAAGAGATCGAGACCGTCATGGCCAAAATGGTGAAATCCTGTCTCTGCTAAAAATGCAAAAATTAGCTGGGCGTGGTGGTGTGTACCTGTAATCGTAGCCACTCGGGAGGCTGAGGCAGGAGAATCACTTGAATCACTTGAACCGAGAGGCGGAGGTTGCAGTGAGCCGAGATCGTACCACTGCACTCCAGCCTGGTGACAGAGCAAGACTCCATTAAAAAAAAAAAAAAAAAAGTACCCCAGGGAGTTTTCCTGTGTATCTAGGGTTTAAATGGCCTGTCTTACTGCAGTCCTGAGGACTTAGTGTATAAAGGAAATACGCACCCTGTGTTCTAAATTACATCCCAGAATTAAATAGATGCTGAGACCAGCATCATTGTTTTAGTATCTCACTTGCTGTGTGGTGAAGTGTGAATTTAGTGTGGAACTAGCTGAGGTGTTTGAGAAATTTCACCATGTTGCTCCTCTGATTTCCCGGTGTTTTTGTAGAAAGTGTCAATGATGTATAGCCACATTATAGCTTCAGCTAATTTACATCTATGTTTATAATATAATCTTTTGGGTCTAGGTCATGTCTCCCTACCCCAACTAATACATTTTTTTTCTAATTCAGGCCGGGCGCAGTGGCTCATGCCTGTTATCCTGGCACTTTGGGAGGCTGAGGCGAGCAGATCACCTGAGGTCAGGAATTCGAGACCAGCCTGGCCAACGTGGCGAAACCCCGTCTCTACCAAAAATACAAGAATTAGCTGGGCATGGTGGTGTGCCCCTGTAATCCTAGCTACTCAGGAGGCTGAGCCAGGAGAATCACTTGAACCTGGGAGGTGAAGGTTGCAGTGAGCCGAGATTGTGCCACTGCACTCCAGCCTGGCATCAGAGCGAGACTCCGTCTCAAAAAAAAAAAAAAAAAAAAAAGACGTTTGTGTGAGGCTTGGTCTGAGAGGAGCTACTTGGACTTTATCAGAAGTTAAAAGCCAAGAGGGAGTCCCAGGGTTGTGACCCACTGCCGAGTTCCTAGAAAGCTGACTAGTGGCTGGGCGTGGTGGCGCACACCTGTGGTCCCAGTGCTTTGGGAGGCTAGCGGGGAGGATCACTTGAGTCTGGGGTGTGGAGGCTGCAGTGAGCAGTGATCTCACCACTGCACTCCAGCCTGGGCGACAGAGTGAGACCCTGTCTCAAAAAAAAAAAAAGTCAAGCAAGTTGACTGGAGCAGACCCACCACATGGTGTGTATCCATTCATCAGCGGCGAGCGTGGGGGCTGTTCCTGTTTCAGGCCACTAGAAATGGTGCTGCCCTGTGTGTTCGTGTGCTTGTTTTTGTTTGGACACCTGTTTTCCATCCCCTCGGGTGCACGCCCAGAAGTGGAATTGCTGGGGCGGTAACTCCACATGGAACCGTGGAGGAACCCCAGGCTGCTTTCCACAGCAGCCGCGCCGTTTGACATCCCCTTTGCCCTCGTGAGGGTCTGACCTCTCCACGCCTGGGATGGTCTTTTTGTTCTTTTCCTTTTAAATCAACAGTCCTGACCCTTTGAGCAGGAGGAGTGGGTTATCCTTGCTCCGGGGATGGGAGCACAGTCCTGGGGTGAGGTGTAGTAATTTGAAGCCCGTCTGGAGGATCGGGTGGCACTCTTTCCATTGTACAAAGTTGGATCATAAAGCATGGAGGAAAATATTATGTGTCTGTGCCCTCCCCCACCCCCCCACTCCCCCACAGCTGTGTCTCCTTCCCCAGCCCGGTGCAGCTGGCAGCCGAGGTTGGGGTGTGGTCCTGGGTGACACATGAGTGGTGGGTACTCCTGGGGCTGCTTCGAGGCCAGCTACAGTGGGGCTGAGGACAGAAGCGTGATGGGGTGGGCTTGCCATCCTTGCCTCTGGTGGGCACAGCAGGAGGAACATTGCATCCCGACGTAGGGGCTGGCAGGACGGGGCCCGGGCAGCCGTCACTCCTGACCTGTCGGATGATGGAGAGGGGCTCCTGTGCATTAGGAGGGCTTGTGGGTGCCTCATCGTTCACTGATGGAGGCACTCCAAGCCTCTGCTGCTCCCTCCTCTCCTTCCAGGTGGGGTGGGTTGTCTCTGGGGCCAGCATGGCATCGACTCGGCTTGTCTCTGGTGCTATGTTGGGCGCCTCACGTCTGCCTGTCCCTTGGGAACCTTGTCTGCCATTCTGGACCTCGTGCCTGAGTTCGCTTGGGTCAGAATTGTCCTTGATGGTGTTCTGGAGACACGCGCAGTTAGTGAGCAGGCCCAGGGGGATCCAGACACACCAGACACATCCCCTCAAAACCTGAGTGTGGTTTTCACAGCAGTGAGAGTCACCCTGGCTGAAGGTGGGAAGGCCCCACATGTTCGTCCACCAAGGAGTTGGCAAACGGTGGGGCGTGTATAGCGGAATGCTGTGCGCCACCACCACGGCCAAGTTCCAGAACATTATCAGCCTAGAAAGAAAGCGAACCCTCCCGTCTCCTCTCCCAGCCTGTGGCACCCACGAATCCCCTTCCTGTCTCTGGATTGGCCTGATCTGGACATTTCATAGAAATGGATTACACGGTGTGCTCTCTCTTATGCCTGGCTTCTTTCCTTTTTTTTTTTTTTTTTTTTTTTTTTTGAGACGGAGTCTGGCTCTCTCACCTGGGCTGGAATGCAGTGGTGTCATCTTGGCTCAGTGCAACCTCTGCCTCCCAGGTTTAAACGATTCTCCTGCCTTAGCCTCCTGAGTAGCTGGGATTACAGGCGCCCGCCACCACGCCCAGCTAATTTTTGTATTTTTAGTAGAGGCGGGGTTTCACCATGTTGGCCAGGATGATCTCAAACTCCCGACCTCGTGATCTGCCTGCCTCGGCCTCCCAAAGTGCTGGGATTACAGGCGTGAGCCACTGTGCCTGGCCCGAAATCATTATTCCAGCCCTCTTAGCTGGATGTTTGTAATCTCTGTGTTTATCCCCCATTATAGGCAAAATACATATCTCAGTGCATTGATGAGATCAAGCAGGAGCTGAAGCAGGACAACATAGCGGTGAAGGCGAACGCGGTCTGCAAGCTGACGTATGTAAGTGCCTCCCAGTGGCCAGCGCCCAGCACTGTCGGGCTGCTTCTCCACTCAGCACGTGTCCCCTATTCATCAGCCTGTCTGTCCACCTGTCAGTCATTGGTACCACCTGCTGTCGGTGAGCCACTCAGGGCCAACCCAGAGTCCTGGAGCAGAAAGCCATGTTGGTCACATGGCTGGCAAACAGGCCAGAGGGTGGCAACCCACAGGCCCTGGTGGTAGCCCTGAGGGAGCCCCATGGGGTCCTCTTCTGGGTGGGATTCACTGGGGACGCCCCTCGCCTGCAGTCTCGGCTCCCTCCCACCACAGGCTGGGCCAGGACACCTAGTGGGGAGAGCTAGGGCCCTGGACCTTCCAGGGCTGGCTCCTTTCCTGGCTGCAGTTCCAGGTCAGTGCGTGAGCTGGGGACAGGCACTCCTCCCTCTGGCCCGTTTCCCCGTGGGAGGACGAGACAAAGGGCTCGTCCAGGGTCCCCCATGCTGCTGCTCGTCTCGTAACTATTTCAAGGAGCCGATTCGCCAAGGGTTGGTAGGGGAATGTAGCCAGTACCCGTAAGCGCCAGTTAACCAATTGCAGACATTGAGTCTCTTTTTAGTGCCTGTTACTAACTTGTCCCTGTAGCTTTTAAATGTCAGAGTCGTTTGTCAAAAGAAGAAATTAAAGGCCCCAGGGGTACGTATTGGGTGGTTTGCTGACAGTGAATGAGTCTGTTCCAGCACCGTGTGCTGGGAGGGAGCGCTTGATGCCGCGGCTCAAAACCTTTCTCTCTGCTTTGGCTTGTGAGTGCAATTTCCTGTGCGTCCCTTAACAGTTACAGATGTTGGGATACGACATCAGCTGGGCCGCCTTCAACATCATAGAAGTGATGAGTGCCTCCAAGTTCACCTTCAAGGTGAGGTTCTGGGACGGCAAGGCTGGTGGGGTGGGGAGTGATTACAGGTGTGAGGCACCGTGACTGGCCAATTTTTATTATTATTATTCTTGAGACAGAGTCTAGCTCTGTTACCCAAGGTGGATTCAGTGGCCTGTAATCCCAGCACTTTGGGAGGCTGAGACAGGCGGATCACCTGAGGTTGGGAGTTGGAGACCAGGCTGGCCAACATGGTGAAACCCCATCTCTACTAAAAATACAAAATTTAGTGGGGCGTGGTGGCGCACGCGGCTATAATCCTAGCTACTTGGGAGGCTCAGACAGGAGAATTGCTTGAACCCGGGAGGTGGAAGTTGCAGTGAGCTGAGATCGTGCCATTGCACTCCAGCCTGGGCAACAGAGCGAGACTTTGTCTCCAAGAAAAAAAAAAAAACACATACATATTCCAAACTGGGAATTTCCTCATGGAATTTTGAAGAAATCTGCGTTGGTTTTCAAATGCGGGTTGGTTCCCACTTGCTGGTGGCCCCAGCGTCCAGGCTGCAGGGTGTTGCTTCTGGGCTGGCGCTGCCTGGTGTGGTCGCTGCAGAGCAGAGCTGGAGCTCCTGGAGGCTGCGGGTGTCCTGCCTCTGATGTGCTCATCTGTTCTCTCCCAGCGAATTGGCTACCTCGCTGCTTCCCAGAGCTTTCACGAAGGCACCGACGTCATCATGCTGACCACCAATCAGATCCGTAAGGTGGGTGTTCCCGGGCCGGGGCCGCTCTGTGCTGAGTGCAGTCTGCCCTTGCCGGAGCGTCTGGTTCCCACACGCGTCTTCCTGTGGGCAGCAGGTGCCTGTGGCCCCCTTGAGTGCGAGCGGGGCTTCCGGAGCCACAGTCCTCCCAGCAGACGCAGAGAGGAGGCCCGGCGGGTCTGAGCCTGCGCTCCCTGGTGGGCTTGTGAGGTGGAGGGATGCTGAGTGGTGCGGTGCCCCCTTCCCTCGCTCACCACCTGGAGGGGCCGGCGAATGGGGCTCCAGGGTCCACTCGCAGCTGGCCTCTGCGGTCACCCACTTTCTTCCCTTCTCCCCTCATGGTAGTGCCTGGTGTAGCTGTGGGCCCTTCCCTGCCCATGTGGGGTGCTTCCTGCCCGCGGCTTTTTTTGAGTCCCACGAGGTGCATTTTTCAGCACCATGTAAATGTTGCATTTTGAAATGGTCACGGAGGCCACTGGGTAGTAGTAAAGGTCCTTATTGGCCCCGAGCTCTGAACACCTTTGGTTCCCGCCTCTCAATAGAGGGGTTGGGGTGTTGGAGAATCAGGCCCACCCTTTTCATGGGCAGCTGGCCCCTTTCTGGCCCCAGACCGCACGTCAGAGGCCACGGTCCCGGCTCTCCAATGTCCATGTGCAAGGGCGGGACCCTGTGGCTGTGTTGTCGACCCCACAGTGTGACCTGAAGTCCTGGGCTGGGGGCTCCCAGCACGCCGAGGGACAGGTGTGGGGGCACTGGCTGTGACTGATGTCCGGCACAGGGTGTGGTGCAGGTCCTGGGACTGTTGGCTCTGCTGGGCTCACCGTTGTGGGCAAGGTTATAGAGCTGGGCGTCCCGCCTGGGCCGCGGGCGACATGCGCCCTAGATGCCGTGGGGCTCTTGGGTCATGGCCATGTAGCAGGAGGGACCTGGGCGGGAGTCTTCTTGGGTCGTGGCCGTGTAGCGGGAGGGGCCTGGGCGGGAGTCTTCTTGGGTCGTGGCCGTGTAGCGGGAGGGGCCTGGGCGGGAGTCTCCTTGGGTCGTGGCCGTGTAGCAGGTGGGGCCTGGGCGGGAGTCTGGCCCGCTAAGAGGAGGATGGGGGCGGGTTTTGCAGGTGGTAACTGGGAGGGAGGAGGGTGGAGGGCTCCAGCCGCCCTAGGTACCCAGGTGGCAGCTGCCCAGCAAGGAGGGCCACGTGTCGTGCCCAGCTTTGTGTCTCTTGCTGATGGGCTCGGCACGGCCGGTCCCTGTGTGAGCACCTCACTGGGGACTTAGATCCGCCGCTGCCTTGCGAGGTGCTCAGGGCTGTTAGACCCTGTGTGTCGGGCGCGGCTCTGACCTGGTGCCTGCCCCTGGCCTGGCCTCGGACGCAGGTGGGCCCTGGCTCAGCCAGTTAGCACCTGCTTCCTCTGTGTAGGATCACGTGCTTCCGATGTTTGCAGTCCAGTGTGTCATTTGTTTGTTTTGTTTTGTTTTGTTTTGAGACTGAGTCTCACTCTATTGCCCAGGCTGGAGAGCAGTGGCGTGATGTCGGCTCACCGCAACCTCTGCCTCCTGGGTTCAAGCGATTCTACTGCCTCAGCCTCCCGAGTAGCTGGAATTACAGGTGCCCGCCACCATGCCTGGCTAATTTTTGTATTTTTAGTAGAGATGGGGTTTCACCATGTTGGCCAGGCTGGTCTTGAACTCCCAGCCTCAAGTGATCTGCCCGCCTTGGCTTCCCAAAGTGCTGGGATTACAGGCATGAGCCACTGTGCCTGGCCTCATTTTGTTTTTTATTTTATTTTTTTGTTTTGTTTTGTTTTATTTTGTTTTTGAGATGGAGTCTTGCTCTGTCGTCCAGGCTGGAGTGCAATGGCGTGATCTTGGCTCACTGCAACCTCTGCCTCCCAGGTTCAAGCAATTCTCCTGCGTCAGCCTCCCAAGTAGCTGGGAGTACACGCATGTGCCACCACACCCGGCTAATTTTTTTGTGTTTTTAATAGAGACAGGGTTTCACCATGTTGGCCAGGCTGGTCTGGAACTCCTGACCTCAGGTGATCTGCCCACCTCAGCCTCACCAAGTGCTGGGATTACTGCGCCTGGCTTGTTTTTTAATAAAAAAAATTATTTCCTGGGCCGGGTGCGGTGGCTCATGCCTGTAATCCCAGCATTTTGGGAAGCTGAGGCGGGTGGATCTTCTGAGGTTGGGAGTTTGAGACTAGCCTGACCAACATGGTGAAACCCCGTCTGTACTAAAAATACAAAATTAGCCGGGCGTGGTGGTGCGTGCCTATAATCCCAGCTACTCAGGAGGCTGAGGCAGGAGAATTGTTTGAACCCAGGAGGCGGAGGTTGTGGTGAGCCAAGATTGTGCCATTGCACTCCAGCCTGGGTGACAGAGCGAGACTCCGTCTCAAAAAAAAAAAATTATTTTCTTTCTTTTTTTTTTTTAGGGTATTTTTAGTACAGACAGGATTTCACCATGTTGGTCAGGCTAGTCTTGAACTCCTGACCTCATGATCTGCCTGCCTCGGCCTCCCAAAGTGCTGGAATTAAAGGCGTGAGCCACCACGCCCAGCCCTAAAAAAAATTATTTTCTTACTTTTTTTTTTTTGAGACAGGGTTTTGCTCTGTCACCCAGGCTGGAGAGCAGTAGCGCAATTGCAGCTCACTGCAGCCTCGACCTCCTAGGCTCAAGCGATCTCCCCACCTTAGCCTCCTGAGTAGCTGGGACTGCAGGCATACACCACCACACCTGGCTGATTTTTTTTGTATTTTTTGTAGAGGCAGGGAGGGTTTCACTGCGTTGCCTAGGCTGGTCTCAAACCCCTGGGCTCAAGTGATCCTCCTGCTTCGGCCTTCCAAAGTGGTAGGATTAGAAGTGTGTGCCACCACTTCAGCTCACTGTGTTATTTTATTTTATTTTATTTATTTTTTGAGACAGAGTCTCACTCTGTCGCCATCTGGAGTACAATGTCGGCTCACTGCAACCTCTGCCTCCTGGGTTCAAGCAATTCTCCTGCCTCAGCCTCTCAAGTAGCTGGAACTACAAGTGTGCACCACCGTGTCCGACTAATTTTTTTTATTTTAGGAGAGACAGGGTTTCACCATGTTGGTCAGGATGGTCTCGATCTCCTGACCTCGTGATCTTCCCGCCTCAGACTCCCAAAGTGCTGGGATTACAGGCGTGAGCCACCGCGCACGGCCACTGTGTCCTTTTAAAAGAACCAGTTGGCCCCGCACTGTGGCTCACGCCTGTAATCCCAGCACTTTGGGAGGCCATGGCGGGCGGATCATGAGATCAAGAGTTCAAGACCAGCCTGGCCAACATGGTAAAACCCCATCTGTACTAAAAATACAAAAATTAGCCAGGCGTGGTGACACGCACCTGTAATCCCAGCTACTTGGGAGGCTGAGGCAGAGAATTGCTTGAACTTGGGAGGTGGAGGTTGCAGTGAGCTGAGATCGCACCACTGCATTCCAGCCTGGGGGACAGAGTGAGACTCGTCTCAAAAAAAAAAAAGCTGGCCTTGTCATATTTTGACCACAGAATATTAACCCTGAAAACGGATCTTGGTAGATGCATATATAGATGAAGTCTCGGGAGTTTCCTTAAGAAGATCTCTCCCCAAGAGCAGGTTTGTGATATCAAGAGAGGATTTATTTCCCCAAGTGCTGACACAGGAGCTGGGGCAGATTCCGTGTTTTAGTGAGAGCTGCGGGAGTGAAGAGCTGGGGCAGAGTTCATGGGAGGGCGTGGGCAGCTGCCAGCTGAACTTTGAGAGGGACCCATGGGAGCTGTTCCTGGGCCCTTCCCCTCAGTTGTTGCGGAAAGGGACCCCAAATGGGAGCAGGGTCTCTGAGGACCCCATCCTGTGGGGCTTTCCTGCCCATTCTGTGCCAGGCCCAGCACCGCCGTCTCTGCAAGCTGGGAGCTGCCAGTGATACGTGAGGGAAGCCCTGGTTTTAGGCCTGGAACGCTCTGCTCTTGCACCCGGGGTGGCCCTTCCCCACACTTGGAGTGACTTGTGACAGGCGCCTCTGTCCCAGGAGGTGCCAGGAAACTCGGTTGATTCCCACGCAGAGTGCTTCAGCCTGTGCCTCAGACCTCTCTGTCCCCAGCCCTGCCCATCCAGGAGGAGCCAAGAAACTTGGTTGATTCCCACCCACAGAGCGTTTCAGCCTGTGCCTCAGACCTCACTGTTCCCAGCCGCGCCCATCCCGGCTCCTCTCTTGGTGACAGAGTCTCCCATGGGCTGTAAATTCTTCCTCCTTGTCCGAGTTCAGCTTCAGACCCCTCAGCAGCAGGGGTGCTAAGGCACAGCTGCACCCCAAGAGGATATGCCGAGTCCTGGGGCATCCTGGGAGAATTTCGCTCCTGCTGCTCCTGGTGACCCAGGCGTCGGATGTGCCACCCAGGGCATCCTGGCCACGGCCCCTTTCTCTCACTTTCCAGGACTTGAGCAGCCCCAGCCAGTACGACACAGGTGTTGCACTGACGGGTCTGTCCTGCTTCGTCACCCCAGACCTTGCCAGAGACCTGGCAAATGACATCATGACACTGGTGAGTTTGTAAGCCTGCCCACCACCCCTGCATGTCTGCTCTGGGAAAAACTCGGTCAAAGTGGCATGCCTGGGAAGCTTGGCTATGCGGAAACCGGCCGGGGTCCCCGGTGCGTGGCCTGCCTGAAATGGGAACCAAATCACTGTCAGCTGGTGGAGCGGCTCTTGGGCCGCTTTGGTTCCTGCGTGTCTTAAGTTGATATTTGAAATCATCTTGCCGAGAGGAGCAACAGGGTGTCCCTGACAGGCCAGGCACGGTGGGGGATGTTTGCCCTGAGGTCTGACAGTGGCTCCTGTCTGAGCTGCCAGTGGGCTTCTGTGTGGTCCTCTTTCCTCCATCCCTGGCCACAGCTTGACTCCTCCTTGCCACTCTGCTTGTCAAAGGCTACGCCCCCGGCTGTGACAGTCTAAAACCTGGGAAGCCCCTGGAAATTTTGGCCCCAGAAACATCTGTTTTGTGCCTGACTTAACCTCCAGCTCATGAGGGGACCTTTGTTCCTTTTCATTTAAAACACAGTAGCCAGATTAACAGTGTGGAGCGGGCATGCTTTCCTCCCTGGGAAGCACTGTCCTCACATGGCTGCCTGTCCGCCCGGAGGTGTCTAGATCGTGGCCGATGGGCGCTGTCCCCGCGTGGCTGCCTGTCCGCCCGGAGGTGTCTAGATCGTGGCCGATGGGCGCGGTCCCCGTGTGGCTGCCTGTCCGCCCGGAGGTGTCTAGATCGTGGCCGATGGGCGCGGTCCCCGCGTGGCTGCCTGTCCGCCCGGAGGTGTCTAGATCGTGGCCGATGGGCGCAGTCCCCGCGTGGCTGCCTGTCCGCCTGGAGGTGTCTAGATCGTGGCCGATGGGCGCTGTCCCCGCGTGGCTGCCTGTCCACCTGGTGTCTAGATCGTGGCCGATGGGCGCTGTCCCCGCGTGGCTGCCTGTCCACCGGGTGCCTAGATCGTGGCCGATGGGCCCTGTCCCCTCGTGGCTGCCTGTCCACCGGGTGTCTAGATCGTGGCCGATGGGCCCTGTCCCCTCGTGGCTGCCTGTCCACCCGGTGTCTAGATCGTGGCCGATGGGCGCTGTCCCCGCGTGGCTGCCTGTCCACCTGGTGTCTAGATCGTGGCCGATGGGCACTGTCCCCACGTGGCTGCCTGTCCACCTGGTGTCTAGATCGTGGCCGATGGGCGCCGTCCCCATGTGGCTGCCTGTCCACCTGGAGGTGTCTAGATCGTGGCTGATGGTCTTGGAGATTGTCAGCACAGCCTGCTAAGCTTCTAGATCAGGGATCAGCAGGCTGCGGCACAGGGCCAAATCCAGCCGGCTGCACCTTCTTTTCACGTGTTGTGTTGTCTCTGGTGGCCTTGGTTGTGAAGGCACAGCTGTGTGGTCATGACAGAGGCTGTCTGGCCCATGAAGCTGAAAACACTGACTGCTGGCCTTCACAGAGTGCCGGCTCCTCTAGAGTAAAGCAGTGGGGAGCCCACGAGAGGGTGGATGTCAGTGCCCCATCATGGATTGGCTCTGTCAGGACCAGGCAGTTCGAGGCGACTCCCTGGGCCTGTTAGATGGGAGGGCTCCCGCTGGGGAATTTGAGCAGTCGCAGGGCACAGCCGTGAGGAGCTGGGCTGTAGGCTGTGTTCCCAGCACACCCTCGTTCCCTGTGTGACTTTCCTCTCCAGCCTTCCTCCCACTGTGGGACCCAGGACCCTGGGGCAGGAAGGCCACAAGGGAAGAGGGCTCTCTCTGGAGGGCAGGCCTGAGTCAGGGGCACAGTGAGGCTGGCTTCCATGCCATCCAAGATGCTGGTCTGTGGCCCCTGGGACTGGTGTGCAGCCACAGCGTCGGGCTGGAGGGCATCTCCTCTCTGTGGAGGAGGCGGCTGGGAGGGGCGAGAGCAGGGATGAGGCGCAGAAAGCCCGCGCAGGCTGAAGCCCGCTGCCCCGCAGATGTCACACACCAAGCCCTACATCAGGAAGAAGGCTGTGCTGATCATGTACAAGGTGTTCCTGAAGTACCCCGAGTCGCTGCGCCCTGCCTTTCCCCGGCTGAAGGAGAAGCTGGAGGACCCCGACCCCGGTTTGTGGATTTGAGTTAAGCCTCAGGGTTGAGGGTGGGGGCTCAGCCGGTGCCCTGGGAAGAGGTGGTGGCGTGTTTTGGGGGGTGCTGCGGGGAGTGGTGAAGGGCTCAGTCCAGGAACATGCCTGTTGGAGGTGGCTGGGCCTCCCCTTGCTGGGGCAGCCAGGAGGGAGGTGCTGGTGGTGGGGGCAGTAAGATCCAATGTGGCAGCTGGCGGTGAGTCTGGCGTGTCCCTGAGCAGAGGTGTACCCACCCCCGCCAGCCCCTCTTAGGACCAGTGCCACCAGGAGGCACCTTCCACAGGGCAGGGGATGGTCTAGACCATATGTCCCGTGCAGGAGCTGCCTCCACCTAGTGTAGCTGTTGTGTATTTGTGGTGTGGTGACTGCGGGACGCGGCTGCAGATTCAGTTTCACTGAGTTTCCCTGGGCTGGTGTGTGAAGCCTCTGGCGTGTGGCAGGCGTGGGTCGGTGGACCCCAAAGCCAGCCCACAGGAATCCCAAGGCCCTGTGTGCAGGAGGGGAGACCCCAGCCCTAAGCCCGGGACCCGATGGGCGAGCTTCTCCCTGGAGTGGTGGGCATGGATGCAGCAGGAAGACTCCCTGAGCCCCGATGGCTGGGCAGCTGTTTCTGGAGCCCTCATGCTGAAACCCCCACTCAGAGGGCCGCTGTCAGGCTGTCCTGAGCTTGGTGACGCTTGTGCGCACTTGTTCCTGGCAACAGTGCCGAGCAATGCTTTCTCAGCGCCAGGAGCTGGCTGCTGTGGCCTGTTCCCTGGAGGATCAGGTCTGTGGCTGCTGTCCCTGTCACCAGGAGGAGGTGGCAGAGCCAGGGCCATGTTCAGTGGGAGCTGCTGCAGGCCCCAGAACTTCCTCGCGGGCCAGGAAGACAGTAGGATGGTTTTCTAGGTGGAAGGACAGGCATGCTGATGAGAACCCCTTGTTCCCCAGGGGTTCAGTCGGCTGCCGTCAATGTCATCTGCGAGCTGGCCAGACGCAACCCTAAGAACTACCTGTCCCTGGCCCCGCTCTTTTTCAAGCTGATGACGTCCTCCACCAACAACTGGGTCCTCATCAAGATCATCAAGCTGGCAAGTACTGCCCGGGAATGTGGCCTCCTCACCCTGTGTGGGGCATTCCCTCACCCTGTGTGGGGCATTCCCTGCGGGTGACCGAGGCCCCCCCTGTCCCTCACCCTGCGTGGGGCATTCCCTGCGGGTGACCGAGGCCCTGCTGTCCCCACAGTTCGGTGCTCTTACTCCTTTGGAACCGCGGCTGGGCAAGAAGCTGATCGAGCCCCTCACCAATCTCATCCACAGGTGAGTGCAGGCCATGCGCGGTGGGGGCGGGCCGGCTCCACGGGGTGCAGTGTCGGAGCGGCGGGGGCGGGCCGGCTCCACGGGGTGCAGTGTCGGAGCGGCGGGGGCGGGCCGGCTCCACGGGGTGCAGTGTCGGAGCGGCGGGGGCGGGCCGGCTCCACGGGGTGCAGTGTTGGAGCGGCGGGGGCGGGCCGGCTCCACGGGGTGCAGTGTCGGAGCGGCGGGGGCGGGCCGGCTCCACGGGGTGCAGTGTCGGAGCTGTGGGGCGGGCCGGCTCCACGGGGTGCAGTGTCGGAGCGGCGGGGGCGGGCCGGCTCCACGGGGTGCAGTGTCGGAGCTGTGGGGCGGGCCGGCTCCACGGGGTGCAGTGTCGGAGCGGCGGGGGCGGGCCGGCTCCACGGGGTGCAGTGTCGGAGCTGTGGGGCGGGCCGGCTCCACGGGGTGCAGTGTCGGAGCGGCGGGGGCGGGCCGGCTCCACGGGGTGCAGTGTCGGAGCGGCGGGGGCGGGCCGGCTCCACGGGGTGCAGTGTCGGAGCTGTGGGGCGGGCCGGCTCCACGGGGTGCAGTGTCGGAGCTGTGGGGCGGGCCGGCTCCACGGGGTGCAGTGTCGGAGCGGCGGGGGCGGGCCGGCTCCACGGGGTGCAGTGCTGGAGTGGCTGCAAGCCCGGCCCCAGTGCGGTACAGCGGGGGCTGGGCGTGAAGCAGCTGAAAGATGACTGTCCGTCCTAGACTGGAAGCCTGTAGTGGCATTCCCGGCCACTAGACTCTTCTCCATGCTGCTTAGAGACGTTTGGGGAGTTTGGGTTTTCTTTGTGGGTCTCCGCACTGCAAGGTTGTGGAATGGGATCCTATGTTAGGAGCCTTTTCAGGCCAGGCTGCCTTTGGTTGCTAGAAGGGGACACTTTAATTCCTCAGACCAAGTGCTGAGGCGGAGCCAGGACCCCTCCCCGGCCCCCACTGCAGGGAAGGGGAGGGGTGCAGTGGGCCGCAGGCAGAGGCGTCATCGCCATGACTTTCAGATGCAGTCATGTGTCGGCAACAAGGACACATTCACAGAAGGGTGTCATTAGTACATTTCACCATGTGAGCAGTGTAGCATACGCGCACACGGACTTCACTGCTGAAGCTCGCCACACTCCTAGGCTATGGCGCGTGGCCATTCTCCTGGCTGCGGCCCTACGCTGCAGGTGACTGTAAAGCTGTAAGCAGCTGCGACTCCATGGTGATTATCTGTGTGTCTGAACACATCGAAACACCGAAAAGGGCTGGGAGCTGTGGCTCACGCCTGTGATCCCAGCGCTTTGGGAGG
This sequence comes from Homo sapiens, assembly GCF_000001405.40. Taxonomy (NCBI): domain Eukaryota; kingdom Metazoa; phylum Chordata; class Mammalia; order Primates; family Hominidae; genus Homo; species Homo sapiens. The sequence continues at coordinate 2,127,780 of NC_000019.10, read as the reverse complement.
CCAAGGCGAGTAGATCACTTGAGGTCAGGAGTTCAAGACCAGTCTAGGCAACATGGTGAAACCCCGTCTCTACCTAAAAAATACAAAAATTAGCCGGGCGTGGTGGTGCACGCTTGCAATCCCAGCTGCACGGGAGGCTGAGGCAGGAGAACCGCTTGAACCTGAGAGGCGGAGGTCGCAGTGAGCCGAGGCCGCGCCATTGCACTCCGGCCTGGGCAACAGAGCGAGACTCCGTCTCAGAAAAGACAAAAAACAAAACAAAAAAAACTCTAGAAAAGATGCAGTAGGAAGGCGGTATTGCCATCTCACAGGCCGCCGGGGGTGCGTGGTCCGTCCCTGCGTGGATGCTGTCACGGGCCTGCAGTTGCAGAGGGATTGCTCACCTGCCCTTTCTGGGAAGATGAGACGATGACCAGCCGAGCACCACAGGCCTTGGAGAGCAAGGCACGGGCTCCCTCCTGGGGCACACTCCCTGAGCCGTGGGGCGGAGGCCGTCTCCAGCTGAGCTGCCGGCACTGGGTCACTGCATCTGACGAGGCCCCCAGTCCTCATGCCGCTTCCCTGTGTTCCTTTCCTTAGCACGTCTGCCATGTCTCTCCTCTATGAATGTGTGAACACCGTGATTGCAGGTGAGAACTGGCACTCTCCCCATCTGGAAGGGCTGGCACTGCCAGGCTGGGGTCTCAGGTGGGGACAGGAGGGCGCCAGGCCTGGTGTCTCCGAGCGCCACCCCTGCTGGAACTGAGAAGGAAAGCTGGCTGGTGGGGCCTGGGGCTGGCTGGGAGTCCGTCCCAGGCCTCTGCTGTCAAGGTGGCCATGCGTCTGCCTGGTCTTCCACCGCCATTGGTGCTGGGTGTTTGCTTCTTAAGCTGCCTGGTGGCCCAGCCACTCTGGAGTCCCCTTGGGTATGAAAGATTCACCTGCAGATAAAGCCCCTCCTCATACCTGCTTCCACAGATGCCGGCCCCTGCTGCTCAGGGCCTGCCATCCGCTCTCACAGTACACTGCATTTTTTCTGAGACTTTAAAGCACTCCTGAGACAGCATATCGTTTCACCCGTGGATACTTAAATAGCAGCATCTACCACAAAAATATTTTCTTTTTCTTTCTTTTTTTTTTTTTTTTTTTGAGGCAGAGTCTCACTCTGTTGCCCAGGCTGGAGGGCAGTGGCGCAACTTGGCTTACTGCAACCTCCGCCTCCCAGGTTCACGCCATTCTCCTACCTCAGCCTCCCGAGTAGCAGGGACTATAGGCGCCCGCCACCACGCCTGGCTAATTTTTGTATTTTTAGTAGACACGGGGTTTCACTACATTGATCAGGCTGGTCTCGAACTCCTGACCTCTTGATCCGCCTGCCTCGGCCTCCCAAAGTGCTGGGATTACAGGCCTGAGCCACTGCGCCTGGCCCACAAAAATATTTTCTAAGGCAGAGTCAGAATCCACACCTCCGGCTGGGCCAGGGCACAAGGGCCAACGACCAATGTCCCCAGTGGTCTCTGCCAAGCTGCTCCAAGTCAGCCAAAGCCTCACGGGGCATTGGGCGGTGGACTTCCTTATGGTTGATAAAGCAGAAGCTTCTCACCAGTAGGAGGGCCCAGCTATTCAGGAGGCCGAGGCAAGAGCATCACTTGAGCCCGGGAGTTCCAGGCTGCAGACAGAGTGAGACCCCGTCTCTCTTGAGGCTGGTGTGCAGTGGTGCGATCATAGCTCACTGCAGCCTTGACCTCCCGGGCTTAAGCAGTCCTCTTGCTTCTACAGGCGCATGCCACCCCACCCAGGTAATTTTTTGAATTTTTGGTAGAGACAAGGTCTCACTATGTTGCCCAGGCTGTTCTTGAACTCCTGGGCTCAAGCCATCCTCCTGCCTTGACCTCTCAAAGTGATGGGATTACAGGCCTGAGTTACTGTACTCAGCCAGCACCCCATCTCTTTTGTTTTTTTTTTTCTAGCTTTACTTAGGTATAGTTGACAATTAAAAATGGTATATTTTTAAGGTACACCTCTAGATTGTCAAATAGCACAATTCAGATAATTAACACATCTACACACCGCGCCCGGCCTACATTTCTGTTTAAAATACATTTGTTCCTACCTGGGTAATCTATACACCTATTTTAAGAAAAAAAAATTACCATCTACTTTTATATTCACATAACACTCCTGGCCGGGCGTGGTGGCTCACGCCTGTAATCCCAGCACTTTGGGAGGCCGAGGCAGGTGGATCACCTGAGGTTAGGAGTTCAAGACCAGCCTAGCCAATAATGGTGAAACCCCATCTCTACCTAAAAAATACAAAAATTAGCAGGGCTTGGTGTCGGGCGCCTGTAATCCCGACTACTTGGGAGGCTGAAGCAGGAGAATTGCTTGAACCAGGGAGGCAGAGGTTGCAGTGAGCCAAGATTGTGCCGTTGCACTCCAGCCTGGGCAACAAGAGCGAAACTTCTTCTCAAAAAACGAAACAAAACAAAACAAAAAAACAACACTCCTACAAAGATTGGGTGTGACATTTCTGAAATCTTGCATGCGTGAATATGCATTTATTTTGCCACATTTCTTCGTTCGTATTTACATTTATATGTAGACTTTCTGTCCAGGGTTATTCATTTCCAGATATTTGTATTTTTTGTATTAAAAAAATTATTATTTCAGTAGTTTTTGGGCGGCATTTGGTGGTATTTGGTTACAGGGATCAGTTCTTTAGCGGTGATTTCTGAGATTTATGTGCACCAACACCCAGGCAGTGTACACTGCACCCCATGTGCAGTCTCTTATCCCTCACCCCCCACCTCCCACAAGTCCCTGGAGTCCATTAGATCATTCTTTTTTGGGGCGGTGGGGGGGATCGCGGAGTTTCTCTCTTGTTGCCCAGGCTGGAGTTCAATGGCACAATCTTGGCTCACCGCAACCTCTGCCTCCCAGGTCAAGCGATTCTCCTGCCTCAGCCTCCAGAGTAGCTGGGGTTACAGACATGCTCCACCACTCCCGCTTATTTTTGTATTTTTAGTAGAGACAGAGTTTCTCCATGTTGGTCAGGCTGGTCTTGAACTCCTGACCTCAGGTCATCTGCCCGCCTCAGCCTCCCAAAGCGCTGGGATTACAGGCATGAGCCACCGCGCCTGGCCTAGATCATTGTTATGCTTTTGCGTCCTCATAGCTTAGCTTCCAAGAACCCATGTCTTAAAAAGAAAACACATGCACACGCACACGCACACACGGTCTCCTGTACACCTTCATTCCATGCCACTGGCTTGGTGGAAAATGAGTCTCTGTCCCTGCATGTGCCTGGCGGTCCCCTGGCTTCATGTCTTTCTTTTAAAGCTGTTAGAGCTGGGGCTCTGAGGGTCGGCTTCTCGCTGCCTGCCTGTCCCTGCCCAAAGGACGCAGCAGAGTCAGCAAAGGGGAATGGCTCCGGGGATGTTGGGGAGGCCAGGCCCAGCTTCTAGAGCCTTCTTTCAGTGGAGTCCTGCCGGATGTGCTTCATCCCCCAGCAGTGAGCTGTGATGATAATTTGTGAAGTGTCACCATGGAGGCTCCCAGAGACCCAGCGCCTGGGTTCCTACAGGGTCTGGTCCTGTGGCCTCGGGGCCTGGCCCCTGCCGGGATTCCAGACTCCAGAGGGAAGCAGGGGTTGCGAGTGAACCAGTGTTTGCAGGAACAGCTGAGGCCCCGAGCCATCCTGTCAGTGAGGGTGGGGGCCCCTGCAGGTTCCTATCCTCAGGCCTGTGATGGAGCTAGGTTTTTGCAAACACAGTTGGGCTGCGTGGTCCCAAACTCAGTGGCATTTCTGTCCTCCCTCCCATCCCTCCTCCCGGCGAGGGGGTGCTGGTGCCCCGTGGCCCTGAGTTGGTGTCGGCGCTGGCCATGGTGCTGACCGTGGTGCTGACCAAGCTGTCTGTTGCAGTGCTCATCTCGCTGTCCTCCGGCATGCCCAACCACAGCGCCAGCATCCAGGTACGTCCCGCACTGGGCGGGGCCCATGGGGTCCCACACTGCAGAGGCCACACCTTTCCACAGGCGGGAGCTTGCCCACCCTGTGACCAAGGTGCTGGTCCCCCCACGCCATCTTGCGGCTTGGGAGGGCACAGCCGCGTCCTGTGTGCACTACCTACCCGAGCCTGCTTGGGATCCCCATCATGTGTCTGTGGGGTGGATGCATGGGGCACTGAGGAGTGGGGGAGAGCGCCCGTGGGAAGCAGGGCCTCCCTTGTCTCCAGTGCCCCATGTGGGCCATGCTTGTTTCCCTCCTGGGCTTTGATTGGTGGGTGGGGCTGACGCCGGGCCTTAGGCCAGGTTGAGGTTGAATCTGGAGGGTACCTGTGGGACTCACCCTTGGTTTAGAGGATGTAACCAGCATCGTTTTTTTCTTCTTTTCAGCTTTGTGTTCAGAAATTAAGGATATTGATCGAGGACTCCGATCAGAACTGTGAGTCATCCCCTCCCCAGTGCTGTCATTTTCGTGTCCCCAGCTCTGTGAAGTTAGGGGTCCTCCTAGTGTGAGGAGGAAGTGGACACGGCATCTGCAACCCCAGCTGTCTCCCTGATGGATGGCACTCTGCCTCAGAGGCAGCCCTCTGCCAGTGCCCTGTGGCGCCCTTGCACCCCGACCTATCTGCGTGGGGTGGCTGGGAAACACCAGCTCCTCTGAGCCCCAGTCCCAGGGGAGATGCAGGGGGCATGGCAAAGGCCCCCACTGGGGAGATCCTGGCAGTTGGACAGATGCCACTCACTGAGCACCTTGGTCCGAAATTTCTGGATATTTCAGCCTCTGCATGTTTTTGCGGGGGTGCGTGAGGCTTTGCGTTGTGAGATAGAGCAGCACACAGCACCCTTGCCCAGGTGCCTGCCTGCATGTGGGTGCCCCCGTGCTGCTCTGTTGAGGAATCAGAATTAGCGGCCCCTGCCTGGTACCTTGTACCTGGGCGGTGTTTTGGATGCTCATTTTGAAGCCAGGTCTTTTTGTTGAGAGCAGGAGTTGGCAAACTCGCCTGCAACAGCCCAGATAGTGGAGTGGCCCTCCTTATCTGAGGTTTCAGGTACCCCCAACACAGTCCAAAAATAGGCAAGCACCCCACAGTCGGGTATTGCAAGAGAGACCGCGATCACATACCTTTCGTGACCGTGTTTTATGGTTGTTCTGTTCTTAGTTACTATTAGTTGTTCATTTCTTATTGTGCCTAATGTACACACTGAACTTCGCCATAGGCACAGACGTGTCAGAAAAACACCCACACGCGGGTCTCAGTACCGCCCGCCGTGTCAGCCTTCCACTGGGGTCATGGGCCCATCCCCCACGGGTAGGTGGGGACTACTGCGTTTTCTCCGTGGACCTCACGGTGTCTGTCTCTGCTCAGTGCTGCCCCGTGGCCTGAAAGCCACCGTGGATGGCAGTATGTGAATGGGTTCAGCTGTGTGCCCTGTGGCTGGGGTGGCCCTGGCTTAGGTTGTGGCATCTGTGCCTCATGCCCAGCCACCCTTAGCTGTCCGTGAGCTGGTTTGGGCTAGTCGGGTGAACAGTGAGTACTGGGTACAGGTGAGACCCTGCCTTGGGCCAAGGGTATCTGCTGCTGCTGCTGGAAAGTCTTCTCTGCGTTCTTCCCTGCACTGGCTGGGTGGGAAGAGGAGAGCTGACAGCAGCTACTACAACGTGGTAGTAGGTAGGGGAGGCCTTCCTGAGGGAGCCGGCATGGGGGCAGCCTGCACCCCGGCTCCCAGGGAGGGGGCTCTGCTAGGGCGACATCCCTCGTGGTGAGCTCCAGCTGGGATACTTGCTCTGTCCACCCCCAGGTTGCCAAGGCCAGGCAGCCTCCCGAGGTGGAGACCCGGCCCGGAGAGCCGTGGGCCCTGCCTGCACCCTGCTGCCTGTGTCCGTCCCAGTGACCCGGCTCTGGCCTCTCTCTGCAGTGAAGTACCTGGGGCTGCTGGCAATGTCCAAGATCCTGAAGACCCACCCCAAGTCCGTGCAGTCCCACAAGGACCTCATCCTGCAGTGCCTGGACGACAAGGACGAGTCCATCCGGCTGCGGGCCCTGGACCTGCTCTATGGGATGGTGCGTGCCCTCTGTCCGCCGCCCGCCCGCCTGGCCTTAGTTCTCTAAGGGACATTAAGTGTCAGGTGCAGAGCCACGTGGAATGCATGGAGTCCCCTCACACTCGGCCATCAGTTAGTGTGGTGGGGCAGGGCAGAGGGGCGCCAGTCCTGGTCCATGCCTGTCTTCCAGGGCCTGTGTGGAGGGGGCGGGGCCGAGCCTGCAGAACAGACTGTGCTGGGCCAGTTGTTGCTCCCTGGCTGGGGTCGTGTGCCTCTAACCCAGCCCACATCGCAGGGGCCTGCTGCCTCCCTGGCATCGATCTGTGAATCCGGGTCCGCCTGTGTCCCGTGGATTCTGTCTCAGGAGCAGGTGTTGGGTGTCTCACCAAGCAGGCCCCAGGCTGGGTCCGCTCTCACCACTGTCTGTACACTTTTGCCCAGGTGTCCAAGAAGAACCTGATGGAGATCGTGAAGAAGCTGATGACCCACGTAGACAAGGCAGAGGGTACCACCTACCGTGACGAGCTGCTCACCAAGATCATTGACATCTGCAGCCAGTCCAACTACCAGTACATCACCAACTTCGAGTGGTGCGTCCCGCTCCCAGGGGTGTGGCCGGGGGTTCCGTGGCGCCGCTCACTCACCGCCTCTGCCCCACAGGTACATCAGCATCCTGGTGGAGCTGACCCGGCTGGAGGGCACACGGCACGGCCACCTCATCGCCGCCCAAATGCTGGACGTGGCCATCCGCGTGAAGGCCATCCGCAAGTTCGCCGTGTCCCAGATGTCTGCGCTGCTTGACAGTGCACACCTGCTGGCCAGCAGCACCCAGCGGAACGGGATCTGTGAGGTGCTGTACGCTGCCGCCTGGATCTGCGGGGAGTTCTCAGAGTGAGTGGGCGCTGGGCCTCTGGGCTGGCAGCTTCTCCAAGCTTCTGAGGGGTAGGGACCAGGGATGTGCCTGGCAGATCCTTCCTACCGTCTCCCATCGCCCTGCCACCCCGGCCGTCTTGCAGGTCCGTGGGTTTCCAGCACCTGTCCCCTGACAATGGTCGGGCCCATTCCCCCTTTACAGAGGCGAGTCTGTGCTGCCCTGTCTGCCCTCTGCCCTCGGGCATCTGTGGCGTTCCCAGGAGATTGTAGATCCCGTGGGCACTAGGACTGGGAGGTGGGAGGATCCATGGGGTGGGCTGCAGACGGGGGGCTGGCCCTGGGCATCTGCAAGGCTCAGTTCCAGCTGGGCGCGTGGCAGCCCTTCTGAGCCCTGTTTGCTGTAGGTGAGGTGGGAGCTCCGTGTGGCAGTTAGGTGGCCCAGGGAGGCACCTGCTCAGCCCCAGCCTGCCTGCGCCAGGCCCCTCTGGAGGCACAGGGGTCTCAGTGCCAGGTTCCAGGTGGGCCGCAGGGATGGGTCTTATCGACACTGCCCCTGCCGTCTCCAGGAATGTCAGGTTCTCCCTGGCCAAGAGGACAGATCACAGCCACTGCTGGGCAGGCTCGGGTCACCGGGCCTGCCTGGAGGTGGGAATGTGTTGCTGAGACTCACGGTTCTCACAGCAGTCTGGATTTCCAGGCTCTCTTGGAAATTTATGAGATTTGCTGCTATGCCTCACTGCCTCGGGCCCGGCCCCATCACCACCACTGGCCGCTACCTGCTGCTCATCACGGCCACACCGAGCACTCCCCACCCTGGGCCTGCCCCGGCTCAGGAAGGCGCCTGACTTCTGGGATCCCGAAAGGGTCCCCAGCCAGCCTGCATCCTGGAGATGAGCACTTCTGTCATTTTCTTTTTTTCCCCTCGCCCCGAGACAGAGTCTGGCTATCTCCCAAGCTTTGCCCAGGCTGGAGTGCAGTGGCGTGATCTCGGCTCACTGCAACTTCTGCCTCTCGGGTTCAAGTGATTGTCCTGCTTCAGCTTCCCGAGTAGCTGGGATTACAGGCACCTGCCACCAAGCTCAAGCCTGGCTAATTTTTTTGTATTCTTATTAGAGATGGGGTTTCACCATGTTGGCCAGGCTGGTCTCTTAACTCTTTTTTTTTTTTTTTTTTTTTTTTTGAGACAGAGTCTTGCTCTATCTGTTTTCCAGGCTGGAGTGCAGTGGCATGATCTCGGCTCACTGCAAGCTCTGCCTCCTGGGTTCACGCCATTCTCCTGCCTCAGCCTCGCAAGTAGCTGGGACTACAGGCGCCCGCCACCATGCCCTGCTAATTTTTTTTGCATTTTTTAGTAGAGATGGGGTTTCACCGTGTTAGCCAGGATGGTCTCGATCTGTTGACCTCATGATCCGCCCGCCTCGGCGTCCCAAAGTGCTGGGATTACAGGCGTTAGCCACCGTGCCCGCCCTCACTTTCTGTATTTTTAGTAGAGATGGGGTTTCACCGTGTTGGCCAGGCTGGTCTCAAACTCCTGACCTCGTGATCTGCCTGCCTCGGCCTCCCAGAGTGCTGGGATTATAGGCGTGAGCCACCACACCCGGCCACTTCTATCATTTTCTTATTGGGAAAAAAGTGGACTAGAAACATATTCAAGTCCCAAGGCATTGTGTCAGACGCCAGTGAGGCGCACCCCGAGGCCCCACTGTCCCACAGATCAGGGTCTCCCGGTTCCGTCTGTTCCCTGCCCATCCTGCTTATCCTCCCAGGGCCAGCTGCACAGTTGACCCCGTTGTCCTTTTTCCTCTTCTGACCTTTCCTCCATTCAGTGGCTCTGTCATCTCCACATCTCTGCCTTGTTTGTGTTACGGGCTGTTGACGGCCTGTGGTTTCTTCTACTTCGTGTCTCAGCCCCTGGAGACCGCTCAGGGAATGGGAAGGGCCCAGAGTCACCTTGTTGGTGACGAGCCCAGGCCTCCTAGGTCCTCACCTGCTAGAGAGGAGCCCCGGGATTGGCATCCTGGGGGCTCACAGTGTTTCCTGTCCTCAGGCATCTGCAGGAACCACACCACACTTTGGAGGCCATGCTGCGGCCCAGAGTCACCACGCTGCCAGGCCACATCCAGGCCGTGTATGTGCAGAACGTGGTCAAGCTCTACGCCTCCATCCTGCAGCAGAAGGAGCAGGCCGGGGAGGCAGAGGGCGCTCAGGCCGTCACCCAGCTCATGGTGGACCGGCTGCCCCAGTTTGTGCAGAGCGCAGACCTGGAGGTGCAGGAGCGGGTAAGATCCAACACTCCGTGTTGGGCCGAGCCTCAGGGAGCCCTCAGTGCCTTTCTGTCCAGTGGCGGCCAGGTCGACGGGGCCTCGCTTCCTCTTCCGAAGCCACTCACTGAGATTCTTTTGTTGCCACTTGTGCCAGCTGGGGTTTGGGGTTAGTCAGTGGGACCTGGAGGTCAGCAGGACGGGGGATCCGTCAGTAGGACTGGGGCAGGTCTCTGGGGTGCTGGGTATGTGAGGGTGCTGCTCCTGGCCACAGGAAGAGGTTGTTTCACATGCGGCGAGACAGCAGGTGTGAGAGCCTGGGGCTGGCAGTGGCTCTTTCTGGTGGCTGCAGGTGACGTGGGTTCTAGGTTGAGCAGACTGTACACCTGTGCCAGGCGGTGCCCACCACTTCCCAGGTGTCTGTTTTTCTGCTTGTTTTTTGTTTTGTTTTGATTTTTCGAGATGGAGTTTCACTCCTTTGCCCAGGCTGGAGTCAAGTGGTGCGATCTCAGCTCATGACAACCTCCATCCCCTGGGTTCAAGGGATTCTTCTGCCTCAGCCTCCCTAGTAGCTGGGATTATAGGTACCCGCCACCACGCCCGGCTAATTTTTGTATTTTTAGTAAAGACGGAGTTTCACCTTGTTGGCCAGGCTGGTCTCAAACTCCTGACGTCAGGTGATCCACACTCCACAGCCTCCCAAAGTGCAAGGATTACGGGTGTGAACCATCGCACCTGGCCATCTGTGAGAGAGGTCGGGAGTGGCGTCAGCCTGTCCAATGGCTGAGGAGACCCAGCTTCAAGGCTGCATGGGGCGTGGCCCCGGGCTCCTCTGTGCGGTGGCATTAGCTCGGGGCTGGCCATGATCCTTGGCCCATGGTCACTGTTGGAGCTGCCCAGCCTGGCTGTGTCTGAGTTGGAGCCAGCACAGAGGCGGGGAGCCCGCGGGGGCCGAGGGAGGTGGTGCTTCTGGTGTCGGGGCACTGACCTGATGGGAGGCATTTCTGCAGTGGGCAAAGCTCCCTGTTGTGCCCCCATCTCTGTTCTGTTTCCGGACTGGTCTGTTTCTGCCGCTTCCTGGCGAGGATGATGACGACAGAGACGGCATGAAGGCTGGGCTCTCTGTGGCTATGTGGCTGTACCAGGGGGCCCACACGTCACTGTGCCAGGGGCTGAGCCACCCCGTGTCCCTGAAGGTGGCCGAGTGGCCTTCCGGGCAGGTGCCAGCAGTGACCCCTGTGTCCCCCACAGGCGTCCTGCATCCTGCAGCTGGTCAAGCACATCCAGAAGCTTCAGGCCAAGGACGTGCCTGTGGCAGAGGAGGTCAGCGCTCTCTTTGCTGGGGAGCTGAACCCAGTGGCCCCCAAGGCCCAGAAGAAGGTTCCAGTCCCCGAAGGGTAAGGATACGGGGGTGGGGGCATTGCAACCATGGCCCTGACATGGTCCCTTGATGCCTGGTGGCACAGCGGGGGCTCCTGCACCCCTGAACAGCCAGGAGGGTGTGGGGCTGATTGGAGGCCTCAGGCGGGTATATCCCTCACACGGACTCACCAGGTCTCTCACTGGTTCTGGGATCTGGCTTCTGCCTGGGGATGCTCCCTGCGAAGTGGGCCTGCTCCCACCCTTGCCATAAAGCTCTGAGGCAGCCTGAGCCTGCCGTGGGGGCCCCACTGTGACCCTGCCGCAGTCTTCCTGGGTCCCTGCGTCCTCTTAAGGGGCAGTGACACCTGCCTCGCTGGCCCTGTGTGGGTGGCAGGCCCCACTGTTTGGGATATCACATGGCCAGGCACGTGGTGAGCCTGCTCAGGGCGGACGCCTGCAGGCGCGTGCTCGGTCACACACTGCCTTGTGTGGCCCTCCTGTCCGGTGCAGCCTGGACCTGGACGCCTGGATCAATGAGCCACTCTCGGACAGCGAGTCAGAGGACGAGAGGCCCAGGGCCGTCTTCCACGAGGAGGAGCAGCGGCGTCCCAAGCACCGGCCGTCGGAGGCGGACGAGGAAGAGCTGGCTCGGGTGAGCTGCTGGCTGCCCCTGGCGAGCCCTCGTCTCCTCCCTCCTGTCCCAGGGAGTCTTTGAGGCAGGTCAGCGGCCTCTGTGGGTCCTGGCCCTGACCCTGGCAGTGGAGGCATGGGCGTCCCTGCCTCCCAGAGCGTTAGCGATTCCTTTTCCCCCAATACGTGCTCTTCCCAATTGCGGGCCTTGGTTTCCCTGTTAGTGAAAGCTCAGTAGTGAAAATAGCCAGAGATCCAGCCTTCCCCAGCTGGGTGGCTGGTGGTGGACGTCCACAGAGGGGTATCCTGCCCGCTTCTCTCGGGCTCATGCCAAGCTGTGTCCCACAGCGCCGAGAGGCCCGGAAGCAGGAGCAGGCCAACAACCCCTTCTACATCAAGAGCTCGCCATCGCCACAGAAGGTGAGGCCCGTCCCCGGGTGCCTGTCCCTCAGCACCCTCTACCCTCACCACCCGAGCCCCGCGGCATCCATCTGAGTTTCGGGTTCCCTCAGGAAGATCCTGGGAATGGAGCTGGGGCCACACGGTGACTGTGCGGAGCCTTTGAGGGGCAGGCGCCTCCCTGTGGGCCCCATTCATTCGAGCCTCCAGCCGGGGGGCCCTGTTCCCTGCGCCTGGCAGCCCAGCTGCTGTCCAGCCCTGACCCCACGGTCGTGGGCAACCTGCTGCCTCACTCTGGGCTTGAGGCCGCATTACTTTTCTCATTTGAGGAGAAAACAGAATATTCACGTAAAAAAAGTGAACGAGGATTTGCTTCTCTCTGCTCATAGGCCTGTGGGGTCACTCGTGTGACAAGCTTTCCAGTCCTCACTGTCTTAAAGAGTCGGGTCCTCGGGATGCGCTCGCTCACGGCGCTCCTCGCGGCCCAGGGCTCTGGCAGGACCCCAGCTCCTTAGGATGTTGGGGCTGCGTCACGCTCCCTGCATCCCCGAGGCTTGTCTTGCACGTGTGTCACCCCTCGGTGCACCGGTAACGCCTGGGTGTTGCCTTTGCAGCGGTACCAGGACACCCCGGGCGTGGAGCACATTCCCGTGGTGCAGATTGACCTCTCCGTCCCCTTGAAGGTTCCAGGCAAGTGTCTCCGGTGTGTCGGCGCCGCATTTGTCACATGGGCTGTGGGGTGCTCCCGCCGCCCTCCCCGTGAGCCCCTGGGGTGCAGTGCTGAGTGGCTGCCCGCTGCCGGCCCGCAGGGCTGCCTATGTCAGATCAGTATGTGAAGCTGGAGGAGGAGCGGCGGCACCGGCAGAAGCTGGAGAAGGACAAGAGGAGGAAAAAGAGGAAGGAGAAGGAGAAGAAGGGCAAGCGCCGCCACAGCTCGCTGCCCACGGAGAGCGACGAGGACATCGCCCCTGCCCAGCAGGTGGACATCGTCACAGAGGAGATGCCTGAGGTCAGCCTCGCTGGAGGTCCCGGTCCTAGGATGTCTATCTTTCCGCATGTGTGTGTCCTGGGGCCATGCACAGTGGCCTCTCCCCATGGTCTTCGTTGGTGGCTGGGATGAGGCCCCACCCCGGAGAGCATAGGAGGAGAGGCCTCTCTGTCCTCGAGCACGCGTCCCGACGCACCGCCCCAGGGCCAGCAGCTTCAGAGGCAGATGCAGGTTGGCTGCGTCCTGGGGCCCAGCCGCCCTTAGTGCCTAGACGCTGAGCGGAGCCTCTGGTGGAGCCACGTCACTGCCCACCTGTGCGTGTGGCCCGCATGGGCAGTCCCACTGCGTCCCAGATAGATGGCGTTCCACCAGGCCACAAGGGCGGGTTCCAGTGATGGGGTTCCTCTCTTCCTGTCAGAATGCTCTGCCCAGCGACGAGGATGACAAAGACCCCAACGACCCCTACAGGGCTCTGGATATTGACCTGGATAAGTGAGTCCATATGGGTTCAGGGTGAGGGTGGAGGCCACATGTGGTTGCTTCCCTTCCTCTCGTCCTCCCTTCCGGGTGGGGCCGGGCTCTGCAGGGTGGGCAGGCTGGGGTGGGGTGCGGGCGGGCCTTCCCCAGACCACGTCCTCACTGCACTGCTCTTGGCTGGCCCTCCCAACCAAGACTCTTAAGTGTGGACTCTGAAGTCTCCAGGCCTGGGGTGCTCGGGAGGTCTCCATGCCTTGACAGGGCAGGGTGTGGCCACCACAGACCCTCCCATGAGAGCCTCCAGCAGGCTGTGTTGAGTAGATCTATGTTGGGCCATGGCTGGGGCCAGGGGCTGGAGGAGCAGGTCCCGCACTGCCACATGCTTGGACACGGCATGTACTGAGTGGTCCTGGGGGGTGGCCAGTGGTGCTGATGTGTGGCCCGGTCATTCCTCCTCCAGGCCCTTAGCCGACAGCGAGAAACTGCCTATTCAGAAACACAGAAACACCGAGACCTCAAAATCCCCTGAGAAGGACGTTCCCATGGTAGAAAAGAAGAGCAAGAAACCCAAGAAGAAAGAGAAAAAACACAAAGAGAAAGAGAGAGACAAGGAGAAGAAGAAGGAGAAGGAGAAGAAGGTAAGGCTAGTGCCCAGGGCGGCGGCCTTCTCCATTCCCCTCCCTTGCCGTGAACTCCCAGGAGACAGCGGTGAGCTCAGGGGAAATGGCTGTGAGTCTGAGTCAGGCAGCGAGTGCCAGCCGCCTCGCCCTGTGCCCCGGCGGAGTGAGGACATGTGGCTTCTGAGGGGAGCTGACTGTGCACTTGTGTCAGGGGAGACTGAGGAGGACCCAACGATCCCATGGGTGAGCCGTGTCCTCACCTGTGTTGGGGGGACATGGTCAGAGCTCGGCGTGGTCCAGATGCCACCCTCACGTGCAGCTCCAGAACCGTTTCTGCAGTGTCTGTGTGCAGATTTTCACATAGAGAAAGAAATGGGTTTTTCAAAGGAGCATGTGTTTGCAGGGCCTGGGAGCCTGTCCACACCCACGTCAGGTGGCCCAGGCAGACATAAGACATATGGGCCGCCACGGGCCTTCTGACCACTGGAATGGCACACACCCACCCACAGCTTTGTCCCCGGCCCTCTTCTGGCAGCGAAAGCCAGAGCCAGCAGGGCTGGCTGAGGACATCGCCTTCAGCTCCTGGATTCCCAGGCTCTGCAAGGCCCAGCTAGTCCAGGACCCTGGGGGCAGCGAGGGCAGCTGGGGCCTCCTTGGCCCTGCTGTCCCCGTCCCCTCTTCCCAGGACCATTGCACTGCGTTTGCTGACAGCCTGTCTTGTGGTTTCAGGCTGAGGACCTGGACTTCTGGCTGTCTACCACCCCACCGCCTGCCCCCGCCCCCGCCCCCGCCCCCGTTCCATCCACGGTAAGAGACTGGCAGCTGGCCAGTGCCAGCCTCGGTGTCTGCAGAGGTCATACCTGGCACTCAGGGAAGAGCCCTGGGTCTCCTGAGGCCCTGTGCTCTCGCGGTCAGCACCGTGCACCTGTGGGACCCAGCACTGAGTGGAGCCGGGGTCATGCTCCCGGGTCCCAGTGGGCCAAGCAGGGGCCAGGGGAAGGGGAGGACAGCCAGGGCCTCTGTGCTCACAGGCTCCCTGTCACTCGGAGGGCACTGTGGCCTCTCAGGCAGGCGTGAGGGCAAGCTGAGGGTGTGTGGCATGGAGGCTGTCTGGGGTGCAGTGGAGTGGGGCCCCTCATTGCCCAGCATGAGCCCCAAGCCCTGGCTCCCTGCAGGGGGAGCTCAGTGTGAACACTGTCACTACCCCGAAGGACGAGTGTGAGGACGCCAAGACGGAGGCGCAGGGCGAGGAGGACGATGCCGAGGGGCAAGACCAGGACAAGGTGAGGCTGTCACTCCCCCAGGGGCTGTGGAGGGCTGCATGAGCCCCAGCACCCCAACGTGGGGCCGGACACAGCTTCCGCCACCCAGGTCCCAGGGCAGCCCTGCTCTCGCATTTGTGTTGGCGTTCTCACGGGCCTTTTGTTGTGGTTGTGGTCTTGTGTTTTTTTAATAACCTTCTTATTCACACATGGTTCATAAGTCTCATAGAGTTTATTCATTTGAAGTATGTATACAGTGGTTTTCTGTATATTCACAGAGTTGTGCAACCATCATCACCTCTGTCTAGTTCCAGAACTTTCCATGACCCCTAAAGAAGCTCCATTCCCACCAGCCGTTACTTCTCACTCCCTTCCCTGCCCTGGCACCCACGCATCCCCTTCCTGTCTCTGTGGATCAGTGTGTCCTGGACATTTCATAGAAATGGGGTCATACACCGTGTGGTCTTTTGTGTGTGGCGTCTCACTGAGTGTGATGTCCTCAAGGTGCATCCACACTATGGCTTGGGTCAGAGCCTGGTTCCTGTTCGTGGCCGGGTCATGTTCCAGTGCGTGGACAGGTCACCCTCTGCTGACCCCGTTCCTCCGCGGATGGGCCACACTGTGCTGACCCACTCATCTGTTGATAGCCACTTGGGCCGCTTCCCCTTTGTGGTGACACAGTATGCCGCTTTGAACATCTGCGCAGTGCGCGTGGATGTGTGTGTTCCCTCTCGGATGTGCACATGGGCGTGGGGTTGCTGCGTCAAGTGTGGTGTCCTCACTGGTTTGCCCTGCATGGCTCCCTGGTCGGTGGGGACTGTTCCCCGGGCTGCTTTGGCGCTTGCCGCCAACCAGAGACGGCCCCAGCCTCCGCTGGGCCTGGTCTGGCCTGAGCTTGTCCCGGTAGGCCTGAGGCGTGGCTGGTCCTGCCATCCCACCCAGGCACGTGGGACCCTCAGCCTGAGCAGCCCTGCTGTGATCCTGACCTCACACTGTGATGGGGGCGTGCTGGAGCAGCCTGGGCACTGAACCCGACCCTCCTCTTGCTCCAGAAATCTCCCAAGCCTAAGAAGAAGAAGCACAGGAAGGAGAAGGAGGAGCGGACCAAAGGCAAGAAGAAGTCCAAGAAGCAGCCTCCAGGCAGCGAGGAGGCAGCGGGGGAGCCGGTGCAGAATGGCGCGCCAGAGGAGGAGCAGCTCCCGGTGAGGGGTACTTCAGCGCCCCCGCCCCACGCCGGGGTTCCTGGCGGGCTGTGCGCTGCTCCCCACTCCTGCAGCCTCCATGCGGGAGAGAACTGAGCAGATTCGAGAAGAAGCCGAGCCTGGCGGGGGCAGGGGACTGGCCCTGGCCCGCAGCCCCACATTAGGCACCCCCGTGGTGGGCTGTGTGGTCCTGGGAGCCGGGGATCCCTCATCGGCTCCTTTGAAGCCCCTTGCCCCAAGCATTCTTGGAGTCGTGGCATTCGACCTGGGGTATTGGGCCATACTGGAGTCTTCGCTGAGACGGAGCTCGGGGCCCCCAAGGCTGATGCGCCTTTTCTATTTCCAGCCTGAGTCCAGCTACTCCCTCCTCGCTGAAAATTCCTATGTTAAAATGGTGAGTGGCAGCCGCTCCCAGGGGCAGGGTGGGCCAGCCCACACTCTTTGGCATGGGATCGCGCGGAACCCGGGCAGCCCCCACAGCTCCCGGATGTTGGTATACCCAGGGCCTGTGATTCCTGGCAGGGGCGTTGCTTGGGCAGCACCTCTGGCTTGGGGTAAGGTTGGAGACATGCCCTGAGACTTGGACTGGCAGGAGGGTCCCCGCCATGCACTCAAAGAGCAGCCATAGGAGGCGCTTGGCCTGCGGCTAGGGGGCGCCCCTCTCCGTGCCTTCCTGTGCCTGTGGGACCCCTGCTGCCTCTGTGGTCATTAAGAGACAGGTGGCTGTGCCTGTTCCCTGTGGCGGGCCCGCCTGCCCTGCTAACACTGGCCATGCCCTGCAGACCTGTGACATCCGGGGCAGTCTGCAGGAGGACAGCCAGGTCACTGTGGCCATCGTGCTGGAGAACAGGAGCAGCAGCATCCTCAAGGGCATGGAGCTCAGCGTGCTGGACTCACTCAATGCCAGGATGGCCCGGCCGCAGGGCTCCTCCGTCCACGATGGCGTCCCCGTGCCTTTCCAGCTGCCCCCAGGTGAGCCCTGCCCCACTCACGGCCTCTCCTGGGGACTGTGGGAGCGCAGTGGCAGCTGGTGACTGCCCGGATCCGCTGGTTCTTGTTGCTTCCTCCCCATGTCCCCTTTGTCCCCAGGCTGCACCTCAGTACCTCCTGAGTGTCGGGGTCTCGCCACAGCTCTCTGAGAAGCGCAATGGCCTCGGATGGACCTGGCTAGAGTCCCAAGGGTTGTGCTGGGGGCTGGATTCTGGGGCCTTCTTGGGTTCCACGGTTCCAGTGGCCAAGTCTGCCCTCTGAAACAGGGATGGGACCAAGTCCAGGCCAAATTAGGGACACCAGTAGCCTCTTGTTTCTGCTCCTGTCCCCTGGTGCTCCCTTGGGGGCTGAGCTCAGTTTCCTAATCAGCCACAGAGGACTTGGGACTGAGGACAGACCTGGAGGCCCCACCCATGCTGAGCCCCCGCAGCGTCTCAGGCCCCACTCCCTCTCGCCCCCGCCAGGCGTCTCCAACGAAGCCCAGTATGTGTTCACCATCCAGAGCATCGTCATGGCGCAGAAGCTCAAGGGGACCCTGTCCTTCATTGCCAAGGTATGCAGGGCTCCACTTGGCGTTGAAGAGCCGACTCTGCAGGCAGGGGCTCCTCCTGCCCCATCGCAGTGGGTGTCCAGGTGTCCCTAGGGGAAGTGGGCCACCTGCCTGGGGAACCCTGAGCCCTGAGCTGGGCCCGACTCCCCTCTCAACTGCACCACCTTCACTCCACCGCAGAATGACGAGGGTGCGACCCACGAGAAGCTGGACTTCAGGCTGCACTTCAGCTGCAGCTCCTACTTGATCACCACTCCCTGCTACAGGTGGGGCCCAGGCCCACTCCCCTATGTCCCCGAACCCCCTCCGCCTCCCCTCTACCTTGCAGACACCTGTGCCCCGGGGACTGAGGCTTCTGGGCAGGACTTTAGAGACGGATTTGGAGGCGCTGGCTCGTGACTGGTGCAGGTCAGGCTGCCTGGTGTCTGCGCCAGCCGGGGCCGTGTAGTTGAAGCCACAGGCCAGGCAGCGTCACCCATAGAGGTCCAGGCCCCTGGAAGTCCTGAAGGCTGGAGGGGTGAGACCAAGGAGCCAGCAGGGCAGGCTCCTCCTGAAGCCTCTCCTCGGCACGGCTTGGCGTGCGGCACCCCCTCCCCCCTGAGTCCTCACAGGCCGTCCTCTGCGTGCCTGCATCCTAGCCTATCCCCCCAGTCCCTTCCTACAGGACATCCGTCCTTGTCGGAGGAGGGCCCATCCCATGGCTTCAGGCACCTCTGTGACCTCTTTAAAGACAAGTCATTGTCAGTTTCTGGGTGTGACGGCTTCCGCACATGAAAATGAGCCACACCTTCCAGGACCCCCAAGACCTCCCGGCCCAGACACACAGGAGGGTGTCCAAGCGCAGCGTGTGTGGCAGGTTTTGTTGGCCTCTGTGCCAGGAAGCCTGAGGAGCCCGGCCCCACCGCAGTCAGCCTCCCTGTCCCTCCCACAGTGACGCCTTTGCTAAGTTGCTGGAGTCTGGGGACTTGAGCATGAGCTCAATCAAAGTCGATGGCATTCGGATGTCCTTCCAGAATCTTCTGGCGAAGATCTGTTTTCACCACCATTTTTCCGGTAAGGAGAGTGAGGGGCTGATGGATTGCACGGGGCTTTCACGCACGCGGCAGCTGTCCCTTCCTATTGGAGCCGGGCCTGTGGCCCTCCCACCCAAACTCACACCCTTTGGGATCCCGGGTGGCTGGTGGCCCCGAGGCCTGGGAGCTGGTGCGGGGGCTGCATTCCCCACACCCCAGGCCTCTCAGGGCCACACCCTGCTCCTACAGGCCTCCTGAAGCTGTGGCCAAGGGCAGCCCAAGAAGGTGGCCCCTGCTCTGGGGGTGGGGCTGCAGCCATGCAATGTCCGGGAAGCCTAACACTGCCCGCTCTGTTGCAGTTGTGGAGCGAGTGGACTCCTGCGCCTCCATGTACAGCCGCTCCATCCAGGGCCACCATGTCTGCCTCCTGGTGAAAAAGGTGAGCCTCGGGCTGCTGTGCACACCCTGGCTCCTGCCACCTCTCCTGGGGTCATGCCCAGGCCTTCATCCCCAGAGGCGCGCTTTGGGACTTAGAGGGCTCGAGGACAGTGATGGCAGCACTGCTGCCATGAGCCCCTCACCTGTGCCAGCCCCACTCAGCAGCACAGACTCTCCCTCAGCAAGACAGGGCTTCTGCCTCCTGCTGCGCTGCTCACCGCAGGCTGACACATGGCTCCAGGGGCCCCACTCCCACTGCACTCCTGCCCACCACCCCACCCCTGTGCACAAGGCAGCCAAGGCCCTGGGGTCGGACTCTCCACCTCTCACTGCTGCGCTTCTAGAATGACTCCTCGCTCCCTCCGCTCCGGGCCTCCCTCTCCTGAGTACTGCAGGGTGGTTGTCTTCGCAGTGTGTCGACTGCCAAACGCAGTGTGTGAATATTTTGTTGAGGGCTTTTGTGTCTGTATATGAGGAGTTGGGTCTTTAGTTTTCTTTTCTGGTGGCTTCTTTGGTTTTGTCATCCAGTGGCTTCATCAGACGTGCAGTAGAGTGTGTCCTCTCTGTTTTGGGGCAGACTGTGTGATAAGTGGCATTTCTTCCTTAGAAAGAAATGTGTATACAGAATTCACCAGAAAACCATCGGGCCTGGGGAGTTCCTTTTCTGCAGGCTTTTAGCTACATCCTCAGTTTTTTGTTTTAACAGTTGTAGGAATCCCCAAGTTACCGTTCACGTTGGGTGAGTTTGGTAGTTTTGTACTTTTCAAAGAATTAGCGCAAGGAATCATCAGTCACTGAGTTGACGCGTGGCGGTGCGTGCCGTATTCGCGCTGCTCCTTGTGATGATACCGGGTCACTTTCCGTTCTGATGGTCACGGTTTGTGTCTCTTTTTTCCTGGTTCTCCTGGGTAGAACCATTTTATTGCACTTTTCTTTTTTTTTTTTTTTGAGACGGAGTCTCGCTCTGTCGCCCAGGCTGGAGTGCAGTGGTGCAGTCTCAGCTCACTGCAAGCTCCGCCTCCCTGGTTCACGCCATTCTCCTGCCTCAGCCTCCCAAGTAGCTGGGACTACAAGCACCTGCCACCACGCCCGGCTAATTTTTTGTATTTTTAGTAGAGACAGGGTTTCACCGTGTTAGCCAGGATGGTCTCAATCTCCTGACCTCATGATCTGCCCGCCTCGGCCTCCCAAAGTGCTAGGATTACAGGCTTGAGCCACCGCGCCCGGCCTTTATTGCACTTTTCAAACAACCAATTTTTCTTGATGTCCGGTTTGGTTCCAGTGCCCTCTGGGAGCATACTGAGGATTTCCAGTTTGCACGTGTTTCTTTCGCTTCTCTGCCTTCTTCTGGCTCATGTTCACTACTCAGCATTCCGTTCCTAGAGGTCTGTTGTGGTTTTGATACCCTTGCTTTGTTTTTTTTTTTTTGAGATGGAGTCTCACTCTGTCGCCCAGGCTGGACTGCAGTGGCGCGGTCTCGGCTCACTGCAAGCTCCGCCTCCCGGGCTCATGCCATTCTGCCTCAGCCTCCGCAGTAGCTGGGAATACAAGCGCCCGCCACCACATCCGGCTAATTTTTTGTATTTTTAGTAGAGACAGGGTTTCACCATGTTAGCCAGGATGGTCTCAATCTTCTGACCTCATGATCTGTCTGCCTCGGCCTCCCAAAGTGCTGGGATTACAGGTGTGAGCCACTGCGTCCGGCCTGTCATTGCTGTTCTTTTCATTCCTAATGTTCAGTTTTCTCCTGATTCACTGCCTCCCATGAAACACTCACTCCCCG
This sequence comes from Homo sapiens, assembly GCF_000001405.40. Taxonomy (NCBI): domain Eukaryota; kingdom Metazoa; phylum Chordata; class Mammalia; order Primates; family Hominidae; genus Homo; species Homo sapiens. Next base: position 2,106,904 of record NC_000019.10, on the reverse strand, counting down.
TTGCCTCCCCAGCCCCTGGCACCATGTATTCTACTTTGTGTCTTTGTGAATCTGATGGCTCTAGGGACCTCCTAGGAGTGGAACCACACGGAATGTATCCTTCTGTGTCTGGCTGCTGTTATTACACCTCATGTCCTTAAGGTGCATCCACATCGCAGCCTCTGTCAGGATTCCCTTCCTTTTCACAGCAGAATCATATTTTGTTGTACAGATGGACCATGCTGTGTGTCCACTCATCCATCGCTGCTCCCACCTTCTGGCTGTTGTGAATTGTGCTGCTATCAACATTGTTGTTAAACAAATAACTGTTGGAGTCCCTGCCTTCAGTACTTTTGTTTTTTTTTATTTTTTTGTTTTGGAAACAGAGTCTTGTTCTGTTACCCAGGCTAGAGTACAGTGGAGCCAAGGGCTCACCACAACCTCCGCCTCCCAGGTTCAAGCAGTTCTTCTGCCTCAGCCTCCTGAGTAGCTGGGATTACAGGCACATGCCACCTCGCCCCACTAATTTTTGTATTTTTAGTAGAGATGGGGTTTTGCCAGGTTGGCCAGACTGATGTGGAACTCCTGACCCCGGGTGATCTGCCTGCCTCGGCCTCCCAAAGTGCTGGGATTGCAGGAGTGAGCCCATTTGTTCTGAATATACACCCGGGAGTGTGATTGCTGGGTCCTGTGGTAATGCCACGTTTGAGGTTTTGAGGAGCTGCCAGACTGTCTTCCCCAGTGCTGCACTTTGTTTCCCGCCTGCTGCCGTGCAGGAGGCCCTGTTTCTTCACCTGTCGTCATCGTGCTGACAGCAGCCATTCTTTTTTTTTGAGATGGAGTCTCGCTCTGTCGCCCAGGCTGGAGTGCAGTGGTGCGATCTCAGCTCACTGCAGCTCCTCCCGGGTTCAAGCGATTCTCCTGCCTCAGCCTCCTGAGTAGTTGGGATTACAGGTGCCCACGACCACGCCTGGATAATCTTTTTGTCTCTTTAGTAGAGACGGGGTTTCCAGGGTTTCACCATGTTGGTCAGGCTGGTCTCAAACTCCTGATCCGCCTGCCTCAGACTCCCAAAGTGCTGGTATTAGAAGCACGAGCCCCCGCGCCCGGCTGACGGCAGCCATTCTGCTGGGCCTGAGGCGGCTGGAGCTGATCTGTTGCTGCTTTTTGGGTGCTGCACACTTCCTCCCTGCCGAGACCAGCTTGGTCAGGGAGACCCTAACCCAGTGGCGCTAGAGGAATTAAAGACACTCACACAGAAATACAGAGGTGTGAAGTGGGAAATCAGGGATCTCACAGTCTTCAGAGCTGAGAGCCCCGAACAGAGATTTACCCACATTTATTAACAGCAAGCCAGTCATTAGCATTGTTTCTATAGATATTAAATTAACTAAAAGTATCCCCTACGGGAAACGAATGGATGGGCCGAATTAAAGGAATAGGTTGGGCTAGTTAACTGCAGCAGGAACACGCCCTGAAGACACAGCTCGCTCATGCTATTGTTTGTGGCTTAAGAATGCCTTTAAGTGGTTTTCCACCCTGGGCCAGCCAGGTGTTCCTTGCCCTCATTCCCATCAACCCACAACCTTCCAGCGTGGGCGTTAGGGCCATTATGAACATGTCACAGTGCTGCAGAGATTTTGTTTATGGCCAGTTTTGGGGTCAGTTTATGGCCAGATTTTGGGGGGCCTGCTCCCAACACCTCCCCAGCCTGGGCTGCTGCCCCTCACGCCCCAGAGGCCGTATTCAGATGGGTTCATGGCTGTTGCTCTCTTGCCAAGCTCACCAGTCTGCCTCGTCCTAGCTGTTCTGCCATTGAGCCCACACAGGGAGGGTCTTATTTTTCAGGTCTGAAATTCCCACTGGGCCCTTCTTGTATCTTCCATGTCTTTGCTGATGCCCTGGTGATCTGTTGGAGCATTTTCCTAACAGCTACTTTAAAGCTTAGGCCAGCTGGGCATGGTGGTGTGTGACTGTGGTCCCAGCTACTTGGGAGGCTGAGGCAGGAGGATCGCTTGAGCCCTGGAGGTCAAGATCAGCCTGGGAACATGGCAAGACCCCAGGTCTACAAAAAATTAAAAAAATTAGCCAGTACTAAGAAATTAGTACAGTGAGCCTGTAGTCCCTGCTACTTGGGAGGCTGGGGTGGGAGGATCTCTTGAGCCCAGGAGTTTAAGGCTACGGTGAGCCCTGATTGTGCCACTGTACTCTAGCCTGGGCAACAGAGTGAGACTCCAAAAAAAAAAAAAAAAAAAAAAACTTGTGTCAGAGAGTCCTAGTGTCCGTCCACCTTGGTACGCTGATGGCCTTGGTGTTGGGGTCTGCACGTTGGGGTCTTCGTGTTGGTTTCTGCCAATGGCCTTGGCATTGGTGTCTTGGCGTTGGGGTCTGGGTGTTGGTGTCTTGGCATTGGGGTCTGGGCATTGGTGTCTTGGTGTTGGGGTCTGGGCATTGGTGTCTTGGCGTTGGGGTCTGGGTGTTGGCATCTTGGAGTTGGTGCCTCGGCATTGGGGTCTGGGTGTTGGCGTCTTGGAGTTGGTGCCTTGGCGTTGGGGTCTGGGTGTTGGCGTCTCAGTGTTGCGGTCTCGGCATTGGGGTCTGGGTGTTGGGGTCTGCGTGTTGGTGTCTTGGCGTTGGGGTCTGGGTGTTGGCGTCTTGGAGTTGGTGCCTCGGTGTTGGGGTCTGGGTTTCGGCATCTCGGTGTTGGAGTCTCAGTGTTGGTGTCTCGGTGTTGCGGTCTCAGCGTTGGTGTCTCGGTGTTGGAGTCTGAGTGTTGGTGTCTTGGCGTTGGGGTCTGAGTGTTGGCGTCTTGGAGTTGGTGCCTCGGCGTTGGGGTCTGGGTGTTGGTGTCTTGGTGTTGGTGTCTGCTCACGGCCTTGGTGTTGGGGTCTTGAGCGTGGGGTCTTGGCATTGGTGCTTCAGCATTAGGGTCTGGGTGTTAGTGTCTTGGTGTTTGGTCTGCTGATGGCCTTGGCATTGGTGCCTTGGTGTTGGCATCTGGGTGATGTGATCTTGGCATTGGGGTCTACCGACGGCCTTGCCATTAGTGCCTTAGCACTGGTGTCTTGGTGTTGGTGCCTTGGCACTGGGGTCTTGGCACTGGGGTCTGCCGAGGGCCTCTCTGTATGAGTGGATTCTCCTGGTCGTTTTCCGTGGAGTGCTGTGAGCCTCTGGGCCTTGTTCCATCCTGTGGAGGACGTGGGTGGTCAGGTCCCAGCTGCAAGTCCCCCCTGCCTTCTGGGGACTGTGGCCCCAAGCACACCACCACCTGCCCAGCCTCTCCTGTCAGTGCTGCCTCTTGTCCCTGGCCTTGGGACCCGGCAGCGGCCTCTGGACTCAGTGCCTTCGGTTGCTCTTTGGAACGGGATCCGCAGCATGGAGTGAGCCTAGCAGATCGTGAGCAGCTTCACGGGGTGGCTTTCCCCGCGTACCTCCCTCTCTGGGGGCTCTGGTTACCCCACTCCACTGGCTTCTTCCACAGTCACTTCAGGGGCCCAGTGGCAGGAGGGCGGAAGGACAGACAGTGCTCAACTGTCTGCTAGCTCAGGAGCTCTTCGGATTCTGGTCTTCATCCCCGGCTGCCTCTGGCTGCCTCAGGGCCCTCAGGTGCCGGCTCCCACTTCTATGTAGGCTGGAGCCCCTCCCACGGGAGACCCAGGTGCCTTGGGCCGCTCCCTCACCCGAGCCCTTCCCATTTTTTTTTTTAATAATTAGCAAATTCGCAAAATTAAAAGGACAACACATACAGCTGCGAGGCAATATTTGCACATAGTGTTTTTTTGTTTGTTTTTTAATTTTTTTGAGGTAGGAACTCACTCTTATCGCCCAGGCTGGTGTGCAGTGGTGCAAACACGGCTCACTGCAACTTCACCCTCCTGGGCTCAAGCGACCCTCCCGCCTCAGCCTCCCGCATAGCTGGGACCACAGGCATGAGCCATCCGGCCTGGCCTGCATGTACTTTTATTTATTTATTTTTGAGATGGAGTTTTGCTCTTGTTGCCCAGGCTGGAGTGTGGTGGAATGATCTCAACTCACATGCAACCTCCACCCCCTGGGTTCAAGAGAGTCTCCTGCTTCAGCCTCCCAAGTAGCTGGGATTACAGGTGTCCTGCCACGATGCCCGGCACATTTTTTATTTTTATTTTATTTATTTATTTATTTATTTATTTATTTATTTATTTATTTATTTATTTATTTTTTGAGACAGTCTCGCTGTGTCGCCCAGGCTGGAGTGCAGTGGCGCGATCTCGGCTCACTGCAAGGTCCACCTCCCGGGTTCACGCCATTCTCCTGCCTCAGCCTCCCATGTAGCTGGGACTACAGGCACCCGCCACCCTGCCTGGCTAATTTTTTATATTTTTAGTAGAGACGGGGTTTCACCCTGTTAGCCAGGATGGTCTCAATATCCTGACCTGGTGATCTGCCTGCCTCAGCCTCCTAAAGTGCTGGGATTACAGGCGTGAGCCACCGCACCCGGCCATTTTTTGTATTTTTAGTAGAGACAGGGTTTCACCGTGTTGACCAGGCTGGTTTTGAACTCCTGACCTCAGGTGATCCACCCACCTTGGCCTCCCAAAATGCTGGGATCACAGACTTGAGCCACCGTGCCTAGCCCCTGCACACACTTTTAAAATATCCATCTTTTTTCCTTACACAGGGTGAGAACTCTGTCTCAGTCGACGGGAAGTGCAGTGACTCCACGCTACTGAGCAACTTGTTAGAAGAGATGAAGGCGACGCTGGCCAAGTGTTGAGAGCTGCCTGCGAGCCCCGCACCACCCCGCGGAGCACGTACCCAGGGACCGCAGCCCTGACGTGTCTCGCCTCTCCTCAGTCGTGTGTACTGTACCCAAGCCTGAGTGTTAATTTAACTCTATGTTGTCCGCCGTGTAGACATCCGAGGTCATTTGTTGCGTTGAATTATCTGACCATCCTTTTTTACTGTGACTCTTCCCATTCTCTTTGGCAAGAAGTCCCCTTCTCGCCCCCAAACCAGCAAGGGACTCCCCCACCTGGGTCTGTGCCCTGCCCCGCGCTGGGGGCCGAGTCCTTGAATGTGGCTTCAGGGGCTCCTGTCCTGGGCCAGGGCCTGATGGGCACCACGTGAGGGGCACTTGGTGGACAGGGCGGGGCTGACGTGGCCTCCTCTGGGGTCGCCTGCTTTTGACCCAAAGGTCCTGACGGTTGCGTCCGGGGGAGGGGAAGGAAGGGCCGCTGTCGCCAAGGTTTTCTCTCCCAGAACCCACAGTGGGAAAGCGGTCTTGCCAGGCGTTGTCCATTGTCAGTGTGCTCGTGGGCTGGTGACTGGGTCTTGGGATCCCAGGCCACGCGCCAGCCAGGCTGTGGGCAGGGCGGGGCCAGGGACGCCAAAGAGAGGTTGCAGTCAGAACCGTGGACGGGGTGGGTTGAGGCCTCTCTGCCACCCGTCTTCCTGGTCAGCAGAAGTGCATCTCGGCTTGGGTTTGGGGTGGTCCGCATCCCCTGCTTGCCACTATGCGCACCAAGGTTTCCCCACATCCTTCCCAGCACCCTTAGGAAGGCCCAGGCAGGGCCTGGAAGCAGCGGACCTGGGCTGTTCTGTGTTGAAGGAGTGTGCCCAGTGCCCTTGGGCAGGACCTGTGAGAGCCACCTCACAGGCAGAGCCCCCACCAGGCAGGGCAAGGAGACTCCGCTCACTCCCCACGGCCAGCGTGGGCACAGGACTGACCCTTCTTCAGAGATAATGACATTTTATCTTCTCCTTTTGATGAAAACTGTCACTTTAGCATGTAATCCATTACAGAATCCCATGCAGTGATTCCAGGATTTGAAATTGTATGATGTGTTACATAAGAATTTATTTGCTATCGACATTCCCGTATAAAGAGAGAGACATATCACGCTGCTGTCATGATTTTGTGTCAAGATGATCCAATAAAGTTGTAAAACAGGCATTTCCACATGGGTCTTCTGCCTGGCCTGGGTCATGCAGCGCTGCAGGACTGGAGCCTCTGCACCTCAGCTCACGGGCCCTTGGGAGGGGGCCTCGGTCCCCAGCACCATCCAGGCCTGGGGCTCGGGCAGTCACAGGCCAGGGAGTCCCCCACCCCGTGGTGGCCTCGGTCCCCAGCATCTCCACCCAAGGCCGTGCAGGGGAGCAGGTGCCTGCTTTCCCTCCCCTTCCCCAGGAGCCCCCGGGGCAGGGGCAGATCCAGAATTGAGAACCGCGGAAGAGCAGCCACCCCACCCCTGGGTGAATTTGCCTCCTTTACACCAGCCTTACACCTTGAAGACGGGAGCCTCGAGCAAGGTGACGCTGGGTCAGTGAAGGGAAGCCCCTGTCCACTCTAACCCAAGACGCGGCCGTGGTGGCGGGCGTTGGATGTCAGGGGGCTCAGAGCAGCACAGACGGGACCCCAGCCCCGGCCCACACCAGCATCCTTTCTAGAAAACCATGCCTTGAAAGCACCTGCCGCGAGCCTCTTTGCCGTTACCTAAACACGCTTGCCGGCCTCGAAAGCAGCATCCTTCACAGCCAGGACCCAGCGCCATCACTCCTGACACTGTCCCCAGTGGCCACTACCACATTCTCCCCCAACATGCGTGTGGCTCCCATGTCCCAGGGAGCCTGGGAGGCACTCGGTGACCTTCCCACACGCCGTTCCTGACCTCAGCAAATGTGCCCGTGCACCCCTCCCGTGACGGGAGCCTGAGGCGGCCACAAGACAGTGTGTGGGACCCATGGTGGCAGCAACAGTGTGCTCGAGGATGTTCTTGCTGGTGTCCTGCAGCCGCCCCAATGCCGGAGCAAAGGGACGCTCGAGGAAGCAAGGAGACTGCCGGGCTGAGGTCGCCCGAGTGAGAATGGGACTTGGAGCTGCGCCCCTGCACAGATGGAACACGACTCCCTCCCTCCTGTGTGTCAGGCCCCATCAGCCAGAGTCAGGCCGTCGTGGCCCCGACTCTGGCCATGATGCCACGCCTGTCACTGCCACAGATGAGACAGCCCATAGTTCCTGCGTTCCTTGGCTCGGGTCTGACGTAAGTGACTGCAACACCTAAACGCACTAGTGCTGGCCCTGGTCTCAACCACACTGTGGCCTCGCTTTGGGTGGAAGAACCCAGGTGCTCTGTGGGCTTGTGTGAGCCTACCCATGTGTGCTCAGGTGGGCCACGGCCCCACACCTAGGAGTCCGGGGACACTCCCTGAGGCCCTGTGAGTGTGGCTCCAAGTCGGTCCCTCATGGCTGTGGACCCAAGGCCAGGACCTGCCCTGCTCTGTCTGGGACCTTTAGGCCTCCCCAGAAGCCCACCTCCAGCCCCTAGAGGCTTCCCCCTGCCCCAACAAGAACTCTTCTGCAAAGAGAAACATCAGGGACTTTAATCACATCCCGCAGCTCTGCGGACCTGCCCAGGCGCTGATGCTGCGCACAGCCCACCCCCATTCCCTCCCTCCCGCCCTCCTGGCCCTGGCCAGCTCAGCTCTGTCCGGGGTCGGAGAGGGGGTCCTGAGGCAGCAGCAGCCCAGCTCCAGAGTGACAGGCAGGGGCTGTCCAGCTGAGTCTCCGCCCCCACGTTGCCCTGGGGCAGGCCCAGCTGCTGTCAGTGCTGCTTGAGACACTCAGCAGCATCTTCCAAGGTCAGGTTGGCCAAGTGTGGGGGCTCCAGACACCTTAAGGCTGGCGATACCAGGCTGCGGGGAGACGAGGCTGCCTCAGCTCTCCATGTCCCCCACCCCCTGCCTCCCTCCCTGGGGGCCCCAGGCCTCTCCTCCCAGCTGGGACGTGTGGTCCTATGTGTGGCCACATCCACGACACCCTCGTGCCTGGGATGTCAGCAGGGTGTGCAGGCCGCGGCACGCTGGTGTTGGCTTACGAGCACCCCTTCTCCCGAGGCCTCCCTTCTCTGGGTCACTCACAAGGCCGGGGTGGCTCTGTGTGTCCCAGGCCAGGAGAAGGCAGAGGAGCGTGGTCTGTTCATGAAACCACCACATGGGTGTGGTTGCAGAGGTGACATCCAGCAGGTGTCCCAGGTATAGGGAGAGCCCCACCTGCAGTGCCCCCACTGATCTAGAGGACCCCCTAGCCCCCCTCCTCTCTCCCTTTACCCCCTCCCCCTGAAGTCCAGGTCAGGGCGGCCTTACCTCATGCTCGTGTCCTGTCTGAAAGGCAATGTGGGGCAGTCAGCCCCTCCATGGGGCACCCCTAACCATCGTAGGGAACCCTCCCAGGCTCTGACCACAGACCTGGGATGGGGTGGAACCAGACCCTATGGGGACCCTTTAGGAAAGATGCCCGCCTCCAGCTGAGGGTCGGAGACCTTTGAGGGAGAAAAGGACTGCAGCCGCCTCCTGCGCAGAGCTGGGTTGAGGTTCCACCTCCTCGGGAGCCCCTCTAGGACGTGGGAGCTGAGGGAGCCAGCCTGTGCCCCACACATACTCACCCACGAGGTGCTCACATACACACACTGCCTGTGTTGGTTTGAGGAGGGGACTTACTTGTGCCAGTTATTTCTACAAAGACAGTGGGTTTGGACTCAGGAGGCCGAGTGGCCGTGGCCAGTGTTCCCTCCCAGGCCCAGGTGAGCTTGCTGCCACCCAAAGACCCCACTCACATGTAGTTCAGGAGGCCCTGGACAGCTGACTTCCACTGCGCCGAGGACCTGTGGGACACAGGCTTGGAAGTGGTGCGCCCCTGAACCCACGGCCCCGCCCTACCCGATGACAGCCAGGTGGAAGGCGGGGAGCCCCCTCCAAGGAGAGCCTGGGACCCCAGGGACAGTAGGGCCCTGGCACGGGTGGGTGTGATGCCTGAGCCCTACTCGCAGTTATAGCCAAAGCAGGCGACGTGCGAGTCTGTGCAGTTGTTGCAGGAGATGGTCTCGTACTGGAAGATGCCTGAAACACGTACAAGAGCCGCCAGGGCTCCCCTCAGCCTCCAGGGCCCCGAGCTGCCACCGGCACGCCCCTCAGCCTGGACGGAGCCTTGCTTACCACAGCGGTGCTGACAGTCGATGCGGCCTGTGGGAGGGCAGGACAGCGCCATCTTACCAGGCCCAGCCTTGTCCCCAGTCCTGCCTCCTCCCAACCCTCCAAAGCCTCAGGGCCTGTCCCTCGGCACTGGGGCCCAGGCTCACCTGGTTTTCATGTATGTGTGTCCATGGCCCGGAGGGAAGGGGTCCCCAGGTTGACCCCCAGCGTGAGATGGAGCAAACTTCAGGGGAGGGCGGTGGCAACACTCCCAGCGCCTCTGGGGGCTACTTAGGGGAGGTCCCCGCGGGGTGATGGCATTGATCCTTCAGGTGCTAGGCTGGGTCCCTCCCTGGAGAGCTGCCCTCCTCCCCAGCTGCCTGGTGCCAGGTGCCCTGTTCACATCACTCCAGCCTCAGCCAAGCCCCGTGGGTCTCCGAGGCTCTGGGCAACACCTCCCTCCTCTGAAGCCTTATTTGCTCACTTTCGATGATGGCGTTCTGGATGAGGTGCACCTGCTCCCGGAAGATGTTTCGCAGCTCGTTGGGGAAATACCCTGAGTCGTCGAGGCAGGAGAAGGTCAGGCTCAGGCGGTGGGCGGGGTGTCCCGGGGTGGGGGGGCCCCGCCTCGGTTTCGCGCCCCTTACCGGGGAAGTACATCTTCCCCTGGTACAGCTGATCCATCATCTGGTACACTGCTGTCGCCACTTGGTCCAGCTTCTCCCGGGCTGCGGGCAGGAGGAGAAGCCAGGTGACCGGCCTGCCCCGGGGTCTCGCTGGCGGGGTAGTCGGGACTGGGCTGGGCTCCGGCACTCACTGATCTTGGCGGGGATGGCCAGGTGCAGCTCCTTCATCGTGTCGTCGCTCCAGTCGGTGAGCAGCGCCCCTGACACGGGGATGTCGCCCACCCACCAGGACTTGAAGTTCACATGGTGGCGGTAGAAGGAGAACTTCTTGGAGAAGTTGCTGTGGCAGTGCAGACAGCCGTGGGCCAGCGCCGCCGTCAGGCACACCAGGCACAGCAGCAGGGCCATGCCCGTCCCGGCCCGCCGCCGGCCAACCAACGACGCTGCTCGCGCCACACCCTTCAGCCGCGCACCAACCAACGGCCCCCACTCGGGCGCTTGGCCGTGTCTCCTCCCCCGCCCGCCCCACCAGCGCAGGCCCCGCCCCATCCCAGGCCCAGCCCCGCCTCCGTCCTCAGCCGACTACTGACGGCGCCGGCTCCGCCTCCAGGCCCCGCCCACGACCCGCCCCTCAGAAGACTCCGCCACTGGGTGGGCCCCGCCCCAAGGCCGCGCCCTACGCATGCGCCAATGGCCCGTGCCTGTGCCAATGGCCGGTGCCCGCTCCTCGGCCGGCTCCCGCTGAGGCCCCGCCCCGTGTCGCAGCCACGGTGCAGGCTCCGCCCACAGGCCGCGGCCCCGGTTGCTAGGCAACGGAGACCTCCGCCCGGCCCGGCTCAGGGCATCCCAGGGCTGCTGCCCGGAACTTGGCTCCGTGCGCCTTCGCCGCCCGGGCCCCTTAAAGCCCGCGGGACCGAGTCTGGGAGACCCCTGCACGCCGCTTCTGCGCGGAGCCCCGGGCCCTTTAAGGAAAGTAGGTCCGGTCCGCGGGTGCGGTCGGGCATGCGTGTGGGGCGTTCCCGCGGCCGTGTCCCTCCGCGGCGGCTGCGAGGCGGTGCGGCGGCTGAGGCGGCCGAGGCGGCCAGTTGGGTACCGGGAGGGGCGAAGGCGGGCGGCAGAGGCGATCAGGTGGGTGTCCGGGAGGGGCGAAGGCGGGCGGCAGAGGCGGCCAGGTGGGTGCCCGGGAGGGGTGAACTTAGGCGGCGAGGAGACCGAGTTCTCAGGAAGGGCGAACCCTGGCGGCGGGGAAGCTGGATCCCTCAGACGGGCGAACTTAGGCTACGGGGAGGCCGAGCCTTCAGGAAGGGCGAGGCCGGGCGCGGTGGCTCACGCCTGTAATCCCAGCACTTTGGGAGGCCGACGCGGGTGGATCACCTGAGGTCGGGAGTTCGAGACCAGTCTGGCCAACATGGTGAAACCCCGTCTGTACCAAAAATACAAAATTAGCCGGACGAGGTGGCGCGCACCTGTAATCCCAGCTGCTGAGGAGGCTGAGGCAGGAGAATCACTTGAACCCAGGAGGCAGAGGTTGCAGTGAGCCGAGATCACATCACTGCACTCCAGCCTGGGCAACCAGAGCGGGGGAAAAAAAAAAAAGAACAAAAGAAAAAAGAAAAAAGGAAGGGCGAACTCAGGCGGCAGGGAAGCCGGATCCTTCAGGAGGGGTGAACTTAGGCGGCGAGGAGGCCGATCCCCCAGGAGGGGCGAACGCGGGCGGCGGGGAGACCGATTACCCCGGAGGGGGATACAGGGTGCGGGGTCGAGCTGCGGGGGTGAACTCCTGGCCCTGCCCGCTGCCCTCCCGCAGGACCCCGCACCTCCCGGTGTGGATTAAAATTCTGCAGGGCTTCAGGATCCCCAAGCCAACGCGGCGGTCGGGCCCTTTCGAATAGGCCCTTCTTGCTCGGGGTCCCCAAAGTCGCTGGCAGGGCCCCCCCACCCCGGAAGGAGGCGCCCGCCAGGGACAAGCTGCCCCTCCTCCCTGCAGCGAAGAGGGGCTAGAAAGTGTAAGCGAGGGTGCATTTTATTAGGAGTCACTGAGAGGGGAGGGGAAATTGGAAAATGCAGTCACAGAGCAGAAAATCAGTGCTCCAAGCCGCAGCTCATCCTGGGGGTAAGATTTCCAGTCTTTGTACACACTGTTTTTTTGTTTGTTTGTTTGTTTGTTTGTTTGTTTTTGAGACGGAGTTTGGAGTCTCACTCACGCCCAGGCTGGAGAGCAGTGGCGCGATCTCTGCTCACTGCAAACTCTGCCTCCCGGGTGCAAGTGATCCTCCTGCCTCAGCCTCCTGAGTAGCTGGGATTACAGGCGCCAACCACCACACCCAGTTAATTTTTGTACTTTTAGTAGAGACGGAGTTTCGCCATGTTGGCCAGGCTGGTCTTGAGCTCCTGACCTCAGGTGATCCGCCCGCCTCGGCCTCCCAAAGTGCTGGGATTACAGGCGTGAGCCACCGCGCCCGGCCCACACTGCTTTTTTCGCACTTGCTTTTTTCTTCGTTTTCTCCTTAACAGTTTATACGGGTTTAATTGACATGCAATAAACTGCCCGTATTCAAAGCAGATGGTTGGATAAATGTTGACATTGTGTTTTGCGTGTTTCACATCCCATCTGTGCTTTCTGCTTTGGGAGTTGCCTCCTGCATAGGCAGCGGGGAGTGCCCTGGCCGCCCTCTAGGCCGTGGTCCCAAGACCGCCTTCCTTCTTGTGCATCACGCAGTCACAGGGGCTTCCCTTTTACGGAAGAGGCGCTGGGACGCAGAGCTGAGGAGCTGCTGAAGGCTGGAGCCGTCAGAGCCCACAGTGATGCCTTGAGGAACTAGTCATTCATTTCCCTGCGTGTGTGGGATGATCTAGGTTTTGACCCGTGAGACAAAACCCACCTTCCGTTTCTGTTCTCCTGGATTCACTTCCTTTCCAGGCCTGGTCTTGCTTTCATGTAGGGGAAGCTGGATGTTTATTTGTTCGGTTGGTTGGTTTGCTGGTTGTTTCAGAAGTGCAAGAGGGTGGCCCGGCGCAGTCGTTCGTGCCTGTGATCCCAACACTTTGGGAGGCTGAGGCGGGTGGATCACGAGGTCAGGAGATCGAGACCATACTGGCTAACACAGTGAAACCCCGTCTCTACTAAAAAGACAAAAAAATTAGCCGGGCGTGGCGGCGGGTGCCCGTAGTCCCAGCTACTCGGGAGGCTGAGGCAAGAGAATGGCATGAACCCTGGAGGCGAAGCCTGCAGTGAGCCGAGATCGCACCACTGCACTCCAGCCTGGGCGACAGAGTGAGACTCTGTCTCAAAAAAAAAAAAAAAAAAAAAAAGAACTTACATAGGGAAGGAAGGAGGGCTGGATGAGCCCCCCGGGCTGTCAGAGTTGCAGAGTTGCAGCCCTGAGAACTTCCAGAAGCCGGGTTCTTAACCGCAGTTGTCAGGGACCTGTTTATTAGAACTCACTGAGATCTACCGATTACAGAGTGAGAACTAAGAAAGTGAAATCCCAGCATGTCACGTCCCTGTCCTCCGGACCCCCTGGATGTGTTTCCCTTTCCCCAGGGACGACACAGGCACCCACCTCAAGCAACACCCGTTCCACTGCACCCTTCCCAGCTCCCTCTCTTTCCACAGGTTGATTTTTCTCTTTTAACTCTGGAGCTGAGCTTACTACCTGTGGCTGTGGAGGCCTTGCAATGTGGCTGGTCCGAATTGGGATGTGCTGGCCAGGTGCGGGTGGCTCATACCTGTAATCCCAGCACTTTGGGAGGCCGAGGAGAGCAGATCACCTGAGGTCAGGCATTCAAGACCAGCCTGGCCAACATGGCAAAACCCCATCTCTACTAAATACACAGCCAGGCACACGCTGGACCACAGCCACCCACTGTGTGTTCCAGAGACTTCTCTGGGATTCCGAAAGGCAGAAGTGAAGGCCTCCTCCCAGAATCCCGTTTCTGAAGTCGGATTTGCCTTTTCAGCTTAAGCCATTTGACCTTCTAAATGCCAGGAAGACAGGAACAGAGCTCATCGGCTGAGGAATACAAAATTTACCCGGGCATGCTGGCGCGTGCCTGTAGTCCCAGCTACTCAGGAGGCTGAGGCAGGAGAATCACTTGAACCCGGGAGGCGGAGCTTGCAGTGAGCCAAGATCACGCCACTGCACTCCAGCCTGGGCAACAGAGTAAGACAACGTCTCGAAAAAAAAAAAAATTCCCTTCCAAGGAGGTATCCTCCCACCTTAGGGACCTGATGGTGGAGGTTTCAGAAAAATTCCCCACACAGCTGACTGAGCTTGGGGTTTTAAGGTGGGGAGTTTTAGACCTTCCCCAGCCGATGAGCTCTGTTCCTGTTTTCCTGGCATTTAGAAGGTCAAATGGCTTAAGCCGAAAAGGTAAATCCGACTTCAGAAACGGGATTCTGGGAGGAGGCCTTCACTTCTGCCTTTCGGAGTCCCAGAGAAGTCTCTGGAACACACAGTGGGTGGCTGTGGTCCAGCGTGTGCCTGGCTGCACACAAAAGAAAGCTGAACTTGGGTTTTCTTTCAGACTTTGACACAATACCTTCTGGGGACCATGCCTGGCCTCTTCCCTTTTCCTTTTTTTTTTTTTTTTTTTTTTTGAGATGGAGTTTCTCTTGCCCAGGCTGGAGTGCAGTGGCGCAACCAGGGCCCACTGCAGCCTCCGCCTCCTGAGCTCAAGAGATTCTCGTGCCTCAGCCTCCTGAGTAGCTGGGATTACAGGCATGCGCCACCACGCCCGGCTAATTTTTTGGTGTTTTAGTAGAGACTGGATTTCACCATGTTGCCCAGCTCAGGCAGTCTGCCTGCCTCAGCCTCCCAAAGTGCTGGGATTACAGGCGTAAGCCACCGCGCCTCACCCCCTTTTCCTTTTGAGTATATCAAAATGACTGTTTTTTTCCTTATATACCCAGACTGGGAAAAGTATGTCAGTTTACCACAAAGATTCACAGAGGGTCGGGCGCTATGGCTCATGCCTGTGATCCCAGCACTCTGGGAGGCCAAGGCAGAAGGATAGCTTGAACCCAGGAGTTTGAGACCAGCCTGGGCAACATAGTAAGACCCCATCTCTACCAAAAATACAAAAGTTAGCTGGGCGTGGTGGCGTGCACCTGTGGTCCCAGCTACTTGAGAGGCTGAGGTGGGAGGGTCATTTGAGCCCAGGAGGTTGAGGCTGCAGTGAGCCGTGATTGCACCACTGCACTCCAGCCTGGGGGATAGAGCGAAACCTCATCTCAAACAAACAGGCAGCTAAAAAAAAAAAAAAAAAAAACCTTTCCTTCCAGACACAATAGTTCCTTATTTTTTTTCATGGTTGTAGCAATTTATTATTCTTTCTTTCTCTTTTTTTTTTCTGTTACAGACAGAGTTTTGCTCGTCGCCCAGGCTGGAGTGCAGTGGCACAATCTCGGCTCACTGCAACCTCCGCCTCCCAGGTTCAAGCGATTCTCCTGTCTCAGCCTCCTGAATAGCTGGGATTACAGGCGCCCGCCACCACGCCTGGCTAATTTTTGTATTTTTAGTAGAGACAGGGTTTCACCATCTCGGCCAGGCCAGTCTCAAACTCCTGACCTTGTGATCCACCTGCCTTGGCCTCCCAAAGTGCTGGGATTACAGGCATGAGCCACCGCACCCCGGCTTTTATTCCTTCTTTAACAAAAAAGGTCTTAGAGCCTGGGCGCAGTAGCTCACGCCTGTAATCCCAGCACTTTGGGAGGCCGAGGTGGGTGGATCACTTGAGGTCAGGAGTTTGAGACCAGCCTGGCCAACATGGTGGAACCCCGTCTCTACCAAAAATACAAAAATTAGCTGGGCGTAGTGGCGGGCGCCTGTAATCCCAGCTACTTGGGAGGCTGAGGCAGGAGAATTGCTTGAGCCCGGGAGGCAGAGCTTGCAGTGAGCCGAGATTGCGCCACTGCACTCCAGCCTGGGTGACAGAGCAAGACTCGGTCTCCAAAAAAGAAAAAAAGGTCTGGGTATCCATACTGTTTTGCAACTTATTTTTTGCACTTATCGGATATTGGGTGTCCTTCCGTGTCAGAGCCTGTGTCTCATTCTTCTTAAAACTGTGTGGCCGGGCCGTCCTGGGTTACACAAGGATGAGAAGTCTCCTCTGGGTTGAGAGGTTTTGGCTCAAGTTTAAGGCTTTTCTTTCCAGCCAGATGGGCTTGGGAATGACTCTGCAGGAAGCGCGTGTTCCCCTGATCTGGCCAGCAGCCGGCACTGGAATCTTGGTTGTAGGGTTACTTACTGCAGGGGTCAGTTTCACGGAGGTTTCCCTCCCTTTTCTTCCCCACAGGTTGTGGGTTTTCTCTTAGGTCTTCTGGCTTTAATGCAGAGCTTTATATTCAGCTTATTAGTTTTAAAAGTGTGTTAAAATAATGCACGTATTTTGGCCGGGCGCGGTGGCTCACGCCTGTAATCCCAACACTTTGGGAGGCCAAGGTGGGCGGATCACGAGGTCAGGAGATCGAGACCATCCTGACTAACACGGTGAAACCCCGTCTCTACTAAAAATTCAAAAATTAGCTGAGCACGGTTGCAGGCAGCTGTAATCCCAGCTACTCGGGAGGCTGAGGCAGGAGAATGGCGTGAACCCAGTAGGCGGAGGTTGCAGTGAGACGAGATCGCGCCACTGCACTCCAGCCTGGGCAACAGAGCGAGACTCCGTCTTAAAAAAAAAAATAACGTATTTGTATCATTGCTATGTTTAATGTCGTATTTCATTGACCATAAGTCCCACAGGGAAGGAGGAAGTTGTTACTTCCTGTGTGGGGCTGGGGCCAGGGTCTCCCCCTGGGTATTGAGTCATTCTCTGGGGTGGAGTGTCCTGGGCACTGCAGGGTGCTGAGTAGCGTTCCTGGCCTCCACCCACTCCATGCCAGGAGTTCCCCCAAAACCTGACAACCACAGATGTCCCCAGACATCGTCCGGTGTTGAGGGGCAGAATCTTCACCGTGTTCAGGCCTGTGGGGGCAGGGGGCAGGGTGGTCTATCCCTGACTCAGCCCGCCAACATCCTCTGGGCCACGAGGCAAATGAGAAGAAAAAGGAAGTGGTCGGGGGTGTGAGCCACTCCAAGCACAGACAATTCCCACCGGGGACAAAGGGATGGGCTGAGCTGGGACACCTGGGTGGGGAGTCGCACCCTACGTGCCCTGGAGAACCAAGGCAGCCTGAGTCACCATGCCAGCTCTGCCGGGCTGCAGATGCTGGTTTCAGAAGCGCCTGGCAGCTGCGGAGCTCTGGGGATGCGGACTTGGCTGGGCTAAGATGGATCGGGTATCGGGGCCCCCAGAATCCCCTCAGTGGAGTCCCTGGTAGATTAGATCAGAGGGGAAGCTGCCAATCTAGCTGAGGTCTTGCCCCAGGGCAGTTTTGCCCCCAGGGGACTTGGAAATACGGGGCAGTGCGGGGGGTGCATTTGTGTTTGTCACAACTAGAGGAGGGGCTGCCCCTGGCATGGAGTGGGTGGAGGCCAGGGACATTGCTCAGCACCTGCAGTGCCCAGGACAAACTCACCCAGAGAAGGATCCAGCCCTGAATGCCAAGTGGGGGACTGCATTAGTTATTTGGGAAAAAAAAATCAAGTCTGCTCCCTGCTCACACCAGACACCAGAATAAACTCCCAATATGGCAGACGGTGTAAACCAGGGGACCTCAGCTCCTGGGATTCTCTTCCTCTCCCCCTCTGTGGATTTCAATGTGTGTAGCCTCCTGGGACCTCAGCAGAGCAGAGGATCATGGGCCACGGAGTCTCTTGGGGGTCCGTGGAATCCCCTAACCCAAGAGGTGTCAATTGAGGGTAATTCTGCCCCCAGGGGACACTGGGCCAAGTCTGGGACATTTGTGTTTTTCTCATGACTGGGGGTGCTCCTGGCATGGAGTGGGTGGAGGCCAGGGACGCTGCTCAGCACCCTGCAGTGCCCAGGATGGCCCCTCCCCAGAGAGTGACCCACGCCGATGTCCACAGTGCAGAGAGTGGAAACGCTGCCCTAGTGGCAGACGCAGCAGATTCAGAATTGAAGGATCTGAGTTCAAGCCCAGACTTGTACCTTTTACCTCCCACCCTCAGGCGAGGCAACTGGCCTCAGCTTCTGGACGTGCAGCACGGGTGAGCCCCTCCCGCCAGCCAGGAAATGATGAGTTTCACGAGAGCAGGTCCTCCAGGGCCCCAGCAAATGCCAGGCCTGTTTACTAATGACAGCAAAGGTCCACCATCACTTAGCAGGAATGAGAGCATTCGCTTTCAGCCTGCCCTGCCAGCCTCACAGGGCTGCGGCATGAACCCCTGTAGGGTTAGTTTATGAGTGCGTAGGGAAGTGCTCCCCAGAAAGCAGGAGAAACACGGATGGCCAGATACACGTTTGAGCCTCTGACAACTACAGTCACTGTGTACTAACTAGTGGTGAGGTTGGCAATTTGTAAAAATTACTCATTAAAGAGGGAGACAGAGCCAGGCTCCGTGGCTCATGTCTATAATCCCAGCACTTTGGGAGGCCAAGGTGGGAGGACTGCTCGAGGTCAGGAGTTTAAGACCAGCCTGGACAACATAGCAAGACCCCCGTCTCTACAAAAAATACAAAAATTGCCGGGTGTGGTGGCTCATGCCTGTAATCCCAGCACTTTGGGAGGTCGAGGCGGGCGGATCATGAGGTCAGGAGTTGGAGACCAGCCTGGCCAATATGGTGAAACCCTGTCTCTACTAAAAATACAAAAAAAATTAGCTGGGTGTGGTGGTGCGCACCTGTAGTCCCAGCTACTCAGGAGGCTGAGGCAGAAGAATCCTTGAACCCGTGAGGCGGAGGTTGCAGTGAGCCAAGATCGCACCACTGCACTCCAACCTGGGCAACACAGCGGGACCCCATCTCAAAAAAGAAAAAAAATAGAAAAATTATCTGGACGCACGCCAGGAGTCCCAGCTACGCAGGAGGCTGAGGTGGGAGGATTGCTTGAGCCCCGGAGGTTGAGGCTGGAGTGGGCTGTGATTGTGCCACTGCACTCCAGCCTGGATGACAGAGCAAGACTTTGTCTCAAAAAATAAAATAAAGCAAACAAGAACAGTTAGATCCCCGGCCTTGCCACTCGCAGGACAAGCTTTGTCCCCCTCGGCACTGTGGACATTCAAGGCTGATTAGTCTCTGGGGTGGGGTATCCTGGGCACTGCAGGGCACTGGGCAGCATCCCTGGCCACCACCCACTCTGTGCCAGGAGCATCCTCCAGTTATGACAACCACAAATGCCCCCAGACATCACCCAGTATGAGTCCCCGGGGTGCAGAATCGCCCCCCAGGTGAGACCCCCACTGCAGCTGAGTGTGGCTGAGAGCTCTTCACAGTGGCCACGAGGAGGCGAGACTGGGGTGGGCCCCTGGCTCCCACTGGGCGGGCTCAGAGCATGGCTCCTGCCCCCACGTTCAGACTGAAGCCATCCAGGAGGCCAAGAAGGCGGTGCCAAGTCGGTGGTGCCCAGTCAAGCCCAGATCCTGCGGCCCTGGGTTAGGAAAAAGTTCCGTGAAAGGAGTGTGGCCCTGGGTTGGGATGGTAGCTTGGGGCGTTCCTCCCTGTGGCTTCCTCTTTCTGACACTTGGTCTCTTGTCTCTTGAAACTTTGGGCTGAGTCCTCTGAAGCAGGCACCACAGGTGTCCGTGACGTCTCATCACTGTAACTGTCCCCTAGGTGACACGATCTTAGCTTTGTTTTGAGACAGGGTCTTACTTTGTCCCCCAGGCTGCAGTGCAGTGGCACAATCATAGCTCACTGCAGCCTTGATCTCCTGGGCTCAAGCAATCCTCCCACCTCAGCCTCCAAGTGGCTGGGACTATACAGGCACATCCACCATGCCTGGCTAATTTCTTAACTATTTCGTACAGAGATGGGTCTCACTATGTTGCCCAGGCTGGTCTTGAGCTCCTGGCCTCAAGCAGTCCTCCTGCCTTGGCCTCCCAAAGTGCCAGGATTACAGGCGTGAGCCACTGCAGCTGGCCAGGGCTTCTTTTAGGGGTGAGGAAAGTGTTCTGGAATTAGATAAAGGTGGTGTTTGCGCAACGCCAAACGTGCCAGGAGTCACGTAACTGTACTCCTGAACTGTAACTGAAAAGGTTAAAACGTGTGGGATGTGAGTCATATGTCAATCTAAAAACAGAAGAAAAGACTATCAGGAGAATTAGGACAGTATGCTAAGCCCTCGATAGCACCTGGCCCAGAGGGGCCTGGGCAGGCCTTGCTTCCTGCCTGTCTGCTTTCCCACGAGAGAAGTCAGAGATGCAGTAGGCACAGTGGCTCACACCTGTAATCCCTGCACTTTGGGTGGCTGAGGTGGGAAGATCGCTTGACTCCAGAAGCTCAAGACCAGCCTGGACAACATAGCAAGACCCCATCTCTACAAAAATACAAAAATTATACAGGTGTGGTGTTGTGTGCCTGTAGTCCCAGCTACTCAAGAGGCTGAGGTGGGAGGATCACTTGAGCCCGGGAGGTCAAGGCTGCAGTGAGCTGTGATTGCACTACTGCACTCCAGCCTGGGCAACAGAGCAAGACCCTGTCTCTAAAAAAAACAAAAATGTAAACCAGACAAAAGCACAAAACAGTGACAGGATGCACGCCTGGGTGATCAGGGAAGACGCAGCCATCCTCCAGCAGGAGTGAGGGTGGCCTACCAGCACCAGGAGCAGTTGTAACGTTTAAAAGTAAACCCTCAGGCCAGGCATGCTGGCTCACGCCTGTAATCCCAGCACTTTGGGAGGCCGAGGTGGGCAGATCACCTGAGGTCAGGAGTTTGAGACCAGCCTGGCCAACATGGTGGAACAGTTTCTCCTAAAAATACAAAAATTAGGCAGGCATGGTGGCGTGTGTCTGTAATCCCAGCTATACAGGAGGCTGACCAGGAGAATCGCTTGAACCCAGGAGGCAGAGGTTGCAGTGAGCCGAGATCACGCCACTGCACTCCAGCCTGGGTGACAGAGCAACACTTCACCTCAAAAAAATAAAAATAAAAAAGTAAAAATAAACACTCAGAGGCTGGGCGTTATGGTTCACGCCTGTAATCCCAGCACTTTGGGAGGCCGAGGTGGGCAGATCACTTGAGGTCAGGAGTTCGAGACCAGCCTGGCCAACATGGCGAAACCCCACCTCTACTAAAAATACAAAATTAGTCGGGCGTTGTAGCGGGCACCTGTAGTCCCTGTTACTTGGGAGGCTGAGGCAGGAGAATCGCTTGAACCTGGGAGACAGAGGTTGTAGTGAGCTGAGATCGTACCACTGCACTCCAGCCTGGGCAACAAGAGCAAAACTCCGTCTCAAAAAAATAAATAAATGAAAGTAAAAATAAATAAATACTCAGATTTTGGAAGGTGGCTCCGGGATGCTGCCTTTTTTTTTTTTTTTTTTTTTTTGAGACAGAGTCTTGCTCTGTCGCCCAGGCTGGAGTGCAGTGGCACAATCTCCGCTCACTGCAAGCTCTGCCTCCCGGGTTCAGGCCATTCTCCTGCCTCAGCCTCCCAAGTAGCTGGGACTACAGGTGCCCACCACTACGCCCGGCTATTTTTTTGTATTTTTAGTAGAGACGAGTTTCACCGAGTTAGCCAGGATGGTCTTGATCTCCTGATCTTGTGATCCGCCCACCTCGGCCTCCCAGAGTGCTGGGATTACAGGCGTGAGCCACCGCGCCCAGCGCCTTTTTTAGCAGGACAGATTCTGGGCTGGGAGCATCTTCCAGCCAAGTATGAGGGCTGGGCTGCCAGGCCGGGAGCCAGTGTTGTGCACTGACCTAGAACATATGGAACTGACTTCTCCACTCAGGGCTTGTCTCTCAGGCGCCTCCCGTGCTCTGGGGCAGCGGTCCCCGAGGCAGTGGCAGGATGTGGAAACCTCCGGAAGGAAGTGGGTGACTGTGGTCCGTGAGCTGCTACACCTCGGTGGGGGAGGGGTCATACCAGTTGGTTGCTTAGAGAAACTGTGTTGTTCAAAAAAAAAAAAAAAAAAAGTGTTGCAGCAGGGGAATTTGTCATTTCACCTTTCATTTCTCTAGAAGTTTCCAAGGGTCACTTGTGTCTCGTCCGTGGGAAGACCGGGGGAGCCCAGAAGGCCTTGGTGTGGAATTCTGAGAGCTGATTCCTGCCTTGTCTTCTCCACTGTTCCTGGAGGAATCCGAGAAGAGCAGAGCGGAGGGAGCCCCAGACACGGTAACCTGCCCCCGGCCTCAGGGGACAACGAGGGCGGGAGTCAGGGTCCCGAGGCCACCCCGGCCTTTCTTTGGAAAAGACCCCTTTCTGTGGCCAATCACCCCTCCGCCAAGGAGCCTGTGTTTGTTCCTGATAGAAAACGCTTTGCTCGGGCCGGACATGGTGGCTCACGTCTGTAATCCCAGCACTTTGGGAGGCTGAGGTGGGAGGATTGCGTGAGGCCAGGAATTGGAGAGCAGCCTAGGCAACATGGTGAAACCCCTGTCTCTAAATAAAAAAAAAACTAGGCCGGGCACGGTGGCTCACGCCTGTAATCCCAGCACTTTGGGAGGGCAAAGCGGGCAGATCACGAGGTAAAGAGTTTGAGACCAGCCTGGCCAGCATGGTGAAACGCCATCTCTACTAAAAGTACAAAAATTAGCTGGGTGTGGTGGCGGGCGCCTGTAGTCCCAGCTACTCAGGAGGCTGAGACAGGAGAATTGCTTGAACCTGGGAGGCAGAGTTTGCAGTGAGCCAAGATCATGCCACTGCACTCCAGCCTGGGCGACAGAGTAAGATCCTGTCTCAAAAAAAATAAAAAGGAAAAAAAAAACCGTCTGCTGTGACGGGAACTCTGCCAGTCCACAAGGTTCTTCAGAAGATGTTAACTTCCACTGAAAATCCTGCACCTTTTTCTTTTTGTGACGGAGTCTCACTCTGTCACCAGGGCTGGAGTGCAGTGGCGTGATCTCAGCTCACTGTAGCCTCCGCCTCCCTGGGTTCAAGCGATTCTCCTGCCTCAGCCTCCTGAGTAGCTGGGATTATAGGCACATGCCACCACACCCGGCTAGTTTTTTGTATTTTTAGTGGAGATAGGGTTTCACCATGTTGGCCAGGCTGGTCTCGAACTCCTGACCTCAAGTGATCCACCCACCTCGGCCTCCCAAAGTGCAGGGATTACAGGCATGAGCCACCTCGCCTGGCACCCCTCACCTTCTGAAAGGAGACAGACATGCCAAGAGGAAGTTTACAAGCTCCTCGGGCTGCCCTGTCTTGTTTTCTGGAACTGTCTTGGTGTGAGTCTGGTAGACAAGCTTAAAAGGATATAGACAAAGATAAGCCTCAGCCAGGCACGGTGGCTCACGCCTGTAATCCCAGCACTTTGGGAAGCTGACGTAGGAGGATCACTTGAGACCAGGAGTTCAAGACCAGCCTGGGCAATGTAGTGAGACCCTATCTCTACAAAAAGTTTTAAAAAGACAAGCGGGGGCCTGTGGGAACAGCCGCTTTCTCCCTGAGGCTCAGCCCAGGTAGGGGGTCTCCTCCCATGGCTGCAGTCAGCCCAGGGCTGCAATACCACTGCTGGAAGGCCCCGCCTGCCCAACCAGGTGGCACGGTTGGAAGCTAAGCCCCCAAATTGGCATGGGAGGCCCTGAAATCAACAAACGGCAGCACCAGGCTGTGGCAGGTTGGGTTTTGCTCTGTGCTGTGATTTCTGTTGGAGTTGGAAAGTTGGCTGTGAGTCGGCCCAGATGTGAAGCGGAAACGGGGAGGAGGGAGGTGAGTGGGCCTGGCTGGGTGGATGGGGATCTGCTCGCCTGCACGGTTTCCTCTTTGGTAAAGTGGGGCCTGCACTCGCCCCATCTAGACAGGCATGTGGGGACTGAGGTGATTGATTCCCAGCGTGGAGGAGCATCTCGCTCAGTGCCAGGCGGACCATGGCCTGGAGGTGGCCGGCATTTTCCCTTCTCCTGAGGGGATTTATTGATCTTGTGCTGCAGGTGGTGTGGCCTGAGGGCAGGTGTGGCTTGCAGAGCTCATCACTGGGGCAGGTGCAGGGCTCTGGGGTGCTGAGCTGTCACTGGCGAAGGGCCTCAGGTCCCCCCCAACAGCTCCCACCTGCTCAGCCACAGCGTGGATGCGTCCCGGGCTCCCCGGCCCCGGGGGATACCATAAGCACAGAGGTGGCCTCTTTGAATCAGGGGCTTCCCAGGGAGGGTCTGAGGCTGGGCTGCGGGATTACTCCTTCCTTGGGAAGCAGGCAGGGGTGGCCAGGCACAGTGGCTCACGCCAGTGATCTCAGCCCCTTGAGAGGCTAAGGCGGATGGATCGCTTGAGTCCAGGAGTTCAAGACCAGCCTAGGCAACATAGTGAGCTCCCGTCTCTACAAAAAATACAACAACAACAACAAAAAATTAACTGGTGGTGAAAAAATTATAAAAAATTATGGCAGTGAGTGCCCGTGGTCCCAGCTACTCAGGAGGCTGAGGCAGGAGGATCCCTTGAGCTAGGAGGTCGAGGCTGAAGTGTGAGCCATGATCCTGCCACTGCACTCTAGCCTGAGCAGCAGAGCGAGAACCTGTCTCTAAAAATGGAAGAGAAGCAAGCGGGGGGACCTGTGTGGTGACCCTGGGGTTGTGCCCCGCCGAGCAAAACCAAGATGGGTCAGCAGTCCCTGGACTTGGAGCATCCACGTGGCTCTGCTAGGCAGTGGAGGGGCCCCGTGGTGGAGCAGCGCTGGCCCGGGAAGCGTGTGTCACTAGGCTTGTGATCAGACGGCTGCCTGCATCCCTGAGAGTTGCTGAATTTAGGGAGTTGTGGGGCAGAAAGAGCGGTGGCTTCACCCACAGAGTCCAGGGTTCGAGACCCGGCCGATCCACCCACAGAGTCCAGGGTTCGAGCCCCAGCCGATCCACCCACTAGCTCTGTGGCGTGAGACACTGCTGTAGAATCAGTCATAATCATCTGAGCCACGATCTCACCCAGGGCGATCTAATCTTAACCCAAAGGGACACTGGGTGATGTCTGGGCACATCTGTGGTTGTCATAACTTGGGGGAGCTCCTGGCAGGGAGGGGCGGCGGCCAGGGATGCCGCTCAGCACCTTGCAGTGCCCCTGACGGCCCCACCCCAGAGAACGATCCAACCCCGATGTCCACAGAGCCAGGGGTTAGAGGCCTGGTTTTCTGGGCCCTGGTTTTCTCATCTGTAAAGTGGAGACAGGGTTTTTGTCCCAGGCAGATGAAAAGTTCAAGTTCCTAGTTGGGTGTTAACCCTGGTGGCAGGAAGTGACGATGGTGGCTAAGGGCCCCAGGATGGGCTGGGGAAGTTCAGGCCTTTCTGGTCACTGCAGCGTGGGTGGGACTCAAGTCCTCCTGCCACCTGTGCCCAGGCTGCCCTGAGCAGTGTCCCCCAGCCGGTCCTCACCAGGGGCTCCCTTGTGACAAACCATTGACCCTGGACCTTCTTATGGTGCAGACTCTGTCGTCACTGCGTTCACAGTGGGCACCGTGTTGTGTTGTGTTGTGTTTTTGAGACAGAGTCTTGCTCTCTCACCCAGGCTGGAGTACAGAGGCCCGACCTTGGCTCACTGCAACCTCTGCCTCCCAGGTTCAAGCGATTCTCCTGCCTCAGCCTCCCAAGTAGCCGGAATTTCAGGCATGCACCATCACGCCTGGCTAATTTTTGTATTTTTAGTAGAGACAGGGTTTCATCATGTTGGTCAGGCTGGTCTTGAACTCCTGACCTCGTGATCCGCCCGCCTCAGCCTCTCAAAGTGCTGGGATTACAGGCGTGGGCCACCGCGCCAGGCCTGTTTTGTTTTGTTTTGAAGCAGAATCTCGCTCTGTCGCCCAGGCTGGAGTGCAATGGTGTGATCTCGGCTCACTGCAACCTTTGTCCCCCGGGTTCAAGCGATTCTCCTGCCTCAGCCTCCCGAGTAGCTGGGATTACAGGCGCCCGCCACCATGTCTGGCTAATTTTTGTATTTTTAGTAGAGATGGGGTTTCACCATGTTGGCCAGGCTGATCTCGAATTCCCGACCTCAGGTGATCCACCCGCCTCGGCCTCCCAAAGTGCCGGGATTACAGGCGTGAGCCACCACGCCCGGCCTCTAACTTGCTTTTTTTCCAAACAATGCAGCATCTCTTCCCCCCGACCCCCAGGCCCTGTGAACATTTGGGTCCAGATCATTCTCTGGTGGGGGCCGTTCTGTTGACTGTTGGGGGGTACCCTAACCCTAAGCCCTGGGGCCTCCAGAAGGATCCAGCTCTGCTCACACCTTATTTTTTATTTTTTGAGACAGGGTCTTACTCTGTTGCCCAGGCTGGGGTTCGAGGCTCACTGCAGCCTCGAACTCCCGGGCTCAAACAGTCCTCCCACCTCAGTTCTGGGATTACAGGCATGCGCCACTACACCCAGCTAATTTTTAAATTTTTTTGTAGAGACGAGGTCTTGCCATGTTGCTCAGGCTGACCTCAAACTCCTGGACGCAAGCCATCTACCTACCTCACCCTCTCAAAGTACTTACAGGTGTGAACCACTGCACCCGGCCTGTCCACACCTTAAATTTAGCCCTGCAGGATCCATTCCCAACAGCTGAGAGCTTCCCCGTGCTAGATTGGTGTTGTTTTCAGCCTGAAATTTGTGGTGATTTGTGATGGCAGCCCCAAACACTCGCCCAGTCATGTATCGTGAGGGATGAGACACAAGACAGGACTTCGTCACAAGCAACAGCAACACAGCCGGGCGCGGTGGTGCTCGCTTGCAATCCCAGCACTTTGGAGGCCAAGGTGGGCGGATCAGATGAGGTCAGGAATTCGAGACCAGCCTGGCCAGCATGGTAAAACCCGTCTCTACTAAAAATACAAAAATTAGCTGGGTGTGGTTGCACGTGCCTGTAGTGCCAGCTACTCGGGAGGCTGAGGCAGGAGAATCGCGTGAACCCGGGAGGTGGAGGCTGCAGTGAGCTGAGATCGCGCTACTGCACTCCAGCCTGGGTGACAGAGCGAGACTCTGCCTCAAAAAAAAAAAGAGGTGGGGGTTGGAATGTACTAGAACGTGATGAATGTGTGTTTATTACTTGTGAGCGTTGCGTGGAGCCCAGGAGGCCTGGGCATGTGTGGGCCTCACTCCCTCTCCCCTCTCTGACTCCCCCTTCTGCTGGGTCCTCTTCATGCTGTGGTGAGGACCCCCGCCCTGCCCAGCACCCTGCGTGGGCCTTGCCCCAAGTGTCACAGTCAAGTCTCTGCCCGTCCAGAAGGTGCACCCAGCAGAGCAGGGTGGGGTCTGCATCCACTCTGGGCCTGCCACGGTGCCGGCGTCCTGGCAGTGACAATAACGGTGTTGGCGGTGACAGGCCCTGCGTGGTGAGCGTGAGCCCGGCACACGCGCGGTGTGTGATCCAGGTCGCCCCTCCGCCCTGTGCGGGATGGACTCTGTCTCTGTCCCCTGAGAATTCTCAGGGGAGTAGGAGGACGCCGGGTCCCCACCCCAGAGCAACCCGTGGGTGTCTCACAAGTCACCGCTCAGGCGTGCATGAGACTTGGGCCGGCTCCTGGAGGCTTCCTCATTTATACGGTGCCTTGGGGTGGACAGCTGCCCCTGGAATCACCCGGCATCTCGCCATGTGACCCGACCTGGAAGGGGGTCTTTGTGGATGAAATCAAGGGAAGAGGGGTCACCCAATCGTGGGGTCCCTGACCCAGTGACCAGTGACTTGGGCACAGCAACATGGGGAGAATGCTGACACGATAGGGACTCATTCTCAGTTCTGGGGCTGCACGTCTGAGACGAAGGTGTGGGCGGGGCTGGGTCCCTCTGAGGCCGAGGGGCATCTGCCAGGCTTCTCTCTGCTCCTGGCGGTGGCCAGCATCCTGGGCGACCCTTCGCTTGTGGAAGCAGCACCCCCATCTCTGCCTGCATCCTCGCACAGCCGTCTCCCCCGTATCTGCCTCACTCCTGAGGATGTTTGTCACTGACTGTGGGGCCACCCAAGGAATCCAAGATGACGTCCCTTGAGACCTTCTTCCACCTAGGCTGCCATGCACAGGCTGCGGGCATTGCGGTGTGGCTTCCTTTGTGGAGGCCGTAGTCCGGCCATGCAGTCCCCTGTGACTGGCATCTCAGCCTGCCCCACACTCAAGCCCCACAGTGCTGGGTAGCAGCAAGTCTAGGTCCGGGCCAGGCATCGGCACCGGGGAAGATGCGGCCCCTGCGGGCTCTTGGGGCCCGGCTCTGCGCACCTTCTGCTGTGAATCGGTCAGGCCTCGCCACGCGCAGTTCTCTTCTGTCCACTGAGGAGGTGGCCCCCTTTGGGTGAAACTCCTTAAAGTCAAAAGTCCAGGGGATGTTTTGAACCCTGCCACTAGTGGCTCACACCTGTAAGCCCAGCACTTTGGGAGGCAGAGGTGAGAGGATCATGTGAGCCCAGGAGTTGGAGACCATCCTGGGCAACATAGTGAGACCTCGTTTCTACTAAAAATAAAGAAACTTACCCAGGTGTGGTGGTGTGTGCCTATAGTCCCAGCTATTCAGGAGGCTAAGTTGAGAGGATCGCTTGGGCCTGGGAGGCAGAGGTTGCAGTGAGCTGTGATGGCACCACTGTACTCCAGCCGGGGCAACAGAGTAAGACCCTGTCTCAAAAAACAAAACAAAATCCTGCCGCTTGTGCCCTCAGCACGAGTTTCCGGGAAATTCTGTCGCCTCCAGCAGGTCATGATTCCCCTGTGTATTTCAGGTCCGCGGGAGAGCTGTGGGGCTTGGTGAGTGTTTCGTGGCCTCTCGGGTTGGTCAGCACCCCCAGCCAGCTGGCCCAGGACCCCTCTACAGAAGTCCAGGAGAGCAGGCGTCACCAAGATGTCCAACCCCTTCCTGAAGCAAGTCTTCAACAAGGACAAGACATTCCGCCCCAAGCGCAAGTTTGAGCCAGGCACCCAGCGCTTCGAGCTGCACAAGAAGGCGCAGGCGTCGCTGAACGCCGGGCTGGACCTGCGGCTGGCCGTGCAGTTGCCCCCGGGCGAGGACCTGAACGACTGGGTGGCTGTTCACGTGGTGGACTTCTTTAACCGCGTCAACCTCATCTACGGCACCATCAGCGACGGCTGCACGGAGCAGTCCTGCCCCGTCATGTCGGGGGGCCCCAAGTATGAGTACCGCTGGCAGGATGAGCATAAGTTCCGGAAGCCCACGGCACTCTCCGCGCCCAGGTACATGGACCTGCTGATGGACTGGATCGAGGCGCAGATCAACAACGAGGACCTCTTCCCCACCAACGTTGGTGAGTCAGAGCTGGCAGGGGCTCGGGGATACAGAGCCTTCCAGAAAAGTCAGGGAGGCCGAGCACAGTGGCTCACACCCGTAATGCCAGCGCTTTGGGAGGCCGAGCCCAGGGATCGCTTGAGCCCAGGAGTTTGAGCTCAGCCTGGGCAACATAGCAAGATCCCATCTCTACAAAAAATTTTAAAAATTAGCCAGGCATGGTGGCACACGCCTTTGGTCGCAGCTACTCGGGAGGCTAAGGTGGGAGGATCGCTTGAGGCTAGGAGGTTGAGGCTGCAGTAAACTATGATCGTGCCACTGTACTCCAGCCTGGGTGACAGAGCAAGACCCTGTCTCAAAAAAAAAAAAAGGATTCCATTTCTGAGTATTCTCCTAAGTTGGGCTGCTCTTAGTAGCCCCCCTTCATCCTGAATCACTCCTGGTGACTCCTGTCTCCTCACCCCAAAGCAGAGAATGACAGGATCAGCATCAGGCCTGGAGTCCTTCGCAGAGGAGACAAGCACCCCTGCCAGTGCTGGGCCCAGTGTTCTCAGTGGTTTCAGAATCACTGCCATGGAGCCCCTGGGCCCACCAGGATCATCACCCCGTTGGCGGGACCCCCTGCCCAGCTCGATGTGTAATGCACTGCATGGCTCTCAGGGACACCCCATAAACGTGGGTTTGAGGATGATCATTAGGGCACGTCCCTCCAGAGTACAGCGTACCTTTCTTTTCTTTTCTTTTTCTTTTTTTTTTTGAGACAGTGTCTCACTCTGTCACCCAGGCTGGAGTGCAGTGGCACGATCTCGGCTCACTTCAACCTCTACCTCCCAGGTTCAAGCGATTCTTCTGCCTCAGCCTCCTGAGTAGCTGGGATTACAGGCATGAGCCACCACACCCGGCTAATATTTGTATTTTTTAGTAAAGATGGGGTTTCTCCATGTTGGCCAGGCTGGTCTCGAACTCCAGACCTCAAGTGATCTGCCTGCCTCGGCCTCCCAAAGTGCTGGGATTACAGGCGTCAGCCACCGCGCCCGATCTGCCAGCAATTTCTGTCTGGAAGCCCCTTGTCACATCCAGGAGCAAAGGGTTCTGGACATGGACTTGGCTGAGTCCGTGGACCCGTCCCACCCCTCTCCCTGCAGGCACTCCGTTTCCCAAGAACTTCCTGCAGACGGTGCGGAAGATCCTGTCGCGGCTGTTCCGCGTGTTCGTGCACGTCTACATCCACCACTTTGACCGCATCGCGCAGATGGGCTCCGAGGCCCACGTGAACACCTGCTACAAGCACTTCTACTATTTCGTCAAGGAGTTCGGCCTCATCGACACCAAGGAGCTGGAGCCACTGGTGCGCGGGCTTGGGGCTGAGGGCGTGCGGTTACGGTGGGGCTGGTGGCCCGTGGCAGAGGAACCCTTCCGGGGCCAGGACCCTGACTGCTTGCGGTCGGCCCAGCAGCTGGCGGCCCCGGCTGGAGTTGGGCCCCGGGGACCCTGCTGATGGGACAAGTGGTGAGGTAGCTGGGAGGGATCCTGCGTTCTCCCACGGAACAAATGCCGGCGACAGGTGCAGTTTCCTCCGCGCCGCCCCGCGTCCAGCTCACTCCGCCTTCACCGTCCTGAGCTCAGGTGTCCCAGAGCGCCGCTCAGTGTCCCTTATGAAAGGGATGCGAGCCGGCACAAGCAGACTCCACCCCGACTTTTTTTGTTTGTTTGTTTTTGTTTGTTTTGAGACGGAGTCTCACTCTGTCACCCAGGCTGGAGTGCAGTGGTGCGATCTCGGCTCACTGCAACCTCCGCCTCCCGAGTTCAAGTGATTCTCCTGCCTCAGCCTCCCAAGTAGCTGGGATTACAGGCACGCGCCACCACGTCCAGCTAATTTTTTGTGTTTTTAGGAGAGAGGGGGTTTCACCGTGTTAGCCAGGATTGTCTCGATGGATCTCCTGACCATGTGGTTTGCCCATCTCAGCCTCTCAAAGTGCTGGGATTACAGGCGGGAGCCACTGTGCCTGGCCTTTTTTTTTTTTTTTTTTTTTTTGGAGATGGAGTCTGCCTCCCTCACCCAGGCTGGAGTGCAGTGGCGCCATCTTGGCTTACTGCAACCCCCACCTTCCGGGTTCAAGCAGTTCTCCTGCCTCAGTCTCCTGAGTAGCTGGGATTACAGGCACGTGCCACCACACCCCGCTAATTTTTGTATTTTTAGTAGAGACCAGGTTTTGCCATGTTGGCCAGGCTGGTCTCAAACTCCTGAACTCAGGTGATCTCCCTGTCTCGGCCTCCCAAAGTGCTGGAATGACAGACAGGAGCCACCGCACCTGCCTAGATTCCACCCGACTTCTGTAGCCAGCCGGGTACCTCTGCATCTGCCCTAGCCTGTCTGCTTTCCACGTTACCAGGTTTTATCGGGAGACGAACCCAGGGACCAGATTCCTCGGTGTGGGGTCCACATCCCTGAAGCCAATGTTGCTTCTTGAAATTGGGGCCCACAATTGTGTCTCGGTGATGGGGACCAGCAGTGGAGTGGGTGCCCGTGATTCAGGGCCTGGCACTGGAACCTGCCCAGAGGCTGCATTGTTCCCCAGGCTGCTGGGCGCTGTATGGATGTGGGGATCCTGATGTGAGAGCGGGACCCCACCAGCCTCCGAGTAGCTGGGACCACAGCCAGCACGCCCGGCTGATTTTTTATTGTGTGTAGAGATGGGGTCTCACTATGATGCCCAGGCTGGTCTGAACTCATGGATGCAAGCAATCCTCCCACCTTGGCCTCCCAAAGTATTCAGATGACAGGTGGGAGCCACCACTCTCTTACAACTTTAAAAAATGGTTAAAAATGGACGGACGAGGTGGCTCCCACCAGTAATCCCAGCCCTTTGGGAGGCCAAAGAGGGAGAATCACTCGAGCTCAGAAGTTTGAGAACAGCCTGGACAACATAGTGAGACCTCATCTCTACAAAAAATGAAAAAAATGAGCCAGGCACAGTGGTGCGTGCCTGTGGTCCTAGCTACTCAGGGGGCTGAGACAGGAGAATTGCTTGTGCCTGGGAGGTTGAGGCTGCAGTAAGCCGAGATCACGCCACTGTAGTCCAGCCTGGGTGACAGCCAGTAACCTGTCTCAAAAAAAAAAAAAAAGAAAAGAAAAGATTAAGGCCCGGCGTGGTGGCTCACGCCTGTAATCCCAGCACTTTGGAATGCCAAGACGGGCAGCTCATGAGGTCAGGAGTTCAAGACCAGCCTGGCCAACATGGTGAAACCCCATCGCTACTAAAAATACAAAAAATTAGCTGGGCATGGTGGCACGCGCCTGTAATTCCAGCTACTCGGGAGGCTGAGGCAGAAGAATCACTTGAACCCAGGAGGCAGAGGTTGCAGTGAGCTGAGATCGCGCCATTGCACTCCAGCCTGGGTGACAGAGCAAGACTCTGTCTCAGGGGAAAAAAAAAAATTAGCCAGGCATGGTGGTGGGCACTTGTGATCCCAGCTACTCAGGAGGCTGAGGCAGGAGAATCGTTTGAACCCAGGAGGTGGAGGTTGCAGTGAGCCAAGATTGCGCCACAGCTCTCCAGCCTGAATGACAGAGTGAAACTCCGTCTCAAAAAAAAAAAAAGACTAAAAACATCTTCACATAACTTCCTCATTTTTGTGCATCCCCTTTCAGGCTTTGCTACTGGTAAACATTTTGCTAAATTTAAAATTAATAGTTGCATACTCAGTGGCTCTAAAGATGGTAGTGGGGTCTTCCTCTTTTTTCTTTCTTTTTCTTTTCTTTTTTCTTTTTCTTTTTTTCTGTATTCCAGAACTTTCCTTCTAGTGTCCCAGTCTGTATAAGACAGGGATCAGCAAACTGCAGCCCTCTGGCCTGGCTTCCTGTTTTTGTAAATAAAGTTTCTGGGGTTTTTTTGTTTGTTTGTTTGTTTGATCTCAGCCACTGCAACCTCCACCTCACAGGTTCAAGTGATTCCCCTCCCTCAGCCTCCTGAGTAGCTGGGACTACAGGCATGTGCCACCATACCTGGCTTATTTTTTTGTATTTTTAGTAGAGACGGGGTTTCACCATGTTAGCCAGGATGGTCTCGATCTCCTGACCTCATGATCCGCCCACCTCAGCCTCCCAAAGTTGTTTTTTTCTTTTTTGAGACAGAGTCTCGCTCTGTCACCCAGGCTGGAGTGCAGTGGCGCGATCTTGGCTCACGGTAACCTCTGTCTCCCAGGTTCAAGCGATTCTCCTCCCTCAGCCTCCTGAGTAGCTGGGATTACAGGTGCCTGCCACCATGCCAGGCTAATTTCTATATTTTTAGTAGAGACAGGATTTCACCGTGTTATCCAGGCTGGTCTTGAACTCCTGACCTCAGGTGATCTGCCTACCTCTGCCTCCCAAAGTGCTGGGATTACAGGCGTGAGCCACCAAGCCTGGCTGTAAATACAGTTTTATTGGCAGCGAGGTACACTTGTGAGGTTACCATCGTCTGAGGTGGCTTTTGAGGTACAAGACAGAGTTGAGCCATCATGACAGGGACCGTCTGGCCCACAGATCTGAAAATGCTGACTCTCTGGCCTCATGGGGTAGCCTGCTGCCCCTGGTCTCAGGTGTGCCATTGCCTGTGTGGTTTTTGTTGTTTGGGTGTTCAGGGAAGCCCCCAGCTGCCGTTTCTCTGCCTGTGCGTCTCCGTGTGTCTGCTGTTCGCATCACCCCTTTTAGGAGTGGCTGGTGGGAGCTGATGTCTTGCTTGCTCTTTACAGAAAGAAATGACCGCCCGGATGTGCCACTGAGAGCCCCGCGGGTCTCCCGGTGCCCGAACCGCCGCTGGGGCCTCGGAGACTTGGAGGAGGACGCTCTGGAACCATCATCCCGCTTCTCTCCGGCCTGAGCATCTCAGGGAGACCAGGGGCCGAGCCGCTGAGCAGGTGTTGGTCCTCAGGAGCTCCAACCCCGGACGGCAGATGCCTTCCTCAGTCTCGAGCCTCAGTCTCCCGTCTGGGACTAAAACGTGAACTCTGTAATTCTATGTGTTACTAGCAACCGGAAAAGCCCACTGTGTTTTTAAACCACTTCCACTTTCCAGGAGGCTGGATGGCTTCCAGGGTCACTCCTTGCCCTGGGTGGCTCCCAGGCTCCTGGAACTTCTGCCTCCACCTCGCTGGGGAGCCCCCAGGGCTGCTGTGGCCACAGCCCTGCCTGGGCCTGTCTCTCAAGGGCACCCAGCTTGCTCGGCCTCCTACATGTCTCCCGTTGGGGAGGCAAGAGGCTGAGGGGCTTCCGAGCCCCTGAGAGCGGACATCTCCTCCCGCAGGCCTTTACTCCGCACTCCCCACTGGCAGCCGCTGGTGTCTCTTCACACAGAGGCACAACCTGGACCCAGGCAGCCTCTTTCCTCCCTCCCCAATCTCTTCCATTTTTCTACAGATTTTTTTTTTTTTGGTCATACTAGAGACAGGGGTCTCGCTGAACTCCTGGCCTCCAGTGATCCTCCATCCTCGGCCTCCCAAAGTGCTGGAATCACAGGGGTGAGCCACCGCACCCAGCCCTCTCTCTTCCTCAATGCACTCTGCTTCTTCCGTTCTTCCGAAACATTCAGCTGACTGTATCCAGGGCTTCCTGGACTCCTGGGACCCCACGTCCTGCACCCCGGCTTCTGACTCATTTCCTAAGGGCCCCTTTGTGTATCATAAAGGGTTTGATTTTTATAGTCACATTTACAACCATCTTGAGATTTTTATTTTTTTTGAACGGAGTCTCCCACTGTCGCCCAGACTGGAGTCCAGTGGCACAATCTCGGCTCACTGCATCCTCCACCTCCTGGGTTCAAGTGATTCTCCTGCTTCAGCCTCCCAAGTAGCTGGGATTACAGGTGTGCGCCACCACGCCCAGGAAATTATTGTAGTTTTAGTAGAGACAAGATTTCACCATGTTGGCCAGGCTGGTCTCAAACTCCTGACTTCAGGTGATCCGCCTACCTTGGCCTCCAAAAGTGCTGGGATTACAGGCATGAGCTACTGCACCCGGCCTAACCAGGCTGGAGTGCAGTGGTGGGATCTCGGCTCACTGCAAGCTCCGCCTCCCAGATTCACGCCATTCTCCTGCCTCAGCCTCCCCAGCAGCTGGGACTACAGGCACCCACCGTCACACCCGGCTAATTTTTTTGTATTTTAGTAGAGACAGGGTTTCACCGTGTTAGCCAGGATGGTCTTGATCTCCTGACCTTGTGATCCACCAGCCTCAGCCTCCCAAAGTGCTGGGATTACAGGCGTGAGCCACTGTGCCCGGCCAAGAATTTTTTTATCGATAACATAGTGAGCTCTCTGCCTCTTCGGAACGATGTCCACTTTGCTTATGATCAACCCAAGCAGGACTCTTCTCTCCCTGGACGCCTCTCCCCTGGTCTGGAATCTTCCAGTTCTGCCAGAATTGGCCTTTCCCAGATGCTGCAAACTTCCAGTTGAACCCCTTTTTCTGTGTGGCCCCTGGGGCTGCGAGACCAAAATCCATGAGTTCTGTGTACCCTAGACCTTTGGAAGGTGAGAGCAGGGCCCTGAGAAAAGGCAGCCACCTCCTCTCCCTGGCTGAACCCCTGCCACCCTACTCCTCACCAGAATTGTCAGTGGCCTTTCACCACAGTGGTCCTTCCTGCCTGAGCCCTGCACTGTCCCAGACCACACAGAAGTCTGGTCACCTCTGGGCGCCTGGGATGGTCACCGAAGAGAAGCACGCTGTCCCCGTCTCTCCTGGCTTCTGCCAGAAAATCGAACAAGTGCAATTAACACACTGTTACTGCCGAAGCCTGAAACTCCCAGGACTTGTCCTTGATCCTTCCAGAAACCACCAGGTCCGGCACTTGGAGCCCCCCGGAGAGGGACCTCCCAGCCGAGCCCTCAAAGAACTCCATGAAATCAGGAACTGCTTGATGAAATGTATCTCCTTGTACCTGGAAGATGAAGCCCAAACACCCACACCTCTGTCTCCCCCAGGGCTCGGGATGTCTCCAGCAGCCCGGCCACGCAGCTTCCCAGGTGGGCTCGGGGAGGTGGGAGCAGGGACCATCTCTGTCCCCTCCACCCTCACTCCATCCACCTCGGAGACCACCCTCCCCCAGCCAGATACGGAATAAAACTACAGACGCAGACGTCGGAATAAATGGTGTCGTTTTCCTGCCAGTGTTAACAGGGTGCCCTGTCCTAGGGGTGAGCCTCAGGCTTTGGGGCTGAGAAAATCTTTTTTATTTTTCTTTCTTTTTTTTTTTTTTTAGACAGCTACTCAGCTTTTCTTTCTTTCTTTCTTTCTTTCTTTCTTTTTTTTTTTTTTTTAAATCCCAGCTACTTGGGAGGCTGAGGCAGGAGAATTGCCTGAACCCTGGCGGCAGAGGTTGCAGTGAGCCGAGATGGCACCACTGCACTCCAGCCTGTGTGACAGAGCAAGACGCTGTCTCAAAAAAAAAAAAAAAGAAAAGAAAAGAAAATGAAGCACAAAAGTTTTTACCCTGTGCCAAGGAACAGATCAGAGGGAAAAGACCGAAGGGGTGGAGTCCAGGCCAGCCCGTGACTCCCTAGCCCGCTGTGGCCTTGGACATGGACAAATTAGCGTACACTACAACTTTTTATTGACTTGTTTATTTCATTCTCTTTCTTCCTTTCTTTTTTTTTTTTTTTTTTTGAGACAGTCTCGCCGTCACCCAGGCTGTAGTGCAGTGGCCTGATCTCGGCTCACTGCAACCTCAGCCTCCCAAGGAATTGGGACTACAGGTGCCCGCCACCACGCCCAGCTAATTTTTTTTTTTTTTTAAGATGGAGTCTTACTCTTGCCCAGGCAGGAGGGCAGTGGTGCAATCTTGGCTCACTGCAACCTTGGCCTCCCAGGCTCAAGTGATTCTCCTGCCTCAGCCTACCAAAGTGCTGGGATTACAAGCGTGAGCCACCACACCCGGCCCTAATTTTTGTATTTTTGGTAGTGACAGGGTTTCACCATGTTGGCCAGGCTGGTCTCGAACTCCTGGCCTCAGGCGATCCCCCTGCCTCGGCCTCCCAAGTGTGGGATTGCAGGCATGAACCACTGTGCCCAGCTGCTTTTTGTTTTCTGTATGTGAAAAATGTGGGCATTGGGTGAGTGAGTCTCCGGGGTCCCTTCCAGCGTGAAACGTCGTGAGTCCGGAGCCTAACGGAAGACCAGCTTTGGCTCACGAATTTGGTATTTTGCACCTCAGCAGCATGGCAGAGAGGGGCAGCCCGGGCCCCACAGGGTGGACCCTTAGCCCTGTGCCCGTCAGCGCTGTGCTGCTGCACCTCGCCCCTAGAGGGCACCACGGCGCTGGGAAGGGACAGGCTCCTGTTAGGCAAAGAGCGGGGATCGGGAACCGCCTTCCAGAGAGGCTGCTGTTTCCTAGTTGTTTGTTTGTTTGTTTGTTCTGAGACGGAGTTTCACCCTTGTTGCCCAGGCTGGAGTGCAATGATGCGACCTCAGATCACTGCAGCCTCTCCCTCCCGGGTTCAAACGATTCTCCCGCCTCAGCCTCCCAAGTAGCTGGGATTACAGGTGTGCACCAGCATGACTGGATAATTTTTGTATTTTTAGTAGAGACGGGATTTCACCATGTTGTCCAGGCTGATATTGAACTCCTAACCTCATGATCTGCCTACCTCGGCCTCCCAAAATCAATGTGGTTTTAAATTTTACTTATTTGGAGATGGAGTCTCCCTCTGTCACCCAGGCTACAGTGCAGTGGCTCACTGCAACCTCCACCTCCCAGGTTCAAGCCAGCCTCCTGCCTCAGCCTCCCCAGTAGCTGGGACTACAGGTGCAAGCCACCATGCCTGGGTAATGTTTTATATATTAGCAGAGACAGGGTTTCACCATGTTGGCCAGGCTGGTCTCGAACTCCTGACCTCAAGTCTTGAACTCCTAACCTCAAGTGATCTACCTGCCTCAGCCTCTCAAAGTGCTGGGATTACAGCCGTGAGCCACCCTGCCAGGCCAGCCACACAGTCTGTTGTGTAAATAAAGTTTTATTGGCGCACAGCCATGCTCATACATTTACATATTATTTACATATTGTCTGTGGCTGTAGAGTTAACCAACAGAGACCATCTGCTCCACAGTGCCATTTTTTTTTTTAAAGGGAGTCTTGCTGTGTTGCCCAGGCTGGAGTGCAATGGCGTGATCTCAGCTCACTACAACCTCCGCCTCCTGGGCTCAAGCGATTCTCCTGCCTCAGCCTCCCGAGCAGCTGGTATTACAGGCGCCCGCCACCACCCCCAGCTAATTTTTGTATTTTTAGTAGAGATGGGGTTTCACCATGTTGGCCAAGCTGGTCTCTAACTCCTGACCTCGTGATCCACCCACCTTGGACTCCCAAAGTGTTGGGATTACAGGCGTGAGCCACCGCACCCGACAAAGCCAAAAATATTGACAGTCTGCCCCTTACAGTAAAAGTTTGGTGACCAAGCCAGGCATGATGGTGCACCTGTGATTCCAGCCACTCAGGAGGCTGAGGCAGGAAGATCACTTAAGCCCTGGAGGCGGAGGCTGCAGTAAGTTGAGATAGCACTACTGCACTCCAGCCTGGGCAACAGAGCAAGACCCTGTCTCAGAAAAAAAGAAAGCGGGGGAGGTGGGGAGAGAGAGCTGACATTGAAAGATTTTCAATAAATAGTGTTAGGAAAAAAAATAAACTGATCATATGTAAATATCCCTGCTCTTAATTGAGGTGAGTATCAAGTGAAAAAAGAAAAAGTTTGCGGACGCCTATAGAAATACACAGAAAGATGGCCTGGTGCGGTGGCTCACACCTGGAATCCCAGCACTTTGGGAGGCCGAGGTGGGCGGATCACGAGGTCAGGAGATCGAGACCATCCTGGCTAACACGGTGAAACCCCGTCTCTACTAAAAATACAAAAAATTAGCCGGGCGTGGTGGCGGGCGCCCGTAGTCCCAGCTACTCGGGACTACACTGCCACTGCACTCCAGCCTGGGTGACAGAGTGAAACTCCATCTCAAAAAAACAAACAAACAAAAATATACAGAAAGATCCTCCTGTTAAAATGTGAAGAACCCCTCATATCCAGTAAAAATCAACACAAAACATTTTCTTTTCAGATAATGTTTGCATAACTCCATGAATTTATAAATACCTCTGAACTATACACATTTTTTTTTTTTAAACGGAGTCTCACTCTGTCACCCAGGCTGAACTGCAGTGGTGCAGTCTCAGTTCACTGCAACAATCCACCTCCTGGGTTCAAGCGATTCTCCTGCCTCAGGTTCCTGAGTAGCTGGGATTATAGGCACCAGCCACCACACCTGGCTAATTTTTTTATTTTTAGTAGAGACGGGGTTTCACCATGTTAGCCATGCTGGTCTTGAACTCCTGACCTCAGGTGATCCACCCACCTTGGCCTCCCGAAATGCTGGGATTACAGGCATGAGCCACCGCACCGCCCTGAACTGTATACATTAGTGGGGGAATTTTATGAGATGTGAACTATGTCCCCATAAAATTGCTGTAACAAAGACATAGACTGGCAGAAGCAGAAGCTTAGGCAAAGTTTTTATGTATATATATAATTTTTTCTTCAGACAGGGTCTTGCTCTGTCGCCTAGGCTGGAGTGCAGTGGCACAAATCACAGCTCACTGCAGCCTCAACTTCCTGGGCTCAAGCAATCCTCCCGCCTCAGCCTCCTGAGTAGCTGGGCCTACAGGCATGTGCCTCCATGCCTAGCTGATTGTGTTTCTTTTTTGTAGAGATGAAGTCTCCCTACATTGCTCAGGCTGATCTTGGACTCCTGGCCTCAAGCGATCCTCCCTCTTTGGCCTCCCAAAGTGCTGGGATTGTAGATGTGAGCCATTGTTCCCAGCCAGCATAATTATATCAAATAAAGCAAACCAGGAGGAAAAAGCAATTGCAATCCTTTTTTTTTTTTTTTTTTTTTTTTGAGACAGAGTCTCGCTCTGTCGCCCAGGCTGGAGTGCAGTGGCGTCATCTCGGCTCACTGCAACCTCCGCCTCCCAGGTTCAAGCAATTCTCCTGCCTCAGCCTCCTGAGTAGCTGGGATTACAGGCACCTGCCACCACCCCCGGCTAATTTTTGTATTTTTAGTAGAGACAGGGTTTCACCATGTTGGTCAGGCTGGTCTCGAACACCTGGCCTTGTGATCCACCTGCCTCGGCCTCCCAAAGTGCTGGGATTACAGGTGTGAGCCACTGCGCCGGGCCTTTCTTTTTTTTTTTTCTTTTTTTTTTTTTTTGAGACAGAGTCTCACTCTTTCACCCAGGCTGGAGTGCAGTGAAACAATCTTGGCTCACTGCAACCTCTGCGTCCTGTGTTCAAGCGATTCTTCTGCCTCAGCCTCCCAAGTAGCTGGGACTACCAGCACCCGCCACCACATCCAGCTAATTTTTTTGTATTTTTAGTAGAGACGGGGTTTCACCATCTTGGCCAGGCTGGTTTTGAACTCCTGACCTTGTGATCTACCAGCCTCAACTCCCAAAGTGCTGGGATTACAGACATGAGCCTCCACACCTGGCCAGCAATTGCAGTCTTAATGATCAAGGTGAATCCAAATGTATATGGGACAGGCTGGGCACGGTGGCTCACGCCTGTAATCCCAGAATTTTGGGAGGCCGAGACGGGCGGATCACAAGGTCAGGAGATCAAGACCATCCTGGCTAACAGAGTGAAACCCCGTCTCTACTAAAAATACAAAAAAAAAAAAAAAATTAATCCGGCATGAGGCGGAGCTTGCAGTGAGCTGAGATAGTGCCACTGCACTCTAGCCTGGGTGACAGAGCGAGACTCTGTCTCAAAAAAAAAAAAAAAGTATATGGGACAAAGTACACTCATTGTGACCAGAGGGAAAATGTACAGGAAAGATACGTTAGTCAGAAAACTTCATGTGCTGAAATACATTATATAAAATACAAATTAACATTTAAAAATCATGGTAAATGATTTAATAAACATTTTATGTATGTACTTATTTATTTTTTATTTTTTTTATTGAGACGGAGCAGGCTGGAGTTCAATGGCACGATCTTGGCTCACTGCAACCTCTGCCTCCCGGGTTCAAGCACTTCTCTACCTCAGCCTCCCGAGTAGCTGGGACTACAGGCGCCCACCACCACGCCTAGCTAATTTTTGCATTTTTAGTAGAGACGGGGTTTCACTATCTTGGCCAGGCTGGTCTTGAACTCCTGACCTTGTGTTCTGCGTCCCTTGGCCTCCCAAGGTGCTGGGATTACAGGCGTGAACCACCACGCCCGGCCTACTTACTTTTTGAGACAGAGCCTCTCTCTGTCACCCAGGCTGGAGTGCAATGGCGCCATCTCAGCTCACTGCAACTTCTGCCTCCTGGGTTCAAGCGATTCTCCTGCCTCACCCTCCTGAGTAGCTGGGATTACAGGCGTAAGCCACCACCCAGCTAATTTCTGTATTTTTAGTAGAGACTGGGTTTCGCCATGTTGACCAGGCTGGTCTTGAACTCCTGACCTCAGGTGATCTGCCCACCTTGGCCTCCCAAAGTGCTGGGATTACAGGCGTGAGCCACCGCACCCGGCCTGGGCATCTTCATTGATTTGTAATTCACATTCCATACAATTCACTCATTTAAGGTGTACAATTCAGTCGCATGTAGTACATTCAGAAAAGTGTGCAACTACCACCTCCAATTCTACAGCATTCTATCACCTCGAGAAGAACAAACCTTGTCCCCATCAGCCGTCACTCCCCGACACCCACACATCCCCTCCCTGTCTCTGGATGGGCCTGTCCCGGACAGTTCATAGAAATGGGATCACACACTGCGTGGCCTTCTGAGTTTGGCATCTGTGACTGAGCATGATGTCCTCCAGGTTCACGCTGTGGCCTGGCTCCGGTTCGTCATGGGATAATGTTCCAGTGTGGATGGACCATCCGTCCCCTCCTGCCGGGTGTTCAGGCCGTGCTGTCCTCTCGGCCACCAGGCATCAGGTGCCCATGTGCGCACACGGCCCGTGTCCCGCGTGGGTGTCTTGTGTGGCTGCTGTTTATGCTCTGTCTCTGCTGACCTTCTGGTGCCACCGCCTGGTGGCCGCCCCGGAGGCGTGGCCCACGTTCCTCGATATTTCTGGAGCTGTCTGCCCTTCTTTCCAAGCCAGAGAAGCAGATGGGAAACAAAAGCAGCTGCCCGCCCTCCTTGTCCCCGCCACAGGCCTACGCATCACTGGATGGGATCCTGCTCCCGGGAAGGCCGGCAGGAGAACGGCTCCGTCTGTCTGGCCTGGAAAGCAGCTCCCGCGCTGCCCCACCCGCCGCCAGGCCACTGCGTCCTCGTGGCTCTGCTGCCGGCCTCAGGGATCCCCCTGAGTTCTGACTGCAGGCAGAGGATGGACCTGCCTTTTCGGGCAGGTGACCCATGGCGCTCTCCTACTTTGTGGGAAAGAGGGACATGGAGTCAGGTGTGACTCCCTGGACCCCTCAGGCCAGGCCCCCAGCACTGATTCACCAAATAACTGGAAACTGCTTCTTGTCAGACACAGGCTGTGGCCCTGGTCCTGACCTCAGCGTGTCATCAACAGAAGGCTGACTGAGGCCCCTTGGCAAGGTCCCTGGTAGGTCGCGTCGCCAGGAGGTGGATGCCAGCCCCGGCTCACCACAGCCGCCCCTCCTGTTTCTCTCCACCTGCAGCCAGTGTCCTGGCGTCCTGGAAGCAACCTCCCCTGCCTGCTCCTCCCGCTTGGCCGCGGGGCCACAGGGCGCTATGACTGTGCAGGAGGCCTCAGAAGGACGGGCAATTTTTAAGATTCTATTTTTATTATTTTATTTTATTTTTGAGACGGAGTCTCGCTCCATCACCCAGGCTGGAGTGCAGTGGCGCGATCTCGGCTCACTGCAACCACCGCCTCCTGGGTTCAGGTGATTCTCCTGCCTCAGCCTCCTGAGTAGTTGGGATTACAGGCGCGTGCCACCACACCCGGCTAATATTTATATTTTTAGTAGAGATGGGGTTTGGCCACGTTGGCCATGTTGTGCCCAGCCAATGTCATCTGTTTCTTTTTACTTTTTAAAATATGTGGGTCTTGAACATTTACACACGTGTTGGTCAACATCCAGGTGAGAAAAGACGGAACACACAAGCTGTCAGGGAAATGCAAATCAAAACCATCGCCAAGATGATGTCACTCAGAAACGACAATAGCGGCCGGCACAGTGGCTCAGGCCTGTGATCCCAGTACTTTGGGAGGCTGAGATGGGCAGATCAGCTGAGGTCAGGAGTTCAAGACCAGCCTGACCAACAAGGTTAAACTCCGTCACTACTAAAAAATACAAAAATTACATGGGGATGGAGGCACTCTCCTGTAATCCCAGCTACTCAGGAGGCCGAGGTGGGAGGATTGCGTTAGCCCAGGAAGTCGAGGGTGCAGTGAGCCGAGATCAGGCCACTGAACTTAAGCTTGGGTAACAGAGCAAGACCCTGTCTCAAAAAAAATAAAATAAAGCTGGGTGCTGTGGCTCACACCTGTAATCTCAGCATTTTGGGAAGCTGAGACCAGTGGATCACTTGAGATCAGGAGTTCAAGAGCAGCCTGGCCAACATGGTGAAACCCCGTCTCTACTAAAAATACAAAAATTAGGGAGGTCGAGATGAGCAGATCACCTGAGATCAGGAGTTCGAGACCAGCCTTTCACATGGTGAAACGCTGTCTCTACTAAAAATTCAAAAATTAGCTGGACGTGGTGGCGGGCACCTGTAATCCCAGTTACTCGGGAGGCTGAGGCAAGAGAATTGCTTGAACCCGGGAGGTGGAGGTTGCAGTGAGCCAAGATCGCACCATTGCACTACAGCCTGGGTGACAAGAGTGAAACTTCGTCTCAAAAAATAAATAGGCCAGGCGCGGTGACTCACGCCTGTAATCCCAGCTACTCGGGAGGCTGAGGGAGGAGAATGGCGTGAACCCGGGAGACGGAGCTTGCAGTGAGCCGAGATCGCGCCACTGCACTCCGGCCTGGGCGAAAGAGCGAGACTCCGTCTCAAAAAAATAAAAAATAAAAACAAATAAATACAAAAATTAGCTGGGTGTGGCGGTGCACACCTGTAATCCTAGCTACTCAGGAGGCTGAGACAGTTGAATCACTTGAACCCAGGAGGCAGAGGTTGCAGTGAGCTGAGATTGCACCTCTGCGCTCCAGCCCAGGCGACAGAGTGAGTCTCCGTCTCCAAAACAAATTAGCTGGGTGTCTCCGTGCAGCTACTGGGGAAGCTGAAGCACAAGACTGCCTGAACCCGGAGAGAGATTGCAGTGAGCTGAGATCGTGCCACTCCACTCCAGCCTGGGCCACAGAGTGAGGCTGCGTGTGTATTTCTATAATGAAGAAAACTATTGCGGAAAAAAAAGTCAAAGAGAAATGCAGACCTTTAAAAGGTCTCTCCTGAGAGAAGCAGGAATGAGGAACTCGTAGGGTCCTGGGCTGGCCGCAGACAGGAGACCCCAAGGTCCCAGCAGGAGGGCGGTACATGGTGAAGATGGGATCCTTGGGGGAAGCCTGAGACACTCTGTGGTCGGCTGAATCACAGCCCCCAAAGATGCCCATGTCATTCCCGCGATCTGTGAATGTACCACTTCCCATGGCCAAAGGGGCCACCCCCATTCTTCTAGGCTAGCCTCGGCAGGGGTGCCGGGCCTCCAGCCTATCCATGCCCTGAGGGCTGCCACTGGGACACTCCAGACT
The DNA here is from genome assembly GCF_000001405.40 of Homo sapiens. Lineage (NCBI taxonomy): Eukaryota > Metazoa > Chordata > Mammalia > Primates > Hominidae > Homo > Homo sapiens. Next base: position 2,062,471 of record NC_000019.10, on the reverse strand, counting down.
TGGGACGTAGAGGGTGCCAGATGGGTGGGTTGGTGGGGTCACCTCCCCTGCTGTCTACACCGTGGGTCCTTCAATCTCGTTTCCTGCCCCTCACTTGTGATTCATTGATCAGGGCTACAGTGGAGAGTGAGGCCTGCCTGGGGTGAGGGGTTGTGGCTGTGGCCGCTGGGGGTCAGATTCTGACCACCTGCCTCTGTGCTTTCACTCAGTTGCACAGCGCCCGGGACCTGGAGGACCTGGGGGACCAACCCTCCCACCCCCTCCAGTAGGGGTCCTTGGAAGGAATGTTTCCTGGCCACAGAGGAAGAGGTGTTGGTGCAGGGCCAAGGCCTGCGGTTCAGTCCTGGTCATCCAGGCCTGGTCACCTTCTGGGGTCCCCCAACCCCCCCCAGCTCCTCTGTGACCTGCAGAGAGACCGGTCGTTGCATAGGGTGCTAGTGCAAAACGTGGGCGCTGCATAAATGCAGGGGCGCCCGCCAGGGGAGGAGTAGCCGTGAATGCATCGCGCCCACAACTCCGCAACTCCAGCTCTGTGCACCTGCGGAAACTGAAGCTCGGGAGACCGAGACCGGACCCAGAGTCACACAAACGGGCAAAACAGGAGGACGTGGGGCTGGGCCCGGCCCGCTGACCTCCAACTCCGAGTCTGCGCCCTCCCTTACCTCTGCCCCCAGCCAGGCCCACTGACCCCCAACCCTGAGCCCTAGGCCTCCGCCCAGAACACAGCGGCGAGCGAAGTGTGGAGTAATGCGCACGGTCCCTTTAAGAGGCACAAGGCCCTGATCGCGCGGCCCCGACAACAACAATTCCATTGGCTGGAGCGTGATCTCTGGCCACGCCCCCACACTAAATATTTGGAGTCCTACTGGTCCAGAGCCCGGGCCCCGCCTCCCTCGCCCTCTGAGCCCGGGCGCCGCGCCAGGTTCGCTGACGCAAACGCGTTGCCCCGGCAACCTCTCCCCGTCCCCGGGGCAAAGGGGCCCCGGCACTGGAGCCAGTGCGCAGGCGCGCGGCCGCCGCCGGGGAGGGGGTTCCCAGGGCGCGCGGCCCGGACCCCCGAGTCCGTGCTCTCCGACCCTCCTGTCACCCCGGGACACCGTGTGGGGGGCGCCCAGAGCCCCGGCCGCCGGGAGGAGGAGGAGGCGGCGCCCGGGGACTGGCCTAGCGCGGGTGCGGTCGGCGGGCGGGGCGGGAGGGCCCGACCCGTGGCTCTGCGGATTTCAAAGGCGCGGGGTCACACGCCCAGCAGCCGATCAGCCCCGGCATTTGGCGACGCAGCAAATCCAGCCCTGCGGGGAGGGGGCCCTGTCCCTGGGCCGGCCCCATGCCCAGGCTGCAGGGCCTCGCCCGCCCCCAGCCGCATCTCCCTGCCCCTGGCGCCTCCCAGGACCTGTGACAGTCCGGGGGGCTTGACCGGGGCTGCCCTGGCTTCAGCCTTCTCATCTGCACAGTGGAAACTCAGGAAAACACCGCCTGTGTGAGCCTCCTGGAGCTGTGCAATGAATCACACACGTGCAGTGGCTTGAAACGACCCACATCGATTCTCTCACGGTTCTGGAGGTCAGAAACCCGACATGGGGGCCTCACTGGGCTAACATCAAGGTGTGCGCAGGGCTGGTCCCTCCTGGGGGCTCCAGGGGAGAATCCAGTTCCTGCCTTTCCCAGCGTTTAGAGGCGCCCACATCCTTCAGCTTGGGCCCCTTCCCACTCACAGCCAAGAGCAGCCTCTTCCGGTCTCTGACTCTCACCCGGCTGCCTCCTCTCATGAGGACCCTGTGAGGACACTGGGCTCCCCGATCATCCAGGGTGATCTCCCATCTCAAAATCCTAACCCAGTCCCACCTGCAGAGTGCCTTGCGCCTTGGAAGTTTCCCTGGCCATGCCCTTCCCAGGATGTGCACCCTGAAAAACACCCTGAAAAGGCCTTGTGGCCGGGCGCGGTGGCTCACGCCTGTAATCCCAGCACTTTGGGAGGCTGAGGTGGGCGGATTTTCTGAGGTGGAAGTTCAAGACCAGCCTGGCCAACATGGTGAAACCCCGTCTCTACTAAATAGTAAATACAAAAATTAGCCGGGGGTGGTGACATGCACCTGTAATCCCAGCTACTTGGGAAGTTGAGGCGGGACAATTGCTTGAACCTGGGAGGCGGAGGTTGCAGTGAGCAGAGATCCTGCCACTGCACTCCAGACTGGGCGAAAGAGCGAGACTCCATCTCAAAAAAACACAAAAAAACAACAAAAAAACTAAGGCCTTGTTGGGAGACAGATCAGCTGGGACCAGGGCACAGGGCACCAGGCTCCCAGTGGTTCTCTGAGAGTCATCTGGGTGTCTTCTGGGCTCCACCCCCTGGTAATAGGAGGAGGAGAGGACGCCAGGAGATCAGCGGAGTGCTTTGTTCACGGTCACTGGGGCAGGGCGGTGGCCTTTGGCCATCTCCTGGGCCAGCCCTGCCCCACACTTCCTTGGGGACTGTGCAGGGGCTGAACCCCAGGGAGGTGGGGCATGCACGCTGCTCCTGATGCCACTCCGTCAGAGCAGCGTGGATGGCCCCATGGCTGCCCCGGGCTCCTGGCCAGACACCCACAGCCCGGGCAGGTAGGCAGCCCCAGGCTCCAGGCCACACCTGCCCTGCCCACTCCCTGCCCCCACTGGAGGACCGCGGGCCCTGGCTGTGTCCCCAGGCAGGCCTGCCGAGCCACTGGAGTGGAGTGAGTGTGAGTCAGCCGGCAAGAAGGGACGCTTGCGGCCACTTACATCAGATATTCCTGCCTCGTGGCCCCATGGCCAGAGCTCTCAGCCCCGCAGGGGTCCTGAAATGACCCTGCCCACGGCCCTTCATAGCAAGGGATGGCCCTTGGGCCGTGGTTCTGGTCCCTGGAGAGCCAAGCAGGTGGGAACTGTGAGGTGGTCTCTCGTGCCACCCACTACACTTGCAAGTGTGTACAGGCGTGCACAGCCCACCCCCACCTTTCACTCCCACATGGGCCCATGGCTGACCCTGCAAGGACCTAGGCTTGGGGCCTCCCCCAGGGACGCCTGCCTCCGCGGGCACACAGACACACGCCCCGATCTGCTCACACTCGTACCCACACCAAGTTTTTTTTTTTTTATGTTGTAGGGGAAAGGTCTTTATTGTCACCGCCCCCCGCCCCCGTAGGGTTGTCTGATATAATACGGACACCAAGCTAACTTTGAATGGCAAATAAACAGTGAATAACTGGGCCTGGCGTGGTGATCCCAGCATTTTGGGAGGCTGAGGCGGGAGAATCATTTGAGGCCAGGAGTTCAAGACCAGCCTAGGCAACATGTTGAGACCCCCCCATCTCTACCGAAAATAAAATTAGCTGAGCGTTGCTGGGCGCGGTGGCTCACGCTTTGGGAGGTGGAGGTGGGTGGGTCACCTGAGCTCAGGAGTTCCAGACCAGCCTGGCCAACAGGGCAAAAGCCCGTCTCTACTAAAAATACAAAAATTAGCTTGTCGTGGTGGTGCGCGCCTGTAGTCCCAGGTCGTCAGGAGGCTGAAGCATGAGGATCTCCTGAACCTGGGAGGTGGAGGTTACCGTGAGCCGAGATCGAGCCACTGCACTCCAGCCTGGCAACAGAGCGAGACTCCGTCTCAAAACAAACAAACAAACAAACAAAAAGCCTCCAGACAATGGAGCCCCCCATAGGATCCCTTGTTGCACACATCCAGCCGGGCCCTGTGCTGGGTGGTCGGGGGTGGTCAGGGTGGGCTGTGTGGCCAGCCTCCCTGGCTTGAGGGAGATGGGTGGAGGGAGAAGCCCAGGGCTGGCAAGTCAGGACCTGCCTGGGCACCTCTTCTGGGGCTTTGGGGACACCCTACATGCCACACAGGCTGAAAATCGCCCTGCATTCTGCAGAACTAAAGAAAAAAAGCAAAAAGAATCACTCTACAGATTGAGGAAGCGCTCAAAGGCTGGCAGGAGGCAGACAGGTTGCCCCCAAGGAAGCGGGGGCTGTGCACCTTTGGGCAGAGGCCGGCCAAGCCTGCTCCGAGACCAGGGGCAGGACAGGTCGCCTCCAGGGAGCTGCAGGACCCGGGGCAGGCTGAGCCTTTGGGCCTCCACCGCTGGAGTCTCATGGTGGGGTGGGTGGTGCGGCCTCCACTGTCACAAGGCGTCTGTTGTCCCAGGAAGTAAGCAGGAGTCTGTCCCTGTCCTGGAGGGAAGGCCGTGCCACCCAGTGGCTGTGGGACCCTAGGAAGTAGCCGTGAGGGCGGGAGGTGGCGCAGGGGTCTGGGTCACCCCAGGGCCGGCCTGCAGGGAACTCGAGCTCATCCCTGAACCTTCTGTGTGCTCCAGGCCACTCTGCCAGGGCCCTGGGAGGTTGAGGGAGGTGGGACCAGTGGCGGGTCAGCCAGAGAAGAAGCTAGGTTTACTGGGGGTCTCCTATAGGAGAGGGGCATGGGGCCAGCATGGCCCAGACAGCTGGGATCTCCAGTGCGGGTCACTGGGTGCTCACTGGGTGTCCATGGGGGCTGTACGTCGGGGTCAAAGCCAGAAATTGGGCAGAGACAGCTCAGCCACAGGTGAGTCCTGGAGCACATCCCCCGACCCACCACACCCTCAGGTCAGTCACCCACCTGTGTGGCCAGTTCTGGCTCCATTCCATCAGCACCTCCCTGGGCCTGGCCTGCTCCAAGTGCACCCAAAGCAGGTTCTGGGCTGGGGTCAACTCTCACCTGTCCCAGATAATGAGGCTAGCTGGTGACTAGGTGAGGAGGGGCTGGGGTGCCCTGGGAGAAGCCACCAGGCCTAGCTTGGGTTGGGGGGGCCCACAGGGTCCAGGGCAGGTCCTGACCCCTCCTTAAAGGAGCCGCAGCACCTCCCAGCCAGGATCGGGTTCACCTTGGCCCCAGGGCCTTGGCTGGGCCCTGCCGTGACCTCCCGGAAGAGGAAGCCACGGCCAAACCCCAAGTTAGGCCTGGTGAGGGCTCCAGGGTGGGGGACCCGGGGGGTTAGGAGAGAGAAAGAAGCCACCTGCTAGGCTAGGCGCAGTGGCTCACGCCTGTAATCCCAGCACTCTGGGAGGCTGAGGCAGGCGGATCACCTGAGGTCGGGAGTTCAAGACCAGCCTGACCAACATGGAGAAACCCCGTCTCTAGTAAAAATACAAAAATTAGCCAGGTTGATGGTGTGTGCCTGTAATCCCAGCTACTTGGGAGGCTGAGGCAGGAGAATCGCTTGAGCCCGGGAGGCAGAGGTTATGGTGAGCCGAAATGGTGACATTGCACTCTAGCCTGGGCGACAAGAGCAAAACTCTGTCTCAAAAAATAAAAATAAAAAAAAAAGAAGCCACCTGCTGGAGATGCTGCCCCCCACCACCCACCCTGGCCAGGTCCCAGGTTATCTGGAAGCCATTCCAAGCCACCCCAGGGCCAGGCAAGACAGTGCGGTACAGGGTGGTGGCCATGCCAGGAACGCAGCAGGGGGAGCCCACTGGAGAGTGGGAGGGATGTCAGTGCGTTGGCGGAGTGGGGGTCTCTGTCCTTGTGTCTGGGGGCATTGGGCATTTTTCAGCTATGGATTTGGTAGTGGTGCAGCCGGGTGCTGGGTGCTGGGTGCTGGAGGTGGGGCAGGGGTTGAACTGCAGTGGGAGGGAAGGAGAGAGGAGGGGGAAGGGGAGGAGGGGAGGGGAGGAAGAAGAAGGGAGGAGGGCAGGAAGGGAGGGGAGGAAGAAGGGGGGAGGAGGAGGGGGGAGGAGGAGAGGGGAGGGAGGGGAGGGGAGGAGAGGAGGGGAGGAGAGGAGAGAAGGGGTGGAAGGGAGGAGAGGAGGAAGGATGAGGAGGGGAGGAGGGAGAGAAGGACCGAGAGGGGAGGAAAGGAGGGGAGGAGGAAGGAGAGAAGGGGACGAGGGAAGGAGGGAGGAAGGGGAGGAGAGGAGCCAGAGATCGGCTCCAGCTGATGCTGATTCCTGTCCGCAGCCACACCTCATTTCCTGTTTGTCCTCCTTCTGGGGCTAGCGTCTCCCAGGCCCTCCTCTTCACTCTGGTGCTCCCCCAGGGCAACCCTGAGCTCCCTCCCAGGCTGGCTGACCAGCACTGGGGTCATGGACCTGCGGTCCTGGCCCCAGGCCCTGCCTGTCCCACCCACCCACGTCCGGGCCGGCTAGTGCCCACCCTCACTGCCCCAGCCCAGACCACACTGCAGGAGGATCAAGGAGACGGTCACCCGGGGCACGGACCAGGCTTCCTGCCTCCCACCAGGCAGGCTTTTTCCCCCACCAAGGCAGGTGGGGGTCTCCCTCCCAGGGCTCCAGCTGGGGGTGGAGGTGGGGGCAGGGGGCGAGGCTGGCAGGGGTGGCCAGCCTGGTAGCGCCCCCAGGGGCTGGCACGGCCCAAAGCAGGGCAGGGCCAGGCACGGCCCACAGCAGGGCAGGGCCAGGCACGGCCCACACAGGCAGGTGGGCGACCCTCCCCTTCTCCGGAGGCCACTGGCCATCCCGCGCCCCCAGCCTGGGCCTGTCTGCCTGTCCAGGGCTGGTCTAGGGAGAAGGTCGGCTAGAGAGGATTCTGCCTCTGTTGGGGAGGAAAGGAGAGGAGAGGGTGCCAAGGCCCCATCCCTGTTGGCATAGCCCCTAGCACACAGAACAATCCCGCCCAAACGTCCACACTGTTGAGGCTGACAAACCCCTTGTCGATTATTTGGAAAATATTGAGTTTTCTCCCTGCTCACACCAGACATCGGATAAACGCCCCATGGGGCAGACAGCGTAAACCAGGGGGAACCCCACTGCTGGGATTCACCTCCTTTCTCTCTCCCTGCTCAGGGTGTGGACTTCAATGTGTGCAGCCTCCCAGGACCTCACCAGGTCAGAGCATCACGGGATGCAGAGTTTCTTGGGAGGGTCCGTGAAATCCCCTAAACCAGGGGGTCTCACCCCAGGGGAGATCCTGTCCCCAGGGGACACTGGGCAACACGTGGGGATATCTGTGGTTGTCACGACTAAGGGGAGACAACAGTCTCAAAATTCTAACTCAGTCAGGCGCGGTGGCTCGTGCCTGTAATCCCAGCACTTTGGGAGGCCGAGGCGGGTGGATCACAAGGTCAGGAGTTCGAGACCCGCCTGGCCAAGATGGTGAAACCCCGTCTCTACGAAAAATACAAAAATTAGCCAGGCGTGGTGGCACGTGCCTGTAGTCCCAGCTACTCAGGAGGCTGAGGCAGGAGAATCGCTTGAACCCAGGAGGCAGAGGTTGCAGTGAGCCGAGATCGCACCACTGCACTCCAGCCTAGGCGACAGAGCGAGACTTCCTCTCAAAAAAAAAAAAAAAAAAAAAATTCTAACTCAGTCCTGCCTGCAGAATCCCTTTCACCTAGGAAGTTCCCTTGGCCATGCCCCTTCCAGGATCTGCATCCCAAAAGACGCCCCCAGAAAGAAACGAAGGGCTTGTTGGGGAACAGATCAGCTGGGACCAGGGCACAGGGCACCAGGCTCCCTGTGTCCCTCTGAGAGCCATCTGGGTGTCTTCTGGGCTCCACCCTGGGGTAATAGGAGGAGGAGGAGAGGAAGCCAGGTGACCGGCTGAGTGCTGGCAGGGAGTGGGTGGAGGCCAGGGACGCTGCTCAGCTCCCTGCAGTGCCCAGGGCGGCCCCACCCCAGAGGATGACTGAGCCTTGAACGTCCACAGGGCGATGGGGAGGAACCCCCGGTGGAGCATCCCTAGAGCCAGGGGTCATCTGCCTGTCTCTGAGCTTCCTCAGTTTTCCCAATTGCTGCGCGAGTTTCTTTTTTTTTGTTGAGACGGAGTCTCGCTCTGTTGCCCAGGCTGGAGTGCAGTGGCGCGATCTCAGTTCACTGAAAGCTCTGCCTCCCGGGTTCATGCCAGTCTCCTGCCTCAGCCTCCCGAGTAGCTGGGACTATAGGCGCCCGCCACCACGCCCGGCTGATTTTTGTATTTTTAGTAGAGACGGGGTTTCACCGTGTTAGCCAGGATGGTCTCGATCTCCTGACCTCGTGATCCGCCTGCCTCGGCCTCCCAAAGTGCTGGGATTACAGGCGAGAGCCACCGCGCCCGGCCATTTTTTTTGTATTTTTAGTAGAGACGGGGTTTCACCATGTTGGTCAGACTGATCTCGAACTCCTGACCTTGTGATTGGCCCGCCTCGGCCTCCCATAGTGCTGGGATTATAGACGTGTGGCACCGCGCCCGGCCCGCATGAGGCTCTTGATGGCTCCCACCTGCTGGGGCTGTGGGAGAGGACAGGACCTGGGGCAGGGCCTGGCTATGGTGCCGGGAACAGACCTGCCCCTCTGGCCTGGCTCCCAGATCAGCCTTTCCTGTCTGGTGCCTGAGCTTGGCTGGACACAGAGCCCAGGCATGGGCTGAGCCTTGGTTCAGGTCTGCTCCTCATGGTCAGGGTGAATGTTGAACCCATGTCGGTCCACACTGAAAGATGGACACAGCCCCACACCTGCACCAAGGACAGTGTGCCACAGCCGCATACCACGAAATGGTCCCACTTACTCTGTGGACTGAGCTGAGTCTCCCGGAAAAACCCATCCATGTCCTAACCCTGGTACCTGTGAACGAGAAACTATTTGAAAATAGGGTCTTTGCAGATGGAACCAAGTTAAGATGAGATCACACTGAGTGGGCCCTAAGCCAATGACTGGCGTCCTTAGAAGAAGAGGAGACCGGGCGCGGTGGCTCACGCCTGTAATCCCGGCACTTTGGGAGGCCCAGGTGGGCGAATCACCTGAGGTCAGGAGTTCAAGACTAGCCTGGCCAACATGGTGAAACCCTGTCTCTACTAAAAATACACACAAAGAAGTTAGCTGGGCGTGGTGGCGCGTACCTGTAGTCCCAGCTATTTGGGAGGCTGAGGCAGGAGAATTGCTTGAACCTGGGAGGCAGAGGTTGTGATGAGCCGAGATCGTGCCGTTGCACTCCAGCCTGGGGAACAAGAGGAAACTCCATCTCAAAAAAAAATAAAAAATAAAAAGAGGAGACAGCAGGCTCAGTGGCTCATATCTGTAATTCCAGCACTTTGAAAAGCCAAGGTGGGAGGGTCCCTTGAGGTCAGGAATTCTAGTGCAGCTTGGGCAACATAGTGAGACCCCATCTCTACAAAATGTTTAAAAATCAGCAGGCAAGGTGCTGTTGTCCCATCTACTCAGGAGGCTGGGATAGGAGGATCGCTTGAGCCCAGGAAGTTGAGGCTGCCGTGAGCTATGAATGTGTCCCTGCACTCCAGCTTGGGCGACAGAGTGAGACCCTGTCTCAAAAAATAGTAAAATAGGCCGGGTGCAGTGGCTCACGCCTGTAATCCCAGCACTTTGGGAGGCCAAGGCGGGTGGATCATGAGGTCAGGAGTTCAAAACCAGCCTGGCCAACATGGTGAAACCCCATCTCTACTAAAAATACAAAAAACTATCCGGGTGTGGTGGTGCGCGCCTGTATTCCCAGCTACTTAGGAGGCTGAGGCAGAAGAATCACTTGAACCCGGGAGGCGAAGGTTGCAGTGAGCTGAGATTGTGCCACCGTACTCCAGCCTGGGTGACAGAATGAGACTCCATCTCAAAAAAAAAAAAAAAAAAAAAGGAAAATAAAATAAGAAGAGGAGACACACACACAGAGGAGGAGGCAGAGACTGGAGTGATGCGGCCACAAACCGAGGACCACCAGAGCCCCCAGAAGCTGGCAGAGGCAGGAAGCATCCTCCTAGAGCACTTGGAGGAAGCAAAGCTCTGCCCACACTTCTAGACTTCTGGGCTCCAGGACTGTGAGAGCACACATTTCTGTTGTTTTAAGCCCCCCAGTTTGTGGTCCTGCATTACAGTGGCCCCAGGAAGCTCACACGACCACACAACCCCTACGTGCGCGTGTGCGCGTGCACACACACACACACTCTTATCCTTTCCTCCAAGCACTATTTACTAGGCGCCCTCTGTGAGCCAGGCCCAGGCAAGCAGGTCTAGCAGCTCCACCCCTAGTTGGCACCTGGAGCTAACGTGTGTTTGTGCGTGTATGTGTTCACACGCACACACACGCACCCACATGCACAATAAGGGGGGCTGGGGGACCTGGTTTTCTGTCCCCCCATTGCCAAGAGTCAGGGCAATGCCAGGTGCTGGGCTGGGTTCTGGCTGGGAATTCCCCACAGGCTTCCCCCCAATGCCCCGGGGGTGGCTGAGGCCAGGCCTCCCAGCCCCTGTGGCCTGAGAGCTGTGGCCTTGCAGGCAGGGGCCCTCCAGCTTCAGGTCAGTGGGGCTCCAGCCCCTCTTGAGCTCAGGGCCTGGTTGGGGGATGGTGGGATGGGCTGTGCGAAGCTTCTGGAAACCCCTGCAGAAGAGGAGACCACAGTCCACCCAGCAGGGGAACCCCCACTCCTTGTGTGCCCCAGGCCCGGGGCCTGGGGAGCACTTTGAACCAGGATGCTGTGGGATGGGGGACTGGCAGCTCAGGACAGGCTGATTCTATCTAAGCCTGGTTTGGGGCCCCAGCCAAAATGGGACTGTGTTTTACTTCCTGTCCTGGCGACCATCCACCCCTTGGGCTCTTTCCCAGTGGGTCTCAGGTCCCAGTTCTCCCTGAAATGCTATTCGAGGACAGAGGAAGGGTCCTTCACAGACCTCGGTCCCCACCCTCTACTCTGGTTCCTGCCAACCACAAAGCAAACTCGGGGAGCTCAGTGCTCCCCAGGCAGGGTGGCCCAGGGGAAGAAGAAAGTAGGTGGCGGTGGCTGGTCCCCCAGCACTAGAAGGGAGTGGCTGGGACTCCAAGCGTGCTGGTGGTGCACGAGGGGGACTGCTGGAGCCAGCACTGGAGAACTGCAAGAGGGAGCCATGGCAGGTTCTAGAGCGAGGGCATGAACCAAGGGAGTCGGGGTATACTAGGCCTGGGTTGACAGGCCAAGGGAGTTGCCCTGTGTGGGGCCAGGCGGTAGGACACGGCCCAGGGCCTCGCAGGTCCCACGGGCCCCGCGAGCCTCAGGCGGCAAAAACAGGCCAGCTCCGGGCGCGCCGCAGGGTCGCTGCCTAGGTTCCGCACCGAGACCCCCGTGCGCCGCACTGCGCAGGCGTGCGCTAGCCGTTTCGGACACGCCCCACCGCCGGAGCGCGCAGCCGCACTGGGTTCCCGGAGAGCGCCCTCTTCTGGCTCCGCCCACGTCGTGCGCAGGGGGTGAGGCCGGGCGGAGCCTGCGTCGGGGGCGGGGCCAGAGCAGGTCCGGGCCTATAAAGGTGGCGGCGGCGGCGACGCGCCCGGCTCCTCTCAGCGGCGGTGGCCCAGGTAGAGGGGTCCGCGCTGGCGGCGGCGGCGGCGCTGTTCCCCGCGCGGTCCGCGGAGCGGGGTCCGGGCTGCGCGACGTGGGGCGGCGGCGGCACTGCGGCCCCGGCCCAAGCCCGACCCCGGTGAGTGCGAACCCCAGGGCGGCCCCGAGGACACCGACCCGGTAGCGGGAAACGGGCCCCGCGGAGCCCTCGCCGCCCCCGCCCGGTCCGCGCTCCTGGCAGGCCGGGCTCCGCTCACCGCCCTCCCTTTGTCTGCTCCCGCCCGCAGGGTCCCCTCCTCGGCCGCCCCCCGCCCGGCCGCCCGCCCTCGGGCCTCCCCCCGGGCCCTCGGTCCCCTCCCCCGCTGGCGGGGCCCGGACAGAAGATGGTGCAGAAGAAACCAGCCGAACTTCAGGGTTTCCACCGTTCGTTCAAGGTGAGGCCCGGGGTCGGTTTGGGGGCGCTCCGGGCTGGACCACCGGAATGGCCGGCGTGGGGGGCGCGGGGCCCGCCCCTAAGATCGGCTCCCGGGGCTCGTGCCTGGCCCCCGCCCTACACCCGGGGCTGCCCGGGCCGGCCGTGCGCTGAAGCGGGGTCGGTGTGCGAGGATGGGGGTTCAGCAGGCCACAGTCCTCTCTCCAGCCATGGCCGCCGGGTCCTTCCTCCAGGACCCCCAAGTGAGGCTGGGAGCAGGAGCCCCCTCCGGGTCAGGGCACCAGGCTGTGTGTCCCCTGCAAGCCCCCGCCGGGTATGTTCTGGGGGGTCAGCAGGCTGCAGTCCTGTCCCAGTCGCTGCATGTGGCTTATGGGGGGTGTCCCCTGCAAGCTCCAGCTGGTTGTGCCCTGGTGGGGACGGGTCAGCGGGCCACAGTCCCATTCCCACCTCCATGTGGCTTCTGGGGACTTTCTTTCAGAATCCCCAGGCCGGGCTGGTCAGGTGCACCCACCCCCAGGGGGCCTGTGCCGTGGGGGAGGGGATGGGATGTCCCCTCAGCCCTGCACTTCGCAGACACCCCAGGCCCAAGTGCTGTTTCCTGTCGGAGCGGGAAGTTTCTGCGCAGCCCGGGTGGTGACTGCTGTTGAGTGCTGGTTTCAGATGAGCAAATCTTGGGGGGGAAGGGGAGGGCAGGTGCTGGGCAGGGGCCCCGCAGGACCTGGCCCAGGGGACGCAGTGATGTCAGCCGGCCCGCCCCACCCCTCAGGCCGGGGTTATGTAATCGCTTCACTGGGCTTCCTTGGGCAGGGACCTGTTGCCCGGTAGGGAAGGCAGGACTGGAGAGAGGAAGAGAGAGTGTGAGTGTATGTGTGTGTGTTTGTGTGTGTGTGTGTCTCTGTCTTGTGTGTACACACAACGCGGTGCTCCAGGGTGGGAGGAGCAAAGAGAGACTGGGAAGAATTCCCAGGTCTGTCCAGCCAGTGCCCCAGGGCAGCACTCCACCCCTGCCACCCCTGCCCAGTTTTCCCCTAGGGCAGCAGGCCTGGCACCATCAGAGTGTCAGGGGCTGGGCGGGAAAGAGGAGGACCTGACAGTGGTCTTCTCCCTCCTAGGGCCAGGCATGAGCTGATACAGAGTCAGTGCATGGGGCCAGCCAGGCAGCTAAAGCACACTTGAACTTTCTAGATGGTTCCAGCCACCTCCTGCCAAGGCCTGCTGACTCGAGTCCCACAGCCAGACCTAGAACAGTGGGACCAGGACCGCCCACACTGCCCAGGATTGTGGGCCGGCCTCTGTGCATGGCCAGGGCAGCCTGGCTGGGAGCTGGGAAGGTGGGCGTCTTGGTGGAGGAGGGCCTGGCAGGCAGTCCTGGCTGTGAGGTGTTCCTCCAGGTGGCCGGGACCGGTTGCTCTAGGAATCTCCCCCCACAGCCCCCACCATGCACGGCTGCTCCCTGGATTGGGGCCACCTCTCCTGAAATACTCTCCTTGCCTCCAGCAGGCAGCAGCCCAGCAGGGAGGCACGTCTGTGGGTGCCTTGGGTTTCTTTCCGTTCGCAGATGGGAAAGTGAGGCTCTGAGACTGCAGGCGCGTGTGCCTGGGGCTCCCCTGTACACGGGCGAGGAGGCCGCGGAGTCTCGTGGTGCCTGGCCCCTCCGCTGTGGTGGCTGCGGCCGTCCATCTGTAGCTTTGCTGAGTTGGAGGCTGTGGCTGGCACAGGGGAACGGTGGCCAGACAGGGCCAGGAGCTCACGCTGGGCTCTGTGGCCCCTTAGGTCATTTCACTCTCGTGAGCTCCCACGAGTTGGGGGCAGCTGCCTCCCGTCTCACCGCTGACAGACCCCAGGGTGAGGTCACTAGGCCAAGGTCAGACAGCAGGTGAACTCCAGTCTGGCCTTAGACCCTGGTCACCTGCCTTGTGGTGGCTGCCCCAGGGCCACCAGGGGCCTCTGGACAGGAGCCTTATGGGAATGCTGACTCCCATGGGGGCTAGTTGGAGCCCCCCCCTTCCTTCCCTCCTCCCCCAGCAGCCTCCTGGTAGCTATCTGCCCGAGCCAGGGTGGGTGGGGAGGCAGGAGGGCAGCTTGGCTCACGGCCCCTCCCAGACTCTGCCCTCTGGCCTCCACCCATCTCCTGGCCTTGGGTCTCCCACGGGCTCCACTGGAGTCTCACTTCTGCTGAACGACCCTCTTGTTAGAGCCCCACTCAGGTTGTCTGGGGCCCAGAGAGGGGCAGTGACTTGGCCCAGAGCAGCCAGCATCCTCACTGGGACTGGGACCCCCGCCACCTCTGTGGGCCCCTCCCGCCTGGGTTCACCCAGACGGGTGAAGCTGAGTGAGAGCTCAGTGGTACAAGGAACCTGACCGGGCCTCGGTTCCCCAGCTTCAAAGGCCCGGCCCCTCGTAAAGGGCCGGCAGTCCCTGCGCTGGGCCATTTGCTCTGTGGAAACGTACATATGTATGCCACCATCTTCCACGGGGGCTGGGCAAAGCCTACTCTAATCTGCACTGTTCCTTGCACCCTGGTCAGGGTCTTGCTCCCATGGTCCTGGGGCTGGGTCAAGAAATGACCCAGCCCCAGCCTGCCCAGTGCAACAGGCCTGGATTTGAATCCTGGCCCCCAGGGCCCAAGGCGGCTTCCTTAGCCGGGTATCAGGGCCCACCAGGGGCTCCCTCCAGGGGTGTCTGGCACTGAAATGGGAGAGTGCAGGATGTGGTCTGGGCAGGGCCTGGCACACTCGCGCCTGTGGGTGCCTCTCCCGTGAGCCCCCAGGACCAGTACAGCACTGTGTATACTGACTCGGTAACTGGTAGCTGCGGGGTTGGGGGGCTGGAAGCAGATGAGCCTCTGGTGGGTGGCGGGGGCGTAGGTGCACAGAGCTGGCAGGGGAAAGGTGTGCCGGGCAGCTGCGGGACATGGGCGGAGGAATGCAGGTGTCTGGGCTTGGGTAGGGGCAGAAGGCAGGGGTGATGGAAGCAGAGCCCCCACCTTCAGCAGGCCCCAGAGCACCAGGCACTGAATTCTTACCCCGCCAGCCCCAGGCACTGAGCGAAAGGGAGGGGAGCAGCTTAGGGGAAGGAGAGGTGGTTGTGTGCCATCTTAGATGGGGGAAACTGAGGCCCAGGGAGGACTCAGCTGCCCTGAGATGGCCCAGGAGGCCGTGGGAAAGCAGGCACAGCCACCAGGCTGGCAGCCCGCCTAGTGACTCACCTCCTTCCCACTGCCCCGCTGCCTTTGATCCCCGCGACCCGCCCCAGAGGTCAGCCGTCCCCATTCTGTGGACAAGCAGACGGAGGTGCAAGACACGGCTTGGGCCCCACGGTGACTCAATCCTGGCATCAGAGGCAGGGTTCCCAAGAGCCAGCTGCTTGTGTCTGTCCCCTCCCCGCAATGCACCCCTTTCCCAGAGGCCCCCAGGGCTCTGCAGGTGGGAGGAGGTCTTCCCCACGGCCCTGTGGAGGTTGGGGCCCATCTTTCTCTGGGGTGGGGCTGTCCTGGGCACTGCAGGGTGCTGAGCAGCACCCCTGCCCCACCCCACTCCGTGCCAGGAGCTCCCCCAACCGGTCACAACCACAGATGTCCCCAGACATGGCCCAGTGTCTCCTGGGGGACAGAATCACCCCCTGGGTTGGCAAATTCCATGGACCCCCTAAGAGACTCTGCGTCCCCTGATCTTGCCTTGCTGAGGTGCTAGGAGGCCTCACGCCTTCCACATGTGGCCCACACCTGTGATCCCAGCACTTTGGGAGGCCAAGGCAGGAGGATCGCTTGAGGCCAGGGGTTTAAGACCAGCCTGGGCAACGTAGCAAGACTTTATCTCTACAAAACATAAATTTAAAAAAGAGAGAAATCCACACACACACTGAGTGTGGGGCAGCGAGGAGGTGAATCCCAGGAGCTTGGGGGTCCCCTGGTTTATGCTGTCTGCCCCTTCGGGAGTTGATCCTGGTGGGAGTTGATCCTGGTGTGTGAGCGGGGACGGAGTTGATTTTTCCGTAATGCTCAGCGCAGGGCTTGTCAGTGTGGACGCTGCGACACTGGGGCAGGATAGGTCTCCCTGCTGCGTGGGCAGGGATGGGGCCTGAGTGCCTCTCCTCTCCTCTCCCCTGCAGGGGCAGAACCCCTTCGAGCTGGCCTTCTCCCTAGACCAGCCCGACCACGGAGACTCTGACTTTGGCCTGCAGTGCTCAGCCCGCCCTGGTGAGGGGCCCGAGGGGGAGGAGGGCACAGGGCAGCTGCTGTCGCTGCCATGGCAGTGGCCAGCCCCTGCAGGGGGGTGGGGGCCGGCCGGCCAGGGCCATGTCCTGAGCCCCCTGGGCGTGCCTCCTGGAACAGACATGCCCGCCAGCCAGCCCATTGACATCCCGGACGCCAAGAAGAGGGGCAAGAAGAAGAAGCGCGGCCGGGCCACCGACAGCTTCTCGGGCAGGTTTGAAGGTGAGCGGGGATGGCGGGCATTGGGGGAGCCGGGAGCGGGGAAAAGCCAGGGTCCCTCTCACGCCCGCCCCGCTGCCCGGCAGACGTCTACCAGCTGCAGGAAGATGTGCTGGGGGAGGGCGCTCATGCCCGAGTGCAGACCTGCATCAACCTGATCACCAGCCAGGAGTACGCCGTCAAGGTGGGCCCGCGCCGCGCCCTGGGGAACCCAGCGCCTTGGGATCGGTGTTGAGCGGGGGTGGAAACAGTGTGTGGCATTCCGGCTGTCCGTCCTACAGCCGGGAAGACCCGTGTCTAAAAGTGGCCACCGGGCCCTGAGTCCAGTCGGGAATGACAGTGAGGGTGGCCCCTCTGGTACCAGGGTGGGGGCTTCAGACAGAGGCACTGTGCCCATTGGGTCCCCTGGGCCGTCCCTGCCTCTGAGCTGTCCCTGAGGGTACATGACAGTTTGGTTTCAAGGATCAAAATGCAATGTCATATCCCAGGGCCCAGAGGGGCTCTGCGTTTGGGGAACCTCAGTGCAGGCCCGTGAGAGCCCCCTGTGTCACTCTAGCCCTGGGCGGCTGCTGGACCCAGGGTGTGGCCGAAGGGCTGGGAGCAGGAGCCCTGTTGAGGCTCTGGTTGTGACCCTGTGACCTTGTGGGCCGGTTGGATCCCGTGTTCCAAGAAATCTTCCAGGCTTCCCTCGTGACCTGGCATCCGGCTCCCGGGCTGGGTGGGGTCCCAGGAGGGCTGGCTGCCTGGGAAAGAGGGCCAGGTGTGCCCTGGCGAGCAGGGCTCGCCAGGAGCCTGTGGGTCCTGGTGGACGGCCAGGCTAGAGCTTTCCTCTGAGGAGAAGGAGGAAGAAGAGGGGTGGCCAACCTGGGGAGGTTACTGGCTAGGTGCTGGGACCACAGTGGCAGCAGGCAGGGACAGACACAGTACGGACGGTCCCTGCCTCCTGGGAGCCCCCAGGCAGGCCAAGGCAATGGTGCAGGAGCACTAGGCCCCTCCGGAAGCACTTCCACACAGCAGGCGTTCCTCTGAGCACAGCCCTCTCCTGGTGGCCCAGCCTTGCTTCCTGTCTTTGTTTGACAGATAGGGACACTGAGGCTCAGGGGGTTAGGTAGCCTGACTCATGCTGTGTGGCCTCTGGGGGATCCTAACTGGTGTCTCAGAGCCACCTCCCTGGTCATCTTGCCACATTGACCTGGTGTGGTCAGTGTTGGGATCTGCAGAGCCTGGGGGACTTCCTGCTGGAGGTGTTGTTGGCCACTGACGTCCGGGAGTTGGTCTGGCCAGGTGGCAGTGGGAGGAGGAGGTGTCCTGGGCGAGTCAGAGAGGCGAATCGCTGGGCCTGTGGGTCTGAGGAGCGTTGTTTCGTTCTATGGGGACTGGGGTGTGGGCCCTCTGCCCTCGGGGTCATGCTGCGGGAAGCCACCCTGGGGTCACCTGGTGCCGTGAGGCTGCTGGCTGGATGCAGAGCCCCCATGCTGGGACCTCAGAATAGGCCCCTTCCATGCCAGGAGGGGCTGCGCCCCCTCCCTGAAGCAGCATTCTAGCCAGCCACCCAAGGGACAGGACGAGGTTCAGTTTTGTCCAGAACCATCTGCAGTGCCTGCTGGGCACAGCTTTCAGCAGCGGCCTGGGTGGTGGTATTTCAGGACACCCTGGCGTCCAGTTGTTCTCTTGCCCCTCGCTGGGACAGTGTTGTCTGTCAGTATAGACATGGGACTGCAGAGGCAGGAGCCAGGGACTCAAGGGTGGAATGCCACATCCCTGCTGCCACCAGGCCATCGCACTGGGCAGGGAACCCTGGGCAGAGTGCTCATGCAGCCAGGCACCCGCCCAGTGAGAGGGGCTAACATGTCCAGCCTGGCAGGAGGGTCCCAGCAGGTGCCAGGGGAAGCTGCAGACGCCTCCTCACCCCACCTCTGTGAGTGAAGGTGGCAGGGAGCAGCTGGAGCTGCTGGGGGCAGTAGAGTGGCTTCCTGAGGCTCTGGGGCTCAGGGAGGCTGGATCCGCCAGTGGCTGGGACAGCCAACCAGGGTGGGCCCGAAACAGATATTGGCTGAGGCGGCAGGCAAGTGTCTGCCCAGGCTGGCACGGAGCTGGGGAGCAGGACTTGGTGCTGTGGCCACATGTGAGGTGGGGCCTGGTGGGCTGGCAGCCAGGTGTCCTGAGGCCTCCCTAGTTCTATGGGTGACCAGGTACCCACCCTGTGGGGAAAGAGGACTACAGCTGACTGTCTCTGGGTCAGGGAGGGTGGCCGCCCAGGGCAGGGAACCCTCACGTCCTGTGGGGGTATTTTGCAGAAGTCATAGGTCTCAAATGTGTCTCTGAGGGCTGTCAGGGTCACAGGTGGAGAGCAGCCTCCACTGGCTTTTTTTTTTTTTTTTTTTTTTTTTTTTTGAGGCGAAGTCTCACTCTGTCACCAGGATGCTGGAGTGCAATGGCGCGATCTCAGCTCCCTGCAACCTCCACCTCCCGGGTTCAAGTGATTCTCCTGCCTCAGCCTCACAAGTAGTTGGGATTACAGGCGTGTACCACCACACCCAGCTAATTTTTATATTTTCAGTAGAGACAGGGTTTTGCCATGTTGGCCAGGATGGTCTCAATCTCCTGACCTCATGATCCACCCGCCTTGGCCTCCCAAAGTGCTGGGATGACAGGCGTGAGCCCTGCTTTCTAGAGTTGCAGGGCGTTAAGTGTGGTGAATTCCAGCCGTGGCAGTGGAGTTTCTGGCCCCTTCTCGACTATGAGCGTCCCACCAACCCAGGTGCTGTGTCCTTTCGCCTGTTTCAGATCATTGAGAAGCAGCCAGGCCACATTCGGAGCAGGGTTTTCAGGGAGGTGGAGATGCTGTACCAGTGCCAGGGACACAGGTAGGTGAGCCACCCTTGCCACCGCACTGGCCTGAGCTGTCTTTCAGTGGATGAAGGGCCTGAGTGCCACATCACCCCCAGCAAGCGTCTGTAGGGCACCCAGTTTCCCAGGCCCTGCATTCCCCTCCCTGAAGCAGGCTGGCTGACAGCCCCAGGCGGGCAGTGTGAAGCTGGCCTATTGCCCCAGTCCCAGCTTCCGGTGGACAGGCCAGCACCAAGAGGGTGGGCCCCTCCTAGGCCGGGCAGCAGGTACCCAGGGGCCTCAGGAAGCCTCAGCTCCTCTCCTGCCCCCACCCCCACCCCAGGAACGTCCTAGAGCTGATTGAGTTCTTCGAGGAGGAGGACCGCTTCTACCTGGTGTTTGAGAAGATGCGGGGAGGTACCTGGGGGCTCCAGGCTGTGAGGAGGGAGGGAGCTGGGAGGTATTACGGGATGGGGGCCTAGTGCCACCTGCAGGAGGGGGCTTGTGGGGTGAGTGTCCTGCCCAAATGGTGGCTCAGGGGTGAGGCCTTTGTGCTGGAGGAAGCCAGTGTGGGGGCGTCCCCGCCAAAGTGGAGGTGGGTGCTGGCCTTGAGGGGACTTTGAGGTGACCTGCGTGTTCCCCCTGTCCTGCCCTGCCCTGCCCTGCCCAGGCTCCATCCTGAGCCACATCCACAAGCGCCGGCACTTCAACGAGCTGGAGGCCAGCGTGGTGGTGCAGGACGTGGCCAGCGCCTTGGACTTTCTGCATAACAAAGGTAGGTGGTGACCCCGCCCGGAGTCTCCTAGGGCCGCCTGCCAAGGACTCCTGGAAGACCTCCAGACCCTCACCCCGTCGTGGTTCTGTGGCTTCTCCCCCAGGCATCGCCCACAGGGACCTAAAGCCGGAAAACATCCTCTGTGAGCACCCCAACCAGGTAGGCCAGTTCCGGCAGGGTGGCCCCGCGGGAGGGGTGGACCGCGTGGGACCCCAGGCTCACGGACCTTTTGGCCCCTCCCAGGTCTCCCCCGTGAAGATCTGTGACTTCGACCTGGGCAGCGGCATCAAACTCAACGGGGACTGCTCCCCTATCTCCACCCCGGAGCTGCTCACTCCGGTGAGGGCCCGCGGGGAGGGCTGGGGGCTCGGCCGCCTGCTCTGCGGTTGCATAACCTCGCGGAGCCTGGGCCATCCAGCAGCTCCAGGCCGCGGAGCTCGGGCTTCCGCCTAGCAACAGCCGCTGATTGGTTGGGCGGGGTGTCGCGGCGGGGCCTCGAGCAGGCGCCCCAACGCGTCGGTGTTTGGCCGGGTGGGGCGGGGCCGCGGCGGGGGAGGGGCGAGCTCTGCACCTGCTGATTGGGCGGGGGCGCGTTCCCGGCAGCCGCTGATTGGTCGGGCCCGGCGGGGCGGGGTCCGAGCCGGCTGGCGCAGGTGACCCGCAGTTACCCGGGCTCGGTTCCCACGTAATGCTGGGAAACCCCGGCTGACGCGCCCCTCCCCCGCCCGCAGTGCGGCTCGGCGGAGTACATGGCCCCGGAGGTAGTGGAGGCCTTCAGCGAGGAGGCTAGCATCTACGACAAGCGCTGCGACCTGTGGAGCCTGGGCGTCATCTTGTATATCCTACTCAGCGGCTACCCGCCCTTCGTGGGCCGCTGTGGCAGCGACTGCGGCTGGGACCGCGGCGAGGCCTGCCCTGCCTGCCAGGTGCGGCGGCCCGCGCACCCTCCTCTCCTGGGCACCCTCCTCCCCCGGGCCTGCCCTGAACACCCCCTAACCCCAGGGGACCTGCCCTGCGCACCCTCTAAGTCCAGGGGACCTGCCCCCTGACCACCCCCTAACCCTCGGGGACCTGCCCTGTGTGCTCCCCAGACCCCCGGGGACCTACTCTGTACTCCCCCTAACCCCTGGGGACCTGCCCGGTGTGCCCTACTCCCTGATGCCATCCACAGGGCAGTGCCGCCCTGTCTGCCAGTTTCCCGAAGGCTTTTCAGGTTTGCCTGCCCAAGGGAAACCCCAGACAGGGTTCAGAGAGCTGAGAGGTGGAGTGAGGCCCCTGGTTTGGGGGGATCAGGCTCAGGCTCCCTGCCCGCGGCTTAAGGCTCAGCATCTGTGGCCTGTGGTCCCTGGAACCAGGTCCCTCAGAGCTGCTTTTTTGTAAATCCAGCTCCACTTGGGTGGAGCTGACTCTCCTGGTCCGGCTCCCAGCCCCCTCTGCCCCAGGCGTGCGTGGTCTAGGGCCTGGTCTAGGGCCTGGTTGGGGTCCGGTTGGAGCCACGTGTCAGTGCACAGTATCCAGGCCCTTGGGCAGGTCTAAGCTCCCCTGTGTTCTATGTCCCCAGAACATGCTGTTTGAGAGCATCCAGGAGGGCAAGTACGAGTTCCCCGACAAGGACTGGGCCCACATCTCCTGCGCTGCCAAAGACCTCATCTCCAAGCTGCTGGTCCGTGACGCCAAGCAGAGGCTGAGTGCCGCCCAAGTCCTGCAGCACCCCTGGGTTCAGGGGGTGAGTACCAGCCGCACGGGCGGCAGGAGGGGTATGGGGGCGCTGCAGGGTGGCCTCAGAGCGAGCATGGGAAGCCCTGAGGGTGTAGCCTGGACACCCTGAGATGCACTGAGGCTTGAGAGCACAGGCTCTGCCCTGGGATGAGGGGTGCAGCCGAAATCCCCACCGCCCGCCTGTGCACGGTGCCCGCTGGCCAGCCAGGCGGCTCCCAGGAGCAGCTACTCAGAGAACCTTCCTGGAGGGTGGTGGGGACCCACAGCCTGCAGCAGGCTGGAGCGAAGCGGGCAGCGAGCCCAGCTCACATAGACCCCAGCCTAGCCTGCCGTCAGTCTCAAGCCCAGGCTGTGCCTCCACCCTTCCCTGTGTGGCCTCCAGTCGAGGAGGAGTCGGGTGTTTCTCCTGCCAGAGGTCATCTGAGCTGAGCTGCCACCCCAGGGAGTGAGGATTTACTAAAAATAGAAGCTGGGGTCACTCTGTGTCCCCAGGCGAGGGGCTGGGGGCCTCCAATCTCCTTGCAGAAGCATCCAGAGACCCATGGGTTAAGAGGGGGGCGGAGGTGGGTTTGGGCTGGGAACAGCCGGGAGAGATGGGGCTTGGGGCTCTGCCCCCACCCTCACTGGGTCCTGTAACACCAGGCCTCAGCCTGGCCCAGCCTCGGGTTCCCTGGGCAGGGGGACATGGAGCCTCACCATAGGGACCTCGGGGTGGGCGCTTGGCTCCCGGGGCACCCAGGTGCACTCCTGGTCTCCGGTGGGGTCCTGGTGATGGGATGGGCATGGCATCCCTTGGCCAGACACCCCACCCAGCGCCCCAGGCGGCCCCAGCTGCTCTCCAGCCCTGCCCCCGCCCACTCTCGTTGCAGTGCGCCCCGGAGAACACCTTGCCCACTCCCATGGTCCTGCAGAGGTAAGGCCCGCAGGGGTGCTCGGGACCCCTGAGTCCAGGGGGCGGGGTTTCCAGGTTAAGACATTTGTGAAAGACCCGGAGAACTGCTTTGGGGTCGGGGAGGCAGGCAAGCCTGGTGACTCAGTGAAGCTCCCGGTGGGGCCCTGGTGCTCAGAGGAGCCCCAGGGTGGGGGCTGGGAGGGGGGCATGAAGCCCCTTCCCCCAGGGCCTTCACAGACCCCAGGGGTCCCCTGAGGGGTGCCTCTTGGTGACCACCTACCCCCACCCCGTTTCCCAGGAACAGCTGTGCCAAAGACCTCACGTCCTTCGCGGCTGAGGCCATTGCCATGAACCGGCAGCTGGCCCAGCACGACGAGGACCTGGCTGAGGAGGAGGCCGCGGGGCAGGGCCAGCCCGTCCTGGTCCGAGCTACCTCACGCTGCCTGCAGCTGTCTCCACCCTCCCAGTCCAAGCTGGCGCAGCGGCGGCAAAGGGCCAGTCTGTCCTCGGCCCCAGTGGTCCTGGTGGGAGACCACGCCTGACCCTCCCATCTCCCCTCTGTACATAGGTCACCCGTCCCCCAATCAAATCTAAAGGTTTTTTAAGCTATCGCCAGCCGGTGTCCAGCGGGCTGCCCCTCCTCTGCCTGGATTCCCAGGCACTAAGCTCAGCTGAGGGGGGTGTTTTATAGAAGGTTTTTGCTTTTGGGTTTTTTTTTTCCTGTTTCCACCCCTCCCCGTTATTTTTTCCTTTGGATGGTTAAAAGCATTGCAGGCACCCGGGAAGGTGAGCAGAGGGTAGGTGGGTGGGCTTGTCCCCTCCCCGGTCCCCCGCCCTGCTCACCTCTACTATGAAGGTGCCCCCAGGTCACCTGTGCTGCCCGCCATCTGCCCACGTGGCTTGCAGTGACTCAGGAGAGCAGGCCCACAGCGTTTGCCATCTTGCAGAGCTGGGGAGGGGCACAGGACCCTGCCCTCGTGTTCCCTCCCAGCCCGCAGTATTTCAGGGACAGGCTCTTCCCCTCTATCCCTCACCCTGAGAGCACCCCTGGTGGCTTGGTTGGGGAAGGGAGGGGCTGCCTGTCTCTGGAGGTGTCAGGCAGGCAGGTGGCAGGCAGCTCACCCACCCACCCCATGGGATCCCCCAGCCCTTCACCCGCGCCTGCCTTGTCCCCATGATAGTTGACAATCGGGGCTTCCTGCAAGGCCCGTCTGTCTGTCCAGGACTCCTGGTGGCCAGATTCGGCCTCCGACCTTGACCTTAAACTGCAGCTGACCCCAGGGGCTCGCCGCTGCCCCTCCCCTCCACACCAAGGCCTGAGACAGCAGGAGCCCCGCCTGGCCCGAAGCCGTTTCCACCGCAGCAGGCAGAGGGGCTGGACAGGCACTGTCAGCCAATGTGGGGGGTCCTGAAGACACCCCCTTGGGGCACCCGAGTGCCCCTTCTCAGGGCTCAGTCTGACCGTAGCCACGTCCTGCCTCGCGCCGCCCCTCGGGCCTGACCTGGAAGCTCCGTCAGCTCCGTCCTTGTCCTTAGAGCTGAGCCCAGACCCCGGGGTCTGGCCGAATCCTCACCCCCAGGGCAGTGTTTTTGGTCTGCCACCTTCAGGAAAACGGCTGCGGCCTCGGCCTCCCTTCGGGCACCCAGGAATGCGGGGGTCTGCTCAGTCCCCCCACCCTCCATGCTCCAACCCCCGGGGGCTGCGGAGCCTGCTGCCCCCTCCCCGCGGGTGGGGACGTTCTATGCAATACAGGGTTCCACTTTAGAAGTGCGCGCGGCTAGGGTCACCGCCCGCCCTTCCCGGCGCAGCCCCCGAGCTCCACAGCTGGGGCAGCCCCTCTGGCTTCTAAATCCGCGGTCGGGATTCTTCCTCCTGTTTAGTTTTTTAGTTTTTCCTTAAAAAAAAACAACACATCGATGGACTTTGCTTCCCTGTTCTTGAAGAATACTTGAATGTCGGGGGGCCTGGGGGTGGGGGCCTCGGAGACCGTCTGCCTGGCCCTGCTGCCCCTCCTGAATCTCGTATGATGGTCACAGTCCGGTGGCCGTGGGGGTGCTCTGCCTTCCCTGGTCCCCACTGCCCATATCTGTGGACTGCCCCTTCCAAAGACCCCTGGGGGGGGTGGGGCATTCCGCCCACCCCTTTCCCCCATCACTTCTCGCCTGTCAGTGATTCCATGTTTCGTAACGGGGGATTCTCTGCCTTTTTGTATCAAAGAACAAGCAAATGGACCCCCGCCCGCTGCAGGCGCCCATAGCCATCGGGTCTCTAAAGCTGAGTGGCTAGCAGCGTTTGTTTGTTTGTTTTTTTTTTTTTTTCTGAAGGTGGGACAGTCACTTCCTCCTCCCTCCCCACCCCTGTCGCATCCACGTGCGACCTGGAGGACTGGTCAGAACCGTTACTGTGAATGAGTGAAGATCCTGGAGGACCCTGGGCCCCAGGCCAGCTCCCATCGCTGGGGGACGGTGAACGGCCATGTGTTAATGTTACGATGTTTTTAAAAGACAAAAAAAAAAAAAAAACCTCAAAAGTTTTTTTAAAGTGGGGGAAAAACATCCAAGCACTTTAATTCCAATGTACCAGGTGAACTGACGGAGCTCAGAAGTTTTCCTTTACACCAACTGTCAATGCCGGAATTTTGTATTCTGTTTTGTAAAGATTTAATAAAAGTCAAAAAACTTGCTGTGTGCCTGAGTTTTAGTTTTCTGTCACCGCATAAGGAGCCATCCACAACCAGTTGGTGCAAAACCACGTTGTTGCTGGTGATGCTGAGTCAGGAGTTTTGAGGGGGTGCGCTCCTGTGGGGTCTGTCTCTGCTCCAGGATGCCTGGATGCACTGCTGGGAAGACAGGCAAAAAGCTGAGCTCGGCTGGGAGCAGTGGCTCACGCCTGTAATTACCCAGCACTTTGGGAGGCCAAGGCAGGTGGATCACTCGAGGTCTGGCCAACATGATGAAATCCCGCCTCTACCAAAAATACAAAAATTAGCCCGGTGTGGTGCAACATGCCTGTAATCCCAGCTACTCTGGAGGCTGAGACACAAGAATTGCTTGAACCCAGAAGGCGGAGGCTGCAGTGAGCCGAGATGATGCCACTGCACTCCAGTCTGGGCGATGAGCAAGACTGTCTCAAAAAAAAACAAAACAGGCCTGGCGCGGTGGCTCACGCCTGTAATCCCAGCACTTTGGGAGGCCGAGGTAGGGAGATTGCTTGAGGCCAGGAGTTCGAGACTGGCCTGTGCAACTTGGGGAAACCCTGTCTCTACTAAAAAACTACAAAAATTAGCCGGGCGAGGTGGCGGGTGCCTATAGTCCCAGGTACTTGGGAGGCTGAGGCAGGAGAATTGCTTGAACCTGGGAGGTGGAGGTTGCAGTGAGCCGAGACGATGCCACTGCACTCCAGCCTGGGTGACAGAGCAAGACTCCATCTCAAAAAAAAAAAAAAAACCCAGGCGTGGTGGTGCACACCCATAGTCCCAGCTGCATGGGAGGCCGAAGCGGTTGGACAACTTGAGCCCAAGGAGGTAGAGGCTGCAGTGAGCCGTGAGCATGCCACTGACTCTAGGCTGGGTGATAGAGTGAGACCCTGTCCTTTTTTTTTTTTTTGAGACAGAATCTCATTCACAGCCCAGGCTGGATGGAGAGCAGTGGTGCCATGTCTCGGCTCACTGCAACCTCTGCCTCCTGAGTTCAGGGATACTCCTGCCTCAGCCTCCCGAGTAGTTTGGGATTATAGGCGTGCGTCACCACGGCCCAGCTAATTTTTTGTATTTTTTTTTTTTCCTTTTTGAGACAGTTTCGATCTTGTTGCCCAGGCTGGAGTGCAATGGCGTGATCTCAGCTCACCGCAACCTCCGCCTCCCAGGTTCAAGCGATTCTCCCGCCTCAGCCTCCCGAGTAGCTGGGATCACAGACATGTGCCACCACGTCCAGCTAATTTTGTATTTTTAGTAGACTCGGGGTTTCTCCACGTTGGTCAGGCTGGTCTTGAACTCCCGGCCTCAGGTAATCTGCCCACCTCGGCCCCTCAAAGTGCTGAGATTACAGGCGTGAGCCACCGCACCAAGTCAATTTTTTGTATTTTTAGTAGAGACAGGGTTTTGTTATGTTGGCCAGGCTGTTCTCGAACTCCTGGCCTCAAGTAATCCAGCTGCCTTGGCCTCCCAGCGTGCTGGGATTACAGGCGTGAGCCACCACACCCAGTCAGGGCTCAGCTGCGAGCTCTTCACCAGGGCCAGCGCCTGCAGGGAGCCTCCCCGTGTGGCTTGGGCTTCCTCACAACATGGCAGCTGTGTTCCCAAGCTCGGGCTCCAGTAAGCAGGGTTCCAAGCAAACAAAGCAGAAGCTGCCAGGCTGACCTGCTGAGAAGCCAGGCAGCGCCACCCCCGCCACCTTCTCTGGTTTCACAGAAGACGCGAGGCCCGCCCAGGTTCAAGGGAAGGGGAAGGGTCTCCTCCTGGGAGAGGGTGAGAGACGTTGTTGCCGCTGCCTTGGGACTGTGCAACCTAACAAGTCCTAGTAATTGTAACCTTCTGCACATGGCCGGCCCCTGCCTGCTTTAGGGTTCACCCCCCTCAGCCATTATTAAGTTTTTGTTGCAGGCAGGACGCTGTGCTGGGGCTGGTGGCAGAGAAGATGAGCTGGACGGCCAAGGGCTGACCTCAGATCCTGGAGTTGGGTGTAGACCAGGAAGGGCTTCCTGGAGGCGGGAGCGGAAGGAGGACAGCGAAGCCTAGTGGTTAAGGAGGCCAGCCTGGGCTGAAATCCCAGCTGTATCCAGGCTACTGTGTGCCTCAGTTTCCGGATTCATCAAGCGGGAGCCAAGGGCAGCCAGGTGAGCTACAGGCTGGTAGCGCAGTGCAGGGACAAAACCCAGCAAGAAAGAAACCGATGACGTCGCCTGAGGGGGCGGGACTTGAGGCCTGGAGGGGGCGAGGCTTGGCGTCTGGGGGTGGGGCTTATTATATGGGGCGGAGCCTTGGACTTGGTGGGCGGAGCTTGGAATCTGAAGGGTTAGGGCCTCGTCTGGGGCGAAGTTTGGGGCCTGGAGGGGCGAGGCTTGGGGGAGGTTCCCAGACGGGGCGGGGCTTGTGTATTGGGTGAGGTTTGAGGCCTGGAAGGCAGAGACTTATGGCCTGGGGGGCGGAGCTTTTGCCTGGAGGGAGCGGGGCTTATGAACTGGAGGTGGGGGTGAGGCTTGTGTCTGGGGCCAGGTTTGGGCCTGGAAAGGCGGGGCTTGCGGTCTGGAGGGGCGGGGTTTGGGCCTGGAGGGGGCTGGAGGCAAGAGAGATGGCGCTCGGGACGGAAGGGTTCCCTGCCCTGCCCCAGGAGCCTGCATGGGAGAAGGCGTGAGGAGGTGAAGGAAGCTTATGGTACCTGCACACCGACAGGCTGGAGCGCGAGAGTAAGCACCGTGTGGGGACACACCCGACCACGGCCGGGGAGGGGGCGGCACCCCAAAGGCAACAGGGAACCCAGGCAGCATTTTATTTTTTCAGATAACAGCTTTACTGTGATAAAACTCAGCACCTGGCCGGGTGCGGTGGCTCACTCACGTAATCCCAGCCCTTTGCGAGGCCGAGGCGGGAGGATCACCTGAGGTCAGGAGTTTGAGACCAGCCTGGCCAACATGGTGAAACCCCATCTCCACTAAAAATACAAAATTAGCCGGGCGTGGTGGCAGTTGCCTGTAATCCCAGCTGCTAGGGAGGCTGAGGCAGGAGGATCGCTTGAGCCCAGGAGGCTGAGGTTGCAGTGAGCCGAGATTGCACCACCGTACTCCAGCCTGGGCAACACAGCGAGACTCTTTCTAAAAAACAAAACAAAACAAAACAAAAAAACCTCAGCACCGCTGTTCACCCACTGCGTCTAAAATTCAATGGTTTTAGCACACGCAAAGTTGTGCAGCCTTCGCCTCTAATCCAATTCTGCAACATTCTCATCACCCGGAACAGCAAGCCCGCCCCACCGGCAGTCACTGCCTTTCCCCACCTCCCCAGCCCCCGGTGGTCACTAGTGCACTCTCTGTCTCTGGGGATTTGCCTGTTCTGGACTTTTCATGTGAATGGCCCCGGGGGTGGTGGATTCCAGCTGGGCCTAGAGGAGGAAGGGTCCGGGGAGACCCAGGTGGAGCAGAGACCACGGCCATGGCCAGGACGGGCCCAGCCCTGCAGGGCTAACTGCTGGGGGAGGTGAAGGGTGGGCCGGGCACCGGGGGTCTGTCACCCCCTGCAGGGCACTTCGTGGCTACCCCACAGTCCCGACTGAACCCCATGACCCATGAAGTCCTTCTAGCCCTGTTCTGCAGCTGCAGTGGGAGGGAGGGGCTCAGGGTCCTCCGTTAGCTTCCCCCACAGCCTCAAGGCACAGACTGGAAATCGAGGTTCCGAGCTGTCCCCTGGAAAAGGGGCTATGGGGCTGGCAAGATGACTGCCAACCTGGGCCTCAGTTTCCCCATCTGGAAAACAGAGGGCTGGGCCAGATGACCACAGGGTGGGGCCTGGCCAGGCCTCTACCCTGGACAGTGGCAGCCCCCAGAAACCCAGAGGGTCCCAGCTCCCAGGTTTTCTCTGGGTGCTGCGGCCAACCTGTCTGAGCCTCATCCGAGCTGGGGACGGCTCTCTCTCCTCAGCCCCATCCCTAGGGTCTCTCTTCTCTCTGGCTTTGGTCTTCCCTGTCTTCTCCTCCTTTCCCCCCATCACACCCTTTGAATCTCAACTCCCAAGTCTCCTCTCAAAATCACCCCCACTTTTGTCCTCCCCCTTACTGCTACCCCAGGCCAAGGCCCCAGACTCCTTGCTGACCTTCTAGCCCCCATTCCTGCCTCTGCCTCTTTTCTCCTAGTGACTTAAAACCAATCACAGCCCACCCCTACTCTAACACCTCCCATGGCTCCCCATTGCCCACAGCACAAAAACAAAGTGCTCTTGGCTGCCCTGGCACCTAGTTTAGGTTCTAATAATAATAATAATAATAATAATGATAATAATAATAATTATTATTATTTTATTTAGTCTGGGTACAGTGGCCCACACCTGTAATCTCAATACTTTGGAAGGCTGAGGTGGGAGGATTGCATGAGCCCAGGAGTTCAAGGCTCAGAGTACCCAGCCTGCAAGCCTCCCCCTCAAACTCTGCCCTCCTCTCAGTTTCTCCAGCCCCAGCTCCTTCTGGATGCCGGGCCTATGCACCTGCTCCCCCTTCCAGCGGGGCCTCCCCAACATCCTCTGCACCTGGTTTCTCCTCTGCACCCTTCAGCCCCCGGATCTGGGATCACTTCTGGAGGTGCTCCCTAGGAGCTCGGGCCGTGTTGCAGCCGCATGACCATCCGTGAATGTTCCTCGCCCTGGGTTACTCATCTGCCACCCTTGAAGGTGGGCTGAGCTCAGCTGTCTCCTCCTTTGTCCTAGTTTGTGAACTCGCACATAACAGATTGAATGAATGAATGAATGAAGGCACACAGACGGCCCCCACCCGGCCATCCTCAGGGCTCCCTGGCCTGTTGCCCTTGTCCCTTGCCCAGCCTGGCTTGTGTGTAGGAAGTGTGGGAGGTGCCATAGGCCAAGTCACTTCCCTCCCGGGTGGCACCGAGCCCCGCCCAGCCCTGCCAGGCCCCCCCGCTGACCGCTGCCTGCCCCCGGCCGCCTGCCAGGAACAGCTTGTCTTCTGAGCTGCTGCTCTCAATCCTGTTTTTGTGGTTTCCTCTCTGCCAGTCCCGCCCTCTTCCAGTCTCTTCTTGTAGAGTGGCAGGAAAATTCTGGAGCTGGAGGAACTGGGAGCCTTTCACAGGCGGTGACCGAGGCCACCCCCAGCCTCCAGAGCCCAGTCTGCCCCTCTGTGAAGGGAACCACCAGCTCTGGCGCACAGGTGCCCGGGCCGGGGTCTGCCCACGTGTCCCACCGGGTCAGGGGTGGGAGCAAACTGAATCCTTCATGGCAAAATCACCTCTACATTGCAGCAGTGATTCGGGGATCCTTTAAAAAGACAGCAGCACATGCTACTGCACCACACAGATTGTCAGAGAAACCAGGTGTGGGGTGTGGACTGTGCGGAAACCCTGTGACCTTCACAATTTCTTTGAAACCCCAAAGCTGTTCTTTAGAAACATACATTTTTGGCTGTGCGTGGTGGCTCATGCCTGTAATCCCAGCACTTTGGGAGGCCGAGGCGGGGAGATATCTGAGGTCAGGAGTTCGAGACCAGCTTGGCTAACATGGTGAAACCCTGTCTCTACTAAGAGTCAAAAAATTAGCCGGGCGTGGTGTCGGGCGCCTATAATCCCAGTTACTCAGGAGGCTGAGGCAGGAGAATCGCTTGAACCTGGGAGGCGGAGGTTGCAGTGAGCTGAGATTGTACCACTGCACTCCAGCCTAGACAACAAGAGCAAGACTCTGGCAAAAACAAAAAGAAAAAACAAAACAAAACAAAACATTTTTTTTTCCGTGCCAATAGTGCTCCTGCAAACATGGTGAATGTTCCGAAAACACAGGTGCTTTTTGAGACGACGTCTCCCTCTGTTGCCCAGGCTGGAGTGCAGTGGCACGATCTCAGCTCACTACGACCTCCACCTCCCGGATTCAAGCGATTCACCTGCTCAGCTTTCTGAGTGACTGGGATTACAGGCACAGGCCATCACGCCCAGCTAACTTTTTCTGTGTGTGTGTGTGTGTGTGTGTGTGTGCACGCGCGTGTGTGTGTTTAGCAGAGACGGGGTTTCTCCATGTTGGCCAGGCTGGTCTCGAACTCCCGACCTCAGGTGATCCGCCTGCCTCGGCCTCCCAAAGTGCTGAGATTACAGGCGTGAGCCACTGCGCCCGGCCCCAAGAGCCTTTTTTATTTTTTTTTTTTGAGATGGAGTCTCGCTTTGTCACCCAGGCTGGAGTGCAGTGGTGCAATCTTGGCTCACTGCAACCTCCGCCTGCCGGGTTCACGCCATTCTCCTGCCTCAGCCTCCCCAGTAGCTGGGACGACAGGTGCCCGCCACCACACCCGGCTAATTGTTTGTATTTTTAGTAGAGATGGGGTTTCACCGTGTTAGCCAGGCTGGGCTCAAACTCCCAACCTCAGGTGATCCGGCCTCCCAAAGTGCTGGGATTACAGGCGTGAGCCACCGTGCCCGGCCCCAAAAGCCTTTCTGTAAGAAGTGTGGCCAGCGCCAATCCTACAAAGTGAGGCAGCGCTAGAGGAGCGAGGACTCTCTCTGAACCCAGGGAAAGTGGCCTTACAGGAAGCAGAGTGGCTGTGGTAGGCGGATTAAGTCGATTTTCCAGAAAAAGCTAAAACCACGAAGAAAATTGTGCTGAGGTGGCCGGGCGCGGTGGCTCACGCCTGTAATCTCAGCACTTTGGGAGGCCGAGGCGGGTGGATCACAAGGTCAGGAGATCGAGACCATCCTGGCTAACACGGTAAAACCCCGTCTCTACTAAAAATACAAAAAATTAGCTGGGCATGGTGGTGGGCACCTGTAGTCCCAGCTACTCGGGAGGCTGAGGCAGGAGAATGGCATAAACCCGGGAGGAGGAGCTTGCAGTGAGCCGAGATCGCACCACTGCACTCCAGCCTGGGAGACAGCAAGACTCCGTCTCCAAAAAAAAAAAGAAAATTGTGCCGAGGTGCAACTGCCTTGAGCCCCACTGTGGCGAGGAGCAAGCCTGAGCTGGGAGGAGATAAACCAAGAGACCAAGAAATAGTCAACAGACCCGTTCACAGTGCCATCGTTTTTATTTTTTTATTTTTTGAGACGGAGTCTCGCTCTGTCGCCCGGGCTGGAGTTCAGTGGCGAGATCTCGGCTCACTGCAACCTCTGCCTCCTGGGTTCAAGCGATTCTCATGCCTCAGCCCCCTGGGTAGCTGAGATTATAGGCATGCGCCACCACACTCAGCTAATTTTTGTATTTTTAGTGGAAACAGGGTTTTGCCATGGTGCCCAGGCTGGTCTTGAACTCCTGACCTCAAGTGCTCTACCCACTTTGGCCTCCCAAAGTGTTGGGATTACAGGCGTGAGCCACCGCACTTGGTCTTTTTTTTTTTTTTTTTTTTGGTGACAGAGTCTCGCTCTGTCACCAGGCTGGAGTTCAGTAGTGCAATCTTGGCGCACTGCAACCTCCGCCTCCCAGGTTCAAGCGATTCTCCTGCCTCAGCCTCCCAAGTAGCTGGGATTACAGGTGCCCGCCACCATGCCTGGCTAATTTTTGTATTTTTAATAGAGACAGGATTTCACCATGGTGGCCAGGCTGATCTCAAACTCCTGACCTCAGGTTATCCACCCGCCTCAGCCTCCCAAAGTTCTGGGATTGCAGGTGTGAGCCACCATGCCCGGATGGATAATAATAATAACAATTTTATTTAGGCTGGATGCAATGGCTCACGCCTGTAATCCCAGCACTTTGGGAGGCTGAGGTGGGAGGATTGCTTGAGCCCAGGAGTTCAAGAGCACACTGGACAATATAGTGAGACCCGTATCTCTACAAAAAATACAAAAATTAGCCAGGTGTGGTGGCACATACCTGTAGTTCCAGCTACTCGGGAGGCTGAGGCAGGAGGATCCCTTGAGCCCAGGAATTTGAGGCTGCAGTGAGCTATGATCATATCACCGCCCTCCAGCCTGTAACAAACTAAGTAACAAACTTAGTAACAAACTAAGTAACAAACTTAGTAACAAACTAAGACCCTGTCTCAATTAATAATAGTAATAATGGCCGGGCACGGTGGCTCATGCCTGTAATTCCAACACTGAGAGGCTGAGACCAGTGGATCGCTTGAGGCCAGGAGTTTGACACCAGCCTGGGCAACACAGTGAGACCCCCGTCTCTATTGTAAAAAACAATAAAATAATAATAATGGGCCGGGCGCAGTGGCTCACGCCTGTAATCCCAGCACTTTGGGAGGCCGAGGCTGGCAGATCACGAGGTCAGGAGATCGAGACCATCCTGGCTAACACAGTGAAACCCCGTCTCTACTAAAAAAATACAAAAAATTAGCCGGGCGTGGTGGCGGGAACCTGTAGTCCCAGCTACTCAGGAGGCTGAGGCAGGAGAATGGCATGAACCTGGGAGGTGGAGCTTGCAGTGAGCAGAGACCGCACCACTGCACTCCAGCCTGGGCGACAGAGCGAGATTCCCTCTCAAAACAGAAACAAAATGTGTTGAGGACTAATTTATTGCCCCAGGACTGGGAGAAGGCCAGCAGGATGTCTCTCCTCCCTCTGCAGCATAAAAGGACTCACACAAATTTTACTTCCTGCCATTGTCACTAACCACAGGGATCCCTCCTGCTGGATCAGCCCCTTTCATTCTGGCCTTTAATTGTCCCCTTGCCAAAGGCAACCCTGTGGCCTGTCCTGGTCTCTGACTCACCCTGAAGAATGAGAAACCTGTTTAAAGTGAAGTGTGATGGAATCAAGTCAGACGTGAGGAAGGACCTACCTCCTTGGTCAAAGCTGGGATGGGGTAAGCGTTGGGGAGAGAGGAAGGGAGGGTGGGAGGGCCAGCTCCCTGTGTCGGGGAAGCCTGGGTGAGCTGGGGGTCCCGCTGATACGAGTGTTCCCACCTGGGGTTTGGGTGGCCGGATAGAACTGGCACCCCTGGGTTGGAACCTCACTGACTCCCCGGTGGTGCCTGCCCTGTTCATTCCATTTCTGGCTGTCTTCATTCCTTCTATCAAGCTAACATTTCACTCCCTGCCATGCAGGGCTTGGGGTCTGTGGGCAGCCTCGGGAAGATGCCCTGGGGTACATTCATCCCGCCACCCCCAGGGAGACTCAGTTTCCCCGCGTGAAGTGTGAGGGCAACAGCTCCAGCGCTCCCCTGCCTCAGTTTCCCTTTTTTTGAGATGAGGTCTCATTCTGTCACCCAGGCTGGAGTGCAGTGGTGCTGTCATGGCTCACTGCAGCCTTGACCTCCCATGCTCAAATCATCCTCCCACCTCAGTCTCCTGAGTAGCTGTGACCTCAGGTGTGCGCCACCAGGCCCAGCTAATTTTTGTAATTTTTTTTTTTAGAGGTGGGGTCTCATTATGTTGCCCAGGCTGGTCTGGAGCCCCTGGGCTCAAGTGATCCTCCTGCCTTGGCCTCCCAAAGTGCTGGGATTACAGGTGTGAACCACCATGCCCTGCCTCGGTTTCCCTTTTGTGAGCACCTTTTGTGAAATGGCAGAAGATACAGACATCAACAAAGAGGGCTTGTCGGCCGGGCGCGGTGGCTCACGCCTGTAATCCCAGCACTTTGGGAGGCCGAGGTGGGTGGATTACGAGGTCAGGAGTTCAAGATCAGCCTGGCAAAGATGGTGAAACCCCATCTCTACTAAAAATATAAAAAATTAGCCAGGTGTGGTGGTGCCTGCCTGTGGTCCCAGCTACATAGGAGGCTGAGGGAGGAGGATTGAGCCCAGGAGTTTGAGGCTGCAGTGAGCTGTGATCACGCCCCTGCACTTTGGATCATGTTTCAAAAAATATATATATTTTGTAATTGAATTTTTTGCTGTAATGATTGGAAACACATGCAGTTATAAGAAATAGCACTTTGCCTAGTTTCCCCCAGTGGTAACATTTTGCAACAGTCTATTACAATGTCATAACCACGCTGTTGGCATTGATACAATTCATCCACTTTATTCAGACCTGGCCCGTTTCTTTCTTTCTTTCTCTCTCTCTCTCTCTCTCTGGCTCTCGCTCTCACTCTGGCGTCTCGCTCTGTCACCCAGGCTGTAGTGCAGTGGCGTGATCTCAGCTCACTGCAACCTCCACCTCCCGGATTCAAGCGATTTTCCTGCCTCAGTCTCCCAGGTAGCTGGGATTACAGGTGCCCACCACCACGCCTGGCTAATTTTTGTATTTTTAGTAGAGATGCGGGTTTCTCCATGTTGGCCAGGCTGATCTCGAACTCCTGACTTCAGGTGATCCACCTGCTTCGGCCTCCCAAGGTGCTGGGATGAGAGGTGTGAGCCACCACACCCAGCCAGACCTGGCCAGTTTCACTTGTGGCCCTGTGTGTGTGTCTGGTGTGTGTGTGTGTCTGGTGTGTGTGTGTGTCTGGTGTGTGTGCTTGAGCAGGGCACTGGTGGTATAATTTAATAACAGTCCCTTTATCCTTTGTTCTTGGAAATAAAAGTGCATCAAACTGAACCGTGCAATCCAGGAGGCTGAGTGGGCGGCGATCTCTGGCCGTGCCTCCTAACCTGGACTCCGGACTCCGGACTCCGGACCTTCCATGTGAGCCCGGGCTTCTCTCCACCTGGGCCTCACCATGGCCATCTGTAAAATGGGGTGTGTGGGGGGGCTCACTGTACCAGGATAGGGGCTCCTCCTGTCTTCTTTTTTTTTTTTTTTCTTAGATGGAGTCATGCTCTGTTGCCCAGGCTGGAGTGCAGTGGCGCCGTCTTGGCTCACTGCAAACTCTGCCTCCCAGGTTCCAGCGATTCTCCTGCCTCAGCCTCCCCAGTAGCTGGGATTATAGGCATGTGCCACTACACCCTGCTAATTTTTTTGTATTTTTAGTAGAGACGGGGTTTCACCATGTTGGTAAGGCTGGTCTCGAACTCCTGACCTGAGGTGATCCGCCTGCCCTGGCTTCCCAAAGTGCTGGGATTACAGGTGTGAGCCACCGCGCCCAACCTCCTTCACTCTCTTTATCTTTTCCTCTCTCCCTTCCTCCTGCCCTCCTATCATAAAGGAAGTGACATATATTTGGTATACTGTGTATCAGGAACCGTTTTAGTTTCCAGAATGAAAATATAGGCACCAGGTGCAGTGGCTCACGCCTGTAATCCCAGCTCTTTGGGAGGCCGCACTGGGAGGATCCCTTGAGGTCAAGAGTTCAAGACCAGTCTGGCCAACATGGTGAAACCCCCGTCTCTACTAAAAATACAAAAACAAACAAAAAAAATTAGCTGGGCCTTGTGGTGCACGCCTGTAATTCCAGCTACTCTGGAGGTTGAGGCAGGACAGTCACTTGAACCCGGGAGGCAGAGGTTGCAGGGAGCCGAGATCAAGCCACTGCACTCTAGCCTGAGTGACAGAGTGAGACTGTCTCAAAAAAAAAAAAAAAAAAAAAAGTTTTATGAGTCTAACATCAGAGATCCAGTAATCAATTTTTTTTTCTTTTTTTTTTTTTGAGACAAGGTCTGGCTCTGTCCCCCAGAGTAGAGTGCAGTGGCCTGCTCTTAGCTCACTGCAGCCTCAACCTCCCCAGCTCAACCAATCCTCCCACCTTAGCTTCTGAAGTAGCTGAAGCCACAGAGGCATGACACCACTTCCAGCTAATGTTTAAGATTATTTGTAGAGGCCGGGCGCGATGGCTCGCGCCTGTAATCCCAGCACTTTGGGAGGCCAAGGTGGGAGGATCACTTGAGCCCAGGAGTTTGAGGCCAGCCTGGGCAACATGGTGAAACCCCATCTCTACAAAAAATAAAAAAAAATTAGCCGTGCGTGGTGGTGTGCCCCTGTGGTGCCAGCTACTTGGGAGGCTGAGGCAAGAGGATTGCTTGAGCCCAGGAAGTCAAGGCTGCAGTGAGTGAGCCTTGTTTGTACCAGTGCTCTCCAGCCTGAGTGACAGAGCAAGACCCTGTCTCAGAAAAAAAAAAAAGGAAGAAGAAAGATAGAAAGAAAGAGAGTGGAAGGAAGGAAGGAGAGAGAGAGGAAGGAGGGAGGGAGGAAGGAAGGAATGAAAGAAAAAAGAAGGCCGGGCGCGGTGGCTCACGCCTGTAATCCCAGCACTTTGGGAGGCCGAGGCGGGCGGATCACGAGGTCAGGAAATCGAGACCATCCTGGCTTACAAGGCGAAACCCCATCTCTACTAAAAATACAAAAAATTAGCCAGGCGTCTTGGCGGGCGCCTATAGTCTCAGCTACTCGGGAGGCTGAGGCAGGAGAATGGCATGAACCCGGGAGGCAGAGCTTGCAGTGAGCCGAGATCGCGCCACTGCCCTCCAGCCTGGGCAATAGAGCAAGACTCTGTCTCAAAAAAAAAAAATTATTTGTAGAGACAGGGGCTTGCTATGTTCCCCAGGGTGGTCTGGAATCCCTGGGCTCAAGCGATCCCCCGACTCAACCTCCCAAAGCACTGGGATTACAGGCATGAGCCACTGTGCCTGACCCCAAATCAATTTTTTTTTTTGAGACAGTCTTGCTCTGTTGCCCAGGCTGGAGTGCAGTGGCGTGATCTTGGCTCATTGCAACCTCTGCCTCCCAAGTTCAAGCAATTCTCCTGTCTCAGCCTCCTGAGTAGCTGGGACTACAGGCACCCACCACCACGCCTGGCTAATTTTTTGTATTTTTTTAGTAGAGATGGGGTTTCACTGTGTTAGCCAGGATGGTCTCGATCTCCTGACCTCGTGATCCTCCTGCCTCAGCCTCCCAAACTGCTGGCATTACAGCCGTGAGCCACTGCACCTGGCCCCAAATCAATTCTTAAACAGTCTTAGAGTCCTAACAGCAGAAATCCTTTCTATAGGAACAACAGGATGCAAGTGCTCAGAATCCAGTGCTCCATGTCTTTTAGCACCAAAGAAGTGGGCCAGAGCGCAGCCTGTGTCATGCTTATTTCTACCTGTGTCTCTGTCCAGAACCTAGCATGCAATTTGTGTCAGCCGAACGGGGGTGGTTTCAAAAGCAACCATTTTATTTTGCTCAGGATTTTGTGGGTCAGGAGTTTGGGAAGGGCTCAGCTAGGTGGTTCATCCTGCCTAGGCAGTTTGTCTCCGATCCACGCAGCATTGGCTGAGGCCACTGGGAAGGAGTATTCACTCAAGGTGGCTTCTTTTTGTTTGTTTGTTTGTTGTGTTTTTTTTTTTTTTTTTTTTTTTTTTTTTGAGACAGTCTTGCTCTGTTGCCCAGGCTGGAGTGCAGTGGCATGATCTTGGCTCATTGCAACCTCTGCCTCCCAAGTTCAAATTATTCCCCTGCCTCAGCTTCCTGGGTAGATGGGAAGATTGGATTACAGGCACGTGCTACCATGCCTGGCTTTTTTTTTTTTTTTTTTTTTTTTTCAGACAGTCTTGCTCTGTCGCCCAGGCTGGAGTGCAGTGGCACAATCTTGGCTCACTGCAAGCTCTGCTTCCCGGGTTCATGCCATTCTCCTGCTTCAGCCTCCCAAGTAGCTGGGATTACAGGCACCTGCCACCACACCCAGCTAATTTTTTTGTATTTTTAGTAGAGACAGGTTTCACCGTGTTAGCCAGGATGGTCTCGATATCCTGACCTTGTGATCTGCCTGTCTCGGCCTCCCAAAGTGTTGGGATTACAGGTGTGAGCCACCAGGCCTGGCCTTTTTTTTTTTTTTGTATTTTTAGTAGAGATGAGGTTTTGCCATGGTCACCAGGCTGGTCTCCAACTCCTGACCTCAAGTGATCCACCCATCTCGGCCTCCCAACAAGGGGGCTTCTTCACACACGTCCAACCCCTCTGTGCTCTCTGGCTTCTCTCTGTTTTCATGGCTGGCATGTTCCACCCTTCATGGCTTTTCACACACAGTGAGGTGGTCACATCTCTCTTTTTTTTTGAGACGGAGTCTTGCTCTTGTCACCCAGCCTGCAGTGCAATGGCACAATCTCAGCTCACTGCAACCTCTGATTCCCGGGTTCAAGCAATTCTCCTGCCTCAGCCTCCCAAGCAGCTGGGATTACAGGTGCCCACCACCACGCCTGGCTAATTTTTGTTTTTGTTTTTTGAGAGAGTCTCGCTCTGTCACCCAGGCTGGAGTGCAGTGGCGCGATCTCGGCTCACTGCAAGCTCCGCCTCCCAGGTTCACGCCATTCTCCTGCCTAAGCCTCCCGAGTAGCTGGGACTACAGGTGCTTGCCACCACTCCCGGCTAATTTTGTATTTTTAGTAGAGATGGGGTTTCACCATGTTAGTCAGGATGGTCTCGATCTCCTGACCTCAGGTGATCCACCCACCTCAGCCTCCCAACATGCTGGGATTACAGGCATGAGCCACCGTGCTCAGCAGTCACATCTCTTGCATGGCATGTGGCTTCCATAAGCACAAGTGACCCCGGAGAAAGGAAGCAGGAACTTTGAGGCCAGGGACTGGCACAGTCACTTCCATCATCTTCTCTTGGTCAAAGCCAGCTCAGATTCAAGGAGCTGGAAGAATGAACTCAGCCTCCTCATGGGAGGGAAGAAACCAACAGCTGCCTTCTTGGAAGCAAGCTACCACCGGGTGTGTTCAGGCAGCATCATTTAGACTTCAAGTGGGAGACGCCCGCCTGGGATCTGGTTTATCTGCACACACCTCACTCTCCTGAAAGGACTTAACATGTGAGGCCGGGCACCGAGGCTCACGCCGGTAATCCCAACACTTTGGGAGGCCAAGGTGGGAGGATCACTTGAGCCCAGGAGTTTGAGGCCAGCCTGGGCAACATGGTGAAACTCCATCTCTACAAAAAATAAAAAAAATTAGCCGTGCGTGGTGGTGTGCACCTGTGGTCCCAGCTACTTGGGAGGTTGAGTCAAGAGGATTGCTTGAGCCCAGGAAGTCAAGGCTGCAGTGGGTGAGCCATGTTTGTACCAGTGCTCTCCAGCCTGAGTGACAGAGCAAGACCCTGTCTCAGGGAAAAAAAAAAAGGAAAAAGAAAGAAAGAGAGGGAGGAAGGAAGGACAGAGAGAGAAAGGAGGGAGGGATGGAGGGAGGAAGGAAGGAAGGAATGAAAGAAAAAAGACAAGAAGGAAAGAAAGAAAAGACAAAGAAAGAAGGAAGGAAGGAAAGAAAGAAAGAGAGAAAGAAAGAAAGAAAAAAGAGAAAGCAAGCAAGCCGGCCAGGTGTGGCGGCTCACACCTGTAATCCCAGCACTTTGGGAGACCAAGACAGGGGAAGAATCACTTGAGCCCAGGAGTTCAAGACCAGCCTGGGCAACATGACATAACCCTGTCTCTACTAAAAATACAAAAATTAGCTGGGTGTGGTGGTGCACACCTGTAATCCCAGCCACTCGGGAGGCTGAGGCAGGAGAATCACCTGAACCCGGGAGGCGGAGGTTGCAGTAAGCCAAGATCGCGCCACTGCACTCCAGCCTGGGTGACAGGGTGAGAGTCCATCTCAAAACAAAAGAAGGCAAATTTTACATTATGTGTATTTTATTTACCACTACAACAAAAAATGAAGT
Organism: Homo sapiens; assembly: GCF_000001405.40. NCBI lineage: Eukaryota > Metazoa > Chordata > Mammalia > Primates > Hominidae > Homo > Homo sapiens. The sequence goes on along the minus strand of NC_000019.10, from coordinate 2,022,058 downwards.
ATAAAGCACGCACAGGTTGCTTTCCAGCTCTTTTGCTGGGTGGCTGTGGCTCTGCCCACATCTCCTCACTCCTGGCTCACAGCCACCATCTCCAATGGAGCACACAGGAGAGGTCTCTGGAGGGTCTTGCCCTGGCCATTAAATGCTACAGGCTAGAAGAGTCACACCTCTTCTGTTCATAACTCACTGGGCAGAACTGTTCAGGTGACACAGCCGTAAGGAACTAAGCACACAGCACTTCATTGCCAATGAGAGTGCCTGAAATCCACAAGGAAGAGCCTCACTGGTTGCCCCAGCCTGGGGCTGGGCCAGGTGGCCAGGACATGGCTGTCCCCAGGCGTCTGCCACCACTGGCTTTTCTCTGCAGCCAGAGAGAGGGGCTGGTGGGCAGGGCTTGCAGAGAAGGGGACTTGGGGCCAGCACTTGAAGGGCAAGGAGAGCCCAGTGAGACAGAGGGGTTGACATGCCCCCTTCTGTCCTGGTCACAATTCAATCCAAAGGTCTCTTCTTTATTTCCTCCTGAGGCTTGGCTTATCCCATCATCTTATCTTATCTTCTCTTATCTCATAAGACAGAATCTCCCTCTTTCGCCCAGGATGGGGTGCAGTGGTGTGATCTTGGCTCACTGCAGCCTCTGCCTCCCAGGTTCAAGCGATTCTCCTGGCTCAGCCTCTCGAGTAACTGGAATTACAGGTGTGTGCCACCACGCCCAGCTAATTTTTTTTTTTTTTTTTTTTTGGGACAGAGTCTCACTCTGTCACCGAGGCTGGAGTGCAGTGGCGCGATCTCGGCTCACGACAAGCTCCACCTCCCGGGTTCACGCCATTCTCCTGCCTCAGCCTCCCTAGTAGCCGGGACTACAGGCGCCCGCCACCATGCCCGGCTAATTTTTTTTTGTATTTTTAGTAGAGACGGGGTTTTAGTGCATTAACCAGGATGGTCTCGATCTGACCTCGTGATCCGCTTGCCTTGGCCTCCCAAAGTGCTGGGATTACAGGCATGAGCAACTGTGCCTGGCCTTAATTTTGTATTTTTAGTAGAGATGGGGTTTCACCATGTTGGCCAAGCTGGTTTCAAACTCCTGACCTCAGGTGATCCACCTGCTTCAGTCTCCCAAAATGCTGGGATTGCAGGCGTGAGCCACTGCGCCCGGCTCCTAAGGTGGCATATTTTGACATGGCATATTCTAATCTCCTTCAGTTGCTCCCTCTAAATTTTTTTGTGAACCCTTTAAATATTTTCTTCCACATCAGGCCTTTCTGGTGTGCATAATATTCCTGAGTGAGTCCCAGTGTTGGCTGGCGCAGTGGCTCACGCCTGTAATCCCAGAACTTTGGGAGGCCGAGGTGGCTGGATCACGAGGTCAGGAGTTCAAGATCAGCCTGGCCAAGATGGTGAAACCCCGTCTCTACTAAAAATACAAAAATTAGCCGGGTGTGGTGGTGGGCACCCGTAATCCCAGCTACTTGGGAGGCTGAAGCAGGAGAATCGCTTGAACCTGGGAGGCGGAGGTTGCAGTTTGCTAAGACCACACCACTGCACTTCAGCCTGGGCAACAGAGCGAGAGACTTTTTTTTTTTTTTGAGACAGAGTCTTGCTCTGTTGCCCAGGCTGGAGTGCAGTGGCATGATCTCAGCTCACTGCAAGCTCCGCCTCCTGAGTTCTTGATATTCTCCTGCCTCAGCCTCCCGAGTAGCTGGGACTACAGGCGCCCACCACCACGCCCGGCTAATATTTTGTATTTTTAGTAGAGACGGGGTTTCACCGTGTTAGCCAGGATGGTCTTGAACACCGTCTCCCGGGTTCAAGCGATTCTCCTGCTTCAGCCTCTCAAAGTGCTAGGATTACAGGTGTGAGCCACCACGCCTGGCCGCGAGAGACTCTTTAAAAAAAAAAAAATTAGTCATGGTGGTGCGCGCCTGTGGTCCCAGCTACTCAGGAGGCTGAGGCGGGAGGATCACTTGAGCCCAGGAGGTGGAGGCTGCAGTGAGCTGTGACCGCACCATTGCAGTCCAGCCCTGGAAGATAGAGCGAGACTTTGCAGAAAAAAGAAGGAAGGAAGGAAGGAAGGAAGGAAAAAAGAAAGAAAGAAAGGAACAAGAAAGAAAGCAAGCCAGCCAAAGAAAGAAAGCCAGCCAGCCTGAGTGTCCTGGAGTCAGAGAAGAGGAAAGGGGACCGTGGGAGGGAAGAAATGACATCCCACCCTCCTGGCCAAGGATGGTTCTATTATGTGAACTGCACACTTCTCTGGAAATGAATGGAAATCCAGCAATCAGCTTGGTGACGAGCGCCCTCTAGACGCCATCACCGCATAGACAGGGCTGGGATTGGTTCCAGAAACCCGGGGAAAACTCAAAAACGCTCAAAACGCACTGCCAGGGGCAGGTGTTGGCTCAATAGCCAGCAAAAAAAAAAAAAAAAAAAAAAAAAAAAAAAAAAGCACTGACAAAGGACAAAAAGGCTCCGCAAGCTTCCCTTGCCAGCCCTAGGGCTGAGGTGGACTCATGTTTCTGCCTTCATAGATAATCTCCATCCGTAATATGTTTAGGTCTAGTGAGAGGTATGGTTTACTTACAGCGAATGCACAAATCTTAAGCGTAGTTTGGTTAATTTAGGCAAATGCATGAACCTGTATCACTCACACCCCTCTCAAAATCACATGGGCCGGGTGCGGTGGCTCCCGCCTGTAATCCCAGTATTTTGGGAGGCCAAGATGGGCAGATCAGGAGGTCAGGAGATCGAGACCATCCTGGCTAACACGGTGAAACTCCGTCTCTACTAAAAATACAAAAAAATTAGCCGGGCGTGGTGGCAGGCGCCTGTAGTCCCAGCTACTTGGGAGGCTGAGGCAGAAGAATGGTGTTAACCCGGGAGGCAGAGCTTGCAGTGAGCCGAGATCGCGCCACTGCACTCCAGCTTGGGCGACAGAGCAAGACTCTGTCTCAAGAAAAAAAAAAAAAAAAAAAAAATCTCCACATGGCCGAGTGGTTCACACCTGTAATCCCAGCGTTTTGGGAGGCCTAGCGAGAAGATTGCTTGAGCCTAGGAGTTCATGAGCAGCCTGGGCGACAAAGTGAGATCCCGTGTGTGTGTGTGCCTGTGTGTGCGCGCACGCGTGCGTGTGTGTTAGGCAGGGCCTCACTTTGTCGCCCAGGCTGGAGTGCAGTGGCACAATCTCAGCCTCCCCAGCTGTAGCCATCCTCCCACTTCAGCCTCCCAAAAGCTGGGACTACCGGCACACACCAGAACACCTTGTTAATTTTGTATTTTTTTGTGGAGACAGGGTTTCACTATGTTGGCCAGGCTGGTCTCGAACTCCTGAACTCAAGTAATCTGCCTGCCTCGGCCTCCGAAAGTGCTGGGATTACAGGCGTGAGCTACCATGGCTGGCCTACAGCTCTTTAAAAAAAAAAAAGTCCAGGCGCGGTGGCTCACATCTGTAATCCCAGCACTTTAGGAGGCCGAGGTGGGCGGATCACGAGGTCAGGAGATAGAGACCATCCTGGCTAACACGATGAAACCCCGACTCTACTAAAAATACAAAAAAAAAAAAAAAATTAGCCGGGCATGGTGGCAGGCGCCTGTAGTCCCAGCTACTCGGGGGGCTGAGGCAGGAGAATGGCATGAACCTGGAAGGCAGAGCTTACAGTGAGCCGAGATTGCACCACTGCACTCTGGCCTGGGTGGCAGAACGAGACTCCATCTCAAAAAAAAAAAAAAAAAAAAAAAAAAAAAAAATCGTGAACATCTCAGCATTCCGTAAAGTTCACCCTTTCCTCAGACAACCTACCATTTTGTTAATTTCTGTCACCATGGCAGGTATGCCTGTTCTGCACCTTCATCTAGAAGGGACTGCACAGATGTCCTCTTTAGGATTTGGCTGGAAAGATGTCACTTTGCAAATGTATGAGATGAGAGATAAGAAAGTTGACATTTAGAGGCCGGCTGTGATGGCTCCCGCCTGTAATCCCAGCACTTGGGGAGGCCAAGGCAGGCGGATCACCTGAGGTCGGGAGTTCGAGACCAGCCTGACCAACATGGAGAAACCCCGTCTCTACTAAAAATACAAAATTAGCCGGGCGTGGTGGTGCATGTAATCCCAGCTACTCAGGAGGCTGAGGCAGGAGAATCGCTTGAATCCGGGAGGCGGAGGTTGTGGTGAGCTGAGATCGTGCCACTGCACTCCAGCCTGGGCGACAGAGCAAGACTGTCTCAAAAAAAAAAAAAAAAAAAAAAAAAAATATATATATATATATATATATGTATATACATACACACACACACATATAAAATTAGCCAGGCATGGTGGCAGGCGCCTGTAGTTCCAGCTACTCGGGAGGCTGAGGCAGGAGAATGGCGTGAATCTGGGAGGCGGAGCTTACAGTGAGCCAAGATCGCGCCACTGCACTCCAGCCTGGGCGACAGAACGAGACTGTCTCAAAAACAAAACAAACAAACAAAAAAAAATTAGCCTTAGCCAGGCGTGGTGGCGGGTACCTGTAACCCCAGCTACTCAGGAGGCTGAGGCGGGAGAATTGCTTGAACCAGGAGGCTGAGATTGCAGTGAGCCAAGATCGCCATCACTGCACCCCAGCCTGGGCAATAGAGGGAGACTCTAAAAAGAAAAAAGAAAAAAGAAAAAAAAATTGTAACTACCTCAACCACCCACTCTGGAGAACTGAAAATAGCATTATCACTTGGGTTTTTTTAATACCCTATTTTCTTTTTCTTCTTTGTTTTTTTTTTTTTTCGAGACAGGATCTTGCTCTGTTGCCCAGGCTGGAGGGCAGTGGTGGAGTCATAGCTCATCAAAAGCTCAACCTTCCAGGCTCAAGTGATGCTTCCGTCTCAGCCTTCTGAGTAGCTGGGACAACAGGTGCGTACCACCACGCCTAGTTTTTTTTTTGTTTTGTTTTGTTTGTTTGTTTGTTTGTTTGAGACGGAGTTTTGTTCTTGTTGTTCAGGCTGGAGTGCAATGGCGCGGTCTCGGCTCACTGCAACCTCCGCCTCCCAGGTTCAAGTGATTCTCCTGCCTCAGCCTCCCGAGTAGCTGGGATTACAGGCACCCGCCACCAAGCCTGGCTAATTTTCGTATTTTTAGTAGAGATGGGGTTTCACCATGATGGGGTTTCACCAGGATGGTCTCGATCTCCCGACCTGGTGATCCGCCCGCCTCGGCCTCCCAAAGTGCTGGGATTACAGACGTGAGCCACCGCGCCTGGCTAATTTTTGTATTTTTTGTAGAGACAGGGTTTTGCCATGTTGCCCAGGCTGGTCTCCAACTCTTGACCTTAGGTGATGCACCCCCCGCCTTGGCCTCCTGAAGTGCTGGGATTACAGGCGTGAGCCACTGCGCCCGACCTGGTTCCTCAATCTTTGTGGCATTTGTCTACCTTGACATTATGTATGTAGTAAGCGTTTTGGGGGAGTCCCAGCTCCGTCCACACTGACCACCCCCCACACCTGGCCTGGAGAGGGTGCTGGGCGTCTGCTGAGTGTCAGTGCACGTGGCCTGCATCCTGCTCGCTCATCCGCAGCTTCCCGGCCTCAGGCTATGTCTCTGTACAGCGGAGCCTGCGCCACGGAGCAGGCCCGCCACCTGGGTCCGGGGTCTGGGGTCTGGAGTTTGCGCTTGGTCTTTGGGTTGGGGGTTCCGGGTCTGAGGTATGGGATCTGGAATCCGGAGTCTGAAGTCTGGGGTTCAGAGTCTGGGATCTAGGATTCAAGGTCTGAGGCCTGGGATCCCGGACTGAGGTCTGTGCTCCAGGGTTTAGGATTCCCGGTCTGGAGTCTGGGGCCTGGTGCCTGGACCCCAAATTCTGGACCTCGGTCTGGAGTCTGGGCTTCAGGTCAGGATGCTTAGGGAGTGGAGCAAGAGGTCTTCCACCAGCTCCTCCCCTCTACAGGCCCCTCCTACTCTTCCCTCTCCTCCCCGTCCCCTCCCCTGCAACAGCCTCCCCCATTCACCTCCCTTCTCCCCTCCCTCCTCCCCTCCCACCTCCCCTCCTTTCCCCTCCCTCTCCTCCCCTCCCTCCTTCCCCCTCCTTTCCCCTCCCTCTCCTCCCCTCCCTCCTTCCCCCTCCTTTCCCCTCCCTCTCCTCCCCTCCCTCCTTCCCCCTCCTTTCCCCTCCCTCTCCTCCCCTCCCTCCTTCCCCCTCCTTTCCCCTCCCTCTCCTCCCCTCCCTCCTTCCCGCTTCCCCTCCCCTCCCTCCTCCCCTCCTTTCCCCTCCCTCCTCTTTTCCCCTCCCCTCCCTCCTCCCCCTCCTCCCCCTACTCTCCTCCTTTCCCCTCCCTCCTTCCCTCCTCCCCTCCCTCCTTCCCTCCTCCCCTCCCCCGCCCACGCCGCAGCCACAAAATGGCGGCGGGTGGGAGCGGCGGGCGTGCGTCGTGCCCGCCGGGGGTCGGGGTCGGCCCGGGCACGGGGGGCAGTCCCGGGCCCAGCGCCAACGCCGCCGCCACCCCGGCCCCCGGCAACGCGGCCGCCGCCGCCGCCGCCGCCGCCGCCGCCGCCGCCGCCCCTGGGCCGACGCCGCCCGCCCCGCCGGGCCCCGGGACAGACGCGCAGGCCGCGGGCGCGGAGCGGGCGGAGGAGGCGGCGGGCCCGGGGGCGGCGGCGCTGCAGCGCGAGGCCGCGTACAACTGGCAGGCCAGCAAGCCCACCGTGCAGGAGCGCTTCGCCTTCCTCTTCAACAACGAGGTGCTGTGCGACGTGCACTTCCTGGTGGGCAAGGGGCTCAGCTCGCAGCGCATCCCCGCGCACAGGTGGGCGCCCCGACCCCGCCAGCCCTGGCCCCGACCCACCCAGCCTGCTGCCCGGGCCCTGCACCTGAGGCCCTGCACCCCTCTGTCCCCGAGACCCCCGCACCCCTCCATCCCCGAGCCCTGCACCCCTCTGTCCCCGGGACCCCTGCACCCCTGCATCCTCAGGCTCCGAACCCAACTCGGCCTGCACCCCGGGGCCTGCACCTGAGGCCCTGCACCCCTCTGTCCCTGGGACCCCTGCACCCCTCCGGTCCTGAAACCGACCCGGCCTGCACCCCGGGGCCTGCACCCTTCCATCCCTAGACTCCACCCAGTTCCCTGGGCTCTGCACCCCTCTGTCCCTGCCTCTGCACCTCTCTGTCCCCAGACCCCACCAGGCCTGCACTCTGGGCCTCTGCACCCCTCCATCCCCAGGCCCCCCTGGATCCTCCACCTCTGGCTTGCGCCCCCAGCCTGTTCCCCGGGATCCCAGGCCCTGTACCCCTGGGACCCCTGCTCTCCTCCGTCCCTGGACCCACCCAGCCTGCACTCCGGTACCCTCCGTTCCTGGGACCCTCCAACTCGGCCTGCACTTGGAGCCCCTGGGCCCCTCCATCCTCAAACCCCACCCAGCCCGCACCCCAGAACCCTGAATACCCCATCCTCAGGGCCCTCCACCCCCCGCCTGCACCCTAGGACCCTCCATTCTTCCATCCCCAGGACGCTCCATCCCTGGACCTCACCCCTCCCTGCACCCCAGGTCCCCAGACACCTCTGCCCCCAGATCCCTGGGCCCCTCCACCTCCGGCTGGAACCCCTGCCTACACCCCAGGCCCCTCCATCCCTGGACCCCACCTGGCCTGCATCCCTGGGTCCCCTCCATGCCCTGGCCCTGCACCCCCACCCACCACCCCTGGGACTCCTGTGACCCTCCAACCCTGGGACGTGTACCCCTATCTGCTCCTCCATTCCCAGGACCCCAACCCACTGTTTCTAGGACCCATGACCCCACATGCCACACCCCTCCATCCCTATACCCGGGGATCCTCAGGACCCCTCCATCCCCAGGCCCTGCACCCTTGCCTGCCGCCCCTCTCCCCCTGGGACCCCTACTGGTGACCCCTCCGTCCCTGTACCCAGGGACTCTCCAGGACCCCTCCTTCCCCAGGTCCTTCACCCCTGCCCACTGCCCTTCCACTCTCTACTCCCGGGGCCCCCTGGGACCCCACTACACTCAAGTGTGTCACCCCTGCATCCCAGGATGGAGAGACTTCTCCGCTCTCACCTGAGACCCCCCGTCCCCAGTCCTCACCACCTCAGTCCGTAACCCCCAACCTATGACTCCTGAACTCCAGGACCCCTCCCTTCAGGGGTCGTGCTATTTCCTCCACCCCCACCCATGACCACAAGACCCCTCCCTCTTCCCCCACCATCCAGGGACCCTGCCACTCCCACCCGCACCCCTGTGCGCCAAGACCCCTAGGCCTTGCTCCCTGCGTCCTCCCTGCTGCCTCCAGACCCAGTGACCCCCACCGGAGACCCCCAGGCTCAGCACATGATCTGGATCAGAGACCTTCAAACCATGCTGCTCCCCTCCAGGGATACCCCCTGCCCGCCCTGCAGTCCAGATCATAGACTACCATCCACAGCCCCTCCAGCCCCGGACCCCCACCTCAGCCAGAGACCCCTGGGCCCTGCCACCTCCCACTTCAGTGACCACCCACCTCCAGCTCCGCCACTGCCAGGCTCTGGACCCTGGACTCTGCAGAAGGTTGTCTCCCCTGGGCCCTGCTACCCCCTGCACCCCATCCTATGATCCCCTGCCACCAGGCCACCACCCTAGACCCCTGCCCAGACTCCCATCTCCGGGCCCTTCCAACCCAGAGACCCCCAGCTCCGGGGTCCCTCCCTCCCCAGCCCCCAGCCCTCCTTTCTGGGAAAGAAGTGGGTTTGGCCCAGTATCTGTCTTTGCCAGTGTGCGGGGTACCGGCCCCAGGCCCCAGGTTCCCTCCACTCCCCGGTCCCTCTTACCCTGCCCCTCATTGGTCGGGGGCAGGGGCTGGGTTTTCTTGCTGCGGGCACTGGAGGGGGAGGGTCCTGCCCTCCCTTCTGACCTTCGGGTGCTTTTGTTAACGTGTTCTGGCTTCTTCCTGGGTGTTTATGGGCAGCTGGGTCTCCTTTCGTGGGGTCCTGCCCTGGGCGGTACTTAGCAGAGGTTCCTGCCCCTGGAGGGTTCCGGGGCCTCCTACGGCTTGTGCCGTCCGTGTCGCCGTCCCTGTCTCTGTCGTCCTTAGCTGCTGGGCCTCTCCTAGCTTGGAGTGAGGGGCGGTGGGTTTGCTCCCTCCACCTGGGTGGTCTTTGTGCTCTTTGGGGAGGGGGTAGGTTGGATGCAGCTGGAACTCACCCAGCAGCAGGTGCAGCTGGAGAATCCCAGGCTTTCTGTTTGAGGGGGGAGGTGGGGCGCCCCGGGCACCGGCTGACCTTGGGACATGTATGCGATTGCACTTGAGGGACCGCTGGCTCGGTTGCAAAGTGGGGAAGATGGAGGCAGGACAAGGACCCCTTGGAGAAAAGTAGGTGAGGGGTCTGCCCCCGGGGGGCTCAGGAGAGGGCAATGAGGCCCAGCGGGAGATAGCAGCAAGGTAAGGTGGGCGGGCCTGGGACAGCGGACCCTCGACATGCGGGGTTAGGGGCGTGGACCCCCACTCAGCTCAAATCCAAGTACAACTTTTGACTCCCACGAACTTAACTAGGAATGGCTTCTCGCTGACCGGAGGCCTTGTGAGGACACTTGGTCAATGCACACCAGCCTCCTGTTCTCACAATAACAGGCTGGAGAACAGAAAATACATTCAGAAAAGTCTAAGGGGCCGGGTGCGGGGGCGCACGCCTGGAATCCCAGCACTTTGGGAGGCCGAGGCGGGCAGATCACGAGGTCGGGAGATCGAGACCAGCCTGGTCAACACGGTGAAACCCTGTCTCTACAAAAATACAAAAATTAGCCGGGCGTGGTGGCGCACACCTGTAATCCCAGCTACTCAGGAGGCTGAGGCAGGAGAATCTCGTGAACCCAGGAGGTGGAGGTTGCAGGGAACCGAGATTGCGCCATTGCACTCCAGCCCAGGCGACACAGTGACACACCATCTCAAAAAAAATAAAGGACAGGCTGGGCGCGGTGGCTCACGCCTGTAATCCCAGCACTTTGGGAGGCCGAGGCGGGCGAATCATGAGGTCAGGAGTTTGAGACCATCCTGGCCAACGTGGTGAAACACCGTCTCTACTAAAAATACAAAAAATTAGCCGGGTGTGGTGGTGCACAACTGTAGTCCCAGCTACTTGGGAGGCTGAGGCAGGAGAATCACTTGAACCCGGGAGGCGGAGGTTGCAGTGAGCCGAGGTTGCGCTACTGCACTCCAGCCTGGGCGACAGAGCAAGACTCTGTCTCAAAAAAAAAAGGAAAAAAAATAAAAGGAGAAATCCTGTTTGCTGTTCACACAGTGGAGGTGGCCACGATGAAGGCCTGTGTCCTTGTGTTCATATTGAGGGCTGAGGAGCAGGAGCAGGAGGGTGGGTCTGTCTCCGGGGTGGCAGAGGTGGAAGGGGAGGCAGGAGAGGCCGGCACCGTTGGGGCAGCCTTTATTGAAAAAATTCACATATGAGTGGACCTGTGCAGTTGAAGCCTGCCTTGTTGAAAGGTCATCTGTGTTTCCTTAGCATTTCAGGAGGGTTGAAAATGGAGAGGGGGCACTGACCTGGTCCAGAACGACCCCCTGAGCAAGTGATGTTGATGGAGAGTGCAGTGCCCCAGGCTCAGGGATGGAAGGCCCAGAGCCCAGAGGGGCTGGGCAGGTGGGAGCCATGGCAAGGCCGGAGCAGGAGGAGTGAGGGAGGCCCTGTGGCCCAGTGTGACCAGATCCGCATTGAGGGTGGAACGCGCCGTGGATGGGCCCAGGAGCGAGGCTGGGGAGTAGCAGCTGCAGACTCCAGGCAGGAGACAGCAGCGGGCTCGGTGGGGACGGCAGAAATGAGGGGTAGAGGATGCAGGTCCTCTTTGGAGGAAGCGAGTTCCTGTGGCCAGGAGAGGAGGCAGCTTGGCAGGTGAGGGCGTGGGGGGCTGTGGTGGGGGTCCCCAGACTTCTGGCTGGAGCATCACAAGCCAGGACAGGCTCAGGAGGGACAAGTACTGGCTTGGATGTGTTGGCGGGACCTGGGGCTGAGAGGTCCGCAGAGCAGTGTGTCCCAAGTGCTCTGTGCCTCAGTTTCCATGATTGAAACAAGGTCACTCAGACACATCTGTCCTGGGGCTGTGGGAACAAACGGACCCGATGGGTTGCTGACAGCCACAGGCCACACAGCAGAGAGAAAGAAAACAGCAGCTGAGGCCGGGCGCAGTGGCTCACGCCTATCATCCCAGCACTTCGGGAGGCCGAGATGGGCAGACATCTGAGGTCAGGGGTTTGAGACCAGCCTGGCCATCGTGGCAAAACCCCGTCTCTACTAAAAATACACAAATAAGCTGGGCGCGGTGGCACGCACCTGTAATCCCAGCTACTCAGAGTCTGAGGCAGGAGGATGGCTTGAATCCGGAAGGCAGAAATTGCAGTGAGCCAAGATTGCGCCACTGCACTCCAGCCTGGGTGACAGGGCGAGACTCCGTCTCAAAAAAAAAAAAAAGGTGGGGGGATGTCGGGACGAACTGGGGGTGCTGGGATAAAGTCTGGAGTTCACCGATGAGCAGAGAGGGGCCGGGCCTTGCCAGCTGTGAGGAGAGCAAGTGGCCTGGGCTTGGGCCTGGTCCCTGGCGGGGGTGCAGGGTGAGCTGAGACATGGCAGAGAGGAGGCTGGGAGCAGGCCTTGGTGGTGGCCCCAGTGTCTGGACCGTCGCGCAGGGGTCGGCGTTTGTGCTGGGGAGGAGGCCAGGGGTTGCACGCGGCTTCTGGGCTGTTCCCCGGTCCTGGATGGGCACCCGTCCATCTCAGCGCGCTGGAGCCTGGCACACAGTAGGCACGCAGTGATTGTGCATTGAATGATCTGTGGGAATTAAACATCTGATTCTCTCATGGGGCTTGAAGGGAGAACTGAAGATCTCCAGGGTTGCACTTTTGTAGATGTGCACATTGGCTGGTCCCATGAAGTTAGTATCTAAAATACCTTTTTCTTTTTTTTGAGACGGAGTCTCGCTCTGTTGCCCAGGCTGGAGTCCAGTGGCGCGATCTCCGCTCACTGCAAGCTCCGCCTCCCAGGTTCATGCCATTCTCCTGCCTCAGCCTCCCGAGTAGCTGGGACTACAGGCACCCGCCACCACACTTGGCTAATTGTATTTTTTAGTAGAGACGGGGTTTCACCATGTTAGCCGGGCTAGTCTCAAACTCCCGACCTCAGGTGATCCGCCCACCTCGGCCTCCCAAAGTGCTGGGATTACAGGCGTGAGCCACCGCACCTGGCCTCCCCTCCTTTTTTGTTTTTTTGAGACAGAATCTTGCTCTATTGCCCAGGCTGGGGTACAGTGGCGTGATCTCCGCATGCTGCAGCCTTCAGCTCCCTGGCTCAAGCAATTCTCCTGTCTCAGCCTTCTGAGTAGCTGGGATTACAGGTGTGCGCCACCACGCCCAGCTAATTTTTGTATTTTTAGTAGAGACAGTATTTCCGTCATGTTGCCCAGGGTGATGGTGAACTCCTGAGCTCAGGTGATCCACCCACCTCGGCCTCCCAAAGTGCTGGGATTCCAGGTGTGAGCCACCGCGCCCAGCCTAACGTATCTTTATTCACTCTATCATGGAACTGTCAGCATTGTAGCGAGGTCTAGAAGTAGAACAATCTGGGTGGGTGTGGTGGCTCACGCCTGTAATCCCAGCACTTTGGGAGGCCGAGTCAGGCGGATCACGAGGTCAGGAATTTGAGACCAGCCTGGACAACATGGTGAAACCCCGTCTCTACTAAAAATACAAAAAATTAGCCTGGTGTGGCGGTGGGCACCTGTAATCCCAGCTACTTGGGAGGCTGAGGCAGGAGAATTGCTTGAACCCGGGAGGCGGAGGTTGCAGTGAGCCAAGATCACGCCACCACACTCCAACCTGGGTGACAGACTGAGACTCCGCCTCAAAAAAGAAGAAAAAAGAAAAACCACAAAAATTAGCCGGGCGTGGTGGCGAGCGCCTGTAACCCCAGCTACTGGGGAGGCTGAGGCAGGATAATCGTTTGAACCTGGGAGGCGGAGGTTGCAGTGAGCCAGGATTGTGCCACTGCACTTCAGCCTGGGTGACAAAGCGAGACTCTGTCTTGGAAAAAAAAAAAAAAGAACAGTGTGTTCTGGGGTCTCACATTTCATTGACTGCTTTGTGAGTCCTTGTTCCCATAACACATTGTTTGATGATTGCTGCTTTGTGGTATGTTTTGAGAACTGCTCACCAAATTCTTCCCAACTTTATTCTTTGTGAAGACTTTTCAGGCTGAGTGCAGTGGCTCACATCTGTAATCCCAGCACTTTGGGAGGCTGAGGTGGGAGGATCACTTGACCCCAGGAGTTCGAGACCAGTCTGGCCAATATAGCGAGACCTCATTACTTGGACATGGTGGTGTGTGCCTGTGGTCCCTGCTACTCAGGAGGCTCGGGTAGGAGGATCACCTGAGCCTGGGAGGTTGCCGCTGCAGTGAGCCATGATCCTACCACTGCACTCCATCCTGGGCGATAGAGTGAGACTCTGTCCCTAAAAAAAAAAAAAAAAAAAGCTGGGCACAGTGGCTCACGCCTGTAATCCCAGCATTTTGGGAGGCCAAGGCGGGCAGATCACCTGAGGTCAGGAGTTCGAGATCAACTTGGCCAACATAGTGAAACTCTGTCTGTATTAAAAATACAAAAAGTACCCAGGCATGGTGGCTTGCACCTGCTGCTTGAGAGGCTGAGGCAGGAGAACCGCTTAAACCTGGGTGGCAGAGGTTGTGGTGATCTGAGATCGCACGACTGGGCTCCAGCTTGGGCAACACAGCGAGACTCCACCTAGAAAAAAAAAAAAAGAGTGGGCGCAGTGGCTCACCCCTGTAATCCCAGCACTTTGGGAGGCTGAGGCAGGCGGATCACCTGAGGTCAGGAGTTTGAGAGCAGCCTGGCAAACATAGTGAAACCTTGTCTCTACTAAAAATACAAAATTAGCCAGGCGTGGTGGCAGGTGCCTGTAATCCCAGCTACTCGGGAGGTTGAGGCAGGAGAATTGCTTGAACCTGGGAGGTGGAGGTTGCAGTGAGCTGAGATCGTGCTGCTGCACTCCAGCCTGGGCAAAAAGAGTAAAATTCTGTCTCAAAAAAAAAAAAAGACTTTCTCAGCTGGTCTGACACATTTATTACTCTTCTAGAATCAGTCACCCACATCCACCCATCTGTCCACCCTACAGATACTCACTGAAATACAGTCCTGGCTACAGGAGGTGCATATGACAGAAAAACATCTCCTTCCTTATGGAACTTATATTCTGTGTTTTGTTTTATTATTTTTTGAGACAGAGTCTCGCTCTGTTGCCCAGGCTGAAGTGCAGTGGCATGATCTTGGCTCGCTGCAAAGCTCTGCCTCCTGGGTTCCCGGCAGTTCTCTTGCCTCAGCCTCCCGAGTGGCTGGGATTACAGGTGTGCACCACCACACCCGGCTAATTTTTGTATTTTTAGAGACGGGGTTTCGCCATTTTGGCCGGGCTGGTCTCAAACTCCTGACCTCAGGCTATCCCCGGCCTCCCAAAGTACTGGGATTACAGGTGTGAGCTACCGTCCCTGGCCTAAGGCGGGAAGATCTTTTGAAGCCAAGAGTTTGGTACCAGTGTGGGCAACATAGTGAGACCTTGACTGTGTGTAAAACAAAACCAAAACAGATAAAAGACACAGGTGCCAGCAAATTCATGTGAAGGGTCAGATAGTAAATATTTTTGGCAGGCCATACTGTCTCAGTTGCAGCTACTTAATTCTGCCGTAGCAGCACAAAAAGCCATAAATCAACAACATGTAACTGAGCAAGAAGAGCTGTGTTCTAATAAAACTTTATTGGCCAGGTGCAGTGGATTACACCTGTAATCCTGGCACTTTCGGAGGCCGAGGCAGGAGTATCACCTCAGGTCAGGAGTTCAAGACCAGCCTGGCCAACATGGTGATACTCCGTCTCTACTAAAAATACAAAAAGTGGCTGGGCGCAGTGGCTCACGCCTGTAATCCCAGCACTTTGGGAGGCCGAGGCAGGTGGATCATGAGGTCAGGAGTTCAAGACCAGCCTGGCCAAGATGGTGAAACCCCATCTCTACTAAATATACAAAAATTAGCCGGGCGTGGTGGCGAGCGCCTGTAATCCCAGCTGCTTGGGAGGCTGAGGCAGGAGAATTGCTTGAACCTGGGCAGCAGAGGTTGCAGCGAGCCGAGATCGCGTCACTGCACTCCAGCCTGGGCGATAGAGTGAGACCGTCTCAAAAAAATAAAAAATAAAAAAATTAGCTGGGCATGGTGGTGAGCACCTGTAATCCCAGCTACGTAGGAGGCTGAGGCAGGAGAATCGCTTGAATCTGGGAGGAGGAGGTTGCAGTGAGCTGAGGTAGTGCCAGTGCAGGCCAGCCTGGTCAACAAGAGTGAAACTCCGTCTCAGAAAAAAAAAAAACTTAATTTACAAAAACAAGTGGTGGGCCAGATTCACTCTAAGGGCCATAGTTTGCCAGCCCTGGGCTAACGGTGCCTGATGATCTTGAGAATCAGTTTGTCAAGTGATAAAGGAATTTACTGAGGAGATTGGTCTTTCTAAGGACATAAAGTTGGGTGATTTTTCTTTTCTTTTTTTTTTTTTTTGAGACGGAGTCTCGCTCTGTCGCCCAGGCTGGAGTGCAGTGGCACAGTGTCAGCTCACTGCAAGCTCCGCTTCCTGGGTTCAAGTGATTCTCCTGCCTCAGCCTCCCGAGTAGCTGGCATGTTTACTTTTATCTGGTTTGAACTGTTTCTTCCTGAAGCCTTATTAGGTTTAACAGTTTTTCTGTGGTCTTGTGCTCTGCAGTAGAGTATCCTGTAGTAAGCGGGATGGTTTGGATGTGTGCTGTCCAATACTAGGCACTCATGTGCCAGTACGGACTACAGATGTGGACAGTGTGACCGAGGAGTTGAATGTTGAATTCAGCTGAATTTGGATATAGATTTAAATAGCCATGTGTGTCTAGTATTGACCCCTTGGACTCTTAGACTTTTTAAAAATTAAATTTTTTTTTTTTTTTTTAGAGACAGGGTCTCACTCTGTCACCCACACTGGAGTTCAGTGGCTCGATCATAGCTCACTGCAGCCTCCAGCTTCTGGGCTCAAACAGTCCTCCCACCTTAGCCTCCCAAGTAGCTGGGACTATAGACATGCACCACTATGCTCGGCTGATTTTTTTCTGTTTAGTAGAGATGGGGTCTGCTGTGTTGCTCAGGCTGGTCTTGAACTTGTGGGTTCAGGTGATCCTCCCAACTTGGCCTCCCAAAGCACTGGGATTACAGGTGTGAGCCACTGCTTTGGCTAAAAAATAATTTTTTTTTTTTTTTTTGAGACGGAGTTTTGCTCTTGTTCCCAGGCTGGAGCGCGATGGTGTGATCTTGGTTCACTGCAACCTCTGCCTCCCAGGTTCAAGCGATTCTCCTGTCTCAGCCTCCTTAGTAGCTGGGATTACAGGCTCCGGCCACTGCACCTGACTACGTTTTGTATTTTTAGGAGAGATGGCGTTTCATCCTATTGGTCAGGCTGGTCTCGAACTCCTGACCTCAGGTGATCCACCCGCCTCGGCCTCCCAAAGTGCTGGGATGACAGACATGAGCCACTGCGCCTGGCTAAAAAATAATTTTAAAAATTAGCCAGGCATGGTGGTGCACGCCCTAGTCCCGGATACTCAGGAGGCTGAGGTGAGAGGATCACTTGAGCCCAGGAAGTCAAGGCTGCAGTGAGCTGTGATCATAGCACTGCACTCCAGCCTGGGTGACAGAGTGAGACCCTGCCTCAAAAAAGAAAATGTTAAACGTCAGGGTCATTCCACTCCGAGGCATTTATCCAGGAGAAGGAGAATCTGTGTCCTCACACAGCCTCGTGCGTGAATGCCCAGAGCAGCATGATTCACAGTAGCTCAAAACCGGAAAACCCGCAGACCAGCCAGTGAGTGCAGAAACAAACCGCGGTTCACAGATTCCATGGAATTTGGCAGTCAAAAGAATTCCTGGCTGGGCGCAGTGGCTCACGCCTGTAATCCCAGCACTTTGGGAGGCCGAGACAGGCAGATCACGAGGTCAGGAGATTGAGACCATCCTGACTAACACGGTGAAACCCCGTCTCTACTAAAAATACAAAAAAATTAGCCGGGCGTGGTGGTGGGCGCCTGTAGTCCCAGCTACTCGGGAGGCTGAGGCAGGAGAATCGCTTGAACTTGGGAGACGGGTTGCAGTGAACCGAGATGGCACCACTGCACTCCAGCCTGGGTGACAGAGCAAGACTCCATCTAAAAAAAAATAATAATTTTTTTTTTGTAGAGATGGGGTCTTTCTATGTTGCCGAGGCTGGTCTCAAACTCCTGGGCTCAAGTGATCCTCCTGCCTTGGCCTCTCGAAGTCCTGGGATTACAGGCATGAGCCACTGCTCCTGGCCTGATTTTATTTTCGACTCAGGGGGTATATATGAAGGTTTGTTATGTGAACCCTGAATATCTGAGACAGGTCTCAGTCAATTTAGAAAGTTTATTTTGCCTGGCCGGGGGCGGTGGCTCACGCCTGTAATCCCAGCACTTCGGGAGGCCGAGGCGGGCGAATCACCTGAGGTCAGGAGTTGGAGACCAGCCTGAACAACATGGAGAAACCCCGTCTCTACTAAAAATGCAGAATTAGCTGGGCGTGGTGATGCATGCCTGTAATCCCAGCTACTCGGGAGGCTGAAGCAGGAGAATTGCTTGCACCCGGGAGGCAGATTTTGTGATTTTGTGGTGAGCTGAGATCATGCCATTGCACTCCAGCCTAGGCAACACTAGTGAAACTCCATCTCAAAAAAAAAAAAAAAAAAGTTTGTTTTGCCAACATTAAGGATGTGTGCCTGTGACACAGCCTCAGGAGGTCCTGACGGTATGTTCCCAGGGTGGGTGGGGCACAGGTTGGTTTTATACATGTTAGGGGACATGAGACATCAATCAATATATGTAAAATGAACATTGGTTCAGTCCAGAAAGGGGGGAAACTCTTAGCTGGGAGGGGCTTCCAGGTCATAGGTAAGAAACAGACCATTGCATTGAGTTTCTGATGAGCCTTTCCAAAGGCAGCAATCAGATACGCATTTATCTCGGTGAGCGGAGGGATGGCTGAGTTCTCTCTGTCCTTTGTCTGCAAGGAATTTCCTTGTGGACAGATTGGGAGGGAGGTATGTAGCTTTTTTATCTTGGTAGCTGTCTTTTTAAGGAATAGAACAGAAGGCTGGTTTGCCCTAAGCGGTTCCAGCTTGATTTTTCCCTTTGGAGTAGTGATTTTGGGGTCCAGAGATTCCTTTTTCTTTTCTTTTCTTTTCTTTCTCTTTTTTTTTTTTTTCTTTGACGGAGTTTCGTTTTTGTTGCCCAGGCTGGAGTGCAATGGCGTGATCTCGGCTCATCACAACCTCCGCCTCCCGGGTTCAAGCGATTCTTCTCCTGCCTCAGCCTCCCGAATAGCTGGGATTACAGGCATGCATCACCACACCCGGCTAATTTTGTATTTTTAGTAGAGACGGGATTTCTCCATGTTGGTTAGGCTGGTCTTGAACTCCCAACCTCATGTGATCACCTGCCTTGGCCTCCCATAGTGCTGGGATTACAGGCGTGAGCCACCGCACCTGGCCTTTTTTGTTTGTTTGAGACGGAGTCTTGCCCTGTCGCCCAGGCTCGAGTGCAGTGATGCAATCTTGGCTCACTGCGACCTCCACCTCCTGGGTTCAAGCAAGTCTCTTGCTTCAGCCTCCCGAGTAGCTGGGATTACAGGTGCACGCCACCATGCCTGGCTAATTTTTGTACTTTTTTAGCAGAGACGGGGTTTCACCATGTTGGCCAGGCTGGTCTTGAACTCCCGACCTTGTGATCTGCCTGCCTCGGCCTCCCAAAGTGCTGGGATTACAGGGGTGAGCCACTGCACCCAGCCTGTGTGCGGCTAAGTTTTAAACTTTTCGTAGAAAAGTA
This sequence comes from Homo sapiens, assembly GCF_000001405.40. NCBI lineage: Eukaryota > Metazoa > Chordata > Mammalia > Primates > Hominidae > Homo > Homo sapiens. Next base: position 2,003,153 of record NC_000019.10, on the reverse strand, counting down.
GGCAAGGCGGAGTCTTGCTACATTGCTCAGGCTGATCTTCAGCTCTTGGGCTAAAACGATCCTCCTGCCTTGGCCTCCCAAAGTGGCGTCTTTCTTTTGATGTTGACGTAGCCACTCCAGCTCTCATGGTTTCTGTTTGGATATAAAGGAAAATCTGTTTTTACTCCTCATAGGAGTTCTGGCACTGTGTGTGGGTTTTCCACAGCAAGTGATTCCTCATCTTGTAGATACAAACTGGGCATACTACAATTTTTTTTTCTTTTTTTTTTTTTTTTTTGAGACGGAGTCTCACTCTGTCGCCCAGGCTGGAGTGCCGTGGCGCAATCTCAGCTCACTGCAAGCTCCGCCTCCTGGGTTCACACCATTCTCTTGCCTCAGCCTCCCGAGTAGCTGGGACTACAGGCGCCCACCACCACGCCTGGCTAATTTGTTTTTGGTATCTTTAGTAGAGACGGGGTTTCACCGTGTTAGCCAGGATGGTCTCGATCTCCTGACCTCATGATCCACCCGCCTCGGCCTCCTAAAGTGCTGGGATTACAGGCATGAGCCCCTGTGCCCGGCGGCATCCTACAATTTAACTCAACCCTCACACCCACCATCCAGAGTGAGCACAGACCCCACAGGTGGTCAGCTGAGCCCCGTGCCACCCACGTCAGATGCCTGTTGCAGGGGCGAGTCCCCAGGTGACCCACACTTCTCTCTGACTAAAATCAGGAGTCCCACATCTCCGTCCTTGAGCTTGATAATTAGCCATAACAGCTTACAGAACTTCGAGAAATACAGTTATCAGTTTGCCTGTAATCACAGCGCTTTGGGCAGCTGAACTGGGAGGATCGCTTGAGCCCAGGGGTTTGAGACCAGCCTGGGCAACATAGCGAGACCCCGTCTGTACAAAACATTTAACAGTTAGCTGGGCATTGTGGCTTGTGTGTGTGTTCCCAGCTACCGGGAGGCTGAGGTGGGATCATTGCTTGAGTCCAGGAGGTTGAGGCTGCAGTGAGCTATGATCGTGCCACTGCACTTCAGCCTGGGTGACAGAGTGAGACCACACCTGTAAAAACTAAAAATAAAAATGAAATAAAAATAAATGAAAGATTTAATAAAGGACATCTCTTCCAGGCGTGGGGGCTCACACCTGTAATCCCAGCACTTTGGGAGACGGAGGCGGGCGGATCATCTGACGTCAGGAGTTCGAGGCCACCCTGGCCAACATGGTGAAACCCCATCTCTACTAAAAAAATACACAAATTAGCCAGGCATGGTGGTGCTATGCTTGTAGTCCCAGCTACTCGGGAGGCTGAAGTAGGAGGCTCACTGGAACTCGGGAGGCGGAGGTTGCAGTGAGCCAAGATTGCGCCACTGCACTCCAGCCTGGGCGGCAGAGCGAGACTCCGTCTCAAAACACAAAAACAGCAAGGACATCTTGCAGCCAGATGAAGAGGTTCACATGTCCAGAGGGTATCGGAGCACCTGCACCTGTGTCCTGTGGGCTCGGGACGGCCACCCTCGTGGCACGTGGATAAAGTCACCAGCTTGGAGGTTCAGCCCTGTGGTTTAAGGCTCTTCATGGACGTTGCATTGCGTAGATTACATCACGGAATCATTGGCCCTTTGTGCACCACACAATTCTTTCGGTCTTTAACCTGTTTTCTTTTCTTTTTGAGATGGAGTCTCAGGCTTGTAGCCCAGGGTGCAGTGCAGTGGTACGATCTCAGCTCACTGCGACCTCCGCCTCCAGGGTTCAAGCAATTCTCCTGCCTCAGCCTCCTGAGTATCTGGGATTACAGGTGCCACCACGCCCGGCTAATATTTTGTATTTTTAGTAGAGACGGGGTTTCACCGTGTTAGCCAGGATGGTCTTGATCTCCTGACCTCGTGATCCACTGCCTCGGCCCCCCAAAGTGCTGGGATTACAGGTGTGAGCCACCGTGCCCGGTGCCTCCTGGGTTCTAAGTGATTCTCCTGCCTCAGCCTCCTGAGTAGCTGGGACTACAGGTGTCCACCACCACACCTGGCTAATTTTTGTATTTTTCATAGAGACAGGGTTTCACCATGTTGGCCAGGCTGGTCTCGAACTCCTGATCTTAGGTGAGCCGCCCGCCTCAGCCTCCCAAAGTGCTGGGAGTACAGGCGTGAGCCACTGTGCCCGTCCCCCATCCTTTCTGTCTCTGAATCTGAGGACTCTGGGGACCTCCTAGGAGTGGATCACACAGGATTTGTCCTTCTGTGCCTGGCGTCTGTCATAGAGCACGACGTCTTCAAGGCGCATCTGCACCGGGTCCTGCATCAGAGCCTCGTTCCTGTTTGTGGCTGGGTCGTGTTCCAGTGCGTGGGTGGTCGCACCGTGTCTGTCAATGGACGCTGGTTGTTTCCCCCGTTCGGAGTTGGGAATCGTGCTGCTGTGAGCAATTGTGGATGTGTTTTTGTGTGGCCGTGTGTTCTCGATTTGTTTGGAAGGGGAAGGGGTTACAGATACATGAAGGGGGGAACAGCCGGGAGTGGGGCTGGGGACTCACGGTGGGCAGAGGAGGCAGTAGCGGTGCCCAGGGGTCGAATCCTGAAGGCCCATGCAGGTGTCTCCAGGGAGGGGCTCGGTGTTGGAGGAGCCCCTGCCTTGGGGACCGGCAGAGCTGCCTGGGGACCCGCCCATGTCAGAGGTGCTCCCTGATTCCAAACTGCATGGACGGCCCACGCCGGGCCCACTTGAGTGCCTCCTGCTTTCTGCTTTTGAACCCTCCTCAAAGGTTTTCCCCACAGGAGACCAAGATACATTTTTAAATCAAGAAAGAGAAGTCCCACGCACAGGTACTCTATTTCTGGAACATCGTGTGGGAGGGGAGCGTTTGTCCTGGGGCACCAGCTGTGGGTGATGGCGCAGGGCCCTGAGGCCTGGGCCCTTGAGGACGCGGCCAGGAGGGCAGACGGGCGGGCGGCAGTCCCAATGCCCACACACTGGGGGGGTCAAACTCAGTGGGTTCATCCTCTGCCAGTCCCGGAGCCCAGGACCATGGATCAAGGCGTCCGAGGGCGGCGCTCCCTCTGGAGGCTCAAGGGAGGATCCTCCTGCCCCACCCAGCTTCTGGGGACTCCAGACGTCCTTGGCCTGTGGCCGCATCGCTCCAGTCCCTGCTTCATGCGGCCGCCCACTCTGTTTCTTTTTTCTTTTTCTTTTTTTTTTTTTTTTTGAGGTGGAGTCTTTAGTCTTGCTCTGTCACCCAAGCAGGAGTGCAATGGCGTGATCTTGGCTCACTGAAACCTCCGCCTCCCGGGTTCAAGCAATTCTCCTGCCTCAGCCTCCTGAGTAGCTGGGATTACAGGCACCCACCACCACGCCCAGCTAATTTTTGTATTTTTAGTAGAGACGGGGTTTCACCATGTTGGCCAGGCTGGTCTCCCAACTCCTGACCCCAGGTGATTTGCCTGCCTTGGCCTCCCAAAGTGGTGGGATTACAGGCGTGAGCCACTGCACCTGGCCTTTTTTTTTTTTTGAGACAGAGTCTTGCTCTGTTGCCCAGGCTGGAGTGCAGTGGCGCAGTCCTGGCTCTCTGAAGCCTTGACCTCCTGGGCTTAAGCAGTCCTCCTGCCTCAGCCTCCTGAGTCGCTAGGATTGCACTTGCTCACCACGATGCCTGGCTAATTTTCAATGTTTTTGTAGAGATGGGGTCTCACTATGTTGCCCAGGCTGGTCTCAAACTCCTGGGCTCAAGCGATCCTCCCGCCTTGGTCTCCCACATGCTGGGATGACGGGTGTGGGCCACCGTGCCCGGCCTGTTTCTCCTCCTTCCAAAAACACCAGCCACTGTTTAGGGCCAGCCTTCCCCGGCGCCTTCGTCCTGACTCACGGAGTTAGCACCGGCCTGTTTCCGCCGGGCCTCGCATTCCGAGGTTCGGGGCGGATGTGGAAGCTGTGGTCGGGGCCCATGTGGAAGCCACTGCGTTGGTTTCTGACCTGACTCTGGGGTGCAGTCAAGCCCTGGGCTGGACCGGGTGGGCTGAGGGCCTGCGGGGTTTAGGGGGGCGCGTGTGGTGGGAGGAGAGCGAGGAGCTTCTCCTCGGAAGACGGGGGCTTTCCCGGGAGCTGTGTGGAGGTCGCCCAGCCAGTCCTGGAGGTTCAGCTGTGCAGGAGTGAGAAGCAGGTCCCATCCGTGCGGAACCACCTGTAGCTCCGGAGCTTTCCGGGCGTGGGGAGGCTGTTGAGAGCCGGCACTTGCTGTGGTGGGAGACTTGGAAGGGGACAGGTGGGGAAGAGGTGACGCAGGGACCGCAACGTCCTGGGGCAGGTGCTCCGCCGCGCGCAGGCCGAGCGTCTGTGATCCCACTTCGCGAGCGTCTGTGAACCCGCCCCACCAGCGTCTGTGCCCCTGCTGAGTGTCTGTGACCCCCCTATGCTGTGTGTGCTCTCAGCCCCCTGGGAGGCCATCGTGTGGGCAGGCCCTGGGGACTGTACATGGACAGCACAGAGTGGCGTCTTGAGCCTGGGAGCCGTGGAGTTCTCCCCACCCCATACAGACCTGGCCAAACGCGGGTTCATAGCCGGCTCTTGGGGAGGCACCAGCAGCCTTTCTCTGCTCACCGCACCCTCCTGCCTGTGGCGATATCGAAGATCTGAGCCACTGAGTGGGCCCCATAGGCAGCCTGAGCTTCACACGGGGCAGAACCCCCAGCGTCCTCACAGCCACCGCTTTCCCAGCTGGGGCCACCCCTGCTGCCTCCTAACGCTCCTCCCACGCTCCTGCTGTTCCTGGGCCTCCATGCCCTTCCCCATGGACGTGGCGGCTCAGATGACCCCACAGGGCTTCCCTGGGCCTTGCGTTCCTGATGGGACCACGCTCCTCTCTCTTCTCTCACTCAGTGGGGGCTGTTCGGCCATTTGGTCCTCGTCTGTCTCCCTCAGTGAGGCCAGGCCCTGTGCCTGTAGCTGACTCCCTGGGAAAGCTTGTGCTGATGAGGGAATGCGTGAGCAGGAGAGTGATAGAGAGTAGACGAGTGTGAATGAATGAGTGAATAATGAGACTAAGTGGATGAGTGCATGTGGGAATGAACGAATGTGTGTGTGTGTGAATGGGTGAGTGAATGAGTGTGCGATGAATGAGAAAGTGAATGAATGCATGTGTCATAAATGAGCAAGTGAATGCATGCCCACGGGAATGAATCAGTGGATCAATGAATGCATGTGTGGATGAATGAATGAGTGCATGTGTATGAGTTGAGTGAATGTACATGGAAATTAGTTAATGAATGAATATGTGAATGAATGAGTGAATGAACGCCTGTGTGAATGAATGCATGTGAATGAGCGAGTGAATGCATGCATGAATGAACGTATGTGTGAATGCATGTGTGAATGAACACGTGTGAATAAATGCATGCATATGGGAATGAGTGAATGAGTGCGTGCCTGACGCCTGGAAGGAAAGAGAGAGGATGGTGAGGGCTGGCAGAGCGTGAGGCCCTGTGTGGCCCAGGGCATGGTCCTAGCCCTGCCTGTCCTTGCCGTGGGTCCGTCTGCATCACCCTCCTGCTGTCCCAGGCCCCTTCCAGAAGCCTCTGCCATCGGGGGGCCTGGTACATGCCTGCTGGAGGCTGGCAGGGAGCCCTAGTGGGGTGGTCACCCAGGATACCGGGCTGGCCCTCCCGGCCGTGGGGTGGCGGCCACGGGCTTAACCAGGGCCTTCTCTCTCCCGTACCAGGTTCGTGCTGGCCGTGGGCAGCGCCGTCTTTGATGCCATGTTCAACGGGGGAATGGCCACAACATCCACGGAGATTGAGCTGCCCGACGTGGAACCCGCTGCCTTCCTCGCACTGCTCAAGTAATGCTTCCGGATGCTTCCTGCTGGGGAGCTGGGCCTGGGGAGGGGGACCTCAGAGAACGTAGACCCTGTCTGACACCAGCTCAGAGGCCCTGGCTTGGTGGAGATTTCTAGAACGTTCCTGTGCAATGAGGGGTTCCAGAGGCACTTTTTTTTTTCTTTTTGAGATGGAGTCTCGCTCTGTTGCCCAGGCTGGAGTGCAGTGCCGTGATCTTGGCTCACTGCAACCTCAGTCTTCCAGGTTCAAGTGATTTTCCTGCCTCAACCTCCTAAGTAGCTGGGACTACAGGCTCGTGCCACCACGCCCGGCTAATTTTTTTGTATTTTTAGTAGAGATGGGGTTTCACTGTGTTAGTCAGGATGGTCTCGATCTGACATCATGATCCACCCACCTCAGCCTCCCAAAGTGCTGGGATTACAAGCCTGAGCCACCGCGCCCAGCCCAGAGGCACCCTTTTTATTTTATATTTTTTAGACGTGGTCTTGCTCTGTTGCCCAGGATGGAGTGCAGTGGTGTGATCTCAGCTCATTGAGACCTCCGACTTCCTGGTTCAAGTGATTCTCCTGAGTACCTGGGATTACAGGTGTTCACCACCACACCCAGCTCATTTGTGTGTTTTTCAGTAGAGACAGCGTTTCTCTATGTTGGCCAGGCTGGTCTCAGACTCCTGGCCTCAGGTGATCCGCCTGCCTCAGCCTCCCAAAGTGCTGGGATTACAGGCATGAGCCACTGTGTCCAGCCAGTTCCCTGCTTTTCTTTTTCTTTTCTTTTCTTTCCTTCTTTTTTTTTTTTTTTTTGACAGTTTTGCTCCTGTTGCCCAAGCTGGAGTACACAAACAAAAAATAACAACAACAACAAAAAAAAGGAAACATCAGTGAAAGAAATTTAAAAAGACACAATAAATGGAAACACATCCCATGTCCATGGATTGAAGAGAATATTGTTAAGATGTCCACACAACCCACTGCGATCTGCAGTCAGTATAATCCTATCAGAATTACTGTTTTTTGCAAAAATAGAAAAACTATCCTAGAATTCATATGGAATCCCAAGGGACCCTGAATAGCCACAACGATCTTGAAAAAGAACAAAGTTGGAGGGCTCATACTTTCTGATTTCAAAACTCACTGCAAAGCTACAATCATCAAAACAGTGTGGTACTGGCGTAAGGACAGAACGTGGGGACCAATGGAATGGAACAGAGAGCTCAGAAATAAATACCTTTGCACATAGGGTTAAATAATTTTTTGCAAGGGTGCCAAGGCCATTCAACAGAAAAGAGAGTTTAACAAATAGCACAGGCACAACTAGAAATACACATGCAGAAGAATGAAGTTAGACCCTTACCTTACTGTATATAAAAATTAACTCAAATAGATCAAAGTCCAGGCTGGGCACGGTGGCTCACGCCTGTAATCCCAGTACTTTGGGAGGCTGAGATGGGCGGATCACGAGATCAGGAGATTGAGACCATGCTGGCTAACATGGTGAAACCTCGTCTCTATTAAAAATAGAAAAAATAAATAAAAAATAAGAAAATTAGCCGGGCATGGTGGCGGACGCCCGTAGTCGCAGCTACTTGGGAGGCTGAGGCAGGAGAATGGCGTGAACCCGGGAGATGGAGGTTGGAGTGGACTGAGATCATGCCACTGCACTCCAGCCTGGGCGACAGAGCGAGACTCTGTCTCAAAAAAAAAAAAAATAGATCAAAGTCCAAAATGTAAGATCTAGACCTGTAAAATACTTAGAAGAATCCAAAGTGGCCAGGCGCAGTGGCTCAGGCCTGTAATCCCAGCACTTTGGGAGGCCGAGGTGGGTGGATCATGAGGTCAGGAGATCGAGACCATCCTGGCTAACACGGTGAAACCCCGTCTCTACTAAAAATACAAAAAAATTAGCCGGGCATGGTGGCAGGCGCCTGTAGTCCCAGCTACTCAGGAGGCTGAGGCAGGAGAATGGTGTGAACCCAGGTGGCAGAGCTTGCAGTGAGCTGAGGTCATGCCACTGCACTCCAGCTTGGGCAACAGAGCAAGACTCCCTCTCAAAAAAAAAAAAAAAAAAAAGAATCCAAAGTATGGCTAGGCGCGGTGGCTCACACCTGTAATCCCAGCACTTTGGGAGGCTGAGGTGGGTGGATCACCTGAGGTCAGGAGTTGGAGACCAGCCTGGGCAACAAGGCAAAACCCCATCTCTACAAACATACAAAAATTAGCTGGGCATGGTAGCAGGCACCTGTAACCCCAGCTACTCAGGAAGCTGAGGCAGGAGAATCGCTTGAACCTGGGAGGCAGAGGTTTTAGTAAACCAAGACTGCGCCACTGCACTCCAGCTTGGGCGACAGAGCGAGACTCTGTCTCAACAACAACAAAAAAAGAAAAACCAGAATCAAATCTTCATGACATTGGGTTTGACCATGATTACTTGGATATGACACCAAAGACACAGCCAAGAAAAGAATAAACAAAGACATTGGACTTAGGGAAAATGTTAAAAATGTATACCTCAAAGGACAATACCGGCAGAGTGGAAATGCCACCCACAGGCTGGGAGAGAAAAAAAATATTTTTTTATTTTTTCATTTTTTGAGATGGAGTAGCGCTCTGCCACCATGGCTGGAGTGCAGTGGCACGATCCTGGCTCACTGCAACCTCTGCCTCCCGGGTTCAAGTGATTCTCCTGCATCAGCCTCCTGAGTACCTGGGACTACAGGCACACGCCACCACGCCTGGCTAATTTTTGTATTTTTAGTAGAGACCCGGTTTCATCATGTTGGCCAGGATGGTCTCGATCTCCTGATCTCATGATCCGCCTGCCTCAGCCTCCCAAAGTGCTGGGATTACAGGCCTGAGCCACTGTGCCCAGCTGAAAAAAAAATGTGTTTAGAGACAGGATCTCACCATGCCCACACTGGTTTCCAACTCCTGGTCTCAGGCAATCCTCTCGCCTCTGCCTCCCAACGTGCTGGGATTACAGATGTGAGCCACTGCTCCAGGCTGGAGACATTTTTTTATTTTTTATTTTTTTTTTGAGAGGGAGTCTCACTCTGTCTCCCAGGCTGCAGTGCAGTGATACGATCTTGGCTCACTGCAACCTCCGCCTCCTGGGTTCAAGCGATTCTTGTGCCTCAGCCTCCCAGGTAGCTGGGATTACAGGTGTCTGCCACCACACCTGGCTAATTTTTGTATTTTTAGTAGAGGGGGATTTTGCCATGTCGGCCAGGCTAGTCTCTAACTCCTGGCCTCAAGTGATCTGCCCGCCTCGGCCTCTCAAAGTGCTGGGATTACAGGCGTGAACCACCAGGCCGGCCTGTGCTGCTTTTTTTTTTTTTTTTTTTTTTTTTTTTTTTTGAGACGGATTCTCGCTCTGTCTCCAGGCTGGAGTGCAGTGGCGAGATCTCAGCTCACTGCAACATCTGCCTCCCAGGTTCAAGCGATTCTCTTGCCTCAGCCTCCCAAGTAGCTGGGACTACAGGCGCCCACCACCACGCCCAGCTAATTTTTGTATTTTTAGTAGAGACGGGGTTTCACCATGTTGGCCAGGCTGGTCTGGCACTTCTTGACCTCAGGCGATCTGCCCGCCTCAGCCTCCCAAAGTGCTGGGGTTACAGGCGTGAACCACCAGGCCCAGCCTGTGCTTCTATTTTTGATCGGCCCAACTTCTGATCTGTATTCAGTGTCGTGTGGGCCCCTCGCTGGCAGGTGGTAATAGCGTCCATGATTATCCATGATCCTAATTAGCGTGTTGGGTTCTATGATCCACCCAGAAGTGGTTGAGGTTTTCGGTGGTGCCCGAGGTGGGGAACCAACAGTTCCTCATGGAAAAGGTGCCCAAGAAGGAGACACCCAGCTCCCAGTGCCCTCTCCTGGGGCATCCCGGGCAGAACAAGACAGGCCATATAGACGCTTCCGGGTGTGTGCTGTGTAGATGGGTTCAGCCTCTTGCTCGTTTTCATGGGTGACCACCTTGCCAAGTCGTGTCCCTATGTCAGAGGGCAACGGACAGGGGCTAATTCTGGAAGGTTCCTCGGGGAACCTGATGTGGGTGTTTGGGTCCTGCCAGCTCAAGGGCCGGTGGCCGAGTCTAACGGTCTGAGTGGTCCCCTGACGCTCTCCCCTGGGGGCGGGCATGGCGGTCCCACCTCACGGCCACCCGCGTTGCTTCTGCAGGTTTCTCTACTCGGACGAGGTGCAGATTGGCCCGGAGACGGTGATGACCACGCTATACACCGCCAAGAAGTACGCGGTGCCAGCGCTCGAGGCCCATTGCGTGGAGTTCCTGAAGAAGAACCTGCGAGCCGACAACGCCTTCATGCTGCTCACGCAGGTGGGCGGGGCCGGTACGAGGCGGGGGCGGGGCCAGGCCTGGCTGGAGGCGGGGCCGGGGTGGGGCGGACCGAGGCTGGAGGCGGAGGCGGGGCCGGGGGCGGGCCCGGGAGGCAGCAGGCTCCTGCCTGGTAGTAAAATGTGTTTTGGGCCGGGCGTGGTTGCTCACGCCTGTAATCCCGGCACTTTGGGAGGCCGAGGCGGGCAGATCACCTGAGCTCAGGCGTTCCAGACCAGCCTGGCCAACATGGCGAAATCCTATCTCTACTAAAAACACAAAAAAGAGCCGGGCGTGGTGGCGGGCACCTGTAATTCCAGCTACTTGGGAGGCTGAGGCAGGAGAATTGCATGAACCTGGGAGGTGGAGGTTGCAGTGAGCCGAGATCGCACCACTGCACTCCAGCGTGCATGACAGAGCGAGACTCCACCTGAAAAAAAAAGATGTGTTTTGGACTTTTCCGTGATACTTCAAAAAATTATTGGCAGGGTGCGGTGGCTCACGCCTGTAACCCCAGCACTTTGGGAGGCCAAGTAGGGAGGATTGCTTGAGGCCCGGAGTTCTAGACCAGCCTAGGCAACATAGAGAGACCCCGTTTCTACAAAAAATTAAAAAAAGATTCAGGCCGGGCACTGTGGTTCATGCCTGTAATCCCAGCATTTTGGGAGGCTGAGACAGGCAGATCACCAGAGGTCAGGAGTTTGAGACCAGCCTGGCCAACATGGTGAAACCTCATCTCTACTAAAAAAAAATATTTCATAAATTAGCCAAGCACGCTGGTGCATGTCTGGAATCTCAACTACTTGGGGGACCAAAGCAGGAAGATTGCCTGAGCCCGGGAGGTTGAGGCTGCAGTGAGTGGAGATGGCGCCACTGCACTCCAGCCTGAGTGACAGAGTGAGACCCTGTCTCTAAAAAAAAAGTAAAATAATTTTTTTTTGAGACGGGGTTTCTCTTGTTGCCCAGGCTGGAGTGCAATGGCACGATCTCAGCTCACTGCAACCTCCGCCTCCAGCGTTCAAGCGATTCTCCTGCCTCAGCCTCCACAGTAGCTGGGATTACAGGCCCCCACCACCGCGCCTGGCTAAAAAAAAAGAAAAAAAAAAACCAGAGAGAACTTTCTCTCTCTCTCTAAGGAAATGTCAGGTAGACAGAGCAGGGCCAGGGATCTCAGGGGACCCCAGTTGGGCTCTGTGCAGCCCAAAGGGCGGGGGCTGGGGAGGTCGTGCAGGCCAGGGAGGCTGAGAGGACGTGGGGCCAGTACGGGTGGACGGCCGCTTGGGAGCCGTGAGCTCCTGGTCGGGGGTGGAGGGTGGCCAGAGGGGACAGCGGCACTGGGTCCTCCAATGGGCTTTGGGGGTCCGGCATCCTGGAAAGGACCCAGAACCTTCTCCCCCTCCATCCTGGCAGGTCAGATGCAGGGCATCCCGGACTCCCACAGGGAGGGGTTTCTTGTCCGGGTCATCTGGTCGCCTTGCTGGAGAGGCCTCTGCCTGAGCTGAGAGGAGGCTGGAGCTCACTCCCCGGGCTTCATCTTGTGGCTGCCTCAGCCTCCCTGCCCCTAAAACCACTACGAACCCACTTGAGAGGTGTCCTCGGGAGGATGCCCGCAGAAAGGCCTGCCCGGGTCCCTGCTGGCATAGGCCCTTCCAGCACCTTCCACTAACTAAGCCTCTGTTTCCCTAAGAGCACAGGCGTCCTCCAGCTCTGTCACCTGACTGTCAGAAGTCATGTCTGCTGTTTGTCTTGGGATGGAGCTGCCGGGGACACGGCCCCTCCCACCACAAGTGGCCAAGGGCATGTTGTGGTCGGGAAGCTTCACCGGTCGGCCCCGGCCACCTCACCTCTGCCTGCCACTCGGGGTCCTGGGCCCTGCTGCCCCCCGAGTGCAGCTGCAACGCCCCTTTTGCCTAAAGCAGCAGGCCCTGCCGACAGGGACCTGAGCATCTTTTTCTTCCTTCCTTGGCCTCTGAGGTCCTGAGAGGGAACTCCCCAACTCTCCCGCCCCAGTCAGCGGTCACAGGGGAGTCTCTGGGCCCACAACAGGGCCGGCCTGGTGGCTGAGACCCTGGTGGCTCCTGGCCACGCTCAGGAAGGCCCGTGTGGTCAGGGCTGCATTTGAACCGGCCCCGCACTGGGGATCTGCCGAGGGCTGGGTGCTGATGTCCCCACCGCGCCCCCCGTCGATGTCTCTTGCCAGGCGCGACTCTTCGATGAACCGCAGCTGGCCAGCCTGTGCCTGGAGAACATCGACAAAAACACTGCAGACGCCATCACCGCGGAGGGCTTCACCGACATTGACCTGGGTAAGGGCCCAGGAGCCCAGGTGTGGGAATCCCAGCGGGGCCTCGGCGGGAGGGTCCGGGGATTGACAGTGGGAGCTTTGGGCCTGGGGGAGTTGCACAGGTGAGCTGGGGCCTCACCACTTGCAGCAGGTCAGGAGTTTGGGTCCTAGCACAGCCCCACGGGAGTCCGGGGCCTTGGCCAGGAGGCCACAGGCCAGAGCCCACCATCCCAGCTGATGGTGACCATCTCGTCCTCCGATGGTCCATGGCTTTGACTTTGCTGTTGAACAGCTTTTGTCAAAGCTACTCAAGTCTGTCCTTGTGGCTTAAAAACAACCACAGCCGAGGAAAATGAAGGGGCGTGGTCTTGTGTTGATAAAGCTTTATTTATAAACACACTCACAGGGCCAGATTTGGGCCACGGGCCATAGTTGCCAGCCCGGCTTTAACTGCTGGTCCTCACGTTAGTCTCACTGCCTCCTGCAGGGTGGGCATGTGGGTGTCGTGTTCACGCAGCCCCTTCCTCCACCCCACAGACACGCTGGTGGCTGTCCTGGAGCGCGACACACTGGGCATCCGTGAGGTGCGGCTGTTCAATGCCGTTGTCCGCTGGTCCGAGGCCGAGTGTCAGCGGCAGCAGCTGCAGGTGACGCCAGAGAACAGGCGGAAGGTTCTGGGCAAGGCCCTGGGCCTCATTCGCTTCCCGCTCATGACCATCGAGGAGTTCGCTGCAGGTAACAGAGCTCGGGCTCAGGGGCTGGTTTGGGAGGGGAGTGGCACACAGGTGGGCATCTGGGTACCGAGGATAGTGCCCCCGAGTTCACTGCGGAAAGCCTGGCAGATGCCTGGCATATACAGATAGGAAGAAACCTGGCTTGTGAGGACGCGTCCACAGGGCCATCTGTTAGCCCCGGCCCGGCTCTGTCCCCACCGTGCACACTGCCAGACCCCGCCTCTCGTGTCTGTCCAGCTGTTTTGGTGGCATCTTCCCAGGAGGGAAGGGAGTCCCCGTCTCGCGCCCTTGTGCTACCTGCTGGTGCAGGTACCAGTGTCTGTGACGAGCTCAGGAGGGCTCTGACATGGCCGGGGTGGCTGTCATGCGCCCGAGTGGGCCTTGGGGTCCCCTGCTGCAGGGCCTGGGTTCCAGGGTGACGTGAAGGGGCAGCGCTAACGATGCCTCCTGCCCTCGTGGCTGCTCACTGCCTGACGCCATCCAGCTCTGGAGCAAAACAGGCCTGGAACTTTCCAGAAGGGGCTGGGACAGAGCCCTGGGGCTGGTGCACACTCGCCGTCTGGCCTTCCCCAGGTCCACGCGGCCCCCGCTCTTGCTTAGCTGAAGGTCGCCAGATTTAGCAAGAGGGTCTCTGTCGCCCAGGCTGAGTGCGGTGGTACAATCACAGCTCACTGCAGCCTCGACCTCCTGGGCTCAAGTGATCCTCCTGCTTCAGACTCCGGAGTAGCTGGGATCACAGGTGCCACCACCACACAAGGCTTATATTTGTATTTTTTTGTGGGGACAGGGTCTTGCTATGTCACCTGGGCTGGTCATGAACTGGGCTCCAGCCATCCTCCCATCTCGGCCTCACAAAGTGCTGGGATTATGGACATGGGCCACCGAGCCTGGCTAGATACATACTTCTTAAAAATACAACTGTTGATCAGCTGGGTGTGGTGGCTCATGCCTGTAATCCCAGCTACCCGGGAGGCTGAGGCAGGAGAATCACTTGAACCCAGGAGGTGGAGGTTGTGATGAGCCGAGATCGCGCCACTGCACTCCAGCCTGGGCAACAAGAGTGAAACTCCATTTAAAATAAAAAAATATATACAATTGTTGGCCAGGCTGGGTCACTCACTCCTGTAATCCCAGCACTTTGGGAGGCCCAAGATGGGGGGAATCACTTGAGGTCAGGAGTTTGAGACCAGCCTGACCAACAGGGTGAAACCCCGTCTCTACTAAAAATACAAGATTAGCTGGGCATGGTGGCGCATGCCTGTAAACCCAGCTATGCTGGAGGCTGAGGCAGGAGAATTGCTTGAACCCTGGAGACGGATGTTGCGGTGAGCCGAGATTACGCCACTGCACTCTAGCCTGGGGGACAAGAGCGAAACTCCGTCCTGCACTCTAGCCTGGGGGACAAGAGCGAAACTCCGTCTCAAAAAAAAAAAAAATTGTTAACATTGTTTATTGAGTTTTGATACTCAGTCTTCCTGATTCACTTAACCCATAATGGTCTGTTTCTCACCAGTTATTAAACTGTGTCTGCACTGGGCTGGCTTGCAGCTGAGCGATGCGGAGTTGAGCCCACCTTGGTTGATGAGTGATTAGGTCTCAGGCAGGCAGGGCTGCTCTCATTAGAGCAGAGGGTGCTGTGTCCTGGCACTCCTGGGGGTGGATGGTGGACCCCCAATTCTGCCCCTCCTGGCCTCCCCTCCCTACCCAGAGCCCCTTCACATCCCATGCACAGTCCCTCTGCCTGTGACATCTCTGCACCGGGATTAAGAGCCTGGCTCTTGGAGTCTGCCTGGGGTCCGCTAGCCATCACCCCTGGGGGTGTAAGCGCTTGAGAAGGTGTCTGCCTAGGGCCCACCGTGGAGAGGAACCCCCAGACTGCTTCTAGAAGCCAGGGCTGCAGCCTGGGGGGTACAGGCCTAGCAGGGAGCCACAGTGACCCCTCCCAGCCAATGGCCCTGAGAGAACAGGCAGTGGAGCCCCCCGCCCCCACCCACAGTGAAGTGACGGGTGGTCCCTACAGTGGGGCCAGACCCTGAGACATCACCCCTGAGTGAGTGCATCTGTCAGACCCTGAGGCATCGCCCCTGAGTGAGCGTATCTGTCGGCCTCTGGTCTGTGCCCTGGGACCTCTCCCTAAAAGCCCAGGCAGCAGGGGCCATGGCTGGTGGCTAGTCCCCCGGGGAGGGGCTGCCCAGGTCCCTGCACCTTGAAAGTCCGACGCAGACATCTTAGGGGGAAGGAGCGTGTCCTCCCAGGCACTCGGGATCCTGGGGTGCAGCCCGGCCCTCCCCCACACCCTCCCTGTGCTGCAGGTCCCGCACAGTCGGGCATCCTGGTGGACCGCGAGGTGGTCAGCCTCTTCCTGCACTTCACCGTCAACCCCAAGCCACGAGTGGAGTTCATTGACCGGCCCCGCTGCTGCCTGCGTGGGAAGGAGTGCAGCATCAACCGCTTCCAGCAGGTGGAGAGTCGCTGGGGCTACAGCGGGACCAGTGACCGCATCAGGTGGGGCTTGGGGTGCAGGCGGGGGGGTCCGGACATGGGGGTGGAGGACTCGGGGATGACGGAGATGGGGGGCCGGGCATGGGGGTGGAGAACTCAGGGATGATGAAGACGGCGGGGGGGCCGCCGGGCATGGGGGTGGAGGACTCAGGGACGATGGAGGGGACCGGGCATGGGGGTGGGCTCGCCCCAGCTCACCTTAGGCTATCCCTGGGTATCCACGCTGCTGCCTGTCATCTGCCACGGCAGGTTCTCAGTCAACAAGCGCATCTTCGTGGTGGGATTTGGGCTGTATGGATCCATCCACGGGCCCACCGACTACCAAGTGAACATCCAGGTACCAGCCCCAAGCCTCATCCCCAGGCCCCACTCAGGCCCATGTCCTCTCTCCACCTCCATGGAACCCTGGCTGAACCCCCGGCCCTGGTCCCTGTGCTGCCCCCACCCTGGGCAGGTGGGCTGGGCCTCGAGGGGTCCCCGTTGGCCCTCCCCAGGCCTGAGCCTCCCACTTCCCACCTCCCCGCAGATTATTCACACCGATAGCAACACCGTCTTGGGCCAGAACGACACGGGCTTCAGCTGCGACGGCTCAGCCAGCACCTTCCGCGTCATGTTCAAGGAGCCGGTGGAGGTGCTGCCCAACGTCAACTACACGGCCTGTGCCACGCTCAAGGTGCGCCGCCGGGGACAGGGGTCCCTCCGTGGGAGTCTCTGGCCCATCCTGAAGCCACCGGGGCACAGCACACACTCTCCAGAGGCAGCCACCCTGGCCCAGTCGGGGCCTTGCCCTGTCCACACCTGGGGCATCCCAGCCTGGTGGTCCTTGACCTCACTGTACCCCTATTCCCTACAGGGCCCAGACTCCCACTACGGCACCAAAGGCCTGCGCAAGGTGACACACGAGTCGCCCACCACGGGCGCCAAGACCTGCTTCACCTTTTGCTACGCGGCCGGGAACAACAATGGCACATCCGTGGAGGACGGCCAGATCCCCGAGGTCATCTTCTACACCTAGGCTGCCCGACACCGACACCGCCCTCCCTCCGTGGGGATAGCCGCAGCCCCAGGCCATCATCTGCTGCTGGGGCCCCCCCACCACGCGGTGCCAGGCCCAGTGTCCCCCAGGCCGTCTGTCCACTCCATGCCACCTTTCTCAGCATCAGGACGGGGTTGCCCTGTGTTCACCACGAGTGTGGCTGCTGGATCAGGGCAGCCGGGGAGGTGGCCAGGCCAGTGGCCAGGCCCTGTGGAGACAATCCCTCAGGACTAGGGACAGGGCTGTGCCGGCCTGGGCCAGGGCCCACGGACCCGCAGCTCAGGGCGCCTGCCCACGTCGTCTGCCGGCGGTGCGCCGCGGGCGTCCCTCGCGTCTCTTCACTGCACATTGCAATGCATTTGCGATTCCCATTTCTCTGCTAGGAGCCAGCCTGGGTGGCGCTGCTCCCAGAGCCGTGGGTCCCAGACCTTGCGTTCCTTTTGTTCCTGTCCGTTTATCAGGACACGGGCCCCACCTGTCACGTGCCCGAGGCCACCCAAGCCCAGCCTGCGGGGCGTTCCCACTGCCTGGATGCCGGCTTGAGTTCTGCGCACGCAGGATTCAGTGTGGGGACGGCCCCTGCCGGATAGGCCTAGCCCTGGCCCAGGTGGTGAGCGGTTTGCAGTGTCCGTTCTCATCCACCTGATGGGCCCAGATAAAGGCCCCCGCTGTCCAGCCTCCCTGGACGGCCCTCGCGGTCCCTGCAGCCCAAGATGGGACTCAGACCCTGTGCCCCAGAGCTCCCCTGCCGCAGAATGGGGCCCCAGCCGGCCCCGACCGGGTCCAGGAGCACTGCTCGCCTGTACATACTGTTGCCCTAGCCCACCTGGTGCCGTGGGAGCCACCCCCAGGTGCTGGGGGCACAGCCCCTCCCCACTCCGGCCACGCCCCCACCCACCCCGCGTGTTTCTGCCCTGTGACTCCTGGAACCTGCGTCCTCCCCAAAGCCATGGGAGGGGTGTCCTCCTCAGACCATGCCCCCAGATGATTTTTTTAAATAAAGAAACAAATGCACCTGCCTTGAGCGCACACTGCTTTGCTCCCCTTCACTCTCTGCCCTGTCATCCGGGCTGCAGTGGGCGAGGGATGTCGTGCGCCGAGAGGGGCCCTGAACCCCGGGTCTGGTCGCCAGTGCTGCGAGACCCTCCTTAAGTACCCACAGGCCACACTGAAGCCCGGGAGGTCGAGACTGCAGTGAGCAGTGATGCACCACTGCCCTCCCCCCTGGGCAAGAGCAAGACCCTAACTAACTCAACACCTCCCCCCAAACCCAAATGCAATGGACGTGTGTGCCGATTTCCCCGTGGGGAGGCCCTGCTGGCTGCTGGGGGACCGTGGATGTGAGAGATGGAGAGAAAGCAGGGAGTGCCCAGTTGTGGCCTCAGTGGCCAGAGAAGTCAAGCCGTTGGCTGCTGCCTCAGGAGCACACGTGCAGGGCAAGACATCAAGAAACCCGGCAGCAAGGCCGCGTGGTGGCTCACACGTCATTACAGCACCTTGGGAGGCCGGGCGGGTGGATCACCTGAGGTCAGGAGTTCAGGACCAACCTGGCCGACATGGTGAAACCCCATCTCTACTAAAAACACAAAAATTAGCCAGGTATGGTGGCAGGCACCTGTAATCCCAGCTACTTGGGAGGCTGAGGCAGGCGAATCGCTTGAACCTGGGAGATGGAGGTTGCAGTGAGCCAAGATGGTGCCATTGCACTCCAGCCTGGGCGAGAAAGCAAGACTCCGTCTAAAAAAAAAAAAGCCAGCCGCAAACAGTTGCCAGGAGGCTGAAGGCTGAGCAGATCTCCACAGTGCGCAGTGCTGGGAGCAGGCAATGGAGATGGAGGCTGGCGGGGTAGGGGGCCTTGTCGAACACCCTGGGGGCCGGGCGTGCTGGCTCACACCTGCAATCCCAGCACTTTGGCAGGCTGAGGCAGAACTGCTAGGGGCCAGGAGTTTGAGACCAGCCTGGGCAACACAGCAAGACCCCATCTCTAAAAAAATACATATTAAAAGGAAACACCTTGGGCTTCTAATGAAGACACCAGAAGGGCCACCCACCAGGAGCTAGGGCAACACTCCTGTGGGGAGGACAGAACGGAAGCCGTCATCACTCCAAAACAAAACCCTGGTAGGGTCTCACTGGGCTGCTGTTACGCTGGACCCTGCCAAAAGAAAACACAGCCCTGTGAAGAAACATCAGCACCAGCTTCTACCATCTGTCATTTACAACGTCCAGCATCCATTTAAAAATGACAGGCTGGGCGTGGTGGCTCATGCCTGCAATCCCAGCACTTTGGGAGGCCGAGGCAGGTGGATCATCTGAGGTCAGGAGTTCGAGACCAGCCTGGCCAACATGGCGAAACCCGTCTCCACTAAAAATACAAAAATTAGCGAGGCGTGGTGGCGTGCATCTGTAATCCCAGCTACTTGGGAGGCTGAGGCAGGAGAATCACTTGAACCTGGGAGGCAGAGGTTGCAGTAAGCCACGATTGTGCCACTGCACTCCAGCCCAGGGAGACAGAGCAAGACTGTCTCAAAAAAAAAAAAAAAAAAAAAAAAAGCCAGGTATGGTGGCTCATGCCTGTAATCCCAGCACTTTGGGAGGCTGAGGCAGGCAGATCACGAGGTCAGGAGATCAAGACCATCCTGGCTAACATGATGAAACCCCGTCTCTACTAAAAAAAACTACAAAAATTAGCCAGGTGTGGTGACAGGTGCCTGTGGTCCCAGCTACTTGGGAGGCTGAGGCAGGAGAATGGCGTGAACCCGGGAGGTGGAGCTTGCCAGTGAGCCGAGATCTCGCCACTGCACTCCAGCCTGGGCAACACAGCAAGACTCTGTCTCAAAAAACAAACAAACAAACATGCAAGGTGAAGCACAGTGAGTAAAAACAATGGAAAAACAGAACAGATCGAGATACGTGACACAGCCAAAGGGTTGAACGTATGTGTAAGTGGAGTCCCAGAAGGAGAGAGAGAGAATGAGACTCAAGCTATATGACAGCCAAGAATTTTCCAAAATGAATGAAAGACGTTGACCCACAATTTTTTTTTTTTTTTTTTTTTTTTTTTTTTTGAGACAGAGTCTCTCTCTGTCACCCAGGCTGGAGTGCAGTGGTGCAATCTCGGCTCACTGCAAGCTCCGCCTCCCGGGTTCACGCCATTCTCCTGCCTCAGCCTCCCGAGGAGCTGGGCCTATAGGTGCCTGCCGCCACGCCCGGCTAATTTTTTGTATTTTTAGTAGAGATGGGGTCTCACCGTGTTGGCCAGGATGGTCTCGATCTCCTGACCTTGTGATCCACCAGCCTCGGCCTCCCAAAGTGCTGGGATTGCAGGCGTGAGCCGCCGCGTTTTAAAAACTTTGTCAGTGGAGCATGCTGGCTCATGCCTGTCATCCCAGCACTTTGGGAGGCCGAGGTGGGTGGATCACTTGAGGTCAGGAGTTCAAGACCAGCCTGGCCAACATGGTGAAACCCCGACTCTACTAAAAATACAAACATTATCCAGGTGTGGTGGCACACGCTTGTAATCCCAGCTACTCGGGAGGCTGAGGCAGGAGAACTGCTTGAACCCGGGAGGTGGAGGCTGCAGTGAGCCGAGACCACGCCAATGCACTCCAGCCTGGGTGACAGCGAGACTCTGTCCCAAACAAACACTTTGTCAACCTGGAATGCCACTACCAGCAAAAACATCCTTATTAAGAAAGGTGAAATAAATATTTTTTTCAGGGAACAAATGCTAATTTGTAATTTGTTACCGACAAAGCTGCACTCGGCCCGGCGTGGTGGCTCACGCCTCTCATCCCAGGGTCACTTTCCCACCTCGTCCTCCGCAAGTGCCTGGACAACAGAGCCAGACAGGCAACCCTATCTCTACCTAAAAACAAAACAGAACAAAACAATTAGCTGAGTGTGGTGGTGCACGTCTATGGTCCCAGATACTTGGGAGGCTGAGGTGGGAGGATCGCTTGAGCCCAAGAGGTGGAGGCTCCAGGGAGCTATGACTGTGCAACTGCACGCCAGCCTAGGCCAGGCCCTGTCTCAAAAAAAAAAAAAAAAAAGCTGCACTGTAAGAAATATTGAAGTTCTTCAGGCTGAAAATTATCCCAGAGGTAGTTTTGGGATTCTGTCGCCCGGGCTGGAGTGCGGTGGCGAGATCTGGGCTCACTGCAAGCTCCGCCTCCCGGGTTCACGCTATTCTCCTGCCTCAGCCTCCCCAGTAGCTAGGACTACAGGCGCCCGGCTAATTTTTTGTATTTTTAGTAGAGACAGGGTTTCACCATGTTAGCCAGGATGGTCTCGCACTCCTGACCTCGTGATCCGCCAGCCTCGGCCTCCCAAAGTGCTGGGATTACAGGAGTGAGCTACCCTGCCCGGTCCCAGATGTAATTTCTGATCAGCAGAAAGAAATGAAGAGCATCAGAAAAGGTTAACATGTGGGTAAATATATAAAGCACATGACAAGTAGTCCTTATCCCCAAGCTACTGCCGGGAAAACCATCGATGAGCTCATTCCATTTCCCTCTTGCCATCTGACTCTTACAGGTGCATTATTTCTGCTTTGTCACAACATATTACGGTGGTACTGGTCTTCCACCCTTGCTGCCGGGTATGGGGTGTTGTCTGGGGAGAAGGCACGGGGCGGAGCCGGGGCTAGTGCTGCCAAGGTCTTCACCTGCCTGCAGTTTCCGCTGTTCTTCTGGGAGCTACTGCTGATTCCCTTCACAGTGTCGTGGCCCCCGTGGAGATGTTTTCTGCCCTGCTGCGTGAACAGAGGGAGTCAAGGAGGCCTTCCGCCGTCAGAGCAGCCAGGACCATCCTGCCTGGGCCCCGTCGCTGAGGCTTTCAGGTATATTTGTGTAGTGTCGGGGAACGGGACCCCCGGGGCCAAGTCGCATGTGTGTGACTTCCCCTTTCCATGGTACGTGAACACTCGTCTCCTGCCCTCTCCCCAGACAGAGCCCAGCTCTGCCCTCTGCTTCCATCTTCCTTACCTTCCGCCTCATCAGTCGGTTTCTGTTACCGGAGGCCGCCAGCCGCTCCGGACTCGTCCCGGACAGGCAGGATGGGGATGGAAGCAACGCCCGTTCCAGGTCAAGCTTCGTGGAAAGCCCAGACAAATCCCTCTACACTTGGGTTTGGTTTCATTTTTCTTTTATTTTTTTAAAAAAGCCCCTAAATTCTATGGCTTCAAGGGAGCATCAGAGAAACGTAAATGCCATTTCTGTACACTTGGTAAAGCAAAAACTAGACTCACAGCCACCGCCCTGGGCACGGCCCCAAGCTGCTCCACTCTGCCCGGCAGCCTCCAGGGCACCCCACTGGGGAACCGCCCGCCAGTCCAGGGCCGCCCCCAGGCCCCTGCAATATACCTGCAGGGCTGGGCCGGGGGCTTTAAGGCGTTTTGTCTCCGGCTGCTTGCCGGGTGTCGGAGCAGAGAGGCAGGAAGCTCCGTGCCCACGCGCCCCACGCGGCAGGGCTGAGGGCCGAGCAGGGTGACACCAACCGGTCCTCCCACCTCGGGTTCCAGGCGCCGGGGCGCAGCCTCCGGGAGCAAGTGCGTCGAGAAGCACCCGCCTGGCAGCGCCCACCCGCCCCTTGCCAGGGCCAGGCTGGGAAGAGACTGCAGCAGCCGTGCCCGCGGCGCCCGAGCTTTGGTGCAGCATTTTGGTTGGGGAGCCGGCTTCAGCCACGGCCCCACCCCTGCCTTCCCCTTTGGTTTCGGGGAGGCCTGGGGCACGGCCTCACCCCTGGCAACAATGCCTGTCCCCCTCCCAGGAGGGCCTGGGCAAGACAGCTCCACAGCACCCCTCCAGGCCGGGCCTGCCCTCCCCTCGAGAAAACGGCCTTTGGATCGAGGGAGACAAGCTGGACTTTATGACGCTAACGGGGGCGGCTGGCGGGGCGGGGCCAGGCCGGGGGGCCTCCAGGATCACACTACTCACTTCAGCAAAGAAACGGAGGGGCAGGAGTGGGGTAGGGCGGGCCTCTGTTTTTTTTTTCCTCTTTTCCTTGTTTTAAATAGTTAATGCTCTTGGAGGGGAGGACTAGACACAGGTGTAGAAATTTCGGCCAAAGTCTTACATGAAGGAAGTGACCCCACGTCCCGGGGGTGGGGCCGCCTGAGCCAGGCGCGGCCCCTGCAGTCTGCGTTCTGGCTTCCAGCCAGGGTCTGGCCCTGGGCCGCTGTGGGTGGGCCCCGAGGGCCTCGCACAAGGTCGCGCCCCAAGGGGCTGCACGGAGAAGATTCAGGGGGCTGCACGCGCCCAGGGTCACTTGTGTCGCTGCAGCGATTTTCTCTTTCTCCTCTTGAAGAAACAGCAGCATCTGAGGAGGGCAGTGGCTCAGGTAGGAGGACCGGGGTGCAGGGCGGGGGCAGCCCAGGCCTCAGGCCCTCCCACCCCCATGGGGACCCAGGGCACCCCCACCTCCCCGAAGGCACCGCCCCAGAGCCTTACTTGGTTTCATCGGCCACCTCCACCTCTGCAGGCGCTGTGATCGGGGCGTTGGAGTGGCCGGCCGTGGGGTCGTCCGCATTCAGCTCCCCGTTGGTGGAGTTCAACGCCTGGTGGGGGCAGTAGGGGGTCACGCTGGCCGCCCATGCCCCTCCCTGGGGCGGTCGGTCCCGCCCGGGCCTCACCTGGTTTTTGCTGTGCGGCTGGGTTTTGTCCCGGAGCTGAGGCTGGGAGGGCAGGTCGGTGTGGACGGTGCCGATGGGGGTCGGCTGTGGGTGAGGGAGCAGGGGTCAGGATGGGCTGCAGCGCCGGTTCCCATCTCCCTCAGGGCAGTTTCCCGGTCCCCCGCTCCCACATACCGGCACCCCCCCACCTACCAGGGGCTTCCCGGCCCAGTCGTACTCATAGTCGAACACGAAGCCACTGCGGTCGAAGAGGTCGGTGAAGAGCTTCCGCAGGTAGTCATAGTCGGGCTTCTCGAAGAAGTCCAGGCGCCGCACATAGCGCAGGTACGTGGCCATCTCCTCTGCAGAGAGAGCGCCAGCGGGGCCTCGGCGGGGGTGGGGGTGGGGGGTGGGGGGTGGGGGGCACAGGGCGGGGGCGCAGGGACCCCTTACCTGGGAAGTTCTCGCAGAGCACCTCGATGGGCGTGGCGCGTTTGGTGTCCCCGATCTTCTGGTACCGCTCCTTGAGCGTGTCGGCCTGCGGGGGTCTGTGGTCAGCCTTGCTCCCGCCCTGCGTCCCCGCCCGCCTGCCCGGCCTCCTCGCCCACCTTGAGCCCCTGCCAGGGGAGGCTGCCGCGCAGGAAGTACATGAACATGTGGCCCAGCGCCTCCAGGTCGTCGCGGCGGCTCTGCTCTGCGGGGACAGGGGCGCAGCCTCAGCGGGGTCCGGGCGCCCGCCCCCCGCCGCGCGCGCGCAGCTCACCCTTGCCCAGGTGCGTGTTGATGCTCATGTAGCGCGCCGTGCCCGTCAGGCTCTTGTGCTCGCGGTACGGGATGTGCTTCTTGGTCTCGGGGTCGATGTACTCCTTGGCCAGCCCGAAGTCGATGATGTGGATGGCATGCTGCCGCTTGGTCCCCGGGCGGCCCACCAGGAAGTTCTCGGGCTTCACGTCCCGGTAGATTAGGCTCTTGGTGTGCACATACTCCATGCGCGTGATCTGCAGGGGGGCACGGCGGTGTCGGCCGGGCCCCTCCCCGTCCCACGCGCTCCCCTCCAGGGCCACCCTCTTCCCTCCGAGCCCCGCCCCGCCCCGCCCGCCGCGCACCAGCTGGATGGCGATCATCAGCACCGTCTTGAGCGTGAAGGTCCGGTCGCACAGGTCGAACAGGTCCTCCAGGCTGGGCCCCAGCAGCTCCAGCACCATGGCGTTGTACTTCCCGCACGGACCGAAGTAGTAGACCTGAGGGACGCCCTCTGCGGCGGAGGACAGACGCACGGGCGTGCGGCGGCAGCCCCCTCCCTGCCCCTGCGCAGCCCCCGCCCCACCCGCGGGCCGCCCGGTACCTGTGGCGCTGAGCTGCTTGTAGAACCGGTACTCCAGGTGCAGCTGCGGGGCCCGGGACTTGATCGGCTCCTGGGGGCACAAGAGCGAGTCACCAGGGGACCGGGTCGCTGCCCTGAAATCCCTGGGGGGCACGTCAGCGGGGGTGGGGTGGAGGGGCCGACTCACCAATTTGATAGCCACGTATTCATTTGTATAGAGATTCTTTCCTGCGGGGACAGAGACCATCAGCACCGCCAGCGCAGGGCCCACCTAGCCCCGACCTCCCCAGCCCACCCCCGAGGCAGGAGGCAGGAGGGGGTCCCTGAAGGACCACCCTCCAAATGACACCACTGCCCAGCAGCAGGGCCTGGGCCCAGCCTGCCAGAGCACTGCACCATGGCCTGCCAAGTCATCCCGACACCTGCACCCTGCCCGTGTGGTCACCGCCTCAGTGTCTGCCACTCCTCCTCCCCCGCCCCCCCACCTCCCTAGCCCAGGACAGAAGCGGCACTGGGGAGGTCTCTCACGGCCTGCAGGCAGCCCCAAGGGCTCCACACTCCTCCACCCCTTTCTCAAAGACAAATCTCCCACATGCCCGAGGCCCTCGGCCCCCAGGTGAGCCCCAGCACAGATGGACAGGGACCTGTGGCCCACATGGGTTAGAAGAGAGGAGCCCAGGTCCTGTTCCCTGGGGCCACCAGCCACATAGGACTTCCAGGGCTGAGTCTCATGAAAGCGCAGAAGGTACGAGGCCCAGAACCTTTTTTTTTTTTTTTTTTTTGAGACGGTGTCGCTCTGTTGCCCAGTCTGGAGTGTAGTGGCGAGATCGCAGTTCACTGCAGCCTTTGTCTCCCAGGCTCAAGCCATCCTCCCATCTCAGCCTCCCAAGTAGCTGGGACTACAGGTGCGCACCACCACACCCAACTAATTTTTGTATTTTTAGTAGAGACGGGGTTTCTCCAAGTTGCCCGGGCTGATCTTGAACTCCTGAGCTCAAGCGATCTGCCTGCCTCAGCCTCCCACAGGGCTGGGATAACAGGCGGGAGCCCCTGTACAGGCCAGGGTGCAGCTTTTTACATGTTACACCCCCTGAGGAAGGAGGCGGCCAGCCCTTAACACAGAGGCGCTCTGCAGGGGCAGCTGTGGAAGCCGGCCTGGGAGGGGGCACGGCCCCACCCACTGTGGTGACTCAGCACCCGAGGGGTGAGCCTAGAGGTGAACAGGCCGGTCCCTGCAGGCACACGGCCCTGGAGGGCTCCCCACGGCAGCTGGGCCAGACGACAGGCATGAACGTGTCTGGCACCCATGTGTCTCCAGCCCAGGATGGCACTGGGGCCATAGCTACCATCTGCTGGGCGACCTGTCCCGCGGCATGACAGGGCACCATGTGGGGCAGCCCCGTCTCTCAGGCACCATCCAGCTGGGTCACCGTGTTGGGTCTGCAGTCAGCTGCCTTTGCCCGAGTAGCATACGCTGCAGAATGAGGCCTCTGTGGCCGGGCACGGTGGCTTATGCCTGTAATCCCAGCACTTTGGGAGGCTGACGCAGGCGGATCACCTGAGGTCGGGAGTTCGAGACCAGCCTGACAAACATGGAGAAACCCCATCTCTACTAAAAATACAAAATTAGCCTGGCATGGTGATGCATGCCTGTAATCCCAGCTACCAGGGAGGCTGAGGCAGGAGAATTGCCTGAACCCGGGAGGTGAAGGTTGTGGTGAGCTGAGATGGTGCCATTGCACTCCAGCCTGGGCAACAAGAGAGAAACTCTGTCTCAAAAAAAAAAAAAAAGAAAGCAAGAAAGAGGCCTCCACTTTGTTCCGCCCTGCTGCAGCTGGACTGGCAGGGTGGCCGTGGAGACAATGGGTTTGGAAACCCTGCTAAGGTGGATTCAAAGTCCCAAAGCCCGGTGGCTGAGCTGTACACAGTCATGACCTCATAGTCTGAGGCTGGGGTCCCACCTGGGCCCTGAGAGCCTCTTCCCCCGGCTAGTGCCCCGTCCTGGGCGTGCCTTGCAGCACAGGAATCGCTGGGGCTCCTTCTGGCACTGCCCTGTCCGCATCACTACCTGGGCTCTATTTCAGCACAGTTTCCAATCAGCTTGTCAAGTTCCCTAAACAGCCTCAACAACGTGGCATCTTGAGGGTGCAGGATCGTGAGGACGAGGGAAGACCAGGTGCCTCCCTGCAGCCCTGAGCCCGGGACCAGGGCTGGTCTCTCCAGTCCTGAGCCAGGGACCAGGGCAACCCCTCCAGTCCTGAGCCGGGGACCAGGGCTGGTCCCCGCGTTTTCAGAACAAATGGGCTCCCCTCCTACGTTCTCCCCAGTGTAACACGTTATTAGGAAATTCTCCTCGTAAAACAACAGGAGCCGTGCCCCAAACACCCAACACTCATTGCCGAGGCCCCAGAACTAAACCTGCCACACGGTCCATCCTCACAGCTACCATCCACCGGTCCATTTTATTTTTAGAGGGATTTCAAAGTTTTTTTCTTTTTGGAGCAGAGTCTCGTTCTGTTGCCCAGGCTGGAGTGCACTGGCGCGATCACGGCTCACTGGAACCTCTGCCTCCTGGGTTCAAGCGATTCTCCTGCCTCAGCCTCCTGAGTAGCTGGAATTACAGGCAGGCACCATCAACCTGGCTAATTTTTGTATTTTTACTAGAGATGGGCTTTCTCCATGTTGTCCAGGCTGGTCTCGAACTCCTGACGTCAGGTGATCCGCCCACATCAGCCTCCCAAAGTGTTGGGATTACAGGCGTGAGCCACTGTGCCTGGTCAGATTTCGAAGTTTTAGAGCTCAGGACACTGCCCCAGGTTTGAAGTTTTAGAGCTCAGGACACTGCCCCCTGAATCAGCTGCAGGTTCAGTCCAGCATTTGCGTGTCCTTCCTGCGCTGCCCTTCGGAGGTGGGATTCACAGTGGATTCATCCCCCCTTCCCCGCCCAAAAGGCTGCCCCTGCGGTGGGCTCCTCGCCGTGTCGTGCTGCGTGTGCCCGCCTGGTGCTGTGCCGCGGCTCACAGGGAGGATGGGGTTTGGTTTGCCCATCTGCCCTTGAGGCACGCCCTCCCGTCTCCAGTTCTGACTCTCCAGAGCGGAGTTCCGGCGAACACGGCTGTGTAGCTCTTCCTGCGGGCAGCCGTCCCCTTCTCCGGCAAAGTGTCAGTCACGTGCTGACCACCAAGCACTGAGCTGCGCTCCCCCAGGCTGAGGAGGACAAGCCCTCGCCTGTGTGCTACACCGTCCCTCTGCTGTCTGTCGATGTATCATCCAGCTGTGGCTCCCTGACGGGCAGGCGGATGCTCGCCAACGTCCTCCCCAGCCTGGCTGGCCTCATGCTCTTGGCAGCGTCTTGATGGGCGGGCCTTTGAAGCTCTGATGCATCTGATGGTGATGGGGTCCTTCCCGGCTCTTCTACTCTGCACTGTGGAAGAAACCTTCGCCTGAACCCCACCGCTGTGTGCGGCTGGCGTGTCAGAGACCTGGGTGTGTGCTGGGTGGGTGTGGCAGCATCTGAGGCCTGTGGATCTGCAGACTCCTGGAGGAGGTCGGGCGCTCTGGGCTCTGAAAGCCAAAGGGGCCTCCTCCGGCAGTACTCGCGATGCATGCAGAGGGCAGGAGAGCCCACGGGGCCTGGCAGAGAACAGCTCCAGAGAGGCTCAGGAGGTTCCGGGGGACACACAGGAGGGAGGACGCCACAGCTCCAATGGCCGGAGTGCGGGGTCCTCCCTGGATTCTCTACTTCAGCTGAGAACCCAAAAGGTCCACACCTTGGCACAGGGCTCCCTGGCCTTGGAGTCGCTCATGTTTACCCTCAGCCTTGCCCCAGCAACGCTGAAACCAACCTGACAGAAACAAGGTGAGCCACGGGGACAAACTCAGCGCTCAAGCCGGGAGACGGCACCCTCCACACCTCACGGCACACACCACGGCCACGCCCAGTGAGGCTGTCCCACAGGTGAGTGAGGGAGGTGTGACCGTGACAAGGGAGGAAGAAGCAGCACAGACGTCACTCCACACAGTGCTGTGTCTTTGATGCACCCCCCAAGGGTCATGTGTTGGGAACCTGGTCCCCAATCCAGCACTGCTGGGGCTGGGGCTGGGGCCTAGAGAGAGGATCTGAGTCGCTGCCCTCGTGGATGAGTGAATGCCATCAGCAGGGGAGTGGGTTCCTGACTAAAGGGCGAATCCAGCCCCCTCCGGTCTGTGCCGTCCTGCCTTCCACCATGCCTTCTTGCCATGACATGGCAAGAAGGTCTTTGCCAGACGCCACCCTCAATCTGGGGCTCACCAGCCTCCAGAACGGTGAGCCCATCAATTTCTGTTCATTATAAATGATCTGGCCAGGTGCAGTGGCTCATGCCTGTAACCCTAGCACTTTGGGAGGCTGAGGCAGGTAGATCACGAGGTCAGGAGTTTGAGACCAGCCTAGCCAACCAACACACAGTGAAACCCTGTCTCTACTGAAAATACAAAAATTAGCTGGGTGTGGTGACGGGCGCCTGTAATCCCAGCTACTCGGGAGGCTGAGGCAGGAGAATTGCTTGAACCCGGGAGGCGGAGGTTGTGGTGAGCCAAGATAGTACCACTGCACTCCAGCCTGGGCAACAGAGCAAGACTCCATCTCAAAAAATAATAAATAATAAATAAAAATAAATGACCCAGTCTGTGGCATTCTGTTACAGCAGCACAAAATGGACTAAGAAACAGCACAAACATGTTCAAAGATTTAAAGGAAAAGATGGCCAAAGTGAATGTGCACATGGGAAATCTCAGCTGAGAGCGAATGGACAATCAGACGAAACCGAAAAATGCCACTAAGCAATCAAAGATTCACCACATGGACTTCTGGGGTTGGAGGCTGCAGAAAAAGAGTAAACTTTCAAGCAGCAGCAGCAGCAGCCGCACAGCCTGACACCAGGAGAGCACAGAGGCAGACGGAAAACAGCCAGGGCTGAGGGACCTGGGGACAGGGCCAAGCACTCCTGTCACACGCAGAACCAGAACCCAGGAATGAGAGCAAGGCTGGGTATGGTGGCCCACGCCTGTAATCCCAGCACTTTCAGAGGCCAAGGCGGGCAGATCACCTGAGGTCAGGAGTTTGCCAACATGGCAAAACCCTGTCTCTACTAAAAATACAAAAATTTAGCTGGGCGTGGTGGCAGGCACCTGTAATCTCATCTACTTGGGAGGCTGAGGCAGAATTGCTTGAACCCAGGAGGCGGAGGTTGCAGTGAGCCGAGATCGCGCCACTGCACTCCAGCCTGGGCAAGAGAGTGAGACTCTGTCTCAAAAAACCAAAGCAAGGCCAGGCGCGGTGGCTCACGCCTGTAATCCCAGCACTTTGGGAGGCCGAGGCGGGCAGATCACGAGGTCAGGAAATGGAGACCATCCTGGCTAACACGGCGAAACCCCGTCTCTACTAAAAATACAAAAAATTAGCTGGGTGTGGTGGCGGGCGGCTGTAGTCCCAGCTACTTGGGAGACTGAGGCAGGAGAATGGCACGAACCTGGGAGGCAGAGCTTGCAGTGAGCTGAGGTTACGCCACTGCACTCCAGCCTGGGTGACAGAGCGAGACTCTGTCTCAAAAAAAAAAAAAAACAAAGCAGGCGAGGCGCGGTAACTCACATGTGTAATCCCAGCACTTTGGGAGGCCGAGGCAGGTGGATCACCTGAGGTCAGGAGTTCAAGACCAGCCTGGCCAACAAGGTGAAACCCCATCTCTACTAAAAATATAAAAAATTAGCCAGGCATGGTGGCTCACGCCTGTAATCCCAGCTACTCGGGAGGCTGAGGC
The DNA here is from genome assembly GCF_000001405.40 of Homo sapiens. Lineage (NCBI taxonomy): Eukaryota > Metazoa > Chordata > Mammalia > Primates > Hominidae > Homo > Homo sapiens. The sequence goes on along the minus strand of NC_000019.10, from coordinate 1,972,734 downwards.
AAGAGAATTGCTTGAACCCGAGAGGCAGAGGTTGTGGTGAGCCGAGATGGTGCCACTGCACTCCAGGCTGGGCAACAAGAGTGAAACTCCATCTCAAAAACAAAACAAAACAAAGCAAAGCAAAGCTGAGATGGAAAAACGTTTCATGAAATAATGGCTCACATTTTTCCAAAGTTAATTTGAAAAAGTACCAACACAGAGATCCAAGAAGTCAGTGGATCCCAAGCAGGATAAAAACAGAAAGCCTCATCTAAGGAGAGCATAGTCAATATTTTAAATCAAAGATAAAAACCTTAAAAACAGAAAAAACGACACATTCTAGAACATTCTAGACAACGGAACAACATTCAACAACCGGAGTCCACAACAGGCTCAACATCAAAGCCACCAACAGTCCTGAGTGCTGGGGACGTGGAGTGCTCGAGGAGCCCAGTGCTATTCAGTTCTATTTGGGCAGTTAGTTCTATTCAGAAGGGCCCAAATCCAGAAACAGCCAAGCGTCCCTGCGCTGGGAGCAGATGAAGAAGGGCTGGTGTGTCCTCCGATGGACGGCCTCCCGGCACCCCTGAGAAACCACGATGTGCGGCTGCCCGCGAAGCACACAGCGCCCAAAATGCCAGGCTGAAGAGAGCGCAAACCGCAACTCAGTAAAAGCTGGCGTCACCAGGCCGGGCGCAGTGGCTCACGCCTGTAATCCCAGCACTTTGGGAGGCCGAGGTGGGTGGATCACAAGGTCAGGAGATCAAGACCATCCTGGCTAACACAGTGAAACCCCATCTCTACTAAAAATACAAAATATTAGCCGGGTGTGGTGGCGGGCGCCTGTAGTCCCAGCTACTCGGGAGGCTGAGGCAGGAGAATGGCGTGAACCCGGGACGCGGAGCTTGCAGTGAGCCGAGATTGCGCCACTGCACTCCAGCCTGGGTGACCGAGCGAGACTCCGTCTCAAAAAAAAAAAAAAAAAAAAAGCTGGCATCACCCACGTCACTCTCATCTGCCTACAGGGACCTGCACTATTCAGCAGCCTGCAACCGCCGCCCAAGGACAGGACCCACATAGCCATCTGGGTTCCCAAAAGCCATACCCCGCAGGCTGCAGGTCACGGGGCTGTGCCAGGCATGTGTGTGCAGATGAGCCTGTGTGCCTGTGTATGCGTGGTTGTGGCTGTGTGCGCCTGTGTGCGTGTGCTTTAGTGTGCACATGTGCATTTGTGGGCACGTGTGTACATGTCTGCATGTGTCTGCACGTGTGTCTGAGCGTGCACACACACACGGGGTTGGGAGGCCACAGCTCCTGTTGGGAAAAGCTCAGTCTCTTGGCTGAGAAACGGAGCCCGGGCCTCCTGAGCCACAGGCCGTCGGACCGGCAGTGAGGCTTCGTGGCCCAAGCCCAGCCTCTGCGCAGAGGTGGAATCCCAGCAGCCTCCCCAAGGGCTGGGGTGGGATCTGGTTCGGGTGGGGTCTCAAACCCCGGCCTCCTGGGGCCCTGGGTGCAACCAATGGGAACACAGAAACAGCCAACAGTGACCCCAACAGCTGCCCTCGCCTGGGAGAAGCTGCTTGACTCATAGGACACACACTTCTGCCGCATAACTGCCTGCTGAACCCTTCTGCCCACGAGTGGCAACTACCATTCATCCTCATTTAACAGGTGGGTAAAGTGAGGCAGGAGGTGGGAAGCAGGGCCACAAAACATGCCTGGGGTCCAGGCCGCCACAGCCCATGCTCCTGCGCCCCTGGGCGGCCGCTCTTGAAGATGCAGCCACATCATGACCACTGCGTGGGCCTGTTTCCCTCATCTGACAACCTCATCGGGCTGAGTGCCTGCCATGGGTGCCATGGGCACCGCCTGCCATGGGTGCCCACGTGAGGCCGATCCACTGCCGTGGCCTCTCGGACCTGCCCATCCTGCGCTCTTTCCCAGGGACCCTGATTCCCACCACGACAGACACTGACTGGGGGTGCACCTGGGTTCCCCGGACAACCCCAGCAACAGACGCCAAATGCCCTCCCGCAGGAGCTCCGGCAGCACCAGCAATAAATTTAACCACATTTCCGGGGATGATTCAGCTCCCTGGCCCAGCTAATCACAGACTGGGAACGGCCCCAAAGGTGCTCAGAGCTCCCCCAGGCCTGATGGTCATCTTCAGGCACCCCCACCCCAGGGAAGGCACCCCTGGCCAATGAGAGGCTCAGTCCTCGGCCCTGCTCCTCACGCCTGCCCGGGCAATCAGACCCCGACCCGGGAGAGGTTGGTGTGAGCAGAAGGGACGGAGCCAGGTGGGCCAGGTGCGGCCTTTTACATGGTGAAGCTGGGAGTGGCACACAGCAGTATCATCACCACAGAACAGTCACTCCAGCCACCTGACGCCAGCTCCGGGCTGGCCAAGACCTCCCACGAGCTGAGTGCCGGGCAGGCACCTGCCGTTAAAGCCGGGGCTTCGCCCAGCGTGCACATGGGCCATGAAAGTCATTCACAACTTAACATCGGGCTCCTTGCGGCGTGGCCTGGCCTGCTCTGGGCCACCTGCCTCCCAACAGAACTGTTTCCCGAAAAGGTGACAGGGCCAGAAACCCACTCTCCCCACAGAACCTCCTCGAAGGGAAGTGGCACTCGCACCACGACGGACTGATGATTCAACGCACCTGCCAGTGACATGGGGCGGCCCCGCCAGAGGCTCCAGTGACCCCGGGCGGCCCCACCAGAGGCTCCGGTGACTCGGGGCGGCCCTGCCAGCAGCCTCCCGACCCCACCTACCACCGAGCAGGGCCTCACCTAGGCGGAGCTCCCCGAAGTTGCCGCAGCCGATCTTCTTGCCGACGCGGAAGTTGGGGCCCACCATCAGGACCCCCGAGCTGGTCCCCGAGCTCCGGATGCCGTGGCTGCTCCGGCCCCCGCCGGCCTTGGACATTCTCCGGCCCTCCTCCGTCTCCCCTTTCCCTCCTTTCTTGTCAAAATCCATAAGTTTGTGATACCCTGGCCTCTCCACGGTGACTCTGCTGCCGTGCAAATCCCAAGTCTCTGGAAACCTGAGGTCTTGGCTCCTCTGTGGCTAGAACATCACTGCGGCCGGTGGGCGGGCGTGGGCCCGTGGCTCCCAGCTACTGAGACGCAGGCGTTCGGGCCGGCCAGGCCGCGCTGCTCTTCTCAGTGGCCTCGGGGTCGCTCTCGGGGGCAGGAGACATTCTGCTGACACATCCCACCGCCTCAAAGCTCACGGCTCACAGCTGCAGAGAAACAGAGGCACAGGTGAGCACCGGCAAGGCCCCCGCGGGGCCACTGAGGACACGGGGCGGAGGCCACAGAGGACACAGCCAGGAGACTGCTGGGCTGGAAGGAGCTCTGAAGGCCGGGGCATGATGAGCACCGTCCCTGCCCGGAACCCAGCTGGGAAGCACACATCACATGACATCAGAGGCCAGAGATCTCGGCGTGGCTGCCTGGGGACGAACAGGGTAGGGCTCAGGGGGCTTTCTGTAAAGCGGGATGGGTGGGTGGGTGGGTGGGTGGCACAGGTGGGAGAGTGTACTGCCAGGAGAGCATGACTGCCAATCCCGGGTAGAAGCCCTGAGGATCCTGAAGCCAGGGGAGCAGTCGCACCCCCAGACACAGAGGGGCCACACAACAGTCCCCGTATCCAGGCCCAGGGCCGCTCTGGGAAAGAGGGAGGGAGGCAGATGACAGCAGGCAGGCCCGAGGCAGGGACACAGGAGCCACCGAGCTGCCCCTGCCCATGGCGACTGGTTGATGCTGAGAGCGGGGAGAGTGGGCCGGAGGGCAGGAGGCCCCGGAGAGCCGGGCACTGATGCAGGAGCCCCCAGGGCCTGACCCAGGCTCGGGTTCTTCTCCAGCAGCCACTGGTGGAGCGGGGCAGGCTGGACGCCACTCGAGGCTGTGATGATGCCAGGCTGGGTCGGACCCATCCCCTTCGGTGCAGAGCGGAGCTGAGGAGGGAATGGCGGGGCTTGAGGGACCAGCGGAGCCAACAGCCACCTAAGCAAGGCTGGGCACGGGGCAGGCAGCAAACTTCTACCCCAGGGGAAAAGACAGAAGCCTCTGGTCCTGAGAAGGAACACGCAGTCCCTGCTCCCGGGATGGTGGGACCCCAGCCCACAGCCCCTCGCTGAGTCTGCACCACCTTAAATGCTCCCGAGCCCAGAGCTGAGGGCCCCAGAGCCTGTTGCCACCCACAGAGAAACGCCGTGTCTGGACAGGGGCTCATGGCTGAGGGGACTCTGTGCAGGTCGCTCTCTGGAGCGAGGGGGCCAGCCAGCCCCGGCTGGCATGGAGCCCAGTCTCAGCGCAGGCCCCGACGGGAGGCAGGACGGTCCCCAGCAAGGAGCCTCGGGACAGCCTGGGGAGGAGGGAGGAGGGAGGAGCCCCACCTGCAGAACTGAAGGGTGGTCAGGGGCAGCCTGGGGAGGAGGGAGGAGCCCCCACCTGCAGAACTGAAGGGTGGTCGGGGGCAGCCTGGGGAGGAGGGAGGAGCCCCACCTGCAGAACTGAAGGGTGGTCTGGGGCAGCCTGGGGAGGAGGGAGGAGGGAGGAGCCCCACCTGCAGAACTGAAGGGTGGTCAGGGACAGCCTGGGGAGGAGCCCCACCTGCAGAACTGAAGGGTGGTCGGGGGCAGCCTGGGGAGGAGGGAGGAGGGAGGAGCCCCACCTGCAGAACTGAAGGGTGGTGGGGGCAGCCTGGGGAGGAGGGAGGAGCCCCCACCTGCAGAACTGAAGGGTGGTCGGGGGCAGCCTGGGGAGGAGGGAGGAGCCCCACCTGCAGAACTGAAGGGTGGTCGGGGGCAGCCTGGGGAGAAGGGAGGAGGGAGGAGCCCCACCTGCAGAACTGAAGGGTGGTCGGGGGCAGCCTGGGGAGAAGGGAGGAGGGAGGAGCCCCACCTGCAGAACTGAAGGGTGGTCGGGGGCAGCCTGGGGAGGAGGGAGGAAGGAGGAGCCCCACCTGCAGAACTGAAGGGTGGTCGGGGGCAGCCTGGGGAGGAGGGAGGAAGGAGGAGCCCCACCTGCAGAACTGAAGGGTGGTGGGGGCAGCCTGGGGAGGAGGGAGGAGCCCCACCTGCAGAACTGAAGGGTGGCAGCTGTGGTGTTAACTGGACGCTCGGGTGGTGCAACCCCAGGGACGCGGCTGTCACCTCGTCGCCCTCAAGCCAGGTACCCGCCCAGGAGGCCAAGAACCCTGCACCGGGAGCCACCGCAGCCACCTGCCTGTCTGCACAGATCCTGCCGGGTCCTCCCTGACCCAGGCCCCAGCCACCCCTGGCCCCATTCTAGGGCTCCAGACAGACAGAAGCCCCACCCTCACTGAAGAAGGGGGACCACAGTTTGCTGCTGTGCCCCAGATGTGCAGGGGAAGAGGTTTCCTGCCAACCGGCAGGACGTAGGGGCCGCGGGTGAAGAGGGGCCGTGGGTGCACAGCCATCGCCGAAAATGTTAGGACAGGAACTCCCAGCTGAGTAAGCCACATCAGAAACGAAGGCACCGGCGTCACAAGCACTGCCCCCCTGGATGTGGCCCCTGCGTTCCGGTGCCAGAAACACCCTGTGGGGATCACAGGCCTTGGGTTCCGCACGGCAACAGCCGCTCGAATGTTCTGGTTTCCCAGTGCACACACAAGTTACGTTCACAGTATACCGTGGTCTAGGAAGTGTGCAGTAGCGTTGTGTCTAATCAAAGGACACACTTTAATTAAGCGGGGCGTGGTGTGCAAGCCTGTGGTCCCAGCTACTCGGGAGACTGAGGCGGGAGGATCGTTTGAGCCCAGGAGGCGGAGGCTGCAGTGAGCTATGATCGCACCACTGCACTCCAGCCTGGGGGATACAGCAAGACCCCATCTTAAATAAATAATAAAGAAATAAAAATACTTTACTGCTAAGCAATGGTAATGATCATGGGAACCGGGAGTGGCCCTAATCTCCCCGGAGAAGGGTCTTGCCTCAATGTGGACGGCGGCTGACTCGTTGGGGCGGTGGCTGCTGGAGGCTGGGGCAACTTCTTAAACTATGACCACAAAAAAGTTGGCCACAGCGATGGACTCTTCCTTTCATGAAAGATTTCTCTGTGGGGCGTGATGCTGTCTGATAGCATTGATTACCCACAGCAGAACGTCTTTCAGAACTGCAGTCGGTCCTCTCAACCCGGCCGCGGCTTCATCAACCGAGGTTCCGGGCTGTTCCAAGTTCTTTGTCCTCATTACCCCCAGGTTCACAGAATCTTCACTGGGACTAGAGCGCAACTGAAGCAACTCCCCTGCTCACCCTTCAGAGGCAACTCCTCACGTGTTAAAGTTTTCTCGCGAGACAGCGACAATGCAGTCACATCTCCAAGTCCTTCTCATTCTAGTTCTCTTGCTGCTTCTAAAACCTCTACAGTCCCTCCTCCACTGAAGTCCTGAACCCTCACAGTGATCTTTCAGGCCTGGGACCAACTTCTTCCAAACTTCCGCTCATCCTGACATGTTACCTCCTCCCATGGATCACGCGTGTCCTTCACAGCCTCTAGAACGGCAAAGCCTTTCCGGGGGTTTCAATTTACCCAATTTCCCCAGCTCCATCAGAGGAATTGCTCTCCACGGCACCTACAGGCACCTAGAGCCTTACAAATGTATTTCTCAATAATGAGAGTCATGGGCGGCTGCGGTGGCTCCTGCCTGTAACCCCGACACTTTGGGAGGCTGACGCAGGCAGACTGCTTGAGGCCGGGAGTTCAAGACCAGCCTGGGCAACACAGGGAGACCCTATCTTTACAAAAATAAAAACAAAATTAGCCAGTCATGGCGGTGCGCACCTGTGGTCCTAGCTACTTAGGAGACTGAGGTGAGAGGATCGCTTGAGCCTGGGAGGTGGAGGCTAAAGTGAGCTGTGATTCTGCTTCTCCACTGCAGCCTGGGAGACACAGTGAGACCGTGCCTCAAAAACACTAAGACTTGGCCAGGCACAGTGGCTCAGGCCTGTAGTCCCAGCACTTTGGGAGGCTGAGGCGGGCAGACTGCTTTGAGCTCAGGAGTTCAAGACCAGCCTGAGGAACATGGTGAAACCCCCTATGAAAAAATATAAAAATTAGCTGGGCATGGTGGCACGCACCTGTAGCCCCAGCTACTCAGGAGGCTGAGGAAAGACAATTGCTTCAACCCGGGAGGTGGAGGATGCAGTGAGCCAAGATCGTGCTACTGCACTCCAGCCTGGGTGACAGTGGGACACCTTGTCATGCATAAATAAATGAATGAATGACATGTCAAGGAGTCATCTTGATTTCCGAGTCATTCATTCATTCATTGATCCACAGGCTACAGGCTGGATGTTGTGCTAGCAGGGATGGAAACAATGATCTTTTTTTTTTTTTTGGAAACGGAGTCTCGCTCTGTCGCCCAGGCTGGAGTGCAGTGGCACAATCTCGGCTCACTGCAACCTCCGCCTCCTGGGTTCATGCCATTCTCCTGCCTCAGCCTCCTGAGTAGCTGGGACTAAAGGCGCCCGCCACCACGGCCGGTTAATTTTTTGTATTTTTAGTAGAGACGCGGTTTCACTGTGGTCTCGATCTCCTGACCTCGTGATCTGCCCGCCTTGGCCTCCCGAAGTGCTGGGATCACAGGTGTGAGCCACCGCGCCCGGCCGGAAACTGATCGTGTACGTCTCCACTAGGGATCTTGGGTGACCAGGTGCGTTGTCAGTGAGCAGTCATATTTTGAAAGAAATCTTTTTGGCCAGGCGCGGTGGCTCACACCTGTAATCCCAGCAGTTTGGGAGGCCGAGGCAGGCGGATCATGAAGTCAGGAGATCGAGACCATCCTGGCTAATACGCTGAAACCCCGTTTCTACTAAAATTACAAAAACATTAGCTGGGCATGGTCGTGGGCTCCTGTAGTCCCAGCTACTCGGGAAGCTGAGGCAGGAGAATGGGGTGAACCCGGGAGGGGGAGCTTGCAGTGAACCGAGATGGCACCACTGCACTCCAGCCTGGGTGACGAGCGAGAATCAGTCTCAAAAAAAAAAACAAAAAAACAAAAACTTTTTTCTGAACAATAGGTCTCAAAAGTGGGCTTCAAATATTCCATAAGCCAGGTGTTAAACAGATGTGCTGTCACCCAGGCTCTGTTGTTCTATTTATAGAGCACAGAGTAGATTTAGCATAATTCTCGTGGGCCCTAGGATTTGTGGAATGGTAAAAAGCCCTGGCATCACCTTCAAGTCACCAGCTGCGTTAGCCCCTAACAAGAGGGTGAAGAGGGTGGGCCTCTCCTTGGAAGCCAGGGAACCGCTTCTTCCACACGAGGAAAGTCCTGGGTGGCATCTTCTTCCAGAAGGCTGTTTCTTCTACCCTGAAAAGCCACCTCCAGCAGTGACCTTGGCTAGATCGTCTGAATGCTGGCTGACACGTCTCAAGGAACACTTAATCCTTTTCACCTTGAACCTGGTTTTTTTTTGTTTTTTTTTTAACACAGGGTCTCACTCTGTCACCCAGGCAGGAGTGCCATGGCGCAATCACAGCTTGCTGCAGCCTCGACCTCCTGGGCCCAAGTGATCCTCCCACCTCAGCCTCCAGAGTAGCTGGAACTACAGGCACACATCACCATGCCCAGCTAATTTTTAAAAAAATTTTTGTAGGCCAGGAGCGGTGGCTCATGCCTGTAATCCCAGCACCTTGGGAGGCCAAGGCCCAGCACTTTGGGATCACCTGAGGTCAGGAGTTTGAGACAAGCCTGGCCAACATGGTGAAACCCTGTCTCTACTAAAAATACAAAAATTAGCTGGGCATGGTGGCGGGTGCCTGTAATCCCAGCTACTCAGGAGGCTGAGGCAGGAGAATCACTGGAACCCAGGAGGCAGAGGTTGCAGTGAGCCAAGATCGTGCCATTGCACTCCAGCCTGGGCGACAGAGCGAGATTCTGTCTCCAAAAAAAAAAAAAAAAAATTTGTAGAGGCTGGGCGCAGTGGTTCACACCTGTAATCCCAGCACTTTGGAAGGCCAAAGTGGGTGGATCACTTGAGGTCAGGAGTTCAAGACCAGCACGGCCAACATGGTGAAACCCTGTCCCTACTAAAAATACAAAAATTAGCTAGGTGTGGTGGCGTGCACCTGTAACTCCAGCTACTCGGGAGGCTGAGGCAGGAGAATCGCTTGAACCTGCAAGGCGAAGGTTGCAGTGAGCCGAGATCACACCACTGCACTCCAGCCTGGGTGATACAGCGAGACACTGCCTCAAAGAAAGAAAATAGGCTGGGCGCGGTGGCTCATGCCTGTAATCTCAGCACTTTGGGAGGCCGAGGCAGGGGGATCACGAGGTCAGGAGATAGAGACCATCCTGGCTGACACGGTGAAACCCTGTCTCTACTAAAAATACAAAAAAATTAGCCAGGCATGGTGGCGGGCACCTGTACTCCCAGCTACTCGGGAGGGTGAGGCAGGAGAATGGCATGAACCCGGGAGGTGGAGCTTGGGCGACAGAGGGAGACTCTGTCTCAAAAAACAAAACAAAAACAAACAAAAAGAATCAATGGGCTATAATAAACTCACGAGAGTACTGTATATTTTATTTTCATGAAAAATTTATAATAAACCACCACGTTACTCCCTGTCTCTGTGGCTGGGCCTGCCCTGGACATTTCATAGAAATGGGATCACACACGGCATGTCCTCTGTGTCTGGCGTGTCTCATTGAGCCTGGAGTGTCTCATTGAGCCTGGCGTCCTGAAGGTGCGTCCACGCCGTGGCCTGAGTCAGAGCTTCTTCCTTTTCATGGCTGGGTTGTGTTCCAGTGCATGGAGGGCCACACTACGCCTCCTCCTCTGCTGACGGCCATCTGGGTTGTAGCCACCGTCCGGCTGCTGGAGTCCACGGCGGCGTCTGCGCACGGGCTTCTGCGTGGCTGCGGGCTTCCACTCCACCTGGGTACATAGCTGGGAGTGGTCGTGCTGGGTCGGATGGGAGATCTGTGCATCTTTGAGGAGCCACCAGGTCGTCTCCACAGTGGCTGCTGCACCGAGTCGTCCTCCACCTGCCGCTCCCGGGGGTCTGACTTCTACACACCCACCCCAGCGCTTCTGTGAGCTTTTGTGTTTGTTTTGAGACAGGGTCTGGCTCTGTCGCCCAGGCTGGAGCACAATGGTACCATCTCAGCTCACTGTAACTTGTCTCCCGGGCTCAAGCAATCCTCTTGCCTCAGCCTCCCGAGTAGCTGGGACCACAGGCATGGACCCCCATGTCTGGCTAATTTTTTTTTTTTGTAGAGATGGGATCTTGCTATGTTGCCTAGGCTGGTCTCAAACTCCTGGGCTCAAACAATCCTCCCTCCTCGGCCTCCCAAAGTGCTGGGATTATAGGCGTGAGCTGTGGTGACCCCACTTCTGTGCTTCTGGGCACAGCCATGCTGGGGGTGTGCTTTTTTTGTTGTTGTTGTTGACAGAGTCTCACTCTTTCGCCCAGGCTGGAGTGCAGTGGCACGAACTCGACTCACTGTAACCTCTGCCTCCCAGGTTCGTGCAGTTCTCTGCCTCAGCCTCCCGAGTAGCTGGGACTACAAGGCACCTGCCACCACATCTGGCTAATTTTTGTTATTTTTAGCAGACACGGGGTTTCACCATCTTGGCCAGGATGGTCTTGAACTCCTGACCCCAGGTGATCCGCCTGCCTCGGCCTCCCAAAGTGTTGGGATTACAGGCGTGAGCCACCGCGCCTGGCCAGGGTGTAATTTTAATTTGCGTGTTTTTGGCTGACTCCTGGTTTATTTTTGGATGCGAGTTTTCTCCACTGCACTGGGTCAGGGATGCAGTGCTGTGTTGATGCTGGACACGAGGGAGGTGGCAGGAGACACTGATGTGGCCGAGTGGCCGTGGTTGAAGAAGGGATGGCAGTCGGTGCCCCTCACCCCTGCTTAGCGGCCAGCGGATTTCTTGAGCTACCGACTCTCCTTACTGCCCAAACATCCAGAAACACCCACGCATGGCTAACCTAGTTTCTCTAAACCAGACCCATATTAAAATTTAACTTCCTTCCTGGGCGTTTTGGGGGAGGAATCTCCTCATGTGCCCTGGGAGAGGGATCTGTGAGACGTAGTCCCCCACCCCCCACCGCAGCTCATCTCTCTTCCAGCACAGGGACTGGGCGCCGTGCCGCTTTGGGGGCACCCCCTAGTTCCAGACAGTACCTCACGCCTCAACACTGGGGCCCCTCCCAGGCTCCACTGTCCTGGGATCCCCCACTGAGGCCCAGCTCCTGGGACCACCCACCAGCAGGGCCTTCTGGAGAAACGGACAGCAATGGCCTGGAGTATAGGCTGCTGGGCCCTGCCTGCGAGGCTCCTCAGCATGGGCTGGAGACTCAGGGTGACGCACACACCCCAGCCAGGAGGGATACCTGAGGCAGCTCCACCCAACGCCTCTGTGTAGGGGAACAAGCAGCAGCGCTGACCACTGAGCCGGCCTCAAGTCCTCCACCCGCCACGGCCAGGTTCTGGCCATGGGGACCGCCCCCTCCACGCCCCTCCACAGCCATGAGAGCCACGGGAACAGCCCCCTGACAGCGAGAATGCCACAACCGCGACGGCCAGGGCTGGGGTCACACTGGGCTGTCCCTGTCACAGCCCGTCCATCCGTCTTTCCACTGCGGCTGCCAACGGGACGGACAGGGGGACTTCCGCAGAGGACCACCATGCGGGGGCGACGCATCCACAGGAGAGGAAACCGGAGCCCGAAGCCTCTCCTCTGCCCACGCCCCGCCGCACACCGGCCCACACCTGGATGAGCCACCAGCACGGGGACATTCTCCTTCTTCTGGAAACCCTCTCAGCATCCACAGGAAGAGGGGGCTGAAACGTCCGTGCCTGCATTTTGTTTTGTTTTGAGACAGAGTCTCGCTCTGTCGCCCAGGCTGGAGTGTAGTGGTGCGATCTCGGCTCACCGCAGCCTCCGCCTCCCGGGTTCAAGTGATTGTCCTACCTCGGCCTCCCAGGTAGCTGTGATTAGAGGCATGTGCCACCATGCCCGGTTAATTTTTGATATTTCTGGTAGAGACAAGGTTTTGCCACGTTGGCCAGGCTGGTCTCAAACTCCCGACTTCAAGTGATCCACCCACCTTAGCCTCCCAAAGTGCTGGGATTATAGGTGTCAACCACCACGCCCTGACTACTATTAGATTTTCCAGCCCACAAGAAAGCAAAACCACATGCGTGTACACAGACACACACACGGAGACCCCAGGCGCAGGCACACGGGGGACACGGCAGCGTGTCAGAGCCGGGTGTGAGATCCAGCACGGCAAACATCCCGAGGGGACACTGCCCAGAGGCCCCGCCTGAGGCCAGCCTGCTCGCGCCACACTGCCTGCCTTTCTCGACGAGGGCTGGAGGCTGCCCGAGAGGCAGCATCCTGAAGACACAGGCCTCAGCTCTCCCCTGCCAGAAAGCGGCAGGACGTGTGGGCCATCTCAGGGGACTGCGTGCAGAAGCCGGGTAGGGAGGGGGAAGGGGCAGGCGCCATCCGGGGGACCTTCCCTGTGGACTGAGGGCGAGAAGGCCCCAGGTCCCGGATGTACCTATCTCCTAAGCAGGACGCCTTTTCTTCCTACACGCCCCTGTGCTGACGCAGACATTCGGCTGTGGTAGGGTCAGGACTGGCACCAGGGAGGGCAGGGAAGCTCCGGACCCTACATGGGGCCCTGGACGTGGGTGGGGGTTTCTGCCTGCCTGGCTTCCCCCAGGTTATGCCCTTTACAACAGCAGGGAACAAACTCTCACTCCCCAGTTCCGAGAGTCCTGCAGGAGGACCGTGAACCCAAACGGGGTTGTGGGAGCCACAATGTGTAGCCAGGGATGTGGGGACCCAGGGTGGCACTAAAGGTGGGGCGGGTGCTGGGGGACCCACGGTGGCACTAAAGGTGGCACAGGTGCTGGGGGACTCAGGGTGGTACTAAAGGTGGGGCGGGTGCTGGGGGACCCAGGGTGGCACTAAAGGTGGGACGGGTGCTGGGGGACCCACGGTGGCACTAAAGGTGGCACAGGTGCTGGAGGACTCAGGGTGGCACTAAAGGTGGGACGGGTGCTGGGGGACCCACGGTGGCACTAAAGGTGGGGCGGGTGCTGGGGGACCCACGGTGGCACTAAAGGTGGCACGGGTGCTGGGGGACTCAGGGTGGCACTAAAGGTGGGACGGGTGCTGGGGGACCCACGGTGGCACTAAAGGTGGCACAGGTGCTGGGGGACTCAGGGTGGTACTAAAGGTGGGGCGGGTGCTGGGGGCCGAGCATTAAAGGTGGGGCGGGTGCTGGGGGCTCAGCCGCAGCCTGTAGGGTCTGTGCTACCCTGCGCAGGCAGGTGTCCGGGCAGGTAAGACACCCCGATGCCACGTCAGGAAAAAGACATCACACCCACCCTCTCTGTGAGCCCCAGAGCTCCAGCCCTTTCCCAGACAAGGGAGTGGGGACACTCACAGGCCACTGAGAGGGAGCTGCCAAAACCCTCGTTGAGGACAAGAGACTGGAGGCCACCAACCAAACCTGAAAAGCAAACGTCACCGACTTCACGAGGAAAACAAATCCATCCCTTCTCGCCATGAGGATGAAAATATCCTCTATTAGATGGCACAGACAGAGACACAGCCTCATGATGAGCTAAAGGCACTGAGCTGCATGAGTTACACAGCTAGCGGGTACAGCCCGAGTGTCACACCTCAGTTATTAATACAAAAACCAACTCGCACCCTGGGAGCAGATGGAGATGCAGACTGGGAAGCCACATGGGGAATTTGGGGAAGGGACGCTCAGGACCCAGAGCCAAAGCTCATACCCACACTCAATACCGGCTGCTGTGGCCCTGGACGGGGGTGGGGGGGACGGGGGGAGGGGGGACAGTGCCTGGACGGGGGATGGGGGACGGGGGGAGAGTGCCTGGACGGGGTAACGGAGGACAGTGCCTGGGAGAGCTGGGCTGCTGCGGCCCTGGATGGGGGGACAGGGGGACGGGGGACAGTGCCTGGGAGAGCTGAGCTGCTGCGGCCCTGGATGGGGGGACGAGGGGAGGGGGGACAGTGCCTGAGAGAGCTGAGCTGCTGCAGCCCTGGATGGGGGGACGAGGGGACGGGGGACAGTGCCTAGGAGAGCTGAGCTGCTGCGGCCCTGGACGGGGGGACGGGGGGACAGGGGGACGGGGGACAGTACCTGGGAGAGCTGAGCTGCTGCAGCCCTGGACGGGGGGACGGAGGGACAGGGGACAGTGCCTGGGAGAGCTGAGCTGCTGCGGCCCTGGACGGGGGGATGGGGAGATGGGGGGGACAGGGGAGATGGGGGGACAGGGGACAGTGCCTGGGAGAGCTGAGGCCCTCTAGACACCTAGCAGGAGCCGGGCAGCTCTCCTGCCCTGGTGCACCAACCCCACGGCCCCCACTGCTGAGCCCTGCAAGACGGCCCTGCCGGGCTCCTGTTCCCCTAACATACACACTCGCTGCCCAAAAAGGACGAAGCGAGGCCCAGCGGCCTCTGGGAACCACCGAGAAGGAAGCCGTGCTCTGGACAGACATCAGGGGCACAGGCTTTGGTGGGGGCAGTGGGAGTCCCAATCGCCCCTCAATTCCAGGCAGAGCAGGCAGGTGCCCCATGAGGCTGCGCTGTGCTTCCAACGCCTCCAGACCTGCTCGGGAGGGGCCCCTTACTCAGCCACCGATGTCCCTCAGGTGTCCCATTAGGATGTGGGCAGTGCCGTCGTCAGGACGCGTCCCAACACCCGGCTTCCGGACAAGACAAGCGCACACCTCCAACCCCTCCCTGCACACGGGGGAAGCACGTGGTGACATGAGGCTGGCTCTGCCGTGTGCCCCGCAGCTCCAGGGGGCCCTAAGCAGTGGCCGTGCCACACACACAGTGCCCGCCGAGCGCCCACCCCACATAAACGGCGCCCGCCTAGCTCCCACCCCACAAACACGGCGCCCGCCGAGCACATACCCCCCACACACGGCACCCACCGAGCACACACCCCAGTGTTTCCAGGGGAGATCTGGCAGCTGCTCAAATGCCGCCAGACGCCCTCAGAGGCCCCTCTGTGCCCACGTCTGCAGTCACCCGGGGTCCTGCGCACCCTCCAGTCTCTGCCTGTGTGGTGAGCTGTGAAAGTGGCCTAGCCTGTGGAGCGCGCCCCGGGCGAGGGGACATGGGGGACCTGCAGGGGCAAAGGCATCTGCTCGGCTCCCTCAGTGAGGACAAACATGAAGTGGAGAGAGAGGTGCCTGCGCTCACTGTCCCTCCTAACAGCAAACCCAAGGTCTCCCACAGGCCCGGCCACCCAAGCCGCTCGGGGCAGCCCCCTTCTCTCCCAGGCTGCTCTCTGCTCAGCACTTGGTTTGCACGAGCGCCTGGTGCATCCCGGGACATCTCTCCCCCGGCTCCACTTTCGTCTGTGGTGCCCACGTGACCTCCCGGGCACACACTGCTTCTCATCCTTGCGGGCCTCCAGGCTGGGCAAGGCACCCTCCTGGGCACAGGGCCACTGGCCTGCTCTCCGTGTAGGCTATCCCTCCTGACACGGTGGCCCTCGGGCCTGTGGGGCTGCCTGGAGGGAGGTGGGGCCTGCGTCCAGGTTGCTTTTCTTTCTAGCCGCCCCTGCCTTGCCCTCTCCACAGCCGGGGACCCCAGAGGCCCAATCCCGCCCACCAATCTCCGGGTGGCACCGTTTAAGCCACGCAGCATCAGGGCACGACCGTCGAAGGGGGGCGCCACCACCAGCCTTCCCTCTGCAGAATCCCCTCCTCCTCCCTCCTTCTCTCTTCCAGGTGAGCCATTGGCTTGGTCAGTTCCTTCTGCTGAGAAACCCTGAGTGATGTGTGATTAACTGAATTAACCCATCAACCGCCGCCTGGCCAGGTTCATCGAGGCTGAGCCCTAAATTCCGGAACGAGCCTCCTGGGGCTCTCTGGGGTGTCCTCCTGGCCCGGAGACAGAAGCTTCTGGACGGCTGTCTCACAGCCCCCACGGATGTGGGTATGACCCACGGCCCCGTGTCCCGATGCTGGAGTCTGTAACCGCCACCTCCTTAAACACTCTCCCATCCCCAACACTCAGTCTACCCAGATGGGACTGGACACACCCCACCCAGCCCCTCTGTGGAGGGTCAACACCAACCACTGAAAGGGCCAATGCCGCAGGGTAAGCGCCTGTGCCACAGCCACAGCTGCCGGGTCTGAGTACAGAGTGGCCTTGCCGGCTAGGATGCGTGGTCTTTTGTTTTTTGAGACAGGATCTAGCTCCATCACCCAGGCTGGAGTGCAGTGGCAGGATCTCGGCTCATTACAACCTCCGCCTCCCGAGTTCAAGCAATTTTCCCGCCTCATCCTCCCAGGTAGCTGGGACCACAGGCATGAGGCACCATGCCGTCTGATCTTGGCTCAGCTACATGCGTTCTGGCTTTTGCAGAACAAAAAGCACCAAATCCCCATCCCAGCTGCACCTGCACAGATGACAAGCCCCAACCCCCAGAACCTGTGACGTGAGCGCTGCCCTGCTGGGTCTACCCACTGCTGGGTCTAGGGCCCCACTGCTCCTGGCATCCCCCTGGAAGCCTCCTTGTGCGACCCCCGGCCCCTCGTCTGGGTGGTGACCATCACCTCTCAGGTCCTGGCTCCCGCAGGGCCTCTCGGCACCCCTGCCCCATGACCTGGAGGCAGGAGGATGAGAAAGGGGCAGGCCCTGCACTCAGGGACCCAACGCTGTCGGGAGCTGGGGTGAAGGCCAGCCCGGGCTGTGTGCCGACCCTGCTCCGCCCGGCCAACGAGCAGGCTGCCCCGCTGGCGTCTGTTCTGATACAGTGGTCTTGGCTGTTGTGGCCCAGGCAGGTTGGGGTTGCTACTTTCTCTCTGGCCCCCTGGATGAGCACTGGCCTCCCTGTGCCCGGCCTCAGGGCCGGCCGGGAGCAAACCCCACTGTGCCCTGCAGAGCTGAGCCACACAGATGCACACCCGGCTTTGCAGATGGAGCCCGGAGCCGAGCAGCAGCCTCCTCCGGTGACAGCAGTGGCACGGGGGTCCGCTGAGCACTCCCTGCACCCTCAGGGCTGGATCCCGCCTCCAAGCATCTCACGACAGCCCCTCTGAGGGGGTCGTGGGCGGACAGCAGAGGGAGGGCCCAGCCACACCCACCCTAAGCCTGACATGGACGGAGAAGCCCCTGACCTGGGCGCTGCCCCCGACTCGCGGAGCCTCGCCCAGGCACACGCCCACCCCGCGGAGCCTCACCCTGGCACACGCCCACCCCGCGGAGCCTCGCCTCAGCCTGAGCCTCAGTGGGGGGCGCTGACCCACAGCCGGTGAAGGGCAGCCCAGTGGAAAACGGGAGCACTGCTTGCACACCTGCCGCCCACGGTGGCCGCTAGCCCACATCCCCCACCTCAGGAGTGGCCCCGAGAGTCACCGCCTGCGCCTGAGGCCCTCGCAGCAGCAGCAGCAGCAGCAGGAGGGCAGTCAGAGGACAGGCAGGGCCGCCACCCTGGGCTGTGTTCCGTGGGCACAGGGCGGGTGCCCAGCTCCCCCTGCCCCCACAAACAAGAGCCGCCACTCCAAGACTCAGCAGCTTCCGAGGGCGCAGATCACTCCCTGGAGGCGGTCACCACTCGGTCAGGGCCCAGCACCCGTCCATCACCAAGGAGGAAGAGCCCGGCCTCTTCTGGGGCTCTCCGAACCCCAGGGGGTGCCCAAGGGAAGCCAGACAAGGCCGGGGCCTGGAAGGAAGCGAGGACGTAAAGGCTGGGCACCCACAGTGCCCACGCAGGCCTGGGGGTTGGGGGCCTGCCCTGTTGCCTGAGGGCCACAGCGAAAAGCAACAACCCCAGGGAGGGACGAAGGGACGCTGATCCTCACCCAGCCTCCACCCAACCCACGCAGCCACGATTCCGTCCCAGGGGGCGAGTGCCGGCTCCGGGTCACACGCCAAGGATGGCTCCCGGGCGCCAACGAGGGGATTGCAGCCATCCCACAAGGGGCTGCTCTCTCCCCGTCAGCTCCCATCCCCTTCCCCAGCCCTAGCCTCAGGCTGCTACCTGCCCTGTTCTTTTCGGGGTCCTCCATCTGGTCTGGGCCCAGGGCCAGTTCCCTGGGGAGGGCCCCGGGAGCCCCCTTCTCTGACTGTCTCCACTGAGTGATGTCACAGTCCCTGGGCTGACATCACCACACAGCCCTCAGCCCAGAGCCCAGGGCAAAGCTGAAGGGAGGCCAGGGACCTCACTGGGCTGGGCAGGTGCAGGCCACCGCCGTCCCAGTGCCCTCAGAGGCACCTAGACTCATGTGGACCCGGCCGCAGACCGTTCTGGGCAGCTCTGTCCAGGCCGGCCCTGCCCTCTGACCTGGGGCCGCAGGGGCTGGCCACTGTGGGCTCGGTTCCCTGCCACCCCAATTCATCTGCACCCCAAGGAAAGAAAATGAGGGGTTGCAGCGCCCCAGGACCCAAGAGCCCCCGAACACCAGGGCAGCACATACTTCCAGTGCCAGGGCCACAGCAGAGCGGGGCCAGGCCCAGCCCAGTGACGCAGGGCAGACGGAAGGGCGCCCTCCACAATGGAGGGGCGCAGGAGCTGCCGCGGCCAGGACAAACCAACCTCAGGCTGACCTAGGCCGGTAATGGGTTTAACGCATCAGGTGCAAAAGAGAAACACCCCACAAATCAGGGAGAGGAGGGAAGCCGCCCACCCCATGGGAGGAAGCTGAGGAGTGAACGCCAGGGATGGGCAGGGCCGGTCCTCGGAGCACTGCAGACACCAGACCAAGGGCGACTGTCATCACCACGAGAAGGCCCCGTCCATGGCAGAAGCCAACCTCACCGCGCCGACTGCACCGGAGACGCCCACGAGGACAGCCGGCCTCTGAGAACGCAGCTGAGCCGTCACAGGTCGCCATCAGCAAAGGCAAGAGTCCAGGTAAAGAACACAGGAGGGCCACAGGTGATCGCGGTACAGCGGCCAGGACCGGACCCTGATGCGGGGGGAGGGGGCAAGGCTGCACAATGGCAGCTGGGACCAGACCCTGTTGGGGGGATGTGGGGGACGGCGAGGCTGTGCAGGGACCCCGTCCCACAGGTCAGCCTCGCCCTGGTGATGGCACAGACCACAGGTGAGGGCCACGGGCAGAGCTGACCAGGGAAAAGCTGGCACTCACCCAGCACCGGACACATAAGGCAAACACCACCGGCAGCCTTGGCGGAGGGCACTGTCCCTGCAACTAGTCCACATAGGGGCAATTTTCCCAAAATTCAGATTATGCAAACGGAGGCAAGGCTGCCATGGACTCCAGAGCCTCAGACGCCATCAACAAAAGCAAAGTGGACACATCTGCATCAAATCCATCACAAAGACGGCCTTCCAGACTCCGGGGGAAGTGAGAACACCCCCACCCAGGCCCCCATGGCGCACAGGCCCCCACAGCAACCCTGCGCCACCTCAGCAGCCTCAGCTCTGCTTCCTGCTCCGTGGCCCGGGGGCAGAGCTGACCTGGTCTTGCCAGGGGGGCAGGGGTCCCCGGTCCCAAGTGGTGCCACAGACAGCGGGGGGAACGTGCAGGCAGAGTCAGGCACCCCACCAGGAAAGAAAGCTCCCACGGCAGGTCCCGGGGGCGAGTGGGACCCGGGGTGGCTCCCATCGGAATCCTGCTACATCTGAGAGGACACGGGTCCTTCCAGAAGCGTAACCATGAACGGCCGTGGAAAACCTGGGTGGGCTGCGTTTCTACATTTCCTTTGTTTTTTTTTTCAGACGGAGTCTCGCTCTGCCACCCAGACTGGAGTGCCTTTTCCCCTCATCGTGTGGGAGCCGCCGGGCGACATCCCGCCCCGGTTTCCCTCCACTCGAAGGCAGTCACCTCGGTTGCCAGCTCCTGCCTCTGTGATGATCCCCACGAGGGCTGCAGAGTGAAGGGCACAGCAGGGTTCGGCCTAACTCCCCGGGGAGCCCTAGGCGAGAGGGCTTGGTCCTGGGGAGCTGCCCAGGTCTTCTATATCCCCTGGCCTCCATCCAGTCCCGCACGACTCAGCTCCTGGCCCTGTGCACCGGGCGACGCCTGCTAGGCGCATGACCCTCAGAGTCAGGCCTGTACTCACCTCAGCATCTATCAAGGGCCTTCAAGGATCGGGTTTTTTTAATCATCGTCAAATATATCGTTACTAAAAAGATACGTACACTTTGGGAGGCCGAGGTGGGAAGATCACTTGAGGTCAGGAGTTTGAGACCATCCTGGACAACATGGTGTAACCCCGGTCTCTTCTAAAAATACAAAAATTATCCGGGCATGGTGGCGGACGCCTGTAATCCCAGCTACTCGGGAGGCTGAGGCAGGAGAATCACTTGAACCCGGGAAGTGGAGGCTGCAGTAAGCCAAGATGGCACCACTGCACTCCAGCCTGAGCGACAGAGCAAGACTCTGTCTCAAGAAAAAAAAAAAAAGTTGAGCACGTGGAAGCATCCCGCCCTCCGCCACTCGGGCATCATCAGTGCTCACAGGCCGCAGATGACACACGCTATCGGCGCACTAGCTTCTGCCCCCTGGGCCCTCGTCCAGCCCTGCACCCACTGCCCACTGAGGGGCCAAGGTGTGCTTGCTGTCCTGCAGTGACCATCACGACCCCTTTCACACAGAAGGGTTGGGCTATCCCCGAAAAAGACATGCCAAGTCCTAGCCCCCAGTAAACAGGAACACGGCCTTATGTGGAAATGAGGATGGCCCCAATCTCACCACTTCTCAGCTTAAGGTCCTGTTTCATGATGTTGAGTCAGAAAACAGCAGAGAATGGCCGGGCCCGGTGGCTCTCGCCTGTAATCCCAGCACTTTGGAAGGCCGAGGCGGGTGGATCACGAGGTCAGGAGATCGAGACCATCTTCGCTAACACGGTGAAACCCCGTCTCTACTAAAAATACAAAAAATTAGCCAGCTGTGGTGGCGGGCGCCTGTGGTCCCAGCTGCTCGGGAGGCTGAGGCAAGAGAATGGTGTGAACCCGGGAGGCGGAGCGTGCAGTGAACGGAGATCACACCACTGCACTCCAGCCTGGGCGACACAGTGAGACTCTGTCTCCAAAAAAAAACAGCAGAGAAGAGGAAGGTGGGGAGGGGTGGACTCTCACCGCTTCCTCCCGCCCAGCCTGCACATCCTGAGGGCACCCAAGCATCCCCCATCCTGGCCCATCGGGAGGCTGCACCCCCCAACTGGGACCCCTGTCCGTCATGCACACCACAGCTGGTGCTGCCTCCTCAGGGAGCCCCAGAGGACACAGGCAGCTGGGCCAGCCTCAGGATCTGGCAGGGTCTGAATGGGAAGAAATCAAACGGTCCCAGCAGGCCCCCATCTTTGATTTTTTTTATTTTTTTTTTGAGACGGAGTCTCACTCTGTCGCCCAGGCTGGAGTGCAGTGGTGCGATCTCGGCTCACTGCAAGCTCCGCCTCCCGGGTTCACGCCATTCTCCTGCCTCAGCCTCCCGAGTAGCTGGGACTACAGGCGCCCGCCACCACGCCCGGCTAATTTTTTGTATTTTTTTTAGTAGAGACAGGGTATTTTAGTAGAGCCAGGATGGTCTCAATCTCCTGACCTCGTGATCTGCCCGTCTCGGCCTCCCAAAGTGCTGGGATTACAGGCGTGAGCCACCGTGCCTGGCCATCTTTGATTTTTATAAACCAGCAAACGGTAGAAAGTGTTGCCTCCCCAGGCACACGGCGTCTCCTCTCACCTCCCCTCATTTCAACAGCAGGGGACAGACACAGACCACCCGCCTGGCCAGCTCTCTGACCCCCATGGTCTCCCCTGAAAACTGGGCACGGGGATCACCCAGGGATCTAGGGGGGCACCAAGGCGAATAAACGCCCAGCTCACCGAAAACTTCCCAACACGCTCCGCCATGATACCCCATAACCCCCACCTGGAGGGTCTCCAGCAAAACTCCCGCAGCCCCTCCCTCCTGGATGCCCCAGAGCAGGTGACACCTCCCTTCCAGCGGCCAGGTCCCCACCTGACACTGGCTGGAGGGAGGCAGGGGGACGGGTGCTGGTGGCCTCTGGGGCACGAGAAGGTGCCTTGGTGTTCGGTGGGCGGCAGCAGATTTAGGCCGGGCCAGCCCAGGAAGGCCCGTCCGTCCCAACATGGAAGGAGGCCTTGGCTGTTTCTAAGTGCACCCCCTCCTGTCTCCCAGAGGCCTCAGACAATTTTCTCTGGAAAGCGGACGGTGCTCATCTCCTGGAATCTGAGGTTTGTGAAAGAACATCTTCTTCAGATGTTGCTGTAATGTTCAAGTTCTCCAACACTGCTGAGTTCTCTTTTGCTACTTAAAAATAAACATTGATGGCCAGGCGCGGTGGCTCACGCCTGTAATCCCAGCACTTTGGGAGGCCGAGGAGGGCGGATCACGAGGTCTGGAGATCAAGACCATCCTGGCAAACACAGTGAAACCCCGTCTCTACTAAAAATACAAACAATTAGCTGGGTGTGGTGGCGGGTGCCTGTAGTCCCAGCTACTCGGGAGGCTGAGGCAGGAGAATGGTGTGAACCCGGGAGGCAGAGCTTGCAGTGAGCAGAGCTCACGCCACCACACTCCAGCCTGGGGGACAGAGCGAGACTCCGTCTCATAAATAAATATATAAATAAATATATAAATAAATAAAATAAATAAAAATAAACGTTGATTTTTGTGGCCTCGAAAGGCCAGGGCCACCTCGATGATCCTGTGGGGCTGGGGCCTACCGGTCACTCTGTGGACACTGGATGCCTCCGGCCTCTGAACTCGCTGTGGCGAAGGTCACGGGCAGCACATCCATCTGTCTGTCCCACTGGCCGTGCTCGTCACAGGGTGCAGGATCTGGCCCTGTGCCTGACAAGGCAGTGGGGACACCGGGCACATGCAGGACCCCTGGCTTTCTAGACGGCATGGGGATCAGGACAGCAGGGTCCCTGATGCCCTGCAGGCCAGAGAAGCATCGGGCCGAAGGACAGGAGAAACCAAGTCACCGGAAGAGGGGAGTGGTCGTCGCTGTGCAGAGATCCAGTCCCCAAAACCCGGCAGGGGACCCAAACAGTGCAGGTATGGATGGCCGTCTGCGGCTCCTCAAATGGTCCAACCGGGAGTGGCCCTGTGACCAGCGGTTCCACCGCTAGAAGTCCACCTGACAGAAGAATCACGCAGCCACACGGGAACCGGACACGGGTGCTCGCAGCAGCCACACGCGGATGCCATGCAAACATCTATCACAGAAATAAACACGTGGCCACCCACACGCCGGAACACGACTCAGCCACGAACAGGAGCGAGACTCGGACGCGGGCCATGGCGCGGATGCACCGAGGGTGTCACACTCAGTGAGAGACGCCAAACACACCAGGCCTCATCCCGTGTGATTCCACCCCTAGGAGGTCCCTGGAGCCCTCAGAGTCACAGAGCCAGAAAGTAGGATGGGGGTGCCAGGGGCTGGAGAGGGCACGGGAGTGAACGTTTCACGAAGACAGCGTCTCAATTTGGGAAGGTGGGAAGGTTCTGGAAAGGATGGTGTGGAAGGCTGGCTGCTGATGGGGCCAGGGCTCCCTTTGCAGGTGATGAGAACACTCTGGAATTACAGGTGGTGGCTGCACTCACAGAGGAGCCTTGACCACGGCAGGTTTGAACTGACAGGTCCACTCTGACGTGGATTTTTTCAATAAAGGTTGCCCTGAGGGCGCCAGCCTCTCCTGGCTCCTTCCCGCTCTGCCACCCGAGACAGCGAGACCCACCCTCCCTTCCTCAGCCCTCAACGTGAACACGACGAGGACAGAGGCTTCCATGAGCATTACTTCCACTGCGTGAAGAGCAAACAGGGTTTCTCTTCCTTCTGCTTTTCTCCACATGTTCTGGTCTCCAGCTTCCCTCACTGTGAGAACGCAGCACCTAACACAACACACGAGGTATGTGTGCGCGGACCACGTGTCCTCCCGAGGCCTCTGGTCACCAGCAGGCTGTCGGCAGCGGCATCTGGAGGACTCGAAAGCTATACGAGGGTATTTTGCTACATGAGGGGCTGCTGCCCTAAACCCCACCCTGCTCAAGGGTCAGCTGTACAAAAACCACTTGCGTGCACACGTTGCCGAATTTTACCAAACGTGGATTATGTTCCCAGCAAAAAAAAGTGGCTCATGCTCTAAGGACCACACCGAAATAAGGCTGGTAAGAGAACAGTGAGCTGGGTCAGTGTGACGGGATCTTTTTTTTTTTTGCGTTTTTTTTTTTTTTTTTTGAGACGGAGTCTCACTCTGTCGCCCACATGGAGTGCAATGGCGCGGTCTCAGCTCACTGTAAGCTTCGCCTCCCGGGTTCATGCCATTCTCCTCCCTCAGCCTCCCGAGTAGCTGGGAGTACAGGCGCCTGCCACCGCGCCCGGCTAATTTTTTGTCTTTTTAGTAGAGACGGGGTTTCACTGTGTTAGCCAGGATGGTCTCGATCTCCTGACCTCGTGATCCACCCGCCTCGGCCTCCCAAAGTGCTGGGATTACAGGCGTGAGCCACCACGCCCGGCCGGGATCGTTAATTTTAAGAAACGCTGTGAGCCCGGCTCTGGCCAGCACCCTGGGGATGAGAGGGGGAGGGACAGGGCCCGGGGCAGCGGCCTTCCAGAATGGCTCCCTCCGGTGCAGGATCAAGTCTGAGCCCAGGGCGGGGCCGCCCCCCGAAGCCACACCTCCTGCTCACAGGGCCAGGGTTTAACCAGCTCATCCCGGGTCCCGGCCCACGAAGCTTTCAGAGGAACCGGGGCTGTGCGCCCACAGGAAGGAGAGGCCAGTGCCCGGGCACGAGGACGAGCTGACTCATGGGGGCCCCAGGACGTCACCACACCCATTGCCCAGGGCCGCGGGCGAGGTCCAAGGGGCAGCGGAGGTCCCCGACAACTCATGGGGCAGCCACGGTCCACCCAGGGCTCAGGCAGCGAGCCCCACACAGCGCCCCTCTCCACGGCGTACAGGCCTGACCAGCGTGATGGCACAGCACGCACACACCTGTGCAGACGCCAGCGCAAACGCACACCACCCCTGCGGTCGCAAGCCCTGTCCCAGCCCACCTGCAGGCTCCAGGGCTCTGGCTGGCCTGCACGTGGCCAGGGCCCAGCTGGATCCCCCTCGGCGCACCCACCCTCAGAGGAACTCAAAGGCACACCCAGCAAGTCAGAGGCAGACACGGGCCAGTCCGTGTCCTCACGCTGGTCCCGTGCGCTGCCCTCAGGCTCCCGTCCTGGGAACTGTCCCCAGGCAGAGCCTGGGCATCAGCGCCAGCTGCCCTGCCCCAGGACCACTGGAGCAGAAGCCCGAGGGGCACAACTGCCGCGGACAGGATGAGCCCTCGCACGCCTGCCATCTTTCCTGGGGACAGAGGTCAGATGGGAAGGGGCAGAGGTCACCGCAGATTACATGAGCATCACCTGGGAAACAAGGTCCCTAAGGAGGGCGGGTCCCACCTGCAACAGGGCCTGAAGCACCACGGCCAAGGCGAGAGGACTGGCCATCAGGCCTCACAGGCAGGGACTCTGTCCACGAATCCAGACCAGGACTTGGGGTGCCTCACTCTGGAGGGTGGAAGTTTCCAGATAATTGAGGGATTACCTTTAAGCACAACTTTTTTCAAGCCTCCAAAGGCAATTACGCATCAACGAAACACCGCTGGTGACAATAAAAAAACCTCTAAGATTTTCTCTGCCTTTTAAATAGCGATAGGGCCGGGCACGGTGGCTCACGCCTGTAATCCCAGCTATGAGGGAGGCTGAAGCAGGTGGATCACCTGAGGTCAGGAGTTCAAGACCAGCTTGGCCAACATGGACAACAGAGCGAGACTCTGTCTCTAAATAAATAAATGAATAGGCCGGGCACAGTGGCTCATGCCTGTAATCCCAGCACTTTGAGAGGCCGAGGCGGGCAGATCACAAGGTCAGGAGATGGAGACCATCCTGGCTAACACAGTGAAACCCCGTCTGTACTAAAAATACAAAAATTAGCCAGGCGTGATGGCATGTACCTGTAGTCCCAGCTGCTGGAGAGGCTGAGGCAGGAGAATGGCGTGAACCCGGGAGGCGGAGCTTGCAGTGAGCCAAGATTGCGCCACTGCACTCTAGCCTGGGCAACAGAGCGAGACTCCATCTCAAAGAAAATAATAATAATAATAATAAATAAATAAATAAATAGCCGGGCGCGGTGGCTCACGCCTGTAATCCCAGCACTTTGGGAGGCCGAGGCGGGCAGATCACGAGGTCAGGAGATCGAGACCATCCTGGCTAACACGGTGAAACCCCGTCTCTACTAAAAGTACAAAAAACTAGCCAGGCGTGGTGGCGGTCGCCTGTAGTCCCAGCTACTCGGGAAGCTGAGGCAGGAGAATGGCGTGAACCCAAGAGGCGGAGCTTGCAGTGAGCTGAGATCGGGCCACTGCACTCCAGCCTGGGCAACAGTGCAAGACTCCATCTTAAAAAAAATAAATAAATAAAAAATAAATAAATAAATAAATAAACGAATAAATAGTGATGGGCCAGCCCTGGCCCGTGACCCCCGAGCCTCTTGCAGTCTTTCTTCCCGCTGCCCTCACCTGCGCCCCCTCCTCTGCGCGGCCTGAGACACAGACGTGAGGCAGCTAGCTCCCCCTGCAGGTATGGAATGGGAGTGACCTCCCCGGGATAGGCCACGGGATGCACTTCCCACCTCTCCCGGGAACATACGCGTGGCCTCCGCTCCTAGATGGAATCTGCCGTAACAAGAGTCATACCCCACGGGTCAGGCCGGCCAGACCAGAGTCTCTTGCCCCACTCCACTGGGCTGCCTGCCCCACTTGGCACCCACAGCTTCGGTCCTCACCCCATGGCCTCTCCAGGGAGGGACCCACTGCTCTACCCCAGCGTGCCCCAGAAGTTCAGCAGATGCGCATCAAGGGAGAACCAGCTTTTTTTTTTTTTTTTTTTGAGACGGAGTCTCGCTCTGTTGCCCAGGCTGGAGTGCAGTGGCGCGATCCTGGCTCACTAAAACCTCCACCTCCCGGGTTCAAGTGATTCTCCTGCCTCAGCCTCTCGAGTAGCTGGGATTATGGGCGCACGCCACCACGCCCGGCTAATTTTTGTATTTTTAGTGGAGATGGGGTTTTGCCATGTTGGCCAGACTAGTCTTGAACTCCTGACCTCAGGTGATCCGCCCACCTCGGCCTCCCAAAGTGCTGGGATGACAGGTGGGAGCCCCCGCGCCCGGCCAGAGCTGGCTGTTTTCAACATGATGTCACGCGAAACTGTCTCGGGCCTCACGGTGCAGGGAGGCCGCTGGGCCACCCAGGAGCACGCCTGAGGGTGACAGGAGGGATCCCTGGGCAGGGCTGGCAGGGGGCTGCCCCGATTCCCTGTGCAGGGGACACGTTGGGGGCTCTGAGCAAGGGGGAGATGATCCCCACACCTCAGACGCGTGCCCCGAACAGTCAGCCGCACCGGGGGCCAGGGCCGCCTGAGTGCTGCCGGGGGAGCCTGGGGCCAGCCCGGGGGTCTGAGAAGCGGCTCCCCTGTGGGCCCAGGACACAGCTCACGCTGCACCTGCAGAGGGGCCCTGGCAACCTTGCGGGCGCACAGGCTGGTGCAGGGCCCCAAGCAGCGGTGGTGGCCAGAGACTCTGGGCAGGGCGAGAAGGGGCCGCGGAGCCTGGAGGACTCAGAACCCAGCAGGGCTTCAGGACAGTGCCTGGGGGACAGCATGGGCAATGCTCCTGGGCACAGCTAGCTCACGCTGGCCACCCGGGGCATGTCCTGCTTTGTCCCATGCCCTTGCTGGTGACAAGTTGATGTGGGTGGTGAGCGGGGCAGAAAAAGGGCAGCAAGGGTGGGATGCTAGAGGTTCCTGCCCCACTACAGGAGGACCCGGCAAAGGGAGGAGGCTCACTGGGCCCCGCCCGCCAGACGGGTGCTTGCCAGGAGCCAGGCAGGCCCCACCCCTCACTCAATCCCTGCCCGCTGCAGGGCTGCCCGCAGTGCATTGAATACACCGTTCTGGTGGTCCCAGACCCTCACTTTGAGCCCTCGCTGAGGTAGCACAAAGGGGTACCCCCCCCCACCCAGCCAGGCCAGTCAAGCTCCCGGACAGACCCACCCAGCAGACGGCTGCACCCACGTGCCAGTCACAGGGCGGCACAGCCCTCTGGACAGAGCCAGCAGAGAGGATGGGGAAGGCGGTGAGGCCCGTCCCCTGGCCGCAGGGCCACCACCCCTCGCTGTCACTGCTCCCACTGGCACGGCGGGTGACCAGAGAAGCACAGGTGTGGGAGTCAGCCCTCGGGAAACACCACCTTCTCCTCTACCCAAGCAGGCCAGGTAGGCCTCGACTTCCTCATCTGTAAAATGGGCGCTCCACCCACTTCCCAGGAAGCCCCACAGCACGGGCCCCACGAGAACTCCAGAATGAGGAAGAAGCAGACGCGGAGCCTCCCGACCTAGGGAGCCTCCAGACTGCAGGCCTCACTCAGACGGCCTTGCACAGAGGCCGCCAACCAACAGGTTCTCTCGTGTGGCTGCCGGCGGAGCATTTGCAGATCTGCAGATCCGCGGGATGGGGGAGGCGGACCCGGCACGCCTGACACCAGAGCTCGACCCAACACGCGCACGGCCACCGAGCCCTAGCTGGACACAGGACTTGAGGCTGACCTGAGGACGAAGCCCACAGCTGCCCGCCACCACCGCAACCCTAACCAGGACTCGGGCCAGGCCTCCTTCACATGGGCCCTGTGTCCCCTCTGGGTTCAGAGAAAGTCAGCCAGCCCCACATGCTGGCCTGCCCACTGCCACCCGAGGCCCGCAGCCCCTGCCAGGCTGTGCCCGGCACTCGGCCCCAACAGCACCCACAGCGCTGCCTCCATCCACCACCCGCCCTCCGCCAGGCCTCGGTCAAGGCCTTGACGGACCATGAGCCCCTGGGGGCCTGGGGCAGCTCGGTGGGGGGTGCAGAAAGGAGGCAACATCAAACGCTCAACAGGATCCCCCTCTCCAGATGCCCCAGGGCAAGCAACTCCGGCTGTCCCTAAGCTCAGCTTCCGTCCGTCCCAGTGGCTCTGCGGACGCATCTGCTGGGGCGCTAGAGTCTGCCACTCGGGCGCGCGGTAACCCCCACCAGTTCCAAAAGACACAGTGCCCCCCCTCCCAACCGTGCCTGGCACACCAACAGGACTACCCCAATCCCCAAATTAATGGCTGGCATACTGGCTTCCCCTAAGCTTGGGATGAGCAACAGGAACTTTCAATTAAAAAAACCCTCGCCTACTTCCTTTGTAGCCCAGAGTAATTACTGTATTATTAAAAAGGAGGAGAAGAAAAGAAGAAACCCAAATCGGCAATTCCACAAAATCTGTCTGCACAAAGTGCTGCACCATCGCGGGCCATCCTGCAAACGGCCTGGCTCCCAGACCTGCCCAGAGCCCAGGCAATGAGGCGCTGCTCCCTCATCCTCTTCAGAGGAACTAGACAGGTTCAAATCAGACAGGAAGCCCCTAGACACACAAGGAAGTCCGAAGGCACAGCAGGCACAGTAAATCCAGACACTACAGACCACTTGGGGTTTCGCCTCCCACCGGGGTGAAGGGAACAGAGCCAGCTCCTCCAACATCTCACCCCATTTGCCCGCTGCACGGTCCTGCAGGACACATGGTTGGCCTCTCACCCCCAGACCTGGCCCTCCCATTGGGACCCCGTCCAGACCCGGCTCCCCTGCATGCAGGTCTCCCGTTCCCTCTCGTCTGTGCAGGAGCGGCTCTCAGAGCTCACTGTGGGGGGCTGAGCAAAACACTCTCGGCCCTAGAGACGTCAAGGCAGGCGTGCGCGTACCTGCACACACTCCCGGGGGCTGCCTGCCTGGGAAACTCATCAGTCAGCCCAGCCCAGAGCGTTTCGTTTTGGTGGAGACACAGGGGAAAACAAAACAAAGTACCAGTGACAACCGCGAACTTCCCCCTTTCAAACCTGGGGGCCCTGGCACACAGTCTTTCCTCTGCACAGAGGCACCCCAGGCTAGGCTGGGCTGTGCAGGGCAGAGTAGCCCGGGGTGCTTCCATCCCCAGCTGCCAACCCCCGCCCAGCCCCCTCCCTAATCCGAGCGCCTTCCCGTGGCGGGACGGCTGGGTTTTTCCCCCAGACAGGAGCCTTTGTACCTTCCTGCTCAGCTCCCACACCCACGAGCTACCAGGGCCTCCGGGAGCCAGGAAACACCAAGAAGGCTCCTGCATGTCCTGGGGTGGGGAGGCAGAGCCCCACATGGCCTTGTGGACCGCCCCGGCGCACTGGGCCACACGGTGGAGCGTAACGGGGAGAAGAT
The DNA here is from genome assembly GCF_000001405.40 of Homo sapiens. Classification (NCBI taxonomy): domain Eukaryota; kingdom Metazoa; phylum Chordata; class Mammalia; order Primates; family Hominidae; genus Homo; species Homo sapiens. Next base: position 1,942,449 of record NC_000019.10, on the reverse strand, counting down.
GCTGGACTCCACCTACACAGACAACCCTCCGGCCCGCTTCCTGCAAACAATGCCATCCGGAGGCCACAGGAATAAGAACCAGCTGTCCCAAAGCCATTCTGGCTCAAGACGCAACAGTCCCCGAATGTCCTCTCAGCCCCCACGCCCCTCAACGGGAAAGTCTTCCCCTAAGAAAGTTGGGAGAGAGGAGCCAGGCGGGGATCGGGGATCGGTGAGGCCACCGCAGGCCCTGCTCAGACATCTCACCCTCCCTCCCTGATCCGTGCGTTTCCGGAAAACAAAGCCGGTGGCCACAGCGGAAGGGGGAGGGGGCAGCGAGCCCAGCCGGGAGTTCCCAGGCAGTGCCGCAACAGGTCCCTGCGGATCAGACCACCTTCCTCCCCCCCACCACCCCCTGCTCTCCCCCTCAAGAGCTTTAGGACCACAAAGTGAGGACGGGGACACAGCTGCGTGGGGAGGGGCCAGGCCAAGACAGGAGGAGGCGATGGGGCCAGGTGGGCAGGGGCCTCGGGACCAGAACGCGGGGAGGCGTGAGGGACGCGGGTGAGTGGGCGGTGGGCTTGAGCACTGGGTGGGGGAAGAAGGCGGGAGGTGGGGTGGGGACTAAAGGCTCAGCGGAGGGCAGGAGAGTTGGAGCACGACAGTCACCGGGGTGCAGAGTGGGGGGGTCACTGGAGCGGCGGGGGCAGGGTCTGGAGTGTGAGGGTCACTGGGGCGGCAGACTCCTGAGTGTGGAGGTCAGCGTGGGGCTGTGTCCGGAGGTCCTGAGCGCGGGTTAGGGCGGTGGGGGACGCTGGGGTCCCGAGTGCAGGGTCAACGGGGTGTTGCGGCGGTGGGGCCCTGAGTGTGGGGGTCAGCTTGCGGGGCGGTTAGACGGGTTGGGGGGCGCTGGGGTCCGGAGCACGGGGTCGGCAGGGCGCAGGAGGGCAGTGGACACCGAGTGTGGGGGCGGGGGCGCCGGGGGTCACTGGGGGCGCCCAGGGCCAGGGTGCAGGGGGCGAAGGGGCCGGGGCGGGCGCGCGCGTCGTTACCTTGGCTCCGCCGTGGCCGGGCCCGCGGGCAGCGTCTGGGCGGCCGGCCCGGCCTCAGCAGCGCAGCGCGGACCCCCGCTCCGGGCCCCGCGCCCCCTCGCGCTCCGGCTCCGGTGCCGCTTGGGCCCCCGCTCCGGCTCCCGCGCCGCCTGGGCCGGCCTCCGCATGTTCGGGACGGGAGGCGCCGGGCTCGCCGCGCTCCGCCGCGCCCGCTCCGGGGCCCGCGCGCCTTACGCCGCCAGCGTCTGCCAGCGGGGGGCGGCAGCCATACGCGCCCCACTGCGCAGCCGCGGCCACGGCGCCGGGGGCGCGCGCCGCCGACGTCACAGCGCGGGGCGGGGCCAACACCCGGCTGGGCGTTTCTCGCGCCGCTTTGCGACAACGGATGGCGCCGCGCGACGGCCACGGCGTTTTGCGGCCGCTACGAGGCCGCCGGGCCGCTGCCCGCGGGGGACACCGAAAGCGCGTGGCCGCGAGGGCGCGCGCGGGCAGGAAAGGGGGTCTAACGGTTTCCACACCCTTCTAGGGGCGGGCCTTCCGCCGCCCGCCCCTCCCCGCCCGCTGTTGCCATGGCGACGCGTGGCTGGTCGTCCTGGCACCGCCCTGCCGCCGTGTGTTACGTCACAGTCTCGCCACCTGACGTCACGGACGGGCGGCGCCGCGGGATGTTCCGTGCGTGGGGCGGTGGCGGGCGCGGCGCGGGGAGGCGGCGGGCTGCGCGCGCTAGGCCGCGAGGTTTCCGGGACAGGCGCTGGAAGGGGCGACTGGCCAGAAAATGAGCTGGTTCAGGGCAAGAGGGTTTTTCCATCTGGCTTTCCTGGGCGAGGAGGGGAAAACAGTTCTAGAATAACTGCTCCGTGTTCAGGGGGAGAACAGCGGTGACGTGGGTGCCCCGTTGTCTTCATCCACCGTGACATCAGCAAGGAGCAGAGAGGAAGTGGCCCCGGACCCGCGGCCGGCAGCTAGACAAATGCACTGCTGGGACTGCCATGCCCAGCACGGGCCGCTCCCCTGGGGCTCTGCGCGTAGAGCCGACTCCTTGCTTGTACCTGCCTGCCTTCCGGCCTGCACCGGGCAAGAAACGTGGGGAGGGGATCCACAGGCCAAGGCGCCGCACAGTGATGCCCTGCTCCATCCCATGACAGGGCCTGGAAGGGGACTGGCAGCTGCAGAAATGGTTTCCGGCCTTCCCACATCCCCCACGCACTTCCCGGTGGGGGCATTTTTAAAGTCGAAGGAGACACATTCATTCAAATATGTATTAAGTGCCTGCCAGTGGCTCTGAGAATAGAACAGTGAGCTAGACTCTTGGCATCGTTTCCTAGGGAGTCCTCGGTCCTAGGGGGAGGAGAGAGCCCTGTGTAATGATTTCAGATGATGTTATAAGGTAGGGTGTGGGGCGGGCGCGGTTGCTCACGCCTGTAATCCCAGCACTTTGTGAGGCTGACGGAGGAGGAGGCTTCGTTGAGCCCAGGAGTTCAAGACCAGCCTGAGTAGCAGAGACCCTGTCTCTACAAAAAATAAAAGTAGCGGGACGTGGTGACGCATGCCTGTGGCCCCAGCTACTTGGGATCCTGAGGCAGGAGGATTGCTTCAACCAGGAGGTCGAGGCTGCAGTGGGCTGTGATTGCACCACTGCACTCTAGCCTGCCTGACAGAGCAAGACTGTCTTAATAAGGCCAAGGCCGGGGGCGGTGGCTCACGCCTGTAATCCCAGCACTTTGAGAGGCCGAGATGGGTGGATCCCCTGAGGTCAGGAATTGGAGACAGCCTGACCAACATGGCGAAACCTCGTCTCTACTAAAAATACAAAAATTAGGCGGGCGTGATGGTGAGCACCTGTAATCCCAACTAGTCTGGAGGCTGAGGCAGGAGAATCGCTTGAACCTGGGAGGCGGAGGTTGTAGTCAGCCAGGATCGTGCCACTGCACTCCAGCCCGGGTGACAGAGCAAGACTCCGTCTCAAAAAAAAAAAAAAAACTGTAAAAAAGCTGCGATTCCAGGTGTAAACCACCGTGGCCAACCTTGCTTTCTCATTTTTAACCCACTTCAAATGTGGTCCACATGTTCCTGATTCATTTCAGCTTTAATCATGAGGATGTCATTGGGGACAGCTGGTGGGGGGGTGAGACTAGCCCCTTTGAGGGTTTTTATTTATTTATTTATTTAGAGACAGAGTTTCGCTCTGTTGCCCAGGCTGGAGTGCAGTGGCATGATCTCGGCACATTGCAACCTCCGCCTCACGGGTTCAAGGGATTCTCCTGCCTCAGCCTCCTGAGTAGGTGGGACTACAGGCGCCCGCCACCATGCCCAGCTGATTTTTGTACCTTTAATAGAGATGGGGTTTCACCATGTTGGCCAGGCTGGTCTCGAACTCCTGACCTCAGGTGATGCGCCTGCCTTGGCCTCCCAAAGTGCTAGGATGACAGGCTTGAGCCACCGCGCCCAGCCGGGTCTTTTTTATTTTGAGACAGGATCTGACTTTGTCACCCAGGCTAGAGTGCAGTGGCACAGTCTCGGCTCACCGCAGCCTCTACCTCCCCAGGCTCAAGCAGTCTTCCCACCTAAGCCTCCCCAGTAGCTGGGATCACAGACACGCGCCACCACGCCCGCCTAATTTTTTTTTTTTTTTTTTTTTTTGAGACGGAGTCTTGCTCTTTCGCCTAGGCCAGACTGCAGTGGCACTATCTCGGCTCACTGCAAGCTCCATCTCCCGGGTTCACGCCATTCTCCTGGCCTCAGCCTCCCGAGTAGTTGGGACTACAGGCGCCCGCCACTGCGCCCGTCTCATTTTTTGTATTGTTAGTGGAGACGGGGTTTCACTGTATTAGCCAGGATGGTCTTGATCTCCTGACCTTGTGATCCCCCCGCCTCGGCCTCCCAAAGTGCTGGGACTACAGGCGTGAGCCACCGTGCCCGACTACGCCCGGCTAATTTTTTATAGAGACAGGGTTTTGCTATGTTCCCCAGGCTGGTCTCCAACTCCTGAGCTCAAGCAATAGCACCCACCTCAGCCTCCGAAAGTGCTGGGATTACAGGCCTGAGCCAATGCGCCCAGCACCCTTTGGAGGTCTTAATCTAATAAGAACATTATAAAGATAACAACTTGTCCACGCCCATCCCATCCTCTAGAGAGAAGATCTCCCAGCCTCCCAGTAAATCCCAAACAGCGTAGGTTTGGGGGAGGAGGCAGGCAGGAAGTGCCCCCTTCTGTTCTATTCCTATACTCACATAAAGAGACGTTCACACTTGTAATCCCAGCAGTTAGGGAGGCTGAGGTGGGAGGATCGCGTAAGACCAGGTGTTCAAGATCAGCCTTAGTGAGGCTAAAAATACAGAGTGAGGGCCAGGCGCGGTGGCTCACGCCTGTAATCCCAGCACTTTGGGAGGCCGAGGCTGGTGGATCACCTGAGGTCGGTAGTTCAAGACCAGCCTGGTCAACATGGTGAAACCCCGTCTCTACAAAAAATGCAAACATTAGCCAGTCTTGGTGGTGGGCGCCTGTAATCCTGTCTACTCAGGAGGACGAGGCAGAAGAATCACTAGAACCTGGGAGGCAGAGGTTGCAGTGAGTCAAGATTATGCCACTGCACTCTAACCTCAAAAACAACGAAAAAACAAAAACAGGCCCTCAGCAGATACCAAAGCTGCCCACACCTTGGTCTTGAACCTCCACGCTCTCCAAAGCTGTGAGAAGTAAATTTGTTGTGTCTAAGCTGCCCCACCTACGGTATTTTGTTAGAGATGCCACTGTCCCAACAGCCGCACATCCTCTGCCCAGGAAGCCCTTCTCCCACTCTCGCCCCATTCATCCTTGAAGGCCCAGCCTCAGGGTCGCAGCGTCTGGGAAAACTTCTGGAAGCTTTTCCCCCCTTGCTCACCTCCTGGTCCTGCCGCCTGTTACAGCTGGAGGTGTCCCCACAGCCCTGTGGCCCGGGGCCCTCTCGGGGCCACTCATTCTGAGGCCGGGTTGGCTGGAGGGTCAGGAGCCCGGGGGCAGGGGCCAGACTCATGCCTCGCAGGAAGGAAAGCTGGGTCCTGTTGCTGAGGCCGCCGCGGGCTTGTGCCTCCAGCCACGTGTCTTCTTCCTGCTGTCCACCCTGGGCCTCCATTCCCCTTCCAACCCCAGGAGGAGGAGCACATGGGGCCCTGGGGGGTCATGGAGCCCAGATGAGGGACCGTGAGTCCTCAGGTCACCTGTGGAGCTGCCTGGGTCGCCGGCCTGGAGCAAGAAGTAAACGTCCACTGTGCCGGAGCCGCTACGCCAGGCGGGCCGATTTGTTAAAGCAGCTGGGCCTTATCAGTAACGTGCTAATACACAGGTGCAGCCCATCACAGATGCTGGGCTGTGGAACTCAGCGGTCGGGCAGAGCTGCCTTCAGGCATGGCTGCAACCAGGGGTGACTCAAGCTCAGTGCCTGTGGACCTTTCTCTTTGTCCTCATGTCTCTCTCTCTCTCTTTTTTCTCTCTCTCTGTCTCTATCTCTCTGTCTTTTCCTGTCTCTGTCTCTATGTCTCTCTTTTTTTTTGAGATGGAACCTTGCTCTATTGCCCAGGCTGGAGTGCTCGCCATCTTTCTGTCTATGTCTCTGTCTCTCCCTGTCTCTGTCTCTCTATTTGTCTTTCTGCCTCTTTCTTCCTCTGCCTCTCTCTCTGTCTCTCAAGCTCTCTGTCTCTGTCTCTGTGTCTCTCCCTTTCTCTTCCTCTCTCTGTCTCTCTCTCCCTTCCTAGCTCTGTCTGTCTCTATTTCTCCCTCTCTATCTCTCTCTGTCTCTGCATCTCTCCCTCTATCTCCAACTGTGTCTCGTCTCTTTCATCCTCTGTCTCCGTCTCTCTCTCCCTCTCTATATCCCTCTGTCTCTATCTCTACCTCTCTATCTCTCTGTCTCTCTCTCCCTCCCCACATCTCTCTCTGTCTCTACCTTTCCCTCTCTCTCTCCCTCTCCTTGTCTCTCCGTCTCTGTGCCTTGGCTTCATTCTTTCACTCCAAGCTTCTTCCGTCCGTGGTGGCAGCTGTGGCTTAGTTTAGCAACCCCCAAATAAAACAGAGCTCTTCTCTCCCAGGATCGCTATAAAATCCCAGGAAAGTCTCTTATTGTCTGGCATTGGCCCCTCCCAGATGACTGGCCAGGCCTGGTTTAGGCAATGTCCTGGTGACCAGAAGGGCAGGTTCCACGAGGGGCAGCGCCCTGAGAACACAGGAGTCGGGTGGGCCAGGTTCCCCACAGCAGGAGGAGTAGTTGCCGGGGAAGGGGAAGGACGCTGAGCAGATGACAACAGCTGCCTGCGACTTGGCGGCAGCGTTCAGAGCAGCTCCAGTGACAAAGGGCTTTCCCGCCTGGAGTGGCTCACTGCCCAGTCTTGGCCCTGCCAGCCTCAGTGGCCTCCCTGCAAGGGGACAGTCCTGGCCATCATCTCCGGGTCCAGCTCTGGACAGCAGGGATCAAGTGACTCATGCCCTGGGCTGAAAATGTACATGACCTTGCAATTTTCCTGAATTTGCTCCAGGAACAAGAGACAAAGCTAATTCCCAGGAAGAGGAGGAGGGATCTGCCCTGTAGTTGCCCTTGACCAGGTCCCTGGGCCTCAACCTTATCTATAAAAGGATAGAGTTGAAGACGGATTGAACTGCCAAATTGGTTTCCTCCTGGTGCTGCTCGATTGATTGGTGATGTCTGCTTTGTGCATGGGAGGGAAGCAGTGTGGGCATCATTGGTTGATTGGTGATGTCTGCCCTGTGCACAAGAGGAAGGAAGGCAGGACAAACAGCAGCGTTCCCCAGTCAACCAACATCATTGCTTGATTGGTGATGCCTACCCTGTACACAGGAGGAAGGAGGTCAGGAGAAACATCATTCGATGATTAATTGGTGATGTCTGCCCATGTTGCCATGTTGGCCAGGTTGGTCTCCAACTCATGACCTCAGGTGATCCACCTGCCTCAGCCTCCCAAAGTGCTGGGTTTACAGGCATGAGCCACTGCGCCTGGCCCGATTCTACAACTTTTTTCTATTTCCTCATTTTAGATCATTCCAGAACTTTCTGGGAATTACACCCAACAGTCTCTAGTAGGGCATAAACACAGACTTGGGGGAAAAGAAGACCTGTCTTTGCAGCCAGTGGCGACACCCCTTCCCAGCTGGGAGGCTGGGCCTGCCCAGCACTGCATTCCCATATGCAGCGCAGCCAACGGAACAGGGCGACGTCAGGAAGTTTTGGTGGGTGAGGAAGCAGCACAGAGCAGGGTCTGCCCTCACCCCCACCAACCGCAGGGACAGAGCCTGGCGGCAGTGGGTGGCCCCAGAGCCAAGTGTGGGGCACTGGGATCTGCCTCTTCACAGGGGCACGGGATCCAGTCAGAGGATGGGTGACTCTGAGAGAAGTTTCTCTCCTTTGTCTACTTTCTCTGCTGTCCCAGAGAATGAAGGCTCATCCTGCAGCGTCCTTTGAGGGTACATGGCTGTGTGTTTGTGTGTCTGTGTGGGATGCTGTGTGTTGATGTTTGTGTGTGTCTGTGTGTATGTCCATGGATGGGTGTATGTTTGTGTGTTTTGTGTGTCTGTCTATGATGTAACATGTTGGTGTGTGTGGATACATGTCCATGCATTTGTATTTTGGGTTTTTTTTTTTTTTTGAGACGGAGTCTCGCTCTGTCGCCCAGGCTGGAGTGCAGTGGCGCAAGCTCCACCTCCCGGGTTCCCACCATTTTCCTGCCTCAGCCTCCCGAGTACCTGGGACTACCGGCGCCCACCACCACGCCCAGCTAATTTTTGGTATTTTTAGTAGAAACGGGGTTTCACCGTGTTAGCCAGGATGGTCTAGATCTCCTGACCTTGTGATCCACCCACCTCGGCCTTGCAAAGTGCTGGGATTACAAGCGCGAGCCACTGCGCCCGGTCATATTTTGTGTTTCGTGTTTTGTTTTTCTGAGACAGGGTCTCCCTCTGTCACCCAGGCTGGAGTGCAGAGATTCAATCATAGCTCACTGCAGCCCTCACTTCCCAGGCTCAAGTGATCCCCCTGCCTCGGCCTCCCAAAGTGTTGGGATTACAGGCATGAGCCACCGCAACCGGCCTGCATTTTGTATATGTGTTTGTTGTTTTCCAGTGTGTATGTCCATGTACATGTGTGCACGGGTGTGTGTGTGTTAGGTGTGTCTGTGTGAGGTGGCATGTTGGTATGTGTGGTCCATGTGTTCATGCATTTGTGTCATATGTATCTGCGTACATGTGTGCATATGTATGTGTGTGCACATGTCTGTCTCTGGGTCTTTGTGTGCGTGGGTGTGTGTGCGCACCTGTGCATCTGGGTGTGTGTGTGTGTGTTCGTCGGTGGGTCTATGGGGGGGTGTGCATTTGTGTGCCTGTGTTTGGCATGCCTGTGTGTGGTGTGTGTTGGTTTGTGTATTGTGTGTGTGAGCATGTGAGTGCCTGCATGGGGGGTATTCAGGAACGCTGCTGTGAATGGCATCGCTCAGCGTCAGGGAACCGTCTTGCTCCAGGTTTTGGGCTGTTTCATGGAGGCTGGGGGATGTTCTTGTTGATGATGCAGCCCACTTGGACTTAACTTATTTTTGGTCATATTGCACCTAAATGGTCCTCCTGGCATTCACTCTGTTCATTTGCCCCTGGTGCCTGGGGACTCCTCCCATGGTGGTGACCAGGGTCTCTCCCACATCTCTTGTCACCAAGGCCAGCCACAGAGGGCAGCCTGCAGTGGACAGGGTGCAGGACAGGGCAACAATGACCATGATGCTTCATGGAAGATGTGAGCTCCCCCCAGGGAGCCTCCCATCCAGAGCCCCCACCCCTCAGCTCGATGGAATGCCCAGCCCCTTGGTGCTGCAACCCCAGTAGGAGGGTGGCATCCTGGACCCAGGCAACAGGGATGCTGCATGCCACAAACACTGAGACACAAAGAAGAAGTGGTTCAAAAGCTGGGTGTGATGGTCACAGATTCTTTGCTGCTCCTCCCACGGAAAGACACAGTTCATTTCCCCTCCCCTGAATGTAGCTGCTCCTGTGACCTGTTTTAGCAACAGAAGGCAGGGGAAGTGGTGCCTTGAGACTTCTGAGGGAGGGTCTTACGAGCTCGACAGTAGGCTGGGCATGGTGCTTACACCTGTCATCCCAGCACTTGGGGAGGCCGAGGCGGGCAGATCACCCGAGGTCAGGAGTTTGAGACCAGCCTAGCCAGCACGGTGAAACCCTGTCTCTACTAAAAATACAAAATTAGCTGGGCGTGGTGGTGGGCACCTGTAATCCCAGCTACTCGGGAAGCTGAGGCAGTAGAATCACTTGAACCTGGGAGGTGGAGGTTGCAGTGAGCCGAGACTGCGCCATTACACTCCAGCCTGGGTGACAGAGTGAGACTGTGTCTCAAAAAAAAAAAAAAAAAAAAAAGAACTCAACAGCGTCCTTTCTGCTTGGAACCCAGCTGCCATCTTGTGAGGCAGCCACCTGGAAGCCCCTGGGTGATGGCACCACTGAGCAGGCACCACCTGCCAGCCCTGTGAGTGAGCTACCTCAAACATTCCCGGCCAGGGAAAGCCACTAAATGATTGCTGATTACCCCCCATCACCACAGGGAGCAGAACTGCCCAGCTGAGCCCGGACACCCCGCATCATGTCAGATATAATCCACTGCCATTCTACCTTAGCCACCCCAAATCCCTAGGGCTGAATGAGGTCATCAAATAATGATTCCTCTCCCACTTTCTCCCCTCTGCTAGTCCCTGGCAGACTGGAGGATGGCCCAGAGGCAGCCAGGTGAGGGGTGACGCCCTTCAAGGCCCTGCTCCAGTGGTCCTCACCAACTACAACCGCCCTGCAGAGCCCCGCTGTGCCCTGCACCTGCTCCCCGGCCCTCATGCCGCTGCCAGGAGTGTCTGTGCTCATCTGTCTTCTCTCCCCTCCAGCCTGAGAAAGCTCCTTCTTCCCACCCCTTACCAGAAATATAAATTGGCCGGGCGCGGTGGCTCATGCCTGTAATCTCAGCACTTTGGGAGGCTGAGGCAGGCAGATCACGAGGTCAGGAGATCGAGGCCATCCTGGCTAACATGGTGAAACCCCGTCTCTACTAAAAATACAAAAAATTAGCCAGGCATGGTGGCGGGCGCCAGTAGTCTCAGGTACTTGGGAGGCTGAGGCAGGAGAATGGCGTGAACCCAGGAGGCAGAGCTTGCAGTGAGCCAAGATGGTGCCGCTGCACTCCAGCCTGGGTGACAGAGTGAGACTCCGTCTCAAAACAAAAAAAAAGAAAAAAAGAAATATAAATTTACTCCTTGCCCCTTCTGTGTTTCAAAGGAGGGTGGCTTTTCAAAGTCCCCACAATGGGGACAGCATTCGAGGCTGCCTCAATGGCTGGTTCCACTTCGCAGCCCCATCTATCCATCAGGACGCCCTCTGCACCCATACTGACTTGTTCCTTTCCAACCCACCCTGACCCTCCACCCATCTGAGCCTTGTCTGGCTTCTCTCAGCCCAACAGGTCTGGCAAAGCTCAGGCAGATGATCACCTCTTTTGGGAGGACTCCATGATACATCAGGCCAAATGAATCCAACCCACCAGCCTCTGGAACTGCTTTCGTCCATGTACTTATGTGTTCTGCCTTCCATGATGGATATTCATGGTCTGTCTGCCCCACTAGGCAGCAGCTCCTGAGGACAGGAACTAAACCTCTTTAAAATGCCTTCAAAAACCCTGCCATGCACCCTGATACAGCCCTAGTTAGTGTACATATTATTATCAGGTTTCTGAAGATAATCCAGGAACACCTATTGTATCAGTCAGCTACTGCTGCATAACAAATTATACCAAACTCAGTGGCCTAAAACAACACATGTCTTTGTGATATGACTGGTGAAATAAATTAAGCAAAAACAAATTATTATTTTTTTTAATAAAAAAGAAGAGGCTGGGAGCCATGGCTCATGCCTGTAATCCCAGCACTTTGGGAGGCTGAGGCAGGCAGATCACCTGAGGTCAGGGGTTTGAGACCAGCTTGGCCAATATGGTGAAACCCAATCTCTACTAAAAATACACAAAAATTAGCTGGGTGTGGTGGCGGGCGCCTGTAGTCCTGGCTACTTGGGCGGCTGAGGCAGGGAAATCTCTTGAACCTGGGAAGCAGAGGTTGCAGTGAACCGAGATCGCACCACTACACTCCAGCCTGGGCAAAGAGCAAGACTCCATCTCAAATAAATAAATAAATAAATAAATAAATAAAACAAAAATAAAATTAATAAATAAAACAACAGACATCTTATCAAGTTTCTGGGGCTCAGAAGACTGGAAATGACTCAACTGGGGGGCCAGGCATGGTGGCTCATGCCTGTAATCCCAGCACTTTGGGAGGCTGAGGCGGGTGAATCACCTGAGGTTGGGAGTTTGAGACCAGCCTGACCAGCAAGGAGAAACAGAAACCCTGTCTCTGCTAAAAATACAAAAGTTAGCTGGGCATGGTGGCACATGCCTGTAGTCCCAGCTACTCTGGAGGCTGAGGCAGGAGAATTGCTTGAACCCAGGAGGTGGTGGTTGTAGTGAGCCGAGATCACGCCACTGCACTCCAGCCTGGGCAACAAGAACAAAACTCCGTCTCAAAAAAAAAAAAAGAAAAGAAAAAAATGACTCAACTGGGTGGCTCACGCCTGTAGTCCCAGCACTTTGGGAGGCTGAGGCGGGTGGATCACTTGAAGCCAGGAGTTCGATACCAACCTGGCCAACATGGCAAAAACTAGTTTCTACTAAAAATATAAAAATTAGCTGGGTGTGGTTGGTGGCGTGCACCTGTAATCCCAGCTACTTGGGAGGCTGAGGCAAGAGGATCGCTTGAACCTGGGAGGTGGAGGTTGCAGTGAGCCGAGATTGTGCCACTGCACTCCAGTGTGGGCGACAGAGTGAGTCTCTCTGTCTGTCTCTCTCTCTCTCTCTCTCACACACACACACACACACACACACACACACACAGCTTGAGATTGTGCGTTCATGCTGGGAAATCGTGAGACATCCCAAACATCACATTCACCCTCCTAAATTGCTGTTGGAAGGCGATGGCTCCCTCATGTGGAAGAAGGATTTAGCAGTGGGGTTTGTGGAGGCGTAGGCAGGGTGAGGGGCAGCAACGCGGAATGACACAGCCCCTGGGGTTGGCAACAGTGGGCGCCTTACAGGTGGGGGATGGGCTGCAGAGAGGGACCCCCATGGACAGGCTGTCCTCTAGAGGGAGGAGGCCAGGGACCGACAATCGGCCTCACTTCCCCTCCCTCACTCTTCCTCCCTCACTCTCCCAGCCCCCTGCCCCCTGGTGCAAGTCCCCAGCTGGACCCCGCTGGGATGGAAGCTGAAGCCAGAGGGTTGAGGATCCGTCCCTGCAGTGCCCCCAGGCCTGGGTCCGGGCGTGGAGCTCAGTGGCAGGGGTGGAGGGGGAGCCTGGAGGGCCCAGCCCAATGAAGCCATCACAGTCACTCTTTTAGTGATGCCCACCCCGGGGACTCACCACCAGGGGCAGTAGCCATGGGGGGGGGCACACGATGCCCCCAGCTGCCCGCCAGGTCCCCCGCCATGCCTGCAGTTCCGTCTTCCTTTCCTCATTCCCTGGATCGCCCCTGTGACCCTGAAGGGGACGTGGCCACTCAGGAGCCACATCATGCCGGCTGCACCTTGTCCAGAGGCGGACACTCCCCATTTTTTTTCTTTTCTTTTCTTTTTTTTTTTTTTTTTTTGAGAAGGAGTTTCACTCTTGTCGCCCAGGCTGGAGTGCAATGGTGCGCTCTCAGCTCACTGCAACCTCTGCCTCCCGGCAGATTCTCCTGCCTCAGCCTCCCAAAGGGCTGAGATTACAGGCGTGACCCACCCCTGCGAGAGTTTCTATTAGAACCTGAAGCCCGGGAGCCAGGGCAGAGCCCGTCCGACTGGAGTCCGAGGTCGCCCTCTGGCGGCCGAGCGGAGGGCGGCGGGGTCGACCTCCGAAGGGAAGACGGGGCAGTGACTGGGGCGACAGTTTGCAGAAAGAGGGGCGTGATATTTAGGACGCACAGCAGAGGCTGCGGTCCCCGTCAGTACCCTGCAGCACCTGTCACTCCTGAACATGTAAACGCACACACGCATTCACACATGCAAACACGCATCGGTTTGCTAGGGCTGCCTTGACAGGTACCGCAGACCCGGCGGCGCAAACACCTGTTTATTCTCTCTCGGTTCTGGGGCTGCGAGTCCCAGACGAAGGTGTGAGCGACGCTGGATCCTTCTGAGCCCGAGTGGACTCTGTCCCAGGCCTCTCTTGGCGGTGACCGGCGTTCTTGGCTTGCGAAAGCTTCACCATGGTGTTCGTCCTGTGTGTGTCTGTGTCCCAAATTTCCCTTTTTTTTTTGTCTTGCTCTGTCACCCAGGCTGAAGTGCAGTGGTGTGATCTTGGCTCACTGCAACCTACACCTCCCGGTTCAAGCGATTCTCCCACCTCAGCCTCCCAAGTAGCTGGGATTACAGGTGTGCATCACCACGCCTGGCTAATTTTTTGTATTTTTAGTAGAGACGGAGTTTCACCATGTTGGCCAGGCTGGTCTTGAACTCCTGACCTCAGATAATCCACCCGCCTCGGTGTGCCAAAGTGCCGGGATTACAGACGTGAGCCACTGCACCTGGCTTTTTTTTTTTTTTTTTTTTTTTGAGATAGGGTCTCTCTCTGGCACCCAGGCTGGAGTGCAGTGGCGCCGTTAACAGCTCACTGCAGCCTCAATCTCCTGGACTCAAGCAATCCTCCCACCTCAGCCTCCTGAGTAGCTGGGAATGCACGCATGTGCCACCATGCCCTGACACTTTTTGTATTTTTTGTGGAAATGAGATCTTGCTATGTTGCCCAGACTGGTTTCAAACTCTTGGTCTCAAGCAATCCTCCCACCTCGGCCTCCTGAGTAGCTGGGACTACAGGCGCATGCCACCATACCTGGCTAATTTTAATTTTTTTTGTAGATATAGGGTCTCACTATGTTGCCAAGGCTGGTCTTGAACTCCTGGGCTCAAGCAATCCTCCTGCCTCTGCCTCCCAAATTGCTGGGATTACAGGTGAGAGCCACTGGGCCCAGCTCAAATTTCCTGTTTTATGTAAAGGACACCAGTCACACTGGATCAGTGCCCACCCTACTCCAGAATGAAGTCATCTTAACTATATAATTTCATCCTCAATGACCTTATTTCCAAGCAAAGTCACATTCTGAGGTCCTGGGGCTTAGGGTGTGAACATATGGGTATTGGGGAGGACCTAATTCAATCTGTAATAAAGCACAGACACTCATAGACACACAGATGCACATACACACACACACATACGATACACACGCAACACAAGCACAACACACACAGACCAGCATCTATGACTCTCTACCTGAGGGCGGAGCTAAGCCTCCCCAGCCCCCATACCATTTGCAGGGGAGTTGGAGGATAAATACCCCAGCTCCCTCACCTCCGGACGACAACCTGAGCCAGATCCTCAGAGGGACTGAGCTCCAGCAGCCTGGAGCTGTAACCTCCCTGTTCATGCCTCCCTATGGGCCACTCCCCATCCCCACACCCCTTCGGTACTTCCTGGGCTCACATCCTAGATAGACCATTTGCCCTCAATCTTTGTTGTGGTAAAACACCCTTTTGCGACAGAGCTGCTGAGCCATCCCTCTTGTCCTCTATGAAGCCAGATGTTCAAGAGTTTTGCACACATTTAAAAAAGTATGCCACCCATCCTCCTGTTTAAAAAATGTATTTGAGGCCGGGCACCGTGGCTCACACCTGTAATCCCAGCACTTTGGGAGGCCGAGGCGGGTGGGTCACGAGGTCAGGAGATCGAGACCATCCTGGCTAACACAGTGAAACCCCGTCTCTATTAAAAATACAAAAAATTAGCCGGGCGTGGTGGCGGGCGCCTGTAGTCCCAGCTACTCGGGAGGCTGAGGCAGGGGAATGGCGTGAACCCGGGAGGCGGAGCTTGCAGTGAGCGGAGATCGCGCCATTGCACTCCAGTGTGGGCGACGGAGTGAGACTCGGTCTCAAAAAACAAAGTATTTGAAAAAAAATATTAACATGTAGTAAGTTTATTCTTTTGTTGTTTTTTGGTTTTTTTTTTTTTTTTTGAGACAGAGTCTCGCTCTGTCGCCCACACTGGAGTGCAATGGAGCGATCTCCGCTCACTGCAAGCTCCCCGCCCAGGTTGATGCCATTCTCCTGCCTCAGCCTCCCGAGTAGCTGGGAATACAGGCGCCCGCCAGCATGCCCGGAGAATTTTTTGTATTTTTAGTGGAGATGGGGTTTCACCGTGTTAGCCAGCATGGTCTCGATCTCCTGACCTCGTGATCCGCCCGCCTCGGCCTCCCAAAGTGCTGGGATTACAGGCGTGAGCCACCGCGCCCGGCTGGGTTTGTTTTTTGAGACAGAATCTTGCTCTGTCACCCAGGTGGCAGTGCAGTGGCGTTATCTTGGCTCACAGCAACCTCTGCCTCCCAGGTTCAACTGATTCTTCTGCCTCAGCCTCCCAAGTAGCTGGGATTACAGGCACCTGCCACCACACCTGGCTAATTTTTGTATTTCTAGTAGAGACAGGGTTTCACCATGTGGGCCAGGCTGGTTTTGAACTCCTGACCTTGGGTGATCTGCCTGCCTCGGCCTCCCAAAGTGCTGGTATTACAGGTGTGAGCCACCACACCCCACAACCCCCCTTTTTTTCTCTCCAGAGTCTCACTCTGTCACCCAGGCTGGAGTGCAATGGTGCAATCTTGGCTTAGTGCAACCTCTGCCTCCCAGGTTCAAGCGATTCTCCTGCCTCAGCCTCCCGAGTAGCTGGGATTACAGGCGTGTGCCACCACGCCCAGCTAATTTTTTGTGTTTTCAGTAGAGACAGAGTTTCACTATGTTGGCCAGACTGGTCTTGAACCCCTGACCTCAGATGATCCGCCCACCTCGGCCTCCCAACGTGCTGGGATTACAGGCGTGAGCCACTGCGTCTGGCCGATGTTTGCTTTTTACGTAGGGCCAGTGACACTGGCTTTCCATCTGTGCAAGTTTCCTTTTTTTTTGAGCCGGTGGGGAGTGCAGTGGCGCGATCTGGGTTCACGGCAACCTCCGCCTCCCGGGTTCAAGCAATTCTCCTGCCTCAGCCTCCTGAGTAGCTAGAACTACAGGCACCCGCCACCGCGCCCGGCTAATTTTTGTATTTTTAGTAGAGGCCGGGTTTCACCACGTTGGCCAGGATGGCAGGGTCAGCCCTGGGCACACCTGGCTACAGGGCACCCGGGGCCTGGGTGGGAGGAGGCGCTGCAGGGGGGCATCCTGCCAGAGGCCATATGCTGAGGGGTCTCCCAAGGGAGAAGACGGCCTGGGGGAACCACACATGCTCACAGCACAAACGCGGCAGGTCCCTGGCTCTAAGTGCAGAAACATGTATTTATTTCCAGGATATTTTCACATAACAAAACCCCAACGATGCGGCGAGGGGCCACACACGGCGGGGGAGGGGTGGGGGGGGGTTGGGCCTGCCAGGTGAGATTTTGTCTGCATCAGTGCAGGCGAGAGGCTGGGGAAGGGGGTGCCTCTTGGCAGACTGGCCGGGGGCAGGACCTGAAGACCCTGAAGCATGGCCGTGAGACCCATGGGTGCTCCATCCTGGCTGCCGTCCATCGAGACACCATGGCCGCCTCCGGGCACCCAGCGGCATTCCGTACCAGCGAGGGGACTGGCTCACATCCTGGGGAGGGCTCCAGGGCAGCAGGCGTCCTACAGCAACAGCATCCTGGGGGTGAACGGGTGGGGAGGGGTGGCAGCCTGGGGTGTCCAAAGTTGTGGTCAGCGAGTGCAGGAAATGATGAAGGAAAAGTTTCTTTTTGGCCCAACCGTTGTGAATGGTGCTGTGAAAATGTCTTGCCTGGGAGAGGTGTTCCAGGGGGAGTTGGGGGGTGAGGGGACAAGACAATTGTGGCCGCTGCCGGACCCCTCCATAAGGCACAGATTTGACGGGTCCCCTCTCATAAAAGGCCACTCCAGGCTGGGCGCGGTGGCTGACACCTATTATCCCAGCACTTTGGGAGGCCAAGGCGGGTGGATCACTTGAGGTCAGGAGTTCGAGACCAGCCTGGCCAACATGGTGAAACCCCATCTGTACTAAAAATATAAAAATTAGCTGGGCGTGGTGGCAGGCAACTGTAATCCCAGCTATTTGGGAGGCTGAGGCAGGAGAACTGCTTGAACACGGGAGGCAGAGGTTGCAGTGAGCCGAGATCACACCACTGCACTCCAGCCTGGGCGACAGAGTGAAACTCTTGTCTCAAAAGAGAAAAAACAAAACAAAACAAAACACAAAGGCCTCTCCTGCAGGGCTCCGGCTGCTGGGAAACCGGCTCTCTGCCGGTTTGCTGGGTTTGGGGAGCGGCTGTGCTCCCGACCTGGCCTGGGTCCCCGACTCTGAACTCAGGGGCGTGGAAAGACAGCCTGCCAGGGATCCCTGTTTTGGAGGCAGGGAGGGTGGCCCCAGGATACCCTGGACCAGGAACTCCCCAGGTATGGTGCACGTGGGGAGGGGGCGAGGCTGGAGCCGCACAGATCAGGGGATGGCGGGGACAGCGAGGACTCAGCTAGGCACCAAGCCCTCTATCACTGCAGGGGACCGGAAGCTGGCCCCGACGCCTCTTATTAGTTCCGGCCAAGGGCATCTGCCATGGTGACGGCGGGTGGCCGGTGAGACGGAGCTCCCCATCAGACCCGCTCTGACCTCAGCGCCAGCAGCTCTGGGAGGACGGGAGGGCGGCCGACCTGCTGCCACCTGTCCCCCGGAGTCAGGCCTCGAGACCTGAAGACAAGGCCGTACCAGCCGTGCAGTGGACGGCGGGTGACCACACGTTTCCGGGAGCAAGAGGGCGTCCTGTGGACGGCAGAGGCCAAGGGCTGCTGGGGAGTGCTTGTGAGGAACTCCGCTCTCGGATGAGATGAACACGGGTTCTGTGGCCCTGGCAGGAGGGGGGCGGTCCGTGGCCACCACCGGCTTCCACCATCCCAGCTGGGGGGATGGGGCCCCAGGTACTCCCAGCCCTCGGGACCAGGGGTAGCAGCAGGAATGAAGGGGAGGAGGTGGTGGGCGGTGGGGGCAGGGCAGGCTCCCTCTAAGGCCACTGGCCACTGCCCGGGTAGCTGGGCACAGTGGGGTACTCGGGCAGGCTGTTGCCTGAGAAGTTGTTGTACTGGGCCTCCCTCGACGGTGGGTTCCGCCAAGTGCCCGTGTTCCACTCCGTCTGTGCCTTCTGGAAGCTTCCGCCAGCCCCTCGGTAGATCCTGTGCACCTGCAAGGACAGAGGACAGGGAGGCAGAAGACAGAAAATGAGCATGGCGGCCGGGCACGGGGACTCACGCCTGTCATCCCAGCACTTCGGGAGGCCGAGGCAGACAGACTGTCTGAGCTCTGGAGTTCGAGACCAGTCCAAACAACATGGTGAAACCCTGTCTCTACTACAATATAAAAAATAGGCCGGGCACGGTGGCTCACGCCTGTCATCCCAGCACTTCGGGAGGCCGAGGCGGGAGGATCACGAGGTCAGGAGATTGAGACCATCCTGGCTAACACGGTGAAAACCTGTCTCTACCAAAAATACAAAAACAAAATAATTAGCCAGGTGCGGTAGCGGGCGCCTGTAGTCCCAGCTACTCGGGAGGCTGAGGCAGGAGAATGGCATGAACCCCAGAGGCGGAGCTTGCAGTGAGCAGAGATCGCACCACTACACTCCAGCCTGGGTGACAGAGCGAGACTCTGTCTAAAAAAAAAAAAAAAAAAAAAAGCATTTTGCTGTAACTGAAAGTTTCTGTTATGAGCCCAGCTCAACACTTCCGCTATCTTCAGATGGAAACTGTGACCGGGAACCTGCAAGGGGCCCCACCCTCACTGACAGGACAGCTCCAGGGCCTCAGCTGTTCCTGCAAACACTGCGGTTTACACACAACCCCTGCTTCCCTCTGGAGTCTGGACTCCCGGCCCAGGGGGCCACAGGACTGGCCCCATAGGAACCCAGGCGCTGGGTCCCTGGGAGTGTCCCTGGTGACAGTGCCTCCTGCTGTCATCCCAGCTCACTGCTGGGGATGAAGTGCGGCCTGCGTGACACCGTGGGGAGAGGGCCCGGCTCCTCGACGTTCACCCACCTGGGACAGTTGGGTGACGAGGTTCATGGAGAAGGGGTAAGGGCTGGACGTCACAAAGCCGAGGACTCACCTTCATGATCGCGATGGCCATCATGGCAGCCGACACGGAGAACATGATGGCTGGAAGCAGCATGACCACGGCAGCGCCCGGGCTGTACTGGAAGAATCCAATTGCCGACAGCCAGCCGCTGCAAGGGACAAGAGAGTGCGTGGGTGCCTGCACACCTGCTGGATGAGGGCCCATGGTCCGGCCCATGGTCCTCCCCATGTAAAGAGCTCTGGCCAATCAACAAGGAGTGGACAGCTCATACAAGGACGACCAAGTGGCCAACAAACATAAAGCGATACTGAGAGGCACCAACTTCAACGCGTGAATACGACCTTATCCCTCCACCATCGCAGCAGTGAGCCGCGTGTGCAGTGGACACAAACTTCGACGCGTGAACACAACCTTATCCCTTCACCATCGCAGCAGTGGGCTGTGCGTGCAGGGAATGGAGACCAGTGCTTCCCCATTAGTTTCCCTCAGTGAGTCCGGCGGGCACCAGCCATGGAAAGACTCAAAGGCCCCACTGAGCCTGCTACTAAGAACCCAGCCTACGGCAACTGTGTCTAATGATGGGAACTGCTGAAACCTACATCCGCATGTCCGGGAGCAATGCGGATGGAAAATCTGCCACCATCACCCGGTGGGCACTGAGGGACCATTAGAAACAATGAGGAGGCCGGGCGCAGAGGCTTACGCCTGTCGTCCCAGCACTTTGGGAGGCCGAGGCGGGCGGATCACTTGAGGCCAGGAACTGGAGACCAGCCTGACCAACAAGGTGAAACCCCGTCTCTACTAAAAATACAAAAATTAGCCAGGCATGAGGGCGCATGCCTGTAATCCCAGCTATCTGGGAGGCTGAAGCGGGAGGCTGCAGTGAGCCGAGATCGTGCCGTTGCTCTCCAGCCTGGGGGACAGAGCAAGATTCTGTCTCAAAATAAAAAAACGAGGGAAAGCACTGCTTAGATCAGCCACCAGTGGGACACTGGGAAGGCCAGCACGCCCTGGGTCCCTCTGTGCAGGACCAGCCTCTGGGCATTGCACCTGCCTTTGAGACCCAGGAGGCAGAAAACAGTCATTTTGAGATTTTTGTCTTAACAGGTGATGAAACCACAGGGTTTAAAATTCAGGGAACTTAAAGGCAGGCACGACGTACAGTCTCTCTCCTGCTGACTCCCCTCCCTGGTGCACAGGCAGCCCGCAGGACCCACACCCCCGGATGTGTCCGGGGAGCTTATGCACACACATGCACGGGGCGTGATATGCACGCACACGCGGTACCCCCCGCCGCGTCCCTGCAAGATGCTGGCCTGTCCTGTGTTCGCCTGCTTGGAGCCTCCACAGCATCACAGGCTGCATGGTCTTTGGGTCATTCCTTCCTCTTTTTTTTTTTCTGGAGAGATGGTTTCTCCCTATGTTGCCCAGGCCAGTCTGAACTCCTGGCCTCAAGCAGTGATTCTCCTGCTTTGGCCTCCCAAAGCGCTGGGATTACAGGCGTCAGCCACCATGCCTGGCCTCTTTTATTTTTTAAAAAAGTAAACCTCTGTTTGGATGTAATTTTAGATTTATGAAAAGCGGCAAAGGCATTTGAGGACTCCTGCCGCCGCCCCCGCAGCTTCCCACTGGCCAGCATCGCACGCCCCCGCATGCAAGTGTCAGGTCTAGGGAGGCACCCAGCACACTGTCAGTGGGCTGCATGCTCCGCTTAGAGGCTGCGGCGCCCGCTGATGTCCGATTCCTGGCGGGGCCCACCGGGGGCCCCTGCTGCACCGTGTCCTCAGTACCTGGCTGCCGCCATGTGGCCACCCTCACCATCTACACAGCTAGGCCCCGCTGGGGGTCATTTCTCTGGAGTTTCCAGTCCTCTGCCACCACAGATGCTGCCGTGGCTCATGGCCTCGGGCATGCGTCACCCCTGGGGAGGTGACGCTGGTGAAGCTGCCCGGGGCAGGGAGAGCGGGGCTGTCGCCTCTTGCCCCACAGCAGTGCACAGAGTGTGTGGGGAGGTGGCGCTGGTGAAGCCGCCCAGGACAGGGAGAGCGGGGCTGTCCCCTCTCGCCCCACAGCAGCGCACTGAGCGTGGGGCCTCACTAAGCCAACGGTGGACATGAAGTCGCTGTGCGCTGTGGTTTGATTTCTCTCATTACAAGGGGGGCCGGGCTCTCCTAAGACCCGCTGGGTTTCTTTCTCAAGAGCGTTCACCTTCTGTCCACCTCGGGCAGGGACCGCATGCTCAGCTTCTCCCGTGACCTGCGGGAGATGACCCAGGCTCCAATGAGAAGAGCCAAGTCGCTGCTGCCGCACGTGCACGAGGGCCGAGGGGGCAGGGAGGTCTCTGAGGGTCACATGTGGGCACTCACCTCATGCCGGGATCTCAGGACCACCCAACACGGGCACAGGCCTGTCCACCCAGCTCAGCCTGGGAGAGCTGGGGACGCACCGGGGAGGCGGCTCACAGGAGGCACTGGAGCCCAGGGAAGGGCCAGTGGGAGCCGAGCTGGCAGCTGGGAGCTCAGGAGGACTCGGAGGATGACGAGCAGTGCCTTGACCTGCAGCCACAGCCTCTGCAGGAGGGGGAAGCACCCCAAAGGCTGGCAGAGCTGGGAGTCCCAGGCACACGCTCACTATGACTCTAACTCAGATCCCTGGGGCAACGTCACTCAGGCTCTTGGGGTGGCAGGTGACAGACCAGCTTCAGCGGCACATCCGAGGGGTGCACAAACCACAGATCCCAGCCACCCTGGAGGGCCTGGCGCCAGGCGCAGGTGCAGGAGGGGAGAGGCCTGCAGATCGAGGGGCCCTGAAGGGAGAGGAGTCACCATCCCAGGAAACCTGGGACCTTATCTGGATTCTGATCTGTGCACTGGCGTGAGAGTACCGCAGTCTTGTGGGGCAGGAACCCCAGAACAGGAGCTTGCTAATGGGAGCCCAGGAAACCAAAGGCACCCACGGCTCCGTGAGCAGCGTCACCCGTGGGGAGCTCCCGCCGTGCCAAGGACAAGGGAGACACGTCGGGGACGTGGGCGAGAACAGTCACTCTCTGCAACTGAGAATTACAAATTATTCCAAAATAAAAAGCCTATTTAAAAAGCCACAAATTTGGCCAGGCACAGTGGCTCACGCCTGTAATCCCAGCACTTTGGGAGGCCGAGGCGGGTGGATCACGAGGTTAGGAGTTTCAGACCAGCCTGACCAACACATGGTGAAACCCCGTCTCTTACTAAAAATACAAAAATTTGCTGGGTGTGGGGGCACACACCTGTAGTCCCAGCTACTCGGGAGGCTGAGGCAGGAGAATCGCTTGAACCTGGGAGGTGAAGGTTGCAGTGAGCCAAGATCATGTCACTGCACCCCAGCCTGAGTGACAGAGAGCGACTCCATCTCAAAAAAAAATAATAATAGTTTAAAAAAAGGGCCGGGTGCAGTGGCTCACACCTGTAATCCTAGCACTTTGGGAGGCTGAGAAAGGCGGATTGCCTGAGCTCGGGAGTTCGATACCAGCCTGGGCAACACGGTGAAACCCCGTCTCTACTAAAATACAAAAGAAATTAGCCAGGCGTGGTGGCGGGCGCCTGTAGTCCCAGCTACTCGGGAGGCTGAGGCAGGAGAATTGCTTGAACCCAGGATGTGGAGGTTGCAGTGAGCTGAGATTGCACCACTGCGCCCCAGCCTGGGTGACAGAGCAAGACTCTGTCTCAAAAAAAAAAAAAAAAAAAAGAAAAGAAAAAAGGCAGAAATTTAAGACACCAACACAAACACTTCTGGGCACCTGGCAGCCTTAGAGAGTGACTGTGAGTTTCTCAGGTGTGGTAACAGCACCAGGTATGTGTGTTTTTACAGATGTACAGGTCTTCCTCCTGCAGCGATCCGTGCAGAAACATCAGCAGCCAGGAACTGGCTCCCAGACCCCGGGTCAGGGGTGTGATCAACACTCAGGAGACAAGCCTGGCTGGGCGCTGGCGAGGACGCAGGCACTGCCAGGGCGAGCTCGGACCCCTCCCTAGGAGAGTGCCTACAATCGCGAACCATGGCTGGGTGCTGGCGAGGACGCGGGCGCTGGCGAGGACGCGGGCGCTGCCAGGGTGAGCTCAGACCCCTCCCTAGGAGAGCGCGTACAATCCCGGACCAGCACGCTCCGGTGGCCGCCTGGCTTCCCAGCAGGCCCACAACCTGGCAGCTGAGCCACATCACAGCCACCACGCCCATCAGAGAGAGGCTTACCACGCGCCCCAGCCGGAGAAGCCAATCGCCTGGATGACGGTCAGGACAAACTGGGCTCCGAAGATGAAGAAAAACGCCATGAAATTAAAGGAGCTGTCGGCTCTGGGGAGGGACAGAAAACACGACGGTTACCACAGCCCTGGCTTCTCCCAGACGCGCCTAGAGAGGAACGGGCCAGTCAGAGATGGTGAGAGCGGAGGCTCTATTTTATTCCTTTTTTTTTTTTTTTGAGATGGAGTCTCACTCTGTCGCCCAGGCTGGAGAGCAGTGTCGAGATCTCGGCTCACTGCAACCTCTGCCTCCCGGGTTCAAGCGATTCTCTTGCCTCAGCCTCCTGAGTAGCTGGGATTATAGGCGCCCGCAACCACGCCTGGCTAATTTTTGTACCTATAGTAGAGACAGCGTTTCACCATGTTGGCCAGGCTGGTCTTGAACTCCTGACCTCAGGTGATCCGCCTGCCTCGGCCTCCCAAAGTGCTGGGATTATAGGCCTGAGCCACTGCACCCAGCCAAAATTACTAGAAAGCAAAACAAAACAGACAGTAGTTGGCTCTGGCTTGTGGGCCACAGTTTGCCACCCCCAGATGTGAACTGTCTTTCACACTGGGCAGAGAAAGGGACAGCTCCTCACAGCTGGGCTGGGACTGGGGTGCAGAGTGGGCCCTGGTTCCCTCTGGGTGCAGACGGCCCCCGGCAGCTCTGCTCACCGGAAGGCCTTGTAGACAGGCCGGAACCAGCACACGTAGCCGCAAGGCGTGAACAGGAGCAGCCACACGAAGGCCAGGCCGAAGTTGGTCCCCGAGCCTCCGCCGATCCACCAGGCCAGGCAGGCAATGAGGTTGACGCCGAGGGTGGCGCAGTAAACTGC
Source organism: Homo sapiens (assembly GCF_000001405.40). Classification (NCBI taxonomy): domain Eukaryota; kingdom Metazoa; phylum Chordata; class Mammalia; order Primates; family Hominidae; genus Homo; species Homo sapiens. The sequence goes on along the minus strand of NC_000019.10, from coordinate 1,918,122 downwards.
GAAGAGAGAGGGAGGACGGATGAGCAGGCACGGGAGGGTGTGGCCGTGGGAAAGCATGGGCCCAGCAATGGGGCACCCGCTGTCCGCCTCCCCAGCCCAGTGACCCCATGTCGAGGATGAACTGTGCAAGCCAAGACACTGGGGCCTGGACACCAGCCTCGTTCACCGCAGGGACCACCAGGCCCAGGACGGCTTCAGTAGACGGTGGGCCCCCGACGGGCTGCCCCTGCCTGAATGCCACTCCCTCCCTCGGGGAGCCCTGCCTCCCGCTTCCCGCCTCCTGCCCCCAGGCGCACTCACACATCCACAGCCGGTAGATCCTCTTCACCAGGACCTGGTGCTCCACTGGGATCTCGTCGGAGAAGTTCTGGTAGAAGCAGGGCTTCACAGGGATGAACTTGGGCAGTGGCGGGAAGTTGTTCTCCTTTTCTGTAGGGACAGAGAACCCACGGACAGAACCAGACTTTGTCTCTTGAAGGAGGCCCCACCTCATCCCTTCGACCCAAGGCTGGGTTGCCTCTCATGGCAGAAGGGACTCTGCAGTTGGGATTGAGGGCAGGACGCTGAGACAGGAGAGGGTCCTCGTGGCAGCCTCACGAGAGGAGACGGGAGGGTGGGAGTCAGAGAGAAACGGGAAGAGGCTGCGCTGAGGCTGTGAAGGGGGAGAAAGGGGCCCTGAGTGGAGGGATGGGGGCGCCTCTAGACGCTGGGCAAGGCGGGAACCGGCCTACAGCTTGATGTTAGCGTTTCTGGTCTCCAGAACTGTCAGATAACTGATTTCACTGTTTTAAGGAACTAAGTTTATGACTCTTTTTTTGAGACGGAGTCTCGCGCTGTCTCCCAGGCTAGAGGGCAGTGGTGCGATCTCGGCTCACTGCAGCCTCTGCCTCCCAAGCTCAAGTGATTCTTCTGCCTCAGCCTCCCAAGTAGCTGGGATTACAGGCGCCCACCACCACACCCGGCTAATTTTTGGATTTTTCTTTTTAGTAGACACGAGGTTTCACCATGTTGGCCAGGCTGGTTTTGAACTCCTGACCTCAAATAATCCGCCCACCTCTGCCTCCCAAAGTGCTGGGATAACAGGCGTGAGCCACCGCGCCCGGCCGAAATTGTTTTTTAAATTTACGTGTCACCCTTCATGCAGGGCCCTGCTACTCTTCGTAGCCCTCCTCCATGTTTAGTGTGGGTGCGGCTGCAGCAGGCTGCATTTAGTATCATTCCCTCCGGCAGGCAGGGACGCCAACATGCAGGCTCAGCAGGCCGAGTCCGCACACTGCGGGGAGGCTGTGGCCTGGGGACGCTTCCGTTCCCCATGGCTGCTGTGAGAAACCACCACCGACTGGGAGGCTTAGAACAACAGAAACTGCCCAGGTGTGGGGGCTCCCACCTGTGATCTCAGCACTTTTGGAGGCTGAGGCAGGAGGGCTGCTGGAGCCCAGGAGTTCCAGATCAGCCTGGCAACCTAGCGAGACCCCAACTCTACAAAAACTACAAAAATTAGCCAAGCGTGGTGGTGCGTGCCTGTGGTCCCAGCTTCTCGGGAGGCTGAGGCAGGAGGATCGCTTGAACCCAGGAAGTTAAAGCTGCAGTGAGCTATGATCACACCACTGCACTCCAGCCTGGGAGAGACCCAGACCCTGTCTCAAAACAAAACAAAGAACACAACAAATATTTATCTGCTAACAGTCCTGGAGGCCAGAAATCTGAGATCAAGGTGTCTCAGGAACGCGCTCCCTCTGCAGGCTCCGGGGAAGGAGCCTTCCTGCCTCTCTCAAGCAGCTTCTGGGGGATCCCAGCGCCCTTGGCTCATGGCCGCATAGCTCTGGCCTCTGCCTCCATCTCCACGACGACTCCTCCTGTATCTCCATGTCTTTTTTTTTTTTTTGAGATCCAGTCTCACTCTGTCACCCAGGCTGGAGTGCAGTGGCGTGATCTCGGCTCACCACAACTCCGCCTCCCAGGTTCAAGCGATTCTCCTGCCTCAGCCTCCCAAGTAGCTGGGACTACAGGTGCTGTGCCACCATGCCCAGCTAATATTTTTAGTAGGGATGGGGTTTCACTATGCTGTCCAGGCTGGTCTCAAACTCCTGACCTCATCATCTGCCCACCTCGGCCTCCCAAAAGTGCTGGGATTACAGGCGTGAGCCACCACGCCCGGACCATCTCTTTTTTTTTTTTCTGAGACAGTCTCGCTCTGTCACCCAGGCTGGAGTGCAGTGGCCCGATCTCGCTCACTGCAAGCTCCGCCTCCCGGGTTCACACCATTCTCCTGCCTCAGCCTCTCGAGTAGCTGGGACTACAGGCACCCGCCACCACGCCCAGCTAATTTTTTGTATTTTTAGTAGAGACGGGGTTTCACCGTGTTAGCCAGGATGGTCTCGATCTCCTGACCTCGTGATCCACCCGCCTCGGCCTCCCAAAGTGCTGGGATTACAGGCGTGAGCCACCGTGCCCGGCCTCCATCTCTTCTTATAAACACAGCAGGCACTGGGATGAGAGCTCGCCCTGCTCCAGTACTTTATCTTAACTCCATCACGTCCGGAGTTAAGGCCATATTCCCAAATGAGGTCCCACTCACAGGTTCCAGGGATCAAGATGGGAACACAGCCTTTGGGGCACTCAGCGTGGCACTGGGAGCCCCCCAGGAGCTTCTGCTCAGCCAGCACTGCCTGAGGAAGTGTCCCTGGGCGCCTGCGAGGGCCAGATGGGGAGTCAGACAGCAAGAGGCCCTGTCCTCAGGGGCTTACGCCCCACTGGGGAAGGCTGCCAGTAAATGAGTGGGTGAGGGACCCCGGGGCACATGAGAACACGCCCGCTGCTATAAGGAAAGAGCAGCTGTGATGGCAGGGGCACCCGGCTGGGCTGTGCTTCGGGTCAGTGAGGCGTCCGAGCGGATACACAGGCGGCTCTGCTGTCCTTTGCCCCCAGCAGAGGCGTGACTCCAGCTGTGCTGGGCTACGGGACCCGAGGAGTCAGAGGCCAGGTGGGCCAGGAGGACACTGTTTGCCAACGGCCAGGACCGAGGGCTCCTGTGGGAACTGCTGGCATCTCCCTCCCGCCCACGCTGCTGGAGGCTCCCAGGCAGGCAGGACTCACCTGACATCTCTGTTTCACCAACCAGCGCAGGCTGAAGCCTGCAGCCGCCTGGAAGGAAGACAACCACAGTCAGGGAACCCTGAGCTGCCCTGGGCAGAGCGCTAACCACCCACCCACCGTGGCTGAAAAGCCCTTCATCGTGCCCTGTGCTCTGGAAACAGCAGTGGGCTAAGCGGGAGCCACAGGCCTGACTCGACCCAATGTGTTACCCCACAGGTCCCCCTCCCCTCGGCTCCAGTGCACACCACCCATGCTGGCAAAACGGGCAGGGCTGGCCGCAGCCCCTCCCACCCACCGCCCCAGCCAGGATGCCCCTTCCCCGCTGTCCTAGGCCCCTGCGTCCCCCAAATCCCGGCTTCAGCCCACAAGGGGTGGGCGCCACAAGGTGAACGCTGCAGGGCCTAAGACCCCATCGCATCCGCATGGCACCCTGGCCGTTCTGAAAGGGAACCCCATGAGCTCACCCACCAGAGCAGCCCCACCTGGCCTGACATCCACCCACGACTGAGTGGATCTAGCTGCTTCCGTGATCCTGGGGGCGGACCTGCCATCGGGAGGTGGGCCAGCCCAGCAGGGGCATGCCTGCTGCCCACTGGGCATCACAGACCAGTGGGGTGTGAACCATCCCAGATCCTGGCAGGGGAACAGGCCCGAGGGGGCGGGCACGGGGCCAGGAGCTGCCTCCCGCCCACAGTCCAGGTGAGGCAGTTCCCAGGAACTGAGCCCTCCACTCACAACCCGTTCAGGAACATGTCACCGTGGGGTGGGGCACCCCTGGCTCTTGGGACAGGACATCTTCCCCTCCGCCCGCCTGCCACCTCCCACCTCTCACTCCCTCCTCCCTGACTTCCTGCCCCTCAGGGGAAGGAGCTGAGCACCTGAGCATGAAGGAGGCCCAAATGCTGCCTCTACCACTCAACTGGGCACGCCTCTGCGGCTCCCACCTCCTCACTCCACGCTGTGGCTCTGGCCCCATCCGGGACCCTCCAGCCCACCTCAGTCCCACCCCCAGGCACGGACTCCCCCACTGCAGGCCTGGCGGGCTCCTGGCCAGCAGTGGTGTTCTGTCCACTGCATGAGCTCCCCACGCAGAGCCCCCACCTGCCGGATCCCCTCCCCTATGGGCTGGGGGCTCACAGCAGGCGTGTCTGGAGGCAAAGCTGCACCCACATGGTCAGGCAATGGACACTTGCCGGGTGGACCCACAGGTCCTGCTCCAAGTTCTGCAAAAACGGCTCTAGTCCTCACTGTGCTGTGACCGACTAGCATCAGCCCTTTGGGGTCCCCTGTTGCCACTTGTGAAGGACACGAAATCCCAGGGCCCTTCCTTAGGGTCGGTGCCCTGTGGACTACGCCTAGTGTCCACACACTTGGGCCAGGCACGCCTGGAACCATCAGGACTCCAGAAGCGGGAAAGGAGGCAGCAGCTGGGGGCCTTGCTCTACCCCAGAATCAGCCCAGGTCTCTGACCACACGTGGCTCAGCAGGTCCCCTCCGGCTGAGCCACCAGGCCCTGTACAGACCCCACCCCACTCGGGACCCTGGCCACAAAGGCACACACCTCCTAACAGACACCCACTTGGTTTTGGGCTGTTTATTTTCCCATCAGAGCAGTTTCCCGGCCCGCGAGACAGAGGGGACACAAACGCAGCAAGGGCGGCCGCAGAAGGGCACCGCTGGCACGGGGTGGCCCCAATGACCGAGTCCAGGAAAGCTCGATCCGCACGGAAGGCAGCACCCGTGCTCCCCGCTGGAGGCGGTATGTGTCCCTGAAATCCACGGTCAGGCTTGTGCGGAAGAAATCGAGGCCCGGAAGTCCAGGAGGGGCGCCCCACGGCCGGGAGCGGGAAGGGTCCGGAGGCAGGAGGGCGGCGCCTACGTGTCGGGGTCCAGCCAGCGGCACTGCTCCTCCAGCACCCCGCGGAACACCTGGAAGCGGTGGTTGAGGTCGGGCCGTGCGTGGATGCGGAAGCGGGTGCCCAGGGCGCCGTCGGGCGAGGGCGCACCGTAGAAGACGCGCAGGATGCGTGCGTGCACCAGGGCCATGGCGCACATGGCGCAGGGCTCGCGGGTCACGTACAGGTCGTAGCCAGTGCACAGGTAGGGGAGGCCGTCCTCGTCTGCGTCCAGTTTACGCACGGCGCCTGCGCGGACGGCCTGGGGGGCAGCGGCCGGGGCGAAGGAGCAGGCGGGGAAGGGTCTGAAGTCGTAGGTGCCGCGGCCCTGGCCGCGCGCCACGAGGTCCACGCACACCATGACGGCGTGCAGGAGGGGGTTGTCCGCGCAGCTGCAGTCGTGGCCGGTGGCCAGCACGCGGTCCGAGGCCGGGTCCACTACCACGGCCCCCACGGCCCGCAAGCCCCGCGCTGCTGCCCGCCGGGCCGCCCACACCGCCCGCTCCATGTGGCTCTGCATGGCGGCGCGCTCCTGCGTGGAGAAGAGCCGCCCAGCCAGGGCGCTGGTCACCTGCTTGTCCTCGTGGAAGGACGTGGGCCAGTGGGCCCGGGCCTCCTCGAACTGGCCCCTGGTCAGAGGCGGCCGGGCGGGCACGGGCACCAGGAAGGGTTGCCCCAGGCCGCGGGGGTCCACAGCCGGCCGTGGCAGGAGCTCAGCCAGCGAGCGCGGGCCCGAGGCCGGCCCAGCCAGGCAAAGCAGCATCTCCAGGGCGTGGGGGCTGCCGGCATCGCGGCTGGGCCGCACCCGCTTGAGGTGAGGCTGGGCGGGGAGCGGGTGCAGGGCCGACACCTCCTTCAGGAGGCGTGAGGTCTGGCGCTTGTCCAGGACGGGCGCGGCGTAGGCCAGCACCAGCTCCACGTCCCCTGACTGCTTCTCGGACAGGACAGGGAGGGCCTGCCACGGCGCCGGCTCAGGCTCCGGGCTCCCGGCCTCCAAGCACTTGGGCTGCTCCACGAGGCCCGGGGCGGGCTCCATCCTCAGCGAGGCCGACTGTGGGAGACAGAGACGGGAGCAGAGGATCATCCGGCGGCTGCGGGCGGCTGGGGGAGAGCCGGGGAGTCCGTCCCGGGAGGCCGTGGCTCCACAAGGCAGGGCGTGCTGCCACCAAAGCTGAGGCTAGTCCGAGGGCTCCGGCCCAGGTCACCGCATCAGAGCTACACTCCCTCATGTCCTGCTAACCCCTGGTGTGCACAGAGTTTAAACAGCCATTGGTTTTTAAAAACGAAGATATAATTCACCTACCAGAAGACAGATCATTTTCTTTTTTTTTTATTTTATTTTTTTACTTCTGAGACGGAGTCTCGCTGTCGCCCAGGCTGGAGTACAGTGGCATGATCTCAGCTCACTGCAACCTCCGCCTCCCGGGTTCAAGCTATTCTCATGCCTCAGCCTCCAGAGTAACTGGGATTACAGGCATGCGCCACCACGCCCGACTAATTTTTGTGTATTTTTAGTAGAGATGGGATTTCACCACGTCGTTCAGGCTGGTCTCGAACTCCTAACCTCACGTGATCCACCCGCTTCAACCTGGTGGTGGGATTACAGGTGTGAGTCACTGCGCCCAGCCAAGACAGGTCATTTTCAAAAGCACAATTCATGGCTAGGTACCAGCGGCTCACGCCTGTAATCCCAGCACTATGGGAGGCCGAGGTGGGGGGATCACTTGAGCCCAGGAGTTTAAGACCAGCCTAGGCAACATAACAACACCCCATTTCTACTAAATATCAAAAAATTAGCTGGGCGTGGTGGCACACACCGGTGGTTTCAGCTACTCGAGAAGCTGAAACAGGAGGAGCACTTGAGGCCGGAAATTCAAGGCTGCAGTGAGCTACAATCGTGCCACTGTACCCCAGCCTGGCTGACAGAGCAAGATGCCATCTCAAAAAAAAAATGAAAACCCGGGCACGGTGGCTCACGCCTGTAATCCTAGCACTTTGGGAGGCCGAGGCAGGCGGATCACAAGGTCAGGAGATCAAGACCATCCTGGCTAACACGGTGAAACCCCGTCTCTACTAAAAATACAAAGAATTGGCCAGGCCTGGTGGCACGCACCTGTAGTCCCAGCTACTAGGGAGGCTGAGGCTTGCAGGAGAACCCAGAAGGTTGAACCTGGGAGGCGCAGGTTACATTGAGCCGAGATCGCGCCACTGCACTCCAGCCTGGTAACAGCGCGAGACTGTCAAAAAACAACAAAAAAGCCAGGCGTGGTGGCTTAAGCCTGTAATCCCAGCACTTTGGGAGGCTGAGGCGGGCAGATCATGAGGCCACGAGATCGAGACCAGCCTGACCAACATGGTGAAACCCCATCTCTACTAAAAATACAAAAATTAGCTGGGCATGGTGCCACGCACCTGTAATCCCAGCTACTCAGGAAGCTGAGGCAAGAGAATTGCTTGAACCTGGGAGGCAGAGGTTGCAGTGAGCCGAGATCGTGCCACTGCACTCCAGCCTGGTGACAGAGCGAGACTCTGTCTCAAAAAAAAAAAAAAAAAAAAGACACCTCAAAAACCAAAAACTATCAAGTGTCCTATTCAGTGGCTCTTAGGACACTTGGAGTTGTGCAACCATCACCACTATAAAATTCCAGAACATTCCATCACCCCTAAGAGAAAACTTGTCTCACCACCCTACAACACACACAGCAACCCAGGCAACCACTGATGTGATCTCTGCATCTCCAGAAGCCAGAGCCTGGAAGCAGAAGCGGGGACAGGCGGCGCCTGGCTTCCAGACAGAAGGGCCATGTGGCCAGGAACTGAGCAGGACCCTTGGTCCCCCGGCCGCAAGCTGCTGAATTCCGCCAACGCCTGCGTGAGTTGCAAGCAGATGCCACCCCCGTTGAGCCTCCAGATGACAACACAGCCCTGGCTGACACCTGGGTTCCAGCCCGGTGAGACCCCGCAGAGAGGAGCCAGCCATGTCACATTCAGGCCCCGACCCACAGAACCGGGAGCTGGCGGGTGTTGTATTAAGCCCACAGATGCACGGAGTCTGCTATGCAGTGACAGAAAGCAAGCATGCCAAGTGTGGGGGACACGGGGCCCCCTCCCAGAACAGCACACAGCCTGGCACTGACACGGAACACCCACCTCCAGTGGTTTCTGTAAACACTCGCCCCCTAGTCGGCCAAGGGCTAGGAAAAGAGAGACCTCAGAAGACAAGCCACGAAACGTAAGCCCCGGAGCGCAGCCCCTCCCCTGGTGGGCCCGACTTCCCATCCCTTGACCACATTCCTGCAGCTGTGGTGGGCCCTGGCTGTCGGGTGGAGCAGGCAGCCACTGGGGTGTCCCTGCTTACTCAGTCACAGAGGAGGCCCTGGCTGGAGTGGGGCTGCGGGAAGAGCTGGGATCACTCCCGGGGCTCCTGCTAACATCCCTGACTGCCGGGCAGTGTGCCAAGGCGGCTCTCGGGTGAGAACCTCCCGGCCTGACATCACCAGCACTGTTACCATCCCTGCCGCTGGCACAGGTGAGGACATCCCTGCTGCTGGCACAGGTGAAGACATCCCAGCCACTGGCACAGGTGAGGACGGGAGGCAGTAAAGCCGTTACCATCCCTGCTGCTGGCACAGGTGAGGACAGGAGATAGTAGAGCCATTACCATCCCTGCTGCTGGCACAGGTGGACATGAGGCAGTAGGGCCACTCCACTGGAGAGGAAGGGCTGGTGGGGCCCCCAGCTCTCGGGATCCGCCCATTAGAAGGGAGCCTGCCCTAGGCGGGCAGACAGCACAGCAGAGAGGCAGGCGTGGGGACAGCCAGCCTGCAGGGACTGCTCACAGGGCCCTGGGGGACAGCGCCTCTGGCTCCCACATCTCTGGCATCCACCCCACCTGAACACCCCCAAACCACAGTCTCAGCTGGCCAGCCTTCCCCCACCTGCATCTGCCCCCACAGACTCGCACCGCAGGCCTGAGGTTGGATTACAGGCGTAAGCCACCATGCCCAGCCCACATTTTTTTTTTTTTCAGACAGAGTCTCACTCTGTTGCCCAGGCTGGAGTGCAGTGGCATGATCTCAGCTCACTGCAACCTCCACTTCCCAGGTTCAAGCGATTCTCCTGCCTCAGCCCCCCTAGTAGCTGGGAATACAGGCACATGCCACCACGCCCGGCTAATTTTTGTATTTTCAGTAGAGACGGGGTTCCACCATGTTGGCCAGGCTGGTCTTGGAACTCCTGACCTCAGGTGATCCACCTGCCTCAGCCTCCCAAAGTGCTGGGATTACAGGTGTGAGCCACCGTGCCCAGCCCACATTGCTTAAAAGTATAAATTAGTTGGGCACGGTGGTGTGCACATGTAGTCCCAGCTACTCAGGAGACCAAGGCGAGAGGATCACTTAAGCACAGGAGTTTGAGACCAACGTGGGCAAGATAGAGAGACCCTGTTCCTTTTTTCAAATAAATAAATAATAATAAAATCCTAAAAACCTTACTACCTGTGTGCTCACAGTTATTTCTAGCAGACAGTACTGCCTCAGATGGTGCTGGGGCTAAGCCGCAGATGATCTTAAAATGACTCCAGCCGGGTGATCCTGAACTGCCAGCCTGGACTACACATCCCCGCTGGTATGGACGGCTCCTCCCGCAGACAGGGATGTGTCTCTGGATCATTTCGCAGCCGCGCAGCTGTGGGTGCTACTCCTCGACATGCACTGCCTGGTCCACGCCTCAGCCGCCGGGGCGCCCCACAGATGGGGGACCAGCAGCCAGTGGAACTCCAGGCCAGTGGCCTTGGAGGTCACGCTGAAGCGGCCCCAGCGCTGCCCGAAGCTCACGCGTTCAACAAAGCACAGAACCGGAGATGCAGTGGGAGCCGGGAGCAGGAAGCGCGGAGGCAGCGCCAGGTGCTGCCGCTGCCCGAGGCCCCGTGCCAGGTGGGGCCCATAGCAGCCGACTCGCTGGGCCCTCCCAAAACGCACACCACGCGCGACCAGGACCGAGAGGCCCGCACGGCCCTGCTAGGCCACAAACACTCCACTGTCTCCAGGGTAAAAGACAAACACAGCCTCGCTTGTCCCTCCAAGAGTACAACCTCTGTCTGATGAAAAACAAACGACCCAGAGAGGAGGCAGCTGCCGGGACACTGCAGGCTGGGCCCGCCGCGCCCTTGGAGGGCAGGTCAAAATCCCGGAACAGGCACAGTGTTCAGGCTGATTGACTGTCCCAGGCCAGGGCGGCCTCAACTGCCAGAGCACCTCCTACCTACCTGCTATGGCCCGGGGGGACGACTCACTCCCACAGCGACTGCCCCCCAACAGCAGGGGGCCACCTGACCCTCCCTCTACCACACCCACCCAGAAGGCAGGCGACCGACCACTGGGACCCCTCAGGAGGGCAGGCAGCCCAGGTCCCAGGTCCCAGCAGAACACGGCCGCCAGCCTGGGCTGGGAACCGGCATAGCTCCAGGCAGGTGAGTCAGACCCTGCGTGGTGACAACCCTGGTGAACAGGAGGCTGGGAGGCCTTTATCTAAGCCCACAGATGAGGAGGCCAAGGTCCGCGCCGGGACCTGGGTATGTCCACCCAGAAAACACACCCAGTCCCCAACCTGCCCTAGAGGCGTTCAGCCCAGCGCGGTCAATTCCTGACTGCGAGAACTCAGGCACCAGTCCTGACTCCTCCAAGCCTCGGCTTCCACCCCTGTGAAATGGGAATTCCTGCTCTACCTTTTTTTTTTTTTTAAGGCAGGGCTGTCAGGTACATAAGAGAAAATGGGGGGATGGAGGGGCCTGACCATCTTCAGCAGAATCCAGGAGGGCTCCTCGGAGGCAGTGACCCACAGCCCAGCCTGGAAGGCTGGGGAAGTAGGGGAGAGAACTCGGAGAGGGAACAGCTAATGCTCAGTTCCAGGGCACACCAATAGTCTGCGTGGGGGCTTTTTTTTTTTTGGGACAGTCTCACTCTGTCCCCCAGGCTGGAGGGCAGTGGCGCGATCCTGGCTCACTGCAACCTCTGCCTCCCTGGTTCAAGCAATTCTCCTGCCTTAGCCTCCCAAGCAGCTGGGACAACAGATGTGCACCACTATGCCTGGCTAATTTTTTATATTTTTAGTAGAGGTGGGATTTCACCATATTGGTCAGGCTGCTCTCGAACTCCTGACCTTGTGATATACCTGCCTAGGCCCCCCAAAGTGCTGGGATTACAGGCGTGAGCCACTGCGCCCAGCCTGGGGCTTGTTTCTTTACACACACACACACACACACACAATTTTTTTTTTTTTTTGAGACGGAGTCTCACTCTGTCGCCCAGGCTGGAGTGCAGTGGCACGATCCTGGCTCACTGCAAGCTCTGCCTCCTGAGTTCACACCATTTTCCTGCCTCAGCCTCCTTTGGGAGTAGCCGGGACCACAGGCGTCCACCACCATGCCTGGCTTTTTTTTATTTTTAGTAGAGACAGGGTTTCACCGTGTTAGCCAGGATGGTCTTGATCTCCTGATCTCGTGATCCACCCGCCTTGGCCTCCCAAAGTGCTAGGATTACAGGCGTGAGCCACCACGGCCGGCGCTACACGTATGTATTTTATTTATTTATTTAGAGACAGGGTCTCGCTCTGTTGCCCAGGCTGGAATGCAGTAGTGCCATCACAGTTCACTGCAGCCTCAACCTCCGGGGCTCAAGCAATCCTCCTGCCTCAGCCTCCCAAGTAGCTGGGACCACAGACATGTGTCACCATGCCTGGCTTATTAAAAAAAAATCTTTTTTTCTTTTTTTTGGAGAGTGAGTCTTGCTAGCTTGCTCAGCCTGGAGTACAATGGTGCCATCTTGGCTCACTGCAACCTCCACCTCCCAAGTCCAAGCGATTCTCCTGCCTTGGCCTCCCCAGTAGCTGGTTTTACAGGCGCGTGACACCACGCCCAGCTAATTTTTGTATTTTTGGCAGAGATGGAGTTTCACCATGTTAGACAGGCTGGTCTCGAACTCCGGACCTCAGGTGATCCACTCGCCTTGGCCTCCCAAAGTGCTGGGGTTATAGGGTGAGGAACTGCACCCAGCCGTCCTTGTTTCCACGGAGTCGATCCTCTGTTTCTGGCCACCCTACAAGGAGGCCTTCTCTGCAAGACAGCGGGGAACCTCGGTCCTCGGGGTAGTGTGTGGGAGATAACTGGGGGCCTGTGATACAAAAACCTGAAAAACTCATACTCTAGGTAACGATGAGGAACGATGGTCAATTCTGGGGATGTACCAAGGCCTAGGGGAATCTCCACATAAAGGCGAATCAGAGCTGGGGAGGAAGGACGCGAAGGCTACGGAAACTCGCGAGAGCGCGGTTCAGAGGCAGGGGACTGCGGGACATGACCTGAGGAAGGGCCACCGGAAGCAGCTGGAGGATACGGGGTCTCCCGCACCGACCATAAGGGCGCACACGCGCAGAAAGGCGCTAGGCCCGGGGGAGCGCGGTCCTGAGGCTTCCCCCAGGCCAGCGCCGCGCGCGCGCGCGCACGCGCATTCGCGCCGCCTCCCCGCGTCGCCCACCGGCCCGCCCGAGACGCGCGCGAGGCTGGCCTGGGCCCCCCGTTTTCTCCCCACAAACGGCCGGCGCCCCTCACCGCCGAGACCCCCCATGTCAGCCCCTACTCCCCCTCTGGGGAAGTCTGAGCCTGGAGAACCCGAGACCTCGGGGCCGCGCGCTTACCTGAGGGATCCGGGCGCGAGCGCAGCGCTTCGCCAAGTCTTAGCAACCGGCCCGGCCCAACCCACCTCACCCCGCCTCGTCTCCGCCTGGAGCCGCGGAGCACGACGGGAGCGTAGTTCCAGGGGCGGGATCTTCGCCAGGCCAAGGTGGGGCAAGGACTACAATTGCTAGTAGGCACTGCGCGCCGCCGCCTCGCCCCGCCCCGCTCCGGCACTGCGCTCACATGACCTCCGGGCGGCGGGAGGGGAGGAGAGGCGGGGCCGCTGCGCTGGGCGAGCGCTGAGTTTGCAGGTTCGAATCCCATCAAGCGGCCAGGGAAAACTCGGAACCCGGGGGATCTTTGGAAGGTTAGCAGAGTGGGAAGGATGAGGCAGAGGGGGTATATGACACCCGTCCCCTGAGTCCGGGATGGGGCCAGGTTCCAGTTCTGCCTGTTACTGCACTCCGGCGTGGGCCGCCCTCAGGTTTGAGTTTTCTCACCAGTAACGTAGGTGAAGAAGACCTCTTGCCTCTCCTGGGCCAAACAAGCACATTTTTTTTTTTTTTTTTGAGACGTAGCCTCAGTCTGTCACCCAGGCTGGAGTGCAGTGCTAGGCTCACTGCAACCTCCACCTCCTGGGTTCAAGCGATTTCTGGCTAGTTTTTGTACTTTTAGTAGAGAAGGGGTTTCACCAAAACATGCATATTTTATGAGCAATTTGTTACTCCTTCCAGTTGGACAGGTTTAACCAAGTGGTTCTCAACGGGAGGGAATTTGTCATCCCCTCCCCCAACAGCTTGACAGTGCCTGGCTGTAACCAGCTCAGGCTCCGATGCCAGAGTCTTGACAAACCAGTAAGGAGGAAAAAGTGCAGTGAAAGGAAGGTGACTTCCTTTCAGAGTTCGCAGCAGGGAGGCAGCTGGTTTAGGCCTCCAGAAACCCCTTCAAACTTGAGGCTGGGGTGAGGGGCTAAAAAAGGGGAACTGGGAATGGTGGGTGTGCAGGGGAGGTGCTGATTATAAGCTCTGTGTGTTCATGAATTTTGGTGGCTTAAAAGCGCAGGCTGGCCTCATCCTAATAAGGGCCGGGTTGCAGACCACCTTGAGGAAATCTCTGGGATTTTGCAGGTGGGTCTCCGTGCTTGGCCTGTCTCCAGATTAGCTCTAAAACGTTCTTTCTTTTTTCTTTTTTTTCGAGACAGTCTCGCTCTTGTCACCGAGGCTGGAGTGCAGCAGCACGATCTCAGCTCACCGCAACCTCCACCTCCCAGATTCAAGTGATTCTCCTGCCTCAGCCTCCCGAGTAGCTGGGATTACAGGCACACGCCACCACACCTGGCTAATTTTGTATTTTTAATAGAGATGGGGTTTCTCCATGTTGGTCAGGCTGGTCTCAAACTCCTGACTTCAGGTGATCTGCCCGCCTCGGCCTCCCAAAGTGCTGAGATTACAGGCGTGAGCCACCGTGCCCAGCCTGTTCCTGGAACTTTTAGGTAATCACATAATTAGATGCATACAGTTAGGTAAACCTGCAGAGTGTGAGGGAGTTTATGGTGAGAAAGGGGAGGACGTGTTTCAAAGAAAGTGCATTTCAAGGTCGGATGCGGTGGCTCATGCCTGTACTCCCAGCACTTTGAGAGGCCAAGGTGGGTGGATCACCTGAGGTCAGGGGTTCGAGACCAGCCTGGCCAACATGGCGAAACCCCATCTCCACTAAAAATACAAAAATTAGCCAGGCATGGTGGCAGGGGCCTTTAATCCCAGCTGCTGGGAAGGCTGAGGCAGGAGAATCACTTGAACCCGGGAGACGAAGGTTGCGATGAGCTGAGATCGCACCATTGCACTCTGTTGCCTGGGCGACAGAGTGAGACTCCATCTCAAAAAAAAAAAAAAAAAAAAAAAAAAAAAAAAACAGCATTCCAGGAAACTATTTCGCTCTCAGTTGCTTTCTTTTTTCCTTTTCTGAATAAAAACTCAGACTGCTGTGAGTTTCACTTTTTCTTTTTTTAGCTTAAATACACATCTCTCCATCCCTGGATGCCTCATGCAAACTAGCCAAGAGCCCCTGTTTTGCTGATTTGTTTTAAAAAAAAAAAAGACAGCCTTTATTTGGTAAGTCATTAAATCCAAAGCCCAGATTCTCTGCATCTAAAAAAATGAATCTAGGCCAGGCATGGTGGCTCGTGCCTGTAATTCCAGCACTTTGGGAGGCTGACACATGAGGTTTGCCTGAGGCCAGGAGTTTGAGACATGCTGCCATCTCTGCAAAAAAAAAAAAAAAAAGAATTGCTGGGTCCGGAGGGGCACTGAGTAAGTGGGACAGCTGGGACAGCTACTCAGGAGGCCGAGGTGGGAGGATCACTGGAGTCCAGAAGGTCAAGGCTGAAGTGAGCTATGATTGCGCCACTGCGCTCCAGCTGGCTAATTTTTGTATTTTTTAGTACACCATGTTGGCCAGGCTGGTCTCAAACTCCTGACCTCTGGTGATCTACCTGCCTCAGCCTCCCAAAATGCTGGGATAGTGCGAGCCACCATGCCTGGCCTTCTTTCGGGTTTTTGTTTTGCTTTGGGCTTTAAGCTAGTTTCAGTCATGATTTCAGCCTCTACTGATGGGACCCCTTTTTTAATTGACATTGTTCTTTATCCAGAACTTTTCTTTTTCTTTCTTTTTTTTTTTTTTTTTTTTTTGAGAAGGAGTCTCACTCTGTCGCCCAGGCTGGAGTGCAGTGGCGCGATCTCAGCTCACTGCAAGCTCCACCTCCCTGCAAGCTCCACCTCCCGGATTCACGCCATTCTCCTGCCTCAGCCTCCCGAGTAGCTGGGACTACAGGCGCCCACCACCACGCCCCGCAAATTTTTTTGTATTTTTAGTAGAGACGGGGGTTTCACCATGTTCGCCAGGATGGTCTCGATCTGTTGACCTCGTGATCCGCCCGCCTCGGCCTCCCAAAGTGCTGGGATTACAGGCATGAGCCACCGCGCCCGGCCTTTATCCAGAACTTTTCAAAAGTAATGTGGCCCACAGCCGGTGTGCTGGCTCACACCTGTAATCCCAGTGTAATCCCAGGACTTTGGGAGGCCGAGGCGGAGGGATTGCTTGAGTCTAGGAATTTTGAAATTGCCCTGGGCAACACAGCGAGACCTTGTCTCTTTCTTTAAAAAAAAAAAAACAACATAGCTGGGAATGGTGGCGCCTGTAGTCTCAGCTACATGCCGGGAGGCTGCGGCAGAAGGATGGCTTGAGCCCAGGAGGCAGAGGTTGCAGTGAGCTGAGATCACACCAATGCCACTTCACTCCAGCCTGGGTGACAGCCAGACCGTCTCAAAAAACAAACGGAACGTGACCCTCCCGACTCACAGTAATGCGTCAGGGTCCGGCATCGAAATGTTGCAAAATCATGGAGTCGGTTCCCCAATTGTGAGCTTAGTGGCCGCAGAGAATCAGCCAGAAGCCTAAGTCAGACACTGGCGGGCTGGGTGGCCCCAAGTGACAGGCAGTCAAGAAATGACCAGGACCAAGCTCGGGGGCTCACGCCTGTAATCCCAGCACTTTGAGAGTCCAAGGTGGAAGGATCGCTTGAGCCCAGGAGTTTGAGACCAGCCTGGGCAACATAGTGAGACCTTGTCTCTACACAAAAATTTTAAATTACCCAGGTGTGGTGTGTGCCTGTGGTCCCAGCTACTTGGGAGGCTGAGGTGGCAGGATCACTTGAACCCAAGAGGTCAAGACTGCAGTGGGCTTTGATCAGCATTACTGCACTCCAGCCTGGGCAACAGAGGGAGATCCTGTCTTTAAAAAAATAGGCCTGGGCGGGGCACGGTGGCTCACGCCTGTAATCCCAGCACTTTGGGAGGCCAAGGTGGGCGGATCACGAGGTCAGGAGATCGAGACCATCCTGGCTAACATGGTGAAACCCCGTCTCTACTAAAAATAAAAAAGCCAGGCGTGGTGGCGGGCGCCTGAAGTCCCAGCTACTCGAGAGGCTGAGGCAGAAGAATGGCGTGAACCCAGGAGGTGGAGCTTGCAGTGAGCTGAGATTGCGCCACTGCACACCAGCCTGGGTGACAGATGGAGACTGTGTCTAAAAAAAAAAAAGGAAAAAAAAAATAGGCCAGGCATGGTGGCTCACAGCTGTAATCCCAGCGCTTTGGGAGGCCGAGGTGGGTGGATCACAAGGTCAGGAGTCTGAGACCAGCCTGACCAACATGGTGAAACCCCGTCTCTACTAAATATACAAGAATTAGCCGGATGTGGTGGCGCACGCCTGTAATCCCAGCTACTCAGGAGGCTGAGGCAGGAGAATAGCTTGAACCCGGGAGGTGGAGGTTGCGGTGAGCTGAGATCACGCCACTGCACTCCAGCCTGTGTGACAGAGCGAGACTCTAAAAAAATAAATAAAACAAAACAAAACAAAATAAAATAAAAATAAGACTGGGAGTGGTGGCTCACGCCTGTAATCCCAGCACTTTGGGAGGCCGAGGCGGGTGGACCACTTCAGGCCAGGGGTTCTAGTTGTGGGATATAATGGGGTTTCTCTTCAAATAATCTGATCAATCATTTATTCTTTAATTCATAGTACCCCTCCTTTCCCTTCTTTTTCTTTTTCCTTTTTGCCTTTGTTAAATGCCTAGACACGCCTCAATACCAAGCGTTATCAGCATCAGCTTACATTCCTTTCCTTATTTTAAAAAAAGACTAACTTTCTAGCTCATCACAGACACCCCCTTCCCCATTCTCTCCACTTTCTTTTTCTTTCTTTTTTTTTTTTGAGACAGAGTCTCGCTCTGTTGCCCAGGCTGGAGTGCAGTGGCACGATTTCCGCTCACTGCAAGCTCCGCCTCCCGGATTCACGCCATTCTCCTGCCTCAGCCTCCCGAGTAGCTGGGACTACAGGCGCCCGCCACCACGCCCGGCTAATTTTTTGTATTTTTAGTAGAGACGGGGTTTCTCTGTGTTAGCCAGGATGGTCTCGATCTCCTGACCTCGTGATCCGCCCTCCTCGGTCTCCCAAAGTGCTGGGATTACAGGCGCGAGCCACCGCGCCCGGCCTCCCCTTTCTTTTACATACCCACCCTATCTAAAAAAAATCAAATGTTTAGCCAACCAAAGTTAGTTTAGATTGTGTGACCCGACCCCAGCCAATAGGAAAAAAGTACAGAGGCCGAGGTGGGTGGATCATGAGGTCAGGAGATTGAGACCATCCTGGCTAACACGCTGAAACCCCATCTCTACTAAAAAAAATAAAAAGATTAGCCGGGCGTGGTGGCGGGCGCCTGTAGTTCCAGCTACTCGGGAGGCTGAGGCAGGAGAATGGCGTGAACCCGGGAGGCGGAGCTTGCACTGAGCGGAGATGGCGCCACTGCACTCCAGCCTGGGTGACAGAGCGAGACTCCGTCGCAGAAAAAAAAAAAAAAAAAGCCAGCACAGTGGCTCACGCCTGTAATGCCAACACTTCGGAAGGCTGAGGCGGGTGGATCACCTGAGGTCAAGAGTTCGAGACCAACATGACTAACATGGTGAAACCCCGTCTCTACTAGAAATACGAAAAATTAGCCAGGTGTGGTGGCGCATGCCTGTAGTCCCAGCTACTCAGGAGGCTGAGGCAGGAGAATCGCTTGAACCCAGGAGGCAGAGGTTGCAGTGAGCCAAGATTGCACCATTGCACTCCAGCCTGGGCAACAAGAGGGAAACTCCGTCTCAAAAACAAAAACAAAAACAAAAAATCAAAGTCCTAAGATTATAGGCATGAGCCACAGGGCCTGGCTAAGAAACAATGTTTTTAATTATGAAAACAAATATTTTAGGCAGGGCGTGGTGGCTCATGTCTGTAATCCCAGCACTTTGGGAGGCCGAGGCAGGCGGATCATGAGATCAGTTTGAGACCAGCCTGGCCAACATGGAAAAACCCTGTCTCTACTAAAAATACAAAATTAGCCGGGCGTGGTGGCGGGCACCTGTAGTCCCAGCTACTCGGGAGGCTGAGGCAGGAGAATCACTTGAACCTGGGAGGCAGAGGATGCAGTGAGCTGAGATTGTGCCACTGTACTCCAGCCTGGGCAACAAGAGCGAAACTCTGTCTCAAAAACAAAAAAGAAATAGTATTAGACAAAGTGTGACGAAAACTGAAAAAAATTAAGAAAGTTAAAAAAACAAAACAAAACAAAACAAAACAGGAATGCGTCCAAAAAAGGAGAGGAGTTCCCCGCAAGACCCTCTGTCTGTTTCCACATGGCTGAGGCCAAAATCAGTATCAACTTCCCTGTCACCACCTTGTTCAGCTTGTTTCTTTGCGTCAGCATCCCATTAACTTTCTGATTTGTTTGTTTGTTTGTTTTGAGACGGACTCTCGCTCTGTCACCCAGGCTGGAGTGCAGTGGCATAATCTTGGCTCAGTGCAACCTCCGCCTCCCAGGTTCAAGCGATTCTCCTGCCTCAGCCTCCTGAGTAGCTGGGACTGCAGGTGCCCGCCACCACGCCCGGCTAATTGTTTTATAGTTTTAGTAGAGATGGGGTTTCACCACATTAGCCAGGATGGTCTTGATCTCCTGACCTAGCGATCCGCCCGCCTCGGCCTCCCAAAGTGCTGGAATTACAGGCGTGAGCCACCACGCCTGGCTATACATATATTTTTTCGAGACGGAGTCTCGCTCTGTCTCCCAGGCTGGAGTGCAGTGGCACGATCTCAGCTCACTGCTACCTGTGCTTCCCGGGTTCAAGCGATTCTCATGCCTCAGCCTCCCAAGTAGCTGGGATTACAGATGCCTGCCACCACGCCTAGCTAACTTTTGTATTTTTAGTATAGACGGGGTTTCACCATGTTAGCCAGGATGGTCTCGGTCTCACCTCATGATCCACCCGCCTGGCCTCCCAAATTGTTGGAATTACAGGCGTGAGCCACAGCGCCCGGCCAAGGATGTCTCATTTATTTCACCTCCACCAGGACAGGACGTTTTGGTGTTTTTTGTTTTGTTTTTGAGATGGAGTCTCACTCTGTCCCCCAGGCTGGAGTGCAGTGACATCTCGGTTCACTGCAACCTTCGCCTCCCGGGTTCAAGCGATTCTTGTGCCTCAGCCTCCTGAGTAGTTGCAATTACAGGTGCCTGCCACCACACCTGGCTAATTTTTGGATTTTTAGTAGAGATGGGAGTTCGCTGTGATGGCCAGGCTGGTCTGGAACTCCTGATCTCAGGTGATCCTCCCGCCTCAGCCACCTAAAGTGCTAGGATTACAGGCATGAGCCACCGTGCCTGGCCTTGGTGTTTTTGTTTTGTTTTTTGTTTTTTTTTTTTTTTTTGAGACAAGATCTGCCTCTGTCACCCAGGCTGGAGTGCAGTTGTGCAGTCATAGCTCACTGTGGCCTTTGCCACCCGGGCTCAAGCGATCCTCCCACCTCAGCCTCCCATGTAGCTGGGACCACAGATGTGTTCCGTCACGCCCAGCTAATTTTTGTTGTGGTTGAAATTTTTGTAGAGTCGAGGTCTTGCTGCCCTGCTAGGGCTGGACTTTCATTCTCTGCGGTATCCCTATTGCCCAGCATGCACGTGGGCAGCCCTTGTTGCTGTTATCCTGGCAAGGCAAGTGGGATCGCCCCCGCCTCTCCTGGGAGCCCTGCACCAGCCTCTCGGACCCTCCCAAAATCAAGCGGACACGGTTGCCACCTACTGACCAAAGGCAGCTGCACCCCGGTCACGGGGCTTCCGGCCGGATCTAAGCACGTGTTTACACCCTTTCCCAGAAGGTCCACACCCACCACACTCGGCTCCGGTGGGCGGGAGACAGTGCTGGTAACAGAGAACAATCACACTCCCTCATCAGCAGTGCGGAAGTTTAAAAGCTCTGTGCTAACACTGGGGTCAAAAATGGAGTGTCACCCGGGTGCGGTGGCTCACGCCTGTAATCCCAGCACTTTGGGAGGCCGAGGCAGGTGGATCACGAGGTCAGGAGATCGAGACCACCCTGGCTAACACGGTGAAACCCCGTCTCTACTAAATATACAAAAAATTAGCCGGGTGTGGTGGTGGGCGCCTGTAATCCAGCTATCCGGGGGGCTGAGGCAGGAGAATGGCGTGAACCCTGAGATCACGCCAATGCATTCCAGCCTGGGTGACAGTGCCAGACTCCGTCTCAAAAAAAAAATTTTTTTTTTTTTTTTGCAGAGACAGAGGTCTCTCTTAGTTGCCCAGGCTGGTCTTTTTTTTTTTTTTTTTTTTTTTTTTTTTTTTTGAGATGGAGTCTCGCTCTGTCGCCTAGGAGTGCAGTGGCATGATCTTGGCTCACTGCAAGCTCCGCCTCCTGCGTTCACGCCATTCTCCTGCCTCAGCTTCCCGACACCACCCCCGGCTATTTTTTTTTTATTTTTTTGAGACAGAGTCTCGCTCTGTGGTCCAGGCTGGAGTGCAGAGGCGTGATCTCAGCTCACTGCAAGCTCCACCTCCCGGGTTCACGCCATTCTCCTGCCTCAGCCTCCCGAGTACCTGGGACTACAGGCGCCCACCACCACGCCCGGCTAATTTTTTGTATTTTTAGTAGAGACGGGGTTTCACCGTATTAGCCAGGATGGTTTTGATCTCCTAACCTCGTGATTCGCCCACCTCGGCCTCCCAAAGTGCTGGGATTACAGGCGTGTGCCACCGCGCCCAGCCCCGGGTTGGTCTTGAACTTGTAAGGCTCAAGTGATCCTCCCACTCTGCCTGCCAAACTGCTGGGATTATAGGCGTGACCTAAGGCACTTGGCGTGGAGATAGGAAGTCTCTCTCTGTGGCCCAGGCTGGAGTGCAGTGGGAGCTGATCACGGCTCACCACAGCCTCAAACTCCTGGGCTCAGGGGATCCTCCCACATTGGGCTCCGGAGTAGCTCAGACCACAGGCATGTGCCCCGACACCTGGCTAACCAAATATTTTTTTTTTTTTTTGTAGAGATGGGGTCTTGCTGTGTTGCCCACGCTAGTCTCAAACTCCTGGGCACCAGTGATCCTCCTGCCTTGGCCTCTCAAAGTATTTGGATTACAAGCTTGAGCCACTGTGCTTGGCCCCCGCCGAGACAGGACTTTTTAAAGAGATTATTAGGTTCAAATGACGTCCTGAGGGTGCGCCCAAATCCAATCTGACTTGTTTCTCTTTAAGAGGCAATTACAGCCAGGCGCGGTGGCTCACACCTGTAATCCCAGCACTTTGGGAGGCCGAGGTGGGCGGATAACCTGAGGTCAGGAGTTTGAGATCAGCCTGGCCACCATGGTGAAATCCTGTCTCTACTAAAAATACAAAAATTAGCCAGGTGTGGTTGGCGGGCACCTGTAATCCCAGCTACTTGGGAGGCTGAGGCAGAAGAATCGCTTGAACCTGGGAGGCGGAGGTTGCAGTGAGCCGAGATTGTGCCTCTGCACCCCAGCCTGGGCGAGGGAGCAAGACTTCATCTCAAAAAAAAAAAAAAAGAAATAGACCAGGCGCGGTGGCTCACGCCTGTAATCCCAGCACTTTGGGAGGCCAAGGCGGGTGGATCACTTGAGGTCAGGAGTTGAGACCAGACTGGCCAATATGGTGAAACCCTGTATCTACTAAAAATACAAAAATTAGCCAGGCTTGGTGGCGGGCGCCTGTAATCCCAGCTACTCAGAAGGCTGTGGCAGAAGAGTCGCGTGATCCCAGGCGGTGGAGGTTGCAGTGAGCCGAGATCACGCCACTGCACTCCAGCCTGGGTGACAAAGTGAGACTCTATCTCAAAAGAAAAAGAAAATAAGGAAATAAATAAATAACTTAAATAACCCAATTCCTGGTGGGCTGGTGGGAGCAGAGGGTGCTGGGTCTGGTGTGTCGAGGGGACGGGGCTGGGTGCCTGCAGGGAAGGTCGCTGGGAGGGTCCCCGGCCCTGGCCCTGCTCCCTCCCCGCACCTCTGACCGCGTGGTTGGGTGATGCTATTTTAAGATGCCCCCGCCAACTTCCTTCCTTCTCATGTCAGGAACCCACTTCCTGAGCGGGTTCCACTCTCTCCCCTCTGGGAGGGGTATCCCTCCGCAGCGCTTAACGCCCCTGACCCTGGAAGGAGGCCTCCCGGTCCTTTCCCCAAAAGAAGCCTGGCTACAGAATCTTTGAGGCCAAGCTCAGAATGACAATACAGGGCCCCTTGTTTAAAAATGTTTAGAATTTTTTTTTTTCTAAGACAGTTTTTTTGCTCTTGTTGCCCAGTCGGAATACAATGGTGCTATCTCGAGTCACGACAACCTCTGCCTCCTGGGTTCAAGCGATTCTCCTGCCTCAGCCTCCCAAGTAGCTGCGATTACAGGCATGTGCCTCCACGCCCGGCTGATTTTGTGTTTTTAGTAGAGACGGGGTTTCTCCATGTTGGTCAGGCTGGTCTTGAACTCCCGACTTCAGGTGATCCGCCCGCCTCGGCCTCCCAAAGTGCTGGGATTACAAGCGTGAGCCACCGAGCCCGGCCTTTTTTTTTTTTTTTTTTTTTTTTTTTTTTTTAAAGAGACGGAGTCTTGCTCTCTCGCCCAGGCTGGAGTGTAGTGACATGATCTCAGCTTACTGCAACCTCCGCCTCCTGAGTTCAAGCAATTCTCCTGCCTCAGGTTCCCAAGTAGCTGGGTCTACAGGCATGCGCCACCACGCCCAGCTAATTTTTGTTTTTTCAGTAGAGACAAGGTTTCACCATGTTGGTCAGGCTGGTCTCGAACTCCTGACCTCAGCTGATCCGCCCGCCTGGGCCTCCCAAAGTGATGGGATTACAGGAGTGAGCCACCGCACCCAGCCAATTTTTAGGAATTTTGAGACAGCAACCACAGAGCATTATATCATGCCTAGATTCCTCTGAGTGTGGGTCCCCAGCGGACCCCTGAGGCCTCTGCCTGCGAAGCTGGCGCTAACCAAACAGCTCGTCTAACTCCGTGGTTTTATGAACATTGATTTATTTGGTTGTGGTAAAATACGCATAATATAAAGTTGACCATCTTAACCCTTTTATTTTATTTATTTATTTATTTTTTTGAGACAGTCTCGCTCTGTCGCCCAGGCTGGAGTGCAGTGGCGCAAGCTCCGCTCACTGCAAACTCCGCCTTACCGGTTCACGCCATTCTCCTGCCTCAGCCTCCCGAGTAGCTGGGACTACAGGCGCCCACCACCACGCCCGGCTAATTTTTTGTATTTTTAGTAGAGACGGGGTTTCACCGTGTTAGCCAGGATGGTCTCGATCTCCTGACCTCGTGATCCACCCGCCTCGGCCTCCCAAAGTGCTGGGATTACAGGCGTGAGCCACCGCGCCCGGCCTCTTAACCATTTTAAGTGCACAGTTCAGCCGTATTAAACTCATTCACACGGTTGTGCGACCATCACCTCCAGAACTTTCTGATCTTTGCAAACTGAAACTTGGCCCCATGAAACGCTCACTCCCCATTCCCCTCCCCAGCTCCTGGCGGCCTCCATCCTACTTTGTGTCTCTGTGAATCTGAGGACTCGAGGGACCTCCTAGGAGTGGATCACACAAGACGTGTCCTTTTGTGTCTGGCGCCTCCCGCTGAGTGTAACGTCCTCAAAGTGCATCCGCGCGTTGTGGCCTGAGTCAGAGCCTCGCTCCTTTTCTTTTTTTCTTTTTTCTTTTTTTATATTATATTATATATTTTTTTTTGAGACGGAGTCTCGCTCTGTCTCCCAGGCTGGAGTGTGGTGGCGCGATATCGGTTCACTGCAAGCTCCGCCTCCCGGGTTCACACCATTCTCCTGCCTCAGCCTCCCCAGTAGGTGGGACTACAGGCGCCCGCCACCACGCCTGGCTAATTTTTTGTATTTTTGGTAGAGATGGGGTTTCACCGTGTTAGCCAGGATGGTCTCAATCTCCTGACCTCGTGATCCACCTGCCTCGGTCTCCCAAAGTGCTGGGATTACAAGTGTGAGCCACCATGCCCGGCCTCGCTCCTTTTCATGGCTGCCTCCTATTCCAGCGTGTGTATAGGCCATGCTGTGTTCACCCAGTCATCTGTCCATAGCCACTGGGACTGTTGCTACCTTGTGGCTGTTGGGAATCAAGGTACTACTGACATAGGTGTGCAAATATCTATGGAAATCCCTGTTTTCCATTATTTTTTTGAGACGGAGTCTCGTTCTGTCGCCCAGGCTAGAGTGCATTGGCACAATCTCGGCTCACTGCAACCTCCGCCTCCCGGGTTCAGGCGATTATCCTGCCTCAGCCTCCTGAGCAGCTGGGTCTACAGGTGCGCACCACCACGCCCAGCTAGTTTTTGTATTTTTAGTAGAGATGGGGTTTTACGATCTTGACCAGGATGGTCTCGAACTCTTGACCTCGTGATCTGCCCGCCTCGGCCTCTCAAAGTGCTGGAAGTACAGGTATGAGCCACCGCGCCCAGTCCCATTCTTGTAAGTATATGCTGAAAAGTATAAATATTAGTATTTAATCACAAAGCTTATTTAGAAATCTAGTTTTAGCCTGGGAGGCAGAGCTTGCTGTGAGCCGAGCTCGTGCCACTGCACTCCAGCCTGGGCGACAGAGCGAGACTCTGTCTCAAAAAAAAAAAAAAAAAGAGAAATCTAGTTTTAGGCCAGGTGCTGTGGCTCACGCCTGTCATCTCAGCACTTTGGGAGGCCAAGAGAGCCACATCACTGGAGGTCAGGAGTTCTAGACCAGCCTGCCCAACATGGTGAAACCCTGTCTCTACTAAAAATACAAAAATTATGGCTGGGCGCGGTGGCTCACGCCTGTAATCCTAGCACTTTGGGAGGCCGAGGCGGGTGGATCACAAGGTCGGAGTTCGAGACCATCCTGGCCAACATGGTGAAACCCTGTCTCTATTAAAAATACAAAAATTAGCTGGGCGTGGTGGCGGGCACCTGTAATCCCAGCTACTCGGGAGGCTGAGGCAGGAGAATTGCTTGGACTCGGGAGGCGGAGTTTGCAGTAAACTAAGATTACATCACTGCACTCCAGCCTGGATGACAGAGTGAGACTCCTACTCAAAAAAAAAAAAAAAAAAAGTCACCCAGTACCTTGTTCTCCCACATCATCTATCTCGGTCCCTCTGTGGGGGGTTTTCTCAGGGGGAGACCCAGGATTGCTTTCTGAACACAGCAGCATGGACCTTCTCATGGGACCTCCTCTTCCAGGAATCCTCCCTGCAGGGTCCTATCCATCAGTGTGAAACGTCTCATGTGCCATTATTGTTGCAGCCAAAGCCAGAAACACCCTACATGTCCGTCAAGAGGGGACTGAGCATGGAGACGGCAGGTCAGCTCCTGGGGCCCCTTGCTTTGCATGAGAGGATTCCCGAAACAAATAGCATATGTGGCTGGGCGCGGTGGCTCACGCCTGTAATCCCAGCACTTTGGGAGGCTGAGGTGGGTGGATCACTTGAGGTCAGAAGTTCAAGACCAGACTGGTCAACATGATGAAACCCCGTCTCTACTAAATATACAAAAATTAGCCAGGGGTGGTGGCAGTCACCTGTAATCCAAGGTACGCGGGAGGCTGAGGCAGGAGGATTGCTTGTACCCGGGAGGTGGAGGTTGCAGTGAGCTGAGATCGCACCATTGTGCTCCAGCCTGGGCAACAAGAGCGAAACTTCGTCTCAAAAAAAAAAAAAAATACAAAAATTAGCCGGGCATGGTGGCTCATGTCTGTAATCCCAGCACTTTAGAAGACTGAGGTGGGAGGATTGCTTGAGGCCAAGAGTTGGAGACCAGCCTGGGCAACATAGCATGACCTCATCTCTACAAAAAAATTGAAAATTAACTGGGTATAGCCACTCCACTGATTCAAATGTTAATCTCTTCGGAAACATTCTTACAGAAATACTCAGAAATGATGTTGTGCCAGCTATATATATGGTAGCCCAGTCAAGGTGACACATAAGAGTAACCATTGGCCAGGAGCAGTGGCTCATGCCTGCAATCCCAGCACTTTGGGAGGCTGAGATGGGTGGATCACGAGGTCAGCAGTTCGAGACCAGCCTGATGAACATGGTGAAACCCCATCTCTACTAAAAATACAAAAAAAATTAGCTGGTTATGGTGGCAGGGGCCTGTAATCCCAGAGACTTGGGAGGCTGAGGCAGGAGAATCACTTGAAACCAGAAGGCGGAGGTTGCAGTGAGCTGAGATTGCACCACTGCACTATAGCCTGGGCAGTAAGAGCAAAACTCCGTCTCAAAAAAAAAAAAAAAAAAAAAAAGGCGCGGTGGCTCACGCCTGTAATCCCAGCACTTTGGGAGGCCAAGGCAGGCGGATCACGAGGTCAGGAGATTGAGACCATCCTAGCTAACACAGTGAAACCCCATCTCTACTAAAAATTTAAAAAATTAGCCAGGCGTGGTGGCGGGCGCCTGTAATCCCAGCTACTCGGGAGGTTGAGGCAGGAGAATGGCGTGAACCCGGGAGGCAGAGCTTGCAGTGAGCGGAGATCGCACCACTGCACTCCAGCCTGGGCAACAGAGTGAGACTCCCTCTCAAAAAAAAAAAAAGAGTAACCACCACATCTTGCAGATGTATTTCCCATAAACATAAATAAAACTAAAAAAAAAAAAAACAACAATTGGGCAGGCATGGTGGCTCACCCCTGTAATCCCACCACTTTGGGGGGCCGAGGCCGGTGGATCACCTGAGGTCGGGAGTTCGAGACCAGCCTGACCAACATGGTGAAACCCCGTCTCTACTAAAAATACAAAATTAACTAAATGTGGTGGCGCATGCTACTCGGGAGACTGAGGCAGGAGAATCGCTTGAACCCAGGAGAATCGCTTGAACCCGGGAGGCAGAGGTTGCAGTGAGCTGAGATCGTGCCATTGCACTCCAGCATGGGCAACAAGAGTGAAACTTCATTTCAAAAAACAAAACAGAATAAAACCCAACAATTGCCAGGCATGGTGGCTCACGCCTGTAATCTTAGCACTTTGAAAGGCCGAGATGGGAGGATTGCTTGAGCCTGAGAGTTTGAGACCAGCCTGGCCAACATGATGAAATCCCATCTCTACAAAAAATACAAAAATTAGCTGGGCATGGTGGTGCACGCCTTTGGTCCCAGCTACTCGGCAGGCTGAGGCAGGAGAATCACTTGAACTTGGGAGGTGGAGGCTGCTGTGGGCCAAGATCGAGTCACTGCACTCCAGCCTGGGTAACAGAGTGAGACTCTTGTCTCAAAAAAAAGAGAATCTGAGAGTGGTAAGTATTGCAGTGGAAATAAACAGGGTGATGGGATAGAGGTAATGGGGTAGAGGTGTATGTATGTGGTTGGGATTTAGCTGGGGTGGTTAGCAGAAGCTCTTGGATGTTGTGGCCCTCCTGTAGAGCCAGAGGATGCTGGAGAAGGAAGCCAGGGGGCCATATGGGGAAGGGCCCTGCAGGCAGGAGCCATAGTACCTGCAAAGGCCCTGAGGCAGCAGCACTCCTGGCCAGGCCAGCATGGCTGGGGCAGACCATGAAGGGGAAGAGGGACTAGTGGCTCCCCCCATTTTCAATGTATGATTTTTTTCATTTTTTTTTATTTATTTATTTTTATTTTTATTTTTATTTTTATTTGTTTTTGAGACAGAGTCTCGCATTTTCACCCAGGCTGGAGTGCAGTGGCGCCATCTCAGCTCACTGCAAGCTCCGCCTCCCGGGTTCACGCCATTCTCCTGCCTCAACCTCCCGAGTAGCTGGGACTCCAGGTGCCCGCCACCACGCCCGGCTAATTTTTTGTATTTTTAGTAGAAACAGGGTTTTACCGTGTTAGCCAGGATGGTCTCTATCTCCTGACCTCGTGATCCGCCCGCCTCGGGCTCCCAAAGTTCTAGGATTACAGGCGTGAGCCACGGCGCCCGGACTTATTTTTTATTATTTTATTTTTTTGAAGTCAGAGTCTTGCTCTGTCGCCCAGGCTGGAGTGCAACGCTGTGATCTCGGCTCACTGTGACCTCTGCCGCCCTGGCTCAAGCAGTTCTCTTGCCTCAGCCTCCTGAGTAGCTGGGGTTACAGGCTTGAACCACTACACCCAGCTAATTTTTGTATTTTTAGTAGAAATGGAGTTTCTCCATGTTGACCAGCCTGATCTTGAACTCCTGACCTCAAGTGATGCACTCGGCTTGGCCTCTCGAAGTGCTGGGATGACAGGTGTGAACCTCAGCACCTGGCCTCATTTTCATTTTTTATTTTATTTTATTTTATTTTTAGACCAAGTCTCACTTTGTCGCCCTGGCTGAAGTGCAGTGGCACAATCTCGACTCACTTCAACGTCTGCCTCCTGGGTTCAAGTGAGTCTCCTGCCTCAGCCTCCAGAGTAGCTGGGATTACAGGCATCTGCCACCATGCCCAGATAATTTTTGTATTTTTAGTAGAGATGGGGTTTCATCGGCCAGGCACGGTGGCTCACGCCTGTAATCCCAGCATTTTGGGAGGCCAAGGCGAGTGGATCACGAGGTCAGGAGTTCAAGACCAGCCTGGCCAAGATGGTGAAACCCCATCTCTACTAAGAATACAAAAATTAGCTGGATGTGGTGATAGGCGCCTATAATCCCAGTTACTCGGGAGGCTGAAGCAGAGAATTGCTTGAACCCGGGAGACGGAGGTTGCAGTGAGCCAAGATCACCCCCCTGCACTTCAACCTGGGCAACAGTGAGAGACAACATTTCAAAAAAGAAACAACAACGTAAAAAAGATGGGGTTTCACCACGTTGGCCAGGCCGGTCTTTAACTCCTGACTTCAAGTGATCCTCCAGCCTCAGCCTCCAAAGTGCTGAGATTACAGGCGTGAGCCACCATGCCCAGCCCTCATTTTTATTTTTTAGAGTCAGCATCTCCCTCTGTCATCCAGGCTGGAGTGCAGTGGTGCAATCACACCTCACTGCAGCCTTGAACTCCTGGCCTCAAAGAATCCTCCCACCTTGGCCTCCCAAAATGCTGGGGTTCAGACATGAGCCACAGCACCCACTATTTTCTGGGACAATTGGGACAGAGGCTCGATCACAAAGGGTCTCTGGGGAGGAGGAAGGGATGGGTGTCCTTCTGAGACATTTGAGTGTTTACAGCGTGCGTTTACCTTTCACCAGGTGGCCTTGGATTGGTGGGCCACCCTGCGGGCTTATCCTCCTCCCCTTGGATGGTGTCTCCCTGTGTCCCTGTGGGGGCTGTCGTTTACAAGTGGAGCTGGGCTTTCTGGTGCGGTCCAGCCCTGGTCCTGCCTAGCTCACAGTGGGAAGGGGCTGCAGGGAAGATGGGAGGGGGGAAGGAGGCTGGGGACAGGCCTCTTCTGGCCCTGGTGCTCAGAGAATTCACAAGGACCTAGGAAGAAGCCTGGACTTGTTTTGGCCTTTGGACCTCAGGAGAACCTCAGCGGAGGCTGGGAGCCTCGAGGGGGACAGCAGAGGCAGGGGAACGCTGGGGCAGCTCTTGACAGCCCCAGGGAGACCCAGGCAGCTGAGTCCTGAGCAGGGGCGCCAGAGGTCCAACAACACCGGAAAATCAGAAAATGAGGCAAAGCAGCCAGGTGCGGTGGTTCACGCCTGTAATCCCAGCACTTTGGGAGGCCGAGGCTGGCAGATCACTTGAGGTCAGGAGTTCGAGACCAGCCTGGCCAACATAGCGAAACCCCATCTCTACTAAAAATACAAAAATTAGCCGGGTGCAGTGGCGGGTGCCTGTTAGCTCAGCTACTCGGGAGGCTGAGGCAGAAGAATAGCTTGAATCTGAGAGGTGGAGGTTGCAGTGAGCCGAGATCGCGCCACTGCACTCCAACATGGGTGACAGAATAAGACTCTGTCTCAAAACAACAACAACCAAAAAAAAAAAGAGGAAAGAAAATGAGGCAAAGAAACCCTGGGCTATCTCTAAGTCTCTAGTCTTTTGAGCCTGATTCCTTCCCTGGCAGCTGTGTCCTGAATTTGAGGAATGAGCCCCTGGGGGCAGGATTGGCCCAGGAGCCTCAGGCTTATCTCAGAACAGTGGAGCTAAGATGAGAGTCCCTGGGACGGAGCGGGGGCTGCGGTTGCCTGCAGGCTGGAGGAGCATTTTGAGCTGGAAAAGGCACGAAAGCTGGGGGGAAGGCACATATGAGAGAAGGCCTGAAAAGCAAGGCTTCCCACCAATTCACACTCACACTTCCAGGCTGGGCCCCTTTGGTGTCTGCAGCCCTTTCTGCCCCTGTCCCTGTCACTTCCTTAGAAAGGCCTGCCCTGACCACGCTCTGAGATTCTCCAGTAACCTTCTTCCATTTTCTTTTCTTTACTTTTTTTTTTTTTGAGGCAGAGTCTTGCTCTGTCGCCCAGGCTGGAGTGCAGTGGCGTGGAGTAGCTGAGATTACAGGTGCGCGCCACAACAGCCGGCTAATTTTTGTATTTTTAGTAGAGATGGGGTTTCACCATGTTGGCCAGGGTGGCCTAATTTTTGTATTTTTAGTAGAGACAGGATTTCACCATGTTGGCCAGGCTGAACTCCTAACTTCAGGTGATCTGCCTGCCTCGTTCTCCCAAAGTGCTGAGATTACAGGCGTGAGCCACTAGGCCCTGCCATAATGCAATTTTTTTTTTTTTTGAGACGGAGTCTCGCTCTGTCGCCCAGTCTGGAGTGCAGTGGCGCGGTCTCAGCTCACTGCAAGCTCTGCCTCCTGGGTTCACGCCGTTCTCCTGCCTCAGCCTCCCGAGTAGCTGGGACTACAGGCGCCCGCCACCACGCCCGGCTATCTTTTTGTATTTTTAGTAGAGATGAGGTTTCACCGTGTTAGCCAGGATGGTCTTGATCTCCTAACCTCATGATCTGCCCGACTCGGCCTCCCAAAGTGCTGGGATTATAGGCGTGAGCCACCGCGCCCAGCCCATAATGAAATTTTTTTAAGAGACAGGATCTTGCTCTCTCGCCCAGGCTGGAATGCAGTGGAGTGATCATAGTTTTATTTATTTATTTATTTATTTATTTATTTATTTATTTATTTATCTGAGACAGTCTTCTTGCTCTGTCACTTGGGCTGGAGCACAGTGGCCCGATCTTGGCTCACTGCAACCTTCGCCTCCCGGGTTCAAGCGATTCTCCTGCCTCAGCCTCCGGAGTAGCTGGGACTACAGGCGCGTGCCACCATGCCCGGCTAATATTTGTATTTTTAGTAGAGACAGGGTTTCACCACGTTGGTCAGGCTTGGTCTCAAACTCCTGACTTCAGGTGATCTACCTGTTTCAGTCTCCCAAAGTGCTGGGATTACAGGCATGAGCCACCGTGCCCGGCCTAATGTAATATTTTAAAAACTAATGCAAAAGAATTTCTGATGAGCAATATATAAAGACTTTAAATAAGCTGGTCATGGTGGCTTGTGCCTATAGTCCTAGCTACTCAGGAGGCTGAAGTAGGAGGTTCACTTGATCCTGGGAGGTCGAGGCTGCAGTGAGCTATGATGGCACCAGCCTGGGTGACAGAGTAGACTCTATGTTAAAAAAAAGAGGCCAGGTGCGGTGGCTGATGCCTGTAATCCCAACACTTTGGGAGGCTGAGGCAGGAGGATTCTGGGGTCAGGAGTTCGAGGCCACACTGGCCAACATGGGGAAACCCCGTCTCTACTGAAAACACAAAAATTAGCTGGGCATGGTGGTGGGCGCCGGTAATCCCAGCTACTCAGGAGGCTGAGGCAGGAGAATCGCTTGATCCCAGGAGGCAGAAGTTGCAGTGAGCTGAGATCGCGCCATTGTACTCCAGCCTGGGCGACAGAGCGCGACTCCATCTCATAAAGAAAAATATTTTAAAACATTTCTAAATGTTGATGTCTGAGTTTTTTTTGGCGTCCCTGTAAATTTTGTTTTCCAGGCGAGAACTTTACTGGCCTCAACCTATTCCGGGTCCCCAAGTGAATGAAACCTAAGTTTGGCCCCGCCCACAGAGCAGCAGGCCACGCCCCTCGACATATCAGCCCCGCCCCCAGGACGCTAGTCGCGCGGTCGCTCTGTGCCTGCAGACCCCCGCCCCGCGCGCTCCTCGCGTCACTTCCGGGGCGGTGGTGAGAACGAGGCTCACTTCCGTCCGTGGGGGGAGCTGCGGCGGTGGCGGTGCAGGAGGCCGGGCAGGGGTGCGGAGGGACCGACGGACGCACGGGCGGGCGGCCGGGAGCCATGGAGCGCGGCCCTGGGGCCCGGGGGCGCGGGCCGGGGTGGTGAGTGCCGGGCAGGGGCGGGGGCGGGCGCGGCCGCGCGGGGTCCCGGGCCGGGCCTCGAGGGCCTGACAGCCCGGTTGGACGTCCCCGAGACCCCTGCAGTCCCAGGGCTTCCGCGGGTCCTGCCCGAGGAGCCCAGAGCAGGGGCGCGGACCGCGGATGAGCGTCTGTGATTGGGAAAGCCCTGTCCCCATCCATTCAGCCCTCCGGCGTGGGTTGCGCTCCCACCCTCCTGCGGACGCGGCCCTTGCCTTCGGGGAGCACCCGTCCGAGCCGCGGATTCCGCTCTTTTGCCCCGAAACTGCCCCCAGTCCGACAAACGCTTCGGCCTCTCGCCCCCCAAGGCAGCTCCCAGGGGCCCTCCCGAGCCCTGCTTCCCAACCAGCTCCCAGTCGCTGTTTCCCTTGTCAGGCTTCTTCCTGCCACCCTGACTCCTGGGCGGGCTTCCCGGCCTCCGCTCGCGTCCGTTCTCCGGGATGCAGCCCTTCTCCTATGTTGTCCATCGCTTGCTCGGGACTTCTTCGCGGCCCCGCCATTTCTCCCAGGATGAAGTGCAAACTCTCGGGGGCGCGACCTCACCCGTCCCAGGCTCTCTCTTAGGACCCTTCTGCTCACTTCTTCCTCCCAGGGTCTGCTCTAGCCAGGAGCCTGCTCTGTCACCTCGGATTTTGCTCCTGCTTGTCCCTCTGTCCCATCCCCCTGTCACCTGGCCCGTTTGTCTGCCCTCTGATATGGCCGCGCCTCCCCCCAGGCGGGTTTCCCACCCTGACTGGTTGAGTGAGGTGCAGTCACCGTCTCCCATATGTAGGTCATCTTCCAGTATTTTGGCTGCTCGGTTGCTTGCTGGTCCTCAGAACACCTCTAGCTTGCAGAGGGTTGCCCAGTTAAGTGCGTGGGAACGGAATTGGTGGGATTCAGGGTGTCAAGGGTGTGTGCCCAGTGAGTGAGGCGTCTGGGTTTGCACTCCCCAGTCCACGCCCATTAGTGACACTAGGGAGGTTCCAGGTACCTGTGGCTGGAGAGGAGAGGAGACTAGACTTTCCCTTCCCTGTCAAAGCTGGCGGACCTTGGGGATTCTTTTCCTCCTGTGCTTCCTCCTTAATTCTGTGCTGCCTACCACCTGCCCATTCCTTTAGTGAGTGGCAGGTCATGGTCCTGCTCTCATAGAGTTTCTGGTTTGGAGGTGGGGGGAGATCTGGCCAAACGTGTGAAAAATACAAGCTGTGGAAAGAGCGTGTAAGGGGTCCTGTCCCAGCTTTGAGGACTCTGAGAGCGTTGGCAGTGAGGTGCAAAGGGTGGTTGGGTTGGGCAAGGCTGTCTAGTGAGGTTGGGGAAGGGAGTTCCTGGCAGAGGAGCAGAGGCAGGAAGGGGCAATTTGGCTTGTCTTGAGGGAGCCAGGAGTGGCAGGGTGTGAGATGAGTGAGTCTGGAGAGGTCGGCCTGAGCCGGAATGCGGACCTGGCAGGCTGTGGGGAGGGCTTTGATCTCTATCCAGGGAATAATGGGAGGCCCCCAGGACACCCCAAGAGGGAAGCGGCTCCATTGCATTTGTGTCGTGAAAGATTGTTTGGCTGCTGGGGGAGAATGTCCTGGAGCAGGTGATCAGCAAGGAGGGAGGCTGTTGCTGTGGCTCTGGTGAAAGGTGATGGAGGCAGGGACCGGGCGGTGGCTGATGGGAGACAGGCAGAGCCACCGGGCTGGTGATGGACCGGCTCAGATCCAGTGGGTGGAAGGAGGTGTCAAGGATAACATCTTTGTTTCTGGCCTGGATAGTGGGGCCCTGGCCACCTCGGTGTGCCCCTTCGTCTCCGGGGTCTCCAGGGGCCTGCTGCTGTCCACTGGGCTCTCAGGACCCAGCTGCATGATGCCACCTAAACTGCAGGGCCCTCCAAGTCCCCAGCACCAGCGGGGCAGCACCGGTAGGGCCTGGACCTCTTTGAGAATATGTTGAAAAGCTGACATCAACCTCGACGCTGTGGATGTTGGGCCTGATCATTCTTTGGGGTGGGTCTGTCCTGGGCACTGCAGGGTGCTAAGCAGCCTCCACCCAGTCCCCAGTGGTGACACCCAAAACTGTGTCCAGACATTGACAGGTGTCTCCAGGAGGGAGACTCGCCTCCATCTGAGAAGCAGAACCAGCCTGACAGTCCACCTCCCGGCTGAAAAGTGCTTGCATGTGCGATTTGCCTTCCGCCTGGGAGTCTGGGGGCACTGGGATGCCATCCTTGCCCCACCCTGGCTTTCAGAGCTCTCTCCTCTCCTCCTCGTGTGCCCATGAGTCCGGCTCACAGGAACGTGGGTCTCACATCAGGTCCTGAGGGAGCAGGTGTGTTTCTGGGCCTGAGGCTGCTCCTTGGTAGTGAGGGTGTCCCCACGAGCCGTGTCTGTGGCGCCTGCAGCTGCCTGCATGTCCATCTGTGTCCACATCTGCCTTTGAGCCTCATCTTCCTGGCCCCACGGTTTTCTCATGCTGTGACCCAAAAGCCAAGCATTCCAGGGTGTTCTGCTGAAATTGAGTTGTGAGCGTGTCTCTCTCCTCGCTCCAGTCTGAAGGAGAAGCGTGGTCGGTAGATAGACGTCTCAGACCTTCGTGTTTT
Source organism: Homo sapiens (assembly GCF_000001405.40). Taxonomy (NCBI): domain Eukaryota; kingdom Metazoa; phylum Chordata; class Mammalia; order Primates; family Hominidae; genus Homo; species Homo sapiens. The sequence continues at coordinate 1,882,755 of NC_000019.10, read as the reverse complement.
CTTCACGTCTGTCTGTTGGCAGGTCCTTACACTATTGTGGTTGCTTTAGCAACTTAGCTGTTGTCGACTTAATGTGTTTCATGACGTTCTGCAGCAAGGAAGAAGGTCCGAGTTTCCACTCTCAATCAGGCACCTTCGTTCCCCTCCCCCCTCACTTGACTTCCTGTGGGGTGTGTGGTGTCTGCACTTATAGATGAGAATGCTGAGGCCTCAGGAGGGCAAGGGACTCGCCCACGGTCACGGAACCCTAAGTCAGGGGTGGAGAAGGACCCCCTGACGCCAGCCCACCTCCCCTGCCCCTCAGCAGGCCTGGCTCCAGCACAGAGAAGAGCCATTGTTGCTGCTCTGGGGGCCCTAGGAGCCTGGGATGTATCCTGCCTTTGTTTCTAGAGCCTTTGTTTGTTGTATTTCCTCTGTCTCCAGACATCGCAGGCCGGTGGGACCCGGCGCCTGTGCACGCTCACGTAGCGGGGCCTGTTCGGGTCCCTCGTGGGTCCCTTCAGTTCGAGCTCTGTCCTTGCCTCAGCGGCCCGTCACCCATAGGGTGGCAGAGATGGGCCGGGGGAGGGAGTGGGCAGCAGTGCGGACCGAGTCCTGGCGCATGGGGTTTCCCTGGTGCTGGAGCCGGGCGTTTCGGGGGTGTGGGCGGGGCTGGGGTCATATCCCCTGCATGCCCCGCATGCCATGGCTGTACTCACATGGCAAGAGGTGGTGATCGCCAGCTCAGGGAAGGTGGGGGTTCCTTCATCCTGTGGAGAGGGGGCTGAATTGGGGTCCCCTGAGCTGTAGGGTGCAGTGCCTGACAGGCCGTGGGGAGGGCCGAGGGGATGGGGACTGACAGGCCCCGGGCCCATGCCGCCCCCTGGCACGGGTGGATGCCCCGCCTCCCGGGGGTGCCCAGCTGGACTGTGGCACCCCCAAAGGACCCCACATGTCACTGTTCCCCCGCAGGGCTTCCCACGGCACGACATGGAGACCTGTGGTTGCGAGGCTCCCTGGGGCTCGGCTTGGACCGCGATGGGGCTGGGCCCTGGCCTCCTAACGGGGCTGCTGTCTGGGGCGGTAGCTGGGGGGGCGCTCTCCCCCCTGCCCGCGACTCGGAGCACCCCCACCCCTCCCCTGCCGGGCCAGGCCGGGCGGCGTTGTTGGCGGGGGCCCCGGTGGAGGCCCGGCCTGGGCGGCGCCCGCCATGAATGGGCTGTCGCTGAGTGAGCTCTGCTGCCTCTTCTGCTGCCCGCCCTGCCCCGGCCGCATCGCTGCCAAGCTCGCCTTCCTGCCGCCGGAGGCCACCTACTCCCTGGTGCCTGAGCCCGAGCCGGGGCCTGGTGGGGCCGGGGCCGCCCCCTTGGGGACCCTGAGAGCCTCCTCGGGCGCACCCGGGCGCTGGAAGCTGCACCTGACGGAGCGTGCCGACTTCCAGTACAGCCAGCGCGAGCTGGACACCATCGAGGTCTTCCCCACCAAGAGCGCCCGCGGCAACCGCGTCTCCTGCATGTATGTTCGCTGCGTGCCTGGTGCCAGGTGAGCAGCTGTGGCCGCGCCTGGGCTGGGTCACCCTGTTCTTGGGGCTCCCGTTTCTGCCTGCGGTGCTTGGTGTGGTTGGTGGTGCCCCCGAGGGCCCGAGCCTGCCGTGAAGGGCCATCCAGCCAGCAAGGGTGGTATCCCCCGTCAGGCCGGCCTCGTCCCTCTGGCAATTTTCTCTCGCAGACAAGGACACCAGGCTCAGGGAGGCCATCCCCAGCTGGCATGGGTGGGCAGGCTGGGCGACTCCAACAACCCAGCGCCTGGTGGTTGCCTGCTGGGCAAGAGCTGGGGCACAGGGGCTGCCCTGGCCTGCGGGTACATCCACCTTCTCGCCAGGTGGGGTTCTGACCAGATCTGAGTCCAGAGGGCGAGCCTTTACCTTCTGGCTGGGCTAGGTGGGGGCCTGGGGGAACTGGAGGAAGCAGTCCATGGCAGGGCCAGCCTGGCCACCTGCTCCTGGCACCACCTGGGGCAGCTCCCGTGCTGGGAAGCAGACAGGCCTTGCAGCACAGCCTTGGGGCTTGGGCAGGGTGGTGGGCCAGGAGGGGCTGCATGAGTGTGAGCAGAGATTGGCCGCATTTGCTTGTTGGGGGCAGGGGTGGGGTCCAGTTGTGCCCCAACAGTGAGGGCACCATTCTGTGAGGTGAGGGGAGATAGCCCTGCCAGCAGCAGCATGGGCTCCCCTGGGAAGGTCCTGAAAGGTGGGCCTGTGCGCTCCATCCCCGGGGGTCCAGGTTCTTCCAGGAGGAAGGGCAGTGAAGCCTGCAGTATCTGAGCACACACTGCGAGTCTGCCCTGAGAGAGGATGCGACCGATGGTCCCAGTGTCCCGCTTCACAGATGGGAATCCTGAGGCTCCCTGGCTGGCCTCTGCAGCCCAGGCTGCCTGTCCCCCTGCCAGCTGTCCTGTCCTCTCCCCATGGGGAACCCTCGGAGATGGAGCTGTGCTGTCGTAGCCTCCCCTCTCCATTCACTGGCTTCTGGCCCCCTTGGGAGGGGAGTAAATGAGGCACTGGGCATGGCTGGCCACCGGGGTGGGCTGTCACTACGCATCCTCCTGCCCTGCAGCTGGGCGCTGGGAGCGAGGATGTGAACGGCCCTTCTCGGCCTGTCCCAGGTACACGGTCCTCTTCTCGCACGGCAATGCCGTGGACCTGGGCCAGATGAGCAGCTTCTACATTGGCCTGGGCTCCCGCCTCCACTGCAACATCTTCTCCTACGACTACTCCGGCTACGGTGCCAGCTCGGGCAGGCCTTCCGAGAGGAACCTCTATGCCGACATCGACGCCGCCTGGCAGGCCCTGCGCACCAGGTGAGGGCGACCCTGGGGGCAGCTCAGCCTGGGCACACCCAAGAGGGGACCAGGCGGGGGGCCGGGGGGCGGGCTTCCCTGGGAGGAAGGTGGGCGGCCCTGCAGGAGGGGAGCCACAGTGGATGCACAGGGCCAGAGAGCCGGACAGGCGAGCTTGGGTGTGCAGGTGCCGCCTCCACATGGCTGAGGTGTGGCCAGGCGGTCCTCCCACACCCTGGCCTGTGGAGCCAGGTTCCCTGGGAACCCCTGGCCTGAGGATGGGAAGGGGCTGAGCTTGTCACAGGGGTGTGGATGCCACCCGGCGGGAGGGAGTGGGTGGTGGTCTGGGGGTCTGTGCACGTGTGGCTGGGAGCCCATCGGCCGAGGCAGCACTTGGGGCCAAGTGAGGCGAGGCTGCTGCATCCAGGTCCGGAGGACTGGCCCATGAGGCCCTGTGGCTGCGGAGCTTGGCCATCCTGGGGCAGGGCCTACAGGGTAAGGTGCAGACCCGCAGCACACATCCGAGGTCTGGGCCAGCCTCGATTCCAGATCCAGCCCTCCTAGTCATCCACGTCCCCAGCCCTGCGCTTGCCTGGGCCCTTCACCGGTGTTTGAGCACCGCCCGGGCCAGTGCTGCTTTGGACGAGGAGACCCGGGTGGGCCTCTGGTGGCTTTTCCTGCTCACCATCCACTGGGCCTGTCTCGTCCTGGCCCTGCCCAGCCCACTGGTCTGACCTGCTCCCACAGGGACCAGGCACAGCTCTGAGAAGTCAGAGGCCCTAGGGAGGTGGGGTCGTCGTTGCCTTGGTGATATGCAGGCAGTCCCTGCAGTGGGCCTGGGAGCTGGTCCCCTGGCACCACCCTGGCTCTGGGGGCCTCCCAGCAGTGTGGGACGCTGACACCAATCACCACTTCATGCGACTTCCTCGGCCCCTCCTGTCTCTACTGCCTGGGCCACTGGCAGAGTCACACCTGCCATGGCCAGCTCTGAGCTCTGTCTGCTCGGCCATCTGTCCTGCTGCCACTTTGTCCTGCAGGAACCTAGGCCCAGAGCTGTGAGGGGGAGGCCAGAGCGTGCCCAGGGCCTCCACCGGGGATGTGTCCTGTTCGTTTGAGTGGTGACATCCAGGTGGCAGCTCGGGGCTCCTGCCTGTAGCAGGTGGCAGGGCTGGGCTGGCTCAGCACACTACTGACCATGGCTGCCAGGGAGCAGGCCAGGGAGGCCGAGGCAGAGCTGGAGCCACAGGCACCAGCCAGGCAGCATCCTTTGGGGCATGGGTGAGTGGCGAGCTGTGGAGTGCTGCCAGGAGGCTGGGATTCCAGGCCAGGGACGGGGACAGCCCTGCTGGTGGAGATGCCAGGCAGAGGGGACGCACACCTGCCCATGCTCCTGCCTTGCAAGAGGGCGTCTGCCTGGGATCAGAGCCTAGAGCGTGTGGGAGGAGAGTTGTGGGGTCCCGGCATGGGCAGGGTGGCAGGTGGGTCCCGTGTGCTTGGGACTGGGCACGAGGAGGCCTTGTAACTGGTGCTGGATCAGCTGGGTCAGGGGCCGCACACCAATGACCTGGGGGTGAGGGTGCCCCTGGGTGGGAGCTGGTGGTGCTGAGGTGGCCGAGGACTTGTCCACTCCCAAGGGAAGGTGCTGGTGGGAGGGGGTGCCACCTCCGCAGCCACCACCCTCGATGCTGACCTGGGTTGCACTGGCATCTCATTGGGCGTGGGGACTCCGAGAGTCCAAAATTGGGTGGAGACATTTGGGGACACAGCTGCCTGAATTCCTCATGGCCAAGGGGGTGGGCAAGGGCTGCAGGGAGGAATAGTGTCCGCTGTCCTGGCCAGTGCACCAGGAACGGTTTTCTAACCCTGGCAGGAAGGTGTGAAGCATTCAGGATGTGGGGGCCACACAGTTCCCAGTGTGCACCTAGGGGTGACCAGGAGGAGGAGAGGCGCCAGGGCCTCCCTTACCCCCGCCCCAGGGGCACTCCGTAGGCAGGATCCCTGCAGATCCTAGCTAGGAAACGCCAGTGAACGGCAGCGCAGGGAACGGGGCGGGGCCGCTGGCTTCGCCCACCGCCACGGTGTTGGGGGCTGGGGGTGGCCCTCGGGACTGGTGTGGAGCCTGAGCCTGACCCACTGACTTGGCTGAGTGGGGAGACTGGAGGGTCGCATCCGGAGCTGGGCCCGGGGACGCCCGCTGGTGGGAAGGGTGCGCGCGCGTCGGAGGCCGCGGCTGACCCTGCTCCGGCGCCGCCAGGTACGGCATCAGCCCGGACAGCATCATCCTGTACGGGCAGAGCATCGGCACGGTGCCCACCGTGGACCTGGCCTCGCGCTACGAGTGTGCCGCGGTGGTGCTGCACTCGCCGCTCACCTCGGGCATGCGCGTCGCCTTCCCCGACACCAAGAAGACCTACTGCTTCGACGCCTTCCCTAAGTGAGCGGCCCGGGCGGGGACGGGGGCGGGGCGGGGCCCGGGCCGGGCGCGAAGTCTCACCGGCTCCACGACCCTCCCGCAGCATCGAGAAGGTGTCCAAGATCACGTCTCCCGTGCTCATCATCCACGGCACGGAGGACGAGGTGATCGACTTCTCGCACGGGCTGGCGCTCTACGAGCGCTGCCCCAAGGCGGTGGAGCCGCTGTGGGTGGAGGGCGCCGGGCACAACGACATCGAGCTCTACAGCCAGTACCTGGAGCGCCTGCGTCGCTTCATCTCCCAGGAGCTGCCCAGCCAGCGCGCCTAGCGGCGGCCCCAACCGGCCGGACCTCAGCAATAAGGCGGCCCCCGGACCTCACCCCGCGCCGGCCCCCACCCAGGGGCTGCATGTGGACCCCCCGGGCGGCCCAGGGGACCCCGCCCCGACCCAGGGGCTGTGGACGATGTACAGGCAACAGAGCTACGCACTCCTTTCCTTTTGGAAGCAAGAAGAAAATACGTGAAAACGGAAATTAAAGATTTAAAATTTTAGGGCTGCTCTCCTTCCTTTCATGGCTCTGCTCACTCTCTCGAGCGCTCAGCGAGCTCGAAAGGGGGCCGGGGTTCCCAGGTTTCGTCCCTGAGTCCCTAGGAGAGATCGGCACGGACCCCCTTATAGGTTTTACTCTGCGGAAGTGGGGTGGGTCTCTGTCTAGTCCGGGGAGCCCTTAGGGAGCTGGTTGCCTGGGCGATGATGGGTGGGGCAGCGTTTGAGCCCAGGACCCCTGCCTGCTTCCTAGGGAGGCTGGTGAGCCCTGCTGGGTGGGCGCGATGAGGACGCCAGGCGTGGGGGCCCTGCTGCCATCGCGGGACTGCCCCCTCGACAGCTTCCCGTCAGTCCTACTGCAGAGGGGCCAGGACAGCGCACTCTGGGTCCTGAGGTGCCGCGCTTGACGGACCTCAGAGCTCGGACAGGCCGCTTCCTTCGTAGATGGCGAAGCTGGGGTCCAGCAGAGGGCGGTGGCAGGTGCTTGGGCCCCGAGGGTCTCCCCTGGAAGAGGGAGCCGACACTGGAGCTGGGATCACGAGAAGAGTTCCTACGATCTCTAGGGCAGAAGGCTTAGGACCGGGAGGACTCGGGAACCGGTGGCCTGTTGTCCACCTTAGGGTTGGGCAGGGTTCAGCCTGTGTCGCGCGACCAGGCGGTGGCGAGGCCGGGATCCCAAGCTGCATCCAGCTAGCTCTAGTCCGCGGCCCCTTTAAGGGGGGGCGGTGCTTCAGTCTGGGCGCGAGAAGGCGCTGCGTCACGTGCGGGGCCGCAGCACGGACGGAAGCGGAAGTGGCGGCGTGCGTGCGGCAGTGGAGACGGCGGCGGCGGTGGCTGGCGTCAGGCTGTGGACGAAGAGGCGGCCTCGGTGGTAAGTGGCGGCCGCTGGGACCCAGCCAGGTACCGGTCCGGCTCGGCCCTGCCCCTTTCCGGCCGCTCTCACTCCTTCCCTCGGCCTCGAGTTCCTCGTAGGCCCGTGGGGGCCGCCGCGGGGTCGGGGCTGCGAGGCAGCGCCCGCCGTTCCATGGTAAGCGGTGCTACGGGACGTTCGGAAGGAAACCTCGCTAGAGCAGGGGACGCCTGGGCTCCTGGCTGACCACGGGGCCTTTGCACGGCCAGGGCTTTGCGACCGCAGTGTCTTCCTTCTGTCCCCGGTCGTGCGCCGTGCCCCTCAGCGCGGCTCACGTTTCGGAACACGTCTGCCTTTCATGCCTCCCGAAGAGCCTCCCCGCATCCCGTGCCCCCTGCTCGCTGCTGCCGCTGACCCTTGGGCGCTGCGCTGGTCCAGAGCGTGTTGTCCTCTGACGCCGTCAGAACCTGAGCTCCCTGCGAGCTGGGACTCCGCCGTGTCTTCATTGCCTCCAGTGCAAAGCAACTGCTTGCAAGAGAACAAAAGTGTGTTCAGGTGCACAGAGTAGAAAATTCAAGGAGCCTGAAAGGGTATTTGGTGAAGACTTGATGTGTTTTTCCCAGTCCTAACCTCCAAGGCCCAGTTCTCCCCTGGGGCAGAGGGAAACCCGTTTCTTACGGGTCTGCAAAGAAAGTCTATGCAGGAACATCTACGTGCGTTTCTGCAAAAGGTCAGTTACTTTACTTGGGGCTCTTATACTTAACGTAGCTCGGAGAGCGCCCCATGCATTCAGATACAGGTGGGATTCCTCCGGAAACGGAGTTTTATAGCACCAGACTTTATCCCCTTTCCTGTAGAAATTTAGGGTTTTTGCTGTCTTTTATAACGAACAATGCTAGCTTGACTATTGCTTGTACAAACCGTTTTTTGCCCAAGTCGGACTATTTTCTTAGGTTAAATTCCTTGGTGCAGAAGTGCGAGGGCTGTATTTAGGCCCCTAAAGGGGTGGTACCAAATCGCCCTCCCCCACCAGCATAAGAGGGGGCCGGCGACACCCTTGCCCAAGCTGGATTTTGCAGACCTGGTAGGCGTGAGATAGTATTTCACTGTAGCTTGTGTTTCCTGTAAGTATAGTCGAACGTCGTGATGTTCCTGTTACATCTATGTTACGTTGATCATTGTTACCACTGACAGTCGTTTCGAGATTGGAAAATATGTTTATTATAAACGTTTGACTATTTAAAAGCCATTTGTATTTTATCTTCTTGGCTCATTTTTCTGTTGGGTGGATGGTGGTGGTTTCTAGGTGCACTTTACAGATTAAGAAAATTCGCTTTCTGTCTAGTAGAAGTGTTTTTTTTTTTTTTTTTTTTTTTTTTTTTTTGGGACTCTGACACATTTATTGCTGAATACCATTTCTCGGCTGACCCGGAAGTGTTTCTTTTTTCTATCTGTCATTAGTCTTTGACTTTGTTTGTATTTTTTTCTTTAAGCTAAGCATCTAAAATTGTTACTGGTCATTAGTTTTTTTCTCTTTACGGCTCCTGCATTTTTGTGTCATCTCAGGAATATCTTCTCCGCTGTAAGATCATAAAACATTTGAGATTTTCTTCTAGAAATGTAGTGGGGTTTTTTTTTCCCCATATATTTAAATGCTTATGTCTAATTTTAGAAAGTATTCCTGGTAAGGAGTAAGGTAGGAAGCAAAACTTTTTTTCCACAAATTGTCCCAACTTTATTTCCCAAAAAAGCATTCTTTTCCCCACTGAAGTGCTGTCTTTATGGCAAGTAGATTTGGGTCTGTCCCTAGACTCTTATCCCAGTTTTCCAGAACCCCATTGTCTTCCTGACCTCATGTCCGGAGGCCCCTCCTCCTTGCATTATTTTGCACGTTTCTTTTTTCTCCTGAACAGCAGGCAAGTTTATCTGGTTCTCCCACCGTGATCTTCTTTGAAAACATTGAGATTGCTTAGATTCTTAGATTTACAGATCAAACTGAGATAAAATTCTCATCTTAAAATAGTTGACGACTTCATCTGATCCATGTGGTACTAGTTCCACAAGACACTGTGATGAAGAGGATTTTGGAAATCGAAGTATTTGGGGCCGCCCCTCCCTCCCTGCGGGCTGTGGATATTCACGGTGCGCGATGCTGGCCTTGGTTTCAGGCAGCCCCATTCTCAAGCTGCTGCGAACTCAGCACCGAGGCTTCGGCAGGGCTCCCAGACGCCTTCAGCGTACACTGTGTTCCCTCTGCCTGTCCCTCTCACATGGGGTAAACCGAGTCCGGGCCTTCAGGCTCCAGGCTGTCAGGCCAACTTCCACCCTCGGCCTCTCCCCACCACCCCCTGCTCTTGGGACCCGGGAGGACCCCGCAGGGGTGGCGACAGGGGAGGCCAGCACTCTATTCCAGGACGCGCGCTCTCCCCACCTCCCACTTGGTATGGCCCGGGGCCAGGCCACCTGGGAGTAGGGCCAACTTCCCGTTCTCCATTTTGTGGATTTTCCAGGACACACTTGTTCAAGCCCTGCAACAGCGTTCTCCCGGGTAGGGCGCCTGGGGGCTGAGTCTCTGGTCCACCCTGTGTCACCTGCTCCTGGTACACCCCAGCACGGGGCCCTGGGTGACGGGACAGACACCAGCCAGGTGACCCTATGGCCTAGGCCCACTCTGGTACCCGGAGCCCGGGGGGAGGGCAGACCCTCCCCAGGGCCAGTGGCTGGAGCATGGCTGTGGGTGTGGCAGAGGCTTGCCTGAGATGTGGGCTAGGCCCTTCCAGTGGGTCAGGTCTGGGGCGGTGCCCAGGGCTGTGCACCCTCCAGCTGCTCCCCAGGGGACCAGTGGCCTGTCAGCCCCGACTGGCATTCGTGGGGTCCCAGCATGTGTGTGTGGGCGGCTGACCAAGCTCTTATGACGCTGTGGCTGCATTCATCCGTCGTCCCATTAATGCCAAGCTGGTGGGACCCACCCGGCTGGCTCTGTTCTGCATGACCTGAGGGCCCTCTGGGGTTCTGGAAGAGGATGGAGACCATCCCTGCTTGGCTGTGATTCTGTCCTCTTGGCCTGTGGTGGCCGTGACCTGAGGTGGGGCCTCTGGGAGCAGGCGCCTCCTCTTTCCTCCCCTATGGCAGGCACCTGCCTGTCCACCTCTGAGTCCGGGTGTCAGGATCAAGGTGGGAGTGCAGGGCCGCCTTGTTAACTGGGAGTCCATCCAGTGGGCGCCCAACTGGTATCAGAGCGGCCCAGGGGCCAGCACAAGCCCCTGGTCCCACTTCCCTCCCGGTTCCGGGCTCCGGCCACGGGCCACGTCGATCTTCACAACGATTCTGGGCTGCTGGGGTGACTGTCCCTGCTTCCCCACCGAGAGAAGTAGCCGAGACCCCGGCCAGGCCCGCGCTCCCTCGGCACTCGGCGTCTCCCAGCCACGACAGCACAGGTGGCTCAGAAATAAGGTCCCGGGACACACATCTGCCCGGCCAGACAGCGAGCACCTCCCGCCAGACCAGAGCCTATTCTCTCCCCAGCACCCAGCCGGAAGTGGAGCTCAGAACAGGCAGTGTGTGTGTCCGTGGAGGATAAGAGCGCGACTCTGGGACCCGCCCTCCCCAATAGCCTCACGGAGGGAACAGGCCCAGGCGGGGTGCTTTATGTGAATGAAGCCTGTGGCTGTTAGCAGAGTGCCCTGAAACCCCACCACTAGGCTGGGCGCGGTGGCTCACGCCTGTAATGCCAGCACTCTGGGAGGCCGAGGCGGTGGATGACCTGAGGTCAGGAGGTCGAGACCAGCCTGACCAACATGGTGAAACCCTGTCTCTACTAAAAAAGTACAAAAATTAGCTGGCATGGTGGCGGGCGCCTGTAGTCCCAGCTACTCGGGAGGCTGAGGCAGGAGAATCGCTTGAACCCAGGGGGCGGAGGTTGCAGTGAGCCAAGATTGCACCACTGCACTCCAGCCTGGGCAACACAGCAAGACTCCATCTTAAAAAAACAACGAAAAACCACCGCCACCTGTCTGACCCTGTTCAAGGGGGAAAGCTCTTATGGAAGCTTTTCATCATCTTTGGGAGGCCAAGGAAGCGGGGTGCCTGGGGGTCCTGGTCCCCTCCCGACTCTGTGCAGATAAAATCCCCGGCCCTGGCCCTGCAGTCCTGCTGAGGAGGGGCTGGGGGTGCAGGGGTTGGGGGATTCGCACGGGAAAGGAAATGCCAGCCGGATCCTGCCCCTGCTGCCCACCCTGTGCAGGATGGAGGAGGCCTTGGTGTCCCTGAAGCAGCTCCTAGCATGGATGCCGTGGACCCCAGAGATGCTCCCTGCAGGACCCCACGCAGGGGCTTCCTTGCAGTCGGCCAGCAGGGTGACCTCGCTGTGTCCTCCGGTTGGAGGGTGGCAGCTGCTGCCCCACCTTCCCACCTGGCTGGTGGAACCTTGTCCTCTGTCCCCCAGGAGCTTGCAGCTGCCCCCCCGCCCCCCACCGTGCGTGGTGGCCCCCCTGGACTGGACCATGGTAAGTGATTTAACGCCTTAACACAGAAATATACCCTGAGTGGCTTTGGGGGTCGGCGTTTTGGTCACATAATGCAACACCTGCAGTAATGTAAATAAAGGCTATCACCAGACCACAGTGTCCTGCAGGAGCGCCAGCCCCGGGGGGGTGGGGACTTTAGGGTTTTGTTGACAATCAGGATCACCGGGAGAGGTCAGGGTCACACCGTCAGATACTCAAATGGGTGGCACAGACCGCTGAGTGCGTCCTCTGCAGGCCTCATGGCCACCTCCGCAGCCCGTCCAGTCCCTCCTGCTACGGCCCTGGGTCCCTGCAGGCCTGTCCGGAGGTGGCTTCCACAGGTTGGCAAAGGTCATCCGTGAATAAACAGCCTGTGGGTACAGGTGACAACACACGGAGAATTGAGGCCATGTCTGGGGCACAGGCTTTACTGTGAAGCTTGCTTTTGCCACCCCATCTGTGAGGCTCTGCAGCAGGACTGACGGTTCTGCCTGATTCTCCAGCAGCCTCAGGGTCTCTGTGACCCCGCCGCTGATACTGGGGTCCATTCCCTGTTTTTTCTGTTACCAGCAGTACAGTGCACAACCCTGTGCACTCTTTCCTTACGGATCTTTCTTTTTTCTTTTTTTTGAGACAGAGTCTCACTCTGTGGCCCAGGCCGGAGTGCAGTGGCGCAATCTTGGCTTACAGCAATCTCCACCTCCTGGGTTCAAGTGATTCTCCTGCCTCAGCCTCCCGAGTAGCTGGGATTACGGGCGCGTGCCACCACGCCTGGTTAATTTTTGTATTTTTAGTAGAGACGGGGTTTCACCATGTTGGCCAAGCTGGTCTGAAACTCCTGACCTCAGGTGACCTGCCCGCCTCTGCCTCCCAAAGTGCTGGGATTAAAGGCGTGAGCCACCACGCCAGGCCAGGAATCAGGAATCTTTCTTTTTTTCTTTCTTTTTTTTTGGGTCAGACTGTCACCCTGTTACCTGGGCTGGAGTGTAGTGGTGTGATCATGGCTCCCTGCAGCCCCAACCTCCCAGTCCTAGGCTCGAGTGATCTTTCCACCTCAGCCTCCCAATTACCTGGGACGACAGGCACACGTCACCACACTTGGCTAATTGTATTTTGTGTAGAAATGCAGTCTTGCTTTGTTGCCCAGGCTGGTCTCGAACTCCTGGCCTTAAGCGATTCTCCCGCCTTGGCCTTCCAAAGTGCTGGGATTACAGTCATGAGCCACCATCCCTGGCCCTTAGGAGTATTTCCTGGGTGCCTTTCTAGGAGTGGACTTTAAAGCAACTCCAAGCAGTGCTGCAAATGTGAGCTGCTGCCGTGCTGCCATTGTCATTATTATTATTCAGTCCAGTCACCCCCACATCCACTTTTCATATTTGTTTAAAAAGTAAGTTTTGGCCGGGTGTGGTGGCTCACGCCTGTAATCCCAGCACTTTGGGAGGCCGAGGCGGGCAGATCATGAGGTCAGCAGTTCGAGACCAGCCTGGCCAATGTGGAGAAACCCCGTCTCTACTAAAAATACAAAATTAGCCGGGTTTGGTGGCACGTGCCTGTAATCCCAGCTACTCAGGAGGCTGAGGCAGGAGAATCACTTGAACCAGAGAGTCAGAGGTTGCAGTGAGCCGAGATTGCACCACTGTACTCCAGCCTGGCGACAGAGGGAGACTCCGTCTCAAAAAAAAAAAAAAAAAAAAAGAAAAAGTATTTATCTTGGGTTGGGTGTGGTGGCTCACGCCTGTAGTCCTAGCACTTTGGGAGGCCAAAGCAGGAGGATTGTTTGAGCCCAGAAGTTGGAGATCAGCCTGGACAGCAAAAGTAAGACCCTATCTCTAGAAAATGAAATTTAAAAAATTTAGCCGGGCGTGGCGGTGTGCACCTGTGGTTCCAGTTACTTGGGAAGCTGAGGTGTGAGGATCACTGGAGCCCAGGAGGTAGAGGCTGCAGTAAGCTATGATTGCTCCACTGCACTCCAGCCTGGGCAACAGTGAAATCTCATCTTAAAGACAATAATAAAACATTTTTTATTTTGGAATAGTTTGAGGTCTACAGAAGAGCTGCACGGGTGGTGCAGAGAATCCCATCAACCCTTCACTGGCTTCCCTTGTGGTAACACCCCGTCAAAACCAGAACATTTTCTTTTTTTATTGAGCTGGAGTTTCACTCTTTCACACAGGCTGGAGTGCAGTGGTGTGATCTTGGTTCACTGCAACCTCCGCCTCCTGGGATCAAGTGATTTTCCTGCCTCAGCCTCCTGAGTAGCTGGGATTACAGGCGCCCACCACCAAACCTGGCTAATTTTTTTTGTGTTTTTAGTAGAGATGGGGTTTCACCATGTTGGCCAGGCTGGTTTCGAACTTCTGACCTGAAGTGATCCACCTGTCTCGGCCTCTGGAAGTGCTGGGATTACGGGCGTGAGTCATCATGCCTGGCTAAAGCCAGGAGATTAACATGGGTACAGCTCTGACAGTGAAACCCCGGGCTCTCTGTTCCAGCTTCCTGTTTTCCCCCAAAGTCTTTTCCTTTCCTGGCCCGGCCCCCATCCAGGGTCCCACATGGCATTTCATCCTTATGTCTCTTGAGTCTCTTAAAAGTCTATCTTGGTTCTTCAGGCTTTCCTTGTCTTTAATGACTTTGACAGTCTTGAGGAGGCCTGCTCAAGTGTTCTGTAAAACGTCCCCTCATCGGCCGGGTGCGGTGGCTCACGCCTATAATCCTAGCACTTTGGGAGGCTGAGGTGGGTGGATCACCTGAGGTCAGGGGTTCAAGACCAGCCCGGTCAACATGATGAAACCCTGTTTCTAGTAAAAGTACAAAAATTATCTGGGCATGGTGGTATATGCCTGTAATCGCGGCTACTCGGGAAGCCAAGGCTGGAGAATTGCTTGAACCCAGGAGGGAGTTTGCAATGAGCCGAGATTGTGCCATTGCACTGCAGCCTGGACAACAAGAGCGAAACTCTATTTCCAAAAAAAAAAAAAAAAAAGCCCGGTGTGGTGGTGGGCACCTGTAATCCCAGCTACCTAGGAGGCTGAGGCAGGAGAATCGCTGAAACCTGGGAGGCAGAGGCTGCAGTGAGCCGAGATCGTGTCACTGCACTCCAGCCTGGGTAACAGTGAGACTCTGTCTCAAAAAAAAAAAAAAAAAAAAAAAAAAAAAAAAAAAAAGCCCTAATCTGGGTTTGCCTGTCTTCCTGAGGTCACACTGAGGTGACAGGGTTTGGGGCAGGACACCCTCCTGGAGGCCCCTTTCTCCTCACATCCTAGCAGGGGTCGCCGAGACCCTGACGACTTCACCCCTGATGTTGACCTCGGCCCCCTGGTGCAGGTGGGGTCACTGGATGTCCCGGGGCCCATTGCCATCGTCTCCTGTCCCTGCCCTGTTCTGCGGCAGCGAGTCCCTCAGTCCAGCCCACACTGGGCAGGGGGTGGGGGGAGTTTTATTTAGAAGATGAATTTTCATACAGAAAAGCCTAAAAATGAAAGGACAAATGGCCCATCATTGCATTGCTTAGATGCCTGTTGACATTCAGAGGCATGTAGTAAATACACATGGTAAAAAAAAATGTTTGAGTACTACAGAAAAGTACTATTAAAACTATCACAAAGCAAAGACCCGACTGTCTTAAATCAAGAAGATATGGCAGTTCCAGTGCATGCGCGCACGCACACACACACACACACACACACACACACACACACGTCCTTACATATTACCCCCTCTTCTGCTGCATCTTTGTTATTTACTATTGTTTTTATTTATTTGAGAGGGAGTCTCACTGTCACTCAGGCTGGAGTGCAGTAGTACAATCTTGGCTCACTGTAACCTCCACCTCTCCAGTTCAAGCAATTCTCCTGCCTCAGCCTCCCGAGTAGCTGGGATTACAGGCGGCCCCCCACCACACCTGGCTAATTTTTGTACTGTTCGTAGAGACAGGGTTTCATCATGTCGACCAGGCTGTTCTTGAACTCCTGACCTCAGGTGATACATCTGCCTTGGCCTCCCAAAGTGCTGAGATTACAGGCATCAGCCACCACACCCAGACAATCTATCACTATTTTTAGAGACAGGATCTCGCTCTGTTGCCCAGGCTGGGGTGTATCACAGCTCTCTGCAGCCTTGACCTCGGGGCCGCAAGCAATCCTCCCGCCTCGGCCTCCCGAAGAGCTGGGACCACAGGCGTGCACTACCATGCCTGGGTAAGTTTTGAATTTGTTTTTTATGCAGACAGGGGTCTCACTATATTGCCCAGGCTGGTCTTGAACTCCTGGGCTCAAGCAGTCCTCCCATCTCAGCCCCCTAAAGTGTTGGGGTTACAGGCGTGAGTCACTGCACCCGGCCCTGCAGCCTTGTTTTTGGCCCTCACCTACCTTGGGGTATCCATGTTGTGGGTGCACCCCCGGTTATGTGACCTCTGCCCTCATCTGTCCTCTGGGAGACTGTGTTCTTTGCCCTCTATGAGGCAAGGCCCCAGTTCCTGGCTCCGTGGCCCCTCTGAGAGTCCCGTTGTGTTCTTCCTGCCCTGCTAGAGACCCACTCCCAGCAACACCTGGGTGCTGTCTGTCCCCTGCTGAGCTTTGCTCCATAGCCCTCAGGCTTGGGAGGTCCATCTTTGGGGCTGGGAGGAGCTGTCCCCCTGATCCTCTTGGGCGCTGTCAGGGAAGGGTAGAGGTGAGCCCCCATTTATAGGTGAGGAACAGGTTTGAAGAAAGAAGGGGCTGAGTTATGGATGCCCCAAAGTGTCTGCTGCCTCTTAGCTGTGAGCAGGAGCCGGCTGTTCTCGGTCCTCTCCCAGTCTTGATTTTTTCATCTGTAGAATGGGAATGACAACTCCTTTTTTTTTTTTTTTTTTTGAGACAGGGTCCCACTCTGTCACCCAGGCTGGAGTGCAGTGGTGCAGTCACAGCTCACTGCAGCCTTGACCTCCTGGGCTCAAGCGACCCTTCCACCTTAGCCTCCTGAGTAGCTGGGACTACAGGTGTGAGGCCACTGCGCCCGCTAATTTTTTTTTTTTTTGAGACAGTTTCTCTCTTGTCACCCAGGCTGGAGTGCAGTGGCACGATCTCGGCTCACTGCAACCTCCGCCTCCTGGGTTCAAGCGATTCTCCTACCCCAGCCTCCTGAGTAGCTGGGATTACAGGCATGCGCCACCAGGCCCGGCTAATTTTTTTTGTATTTTTAGTAGAGACGGGGTTTCTTCATATTGGTCAGGCTGGTCTCGAACTCTCGACCTCAGGTCATCCGCCTGCCTCGGCCTCCCAAAGTGCTGGGATTACAGGCGTGAGCCACCATGACTGGCCTCCAGCTAATTTTTTTTTTTGAGATGGAGTTTTTGCTCTTGTCGCCCAGGTTGAAGTACAATGTTCGATCTCAACTCACTGCAACCTCCACCTCCCAGATTCAAGCGATTCTCCTGCCTCAGCCTTCTGAGTAGCTGGGATTACAGGTGCCCACCACCTGGCCCGGCTAATTTTTTCTTGTATTTTTAGTAGAGACGGGATTTCACCACATTGGCCAGGCTAGTCTCGAACTCCTGACCTCAGGTGATCTGCCAGCCTTGGCCTCCCAAAGTGCTGGGATTACAGGCGTGAGCCACTGCACCCGGCCTGCAGCTCATTTTTTAATGTGGAGAGTTGGGGGTTTCATTACGTTGCCCCGGCTGGTCTTGAACTGATAGCTTCAAGTGATCCTCCTACCCTGGTCTCTCAAAGTGCTGGCATTCCAGGCGTGAGCCACCGCACCCGGTGGAGAATTTACAGGGTCATAGAGAGTAAGGAAGAGAGGACAGAGCCCTGTGCCGGGCGCTGCTGGAGGTTTGTCTGTGTTCACCGCAGGGGTCATGGGTTGCCTGAGTGTTCCTGGGGCTTAGGGGTGTGAATAGAAGCCTCATGGGTGGGGTGTGGGCTGTGTGCCCTCACCTGGGGTCTCCTGCCTGTGGAGTGGCTGGCATGACCTGCAGATGAGGCCACTCACTTGAAACCCTGATAATGGCTGGAGTGGGCAGACAATGGAGTCTCACAGTGAAGGTCCTGCCTGGGGCCATGTGGCCCACCCCTGGAGGCTGCTCACCCCTGCCCCCCATCGTTAGCCTCCCAGTTACAACTGTAAGCCCCTTGAGGGCAGGGCTGGTTGGTTCTGCTCTAAGCCCAGGAAACATCAGTGGAAGACGCATGGTTGGGTGTGGACCCTGAGGCCTCAAGACACACCTGTCCACAAGCCAATGCGGGGTTCCAGGACCCTGGGGGCTGCTGGGATGGTGGGGACCTGGGGGACCTGCCCAAGTGGCCCATCGTCCTAGAAGTTCAAAGACAACAGAGGCCCAGCAGGAGCAGGAACGCCGACCCCCAGCGCCCACCGAATGGTAGGGGTGCAGAGAGGGCTCTGGAGCCCAGGCCTAGGAGAGGGGCAAGTGTGTGCAGGGCACCCTGTACCCTCCCACACTTCGCTGAACCTCCTCTCTCTCGGCTCCGCTCTGTCCAGCCACGTAGAGTGGGCTTACTGGGGCCCAGGGAGGGCTCAGCTGGCTTAACCAAGCATGGTTGAGCCCAGGCGCAGTGCGGGCGACCCAGGGAACAGTGGTCAGCCTCAGGGCGTCAGCTGGGGTTGCAGGTGGGCGGGGGATGGGGCTAGAGAAGCCCCGAATCGGGTCAGGGCCTCTGTCCATGCCCAACCCAGAGCAGGAGGTCGCCGCAGGCCAAAGCAGCTCCGCCCCCTGGAGGCAGCTCCGGCCACTGCGCAGTCCCCGCCGCCCCGCCGGAGCTGGGAAGGGGCGGGAGCGCGGTCGCGACCGAGGGGGGCCGCCCAGTTTCTGTGCCCCCGCCGCCTTGGGCCTGCGAACTGGGCCATCCGCGTCCCTGGTGTCCCCCCTAATATTTAACAAGTTGGCCTGGACGTCCTCGCGGCCGGGAGGCCCGAATACCTGGCCTCAGTTTTCCCGTCCGAACCCCAAGAATCGATGCCTGGGAATGGAAAGAGAAGCCCCGGACCCCGGTGTCCCAGCAGGGCGGGGAACCTCTGACCCGCTCAGGCGCCCCCAGCCCAGCCCAGCCCTTTGCGTTCGGCCCCCTCTTCCCGTCCCCCTATCCCGACCCTCTGGGACCCAACCGGCCCTCCCCACCCCCAGTGGGGCGCGCTCTAGTAGCTCCGGAACTGGGTGCAAAAAGAGGAACGAACGCAGCCTTGCCCCACCCTCCCGGGCCCCGCCGCGGGCGCGGGATACCGGGTGTCTCGGCCGGGAGGCTCCGAGGGGCTCTGTGAGCGGCGAGGGGGAACCCCAGAGAAGAGGACGAGCAGATGCCTGAGTGCGGGGTCAAAGCAGGGCCCCAGGCCGGGAGAAGAGGGGGGAAGGGTCGCGCACGTGGCCTGGGGGCGGGGCCGGCCGCTTCCGCACCCCTCCAACCCCGGCCACGTGGGGATCGGAGCCCTCCTCCATCGCGAACGGGGGCGCGCCCGGGGCCAGGAGGGAAGCATCCGGGGAGGGGGCGGGCTCCCGCCGGCCGCGCGCCCCGGCGTGGGGTGGGCGCGCCAGCGAGGAGGCGGGGCGCGCTCTGGGAGGGAGGGGCGTGCCGGGATGGGGCGGGGCGCGCTCTCGGAAGGAGGGGCGTGCCGGAGAGGGGGCGGGGTCCTCGGCCTCCCGCCCCGGCTTGAGGGGGTGGTGCTCCGGGAAAGGGTACGGGGGCGCGCGCTGGAGTGGGGCGCGCCGGGAGGGGGCGGGGCTCCCGGCCTTGCACCCTAGCGCGGAGAAGGCGCGCTCCGGGCCTAAGACGCTAGGCGCTGGCGGAGGCCGGAGTGGGCGCGCCGGGGGGCGGGTTCCTCCGGCCCGAGCCCCGCCCCCGGCGGCCGCGCGCGGCTCGGAGAGTGGTGGAGGGCGCGCCGGGCGGGGGGCGTGGCTGCGGCGCCCCGAGGGGGCGTCCTCCGGGCGGGGCGGGCTGTGGCCGCCCCCGCGGGCTCCGGTGCGTCAGGACGCGTCAGGCGGGGCGGGGCAGGCCGAGCGCGGGCGTCGGCGGCGGCGCGCGCCGGGCCTCCTCCTCCTCCTCCTCCGCCTCCCGCACTCGAGCAGCCGCCGCCGGCCGGACGGACGCCGCTCCCGCCGCCTCCGCTCCGCCCGCCGCGCCGCGCGCCCTTGCTCGGCATGTCGGCGGCCGTGGCGTGCGTGGATTACTTCGCCGCCGACGTGCTCATGGCCATCTCTTCGGGCGCCGTGGTGCACCGCGGGCGGCCCGGCCCCGAGGGCGCGGGCCCCGCCGCCGGCCTGGATGTGCGCGCGGCGCGCCGCGAGGCCGCCTCACCCGGGACCCCGGGGCCACCCCCGCCGCCCCCCGCCGCTTCTGGCCCGGGCCCCGGCGCCGCCGCGGCGCCCCACCTGCTGGCCGCCAGCATCCTGGCCGACCTGCGCGGCGGACCCGGAGCCGCCCCGGGGGGCGCCTCGCCCGCCTCCTCCTCCTCAGCCGCCTCGTCCCCGTCCTCGGGCCGCGCCCCCGGCGCCGCGCCCTCCGCCGCCGCCAAGAGCCACCGCTGTCCCTTCCCGGACTGCGCCAAAGCCTACTACAAGTCCTCGCACCTAAAGTCGCACCTGCGGACGCACACAGGTGAGTGCAGCCGCGATCCCGGCCCTTGCGGGGGCGGCCGCCTGAGACCCCTCCCCCGCCAGGACCCCGAAACTGCGTGGCGCGTGGGGGGCGGGGAGGGGGGCGCGCCCGGGCCGCCGCCGCGCCGGCCGGCAGGGCGGGGCCTCGGTGGGTGGGGCGCGCGCGGGGGGCGTGGCGGCCACGCGGTCGGGCGGCGAGCGGATGGCCGCCCCGGCGGCAGTGGCGGGGGCTCCGGGGGCCCAGCGAGGTCTGCGGGCGGGATTGAGACTCCTGGGCAGACCACCTCTCTCCCTTTCTGGGCCTTGTTCCGTTTTTTTTTTTTTCTTTTGCGTTCTGGTCTGGGCGGTGGGCACCGTGGTTGGAGCATCCGGCTCTGGGGTTCTGGGTTCTCCCCCTCCCCCAGCCTCAGTTTCCTTATCTGTGAAAATGGAGGAGGAACCGCGTCGCCGCCGCCGGGGTGGCCGCGCGGATTCTCCCCAGAGGTCGGCAGAGCACCTGGCGTGGGGCCAGGATGGGGGGAGCCCGGCACGTTTTCTCTGCGTTCTCTGTATTTTAACGAGGGGGAGGGCGAGGCTAGGAGCGCGGGTTGGGGCCTGAGTCTGGGCGGGGGAACTTCATAGTATTGGAGGACCCTCGAGGGGCTCGGGTCCACACTGCTGTATTTCCCTGGCGTGTTTGTTCACCCCTACCTGGCGGGCGATTCGGGAAGGTGCGCGTAGTTGGAGCGCTTCGGCTACACCAACGCCCCTCCTAGCGCAGTCCCCGGGGCGGCGAGGGGAACCGGGAGCCTGGTGGGCCTGGCTGTATTTTTTCACTCCGTCCCCTCCTAGGGTTCCACTTTCTGGACTGGGAGTTTGGACTGGGCAACAGGGGACGGTGGGCCTTGATGGCCGGCCCTGGTTTGGGCATTAGAGGTGCTTGTCCCTTCCGGGGAGGGTGGGGGGCTGGGGGAAAGCTGTGCGGCTGCCCTTGGGCTTGGCATTCTGGCCTTGCCACCAAACAGAAGACCTCTACCCGATCTGGGTCTCAATTTTCTCATTTCTATCAAGAGTGCGATGCTGCCTCTATTTCATAGCCATAGCGGTGGCCGCTTTGGGCAGCTGGACACTCCAAGGAGGCTTGGTCCGTGGGCTCGGATTGTAGGGACACGTGGAGCAGCCGAAGGGAAGTGGGCCGTCCAGAGTGGTGGGGCTGAGATGAG
The DNA here is from genome assembly GCF_000001405.40 of Homo sapiens. Taxonomy (NCBI): domain Eukaryota; kingdom Metazoa; phylum Chordata; class Mammalia; order Primates; family Hominidae; genus Homo; species Homo sapiens. The sequence continues at coordinate 1,861,839 of NC_000019.10, read as the reverse complement.
CAGGGGCCGCGAATGCCTTGCGGAAGAATTGAGGGTCCATCTTTGGGGTATGGGGAGCCGCGCTGGGACGCCTGAGGGTGGAGAGCAGGAGGGCGGGTGGGGGCGGTGGTGTGTAGCCTGCCGGCCGCCCCCTCTCTGTTCTGCACTCTTTTCACCCCTCGCTCAGTCCCTGTCCTGGTCCCAGGGGCCTGGAGGCTCTGCCCACCTTGAGACACAGACGGGAACCGAGGGCGTCAAGACAGGACTTGGGTGGGGTCTGCGTTTTCTGCGAGGAGCCACACATCCTCGGCGGAGGGGTCCCAGGGTGTTACCTCTTTTTGAGGGCAATGGGGTCCGTGTATCTCCGCGGGGAGGGACATTGGGGGTCTGTGAAGATGGCGAGGCAGCGTTGGGAACAGAAAGGGAGGTGCCTCTCCGGGCGGTGGGCAGGGGTCCAGGAGTGCCCTGGCTTTTTGGGGGTAAGTTGGGCGATCTGAACAGACGGGGCTGAAGTGGGAGCCTGTTGGGAAAGCGACTCCCACCTGTCTACCCAGGTCATTCTTTTCTTGCCAGATGGCGTGGCCTGAGAGCTCCATTTGGGTTTTCTGAGTTTCTGGGTTAAGTGGACGGGATGGCCACCTCCCTGAGTGGCACCCAAGAGGCGCTTCCATAGGCCCCCGGGTATTGGGGCAGCGGTCCCTAAGCCAGCAGGGAGGGGAGGGATGGGTTTGGAGTCCTGGGAAGGCAGTATTGTTATCCCGGGATTGCAGTAAGAAACAGGCCTGGGGGTGCCCAGTCGGGCATCCCCAGGGGTGGATGCAGTTGTGCTGATGGCGCGCCACCGTCTACCCTGTGTGGTGGGGGAGGGCAGGGCGGATCTCCTGGCACCCTCCCCCACCCCTTGAGCCTGCTGACGTCCCATTCCAAAGCCCCCTTTACAGTAACGATTTGGGGACTGGGAGGGCAGTCCCAGGCCCAGGCACCTTGGATTCGGTTTCCAAAGGGTTTTGGATACTTGTGGCTTTCCAGGCTCCTCTTCCGGGCCTCCCCAGCCCCCAGGACCACCAAGGGGTCTGTGTAAACGGCCTCTTTTAGTGGAAGGTGGTCTGGTTTTTCAGCCCCCGGAGGAGGGAGGGAATGGCTGCCGTTAAGCTGGTTTTGGGGGACAGGAAGGCCATGCGTTTTTTTGGGAGGGAGCCCCATTGCAGGGCTGTCCCTGAATGGAGTGGAGGCCGGGAAAGATCCGCAGACGAACCCGAGTCACCGGTGGCTGCAGGGCTGTCCCGGGGGCCATTGAGAACGAGTTCCACCCCCACCCACCCCTGCCTGGAGTGCTTCTCTGTAAAGGGAACACCAGTCGTGGCCTGGCCCCATTTTTACAGATAAACCAACTGAGGCACACTGGAGGAGCCCCACCTGTGATTTCGGCCACATTTGGCCCTGGGAGCAGGGAGGCCAGGGGAGCAGTGGGATGTTCTTCATGGGGGCAGCAGGCGGCAGGACTGCACCTCCCGTCCCCTGGGTCTGGCCCACAGCCCCTATCCTAGCCCGGCCAGCTCTCGGCTCTCTCTCCCCTGCGTGGGGCGGGGAAGGACTTTGGAAGCTGTGGGTGATGTTGACGCCGTTGCTATGGTTACGGAGAGTGAGCGAGCCAGCGAGTTGGGGCGGGGGCGGGAGGAGAGGCTGGCTGTCGGCTCCCTGCTCTCCAAACCCCCTGCATCCCCGGAGGGCCCCCCCCCCGCCCCCGGCATGCCAGTGCCCGGCACACCGTCAGCCTGCACCTCCAGAGGGTTTGCCGACACCCTCCCCAGGAGAGGGGCTCAGACCTGGAAGGGTTCTTCTCACCCAGGGCTTCTCTCCTCCGCACTTACCGAGACATTTGGGGCCTGATCGTTTTCTGGGGAGGGGCTGTCCTGGGCACTGCAGGGGGTTATGCAGTGTCCCCAGCCTCTACGCACTCCATGGCAGGAGCACCCCCTCCCCAGTCGTGACAATCACAAATGTCCCCAGACCTTGTCAGGTGCCCCCCAGGGGGCTGCAGGGTCACCCCCAGTTGTATCCCACTCTGAAGTCCCCTGCCGCAGGCCAGCACCCAGCATCCCAGTCCCCGCGCCCCAGGACTTAGGGAACTGTGTCCGTGGTGGCGGGGGGCGGGGTGGGGGGTGGCAACAGGGATGCTAGTGATGACGGAAAGCGCTTCCTGGAGGAGGCAGCCTGAGGCCCACTGGGCTGGGTGGGGCAGGGAATGGGAGAGGAAGGGCGTGCTGGCTCTGGGGTCTGCTGTGGAGGTAGGGACTTGAGGTGGGGAGGGGGCACCTCGGCAAGGTGAATCCCTGCACTTAATCCCGAGGGTGGGGACGCTGGGGGCGGCAGTGAGGCAGGCTGGGCTTTGCAGAGGCAAATCCATTTATGGAGAAGGGATTAGGATCAGAGAGGGGTTGAGGAGGGCAGGACGAGATGTGGGAGGGATCGAGGCGTGCTGGTCTACGCACTGGGTTGGAGGGAGACTCCTCAGGACGAGGTGTGCAGAGGAGTGTCTGAGTGCCTGCCAGGTTTCTGATCCCTTGCTGAAGAGGGCCCCAGGAGGACAGGTGGGTGGGGAAACTGAGGCCCAGAGGGGGAAGCAGCCATGCCCCACTTCATTCTCTCCTCCACCCCCAGGCAGAACTATGCGCTCCTGTAGGGTTGGGATGGCAGTGCTGGTGGGCAGAGCTTGGGAGAACTGGCAGCTTATCTGGGGAGGGTCGGAGTGGGGCAGTGCCAGGCCATAGGGGGTGGGGGGTAGGGGGCCAGGGACTGCCCTCCCCCACCCACCGCCTCTCCAGCCTGCAGAGTGCAGAGAGCAGCTGGAACTGCCTGCAGGTGCCCCAGCTAGTGGGATGGGGAGGGCTCCCCCAGGGTTGTGGGGGGCGATAACCACCCCCACCCAGGCTCTCTGATAAAAGCAGCCCAGATCGGTGGGGAGGAGGCACATGATACCAGCAGGGTGAGCTGTGGGGGCGGGGGGCACCACCCTGGCTTAGACCATTTCTGGAACAGAGGTTACACAGGCACCAGGGTCCTTGAGGGGGTTGTCCCCTGCCGACCCCCAGGTACCCAGAGTCTGGTGCAGGAGGTCCTGGCCTGGGTTGGGCCTCAGGTGGGCCTCCTTTTATGTAGAAGGGAGTAGTGATAGTTTGGCGGCGGGGTGGGGAGGACAGGAGTATTCAAGATGCTGAGCAAACATTATCTGCCCTTGCTCTTGTTGGAACCAGAGCTTGATCCCCTAGGCCTGCATTCTCCTTTTCCACAGATATGCATTAAGCACCTGCTGTATACCAGGCCTGTGCTGGGCATTGCCGGGGACCCAGCCGTCAATGAAGTGCCTGCCTTCTGCTCCCACTGGAGTGCAGGGGTGCAGATATTACACCCACAAGATGCATGCGTTTTTGGAAGCCTGGTACAAAGACAGAGAAGCTGACCAAGGGTGCTTGGGGGGCACCAGGCCACTGTGAGGGGCACTGCTGCTCAGAGAAGCTCCGGGCAGGATCAGCCATCAGTTTTGACCCTAGGCCAGGGCGGAACTCAGGAAAGCCAAGCGCAGTCTGGGTGCCCAGGCGGGAGCTGCTGGACTACTGCACTAGTCCAGGAGTGAGCTGGGAGGGGCAGGGTGGGGCCTGGACGGATCCCGAAGGTGATGGGATTTGGCTGGCAGGTGGCACGTGGGGAGGTACGGGATTGACACAAGGGTGGGTATGCCTGCCTGCGTGTTTGGCGGGAACAGCAGGGGGTTTGGAAAGGGGAAGTCTACTGGAGGAGTGGGGATGGGGGAGGAAGGAAGCTTTGGCTTTGGGAAGTCAGGGGAGCTAGGGGCAGAGTGGGTGTGGGGGTTGCTATGGCCCAGTAGTATTCGAGACCCCACCCCCAGGCTGGCAGGGCCTCACCACCAGTGTTCCCCCTTTTCTGCAGCGGCTCCCAGAAGCAGCTGCCTATAGGTTCTATAGAACCTGCTCAAGGATCACCTTCAGGAGCTCCTCCCTTCCCTGGGTGGGTAAGAGGCCTCCCCAGCCCCAGCCTTTCCTGGCTCTCCTGGGATGCTTGCTTTGCGGCTGGGGCTGGTCTTCCCCACCTGTGCCCTCCCCTACAGACCCGACCCCACCTGTTAGGTGGACGTGAGTGCCCCGGCAGGCAGCCGGCCACAGCCCCCCTCCCCACCCCAAGGCCCCCCAGACAAGCTCAGGAGGTGAGGCTTCCCTGTCGGAACCAGGGCCCTTGGCACAGTCCCGCAGTCCTGTCTCCAGGCCCCTCCTGTGCCGGCTCAGACGGGGCCGGGCCAGGTTTCCAGGACTTCCTGGACTCCATTTTTCTGAGCCTGCCTGTTTCCGAGGCTGTCCTGAGCTCACCCGGGCCCAGCCTGAGTCAGAGGGTCAAGTCCACCGCGGCCCCGCCCACACTGCCCTCCCGCGTTGTCCCCACCCACCGCATCCTCAGGGCGCTGCGTCTCGGCCAGGTAGCGCGGAGCAGCTGGGTGGCTGTGCACCTGGGGGCCCGGCTGGCTAGGAGCAGCGCGCTCTGGGCCCCCACAAGTTCACCCCACCCTCCTCCCTGCGAGTGGATTGTGTGCGAGGCAGGGCCTGGCATTTCGCAGAGGCGCTTCGCCCAGCGCAGCGTGGGTGGGTAGCCCGTGCACCCCCTGCCCCGCCACCCACGTGCGCATGTGCGCGCCTCAGTCTCCAAGCGCGGGGCGGGGCTGGCAGGCACCCAGGCCGGAGAGGCGACCCTGGCCCGGGCCCCCTGGCCCCGGCGGGAGTGGGACCACGTGAGCGGGGCCGGCTGGGGCTGCGGATGTCCCCGCCGCCGCCGCCGAGCTACGTGCGGCAGCTGTGTTCCCAGCGGCTGCGCGCCCCTGCCCCGGTCGCCCCCCCCACCCCGGCAACCTGCTCCTCCTTGCAAAGTGGAACTGGGGGAGAGGGAGTGGAGACCAGCCCCGCCGCCCTGAAAGGGGAAGTGAACCAACTGACTGTCCGGCACCCAGCCGTGGGATGTTCCCCCTTCCCTCCTGCCGCCTCCCCGCCTGTGCCTTGCAAGATGGCGACACGGCGGCATGTTCCCTGGAGGGGCGCGAGCCCCAATCCCGTGGTCTGCTCCAGCCGCGCTCCCACAGCCAGACCCCGTCCCCAGACTGAGGCCCTTGGGAGCTGTCAGGGCCCAGTGGTTGAGATGGGAGTGGGGTCCCTTCCAGGGCTGCTCTGCGCCTCTTGCTTGGGTTGTAGACGGCCCCCAGCTGGGGCGGACCCGCGACCCCAGCTGCATCCTGGGTTGCTTGGGGGAGACTTGGGGTGTGGAGCAGGCAGCCCCAGGGATTTGAGGCTACTGTTGGTCTTGGTGACAGCTGGTCTCTCCCCCTCTCCAGCTGCCTGGATTCACAACCTCTTGGGGAGGGGGGCTGCTGGTCTCTGTCTGCAGTCTTGTTTTGCTGAGGGTGTCGGGGTGTGGCAGGGAGGAAGGATGAGATGAGAAGGGAAGGTTTTTTCTTCCAGCTCTTCTTGGGTCACGGGTGATCGCTGGTGCCCCTCAGTGGGCAGACCCCTCCACCCTCCCGTGCCCCTCCTCAGCTGGGCTCCCCAGGGCAGCCCCTGATCTTAGAGCAGAGATGTCACTCGGTCACCCTGAGCATGGCCGTGCCCCTCCCGCCGTCTCTGTACCCCTCACCATGGTCCCTGCTGTGGGTCCTTCTAGGCCCCTGGCTGGCTGCAGTTCTTCATGGACCGGTGGGAGTGCTCCCAGGGCCAGAGCAACCTCCAGTGCTGGGCGTGGGCTGCCCAGTTTGTAACCCACCGGGTGACTACCCTCCTGGCCCTGCTGTGGCTTCCTTGAGAATAGGCTTTGGGGCCACTCAGGGGAGTTGGTTCTGACGTCTCTTTTGCTACTCAGGGCTCCAACCAGTGCCACGAGGGGCATGCACATCCGGTCTCCATCCACACAACCCACCCTGGGGTGTCACGGGAATAACGTCCCGGAATGCCAGGGTCCAGGGTACCTGGTGCAGGGCCCGAAAGGGTGGGAGCTTCGGGGATGCAGGGCCCTTTGTCCTGCTTCGGTCCCTGGGTGGAGGTGGACTGACCTGCCCCTCCCCAGTCGTTGGAGACCCCTATCTGCTGGGGAGACGCTGACATCACGATGCCACATGCTGTGGGCGTGAGACCCCGGCTAAAGGAAGGGGTCGGGTGGCACAGTTCTAGAGCAAAGACCCACACCGCCTGGAGGCGCACAGGCAGGCCCAGATGGTGACGGCTGGTTAGGGGCAGGATGGGCGAGGCCCGGCCTTGGCGGTGGGAGGGGACTGTGGAGGAAGTGGCCGGGTGGTGGCCCGCCCCTGCCCAGCGCCATCTGTCCCGTGGGGGTGGGGCGAGTCCAGCCCGCCGGGCCCCGCCCCTTCCCGGGAGACCCCGCCCCCTCCCCTCCCTGTGAGCTTTCCTGCCTGTCTTCCATCTAACCACACCCCGAGATCGGGGCCCAGACTGACTGTGCCTGCGGGTTCCTCCCATGCCCCCTTGCTCGTGGAGGGGCCAGGAGGGTTAGGGAGGTTGCCATGATTGTACCCCCTTAACCCAGCCTTTGCATCCCAGGTGGTCATTTGGAAAAGGAGGGGATCATGCACAGATGGAGGCCCCTGCATGCCCCTGGGTGGGGGGCAGGGACAGCCTGAAGGCCGAGCATGCCTTCTGAGCGTGCCTGTGCCTGGGACAGACACTGGGAGGCCTTTGCTAATCCCTGCCAGGGTCCCGCCTGGGGCCAGAGGCTGCGAGGGCCTGGGGAGCTTCAGCCTTGGGGGTCTGCGGCGGTTACTTACGGTTAACAGATTCTGGGCTCGCCGGAGAGTCCTTTCTAAGAGCTGGTAGGAAATAAGAGGATTATTTATTAGGGTCTCGTGTTGGGCCACCGGGGGGCGGGTAAGGGTTGTATTCTTTGTGCTTCTCCATGTTTTGAACTCACACCAGAGCTCAGCCTCTAAAACGGCACGGGACAAATGCCCGCCACCCTTTGGGATCTGCTGGAACGTGTCTGTCATCTCCCCCCGCCCCCGCTGACCCGCTGTCTGTCTCTGTCTCTCCGTCCAGGGGAACGCCCTTTTGCTTGTGACTGGCAGGGCTGCGACAAGAAGTTCGCCCGCTCCGACGAGCTGGCCCGCCACCACCGGACGCACACGGGCGAGAAGCGCTTCTCCTGCCCTCTGTGCTCCAAGCGCTTCACCCGCAGTGACCACCTGGCCAAGCACGCCCGCCGCCACCCCGGCTTCCACCCGGACCTGCTCCGGCGCCCTGGTGCCCGCAGTACCTCCCCCAGCGACTCGCTGCCCTGCAGCCTGGCCGGGAGCCCTGCGCCCAGCCCCGCGCCCAGCCCAGCCCCCGCAGGCCTGTAGGGCCCTCGTGCAGCCCACCCTGACCGCCAGGATGCTTCTGCCATCCAGGGGTGTAGTGAGGACCCACGGGGAGCCTGGGCCCCTTCCAGCCGTGGGCAAACCCTGAAGACACCCCTGCCCCCCTCCAGAGAGTGAGGAGGGGGCCTGAGACTGGACCTGGGTCTGCCTGACCTCAGAGGTGGCTCTCAGGATGGGTGACGGGGGCTTGTGTCTGTAAATAGCCATGATACTAACTTTCTTCCCATCTGTGCAACGGGGCCCCCCCAGGGCAGCTAGGAGGTCCTCCCCTCTCCTCTCCACCACCCCCTGCTGCCCCCCTCCCGGGGTGGGGTTTGGGGGGGTGGAGTGGACTTCTGGGAGCCGGCCCGGGGAAAGCACCCCCTGCCCCATCCCTGCAGATTGGGATGAAGTGTTCAGACAGCCATAGAGGAGTCGGGGGTTGACACGGCCCCTGCCTCTCCCCACCCCACCCCCACCCCACCGAAAGCCATGGGAGTAGTTCAGGGAAATGGGGGTGCAGCCCAGCCACCCCCCATTCGGGTACTCAATCTCAGGTGTCCACAAGTTCTGCCCACGGTAGGGGCTGCCTGGCCCCCCAGACCTCGGGGGTAGAGCCAGGAGTGGGGCAGCGTTAGGATGCCCGGAGGGGCTCCAGGTGTTGCTTCTGAGACCTGGGATGGGGAGGGAGGGGACCTCTGGGTTCTTCCAAAGAACATTTGACTCAGTGGGGTCGGGAGGGAATCCTGGCTTATTTATTTTCCTCTGTCCTCGGGTGTGGGGGCCCTAGCTCGCCCTCTCTGGGTGGGTGGGTGAGAGAGGCTGCAGGGGAGGCTGGCACCGGGCTTGGGCCTCCAGTCCCTGCCTTGCTGACTTTGGCCGTTGCGGTATCACGTGACAATCAACTCTCCCTTAACGACGACTGCGGCTGTTGGGCTGCGCTGCCCTCCCTGGCCTGCAGGTGGGGCCGTGGAGCCCATGCCCGCCGGGGTTGCAGGCTCTTCCGGGCCTGGGCTGCAGCCTGGCCCGGCCCTGCTTCCCTGGCCTCCCCTCCTTCTCCTGGGTGCTTGGAAGAGGTGGGTCCTGGCCCGTGGTTGAGGTCTTGCCTCGTGGACTGGAAGCAGAGGGCTGGCTGTGCAGCCTCCTGGGGTAGCTCGTTTTTTTTGCACCGGGTAGAATATTTTTTCAGGCACGGATTCCTTTTTTTCTGGGCCCCCATGGGTGGTCCGGCATCCTCAGGGGGTGTGAGTGTGTGTGGGGGGTCTCTGAGCTGAACTTGGGTGGGGTGGGGACTTGTTCCTCGGGGGCCACCTTTGTGTCCTTGTCAGCGGTCGTCCTGCTGTGGCCTGGGTTGCATTTCCTCTTGGGGGGGGTATTGAGGACCCCCAGCCTGGAATGAGAAGGGTCCCCGGTTCCATGTCAGACCCAGAAAGGTGGATCCCCCCACTGTTGGCTGCAGGAGGTTTTTGGTACCCCCTTTTGTTCCAGAACCGTCCTGCCTCTCGCTTGGGGACAGGGGGGCTTTGGATGGCACTGGTGTGCACCTGGACCCAGCCCCGGCCTGGCAGGATCCAGGGATGGGTGCCTGGGATCCTGGGGGGAGGGAGGCAGGGGACGCCCTTCTGGAGCTGGGCTCGGAGGGTCCTGCCCCATCCAGCCCTCGGCTCTCTGTGTTCTCTGTCCCTAGCCTCAAACCCTCTTCTGGCAGCGCTAGTGAGATGCCTTAGTCTGTGGGGGTGGGTGGGGGACTGGGGCCCCGTTTTCCTTTGTGAGTCTTGGTTGGCCCCAGCCCTGGCAGGGGCCTGTCTGGAGCAGGGGTAGGTAGGGCTGTGGGTTCCAGAACTCTATAACTGGGCCCCTCTCCAGTGTCCAGGGGCTTGGAGAGACCTGCGCCCACCCCTCCACTCTCCCAGGAGTCGCTGATCACTGGGACCTGGTTCCAGCCGTTTGCAGGGGAGGCGGCTCCGAGAGGCGTGTGCTTTCCGTGGGTGGCGCCCCTCCCCCGCCCTGCCTGGCCTCATCCTTGTATTTAATTAATTAAACAAGCCCCTTTTTAAACCCTACTCCAGCGTGTGTGTGGTCTCTCCCGTGGCAGTCCCCACCTGTGGGCACGCTCTGAATCCCTCTGTCCCACCCACCAGTGTGGTCCCAAGTTCATCCACCTCGTGGGGAAACCGAGGCAGCGGGCTAGTGAAGGGGGTCTTGGCCAGGCCCCTCTGGCTGAGACACAAAATGCCCTGCCCCTAGCCCTAAGCCCCGCGGAGGGGGCTGCCTGCAGCAGCGCGCGCTGCGCCCGCCGGGTGTCACCCACGCCTGGCGCAGCTGCGCCCCCCGCCCAGCTTCCCGCCCGCCCCGTTGCCTGGCAACCGAGGCACAGTGACAGGGCGCCCGGGGGCGTCCACCGCCCGCCCCTTCCGGTGCCGCAGGGGATGGGGGAGCCTGCGCCCCCGGGGCTGCTCGCCGGCGCGGGACAGGCTCCTCCACGGAGGGTCCCCCGGCCGCCTCCCAGGCTCCTGTGCTCCTGTATTGAGCGCCTACTGTATGCCAGCTCCCCTAGTGGGAATAGGGAAGAGGGGGCGGTGAGAGCTTTGAGGCCCTCCCCAGGAAAAAACCACTGTGGACTCCAGCGCTCCCCAGAGCCTGGAGGCCGGCGGGGCTGGGATGGGGCCGGGCAGGCCACTCCTACACACCTGCTGAGCCCTGGGGCTTCGCCTGCTGCCCGCCCGGGGAAGGGGGTGGTCGGCCTCTCGTATCGCGCGGCCGGCGCCGGCTCACGCCAGACCCCTCCCCAACCTGGGCGGCAAATTCCCGGCTTTACTCGAGGGCAGCCTCCCTCGTGCACCCCCAATCCTGCCCGACCCATCCTCCCATCCTACCGGACGCCCCACAAACATCACTCCCGGGACTCTCGCACCCCTCCAGCTCCTGCCTGGTTTTCTGCCCCTCTGGAGCAAAATGTCTAGAATATGGGGTCTACACTCGCAGCCTCACCCCTCTCTCTGACGGACACACTCGCATTAGGCTTTTAAATTACACGCCCCACCCCCAGCACACACACGTGCCCAGAAGCAGCACCATCCTTTTGGTGCCTTTGGGACCCCGACCCTCCCGGGCGTCCCTCCCACCCGCAGGCTGCTCTTGCCATGCCCCCTCCTCGGTCGAGGGCAGTTCCATCCTGCAAGGCCAAAATCCTTGGGGAGTCACCCTGGACCCCACTGTGTGTCTCACCACCCACATCTGGCCCATCTGAAACCTCCTTGGGCTCTACCTTCAAAATAGATCCAGGATCTGGCCGCCTTTCCCTGCTGTAAGGGCTTCCACCGCGACGGTCTAGCCTCCTCACGACTCACCTGAACCAGTGCAATCACCTTGGCCCTGGTCTCCTCACGGTTTGTCCTCCCCACGGCCACCAGAGGGTGTCCGTGAACACCTGGGGCAAGTCTGGTTCCTCCTCTGCCCGCAACCCTCCATGGCTCCCACTGCCCTCACAGTCAAAGCCCAAGTCCTCCCTGAGGCCCATAGGGTTCTGCATGACCTGCCCCGTCCTCTCCCTGCTCTTCCCTCCTGCCTCTCTCCCCCTCCTCACCCTGGTCCAGCCACACTGGCCTCCTCGCTGTTCCTCCAACACACCAGGCGCAGTCCTGCCCATGGCCTGTGCCCTCTGCCCGGAATGCTTTTCCTCCAGAAGCCTGCTTGGCTCCCTCATCATCTTTTATTTATTTATTTATCTTTTATTTTTTCGAGACACTGTCTCACTCTGTCACCCAGGCTGGAGTGCAGTGGTGCAATCTTGGCTCACTGCAACCTCCGCCTCCCAGGTTCAAGGGATTCTCCTGCCTCAGCCTCCCGAGTAGCTGGGATTACAGGCATGGGCCACCACACCCAGCTAATTTTTGTAATTTTAGTAGAGATGGGGTTTCACCATGTTAGTCAGGCTGGTCTCGAACTCCTGACCTCAAGTGATCTGCCTGCCTCAGCCTCCCAAAGTGCTGGGATTACAGGCGAGAGGCACCATGCCTGGCCCCTAATTTTCTGTAAAACCGCACAAATCCCGCCTTCCCCATAGAATCACCCAGACCAGCCCTGTGCCCAGTCCAGGCTCTTCTCCTGTTTCTGTTCTCAAAGCACTTTCCACCTGGCTTCAGGCTGTCTCACTTATTGCTGTGTTCATTGTCGGCCTCCCTGCCTACACCATCACCTCCACCAGAGTGGGGTTCTCTGCTCTGCTTATGGATGTTTCTAGCATTTTGTGGCACACAGTAGGTGCTCAGTAACTATTTGCTGAATGAATGACCGACACCAGCCGGCACGGATGGAGCAATCGCATAAATGAGAGTTCATCTCTCACGCATCATCAGGAGCCATGACAGGGAGTCTACGCCTCCACTGCCCATGATAGGACAGCTTTGAGATTAGATCAGGTCCTCTGCAGAGTCGCCCATGACCCATCCCAACCCACGTCCCCTCATCATTGCATCCTGTCATTTATTTATAATTGTGGTAAAATCACATGCACATAACATAAAATTTGTCATCTTAACCATTGTATTGTTATTTGAGACGGACTGTCACTCTGTCACCCAGGCTGGAGTGCAGTGGTGCAATCTTGGCTCACTGCAACCTCCGCTTCCCAGGTTCAAGTGATTCTCCTGCTTCAGCCTCCCAAGTAGTTGGGACTACAGGCGCCCGCCACCACGCCCAGCTAATTTTTGTATTTTTAATAGAGGTGGGGTTTCGCCATCTTGGCCAGGCTGGTCTCAAACTCCTGACCTCGGTTGATCTTCCCTCCTCGGCCTCCCAAAGAGCTGGGATTACAGGCGTGAGCCATCGCGCCCAGCTAATTTTTGTATTTTTAGTAGGACAGGGTTTTGCCATATTGGCCAAGCTGGTCTTGAAATCCTGGGCTCAAGTGATCCACCCGCCTCAGCCTCCCAGAGTGTTGGGATTACAGACATGAGCCACTGTGCCCGACCTAAGACTTTGCTTTCTATTCTTTTTGGGTGTATACCCAGGAATAGAGTTGCTCATAGGGTAATTCTGTTTAACTTTTTCCATCTCTACACAAAATACAAAAAATTAGCCAGGCATGATGGTGCACACCTGTGGTTTTAGCTACTCGGGAGGCTGAGGTGGGAGAATCACCTGAGCCAGGGAAGTCGAGGCTGCAGTGAGCCGTGATCGCACCACTGCTCTCCAGCCTGGGTGACAGAGCAAGACCCTGTCTCTTAAAAACAAACTTTTTGGGTTTTTTGTTTTACATAGCAGTGGCACTATTTTACAATCCCACCAAAATGCACCAGGTTAAACTTCCCATTAAGACGTGGGCCTACTCCACCAGACTACAGAGTTGCCCCATCCCAGCCTTGTTCCTCGTTTGTCTGTTAAAATGCACCCTCTAGCTGGTATACAGTAGGCGCTCAATATTTGTTGAACAAATGAGTGAACGTGGACCTGGTCATTAGACTGATGACAAGAGTCGAGGTTGGGGAGATTAAGGCGTTTCTTGAGAGCCAGCTGTATACCAGGGCGAGGGGATTTTTAAAGACTGTGAACGGAGTAATTCAACCATGAGTTTCACCTGGCCCAGGTTTAAGGCCACCTCCCCGCAGAACTCTCCTCGTCCAGCAGAGGGCGCCTTAAGGTGATATGCTAACGAAAGGAAATAATATGCAAATGAGTAATAGCGGGCCCCGCGGGGCTTTTTTGGTCAGGCGCGCCGTGGACAGCCCTGGCGCCGCAGGGGCCTGGGGCTCAAGATGGCGCCGCTACAGCCGCCGAAGGTCGGGCGGCGGCGCTGGCGAGGCTCCCGGAGACCGCAGGCAGGGCAGCCCCTGCCCTCCTTACTTCCTCCCGCGGCCGTCTGTCCCGGCCCAGGGGTCCGTCACCAGCCTTGGTCGCGCAGGAGCAGGCGTTTCTGAGCAGGCGCGCTGCGGGCAGCCCCTCCCGGGGTCCCTTGCGGCGGCGTCCCGAGGGCCTCCGGGGGCCTCGGAGCAAGATGGCGGCGGCGGGGTCCGTGAGGCGCGGGCGGCGGCGACCGCGGCGCCAGTGAGGGGGCCCTGGGGCCCGGGCGGCTCCGGGCCGGGGCCCCGCCGCGGGACGGACCATGCTACGCTCCACTGGCTTCTTCCGGGCCATTGACTGCCCCTATTGGTCTGGGGCGCCCGGGGGGCCCTGCCGGCGGCCCTACTGCCACTTCCGGCACCGCGGGGCCCGGGGCTCCGGCGCGCCCGGTGACGGCGGAGAGGCGCCCCCCGCAGCAGGTAATGCCCGCCCGCCTGCTTGCCTTGGGCTCGGCTCCCCTGCCCGGGTCTGGACCCCACCCCGGTCCCGCCCGGGGTCCCCGTTCTCGGCCCAGCCTCCTCCCCACACGTTCGCGGGCGACGGTTTTCCCAGTCGGGACCGGAACCACCCACCCTGGGACCCGGTGCAAAGCACTAGATGTCCCTAAGCCTTCGTCTTCACGAGTGTGAAATGTCAACTAGGAGGACGCGTCCTGCCAGGGCTGTCTAGAGGGCGGAGTGCGAGCGCATGTTGAGTACCGGGCACCGGGCCTGACACAAGGGGGCTCGGGAGACGGGCGCGGCCGGCGCTAGGCAGGTCCTGGACTCCTCCTGCCCCTGATTGGCGCCCGCCGCTTCCCGGACCCCATGTGCTTGTGGCCGCCCTTGTTTATTTCCATGACGTTTCCTCCGGCCGCGCCTCTGGCAGCGGCCACCTCAGTCTCCAGTCGTTGAGTTAGGATGGTCCGAGGATCGTCTCTTGTGTTTGTCGAGCCCTGTGTCCAGCATGACTGGCAGGGAGGAAGTCAAAGCTTACTCGAGTGGGCTCCGAGGAATTCCATGCTTTTGGTCGGGCAGAGGACGTTGGTGGACTCCACCTCACAGCGTCATGGTGGTTTTCATCGTCATGGCAGCGTTTCTTGGAGGAGATGTGGGATTTGGATTGGAGAAAAAGAGGGACATCGCAAGGAAAGTCGTGGAGGGAGGGTTATCGAGTGTGATGTCATTCAGACTCCCCTGTTACCTCTGTCCCTTGATAGTGGCTCTCTGCTTCACCCAGCCCCTGACTTCCTTCGTCCCAGATTTCCTCATTGGGCGTGAGTTTCAAGCACTGTTTTTACTTTAACCATGAAACAGTCTCAGCTCAGAACCTTTTCCTGCAAAAGAGAAACATCTTCTCTAGGATTTAAGAATAGGTTTATTTTCCTGTTTTGCCAGAAAAGGTAGCATTTTTTTCTGATTTCCCTGATAAGTGTGCTTGGGACACCTGCACCTGTGGGCGGTTGTTTGCAGGTGGACAGATGCAAGCAATCACTTGTCAGCTCCCCACAGCCCAGCGTCTTCGCTGTGTTTGAGGCGGGGGATTCAGAGCTGCGTACGATGCCGGCTGTGCTCTCAGGGACCTGCCGACAGCTGTGCCTACAGATCCCGTAGCATAGGTCGTGATGTCCTGGGAGCACGCAGCCGGCTTTGGCGGGGGCTGGGAGTTGGTGAAGAAGGCAACGCGTGGGAGAGGCTTCTCGGAGGCTGTGACACCAGACTCACGATGCTCATTTTAACCCTATTTTTAGAGACAGGGTCTCACTCTATAGTCCAGGCTGGAGTGCAGTGGTGCGATCACAGCTCTTTGAGGCCTCGACCTCCTGGGCTCAAGGGATCCTCCTGCCTGAACCTCCTGAGTAGCTGGGACTATGGGCGGCGGGTGCCACCAAGCCTGGCTAACTTTGTATGTTTTCGTGGAGATAGGGTCTCGCTATGTTGTCCAGGCTTGTCTCAAAACTCCTGGCCTCGAGCCGACCTCCTGCTTCGGCCTCCCAAAGTGCTGGGGTTACAGGTGTGAGCTACTGCACCCGGCGCAAGTCAGGCTTATGATATCTGTCTGCATCCCAAATGGCTCATTTGTTTCCCAAAGGCTTATTTTTGAGGGTCCCTTTGGTGATGTCGTCTTCCTGTCTGCCCCCCGTTCCTATGGGAAAAAGGCAGCTGCCTGCCTCTTACCATGGCGTGTCTGCATTTCCCTTTTGCTGGTGAGAATGAACTCCTTTTCCCATCTCTGGTGGGGTGGTAGGGCTTCTTGTTACTGTCTGGTAGAAGACTGCCTCCCCCCGCAGAAGGCAGGATCCATCTTCCTTGCGGTGAGGTTTCTCTGACCCTCTGTTTCCGCCTCCGTGACATGTTCATCAGGCTGCCCTCTGAGGACAGGGGGGGATGCATGTCCCATGTCCACACCTCCAGATTTACACACACCCAGTTTCCTATGAGATTTGAAGAGGCTGGCGTGATCTAGCCTTTGCCATGTCTTCTCAAGGGGATTTTAGGGTGCACAGGGCAGCGGCCTCCAGAGAGGAGATAGACAGGAACGCTGGCCTCCCAGGATTGAGAGTGGACAGAGGTTCAGGTGAAAAGCCCTCAGCTAGCCCTGGAGCACCTGTGGGGCCATGCTCTGTGCTGGACACGCGCTGCATGGTGACCCTGTGAGCTATTTGCTGCCGGTGGGGAAACGGAGGCTTATCGAGGAACGTGTTTTGCCCATACTACCACCTGGCCAGGGCAGGGCTGGAGCCTCCAGGGCCTCTGGGAGAAGGAGAGGGCATCTGATGAGGGCACCAAGGCAGGCAGGGTTGGGAGGCTTGGCGGAGCTGCGACGGGAACAGGAAGGTGGCTGGTGCTCCTGGGCCCTGGGTCACAGGCTCAGCGGGTCATTGGCGACCTTGAGCAGCACTGCTGAAGGACTCAGGTTTCCTTCTGGGCTCTTATCCCTGGACCTGCTCAGCCATTTTATTTAATGAATTAATTTTTGAGACAGGGTCTCACTTTATCACCCAGGCTGGAGTGCAGTGGTGCGATCACAGCTTACTGCAGCCTCGACCTCCTGGACTCAAGGGATCCACCTGGCTCAGCCTCCTGACTAGCTGAGACCACAGGCATGTGACATCACACCTCGCTAATGTTTAAAATTTTTGCCGAGACGGGGTCTCACTTTGTTGCCCATGCTGGTCTTGAGCTCCTGGACTCAAGCGATCCTCTCTCCTCAGCCTCCTGAAGTGCTGGGATGACAGGCGTGAAGCACCGCGCTGGGCTGCACAGCCATTTCAGAGCCGGCTGGACCTGCCCAGGGTGGCTTGGAGGGATGGTCCAGCAGCCCTTACGGCGGGCACCGTGTAGCCCTGGGACGCAGGGATGTGCATCCCCGGCCTAGAGGGGCACGTTCTATCCCAGCCTTGTGAGTTGGGAATGAGCGTTACTATCCCCCCAGTGGCCGCTCTCTGCTGCCTGGGCCTTGGCTGCAGCCTGGTGGTAGGTGAGGGGCCTCGGTTGTCTATGTGGAGTGGGCAGGGCTAGATCCCACCTTCCTCCCATCTGACCTCAGAACCCAGGCCTCTGCCCACTGCCCCGCACTCCCTGTGGTGTCTCAGGGAGTCTGTGTCCTACTGAGAGGCAGGACACTGTCTTCCAGGAGAGGGAACCCTTCCGGGGAGGATTGCAGGAAAGTCCAGGGCTCTCCAGAGGTGCGGTGGGCCCCAGCTCAGGGCTTCACAGCTCCGGCAGGAACGTGCTCCCAGATGATGCTTCTCCTGAGGGAGGCAGAGGCTGAGGGCACCACGTTGAGGGGATGCTAGTGCTGCGCCACAGGCTGACTCAGGCCCCAGCAGGACAGTCCCAGGCCTGGGGAAGGGGCCATCCTATACTGCAAAGTGAGCGGCAGACGTGTGTGCGGGGCGCACAGCTCCTGCCCTCGGGGATCCCGCAGTCGGGTTCAGGATCTGGCAGCCCGGTGCCAGTGGTTCTGGGTGGGGCTGTTGGCGGCGTCCCAGCTGGGGCTCCAGGCGACTCTCCAGAACTGCATCTGTAGAGGGCAGGAGTCCTGGGGTAGAGGCGCTCAGGGAGCAGCCCCAGGTACATGGGGAGCCCTGAAGCCCACCCACTGTGTACCCAGTATCTACTGAAGCCCACCCACCGTGTACCCAATATCTCCTGAAGCCCAGCCACCATGTACCCAGTATCTCCTGAGCCTTCTAGCAGAGTCGGGTCAGGCAGGGGTCCTCCTCCTTCTGGCTCTTCAGATGTGGCCCCTCACATGGGCTCTGGGGTCCCTACCTCTTGACTTGGCCACTACCACAGCAGTACTGGGCGGACTCTGCCTGTGACCCCCAAACAGCAGTGGGAGTGGCTCTTCCCAGTTTACAGATGAGGAAACTGAGGCCCAGCGCCGGGAGGCTGCTCACCTGTGTACGCGTGGCTGGTAACTGGCAGTGCTGGGTTGGATGTGGGTGGGCCGGGGCCCTGCCTGCCTCCTCTGCCGTTTTTGCTGCCAGCCTCTGTGGGCTGGGCACAGAAGGGAACTTGAAACCTTCCAAGGATGGGCCTGAAGCAGGCCTGGCTCTCCGGTGTCGGTGACAGCCTCCCATACCCCTGCTAGGCAGGTGAGCCCTGGGATCCTACTGATCTGTTAGGGCTTGCCAGCTCTCCTCGGAAACTCTGAGGCCCCGAGTCAGGCGAGAAGGGAGAAGGAGGCCAAGAATGGCGCCTCGCTGCAGAGGATGGCTTGCCTTCATTTCCTCTGGCCTCTCAGGAGGGTCAGGAGCTCCCGCTGGCTGCGTCCTGTGCTGCCTCCTCCTGGTGGATGGGAGACAGCCGGCTTTCCGTGGGGCAGTGAAGGCACCGTCTGACCACCTGTGTCACCTTCAGAGACGTGACAGTGTGTGCTCTCCTCGGTCCGACTTTTCATCCTCAGTGAGCCGCGTCCAGGAAGGAATGGACTCTAGGGGAGAACCCCCGCAGCCAGCAGTATTGTCTTTTGGTTCCCCAGGCCTGACCAGGGCGTATGAGGACCCGGGGGTGATTTTACCAGCGGGTGGCAGGTGGGCAATCGGGCCACCGGGGCCGCCTGCCTGCCTGGCCTGGAGTGGCAGCTATGGAGCTTGCTGGAGGGACGGTTGGTGCTAGGGACACTGGGGGCCAGATTGTCGTCTGGTGGGCTGTCCTTTGCGTTGTAGGATGTTGAGCAGCGTCCCTGGGCTTCCCTGACCCCAGTGGTGACAACCAGCGGTGGTGCTGAGGCCGTTTCTTTTTCAGCCCTCGCCGGCGAGCCTGCGAGTCCAGCTGCGGCTCTGGGCCCTGGGGAGCTGGGACCCTCCGGGCGGGGGGTTGAAGCTTTGCCCAGCTGTGGCTCTGGGCCCTGGGGAGCTGGGACCCTCCGGGCGGGGGGTTGAAGCTTTGCCCAGCTGCGGCTCTGGGCCCGGGGAGCTGGGACCCTCCGGGCTGGGGGTTGAAGCTTCGCCCAGCTGCGGCTCTGGGCCCGGGGAGCTGGGACCCTCCGGGCGGGGGGTTGAAGCTTTGCCCTGGCCTCGAGGAGGAGGAGCCCTCCCCCACACTCCTACCACAGAGTGGGTGGCTCTGCTGCCCCGTGACTCTTGATGTTCCTGTGTGGAGGGGGTTAGAGGAAAGGGGCCTGGGGTTTCCAGAGCAGCCGCCTTCTTGCAGATGCTGGCAGGATTGTGCTGGCAGCTCTCCCCCAGGTGGATGGCGATGGGAAAAGCGCTGGGTTCCCAGGGCCTGGGGGCCTGTCCGTGTTGCCACGGGTCTCTGGGTGCTTTACTTTTGAAGGTACTATTTTCTGGCCTGGGGAAATGTTTGTTTTAGAAACATCAGAGAATACGGAAGAGCCAGAGGAGAAGTGTGGCTTCCTTTGCCGAGTCCGGCACCAGGCCGCTTGCCGGGCCTCCTCCAGACTCCACACCAGAGGTCCCGGGCTTGCTGTGCTTGAGCCATGGCTGGGACCCTGCCTCACAGATGAGGTTGGATTCTGTTTTTTTGGGGGGGCTTTTCCCAAGGTTCTGAGGTCCTCACCTGACTTCCGGAGCGCCTGGGCAGCTTTGAAAACCTGGCTGCTGGGCCCGGAGCTGCCTCCAGGCGTGGGCCGTGCCAGTCGAGGCTGGTTTTGGTATTCATATTTTAGGATTCTTTGCTTAGGTCTTCAGTAGAGCAGTGACTGATCCCGACAGGGCGGTTCTGCACCTTGGGAATGTTAGGAGATGTCTGGAGATGTTTTGGTTGCCAGTTTGGGGGTGCAGGCACAGAGAGGGCAGAGGCCAGGGGCACTGCTCAGCACCCTTCAGTGCTGGGGACAACCCCACAGACAGAGATCTAGCTTGGGGCAGTAGTCCTGAGGATGAGGATGCCGGTCTGGCGGCCCCGCCTGCTGTTTTTGTGTTTTCTTTGCTGCTGCTGCTTTTTTTTTTTTTTTTTGCAACGGAATCTGGCTCTGTCGTCTAGGCTGTTGGAGTGCAGTGGCTCCATCTTAGCTTCCTGTAACCTCCGCCTCCTGGATTCAAGTGATTCTTCTGCCTCAGTGTCCCAGGTAGCTGGGATTACAGGCACCTGCTACCACGCCTGGCTAATTTTTGTATTTTTAGTAGAGATGGGGTTTCACCATGTTGGCCAGGCTGGTCTCGAACTCCTGGCCTCAAGTGATCCACCCGCCTCAGCCTCCCAAAGTGCTGGGATTACAAGCGTGAGCCACTGTGCTGGGCCTGTTTTTGTGTTTTCGAGAGGGATGGCTGAGCTGGCGCTCTGCCTGTAGGGAGAGGCAGAGACCCTGAGAAGCACCGTCCCTGCCCCCAGAGCCTGAGATGGGAGAGGCAGAGCAGCTCGCTGGGGCTGGGGTCAGCGGGGACAAGCGTGCCTGCTGGGAGGGGTTCCGGGGACTCTTGCAGTGCCTGAGCCGCTCCCCAGAGCGCTCCCCCCAGAGCCCTGTGCAGCTTTACCGTCTCCTCCAGGGACTGCAGACTGGAGGTTCAGGTGCCAGTGGCCGGCCTCTGTCCCTCTGGAGACCGTACCCCGGAATGAAGGCGTCTTGCTTGGCTTTCTGTGGGGCAGAGCTCGCTAGGAAGGCCCCGGCCTCCTCCTGCTGGGCGTTACCCCCTTGAGCCTGTTGCCTCCTGAACCTCCCTCGGCCTCTGCGAGCTCTTCTGCACGATGGGGTCGTGGCATCTGAGTGTGACGGGAAGCGTCGTGCGGGCTGTGCTGTAGCAGGCCTCACTTTGACGAGAAAACTCTGTCCTCCTCCGCCCTCCTCCCCACCCTCAGAATCCCTTCTGCAAAGCAATCCCTAGAGAGGAGCAGGCAGGTTTCCGGGGAGCGCTGGGTGCGCCCGGCCGTGGCTTGTTCCTTACGCTGTCCGCGCAGTGGGTAGATTCTGTTGGTATGATCTGCTGCAGAACAAAAAGCAAAAACCTGAAAAGAAAATAAACAGGGTAGAAGGGAGACTGTCAGGGCAATCCTGGGGGTCCCTGAGCCTCACGGGGACCTCTCGAGTTGCCATTCCTCTTCCTCCTCTAACAGCCAAGTCCTCTGGGACCCTTGGAGGAGCCGCATGTGCACTGGCTGTTTCGGGGCGATCCCTCCCTTAGGCTCCGAGAGGTTTTTGGGAACGGCTGCGAGGACGGAGCGCCTCCCGTCCCATGACAGGCTGCGTGCCTGGAGCCCGGGGTTCTGGGACCTGCCCCTGCTTCCGGCCTCAGGAAAGGAGTGGTTGGGGGAGGACTCGGGACGAGCTGTGGGCTGAGCCTGGACACACACACCACAGGACTTCAGTGTTCTCTGTAAAGCCAGGAGCTGGTCCTGGTGCCCTCCAAGGCCCTGTCTGGGTCCATCTAGACTCAGTGTCTGTGGCGCCAGGCTGAGGGGACTCGGGAAGCAGAAGCGGAGGGGGTGATGTGGGGTGGGCCCGGGTCCAGGAGACAGGGCAGCTGTCACTTGGAGTTGCAGGGAGTGGAGGGGTGACGTGGGGCGGGCCCGGGTGTCACTCAGAGTTGCAGGGGGGTGGGGCGAGTGTTTCCAAACACAGGATTACTGGGCTGGGTTTTGGAGGATGAATAGGAGTTTGCCTGTGGCTGGAAGTGGGATTAGGGCTGTGGGCTCTGGGGATGGAGACAGCTCGAGGAAAGCCTGGGATGTTCTCCTGCTCTGGGCTTGGGGCTGCTTGGGAGCTTGCCGCCGATGGGGCTCACTGTTGATATGCTGTCTCATCTGTCCCCAGCCTGGGAGCGCTCCTGCGGTTGGGCAGTCTGCGATTCTCAGCTTTCTGGAGTCTCTTCCTGTTCCCACAGAGACTCATGTCTGGAGAGTCGGTGTGCTGCAGGTGTGGAGGGGCCCGTGCCTCTGGGTCAGTGTTTCCTTCCCCTTCCCACTTTCCTTCCTTCCTCAGATCTCTGCAGACACCTGCCCTGGGCCAGCTCCGTCGACGCTGGGGTGCTCAGAAGAGCCTGGCAGGGGGCAGGGCCAGGAAGGTGGCAGAGAGCGTGTGCTTGGGGGTGTGGGCCTGGCGTGCACTCCAGGCGTATCCCCGCCCTGTGGCTTCCCAGCCTGTCCATTTGTCCTGGCGACAGGTCCATCCCCACCCTGTTAACGGTCACGGGTCACAGTCCATTTTTCTGAGACCCCTCCCTCCTCCTCTCACAGTGGCTCAGAGGCCCTCAGAGACCAAAAGGGAGCCAGCACTGCCTCAGGAGCAGGCCCTAGGGAGACAGGATCTGGAAGCCATGGAAGTGGGCCTGCGCAGTCCTGAGTTGGCCACCGCCCCGTGCACCACGGCCGAGGAGGTGGAGTGAGGTGAGGGCTCCACCATGCCTTCCACCTCTGTATCCCAGGCACTATGCCAGGCACTGCTGCTTCTGCAGGGAGGACTTCGGAGGGCTGCCTGGAGGAAGTGGACTTTGGGGAAGTGGATGAGACAGAGAGGGAGGGCCCTGCCCTTTGTGCCCTGCAGGCTGCGTGCCCTCTCTGAGGTCCTGGGCAGGTATTCAGAGAACATGTGCTGGAGGAATGAATGATGGGGCCGGGGTCGGCCCACATTGCCAGCCAGCACCCCGTCCCCCCAGCATCTGCACACAGGTCACCAAGTAACAAAAACAGCTTGTGCTTGCAGTCACCCTGGTGTGTGGGTTCCTCCTTAGGCGCCACGGCACCCATCCTAGGAACAGCCTGTGAACCCCTGGCTGAGGGGCAGCGCCCCGTGGAGGTGCCCACTCCAGCTTCTCTGTGAGCCCCTGGAAGAGGCTGCAGGGCTCCTGGATGCTTTTAGTCCTCTGTGCCTGACGGGGAGCACAGGAGTCCCAGAAACACCCACTGGGAAATGTCCTTTGGGGACAGAAAAGGCCCTGGGATGAGGAGGAGCTGAGAGCTGGACTCTTTTTTTTTTTTTTTGGAGATAGAGTCTCGCTCTGTCGCCCTGGCTGGAGTGCAGTGGCGTGATCTTGGCTCACTGCAACTTCCGCTGCTGGGTTCAAGTGATACTTTTGCCTCAGCCTCCCGAGTAGCTGGGATTACAGGAGCACGCCGCCACGCCCAGCTAATTTTTTGTATTTTAGTAGAGACAGAGTTTCACCGTGTTGCCCAGGCTGGTCTCAAACTCCTGAGCTCAAGGCAGTCCGCCCGCCTCAGCTTTCCGAAGTGCTGGGATTATAGGCGTGAGCCACCGTGCCCAGCTGCTGATTTTTGTATTTTTAGTAGACACAGGGTTTCACCATGTTGCCCAGGCTGGTCTCGAACTCCTGGGCTCAAGAGATCCACCAGCCTTGTCCTCCCAAGTGCTGGGGTTACAGGCGTGAGCTACCGTGCCCGGCTGAGAGCTGGACTCTTAACTTACTCTGTGTGGACCATGAAAGTGGCTCACAGCCAAGGTGGGCTCTTGGCAGGGATGGAGAGGCATAGGGGGAGAAGGTCCCGCTGGCTCCTCCCTGCCGGTTCTTGTCCTTTGCCATTTGTACCCTTCTGTTTCAGTTTTTTTTTTTTTTTGAAAAGGAGTCTCGCCCTGTCACCCAGGCTGGAGAGCAATGTCACGATCTCGGCTCACCGCAACGTCCGCCTCCCGAGTTCAAACGATTCTCCTGCCTCAGCCTCCCGAGTAGCTGGGATTACAGGCGTGAGCTACTGCGCCCAGGCATGGGATTACCTGGGATTACAGGCATGTGCCACCACAGCTGGCTAATTTTGTATTTTTTTAAGTAGAGACAGGATTTCTGCATGTTGCTCAGGCTGGTCTCGAACTCCCAACCTCAGGTGATCCGCCCGCTTCGACTTTCCAAAGTGCTGGGATTACAGGTGTGAGCCACCACGCCCAGCTGGTTTTTTTTTTTTTTTTTGAGATGGAGTTTCGTTCTTGTTGCCCAGGCTGGAGTGCGGTGGCGCCATCTCAGCTCACTGCAGACTCCACCTTCCGGGTTCAAGCAATTCTCCTGCCTCAGCCTCCTGAGTAGCTGGGGTTATAGGCACCCCCACACCCGGCTAATTTTTTGTAGTTTTAGTAGGGACGGGGTTTCCCCATGTTGGCCAGGCTGGTCTCAAACTCCTCACCTCAAATCATCCACCTGCCTCGGCCTTGGGCTCAGCCTCCCAGAGCGCGGGGATTAGAGCCGTGAGCTACTGCGCCCAGCCTGTTTCTACATTGTTTTGAAAGGCAGTGACCTCTGTCCTGGTTACCGTCCCTGTCCCCTAGCCTCGAGCTGTAAGCCTTGGGACAGCAGCGCGTCCAGTCATGGCATGTGGGGACGGCCGCCCCATGAGGTGAATAAATGCCCAGGACGCCCCAGAGAGCAGAGCTGGTGGTCCCCGGTCAGGCCGGGACCTTTTTCTTTTTCTCCCCTGGACCCTGCCGTGTGGCTCCACCTGCTGGGCGGTCCTGGCACTGCACACTGCGCTGTCGAGGTGGGGAGGGCGGTGCCTTGGAGCAGAGGGGAGGCTCGGATCGCAGCCCTGGGGGTCGAGGAGAACCCTGGGGGCAGTGGGGTAGACCCCAGGTGCCGCTGCTGCAGGCACAGCCCAGCCTCCACAGCAAGCTCTGAGACCTGGGTGGAGTCTGGTGTGGGGGGTGGGGCAGAGCTGGGCCACCTTGGATTTCAGAGAGGGTATTGGAAGCTGCTGGGTGGTGGAGGTCCAGGCCCCCGGCACTGGCTGGACTTTTCCTCGAAGCCCTCTCCAGGTGACCCTGTTTCTGCCCCGTGTGGTCTAGGAGCTGTGGGACCTCCTCTGGGTGCAGAGTGCTGGTCCCTTTGCCTCTGAGCAGCGGGTTCCTATCTGTCCAGTGGGCTGTGCATGGAGGGCCCCGGGCGCCCGCATGTCCAAGGATGGGGCTGGAGGACGTCCCACTGTGAGGGTTGGAGGGGAGGCCCCAGGAGCAGGGACCCCCAGAGTGGACGTATGGCCATTTGTGGGGACCTTATGGTTACTCTGCCGTCCGCAGGAGGTGGACTTCAGGGGTGCTGTCCTCCAGACCCCTCTTCCCAGAGGGTCTGTTATGGGATGGGCGCTCCCGTGGACACAACCAGCCCCTGCCTTGCGCTTCGCGAGGGTCAGCCCCGTGCCTTCTCTGCCGCTGTGGCTGTTTTGGGAATGTCCTCTTCTGTCTCCACCTTCAAAGCCTCAGGCCGCCCAGATGGCTCCCCCAGGGGCTAGGTTGGGGGTAGTCTTGCTTATCTCATGCCGCAGTGTCAGGCTTATCTTTTTTGTCCAGCTAAGCCCCAGGCGGGAGGGACTGTCTGTTTCCATCTGGGGTCTCTGCCTGGCCTGTTCTGGGCCAGCATGCGGGGCCCACTGCCTGGGCTGGAGGGGCCAGTCCTGCTGATGCCTGGTTGCGTTGAGAGCCCTGCGGGCCCACCGAACGGTGTCCGGAGCAGGGGCTGGGCCTGCCGGGTTCTTTTTTTTTTTTTTTTTTTTTTTTGAGACAGTCTTGCTCTGTTGCCCAGGCTGCAGTGCGATGGCGTAATCTTGGCTCACCGCAGTCTCCGCCTCCCGGGTTCAAGTGATTCTCCTGTCTCAGCCTCCCAAGTAGCTGGGACTATAGGCGCCTGCCGCCACGCCCGGCTAATTTGTGTTTTCTTAGTAGAGACGGGGTTTTACCTTATTGTCCAGGCTGGTCTCGAACTCCTGACCTCAGGTGATCCACCCGTCTCGGCCTCCTACAGTGCTGGGATTACAGGCATGAGCCATCGTGTCCAGCCAGCCTGCCGGGTTCTTTAGAGCCACTGAGTCTCCCCGTCTGGGTGGGAGGGGCCTGGGGCTCCTTGTGGGGCTAGGAGCTGCCGGCTCTCGCTGGCACTGGGTGTCCTCATCTTTGAAATGGGCTGACTGAGAGAAGACAGGAGTTTGGACGGGTCTCACTAGAGAACGTTCTGGAAGTTCAGGTTGGGATCTTCGTGCTCCATGATCTTGTCATTTTTGCTGCCTTTCAGTCTCCGTGTGGGGTTGGAGCTCATGCCAGGTTCTCCCCATTGCTGGGGACAGGACAGCTGTGTGGGTGGATTGAGTGTGGTGGGGCGGGGGCAGTGGGAGCAGAGAGGAGAGTGGATGCCCAGGGTGAGGGGTTTCTGGGCCAAGGGAAGGTTTGGGGGCCAGGAGATGGCCTTGGGCAGATAGTGCTGGTCCCAGGCCCCACACCTAGAACCCTGGGAAGAAATATCATCTTTGTCATCCAGCCCGTCCCGGGGCTGCAGGGCACTGGTCTCAGGAGATGCGGTCAGGATGGGTGGTGTAGGGAGTGGGCTCTCTCCTAGGCCGGGACAAGGCTGGGCTGCGTTGCCCTGGGCTGAGCCCTGGCTGGAGAGGCTGGGGAAGATAGCCAGCCAGGCGTTGTGGCCTCTCAGGACCACTGGGGCTGGGTGGTACCTCCCAGTCCTGGCCTTGGGGTGAAGCAGGGAGGAAGGGGCAGCTCCCAGGCCTCTGGAGGTAGGCTTTTCCTGTCAGCCAATTCACCATGTTTCCCAGAAACAGACTGACCTGGGCCACATCCAGGAAGGAGCCCACCTGCTCCTATCCAAAGTAATTCCCAGCCGTGGGACGGGGCCTGGACGGGCCCCTCCTACTTCCAGAGTCGGCATTCATTTATGTATGTGTGTGTGTATGTATGTATGTATGTGTGTATGCATGTATAGCTCTGTCGCCCAGGTTGGAGTGCAGTGGTGCGTTCTCGGCTCACTGCAACCTCCACTTCCCAGGTTTAGGTGATTCTCCTGCCTCAGCTTCCCGACTAGCTGGGATTACAGGCGCCTGCCACCAGGCCTGGCTAATTTTTTTTTGTATTTTTTAGTAGAGGTGGAGTTTCACCATGTTGGCCAGGCTGGTTTCGAACTCCTGACCTCGGTGATCCTCCCGCCTCCGCCTCCCAAAGTGCTAGCATTACAAGTGTGAGCCACCACGCCTGGCCCAAACTCGGCCTTTAGATGTGACCCCCTGGGTGGGCTCCCAGGGCACCTAGCAGCATGCACATGCCACCCTGGGGCCTTTCCAGTCCTGACAGGTACCCAGATCCAACCCTCTGAGGCATGGTGGGACAGGGAGGTCCAGGGAGGCAGTGGTGTGTACCAGCTTCAGGTGACCTTTCAGGGGCTCAGCACGCCGTACCCCCTGTTCTGAGCTGCAGGCAGCCATGGCCGAGCCCCAGGCAACTTCCTGTGTGAAACTTCCAGACCTGGCTGGAGCGCCCAGGCCAGGATGCTGCCTTCCAGCACCAGTGGGTCACAGGCTGCAGGGTGGGGGAGCCCAGTGACCACAGGGAGGAGAGGCCGTGGTGCAGATCCTGATCTCAGTCTTCTCGGACCCGCCTAGCATGCCTGCTTTCTTTTTGGTGCAGTCTTTGTGGAGGTGGTAGCAGCCTCCACCCGGGAGTGAAAATGCTGAAACCCCCTCTGCAGAGTGTGCCCTCCGGCCTCCAGGTGCCCCTGCTCTTTCCCATCTGTTGGCTAAAGGCTGGGGCAGGTTTCACAGCCCTTAAAAGACAAGCAGTGCTTTGGGAGGCCGAGGCGAGAAGACCGCTTGAGCTTAGAAGTTTGAGACCAGCCTGGGCAATTACAGCGAGACCCCCGTCTCTACCAAAAAAAGAAAAGAATTAGCTGGATGTGGTGGTGCACGCAGGTGGTCCCAGCTACTTGCGAGGCTGAGGCGGGAGGATCGCTGGAGCCGGGGAGGCAAAGCTTCAGCGAGCCATCATGGTACCACTGCACTCCAGCCTGGGCAATGCCTGTCTCCACAAAACAACAAAACAAGTACTCACACAGGCTTCCAGTTAGAAAGACAAGCCCACGTCCCCCAGATTGGACCCTTATCACCTGTCCTGCGCTCTGCTTGGGGGCCTGGCTCCACTCCTGGGAGGCAGGTGCTATTCCTTCCAAGACCTTCCAAAAGCACCTTTTGGGGAAATGGTCTCTCCTTTCAGAGTCCACAATGTCCAGAGGTCTGAATTTCCTTCCTTTGGGAAGGGCTCGCGGGTGTCTGCTGGCTGGTGTGTGTATTGCCTGTGACTCTTGGCTCCCCTGGGCTGGGTTGATCTTGCAGGCTGTGTCTTAGAGCCCTGGGGTCCAGGACAAGGAGGTGGAAGCCCCTGAGTGGAGTCCCTTATCCTTAGCCCCTTAGAGATGCCTCAGTCCCCTCCACCCCCGCCTGCCCTCCTGGGGCCCAGTCTCACTGCTGCCCACCCCTGCCTGGGGAGGAGAGCCTTCCCGTTAGGCGGGCTCTTCCTCCTCTCTGCATCCCCGTTAGCTGGAGCCTTGGGAGGGGAGACCAGTGTCTCCCTGACCTGGCCTTGCTCCTCCTCAGTAATTGTGCTCTGTCACCTCCCCTTCATGAATCTCTGCAGCTCACGCCACAGTGGCCTTGGCCTGGCCCCTCCACGTCACTGGGCAGCCGGGCTTCCGGGGCTGGGGGAGGGCTGGCACTAGTTGCCCTGTTCACCAGGCGGGTGGCAGGGTGGCGTGCTCTGCAGCCGGCTGGGTCAGGGAGGAGCCGGAGCCTCCCCCAGTGAAGTGGGCCGGGAGGGCGCCCTTGAGCTGCTGCTGGCCTCCGCAGCCCTCCCCCTGGGTGGGGGCTGACACCCAGCCCCAGCCGGCCGTTTCCCTGCCGGGAGCATCCTCCTGGCCTGGCAGCTGTCCCTCCCCGCACAGAGGAACTGGCAGCCACAGTTGCTGATCCTAGTTGGGTGCCCTCGCTGACTCCCAGGGTCCTTGGCTGTGAGATGGTGCCAGAATGGGCCCCTCTGCGCCTGCTGGGCACATGGGGTGACGTTTCCTGGAAATGCCTTGGCTGTAGCCTGGCACAGGCAAAGAAGAACCTGTGGCTTCTGTGTGATGTTCCCCTGCCTGCCCGTACCTCGTGGCCCTCCACACAGTCCCGCGGAGTTCCGAGTGGTCCAAAACAGACACACGGATCCTTCCTCTTGTCTAAATGCTACTTAATTTTATTTGTTTTAGAGACAGGATCTTGCTCTGTTGCCCAGGCTGGAATGCGGTGGTGTGATCACAGCTCATTGAAGCCTTGACCTCTTAGGCTCAAGAGATCCTCCCACCTCAGCCTTCCAAGTAGCTGGGACCACAGGCATGCAACCATCACACCCAGCTCATTTTTTGTATTTTTTTGTAGAGACGGGGTCTCGCCGTGTTGCCTAGGCTGGTCTTGAACTCAAGCAGTCTGCTCATCTTGGCCTTCCAAAGTGCTGGGATTACAGGCGTGAGCCACTGAGCCTGGCACTAAGTGTAATTTTTTTTTTTTTTTTTTTTTTTGAGACAGAGTCTTGCTCTGTCGCCAGGCTGGAGTGTAGTGGTGTGATCTTGGCTCACTGCAACCTCTGCCTCCTGGGTTCAAGCGATTCTCCTGCCTCAGCCTCCTCAGTAGCTGGGATTACAGGTGCACGCCCCCATGCCTGGCTAATTTTGTATTTTTAGTAGAGATGGGGTTTCACCATGTTGGCCAGGATGGTCTTGAACTCCTGAGCTGGTGATCTGCCCGCCTTGGTCTCCCAAAGTGCTGGGATGACAGGCGTGAGCCACCGTGCCTGGGATGACAGGCGTGAGCCACCGTGCTGGGATGACAGGCGTGAGCCACCGTGCCTGGTCCCTAAATGTAATTTTAAAGATGGGCACAACACTGCTGTGATTTCAAGGGAAAGGCGGCAGCTGCCCGTGACCAGGCCTCCTCCCACCTCCTCTGCAGCCTCCGGGTCCCGGCCTCCCGCTGTCCCTGCAGGGTTCCCGGGAACAGGAGGGGCCTTCCGCCTTCGCAGGTACAGGCAGCGGGCAGCTGTTTTCCACTGCACTTTCATCACCCGGTGAGGCTGCATTCGTCCCCGTGGGCCTTAAAGCAGCACACTCTCTCTCAGCGCTGGGCTGGGAAGTCCAAAGTCAGCCTCGCTGGGCTCAAGTCAAGCTGTGGGCAGGACTGGGCCTCCCGAAGGCTTCCGGGGAGAGTCAGTGCCCGCCTTTCCCAGCATCTGGAGGCACCTGCATCCCTCGGCTCAGGGCGCCTTCCTCCCCTTCAAACCCACAGCACAGCCTTTTCCAGTCTCTCTGACTCTCACCCTCCTGCCTCCCTCTTTAAAGGACCCTGTGAGGACACTGGGTTCCCGGATAATGCAAGATGTTCACCCACCCTCAGGGTCCTTTGTTCAAGTCGCACCTGCAGTCTATTGGCTGAGTGAGGTGGCCTGGCCACAGGTCCCAGGGATTAGGATGGGGACTTACCTGGGGAGGCTTTTGTTCTGCTGGTGGGTGTGTCTCGGGGGAGCAGCTTGGGAAACCAGCCATTTCTTTTTTTCTTTTTCTTTTTCTTTCTTTTTTTTTTTTTTTTTTTTTTGAGATGGAGTTTTGCTCTTGTTGCCCAGGATAGAGTGCAATGGCTCAATCTTGGCTCACTGCAACTTCCGCCTCCCAGGTTCAAGCGATTCTCTTGCCTCAGCCTCCCGAGTAGCTGGGATTACAGGCATGGGTCACCACGGCTGGGTAATTTTTTTGTATTTTTAGTAGAGATGGGGTTTTTCCTTGTTGGTCAGGCTGGTCTCGAACTCCTGACCTCAGGTGATCCGCCCGCCTCAGCCTCCCAAAGTGCTGGGATTACAGGTGTGAGCCACCACAACCGGCCGAAACCAGCCATTTCTTTCTTATGCCTGCTGGGGCTTGAGGGGGTGTGGGTGGGGGCCATAGGGGAAGCCTCCAGTTCTGTTGCTGTTCTCTGCGTCGCCCACAGTGGGAGGTCTTGTGCCTGCCTCCCCTTGGCTGCGTCCAGCCATTTCTCTGCACGGAAGTCTTAGCACGCTGTGGGGGTCGATCTCCAGGTGGGCCGAAGGGCAGGCAGGTTTTCTGAGTGGAAGAAACACACCTGAGGCCCGACCTTCAGACAAGCTGCACGTTCAGTCAGAATCAAGTCAGAGCCAAGTGGCGTCTTGGTGCGGGCAGGTTCCCATGGGGCTGTTGCCTTTTGCTACATGGTGTCACAGCTCCTTATCAGCCTGTCGGGGATGTGTGTCAGCATTCACGTCCCTCTTGGGCAGTTGGTGTTGGGTGCAGCATAAATGAAGGCCAGATTGCATTTGCTGTACCCCATGGGACTGCGGGCTTGGTGTGGGCCCGTGCGCCTTTGTTGGAATCTGATCTCACTGGGTTTGTGGAGCTGCTTTTCAAAGGTGAGAGTGTGCAACATTCCTTGCCCCTCTTCTTCCCCATAGCAGTGTGACTTGGAGGTCCCTCCAGGGCGCACGCCTCCCCCTTAACCACAGGTGACCTGCGTTTCGGCTTCTAGGTCATCTCCTGCGTTATTTATTGTTGTGTTTTTGCAGTGAAGGCTGCACCAGACGCATCTGTACCTGCCCTGTGCGGTCTGTCTGTGGCACGGGTTCTGAGGATTCCGAGTCTGAAGGTGGTGGTGTTGAAGCTGCATGGGATGGTTGCGAAACTGCTCTGCAAGATCTCGGCCTGTCCATGGCCCCCTCAGTGACGGGCAAGGGAGATTTCACCCCATCTAGAGCCCCATTTGCCATCTAAGGGGATATACCATCTACAGGTTCCAGGAATTAGGACGCAGACGTCTTTGGCGCCATTTCCTGCCAACTCCAGAGGATCAGACCTGTTGACCTTTAGAGACCTTTAGAGATGTTACGGAATTACATTCAGTGGAACTTTATTTTATTTTTTTAAGAGCTGGGGTCTTGTTTTGTTGTCCAGGCCAGAGTGCAGAGGCACAATCCTGGCTCGCTGCAGCCTCAAGCCCCTGGGCTCAAGTGATTCTCCCACTTTAGCCTCCCACATAGCTAGGAGCACAGGTGTGCATCACCATGCTCAGCTTATTTTTAAGTATTTTTTTAAGAGATGGGATCTGTGTCATCCAGGCTGGTCTTAAACTCCTGAGCTCAAGCAGTATCCTCCCGCCTCAGCCTCCCAAAGTGCTGAGATGATCGGCGTGAGCCACTGTGCCTGGCCGTGCTCAGTAGAATTTCTAATGGTCAACTTCCAAGTTTCTGGAGTAAATATTTGAACTTGGTTTTTATTGCTTCGCTGGAATACTGGGCTCCACTTGCTCATGTTTTCTTTAGACTCCTTCGGCCTGTCCCCACGGGAGGCTTCTGTGGTTCTGACTTCTGTGCTGACGTTGGTGGCATTGAGGTTGTGAGGGTCTGCTACACTATGTTCTGGAACCACGTAAATAACATGCGAGTCTCATGTTCCCAGCTGCCCCCCGGGAAGACATTTCAGCCGTGTGCTTTAAGCCAGGCACAGCAGCTTGGGCTATAGTCCCAGCTATCTTGGAGGCTGAGGTGGGAGGATTGCTTGAGTCTACGAGTTCAAAGCCAGCCTGGCCAATATGGTGAGACTCCACCTCTACAAATTTTTTTTTGTTGAGACGGGGTTTCACTCTTGTCGCGCAGGCTGGAGTGCAATGGTGTGATCTCGGCTCACCGAAACCTCTGCCTCCCAGGTTCAAGCGATTCTCCTGCCTCAGCCTCCTGAGTAGCTGGGATTACAGGCATGCGCCACCACGCCCGGCTAATTTTGTATTTTTAGTAGAGACGGGGTTTCTCCATGTCGGTCTGGCTGGTCTTGAACTCCCGACCTCAGGTGATCCGCCCGCCTTGGCCTCCCAAAATGTTGGGATTACAGGCGTGCGCCACCGCGCCCAGCTACAAAAAGTTTTGAAATTAAAAAATTAATTTAAAGTAGGCCAGGTGCAGTGGATCACTTGAGGTCAGGAGTTCGAGACTGGCCAACATGGTGAAACCCCATCTCTACTAAAAATACAAAAATTAGCTGGGTGTGATGGCGCACGCCTGTAATCCCAGCTACTTGGGGGGCTGAGGCAGGAGGTTTGCTTGAACTCGGGAGATAGAGGCTGCGGTGAGCCAAGATCGCACCACTATACTCCAGCTTGGGCAGCAGAGAGACTGTCTCAAAAAAAAAAAATCTTCCTGTGGATTTTGCAGGGTGGCCCATCAACTGGGCATGTCCCCATCCCCCGGCCCTGCTCAGCCACATCACCGCAGGCACACCGCCACCACACCACCGCTGGCACACTGCTGGCACACCTCCGCCACACCGCGGGCACACTGCTGGCTGGGTGGGGCCGTGTTGGCTGAGGAAGGGCTCTCCTGTGTCCACCGTCAGGCTGTGGTTGTCGGCCCAGCCCAGTCCTGCCTCAGCCCGGCACCCTGAATGCTGGGAGCTCCACACCCGCCTGCCCCGGGGAGTTCCAGCCTGTCGAGTGTCCACCCCACCATGGTCATTGTGCGCATTTCATGAGCCGTGTGAGGGAGCCTCCAGTACCCAGGGAGCTGTGTGTCACGCAGCCCAGGCCCATCCAGCGCCCATTGGTCAGGGCAAGGCGGGGCCCGGCACAGGGCCTGAGATGGCGCCATGGCCTGTACCCAGCTGGGCACCCCAGAGCCTTGGCGGGCGCCAGTGCGTGGTGGGTTTCGGAGGCAGGTCTCTTCCCTTCCCTGCAGTTTGAGACCGGGGCCGCCCCCATGCTGCGGGCTCCTCTCCGGCAGGCTGGTCACAGCTGTGCTCTCTGTTCCCTTCAGGGCTGGGTTACGACCCCTACAACCCTGAGCTGCCCAAGCCCCCCGCGCAGAGGGAGAATGGCACCCTGGGCCTGGGGGAGGAGCCGCGCCCGGATGTGCTGGAGTTGGAGCTGGTCAACCAGGCCATCGAGGCCGTGCGCAGTGAGGTGGAGCTGGAGCAGCGGCGCTACCGGGAGCTGCTGGAGACGACCCGTGAGCACCGCTCCGCCGAGGCCCCCGCCCTGGCGCCCCGCGGCCCCAACGCCAGCCCCACTGTGGGCCCGGACGAGGATGCCTTCCCACTGGCCTTCGACTACAGCCCCGGCAGCCACGGCCTATTAAGCCCTGATGCCGGCTACCAGCCCACCCCACTGGCCGCCCCTGCCGAGCCGGGCAGCAAGTACTCGCTGGCGTCCCTGGACAGGGGTCAGGGCAGAGGTGGAGGGGGTGGCGGTGCCCTGGAATACGTCCCCAAGGCTGTGAGCCAGCCCCGGCGGCACAGCCGCCCCGTTCCCAGTGGCAAGTACGTGGTGGACAACTCCAGGCCACCCACAGACCTGGAGTATGACCCTCTCTCCAACTACTCGGCCCGGCACCTCAGCAGGGCCAGCTCCCGGGATGAGCGGGCCGCCAAGCGGCCCCGGGGCTCCCGCGGCAGTGAGCCCTACACACCTGCTCCCAAGAAGCTCTGTGACCCCTTTGGCAGTTGCGATGCAAGGTTCTCAGACTCAGAAGATGAGGCCGCCACGGTCCCAGGTAACGAGCCCACCACGGCCAGCACCCCCAAAGCCAGGGCCGACCCTGAGATCAAGGCCACCGGGCAGCCACCCTCCAAAGAGGGCCTGGAGGCCGAGGGGGGCGGCCTGCGGGAGACCAAGGAGACGGCCGTGCAGTGCGACGTGGGGGACCTCCAGCCGCCCCCAGCCAAGCCCGCCTCCCCAGCCCAGGTCCAGTCCTCACAGGATGGGGGCTGCCCCAAGGAGGGAAAACCCAAGAAGAAAAAAACCGGGGCCCCACCTGCCCCCAGCTGCAAAGACGGGGCCCAGGGGAAGGACAAGACCAAGGACAAGGGCCGAGGGCGGCCTGTGGAGAAGCCCCGTGCGGACAAGAAGGGCCCGCAGGCCAGCAGCCCCCGGCGCAAGGCAGAGCGGCCGGAAGGGACCAAGAAGAAGCCATCTTCGGCCACTCCTGTGGCCACCTCAGGGAAAGGGAGGCCTGACCGGCCAGCGCGGCGGCCGAGCCCCACAAGCGGGGACTCCCGACCGGCGGCCGGCAGAGGCCCACCCCGCCCCCTCCAGCTGCCCGACAGGAAGAGCACCAAGGCCCCGTCGGGGAAGCTAGTGGAGCGGAAAGCCCGCTCACTAGACGAGGGCGCCTCCCAGGACGCCCCCAAGCTGAAGAAGCGGGCCCTGAGCCACGCCGACCTCTTTGGGGACGAGAGTGAGGACGAGGCCGCAGGGCCAGGGGTGCCGAGCGTGTGGCCCTCTGCCCTCCCCAGCCTCAGCTCGGACTCAGACTCCGACTCAGACTCCAGCCTGGGCTTCCCGGAGGCGCAGGGGCCGCCCAAGCGGCTCAAGGCCTCCCCGCCCCCCTCCCCCGCCCCATCCTCCTCCTCCTCCTCCTCCTCCTCCACCTCCAGCGCGGGGGCGGATGTGGACTACTCGGCCCTGGAGAAGGAGGTGGACTTTGACTCCGACCCCATGGAGGAGTGCCTGCGGATCTTCAACGAGTCCACCAGCGTCAAGACGGAGGACAGAGGCCGGCTGGCCCGGCAGGTGAGGCGCGCGGGTGCTGGGGCTGGGCTCGGGCAGAGGCAGAGCCGAGGGCCTGGTGAGAGACCTTCTATCTGGAGTGGTTTCCAGTTGGCTCGGAGGCACGGGGTGGAGGCAGCTCCTCAGTGCTGGTCCCTGAGCCCGTTGAAATCTCAGGAGCTCAGGAGCACCCGGGCAGCCCTGTTGCTCCTGTTGCCCCTCACCCACCCAGAGGTCACTGGCCCGTGGCCACCAGCCAGGCTTCTGTGGCCACGTGCACACGGTCTGTTCCCACTGACTGGCAGGGGGATATTGGCCCACCCACCCACCTCAGGGGAATCCACCTCCGGCACACCCTTCTAGCCCCTCTCCCCTCGCCTCCCCTTTCCTCCCTTCCCCCTCTCTTCTCCCCTCCTCCCTTCCCCCATCTCTGTCTCTTCTCTTCCAGCTCCTCTGTCTCCTCTCCTTGCCTCCTCCTCATCCCCT
Organism: Homo sapiens; assembly: GCF_000001405.40. Lineage (NCBI taxonomy): Eukaryota > Metazoa > Chordata > Mammalia > Primates > Hominidae > Homo > Homo sapiens. The sequence continues at coordinate 1,826,415 of NC_000019.10, read as the reverse complement.
CCGGCTCCTTTCTCCTCCCCTCCCTCCTCCCTACTCCCAGCGTGGCGAGCTCTTGCTCTCCTGGGCCAGCCCTGGACCCCTGGGTCTCCTGGCCCCGTGTCCCCAAATTGGCCACCAGGGGGAGCTCACTCCACACAGACTGAGCCCAAGTGCTCAGCCCGCAGCAGCTGGTTCGGCCCAAGGTGGCCTCGCTTTCCCAGTGTGCTTTCATTCTGCAGCCCTGGGGTCTCCAAGCTGGGGCCCTGGGTGCCCAGGAGAGGTAGCCTTGGGCATCTGCAGAACGTGTGACACCTGCCCACCCCTCCGACTGCACCCACACAAAGCCCAGGGACTGTTGGCCCTGAGCCCTCAGCTGCTGTGCCTGGGGGCTGGACTGTTCCATTCCCCACTTGCCGGGGGCAGTTTGAGGTTGGGGTGTGTTGGTGTTGGCAGCGAGGGCAGACCTGTGCTGACGGACGGACATGTGTCTTAGCCCCCCAAGGAAGAGAAGAGTGAGGAGAAGGGGCTTTCGGGTCTGACCACTCTGTTCCCCGGGCAGAAGAGGAGGATCTCCCACCTTTCCAAGCAAGGCCAGGAGGTAAGGTCCGCAGAGGCCAGGCCAGCAGGAGCCTTTTTTTTTTTTTTTTTTAAAGACGAGGTTGGCCTGGTTTGGTGGCTCACGCCTGTAATCCCAGCACTTTGGGAGGCCAAGGCGGGTGGATCACCTGAGGCCAGGAGTTCGAGACCAGCCTGGCCAGCATGGCAAAACCCCATCTGTACTAAAAATACAAAAATTAGCTGGGCATGGTGATGGGTGCCTGTAATACCAGCTACTAGAGAGGCTGAGGCAGGAGAATCGCTTGAACTCAGGAGGCAGAGGTTACAGTGAGCCAAGATTGCACCACTGCACTCCAGCCTGGGTGATAGAGCAAGACTCTGTCTCAAAAAAAAAAAATTATAAAAAAAGGGGGTCTTGCTTTGTCACCCAGGCTGGTCTTCCAACTCCTGACCTCAAGTGATCCTCCTGCCTCGGCTTCCCAGCGTTGGGATTACAGGCGTGAGCCACTGCTCCCAGCTTCATCCCTCTGTTTTCTGTTTGTTTGTTTTTTGGTTGTTTTTTTTTTTTTTTTTTTTTTTGAGACGGAGTCTCGCTCTGTTACCCAGGCTGGAGTGCAGTGGCACGATCTCTGCTCACTGCAACTTCCGCCTCCCGGGCTTAAGTGATTTTCCTGCTTCAGCCTCCCGAGTACCTGGGATTACAGGTGCCCACCACCACACCAGGCTAATTTTTGTATCTTTAGTAGAGACGGGGTTTCACCATGTTGGCCAGACTGGTCTCGTGATCTGCCTACCTCGGCCTCCCAAAATGCTGGGATTACAAGCATGAGGCACTGCGCCCAGAGGTGGGCAGATCACGAGGTCAGGAGTTCGAGACCAGCCTGGCCAACATGGTGAAACCCCGTCTCTACTAAAGATACAAAATATTAGCTGGGCGCGGTGGCACGCACCTGTAATCCCAGCTACTCGGGAGGCTGAGGCAGGAGAATTGCTTGAACCCGGGAGGTGGAGGATTCAATGAGCCAAGATCGTGCCATTGCGCTCCAGCCTGGGCGACAAGGCAAGACTCTGTCTCAAAAAGATAAATACATAAAATGAGTTATCCATTCATAAACTTCTGATTTCTTTGGGACATTGTTCCTGTAAATCTGTGACGCTTTTTGTAAAGCATCAGTGATTTCCCCATTCGTTCTTCCACCCAAGTTTTACCATAAATTTGATGCTTAACATTTGCTTCAATTTTAGCAGAACTCCTGTTGCTCTGACTGGGGCTCTGTTCTAACTGATGTCTTACTTTTTTTTAGTGCCTCAAACTCCGTCTGGTTCAGACATGTTATGACAAGTTAGTATCAGTTTATTTTGGGGCAAAAAAACTTGAAAGCCATGCAAGTTTCGTCACAACGCACGTTTTCCATGAGCTTTTTGAAGACACCTTATCTTTGACGCTGCCCGAGTTCCAGAGGGAGCTGGCCCTGCCCCTTCCTGTTAGATTGCCACGGTGCTGGGGCGAGGGACAGAGCAGGTCAGCAGCCCCAGGGTGACCTCCCCCAGAGTGCGGCAGACGGCCTGCTGCGCCGTGTGCGGCCTGGGCCTGGGCCGGTTGTCCAGCTCTGAGCTCCAGTGTCCTCTGTAGCCCGGAGACAGTAGCGCTTGTCAGGCCCCTGTGCAGACGTGGCGAGGTAGTGCAGGACAAGCAGAGAGCCTGGCTCCGGGGTCAGCAGCCAGGAGAGTCCCAGTTGCTCCAGTCCCAGAGCCTCCCCAGAGGAGGGGCTTTGAGGAAGATTAGGCGTAGTGGGATTGGATTGGAGTGCCAGTGTAATCGGGGTAGTCCCGCCCACCCGTGCCTTATCAGGGCTGAGGACATAGCCTGGGCACCGGGAGACACTGGGAGTGGGGGAGCCTGGAGCCACATGGCATTGAGGACCACTGCCCCCTGCTGCTTCCCCCCAGTGTGCCCAGCAGCTCAGAAGGCAGCCAGGGAGGTGGTGCCTCCGGCCCCCGAGCTCCAGCCACCCTCTCCCAAGCCTGCCCGGGGTCGCCTGCTCCAGGTGCCCCCGCTGTGCTGCCAGGCCTTAGCATTTGTGGTGACGCAGGTGGAGCCCCCGAGGAGGGGTCCCGCGGTGCCCCCGGCCCGGCCCCCGACGGCGCAGGAGGTGTGCTACCTGCGGGCCCAGCAGGCGCAGAGGGCATCGGCGAGCTTGCTGCAGGCCCCCGCCAGGCTGGCAGAGAAGTCGCCCTCCGTCCACATTTCCGCCCCTGGCGAGAAGAGGAGGATCGCCCACATCCCCAACCCCCGCCTGGCTGCAGGTGAGTCCTGGCCCAGGGGGCCTGTGCCGGGGGGCCGTGGGCATGTGGGCAGGAGAGGTGGCACCCTGAGGTCTCTGAGCTCACCTGAACCACATGGTGCTTGCTCATGGGATGACTTTGGGCCCCCTCCCTGGGGCCCTCAGCCTGCCTGTCTGTGAAATGGGGACTGTTGAGGGGTGCAGGAGGCCTGGCCCAGCACCTTCCTTCCCTGACCCAGCTCCGGGGTTACTAGGAGTCCAACAGCCTGCTGGGGACTGGGCTGAACCAGGGCCTGAGCCTGTGGTTCCAGGGAATGGGGAGCCATGTCGGGGTACCTGGCATTGGGTGGGGAGCAGGCTTCTGCAGGTGTGGCTTTCTCCTGGCGTGTGAGTGGGGGGCGTGGCCTCTGATGGAAATGAGTGCTGTCTTCCCAGGAGTGGGGCTGTATTTCCTTTACTCCGAGGGGCACTTCCCCCCCAGCAGGGTCTTGTAGAAAGTCGGGCCAGGCCTCAGTGGTGGGTGGACAGGACCCTTCACGGGGGGTTGTCCTGTCTCCTGCGTCTTCACATCAGTGGTGTCTGTAGAGCGAGAAAGTATCCCTGGAGGCAGGTCACAGATGAGGGTCCCCCAGAAAGCTCCTAAAAAATGCAGGTTCTGGTCTGGAGGCTGGGAAAGGTCTGTGTGTCTGGCAAGCTCCCTGGGAGGGCATGGCTGCTGTCCGAGGACCACCCTGAGCAGCCTGCTGGTTTGGAGCCCCTGCCTCCCTGGCGCTGGCTGGAGAGCCTTAGGGCCAGCCCCGGCGATTCCCCTGCAGATCCCATGGATCCCACGGCCCTCCTTAGGGAGAGCTCTCCAGGCTACTCTGACCTCCCCTCCCCAGAGCCCCCTCACGGCTGAGACCTTAGCCCCAGGGAGGGGAAATCATTGAGTTGGGCCTATCCCAGGACCCCACACGCTTCCCGTCTGTGTCTCCGCGCTCGGGTTGTCCTGTTGCTGATCTGTGGTGGGTGCTGAGCTGTCGCAGTGCCCTTGGGGCCCGCCGCCTGAAGGGAGTCTGGCGTCCCAAGTGCTGGCAGTGCCGCAGGGCGGGCTCATCTGGCTTGGAGGACTCCTGTGGCTGCCTGGGCTCGCCCCCAGCGTGCAGCCGAGGGAGTCTGGAGGTTCTCTGTCCGTTCCTGAAGAGCAAACCCTCCACTGCAAGAGGCGCGTGCCAGCCTGGCGGGCAGCCTGCTTCCTTGCTGGGCGGCCCGCGGTAGCATGAGCAGACTCATCCTGCCTCCCTTGCACCTTCCAGGGCCAGATGGCATTTCGAGGGATGTTGCTCTGAGACTAGGGCCAGATGTCCCTGCTCACAGCTCCCCTTCCTGGGTCGGTGCCGAGCCCCCAGTCCAGAAGCCCCCCTGCCACACAGACGTACATGCCCAGGTTGCAGCTGCCCGCGTGGCCAGCCCTCCGAAGCAGCCCCTGCAGGCCTGGCCTCCTCCCTCTGGTTTGTGACTTCATCAAAGGGCAAGGCAGAACACAGAGGCCGCAGGGCAGGGCAAAGCCAATGAGCAGGTGGGGGCACCCGAGACCCTTCGGTCCTCTGTCCGGGAGCCAGGGCCTTTCCCTCAGACATCGACGCCTTGGGCTTGGGGTCAGAACACGTGGCAGAGGCCTGGACCACCCCACCGGTGACGTGTCCTCAGCGGCCTCCGCAGCCTGACCTGTGTCCTCTGCCTCGATGGACTTGCCTGAAGGCAGCTAGAGCCTGATGCCATTGCGCAGCCCCAGCCCCTCACCCTGGCCCGGCCCCCTGCACGCGGAGATGCACGTGCTGCTGGCGCTGAGCGGCCGCGGCTGCCTGGTGCTCCGCCACGTGGTGATGGGCAGCCACTCGCCCTGTGCCCACACCCCCTGTGCCCCGCCAGCCCCCACAGGTGCCAAGAGGACCCTTGCGGCCAGCGGCAGCCAGTCCTCCAACGGCCCTGAGCCAGGTGGCCAGCAGCTGAAAACACGCACATTGTCGGGGATGGCGTCCAAGACTACCACCACCATCATCCCTAAGCGAATCGCCCACAGTCCATCCTTACAGGTAGCCCCTCCCATCTCGGCCAGGACCACCACCCCCAAGACCACGCCCTGAGGCCCGGCCACATGGGACCTGCGGAGGGCCAGCCTCGCCCCTGCCCTGCGGGCCTTCGTGCTCCACACCGCAGTACAGCCTTCACCTTCCCTCCCCATGCCTTGGTGTTTTTTTTTTTTTTTTGAGATGGAGTCTCGCTCTGTCGCCCAGGCTGGAGTGCAGTGGCACGATCTTGGCTCACTGCAAGCTCTGCTTCCTGGGTTCACGCCATTCTCTGGCCTCAGCCTCCTGAGTAGCTGGGACTACAGGCGCCCGCCACCACGCCTGGCTGTTTTTGTATTTTTAGTAGAAACGGGGTTTCACCATGTTAGCCAGGATGGTCTCGATCTTCTGACCTCGTGATCCACCCGCCTCGGCCTCCCAAAGTGCTGGGATTACAGGCGTGAGCCACCATGCCCGACCGCCCTGGCGGTGTTTTTTTGTTTTGTCTTGTTTTGTTTTTTTGGTTGGTTGGTGTTTTTTTTTTTTGTTTAGAGACAGGGTCTCTGTTGCCCAGGCTAGAGTGCAGGGGCGCAATCATGGCTCACTGCAACCTCGACCTCCTGGGCTCAAGTGATCCTTCCACCTCAGCCTCCTGAGTAGCTGGGACCACAAGCCGGTGTCATCACACCCCAGCTAATAATTTTGTTTTTTATTTTGTAGAGACAGGGTTTTGCCACGTTGTCCAGGCTGATCTTGAACTCTTGTCCTCAAGTGATCCTCCTGCCTCAGCCTCCCAAAGTGCTGGGATTATAGGCGTGAGCCACCACGCTTGGCCTTGTTTTGTTTTTAATTAATAGACTTTATGTTTTTTGAGCAACTTTAGGTTTCTAGGAAAATTGAGCAGAAAGTACAGCAAGTTCCCTTGTGCCCCCATGGCCTCAGTTTCCCATGACCTTAGTTCCGCTGCCCTCAGTTTCCCCTGCTGCTCCTGTCTTGCCTTGGCGTGTCTGTCCCTACTGCAGCCAGGCTGATCTGTCCCAGCGCACCTCACTCTTGCCTCCAGCCATGGGCACGGCCTCATCGCGTCTGCGTTCCCCGCTGGAGGCCTTGTGGAGGCCCTCACCCATGGCAGCTTTTGCCTTCCCTCTAGAGTTTAAAGAAACCCATTATCCCCAAAGAGTTTGGGGGCAAAGTCCCCACCGTCATCCGCCAGCGCTATCTCAACCTGTTCATCGAGGAGTGTCTCAAGTTCTGTACCTCCAACCAGGAGGCCATAGAGAAGGTGAGGTCCTGGAGTTCCTATCTGGCCGGTCGGGTGGGGACTAGGGGTCCAGGGTGGTCCCCAGACATCCCCCGGCCTCTCAGCCGCAGCTGTGACCCGGAGCTGCCTGGGAGAGATGCAAGTCCCCGACCCCATGGCGACCCCACCGCTGGGGCTCCCCGGCACCAGGCAGGCATGGCCTCAGCTGGGCACCGCCTGTCCCCCAGGCACTGAACGAGGAGAAGGTGGCCTATGACCGCAGCCCCAGCAAGAACATCTACCTGAATGTGGCCGTGAACACCCTCAAGAAGCTCAGGGGCCTGGCCCCCAGCGCTGTGCCCGGCCTCAGCAGTGAGTCCTGGCGGGTGGGCGGGGGAGGCTCAGGGTTGCTCTTGGGGTGGCAGCTGGGCTGGGACCCTCGCTGGGACCTTCACAGCCCTGAGCTCAGCCACAGTCTCAGACAAAAGGAAAGCGCGGTGCTGTGGGGGGGCTGCCTGCTGCCTGGTTCCCAGGCTTCTGTGTAGGACGGACCTGGCCCTGGTGTCCTCGCTGTCAGCCGCCTTCCTCCGCTGAGTGGGGTCTCCAAGCCGAGCCGAGGGGCCGCCTGCTAATGGAGCTGCGGCAGCTTCTTCAAAGCAGGAGGCCCAGGGCTGGGCGAGCTCCATGCATTAAGCTCTGGGGAGGAAGAAAGCGGAGACCTGGGCGTTTCATTGCAGCCTCTCCAGGCTGCATTAAGCTATCACCGGCCCCTGCCCCCGTCCCCGCCTGCATTAGCACTCGGAGGGGCCCTGGGTTGGCGTCGCAGGCTGGGTGGCCCATGAAGGCTCAAAGCCCTCGAAAGCCATTAGATCCCCCGTGCTGTTCTCCCCGCCCTTCCCCCTTCGCTTGAGGGGAGGGGACGAAGACTTTGGGTGTGGGGCCTCCGTGCAGCTCTGGGGCCTGCAGAGCTGGCGGCTGCCCTGCGTCCCTGGCTCACCGCATGTCTGCCTCTCCTGTTCGGGTCAGGCTGGAACCCGGGGTCAGTGGGGTGCTGTCCCAGAAAGGGGGAGTTGAGGCAGAGGTCTGAGGAGGGCAGGGTGGGTGGGAGAGCAGGCGGGGCAGGGGTCTGAGCCAGCTACTTCACACCCTCCTCCCCTCCCTCCCTTCCTTCCAGAAACCAGTGGCCGCAGGGTTGTGTCCCACGAGGTGGTGTTGGGGGGCAGGTTGGCCGCCAAGACCAGCTTCTCGCTCAGCCGTCCAAGCAGCCCCCGGGTGGAGGACCTGAAAGGTAAGGCCCTGCCCCTGCTCTGCCACACGGTGCTTCGTGGGCCTCTGCCGGCCCAGCCCCTGCTGTGCCACACGGTGCTTCGTGGGCCCCTGCCGGCCCAGCCGCCTTTCCCGGTGGTGTCTACCGCCCCGTGGGCCATCCCAGGCAGGGGCTGACCACTGTGCCTGTCCACAGGGGCTGCCCTGTACAGCCGCCTCAGGGAGTACCTGCTCACCCAGGACCAGCTCAAGGAGAACGGCTACCCCTTCCCGCACCCAGAGCGGCCCGGGGGCGCAATCATCTTCACAGCTGAGGAGAAGAGGCCCAAGGACTGTGAGTCGCTGGCCTGCGACGGCCTAGGTGGGCAGGTGCGGGATGTGGGCAAGGCCGGGCATGCGGGCCCCAGCGTGAGCCTCAGCTTCCACCTGGGTCCCCACCCACAGCTTCCTGCAGGACCTGCTGCCGCTGTGGCACCGAGTACCTCGTGTCCTCTTCAGGCCGCTGCATCCGGGACGAGGAGTGTTATTACCACTGGGGACGGCTGCGCCGGAACCGGGGTAAGGCCTTACCCGGGTCCTTCCCCTTCCCACCCATGGCCCCCGGAACCTGGGCCCTCCCTTGAGGCCCCCAGAACTGGGGTAAGGCTTTACCCAGGCCCTCCATCCCACTCAGGGTCCCTGGGCTGCACCGTCTTTGGCAGAGCCGGGGCTAGCCCTTGGCCTCATTTTCTCTCCACCTGTTCTTTATGCAAAAGTAAGACAAGAGCTTTCCCATGACAAGGTTCAAATGCCACCACCTGAAAGGCCCTGTGTCCCTGCCTTCCTGTGCCCTTGGTCCATGGAAATGTGGAGGTTGCTGGCCCCAGGAGCGGAGGGGCTTGTCCCACCCTTGGCCTGGTGGTTCTATTCAATCCCCCAGGCAACCACGCAGCCACGCTCAGGGCACATGGCCAGCCTTGCACAGCCCTGTGGCGGCCCCTAAAGCCATCGCCTCAGGGATACCTGGAGGGTGCTGCCCGGGGCAGCGCTGCCAAGAGGCCTCTGCAGAGGGCACTGGTCTCCCTGGATCCAGGCCTGGGCGTCCTGGCTGCCACACGACTGCCGGGGCCTGGTCTGCTTCCAGCTCCACCAAGAGGCTGAGGCCTCCTGTCCTCAGTCCTCACTCCCTAGTAGGGCTCGGTAGATGCAGGTGGTCAGTGCCCCGGGGGCTGTGGAGTGGGCCTGGCCGGGCCCTGACTGTGTGTCTGTGTCCCCTGCAGTGGCCGGAGGCTGGGAGACCCAGTACATGTGCTGCTCGGCTGCCGCCGGCTCTGTCGGCTGCCAAGTCGCAAAGGTGAGCCCTGGCGTCCCAGTCCCCTCTGCCTGTTCTCAACAGACTTCTGCCTCCCCATCGTTGGTGTGGGGTCTCGGGACACAGCACAGTCCTGGGCTCAGGGTCTGGGCCCCCGGGCAGCCTTTCTTGTGTTACCCAGAGAACGTAGCACCCGTAGGCCCCAGGCCCTGTCCCTGGCCACTTCCCATCCTGGGAAGCCGTCCTCCCTGTGTCTTCTTGGCAAGCCCCCTTCCCCACCTGCTCACCAGGGTCCCAACCAGTGAATGGGCGTGATGGATGGATAGGATGGTCCCGAAGGGCTCAGAGATGTGCTGCTGCTGCCACCCCCGCCCCCACTGCACCCCGAAGCTGCCCTCACCTGCCTTCTCCACCCCCAGCAACACGTGCAGGATGGCCGGAAGGAGCGCCTTGAGGGCTTCGTGAAGACCTTTGAGAAAGAGCTCTCAGGAGACACCCACCCGGGGATCTACGCCCTGGACTGCGAGATGGTGAGGCTGTTCTCTGCCCAGCGTCGGGTTCAGGATTGGGGAGGACCTGGCCTGGTGCGGCCGCCCCATCTGGCCCCATCTGGGCCTGGCTCACCGGCCAGCGCTCAGGGTTTCTCTCGCAGCACCGGTGCCTGTGGCTCCTGCCCTGGACCAACACCCCATACTTCCCAGCAGAGCCAAGCACACCGGGCACTGGGCCCCGGCTCTGCCTCTGAATGGGAGGCAGGAGGGCTTTGCGAAAGGGGGTTACTGAGGTCACACCCCACTCGGCCTCTCCTAGAAGTCCCACAGAGTCTCTGGTCACTGCCTCTGCCTGGAGGGGCTCTGGAGACTCAAAGGGGCAGGGAAGGGGAGGGAGGGAGGCCGGTGCCTGGGACACATCTGAGGTGCATCCCTTGCCCGCAGTCCTACACCACATATGGCCTGGAGCTGACGCGCGTCACGGTGGTCGACACGGACGTGCACGTGGTTTATGACACCTTCGTGAAGCCTGACAACGAGATCGTGGACTACAACACCAGGTGTGGCCAGTGCCCTCCACGAGCTGGGAGCCCTCCCAGCCGCCTCTCCCCAGGGACCCACCCTCCCCCGCCCCACCAGCCAGTGCTTCCAGGCTGAGCCCTGGTGCCCCTCCTGCCCGTTCCCCCAGGTTTTCGGGGGTGACGGAGGCTGACCTTGCCGACACAAGTGTCACGCTGCGTGACGTCCAGGCCGTTCTGCTGAGCATGTTCAGCGCTGACACCATCCTCATCGGACACAGCCTGGAGAGCGACCTCCTGGCCCTGAAGGTGCCCTGCCGGCCCGGGTCCCGCGCGGTTCTCCAGCAGGACCTGCGCAGGCCCCACGTGCGCTGATCTCTGCCGCTGCCCACAGGTCATCCACAGCACCGTGGTGGACACGTCTGTGCTCTTCCCCCACCGCCTGGGCCTCCCCTACAAGCGGTCCCTGCGGAACCTCATGGCCGACTACCTCAGACAGATCATCCAGGACAATGGTGAGTGCCGGTGCCTGCCCTGGGGCCGTCCCTGCGCAGGGGCCGGGTGCTCACCGCATCTGCCCCGCAGTGGATGGGCACAGCTCCAGCGAGGACGCCGGCGCCTGCATGCACCTGGTGATCTGGAAGGTTCGAGAAGACGCCAAGACCAAGCGATGACGCCTGCCCGCCTCCCACCCGCCTCTCCTGCCGTCCCGCTGGTCCTTAGCCCCATGCCTCTTCCAAAACAGTGCAATAAATCTCCGGTAACCCGTCCACCTGGCCGAGGCAGCCCAGAGCAGCGGGATGAGCTGGCGGCCAGAGAACGCCCAGCCCAGCCCACCCCCGCTCACGTCCTGCCGCACCCCTCCGCCGGTCCCCACCCTCTGCCCCCCAGCCCTCTGGCGTCTCTAGAAACTGCTGCTGATGGAGACCAGGACAGAGCCCGCCCCCACCCGGCCCGCAGCCCCTCCTGCCCCTCCTGCCAGGCCCTCCCTCCCGGGTGGTGGCCGGCACCTCTGCTCCTCACGTGGGTCGCGGGGCGGGCTTGTCCCAGGTTTGTTTGAGACAGTCTTTTTTTATTTTGTATTGTTATTTTTATTATTTTTAATTTAAACCTGATGACTTGCACAGCATCTTTCCCACCGGGAAGAGCGGGCCTGCTGCCTTCCCTCCTGCGGGGTGGGGGTGGGACAGACCCCAGTGGGGGCCAGGGCCACACTCAGCGCAGTGTGGGCTGGACCCGCCTCTGTGCTCCAGGGGCTGGCCGGTCTTCGGGGGCGCCGGCTTCCACCACTCGCCGCCCCACCCCTGCACTCCGTGACCTCTGAGAACCCAGCTGGCCCCTCGTTAGCCCCAGGGTCTGCCGTCTAGAGGGAGCCCACCGGCCTCCGGACACTGTCTTCCCGCTAGAGCCCCGTCCTCCTCTGCGGGGCTCTCCGGACCCCCTTCCCCCTCACCTCCAGGCAGGGACAGAATAAATGTTTGTATGGATTTTAGATTTTGTGGTGGTCTTGGTCTTGGTGCCTGGTGAGGCCTCTGCATGTGCCCCGGGGAGGCCACTGTCCCTGCAGCCGGGACTGATTCTCTTCCCATCAACGCAGAGAAAACAGAGCAGTGAAACTTTCCCTCACAAAAGCTGGCCCAGGGCTGGCTCCCCCAGGGCTGGGCCACACCTGCTGTGGGGTCCCAGTTCCAGCCCCAGATCATGGGCCACCATCCTGCAGCTTCTAGTGCCTCTCGGACAGTGGGTGGTGTCCCCAGCCCTGTGTGGAGCTGGGCCCTGTGCACAGAGCTGGCTTCCCTCTCTGCCCTGCCCAGAGATAGGGACTGCACACAGATGGTGAGAGGGGGTTAAAGAGACTGGGAGCTGCTGTGTGTTGCCCGTCAAAGGATGGAGTGCAGACACGGAAAGCTGCTCCGGCCCTTGCCAGGAAACGCCACACATTGTGTAGTGCACGCACGTCTCGGGCAACTGTGGTTGCATCGGGACCCCATTTGGAAATGGGAGGCCCAGGGGTGTTTAGGCCCCACTTTTTATTGACCTCAAGTAGAAAAAGTGATGAGCCTTGCGGGACAGGACCCAGCAGCTGGGGGCAGGTTGCCTGGAGTGGGTTTCCTGCCACCCTGGTCTTGGGCTTCTGCTGAAGGGCAAGGCCAAGGGCACAGGTCCCGGGATGAGGACGTGGGGGCCCTCCCCAGAGGACTCCATCCCAAGGCTCCCTTCCCGGTTCTGGGCTCTGCATCTCTCCAGGGCCCTCCTGGGGGACCGTGGTTAGGCCAGGCCCTTCCACCCTCGAGGGCTGTTCTTGTGACTAGTGACTCTCCCACCTCTTCTGTAAAGGAGTTGTTTTCTTTTTCTTCTTTATTTTTGAGACACAGTCTCGCTTTGTCACCCAGTCTCAGCTGGCTGCAACCTCTGTCTGCCGAGTAGCTGGGATTATGGCTGTGCCATCACACCTGGCTAATTTCGTATTTTTAGTAGAGATGGGGTTTCACCACGTTGGCCAAGCTGGTCTCGAACTCCTGACCTCAAGTGATCCACCTGCCTCGGCCTCCCAAAGCGTTGGGATTACAGGCATGAGCCACTGTGCCCGGCTCTGTGTTCTAAATAAATGGCGCAGGCGTGTATGCGCTCTGTTTCTGTGCATTCCCATGTGATGTCTGCCTCCCCCTTCCCAGAACGCACCTGGTGCCTCAGGACATAGCCCACGGGGGGTCCCAAGGCTGGCCAGCCCTGGCTTCAGCCCCCAGGGACTCCCTTCAGCTTGTGAAGCCACCTGTTGCCACTGGAGGCTTCAGGGCCTTTGCACAAGTGCCCTGGGCAAGCTCCTGCCCCCAGATAGTGCCCCCTGCGAAGGCTGGGGTGGGGGAATCTGGTCCTCACAGCTGCACCCAACCAGGTCTCTTCTAAAGTTTATTAGAACAGTGTGTTCAAACTCCCAGCCCCGGCTTTTTTTCGTAACCACTGAGCAAGCAAGCAAGCACAGGGGAAGTGTTGAAGGAATGAAAGGAGAGAAGTCAAACACAGTGGCCTGCCTGCCTGCTTGTGGTCCCAGCTACTCTGGAGGCTGAGGCAGGAGGATCGCTTGAGCCCAGGAGGTGGAGGCTGCAGTGAGCTCTGATCGCACCACTGCACTCCAGCCCGGGTGACACAGTGAGACTCTGTCTCCAAAAAAAGAGAGGTTCCCTGGCAGCCTCCAGGGCCAAGCAGGCTTCCAATTTGGGCTTCCAAAGAAAGAGGGTTTGTGATCACCGAGAGCCCTCAGGTGGTTGCCGCTTTGATGGGGGAGGTGGCTTCCCTATCCCCCTCCACCCATGTTTGCCTCTCCCTTTGGGCCCTCACCCCAGGTAGCCTCACTCTTGGGGGCATTTCATCTTCAGCAGCCCCTCCGCACACACTTTCTGACCCTGGCTCCAGGCCCTATCGCTGGCCTGGACCCGCCCTAGCCTCGTCGCTGAACTCACCCCTGCCACTTCTTCAGTAAGGATCCCTGAGCCCCTGCCACCTGCTGGAAAGAACCCTGCGGGCTTCCTCTTGGCCTTAGGGTGGTCTCAATGGCTATAACCGCCTCTCCCCAGCCTGGTGCTCAGCCCTGCATCTGCGCCTAGGAGGCGCTCGTTGAACGTGTATGGGATGAATGAACGAACCCAGGACACGGATCAGACATGACTTACATAACCGCCGTTACCTGTGGTCCTTCCTCCTGCACTCTGCCACGCTGGCCGCACCAGCCTCAGCCCCGTCAGGTCTGCAAGGCCCATTCCGACCTGACCCAGGCCCACCTTTCCAAGAACCCTTCCAACCCCGCCCTGCGGTGCAGGTTCTTTCTGCTCCCTGACCAAGCCCGGCCCGGCCCTGCCCTGACACCCTCTTCCCTTTCAGGCTCCGCCCCTGCACTGGCACTGCTCCCTAAGGCCCTCCCAAGGCCCTGCCTTCTGTCCTGGACCCACCCTGAGCGCCCTCCTACCCTGACCCTGCTCTGCGCGGCCCCGCCTTCCTCCTTTGTAACGGCTCCGGATCCCAGCCCCGCCCCTACCATAACACTGCTCCGCAAGGCCATGCTCAACCCCGCTTCCCGCTCTGGCCAAGCCCCTGAGTCCTGGCCCCGCCCCTACTCTGACTTTGCTCAGCGAGACCCCGCTCGTCCTCGCCTTCCTTCTAGTCCCTTCCCCAAAGTCCCGGCCCCTCCCCAGACCCAGGCACTGCTCCCGAGCGTCTTCTATCCCGGCCTGTTCTGCGAGGCTCTGCGAGGCCCCGCCCTTCGGCCGTGACCGCGTCCCTGAGGCCTGGCCCCCATCCTGCTCGGCCGTGCTCCGCTCGGCCCCACCCTCGAGGCCCCGCCCCTTCTTCGCCTTGGCCCCACCCACCCCCTCCAGGCCCCGCCCCCGGCCCCCTTCCGGGGTCCGAACTGGCTCCACCTTCGCCTTGGCCGGGCCCCGAGGCCCCGCCCCGAGATCCCGCCCCCCGTTTCAGGACCGTTGGCACCGGGCTAACGGTTCCACCACGTCCGCCGCCCTGGACGCCCGCGGCCTGCCCCCCCCTGCCTCTCCTGCGCCGGTGAGCGGCGGGTGCTCCCACTGCTGTGCGTCCCCGGGAGCCCGCGCACCCTCTCTGGGCTCCACCCAGGCTGAGAGCTGGGGTCGTGGCGGCGGGGGTGGAGAGCGCGCCCCTAGAGGTTCGCGCGGTCGGGGCCCCGGGGCGGGTGCAGACAGCCCTGGACTCTGGAGCCCTGTCCAGGGCGGTCCTGTGCCCCTGCGGCTGCGGGAAGACGGGGTGGGGGGCTTCCGAGTAATGGGGCATCCCAGTTAGTGAGGGGGCAGGAAGCCAGCGCTGTGTCCGTGTCTCTTTCTGCCCCCAGATACACTTCGAGTGGATTCTGGCCATTTGAGCATTCTCTCCAACTCTCCAATCCCCAGTCTGCCCCCACGGGGGTCTCCCCCACCTCTCCCCCGTCCCACAGCCTAAACCCCTCTTCGCCCTGAACCTCCCTTTTCCTCATGCGGTGAATGGGCACTGGCCCCGCTCAGACTCCCAGGAGCACCAGAGCTGGCCCTGAGCCAAGCCCTGCCCCACCAGGACCTGGGGACACGGGTGACTCAGACGTGACTCAGGAAGGCTCAGGTCCTGCTGGCATCCGCGGAGGTGAGACGGTGATCAGAGCTGGGATGGGAGACTCCCCAGGCAGAGGGGCACCTGAGAGGAGGCACAAGGCCCAGCCTGGCCGGGCTAGGAAGTATGAATGGAGACCAGAAGGGTGAGGACGGGTGCATCGGGTGGCCGGAACACAGGGGCAGGGGCTTGGCGGGGAGGGCACTGCTAGAGAGCTGGCAGGTGGGGGGCCAGTTGCTGGCGTCTAGGGGTGGTTTGCCCATCCTCATAGGGGGCCAAACCAGGGCCCCCGGTGCAGGGCTAGAGCCAGACCCACATTCCTGAACCTGCTAGTGGAGAAGATTCCAGGATCTTCTGACGATGTCCGTCTGCCTCCATCGCCCCCATCAGAGTTTGCTGCCCAGCCTGGGGGGGTGAGGAGGGGAGTGGCCATGCCTGACCCTCATGCTGTGTTTTGAGATATAACATATAGCCCGGGGGTCCCATTCAGTCAGTGAACAGATGACTGAGCCCCTAAGCTGGTGCCACATGGGGAGAGGGGCAGGAGGCCGTCAGTGAAACCAGGAGGAGGTGAGAGTGGTCCTTTCAGGAAAAGCGAGGTGTGGGGAGCAGTGGCCGGAGGCTGGCATGGCCAGAGGCTGGCATGGCTGGCGGTAGAGTCCTTCTAGGCTGTACTGGCGGGAGGCGACCAGGGTGGCTGGCGGGGGACACTGGCAGATGGGCTGTTGCAGGTTTGAGGATCATCTTGGGGTCCCCTAGGTCTCAGGATGTCCAAGGCAAGACACACAGCCTATGGCTGGACATTCAGAGCCTGGCGGGGAGGCTGCAGATGAGTGTGGGAGGTAGCATTTGAGAGGGTCGGCCCCTAGGCTGTGAGCTCCTTGAAGACCGAGTGGTGCCCAGCAAGGGCTGGGGTCACTGCTGTGACCCGGGGCCCTTCTCTCCCACAGCCCCACCAGCATGGGCAGCCTCGGCCAGAGAGAAGATCTCCAAGATGAGGACAGGAACTCAGGTGCTGATCCTGGGCAGAGGGGGCGGTGCAGGTGGGAGGGATTATGAAGTTCAGGGCTGGCCAGGCGTGGTGGCTCTCCCCTGTAATCCCGGCACTTTGGGAGGCTGAGGCGGGTGGATCACTTGAGGTCAGGGGTTCGAGAGCCTGGGCAACATGGAGAAACCCCGTTTCTACTAAAAGTACGAAGATTAGCTGGGCGTGGTGGCGTATGCCTGTAATTCTAGCTACTTGGGAGGCTGAGACAGGAGAATCACTTGAACCCAGGAGACCCAGGAGGTGGAGGTTGCAGTGAGCTGCGATTGTGCTACTGCACTCCAGCCTGGGTGACAGAGCGAGACTCCATCTCAAAAAAAAGAAAAAAGTGCAGGGCTGAGGCTGAGACGGGCTGGGGCCCCCAGACCTGCACGTCAGGCCTTGCCTAGGATTCTCATTTGGTTTCTAGTAGTCTCCAACCCTAGTACTGACTGGGTTTGGGGGATTTGGCTCAGGATTTGGGGGCTGCATGCCCAGAAAGATCTGGGCCGCCAGCTGGATGTATGGCCTTGGACACCCAAGAGCCCATCACCAAGCCTCAGTTTACCCCCCTCTGTAAAATGTACAGGCCTGAACGGTCTCCCAGGGCCTGTTCTCTGCGTCTCAGGACAGGCCCCTGGCTGGGGGTGTGGGTGGCCACTCTCGGAATCCACTTGTGCCGGCGCCAACTATGGGCAGGGTCTGGTAGGTCCCCAGGTGGTGCCTGCTGCCCGACTGTCTGTTTACGGGCTCTGACATCTCGGGCCTCCCCAGTGCCTGGGTCCCACGGGCCCCATGAGCCCTCCTCCGGGCGGTCATTAGGGGTGTTTGTCCTGGGCCTCGAGCTCCAGCGACGCCCGGCTCTCTCGCTGCAGCATTCACCTGGAAGGTCCAGGCCAACAACCGTGCCTACAACGGGCAGTTCAAGGAGAAGGTGATCCTGTGCTGGCAAAGGAAGAAATACAAGGTGGGCGGCCCCTCCCGCGCCTCCCTGCTCCAGAGGAGCTGCCGTGGTACCCTCGGGGAATCTATTTTTTGCTCCTCCTGAGTCCTGCCTCTGCTTGTATTTGCTCGATAGTTTTCTTTTTTTGGTTTTCGTTTTCTTTTTCTTTCTTTCTTTTTTTTTTTTGAGACAGAGTCTCCCTCTGTTGCCCAGGCTGGAGTGCAGTGGCGACATCTCGGCTCACTGCAACCTCCACCTCCGGGGTTCAAGCAATTCTCCTGCCTCAGCCTCCCAAGTAGCTGGGATTACAGGCATGCACCACCACGCCTGACTAATTTTTGTATTTTTAGTAGAGACAGTTTCACCATGTTGGCCAGGCTGGTCTCGAACTCCTGATCTCAGGTGATCCACCCACCTCGGCCTCCCAAAGTGCTGGGATTACAGGCGTAAGCCACTGCGCCCAGCCTCTTTTTTCTTTTTTCTGTTTTGTTTTAAGATGGAGTCTCGCTCTGTCGCCCAGGCTGGAATGCAGTGGCGAGATCTCGGCTCACTGCAACCTCTGCCTCCCGGGTTCTAGTGATTCTCCTGCCTGAGACTCCCAAGTAGCTGGGATTACAGGCACCCACAACCACGCCCGGCTAATTTTTTGCATCTTTAGTAGAGATGGGGTTTTGTCATGTTGGCCAGGCTGGTCTGGAACTCCTGACCTCAAGTGATCCACCCACCTTGACCTCCCGAAATGCTGGGATTACAGGGGTGAGCCACCATGTCTGGCCGATATTTTTATTTTCATCTCGAGGACCGAACCGCCCGTCCTAACCAAATCACTGGTTTGGCACAAGAGTTCTGTGTGTCTCATTTGCCCTGTCCCAGTGCACGTGAGGGTCAGTTAATACCCAACCTGAAAGTACAATGTGTCCATCGCGGCCCTACCTGAAATCCTCTTGGGTGTCTTGCTTTGGGAAATGCTGGTCACAGCTCCATGAGTCTTTGCACTCAGTAGAAGCTTGATTAATGCTGGCTCCAGGCTTTTACATTACTGAGCAGGTGCTCAGTAAATGCTGGTCTGAGGCCTTGCATTCAGCAGGTGCTCAGTAAATGCTGGCCTGAGGCCTTGCATTCAGCAGGTGCTCAGTAAATGCTGGTCTGAGGCCTTGCATTCAGCAGGTGCTCAGTAACTGCTGGCTCAGTAGATGCTTAATGAATGGTGTGTGTCCCATAGCCCAGAGGATGCTGGGCGAGGCCAAGTGAGGCAGGTCTGGCCTCGGGCACCCCCATCCCCTGGCCTGGATGGCACCCCTCTGCCAGGCAGCCCGCGGCTCTCGTTCCAGACCAATGTCATCCGCACGGCCAAGTACAACTTCTACTCGTTCCTGCCGCTGAACCTGTACGAGCAGTTCCACCGCGTGTCCAACCTGTTCTTCCTCATCATCATCATCCTGCAGGTGAGGCGTGTTGCCTCCTCCAGGAAGTCCCCCCTAGCCACCTGGCAGCATCGATGTGTTTGTCTGTGTGATGGGTGGGTTCACGTCCCACTCCCCACAGACTGGGACCCTCAGCGCTGAGTCCCTACTACCCTGCCCAGGGCCTGGCACACAAGAGGCGCTCAGTACATGTTGAATGACAAAGGTGGATGGATGCACCCTCCAGGTCTGATGACGGCACCCTCTCCACGCCCCGCTGGTTCCTGCTGGGCAGGGCTGGGCATCGGGAGGCATAGCTGTTCCCCAGCCTAAACGGCCTCGGCCACGCAGCTCCCCTGGCCCCCGCCCTCCCAGCTGACCTCAGAGGCGAGGGGGAAGGAGGAGCCCAGAGCATGTTCTCAGGACCTGTGGAGCCACTTCCCGGTACCTGGGTGGTCCAGGCCAGCGTGGGGCCGGCATCCGGCCAGGGGCGCTGTTTTCAGAGCAAACACTCTCACCCAACATCTCATTTCTGTTCTGGATGGAGAGGTTCTCCTTTCATCCATCGAGTCATTCAGCATTAATGGAGTACCTACTGTGTGCAGGCCGCTGGCCGGGTGCCAGGGTAGGGGATGGTGGAGCTCACACCTGCAGGGTGACCTGGGGAAGCAGGGACATGGGAGGGAGGGGGAGCAGTGGCGGCCAAGCTTGGGGCTGGGGGAGGCTCCCTGGAGAAGGCACCGTGGGAGCTGGGCTTGGACGGGAGAAGGGGAGTTTGCTGGGGAGACGAGGCGTGTGGGAGAAGTTCCAGGCAGGTGGAGGGATGCCGGGGCGTTTGTCCCGAGGGCTGGGGGTTGCAGGAGATGGCTGGACCCCGGTCAAGGTGGCCAGCAGATGTGTCACGTGGTGTCGAGTGCGGGGCTAGGTCGGCTTGGTGGAAGGGCAGGGGACGGGGGAGTGGGCTGGTGTGACCCTTCCTGTGGCCCCCTCACGTCAGAGCATTCCCGACATCTCCACGCTGCCCTGGTTCTCGCTCAGTACCCCTATGGTCTGCCTCCTCTTCATCCGTGCCACCCGGGACCTGGTGGACGACATGGTGAGTGCTGTTGGATGCAGCTGCCTGGGGGAGGGAGCGGGGCCGGTCGGGGGGGTCTCTTGATCCCTGGGCGAGAGTGGGAGGAGGGCTGGGCTTCCTGGAGCATTAGGGGAACGTGGGCCTGGGAGCCTCAGCTGCTGGGGCTACATTGTCCTTATCTGCTAGCACCCACATTGGGCAGGTGCCGCAGGTGGCGTTGGCTCTGTCGGTGCGTGGTTTTGGGGCCATTGAGCTTTGGTGGGGGGTGGTCTGGCAGGCACTCTAGGTGGTGGGCAGCACGCCTGTCTTCTCCCCGCCAATAGCAGTGGGTCCAGTGGCCCCCACGTCCGGGATCCCTGAGCAGACGCAACGTGGCGTGGGGCCAGCGGACAGGGACCCCGTGTTGCGGGCGGGCACTGCTGGGCTGCAGTGCGGCAGCGGCCTGGGCGGGGGCAGGAGAGGCTGGACGGTCTCTCTGATCCTTTCCCTCCTGGCCCAGGGGAGACACAAGAGTGACAGAGCCATCAACAACAGACCCTGCCAGATTCTGATGGGGAAGAGGTGAGGCTGGGGCTGCAGCTGGGGATCCGCGGGGACACGGGGGCTCCAGCCCAGCAGGGTCATCGGCCTCGGCAAGTGTCCATCACCTTCCGTGCTCCCTGATCTCCCGGCTGGTTGAGTCCGACAGGAACCGGGCCTGCATTCATTAGGCGTTTGGCCGGGACGAGGACAGAGGCCGAGGCCCTGATGGCGAACCCTTGCAGAGCTTAGGGCTCGGGCGATGGGGAGGACAAGGAAAGTCTGAAGAGGACGTGGGTGCAGGACCCTGGAGGTCACTGGGTGGGAGCGTGGACCCGCGGGGAGTGGGGTGGGAGCCCGGGGAAGGCTTCCTGAGGGGGCAAAGGCCCGGAGGTGGGGACTGCAGCTGCGGGCCCCCCGTCATCCCGTGCCTCTGGTCTCCCGGTGTGGGGAGGGTTGGCAGAGGGAGGGGCCTCCTTCACAACCCCCTCTCCCCGCAGCTTCAAGCAGAAGAAATGGCAGGATCTGTGCGTGGGGGATGTGGTCTGTCTCCGCAAGGACAACATCGTCCCAGTGAGCTGGGGTTGACCCCGAGGTCCCAGAACCACGCGCCCCCTCACCGAGAGCACCCCTCCCAGGGTGGGGAGGGCTGCCGCACCCCCAATTTGTCTTGCATCCCCTCTTGCAACGCTGCCCCCCACTCCACACCAGGCCGACATGCTCTTGCTGGCCAGCACGGAGCCCAGCAGCCTGTGCTATGTGGAGACGGTGGACATTGACGGGTGAGGAGCTGTGGCATCGCTGGGGACCCTGGGGGGTGGGGAGCATGGCCCGGAGGAGCCCCCTTCCCCAGTCACCAAGGAGGCGGCCAGCCAAGGTCGCTCAGAGACTTTGGTCACTCACCCCATGAGTGTCTGGGGCGTGGGTGCTGCCAGGCACTGAGGGGAGGAAGACGCCCACCCTCCCCATTGTTTCCATTGTGTGCATACGGGCAGGAGGCCCTAGGCCCTAGGCCCTGGCCTCAGCACTTTGCAAATGTGCTGTGTGGCCTTGGGCAAGGCCTTCTCCCTCTCTGGGCCTCAGCCATCTGACTGGCAGCTGGCGAACTAGTAGGTGCTCAGTGAAAATGTTTGAGTGACTCCAGAAGGGGTCTGGGGGCTCCTCGAAGCATCCATCAACTCCACTTTCACCTCCCTCCTCTCCTCGTCACCAGGGAGACCAACTTGAAGTTCAGACAGGCCCTGATGGTCACCCACAAAGAACTGGCCACTATAAAGAAGATGGCGTCCTTTCAAGGTGAGAGGCGTTGAGCAGGGAGTCACGTCCCTCGAATCTGTAAAAGTTAAAAGTTAGGGTATTTTGTTGTTGTTATTACTGTTTTTAAAACAAGGTGCTGGCCAGGCCCAGTGGCTCACACCTGGAATCCCAGCACTTTGGGAGGCTGAGGCAGGAGAATCACTTCAGCCCAGGAATTCAAGACCAGCCTGGACAACATAACGAGACCCCATCTCTACAAAAATAAAACAAGTAGCTGGGCGTGGTGGCACATGCCGGTGGTCCCAGCTACTTGGGAGGCTGAGGTGGGAGGCTCGCTTGAGCTCAGGGAGGCTGAGGCTGCAGTGAGCTGTGATCACATCACTGCACTCAGCCTGGGCAACAGAGTGAGACCCCTGTGTCAAAACCAAAAATAAAGTGCTACATTCTATTAAGTGTAAAATTTAACCATAACACAGTCACGTTTGGTTGTTTCATTGAAAAGGCACCTGCGTGCATGGGCTGGCAATTCCTGTGGTGGGAAGGCCTCTGAGAACAGAGTGCTGACACCTCCAATGCTTGGCTGTTTCTTTTTCTTTTTCTTTTTTTGAGACGGAGTTTCGCTCTTGTCTCCCAGGCTGGAGTGCAGTGGTGCGATCTTGGCTCACTGCAACCTCTGCCTCCCAGGTTCAAGCGTTTCTCCTGCCTCAGCCTCCTGAGTAGCTGGGATTACAGGTGCGTGCCACCACTCCCAGCTAATTTTTGTATTTTTAATAGAGACGGGGTTTCTTTTTTCTTTTTTTTTTTTGAGACGGAGTCTCGCTCTGTTGCCCAGGCTGGAGTGCAGTGGCGCAATCTCGGCTCACTGCAAGCTCCGCCTCCTGGGTTCACGCCATTCTCCTGCCTCAGCCTTCCGAGTAGCTGGGACTACAGGCGCCCGCCACCAGGCTGGCTAATTTTTTGTATTTTTAGTAGATACAGGGTTTCACCGTGTTAGCCAGGATGGTCTCGATCTCCTGACCTTGTGATCCACCTGCCTCGGCTTCCCAAAGTGTTGGGATTACAGGCATGAGCCACCGCACCCGGCCGAGACGGGGTTTCATCATATTGGTCAGGCTGGTCTCGAACTCCTCACCTCAGGTGATCCACCCACCTTGGCCTCACAAAGTTCTGGGGTGACAGGTGTGAGCCACCACACCCGGCCTGCTTGACGGTTTCTTATTTTCCACCTGGAGATGTTTCACACGTGATGTGGAAACAGTTACTCTTTGCTGCAGCCCAGTCTGGGGGTACAGTTTTGTTTGGTTTTCTTATCTTATTGTGAAGGAGAGTCACTCTAATTGGTTTGAGGACAGAATCTTTTCCTTGCTCCTGACACCCAAAGAGGTTTTCCCCATCTGTCTGTGATATCTGGGGAAAGGCTTAGCCCTGGTGGAGGGGGCCACACCCATCCTCTCTAATTTCCCTGACAGTCCCAGAACTTGGCTAAAGGTTCCTTTTTTTTTTTTTTTTTTTTTTTGAGACAGAGTCTCGCTCTTGTTGCCCAGGCTGGAGTGCAGTGGCGCGATCTTGGTTCACGGCAACCTCCGCCTCCCGGGTTCAAGCGATTCTCCTGCCTCAGCCTCCCGAGCAGCTGGGATCCCAGGCGCCCGCCACCACGCCCAGCTAATTTTGTATTTTCAGTAGAGACGGGGTTTCACCATGTTGGTGAGGCTGGTCTCGAACTCCTGACCTCAGGTGATCCACCCGCCTCGGCCTCTGAAATTGCTGGGATGGCAGGCATAGCCACCGCACCCGGCCGGCTTCCTTCTTTAACACCACTGGGACACAGACTCATAGACAGGCAGCGGCTCTTCCTCTAGCATTTCCTCCCGGGCTGAGCAAGGAGGCTTTTGTGGGCCCTGGCCTCGTCCATCTGCCCCAGCATTCTCACTGGGCATAGACCCATTTTTCAGAGGAAGACACTGAGGTTCAGAGAGGTGGCCTGAGGTGTGGGCTTGCCCTGTGGTTCTCTGCCCTCTGGCCGTCCCACCATGAGCGTCTCCAATTCCTGCATCCAGGATGGAGTCAGGGTCCCCATCCCTAAGACGCGATGGGGAGGCAGGTGAGGACCCTTCAGGAACCCTGTGGCCCCTCTCTCTTCTGGGGTCCCAACCCATGCCCCATTGTCATTTTAACCCTCACTGAATGCTGCCCCGGGCCAGTCTGTGCAGTTCTCCAATGAAGTGAGGCCATTGCAGGGTGTTGGTGAATGGGGGGCTGGTGGTGGTGGTAGACAGGCTCCGGCACCCAAAAGGAGGCTCATCGATCAGGCGTCCCTTCTCCTCTTCCCTCTTGACACATTTATTGAGCACCTACTGCATGCAGGTGCTGGTCCGTGCCCTGGGGTCAGAGTGTGGCCGAGATGAGGCTGGCACCAGTTCTCATGGAGTTCACAGACATTAACAATAGCTTTGCACAGATAAATGTCTCGTCACATGCTGGGATCAGAACCACGAGGGAGGGAGCTAGGAGCTAGGAGGGGCTGATCTGGCTGGAGGATCAGGGAAGTGTGAGTCCCCGTGGAAGGAACAGCCTGCCCAAAGTCCCTGAGGCCAGGTGGGGACAGGAAGGCTTTGGAGGCAGCCCAGTGCTGGGGCACCATAGGGCAAGTTTGGGGCACAGAGGGGCTCGTGAGGGTGGCCGGAATGTTCTCACCTGCACCCGGTGCAGGGAACCTGGGGAGGAGGGCCTGAGCCCACTGACCCACTGACCACCTGGCCACCCACAGGCACAGTGACGTGTGAGGCGCCTAACAGTCGGATGCACCACTTCGTGGGGTGCCTGGAATGGAATGACAAGAAATACTCCCTGGACATTGGCAACCTCCTCCTCCGAGGCTGCAGGATTCGCAACACAGACACCTGCTATGGACTGGTCATTTATGCTGGTACGGCTGCTCCAGGGTCCTGGAGTGGGAGCTGTACTGATGGGAGCGTGGTAGATGGATGTGGGGATGGGTGGGTGGGTAGGTGGGTGGATGGATGTGTGAGAGGATGAGTGCATGGATGGATAGACAAATAGATGGGCAGATGGGTGGGTGGATGGATGTGGGGATGGGTGGGTGGGTGGGTGCCTGGATGTGGGGATGGGTGGGTGGGTGGGTGGATGAGTGGGGGGTGGGTGGATGGGTGAGTGATGGGTGGGTAGGGGTGGAAGGGTGGGTGGGTGAGTGATGGGTGGGTGAGGGGTGGATGGGTGAGTGATGGGTGGGTGAGGGGTGGATGGGTAGGTGGGTGGATGAGTGGGGGAGTGGGTGGATGGGTGAGTGATGGGTGGGTGAGGGGTGGATGGGTGGGTGGGTGGGTGGATAGATGGATACATGTTTGTAGGTTTTGACACAAAAATTATGAAGAACTGTGGCAAGATCCATTTGAAGAGAACCAAGCTGGACCTCCTGATGAACAAGCTGGTGGTTGTGGTGAGCTGCCAACAAGTGCCCCTGCCCCAGGAACACAGAGGAGTGCAGGGTCAGGGATGTCATCTTCCAGGCCTCAGTTTCCTTCTTCTGCAAAATGTGCGGCCTGATCCTGTGGGCAGGTCTTTGGGCCAGAAAATTTTTCATTAAAGTAATTTTTTAAAAAGTTTTATAAAATAATAATAATTATGTATTTATTTATTTTTTAGAGATGGAGTCTCACTCTGTCACCAGGCCGGAGTGCAGTGGCGTGATCTTGGCTCACTGCAACCTCTGCCTCCCGGGTTCAAGCAAGTCTCCTGCCTCAGCCCCTCGAGTAGCTGGGACTATAGGTGCACGCCGCCACGCCTGGCTAATTTTTTTGTATTTTAGTAGAGACGGAGTTTTACCATGTTGCCCAGGCTGGTCTCGAACTCCTGAGCTCAAGCAATCCGCCCTCCTCAGCCTCCCAAAGTGCTAGGATTACAGGCATGAGCCACCGTGCCTGGCCAGAATAAATATATTTTTAGGCTGGGTGAGATGGCTCATGCCTGTAATCCCAGCACGTTCTGGGGCCGAGGTGGGTGAATCACCTGAGGTTGGGAGTTTGAGACCAGCCTGAACAACATGGTGAAACCCCGTCTCTACAGAAAATCGAAAATTAGCTGGGCGTGGTGGCTCACACCTGTAATCCCAGCTACTTGGGAGGCTGAGGCAGGAGAATCGCTTGAACCCCAGAGGTGGAGGTTGCAGTGAGCTGAGATTGCACCACTGCACTCCAGCCTGGACAACTGAGCAAGACTCTGTCTCAATAAATAAATAAATAAAAATAAAAATAAATAAATGTTTTTCGGCTGGGTGCAGTGGCTCACACCTGTAATCCCAGCACCTTGGGAGGCTGAGGCAGGTGGATCACGAGGTCAGGAGATCAAGACCATCCTGGCTAACACAGTGAAACCCCGTCTCTACTAAAAATACAAAAAATTAGCCGGGCGTGGTGGCGGGCGCCTGTAGTCCCAGCTACTCGGGAGGCTGAGGCAGGAGAATGGTGTGAACCCGGGAGGCGGAGCTTGCTGTGAGCCAAGATCGCGCCACTGCACTCCAGCCTGGGAGAGAGAGCGAGACTCTGTCTCAAAAAAAAAAAAAAATTAAAAAAAAAAAAGTTTTTCTATCTCACTCTATTGCCCAGGATGGAGTGCAGTGGCGCCATGATATCTCACTGCAGCCTCCTGGGCTCAAGCGATCCTCGGCCTCAGCCTTCTGAGCAGCTGAGACTACAGGTGTGCGCCACCATGCCTGACTAATTTATTTTTTAAGTTTTTCGTCGAGATGAGGTCTCACTTTGTCGCCCAGGCTGGTCTTGAACTCCTGACGTCAAGCCATCCGCCTGCCTTAGCCTCCTGAAGTGCTGAGATTACAGGCATGAGCCACTGTGCCCAGCCCCAGCCTTATCTTTGTGTTTACCCCATCCTGATGGCAGAGTGGGGGACCCCCGCCCCCCTCACCCACCCTGTCGCGTCTGCCTTCCAGATCTTCATCTCCGTGGTGCTTGTCTGCCTGGTGTTGGCCTTCGGCTTCGGTTTCTCAGTCAAAGAATTCAAAGACCACCACTACTACCTCTCGGGGGTGCATGGGAGCAGCGTGGCCGCAGAGTCCTTCTTCGTCTTCTGGAGCTTCCTCATCCTGCTCAGCGTCACCATCCCGATGTCCATGTTCATCCTGTGAGTCTCCGCCGGCTGCGTCCCCGGTGCAAACGCGGAACGGGGAGGCATGGGGATGGCACACAGCAGGCGGGGCTGACCGTGACCCTGAGTGCCTCTGCAGGTCCGAGTTCATCTACCTGGGGAACAGCGTCTTCATCGACTGGGACGTGCAGATGTACTACAAGCCGCAGGACGTGCCTGCCAAGGCCCGCAGCACCAGCCTCAACGACCACCTGGGCCAGGTGGAATACATCTTCTCGGACAAGACGGGCACGCTCACGCAGAACATCTTGACCTTCAACAAGTGCTGCATCAGCGGCCGCGTCTATGGTGCGGCCCCGACACCTGAGCTCCCAGCTGGGTCCTCGATCTTCAAGGGGCTCAGGGTGCCTGAGAACCAGAGCCACGTCTGGCCCCATGCCCAGCACCTCCGCCCGAATCTGAACCAGGGAACCGTAGCCAGATGGCCTGGTTTCCTTTGGAGGGGGCCAGGAAAATTTTTTTTTTTTTTTGAGGCAGAGTCTCACTCTGTCTACCCAGGCAGGAATGCAGTGGTGCAATCTTGGCTCACTGCAATCTCCACCTCCCAGGTTCAAGCGATTCTCCTGGCTCAGCCTCCCGAGTAGCTGGGATTACAGGCACCTGCCACCACACCTAATTTTTTTGTATTTTTAGCAGAGATGGGGTTTCACCATGTTGGCCATGCTGGTCTCGAACTCCTGGCCTCCGGCGATCCACCTGCCTCGGCCTCCCAAAGTGCTGGGATTACAGGCGTGAGCCACCACGCCCGGCCGACTTTTTTTTTTTTTTTCTCTCTGAGACGGAGTTTTGCTCTCGTTGCCCAGGCTGGAGTGCAGTGGTGCGATCTCTGCTCACTGAAACCTCCGCCTCCTGGGTTGATTCTCCCGCCTCAGCCTCCCAAGTAGCTGGGATTACAGTTGCGTGCCACCCCGCCTGGCTAATTTTTGTATTTTTTTTTTCAGTAGAGATGGGGTTTCACCCTGTTTCCCAGGCTGGTCTCGAACTCCTGACTTCAGGTGATCTGCCTGCCTCAGCCTCCAAAATATTGGCATTGCAGGCATGAGCCACCACACCTAGCCAAACTTTTAAACAGTGTGTATTTATTTATTTTTTGAGATGGGGTCTTGCTCTGCCGCCCAGGCTGGAATGCAGTGGTGCAATCATAGCTTATTGCAGCCTCGAATTCCTGGGCTCAAGCAATCCTCCCACTTCAGCTTCCCAAGTAGCCGGGACTACAGGAGAGTGCCACCTTACCCAGCTTATTTTTGTATTTTTTGTCAAGACAGGGAATCCCTATGTTGCCCAGGCTGGTCTTGAACTCCTGGGCTTAAGCGATCCGCCTGCCTCCGCTTTTCAAAGCACTGGAATTACAGATGTGAGCCACCACACCCGGCCACTGCTCTTCTTTTGACTTTCACAAGCCTTTATTTGTGGATGCTGAAATTCGAATTGCTGAGTATTTCTCAGATCACAAAATAAAATAGTTTTGTTTGTTTGTTTGTTTTTTGTTTTTTTTTTGAGACAGAGTCTCGCTCTGTCGCCCAGGCTGGAGTGCAGTGGCGCGATCTCGGCTCACTGCAAGCTCCACTTCCCGGGTTCACGCCATTCTCCTGCCTCAGCCTCCCAAGTAGCTGGGACTACAGGCGCCCGCCACCACGCCCGGCTAATTTTTTGTATTTTTAATAGAGACAGGGTTTCACCGTGTTAGCCAGGATGGTCTCGATCTCCTGACCTCGTGATCTGCCTGCCTCAGCCTCCCAAAGTGCTGGGATTACAGGCGTGAGCCACCGCGCCCGGCCACAAAACAGTATTAGTATTATTCTAGTCATTTTTTTTCCTGACCATTAAAAATCCAAAAACAATTCTTAGCTCGCAGGCCGTACAAAAATTGATGATGTGGTGGGGTGTAGTTTGACAGCCCCGGGTCTAATTTATAACCAGGGCACGTGGTTTGGACTGGGTCATAATTTAGTGTAGTGAGAAGTCCCCAAGAAATGGTTCAAGTTCAGCTATAGAAAAATGGGCCCGAGGTTGAGGCGGGTGGATCACCTGAGGTCAGGAGTTCGAGAGCAGCCTGGCCAACATGACAAAACCCCGTCTCTACTAAAAATACAAAAATTAGCCAGGCATGGTGGCAGGCACCTGTAGTCCCAGCTACTCAGGAGGCTGAGGCAGGAGAACTGCTTGAACCCGGAGGTGGAGGTTGCAGTGAGCCAAGGTCACGCCACTGCACTCCAGCAGCCTGGGTGATAGAGAGAGACTCCATCACACACACACACAAAAGACACCACAAAGGGGTGGCATGCACCTGTTGCCCCAGCAACTTGGAAGGCTGAAGAGGGAAGATGTCTTGAGCCCGGGAGGTTGAGGCTGCAGTGAGCTATGATCGCACCACTGCACTGCAGCCTGGGCCACAGAGTAGGACCCCATTTCTAAGAACAATAAAGCATAAAAAGTGGCTGGGTGCGGTGGCTACGCCTGTAATCCCAGCACTTTGGGAGGCTGAGGCGGGCGGATCACTGGAGGTCAGGAGTTTGAGACCAGCCTGGCCAACATGGTGAAACCCCATCTCTACTAAAAATACAAAAATGAGCCAGGCGTGGTGACATGAGCTTGTAATCCCAGCTACTCGGGAGGCTGAGACAGGAGAGTCACTTGAACCCAGGAGGCTGAGGTTGCAGTGAGCTGAGCTTGTGCCACTGCACTCCAGTCTGGGCGACAGAGCAGGACTCTGTCTCAAAAATAAATAAATAAATAAATAAATAAATAAATAAATAAATAAATAAAAATAAAAAAGAACAAAAACCCCAGGAGGAGGAAACAAAGTGTGTCCCACGGATGGGGCTGCATCCCGCTCCAGGCTGTCCTTTTGGGGTCCCTGGGAGACAGGAAGGGGCCACATCCCGCTCCAGGCTGTCCTTTTGGGGTCCCTAGCCCGCATCCCGCTCCAGGCTGTCCTTTTGGGGTCCCTGGGAGACGGGACGGGGCCGCATCCGGCTCCAGGCTGTCCTTTTGGGGTCCCTGGGAGACAGGATGGGTGTGCTCCCCTCTTCCCCGCTTTCTGCAGGTGGTGGAAACTGAGGTCAGCTTTCGCCCCAAGATTGCTCGGGGTGTCGGTTCCAGGGCCACAGGCCTGGCTTGTGTGGCTGCACCAGTGGCCCCCGGAAGCCTGAAACTAGGGGTCAGGGGCTATGGGATCCCGAATGGGGGGCCTGTGGGAGCTGAAGCAGGAAGCTGTGTCTTTCCCCAGGGCCGGATTCAGAGGCCACGACCCGACCTAAGGTGAGCCTGCCTGGCTTGCAGCGCGGGACGGTGAGGGGGACGGGGCACGGGGAGCGGCCCACCCACAGCCGGCCCGTGCCCCCGCCACCCCCAGGAGAACCCCTACCTCTGGAACAAGTTCGCCGACGGGAAGCTGCTCTTCCACAATGCGGCCCTGCTGCACCTCGTGCGGACCAACGGGGACGAGGCCGTGCGGGAGTTCTGGCGCCTGCTGGCCATCTGCCACACGGTGATGGTGCGGGAGAGCCCCCGTGAGCGCCCAGGTGCGCCCACCCACCTCCCCATCTCTGAGGCCGCTCAGCCCCCGGGGCACGGCAGTGTCCCCAGCCCCGCAGCTCACCCGGCCCATCTTCCAGGGCTTTCAGCTGGCTTGGGGGGCGCTGAGGCCGGTGTGACACCAGCCGCACCTCGAGGGCGTCCGGGCCTGGAGCCCAGACAGTGCTGACAAGCATCGTGGCGGGAGGGCGGACGTGTCATCGTCAGGGCTAAAGGATGTCCAGGCCTGCGGTCGGAGCCCGAGGATCTGTTGTTGAGCGGGAAGGTCGTCTAGTCTCAAGTGCTCACCTCCATGCATTGGGTTGTACAGGCGGGGGTCCCCGGCCACCATCAATAAAGGTGTAGCCCAGGCGATACCCATCTCCTCCCTGCACTGTGGAGATGGAGACGGGCTCCACCACGTGACCCCAAAATGGCCCCCCTCCCTACCAGACCAGCTGTTGTACCAGGCGGCCTCCCCCGACGAGGGGGCGCTGGTCACCGCAGCCCGGAACTTCGGCTACGTGTTCCTGTCCCGCACCCAGGACACCGTCACGATCATGGAGCTGGGGGAGGAACGGGTCTACCAGGTCCTGGCCATAATGGACTTCAACAGCACGCGCAAACGGATGTCGGTGCTGGGTGAGCCCCGCCACCCAAGCCCTGGGCCCCCCAAGGTGGGGCGGGCAGACGGGGAGCCTCTGTGGGCAGCAGGGCCTGTTCCCCCACAGTTCGAAAGCCAGAGGGCGCCATCTGCCTGTACACCAAGGGCGCCGACACGGTCATCTTCGAACGCTTGCACAGGAGGGGGGCAATGGAATTTGCCACAGAGGAGGCCTTGGCTGTGAGTCCCTTCAGGAAGGCTGGCTTATGTGTGTGTGTGTGTGTGTGTGTGTGTGTGTGTGTGTGTGTGTGTGTGTGTGTGTGTGTGTGTAGGGACAGGAGGAGGAGGAGGCAGGGGAGGAGACTGTACGGAGAAATGGAAGGCTGCAGGTACCTGGGATGGCTATGTACAGTGAGGTATGTTGTGCACTGTACAAAACACCCTCCCCCGGCAACACACAAAACACACACACACCGGCTGGGAGGCAGCTGAACTCCCAAGTGTAGCCCCCAGAGAGAGAGCGTCTTTTTCTTTTTCTTGTCTTGTCTTTCTTTTCTTTTCTTTGAGACAGAGTCTTGCTCTGTCGCCCAGGCTGGAGTGCAGTGGCACAGTCTTGGCTCGCTGCAACCTCCGCCTCCCGGGTTCAAGTGATTCTCCTGCCTCAGCCTCCCGAGGAGCTGGAATTACAGGCACACGCCAGTGCACCCAGCTAATTTTAATATTTTTAGTAGAGATGGGTTTTCGCCATGTGGGCCAGGCTGGTCTTGAACTCCTGACCTCAGGTGATCTGCCCCCTTGGCCTCCCAAAGTGCTGGGATTACAGACATGAGCCATCGCGCCCAGCCTGCCTTTTCTTTTTTGAGAGGGAGTCTTGCACTGTTGCCCAGGCTGGAGTGCAATGGTGCAATCTTGAGTCACTGCAACCTCTGCCTCCCAGGCTTAAGCTATCCTCCTGCCTCAGCCTCCTGAGTAGCTGAGACTACAGGCGCCCGCCACCACGCCCGGCCAATTTTGTATTTTTAGTAGAGATGGGGTTTCACCATGTTGCCAGGCTGGTCTCCAACTCGTGACCTCAGGTGATCCACCCGCCTCGCCCTCTCAAAGTGCTGGGATTACAGGCGTAGGCCACCGCGCCCGGCCAAGGGTGTATTTTTCTCATTTGCACAAGACGACCGTGCGGTTGAGCTGGCCCAGCTGCCAGGACACACTCAGCTCCGTCTGCTCCAAAGCTTCCCACTCTGTGGGGGAAGCCCGAACTCCTCGGCCCAGGATTTGAGGCTTTTTCTGTCCCCTGCTGACCTCTCCAGCCTGGTCTCTCTTTGGCCTCACCAAGGGACTCCCTAGGACCCAGTTTCTGGCTTGTGACTTCCCCACTCTCAGGTGCTGCCTTGGCACCTTTGCA
Organism: Homo sapiens; assembly: GCF_000001405.40. NCBI lineage: Eukaryota > Metazoa > Chordata > Mammalia > Primates > Hominidae > Homo > Homo sapiens. The sequence goes on along the minus strand of NC_000019.10, from coordinate 1,794,712 downwards.
CATGCTGTTTCCTGTGCTGGGAGGGTCTTCCCTGCACCTTTGTCATTCAGAAGCTTTCGGTGTCCTCATGACTCAGCCACAAGCTCCCCACACATGGGGCCTTTCCTGCCCCACCCCCTGCCAACATGGGGCTGTCATCACCCCAGGCTGCCTCCCCCTGGTCCAGCCCTGACCCTACAGGGCCAGAGGATTCTGCGTCCAGCCTGGGGGCTCCTCACAGGTTCTGCTGGGGCCCCAGCAGCATGGAGCACAGGGCAGCGGGGTGTGTGTGGGAAGATGTCCTGTGTCCCCTGCTCTGCCAGGATGTGGGGGCACTCTGAACTGGAAGTGCGGTCACAATAATGACCTAGAGCCCAGGAGCTCAGCAGGTCAGCTTAGCTCAGCCACCCCAGGGAATGGATGGGTAAATTGAGGCCGGAAGAAGGGTCAAGGCCTGTCGGAGGCTGCCAATGTCCGTGAAGCTCCTCTGCTGTGTCAAGCCCAAGCTCTTGGACCCGTGCCCCATCAACAACAAAAGGGAAATCAGACATGGTGGCGCGTGCCTGTGGTCCCAGCACTTTGGGAGCCTGAGGCAGGAGGATCGCTTGAGTGCAGGAGGTGGAGGCTACAGCAAGCTGTGATCGCACCACTGCACTCCAGCCTGGGCGACAGGGCGAGACCCCTGTCTCTTAATAAACAGGCTGGCGCGATGGCTCACGCCTGTAATCCCAGTGCTTTGGGAGGCGGGCAGATCATTTGAGGTCAGGAGTTCGAGGCCAGCCTGACCAACCTGGTGAAACCCTGTCTCTACTAAAACTACAAAATCAGCCAGATGTGGTGGTGCAGGCCTGTAGTCTCAGCTACTCGGGAGGCTGAGGCAGGAGAATCGCTTGAACCCGGGAGGCAGAGCTTGCAGTGAGCCAAGATCGCGCCACTACACTCCAGCCTGGGCAACAGAGTGAGACTCCATCTCAAAAAATAAATAAATAAAAATAAATAAATAAACAAATTTGAGACCTAAGGCCACCCCTTGGAGCACAAAGCTGGGGGCAGGGTCGGGGGGTAAGAAGCCGTAAGGGCACCTTCCTTGGGGACCCCCCGACCACCCTTGGGGTGCCTGCTCTCTGGGCCTGCCCAGTTTCCTCCCAGCCCCTAGAGGCCCCAACCCTGGGTCTGGCCCTTGAGAAATGAGGGGCCCAAGGAAGGGGCTCAGAGAGCCAAAGTTGAGGGGTCAGAGGGAGGGGCCTGGGACTGGGGGAGCCCCAGCTGGGGAAGGCACCGGGTGGGTGGACTGCATAGAAGGTCTTGAGTGATAGTCAGAATTCGCCATGCAGGCCAGGTGTGGTGGCTTCTGCCTGTAATCTCAGCGTTTTGAGGCTCAGGTGTGCAGCTTGCTTGAGCTCTGGAGTTCGAGACCAGCCCAGGCAACATGGTGAAACCACCTCTATTTAAAAAATATATATATATACAAAGAAATTAGCCGGGTGTGATGGCATGTGCCTATGATCCCAGCTATTTGGAAGGTAGAGACAGGAGAATCACTTGAGCCCAGGAGTTCGAGGCTGCAGTGAGCTATGATTGGGCCACTGCACTCCAGCCTGGGTGACAAAGTGAGACCCTATCCCCCACCCCCGAGAAAAAAAAAAAAAAAGAATTTGCTGTGCAAAGCATAGGGAAGGTGTTCCTGGCAGGGAAACAGTCCTCCAAGAAGGTCTGGAGGCAAAAGAGAGCTGAGGGTCTGGGGGTGGGAGCAGGTGTCTGAGACAGAGTAGGTGGGGAGCAGGGGCAGCTCAGTTTTCTTTTCTTTTTTTTTTTTTTTGAAACAGAATCTTGCTCTGATACTCAGGCTGGAGTGCGATAGGGCGATCTCAGCTCACTGCAACCTCGGCCTCCCAGGTTCGAGGGATCCTCCCACCTCAGCCTCCTGAGTAGCTGGGATTCCAGGCATGCGCCACCACACCTGGCTAATTTTTTATGTGTTTCGAGTGGAGACGCGGTTTCACCGTATTGGTTAAGCTGGTCTCAAACTCCTGGCCTCAAGTGATCCGCCTGCCTCGGCCTCCCAAAGTGCTGGGATTACAGGTGTGAGCCACCACGCCCAGCCCTCTTCCCCGCTTTCTTTCTATTGTTTTTTCTATTTTTTTTTTTTTTTTTGAGATGGAGTCTCACTTTGTCGCCCAGGCTGGAGTGCAGTGGTGTGATCTCAGCTCGCTGCAACCTCCGCCTCCCAAGTTCAAGCAATTCTCCTGCCTCAGCCTCTCAAGTAGCTGGGACTACAGGCACCCACCACCATGCCTGGCTAATCTTTGTATTTTGGGTAGAGACAGGGTTTCACCATGTTGGCCAACCTGGTCTCAAACTCCTGGCCTCAAATGATCCGCCTGCCTCAGCCTCCCAAAGTGCTGGGATTGCAGGCGTGAGCCACCGTACCCGGCCTCAGACCAGTTTTCTGAATCCCTTCTGGCTGCTGTTGGCTGGGGAGGCAACAGGCTTTTGGTTGGGGGACCCAGGCTCCGGAGCCCGGCAGGGGGTTGGGGAGGGCTGAGCCTCGGATGTCGGCTTCAGCATGGTGACAGCTTCCACCTGCCCGGCCCCCAGGCCTTTGCCCAGGAGACCCTGCGGACACTGTGCCTGGCCTACAGGGAGGTGGCTGAGGACATTTACGAGGACTGGCAGCAGCGCCACCAGGAGGCCAGCCTCCTGCTGCAGAACCGGGCACAGGCCCTGCAACAGGTGTACAACGAGATGGAGCAGGACCTCAGGGTGGGTGGGCAGCGGGGGCACCCAAGGGGGCCCTGGGACTCTCCTGCCCCCGCCAGGGAGCTGGACGGCTGCTCAGCATCTTCCCCGCCCTGCCCTCCTCCCCCACCAGCTGCTGGGAGCCACAGCCATCGAGGACAGACTCCAGGACGGTGTCCCTGAAACCATCAAATGTCTCAAGAAGAGCAACATCAAAATATGGGTGCTCACCGGGGACAAGCAGGGTGAGTCCCGGGCAGCTCCGGGTGGCTAAGCCCCTGCAGCATGGGTCTTCAAACTTCCCTGAAGTTTGAAGGCTCACACCTGTCATCCCAGCACTTTGGGAGGCCGAGGCGGGCGGATCACTTGAGGTCAGAAGTTCGAGACCAGCAGGGCCAACATGGTCAAACCCCGTCTCTGCTAAAAATACAAAAATGGGCCTGGCCAGGTGTGGTGGTGCGCATCTGTAATCCCAGCTACTCAGGAGGCTGAGGCAGGAGAATCGCTTGAACCTGGGAGGCAGAGGTTGCAGTGAGCCAAGATCGCACCATTGCACTCCAGCCTGGGCGACAGAGCGAGACTCTGTCTCAAAAAAAAAAAAAAAATGCTGCAACTCTCAGAGGAGCGCAGTGGCACATGCTTGTGGTCTCAGCTACTCCAGAGAAACGAGGCAGGAGGCTCGCTTATGCCCAGGAGGTTGAGGCTGCAGTGAGCCGTGATTGCGCCACTGCCCTCCAGCCTGGGTGACAGAGTGAGCCCTTGTCAAAAAAAAAAAAAGTGATTTTCAGGGTGCCCTCTGTCGGCCAGGAGCCAGCCCAGGGAAACATATTCAATTATTTCCCTTCTGATTTAAAAAGATATTGAGACATTTTGTGGGTTCCTGAAGGCACTGTGGATCCTAGGCACATGTGCCTGCTGATCCTGGCCTCAGACACATCTCTGGGCAGCCCAGTCCCGGCCAGAACTACAGCCAAAATCTCAGGGCTGGCTCTCATTGGTGAGCCTGGGTTACAAGCCCTTCTCTGAACCAATCACCATGGCCAGGGGGTGGGGCATGTGGCTGCCATTGGTCGGGCCAGGATTCACCGGGCAGAGTGGGCGTGGCCCCCAGGCAGCCAGTGCGGGGCGGGTCGCAGAGGCGCTGAGCTGGTCTGCTTCGCAGAAACGGCTGTGAACATCGGCTTCGCCTGCGAGCTGCTGTCAGAGAATATGCTCATTCTGGAGGAGAAGGAGATTAGGTAAGAAGTGGGGAGTTGGGGGGTGAGCAAGGGGAGTGGGGAGGTGAGGACAAGGAGCACCCAGGTGCGTGTCTCACTGGACGGGGAGCCCAAGGCACAGTGGGAAGGGGGGGATTGAGAGGGGAGGGAAGGGTAGGAGGAAGGAGTGTGGTAATGGGGAGTGGAGGGAGCTTGGAGGGAAGGGGGAGGGGCAGTGGAGGGAGAAGGGGAGAGGCAGAGGAGGGGGAGGAGCAGAGGAGGGAGGGGGAAGAGGGAGGGAAGGTGAGGGCAGGGGGAGGGGCAGGGGTGGCGAAGTGGGCAGTGGAGGGAGAGGGTAGGGGAGAGGGAAGGGAGGGGAGGGGAGAGGGGAGGGGAGAGGGAAGGGAGGGGAGGGGGAGGTGCAGGGGTGAGGGAGTGGGCAGTGGAGGGGAAGGATGGGGGCAGTGGGGAGGAGGGGAGGGGCAGTGGAGGGAGGGGGAGGGGAGAGGGAGGGGAGGGGGGAGCAGCGGAGGGGAGTGGGCGGTGGAGGGGGAGGGGAGGAGAGAGGAGGCAGAGGGGAGGAGAGAGGGAAGGGGGAGGGGCAGGGGTGGGGGAGTGGGCAGTGGAGGGGAAGGGGAGGGGCAGCGGCGGGAGGAGGAGGAAAGGGGAGGGGAAGAGGGAAGTGGGGAGGAGAAGGGGCAGGGGTGGGGGAGTGGGCAGTGGAAGGGGTGGGAGGGGCAGTGGAGCCCCCGGGGAAGTGGGGAGAAGCCCGCCCCCTCCCCTGCCCCGCTGACCCCTGCGCCCCGCAGCCGCATCCTGGAGACCTACTGGGAAAACAGTAACAACCTTCTAACCAGGGAGTCCCTGTCGCAGGTCAAGCTGGCCTTGGTCATTAACGGAGACTTCCTGGTCAGTGTCGCTCAGGGTGGACGGCGGGGTCCCGGCGCCAGGGAGGGGCCTGGAGGGGCGGCGGGCTCGGGGTGGGGACTGCTGGCGAGGCCGAGGGCCGGGTAGGGTCCAGTCTGGCCTGGAGGCCACGGCGCCTGGCACAGCCCCCTCCCCGCCGGCCAGGACAAACTGCTGGTGTCCCTGCGGAAGGAGCCGCGCGCCCTGGCGCAGAACGTGAACATGGACGAGGCGTGGCAGGAGCTCGGCCAGTCCAGGAGGGATTTCCTCTACGCCAGGCGCCTGTCCCTGCTGTGCCGGAGGTTCGGGCTCCCGCTGGCTGCACCGCCAGCCCAGGACTCCAGAGCCCGCCGTAGCTCCGAGGTGCTGCAGGAGCGCGCCTTCGTGGACCTGGCGTCCAAGTGCCAGGCGGTCATCTGCTGCCGCGTGACGCCCAAGCAGAAGGCCCTGATCGTGGCCCTGGTCAAGAAGTACCACCAGGTGGTGACCCTGGCCATCGGGGACGGTGCCAACGACATCAACATGATCAAGAGTGGGTGGCGGCGGCGGGGCTGGGGGTGCCTGGGACGAGTGGGGGGCGGCTGACGGAGGCGGTGGTGGGACTGGGGGGACCTGGGGCAGGTGAGGGGGGCGCTGATGGAGGCGGCGGTGGGACTGGGGGGACCTGAAGCAGATGGGGGGGGCTGATAGGGGGCAGAACAGTGCGGGGGTCTGGGGGGGCGGGCGGGACTGGGGGCGTGCGGGGGGCTGACCAGCTGCTTGTGCCCTGCAGCCGCGGACGTGGGCGTGGGGCTGGCGGGCCAGGAGGGCATGCAGGCAGTTCAGAACAGCGACTTCGTGCTCGGCCAGTTCTGCTTCCTGCAGCGCCTCCTGCTGGTGCACGGCCGCTGGTCCTACGTGCGGATCTGCAAGTTCCTGCGCTACTTCTTCTACAAGAGCATGGCCAGCATGATGGTGCAGGTCTGGTTTGCCTGCTACAACGGCTTCACCGGCCAGGTGCGTCCCCCACCCTGGCTGCCCCATGACCAGGGCCTCTGGGGATGCCCTGCCCCTCCCATAGCTGCCAGGAGCAGCCCTGGACGCACTGAGAACCCTGGGATCCTCGGTGGACAGGGCTTGCCTGAGGCCACATGGCAAGGCTGCGTTAGTGGAGGCCTAGAGTCCAGGTGAAGGGAGGTGACGGTCCCTGTCTAGCTCTGTGCCCAACACCTTCCAGGATATTTGTTTCGTTTTGTTTTGTTTTGAGACAGAGTCTCACTCTGTCACCCAGGCTGGAGTGCAATGGCACGATCTCGGCTCACTGCAGCCTCCGCCTCCCGGGTTCAAGTGATTCTCTTGCCTCCACCTCCCAAGTAGCTGGGATTACAGGCGTGTACCATCACGCCTGGCTAATTTTTGTATTTTTAGCAGAGACAGGGTTTCACCATGTTGGCCAGGCTGGTCTCGAACTCCTGACCTCAGGTGACCTGCTCACTTTGGCCTCCCAAAGTGCTGGGATTACAGCGTGAGCCACCGTGCCCGGCACACTCAGAGCTTTCAAGCAAGGGCAGGCACTGCACATGGACCTCCTCTTCTGGGGAGAGTTGAGTGAACAAGACCTTGAACCCCAGAGAAGATCCGATTGTGGGAGCTGGGGCTCTGGTCCAGACTCTGAGCGGTATCCTGACAAGGACTAGAGGAGCCCCAGGGCAGTGCTATTCCCTGCGTGTAGGGAAACTGCTGGGAAGCAGGTGCCTTGGAGAAGGAATGAGCTCCCATCACTAATACCTGGGCATTTGAGAGGGAGCTTTACAGAAACCCCTTAGTAAGTATATATTGGTTTCTGTTTTATTTTTATTATTATTACCTTTTGAGACAGAGTCTCACTCTGTTGCCCAGGCTGTCGTGCAGTGGCATGATCTTGGCTCACTGCAACCTCTGCCTCCCGGGTTCAAGTGATCCTCCTGCCTCAGCCCCTCTAGTGGCTGAGATTACAGACACCTGCCACCATGCCTGGCTAATTTTTATATTTTTAGTAGAGACAGGGTTTTGCCATGTTGGCCAGGCTGGTCTCGAACTCCTGACCTCGTGATCTGCCCATCTCAGCCTCCCAAAGTGCTGGGATTACAGGCATGAGCAATCGCACCCAGCGTTTTTTTTTTTTTTTTTTTTTTTTTTTTTTTTTAGACAGAGTTTCACACTTGTTGCCCAGGCTGGAGTGCAATAGTGTGATCTCGGCTCACTGCAACCTCCGTCTCCTGGGTTCAAGCGATTCTCCTGTCTCAGCCTCCCAAGTAGCTGGGATTACAGGCGCCTGCTACCACGCCCAGCTACTTTTTATATTTTTAGTAGAGACGGGGTTTCACCGTGTTGGCCAGGCTAGTATCAAACTCCTGACCTCAAGTGATCTGCCCGCCTCGGCCTTCCAAAGTGCTGAGATTATAGGCGTGAGCCACCGTGCCCAGCCTGTATCCTTTTTTGATGCCATCCAATTAAAACAAAAACTCAGAGGTGCCATTATGAGGGAATTTGATCATGCTTTCCTCCCTCCCTTTATCTTGCCGCCTTTATCAGGCCGCACTTCACCCCACCCCAGTCCCAGCCCCAACCTTGAGTGTAACTCGACCAGAGTTACCTCACCCAGAACCCTCCCTGGGTGCCTGCTTGGCAGGCTCCTTGGGTGCCTGGAGGCTGACTTGTTCTCCTTGCCCTTCTCCCCCGGCTCAGCCCCTGTATGAAGGATGGTTCCTGGCTCTTTTCAACCTCCTGTACAGCACCCTGCCAGTTCTCTACATTGGGCTCTTTGAGCAGGTGAGCAGGGCAAGGCCGGGTCTTCCTTCCAGGTCTCTGCTTAGCCTCTCCTCCTCTCCTCCGCTCCTTGGGGCGGGGAGAGGGAGCCTGGGAGACCTTCAGGCCATGGGGTGGGGCTCAGGGGGTGCAGTCCAGTACCTCTCCCTGCCCACTGCCATTGACCTTCTCCCACCGGAGCCTACGCTCATCCCGGGGCCATCCAGCTCCTCCTGTGTGTGGGAGCCCCCACCCTGTGCTGGAGCCCCCGTGCCTCTGTCTACCCATCCATGCAATGGGGAGAGAGGATCAGAGCAGATGACTCTGCTAGGTTTATCATCCCCCAGCTCCAAGAGGCCCTGGCTACGTGATCTGGGGTTGGGAGGGTGGGTCACATGGAACGTTCCAGATGATGGAAGTGTCCCACAGCTATGCAATCCAACACAGAAGCCAGCAGCCATACGTGCCCATGAGGAACGCTTGTGTTGCGGCTGGTGTGACCCAGGGACTGGATTTTACATCTCATTTCATGTTTGCTAGAATCTTTTTTTTTTTTTTTTTGAGACAGGGTCTCGCTCTGTCGCCCAGGCTGGAGTGCAGTGGCACAATCTCAGCTCACTGCAACCTCTGCCTCCCGGGTTCAAGCGATTCTCCTGCCTCAGCCTCCTGAGTAGCTGGGATTACAGGCGTGCACCACCATGCCCGGCTAATTTTTTTATTTTTAGTAGAGACAGGATTTCGCCATGTTGGCCAGGCTGGTCTTGAACTCCTGACCTCAGGTGATCCTCCCACCTCGGCCTCCCCAAGTGCTGGGATTACAGGCGTGAGCCACCGCACCTGGCCTTGCTGGTATCTTTAACTGTGGTGGAATACAAATCACGTAAACTGCCCCGTCTCAGCCAGACTCATGCGCACAGCCCAGCATCACCTAGTGCGTTCGTGTGGCCAAGTGACCAACCTCCAGAGCTCTTTCCATTTCATTTTATTTTATTCTGTAGACGAGGTCCCATTCTCTCACCCAGGCTGGAGTGCAGTGGTGCGATCACAGCTCACTGCAGCCTCCACTCCTGGGCTCAAATGATCCTCCTGCCTCAGCCGCCCAAGTAGATGGGATTACAGGTGCGCACCACCACACCCAGCTCCTTTAAAAGGTTTTTTTGGAGATGGGGGGTTTCACTATGTTGTCCAGGCTGGTCTCAAACTCCTGGCCTTAAGCGATCCTCCCACCTTGACCTCCTAAAGTGCTGAGATTACAGGCGTGTGCCACCGTGCCTGGCCTTACTTTATTTTAACTCACTTAAACTCAAAGAGCCACACACAGAGAGTGGCCACCCTACTGGCCTGCCCGAGGAGATCCTGATCTCTGTTGGGTGTCCCCCGCCCCCCACCCAATCCCAAGAGCTTCTGCTTGCCCCAAGGACGTGAGCGCAGAGCAGAGCCTGGAGAAGCCGGAGCTGTACGTGGTGGGGCAGAAGGACGAGCTCTTCAACTACTGGGTCTTCGTCCAAGCCATCGCCCATGGTGTGACCACCTCTCTGGTCAACTTCTTCATGACACTGTGGATCAGCCGCGACACGGCGGGACCCGCCAGCTTCAGCGACCACCAGTCCTTTGCGGTCGTGGTGGCCCTGTCTTGCCTGCTGTCCATCACCATGGAGGTGGGCAAGGTCCTCACCTCCCCGGGGCCTTGGACATGGCCTATGGAGGCCTCCTCCCCTGGGGACCCCTGCTTTGGGGGCATTGCCAGGTGCCCTTCCTGGACCCCAGGGGCTGGTGTCCTGGTGCAAGCCCCGCTAGGCCCCGGATTTACCCCACCGCTGCCTGTCCAGGTCATTCTTATCATCAAGTACTGGACCGCCCTGTGCGTGGCGACCATCCTCCTCAGCCTTGGTTTCTACGCCATCATGACTACCACCACCCAGAGCTTCTGGCTCTTCAGAGTATCCCCCACGACCTTCCCGTTTCTGTGTGAGCCCCCATGGGGAAGTGGGACGGGCGGTCGTGGTGCAGGGGAGCCCCGATGGAAGAGGTTGCAGGTTGCTCATGACAGTCGTCCGGCAAAGTGTCCTGGGGAAGGCGCTCCTTTATGGACCAGGCACAAAGGCACCAAGGCGCTCCCTAGCCTGGGGGCATCCTTGGAGCTGGGGGTAGGCTCTGCTGTGACCCCGCCCTGTCCCCAGATGCCGACCTCAGCGTGATGTCCTCTCCCTCCATCCTGCTGGTGGTCCTGCTGAGTGTGTCCATAAACACCTTCCCTGTCCTGGCCCTCCGAGTCATCTTCCCAGCCCTCAAGGAGCTACGTGCCAAGGTGAGGTGGGCCTGGGCCTGGGGTCCTCATCTGGTACATTCCAGGACCCTGGTTGGGGAGCCGTGCAGGGCGTAGGGACTGCAAGGTGTCCCGGCCCCTCTCGGCCCTCCAAGACACTAGGCTTGGGGGAAGGGTGGGTGCGGAGCCCCGGACACACGCCCAGTGCCCCCGGGGCCCGATTTCCCAAGAAGGGAGACCTCACTCCCCCGACAAAGCAGCAGAGAGCACCCAAACGCCGCCCTGGATTCCAGTGCTGATGCCATCGGGCTCTTAAGGTTTTATTTATTTATTTATTTTTACTTTTTGAGAAGGGTCTTGTGCTGTCACCCAGGCTGGAGTGCAGTGGCACAATCTCGGCTCACTGCAGCCTCGACCTTCCGGGCTCAAAGGATCCTCCCACCTCAGCTTTCCAAGTAGCTGAGACCACGGGCATGTACCACCACGCCCAGCTAATTTTGTAGTTATTTTCTAGAGATGGAGACTCATTATGGTGCCCAGGCTGGTTCAAACTCCTGGGCTCACGCAATCCTCCTGCCTTGGCCTCATAACATGTTGGGATTTCAGGCATGAGCCACACTGTGCCTGGCTGACACCATCAGATTCTACCGTGAATGATCTAGAGCTTGGGGGTTGAGATGACGGAAACAACCTTGAAATGGTTTAGGCAAAAGGAGGAACTTAGAAATAAGAGTCTGTTGACAGATGAGTGGGTCAACACGGCACGCTCCATCTGTGCAATGAAACACGCCTGAGCCGTGAGAAGGAGTGAGGCTCTGACACAGGCCACAGCGTGGATGCACCTTGAGGACATGTGCTCAAGGCCAGGCGCAGCGGTTCACACCTGTAATCCCAGCACTTTGAGAGGCTGAAGCAGGTGGCTTGCTTGAGCCTGGGAGGTTGAGGCTGCAGTGAGCTATGATTTTTGCCACTGCACTCCTATCTGGGCAACAGAGCAAGACCCCACCTCAAAAAAAAGGGAGGGGACTTACTAGCCCACGTAACCAAAGCATGCATGGAAAAGCAAGTTGCAGCTGAGATGGGCCCCAGAATTGACTGGAATGGTGTACCTGCCCTGCCACCTCTGTTCTCCCTGCCCAGCTCCTGCCACCTTTACTGCACAGGCTGGGCACCTGGCTGTCCCAGGCTCACCTCTCCTGGATTTGCCACCAAAGGGCAGCCAAGGCACCTGGTGGCTGGTCCAGAGTCGGGGAAGGACTCTGATTGGCTGAGCCAGGGTTAAGTCCCAGGGAAGGACTCTGATTGGGTGGTCCCGAGTTAAGTCCCAGGGAATAACTCTGATTGGCTGATCCAGGGTTAGTTTCCAGGGCAAGGCCAATTAGTGGGTCTTGAAAAGCAAAGGACTAGAGTCCTCCTTAGAACTCAACACTGAGAGTCGAGGACTCTAATTGGCTCAACTTGGGTAGGGAAGAACGTAGCCAATCAATAGTGGCCAAGGGCTTTGAATCCTGCCTCTCCTACTTGGGGGACCTGAGAGCCATCAGCCAAGCATAGGAGTCTGCTTCCCCTGCTCTCCCCTTTGCTCTTCAGGAGGAGAAGGTGGAGGAGGGCCCCAGCGAGGAGATTTTCACCATGGAGCCCTTGCCTCATGTACACCGGGAGTCTCGTGCCCGCCGTTCCAGCTATGCTTTCTCCCACCGTGAGGGATATGCAAACCTCATCACTCAGGGCACAATTCTGCGGAGGGGACCAGGGGTCAGCAGTGACATAGCATCTGAATCCCTAGACCCATCTGATGAAGAGGCAGCTTCGAGCCCAAAAGAGTCACAGTGACACCTCAGGAAGATGTCCTTCCTGGGGAAGAAGAAGCACCAGCCACAGGGGCAGGTGTCCTCCCAGGAAGTACAGCTCCCCCCTACACCTAGCTCATCATTTTCTATGGATAGACAATCCGCTCTTCATCCAGAAAACCAACCTGCCCTCCCCAAATATGTGCTCACCAGCAGCAACAGGCTATCTGAGTCTTTCCAAGAGCAATTGCCAAGGGCACAGGAGAGGTCATTGTCACCCAAGCAGAGGCCACCTTCTCCTGAGAAGTTGCTGTTGACCAAGGAGAGGTCACATTCTTTTCAGGAGAAATCACTGTTGCACAGAGAAAGCCAGCTGTCGTCATTTGAGAGCCAGCCACAGCCTCTGGGGAGCCAGTCATTTCTTTCAGGCCAGCTGACGTTGGAGAGCCAGCCAGACTCCTCGGAGGAGAAGTCAGCATTTTTGAAGCCCTCCACACCGTTCCGGAAGAGCTGGCAAAAGGAGCCTCACACCCCCAAGGAGGGGACGGTGCCACTTCCAGACAAGACCCACAAATCTCAGGTGGAGACTCTGCCACCAAGTCTGGAAGAATCGTCCACGTCCACGAGCGAGCAGCCTATGGAGGTGGAGCTGTGGCCCGCGGAGAAGCAGTCATCATCATCCATGGAGTGGCTGCTGGTGCCCGGGGAGGAGCAGCTATCCTTGCCCCCAGAGGAGCAGTCATTGCCCTCTGCGGAGGGGACCAGGGTTCAGCAGTGACGTAGCATCTGAATCCCTAGACCCATCTGATGAAGAGGCATCTTCGAGCCCAAAGGAGTCACGCTGGCATATCAGGAAGATGTCCTTCCTGGGAAGAAGAAGCTCCAGCCAGTTCTGCTGCAAGTCAACCAGCATGCAGGGGGCCTTCCTCTAAAGACAAGGACTCCACATGCTTTTCTTTTTCTAATAAACCAGGGTCCATCTGACCCCAGCGCTAATTCAGGCTCCCTCTTTCCCTACACTTTTTTTGTGATGGAATATTCCTTCCCGGTTTTTAAAATCAAAACACTGACCTCTAGTGGTCCAGCCGGGTATTTGCAGGGAAAACTTTCCTTCTTCATGCTGGGGTAAGATAATGTGGGTAAAGCTTCATTGCTCTCAAAAGTTGCTTATTAAAAGCTGTGGCTCCCCCGCTGCCTGACAGCTGGCCCCTCCCAAGAAAGTTTATAAATTCCAGTTCTTGTACCATCTAGCTTCTTCCTCTATCGGGAAGCCCTGGTTTCTCCCATTCAAATACACCTTCATTCACTGGGGCCTCCGTTCACTTTAGACTCCAGAAAGCAATGAGCAGTGATGTCACAGAAGCAGGTCCTGACAAGGTGTGCATCTTGGGGCTTGGTTGACTCAAAGGCGCCAAGCTTTTCCTTCTAAGGCGCCAAGCTTTTCTTTCTGATTCTTTTTTTTTTTTTTTTTTTGAGACGGAGTCTCACTCTGTCGCCCAGGCTGGAGTGCAGTGGCGCGATCTCGGCTCACTGCAAGCTCCACCTTCCGGGTTCACAGCATTCTCCTGCCTCAGCCTCCTGAGTAGCTGGGAATACAGGCGCCCACCACCATGCCTGGCTAATTTTTTGTATTTTTTAGTAGAGACGGGGTTTCACCGTGTTAGCCAGGATGGTCTTGATCTCCTGACCTCGTGATCCGCCTGCCTTGGCCTCCCAAAGTGCTGGGATTACAGGTGTGAGCCACCGCGCCTGGCCTCTTTCTGATTCTTACCATTCCCTGTGGGTGGTGGACTTGTGTGGGTGGTGGAGTTGTGTGGATTGTGGAGGCTCAGAGCTGGCCACTGGCCCAGGAAGAAGACGGGACTCAGAGCAGAGAGGGGCGAGCTGGGTGGAAGCAAAGTCCGTCTTCCCTGCACTCCGGTCCTCCCTCCCCAGCCTCGAGGTGGGCGAGTTCCATTCCCGCCCCCTATCTGTGCCCGACCCGTCAGCTAACACACACGCCCAGGTGAGTGACTAGAAAATAATTTATTGAAGAAAAACAAATCAACAAACCCAGCACAGCAATGGTTAACAATGACGAGATTTTTTTTTTTTTTTAGCTTTTAAGCCTGTCGCCCAAGGGTGAAGGTGGAAAAGGGCTTCTCTCCCCTGTCCCTGGAGGGGAGGGGACTTTGGAGGGTCCAAGTGGTGTCTCCCCTGAAAGCAGCCCTCAGTTCCAGTCTATTCAAAACACTCAAGGCCGCAGGGCCTCCTGGCTCTTCCGTCACCCCCGGCTGAGCTCATTCCACCAAAACCAGCCCCTGCGTGGTCTGACAGGGCCACGAGGAGGAGCCCCAGGAGTCTACTGGCCTGATTTTGCTTAAACCGCTTGGGGCAGAGAATGTGAAATGGCCCAAGCTCCTGCTGGTGCAAGGAGCATCCTGGCCCCGGCATCATTTCAGATTTGAGGTCAGCTGAGCCCTCAGCCCCAGGCCCAGCCCTCCAGACCAGGGCTTGCTGCTTTATGGGGTGAGAAGCACCCCGTTTAGCTACCCCGCCCCCCCCTACTGGGGCCTGTCCCAAAAGCGGCCCCTCTCATCTCTCCCCTGCCGCCCTCTCCTCCAGCCTCTGTTCCCAAGCTGGCACATCTGTGCCCCTTTCCACCTCCAGGGACTATCTGGGGATGGCTCAGGGACGTGGCCTCATGGCACAAGAGGAGTCAGAGGCAGAGGACATTGTCCCAGAGCCCCCTTTGATGATTTTGGGGAGTCCTCTGTTCTGTAGGCTCCGAAAGTGGGCTGGGAGGGAGGGGTCTCTGCAGGCGTACACCCCCTGCCTCCCGGGCTGGACAGAAAGGCGGACTCATGCCCAGCCCAGGGAGGGAGGCCGAGGCTGTCTGGGTGGAGGTGGGGGGGGAGGGGGTGCTGGTGCCTGCTGTTGGGGCCCTCAGGAGGGTCCTTCAGATCTCAGGAAGTTGGGGCACACTCCCGTCCCCCACCACCCTGGGCAACAAGACAAGAATAGGCTGATTGTCTGTCTCCTCTGAACAAGACACTTGGGAATTCATGCTAGAGTGAAAGCAACCGGGTGATGGGGGGTTGGGGGGGTCTAAGATATCGATGACACCAGAGTGCCCCCAAGAACCAGGAACTGAGGGGGGGACGCTCGGTGGCTCCCGCCTGGCTGGGGCAGGCAGGTGGCATCTCGGGTGGAGATGGACAGGCAGGTGGAGGAGACCCGGCTACTGAGGCTCTGTTCCCGCCCCCTCTACCTGGGGCCCCGTCCACCTGTCCCGGCTGGACACAGTTCCTTAGAAAGGAGGAAAGAAACAGTAACGAAAAACCACTGAACAGCACCGATCAGGCACCAGACACACAGATGCGACACGGAACCGGGCCACGCCCCCCGCCCCCCACCCTGACCACTTTATTACAATTAGCGTCAAGAAAGAGTACATTAGTCATGCACCAACTCAAATTCCATTTTGTCTTTTTTTTTTGCATTTTTCTTCCTTTTTTTTTCTTAAATTACATTTGAACACAGAACACAGAGAATAATAAATACTCTTATAAGACATGACTCCAGAAAACAAGAAACAGAACAAGCCAGAGAACAGAAAGGTATACCTCTGCCTCTCTCTCTCCCTCTCCCTCTCTCTCCCTCTCTCTCTCTCTTGCGCTCGCTCTCTCTCTCTCTTCCTTTCTTTCCTAAAGGACTCATTTAAATAAGAAATCTGTAAACGCCACTGGTCCTTTCTGCCGCAGTCTCTCTCGCGATCACGCTCCCTCTAACTTTCCCTCTGGTCTCCAGCCCTGACATTCAATGCGTCTCCCACGGAACTCGTCAAAGAAACGACATGCCATCGTCTGCAAAATTATAATTTAACGGTATAAAGCTTCAAGTCACGTATTCCAAAAACTAGCTAAGGATTTTTTTTTAATCACATAAACTATACATTAAATATTTTGAGGTATTTCAGAGAAAATTGTCAAAGGCTCGAAGGAATTGTGCTGGAGGTGTTGATCCCTGCATGGAGAACGCATGCTCTTTGGTATGTGACAGCCAAGTGGGCATGCGGGGAGGCAGGAGAGGGCCTGAGGGGCCGGCGGGCAGGTCGGGGATAGAGCCTTCTGTGGGGGTCTGGCCAAGTTTGGGGTGGGGTCCGGAAACAGGTAGGGGTGTGTGTGTGTGTGTGTGTGTGTGTGTGTGTGTGTGTGTGTGTGTGATACGAAGATATCTGAAAAGGATCCAGGAGTCCTGGGCCACTTTATTTATTTTTTTTTGTAGAAGTGGGGTCTTGCTGTGTTGCCCAGGCTGGTCTCAAACTCCTGGCCTCAAGCGATCCTCCTGTCTCGGCCTCCCAAAGTGCTGCTGGGCCACTTCTGTGACCAAGAGGCTTGACCTGATCTGACCACAGTTCAGCATAGCTAAAACATTCCACAACCAGAACGATCCCAAGCCAAGTCCTAAATTTCCAGCAGGGGACAAAACTGGAGGCCCCCTAGCGTGTTACCCTTGGGGCCTTGAAGGCCAAGCAGAGGGCATCTAGGAGACCCAGCACCCCGCCAGGCCCGTGCTCCGGCCAGTGCCTGAAGCCCAGGCATCGATTTTCTAAGAAGCTCACTGGGCCAGGGCTGCAGCGTGATTCTCTTGGATCAGAAGCATTTTATTGCCTTTGAGAGCCTCTTCCTCCACTAAATGTCTATCTACCTGTAATCCTAGCACTTTTGGAGGCCGAGGCAGGAGGACCCCCTTGGGGCCAGGAGTTCAAGACCAGCCTGGGCAGCATAGTGAGACCCCATATCTACAAGAAATCCCTTAAAAAATTAAATGGGCATGGTGGGGTGTGCTTGTGGCCCCAGCTACTGGGAGGCTGAGGCAGGAGGATCACTTGAGCCCAGGTGGTCGAGGCTGCAGTGAGCTACGATTGCACCACTGCACTCCAGCCTGGGTAACAGAGCAAAACCCTGTTTCTAAAAAAGAAATTTAAAACATTGTATATCTATAGGCTACCTTGGTATAAAGACAAATAATATGGTATGTTGAATGGGGTGCATCTTCTTGGACCTAAAGTTTTTTTTTTTTTTTTTTTTTTTGAGAGGGAGTTTTGCTCTCGTTGCCCAGGCTAGAGTGTAGTGGCGCAATCTCGGCTCACTGCAACCTCTGCCTTCCAGTTTCAAGAGATTCTCCTGCCTCAGCCTCCCAGGTGGCTGGGATTACAGGTGCCTGCCACCTCGCCCAGCTAATTTTTTTGTATTTTTAGTAGAGACAGGGTTTCACCATGTTGGTCAGGCTGGTCTTGAACTGCTGACCTTGTGATCCACCCGCCTCGGCCTCCCAAAATGCTGGGATTCCAGGCGTGAACCACCGCGCCCGGCAAGACCTAAAGCTTTTTAAAAAGAAATTAAAACGTGGGCCCTGGACCTGCTGGGCCCATAGGCTACGTCAGTCCGGCCTGGAGTGGACAGGACAGCTCTAGGTTCATCCATCAGGAATTTAGGGGTGGGGACGGGAGAGAAATTAAGGCCCAGGTTTTAGTGGGAGGTGGGAGATACCGAGTTGCTGGCACCCAGTGACACCACAGAAAAACAGGGGCCAGTGTGTGTATGTGTGTGTGCATGTGTATCTGCATGTGTGTCTCTGTGTGCGTCTGCGTGTGCCTGCATGCGTGTCTTTGCATGTGTGCATGTGTGCCTGCGTGTCTGCATGTCTCTGCATGTGTGTGCACGTGTGTGTGCATGGGCCTGCATGTGAGTGCCTGCATGTGTGTGTCTGCGTGTTGTCTGCATGTGTGTGTCTGCATGTGTGTCTGTGGGGGGGTAGAGAGGTGCGGTGCTGAGCAGGAATGGGGACCCTTTCTACTATTGGGAACCCCCCAACACCCAAATGTTCTAGAAGCATCACTCAGATCCGGTCGCTTGGAAAGCTGGGAGCAGAGCAAGTCGATAAGGACAAGAGAACACTCCATACACGTCTTTGGTTCAAGAAGAAGGCACTCTTCGACCTCACGATCCTCTCCCTCCCTCTCTCCCTTTCTCTCCCTCTCTCTCCCTCTCTCTCTCTCTCTCTTTCGCTCTCAGGTTCGGGAAGGGGTGGCACTCGGCAGGCGGGGCCCCGAGCCGGGTCCCAGGCCAGGGAATCCTGTCATCCAGCACAAATCCTTGGGAGAAATCTTTGGTATCAGGCGTGATTTTCCAATCACAGACATGAGCTTGAGTGAGGTAGCCTTTACCTGGGGGAGGGGAGGGGCATTTCACTAGAAATGTCTTTTGCATTTTCAAGGGGGGTAGGGGGGCCGCCTCCTCCCTGGGAGGCAGCCGATGAGTGGGGGGATTTCAGGGAGGAGGTTCCTTCTAGACTCGGATCTTGAACCCCCGGAGGAGGCGGGCTCCTGGGATCCCGCGGCCGGCCAGTCTCGGAGGTCACCCAGACCAGATGAGAGGAGCGGGGGAGAGCGCGGGGTGGGAGGGGGGCGCTCATCTTCATTTCCGACCCTTCCCATTTGTAAATATTTTTGGCAAAAAATGGAGCAAGCGGAATCCACCTTCCTCGGCGTCTTCTCTCTTTGGCGAGAGTGGAAACCAACACCACGTTCAACCCCGCTGCCCCCCTGCAAGCCCAGTTCAGACCCTGACGCGGGCGGAAAGGGGGGCGGTGGATTCCAGAAGGTTCCACGCAGGAAGCGTCTCCACGGGCCCGTGCAGAGGGGCTCCTCCGGGCGGCCCCAGCGGCGCCTTCTCCGGCCGGGTCCCCTTCTCCTGGGAGCCTGGGCGTGGTCTCCCGTGTCCGGAGCTGCGTCCTTCCTTGCGCTCCACGAAGGTGCCTAAAGGTAAAGTGAACTCAACAGACGGGGCGGGGCGGGGGCGTCTGGAATTTACCCGCACGTGGGAGCCCCCCGTCCCCTGCGGCCTGGGATGGGGTGGGAAGGGTGCTCGCCCGTAGGTGCTGGGCGCCCGCCGCAGGCCCCTCCCCAGACTTTAAGGCAGGCGATTCTTGGCACGAGGAATCCTGGCCGCAGAGAGGGGCAGCTCAGTTCTCGGCCGCAGGGGCCGTCCTGCCAGCGGGTGGGGTTGGTTTTGGAGAGGGTGGGGGACCGTAAGGATCCGGCTTGATGTGGGTTTTTGGCGACTTTGGAAAGGGCTGAGGTCCCTGGGGAGGGGGCCGGGGCGGGTGGGGAGGAAGGAAGTTTTCTACTACCTCCCTCGGTGGGGCAGGGGATCTGACGGAGGAGGGGTTATTCTTTAAAATTCCATTTTTAAATACCCGGTTTATATTTCTAGTATGTGCTTCTTGACCCGCTTTAGGGGACAACACAGTGAGCCCTGGTTTTTCTCGAGGCCCTCTGGGCGTCCTGAATGGAGAGGGGGCTGGGAAACCCCTTTCTGTCACTCCCTCCCCTCCGGGGGGGGGTGGAGGGCTTCCTTTGGCCTGGAGGGAGTGGGCATGGAGGGAGGAAGGGGGGCCCTTTTTGTGCACTTGGGCTGGGGGGTGTGCTGCTTCCCCCTCCCCGGGTGTGGGGGGCCCGGATAGCACCCCCTCCAGGTGCCCCCTGGGGGCGGGTCTCCGGGCCGGCAGGATGTGGGGAGGTGACGTGGGGGCACAGCGCCCAGGCCGTGGAGGCAGGGAGGGCGCGGGGCCGGGGCGCCTCAGGCCTTGGAGAAAGTGGCCGTGGCGCCGGCGGGGCCCCCGGGGGCCGTGCTGGGCTCCTCAGCCCAGCGGTTCATGCAGCGGCGCCGCGCGTTCATGAAGAAGTTGCTGACGGTGTTGAGCTCCAAGCCGAGCTGCTGCGAGATGGTGACCTGCATCTCCTTGGACGGCCGCTTGTTCTCCTTGAAGATGGCGATCAGCGTGCGTCGCTGCAGGTCGGTGAACACCAGGCGCTGCTTCTTGGGCTGCAGGGCGCGCTCCTTCTGCTGCTCCTGTTCCTTGCGCTTGCAGGCTGCGGGCGAGCGGCGGGCGGGCGGGCGAGCGGGACACAGCGCCACCGTGTGGCCGGCCGGGGAGAGGCAGGAGGCGCACGCCGCCCGGAGGATGAGGAGGAGGGGAGAAGGGACACGTTGGGGAAAGGCGAATGCACATAAGGTCCCAGGGAGAGCCCAGAAGCAACAAGAATGCAGGGAGAGGCGGAGGGGGAGACAGCGGGGAACACAGGGACGCACAGAGACAGAGACAGGGAAACAGCAAGGTCAACAGGGAGACAACAGGAAAGTCCAGGATGCAGCCAGAGGGCGGTGGAGACAGAATGGAAGGCGAGGACAGGCAGGGAAAGCAGATGCGGTGGGGGTGGGGGGAGGACAAAGAAGGGGACACAGTGTGAGTGCCCCTCTGCAGGCATGGCTACCACCCCCTCCAGCCCCCTTCTCCATGGAGCCCACTCAGGCACCCCCCAAGCCTCATACCCCCCAAACCCCGTCCTACCCTCAAACGCTCCCTACCTAAAGGACCACAGAAATTGATATTGGTAACTTTCTCCTCTCCTTTCTGCAGCCCCAACCTGGGGGTGTTGGGGAAATGACATGGAAACTGCACATGAGAGTTTTTGGCTCAGTGTAGACTTGGGTGAAATAACTGGTTAATTACTAGGTCCTGGGGTGCATCACAAAACCCAGCAGCCTTCCCCAGAAATGGTGGGCTAACCAGGGCCTTTCCTTTCTTTCTTTTCTTTTTTTTTTTTGCGGAGGGGAAGTCTTGCTATGTTGCCCAGGCTGGTCTCGAACGCCTGGCCTCAAGTGATCCTCTGGCCTCAGCCTCCCAAAGCACTGGGATTACAGGTGTGTGCCATGGCAACTGGCTGTGACAACCAAGCTCTACGAATGAGCAGCAGCGACACTCCTGTAAGGCCTGATACCCTTAGGGACCCTGTGAGTCCACAGCCCAATTCCGACATCTGAATCCCTGCCTCCTGCTCCTGCCCCTATCCACAGGCTGAGACCACCCAGACTTGGCCTCCCTCGAGCACCCAGTGGACCCTCTGGAGCGCAGAACATCTAAGAAAGAAGACTTTGGAGGAGGAGGGGAGAGTGCAGGGACCACCTCTTCCTCTCCCAGATGAGCAGGTCACCCTTCCTCTTGGTCAGCCCGCACAGATCACGGAGAGGGCTGAAGGAGGCTGCCCCATGGCCTGCAGACCAGACACTTGCAAAGGGGAGAAAAGCAAAGGCTCGGGGTGATGGGGCAGGGCTGAAGCCGAGTCCTGCTCTTCCTGCTCCAGCAGCGAAGTGAACCCCTCCCCTCAATGCAGTGGGTGTCAGTGGGTACAAAACACAGGCTTCCCCCACTAGGAGCTGGGCCACAAGTCAGATGGGCTCATTTGTGGCATCAGCTTGAAACTCCATCAGAATCTCAATTTCTCTCCTGCATCCAGACTGGGACTGTGGTGCTGAAGAGGCTGTCCTGCCCTTGTCTCCATCCCGGAGTTCCAGCTACTCTGTGACCCCCAGAAGTGGCCGGTGGTGCAGGTAGTACTAGTGGGTCTCTGCTCCCAGTCTCTTCTCTGTGCCAGCCGTCGTGGCCTACTGGAATGGCACAGAGAGCTTTTCTTTTCGTTGCAGAACAGCCTGGAACATGACATGCTAGATCAATGTCCATACACGTCCACAGAAATAAATGAATGTTCCTTCTGCCATGACTCATGTCTCGGGGACAACAGGTTCACCCGTCTAGGGTGTGAGCTGACGCACACTTCACTCCCTCTGACCTGGAATGTGTGGGGCTTCTAACTGCGGTTTCAGGTTTTATGATTAAATGCAAGTGATGCCTGTGGGTTACTGCACATTTTAGAAAAGCGTCTAACATGAAAAAGAGAGGGAGAGAGAGAGAGGGAGGGAGGCAGGAGGGGGGAGAACAATGGAGAAAAATGGTTTGGTGGGGGAGGAATAAACTCAGAAGGAACCGACAAGGCAGGCAAAGCTATAATTAATATTCCCAGAGGAGTAAGAGAAAAATATCGTATCCATGAAACAAGTACAGGATGCTGTTAAGTAAAAGGGACCATTAGAGAGTGAGGAAATGCTCTTAAAATGTGAATATATAACAGCCAGAGTAAAATAATTCCATGTAAGGACTGGAAGATAAAGTTAAGCAGATATTGGCCGGGCGCGGTGGCTCACGCCTGTAATCCCAGCACTTTGGGAGGCCGAGGCGGGCGGATCACGAGGTCAGGAGATCAAGACCATCCTGGCTAACACGGTGAAACCCTGTCTCTACTAAAAAAAAAAAAAAAAAAAAAAAATTAGCTGGACGTGGTGGTGCATGCCTGTAATCCCAGCTACTCGGGAGGCTGAGGCAGGAGAATTGCTTGAATCTGGGAGGCAGAAGTTGTGGTGAGCCAAGATCGTGCCATTGCATTTCAGCCTGGGCAACAAGAGTGAAACTCCATCTCAAAAAAAAAAAAAAAAAAAAAAAAGAGTAAAGCAGATATCCCAGAAAATGGAACACAAGCAGCTGCAAAGATGGGAAATGAAAGAGAATAAAAAGTTAGAGGATGAATTAAGATGAAGCAGGGTTGTCACCTGATCAAGAGACAGTTCAAAAATAGAGGAAGAGATGATCAAATAATGAAAAAAAATCTAGCGTTGAAAGATGAGTTTCCAGTTTAAATGTGGTCAGGTGCAGTGGCTCATGCCTGTAATCTCAGCATTTTGGGAGGCTGAGGCAGGAGGAACACTTGAGGCTGGGGGTTCAAGGCTACAGTGAGCATGATCTCACCACTGCACTCCAGCCTGGGTGACAGAGTAAGACTCTCTTTTAAAATAAATAATTTTTAAATATAAATAGGCCCACTGGGCATGGTGGCTCATTCTTGTAATCCCAGCACTTTGGGAGGCCAAGGTAGGTGGATCGCTTGAGGTCAGGAGTTCGAGACCAGCCTGGTCAACATGATGAAACTCTGTCTCCACAAAAAATACAAAAAAAATTAGCTGAGTGTGGTGGCAGGTGCTTGGAATCCCAGCTACTGGGGAGGCTGAGGCAGGAGAGTCGCTTGAACCCAGTAAGCAGAGGTGTGAGCTGAGATCACACCACTCACTCCAGCCTGGGCAACAGAGCGAGACTCCGTCTCAAAAATAAATAAATAAATAAATAAATAAATAAATAAATAAATAATAACTAAATAGGCTGGATGAAGTGGCTCATGCCTCTAATCCCAGCACTTTGGGAGGCTGAGGTGGGAGGATCACTTGAGCCCAAGAGGTTGAGAGCAGCTTGGAGAATATAGTGAGACCCCATTGCTACAAAAAATTTAAAATTAGCCAGGCATGGTGACTCACACCTGTGGTCCCAGTTATTCAGGATGCTGAGGTAGGAGGATCATTTGAGCCCAGAAGGTCAAGGCTGCAGTGAGTTATGATCATGATACTGCACTCCAGCCTGGATGACAGAGCGAGACCCCAGCTCTAAAAAAATGGGGGTGGGACATCAAGTCCTCAGCTCATTGAATGAAAAAGACACTCAAGCCTCGTTGTTGTGAAATTTCAGAGCACCAAGAATAAAGAGAAAATCCTAAAAAGCGCCTAGAGGAAAGCCAGATGTCATGCAAAGGATCAAGAATCCAAGCAGCTTTGGGTGTGCAAAAACTAGCAGACAACAGAGCAAGGCTTTCAAAGTTCCAAGGAAAAGTTATTTTCAGCTAGAATTGCTAAATAACAAAAGACCAAACATGAAGGTGCAATAAAGATATAATCGGATGTTCAAGGACTCCAAAACTTAACTTCCCACATACCCTTTCTCAGAAAGCTACTGGAGGATGTGTTCCATTCAAACGAGGAGGTAAATAAAAAAAGGATGGTGTGGGATTCAGAAAATGTGATCCAACCTAGCTGAAAGAGAAAAGGGGTCCTCCAAATCAGGATGAGGGGGACCCTGGAAGACAGCTAGACAAA
Organism: Homo sapiens; assembly: GCF_000001405.40. Classification (NCBI taxonomy): domain Eukaryota; kingdom Metazoa; phylum Chordata; class Mammalia; order Primates; family Hominidae; genus Homo; species Homo sapiens. Next base: position 1,771,212 of record NC_000019.10, on the reverse strand, counting down.
AGGACCCAGGGTATGGAGGGCAGCCCCACCCAGATCAGAGATGACCTAATATGTGTGGAAAGTCCTATTGAGTTGGTTTTAAATTTTGTTGGGGAGCGTGGGAAGAATTTTTGTTTGGCAGCTATCAACTCCTGGAAAACCAAAGAGTTGTACAGGAAAGGAAATGCAGTCCTAGTACTCTACATGGCTCAGCTGTGGACAATGTTTTCCAAAAGCGTAATAATGTTAATTACTAAATGTTAATTTAGGCAACAGACTGTATTTGTAATTATATTGAGAGACTGACAGAGAGGGAGAGTATGGGTATGAATCTGGAAAGATGGCAAAGGAAATCCTGAAGGGTGAACAGTGTACCAGGGAGCCTTTTATGTGTGAAAGGAGAGACAAGAACCTATGTTTATATTTTATCTGCATAAAGAAACATGGAAGGAAATGCAAAAAACTGAATTGACCTCTCACCTCTTTGGCACTCGGCCACCCTATGAGGATTACAGGAGAGGACCCAGTCCTCCATTCTTTCAAAGGGAAAGCTGAGTCAAAACTCAACCGGGGCCTTGAAATTCCAAGGGAGGCCCTTCTCGCTCACCTGTTGTAATGTTTAATTCATTCACTCACTCATTTATTCATTCACTTAGCAATTTACTCACAAATTTATCCTACATTTACAGTAGGGACAGAAATACAAATGCTCCTCAGAAAGCTCACAAGAGCTTTGTGTCAAGAGCTTTATATGTATCTGGTCACTCAATTCTTAACAATAATTCTTGTTTTGTTTTGAGACAGGGTCTTGCTGTGTCGCCCAGGCTGGAGTGCAGTGGTGCAATCATGACTCACTGCATCCTTGAACTCCTGGGCTCAAGCAATCCTTCCACCTCAGCCTCCCAAGTAGGTGGGACCACGGGTGCACATCACCACATCTGGCTAATTAAAAAACAAAAAACAAAAAACCCCCACAAACATATATATATGTTTTTTGTTTGTTTGTAGAAATGTGGTCTCACTATGTTGTCCAGGCTGGTCTCTAACTCCTGGGTTCAAGCAATCCTCTAGCTTCAGCTTCCCAAAGTGCTGGGGTTACAGGCATGAATCACAGTACCCAGCCTCAATCCTTACAATAATTCTACAAGGCAGGGGGTTTTCTCCTTATTTACTCAGAGAATGTGAGCCACCCCTCAGGCTTGCCCAGCCAGTCCCAATAGGGCAGCCCAGAAAACAGAGTCCACTGGCCTAGATGGGGGAGGGAGGTAGGATGCATATCGTCCCTTTCCCACCCCACCTCCCAGGCTCCAATCTGGTGCCTAATGGGGACCCCAGAGGCAGAGGCTGGGGGAGGGGCCGGGCCAGGCAGAGTCTGAAAAAACTTCCCGTTTTGTCGATTGCAGCAAAAAGAGGCTCTGCTGCCCCCCTTCCCGGCGTTCAATCTAATTACAGCTCCTCACAGCCCAGATCGATCCAGTCGGAGCTGTTTACCGCGAGCAGCTTTGTCATTGCTCCCATCCCCCACAGCCGCTGACAGAGGTGTGAGTTGGAGTAGGGGGGCCGCCTGGATGCCCCCTCTGTGCATCCCCTACCCATCACCACCGCCACCTGACCCCCGCCAGCACCCCACCCAACATCAGGTTCACCCCCACACCAATCCTAAAGGCCACCCCTGTGCCAACCCAGAGGCCATGGTGGTTATGGACCCCTTGTGCAGAAGTGAAAACTGAGACTTGGAGAGAAGGACTGATGGGGTTCAGAGTGGGGACGGGGGTGAAGCCCTGGACTTGGCCCTGGTACCAACCACCAGCCTCATGCTGCCAGGGCCCACCATTGCCACCTCTGCCACGCGACCTCCACCAGCCTCCAATGAGGTCTCCACCTCCGTCCTCTCCTCCACCATCACTCCTGCACCACCAATGTCAGTGCTATCCCATCACACCCTCCATATCACCTCCAACTCCAGCACCTCCTCCTCCTCCACCACCTCCAGCACCTCCACCTCCTCCTTCATCACCTCTTCCTTCACCACCTCCACCTCCATCACCTCCACCTCCAGCACCTCTTCCTTCACCACCTCCACCGCCACGACCTCCACCTCCATCTCCATCACCTCCACCTCCAGCATCTCCTCCTCCATCACCTCCACCTCCACTTCCACCACCTCCACCTCCAGCAACTCCACCACCTCCACCGTCACCTCCACCTCCACTTCCACCTCCACCACCTCCACCATCACCTCCACCTCCACTTCCACCTCCATTACCTCCACCTCCAGCACCTCTACCTCTACCTCCTCCACCTTCACCTCCACCACCTCCACCTCCACCACCTCCACCTCCACCACCTCCACCTCTACCTCCGCCACCTCCTCCATCGTCTCCACCTTCCACCCCCATCACCACCTCCATCACCTCCACCTTCCACCTCCCCACACCTCCTCCATGACCTTTCTTTTACTCACCCCCTTCCTCTGTTTTCTTCACCTCCCCCTGATTTCCTTCATTATCCTCATCAACACTGCTGAACCCCATCCTGGGATTCTCCTAGTATGTGGCCAGCACTGCATACTCAGCCCCTGGTTCCATCACCAGCAGCTCCCGACCTGTAGTCGGGGGGATAGAGAGTGGCCCCCAACACAGACCTTGGCCACCAAGCTGGCGGAGGAGTGGGGCGGGGCCAGGCTGTCAAGCTTGCTCTGGGACCCCAGGCGAGTCCCATTCCCTTGGAGGCCTCAGTCCCTTCCTTTGTAAAGACAGTGCGCCCCCTTCAGGCATGTCCCGGTGCAGGCCAGTCCTTCCTGGGCTCCTGAGCTCTTCCAGCCGCTTCCCTCTCCCCATCCACCACCAGCCGCCTCTCTGTCTGGCCTCCCCCGCTGGCCTCACTCACTCAGCTCCTTTGCACGACGGTTCTCTCTGCCTGGTTGCTCTTCCCCAAGTCCCCTCCCGCCCCCCTCAGCTCCTTCTAGTCTCTGCTCAGGTATCTCCTTCCCTGCGAGGCTACCCCAACACCCCTTGTCTAATCCCACAACTCTCCCTGTCACCCCTGCCACACCCCTTCTTTTTACAACAATTCACCTGCTCTGTCCAGGGGCCCCATTGAGTGAGGGTTTGGGTCCTGACAGGATGCCCACTCCATGCAGCCAGCCCTGCACCTCCTCCAGGACCCTGGGGACTGAGGCCCTGATTCCAGGAGCAATCACCCCCGAGAGGCTCTGATCTGAGGACTCCAGGTACACCACCCATCCCATCTCCCCAACGGTTATCAGTCTTTTTGGAATCTAAGGATGAGGAGGATCTGGGGCTGGTTCCTGGGGGTCCCCGGGGCCCTGGGAGGAGATCAGAGATCAACTAGAAGAGACGGAGACCCCATGCCCACATCTGAGCCCATGCACAGGGAGCCCGGCAAACGCAGTCATGGTGGCTTTACTGTAGCATCCAGCCTCCCGCCCCAGGGCACCGTCCTGGGCCTGCGCCGCCGCCCCCAGCATCAACAAGGGTCGTTTTCTTTTCTGGGCAGGTGGGATCAGGAAATCTCTGGGCGGGGAGGTCCCGGGGATGTGGCCGCCCCTTCGCTCAGTTATCCCTGCTGTTCCCGCTGTGTCCAGCAGAGGGCAGCCGTCCCCGCCCCAACCCAGGAAAGGGCGGGGGCTGTAGGCTGTGTCTCATGCGGGGGAAAGGGGGCTGGACTGGGGGGAGACCCTCAAGTTCCGGATGAAGGCGTTTCCTGCAGACCCCTTGGGATTTGGCCCACACACACCAGCTCTATCCCACTTCCTGCCTTTCTAAAAGTTGCTGGGGACAGCCAACCACCCCGGGGCCCAAGAGGGTGGTCTGACCTGCTGCCCTCTTGGGCCCTGCCTGGTGTTGGACCATCTTAGCCTCAGTTTCCCCAACTGTAAGATGGTCTTGATCATGGTTGGGCTGTGGGGAAGGGTCTAGCCAGAAAAGTCCTGAATGAATACGGCAGGGCTAACAAGAGGCTCCCAGCTCCCATCTGGGGGTCCCTGAGAGGAGCTGGGCTCTGGGCGACACTTGCCTTCCAACCACGAAGTTTCCCCCTCCCTCAAGGAAGGCCTTGAGCCTCAGGTTTTCTCTCAGGATCTTCCTGGAGAGGGGAGAAATGGAGAAACTGGGGCCAAGAGTAGAAAGTTGGGTCACTCCAGCCAGAGAACTCCTACACATTCCTCAACGCCCAGGAGCAATGGCCTCTCCCCAGGAAGTCCCTCCCTCCCCCCGCAGCGGAGCCCGGGGCCCCTCCTCTGGGACTCCCAGGGGCCACTGTTCCTCCTTTTAGCCTCGTGGGGCCTGAGATCTTTCTGTGGCCCAGCACAGAGCGGAGGTATAGCAGTGGCTGAGTGAGTGTGCAGTGACTAACATGTTCCTGGGTTGTCCTACACGAGGGTGGTGGAGCATGGGGGGGGGGTCTCAGCCCAGCCTGCAAGACCCTGCTGCGGAAGACCAGTAGCCACTGCCCTGGAGCGCCGGGTGGGACAGTGGGGCTCCCCGAGTGCCCTCAGCAGGAAGCCAGTAGCTGAGTAGGGGCCCTGAATTCAGTCATTGCTGCAACCCAAGCTGGGGCCCACCTGTCAACCCCCATCACCCTCCAAGAGGGGACCATCCCCTCTCCTCCTCCTCACCCCTCCTTTTCCACTCACCCTCCCTCCCTCTCCCCTCTCTGCTCTTTTCTTTTCCTCCCTTTCCTTCCCTCCCTCTCTTTACCTCCCTCCCCTCTTCCCCTTCCTTCCCTCACTTCCCTTCCTTCCCTCTCCCCCTCCTCCTCCTTCTCTCCCCCTTCATCCTCCCCTTCATCCAGAGGCCTTTGGAGGGGCTGGGCTTGTAACAGGGAGGGCTTCAGGATGCAGCATCCGCCTCGCCCCTGAAGGCGGGCCCGTGGGTGCCTCTGCGCGCGCCTGACGTTGGCCGCGTGCGGGCTGAGGGTGCCAGCCTCCGTCCACCATCGGGTGTGCCCGCGTGGGGCTGCCTGAGGCTTCCCAAATGTCCCGGCGGGGTGGAGGGCGAAGTCTGAGCGAGGTGCTGTGGGTGGGTGGGTGGCGCCTGCACGGGCGCTCAACCACGATGGGGGTCGGCAGCCTTGCACATCCAAACCCCACCCAAGTGAGAAGCTAAGAAACCTGTGACCGTTAGGAAAGCTGTTCCAGTTCTGGGCGGGAAAACCGGCATCAGCTTGTGGGGCCTTGGACGGGCGGTGGATGAGGCAACGGATCTTGGTGTGACATCCCTGTGTGGGATGCAGCTGGCTCGCGGTGTGGACGTGAGACGTGAGAGCTGTAGGGTGTGCAGGGTCTTGGGGTGAGTCTGGGTGTCACCCCGCAGAAGCCTGCGGTGTGGGTTACGCATCCATGTCCGCCCAGCCCCAGGGTGGGCTCCTCTCTGCCTCCCCCTGCTCCCCTCACCACTGCAGCCATGGGGACGCGGGTGGGCTCTGCGGGCCGAGTGGCCTTGAACGCGCACCCTGGCCTCTCTGGACATCAGGTTCCTGGTTTATCAAGTGGACGCAGTGACCCAGAGCCCTGTGTCCCCACCGGGCCGCAGTCCCGAGAGTCACGAAGGAATGAACGCCGAAGCACGGACCTGCAACCGACTCATCCATTCACCATTCAGGGAGCAGCTGCTGCGTGAGGCCAGAGAGAGGCAGCTCCAGGAGCTGGCCTCCACTCACAGTCACAGGACAGCGTGAAGCGGCGGCTGCCTGGGACTCTGTTCCCCAATGAGGAGGCCAGCTCCGCTCTGAGTCCAGGAAAGGGGGAGAGAGGACGCCTTTGGGTGGGTACTGGAGGGGAGGCGCGGGCTCCACTGGGCTCTCTGAGGCCTTCGAGTGGATACACTGCTGGCTGGGAGGGAGGATGGACCAGAAGACCAGGCCCAGGCTTCGGGACAGCTGGAGGGAAGGTCCCTGAATCCCAGTGGACGCCAGCAGTGCTGGGGGCGGCACGGCAGGAGAGACACAAGCCAGGGTGGCACCAGGACGGGAGGGATGTGGAGGCTCCTGGGGGGTCCCCAAGGTCCAGGGAGGAGATCAAAGAGCAACTAGAGGAGATGGAGACCAGCTGGGCAATGCCCAAGGGAGAAGAAGACGCCCCAGGATGCAGCAATGGGCGATTCAAGTGACCATCCCATGTCCCTCTGTGCCCGACAGTCTGTACAGTGCCCCAAACCACCAAGCCACGTGAGTCTACCCCGCTGTGTGCCCGTCCTCCCTGTGTCCTGGAGCTGGAGATCCCCTCCCTCAGCCACCTCTGGCTTCAGGGAGCAGACAATTCAATATGGAGCCCGGTCTCCGGCTGGGATGATGACCGGTTTCCTTGGCGACGCGTCCTGTCCCCGCCACCAGCTGCCCTGCCCCAGATGTGGGTTGTACTGATGCCCCCCACCCCCATGCTGGTGTCTTGTCCCCCCTGCGCATCCCCCCCCCGTGGCCTCTCCAGACTCGAGTCAGTGGGTGACTTGCCCAAGGTCACATGTCCAGTTACTGTGGGGGGCCCGGGTCACATACCTACACCCTCTGTCTACACCCTGCACCCCTCGGGGAGCTGGAAAATTGATTCCCATGGGTGGGAGGCAGTGGAACCTTCTCCAAGGAGATGGGGCTGAGTCATGCCCCAGGCGTGGACCCCCAGAGGCCTCCCCAGCCCCTCATCTGGCCCCACTCTGTTCCCACTACCCCTCCACTCTGGGTGGCTTACCCTCCCCATGCCTGCCCTGCCCACATCTCACGCGGAGCCCACCTTGGCCTCAGCAGGCGCCCAGCCTCCCTCTTGTCCCCACCCCTCTCCCTCCAGCTTTCCCCGCCAGCCTCCCCTGATGGGATTTTAATGACTGCATTTTCAAATTAGTTCTGAGCCTTCAAAGACTTAACCGGGAAACGCATTTCCACTTGGACTCTCGGGCTGTCCCTCCCTCGTGGCTCCATCTGGAGGCTGGGCCGCCATGGGGTGGGGGCATGGGGGTGTCAGGGGGCACCTCTCACCCTCGGACATTCAGCTACAGAGACCCACCCCATTCAGGCACCCTCAAACAGGAGCAAAGCCAGTGGGCAAACACACGCACGCACAAGGCGTTGATTTTTAAAAAAAATGTTACGGAGACACAGCGCCTGCAGTGGGAAATGGATTTGAAAAAGATGACAGGAAAGGAATCAGTGATAAGAAGCGGCTGAAGCGGCCACCCAGAAAGGGGCTGGGGAGGCTGACCCAGCGTTTCAATTATTGGGAAATTAATCCACAGATAAACTCACACTCGTAAAATGATCCGCCCCGGACGTATTCATTGCAGCCGCTATGGTGACCGCGAACGATTGGAAACAGCCTAAATGTCAGCGGGGCGGGGAAGTGGTTCAGGAAAACCTGAAACCACCGCCGAGTCAGAGAGTACTAGGCGGCCGGCAAAAATGACCAGGATGCGCGCTTCACGGATCTGAGCCGGGGGGAAGAATCTCGGAGCATCTGAAGCTCCCCTTTCTGTTAAAAAAAAAAAAAAAACAAAAAAGGGAAATAAAAAGAATTTATCCCTGGAGCGCAGCCTTTTGCAAGAAGGAGAAATACAGACTGTGATTTGCAGAAGGGAGGGCAATGGAAGCCACCTCATCTTGCATTGAAATTCGGAAACTGGCGAATGCGTTAACTATTGTAAAATCATGTCGATTTATTTATTTGTTTATCATTTTTTGAGACAGGGTCAGCCTGTGTTGCCCAGGCTGGAATGAAGTGACGCAGTCATGTCTCACTGCAGCCTCGACCTCCCTTGCTCAAGAGATCCTCCTGGCTCAGCCTCCTGAGTAGCCGGGGCCACAGATGTACACCACCACATCTGGCTAATTTTTTTTTTTTTTTTTTTTTTTTTTTTTTGAGATGGAGTCTCACTCTGTCACCCAGGCTGCCGGAGTGCAATGGTGCAATCTCGGCTCACTGCAACCTCTGCCTCCTGGGTTCAAGCGATTCTCCTGTCGCAGCCTCCGGAGTAGCTGGGATTGCAGGCATGTGCCACCACGCCCGGCTAATTTTTGTATTTTTAGTAGACATGGGGTTTCGCCGTGTTGGCCAGGCTGGTCTCGAACTCCTGGCCTCAGATGATCTACCCACCTCGGCCTCCCAAAGTGCTGAGATTACAGGCGTGAGCCACCGCACCCGGCCACATCTGGCTAATTTAAAAACATTTTTATAGAGATGCGGTCTCCCTATTGCCCAGGCTGGTCTGGAACTCCTGGCCTCAAGAGATCCTCTTGCCTTGGCCTCCCAAAGTGCTGGGACTACAGGTTTGAGCCTCCCCGCCGGGCCAAAAGAATGTAGAATATTTTAGGGAACCAGGGAGCAAAAACAAGGGAGGTGGAGGAGGGGAGGAGGAACGTGTCTTGTCCTCCCACTGCGCTGGAGCTGAGCGCACCCAGGACGGCCGCGGTTCTGGGGCGCCAGACAAGGAAGAAGAACACTCGCGCCTGGTGCGGCGCGGTTTCCCCTGGGGTGGGATGCGGGGGTGGGATGGTGGGTGCCTGCTGGGGGCTGCGCTTTCCTGCGGAGCCCGCACCAGTGACCCTGAGGCTCCAAGGCCGCGGGCGCGTGGTCCCGGGTCCCGGGTCTCCTGGCGCCGGGGCACGTGCGTCCAGGTCCTGTCAGGCTGTTGGGGGCCGGGCGCGCTCTGGGATCCACACACCCGCCAAGGACCGATGTGCGCAACGCGGCGGCCCCAGCCCGACTCCGCAGCTTCCCGGGTGCTGCGGGACGGCGTTTGCTGGGTGATGGAAACTGAGGCACAGTCATCCCCCCAGCAGGTCCTTGGACGGGAAAGGGCGCTTGGAAATGCGTGGACCCCTGCTGCCCCGCAACTAGCGTCCCCAACTCGCGCATCCCACTCACTGAGGGTCTACTCGACCTTCCCAAAGCCCCAGCTCCAGGGAGGAGAGCCCAGCAGCTTCTGTCCCGACTCCCAGAGAGGAGGGCAGGAGGGCAGGAGGGCAGGAGGGTTGGAGGGCTGGCGGGCGCAGCTGGGGGCGCGCGGAAGGCACGCAGGACCCCCAGCAGCCAGCACGAGGGTCTCCAGATGGCGCAGCCACTGCGTCCAGGGGGAGATGGGGCGTCTTCCAGATGTCCCCGCACCCCACTTAGGGGAGTTGCTGGCTCAAGACTGCCAGAGGGCGGATGGGGGTCCTGGGTCAGTCTGCACTCGTCCCAGTGTGAACGGAGGCGTCTACACACGTGTCTCCGGGTGCGTCTACACTTGTGACCCGGGCACGCCTCTCCAGCAGCCTGTGCCAGGCACATCTTCCAGTCTTTGTTTCTCTCTTCTGTGAATCTGTGGCTCTGAGGTCATGACTTGGTAGCTCGGAGGGGTCCCCCATCGCCCCCCACATCTGCCCACACTCGGGACTCAGGAGGGGTGCCGGTTTCTCAGCCCCTCTCACATTAGCACCTACTTGGCAGAGGGAAAACTGAGGCCGTAGGTGTCCCAAGGCTGCCCAAGGTCAGGTGGGTCTCCCTGGCTCCTTGTTCAGCCTCTCCCCTACCCCACCAGTGCTTCCCTCCCTATTGATCAGGGCCCATATTTAATTAAGAACTTGATTCCACCCAGCGCCAGCTCTCCCGGGTAAGCCGGGCTACCTGCCCGGCTCAGCCTCCCTCCTAACAGCTGCTCAGGACTTTCCCACCTCCCAGCCTTTGTCCCTGCTGGTCCCACCGGCCAGAAGTCCCCTCCCACATCCACGCAGGAGGCCAGGGTCAGGCACTGTAGGCCACCACAGGAAACCACATTTATATTTTAGGGCTCTGGGGAGCCACGGGGCAGGGTGCCAACCCGGGGTGCCAACCCAAAGTGGCCATGCAAAGCTCCCTTAGGATGTGGGGGAGACGGCAGTGAGAAGGAGGAGAAGGCTGGGCACGGTGGTTCATGCCTGTCATCCCAGCACTTTGGGTGGCCGAGGTGGGTGGATCATCTGAGGTCAGGAATTTGAGACCAGCCTGGTCAACGTGGTGAAACCCGGTCTCTACTAAAAACACAAAAATTAGCTGGGCGTGGTGGCTCATGCCTGTAATCTCAGCTACTTGGTAGGCTGAGGCAGGAGAATCACTTGAACCTGGGAGGCAGAGGTTGCAGTGAGCCGAGGTTGCGCCACTGCACTCCAGCCTGGACGACAAGAGCAAAACTCCATCTCCAAAAAAAAAAAAAAAAAAAAAAAGAGCAGGAATGGAGCTGGGAAGCCATGATGGAGGTGGAGGAGGAGACCACCATAGTGGTTTAGACTAGAGTGGTAATGGTTGTTGGAGAAGCAGCACGGAATGGGAGGGAGATTCAGAGAGAAGAATGAATGGTCATGATTACTTCTAGGACTTCAGGCTAAGAGGACTTCAGAGCCAAAGGCCAGCTCCAGCCCCTCACCACTCAAGAGACTCCCCCAGACTCCTCTGTGTTGGGGGCGAGCGTCCCTGTCTCCCAGGCTACAGAAAGGAATTATTGGGACCGAGGCTGGCGTTGGGAGGGGGAGGTCTGCTGGGAAAAGCAAAAGCGGGGATGGTCCTGGGGGCTCTGAGCTGGACTCGATGAGGCTGGGACCTGGCCCCCCCCCACCGCCCATCCTCTCTGGGAGTCTCCGGTGGTCTCCCAGGTGAGAGGACTCACATGCCCACAACATCATCATACTTGGAGGAGCTGGGGCACAGGGGGAAGCGCAGCGCAGGCCTCACCACCCCTAAAGGATGTGGCTCCTGTGGGGTGGGGAGGTGGAACTGGCCGGTCACCTGGCCCCACCTGAGGATCGGCCAAGTGGCTGAGAACGTGGAAAGTGCCACCCCCCGCCCCCCCGCCGGTCCCTTCTCTGTGGTCCTTGACCTCAATACACCTCCAAGACTTCGTCCCGAAGCGTCACCTTCCTGGAATGCTCCCCCATCTCTGCTGGAGGTCAGGGAGCCTGGGCATCTCCAGCCTAGTGTTAGGCCCACCAGACTCAGCGGGGTCAGAGCAGCCGAAAGCCACGCCCTGGTCCTGTTACGGCCCCTCCTAGCGGAAGCTGACTCCGCATCAGAAGCAGTGCGGGGCTCTGGCAAGCGCCTTTCTCTTCGGCCTCAGCTTGCTGGTCTGTAGGGTGGGCATGGGAACCGCATCGGGTTCAAAATGTCGTTCCGGGCAGGTGAGCTGAGGAGGAGGGGAAGGGCTGTGGGCATCCAGTGGGACCCCTCCCCATCTCCCTCCCCCTCTGCACGGGAGGCGGGAGCCTGATCCCTGATCCTGGCCCAGGTCCCTAGCTAGGGCTGCTCCTCCCCGGGCCCTGAAGTTTTGTGGGAGGGTGCTGGTGTGGGGGCACCAGAGTCACCTGAGTCTCGCGCGCAGCCCCACGTGGGTCTGGTTCTCGTGGCCCTGGGCACGGTCTCGGTCTATCCACACTCCGTGCATCCCTGTGGAAACCTACGGTGGCCCCTTCAGACCCCTGAGCCCCTCCAGCCCCTCATACCCCCTCTCCTAGGCGTCATTTCATTCTGCCCATTTCTCAGATAAGAAAACTGAGGCTCAAGTCCTTTTGCCAGGGATCAGCCAGGGACAGAGCCCAGGGAAGGCCCGGGTCTCCAAGCCCCCAACCTTGGTTATCTCTACTGTCTAGTGGCGTGGGGCATATTTTTCTGGGGGTGTCCGTAAGAGGCGTGGACCCCTTGCAGTGGAAAGTGGGGTTTTTGCAAAAGGCACAGGGGTCTTTCCCTCTCTCCTCTCTCCCCTTCCTTCCCTCCCTTCCCTCTCCTCCTCCTCCTCCTCTCCCTGCTCATCCCTCCCCTTCATCCAGAGTTTGGGTGGGGGTTCCAGAGTGCTTGTGGGGGGTGGACACCTGTCCCTTTAAGGGGGACTCCCAGATTGCCTCGCCCATTTCAACCTCAGCCCTTGATGGTGGCAGCGGGTAGGGGGGAGAAGCCGGGGAGGGAGGGCCTGTATGAGCCTGGGTGGGGAAGAGGTTCTGCCTCTTTTTCCTTTCCATGTCCTTCCCCTCAGGTCCCCAGTCCCTGGCATCCCCCCTGCTCACCCACCACCAAACAGAGGTGCCCAATTCCTGCACCAGCTGCCCTCAGCATGCAACTCCATACACAGCTCTGGTTTTTGTCCCTAGGACACTTCGTTCTGCTTAAGGGCAAAGCATCCCATCCACCTGGGGTGGGGGTGGGGGGTCCTCCCTGCCTCAGTTTCCTCCATGCTGGGCTCCACCATCCCTCAGGGATTCTGGGCTCCTGCCTCCCCATGGTGCCCACAGGAGGAGATGAGGCCCTTCTTTCAACCACCTCCATCTAACTTTGTATTATCTATATACGTATTTTTTTTCTGATCAGTTACAAAAAATACTTTTCCTCCGGAGTTGCAATTTAAACAATATTTGAAGACGGCCGAAGCTATCGACCCGGCGACGGTGATGAATTAGAGACGGTAATTCGAATTCATCGACCGCCCCCACCCCCGCCGAGGAGCCCGCCCGCCCCTCCCCCAGCCCCTCTCCCATAATTACTGTTGGAGACGGCGCCAGGGGAGAGCTTTGACCAGGAGGCAGCTCCGAAGTGCGGGACTCGGAGGACCATGGGGTGGGGGTAGGGTGAGGCTCCCAGCCCCATGGGAATGGGCTTGGGGGCTGCAGGACTCCCAGACGACGGGGTCCAGAATCTGACAGTGTCAGACCCAGAATTCGGCCCACCACACGCACATTTTACAGATGGGTAAACTGAGGCACGCAGAACGGGCAGTGGGGCCGGGACTCCGAGGTCTGCGGTGGGATTTCTTGCGTGCTTTGGTGAAACAAGGAAAACACCTATTCCCCTCTCCCAAGTCCTACCCCATGGGGAAGAAGGAGGGGGCTGTGGGAGGGCGGGGGTGGACACAGAGGCAGCCTCCAGCACCCAGAGTTCCTCTCCCATCTCTGTCTCTCTCTCTCTCTCTCTCTTTTTTTTTTTTTTTTGGTCTCTCTGCCTCTCTTTTCGTCTCTCCTTCACCTCTGTTCCTTTCTGGGCTTCTTTTTCTCTTCTCCCCGTCTGTTTCTCCCGCTCCCGGTCTCTCCCTCCCCACTCTCTGGTTTTGTCTCGCGACCCCTCCCTCTCTCTCCATCTCCCCGTCTCCCCCTCCCTCTCCGTCTGCACCTGCGGGTCTTTCTCCCTCCCTGTCCCCGTCTCTGTCCTGGCCCCGGCGCCCGGCAGGACACTCGGCACCTGCGGAAACGCGTGGCCCGCCCCGAGCCGGGCAAGCGCGACGGGAGACCCGGGGCGCAAAGTTCTCCTTGGAGGAGGCCTGGGGAGGCCCGCGGTGCTCGCGGAGCGGGGAATGGGGATGCCGGAGTAGAAAGGGCGGCGAGTCCTCTGCTGCGGGGTTGAAATGGTGCGGGGGCGGGGCGGGGGCAGAGTTCCCTTTCCGAGCACCAGCGTTGGGGCGTCGCCGTGTTAGGTGGAGATGGGGACGCATCCGGCCGTCTCCCCCTAACCGCCGCGATTTGCCGCCACTTAACCGCTTTTCATTTGCGCAGCGACCGGAACTAAAGGCCTGGGCCGGAGCCTAGTGACCCCGCGGCCCTCGCCCCCGCCACCTCTTACGCCCCAGGCGGAGTCCGGTGGTGTAGACGCGGCCCCCAGGGCACCTGAGACGCGACAGGTGCGCAAGGTTGACGGCGTGAACCCCGCGGCCGCGGGGCCGCGCGGCGGGGCCACGGCGTGGGCAGCGGACCCGGCAGAGAGCAGGCGGGCAGCGTGGTCCGGGTTTATCATCCTCAACGCCCCAGCGCCCTGCGGGAGGCTCGGGGTGCCAGGAGCTGCGCTCACCCCTCCGGTTCCCCCACGCACCCCTGAGACGGCGACTGTTCTAACTCTCCCTTCCTCGACAGGAAACCCAGACTCCCAGAGCTGAGACTGTTTGTCATTGTCACAAGTCAGGAAGGCGAGGCACAAACGGAGCCTGTTTCCCCATCTGCAACTCTCCCCGTGGCAGAAAGGGGACGGCGGAGGCCTGGATGGCTGTGGGGTCGGCAGGAGCGAACACCCACCTGGGTGCAGGGTCAGGTGCAGGCGAAGCAGGCGGTGTCCACTCAGGGCGGGTGCTGGGTGCTGCTGACCCGGCTGCGGGGAGCCCACCCCCCCCCCATGGGACTTCTCGCCTGCGGTTTGCCCTTCTGTGACGCTCTGGCTGATGTTTTCTGTGGCCCCCAAATCTGCAATTCCAGTACTGCTAATGGGTCATTAGTTACATAACGTGACAGTGGGAAAAATGGAGAGTGGTGTGGACTCTGGGTGCACCCACGGTGGACACAATGTCCCCCAAATATGTGCTAGAGAGGAGGCAGGAGGTGGTGGGTATCGGGCTATAGAAACTGTCCCTGCCTTACTGGTGTGATGGCAACCAGTTGGTGTTTAAACGTCAGAGGGAGGCCCGGCGGGGTGGCTCAAGCCTGTGTAATCCCAGCACTTTGGGAGGCAGAAGCGGGCGGATCACCTGAGGTCAGGAGTTTGAGACCAGCCTGGCCAACATGGTGAAACTCCATCTCTACTAAAAATACAAAAAAAAAAAAAAAAAAAAAAAATAGCCAGGCGTGGTGGCGGGCGTCTGTAATCCCAGCTATTCAGGAGGCTAAGGCGGAAGAATCGCTTGAACCTGGGAGGCAGAGGCTGCAGTGAGCCGAGATCGCACCACTACACTACAGCCTGGGCGACAAGAGTGAAACTCCGTCTCAATAAATAAATAGAGCTGCCAGGGGTGTGCCCTCTGCCACCTGAGGCCTCGCACTGCACCTCGAGGGCCGTGGCTGTGTGCGGATATGACCGCCGGTCTATGGTGAGCGCACGAGTGCCGCTGTATGTGTCATGGGGAGGGGAGCAGGACAGACTGAAATCGTCCAGGTTCCCGGACCTCCCTGAGCACAAGGTTACCCTGCCACACGCGAAAGACTATTTATTTTCCCGTGCCCCAAAGCAGAAAAATCTAAGAATCCCATAAGAGGTTCCAGCTAGTCACCTTGCTTGCTCTGCAGAAGGGGGAAACTGAGGCCGGCCTGTGGGTCCAGGCTCCCAGGGGGTTGTCTGGTCCTCCTGGGGTGGAGGGAGGGAATGGCTTTCTAGGGAGGAACAGCACAGGACACCCCGCTGTCCTCTCTTCGCCCAGCCCCCCTGCCTGGACGGGCTGCCTGGGGGCACAGCCGCAAGCCCCTCTGCCTCTTTGCTAGTGGGGCGCCTCCCAGAGCCCCCGCCTTTCTCGCCCTTGTGCTCGGAGAAGCGATCGATCAGGCGCCAGCCGCCGCGGCTATTGTCCCTGTGGCCCGGGTGGACAGCCCCCTCCCCAGCACCACCAGGGAAAGAAACCCCCACCTAGGCCAGGGGCCCTCCTGCACCCTTACACCCCCACCTAGGAAATGGGGGCCTGGCCGGGCTGCCTGTCAGAGGGCAGGTGTGGACTTAGCTGTTGTCAGCTGGGAGGGAGGAGGGAGGAGGGTCCCCAGGGGGCCGGTGGCTGAGTATGAGACAGAGACAGAGGCGGAGAGACCGACAGGGAGAAGAGATAATGAGCAGGAACAAGAGCAAAACGGAGAGCAAGAGAAAAACATAGAGATACCAGTGTGTTCCGACCGAGAGAGGAGAGAAGTGGACATGAGAGACACAAAACCCCAAAGCCAGGCGGGCAGGGGCGCGCGCACCCGAGCCACGACCAAACTGCGCGGGGCGGGCGCCGGGTCGGGGTGTGAAGGCCTCCGGGCGGCGCGGGCCGAGGGTCCCCGGGGCCGCCCCTCCCCCGCCATTCTCGGGTGACCTTTGCCAGCGGCCGGAGGGGAGAGGGAGGGGGTATCGATCGCGGGGCCGAACTACAAAGAAGCGCGCGCTGGGGCAGGTGGGGGGATGAGCGCGGGCTCGGCCTCTGCTGCTGAGCTGCAGGCGCCCGCCGCAACGTCTCGGAGCTCTGTGGCCCGGGGCTGGGGGCTCAACAGCCCCTCTCCACCCACTCTGGAGGAGGGGAGTGGCACCTTAGCCGACAACAGCAGCTCGTTCGGGGACACAGCTCCCCCCAACAGGCGCGCGCTCACACACACACACGCACACACACAATGAGCTTCCCTGAGGGCTGCTTGGGGAGAGGCTCGGAGCCTCCCAGCAGTCTAACAAGGACTAGAGAACCCCTACGCGCTCCCGAAAGGGGCAGAAGCGGCGACCGGGGGGCGGGGAGGCGGCACAATCCCTTTCTCCCTTTTGGCAACGGTACAAACGGGCAGCGGCGCGGATCGCGGTCTAGCTTCCTGATAGGGGGTCCCGGGCTGCCGGGGCGCACGGGCGGGGCTTGGGGCGCTGGCCCCGGGCATCGGCCGCCGCCCCGCTAGGTGCTCGGGAGTCCAGAGCCGGCGCCCCCAGGGTCTGGCCCTGCGCGCCACGCTCCTACCTGCCAAGCGCAGCGCCGACATGCGCTGGAACTCTGGCTCCTGCAGCCACTTCCACATCCTGCGGAAGGTCTCGCGGCCGGATTTGAGCTTGCTCCACGGCTTGGGGTTGCGCAGCAGGTCGGAGAGCGTGCCCTGAGAGCGACACAGGATCCGCTGCGCGAAGATTGCCTGCGGGATGCTGTAGCGCTTCAGCTCCGCCGTGATGCGCTGCGCCACCTCCTTGGTGTTGATCTCCTCGGCCGCTGCGCCCGCGCTGGGGCCGCCGCCGCTCCCGCCGGGGCCGCCGCCTCCCCCGTGCGGCCCGTGCGCCCCGGCCGCCGCCAGCCCGCCCAGCGGCGCCAGCAGCCCCGCGGCGCTCCCGCTGCCCGCTCCGCCGCTGCCTGTGCCGCCGCCGCCTCCGGGCAGCCCGCGGGCCAGTGCGTCCTCCGCGCGTCCCAGCAGCGCGGCGTGCGGCTCGAAGGCGGCGGGCGGCAGCAGCTTGTCCCCAGCCAGGTGGCCTGGCGGGCCGTAGGCGGCCAGCGGCGGGGGTGGTGGCGGCGGCGGGGGCTGCGGGGCGCCGTGCAGCGCGGGCGGCAGCGCGTTGGGCAGCGGCGACAGCGGCGACCCCATGGCGGGCAGCTCCTTGCCGTAGGGTCCGTAGAGGTGGCCCACGGAGGCGAGCGCCGCCCGCTCGTCGCGCATGAGGGTGAAGCTGCCGCTCACGCTGGCCGCCAGACGCTGCGGCGGGGGTGGCGGGGGCGGCGCGGCCGCCGGGTGCGGGTGCGCGTGGGGATGGCCGCCGTGCGCCCCGGCCACGGCCGCGGCCGCCGCGTGCTGGTGGAACTTGTCGGCCACGGCCGCGAGCGGCGGCAGGTGCTGCAGGGGCGTGAGCGTCGTGTAGGTGCCGCCCAGGCCCGGCGCCTCGCAGGCCATGCCCATTGCCGGGTGCAGCGGGCCCGCCAGTTCCCCGCGGAAGTCCGCGCCGCCGCCCGCGCTGCCCGCGCCGCCCGCGCCCCCGGCGCCCCCACCGCCGCCGCCGCCGCCGCCGTCCAGCAGGCTCGCCATGCCGGCCACCAGGCCCGGGCGCCCGGGCGCCACCAGGCCGCGGTGCTGCGCCGCCGCCGAGCGCGCGTGGCCCGGGCTCAGCAGCTCGCCCGCCTGCGCGTGGGCCACGCTGTGCAGGCCCCCCAGGCTCTCCAGGCTCAGCTCCATGCTCGGCTGCCCTCCCGCCGCGCGCGCTCCTCAGCGCCGGCCCCTAGTGCTCAAGGCCGCTGCATGACTCCCGCCCGCTCCCCGGTGGCTGCGCGCGAGGCTGCCAGGCTGCGCGGCGCACGGCCCGGCCCGGCTGCGAGCGCGGCCACCAGGATGTGGCAGGGGAGCGGCCGCCGGCGCCCGGGCCCGGGTCTGACGTCAGCGCCCCCGCCCACCCGCTCCTGCCACCGCTGCCTCCCGCAGCCTCGCTCTCCGCCCGCCCCGGCCCCACTCGAGCACCAAGCAGGCCGAAGTCGGCCAGACTTGGGGCTTCGGCGTCCCTGGCCACTGCGCCCGCCCGCGCCCGCTGGGGCAGGCCGTACCCGGGGGACAGCGGGCGGGGGTCCGAGGACAGACTCTGCCCAGGTGGGGCTGGGGGCCTCGACCCAGAGTCTCCGATTTCGCGTCTCTGTGTGATTCTCTCCAGAGTCCCAGATGTGGCTTTCTGCCTGGCACCCCCAAGTCCATCTCCAGGGAGTTTCTGGGAGTGTGGCTGGACGGTCGCCTGTAATGTACGTGTCCCCCCCCCCCCCCGTTCCCTACAGACCCCCAGGAGCTAGATCCCCACTGCAAGCTCAGCTTCCCCCGACTCCCACTCACACCTACGGAGTCACAGCCCCCTTCCCACAACCTCTTTGTGGAGGAAGTGGGGGAAAAGGGAGGTCCTAAGGCTAGGTCAGGGCCTCCGTGCGCCCCAGGGGTCAGCCTCTGCCCATGTGTGGGCACCTGGGCCTCCGTTTCCCCAACTGTACAATGGGCTGCCCGGCCTCGGGGTTGCCAAAGGCCCCTTCTAATTGCAGGGCCTTTTTACAGTGCGGCCGCTGGAGGCACTGGAGCCTGGGGGTGACCACTAAGAGCCCCTGTCACCCTCCAGCCCACGGAGGCTGAGGCTGGATCCCCTGTCTTCTGAGACGTCGCTGGTGCAAACTCCTCTTTGTCCCTGGGGCTTCTCTTCAATGTGGGGGGAGGCAGGGGTCTCCTTTTTCTCAGCACCTGGAGACAGGTGAGCCCCAGGGGCCCCTGGGAACTGGGATAGATGGGGGAAGGGCTCCTATAATCAGAGAGACCCCCAGGGGACTAGATCCCGCCAGTGGGGTAAGGTCAGGGCTGCGGATCTGGAGGGGCCAGACCAGAATCTAGAGGATGCTCTGTCTTGTAGGCCAGAGGCTACGGTGCAGAGTCCAAAACCAGCCTCAGCCCCTTCCTGCTTCCCCGTTGCCTCTGCCCCCCCCACCCCCGGGGTAACGCTTGTGCACTTTCTAGAAGAGGAAGGGGATGGGTCAGGCAGTCGGTTCGCGGGAGCCCCCAGTTACCCCCATCTCAGAGGGTTGCATCAGGGCTCAAAGCTGAAGGAAGAGGGGAGGACACAGTCAGGCTGTCACTTCCCCTTTGGTGCAAACCTTCTGGGCAAACCCCGGCCCCAGCTTTGCACCTGCATCCAGATTTCCTGGCCCCTGTAGACGTGGCTACACATTGGAGATGCGATTTTCTGAACCAAGACTAGGTTGGCTCTGGAATAGGGCCCTTTCTGTGCCTCAGTTTCCCCTTCTCTGGTGTGGGAGGGGGTGCCCTCCAGCCTGCCCAGCTGGGAGCCGGAGGTGAGTCTATGCTGACCACAACAGCCAGAGAGAGAGGGGGCCTGAATGATCTGGGCCCCCAGCCTGAGGTGGCCTGATCCAAGTCCTGGGGAGGGATAGGGCTGAAGGGGACCCCTGTTAGTACTCGCTGCTTAGGGCTCGGCATTTAGTAAGTGCCTGTTATTTACCAGGCATACTCTCCTCTCTCAGCCCCAGAGAGGGGGAAGTCAAATCACAATTTTTCCGGGTGTCTCTGGCCCAAGGTGGGGGGGTGGTGGCCCTAGAGTTCCCCCCTTCATTCCTACATCTGCCCAAGTGCTAACTCCTGCCCCCTGAAGTGTCGGTCCCTAAACTTTCCAGTTCCAGGGTTCAGGTATAATTTCTGGAGTTTACATAATTACACCCATCTTCCAGGTGGGAAGAGAGGGGCAGGTCCGAACAGTCGCGTACCCCACTCCCCGTGCAGATGCTGAATCTCGGCGGGGGGGATGTGGCTGCACAGAGCCCCAGCCTGCGCTCCTCATTCTCACCCTCCAACAATCACAGATAATTAAAAATAATCGTGAGATCTAAAAATCAATCAGCCGCCATAAAACGCTAGCATCCCAGGCTCAAGAAGCGCAGACCAGGTGGGGGCTGGGGGTCTCTACGGGTGGGAGGATAACAAGGTGGAAGGAAGTTCCCCCAAATGCCAATGTGGGGGAGCTCCTAGGGAGCTGGGATTTTGCAGGCTTCCTTTTAAATATATTTTTTACAGCTTGATGATCGTGTTCATTTTAATAGCAAGCGTGTGTGGCTTTTCTAGCAGGGAAAGCATCCATTTTGAAAGAGAAGACGAGGGTCAGGGACTCCGAGAGGAAGAGGGCCTCTCCCCTCTGCTGCCTCAGGACACGCTAAGGTGGCCACAGACCCCTTCCAAAGCTCCCTAGACTTGGAAGGGGCAGCCCAGCCTGGTGGACCTAACCCTATCCAGGTCTGCGAAGCCCCTCACCCCTCCCTTCGGCTGATGGACACTTGGACTCCCCCAGGGATGGGGATCTCACTCCTTGTAGAGGCTGTGGTCCCGTTGAGAGATTGAACAGAATTTTGCTGGCCCCAAGAGAGGGACTGTGGCCCCCTGGAGCCCCCAGCTTGCTTCTCCCCACCAGCAGCAGCCTTTTAGTAATTAGTAAAATAGAATTGAGCCGGCCACCGGGTAGGCTGGCTGCCCAGGCCCAGATCGATCCTGGGTCATTAGGCAAATTGTGGGCAGGGGGAGGGGTGGGCTGGATCGGGACAAGAAGTCCCCCTTCCCCACCCCACAGGGACCTCAGCCACCTCGAGGAAGCTCTCTGGCCTCAGTATCCCCTCCAGGAAGATGAAAGTTTGACTCCCAGAGCCCGAGTCTGTGTCTGGGAGTTGGGGAGGGGGACCTCAGCAGGTGCTGGGCTGCCCCAGACCAACGCTCACCCTCTCTGTGCCTGGCCTGCGTCTGGGAGGAGTCAAAAAGGGCAGCCTCTGGTCCTGCCAACCTCAGGGCTTGGAGAGTCCCGCGGGTGGAGGGGAGGACTGGGGGCCTCCACCCATGCCCCAGGGGTGCGCACTCTCCACGGCTTCAAACTCCCTAAACGGACCCCCTAAGCTTGAACCCCCTCTTTAATCCTCCACACCTCCCCCATTTTTGGACACACCACCTTCCCTGTTGTTATTGACTCTCCCATTGCAGCTAAAAATATCAAAGGCAGAGTCAGATACCTCAAGTTTTCCTTTCCTGGGGCTCCCCCAGAACCCTGCACAGTGCGCCCCCAACTGACTTTCTGATTCGATTTGTCTCCCACCGAAATGAAAGTGTCCGGGCTCTGCGCACCCCTCCCTGCTTTTATTAAAGCGAGGTTTTACTAAACGATGGCAATGAATGCGCGCCCCACCCAAGCCCAGCCGCAGCCCTAGATCCGCTCTGCTCCCACTCCCGGCCCCCGAAACCTGCGGGCGCCCCAAATCCCGGCCGCCGGTGCCTAGTGTGTGGCAGGAGTTCTCCCTCTGGACTCCAGCCGCCTTCGTTCGGGCGGGGTCTGGGGATTTTATTTAGATTTGGGGGGAGACTCTGGGCTTTTACGGCCTGGCGGGGGTCCCGGCGAGGCTGAGCGCGCGGCTCCCGAAGGTTCCACGTTGGCCGTGGGGACGTCCTGACCTCCCCACCCCGGGTGTCGCGACTTTGGGGTTTCGCCCCTGGCGGGCCCGACGTCCCGGATTTCCTGCCCGCAGTTGCGGGGCGCCCGGGCAGCTCTGGCCCGCGGGTGGATGCTCCCGCGGGCTCTTAGGCGACAGCTGTGCCCGATCGATCCCCGCGCCCGCCCGGGCTCCGTTGCCCCCGCCGCGGCGAGCGGCTCCATCGAATCCTCATCGCTCTCGGGCCGCGCCGCCCGCCTCGCGCTCGGCAAACACCGCGCTTGTTTGCGCCGGGGCACCGAGGCTGGGCGGCCGCGGCTGGCCGGGGAGCGGAGGGGTTGGTCCCTGGGGCCCCGCGTCCTCGTCCCCTCCCTCAGCAGCTTGGCCTCCGTCGTCCCAGAGTTCTGGGACACAATTAGAGGAGGGAATTCTATGCCCTCTTCTCGGGGCTCTGTCTGGCAGGCGCGGGAGACGGCCGGGCGCGGGACTTCCGCCGCATCGCCCTGGCCGCGCCTCAGTTTCCCCATCTAGAAAGTAACACGCTGGGGCGGGGGCGTCCGAGGGTGCCCGAGGGGAAGGGTCCGGGCTCAGGCGGGAGGTCAGGCTGCTCTCCTCTCGCGGCCTCCGCCTGCTTTGCCTCCTCTGTGCCCGGCCCGACCGATGCAGGTCAGAGAGCCGGGCTGGGGGTTGAGGCGCAGCCGGAGGGGTCTGGGGACAGGAACGCGCCCCGTCTCGCAGGCCTGGGCCCCTCCTCACTGGACGCCGTTGGAATCGTCTCCCCGCAGCGTGCGCTCAGGAGAAAACCAGTTCGTTTGCTGCAGTTTGCACTGTGGGAAAATGGGGCTTGGCGGCGAGGGGCGCGGGCTGCAGCCCCCGCCGGAGGGTGCGCGGGAGGGGAACGGCCTGGATCAGGGGTTGGGGGCCTGGAGAACGCCCCACTCCAGGGCTCGGCTGACAGCCTGGGGACTGGACGCTGCAGGCCACGGACTTCCCCGACGCAACGAAACCCGCGTTGGGCGCCGCGCTCCGGAGGGGCCCAATCGTCGGCCCAGCGGCGGGGTTCGCGGCCCCCGCAGCTGAGCGGGATCCCGGCGCTGAGTTAAACCACCTGAGCGCCCTCCCTGCCCTGCCAGAAGACAGGCTCCTTTAGCCATTAAACATGTAAATATCTAGATTTAATTCTCTGCGCACTCTTCTGGGATGGAGGCAGCCGGCGGATCCCGGAGCGGGGCTCGGCGGCCCGCGGTGGGTTGGTTTGCGGAGGCGCCGGGCTAGGGGACCCGAGCAAGGCTGCAGCGGGGCTGCCCTCGGGGCGTCTCCAGGGCCGCCGGTTCTGCGGGACCCGAGCTCGCCGGCTTGGACACCTGGGAGTGTCCACTCTGCACCCTGAAAGCCGAGACGAGACGACAGGTGGGTGGGGGGAGCACAGGCCTGGGGGCGCCCACTTCGCAGATGCAGAGACAGAGGTCCTGGTCGGGAGTGAGGACCCCGCCCCGGGAGGGTCCGAGGGGCGTCCCCAGGTGGGTTAGGCTGGGCGCATCTGGCTCTGAGCCTCACCTGGGCCTGGCCTGTTCCGGGCCGGAATGGCGCCTCGATTAAGGCGCGGTTTATCTGGACACGCCCGGGCGCTTTCTGCTGGGTCAGGAAGTGGGGAGAGCACGGCACCTCCTCCCCGCAAGACCGACCAACGCCCACGTCCTTGCCTCTCTCTTTGGGTCTGTCTCGCCTCGTGGACCTCTGGGTGGGGAGGGGGTGTTGGACTGGGGAATGGGGAATGGGGAAAGGGGAAGGGATTCGCACCTCCTTAGGCAGAATCTGCAGACCGGGGATGGGGGAGGGGAACCAGGCCATTCGCTGGATTTAGCAAACTTCTCAGATCACTCCTGCTCCCCTGCCCCCACCACCCTAGAGCTGCGGCCACAGCCTCTGTCCCTCCCGCTGGGGCTCCCATACTTAGGGAGGGGAAAAGTCATCCCCATCCCCCTGAGATCAGAACTGGGGAGGCGGCAGTCCTCCCTTCCTGGAGGAGGAGCCCTGAGGTTGGGTTTTGTAGGATGTGTAGGAGTCCAAGTCAGGTAGGCCAATGGAAGGACGAAAAGACTCCTTGTCATCTGAGGAAGAGGCGGTGGGGCTGGGGAGGCGTCTGGCGTTAGCCCAGTTTCGGGGCCCTCACAGGACTTCATTAGGGAATGTTTGTTGAATGAGTCAATGAGATAAAACTGAATGAAGCTGGGGTGTGTGGGGGGGGGGCATGTGTTCAAAGCCAGGCCTTGAATGCCAGGCTGGGGGTGGTTGGGCCTTCTCTCCCTGGCTGTGAGGCCAAGCAGGGAGGGTCCCGGGCGGCCCTTAGTATAATCCCCCCACCCCACAGGTTAGTACGCACCCAGGGAGGCCATCACAGATGTGGTGGGGTGGAATGACTCACCCCCTCTCCGTGCTGTGCGGTGTGTGTGTGTGTATGTGTGTGTGTGTGTGTGTGTGGCGGGCGGTGGGGGGTGGCGGGCGGTGGGGAGTGGCTGGGGGAGCTTTGTCCCTGGGCCAGCAGGTGAGTCACCTTGCGCTAGAAGAAAGCTTGTTTCTCCCATTGTTCAATCAGCAGCCACCTTCCGGGCTCGCCAGGGGTGGGGTGGCGTCCCCCATTCCCTGGGGGAGGGGTACGTCCTGCAGGTCCCCGCTCTATCTCCTGCCCCATCCCCACTGTACCTGCAGGGAGCTAGGGGCAGGGGTACTCTGAGGAAGCAACTCCAATTATTCCCATTTTTCAGGTGAGGAAACTGAGGCACAGGGAGGTCCTGAGATCTGCCTCAGGCCACCAGCTGGCGAGCTGACCTAGGCCCGAGGGACTGGGCGGCGGGGAGCTGAGTCCCAGCACGCTGAGTCCCAGTGAGTGCGTGCTGTGTGGACACGCTCAGCATCCAATCTGGCTGGCGGTGGAGCCGGTCTCTGGAGAGGGTTGGCCACGCAGAGAGTCTCAGCTGAGCTCCTGAGTAGAAACGCGGATCTCAGTTACAGAGAACGTTCCCTGCGCCAGGGTCCCCCTCCGACCCAGCCCTTCGGGCGATCCCAGGGAGCGCAGGACCCTCTGGACCCGGCAGTTGGGGGAGCTCTTCAGCCTGAGCTGGAGGGGTCCCCCGTTCTGGCCCATGCGCCGGTCAAAGGTGTGGAGGGTATTTGAGGAACCGGCTCCCAGTGTCCACTCCTCACTCCAGCCGCACTGGTTAATCATTTGAGGCAGCGGACAGGGGAAGGGGCCAGCCGCCTCCTGCTCTGGCCATCACCTGCCCACCTCCCAGCTCCAGGCCTGCAGCAAGAGAGCAGGAAGCAGAGCGAGCCCTGTGGGGCCCTGGGCAGGGCATAGAGGGAGTCCCAGAGGGGCCTGTTGGTTGGGAAAGCTCTTGTGGGGTGTCAGAGCAGAGACTTCTCTCTGGGCCTCAGCTTCTCCCACTGGGGAGGAAAACTTGATGCTCTTGAAGGGTGAGGATCCTCCTACCTCGTCCTCCCCCTCCTCCTCCATCCTCCTCCTCCTCTCCCTCCTCCCCATCCTCCCCCTTCCTCCCCCTCCTCCTCCATCTCCCTCCTCCTCTCCCTCCTCCCCCATCCTCCCCCTTCCTCCCCACTCCTCCTCCATTTCCTTCCTCCTCTCCCTCCTCCTCACCCTCCCTCTTCCTCCCCACTCCTCCTCCATCCTCCTCCTCCTCTCCCTCCTCCCCCTTCCTGCCCCTCCTCCCCATCCTTCCCCATTCTTCCCACTCCTCCTCTCCCCTCCCTCCCCATCCTTCCCCCTTCTACTCCCCCTTCTCCCTCCTCCCCATCCTTCCCCATTCTTCCCACTCCTCCTACCCCCTCCTCTACTTTCCTTCCCCCTTCCCCCCTCCTTCCCCCTCCTCCTCTCCCTCTTCCCCCCTCCTCCCATTCCTAGTCTCCCTCCTGGCTCCTCCCTTTCCTTCCTTCTACTCCCCCTTCTCCTTCCAGCCCTCCCCTCCTCCCTTCCAGCCTCCTCTCCCTCCCCCATCCACTCTTCCTTCTTCCTTCTCCCTGCTCCCCTCTCCTCTGCTTCCTCCGTTTCTCCTTCCCCCTCCTCCCCTCCCCTCGGTGCTAACAGCTGTAATTGCTGTTTCTCCCACCTCCCTAACAAGCACGGGACCCTCCGAGCAGAGCCGCCCGCAGTTCCGCTCAGTAATCGCCTCCATGGTAAATCCCCACAATTGGGCTGGGCAGGAGCCGTTGGCTTCGCGCTCTCCCTCCTGCTCGCTTTAAGCAAAACCAAACAAAACGTTTCTGTTATTACTGAACTCCCTGGGCGCCAGGAGGTGAGAGGGTGGCATTTCCCAAGGATGGAATTGGAGGGGGAGCCTCCTCCAGCCCCTCATCACCTCACCTCTGCCTGGAGGTGAGAGTTGGGGGGCTCCGCAGAAAATGGGAAACATTGTCCCCCCACCGTGGCAGGCCCCAGTAGGAGGGTCCCTGGGGGCTGCCAGGCCTGGGGGCAGGGGCTCCCCAGGGGTCATAGCGCCGGCAAGAAGAGAAGGGGATTGGGGAGGGATGGGGTCATCCTGTTGACCCCTTGCTTTTACCGATGAGGAAACAGGCAGATCCAAGGCTCTTACCCCCCAGAGAGGGCGCCTCTCATTCCCTGGAGAAAAACCAAAGAACCACCCGCCCCCAGCTCTCAGAGGGGAATAGAAGATGGAGGTAGGTGCGTGTCCAGCCAGCTCTGCATCTCCAGGGGTGGCGTACCCGGTTCACAAGTGGGAGCCCCGACTCCTGAGGGCTACTGGGTGATCTCCATGCGGCTGCTGGGCAGGGCAGGTGACCTCTGACCCCAGCCCGCCCAGTCCATCCGCCAAGGGTGCCTCATTCCCAAAGCGCCTGCGTGGTGTCCGGGGCTTCTCCCCTTTGGGGTTGAGGGTGGGTTCCAGACTCAAATCCCAGCCCCGCCTTCATTTCCCACATCAGGGACCCTTCTGGAGCCTCAGTTTCCCCATCTGTGGAATGGGGATAAAACACACACAGTGCACCCTTGAGGACATCTGACAGTGCTCAGGAAAGGCTGTGACAAGGGCGGCCACCAGCCTCTGCCCACCCCATAAACAGCCAGGGTGGACCGGTGGGGGAGGGGCAAGGAATCCTGGGCCAGGCTCAGAGGACAGAAGCTGGAGGGGGGAAGAGGAGGAGGGAGGGGGAGGTGAGGGAAAAGGATGAGGAAGAAGGGATGGGGAGGAGGGGGAGGAAGAGGAGGAGGGGGAGGAAGCAGAGGGGAGATGGGAGGAGGGTGAGAAAGGGGAGGAAGGGGAGGGGGGAGGAAAGGAGGGGGAGGGAGGAGGGGAACTGGAGGCTTCCCAGAGGAGCCCCCCTCCCCCCACAGCCCGGTGCTGCTGCTGGAATTGATCCTCCCATCGATCCTGGGGGAGCTGGAGTCGGGGGCCAGCTCTGCTCTGGAGGCCAGGAGGAGGCCGGGGCAAGGAGGAGAGGTTTGCACAAAGCGAAGGGAGGCTGCTTTGTCCCCATCTGCGCAGATTCCCTCATAGTCCCTTGAGCTGGGCGGTGCAGGCCCCACTTCACAGGTGAGCAAACTGAGGCCTGAGGGGCGGATTCTGGGGAGATGGTACCGGGGCTCCCGTGCAGTTGGAGTTAGGTGGCCTGGGGTTCACCAGCCTCAGTTTTATGGGTTTGTTCCAGTTTCCCTGTGGGCACCAGCCCTGGTTTTCTGTTCCTTCCACCTTCCTGGGGCTGGGGCTGTTTTTTGATTCCTCTCAATGGGTAGAAATGCTGGGGCTGCAGGAGAGGAGTGAATGGGGTGCTCGAGGCAGAGCCCAGGCCTCCTGGGAGCCAGCTGGTGTGGGGCCGGGCTGGGGTGGGGGCCTGGATTTTGCTTCTTTAAGAATCGTCAGGCGGGGTGCAGTGGCTGACACCTGTAATCCCAGCACTTTGGGAGGCTGAGGTGGGCGGATCACCTGAGGTCAGGAGTTTGAGACCAGCCTGGCCAACATGGTGAAACCCCGTCTCTACTAAAAATACAACAATTAGCCGGGTATGGTGGCGGGCACCTGTAGTCCCAGCTACTCGGGAGGCTGAGGCAGGAGAATGGCGTGAACCCGAGAGGCGGAGCTTGCAGTGAGCCGAGATCGCGCCACTGCCCTCCAGCCTGGGTGACAGAGCAAGACTCCGTCTCAAAAAAAAAAAAAAAAAAGAATGGTCAGAATGGGGGCCTCTGTTCATGTGCCCTTCCATCCCTTCCGGACACTCGTTCCCATTTTGTGAGTGAGCAAACTGAGGCCGCAGCTCCCTGAACCTTAAAAAGGGCAGAACTGGGATGTGGACTCAGGCCGTGGGGCTCACCACGGGACAGGCCAGAGCTCCCGAGTTCAGCTGGCACCCCTTCCCCTGCTGACGGGCCCTGGGCAGCTCAAGTCACTCGCCGTGCCTCAGTTTCTCCATCTGTAAAATGGGGACCACGTTGACTTATTGAATAGATGTAAGTCGCATGCTTGGCCCGGGCCCTGGTACGTGGTCAGCGCTCATCCACGTCAGCTGTTCTACCCGGAGGGCGGCCCGAGGAAAACCCAGGTGTGCAAGGAGGACCCCGGGCACAAAGCTGCAAAGAGGTGGCTTCGGCGGGGAACTAGGAGTCAGAGGTCGGTATGGCCAACAGGGCCCTACTGTGCCCCTGCCCGGTCCTGTAAAATCCGTCCTCCTGTTCCCCTGCTGCGGACCTACTGTGTGCCCCCTGCTGCCAGCATGGCGGGCTCCTTTTTCTGTTGTCTCCCTCTCCAAGCCTGGGAGCCCTTGGAGGGCACAGAGTTTGTGATGATGTCCCCATCACCCGGCTCCGGCTGGGGGGCACGCCGTGGGGAAACGTGCACGAGAGTTCTGTTCAGTGGAATCCGGAGCACGGGACTCAGGGCCTGTCTAGCTCATGAAGGCACCGTGGCGCTGGATCCTGGTCTTCCCTTTGTTGGGGGATCAGATCTGGGAGGGCTGTAGGGCCCAGCCAGACCCTTGTCCAGTGGCCAAAAGGGGCTCCTGGACAGGCCTGGCGTGTGGACTTCGTTGGGTGCAGCTGGGCCGGCCTGGGGACGCCACTCGAGGGAGAATTCCCTGAAGCAGCACTTTCTCTCGTGGGGGATCAATGTGTGGTGGAACACATTTGTAAACGATTTTTTTTTTTTTTTTGAGACGGAGTCTTGCTCCGTTGCCCAGGCTGGAGTGCAGTGATGCAATCTTGGCTCACTGAAACCTCCACTTCCTGGGTTCAAGTGATTCTCCTGCCTCAGCCTCCCGAGTAGCTGGGATTACAGGCGTCCGCCACCACACCCGGCTAATTGTTGTATTTTTAGTAGAGATGGGGTTTCACCATCTTGGCCAGGCTGGTCTTGAACTCCTGACCTCGTGATGCACCCGCCTCGGCCTCCCAAAGTGTTGGGATGACAGGCGTGAGCCACCGTGCCCGGCCTATAAACGATTATTTATGCCAGTGGCAGCCCACATTCAAAGCTTGGGCTGAGACCCCGGGGAGGAGGTTGCGACCCCAGGGAGGGGGTTGCGACGCCACAGTCCCCTGCTGGTGGATTCTCCTGGCTTGGTCACTCTGCATGTAAAGCATGTCAGTGTGTAGCCCAGCTCTCAAATCTGCCCGCTGGTGGATCACAAGGTCAGGAGTTTGAGACCATCCTGGCCAACGTGGTGAAACCCCATCTCTACTAAAAATACAAAAATTAGCTGGGTGTGGTGGCACATGCCTGTAATCCCAGCTACTCATGAGGCTGAGGCAGGAGAATCACTTGAAGCAGGGAGTTGGAGGTTGCAGTCAGCCGAGATTGCACCACTGCACTCCAGCCTGGCGACAGAGCGAGACTCCGTCTAAAAAGAAAAAAAAATCTGCCCGCTGGGGATTGAGTCCAGGTTCTCATCCCAGCTCTCCCATCTCCCAGCTGGTGTCCTTGGGGTGGCTCTCACGACCTCTCTGTGTGGCAGATCCCTCCTCTGTAGGAGGAGATTTCTTGAAAGCATAAAATGAGAAAATTCTTATAAGGTCCTTAGAACTGCACTCAGATGCTGAGCAGACAGAAGCCGCTGCCATTGTCAGCCTCTATGGGCCCAGAAAGACTGGGGAGGAAAGAATTGCAAACAGACAAGGCAGCCAGAGAAAATGAATTACAACCAAGGTCGAGAGATGTCGCTGGAAGAGAAGTCACAATAGGTGGTTCTGAACCTTTGCTACACACAGGCCATAATTTTGTCTCTGAGCTTCCCAGTGGGCAATGCAAAAAGAGAAACACTGGCCGGGTATGGTGGCTCATGCCTGTCATCCCAGCACTTTGGGAGGCTGAGGCGGGAGGATCACGAGGTCAGGGGTTTGAGACCAGCCTGACCAACATGGTGAAACCCTGTCTCTACTAAAAATACAAAAATTAGCCAGGTGTGGTGGCACGCACCTGTAATCCCAGCTACTCAGGAGGCTGAGGCAGGAGAATCAGTTGAACCCAGGAGGCGGAGGTTGCAGTGAGCTGCGATTGTGCCATTGCACTCCAGCCTGGGTGACAGAGCAAGACTCCGTCTCAAAAAAAACAAAAAACAAAACACAAAAAGAGAAACACTTGCAAGTATGTATGTCTATGGCCACGCACACTTTTGTGGCCATTTGAAGGCATGGATGTGGGCCTGTATGCATGGGGGAGGGCAGGTGCATGCCCGAGCCAGGTGTGGTTGATAGAAAGTGGCCCCAGTGGCCGGGCGCGGTGGCTCACGCCTGTAATCCTAGCACTTTGGGAGGCCAAGGCAGGCAGATCACGAGGTCAGGAGATCGAGACCATCCTGGCTAACACGGTGAAACCCCGTCTCTACCAAAAATACAAAAAAAAAATTAGCCGGGCATGGTGGCGGGCGCCTGTAGTCCTAGCTACTCGGGAGGCTGAGGCAGGAGAATGGCGTGAACCCGGGAGGCAGAGCTTGCAGTGAGCCGAGATCGCGCCACTGCACTCCAGCCTGGGCGACAGAGCGAGACTCCGTCTCAAAAAAAAAAAAAAGAAAGTGGCCCCATGGTCTCAGCCCTCTGGTGTTTCATCCTGCAAATCCCTTCCCCTTAAGTGAGGCCTGGGCTTGTGACTTCCGTGTAGCCAACAGAATAGGGCAAAGGTGTTAGGTGTCACCACCACGATAACTTGTGTTGTATAAGACTCCACTCTGGAGTTGGGCACAGTGGCTCACACACCTGTCATCCCAGTGATTCAAGAAGCTGAGGCAGGAGAATCGCTGTCGTGAGCTATGATCGCACCATTGCACTCCAGCCAGGGCAACAGAGTGAGACTCTGTCTCAAAATAAAAAAAGCCTCCATTTAGCAAACTGAGAACCTTCTCTCCTGGTCCCTGGAAGAGGCCAGGCAGGGAACGGTGGGTGGGTGAACTCTGACAGTCAGGAAGAAAACAAGGTTGAGGTGGGAGGATCACTTGAGCCCAGGAGTTTGACACCAGCCTGGGCAACATAGTGAGACCCCTTCTCTACCAAAATAAAACAAATCAGGGACTTCAGTCCCACAACCTCAAGGACTCGCATTCCTCTGACAACCACAGGAGTTTGGTCAAGGACTTTCAACTTCAGGAAGGAGCTCAACGCAGCCAGCACCTTGATCGGCACCGTGGGAGAAGGTGGAAAGAGGACCCAGTCAAGCCACTCCTGAGCCACGGAAGCCGGGAGACAGTGCCTGCGTGTTGCTGTAAGCTGGTAAACTTGGAGTGATTTGTTACGCAGCTGCAGCTAGCACATTCATGGGTGCCATGCCCTTGGTTTCTGCATTATTTATTTAGAGACAGGATCTTGCTCTGTCACCCAGCCTGGAGTGCAACAATGCCATCATAGCTCACTGCGGACTTGACATCCTGGGCTCAAGCAAACTTCCCAGGCATATACCACCATACCTGGCTAACTGTTTTTTGTTTGTTTTGTTTTGTTTTTTTGAGATAGAGTCTCGCTCTGTCGCCCAGGCTGGAGTGCAGTGGTGTGATCTCAGCTCACTGCAAGCTCTGCCTCCCAGGTTCCCGCCATTCTCCTGCCTCAGCCTCCCAAGTAGCTGGGACTACAGGCACCCACCACCCTGCCTGGCTAAGTTTTTATATTTTTAGTAGAGACGGGGTTTCACCGTGTTAGCCAGGATGGTCTCAATCTCCTGACCTTGTGATCTGCCCGCCTCTGCCTCCCAAAGTTCTGGGATTACAGGTGTGAGCCACCGCGCCCGCCTTTGTTTTTGTTTTTGTTTCTGAGACACAGTCTTGCTCTGACACCCAGTCTGGAGTGCAGTGGCACGATCTCGGCTCACTGCAACTTCCACCTCCTGGGTTCCAGCAATTTTCATGCCTCAGCCTCCAGAGTAGCTGGGATTACAGGTGCGTGCCACCATGCCCAACTAGCTTTTGTATTTTTAGTAGAGACAGGATTTCACCACGTTGGCCAGGCTGGTCTCGAACTCCTGGCATCAAGTAATCCGCCCGCCTCATCCTACCAAAGTGCTGGGATTACAAGCGTGAGCCACTGCAGCCGGCAAGTTTTTATTTTTTGTAGAGATGGGGGATCTGGGTATGTTACCCAGGCTGGTCTCAAACTCCTGGGCTCAAGTGATTCTCCTGCCATGGCCTCCCAAAGTGCTCATGTAGCAGGTGTGAGCCACCACGCCCATCCAGTTTCTGCATTTTCACCGGCCACCAGCCTGGTGAAGGCCTCTTGCCCCTTCATCAATCCCATACACAGCCTTCATCAGCGCTCACAGTCACTGCTTACATTTATTAAACACTTGCTGTGGGCCAGGCTCTGCATTAACCACCCTACCTGTGTCGTCTTGGTTCGTGCCTTCACCAGCCACAGGAAACCAGGAAACTTATCAAGCACCCGCTTTCCAGATGGGGAAATCAAGGACCGGAGTTTCAAGGGAATTCTCCTAGAGAACCCAGAGGGTAAGTGAGGGCTCTGGGGTTGTCCGGCTCTGGCCCCCACCCCTTGCCTGCTCCTTGGGGTCGAGGGTTGGCCGGTGTCTTCATCTCACAAAGCCCCTGAGTCTGTGGTTCTCGGAGTGAGGGCCCCGGGCCAAGAGCATCAGTGTGACCCGAGAACTTGTGAGAAGTGCAAATTCTGCAACCCCAGCTTCTCTGAATGAGGGCCTGCCAATGTGGGGGGCTTCTGGATATGGGAGGGAGCGGGAATCTGGGCTTCAATGAGGCCCCCGGGGGTCCTGCTGCACGTTCAGGTCTGAAAACCACTGAATGGGCAGGTTCTGCTACCTCACGCCTCTGGGCCTTCACACAGGCTGTTCCCCCCCAGGAAGGGCAGGTCCTCGCTGCCCCATCTCACTGAGGCCTCTTATCCTTCTTTTTTTTTTTTTTTTTCTGAGACAGAGTCTCACTCTGTCCCCCAGGCTGCAGTGCAGTGGGGCAATCTCGGCTCACTGTAAGCTCCACCCCCCCGGGTTCACGCCATTCTCCTGCCTCAGCCTCCCGAGTAGCTGGGACTACAGGCACCCGCCACCGTGCCCGGCTAATTTTTTGTATTTTTAGTAGAGACGGGGTTTCACCGTGTTAGCCAGGATGGTCTCGATCTCCTGACCTCATGATCCGCCCGCCTCAGCCTCCCAAAGTGCTGGGATTACAGGCAAGAGCCACCGCGCCCGGCCTAATTTTAAAAATTTTTGTAGAGACACCATCTCGCTATGTTGCCCAGGCTGGAGTGCAGTGGTGCCATCACAGCTTACTGCAGCCTTGACCTTCTGGGCTCAGGCGATCCTCCCACTTCAGCCTCCTGCGTGGCTGGGACCACAGGCACACACCACCATGCCTGGCTATTTTTTTTCTATTTTTTATACGGAAAGGGTTTCACAATGTTGTGCAGGTTGGTCTCAAACTCCCGGCCTCAAATGATCCTCCCACCTCGGCCTCCCAAAGTGCCAGGCTCACAGGCATGAGCCACCGCACCCGGCCTCATCCTCATTCTGTAGGTCTCAGCTGAGGTCACTGCCTCAGGGAAGCCCTCCCTGAGACCCCAGCCTCCATTGGCTCTCCCCTGTGTCACAGTTTCTCTCTCCTGTGTCTGTTTTTTTTTTTTGACCGAGTCTCACTCTGTCGCCCAGGCTAGAGTGCAGTGGCACGATCTTGGCTCACTGCCACCTCCGCCTCCTGGGTTCAAGCGATTCTCCTGCCTCAGCCTCCTGAGTAGCTGGGATTACAGATGCCTGCCACCATGCCCAGCTAATTTTTGTATTTTTAGTAGAGACTGGGTTTTGCCATGTTGGTTAGGCTGGTCTCAAACTCCTGACCTCATGATCTGCCCGCTTTGGCCTCCCAAAGTGCTGGGATTACAGGTGTGAGCCACTGCACCAGGCCTCCTGTGTCTGTCTTACAGGGTTCTCATCACCGTCCGTAATGCCATATTTTCTCCTGGAAGTTTTTGGCTTTGTACCTATTCTTCTCTCTCCTGGACTATGAACTTTGAGGAGGCAGGGGCCCGATCTGTCCCGGCCGGTGGCCCCAGCATCCAGCACAGAGCCTGGGGCACAGCAGGTGCATGGTGACTGGGGGCTGGGTGAGTGAGTGAGTGAATGAATGAATGCATGAATGAAGGAGTGAATGCACAGAGGCCCCTGCCTTCCTGCCTCCCCGTCGCCATGAGAGAAAGGAAGCAAAATTTCAAACAACTCAAAGATGTATCAGCCTGGAGCCGCGGGAAACACCAGCTCCCCTGGCAGGGTGCATCGACCCACGGTGGGGCGGGCAGGCGTCCGGCTTTGTGCAGGCGGAGGTAGGAGGGCTCGAGATGGGGAGGGGGGCTGCACCAACCCGCTCGGTGGCGATCAAAACGCGCCCCCACTCCCTGCCTGGGCTTCAGCGGCCAAGTGCATGGGGTCTGCCGATGGAGGCTGCGGGGGCTGGAGGGGGGCGAACAGCTTCTGCAGCGGCCAGGACAGAAAAGCTCTCTCTCCCGACACACAAAAGCAGGAAGGCCACATTAAGCCCATTATCAATATTTTGCCTGGAAAAAATACAAAAAGCATTTTCTTCTCTGAAAAATTAATAACCTCGAAAGGTGGGGAGGCTGGGTTTGATGTCTGGTGAGTGGAGGGGGGGGTTGGTGAGGCTTTGCTTTCTGCCTCCCTCGCCGCTCGCCCCGTGGGTGCCTGGGTCCCTCTGGGCAGGCCCGGCTCCTCCAGCCCACCTCCAACTGCCACCACCTGCTCCTAGTCCTGGCTGAGGCCCCAGCAAACCTTGGGCTGTGAGCCGGGCTCACCAGCCTGGCTCCAAGCCTGGGTCTTCCAGATCCACCATTACAGTCCCCTCTGAGGAGGTGGCATCCCCCAACCTGAGCCCAGGTGTCAGCCCCTCTCGACTCTGTCCACATGGGCCATGTTCTCCTAGCTCTTGCTAAGAAACTCCTACTCTACCTGCAGAACCCAGCTTCAATGCCCACTCTACCGCAGGGCCTTTACTTCCTCTTCCCCTAGACTCAGGTCTCTCCCTCTGGCCCAGTTCTGGGTCCCTTGTCTTCCCTGACCCTGGGGGGGCTTCCTGGGGGCTCTGGCTCTCTTCCAGGACCTCAGCAACACCCTGCACAGTGCACCATTATAATTTGGAGAATGGATGGGGCTCCTTTTTTTTATTTTTTTGAGACGAAGTTTCACTCTTGTTGCCCAGGCTGGAGTGCAATGGCACGATCTCAGCTCACCACAACCTCTGCCTCCCGGGTTCAAGCGATTCTCCTGCCTCAGCCTCCAGAGTAGCTGGGATTACAAGCGCCTGCGACCACGCCCAGCTAATTTTTTGTATTTTTAGTAGAGACGGGGTTTGTCCATGCTTGCCAGGCTAGTTTCGAACTCCTGACCTCAGGTGATCCGCCTGCCTTGGACTCCCAAAGTGCTGGAATTACAGGCGTGAGCTGCCGCGCCTGACTGGGGCTCCTTTTGGTGGGTGGAAGTCTTCCTTGGAAGCCCCCTTCCCTCCTGGCCTCCTCTTGCCCATGAGGCCCTTCATCCTGGAGAGAAGATTCTGGAATCTGGCTGGTGGGAGGGGCATAATTCTTCTCAGGCCTCAGGTTCCATTTTAATAAAACTAGGGGGTTGGATCTGATTTTAAATTTTGAAATGATTTATTGGCTCATTTCCCCCAACTCTTCCTGAGCTCTTTCTTAGAGACAGGATCTGCCTCTGTCGCCCAGGCTGGAGTGCAGTGGCGCAATCTTGGCTCACTGCAGCCTCGACCTCCCAGGCTCAAGCGATCCTCCCACCTCAGCCTCCTGAGTAGCTGGAACTACAGGCATTCACCACCACACCCAG
Source organism: Homo sapiens (assembly GCF_000001405.40). NCBI lineage: Eukaryota > Metazoa > Chordata > Mammalia > Primates > Hominidae > Homo > Homo sapiens. The sequence continues at coordinate 1,735,592 of NC_000019.10, read as the reverse complement.
CTAATTTTTAAATTTTTGCAGAGACAGGGTCTCACTACATTGGCCAGGTTGGTCTTGAACTCTTGACCTCAAGTGATCCTCCCGCCTCGGCCTCCCAAAGTGCTGGGATTACAGATGTGAGCCACTGCACCTGGCCCCAAGCCCCTTCCATGGGTAGACTTTGCAATATTGGAGATGCTGAGAAAAATCGGCCAGTGTCCAGTGACTCATTGTCTGCAAACAACATTGATGTCTGTGCGTGCCCACCCCCTGAGGTTGCGGCACGATTCCTATTTTATTGAAAATACTAGAGCCCAGGGAGGTCCTGGGAGGCCCTGAAGGCCTCGGCAGGAAGAAGCTGGTCCATCTGGGCGACGACTGGGGGACATCTGACAAATGGGGGTCCCTCTGGAGCTCCAGAGAGGAAGAGGCAGGGAGCTGTTCTTGGTGCTGAAGCCAGACTGGAGGGTCTCTGGTCTGGGAAGGGGGCTTCTCCCAACCCTGCCACCTGCCTGCCCCTCCCCGGGTGGGGTTCAGACTCTCTCCCCCACCTCCAGGCAGGCTGACCAAGCCCGGTTTGGCCAACTCTGTGTCCGTTCATCAGGCTGTCATCGTCCCCTCTTGAGGGTCTCTGCTGCTCTGCCGCCTCCTGGGCCCCTGCCCCATCCTGCCCAGCCCCTCACGTTGGCACAGTCCTCAGCTGGGAGCACCTGTGCCCAGCTCTGCACCCCCAAACCCTTTGTTGAATGAATGGACAGATGACAATCGTGGCACCTGGACACTGCTGTACGACCCCCCATATCTAGGTCCCAGTCTCTTTCTGTACCCCAGACCCTCCCCACAAATGCACGAGACCATCTGAGCTGCAGAAATTCTGGGAGGACTTCCTGGGGGAGGTGACCCCATCGGAACCTGGAAATGGTTTTCCTTCCACCACCGCCGCCCCCACCTTGAATCTCAGCCCAGCTGAACTTGAAAGGCTGAGCGGGCGAGGGTGGGGGGAGCGTCTCATCCGCCTGGAGGGGAGAAAACCGAGCTCATTAGGGGAGGGGATCAAACGCGAAGCTCCGGGCTGGGTGCGGGAGGAGGCGCTGACAAGAGGGAATAGTTTATCGAGGCGGCTCGCTCTCTTCCAAGGCCAGCACCTCGTCAGATATCGAGCATGCTTGTCGATGCTGCCAACCGTAAGTGGAGGAAAAAAATCGCTTAATGGGCTGCTCCAGGCTCACTCAGGTGGGTGGGTGCCCGGCTGGCCGAGAAAGGACGGTGATACTGGGTCCTTAAAAGGGCCTCCGCCATCCTCCCCCACTCTGCGGGGCTCGAGGGGGCTCGAGGCATCTGCTAATAACCCTTCGGCGCTCGTCCCATCTCCCGGGTTCCTACTGCCTGCGTGTGGCTGGGGGTTGTGGGGGGGTCTCCACTTATTTTAATTTTACAAGCCGAGCCCTAGATGTGGAATCGCTCCACTGAGCTTTTCCTGCACCCGCTGATGCCAGGCCTGGAGCTGGCCATGGAAGGCCCTGTGGTGATGGGAGAGGCTCACAGTGTGAGGGTGGTGGCTGACTTTATTTTTTTAGAGACAGGGTCTTGCTCTGTTACCCAGGCTGGAGTGCAGTGGTGCAATCATAGCTTACTGCAGCCTCGAACTCCTGGGCTCAAGCCATCCTCCCCACTCAGCTCCTGAGTAGCTGGGACTACAGGCTTGCACCGCCATGCTCAGCGAATTTTATATTGCCCGGGCTGGTCTTGAACTCCTGGCCTCAAGTGGTCCTCCACCTTGACCTCCCAAAGTGCTGGGATTACAGGCATGAGCCACTGTGCCCGGCCAGTGGCAGACTTTAAACCATGGCTGACAGCGGGTCTGGGAGCCTGAGTTGAGAAGGGCACCGTTGCCCCGAAAGGCGTAGGAGGTGCAGGAGTTCATTCAGTGAAGAGAAGTAGGAAAAGCAGGCAAAGGCTTGGGGGTTAGGAGAGCATTGAGGTGAGGAGGGGCTGGGTCGGCAGCGTCTGTGGGCCTGGCGGGGAGGTGTCATCATTCCCTTAAGAGTCAGGGGCAGCCAGGCAAGGGGTAGGACTGCATTGTTTTTTTATTTGTTTTGTTTTTTTTGTTTTTTGAGGCAGGGTCTCACTCTGTTGTCCAGGGTGGAGTGTAGTGGTGGAGGGCACCTGTAATCCCAGCTACTAGGGAGGCTGAGACAGGAGAATTGGCTCACTGCAGCCTCGACCTCCTGGGTTCAAGAGATCCTCCTGCCTCGGCCTCCCGAGTAGCTGGGACTACAGGTGCCCTCCACCATGTCCAGCCTGGAGTGGATTTTTTTTTTTTTTTGAGACGGAGTTTCACTGTTGTTACCCAGGCTGGAGTGCAAATGACACGATCTCAGCTCACAGCAACCTCCGCCTCCCAGGTTCAAGCGATTCTCCTGCCTCAGCCTCCTGAGTAGCTGAGATTACAGGCATGAGCCAGCATGCCTGGCTAATTTTGTATTTTTAGTAGAGACGGGGTTTCTCCATGTTGGTCAGGCTGGTCTCGAACTCCTGATCTTAGGTGATCCACCCACCTCGGCCTCCCAAAGTGCTGGGATTACAGGCGTGAGCCACCGTGCCCGGCGGTTATGCTTGTCGATGCTGCCTGTTTTCACTTTATAGAAGAACTGGGCTCTGTAGACACAAGCCACTTTTTCCTACCTGCTCAGAGCTGGTGAGTTTCGGGAACTGGAGGCCAGGAGCAGGGATCACGGGAGAAAAGCCCTGGGTCCCTGGGGAAGTCAGATCAGAGCCATCTGCAGAGGAGCTGGGCTGTGGGAGGGGCGTCCCCTGTCCTGCGAACCTCAGAAAAGCTGAACTACAAAATAGGTATCTGTAATTTTTGTCACATTTGCAATCTGTTTTTGAGCAAGTAATATACATATATACGTGGGAGAAACAAAACTTACATGGAAACAGCAAAAAAATAAATGCCCACCTCAACCCTTCCCGTGCCACCCTGTGCCCTTGGACGTGGAAGCCTTCATTATCTGTCCTAGGGCCTCATGATACACACCATGAAGAGTATCCGTGGCCGGGCACGGTGGCTCACGCCTGTAATCCTTGCACTTTGGGAGGGCCTGGCAGGTGGATCATCTGAGGTCAGGAGTTCAAGACCAGCCTCGCCAACACGGTGAAACCCCATCTCTACTAAAAATACAAAAATTAGCCGGGCGTGGTGGTGGACACCTGTAATCCCAGCTACTCGGGAGGCTGAGACAGGAGAATCGCTTGAACCCAGAAGGCGGAGGTTACAGTGAGCCGAGATCGCGCCACTGCACTCCAGCCTGGGTGACAGAGCAAGACTCTGTCTCAAGGGGAAAAAAAAAAAAAAGTATCTGTATATACTTAGAGACATACTCTGACTTAATGTGACCAGTCTCTACTCACTGTTCAGCATGTAGCTTTTTTTTTTGTTTTTTTTTAAAGACAAATGTCCCTCTGTCACCCAGGCTGGAGTGCAGTGGTGCAATCTCGGCTCACTGCAACCTCCGCCTCTGGGGTTCAAGCGATTCTCCTGCCTCAGACTCCCGAGTAGCTGGGATTACAGGCGCCCGCCACCACGCCCGGCTAATTTTTATATTTTTAGTAGAGACGGGCTTTCACCTTGTTGGCCAGGCTGGTCTGGAGCTCCTGGCCTCAGGTGATCCTCCCACCTTGGCCACCGAAAGTGCTGGGATCACAGGTGTGAGCCACCGCGCCCAGCTTCGGTGGGTAGTTTTTCATCCCTCCCCACTCCTACCCTCCTTTCCATATTTTCCAAGGCTGGACATGCCATTCCTCCAGCACTGAATGATCCTCCTCTGTCTGAATACACCACAGCCCACTGATACGTTCACCTGCTCAAGGGAAGCTTGGTTGCTTCCTGATTTGGCCAGCTATGAATAAAGCTGCCATAAGCTTTCGTGTGCAGGGTTTTGTGTGGACACAAGTTGCCAACTCATTTGGGGGCACCTAGCCTTTTCAATGAATATATCTAGAAAGGTTTTTGTTTTTGTTTTTGTTTTTGTTTTTCCTCAGACGGAGTCTTGCTCTGTCACCCAGAGCTGGAGTGTAATGGCACAATCTCGGCTCACTGCAACCTCTGCCTCCCGGGTTCAAGCAATTCTCCTGCCTCAGCCTCCCACGTAGCTGGGATTACAGGCGCTCGCCACCACACCCGGCTAATTTTTGTATTTTTAGTAGAAATGGGGTTTCACTATGTTGGCCAGGCTGGTCTCAAACTCCTGACCTTGTGATCTGCCTACCTCAGCCTCCCAAAGTGCTGGGATTACAGGCATGAGCAATTGCACCCAGCTTTTTTTTTTTTTAGACAGAGTTTCACGTTTGTTGCCCAGGCTGGAGTGCAATGGTGTGATGTCGGCTCACTGCAACCCCCGTCTCCTGGGTTCAAGCGATTCTCCTGTCTGAGCCTCCTGAGTAGCTGGGATTACAGGTGCCTGCCACCACACCCAGCTAATTTTTAAAATATTTTTAGTAGACATGGGGTTTCACCATGTTGGCCAGGCTAGTATCAAACTCCTGACCTCAGGTGAACCACCTGCCTCAGCCTCCCACACTGCTGGGATTTACAGGTGTGAGCCACCGTGTCTGGCTTTTTTTTTTTTTTTTTTTTTGAGACAGGGTCTTGCTCTGTCTCCCAGGCTGGAGTGCAGTGACGCAGTGTCAGCACACTGCAGCCTCAACCTCCCAGAGTCAAGCAATCCTCCCACCTCAGCCTCCTCCATAGCTGGGACCACAGGTGCTCACCACCACACCTGGCTAATTTTTTTTTCTTTTTTTCTTTCTTTTGAGATGGAGTTTTTCTCTTGTTGCCCAGGCTGGAGTGAAGTGGCGAGATCTCAGCTCACTGCAACCTCTGCCTCCCAGTTTCAAGGGATCCTCCTGCCTCAGCCTCCCGAGTAGCTTGGATTACAGGCACCCACCACCACACCCGGCTAATTTTTGTATTTTTAGTAGAGACGGGGTTTCACCATGTTGGCCAGGCTGGTCTCGAACTCCTGACCTCGGGTGATCTGCCCGCCTCGGCCTCCCAAAATGCTGGGATTACAGGCGTGAGCCACCACTCCTGGCCTGAGTTCACATTTTAAATTTTGTTAGACATTGGCCCATCATGTTCTCCAAAGATCCACTTGAATTGATCCAGCCACCAAGAGCCCCTGAGCGGGAGTCACTGTGAGTGTGTGTGTGTGTGTGCGTGCGCGCGTTGGTCTCGGGGCTGTGGGGGGGATCTGGTGTCCCCTCTCCCCCTGGGCCGATGGAGGTGGGGTGGGGGCACCTGGGCACCCGTCCCTGGAGAGACAGGAGGAGCCGATAAGCAAACACGTCAATCACTCGATCCCTGGAATTGGGTTAATAAAGCTGCCAGATGGAGAGATGGCTTCGGAAATCCATGCGTCCGGCCATGTCCAACGGGGACAGCGTGCCTGGACACAGCTGCCGCCCATCAACACAGGGCCGGGGAGGACGCGGGGGACCTGTTGACAGGGCCTCAGCTTCTCCATCTGTCCAGGGGGCTTCCACGCTGCACCCCCGAGGGCCTCCCGTGTGCAGCCCTGGCCGATGTTTGATGTTCTCACGGCGCACCTAGGACCACTGGGTTCTCTTCTTTAATCCCAGGCTCTGGGGAGGGACCCCTGCTCAAGGCGGACAGGCCTCTGCCATTATGGAGCTCCCGGGAGGCCAACATTTATGAAATAAATGCATGAGTGGAACCAGCGGCTCCTCCGTTCAAGACGAGGCCCCTCGGGCTGATACCGGGGTCAGACCCGGGCTGGCGGGTCCAGGAGGGCTCCTGAGGAAGTGGCTGTGGACGGGAGGCCTGAGATGAGCTGGGGTCAGTGGTGGGGTTGGACCCGTTTCCCCGCAGTGAGAACAGCAGGAGAGGGTCAGGGGGCTGGGCACGGGGTCGGGGTGGTCGCAGGTGCAGACACTGGTGTGCACCGGCACACACACCCTCACACCCGCACATGCCCACACACTGCCAGGTACACGAACAGGTATACACACGCACGTACACACCCGTGTACCTTCTGCCACTCACACACACTGACATGCTCATAGATGTGCACCGATACACACACACCCTCACACCGGTGCATGCGTGCAAAAACAGCACACACACTCACATACAAATGCACAGGCACGCTGTCCTAGGTACCTACTCACACAGGCGCACTGCCACCCTCAAATGGCCGCACATCTGCACACAGGAACACACACGTAGGTATGCACTGATCTGCACATACTAATATGTACACACCTGCACACACACATGCACATACACATATACACACAACACGCGTGTATCCCTTGCACACCCTCACGAGCTCACATACACACGTGTACCCCACAACACTCTTAACAATACACACAGTCAGACGCTGGCGTGCCTCTGCGTCCTTCCCCCCACATGCTCACACAAAGCACTTACACACTCACACCCACATTCACACGTGTACAAAGGCACAGCCGCTGAGTGCACCCTCTCACACGCATGCACACACACAAACACACACGAACACGCACAGGCGCACACACATGCACACACACAAAACCACACACGCACACACACGAAGCCACACATGTACATGCAGGAACACAACATGCACACACGGGAACACACAGGAGCACACACGAACCCACACATGCACATTCACACAACACACTTGTCCACACACCCTGCAGCTCACTTACACACACACACACACGAAACCACACGGAGCCACGCACGCTCGCGCACACTCTCGTAGGGCTGTCGTTGAACCATTCCTACGTTGAAAACCTAACCAGCCATTTCCAAACAGCACAACCTTTGTGAAAATCCAGCTTTTTCATCTTGCACACGAATCGGCCAACCTCCGCCTCCCTCTCCCTCCCCACTCAATAACCAGGTTAAAATAAAAATTGAATTCCAGGATCTGCTTTCAAAAATCACCCCACACAATCCGCCGGTCAATGCAACCTTCCTCAGCTGTTAGGAATTAGAAACGCAGCGGCAGAGGAAGGAGATGGAGATGTCAGGTGGAACGTTATGGGAAAAATATGAAATAAATGCAGATATCAGGGACTGTGTGAAGACCGAGGCTTACGTGCAGGACACAGAAGCTGGGAGGCCTGAGCAAAGTGGCCAGGGCTGAGTTTAGGGGGTGGAGAAGGCTACGGCCAGCGATTTTCTCCTTTTGTATTTCCTTTAAGGTGGTTACGGAGTTGCACAGAAGGTTTTCTTTTCTAAAACCACAGCGATTTGGGGTACATGTGGGATTAATGGAGACCTTTAAACAAATCTCTGAGCCCTGGACTTGGCATGGCACGTATATCAAAAGCATCATGCGTGCTAAATATTAAAACATTTACGGCCAGGCGCGGTGGCTCATGCCTGTAATCCCAGCACTTTGGGAGGCCAAAGTGAGCGGATCATGAGGTCAGGAGTTCGAGACCATACTGACTAACATGGCAAAACCCTGTCTCTACTAAAAATACAGAAATTAGCCAGGTGTGGTGGCATGTGCCCGTAATCCCAGCTACTTAGGAGGTTGAGGCAGGAGAATCGCTTGTACACGGGAGGTGGAGGTTGCAGTGAGCAGAGATCACACCACTGCACACTAGTCTGGACAACAGAACGAGACTCCGTCTCAAAAAAAAAAAAATGCACAGATCTGTCAAATAAGCCAATCTTGTTTTTCACCCTTAAAGAAAGAAGAAATCTTCTTGGCTCCACACAGGGAACCCTAGCATTTTATAAGCAGCGTCTTTATTCTGACAATAACTCTTCTTTTGACAAAGTCCAGGTGTTCATTTGAATGAGCCCAAGTGGTTGTTGGGGGATTTGCGATTTTTTTTTTTTTTTTTTTTACTAAATTGGAATGTTTAGGGCACTACCCATATCCCCTTCAAAATAACCATAAGCTTTTCTCAAGTCTGTGACCTTGACTTGGGGCTTCCCCTCACAGGGCCTCTGTGTAATGGGAGTTTCGTTTGGACATGAAGATCTCACACTGTTCCTAAGCCTTTTAATTTCAACATTGCATTTATTATTTTTAAATTATTATTATTTTTTAGGCTGGGCGCAGTGGCTCACGCCTGTAATCCCAGCACTTTGGGAGGCTGAGGTTGGAGGATCACTTGAGGCCAGGAGTTTGAGACCAGCCTGGCCAATATGGCCAAACTCCGTCTCTACTAAAAATACAAAAATTAGTGGGACATGGTGGTGCGTGCCTGTAGTCCCAGCTACTTGGGAGGCTGAGGCAGGATAATTGCTTGAACCCAGGAGGTGGAGGTTGCAGTGAGCCAAGATCGCACCACTGCACTCCAGCCTGGGCGACAAAGCTAAACTCCATCTCAAAAAAATATATATATTATTTTTTAGAGATGGGGTCTCGCTCTGTTGTCCAGGCTAGTCTGGAACTGCTAGGCTCAAGCGATACTCCTGTCTCGGTCTCCCAAAGTGCTGGGATTACAGGCGTGAGCCACACCACACCTGGCCTATTATTATTATTTTTAATTAATTTTTGTAGGCAGAGTCTTGCTCTGTCGCTCAGGCAGGAGTGCAGTGGTGCGATCTCAGCTCACTGCAACCTCCGTCTGCTGGGTTCAAGCGATTCTCCTGCCTCAGCCTCCCGAGTAGCTGGGACTACAGGCATTCACCACCATGCCCGGCTAATTTTTGTACTTTTAGTAGAGACGGGGTTTCTCCAAGTCGGCCAGGCTGGTCTGGAACTCCTGACCTCAAGGAATCCACTGCCTTGACCTCCCAAAGTGCTGGGATTACAGGCGTGAGCCACCGCGCCTGGCCCCTTCCTATTACTATTTTGAAATTTCATCTTTTTAATTTTAGATTCAGGAGTACATATGCGGGTTTGTTCCATGGGTATATGGTGTGATGCTGAGGTTTGGGATATGACCGATCCCGTCGTCATCCAGGTGCTAAGCATGGTACCCAGGAGTTTCTCAGCCCCTGTCCCCCACCTTCCCCGATTTAGAAGTCCTCAGGGTCTATTATTCCCATCCTCGTGTCCATGAGTACCCAATGTTTAGCCTCCACTGATAAGCGAGAACATGGGTACTTGGTTTTCTGTTTCTGCTTTCATTCGCTTAGGATAATGGCCTCCAGCTGCACGTATGTTGCTGTAAAGGACACGATTTCGTCCTTTTTCGTGGCTGTTCAACATCGCATTTCAATTTAAGGAACGGTCCCTCCTTATGGGGTGGTGGGTTCCAGGCTGCGACGGTGTGGGACCCAGCAACGCGGGAAGATGTTTTAGCTTTGCTTGGAGGGTGCAGATGTCAGCACGGCGTGGCAGAGAGAGTCTGAAGCCCTCGAGCCACACTCTCTGGGCTCCAGGCCCCTTGCACCTCATAAACCCTTTGCGCCTTGGGTAATCCCCGGGCCCTCGTGAGCCTCAATTTTCCTGTCTAGGGAATGGAGAGCAGCCCGCCCAGGGAGATGGCCGGGGCGGCGGTCAGGGGGTCCGTGCATGTCCGGGAGGAAGGTCCTGGCCGCCCCTGCCCCCACCCAGCCGTACCCTCGCCCCCCGCCGCTGGAACCGTGCGTCCCCAAGATAAGAGACGGGTCAATAAAGTTTTCTTCCAAGATGGTCCAGCTCTCTCCATCCTCTCGGGCCCCCTCCCCGCGCCGGGAAAGGTCAGATGCGAGGCGGCATCGACCCGCGCCCGGAGCCAGGCCCCCGGCCACGCCGAGCCCGCGCTGACCAAGTGACCACGCGCGGCCGGGGCCCGGGCCGCCGCCAGCCAATGGGAGCGCGCCGGGCAGAGGTTGCCGGGCAACGAGCCGGGGGGGCGGGGTCGGGCGGGTGCGGGGAGGCCCGAGCGCGGCCGATCGATCCCGCGGCCCCGCGCATGCGCCCCCGCGCGGCCCGGAGGGGGCTCGGCCGGCGCCCAGCTGTCATCGATCGCCGCGGCCCCAGGCACTGAATAAGCTCAGGAAGGGCTTCCGGGAAGGGCCCGGTGCTCCCGCCCCGCCCCATCTCTCCGTAATAGTAATGGCAGCAATAGCGTCGGCAGCATCGCCTCCCGCCTGCGGGACCGCGCCGCGGAGCCTCCCCCAGCACCCAGGCCAGGGCTTCATCGGGGTCCGCTGTATCCTGGAGGTGGCCGCAGGGGCCCCACAGTCGGGATTCCAATCCCGTTCCCACCACCCGCTACCTCGGGGCGGGGGGAGGCTGTGATCCCAGCGCTGTGGGAGTCCGAGGCGGGAGGATCGCTTGAGGCCTGGAGTTAAGAGACCAGTCCGGACAACATAGCGAGACCCACCCCACCCATATCTACAAAAATTTGCCAGGCGTGGTGGTGCCTTTGGTCCCAATGATTTGGGAGGCTGAAGCAGGAGGATTATTTGAGGCCAGGAGTTGGAGACCAGCCTGGGCAACATAGCGAGACTCCGATCTCTACAAAAAAATACAAAAATTAGCCAGGTGTGGTGGTGCCTTTTGTCCCAATTATTTGGGAGGCTGAGGTAGGAGGGTCACTTGAGCCCAGGAGGTCAAGGCTGCAGTGAGCTGATATCGCACCACTGCACTCCAGCCTGGGTGACAGAATGAGACCCTGTCTCTAAAAACAAAACAAAAAACCCCACAGATGTATTTTTCTACAGTCTAGAGGCCTGAAATTTGAAATCAAGGTGTGGGCAGGGCCATACTCCCTCCTAAAGCTCTAGGAGGCCGGGCGCCATCGCTCTTGCCTATAAAAACAGCACTTTGGGAGGCTGAGGTCGGAGGATCACTTGAGGCCAGGAGTTTGCGACCAACCTGAGCAACATGGCGAGATCTCATCTCTACAAAAATAAAAATTAGAAAAATAGCCAGAGTGGTGAGTTCCTGTGGTCCCATTACTTTTTCTTTTCTTTCTTTCTTTTCTTTTTTTTTTTTTTTTGAGATGGAGTTTCGCTCTTGTTGCCCAGGCTGGAGTACAATGGCACCATCTTGGCTCACTGCAACCTCCACCTACTGGATTCAAGCAATTCTCCTGCCTCAGCCTCCCAAGTAGCTGGGATTGTAGGCATGCACCACCACACCTGGTTAATTTTGTATTTTTAGTAGAGATGGGGTTTCACCATGTTGGTCAGGCTGGTCTTGAACTCCTGACCTCAGGTGATCCGCCCACCTCGGCCTCTCAAAGTGTTGGGATTACAGGCATGAGCTACCTGCCTGGCCATGGTCCCATTACTTTGGAAGGCTGAGGCAGGAGGATCTCTTGAGCCCAGGAGTTGGAGGCTTCAGTGAACTATGATTGCATCACTGCACTCCAGCCTGGGTGACAGAGCAAGACCCTCTCTCTCTCTCTCTCTCTTTTTTTTTTTTTTTTTTTTTTGAGACAGGGCTTTGCTCTTGTTGCCCAGGCTGCAGTACAATGGCACCATCTTGGCTCACTGCAACCTCCGTCTCCTGGGTTCAAGCAATCCTCCTGCCTCAGCCTCCCGAGTAGCTGGGATTACAGGCATGCGCCACCACGCCTGGCTACTTTTGTATTTTTTGTAGAGACGGGGTTTCACCGTGTTGATCAGGCTGGTCTCGAACTCCTGGCCTCAGGTGATCCACTCGCCTCGGCCTCCCGAAGTGCTGGGATTCCAGGCGTAAGCCACTGCGCCCGGCCAACCCGGTCTCTTAAAAAAACAACAGACAGGGGTTTTACCAAAATGGGCTCACCTGACCTCTGACTCTCATGTGGTCTGTGTCTTTCCTGTTATCTCACGGGCATCTTCCCGTGTCATTTAAATGTCTCCTCCCCCATCACCTTTGATGACCACCCAGCATTCCACCCAAGGAGGAGGCCACCGCTGTTTCTCAGTCCCCTTCGCTTGGGTAGCAAAGCTATGCCCAGTACGTTTTGTTCCGGAACACAGCAGAAGAGCAGCATCGGGCAAGGGTAACACATTGAAATAAGCGGAGGATGGGCACGTGAATAATAAAGGCCCCCCCAGCACGTACACCTGAATGAAAAAGCATCTAGAATTTCTGACCCCTCCATCCCCTCCTGTCTCTGTGGATGGGCCTTTCCTGGGCATTTCATAGAAACAGGATCACACACTGTGTGTCCTTTTGTGTCTGGCGTCTCTCACTGAGCGTGACGTCCTCAAGGTGCATCTATGCTGTGGTCTGGGTCAGAACTTCATCCCTTTCTGAAAAATTTTGTTTTATTTTATTTTATTTTATTTCTTGAGACAAAGTCTTGCTGTGTCACATAGGCTGGAGTGCAGTGGCACAATCTCAGCTCACTGCAACCTCCGTTTCCCAGGTTCAAGCAATTCTCCTGCCTCAGCCTCCTGAGTAGCTTAGATTACAGGCGCACGCCACCACGCCAGGCTAATTTTTGTACTTTTAGTAGAGATGGGATTTCACCATGTTGGTCAGGCTGGTCTCAAACTCCTGACCTCAGGTGATCCACCCATCTCGGCCCCCCAGAGTGCGGGGATTACAGACGAGAGCCACCACGCCTGGCCCAAAATTTTTTAAACGGTGTTAAAACATATATAAATAAAGTTTCCCATCTCAAGCTTTTTTTTTTTTTTTTTTCTGAGACAGAGTCTCACTTTGTTGCCCAGGCTGGAGTGCAGTGGCACGATCTTGGCTCACTGCAACCTCTGCCTCCCGGGTTCAAGCCATGCTCCTGCCTCAGCCTTCCAAAGTGCTAGGATTACAGGTGCCACCACGTTCGGCTAATTTTTGTATGTTCCGTAGAGACAGGCTCTCGCCACGTTGCCTAGGCCGATCTCAAACCCCTGGGTTCAAGCCATCCTCCCAACTTAGCCTCCCAAAGCACTGGGATTACAGACATGAGCCACCATGCCCAGCCCCCATGTTACTTTCTATCTCTGGATCTGATGACTCTAGGGCACTTTCATGCGTGGAGTGACACAGGATTTGTCCTTCTGTGTCTGGCATCTCTCACTGAGTGTGATGTCCTCAAGCTTCATCCATGCTGTGGCCTGGGTCAGAGCCTCATTCCTTTTTGTGGCTGAGTTGTGTGGATCCATCCTTCTGGTGATGGACGCTTGGGCACCTCCACCCATTGGCTAGTGCAGCAGCTACATCTCTGAACCTGGATGCACCTCAGTGTCTTCTGACATCTTCAATTTCCATCAAGTAGATCCTGGGGCAGGCCCCATATGGGGTCAAGCATCACCCGTCCCACCTCACATGGGGCTGAGCCTCAAGATGCCAATGGGGCCAGGCATGGTGGTTCACACCTGTAATCCCAGCCCTTTGGGAGGCTAAGGCGGGCGGATCACTTGAGATCAGGAGTTCGAGACCAGCTTGGCCAACATGGCAAAACCCCATCTCTACTAAAAATACAAAAAAAAAAAAAAAATTAGCCCGGCATGGTGGTGGATACCTGTAATCCCAGCTACTCAGGAGCCTGAGGCAGGAGAATCACTTGAACCCGAGAGGCAGAGGCTGCAGAGCTCTCCAGACTAGGCAACAGAGCAAGACTCTGTCTCAAAAAAAAAAAGATGCCAATGAGAGGGGCAATGCCAGGACTCATAAGACAGACTCATAAGAAGGACACACCTGAATTTGCCTCCCTGTGTCATGGGACCCCAGGCAGGTGGCTTCACCTCTCTGAGCTTTGGTCTTCTCCTGTGTGAGCAGGGGTGGTTGTGAGGATTAAACGAGCCTGGGCAAGGCATCGGAACTTAGATGCCTCAAGATTTTCAGGACATGACTGGGCATGGTGGCTCACGCCTGTAATCCCAGCACTTGGGGAGGCCAAGGCGGGTGGATCACCTGAGGTCAGGAGTCTGAGACCAGCCTGGCCAACGTGGTGAAACCCCGTCTCTACTAAAAATACAAAAATTAGCCGGGCTTGGTGGCGGATGCCTGTAGTCCCAGCTATTCAGGAGGCTGAGGCAGGAGAATTGCTTGAACCCAGGAGGTGGAGGTTGCAGTGAGCTGAGATCGCGCCACTATACTCCAGCCTGGGCAACAGAGCGAGACTCCGTCTCAAAAAAAAAAAATTTCAAGACATGCTGGGTGAGTGGGGATGACGCGTCTGTGATGAGCAGGCCACAGGCTGTCAGGGTGCAGGACCGAGAGCTTCCCCATGCCCCCGGCCTCTATGCCCTTGTGCCATCCTGGGTGCAGGAAGTGTGGCACTGGTGACGGGAGGACAGGTTAAAGGGGTGTGGGGGACGGTCTTTGCTTGAATCCCACTGTGTGACCACGAGCAAGTCACTTCCCTGGTCTGTGCCTCGGTTTCCCTATCTGTAAAATGGAGCTGGTGAGGTCATTGGCTTCCAAAGCCTCAGCACGGTGCCTTCCCAGTGCTGAGAACGTCCTCCATGGGTGATTCTATTAGGGTGGTTTTGAAATCATTCTGCAGCGCCGTCAGCTTCTGGGCCCTCAGAAGCCCGTGCCCCTCTCCTGGCTCTGTCTTCCCATGGGTGTCGTGCCTCTGGCAGCATATGAATTCTGTAGTTATTTCTGATGTATCCTGGGCCCCCAAAGAAATACGTTTTCTTCAATTATTAATCATCGAGGTGTGAGAGACACGTGGGGATGAAATTTGCTCCCTGACCTTTGGGGAGAGGGTGAGGGAGGGAGTGGGGGCGGCCCCTGAGCCTGCACAGATCAGATGGGGGGCTCGGGTGGGGGAGCTGAGACTCTCAGAGTGGGGGCCTCCAGAAAGAAGGGGGGGTCTTGTGAAACGGGTAGTGGAGGGAGGCCCTGATCCCACTTGCCTTTTCTCTCTGTTTTTTTCTCTTCTCTCTCTCCCCTTGGGACCTGGTGTGGGGGGGTCCTTCTGGGTGTCAGTTGGGGGCTGTGCTGAAAGGCCAGAGGGAGCTGTGGGAGGCAAGATCTACCAGTGGGGCCTCAGATTTCCAGGCAGTTGGAGGAAGGTTCTGGCTTTGTGTCTCTTGGGCTCCTCCAACCCCAGCCCCTGCTACCAATACCTCGTTCTTCCGCCTTCTACAAAACAGGCAGAAGGTGCCCCCAGCCAGAAGGCACCCCCAGCCTGGGCTGCAAGAGAAGACGCAGACAGGGCTCGGAGGAGGCCTCGGGCTGGGGCTGTCTCTGGGAGATGCTGCCTGGGAGGGCTCCTGGAAAAGAGGCTTGAAGGATGAGGAGTGCTTTCGCCAGCATGCAGGGTGGGGAACGACCTCCAGTCCAGAGGAACTGCTGGGCAAAGGCTGGGTGGGATGCGGGCGAGTGTGACAACAGCCAGGGGGTGCTGCGGTGGGAGGTGGGCCTGGCGGGCTGGGCGGCGCGTGGCTGGACTTGCAGTGGAACAGCTCGTTCATAGAGTGGGGGTAGAGCACTGGGCCAAGGGCTTGGGTTGGCCACAGGGAGCTTTGGGAGGGCTTAGAGTGAGGGAGGGCCGAGTTCAGATCTGGCCTTGGGAGGTCCCTAGAGAGCCAGTGTGGGGTCAATGGGAGAGACTTCAGAGGGAGAAGGGCCAGGAGTGGTGACCAGTGGGCCATGGGGGGAGAGGAAGAGGAGGTGAGATCAGCACAGAGGCCAACCCAGGACAGAGGCTCAGCTCTGGGGAAGGAGCGATTTGATTCAGGTCACACCTCTGCTCTAGATCCTCCATGGCTCCCTGCTACCTCCAGAATTAAGAACAAACACTGCCCCTGGCAAGTGGCTGCCCACCCCATGGCCTCACCTCTTCCCACTCACCTCCTCCCGAATACATGGCCACTGGTGCTGGCAGTTCCCTGAATGCCCCGAACTGTGTCCAGCCTCCAAGCCTTGCACTGGGGAAGAGGTTTTTCAGGCAGGAAAACGGCTTCCCCAGCTGAGAAGGAAAGAAGTTGCCAAAAGGCCAGAGGAGATTCACAAGTGAGACCCTAAGGAAGCCATGAATTGCAGGCAGGGTGCGTGCTGCCATATCCATCTTACAGATATGGCAATGGAGGCACAGAGAGGTTAAGAAACACACTCAAGGTCACACAGCAGTCACAGTGAATGAGCCAGGATTTGTCTTAATTCCATATCTCTGGAAGTATCTGGGGAAGGATTTTTTTTTTTTAGGCGGAGTTTCGCTCTGTTGCCCAGGCTGGAGTGCAGTATCTCCATCTTGGCTCACTGCAACCTCTGCCTCCCAGGTTCAAGGGATTCTCCTGCCTCCGCCTCCCGAGTAGTTGGGATTACAGGTGCACACCACCACGCCAGGCTAATTTTTGTATTTTTAGTAGAGCCGGGGTTTCACCATGTTGGCCAGGCTGGTGTGGAACTCCTGACTTCAGGCGATCCACCCTCGTCGGCCTCCCAAAGTGCAGGGATGACAGGCGTGAGCCACCGCGCCCGGCCTGGGGAAGAATTTTGCAGTCCCAGGGCCACAGAGAGCTTTGGGAGGACAGAGGAGGGGGCGTTCTTTCTAACCCCCTCCCTCCCCACCCCTCAGCGTGGTCAGGCCTGCAGCCCGGGCCTGCAGGCGGGATGGGAACCTCTTGCCCAGGCCCTGGGGCTGCAGCCTCGCGTGGGTGGGGGGCAGATGCAGGGCCGCGGTCCCGCGTGGGGCACAGGCAGGGAGCCTGGGTCTGCTCGCCCCGCCTTTCCCCCCAGCCCCGCTGCGGCGGCGGCACCGATCAGCAGAGAGCGATCGATGGCTTATTGAGCACTTTTCAAGCTTCGGTGATTTTTGTGGATTCAGTGTAAACCGCAGCCTGGGCCCCCGCTCCCATCGACCTGGGGCAGAGGAGCCCCCTCCCCACGATCGGCGCTGACAGCTCCCGCCGCGGGCTCTGCGCCCCGGCACCCCGCAGCACGGAGCCGCCTCCTCTCCTCCCGGGCCCCCGCGGAGAGCAGGGGGGCGGGGTACAGACACGGCCGGGGGAGGGGGAGGCTGGGAGCGCTTGGAGTGGGGGAGGGGCGGGGGGATGGGCAGGGGCGTCGGGAGCCCTGGAGGGTGGTGGTGGGCAGGGAGGGGAGCGGCCAGCTCGGTTGTTAGAGGGTCCGTCAGGGAGGTGGAGAGGGGGCCAGGCTGGGTGGCTGGGCTTCCCACTCAACCTGGAGTCCCTTCTGGCCCTGGAATTCTGCTCTTCCCCCCTGCACCCCTCCTCCGCCCACCACTTGATCCCAGCTCCAGTCCCCGGCTGGAGAACTGATGAGACCCTCTTATAGGCCTCCCCTCCCCCTCCCCACTGCACCCCACTGTCCTTTACAGAGAACTGAGCCGGACTAGGTGTCCTCCTACAGGTACAACAAATACTTGGAAAGGGAGCTCCGGAAAGCTTAAGTGCTGCACCGGGAACCAACGCAAAATAATCCCGCTGAGGCCCTGTGTTCACCCACCTATACCTACCCACCCACCCACCACCCACCCACTCACCCACCATCCACCCACCCACCATCCACCCACCCACCCACCATCCACCACACACCCGCTCACCCACCATCCACCCACCCACCCACCATCCACCCACCAACCCACCCACTCACCCACCATCCACCCACCAACCCACCCACCTGCCCCTCCATCAAGACACTCACCCATTTATCATCCATCCATTCTCCCACACTCATCCATCCTCCATCTACCCATGAATCCATCCATCCATCCATCCACCTGTCCATCCATTCTCCCATCCATCCATCCTCTCACACTCGTTCATTCTCTCATCCATCTACCCATCTACCCATCCATCCACCCACCAACCCACCCACCTGCCCCTCCATCAAGACACTCACCCATTTATCATCCAACCATTTTCCCACACTTATCCGTCCTCCATCTACCCATGAATCCATCCATCCACCCATCCCTCCATCCACCCTCCCATCCATCCATCCAACCTCTCACACCCATTCATTCTCCCATCCATCTACCCATCTACACATCCATCCATCCACCCATCCATCCATCTTTCCATCTATCCATCCATCCATCCATCCATCCATGTTCCATCCATCCATCCATCCATCCATCCATCCATCCATCCTCCCACCCCTCTGTCCATCCATCCACTCACTCACCCAACCCTCCATCCATCCTCCCACCTATTCATCCATTCATCTATTCAACCTCCCACCCATTTGTCCTCCATCCTCTCATCCATTCATTCATCTATCCACCCACTGATTTTCTCATCCATCCATCCTCCCATCCACCCATTCATCCTCTACACCCATCCATCCTCTCATCCATCCACCCACTTATCCATCTATCCATTCATCTATCCTATCCATTTATACATCCATCCATCCACCCACCTATCCATCCATCCACCCATACATCCATCCTCCCATCCACCCATTCATCCTCCTGCACCCAGCCATCCTTCTATCCATCTACCCATCTGTCCATCCATCCACCCATCCATCCTCTCATCCATCCACCCACCCACCCATCCTCTCATCCATCCACCCACCTATCCATCCATCCACCCATCCATCCACCCTCCCATCCATCCACCCATTTATCCTCCCATCCACTCATCCATTTGTCTGTCTTTCTAGCCATCCGTCCACCCATCCATCTAGCCATTTGTCTATTCTCCCACTCATTACACATATATTCACTCATATATCGATCCACTCACCCACCTAGCCAACCAGCCACCCACCGATCCATTCACCAGACCATTTACCCATCTATTCATCCACTCATTCATTGTTTATCTTTTATTTTGCCATCCACCCATTCATTGTTCTACCTATCCACTCACCCTTCCACCCATCCACACACCCATGTACCCATCTATCCATACATCCATTCACTCAATTCCTCCAGTCACCCATCCAACTACACTCAGACTCATTGACCAATTCATTCACGCATCTATCCACTTACATACCCATTCACTCGTCTGCCCTCCCATACATCCGTTCATCCCCCACCCACACACTCACTCATGCATCCATCCCATCCAACCTCCCACCCATCCATTTGTCCACCCGCAAGAACTTTCAGTGATCACTTCTGGGCCATCCTGATGCTGTGCTCTGGGGACAAAGGTGAATCTGACCTGCGTCCTGACCCAGTGACTTCCCAGATCAAAGACATCCCCCCAATATAAACAAGGGGGTTCAGCCCAAACAAAGGCTGACATGAGGTATGGCCTCATCTGATGGAGGTGCCATTTTACAGATGAGAAAACTGAGGCCCACGAGGTTAGGAAAGCGAGATCCAGGGCTGCCAGGTGCCGCACTCCGCCACCCTGCTCATGGTTAACTGGCTCAGCACAGCTTTACTGAGCATGTGTGTCCAGGGTCAGAAATAGAGCAGCAGAAAGGGAGGCGAGACTCCCAGAGGCCAACGCACATGAATGGACCGTAGTCAGAGCCAGCTTTTGAACTCCACTCTTTCCTTCCCGTCTCTTGTGTATGTGATTCTGCCACTGTCTTATCACTCACTCAGCACAGTTTCATAGAGCACGTGCGCCCAGAGTCAGAAACACAGCTGGGGAAAGCAAACAAGGTCCCACATGGAGCTTATCTCCCCCTTTTTTTTTTTTTTTTGAGACAGAGTCTCACTCTGTTGCCCAGGCTGGAGTGCAGTGGCAGCATCTCGGCTCACTGCAACCTCTGCCTTCCTGGGTTCAAGCGATTCTCCTACCTCAGCCTCCCGAGTAGCTGGGATTGCAGGTGCGCACCACCACACCTGACTAATTTTTTGTATTTTTAGCAGAGACGGGGTTTCACCATGTTGGCCAGGCTGGTTTCAAACTCCTGACCTCAGATGATCCACCTGCCTCGGCCTCCCAAAGTGCTGGGATGACAGGCGTGAGCCACCACACCCGGCCATGGAGCTTGTCTTCTAAAGAGACAGATGGCAAAGCCAGCACGGGAACGGAGAACTAGACTCCTTTGCGTTGAGGCAGATTCCAAAGCCAGACAGAGCTCTCTGCTCCTGGCTGGACCTGCCAGTGGGGGCAGAACGCCCACTTCCCTCCCTCTTCCCCTGGCCCCGGGGATGCTGAGCCCTGGGTACCACAGGCCCCAGACCTGGGGGAGGCAGGGAGGAGGGGAAGCCGCCATGTTACCACGAAAGAAGGAGACGGAGGCTCTGAAATCCCCCTTCATAATTAATAAATGAAGAATATGGTTGTTAATCGATGGAGCTGTGAAGAGAATATTGATTCCAACCTCGCACTATTTTTTTTTTTTGTGCCGCTTAGATTTTTACACCTCATTTAGAACAAGGCTTCCCCAGGGAACTCTTAAAACCAAAAGATATTTGCGAGATTCTAGTGGGGCGGGGGGCGACGTCGGGGTTGGGCTGCAAAAAGAGGGGGACTAGGGAGGGAGAAGCAGCGTGGGGGGGACAAAGCGAAGAAATATTATTTATCATCCAAATTGCCAAAGCACCGTGCCTTTCCTTGAAGCACCCATTTGAATATTTGATTAAGGATCAATTATCATGGGTGTTGGGAAAGGTTGTCGGGCAAATTCGAGAGAGGCCACAGGGGAAGTGAAGGAGGTAGAAAAATAAATCTAGTTATTATTTTTTATTACACAAACAATGCGTGTCTTGGGTGGTAAAACTGTAGTAAAATGGAGACCATCAACCACCACAACAAAAAATTATCAATCTCACTGTTCCAGAGAGAAAGCTTTGGAAGTGTCTTGCCTGTAAACATGCACATACGTGCAAAATAATTGTACATAAATATTAAAGACGTTTACAGAAATGGCTTTGCATATTATCTGTGACCTGCCGTACATGGTTGGCCGTTCTTTCTTTCTGACTGAAAAACTAATTAGAAAATATTAAAAAGTAAAATGAAGAAAATGTCATCATTGATAATTAATTTCAGTTCTTTTTTTATTTTTTATTTATTTATTTTTTTTTGAGACGGAGTTTCGCTCCTGTTGCCCAGGCTGGAGTGCAATGGTGTGATCTTGGCTCACTGCAACCTCCGCCTCCCAGGTTCAAGCGATTCTCCTGCCTCAGCCTCCTGAGTAGCTGGGATTACAGGAATGTGCCACTATGTCCGGCTAATTTTCGTATTTTTAGTAGACATGGGGTTTCGCCATGTTGGCCAGGCTGGTCTCAAACTCCTGACCTCAGGTGATCCACCCACCTCGGCCTCCCAAAGTGCTGGGATTACAGGCGTGAGCCACCGTCCCCAGCCTACAGTCTGACATCTTACAGACTTTATTTGTCTATCACCAGGCTTTTCAGGAATGTTCTTTTTCTGTTCCACGCTCCTACATGGCGTTGATACCTCTCTTATTTTGATTCATAATAATTTAGGCTTTTAAAAATGTAGCTGCACTTAGAGATATGAACATCCCTTTTTGTTTTTTGTTTTGTTTTGTTTTTTGTTTTTGGAGATGGAGTTTCACTCTTGTTGCCCAGGCTGGAGTGCAGTGGCGCAATCTCTGCTCACTGCAACCTCCGCCTCCTGGGTTCAAGCGATTCTCCTGCCTCAGCCTCCGGAGTAGGTGGGATTAAGGCACGCATCACCACACACGGATAATTTTTGTATTTTTATTTATTTATTTATTTATTTATTTATTTTTGAGACGGAGTCTTGCTCTGTTGCCCAGGCTGGAGTGCAGTGGGGGTGATCTCGGCTCACTGCAAGCTCCGCCTCCCGGATTCACGCCATTCTCTTGCCTCAGCCTCCCAAGTAGTTGGGACTACAGGCACCCGCCACCACACCTGGCTAATTTTTTGTGTTTTTAGTAGAGACGGGGTTTACCGTGTTAGCCAGGATGGTCTCGATCTCCTGACCTCATGATCCACCCGCCTCGGCCTCCCAAAGTGCTGGGATTACAGGCGTGAGCCACCGTGCCTGGCTAATTTTCGTATATTTAGTAGAGATGGGGGTTTCACCATTTTGATCAGGCTGGTCTTGAACTCCTGACCTCATGATTCACCCGCCTCGGCCTCCCAAAGTGCTGGGATTACAGGCATTAGCCACCACGCCCGGCCTAAAAATTTTCACAGAGGCCGGGTACAGTGGCTCATGCCTGTAATCCCAGCACTTTGGGAGGATGAGGCAGGTGGATTACTTGAAGTCAACAGTTTGAGACCAGCTTGGCCAACATGGTGAAACCCCATCTCCAAAAAAAATACAAAAATTGGCTAGGCGTGGCAGCAGGCACCTGTAATCCCAGCTACTCAGGAGGCTGAGGCAGGAAAATCACTTGAGCCCAGGAGGTGGAGTTTGCAGTGAGCTGAGATGGCATCACTGCACTCCAGCCTGGACGACAGAGCAAGATGTCATCTAAAAACAAAAACAAAAAATATTTGAGATGGGGTCTTGCTATATTGCCCAGTCTGGTCTCAAACTCCTGGGCTCAAGCCATCCTCCCAACTCAGCCTCCTTAGACTATCTGGGATTATAGGCACACACTACCATGCCCAGGTAATTTTTGTACTTTTTGTAGAGACAGGGTCTTACTGTGTTGCCCAGGCTCGTCTCTAACTCCTGACACAAGGGATCCTCCCACCTCAGCCTCCTCAAGTGCTGGAATTGCAGGTGTGAGCCTTGATGCCTGGACTGTTAATGGCTTTATATACCCCATGTGCACATGCTGATGCTCTGTTGAGAATGTAACCATTCTTGTATTGATAAACACTGAGCTGGTTAAATTCCATTTTCTCCCCAGGGCCCTGCTCTGTGCCCAGGGAGGCTGACCCGTGGGGTTTCCTTGCTCTCTGGTTTCCAGCTGGGTTTGACCAACAAACAATTCTTATAGGACATTGGAGAGTGGGAGGAGAAGTTCCCGTGGCCACTGTCTCCCTGAACCCCTTCAGTCTCTGATGCTCACGGCTCCCACATGTTCCTAGCCTGGAGATTCTGCACCATTCGTCTTGTTTCTCAAGGCCTCTACATCTTTCAAAAATTTATTTATTTTAATTTTTTTATTTTTTTTGAGATGGAGTCTTGCTCTGTCGCCCAGGCTGGAGTGCAGTGGCACAATCTCGGCTCACTGCAACCTCCGTCTCCTGGGTTCAAGAGATTCTCCTGCCTCAGCCTCCTGAGTAGCTGGGATTACAGGTGCATGCCACCACACCCAGCTAATTTTTGTATTTTTAGTAGAGATGGGGTTTCACCATGTTGGTCAGGCTGGTCTCGAACTCCTGACCTTGTGATCCACCCGCCTTGGCCTCCCAAAGGGCTGGGATTACAGGCGTGAGCCACCGCACCCAGCCCTTTTTAAAAAAATCTTCTTTATAGGAACAGGTGTGGTGGCTCACACCTGTGATCCCAGCACTTTGGGAGGCTGAGGCAGGAGGATGGCTTGAGCCCAGGAGTTCAAGACCAGCCTGGCCAATGTAGTGAGACCCTGTTTCAACAAAATAAATAGGAGCCAGGCACGGTGTCTCATGCCTGTAATCCCAGCACTTTGGGAAGCTGAGGCGGGCAGATCACCTGAGGTCAGGAGTTCAAGACCAGCTTGGCCAACATGGTGAAACCTTGTCTCTACTAAAAATATGAAATCAGCTGGGCATGGTGGTGCATGCCTGTAATCCCAGCTACTCGGGAGGCTGAGGCAGGAGAATAGCTTGAACCGGGGAGGAGGAGTTTGTAGTGAGCTGAGATCCTGCCAGTGCAGCTGAGATCCAGCCTGGGTGACAGAGCCAGGCTCCATCTCAAAAATAAATACATAAATAAAATAAAATAAATAAAAATAAAAACACGAGCTGGGTGTGGTGGCATGCACCTGTAATCCCAGCTACTCAGGAGGCTGAGGCAGGAGAATTGCTTGAACCTGGGAGGTGGAGGTTGTAGTGGGCCGAGATCTCACCATTGCACTCCAGCCTGGGCAACAAGAGCGAAACTCCGTCTGAAAAAAATAAATAAATAAAAAATAAATAAAATAAAATAAAGCAACCCTCTTTATTAAACTTTTTTTTTTTTTTTTTTTTTTGAGACGGAGTCTCACTCTGTCGCCCAGGCTGGAGTGCAATGACTCGATCTTGGCTCACTGCAACCTCTGCCTCCCGGGTTCACGCCATTCTTCTGCCTCAGCCTCCCAAGTAGCTGGGACTAACTATAGACACCTGCTACCACACCTGGCTAATTTTTGCATTTTTAGTACGGGCAGGGTTTTGCCTTGTTCACCAGGCTGGTCTCGAACTCCTGGCCTCAAGTTATCCACCTGCCTTGGCCCTCCAAAGTGCTGGGATTACAGGCTTGAGCCACCGCGCCGGGACAGCATGAAGAATTGAGACCAGTTTTGCAATCAATTTACCATAGCAGGGACCCTGATTAATACAGACATTTAGATTATTGCCAATTTAAAAAAAAAAACTAGTCAAAGAATACTGCAATGACCATTATATAAATATCTCTTTATAGTTGTGAGAGAGATTTTAGATTCTGAGAAATAGATTTTCTTTGACATACTGGAATACACAACCCACGTTATTTTATATATATTTTTTCTTTCTTTTTTTTTTTTTTGAGACAGAGTCTCTACTTTTTTGTAAAGATAGGGTCTTGATCTGTTGCCCAGGCTGGAGTACAATGGTGCAATCAGAGCTCACTGCAGCCTTGAACTCCCTGGCTCTAGGGATCCTCCCGCCTCAGCCTCCTGAGTAGCTGCAGTTACAGGTGTGCACCACTGTCCCCAGCTTCTTTATTATATTCTTTTTTTGTTGTTTGTTTTTTTGAGACAGAGTCTTGCTCTGTCGCCCAGGCTGGAGTGCAATGGAGCGATCTCGGCCCGGGTTCAAGCGATTCTCCTGCCTCAGCC
Organism: Homo sapiens; assembly: GCF_000001405.40. Lineage (NCBI taxonomy): Eukaryota > Metazoa > Chordata > Mammalia > Primates > Hominidae > Homo > Homo sapiens. The sequence continues at coordinate 1,710,975 of NC_000019.10, read as the reverse complement.
TCCCGAGTAGGTAGGATTCAGGCACCCACCACCATGCTCGGCTAATTTTTGTGTTTTTTAATAGAGATAGGGTTTCACCATGTTGGTCTGGCTGGTCTCGAACTCCTGACCTCAGGTGATCCACCTGCCTCAGCCTCCCAAAGTGCTGGGATTACAGGCGTGAGCCACCGCACCCAGCCTATTATATTCTTAATGGTACCCAGTTATGCCAACCACAGCCTTCCCCGCCAAAAAGGGAAAGACGCCTCAATTCCACTCTAAGTTAATATACACTTTGATTAGTTTTTAGGTAAACGATATTGTAACTTTATAATTATTGTCATTTTACAATACATTTCAACTTCTTACAAAAACAAATGCCCTTCCTCTACTCTTTTCTTAAAAAAAAATTCCTGGTGAGTCTGAAATGTATATTCTTTCATATGAATTTTAAAATAATTGTGTTCGGTTCTCCTTCACTCTGAACAAAAGTCAGATTGGAATTTTGATTGGTATTGAAATAAAGATGTATGGATTCACATAGAGGAAATTGACATTTTAACATTATTTGGCCATTTCACCTGGCAGTTGGGATGTCTCTCCATTTCTTCCACGTTCTTTTTTGTCCTTCAATTGTTTTGTATTTTTCTTCCCCCCACCTCAGTTTTATTGAAATATAATTGACAATTTTTTTTTTTTTTTTGAGACAGAGTCTCGCTCTGTCACCCAGGCTGGAGTGCAGTGGCGCAATCTCAGCTCACTGCAAGCTCCACCTCCCGGGTTCATGCCATTCTTCTGCCTCAGTCTCCAGAGTAGCTGGGACTACAGGCGCCCGCCACCACACCCGGGTAATTTTTTTTAATATTTTCAGTAGAGACGGGGTTTCAGCATGTTAGCCAGGATGGTCTCGATCTCCTGACCTTCTGATCCACCCGCCTCGGCCTCCCAAAGTGCTGGGATTACAGGCGTGAGCCATGGTGCCCGGCTACCCAGCTAATTGTTACAATTTTTTGCAGATACAATTTTTTGCAGAGACATCTCCTCAGGAGATCACGTGTGCTCAGGAGTTCAAGACCAGCCTGGACAACATAGCGAGACCCTGTCTCTAAAAAAAAAAAATCTTTTTTTAGTTAGCCAGGCATGGTGGTGCATGCCTGTAGTCCCAGCTACTTGGGAGACTGAGGCAGGAGGATTGCTTGAGCCCGGGAGGTCGAGGTTGCAGTGAGCCATGATTGTGCCACTGTGCTCCAGCCTGGGGAACAGAGTGAGATGTTGTCTCAAAAAAGAAAAAAAAAAAAGATTGTTCATAGCAGATTTGCTCAAGGTAGACCCAGTGGTTGTATCTTCATATAATAGAATGCTACAGAACAATAAATAACTACAAGCATCGAAACATCCAGTATCACGGACGAATCTCTCAAACATATTCTTAAATAAAAGGAGCAGACACAACTGAACATGCATAAATTCCATTCTGATGAATTTCCAGAGCAGATGTTATAACCAGTTCTTTTTTTTTTTTTTTTTTTTTTTTTTTTTTGAGATGGAGTCTCGCTCTGTTGCCCAGACTGGAGGGCAGTGGCATGATCTCGGCTTACCAAAACCTCTGCCCCCCGAGTTCAAGTGATTCTCCTACCTCAGCCTCCCAAGTAGCTGGGATTACAGGCGTGCACCACCACACCCAGCTAATTTTTGTATTTTTAGTAGAGATGAGGTTTCACCATGTTGGCCAGGCTTGTCTAGAACTTACGACCTCAGGTGATCCGCCCATCTCGGCTTCCCCAGTACTGGGATTACAGGCGTGAGCCACCGCGCCCGGCCAACCAGTTCTTAATGATGGAAGTCAGGGCAGTGATTACCCCAGGGGGTGGAGACTGGTAGGGGAACAAGGGGGCCTTCTGGGGTAAAGAAAATGTTTCAGATCTTGGTTTTGGATGGGGATTACAAAGGTGTATGTATATATGAACATGCACCTAGCTGTAAACAACAAAATCTTGTCTGTAGTTCAACTCAACACTGTAGTCCTTCCTCATCATTCATCTGGTAATGGAGAAAACGGGGCGGGGAACTGGGGTGTTGGGAAAAGCCGGGAGAGATTCTTGGTCCCCAGGCTGTTGTCTCAGGATGGGTTAGTTCAAGTTAAACGGTGCATTCACGGCCAGGCGCGATGGCTCACGCCTGTAACTCCAGCACTTTGGGAGGCCTAGGCAGGTGGATCACTTGAAGTCAGGAGTTCAAGACCAGCTTGACCAACATGGTGAAACCCCGTCTCTACTAAAAATATAAAAATTAGCTGAGTATGGTGGCAGGTGCCTGTAATCCCAGCTACTCGGGAGGCTGAGGCAGGAGAATCGCTTGAACCCAGGAGGCAGAAGTTGCAGTGAGCCGAGATCATGCCACTGCACTCCAGCCTGGGTGACAGAGTGAGAGCCTGTCTCAAACATAAAATAAAATAAAATAAAATAATAATAAAATTAACATTGCATTCAGGTGCGGCTGTATCCAGCTCTGAACATGAGTTGGGGATCACTTGCCTCAGTAGGAAGATGCTCCTGTGTGGTCAGCAGAATAGTAACTCCCCTCCCCAAAGTCTACGTCCTAACCTCCAGGACCTGCGGATATGTCACCTGTCACCTCACATGGCCAAAGGGACTTTACAGGTGGGATTGGGTTAAGGAACTTGGAATGGGAGGTGATCCGGGGTTATCCGGGGCCCCAACGTCATCACAGGGCCCTCCTGGAAGGAGGCAGGAAGGTGACAATCAGAGACTGGAGGAGGCTGTGCTGCTGGCTGTGGAGGTGGAGGAAGGGGCCCCCAGCTGAGGGGTGTGGGAAACAGGTTCTCCCCTGGAGCCTCTGGGAGGACCCAGTGCTGCCCACACCTTGATTTTAGCTCAGTAAGGCCTATTGCAGAATTCTGACCTCCAGAATTGTAAGCTAATACATTTGTTTTGTTAGTTTGTTTGTGTCTGTCTGAGACAGAGTCTCGCTCTGTCGCCCAGGCTGGAATGTAGTGGTGTGATCCTGGCTCACTGCAACCTGTCCTTCCTGGGTTCAAGCAATTCTCCTGCCTCAGCCTCCTGACTAGCTGGGATTACAGGCGCCCGCCACCACTCCTGGCTAATTTTTTTTTTTTTTTGTATTTTTAGTAGAGAGGAGGTTTCACCGTGTTGGCCAGGCTGGTCTTGAACTCCTGACCTCGAGTGATCCACCCGCCTCGGCCTCCCAAAGTGCTGGGATTACAGGAGGCATGAGCCACCACTCCCGGCCCATTTATGTTGTCTTAATGCCACCACGTTTGTGGTAATTTGTTATGGCAGGAATAGGAAATTAATACACCTTGGGATGTAGGGCAGCTCCCCCATGCATGGTAAGGTTAGCCTGGGCTGTGGTAAAAGCCAAGACAGGGAAGCCTCAAGAACTGTAAGCATCTAGTTCATGCCGCCTCCATTCTCTCCCATCTGACGCCCCCATCACTGCTATTGTCTTTTATTTATTTATTTATTTTGAGACAGGGTCTTGCTCTATTGTCCAGGCTGGAGTGCAGTGGTGCAATCACGGCTCACTGCAGCCTCGACTTCTGGGCTCAAGCGATCCTCCCACCTTGGCCTCCCCAAAGTGCTGGGATCACAGGTATGAACCACCACACCTGGTCCATCACTGCTGTTCATTCTCAGGTTGAAATGACATCAAGACCAATTCAGGGGTGTCTGTTGGCCCTGGAAGGCGCTCTGCTCCCAGCCCTCCCTGCCACTGCTGGACAAGGACACCAAGGCGGGAGTGAGTGTGGGTTGTCCAACTGTACCCGCCTCTGCTTTTCTTTTCTTTTCTTTCTTTCTTTCTTTTTTTTTTTTTGAGACAGAGTCTTGCTCTGTCACCCAGGATGGAGTGCAATGGCGCAATCTCGGCTCACTGCAACCTCCGCCTCCCAGGTGCAAGTGATTCTTCTGCCTCAGCCTCCCAAGTAGCTGGGATGACAGGTGCCCGCCACCACGCCCGGCTAATTTTTGTATTTTTCAGTAGAGATGGGGTTTCACCATGTTGGCCAGGCTGGTCTTGAACTCCTGACCTCAGGTGATCCACCCACCTTGGCCTCCCAAAGTGCTGGGATTACAGGCATGAGCCGCCGCGCCCGGCCCCCCTCTGCTTTTTGAGGATGGGAGGGAGGCAGGTCTTGGTGTGTGTCCTGGAGAGTCGGGAGCGACCCCACCTTCCCAGGGCCCGGGAGGCCAGGTGGGATGGCGTTTGACCTTGTGGACTGGGCAATGAGGGGGGTGCTACGGGTTGGCAGCATCTGTCTCCCATGCCGATCAGCCCTCTCCCAGCAGATCCATGTAGGTCGATGCAAAATTAATTAGAGTAATCAACTCGGCCACACCGCGGAGAGCACACTGGCAGGGTTAGGTCACTAATTGGTAGGAGCTGCCAGTGTGTCCCCGTGTCTTTAAGGTATTAACACCCCCCTCCCACCACAGATTAATTACCGTTTTGCATCCTCCACCGTATTCGTGGCTCCTGGATCTGCTCTTGCTGGGGAGGAGGTTTGCAGGCTAGCATGGGAGGGGCAGCAACGTGGACTCTGTGTCCCCTCCCCCAGGATGAGTCTGTGCAGGGAGACTGGGATCCAGGGAGTGGCAGATGGCTGCATTCAATCCTGGAAGTGCAACACCTGTGAGCCAAGAGGCCCTTGGAAGGGGTGGCATGCATTCCCATTGATGCGGGACTCACAGGGACAATTGCCCAACTACCTGTCTATTCATCTCCTCACCCATCCATGTGTATCCTTATCCATGCACCCATCCACTCATCCATCCATCCATCCATTAATCCATCCATTCATCCATCCATCCATCCACCCACACATGCACCTGCCCATCCATCCATCTGTCCACCCACCCACCCACTCATCCATCCATTCACACATCCATCCACCCATCCATCCATCTACACATGCACCTGCCCATCCATCCATCCATCCACCCACCCATCCATCCACCCACACATGCACCTGCCCATCCATCCATCCATCCACCCACCCATCCATCCACCCACACATATACCTGCCCATCCATCCATCTATCCAGCCACCCACCCACTCATCCATCCATTCATCCATCCATTCACATATCCATCCATCCATCCATCCATCCATCCATCCATCCATCCATCCACCCACCCATCCATCCATTGACCCATCCATTTCTCTATCCATCCATCCATCCATCCATCCATCCATCCACCCACCCATCCATCCATTGACCCATCCATTTCTCTATCCATCCATCCACCCAATTATTGACCCATCCGTCCATCCATCCATCTATCCTCCCATGTGCCCATCCATCCATCCACCCATCCACCCATTGACCCATCCATCCATCCATCCATCCATCCATCCATCCACCCACTCATCTACCCACCCATCCATCCACTCATCTACCCATCCACTCATCCACCTATCCACCTGCCCACCCATTCATCCATCCATCTACCTATCCATCCATCCATTCTGTCGTCCATCCACCCATTCATCCCTTCCTCCCTCCCTCCCTCCATCCATCACCCACCCACTCATCCATCTGCTATGGTTTGGATATGATTTGTTTGGTCCCAAGTCTCATGTTGAAATTTGATCCCCAACATTGAAGGTGGGGTCTGGTGGGAGGGATTTGTCATTAATGGCTTTGTGCCATTCTCACAGGAGTGAGTTCTCACTCTTATTTTCTGCCAGAACTCATTGTTGAAAAGCGCCTGGCATCTTCCTTCTCTCTCTCACCATGTAATCTGCACAGGGAGGCTTCCTGCCTTGAGTGGAAGCTTCCTGAAGCCCTCATCAGAAGAAGATATTGGTGCCATGCTTCTTGTACAGCATGCAGAACTATGAGCCAAGGCCAGGCGCGGTGGCTCACGCCTGTAATCCCAGCACTTTGGGAGGCTGAGGCGGGCAGATCACGAGGTCAGGTTAGCCATCCTGGCTAACACGGTGAAACCGCGTCTCCATTAAAAATACAAAAAAATTAGCCAGGTATGGTGGCGGGTGCCTGTAGTCCCAGCTGCTGGGGAGGCTGAGGCAGGAGAATGACGTGAACATGGGAGATGGAGCTTGCAGTGAGCTGAGACTGCGCCACTGCACTCCAGCCTGGGCGACAGAGTGAGACTCCATCTCCAAAAAAAAAAAAAAAAAAGGACTATGAGCCAAATAAGCCTCTTCTTTAAAAAAATTAATTACCCAGACTTAGGCATTCCTTTGTAGCAACACAAACAGACTAAGACACCATCCATCCACCCACTATTACCCAACTGTCTACCCATCCATCCGTCCATTGATCTGTCCATCCATACTCCCACCATACATTCACTATCCATCCATCTGTCCATTGATCTGTCCGTCCGTACTGCCACCATACATTCATCATCCATCTATAGACTCATCCATTCGCCTATCCATCCATTCATTCATCTATCCACCTATCATCAATTTTTCCATCTATACATCCATCATCTATTATAATACACCTTCCATAAATTCATCCGTCCATTCATCTGTCCATCCATTCTTCCATTCATCTGTACACCCATTCATCCATCTATTCCTGTGATCATTCATCCATACACGCATCCAACCATTCATCCATACACTGCCTACCCACTGATCTATCAATCCATCTCTTCCATTCATCCACCAACCATTTATTGATATTATTTATTAATATATTGATATTTACAAACAAATATATTTATGTTTATTTATTTATTTATTTATTTATTTAGAGATGGAGTCTTGCTCTGTCACCCAGGCTGGAGTGCAGTGGCATGATCTCGGCTCACTGCAAGCTCCACCTCCCGGGTTCACGCCATTCTCCTCCCAAGTAGCTGGGACTACAGGCACCCGCCACCACTCCCGGCTAATTTTTCTATTTTTAGTACAGATGGGGTTTCACCGTGTTAGCCTGAATGGTCTCAATCTCCTGACCTTGTGATCCGCCCACCTCAGCCTCCCAAAGTGCTGGGATTACAGGTGTGAGCCACCGTGCCCAGCCATGTATTTGTTTAAACACCTCTTTTCAACTATTTTGGACACAGATCTAGAAGTAGACTTGCTAGATGATATACCTTGATTTTTAAAATATAACAACTCCTGGGGCTGGGCACGGTGGCTCATGCCTGTAATCCCAGCACTTTGAGAGACTGAGGTGGGCGGAAGGCCGAGGCGAGTGGATCACGAGGTCAGGAGATTGAGACCATCCTGGCTAACACGGTGAAACCCCGTCTCTATTAAAAATACAAAAAATTAGCCAGGCATGGTGGCGGGCGCCTGTAGTCCCAGCTACTCGGGAGGCTGAGGCAGGAGAATGGCATGAACCTGGGAGGCGCAGCTTGCAGTGAGCTGAGATCACACCACTGCACTCCAGCCTGGGCGACAGAGCAAGACTCCGTCTAAAAATATATATATTTAAATATATGTATTTATATATATAAATACATATATTTATATATGAAATATACATTTATATATAAATACATATATTTATATATGAAATATACATTTATATATAAATACATATATTTATATATGAAATATATATTTATATATTATATAATTATATAAACTATATAATTTTTAATATATTTATTATATATAATTATATTATATATACTATATATAATATGTGATATACATAATATTATATATTATATATATATAACAACTCCCATTATTGGCATGGATGAGAGTAAATGAACAGGCTGATGTACAATGGAAGGATATGTATTTTATGAAGTTTCAGAGATAATTTGATAAAATGTATCAAAAGCCTTACTATTTGTTTTATGGTCTCTTGACAAGCAACTCCAGGATGAATTTGTCCTGAAGAAAAACTTCAGAGAGTGTAAGAGATTCATGTCCAAGGATGCTCATTGTTGCGCCTTTTCTTTTCTAAAAAAAATTTTCGGCCAGGTGCAGTGGCTCATGCCTGTAATCCCAGCACTTTGGGAGGCCGAGGTCAGGAGTTCGAGACCAGCCTGGCCAATATGGTGAAACCCCGTCTCTACAAAAATACAAAAATTAGCTGGGCATGGTGGCGAGCGCCTTTAATCCCATCTACTCGGGAGGCTGAGGCAGGAGAATCGCTTGAACCCGGGAGGCAGAGGTTGCAATGAGCCGAGATCATGCCACTGCACTCCAGCCTGGGCGAACAGAATGAGACTCCGTCTCAAAAAAAAAAAAAAAAACAAAACAAAACTTCTGGAGATGGGGCCTTGCTACGTTGGCCAGGGTGGTCTCGAACTCCTGAGCTCAAGCAATTCTCCCACCTTGGCCTCCCAAAGCGCTGTGATTATACGCATGAGCCACTGCGCCTGGCCTGTGGTGTCTTCTTCTCTTCTCTTCTCTTTTCTCTTCTCTTCTCTTCTCTTCTCTTCTCTTCTCTTCTCTTCTCTTCTCTTCTCTTCTCTTCTCTTCCTCTTCTTCTCTTCTCTTCTCTTCTCTTCTCTTCTCTTCTCTTCTCTTCTCTTCTCTTCTCTTCTCTTTAGATACAGGGTTTCCGTCTGTCGCCCAGACTGGAATGCGGTGGTGTGATCTCAGCTCACTGCAGCCTCAACCTCCAGGCTCAAGCGATCCTCCCGCTTCAACCTCCTGAGTAGCTGGGTTTATAGACAAGAGCCACTGTGCCTCGCCCAAGGTAACAAGTGAAAATTGTAGACATTTTGGAAAATACTGATACTGCAGCTGGATTTGAATTTCCACCCCACCTTCACTCAATTGTTCTTGCCATTTAAGTACAGTTTCCTAGTTATTTTGTTTGTTTTCTGTTTTTTTTTTTTTTTTGAGATGGAGTCTCGCTGTGTTGCCCAGGCTGGGGTGCAGTGGTGTGGTCTCGGCTCACTGCAACCTCCATCTCCCGGGTTCAAGCGATTCTCCTGCCTCAGCCTTCTGAGTAGCTGGAATTACAGGTGCACACCACCACGCCCAGCTAATTTTTGTATTTTTAGTAGAGACGGGGTTTCACCGTGTTGGCCAGGTTGGTCTTGAACAGACTGGTCTCGAACTCCTGACCTCAGGTGATCCACCCACCTAGGCCTCCCAAAGCGCCGGGATGACAGGTGTGAGCGACCGTGCCCAGCCCAGTTTCCTAGTTCTTGTACTGCAAGTGTCTTGGCCGTTAAGGGGCCCTTGCCTGTCTCCAGGAAATGGTGTTGTTTCCTCAAACTCACCCCCACTTTGCAGACGAGAGCCCTGAGGCTCCAGGGTCCCACTGTGAGGGACACTCCAACCTGGGAGGGTGTGACTCCCCCCGCACAGTGCTCTTTCCACCACCTGAGGCTGTGGATTCCGGCCGGGGGGCTGGGGAAAGGAGGGGAGACTGCTTTCATCTGCCCACTGGCGAGGGACCCCACCTCACAGCCGGTGAGGGGCCAACCAACCCGTGCCAGGAAGTGGGCCATGGCGGGAAGTCTGTGGGGCCGGGACCCGCCCGGAATACAGACGCAGCTGCAGCGTCGGAGTGGCCCAAATCGGATTCTCCGGGGAAATCTGAAGCCTCTGATGTGTGGGGAAGGTTCAAACTTGAACAAAGGCTGGGTGGACAGGAGACTCGGCCAGGGCCGGGCGGGGGCCAGGAGCCACGGGGGTGATCCTGAGTCTGCCCGTCCTCAGCTGTGATGGGGGCTCCCCAGGGCACCTTCTGGGGGAGATCTCAGGTCCTGCTTTGGGTTCTGTGATGGAGAGGGGGGAGCAAAGAGAGAGAGGGAGGAGGAGAGAGGGAGACAGAGAGACAGAGAATGAGATAGAGACAGAGAGAGAGAGAGGCAGAGACAGAGAGACAGAGACAGACACAGAGACAGAGAGAAAGATAGAGGCAGAGAGAGACACAGAGAGACAGAGAAAGAGACAGAAAAAGACAGAGACACAGACAGAGAGAGGCAGAGAGTGAAATAGAGAAGAGATAGAGACAGAGAGAGACACAGAGAGACAGAAACAGAGATAGAGGCAGAGAGAGACAGAGAGTCAAAGACAGAGATAGAGAGATAGGAAGAGACACAATCAGAGAGAGGCAGAAACAGAGAGACAGAGAGACAAAAAGACACAGAGACAGAGGCAGAAGAAATGGAAACTAAGAGGGAGAGACAGAGACCCACAGAGACATAGAGAGACACGGAGAGATAGAGAGAGACGGAGAGCGCGCAGGAGCCAGGGACACCGGTGGGCTGCAGATGCTCCCGCCCGTCTGCACCTCTGGCCCCAGTTCTGGCTGCCCCGCACCCAGCCCCCACCCCACAGCAAGAGGAGAGAAGCCCCAGCGGCCGCCTCGGCTATCGATCGTCCTTGGTTGCTGCGGCTGGAGCAGGCGGGGATCAGGGTGGCCTCATCTCCCTCGGCAGCAGCCACAACGCCGGGAGACCCAGCCCAGAGACCCCAACACCTGCGGGCCGGCGGCGGGGGCCAGGAGGAGTCACGTCCCATCTCTGCCCCTTGGGAATACGGATGGGGGTCAAGATCTGGGCACCCCCACCCCAACCCACGGGTCTGCCCCAGGCACCGTCTCAGCCTCTGACCCCCTGAAAGGTGTGCATGGAGTATCCTTCCTGCCCCAGGTTCCAGGGCCGGGGGTGGGACCCCCAGCACACAGTGGGTCTTGACACCTCTTTGTTCTGGAAACAGAGCATCCATCTGGGGCCTCAAGCCTGGGCCCTCTCTGGCTCCCTGCCAGGTCCAGGCTGGAGCCTTGAAGCCGGGCACAGTCGGATCCGACACCTGGGTCCCCATGGGGCCTGGGCCAGCCTTGGTGGCCACGCCTGTCAAATGGGGCCGCGTCTCGGCCACAAGGGAGGCGGTCACAGTAACTCCAGAGCCTGGGCTCCTCCTGGAAGGCAAGGACCAAAGTCCAGGCCAGCTCCTGTCCCCCATCTCCACATAGGGGTCGGTATGGGGGTGGGAAGTGACCGGGACCAGCAACCCCCCGGCTCTGTGAGGCTCAGGCGGAGAGCAGGACCCCACCAGCTTCCACGTGCTGGTGCCTTCTGAGCCCCCCTCCGTGTATGCATCCTTGGGGGCTCACAAGGGCAGGAACCCCCAGACCTGCCACAGACCAGGGCACTGAGGCTGGAGCAGAGCCCCTGCCTGGGCTCGCCTGTGGCCCCCCAAGACCCCCAGGCCTTGCTCTCCAGGGTCATGGGTGCCAAGGGCCACCAGGCTCTCTACGTTTAGAGCAGCCAAATCTCCAAACCCAGGGTGCCCCTAAGCCCCGCCTGGGGTCTTCCCCACCTCCTGGTGAAGGGTCAGGGCCCCACCCTCCCCTCCCCAGCGGCCGGGGCCAGGCTGAGCATACCCTGGGCTCTGGTTCATTCCGGCATGAGGCCCCATGCCAGGCACATGGCACAGCCCACGCCCCCAGCCCCACTGTCAGGGCCGCCCCGCCCCGGCTCTGTAGAAGGCAGAGCCCCTTGCAGTTCGAAGGAAATTCAAGTCCTGACTCCGAGACAGGCCGGATCGGCCGGGAGGTGACACGGTGATGCTGAGACTCCCTCGGTGGGTGCCACTTGGAGAGGGGGCAACACCCGGACCCCGCCCAGCAAGCCGGCCCCAGGAGGGTGGGAGCGCCAGGGCCTCCCTCCCAGCGGGGGTTCTCACCCCCGAGACAGCCCAGGGTCACAGGACTGGGCTCCCAGCCCCCCATAAAGGCTTCTTAAACAGCCTGCTTGGCCAACTGTCATCTCCATTAATGCATAAAAATCATTAGGCACCGGTCCCGAGACCCCGATCGTAAACCAGCAGGTCCCCGGGGCCCTCACCCGGGCGGCAAATGGCATCCAGGGGAGGCTCCCAGGCCCCCGCGGCGCCCGCCCCGCCCGGCCCTCCACTCGGAGCCTCTTCCGATCGATGTTATGAAGCAGCTTGGGGTTCGTCAATGCTCCCGCTCCCGCTTTATGCCCCTGTTTAAAAATTCTTAATTAAGCAGGTTTTTTCTGTTTACACTTGAACTAATTACACTTTTAAAACCAACAATAAAACATTAGGCCCAGGCTATTAAGAGCTTCGGTGCAGGCCTGCGGCGCGGCCCATGGGGCAATTCAGGAACTGGGTCCTTCCATGGGAGATAGGAGTGCCGGGCGGCGGGCGGGTGCCAGGCGTCCCTTAAGAGGGTCCCCGGGCCTTATCCGCCTTCCTGGAGGGTGGGGAGGGGACAGCAGGCGCCCTGATGAGCCGCGCTTCCGCCCCCCCGGCGGCCGATGGACCTATTGATCGCATGGCCTTATCCACGGTGCATCTTCCGGGGCATCCTCGGAAGACGTGGTCCGTGCCAGGGAGGGCTGAGGGCCAGCCAGAGGGAGAACCGGAGGGCCAGGAGGGTCTGAGGCGGAAGATTTGGGTGCCGGGTCAGCAGATGGTGACTCTGGCCCCTGGACAGTGTCCTGAAGGGCGTTCAGTGGCCTGGCCCCAGAGGTGGGAGCATATTTGGGACTGGGGCGACATGTGCAGGCCCAGGGGGCACCATGGGGTTCCCAACAAAGCCCCCCATCCCTTGATGGGCATCTGAAGCTCTGTCTGAGCTGGACCAAAGCCGGCCTCCCGTCCCACTGCAGAGGCACCTGGGCCGGGTCACTGGTGGTGACTTCAAATGCTCCACGTGCACCACCAGCCGGGGCTCATGGGCTCCTTGGCGTGGAATGTCCTCCACCAACTTCCTTCTCTTCTTATTTCTTGAGACAGGGTCTCGCTCTGTCACCCAGGCTGGAGTGCGGTGGCGCAATCATAGCTGACTGCAGCCTCAACCTCCTGGACTCAAACGATCCTCCCACCTCAGCCTCCAAAGTAGTTGGGACTACAGGTGTGCATCACCACACTCGGCTAATTTTTGAATTTTTTTGTTTGCTTTGTTTTGTTTTTTGAGACGGAGTTTCACTCTTGTTGCCCAGGCTGGAGTGCAATGACACGATCTCGGCTCACTGCAACCTCCATCTGCTGGGTGGAAGCGATTCTCTTGCTTCAGCCTCCCAAGCAGCTGAGATTACAGGCATGAGCTATCAGGCCCAGCTAATTTTGTATCTTTAGTAGAGACAAGGTTTTACCATGTTGGTCAGGCTGGTCTTGAACTCCTGACCTCAGGTGATCCACCAACCTCAACCTCCCAAAGTGCTGGGATTACCGGCATGAGCACCGTGCCGGCCTGAATTTTTGAAATTTTTGTATAAGTTGGCGGGGGTGGGGGGTGGTCTCACTATGTTGCCCAGGCTGATCTCGAACTCCTGAGTTCAAGCAATCCTCGCCTCGGCCTCCCAAAGTGCTGGGATTACAGGCATGAGCCACTGTGTCCGGCCAACCTCCACCAATTTAGGCCTTAGCTGCTTCCGCCCATCCCTCAGTCCAGCTTGGTGGCCGCCCTACAGAGCTTCCCGAAGCTGATGTGAGCCTCTTGAGCTCCTCAGACTCTAAGAATTTTTGAGGCATGGGGCCTTCTAGGCTGTATCCGCAAGTTGCTGTGAGCACTGATACCTCGGGGGCTGCTCTGAAGACAGCCACAGGGTCCCCCAGGGTCCACTGGGGCCTTGGTCTGTCCTCTCTGCATGACCCCATCTCACCCACGGCCCCACCATCCATCCCATCTCCCAGGAGAGTTGCTGCCCTCCTTCGCACCCCACCCCGATGGTTACCTTCTCCAGCATCCTCGAGTCTCACCCAAGTCTCCCTGGAATACGCCCGCTCTGCCATGTTCCAGCAGCCCTCACCTTCTCCCAGCCTCACCTCTGGACTCCACCCTCGAGACCAGGCTCTGCAAACTTTCTTTCTTTCTTTCTTTTTTTTTTTTTTTTTTTGAGATGGAGTCTCACTCTCTCACCCAGGCTGGAGTGCAGTGGCGCGATCTCAGCTCACTGCGAGCTCCGCCTCCCGGGTTCACGCCATTCTCCTGCCTCAGCCTCCCGAGTAGCTGAGACTACAGGCACCCGCCACCTCGCCCGGCTAATTTTTTGTATTTTTAGTAGAGACGGGGTTTCACCATGTTAGCCAGGATGGTCTCGATCTCCTGACCTCGTGATCCGCGCACCTTGGCCTCCCAAAGTGCTGGGATGACAGGCGTCAGCCACCACGCCCGGCCCTCTGCAAACTTTCTATAAGGGACCAGGTAGCCAATGTTTTTGGCTTTTTGAATTGGACAGTCTCTGTCAGGACTGCTCAGCTCTGCAGTGGCAGTAAAACCACCACAGACAATATATAAGTGAGTGGCTGTGGCTGTGTGTCAATAAAGCTTTATTTATAAAGACAGACTGGCCAGGTGCTGTGGCTCATGCCTGTACTTTGGGAGGCCAAGGCTGGTAGATCACCCCAGGTTAGGAGTTCAAGACCATCCAGCCTGACTAACGTGGTGAAACTTCATCTCTACTAAAATTACAAAAATTAGCCGGGCATGGTTGCACGCACCTGTAGTCCCAGCTACTTGGGAGGCTGAGGCAGGAGAATCACTTGAACCCGGGAGGCAGAGGTTGCAGCGAGCTGAGATCGCACCACTGCACTCCAGCCTGAGTGACAGAGTGAGACTGTCTCAGAAAAAGAAAGAAAAAAAAAAGTAAGAAAAAAGTATCATTCAAAGTGCTAACATTAAAGCTTTTTTCTTTCTTCTACAGTCTCTCTCAACTTGTCATAGTTTTCTTCAATTTGCTATTCCACATCATTCTACAGTTTATTTTACATATTTTTTAGACAGAGTCTCACTTTCGCCCAGGCTGGAGTGCAGTGGTGCAATCACAGCTTGCTGAGGCCTTGACTTCCTGGGCTCAAGTGATCCTCCCATCTCAGCCTCCCAAGTAGCTGGCACCACAGGCATGCACCACCACTGTATTAGCCTGTTTTCATGCTGCTGATAAAGACGTACCTGAGACTGGGAAGAAAAAGAGGTTTAATGGTCTGGGCACAGTGGCTCACGCCTGTAATCCCAGCACTTTGGGAGGCTGAGGTGGGAAGATCATGAAGTCAGGAGATCGAGGCTATCCTGGCTAACATGGTGAAACCCCATCTCTACTAAAAATACAAAAAATTAGCTGGGCCTGGTGGTGTGCACCTGTAGTCCCAGCTACTCAGGAGGCTGAGGCAGGAGAATGGTGTGAACCCAGGAGGTAGAGGTTACAGTAAGCCAAGATTACGCCACTGCACTGCAGCCTGGGTGACAGAGCGAGACTCCACCTCAATAAAAGAAAAGAAAAGAAAAAAAAAAGAGGTTTAATGGACTCACACTTCCACACGTCTGAGGAGGCCTCACAATCATGGTGGAAGGCAAGGAGGAGCAAGTCATGCCTTACATGGATGGCAGCAGGCAGAGAGAGCTTGTGCAGGGAAACGCCCGTTTTTAAACCATCAGATCTCGCGAGACTCATTTACTATCACGAGAACAGCGCAGAAAAGACCCGCCCCCATAATTCAATCACCTCCCACAGGGTTCCTCCCACGACACGTGGGAATTGTGGGAGCTACAATGCAAGATGAGATTTGGGTGGGGACACAGCCAAGCCATATCCACCACACTTGACTGATGTTTTCATTGTTTTGTAGAGATGGGGTCTCACTGTGTTAGCCAGGAAGGTCTCAAACTCCTGGGCTCGCATGATCCTCTCACCTCGAATTCCCAAAGTGCTGGGATCCCAAAGGCGTGAACCACCTAAAATTTTTTTAATTTTTAAATTTTAAAAAACTTTTAAATTTTTTTAAGCCTAAAATTTTTAAAATTTAATTTATTATTGTGAATTTGACCATTCATCTTTATGCTATGTAATGCCAGGTTTAAATACAACTATTGAAAGAATTTCATCATTTGGTCTGGAAATATTGGCTATGGTTCTTTAAGAACATGTGACTTGTCTACAGAATCACCTAAATTAGGCCATTTGTGTTTTGGAGATTGCATGAGCATATGTGTTTGGTTCTGATGGGAACAACTGAAACACTGAACAAAATTAACCTGTTTTTATTTCACTTTTTCTTTCCTTTTCTTTTCTTTTTTTTGGAGATGGGATCTCACTCTGTTGCCAAGGTGGGAATGCAGTGGTGCAATCACAGCTCACTGCCACCTCAACCTCCTGGGCTCAAGCAACCCTCCAGCATCAGCCTTCAGAGTAGCTGGGACTGGAGGCATGTACCACCATGCTCGGCTTATTGTTTGTTCATTTTTTTGTTTTTTAGAGATGGGGTCTTGCTATGTTTTCCAGGCTAGTCTTGAGCTCCTGGGCTCAAGCAATCCTCCCACCTTGGCCTCCCAAAGCGCTGGGATTACAGGTATGAGCCACCATGCCCAGCCTTTATTTTACCTCTTCGTGCACGCCTATTCTACCAACTCTCTCACACACTCACCTGGTACTCGTTTTGGGTCTCGCTGAACTCTCATGAGCTGTGGGATCCTGGATCTCTGTGCCCCTGGGCATAGTGACCACTAGGTGCAAACAGACCAACATGGAATAGCTAAGCACACACGTTTTCAGGACCTCCCTTGCTCACAGGCTCGCTCCACTGTTCCACTGGACTTCACTTATAAAACACAAGTTCAGGCTGGGCGTGGCCAAGGTGGGTAGATCACGAGGTCAGGAGTTTGAGGCCAGCCTGGCCAATGTGGTGAAACCCCATCTCTACTAAAAATACAAAAAAATTAGCCGGGTGTGGTGGCTCACACCTGTAATCCCAGCTACTTAGGAGGCTGAGGCAGAAGAATCACTTGAACCTGGGAGGCAAAGATTACAGTAAGCTGAGATCACACCACTGCACTCCAGCCTGGGTGACAGAGCGAGACTGCATTAAAAACAAACAAACACACACACACACACACACACACACACACACACACACAAGTTCAAAGATCAAATTAGCAAAAGCATCAAGATGGTGACAGACACCAGAGCATTAAGCCAAACATGAAACCCTGAACCACTGGGCTACACATCCATGAAGCCGGACCAGCCAGATGGGCCTGGTAGACAGCAGGCACTTAACAAATGCTTGCCAAGTAAATCGTTGGAATATGTTGGAGATCATCTAATCTCTGGGGGTTTGCAGTGTTCCTGGCAGCCTCAGAGGCTGTGAACATCTCCCAGCTCCAAGGTAGGGTCAGGAATGGGGGAGTTGTGTAGGGAAGTGTCCTCTGGGCGAGCTGAATAGTGGCCCCCCACAGATGTGCACCCCCGAATCCTAATCCCTGAAACCTATGGATAGGTCACTTTACATCCCTAAAGGGACTCTGCAGATGGGACTAAATGAAGGACCTTGGATAGGAGATCATACTGGATTATCTGGGGGATGCCCAATGTCCTCACAGGGTTCTTTTAAGAGGCGGCGGGAGGGCCAGGAGCAGTGGCTCATGCTTGTGATCCCAGCACTTTGGGAAGCCAAGGTGGGTGGATCACTTGAGGTCAGGAGTTCGAGACCAGCCTGGCCAACATGGTGTAACCCCGTCTCTACTAAAAATACAAAATTAGCTGGGCGTGGTGGCAGGTGCCTGTAATCCCAGCTACTCAGGAGGCTGAGCCAGGAGAATCGCTTGAACCTGGGAGGCAGAGGTTGCAGTGAGCTGAGATGGTGCCACTGCACCCCAGCCTGGGGAGTCAGAGAGAGACTGGAAAAGGCAGCACTGTGGCTGTGAAGGGGGAGAAAGGGCCCTAAGATGAGGGATGCGGACGCCTCTAGACCCTGGGAAAGGCAGGAAATGGGTTCTCCCCTGGAGCCTCCAGGAGGGACCAGCCCTGCCCATGCCTTGATTTTAGGATTTCTTATCTCCTGAACCATGAAAGCATAAATCTGTGAAGTTTCGAGCCAATAAATTTGAGGTCATTTATTACAGCAGCTGCAGGGCAGGCACCCAGCCTGCACCCCCACCTGGAGGACAGGACTCTGCTTGCATCTGTCTGACACACCCACATTCTGAAAATTGATTCTTCTTGCCGGGCGCGGTGGCTCACGCCTGTTATCCCAGCACTTTGGAAGTCCAAGGCGAGAGGATCATTTGAGGTCAGGAGTTCCAGACCAGCCTGGCCAACGCGGTGAAACCCCATCTCTACTAAAAATACAAAAATTAGTAGGGTGTGACAGTGGGTGCCTGTAATCCCAGCTACTCAGGAGGCCGAGCCAGGAGAATTGCTTGAACCTGGGAGGCAGAAGTTGCAGTGAGCTGAGATCGTGCCACTGCACTCCAGCCTGGGCGACAAGAGCGAGACTCCAACCCAAAAAAAAAAGAAAGAAAGAAAGAAAGAAAGAAAGAAAGAAAGAAAGAAAGAAAGAAAGAAAGAAAGAAAGAAGATTGATTCTTCCAATAAGGCATTCTGACCAGGTGCAGTGGCTCACACCTGTAATACCAGCACTTTGGAGACCGAGGTGGGCGGATCGTCTGAATTCAGAAGTTTGAGACAAGCCTGGAAAACATGCTGAAACCCCATCTCTGCTAAAAATGCCAAATTAGCCGGGTATGGTGGCACATGCCTGTAATCTCAGCTACTTAGGAGGCTGAGGCAGGAGAATCTCTTGAACCCGGGACGCGGAGGTTGCAGTGAGCCGAGATCGTGCCATTGCACTCCAGCGTGGGCGACAGAGTGAGACCCCCGTCTCAAAATTTTGTATTTTTAGCAGAGATGGGGTTTCAGCATATTTGCCAGGCTAGTCTCAAACTCCTGACTTCAGATGATCCGCCCGCCTCTGCCTCCCAAAGTGCTGGGATTACAGGCGTGAGCCACCGCGCCCTGTCAGGATGCTATATTGGAAGAATCAATTTGGAGGCTGGGAAATTTGGAGGCTAGAGGAGGTAACCCATTAGTGATTTCAGAAGGAGGGGGGACACACCAGGGGAGGGGAGAGGGTTGCAGGGCCTTCATGGGGGGGTTACCCTATGGGAGACCCCAAAGCGGGGACAGTGGGGACCTCTGAACTAGGACACCCTAGGCACAGGGGCAGCCGGGCGCCAGGCTGGGGACCTCCCACCCGTCTCCACACACAGAGGCTCCGGCTCCTTCCGGAAGGACTGCCTGGATTTTCGGGGCAGGTGCTGTGTCCCTCCCTGACACTGGGGCTCCCCTGCATTTTGGCCATCAGCTGCCCACGGCCCCCTTCCTTCTCATGGGCACCTGGGACAAGTGAGGGGCACAGGTGGATTAACACCTGACTGAGGATGAGTCTCTCTCTTCCCGGCAGGGCCCTGGCTGAGACCACCGTCAGGGGCCGCCATCAGCTGGTGAGTCCACAGCCCGCCCCAGGGCTGCAAATTCGGGGGTGGGGTGTGGTGTGTTCCTGGGCTGTTTTGGGGAGGATACACTCTGGGGAGGCCCCTGTGTCTAGCATGGCCAAGCTGGTGGGGAGGACGGGCTTCAGGTCACAGTGGCCCCCTGCCCCGTGTGGGGAGGGACAGAGGACACGGCAGGTGGACGGCAGCAGGCGGGGAACATGGGGACCCCTTGGGGACAGGCAGGTGGCAGGAAACACTTGCCTGGGGTGGAGGTCACAGCTGGAGAAGGGGGACATTCCCAGCAGCCTGGAGCAGGGGCTCCACAGGGGCCGGTCCAAGCCTCTTGCCCACAGCCAGCCCAGCTTTCTCGAACAGGCGTTTTCCCGAGTCTGGGGCGGGGGGAGCATTTCTGAGAAGGAAAAGAGTCCCTCAGGGTTTCGGGGTTTCTGAGAACCGTTTCCACCTTTTCTCAGAAGTGCCTCCCCCAGACCCATCCCCGGGCCCCAGCCTGACAGGCATCAAACCTCCACTCCAGGGCTCTGGGAGGGGGTGAGCTCCCCGTCCCTGGGGAGTGCAAGCCGGCGCGGAGATGGGGGCCGGGCTGGGGACCAAGGCTTCCTCCAAGCCGGTGAGGGTCGTTTCCCAGCTCAGACAGAGGCACGGAAATCAGCTGTGGCCACTTCCGTGTTGGAGAAACTGAGGCGCAAAGACAAGACCTGCTTGGGTCATTCCCATGAGTTCAGAGAGGGGAACCGAGTGGGTGCGGCGTGGCCTCATGTGGAGGCAACTGACGAGGGGCGGGGCAGGTGGGCGTGGCTTTGGTGGAGGGGCGCTGCCTTGTGTGGGCGTGGCCTGTGTTTGGGCGTGGCCTGCTGTGGCCGGCTTTCTCATGGGGCGTGACGCCAGGTCCCCTAGAGGGAAGGGGACATTTGCGACCTCCCTCCCTCCCTTCCACATCCAGGCTCTGGAGAAGCGACACAGAACGCAGTCAGCCGGCCTCTCCCTGCAGGAGCTGAGGGTCTAGCAGGGCGGGGGTGTGGACTGCAGCAGTGGTTCCTTTGACACGGAGTATATTTCGTTCTTGCCACCCAGCCTCTGACTTGCTGCTTTGGAACTCCACCTCATTTCACCCTCGCTGCAAATCACCTGTCTCACAGATGGGGAAACTGAGGCTCTGAGAAGCCAAGCAGCTTGCCCAAGGCCCACAGAGGGTCTGAACTCGGGTCCGGCTGCCTCTAGAAGGCTTACAGGGAATCCGGCCTCAGCCTCCCCCAGACCACCAATTTCCAAACTCATGCAAAATTGTCCTCAAACTGCCAACCTCCTCCTTCCTACCAGGCGGCTCCAGAAAGAAATGCCAACTGTCTGTCGGGCGCAGTGGCTCACGCCTGTAATCCCAGCACGTTGGGAGGCTGAGGTGGGAGGATCGCTTGAGGCCAGGGGGTTGAGATCAGCCTGAGCAACACAGAGAGACCCCCGTCTCTAACAAAAAATAAAAAATCAGGCCGGGCGCGGTGGCTCACACCTGTAATCCCAACACTTTAGGAGACCGAGTCGGGCTGATCATGAGGTCAGAAGTTCGAGACCATCCTGGCAAACATGGTGAAACCCAGTCTCGCCGGGCGCGGTGGCTCACGCCTGTAATCCCAGCACTTTGGGAGGCCGAGGCGGGCGGATCACGAGGTCAGGAGATCGAGACCATCCTGGCTAACACGGTGAAACCCCGTCTTACTAAAAATATAAAAAAAAATTAGCCGGGCGTGATGGTGGGCGCCTGTAGTCCCAGCTACTCCGGAGGCTGAGACAGGAGAATGGCGTGAACCTGGGAGGTGGAGCTTGTAGTGAGCCGAGATCGCGCCACTGCATTTCAGCCTGGGCGACAGAGTGAGACTTTGTCTCAAAAAAAAAAAAAAAAAAAGAAACCCAGTCTCTACTCTACTAAAAATACAAAAATTAGGCTGGGCATGGTGGCTCACCATGTAGTACCAACACTTTGGGAGGCTGAGGCAGGTGGATCACAAGGTCAGGAGTTCAAGACCAGCCTGGCCAACATGGTGAAACCCCGTCTCTACTAAAGATACAAAAAATTAGCTGGGCATGGTGGCATATGCCTGTAGTCCCAGCTACTTGGGAGGCTGAGGCAGGAGAATCGCTTGAACCCTGGAGACAGAGGTCGCAGTTAGCCGAGATCATGCCATTGCACTCCAGCCTGGTGACAGAGCCAGACTCCGTCTAAAAAAAAAAAAAATAGCCGGGCATGGTGGTGCATGCCTGTAATCCCAACTACTCAGGAGGCTGAGGCAGGAGAATCGCTTGAACCCGGGAGGCAGAGGTTGCAGTGAGCCGAGATCGCGCCATCGCACTCCAGCTTGGGTGACAGAATGAGGCTCTGCCTTAAAAAAAAAAAAAAAAATCAGACCTGGCGGTGTGCACCTGTGGTCCCAGCTCCTCTGGAGGCTGAGGTGGGAGGATCACTTGGGCCCAGGAGGCCGAGGCTGGCACAGTGAGCTGTGTTTGAGCCACTGCACTCCAGCCTGGGAGACAGAGTGAGACCCTGTCTCAAAAAAAAAAAAAAATCTGTTTCTAATCTAGCGACTTCTCCCCACCTCTGCAGCCCTCCGCAGTCCTCAGCACCCCTTGCCCCCAGCCTGGACGTTGCTCCCAGACCTCCTTTTGTCTCCCCTCCTGCCCTCCAGGTAGTCCAAGAAATGACTTTTTTTTTTTTTTTTGAGACAGAGTCTGGCTCTGTCGCCCAGGCTGGAGTGCAATGGCGTGATCTCGGCTCACTGCAACATCTGCCTCCCGGCTTCAAGCGATTCTCCTGCCTCACCCTCCCGAGTAGCTGGGATTACAGGCACCTGCCACCTCGCCTGGCTAATTTTTTGTATTTTTAGTAGAGACAGGGTTTCACCATGTTGGCCAGGTGGGTCTCAAACCCCTGACCTCAGTTGATCCACCTGCCTCAGCCTCCCAAAGTACTGAGATTACAGGCGTGAGCCACCGCGCCCGGCCAGAAGGGACTTTTCAAAGTCTGGAGTTTCACCATGTTGGCCAGGCTGGTCTCAAACCCCTGACCTCAGGCGATCCACCTGCCTCGGCCTCCCAAAGTGCGGAATTATAGGTGTGAGCCACCGCACCCTGCCCTAATTTTTATATTTTTATACGAACTGCATCGTTGCCCATCTCCACCTGCCAGAAGCCCCCATGGCTTCTCCACTTCTCCGGAAAGCACAAATCCCCGCCCTGTCCCCGTCTCCACCTGGTCTCCCAGGCTCTTCCACGCACCATGCACCCTGCTCCAGGCAAACTGGCTTTTACTCTGCTGGTGTCTCAAGGCCTTTGCACATGCACCCTCTCTGTCTTGTCAGCTGGCTGTCCTCTGTATCCTCAAAGCCGCCTCCTTCAGGAGCCCTCCCCGATCCCAGGCAGAGCTTCCGAGGTACCCTCCGGGTCCTCCTCAGCTCCGGGTCTCCCTCTCCCACCCCATTCTGGTCCCACAGGGCTGGAGGTCATCCACACCTAGCAAAGGTCTACGGGGTCTCAACAACTCCTTGGGTGGATGGGTCTTTGCTGCTTTAGGCCTGGTCCTCAAAGAGGGGAGAACCTGCCTGGGCCCCACCTTGGCCCTGTCGCACGCAGGCCACGCCCCCTGGGAAAGCCGGCCCCTATAGACGACGTCCACATGCAGTTAGCGCGTTTGGCCCCGCCCCTCCACAAAAGCCTCACTCACTTGGCCCCGCCCCCTCGTCAGTCGCCCTCCGATGCGGCCACGCCCTATCCATCCCACCCATTCGGCTCCCCCAGCTCCGGAGTGGCTCCAGGTTTGGGGGCTTTTCTGATCACATGTTTTCTCTTGTTTTGTTTGTGTTTTTTGAGACAGAGTCTGGCTCTGTCGCCCATGCTGGAGTGCCGTGGCACAATCTCAGCTCACTGCAACCTCAGCCTCCCGGGTTCAAGCGATTCTCCTGCCTCAGCCTCCCAAGTAGTTGGGATTACAGGCGCCCGCCACCACGCCCGGCTAATTTTTGTATTTTTAGTAGAGACGGGGTTTCACCATGTTGGCCAGGCTGGTCTCGAACTCCTGACTTCAGGTGATCCACCCACCTCGGCCTCACAAAGTGCTAGGATTACAGGCATAATCCCTGATCATAGGTTTTCTAGAACTGCTTCATAGCAACCCCACTCTTCTTCTCCTCTTGGGGACAATGATAGGCCCTTGGCCACCCCTCCCTCTTGGCCCTTCTTCCTCCAGGTCTTACGCCCCCTCCTCCAGGAAGCCCTCTCTGACCCCTCCGTGGTTTTCTTGTGTGTGTGTGTGTGTGTGTGTGTGTGTGTGTGTGTGTGTGTGTGACGAAGTTTTGCTCTTGTCACCCAGGCTGGAGTGCAGTGGTGCGATCTCGGCTCACTGCAACCTCTGCCTCCCAGGTTCAAGCGATTCTCCTGCCTCAGCCTCCCAAGTAGCTGGGATTACTGGCGCCCATGACCACGCCCGGCTAATTTTTTGTATTTTAGTAGAGACAGGGTACTACTCTACCAAAAATGTTGGGCAGGCTGGTCTCGAATTCCTGACCTCAGGTGATCCACCCACCTCGGCCTTCCAAAGTGCTGGGATTACAGGCATGAGCCACCGCGCCCGGCCCCCTCCGTGGTTTTCTCATTGGACATTCATTGGTTTTTCTCTTCCATGAAAAGAGGTCATGTCCACTGTGATGACGACCGTGCCCACAGCCCCCGAAGCCCCCAGCCCAGGGGTTGGTGTGCAGCAGGGATTCGCAATACCTTTGTATAGACAGTCTCGAATGTAGGTTTCGGTCCCACTCGGAGGGAGGACCTCCAGACCCCAGGGGCACGAACATCAGCCTGGCTGGGCTCATCCGGAGGGGTCCCCCGTGAACTGCCTGCACCCGGCACCTCCTGGAATCCCCCCTAGCCCCGCCTTCAAATCCATGGATGCCTGAAGACTGGGGTGCAGA
This sequence comes from Homo sapiens, assembly GCF_000001405.40. NCBI lineage: Eukaryota > Metazoa > Chordata > Mammalia > Primates > Hominidae > Homo > Homo sapiens. The sequence continues at coordinate 1,686,839 of NC_000019.10, read as the reverse complement.
GCCTTCTAGGGTGGCCTCAGCCGCTCCTGCGTGCCGGGTGAGATATAGCAGCTATGCAGTCTCTACCACTGCAGCCCTTATCCACAAAATCCCAGACCCTTGAGGCTGAGGTTCTGGGGCTCCTCACTGGATTCAAATCCAGACAAAGCCATTTGCCGGTGGTGGGACCTCACAGGGGTCACTCAACGCTGGAAAAGGAGAGAAGAATGGAGGGCCCTGCAGGCCTCTTGTGGGGATTAAAGGAAATGATACTGGCCAGGCGCGGTGGCTCCCGCCTGGAATCCCAGCACTCTGGGAGGCCGAGGTGGACGGATCACTTAAGGCCAAGAGTTGGAGACCAGCCTGGACAACATGGTGAAACCTCGTCTCTACCAAAAAATATAAAAATTAGCTGGGCGTGGTGGCTCATGCCTGTAGTTGCAGCTACTCAGGAGGTTGAGGCAGGAGCATTGCTTGAACCCGGGAGGCGGAGGTTGTTCTAAGCTGAGATGGCTCCATTGCACTCCAGCCTGGGCAACAACAGTGAAACTCGTCTCAAATAAATAAATCATTAATTAATTAGTTAAAATAAATTAGATGATGCTTAGCACTGGGGTCAGCCACATGACCCTATGCGGTGGTTGTTACACTATTTTTCTTGTTTGTTTGTTTTGTTTTTGAGAGACAGTCTCACTCTGTCGCCCAGGCTGTAGTGCAGTGGTGCGATCACGGCTCACTGCAGTCACTATCTCCTGGGCTCAAGCAGTCCTCCAACCTCAGCCTCCAGAGTAGCTGGGACTACAGGCATGCACCACCAAATTCTGCTAATTATTTTTTAATTTTTTTGTAGAGGTGGGGTCTTGCTATGTTGTCCAGGCTGGTCTCAAACTCCTGGCCTCAAGTGATCTTCCCACCTTAGACTCCTGGGTAGCTGGGACTACAGGCACGTACCACCATGTTTGGGTAAATATTTTTTGGTTTTTATTTATTTATTTACTTTTAGATGGAGTCTCACTCTGTCACCCAGGTTGAAGTGCAATGGCGTGATCTTGGTTCACTGCAACCTCTGCCTCCCTGGTTCAAGCGATTCTCCTGCCTCAGCCTCCTGAGTAGCTGAGATTACAGGCATGCACCACCACACCCGGCTAATTTTTGTATTTTTAGTAGAGACAGGGTTTCACCATGTTGGTCAGTCTGGTCTCAAACTCCTGACCTTGTGATCCGCCTGCCTCGGCCTCCCAAAGTGCTGGGATTACAGGTGTGAGCCACCACGTCCGGCCAATATTTTTTTTATTTTTTTGTGCAACAGGTTTTGCTCTGTTGCCCAGGCTGGTCTCCAACTCCTGGGCTCAAGAGATTCTCCCACTTCAGCCTCCCATAGTGCTGGAATTACAGGTGTGAGCCACTGCGCCTGGCCAAGTTGTTATTATTAGCTGTTTTCCAGCCCCTTTGCCAATCTGCTATTGTGGGAGCACGATCCCATCCTGTAGAAGTGGAAACTGAGGCTCAGAGAGCAGCCAGCACCCCCCCAGACCCCTCTGGCCGCCTTCCCCCGGCTGGTCATGCCAGGTTGGAGAAGATAAAGCCGTGAGCCGTTATCAGCCGGTGCTGTGGTGACGGATGAGACGGAGAATTCCTGGCCGTCGCCGAGCCACCCCATCGATCGGGTGTTTCAGCCTCCGTGGCCGGCCACGATTAATTTATGTGGGACTGGAGAACACTAATTAAGTCTGTTTAAGAGGAAGTTAACTTGAATACCCTGACCGCCTGCCTTAAGCACCATCAGAGTGGCTGAGAGGTTCTGCACGTGCGCCAGGGCCACCCCCAGACTCGGCGATACTTCCTCTGGGGACTGACCGGTGTCCAGCCTGGGATGGAGCCTACACTGGCCCATCGCACACTATCAAGCCACCAAGAGCCGGCTCCCAGCTCCTGACGGCTTCAGCAGTTTCCACCAGTGCAGACAGGGCAGGGGGATTCCTGATTTGAAAGCCTGGACTCGCCTGTGGGGCTGGCCCCCAACTGCGTGCCCACAAGCCTTCGTGTGATCTGGCCTCTAAGGCTGAGGCCAAAGACGGGCACACAGTAGGTGCTCAATCCATGCTTGCCAAACCGGAGCTTGCTAATGGAACTTCGAATGCTCCCACTTGTACTCAGAGTGCAGCGATCACTCTTGAAGGCCAGTTGGGACACATCCCTCCCCCTGCTTGAGACCCTGCGTGGCTCCCCAGTGCCCTCCCCAGATCAGAATCCCTAACTGGAACTTTGGGAGACCGAGGCGGGACTATCACTTGAGGCCAGGAGCTCAAGTCCAGCCTGGGCAACATGGTGAGACCCCATCTCCACAAAAAAGTTAAGATATTGCCCTGCTATGGTGGCACCTGTAGTTCCAGCTACTCGGGAGGCTGAGTCCGGGAGGTGGAGGCTGCAGTGAGCTGAGACGGCACCGCTGCACTCCAGCCCGGAGGAGTCTCTAGGGCTGCCCCTTCACATCTCCGAGCCTTTGCACGTGCCGGTCTCTGCCAGGGGTCCCTTCCTGCTTCCCTTAGCCGATGTCCCCCACTCATCCTCCAAGCCCCACTCCCTGCAGCCCTCCCATCCCCCCCAGGCCCAGCCCTCAGCCCCTCTGCCCCTATTCCCCAATCTCAGGTCTCTCCCTCTGATCCCACCCTGACTGCACAGAGCCGGGAATGCCGGTGTCCAGCTCTGTCCAGACCATGCCCGGGATGCACCCACTCAGGCTCCAAATCCTCCAGGGTGGGGTCTGAGCACAAAGAGATTCAGACACCTGGGTGTCCGAGTGAATGAATGAATGAATGAATGAACGAACAGCTGACACAGTTCGCATGACAGCCGTGTAGTAAGGGTTTTTACCATTATCGTTATTATTTTGAGACAGGGTCTCACTCTGGTGGCCCAGGCTGGAGTGCAGTGGTGCAATCTTAGCTCACTGCACCCTCAATCTCCCAGGTTCAGGCGATCCTTCCGCCTCAGAGTAGCTGGGAGTTCAGATGCATGCCCGGCTAATTTGTTGTATTGTTTGTAGAGACAAGGGGTTTCCCTGTGTTGTCCAGGCTGGTCTCGAACTCCTGGGCTCAAGCGATCCTCCTTCCTCAGCCCCCCAAACTGCTGGGATTACAAGTGCGAGCCACCACACCCAGCCTTATTATTAATATTACTACTATTATTATTATTATTGAGACAGAGTCTCACTCTGTTGCCCAGGCTGGAGTGCAGTGGTGTGATCTCAGCTCACTGCAACCTCTGCCTCCCGGGTTCAAGTGATTCTCCTGCCTCAGCCTCCCGAGTAGCTGGGATTACAGGTGTGCACCATCCCTCCTGGCTAATTTTTGTGTTTTAGTAGAGACGGGGTTTCACCATGTTGACCAGGCTGGTCTCAAACTCCTGACCTCAAGTGCTGGGATTACAGGCGTGAGCCACCGCACCCTGCCTATTATTATTATTATTATTATTATTATTATTATTATTATTATTAGTGCCTGCTGGGCAAGCCTGCTAACTGCTGCCCCTCTGTTTCCTCATCTATAAAATTGGCAGTGGCCAGGTGTGGTGGCTCCCAGCACTTCGGGAGGCCAAGGCAGGCAGATCACCTGAGGTCAGGAGCTCGAGACCGGCCTGGCCAACATGGTGGAACCCCATCTCTATTAAAAATGTAATAAATAGGTGGCTCACGCCTGTAATCCCGGCACTTTGGGAGGCCGAGGCGGGTGGATCACGAGATCAGGAGATCGAGACCATCCTGGCTAACACGGTGAAACCCCGTCTGTACCAAAAAATACAAAAAAGTAGCCAGGAGTGGTGGCAGGTGCCTGTAATCCCAGCTACTCAGGAGGCTGAGGCAGGAGAATGGTGTGAACCCGGGAGGCGGAGCTTACAGTGAGCCAAGATCGCGCCACTGCACTCCAGCCTGGGTGACAGAGCGAGACTCCGTCTCAAAACAAACACGAAACAAAAAACCCGGAGACCCGGAGGAGGCACCCAGCGCCTGCAGGGAACCAGCAACGGGGGCCAAGGAGCCAAAATACGGGGCCCCAGAAATGTCTGCTGTGGAGGGGCAGCAGCAGCTGAGTGCCATCTACTCTCTGGGACAGACCAAGGTGAAGATGGAGGAAAAACAGACGATAAACAGCTAAACCCGTACATCACCAAGAAGATCTCGGAGGGAAATCAAACAGGATCATGGGTGACGGGGAGGTGCTGGGGGCCCTGGGACTGGGGAGATTGGAGAAGGTGCTTCTGGGAGATGACACTGACGCTGAGACCCCAGGGAGTGAAGGAGCCGGGAGGAGATGCGGGACGGCGGCTCCCAGGCGAGGGCACAGCAAGGGCAGAGTCCATGTGGCGGGAAGGAGCTGGGAAGTTTCCAGCAGTAGCAATGGGCAAAGGGAGACAGTGAGTGGAGAGTGAGTGAAGACGGAGCCGCAAAGGTCACCCAGGGTCGGATGAGTGTGGGTTTTCTCCTCAGGGCACTGGGGAGCCATGGACTATTCTTGAGCAGGGTAGGGGTGTCATCTGATTATTTAATTATTATTTTATTTTATTTTATTTTATTTTATTTTTTAGACAGAGTCCCACTCTGTTGCCCAGGCTGGAGTGCAGTGGCACGATCTCAGCTCACTGCAACCTCCGCCTCCCTGGTTCAAGCAATTCTCCTGCCTCAGCCTCCCAAGTAGCCCACCACCCTGCCCAGCTAATTTTTTGTATTTTTAGTAGAGATGGGGTTTCGCCATGTTGGCCAGGCTGGTCTCGAGCTCCTAACCTCAGGTGATCTACCCACCTCGGCCTCCCAAAGTGCTGGGATTACAGGCATGATTCCTTTTTTTTTTTTTTTGATACAGGGTCTTGCTGTGTGGCCCAGGCTGGAGTGCAGTGGTGCAATCATAGCTCACTGCAGCCTCAACCTCCACGCTCAAGTGATCCTTCCATCTCAGCCTCCCCAGTAGCTGGGACTACAGGCACACACTACCACACCCAGCTAAAAAAAATTTTTGTATTTTTAATTTATTTTATATATTTTTTTTAATTTTTGAGACAGAGTCTCGCTCTATCACCCAGGCTGGAGTGCAGTGGTGTGATCTCAGCTCGCTGCAACCTCCGCCTCCTGGGTTCAAGTGATTCTCCTGCCTCCGCCTCCCGAGTAGCTGGGATTACAGGTGCACGCCAACCACACCTGGCTAATTTTTGTATTTTTAGTAGAGATGGGGTTTCACCATGTTGACCAGGCTGGTCTTGAACTCCTGGCTTCATGTGATCCACACGCCTCGGCCTCCCAAAGTGCTGGGATTATAGGAGTAAGCCACTGCGCCTGGCCTGTATTTAAATTTTTCTTTTTTTTTTTTTGTAGAGATGTGGTCTCAATGTTGCACAGACTGTTCTCAAACTCCTAGGCTCAAGTCCTCCTCCCGCCTCAACCTCCCAAAGTGCTGGGATTACAGGCATGTGCCACCGTGCCCAGCTGACATTTCTTGAGGCCACCCTAAGACCCAAATCTGAGCCCCCTTTCTGCATCCTGGCCCCGCCACCAACTAGCCTCCCCTCTCAGACAACATCTTCATTACAGAGCTGAGTTGTTTAAATAAATGAATTAATATTGACGAACCATCAGTGACCTAATAAATGATTAGTTAAGGTACACATACATCACGCCGCGGGGACGCCGGGAGCCCTTAATTACTGCTGTGGAGGGGCCGGCAGGGCCACGGCCACTGCCCTGCACCCCTTGGTCCCCAGACCCCTGCCCAGCCGTCCAGCTGCCCCCTGGGTCACAGAAGCTGGGCAGGAAGGCAAACCTTGCCTGTCTCTCCCTGTCTCTCCATCTCTGACACAGTCGCCTGGCAGAGACCATCTGCGTGGACTTGACTCAGCCTCAACCCAGCCTTCCAGCCTCCCCATCTGCCTCCAACAGCCCTTCCCTGGAAGCCACCAGGGCTGGTGGCTTAAAAAACATGACTTTAGGCCCGGGTGCGGTGGCTCACGCCTGTACTCCCAGCACTTTGGGAGGCTGAGGCAGGAGGATCACCTGAGGTCAGGAGTTCGAGACCAGCCTGACCAACATGGTGAAACCCCCATCTCTACTAAAGATACAAAAATTAGCCAGGCGTGGTGGCGCATGCCTGTAATCCTAGCTACTCAAGAGGCTGAGGCAGGAGAACTGCTTGAACCTGGGAGGCAGAGGATGTAGTGAGCCAAGGCTGCACCATTGCACTCCAGCCTGGGTGACAAGAGTGCCCAGAGCTTTGGGAGGCCAAGACGGGAGGATCACTTGAGTCCAGGAGTTCAAGACCAGTCTGGGCAACATAGGAAGACCCCATCTCTCTCTCTCTTTTTTTTTTTTTTTTTTAAATTTTTTTTAGACTGAGTCTTTCTCTGTTGCCCAGGCTGGAGTGCAACGGCGTGATCTCGGCTCACTGCAACCTCCACTTCCCAGGTTGAAGTGATTCTCCTGCCTCAGCCTCCTTAGTAGCTGGGCTTACAGGCACGCGCCACCATGCCCGGCTAATTTGCAAAATCCTATCTCTAAAAAAAAAAAAAAGAAGGGAAAAAGAAACAAGGAAACATGACTCTGTTCACAACAGCCTCCTGTGGCTCCCAGTGCACCCCAGAAAAAGACCCACGTCCTCAACGCAGCCCACGGGACCCTGCATGGCCCAGCCTCCAGCTCCAGTGTCCGGTCTTGCTTCCCCACAGCCTGGTTCCGGCCTCAGGGCGCTGTCCTCCTCCTTCCTGTACCAGAAGTGCTGTCTACTCTCTGAGCTCCTGCTCACCTCAGGCCACAGCTCAAGTGTCCCCTCCTCCAGGAAGCCCTCCCTGACCCCAGCCCGTGTTGGGCCCTTGGCAGCTGCCCCGGGGGGTCGCTTCTCTGCCTGCCGGCCCCACCCTGGGCTATACTGCTGTATTTAGGGGTCCTTTTGTTGAATGCACCTCCTTTTTTTTTGGGGTGCACTGGCATGATCTCGGCTCACTGCAAGCTCCACCTCCTGGGTTCACACCATTCTGCCTCAGCCTCCTGAGTAGCTGGGACTACAGGCACCCGCCACCACGCCCGGCTAATTTTTTGTATTTTCAGTAGAGATGGGGTTTCACCGTATTAGCCAGGATAGTCTCGATCTCGTGACCTCATGATCCGCCCACCTCGGCCTCCCAAAGTGCTGGGATTACAGGCATGAGCCACCACGCCTGGCCAGAATGAACCTCCTTCTTTGCCCTGAAGCCTGGGAGGGCAGGACAGGACCTGGCCGGATCACTGCTGGGTCGGGCATGGAGTTGGCTTTAGGGAAGTGCGTTGAGGAGTGGATAGGACCAAAGCCTCCTACAGACCCCGGCCTCAGTTTCCCCATCTGTCCAGCGGGAAGTGACCCTGACCAGGCGCCTGCCCCCTTCACGCTCATGACGATGCTCCTGGCAGGGACGTGCAGGCCGAGCCCCTTCCTGCGCCTGCCTTCATCAAGGCTGGAAAGAGGGCCAGGAACCAGCATGGGAGCACCTGGGGGGATGCCATGGGGGAGGTGGTCCCAGCCCCAGCCCCTGGCCTGAGGCATCTCCACACCCTGCAGACAACGAGAGGGACGCCCGGGCGCGGGAGCCTTTAGCCGCCTTTAGCCCTCCTCCGGCACCTGTACCCTGCCTGTGCCTCAGTTTCCCCAGAAGATGGGGGGTCTCTGCGGGGATCTGGCAGAAGTGAGGTGAGGCCTGAGGGGCTGGTCCTGGTTGGCTCATTTATTCTCTTCTCCCAGCTCTAGGGTGTCCACCTTCGATGGGTGCTGGGCTTTTATGAAGTCCTAGGCTGGGGGGACCAAGCCAGACACCGACCCTCCCAGATTTCAAGGGCAGGGCAGGGCTCAGAGAGGGCAGCGGCTGGCCAAGGCCATGCGGCCTGCTCGGGTCAGGGGACAGGGTGGAGCTGGGGCACCCAGGAGCTTCTCAAGTCTCTACCTGTCCAGCACCAAGGCCCACCAGGGCCCCATGAGGCCCTTCCCGGCAGGAGTGGGGGCACTTGGAGAGACCACAGCTGAGGGCTCCTGAGGCGGGTGGGGAGGGGGCCAGGGAGCTGGGAAGGGGAGAGATGTGGCTCCGGAGTCAGGGGGAGGAGAGGGCCAGAGACAGAGATAGGAGCATGGAGAGAGATGGAGAGACAAAGAGAGAGACAGAGACAGAGAGAGGGACTGGGGGACGAGGAGAGAGGGTCGAAGAGATAGAGATGAAGAAAGAGTAAGAGACAGAGACATGGAGATAGGGAGACAGAAAAGATGGAAAGAGAGAGACACAAAGGGAGAGGGAGACAGAGACAGTGGCAGAGATGGAAGAGAGAGACACAGAGAGACAGAGATGGAGAGAGGTGAAGATGGAGAGAGAGACACAAAGGGAGAGAGAGAGAGACAGAGAGACAGAGATGGAGAGAGGTGAAGATGGAGAGAGAGACACAAAGGGAGAGAGAGAGAGACAGAGAGACAGAGATGGAGAGAGATGAAGATGGAGAGAGACAAAAAGGGAGAGAGGGAGAGACAGTGGCAGAGATGGAATAGAGACAGAGAGAGACAGAGATGGAGACAGTGATGGAGAGAAAGAGGCAAAGATTAAGAAAGAGTAAGAGACAGAGACATGGAGAGAGACAGAAAGAGATGGAGATGGAGAGAAGGAAAGAGAGAGATAGAGAGGGAGACAGTGGCAGAGATGGAAAAAGAGAGATGAAGAGAGAGAGAAGGAGAGAGACAGAGGAGAGAGACACAGGCTCGCCCTTCTGGATGTCCGGCATTGGGGGGCTGCAGGGGAGACTCTGGGGGGACACGGGTGGGCCCCCCATCCCTGCTCTGGCCCTGCCCAGAGGCTGAGACACCCTGGCAACCCTCTCCAGCAGAAGGAATCACCTGCCTCGACCCCTAAGTGTGACCTCCCTGACATTCCTCTCCTGAGCTCCCTCCTCTCCTGTCCTCCCCACCATGGCGGGGTCCTCGCCCAGCTGGTCCCTACTGAAGAGGTCCCAGGTGGTACCGTGTGGTTGTAGCTCAAGCCAGCCACATCCCCTCCTTCTGCCTGCAACCTGGAGGGTGAGTCTTGGCCTCCTGTCTCCTCATGAAAGCTCTGTGCCTCGGTTTCCTCCCATTCAGAGCCTCAGAAGTACAAGCCCCGGCCCCTTTCCTAGGAAACAACCTAAGGTTCAGACACAGATGGGCCTGGCTGGGAGGGGTGGCTCACACCTGTCATCCCAGCACTTTGGGAGGCTGAGGCGGGCAGATCACCTGAGGTCAGGAGTTCGAGACAAGCCTGGCCAACATGGTGAAACCCCCCCTCTCTACTAAAAATACAAAAACTAGCCGGGTGTGGAGGCGGGTGCCTGTAGTCCCAGCTACTCAGGAGGCTGAGGCAGGAGAATCGCTTGAACCCAGGAGATGGAGGTTGCAGAGAGCTGAGATCATGCCACTGCACTCCAGCCTGGGCAACAGACCAAGACTCTGTCTGAGAAAAAAAAAAAAAAAGACACAGTTGGGTCTGGGTTTACAATCTCATCTTCTGGGCTCTGCGGCCTCAGACAAGGCCCTCCACCCCCCAGATCCTCAGTTTCCCCCTCTGTAGACTAGGCCAGTCATATTTCCTGCCTCACAGGCTGCTGAGAGGATGAAGAAGGTAGTTGGGGCATACAGTCGGTGCTCCATAATGTTAGGAACGATGGAAGGATAGAGGTTTTCAGGGACGATGGGGCAGGAAGGGTCATTGAGACCCAAGTGAAGTCCAGTCTAAGTGGTTTGTATTTACTGCTATTGCAAAATACTGTCATTTGGTCAATCAACAAACGTTGACTGTGGGACCACTGGACTGGGTCTCTGGGGGTGCATCAGGGTGAATGTGGGTGGGCATTGGAACCAGCTCCTACTGTGCCACAATTGGCAGGGGGACGGTTCAGGGCCTGGCACACAGCAGGTGTTCAACGAATGCGTGCTTGCCCACCCTCCAGCCCCCCGTGGGCATGGGGTCACATGTGGGAGCAAACGACCGCGGAGTGGAAGGGAAGCTGGTCCTGTCCACTGCCCACCAGCCCCCGACTCAAGCTCATGGGCCCGGGGCCTTTCTGCTGAGGCGTCAGAAGTTGGTGGTGGAAGGGCCTCCTCCTGCCCCCACCCATCCGCTGGCCCATCCTTTCCTCCCACACTCAAGGGTTCATCTGCTTCAGCTCAGGCACCTACCAGAGGCCTTGGCGGATGCAGAAGGGGTCACAGTGGATGGAGGGGCTGGTCCCCAACTCCCCCCACAACCCATCCCTTCCCTTCCTTCTACGGTGACCCTACTAGGGAGGCTCCCAGGAGCGAGCCGGGGGCCCGCCTGTCCCGGTTCGGCCCCTCTGGCTTGTTTGAGCTCCGGCCTCAGTTTCCCCATCTGTATAATGGGACCAGGGCCTCTGCCACTCTAAGTGTTGGGGTGAGGATCTGAGACAACGCACATAAAGGCTTGGTGGCACGGCAGGAGCGAGTCAGGAGCACGGATATTCATTATCACCATCATCATCATCCGCGACTCTATTTTTATGCGAAACGCTAATCGGATTAATAGGCCCCGCGCATGCGCGGCACACACTAGGCGCTCAATAAATGCAGCTGAACAAATAAACCCGTCTTCCTGGGTATGCGGCCTCGCAGAAAGGCGCACCCCTCTCTGCGCCTCAATTTCCAAACCCAAAACACAAAATGGGGGCCCCAGTTACCCATCCCCCGTTCCCGGGAGCGCTGGGCCGCGCCGCACCGGGACGCCCCCCCCACCGGGAACGAGCCCCCTCCCAGGCCCCTGGCCCAGCGCCCTTCGGGGAACCGTTTACAAGAAGCGGCGCGCTTCCCCCGCGCGGCCCCCGCCAGGCTGCCGTTCCCAGCCGGGATAATCTAATCGCGTTTCCAAGGCTGCGATCGATAACCCCGAGGCGGCGCCAAAACGAGGCTCTTAAAGGGCCAGCAGCCCCGCCCGGGCCGGCGGGGAGGGGGCCGTGAGGTGGGGACAGGCTTTGCGCGTCTGCGCCCCCCGGCCGGCCCCCACCTCCAGGCTGTGTGGCCCTAGGCAGGCAGCCTGACCTCTCTGAGCTGCAGTGCCGCAGCCGGAAAACGAGGTCCCCGGAGGCCAAGGGCAAATCTATTCCCTATCTGCGTCTTCCCCCATTGCCCGGATGGGGAAACTGAGGCTTGGGAAAGGAAGAGAGCAGCCTGAGCTAGGTTCTGCAGGCGATCCCACCCTCTCCCGCCTCTGGCCCCCCAAGACCCTGCCGCCCCTCCTGCCCCAGAATCCATACAAACGTCTTCAGCATGCCAGTCCTCCCGGGCCGGCTCACCGACCTGCCGCGGGACGCCTGGTGGCCCCACCCGGGCTGTGCCGCCCCGAGGAGGTGTCCCCAGCGCCCCACCGAGGAGGGGGGGCCAGCTTCTCCCGTGTGCTTGGAGGGTCCTCTCCCTGCCTAGCCTGCCCACCTGTTCCCCAAAGGGAAAAACCTCAGGGCACCTTCTTCCTTCTGCCCTGGTGACTGGAATGCGGAGCTGCCCAGAGAGACAAAGATGGAAGCTTCCAGAAATGGCAATGGTGGAATCTTCTAGAAGCAGCAGTGGTGGACTGCCCAGGAGCTATAGTGGTGACCTTTATTTATTTATTTATTTACTTATTTATTTTGAGACGGAGTCTCGCTCTGTCGCCCAGGCTGGAGTGCAGTGGCGCCATCTCGGCTCACTGCAAGCCCCGCCTCCCGGGTTCACGCCATTCTCCTGCCTCAGCCTCCCTAGTAGCTGGGACTACAGGCGCCCGCCACCACGCCCGGCTAATGTTTTTTGTATTTTTAGTAGAGACGGGGTTTCACCGTGGTCTCGATCTCCTGACCTCGTGATCCGCCCGCCTCGGCCTCCCAAAGTGCTGGGATTACAAGCGTGAGCCACCGCGCCCGGCCAGTAATAGTGACTTCTTTTCTGGTTGGTCCCCAGCCCTGACCACTGCCTGGCCCAGCGGCCTGAGGCCAGTGTCTTCGGGGCGTGTAAATTGGGATGAGGGCAGCGTTGTCCTTTCTCACCGTCAGCCCAGGGACTGTGTCTCCCACGCACTGGGCTCTCCAAAGGACTGTCCTGGACTGGACCCGGAGTCCAGACATCAGAGAGGCTGTGCCTCAAGGGAAACTGAGGCCCAGGGAGGGTCACACGCAGTGTGTGGCCCAGGGCTCGCCGGACCTTTGGCCCTGCTGACCCTCTCAACAGGGACCGGCTCACCCTATCTGAGTCCTGCCACCCCTGCTCCAGCCAAAGGACCCCCCCTGTCCTACACACACTGGGTCCCTCCCGGGAAGCCAGGCCTGACCCCACTTCCTTGTCACCTTCCGGGTCCGGGGTCGGGGCTGCAGGGGTGAGAGGAGATTGATCCAGCAGACGACCTTGTGGCCACTGTTGCCAAGGAGATGGCCCTTGGGGGCTGTGTGGGTGGCCAGGGCCAGGGAGTGACAGAGGGACAGAGGGAGGGAGGGATGAAGGAAAGGAGGGAGGGACAGAGGGGAGGGAGAGACAGAGAGGGAGGGAGGGAGGGAGGGAGGCACCAGCAGTGGGTACGGTCCTCACATCAGAGCCTCCTGGGCAGCTGGTTGGCTATGTTGACACAGCCTGGGAACCAGCATTCACCCCTCCCTGGCGGTCTGCCATTGACTAACCGCCATTGGGCTCCTGTCTACAGGCTTGGCTTGGAAATGAGACGCAGCTGCCACCACCCAAGTTCACCCAGGAGGGCTGGGAGCCTGGGAGCTGGCACCTGGTCTGCTCTCCAAGGTAGCTTCTGGTCCATTCACCCCCAGGACTGGGGTAGGTATCCTAGAAGTGGGGCCCATGTTCCAGGGCCCCACAGGATGAATAGGAGTTTGCCAGGTGGAGAGGGAACGGTAAAGAGGAGGGAGGCGGCCCGCTCATCCAGCCCCACCACTGGAGAGGAAGGGGTGAGTGAGTGTCAGGAGGGTCTCTGCTTGGCAGGCTCTGTGACAGGGGAACCTCTGGCTGAGGCCAGCTGGTGACTGCTGGGTTTGTGGGAGCTGAGCATGGATTTCCCATAGCGACGGGAGCTGCTGGGCCCGGCTGAAGGACGGTTAGGCTTCTGACCTGGTTACCGCGTGCCGGCTGGATACCAGAGATCAGGGTGCAGCCGTGGACCCCAGACACGGCCCTGCCTCCTAAGAGCTCTGCATCTCTTGGGGGCACAGGCAGCAGCTGGGGCTGACTGGGGACCGGACCCAGAAGCCACCACAGCAGGAAGAGGGTGCGGGTGCAGGAGGCTGCAGCCACTGAAGTGGGGGAGATCGAGTGGAGAGCTGGGGGTTGGGGCAGACCAGGGAGAGGCTGACTGGGGGCGACCTGGACCCTTTGGCTGCAGGGATCGGCTCACAGGGCCAGGGGGTTTGGGGCAGTGGAGCTGTGGGAGGGCCCTGGGGTATGTGGGGCCTGACTCAGGGGTGTCCTGTAGGACCCAGTCCATAAGGGGCCATTGCACTCAGGGACGCCAGCATGGGCTGTGGCTGTGAGTGCGCCCACATGCACACACACAAACATGCGCAAGCACACCAGAACACGCAAACACACGCGTTTACCAGGACACACATGTGCAGATACAGCAGGCCGCACATGAGAAGGTGTATGTGTGAACCTTCCTGGCACATACGTGCCCATGCGTGCACATGTATAAACGGGACTGACCATGTACAAACACACCTGAGCTCGTGGCAACGAGCGAACATGTCACAGCCTCTGTGTGCACCCACACGGACATGCCAGCACACGCATGCAAACCTGTGTATAGGAGTGAGCACACATGCTAGAATGCACACGAGCATGCGAGAACACGCATAAGCATGCCCCGTATACATCACGTGTGGCACACCTGAATCTACGTGAACACTGTTCATTCAGAAACACACCAACCACACAGGACCACGTGTGCCTCGGGTCAAAATGCCTGAGCCGGCCAGGCGCGGTGGCTCATGCCTGTCATCCCAGCACCTTGGGAGGCCGAGGTGGGCGGATGACAAGGTCAGGAGTTGGGGACCAGCCTGACCAACATGGTGAAACCCTAGCTCTACTAAAAATACAAAAATTAGCTGGGCGTGGTGGCACGTGCCTGTAGTCCCAGCTACTCTGGAGGCTGAGGCAGGAGAATCGTTTGAACCAGGGAGGTGGAGGTTGCCGTGAGCCGAGATCGCGCCACTGCACCCCAGCCTGAGTGACAGAGCGAGACTCCGTCTCAAAAAAATAAAAATAAAATAAAAATTAAAAAAAGCCCGAGCCGCGAGGCACTGGGGTAGCCGCGGATGCACGTGTGAGCGCGCACGTGGGGAGCGCCCGCGGGTTTCTGGGCTGCGGGCGCGCCCTGGTGGACGCCAGACCCGCTGCAGCTCTGTCCCTGGAAGGGGGTCCCAGTCCCACCTCCCTCGGTCTGGGCGTCACGCAGGGGTAAGAAGGGGACGGGACGGGGACAACACCAGAAGACCCAGGGAAGGCAGCCCGCAGGACCCCCATCATCCAGCTCCCTCCATTCTTCCCATGACGCGCCCGAGTTTGGGGGAGTCTGGCGAAGCTCCGTGTCCCCCACCCCTGGCGTCCCGAGCGGGGGCCGCGGCTTTCCTGAGCCCACCTCCCCCAGCGCAGGGTGGGCTCCGTGGGGTGGGGGCCCCGACGCCCGGGGAGGACCCGCGGCCTTGCCCCATTGGCCACCAGGTGGCAGCACGCGCGCCCGACTGAACCCCAGGACCAGCGAGGCCCCCGCGCCCCACCCCATGCACCCCCGGACCACAGGGAGGGGAGGGGTCTGGGGAGGACCCCGGGGGGCCGTGAGCACCAGCCTCGCCGCTCTATGCCTCGGTTTCCCCACCTCCCAGGGAGAGGGAGAATAACTGAACACACAGGCGTGGTGAAGTCACCAGGAGGGCTTCCCTGGGGAGGTGGGGTTGAAGGAAAAGGCACCAATGGTGAAGAAGAGCAGGCCGGGTACGGGACGCGGCAGGTGCAGAGGGCCGGGGGAGGGCGCGGTGGGGGCGAAGGGAACTGAGTCCTGAGCCTGGGCGGGATTGTGGGGTGGGGTTTGGAGGCAAAGGTCCCAGGTTTCCGATCTGAGCGCAGGAGGTGAGGACAAGGGCAGGATTTAGGGTCTACCTAGGACAGAGAATACAAAGGTTTGTTTTGATTTTTTTTTAAAGTGATATTCTTGGCCGGTAAATATTCTTACTATCCTCAGCCTCGATGGGTAAAATCCAAAGGTTTTAAGATACTCGGAACTTGAATTCACAGCTTTCCAAATATGGGATTCTCAGGATGGAGCCAATTGGAGAAAATTCCAGAATCCCAGTTCCCCTGGCCAATGCCAGCGTTGATGCCCAAATGCAAGAGTGGCAAAGACAGGGCGTGATGGCTCACACTTGTAATCCCAGCACTTTAGGTGGCTGAGGCAGAAGGCTCATTTAAGCCCAGGAGTTCGAGACCAGCCTGAGAAACATAGCAAGACCCCTGTCCTACAAAAATGTATTTATTTATTTATTTTTGAGACGGAGTTTCACTCTGTCGCCCAGACTGGAGTGCAGTAGCGATCTTGGCTCACTGCAACCTCTGCTTCCTGGGTTCAAGCGATTCTCCCTGCCTCAGCCTCCCGAGTAGCTGGGATTACACGCACGTGCCACCATGCCCAGCTAATTTTTGTATTTTTAGTAGAGAAGGGGTTCCCCTATGTTGGTCAGGCTGGTCTCCAACTCCTGATCTCAAGTGACCCACCAGCCTCTGCCTCCCGAAGTGCTGGGATTACAGGCGTGAGCCACGGCACCCAAACTCAAAATTTTAAATAATTAGGCTAGTGTGGTGGTACACGCCTGTGGTCCGAGCCACGTGGGAGGTGGGAGGATCACTTGAGCCAGGAGGTGGAGGCTGCAGTGAGCTATGATTGCACCACCGCACTCCAGCTTGGGTAACAGAGCAAGATCCTGCCTCAAAAGAGAAGAAAAAGAGTGGGCCGGGCGCGGTGGCTCATGCCTGTAATCCCAGCATTTTGGGAGGCCGAGGTGGGCGGATCTCCTGAGGTCGGGAGTTCGAGACCAGCCTTGCCAACATGGTGAAACTACTAAAAATACAAAAAGTTAGCCGGGCATGGGCCGGGCGCGGTGGCTCACACCTATAATCCCAGCACTTTGGGAGGCCGAGGCAGGCGGATCGCCTGAGGTCAGGAGTTCGAGACCATCCTGGCTAACAAGGTGAAACTCCGTCTCTACTAAAAAAAAATTCAAAAAATTAGCCAGGCATAGTGGTGGGCGCCTGTAGTCCCAGCTACTCGCAAGGCTGAGGCAGGAGAATGGCGTGAACCCGGGAGGCAGAGCTTGCAGTGAGCTGAGATCGCGCCACTGCACTCCAACCTGGGCGACTGAGCAAAACTCCGTCTCAAAAAACAAACAAACAAAAATTAGCTGGGCATAGTGGCGCACACCTGTAATCCCAGCTACTCGGGAGGCTGAGGCAGGAGAATCACTTGAACCCGGGAGGCGGAGGTTGCAGTGAGCCAAGATTGTGCCACTGCACTCCAGCTTGGGCAACAAGAGCGAAAGAAAGAAAGAAAGAGAGAGAGAGAGAGAGAGAGACGAGGGAGGGAAGGGAGGGAAGGAAGGGAAGGAAAGGAACGAAAGAGAGAGAGAGAGGGGAGGGAGGGAAGGGAGGGAAGGAAGGGAAGGAAGAGAAGGAAAGGAAGGAAAGGAAAGGGGGGGGAAGGGAGGGAAGGAAGGGAAGGAAAGGAAGGAAAGGAAAGAGAGAGAGAGGGGAGGGAGGGAAGGAAGGGAAGAAAAGAAAGAGAGAGAGAGAAGGGGGAGGGAGGGAAGGGAAGGAAGGGAAGGAGAGAGAGAGAGAGAAGCGAGGGAAGGGAGGGAAGGAAGGGAAGGAAGGGAAGGAAAGGAAAGAGAGAGAGAGAGAGGGGAGGGAGGGAAGGAAGGGGAGGAAAGGAAGGAAAGGAAAGGAAAGAGAGAGAGAGAGAGGGGAGGGAGGGAAGGAAAGGAAGGAAAGGAAAGAGAGAGAGAGCGAGAGAGAGAGAGAGGAGAGAGGGGAGGGAGGGAAGGAAAGGAAGGAAAGGAAAGAAAGGAAAGAAAGAGAGAGAGAGAGAGAGGAGAGAGAGGAGAGAGAGGGGAGGGAGGGGAGGGAGGGAAGGAAGGGAAGGAAAGGAAAGAAAGGAAAGAGAGAGAGGGGAGGGAGGGAAGGGAGGGAAGGAAGGGAAGGAAAGAAAGGAAAGAGAGAGCGAGAGAGAGAGAGCGAGAGAGAGAGAGAGAGAGAGAGAGAGAGAGAGAGAGAGAGGAGGGAGGGGAGGGAGGGAAGGGAAGGAAAGAAAGATAGAGTGGCAGAGACTCTGTGATTCCTGTGAGCCCCAGAGGCAGGGACCCCATAATCCCCAAGGGTCCCTGCAGCTCCCAGAGGCAGGGGCCGCTCCCAGGGCAGAGACCCTGTAACCTGTAACCTGAGGGCCAGCACCCCCCAGGCCAGGTGAGGAAGGCCCCGGTCCTCACCCCCTCACCGCCTCCGTAGTTTCAGAGCTACTGCACCTTTAAAATCATGTGCCAAAATTAGCAGCTCTGCTGTCATTAATATGCAAAAATGCAAATCAGGAACTGATTAAGCCCCAGCCCCAGAGGATGTTTCTACAGTGATGAATTCTATTGTCTGCGAGGGTGGTGGGTGGATGTGCTGGCGAGGGGGGATCAGGGGTGTAGATCCCGGAAGGGAGGGTCCTTGGGGGGAGTCCCAGCTCCGCCCCCCTAGTGCACACACAGCCCCTCCCAGCTGCCCTCCCCAGGACCAGTGGGTACGGGCAACTGGGCCAGGTTCCCTGTGTGACGGGGGAGTGTGGCTGGGGGTGGCCCGGGGAGGGACTCTCAGGGCCCTCACCCTGCCTGCTCCTAACCCGGGGAGGGACTCTCAGGGCCCTCACCCTGCCTGCTCCTCCACCCGGGATTCCCCTGGCCTCTGCCTGCAGAGTTTCAAATGCCTGTAAGGCGATTCCTTCGAAATTCTCCTTCCCCATCTGGCTGGGAGCCCCGACGGGCTGAGACCTCTGCCCTGTGGTTCCCCAGAGCACCGCTCTGAGAGGGCTCTGCAAACACCCTGCATGTGGGGAAATGCAGGCTCACAGGGGGAGCGATGCGCACAGGGTCCCCAGCCCGTGAGAGGGTCCTGGGCTCCTCCCGGTGGGTAGAGACCTTCATGCCAGCACAGAGGTGCTGGCTGACGCAGGGGTGCAGGCAGCAGGGAGTGGGGTGGAGCGGGAGGTCTGGAAGAGAGGGTGCAGCAGTGTAACCAGCCCCTGTCCGGGCCAGTCAGGGGAGTCCCCAGTGTGAAGGGGAAGGAGAGAGAGGCAGAGACAGAGGGAGACAGAGAGGCAGAGAGAGACAGAGAAAAAGACAAGAGATAGGAACAGAAAGAGAAGGAGACAGAGAAGCAGAGAAGGAGACAGAGAAGAACAGAAACAGACAAAGAGACAGAGAGATAGAGATACAGAGAGGCAGAGAGAGAGACAGGCAGAGAAACAGAGAGACAGAGAGGCAGAGAGACAGGCAGAGAGAGACAGAAAGAGATAAAGAGAAACAGAGAGACAACGAGAGAGATGGAGACAGAGAGAGATGGAGACACACACAGACACAGAGAGACTGACAGAGACAGAGGGACAGAAAGAGATACGCAGAGACAGAAAGAAACAGAGACAGAGACAAAAAGACAGACAGAGATGGGGAAGAGAAAGAGACAGAGACAGGGAGGCTGACACAGAGAGAGCACAGAGAAAGAAGACAGAGAGAAACAGACAGAAAGAGACAGAGACAGAGAGACAAAGACAGAGATGGAGACCAACCGAGAAAGGCTGAGGGGGACTCAGAAGGGGACCCAGAGGCAGCGTGAGCCGACCCAGCGCCCTCCCTCTGCACAGGCTCCAGCTGGCCTGGGGCCAGCCACCAGCTGCTGCCTCCCGCCCACCCTCCCCCACTGCCAGAGCCCCAGCTGCCACCGCCACACACACGGCCACCCTTTGGCGGCCCCACCAGCTGCCCCGGGACCCCACGGCGCCCTGGGCCAGGAGGAAATACCTTCGCCTGGGCCGGGGCTCCCAGATGCCTGTCAGGCCGCCCTCTTCGGAGCCTCAGTTTCCTCACCTGTAAGATGGGGAACCCCCCAACTTAGCCTGTGCATTTATGGAGCACCTACTGTGTGTCAGGCCCCAGATGGATGCTGGAGGTGTGGGGCGGCCAGGCTGGGCCCGGGGCTCCCCTTACAGAGCCAGGCAAGCCCCACAGGCGCAAGGGGGAGAAACAGGGGCCTGAGAGTGGGAGGAACGATAAACTGATGATACACCGGCAAAGGGGCCTGAGAGTGGGGAGGAACGGCTCCCGGCCGAGGGACATCCTGGGCACAGACCCTGAGGTCACAGGGAGAAAACGGTGTCCAAGCAGCAGCGAGGAGGTGGCCAGCGCAGCTGGAGGGAGGTGGGCAGAGGGGGCTCGGGAGGCCGGACATGGAGGGCAGTGGAGTCCTCCGAGACAAAATAAAGCTCAGGGTCGGCCGGGCACGGCGGCTCACGCCTGTAATCCCAGCACTTTGGGAGGCCGAGGCGAGCAGATCACGAGGTCAGGAGATCGAGACCATCCTGGCTAACATGGTGAAACCCCATCTCTACTAAAAATACAAAAAATTAGCCAGGCGTGGTGTCAGGCGCCTGTAGTCCCAGCTACTCGGGAGGCTGAGGCAGGAGAATGGCATGAACCCGGGAGGCGGAGCTTGCAGTGAGCTAAGATGGCACCGCTGCACTCCAGCCTGGGCGACAGAGCGAGACTCCGTCTCAAAAAAAAAAAAAAAAAAAAAGTTCAGGGTCAGCCAGGCCAGGGCGTTCCCACCTGGGATCCCAGTGCTGTGGGAGACTGAAGTGGAGGATTCCTTGAGGCCAGGAGTTTGAGACCAGCCTGGGCAACACAGCAAGACCCCCCTCTACACAAAAAATAAAAATCAGCAGGGTGTGGTCAGGTGCAGTGGCTCACGCCTGTAATCCCAGCACTTTGGGAGGCCGAGACAGGTGGATCACGAGGTCAGGATATCGAGACCATCCTGGCTAACACGGTGAAACCCCGTCTCTACTAAAAATACAAACAATTAGCCAGGCATGGTGGTGAGCGCCTGTAGTCCCAGCTACTCGGGAGGCTGAGGCAGGAGAATGGCGTGAACCCGGGAGGCGGAGCTTGCAGTGAGCTAAGATGGCGCCACTGCACTCCAGCCTGGGCGACAGAGCAAGAACTTGTCTCAAAATAATAATAACGAATAAGGAGAAGAAGGAAGAAGGAGGAGGAGGAGAGGCCGGGCGCGGTGGCTCACGCCTGTAATCCCAGCACTTTGGGAGGCCAAGGAGGGCAGATCACCCGAGGTCAGGAGTTCGAGACCAGCCTGACCAACATGGAGAAACCCCGTCTCTACTAAAAATACAAAATTAGCCGGGCGTGGTGGCAGGTGCCTGTAATCCCAGCTGCTCGGGAGACTGAGGCAGGAGAATTGCTTGAACCCGGGAGGCAGAGGCTGCGGTGAGCTGAAATCACGCCATTGCACTCCAGCCTGGGCAACAAGAGTGAAACTCCTTCTCAAAAAAAAAAAAAAAAAAAAAAGAGGAGGAAGAGGAGGAAGAGAAGGAAGGGAGAAGTAGGGCCCGGCCAGGTGCAGGGCACATGCTTCCCGCCCCTCTCCAGTTTGCTGTGTCCCCTGGATTCCTCCCGTGCCCCTGGGCCTGCCCTGACTCAGCCCTAGCTGCAGGCTCCTGTACCCAGTTCTGTATCCCGTCTCAGCCCAGGTCTCCCTGACAGGGTCAGGTTCAGGGTCAGGACAGGAGTGAGGAGTGGCTGGTGAATTTCTTGTCTGTCTCTGCCCAGTGTGCAGACTGTATGCGTGAGGTACATACCGGCCACGGACCGGCCGGAGACCCGGGGTTCTGCCCTGCCCTGCAGGTAGCTGAGGTTACGAGGGGGCCATGCCCCCACCCAGACAGCCGGGGTGATAAGGAGGCCAGGCCTGATGGAGCAGGAGCTGGGGGGGACTAACAAGAGTCTGAAGCAAATAGAAAACCTGAGACCAAGCTTCAGGGGGTGGCTCCGGGGGGTCACATGACCCAGTATCTCCCGGGCAGCCCTTGGGGCCGTCCCTGGCCTCTGGAAAGGGGCCTCCCCTTCTCACACCCCTGCCACCTGCTGGGAGACCCAGAGGCCCAGCCTCTGCTAGGGGCCTCAGCAGCAGAGAGCACCTGCTCCTTCCCGGGCAGGACTGCCCTGTAGGGCTGTCTGGGACCAAGTCACTTTTGCCATCCTGAGTCCTTTCCTCTATTGAAAAAAAAAAGTAAAATTGAGACTAGAATTGTTATTATTAATTTATTATTATTATTATTTGAGACGGAGTCTCACTCTGTCACCTAGGCTGGAGTGCAGTGGCACGATCTCGGCTCACTGCAACTTCTGCCTCCCAGGTTCAAGCGATTCTCCTGCCTCAACCTCCCTAGTAGCTGGGATTACAGGCACCCACCACTACACCCAGCTAATTTTTGTATTTTTAGTAGAGACGGGGTTTCACCATGTTGGCCAGGCTGGTCTTGAACTCCTGACCTCATGATCCGTCCGCCTCGGCCTCCCAAAGCGCTGGGATTACAGGTGTGAGAGCCACTGTGCCCGGCCTTAATTCGTTATTATTATTGTTCATCGGAAAACAATTATTATTCATCATTTTTCTTCTGATTAAATTTTTTTTTCTTCCTGAGACAGGGTGTCACTCTGTCTCCCATCCTGCAGTGCAGTGACACAAACTTGGGTCACTGCAGCCTCAACCTCTTGGGCTCAAACCATCCTCCTGTCTGAGCCTCTCCAGTAGCTGGAATACAGGTGCCTGCCACCACGCCTGGCTTTTTGTTTTTTTGTTTCTGTTTTTGTTTTTTTTTGAGACGAGGTCTCGCTGTATTGCCCAGGCTGGTCTCAAACTCCTGGGCTCAAGCGATCTTCCCGCCTCAGCCTCCCAAAGTGTTAGGATTACAGGTGTGAGCCACACAGTGCCCGGCCCTGATTTTAAAAGAAATTAAAACATTTTTGGCCAGATATGGTGGTTCATGCCTGTAATCCCAGCACTTTGAGAGGCTGAAGCAGGTGGATCACCTGAGGTCAGGGGTTTGAGACCAGCCTGACCAACATGGTGAAACCCCATCTCTAGTAAAAATACAAAAATTAGCCAGGCATGGTAGTGGGCACCTGTAATCTCAGCTACTTGGGAAGCTGAGGCAGAAGAATTGCTTGAACCTGGGAGGCAGAGTTTGCAGCGAGCCGAGATTGTGCCATCACACTGCAGCCTGGGTAACAGAGCAAGACTCTGCAACAAAGGAAGAAAGAAAGAAAGAAAGAAAAAGAGACAGAGAGAGAGGGAGGGAGGGGAGGGGAGGGGGGAGGGGAGGGAGGGAAGGGAAAGAAGAGAAAGAAAGAGAGAGAAAGAGAGAAAGAAAAGAAGGAAGGGAGGAAGGGAGGGAGAGAGGGAGGGAAGGAGGGAGGGAGGAAGGAAGACAGACATTTTCATGGGCCCTAAAAGCCTCCGGGGCCTGGGCCTGTTGCGTTCGATGGACAGATTGAACTCACCCTGGTGGGTGCTCTTGTTAAACTCCTTTGACAGATGAGAGCTCACACCATCGTGTGACCACAACCACAGTGGACTCGCTGAGCAGTGCTCCTTGCCCTGAGCTCAAGCTCACGATCAACCTGGTGGGGCCTCCCCAGGACACCAGGGGTTTCCCCCAGGGAACCCTGGGACAGCAAGAGGCCTCCCCACCCCCAGGGAAATGCCCGGGCAGTGCGGATCCTGCAGGAGGAGGGGGTGCCCCGGTGGAAGCCCACCCACGCCCGTTCTGTGGTTCTGCAATCTCAGTCATGCAGCATCTATGGTGAGGTGAAAAACTAAACATTCTTTAATTTTAAAAAGCGGCCGGGACCAGGGCACAGTGGCTCATGCCTGTAATCCCAGCACTTTCGGAGGCCGAGGTGGGGCTGATCACCTGAGGTTGGGAGTTCGAGACCAGCCTGACCAACATGGAGAAACCCCGTCTCTACTAAAAATACAAAATTAGCTGGGCGTGGTGGTGGGCGCCTGCAATCTCAGCTACCAGGGAGGCTGAGGCAGGAGAATCGATTGAACCCGGGAGGTGGAGGTTGCAGTGAGCTGAGATCACGCCATTGCACTCCAGCCTGGGCAACAAGAGCAAAACTCCGTCTCAAAAAAAAAAAAAGCGGGGTGGCGGGGGTCCGGGCATGGTGGCTCATGCCTGTAATCCCAACACTTTGGAAGGCCAAAATGAGAGGATGGCTTGAGTCCAGAGGTTGGAGACCAGCCTGGGCAACATAGCAAGATCCCGTCTCTACAAACAAAATAAAGAAAAATTAGCCAGGTGTGGTGGTACATGCCTGCAGTCCCAGCTACTTGGGAGGCTAAGGATGGAGGATGGCTTGATCCCAGGAGTTTGAGGCTACAGTGAGCCATGATCGTGCTACTACACTCCAGCCTGGGTAACAGAGTAAGACCCCATCTTTTTTTTTTTTTTTTTTTTTTTTTTTTGAGACACAGTTTCACTCTGTTGCCCAGGCTGGAGTGCAGTGGCGCAATCTCCGCTCACTGCAACCTCTGCCTTCCAGTTTCAAGCGATTCTGCTACCTCAGCCTCCTGAGTAACTGGGATTACAGGCGCCCCCCACCCCCGCCCACCACGCCCAGCTAATTTTTTTTTTTTTTTTTTGAGATGGAGTCTCATTCTGTCACCCAGGCTGGAGTGCAATGGCGCGATCTCAGCTCACTGCAACCTCCACCTCCCGGGTTCAAGCGATTCTCCTGCCTCAGCCTCCCGAGTAGCTAGGACTACAGGCGCCCGCCACCATGCCCGGCTAATTTTTTGTATTTTTAGTAGAGACGAGGTTTCACCATGTTGGCGAAGATGCTCTCGATCTCTTGACCTTATGATCCACCTGCCTCGGCCTCCCAAAGTGCTGTGATTACAGGCGTGAGCCACCACGCCCAGCTGAGACCCCATCTCTTAAAAAAAAAAAATTAAAACTAAAAAACATAAAATACACACAAAGATAAACCATCATCTTAGAACATGAAGATGAAGTGGATGCTGGCAGTCTTTTTTTTTTTTTTTTTTTTTTGAGAGGGAATCTCACTCTGTCACACAGGCTAGAGTGCTGTGGCACAATCTCAGCTCACTGCAGCCTCTGCCTCCTGGGTTCAAACGATTCTCCCACCTCAGCTTCCTGAGTAGCTGAGACTACAGGTGCCCACACCACCATGCCTGGCTAATTTTTGTATTTTTAGCAGAGGGGGGTTTCGCCATGCTGGCCAGGCTGATCTCAAACTCCTGGCCTGAAATGATCGGCCCACCTTGTCCTCCCAAAGTGCTGGGATGACAGGTGTGAGCCACCGTGCCCGGCCCCTGGCAGTATTTATTCAATGTCTCCAGGACAGCAGCTCTCCTGTCAGCCTCACCTTCCAAATATTCTGTGGCCTTGTATCCAGTGGCCATTTGCATTTCTTCTTGTATGAATTAATCATTCATTTCTTTACATGGTTTTCTTTTTGAGTTTTTTCTTATTGATTTGTTGGAACTCTTTGTATATGAAGAACCCAAATCCTTTGCCTCTTATGATGTTGCAAGTGACATTCCAACTGAGCTTCACGCATGTGGCCTTATGCATATTGTCAAAATGAAATTTTTTTTAAGAGGCAAGGTCTCGGTCTATCCCCCAGGCTGGAGTGCAGTGGCACAATCATAGCTCACTGCAGCCTCCAACTCCTGGACTCAAGGGATCCTCCCACTTCAGCCTCCCTAGTAGCTGGGACTACAGTTGCACACCACCATGCCTGGCTAATTTTATTTATTAATTTATGGTAGAGATGGGGTATTGCTATGTTGCCCAGGCTGGTCTCGAACTCCTGGACTCAAGCAATCCTCCCACTTTGACCTCCCGAAGGGCTGGGATTACAGGCGTGAACCACCACTCCCGGCCCCCAAAACAAACATTTTCAACCAAGGAAAAGAGAAAATAATGTCCAATGTAAACTCTCAAGCTAATCCTGCCTCTTCAAAAGATAAAGTAAGGGCCGGGCGCAGTGGCTCACGCCTGTAATCCCAGCACTTTAGGAGGCCAAGGCGGGTGGATCACGAGGTCAGCAGATGGAGACCATCCTGGCTAACTCGGTGAAACCCCGTCTGTACTAAAAATACAAAAAATTAGCCGGGCATGGTGGCGGGCACCTGTAGTCCCAGCCACTCGGGAGGCTGAGGCAGGAGAATGGCGTGAACCCGGGAGGCGGAGCTTGCAGTGAGCCGAGATCGCGCCACCGCACTCCAGCCTGGGCGACAGAGTGAAAAAAAAAAAAAAAAAAAAGATAAAGTAAGAACTGAAAGTGTCCCCCACCCCCAGAGTAACCACCAAGCCCTTGGGGCATTTCCTCCTGCACTTTTTCAATATGCTTTTTTCCTTTACAAAAGCTTCAACCAAAAGTGGCATGGCGGGTCTTTAACTTGTATTTCATTCCCCCAGAGAGGCGGCCTCAGGCGTCTCTTGGCTCCAAGCAGGCACGGGAACCTGACTTGCTGGACGGTCAACAGTCGGGTTCCTAGTGCAGCCATGACAGAATCTTCTTCTACAGCCCTTGTTGTTGGACACTTGGGCAGTTTTCAAATCAAGTGTTCTGTGCCACAAACCACGTTCTAATGCACAGCCCTGCTCATGCCGTCACGTTTTGTCTTGTTTTTAAAAAACGGCCTTGGCATGGGTGAGCAGTGGTCATGCCACCATTTTTATTAGATTTATTAGTTTGGTTTTTTTTTTTTTTTTTTGAGACAGAGTCTTGCTCTGTCACCCAGGCTGGAGTGCAGTGGCGCCATCTCGGCTCACTGCAAGCTCCGCCTCCCGGGTTCACGCCATTCTCCTGCCTCAGCCTCCCGAGTAGCTGGGACTACAGGTGCCCGCCACCACGCCTGGCTGATTTTTTGTATTTTTAGTAGAGATGGGGATTCACCATATCAGACAGGATGGTCTCGATCTCCTGACCTCGTGATCTGCCCGCCTCAGCCTCCCAAAGTGCGAGGATTATACAGGCATGAGCCACCGCGCCCGGCCCATTTGTATCTTTTTCACCAAGAGTGACTTTAGGTTTTTTATTCGTCTGTGTATCCAGTGGCCATTTTAATTTTTTCCTGTATGAATTAATCACTCATTTCTTTGCATGGTTTCTTTTTTTTTTTGAGTTTTTTCCTTATTGATTTGTTGGAACTCTTTGTATACGAAGAGCCCAAACCCTTTGTCTGTTATGATGTTGCAAATAGTTTCTCCCTAGCTTTCTCATCTCATCTAACTTCATTGTGAGTCTGTGACCACACAAAAGTGTTTAATTTTTATGTAGTCGAAAAACTTTTTTTTTTTTTTTTTTGAGTCAGAGTCTCATTCTTGTGTCCCAGGCTGGAATGCAGTGGCATGATCTCGGCTCACTGCAACCTCTTCCTTCCAGGTTCAAGTAATTCTCCTGCCTCAGCCTCCAAGTAGCTCGGATTACAGGCGCCTGCCTCTGTGCTCGGCTAATTTTTGTATTTTTAGTACAGAGTGGATTTCATCATGTTGGCCAGGCTGATCTCGAACTCCTGATCTCAAGTGATCTGCCCACCTCGGCCTCCCAAAGCGCTAGGATAACAGGCGTGAGCCATCATACCCAGCCTAAAAAACATTTTTTTTTTTGAGTCTGAGTCTCGTTCTGTTGCCCAGGCTGGAGTGCAGTCACACAACCATGGCTCAATGCAGCCTCAACCTCCCCAGACTCAGGTGATCCTCCTGCCTCAGCCTCCAGAGTAGCCGGGACTACAGGCACATGCCACCAGGCCCGGCCTAATTTTTGTATTTTTTTTGTAGAGATGGTGGTCTCGCTATGTTGCCAAGGTTGGCCTCAACCTCCTGGCCTCAAGTGATCCCGCCGCCTTGGCCTCCCAAAGTGCTGGGAATACAGACATGAGCTGCCGTGTCTGGCCTGTGTGGTCAAATTTGAAGAATTTTCTCCTTGCATGGTTCTGGATTTTGTATCTTCTCTATGCCTGAAAAGGACAAGGGGGCTGGGTGTGGGGCCAACCTTTGCTGAGCCTCTTCTGATCCCAGCACCTCCTGCTCACCCTCTCCTGTCTCACACGCAGCCACCCCCAGCTGTTAGAAAACTGCCGACCAAGGCCGGGCACAGTGGCCCACACCTGGAATCCCAGAACTTTGGGAGGCCAAGGGGGGTGGATCACCTGAGGTCAGAGAAGTTCAAGACCAGCCTGGCCAACATGGTGAAACCCCGTCTCTAATAAAAACACAAAAAATTAGCTGGGCGTGGTGGCAGGCACCTGTAATTCCAGCTTCTCAGGAGACTGAGGCAGGAAAATTGCTTGAACCCAGGGGGCAAAGATTGCAGTGAGCCAAGATGGCACCATTGCACTCCAGCCTGGGCAACAAGAGCGAAACTCTGTCTCTGGAAACAAACAAACAAACAAACAAACAAACAAACAAACAAACAAAGCAAGGAAGGCTCCCCGGAGGAGGTGGCCCCCAAGCTGAGGGTGGAAGGATGAGGAAGAGAAGACAGCCAGGTACAAAGAGAGGAAAGTTGTTCCAGGAGAGGACACAGCCAGGAAACAGGCCCAGAAACCAACAGGCGCTTGGAGGGACAACCAGGAGTGGCGGAGACGGGGAGGTGGGCAGGGACTTTCGGGCTCTGGGCAGCAGCAAGACATACAATGTCTGTGGAGTGCAGGGCCGGTCTGACGGAGGGAGGGAGGGGCGAGGGCAGGGTCCCGGATCCAGACAGGATGGCCCGGATGGGGGTGGGTGGCACATCCATCAGTGCCACCCGCCCCCGCCCCCTGGCCCTCGGCCCAAACCCAGGGAACAACTTGCATTTCCTCGTCTCGTAGCTTTTGCCTCTGCTGTTCCCTCTGCTCAGTTACCCTTCCTCCCTGTTCCAGCTTTGCAGGCTCAGCTCCAGGCAGCCATCCCTGCAGCCCCCAAGCCCTGAGTCTCCTCCTGAGTCTAGTTCTCACCCCTTGGGGTTGGGGGCACCTGTGCTCCCCGCCCTCCTAGGATCCTTGTCGTCTTTCCCCAGGGGCGCCCCCCCAGTTTCCCGTCTAACAG
Organism: Homo sapiens; assembly: GCF_000001405.40. Lineage (NCBI taxonomy): Eukaryota > Metazoa > Chordata > Mammalia > Primates > Hominidae > Homo > Homo sapiens. The sequence goes on along the minus strand of NC_000019.10, from coordinate 1,658,639 downwards.
GCATCTCTTTCCACCCCTCCTGTTGCCTTGGGCATCCCACTCCACAGCCACGTCACCGGCCTCCACCTCGGTCTCCCAGATGCCCTTCCCAACCCCCAGTGAGACCACGTGGCCCCCTCGGCTCCTCCAAACCCGCGAATGAAACCCAACCTTCTTAGCGTGGCAAGGCGTCCCTGGATGGCTTCTGACCTCCCAGCCTTTGTGCCAGAGGGCTGACAGCCTGGAGTGGCCTCCCCCGTTTCTGGAAGGCACCAGGTGCAGGTGAAGGAGCCTGGCGGGGTGAGGTGGGGTCGGTGGGGGACAGGACAGGTGGGCCGGGGATGGGAGCCTGGCTCAGCTTCAGGCATGAGGCCACTTGAGTCCTGCCTCGGTTTCCCCATCTGAACAATGGGATGACGTCCTCTGTGCCTTGAGCAAAGTTCAGGGGAGGTGAAGACCCCCGGGAAGAAGGGAGATGCCCCCATTGTGCCCAGGGTACACTGCAGAGGCGCCGTCCCCCCATGTCAAGGCGGGTGCAGGTCAGCAGGGCTGCCTGTGGGCAGGTGCATGGGTGGCGGGAACTGAGAATCTGGCTGGGCTCCCTGTCCCCTGCCCTGCCCCCGCCTCGGGGTAACTGGGCCAAACAATGCCCCATGGGGGGTGATGGGCAGGCGCCCTGTGTTTGCACGGGCGGCCCCGGAATGTGGCAGGACAGGCCCCCGGGGGCCCCTGAGTCAGGAGCTGTGGGCGCCTGGCCAAGAGGGGGTGGGACCATCCTCGGCAGTTGGCCCTGGCCCTGGGGTGGACGGGCACCCGGCAGGTGCAGAGGGGCTGCGTGGGGGGCTCGGACAGAAGGAGGGCTCGGGGAGGCCAGGCTGCATCCAGAGCTGGGCTCCCCCCGACTGGGGACTGTGCCTTCTTCACTGGTGCCCCCTCTCACGCAGCCCCTCCTGGCCATGACCCGCCTTGTCTCATGGGGCCTGGACACCACCCTGGGACATGAGCCTCCTGTTCCCCCTTCACGCCTCTCCCTTGACCCACGCTGGCCCCACTCAGAGAACGATACCACCATTCACAGGCCCAGGTCCCTAACCCCACACCTAGTAGGCAGGCTGCTAACCCCTCATACCCACCCCCTGGGAGAGCCCTCAGTTATCCTCCAAATGTACCCCAGATCCACCCCAACTCATGGTCCCTGTGATCACGTCCGTCTCTTGCTCAAACTCCCACCATGGTTCCCTAGTCCTCTCACCATGAAGACCCAATTCCTCCCTGTGGCATAGGAGGCCCTGCCCCTCTCTCTGATCTTGGCTCCTCTTCTCTGGTCTTCTCTGGGCTCCAGCCTCACAGGCCCCGTTCCTTGAACACCCCACACCCCCTCCCACCTCAGTACCTTTGTCCCTCAGCTTCCCCTGCCTGGCATGGTATCCGCTCTCTGCCTGTCGACCGCATGCATCTTGAGGTCATAGCCCAAGAGTCACTGCCCCAGGGGACCCACTCCCTGTGGGAGATGGTCCTTCTTCCCCTGAATGCCCTACAGCAGGAGGTGTGAGGCTGTGTTCCCATTCCCGTCAACCTCAGAGCCTCCTGCCCAGCTCTCCTGGCCCTCTGGCTCCCATAAGTCTGGGTGGAGGGGTAGGGGTCTGATCACCGACAAGCCTCTTCCCTTCCTTGGTGTCCTCATAGCTGGAAGTGCCCGAGGAGTCAGGAACCCTTGTGATCAGACCCCAGGAACTGGAGTGTGTCCCCACTGCTCCATTTCACACCAGAATCTCCTCCCTCCGCTAGGGGAGAACAATCATAAGCCCCTAGCACTCCCAATCTCAGGAGGCTTCCCTGCCCAGGTCCAACCAGCAAGCCTGGAGACGCCTCCTCCCAGAAGGCAGGAAGAATGGGGCCGGGTGTGGTGGCTCATGCTGGTAAGCCCATCACTTTGGGTAGGCCAAGGCAGGAAGATCGCTTGAGGCCAGGAGTTCTAGACCAGCCTGGGCGACAGGGTGAAACCCCGTCTCTATAAAAAAATACAAAAATTAGCCAGGCGTGGCAGTGGGCACCTATAATCCCAGCTACTCAGGAGGCTGAGGCAGGAGAATCGCTTGACCCCAGGAGGTGGAGGTTGTAGTGAGCTGAGCTGGCACCACTGCCCTCCAGCCTGGACGACAGAGTGAGATTTCATCTAAAAAAAAAAATTTTTTTTTAAGAGATGGGGTCTTGCTGTGTTGTCCAGTCTGGTCTCAAACTCCTGGGCTCAAGCGATCCTTCCACCTCACCCCATCTCTGCTAAAATAAAATAAAAACGAAGTTGTGGAGAATAAGGGAATGGGCCCTACCCTGGCCGAGTCCCAGCCCAGGGCTCTGTGGGGTGGTCCTGATCTGGTCGTGTTGGGATCAGGCCCCTCACTGGAGGTCTGAGCTCGAGCAGGAAGCCCCCACTTTGGGAGGCGACACCGATCGCCCCAGCTGCCCGTGCTCAGTGGACGCCGGAGCGAGGTTTGTCCCAGGGCCTGACGTGGGTGATAAGTGCTGGGCCGCCACTCCCTTCTCCGCCCCTGCTGGAGGGCGCTGGGGGTTGGGGGAGTGTGTTCATACCCTGGGAGAAGTCAAAGGTGCCCACTTTAGGGACAAATGGAAACAGAAATCTGGAGGGTGGCCCCGAAGTCCTAATCCAAGCCCAGTCTCTCTGCGGACAGCTGTGGCCTGCACACCTACTGCGTCTGTCTCTGGAAACCTCGCCATCGCCGCCCCTCGCCCCCCTCGCTTCTGTGTCTCCCTAGTGGGAAGTTGTCCTTGGCCTCAGTTTTTCTGACATACGTGGTTCATGTTGGCGGGGGCGCACACAGTAGGTGTGGAGGGAACAGGCGGCAGGTGCAGAGGCCCTGCTCCTCCTCCTGCCCGGCCCCAGAGCAAAACAAAGGCCACAGTCAGGAGGATAGCTTGCTGCCTGTCCCCGTACCAGGGCCCTGGAGGGAGCACCCAGGCCTCGGGGCTGGGCAGAGGTGGTGGCCAAGTGGGGGGCCCCCACGGGCTGCTCCACCCAGTGACTCAGCCCCAGGACTGACCTCCTTGGGGAAAACAATGGTGGCTTGTGGTTACCAGCGGAACCTCCTGGCAGGCGCGAGCCCCAGGGTGCCCTGGGGCCCAGGGAGGAGACCCCTAGTCTCAGTTTCCTCATCTGTACGATACGTGGAACCACACAGGCAGGAGGACCTCACAGGAAAGAGCCACATTCAGGACTAGACAAGGGGTCCCTCATGGGTCATCCTGCCGGGACAGCAGGGACTGAGTCCATCACTGTCCACAGTGCTACGATGCGCGGCACAAGGCCCCGTTCGCTGTCAGTGCCCGATAATTGAATAGTCTTGTACGGCGCAGTGGCACACGCCTGTAATCCCAGCACTCTGGGAAGCCAAGGCGGGAGGATCACTTGTGCCTAGGAGTTCAAGACCAGCCTGGGCAACATAGGGAGAACCCCGTCTCTACAAAAAATACAAAATTAGCTGGGTGTGGTGGCGCGTGCCTGTGGTCCCAGCTACTCGGGAAACTGAGGCGGGAGGATCGTTTGAGCCCAGGAGGTCAAGGCTGCAGTGAGCTGTGATCTCACCACTGCACTCCAGCCTGGGCAACAGAGCGAGACTCTTTCTCAAAATAATAATAATAATAATAAGAAGAAGAAGAAGAAGAAGAAGAAGAAGAAGAAGTCCGTGATTGGATGGTTGCTTCCCTTCCGTGGGTGAAACTGAAGGGCTCCTCGGGAGGACTCCGGCTGCCACACTATGGCTTGGACCCTGAGTGTGGGTGGGGAGTGGCCCACAGTGAGCTCCCTACACTGGAATGGGGAGAGCCAGACCCGGCCACAGACACCCTCAGACCCATGGGGTCAGGGCTGGGCCACAAGGAAGGGCCGGGGGCTGAGGAGGCTGGGGTGGGATTGGAGCTGCTTGGAGACCCTGGCTCCGGAGAGGCCTCTGCGGGGGTGGGGGGCGGCTGAGGAAGGCAGGCATCAGCTGTGAGCACCTACTGTGTGCCAGACTCCCCCCTTCCACTGTCCAGATGGAGAAACCGAGGCCCGGAGAGTAGCACGAACTTGCCTGAGGTCACAGTGAGGTGGAGAGGGATGAGGGATTTGCAGCACAGACCCTGGGACCCACAGCCCTCTCCCCAGACCTGCGGCACGTGGAACTCTCTGGGCACGGAGGGTCGGACTGTGGACAGCCCAGTTTGGGTGTATAGCAGGAGGGGCTTGTGGCTTTGGTGGGGGGCCCCTGTGGCCCCGCCTCCCCGCCGGCCTGGCATAGGTGCAGCATTGAACTGTGATGACTCAGGGGCTCCAGATAGGGGTGGGAAAAGCCTCCCAGGTAGAGGACAAAGCAAACGTAGAGGCCCGGGGTGGGGATGAGCTTAGCAAGTTCTGGACCATCCAGAGGGCAGGATGGCTGGAGCCAAGCGGGCCAGCGAGATGGTGGCATCTTCCCAGGCTGGGAGTGGAGTGTAAATTTCCCTTTGGGGCCCCAGGGAGCCCTGGGAGATTGTGTTATTTTCATTTATTTGTTTAGTTATTTTACTTTTTTTTTTGAGACGGAGCCTCGTTCTGTCGCCCAGCCTGGAGTGCAGTGCTGCGATCTCTGCTCACTGCAACCTCTGCCTCCTGGGTTTAAGCGATTCTCCTGCCTCAGCTTCCCGAGTAGCTGAGATTATAGGTGTATGCCACCACGCCCAGCTAATTTTTGTATTTTTATTTTATTTTACTTATTTATTTATTTATTTTGAGACGGAGTTTCGTCCTTGTTGCCCAGGCTGGAGTACAATGGCGTGCTCTCGGCTCATTGCAACCTCCGCCTTTCGGGTGAAAGCGATTCTGCTGCCTCAGCCTCCCGAGTAGCTAGGACTACAGGTGCCCGCCACCATGCCCGGCTAATTTTTGTATTTTTAGTAGAGATGGGGTTTCACCGTGTTGGCCAGAGAGGTCTCGAACTCCTGACTTCAGGTGATCTGCCCGCCTTGGCCTCCCAAAGTGCTGGGAATACAAGCGTGGGCCACCGCGTCCGGTCAACTTTTTAAATTATTATTTTAAATTATTTTAAATATTTTTAGAGACGGGTGTGGGTGGGGGGGGTTTCACTATGTTGTTCAGGCTGTTCTCGAACTCCTGGCCTCAAGCGATCTTCCCGCCTCGGCCTCCTTCAAAGCGCTGGGATCACAGGCAGGAGCCACGGCGCCCGATCCTAGGCGGGGTCACTTTTTACTAAAATGTAGACACGGACTACTAAGAATCAGGAAGCCAGATCTGGCCTGAGTTCTGTCCAAAGTCAGGTCCAAATTCACAGATGCCGAGACGGAGACTCAAGTCGGCAAAGGCACCGCTGAGACTCCCCGCGGGGCTCTCTGACCCAGAGCCGGAGCCAGAGTCGGTTTTCCCGCCGGGAAAATGGGTCTGACGTAGCCCCCTCGGGGCCGTGATACCCGCTCGCACCACTCAGCACGCGGGGCCGGCCCGAGGAACGCAAATATAACCAAGCAGAAGGCTCCGCGCGGGCGGCCACGCCAACCTGAGAACAAAACTCCAGGACCCACCCCGGCCGCCTCTCGCGGCCTCTCGCTCGCAGAGTCCCGCCTCTGCTGAGGGGCGGGGCCGAGAAGAAAGGAGGCGGGGCCTCACCACGAATGGCTAGGATCCCCGCCCATCAGACTTTCGCGGCTTCCGATTGACCAGACTGCTCTGCCTTAGCTTTCAATCTCACGGGCCTTACTCGCTTGCGTCATGGACTAAGCGCACAGCTCGTGTGTGCTTCCGCGGACGGGGATAGTCCGTGATTTCTCCCCGCGCCGTGGCCCGACCGCCTCCTCTGCGCGTCCCCGCTCCCAGGCTCTGGACCTCACGGGATTCGGGGTCCTCACGAGGGTGCTCGAGAGGCCGAGCTAGGGCGTTCGGGCCCGAGCCGCCCGGAGGTGGCGGAGGGATCCGCGTGGGCCGCCGGGCGGGGCACTCGGGGGCGGGGCAGGGGCGGGGCCTGCACGGGGCGGGGCGGGGCGGCGCGGGCGGGGGGCGGAACATGTCTCCCGCCGCAGGAAGATGAGGCAGCGGCGGCGGCTGCGGGCGTAGCGGGCCGGAGCCGACGCGGCGGCGGGCACCGCGGGCACCGCGCACGCCGCTGCCCCAGGGGCGCCCCGGCCGGCCGCGCGCACGGGCCCCGCGGGACGGGCCACGCGGGGGTGGGAGGGGCCCGGGCCACGCGCGCCGCCGCCGCCGCCCACGCGCGACCCTCGGGGGCCCGGCCGCGACGCACCTTTGTCCGGGGGGGGGCCCCCCCGCTTCATGCCGCCGCCCCCCCCCACGCGCCGCGTGCCCGGCCGCGCCCAGCAGGTGAGCCCGGCGGGGGGCGGGGGGCGCGCCCGGTACCCCCGTGCTTTGTGCCCAGGGAACCCCGGCCCGCCCCGCGCGCGCTTGTTGGGGGGGGGCGCGGAGGAAGTTGGGGCGGGGGCGGTGTCGGGGGGCGCCCCGCGGCCCGGGAGTCATTGTTCTCCAACTTCGCGCGGCGCCGGGGGGGCGGCGACGTGGAGGAGCCCGGAGCTCGCCAGGCCCGCGTCGCCCCCGTCGGGCCGGGCACTTCGGGAAACTTTAAGCAGCCCCGGGCGGGGGCGCGGGGGGCGCCGGACGGGCTGTGCAACTTAGGCGCGAGGACCGTCCCCCCCAGCCCGGGCGCACGGGGACCCCGGGGCGCCCCCTTTCTCGGGTAGAGGGGGGCCCGGCCCGGGCGCCGGAGTTTGGGGTGGGGAGCGCGCGGGAGGGACGTCCTTTTGTCTGCGCGGGGAAGGTGCCGCGCGCTGCAGGCGCTGGTCGGGGCCGGGCGGGCCGGGGGGGGGCGCGCGGGTAACATCTGCTCCGCGTTAATGCGGGGCGAGGCGGCGGCCGCGCTGCGAGCTTCAAAGGCTCCCGGGCCGCACCGCCTGCACCGGCTGCGGGGGGAGGGGGGTCCGGCTTCCCGGGCCGCCTCCCCCCGGGAAAAAGGCGTTCCAGCGCGCCCCCCGCCTTCGGCGCCGTGCAAAGTGGCTTCAAACATTCTCCAAGTCTCTCAAAGTCCTTGGGACGCCCCAGAAGTCTTCCAGCTCCCGTAGAATGCCCGTTTTAGCTCGCCACCCCCCCAACTAAGTCTGTCTTAAAATCGGTTTCAGCTACCCCACAAAAAAGTGCGGTTTCGTAGTCCTCAAAAAAAGTCAGTTTCACACGCCCTCCAAAAAAGAAAAAAACTGAGCGGGGGAGGGGCTGCGCTGGGGCGCCCGCTTCACACCCGGCCTCCAGTTGGCAGACAAAGAGGGGATTTCTCTGCTTCTGAAGTTGGGTCTCCCTCGACCTCGGAGGCTCCTCCCCACCCCCAGCCTCGGAGGTGTCTCCCGGGCTGCCCCCGTCCCCACCTGGGGACCCCTGGGGAAAGTCGAGACTGGAGGGGCCTGGAGTGCATTTCTTTGGAATGGAAATTTTTCTCTGTACCTTTTTCTGGGGGTGGAATGGGTCTTGGCAGGTGGATCCCCCATCCCCCATCTTAGAATGGAGCCCCCTGGGACCACGCGGGAGCACCCTGGTCTTGAGACGCTCTCCCCGCTCATGGAGGGCAGGCAAGGGATGTTGTCAAAGTTTTGCTTAAAAATAATTCCCGGATACATCGCGACAGTAAAGCAATCTAGGGCTGTTTTTTTTTTCTTTCCTGAATACTGTTGGGGTTTTCTTGGGGGGAGGGAGATTGAGGGTGGAGGAAAGCTTTGCTGGTCCCTGCATAGGATGCGCGTCCCCCCCACCCCCGGCACTTTAAGTCTTGAAGCTTGTAAAAGAGTTTCGTGGTTTTCTGACTTGTGGATTTCCTTCATGTTGAATTTGGGGGCGACCTGGTCTTCAACGGGCTGTGCCATCTGCTGGGGGAGGGGGGAATCACCAAATTTCCCTCGGGGCGGGGTAGGATCGGGCTGTTCCTCCCTTTCCCGGGGGTAGGGGGCCTCAGAGGAAGCCCGGGGTTGGTTGGAAATGAGAGAGTTGGAGAAAGGAGAGGTTCTGGCTGCCCTGCGTGCAGTTTAAACTTGGCAACTTGATGCCCTGGTGTTCCCTGGGGGAGTTAGGGAGTTTATATTTGCACACCCTCCCCCCATTTTTCAGACTCCCTGTGGTCTCTGGGGAGGACTCTGCAGGGACCTAGACTCTGGAATTCCAGCTTCCCTGCGCCTGCTCCCAGGGCTCCCCGTGCCCCCAGGGCTCTGCTGGAACTCAGACCCCAGGGCGGTTGAGGGTTTTTTAGGTGGCTTTTAGCACTCTGTGCTTTGACCACTCACAACTCTTCTCCCCTCCCTGTTTCTCCCTGTCCATCTGTCCCCACATCCACCAAGCAGGGTTTCCAGGCCTGAGGTGCCCGCCCTGGCCCCAGGAGAATGAACCAGCCGCAGAGGATGGCGCCTGTGGGCACAGACAAGGAGCTCAGTGACCTCCTGGACTTCAGCATGGTGAGCCAGGACCCCCGCCCAGCCCCCGACACCCCTTTGCCTCCACAGTTCACGGGAAGGTTTTCAGGGGAGAGTGTTTGCTGAATACTTCAGCGATGGAGCCTCAGCTGTTTGGATGGGAGGCCCCGGTGGGGCTGGGGGAGTGGGCCGCTCTCTGGCAGGAGGCTGACAGCGCACGGCAGCACGTGTGCTATGGGGCTTTTGCCCGGACGCAGCATTCTACAGCCTACTGCTTTACAGATGGGGAAACTGAGTCCTCAGGGGCATGGTCCTGGGCCCCCAGCTTGGCTGGGTAAGCAAAATGCGGCCTTGATCTTCTGATCTGTAAAATGGGCCTGATCAGGGTCGCTTACCTCATTGTAGATACAAAAATTAAAAGTAAGTAAAAGATCACTGCACTCCAGTCTGGTTGACAGTGAGACCCTGGAGACCCTGTTTCAGTAAATGGGAGGGGGGCTGGGCACAGTGGTTCCCACCTGTCATTCCAGCACTTTGGGAGGCTGAGGCGGGAGGATCGCTTGAGGCCAGGAGTTCCAAGTCCAGCCCAGGAAACATAGTGAGGCCCCATTTCTCAAAAAGACAAAACAAAACTCAAAAAATTAGCTAGGAGTGGTGGTAGATGCCTGTGGTCCCAGCTACTTGGGAGGCTGAGGCAAGGAGAATCACTTGAGCCCTGGAGGTTGAGGCTGCAGTGAGCTGTGATTGCGCCACTGCACTCCTTCCTGGGCGATAGAGTAAGATCCTTCCTCAAAGAAGTAAAGGAGGGGGTGCCCAGTGCTGAGCGGACCACCCTCCGTGAACAGGGCAGACACAACCTGCCCCATACGGGACTCCCCTGGTGGGCAGAGGATGCGGGCATGAAACTGACTGTGTGGTTAATTAGTCACACGTGGGTGCTGAAGTTAAGCTGCCAGAAGCCGAGCTTGGGCCAGGAGGAGGCTGGATTGGGATTGAGTGGGAATTCATGGGCCACCGAGCAGACAGCAGCGCCACCATTGTGACTGCCACGGTTATCACTGCGGAGCAGGCAGGCCCGGTGGGGAGGGCGGGGCGGCTTCTTCAGAGTCTTAGGTGGTTGGATCTGTCCCTGTACGGCCCATTCTCCACCTGGGTGAACGGAGGCTCAGAGGGTGCTGGTCCTCAGAAGTCACACAGTTCAGGCAGGTGCAGTGAGGCTGGAATGCCGGAGCCCCCTGGGGTACCGGCCGCTGACGGGTGCTGTAAAGGCCCGGGGCCTCGGTTTGCCTGCTGGTACAGTGGGGCCATGTGTTATGGGTTCCTGGAGAAGCCCAGGGACCTTGGTTTGTTTCTTCTGGCCTGTCTACAGATGTCCTTAAATTCTGCTCCCCCCCCCCCCCCATGCCCAGTGGCAGCGTTTGGGGTTGAAACAGGTTGGGGGAGGGCACTTTCAGTCTGAATTTAACCCTCCCGCCTATGAGGCACAGGCCACTGAGGTCTGTCAAAAACAAAAGTCCCCAAACTGAAACAACACCGGCCACCCTGCGGAAAAAAACAGCCCAAGGGCCGGAGGGGCCAAGGCTCCGGAAGGGCCATGCTGGTATTTTTAAGCCCCGTTTTATTTTTGCTTCCCTGGCTGAGTAACCCGAGGTGCAGTTGGGTTGTTTTTTGTTAAACTGACAAGTCACAGACCGCTGGGCTGGAACAGACCAGCGTTTGGGGGGAGGGGGCACAGGTTCAGCCCCAGGACCTGACTCCTCACCTCAAGCCACTCAGCACGTCTCCCCATCCCGGGTCGGAGCCGTTCCCAGATGAGGAAACAGGCTGGGAGCGGCGAGGTGCCCGTCCTCTCCGGGCGTCCCCCCTCGGGCTTTACCCAGAGGTGGAGTTCCACCTCCCTGGCCAGGACGGGGAGGCAGAGGCAGCCCCTGTGACTGCCCGCATCCCCACTCTGTTCCTGCATGCCTGCCTTCTGCCCCTGCCGAGGCTGGGTCCTAGGGGAAGCACTTACTTCCCTGGACCAGATGCGTATAAAGTGAGAGAACAGGGAACTCCAAATAAATACGAGGGAGAACGCTAACCCAGGCTGTTCCCAGCGCGCCTTTGTCCTGCCCTGACCCAGGCTAGCTTTGGTCGGGAACGAAGGACCCGCCAGCACTGGCCTGGGCTGACATGCCCTGCCTGGGTCCCAGGCAGTCCCTGGGCCTGAGTCAGGGGCTTCAGGAATGAAGGGGGAGCGAGTCCCTAGGACCGAGGCTGTTGGAAGCGAGCTCCCCAGGCCCTGCCGCGTGCGAGACTCCCATGGGCTTTTGGGTTTCACCACGTCCCACACAGCCAGAGCCCTCGGTCCATTTCTCAGAAGAGGAAACTGATGCTCCAAGGGGTGCGGGGGCTGTTCTGGGCTGCTCATGAGGCCTGCAGAGCCCACAGGACACAGCCCGGTACCCATGTGACCTGTGGCACGTTGGTGCAGCCCTGGTGTCCTAGGGGACAAAGCAGATAGAAATGCAGTTGGCTGTCCCCCACAGCAGGCCTTTGTTTCCCAAATGAGAGGTTGGCCCTTGGAGGTCTGGGTCCAGGGGAGGCTGGGTGCACCGGAGCCTGCGGGAGGGGGTGTGGTCCAGGGCGAACACTGCCTTCAGCGCGGGTGCCACCCCTACCCGCAAGACCGTTCTTCCTCTCCAGGGCCAGGTGAGAATGCGGCCTCCGTTTCCCCTTCTGCAGGACCAGGGAGTGGGGGACAACCCCGCTTCCTGGGTCCCCTTTGGACCTGTGGATCGTGGCCACAGGCGCTGTGCCTTCGCCTCCTGGCTGGCTGGGGAAGGTGTTGGGGATCTTGGCTGCTCCTCAGAAAGCCCCTGGCTCTGATTCCAGCCACTTTGATCACTTAAGCCCCGATGGGAGCCTTAAAACGCAGCCCCTTGGGGCAGGGCGGAGGCTTGTTGTGTTTTTTTCTGTGGCAAAAGGGTTTGTTGCCGTTGGCTTTTCCGGTTAATGCCGCTGAGCCCGTTAATCTTTAGGGACTTAGTGTTCTGGGTACGGGTGAGCCGGGCGGGAGGGAGGGTGGCAGTCCCACACCCCTAGCACCCAGGAGCTGGATCAGCTGTGGGGTGCAGCCTCTCCCCAGCCCCTCCAGCTTCCTGCCGGGCCCGGGGCTCCATCCCGTGTCTTCCTCGACCTGCTGCCTGTCTGAGCCTCGGCTTCCCCTTTTGCCAAGCAAACCCATACCCAGCCCTGGTAGGGGGACACTGGGCCCTACCCCCCGCTCCAGGGACCCCCTGCTCCAGGGCCTGCCATGCGGGGCCAGTGCACACACAGGAAACGAGGAGTCAGCCAGGGCTCAGGCATCCGGGGACTCTCCACATGTCCACCTGTTGAGTGTAAACCTCTCACTTTTCAGAGCTGAAACGTAAAGACAACTTTGTATCACTGTCAAGAGCTGATAAGTTGTATCCTTCGCCTAATGGGATACCCCTCCCCCCAGAGCAAAGGCAGGGGGAACAGCGAGTTTTCAGCGGCAGGGACTCTGCCTGGCGGTACAGCGGGGTCATCGTCTGGAGTTTTCTCACTCTGGGCGTGGGTGTCCAGGGTGCAGCGTCACTTGAGGGCACGCGAGTCCTCAGAGTCTTCTGGTCTGTGATGGGGCGGAGCAGGACGGGCCGGGCCTAGATGGAGCGCAGTCTCAGGTTCCCGGGTGTCCCCAGCTCTGCTCCCAGCTTGGGTTTGAACCCGGGACTGTAGGGTTTGGTTTGCCACCCGCCCCGCTCACGTCTCCCCTCCCCTCCCTGCAGATGTTCCCGCTGCCTGTCACCAACGGGAAGGGCCGGCCCGCCTCCCTGGCCGGGGCGCAGTTCGGAGGTTCAGGTAGGACCCCGCCTTCCTGCCAGCGCTCGTGGAGTGAGGAGATCAAGGGTCTGTTGAAGACAGTGTGCGGGCGAGGGAGGCTGGGGCAGCAAAGGAGGGAGACAATGGGGAAAGGGCCACACAGGCCGGGTCGGGGGCAGCGAGCCTGAAGACCCCTGAAATCAGCTGCCGTTGCCCGTGTGACCTGCCTTGGGAGCCCGAGCCCCTGAGCCCCTCGTCCCCTCGTCCCTCCCGCGCCTGGAGCCTGGGTCTGGGGGCTGGGTGGGGCTTGTTTTTAGGCGCAGGGTTGGAGCTGGGCCTGTGTGTGGGTGGGGATCTCGAGCATCCGTTTCTCCAGTCAATCCATAAGGGGGAAACTGAGGCTCTGGAGAGGGCGTGGTGCGGGATCCCGGCTCTCACTGGATCCCACCCACCTTGTGAGCCTCGACGACTTTCATTTAAGCAGGTATTAGGCGCTTGCTGTATGCAGGGCCCAGCACCAGGGTGACCGGCCATTGTGGTTTGCCCAGGACTGAGGGGCAATTCCTGGGACCCGCGGCTTTGAGTGCTCAAAGCAGAAACATCCCAGGCTGACCTGGATGAGCGGGTCACCCTCGCTGATGACACAGCAGTGGGCGGGACAGATAGGGGAGACGTGGGGTCCTGGGGGTGGCCTGAAAATCACACTCTGGAGCATGGGCAGGGCTTCACGGCACACCCAGCGAGGGCCAGGTTGCCCCAAAGCGGGACCTCTAGTGAAGGTCTCCGCAGAGGGCGTGTCGGGGCAGAGCCCTGAGGGTGAGAGGAAGGGGCCGTGGGAGCATGAGGGGAGGAATTTGCCAGGCAGAGAGAGCAGCCCGTACGGACGCCCTGCGGTGGGACCGGCCGGCGGGGCGGGCTAGGGGCGCTGTGTTCGTTGCAGGGGCAGCGGGGAGCCCTGGATGGTTGTGAATGGAGAGAGGGTCTAGTCTGATGTGCATTTGGGCGGCCCAGGCTGGCTGTCGACAGGATTTGGTGGGGGAGGTTGGGGCGGGTGCCCCCGATGCTGCTTCAGAGCCACGGGTCTCTTTGTGGACATCAGCATCTTTCCGGGGAGTGGGGGCCTCGGGTTGGGGCCTCTGAAGCTGTGTCCTTCCTGCCTCCGGGATCTGGGTGGAAAGCGCCGTCCTGCAGTTATCTCCAGAATCCCCCAGGGGTGGGCCCTGGCTGGAGTGTCGGGGTTTTGAGTGGTGGGCAAAGGGGGTTCTGTACTTGGGCACTTGCACCCCCACATGGAGAGACATCGCTTTGCTGCCCCCACTGCCTCACACTGGCCTTCCCCTCTACGTGAGGAAGTGGCCACAGGGCTGGCCGGAATATGCTCCCTGAGGCGTGGAAATCCCCAAACGCCACCCTGCCAGCCCCCCGGAAACAGCCCCAGGAACCGGACATGCTAATGCTTCCCTGTGTGAGGCAGAGGGTCAGGCCCTGGGGGCTTCCTGGAGGAGGAAGCGCAACTCCCAAGGCCGTCCACCCCCATTCTCCTGGGCCTCTGGGTGGGCTTACAGCAGGGCCTGGTGGGGAGGGTGGGGTGGGAGGTGTCTTCCCTCGTCCCCTGTCGCCTCTCACCCCCTCAGCCCTGGCACGGACCACTGTGAGATTGGTCCCTGGGTAACCAGAGCTGTGGTGTGTAGGCCGTGTGGACCTGAGAATGCTCCCTCTGGGTTGCCTCTCCCTGGACGCCCAGCCCGGTCCCAGCAGGAACCTGCCAATGTTTGCAGATGTATTTTCTGTGGTTCCCACAGAGTCTCGCCCTGTGCTCCGGCCCTGCCCCAATGCTGCAGGTTGGGAGGGTCTCGCCTTGTCCCCTCACACGTTAGGGCGGAGGCTTTGGAGGGCCCAGTGAGGCCCAGTATGTTGCATTTTTTGCCCTTGAGGGACGTGATGTGGCTGCTCCAGCCTGGGACCCCCCAGCTCCTGGACACAGAGGGGTGACCCCCTCCCCGTTCAGTCCATGCAGTTAACGCCCGCCTGAGCCCGGGGGTGGTGGAGGATGCAGAGCTCCAAGGCCTGAGTTGGTGGCACCCTCCTCATTGCCTCCACTCCCCCAGGCCCCTGCAGGCTGTGGCGCTGGCCCCAGGTGTGGCCCTCCCGAAGCTCCCGCAAGATGGGCACCTGCTCTCTTCCATCGTCAGGTTCAGCGAGTCGATGGGTGCGAGGGGCGGAGGGATCCCGGCAGGGCCCAGGAGCTGCAGTAGCTCATTTCCCCGCTTCCTGCTTCTCCTCTCCGAGGACCCAGGAAGAGGGGAGTTTGGGGCTCATCAGCAGGATGGAGCCCCGGAGCTGTGGGATCCCTTCCCAAACCTCGGCTTCTTCCTGGAACAGTGGGTGCAGCTTCCTTCCAGGCGGGGCCTAGTTGGCTTCGGGGACGCCACCCTTCGCCAGGAGTCCCCAACGCTGATGGCTGATGGGGTACCCCAGCCGCATTCTCCACCTTGGCCCCTTCTTCATGTGCCCTGTTCTAGCTCCCTTTTAAGTCACCTCGCTTTTCTTAAGTTCATTTGAAAGGAAACTTTAGATTTGAGAACCAGAAACCCAGGTGAGAATAAAAGGTGTCCCTGAAAATTAATTAAACATAAGTTTTCCCCTGTGAAGGGTCTGCCTGTTCTTCGATATTTATAAATATTTAAAAATTGGTGTCGAGAGAGGAGTTAGGTACTGGGCAAGGTGGCTCACACCTTTAATCCCAGCACTTTGGGAGGCCAAGGCAGGAGGATCGCTTGAGGCCAGGAGGTCAAGGCTGCAGTGAGCTATGTTTGAGCCACTGCGCTCCAGCCTGGGTGACTGAGAGACCCCAACTCAAACAAACAGAAAAGGGCCAGACACAGTGGTTCATGCCTATAATCCCAGCACTTTGGGGGACCAAGGCGGAAGGATCGCTTGAGCGCAGGAGTTAGAGACCAGCCTGGGTAACACAGCAAAACCTCATCTCTACTAAAAATACAAAAATTAGCTGGGCGTGGTGGCGCACACTTGGGGTCCCAGCTACTCGGGAGGCTGAGGCAGGAGGATTGCTGGAGCCTGGGAGGCGGAGGTTGCAGTGAGCTGAGATTGCGCCACTGCCCTGCAGCCTGGGTGACAGAGCCAGACCCTGTCTCAAAACAGAAACGAAACAAAAAAGGCATTAGAGATTAACGAATAGGAAACCAAGATTTTCTGGTTGTCTGGATCGGAAGACATTTAAAACGGGAATAATTTTCGTACGCCTTCTCCCACCCACCGCCTCCCATTTTTGGAAACCCTCAGGCACAGGTCTCTGAGTGACAGCCTATCTTCTGCCAAGACAGACAGGCTCTGAGGCCACGGGAGACACCAGGAAATTGCTTATTGACGGACCAAAGGAAAGTTCTTTCCTATTTTTCATTTCCCCGTCGCTTTCTCTGTCCGTGCGATTGTAAGTGTGACACACGGTCAGAGTGAAAATCCACAGAACGGCACCTCCGCGTTCTGCTTTAAGAGGAAACCCCGGGAGAACCTGGCGCATGGGTCATTTCCTCCGGGTGCGTGTCTGGGAGTGGAATTGCTGGGTCCCTGGATGCTTTTTCACATTGAAAGCGTCCCTTGTGACCGGGCGCGGTGGCTCAGGCCTGTAATCCCAGCACTTGGGAGGCCAAGGCAAGAGGAGTACCTGGGACTAGGTGTTCGAGACCAGCCTGGCCAACGTGGTGACAGCACGGCCTGTCTCATTTAATAGGTGACAAAGATCGTGTCCTTTCACCTGCCACTTGTTTAATAGAGGGCGGTGGTCTTCTCGGAAGGGGATTGACCCTGTGAATGGCTCTCTGGTGAATTTTCTGTTACTCTCTTGGGCCCTCGTCCTTGAAGTTGATCCACTTTTTATTCTGAAGTCTTTCGGGATTCACAGGAAGTGGCAGAGTGTTCTCCTCTCACCTAGCCACCCCCAGGGGTACCGTCCCGCCCACCCGTGGTGCTGCGTCAGACCTAGGAAGCCGACATTGGTGCCGTCCACAGATCCTGATCAGATTCCACCGGCTTTACACGCACGTGTGTGTGTCTGTGTGTGCGTGCGGGTGTGTGTCTGTGCGTGTGCGCGTCTGTGCGTGTGCGTGCGTGTGTGCGCACGTGTGTGTGCGTCTGCGCGTGCGTGTCTGTGCGTCTGCGCGTGTGTGCGTGTCTGCGTCTGTGTCTGCGTGCGTGTGTGTACGCGTGCGTGTGTGTGTGTGTGTGTGTGTGTGTGTGTGTGTGTAGTTCTGTGCAGTTTTGAGACATGCACCTTCTTTAAGCCCAGGAATCACCAATCTGTTCTTCATCTGTACGATTTTTTTTTTTTAGGGACCAGGTCTCACTCTGTTGTCCAGACTGGAGTGCAGTGGTGTGATCATAACTGACTGTAGCCTTGAAGTTCTGGGCTCAACTGATCCTCCCACCTCAGCCTTGTGAGCAGCTGCGACCACCTAATTAAAAAAATATGTATTTTGTAGAGGGCTGGGTCAGCGGCTCACACTGGTAATCCCCAGCACTTTGGGAGGTTGAGATGGGAGAATTGCCGGAGCCCAGGAGTTCAAGACCAGCCTGGGCAACATGGAGAAACCCTGTCTCTGTTTAAAAAAAAAGAAAAATTTCAGCTGGGTGCGGTGGCTCACACCTATAATCCCAGCATTTTGGGAAGCCAGGGTGTGTGGATCACATGAGGCCAGGAGTTCAAGACCAGCCTAGTCAACGTGGCGAAACCCCGTCTCTGCTAAAAATACAAAAATTAGCTGGGCGTGGTGGTGCGTGCCTGTCATCCCAGCTACTCGGGAGGCTGAGACACGAAAAGCACTTGAACCTGGGAGGCGGAGGTTGCAGTTAGCTGAGATTGCGCCACTGCACTCTGGCCTCGGGGACAGAGGGAGACCGTGTCTGAAGAATAAAAAAATATTGTCTAGATGGGGTCTTGCTGTGTTCTCCAGGCTGATCTTGTATTCATGAGCTCAAGTGATCCTCTTACCTCAGCCTCCCAGAGTGCTGTGATTACATGTGTGAGCCACTGTGCCCAGCCCAATTTTTCACTTTGAGTATTTTGTGTAAATGGAATCCTATAGTTTGCAACCTTCTGAGATTAGCTTTTATTCTGTTACGTTAGCATAATTCCCTGGAGATCCAGCCAAGCTGTTGGCTGTATCTTTTTTTTTTCTTTTTATTGCTGCCTCATTAACTTTTTTTTTTTTTTTGAGACCGAGTTTTGCTCTTGTTGCCCAGGCTGGAGTGCAGTGGCACGATCTCAGCTCACTGCAACCTCCGCCTCCGCCTCCGCCTCCTGAGTTCAAACGATTCTCCTGCTTCAGCCTCCTGAGTAGCTGGGAATATAGGTGCCTGCCACCATGCCTGGCTAATTTTTTGTAGTTTTAGTAGAGACATGGTTTCGCCACGTTGGCCAGGCTGGTCTCAAACTCCTGACCTCCAGTGATCCACCCACCTCGGCCTCCCAAAGTGCTGGGATTACAGGCGTGAACCACCGCGCCTGGCCGCCTCATTAACTTTTTAACAACATCAGTAATACAACAATTTACATCACTTTTTTTTTTTTTTTGAGACGGAGTCATGCTCTGTCACCCAGGCTGGGGTGCAGTGGCGTGATCTCAGCTCACTGCAAGCTCCGCCTCCCAGGTTCACGCCATTCTCCTGCCTAGCCTCCCTAGTAGCTGGGACTACAGGTGCCGGCTAAGTTTTTGTATTTTTAGTAGAGACGGGGTTTCACCTTGTTAGCCAGGATGGTCTCCATCTCCTGACCTTGTGATCCGCCCGCCTCGGCCTCCCGAAGTGCTGGGATTACAGGTGTGAGCCACTGCTTACATCAGTGTTTCTTGAGCACTGTGCATTGGACACAAAGCTTGGCTTATTCACTGGGAATTCTCAGTTCTAACAGGTTAGCGAAATAGGTGTAATTATTACCGTATTTTACTGGTAAAGAAGCTGAAACTTAGAGAGTTTAGTAACCATTGCGCTAATTTTTTGTATTTTTAGTAGAGGCAGGGTTTCACCGTGTTAGCCAGGACAGTCTCGGTCTCCTGACCTGGTGATCCTCCCGCCTCGGCCTCCCAAAGTGCTGGGATTACAGGCATGAGCCACCGAGCCCGGCCTCATTTGGCTGTTTGATAATGTTTGTAGGCGCCTGTCTGTCCACCCGTGCCAAAAGTGCTGGGATTCCAGGCCTGACCCTCTGCGCCTGGCCCCGTTCGGCTCTTTGATAACGTTTGGAGGCGCCTGTCTTTCCACCTGCGCAGGGAGGCTGAGGGCGCCGCGGTCCTCAATGCGCCAACTTTTAGGTGGTTTCTTTGTTCTTGACTCGGCTGCCCTGTGCATTTTCTCTCTCTCGTTGATTTTTCTTCTGGAGAATCTGCTTCATTGGCAAATCGATATTGATCAATTGATCAATTTTCCTCTTTATCGGCATTTCTTCTCTTTCTAAAGTTTTTGGTGACTTTCAGATCACAGGCCCCTTTTGCTGACTTCTGCCCTCTTCTGTTCCATCAGTGTGGTGTTGAGGGTTCCACCCCGTGAACCCCATCCCATTGGTTTCCATAATGCATGTTTTTCTCATATTACTGACATTTGTTCCTTTTTTTTTTTTTTTTTTTTTTTCCTAATTTCCTCTTCAGGTCAGGTTGCTTCAGAGGTTTCTGAGTTCCAAGTTGGAGGTCCTTTCTTGATTTCTAGATCTCCAGTGCCAAAACTCAGCTTTGGCTTAAACGGTAGCTACTGTTTGGAGGACGCAGAGCTCCTCTGCCGAGGCTGAAACATGGATTATTTTTGTCCTTCTTTGTGAGTACTTGAGGGATAGTTGGATGTGGAGCTGCGAGGCCTTTGAACCATATTTAGATTTTTAATCTGTTTAATGTCAGGCTGAGAGCAGCGCCATCCCCCTCTGTTCTGTTTGTCGGTTTCTCTGTTGACGTATTTAGATGCCAGGATTGTGGGCTTGTGTGGGCTGAGACAGTGGGATTTCGTTGTGGGTCGAGCCATTGTCAACAACAAAAAAATCCGTTCCTTGGCTGGTGGTGGTGGCTCATGCCTGTAATCCCAGCACTTTGGGAGGCCAAGGCAGGTGGATCTTCTGAGGTCAGGAGTTCAAGACCAGCCTGGCCCACAGGGCGAAACTCCATCTCTACTAAAATATAAAAAATTAGCCAGGCATGGTAGCAGGTGCCTGCAATCCCAGCTGCTCGGGAGGCTGAGGCAGGAGAATCACTTGAACCTGGGAGGCAGAGGTTGCAGTGAGCTGAGATCGCGCCACCGCACTCCACCCTGGGCGACACAGCGAGACTCTGTCTCAGAAAAAGAAACCTCCCTTGAATTGAAACTTCGATATGAAGGTTGCAACCCTTCCTTTTTGTTGGTGTGGCTTGGCAGATCTTTGTGCTCCTGGTTGTATCTCCTGAGTCGCTTGTTTCAAAACTGTCTTTGGTCGGCACCGTGTTTTCAGATTAAAGACGTTAAGCACCCGTCCATCTTCGTTCTCAGCTTTTCCTTCCATCGTCTTATTTTGTTTTTCCATCTGTGTGCTCCCAACTCCGGATTGCTTCCCCCGGTGTGTGTTTTCTGAAGCTCTGTACCGCTTTGCGGCTCTGCCAGTGGTTCTTTTCTAGTTTTGAATAACACGTTTAAGGCCGTGATTGAATAGCGGTTAGTATTCTGCGTTGTGAAGAACACGTTTAAACACGCCGTTTCTCGCGCTCTCAACGTCCGAAGTGAAATCGCATCTGCCCCCTTCTGTGAGAAGGTGAAAATTGAGCCTGTATATTTCTCTTCCCTGCTGGTATTTGCTACCAATAAATTGCTACTTTTAAAAAACATTGTCCGAGGCCAGCGGATCATGAGGTCAGGAGATCGAGACCATCCTGGTTAACACGGTGAAATGCCGTATCTGTTAAAAATACAAAAAAATTAGCCGGGCGCGGTGGTGGGCGCCTGTAGTCCAGCCTGGGCGACAGAGCCAGACTCAGTCTCAAACAAACAAACAAAAAAAACAAAAAAACATTGTATCTGTTCATAATTGTGTATTTGCATCTTACTAGGAAACATTTGTATCATTAAATAGTGACTTTGCTACTTACTGTGAGGGCTTGAGCAAATGGCATCTATCTTTTGCGTCAGTTTCCTTATCTGTAGGGTAGGGGTAATGTAGCCACTGCAAGGATTCAGTGAAATGAGAGAGAACTCACAAAGTGCCCCCAGAGGGCTTTCCTTGTGTGCCTGTCTTGTTACGGCTTCTAGGAATCTCTTGATTCGTAATTAAATGTGCTCACTGTCTACTTCATTCCATAGAACCCCCAGGCTCTGCCATTTCTTTGAGGATCCATGGGGCTTACAGGCTTAAGACAGTCTTCTCGTTTTTTAGGGTAAATCATTGAACTTCTTGAACTTCATCCTTTTTGTTCCATGTTGGGTTCCCTCTTGTGTCTCTTTTTCTTTTTCTTTTTTTTTTGAGGTGGAGTCTCGCTCTATTGCCCAGGCTGGAGTGCAGTGGCACGATCTCGGCTCACTGCAAGCTCTGCCTCCCGGGTTCGCGCCATTCTCCTGCCTCAGCCTCCCGAGTAGCTGGTACTACAGGTGCCCACCACCACGCCCAGCTAATTTTTGTATTTTTAGTAGAGACGGGGGTTTCACCCTGTTGGCCAGCATGGTCTTGATTTCTGGACCTCGTGATCCGCCCGCCTTGGCCTCCCAAAGTGCTGGGATTACAGGCGTGAGCCACCGTGCCCGGCCCCGGGTTGGTTTCTGAGCTTGTTTTGAGGGGCAGGTTCTCCGGTCCCCACACTCAGGTGTCACTGGTGATGCCCATAGACATGGAAGCAAGAGCGGGATGGGGTCTCGGTTATCTCTGTGGTCACTGAAATTCAAAGCGGGGCCCTGTTTCTCTGAGTTGTTACTTAACATCTGTGCTCGATGCCCACTCTCGGGGCCAGCTCTGCCCTCCAGGGAAACCCCAGGGCCTTGGGGGAGCGGGGTTGCAAGGCGCCCCTGCTTCTGGGGGAGAAGGTTGTCCCTGGTTCTGGTGGAGGAGGTTGTCCTCGGTTCTGGTAGAGGAGGTTGCCAGGCATCCCCGGTTCTGGTGGAGGAGGTTGCCAGGCGTCCTCGGTTCTGGTGGAGGAGGTTGCCAGGCGTCCTCGGTTCTGGTGGAGGAGGTTGCGAGGCGCCCCTGGTTCTGGGGGAGGAGCTTGTCCCTGGTTCTGGTGGAGGAGGTTGTCCCCGCTTCTGGTGGAGGAGGTTGCCAGTTGTCCCCGGTTCTGGCGGAGGAGGTTGTCCCCCGTGCTGGTGGAGGAGGTTGCGAGGCGTCCCCGGTTCTGGCGGAGGAGGTTGCCTGTGTTGCCCGCACAGCCTCACTGTGCCTCTACCCGAGGGCACGTCCTGCCACTTTAGGTGCTGTGGGGACCCCCACTCTTAGGGTGGTGTGTGGTCTCCACTCACATTCTCTTCAGCCTCAGGTTTGTCTGCTCGCGGGCGGGCCACAGGGCCCTGCTGTCCCACCCCCCATCGCCAGACATTAGAGGCAGATCGAAGTGGGAGGCTTTGCGGGATCTCGTCAGCCCCCCAACAAGGAAGGGCTCTGTGGTGCCCCAGAAGCATTTTCTCCCCCACTCGGGATCCTCCTCAGAAGCTGGGAGCATGTGCTACACAGCCTGCGGGCCCTGACCAAGAAGACACGACAGGAAGATAAACCCAGGGCGGCTGCAGTGCGCGAGCTGGGCCGAGGGCATCCTGGTCTTTCATCTTCTCCCATAGCTTGAATTTAGATAAAATGGAGGCTGTGCACGCCTGTGACCCCAGGGCTTTGGGAAATACAAGGTGGGAGGAGCGCCTGAGTCCAGGAGTTTGAGACCAGCCTGGGCAATGTAGTGAGACCCCATCTCTACAAAAAAATTTTTTTAAATTCACCAGGCGTTGTGGCTCATGCCTGTAATCCCAGCACTTTGGGAGTCTGAGGCAGACGGATCACTTGAGGTCTGGGATTCAAGACCAGCCTGGCCAACATGTATGAAACCCCGTCTCTACTAAAAATACAAAAATTAGCTGTGCGTGGTGGCAGGCTCCTGTAGTCCCAGCTACGTGGGAGGCTGAGGCGGGAAAATCACTTGAACCCAGGAGGCGGAGGTTGCAGTGAGCCAAGATCGCACCACTGCACTCCAGCCTGGGCAACAAGACCCTGTCTCAAAGCAAAAGAAAAAAAAAATTTTTTAAAATACTGCTCCACCCAAGGAAAGGCCACCCCCGGATTCAAACCTCTGTCTGATCTCACCCGTCATGACCCCCAGAGGGGCTGGGAATGGGTCTGAGAAGCATCACAAGCTGCAGGGGCCAGACCCAGGCAGGGCGGTGGGACAGGCTGCCATCGGGGTCCTTCACGATTTTAATTATAAGGAGGAAGAAGAGACGGGGCGAGGCACGGGCTTGGGGGGTCATAGTGACCCTGTATCGGGTGGCCCGCTCCTACTCCCGAGTAAACGGAACCTGCGTGAGGAGCTGTCGAGGTGTTAATTGGTTTTTAGACGTGACCGTGGTATTTGGTGGTGGCTGTTATTTCATTTGCTTTTGGGGACTGGGTTGTTCAGTACAGCAGGCATTAGCCATATACACATTTTTAAATGTAATTTTTAATGTGCTTGAAAAAATGCTGGCCACGTTTCCAGCAGTTGGTAGTGTGGTCCCCGTATTGGACAGCAGAGGTGGAGAATATTTTGATCCTCCAGGAAAATGTTCTTGGAAGCACAGTTATTTATGAGTAAAATGAAGACGTTGAGGGTGGGTGTTTTGGGGGCGTCAGCTGTGTTCCAGGCAGTGCTGCAGACAAAGAGGGGTCCCAGGCTGGGAAGGGGCTCAGGCAGGGGGTGTGGGTGGGGGTCACCTCCTGTGTTGGGGAAGAGGAGAGTGGTGAGATCAGGAAAGAGTTTGGTCTTTATCCTGAGGACGGTGGGGAGCCATGAGAGAGGGTAGAGGGAGGGAGAAGAGCCAAGTTTTGCTTCTAAAGGCTCCATCCGGCTGCCTGAGGATGTCAGCAGACTTGGAAGGAAGCTGCTGCAGGGACTGGGCTTAACCCGCTGCTGTAGCTATGGGGCAAGCTGCTGTTCTTTGGGAGGAGGGAAGGTGAGGAGGACTCCCAGGACTTTAGCCTGAGCACCTGAGTGGGGGCACATTGCAGAGCTGGGGCTATAGGATGAAGTCCCCAGGCCCATCTGAAGCCAGACCACCTGGTGGTGTGCCTGAGGGTTTGGCAGGGGCGGTACACAGGGCTGTGTTCAGGGCCCGTGTCCACCAATAGTTTTGCCTGCCCGGCATGGTAACCCCACTCCTGGTACTGAAGTCTGTCGATTGGGTTTCTTGTGCAGAGGCAGCTGAAGGCACTTGGACAGTCTTTTTCTGTATCAAGGTCAGCCAGCCTTCTCCGGAAAGGACCAAGGAGTGAATATTGTTGGCTGTGCAGGACAGATGGTCTCTATTGGAATTGATTCAACTCTACTGTTGCAGCAAAAGCAGCCGTTGATAGTACATGGACAAACGGGCATAGTGTGTGCCAATAAAACTTTATTTAAAAAGCAGCTTAGGGGCCAGACTTGGTCCTTGTGTACTGTTTGCAGATCCCTGCTGCAGACCAATCTCAGTCCTACCCGGTATTTACTAAGCGCCTTTTGAAGCCTCCCTCTCCCATTTGCCAACGAGCCACCAGGCAAAGACCAGTCCCCGGTCCCTCTCAGGAGGGGACCCAACAGGGACCGGGACTGGGAAACCACCAGCCTGGAGCATTCCTTGGCTACGGATGGCCTCTCTGAAGCAGCATCTTTCATTGTTATCCTCACGGCAGCCCAGGCAGGTGGGCGGCTTCCACACCCCGTGACTGGAATTGGAACTGAAGCCCAAGGGGTGGGCCGCTCCTGGGGCCCTCTCCCCAGCGCCCCTGCGCCGTCCACTCGCAGGCCTCTCCCGAGGCAGCCAGGCTGGCCCAGGGCAGGAAGGTGCCCTTCCCGGGTAAAACTCTGCGGTGCTTCACCAAAGAAATCACAGAAAACCACACTCTGACAGCAGTGTCTTATTCTATTAGTACATTTTAATTAGAACAGGAGCAATGGATGCATTATGAATATTCATGGTGGGTTATTAAAATGCATCATTAATCGGTGGGGGGGATTTTAATAACTGTATTAATGTGGGGGCTGTCCTTATTTTTGTCATTTCTAGGAGGAGGCCAAGGCTGGGTGAGGGAGGGTTCCCCCAAAGGGCAGATTGAGGCCGCAGTGCCTCTGGCACAGGCCTGTTGGAGTGAACTTCGGGGGCGATCCCTGGGCATGGGGCCCCAGGAGGTCCCCCACCACACCAGGCCTTCCAGGGGATGAGGGCTGGGGTGCCAGGAGCCTCCCGTTTGCTCAGTTGGGGGTCTCTGCACCTCCTGGGGTACTGGCTATGGCCGGAGGGGACCAGACAACATGCAGGTGGTATAGAGGCAAACTGAGACCCAGAGGGTGCCGGCGCTGTGCCCACCCCTACACAGCCAGCCCACCCTGGCCTCAGCAGCTGCCCTGTTCACCAGGGCCCACGTGCAGGACCAGGATCTTGGGGTGCAGATGGCCCAGACCTGGCAGCGAATGCCGTGTGGATTCCTGGAGACCACAGGAGCCCCCTGCCTGGCCCCCAACCCAGCCAAGGCAGCATCCCAGCCCCCCACTCATAATCACATTGGAAATTTTTGATTAGAAAACAAAATCTAAATGAGGCGCATGAATATTCATTAGACTTGGAGATTAATATGCATAATTATGCAAATCAGACAGCAATTAAACACCAATACTCCCCGGGGGGAATGATTAACACAAAGGCACCGAAATAGAAGGATGCGATTTGAAAGAAGTTTCTGGTGTGGATGAGCAGGGAGGGCAGGGGGCGGGGCGGGGGAGCCTGCAGAACAGCCTGAGGTGGTGCCGGTCACAGACATCAGCACTGGGCTGGGTCCCCCAGGCCTGGCTCTCGGGAAGCCTCTGGACTTGGGAGTTGGACATGGACACCCCCAGCCCTGCAAAAGTAGGGCCTGTTTGTAAATCATTTATAGAGAGGGAAACCAAGGCAGGGCAGCAACTCCGTGGCCAAGCTGAGGAGGCCCAGGGCCCGCTCCTGCTTCTCCACGGGTGTGCTCTGTGGCCCCCGATGGAAGGGGGAAGGATCCAAGCAGGCCCTCCCTGCCCAGGGCAGAAGATTCTGGAGTCCTGGGCGTTGCCTGTGAGTGTTCTGAGAGATAAGGGCCCCGCCCGCCCCGCCCCGGGACCAAGGTCCTCGTCCCGTCCCTTGCTGCGCCGGGAACTCCTGCCCCACGCAGGCTTCTGGTCTCCACACTGGGCTTGTTCCTGGGTGATGAGATTCGGCTCCACCCTCACGGGCTGCCAGCCTCCTGCCCGATGGGTGAGCCTCTGCTGCTGCTTCAGCAAAGGGCGGCCCCACTTCCCACACTGGCAGGTGGGGACAGGGAGACCCTGGGCCTCCCCAGAGCTCATGGGTTAGCTTCCACACCCTCATGCTGTCATGAGCCTTTCTCACAGGGTCAGAAGAGTCTGCATCTGACACAGAGACCCCAGTCCACATAGTCAGGGCTGGGCCAGAGGGAGGGACTTGGGGCTGATGGGGAGGAGGCTCGGCGTGAGAGTGAGGTCTTTGCCCAAGGAGGGTATGAAAGCTGGGGCTTTAGTGGGTGGGTAGGAGTTGGCCAGCAGAGAGCCGACGGAAGAGTTAATTTAAGTTTATGGACCTGTAAGTGCTCCGAGTCCCAGGGTGTCTGGGTGTTAGCTGCTGACTGGTGTCCTCATGAGTCGGGCTGGGTGAGGCTGGGTTAGGAAGGGTTCCACAAGCCCCCCGGGTCCACTGAGGTTTGCCCCTGAGATGATGAACCGAAGCTTTTAGAGCTGGGCAGGCGTGAGGGTGACCCATAACTCTCTCTGTCCTGCCTGCAGGTCTTGAGGACCGGCCCAGCTCAGGCTCCTGGGGCAGCGGCGACCAGAGCAGCTCCTCCTTTGACCCCAGCCGGGTAGGAGTCCCCGTGAGGCCTGAGACCCTGAGTTTCCTGTCCCCAGAGTTGGGGGCGAGGGGTGTGGGGAAACTGAGGCTGAGAGAAGGGGCCAGCCTTCCAGGGGTTTGGACTGGGGGACATGGGTTTGAGTCCTGCCTCTCCAGCTGTAATGCGGGGTGGAGGGGGGGCCTGTGAAGCCCCAGCACCTCTCATCCCCACCCCATCTCCCCTAGACCTTCAGCGAGGGCACCCACTTCACTGAGTCGCACAGCAGCCTCTCTTCATCCACATTCCTGGGACCGGGACTCGGAGGTGAGTGCCTGGCCTGGTGCGGTCCCTCTGCTGTGCACAGATGTGCAGACGTGGGCCTTGGCATGGTCAGTGCACGCACAGCGCCAGGCAAGTCCCCAGCGTTCACCCAGAGGGTGTGGACAGCCGAAGCCTCTGCCCGTCCTGGGAGCAGCTGCGGGGAGGTGCAGGGGACGTGGCCCGGACTCCCTGGCACGGCACTCTGCAACTAGGCTTCCCCGCCTGAGCGTAGAGGCAGGGAGGCCGTTCCAGACCCCACTTCCTCCCTGGGATTTCTGCAGGGCTCCTCCTGCTTCCCGGGGAGGGGTCAGCCGGGCTGGCCTGTGCCCGCTGGGAAGGAGGCGTAGGAGTTCTGGAGACTCGGGAGGGCGGCCAGAGTGTGCGGTGGTCAGAGCCCATGCCCTTCCGCAGACCGCCCGCCCGCCCTCTTTCCCTGGGGGGCCCTCCTGTTAACCGAGAGAATCGTGACTCAGGTTGGGCTCGGTGGCTCACGCCTGTAATACCAGCACTTTGGGAGAGCGAGGTGGGTGGATCACCTGAGGTCAGGAGTTTGAGACCAGCCTGGCCAACATGGTGAAACCCCGCTTCTACCAAAAACACAAAAATTAGCCGGTCATGGTGTTGGATGCTTATAGTGCCAACTACTCAGGAGGCTGAGGCAGGAGAATTGCTTGAACCCAGGAGGTGGAGGCTGCAGTGAGCCGAGATCACGCCATTGCCCTCCAGCCTGGGTGATGGAGCGAGATTCCATCTTAAAAAAAAAAAAAGAATGAAGACTCAGGCCTGGTGTCTGGTCCCACCCCACCACGGAACCTGGGCAAGCGCCATCCTCTTCTGAGCCTCAGTTTCCCCACTGTGGGAAAGGGACCCTCCCAGAACCTTCTTGGAGGGAGGCGGTGAGGACTGACCCAGCTCTGCAGGCCCTGCCCAATGCCAGGTGGGGGTTGGTGCCTGGTCTTGGGTATATTCCAGCCCCGCTGCAGGCTCACCCGTGCTGCAGGGGAACGAACCGACGCTTGGGAAGGGCACCCTGGCCGGGGGTCTGCGGCTGGGTGGGGCTGACTGGGACGCCCTCCTCCAGGCACCTGGGGCTGCGACTGGGACAGTGTCCCGTGTGCGGTCCCTCCTGCGGGTGACACAGGAAATGCCCCGAGCTTCACATGCTCCGCCTCCTGCGGGAGTGTCAAGTCCTGTGCCCCAGGGTTCGGGGGCTCAGGTAGGGGTCTTGGGGGGGTCCCGCTGCTTGGGGGGCTGGTAAGGGCCTCAGGGGTCCCGCTGTCGTGGTCAGCCTCCTGCCCCAGTGCCTCAGCTGTGGAATTTGTGGTTTCATCCCTCAGTCATCCTGGGATGCGGGATCCTTCCCTTCTCTGGAACCCGACGGTTTGAGGCAGTGTTTCTGCTGGCTTTTCGTGGTGCAGTGGGGGTGTGCGCTGCTTAGAAGCCGGGAGCTGTGGGGCACTGGACCTGCTGCGGGGCCCAGGTGCTCACCGTGTACCCCTCGGCATTGTTGGCTTGCGGGGAAACTGAGGCCCGGAGGACTTTGGCCGACCCAGCCTTTTCCCTGGACCCTGAGGGGCAGCGCCTGTTTGGGCCCCACAGCGGGGCAGGGACGGTCCTGTCTCGCTTTGCCCGGCCTCGAACTTGGAGTACAGTAGAGTCAGTTGGTGTCCTGAGTAGGAAGCGAATAGCGTGAAGGTCTGGCGGGTGTGTCTGAGGGCCCACCACGTGCCACGGGCGATTTCTGCCCGTTCCCCTTACGGGGTAGGTGAGGCCTGGCCCCGCCCCCCTGCCGGGGGTGGCCCCTGCACCTGGGAGCCTGGTTCCTCACTGGCTGTTCCTTCCTCCCAGCCTCTTCCTCATACCCCCGATGGCCCCAGGGTGGGCAGGGCTGACGTGGGCAGTTCCCACGGCCCGGCCAGCAATGCCCAGAGCCCAGCCATGTCCCACCTGCCACCCCCACGGGTGGGGCCCAGGCCATAGCCAGGCAGCTTGGAGAGGGCAGGCGGGGGTCCCGGGGAGGCACGGGGGGCTTTTGCCATAACCTCAGTCTCCTATGGCCTCAGTTTTCTCACCCGAGGAGCCGGGCGAGTGACTGCTGTGGCCGGGTGTGGCCTGTGGGGTGGGTCGTGGCTGTCATCTTCCCCATGTCCCCCCGGGTCACCAAGATGAGGAAACGGGAGGCAAAAAACAGCAGCATTTGTTCCAGGAGTTGGGAAATCGTTGAACTTTTAAAATTCAAAAATCGGGAAATTTTTTTCCTGCTTTGAGAATAATGTACATTACTCGATCGCGCGTCCCAGCCCCTCACAGCAGCCCCAGTCACATTCCGTGCCCAGTGTCAGCCAGAAGGGGATTTAAGTGGCTCAGGTCCTGAGTAATCGGGGTGCCTGCTTCAGGCAAGGCTGGATCCAGGTGTCACCGCATCAGCCCCAGGCCCTCCACACTGGGGGCTCGCCCCGGCAGGCTGTCCTCCTCCGTAGCCCAGGCCCTCCATGCTGGGGGCTCGCCTTGGCCAGCTGTTCCCCTCCGTAGCCCAGGCCTTCCATGCTGGGGGCTCGCCCTGGCCAGCTGACCCCCTCCGTAGCCCCGAGGCCTCACCTGTCCTTTGTCACTGAGCGCCCCAGGGAAGTGCTCATTGGTGGGGTGCAGGTCACGTGCTCATTCGCGAATGAACCCTGGCCTGAAGGCTGAATGCTGGGCACTTTGGGGGAGCCTGTGCGGTGAACCTGATGCGGTGTGCACAGGCCCCGGGGCTCCCCGCCAGGGCCCCCAGGCCTGTCCCCTGGGACAGACAAATGCCTCTGACCCCAGCACCCCAGGGCATCAGCCCCTCAACGCCTGAAACAGAGGAAACTGAGGCTCAGGAAGGGCAGGGGCCTGGCCAGCAGGAAGCAGGGCCACTGTGAGCTCTGCTGTCCCCTTCCCGCCTCACCCCGTGAGCTCTGCTGTCCCCTTCCCGCCTCACCCCGTGAGCTCTGCTGTCCCCTTCCCGCCTCACCCCGTGAGCTCTGCTGTCCCCTTCCCGCCTCACCCCCGTGAGCTCTGCTGTCCCCTTCCCGCCTCACCCCCTGTGAGCTCTGCTGTCCCCTTCCCGCCTCACCCCGTGAGCTCTGCTGTCCCCTTCCCGCCTCACCCCGTGAGTTCTGCTGTCCCCTTCCCGCCTCACCCCGTGAGCTCTGCTGTCCCCTTCCCGCCTCACCCCGTGAGCTCTGCTGTCCCCTTCCCGCCTCACCCCGTGAGTTCTGCTGTCCCCTTCCCGCCTCATCCCCTGTGAGCTCTGCTGTCCCCTTCCCGCCTCACCCCCTGTGAGCTCTGCTGTCCCCTTCCCGCCTCATCCCCTGTGAGCTCTGCTGTCCCCTTTCCGCCTCACCCCCTGTGAGCTCTGCTGTCCCCTTCCCGCCTCACCCCGTGAGTTCTGCTGTCCCCTTCCCGCCTCACCCCCTGTGAGCTCTGCTGTCCCCTTCCTGCCCCACCCCCGTGAGCTCTGCTGTCCCCTTCCCGCCTCACCCCCGTGAGCTCTGCTGTCCCCTTCCCGCCTCACCCCCTGTGAGCTCTGCTGTCCCCTTCCCGCCTCATCCCCTGTGAGCTCTGCTGTCCCCTTTCCGCCTCACCCCCTGTGAGCTCTGCTGTCCCCTTCCCGCCTCACCCCGTGAGTTCTGCTGTCCCCTTCCCGCCTCACCCCCTGTGAGCTCTGCTGTCCCCTTCCCGCCTCATCCCCTGTGAGCTCTGCTGTCCCCTTCCCGCCTCACCCCGTGAGCTCTGCTGTCCCCTTCCCGCCTCACCCCCGTGAGCTCTGCTGTCCCCTTCCCGCCTCACCCCCTGTGAGCTCTGCTGTCCCCTTCCCGCCTCACCCCGTGAGCTCTGCTGTCCCCTTCCCGCCTCACCCCGTGAGTTCTGCTGTCCCCTTCCCGCCTCATCCCCTGTGAGCTCTGCTGTCCCCTTCCCGCCTCACCCCCGTGAGCTCTGCTGTCCCCTTCCCGCCTCACCCCCTGTGAGCTCTGCTGTCCCCTTCCCGCCTCACCCCCTGTGAGCTCTGCTGTCCCCTTCCCGCCTCACCCCGTGAGCTCTGCTGTCCCCTTCCCGCCTCATCCCCTGTGAGCTCTGCTGTCCCCTTCCCGCCTCACCCCCTGTGAGCTCTGCTGTCCCCTTCCCGCCTCACCCCCTGTGAGCTCTGCTGTCCCCTTCCCGCCTCACCCCCTGTGAGCTCTGCTGTCCCCTTCCCGCCTCACCCCCTGTGAGCTCTGCTGTCCCCTTCCCACCTCACCCCGTGAGCTCTGCTGTCCCCTTTCCGCCCCACCCCCTGGGCAGGGCTTCTGTGGGCTGCAGATGCTCAGAGTTGGCCCCGAAATCATCGGGGACCCCTTCTTGTCCCCAAGCCTGTCATTGGGCAGGAGATGGGCACACTGAGGGCAGGGCTCTGCGGGAGATGGGCATACTGGGGCCAGGGCTCCCCGAGATGGGCACACTGGGGTCAGGCTCTGCCAGCATCCTGCCGTGGCGCTCTCAGTCGTGTGCACTTACTGAGAGCCTATTGTAGGCACATGGCAGGCACTCGGGGGCCCTCAGGATGTTCCTTGGGGTCGCCTCCCACTAACCTTCCTTCTCCCCTTGCAGGCAAGAGCGGTGAGCGGGGCGCCTATGCCTCCTTCGGGAGAGACGCAGGCGTGGGCGGCCTGACTCAGGTGAGGGGCTCGGGCCGGGCTGGGGTGTATTTTGATTTTAAACAAATCTGTCACCCACCCTCTCTGATCTGCAGAAGCTCTCCTGGCTTAGCTAGGTTATGTTTGCTTCCTGATAGCGAAACCAGGCTGGGCTTGGGCCAGGGTGGGCTGGGTGGGTGTGGACCGGGAGCAGAGGGGAGGTAGGTGAGGACCAGGGAGGCCAAGGCCTGCAGGGCTGCCATGCTTAGCTGGAGGGGCTCGGTTGCCCTCTCCTCTGAGTGGCAGGCAGGAAAACAGGCCATGCAGCAGGGCTTTGCAGGTGTGGACCCCCTGGGGAGCCCATACAACAGGCCCCTGTGCAGCCGAGATCCTCACCCACGCTGGCCCTGGTTGTGAGGCTGGGGGAGGATGTTGGGGGCTGTGACCAGCCACAGGGGTCCCATGCAGCCTCCGGTGCTGGGCACCCCCAGGGTTCCTCCCTCACCCCAGGACTTCATCTCTGTCCCCGCCGTCAGCTCCTAGCTCTCGGTGGGGCTCGGCCTTGTCACAGGTGGGGCCGTCTGTGTGCTCACTGTGCCCAAGCCAGAGCAACAGTAGCCATAGTGATGGAGGGGGCCAGCCGGGTGCCAGGCTCTGCGCCAGGGGCAGATGCGCGTTTCCCTATCAGTCCCCGCAACGAGGGGCCGCGGCCTACGTGCCCATTTTACAGACAGGAATACGCAAGTGCCCGGGCTCCCCATCCGAGAAGCAGAACTAGGGCTCGGGCCCTGCTCTCTGGCGCTCCCGGGTGACTCATCGAGCCCCGCGGTGGCCACACAGGGTGCGGGCTCAGGACAGGCCGGGCCTCGGGAGAAGGCCCTGTCCTGGGCGCTGGGCCACCCCGTGGGGCCACTGGATGATGATAGAACAGATGATTCTTTTTTTTTTTTTTGAGACGGAGTTTCGCTCATGGCCCAGGCTGGAGTTCAATGGCGCAATCTTGGCTCACCGCAACCTCTGTCTCCTGGGTTCAAGCGATTCTCCTGCCTCAGCCTTTTGAGTAGCTGGGATTACAGGCATGTGCCACCATACCCGGCTAATTTTGTATTCTTTGTAGAGACGGAGTTTCTCCATGTTGGTCAGGCTGGTCTTGAACTCCCGACCTCAGGTGATCCGCCCGCCTCAGCCTCCCAAAGTACTGGGATAATAGGTGTGAGCCACCGTGCCCGGCCTTAGAACGGATGAAATGCAGGAGTCAGTTCCGGGACCCGGCTCAGGGCAGCCCTGGCTCCCCAGGAAGAAAGCCCGTTTCACACTAACATGTACAGAATCCAACCGAGGGCTTTACAAAACAAAACCAAAAAGATAGGAAGCAGCCGGGTGCACAGACGCTTAGCCACGCAGCTTTGTACTTTGCGTCTCAGAATCGGGGGAGCAGCCCCTTGGGTTGGCCACACTGGTATCTGTTTCTCAGTCTTTCGTTCTTCGTGAAAACAGCAGTGTGGGATGCGGTCAGTCTCAAGTCAGAAAAACACAGCAGGTGTCACAGAGAAACACCGTGACAGGCAGAAGGGGCATCACCCACTGCAGGGCGGGTCTGAGTGGCTTCGGCCTTTGCAGTTTTTTCTTGAATGGAACAGCCTGGGGTCTGGATGCCAGCTGGGCGCTTTCTGACCATCCGCTCCCCACCAGGCTGGCTTCCTGTCAGGCGAGCTGGCCCTCAACAGCCCCGGGCCCCTGTCCCCTTCGGGCATGAAGGGGACCTCCCAGTACTACCCCTCCTACTCCGGCAGCTCCCGGCGGAGAGCGGCAGACGGCAGCCTAGGTGAGCGGGGTCTGGCCGGGGCATCGGGGGCTTCTGGGAGGGAGCCTGCAAAGGGAGGTAGGAGGCTTCCCGTTAGCTGAGGGCACCAGAGGGAGCAGACCCCGCACCTTCCAGGTCCTGGCTGGACGTCGGGCGCTCGGGCCGTGGGAGGGATGGACGGTGACGGGGGGTCGAGGCAGGGGCCGGCGGGCGTGGCACGTCCAGGGAGAGGTTCCTACGAGCCTCTGGTCCCGAGGTTCCTGCAGCTGACGGGCACGGGCTCTGCCATGTGCTTTCTGTGTCAGATGCCTCATGGGGCTGCATCGTGGCTCCTCTGCACTGAGCCCTGCTGCACACGCGGGCATCCCCCGCGAGGCACGTCACAGCCTCGGGCTCAGGAGCACTGGACGGCGCCTTGAACTACCCGGGGCCCATTCCAGGCAGCACAGTCGCCAGGCATGGCGGCACTCACCTGGGGTCCCAGCTTCTCTGGAGGCCGAGACAGGAGGATCACTTGAGGCCAAAAGTTGCAAACCATTCTGGGCAACATAGGGAGATCCCATCTTTGCGAAAAATTTTAAAAATTAGCTAAGTATGGTGGCACACACCTGTGGTCCCAGCTACTCAGGAGGCTGAGGCAGGAGGATGGTTTGACCCTGGGAGTTCGAGGCTGCAATGAGCTGCGATCGCACCATTGTACTCCAGCCTGAGCAACAGCGCAAGACCCTGCCTGAAAAAAATAAGCGTGAAATCACCCACAAAAAGCACAAAAACGTAAAAGATCGTGGCTCTGAATAGACCAAGGACAGGAGCCCCATGATGCGGGAGGAGGCCTCTGTTCCGCCTTGGCTGGGCACATGCGCCTGGGCCACTCGAACTTTTCCCACTGTGCGCACGTCCGTGAGTGATCAGGAAGGCGCCTGAGTGCTGGTTTCCGGGTTACGGATTTTATCCTGTAGGCGAGTTTGCAAACAGCAGCCCCTAGTGGTGAAGCCTGACTGCGTGGGATAGTCGGGGCCATCTTGGAAGGAGGGTGGGGCCAAGGGGCTTCTCAGCAGAGCCTTGGCTTAGAATCCACCAACTCCTCGTTTTCCAAACTGCGCGTCGCGGGAGAAAACCATCGTGGTTCTTCGACATCTTTGGAGCCGTATAAATAGACCCGGGGCTTTTTGTTGTTGTTGCTGCTGCTGCTGTTGTGTTTTGAGACGGAGTCTTTCTCTGTCCCCAGGCTGGAGTGCAGTGACACGATCTCGGCTCACTGCAGCCTCTGCCTCCCGGGTTCAAGTGATTCTCCTGCCTCGGCCTCCCGAGTAGCTGGAATTATAGGCACCCGCCACCACGCCCGGCTACTTTTTGTATTTTCAGTAGAGACGGGGTTTCACTGTGTTGGCCAGGATGGTCTTGATCTCTTGACCTCGTGATCTGCCTGCCTTGGCCTCCCAAAGTCCTGGTATTACAGGCATGAGGCACCGCACCCAGCCGACCCGAGGTTTTTAATATATGAAACGGGAATTGTGAGGGTCTCTCCTCCAGGGTGTAGGGCAGGGGTTGTTCTCATGGCCGGTGGCCGGTTCTCACCCCTTTTGCTTCTAACAGACACGCAGCCCAAGAAGGTCCGGAAGGTCCCGCCGGGTCTTCCATCCTCGGTGAGTCGCACGAGGGAGAAGGGACCCCACAGCTCGTCAGTGGCAGTGCCAGGCCCTGTGTCCTGGCGAAGCTTGGGAACACACATGGCGGGGTGGGCCCTGAGTGGACAGGCCCCCTGTGATTTCTGAGCCAAGATCTGAGCTCTGACCCGAGGCCGCCTCCAAGGGAAGGCGGGGAAGTCCTTCCCTAGGTCCAGCCTCTGTCTGTCTTGTTTTGAGAGAAAGGCAGTCCTGGTGGCTGAGGCCCCTTTAGAAAGGGCACAATTGTGCTGGGTGTGGTGGCTCATGCCTGTCATCCCAGCGCTTTGGGAGGCCGAGGTGGGTGGATCACCTGAGGTCAGGAGTTCTAGATCAGCCTAGTCAACATGGTGAAACCCCATCTCTACTAAAAATACAAAAATCAGCCGGGCGTGGTGGTGCGTGCCTGTAATCCCAGCTACTTGGGAGGCTGAGGCAGAAGAATCGTTTGAACCCAGGAGGCGGAGGTTGCAGTGAGCCAAGATCATGCCGCTGCCCTCCAGCCTGAGCAACAGAGTGAGACTCTGTCTCAAAAAAAAAAAAAAAAAAAGCGGGGGGTGCCGCAATTGGGGCTCCCTGTTACATCCTCACAGCTTCAGGCTGCCCCGCATCCCTGCCTCCCTACCAGGCCTCGCAGATGGTCCAGGCTGCTGTGCCACACTCCTGCGGTCTCATCTCGCTGGAGGGAGAGGGAATTTGCCGATTCCCTGGCTCAGTAGCCACCAACCACCCTCTGCCCAGTGCCTGTGCTGGCCCCAAGAGCCCTGGGCATACATCTCCTCACCCCTCCAGCCGACCAGCTCCCCACAGGCCTGGGTTCGGGGTTAGAGTCAGGTTGACTTCCCAGGCCAAAGGCGTGGTCAGGCTCTGCTCCCAACAGTATCACTCACTCCCCTCCTTCCCCAGGGTGCACTTTCTCTGCCCTGAAACCGCCCCCCAGTTTATTACAACATCAGGCCCACCCAGCATACTTCCCGCTCCAGCACAGCAGCAGACGTTACCAACAGGCCCCAGCCCCACAGTCCAGGCAGTGCCAACCAGTCAGAGCTGGCGCTACTCACAGACCCCTCTTCCTGTTACTTTAGTGAAGGACGAATGTTGCTCTGGGACCAAGGGAAGCTCAGCACTGGAAGATTGATTCCAGCTGGGGAACAAGGGAGAAGGATGGGATGGGGTGTTGGAGCTGGGGTTTTGATGGGTCGATAGGAGTTTTCTGGATTAAGGAGGAAAAAGGTTTAGTAGGCAGAGCCAGATCCAAGTCCTCAAGTACAAAGGTCAGAAGTTCAGGGAGGCGGGAGGTGGGGGCTGGAAAAGGAGTAGGAGAGAGAGACCAGGACATCATAAGAACCTCAAACTTGGCCAGGGGCTGGGATTTACCTAAAGGGGGGTGGCTTTACAGGGAAGGGAAACGGGGTGGTAGATGTGCTACCAGGAGGGGACAGGAGGCCGGCAAGGTGCATGGGCTGATCGTGGTCCCTCCGTCCTGACTGCACCCCCCACCGCCCACCCGCCCGCAGGTGTACCCACCCAGCTCAGGTGAGGACTACGGCAGGGATGCCACCGCCTACCCGTCCGCCAAGACCCCCAGCAGCACCTATCCCGCCCCCTTCTACGTGGCAGGTACATGGCAGGGCGGGGGCTCGCCAGGGACGGTAGGGCAGGGCTGGGGTTCCCCACTCGGCCCCCACCTTACCAGCTCCCCTCCACAGATGGCAGCCTGCACCCCTCAGCCGAGCTCTGGAGTCCCCCGGGCCAGGCGGGCTTCGGGCCCATGCTGGGTGGGGGCTCATCCCCGCTGCCCCTCCCGCCCGGTAGCGGCCCGGTGGGCAGCAGTGGAAGCAGCAGCACGTTTGGTGGCCTGCACCAGCACGAGCGTATGGTAGGACCCAGGGCAGGGGGCAGGGGGTGGGCGGAGGGTGGCAGTGCCCATCTAACCCACCCTCCTCCTGCCTGACCCCCCAGGGCTACCAGCTGCATGGAGCAGAGGTGAACGGTGGGCTCCCATCTGCATCCTCCTTCTCCTCAGCCCCCGGAGCCACGTACGGCGGCGTCTCCAGCCACACGCCGCCTGTCAGCGGGGCCGACAGCCTCCTGGGTATGGCCCCTCCCTGGGATGCGGCCTCTCCGAGGGGACACTGGGCTCCAGGCAGGGTCTGGGTGGGGGGTGGCGAGGACTCCACGGGAGGCGCAGGCGCGTCTGCTGGCCCTGAGAGCGGGTTGTTGTCAGTTCTCATTGTCCGCTGTCTGCAGGGCCTGCCACGTGCGTTGGGCTTGGGATGTCTGGAAACAGATCTTTGAGGAGCGGCTTTCCCGCCTTACAGCTGGGAAAGAGGCTCAGAGAGGGACTCACCCACCCAGGGTCAGAGAGGGACTCACCCACCCAGGGTCAGAGAGGGACTCACCCACCCAGGCCCAGAGAGGGACTCACCCACCCAGGCCCAGAGAGGGACTCAGTTACCCAGGCCCAGAGAGGGACTCACCCATCCAGGCCCAGAGGGGGACTCACCCACCCAGGCCCAGAAGGGGACTCACCCACCCAGGGTCCCCTGCCAGTGGCCTGTCCCCAGTGCCTCAACCCCTGCAGAGGCTGGTTTCAGGGGGTCAGACAGAAACCGGACCCGAGTCAGGCTGCTCTCCCTGGCGCAGCAGTGTCTGTGCAGGACGGCAGAACGCAGGAGAGCTTGCCGTCGGCGGCAGCACCCAGGCCGGGCTGCGTGGGCCTCACCTCTCTTCACCCACAGGCTCCCGAGGGACCACAGCTGGCAGCTCCGGGGATGCCCTCGGCAAAGCACTGGCCTCGGTGAGGCGTGGGGCATGGGGGGTGGCCAGGCAAGTGACCTGAGAGGCCGGCCCCTGACCGCCCATCTCTCCTGGTCCTCCTCGCAGATCTACTCCCCGGATCACTCAAGCAATAACTTCTCGTCCAGCCCTTCTACCCCCGTGGGCTCCCCCCAGGGCCTGGCAGGTCTGTGAGGGTTTTGGGGGGAGGGGAGGCTGAGGTCTGTGAGGGTTTGGGGGGAGGGGAGGCTGAGGTCTGTGAAGGCTTTGCGGGGGAGGGGAGGCTGGTTCTGGTGTCTGCACCTTGCTGGGATAGGCAGGCAGCGGGGAGGGAGCAGATGGCCCCCAAGGGCCCGTGGCATCGCTGGTCAGGAACCGACGGTGGAAGGGAGTCCCCCATGGGCTTGTGTTCCACTGGGCAATCCAGGAAAGCTGCCTAGTGGAGGCAGCCTCCAAGCCAGCCCTCCAAGGCTATAGCACATAACCAGGCAGTGAGGGAGGGCTGGGAGGTGGCGTCCAGGTTAGGTCACAGCACAGGCAAAGCCAGGAGGCAGGACCTGGCAGTTCACACTGCGTGAACATGAGGGGACATTGGCGTGCCTAGCAGCTCCCAGGTCCGATGGGGCCAGCATCGCCAGGGCTGTGGCCTGGACTCTAGAATGTGTGCGTGTTGCCATTTGCTCACCCACTGGGTATTTATTAGGTACTGACTGTTTACCCTGTGCGGTGCTCCGGCATGGGAGGGCAGACCCTCCTATCCCTGTGAGGACGTGCTTGCTTATCCGCAGGGGGTCGGGGGCAGGTACAGGAGGAGGGGGAGTGAGAACTGGAGGTTTCCAGAAGGTCTGGGTGTTTAAAAACACCCGTGAGTCCTCATCTCTGCCCCCATGGGAAGCGCCAGGAACCCTCACTTCACCTCGGCCTGTCTGGTCCCACCTGGAGCTTGCCACTTTCTTGCCTGCTGCTGGAGCCCAGCGTGGGTCAGCCAGGGTGGGGCAGCATGGGGAGGAGCCCCCTACTGTGTGCTGCCGAGCCACTTTATCCTCTGAGTGGGGAGTTGGATTTTGTAGATGGGGAAACTGAGGCTCAGAGATAGGAATGGCAGTACCCACTGGGCACCCAGCATCCCTGCCTGGCGGGGCCGAGCAGCTTTGCATCAGTGTGGGGTGCCCCGGAATGGCCATCTTGGGCATCACCGGAGGCTGGACAGGCGGGGTGGTTCATGAATCCCTCCCCATGGGCATCAGGCCATGCTCACACCCCGCCCCTCGCACCCCATTCACGTCCCCACTCCCTTCCAGGAACGTCACAGTGGCCTCGAGCAGGAGCCCCCGGTGCCTTATCGCCCAGCTACGACGGGGGTCTCCACGGCCTGGTGAGTGCCTGCCCCGCCCCACCCCACCCTTCCCCGACAGAATTTGCAGGACAGACGCTCCTTGAGAAGGAGAAACCTTTTTGTTAGTTTCTTGTAAATAAGCCCCAAGCTGTTATTGAGGCCTCGTGGCCGCCAAGGCACACACATTTTGTGTGTGCTCCCGGGCGCCAGATGCCTGGCATATGCAGCTTCCTGGGGAAGGGGAAGATGGGACCACCGGCCACTTGCATGCGGAAGGGACATGAATGGAGGCCTGTGGGGTCCCTCGGCTTGGGCCCCTCACCACCCATCCCCCCACCCTGCAGCAGAGTAAGATAGAAGACCACCTGGACGAGGC
Organism: Homo sapiens; assembly: GCF_000001405.40. NCBI lineage: Eukaryota > Metazoa > Chordata > Mammalia > Primates > Hominidae > Homo > Homo sapiens. Next base: position 1,619,442 of record NC_000019.10, on the reverse strand, counting down.
CATCCACGTGCTCCGCAGCCACGCCGTGGGCACAGCCGGCGACATGCACACGCTGCTGCCTGGCCACGGGGCGCTGGCCTCAGGTTTCACCGGCCCCATGTCACTGGGCGGGCGGCACGCAGGCCTGGTGAGCGCTGGGCGAGGGTGGAGCTGGGCAGTGGGCGGGGACCCGGCTCCCCCTGATGCACCCGTCTCCCCACGCCTGCAGGTTGGAGGCAGCCACCCCGAGGACGGCCTCGCAGGCAGCACCAGCCTCATGCACAACCACGCGGCCCTCCCCAGCCAGCCAGGCACCCTCCCTGACCTGTCTCGGCCTCCCGACTCCTACAGTGGTAAGCCCTTGAGCTTGGGACTGTCCGACTCCTGGTTCCAGTTGGGGAAACTGAGGCACTCTAGTGGTGGGGGTCAGGGTGGGAGCCCAGGGCAGGTGTCACCGTGGGGGCACCTGGTGACATGGGCGCCCCAGTCAGCAACTTCAGGAGGGTGGGTAAGACCGGCGGGGCCGGCGTTGGCCCTGGGCGTGTGAGGTGGACAGCTCTGGGCTGCCTCTTCATTCGCCTGCTCCCAGACGCTGTGTGCCTGGCAGCGCTCAGCACTGGGGAAGGGGCGAGGGGTGCAGCAGGATGCCTCTGCCTCAGGGGAGACAGACCAGGAGCTCGCTGCACAGTACAGGTGCCAGGGAGAAGGAACGAAGTGGCTGCGGTGGGTTGGGGGTTTTGTATGGCTTTGAAGATGGTGGCCCATGAGGCCACAAGGTGGTGTTTGGGCAGCATCTGGGAGGAGGCAAGAGTAGGCAAGTACCTGGAGGAGGAGGGTTTCAGGCAGAGGGCGCAGCCCAGGCAAAGGCCCTGGGGCTGGACTGCACCTGGGAGGAACAGCCAGGAGACCCGTGGGGTTGGAGCAGAGTGAGGAGAGGGAGAGAGGGAAGGGGGGAGGGCGGGGCAGGGCAGGTCATGCGGGGCCTTGTGGGCTGCGGGGAGGACTTGGGATTTGGCCATGAGAAAGGTGGCAGCCGTGGAGGGCTGAGGAGGGATGGGACCTGACCCAGGTGCTCACAGATACCCTCTGGTGGCTGCTTGGAGGACAGACTATGAGTGGCACCGGGAGACCAAGGCAGAGGCCACAGGGCTGGTCCAGGGGCCTTGGAGGGGTGAGCAGTGGGTGGGCCCTGCATCTCCTGAAGGCGGGGCCCACAGGATTTGTGATGGACAGGACTTGAGGGTGAGAGAAGGCAGGGTGGCTCTGGGATTTCTGGCCCGAGCTGTGGGTGACACTGGGGCTGGGAACTCCGTAAGGAAGGGGACAAAGGAAAAGGTTGGGGACAAATCTGGACCTGGGCCTGGGGATTGTTGAGTGTCTCAGACACCCATGAGAGGCCCAGGAGAAGGTGGGGTCATTGTGGGCGCTGTCCTGGCCCTGTGCCTTCCACCAGCCCAGGAATCCTGCCTGCTTTCCAGGCAGACTTTCCAAGTACCTTGATTCTATCACTCCTAGGCCAGGGCATCTCACCGCAGCGGCTCTGCCCCCAGGGGACACTGGGTGATGTCTGGGGACATCTACAGTTGTCAGGGCTGAGGGGAGCTCCTGGCATGGAGTGGGTGGGGGCCAGGGATGCTGCTCAGCACCCTGCAGTGCCCAGGACGGCCCCACCCCAGAGAAGGGTCCGGACCCACAGGTCAGCAGTTTCCAGGGGCAGCCCCAAGCTTAGTCTTTCACCCATAGGCTCCCCTCTGTTTCCTTCCTGTCCTTCACTTCGTGTGCTGAGGCCTGGGCTGGTCCTGGTGGCTGGCGTTGGCCGATTGGAGCAGAGTTCACTGTGGGGAGCGGGTGCATTTCTGAGGCTCCCCCTCAGGGTACGGGGGTCTCAGGGGATGGCAGCTGGTTTGCTCCATGTGAGCCCTGACTGATTCCTGGACTCCCCAAGCCCGGGTTTTGGGGGTGGCCCAGGCCCTGCTGAATGCAGAGTGGCCGCATTCATTTGGGGCACTGTGTACCCTTAAGCCACATGTTTTGCAATTATTGTTCTTGAGCTTCATGAACACGGCGTCCCACTAGCGTGTTCTTTACACGCTGGTTTGCTGGCTTATGTTGTGTGTGGGGTACATGTGTGGTGTGAGCGGCTGGGGTCCCATTGTGAGTGTGCCGTTGGCCCTGGCCCGGGCGTGGGGCTGTAGGTCATTCCAACATCACGCTTTCCTGCCAACCTGCTGATCAAGGGTGTGATACACCTGTTGTCAATTCAGAGGAAAGGCTGATGAATTATTTTCCAAAGCAGCCAAGTTGCCCTCCCACAGGCAAGATTTTGACTGTTCAGGTCCCTCAACTTTGCTAGCTGACTGGGTATGAAAGGGTAGCGCAAAGCCACCCTAATTTGCATTTCCTTAATCTCTTGATGTGCTGAAGCGGACTTCCACGTGTTTCTAGCCATGTGGTTTCCTTGTCTGTGAGATGCCTTTTTGGATACCTTGCTTATTTTTCTACTGAGTTACTTTCTTTTTGTCCTTTCCCATTGATTGTGGGAGATCACCTCCTGGTTGGCTACATCTGTGGTGGGTGTCTTCTATTCTTTGGCAAATGCTTTTCTTTTCCTGGTATCTTTGCTGATCAGGAACTCTCAATTCTGATATAGTCCAGCTTACTGATTTTTGTTTTTTCTTTTTTACTTGTTTTGTTTTGAGACAGGGTCTCACCCTGTCACACCAGAGTGCAGGGGCATGATCACAGCTCACGGTAGCCATGACCCCCTGGCCTCAAGTGACCCTTCCACCTCAGCCTCCCAAAGTGCTGGGATCACAGGCGTGAGTCAGCCACTGTGCCCGGCCTGTGTTCTTTCAAAAGCAGCGCTTTGAGCACTTGCTTGGACAGCTCTTGGACTAAAATGAGAATGATAAAGATTAGCATAGCATCTGCACAAGGGTGACGTGGACATTCCTGAAGTGTTCCAAAGTTTTATTCTTTTTTTTTTTTTTGAGACGGAGTCTTGCTTTGTCACCCAGGCTGGAGTACAGTGGCGCAATCTTGGCTCACTGCAACCTCCGCCTCCTGGGTTCAAGTGATTCTCCTGCCTCAGCCTCCCAAGTAGCTGGGATTACAGGTACCCACCACCACAGCTGGCTAATTTTTTGTATTTTTAGTAGAGATGGGGTTTCACCATGTTAGCCAGGATGGTCTTGATCTCCTGACCTCGTGATCCACCCACCTCGGCCTCCCAAAATGCTGGCATTACAGGTGTGAGCTGGTGTGAGCCACTGTGCCCATCCGAAGTGTTCCATATTTTTAAGTTAATGATTGAAACAGTTTACTTTCACCAAAAAAGAAGAGTGTTCTTTTAGCATCTTAGTAGATTCCTGCCATTGAGTTGCTGCAGAATTTCTACACACTTTGTTCCAAAGGTGGTAAAACTGTTTCCCTTTCATCTTGTGGTCCTTAATCTGTCTGGCATTGGTAGCTACACATGGCGTGAGGTAGGGATCCAGTTCTGGTTGTTGGTTTTTTGTTTTTATTTTTGGCCAAGACCTGGTTTTTCCAGGAAAGCCCAAGTCCCTCACCACAGGAGCACAAAGAGATATGTCAGTTGGCCCTGGAGGCCGACGCAGGCCCCTGACCCTAGGCCTGTTGCAGGGCTAGGGCGAGCAGGTGCCACGGCGGCCGCCAGCGAGATCAAGCGGGAGGAGAAGGAGGACGAGGAGAACACGTCAGCGGCTGACCACTCGGAGGAGGAGAAGAAGGAGCTGAAGGCCCCCCGGGCCCGGACCAGGTGCCAACCCACCCCTCGGCACTCCCCACCCTCACCCCATCAGGACGCACATGTGCACAGGCCACACGCACACCGCACCCACACTGGGAGGCCGTCGGCGGGCCCCACGCTCTTCCCCCAACCTCACTGTCTCCCTCTGGCCCCCTCCCGGCGCCCTCCCCATAGCCCAGACGAGGACGAGGACGACCTTCTCCCCCCAGAGCAGAAGGCCGAGCGGGAGAAGGAGCGCCGGGTGGCCAATAACGCCCGGGAGCGGCTGCGGGTCCGTGACATCAACGAGGCCTTTAAGGAGCTGGGGCGCATGTGCCAACTGCACCTCAACAGCGAGAAGCCCCAGACCAAACTGCTCATCCTGCACCAGGCTGTCTCGGTCATCCTGAACTTGGAGCAGCAAGTGCGAGGTCAGTGGGGGCGCGGGCCACCAGCGTCCCTGCAGCGCCACCCTCCCTCGTGTTCCTGCCCTCGTTCTCCTTCCCCGCCCGCCTTCCTGGAGCCAGCCCTCCCTCTGCAGCAGTTGCCTCCTTGCAGTGACTGTGCCCTTCACCCCTCTGACCGCATTGCCATGACTGTCCACTCCTGACTGCCAGCCCTTCTCCCTGCCTGCCTCAGCATCCCCTCCACAGTGGGAGGACTGGACTCTTTCTGGACCCCTAGTCCTTCAGGCCTGGGCTCTGTGGCTCAGAACTGTATCTCCCAGCTCCACGGGGCTCCCACTCGCCGTGGTCCTCCTTTCTTGGGAAGCCCAGAACCCAGCTCACAGAGGCCAGTGTCCCCCGATCCCAGAGACAGGAGCTGGTGTGCAAACCACCCTGGCCCCTTCCCGTCAGGCAGATGCCACGCAAGGCCACATGAGCCCATCCCCTGTCTCTGACTCAGTTTCCCTATCTGAAGGTGATAGGGAAACTTCCTATCACCCCCATTTCCCAGGGCCAGGGGGAGGAAGGATACAGACAGACCCTGTCCCCACCCGCAGATGTGAGCTGACTCCTTCCCCCCGCTGGCGCTGGCGGCTGCTTCCTTAACTCCTTCCTTTCCTCGCCTGCACCCCGTTAACCCTTTCTCTCCTGCAGCACTGTTGCTGGGACCGGAGCCAGAGCCCCGGCCCGGCCCACACGCTATCCCCTCAGCTCTAAGGTTTCCGAGTCTCTGCAGCCGTGTGTGGCACGCCTCGCGCCCCCCAAGCCCGCCTCTCTGCTGTCTGCCTTCCGCCCTCCCCTCCATCCCGCCCGTCCGTCCCTCTGCTTCCCGTGGCAGCCCCTCCTCACCTCGCACTTGCTGCCCGAGCACCGGGAGCGGCTGGGCTGCAACCTCAGGGCGTTTCCTCCCCCAAAGCCCCCCGTCAGGGCTTGCGGGAAGAAACCAGACCCGGGAGCACGCAGCCCCTGGTCCTGTCAGTTTGGTCTGTGCGCTTGTCCTGGGCTCCAGGGGCCGCCCCCACCACCTGGAGGGATCCCCTCAGGCCCCTAAGGCAGGGTGGGCAGGCAAGTGGGTGAGGCAGCCCCCTAGAGACTAAGACAGGGCACCAGGCATGCTGGGCACTGGGCCAGACCTTCACCCATTTCATCTTCACCACAACCTAGAGCAGTGGGTGCCCTGATGGGGACCGGCATCCATTCTACCAAGTAGGAAGCCAGGGAACAGAGCGAGGTCACCCATGCAGGGCCATGCAGCACAGAGGCCTGGGCCGGGACCCGCACCCCTGCGGCAGCAGCAACAGTGCCCGCTCGCCAGCTGCATGCTGCTCGGCTGGAGAGGGGGCTCAGCCTTGGGCCTGGCACAGAACAGGCTCTTGGAACCTCAGAGCTCCTACTGCGACCATTCACGGTGGCAGTGACAATGGGGTTCCTGGAGGCCTAGGGAGCTGGCCTTCCCAGCCAGGGGCAGGAGCTCAGGGAGGGCTCATCTTGGGGCAGCCGGAGTTCACTGTAGGGGACGGGTGCATTTCTGAGGCTCCTCCCCAGGGTGTGGGGGTCTCGGGGGATGGGAGCTGGTTTGCTCCATGTGAGCCCTGATTTGAGTCCTGGACTCCCCAGTCCCGGGTTTTTGGAGTGGCCCAGGTATTTGCCTGCTGAGCCCGTGTCTTCAAGGCCTCCTCTGTCCACAGTGAGTCTGGCCAGGCCTAGCTGTCCATCACCCCGCAAGTGGCTGCTCTGAGCAGGGAAAGTCATCATCTTGGGAGGGAAGAACAAAGAGAGGAGCAGGCACTGGGCCTCCCCTGCCCCCAGCCCTGCCCTGGGGCCCACAGAGTGAGCAGGGTCAAGGGAGAAGCAGTTACCCTGTGGGCTCCCAGACGGGGAAGCAGGGCCCCATCTCCCTCCACAGAAACGTCTGGGAACAGTCAGACCTTGGGTCTTCCTGGGTGTGACCACATCCACAGCCTCCCCTAGAGCTGAGTCTGAGGGCACTTGCACCTGGGCAGCCAGTCGCGTACACACACAGGCGCCCCACCATGGGGCTCTGCTGCATTCCAGGGAGCACATTCGCCGCGTGCACAGAGAAGCACATTTTCACGCATGTGACAACACACACATCAGCATGTGGACCCGTACTGCTGCCCACACCAACACCAGCCGTGTACCCCCACTGCTGTCCACACCCACACCAGCCATGTACCTGCATTGCTGTGCCCGACACCAGCCGTGTACCTACACTGCAGTGCCTGACACCAGCTGTGTAACTGCACTGCTGCCCACAGCAGCACCAGCCATGTACCCACATTGCTGTGCCCAGCAACGTAAGCTGTGTACCCGCACTGCTGCCCACACCAGCCGTGTACCCCCACTGCTGTCCACACCCACACCAGCCATGTACCTGCATTGCTGTGCCCGACACCAGCCGTGTACCTGCACTGCAGTGCCTGACACCAGCTGTGTAACTGCACTGCTGCCCACACCAACACCAGCCGTGTACCCACACTGCTGTGTCCACCAACGTAAGCCGTGTACCCGCACTGCTGCCCACACCCACACCAGCCGTGTACCCGCACTGCTGCCCACACCAACACCAGCCGTGTACCTGCACTGCTGCCCACACCAACACCAGCCGTGTACCCACACTGCTGTGCCCACCAATGTAAGCCATGTACCTGCACTGCTGCCCACACTGCTGTGCCCACCAACACCAGCCGTGTACCCACACTGCTGCCCACACCAGCACAAACACAAGTAGCTGGATACCCTCTCCACAACCCAGCCCTGCCCTCCCACCCAGCCTTGGCGCATCACTAACAGAGGCCTCGGTGCTGTGACCCAGCAGTACGGACGAGGTGCTGTCCCTGGAGGAGAAAGACCTGAGGGACCGGGAGAGGCGCATGGCCAATAACGCGCGGGAGCGGGTGCGCGTGCGGGATATTAACGAGGCCTTCCGGGAGCTGGGGCGCATGTGCCAGATGCACCTCAAGTCGGACAAAGCGCAGACCAAGCTGCTCATCCTGCAGCAGGCCGTGCAGGTCATCCTGGGGCTGGAGCAGCAGGTGCGAGGTAGGCTCCCCGGCCAGGGCTGCCCCAGCACCCTCTCCCTTCCCCACACCCAGGTGCAGATGCTGGGGTCCTCCTGTGCTTGCCGCCCCCGGACTCTGTCCATGTCTGTCTTTGTGGCTGGACTCAGACCCAGTGATGTTCCCCAGACACCCCCTGATACCCACTCTCTTCTTTACAAGCCTCCACCCCATCCCCCCAGCCTTCTCAAGGAAGGAGGTGAGAGCCGGAAATACAGGAGGCCACACGTGATGGGGCTCTGCCCCCACCCCCCCCCCCGACATCCTACCCCCCACTCCCACCTCACATCTTTCTCCTCCCTGGGACCGTCTCCCACAGAGCTCTCCCCCCTCCCTCCAGAGCGGAACCTGAATCCCAAAGCAGCCTGTTTGAAACGGCGAGAAGAGGAAAAGGTGTCAGGTGTGGTTGGAGACCCCCAGATGGTGCTTTCAGCTCCCCACCCAGGCCTGAGCGAAGCCCACAACCCCGCCGGGCACATGTGAAAGGTATGCCTCCGTGGGACGAGCCACCCGCTTTCAGCCCTGTGCTCTGGCCCCAGAACGGCCACTCGAGACCCCGGGCTTCATCCACATCCACACCTCACACACCTGTTGTCAGCATCGAGCCAACACCAACCTGACAAGGTTCGGAGTGATGGGGGCGGCCAAGGTGACACTGGGTCCAGGAGCTCCCTGGGGCCCTGGCCTACCACTCACTGGCCTCGCTCCCCCTGTCCCCGAATCTCAGCCACCGTGTCACTCTGTGACCTGTCCCATGGATCCTGAAACTGCATCTTGGCCCTGTTGCCTGGGCTGACAGGAGCATTTTTTTTTTTTCCAGTAAACAAAACCTGAAAGCAAGCAACAAAACATACACTTTGTCAGAGAAGAAAAAAATGCCTTAACTATAAAAAGCGGAGAAATGGAAACATATCACTCAAGGGGGATGCTGTGGAAACCTGGCTTATTCTTCTAAAGCCACCAGCAAATTGTGCCTAAGCGAAATATTTTTTTTAAGGAAAATAAAAACATTAGTTACAAGATTTTTTTTTTCTTAATGTAGATGAAAATTAGCAAGGATGCTGCCTTTGGTCTCTGGTTTTTTTAAGCTTTTTTTGCATATGTTTTGTAAGCAACAAATTTTTTTGTATAAAAGTCCCGTGTCTCTCGCTATTTCTGCTGCTGTTCCTAGACTGAGCATTGCATTTCTTGATCAACCAGATGATTAAACGTTGTATTAAAAAGACCCCGTGTAAACCTGAGCCCCCCCGTCCCCCCCCCCCCCCGGAAGCCACTGCACACAGACAGAACGGGGACAGGCGGCGGGTCTTTTGTTTTTTTGATGTTGGGGGTTCTCTTGGTTTTGTCATGTGGAAAGTGATGCGTGGGCGTTCCCTGATGAAGGCACCTTGGGGCTTCCCTGCCGCATCCTCTCCCCTCAGGAAGGGGACTGACCTGGGCTTGGGGGAAGGGACGTCAGCAAGGTGGCTCTGACCCTCCCAGGTGACTCTGCCAAGCAGCTGTGGCCCCCAGGGCTACCCTACACAACGCCCTCCCCAGGCCCCCCTAAGCTGCTCTCCCTTGGAACCTGCACAGCTCTCTGAAATGGGGCATTTTGTTGGGACCAGTGACCCCTGGCATGGGGACCACACCCTGGAGCCCGGTGCTGGGGACCTCCTGGACACCCTGTCCTTCACTCCTTTGCCCCAGGGACCCAGGCTCATGCTCTGAACTCTGGCTGAGAGGATGCTGCTCAGGAGCCAGCACAGGACACCCCCCACCCCACCCCACCATGTCCCCATTACACCAGAGGGCCATCGTGACGTAGACAGGATGCCAGGGGCCTGGCCAGCCTCCCCCAATGCTGGGGAGCATCCCTGGGCCTGGGGCCACACCTGCTGCCCTCCCTCTGTGTGGTCCAAGGGCAAGAGTGGCTGGAGCCGGGGGACTGTGCTGGTCTGAGCCCCACGAAGGCCTTGGGCTGTGCGTCCGACCCTGCTGCAGAACCAGCAGGGTGTCCCCTCGGGCCCATCTGTGTCCCATGTCCCAGCACCCAGGCCTCTCTCCAGGTCTCCTTTTCTGGTCTTTTGCCATGAGGGTAACCAGCTCTTCCCAGCTGGCTGGGGACTGTCTTGGGTTTAAAACTGCAAGTCTCCTACCCTGGGATCCCATCCAGTTCCACACGAACTAGGGCAGTGGTCACTGTGGCACCCAGGTGTGGGCCTGGCTAGCTGGGGGCCTTCATGTGCCCTTCATGCCCCTCCCTGCATTGAGGCCTTGTGGACCCCTGGGCTGGCTGTGTTCATCCCCGCTGCAGGTCGGGCGTCTCCCCCCGTGCCACTCCTGAGACTCCCACCGTTACCCCCAGGAGATCCTGGACTGCCTGACTCCCCTCCCCAGACTGGCTTGGGAGCCTGGGCCCCATGGTAGATGCAAGGGAAACCTCAAGGCCAGCTCAATGCCTGGTATCTGCCCCCAGTCCAGGCCAGGCGGAGGGGAGGGGCTGTCCGGCTGCCTCTCCCTTCTCGGTGGCTTCCCCTACGCCCTGGGAGTTTGATCTCTTAAGGGAACTTGCCTCTCCCTCTTGTTTTGCTCCTGGCCCTGCCCCTAGGTCTGGGTGGGCAGTGGCCCCATAGCCTCTGGAACTGTGCGTTCTGCATAGAATTCAAACGAGATTCACCCAGCGCGAGGAGGAAGAAACAGCAGTTCCTGGGAACCACAATTATGGGGGGTGGGGGGTGTGATCTGAGTGCCTCAAGATGGTTTTCAAAAAAATTTTTTTAAAGAAAATAATTGTATACGTGTCAACACAGCTGGCTGGATGATTGGGACTTTAAAACGACCCTCTTTCAGGTGGATTCAGAGACCTGTCCTGTATATAACAGCACTGTAGCAATAAACGTGACATTTTATAACGATGCCCTGCAGTCCCCGGGTTCTTTCTGGTGTCACATGTTTAGGAAGGGAAGTGGGGGGGGGCCCTGACGTTCACCTCGGGTGCAGCAAGGACCGTGGTCCACCCTGTGCACTGGGCTTCCTCGAAGCGACTCCTCACTCTGAGGAGCCCATGGCTCCCAGGGCGGCTGGGAACCTGCATGTGTACTCAGGGCTCCAGGCCACCTGGAAGCAGGATTGGCTCCCGGGGAAAAGCAGCTCCCTGGGGGCTGCACTTGGGCGCGTAGGAACCATCCAGGACCTGCGGTCCTCCCAGCCCCCATCTGGGAGGGCTCCCCATCTCCCAACGTCCCCCCCCCGGGCTGTTGGAACCCACTTCCCTGCCCCTTCCTGCTCCGAAGTCGGCTCGAAGTCTGAGTCTGTCACTGCTCCTCTGAAACCTTCCACGGCTCCGTTGCTGGCAGCGTCAACCCCACACTCCTTAGTGCGGCATCTGTGACTTCCTCCACAACCGGATGCCCACGGAACCCACGGACAGAGCTCTCGGGGGGAAGGGGTGTGGCAGGACCTGTGGGGGCGCTGCTCATCCCAAAGTGCCCACTGGCAGGCATCTGCTGCTGTGCCCAGGGACTTGGCCGCTGCATCTCTGCGAGGACACAGCTGGACTGCCCTGCTCCCCTACAGGGTTGGGGTGGAAGGAGTGCCTTCCTGGCCACTTGACGGGGGGTGGCCCCCAGGAGAGAGCCCTTTGGCACACAAGTGCCTTAGGGAGGAGAAGGCTCAGCACAGTGACTCATATCTGTAATCCCAGCACTTCAGGTGGCTGAGGCGGGAGGATCGCCTGAGGCCAGGAGTTCCAGTCCAGCCTGGGCAACATAGTGAGACCCCATGTCTATAATTTTTAAGGGAAAGAGAGTGGCCAGGAGTTGACAGAAGGTGCTGAGGGAGCCCTGTCCACCACTCTACCCAGCTGGCCTCTAAATTCATGCTGGAAAACAACTTTTAAAATATACATTGGCCGGGCGCGGTGGCTAACGCCTGTCATCCCAGCACTTTGGGAGGCTGTGGCGGGTGGATCACTTGAGGTCAGGAGTTCGAGACCGGCCTGGCCAACATGGCGAAATCCCATCTCTACTAAAAATACAAAAATTAGCCGGGCATGGTGGCGCAAGCCTGTAATCCCAGCTATTTGGGAGGCTGAGGCAGGAGAATAGCTTGAACCCAGGAGGCAGGGATTGCAGTGAGCTGAGATTGCACCACTGCACTCTAGCCTGGGCGACAGAGCGAGACTGTCTCAAAAAATCAAAATTAAATTGGTTGTACCTGGTGACACACACTTGTAGTCCCAGCTACTTAGGAGGTTCAGGTGGGAGGATCGCTTGAGGTGGCAGTGAACTGTGATTGCACCACTGCACTCCAGCCTGGGCAACAGAGCCAGAACCTGTCAAAAAAAAAGGGTGGGCCAGGTGCAGTGGCTCATGCCTGTAATCCCAGCACTTTGGGAGGCCAAGGCGGGCGGATCACGAGGTCAGGAGATCGAGACCATCCTGGCTAACGGTGAAACCCCATCTCTACTAAAAATACAAAAAATTAGCCAGGCGTGGTGGCGGGCACCTGTAGTCCCAGCTACTCGGTAGGCTGAGGCAGGAGAATGGCGTGAACCTGGGAGGCGGAGCTTGCAGTGAGCCAAGATCATACCACTACACTCCAGCCTGCAGCCTGGGCGACAGCAAGACTCCGTTTCAAAAAAAAAGGGTGGAGGGGACATCCAGATGGTCCAACAAAATAACAAAAACCGGCTCAAGAAACAAAAAGGAAGTTCTATGTCATGTTGAATGGCTTCAGGCACAGCTGGATCCAGGTGTCATTACAAATCTCTCTCCATCTCTCAGCTCTTGTTTATGTCACTGTCTCTGATGAACTCTTTTTTTTGTCTGTTTGTTTTGAGACGGAGTTTCACTCTTGTTGCCCAGGCTGCAGTGCAATGGCGTGATCTCGGCTCACCGCAACCTCTGCCTCCCGGGTTTTCAAGCAATTTTCCTGCCTCAGCCTCCCGAGTAGCTGGAATTACAGGCATCCGTCACCATGTCCGGTTAATTTTGTATTTTTAGTAGAGATGGGGTTTCTCCATGTTGGTCACGCTGGTCTCGAACTCCCAGTCTCAGGTGATCTGCCCGCCTCAACCTCCCAAAGTGCTGGGATTATAGGCGTGAGCCACCGTGCCCGGCCACTGGTGAACTCTTACATTGTGGCATCTGGAAACTCTGGGCTGACATTCCAGCAGCCCTTGTGTTCCTGTCCTTTCTCTTAATAGTCTCTGTGTCAGCCCCTGCATCCCACTTTTTTAAGTTTCCACCAATGGGAAGAGTCTTATTCAGGTGCTCTCTGATCCCAAGCTCAAAAACCCCAAGCCAACTGGAAAGTTCTACAAACAATGCCCAGGGCCGGGCCCGGTGGCTTACACCTGTAATCCCAGCATTTTGGGAGGCGGATCACTTGAGGTCAGGAATTCAAGACAAGCCTGGCCAACATGGCCAAACCCCATCTCTACTAAAAATACAAAAACTAGCCAGGTGTGGTGGCTCACGCCTGTAGTCCCAGCTACTTGGGAGGCTGAGGCAGGAGAAGCTTGAACCCGGGAAGCGGAGGTTGCAGTGAGCCGAGATCGTGTCATTGCACTCCAGCCTGGGCCACAGAGCGAGACTCCGTCTCAAAAAAAAAAAGAAAGAAAAACAGTGCCCAGACTGTGGTGTCCAAAACCTATTTCCGGCTCCCACCCTGAGTCCTTAACCAGGGATAGGGATGGGTTAGCACCCGCAGTCCCCAGAGAGCTGCAGGCTTGGGGTGTACTGAGGGGCTGACCCCAGGAGGACAGGCCAGGCTGGGCAGAAGAACCCACGGTGTCCATTCCTTATCACGAGGCCTGCAAGTGACGCTGGCGCCCGAGAGACAAATCACGCCCAGTGCCCCGTCTAGGCTATGGCCTTTCCGTTCATGCTGTAAAGGTGCCTGTGGGTCAGGCAGTCCAGGAGGGCTTCCTGAGGGAGGCAACTCTTGAATATGGGGGAAAAGGCACAAAAGTGCAATGGCGGTGTCTGGGAATATGCCCCTCTTCCTTCTGCCCACACCGGCCCGGTGTGCAGGGGGGAGGCTGGAAGCTGGGAGCTGAGTGAGCATGTACGGTGCTGCGCCGGGTTGTGGGAGAGCAGAGGAAGCAGGGACTGGAGAAAGGCGAGCCCAAGCGAGCCTGGTGCGGTGGAAAGCAGGAGGCAGAAAGACCTGCCTGTCATCAGCTAAGAGCATCCAGAGACGTTCACCGAGCAAGGAGCCAGGCCACCCTCTGCTGCCGGAATGAGGAATAACCCAGGCTCGCAAACGGAATCCTGCAAAGAGATTTCCGACAGGGCCTCCAAGCAACGGGCAACGCTGAGGCTCAGGGAAGCACTGCCGCTCGACCAAAGTCCTACAGCGAATCAGGAACAACGCCTGACGCCTCCAAAAGTGGGCTCCAATCCCAGCTCTTCCCCTCTGTGTGACTCTGAGCAAGACCCTTCCCCGCTGGACCTCAGTTTCCTTCATTGTAAATAACGTTCTGGCACATACTAGGCGCACAAAATCACTGGCAGGTAGCCCCGCGGAGCCCAGAAGCACAATCGGCCGCCAGACCACGTGGCCAGAAAGCACCGCCCTAACGCCGCCCACTCCGGACCACTTCTCCGCGGTCGTCCAACCCTCGCCGGAAGTTACTGTAAGTGGCTTCCGGGTCTGCGCGCACAGTGGCGGATGATGTTTTTTTTTCCTCCCCCCCCCCCCGCCCTCCCCGCGCGCGTGCGCGCCGCGGCCGCGCCTGCGCAGTGTAGCCGGGTCAGCTGGACAGGGTCATCCTGAGGGTGCGACTCCGCCGCGATGGTGACCCGGTTCCTGGGCCCACGCTACCGGGAGCTGGTCAAGAACTGGTGAGGACGCCGACCCGCGGCCCCATCCGCGCTCCCGCCTCGGCCCAGCCCCGCGCCGCTGCGTTCCGTATTTGTGCGCGTTTCCGGGGGCCGGGCCGGGCCGGGCCCAGGTCCCTTGTTGTTCCCGGTGACAGAGGGGGAAACTGAGGCCGAGAGGCGGAGCGGCGCGTCCCGGCGTGAACGGGACGTGACGGACCCAAGGCCAAACCCCAGCATGCCCGGCTCCGCGGCTAGGCCGCTCCAAGCCTCAGTTTCCCCATCTCTACCGGGGGATCCGAATGGTGACCCCCTGGACGGAAGCGCCCAGAAGGTGCCGAGTCCCGATCCCCAGCCCAGCACTCGCGGCATCTTCGGCCTTTGCCACTATTTTGGTTTTTATGATTTTTAACAAGGAGCGTGAAAGCTTCAGCTGCGCCTGAGCCCACGTGGGCAGCGGGACGGCATAGGGGTGGCCCCCATAGAAGCCGGGCTGGGGGTGGCCTCCGTAGGGTTGTCTGGTGTTTCCACGTGGGGTGCTAAGAAGCAAGGCCTGGCTGGGTGCGGTGGCTCCCGCCTGTGATCCCAGCGCTTTGTGAGGCCGAGGCAGGTGGATCACCTGAGGTCAGGAGTTCGAGACCAGCCTGGCCAACGTGGTGAAACCCGCGTCTCTACTAAAAATGCAAAAATTAGCCAGGCGTGGTGGCGGGTGCCTCTAATCCCAGCTACTCGGGAGGCTGAGGAAGGAGAATCGCTTGAACCCGGGAGGAGGAGGTTGCAGTGAGCTGAGATTGCGCCATTGCACTCCAGCCTGGGTGACAGAATGAGACTGTGTCCCAAAAAGAGAAAAGAAAAAAAAAGCAGCAAGGTCTTAGCCGGGTGCAGTGGCTCCGGCCTGTGATCCCAGTGCTTTGGGAGGCCCAGGCAGGAGAATCACTTGAGCCTGGGAGTTCAAGACCATCCTGGACAACACAATGAAACCCCATCTCTACAAAACAAAAAATTATCAGGGCATGGTGGCACCTGTCTGTAGTCCCAGCTACTGGGGAGGCTAAGGTGGGAGGATCGTTTGAGCCTGGGAATTTGAGACCAGCCTGGGCAACACAGCAAGACCTTATCTCTACAAAAAAATTTAGAGCTGCTGGGCGCAGTGACTCACGCCTGTAATCCCAACACTTTGGGAGGCCAAGGCGGGCGAATCACCCGAGGTCAGGAGTTTGAGACCAACCTGACCAACATGGAGAAACCCCGTCTCTACTGAAAATACAAAATTAGCCAAGTATGGTGGCGCGTGCCTGTAATCCCAGCTACTTGGGAGGCTGAGGCAGGAGAATCGCTCAAACCCGGGAGGTGGAGGTTGTGGTGAGCTGAGATTGTGCCATTGCATTCCAGCCTGGGCAACAAGAGCGAAACTCCGTTTCTAAAAAAGAAAAAAGCAAAGGCTTATGATTGGCAGTGTCTCCGGAAGCCAGAACATACTTCCTCTATCCCAGACTGGGGGACAGGTCGGGGACAGGGTCTGCACGGTGGAGCTGACTGGGACCTTCAAGTGGAATGTGATGGTGCCGGTGGCGTTTTACAGCGTGGGTAACTCAGGCCTGGGATGAGGAAGCCTGCTCCTAGCTGAGAACCCAGTGGCCCATGGTAGCCAGTGCAGCCCCTCCCGGGTGCAGCAGGTCTGCTTCTTCTGTGTTCAGTCACAGCGGGGACCACCCGTCATCCGTGCTTTCATCCAACAGCAAGCATTTATTTATTTATTTATTCATTTATTTATTTAGAGACGGAGTCTTGCTCTGTCGCCCCGGCTGGAGTGCAGTGGCGCAATCTCGGCTCACTGCAAGCTCCGCCTCCCGGGTTCACGCCATTCTCCTGCCTCAGCCTCCCATAAGTAGCTGGGACTACAGGCGCCCGCCACCACGCCCGGCTAATTTTTTTTGTATTTTTTAGTGGAGATGGGGTTTCACCGTGTTAGCCAGGATGGTCACGATCTTCTGACCTCGTGATCCACCTGCCTCGGCCTCCCAAAGTTCTGGGATTACAGGCATGAGCCACTGCGCCCAGCCCAACATTTATTGAGCACCTACTATGTGTTAGGGACGCGCCAATAGACCGAACCCTTGTGGGCGGACATTCTGGTTGGTGGGCAAGGAAAGGTAAAGAAACGAGACCTGTGGTGTGGGGCTGACCTAAAATAACGAAGCGGGAGAGGAAGGGGTGCAGACACGTGCGTGCGAGGGGCCGTGCAGGGCTGTGCCACCAGGCAGTGGCTTTGGGAGGCTAGGGAGCGGGTCTCATCCCCAGGAGGCACTGTGGGGTTGTGTCTCAGAGTCTCAGACTTAGGACTGAGAGGGCCACAGTTCACCAGCTGGGGACCCTGCAGTCCACACCCCTTCTAGGCCCTGCTGGGGCTTGCTTTGAGGAAGGGGTTGTCGTGGCGACGAGGTCGTTGGTCAGTGTGGTCATGGTCTGTACGTCCTTCCTCAGTGGCTAGTGGAAATCAGGTTTTGTGGGCTCTTCCCACACTGTCCAAATCCACAGGGTCCTACATGGGGTGACCAGGATGATAGGGGAGGCGGAGGCCGGCCCACTGGGCATATTTATGAGCAGGCTTCTCTGGTGATTAATAACCCAGGGCTGGGCGCAGTGGCTCACGCGTGTAATCCCAGAACCTTGAGAGGCTGAGGTGGGTGGATCCCTTGAGGTCAGGAGTTCGAGAAGAGCCTGGCCAACAAGGTGAAACCCTGTCTCTACTAAAAATACAAAAATTAGTCGGGCGCGGTAGTGGACACCTGTAATCCCAGCTTCATGGGAGGCTGAGACAAGAGAATCACTTGAACCTGGGAGGCGGGGGTTGCCGTGAGCTGAGATTGCGTCATTGCACTCCAGCCTGGGTGACAGAGCGAGATTCTATCTCAAAATAAATAATAAATAAATAAATAAATAAATAACTTATCCAGAATGCCATCAAGACAACACGTGCGAAGATTCCTGCCCTGTTGGTGGCATCTGCCTCCGAGCCAGGTTCCAGGAGCAGCTGTGCGTGCCCCCAGCTGGTGAGCGGGCACCTGGCCTACACTTGGAGAGTCTCTGGTGAGGCCCCTTGGGGCAATGTGGGCAGGGTTTCTTCATCCGCCTCCAGGAGGAGCACCCCCTACCGCCCCAACATCCCAGCTGTGTGATTTGCTGTGATCCAGGGAGGTGAATCGGATTTTTTTTTTTCTTCCGAGACAGAGTCTCACTGTCGCCCAAGCTAGAGTGCAGTGGCACGATCTCGGCTCACTGCAACCTCGACCTACAGAGTTCAAGTGATTCTCCTGCCTCAGCCTCCCCAGTAGCTGGGACTACAGGTGCGCACCACCACACCGGGCTAGTTTTTATATTTTTAGTAGAGATGAGGTTTCACCATGTTGGCCAGGCTGGTCTAGAATTCCTGACCTCAGGTGATCCACCCGCCTCGGCCTCCGGAAGTGCTGGGATTACAGGTGTGAACCGCCGCACCCCGCCCGGAATTGGATTTTAATTTCAGCCCTCTGTTGGCCAGCAGTGGGACCTGCAATTGTTATCTAGTGCTGTGTGCATAAGAAATGGTCTCCCAAAATTAGCCGCTTAAACTAGCAAATGCTGCTTATCTCACAGTTTCAGTGGGTGCACTGAGTCAACTCCTCAGGCTCTCTTGTGAGGCTGCAGTCTCATCCGAGGGTGTGACCAGGCAGATCCGTTTCCACGATCACTCACGGGGTTGTTGGCTGGATTCATTTATTTCTTCCTTTTTTTTTTTTTTTTTGAGACGGTGTCTCGCTCTGTCACCAGGCTGGAGTACAATGGCATGATCTAAGCTCACTGCAAGCTCCGCCTCCCGGGTTCATGCCATTCTCCTGCCTCAGCCTCCCAAGTAGCTGGGACTACAGGCGCCCGCCACCTTGCCTGGCTAATTTTTTATATTTTTAGTAGAATGGGGTTTTACCATGTTAGCCAGGATGGTCCCTATCTCCTGACCTCATGATCCGCCCACCTCACCCTCCCAAAGTGCTGGGATTACAGGCGTGAGCCACCATGCCCGGCCCTCATTTCCTTCTTAGCTGGAGGCTGCCGTCAGTTCTCTGCCACATGGGTCCCTTCATAGGGCATCTCACAGCATGGCAGCTGGCTTCTCCAGAGGCAGCTAGAGGTTGCACAAAGGTGCCCAGGATGGAAGCCAGTCTTTTTCTTTTTTTTGAGACGGAGTCTCACTTTGTCACCCAGGCTAGAGAGCAATGGTGCAATCTTGGCTCACTGCAACCTCCACCTCCTGGGTTCAAGCCATTCTCCCGCCTCAGCCTCCCAAGTAGCTGGGATTACAGGCACCCACCACCATGCCCGGCTAATTTTTGTATTTTTAGTAGAGATGGGGTTTCACCATGTTTCCCAGGCTGGTCTTGAACTCCTGACCTCAGGTGATCTGCCCGCCTCAGCCTCTCAAAGTGCTGGGATTACAGGCGTGAGCCACCACGCCCAGCCTCTTTTTCTTTTTTAATTTTTTTTGAGATATGGTCTCATATTTACCGAGGCTGGAAGGCAGTTGGTGTAGCCACAGCCTCTGCTTCCTGGGCTCAAGAGATCCTCCTGCCCCAGCTTTCCTAGTAGCTGAGACTACTGGCATGTGCCACCACACCCGGCTAATTTTTCTTAATTTTGTGTAGAGATGGGGTCTCACTCTGTTGTCTAGGCTGGTCTCAAACTCCTAGGCTCAAGTGAGCCTCCTGCCTCAACCTCCCAAAGTGCTGGGATTCCCCTTGTGAGCCTCCATGTCTGAAGCCAGTCTTTTGTCACTTGACCTCGGCAGTGATGCCCCATTGCTCATGCTGCGTTCTACTCATTAGAAGCCTGTGCCCGGCCGGGCGCGGTGGCTCACGCCTGTAATCCCAGCACTTTGGGAGGCCGAGGCGGGCGGATCACGAGGTCAGGAGATTGAGACCATCCTGGCTAACACGGTGAAACCCCATCTCTACTAAAAATGCAAAAAATTAGCCAGGCGCAGTGACGGGCGCCTGTAGTCCCAGCTACTCGGGAGGCTGAGGCAGGAGAATTGCTTGAACCCGGGAGGTGGAGATTGCAGTGAGCCGAGATCACGCCACTGCACTCCAGCTTGGTGACAGAGCAAGACTCCGTCTCAAAAAAAAAAAAAAAAAAAAAAAGAAGCCTGTGCCCAAGTTCATACTGTGCGAGGGCGTAAACGCCAGCAGGCGGGTTTGCTGGGCCTTCCTAGAATCTGCTGGGCCTTCCTAGAATCTGCTGGGCCTTCCTAGAATCTGCTGGGCCCAGGCAACTCAGGGGAGCTCTCACAGCACGTGCCGTGGTGGGCAAGAGCATGAGCTTGGAACCGGAGGCCTCGATCCTCGCCAGCTGTGTGGCCTCAGGTGAGGGCCTCGCCCTGTCTGTTGTTTGGTGTCCTCGCCTGGGAACAGGGACTGTGATGGCGGCACCTGCCTGAGTCCTGCAGCTGTGGCAGGGATGGATGAATTTCTGCAGACTGCAGCAGACCGGACCCATCATCATGGTGGTTGCAAACTTACAAACACCTACACATGCGCCAGGCCCAGCCTCCCCCCAGCTCCACTCCCACCCCAGCAGCCCCTTGAGCAGTTACTGGCTTCCTGAGAGCCGGCAGCATGGGCAGGGCCTGTGCTGCTGGTGCCAGCCCTCAGGGCTCACAGCACTGGGCGGGCACAGGTGCCAGGCCCGCACCTCAGCCATCACCGCTCAGGACGGGGGGCCGGGGTGGGCAGGAGAGGGTCTTGGAGAAAGGGTCCAGAGCAGGCCTGACCATCCCCTCTCCTCTCGCAGGGTCCCGACGGCCTACACATGGGGCGCTGTGGGCGCCGTGGGGCTGGTGTGGGCCACCGATTGGCGGCTGATCCTGGACTGGGTACCTTACATCAATGGCAAGTTTAAGAAGGATAATTAATTACACAAACCCTTCACAGACTGCTCTGGTAAGTTTCAGTGGGCTGCGGTGGGTGGACTGCATGATGGCCGGATGGTGGCCGAAGAGTGGGTTCTCCAGGCTCCCAGAGCCGGGGCGGCAGCCCTCACTGCTCCCCCTGGAGAGACCTGCATTCGAGAGTGGGGCCCTGGGTGCCCCTTCTGGCATCTCCGGCCCACGGGCACAGAACTGTCCGCCCCGCAGCCTTGGGTTGTGTGATTGGGGTGTGGGCCTCGCCCTCCCTCTGGACAATCCCAGTGAGTCTTTGAGGCAAACCTTGCTTCCGTCTCAGTGGGCACTGCAGCCTGAACTGGGTGGGGCCCATGTTACAGACAGAGGGGGAAGGTGGAGGCTGGCCCACAGTGGCTGGACACCCCATGAGCTCTTGGAAGCGCCTGTGAGGCCCTGGACGCATCCACGTGTTTCTCCAGCATGCCAGCTGCCCCCTTAACCACAGTGCCTGTGGCATCTTCCCAGTGCCCACATGACAGTCCCACGTGGCCGTGCTCTTACACCCCCATTTTCCAGGTGCTGGCCTGAGGCCTGAGGCCATGCCACTGTTTGAACCTGGGCCTCAGAGCCCTGCTCCGGTCTGTGTTTCTCCCTACTGCGTGGAGCCCGGGGCCTGTGCTGCATTGGTGTTCCTGCCAGGCTGCTGTCCTGGGCCACTTCCGCAGCCAGCTTCATATGGAAGGGACGTTTCTTTTTTTTTGAGACGGAGTCTCGCTCTGTTGCCAGACTGGAATACGGTGGCGCGATCTCAGCTCACTGCACCCTCTGCCTTCCAGGTTCAAGCGATTCTTGTGCCTCAGCCTCCCAAGTAGCTGGGACTACAGGTGCCCACCACTACACGCAGCTAATTTTTTTTTTTTTTTTTGAGACAGAGTTTGGCTCTTGTTGCCCAGGCTGGAGCGCAATGACGCGATCTTGGCGCACTGCAACCTCCACCTCCCGGGTTCAAGCGATTCTCCTGCCTCAGCCTCCCAAGGAGCTGGGATTACAGGCATCTGCCACCACACCAGGCTAATTCTGTATTTTTAGCAGAGATGGGGTTTCTCCATGTTAATCAAGCTGGTCTCAAACTCCTGACCTCAGGTGATGCGCCCGCCTCGGCCTCCCAAAGTGCTGGGATTAGAGGCGTGAGCCACTGCACCCAGCCTGGAAGGGACACTTCTACTCACCCTGCCTCGTCTGCTCTCCCTCCAGGTGCCTGGTGGTGCTAGCTCCTCCCACCTCAGCACCTGCTGCATCTGGAGCAGCCCAAGCCTCAGGATGGACAAGAGGAAACCCACAGCTCAGCTTCAGGCTTCTTATGTTTCTGAAAACAGCTTGGATATTTTAATGCACGTTGCATTAAACCTCACTGAAACCTGCTCCGTGCCCGGATGTTGATCATGCTGGTGGCTTGGTTACTGTGACTGTAGCTGGAGTGGCACAGGTGACCCAGGCGTCCTTTCAGCTCCAGAATGTTGCAAGTCTAGGAGAGTGTTCCAATGGCTGACAGAAACTGCCTATTTGAAATGGCTCATAAGTAGTATCTGCAGTGTGTTCATCCGTTGCTGCCTTAACAAGTCACCCACACGTAGTGGCTTAAAGCAACGAACATTCACTCTCTCACAGTCTGTGTCAGTCGGGGATTTGGGAGTGATGTATCTGGGTGGTTGTGGCCCAGAGTCTCTCATGAGGTTGCAGTTAAGACATCAGCCAAGGCCACTTCGTCTGAGGAAGGCTCAACTGGGGCTGGAGCCACTTCCAAGCCAGTGCCCTCACGTGGCTGTCGGTGACAGCCACAGTTCCTTCCCATGGGGGCCCCTACACGAAGCTGCTTGAGCATCCTCACGGCATGGCCTCTGCCTTCCCCAGAGCAGGTGAACCAAGGGAGAGGAAGGAGCAAGCCACAGTGCTTCTATGAGCCACCCTGAGAAGTCTCACGTGATCACTTCCGCCACAGCCTGTTTATCAAAAGCAAGCCCCCCAGGCCCAGCCCACGTGCAGAGGGAGGAGAATGAGGTTCTGTGTTTTGAAGGGAAGAATATCAGAATTGGTAGACATTTCAAACTGTCACATTAGGGATACAAAAATGAACAGGCTGGGAGTGGTGGCTCAGCCTACAATCCCAACACTTTGGGAGGCTGAGGAAGGGGCATCACTTGAACCAGGAGTTCAGTACTAACCTGGGCAACAAAGAGGCCCCTGTCTCTGATAAAAAGAAAAAAAATGAAAAAATAAAAATGAACAGGTATAAAAAGAGAATATGGTACAAAGTCACACTCCCTGATACAGCTGCCCAGTTTTTTCCAGCTCTTGCCAATCTCTGAGCCGACATTGCACCACTGCACTCTAGCTTGGGCAACAGAGTGAGACTCAAAAAAAAAAAAAAATCCTAGACATACTGTCTGCATACATAAGTGTGTTGATGGAAATAGCTATTATATCAGTCTGCTAGGGCTGCCATAACAAAATACCACAGATTTTGCATGGCTCAACCAACAGAAATTTATTTTACTTATTCTTTTTTAAAAGACAGTCTTGCTCTATCGCCCAGGCTGGAGTGCCGTGGCACGCTCTTGGCTCACTGCAACCTCCGCCTCCTGGGTTCAAGCGATTCTCCTGCCTCAGCCTCCCAAAGTGCTGGGATTAACAGCTGTGAGCCACTGCACCAAGCCTATTTATTTATTTATTTTTGGAGATGGAATCTTACTGTGTCACCCAGGTTGGAGTGCAGTGGCATGATCTTGGCTCACTGCAACCTCTGCCTTCAGGGTTCAAGCGATTCTTCTGCCTCAGCCTCCCGAGTAGCTGGGATTACAGGTGCCTGCCACCACGCCCTGCTAATTTTTGTATTTTTAGTAGAGATGGGGTTTTGCCATGTTGGCCAGGCTAGTCTTGAAATGACCTCAGGTGATCTGCCCACCTCAGCCTCCCAAAGTGCTGGGATTACAGGCGGGAGCCACTGTGCCCGGCCAGATTTTGTTCTGATTTTTAAAAAAACATTGGCCAGGGGTCTGTGCGTGGTGGCTCACGCACCACTGCACTCCAGTCTGGGTGACAGAGCCAGACTCTGTCTCAAAAAATATATAAAAATTTAAAAAAAAAAATTGTCTGCAGGCTAAGTGTAGTGGCCCACACCTGTAATCCCAGTACTTTGGGAGGCCACAGTGAGAGGATTGCTGGAGCCCAGAAGTTTGAGGCTGTGGTGAGCCGTGATTGTGCCACTGCACTCCAGACTGGGTGGCAGAGTGAGACCCTGTCTCAAAAAAGAAATTGTGTGACTTGAGCCCTGAATCTGTAGGTTACCAGACCCCAGTAGCAGTGAGCTTCCCCTGCCTATTTCTGTATCTGCTGTCCTGGTACTTAAGTCCCGAAAGGGAAGGCAGAGACTTCAGCATGGTGGCACTGAGGCCCTCGCCAGCCCAGGAGGTGACAGGAGCCAGACTGGCGGATGGGGTCCTGTGTTTGTTGCCACAGTGAGTCACTGGACTCCACTGTAAAGAGGAGCAGTCTCGTGGTCCCATCAGCCATTTATTCAGTCATTTATTTCTACCAGCATCCACTCGAGGACATTTTTTCTTTTTCCTTTTTTTTTTTTTTGAGACAGAGTCTCGATCTGTCGCCCAGGCTGGAGTGCAGTGGCGCGATCTCAGCTCACTGCAACCTCTGCCTCCCAGGTTCAAGCGATTCTCCTGCCTCAGCCTCCCGAGTAGCTGGGACTACAGGCGCCCGCCACCAAGCCCAGCTAATTTTTTGTATTTTTTAGTAGACACGGGGTTTCACCGTGTTAGCCAGGATGGTCTCTATCTCCTGACCTCATGATCCACCCGCCTTGGCCTCCCAAAGTGCTGGGATTACAGGCATGAGCCACCACACCCGGCCTTGATGACATTTTTTCTACAGACTATAAATCCTTTATAAACTTTAATTTTGTTGCTCAAGTTGTCCTCTCTGTTTGGCCATCGTGACCCCTTCCAAATGGGCTCCTGTGTGCACATGATATGTCCCGGGTCACTTTTTTTGTTATTGAGGTGAAATTCACATAACATAAAATTAACCATTTTCAGGTGTGCAATGCAGTGCTTTAATACATTCACACTGGTATGCAGCCACTGCGCCCAGCCTGGAATTGGCCATTTTAAAGACTATTTTATTGACTTACTTATTTTAGACAAGGTCTCGCTCTACCACCCAGGCTGGAGTGCATTGTCACAATCATAGCCCAATTTTAAAAATAATCTTGGCCGGGCGCGGTGGCTCACGCCTATAATCCCAGGACTCTGGGAGGCCAAGGCAGGCGGATCACCTGAGGTCGGGAGTTTGAGACCAGCCTGACCAACATGGAGAAACCCCGTCTCCACTAAAAATACAAAATTAGCCGGGCATGGTGGCGGGTGCCACCATAATAATCATCTCCCTTGCATGGGGGCAGGCCTTGCACTGGCTGCCCTAGTCAAGTAATCCCAGCTACTTGGAAGGCTGAGGCAGGAGAATCGCTTGAACTCGGGAGGCGGAGGCTGCAGTGAGCCGAGATCGCGCCGCTGCACTCCAGCCTGAGCAACAAGAGCGAAACTCCGTCTCAAAAAAAACACAAATAATTAAATTAAAAAAATAATAATAATCTCCCAGCCGGGCGTGGTGGCTGGCGCCTGTGATCCCAGCACTTTGGGAGGCTGAGGCAGGCACATTGCTTGAGCTCAGGAGGTTACAGTGAGCCAAGATCACGCCACTGCACTCCAGCCTAGGCAACAAAGTGAAACCCTGTCTCAAAACATAATTATCATCTCCCTTGCATGGGGGCAGGCCTTGCTCTGGCTGCCCTAGTCAGGTACCACGGCTGGTTCTGGGGTGTAACTGCCTGGCTTTGAGTCCACAGCATAGACTTTCCTGTCTCCTTGGGAGCACTGATTCTTCCATGGCAGCCCAATGCCATGGGGCCTCGGTCTCAGGCCAGTAACCAGCTCCTGAGCTTCTCGGGAGACAGAGCTGGCTGTCTCACACCTCACCTCACCTCACGACGAGGTGGGGTGAGCGGGGCATCCGACCATCATCCACCCATCCATCCTGATTTATTCAGTGCTTCTGTGGTCAGCACAACATCCCGAAAATGTGCCCGTTCCGTCGGCCGCTGTGGCTCACACCTGGAACCCCAGCACTTAGGGAGGCCGAGGTGGGCGGATCACTTGAGGTCAGGAGTTCGAAACCAGCTGGCCAACAAGGTCAAATCCCATCTCTTCTAAAAATTCAAAAAAATTAGCCGGGCATGGTGGTGGGCGCCTGTAGTCCCAGCTACTTGGGAGGCTGAGGCAGGAGAATTACTTGAACCCGGGAGGTGGAGGTTGCAGTGAGCCGAGATCACGCCATTGCACTCGAGCCTGGGCAACAGAGCAAGACTCTGTCTCCATCAGTCAGTCAATCAATCAATAAATGAATGTGCCTGTCCTACTCCCTGGAACCTGCAGCTAAAGGGACTTTGAAAATGGGACGAGATCTTCAGATGGGAAAGCATCCCAGATCGGGTGGACCCAATGTCAACAAAAGAGTCCTTAGAACCAGGACAGTTTCTCCAGCTGGAGGCAGGGGAGCACAGCAGCTAGACTCAGTCCTTGAACACCTGTGCAGGCCCGCCCAGCCCTAGCCTTGGGAGCGACGCTGTCAGGGGGAACTGATGGGGGGCAGCCCACCCGTTTCCATTTCAGGATCCCTCTGGCTGGCTGGGGAAGGGGTTAAGGGGAGACAACAGGGGGTGGGCGATTCCGCAGGAAGGTCCTGGAACTCTCCCGGCCAGAGATGGTGGCTGGACTAAGGTGCAGGGGGTGGTCGGGGAGCTGGGGGGGGGTGCTCAGATTCCTGGATTTTGAGGGTTCAAAAAGCAGCTGGACGGGGCGCAGTGGCTCACGCCTGTAATCCCAGCGCTTTGGGAGGCCGAAGTGGGCTGATCACCTGAAGTAAGGAGTTCGAGTCCAGCCTGGCCAACATGGTGAAATCCCGTCTCTACTAAAACTACAAAAATTAGCCGTCCGTGGAACCAGCTACTTGGGAGGCTGAGGCATAACAACTTGAACCCGGGAGGCGGAGGCTACAGTGAGCCAAGATCGCGCCTCTGCACTCCAGCCTGGGTGACAGAGACCCCGTCTCAAAAAAAAAAAAGCTACTGGAGGGAACTTGGGGGCGTGGAAGGGGTGGTCACGGGGGAAGTCCCCCAGATTTGGACGCTCGTAAAAAGCTCGGAAGCTGGGAGACCAGGAGGGCGGGGAAGTCGAGGTCCAGTCACTGGGCCAGAGTCCCCAAGACTTGGGCTGGAGAAAGGTCGGAGGAAAGGACCCCACTAGTCCGAAAGCATGTCCCCGCGCACGCGCACCAGGCGGCCGGCAGAGACAGGGCACAGTAAAAGGAGCCGCGCGGACTCCGGGCACAGCTGCTGGGCACTGGCAGCTCGCAAGGCACAGCGCGCAGGCGCGCACGCCACTTAAGGCCCCGCCCCCTCCCAGCGCGCTGATTGGCGGGGCCGTAGAGGGGCGGGGGCATGGCGCCGCGGCTGCGCAGCGCGGGGCCCCGCGCGGGCGGGTGGGCGGAGCGGGCCCCCCGAGCGGGGGCTGGCGAGCGCGGGGAGGGGGCCGAAAGGGCGGCAAAGCCGGCGCGCGCCCGGCTGGGGGCGGAGGGCGGGGGCCCGCGGGCCGGAACAGCCGCGGCAAGTGGCGGCGGCGGCAGCGGCAGCGGAGGCAGCTGAGGCGGCGGCGGCGAGTGGGGGTCCGGGCGGCGGCGGCGGGCCCGGCGGCGGGCCGAGGAGCCGGGCGCAATGGAGCGGAAGAGGTGGGAGTGCCCGGCGCTCCCGCAGGGCTGGGAGAGGGAAGAAGTGCCCAGAAGGTCGGGGCTGTCGGCCGGCCACAGGGATGTCTTTTACTATAGGTGAATGAGCGCGCCGGCCGCGCAGGGCCTCAACGGGCTCCTCCCAGCGGCCTCTGCGGCGGCCTCGGCGCCCCTGCCCCGGGCCGCGGCCTGGGCCCCGCGCGTGCGTCGTGCGTGCGTGCGTGCGTCTTGCGTGCGTGTGCGCCCGGCGCGCGGAGGCCCAGTGCGCGTGCGCCGCTTGTTGGGCCGCATGGCTTTCGGCCGGCCGTTCAGGGACTGGCTGCCGGACGGCGACTGCGGCCTTTGTTCGTGCGCGCTGGGCCAGGGGCGCCTGGCGGCGGCCAGATGCTACCGGGGGGCAGGGGTGGAGGGTGGGCTGTCCCTTTGGTTCCCGTGAGACGCAGGGGGTGCCTTCTTGGGGCGCTCCTGGGGTGGCGCGGAGCCCGAGGGGGTGGCCAGCCGGGATTTCGGGGAGCAGGGCTCATGGGCGGATCGGGGAGGGCGTGCGTGAAAATACGGGTTCTTGGGCTCGCCCCAGTCCTGGGAATAAGCGCCTCAGGGTGACTGGTCTCCCACGCAGCGTTGCTTTTTTTAAAGGTATTCCCCTTGACTCCTTCCGAGGCCTCTGGTCCTCTTGGGTCGTGGCCCCCTCAGGGTGGAGACCTGAGGCTTTCGACTTTCCGAGCCCACCTAACGGTAGTCTTTGCGTGGATGTTACTGGTGGTGGAAGGCTTTCAGAGACCCCCCCGTCCCCAAATTGGAACAAGGCGCTGCTCTGAAAGGTCGCAGGGAACCCCCTCCGTGGAACAAAGACTTAGTCGCCTGCTGCAGCCAAGTCCCAGACAGTCGGCCACCTGCTGTTTGTCCTCTTTTTTTTTTTTTTCCTGGCTCGGGAAAGATGCTTTTGATTCTGGGCCAGCTTTGATTGCGCCCTCCCCTTGGTTCAGTGTCCCGTGGCGCCTTCAGGTCCCCCAGGAGGGGAAAGCGGAGGACGCCTGCCATGTGCCGAGCACCTGGGTAAAGGGGGGTGTGCGGCTGGTCCCCCTTTTTCCCACAGCTCGGGGTCGTGGGCAGGAGACCGCCCAGGTGAGGGCGGGTGGTTTCCACGAGCCAAGGAGGGGCAGAACGACCGCTCCGTCCACTGTGCACTTCGGTCCTCTGTGGTTCTTGACTGTCCCGGTTTGGGGAGATAAAGTGAGAAAAGTGAGCGGGGAAAGGATGGCTGTGATCAGAAGCAATGTGTGGGGCCTCGTCCTGCAGGAGGAGCTCAGGGACTGGTTCCTGGAAAGTTGGAGGACAGCAAGAGAGGGGAAACTTGGTCCCCAAATGTGTACCCTTATGAGCTGGAACCCTGTACACGTCCTGAGATCTGCAGTGACACATGCTGAAATCTGGGAGGGCAGATGACGGGGCCTGAATGAGACTGGGGTCAGGGAGGGCTTCTCTGAGGACGTGACATTGAGTGACAGGGAGAGGCGTCCAGGCAGCAGGAACCCCCTAAGAGGTGGCTGCAGCTTGGGAGCTAGAACCAAGGCCAGCTTGAGCGGAGTATCCTGAGGCTGTCATCACCCCACCTCTCTCATTCCCACTCTGGGCCCTGGCCCTGAGCATGAGGGTCTAGCAGTGGAGAAAAGCAGGGAGAAGCTCCTCTACAGGCTAGAGATTTCAGGTTTCTCTGCAGAGGGTGAAGCCAGGCAGCCCAGAGCCGCCCTCTGCAGGTCTGGGGCCTCAACCCAGCCCTTCATCTGAGGCTGCAGGCTCCCAGACTGCGTTTTCTGTTGGGGGTGCCTGGGGAGAGTTCAGGCCATGTTGCCCACTTTTTTCTATACGTGTGGTTTTATCAAGGCTGTTCTTTTTTCATTGAATAAAATCTCAGGGACATCATTTTGTGTCAATAGATGGGCATAACCTTTATTTAAAATTGAGATATAATTCACATTCCACAAAAGCTACCTTTTTTGTTTTTTTTCTTTGAGACAGGGTCTCACCCAGGCTGGAGTGCAGTGGTACAATCACGGCTTACGCATTCTTGACCTCCCAGGCTCAGGCGACCCTCTCAGCTCAGCCTCCCAAGTAGTGGGAATTACAGGCACGTGCCACCATACCTGGCTTATTTTTATAGAGATGGGGTTTTGCTGTGTTGCCTAGACTAGACTGGTCTCGAATTCCTGGACTCAAGCAGTTAACCCGCCTCAGCCTCCCAAAGTGCTGGGATTACAGGCATGAGCCACTGCCTGGCCAAAGCCACTTTTTAGAAATGTACAATTCAGTGGGGTTTTTTTTTGGAGATGGAGTTTCACTCTTGGCCCAGGCCACAGTGCAGTGACGCAATCCCAGCCCACTGCAACCTCCACCTCCCGGGTTCAAGCGATTCTTCTGCCTCAGCCTCCCGAGTAGCTGGGATTACAGGCGTCTGCCACCATGCCCGGCTAATTTTTGTATTTTTAGTAGAGAAGGGGTTTCGCCATGTTGGCCAGACTGGTCTCGAACTCCTGACCCCAGCACCTCAGCCTCCCAAAGTGCTGGGATTACAGGCCTGAGCCACCACACCCGGCCCCCAGTGGTTTTTAGTACATTGACAAAGTTGTGCAACCATCACCGCTATCTAATTCCAGAACATTCTCATCACCCTGAAAAGCAGCTCTGTCCTCATTAGCAGTCACTCCCCACTTGTTACTCCCCCAGCCCCTGGTAACCACTAACCCCCTCTATCTTGCATTTGCATTCATTCATTCATTTATTCATTGTGAGACAGGGTCTTGTTCTGTCACCCAGGCTGGAGTGCAGTGGTGCAGTCACAGCTCACTGCATTCCTTGACCTCCTGGGCTCAAGCGATCCTGCCTCCTAAGCCTCCAGCATAGCTGGGACTACAGGCATGTGCCACCATGCCCAGCTAATTTTTTATGTTCATTATTATTTATTTATTTTGAGAAGTAGTCCCGCTTTGTCACCCAGGGTGGAATGCAGTGGTGCAATCTCGGCTGACTGCAGCCTCCACCTCCTGAGTTCAAGCGATTCTCCTGCCTCAGACTCCTGAGTAGCTGGGATTACAGGCCCCCACCACAACCCCCAGCTAATTTTTATATTTTTAATAGAGACGGGGTTTCACCATGTTGGCCAGGCTGGTCTTGAACTCCTGACCTCAGGTGATCTGCCCTCCTTGGCCTCCCAAAGTGCTGGGATTACAGATGAAAGCCACTGCGCCTGCCTTCTTTTTTTTTTTTTTTTTTTTTTTTGAGACCGAGTTTCGTTCTTGTTGCCCAGGCTAGAGTGCAATGTTGCAGTGCAATGCTGCAATCTGGGCTCACTGCGACCTCCACCTCCTGAGTTCAAGCAATTCTCCTGCCTCGGCCTCCCAGCTAGCTGGGATTACAGGCATGTGCCACCACGCCCGGCTACTTTTGTATTTTTAGTCGAGATGGGGTTTCACCATGTTGGTCAGGCTGGTCTCGAACTCCTGATCTCAGGTGATTGGCCCTCCTTTGCTTCCCAAAGTGCTGGGATTACAGGTGTGAGCCACTGCATTTATTCTTTTTGAGAAGGTGTTATCGAGATACAGTTTTATGTACCATACAATAC
Organism: Homo sapiens; assembly: GCF_000001405.40. Taxonomy (NCBI): domain Eukaryota; kingdom Metazoa; phylum Chordata; class Mammalia; order Primates; family Hominidae; genus Homo; species Homo sapiens. The sequence continues at coordinate 1,589,001 of NC_000019.10, read as the reverse complement.
AGTCATTTAAAGTGCACGAGTCAATGGTTTTTCAGCATATTCACATATTTACGGATATAGGCAGCTATCCTCAGATTCAATTTTAGAATTTCCATCACCCTAGAAAGAACCCCAGGCCCATTTACCACTGCCTTGTGCGCCCACCCCCAGTCTTAACAACCAGGCTGTGGTCTGTGTGTGTCTCTTGTTCGCCTTACACCTTTTTTTTTTTTTTTTTTTTTTGGAGACACAGTCTTGCTCTGTCGCCCAGGCTGGAGTGCAGTGTCATGATCTCGGCTCACTGCAACCTCTGCCTCCTGGGTTCAACCCAATTCTGCGTCAGCCTCCCGAGTAGCTGGGACTATAGGCACGTGCCACTGTGCCCGGCCAATTTTTTGTATTTTAGTAGAAACGGGTTTCACCATGTTGCCCAGGCTGGTCTCGAACTCCTGAGCTCAGGCAATCCACCCACCTCAGCCTCCCAAAGTGCTGTGATTACAGGCGTGAGCCACCGCGCCCGGCCTTGTTTCCCTTCATCTTAAAAGGCAGAACGGCCTCTCTTTGGGGTGACCGGAGGCAAAGAGCTGTTGGGAGTGTTTTGTGGGGTCTCTTCTTCCTTCCTTGTGGCTACATGAAGCCTGAGTCTCAGCCTCTGGTTTCTTGGTTTCTTTCCACTGCCCTGGGCAAACCAGCTTCGACTGAACGTCAGCCAGTCCAGAGAGTAATTAAAAGAGTTAAGTCTCAAAAGTAAATCTCCGGGAAGAGCCCTCAGTGGTTTCAGACCCCCAGGCACTTGTCCTCGTGCCCTCCCTGAGGCGTCCTGTCCTACTGGACATGCTGGAGCCTGCCCGTGTCCTTGTGGACCATGGAATTTGCCCGGGGTTGGGGGGCAGGGGTGGAGAGAAATAAAACTTCCTGTGATCTATGTATCGGCCCAGTACATAGATCCTGGATAGAGGCGATTGAGCTAAGCATGGGACCAAGCATTTCTGTGCAGTGCCTGCAGAATTGAGTTTCCTTCTGGCTATGGGAGATTCTTCTGAGCTGTCTCAGTTGTCTGACATCTGGCATCTGCCATGGGCCAGGACGTCTGGGGCAGGGGCAGAAGAGGACAGGAGGAGACTGCCCTAGAGGATTCTGGGAAAACGGGAAAACAGCAAAACAGAGCTACCCACCAATCTCAGGCTGATGCATTATTAATAAAAGTGACTGTTGACTGAGTTTGTAGACATAATATGTTTGAGGTACCTGGCCTAGTAAGCACCATACAAGTGCTATTATTTCTAAATGATTTTATCAAGATAAAAGACACCAGCCAGGCATAGTGGCTGCCGCCTATAATCCCTTTGGGAGGTCGAGGCAGGAGGATCTCTTGAGATCGTAAGTTGGAGACCAACCTGGGCAACATAGCGAGTCCCCATCTATGCAAAAAATTTAAAAATTAGCTGGGCATGGTGGTGCACACGTGTAGTCCTAGCTCCTCAGGAGGCCAAGGCAGGACAATCCCTTGAGTCCAGGAGGTCAAGGCTGCAGTGTGCTGTGATCACACCACTGCACTCCAGCCTGGGCGACACAAGGAGACCCTGGATCTAAAAGTAAAAATGAAAAAAAAAAGAAATGAAGCAGCAGGGCGTGATGACTCACCTTTAATCCCAAAGCTTTGGGAGGGAAGATGGGAGGACTGCTTGAGCTCAGGAGTTCCAGACCAGCCTGGGTAACATGGTGAGACCCTATCTCTATTAAAAAAATATAAAAATTGGCTGGGCGCGGTGGCTCACGCCTGTAATCCCAGCACTTTGGGAGGCCAAGGCAGCCAGATCATGAGGTCAGGAGGTCGCGACCATCCTGGCTAACACTGTGAAACCCCACCTCTACTAAAAATATAAAAAATTAGCCGGGCGTGGTGGTGGGCAGCTGTAGTCCCAGCTACTCGGGAGGCTGAGTCAGGAGAATGGTGTGAACCCGGAAGTCGGAGGTTGCAGTGAGCCAAGATCGCACCACTGCACTCTAGCCTGGGTGACAGAGCGAGACTCCGTCTTAAAAAAAAAAAAAATTAGGCCGGGCACGGTGACTCACACCTGTAATCCCAGCACTTTGGGAGGCTGAGGCGGACAGATCACCTGAGGTCAGGAGTTCGTGACCAGCCTGGCCAACACAGTGAAACCTGGTCTCTACTAAAAATACAAAAATCAGCCAGGTGTGGTGGCGGGCACCTGTACTCCCAGCTACTCAGGAGGCTCAGGCAGGAGAATCACTTGAACCTGGGAGGTGGAGGTTGCAGAGAGCCAAGATCGAGCCACTTCACTCCAGCCTGGGCGACAGAGTGAGACTCCATCTCAAAAAAAAAAAAATTAGGCGTGGTGGCTTGTGCCTGTCGTCCTAGCTACTTGGGAGACTAAGGTGGAAGGATCACCCTAGCCCAGGAGTTCAAGGTTGCAGTGAGCTGTGATTGAGCCATTGCATTCCAGCCTGGGCAAGAGTGAGACCCTATCTCCAAAAGGAAAGAGAGAAACGAAGTCCTGTCCCTATCAGCAGCCACTCCACATCCTGCACCCCAGCCTCTGGCACTACGCGTCCCCTTCCTGTCTCTGAATTATCCTGTTCTAGACATTTCTTAGAAATGGGATCACACACTGTGTGGCCTTTTGTGTCTGGCGTCTCTCACTGAATGTGGCGTCCTCAAGGTGCATCCACGCTGTGGCCTGTGTCAGAGCCTCGCTCCTTTTCATGGCTGAGTATGTCCCATCGTGTGGATGGGCGTTTGTCCGTTCATCCATTGAAGGCGTCTGGGCTGCTTCCACCTTCTGGCTCCTGGGGACATCCGTGTAGAAGTGATGGTGTGGATGCGTGCTCATTTTTCGGGCAGATACCTAAGAGTGGCGTGGCCGGGTCATCTGGAAACTCAGTGAAGAGCTGTCAGGCTTTTCCAACATGGCTGTTCCATCTTACATCCCAACCATGATGACGGTGTGTTGGGTTGGGTGCTTGTCATCCTGTAGTGTGACCTCATGTGACACACAGGGCAACCCATTGGTGGGTGTCCTTATGTCCTGGAGAGGATGAGTTGCCGGCGCTTGTCCATGGCAGGCTGAGAGCAGAGCCCCGTGTCTGAGAGCAGGTCTGTGTTTACCTGGCTGCCTTGTTGCGAGCTCTCCAGTCGGGTTATGCCCAAGCAGCTGTTAGGGCCTGGCCCCAGATCTTAGAACGAGACCCCTTCCCAGTCTGGCCCTGCTGCTGTAACCCCAAGGTGGAAGAAGATTGCTTTTAGGGCTGTCCCTCACATACCTGTTCTCCGTGGGGTCTTTTCTCAAGAATGTGACCTAAATTCCATGTCTGGAATGTTCTGGACATGTGAGCCATCCTCCCAGAGCCGGGGCCCAAAGCCCTGTAGGTAGTAGCGTTTGTACCCGAACTCAGCGTCTGCTGTGCCTGACGCTGCCAGGGCCTACGGTGGGGAGGATTCAGAGGGGACCGGGGTTGGGGGTCTGGAGCAAGGATCCGATGTGGAGGCTGGGGCTAGGGCCAGGGTGTGAGGATCGGGGCCAGTGCTCTGGGTCTGGCTGGCGCCCAGATCTAGGGGCCAGTTGTGGGGTGCTGGGGTCTGGGATGAAGGTCTGGGGTCACGCCAGGGTTGGGGTCTGGGGCTGGGGCCAGGGCCTGCCTGGGTTTGGGGTCAGGGCCGTGTTGGGGTCTGGGGCTGGGGTCGCGACCTGAAGCTGGGGCTGGGACTGGGTTTGGGTCTGCGGCCGAGGCCTGGGTTTGGGGTCTGGGGTCCGCCCGGGGCGCCGACCGTCCCGCCTCCCCGCAGCCCGAGCGGGAAGAAGTTCCGCAGCAAGCCGCAGCTGGCGCGCTACCTGGGCGGCTCCATGGACCTGAGCACCTTCGACTTCCGCACGGGCAAGATGCTGATGAGCAAGATGAACAAGAGCCGCCAGCGCGTGCGCTACGACTCCTCCAACCAGGTCAAGGTGAGTGGTGGCGTCACGCAGGTGACGTCGGCGCGGGGCGTTCTAGGCGGGGACGCGGCCATGACGTGAGCTGCAGGCGACACAGCCCGGCGTCCTGAGCGCAGGAGGTCACAGCGGGCGGAGGGCACAGAGCGGAAGGCGCAGGCCACAGGGTGCAGAGCGCAAGGCGCATGGCGAGGACGCGGCCCGCGGCGGGCGTTCCAGAGCCGGCCGGACCGACCCTGCGGGAGCGGCCTCCCCGGACCGTGGGGGTCCTGGCGGGCGCGGGGGACACGAGGGGCGCCGGCAAAGCAGGGGGTCACCCGGGCCCCGCACCCCCTGAGGCTCCGCGCCGCCGGGGCGCCCCCAGGCCGGACTGCATATCCTTCCTCCCGCAGGGCAAGCCCGACCTGAACACGGCGCTGCCCGTGCGCCAGACGGCGTCCATCTTCAAGCAGCCGGTGACCAAGATTACCAACCACCCCAGCAACAAGGTCAAGAGCGACCCGCAGAAGGCGGTGGACCAGCCGCGCCAGGTGAGCTCAACGCACAGCGACCCCAGCCTTCCCGGCCGGGTTGTTCACTTTGGTGGGTGGACGTTTGGAATGAGGTCGTACGTGGAGCGGACGTAGTGAGCGCAGGAGTTCCAGGCTAGCCTGGGCAACATGACGAGGCAAAAAACAAGTAAAAAATTAGCTGGACGTGGTGGCGCCCGCCTGTGGTCCCAGCTTCTGGGGAGGCTGAGGTGGGAGGATTGCTTGAGCCCAGGAGGCTGAGGCTGCAGTGAGCTATGATCACACCACTGCACTCCAGCCTGGGGGCAGAGCAAGACCCAGTCCTGCGGTCCCCTCTTGGAATGTGCAGGGTATTGGTGCCAGGATACGCCCCACCCTCAACCCCCAGATACCAAAATCTGGGGATGTTCAGGCCCCTCAGAAAATGGTCTAGTATGGCCTCACGCGGTGACTCACGCCTGTAATCCCAGCACTTTGGGAGGCCGAGGCAGGTGGATCACCTGAGAGGTCAGGAGTTTGAGACCAGGCTGACCCAACATGGTGAAACCCCGTCTCTACTAAAAATACAAAAATTAGCTGGGCGTGGTGGTGTGCGCCTGTAATCCCAGCTACCCGGGAGGCTGAGGCAGGAGAATCACTTGAACCCGGGAGGTGGAGGTTGCAGTGAGCCGAGATGACACCACTGCACTCCTGCCTGGGCGACAGAGCGAGACCCGGTCTCAAAAATAAAATAAAAATATTTTTAAAAAATGGAAATGGTCTAATGTTTGCACGTTACCTGCAGGTATTTTCTAGCTTGCTCATGAGGTGTGGATGCTTGTGACGTTCCTTGTGTGTGTTTTATTCATTTTTTTAAGTTTTTCACTTTCGAGACAGGGTTTCTGTATGTTGCCCAGGCTGGTCTCAGGCTCCTGGCCTCAAGTGATCCTCCCACCTTGGCCTCCAAAACTGTGGGGATTACAGGTGTGAGCCAACTCACCTGGCCAGTTGTTGTATTTATTTATTTTTTTTCCCCCCAAATATTTTCAGTCTGCCGCTGGTTGGGTGTGTGGTTATGGAACCCACAGATACAGGGGGTTGACTGCCCATATGTGACTGTGTAACCTACTTCTTAAAAACCTGAGAACCGTGTGTATTTTCTTTTTGTTTTTTCTTTTTTTTTTTTTTTTTTTTGTGACAGAGTCTCGCTCTGTCACCCAGGCTGGAGTGCAGTGGCAGGATCTTAACTCACTACAACCTCTGCCTCCTGGTTTCAACTGGGTTCAAGTGATCCTTCCACCTCAGCCTCACAAGTAGCTGGGATTTCAGGTACCCGTCACAATGCACGGCTAATTTTTTTTTTTTTTTTTCTTTTTTGAGATGGAGTTTTGCTCTTGTTGTCCAGGCTGTAGTGCAATGGTGCGGTCTCAGCTCACTGCAACCTCCACTTCCTGGGTTCAAGTGATTCTCCTGCCTCAGCCTCCCAAGTAGCTGGGATTACAGGCGCCCGTCACCACACCGGACTTTTTTTTGTATTTTTAGTAGATAAGGGGTTTCACCATGTTGACCAGGCTGGTCTCAAACTCCTGACCTCAGGTGATCCACCCACTTCGGCCTCCTAAAGTGCTGGGATTACAGGCGTGAGCCACCCCATGTGTATTTTTTATTCTTATTTACAAACGTCCACTGGATCCCTGGCTGTGGAAAGCCTGGGCAGGGTCTGGAGACCCAAGGCAGTGGGAGGGGAGATGCCCCATTGGGACCCACATGGGGCAAGGAGGCCAGGTGGGCCTCCCTGGAGCCCAGCAAGGACCTGGAGTGGGGAGAGGGCAGGGCCACTCTTGAGGTTCACATATGTGTCTGGGGCAGCTCTTCTGGGAGAAGAAGCTGAGCGGCCTGAACGCCTTCGACATTGCTGAGGAGCTGGTCAAGACCATGGACCTCCCCAAGGGCCTGCAGGGTGAGCGGGCACCCTGAGGGGAGGCGGAAGGGGATGTGCCGGGTGGGGTGGAGGTGCTGCAGGTGCCCTCATCTCCTGGCAGGGTGGATGGCTGTTCCTGCTTTGGGTGCTTAGGGCAAATCTGCCAGCGACTGGGGCAGGAGGAGGGGACCCAGTGGGGTTGGGGATGGGTAAGGGCGCTTGGGCTGGGCCCTTCATTCTTGACCTTGGAGACCCTGCGGGTGGGGCTTTGTGGCTTCCAGGTGTGGCGCAGGCCTGGGGCTGTTTTCACCTGCAGGACGTGCAGTTTTGCCATGGAGATCCTAAATAAACAAACAAGGACAGCTGACTTTGCTTCTGTACTCTCCCAGCACGTCCACACCACAGAACAAAGAATGCAGCTCTTGCATGGTTTTGGTGGTTGTTTTTTGAGACAGGGTCGGCTGGGTACAGTGGCTCACACCTATAATCCCAGCACTTGGCGGGGCTGGGGCAGGAGTTTCACTTGATCTCAGAAGTTTAAGACCAGCTTGGACAACATAGTGAGACCCCATCTCTACAGAAAATACAGAGCAAGGCCAGGTGCAGTGGCTCACGCCTGTAATCCCAACACTCTGGGAGGCCAAGGCGGGCGGATCATGAGGTCAGGAGATCGAGATCATCCTGGCTAACATGGTGAAACCCTGTCTCTACTAAAAATACAAAAAATTAGCCGGGTGTAGTGGCGGCCGCCTGTAGTCTCAGCTACTTGGGAGGCTGAGGCAGGAGAATAGCGTGAACCTGGCAGGCGGAGCTTACAGTGAGCCGAGATCGCACCACTGCACTCTCCTGGGCAACAGAGGGAGACTCCGTCTCAAAAAAAAAAAAAAAAGATACAGAGCAAGACCCCATCTCAAAAACAAAAGGCAGCCTCTCCGTGGCCCATGCTGAAGTACAGTGGCGCCGTTACTACTCACAGCAGCCTCTACCTCCCGGGCTCAAGTGGTTCTCTCAGCACAGCCTCCTGAGTAGCTGGGACCACAGGTATGCAGCGTGACACCTGGCTAATTTTTGAATTATTTTGTAGAGACAGGAGTCTCACTGTGTTGTCCAGGCTGGTCTCAAACTCCTAAGCTCAATCAGTCCTCCCACCTCGCCCTCCCAAGATGCTGGGATTACAGGCGGGAGTCGCCACGCCTGGCCTAACTTGCTTTTTTTTCTGTTATGAATGTAGTAACACAAGCGGGAGAGGGAATTTAGAAATGGAACCCAAGTTGGGGTTCCTTCCAAGAAGGTGGCAGCTCCCATTCTTGGGGCATTTCCGTGGCCTGTCTGGGCCACAGCTGCCCCGTGGTGACCTCTCCACTTGCGGCTGTTTGTCCACTGCCTGGCAGGGGTGGGACCTGGCTGCACGGATGAGACGCTGCTGTCGGCCATCGCCAGCGCCCTGCACACTAGCACCATGCCCATCACGGGACAGCTCTCGGCCGCCGTGGAGAAGAACCCCGGCGTATGGCTCAACACCACGCAGCCCCTGTGCAAAGCCTTCATGGTGACCGACGAGGACATCAGGTAGCCCCTTGGCCTGGTCCCCTGCTGCTCCACCCTGTCTCTTGTGGCCGTGGGGACCCTGAGTGTCCCCGTGTGCCTGCGTGCTTCCCGTCTCCCCACGATGCTGCTGGGGTTTTGAAACAGAAACAGCCAGGGCAAGGGGACCCATCGTCGGAGCAGTATGAACCGTTTCACCCGCGTCCTGGGTTCAGGGCGAGCCAGGCACCCCTTGGAGGAATGTTCTTGAAAAGAGTGTGGTCCTTTGAGTCCGTGAGGACTGGCTATGCTGGGTGCTGGGCTCCATGTTGGGCCCTGGAGACGGAGGGACAGGGCAGGCCAGGAGTCTCTGCCTTCAGGGAGATGGCTCTGGGTGCCTGCTGAGGGGCAGTTCTGATGTGCAGAGCCTCGGAACGAACAGCAGGGAACACGGCCGCTCAGAAACAGGCAACAGTCAGGTGAGGCTGAGCAGCCCAGGGGTGAGCGGCCCTCCTGCGGGGCCTCAGGGCCGAACCCACTTCCAGTGTGCAGAGTGGACGCAAGGCCGCCTGGTGACGGAGGCGCCTGCAGGAAACTCTGGAAGTGCTGGAGCGAAGACGGGACCTTTCACGTTCAGTGCAGCACACGGCTTAGGTCAGAGGAAGGAAAGGAAACTTGACGGTTCCAGAAAGAAGGAGCCAAGACCCGGAACGGCCAGGGAGGCGCTGGGCATGCGGGTTTCCTGTGGCAGCAGCCGGGGTTAAAGGCCCCTGGGCACAAGAAGAGACCCTGTGCCCCCACACAGGGTGAACAGATGGACCTGAGACGCCACCCCCACAAGCACACAAACTGTGGGCGCCAAGGGTTCCATCCGGAGCGGCTGGCGGCATCCTCCTCCGGCCGTGGTACCTCTGGGCCCCCTCTTTTGGGTTTGAGGTCCATTTACACTCTCTGCGCGCTCAGAGAACTTCCCGAAATGAAGATGGTGAAATAGGAAGAATTGTCAACAAAAGAAAAGAACAAGACTGTGAAAAATAGCAGACAGATCATTAAAAGCCCTGCAGAACTTGCAGAAATAAGGCCGGGCACAGTGGCTGACGCCTGTAATCCCAGCACTTTGGGAGGCCGAGGCGGGAGGATCACCTGAGGTCAGGAGTTGAAGACCAGCCTGGCCAACATGGTGAAACCCCGTCTCCACTAAAAATAAAATAATTAGCTGGGTGTTTTGGCACATGCCTGTAGTCCCAGGTACTCGGGAGGCTGAGGCAGGAGAATCACTGGAGCCTGGGAGGCGGAGTTGAGATCCTGCCACTGCAATTCAACCTGGGTGACAGAGTTAAAAAAATAAAATAAGAACTTATAGAAATAGAAAAGGGCATTGAAATGAGGAACTCGGTGGTGGGTTCCGCAGGAGGTAGGGTCCTGTCTGGAAAGATGACGAGCAGGTGGTGGCTGCAGTCGAGTAGGTGAGCCAGGGTGTTCCGGGTGGTGGGGACAGAGTGAGAGGGAGCAGCTCAGGTCTGCAGGAGCCGCTGGAGAGAGACCCCGGAGGCAGGGGGCGGCTGAGCCTCGGCCACAACTGGGGAGAAACAAAGTCAGCTTTGCCTGGGACTGAAAGCAGAACAGAGACGGGCTCTTTGGGCAGCCGGAGAGGGAGGTGGGCAGAAGCACGTGCTGCGGCCCCGGAGGCGGCAGGCAGAGGAGCGGCCACCCTGGAGTGCCTGGCATCAGCTTGTAGGCCCCGAGGAGGAGGCCCCCCATCCCTGGTGGTGGGTTGAGACGAGGGTGTGGATTCTTTTTCTCAGGCCGCCCGAGCCATGGTAAAGGAGTACACGCTGGTGCATAGTGGGCAGCGGAAAGGTGACCCCCGGCCTGCGAGGGTGGGGGCTGCTGCGGGCTGATGGTAGCTGATTTTGGTGAGGCTTGCTTTTTTTTTTTTTTTTTTTTTTTTTTTTGGCAGAATCTGGCTCTGTTGCCCATGCTGGAGTGCAATGGCGCCATCCCAGCCCACTGCAACCTCCGCCTCCCGGGTTCAAGTGATTCTCCTGCCTCAGCCTCCCAAGTAGCTGGGACTACAGGCGGCCGCCACCACGCCCAGCTAATTTTTATATTTTTAGTAGAGATGGGGTTTCGTCATGTTGGTCAGGCTGGTCTCGAACGCCTGACCTCAAGTGATCTGCCCACCTCGGCCTCCCAAAGTGCTGGGATTACAGGCATGAGCCTCTACCTGGCCTGGTGAGGGTTTTCCTGCCCCACTCAGTGCCTGTCAAGGGACAGGAGCAAGGGTTTACACAGCTGAGCCCCGGGGAGGCTCAGGGCCAAGTCTGGGGACTGAAGGGTCAGGCCCCTCCCTTGGTCCCAGTAGAGGTGGCAGGGGGGCCATCTGGGAGGGTGGCGGACGCTGGCGATGGCCAGCGGCAGCCGGTCATTCTCTGCGTGGATTGTGAAGGGAGGGGTGGCACGGGCCAGGGCTGGTCCTGGGGGGGTGCCTGTGGATCCCTCGGGCCTCCCCTCCCAGCTGAGGTCCCCACGTTCATCCTGTGTCCATGTCCTGCTGGCCGCTCACCTTGGTGTAACGCAAGGTCCATGTGTCCCCAGGAAGCAGGAAGAGCTGGTGCAGCAGGTGCGGAAGCGGCTGGAGGAGGCGCTGATGGCCGACATGCTGGCGCACGTGGAGGAGCTGGCCCGTGACGGGGAGGCGCCGCTGGACAAGGCCTGCGCTGAGGACGACGACGAGGAAGACGAGGAGGAGGAGGAGGAGGAGCCCGACCCGGACCCGGAGATGGAGCACGTCTAGGGCAGGTGCTGCGGGGCCACGGGGGCTCCCTGGAGTCGGGTCCTGGCAGTGGGGACTGCCTGGTGAACACAGATGTGCTTGGGATGACGGGTGCCTCCCAAGAGCTTCCCATCTCCCTAGAAGAGCCCAAGCGTCCCCGTCCCGTGGAGTCGCTAAAGCCAGCCCTCCCTGTCCTTTCCAGAGGCCCTGCCGAGAGCCCGTGCTGCCTGCTGGAGCCGCCTGCAGACGCGGTCCTCGGCCCCACGTGAACCAGGCTCGGCGGCGAAGCCCAGCCTTGGAGACACCCAGGAGGAAGGCCGTGCTCCTGGCTCCCTCCTCGGCCCGTCCCCACTTCCCGGGGCCTCGGGGCACACAGCTGGGGCTGCCCCCACCCGAAAGACCCTCCACGCTCGTCCTCTACAGAGTCCGGCTTCGGGAAGTGCCGGGTGCTCCTGGGCCCTGCCTGGCTCCCTACGACCTTTGGGCTCGAGGCCAGCTCCTCCCCATGCCCGCTGTCCCAGCTCCTTGAGACTGGAGAGCAGCCAGCAGGTGCCCGGCAGCTCGGCGCCACGGCTTGCTGACAGCTGGGAGGGTTTCTCGGTCTGGAGGCGTAGTTTTGAAACTCACATCACCCACTGTGCAGCGTGAGGACGGGACTCTGGTCTGCTGTGGGGGGCATGCAGGACGGCGCCACTCTCTGCCCTGCCATGCGGCTGGTGGTGCCACAGAGCCTCACCGTGCCTGAGTGGCATGCCCAGGAGGCCGCTCTCCTTCAGTAAATGTAACACAGTCGAGGCACGTCATCGGGCAGCCTTCCCTGTGTGCCAACGCCAGCCTTCGCTTCTGAAAACCAAACTCCAGCCGCTGCCAGTCGGGACTTGGTCGCCCGGCGCTGCCAGAATGCTCCACTGCCAGCCGGCCCCCCTGCCTCGGTTTCCCTTCTGTTTAGTGGCGACACAGGCACCCAGCTTTGGGGTGGTGCTGACGCTCCCAGGGGTGCCAGGAGCCACTGGGACAGGGTGAGGCTCCCAGACGCTCCTCGAGGTGCCCAGCTCTCCAGGGAGCTTCTGGCCCAAGGCCGTCTGAGGGATCTGCTCCTTAACCCCCCAGTGCCTTGGCGAGGGCAGGTTCCAAGCCACAGACGCCTGCCCCGAGTGGACTCTGCGGCCAGTCCCTGGTGCCCTCCTGGCCCTGCTGCCCAGTGAGGGCTCCTACGGGTGGGTTCATTGGCCTGGGCCCAGCGAGCCCCCACCTGCATTGACCTTAGGCCCATAGAGAGGGCCTGTCCCGGTGCTGCCCCAGCCAGGATCTGGTCGCTGCCCCAGGGGGACTGATGGGCAGAGTCGCCCCTGTGGCTGGACTGTGACCATCCCTGATGGGGCCTGACCGCGGGAGCTGAGGAAGCGCCGCTCCACCGTCTGCCCTCCAAGGACCCGCATGGAGGCAGTGGGCTGGCAGCTTCCTGCTGCTCCCTGTCAGAGTCAAAGCACAAATCCTCAGGACGGGCTCAAGGGCCAGGGCAGCCGAGGGAAGCTCCAGGTGGGGACCACGTCTTCCTGAGGTTGGTGCCCACTGGCTGGGACCCTTTGCAGTGGGGTGGCCTCCCCTCTGTCTGCCTGGTGGAGGGAGCCGTGGGCGTGGGGACGTGACTGAATAAAGCCACCATGGGTGGATGTGCTTGGAGCCTGGAGTTCGGTGCGTCCGCTAGACTTTGGTGCCCACGTTTGAGCTTCTGTCTTTGGTTGGGTGATGAAAGGCTGAAAGCGGTGTGGGGACAGGGCCAGCAGGTCCCCCAACCTCGCGGACATTCACAACCCAAGAGTCAGGCTTAGGGGTATTCAGAGAAGACCAGGCCGGCCTGGGCATCTGTGGGCAAGGGCCGTGCCCCCTGAGGTGCCGCTGGCTCAGCCTAGGGATCGTGGGTCTTGGCCCTGCTGCCCCGGTGAGGAAGATGGGCTGGGGCTCAGACCCAGCACCGCTCCTTCCAAAGGAAGGGAAGCAGGAGGGGCTGCCTGGCAGGGAGGGCCCCCCAGGTCCTCAGGTCCTGCACAGCCGCTGCAGGGAGGGGAGCTGTGCCCCGGGACCCTGGACTTCAGCTCACTAGCCATGGCCACTGGAAGCTGCTTTCTGGACCTGAAGGCTGGGAGGCCACCCTCCCCTCATCTGCCCGGCACTCAGAGACACTCTGTTTCCCTCTTCCCATCTCCCACTGTGTCCCTGTCTCCCTTGGTCTCTCTCTGTCTCTGTCTATCCCTGTCTCTATCTCTCCCTCTTGTCTCTCTCTTGCGCCGTCTCCCTCTCTGTCCCTCTTTGTTTCTTGCTCTCTCTCCTGTCTCTCTCCCTCGGTCTCTGTCTCTGTCTCTTGCTGTCTCTCCCTCTCTGTCGCAGCCCAGCTTCCTGTCACTGACAGACCCCGATCAGTCCCTCTGATCCCGGGGTTCTGGCCATGTCCTGGCCTTGGTCTGAGATGTGATGATCCCTACCCCTGCCACAGGGCCCTCCCCACTGGAAGCCCATCCAGGCCCTGGGCTGTCGCTGTTGACGAAGCTTGAGGGTCCTTTCCTCTCTCCCTGAAACCTTGGGGACCCCCACAGGCCAAGGCAATACTGGCCTTTGCTAGAGGTCGTGCCCGGTGAGAAGTGAGTTGTAGGCGTGGGCACCTGAGGGGCCAGCCCAGTGCTCAGGCCCTCGTCAAATTCCCTGCCCTGGAAAAGTCTCAGACCCTCAGGCTGAACCCCCTGGGCGCACCGAGGCTCCACACTCCAGCCCCAGAACCCAGACCTGGCATGGGGCGGGGAAGCCTGAGCTCCCAATGCTGGGATCTTTCGTGGGGGCCTCATGACCAGCCTGCCCTGTGCGGTGCCTGGCCCCATCCTCAAAGGCCACTTGGCTGCCCCCAGCCCCGCCCATGTCTCAGCCCCAAGACCTTCTGGGACTTTTTTTTTTTTTAGACAAGAGTTTCGCTCTTCTTTCGCTCTTGTTGCACAGGCTGGAGTGCAGTGGCGTGATCTGGGCTCACTGCAACCTCCACCTTCTGGGTTCAAGCCTCAGCCTCCCGAGTAGCCACCACGCCCAGCTAATTTTTGTATTTTTAATAGAGACAGGGTTTCACCATGTTGGCCAGTCTGGTCTGGAACTCCTAACCTCAGGTGATCCGCCCGCCCCAGCTTCCCAAATTGCCGGGATTACAGGTGTGAACCACCATGGCAGCCCTTCTGGCACTTGCCAGCAGCAGCAAGAGCCTCACGTGTCCCCCGCCTCCCCTCAGACCAAGCTCCCCACCGCTGCCGCCACAGAGGGTACCAGGGAGGAGAGGCTCAGGACCCCCGTGGCGAGGATGCACCTCCCAGCCCTCGGCCCAGCCACACGGACCACAGGGCTCCCGAGTCTCAGCAACACCAGCTAAGGGGCATCATGCCTCTCCTGCCACACCCAGGGCCCGTGCCTTGCTGTCCCTGCAGCCCCCAGACCCAGGCAGACAGGGACAGCCCTTCTGACCACCGCACACACTCGCCACCGCAAAGATCCCCGGGGATGCCCCTCGCCTGTGTGTGTCCCTCATGGCTGTCACAGCAAATCTCCAGGAGCCCGGAGGTGCCCATGGAAAACACCCCCAGCTTCCGGAACGTTCTTTCGGACAGGGCCATACCGGAGCAAGACTCAGCTTTCTGGTAGCGGGTGGCTGGGCACTGCCTGTGAGATTCTGTCACACTCGCTCCAGATTCAAGGGGTCCAAAAAGTGTAAACAAGTCAAGTGCCCATCCAGGGATGAACGAACACAGCCCGGCCCGGCCACACCATGGAGCAGGACTCGGCCATGAACAGGAACCAGGCTCTGACACCGGCCACGGCGCAGATGCCCCTGGAGGAGTCCACCCTCAGCAAGAGACACACAGACACCGACACGGCGTGCAATCCCATTTGTGTGAATGTCCAGGACAGGCCGATTCAGAGACAGGAAGGGGACACGTGGGTGCCAGTGACTGGGGATTATGGGGACTGGGGGAAATGGCTAAAGGGCACCCACAAAAGTTAATGATAATGTTCCACAGTTTTTTTTTTGAGATGGAGTCTCACTCTTGTCACCCAGGCTGGAGTGCAATGGTGTGATCTCTGCTCACTGCAAGCTCTGCCTCCTGGGTTCACGCCATTCTCCCTCCTCAGCCTCCCAAGTAGCTGAGATTACAGGCATATGCCACCACCCCCAGTAGAGACGGGGTTTCACCATGTTAGCCAGGCTGGTCACGAACTCCTGACCTCAAGTGATCCCCCACCTCGGCCTCCCAAAGTGCTGGGATTACAGGCATGAGCCACCGTGCCTCACCAGAATTGTGTACTTTTTTTTCTTCTTCTTCTTCGGCATGGAGTTTCGCTCTTGTTGCCCAGGCTGGAGTGCAATGGTGCAAACTTGGCTCACCGCAACCTCCTCCTCCCGGGTTCAATAGATTCTCCAGCCTCAGCCTGCTGAGTAGCTGAGATTACGGGCGCCCGCCACCACACCCAGCTAATCTTTGTACTTTTAGTAGAGACAGGGTTTCACCATGTTGGCCACGGGCAAAAGAATTTTGTTGAGGGCAAATAATATGAGACCACAAAACTGCCTTCCCTGCTCAGTTTTAATTTTCACAGTTTTAATTTTTAGCCTTCTCTGGTTACCAAAATAACCACGCTCACGGCCGTTCATTTGAAGATATTTCCAGTTAACGTGTGTGAAGTGGGTTTTTTGAGATGTAATTTACAAGCAATAAAATGCTCCTGTCTCTGCTGTCCTGCCTGCCTTCCTTCTCCATCACAGGATTCTCCCTGTGCATTTTCCTTTTCCTTTCTGAGTTTTGTTTTGTTTTGTTTTGTTTTTTGAGATGGGGTTTCCCTCTTGTCGCCAGGCTGGAATGCAATGGTGCGATCTTGGCTCACTGCAATCTCTGCCTCCCCAGTTCAGGCAATTCTGTCTCAGCCTCCCAAGTAGCTGGGATTACAGGCATGTGCCACCACGCCCGGCTAATTTTTTGTATTTTTAGTAGAGACGGGGTTTTGCCATGTTGGCCAGGCTAGTCTCGAACTCCTGACCTCAGGTGATCCACTGATCTGCCCCCACCTTGGCCCCTCAAAGTGCTGGGATTACAAGCGTGAGCCACTGCACCTGGCCTTTTTTTTTTTTTTCTTTGTTTTGAAGCAGGATTTCACTCTGTCACCTAGGCTGGAGTGCAGTGGCGTAATCTCAGCTCACTGCAACCTCTGCCTCCCGGGCTCAAGCAATCCTCCCACTTTAGACTCCCAAGTAGCTGGGACCATAGGTGTGTGCCATCAGACCCGGCTAATTTTTAAATTTTTTGTACAGGCTGGGCAAGGTGGGACACGCCTGTAATCTTAGCACTTTGCAGGGCCTAGGCAGACAGATCACTTGAGGTCAGGAGTTTGAGACCAGTGTGGCCAACACGTACTAGAAAGCACGAAAATTAGCTGGGCATGGTGGTAGGTGCCTGTAGTCCCAGCTAGTCGTGAGGCTGAGGCAGGAGAATCCCTTGAGCCAGGGAGGAAGAGGTTGCAGTGAGCTGAGATCACGCCGCTGCACTCCAGCCTGGGCGACAGAGTGAAGGGATTCTGTCTTCAAAAAAATAATAATAATAAATAGGCCAGACACGGTGGCTAACGCCTGTAATCCCAACACTTTGGGAGGCCTAGGCAGGAGGATCACCTGGGGTCGGGAGTTTGAGACTAGCCTGACCAACACGGAGAAACCCCTTCTCTACTAAAAATACAACATTAGCCAGGCGTGGTGGGCACCTGTAATCCCAGCTACTCAGGAGGCTGAGGCAGGAGCATCTCTTGAACCTGAGAGGCGGAGTTTACAGTGAGCCAAGATGGCGCCATTGCACTCCATCCTGAGTGACAGAGCAAGACTCCGTTCTCAAAAACACAAAACAAACAAAAAAAAACTGTATCCTAAGCAAGACAATGGATCCCCCAGGCCCACCCCTGGGCTTCATCAGCGATGATCACGGCTCCTCTTGTCTCCCATAACCCCCACCCTGCCCGGTCAAAATGCCTCCCTTCCTATGTGATTTTCTTCCAACATTCTCCCATGAAAAAATGTCAGACGCGGCCGGGCGTGGTGGCTCATGGCTGTAATCCCAGCACTTTGGGAGGCCAAGGCGGGCGGATCACCTGAGGTCACGAGTTCAAGACCAGCCTGACCGTCATGGTGAAACCCCGTCTCTACTAAAAATACAAAAATTAGCTGGACTTGTTGGCGGATGCCTGTAGTTCCAGCTACTCAGGAGGCTGAGGCAGGAGAATCGCTTTAACCCAGGAGGCGGAGCTTGCAGTGAGCTGGGATTGTGCCACTGCACTGCAGCCTGGGCAACAGAGCTAGACTCCGTCTCAAAAAAAAAAGAAAAGAAAAGAAAAGAAAAAGTAAAAAACATCAGATGCAGAGTGGGCCTGAGAGAATTTCACATTTCACGGTGACCACAATAGTGCCACCACCTACACCAGCGCTTCCCACCTGAGGTGACTCTGGGCCCAGGGGCCACGTTTGTGGGCATCTGGGCTGTCACAACCAAGGAGGTATATTATGGGTTGAATCATGTCCGCACAAAGATGTCTGTGTCCTCAACCCCACAACTTCTGAATGGGACCTTGTTTGGAAAGAGGGTCTCTGCAGACAAGTTAAGCCAAAGTTGTACGGGAGGGGGTGGACTCTCATCCCGTGACTCCTGTTCCCATGAGAAGAGGGAAACCAGGACACATACAGGGAGACATGGGTGTGTGAAGACAGAGGCCGAGGTCAGAGCGATGCGGCCACAATGAGCGATGAGGCCACAATGAGCGATGAGGCCACAATGAGCGATGAGGCCCAGAGCCCCCAGAAGATGGAAGAGGCAGAAAGGACGCTCCCCAGAGCCTTTGAAGGGGGCGCGGCCCTGCGCACACCTTGAGTTTTGACTCTGAGGCTCCAAAACTGGGAAAGAATTAAATATTCATTGCTTCATTCATTCATAAATTCATTTGTTTATTAGACACAGGGTTTTTTCTTTGTTTGTTTGTTTGTTTTTGAGACAGAGTCTTGCTCTGTTGCCCAGGCTGGAGTGCAGTGGTGTGATCTCAACTTGCTGCAACCTCCACCTCCCGGGTTCAAGCGATTCTCCTGCCTCAGCCTCCCAAGCAGCTGGCACTACAGGCTCACGCCACCACACCCGGCTCATTTCATATTTTTAGTAGAGACAGGGTTTCACCGTGTTGGCCAGGTTGATATAGAACTCCTAACCTAAGGTGATCTACCTGCCTTGGACTTCCAAAGTGCTGGGAAGACAGGCGTGAGCCACCGCGCCCGGCGCCCGGCTGACAATGCCATTAATAATTGCAAGTGGCTGGGCATAGTGTTACCCACCTGTAGTCCCAGCAGTTTGGGAGGCTGAGGCAGGAGGATTGCTTGAGGTTAGGAGTTCAAGACTAGCCCGGGCAACAAAAAGGACCCTGTCTCTACAAATACAAAAAGTAGCCCGGTGTGGTGGTGCACACCTGTGGTCCCAGCTACTCAGGAGGCTGAGGCGGGAGGATTGCTTGAGCTCGGGAGTTCTGAGCTGTAGTGAGCTATGCTGATCCAGCGTCTACATTAATATGATGACCTCCCTGGACTGGGAGGACCACCAGGTTGCCTAAGGAGGGCTGAACCTACCCAAGTCAGAGACGGAGCTGGTCAAAGCTCTCATGCTGATCTGTCCTGGGGTCACACCTGTGAATAGCCACTGCACCCCAGCCTGGGCAACAGAGCAAGACTCTGTCCGAAAAAGAAAGAAAAGGAAAGGAGAGGAGAGGGGAGGGGAGCAGAGAAGGAAGGGAGAATCCTGGTTGATACGGTGAAACCCTGTCTCTACAAAAAATACAAAAAATTAGCTGGGTGTGGCGTCAGGCACCTGTAGTCCCAGCCACTCGGGAGGCTGAGACAGGAGAATGGCGTGAACCCAGAGGCGGAGCTTGCAGTGAGCCAAGACTGCACCACTGCACTCCAACCTGGGTGACAGAGCGAGACTCCGTCTAAAAAAAAAAAAAGAAAGAAAGAAGGAAGGAAGGAAGGAAGGGAGAGAAAAGAAGAAATGAAGAACGAAATAAAGGATGAAAGAAAAGGAAGGAAGCAAGGAAGGAAGGAGAAGAAAGAAAAGAAAGAAGGAAAGAAAGACAGAAAAAAGAAAAGGAAGAGAAAGAAAAAAAGGAAAGAAAGAAAAGGAAAAGAAAAAAGAGAAAGAAAGGAAAGAGAAAGAAAGAAAAAGAAAAGAAAGAAAGGAAGAAAGAAAGAAAAAAAGGAAAGAAAGAGAAAAAAAGAAAGAGAGAAAGAAAGAGAGATAGAAAAACAATTCCAAGCATGGGCGTGCACGAAAGAGAAGTCCAGGACCCCAGGAGGGGAAGTGGGGCTGGATGCAGCCTGGGGTCAGGAGAGAGATTTTGGGTGGGGAAGGGCTCCAGGCAGGGGGATCCTGACCCTGCCTGCCTGGAAGAAGTGGGCAGAGAAGCCACCAAAAGTGAAGGGCCCAGCAGTGGGTGGCTGTGGCTGAGGGACTAGAAGAGTGGCTGAGGGGGACCCAGGGTGTGTGAGGCGGGGGGAGGGGACAGAGGAGAAGCCTTGCTAGGCAAAGGGGCAGGCTGCCCCACTCCTGCCCAGAGAGCCCTGCCTTCGGTCCAAGTTTGCACAGCCAGCCAGGGACAGGTCTGGTAGAAGAGGGGGGCAGGTAGACCCAGCCAGACAGGTTTATCACAAAAAACCCCACAGGTGCAAGGAAGGCCCCGAAGGACAGCTGGAGGAAGAGCCGCTGGGAAAGCGGCTATTTTTTTTTTTTTTTTTTTTTTTTGAGAGGAGTCTTGCTCTGTCAACCAGGCTGGAGTGCAGTGGTGCAATCTCGACTCACTGCAACCACCACCTCCAGGGTTCAAGCAATTATCCTGCCTCAGCTTCCTGAGTAGCTGGGATTACAGGTGCGCGCCACCACGCCTGGCTAATTTTTGTATTTTTAGTAGAGTCGGGGGTTTCACCATGTTGGCCAGGCTGGTCTCTAACTCCTGACCTCGTGATCCACCCGCCTCGGCCTCCCAAACTGCTGGGATGACAGGCATGAGCCACCGCGCCCGGCAAGGGTGGCTTTAGAGGTGGACAACGCCCGTTGCGGGGAAAGGCACCCCAGAAGAGGGTGGGGCTCCACATGGAGGGTTCTGGCTGGTGTGAGCCTGCCCTCGCCATGGAAGCACCACTGTGGTAGAGAGGTCTCTGGCTGGGGGCACAGAGACCGGGTCTGTGGCCTTGGGTGGGGCGGAGGAGGTGGCGTGGAGGAGGTGGCCTGATCCCAAAGCCGGGAGCCAGCCAGAGGGGAGCTAGGAGAGACTAGGGGAGAGGGACCTCAGGCCCTGGGGTGTGCATGATTGTGGAGCTGTCCCTGGCACAGAGGCTGGGGGTGGGGCAGGGGCCTGACCCTAAAGCCCACCTGATAGCAAGGGGTACTTGGGGACTGGGACCCCAGGCCCTGGGGGGTGCACCGTGGGGCGGGGGTTGGACCCTGGCACAGAGGCGGTGGGCGGGCAGGAGCCTGACTTCGAAGTCCAGTGGGATCGCGAGGGGGACTTGGAGAGGACCCCACGCCTTTATGCAGGGAGGTGGGGGTCCCTGGCACAAGGAAGCGGGCGTGGAGCAAGAGACCTCGCTTGGGGGCGACCCGGATCTCTAGGGGAAATTGGGGAGCGGGACCTCGGGCCCTGGGGCGCGCGAGGCAGGGACTCTCAGGCTTGGGGAGGGAGCGCTGTCCAGGCAGGGGCTGAGCCGCACACACCTGCAGCAGCGCCCGCACGTGCGGATGCGCCCGGGTTCCCGCCCGAGCGCCGGGCGGAGGCGGGGCCTGGACCACGTGCCCGGCGCCGGCCCCGCCCCGGCCCCGCCCCGCGCGCCTGCGCCCTGGGGGCCGCCCATTGTTGGGCCGCGGCGTGACGTCGCGGGGGCGGGGCCGGGGCGGGGCCGCGGGAGGCGGCGGGAGGGAAGGAGCGTCCCGCGCCGCCGCCGCCGCCTCGGCCGCCGAGGAGCCGCCGCCGCCGTCGCCGCCGCCGCCGAGCCGCAGCCAGAGTCGCTGCCGCCGCCCGGCCCGGCCCGGCCCGGCCCCGAGCAGCCCCGCGCCGCCGCCGCCCCGCCCGCCCGGCCCCCCGTGCCCGCCCCCGCCGCTGGATGCAGGCGGCCGGCGGCCCAGCTCGCAGAGGCGGAGGGCGGCGCGGGCGGCGGCGGCGGCGCGGGCGGCAGGAGCGCGGGCCCCAGCGCTAGCTCCCGCCATGCCCAGCTCGCTCGGCCAGCCCGACGGCGGCGGGGGCGGGGGCGGCGGCGGCGGCGGCGTGGGGGCGGCGGGGGAGGACCCCGGACCCGGACCTGCGCCCCCGCCCGAGGGCGCCCAGGAGGCCGCGCCCGCGCCCCGGCCGCCGCCCGAACCCGACGACGCGGCCGCCGCGCTCCGCCTGGCGCTGGACCAGCTGTCGGCGCTCGGGCTGGGGGGCGCTGGCGACACGGACGAGGAGGGGGCGGCCGGGGACGGCGCAGCGGCGGCGGGGGGCGCGGACGGCGGGGCGGCTCCGGAGCCTGTGCCCCCCGACGGACCTGAGGCCGGCGCGCCCCCGACCCTGGCCCCCGCCGTGGCCCCCGGGTCGCTGCCGCTGCTGGACCCCAACGCGAGTCCCCCGCCGCCGCCGCCGCCCCGGCCGTCGCCCCCCGACGTGTTCGCGGGCTTCGCGCCCCACCCCGCGGCCCTGGGGCCCCCGACGCTGCTGGCCGACCAGATGAGCGTGATCGGCAGCCGCAAGAAAAGCGTCAACATGACCGAGTGCGTCCCGGTGCCCAGCTCCGAGCACGTCGCCGAGATCGTGGGTCGCCAGGGTGAGTGGCCCTCGTCGGGGGTTGCTGTCCTGGGGGTCCCCGCACCGTCCGCCCCGGGGAAGGGGGTCGCCCGAGCCCAGCCCAGCCCGCGCCGGACGCCCCGCACCGGACACGCCCCGCGTGGGCTCCGGCCTCGGCCGCTGCCTTTGCGCCTTTGTCCTGCAGCCGCCGCGGGAGAAAGTTGGGCGCAGCCCGCGCTCCTCCCCTGCGCGCTCCGGCCCCGCCGCCGCCTTTGTCTGGGCCGCCTCCAGCCCGGAAAGGCTCCGGGGAGCCGCGCCGCAGCCCAGGCCCTCGGCCGCCCGCAGGGGCACCCCAGAGAGGGGCTCGAGGGCCCGGGGCTCCGGCCGGGCGGGGGGCGCCCCACACCCAGCACAGGCGGCGGGGCGGGGCAAGCGCAGGTTTAGGGGTGGCTTAGGGGGGCCGCCTGCAGGACCGGGAGAGAAGGCTGACAGTACAAAGAGCGCACGTCTCAGTCTCCAGCCTGGGGCCCTGACTGGGGTGGGGACGGGACCGGGCAGGAGAGGGTCCCTGCTCCACTCTCTGGCCCCGAGTCAGGGATTTCGGGGCCTGGGGAAGGACCGGCTGTCAAAGCCACTTCTGGGGTGCAGCCTGCTGGGCAGGCCGGCGGGCGGCAGGCCCCGGGTGTGGGGTCCAGCGGTGGCATCGTCGGAGCTTCCCTCTGGCCGCCCCATTGTTCTCTTTGTTAGAGAGCGAGGCTGAGATTTGCAGGGTGACATCAGGCCGGCCGCTGCTCATTGGCCCCCGAGCTGCGGGGCGGGCGGGCGGGTGGTGGGCAGTGCCTGGCCCAGCTCACACCCACCACCCCGTTAGCCACCCGCCCGCCTGCCTCCCTCAACTTTCTCCTGCCTTCCCGCCACCCCTCCCCGCTCCTGGGTCCCCGCTGACCGCCAGTGATCAGCCAGGTTCTAGAACTTGGGGTGGGGCCTTGGCGGGGCTGGTGGTGGGGCCGCAGGACACTTGGGCTGGGGGTCCCTGCCTCCCCGGGGCCCTCGGGAATCCAGGCCAGAGAAAGGTGTGGGGGGCTGGGATTGCAAGGTCATCTATGGCCCTGGCCTCAGGCGGGGGACCACCAGGGCGCCCTCCCCTCCGCCCTTTCCCTCGGTCCAGGTGGGTGGGGCACCACAGCCTCCTGTCTTTTGGTCGTTCATTTGTCCAGCTCATGTGGGGACCCACGGAGGGTCAGGCATGGTGCTGGCCCCAGGAAGCATGCTCTGGAGTGGTGGGTGGGGAGGGACTGGGTTCTGTCTCAGTCCTGCTGGCTGCCCTTGGTGGGACCCCCTGGCAGGAGGGCGCCCTACCATCCTGTTACTGCCTCCCCATTGAGGCCTTCCACCCGGCCTCCATGTCCCATACCCAGGGCCTAGAACGGGACAGCTGCCCTGTGCGGAGTGTCTGGGAGCCTGTGGAGACAGGCGTCCAAGCCGAGGCCTGGGGACCAAGTGACCAAAGGCACGAGCCTGAGCCTCCAGGTGGTGGAGGCTGTGGCTGTGTTCTTTGTGAACGCGCTTGTCCTGGCACCCAAGGGCCTTTGAGCGAGGCTATGGCCACATGGGGAGCTGGCAGGAATCAGCGTCAGGCTGAGAGCTTCTAGACCTGTGGCCTCAGGGTGGGAATTCTCTAGGGGCAGGTCCATGGGAAATGGAGTCTGTGGGCACCAGGCTCAGCCCCCACCTCTGGCCTGTGCGTTCTGCACCCACTTACTGGGCTCTTGCTGGTGGCCGTCAGCAAGGCAGGCCCTGGGGTACAGTGGGGGTCGGGGGTAGAGTGGGCCCTGATTGCTTGTCCTGCAGGCCGCCGTGGCCCTGCGCAGATGACGGCCCCTCTCTGTGATGTGCGGACGTCTCACCTCCATTAGGGTAGAGGATTCTGGGGCAAGATGCTGGTTTTATTTATTTATTTATGAGACGGAGTTTCGCTCTGTCGCCCAGGCTGGAGTGCAGTGACGTGATCTGGGCTCACTGCAAACTCCGCCTTCTGGTTTCAAGCAGTTCTCCTGCCTCAGCCTCCTGAGTAGCTGGGATTACAAGTGTGAGCCACCACGCTCAGCTGATTTTTGTATTTTTAGTAGAGACGGGGTTTCACCATGTTGTCCAGGCTGGTCTCGAACTCCCGACCTCAAGTGATCCGCCCACCTCCACCTCCCAAAGTGCTGAGATTACAGGCGTGAGCCACTGCGCACGGCCAGTTTTATTTATTTGTTTTTATTATAAAGTTTTTCTTGTAGAGACAGGGTCTTGCTCTGTTGCTCAGGCTGGTCTTGAACTCCTGGCCTCAAGCGATCCTCAGCCACCCAAAGTGCTGGGGTTCCTACAGGTGTGAGCCACTATGCCTGGACCCAAGTTGCTGGTTTTAATCCCAGCTCCAGGTCACACACAGTGGCCACCCCATAAGTGGAGTGCGCGTTGCCAGGGATGCAACTGTGGATGCCAGGACAGGTTGGCAGCTTCAGTAGTCCTTACGTCTTCCACAGCTTCGGTAGTCTGTACTTCTTCCACACTGTAGAACCATCTGTGGCTCCCAGCTTCTCCCACCCACCCCGTTCTCAAGCATACCTTTCAATGTCCTTTGTGCCCCGGCCCTGCCCCTTTACTCACCTTCCTCTCCACCCTGGGGCTCTCTGAACTTCTCATGCTTCTCTGTCAAACCCAAGCTCCAAGGTTACCCCTTCCCTGGAGGCCAGGAAGGGTGCACCTGTCCGGCCTCCCCACCTAGACAAGAGTCACACAGGCCTGGCACCAGCCCTCTCCCCAGTAGCTACGTGCTGTTCTCTGAGCTTCAGTTCTCTTGATCCTAGAGGGGGTCCGAGTGCTTTCTGGGCAGACTGTGGTCATTCAAACCCTCTGAGTTCCCACCCATCTGCTGGAGGCTCCAGTTCATTCATTTGCTATATCTTTTTTTTTTTTTTTTTTTGGGATGGAGTCTCGCTCTGTTGCCCAGGCTGGAGTGCAATGGCACGATCCCGGTTCACTGCAAGCTCCACCTCCCAGGTTCAAGCGATCCTCCTGCCTCAGCCCCCCTAGTATGTGGGATTACAGGCACGTGCCACTATGCCCAGCTGGTTTTTGTATTTTCAGTAGAGACGGGGTTTCGCCATGTTGGCCAGGCTGGTCTCACACTCCTGACCTCAGGTGATCCACCCACCTCAGCCTCCCAGAGTGCTGGGACTACAGGTGTGAGCCACTGCGCCTGGCCATTGGCTAGATCTTTATTGAGGGTCTACTGTGTGCTAAGCCTATGCCAGACTTGACCTGCCCCATCTCACTGAGGCCCATAATGTGCCCCAGGAAAGGTCCTGCAGCTCCCAGGTCACAGATGGGGAGGCAGAGGCTGCAAGAGGTAAAGAATAGGTAAAAACTGAGGGGATAGCAGCACTCAGAGAGGCTGAGGCAGGAGGATCCCTCGAGCCTAGGAATCGAGACCAGCCCGGCCAACATGGCGAAACCCTGTCTCTACAAAAAAAAAAATACAAAAATTAGGCATGGTGGCACACTCCTGCAGCCCCAGCTACTCTGGAGGCTGAGGCAGGAGGATTACTTGAGCCTGGGCGGTCGAGGCTGCAGTGAGCTATGATCTTGTCACCGCTCTCCAGTCTAGGCAACAAAGCAAGACCCTGTCTCCAAAACAAAACAAAAATCATGGGCTGGGATTCAAACCCAGTTTCTCTGGTGGGTCAGCAAAGAAAATTTCAGATTCCAAAGCTTGAGGGCTGGGGGTGAGGGGAGGCAGCCCTGTCTGGGAGACAGGCAAAGTGGAGACCCAAAAGCACAGGCGTCTCCCTCCAGCCGGCCAGCAAAGGTGCTCTAGGGGACCTCCGGCCCTGCTCCTGCTGAGACCCCAACATGTACCCTCCTTTCTCACCCCGCTTGCCAGGCACCCTGGGTGAATCTGTGCTCCGTGGCAGCCTCTCCCCCTGCATGTTCCCAGGGACAGGAACCAGGGCAGGTGCTTGGTCATGGTTGGGTCTTCAGTGTCTTGCCAGGGCCTGTACACAGAAGGTGTTCTGTGGCTAATGAATGAATGAATGAGTGAGTGATGTTGAAGGCAGGGCCTGGACTGGAAGCTGCTCAGGGCTCGCTCTCTCTGCTGTCGGCACAGGCTAAGGCTAGTGATTTTAGGTTGTTCCCCTCAGCTGGGGGCGACCCCTGGCTCACTGTCTCCCCTCCTGTCCCTTGTTCCTGGCTGCAGCCCCAGAGGCTCCTCTTCTCCTCCCATCCCCGCAGGCCCCAGGTTTTCCCGACAGCTGGGGACAGTGCTGGGGTGTTGGTGGGGACCATGCCATGGTTTTCCTGTCCATACACTGCAGAGCCCTAGGAAGAAAGGCTCTGCTAGGAAACCTCCACACTGCAGACCCAACTGAGAGTTCTGGCGTTAGTACAGTGTACATGTTCCCTTCATTCCCCGAGAGGTTTTTTTCTTTTCATTTTGAGACAGGGTCTTGCTCTTGTCGCCCAGGCTGGAGTACAGTGGCTCAGTCTCGGCTCACTGCAGCCTCCACCTCCCAGGTTCAAGCAGTTCTTTCACCTCAGCCTCCCGAGTAGCTGGGATTACAGGTATCTGCCACCACCACGCCAGGCTCATTTTTGTATTTTTAGTAGAGACGGGGTTTCGCCATGTTGGCCAGGCCGGTCTCGAACTCCTGACCTCAGGTCATCCGCCTGCCTCCACCTCCCAAAGTGCTGGGATTACAGGTGTGAGTCACCACGCCTAGCGGTTTCTTGTTGTTGTTGTTTTGTTTTGTTGTTTTTGAGACAGGGTCTGGTTCTGTTGCTCTGTCCTGAGTGCAGTGGTGTGATTGTAGCTCACTGCAGCCTCAACCTCCTGGGCTCAGACGATCCTCCCACCTCTGCCTCCCAAGTAGCTGGGACCACAGGTGCGCACCAACACACCCAGCTAATTTTCTTTTCTTTTCTTTTCTTTTGAGGCGGAGTCTCACTCTGTCGCCCAGGCTGGAGTGCAGTGGTGCAATCTCGGCTCACTGCAAGCTCTGCCTCCCGGGTTCAAGCGATTCTCCTGCCTCAGCCTCCCGAGTAACTGGGATTACAGGCGCCCGCCACCACGCCCGGCTAATTTTTGTATTTTTAGTGGAGATGGGGTTTCACCATGTTGGTCAGTCTGGTCTCGAACTCCTGACCTCGTGATCCACTGTGCCCGGTCCACACCTGGCTAATTTTTTTTTTTTTTTGAGACGGAGTCTCACTCTGTCGCCCAGGCTAGAGTGCAGTGGCGCGATCTCAGCTCACTGCAACCTCCATCTCCCAGGTTCACGCCATTCTTCTGCCTCAGCCTCCCAAGTAGCTGGGACTACAGGCGCCCACCACCACACCCGGCTAATTTTTTGTATTTTTAGTAGAGACGGGGTTTCACCGTGTTAGCTAGGATGGTCTTGATCTCCTGACCTCGTGATCCACCCATTTTGGCCTCCCAAAGTGCTGGGATTACAGGTGTGAGCCACCGTGCCCGGCCACACCTGGCTAATTTTTAAAAATTTTTTGTAGAGGCCGGATATGGTGGCTCACACCTGTAATCCTAGCACTTTGGGAGGCTGAGATGGGAGGATCACCTGAGCCCAAGAGTTCCAGACCAGCCTGGGCAACATAATAAGACCCTGTCTCTGCAGAAAAGCTTTAAACAATTAGCCGGGGGTGGTGGTGCATAACTGTAGTCCCAGCTACTCGGGAGGCTGAGGTGAGAGGATGGCTTGAGCCCAGGAGGTCAAGGCTGCAGTGAGCTGTGACTGCACTCCAGCCTGGGCGACAGGTGACACCCTTTATAGAGACAGGATCTTGCTATGTTGCCCAGGCTGGTCTCGAACTCCTGGCCTCAAGTGATCCTCCTGCCTTGGCCTCCCAAAGTGCCGGAACTACGTACGGGTGTGAGCCACTGTTCCTGGCCTGGGAGGGGGTTTTGACATCCCTGTTTGACAGCTGAACCAGCTTCCCTCCTCCCCACCAGACCCCTCAGCTCCCGCTGGCTTCCATAGTGGCCCAGGTCTGGGATGCTGCTGTCCCGCGTCACCCGGCTGCCTGGCTGGGGGCGGCTGCGTGTTGGACTGAGTGTTGGCTGTGAGGCCTTGTTCTCGCCCCGTCCTGCTTCTAGAATCCTGTCCTTGCTGTTGCCTCAGCGGCTCCCTGGGGTTCACATTCCCCTTCCTGCCATGGCAAACCCATCCAGCCTGGGCTGGTGGCCTCGGCTCCCACACCAGGACTTGTGGTTTCATTGGTAAGTCGTAGTGCACGGTCATTGCAGCCAGGACCCTGGACGGGCTGGATGAGTGATGCCCGCTGGTGTGTGTGCTGCGTGGGGCCCTGGTAGGGGGAGACTTGGCTGCTGTGGGTTGGGGGTGTGGGACAGGTCAGGGCCAGACTCTGGGGTGGTCACCCCGATTCCCAGGCATCTCAAGCCCTCCGAGTTGGAATTCTGGGGACATGGCCCACGAATCTGCATTTCAGTGCCTGCCAACCTTCGGTGTCCCCCAGAGCCCGCCCTTCAGGCTTCCTGTCCCTCTAGCCTCGCTGTGTCATTTCCAGTGGGGCAGGGGTGGGCTGGGATCACTCCTGGAGCCCCGATTCCTTGGCCCCTTGGCGTCTTGATGTGGGTGGAGTTTTGGGGGCCAGCACGTGTCAAAGCAGACGCAGCACCAATGAATTGAGCTCCAGCTCCGTCTTTGAGGTCCTAGAGGCCTTCTAGCTGTGAGGTCTCCACCCAGCGCCACCGTCTGGGTTAGGGCAGGATGGAGTAAGGGGAGGGGGAGGCGCCAGTTCCCTCCCCTGCCCCGACGCACGCGTGGCTCCCAGCACCATCCTGGTTTCTGCTCAGACAGTCACACGCCCCCTTCCTTGCCACCTCCATCTCCCAAATTTGTCATCTCACCCAGACCAGACTTTCTGTGACCACAGCCTGTGAGCTCAGCGGTGGCCACGTCGGGGCAGCCTCTCCCACGTGTGACCCTCTGGGGACCCGGGGCGGCTCCCAGATCAGCAAGGGAGGACCCCATGCTGCACCCTGGCAACGCTGGCGGGCTCTGCCCTCTGCCGGGTCGGCGTGATGGGGAACAGGCTCACTTCCTGCCTGTGGGCAGGGCCAGCGGAGCCTCCATCTGTGGGTGGCACCTCCTTCCCCAGCCTTGCTGGGTCTCCACTCCCTGTGCCTCAGTTTCCCTTCCTCAAGGAGGATCTATCTAAAGCAAACACTGTGGGCTGCAGTGAGACCTGCCAGGGTGGCTGCCAGGAGCCAACGGCCTGGTCATGGCCCTCTGAGGGCCTGTGAAGCCGGGCCTGTGAAGCCAGGCCTGTTACCTTCCCCTTTCACAGTGAAGAAACAGGCATAGCAAGGTCCCCCAAGTGCCGAGGGAATCCCCAGCCCCATCCTCCAGCCTCAGGGAGGCAGCTCAGAGAGTCAGGCATGTTAGGAGAGACTCAGAAGAGCAGGCCCAACCCGATGCAGTCAGGGTGGGCTTCCTGGAGGAGGGGGACACCGGACTGTACAGAAGAATGGAGGGGACTGGGTGCAATGGAGGTGAACAGAATGCTGCGACTGGGAGGGACAGGTGTGGTGGCAGTGCAGCTGGGGCGGGAAAACTGCTGTCCTCCTCCGAGTGGGTGCACCCCCGCCACCCCTCCCAGGGTCCTCCCTACCGAGCCCCTGGGACCACCAGCCTCCAGGTCCCACGCCTTCCATCTTCCTGGCCCAGGCAGTTTCTGACTTCTTCCCCGTCAAAAGTGCTGATCCTGCTCATTTCATCTCTTGCACTGTGGGAGAGTTAGCAACACTGTTTTCCCCTCAGAGCCACCTTCTGACTGTATTGAAACATCCCTGCAGCTCCCTCTGCTTCCCCAGAGCCTGAGGGGTTGTGAGCAGTGGCTCAAAACTCCTTCACGGGCCGGGCGCAGTGGCCCACACCTGTCATCCCAGCACTTTGGGAGGCCGAGGCAGGAGGACTGCTTGAGCCCAAGAATTTGAAACCAGCCTGGGCAATATAGTGAGATCCCATCTCTACTAAAAATAAAAATAGGCCGGGCGTGGTGGCTCACGCCTGTAATCCCAGCACTTTGGGAGGCCAAGGCAGGTGGATCACCTGAGGTCAGGAGTTCAAGACCAGCCTGGCCAACATGGTGCAATCCCATCTGTACTAAAAATAAAAAAAATTAGCTGGGTGTGGTGGTGGGCGCCTGTAATCCCAGCTACTCAGGAAGCTGAGGCAGGAGAATTGTTTGAACCTAGGAGGCAGAGGTTGCAGTGAGCCGAGATGGTACCACTGCACTCCAGCCTGGGCAACAAGAGCAAAACTCCGTCTCAATAACTAATTAAGCTGGGCATGGTGGTGCCAGCTCTGGAGGCTGAGGTGGGAGGATCACTTGAGCCCAGGAGTTGAAGGCTGCAGTGAGCTATGATCACACCACTGCACTCCAGCCTGGGTAACAAGAGTGAGATAATCTCAAAAAAGGAAAAGAAAAAAAAAAAAACCATTAAGGCCCCAGGGGTGGGGTAGGGATGTCTGGGACCCCAAGAAGGCCATACCTGGTCAGCGGTTGCCTACACAATCGGTGAGGAGAGCCCTGCCTCCCACACTGACACTCATGTCCCTCACCAGGTCAGACCCCCAGCCCAGCCAACAAGAACAAAGCCACAGCAGGCCCCTCAGGGCCCACCTGGATGCCTCGGAGGCATCTGGAGTCAGGGTGCGGGCGTCTGCAGTCGGGCCGAGACCTCGGCTCCCCTTAGGCCAGGGTCTTGGTAGCCTAGGGAGGGTCATTTGGCCGGAAGAAAATTGTAGGCAGTTTCCACAATCTGAATTTCGGCTTCCCCTCCTGTTGGGCCGGGAGGTGGTGTCAGAGGGTCTCCAGTTGCTCTCTGGGCTGACACAATGGGGGCTTGAAACCATGGAAACGTCTCCTCTCTCATTTCTGTAAGATAAAAGTTCCAAGTCAAGGTGTGGGCAGGGCGGGGGGCGCCTTCAGTTTCCGGGGGCTATGGCCAGTCCTTGGCTTGTAGAGACATCACTGCAGTCTCTGTCTGTGTCTCCACAAGGCCAGCTTCTCTGTGTGTGTGTGTCTTTTTTTTTTTTTTCCTTCTTTTTTTGAGACAAGGCTTTGCTCTGTCACCCAGGCTGAAGTGCAGTGGTGTGATCATAGCTCACTGCAGCCTCCACCTCCCGGGCTCAGGTGATCCTCCCACTTCAGCCTCCTGAGTAGCTAAGACTACAGGTGTGTACCACCACACCTGGCTAATTTTTTGTTGTTGTTTGTAGTAGAGATGGGGTCCTGCTGTGTTGCCCAGGCTGGTCTCAAACTCCTGGGCTCCAGTGATCCTCCTGCCTCAGATTCCCGAAGTACTAGGATTACGGGTGTGAGCCACTGACCCTGCCACTGTGGCTCTTTTTTTTTTTTTTTTTTTGAAATGGAGTCTTGGTCTGTGGCTAGGCTGGAGTGCAGTGGCATGATGTTGGCTCACTGCACCCTCCACCTCCTGAGTTCAGGCGGTTCTGCCTCAGCCCTCCCCAGTGGCTGGGATTACAGGCGTGCGCCACCACACCTTGCTAATTGCGGCTTTTTTTTTTTTTTTTTTTTTTTTTTTTTTTTTTTTTTGAGACAGTCTCGCTCTGTCACCCAGGCTGGAGTGCAATGGTGTGCGATCTCGGCTCACTGCAGTCTCTGCCTCCCAGGTTCAAGCGATTCTTCCGCCTCAGCCTCCCGAGTACCTGGGACTACAGATGCCTGCCACCACGCCTGGCTAATTTTTTGTATTTTAGTAGAGACAGGGTTTCACCATGTTGGCCAGGCTGGTCTTGAGCCCCTGACCTCGTGATCCACCCAACTTGGCCTCCCAAAGTGCTGGGATTACAGGGGTGAGCCACTGCACCCCGCTTTTTTTTTTTTTTTAGTTGGAGTCTTGCTTTGTCGTCCAGGCTGGGGTGCAGTGGTGCAATCTTGGCTCACTGCAACCTTCGTCTCCTGGGTTCAAGTGATTCTCCTGCCTCAGCCTCCCAAGTACCTGGGACTACAGGTGCCTGCCGCTACACCCGGATGATTGCTTGTATTTTTAGTAGAGACAGGGTTTCACCATGTTGGCCAGGCTGGTTTGGAACTCCTGACCTCAAGTGATCCACCTGCCTCGGCCTCCCAAAGTGCTGGGATTACATGGGTGAGCCACGGGCCCAGCCGACCCTACGTATTAAATTAATACTGTCAACGCCGCATATTAGGGTCCAGCTTGTGAACTTGGGGGAAACATTCACACCCCAGCCGTCACACTGCGGTTCCAGGGGAACATAAATTATGGCGCACACCTTTCAACCTAAAACAGGGTCCCCTTGCCGTCTTGCTTTTAGGCCAAACTCGAGCCCAGAGGGGAAACTGAGGCTGAGGGAAGAAGGGACGTGGCGTGTCTGAGGATAAAGTGTTGTTGGGCACAGGCTGGGAGGTAGGGGCTCCCTCACTGGCCCTGCAGCCTGCATGCCCAGCGGGGCTGAGCTGCGCAGGGGGCTCTGGGTCACCTTGTCCTTCCCCTCCCTCCCGGACAGGCTGCAAGATCAAGGCCCTGCGGGCCAAGACAAACACCTACATCAAGACCCCAGTGCGGGGCGAGGAGCCGGTCTTCATCGTGACCGGCCGGAAGGAGGACGTGGAGATGGCCAAGCGTGAGATCCTGTCGGCGGCCGAACACTTCTCCATCATCCGCGCCACGCGCAGCAAGGCCGGGGGTCTGCCCGGCGCCGCCCAGGGCCCGCCCAACCTTCCCGGACAGACCACCATCCAGGTGCGCGTGCCCTACCGGGTGGTGGGGCTGGTGGTGGGGCCCAAGGGCGCCACCATCAAGCGCATCCAGCAGCGGACGCACACCTACATCGTGACGCCCGGGCGCGACAAGGAGCCGGTGTTCGCGGTCACTGGGATGCCCGAGAACGTGGACCGCGCGCGCGAGGAGATCGAGGCGCACATCACGCTGCGCACTGGCGCCTTCACCGACGCGGGCCCCGACAGCGACTTCCACGCCAACGGCACCGACGTCTGCCTGGACCTGCTCGGGGCGGCCGCCAGCCTCTGGGCCAAGACCCCCAACCAGGGACGACGGCCCCCCACGGCCACGGCCGGCCTCCGCGGGGACACGGCCCTGGGCGCCCCCAGCGCCCCCGAGGCCTTCTACGCGGGCAGCCGCGGCGGCCCCTCCGTGCCGGACCCAGGCCCCGCCAGCCCCTACAGCGGCTCCGGCAACGGGGGCTTCGCCTTCGGCGCGGAGGGTCCCGGTGCCCCGGTGGGGACGGCCGCCCCCGACGACTGCGACTTCGGCTTCGACTTCGACTTCCTGGCGCTGGACCTGACCGTGCCCGCCGCGGCCACCATCTGGGCGCCTTTTGAGCGCGCCGCCCCCTTGCCCGCCTTCAGCGGCTGCTCCACGGTCAACGGAGCCCCGGGACCTCCCGCCGCCGGCGCCCGGCGCAGCAGTGGGGCCGGGACCCCCCGCCACTCGCCCACGCTGCCCGAGCCCGGCGGCCTCCGCCTGGAGCTCCCGCTGTCTCGCCGTGGCGCCCCGGACCCGGTGGGCGCGCTGTCCTGGCGACCCCCGCAGGGCCCCGTATCCTTCCCAGGCGGCGCCGCCTTCTCCACGGCCACCTCGCTGCCCAGCAGCCCCGCGGCCGCCGCCTGCGCCCCCCTGGACTCCGGCGCCTCCGAGAACAGCCGCAAGCCCCCTTCGGCGTCCTCGGCCCCGGCCCTGGCGCGAGAGTGCGTGGTGTGCGCCGAGGGCGAGGTGATGGCTGCGCTGGTCCCCTGCGGCCACAACCTCTTCTGCATGGACTGCGCCGTCCGCATCTGCGGCAAGAGCGAGCCCGAGTGTCCCGCCTGCCGCACGCCGGCCACCCAGGCCATTCATATCTTTTCCTAGAGCGCGGACCACCACGTGGCCGGGGCCATCTGCGGGGGCCAGGGGTGGGCGCGGGAGACGGGGCGGGACCCGGGGTGGGAGAGGGACGGGGAGGGGGCGAGGGGCGGAGGCCGAGGGGGCAGGGGGGTGGGCGGCGGCCAGTGTTTACAGATGAGCTTTAACTGCCGCCTCAGGCGTGGAGACGGAGACCCCGCAGCCCGGCGGCGCCTCAGCCCTTCAACGACAGTATTGAGTGGTCAGGTTACAATAAACCGGAGAGAAAAGGTCCGCTTGCACTTTTTTTAGTTTTCTTATTTTTAGACACCCCTCCCCTCCAGGGTGATCTTTAAAAAAGCAAAACAAAAAACACGACTTTTCCAGCGCTCAGCGTTTTTTCCTTTCGTCCGAAGCCGTTTTCTGATTTGACTTTTCTCGCCGGCCGGTCTCAGGCCGCACAGACGTTCCAGAGGAGGAGGGTGACATTTTTACTCCCTTTTTGGGGCTAACCATTTATGCTTTTGTACATCAACCGTGCGCGGCCGGAGGGGGCAGGGGGGCGGGGGCGAGGGGCGTTCCAATCAAATTTCTAACTTTCTGTTAATTATTAATCCCCTTTTTACTGCGGTTTCTGTTGTCATTTTTAAAATTTTTTTAATTTTTTTTTTTTTTTACTTTTACTTTTTACCTCTTGTGTATATGTAGGGAATTTATAGGGAAATATGTACTTTATGGAATAAATTTTAAGAACTAAAATATATTTTATTTTAAATAAAGTAATGGACCTTTAATCTTACACAGCTAAATTACTGATTATATATTTGCTGAGCTGATTTAAGGGTTAAAAAAATTGTATCAAGAGTTTTATTTTTTGACTTCAAAGCCTTCTTAATAAAGCCTCTTTTCTACATGTGAGCACACGGCTTCAGCGTGGTGTGGGGGATGGGCACCAGGAGGGGAGACCCCGGGGCAGGGGACACCCGGATCCAGCCCCTCAACCCCCCAGTTCCGTGGTCCAGGCCCTCACCCCGACCAGGCACTGTCCCTTGTTCCAGACGAAGGAATTGGGTCTGTGGGGGAGGGTCTAGCTGGGCTCCCCGTGAGCAAACCTCAGGTCCTCCCCATCCCTGTGGGTGTTCAACCATGGATCCCACAGAGAAAGGGGACCCAGGCTGTCCTTCCTCAGGGACATCTGCCCAGCTCTCTGGGTGTGTGGGATCCATCCCAACAGACCGTCCAGCGGTCGTGCAGATGGGGAAACTGAGGCCTGGAAATGCCCGTCCCAGGTTTGACCCCGATGCATCCTGGTCTGTGAAGGACGTTTGAGCCGTGGTCATCCCCCCACTGCTCTGGGAGCCATGACAGACACATGGGGCCACCAGATATAGCTCTTCAGGGCTGGGGTTGAGACCACAGGCTCGCCGGGTGCAGTGGCTCTCGCCTGTAATCCCAGCACTTTGGGAGGCCGAGGCAGGTGGATCAGGAGGTCAGGAGATCGAGACCATCCTGGCTAACACGGTGAAACCGCGTCTCTACTAAAAGTACAAAAAAAATTAGCCGGGCGTGGTGGTGGGCGCCTGTGGTCCCAGCTACTTGGGAGGCTGAGGCAGGAGAATGGCGTGAACCCGGGAGACGGAGCTTGTAGTGAGCCGAGATTGCACCACTGCACTCCAGCCTGGGTGACAGAGTGAGACTCCGTCTCAAAAAAAAAAAAAAAAGAAAAAAAAAAAAAGACCACAGGCTGGACCCATGGTGAGCTGTCCCAGCGCGCCATCCCAAAACAGCCAGGAAGCCCCTGGGTGTCAGGATGGGCCACTCCGGGGACAAGGAAGGGGCCGGGCACACAGGCTGCAGGCTTGGGGAGTGGACCTTGGGGAGGGGCCTGGGACTTAGAACCCACCAGGGAAAGAGAAGCACGTGTGGAAGAGAGGCCTGGAGAGCTTCCAGGAGGAGGCGAGGAGGAGAGAGGAACCACCAGAGACGCACACCTGAGTTCAAGCCCAGCCCTACCCAGGCCCCTGGCCTGGAACTCCCTCCTCCGCAAAACGCAGGGTGTTCGAGGCCCAAACTCCCTCTCGGTGAGACTGAGGGGCGTGTCATTGGTTGAATGGAGTCCCCCCACCAAAATAAGGAGTCCCCCAGAAAGTGAGAATGTGATTTTATTTGGGAAAAGGTCTTTGCAGATATAATTAAGGATCTCAAGATGAAATCATCCTGAATTAGAGCAAGCCTTAAATCTAATAATGAGTGTTTTTTGTTTTTTTTTTTTTTTCTGTTTGGTTTTGTTTTGTTTTTGAGGCGGAGTCTTGCTCTGTCGCCCAGGCTGGAGTGCAGTGGCGCCATCTCGGCTCACTGCAAGCTCCGCCTCCCGGGTTCACGCCATTCTCCTGCCTCAGCCTCCCGAGTAGCTGGGCCTATAGGTGCCTGCCGCCACGCCCGGCTAATTTTTTGTATTTTTAGTAGAGACGGTGTTTCACCGTGTTAGCCAGGATGGTCTCGATCTCCTGACCTCGTGATCTGTCCGCCTCGGCCTCCCAAAGTGCTGGGATTACAGGCGTGAGCCACTGCACCCGGCCATGAGTGTTTTTATAAGAGAGGGAGAGGGGCCGGGAGCGGTGGTTCACGCCTGTAATCCTAGCACTTTGGGAGGCCAAGGTGGGTGGATCACGAGGTCAGGAGATCATAGACCATCGTGGCTAACACGGTGAAACCCCGTCTCTACCAAAAATACAAAAAATTAGCCGGGCGTGATCTCGACTCACTGCAACCTCCACCTGCCAGGTTCCAGAGATTCTCCTGCCTCAGCCTCCTGAGTAGCTGGGATTACAGGTGCCCACCACCACACCCGGCTAATTTTTGTGTTTTTAGTAGAGATGGGGTTTCACCAAGTTGTCCAGGATGATCTCAATCTCTTGGCTTCGTGATCCACCTGCCTTGGCCTCCCAAAGTGCTGGGATTACAGGTGTGAGCCACCACGCCCAGCCGGGAGGGACTGTTAACCTGGGTCTGGCCACAGCTGTGCGGAGCGGCTGGGTTCGGCTGCAGGCCACACACCCTGTGACCTGGGCTGACTTCGTGCCTCAGCCAGACTGCAGAAGGCCGCAGGGAGGGGCGGGTGTGCGGATGCCCCCCTCCCCTCTCTGCAATTGGGTCATGGAGAGAATGAGAGCAGCCCCCAAGGGGTCGAGGGATCAAAGATGGGACAAATGTCAAAGGGGTGGAGGAGAGTCTTTTGGAAGGATATGAGGGTTCCTGCAGCCCCCGGGTTCCGATAGAGTGGGCAGAAGGGGATGATTTTGTCTGGTGCTGCAAGGATTCAGGGGGTGTCATGGAGCAGCTCTGCTTCCGGGGAGCCCCAAGTGGGGTCAGTTTGTCACCTAACTGCAGGGGAGGCTGGGGAGAGGAGAGGCACCTCCACACTGGGAGGAAGCTGGACGTGGTGGCACACACCTGTAGTCTCAGCTGCTCGGGAGGCTGAGGTGGAAGGATCACTTGAGCAAAGTGAGGTTGAGGCTGCAGTGAGCCGAGATTACACCACTGCACTCCAGCCTGTGTGACAGAGCAAGACTCTGTCAACAACAACGACGAAAAAAAAAAAAAAATTGGGAGAAGAGAGGACATGACAGAGCTAGGCGCAAAGACCCTGGGAGGTGGGGTGGGGAATTGCCCGGCGGAAGGGAATGGCAAAGCTTGGGGAGGCTGCTGGGTGACCCGCCAGGGCAGGGCCCAAGTCTAGACTGGCCAGGACCTGCTCTAGGCGTTTCTGATGTAGTGATATAGAGGAGCTGAGGCCCCCCAGCCAGGGGCCAGGGGTGTCACCATGCTGGTCCCAGGACTTCCGGAGACATCCGAGGGATGAGCTCACTCCCACTGCAGGGTTGCTCAGCTGGCACATGAGAGTCTGAAGTGTCTGTGGCCTTTGGGCACAGCACAAGAGATGGCCAGAGATGGATTCTGTTTTTGTTTTTTTAAGAGACAAGGTCTTGCTCTGTTGCCCTGTCTGGAGTGTGGTGGTGCAATCATAACTCACAGCAGCCTTGACCTCCTGGACTGCAACGATCTTCCCACCTCAGCCTCCCTAGTAGTTGGGACCACAGGCACATACCATCATGCCTAGCTAATTTTTTGTATATTTTTAAATTTTTGTATATTTTGTAGAGACGGGGATTCTTCATGTTGCCCAAGCAGGTCTCGAATTCCTGGCCTCAAGTGATCCGCCCGCCCCAGCCTCCCACAGTGCTGGGGTTACAGGCATGAGACACTGCATCCGGTCCAGTCTGGATTCTTAAAGTTGCTGCACGAGGCCCTGGATCCAGCTGTGCCTGAAAGCCAACTTTTCCATGCCAACCTTTCCATCATCAGAGCTAATAGCAGTTGGAACAACTGAAACTCTAACCACCTACAGGGACCACATTTCTGACCAAGGAGCTGGAAGAATTTTCTAGAGGGGCTGGGCAGCAATGGCAAAGCAAGGATCCCATGCATTGGCCTCTCCATGTCTCGGCACAGCTCAGGGAAGCCAAGGGCTGA
Organism: Homo sapiens; assembly: GCF_000001405.40. Classification (NCBI taxonomy): domain Eukaryota; kingdom Metazoa; phylum Chordata; class Mammalia; order Primates; family Hominidae; genus Homo; species Homo sapiens. The sequence goes on along the minus strand of NC_000019.10, from coordinate 1,551,056 downwards.
GGCCTGGCCTGTGTCCTGGGCACAAAGTCTCATTGCTATTGTCATTCACCTCCTTTGACTCATGGACTTGGCATGGTGGGGTGACCCTAGTCCAATGTCTGCTGAAAATCCCCTGTTCCAGGTCTCATCAGACACGGGGGACACTGAGGGGCAGGGCTGTGGTTCTCCCATCTGTAGGCTCCACGTGGGAAGGATACACCACCCACACATTTTGTGTCCCTTGGTGGGAAGAACGCACCATCCACACACCGTGTGTCCCTTGGGATGTCCCCAGGGTAGAGACCGTGCCCCATGTCCACCATGCATGAGGAAAATGGTGGGCTCTAGAGTCAGATGCCTGAGCCCCTGTCTGCCGCGCCACCTTCCTGGGCTGTCCCTGGGCGTGTCACTTCGCCTTCTCAACCTTGGTTTCTGCATCCGTAGGATGGGGAATTGGGGGCTTAACCAAGGGTAAACCACCAGCTGGTGAGCAACAGAGCCTGGTACAGGGCAAGTGCTCAGTAAGAGCTGGCCCACTATAGGCGCCCTCGCAATCACTGACGTCAGATGCTTACATTCTGGAGGGGATGGATGGGTGGGTGGATGGGCAGGTGAGTGAATGGATGGATGGATGGATGGATGTTGAATGGGTGGGTGGGTGGGTGGGTGGTGGATGGTGGATGAGTAGATGGATGGATGGATGGACGGATGGATGAGTAGATGGGTGGGTGGATGGGTGAGTGGATGGGTGGGTGAATTGGATGGATGAATGGGTGGTTGGATGGGGGATAGGTGTGGGTGGGTAGACGAATGGATGGATGGATGGGTGGGTGGGTGGATGGATGGATGGATGGATGATTAGATGGGTAGGTGGATGGATGTGTTGCTGGGTGGGTGGGTGGGTGGGTGGTTAAATGGATGGATGGGTGGGTGGGTGAATGGATGGGTGGGTGGATGGATGGGTGGATGAGTGGACAAGTAGATGGGTGGGTGGATGGATGGGAGGGTGGGTGGATGGATGGATGGATGGATGGATGGATGGATGGGTGGATGGATGGATGGGTGGATGGGGGGGTAGATGGATGGGAGGGTGGGTAAATGGATGAGTGGATGAGTGGATGAATGGATGGATGGATGGATGGATGGATGGATGGATGGATGGATGGGTGAGTGGGTGGGTGGGTGAATTGATGGATGGAGGAATGGGTGGTTGGATGGGGGGATGGGGGAGTGGGTGGACGAATGGATGGATGGATGGGTGGGTAGGTGAATGGATGGGTGGGTGGATGGATGGGTGGATGGGTGGACAAGTGCATGGGTGAGTAGGTGAATGGATGGGTGGGTGGATGGATGGGTGGATGGGTGGACAAGTGCATGGGTGAGTGGATGGATGGGAGGGTGGGTAAATGGATGGATGGATGGATGGATGGATGGATGAAGGGATGAGTGGGTGCATGGTTGGAGATGGATGGATGGGTGGGTGGATGCTTGGATGGTTGGATGGATGGACGGATGGATGGATGCGTGGATGGATGGGTGGGTGGATCGTTGGATGGATGAATGGATGGGTGGATGGGTGAACAGGTGGATGAGTGGGTGGGTGGATGAGTGGGTGGATGGTTGGATGGGTGGATGGGTGGGTGGATGCTTGGATGGATGGATGGGTGGATGGGTGGACAGGAAGGGGGATGGGTGGATGGATGGGTGAATCAGGAGTTCAGAGGAGAGAGAGATTAATTCTGCCCAGTGAATTCTGCTTGGGGATGCTGCAGAAGGCTAGACAGGGCTGGTTGGATGTGGGGGTCAAAGGGAGACAGTATGGCAAAGGTGTGGAGGTGGGATGACAGGGCACACGCAGGGAACAAAGAGTAATCAGAGAACAGGTGAAAATAACGGGAGATGATTTCAGAAAGTGAATTGGGATATGGTCTTTGGTTTCTTCAGTCTCACTCACCCCCTGCACAGAACTGTGATGGGAGCCCCTGTTTTTGCTGCAGTCTAACTACCTCACCCCTAAAAAAAAAAAAACCAAACCAGCATGTGCTGGACTTCACCAGCCAACAGAATTTAAGTCTAAATTTAAATGTAATTACCCTCAGGTGGCTGCTGGCTCCTGTGTTGGAGCTTTCTAGAATCTTCTAGAATGTTCTAGCCCAGCGTTGTTCAATAGAACTTTCTACAATGATGAAAACGATTATGGGAATGGTCTAAATCTGCACTGTGTGATACAAAGCCACCAGCTGTGCATGATTTGTCACCTGAAATGCGAGGACAACTGGGAAGCTGAATTTTTTATTCTACTAAGCTTGAATTTTATTTATTTATTTATTTATTTATTTATTTGAGACAGGTTATTGCTCTGTCACCCAGGTTGGAGTGCACTGGCTTGATCACGGCTCACTGCAACCTCCACCTCCCGGGGCTAAAGCGATTCTCCTGCCTCAGCCTCCTGAGTAGCTGGGATTACAGGCACCTGCCACCACGCCCGGCTAGTTTTTGTATTTTTAGTAGAGACGGGGTTTTACCATGTTGGCCAGGCTAGTTTCGAACTCCTGACCTCAGGTGATCCACCCACCTCAGCCTCCCAAAGTGCTGGGATCACAGGCGTGAGCCACTGAGACTGGCCTTTTTTTTTTTTTTTTTTTTTTTTTTCTTGAGACAGAGTCTTGCTCTGTCACCCAGGCTGGAGTGCAGTGGCACAGTCTCAGCTCACTGCAACCTCCACCTCTTGGGTTCCAGCGATTCTCCTGCTTCAGCCTCCTGAGTAGCTGGAATTACAGGCATGTGCCACTGTGCCTGGCTAATTTTTTGTGTTTTTAATAGAGACGAGGTCTCACCATGTTTCCCAGACTGGTCTCCAACTCCTGAGCTCAAACGATCCACTTGCCTTGGCCTCCCAAAATGCTGTGATTATAGGTGTGAGCCACCTGGCCTGGCCTTATTTTTTAAGAGTCAGGGTCTTGGGCCGGGTGTGGTGGCTCACGCCTGTAATCCCAGCACTTTGGGAGGCCAAGGCGGGCAGATCACGAGGTCAGGCGATCGAGACCATCCTGGCTAACACGGCGAAACCCCGTCTCTACTAAAAAATTCAAAAAATTAGCCGGGCGTGGTGGCGGGCGCCTGTAGTCCCAGCTACTCGGGAGGCTGAGTCAGGAGACTGGCATGAACCGGGGAGGCGGAGCTTGCAGTGAGCCGAGATCGCCCCACTGCACTCCAGCCTGGGCAACGCCAGGTTCTGGGACCAATGGACACACATCTCACCAAAGACCAACCAGGGAAGAGGAGGCAGGGGTGCCAGCGTGCCCAGAGGCAGTGGGAGGAGAGGAGGGGGGACAGAGGTCCTGAGGAGGTTTGGCTCTGGGTCCCCACCCAAATCTCATCTCGGTTGTAATCTCCATGGTCCCCACGTGTGGAGAGAGGGAGCAGGTGGGAGGTGATTGGATCATGGGGGCGGTTCCCTCGTGCTGCTCTCTGATAGTGAGTGAGATCTCACGAGATCTGATGGTTTTATAAGGCAGTTTTCCCTGCTCTTCCTTCCTCTCTTTTCGCCTGAGTCAGGTAAGACACGCTTGTTTCCCCCTGCACCGTGATTGTAAGTTTGCTGAGGCCTCCCCAGCCATGCAGAACTGTGAGTCCAGGAACCTCCTTTGTTTATAAATTACCCAGCCTTGGCGGGGCGCGGTGGCTCCCGCCTAGAATCCCAGCACTTTCAGAGGCCGAGGTGGGAGGATCAATGAGGCCAGGAGTTCGAGACGGTGAAACCCCATCTCTACTAAAACAAAAAATTAGCTGGGCGTGGTGGCGGGCGCCTGTAGTCCCAGCTACTCGGGAGGCTGAGGCAGGAGAATGGCGTGAACCCGGGAGGCGGAGCTTGCAGTGAGCCGAGATCGCGCCACTGCACTCCAGCCTGGGCGGCAGAGAGAGACTCCGTCTCAAAAATAAAAAGATAAATAAATAAAAATAAAAGAAAAAATAGTTTGCTGAGAATGCACATGTACCCTAGAACTTAGAGTATAATAAATATATATATGATAAAATAAAAAAAATAAAAAACAATACATTACCGAGGCTCAGTAGTATCCTCCTGCCTTGGCCTACTGAAGTGCCGGGATTACAGGTGTGAGCTCCTGCATCAGGCTTCTCAGTGAGAGTTATAAGCCAGAGACCTCCATTCTTGTGGTCCCTGAATTACTGGGCGGCGGTGGGGGTTGGGGAGGACGGTTTGGGGAACACAGACGGGAATTAATTCCATAGGTGTTTATTATAATTGATTGAGCGCCTTATTGCCAAAGCCCACAGTGGGTAGGCTGTCTCGGCTGGGCGTGGTGGCTCACGCCTGTCATCCCAGCGCTTTGGGAGGCCGAGGTAGATGGATCACATGAAGTCCTAAGTTCGAGACCTGCCTAACATGGCGAAGCCGTCTCTACTAAAAATACAAAAATTAGCCGGATGTGGTGGTGCATGTCTGTAATCCTAGCTACTCTGGAGGCTGAGGCAGGAGAGTCGCTTGAACCCAGGAGGTTGAGGTGAGCTGAGATCACGCCATTGCACTCCAGCCTGAGCAACGAGAAACTCTGTCTCCAAAAAAAAGGGGGCCCTCGCTCCTACCCCACTGCCTCCCCGACTCCATCGCGACCCCAACTCCTTCCCCATTTCGACCCCACAGCCGCCAGGCTGGACCAGAACGGCACGTTCTCTGTCGCCACCGTGTGGCCAGCGCCGCACATGACACCCTGCCCCTCCCCGCCCCGACATCGGAGCTCTGAACCCCCGGGAAATTCCCGGGAGATTTGTCCAAAGTGGAGACACAGGTCCCTTCGCTCGTGGCTGCGAGCTTCCCCCGCGCACAAACGGGCGCACCTGTTTCCCCGTTTTCCTGCCGCTGGCCGACCCTCGCCCAGTAGTTCAGCGCTAGTACGCAGTGGGGGCTCATTAAATATTTGCTGATTGGCCGGGCGCAGTGGCTCACACCTGTAATCCCAGCACTTTGGGAGGCCGAGGCGGGCGGATCACCTGAGGTCGGGAGTTCGAGACCAGCCTGGCCAACATGGTGAAACCCCGTCTCTACTAAAAATACAAAAATTAGCCGGGTGTGGTGGCGCACACCTGTAATCCCAGCTATTCGGGAGGCTGAGGTAGGAGACTCGCTTGAACCCGGGAGGTGAAGGTTGCAGTGGGCCGAGATCATGCTACTACACTCCAGCCTGGGCGACAAGAGGGAAGGTCCATCTCAAACAACAACAACAACAACGAAATTGATGATTGCATGGATGACTGGCAGGGGACACAGAAATGTGTTCTTCCTTTATGCAAAACAGATCCAGTCTCGCCCAGTGTTAGGGGCGACAGAGAGATACCTGGACACCCCACACCACCCAGAGAGTTTTACCACTACCCTTTCAAGGGCAGAAAAGACTCCACTTTCTTGGCTTTTTTCTTTTTTTCTCTTTTTATTTTTTGAGACAGAGGCTTGCTCTGTCACCTAGGCTAGAGTGCAGTGGTGCGATCTCAGCTCAGTGCAACCTCTGCCTCACGGGTTCAAGCGATTCTCCTGCCTCAGCCTCCAAAGTAGCTGGGATTACAGGCACCTGCCACCATGGCCGGCTAATTTTTGTATTTTTAGTAGAGACGGGGTTTCACCATGTTGGCCAGGCTGGTCTCGAACTCCTGACCTCAGGTGATCTGCCCGTCTTGACCTCCCAAAGTGCTGGGATTACAGGCGTGAGCCACCGCTCCTGGACCATAATTTTTTTTTTTTTTTTTTTTTTGAGATGGAGTCTCGCTCTGTCACCCAGGCTGGAGTGCAGTGGCGTGATATCGGCTCACTGCAAGCTCCGCCTCCCAGGTTCACGCCATTCTCCTGCCTCAGCCTCCCGAGTAGCTGGGACTACAGGCGCCCGCCACCACGCCCGGCTAGTTTTTGTATTTTTAGTAGAGACAGGGTTTCACCGTGTTAGCCAGGATGGTCTCGAACTCCTGACCTCGTGATTCGCCCGCCTCGGCCTCCCAAAGTGCTGGGGTTACAGGAGTGAGCCACCGCACCCAGCCCTCATAATTTTTTAATTGAAAATTTTATTGAAATAATTGTCAATTCATATGCAGTTGCAAGAGGAGGGAGGATCTCATGAGCACAGGACGACAGGAATTCTTCTAGGTTGCATTGAGCTGTGATCCTGCTACTGCACTCCAGTCTGGGTGACGGAACAAGACCCTGTCTCAGAAAGAAAGGAGGGAAGGGCCGAGTGCTGTGGCTCATGCCTGTAATCCCAGCATTTTGGGAGGCCAAGGCAGGTGGATCACCTGAGGTCAGGAGTGCGAGACCAGGCTGGCCAACATGGGGAACCTCCTCTTTACCAAAAATACAACAACAACAAAAAATTAGCCGGGCGTGGTGGCGGGCACCTGTAGTCCCAGCTACTCGGGAGGCTGAGGCAGGAGACTCGTTTGAACCTGGGAGGCGGTGGTTGCACTGAGCCTAGAACACACCACTGCACTCTCGCCTGGGCAACAGAGTGAGACTCCATCTCAAAACAAAAACAAAACAAAACAAAACAAAACAAAAACGGGTGTGGTGGCTCACGCCTGTAATCACAGCACTTTGAGAGTCCAAGGCAGGTGAATCACGAGGTCAGGAGTTCGACAGCAGCCTGGCCAACATAGTGGAACCCCATCTCTACTAAAAATACAAAAATTAGTCGGGCGTGGTGGTGGGCGCCTGTAATCCCAGCTACTCCGGAGGCTGAGGCAGGAGAATCGCTTGAACCCCAGAGGCTGCAGTGAGCTGAGATCACAAAATTGCACTCCAGCCTGGGGTGCATTAAGGACACTCCATCTCTAAAAAACATATAAGTAAGATTTCACATGGATACAATCCATCAATCTTACTCAGGATTCCTCAGTTTAACTTGTGATCGTGTGTGTGAGTGTGTGAGATGTCTTTAGTCTCCTATAATTTGCTGGCCTGGGTAGATTCGTGTATCCACCATCATGACATGGAGCATTTCCATCACCATCAGGATCTCTTGCTGTTTGTGCACCCTCCCCGCACCCTCATCCCTAACCCTAATTCCATTTCTAAAATGTTACATAAACTTTTTTTGTTCTTTACACAGGGTCTTGCTCTGTTGCCCAGGCTGGACTCCAGTGGTGCAACTACAGCTCACTGCAACCTACATGAACTCCTGGGTTCAAGGCATCCTCCTGCCTCAGTCGCCCAAGCAGCTAGGACTACAGGTGTGCATCATCATCCTTGGCTTATTTATTTATTTATTTATTTATTTATTTTGAGACGTAGTCTTGCTCTGTCGCCCAGGCTGGGGTGCGGTGGCGCCATCTCGGCTCACTGCAAGCTCCGTCTCCCCGGGTTCACGCCATTCTCCTGCCTCAGCCTCCCGAGTAGCTGGGACGACAGGCACCCGCCACCACGCCCGGCTAATTTTTTGTATTTTTAGTAGAGACAGGGTTTCACCGTGTTAGCCAGGATGGTCTCGATCTCCTGACCTCCTGATCCGCCCGCCTCGGCCTCCCAAAGTGCTGGGATTATAGGCGTGAGCCACCGCGCCTGGCCTTAATTTTCTAATTTTTTATAGAGATGGGGTCTCACTATGTTCCCCAGGGTGGTCTGGAACTCCTGGGCTCAGGTGATCCTCCCACCTCAGCCAACTGAGTAGCTGGGACCACAGGCACACCCCACTATGCCCGGCTAATTTTTTTTTTTTTTTTTTTTTCCCGAGACGGAGTCTCACTCTGTCACCCAGGCTGGAGTGCAGTGGCGTGATCTAGGCTCACTGCAACCTCCGCCTCCGTGGTGAAAGTGATTCTCCTCCCTCAGCTCCCCGAGTAGCTGGGACTACAGGCGCCCGCCACCACGCCCGGCTAATTTTTGTATTTTTAGTAGAGATGGGGTTTCACCATGTTGGCCAGGCTGGTCTCGATCTCTTGACCTTGTGACCCGGCTGCCTCGACCTCCTTAAGTGCGGGGATTACAGGCGTGGGCCACCGCGCCCGGCCGGGACAGGCTTTTTTCACTCAGCGTAATTCTCTGGAGTCATCAGGAGTTTGAAAACTCCCCGTGGGACCCAGGTTGACCTACCTACCAGCACCCCATTTTTTCATAGATTGAGAACCAGCGCCTCAGTGTCCCCATCTGTATAGTGGGAGAGAAAAGGTCCCTGCTCCCGGGGCCTTGCCAAGGTGCAAGGAAGCTTTATGACGTCACACACAGTTACCACGGGCAACAGCCAATCCTGCTGGCCCCAGAGGTAGCCGCCCTTGGTCCCGCCCACGCCTTGCTTGCTTGCTGGTGATTGGAGGACGCATGATGTCACGTGCTCCCATAGACCAATGAGGAGGTGGTCTGGAGGCTGGGTTCAGCTGTAGCCTCAGCGTGGGAAAAAGGGTAAAACGGAACTTTGGGGCCGGGCGCTGGGGCTCACGCCTGTAATACCAGCACTTTGGGAGGCCGAGGCGGGTGGATCCCCTGAGGTCGGGAGTTCGAGACCAGCCTGGCCAACATGGTGAAACCCCGTCTCTACTAAAAGTAGAAAATTTATCCGGGCATGATGACGCCTGTAGTACCAGCTACTTGGGATCCTGAGGCACGAGAAAAATCTCCTGAACCAGGGAGTCGGAAGCTGCAGTGAGCCGAGAGCACGCCACTGCACTCCAGCCTGAGTGACAAGAGCGAGACTTTGTCTTAAAAAATAAAACTGAGCTTTGGAAATTCTTGCCAGGACAAGTTTTCCCTCTCTCAGGGTTAAATCAGTGGTTTCCAAAAAGAAAAAGAAGGAGAAGGAAGGAGGAGGAGAAAGAGGAAGAGAAGGGAGTAGGGAGAAGAAGGAAGAAGAAGGGAAGAAAGAAAAAAAAATCTTTGAGCCAGGGCTGGAGTGAATTCATGACCATTTCTTGAAGTTCCAACCCTTGTAAGCACCCAAAAAAGTGAGGCTATTAATTTTATTTCTGGCAGCACACAGTTCACCCGTCTAAGGAAGATTCCAGAAACTTTAGCACGAGGGCGGTGTGGGTGCTTTGCCATCTCTGGAAGTTCTTATACCTAGAAATAAGAATTGGCCCGGGAGGTTAGAAAATTAATATATTCTGTGGTTGGTTTATTTTTAATAAACCACCATTGTGGGCTCGGGGCGTGGGAGACGGCACAGATTGTTGCTGTTCTTGACGCCCACAAGCAGATGGAAATAAATACTCTAGGTAGGTCATTTTGCAAGACACCCAGTTAAACACTCTGAAGATGTTTTGTCTTTTTCTCCCTGGAAACAAATGTTCCGGGCAGAAATGAAGCTGTTTCTTGCATGTTTTGGGTTGTGTATTAGTTAGCTATTGCCGGGTCACAAGTTACCTTCACATTTGGTGTCTGGGCCAGGTACGGTGGCTCACAGTAATCCCAGTGCTTTGGGAGGCTGAGACGGGGGAGTTGCTTGAGACCAGGAGTTTGAGTCCAGCCTAGGTGACGGAGCGACACTCCTTCTCTCTATAAAAAAAGAGAAGAGGCCGAGCGCGGTGGCTCACACCTGTAATCCCAGCGCTTTGAGGGGCAGAGTCGGGCAGATCACCTGAGGTGAGGAGTTCGAGACCAGCCTGGCCAACATGGTGAAACCCCGTCTCTACTAAAAATACAAAAATTAGCCAGGCATGGTGGTGCATGCCTGTAATCCCAGCTACTCGGGAGGCAGGAGAATCGCTTGCACCCGGGAGGCAGAGGTTGCAGTCAGCTGAGATTGCACCACTGTACTCCAGCCTGGGCGACAGAGAGAAACTGTCTCAAAAAAAAAAAAAAGAAGAAGAAGAAAGAGAAGAAGGAGAAGAAGAAGAAGAACAACAACAACAACTTGGTGTCTTGCAATAACAACAAACTTTTTTTTTTTTTTTTTTTGAGATGGAGACTCGCTCTGTCGCCCAGGCTGGAGTGCAATGGCGTGATCTCCAATCACTCAATCACTGCAAGCTCCACCTCCCGGGTTCACGCCATTCTCCTGCCTCAGCCTCCCGAGTAGCTGGGACTACATGTGTGTATCACCACAGGTGGCTAATTTTTGTATTTTTAGTAGAGACGGGGTTTCACCATGTTGGCCAGGCTGGTCTCAAACTCCTGACTTCAGGTGAGCAGCCCATTTCAGCCTCCCAAAGTGCTGGGAATGCAGGCGTGAGCCACCACGCCCGGCCGGCTCATTTTGTTTTTAAAGGCAGTGATGCACTTGCTCTGTGTTTTCTCTGCTTGCTTTTGTTCCTCTCTCACCCACACTCCATTCCTTTGGGGTCCCTGGGGGCATCTCCAAATTCTCCCCACTGATCCCTCCTCCTAGGTCTGGCCACACCAAGGCACACGACCTCCCCTGACCCGTCCCCCTGCTTCCTCCCCCCACCCCAGCCCAGCGTGCCTGCAGCCCTCTCTACTCCCAACATGGGCCCCAGTGTCTGTTTTGGTCGTATTTTCTCTCCCATCCACAAACGCTGGCTTTGCTTCATCCCCCGTTCCATAAAAAGCACAGAGTTGGCTCTATCTCCACAGACGCAGCAACACACACAGGCACACGGCCGAGAGGCGACGCGGGGATGCCGCCATGGGTCAGTTATTCTCTCCAGGAAAGTAAGCATAGGAAACAGATGGGAAAAAAAGAGGAGACCCTGTCACTTCCCAGAAACAGAGGGGGCCCAGGGACAGGTGGTGGTGGACCCTGGGACTTGAGTTTGATTTGTTAAGGTTGCAATTTTGTGACAAAGAAACGGCATCCAGACCAAGCGCAGTGGCTCCCGCCTGTAATCCCAGCATTTTGGGAGGCCTAGGCGGGTGGATTGCCTCAGGTCAGGAGTTCAAGACCAGCCTGGGCAACATGGTAAAACCCCGTCTCTACTAAAAATACAAAAATTAGCCAAGTGTGGTGGCACACGCCTGTAGTCCCAGCTACTCAGGAGGCCGAGGCAGGAGAATTGCTTGAACCCAGGAGGCGGAGGCTGCAGTGAGCTGAGATCCGGCCACTGCACTCCGGCCTGGGCGAGAGAGTGAGACTCCATCTCAAAAAAAAAAATAAATAAATAAAAATAAAAGAAATGGGCCAGGCGCGGTGGCTCATGCCTGTTATCCCAGCACTTTGGGAGCCTGAGGTGGGCAGATTGCCCGAGGTCAGGAGTTCAAGGCCAGCCTGGCCAACATGGTGAAATCCCGTCTCTACTGAAAATGCAAAAATTATCTGGGCATGGTGGCACATGCCTGTAGTCCCAGCTATTCAGGAGGCTGAGGCAGGAGAGTTGCTTGAACCCCGGAGGCAGAGCTTTCAGTGAATTGAGATCACACCACTGCACTCCAGCCTGGGCGACAGAGTGAGACTCTGTCTCAAAAAAAAAAAAAAAAAAAAAGAAAGAAAGAAAGAAAGAAAGAAAAAGAAAGGAGGCCAGGTGCAGTGGCTCACGCCTGTAATCCCAGCACTTTGGGAGGCCAAGGCGGGAGGCTCACAGGTCAGGAGTTCGAGACCAGCCTGACCAATATGGTGAAACCTCATCTCTACTAAAAATACAAAAGTTAGCCGGGTGTGGTGGCGCATGCCTGTAATCCCAGCTACTTGGGAGGCTGAGTCAGGAGAATCGCTTGAACCCGGGAGGCACAGGGGGCAGTGAGTCAAGATGGCATCGCTGCACTCCAGCCTGGGCTACAGAGTGAGACCCTGTCTCAAAAAAAAAAAAAAGAAAAGAAAAAAAAGAAAAGTCTGCATTTTACTTTCAGAATTGATAGACTATGGTTCCAAAGGGAAAGGGCTGTGAGGAGGGCCCCTGGGAAGCTTCAGACCTGGGTGGCCTCGGACTCATCACGCCCCCATTTGAGTGGTGGAGCGCTCTGCCTGCAGATGGGTGGCCCCAGGACACGTTGTGCTTGGCAGGAGGCCATCCCCACCTCAACCCCTCTCTCGCCCCGTGCATCACTGACCTTGACGAGGGGCCACTACGGGGACATTGCTCCCCGCTGCGTGTGAGGTGCAGCGTGGGCTTGGGAATGTGCAACGTCTCCCGGGAGTGCCGTTTCTCCACTTCATTCCTTTTTTTTTTTTTTTTTTTTTCCCTGATTACAGAGGAAATCCGCTTTAGGAATTAAACACTAAGCCTGTAAATATTTCAGTTCCTATGTCCAAGCTAGGGTCTCTCCTCTTGGGCACTATGGATGTTGGGGCCAAGCCATTCTCTGGGGTGGGGCTGTCCTGGGCATTGCAGGGTGCTGAGCGGCGTCCCTGCCCTTCACCCACTCCATGCCAGGAGCACTCCCTGTCATTATGACCACAGATGTCCCGAGACATAGCCCAGTGTCCCCTGGGGACAGAATCACCCCCCCCCCCACCATTGAGAACAACTACTATTCTTTCTTTTTTTTTTTTTTTTTGTTTGAGACGGAGTGTCTCTCTGTCGCCAGGCTAGAGTGCAGTGGTGTAATCTTGGCTCACTGCAACCTCTGACTCCCCGGTTCAAGTGATTCTCCTGCCTCAGCCTCCCGAGTAGCTGGGATTACAGGCATACACCACCACGCCTGGCTAATTTTTGTATTTTTAGTAGAGCCGGGGTTTCACCATGTTGGCCAGGATGGTCTTGAACGCCTGACCTCGTGATCCGCCCACGCTGGCCTCCCAAAGTGCTGGCATTACAGGCATGAGCCACAGCGCCCGGCCGAGAACTACTACTATTCTAGAGGCTAAGGTGGCCAGGCGTGGTGGCTCACGCCTGTAATCCCAGCACTTTGGGAGGCCAAGGCGGACGGATCAGGTCAGGAGATCCAGACCATCCTGGCTAACACGGTGAAACCCCGTCTCTATTAAGAATACAAAAAATTAGCCGGGCACGGTGGCGTGCGCCTGTAGTCCCAGCTATTCGGGAGGCTGAGGCAGAAGAATGGCGTGAACCCAGGAGGCGGAGCTTGCAGTGAGCCGAGATCATGCCACTGCACTCCAGATGTCAATGATGCCCTTTTGTGCGCACCTCCAGGAATGTCTCTCTTTTTTCTTCTTTTTTAGACGAAGTCTCACTCTTGTCGCCCAGGCTGGAGTGCAGTGGCGCCTTCTGCAAACTCTCTCTCCTGGGTTCAAGCGATTCTCTTGCCTCAGCCTCCCAAGTAGCTGGGATTACAGCCACTCACCACCACGCCCAGCTAATTTTTGTATTTTTAGTAGAGACAGGGTTTCACCATGTTGGCCAGGCTGGTCTCGAACTCCTGACCTCAGGTGATCTGTCTATTGGTGGCATTACAGGCGTGAGCCACGGCACCCAGCCAATTTTTTATTTTTATTTTTTGAGAAAGGGTCTTGCTCTATCACCCAGAGTAGTGGTGGAGTACCGTGGTGCAATCATAGCTCACTGTACCTCCGAACTCCTGGGCTCAAGCAATCCTCCCACCTGGGCCTCCTGAGTAGCTGGGACCACGGGCATGTGCCACCAGGCCTGGCTTTTAAATTTTTAGTAGAGACAGAGTCTTCCTATGTTGCCCAAGCAGGTCTCAGACTCCTGTCCTCAAGTGATCCGCCTGCCTCAATTTCCCAGCCTGCTGGAATTACAGGCATGAGCCACTTCTCCCTCTTTTATGATGAGTTTCTGGGGTTGATAACCGGAACTTGGAAGTAGAACTTCATGCAGAATCATGCTGCTGGCAGGGATTCCAGAGAATACATGCCCCCCTTAAACAGGCAGGGAAACTGAGGCCTGGATGTGCCTGGAAGTGGCCAGCTGGGACTGGAGCCCCGGTCTCCTGATCCCGCATCGGTCGAGGTGGAGTTTTCTCCAGCATAGGATACACCTCTGAGCACCTTAGCAGACGCCCAAAGCACAGCCCAGGAGCCTCGCACTGAGAATTGTGGCCTCAAGTGCTAATGAGGGGGCCAGGCACAGTGGCTCATGCCTGTAATCCCAGCCCTTTGGGAAGCTGAGGTGGGAGGATCACCTGAGGTCAGGAGTTCAAGAGCAGCCTGACCAACATGGTGAAACCCTGTCTCTAGGCTGGGCACGGTGGCTCACGCCTGTAATCCCAGCACTTTGGGAGGCCGAGGCAGGCGGATCACGAGGTCAGGAGATCGAGACCATCCTGGCTAACATGGTGAAACCCCGTCTCTACTAAAAAATAAAAAAAAAAATTAGCCGGGCTTGGTGGCGGGCGCCTGTAGTCCCAGCTACTCGGGAGGCTGAGGCGGGAGAATGGCGTGAACCCGGGAGGCGGAGGTTGCAGTGAGTCGAGATCGTGCCACTGCACTCCAGCCTGGGCGACAGAGTGAGACTCCGTCTCAAACAAACAAACAAATGAAACCCTGTCTCTATTAAAAATACAAAAATTAGCCGGACGTGGTGGCACATGCCTGTAATCCCAGCTACTCAGGAGGCTGAGGCAGAGGAATCTATTGAACCCGTGAGGCGGAGGTTGCAGTGAGCTGAGATCGCACCACTGCACTCCAGCCTGGGCGACAGAGCAAGACTCTGTCTCAAAAAAAACAAAAGAGCTACTGAGGGGCCTGGAGTCCTTCTGCGATTGACGGGTTTTTCCGTCATCAGCTCTGCACCCCTCGGCCTGCCTTAATGCCTCCCGTGAGCCTTCCCACTTTCCCAGCCTCACTCATCCCAGGGGATGGCCAGATGTTTGAGTCTCGCACCGCTGGACACTTAGGTTGCGTCCAGTTTTTTTTTTTTTTTTTTTTTTTGAGAGGGATTTTCGCTCTGTTGCCCAGGCTGGAGTGCAATGGTGCAATCTCGGCTCACTGCAACCTCTGCCTCCTGGGTTCAAGTGATTCTCCTGCCTCAGCCTCCTGAGTAACTGGGACTACAGGCCCCCTACCACCACACCCAGCTAATTTTTGTATTTTTAGTAGAGACGGAGTTTCACCATATTGGCCAGGCTGGTCTCGAACTCCTGAGCTCAAGTGATCTGCCTGCCTTGGCCTCCCGAAGTGCTGGGATTACAGGTGTGAGCCACCACGCCTGGCCTTTTATGACATTTTGATCTAACAACCAATGCTCCATCAGCCCAGAGAGGTCAGGTCCATGAGTGCACCGTCCACCCCAGGGCAGCACAGGTGACGGTTGTGCCAACTGTGTCCCGGAGCATAGCCAGCCATCTTTCCAGCCTCAGTGTCGGCTTCTTTCCTGTCCACCCATTAAGCAACTGTCCCATGTTTTAGATTTGGAGTTATGGCAGAACCCCACTTCTGGTACTACTTTTGTTGTTGTTGAGACAGGGTCTTTGTTCTGTCGCCCAGGCTGGAGTGCAGTGGTGCAATCACAGCTCACTGCAGCCTCAACCTCCCATGCTCACGCCATCCTCCCATCTCAGCCTCCCAAGTAGCTGGGACTACAGGCACGTGCCACCATGCCCAGCTAATTTTTTGTAGAGATGGGGTCTTGCCATGTTGCCCAGGCTGGTCTCAAACTCCTGGGCCCAAGCGATCCTCCTGCCTTGGCCTCCCAAAGTGCTGGGATTCCAGGCATGAGCCACTACACTGGCCTCTGGTGCTAATGTCTGCATTAGTGAAAATGTAACCCACCTCTGCCACTAAGAGAAACAGGGAGGATGCAACGTCACGTGGGGTCAACGTTTCTTTGCCAAAGCTCCTCAAACGCTTTCCCCCAAAGAGAGGCAGACCATGGCCTACAGCATTTCAAATTGTCTTTAATGAAAAAGGAAGAGATCCCAGCAAAGTCTGGGTTGAACAGTCATGCCACAAGGCAAGAACCCACCTCCCGTGTGCCCCCCAGCCCTCCCCCAGGACAGCCCCTCTGGGGGAGCCACAGGAATGGAAATGGAGCCTGGGTCCCTGGCACTACCATGCAGGGGTCCACTCTGACCCTCAGGGGCACTAGATACTCTGCAGCATGCGGAGGGCGTGGTGAAGGTGCTGTCCGGTGGTGGGGGCGCAGCCGTGGCTCCGCGGGACGTCCAGGGAGTAGGAGGTGCCAGGGGACCCCTGCTCCCAGAGGGTGAGCTGCAAACCCTCACCCTCGCCACTCAGCACCAGTTGGGCCGGGACTCCACTGAAGCTCACCTGCAAAGGGTAAGATACCAGTCAAGGGGAGACGGGTACCCCTGCACCTGCCTCCAGCCGTGGCGCTCCAGAAGGACAAGTGGACACTGGACCCAGAGCCCCCAGTCTGGCCCCTAGTGCCTGCCCCAGCCACAGGAACTCGGGGTCGGGAGGCCAAGTGCTCCACTGTACACCTGGGGAAACTGAGGCTCAGATGGGGGCTCCCCTGCCCACAGTCTTCCAGCAAGACCCTGACTTTTTTTTTTTTTTAAACAGAGTCCTGCTCTGTCACCCAGGCTGGAGTGCAGTGGCGCGATCTCGGCTCACTGCAAGCTCCGCCTCCCGGGTTCACGCCATTCTCCTGCCTCAGCCTCCCCAGTAGCTGGGACTACAGGCGCCCGCCACCACGCCCGGCTAATTTTTTTTTTTTTTTTTTGTATTTTTAGTAGAGACGGGGTTTCACCGTGTTAGGCAGGATGGTCTCTATCTCCTGACCTCGTGATCTGCCCACCTCGGCCTCCCAAAGTGCTGGGATTACAGGCGTGAGCCACCGTGCCCGGCCTTTTTTTTTTTTTTTTTGAGACGAAGTCTTGCTCTGTCGCCCAGGCTGGAGTGCTGTGGCGTGATCTCGGCTCACTGCAACCTCCGCCTGCCAGGTTCAAGCGATTCTCCTGCCTCAGCCTCCTGAGTAGCTGGGATTACAGGAAGGCTCCACCACGCCCAGCTAATTTTTGTATTTTTAGTAGAGATGGGGTTTCACCGTGTTGGTCAGGTTGGTCTCAAACTCTTCACCTTGCGATCTGCCCGCCTCGGCCTCCCAAAGCACTGGGATTAGAGGTGTGGACCACAGTGCCTGGCCCAAAAACGTCATGCATTTTCCATGCTGTGGTTTTGTACGCAGGAGCCAATACCTTTTTTTTTTTTTTTTTTCCTGGGAGGCAAATGCTTCCTAAGGCTCCCCCAAAGCTTGCTCCGTAACAGCCCAGGCAGGCCAGACCCCACCCTGCCGAGCCCCAGTGCCCCGAGTTTGAGCCCCGGGCTCACCTGCACCATCCCATTGCTGAACAGCAGCAGCAGGGCGTGCTCAGAGGCCAGGAAGCGCAGGAGGCAGAGGCCGGGTCCAGCAGGTGGCACAGGTGTGGGGAGGGTCCCCTCCTGTGGACAGACTCGGCTGAGGTCACGTGACGCAGGGGGCGTCCCCACCCCTCGCCCCCACACCCAGCACCCCAGCTCTCACCTCCCGCAGCCGCCGCCGCAGGCAGCCGGCAAAGAGCTGCAGCACGGCCAGCTTGGCGCCCAGCAGGCCGGGCACATCCCTCAGGGCGAAGGCTTCCAGCCTCCCGCAGTTGGGCATGTAGCACACTTGGCTGGGGCCAGGACACAGGGCCTCTGTCCTGGACAGCCCAGGCCAGTGGACACCCTTCCATTGACCTACACCCCCTGGAATGGTGGCTTTAAAGAGCAGCTCTGCCCTAGTTACACCTTATCCATATGCCCAGTGCGGCTCTCTGTCCTCTCTTCACCTCAGCTGACAGCTGGTCCACCCTTCCTGCCTTCCAACTCTATCCACACTGCAGCCCCTCTCATCCCTCCCCGGTCACCAGCACAGCCCAGGCCTCCGCCACTGCCCACCTGATGAGTCCAGCCACCTCCCCACTGGCCCCCATGTCACTCCCGCTAGAAAGATTGTGTTAAGGCCGGGCGCGGTGGCTCACACCTATAATCCCAGCACTTTGGGAGGTCCAGGTGGGAGGATCACCTGAGGTCGGGAGTTCGAGACCAGCCTGGCCAACATGGAGAAACCCCGTCTCTACTAAAATTCAAAATTAGCCAGGCGTGGTGGCGGGTGCCTGTAATCCCAGCTACCCCGATCCCGGGATGGGGAGGTTGCGCTGAGCCGAGATTGCACTCCAGCCTGGGCAACAAGAGCACAACTCCGTCTCAAAAAAAAGAGACAGAGTCTCGTTCTGTCACCCAGGCTGGAGCGCAGTGGTGCAATCATGGCTCACTGGAGCCTTGACCTCCTGGGACCAAGTGATCCTCCCACCTCAGCCATCCAAGTAGCTGGGACCTACTGATGCATACCCTTGCAGTTGGCTAATTTAAAAAAAAAAAAACTTGGCCAGGCGCGGTGGCTCACGCCTGTAATCCCAGCACTTTGGGAGGCCGAGGCGGGCAGATCACGAGGTCAGGAGATCGAGACCATCCTGGCTAACACAGTGAAACCCCGTCTCTACTAAAAATACAAAAAATTAGCCAGGAGTGGCTGAGCGCGGTGGCTCATGCCTATAATCCCAGCACTTTGGGAGGCTGAGGCGGGTGGATCACCTGAGGTCAGGAGTTCGAGACCCGCCTGGCCAACATGGAGAAACCCCGTCTCTAATAAAAATACAAAATTAGCCAGGAGTGGTGGCGGGCACCTGTAATCCCAGCTACTTAGGAGGCTGAGGCAGGAGAATGGTGTGAACCCGGGAGGTGGAGCTTGCAGTGAGCCGAGATTGCGCCACTGCACTCCAGCCTGGGTGACAGAGTGAGACTCCATCTCAAAAAAAAAAAAAAAAAAAGAAGAAAATTTTGTAGAGAAAGGTCTTGCTGTGTGGCCCAGGCTGATCTCAAACTGCTGGGCTCAAGTGATTCTCCCACCTCAGCCTCCCACAGTGCCAGGATTACCGGTGTGCACCACCACGCCCAGCTAATTTTTAATTTTTTTGTGGAGATGGGGTCTTGCTATGAGGCCAAGGCTGATCTCAAACTGCTGGGTTCAAGCGAGTCCGCACCTCAGCCTCCAACGTGCCAGGATTATAGGTGTGTGCCACCACACCAAGCTAATTATTAAAATTTTTGTAGGGATGGGGTCTTGCTATGTTGTCCAGGCTGATCTCGATCTCCTGGGCTCAAGGAATCCTGCCTTGGCCTCCCAAAGCACAGGGCTGCCGCTTGTCATTCACGTCACTTTCTCAGAGACCCCTTCCCCTTCCCCCTACCCACACTACTGAGATTCACCTCCCCTCCTAATCTGCCTCTTCACTGGGTTCATTTACTACAGAAACGCACTTGCTGATTCGTTTAGTGTTGTTCTCCCCGACCAGGCAGGGAGCACCTGTAGGTGTGCACAGTAGGTGCTTAATAAATACTTGAGAGATGAATGAAAAAAGGCAGGGGGAGTGCCTGGTCCCCCAGGGCACAGGAGGCCACAACTTACCCTCCGGGGGGTCGCAGGGCCATGTGGGTGCCGTCCCGTGCGCCCCCCGTCCAAGAGCTGGTAGCCAAAGCCGTATTTGCTGGAATAATCCACCCATTTGGGGGCCCAGAGGATGGGCTGCTGCTCTCCCAGGGGGTCCTGTGTGGCTGGGCACAAACAAAGGTATGCTGAGCCAGGGGTCAGGGGTCAGGCATATAGTAGGCACTCAATAAATGTGATGGACTGAAACCATGGGTGAGACCCTTCCCACGGCGGGGACCGGACAGAGGCTTGGGGGCTTCGGTGGTGGATTCTAGGAGACCAGACATCAACAGAAGCCACGGAACCGTAACTAATTTCTGGCTTGCAGAGGGAGACTGTGGGATACTGGCGCACCCCTGGGAATGAGCAATTCTCAAATACTTGCAATGCTCTGAAAATACTACACATTTCTGGGTGTGTGTGTTTTTGTTTGTTTTGTTTTGTTTTGTTTTTTTGAGACAGAGTCTTGCTCTGTCCCCAGGCTGGAGTGCAGTGGCGCAATCTCGGCTCACTGCAACCTCCGCCTCCTGGGTTCAAGCGATTCTCCTCCCTCAGCCTCCTGAGTAGCTGGGATCACAGGCACGTGCCACCACACCCAGCTAATTTTTGTGTTATTAGTAGAGATGGGGTTTCACCATGTTGGCCAGGATGGTTTCGATCTCCTGACCTTGTGATCCACCTGCTTCAGCCTCCCAAAGTGCTGGGATGACAGGCATGAGCCACCACGCCCTGCCCCGTTTCTGGGTTTTTGCTTGTTTGTCTGTTGGCTTTTCAGACAGGGTCTCGCTCTGTTGCCCAGGCTGAAGTGCAGTGGCACGATCTCAGCTCACTGCAGCCTCCACCTCCGAGCTCAAGTGATCCTCCTTCCTCAGCCTCCTGAGTATCTGGGACAACATGCATGCACCACCATGCCCGGCTCATTTTTTTGTAGAGATGGGGTCCTGAGGCTGGGCGCGGTGGCTTATACCTGTAATCCTAGCACTTTGGGAGGCCGAGACAGGCGGATCACGAGGTCAGGAGATCGAGACCATCCTGGCTAACACAGTGAAACCCCGTCTCTACTATAAATACAAAAATTAGCCGGGCATGGTGGCGGGTGCCTGTAGTCCCAGCTGCTGGGGAGGCTGAGGCAGGAGAATGGCGTGAACCCGGGAGGCAGAGCTTGCAGTGAGCCGAGATCACGCCACAGCACTCCAGCCTGGGCGACAGAGTGAGACTCCGTCTCAAAAAAAAAAAAAAAAAAAAAAAAAAAAAAAAATGCGCCCAGGCGTGGTGGCTGACGACGTCTGTAATCCCAGCACTTTGGGAGGCTGAGGCGGCCAGATCACCGGAGGTCAGGAGTTCGAGACCAGCCTGGCCAACATGGTGAAACCCTGTCTCTACTAAAAGAATACAGAAATTAGCAGGTGTGGTGGCACACGCCTGTAATCTCAGCTACTCGGGAGGCTAAGGCAGGAGAATCGCTTTGAACCCAGGAGGTGGAGGTTGTGATGAGCCAAGATGGCACCATTGCACTCCAGCCTAGGCAACAGAGTGAGATTCCGTCTCTTAAAAAAAAAGAAAGAAAAGGAAAAGAAAAGGCTTCTGGGCTGGAGACCTGGCGTGGGGTTTGGGGCTCCCTCTCTAAGGGTGGCAGTATGTGTGGGTCAGTGGAGGCTCAGGGAGAGGAGGGGAGAGGAAGAGGGTTTGGGTTCTGGGACACTGGGGATAAGAGGGGTCCCCCTTTGGAGTGTGGCCTGTGGGCACAGGGCTCTGTGTCCAACGTCCCAGGTCACGTTTCCTCACTCACTGGGTCTCTAACGAGCCCGGGTCATGAATTTAAGAGACCGTGAAACGTAAGGCTGCCGCAGAGCCCTCCGTGCCAGGCTCTGCACACAGGAGGGCTAACCCACTCTCCTGATGTCACCGTGTCCTGGGGCCTCCCTCACCCCTACTCCTCACCCCCAGAAATACCCAGGAGGGCCCAGGATGGGAATGAAGGCAATTTTACTTGGCTAGTAAGAGTAAAGGTGATCCTGGGGGCTGGGCCGGCTCCTACCCGGGGGGCCTACATCCAGGCACAGCTGCAGGTGTCTGAGGGCCGCCTCCACCTCTGGCCGCCGGCTCCCCTCGGGCCCTGGGAAGACAGGTCTTTGTGCCGCAGACAGGTCTGGGTTCCCACCACCAGGCTCTTCCAACCAGTCCCCCTCCCCACGGCTCCATCCAGGAACATCTCATCCTCAACCCAGAGGCGGCATTCCCATTTGACAGGCGGGAAAGGTGAGGCCGGGACGGCGGCTGTGACCCTGGTAAGCCACGGCCTTGGTCCCCCTGTCACTTGTAATTCCTCCCTCCCCACCTGCAGCCCCGGGCTGGGACGGGGATCTGCTCACCGGCCAGGTCACTCTGCAGGGTCCCTTGTGCGACCAGGTGGATGGGGCCTTCCAGGCAGGGAACCTCTTTCGCAGACAGGGAGCTCTGAGGTGGGAGCAGCAGGGGTGGGGGTGGCCCCGGCCCCAGCCCCAGGGACAGGCGTGAGGTGGGTGGCAGGCTCTGGCCCCTGCCTGTGCCCTCCGTGCTCTGCACACAGAGGCACTGCTTTCCCCTTGGGAGGCAGCCTCGGAGTGTCTCGGAGGCATACAGTAGGTGCTCAATAAATGTGATGGACTGAAGCCATGGATGGGACCCTTCCCATGGCCTCGAGCCCGGCCCTTGGGAAAGCCCAGGTGGGCACATTTGGACACAAATGGATCCCAGCTCTGATGCGTCAGGACGGGACTAGGGGGAGGGGGCCGGGCTTGGAGACCCCAGAAGGGGTTCAGAGAAGCCGGCATGGGGGAGGGGGTTTTAGCAGGGGCCAGCATGCCCTCCACCTGTGTCTCCCCGTGTCCCCCACCCCGATGTCTCACCTCGCCGTCCCACTCCATGGAGTCAGGGTCTGGCCCACCTTCTCCTGGACCCGAGGCCTCTTTAGGCGTGAAGGGGCCTGAGGGAGGCACAAGGCCTTGGAGGGGGCACAGCCTGGGCCCCAAGCTGGGGGTAGGGGGGCACCTGCCACCCACACCCACCCCTGATGTGGAGACAGAGCGGAGCAGGTGGCAGTTGTGGGCAGGTGGGAGGTGTGGGCAGGCGGGAGGTGTGGGCAGGTGGGGGCAGGTAGCAGGCGTAGGCAGGTGTGGGCAGGTGGGAGGTGTGAGCAGGTGGGAGGTGTGGGCAGGTGGGAGGTGTGGGCAGGTGGGAGGTGTGGGCAGGTGGGGGGCGTGGGCAGGTGGGGGGCGTGGGCAGGTGGGAGGCGTGGGCAGGTGGGAGGCGTGGGCAGGTGGGAGGCGTGGGCAGGTGGGAGGCGTGGGCAGGTGGGAGGTGTGGGCAGGTGGGAGGCGTGGGCAGGTGGGAGGTGTGGGCAGGTGGGAGGCGTGGGCAGGTGTTGGGCAGGTGTGGGCGGGGGTGGTACTTACAGGGTGGCCGGCACTGGGTGAGCAGCCGCTGGCCCACCTTCCGGAAGATCCTGCCCAGAGGCGGGGGTATGGCGAAGATGGGGGGACTGTGGCAGGAGTGGGCCGGCAGCCGGTCTGGAGTGAAACCCTTTGGATGGGGATTTGGGGTTATCCCCGGCTTAGGTCACCCAGCCCCTGAGCACCTGGGTTACCTGGGACAGGGCGGGGCCTCCCTCGGCTGAGCAGGGCAGGCTCTGGCTCATCACCTGCCAGGGACCCCACGCCAGGGACCCCACGCCGAGGACCGCCGCCCACCTGTGTGAAGAAGTCGTCCTGCAGCAGGTGGTCCAGGCTGGGCCGCTCGGCCGGGTTGGGTGCTAGGAGGTGCACGATGAGGCGGCGCGCATTGGCAGACAGGTGAGCGGGTTCGGGGTAGTGGCCCTCACGGATGTTTTGGTACATCTCCGACAGGGGTGAGGCCATGAAGGGTGGGGTGCCAGTCAGCACCGTGTACCTGGGCCAGGTGGGGGGCAAGAACCTGGGTGTCCAGGCATCGCTCAGAGCTACCCCTGCACACTTGGCCAGACCTGCCTACACAGCTTAGCTGTGCAACCCATATCGGCTTCCTCATCTCCCAACATCCGCCTGCACCTAGCACCCTGTGCAGTCCCATGCACGCTGCTTGGTGGACACCAGCGTCTGTCCATCCCCTGCCTGCACCTGGCACCCTGTGCAGTCCCATGGACCCTGCTTGGTGGACACCAGCGTCTGTCCATCCCCTGCCTGCACCTGGCTCACCCTGAACTCACCTGCATACACCTTTTCAATGCTTCTATTTTTTTTTTTTAAAGACAGGGTCTCATTCTGTCACCCAGGCTGGAGTGCCGTTGTGCAATCACAGCTCACTGCAGTCTCCACCTCCTGAGCTCAAGCAATCCTCCCAACTCAGCCTCCTGAATAGCTGGGACTACAGGTGCACACCACCACTCCTGGCTAATTTTTGTAATTTTTGTAGAGACAGGGTTTCACCAACTTGGCCAGGCTGGTCTTGAACTCCTGGGCTCAAGCGATCCTCCTGCCTCGGCCTCCCAAAGCTCTAGGATTACAGGCGTGAGTCACTGCGCCTGGCCTCCACCTTCCAATGCTATCCCATGCCTGCTCACACCTGCCCTGCGCCCACACACGCTGTATCCCTGTACACATACGCCCTGACCTGCCTGTGCCACTGCCACCTGCCCACACCTGTCCACCTCTCTGTGCACACCCTCCCCCGTCCTCCCTCACACACGCCTCCCCACACACGTCCTGTTCATACTGCACACTTGGCGACAGGTGCCTGTTCCACGCGCCCCACCCTGCACAACGGTCCCCACCTGTTCCGTGCAGGCTCCCCCCCCGCCACACCTGCCCCCCCCGGAGGCCCTGCCCACCTTCTCCAGGACCCCACTCACATGATGCAGCCCAGAGCCCAGATGTCCTACTGGCAGGAGTGACCGTTTCTGGAGACAACCTCAGGGTCCAGGAAGTTAGGGGTCCCACAGAGTACTCTAGGAAGGGCGTCATGGGGGGCTCAGGAAGGCTGGGATCCCCGTGCCAGACTTCAGGGCCAGCCGTGCCCACCCGGACGGACTGCTCAGAGCCCTCCCCCCGGCTCTCACCTGTGGCAGCGGCCCCCTGGCCCCACCTTGGCCGCCAGTCCCAGGTCTCCAATCTTCACCTCCATGTTCTTGTTAAGGAAGAAGTTACCTGGCAGTGGGAGGGGCATTGCGCATGGGGGTGGATCCGTGCCCACCTCCCGACGCCCCCGCCCACAGTTCCCCTTCCTGGCACTCACTGAGCTTCAGGTCGCGGTGCAGGATGCACCGCTGGTGCAGGTAGCGCAGGCCGCTGACCAGGCCCCGCAGGTAGTCGCGCACTTCTGGCTCCGTCAGGATCTGCCGCGCCCTCAGCACGTGGGCCAAAGACTGTGGGTGACCAGCGGCCCCGGATTAGAAGGCAAATGTAAGCTCAGCCTGGCCAAGGTGGTATGGCTGATTATGGGATGAGCACAGGTGAGCGCAGGTGCACACAGGTGAGCAAAGATGACCCACCCCAATAGGAGCATGCGGGTTCAGATGGGCCCAGGTGGCCACTGAGGGGGGGCACGAACCTTTCCCCACGGGCACAGCTGCCCGGCCCCGGCCCCGCACCTGGCACCACCTTGAGGGTGAACACGGCGCTGGTGGACATGCTTGTCAGCTTGAGAAGGGCCAGGTGATTAGGAGTGAACGCAGAGGGGGCATATTCTGGCACAGGTGGACCCAGGTGGGCTCAGGTCTACTTAATGGGCACAGTGAGTTCACGGCCACGGTGGGCACAGCAGGGTGCAGGAGGGGCGCAGGTGACCACAGGTAGGCACAGGGGCATGCTGGTGGGTACAGGTGGGCATGGGTGAGTCCAAGGGGGCCAAGAAGAAGCAAACACATTCTGATGGGCCCAGGCGGTCACAGGTGAGTCTGAGACGGGCCTGATGAGCACAGCGTAAGCTGGGCCCAGGTGGATCAAGAGAGCCTGGGTGTGCCCAGGTGAGTAAAGGATGGACACAATTGGCCCTACGTAGGCGTAAGAAGCGCTGGCGAATGGACAGCAGAGGGCACACAGGATGGTACGGGGGGCAGCGGCGAGGTGCAGATGGACACGGGGTGGACAGAGACGGGCACAGCTGACATGAATCCTGCCCTCTCCCCGCCCCTGGGCACCTGGCGGCTGCAGTACTCCAGCACCATGTACACGTGGTCGCGGTCAGCAAAGTGTCCGTGGAAAGCCACGATGTTGCGGGGTCGCAGGCGGCTATGCAGGGCAATCTCACGCTCCACCTGCAGGCACGGCCCCGACATGTACCCGCCTGCAGCGGGGCACAGGCTGCAGGATGCTCGCCTGCCTCCTGTACGATCTCATGGCCACCCAGGGCTGGGACCAAAGGGCAGGGCCTTCTTCGGGACACGCTGCGGGCTGCGGACTGTGGGCCCTGGGGACCGATGGGGACACGCACCTTTCCCTGCGGGCGAAGCCACCCGGCCCCAGCCCCGCCACACGGCACCACCTTGAGGGCGAACACGGCGCTGGTGGACATGTCTGTCAGCTTGTAGCAGCGGCTGAAGGCGCCCTGTGGGGAGGGGTCAGCAGATCAGTGGGCAGGTGTGCACGGGTGTGCAAGCTGGCAGCGCGTACAGAGGCACAGGGCAGCCAGGGACGCAGGCGCGTCCAGGTCTCTCCACACACACACCGGGGAAAAAACAACACACAGCTCCCACCCTCCCGCCTGGACACACAAGACATGATGCACACAAGAAGGCACAGAGACACAGACACAGACACATCCACGCCTGGTGCATAGAGGCCACGGACCAGAAGACAGCACCGGATGCACAACACCACGCCTGAATACGACACACAAACACGCAACGCCCAGACACAGAGTCACCATGCATGGACACACAACACAACACCCAGATACACAACGCAGCAACACACAAACACATGAATATACAATGTCTGGACACACAGTCACCACGTGTGGACACACAACACAATACCCAGACACAGCACAGGAACACACAAACACATGAACACACAACACCTGGACACACAGTACAACACATGGACAAAGACACAGATACAAACACATGAACACACAACTCCTAGACACACCACATATGAACACACAAACACACAAGCACACCACATGAACACACAACACCCAGACACACAACACAATGACTGGACACACAAAGGCATGACGCACAAACAACAGGTGAACAAGCAACACAACACCCAGACACACACACACACACACACACACACACACACGAACACCGCACAGCACCCAGACACTTGGAAGCAGCGGGCACAGACGCGGCACACTCAGACCCTCGCCAGGCTCGCACACACACCCAGGGGCAACACAGCGTCGCATCCCGAGGCCGAGCCGCACGCCCACACCCCGGACACGCAACCCACGGACACGACGCACAGCGCGCTCAACACGGTTCCCGCCATGCGAAACCCCGCACGGGAGGCCCCGCGGCTCCGGACGCGCGCCCGCTCCAGACCCCGCGCTCGCAGGGACGCGCCGCGTAGACCGCGCAGGATCGCCCGCGCGCCCCGGGACCCCAGCCCAGCCCGGTCCGGCCCCGTCGCGGACTCGGGGCGCGGGCCTCCCACCTTGCCGATCAGCTTCCCGCGCCTGTACACGCGGCCCGAGCCCGGGTCTCGCAGGAAGGCGGCGACCAGGGGGCGACTCCTGCGCCGCCGCCGCGGCCGGGGCTCCATCGCGCGGACTCTGGCGCAGCCGGGCCGAGACCACCGCGCTGCGGCCGCTCCGGGGCCGCTCTGAGGGCGCAGGAGCCGCCGGGGAGCGTTTTATTGGCCGCGGGGGCGGGGAGGGGGCGGAGCCCGGGCGCAGGTCCAGCCCGGGGAGGGGCGGGAGGTGCCCGGCCGTGGAGTGGGGGGCGCGTGAGCGGCGGGGACGCCGCGGCTGGGGAAGTTCCACGGACCAGAGCGCGCCCGAGTCCCGCACGCCAACCGGGCGCCAGGGGCCGCGCTCAGCCCGCGAGCTCCTCCGACCCTGCACACCCGGGCTGGCTGGGAACCGCTGATACGCCCGCTTTACCGAGCGGGAAACTGAGGCTCTCTCGCGCGTGGGGGGTTGGGGGCTTCCGGGGGCTTCTCCCCCACAGTGCGCTTGAGGTATGAGCCTCGACGTTCTGAATGTGTGCCATTTCGGGTCCTCCCTGCTGGCGGGTCCCTGGGGCCCACATGAAAACCTGGGGCTTGATGGCCCTGGGCACTGGGGAGCCACAGCAGAATTCGGAGCGGCAGAGAAGCCCAGCGTTTGTGATGCTGGGGCTGGTGGGGAGGGCGGTGAGGCCTGGGACAGGGACCCAGGAGGCAGGACCGGGGCTTGGGGACGCATGGGCTGGGGTCCTACAGTGTAGTGGATGTCCCATATGAGGGAGCTTCAGCCCGGAGAAGGGATGGGCTGTGTGGAGCAGCAGGTGGACCCTGGCTGGGGTTTGCACGGACAGCCAGGTGGGGACGTCCTTGAAATGGCGACCTCAGAGAGCATCAGAAACCTCAGAGAACTCAGAGAACAGCTGGGTGGGAAGACAGTGGGGGGCTTGAGACTCCCCCGGAATCGTGGGGGTGGTTGCTCCAAGCCCTGCCCCAGACTCAGGTGCACCCCTTTCCTGGTGAGGTCTTCCCTCACCCTTCCACCCAGCCTGGGACACAAAAACGGGCCTTGTCCCCATTGTACAGGCAAGACATTGAGACCCAGGGACGCAAAGTCGCTCAGTCAGCCCAGGAAAGGGCAGCGCTGGGTTTGAATCCCGGCAGCCGCCCCTGGACGCCTGCGGTATTAATCCCCAAATGTTACATAACACCAGGAATGGGGAGGGGTTACCAGGCTCCGTGGGGCTGGAATTTTCCAGGGACCAGATTTCGGAATCTGGCCCGGCCACACCACTAGGGACAGGAAACACCTTCTGAGCCGTCACGTGTCCACCTGGTGTCACGAATGGGGCCCCCGTGCATTGGACGGGGCTGAGCTCGGGCACCTTTGCGGGGTTTCTGGTCCCAGGGCCAGGGCGGAAGATTCCTGGCCAGCCTGGGGCCACCGGGTTGCAGCTGGGGAGCCCAAGTCCCCTGCTGATGAGAATCAGGTGAGGTGGCTGCAAGGTGGGCTGCTCGGGGCCCGAGTGTCTGAGCTGTCACACGACTGTCACCCTGGAATCCTCCAGGGGCAGAAAGCCAGTTCCTTGCTTTTTTTTTTGTTTGTTTGTTTTTTTGAAAGAGAGTCTTGCTCTGTCACCCGGGCTGGAGTGCCGTGGTGTGATCTTGGCTCACTGCAACCTCCATCTCCCGAGTTCAAGCAATTCTCCTGCCTCAGCCTCCCAAGTAGCTGGGACTACAGGTATGCACCACCACACCCAGCTGATGTATTTATTTATTTGTATTTTTAGTAGAGACGGGTTTCACCATGTTGGTCAGGCTGGTCTCAAACTCCTGACCTCAAATGACCCGCCTGCCTCGGCCTCCCAAAATGCTGGGATGACAGGCGTGAGCCACCAGGCCTGGCTTCCGGTTCCTTCCTGATAGCACCAGTCCATCCTGGCATCAGTTCAGGCATTTGTTAAGCACTTACTGCATATGGGCCTGTGTCAGGCTGTGCGAGCCCAAGGCAGACCCAGCCCTGTCCTCGTAAAAGGACCACTGCTTAACGGACTGCAAGAACGTCCAAGACTTCACCAAGTCAGGGGTCAAGGAAAGCTTTGGAGGTGGAAGGAAGTGAGCCAGGCCCGTTCTGGGCAGTAACTTGTCCCTGAGGCAGGTGCTGTTCTTAGCCCTGTGTTACAGATGAGGAAACTGAGGCTCCGAACGTCCGGTGCCAGCCCAGGATCACCGCGGACTGCATGTGGCTGAGCCTGGAGTCTAGGTGGGAGTGAATCCAGAGCTCCTGGTCCCCCCACAATAGGTCTGTCCCTCTTTCAGGCTGCCAGCCCCAGCAGTCCCAGGGAGCAGTGCCAGGCAAGGCCCTCGTGCTGAGGCGGGTGTCTGAGCTTCCTAGGGGGAAAGAAATCAGAGTTCCTGGCCCAGAGCCTCGCAGCCCGCCTGTCAGCTGATGCTCCTTGCACAGAGACCGGCTCGCCCTCCCTCTCCCCTGGCCGCCCGCGGCTTTTCCTGGCTGAGACTCCACTATGGAGCTGGGAAAGGCCTCCTAGTCCCAGCCTGTGCCCCTCTGAGCAGGGACTCTGTCCCCCAGCCTATGTGAGCCCTCCTAACCAGCTGTCCCCATCCCCCGCCCTGCCCCAGGCTGGCTGCTCACCACAGCCTTGCCCCAGGGGAGTTTTGGGGGGCTAAGGATGAATGCCCCCAAAGACACCCCTCAGCTCTCCCTGAAGGCCTCTTACACAGATTAGGGGATGGGGAGGGACTGCTGTTGGGTACAAGTCTCCTTTTGAGGATGAACTGTTTTAGAATTAGATAGAGGGGGTGCTTGTTCAACACTGTGAGGGCAGTAAATGCTGCTGAATTGTGCATTTTAAAAAGGGTAAATTTTATGTTATGTGAATTTCACCTCAAAGGTTAAAAAAAAAAAAAAAAAAAAAGAATTGGCCGAGCCCTGTGGCTCACACCTGTAGTCCTAGCACTTTGGGAGGTCAAGGCAAGAGGATCACTTGAGGTCAGAAGTTCGAGACCAGCCTGGCCAACATGGCGAAGCCCTGTCTCTACTAAAAATACAAAAATTAATCGGGCGTGGTGGCTCACACCTGTAATCTCAGCACTTTGGGAGGCCGAGGCGGGCAGATCATGAGGTCAAGAGATCGAGAGCATCCTGGCTAACATGGTGAAACCCCGTCTCTACTAAAAATACAAAAAATTAGCCGGGTGTGGTGGCGGGTGCCTGTAGTCCCAGCTACTCGGGAGGCTGAGGCAGGAGAATGGTGTGAACCTGGGAGGCGGAGCTTGCAGTGAGCCGAGATCGCGCCACTGCACTCCAGCCTGGGCGACAGAGCGAGACTCTGTCAAAAAAAAAAAAAAGGGAAAAATATATTAGATTCCCTACCCCCTAAAACACATAGTCCTACTAATGCCCCAGTTTACAGATGGGGAAACTGAGGCACGGCTTGTGTGATGAGCACAGGATGCCGTTTTGCAAAGGGGCAGGGCAGGGTTCAATGGGGCCACCTGGCCCTCCCATCCTACCCCCTGCCCTGGGTTCTTGAGGCCTGGGTGGTCTAGCACTGCAGCCCCTGTACCCCCAGCACCTCTCACATCCCAGACCACAGGCTCGATTTCCTCTCCAGTCTCTGTTCTTTTGCTGACCTGAGAAAACCACAGACTCAGCGGATTTTGCGGAGAAGTGCCGGGAAGCTTTGCTCAAAATACCTACTGCAGGTGGAGGCGTGGCAGCTGAGACAGCAGGCACCCGACTCCCTGGAGGCCCAGGAGGCTCATGGGGCTGCCTCCGAGGTCAGCGGCGGCCCAGGCCTCCCCAGCACCCTCCTTCCGGCAGGCGCCAGGGTGGAGGCCACCAACCAATGTGACTCAGCCCAGCTCCCTGGTCCCTGCCTGGTCTCCTGGCCTTTACCAAGCACCCGTGGGTCTCACGTGCCTGGACGCCTGACCACGCAGGTGCCCAGGGACCCATGGCCCTGGGAGCAGAGCAGGCAGGAGACGTACCACCACCACAGGGCTCCAGAGACCCCCACTGATTGTGGTTTATGCTGCACGACATGGCCCAGTGTGAGCGCAGGAGGGGGCGTCCAGACTTGGTGCCCCGAAACCAAGCCCTGTTCTTCCCTCTCTCAACTCTGTTTCCTCCTAAAAGCACTGTTGTCCAGATGCAGGGCTCATGCCTGTAATCCCAGCTACTCTACTCGAAAGGCTGAGGCAGGAGGATCCCTTGAGTCCAGGAGTTTGAGACTAGCCTGGGCAACACAGCGAGATCCCCTTCTCTACAAAAAATAAACAGTTAGCCGGGTGGAGTGGTGCACGCCTGTGGTCTCAGCTACTTGGGAGGCTGAGGTGGGAGGATTGCTTGAGCCCAGGAGGTTGAGGCTGCAGTGAGCTGTGATGGCACCACTGCACTCCAGCCTGGGTGACAGAGCAGGACCCTGTCTCAAAAACAATAATAATAATAATTAATAATAAAAGTGGCCGGGCGTGGTGGCTCAGGTTTGTAATCCCAGCACTTTGGGAGGCCACGGCGGGTGGAGCACGAGGTAAGGAGATCGAGACCATCCTGGCTAACACTGTGAAACCCCGTCTCTACTAAAAACACAAAAAATTAGCCGGGTGTGGTGGCGGGCGGCTGTAGTCCCAGCTACTCGGGAGGCTGAGGCAGGAGAATGGCGTGAACCCGGGAGGCGGAGCTTGCAGTGAGCCGAGATTGTGCCACTGCACTCCAGCCTGGGAGACAGAGCGAGACTCTCTCTCAAAAAAAAAATTAAAAAAAAAAATAATAATAATAAAAGCACCGTCCTCTCTTGTCCTCTGGGACACCCCTGCTCCTGATGTTTTCCCATCTTTTTTTTTTTTTTTTTTCAGATGGAGTTTTGCTCTTGTTGCCCAGGCTGGAGTGCAATGGCGCAATCTCGGCTCAGCACAACCTGTGCTTCCCGGGTTCAAATGATTTTCCTGCCTCAGCCTTCTGAGTAGCTGGGATTACAGTCATGCACCACCACATCCAGCTAATTTTGTGTTTTTAGTAGAGACCGGATTTCTCCATGTTGGTCAGGCTGGTCTCGACCTCTCAACCTCAGGTAATCCACCCACCTCAGCCTCCCAAAGTGCTGGGATTACAGGTGTGAGCCACCGCGCCTGGCCCCTTCCCATCTTTCTGGATGCATTTTTCCAGTTCTCCTTTAAGCCACCTCCTCCTTCTCCTGGGAGCCTGGGGTTCAGTGTTGGGGCCTCTCACCCACTCTCTTCACTTCCTCCACTGACATTGTCCAGGTGGGTGGCTTTAGCACTGGCAGCTGGGGCAGGTTACTCAACCCTCCTGGCCCATCTGTGTGGGTTCCCCCAAAGGCAGAGCCTGAAGCAAGGCTTTAGTGCAGAGAGTTGGTTCAGGGAGCAGGGTGGGAGCTGGGTACCCCCGGGGCACCCTGAGTCCCACACTCATCAGGCACCCTCTGAGGAACTGAATACAACATTCCCCAGAGTTGACCACCCAAGATGAGGACACAAGGCCAAGACATCAACCTTCTGGCCTTCCCATTTGTCCTCAGACGCACACCAAGCTCACCCTGCCACAGGGCCTTTGCATGTGCTGTTCCCTCTGCCACCCTCCCAGACTTTGCCTGGCATCCTCTTCTTAGCTTTTAGGCCCAGGCAGGAAAGGGCCACCTGTGCCCAGGAGGCCGCCCCTGCCCCAAGATGCCCTAGACGTGATCCATGCCTGCTTCTCCCCAGTTCCACCACAACCCAGAATGATGGTTTCCTTGCTAGCTTGCTGGTGTCTGTCCCACCTGACAGGGAGCGCCAGTGGCAGGGAGAGGGTCTGTATCTCCATTAGGTGCTGGGTGGACACTCAACCCCGTGCCCCTTCTCTCCATGGACGCAGCATCGACTTCCCATCAGGGATACTCATCAACTCCAGCCGTGTTCAAGGTGCTGCATGGGCATCAGAACCCACCCGATTACCACAGAAATAATCCATTTTTAATCTGCATGGGTCTTTTTACTAATTATGAGACAAATAGTTCAATGTCTTATGGAATCCAGGAACAGAAAAAGGACATTTGTTTAAAAAAAAAAAAAAAAGGCTGGGTGCAGTGGCTCGCGCCTGTAATCCCAGCACTTTGGGAGGCCGAGGTGGGTGGATCATGATGTCAGGAGATCGAGACCATCCTGGCTAACACAGTGAAACCCTGTCTCTACTGAAAATACAAAAATTTAGCCAGGCGTGGTGGCACACACCTGTAATCCCAGCTACTTGGGAGGCTGAGTCAGGAGAATGGCGTGAACCCAGGAGGCAGAGCTTGCAGTGAGCCGAGATCACGCCACTGCACTCTAGCCTGGGAGACAGAGCAAGACTCCATCTGAAAAAAAAAAAAAAAACAAAAAAACAAGCCTGGTGAAATCCAAATCCAAATAAAATAACATTTGGAATTTAGTCAATAATCATGAAATAGTAATTGTTATCACCTTTTTTTTTTTTGAGACGGAGTTTCGTTCCTGAAACCTTGTCTCTATAATAATAAAAATTTTTTAAAAATTCTAAAATAAGGTTGGGAACAGTGGCTCATACCTGTAATCCCAGCATTTTGGGAGGCCAAGGTGGGAGGATCACTTGAACTCAGGAGTTTGAGACCAGCCTGGGCAACGTGGCAAAACTCCACCTCTACTAAAAATACAAAAATTAGCTGGGTATAATGGCACTCACCTGTAGTCCGAGCTACTTGGGAGGCTGATCCCAGAGGATTGCCTGAGCCTGGGAAGCAGAGGTTGCAGTTAGCCAAGATCGCACCACTGCAGTACAGCCTGGATGACAGAGCGAGACCCTGGCAAAAAAAAAAAAAAAAAGTAAGAAACTAAAAATTGCTAAAGTGAAAAAAAATGGATGAATGCCTTCAGATGAGGCTCAATCCAGGAACTCAAACAACCTTCTCAGAAATCTAGACTTTTGGGCTGGGCACGGTGGGTGGCACATGCCTGCAATCTCAGCAGTGTGGGAGGCTGAGGCAAGAGAATCACTTGAGTTCAGGAGTTCGAGACCAGCCTGGGCAACAGGGGGAGACCCCCAACTCTACAAAAAATATAAAAATTAGCCAGGCATGGTGATGCATGTCTGTAGTCCCAGCTACTTGGAAGGCTGAGGTAGGAGCATCTCTTGAGCCCAGGAGTTTGAGACCAGCCTGGGTCGGGACAACATAGCAAGATCCTGTCACTACTAAAGATCAAAAAAATTAGCCAGATGTGATGGCATGCATCTGTAGTCCCAGCTACATGGGAGGCTGAGGTGGGAGGATCGCTTGAGCCCAGGAGGTCAAGGCTGCAGTGAGCTGTGATTGCACCACTGCACCCCAGCCTGAGCGACAGAGCAAGACCCTGTCTCAAAAAAAAGTAAAAAAAGAAAGAAAAGGACAGAAAGATAAAAAGAAAAAAAAGAAATCTGGCCCCTTCCATTTGCTGCCGTCTGTCAGCATCTGCTTGAGACAGTGCATCTCTTCGAGCAGTCAAGAAAGTCCAGCCTACCTCAACTCACGCCATCCCTGGAGCCCACCCCAGCCACGGGAAACCACCTTTTCCTCTAATGGCCCAGTTCAAGTCCCAGGGCAGGCTCTCATTGGCCCACTTGGGTCACATGGTCATCCCCCAGCCAATCCCCGTCTCTAGGAGATGGAATTATCTGTTTGGCCAAGCATGGGTTACGTCATACACAATGGAGGAGGTGGGCCAGTCCACCTGATCCACGTCGCCTGAAAGTGACAGAACAGGTGGTTTTCAGCACGTGAAGGTGGAGGGGAAGGGGCACCCTGGGGAGGCCATGTCACAGGCCTGGAGCCTGGGCAGTGGGGTAAGAAAGCAAGAGGTCTCTTCCAGGAATTCTGGACGGTGCCCGGGGCACTGGGTGCCTGCAGGGAACAGATTCCGAGCGTGCACAAGAAACCGGCACAGAATGAGGACCGGGCGAGCAGCGGCCAAGGAGGGTCCAGGGCCCTGAGTCCCATGGGGTGACTCCAGCCGGGGAGGGTCCCAACTCTGCGTGGCCCCTGCTGGTGCCCAGGAACAGACGGACAGCCCCAGGGACCGGGGGGTCCAGGGGTCTGTGGGGCAGGGATGGGGAGGCCCCACCCAGTCCACGCAGGAGGTTGAGGTATCCTGGGACCACCGTGTCCTAGGTTTTGCATTTTTAGTAGAGACGGGGTTTCACCTTGCTGGTCAGGCTGCTCTCGAACTCCTGACCTCAGGTGATCCACTGGCCTTGGATCCCCAAAGTGCTGGGATTACAGGCGTGAGCCACCGTGCCCAGCCCAGTGTCTGCAATTTGATGAGTTTGCACATATGCAGTCACCACACTCAAGATGACAGGCCTACCTGTCACTTCCCGAGGTCCCTTGTGTCCCACTGTTTTTGTTCTTTTATGGTAAGAACCCTTACCATGAAATCTACCCTGTGAACACAGTTTGAAGTGTGGGGTACCATACTGTTCACTGTAGCCCAGTCACACAGCAGATCGCGGCATTCCTTAAGCCTCAAGGCCATACAACCATGAAGGAAATGGAACCTAATTGATCCACATCCGCCGGGACCCGCGTCTCAGTCTCCCCTCTAGCCCTGACGCTGCCTCAAGGAGGGGGTCCAGGCTGAAATTCAGAGTAGGGGGACTCGGCTGATTCCTGGGTCAGGGTCCAGGCAAGGGCAGGGGAATGTAGTAAGCTGGGACCCCGCCCAACTGGGACCCCAGGAGCCTCTGAGCCTCAGCAGCCACCCCCTCCACCTACACCGGGTGTCTTAGGCTGAGCTCCCAGCCTCCTCCTAGGGACATCCAGAGGACAGAGGTGGGAGACGGTAGGGGACAAGAACTGGGGGTGGGGGGCAGCCCTCCACATCTTCACCACCACCTCTGCCAATCTTGCCAGCTCTAGAGCCCCCACGCAGGGTGCAGTGGCTGCGGTATGCACTCCCAGGAGGGAACAGGGGCTGCGGGGTACACTTTCCATAGAACTCAGTGCCTACTGTATGCGCTCCCTGCAGGAGACAGCGCCTTATGTATACCTTCCTTGCAGGATGCAGCACCTGCTGTATACCTTCCTTGCAGGATGCAGCACCTGCTGTATATACTCTCTACAGGATGCAGTGACTGCTGTATGCACTCCTCTGAAGGTGCCATATCTACTGTATACACTCCTTTGCAGGGCAGAGTCTACTCTATGCATTTCTACAAGATGCAGCACCTGCTGTATACCCTTCCTGCAGAGCATAATGCCTGCTGTGTGTGCTCCCTGTGGGCGCTGTGCTTTCTGTATACCTTCCCTGCGGGGCACAGGGCCTGCTGTCTGCACTCCCAGTGGAGCTCTGTGGACTGGACATCTGGGAATGGGGCACATCTGAGGAGGATACAATTGTCCTAATGACACATTGACACATGTCCTGAGCTGACTTCTTTCTTTCTTTCTTTCCTTTTTTTTTTTTTTTTTTTTTTTTGAGACGGAGTCTCGCCTGTCTCCCAGGCTGGAGTGCAGTGGCGTGATCTCGGCTCACTGCCACCTCTGCCTCCCGGGTTTAAGCGATTCTCGTGCCTCAGTCTTCCGAGTAGCTGGGATTACAGGCACTCACCGCCATGCCTGGCTAAGTTTTATATTTTTAGTAGATACTGGGTTTCACCATGTTGTCCAAGCTGGCTTCAAACTCCTGACCTCAGGTGATCCGCCTGCCTCGGCCTCCCACAGTGCTGGGATTCCAGGCATGAGGCGCCGCGCCCGGCCTGCCCTTCTCTCTTGACCCCTTCAGTGAGGGCCTTCTTGACATCCCCGCAACCACCACCCCCCAACCTGGGGCCATCAGTGGTGGGCCTGGGCTATTTTCTCCAATAGTCCAGGTCAGAAGGTGGGGGGTCATACATTCCAGGGGGCTGCCTTACCCGCTGGCCT
This sequence comes from Homo sapiens, assembly GCF_000001405.40. Lineage (NCBI taxonomy): Eukaryota > Metazoa > Chordata > Mammalia > Primates > Hominidae > Homo > Homo sapiens. Next base: position 1,514,308 of record NC_000019.10, on the reverse strand, counting down.
GGGACTGGCTGGGTTGTTCACAGCTGTGCACACAGTAGGTGCTCAATAAATGGCATATGGGTGGCTCTGCTGACATGCTACAGGCTGGAGGGCAGACTGAGTTGGACCAGCAACACCCTGTATGTCCCCAGCAAACCTCTCTCCCTGTGGTCAGCGCTGTGGGACAGCAGGGTGGGCTTCCTGGAGGAGGGGGTGCTCAGACCGAGCCTGGGTGGAGCCCAGGGAGCAGGACAGTCCCTCCACCCCCTCCTTTAGTGCCCCAGTCCCTCAGCCCGCCCGCCAGGGGGCGCCGTGGGGCGACACCAGAAACTGGTGGAGCCCAGAACCCAGGGCCTGGTCTCATCCCTGCGTGGGTGGGCACGGGGCGGCTCACAGACGCCCGGCGGGAAAGGGTGGGGTGGGGGGAGTCCCGGGGTGCCCCCTCGCGTTGCCGGTCCGCGCAGAGCCGGATTCCAGATGGAAGGTTCGCGGTGGAGATCCCTGCCGGGCCCACTGCTGGGATGGGGAAACTGAGGCCGGAGAGGGTGTGGCCGCGGCTGTGAGGGAGAGGGACCGCCTGGACCCGGGTCTGGCTCTGAAGCCCCGCTGGCAGCCCCGGGGCCCGGCAGGGAGGGCGGGAGGCGGGGTGGGGCGCGTCCCCTGGTGACAGCAGCGCCCGGGAATGCGCCAGCTGGGAGGGTCTCTCCGCCCCCCGCGCGCGGCCCACGGGGCCGAGCCTCTCCCCAGTGCGCTGGGGCCCTGCGCTGGGGGTGACCGGGACCTGGGTCGGGGAACCCCCGGATGGGAGCCCAGGCGCGCCAGGGTCCCCATCCACGAGCAGGTCGACCCCCCGCGAGAGGGGTGAGGGGCAGGACCAGGGGAGGGGGCTGTGACCGGGGATGGGGACGCCGGTGGGACGCAATCCGGGCGTCGGCGGGGTAGGGGCAGCGCCCGGGACTCCCAGACCCAGGGCGGGGTGACCTCGGTTCGCGCACATTCCCGGGCCCTGAGCGCGGCGCCCGGAATAGCAGCCCCGGGGCAGAGGAGGGCGGTCAGTCCCCGCGCCGCGCCCCCGCCCGAGCCTGCCAAGGTCACCCGGACCCGGGCGCCCGACACCAGCCTGCGGCTCCGGGACCCCTGCGCTCGCGTCCGCCGGGCAGTCCCCTGCCGCAGATCCGCGCCCGCCGCGCGAGGGCGCCCGGGGCCGCCGCCCCTCCTGACCCGGGCCTGGGCGCGCCTGCGGAGGCCGCGGTGGGAGGGACCGTCCCAGGCTCCCCACCCCGCCCAGCACCTTGGGCCCCGCCGCTTCCGCTCGCCCTGGGGCCGCTCAGGGAGCCGGGACGCGCTGCCTGGGCTCCGCGCAGCCGGTAAGTCCATCTGCCTATCCTCCCACTTTCTCCGGGGGAAACTGAGGCCCAGAGGTGCGGCTTGCCTTGAGATCCCTCCGCCAGTCCGGGCTGCAGCCCACACGGGGAGGGGAGAGCCTTGATTCTGGGCAGGGCCCATTGAGGAGGGGGTAGGGTGGTCCTTGTAGCCCCCCACTTTTCACCACCTAGACCCCCACTCCTCAAACCAGGCTTAGAGTCCGGTGGGGGTGGTCAGAAGGTCAAGCCCCCTCCCCCTGTTTTTTTTGGTTGGTTGGTTGTTTTTGAGACTGAGTCTCACTATGTCGCCCAGGCTGGAGTGCATTGGCCCCATCTCGGCTCACTGCAACCTCCGCCTCCTGGGTTCAAGCGATTCTCCTGCCTTAGCCTCCCAAGTAGCTGGGATTACAGGTGTGCACCACCACACCGGGCTAATTTTTGTGTTTTAGTACAGATGGGGTTTTACCATGTTGGTCAGGCTGGTCCCAAACTTCTGACCTCAGGTGATCCGCCTGTCTTGGCCTCCCAAAGTGCTGGGATTACAGGCGTGAGCCACCGCACCTGGCCCCCCTCCCCTTGTTTTAAGTTTCTGGTGCAGACTTCTTCCTGCTTCCTGGGCCAGCCCAGGCTCTAGGCTCAGAGAGGGGCACGGATGCAGCAGACCACACAGCTGTCTCAGTACCTAGAGATACCCAGGACCCTAGACCCTTGGTGCCTCAGAAGTCCAAATGCTGGAGCCAGGGAAACAGGGTCCAGGTGGGACCCAGCCTCTTCCCCAGCTGGTGCCCGGGCCGGGGCTCACCCACCTGCCTTCAGGCTCTGCTGGCAGCAGGACGCCCTGGCTCACTTGGCGGCTGCTTCCCTTCCCCCCTCTTTCCCCCTGCAGGCTGGGGTCATGAGGAGGGTGTGGATGGCAAGTGACTTCATCCCTGCCCTGACAGGATGGAGAAACTAAGGCCCAGAGAGGCAGTCAGCCTCCTCCCCTTCCCTGCTCCAGCCTCAGCAGTGGCCCCTTCCCTCCACGGGCTGCCCCGGAGCTCAGTCCCACCCCCTCCGCCGATGAGGCCATGAGGCACCGAACGGACCTGGGCCAGGTCACCCCCTCCCTGTCCCATCCCCAATCCGGGGGACTCCCTGCTGTCTGGGAGCTGAGGGAGCCCTGGGGCCGGGGTGCAGCTGAGGGCCTCTTCTAGGGACCCAACTCCTGATCCAGCCCCTGCCGGCCGCACCTTCCGCAGGGTGTCACAGAATCATGGACTGAGTCCACTTGGCCCCCACTGCACAGATGGGGAAACTGAGGCCTGGGAGAGTGGAGTGGCTGGCCTCAGGCCACACGGAAAGGTAGAAGCAGTGATGGTGGGGAGGGCGGGGAGGGGGCCCCAGCCCTAGGAGGCACCTGTGTACTATTTTTGAATGATCCCTCCAATCATCAAGCATCGATTAAGCACCTACTGTCTGCATTATAGCACAATACACATATCAATAATATTGTAGGCTGGGTGCAGTGGCTCATGCCTATAATCCTAGCACTTTGGGAGGCCAAAGCAGGTGGATCACTTCAGGTCAGAAGGTTGAGACCAACCTGGCCAAGATGGTGAAACCCTGTCTCCACTAAAACGGCAAAAATTAGTCCGGCGTGGTGGCAGGCACCTGTAATCCTAGCTTCTCGGGATGCTGAGGCAGGAGAATTACTTGAACCGGGGAGGGTTGCAGTGAGCCGAGATCGCACCCCTGCACTCCAGCCTGGGCGACAGAGCGAGACTCCGTCTCAAAAACAAACTAACTAACAACAATAATAATTGCAGATGACATTCTGAGTTCTTCCTCTCCATACCGGGCTCCACGTCTCCTGTCTTCTTTACCTGATCCACAGGACCCCTCAACTTTCCTGTAAGGGAGGCTCTATTACCCCGTTTTTCAGAGACGAGAGGTAGGGCTCAGAGAGGTTTAGTTACTTTCCAAGATCACACAGCCAGTCAGGGCAGAGCCGGGACACAACCCTGTGTCTCTGGCGGTGGCTCTATGGACTCGGCCCCTCTGTTCCCCAGGCCCCACCTCTTCCAGAACCTCCTGCTCTTCCTGTGGGCCCTGCTGAACTGTGGTTTGGGGGTCAGTGCTCAGGTAAGGGGGGGCATGAGCCCAGGGGGTGGCGAGTGGGAATGGGGACCCAGTCAGCAGTGTGGGGTCACCAGCGTCCCCCTACAAGGCTGACCGTGCCTCTGTCTCCCCAAGTAGGGTCCGGGCGAGTGGACCCCGTGGGTGTCCTGGACCCGCTGCTCCAGCTCCTGCGGGCGTGGCGTCTCTGTGCGCAGCCGGCGCTGCCTCCGGTGAGCGGGGCCCGGAGGGGGTCCCTGCCCCTCCTCCCCCGCCGGCCCAGCCCGGCCCCTGGCCGCACCCTCGGCCTGCCCACACATGCTGTGCCCTTTAATCCCCCTGATCCCGCTGGAATGCGGGTGGGGTTGGCGGGGGCGGAGGGTGGAAGGCCAGCCCTGGGAGGGGGTCCCTGGGGGTTCTCGCCACACTCTGTCTCCCTTCAGGCTTCCTGGGGAAGAACCGTGCTGGGGAGACTCCCATGAGTACCGCCTCTGCCAGTTGCCAGTAAGCCCTGCCCACCTCCCAGACCACTCTCCCACCCCAGACTGCCTGAAGCCCACCACCTGCCCCTTGGGGTTGTCCCAGCCTCTGGCTCACCTATCTCTGTCCCTAGGACTGCCCCCCAGGGGCTGTGCCCTTCCGAGACCTACAGTGTGCCCTGTACAATGGCCGCCCTGTCCTGGGCACCCAGAAGACCTACCAGTGGGTGCCCTTCCATGGGGGTGAGTAGTCTGGTCTCCTGTGGTCAGAATTGGTCCAGAGCGAACAACTCATTAGTCTCAGGGAGAGGGTCTTGGAGGGTTGCAAAGAGAAGAGGGTATTAGTGCTAGGGCTTTGAAGGATATGTAGGAGTTAGTGAAACAGAAACAGCATATGTTAGGCGTGAAACAGGGGCAGAGGGAAGCAGGGTTCATTCTGCACAGGGCTGAACACCCAACTAAGGATTGACTTAGAGCTGTATCCAGAGGCCAACACTTCTCAAACTTATCCCAGTAGCAGGAAATGTTGCTGCATTGAGCTGAAAATAGCGAGTTATATAACTACGTGCCCGGGTCAGTGCGCCTCCAGATTTCAGGGAGACAGGCAGCTTCACACGCCATGGGGAAGGCAGACACAGATATAAGAAAAGCCTAGAATGGACAAAGTGCCATCCATCAACCTCATTTCCTTCCTTCCTTCCCTTTCTTCCTTCCCTTCCTTCCCTTTCTCCCTTCCCTTCCTTCCTCCCTCCCTCCCTCCCTCCCTCCCTTCCTTCCTTCCATCAATCTGAGAATTGGAGGAAACCTGCTGTGATCCCACCCCCGCAGAGGCCCACTAGGGCCAGCCCAGGATCCGTTCCAGGCAGGGTCCACCAGCCAGGCTCAGGGAAATGGGAGCCAGAAGGAGCTGGAGAAGGAGGAGTGGAGATCAGGGCTGTCGGCCTTTGTGTTTGATCAGACAGCTCATTTTGCCCCACTTCCAGGCAGAAGGGGAAACTGAGGCCCAGGGAGGACCAGCGACACAGCTCAGTTGTGCGGGACTCAGTCCAGTCAGTACTGGACAAACACTTCATTGGGTACTTGCTGGTGCCTGGGCCAGATGCTCAGATCTTCTTTTTTTTTTTTTTTTTTTTTTTTTGAGATGGAGTCTCGCTCTGTCACCCAGGCTGGAGTGCAGTGGCATGATCTTGGCTCACTACAGCCTCCACCTCCCTGGTTCAAGCGATTCTCCTGCCTCAGCCTCCGGAGTAGCTGGGATTACAGGCTCCCACCACCAAGCCTGGCTAAATTTTTATTGTTGTATTTTTGGTAGAGACGGGGGGGTCTCGCCATGTTGCCCAGGCTGGTCTTGAACTCCTGGCCTCAGGAGATCTGCCCACCTCAGCCTCCCAATGTGCTGGGATTACAGGCATGAGACACCACACCTGGCCTTTTTTAAGGCCATCCATCTGCACACTGATTGAATTCTTGCTTCTGTATCCTAGAGCTTGGAACAGTGTCTGGAAAACAGTAGGTGTTCAGTGGAATGAAGAATGAGTAATGGTGTTAAAAATGAATAATATGTAAGGACTCCTAATATAAAGACAATGAATGAATGAATGAATGAATGAATGCAGCCCCAGGATACTTGCCTGCGAGTCCCAGGTTGCTGGACGCAGAGCACCTACGGTCCAGTCCTGGCTCTGCCTCAGCCTCGATGTGTGGCTTTGGCCAAATCTCTGGGCTTCATCTGCCCAAAGTGATGGTTGCCTGATGAAGCTTGGTAGAGGGGGACTGGAGCTCGAACAGGGGTCCCCGGCCCACCGACTCCTCCTGCCCTCAGCGCCCAACCAGTGCGACCTCAACTGCCTGGCTGAGGGGCACGCCTTCTACCACAGCTTCGGCCGCGTCCTGGACGGCACCGCCTGCAGCCCGGGTGCCCAGGGGGTCTGCGTGGCTGGCCGCTGCCTTGTAAGGACTCGTCAGGCCCCGCCCGAGCCCCGCCCACCTCCCACTCAGGCCCCACCCATCCTAGGCTCCACCTCCGCCCTCCTCCCATTAGCCTCCACCCCCTCCCTAGGCTCCACCGCCTTCCCCCTCCCCTTCCAGGCCCTGCCCCCAGCCCCCCTTAGGCACCCACTCCCGGGCGCCAAGCCCATCCTCCTCCCGCCAGGTCCTGCTCCTCCCTAGGCTCCACCCCCATCTTCCCTCCAGGCCTCGTCCTCTTGCTCCCAGGCACTGCCCTTTCCCCAGGTCCTGCCCCTCCCAGCGTCAGTGACGCCGCGCCTGTCCTTCACCCTTTAGAGCGCCGGCTGTGATGGGTTGTTGGGCTCGGGTGCCCTCGAGGACCGCTGTGGCCGCTGCGGAGGCGCCAACGACTCGTGCCTTTTCGTGCAGCGCGTGTTTCGTGACGCCGGTGACTACCTGCCCCGCCCTCCCTGCACACACGTCAGAGTGGGCCCTTTAACGAGCCGTGGCCCGGAAGCAAATTTCCGTGCTGATTGGCCAGTGTGCGGCCCAGCCCCCCTTTCTCCTCATCCTGATTGGCTACTGACAGATTGTCCCGCCCTTCCCCAGGACAGATGGGGTTTTAACCCTTTCCCTGCCACACTGAAGCAATAGTAATTGTAACTCCAAACGTTTACGGAGGGTTTTCCGGTTCCCAGGACCCTGGCTAGCTGTCTTACCCGCAGTAGCTCATTAAATCCTCAAGTCATCGCTCAAATACACCCCCACTGGCACCCCAACACCCTCCTACCCTCCCACCCAGGTGCCTTCGCTGGGTACTGGAACGTGACCCTGATCCCCGAGGGCGCCAGACACATCCGCGTGGAACACAGGAGCCGCAACCACCTGGGTATCCTAGGATGTGAGGCGAGAGGCACCCGGCTGGGCACCCGGGGGCGGTTGTCCCTGTTTACAGATGGGGAGACTGAGGCCTGAGGAGGGGACCCCAGGGTCTGGGAGACGAGACGACAGGTTCCTGAGGGCTGACTGTTCCCTTGCAGCACTGATGGGGGGCGATGGGCGCTACGTGCTTAATGGGCACTGGGTGGTCAGCCCACCAGGGACCTACGAGGCGGCCGGCACGCATGTGGTCTACACCCGAGACACAGGGCCCCAGGAGACATTGCAAGCAGCCGGGCCCACCTCCCATGACCTGCTCCTACAGGTGCCACTGGGCCTCCAACAGGGTCAGAGGGGGTCGGCTGGGGACAGAGGGGAGAGGCTGGGGACAGAGGGTAGGAGTGGAGGTGACTGGGGCCAGAAGGGGGAGTCTGGGGTCAGAGGGGAGAGGCTGGGACAGAGCATCAGAGGGGGGAGGGTGGGGACAGGGTCAGAGGGGATCAGCTAGGGACAGAGCATCAGAGGAGGGAGGCTGGGGGCAGACAGGATCAAAGTGGGGAGGCTGGGGTCGTAGGGTCAGAGGCAGGAGGCAACCCCAGCCTCCTGTGAAGCTCCCTGTGTCCCCTCCCCTGCTCCAGGTCCTCCTGCAGGAGCCCAACCCTGGCATCGAGTTTGAGTTCTGGCTCCCTCGGGAGCGCTACAGCCCCTTCCAGGCTCGTGTGCAGGCCCTGGGCTGGCCCCTGAGGCAGCCTCAGCCCCGGGGGGTGGAGCCTCAGCCCCCCGCAGCCCCTGCTGTCACCCCTGCACAGACCCCAACGCTGGCCCCAGGTGAGGTGGGGACAGCCAGGGTGGGGGATGAGTGGGGACTGAGGCCTGTGCCCCTCACAGCACCGCCCATCCCACAGACCCCTGCCCACCCTGCCCTGACACCCGCGGCCGCGCCCACCGACTACTCCACTATTGCGGCAGTGACTTTGGTGAGACCCCCGACCTCTACCCTGACTTAGCCCCTACTAACCTGGCCTCCTCCTGACCTCTGACCCTAATCTGACTTTACCCTTGACCCCTTCTTCTGATCCTAATTTGCCTCTTGACCCTAATCCCTCATTGATCCCTGACGTGATCCTGACTCTAGTCCCTATAGATCCCGAGGTCCCACCTGACCCTCAGTCCCTCTTCTGGCAAGGGAGGGGGCGTAGAGATTTGCGCAGAGTTGAGCAGCCAGCCAGCTTAGCACGTCCCCTCAACAGTGTTCCAGGCCCGAGTGCTGGGCCACCACCACCAGGCCCAGGAGACCCGCTATGAGGTGCGCATCCAGCTCGTCTACAAGAACCGCTCGCCACTGCGGGCACGCGAGTACGTGTGGGCGCCAGGCCACTGCCCCTGCCCGATGCTGGCACCCCACCGGGACTACCTGATGGCTGTCCAGCGTCTTGTCAGCCCCGACGGCACACAGGACCAGCTGCTGCTGCCCCACGCCGGCTACGCCCGGCCCTGGAGCCCTGCGGAGGACAGCCGCATACGCCTGACTGCCCGGCGCTGTCCTGGCTGAGCCCCTGCAGGAGCCCCGGCCACACACAGCAAGAAAGATACATCTGACCAGCCTCAACGTCAACGTATTTCCCCTCTCACCCTGGCTTCCAGGCAGCTCTGAAATACGTCCCACCTGTGCAGCTATGTGACTCCCTCCCACACACGCTTAAGACACCTCTGCATGCAGTCAAAGCCACTGTCACAAGCCGGCAGGCACTGGTGAGGAGGCACTAAGGAGACTCTGACTTTTATTTCGCCTCTCTCCTTGGCTGCCAGGAAGCTCATAGCTATTTATACTCAGAAAGTTTAACGCTGCTTTCTTTCTCTTTGCGCGCGTCACACTTGCTTGGAGACACTGTCATGAACGAGCATGACACCCTGCTGCCCTGGGTACCCAGAAGATCATCTGTTTACTTCCCAGACACTGTGCTGTCTCTGCTCTCTGCTACTCACACACACCCTCATGTGTGAAGGGCAGAGACACTGTCACAAACAGGCATGCCCCTTAGAAGACATGCCTAACCAGGCACTGTAACGTACCAACGTACCAATTTCCCCTTTTCCCCTGGCTACCAGGAAACTCGGAGACAATCTTTTCAGCCTCAGCATTTCTGGCTGGATTTCCACCCATCAACACGTGCTTGCTCCTCCTTTTTTTTTTTTTCTGAGGTAGACCCTTGCTCTGTCACCTAGGCTGAAGTGCGGTGGTGCAATCATGGCTCACTGCAGCCTCAAATTCCTGGGCTCAAGCGATCCTCCCACCTCAGCCTCCACAGCAGCTGGAACTCCAGGTGTGAATCACCATGCCCGGCTAACTTTTAAATTTTTTGTAGAGATGGGGTCTTGCTACGTTGCCCACACTGCTCTCCAACTACTGGCCTCAAACGATCCTCCTGCCTCGGCCTCCCAAAGCACTGGAATTTCAGGCATGCACTATCGTACTGGCTGTTCACCCCCCTTTTATTCCTCTTTAATTTTTACAAGCACTTTTTAAAAAAAAATTTTACTTTAAGTTCTGGGTGTGTACAGAATGTGCAGGTTTATTACATTAGTATACACGTGCCATGGTGGTTTGTGGCACCCATCAACCCATCATCTAGGTTTTAAGCCCCACATGCATTAGGTATTTGTGCTAATGCTCTCCCTCCCCTCGGCCCCCACCCCACAAAGGACCCGGTGTGTGATGTTCCCCTCCCTGTGTCCATGTGTTCTCATTGTTCAACTCCCACTTGTGAGTGAGAACAAGTGGTGTTTGGTTTTCTGTTCCTGTGTGAGTTTGCTGAGAATGATGGCTTCTAGCTTCATCCATGTCCCTGCAAAGGACATGAACTCATCCTTTTTTATGGCTGCAGAGCACTTTTTTTTTTTTTAAGCACCCCAGTCACATGCACTCGGTCACAGAGACTCAGGGACACGCTGGTAGAACCCCGTCTCGACCTTGCTCATGGGTAGGCACGCATGTTCACACGCACCCCACCCCTCCTCCTGGTCCAGCCTCACCTCCTCCCTGCACGTCTGACACTGTGTGAGGTGAGGGCAGGGAATAGAGGAGGATAGGAGCAGGTGGGGAATGAATGGGGCTTTGGTAGGTCCTGAGCCTCCCCCAACTGCCACATACTTTCTCAGGCCCACCCTGGGAACCCCTCCCCAGGTGAGGAGGCAGGTGAGAGCCGCTGCTGTCTGCCAGCTGCCAGCCCGCTATGTTCTTCTGCAACCAGGAGGGCCGACACGGGCTGTGTGTGTACTAGGGGGTGTCACGAGGTCGCTCAGCAAACCCTCCTCCGTGGGGTGCCAACCCTCTGCCTCTGACGCCTGATGCATGGCTCATGCTGCCACCCGGGACAACCCACTCTGTGTGGGACCAGTGGTTGCATTTCTCCCTGGGGCCTGGGGTGCCTGGGGTCCATGGGTCCCCGCTGTCCACTGGGCACGGACAAGCTACCCCCACCAGGCAGGGAGCAACCAGAGAGGGTGAAGGGCAAGGAGGCGGCCGAGGCAGAGGGAGTCGGCAAGGGGTGCAGGACATTGGTGGACACGGCCCCTGATCTTGCAGATGACCCCAGGCCAGGTGCAGCCCCTCTCCAGCCTCAGTTTCCCGCTCAGTGAGTGATGCCCTCGAAGCCCCTCCCAGCTCTGACATGGGAGTTACACTTTCCTGGAGCCCTTCCCTAGCCCCCTTTTTCCTTCACACATTTCTGCAGCAAGTGCTTATTGAGCACCGACGGCATACCAGGGACCCAGCGGAGCCTGGGACGGCCCAGGCCTGGCGCTTCAGTGACGTGGTGCCTTCTGTGATTGATGTCTGCAGCACGCGCTGCCGGCGGGGGTCCCAGGGGCTCCCCAGCCAAGGGCCGCGGGTGCTGCAGGGATGAGTGGGGGCCGCAGTGCCCCCTGGCGGCAGGACGGGACATGAAGGGACTCCGGGCGCGCCTCGTGGCTTGTGGCCCCAGGTGCCCTGAGCCCACTTCCGCGTGGGCACTCGCTTCCCATTGGACGCGGGGCCCTCTCGCAGGCCTCCTCGTGACAGCACTGGCTCATGAGGCTACTGTCGGTGCCTGCCGGCACCCCACTGCCCTCCCTCCCCTGTCAGTCTGTAAGGCTGTCCCTTCTCCCCGGCTGTGGTTTGGGGTGTCCCAGGGAATGGAGGTTTCAAGGTCTCTCCCGGCCACGGACCCCCTGGGCTGCCCCGGCGCCTGGATCTCAGACAGTTACCCTAGGGGCTGCGCAACCGGCCAGGGGAGCTGACACTCGGAGAGTTTCCTCAACAGGGACCCCAGGCTGTGCCTGCGGCCAGGGAGAAACACGGAGGCGCTGGGAGAAACGCGCACCAGGTGTCCCACAGCCCCCACCGCCAGGAGCACGCCATTCCTGCGTGGGCGAGAGGACCCCAGCGTGATTTGAAAATGACAACATTGTTTCCAGTGAGAACCACGTAACCATCGGCAATAAACAGTCTCCAGATTTGCGCTTTAGCTTTAAAGCCGACAAGCGAACGTTTTGTTATCTTTGTTATTTTTATTTTTTTAGAGCCGGGGTCTGACTGTGTCTCCCAGGCTGGATTGCAACGGCGCATTCACAGCCCACTGCAGCCTCAACCTCCTGGGCTCCAGTGATCCTCCTGCCTCAGCCTCTGGTGTAGCTAGGACTACAGGTGCATACCACAATGTGTGGCTAATTTTTCTTTTCTTTTCTTTTTTGTAGAGATGGTGTCTCTCTATGTTGCCAAGGCTGGGCTTGAATACCTGGCCTTAAGCGAATCTCCTGTCTCAGCCTCCTAAAGCGCTGGATTACAGGTGTCAGACACTGCACCTGGCTGCCACTCTTTCCTTCTTTTATTTATTTTTATTTTTATTTATTGTTTGAGATGGAGTTTTGCTCTTGTCACCCAGGCTGCAGTGCAATGGCGCAATCTCAGCTCACTGCAACCTCCACCTCCCGGGTTCAAGCAATTCTCCTGCCTCAGCCTCCTGAATAGCCAGGATTACAGGCAACAGCCACCACGCCTGGCTAATTGTATATTTTTAGTAGAGACAGGGTTTCACCATTTGGCCAGGCTGGTCTCTAACTCCTGACCTCAGGGGATCCGCTTGCCTCGGCCTCCCAAAGTGCTGGGATTACAGGCATGAGCCACCGAGCCCGGCCTCCATTTGTTTAAAGACCCCTTTAGGCCAGCTGTGGTGGCTCATGCCTATAATCCCAACACTTTGCAAAGCTAAGGCAGGAGAATTGCTTGAGCCCAGGAGGTCGAGGCTGCAGTGAACTGTGATTGCATTGTTGCACTCCAGCCTGGGTAACAGAGTGAAACCCCCTATCTATTTGAAAAAATAAAGGCCGGGTGCGGTGGCTCACGCCTGTAATCCCAGCACTTTGGGAGGCCGAGGCGGGTGGATCACGAGGTCAGGAGATTGAGACCATCCTGGCCAACATGGTGAAACCCGGTCTTTACTGAAAATACAAAAAGCAGGTCATGGTGGCGCATGCCTGTAATCCCTGCTACTTGGGAGGCTGAGGCAGGAGAGTGGCGTGAACCCGGGAGGCGGAGGTTGCAGTGAGCTGAGATCGTGCCACTGCACTCCAGCCTGGGGGACAGAGAGAGACTCCATCTCAGAAAATAAAAATAAAAGTAAATAAATAAAAAGAGCTGGGCACAGTGGCTCACGCCTGTAATCCTAACACTTCGGAAGGCCGAGGCAGGAGGATCACCTGAGGTCAGGAGTTCAAGACCAGCCTGGCCAACATGGCAAAACCCTGTCTCTACTAAAAATACAAAAATTAGCTGGGCGTGGTGGTGCGCGCCTGTAATCCCAGCTACTGGGGAGGCTGAGGTGGAAGAATCACTTGAACCCGGGAGGCAGAGGTTGCAGTGAGCCAAGATTGCACTATTGCACTCCAGCCTGGGTGACAGAGCGAGGCTCCGTCTCAAACATAAAATTTAAAAAATACAAAATAAAAATAAAATAAAATGCCTGAGGGGCTAAAGGTCACATTTCCACCTGGTAAGACAAGTGTGTCCTCCTCCCCACCTGTGCTCCCTGGGTGTGCTGACCTGGGCAGGCCAGAGCCAGTTTTGCTGCTCCCCGCCAGTGAAAGTGAGGGACCATGCCAGGTGCAGAGCGAGCCTGGCACCCTCTCTCCTCCCTCAGGGCCATGACCAGACCACATTCTTCAAACCAGCTGGGCCAGTGATCGGCAGATTCTGAGAGCCCCGTCTGCCATCCCCGTGTGATCACCGACACAGGGTGGGGGGTGATTAATGATTACCCTTGCCCTTTGCTCTGATAAATCCTTCACCCCGAGTAAAAGACAAAGTCCCGGGCCGAGCACAGTGGCTCACACCTGTCATCCCAGCACTTTGGGAGGCCAAGGCAGGTGGATCACCTGAGTTTGGGAGTTTGAGAACAGCCTGACGGACATGGAGAAACCCTGTCTCTACTAAAAATACAAAATTAGCTGGGTGTGGTGGCGCATGCCTGTAATCCTAGCTACTCGGGAGGTGGAGGCAGGAGAATTGCTTGAACCCAGGAGGCAGAGGTTGCGGTGAGCTGAGATCCCACCATTGCACTCCAGCCTGGGCAACAAGAGTGAAACTCTGTCTCAAAAAAAAAAGACAAAGTGCACCCCCCGCCCCCAGTGCCTGTGTGGTGCAGCCCCGAAAACTCCCCTCCTCCCCCCTCCCCTCCTCCCTCCTCCCTCCTCCCCTCCTCCCTCCTCCCCTTCTCTGCTCCAGCCACAGGAGCCTCCTCTCTGTGCCTCCCACTCACCAGCGTGGTCCTGCCTCAAGGCCTTTGCACAGGCTGTGCCCTCTGCCTGGAACACTCTTTTTTTTTTTTTTTTTTTCAGAAAGAGTCTTGCTCTGTTGCCAGGCTGGAGTACAATGGTGCTATCTTGGCTCACTGCAACCTCCGCCTCCCGGGTTCAAGCGATTCCCCTGCATCAGCCTCCGAAGTAGCTGGGATTACAGACACACGCCACCATGCCCAGCTAATTTTTTGTATTTTAGTAGAGACGGGGTTTCACCATGTTGGCCGAGATGGTCTCAATCTCCTGACCTCGTGATTCACCCACCTCGGCCTCCCAAAGTGCTAGGATTACAGGCGTGAGCCACCGCACCCAGCCTTTTTATTTTTATTTTCTTGAGATGGAGTTTCACTCTGTCGCCCAGGCTGGAGTGCAATGGCACCATCTCCACTCACGGCAACCTCTGCCTCCCAGGCTCAAGTGATTCTCTTGCCTCAGCCTCCCAAGTAGCTGGGACTACAGGCATGTCCCACCACGCCTGGCTAATTACTGTATTTTTAAGTAGAGACAGTGTTTCACCATGTTGGCCAGGCTGGTCTCGAACTCCTGACCTCAGGTCATTCACCTGCTTTGGCCTCCCAAGGTGCTGGGGATTACAGGTGTGAGCCACCATGCCTGACTGACCACTGTTTTTCTTTTGGAGACAAGGTCTTTGGAGACGGGGTTTCGCTGTGTTGGCTGGGCTGGCCTCCAGCTCCGAACTGCGAGTGATCTGCCAGCCTCGGCCTCCTGAGGTGCCGGGATTGCAGACGGAGTCTGGTTCACTCAGTGCTCAATGGTGCCCAGGCTGGAGTTCAGTGGCGTGATCTCGGCTCACTACAACCTCCACCTCCCAGCCGCCTGCCTTGGCCTCCCAAAGTGCCAAGATTGCAGCCTCTGCCCGGCCGCCACCCCGTCTGGGAAGTGAGGAGCATCTCTGCCTGGCCGCCCATCGTCTGGGACATGAGGAGCCCCTCTGCCTGGCTACCCAGTCTGGAAAGTGAGGAGCGTCTCTGCCCGGCCGCCATCCCATCTAGGAAGTGAGGAGCGTCTCTGCCTGGCCGCCCATCGTCTAAGATGTGGGGAGCGCCTCTGCCCCGCCGCCCCGTCTGGGATGTGAGGAGCGCCTCTGCCCGGCCGCGACCCCGTCTGGGAGGTGAGGAGCGTCTCTGCCCAGCCGCCCCGTCTGAGAAGTGAGGAGACCCTCCGCCCGGCAGCCACCCCGTCTGGGAAGTGAGGAGCGTCTCTGCCCGGCAGCCACCCCATCTGGGAGGGAGGTGGGGGTCAGTCCCCACCCTGGCCAGCCGCCCCGTCCGGGAGGGAGGTGGGGGGGTCAGCCCCCCGCCCGGCCAGCCGCCCCCGTCCGGGAGGGAGGTTGGGGGGTCAGCCCCCCGCCCGGCCAGCCGCCCCGTCCGGGAGGTGAGGGGCGCCTCTGCCCGGCCGCCCCTACTGGGAAGTGAGGAGCCCCTCTGCCCGGCCAGTCGACCCGTCCGGGAGGGAGGTGGGGGGGTCAGCCCCCCGCCCGGCCAGCCGCCCCGTCCGGGAGGTGAGGGGCGCCTCTGCCCGGCCGCCCCTACTGGGAAGTGAGGAGCCCCTCTGCCCAGCCACCACCCCGTCTGGGAGGTGTACCCAACAGCTCATTGAGAACGGGCCATGATGACAGTGGCGGTTTTGTGGAATAGAAAGGGGGGAAAGGCGCGGAAAGGATTGAGAAATCGGATGGTTGCCATGTCTGTGTAGAAAGAGGTAGACACGGGAGACTTTTCATTTTGTTCTGTACTAAGAAAAATTCTTCTGCCTTGTGATCCTGTTGATCAGTGACCCTACCCCCAACCCTGTGCTCTCTGAAACATGTGCTGTGTCCACTCAGGGTTAAATGGATTAAGGGTGGTGCAAGATGTGCTTTGTTAAACAGATGCTTGAAGGCAGCATGCTCGTTAAGAGTCATCACCACTCCCTAATCTCAAGTACCCAGGGACACAAACACTGCGGAAGGCCGCAGGGTCCTCTGCCTAGGAAAGCCAGAGACCTTTGTTCACTTGTTTATCTGCTGACCCTCCCTCCACTATTGTCCTATGACCCTGCCAAATCCCCCTCTGTGAGAAACACCCAAGAATGATCAATAAAAAAAAAAAAAAGTGTCTCCAGACAAGACCCAAAGGCCGGGGGACAAAACTGTTCTGGGTTGAGAATAACTGAGTTATGGCCCCTTGGGAAAATATATCAGGGTTTGTGGTTTATCCTACTCACTTTTTTTTTTTTTTTTTTTTTTGGAGATGGAGTTTCATTTGTTGCCCAGGCTGGAGTGCAGTGGCGCAATCTCAGCTGACTGCAACTTCTGCCTCCTGGGTTCAAGCAATTCTCATGCCTCATCCTCCCAGGTAGCTGGGATTACAGGCATGTACCACCATGCCTGGCTAATTTTTGTATTTTTAGTAGAGATGGGGCTTCACCATTTTGCCCAGGCTGGTTTTAAACCCCTGACCTCAGGTGATCCACCTGCCTCAGCCTCCCAAAGTGCTGGGATTACAGGTGTGAGCCACCGCACCCAAATGGGGGAGTTTTAAGAGAAGCAGGCTAATGCAAATAGGCCAGACAACTAGTTCGGGAGGGAGGAGAGAAAGCACTGTGATTAAGGACAAGCTTTTCCGGGGCTTGCACCCATCCTGGCCATGTGGGTGGACCTTGAGTGGGTGAATTAGCCTCTGGGCCTCAGTCTCCTCATCTATATTATGGGGCTGGTCGGCACAGCCGGGATTCATGCCTGATGAAATGGGACGGTGCCCTCGCAGCCCCTCCCCTGGGCCCCCCGCACACGTGGCACACAGGTCTGGTCCGGGTTAGCTTTATTGGAGCCTCCTAGCAGGCCAGGTGTTTCAGGCACCAGTAGTGCTGCAGGCACGGGGGCCTGTGGTGTGGCCAGCTGCAGGTGATCTCGGTGGTGGACTCCGAAGTGTACTCCAGAGAGGTCCCGGAATGGCAGGGGACCAGCTCGGGCACTGAGGCGCTGCTGGCAGGCTGTTTCGACGATTCCTTCTGGCGCTGTCCGCTGGTCTTGGGGGCTGCGTCCTCCGGCTTGCCAGAGGACTTGCTGGGGGGCTGCGTGGGGATGTTGCTGCTGCTGGGAGACTGGACCATGGGTGAGACCGGGCTGGAGGTGACGTTGGGTGGCTGCAGGGGCCCCGAGGACGGGAGGGCTGACTGGGAGGGGCTGGAGGAAGTACCAGGCGGCTGGGTGTGTTGCCGAGACCAGTGGGAGCTGCCCTGTGCCCGACGCTGGCCCTGGGCCCTGCCGGACAGGCGGGAGCCACAGCCAGAGCCAGAGGGCAGCTGGCCCTGGGATCCAGAGCTGGGGGTGGCCGAGGACTGGGACTGGGACTTGCCCGAGGTGGCATTTAAGGAGACCCCCAGGGCCTTGCCTGGACCCGAGGGACTGGCAGGGGCTGCTGTTGGGGGATGCGCTGAAGACTCTGTGGAGGCCTGGGAGCCTGGCGCGGCCCCCTCCTCACCAGCCAGGAGGTCCTTGTGAGGCTCAGGGGGCTGCTTCACTTGTCCTTCGGCTGCGGGGTCTGGCTTGGCTTGACTGCAGAGAGAGGGGCGGGTGGGGGAGGGCCGTGAGGCAGGCCTGGGCTCCCCGGAGCTGCTCGCAGGCGGGACTGAGGCTACTGGCTATGAGCATGACAAGTCGAGGGGCCGGGCAGCCACCCTCAGCAGAGATGGTGTCAACCACACAGAGGCTTTCATGGTCACCCATGCACAGATGGGTGCACACAGAGCACACGCATGTGCAGTCATGCACACGCACGCACTCACACGTGCACACATGGTCACACGCACACACATATACTCACATGCACACGTGGGCACACACACACATATGCACACGTGAGAAAACATGCTCACTCCCTTGCTCACTCACACACCAAACATACACTTGAGCCCATGCACACGCACCCTCTTGCACATGACAAAACATGCACACACAATAATACATGTGCACACAGCAAACATACGCTCAAACACACGCGCGCGCGCGCGCACACACACACACACACAGCTCCTATCTCCCCACAGCGGTTACGTACGGTCAGCTTCCAGGGGAGTGGAGGGCCCGGCCACAGCCACCGGGGTGATGCCTGCCCGGCTACGGGCCAGGACCTGCAAGACTGGTTCCCGGAAGCGTGAGAGAGAGAGGCGGACAGTGAGAGGGGGCGGCCAAAGTCAGAAAGGGAGGCAAGGTGGAGAGAGACAGGTCCAGACCCGGGAGATGGCCTGAGGCAGCCAGGCGCCTGCGAGCACCCACCGTTCCTGGTTATTCCGGCCGCCGCGTCCAGGGCTCGCCCGCTGAGGTCGTTCATGATTCTGTCTACGGCCCCGTGGTGCCTTAGGAACAGCGGACGCACGACGCGCTGATACAGCATGAGAGCCCCGTTCCAGGGCCTGGGAGCCATGCAGAACAACAGGAAGGCGCACTGCAGGGCGGGGCAGGAGTTACACGCGGGCCCACCCAGCTCTGTGCCCCTGGTGGGGAGAGGGGCTGCACCACTCCACCAGATGCCCATCCTGGACAGGCACTGGGTCTCCACCATCAGACACCCTTTAGGGTGGGCCCGCCACCATCAGACGTCCTATTGGGATGGGCCTGGGTTTTCGCCATCAGATACCCTCTAGAGTGAGCCCTCCACCATCAGACGTCCTACTGGGACAGGCCTGGGTCTCCACCGTCAGACACACTTTAGGGGTGGGCCCTGTGCCATCAGACATATTATTGGAATAAGCCTGGGTCTCCACCATCAGACACCCTTTAAGTGAGCCCTCCACC
Organism: Homo sapiens; assembly: GCF_000001405.40. Taxonomy (NCBI): domain Eukaryota; kingdom Metazoa; phylum Chordata; class Mammalia; order Primates; family Hominidae; genus Homo; species Homo sapiens. The sequence goes on along the minus strand of NC_000019.10, from coordinate 1,495,934 downwards.
ATCAGACATCCTATTTGAGCAGGCTTGGGTCTCCACCATCAGACACCCTTCAGGGTGGGCCCTCCACCATCAGACATCCTGTAGGGTGAGCCCTCCACCATCGGACATCCTATTGGAGCAGGCTTGGGTCTCCACCATCAGACACCCTTCAGGGTGGGCCCTCCACCATCAGCCCCCGGACAGGGCTCGTTTCCCCAGGGAAGGGACTGAGTCTTCCCCTCACATCCCCCATCTCCTGGTATCCTCCGGACTTTCTGGCCCCAGCGCCTCCCAGGAATCCCCAAGCCCCATGCGCTCCACGGCTGTGCCCGCCCTGGCAGGGCCCACCTTGCCCACGTAGTAGAAAGGGAACCAGGACAGGAGTAGATCGCTGAAGAACTCGGCCAGCCCAAACAGGGCGTACACCACCCAGTAGGTGAGCCACACAGTGTCGTCGTCCTTGCTTGGGCTCTCGATAGCTTTGATTCTGCAGGGAGGGTGCAGCAGGGTCAGGGGCTGCCAGGGAGCCCCCAGAACCCCCCGCGTGGGCAGCCAGCCGTGCACTCACGAGGCATATGCGGGGTACACAAATCCGATGAGATTGCACAGCAGAGACGCTCCGTAGCCGAACAGCAGATACAGGCTTAGCAGAGTGACGGCTCCTGCCGGAGAGAGGCGGTGGTGTGCCAGGGCTGGGGACCCGCTGAGCCCCCACGACGGTACCCAGGCCGCCTTTCAGTCGACGAAGACTGCAACCGTCACCTCCTCCCAGGAGCCGCCTCCAGGATATGTCCACTGCCCCTGATGTGCCTGTACATCCCCCATCGTGCCTCTAGGCCCTGAGCCTTGTGCCTGTAACTGGTCAACGTGTCCATGTCCCCCACCGGGGTTGAGAGCTCCCCAAGGGCAGGCAGGAGCTCGACGCTGGGCAGTGGGGGTGGGTGCGGAATAGCTGCCCAGTGAAGTGTTTGCAGCCGGGCGCGGTGGCTCACACCTGTAACCCCAGCACTTTGGGAGGCCGAGGCAGGTGGATCACGAGGTCAGGAGATGGAGACCATCCTGGCTAACACGGTGAAACCCCATCTCTACTAAAAATACAAAAGATTAGCCAGGCATGGCGGTGTGTGCCTGTAGTCCCAGCTGCTGGGGAGGCTGAGGCAGGAGAATGGCGTAAACCCAGGAGGCGGAGCTTGCAGTGAGCCAAGATCGCGCCGTTGCACTCCAGCCTGGGTGAGGCTCCGTCTCAAAAAAAAAAAAGTGTAATCTGCAACGATAGCCATCTCATTCCAGGCCCTTTGGGAGGCACTGGGAAAACAGGCCAGTGTTTCAATATAAGGGATGGCAGAAACCTGCAAGGGAGGCCAGGCTGTCATGAAGACTTGATTCTAGAGCTGAGAAAGGCAACTGTTTCATCTGTTATCTTAGCGCAGGGTTTCTCTGCCTTGGCACTGCTGATGTTCAGGGCCGGGTCATTCTTGGTTGTTTTCGGTGGAGAGGGGGAAGTGGCTGTCCTGGACACTGCAGGGTGCTGAGCAGTGTCCCTGGCCTCTGCCCACTCCATGCCATCAGCCCCCAAGTCATGACGACTACAGGTATCTCCAGACATCACCCAGTGTCCCCTGGGGCGGGGTGGGGGGCAGGGCTACCCCCTTTGAGAACCTCCTGTCTTGGAGGCAGCAAACCCCAGCATCTCGATCCCCTGGGTGGAGGAGAGCCCTTTGGTCGGGTGTGCACTCACCAGCCGGCACTGAGTGAGGCTGTGGCTGCATGGAGCCTCAGTTTCCCCCTTGGTAAGTGGGAGTAGTAATGGCCCCTGCCTCCTATGGTTACAAGTTAACAGAGAGAACGCCTTTCTGCACGTTTATTTCTATTTATTTTCGAGATGGAGTCTTGCTCTGTCACCCAGGCTGGAGTGCAGTGGCGCAATCTCAGGTCACTACAAGCTCGCCTCCCAGGCTCAAGTGATTCTCCTGCCTCAACCTCCTGAGTAGCTGAGCGTACCACCATGCCCAGCTGATTTTTGTATTTTTAGTAGAGACGGGGTTTCACCATGTTGGCCAGGCTGGTCTCAAACTCCTGACCTCAGGTGATCCGCCCGCCTTGGCCTCCCAAACTGCTGGGATTACAGGCGTGAGCCACCGCCATCAGCCTTTCTGCACATTTATTAAGTGCCTTCAGGCAACTATAACACAGTCCCAGCAAGGAGGGTGTTCAGAGAAAAACGTGTGTGTGTGTGTGTGTGTGTGTCCAGCTCAGCCCCAATCCTGAACCTGGCTCTGAAAAGAATGACTACGACAGCTGCATTTATTAAGCGCCTATTGTGTGCCAGGTTTTGTGCTTTTCCTGAATTATTCAACAGCCAAAACTGGGGGTGGGTGGGTGTTGCCCAAGGTCACACAGGGAACCTATGTGCTCCAGAGAGCTTGGACAGCCTTCTTCCTCCTCCCCTGGGGCTGCTATCTGCAGAGTGAGATAGAGGCCACTTCTGGACCAAAGGGCAGAGGCCCAAGTCCCCCCAGCCCCTCCCACCTGCTTTAGTCTTTATCCAAAAGCACCCAAGGTCAGGGGTAGGAGGAGTCCCCCAGCTGGTCCCAGGAGTGGCCTCCCAGTCACTGTCCCCTCTGAGTTTCTTCGTATGTTACCCAGGGGTGTGGGATTTGTCAATTTAAAGGAGGTGGGAGATGGGGATGAGGGACTGCCATCTCTCCCCGGGCCTGGCTCGTGGGGAGGAATGACTCTCCCAGGGCGTCCCTCCCCTAAATCCCTTTTCCTGCAGCTTCAGCGACGGGAGGATGACCTTGGACATCAGAACTGTGGAGGGAGGCCCAGCCCCCAAGATTAGCAGCAGATGGGACTGGGGGTGGGCAGGGTGGAGGACTGTATGCTTCAGACAGAACAGGCACAGAGGCAGCCCCTGCCTCCCTGTGCCTCAGTTTCGTCTCTGGTGACACGGTGCCCCAGGCAGCCCCTCCCTGCTGCCTGCCTCCTGGGCGCTCTACGACCTAAATTCCTGCCCACTAGCCCCAGGGATGTGGAAAGGGAGGGCAGAGGTCAGGGACCTGCTCCCGGGGGCAGGCACAGCCGGGCCATGCCCATGCCACCTGCTGCGCTGCACATGGGACCAGGCACCTGGGGACCTCCAGGGTGTGGGCACAGACTTCAGACTGTTCTGGCGCTGCCTGGCATGGGAACCCCCAGATGGTGGGAAAATTGGGGGGGAACTGGACTCCTGGGATCCACCTGCAGAAGGTGCTCAAAAAAGTGGCACTGTCCTCTACCCAGAATACCCCAGGCCCAGAGCAAGTCCTTGTGAGTCATTCTGCGGAGCTTCCTGGAAGAGAAGGCAGAGCCAGTGGGGCTGGGAGCACCACACAAACGGAAGAAAGGCTGGGTGCAGTGGCTTCCACCTGTAATCCCAGAGCTTTGGGAGGCTGAGGCAGGAGGATCGCTTGAGCCCAGAAGTTTAAGACTAGTCTGGGTAACATAGTGAGACCCTGTCTCTTAAAAAAGTTAATTTTAAAAAGTTTTAGGCCAGGCAAGGTGGCTCATGCCTGTAATCCCAGCAGTTTGGGAGGCCGAGGTGGGCAGATCACCTGAGGCCAGGAGTTCAAGACCAGCCTGGCCAACATGGTGAAACCCCGTTTCACCATGTTGAACGGCTAAAAATACAAAAGTTAGCCGGGCATGGTGGTGGGTACCTGTAATCCCAGCTACTTGGTAGACTGAGGCAGGAGAATCGCTTGAACCCAGGAGGTGGAGGTTGCAGTGAGCCAAGATCACACCACTGCACTCCAGCCTGGGCAGCAGAGCAAGACTCGGTCTCAAAAAAAAGTTTTAAAGGTGGGGAGGGAGGCATTTAAGGAGCGTTTACTACATGCTCTTGCTAGAGATTTGGAAAGGGGAAGGGGCGCGCAGCGTCACCAAGGGTGAAAGTCACGGAAGAACTGTAATGGAGTCACAATCGGGGTGCCTGGATCTCCGGCTCTGTGGGCCCCAGTCCAGCCTCCCCACATCACAGCCGTCAGACAACCCAACTCCGTCTTAACAAACATTTACGCTCGGTGGCACTAAGCCATTGAGCTGGGGGAAGGTGAGCTAGGGCAGGAGAGGAGGAGGAAAGGAGAAGGGTCCTGGGCAGGCCCCCAGGACGGTCCGTTCCCCTTCCCGCCAGGAGCCTCCCCTCAGAAAAACGGGAAGATCTCTACTGTTGCAGCCAGGCCGGGGTCCACGGGGGAAGGGGGACGGCGAAACGCGCAGGACACTGGCATCCCGACCCCTCTGGGGCCACTGGGCAACTGGAAGAACCGGACTTCGGCATGGCAGGCACCCAGCGCCCGGAAGGAGGCGTCGGGGGGCGGCCAGGGGCGGAAGCTAGAGAGGGGTGGCCCGGGAGCAGGGTCGCAGGGCGCGGGCAAGGGAAGGGCTGCGGGCGGACCTCGAGGTCCCAGTCACCTCGCGCGCTCCACCGGCCGGACCGGACCCCGTAGCCGGGGAAGGAGTCCGGTCTGCGACCCCCAGGCCCATGGCCTCGGTGTGCCCGTCGGCGAAACGGGCTAGCGCCGACGGCTCACCTGCAGCCAGATACCGCTTCTCCACCCCGGTCTTGGCCTCCAGCGCCCCCAGCACTTCGGTGACCAGGTTCCTTTGCTCCAGGAAGTGCTCCACGCGCTGCCTCAGGCCGTCCATGGCCCCGACGCGCCCGGGGTTGGCTGCTCGAGCTCGCCCGCGGACCAGGGCACCCACCCCGCTGCACGCGCACCGCTTTCCCGCAGCCTGAGCCGCGATGCTCCGGCCCCGCGCCGGTGTCCGCCCCCGGCCCCCCGCTAGGACCAATGGGAGGGCAGGGCGGACAAAGGAGGAGGGGCCTGCCCCGTCTCCCCCGCCGCATAGCCCTCCGCCACGGCCGCCGCTGCCCAGACCCCGCCGGGAGAGGGCGGGGCGCGGCGGCCCAGGGCACCGATTGGCCGGGCCGGAGCGAGACGTAGCTGATTGGAAGGGCGGTGTCAGAGGATGGGATTATTGGCTGAAGGGTGGAGCCAGGGCGAGGAGAGGCGTGGGGGGGCGGAACCGGGGGGAGGGGCTAAAGAAACATCCGAGCCGATTGGAGAAACGGGACGCGATTCATTGGCGAGACCAGTGGAGGGCGGGGCTGATCACAAAGGAGGCAGGGCGGAATGGTAGGGGCGGGAACGGGGCGAGGCTTATCGGAGGAGGCGGGATTACGCAAAAGAATGATTCTGATTAGGCCGGACAGGAGGCCGGGCTGATTCTCGAAGGAGGGGTGTGTTGGAAAGTGGGAGAGGTCAAACAAAGGGTAGGACGCGTTATCGCAACAGTGAACCCGCTTCTCTGGGTTAGTCTTGTCGTTGTACAAATGGGAAAACTGAGGCTCCCGAGGGTGTGGGTCTGCGGAAGACGGGCAGGCGTGCGTCCCTCTCCCGCTTCTGTTAGATCTTCGCGCCCCTCCTGGCTGAGTAGCCGCAAGGCCCCCTGGGAGTCGAAGCCTTCTGCGTTGCTATGGCGCCGGGGGCGGGTCGGACGCCTGGGCCCACTCGGCGGTTTGGCGGGAGGGAGGGGATTTGCGCAGGCCCCGCTCCCGCCCCGCCTCCATGCGGCCCGCCCCGATTGCGCTGTGGCTGCGCCTGGTCTTGGCCCTGGCCCTTGTCCGCCCCCGGGCTGTGGGGTGGGCCCCGGTCCGAGCCCCCATCTATGTCAGCAGCTGGGCCGTCCAGGTGTCCCAGGGTAACCGGGAGGTCGAGCGCCTGGCACGCAAATTCGGCTTCGTCAACCTGGGGCCGGTGGGTGGGACCGGGATAGACGGGAAGTGGGGGCTTGGAGGGGACTGAACAACCCTAGACCCCGACAAGGGGGAGGGAGCCCACAAGGTCTTCTAAATATCAAGAGTCCCAGCCCACCCCTGCCTCAGCCAAGCTCAGCTTCTGGGACTCCCAGAGAGCACCTGCTGGGGAAGGACAAAGAAGGGGGCTGTTACCGGCCCTCGGGGGCTTCAGCAGGGGAGCCGGGTCCCATCGGTGCGGCCGCTTCCCCACATCCCCAGATCTTCCCTGACGGGCAGTACTTTCACCTGCGGCACCGGGGCGTGGTCCAGCAGTCCCTGACCCCGCACTGGGGCCACCGCCTGCACCTGAAGAAAAACCCCAAGGTGAGCCTGGCCTGGAGGCCAACCCCCTGCCCGGGGTCTCAGCTGCCTCCTGGGGCCACCAGCCATCTTCTGTGGTTCTCGTGGTTGTTATGAACAGCTGTGTGCTTTCTGTGGCTCAGACCCGCCCGGGCCCCAAGTCTATACAGCAAGAGGAGGCAGGAAGACCCAGATACGGAAATCATGGCGCCTGCCAGGGCCTGGTACACAGTGGGCACCTCTTGTCCTCCCCCTCCCTCCTCTGGGCCCCAGGGGCTCTGGTAAGGAGGGACAGACGGCGTGACTTCCCCACCGTCTAGGTCATGGGATGGAGGGAAGGGGATTTTACGACACCGTAATGGGTTCCAAAGAGTAGGAGGCTTGGCCCGGCGCGGTGGCTCACGCCTGTAATCCCAGCACTTTGGGAGGCGGAGGCGGTCGGATCACAAGGTCAGGAAATCGAGACGAGATCCTAGCGAACACGGTGAAACCCTGTCTCTACTGAAAATACAAAAAAATTAGCCGGGCATGGTGGCAGGCGCCTGTAGTCCCAGCTATTCAGGAGGCTTAGGCAGGAGAATGGTGTGAACCCGGGAGGCGGAGCTTGCAGTGAGCCGAGATCGCGCCATTGCACTCCAGCCTGGGCGACAGAGCGAGACTCCGTCTCAAAAAAAAAAAAAAAAAAAGTAGGAGGCTTACAGTCACCCAGTGGCCCTCAGGACGCAGTGTCCAGGCGCTCAGAAAGGGGCCTGGGTCCCATCGGGCTGGGCCCTGTCTAGAAAATGCCTGGGATGTCAAGCTGAGGGGTTGGGATGGAGCCTGGGAAGCCCTCGGAGGCCAGGAAGTGCCTTGAACAGGACTGGACAGCTGCCTGCTTACAGCACCGGGAGGGAGAGCAGTGGCCAGTTCCTGATGTGGTTTGCAAGAGAGAAGCCAGGCCTGGCGTGGTGGTTCATGCCTGTAATCCCGGCACTTCGGGAGGCCAAGGCAGGCAGATCACTTAAGCTCAGGAGTTCGAGACCAGCCTGATCAACATGGCGAAACCCCATCTCTACTAAATGTACAAAAATTAGCCGGGCATGGTGGTGTGCGCCTGTAGTCCCAGCTACTTGGGAGGCTGAGGTAGGAGAATCGCTTGAACCCAGGAGGCAGAGGTTGCAGTGAGCCAAGATTGCGCCACTGCACCCCAGCCTGGGCGACAGAACAAGACTCTGTCTCAAAAAAAGAAAAAAAATAAGGAAGTGATGCAGGAGAGAGATAGAAGGATCTAGAACAGGGATGGGGGAGAGAGTGGGGTGGGGACCCGGGGACCTGCAGTCACCCGCGGCAGCAACGACGCGTCTGTGGGCCCAAGGACAGGTGGTCCAAAAGCCTCGACCCCTTCCGACTGCAGACAGAGCCCCAGGCACATGGGGACCCTGGAGAGCAACCCCCACAAACACAGGGTCCCAGGGCACGGGGCTGCCTCACTCCCTGAACCACGAGGGGCCCCAGGGGCGAGCAGGGGACAGGCCTGATGCACCCTCTGCTCTGCAGGTGCAGTGGTTCCAGCAGCAGACGCTGCAGCGGCGGGTGAAACGCTCTGTCGTGGTGCCCACGGACCCCTGGTTCTCCAAGCAGTGGTACATGGTGAGCAGGCAGCCAGGGTGGGTAGACGGGGACGGGGCCGCTGGCGCCCTCAACTCCAGGCCCTCACAGGGTCACAACCCCGCCTCCCCCTGCAGAACAGCGAGGCCCAACCAGACCTGAGCATCCTGCAGGCCTGGAGTCAGGGGCTGTCAGGCCAGGGCATCGTGGTCTCTGTGCTGGACGATGGCATCGAGAAGGACCACCCGGACCTCTGGGCCAACTACGTGAGACCGCGGGTGGCTGTGGGCGAGGGCTGCCCCAGGTGCCGAGGCTGGCACCACCCTAGGGACGCCTCCCGGCCCCCTCATATCCCCACCTGCCCCCAGGACCCCCTGGCCAGCTATGACTTCAATGACTACGACCCGGACCCCCAGCCCCGCTACACCCCCAGCAAAGAGAACCGGTGAGCAGGGCTCCCACAGCACACGGGGGAAGCCCCAGTACCCGGCAGGGGGATGGAGGCCGTGACAGGAGCCCCTCTTGGCCCTGGCACCAGGCACGGGACCCGCTGTGCTGGGGAGGTGGCCGCGATGGCCAACAATGGCTTCTGTGGTGTGGGGGTCGCTTTCAACGCCCGAATCGGAGGTACCCGGGGTCCCCCAGCGGCACCATTCCGGGACAGAGAGGGAAGGGGGTGACTCTGGCGGGGAGCTGGGCCCAAGGACTCGGGAGCCCACCCTCTCACTGCTGGGTGGTGCTAGGGCCCCAGACTCCAGGGCTTGGGGGGTGCTGAGCCAATACGAATGGTCCCACTCCAGGGAGCAGAGAGAGGGCCCAGGTAGGGCTGGGGAGTGGTGTGGAGTGGCGCGGGGCGGGCTGGGGTGTGGGGAAGGGCAGGGCCGGTGGCAGCGGCCCTCCCGCCCTGGCTCTGCAGGCGTACGGATGCTGGACGGTACCATCACCGATGTCATCGAGGCCCAGTCGCTGAGCCTGCAGCCGCAGCACATCCACATTTACAGCGCCAGCTGGGGTCCCGAGGACGACGGCCGCACGGTGGACGGCCCCGGCATCCTCACCCGCGAGGCCTTCCGGCGTGGTGTGACCAAGGTGAGTGGCAGCCCGAGGAGGGCAGGGGTGGCAGGCCAGGCCGACGCCCCCTCCCCGCCCCTCCTGGTTTCCCAGGGCCGCGGCGGGCTGGGCACGCTCTTCATCTGGGCCTCGGGCAACGGCGGCCTGCACTACGACAACTGCAACTGCGACGGCTACACCAACAGCATCCACACGCTTTCCGTGGGCAGCACCACCCAGCAGGGCCGCGTGCCCTGGTACAGCGAAGCCTGCGCCTCCACCCTCACCACCACCTACAGCAGCGGCGTGGCCACCGACCCCCAGATCGTGAGTGCAGCCGCCCCAACAGGGTCCCCTCCCCAGGCCCTGCCATCCCAGCCTGGCCTCCTCCTGTCCCCACCACTGTGACTTAGCACCCTCCCAAAGCTGCTTTGAAAATGCAAATCCAGGCCGAGCACGGTGGCTCACACCTGTAATCCCAGCACTTTGGGAGGCTAAGGCAGGCAGATCACAAGGTCAGGAGATCAAGACCATCCTGGCTAACATGGTGAAACCCTGTCTCTACTAAAACTACAAAAAAAAAAGGCCAGGCACGGTGGCTGACGCCTGTAATCCCAGCACTTTGGGAGGCCGAGGCGGGTGGATCACGAGGTCGGGAGATCGAGACCATCCTGGCTAACAGAGTGAAACCCCGTCTCTACTAAAAATACAAAAAATTAGCCGGGCGTGGTGGTGGGCGCCTGTAGTCCCAGCTACTCGGGAGGCTGAGGCAGGAGAATGGCATGAACCCGGGAGGCAGGGTTTGCAGTGAGCCGAGATCGGGCCACTGCACTCCAGCCTGGGCGACAGAGTGAGACTCCGTCTCAAAAATCAATCAATCAATCAATCAATAACCCAAATCCAGGCCAAGCACAGTGGCTCGCGCCTGTAATCCCAGCACTTTGGGAGACCAAGGTGGGTGGATCACCTGAGGTCAAGAGTTCAGGACCAGCCTAGCCAACATGGCAAAACCCCATCTCTACTAAAAATACAAAAAAAAATTAGCCAGGCATGGTGGCGGGCGCCTGTAATCCCAGCTACTCAGGAGGCTGAGGCAGGAGAATCGCTTGAACCCCAGAGATGGAGGTTGCAGTGAGCCAAGATTGCACCACTGCACTCCAGTTTAGGCCACAGAGCGAGACCCTGTCTCAAAACAAAACAAAACAAAACAAAACAAAAACAAATCCAGCCGGGCGCAACAGCTCACTTTGGGAGGCCAAAGTGGGAGAATCACTTCAGCCCAGGGTTTCTTTTCATTTGTTTGTTTTTGAAGATGGAGTCTGGCTCTGTCGTCCAGGCTGGAGTGCAGTGGCGCGATCTCAGCTCACTGCAAGCTCCGCCTCCCGGGTTCACACCATTCTCCTTCCTCAGCCTCCTGAGTAGCTGGGACTACAGGTGCCCGCCACCATGCCCGGCTAATTTTTTGTATTTTCAGTAGAGACAGGGTTTCACCATGTTAGCCAGGATGATCTCGATCTCCTGACCTCGTGATCCGCCCACCTCGGCCTCCCAAAGTGCTGGGATTACAGGTGTGAGCCACAGTGCCCAGCACTTTCTTTTTTCTTTTGAGATGGAGTCTCGCTCTGTCACCCAGGCTGGGTGCAACAGAGTGAAGTGGCATGATCTCAGCTCACTGCAACCTACGCCTGCCGGGCTCAAGCGATTCTTGTGCCTCAGCCTCTTGAGCAGCTGAGACCACAAGCATGCCACCATGTCCTGCTAATTTCTTTTGTATATTTTGTAGAGATGGCATTTCACCATGTTGGCCAGGCTGGTCTCCAACTCCTCAGGTCAAGCGATCCACCAGCCTCGGCCTCCCAAAGTGCCGGGAATAGCAGGCCACGCCACCATGCCCGGCTAATTTTTTTGTATTTTCAGTAGAGACGGGGTTTCACCATGTTGGCCAGGCTCTTAGTTCTTTTTGAGCATAGTCCTTGTTACTTCTTGAACTCAGTCCTTGGAGTCCTTGGTACCTTTTTTTTTAAATTTTTTTGAGACAGAGTCTCACTCTGTCACCCAGGTTGGAGTGCAGTGGTGCAATCTTAGCTCACTGCAACCTCTACCTCCCAGGCTCAAGCGATCCTCCTGCCTCAGCCTCCTGAGTAGCTGGGATTACAGGTGCACACTACCACACCCAGCTAATTCTTGTATTTTTCCTGTAGAGACGGGGTTTCACCATGTTGCCACAAGCTGGTCTCAAACTCCTGAGCTCAAACAATCTGCCCGCCTCAGCCTCCCAAAGTGTTGGGACTACAGGCGTGAGCCACTGTGTGGCCAGTCCTTGGTACTTTTTGACTTCAGTTCTTGGTACTATTTTTTTATTTTTTTGAGATGGAGTCTTGCCATGTTGCCCAGGCTGGAGTGCAACGGTGTGATCTTGGCTCACTGCAACCTCTGCCTCCTAGGTTCAAGTGATTGTCTTGCCTCAGCCTCCCAAGTAGCTGGGATTACAGGTGCCCCGCCACCATACCCGGGTAATTTTTTTGTATTTTTAGTAGAGACAAGGTGTTGACCAGGCTGGTCTCGAACTCCTGACCTCCGGTGATCCACCCACCTCGGCCTCCCAAAGTGCTGGGATTACAGGTGTGAGCCACCGCACCCAGCCCTTGGTACTTTTTGAATTCAGTCGTTAGTACTTTTTTTTTTTTAATCCAGAGTCTGGCTCTGTTGCCCAGGCTGGAGTGCAGTGGCGTGGGTGTGATCTCCGCTCACTGCAACCTCTGCCTGTCGGGTTCAAGTGATTCTCCTGTGTCAGCCTCCCGAGTAGCTGGAACTACAGGTGCCCGCCACCATGCCTGGCTAATTTTTGTATTTTTGTAGAGTTGGGGTTTCACTATGTTGACCAGGCTGGTCTTGAACTCCTGACCTCAGACAACACGCCCGCCTCAGCCTCCCAAAGTGCTGGGATGACAGGCCTGAGCCACTGCGCCCGCCCAGTCCTTGGTACTTTTTGAAGAAGGGCTGTATTCTCACTGTGCACGGCCCCCCGAGTCCCACCCCCCTCTGCCCTCAGGTCACCACGGACCTGCATCACGGGTGCACAGACCAGCACACGGGCACCTCGGCCTCAGCCCCACTGGCGGCCGGCATGATCGCCCTAGCGCTGGAGGCCAAGTAGGTGACTGCGGGGCCCGGTCCACCGCCCTCGCCCCCAGGCGCGGCCCGGCGGCTCACCCGCCCCCGCCCCCGCCCCCCGCAGCCCGTTCCTGACGTGGAGAGACATGCAGCACCTGGTGGTCCGCGCGTCCAAGCCGGCGCACCTGCAGGCCGAGGACTGGAGGACCAACGGCGTGGGGCGCCAAGGTGCGGCGGGGCCGGGCGGGGGCGGGGACCCGGGGCCCACGGGGCGAGTGACTGCTGCCCTTCCGCGCAGTGAGCCATCACTACGGATACGGGCTGCTGGACGCCGGGCTGCTGGTGGACACCGCCCGCACCTGGCTGCCCACCCAGCCGCAGAGGAAGTGCGCCGTCCGGGTCCAGAGCCGCCCCACGTGAGACCCCTGCGCGCCCCTCCGCTATCCCCGCTGGGGGTGTGGGGGACAGGCCTGAGGCCTCAGTTTACCCATCTGTAAAACGAGGGCTGGACCCCGTGACCTCTGAGCCCCGACCTCGCCTGCTGGCCGCCCACCCACCCCCCAGCAGGCCGCAGGAGGGTCCTCACCCCTCGACCCCCTCAGCCCCATCCTGCCGCTGATCTACATCAGGGAAAACGTATCGGCCTGCGCCGGCCTCCACAACTCCATCCGCTCGCTGGAGCACGTGCAGGCGCAGCTGACGCTGTCCTACAGCCGGCGCGGAGACCTGGAGATCTCGCTCACCAGCCCCATGGGCACGCGCTCCACACTCGTGGCCATACGGTGAGCGGCCCGCAGAGGAGAGGGGGCGGCCTCATGCCCTGTCGGTAAACGCTGCCATCTACCCGGAGTGTCCTCACGGGGAGGGGCCAGGCCCATAGGAGTCACACGGCAGCCTAGTTGGTGGGACCCCGAGTCACACCCTCACCCACACCCAGAGGACACGCGGCCACCAGCGCGTGCGGTCAGACACTTCATGGGGCTCTGCCGGCTTCACAAAGCCATCCCTCTTGACACCCCCACCCCCACCCACCCTTCTGTCCCAGACCCTTGGACGTCAGCACTGAAGGCTACAACAACTGGGTCTTCATGTCCACCCACTTCTGGGATGAGAACCCACAGGGCGTGTGGACCCTGGGCCTAGAGAACAAGGGCTACTATTTCAACACGGGTGAGGGCGGGGCGGGGCTGTGGTGGGCGGGGCTTGGCTCTCCAACCTCCCCCCAGGGGCTCTGGAGCTAGCCTTGGTGACCGCACTGCAAAAGGGGTTCCCAGTGGCCTTCTCCAAGAGAACATGCACACAGTAGGCGTGCAGTCACCCGGGAGATGGTGTGCAATGACAGGCACACAGTAGGTGTGCGGTAACACGGGAGATGTAGGTGCCCAGTGACAGGCGCACAGTAGGTGTGCAGTCACCCGGGAGATGTCGGTGTCCAGTGACAGGCGCACAGTAGGTGTGCAATTCCCTGAGAGATGTGAACCAGTCCAGGGCCCCGCGTGGGAGCTGAAGGGGAGGGAGCCCGGGGACTACCAGGACCAGGCTGCCGAGAGCCTCCTTTTCCTCCTGTGCCCACCCGCGACCCCTGTCCAGGGACGTTGTACCGCTACACGCTGCTGCTCTATGGGACGGCCGAGGACATGACAGCGCGGCCTACAGGCCCCCAGGTGACCAGCAGCGCGTGTGTGCAGCGGGACACAGAGGGGCTGTGCCAGGGTGAGTGCCGGCGGGGCAGGGCCCACTGCTGGGAGGCGGTGGCGGCCACCGTGGGCAGCGTGCATGTGGCCCCAGGCGGGCGGGTGGCGAGTAACAGGCTGCGGGTGGCAAGCTGACGGGCCTTTGCGTGCGTGTCCCCGAGCAGCGTGTGACGGCCCCGCCTACATCCTGGGACAGCTCTGCCTGGCCTACTGCCCCCCGCGGTTCTTCAACCACACAAGGCTGGTGACCGCTGGGCCTGGGCACACGGCGGCGCCCGCGCTGAGGGTCTGCTCCAGCTGCCATGCCTCCTGCTACACCTGCCGCGGCGGCTCCCCGAGGGACTGCACCTCCTGTCCCCCATCCTCCACGCTGGACCAGCAGCAGGGCTCCTGCATGGGACCCACCACCCCCGACAGCCGCCCCCGGCTTAGAGCTGCCGCCTGTCCCCACCACCGCTGCCCAGCCTCGGCCATGGTGCTGAGCCTCCTGGCCGTGACCCTCGGAGGCCCCGTCCTCTGCGGCATGTCCATGGACCTCCCACTATACGCCTGGCTCTCCCGTGCCAGGGCCACCCCCACCAAACCCCAGGTCTGGCTGCCAGCTGGAACCTGAAGTTGTCAGCTCAGAAAGCGACCTTGCCCCCGCCTGGGTCCCTGACAGGCACTGCTGCCATGCTGCCTCCCCAGGCTGGCCCCAGAGGAGCGAGCACCAGCACCCGACGCCTGGCCTGCCAGGGATGGGCCCCGTGGAACCCCGAAGCCTGGCGGGAGAGAGAGAGAGAGAAGTCTCCTCTGCATTTTGGGTTTGGGCGGGAGTGGGCTGGGGGGAGAGGCTGGAGCACCCCAAAAGCCAGGGGAAAGTGGAGGGAGAGAAACGTGACACTGTCCGCCTCGGGCACCGCGTCCAACCTCAGAGTTTGCAAATAAAGGTTGCTTAGAAGGTGCTCAGTCTGTGGCCTCCTCTGGAGCAGGGTGGGCCCGAGGCCCCAGGGCTCAGGTGGTTTCTGCTTGGGGTCCCCGGACATCAGTCCATGGAGAATGCAGCCGGCCACGGAGAAAGAGTCCGCCCAGGCCCAGGGACCCCAGGCAGTGGGAACAGCAGGGAATGGCCGGGGGTCAGCAGTAATGTCCAGCCCCAGAACATGGCTCACCATGGCCCAGAATCCTCTCCTGCGGTGATTCCTTTGTTTTTTTTCTTGTTTGTTTTGAGACAGGGTCTCCCTACGTTGACTAGGCTAGAGTACAGTGGTGCGATTGTAGCTCACTGCAGCCTTGAACCCTGGCCTCAAGCAATCTTCCCTCCTTGGCCTCCCAAAGTGCTGGGATTACAGGCGTGAGCCACTGTGCCTGGCCCTTTCCTCCCTCCCTCCCTTCCTTCCTTTTCTTTACTTCCTTCCTTCTTTCCTTCCTTTCTTCCTTCTCTTTCCTTCCTTTTTTAGTAGAGATGGGTTTCACCATGTTGGCCAGGATGGTCTCGATCTCCTGACCTCGTGATTCGCCCACCTCGGCCTCCCAAAGTGCTGGGATTACAGGCTTGAGCCACCGCACCTGGCCCCTTCCTTCCTTTCCTTTTCTTTCTTTCTTTCCTTCTTTCTCTTTCCTTTTTCTTTCTTCCTCTTTCTTTTCTTTTTCTTTCTCTCTCGCCTTCCTTTCTTCCGTTCTTCCTTCTCTTTCCTTCCTTTCCTTTCTTTTCTCCCTTTTCTTCTTTACTTTCTTCTCTTTATTTCCTTTTTCTTTTTTTTCTTTCTCTCTCTCCTTCCTTCCTTTTTCTTCTCCTTCCTTCTTTCCTTTCTTTCTCTTTCTTTCCTTTTCCCTCTCTCTGTCCCTTCCTTCCTTCCTTCTCTCTCAACAATATTTTTTTTTTTGAGACAGAGTCTTGCTCTGTCGCCCAGGCTGGAGTGCAGTGGCACGATCTCGGCTCACTGCAAGCTCTGCCTCTCGGGTTCATGCCATTCTCCTGCCCCAGCCTCCTGAGTAGCTGGGACTACAGGCAACCGCCACCATGCCTGGTTAATTTTGTTTTTCTTTTTGTATTTTTAGTAGAGACAGGGTTTCACCATGTTAGCCAGGATGGTCTTGATCTCCTGACCTCGTGATCCACCCACCTCGGCCTCCCAAAGCGCTGGGATTACAGGCGTGAGCCAACACACCCAGCCTAATTTTTGTATTTTTAGTAGAGACGGGGTCTCACCATGTTGGCCAGGCTGGTCTCAAACTGGCCTCAAGTGATCTGCCCGCCTCGGCCTCCCAAAGTGCTGGGATTACAGGCATGAGCCACCGCGCCCAGGCTGAATTTACAGTTTAAACAGGCGAATTTGGCCGGGCGCGGTGGCTCACGCCCGTAATCCCAGCACTTTGGGAGGCTGAGGCGGGCGGATTGCCTGAGCTCAGGAGTTTGACACCAGCCTGGGCAACACAGTGAAGCCCCATCTCTACTAAAATACAAAAAAAAATTTTGACGGACGTGGTGGCGGGCGCCTGTAGTCCCAGCTACTCGGGAGGCTGAGGCAGGAGAATTGCTTGAACTCGGGAGGCGGAGGTTGCAGTGAGCTGAGATCACGCCACTGCACTCCGGCCTGGGCGACACAGTGA
The DNA here is from genome assembly GCF_000001405.40 of Homo sapiens. Taxonomy (NCBI): domain Eukaryota; kingdom Metazoa; phylum Chordata; class Mammalia; order Primates; family Hominidae; genus Homo; species Homo sapiens. The sequence continues at coordinate 1,479,779 of NC_000019.10, read as the reverse complement.
GACTCTGTCTCTAAAAAAACAAAACAAAACGAAATAAACAGGAGAACTTTATGGTATGTAAACTGCATCTCAATAAAGCCCCTGAGAGAGGAAAAGGGCCCTCTGCTCTTTCTGCCTTCCCAGGCATCAGCGGAGAGGAAAAGGTGACCTCCAGCACCGTCCCCGAGGTGGGAGGACCCGCCTTGGCCGGAAGTGGAGGCGCCGCGACCGCCCCGCCCCCGCTGTGTTCCGGCCGCCGAGTGCTCATGCACCACCAGGCTCCCTTAGGTGGACAGCAATTTTGTGCTCCCGTCAGCCACATGGGTGGCGTGTCCCCTAGTGCCGTGTTCCCCTTTTCAGAAAGACGAGCCTCGGATGCTTTTCTACCCAGCCAGTGGAGCCTGGACTCGAACTCGCTCTCATCGTAGCGCGTCCAGGTTCGGGTTCGCCTGAGAGGCTGAGATCCGAGTCTCAAGGGCACTATCCCTTTAAGACGGGGCGGAGCCCCGCGATGAGCGGCGGGCCGGCGGGAGAGGAGGCCGGAAGTGTGTGTCACGTGTTCGGGGACGGGGCGGTGCTCCGACCGGAATCGGAAGTGGCTGCGTCGTCGACGCTGGGCTTTCGGGTCCCGCGCCCAGGTGGGAAGAGGCCGGCGACTGGGGTGACCGCGGGGAAACTGAGGCAGAGGTTGAGCCAGACCCTGAAGCCTTGGCCACCGTGTTTTTGGGCGGAGGGAGGGTCAGGGCCTGGGGCGAGCTCAGAGGGGCGGGACAGGGCGGGCTTCCCCGGGAGCGGGACCGCGACGGGTGCGTACGAGTTCGCTGGGCGGGAGGAGCAGCCCGGGCAAGGGCGGAGAGGTGGACGCCCCGGTCAGCGCCCCCTTCCCCGCCTTCAGAGATGGGCTCCAAGGCAAAGAAGCGCGTGCTGCTGCCCACCCGCCCAGCGCCCCCCACGGTGGAGCAGATCCTGGAGGATGTGCGGGGTGCGCCGGCAGAGGATCCAGTGTTCACCATCCTGGCCCCGGAAGGTAGGGGGAGCCCGGTCCCGGGGAAAAGCGGACCTGAGACCCCGGCAGCAAGGGGACGGGAGAGAAGCACACCCCTAACTCCTGACCCCACGCCCTGGGAACCCCCGCAACATGGGCACGGTCCGTATCCTCTCCGAGTCTCCCTCTACTCCTCCGTAGAGTGGGACCGATTTTCAGAGGGTTCTTCTGACAGGGGTGGAGGCCGGGCGCTGTGGTTCAGGCCTGTAAGCCCAGCACTTTCGGAGGATGAGGCGGGAGGATCGCTTGAGCCCAGGAGTTCGAGACCAGCCTGGCCAACATGGTGAAACCCCGTCTCTGCTAAAAATGAAAAAACAAAACAAAAACAAAAACAAAAACAAAACAGAGTTAGCTGGGCATAGTGGCAGGCGCCTGTAATCTCAGCTACTCGGGAGGCTGAGGCAGGAGAATCGCTTGAACCCGGGATGCAGAGTTTGCAGTGAGCCGAGATCGCACCACTGCACTCCAGCCCAGGTGACAGTGCGAGACTGTCTCAAAAAAAAAAAAAAATTACTGGGTGTGGTGGTGGACACTTGTAGCCCCAGCTTCTTGGAGGCTAAAGTGGGAGGATACAGCCTAGGCAACACAGCCAGACTGTGTCTCAAAAATAAATAAGTGGCCGGTGCGGTGGCTCACGCCTATAATCCCAGCACTTTGGGAGGCCGAGGTGGGTGGATCACTTGAGGTCAGAGGTTGGACACCAGCCTGGCCAACATGGTGGAACCTTGTCTCTACTAAAAATACAAAAATTAGCCGGGTGTGGTGGCATGGGCCTGTAATCCCAGCCACTCAGGAGACTGAGGCAGGAGAATCACTTGAACCTGGGAGTCGGAGGTTGCAGTGAGCTGAGATCACGCAACTGCACTCCAGCCTGGACCACAGTGAGACTCTGTTTCAATAATTATAATAATAATTAATAAATAGAAATAAATAAAGTAAAACAGAGGTGGTAAGCTAGGGCCCCCCAAACCCTGCCCCTGGCTGTTTTTTTAAGGTCTGGGAGCTATGAATGGACTTCACATTTTTAAATGGGGGTGGGTGAAAAAGAACATTTCTGACACCTGAAAGAGGTATGAAATTCAGATTTCAGTGTTGGTAAGTAAAGGTTTACGGCACACAGCCAAATGATTCACATACGGTTAGTGGCTGCTCTCACACCAGAAGGGCAGAGTTGAGTAGTGGGAGCAGAGACTCCAGCCTTTGGCAGGAAAGCTTGTCCACTCCTGATTTACGAGGTGGAAGCTAGTCAGAGACCAAAGGATTCAGCAGTGCAGTTGGGTGAATTTTGTGTTCTGGATGAGGCTCATTCATTCATTCAACAATCCTTTTCTTGAGCACTTCCTGTGTGCTGGGCTCTGCGCTTAGAGCACTGCTAATGGACAAGTGAACAAAAGAAACAAGAATGTCTGCCCCAGGCTGTTCTGGGGCTGGCGGGAAACAAATGAAGATGAATCGGCCAGGTGCGGTGGCTCACACCTGTAATCCCAGCACTTTGGGTGGCTGAGGTGGGCGGATCATTTGAGGTCAGGAGTTCAAGGCCACCCTGGCCAACATGGTGAAACCCCGTCTCTACTGAGAATACAAAAACATTAGCTGGGCATGGTGGCGCATGCCTGTAATCCCTGCTACTTGGGAGGCTGAGGCAGGAGAATTGCTTGAACCCAGGAGGCGGAGGTTGCAGTGAGCTGAGATCGTGCCACTGTACTCCAGCCTGGGTGACAGAGCAAGACTCTATCTCAAACAAAAAAAAAAAAGAAAAAAGAAAATGAGCCATGTGGAATGATAGAAACTGTGAATTTCTAAGGGAACATTTTTAAAAAGTAATATTAGAAAATTCTGGGGCCAGGTGCAGTGGCTCATGCCTGTAATCCCAGGACTTTGGGAGGCTGAGGCAGGAGGATGACTTGAGGCCAGGAGTTCAAGACCAGCCTTGGCAGCATAGCAAAACCTATATCTACCAAAAATACACAAACTAGCTGGGTGTGGTGGCATGCACCTGTGGTCTTAGCTACTCAGGAGGCTGAGGCAGGAGGGTTGCTTGCGCCCAGGAGTTGGAGTCTCCAGCCTGAGTGACAGAGTGAGACCCTGTCTCTGAAAAAGAAAAAAAGAGAAAAATTGAGTTGTGTTTTCCCTTTAGACATATTTCAAGTGCCCAGGAGCCACACATGGCTGGTGGCTGGTGTGGACCAGCATCGGTGGGAGGTGTGCGCATCATCTGGAAGGTTCTGTGGGCCGGTACTGGTCAAGGTGCATGAGTTGGTTTTATTCCCAGCATGCAGTTCGGTCACCTGAGGGTGCTGGGGCCGTGGTTTGAGCTTCATGGGCTCAGGTCCATGGCCGTTGAGTGTGGCGAAACTGAGGCACGCTGTGCGGGGGACGGGGGGCGCTCACAGAAGGTAGGGGGCCTCCTGTGCCTTCATCCAGGCACTGCCCGGCCTTTCCCACCCTGTTGCTAAAGCAGGTGATGACAGAGGTGATTTGATCAGCCCAGACCCGTGCGGCACGTGGAGCCTTCGTCCGTGGGAGACCACACTGCCGAGGGGCAGGCCAGAGCCGAGGGGCCCCTGACGCTTCTCTGAGTGACCCTGAAGTCGGTGCTGCTTCAGCCCTGCTGCACTGGGCTTGCATACGTGGGGGAGCAGGGAGCCATACGTAGTTTCTGCTGAATGTGGGAGTCACCAGGACGTCAATGCCCACCTCTCACCTTCGCCACCCCTGCCTCCCTAAGTGTGTGCTCCAGGAGGTTGCACGGCCCCTGGAGAGGTTTTCGGTGGCGGGCTTGTTGCGTCTCTGGCTTCCAGAGACAGCAGGAATGAGAGCCAGGCCAGCTCAGTGGAGTCCATCCCGGTGGGTGCCACGGCTTTTGCAGGAATGGAAGCCCCGCCCCCAGGAGGGCCACTGCTGGCGAGGCTTGAGCTCTTTCTGTGACCCGATCCCCCTGGTCACACGCTTTGCTAAGGCGGGTAGCCTAGAGCTGGAAGCCCCTCCTGCCACCCAGCCACTGTGCCTCTCCCAGCTGATGGACGAGGAAGCCTCCATTACTTGATTTTTGTTTTTATTTATTTTTGAGACAGGGTCTCATTCTGTCACCCAGGCTGGAGTACCGTGGCACGATCATAGCTTATTGCAGCCTCGGCCTCCCAGTCTCAAGCGATCCTCCTGCCTCTGCCTCCAGAGAAGTAGGGACCACAGATGCGTGCTACCACGCCCAGCTAATTTTTGTATTTGTATTTTTTGGTAGAGATGGGGGTGTCACTATGTTGTCCAGGCTGGTCTCTAACTCTTGGGCTCAAGTGTTCCTCCCGCCTCGGCCTCCCAAAGTGCTGGATTACAGGCGTGAGCCACCACACCTGGCTGCATCCGTCATGTTAAGAAGACCCCGGCTGGCAAGCTCACTCGGGGACTGCAGGGAACCCTGCCCTTTGGGGGCAGTAGTGAGGGGTGCCCAGGAGGATGGGGTGGTCAGCAGGCAGTGATGCTGCTGTGTCCTGTCTCAGACCCCCCAGTTCCCTTCAGGATGATGGAGGATGCGGAGGCCCCGGGAGAGCAGCTCTACCAGCAAAGCCGGGCCTACGTGGCTGCCAACCAGCGGCTGCAGCAGGCGGGCAACGTGCTGAGGCAGAGGTGTGAGCTCCTGCAGCGAGCCGGCGAGGACCTGGAGCGGGAGGTGGCCCAGATGAAGCAGGCAGCATTACCGGCAGCCGAGGCTGCCTCCTCAGGCTGACCTCTCGGGGCCTGCAGGCTTGGGCAGCGCACAAGGTGGCCTGCACCCAGGCTTTCCCTGGGGGTCCGTCGGCCCCAGACTGGCATTCACGGGGTCCCAGCCCACGTGGGTGTTGACACAGGCGCCCCTCCTGATGCTGGGGCTGCGGTTCATCCGTCGTCTCATTCATGCCGAGTTGGTGGGACCCACCCAGCTGGCTCCGTCCTGCGTGACCTGAGGGCCCCACTGGGGTTCTGGAAGAGGATAGGGACATTATTGCTGTACTGTGATTCTGTCGTCAGCTCACAGTGGCCGTGCTCTGCAGTGGGGCCCCTGGGAGCAGGTGCCACCTCCTTCCTCTCCCGGGGCAGGCACTCGCCTGTCCACTTCTGAGTCCAGGTGTTGGGATCGAGGTGTTAACTGTGATTCCATCCAGCGAGTGCCCACCCAATGTCAGAGCAGCCCGAGGGCCAGCCTGAGCCCCTGACCCCACTTCCTTCTGGGCCCCGGGCTCCTCCCACAAGCCACGTTGATCTTCACAACGACCCTGGGCCGCTGGGGTCACCCAAGAGAAGCAGCCCTGAGACCCAGCCAGGCTGGGCCTAGCTCCACGGCACGGGTGTCTCCCAGCCACTGCCCTTGCTGGAGGACCGCTGTGAGTCACTGGCCAGGAGCCCAGGGTGTCCTGAGTCTCATAGCCACCCTGCCAGCTGCAGCAGGTCCTGGGCCTGCTTCCCTGCGGGTTCTGGCCCTGGGGGAGGGGGCGTTAGTGCGGCGGAGGGTCTTGCCAAAGGCTTTTCATCCTAAATAGCAACTTGAGTGGAAACCTGGGCAAGGCGGCCCAGAGGCTGGGCCCTGCACATAAAGCTTTCGTGTGTGTCTGGCCGTCTGAATGGTGCCTCTGTGAGCGGCTCCGTCCCGGGGCCCCGGAAGCTGGGGAGGGATGGGTACCGGCGACCCCGGGAACCCTGCTCAGTCCTGCCGGGCACTGCATGCAGGGACCGTCCGCCTGACCCAGAGACCTGGGGCTGCCTCACCCTCTCTCCAGACCCACAGCCAGCTTTGTTTCTTGAATGTGGAAGATGTTTCTTATTCCCTGAAGAAAGGGGGCCTGCCACACACAGCCTGGGAGGCGCCTCATCCAGAAACTGGGACTTGGCTAGCCCGGCCTGGGCCCTAGGGACTTCTCACTGGTCATGCTTCTGAAGCTGCTCACCTGGCCGAGGGAGGTCCCGGCAGTGTCCCAGGGTGGAAGGTGGGGAGGGGGCCGGCTCCTGCCATCCCTTCCCACCCTGCACTTCTGTGCTGCTTGCAGTCATAGCTTTCCTTGTCCCCCCAGCTGGGCCAGGGCTGTGCTCCCTGAAGTGGCTTTGACGTGGGGCCGTCCCAGCTCCCGCAGCCCCTGTCCACCATTGACTCTCCCCGGTAGTGGCTGCTGTGGCTGCCCCATCCCAGCTGTTGCACCAGCCACAGCTCCTAGTGGCTCATGGGTGCCTCCTGCCCCACACTGGGGCCTGCCATAATAACTGGCCCAGGTACCAATGCCCAGGTTGGACCCCCTGTCTGGGGTGCTGTGCACCCCCTGGAGCCTGCCCTCCCTTGGGACCAGGGGGAGACTCCTGGCCTCAGCCAGTGCCTCCCCGGCCCATCTGGGTGGGGTGCCCACAAACCCTGTGCCCCCAGTTTCTGCTTTCTGGCTCTGCTTCCAGGGATCTAACCTGGGGGGTCTCAGCAATTCTGTGGCAGCACATAGACAGCGATGAACCTACCCGCCCACAGCCCATTTTGAGGAAGAGGTGATGGCGGCAGGCAATGCAAGAGCTCAGTTTATTAAATGTGTGCGAGTCGGACAGCTGACGGTGTCGTCCTTACGCCGGACAGATGGCTTTACATTTAGGGAAGGACAGGCTTTCACTATTTACCACTATTTACACGTCCGTTTAACACTGCAGAGACCCGGTACAGAAACGTGGGGTGGCGGCTAGGGGAATCAGACAGACCAGGCGCGCGCCATCAGGGCTGGACCGGGGCAACAGATGGGGCCGGGTGAGGTAATGCTGTCGGAGCTCGGGAGGACCATGCCGGTGGGCACGGCGCCCCGAGTTCAGCACCCACGTGTGGTCATGTTGGGGGCCAGTGGCGGTCACTGTCCATCAGCCTCAGGACACCTCCACCCTCCCTGCGTCCTCAGACCCTCAGCTCCTTAGGACTGGCCCTGGAGCATTGGGGGGCAGACGAGGACCCCTTGTCACCCTGGTGCAGAGAGGCCAGGTGGCCAGGCAGGGGCCGCGGTGGGAGGGAGGCCTTGCAGTGGGCGTACCTTGAGTTGATTGTCCAGAGACCGCGGACTGCCTGTCCCCTTCTGGAGACAGCTGGACTGGGCGGTGAGGTGTGGCTGTGGCCCCCACGGCAGGGGATGGAGAAGGCGAAAGTGAGCTCAGGACTCGGGGTGGGGGTGGGAGGCGGGGCTGGCAGCCATGTTGCGCACCTTGCTGCTGGGCAAGGCGTCACGGGCAGGAGCCAGCCAGACCCAAGTTCTGTGAGCTTCCAGGCGTCTCCCCATCATCGCTGCCACCACGCTCCCCCAAGAGGTAGCTCTGGGAGTTCCCCACGGCCCACATGGGGAAACAGAGGCAGGGAGCTGGGAGGGCGCCGCCCAGAGACTTACATATGTGGAAGGCAATGCCGCACCACCTTCCTGCATAACCCTGGCCCTGTCACCAGCGACCTGGTGGCTGGCTTCGCCATTTCCCTACCCTTTGGCAATTAGGGGCGCAGCGGGCCGGGGCGAGTGTGAGGGTGAGCACGTGTTTGGCATCCCCAAGTCCAAAAGCTCAGAAGAGACCACCAGGTTCCCCCTCGGGCCATGGATGGGGACAGCAAGTGTGAGACCCCCGCTGTGTCCTGAAAGGGGGCTCCTGGCAGGCAGGAGGTCGCCCCACTCAGCCTGCATTTTCCCCGCTCTCTGCTCAGCCATCCATGACCCCCTCTTCCCCCAAAACAACCTGACAGCCTTGCCTGGCTGCGAGGTCCTAGGAGGGAGCATTGGGCACCTCCAGCACCTGCTGGGTGGCACACCTCGGTGACTTATGGACGTCCTGTCTGGAGCTCCTTGTCCTGCAGGGTGTGGGCCCGGAGCATGGGGTGCAGCGTGACATGCATTCAGAGAAGCAGCAGTGTTAACTGGGGGTGGGGGCTGGGGTCAGCTTTGCTCACAGCGGCCCTGAGTTGAGGACAGCTCCTTCTGCCAGAAAGGCTGGCCTTGCCCATGCTGGGGATGGGACGGGAGGGATGGTGTCATCCGTGGTGGGGCTGGGGTTTCCTTCTGAGCTCCATCCACCCAACCCTCAAACCCTGCTTCGTTCCTCCTGGAGAAGGCACGTGGGGCATTGAGCGTGTGCCTTCAGCCTGGGCAGATCCGTGGGTGAAGGCAGCGCCTGCTGGAGCTTTTCTGCAGAAAAGAGGTCGTCGGCTCCCTCTGCAGGACGAGGCGTTGCCCCAGTCACGGAGACCCGGCCCCTGCGAGTCCCACCCCACGCAGGAGGCCCAGCTCCCAGCCTCCCCCGCCAGGGGATGAGGCAGCCGAGCCCCTCAGGCCCTTCTATAAGCTTTCACCTCATCTGGCACCAAATACTCTCCAGCCCTGCGTTCACCTGCCGGAAGGCCCCCGAACCTCCCGCCTTGTCCCAGAGCCTCGGGTGGAGGGCAAGGCTGGGTCCCCGCCCCAGCTGTGCTGTTTCTGGAGTTCTAGGGCCTAGCGCTTTATGCATCATGAACCAGAAGGGAATTGAAAAGGGACAAGATGAGCAGCGGTGCGGTCCTGGGCACTGACCACGCCCACATGTGATGGTCTCCGTAACGTGCAGGCTCCGCTGGGGAGAGGCCAGCGCGGGCTCCAGGTCCCAGGGCCTCGGGCTCACTGCCGGGACTCCCCTCAGTCTCCTTTCCATTGGCCTCGCCCGCCGCGGCTGCGCCGGGCCGATACTGACTCCAGCGACCCTTGGGGTCGCCCCAGCTGGTAGCCAGCATCTCCTCTGGGATGGGGTCCAAATGTCAGCCGGCCCGGCGTCTGCACCAGGGTCCCATCGTACGCAGCCCGCTGCCTTCCCGTCTCCCGCCAAGGGGTGCGACAGGCAGGGGGATCCGTTGGCCTCTGCCCCTCCCACCCCCACCCTTTTGGGCTCCGCCGGAGCGCTTGGGCTCCGGGTTCCCTGAACACCGTCTGGGCGGGGCTTCCTGCCGGGGCTCGGCCACACCCCCACCCGCACTCCCACAGCTGGGGCTGAGAATGAAAACAATCCCTGCAAAGCCCTCATTAGCGAATTACCGGCGGCTGCAGTGATTACAGGCTTCGCCCCTGCGCGCCGCAAAGGCCCCCAGCTGGCAGGCCCGCCGCGGCGCCGCCCTCCCCCAGCCTCGCCCCACCTGCGGCGGGCGCCGTCACCTCCCCAGCGCTGTCCCTGCGAAGCAGCGGACCCAGACCCAGACCCGGACCCGGAGGCTACCGCCTCCCTCGCCCGGGGTCAAGCAACGGCTTCCGACAGGGGAAGGGCCGCGCGCTCAGGGCTGGGCCAGGACGCCCTTGCCAGCGCTCCACGGTCGGGACTTGAGGCCTAGCGGCCGCCCCGTTTCCTCCTGGACCTCCGCGGCACAGAGGCAAGGTCTTCCGGTGAGGCGCGAGGTCGCCGTGCGCTGGGCGGGGGTTCTGAGAGTGGTGGGGCTCGGGTGGGCAGAGGCCCTGGGGCGACCTATGGGGGACGTCTACAGCGCAGGCCCATGGGGCAGCCAGACCGCGCCGCAGGGCCGGGAGAGAACGTTCCAGAAGGCCGGCCTAGGCCACTATTCCAGGAGGGTGGCGGAGGCAGTGGCCGGGGCTTTCTCCGCGGCCGAGTCGGTGGTGGCTGCGACCACCATGGGGCTGGGCACATAGTTGAAGGGGGGTACTCGGGCCGAGCGGCTGGGGGAGCCGTGCCGGCTGGCGGGGAAGCCCCCCACGGCGACCCCCAGGCCCTCGTGCACGAAGGGTGCGGAGATGGGAGCCTTGGCGAGGCTGGGACCGTCCACGTCGCTGCCGAGGAGGGAGAGCTGGCCGCCGGCGGGGGCCCCGGGGGGCTCCCTGGTCTCCAGGCTCGGGGACGTGCTGGAGTTGGTCTTGGGGGCGGCGACCTCCTCGGTCTGGACCACGGCGTCGCTGGTCTTGCGCGGCGGGGGCCCGGCCGGGGCGTCCTCGGGCGTGGAGCCCCGCAGTGGCAGGGCCGTGGCGGGAAGCGTGCTGCGCAGGATGTGGGGCACGTCCTCATCTCGGATGCGCCGCCAGGTCGTGCCCGGCGCGGCCACCCTGGGGAGCGGCCGGGGCTCCCCGTCGCTGCTGCGGCGCGCGGCGTCGGCTGAGGCAGGGGCCGCGGGGACGGCGCCGTCGGGCCTGCGGGCCACGCTGATGTGCGGCAGCGACGCGTAGCGCTTGACAGTCTCCGGCCGGGCGGCGGGCGCGCGCACAGGCAGGCGGGACGGGCTCTCGGAGGTGGTGCGCCGGGCAGGGCGCTCGCCAGGGCTGGGTCGGGCCGCGGGGGGCCGCTGCCGGGCCGGGGCCGGGCCCTGCCGGGGTGCCGCTCGGAGCTCTTCGCAGCGCGAGGAGCAGAGGAAGACGGCGGGCAGCGCGGGCCGGCCGCGGCGGGGCGAGGCGCCCTGGGGGGCAGAGGCCGCGGACTCGGCCGAGGACAGCTCGGAGCGGCGGCGCCGCAAGCCCGGCGACTCCTTGATGAAGGTTAGCTGTCGCCGGAAGCCCGAGCGGTCGGAGGACTCGCTGCCGCTGGAGAGGGCTGAGGCCACACGCACCAGGCCCAGGCGGCCCCCGCGCGCCCCCGGGCCCGCCTCGGTCCCCGCCCGGCCCCTGGGGCCCGGCTCCGGGACTGCCCGAGCCAGCGGTGGCGGCCCACGCCGGGCCGGCCTCTGCATGAACGGGATCCGCACGGGCGATCTCTGCGTCTTGTGCTGCTTCGCCAGAAGGGTGCGCGCCGGCGTTTTGGGCACCGGGGAGGCTCCGGGGCCGGGCAGGGCCCCAGCAGCCTGGGTGACCGGGGGGCGCTTTCTGGGCAGGGGCTGGGAGGCGGGCGAGGTCTGGGAGGAGCTGGAGGAGGGGGTCTTGGCGAGGCGGGCGGGCGGTGTGGCGCTTCTGGGGGGCTGGCTCAGCGTCGCCAGCTCCGAGGTCTTGGCAGGCCGGTGTAGGCTCCGCGACCGCTGCTGCCCGGGGCTCGGGACTTTGGCTGGAGCCGCGGGCTGTGCCAGGCAAGGGGGCGCCACCTTCCGCGGTGTGGCGCGGGGGCCGGGGGTCCCTTTGGGCTGGGCACGGGGTGCCGGGCTGGGGACGTAGATCACTGTTCGTCCCCGGAGCACAGCTGGCACCCCGGGCGTGGTCTTCTGTGTGCCACGTGGCTTCTCGGGGCCTGCAGGGGAACGGGGGCTCCCGCTGGTCTTGACTGAGGCTGCGCCCCTTTTCTCTGGCCGCCGGGCACTGCCCATTTCTCCCTCCGCCTGTCGTCCCTTCCTGTGCTTGGGGGGCTGTAGGGTGGATCCCACTGACAGCCCGGATACGAAGGACAGGATGGAGTCGGACTCGGACGAGGCCTCCCGCGTGGCAGCTGCTGCCTGGTGCAGCCACGTGACAATTGAATTGGCGCCCTCCTGGATGGCGCGCCACTCCACGCTATCCAGGTCGGAGGCCCGGTCCGAGCCCGCTGCCTCCTCGCCGCGTTCCCGGGACCCCTCTGCGGGCCGCTCATCCAGCCGGGTGGCTCGGGGCTTGCGGCGCCGCAGGCCAGACACGGGGGGCCGGCGCCTGGGCAGGGCCGAGCTGATGCACCGCTGCAGAAGCTCCTCCGCGGCCCGCGGGCTGGGCGAGCTGTCGCGTCCGCCTCCTGGGCCCGGGTCCTTGGTGACCGCGGGCTCCCGGCCTCGTGGATGGACGGCCGGCGGCTCCGAGGGCTCGGGCTCGCTGAGGGAGCTGGCGGAGGAGCTCAGGGAGTAGCAGGGCGGGGTCTCGTCAGCAATGAGGCTGGGCTGGGTCCGGGCGGGCGGCGGGGCAGCTGGTGCAGCCTTGGACGGGGCAGGGGCCTCCTTCCGGCCCTGCGGACGCTCCCGCGTAAAAGCGCGAGGGATGGCCGATGTGCGCCGGTGGGTTGGCGTGGGCGCGGCCGCCGGGGGCTCCTCGTCCGAGTCGTTGCCGTAGAAGCAGTACACGGCCTCCTCAGTGGGCGTCGTGAGGCACAGCGACTGGAGCGCCCCGTCCCCGCGGGTCCGGCCGGGCTTTGAGCCGTCCTTGTCTGCGGGGGCGCTCGGGGGCCGGCCCAGGGGCAGCTCCAGCCCTGCTCTGTTCTTGCCCGCGCCCCGAGACTGCTCCGCGCTGCGGCCGGCGCCTCCCGCCTTGTGCCGGTGCCCCATGGCCTGTCTGGCAGAGGTGGGGCGGCCGGTGGGTCTTTGCCTGCCCGCTGGTCCCCCGGGCTGGTCCCTGGGGGGTCCCTGCAGCGTCTCGTCGCTGAGCGAGGCGGCGCTAGAGAAGTTGACCGGCGTGCCCTCCGCGGAGTCAGTGCAGGAGTCGTCCTCCTGGGCCGGGGCCGGGGCGGGCACCAACATGTAGACGGGCACGGGGAGTGCGCGGCGACCTGGCACCAGCGCGGAGGCCACCTTGCGCAGCCGGGCAGGCACGGCGGCTCCCAGGCACTCCCGCAGCAGTTCCAGCTCCTGGTCCGCGGCGCCGCGAGGGCGAGAACCCGTGGGCGCCGGCCCCTCCTCCCGCCGCCGGTGCCCTGCAAAGTGGAGGCCGGCGCCCCCGGCGCCCCCGCCGCGCTCGGGGCAGGCCGAGGGCAGCAGCCGCAGCTCCACGTCCTGCTGCACGTAGTGCTCGTGCAAGGCCAGCGCGCTGAGGCTGGAGGCGCACGAGAAGTTCTCGTCTGGCTTCTCCACGGTAAAGCGCACGCTGCCTGCGTCCAGCTCAGATGGCAGCCGGCAGCGCTCCCGGCAGTCGGCGATGTCCAGGAAGCGCTTCACGTAGCTCTCCCACTGCAGGCTGAACTGGGTGGCCTCGGGGGGACCCTGTGGCGCGGGCGCCAGCGGTGGCGTCTTGCTCCGGCTGGGAGGCATGGTCTGTCCGGGGCTGTCGGGCAGCTCGCTAGGGCTGATGGTGCCGCTGCCCTGCCCGCTGCAAGGTTCACTGGGGATGGAGCTGGCGATGGACGGGCTCTCGAAGCTGCCCAGCGAGCTCACAGAGCTGCAGCGGCTCAGCACAAGCGGTGTCTCCTGCACGTAGTTCTCCGACGAGCTGGACGGCGTGGCGTCTTCCACCCCCAGGCCCCGGCCTCGGTTACGCCGGGGAGCCGGAATGGCTACGGGCAGCGAGGTGGCCCCGGGCGCCCGCCACGTGCTGTCCAGCTCAGCCTCGCTGGGGCCGGCCTCCTCCAGCCCCTCCAGGGAGGAGTCACTGTCATCCAGGTCACCACCCTCGCTGGGGCCTGGGCGGCCGGCCGAGGACAGCGAGGAAAGGGAGCTGCATCGGGACAGCGAGAGTGGCCCCTCTTGCGCCGCCAGTTTCTGCAGTGCCTTGCTGGCCACAGACAGCGGGGCAGCCGCCAGCTTCTCGGGAACCTTGCTCAGGTGGTCTGCCGGCAGCCAGGCCTGCTTCCGGGCCCCTGGAGAGATTCCAGGCCCCGCGAGGGGCTCTGCACCCGCCCTTGAGGCACCCTCAAGCAGTGGCACGTGCTGATAGGTAGGCGACAGCTTGATGGTGCGCACGCGGGCGTCGGCGGAGGTGGCCTCGCGGGCCGGGGGCTCGGCCTGGCAGCCGGGCAGGTCAAGGTCAAGCCGGCTGGGCCGAGGCTGCCCACACCTGGGGTCCTCGCGGCGCGAAGCCAGTGCGGCCAGCGGGCAGGGCAGCATATGTTCGCGTGGGCAGTACCCGTCGCTGGCACTGCCGCTGTTGAGGCTGTCGTTGGAGAGGCTGGCGTGGGCCGCCTTGAGCCGCAGCAGCGGGTGCGCCCGGCTTCCTGCCTCTCGCCGCCCGCCCTCCGGGCCGCGGCATGGCGAGCAGGACTGGGCGCGGCCCTCCCGTGGCGCCTCCTGTCCCGGGTCTCCAGAGCTGAGGCTGAAGCTATCGTCGGACGAGGTGTGCAGGGCGGAGATGTCCTCCACCAGCTGGTCGATGCGCGCCACTGCAAGCGCCAGCTTGGCCTTGGCCTTGGCCGCCACGGCTGCCTCCCCACTGGTGTCCTTCTCTGCCTCCTTGCCGCCTCGGCGGGTGGGCGGGGTGCGAGCCAGCGCCTGCCCCTGCAGGAAGGGGCTGCCCAGGAAGAGGGACAGCGCGGCAGGGCTGGCTGGCTCCCCGGTGGCCGCGGCCGCAGCCAGGGATGACGGTGCATCGTCGTCGTCAAAGCAGCCCGAATCGGAAGCATAGTCTTGGGCCAGGCCGTCCAGGTGTCGCAGGGGCGGCAGCGGCTTCTTAGTGGCGGCCTCGGCTGCCGGCGGGCCCTGCTTCTCCAGGTGCTCCAGCGCCTGCGCGAGGTGCCGTGCGTCCAGCTCGGCCTCCAGCGCCCGCTGCTTGCGCACGTACAGGCTGGGCACGCAGCTGCCTGGGGACACGGCGGTGGCGGCCGCCTGGTGCTTGGCGGGCCGATGGGCCAGCAGGTTGCGCAGGGCGGCGGCGCTGCCCATGGCGATCATCTTGTGCTTGGAGTGCACCAGATTACGCAGCATGCCCACGGCGCCCAGGTCCCACAGCAGCTCCTGGTCACGGGCGCTGCGGGCCGACAGGTTCCAGAGCGTGCCGCACGCGTTGCTCACGATGGTCAGGCTGTGCGAAGTCAGATGCTGCAGCAGCGTCTGCAGACAGTTGTGATCCCGGAGCACCTGCCTGTAGGCACAGGGCGGGTTAGCCTGGGCCACCCCCCACCCTCCCCTGCCCACCGAAGGATGGGGGGGCCAGATGTGGCAGGTAAAAGTAAACGCATCTGGTTAGGTTTGGATCTTGGAAAGACTAATTTTTGGTATAAGTATATCCCAAAGATTGCATGACAGAGACTAAATTATTTTATTTTTATTTTTTTGAGATGGAGTTAAAAAAAAAAAAAAGGTAGGCCGGGTGCAGTGGATCACACCTGTAATCCCAGTACTTTGGTAGGCCAAGTGGGGTGGATCCCCTGAGGTCAGGAGATCGAGACCATCCTGGCCAACATGGTGAAACCCTCTCTCTCTTAAAAATACAAAAATTAGCTGGGTGTGGTGGCGAGCACCTGTAATCCCAGCCACCCGGGAGGCCGAGGCACGAGCACTGCTTGAACCCGGGAGGTAGAGGCTGCAGTGAGCCGAGATCGCGCCACTGCACTCCAGCCTGGCAAGAGACCAAGAATCCATCTCAAAAAAAAAAAAAAAAAAAGGAAAAAACAGCATGCACATATCCTATGTGGTATCTGGGGTATACTTAGATAGATTCTGTCTATATCTATCTTTTCTGAGAGAAAGTTTCGCTCTGTCGTACAGCCTGGAGTGCAGTGGTGCAATCATGGCTCACTGCAGCCTCCAACTCCTGGGCTCAAGCAATCTAACCGCCTCAGCCTCCCAAAGGGCTGGGATTACAGGCGTGAGCCACGATGACCAGGTAAAAATAATATTTTGTGTTTTCATAAATAACATGTAAATATTTTTATTTTAATATTTCTTATTTAACAACATTTTTATTTTAATAATTTTTTTTTTTCTGAGATGGAGTTTCACTCTTGTTACCCAGGCTGGAGTGCAGTGGCATGATCTCCGCTCACTGCAACCTCCACCTCCTGGGTTCAAGCGAGTCTCCTGCCTTAGCCTCCCAAGTAGGTGGGATTACAGGCACCCACCACCCCGCCTGGCTAATTTTTATATTTTTAGTAGAGACGGAGTTTCACCATGTTGGCTAGGCTGGTCTCAAACTCCTGACCTCAGGTGATCCACCTACCTCGGCCTGCCAAAGTGCTGGGATTACAGGCGTCCACCACCCCACTGGCTAATTTTTGTATTTTTATTAGAGACGGAGTTTCACCATGTTGGCTGGGCTGGTCTCAAACTCCTGACCTCAGGTGATCCGCCCACCTCGGCCTCCCAAAGTGCTGGGATTACAGGCGTGAGCCACCGCGCCCAGCCAATAAGTTAATTTTTAGTATATCCGATGTGTATTTGAGATGTACTTCAATTAAAAATATTATTTATTTTTATAAATAAGTATTCTCTATTGTTTAAATATTTTAATGAAGACAGTTATATTAATATGATTTAAAATAAAATTGAGACAGGGTCTCACTCCCATCACCCAGGCTGGAGTGCAGTAGCGTGATCACAGGTCACTGCAGCCTCAACCTCCTATTGTCAAGTGATTCTTCCACCTCAGCCTCCTAAGTAGCTGGAACTACATGTGGACGCCAAGCCAAGCTAATTTTTCTTTTTTTTTTTTTTTTGAGACAGTTTTGCTCTTGTTGCCCAGGCTGGTGTGCAATGGCCTTATCCTGGCACACTGCAACCTCCGCCTCCCAGACTCAAGCAATTCTCCTGCCTCAGCCTCCCGAGTAGCTGGAATTACAGGCATGAGCCACCACACCTGGTTAATTTTTTTTTTTTTTTTTGAGACAGAGTCCCCTCTGTCGCCCAGGCTGGAATGCAGTGGTGTGATCTCACCTCACTGCAGCCTCCGCCTCCCGGGTTCACGCCATTTTCCTGCTTCAGTCTCCCGAGTAGCTGGGACCACAGGTGCCCGCCACCATGCCTGGCTATTTTTTTTGTATTTGCAGTAGAGACGGGGTTCACCATGTTAGCCAGGATGGTCTGGATCTCCTGACTTTGTGACCTGCCCATCTCGGCCTCCCAAAGTGGGATTACAGGTGTGAGCCACCACGCCCGGCCCACACCTGGCTAATTTTATATTTTTTAGTAGAGACAGGGTTTCTCCATGTTGGTCAGGCTGATCTTGAACTCCCAACCTCAGGTGATCCGCCCACCTCGGCCTCCCAAAGTGCTGGGATTCCAGGTGTGAGGGACCGAGCCCAGCCTGAAGTAATTTTTTTTTTTTTTTAAGACGGAATCTTGCTCTGTCGCCC
The DNA here is from genome assembly GCF_000001405.40 of Homo sapiens. Classification (NCBI taxonomy): domain Eukaryota; kingdom Metazoa; phylum Chordata; class Mammalia; order Primates; family Hominidae; genus Homo; species Homo sapiens. Next base: position 1,462,945 of record NC_000019.10, on the reverse strand, counting down.
AATCTGGAGTGCAGTGGCACAATCTCAGCTCACTGCAAGCTCCGCCTCCCGGGTTCATGCCATTCTCCTGTCTCAGCCTCCTGAGTAGCTGGGACTACAGGCACCCACCACCATGCCCAGCTAATTTTTTGTATTTTTAGTAGAGATGGGGGTTTCACCGTGTTAGGCAGGATGGTCTCGATCTCCTGACCTCGTGATCCGCCCGCCTCGGCCTCCCAAAGTGCTGGGATTACAGGTGTGAGCCACTGCGCCTGGCTGCCTGAATTTTTTTTTTTTTTTTTTTTTTTTTTGAGATGAAGTTTCGCTCTTGTTGCCCAGACTGGAGTGCAGTGGCACAATCTCAGCTCACCGCAACCTCTGCCTCCTGGGTTCAAACGATTCTTCTGCCTCAGCCTCCCGAGTAGCTGGGATTACAGGTGCCCGCCACCACACCTGGCTAATTTTATATTTTTAGTAGGGACAGGCTTTCTCCATGTTGGTCAGGCTGGTCTTGAACTCCCAACCTCAGGTGATCTGCCTGCCTCGGCCTCCCAAAGTGCTGGGATTACAGGCATGAGCCACTGCACCTGGCCTGAAGTAATTTTAATGTAATAAATAGGTCTGCATTTTAGTATATCTCACGCAGTATTTGGGACGTATTTATGCTGCAAACAGCAGCCCCTGGGGAAGCCTTGGGAGCATGCATTCACGGGAGGACAGTGCCCAGCCCAGCCCTGTGCCCGCCCCGAGCGCAGCTGCCTGTGTGCGGGTGGGGGGGTGGGGGCCGACCTGTAGTCCTCACGGGTGGCGACGAGGCTGGACACATTGCGGAGGATGCCGCCGCCGCTCTCGATGATGGCCAGCGAGTTGCTCTGACACTTGTAGGTCAGGGTGCTCACCAGGAAGCCCAGGGCGCCATCCACCTGGCAGATGGCCGCCTTGTTCTCTGTGCTGTGTGCAGACAGATTCCACAGGGCGCTCAGCACGCTCTTCAGGGTGGACTCCTGGACGAGGGGCGGGAGAGGGGCGGGTCAGGGCCTGAGTGGCCCGGAGGAAAGGCTCCCACGCTCACATTCAGTGAAGTTGGGTTTTTTTGTTTTTTGTTTTTTTTTTTTGAGACGGAATCTCACTCTCTCCCCCAGGCTGGAGTGCAGTGGCGAGATCTCGACTCACTGCAGGCTCCGACTCCCCAGTTCAAGCGATTCTCCTGCCTCAGCCTCCGGAGTAGCTGGGACTACAGACACCCGCCACCACGCCCGGCTAATTTTTTGTATTTTTAGTAGAGACGGGGTTTCACCGTGTTAGCCAGGATGGTCTCGATCTCCTGACCTTGTGATCCGCCCGCCTCGGCCTCCCAAAGTGCTGGGATTACAGGCAAGAGCCACCGCGCCCGGCCCAGTGAGGTTGTTTTTTTGAGACGCAGTCTTGCTCTGTGGCCCAGGCTGGAATGCAGTGGCGCAACCTCCGCCTCCTAGGTTCAAGTGATTCTCCTGCCTCAGCCTCCCGAGTAGCTGGACTAACAGGCGCCCGCTGCCACGCCTGGCTGTTTTTTTTAGTAGAGATGGGGTCTGACCATGTTGGCCAGGCTGGTCTCGAACTCCTGACCTCAAGTGAGCCACGGCGCCCAGCCCACATTTGCTTTCAAAGAGCAGTGACATGAGGAGTGAGCCCCAGCCGGTCTGAGGCTGGACCACCCGCTAAGCAGTGAGCTGTTCAACTTGATTTCCTCCCAAGTCGGAGAGCTCGCCCGCTGCCGCCAGCAGTCTCCTTCCAGTGACTGAAGAAGCATCCCTGCCGCCCACCGGGTGCCCACCTTGGTGGCCCGCAGGACACACTGCACCAGGGCAGTCACGCTGCCCGCCTCCCTCAGCACCTTCTTGCTGTTGATGTCGGCCCTCCAGGACAAGTTCCGAAGGATGCTGGACACCACCTGGGTGGGGTGAGGGGCAAGTGTGGTGGGACTAGGGTCCAGGCCCCCCAAACCCCCCAGCAAATGTGAGTCTGCAGAGAGTCGGACGGGACACCCCTGCCAGCCCACCACACCGCTGGGGAGGGGCCTCTGCCTATCAGGGACACCCTGGAAGGCTTTCCCAGCACCCCGCCCTGTACCTGGTGGAGCTCCTCACTGTCGGAGGCCAGCTGGGCCACGATGGCCTCCATGCAGCCGCGGCGCGCACACAGGGTGGCCTGTTGGGGGTTATGCAGCCGGGGTCACGGGGTTGGGACACAAGGGAGACTGTGCCCCTCACCTCCCAGCCCCGTCTGTGTGCTGCAGCTGCAAACTCAGACCCCTGCTGATCCTGACCACTACCGGGGACGGTTACCCCATGCTCAGGTCGGGAAACTGAGGCCCAGACAGGGGCAGACACCCAGCCTCGGGGCCCTGAGGCCCCCTCTACAATGAGGGCCATTTTCTGCAGAGGCAGCAACAGGGTGGGCGTGAGGACACCGCCAGGTGGGGAGGTTCAGCACGCGCTCCCGTCCCCCCACACCGCACTCTCTGGGCCTCAGTCTACCCGTCTGTAAGTTGGGGACAAGTGGCCCCAGCTCTCAGGGCTGTTTCGAGGCTGGGATGAGTTGGAAGGAGGCTCAGTCCCTGGAAGACTGGATGAGGAAAGTGCCAGCCCACCCACTGCCCCCGGGCACCTTGTTGGCAACGTCCCCAAAGGTGAGGTTGGTGAGGGTCATGCCCGCGTAGCGGCGCAGCGCCAGGTTCAGCGGGTCCCGGGTCATCTTGTGCATCTCATAGTCAACCTGCAGCAGCTCTGCCACGGCCTGCAGCCCACCTGTGAGGACCCAACAAGGTTGGTGGGTGGCAGGGATGACCCTGCCTGCTGCCCAGCGCCCCACCTCACTCCCTTGCCCAGAGGCCCTCCCTATGCCCCAGACCTGCCCTCAAGTTCCCCTTCCAGGCCCAAGTCTGAGACCTCCTCCAGGAGCCGGTATGGCCTCACCCTGCTGCCAGACCCACAGGGGTACCCCCAGTGCCCTGTGACTGCCACCCCCGCCTCCTGTCAGCCCTCGGTCCTGGCTCACGCTTCCTCCAGCCACTGGGCCTCTGCACCTGTTGTTCCCTCAGCCTGGAATGTTCTTCCCTGCCCTGTTTGATAGGTGCCTCGGGGAAGGCCCCCTGAGTCCTCTAATAATACACCCCAAGACCATCAGATGGAGAGCAGCATCCCCAGCACAGACAGGGCTGTAGGGATGGGTGACGGCCACACCCACCCTCTTCACTCGCCCCGCTTCCCCATTACAAAAGGGGGAAATCAACGGGGAGATGGCGCCTGTGAGTCAGAGGGAGAGGAGGACTTGTCACCAAAACACTTTTCTCCCTCTTCAAAGACAACAGAGGCAAATGTGACTGTTCTCAGAGCAGGAGTGGGTCAGTGGAGACACCCTTTGGGGAAGTGAGTTAGGGACATATCTCAGAAAACTTCCAGCCTGAAACGCGTACATCCAGGTTCACCACAGCACGATTCACAGAGCCAGGAGTGGGGGGCAGCTAGAGCATCCATAGGAGGACAAGTGGGTCAGCCCAGCGTGCCCTGTGCACACGATGGGATGTCACGCAGCCTCAGAAGGGAGCCAGGCTTTGGCCGGGTGTGGTGGCTCCTTCTGCCTGCAACTCCAGCACTTTGGGAGGCTGAGGCAGGAGAATCGCTTAAACCCGGGAGGCAGAGGTTGCAGTGAGCCGAGATGGCGCCACTGCACTCCAGCATGGGCAACAGAGCAAGACCCTGTCTGTCTCAAAAGGAATGAGGCTCTGAAACAAACAGACTATGGCGTAGGTGCACCTTGAGGATGTCACGCTCAGTGGGAGACGCCAGGCATAAAATGACAAATCCTGTGTGATTCCACTCCTAGGATGTCCCTAGCTCCATCAGATTCACAGAGACAGAAAGTAGGATGGGGGTGGGTGCCAGGGGCTGGGGACAGGATGAGCAGGAAATGTTTCACCGGGACAGAGTTTGAAGATGTAAAGTGGCCGGGCGTGGTGGCTCGCGCCTGTAATCCCGGCACTTTGGGAGGCCGAGGTGGGCGGATCACCCGAGGCCAGGAGTTTGAGACCAGCCTGAGCAACACGGTGAAACCCCGTCTCTACTAAAAATACAAAAATTAGTCAGGTGTGGGGGCGGGCACCTGTAATCCCAGCTACTCGGAGGTGGAGTTTGCAGTGAGCTGAGATTGTACCACTGCACTCCAGCCTGGGCAACAGAGTGAGACTCTGTCTCAAAAAAAAGTTACAGCAAGACTTTTCTTTTTGAGACAGGGTCTGGCTCTGTTGCCCAGTCTGGAGTGTGGTGGCATGATCATAGCTCCTTGCACCTTTAACCTCCTGGGCTCAAGAGATCCTCCCACCTCAGCCTCCCCAGTAGCTGGGACTAATTTTTTTTTTGTAGTGATGGGGTCTCACTATTTTTGCCCAGCCTGGTCTCGAACTTCTGAGCTAAAGTCATCCTCCTGCCTTGGCCTCCCAAACTGCTGGGATTACAGGTATGAGCAGCCTCGCCCGGCCTCAATTACTTTTTATATTGACAAAGAGAAGATGTTGCAATGTCCTCAAACGTAAAACACCCCCTACAGTTCCAATTCTGGGCCTGTCTTCTATCTATCTTTGCCCTTCTGGTCCGTTCCCTGTTCTGAGCCCCAGGGAACTTAGGGCTGAAAGTCACCCCCGAAGCCTCAGACCAGATCGGGAGGCCACACGCAGCTCATGGGGACAGAGGGCCCAGGGTGACGGTCCACTCATGAGAGGTGCTATGTGACTCCAGGGAGTCTGTCCCTCTCCGGGCTCCAATCCCCAGCCCAAGCTCAGATGACCCAGCCTGTGTCCCTTTAGCGGCCGAGGAGCCACCACCTGTTCGGGGGCTGGAGGATGGCTTCCCAGAGGACCTGGGACACTCACCTAGCTCGTTCATGGCACGGCGGTACTCCTCATCAAAGGACAGCTTCATAACAGCACAGGTGGCCTGGCAGATCTGCGGCTCGATGGGGATCGGGGCTGTGGGCACAGGGACCAGATCAGAGCCCCCATTCCCAGGAAATGTCCCAGGTGACTCCCGAAGGTCCCGCAACCCGCCCGCCCCAGGCCTGAAGGATCCCGGGAGCTTTGCAAATGGCTGCAAAGTTGGGACTTCCTTTCCCAGCCTCTCTAAGATGGGATGATGGGGTGGCCTCTCTCACTCAGCCTTGGGAAGGGAGGCGAGGTAGTTCCTGGAGCACCACACCTTTCAGCTGTGCTTCTGCCCTTTTTAAAAATAAAACTGACGAGACAGGGTCTCGCTCTGTTGTCCAGACTGGAGTGCAGTAGCATGATCTCAGCTCACTGCAGCCCCAAATTCCTGGGCTCAAGCAATTCTCCTGCTTCTGCCTTCCAAAGTGCTGGGATCACAGGTGTGAGTCACAGCGCCCGGCCCCCATATTAACTTTGCGATCAACTGCAAAAAAAGAATCTCAAAGTCTGCACCCAACTTTCCAGAGTTACCCACGATCCATCCATGCATTCAGCGACTTCCCGAGCGTTTACTCTGCGCCAGGTACGATCATGGGCGGGTCTTTTCCCAACGTCAAATGCCCCCACAGGCCTCGGCCGGAGCCTGGTACTGCAGCCTCCAACGCCAGAAGGCAGGCAGCAAAGGCTGGAGGTCCTAGTCGCCCATCCCCCGGGAAGCCCTAGCTGCACGTTAATTGCGCGGAGGGGGCCCACCAGGCCAGGCACTCACCGCTGCCGGCGCCACCTCCCTCGGGCCCGCCGTCTCGGGCCTGCAGCCAGTCCCAGCAGGTCTCGCAGTAGGCCCGGATCTGCTCCAGCACGTGCAGGACGCGCATCTCCTTGCGCGCCAGGCCCTGGTCCGGCTGCGAGAAGACGATGTTGTGCAGCGCCGCGTTGGCGCGCATGCGTGCGTCCTTGGCGCCCGGTGCCCCTGGGGCCCCGGCGCGACCCCCGGCCGCGGCCTCGGTGCCGTGGAGGATTTGCAGCAGCAGAGGCAGACAGCCCGAGCGGCGCATGGCCACGCAGCTCTCGGGCGAGCTGGACATGGCCAGCAGCGTGCGCGCTGTATCCTCCTGGTCGCGCGTCGCCAACATGGACAACAGCCAGAAGACCACCTCCACCTGGGGGGAGGGCAGGGTCAGGGTGGGGTCCCTCACCTGCCCCCCGCACACCTGGAAACCCGGTCGGAGCCCTGTGACCCCTGCCCCGTCCCCAAGGGCAGCCCCACGCCCACCTGGGGGACAGATGAGGGGACGCTAGGAGGCTGCACACGTGCTTCGGGGAGGCTGGCCCCCCTCACCTGGCATTCCTAGGGTGGCCGCGCAGAGCCAAGGGACTCCACGGGGACGTCTATGGTGCCCCACTTAGCCCCCGCTACGGGACGTATTTCCCCATCCACCTCGCCAGGCCCGCAGCTTCTGCATGAGCTGCACGCCAGAGGGGCCTTCCTACACCCGAGGGGGTGCTGGATGGAGGCATGGGAGGGCACCACCACTGGCGAGGATGCAGACCTGATCCCCCTTCCAGCCCAGACAGCTGCGCCAGCCCCCGTTTCACCCTCCCCCTCACCTTGCTGTTGCCCGGCTGAGGGGTGCCATCCTCAGGGTGTGTGGGGACCTCTGTCTCGGGGTCCTCGTCCACCGGCACCGACTTCACCGCCAGCAAGGCCTGCAGGGAGAGCACCAGGGTCGGGGGTACAGTCCCAGAGCACCCAGTCTGCTCACCCGTGATGATGTGGGCGGGGGCGGGCAGAACTCGAGGAGCCCCGTTCTGCCTGGGCCGACACCACCCCTGGTCCCTGGCTCTGCCCCACCCGGTACCTGGGGCTCCGTCTGCTGCACTCGGTCCTGCGCCTCCAGCAGCTCCTTGTCAATCTGCTCCAGGCGCGAGGCGCGGATCTGCTCAGGACCACACGAGGGCAAGTGCTGGAGCTGACCCCGCCCCCGGCTCTGACCCCGCCTCTCCCTGGGATGACCCCACCCTGGGCTCTGACCCCGCCTCTTCCTGATAACCCCGCCCCAGGCCCTGACCCTACCTCTGCCTTCTCCCTGATCCAGCCCTGCCAGCTCCCTAAGCCCCGCCTCCTAAGATATGACCCCACCCACTGTCTAAACCCCGCCTTTAGTCCATCCCAGGCTCTGACTCCTCCCACTTCCCATTTGGGCTCCACCCAGAACCTAGACCTCGTCCTTCTAGGCCCCACCCACCTGCTGATCTGGCCCTGCCCACAGGCCATGCCACCTTCCACTGTCGCACCCCACCGCCCTTGTGCTCAGGCTCTGAGCCTCCTGACTCCACCCACCAACACCTCCAGCTTCTGGCCCCGCCTCCTGAACCAGAACCCGCGCCCCCCAACCCAGGAGGCATAAGACTCCTCCCATTACCCCAGACCCCGCCCATAATATCTGCACTCTGATTTGCCCACTGGCGCAGGGCCCCGCCTACCGCCGCGCCACCCCGCCCACCGCCGCACCTGTGCCCGCTGCACCATCTCGTCCGAGGTGCCGAAGCGCTCCTCCATCAGCGAGCGGATGTGCTGGGCCTCGAACTCAAGCTGCTGCCGGATCAGGTCCATCTGCATCGAGAACTGCTGGCAAAGGCAGGCGGGCGGGCCACGGTGAGGGGCGCCCGGGCCAGGCCCCGTTCCTCCCCCACGCCGCTTCCCGCACCCTGAGTGGGGCGGGCGCGCTGCCCCCTGGCTCCCCGGCCGGCTCACCGTCTCCACGTGCGGCAGCTCGTCCAGGCGCTTGGACAGGCCCTGCAGCTGAGAGTAGTACCAGAGCTTCTCCTTCTCCTCCTTCTCAATCTCATTCAGCAGGAAACACCTGGGGAGCAAGTCAGCGGGGGCGGGCTCAGAGGGCGGCGCCGTGTGTGTTTATTTTGATATTTGTAATCACTTGTTAGCGCTTACTGTATGCCAAGGTTAACAGGCAACATGGCAAGGTCTCTCCCGTGGCACTCCCCGAGCTAGGGTAAGGGGGGGGGGGTGGGTATTGAAATTAACTGGGGGATGCAAAAAAATTAAAGGAGAGAAAACAGTCTGGGCAACATAGCGAGACCCCCTCTCTAAAAAGGAAAAAATAAAAATAAAAAATATAAAAATAGCCGGCCGGGCGCGGTGGCTCACGCCTGTAATCCCAGCACTTTGAGAGGCTGAGGCAGGCGGATCACGAGGTCAGGAGATCGAGACCATCCTGGCTAACACGGTGAAACCCCGTCTCTGCTAACAATACGAAAACAAAATTAGCCGGGCGTGGTGGCGGGTGCCTGTAGTCCCAGCTACTCGGGAGGCTGAGGTGGGAGAATGGTGTGAACCCGGGAGGCGGAGCTTGCAGTGAGCCGAGATCGCGCCACTGCACTCCAGCTTGGGCGACAGAGCGAGACTCCGTCTCAAAAAAAAAAAAAAAAAAGTACAAAAGATTAGCCAGGCATGATGGTGCGCACCTGTGGTCTCAGCTACTCCCTGACATGGGAGGCTGAGGTGGGAGAATCACCTGAACCCAGGAGTTCGAGGCTGCAGTGAGCGATGATCATACCACTGCACTCCAGCCTGGGTGACAGAGTGAGACCCTGTTTCAAACTATATGTACTAAACAAAAAAAAAAAAAAGAGAAAGCAATTCCTTTGGAAATTCTCCTCCTTGAAGAAAGACTGAGGGAGGCTGTCCTGCCTCTAACACTTCTCCCATACTTGCTAACCTCCCTCCAGCTTACAAGGTAGCTTCAGGCTCAAAGTGCTCCAGGTGCAACAGAGGTTTCCCTTAACCTCATGGGAGACACGGCCATTCCGATTTTACAGGGCAGGAGTCTTAGGCTGGGAGGGTTTAGGGGAGCTGAGTGAGGTCCCACAGCAGAGCACAGACAACCCCACGCTGCTCTTCAATGGCCCCATCTGACCCCACATGACCCCTCCCAGCTGCACAGGGTGCCCAGACCCTGCCTCCCTCTGCTGGCCCTGAGCCCACGCTTCTTGGGCCACAGCTCTCTACAAAGACGGCTTTGAGCCCGCCTGGCTCCAGGCCTGGCTGAGCCCTGGCACCGGACACAGCCCGGTCCCTGGCGACGCCTGCGTGTCTCGGACCCCTGGGGACGTCTCCAAGGAGCCTTTCCCTCAGCCAGGAACGTCCCCCATCCTCTCTGAACTCCAGCAGAGGTCAGCCGGGCTGGGGAGGGGGAGGGAGGCCACGTGGGGACGAAGCTCCGAGGTGGGCGGGGTTGTTCGGTGGGCAGTGCCATATGCAAGTGGGTGGGGCGTGTGAGGTGTGGGCAGAGACATATGCGGGTGGGCGAATTAGAGGGCAGAGCCCGCTGGGGACCGAGTCATGCTCCAGCTGCCCGAGGCTGGGTTCCCACGCCCACTCACCGTTCCCGGTCCAGTTCCTCCAGCAGCCGGATGGTGGCCCGGCTCAGCTCCCCAAAGCTGTCCTTGGAGGGCCCGGAGCCGTGTACTGGGCTGCCCTCGGGGGTCCGGGCGGCAGGCTCCGGGCCCAGGGTGGGCGGCTGGAACTTGAGGTTGTACAGGCTGGTGATGTCCATCTGTAGGGCTGGATGGGCGGGGACAGGGCGGAGGTCAGCGGCCCTGCCTGCCTTTCCCCCCAGCCTCCCCCACTCCCTCTGCGGGTGGCCCCACCGCTCACCCTTCAGCTGCTCCAGCACCTCCGTCTGCCCCGAGGACACCAGCACTCGGGCCTCCTGCTCCAGTTTTCCCTGTAGGTGCTTCAGGACCTCCTGCAGGGGCGGGAAAGAGGGCGGGAAGCCATCAGCCACTGCACTGGGCTGCCGGGGGGCACCACCCCGGGACCCTAGCCCACCTCCTCCATGTAGGCCCCCACCTTCATGCCCGACGTCTCTGTCTCCAGCTTGGACAGGTGGCTGGAGTTGTCCCTTAGCTCCTGCCTCAGGTGGCTGTTCTCAGCCTTCAAGGCCTCCACCTGCCTCACCAGCTGCTCGTAGGGCGCCACGGAGCTCGCCATCTTCAGCTCCTGCAGCGTCTGGGATCACAGGGTCAGAGGGTTCAGCTGATGGTCTGGGGAGGGCGCGGTGATGCCTTCCGGACAGACGGCCCCTGACCTAAGCCCCAGCCGTCCTGCCTGATCCTGGGTTGGGGGGGGTCTCAGGCAGGAGTCACTGGTGTGGACAAGTACAGGCCCACGTGGTGGTGGCCAGGCAATCCGGGGCGCAGAGGGGCAGGTGGAGTGAGAGGTGGCCCCAAGGGGAGACAGAGGGGCCAGCAGACAGACGTACAGACAGCTGAACGTCCAACTGACCAGTCGACCGACAGACGATGGGTCGGCCTCTCCTTCCCAGCCCCCAGGACACATCCTGACAGCCGGACAAACACACAGACAGCTGGGACAGCCTAACCCAGCAAGCCGACTGGCCAGCCCAGCACCCCCAGGCTCACAGCCAGAGAGGGCGACAGACAGACAGACAGGACCCTCCCCCATAAAAGCAAGCCTGCCCAGAGGCTGACAGCCAGACACGCGGGGCGGACAGACCACCAGCTGTCCCTGCCGATGGACAATGAAAACACCACGAAGGCCAGTGGGTGACACCTAAGCTGTGCAGAAACGGCAGGACAGATGGACCCAAGCCCACCGCCATCACCGCAGCAGCCCCACGACCCTCCATCGGTGGCTGAGCTCAGGGTGGCTACCTGTGTGGCCCGCACCCCCTGCGCAGCCTTCAGCTGGTCCCTGCTGGCCCCGGCAGCCCCTGCCCCATCCCTTGACTCTGCCAGCGCGCTGGCTTCTTTGTGCCTCTGGCCGTCTTCTGGCTCTGGCCTGGCCTCCTCCCTCTGTCCAGCTGGCCGGCGCCTCCTCCCTCGGCTCGGCCCTCCCGCCGGAGCCCCCCTTCACGCCCCCCTTCCCTCTTTGTTCCTTTCCCATCAGCGCTCGCCTCCTCCCTCCGCCTTTGTCTCAGACGCACCAATGGCAGCCCATCCCTCTGCCACCTCCCCCTGCCAGCCTGAGCCCCTTCCTCACACCGGCCCTGTCCAGCCCACCTGCTCCTCCCCTCCCTCCTCCACCTGGCCACACACATGTATTCACCCGTCATTTGTTCTCTGACCCCCAGGTGCCCCCTCATCCCCTCCCCTCCCACCCAAATGTCACCAGGGGCACGGCTGGGACAGGAGTAGGGGTGGGGGCTCAGTCGCAGGTGGGAGGATGGAGTCGGGCTGTCCCGTCCTGCTCAGGGGACGCAGTGTGTGGCTTGCCATGTCATCCGGCTCCTTCTTGGTCTGTCCTGAGTCTCAGGGACCACCATTTGGCTGTTCCCAGAGGGAGAAACGAGGCCCTAGGAACCGAGGTCTGGCACCCAGATGCTGCCCCAGAGGGGCTGGGAAGTCCAGGCTGGAGGCCCGACAAGACCCGCCCCTCTCTGGCTTTGGGTTGCCCCTCTGAGGAACCTGCAGGGCAGGAGTGCCCAAGGGCAGGGTGGGAGGGGCACAGGGACTGGAAGTCAGGTGGCAGAGGCTGGCACCTCCCACCCTGATCCGATGATGTCCAAGGCTGTTCAGGTCTCCAGTGGGGATCAGGCTTGGGGTTGGGGGCTACACGCAGGGAGACCCTGGGGTCTGGCTCGAGCCCCATGTTCCAGCTGAGGTCACCATCCCATGCCCAGCCAGGTGGAAGGACCAGATGACGTGCAAAGCAACACATGTCTGCCTCCTGCTCCCCAAACCCAGGCCTCCCCCACGTGGTTCTTCTCAGCTGACCGAAGCCAAGCCTCAGACACCTTCCCTCTCCCCACATTCGGTGGTCATTTCTGCATCCTCATCAGACTAAGCTAGTCCCTCCAAGCTCTGCCCAGCGGGATCATGCCTCCCCCAGCTCCTGACACCCCTCTGTGAGGACATTCTGATCAGCCTCTTCCTGGCCTCCCACAGTCCCCCATGCACAGCCAGAGGGAGCTTTAAACGTCACAAGTGAGATCCCATTTCTCCCATGCTCAAACACCTTCCATGGCTCCCCAGTGCCCTCAGGATACGCTCCGACTCCTCCATGTACACCGCGACTCACTTAGAGGCTGGAGGCTCTCTTCTCTCAGGCCTTTGCACGTGCAGTTGCCCTGCCTAGAGCACCTTTTCTAAGTCCTGCCATCCCACACAGTGCAGCTTCTTCCACGAAGCTCTTCTGCCTACTTTCACCCCCAGGTTGCATCGTGTAGCCTCCTGGGGGCCTTCCTGAGCGATCACTCCCTGAAGGCACCATGACTGGGGGCTGGTCTTATTGAGCGGGCTGCATTTCAGGGGAGGGAGGCACAGGTATGGGAAGCCAGGCCCAAAGGGGCCTTTCTCCTTCCTTTAATCCAAACCCCCTCTTTCCAGAGAGGGAAACTGACACCCAGAGAGGTGCAGCAACACCCCCGAAGACACACCACTGGCCTGCCCATCCCTTCCTCCGATCACCTCAGGGAGGTCCGGATGGTGAAGCCCGTGAGTGGGTGTGTGCGCAGGACCGGCTGCAGAAACGCTGACGCCCAGCTCACCGGGACTCAGTTTCCCCTCCAGCTCCCACTCTGGGGAAATGGAGGGTCCAGAGTCTGTGCTGACGGGCAATGCTGAGAGCCAGGGATGGAAACCTCGACGCGAGGCGGAGGTCGCGCCCCTGCCCTCCTCCCCGAGGACACACACCCGCTTACGTGCAGCTGGGCTGGCGGGGCGCCTGGGTCTGGGGCCTCCTCCCTCTGCGCGGCTCCGCGGGCCCCACCGGAAATCCCGGCCCGGGGTGGCCTCGGAGCGCGCGGGCTCCGGGGTCTCCGCGGCGCGGGCAGGGGCTCCGGGGCGGACAAAGCCCGGTCCGGGCCTGGGCAGGCGGCGCTGCCGCTCCTAGCGCTGGGCGAGACCACCGCGAGCGGGGGAGGATGCGGGATGAGGGATGCGGGTGAGACAGCCAATGAGGGCGCGGGAAGACGGGCTGGTGCCATGGCAACAGCCAATGGCGGCCCGGGGCGGGGACCGGCGTCGGCCGCGGGGCGTCGGGCCTCCGCGCGGGCTCAGGGGCCGTGAGTGCGGGGGGCGAAACCCCCCCGAGGGAAGGGGGTGCCCCGAGGACCAAGATTCCTGTGTCCCGCACTTTATTGCAGGGTGCAACGGCCTCTTAAAACCTCCTGCGTCTGGATTTGCAGAATTGGAGAGTAAAACATCAAATCCTGGATGTTACATCAGCATCTTGGCGGGGGAGGGGTTTCCAGGGCAGTGGCCGGGCTGGGGCCAGGCCTGCACCCACCCCACAGGTCCAGCCTGGCCTGGTGCAGGTGCGTCAGGGTGGGACAGGGTTCGGGTCCAGGCTGGAGCTCCCTGAGGGTCCTGCCTGGTGGGGAGGGGAGAGGGGAGGAGGGGCAGGGCCACTGGGGAGCACCTGGGACGCTGCATCTCCCCACATTTCTCCCTGTCTCCCCAACGGAGCGTCAGATCCTCCTGTAACTCCGTTGCTCTTCATGTCCCTCTCTCTTTCTGTCTCCCCCTCTGTTCTCTGTCTCTCAATCTCTGTCTCCATGTGTCTCTGCCCCTGGTGGGTGGCACACTTAATTCACCCTCACGGACCGAAGGCCAGAGGAGGGAAGGGCCAGGGGTCCCAGGAGTCGCCATCTCCAGGTGTCCTGGATGCTCCATGAGTCCCTGGAAGCCATTTGAAGGTTTAACACACAGAGCCCGTCCCTGCAGCTCGGAGCAGCCCTTCCTGCTCTGGACACAGACTCACAGCACAGAAAGGGAGGCGACTGGGGCCAGAAGAGTGATTTTTTTCCGTGCTGGGCAGGCAGGGCAAATCATTCGCCGCTCAACCCTCGGTTTCCTCCTCTGTAAAATGGAGAGGAGGCGGAAGATTCTGCAAGGGCTGGTGCAGGGAATGATAGGAGAGGGTGGGAAGGTCCGAGTATTCAAGGCCCCGTAGACAAAGGCAAGGGAGGACCCGTGCTGTTTCCTGTTGGGCCTTGAGCTGAAGACCCGAGGGCCTTGTCCCGGGCCAGCACTGCCAGGGGCTGAGAGCCCTTCGGCCTGGCTGTCTGGGAGCCCCCAGAGCTGGACGCAGCTGTCCCCACTGGTTGGGTCTGGGGAGGCAATGCAGTGGGCAGACACAGGGGATCTTTTCTTTTTTCTTTTTCTTTTTTTTCTTTTTTTTTTTTTTGAGACGGAGTCTTGCTCTGTAGCCCAGGCTGGAGTGCAGTGGCACGTTCTCGGCTCACTGCAAGCTCCGCCTCCCAGGTTCACGCCATTCTCCTGCCTCAGCCTCCCGAGTAGCTGGGACTACAGGCGCCCGCCACCACGCCCAGGCTAATTTTTTGTATTTTTTAGTAGAGACGGGATTTCACGTTAGCCAGGATGGTCTCGATCTCCTGACCTCGTGATCCACCCGCCTCGGCCTCCCAAAGTGCTGGGATTACAGGCGTGAACCACCACGCCCGGCCTTTTTTTTTTTTTTTTTTTAGATGGGGTCTTGCTCTGTCCCCCAGGCTGCAGTGCAGTGGCGCCATCTCGGCTCACCGCAACCTCCGCCTCCTGGGTTCAAGTGATTCTCCTGCCTCAGACTCCTCAGTAACTGGGATTACAGGCATGTACCACCTTGCCAGCTAATTTTTGTATTTTTAATAGAGAGGGGGTTTCACCGTGTTGGTCGGGCTGGTCTCAAACTCCTGACCTCATGATCCGCCCGCCTCGAAGGGGATTTTTTTCTGGAGGCTGGAAGGCTGCCCTGAGAAGTGAACAGCAGTGATCAGGAGGAGAGGCGTTCCAGGCTGAGGGAAGATCAATGCATGCTTGGGACACAGGGGGTGTCTGGTGGAGCCATGGGGTAGGGCGCGTGGTGGGGTTTGACAGGTCAAGCCGGGGCAGAGCTGGGCGAGGCTGAAATGGGGTTGGGGATGCAGAGCCCAGGGCCCTGGCTTCAGCTCAGCCTTGTTGTCCCTGTGTCCCCCTGGGCATGTCTCTCTCTGGCCTCGGTTTCCAGTCTTGTTTACTGAAGGGTGGGTTGGATGATCCCTGCCTCCCCCAAAGAGGAACTAAGTCCCACCTCCCTGTGTAGTTTCAGATGTCTCAGCTCCCCAGGCCCCCATCAGGCAGGGGTTTGGGGGATCCAAGGTCAGTCCTGTCCTTGTATACATGGGGAAACTGAGGCCTGGGCCAGGGAACGTGTTGCCTGAGTTCACCTGTGCCAGCCAGGCCTCCGGAGTGACACTGAACCTCCCTTCTTATCCCTCTGGGGGTGGCCAGGGCCTGGAGGGCTGAGGGTACATGGGGGCTGAGACCCCAAGACAAGATGCCCTTGGCCCCAAATCTACAAAACATTATGTCCCTGAACAATCCCCCCCCACACACTAAAATCCTCGACCCTGTAAATCCTTGAACCACAGCCACACTCAGACATCACCAGACATTTCAGAGCCTCAAGAACCCCCCACAGCCCCCTAGGACTTCAGGAGACTGAGAGAGGTCTCCCCCTTCTCCCACTGCAGAACGCAGGGCCTAGCCCAAGACCCCGACCTAGGCTCCTCCCTGGGGTCCTCCACGCCCCCTACTGCTGCTGGGCTAAAGGGGAAGTTCCATGAAATGCTCACTCCCCCACCCCTGTCCTGTGACACCTCCCCGCAAGTCCGCAGCCTGGCACACGGCTCACTCTTGGAGTGTCTTTGAGCCTTCTGAGTCTGACCTCGAGCTGTCCCCGCCCCCTTGATGCCTCCTCTGTGCCAGGGGCTAGAGGCAGAAACAGGGGCGGCCCCCATCGGGAGCTGGGTGGGGACAGAGAAGGCACCAGGTCATCGCGGGAGGATAGAGACGGCCCGCCGCCGGCTGGGTGGCCGGGCAGAGCCCTGACCGGTGAGGAGGCCACCGGAGGTGGGGGAGGGTGGGGTAGGCCGGTCCAGGCCGCGCCCTGAAGCCTGACCGCCGCTATGGGCCTCAGTTTCCCCGGCGGCGAGTCGGCAGACGTGCGCCTCCGTCAGCACCGCGGACAGCTCCCCGGCCCCCGCCCCGCGTTCTCTTGCGGGCGCCTTAGCTCCGCAACGAGGCTCCGGCCTCGAAGCGTGACCTTGGGCTCCCCGCTGCACCCCCCAGCCTCAGTTTCCCCTCCAATGAGGGATGTCACAGCCGCGAAATTCAGACGATTCCGGAGGCTGGAGAAGCGCTGGGGTCGGGAGCGGACGGATACGAACAGCAGCGGCGGCGAACGTCAAAGCAGGCCATACGCTCGCGCCCAGAAGGGGAAACTGAGGCCCAAAGAAGCGCAGGGCGTGGCCCAGGCCCCCACCCTGCGCAGGGCCGAGCCTCCGCAGGATGCCCCCGCAGCCGCCCCCGCCGCCCCAGCTGGCGCAGCCTCCGCGTCGGCGCAGTGAGGAGGGGTCCGAGGGTCTCCTGCAGAGGCCGAGGGCTGGGCTGGGCGAGCCCTGCGCTTGCGCAGACCCGGGGCTGGGGGTCGCAGCGGCGCACGAGAGGGGCTTCCATCCCCGCCAGCCTTCCGAGGCGGTTTCCCGGCAACGGTCTCTACGGCGACGGCACTAGACCCCCGACTCTGCAGCCTCCGCGCGCTCGCCCCATGCGCCCCCCGCCGCCGCGCCCGCTGTTCCCGCGGTGTGGACCCCGCCCCGTTCCTGCGCGGCCCGGAGCCCTCCCCAACGGCTCGACCCACGCGCCCTACCTGGTCCCCGAAGAAGGCCGAGTGCAGCAGGCTCAGGAGCCCCAGGAGCCCCATGGAGCCGCGGCCGCCCCGGACCCGCCGCGCCCCGCCCCTCGGCGGCCAGGGTGGGGGTGCGGGACGCGAACGGGGCCGCCCTGCGCCTGCGCGGAGAGGGGCGGGAGGGGTCAGTCCGCGGGCCCGGGGCGGGGCTCCTCCCGAAAGGGGCGAGGGCGTACCGTGGGGTCTGGGGGTGCTCGCGGGGGCTGGGGAGTCTCGCGGGACCGAGGCTGCGGAGGGGCGGTGGGAGATCCAAGGATGGGAGAGAGGGGAGGGGACTCGCGTGGGCCGAGCGGCGCCAGGGTCCGGGTCCGACCACGCTGGGGAGTTCGAATGCGGAGGAGGCTGGGGGGGCCCGAGGCGGCGGGGAGGAGGCCGGGTGGGGGTGGGGGCACGAGAGGTCCCACGGGGAATGGGGGTCGCGGGGGGCCAGAGGCGGCGTCGCCATGCGGCTGTGGTCCGCTGCCCGCGGACGGTCACCCTGCGGAAGCTCGGAACCACCCCCGAATCAGCCCGGCTTGGCGCGCTGAGGTTCATTAGTCATTCAGCAAACATCACCTGCGCGCACAAGGCTTGCTGGGCGCCGAGCTGGGCGCGCGGGGGGCCGCCGTAAGGGGGCGACACCGAACGCGGACATTCATGCAACAAGCATTTATAAAGCACCTACTGTGTGCTGGGTCCCCCTGCACTGAACAAAACAAAATCCAGGCCCTTGGGAAGCTGACGTGAACGAGGGGACTGCAGCGGGCTGGGAGAGACGCCAGCGCGGCGGGCAGGGCATGGGGAGCTGCTGGGGAGGCCGAACAGCCCTGGGGAGTGTTGGGGGAGAGTGCAGCCCGCGAGGGCAGTGAGGGCTGGGAGGCCCCGGGGGGCAGGTCGCGCAGGCCCAGCGGGAGGTGGGAGCCACCGCGGGCTGTGGACAGAGCAGGGCCGCGCCCGGCTCCAGGCTCGCGGGCGCCCGCTGGCGGCTGCGGGGAGAACAGGCCGTGGGCGGTGCCGGGAGAGGAGGGCGGAGGCGGCTGCGCGGGTCGAGGGCCGGATGATCGGGCGGAAGATGCGGCCCGGGCAGGATGGGGGCTAAGAGGGGTGTTATGAATTGTGCAAAGTCCCTGGAAACCAAAGAACGAGCGGCCGGAGAAAGGGGCGCCGCTTTAGCAGGGCGGCGGGGACAGGCCGCCTCCAGCAGGTGCCTCAGCTGAACCCTGGAGCGGGGACGGAGCCGTGCGGCTGCCGGGGAGGCTTCGGGGCCACCCAGGACTCCTCCTTCAGAAGTCAGGGGAGGGCGCCGAGTTCAGTGTAAACTGCCGTCCAGGGGGGAGGCCGCGGGGATGTGAGAAGCGCCGGGAACCAGGACAGGGCCTGAAGGCAGCTGACCCGCAAGCGCCGGGGCCAGACCTGAACCTGATGAGGACGGAGCTGTCTGTCTGAGACGGCACAGATGGGGCCGGGCAGGTCTGGGAGAGTCCATGCAGATTCTGGAGCGGGGTGTGGGACCAGAGGGTAGAAACAGAAGCGTGGGGCCGGGCACGGTGGCTCCCGCCTGTAATCCCAGCATTTTGGGAGGCCGAAGCGGGTGGATCACTTGAGGTCAGGAGTTCGAGACCAGCCTGGCCAACATGGCAAAACCCCGTCTATACTAAAAATACAAAAAATTAACCGGCGTCTTGGCGCATGCCTGTAGTCTCAGCTAGTCGGGAGGCTGAGCAGAATCGCTTGAACCCAGGAGGCGGAGGTTGCAATGAGCTGAGATTCTGCCAGTGCACTCCAGCCTGGGCGGCAGAGCTAGACTCCGTCTCAGAAAAAAAAAAAAAAAAAAAAAAAAGAAGTGCGGATATGGCCAGAGAGGCCTAAAGACAGAGCCTGGGCCTTGAGTTGGGAGTGGCCCTCGACAGTGGCACCCTAGTGCTAGTTAGAGGCTCCCACCCCACCTCCTGGACACCCCCCAAATTCTTGTGGACCTAGGGCACCACCTGGCCACCAAGACATGTGTCTCTCTGAACTGGGGGTATCTTTTTGCTTTAAATACTAATACATATTTTCCCTGATCACACATGCTGGATTCCAACTGCAGAAAACCAAGGGAAGTACCCATTAGCAGCCACGTGCTAGCCAGCAGGGGCGTGTGCAGGGAGGGCTTTTATGGACAGGAAACTTCCCGTAAAGGTCCAGACAGTAAATTTTCAGCGTCTGCCTGGCAGAAGTAATACAGGTATGAATGGGCACAGCTGGGTGCCAGTAAAGCTCTGCAAAAGCGAAGTGAGGCCCAGCACCCATTCCTATTATGCTTTCCTCAGGGAGGGCCCCCTGGGGCTTGTTCCCAGCTAGCTGCCTCATGATGGGCGCGGCCCCACACATCTCTGTGTCATTTGCTCTGCAGATAGACCTGGTAGCTCAAAAGCTCTGTCATTTCCATTTATTTATTTTTTTCTTTTTTTGAGACGGAGTCTCGCTCTGTCCCCCAGGCTGGAGTGCAGTGGCGCGATCTCGGCTCACTGCAAGCTCCGCCTCCCGGGTTCACGCCATTCTCCCGCCTCAGCCTCTCCAGTAGCTGGGACTACAGGCGCCCGCCACCACGCCCAGCTGATTTTTTGTGTGTGTTTTTAGTAGAGATGGGGTTTCACCATGTTAGCCAGGATGGTCTTGATCTCCTGGCCTCGTGATCCGCCCGCCTCGGCCTCCCAAAGTGCTGGGATTACAGGCGTGAGCCACCGCGCCCGGCTCCATTTGTTTTTTTTAGACGGGGCCTCGGTAAAGACTTCAAGTGTGCACCATGGTTTCCGGCACTTTTGATTTCTAAGGCTCAGGGTTGAAAACCATGTTGCAGATAAAGCTGTTTCAGTGGGACATCCACTAATTTCCCACTTTGCTTATCTGAGGCGAAAAGCACCTAACACCTCAGCAATTTCTTTTTTTTTTTTTTTTTTTTTTGAGGCGGAGTCTCCGTCGCCCAGGCTGGAGCACAGCACTTTCAGAGGCCGAGGAAGGCGGATCACCTGAGGTTGGGAATTGGAGACCAGCCTGGCCAACATGGTGAAATCCTGTCTCGACTAAAAATACAAAAATTAACCAGGCGTGGTGGCGTGCTTCTGTAATCCCAGCTACTCGGGAGGCTGAGGCAGGAGAATTGCTTTAACCTGGGAGGTGGAGGCTGCAGTGAGCCGAGATCGTGCCACTCAACTCCAACCTGGGCGACAGAGCGAGACTCTGTCTCAAAAAATAAAAAGAATTCTGAATGCTGACAACCGAGACTACAATGAACCCTGCCTACACATGCCTTCCCTCCCTCTCCTTGAGCTGGACCTGGGGTGGGCCTTCGAAGCTGGGTCCCGTACAAGCTTCTGCTGTTCACGCTGAAGTGAACCTGGCCAGTGCTGCCCAGAGACCTCCGGCGGCCACCTAGCAGCCAGACTGTAGCAGGATGAGCCACAGACAAAACTCCTGACACTGGATTAAAGAAGAGGTTTTTATTCGGCCGGCAGCATCAGCAGACTCGCGTCTTAAGCTCCCCGAAAAAGAGATTCTTGGCCTTTTTAAAGGCTTACAACTTTAAGGGGTCCACGTGAAAGGGTCGTGATACATCAAGCAAGTGTGGAAAACGTGAGTGGGGGCTGCATGCATCAGCTAACACAACAGAAAGTTTTACAATGCTTTTTCGTAGTGTCTGGAATTTACAGATAACACAAGTAGTTTAGGTCAGTGGTTGATGTTATTATTACTTTTTTTTTAACTCCTAGGGCCGGGTGGTGGTGCCAAGGTTGTCTGTTTATCTTACTTTTGCATTTTTTTTCCAACTTTTTGCATTTTCTCTCCTCCTGTCTTGTGAACTAGGCAAGGTGGTGGGAGGAAGGCAGCAGGAGTAGTAGTGGTCTCCTTCCTTAAGACCACACTCCAAACTTTGGACCGTTGGTTTCAAGCCCGGTGGGTTCAGGTCAACCCACAGGCGAATTTTCAAACATTCTACACATCTCAGGGGCTGCCAGCCAAGACTTGCCCCCACTTCTGACTACCCAGCCAGGTCCAGGCCCTCAGTGGCCTCCCCGGTCTCCTTACTTCCTGGCAGGGTTGGCCAGGGCGCCCGGTGCAGTGGAGGGCTTGAGGCACGACCACGTGCAGCACCGTCCCACTGGCTACGGGCCCCTCTGGACACCAGCCAGGCAGGTCCAGTCCCACCGACTCATGCTGCCTGGGGGTCTCCCGGCTGTACTGGAGCCAAGCTTATAACCCTGGGCCATCCTTCCTCTGTCCAACCCACCTTTTCCCAAACAGAGAGAAAAACACGGACCCACACTTTCTCTGTAATGTAACTTAATTCCAAATCGAGAGGTAAGAACACGAGCAAATCATGGTTTTTTTTTTTTTTTTTTTTTGAGGCAGAGTCTAGCTCTTGTTGCCCGGGCTAGAGTGCGATTTCCGCCTCCTGGGTTCAAGTGACTCTCCTGCTTCAGCCTCTCAAGTAGCTGAGATTATAGCCGCATGCCACCATGCCCAGTTAGGCTAATTTTTTTGTATTTTCAGTAGAGACAAGGTTTTACCACGTTGGTCAGGCTGGTCTCGAACTCCTGACCTCAGGTGATCCACCCATCTCGGCCTCCCAAAGTGCTAGGATCACAGACGTGAACCACCGCGCCTGGCTGCAAATCATGTTTAAATTTGAAGATATAGCCAGCTGCAGTGTCTCATGCCTGTGATCCCAGCACTTTGGGAAGCAGTGGGAAGATCACCTGAGCCCATGAGATTTAGGCTGCAGTGAGCCATGATCACACCACTGCACTCCGGCTGGGCAACAAATTTAAAAAAAAAAGTGGAGAAACATTATAGAAGAGGGCCCACAGGAGGCTGTTGTGGGCCATTTGAGGGTGAAGGTGGGGCTCCTCACATCTCCCCTGCCCCCATCTGCCTGGCTGAGCTCTCACCCTCCTGTCCACTGCCCAAGGGGAGGCCCACCCCACATCCCTGGGCCACTCTGCTGGGTGCTTAGTGAGCAAAGTTACCACCTTCTGGGCTGAGGTGACTCCAGCATTGAACGGGGTTAGTTCTCACCATGTTCTCCAACCCACGTACGGCCATCAGAGAGCCCATGGAGGGCTGGACGGTGCCCCCCACCCACAGGCACAGCCACTTTGTCCTGTTCTTTCAAGCATTCTGTGCAAAGGAGACAGAGCTGGCCAGGCCACGGATGGTGCAGCCTAACCACGGGACACGGCTCTGTCCCGGACACAAAGCCCCAGGCTGGGCGGATGGGGCTGGCTGCAGCCATGGAGCCTGCTGGGAGAGGAGATGCCAGCAGCGTGGTGTCAGGAGGAGAGTCAGGAGCTTCTAAGAAGCCAAGCAGGGGTGAGGATAGAAGGGAGGGGCTCAGGTGGCCCAAAGGTTCCTGCTGCTGCTTCACTTCCTGCGGGAACCCTCCACAGGAGATGAGGGAAGCCAGAAAGGAGAGCCCAGGCCAGGTGAGGGCTTGAGGGGCTGCACTTAGCCCAGGAGTGGCCCCCTCTACGTGAGGTACCCAGAAGACAGAGTGAGGCCAGGCAGCTGCCCCGAGGTCAAGAACGCTGAGGGGGCCAAAAGGGACGGAGCTACACACCTGGGCTTGGGCACCCAGCTCCACAGCTGTCCCTGCAGACAGGAGCAGGGGCAGCCGAGTTGGGGCAGGGCCCGCACAGCTGTCAGTCTTCGACACCAAGAGACCATCCACACAACACTACCACACACCCCCGAACGTCCAACCTGAACCTCCTCACACCACGAACCTGAAGCAGGCCCAGGCCCCTCCCAGAGCTCGGGACGCCAGGAAGAACAAGCTGCGCAAAGGACTGGAGTCATGTGCGCCTTTATTAGCTGAGCCATTACTTGAGAGGGATGAAGCGGGAGGAGTGGGTGGCCCCGATGCCGGGCCGGCCATGCTTTACGGGCTTGTAGGTGATGGAGAACTCGCCCAGGTAGTGGCCGATCATCTCGGGCTGCGGGAGACCAAGAGCAAAGCTGGGTGTCAGCTGATCCCGCCTGCATCAGGCGACCCCAGCCCACCCCAGCCGGCAGGGACGGCCGCACACACCTTGATCTCCACCTGGTTGAAGGTCTTGCCGTTGTAGACGCCCACCATGCTGCCCACCATCTCGGGTAGGATGATCATGTCCCGCAGGTGCGTCTTCACCACTTCCGGCTTCTCCATGGGCGGCGCCTCCTTCTTGGCCTTGCGCAGGCGCTTCAGCAGGGAGTGCTGCTTCCGCCGCAGGCCCCGGTTCAGCCGCCGCCGCTGGCGCGCACTGTACAGCTGCATCAGCTGCTCGCTGGGGAGGATGCACCAGGCAGTTTTGTGAGCGGCCCGGCCTGGGGAGACCCTACGCACTCCGGCGGACAGAGAACTAAGGCTTGGTTCTCTCCAGGGACAGAGCCGCAGTGGACCTGTCACTGTCCATTGTAGTGACTACAATGAACACGCCAAGTCCCTCTGGCACCCCCGCCAGATATGCGCGACTCACCCCTCACATGCAAGAGCCACCGTGTGACTGCAGAGATTCAGAGAGAACAAGCGGCCCGGAGACCACAGCCTCAGACAAGGTGCTGCAGCGTACAGCTCGGGCCAAAGGCCTCTAAAAACGCAGGGGAAGGCAGGTAGGGCGCAGTGGCTCCCGCCTGTGATCCCAGCACTTCGGGAGGTTGAGGCGGGAGGGTCGCTTGAGCCCAGGAGTTCAAGACCAACCTGGACGACACAGAGAAACGCTGTTTCCACAAATAATCAAAAATCAAGGTCGGGCGCGGTGTTCACGCCTGTAATCCCAGCACTTTGGGAGGCCGAGGCAGGTGGATCACCTGAGGTCAGGAGTTTGAGACCAGCCTGGGCAACACTGAAACTCGTCTCTACTAAAAATACAAAAATTAGCCGGACGTGGTGGGGGGGCCCTCTAATCCCAGCTACTCGAGAGGCTGAGGCAAGAGAATCGCTTGAACCCGGGAGTGGGAGGCTGCAGTGAGCTGGGACGGAGCCATTGCACTCCAGCCTGGGCGACAGGATGAGACTCCGCCTCAAAATAATCAAAAATTAAAAAATAAAAGCGCAAGCCAGATGCCCACCACCACCCTGCCTGGAAAGGACCCAGCGACCTCCACCGCCCTTAAAATCTAAGGAGTCTAACGCAGCCCCTTATTCTAAGTCACGTGGGCTACAGACAGGGGCTACACCTTCCAACTAAGCCGCGGAAAAGTGAACAACGGGGGGCAGGTTGCAAATAAGCAAAAACCTCAACGTCTCTGGACAGTTTTCTGGGCGCAAGACCACACTCAGTTCCAAACCCGCGCGGAGACCGTGCCCGCCCACCGCCGCAGAGGCGCTTGGACCCCCGCCCCGCCGCCCTCACCCGGACAAGCCCCACCGCTGGCCCAGCCCCTGCCCGCGACCCCCGCGGCCGCCCTTACTAGGACATGTCCAGCAGCTGGTCGAGGTCCACGCCGCGGTAGGTGAACTTGCGGAAGGTCCGCTTCTTCTTCTGCTCTACTTCTGCCTGTGCGGGCGCGGATCGGGCGTCAGCGGGATCCCGACACCCATCTCCCGGGGCCACCGGGCCCGAGGACACCGCGGAAGACGCGCGGCGCCGCCGGGGACAGAAGCCCGACAGGGACACACCGCTTCGACCCGTCCCCGGGGATCACTCGCGGCTCCGGGTTACGAGGACCCGGACATGAAGGCCCGGACAGGCCTTCCCAGCCCCGCGTCGTCCCGACACCCACCAAGTCCGCCCCTCGCCCCAACATCCAGCCGCCTGCAGGGTCGGGAGCAAGCCGCCGTAGCCGCGGGGACGAACTGCGGCCCCCGCGAGACGGTCAGAGGTTGGATGGAGCCGGATAGGCCCGGCAGAGACGCGCCAAATCGCAACACTCACCATCTTGCCGGATCCTCAGAAGAGATCGCTTTGGTCCGCGCCTGCGCAGTTATCGCGAGACTGCCGGCATGTCCCGCCCCCTCGGCCGTGCGCGCACACGCGCTTCCGCTTTCCCGGCGGCGAACACGCGCCCTCTGCCGTCTGGAGGGCAAAACACAGGCTGCAGGGATTAGAGCAGCCGCCGCCTGAGGTCTGCAGAGCCGCTTCCTCCACGGAGTGGGACTTTGGACAAGTCGCCGCCCCTGTCTGAGCCTCGGGTTCGTGCTCCGTCATCTACACGATGGCACCCACATCAACAAGTATTTATGGAGCGCCTACCGTTTGCTCGTAGGTGCGGTTTGGCGGTTCAGGTCCCACTGTGGGAGGAACACGAGAATTCATTACAGATACTGGAGCAGGGACAGGGCCTCGCTGAAAAGAACCATTCCGGCTTTAACAGATAAAATTTTGTATATAAAGTTAGTAAGGACAACACAGTGAGACTGCCTCTCTACAAAAAAATACAAAAATTTGTGTACACACGGACATAAAAGAATAAAAAGTACAAAAAATTCCCAGCTACTCGGGAGGCTGAGCCTTCAGCCCAGGAGGTCAAGGCTGCAGTGAGCCGTGATCGCGCCAACGGCACTCCAGCCTGGGCGACAGAGCAAGACCCTGCCTCAAAAATAAAGTTAGGAATATCACTGGGTTTGTTAAGATATGTAAATGTAATGTGAATAATGATAGCTCAAAGAGAAGGAGTAACTAGAACTATGTAGGAGTGACTTTTTTTTTTTTTTGAGACAGAGTTTCACTCTTGTTGCCCTGGCTGGAGTGCAGTGGTGTGATCTCGGCTCACTGCAACCTCTGCCTCCTGGGTTCAAGCGATTCTCCTGCCTCAGCCTCCCAAGTAGCTGGGATTACAGGCACCTGTTACCGTGCCCGGCTAATTTTGTATTTTTAGTAAAGACACGGTTTCTCCATGTTGGCCAGGCCATGTTGGTCTCGAACTCCTGACCTCAGGTGATCCACCCGCTTTGGCCTCCCAAAGTGCTGGGATTACAGGCGTGAGCCACCGCGCCTGGCCTAGGAGTGATGTTTCTGTATCTTACTGGAATTAAGTATAAAGTTGAAGGTGACTATTAACTATGGATGTGGCACCTGGCTGGGCGTGGTGGCTTATGCTTGTAATTCCAGCACTTTGGGAGGCCGAGGCGGGCGGATCACCTGAGGTCAAGAGTTCAAGACCAAGCTGACCAACCCTAACTCTACTAAAAATACAAAAAATTAGCCAGGCGTGGTGGTGGGTGCCTGTAATCCCAGCTCCTTGGGAGGCTGAGGCAGGAGAACCGCTTGAACCCGGGAGGCGGAGGTTGCAGTGAGCTGAGATCGCACCACTGCACTCCAGCCTGGGCGACAGAGACTCCTTCTCAAAAAAAAAAAAAAAAAAAAAAAAGAAAAAGAAAAAAAAAAAGCACAAAACCTCTGGGAACCCGAGCTTAGCTGTGGCACTGTCCAGGGAGCTGAGCTCTCCCCAGCCGTCCCCACAGTCCCAAGGGAAGCCAATTACACTGTACTCAGGGAGGGCTGAGTCTCCGTCCCGAGGAGCACAGGACCTATGTGTCGGGCCCGTCCATGTTACCCATTTTCCTGCAGCAGAGTGTCCTGGCTGGAAAGCTGATTTTGTGAGTGCTGCTCTTTGGCTGGGGGAGCTAATGTAACGGGAGGGGCTGACACTCAACACCATGATGACCTGTGGTGTGGATAGACAGCCGCCCCCGCCTGGCCCTCCTGGGAGCTGGGGCAGCAGCTCCTGAGGACATGGGAGAAGGCTCTGACGGCAGGGAATGGAGCTGGCTTCCTGGGCTGAGGCGTTGAGGGGTACTGTCTCAGTGAGGAAACTGCACTGCACAGGGATGTTGGGGGTACCCCTTCTCTTGGTTCTCTCCAAACTAAGTCAAACCTTCCCTGTCCCCAAAATATGAACTGGGGCGGGGGGGGGTGGTTCTGGCTGTCGCCTGAACAGTCTCACGCCTGGCACGCTGTAGGCTTCCAGTTTGGGACTTCATGGTCCTTTTTTTTTCTTGTTTTGTTTTTTGAGACGGAGTTTCGCTCTTGTTGCCCAGGCTGGAGTGCAATGGCGCAATCTCGGCTCACTGCAAGCTCCGCCTCCCAGGTTCAAGCGATTCTTCTGCCTCAGCCTCCCAAGTAGCTGGGATTACAGGCATGCACCACCACACCCGGTTAATTTTTGTATTTTTAGTAGAGACGGGGTTTCTCCATGTTGGTCAGGCTGGTCTCGAACTCCCGACCTCAGGTGATCCGCCCGCCTCGGCCTCCCAAAGTGCTGGGATTACAGTCGTGAGCCACCGCGCCCGGCCCTTTTTAAGTCTCGCCTTCCCTGCCACAGTGACAGAGTATCCCTTTCCAAAGATGCCCCTGTCCTAATCCCCAGAACCTGGGGATATGTCACCTTCCATGGCAAAAGATATGATTAAAGGTCTTGAGATGGGAAAAGCCTGGAGCCCACATTCCCCGAGAAAACTGGTGGTGGCCACATCCTCAAAGTCACAGCATCCCAAGACCCACTGAGGGATGGGCCCAGCTCGCCACTCAGCCTCTGCCCTGAAGCCCTCGGGGTTGCTGAGACCACCAAGAGCCAAGGGGAGGGCGAGGGCGCCTCCGTCGCGTTTCAGACCTTTCCTAGGCACTGGAAGGGTAGGCACAGGCCAAGACCAAGGAGGGAAAAAACGGACACAAAGTGGTTTCTAATCCAAACGCACTTCTCTTTATTCAAACCAGGGTCAAACTGGTCAATGGGAAACGCCCTGAAGCCACGTGCCTGGGGAGAAAGGCTTCCTACTCGGTTCGGTTCAGCGCTGCGTGGGATCCACGCGGCTGGCTGTGCGCAACCCCCACAGTTCACCTCAGACACTACCAAGCAGGTCAGTCGACAAAAGCAAGGAATTAAACAAAAAACAGAAATACACTCAGTAGATTTCTTCTAGAAGCTCCCAGAGTTTCTGGACCACCAAGTCCCAACCCCCAAAGCCAGGAGCGAGGGGACTAACAGCGCACCCCCTCCACCAGTGCCGACGGAAACCCCGTTTTAAATTAAAAAATAAGCCAGTATACATCGTAGAAAATTTCTCTTAAAAATCTCACAATTTGTAAATGTATATTTTTTCTTTAACATAAAAGTTTACAATATACCGTAAAACAAAAGGCTCAGGAAAATAATTTCCAAAAAAAAGGAAGAAAAAGAAACCTGAAGTTTTGAATTAAAGCTGAAGACATTTTTTTTAAACCCTGTTGTTGAACCAGTGACTTTTTTTTATTGTGCTGATGGGTTAGAGAAAGAAATATTTAAAAACCTCAGTCCAGACGACACCCACAGCCGCTCCAAAAGCCTCGCGCCCTCCCCCCGCCCCCCCCCCCAAGGTTGAGTCGCCACTTTGCCGCCAAGTTTGTGATTGTCACGAGTTCACAAGTTTGGAATCCTGGGTCTGGGCCGTGCAGACGTCGCGGCGCCGCGGGCTAGCGTCGGTAGGGGTGGAACCCTTGCACGTTGTGGTTCTGCCCTCGTCCAAAGCCGCTGCCGCCGGCGGGGGGGCCCCCCGACCCTGGCACGGAGGGACCCCCGTAGGAAGGAGGCTGCTGGCTGGGGTCTGAGAAGCCCTGTCCGAAGCCACTCAAGTCCTGCCCGTAACCTGCTGGGGGAGAAAGTCCTGTGAGCTCGGGGCGGTCCCTGGGCGGTTGGCACTGCCGTCGAGCGAGGCCACCTGGACACAGCTCCGCCGAGCCTGCCTTGAGTCCACGGGTCCCACGGGGTGCGGGTGGGGCCCTTCTGAGGCCAGCACCTGGGCCGGGGAGAGGACCCCGGGCATGTTCTCTCCCTCAAAAACATGTGAGCAGGGGCACACACAGAGAAAAGCGGCTTCCAGAGCCCTCCATGGCCCACGTAACCTCACCGCTTCCCTGTTCAATCCCGAAGACGTGGTTGGGGGGGTGAGGGGAGGTAGAGAAGCCTCGGGGCTTGGAGACACACATGGCCCAAGGCACGGTGGACCAGGCTTCTAGAAAGCTGGCTCTCGGAGTTTCAGAAAACCCCTGACGGGCCCTTGCAGCGATACAGGGCCTGCCCCTCCGTCGCAGACCAGACCCCACGTTGTCCTTCCTGTCAGGGCACGTCCATCGGTGGCACGTGTCAGGGAAGGGTTTCTGGGCCCAACCTGACTGCCCCAGTGACACCACTGGCTGAGGGGCCAGCACACCCTGCAGCCCGTCCGGCCCACACAGCCGACCTCAGGAGCATGGACAGCGGTGTCTTTACAAGGACAGAGCTGCTCACGCCGCTCCCCACCCCGCTGCACACCTTGCAGGAAGCCCCTCCCACGACCTCTGGGTTCCCATTCGGGTGCACGTGGGCACAGGTGGGCGTGGGCTCTCTCTGGGGGATCCTGGGCCCGCTGAAGGCTTGTGGCCAATGTCTTGGCACCGGCAAGGGCCCCTTCCCAGAGGGCACCGCCAGCGTCCACCCCCGCCCGGGACGGCAGAGGAAGCCACGTCCACCTCCCGGTGCAGGCGGGTGGGAGGACCCTGGAGAAGGAGGCGGCACCTACCTAGGCCACATCACTGCTCAGCCTGACCATAAGACTGTAAACAAAGTGTGGGCCGCAGCCCGGCGGGGCTGGAGAATAGGAACCCAGGCCTGGCAAGAGACGAGACCAGGGTGACCAACCCAAGCAGCCGCCACCAAGAGCAGCGGCTGACACACGCCACGCCCCAACCGGGCGCCTCACACCCCCCTGCCAGTCTCAGACACGCCAGGGTTTGGTGGTGAGTGGGTCAAGAACCCACACATGCGGCAACCTCGGCCCAAGGCCTGGGCGTGGGGGCAGGGGAACCACAGCCATGCGAGGTGGGTGGGCGGGCACCTCGGCCGAACACAGCTCCCACACCCCGGCCTCCACCAGGCCTAGAGGAAGCGTGTTCACAGGCACCCCGGAAGCCCGTGGCCACCTGCAGACAGGTGCCCCATGTTCTCAAACCCTGCTTGTGAATGACCCCTGGTGCTGGAGGAGCTGACCGTAGTTGGAGCCCTGCCCACTGAGGCCACCGCGTTGGTCCTGAGCAAGGCTGCTGTGACTCCTGGCTCAGTGCAGGGCGAGAACTACTGACATGCAGACCTTGACCCATGCTGACCCCGCCCCCCCACAAGCTCCTGCCCCGGAAGCACATGCGCTGCCTGCAGATCACGTCCAGGCAGACCCAAGCCACGACAGCCATCCAGTCCAGGGTGAAGCCCACGTCCAGGCCACGCCTACTACAGACCCAGCTTCTGCCCCAAGCGGGGTCTGGACCCAGCAGGAGGCTGATGACGCCAGAAACTGGAACCCACCAAGGGGCCAGTGCACCCGGGACCCACACCGAGGGCCTGAACCTCTAGACAGTGATCACAGCTGCCTGCGACTCACTTCCCTCGACCCAGTCGCCACTCAGGTTCCCACACATGCAGGCCCTGCAGCACCTGCTGTATGACGAGTGCTCTGCTGCGACAAGACTCCCACGCTCCCTTCTGCTGGACCCGAGTTGCCACGAGATCTCTCCAACAACCCCCACACCCCCCTCTCCTCCCTCTCCCCTTTCCCACCAGGTAAAGGCTGGGGAGCGTCCAGCAGGGGAGGAAGCAGAAGAAGGCAGGCCGTGCCCAGGGTCCTGGGGCCAGCGGGGACGCGGCATGGCAGGAGACCACTTACCATACTGACCATAGGGGAAGTCTGGCTGAGCTGTCGGGGGCTTGCTCATGTCCGGGGCAGCCTGAGACGGAGGCGGTGGGAAAGCCAGAGGTGCTGCCCCGGGAGTGGCTGGTGGAGGAGGAACCCCCGGAGGGGCAAACTGATCTGGCGGTGGAGGTGGAGGCCCGTAGCCAAAACCTGCAGAGGTACAAGAGGGCAAGGCACAAGACACGTTGTGCAGCTGGGGGCAGACCAGCAGGAGACCCACACCCAGCCCAGCAGGAGCTGCCCAGACGGGACTGCCACCCAAACCCACAGAACGCCCAGGCCTTGTGGACATCCACAGAATGGACCACAGAGCCACGGTCCCGGGCCGCTCCCCCCAGGAAACACACACTCCTGGGAGCGTGGCGGGATGCTGAGCTGCAGCAGGGCCACCTCGTTCCTCACGGAGCAGCCGCCAGGTGGGCCTCAGACAAGAACTCAAGGAGCAAGTAACCTCACAGCAAAATTGCTCTTTCAGAAGGACAAAAACCTGCCACCATGCCCAGTCCCCATGTTTAGGAAGCTGCCAGCACAGGCAAGGGAGCATCCTGACGTGCTTGGAAGGGACTGTCATGCTGGAGGTGCTGCCGCCCTTGCCCTCTGTTGCTGGATATCAGGCAGGCCGAGGTTCCACCCAACTCCCCTCCTGTCAGTCATCTGGCCCACAGGCCTCCGTGTGCAGAGCCTGATCCAGGCCAGAGGATGGAACTGCCTGCTCCTGTACCACGGCCACGTGGAGCCTCCAAACCCCCGAGACGGGACTAGCTCACACTGTGATATGCCCCAATTGTCAAACACCCCCAGGGCCCAGGGCCCGCAGGTGAAATCAGATCACGGTGCCGTTCCTGCTGGCTGCGTGCTGTGAGGTGCAATCCCTGGCTAGGCAGGTAAGGGACGCAAGGCTCCCAGAAAGGACACCCCACGTATGGCCCATGTCCCTTCTTCTCTACTGGAGGGTGCCAAGACCTCACCCTGGGGGCCCCGTCTAAAATTCTGGATGCGCTGAGGTCAGGAGTTCAAGACCAGCCTGACCAACATAGTGAAACCTGTTCTCTACTAAAAATACAAAATTAGCCGGGCGTGGTGGCAGACGCCTGTAATCCCAGCTACTCAGGACACTGAGGCAGGAGAGTCGCTTGAACCCAGGAGGCAGAGGTTGTAGTGAGCCAAGATCGGGGCACTGCACTCAATCCTGGGCAACAAAAGTGAAACTCCATCTCAAAAAAATAAATAAAATAGTCCGGGCGCGGTGGCTCACGCTTCTAATCCCAGCGCTTTGGGAGGCCGAGGCGGGCGAATCACGAGGTCAGGAGATCGAGACCATCCTGCCTAACACGGTGAAACCCTGTCTCTACTAAAAATACAAAAAAATTAGCCAGGCGTGGTGGTGGGCGCCTGTAGTCCCAGCTACTCAGGAGACTGAGGTAGGAGAATGGCGTGAACCCAGGAGGTGGAGCTTGCAGTAAGCCGAGATGGCGCCACTGCACTCTAGCCTGGGCGACAGAGTGAGACTCCATCTCAAAAAAAAACCATAAATAAATAAATAAAATAAAATAAAACTCTGGGTGTGTCGGCTGATCTTACACTCAGCTTTTCAATTACAAGTGACGTGTACAGGAAAATTAGTCAAGAATTAGAGCCTGTGAGGCTGGGCGCAGTCACTCACGCCTGTAATCCCAGCACTTTGGGAGGCCGAGGCAGGCGGATCACAAGGTCAGGAGATCGAGACCACCCTGGCTAACATGGTGAAACCCCGTCTCTACTAAAAATACAAAAAAATTAGCCGGGCGTGGTGGCGAGCGCCTGTAGTCCCAGCTACTCGGGAGACTGAGGCAGGAGAATGGTGTGAACCCAGGAGGCGGAGCTTGCAGTGAGCCGCGATTGCGCCACTGCACTCCAGCCTGGGCTACAGAGTGAAACTCCATCTCAAAAAAAAAAAAAAAACAATTAGAGCTTGTACACCCTTAAACAAATGCCCCCCTAATCCTGAAGTATGAGGCTAAGACACGAAGTCCAGGCTCTGTCTCCTGAGGAGCCTGTGAGAACTGGTTGGGCCCAGACATTCCTGCTATGAGCTCTCCAACCCGCAGGAGCCCGGGCTGCCCTTTAGCCTAACCAGCGAGGCCACAGGCGATGGAGCCCATCTGCAGGTGAAGGGCCTGGTGGCAGGTGACCTGCTGACCAGCCGGCACCCCACCTGTGGCTGAGGCCAGACGTGTAACACAAGACTCCCCATCACCCCGCCCACCACCTGGCATCTCCGGAGCAGGCGGGAGGCCCTCCCACAAGGCCCCCTAGACTTACTGAACTGTGGCGGGGCACCGTAGCCCTGAGGGAAGCCCTGGGGAGGGGGAAAGCCTCCAGGAGGGGTGGACACGATGTAGGAGGTGAACGGTGGGGGTGGCGGGGGGGCTCCTCTTCCTGCAGGGGGCGGTCCATAGCCACCTGAAACACACAGTACGGGGGTGATGGACAGAGAGCGCTGGACAACACAGACTGGCCACAGTTAGACCCAGGCCTGCCAGGGGCCCTAGCAGGCCCCTCACCCTCTCTTCCTCTCCAGCACTCAGGACACGGGAACCAGGCTTTGCCGGCTGCCCCAGGACACCTGGCGAGTCAGCCTGCCATGTGGCTTCTGTCCCCGCCTTTGCTCTATAAACAAGGACTTACCAATCGCCTGTCCTGCCGGCACCCACATTCCTAGATAAGAGAACAGAAGAGGAGGTTGGCGCCGTGTCCACCAGCTGTCCGACGCAGAGAAGGAGCCGCAGAGCATGGACGTCAAGGGCTGGGACCAACCCCGGAGCCTCCTGTGCTTAGAGCCTGTTCGTCCTGAGGGCAGAGCCCTCTGAACCCTGAGCAGAGAAGCACTCCCCACCCCTTGTAGAACAGGCCTTAAAGCCACTCTCCTCTGTGCCCTGCCAGGTGGCGGGCACTGTGTCTGCTGACTGGGGCACGGGTGACCTCCCGGCTCCACCTGAGGACCCCAGAGAAACCTGAGACTTCTAAGCCTCGAGAGGGCAGGGACAGTCCCCACAGCACCTCCGAGTTTCCAACAAGGGAGGCTCCAGAGAAAAAGGTTTTAGACGAGGTGCAGGGAAGCCACAGTCTCGGGACCCGGACGACGTACATCTGGAACCCTGACCCACAACTCGGGTCGGGCTGCAGCCAAGCCCAGGGGTTCCGTGGCTGCTGGAAGCTCCAAGGACGGCCCACAACGTGGGCCTAACTACAGAGGGCCCACGGCACTGCAGAGGGAACGGCAGGTGGCAAGGATCCAAAGCCTGCCGGCTCCTCAAGCCCCCCAGGGGCAGCACCCCGATTCTGAGCTCAGCTTGGCAATGCCAGCCCTCTCAGGGTTTCGTGCTCAGACCTGCCGTGGCACACGGTCGCGAGGTGCAGACGCTCACTGCAGCTCTTCCCGGTGACAATGAGTCCCAGGCCCCGGACGGGCACCTAAGCCGTGGCCACCCCGCTACTGAGGAGGCTGCGGGTGCTGCCCGGGAGCTGGCTGTCAGCCGGCACCTCGCGGGGGCTCAAGGACACTGTGAACCGCGGCTCTGTGCATGCACAGCAGAGGTGGGGAGGCCGCAGCGACGGCACAGCCCAGGGCGCGCGGGCCAAGTCCGAGAAGGGGGACATTCCCGTGGGCACCTCTGCATCAGCCTTACCTTGCGGGCCATATCCTTGCTGCCACGTGGGCGGGGGCTGGCCTGCCCAGCCATTGGCAGCGTTGGGCACAACCCGGCTCCCCCACTGGCTGGCACCTGGCTGTCCCGGCGCTTGGCTCTTGCTGTCCCGAGGCTCAGCTCGTTTAACTTCCACCTAAACAAACCGAGCTCTGGTTTAGGGCGAGGCTGCGGGTCCCAGCACCCCCTTCCCTTTAGACACACCCTCGGGTAACTTATGACTACACTTAGCATCTTACAACTTAAGACTAAATACTTAACTATAAACCTTATTTAGGCCAGTAGCATTTTTTTCTTAAAAAATTCTTTTGTGTTGAATTTTTTTGTTTAAAAAATGTTTCTCAGGTACAACAGATGCAACCGTAAGACACACAGAGCCCGCCCACTGCGGGGCAGCAGGACCGAGCCCAGAGCCCTCGGGGGTTTCGTGCGTGACGAAGGGTCTTTCACTCAAGTAAAATGGCAGCGTCCTCCTTCCTCTTGAAAACATGGGGACAAAAAGGGACCAGGATCTTCCCAGCAATCGGCATCCTCATCGCCCTCTGGACTGCTTGGAGCCCGCCCACCTGTGCTTTTAACTCATACCTGAGAAACACGGCTGGTGTTTTACTTAGATTTTTAAATTTAAAATGTCTAATGGAAGATAAAGACTTACCTTCCCCAGGCTAACGCTTAAAGAATCTCAATTAACTCAAAACTAATGTCAGAGGGAATGGATGTGATAAGAGAATCTTACATTACATCTAACAAAAAAAGTAACAAACATGCAATAAAATGGACATTTGGATCAGTAAGCAATCTTCATACTGTGTTCGCTCAGCAGCCCGGGGCCCTTCCTCTCTAGACGTGTCAGGAGCCACAGTCTTCTCAGGAGGAGGGTGCGGGGCCGGGGACAATGGATGGAGCAGGCCTGACCTACTTATTCTAGGCGCAGTGGCTGACCTTCCTTTAATGCCTGCTTGAAAATATGGGTGGACTAACAACAGAAAGATCCCCCCAATTCCGGGGCTGCCTCAGCATTTGAGAATCCTGAATTTGTCTCACTTTTCTGATAAATCGTAATGAGAATAAAGAGACAATGGATCCACCTGGAGTCAGCCTTGGGGTCTCAGTCTGGAGAGCTGCACATCCTGAGTTCAGAATCCCTCAGTTCTGCCTGTTAGAGAACAGACAGCAGCAGCCACAGAGGCACAAAGCCCCCACCTGCCCAATGCCCCAAGGACCGGCCTATGATGGGAACAGGATCCGTTAGCTCAAGGCAATGTGACAGCAGGACCAAGGGACCCATTTCAAAGAACTCAAATGAGCGAGTCTTCACACACCCTCCTCAGGGGACTGCGGTTCCTGCTTACAAAGCAGAGCGGTCCTTGTACTTTAAAAAAACAAAAACAAAAAAAAATTCTTTCACCCTTTCCTACCTGAATGCAGCAATGCAGTCGCCTGGCATGGAGGGTTAACTACCACGCGGTACCAAACACTCCACAAACGGAAAACCCCCATGAGGGGCCGGCGGCGACGCCAAGTGCCGCTCCAGCCAACCAGTGAAGGCCGGCGCCGGGCAAGCTGGACTCCAACGACTGTCTGGCTTGGAAGGCGAGACCCACACTGAGGTCGCCCAGCTCAGGAGCTCGCGCAGAACAGTCATGGCTGGGGGGACCCAGGGGCTGCCCAGGGACGGCAGCAGGTGTGTGCACTGTACAGAGCTCTTTCTGCCCCGTATATCAAGACCACGCTTTCCCCAAATTGTCAGTGTCGTAGTCCCTTAAAACACTGGGCGCAGACTCCTTGAAGCCCTGCTTGTACTGTCGCGCACCCATGCAGCCGGCAGGCTCATTTTAAACCACAAGCTGCACTCGATGTCAGAACAAGGATTGTGTCTCCTGTTTTAGTTGGGTTCAAATGGAATTAATGAAGTCTGCAACCCAATCTAAGCCACGTGTATACAAAAATAACTACACATGCTACTGTTTTTAAAAAAGTTCTGCTATCAAGACCTCTGGCTGGGGTAGAGGGCAGGGGCAGGAGATAATGAGCACGATGCTCCCTCCAGGACATTTTAATTGAAAAAACAACCATGGCCCTGTCAGAGGGGCTAAGCGTCTTCTTCCGTTAACGGGAGAAGCTGCCGCACCAAGGAGGCCGGGTCAGAATCCCACTGGGCATGTGAGGCGGCCTGGCAGAGCCAGCAGAGCTCCTTGGTTTGAAAGGACCAAGACAGGAATCCTGCAAAAACCTGGACCCCTAAGCTTTTGCTAACTGCAAGAAATTCCACACTGTAGAATTTCTACCAGTTATTTATTTCAGAGTCCACTTCTCAAGAACCTCCAAGGGTCCAGGTAAAACAAGGATTTAGGGACCCCTTTCTGACACATGCCTTCCAAGGGCTGGCCTGGGGGTTGGGGGGGTGGCCTCCTGTCCCTCTCACCTCCGGGGGTAACACAGTATGAAGATGACACAACCAGAGGTCACTTGACTGCATGGTGGCTGAGTACTACCGAGAGCATGTGGCTGGTGCCGGAGTTCCACAGTAAGTGACCCAATTCAAACAACCAGTCCTTCATGATGTTTCCACTGTGCTTTCCATTTTAAGCGGAACCTCGGCTCTCAAAGGTCCCTTGCTGATCACATTACAGGTCAGTGTCAGACAATGGGGATTTGCAGACATCTGAAGGAGTGGTCGTGGAAACCAAGCCTGAGGCAACGCTGCGGTTTCACTGGAGCCAGCCCCAACACCGCCACAGCCTCCCAGCCCCAGCCCCCTACCCGCCCAGTCCCAGGTCACCCAGAGGGAGGGGCTCCAGGAGCAAAGCTGAGAGATCCCCACCCCGCAGGAAGGGTGCTGGGGAAGGATGGGACCCTCCTCACGTCTACAGACCCAGGCCCACCTCACGCAGCAAAGGTTCACAGGACGAACTCGCCCGACCCTTTCCGTGAAGGAATGTTCCTTTCCAGTGAAACCCCTAAGTTGCCTAAGACTTGGTTTGGTCTTAAGGTAAAATAAAACTACAACTACACACTTTTTTGCCCATGATGTCGTGAAAATGCATGTTGACAGCCTGGTCCACTGATTGTTCGTCCTCGAAAGTAATAAATCCAAAACCTAGCCAACGACGAAGAGTGAATCAAGGTAGCAGGGTGTTGTGACACAAAACAGGATGATGAACAGTATTAGGGACGGGCCGAGGGATCGACCTTGGGTTTCAGCTAAGCTGTGTGTGGGGCGCTGCGGGCCCCTGGGGCAGCTGCCTCCCTCCCCAGGAGCCACCACTCGACTGCACACGGAGTGGACAGACGGTGACGTCCGCACTCCC
Source organism: Homo sapiens (assembly GCF_000001405.40). Classification (NCBI taxonomy): domain Eukaryota; kingdom Metazoa; phylum Chordata; class Mammalia; order Primates; family Hominidae; genus Homo; species Homo sapiens. Next base: position 1,425,666 of record NC_000019.10, on the reverse strand, counting down.
GGTGACGGCTCTGCTGACTGAGGCCTGAGTCAAGCCTCCGCCCCAGACACCCCGGGCTGGGGCTCCGTGTCACAAAGATTTGGAACAAGGAGCACATCTTATAAAACAGCAGCGGAGACAGGGGAACGGTGAGGGCCTCCATCGCTACTGGCAGACAAAGCGCCCCCCAGGGGAGGGTCAGAGGCCCGTGCTTGAATATTCTGGCTCTCGCCTGTGGGGAGATTGCCAGTGAACCCTGCAGGCCGGGGGCCCGCGTGGAATGCGCCATCTTAGTCAGGGGTGTGCACCGTGGATGTGTGTATGCTTCTCTGAAACCCAGGATTCTCCCCCTTGGCTTGCAATTTGCTTTGCAGCTAGTGCTGACAGCAGCCATATATCGTTCTAAAGCGTTAACAGATACAGTATCTATCATAGCTGGTGCCTCGCTAGGCTTACGCAACACCGTTGGGTAAGCCCAAGGAGTCCTAGAAGAGGTCATATCGTAGACATCTATGCATGTTCTATACAGGTAGAGAAACAATGCACAAAGATACAGGCCACAACGGGTTCCAGCAGGTCAGACTCTGCTGCCAGCAGCAAGAGCGAGATGCACCATGGGATCAAAACAGAAAATTTTAAAGGCAAAAAAAATTTAGCATTTCCCAAACACAAGAGTGGCAGTATAAACGAAGTTTAGTGGGTCTGGGGTGGGCGCGGCCCCCGGCTAACGGGGCGGGTCTCCTCCTCTAGGCGCAGGAGTGCGCCGGGCTCTCCAGGCCTCCCCGGCTAGGTGGAGCGTGACACCGCAAAGCACACCGTCCTCCCGAGGCGGGGCCCAGGCGGCACCAGCCCCTCCCCAGATGGAAGTGCCCGGCAGACAGCTGCCCAAGACCTCACAGAACAAAGATGGACATGGGAAGAGCTGAGACCGGGCTGAAGATGGGCTGCCCGCGCCAGAGGCACAGGGTGCGTGACAAGGCACCACACAGCAGGGGACAGCGCAGCACGGGCGTGAGGCGTGAACGAGCGCGGCAGAGAAGGGCCGTGGGGGGTGGGAACAGGCAACGGCCCCCGGAAGGAGCAGCCTACTGTGGGGCCTCTCAAGCTGAAGAGACAGGGGCCAGGGCTGCTGTAGCTGGGACCAGGCAGAAACAGGACAAGCAAAACTGGGGGCGGGGAAAGATGGAAACGGGGCAGAAAGGGCAGCTCAGACTGTGAGGGGACAAAGGTCACTGTGGTTCAGGAGCCTCCCACCGTCCTGAGCACACGTGTGCACCTGAGCGTGACTGTGCACGCAGTGTCTGCAACCAGACGGAGGGGGAGGGGGGAGGGGGAGGGGGAGGAGGAGGGGGAGGGGGAAGAGGAGGAGGAAGAGGAGGAGGGACCAGGAAGGCAAGGCACACAGCGAGAGGAGCGCAGGATGGAGAAGACCTGAGGGGACTGAGAGGCGAACGAGGCAGCGGCTGGAGCGGGCGGGCCGAGGGTAGACGTGGGAGGGCCAAGCAGGGACCCGCACAGACACTGTGTGCCCGAGACACAGGCGGGGTCCCTGACAGGGACATGGCCATGACCTTCAGTCAGTGGAGAGGAAGAGGGAGGAGGTGGCGGGGAGGGGGACACAGACCCGTCTCAGAAGATGCAGAAAGGCCAAGGGAAGGGGACACACTCTCTGGGAGGACCCGCTAAGCAGCGCCGCAGCGTCTCTCCGGCCCTCCACTCGCCTGACACCCAAGGGACACTTTCAAAGCCCAACAGCTAAGGACATGTGGCCACGTGCTGGCCCCGAAGTGCTCTGTACACCAGTGTGGACTCAGCGACACTCGCCACGTCCCGTCCACACGGGACAGGACAGGACGCGAGGAGAAGGGGCGCCAGCTCTGGGCAGCCGGAGGGGGACCGGGAGGATCTAGAAGCAACCCTCAGATTCCCGCGCGCTCAAGTTTCCCAAGATCAGAGGCAGTATTGGAACACAGCATCGGTGATGAAACAACGTATTTAGAAGTAGACATTTTCGCAAACTGCAGGAGTGTCTGAAACCACAGGGCTCGCCTGGTCCGGGCACAGTGCAAGAGGCGCTGGGTCCTGGGGGAGGCGCCCTGAGCGCTGTCTAGGAATGCGGCTGTCAAGAGGCGACATCACCACTGAGGAAGCGGGACAGAAACACCTGAAACTTCGTTTACACCCCACTGGAGCAAAGCCGCTCCCTCCTCTGACTGCGGGACTGGCCTGTACCTGTGTGATATAATTTAGCACCTGGAGAAGAGAAATCTAAAGAGATATCGTTAATCACACACAATTCACAGAGAGAAAAGGAAAAACAGCTTACTTAACATCACTGTACTTTACTATGAAACACTTAAGTACGTCACTAAGCATGTATGTCTAAATTAAGTTACGACTAAGACTTAACAGCGTAACCGACATGGAGGAGGAGCACTCCTAACCGTGGGGAGGGAGGTTCAAATGGCAAACTATGCTCCAGCATGGTGGGCATGCTGCGGCGCCACCTGGCGCTCGGGGCTGCCCCGACTGACCTGGGCCGGTGGTGCGGGGGCGGCACGGACGTGGCGGGCAGACCCAGGCTGCAGGTCTGCTCACGTGGCCGGCCAAAAGCAGCTGATGAACCAAAACCATGCGGGCGGGCGGGACAGACAGCAGCAGCCACGGAAAAGGGGCACAGAAACTGGGCGCCCATCGTCCCAGCTCCACAAACCAGCATGGATGGGTGTGCAAGAAGCTGAGGGAAAATGAGGGGAGGCCCTGAGGTGACTCCTCACCCCTCCTCCCACCTGCCCTGCTGACTTCAGAGAGGGGAGAAAACTGAAAAAAAAGAAAAAGAAAAGAAAAGGAAAAAAGAAAGAAAGAAAAAAAAAGCATGGGATGGATCACGGAAAATCCAAACTCCACACCGAGCCAGCTGACCCAGCTGACGACACGAAATGAGACCGGCCACACTGGGAGGACTGGATGAGGGTGAAGGAAGGTCAAATGCAGAAGGACCACACTCTTCCGGACAGTGAAAAACAGAAGCCAGGCCGAGACTCATGACAAGTCGTAAAAACTTCAAAAGAACAAGCCAAAAAACAATGTGTGACGTCTGACCTCGGGAAGCACAGACAGGCTGAATGGGGTGCACATGAGGAGCCCACGTTTTAGTCATTTGTCTCCAAATCGTCCCTTCCTGAGGCTGTTTGCTACAGCCGCCACCTGTGTGTGCCTGGCGGGTGAGATAGTTTGCCATCTGAGGGAGGAGCAGGGAGAAGGCCGAGGTCAAACTAGATCTGCCCTTACCTCGGGGCCTCTGCTTCTCGGCGTCATAGATCATGACTACCTCCGTGACCTGGAAGGAGAGGGTGGCGTCAGCACGGACACCAGGGCCAGCACCACAGGTGGTCTTCCGAGGGCACAGCCTGTTCCCACGAACCCAAACTCTCGCACAGGGTGCGCCCTCCCTGAGCGGGGGAGGTGCACGGGCAACAGCTGCTCCGTGGGGCTGCTGTCTGAGAAAGGCTGGAGCCCCAACACTCCCAGGGCCAGACGCAGGCAGGGAGAAGCAGCTCCAGGGCAGGCGTCTGGATACCCGCCTCCGGGCTGCCCGTGGCCCCGCTCACGTGTGTGCTGACGGACATGAAGGGCCAACAACGCCGACCACGCATCCTAGCAGGGGACGTGGGAGCCAGGAGACCCCACAGAAGCCCTTCCCACCCAAACGCGGGAAGCAAAGGGCACGCTCGGCCCTCACTCGAAGTGGCGGGGCAGCCACACACAGCTCCTCTGCAGACCCTGCTCTTCCAGGCCCCGCTCAGGCCTCTCATTCCTGGCCCAGGCCCGTGGCACCCTCAGGTACCACCTGATGAACGTGCGCAGTACTCAGGCACGCAGGGCTGTCCTGCTGGCGGGGCTCGGAGTGTGACCTGCGGGGCACGGCAGGAGTCCCAGCAGGACCTTGGGGTGACCACACGCCCCTGCCTTGGGTGACTAGGAGGGCTCCCCGCCGGCCCCCTCCGGCTGTCCCAGCTCCCTCTGGCACTGGGCTCAACGGAGCTCGGGCATTCTCCCACCTGCCCAGTGGAAAGTCAGCTCTGTGGGGCTGGCTCGCCCAGGCCACACTGAACCCCGTTTCTGTGTAACTGCCCTTCTCTGACACTGGACCCCACGGTGTTCACAATGGAATCGGGCGGCCGCCCTGAAGGCTGTCAGGCTGGTTCACCGCCCAACCACCCTACTGGGACACGAAATGGCCATGAAGGCAAAGGCCGGGCTTTCCACCTTTCCGGAGGGCGCAGGCGTTGGGGAAATACGAGACAGCGAGCTCCCAGCCTGAAAGGCCCGTGCACCTGTGGCTCGGCCACTCCAGCCCCAAGAAGGCCCAGGCCTGAGCAGAAGCGGCTCTGTCCCCACAGTGCTGCCGGGGTGGGGAGAAACTCACCACTCCGAACTTCTTGAAGTATTCCCTGAGCTCTGTCTCACCACAATTGTGAGGAATTCCACCGACAAATATCTTATTTGATTTACTGTTATCGCTCCTGGGTCCTTTCTGCTGTTGAAGAAGGGAAGGATAGTTAGTTCACACGGGAACCCTCCAAACCCTCCCGCGAGCTGCGGAGGACATAAAGGCCAATCCGCGCTGGTTTAAAGAGTCAGCTGAAAGCCAGAGCAGAACACTCCACAAGCCCGCTAAGTCCAAAGACACTGGGCTCTGCTGAGACACTTTCTCACTTTTCTAGAGAGACCCAAGGAGACAGGGATTGAGCATTTCTGCAGAGCTACATTTCAGCTAAACGGACCCACGACACAGTGCGTGCCTTGCCTCAGCTATTCCGAATTACAACCACTGCCACGTGGAAAAGTGCTCCAGTGTGAAGGCAGGGACTTTAGGACGGCAGGGGAAAGGCAGCAGCGACGACGAAATGAGCAGAGAGGAAGCTGGATTTCAGGCTGTACATCTCCAGCAGGTGACAATGATGGCTACGGAAACCTCCAGCAGCTCAAGAGCTGTGTGAAACACTGGCCCAAACCACACAGCCCCTTCTGCCGGCCTCCCACTGGCAAGGGCGCCTGCTCCTGGGCACCACTTCCCGGGGCCTCGGCGCTCACTGGGTGGCCAGAGCCAGGAGTCTCTGGTCCAGCTCCCGGGCTGCCCTTAGGGCTGGGGCTGCTCTCCTCCTGCCCCCACCCACCAACCATCCTTTTTTTTTTTTTTCCCTATCCAAGGCTATCACATTTTAAGTTGTTCCAACTGCTTTGAATAAAAGACTATAAACCTTTGAGGGTGAGTGCTCGCCGCCGTGACGGTCGGGATGGTTTCATGAGTGTGCGCGTGGGGTGAGTGCTCGCCGCCGTGACGTTCGGGGTGGTTTCATGAGTGTGCGCGTGGGGTGAGTGCTCGCCGCCGTGACGTTCGGGGTGGTTTCATGAGTGTGCGCGTGGGGTGAGTGCTCGCCGCCGTGACGTTCGGGGTGGTTTCATGAGTGTGCGCGTGGGGTGAGTGCTCGCCGCCGTGACGTTCGGGGTGGTTTCATGAGTGTGCGCGTGGGGTGAGTGCTCGCCGCCGTGACGTTCGGGATGGTTTCATGAGTGTGCGCGTGGGGTGAGTGCTCGCTGCCGTGACTGTAGGGATGGTTTCATGAGTGTGCGCGTGGGGTGAGTGCTCGCCGCCGTGACTGTAGGGATGGTTTCATGAGTGTGCGCGTGGGGTGAGTGCTCGCCGCCGTGACTGTAGGGATGGTTTCATGAGTGTGCGCGTGGGGTGAGTGCTCGCTGCCGTTGACGATCGGGATGGTTTCATGAGTGTGTGCGTGGGGTGAGTGCTCGCTGCCGTGACGGTCGGGATGGTTTCACGAGTGTGTGCGTGGGGTGAGTGCTCGCTGCCGTGACGGTTGGGATGGTTTCATGAGTGTGTGCGTGGGGTGAGTGCTCGCTGCCGTGACGGTCGGGATGGTTTCATGAGTGTTTGTATGGGTCAGAATCATCAAGTGGTGCAGTTTACTACGTGCCCATTATATCTTAAGAAAAGCTAGAGAGACATTAATAACCAGATGGAATATGAACCTTGGATTCCAGTCTGAAAAAAACCAGCTATGAGAGACACTTGTGAAACAATTCTGGAGCTGGGAACACGGCCTGGACACAGATGACACGGGATTCCCTGCAGCCGCTTTCCAGCGTGCTGACGGTGGGTGCATGCGAGGGGTGGCCGTCATTTTAGGAGACGCACCCTCCGGTCCTTAGGAATGGTGTATGTGGACAGAGATGGATGTAAATACATATAGACCCCACCCTGCTGCCCACACTGTGGAGAGGCTGGCACCCGGTGCCTCAGCAGGCCTCCAGGTCTGCACTGTCCAGCACGTTCTATGGGGCTAAGAGCTTTCCCATCTGCACCGCCCCACCAGGCTCCTGGTGCCGGTGTGAGAACTGCAGGGCTGGAGGAAGGTGAGGTGTGGGTGGTGGTGAGACCCAAATGCCAAGGAGACCCCATGCCAGGACAGTGCCCTGTCGGCCAGGCAAGCACCAGGGCGCAGGTCAGAGAACCCAAGTTGCCACGTCAGGGGATCTCAAGTGGAGCAGTAAAGTGGCCAGCACGAGCTGACACAGCCCGGCCCAGCCCCGGCAGTGGAAGGATGGCCCACCTCTGAGGAGGGCCAGGCAGTGGGAGGGGGCAGGCCCGGCACAGAGGGCACACAGGGCACAGAGGGAAGCTGACTGGCTCCTGATAATCAGTGGCATGAGCTGTCATTTTTTTTTTCCCTAAGATAGATTAGTAAGAATTTTCTTGGCTGTAAAACACTCACGGCACTGATAAATCTGGGTGATCCTCAGCTGCTCGAGTGCCAACCCAGAAGACCTGCGTCGCCCTCAATCTTAACGAGCGACAACAGCAGATTGAAGGCACGCATTTCCTTTCCACGTGGAGTGGAGAACACACAAGGAGGCCGCCCGGCCCAGCCCCTTACCCATCCTTCCTTCGGCCGTGTTCTCTCCGGCTGCATCCCCCGGGGTGTGCATGGCTTGGGGTCGATCTGCAGGAAATTTCAAATCAGCTGGTTGTGAATAAGAGGCTGTTTCTCTAGGAAAGAGGGTGTCAGCACAACAGCAGCCACGGCACAGCAGCCCGGCCCGCCCCGCCCCGCCGGCTCCATTCACCCTGTATCCTCCTGCAATATCCAGCCTCAGCACCAAGGCTTAATCCTTCCCAATCGACCCCACGTTCAAACATACTCTAACGCAAACATCGGTCAGAGTCCAGGAAAAAATGAAGCAGAGGAAGGACAGGGGAGACAGAGAGCGGGTGTGAGCTCCCGGAAGGGCACTTACGTTTCGGCCATCTAGCGTGTGCGGTCTGCTGGCCAGCACCGTCCCCACACAGTTTGGGTCTTTAAATTTGACAAACCCAAAGCCTCGAGACTGGTTGGTGGTTTTATCTTTCATGATAACACAATCTACGACTTCTCCATATTGGGAAAAGTAGCTGCGCAGAGTCTCTGCTCAGAAATCGGGAAGAAAACACAAACACACAGGGCCAGAGCATTAGGCACGTGCCTGGCAGTGCTGCCGGCACGCACACTCCTCCAGTCCACCAGCCACGCACCGAGCGATGCTGCACTGGGGGTGGGGGGTGTACGGGAAGCGCTGGGGAATTCTGCCCAACACACACTTGAGGTCCTCACGTAAATCAGGGGCTGCCAGTGAGCACAGCAGTGGCCAGCGGTTACAACCTGACTTTGTAGGCGTCCAGGAAGGCAACGTTTAAGGCAAGGCAAACAAGACAACTCTGAATGCTGGCAGTGGCCAAGGAGCGCCGACTTTGCTACACACTCTTTCCTCCTATTCTGAACTCAGTAACAGCCTGGCCAGCCCCCAGCCCTCTGCACTTCCAGACAACAGCTGTCTGCCTCCACAAGCCACCTCAGCCCGGAGCTAGGAACCTGCAGCCTGAGGTCTTCCCTGTAACTTGGGATGGAAATACCAAATTAACAGTCTCAGAGCAAATACACACTTACTCTGTCCCCTGCCCAGAAATCAGAACAACGTCAAAAGGACTTTAAAATATCCAAGACAGTAGCAAGAGGCGGGCAGACACAACTTGAAGGCCGAGGTCCTAGAGCCCATCTGCAGTACCCACCTGACACCCCTTCCCCACCTACCTTGGGTCGTGCTCCAGTCAAGACCGCCCACGAAGAGCTTCCTGCGATTCAATGAGAAAACATTCAGGATCAAGACAGCGCTCGCCTTAGAAATGCCCCCATCCAAGCCAAGCTGAGGTCTTAATTCAAACCACAGAAGCAGCTGACGCAAACGTCCTTGTGCACGTGACGGCATACAAAGCTCACAGCAATGGCGAGTCAGCCTCGCCCATGCTGTCTGCAGACATGAAAGATGATCCCAATCCTTGCCATGGGGAGAGGACCGTGCCACAGAGCCGCACGCTGACCTCATGCGTGGCGGGCGATGAGTTCCTGGGACAGGCCAGTGGTGACGGCACCACGCTCACCTGCACTGCTGCCAAGTGGGACACAGGCTCGCTTTCCTACAGCTTTTGCGAGTATTTTATAATCAGGAAAAAGAATGTAGAAGTCTACATCTGAAATGATGCACAGTAAACTAGAAGCCTATGCCACACGGCCTCTGAATTACAGCCTGGGGCGGGGGTGGGGGGACACAGACAGAAGCCTCCCAATGAGCCTGCACTCACGAACTAACGAGAGGCCCACAGATGAAGGTGAAGGCCCTGAAGCTCCAGTCTCAGCACTGGCCCCACTTACTTACCCCCGACAAACCCGCGCCACCCCCATTCTGGGGCTGTCTCTTATTGGCAGATGAGAAGGGCCTGAAATTCAGTCTCAGCACTGGCACTTCCTGCCTGCCCCCACCAAAGACCCGCGCCACCCCCGTCCTGGGGCTGTCTCCTCCGGGCAGAAGAGCTGGAGCTCTCCCAAGGCGTCCGCCATCGACCCTGCAGCGACGCCCAAGGGCCCACTCACCTTTCCACCTCACTGCCGCTCCAGGTGGCCCCAGGGCCTTGGCTGTGCCAACTCCCAATGGGGACTGTGCCAACTCCCAATGGGGACTGTGCCACCTTGAGTCAGCCATGGCACCCACTGGGCATGTCTGAGACACCACAAGGCTTACCCAGGCACGGGGCCTTAGATGTCATTCAAGCTTCCCCCAAGCCCAGGAGGCAGGGAAGAGGTGGTTCTATCGGCGACTCTCCCATCCTGCCTGCTTTCCCTGGGAAAGAGGACACGCATTCAGAAATGAAGTCCCTGAGCTGAATCTCAGCTGTGACTCAGTGCCAGCACCATCATCACCCTTGGTCTCCAGAGAGCAAAACACCGTGCAGGCCAAAGCTCCCACCTGAGCCGCAAGAATCCTGCCAGCCTCACTGAAAGCACCATTCCCACGCGGGGCCCTGTATCCCTGACGGCCAACCACACCACCCTTGGCTTCGGCTTTCAGCAAAAACGTCGCTGTCAGGTTGAACACGTTACTGCCCCACCAGCAGCAGGAGCAACGTGCTCCTCCCTGCTCCTGCCAGCTCGCCAGGAAAGACCCCTGCAAGGTGGCTGGCACACTCATCACCTCTCATCAACCACCACCTGGGGCCTGTACACTCAGCCCCCGCGAGTCAGCCCCTGGTGAAGTGTCTGCCACAGCCAACCGCCAGGAGCTTGTCCCTGTTCCTTCTTTTTTCCCTAAGAACGACTGATTTAAATTTAGTGTGTGAAAAACAAAGCATGTTCCCACCACAGGAAAGGCACCCACTGCCGTCTTCAAAACGTCAACAAGCAACCCCCCAGCCCCGTTCTTCGGTGGGGAGGGCTGAGGCGGGAAGAATTAGAGGCGGGGTGTGCCAGCCGCCCTGTGCTTCCTGACCCTTAGAGACGAGATCTGAAAAGGCAAATTTCAGGGAAAACCATGCTGATCACGCAACAGCAACAGGCTTAGGTTGAGGCCTCATTAACTTAAAATCCTACGTCTCCCACGCACCCTTCGCAATCAGGCCAGGGAGCGTTGAGGTCAGGCCTAGAGACCGTGGGAGGAGCGAGGCCTCCGCGTGCCTCACTCTCCATAGGCTGTGCCTCACTCTCCATAGGCTGTGCCCGCGCTGAGTCAGGGCCAGCCCCGCCCACATCCCTGCCAGCAGGGCCCGGCACCCAGCAGGAGCCAGCAGCAGCCCCCACCCCATGAAGGAAGGGCCCCCAAGCCTGGCTGGAACCGACCGGAAAAATGCTCATTTACACAATCCTTTGGAATTAAAGTTCAAGCAGTTCTCAAAAAAAAAAAAAAAAACAAAACACACACACACACACACACACACACACACACACACATAAAACCCTGAAAACCAAACCAAATCCAAGTCACTTGAAGAAACAGCAGCCTGTAGTCAGCACTGCACCCACCCAACAGCCAGGTAACAGGCAGGTGTCCTCCAAGCAGCCCAGTACCCCCTCCACCCCCACCTCACTGGCAGAAGGAACTCGTCAGACCAGTCCAGTTTCGGTCTTCATTTAAATTTCAAAAATTGTGTATTAAGGGGGAAGGGCTAGAAACGCTCAGCTGAGAAACCTGAAACAGGGCCGGGGGGGTTAGATAACCTGGTATCAGTACTGTCTTTCTCAGCTGGGCGCAGATCACGCCTATAATCACAGCATTACGGGAGGCCAGGAGTTCAAGACCAGCCTGGGCAACGTAACGAGACTCCAGGTGGTGGCAGGCACCTGTAGTCCCAGCTACTTGGGAGGCTGAGGCAGAAGGATCGTTTGAGTCAAGGTCGAGGCTGCAGTGAGCCGTGATTGTGTCACTGCACTCCAGCAGGGGTGACAGAGATCTCATCTCTTAAATAAAATTAAAAAAAAAATAAAAAATACTCTTAAATAAAATTAAAAAAATAAAAAATACTCAAATACAATTTTAAAAAATAATAAATACTTTCTCAATTTTTTTTTGAAAAATTGTCTCGCTGTGTTGCCCAGGCTGGAGTGTAGTGGCGCGATCTCAGCTCACTGCAACCTCCGCCTCCCGGGTTCAAGCGATTCTCCTGCCTCAGCCTCCCGAGTAGCTGGGACTACAGGCGCCCGCCAGCTAATTTTTGTATTTTTAGTAGAGACGGGGTTTCACCATATTGGCCAGGATGGTCTCAATCTCTTGACCTCGTGATCCACCAGCCTCGGCCTCTCAAAGTGCTGGGATGACAGGCGTGAGTAGCTGCGCCCGGCCACTTTCTCAATTTTGATCACTGTGCTGTGTTCATGTGAGAGAATGTCATTGTTCTTGGGAAACAATAGATATCTCAGTGTACACATAAAGGGGACTGCATCGGTCTCCAGCTACTCTCAAATATTTCAGTAGAAACACACACAGTGGGGATGGGTGCACTGGCTCACGCCTGTAATCCCAGCACTTTGCAAGGCTGAGGTGGGCGGATCACCTGAGGTCAGGAGTTCGAGACCAGCCTGGCCAACATGGCAAAACCCCATCTCTACTAAAAATACAAAAATTAGCTGGGCTCGGTGGTGCGCACCTGTAATCCTAGCCACTCGGGAGGCTGAGCTCGAGGTGTACTGCTTGAACCCGGGAGGCGGAGGTTGCACTGAGCCAAGATCAAGCCACTGCACTCCAGCCTGGGCGACAGAGTGAGGGTCCATCTAAACACACACACACACACACACACACACACACACACACACACACAGTTCACTGGGGGTGGGGCAAGAGGCACCACGTGCCAAAGGGTAAAATGTCAGCCAATGGTGAGTCTGGCAGGGCCAAGAGGATATGGGAATTTTTGTAATTTTCCTGTAAGTCAGAAGTTATATATACAATTATGGTATAAAAGACTTTCATTACTGAGAACAAGACAGAATTTCAGTTTCTTTTGAAACAAGTCTCAGTCCTTATGGAATCTGAGACAGCAACAGATAGCTTTCGTTTCACATAGCTGTGTCTGGAGCTCCCCACCGCAGGTGACCCGCCCGCCTCGGCCTCCCAAAGTGCTAGGATGACAGGCGTGAGGCACCGCGCGCGGCCACACTGTGTGTTTCTGTTGAGATATTTGAGAGCAGCTTCTAACGCTAAAGCTTCCTGTGTCCATGTGTCTTTTACTACCACTCAGGAGCCACCGGCGAACACCTTCTCCCTGGTCTACAGACAGAAGCCTCCGGGAAGTCCCGGAAAGCAGGGTCATCTCTTCAGTGGCAGGGACTGCCTCCAGGGCCCTGGCACAAAGTCCCTACTTCTGAATCTCAGGATGTTTTAATCAATAAAATAAGAAAGCTCCTGGCTGCCAACCTCACCAGGTCGTGAGTGAGAAGCCGGCACATCAGAAACATGCGGAGCCCTGGGCAGGCACCTCCCAGACACTGTCCATCAACTGCCCAGGCAGCAGAACCAACTCTCACACAAGTAAACGTCGGAGTCCAGGAAGCCGGGCGCGGGCAGAGGCCAAAAGGAGGAGCTGCTGGCTCTCGTGGGCTTGCTACGGGGCTGGCGGTCCGCTTGTCCTCAGCTCCAGGCTTGCTCAGCCTGCACCTTGGCTGGCGGCGTGTGGACTGAGGACGTTAACGGGGCAAGGCAACACTGGCCTACGCAGATGAAGGGGTCGGTGAGCAATGTGGCTCCTGCACCCTGCCTCTGAGGGGCCCGCTGGGTGGGAGAGTCATCACCCAGCTGACGGCATCTCCGACACTGGAAGTCGTGGCTCCTACAGACCTCACACCCCACAAACCCAAAAGGGGTGTTCTCATTAGTGGGGGAGGCGTGGGACGAGCTCCACTTCTTCCCTTGCAACCTGGAGTCCAGCGTGCAGTCTGCCCATCAAAGGTCATGATGAACATCTCCCAGGATCTGCAAGCCTGGCACCCAGGGCCTGCAGCTCGACACCTGGCAGGTGCTCAATCCACGGTGGCCGGCGCAGCCACCCTCTTCTGCCTGTTAAAGCAAAAGCCGTTTTGGATGGCAACCTCGCTTGCTGCGTGCCATTCGGGTGCCTGTGCGGTATTTATGCGTAAAGTCCATCTGCAGAGGCTTCCTCTGGCCTAGGCTGACCACAAAGAGCCCTGACCTCCTGGCAGCACCAGAGTGGGCTTCAAAAACCGGCGGCCAGCCCGGCCATTCGGGGCCAGCAGCCTCAATGGGGGCAGTTGGCAGGCGACCTTTCCCTTCCTGCTGGGCCGGGGGACCAAGCCAGGAGGAGCCTGCCTCCCCACAGACCCCACCTGGCTCTGGGCTCCGCCAGTCACACTCAGCTCCGTGCACAATCTCAAGAGGCAGAAGTCCAGGCCCAGTGGCGGCTGATGTGTGGGGAACCCTTCTCTTCTTCCAGAGCATCAGGAAGAGCCTCTAGGGACTTTCCTGCCCCTAAGACCAGGTGGGAAACCAGGACCACTTCACCCACTGCCTCAGGCCAGTGAGCCCAGCCCGCCCCTCCATAGCCTGGACTCCCTCTCCCCAGCAGGGTCAGATGCCCCCCCTCCAGCCCACGCCTGCAGGGTGTGGGGTCCACAGAACACAGGAGCGGTCCGTGAACTGGAACGCGCTGCTGTGTGCTGAAGGAGCCCCTGAATGCCCACATCCTGGGTGCTAACTGTGGTCACCCTCATCCTCTCCCTGCCAGCCCCGCCCTCCCAGGCGGACCAGTGTTCTCCTTGGCAACGCCTGGAGCCAAGCTGGAAGCTCAGCCTATAAGCATCTGTCGAATGACTGGCCTCTGCCAAAAGCCCTGTCACAGCTCTCAGGGATTCTGACATCATGACATGGTGTCACGGGGACCAGGCCTGGATGGGAAAAGGCCTCAGTTCACAGAAGACAGCACAACCTCAGATTGACGGGTCGCACCATGAACATAGCCGCCTGACCAGGAGCGCCCTCTGTGCGGGGCGGGCAGTGGAGGAGTGTGGACTCCCAGCTCCGGATCTTCCACCCCCTGGGGTGACCCCGGGCCCATCCCTCAACTCCTCTGTGCCTCAGTCTCTCTGGCAAAGCCAAGGGTTAGAGCCAAGGCTACAAGCACAGCTGGGCACGCTGCGCGCTGCTGCTAGCTCTGGGCCACTGGGGAGCTGCTGTGTGAAGGGCAAGCGCCAGGGTCCATGCTGCTGCCTTTCTAGACACCGGCCTGCTCCAGACCATTGGAGCCAAGGCGAGCCAGTCAGGAGCACATCCACCCTCAAGGCCCATTCACAGGAATCAAAGGAGCCGACACAGGACAAGCCATAAACCACAAGGAGCAGCGGCCCCCAGCGCAGGGGCAACCAGGCCAAAAGCACAGATGCTCCCAGACAGTGGCTCTCCCCCCAGCAGGACACTGGGTGATGTCTGGGAACATTTGTGGTTGTCACGACTGGGGGTACTCCTGACCCGGAGTGAATGGAGGCCAAAGGTGCTGCCCAGCACCCTGCAGTGCCCACGGTGCCCCAGAGTGATCCAGGCCAGAGTGCTGACAGAGCCCAGGAGACCTGCCTCGGAATAACTCCAAATGCACCAAGAGAGCCCCAGAAAGGCCGGCACGGCCCCATGAGGTTCCCTATCACTCCCCGCACTGCAACAGCCTCCCCCAGATCACGGCCCTCTCTGGCCTGACCAACAATCTTGCCAGGTGCCTTGTGCTCACTCTGCACAGGTACAAGTAGTCACGGCCTCTAGGGGCCCAGCCAGGAGCCCCACTCAGGATGTCTCCTTCCACAGCCACCCAATAAACCCAGAGACCTGCCATGGGCCTGGCTCTGAGCTGCATGGCCCCCGGCCACAGTCCTGGGTATCCTCGAAGCTGCCCAGAGGCGGCTTTCTCCTCTCTCCGCTGAGTCCTTCCTCCCTCTGTGACTTTCCTACAATATTTCCAGGTGTCCCTGTCTTACCATTCCCCAGTGTACCAGATAAAATCTTCCATAAACCTCTCTCTCCAGTTCCATGACCGTGTGCTGCCTTGGAAGCCAGCAGAACACAATGGCCTGGGCGCTCGAGGTGACCCCTCTGAGCCTCTGTCCTCTCCCCAGTAGGCCAGGCATGGGCCCTATCCCTGACACCTGGTCTACCACCCAGGCGCCTAGCACCCAGCGGCTACTCAACAGGATGTGGCGACCCCGGCCGCGCTGTGTCAGCTTCCCAGAATCCAAGTCAGAGGCGCTCAAGCCAGACTTTAAGATGACTTCACAAGGCCAGGGAGGGCACACTGGAGACTCGGGCCTTCCTGATCGCGCGTGCTCTGAGCGCTCCAGGCCACCTGCTGGTGCCAACCCTCTAACCCTCCTGACAGGTCAGTGCCTGTCCCCCACCCTTCACAAGAGGACCAGGACAGGCCCCGCTCCCAAAGGAGGACACTGTCCATCACATCCACCATGTAGGGTCCGCGTGCCAAACCCACCAGGATCCAGAGAGGGACTCCCCACACCCCACCACACGTATGCGCTTCCTCCTGCATGAAGCCCCCCTCAAGCTGACTGGAAGTCGGTGTGTGTAAGGCATCCGTTATCACCGGCAGGCCTCAGCTGACTTTCATCCCCCATCAAGCTTTACATGGACTTCTAAGCCAGCACAGGGACCCTCAAAACTTGGGACGACTTCTCAGACTCAAAAGCAGAGCTTCCCCCAAGGATGGCTCCCTAACCCACCTTCCAGGTGTGGATTCCCAGGGCAGCAGCTGGACGGCCACAAGTGTCCCAGAACAGGGGGCTCCCAAGCTCCAAGTCTCCTGAGGCGTTGACCCCGCACCCATGCATGCTCCAGGCCCAGCCCTCCAAGCGGGGTCCGGCGGGATCTCCTGCCTCCTCCATGGCAGTGAGCAGTGAGGGCTCTGCATCAGGAAGAGGGAGCTCCTCAGGCTGCCGAGCCCCCCCAGTGGGTAAGGGACACCGCAGACCCATGGCGTCCTGAGAGCCGCCATCTGCCGCAGAGAGGGCCTGCTTCCATCCAAGCTCAGCACCCTCCTGCATGGCACCCACCGCACCTGCAGGGGACTTGCCAGGAGGGCGCTTCGCAGGGTCACAAGCATTTCACGCACACAACAACTCCACACAGCAAGATCAGAGCAGACCGTGGACTCCGCATAGAATGGAAGCCGGTCTCCCATGCGACGGGCGGCTGTGGCAACACTTCTTGCCCAAGGAGTCTGACTTAGAAAGCAGTGGACACTCCTGGCAGCCGGGGAGGAGAGCAGGGTCCATGCACTCCAGTTCTCCTCCACGCAGCCCGTGGCGTCCGGGTGGCCTGCGAGCCTATTTGTGCTGTGGGTGGGACCCCTCCAGACCCAGGCTGGGACCCCAGCTGCCCCACTTCCCAAGGGTGTCCATGCAGGGAGGGGACAGGAGCCCTCACCTCTCTCCAGCCTCCTCACAGCCACGGCTTGGGTGGAGCGGGCCCACGTTCACCCGCGGCTTGAATGGACCTAATCCAGGTACCCCATCTGGGAGCCCTTTCCCTGCCTCACCCCAAAGTCGATGGCTCCATCCCCCATGGCCGGTGGACTCCCTGCTCAGGCCCATCCCTGCAATGTCCCTCACACAGGCACACGGACCCTGCCAAGTCAAAGTGCCTGGAGAGGACTCACAGCACGGGCTAGGCAGGGGCTAAGTGCTTTCATCCTGGTTCTCCAACGGAAGGTGCTCTTTTGTTTTGTCTGGGGAGGGGGAGAGCCCACAAAAGGCATTTCCCATCCACAAGTGTGACCTGTAGCTGGTGCGAGAGGCGCCTGCCAAGGCAACCCTCTAGCAGCAACCGCTCCCGCACTAGCCAAGCCCAGCGCTGAGAACACAGGGCGCTGCTCAAAGCTAAGGGCACCGAGAAATTTACACCAGACCACTAGGAAACCCAACCCAGACTGTTTTGCCGGAAGAATGCAACTCTAAAACGACGTCGCTGCGGCAGGAGCCGCTCCTACCAAAGAATGGCGCCGAGCCCTGGGGCACAGCGAAATGAGGTTTCCCGGCCCCGCGGGGTCCGGAGCAGGTCAGGCTCCTATAGGAGGGGACGCCTCGGCGCAGCAAAGATCCGCGGGCCCGTCGCCGCCTCGGAAGCGCTGACTCTCCCTTCCGCAGCTCAAGCCCACCCCCGGCGGGGAGGCGCCGAGGCAACGTAAACACAGCAGGCCCCGGCTGACCCGAGCCCCCTGGGCCCTGGGTTTGCGAACCCCTCCCGACCTTACCACTTTGGGGGGGTGGGATGGGAGCGGGGAGCCCGGAGCCCCGAGTGGGATAGGTTGGGCGGTGGCAGAACCGGAACCCTCGCCTCGGCTCGCCACGTGCGCCGCCCGCCAAGTTTGGGCGCGCGCTGGGGGCGCCCCGGACCACCCCCCACGCCACAGTTTGGGGTCCCCCTGGCCAGGAAGCCGGGAGGCGGCGGCGACGGCGCCCTGGACTCCCCGCAGACTCCCTCAGGTTCTCATTCGGGGTCCCCCAGGCCAGGAAGCCCTACAGGCGGCAACGGGGACGCTCCAGACCCCCCCAAGTTCCCGTTCGGGGCCGCCACAACCAGGAAGCGGCGGCGGGGGCCCCTGAACCCCTCTGGCTCCCATTCGGGGTCCCTCAGGACGCGCAGTCGGGAAGCGGCGGCACGGGCGCCCCAGGACACCCCCCCAGGTTGCCGTTCGGGGTTCCCCCGACCAGGAAGTCTGGAGGCGGCGGCGGGGCCCCCCGGACCCCTCAGGCTCTCCTTCAGGATCCCCCAGGACGGGAAGCCGGGAAGCGGCGGCGGGGGCGCCAGGACCCCCCCAGACCCCGGGCACCCGTCCAGGGCCCCCGGCGCGAAGCCGCGGCGAGTCCGGGTCCCGAGTCCGCCCCCGGCCGGCGTGACCTTGACGGGGCGGCCCCGGGGGGCGGCGTCTGAGGCCGGGCGGCGGGGAGCGGCGGGCCGGGCTCGGGGCGGAGACGCAGGCCCGCGCCGCTCGTCCTCACCCGATCTCGTCGGCGCCCGAGTTGTTCATGGCGGCGGCGGCGGCGACGCTCGGCGCTCCCGGGCCTCCTCGCTCGCTCCCGCCTCCGGAAGGTCACCCGCTCCGTCGCCCTCCCCACAGCCGCGGCCCGGATCTGCGCAACGGCGGCGGCGGCGGCGGCGGCGGCGGCGGCGGCGGCGGCGGCTGCCTCCTCCCCTCGGCGCCAACGGTCACCGCGCGTCCCCGCGCCGCCGCGCCGCCGCCCCTGCGCACGCCCGGGCGCGCTCCCGCACGGGGTCTCCGGGGGCGGGTCCAGGGGTACTCCGTCTGTGCGTGCGTCCCTGAGGCGGATTTCGCGCCGCCGCAGTCGGGGCCGTCGCGCGTTTTCCTTTCTCCTCGGAGGCTCCTGGCGTTGCCGCGGGGCACGCTGGGAAATGGAGTCCCTGCGCTGGCCCCGCCCCTGCAAGGGGAGGATGCGCGCGGGCCGAGCCACGTGCGTGCGTGCGCGCGCGTGCGGGCTTGCGTGCGCGTGCGCGCTTGCGAGACCGGCGCTCCGGGCTAGGCACTGTGGGCGCAGGCGCGGCTGCCGCTTCCTCTTTAACTCTTCACTCGGAAGCGGTGGAGCCGCGTGGGGCGCTGCGGGGAGTGGGAGTGTACCCGCCCGCACCCCAGGCGGGCGGACGGAGCGGGAACGGCACGTGAGCGTCCCGCGCGAGGCTCCTTCCCCTGTCCGCATTTCACAGAAGAGGATCCCGAGGGTCCGAGAGGCTGAGTCACTTGGCCAAGGTCACCCAGTTCGGGGCTGAACTGGAATCAAATCAAAACAATTAACTAAATTCAATGACTATGAAAAGATATTATTGACCCCCCCCCCAAGTGCTATTACTATTAATAGCCAAATACTGTTTTAGTTGCATCTGTTAATTGCATACATCAGTGGTTCTTCTTCTGGGTGACTTTGCCCCCTAGGGGATAACTTGGCAATGTCTGAAAACACGGTTTTGGTTGTCACAACTTGAGTGCGGGGTGCTGCTGGCATCGAGTGGGTCCAGACCAGACATGCCGCTCAGCACCCTGCAGTGCACACGACGACCCCCCAAAAAGAATGATACCCGTCCTCCAATGTCAGCAGAAGGAGGTGGAAAAACCGGTCTAGGCTGACGGTAGTAAACAGGTGACCCGCAGGGTTTTGTAAAACCGGGTACGTGCTGCCTACTGCTTTTCTCCTTAATCTCACAGCACATTGACAGCCTGATCGTTTGGTTTATTCATCATCACAGAATTAAATAAATACAAGGAACAAGGCCGGGTGAGGTGGCGCACGCCTATAATCCCAACACTTTGGGAGGCCGAGGATCAATTTAGGTCAGGAGATCGAGACCAGCCTAGCCAACATATATAGTGAAACCCCGTCTCTACTAAAAATACAAAAGAAAATTAGCCGGGCGTGGTGGTGGGCGCCTGTAATCCCAGCTACTCGGGAAGCTAAGGCCGGAGAAATGCTTGAAGGCAGGAAGTAGAGGTTGCAGTGAGCCGAGATCGCGCCACTGCACACCAACCTGGGCAACAGAGCAAGACTCCCTCTTAGAAAAAAAAGGGCCGAGCATGGTGGCTCACTCCTGGAATCCCAGCAGTTTGGGAGGCCAAGGTGGGCGGATCACGAGGTCAGGAGATCGAGACCATCCTGGCTAACATGGTGAAACCCCGTCTCTACTAAAAGTACAAAAAATTAGCTCGGCATGGTGGCAGGCGCCTGTAGTCCCAGCTACTCAGGAGGCTGAGGCAGTAGAATTGCTTGAACCCAGGAGGCAGAGCTTGCAGTGAGCCGAGATCGTGCCACTACACTCCAGCCTGGGCGACACGGCAAGACTCTGTCTCAAAAAAAAAAAATACAAGGAACAAGATCACAGACAAATAGTACAAAACACTTTTTTTTCTTTTATTTTGAGACAGGCTCTCACTCTGTTGCCCAAGCTGGAGTGCAATGATGCAGTCATAGCTCACTGCAGCCTTGAACTCCTGGACTCCAGCTATCCTCCCTCCTCAGCCTCCCAAGTAGCTGGGACTAAAACCCCATTTAAAATAAAACTGGCCGGATGCAGTGGCTCATGCCTGTAATCCCAGCACCTTGGAAGGCTGAGATGAGAGGATCGCTTGAGCCCAGGAGTTCAAGACCAGCCTGGCCAACATGACAAAACCCCATCTCTACAAAAAATAATAATAATAATAATAATACAAAAATCAGCCAGGTTTGGTGGCACGCACCTGCAGTCCTAGCTACTTGGAGGCTGAGGCAGGAGGATGGCTGGAGCTCAGGAGTTGGAGGTTTCAGTGAGCCGACATCGCACTACTGCACTCCAGCCTGGGCCACGGAGCCAAACCCTGCCAAAAAAAAAAAAAAAATCTGGGCTCAGTGGCTCACACATGTGATCCCAGCAATTTGGGAGGCCGAGGTGGGCGGGTCACCTGAGGTCAGGAGTTCGAGACCAGCCTGGCCAACATGGCAAGACCCTGTTTCTATCAAAAACAAAACAAAACAAGACTGGAACATTTGAAATAACCACACATCCATCTATTGGTGACTGGATAAATGAACAATGAAGCAGTGGGTGGATGAAATGCACAGAATGTGGCCCAAAGAAGGAAGTCGGGCACAAGCTGATTACAAATAATATATTTTTTAAAATACAGGCCAGGCACGGTGGCTCACGCCTGTAATCCCAGCACTTTGGGAGGCCGAGGTGGGCGGGTCACCTGAGGTCAGGAGTTCGAGACCAGCCTGGCCAACATGGCGAGACCCTGTCTGTACTAAAAATACAAAAATTAGGCAGGCGTGGTGGCGGGTGCCTGTAATCCCAGCTACTCAGGGGGCTGAGGCAGGAGAGTCGCTTGAACCCGGGAGGCAGAGGTTGTAGCGAGCCGAGATCACACCATTGCACTCCAGCCTGGGCGACAGTGCAAGACTCCATCTCAAAAAAAAAAAAAAAAGCCAGGTGTGGTGGCGGATGCCTGTAATCCCAGCTACTCAGGAGGCTGGGGCAGGAGAATCGCTTGATCATGAGAGGTGCAGGTTGCAGTGAGCCGAGATCGCGCCACTGCACTCCAGCCTGGGCTACAGTGCGAGACCCCACCTCAAAAAAAAGAAAAGAAAAGAAAAAGAAAAAAAAGGAAGGAAGAAAGAACTAGAAGAGGCTACTTCTCCGCTTCTCCCTCTTCCCCATTCATTTCCTTCCTTCCACTCCAGGGCAAAGGCAGCGAGAAAAAGGCTGTGCAGATACTGATCTGAATTTACTCCCAGTGTGACTATAAACAGATCCAACACACGGTATGTAGTTTTGGTCCCCTTTTTTTCTTGTGGTAAAATATATGTGACATAAAATTTTCCATTTTAATTATTTTTGTTTTTATTTTATTTATTTATTTTGAGATGGAGTTTCTCTCTTGTTGCCCAGGCTGGAGTGCAATGGCTCGATCTCGGCTCACCACAACCTCCGCCTCCCAGGTTCAAGTAATTCTGCCTCAGCCTCCCGAATAGCCGGGACTACAGGCACGCACCACCACGCCCGGCTAATTTTGTATTTTTAGTAGAGACGGGGTTTCTCCATGTTGAGGCTGGTCTCGAACTCCTGACCTCAGGTGATCTGCCCGCCTTGGCCTCCCAAAGTGCTGGGATGACAGGCGTGAGCCGCCACGCCCGGCCCCATTTTAATTATTTGTAGGTGCACAGCTCATTGGCATTAAGCGCATTCCCATTGTTGTGCAACCATCACCGCCGTCCTCTCCAGAACCTTCTCATCTTCCCAAACTGAAACTCTGCCCCGTGAAATACTCACTCCCTGTCCCCTCCCCAGCCCCTGGCACCCCCCCCCCCCGCCATCCTACGTTCTGTCTCTGTGGATCGGAGGACTCCAGGGACCTCCTAGGAGTGGACTCACATAGGATTTGTCCTGTTGCGACTGGCTTATTTCACTGAGAGTGATGTTCTCTGCAACCTCCGCCTCCCGGGTTCAAGCGATTCTCCTGCCTCAGCCTCCTGAGTAGCTGGGATTACAGGCACCCACCACCACGCCCAGCTATTTTTGTATTTTTGTAGACATGGGGTTTCACCGTGTTGCCAGGCTGGTCTCAGGGGATCCGCCCACCTCAGCCTCCCAAAGTGCTGGGATTACACGCGTGAGCCACCGCGCCCGGCCCTGGCTAATTTTTAAAACTTTTTTTTTTTTGTAGAGACAAGGTCTCTGTGTGTGGTCTAAGCTGGTCTTAACTCTTGCACTGAAGCAATCCTTCTACCTCGGCATCCCAAAGTGGTGGGATCACAGGCCTGAGCCCCTGCACCTCCCCCAGGCACTGGGATCACAGGTGGGAGCTGCTGCACCCAGCCTATCAAGCATGTTCTGTGTGCCAGGATCACTGACAGCCCTGTGAGAGGGACGCTAGGACCATGAAGAAATACCTTCCGTTAGTGAACTACCAAAGAGAGAGAAAACAGCTTCTGGCCGGGTGGGTGCGGTGGCTCACACCTTGCAATCCCAGCACTTTAGGAGGCCGAGGCGGGTGAATCACGAGGTCAGGAGATCAAGACCATCCTGGCTAACATGGTGAAACCCCGTTTCTACTAAAAATACAAAAAAAAAAAAAAAAAAAAAAAATTAGCCGGGCTTGGTGGCGGGCGCCTGTCATCACAGCTACCCAGGAGGCTGAGGTAGGAGAATCGCTTGAACCCGGGAGGCAGAGGTTGCACTGAGCCAAAATCATGCCACTGCACTCCAACCTGAGCAACAGAGTGAGACTCTGTCTCAGAAAAACAAAAACAAACAAAACAGCTTCTGACCAGGACATGCCTGTCCTGGGGCAGAATGGGGGTGTCTCCTAGAGGACACGTGGGCTCAGCTTGAGACAGAACGAGAAAGCGGCCTGACCAGGAGAGAGGCTGTCTGGGCAAGGGGAAGAGCGTGTGCCAAGGCCCGGGGCTAAGGAGCTGTGCAAGAGGTGGCAGGGGCATGTGGAGGCGTTGAGCAGGCAGTGATGGGGCAGGCAGCTACCCAGACAAGGTGGCGCAGGGAAGGCCGCGCGCGGGAGCTGTTTCCGAGGCTGCCTGCGTTCACACCGTGGCCCTGCTGCAACCTGTGAACCTCAACCTCTCTGGGCCTCAGTTTCCCTCGTGTTAAATGGGCATAATAACTGCATCTGTTAACCCGTGCAGAACGCACGGCAGGCAGGCAGGCAGGCAGGCAGGCAGTGCTCAGGGCTCATGACTGTGGCCCCACGTTCAGAGGGGGAAGGAAACCGGCTATCAGAGCCAGGACGCCACCGCAGCGGGCTTGGGGGCCCCCAGGAAACAGGCGGGGGGTGTGCTTGACCCTAAGGGGCTACCCTGGGCTGGGGGAGGCCTAATTCCACCCCCGCACACCCCAGCTGCAGGGCCGCCGGAGGAAAGGGCACTGCTGGGATTGAGTCCTGGTCTCCAGAACTGGAGGCGTCTTTGGGCGGAATCCCCCATTAGGGACCCGGGGTCTCAGATGACCCCCAGCCTATGGGGGTGTGACATGGGCTCATGAAAGGGGGGCATCAGAGCTCTAATGCTGGGTCCCCACCCTCGTGGCCACCAGACCACCGGCTTTGCTTCTCAAAGCCTCAGTTTCCACATCTGTAAAATGACAGTCGGCTGCTCTATGGAGTAGCCATTCATTTTTATTCCTTAATAAACTTGCTTTCAAAAAAGAAAGGAAGGAAGGAAGGAAGGAAAAACGACAGTCATCATAGAACCTGGCGGGCGCGGTGGCTCACGCCTGTAATCCCAACACTTTGGGAGGCTGAAGCGGGAGGATCGCTTGCGCCCAGGAGTTTGAGACCAACCTGGGCAACATAGCAAGACCCCGTCTCTATTAAAAAAAGACAGAACTCACTGTAGCATCTTCTGAAGATTAAATGATTTTAAACACTTAAAGCACTTCCAACAGCGCCTGGAAGATCCTCAGATTCTCACACCCCAGCGAGGAGGGGGCCTTTCTGCGGTGCTGACAGATGAGGAATCTATGGCGCGTAAGCGGCAAGGCGGGGATTCCAGTCCCCAGCCTGCAGGTTCGCGTCCCCGGGCGCGGGGCTGCGGTGCCCGCTCCGCAGAGGGGGCACCGAGGCTCCTTGGGGAGGGGGCGGCCGGGGCCCCGACCCCACTCCCGCCACCTCTCGCGTGGCCGCCGCTAGAGGCCGCTCCCGGAGCCGCGCGCGCGCGTCCTCTCGCGGGTCCGCCCCCCGGGCCTGTTGGACCCGCCCCCGGCCCACAAGCCCCTGCAGGGAGCGGGCCCGGGCGGCGCGCGATCGAGGTCGGGTCGCCGTCCAGCCTGCAGCATGAGCGCCCCCAGCGCGACCCCCATCTTCGCGCCCGGCGAGAACTGCAGCCCCGCGTGGGGGGCGGCGCCCGCGGCCTACGACGCAGCGGACACGCACCTGCGCATCCTGGGCAAGCCGGTGATGGAGCGCTGGGAGACCCCCTATATGCACGCGCTGGCCGCCGCCGCCTCCTCCAAAGGTAGCCCCCGCCCGGCCTGCACCGCCCCCGGGGGCGCAGGGGAAACTGAGGCCGGGGCTGCCCCGACCCGGGGACTCTGCAGCCCACCCTCCCGCCGGGGCGCCTCTGTCTCCTCGCCTGGGAAGTGGGGCTGCAGGTGGGGGCACACGGAGGCGTTCACGGGGAGTGCGGCAGGCGTGGGGCCCGCACACGTTAGGCACCGCCTAAGTACCAGAAACTTCCTCTCCAGGGGGAGTGAGGCCCCCCGCTCTCCAGATGGGGACCTCAAACGTGAGACCTGGGTGAAACTGGGTGGAACCGGGTCCCCAGCTCCCTGTCTGAGGTCGGGAGGAAGGGGTCGTGCCAGGGAGAGGCTGCCCTTCTGCCTGCCTGGGAGAGCAGCCCCGACTCGCCCGGCTAAGAATAGCACTCGGAAAGCTGAGCTCAGGGAGACAGCTGTCCCCGGGGTGGCCCTGGCCTGCCTGGCGTCAGACGCTAAGGGCTGCTAAGAAAGGACTCCCTGGCCCCACACAGGCCCCGTCCAGGGGTCGGGCCTCAGTGTTCCCACCCTGAAAATGGGCACGTCCAGTGTCCAGTGCCAATCAGGATTGAGCGGGGGGCCCATGTGTGGCCCACTGGGGACCAGTCCTTCCCCTCCCAGATAGTCTCAAGTCCAGGTCTTGCCTGGCCACTCTTGCAAATCCAACTTTCGGATAGAGGGAGGGGGAGAGAAAAGTAACTAACCCGAGAGATAAGGGACCCGGGACAAACAGCGTGGGCTGGGCTCAAAGTCCAAGGCTCTCGCCTCCCCACAGGCCTGGCCCCAAAAGCGGCCGTCTTCGGCCTCCCTGGCTGGTCATCCTCTCTCTGGCCGCTGGCCAGGGCCCACGCTGTTCCCGCTCAGGACTACTGTGTTCCGCCCGCCTCTGTCCATGCTGGCCCAGGGTGCCCTCCCGTCCTGTGGCAAATGTGACTCACATAGCCTAGTTCAGCCCTGCACCCCCTCCTCCAAGCAGACCCCCAGCTCAGCCCTGCCCTACCCTGTGCCCCCTCCTCCAGGAAGCCTCCCCAGCCCTGCTCTGCACCCCCTCTTCCAGACAGCCTCCCCAGCCCTGCATCCCCTCCTCCTGGCAGCCTCTCCAGCCCTGCCCCGCACCCCCTCCTCCAGGCAGCCTCCCCAGCATTGCCCCACACCCCCTCCTCCAGGCAGCCTCTCCAGCCCTGCTCTGCACGCCCCCCTCCAGGCAGACCCCCAGCCCAGCCCTGCGCCCCCTCCTCCAGGCAGTCTCCCCAGCCCTGCCCTGCCCTGTGCCCCTCCTCCAGGCAGCCTCCTAAGCCCGCCCCACCTAGTGATGCCAGGCGCCCTGTGTCTGCCCAGGGGGCCGGGTCCTGGAGGTGGGCTTTGGCATGGCCATCGCAGCGTCAAAGGTGCAGGAGGCGCCCATTGATGAGCATTGGATCATCGAGTGCAATGACGGCGTCTTCCAGCGGCTCCGGGACTGGGCCCCACGGCAGACACACAAGGTGCCCCTCTGCCCGCAGGCCCTCCAGGACCCCCACTCCTTGGGGTGAGGGCACTGCTTCCTGGGGGTTGGGGGCCTGGGGCTGTCAGAGGTGGAGGAGGTGGTCTTCTCTCTCGGGAGTCCCCCTGGCCGCTCCCTTTCTGCAGGTGGGGAGATCCTGGGGACCTCTCTACCCTGTCCTCTCTTTTTCTTTTCCCCTCTGCAAGGTCATCCCCTTGAAAGGCCTGTGGGAGGATGTGGCACCCACCCTGCCTGACGGTCACTTTGATGGTGAGGGGTGAGGGGACGTATCACAGGGTGGGCCTCCCCAGCTCCAATGCAGCCCCTCCTTTGCTTGTGGGGGTCCCTCTGATGTGCACTGGGGGGACAGAGCCCAAGTGGGTGTGGGCCTGGCTGTGGGATGGCGGAGCACCGGGGATGGGCATGCTCACGGAGGGGCCCTGGAGGCGATCTCGGGGTTCTCAAGCCTGTGTGGGAGCCCCACCTCTACCCACGGCCCCGTCTCACTGCACCTCCACCCGCTGGGGGATGAGCCGGGTGAGGCTGGGTGAGGCGCTGAGCCCGGCCCTGACCGCGTGGGCTTCTGTTCTCCGTGCAGGGATCCTGTACGACACGTACCCACTCTCGGAGGAGACCTGGCACACACACCAGTTCAACTTCATCAAGGTGGTTCTCTCTGACTTGCTGGGATGCGGGAGGCCCTCGGGGAAGCCCCTCTGCCCACACCCCCACCTCCGTCCTGACCACTGGCCACTCCCCTTCCACAGAACCACGCCTTTCGCCTGCTGAAGCCGGGGGGCGTCCTCACCTACTGCAACCTCACCTCCTGGGGGGAGCTGATGAAGTCCAAGTACTCAGACATCACCATCATGTTTGAGGTGCGCCCACCTGAAGTTCCCCATGGGTCTCCAGGAAGTGACCTTGGATGGGGGTGGGAAGGGGCTGCTGGAGCCACCTTGCTACCTGGGGAGGGTCCCTTCCTGACCCCCTGGGTGGGCTGGACTGTGCTGGTTCATTTAGAAATCAAAGTCCTTTGCCTGGCGCAGTGGCTGCCAGGAGCAGTGGCTCAGGTCTATAATCCCAGCACTGTGGAAGGCCGAGGTGGGCAGATTGCTTGAGCCTAGGAGTTCAAGACCAGCCTGGGCTACAGAGCAAGACCTCATCTTTCCTAAAAAAAAAAAATACAAAAAACTAGCTGGGCGTGGTGGCGTGTGCCTGTACTCCCAGCTACTTGGGAGGCTGAGGTAGGAGGATTGCTTGGGCCCCAGGGGCAGAGGTTGCAGTGAGCCCAGATCGAACCACTGCACTCCAGCCTGGGTAACAGAGCCAGACCCTGTCTCAAGAAAAAAGAAAGAAAGAAAGAAAGAAAGAAAATTTAAAAAAAAAATGGAAATCAGGCTGGGCGTGGTGGCTCACACCTGTGATCCCGGCACTTCGGAAGGCCAAGGCGGGTGGATCACTTGAGCCCAGGAGTTTGAGCCTAGCCTGGCCAACATGGCAGAATCCCATCTCTACTAAAAATACAAAAGTTAGCCAGGCGTGGTGGCGGGCGCCTGTAATTCCAGCTACTCGGGAGGCTGAGGCATGAGAATCACTTGAACATGGGAGGCGGAGGTTGCTGTGAGCCGAGATTGCACCGTTGTACTCCAGCCTGGGCAACAGACCGAGACTCCATCTCAACAAAACAAAAACAAAAAAAATGGAAATCAAAGTCCCTCACCAGCTCAACAACCTCCCATGGCTCCCCAGTGCCCTGTGGTTCAGCCTAAGCCCTGCGTGTTCCCCTCCCTCCAGCTGCCTCCACCTGGCTGTCTTTGCTGGTTCAGCAGTGCTTGTCTCGCTGTTCCCTCTGCCTGGTGGAGGCGGCCTATCTGAGAAGGGCTCTATGTGGTTGCCCTGGGCTGCTGTTGTGAGAGCCGGCTGGGTGCCTGTGGCCCCTGGGGCAGCTTTTCTTCCAAAATGGGAACTAGTGGCCTGTGTTCTTTTTCTGGTGTGATTCTTTGGCTCCACCCGCCACACTGGCAAGGTCTGGAGAACTGTGGAGTAGGTGCCCGGGGGTGGCTCGAGTGTGGGGCTGGGGTTCCAGGACAGCCGGGAAGCTGCTGCCCGCACTGGGGAGCTGGAGATTCCCGTTCACACCTGGGCTTCCAGGGCTGCCCTGCCACGTGCCCACGGGAGCTGCAGCCGCCCACCCGGGCCTTGCCATCTGTAAACACTCTTCAATGAGGGGTGGGCGCCAGGGTGCACGTGACCCCCATGGCCCTCAGAGGTGACCTGGTGCCATCCCCGACCAGGAGACGCAGGTGCCCGCGCTGCTGGAGGCCGGCTTCCGGAGGGAGAACATCCGTACGGAGGTGATGGCGCTGGTCCCACCGGCCGACTGCCGCTACTACGCCTTCCCACAGATGATCACGCCCCTGGTGACCAAAGGCTGAGCCCCCACCCCGGCCCGGCCACACCCATGCCCTCCTCCGTGCCTTCCTGGCCGGGAGTCCAGGGTGTCGCACCAGCCCTGGGCTGATCCCAGCTGTGTGTCACCAGAAGCTTTCCCGGCTTCTCTGTGAGGGGTCCCACCAGCCCAGGGCTGATCCCAGCTGTGTGTCACCAGCAGCTTTCCCAGCTTCTCTGTGAGGGTCACTGCTGCCCACTGCAGGGTCCCTGAGGTGAAGTAAACGCCGGCGCTGGGCTTGGCCAGTCGGCAGTGAGCGTGCGACTGTTACTTCCAGCGGCTGCTCCCTCACCTCCCGCCCATCCCATGGACACAGGAAAAGTGGGTGACTCCCCTCCAGGTTTCTGAGCGGCCCCAGGATCCGCCCCGCCCCCCCCACTGTCTTGCCCATAGCAGACATCTCCAGCTGATGCCCGATGTCCCTTCCTCAGATGAAAGCCACCTGACCCTTTGCAGTGGGGTCAGGGAAGGGGGTAACTAGGTCAGGGTCTCAGGGGGTGGCAGCACCACGGCCGGGGTGTGGGTGGGACAAGGATCTTTGCCCACCCCAGGCAGGAACCCACTTCTCTGCCCGCCCCAGCACACCCTGAGCTCCCCTCCTCCCGCCCCAGGAGGGGCGTGGCTGCTGACAGCCCCGTTCCCCAAGCCTCCCATTTCCAGATGTGGTTTCCTCTCAGGAGGCATCGCCCCTGCTGGGCCCATTGCAGGGGCAGCCCCACCTGCCCAGCCCCAGGAACATCCCGGGTCCTGCCTGTCTGTGCCCTTGTGCCCAGCTGGTCACCCCATGCCTCCCACTTTGCCCCCTGCATCCACATGTGTGCAGCCCGCCCATCTTCCTGGGGCCGTCCTGCTCGCCCCCTCCACTGACCTCCTTGCCCTGAGAGAAGGCCGGCTCCTGTGCTCTGCACTCTGGCCCAGGGCTGCTGTTCCGCTGGCTGACGCCCTGTCCCCACCCCAGCATGTCCTGCTTCCAGGCTGCTTGACCCGGCTGGGCTGGGTGCCTCTTCCCCACCCCCGCCCCAGTCTCCCGGGCCCCATCCCAGCCTGGCCCGTCATAACTGCCGATCCCCAGAACTGTCCCTGGTGTGCAGCAGGCATGCAGGGTGGGCCTGCAGAGCGAGGTCCCAGCACCGGCGGCATCTGGCGCTGAACACAGGAAGATGGGACGTTTGCTGAATGAATGCACGTCCCTGATGAGGCCTGGACTTCGACGGATGAAGGGGCTGGTGGGGTGGAGTCAGGGTTCCCCGAAAGCCCTGGGTGGAGAGGGTCCCCAAAGTGGGGTCAGACAGCCTGTGAGGCTCACAGTCCTGCCCTGCAGCCCTTTGGTTTGGACCAGGTGCCACCTCCCCATCTCCCTGGCCCCAGCCCTCAGCTAACCAGCCCATGCCACCGCCTGGAAATGGGCCAGAGGGCAGTGGCGACCTGCCCAAGTCCACACGCAGGCCACAGGCCACACTCTGAACCCCGGGGCAGGCTCAGACGGGCTTTGCTCAGCCTGCCTTAGGGCATAGAGGGAGACTGAGTCAGGGCCCTCCCAGGAAGGATGGGTGTGCGGCCTTCCACGCTCGGGACTTTGGGCCACGATGTCCACCCCAGGGTCTTCGCAGAGCAGCGGGAAAGGACCCTGCTGGCAGGCACAGTGCCCGTCTCTGCCCCCGGCTCTGCTCCAACCGCCCCCAGCCCAAGGGCGGCACGCCGCAGGGGGTCTGTGATCCCCCCACGTCCCCGGCTCCTTTCACCCACACACCACACTGGGAGGCGGCAGCCCGAGGGCAGGTTTATTGACAACCTCACGGGACACAAGCAGGCTGGGGACAGGACGGCGACAGGCTCCGGCGGCGGCGGCGGCGGCGCTACCTGCGGTACCAGATCTGCAGCCTCCGCTCCCGCTTGATCTTCCTCTGCAGCTGCAGGATGCCGTAGAGCAGGGCCTCGGCCGTAGGTGGGCAGCCTGCAGGGACCTTGCCTCAGTCTCGCTTCCCGCAGCCGGAGCCCGCGTGACCGCGTGCACAGCGCAGCCGGCTCGGCTTTGGAAGGGTTTCCCGGGCCGGCCTCTGAAGGTGGAGGCTGACAGCCCTGGGTGGGCGCAGTGCCAGGGACTGGGAGCCGGCGCAGGGGAGGTCCCTGCAGGAAGAGTGGGGTCCTCCCCTGGGCAAGGCCCCACTGCCCTCCACCCGTGGCTCATCCCGGGCTGTCACAGGGACCTCTCGGACAAGACGCTGACCTCACTAACCCGGCCCCCGGCCCCAGCCCTCAGGACTCAATGGGGGCCAGCGCTCAGCAGACACACTTAGCAGTGGGGAGCAGGGCCCGGGGCTGCCCTGGACGGAGATGGAGGCAGGGAGGCTGGGCGGAGGGAGGGGAGGTGGCCCAGAGCCCGGGCATCCCACGAGGACCCGATGACCCTCTTTCTGAGCCCCAAGCCAGAGCTCTTTGCTGGGGATCCCCCAGTCCCGGCTGCCACGCAGGTTCAGAACAAAGGGCTTGAGCAAGAGGACGAAGCCCAGGGCCCAACGGGGACAGCAGGAGTGGAAACAGGTGAGAAAGGACAAGGCCACTGCAGGGCCTGGGAAAGGGCGGCCAGGCCCCACCTGGCAGAGCTCTGGCAAGTCCAGGCTGCTCCAAGGGAGGGAGAAGCACAGTCCGCAGGGAGGGAGCAGCACAGTCCGCAGGGAGGGAGGGAGGAGCGAGGTCCCCAGGGAGGGAGGAGCGCGGTCCGCTGGGAGGGAGGGGCGCGGTCCCCAGGGAGGGCCGAGCGCGGTCCGCAGGGAGGGAGGAGCGCGGTCCCCAGGGAGGGAGGAGCGCGGTCCGCAGGGAGGGAGGGAGGAGCACGGTCCCCAAGGAGGGAGGAGCGCAGTCCCCAGACAGGGAGCACAGTCCGCAGGGAGGGAGGAGCGCGGTCCCCAGGGAGGGAGGAGCTCAGTCTGCAAGGAGGGAGGAGTACAGTCCACACTCGCAACTTGCCCCATTGGTCTGCACTGCAGGGGAAGACGCCAGGGGCATGGGCAGAGCTCCTGACCCCAGGATGGACCTCTCTGTGCTGTCAAGTCACAGGGAGGCCCAGGCTGCCCTCTCCACTGCCCCCGGGGTGACCTGAACCGTGCAGAACGCTGAACAAATCAACGCCCTTTCCAGGGAAGCGGAATCCAAAGTCAGAGCCTGTTCCTCCACTTTTGAGAGGCACCAGGATGTGCCTCTCGCTTGCCCAAACCCCCAGACTCGGGACTCAGGGCTGGGCTCTCTGCGCATGAGCTAATGCCGCACGCAGCACAGGGTGGCCAAGAACAGGACTCTGTCCCCTGTCCCACATGAGCGCCACCTCCAAGCCTGCCTACCGTGGACCACTGTCAAGGTGAACGCCCGGGGGGATGGCCCTCGTGGGACCACGTGAGGTGCAAGAGTCCCACGGGATCACCAGATATAAAGAATGTTCCCGGTGCGATGTGAATTTCAGGTATGCAGCCAATGCTCTTTTTAGTGTCAGTATAGCCCAAATATTGTTGGGATATACTCGTACTAAACAATTACTACTAACAGTTTTCCTGATGGTCAAATTCACCCTAACCTCACAGTCAAACTAAGCCTCCCACGTTTTCATTTGCCAAATCCGGCCACCCCGGGTCCCAGGGAGTCCTGCGTGCCCTTCTGTAAGGCTGAGGGCGCGGGACAGTGTCCTTGGCCCCCAGGAACCTTCTCGCTTGGTATTTCTAACTGCAGGTCTTTGGTTTGTGCCAGGTAGGACCATATGAAACTGCTGTAAACCAGGCGTGTGTCAGGAATTCCACTCAGCTTCCCCTGCTCCCTCTGATCCCTCTGATGCCTGAATACATCGCCGACTTCTCACAGGGGACAGGCTCCACTAAGAGGCAGCGCTCCGAGTCGGCCCATCCATAGGATGGGGGAGCCCGCCGTCTGCTGGGGGTGTGGGACTCCCTCACAGGGGCCGCCGGGCTCCGTGTGGCGCTGGCCCTGTCTCCAGCTCCCTCGTGGGCGGTGCGGTCCCGGCCCTACCTGGGATGTAGATGTCCACGGGCACGATGCGGTCGCAGCCCCTCACCACCGAGTAGGAATAGTGGTAGTAGCCTCCTCCGTTGGCGCAGCTGTTGGGGAGGCACCGTGAGGGGAGTGTGCCGAAGACCCGCCTGCCCACCCTCCCTCCACGAGGCCTCGCCCCATCCCCACCCGCCTTCAACTGCAGGCCAGGCACCTACGAGGCTGGAACTTGTCACGGAGAAGCAATGAGCAAACACGCACAGGCTCCCAGAGCCTCTGTGGGACCAGTGGGGCGCAAGCTCACACGTGGCTGATAACTCGGGGAAAAGTGCTCCCCTCCCGAGGGGGCTCCTGACCACCGATTCCCGGGGCTGGGATGTGTCAGATCACATGTGTCAACAAAAAGCCACTTCAGACAGCCACAGTGCCAACACCCAGCCCCTGTCTATGGGGCGGCTGAGCCTCACCCTCGCCTGATTCCGGCTCTGTCAGTGAGGCGCTGGGGTCCACCCGGGGCAGGGAGCTGGAAACCCCAGGAGACCACACAGACTCCACTCCCAGCACTGCTTCCCACAGCCGTAAAAATGGACATACCCTGAATGCCCAGCAGTGGGAGACGGTTATGAAAACTCTGGAATATTCTAATTAACTGTTTAGAATTAGATTAGTAATATGTCCACACAGTGGGATATTATTCAGCCAAGAAAAGGCACGAGGCTCGGACACAGGCCACAGCACGGATGCACCTTGAGGACGTCGCGCTCAGTGAGAGACGCCGGACACAGAAGGCCATGCGGCGTGTGATCCTGTTTCTGTGAAATGTCCAGGACGGGCCCATCCACAGAGACAGGGAGGGGAGGTGTGGGCACCGGGGCTCGGAAGGGGATGCAGAGTGACTGCTGATGGGGACAGCATTTCATTTGGGGGTGATGAGAATGTTCTGGAATTAGAGGTGGTGGCCTAAAAACCACTGAACTGCTCGCTTTAAAAGGGTAAACTTATCAAGACCTGATCTCTACAGAAATTTTAAAAAGTAGGCACAGTGGAGTACATCTGTAATCCCAGCACTCTGAGAGGCTAAGGTTGGGGGACCGCTTGAGCCCAGGAGGTCAAGGCTGCAGTGAGCTATGACTGCACCACTGCACTCCAGCCTGGGCAACTCAGTGAGACTCTGTCTCTAAAAAATAAAAATAATAAATATTGGCCAGGCATGGTGGCTCATGCCTGTAATCCCAGAACTTTGGGAGGCTGAGGTGGGTGGATCACGAGATCAGGAGATCGAGACCATCCTAGCCAACATGGTGAAACCTCTTCTTTACTAAAAATACAAAAATTGGCCAGGTGTGGTGGCAGGTGCCTGTAATCCCAGCTACTCGGGAGGCTGAGGCAGGAGAATCGCTTGAACCTGGGAGGCGGAGGTTGTAGTGGGCTGAGATCGTGCCACTGCACTCCAGCCTGGGCGACAGAGCTAGACTCCATCTTTAAGTAAATAAATAAATATTTTAAAATGTTAAGAGACTAAATACCTTTCAATGTTACGGGGAAATGACTAAAAAATGAGGGCAAGGCCAGGCGTGGTGGCTTATGCCTATAATCCCAGCACTTTGGGAGGCCGAGGCAGGCGGATCACCTGAGGGAGTTCAAGACCAGCCTGGCCAACATGGTAAAACCCCGTCTCTACTAAAAATACAAAAATTAGCTGGGTGTGGTGGTGCATGCCTGTAATCCCAGCTACTTGGGAGGCTGAGGCAGGAAAATTGCTTGAACCTGGGAGGCGGAGGTTGCAGTGAGCCGAGATGGTTCCACCGCACTCCAGCCTGGGTTGACAGAGCAAGACTCTGTCTCAAAAAAAAAAAAAAAAAGAAAAAAAACTAATGGCAAGTGAGAAGGCTGAGATTATAAAACTATCTACAGCACCTGTCATCACTTATGTGTGAGTAAAGCAGAGAACTGGGCGGAATGTGGGGTCTGCTGCGTGGGGGTGGATGGGAGGAATCGTTCTGGGGAGAGGCCCACCAGCGCATCTGCCTAGGGTGGAGGCACCGAGACGGCTGAAGGGCAGCGCCGGGACCACGTGGGATTTCACTGAATGTAGATGACACTTTTGATAAGCGCCATCAGGGCACGGCCAGGCCAGCACTCACGCTACGTCTGTCCCTGGAGACCCCCCGCCCTGCACTCACCTCCCCATGGAGACCACGTAGCGCGGCTCCGGCATCTGGTCGTAGACCTGGAAGAGAGGCGGGGTCCGTGCGCAGCTCACTCTGGGGGCGGCTGGGCGGCTGGGACGAGGCCTACCTTGCGAAGCGCTGGGGCCATCTTGTTGGTGAGTGTGCCGGCCACGATCATGACGTCGGACTGGCGCGGGCTGGCGCGGAAGACCACGCCAAAGCGGTCCATGTCGTAGCGGGGTGCTGCCATGTGCATCATCTCCACGGCGCAGCAGGCCAGGCCGAAGGTCATGGGCCACAGAGAACTCTGCGGAGGCCGGGCTCGGGTCAGACGCCACCCCCGGAGCCCCGCGTGGCCCAGCGTGAGACTCCACGTGGAGCACCCAGAACCCCCGACTCATGTCCCGGGGCGGCAGCCGGCAGAGGTGAGAGGCACAGCGGCTCCTGCAGGTGGCCTCCGGGCCCCAAGAGTTGTAAAGCGCGCCCCACCAGCCACATTCAAATACATAAAATAGAGAGAAACGGGTGAGATCTGTCCTCATCACATAGTTCCTCGAACCCAGTGTATCCTAAGTCCCACCATTTCAACAGGGGGCTCCAGCCACTCTCTGAGCGCGTGGGCTACAGGCGAGTAGTAGCGCAGGTCTAACCGGGAACTCTCTGCGTTAACTAGATCTGGGTCCACATACCAAGTGCGACGCCTCCAGGAAGCCCTCTCAGATCTCCTTGGCCACTCCCTCCCCTCTCCTCCATCCCTGTGGCTTCTCATTTCCCCCACCGTTCCCGCTCTCCCTGCACGCGGCTCTGAGACCTGGCAGGGGCCCTGCTGCATGTGTTGGCGGGTGACAGGGTCAGGCTACAGAGTGAGGCAGGGCTGCCCGGGCAGAAATGGCCAGGTCCACCTGCCCGCCAGAAGCCTGTGTTGGGACGGCCGCTGGCCATGTCTCAGGTTCCCTCCATTAGAAACTATCCTGCATTAGCCGGGCGTGGTGGCTCACGCCTGTAATCCCAGCACTTTGGGAGGCCGAGGTGGGCGGATCACGAGGTCAGGAGATCGAGACCATCCTGGCCAACACGGTGAAACCCCATCTCTACTAAAAATAAAAATACAAAAAATTAGCCGGGCGTGGTGGCGGGCACCTGTAGTCCCAGCTACTTAGGAGGCTGAGGCAGGAGAACCCGGCAAGCGGAGCATGCAGTGAGCCGAGATCGCACCACTGCACTCCAGCCTGGGCGACAGAGCGAGCCTCCGTCTCAAAAAAAAAAAAAAGAAAAGAAAAGAAAAAGAAAAGAACTATCCTGCATTAAAAACTATCCTTGTCTCGACCACTGCGGCCCTGGCAGGACGTTCGCCGTGGCATTGTTTAGGAAACAAAAAACAAAAGGAAACAGTGAACGTCCATCAATGGGGGATTGTTGAACCCGGGCTGTCGCAGCAAGTGCCGCAGGAGCTGGAGGGAGCTGCACGTGCTCACGCTGCAGGGGGATGGCAGGGGCTGCGTGGGGGCTGGCGCCACAGGCAGGGGAGGCTTTAAACGGGTACCGAGAAGGATCTACTGCCTTCACACGCGCTCCTTTTAACTTAAAACACTGCTTTCACCTTAAAAGAGAAACAAGAGGAACACACGGACGCCAGAAAGAGAATGACGGAAACGGAGGGGTCATCTCCAGCAGGGTCCGAATCCTCAGATGGAACCACAGGCCACCAGGCCAGCACAGGGGCCTCCGGGAGGGTCCGCCCTGCTCCACGGCCGCAGGGGTGTGTGTGCATCAGTGAGTGTGCCTGTGTGCATGCATGCCAACAGGCACACATGCATGTGTCCACACAAGGACGTGTGTGCATGTGTGTGAGTGTGCATGTGTGTGCATGACTGTGCATATATGTGCACGTGTGTGCGAGTGTGCGTGTGCATGTGTATATGTGCGCATGAGTGTGCATGAGTGCAAGTGTGCATGTGTGTATGTGTGCAAGCGTGTGTGCACATGTGCTTGTGTGTGCATGTGTGTGCAAGTGTGCATGTGTGCGAGTGTGCATATGTGCATTGTGTGCGTGAGTGTGCGTGTGGTCCGTGTACACATCTGTCCATACATGTGAGCTTGCATGCACATGTGCGCATGTGAGTGTGCATGCATGTGTTGTGTGTGTACGTGTCTGCACGTTGGTGTGTGTATGTGTGTGCCTGTGAGTGTGCAGAGAGGCCCTGGCGCTCGAGGAGGGCCTACAGCTCATAGTACTCACCCGGCGGGCCCAGTTGACGAGGTCATCCAGCTTGGCCACCACATACTCGCCCCGGCTGCTGGGTTTGGGAGCCACGGCTCTGGCCTTTGGCAGGGCAGGCTGGGTGCTGGCACAGAGACACACGGGCACAGGAGGCGTCAGCCACGCAGGTGCTTCCCAGAGGCGGATGCGAGCCCCCACGGCCGCTGCCAGAGGCCTGGACCCACATGAGGTCAGGGACTGGGATGTGTGACCCCCTCCCTGCCCCATCCATGCACCTCAGTGGCTGCGGCACTGATGCAGAAAATAAGGAAGGGATGGGGGTGGGGCGAGGGGGTACGACCTCCCCCAGAAGGCCAGCTTCACCTGCTTGGGCCATCGGTGGCCACGCTCTGATGGACACCTCGTGCCTGCACAGCCGGGCCCACGCTGGAGCTGCCGGGAGATGGAACGCGGGTCAGTGGCTGTCCCAGGCCCCTCCAGCTCCCCCAGCCGCACTCACTGTTGTCCTGCCTCTCCCCTCCCTGCTGCGAGACTGTTCTCACCTCTGCCTGTCAACACTTGGGCCACTGGCCAGAGCCGCTGGAGCCATGCGGCCATCGCCCCGACCCCCAATGATGGCCCAGACTTGAATGGAACTTCTTTTGTGACGTACCCAGCAGGTCAACAGTGTCCAAGCAAGGACGGTCCCAGGATCATCCACAGAAGGAAACTGGCAGCAGGCCCTCCACACATGACCAAGGTAAGATCCCTGGGCATGCGCCCTCACCGCCCTGTCAGTCACCTGGGTCTGCAGGAGGCCTGCCCCAGCTGCCATCTGCACAGGGCTCAGAGAATGCCTTCCCACCCCAGGTGGCGGTGAGCTCTGACGGCACTGAGCCGGGCCCACAGGGTTTTCCTCCTGACTGTCCAGCCTTTGCCACTGCGTGGACTGTCCCAGGGAGGGTCCCGGCACATCACGGGCAGCGTGCAGACCGTCACCTGCATCCTGTCCCTAACATGACACGTGACCTTCAACAAGGCGCTCCCCCCACCCCCCACCCCCCCCGCCCCGTTCGTCTGTCGCTGCTGAAGGCCCCTCCCAGCTGAGGGCTGGAGACTCAGGCACTCACCGCAGACCAAGGATCCGGAAGCCGCGCAGGCCAGGAGCTGCAGAGAGGACCACGGGGTGGGAACAGTGAGCTGCGGGCAGCACGCAGGGCCGGCCTCCAGGCGCTTCCCCATCAGGCTCCTGCCCGCACAGCCTAGCTCTGATCCCAACTCGAGTGCCACTTAACAAACGTTAGGTAACGAGGGGGTTTTCAGAACACGAGAGAGTCTTAGTCCCCTGCTTGAGACTGCATGGCCCCGGAAGGAACCCAAACGCTGCCCCGTCTCCCCGCCCTGGCGATCTTCACTGGCACCTGCCGCTTTCCTGCGCCAGGGCCCCCGCACTGGCTGCTGCCCTGTGGGGGACACCCCGCCTCACACTTGCACACTGGCTGCTGCCCTGCGGGGGACACCCCGCCTCACACTTGCACACTGCTGGCCCCTTCTCATGAGGCAGGTTTCAGTTCAGATACCCGGGGCGTCCCGCCTACACCAGGACCCCAGGTCCTCCGGTTGCCGGCACCCGGTTCTATCTCCATCTATGCGTGCTTGTGGGGTGCCTGCCACTCCAGCAATGCTGGGGCCTCCCTGGGCACCCAGTGCTCGTCCTGGCCTCAGCTGTGCCTGACAAGCGTGTGCTGGGTGCTCCAGGCCCTGGCTGCTGCTCGGGCGTTTCCCACGCAGCTGAGCACAGGCCCCATCCTGCAGGAATCTGCAGTCCGCTAAGCGGGGAGGGCGCTGCCCACGTCAATCTACACAGAAAAGCACCCCTAGAGGAGCCAGCCTCAAAGGAAGCGCAGAGGAGGGAACGCGCCTGCACGAAGTCTCCTGGGAGAGCCTTCCCGAGGCGAAGACTAAGGCCAGAGCAGGGCCTTGCCACGCCCGGGGCACTCAGCGGGAGGAAACCTGGAGGTGCCAGGAATCCTGGCTCACAAGGAAGAATCCAGAAAGGCAGGCTTGGTGCTGGTGACGGCTGAACTGTGACCCTCCACCCGACCTGCATCTGAAGCCCTAACCCCAGGACCTCAGAATGTGACTGCTTTTGGAGATGGGGTCTTTAAAGGGATCATTAATGCCTGGGCGTGGTGGCTCATGCCTGTAATTCCAGCACTTCAGGAGGCCGAGGCAGGTGGATCACCTGAGGTCAGGAGTTCGAGACCAGCCTGGGCAACATGGTGAAACCCCGTCTCTACTAAAAATACAAAAATTAGCTGGGTGTAGTAGCAGGTACCTGTAATCCCAGCTACTCGAGAGGCTGAGGCAGGAGAATCACTTGAACCCGGGAGGTAGAGGTTGCAGTGAGCAGAGGCTGCGCCACTGCACTCCAGCTTGGGTGACAGAGGGAGACTCCATCTCAAAAAATAAAATAAAGGGTCATTATAAAGGACAGTGAGGTCACGAGGGTGGGCCCTCATCCGATATGACTTATGTCCTTGTAAGAAAAGGCGATCAGGACACAAACATGTACAGAGGAAAGACGCAGGGAGAAGATGGCCACGGGCAAGCCAAGGACAGAGGCCTCAGCAGGAACCAACCCTGCTGACCCCCAATCTTGGCCTTCCAGCCCCCAGAACTGTGAGAACAATCAGCTTCTGTTGAAGCTGCCCAGGTGATGGTACTTTGTCGCTGTGGGTGAGGTGAGGCCCGATGGAGAGGCTGTGGGCAGCCTCCAGGGGCCAGGGCCAGGGTTTGATGCCCCTGAATGCAGCGATCCATGGGGCCTTCTCCTGCCTCTGAGCCCCTCCCTCACCCCAGCCTTAGCCTCATCCGGGGTTGCTGTTTCCCATGGCCCCGTCCAGGCCACAACTCTCTGAAGGACACAAGCCTGTGACCTACTTCTTGGCATGCCTGAGGCTGGGCACAGCAGACAGGCTAACTGCCCAGCCCCAGGCTCTGGTGGGAGCTGCCCCACTCCAGGTGTCAGTTTCCCAAGCTGAAAATGCAGGACTTTGGATGAGCTCCTAGCAGAGGAGATACTCTTCTGAGAACCTCTGAGGTGATGGGATTCTGTGCCTCTGGGTCAGGGTTTTTGTTGTTGTTGTTGTTGTTTTGAGACGGAGTTTCGCTCTTGTCACCCAGGCTGGAGTGCAACGGCACAATCTTGGCTCACTGCAACCTCCACCTCCCAGGTTCAAGCTATTCTCCTGCCTCAGCCTCCCGAGTAGCTGGGATTACAGGCGCCTGCTACCACGCTCAGCTAATTTTGCATTTTTTAGTAGAGACAGGGTTTCTCCATGTTGATCAGGCTGGTCTTGAACTCCCGAACTCAGGGGATCCGCCCACCTCGGCCTCCCAAAGTGCTGGGATTACAGGCCTGAGCCACCACGCCCAGCTGGTTTGTTTTTGTTTTTGTTTTTGAGACGGAGTTTCACTCTTGTTGCCCAGGATGGAGTGCAATGGTGCAATCTTAGCTCACTGCAACCTCCGCCTCCCGGGTTCAAGCGATTCTCTTGCCCCAGCCCCCCAGTAGCTGCGATTACAGGCATGCGCCACCACACCCAGCTGATTTTGTATTTTTAGTAGAGACGGGGTTTCTCCATGTTGGCCAGGCTGGTCTCGAACTCCGGACCTCAGGTGATCCGCCCACCTTGGCCTTCCAAAGTGCTGGGATTACAGGCGTGAGCCACCGCGCGTGGGCCAGGCATTCTTAACAAGGGGCCTGGTGAGGATTCAGAACTGTGAATTTGCTTGGAATAAAAAAATATATATGTCTTTGTTGTCACCAGCATCTTATGGAAAATTAGCCCTTCATTCAATTCTTAGCGTAGGCTGGGTGCCGTGGCTCCCAGCACTTTGGGAGGCTCAGGTGGGAGGATTGCTTGAACTCAGAAGTTCGAGACCAGCCTGGGCAACAGGGCAAGACCCCCATCTCTACTAAAAATACAAAAACTAGCCAGGCATGGTGGCGCACACCTGTGGTCCCAGCTACACAGGACACTGAAGTGCCAGAATCGCTTGAGCCTGGGAGGCACAGGTTGCAGTGATGAGCCAAGATGGCACCACTGCACTCCAGTCTGAGCGACAGAGGCAGACCCTGTCTTAATAAATAAATAAAAAATTCTTAGCATAGACAACAAAATACGGCAGTATTAGCAGGACCTGTAACTTTTCACCAAGCGGAATCACAGATGTTTCCTAGCTATGGTGCAGGGGCTGCAGACGTTTCCGTATCATCAAAGCCTCATTTCCACTCCTCACTCCTTCCAAATCACAGTCGCAATTAGACCTGCCGCTAGATCGCGTTCATAAGGGAAGCACTTAGATTACTAAGTCGCCAATCAGGTTTCAAGACAATCTTTTAATAACTGCCTCTCCGTGTAACTGATTTCCTTGCAATTCTATGGATTTTATTCCATGCATTTAATAACTTTATCTGAGCAGAGGTCCGCAGGCTTCAGCTGATCCCAAAAAAGTCCCTGGAGCAGGACAGGCTCTGCGAGAGGCCCTTACCTCCCAGGGGTGGGGAGGGAGGTGGAGGGTCCAGCAGGGTGGCGTGGATGTCCTGGGTCCTGTTCCTTCCCAGGCCCGGCCCTGTGACCTC
Source organism: Homo sapiens (assembly GCF_000001405.40). Taxonomy (NCBI): domain Eukaryota; kingdom Metazoa; phylum Chordata; class Mammalia; order Primates; family Hominidae; genus Homo; species Homo sapiens. The sequence continues at coordinate 1,384,329 of NC_000019.10, read as the reverse complement.
GAAGACCCTCAATGGGCCTCAGTTTCCCAGCCTGTCAGGCAGGCCCCGCTCTCTCCAGGGCATCTCAAGAGCAGCCTCGCGGGCCGTGCCCTGGTCTCGGGGACGTGAATGGGGCCCCTCCAGCCTCCACCCCGAGCGCCTTCCTGAGGCTGGAGGCTTGCGTCATGACCTACCGGGCCTCGGTTTCCCCGACTGTACTCTGGACGCAATAACGGCGACCGTTCATCGCAAGCCGGGCGGGGAGCCCGAGGAGCGGCCGGCTCGGAGAAGCCCGGAGAGGACCGCGGCCACGACGCCGGCACCGACCCCCGACGCCACCACGACACCCGAGGCTCCCACGGCCCCAGACCCGCGCGGCCCCACACCCGCCGCCGGTGCCGCGCTCACCTGACAGCACCGCCATCTTGGCCTCGGCCTTCAGACAACCTCTGAGGTCCGTTCTCCTTAGCGCTCCGGGTTCCCGGGGCCGCCGCCCAAAGCGGCTCGGAGCGCATGCGGAAACCGGAACCTGGAGCCGGGAGGTTCCGCTGCGCTTTCGGCCTCCGTGGTCGTGTTGCGCCGTGCACCCCCAGATCACCCGAGGCGGAAAGGTCATCGGAGTGCGCACGTGGGGGCCGCGGGTCTGCGGCGGACCGACAAAAACAGAGGCGACACTCATTTTCTTGTTATTCCAGGAGGGCAAAAGTCACCACGCGTCCCTGGGTGGGCTCGAACCACCAACCTTTCGGTTAACAGCCGAACGCGCTAACCGATTGCGCCACAGAGACGACACTGCGCTCCGGCGCCCTGGGAGACCTTACAAAGGATGTGGGGCCTGCTGACGCGAAACGACTGCGCCTGCGCAGGGAAGGCGCAGCGCGGGACGGAGTCCCGGCGAGAGCGACTCTGCCGCCCAGCCGAAATAGCTCAGTTGGGAGAGCGTTAGACTGAAGATCTAAAGGTCCCTGGTTCGATCCCGGGTTTCGGCAGAAGTTTTAGCGCCTCTTGCGATCACTGATGTCTTTCGTTCAGGATTGGTCCAGCTGCCTCGCAGCTATCCCGGACCCCTTACCGCAACATCACCGCATTCTGCAGAGGAGTCGCCGCGATGTGGACTCATCCCAAAGTAAGGGGGCTCAGACCTCACAACCCCAAAGCCTCCTCTTCCCACCCCTAAGAGGTCATAATTTCAGCTCAAACTTCCCCCTTCCCTGACACACCCTCGATTTTCCATCTTGCTTAAATTGATAAGTTTACAACCAGTACTAATGATATAAAAACTAACACTAAACACCCAAACTAGCAAAACAGAGTTTGCAGAACGCTTTCTGCATGCATATCATTTAATTTTCACAATTCCACTGGAGGTTTTGTCTGCCTGTTTTATGATTACAAAAACAGAGGCAAAGGCCGGTGCGGTGGTTCACGCCTGTAATCCCAGCACTTTGGGAGGCTGAGGCAGGCAAATCACCTGAGGTCAGGAGTTCAAAACCAACCTGGCCAATATGGTGAAACCCTGTATCTAAATCCCAGCTACTCGGGAGGCTGAGGCAAGAGAATCACTTGAATCCGGGAAGCGGAGGTTGCAATGAGCTGAGATCGTGCCACCGCACTCCAGCCTGGGCGACAGAGTGAGACTCCATCTCAAAAAAAAAAAAAAAAGAAAAAAGAAAAAGAAAAAGTAAAGAAAACAGAGGCTCAAATTAGGTGAACACAGGTGACTAGCAAGACTGGGGGCCCCTTGAGGACCACAACAAGTGTTTACTGAATTCGTGCCATGGGCTGGGGACCCACTGCTGAGCAAAGCCAGGCCTGGTCTCTGTTCTTGGGCAGCTCAAAAGGATTGGAGGGGCCCAGCATGGTGGCTCACACCTGCAATCCCAGCACTTTAGGAAGCCGAGGCAGGAGGATCACTTGAAGCCAGGAGCTTGAGACCAGTCTGGGCAACATAGCAAGACCCCATCTCTACAATACATAATAATAATAAAGACTTGGGGGAAAAGCTGACAAGAACCTAAGAGGCTGGCAGGTGCACAAAACCCTCTTCCTTCTCTAGTTCTCATAGCTGCCCGTGCTGTAGGGTTTTGGTTTTATTTTTATTTATTTATTTTTTGAGATGGAGTCTTGCTCTGTCACCCAGGCTGGAGTACAGTGGCAAGATCTCAGCTCACTGCAGCCTCCACCTCCCTGGATCAAGTGATTCTCCTGCCTCAGCCTCCTGAGTAGCTGGGATTACATGCACACACTACGATGCCCGGCTAGTTTTTGTATTTTGAATAGAGACAGGGTTTGTTGGCCAGGCTGGTCTCGAACTCCTGACCTCAGGTGATCTGCCCACCTCGGCCTCCCAGAGTGCTGGGATTCAGGAGTGAGGCACCACGCCTGGCCATGGTTTTGGTCTTAAATTTATATCAATATTTTTAGAATAATTTAGAGTTGTGAGTACCCCATGCCCAGTTCATGAGTGTGATACATTTGTCACATGATACATTATTACTGACCAAAATCTACACTCTATCCAAGTTTCCTGGGTTTCCTCTAATGCCCTTTCCTGGCCTAGGGCTCCATCCAGGACCCTACGTGGCATCAGGCGTGGTGTTTCCTCAGCTCCTGGGACCGTGGCCGTTTCTCAGGCATTCCTGTTTCTGATGCCTGCACAGTTCTGAGGCAGGACTTACTGTGGAACATTGCTCATTAGGGATTTTGCTTGTGGATTTTTTTTTTTTAAATACAGTCAGGGACAGCAGAGTGCCTCCCCTGTCCCCGGCGTGCCATGCTGGGATCATGTGTCAGCTGCCCTGGACTCTTCCCGGGAGGAACAATGAAGCCAGCCCAAGGATTTCTGCTGGCTCTTAGCCCTAGTGGTGGTGGGGGATGGGGTGGGGACTGCAGCTGAGTTCAGTGGGAGCCAAGGGGGATGGTCCTCTGGCCGCTGGGATGACAGGGCTCCTGGGCTTGCGTTTGCTGTTCAGGCTCTTGCCTTCCTATGGGGTCTTTTTTCTTTTTTTGAGACGGAGTCTCGCTCTGTCCCCCAGGCTGGAGTGCAATGGCACAATCTCAGCTCACTGCAACCTCTGCCTCCTGGGTTTAAGCAATTGTCCTGCTTCAGCCTCCTGAGTAGCTGAGATTACACGCATCCACCACCACACCCGGCTAATTTTTGTATTTTTAGTAGAGATGGGGTTTCACCATGTTGGCCAGGCTGGGCTCAAACTTCTGACCTCAGGTGATCTGCCCACCTTGGCCTCCCAGAGTTCTGGGATTACAGGTGTGAGCCACCAAGCCCAGCCCCTATAGGGTCTTCACGTTCAACCGGGGCTGCTCTGTGTGACCAACAGAATGGCGGTGATATTCATGGGCGGCTGCTGTGGCTCCTGGGCTGCTGCCCCCAGCGAGGCTCCTCAGACCCCCAGCCCCGTTGGAGCCTTCTGATGATGTGGCCCCAACCAGCATGTGGACTGCAGCCCCACGAGCCACCCTAGAAGCCCCTGGCCGGGCTGCCCTTAGATCCCGGCCCCACAGAAACTGTGTGGAGAATGTTCCAGGCGCTGGGTTTTGGGGTGGCATTCTGCTGCAAAGGGGGCTGACTGATAGGCGGACTGGACAGAAAGGTGAGGTAGGTGGGGAGAAGAATCTGGTTCAGGAACTCCGGGCCCTGGAGGACACCCCTGAGACAGGGAACATGGAGGAGCTGGTTTCACGGGGCAGAGGCAGGACATGAGCAGAGGGCAGGCAGCAGTTCCAGAAACAGCTCAGGCCAGTGAGAGGGGAAGGACCCAGGGCGGGGTGAGAGTAGGAATTGGGGAAGGTGAGGAGGGGGCGTGAGGCTGGCACAGGGAGGGAGGCAGAGAGGCACAAGAACTCAGGCAGGCCAGCTGCAGTGGCTCTCGCCTATAATCTCAGCACTTTGGAGGCCGATGAGGATCACTTAGCCTCGGAAACACAGCAAGCACCATTTCTACAAGAAGCACAAAAATTAGCCGGGCATGGTGGTGCACACCTGTGGTCCCAGCTTCTTGGGAGGCTGAAGTGGGAGGATCGCTTGAGCCAGGGAGGTCAAGGCTGCAGTGAGCCACGTTTGCACCACTGTACTCCAGCCTGGGCAACAGAGCCAGACCCTGTCTCAAACCAACCAACCAACCAACCAACCCACCAACAAAAGCAAAACAGAAAATGCCTCAGGCAGTGGGGCCCATGAGAGTGAGGTTTCTGTGGTTTGGAATTCTCGCTGCATGCCTGTGTTGCCCCTTTAAGATGGACGAAGTGCCCCGTGCGGCCACCAAGGCCACCTTGTTGGAAGTGATCCGACAGGCACAGCTGTGCCACTGAGGGGGAACCTCAATTCCCCTCACACTGCTGGGAACAAGTGAGACTGGCTTCGGAAAAAGCACTGGCAGGGACATGGGGGTCTCTGCAGCTCAGTGAAGGGGGCTTGGTGGAAGTCATCAGACAGGCACAGCTGTGCCACTGAGGGGGGACCCCAATTCCCCTCACACTGCCAGGGCGGGAACAAGTGAGACCGGCTTCGGAAAAAGCATTGGCAGGGACATGGGGGTCTCTGCGGCTCAGTGAAGGGGGTTGGGGAGTGTGGGCCAGGTGGTTGGGGGGCTGGCAGAAGCACGCACCCAGGTTCTGAGACACCCGCTGGGCCAAGCCAGAGAGGGAAGGGGCGGGGGTCAGGGGAAGGACGCCATGGTTTGTGGACAGCAGTTTTCCACGGAGCACCAGGCCACGTCTGGGGACATCTGTGGTCATCTCGATGGTAGAGGCGGGAGCTCCTGGCATGGAGACACTCAGCACCCAGCAGGACCCAGGACACCCCACCCCAGTGACACAGGTCCAGTGTCCTCAGTGCCAGGGACAGGCTCAGGTGGGGATGCAGGGTTAGCTAGCTGCCAGAAGAGAGGCAAAGCGTGCAGGCTTCTGAGGGCAGGGCTCCTGGCGTCTCCCTGCGTGTGTGCACGGGGTCAAGCCTGTCTTCCCGGGGCTCCGGCGGCAGTCGAGGAACGCCAGCCATGCTGTGGAGAGGGCGAGCCCAGGACCACCCATGCTGGCATCCTCAGGGCCCCGGAATGCTCCTCACTGGCCGTGCCTGTGAGGTCAGCACCCCTGACTCCCACTCAACTGCCCGGCTGACAACCCAGAGCACCCACGACCCCCCATTACTGAGGGAAGCACCCAGGCAGGGCCTGTCCCAGCGGCCTTGACACCCTCAGAGCCCACAGGACAGTAAGGGCAGAGGGTGCAGGCGGGGTGGGACGCACAAGGGGGCCTCTGGCACATTCTGGTTCCACCTGCTGGGCAGGGCTATGCTGCAACACAGGTGCTCATCGTCATTCCGGCTGGAGTGCAGTGGCGTGATCTCGGCTCACTGGAGCCGCAGCCTTGACCTCCAAACAAGTGTTCCTCCCATCTAAGCCTCCCCAGTAGCTGGGGCCACAGGCATGAACCCCAGTGAGGCCCCTGGCTGCTGTTTATTTTTTTGAGACGGAGTCTCACTGTGTGGCCAGGCTGGAGTGCAGTGGCGTGATCTCGGCTCACTGCAACCTCTGCCTCCCGGGTTCAAGCAATTCTCCTGCCTCAGCCTCCCCAGGTGCTAGGACTACAGGCGCCCACCACCATGCTCGCTAATTTTTTTTAGCAGAGATGAGGTTTTACCATGTTGGCCAGGCTGGTCTCGAACTTCTAACCTCAGGTTATCCACCTGCCTTGGCCTCCCAAAGTGCTGGGATTGCAGGCGTGAGCCACCGCGCCCAGCCTCTGGCTGCTGTTTAAACAGCACCCTAGGCCCGCCAGTGAGGTGGGAATCCACCCCAAGGCCAGGCCATGTCCCTGGGGATGGCAGGGTCACTCTCCCATTTCCAAGCTTGGACAACCCATGCAGTGGGATGTGTTTGGGGGTTCAGAAAAGACAAGCCAGAGGTCTGGGAGGTGTTTAATTCCACCTCGAACAACTTGGCAAGGTCAGCAGAGAAGCAAATGGATAAAAGTACTTCACAACAGCAGAAAAGTTCCATCAGGGGCGCGTGATTCCCACAAAACCATGGCAATGTGTCCTACTCTCAGGAACCCACAATGGAGGGCGGCTCCGGAGGATTTTCCATGAGGCAGTACGAGGCCCGTACATGCAACGCTGCTGAGCCCCGCCTCAGGCGGTGGTACTGGCCGCCCCGAGTCCCCGAAACAGCGACCAGCAGGGGGCCAAGGCCGACAGCCCTGACCCCCGCCTCCTCCGGGGTGTGCCCCACTGCTCCAGACAAGACAGACCCCAGCGTGCGGGCATGGGAGGCGGAGCTGCCAGGCCACGGCCGGGTTTCCTGCTCTCGGAGTCGAGCAGAGGCAAGTGAAACAAAGGTCAGTGAACACCGAGGTCCAGAGCAGCCGCCGCCTCTGGCACCTCCCGAGTCCCAAGGGCCCGATACGAGAGTCCTTGCGGCTTCGTCCCGCACAGCGCCCTGCATCTGAGACAATCGTGTTCCGATCTCCTCTCCGGTGGCTGTCGTCGGCTGGGGAGGGCCTGGGGGAAGAGGGTCACAGCCCCTCAAAGCAAGGCCTCCAGCCAGGGCCAGATGCAGCCCAGCCAGTGGGGAGAAAGCAGCTCCCAGGCCACCGGGCCCTGGAACCCTGGACATGTCACCAGCACTGCTGTGTAGGCACAGCCTGGAGCATCCACTGAGAATGGACAAGTCATCGTCTGTGGCTTTGCTCTTAACAGCACGTCTGACCCTGCTGGAGCCTGGCTGAGCCCCACGGAGTCACAGCCCTCAACAACCTGCAGCCCCGGCACCGTGCTGTGGACCAGAGCCGACCCGGCAGCCACACCCCGGAAGCCGCTTCTCCAGACGGGAGCGCGGTTGGGCCTCCATACAAAGGCTGCGCTTCTGCCATGGCGGGCACAGGACAATGCGGTTTGTCACTCCACCCCAGGGCTCCCACAGTGACCCTGACTGCTGCGGCCACCCTGGGACCCCAGCATAGCCATCCGCGCCGATGACTGAGACCGCGGTGACTGGCTGTGCAGTGACGACACAGTGCAGGGAAATGCACTCAGGACAGGCCAGGCGGGCGGGGGAGGTGGAGGCGGTCTGGCCCATGGCAGCCAGGGCATGTGGCTGCGCGCTGCGGTCCACTCACACACAGTGCGGGACACAGAGGCCCCTGGAAAGGTGCGTGTCCTGCTCCTCTCCCTGCGGCCACAGCAAACACGACACAGAGCAGCGGCTCGTCTCTGCTCCCGCCTCTAACGAAGGCTGTTTCCTCACAGCTGCAGAGCACACTGAGTGGGAGAGCAAATTCTGGAACTGTCGCAGGCGGAAACCACACAAGGGGGAAACAGACAAAACAGCAAACCCGGAAGAACCATTCCCGCTTCCGAAGCTCCATGATCACGGCAGACGCTTCTTAAAACCTCCCGTTTAATATCAGATGCCACACATACGAGATCGATGTGCACGTCGGGAGAAACCACAGCACAGCCAGGAGTACTGGCGCACAGTGAATACGCTTCCGTCCTTTCAAAAGCCTTTCCCGAACGGTATCTTGTAAAAAATGCCAAAAATAAAATGAAAAAAACTGCCAGGAAAAGAGAACTGGCTTTCAGTGTTAACGAAATGGATTCTCCAGAAGCATGGAAATCAGGACTGCCACGCAGGAGAACGCACAGACAGGTCCAAACGCAAACGTGCCCCCTGAGCCCCCCATCTTCAGACACGCTCATGCACACTGGAGGCGCTTCCACCGCCAGGCCCCGCTGACAGCACAGCCGGCTGCTCCCTCACCGACGGCGCCGGTTCCGCTCTTCAAGGAGCTGGTTGTCAAATATTTCTTTTTCCCTTCAGAAAACAAGAGTCTTCATTTTAGTAATTAATCATTGTGTGTTAAAGAATATGAGAGAGAGGACTGGGTGTGGTCGCTCACGCCTGTAATCCCAGCACTTTGGGAGGCCGAGGCAGGCGGATCACAAGGTCAGGAGATCAGGACCATCCTGGCTAACACGGTGAAACCCTGTCTCTACAAAAAATACCAAAAAAAAAAAAAAACAAACAAAAAAAAAAACAAACAGCCGGGCGTGGTGGCGCATGTCTGTAATCCCAGCTACTTAGGAGGCTGAGGTAGGAGAATCGCTTGAAACCGGGAGGTGGTGCTTGCAGTGAGCCAAGATCATGCCATTGTACTCCAGCCTGGGCGACAGAGCTAAATTCTGTCTCTAAAAAAAAAAAAAAAAAAAAGAGTATGACAGAGAGTCCAGGCACTTTGGCTCACGCCTGTAATCCCAGCACTTTGGGAGGCCGAGGTGGGTGGATCACGAGATCAGGAGTTCAAGACCAGCCTGGCCAAGATGGTGAAATGCTGTCTCTACTAAAAATAACAAAAATTAGCCAGGCGTGGTAGTGGGCACCTGCAATCCTAGCCACTCGGGAGGCTGAGTCAGAAGAATCGCTTGAACCAAGGCACGGTGGGGGGGTTGCAGTGGGCCGAGACTGTGCCACTGCACTCCAGCCTGGGTGACAGAGCAAGACTCTGTCTCAAAAAAAAAAAAATAAATAAATACATATGTGTGTGTGTGTATGTCTACATATACATATGATATATAAAATTATATATTTTATATATAATATAAAGTATACATACTTTATATATATTATATATTAAATTGTTTTATATATTATAAAATTGTACATTTTATATATAATATATACAATTATATATTATATAATATATAAAATTGTTATATAATTGTATATATTATAATATATAAAATTATACATTTTATATATAATATATTTTATATATAATATATATTTTATATATAAAATATATAAATTATATGATTTTATATATTATATATAAAATTTATATATTTTATATAATATATAAATTTTATATAATATACATTATATATAAATATATATGGCTATATATATTTTATATATATAATATATATTATATATATATGAGAGGGCAGTTGTTTGATGGGGACAGAGCTGTAGTTTGGAAAGATGAAGTTCGGAGATGAGCAGCAGTACCGGCTGCATAGCACTGTGAAAGTGCTCACCGCCATCGAACCATACACTTAAGAAGGTTAGGATGGTAACTTTTACAGGATGTGTAATATTTTTTTTTTTTTTTGAAACGGAGTCTCGCTCTGTCACCAGGCTGGAATGCAGTAGCACAATCTCAGCTCACTGCAACCTCCACCTCCCGGGTTCAAGCGATTCCCCTGCCTCAGCCTGCTGAGTAGCTGGGACTGACTATAGGCGCGTGCCACCATGCTTGGTTTTTTTTTTTTTTTAAAGTAGAGATGGGGTTTCACCATGGTGGCCAGGATGGTCTCGAACTCCTGACCTCGTGATCCACCTGCCTCGGCCTCCCAAAGTGCTGGGATTATGGGCGTGAGCAACCGCACCAGGCCTTAACAATGTTTTAAAATAATATTTATTTTTAGAGACAGGGTGTTGCTCTGTCACCCAGACTAGGGTGCAGTGGCATAATGATGGCTCACTACAGCCTCAAACTCCTGGGCTCAGAGGATCCTCCCACCTTAGCCTCTCAAAGTGCTGGGATTACAGGCATGAGCCACTGTGACTGACTAAAAATAATTTTTTACGAAAGAGTATGAGATGCCAAATTGTCCTTACTAAGTGACCTCCCTGTAAAGGAAAATTATAACAATTGCTTAGCTAGCAACCCCTCTCAGCAATAGGGCTGCCCTGGATCAAAAGAGATCAACAACGGCTGCTGGCTCTGATGTGCGCCCCAGCAGACCTGGAAATAGGGGAGAGCACACCGGCCGCAGCACCAGAGAAAGGCAGACCTGAGGAGGACAGCCTTGGGAAGAGTGCAGAGAGGCTCATGGTGCAACTCTAAAAGAACAAGAGGGCCTGGGAAACGCCGTGCGGCGGGGAGACTGGGTCCCAGGACGCCCAGTGTGTGACCCAAGGCTCCACTGAGGCCAAAGATCAAGTGCGATGCTGCTCACTGGCTTGTTATTTTGAGCATGTCCCCGGCGTGATGAAATCACGGCCTGTGTGCTCAGCCCAAGTAACTTCTCCATCAGCACCAGCACCATTCTCACAGGTCACGGGAGGCTTTCATGGCAACTGGAAGCTGTGATGAACTCCTAACGGGTTTTGATGTCGGCAACCCAGACTCAAAAAAAAAAATCAGGATGAAAGATTTCCACAGATGGGCGTGGAGCGGTGAAGAGGCTTCTGAGACGGAGGGAGAGGACAAACCAGCAGGCTGGGTCCAGGTGTCCTGGCTCCGACCTTACCCCCTCCCCGGACCTCACTTATTCTTACGGCAAGCATGACGGGGGAACCATGAAGATCCAGCAGGAAAACACCCAGTTTCTGTATCCAAAGGCCTTTCCTGTTTTGGTAAGCCAGCTGGGCCAACACTCCCTAAACAAGGCCAAATTCCACCTTTGTGCAGCTCTGCGGGGGTGGCCTGCCAATGCCACCGAGGCCCCACACCTCCTCCCTGGCCTCTCCAGGGGCCCCTCCTGCCCTGCCCAGGGAGGACATGGGGCTGGTGAGGGAGTTCAGTGTCTTCACCAGGAGTCTCCTGTGACTGTGGGCCCGGGAGACGTCGGTGGCTGCGCAAGCCACCCTGGCCGGAGACCCTGTCCTTGACTCTAGTTGAGTCTTCAGCCTGTCACTGCCCCGTGGGCCCCGCCTGGCTCCCAGCAAGGCCTGGCCGCATGCCCAGAGACAGGATTAGGCGCTCTGGGGGCCAAACATCCAAGGGCAGCTAAGCACACGGATGTGAGAGAAACATCTTGATCACAGCATTCTTCTGGCTGCTGGAAAGCACCGGGCCGTGCTGCTGCTTAATCTTGCTGTATTTCTCACACAGCCATGGGGCTGTGGAAAGAGGGGAGGAAAGTGCAAAAAGCAAACATCAGCCCCTGCAAAAAGAGATTAAGAACAGACACGGCCCAGGCACGTGCCCGTGGCCCCGTGCTGCCCACAGCGACCAGCTGGGAGACCCGGGCACAGCCTTCCTGGGGGGCAGGAGTGACCCACAGGGTGAGTTCAGCGTATGTGATCAGCTCACCACCCAGCACCTGGGCCACCTCATGAGGGAGAGGGGCTGCGGCAGCCTGGAGTCAAACTGCCTGTGGGTGTGGAAATAGAAACTGCAAGGCAGAGACGCAAGTGGCTGGAGATAGCGCCGGGAGCGGCCTACCGGTAGCTCAGCGAAGGCCCCTTGATGTACTTCTCCTCAGCCGTCTTGTAGTCCACCTCGTCCACCGCAGAGATCGCACAGATGATGGCCTGTGAGAGGGCACGGGGCTCAATAGCAGCAGGCACTGCCCAACTGGCCCCAAGTGGCCTGCGGTTAAGAAGGCCGCAGGGAGCCTGGGTCACCAGGTTCCAGCCTCCAGACATGGTCTAGCTCATGGTTCAGAAGGTGCAAACCTAGTCCATGAATCCCTGCTTGTAATGATGTTTCTTAATTAAATCAGTACTATCTTTCGGACTAGACACAATAGCTCAGATCACTAAAAGCAGAGAAGAAAAGGCAAGACCCAAACCCACAAGAGCATTTCTCAAAAATTTTAAGTTTTTTTTTTGGTGGCGGTTTTTTCTGGTACAGAGTCTCGCCCTGTCGCCCAGGCTGGAGCGCAATGGCATAATCTCAGCTCACTGCAACCTCTGCCTCCCGGGTTCAGGTGATTCTCCTGCCTCAGCCTCCCGAGTAGCTGGGATTATAGGTACGCGCCACCACGCCCAGCTAATTTTTGTATTTTTAGTAGAAACGGGGTTTCACCATGTTGGCCAGGCTGGTCTCAAGCTCCTGGCCTCATGATCCACCTGCCTCGGCCTCCCAAAGTGCTGGAATTACCGATGCGAGCCACCACACCCGGCCTTAAGTTTATTGTTATAAAAAAAAAAGAGTATCCTGAATACACAATACATACCTGACATTAAGAAATCATCCCTATTTTTTACTTTTGTGATTATGGTAAACACATTTTTAACAGAGTCCATTCGGTTCAGAGCAGAGTCTCTCCCACTCGGCCCTGTGGACGTCGGGGCCAGACTGTTCTCTGAGGTGGGGCTGTCCTAGGCGCTGCAGGGTGCTGAGCAGCGTCCCTGCCCCAACCCACTCCATGCCAGAAGCACCCTTAGCTGTGACAAGCACAGATGTCCCCAGACACTGCCAGTGTCCCCCAGGGGGCAGAATCACCCTCCTTTTAGAGACACACACTGAAGTATTTATGGGCTTAAAAAAAAACTGTGGCCGGGAGTGGTGGCTCACGCCTGTAATCCCAGCACTTTGGGAGGCTGAGGGGGGTGGATCACGAGGTCAGGAGATCAAGATCATCCTGGCCAACATGGTGAAACCCCGTCTCTACTAAAAATACAAAAAATTAGCCGGGCGTCGTGGCGGGCGCCTGTAGTCCCAGCTACTTGGAAGGCTACAAGAGAATGGCGTGAACCTGGGAGGCAGAGCTTGCAGTGAGCCGAGATTGCGCCACTGCACTCCAACCTGGGTGACAGAGCGAGACTCCAACTCAAAAAAAAAAAAAAAAAAAAGCTTGAGGGTTTTTATGCTCCAAAAAATAATTCCAGGCAGGTTATGGGCACATTAGAGTTCATTATGCTATTTTCTTTTTGGGTCTATTTGAAAATTCCCATAGTTATAAAGTTAAATAGTTTTGAGTATGTTTTTTTCCCACAGATGTACACATATGCCCAGCAATGTCCTCTCTGAAATTTCAGATACAAACTTCAAAATCATCTGTATTTGCTCCTCACCAAGCCCCAAATCCGCAGCTGAAGTTCGAAATCACAGACAGTCTAATTTGTGTGTTTAACTTACCACGGGTTTATCAGAGTATGAGGCGCATTATCCACTTACAGTTTTTCAACTTACAGTGGGTTTATCTGGGTACTAAATGCGATTCTGACTTGGGAATTTCCAACTCGCAGTGGGTTTCCCAGGACTGACCCACCGAGGCTGGGAAGCATCTGTGCGCCCGCAGTAGGGAGGGAGTTCGCACCCCCTGGTGCTGACAGCTTCTAAGCAGCTCCATCTCTGCACAGGGGTCAAGTAAGCGGCTCCGTCTCCGCACAGGGTCAAGCGCACGCACTCGCATTTCCCAGCACTGACAGGATGTAAACACAGGAGGCCTCCACGCTCCGTTGGCCGCCGAACGGCCAGGGAGCAGGGGCGAGGACCGTGGCAGCCTCCTCGTGCGGAGTTGCAAAATCCCAGCGCAGGCCCCTCCCTGCCCACGTGACACGCCGGTCCGCGGCTCACCTCGGGCAGAAGCACGTCCAGAATGAACCGGATCCGGTCGCCGTTGGTGCGCTGGAGCACCTTGGCCCCCACCTCCTGGTAGACGCCCTGCAGGTACTTCACCACCAGGTCCAGCTGCCCCTCATCCTCCAGGTAGGTCTCCACACAGGTCACGTACTGGCTGGAGCTCAGGAAGGTCTGCAGCCAGCGAGATGGCTTCCTGCTCTTTAGGATGGCCCGCAGGTGGCTCTCCGCGCCCTTGGCCTTCACAATGTACTCCACCAGCTTCTGGTTGGCCCGGTCCCGGGCGGCCCGCGAGCGGTCGGGGAGCATTTTCCGGCAGGGCTGCCTCTGCCCCAGGGGGCACCCCACCACGGGCTCCTCGGGGCTCCCCTTGCTCAGTTGAGGAAGCTTGGTCCCCAAGACGTCCTGCTGGATGGATTTTCGGACAGGATAGCCTGCAAAAGAAGCACCTGTCGTGGGACCAGCGCGTGGGCTGCCTTCCTCGGGTGGCTGTGGGTCAGGGCCGATGGGAGGCTGCGACATGGCAGGGATGGGGGCAGACCCTAGCGATCGAGCTCCGTGTTAGCACGGGAGTGGAGCATTCACGCTCCTAAAGACACTTCCTCTGCTGGGACCCCCGGCCTTTCCCCCCTCACTGGGCCCTGCAGCCAGGTTTAACCCTTATAGCAGAGAAAAGCGCCTGCCCGTGCAGCACTGCCCAAGCAGAATCAATTCAGCCACGTCCACTCCTCCACCAACCAGGAGGCATGGAAAACTCCACTACTGTCGATAAAGGAAAATGCTGGATCGACAGTGAAGTGGTGGCCAAACATCCCGGTGTTCGTGACACGTTCTCTTTTTGAGACCAGGTCTTGCTCTGTCACCCAGGCTGGAGTGCAGCGGTGCAATCACATAGGTCACCACAGCCTTGAACTCTCGGGCTCAAGCCATTCTCCCACCTCTGCCTCCCGAGTAGCTGGGGCTGCAGGCACGCAAGCCACACGCCCAGCTCATTTTTTTCTATTTTTCTGTAGAGATGGGGTCTTGCTCTGTTGATCAAGCTAGTCTTGAACTCCTGGCCTCAAGCAATCCTCTTGCTTCAGCCTCCCAAAGTGCTGGGATTACAGGTGTGAGCCTCCGCACCTGGCCTACATTCTTCACAACATCTGATGTGTGCAGCCACCAGCCACAGCAGGGACACGCTGGATGTGGCCCATGGGATGAGGGCCCCAGGGCAGGCTCGGGATGCTGTGCCAGTGGACACCAGCAGCCCCAGGTCCCAGGGAGCCTCAGGGTCACATCAAAACCTCATAGAGGTTGAACAATGCTGTGTGGCTGCGGACAGTGCCTTGACCCCAACGTCCCCTTCCACAGCTTCAGACATAGAAGATTGTTTTTCTAAAGGGCTAAAAGGCAAACCACATTTTCCAAGATGTGCCTGTAGACTTACTTATATCAGCCGCGTAATATTCCAGGAAAGAGCCAGCAAAAGACCCGCAGCCTGCAGGGGGTGGAGGGGAGAGAGCACTGTGTAGACCTAAGAGGAGTCCCAGGAAGTGTGTTCCAGGGGCTGGCCCGGCGTCTCTGTTTAGGAAATAATCAGGCCAGGCCAGAACCCCAGCCCACCCACAGGGAATGCCCCAGGCCCACGGAAATATGCCCCGCCTCCAGGCAGCTCCGGCCCAGCCCGTCCAAGGGGTCTTCAGAGGCTGGACGCCTGCTGCCCAGCTCCACCCCTCCCCAGCACCCCACGTACCTAACCGGACCCTGTAGTCGGTGATGAGGGAGACACACCAGCCGATGTCCTGGTTGAAGTCCTCCCTGGCTTGATTCTACAATGAGATCCGGGCAGCAGGCGTCAGTGGGAGGCAGTGCCAAGCACCCTGGGTTCAGAAGCCACGCAGAGCCCAGGGACCAGCCAGGTGTCCAGGCTGCTCACGCTCCAGCCCGCACCTCTGACCCTCCCTGACAAAGGGGGCTCTGGCAGACGCCTCGCACAGGGACCCTCTGGTAAATGGGAAACGCACCAGGCACAGGTCTGGGCCCTGAGCTGCTCAAATGGTGGGCACCGGGGACCCGATGGCTTGGGCTGATCTGAACGCAGGTGGGCACCGGGGACCCGATGGCTTGGGCTGATCTGAACGCAGGTGGGCACCGGGGACCCGATGGCTTGGGCTGGTCTGAACGCAGGTGGGCACCGGGGACCCGATGGCTTGGGCTGGTCTGAACGCAGGTGGGCACCGGGGACCCGAAGGCTTGGGCTGGTCTGAACGCATCGACGGTGCAAACACCTCCCCTGTGGCCACTGTGCCACATGACAGGACATCAAGTCCTGGAAATAAGCTGCTCTAACAGCCGTTTTTGTTGGGAGCTATCGTCTGCAGCCAGGCTAGGCCAGCACCTGGGCTGCTCTAACAGCACCTGGGCTGGCAGCAGGGTGGGTCCCCAGAAAAGGACACAGCCGTCCCAAAGATGCCATAAAGCCACGACCATCACACAATGACCCAGGGAAGACTCTGGAGCCGAGGGCCACTAGGGGTACGGGGGCACCCCATAAGCACATCCCAGGGCCGGGTGGACGCCGCTCTCTGCCTGCCCAGCAGCCCCCGCACTTTCCTAAAGCACGGCTTCCCCAATATCATCCCTCAGAAGCCACGGTGACTACCACTGAATCAAGTGGGCTTCGGGACCACCACATACCTGACTCACAAGCAGATGTGAGCGCACTCTTAGGAAGAAGAAGCGGGCACCCTGTGCTCTCAGAACCCAGGGTTTTTGATATAAACGGCAGCCCTTCTGCGTTTAAGGCACGGAACTTCCTGCTCTTCTCCTCACCCCACACCTTCATCCATTTTTAGAAAGTAACTCAGTTCCAGCCGGGCGCAGTGGCTCACACCTGTAATCCCAGCACTTTGAGAGGCTGAGGCAGGCGGATCATGAGGTCAGGAGTTCGAGACCAACCTGGCCAATATGATGAAACCCCGTCTCTACTAAAAATACAAAAATTAGCCGGGTGTGCTGGTGCCTGCCTGTAGTCCCAGCTACTCGGAAGGCTGAGGCAGCAGAATCGCATGAACCCAGGAGGTGGAGGTTGCAGTGAGCTGAGATCGCACCGCTGCACTCCAGCCTGGGCAACAGAGTGAGACTCCGTCTCAAAAAAAACAAAAGAAAGTAACTCAGATCCCTGAGAGTGGAAAAGACACAACCACTTTTTCTTTTTTTCCAGAGGAGTAAAAATAACTGCACTGAGTTGACGTGTTGGTGCTGGAAGTCGCCACAACAAAATGAGTATTTCCAGAGGGGAAATAGACATTTCTGAGTTAGACAAATCCCTTGCAGTTCATCGACAGCACATGATGAAAGCTGGCTGCAGATCCAGGGAGCAGGAAGCCACTCTGCAGCAAGACGTCTGCCACGTGGTATCGGCCAGGCTCACTGCAGCACTTGAGCGCCCACAGGGCTCCCGACGCTGAGCTAGGGACGCCCCCGGCCGCAAGGGGCTGGCTACCGAGGCCACCGTGACATGGGGTGGACTGAGACAGTCGGCCAGGGAAGGCGGTGGCCTTGCGCAGAGGCTCTCTGCTGTAGCCTTGCCTGGTGGCCCTGGGTAAACTGTCCTCGCCGGAGCCCCAGCTTCCTTACCCGTAAAGCGGGGAAATGGGGCCGCAACTTCCCAGGACAGTTGTGAGAATTCAGCGCAGTGACTGAGCCCACGATCTAACTCTAACGGCCAGAGCGCAGCCTGGCTCTGCTACTTCCCACAATCATTCACACGCGTACACCGCAGCCATGGATTTCAAGAGCTACACACAGAGGACATATTTACTAATCACAAAGTAAACCATTTAAAGCAAGCACAAAACATCATCCACCTACCAGAAGCGTCTGTTTCTCTTTACAATCAAAGTGCTTTAAACTTTTAAGAGACACTGTGAAACTTGAAGCAGAGAGAGGGAAAAGTTAACATGAATGAACTTCCTCTAATAAGCTAAAAACCTTTCCCTGTCTCTGATTAAGATCAGTGGAGGCCGCTGGAGGCCCCACCAGCCCCAGCTTATTTATGGAAGGTGACCGTTTCCCCAGCTGCCAAGAAGCTCCCAATGCACCATGGTGGGTCCAGTGACTTCAGCAACACTGACTGGGCCCCGCCAGGACAGGCCGACCTCGGGGCCTGGGTCTCCACTCCACACCTCCCACCCCTCGGGGGCAGCACAGAAGTACCAGATGACACCGGTTCTGCGCGTTCGACTTGGGGATATGCAATGCGATGGTTCTAAAGGCTGCTTTCAGCCGGCTGATCCATCCACGTGTGCTTTCATCCCATGACTAAGGAACGACCAGGTAACCCAGGGGCAAACTCAGGTGGACGCAGGGATGCTGTCTGCACACCTGCGTGGACATTTTGCTGGTTTGTGGGAAACAGGGCCCCAGTGAGTGTCTGGTTGGGCTGCCTTTCAAAGCCAGCAAATCAAGTTGTGAAAACTGGGGTGTTTGACCAGACCCTTCACACCCAGCCTCTGTCTGACTCACCCATCCCAGGGAGTGAGAGGCCACAAGAAGGGCACACCTCCAGTGAGACCTCACTAGCCCTGCCCGGGCCTGGACTCCTGCCGGGGCCTCCCCTCTGTCCCTCCATCCCCACGCCCGCTCTGACTCTGAGAGCGGCCGGCCTGGCCCCTCAGGCCCATTCACAGAAACCAAGAACAGCGGGTTACCCTTTCATTTTCGGGTTCATGTGTCCTTCGATGTATAGCACACTTGCTTTCTTATCTCTCTGCCTGACGCTTTTGACCTGTTCACAAATCCAAGAAAATAAAACGTCAAAACAAAAGAGATCGTGGATTTTAAATATTTTTTTGTGACATCACATGATACATCTAACAGGCGCTGACCCCAGCTCTGGGGGTGACCCCAGCGAAGTCTCCCGCAAGGAGGCGCTGAGAAACGGCCCCATGCTCTGCCACACGCATCACTTGAACGTTTTCCCATCTGAGCGGAATCAGCCAGTTTTGTTTGGGTTTTTGAATAAAAAGAACCACAGCTACCGCTGCCAGCTGCCTCTTTAAATAAGCGTCCTGAGATTCTCCAGCGGCTCAGCAGGGCAGGTTTGTCCTCCTAATGCTCTGGGTGAGTGGAGGAAGTGCAGAAAGGCTCGGGAACAAGCCCAGGCCACACGGGGAGGGGCAGGGACTACAGGGCGCTGCCACCTCCCCACAGCCTCCCCAGTCCTGGCCTCCCGGGGCCACCGTGAGAAGGCAGTGAGGAGCAGTGGCGACCAGCGCCTCCGATGGCCCTTCCGCCCTGCGCTCTCAGGGAGGCTGCCTGCTCTTATGCCCCAGGAACCTGTCACATCAGTGACCTGTTAACCCAGCAGGGACCCCAGAAACTGATGAAAACAAGGGAAAGACTACCAAGGTGCGGGAGAGGAAACCAGTGCCAAGGGAGGGCGGAGGGTCCAGAAGCCCGGCCTCCATCTCCGCCGGCCAGTAGGCGACACAAGGAGCCCAGCTAGGCCATAAACGTGTTGAACCTCCCCAGCGAACACCACACAGATTCAATCCCCGGTTTCCCGGAACCACAATCAGTCACATGCAAGGAGCCTGGGTGACTCGAGTGAGGTCAGTCATTAGAGCAACAAAGGCGTCTCTGGATTACTGCAGGGCCAACGCCTTTTGGCGTTTGTGTCTTAGGAGGATAAAGGGAAAAAGGGGTAAGATATGAAGGAGAGGCGAAGGCCAGGACAGCACCCAAACCAATGACCTGCAACTTCCAGGCCTGCAGAGACAGAAGCAGAGAATCTGCCCCGGCTTGAACTCATCACCCACACCGGGAACTTGGACAGGATTTCGAATTCCTGTTTGTACACATGCAACCAACCCCACCACAAAATCCAAATTAATGAGCTCTCATGGGGTGAAATGCACAATATTTAAAATGAGCAAATCACAATTCTTTTTTTTCCTTTTTCTTTCCCCCGGAGACGGAGTCTCACTCTGTCACCCAGGCTGGAGTACAATGGCACAGTCTTGGCTCACTGCAACCTCTACCTCTCGGGTTCACGCCATTCTCCTGCCTCAGCCTCCCGAGTAGCTGGGATTACAGGCGCACGCCACCACGCCCGGCTAATTTTTTGTATTTTTAGTAGAGTCAGGGTTTCACCATGTTGGCCAGGCTGGTCTCGAACTCCCGACCTCAGGTGATCCACCCACTTCGGCCTCCCAAAGTGCTGGGATTACAGGCATGAACCACTGCACCCGGCCGCAAATATTTTTTTCGAGTAGGTCTTTCTAAGCCTGCTTGGTGAAAATGTGGCCTATCAACTTAACACCATTGTGCCTTAATTTAGGTACAGGCATCTCCTGAAGTCTTTTCTAAAAACCCACCAACTTTTCCCAGGAAAAACAAAACAATGAAAACATTTATCCTGATCAAATTATCAAGAACTAAAGATGGATGGAATAAAAATTCATGAAATTTAAGTAACTACATCTGAGAAGACGGAGGAAGCTGTTCTTACCACTGCTGGCCAGAAGGGGTATTTTTTATGTTTATGCCAGACTAGCATTCCTACTTCAAACGAACGTGGTTCTAGAATTAAAGAAAAAAGAAAAACAAAAAAAAAAGAATAGACAAGTCAAATCCATATCAAGCACCAGGTGTAACAGCCTGAGAAAACACAGTTAGCACGATATTGTTAAAACCTGACTTTGTGTCATTCGCTTAAAAGATCAGGAGAATCTGAAAGGCAGATTCACATACCCCACACTACTTGAGTCTAACCACCAATGATGAGACAGTGAAACCAGCAGCTGAGTGGGGTGCTGCACTGGGTTCCCAGCTGCGACAAACGCACCCTTGGGATGGGAGGGGTGCCACGAGGGGCGGCTGGGGCTCTGTCCTATGTGTGCGCGACTTTCCTAACTCTAAACCCCGCGGGAAGACACTTTTAAAGAGTGTGTGGCACAAAACAGAGGTGAGGTAATGGCACGCGGAGAAGACCCAAACACAAGGACTGAGATTCTAAAGAGGATTCTGGGAAACTACAGTCAAAAATGGGAAAATTATTTAAATCATAACTAGAAACTATTTATGAATGAAATATTTTCAATGCCAAAAAACAAGTGAATTATTTAAAATTTTAAAACTAAAGTATTAGAAAAACTACTGGAAACAGTCTGTCGTTAGACACACAAAGCCTGTGTCTGACCGCACTGTGGAAGGAAGGAAGTGCCGTGGTCCATAAACACAGATCAAAACCTAAAGGCCTATGAAGTAACCAACGTGACCAGAGAAAAAGGGAGGCCCACTGGGGTGAGTGTCTGCTGTGAACATGGCACAGCGTCGTTTCCCCAGTGAGGGGCATTTAGTCTTTAAGAGAAACTTCCAGGCCCACGTGGACAAACAATCAATTCAGAGGCCGGTCAGGGAACCCTCAGAAAGACGCCCAGCCTGACAGGTAGAAAACAAAACCAAACGGGAGCAAAACCCAGCTCCCACCGCAGGCAGGAGAAGCCAGGCAGCACCAGCCTCTGTATGTCCCGGTGACCCAACCCCAGTGGGGCAGCGTGGTCGGAAAGGGCCCTTCCCGAGGGCACTGTGCTCTTCGTGTGTGCGAACGGATCCTGCAGAAATGATTTCCTGGAAGTCCCCAATGGGTGCCCCACAGCACCTGCGGTCCTGGGACCATCCAGACAGGTGCCCAATGGGTGGGGCAGGGTTTGGTGAGTGGTGACTGCTCACCCCAGAGGAAAAGGATCAGAAGAGCATGTGGAAAACTGTTAAAAAGTCTGACCATTAGCATTAGGCAAAAAAAAGGGAAAATGTGAGACTGTAATGAAGCCCTTTCAATGATGGAAAAGCACTCAAACAGTGTAGACAAAAAAAGAACGACATAACAAGGCCACCGGCACGCAAGTGTGCGTGGAATGGCGCTCCCGAGGCTGCACACGCACCAGCTTCCTGGCCGGGGACATCCTGCGCCTTACGGATGCTGCCAGTGGGGAAGCCCGGGTGAGAAGCCCCCTCACCTCCCTTTACTATTTTTGCAACATCCTGTGAATCTATAATTATTCTGAAACTAGAAGGTTAAAGAAAAGAAAAACAAGACTTGGTTAAGAGGAATGGTTCACGGGCGAGTCTCAAGTGGGGCTGGTTCTTGTGACTTGGTTTGCGAAGCCGACTTTCTGTTCGCGGCTGGCTCAGATCTTTGGGTCTCTCATTTCTAGTCCCTTCCACGTAGATGCTCAGGGGCACCTAAAGGCAGGTTTTCCTCTAGTGCAAGCAGCTACTTACAGGAGGGGCGCGGGAGCAGTTCACTCTTGGGCTGAAGGCCCTGCCTCCCTGGACAGCCCCCCAAACGCCATCACCAACGGAAGCCGCGAGACAGTACGTGGCCACACCCGAGCAATGGCGACGCAGCCCCTCGGCTCACTGGGCCATCCCTCACTCCCCGCGAGGGGACAGGAGGACAAGGGCTTGAGGTAAGTGACAGGAGTAATGCTCTAACAGGGAGGGCTGGGCCGTCTCTTCCCAGGAGTCTCTCGTCCCTTTGTGTAGGTTATTCTTAAGATAGAGGACTGAAAACGTGACACTTCTGAAGGTCCCTTCCAGGTCTCGGTTCAGTGGGAGAGAAATGAACTCGCAGGAGACCTTTCATGGAGAATGTGGGGCCCGGTCTCGGAGCCCCGCCGCCGCTGCCTCTGAGCGCACCGTTAGGACTGCCGGCGCCCCCTGATCATTTCTTACCGTGGTATAAAAGGACTCTTGGTGGCTCCTCGTCTTCCTCGTCTTCCTCCAGGATAGAACGCATGGAATTAGACCCCATGGACTCTTCGGAAGACTGGCACTCTGCCAATAATGTGATATTAGACTTTCATGGTCATTGCATTGTCTTGATGACTCATCCCAAGAAAACATTTCATGACACATGACCATCGATGCATAAAGAAAAGGTTCCATGCTATACACAACTCCACACTGCCAAATTCAAACAGAGTGCGCTTCTAATAAACTACATTTTAAAGAAAAACGCAAGAGGGAAGGAGGGAAGGAGGGAAGGAGGGAGGGAGAGAGGCCTGCGGTGAAGGGAAGGCGGGCCGTAAGCAGCAGCCACCTCGGCCACAGAAGCTGCGCGCACCCTGGGTGGGAATCCCTTTTGTCCCGGCCTGGCTGTCCCTTCACATCTGAAGCAATCAGTGGATATGCAGGGAGGGGGCCAGGACAGGAGCTGACTATAGAACAGGGTAGGGGTGCGGATACGCAGGGAGGGGGCCAGGACGGGAGCTGACTATGGAACAGGACAGAGGTGCGGATACGCAGGGAGGGGGCCGGGACGGGAGCTGACTATGGAACAGGGTAGGGGTGCGGTCACTTTGTCTTCAGAGCGTGGCAACCTCAGTTCCCTGCCGCTTCCAACGTGCTAAGGAGATGATGACCTCAGGAAAGAAGTTCAGAGTACAGACTGAAATATCTGCGCGGTAAGTTTGTAGCAAGTAGATTTCCAGACATTTGATCATGTGGTAATTAAGATTTCTGAACTAGCATTTAAAAAATAAAGGATGCTACAGTGTTAAAAGGAAAAAAGTCACAGTGCTTGCCTGCAACCACACAAAAATATATCTGCACAGGAATTCTTTAAAAAGTCAGTCTTTTGAGTGAGTGAATCACTTTTGAGATTGCTGCCCAATTTAATAGGAATGCGTTACTGCTTCCGTTAAAAGAGTTAATCCTCGGGGTGCAGCCGCAGCTGCGGCCTCAGCACAGCCACAATGCTCCCAGCCGCGCCGCAGACAATCGTGGCCCGCCGCCCCTCTACGGGCTCCCCACTCACTCAACTCCCTTCCCTTCTAAACAAAAATAAGAAGACAAATATTTAGAAGTTGAAGCAATTATAGCCCAGTGGGGAGACAGACAAAAAGGAATGAGGAAGTCTCTGCTCTAAGTCTATTTTGGCAACGATCTCATTAAAATCTGGTCAAAAACACCCACGTGCCTGGCTCCCAGTCTGGCTGCGGAGGAGCAGGACTCCACCCTCTGCGCTCTCCTCCTCCACGAGAAACTTTTACCTTTCTCCAGCTTCTGGGAATCCGGGCAAGGAAGACATCTGGTTGCATCCGCAGAGGCGTGGGAGGGAGGCGGGCCCAGCCTGGCGGTGCTGCGCGGGGTCACAGACTCTCTGGGCCCTGGCCCCGGCCCGGGGGATGGTGCGGCCCCTGCTGCCATGGGCTCCAGCTGCACGGCAGGCGGCCTTTGGCTGCCATCCAGGCGCGGCCTCTTTTTCGCAGGGCATTCTCCAGGCTCTGAGCAGGCCGAGGGCTCAGGGGCTGGGGGCGCAGTGAGGCTGCCCAACGGCAGACCGGGGTCGTGTCCCTCAGCGTTGGCACAGGGATCGTCCTCCCTGACCCCGGAGGGCAAGGACGGGGCTGCCCAGCTGCCTCCTTTGCTCCCCATGTCTCTCTCCGTGTCGTCCTCTGAAAGGGAAGATCCATTCAGGCACAAGCTAGCCTTCTGCGCTGAGTTTCCTCCCCTCTTACTTGCAAGAGTCCAATTTTTGTGGTGGATTCTGGACCCACTCTCATCTTGGGCACCACCTCCAGCTGGGAGGACCAACGGGCCTCTTGGGTTTTCACTTTTCCTGAGCCCCTTCTTGTGGTCCACTTTGCACTCGGGGTCCTTTTCACAAGTGAACGAACTTGACAGGCTTTGTTGCACACATGGCCTCCTCCTGTGAGGTCTGGAACTGCCCAACACGTCTCCGCGGGGAAGAGATGAGGAGTTCGAATCACAGGGCGAGGAGACATGCTCCATGGGCTTCCCTCGCAGAGACCGGTCAGCTCTACCTGTCCCTGCAGAGCTTTCTTGACTCCAAATCGAGCCCTCGCTCAGAACGTCCAGAGCCACGCGAAGCGACCGTCTGTAGGCCAGTTCTTCCAGGGGTGCCGCAGGAACCTCATTCTGTGAGGCTGCAAGGACCGAACATACACAATGCCGGTTACGTTCACTGCACAGGCACTGCGGTCACGGCATCGCTTTAGAAGCTCGCTTGTCTCATTCTGACGGCTAGTTTCATACCTAAATCACTGAAGGGGAGGACTAACATTTCTCACCTACATTTTCCCAAAAAGGAGACGAGGCTACAGAACGACAGCTATTCATTCCGGGATTCGAGGCTTCATTTTTTTAAAAACCAAATTTATTGACCTTAACCTGATTGGCTAAAAAGATAAATTCCTCCAAGTTACAAAACAATACCGTGAGCAAAATGTATTCAAATGTTTTGCAAATCCTCTCTCAGCCTTACAATTTCAAATTCAATCAGGGTCAATAAAAACCAATGCCAACTAAATAAAGAACTCTGCTGGCAACGTATTCTTGGTTGGTGCAGGGGTTGGTGGTAGCAAGGAAAAGGAGATTTAAAAGACTCATTGTGGGCTGGTAAATTTTCAATACTTCTTTGCAAGGGCATTTCAAAGCCAGCAAAGAGCATCGTGGGCCTCTGGTTTCCAGCCCAACCTCCCTGCTGCAGCACTTTTATTTATTCATTCCGACATATAGATACGGCGCTATTTATTTGAACAAGATGATGGATGTAATATCACAACTCAGCGGGCATAATGCCTCAATCAGAACAGTATTCTCCCCTTTGAATATTAAAGGCGCCCACAAACAACCAGCCCCCCAACACAATCTGCGCCAACAAGGACGACGCCATCCAAGATGATGGTCAGCCCGGCCTAAGTTATGCAGAGATGGATCCTGCTTTAAACAAGAGCTGTTTTTCGGAAGACACAGGAAAATAGACCTGATTTTATAAACATCATTGGAAGGAATTCCGGTCCATCTTTTCACAAGAGAAACAATTATTTGCAAATGGGATAAACAGTTCCACTTTGAGAAGGAAGGCTGGCAGGTTTGGGTTTGCACAACTGTGGCTAGGGGGCAGGCAGTCACCAGTGCTCCTCACTTGTCATGTATGTGCATGACCAGTCCCCGGCTGGACTCAGGCAAAGCTTTTCTCACCCACAGTGTGCAAAGGAGGTGGGTGCTAAACTGAAGGCCTGGGAGAAAGCGCACCCGGATGGATGGGAAGCCGAGAGCTCCACTTCCGACCTGCCTCGTGCCCCCCATGACAGTGCCTCAAACAATGGGTGCCACCAACCCCAGTGCCAGGCCACCCGTTCTCTCCCTTGGGCTCTGCTCTGGAATTTTAAACACACAACCAACTGCTTCTCAAACCTTGGGCTGAGACCAGACTGGCCAGGCAGCGACAGTACCACAGCAAATCTTACTATAGGAAGAGGAAAGGAAAAAGGAGGACCTCCCCCCTTATGGCAGCAAAGTCCTTCCTCGTCTTGTGTACTGGAGGCCACGGGGGTACGAGATGACCTTGATGCTCACCACTGACCATTCTGGGCGTCAAGAATAGGAGTGGTTCTAGGGGCAAATTCTGGAAAGGTTTAAGAAAGCGGATCCATTTTTCCTTCTCCTTCAGCTCAGGGGATTCGCGTTCCCTTGTATGAAGAAAAACATGGTGAACAGGGTGAATTTTTACCCAGAAAGCTGAGCCTTCACATTCTCCCAAATGACCTCTTATTTTATGAAAACCTAGTGGCCACTTAAAAATACGCTCTTACCTAACGAGGAAGCAATGGCTTCAATTTGAGACTTCTCTAGGATCTCAACTTCAGTGCTTTTCACCTTAATTCTGCAGAGACAAAATCGACGTTACACACCACCAGCCAACGCCGCCAAGACATTTTCAAACATGTTTTCCTTTAGATAACAAAAGAATTATTTTCATTTTCCTCCTCAACCTTCCACTTAAACCAAAAGTCACAGCCAACTAGGAATTCATCTGCCTGAGGTTACAGGCAGCAAGAACCCTGGTGAATGGTTTTTTTTTTTTTTTCCTTTTAAGACAGAAAAGGTTGGCTGGATTTAAAAGCAAAAATGAATTCAAATTGTGACTTTTATGAAGCAAATCCTACTTTCAACTGCACAAATCACTCCTTTGTTAGATTTTCAGAGTAGATGGTAATGTCACTAAAAGCTGTTTACAGCCCAGCAGGTGTGTTTTGGTTTAAAAGGATGTGCTTTCCTTTTAAACTCGAGTATTCAATTACCTTCCCAGCCGCAGGGAAAGTGTGAGCTAGGGACCAAGCGAGCTTCAGAGGCAGCTCTGAAGATGCAGGCAGGAGGGAGTGGGGCAGGGGGAGCTCCACAAGGAAGAGCAACAGGGGAGCCAATGCCTTGGACTACGCGGGATCAGTCTCCTTGCTCTCTTCAGAACTGGGAATTCTCACGACAGATGCACCCTCGC
Source organism: Homo sapiens (assembly GCF_000001405.40). Lineage (NCBI taxonomy): Eukaryota > Metazoa > Chordata > Mammalia > Primates > Hominidae > Homo > Homo sapiens. Next base: position 1,357,778 of record NC_000019.10, on the reverse strand, counting down.
CAATCACGCAGGACTGACCGGGGCGTCGGAATCGCCGTCATTCTAGATGATCTACACCTTCCCGGTGCCAGACGCGCCCTCGCCACAATCACGCAGGACTGACTGGGGCGTCGGAATTGCTGTCATTCTAGACAATCTACACCTTTCCCAGTGCCAGACACTCACGGAGCAGAACAATGTGCCGCCTGGTCATCAGTTATTTGCCTTTTGAACGTTAAACGCTGGTTTAGAGTGACAGGCTCAAAAACCAAATATTTCAAAATTGATGGGCCTGTCACAGACGTTTCTGAAAAAAGACACACAGATCTCTGGGAAGGAAACATCCCTATTTTCCTGGCATGGCACTGATTAAGAAACAGTCAAAAAAAAAAAAAAAAAAGGAAATATCCCTATTTTAACCACAAATAGGGTCTACCCTGAGTATAATTTACATGTATTCAGTGTTTGTACCAATCTCTCCATAGATCTCACAGAATGCCTCGTTTGGATCTTCAGCTTCCAAACTGACATAAAATCAAACTAGTTGCTTTCTCATGAGGTTATTATGAGCATTAATGAATTACACAAATGGTGAATAAGCCCATTAAGAGTGGGCTGGGCTTCAACTGTTTTGGGGGAGTAGGGGATTGAAGTATCAGAAATCTACACGGGAAAAAACAGTATTAAAACAACACAACACTTAACTTTTCCTCTAGAGAGAGGATTTGCACAGCTAGAAAATATTCCTTTCTTCTCTTATTTTTTGTTGAAGTCGCGGTTCGGGCCAAAACCTACATTTAAAACAAAAGAAAATCCTTGTTATTACAACAGCTGACAGTGAGAAACAGTGGCAAACTTTAGCACAAATGCAGCAGGTAATCCTGAAGGCCTATAACCATGGGATTTCAGATATTTGGTCCAATCCCCATTGTTTCACAGATGGGGAAACTGAGGCATGAGAGGCCAGTGGCAGACAAAGACAAGGACCTGGGCTTTTGCATTGCAGCTGAGCACTGTCTACTGAATTGCTGGAAAGCATTCCCTGAACACGACCATAATTTACTATCACAGGGCTGCTTGCCAGATCTTTCCTTGAGTTACAGCCTTACATGCCTTTTTACAGCTGATTCTTTTTTTTTTTTTAGTGTGAAAAAAAAAAGACATTTCTGGAAGTGTAACCTTGGAAGCACTAGACCAAAACCCCATTAAATGGGGAACGAGAATCAGTGCCAACCGTGTTCTGGCTCAATTATTTCACTGAAGCAAATCCTAGGTATCTCCTGATCAAGATTTTACTTGTCACCCGAAAGTCATTTCTAAGTCCTGAAGTTACAGAATAATGGCTGTCACCTTCGCAGGCCATAATCGCTTTTCCCATCGGCAGAGGACATACTTGGCATCCGCCATCATTTACACTCATGTGGCAAGTGGCAATGATTTGGCACAACGTACTCCCAGGTCTCACGCCAATGTGTCCTGGAACGAAATTTGCACGGTGGTTTATACAACTGTTTGCTGGCGATGTTAACGCAGACACAGCCCTCAGGGGCAAAGGTTAGCTCGACTTAGCCTCAAGTAGATGGTTTAATTCCACAATCTTGCATTGAGATGCTCAATGCCAAAAAGCAGACTGACAAACAGAAACGACGGGGCTCGGTATCCAGGGAGGCGCCTGCATTTTTTCATAAATAAAATACAGCACAGTCCCTCCCAAAGGTTCTATCTAGATCAGTTTTAAAAGGCTCCTGAATAAATCATCTCCGTGCGGAAGACCTGCCTCCGACCTCGGCAGGAGAGGCATTTTACACAATCAAAGCTCACAACCCTCCCCAATTTGGGGAGTTAACAGTTGACCACAGCACACACACAAAAATAAGAGCGGAAAAACGACTGCTCTTTTGGCTGCCATGTCCCTGAAAGAACGGGGACAGCTGCAGACCGTTCACAGCATCAATGGGAAGGACTGGCTTGGCTGTTGACAGAAATGAAAAGGAGGTTTGGGGGTGGGGGTGGAATTTAGCAACAACGGAGGGGGGCGTCCCCGCAGCAGGGAAGAGGAGGTTCCCAGCAGAGGTAGGGGTGGCGTTTCCAGCAAGAGAGGGGATCACAGCAGCAGCAGAAGTAGGGGTCCAGGCAGCAGGGACAAGATTTCATGGCGGAGGAAGGGTTGCGGCTTGCAGGAACGGGGGATTCAGGCAACAGAGAAGGGGGTCACAGCAGAAGCGGGGGGGCTCAGGGAGCAAGAACGAGGGCTCACGGAGGAGGTGGAGCGGAGGGTCCAGGTGGCAGGGATGGGGGATTTCACGGTTGGGGGTGGGGAATCCAGGGAAGCAGATGGGGGTCCAGGCAAGAGATGGGGTTCACGGCAGACGTGAGGGGGATCCAGGGAAGGAGATAGGGGTCCAGGCAGCAAGGATGGGGGAGCGGGTCCAAGCAAGAGATGGGGTCCGGGCGGCAGGGACGGGAAAAGGAGTCCAGGCAAAGTGAGGGGCCCACGGCGCCAGGGGCGGAAAAGGGGGTCCGGGCAGAGTGGGGGACCCACGGCGGTAGGGACCGGGCGCTCCCGGAGGAGTCTCTAGGCCGGGGCCCCCCCTCCCCCCAGGCCCGGCCTCCTCGCCTCAGCCCCGCCCGGCGGAACCGAGGGGACGCATCCCGCGGGCTCACCGGGCCCCCGGCTTTCCCCAGCGCGGCGCCCCAAGCCCGGGCAAGGAGGCCGCAGCGGCCGCAACAGCGGAGGACCCGCCCGCCAACCGCTGCCGTCCGCGCCGCCCGCGCTCACCGCCTCCGCCACCGCCGCCGCCGCCGCCGCCGCCGCTCCCCGCGGGGCCGGGGGCGGGGCTTGCCTCGCGGCGGCGCCAAGCTCCGCCCCCTTCCGCCCGCTGCCCAATGGGACGCGCGCGCTCCCAAGGAGCGCCGGCCTCGCCCTCTCCGGCGTCCACGGCCGCGCGCCGGCCCCGCCCCTTCCGCCGCGCGTCTACCCCTTTTTCCCGGGAGTGCTGCCTGAGGAGACCGGTTGGCGGGGCATGTGTGGCCGCTCCCGGGCGCCGCCCTCCCGCGCTCCCGGCCCTTTGTCCTGCAGTCAGACCCCGGACACCGCCCTCGCGGGTCTCGGTGGGAAAACAGGCTCCCCCGCCCGCGGCGATCCCTGAGAGAACCTTCCAGAACTTTCGAGAATCTTCCAGGTCCTACGGCACCTCCCAGCCCGGGAGCTGCGCGCCACGGACCCAATTCCAGCAGATCCCAACCGATCCCAAAGCCAGGCATCCCCGCAAAGGCGTCATAAGCTTCTGAACTAGAGCAGGACCCACCTTGGGAGGGTCCCAAGACCCCGGGGGGCACCGGAAACAGCCGCGGGTGGCGGGAGCCCCGGAGCGGTCGCTCCATCAGTGTCAGGCCTTTCCCTGAGCGGTTTTTGATTTTTTTTCAGACGGAGTCTCGCTCTGTCACCCAGGCTGGAGTGCAGTGGCGCGAGCTCAGCTCACTGCAGCCTCCTCCTGCTGGGATTACAGGTGCGCGCCACCCCACCCGGCTAATTTTTGTATTTTTAGTAGAGAATACTAAATGTTGATCAGGCTGCTCTCAAGCTCCTGACCTCAGGTGATCGGCCTGCCTCGGCCTCCCAAAGTATTGGGATTACAGGCCTGAGCCACCTCGCCAGCCCCCACAGTTCTTTAAAAGCAAAGGAGGCCGAATTGGCAGATCCTTTAAGCCCAAGGATTGGAGACCAGCCTGGGCAACATGGCGAGACCCCATCTCTATAAAAAAGATACAGGCTCACTCCTGTAATCCCAGCAGGAGGCCGAGGCGGGCAGATCACATGAGGTCAGGAGATCGAGACCAGCATTGCCAACATGGTGAAACCCCGTCTTTACTACAAATAGAAAAATTAGCCGGGCGTGGTGGCGATGCCTGTAATCCCAACTATTCAGGAGGCTGAGGCAGGAGAATCGCTTGAACCCGGGAGGCGGAACTTGCAGTAAGGGGAGATCGCGCCACTGCACTCCAGCCTGGGCAACAGAGTGGGACTTCGTCTCAAAAAAGGAAAAAATTAAAAGACTTACAGCAGCATTCGTCACGCACTGGCCCCGACTCTTCAAGGGGAAGGGGCGACAGCAAAGCCGGCTCTAACTTCTTTTTCCTTCTCACATTTGCGGGAATAGAAGGTTTGTGTCTTCGGTCGATCCCAGCAACCTCAGCGACTGATTTTTTTTCCTTTATCAAGTTGAGAATGTTCACCTTTCACTTGTTTTTTATTTTTATTTACATTTTTGAGTCGAAGTTTGGCTCTGTGGCCCAGGCTGGAGTGCAGCGGCCCAGTCATAGCTCACTGCAGCCTCAACCTCCCAGGCTCAAATGATCCTTCCACCTTAGCCTCCGGAGTAGCTGGGACCACAGTGCGCACCACCATGGCTGGCTAAGATTTTTATTTTTTGTAGAGAGAGGGTCTTGCTATGCTGGCCAGGCTGGTTTCGACCTTTTGGGCTCAAGTGATCCTCCCACCTCGGCTCCCCAAAGTGCTGGGATCACAGGTAGGATCCACCTTGCTCAGCCGTCTCAGTTTGTCTATAAAATGGGGGTGGTGGTCTGTGGGTGGTTGGCAAGAACTATGTCTCTGATATCCTCTCACGTTAAATCTGAGCTGGCGGTGGCTCAGGCCTGTAATCCCAGCACTTTGGGAGGTCAAGGCAGACATATCGCCTGAGGTCAGGAGTTCGAGACCAGCCTGGCCAATATAGAGAAACCCCCATCGCTACTAAAAATACAAAAATTGGCTGAGCGTGGTAGTGTGCACCTGTAATCCCAGCTATTTGGGAGGCTGAGGCAAGAAAATCTCTTGAACCCAGGAGGCGGAGGTTGCAGTGAGCTGAGATCGCGTCAGTGTACTCCAATGTGGGTGACAGAGCAAGACTGACTCTGTCTCAAAAAGAAAAAAGAAAAAATCCTGGGCTGGCGTGTGACCTGCTTCAGCCCAGGGAATACAGCAGAAGGGGTGCTGTGCCAGATCCAAGCCTCTGCCTCAGGAGGAGTGGGGCCCAGTGCGGTGGCTCCCGCCTGTGCTTTGGGAGGTGCTTTGGGAGGCTGAGATGGGAGGATCACATGAGCCCAGGAGTTGGAGACAGGCCTGGGCAACATAGTGAGACCCTGCCTGTACAAAAACAAAAAAGAATTAGCCAGGCATGGTGATGCACACCTGTAGTCCCAGCTACCCAGGAGGCTGAGGCAGGAGGATTGCGTGAGTCTGGGAGGTCGAGGCTGCAGTGAACCGTGATTGCACCACTGCACTCCACATGACAAAGCAAGACCCTGTCTCAAAAACAAAACAAAACAAAACACAGCGTGGCAACAGCTCACGCCTGTAATCCCAACACTTTGGGAGGCCAAGATGGGAGGATTCCTTGAGCCCAGGAGTTCAAAGCTCCTATGAGCTCAAATGAGGTATATTTTTTTAATTTGTTTTAGAGACAGAGTCTTGCTCTTGTTGCCCAGGCTGGAGTGCACTGGTGCAATCTCGGCTCGCTGCAACCTATACCTCCCAGGTTCAAGCCATTCTCCTGCCTCAGCCTCCCCAGTAGCTGGGATTACAGGCACACGCCACCACACCCGCCTACTTTTTGTATTTTTAGTAGAGACGGTTTCACCATGTTGGCCAGGCTGGTCTCGAACTCCTGACCTCATAATCCACCCACCTCGACCTCCCAAAAACGCTAGGATGACAGGCGTGAGCCACCGTGCCTGGCCTCTGGCTCTGGTATTAAATAAATTAATGCTTTTAAAGTACTTGTGCCAGTGGTGAAATGTTAGGTCTTATTTTATTAAATGTCTTCTCCATTCGTCTGTGAGTTCCCTGAGTCCTGTTTTCTTCACCATTGTAAGCCCAGTCCGTGTCACCGAGCGCTCACTCAAATTTTGTTTAAAGAATGAATTTCTCTCCTAAACCATAGAGATTCACAGTTGCAATAAAGCGGCTGCTTCTAAGGCAGCACAAAGGCCTGGCAGGTCGATGCAAGAACGTCCTTTCACAGGCTTCTTCCGGCTCCACGTCAGTTATGGCTTTAATTAAAACGTTTCCCCTTCTGCGGGAAATGTATCATACACAATTCCCTCTGCTACTCAAGGCGTTGTAAGACAACGGTCGCTATCGTATTTTTATTAACCAGACCGCTATTGTGAGACATTTCAGCGATTCCTGATTTTTCCATGATTTAAATAAGGCCGCAGAAAGCAACTCTCCTATGTAAATCTTGGTGCACCTCTGATTATATCCTTATGATAAATCCCTGGAGGCGGAAATTGCTGGGTCTGAGGGTCTGGACATCCTCAAGGCGTTTGACAGATGACGTCAAGTTGCTTTTCAGAAAGGTACCAATTCACATTGGCGGCAGCCCCGCATTACCACGGCCCATCTAACACCCTGCACGAGGGCCGGGCGTGATTATTTCTCTCATCTTTGTTAATCTGATGATGGGTGAAAAATGTATTAAGTTTGATACTGAACCATGAACTAAATCAAAGATTAAAACACACAGACACACACCTAGTGTTCCAGCCTGAACCAGAACTGAATCTATATTTTCTAAAGTGATTGAACTGTAACATCAAAATAGCCTCTGAACTGAAACTCAATCAGTGTTCCAACCCATTCAAGTCCCTAATTAGGCCATAAGGGGACCACACTGGAAACCTTGACCAGACCTTGACCTTGTTAACACGGAGCTACGACTGCCAGCTTTGACGGGGCCCCACTGCCAAGGAGCTTTACAGATGTCCAATTACCAGCCCCCTTCACACAAGCCAGGTTTTTACATAGGAAATTCAGAACACAAGAGAGAGGGCTGTCACTGGTGTTTCTGGAGACCCAGGGGCTCCACGGAAGTCAGGATTGTCTTGGGGAGACCAGGATGACTTGAGCCCAGAAGGTCGAGGCTGCAGTGAGCCGATATCGCTCCACTGCACTCAGGCATGGGCTATACAGGGAGACCCTGTTGCTACAAAAAAAAAAAAAAAAAAAAGGCCAGCCGGGTGCGGTGGCTCACGCCTGTAATTCCAGCACTTTGGGAGGCCAAGGTGGGCGGATCACGAGGTCAGGAGTTCAAGACCAGCCTGGCCAACATGGTGAAACCTCGTCTCTACTAAAAATACAAAAATTAGCCAGGCGTGGTGGCAGGTGCCTGTAATCCTAGCTGCTTGGGAGGCTGAGGCAGGAGAATTGTTTGAATCCAGGAGGCAGAGATTGCAGCGAGCCGAGATGGTGCCACTACACTCCAGCCTGGGCAGCAGAATGAGACCTCAACTCAAAAAAAAAAAAAAGAAAAAAGAAAAGTGGCTGGGCACAGTGGCTCACATCTGTAATCCCAGCACTTTGGGAGGCTGAGGCGGTGGATCACCTGAGGTCAGGAGTTTGAGACCAGCCTGACTAACATGGTGAAACCCCCGTTTCTACTAAAAATACAAAAAAATTAGCCAGGCATGGTGGCAGGCGCTGGTAGTCCCAGCTACTGGGGAGGCTGAGGCAGGAGAATGGCGTGAACCTGGGAGGCAGAGGTTGCGGTGAGCCAAGATCACGCCACTGCACTCCAGCCTGGGCAACAGACTGAGACTCTGTCTCAAAAAAAAAAAAAAAGAAAAGAAAAAGAAATTTTCTGTAGAGACACAGTCTTGCTCTGTTGCCCAGGCTGGTCTCGAGCTTCTGACCTCAAGCGATCCTCCACCTTCGACCTCCCAAAGTGTGTGGTCCATGCCTCTTCCTCTTATAAGGACATCTCATTAGATTAGAGCACACCCTTCTCCAATACAACCTTATCTTTTTTTTTTTTTTTTTTTTGAGACAGCCTCTTCACTACTTCACTCGCCCAGGCTGGAGTGAAGTAGTGAGATCTCGGCTCACTGCAACCTTCGCCTCCCAGGTTCAAGAGATTCTCCTGCCTCAGCCTCCTGAGTAGCTGGCACTACAGGCACGCGGCACCACGCCCGGCTAATTTTTTTGTATTTTTAGTAGAGACGAGGTTTCGCCATGTTGGCCAGGCTGGTCTCAAACTCCTGACCTCAGGTGATCCGCCCGCCTCAACCTCCCAAAGTGCTGGGATTACAGAAGTGAGCCACTGAGCCCTGCCACAATCTCATCTTAACTAATTATGTCTGTGGAGACTCTACTTCCAAGGAAGGTCACATTCTGAGGTTCTAGGGAGACATATATTTTGGCTGACACTATCCAACACGGTCCAGCGAGGGTGAGTGTGAAATCAACCTTAGCCATGTCTAGTAGCTGCACCGTGGGGATGCCCCTTATTTCAGGGCTACCTCGCTCCGCCGCACTCATGTGGGACACTTTCCACACTGGAACGTAATTACTGGTCTACACGCTTGTCCTTCCGCAGGACGCCGGCCTCCTGTGGACAAGCGACCGTGTGTCATTCATTCTTGCATTGTAGAGGATGAGAAAAAAATTAATTTTACCAGCTGGCACCAGAATTCATTTTAAGAGACGCAACTGGGCTTGTTTAGGAAAATACCTTAATTAGGGCCAGGGGCACGTGAGGGAGGCCTGAGGGCATGAGATAAAAACGACCCACAAAGAGACCGCCGAACTCCTCTGCAGGAGAATACAGCTGCAGTTTGGGGGTCACCGGAGAGGGGCTGTGGAAGGTGGGGACCCAGAGAGGTGAAGACACAGACAGATAGCCAGAGAGACACAGGAAGGACAAATGGGGGGGTCAGGACGTCCCCCAGCATTTTGGGAAGGGCAAGGGCTTTCAGGAGCTGGCCTCCCCCAGCTAACACAGAGCAAGATGGAAATGCATGTCCAGCTACTCATGAGGCTGAAGCAGGCAGATCCCTTGAGCTCAGGAGTTCAAGACCAGCCTGGGCAACATAGTGAGACCCCCATCTCTACAAAAAAATAACAAAATTAGCCAGGTGTGGTGGTGCACGCACCTGTGGTCCCAGCTACTCAGGAGGCTGAGGCATAAGGATCATTTGAATACAGGAGTTCGAGGCTGCAGTGAGCTATGATTGCGCCACTGCACACCAGCCTGGGTGCCAGAGCGAGACACTGACTCAAAGAAAATTGAGGCAGAGGCTGGGCGCGGTGGCTCACACCTGTAATCCCAGCACTTTGGGAGGCCAAGGCGGGTGGATCGCCTGAGGTCAGGAGTTCGAGACCAGCCTGGCCAACATGGTGAAACCCTGTCTCTACTAAAAATACAAAAATCAGCTGGGCGTGGTGGTGGGTGCCTGTAATCCCAGCTACTCAGGAGGCTGAGGCGGGAGAATCATCGCTTGAACTTGGGAGGTGGAGGTTGCAGTGAGCCGAGATCATGCCATTGCACTCCAGCCTGGGCAACAAGAGCAAACCTCCATCTCAAAAAAAAAAAAAAAGAAAAAAGAAAATTGAGGCAGAGACAGGCAGGACTTGCTGGACCCTGGCTGGCACCCAGCAGATGTGCAGTATGTGTCTGTGTCCCCATAAGGGATGAATATTAAGGCGATTTTGGGGCCAAGCATGGTGGCTCACACCTCTAATCCCAGCACTTTCAGAGGCTGAGGCAGGTGGATCACTTGAGGCCAGGAGTTTGAGACCAGCCTGGCCAACATGGTGAAACCCTGTCTCTACCAACACGGGTGGGAGGCGTTGAGGAGCCTGGGGCCGTCCTGGAATAAGGACAGGATCAGTGTCTTTTCCATCCTGTTTCTTAGCTTTGTTTGACTGCTTACCTGGGGCTTGTATTACTTCTGTTATTGTGAAACAAACAAACCCAAGTGAAAAGAATTTTAAGACCTTTGATAGAGTCTGGCTCTGTGTCCCCATCCAAACCTCACCTTTTTTTTTTTTTTTTTTTTGAGACCGAGTCTCGCTCCTTCGCCCAGGCTGGAGTGCAGTGGCGGGATCTCAGCTCACTGCAAGCTCCGCCTCCCGGGTTCACACCATTCTCCTGCCTCAGCCTCCTGAGTAGCTGGGACTACAGGCGCCCGCCACCACGCCCGGCTAATTTTTTTTTTTTTTTTTTGTATGTTTAGTAGAGACAGGGTTTCACCACGTTAGCCAGGATGGTCTTGATCTTCTGACCTCGTGATCTGCCGGCCTTGGCCTCCCAAAGTGCTGGGATTACAGGCATGAGCCACCGCGCCCGGCCCAAACCTCATCTTGTAGCTCCCACGATTCCGTGTTGTGGGAGGGACCTTGTGGGAGGCGAGTGAATCATGGGAACAGGTCTTTCCCGTGCTGTTCTCTTGATAGTGAATAACTCTCACAAGAGCTGATGGTTATATTTTATTTTTGAGACAGAGTCTCGCTCTGTCCCCCAGACTACAGTGTGGTGGTGCAATCTCGGCTCGCTGCAACCTCTGCCACCTGGGTTCAAGTGATTCTCCTGCCTCAGCCTCCCAAGTAGCTGGGATTACAGGCATCCGCCACCACACCTGGCTAATTTTTTGTATTTTTAGTACAGCCAGGGTTTCACCATGTTGGACAGGCTGGTCTCAAACTCCTGGCCTCAAGTGACCCACCTGCCTCAGCCTCCAAGTTTCCCTGCACAAGCTCCCTTCTCTTGCCTGCTGCCATGTGAGATGGGTCTTTCACCTTCTGCCATGATTGTGAGGCCTCCCCAGCCACGTGGAACTGTAAGTCGATTAAACCACTTTCTTTAGGCCAGGCTCGGTGGCTCACGCCTGTAATCCCAGCACTTTGGGAGACCGAGGAGGGTGGATCACAAGGTCAGGAGTTCAAGACCAGCCCGGCCAACGTGGTGAAATCCCGTCTCTACTAAAGATACAAAAAATTAGCTGGGCGTGGTGGTGCATGCCTATAATCCCAACCACTCGGGAAGCTGAGGCAGGAGAATCGCTTGAACCCGGGAGGCAGAGGTTGCAGTGAGCCGAGATCACACCATTGCACTCCAGCCTGGGCAAAAAGAGCGAAACTCCATCTCAAAAAACAAAAACAAAAAAAAAAAAAAAAGAGGAGATTAAGGTAAAATGTCATATGTCTGGGCTCTAATCCATTGTGACTGGTGTCGTTATAAAAGAAGAGATTAGAGCTGTGCACAGTAGCTCATGCCTGTAATCCCAGTGCTCTCGGGGGCAGAGGTGGGAGGAGCTTTTGAGGCCAGGAGTTTGACACCAGCTTGGGCCACATGACCAGAGACCCGTCTCTAGAAAACATTAAAACATTAGCGAGGCCGGGCACTGTGGCTCAAGCCTGTAATCTCAGCACTTTGGGAGGCCGAGGTGGGCGGATCACAAGGTCAGGAGATCCAGACCATCCTGGCTAACACGGTGAAACCCCGTCTCTACTAAAAACACAAAGAATTAGCAGGGCGTGGTGCTGCGCACCTGTAGTCCCAGCTACTGGGGAGGCTGAGGAAGGAGAAAGCGTGAACCCAGGAGGCGGAGCTTGCAGTGAGCCGAGATTGTGCCACTGCACTCCAGCCTAGGCGACAGAGCGAGACTCTGTCTCAAAAAAAAAAAATTAGCTGGTCAGCTGGGCCCAGGGGCTCACGCCTGTAATCCCAGCAGTTTGGGAGGCTGAGGCAGGCAGATCATCTGAGGTCAGGAGTTCGAGACCCGTCTGACTAACATGGTGAAACCCCGTCTCTACTAAAATACAAAAATTAGCTGGGTGCGGTGGTGCATGCCTGTAGTCCCAGCTACTCGGGAGGCTGAGGCAGGAAAATCACTTGAACCAGGGAGGTGGAGGTTTCAGTGAGCCGAGATCACGATACTGGGCTGCAACCTGGGTGACAGCGTGAGACTCTCTCAAAAAAAAAAAAAAAAAAAAAATTAGCTGGGCATGGTGGCACACACCTGTAATCCCAAACTACTTGGGAGGCTGAGGCGGGAGGATCGCTTGAGCCCAGGAGTTTGAGACCAGCCTGGGCAACATAGCCAGGCCCTGTCTCTCCAAAAAATTTTTTTAATTTAGCAGTGAGGGCCAGGCATCATTGCTCATGCCTGTAATCCCAGCCCTTTGTGAGGCTGAGACAGGCAGATCACCTGAGATCAGGGATTCGAGACCAGCCTGGCCAACGTGATGAAACCCTGTCTCTACCAAAAATACAAAAATTAGCCAGGCATGGTGACATGTGCCTGTAGTCCCAGCTACTCGGGAGGCTGAGACAGGAGAATTGTTTGAACCCAGGAGGCGGAGGTTGCAGTGAGCCAAGACGGTGCCATTGCACTCTAGCCTGGGCAACAAGAAGGAGACTCTGTCTCAAACAAACAAACAACAAACAACAAAAACCAAAGTCATAGGCCGGGCACACTGGCTCACGCCTGTAATCCCAGCACTTTGGGAGGCCAAGGCGGGAGAATCACCTAAGGTTGGGAGTTTGAGACCAGCCTGACCAACATGGAGAAACTCCGTCTCTACTAAAAACACAAAAAATTAGCCAGGCATGGTGGCACATGCCTGTAATCCCAGCTACTTGGGAGGCTGAGGCAGGAGAATCGCTTGAACCTGGGAGGCGGAGGTCACAGTGAGCTGAGATCGCACCATTGCACTCCAGCCTGGGCAACAGAGTGAGAATCCGTCTCAAAAAAAAAAAAAAAGCCTTTCATTTTAGCTGTTAGGCATTTCAGGGCAGGCTGTAAGGTGTCATCTCCATTTCAAAAAAAAAAAAAGCGCTGCCATTTGAGGATTTGTTTTCTCTCTTCTTTCTCTTTCCTTGTTCTTCTCCCAGACGTGGGTAATCTACAACTGTCTTTTATTTGTTTTCTTCAAGGTCCTACATCATATAATCTTACATTGTTCTCAGCCAATAACTTCCTTCTTTGTCTGAAACTCTCGCACGCAGACACAGCCTGCAATTCGCAGACAACCTCCCCATCCTCCCATCTCCCCCCTGAGACTGGGTGACTGCTGCACCTGCCACAGAGAACCCAGACCCTGTCTCAGGGTCACCCCCAACTCTGTTTCAGTTTCTACCCCCAGACACTCTGACCTCAAATGCAGATCTTGCAGGGTTTTTTTTTTTTTTTTTTTTTTTTGAGACGGAGTCTCACTCTGTCGCCCAGGCTGGAGTGCAGTGATGTGATCTCCGCTCACCGCAACCTCCGACTCCCAGGTTCAAGCGATTCTCCTGCCTCAGCCTCCCGAGTACCTGGGATTATCAGCACCCGCCACCATGCATGGCTAACATTTATATTTTTAGTAGAGATGGGATTTCACCATGTTGGCCAGGCTGGTCTCGATCTCCTGACCTCAGGTGATCCCCCTGCCTCAGCTTCACAAAGTGATGGGATTATAGGCGTGAGCCATCATGCCCAGCTGGATCTTGCCTTTTTAAGTCCCCAAGAGCCTTGGCTCCCACTCCAGGCCGACAAAAACTCCAGGAAGAAGGCCCAGCAGCGCCCATAGCAGTGTGTGCACAGGATCTGGCTTTACCTCACCCACTTCAGGGTTGGACCCCAGCTAGAAATCAAACCTGGGCTTCCTTCCCCCTCTTTTTGCTTTCACAATTGTCTGTACCGTAATTATATTGGCTGTGGTCTTCATCTCGCCCACTGTGGCAGGTGACCACATTTGTGCAAACATGACACTCTAAATGCGTCCATTGCAAAGTGGATTTGAGGGAACTTTATTTATTTTTATTTTATTTATTTATTTTGAGACAGGGTCTCACTCTGTCTGTGGCTCAGGCTGGAGTGTGGTGGCATGATCACAGCTCACTGCAGCCTTGACCTTCTGGGCTCAAGCGATCCTCCCACCTCAGCCTCCCGAGTAGCTGGGACCACAGGTGCACACCTCCACACCCAGAAAAAAAATAATTATTTTTTTCTTTTCTTTTGGAGATGGGGTCTCACTCTGGCACCCAGGCTGGAGTGCAGTGGTGCAATCTTGGCTCAATGCAACCTCCACCTCCTGAGTTCAAGCAATTCTCCTGCCTCCGCCTCCCGAGTAGCTGGGATTACAGGTGCCTGACAGCACTTCCAGCTAATTTTGTATTTTTAGTAGAGACGAGTTTCAGCATGATGGTCAGGCCGGTCTCGAACTCCCGACCTCAGGTGAACTGCCCGCCTCGGCTTCCCAAAGTGCTGGGATTACAGGCGTGAGCCACGACACCTGGCTTTTTTTTTTTTTTTTTTTCTTGAAGCAGGGTCCTGCTCTGTCGGCCAGGCTGGAGTGCAGTGGTGCGATGTCGGTCACTGCAGCCTCTACCTCTTGGGTTCAAGTGATTCTCCTCCCTCAGCCCCCCAGGTAGCTGGGACTACAGGTGACCACCACTATACCCGGCTAATTTTTTTTTTGTATTTTCAGTAGAGATGGGATTTCACCATGTTGTTCAGGCTGGTCTTGAACTCCTGACTTCAGGTGATCCACCCACCTTGGCCTCCCAAAGTGCTGGGATTACAGGCGTGAGCCACCATGCCTGGCCTTGTTCTATGGATTTGATAAAGGTATCATGTTCTTGCACTCTCAGATCGAATAGCTTCACTGCCCTAGAAATCCTGTGCTCTGCCTGTTCATCCCTCCCTCTGCCGGCCCCTGGCAGCCTCTGATCTTTTTACTGTTTCTGTAGTTTAGCCTTTTTCCAGAACGTCCTAAAGCTGGAATCCTGCAGCACGGAGGCTTTTCAGACGGACTTGTTTCACGTGGTCACATGCATTTACAGTTTCTCCATGTCTTTTCCTGGCTTGAGAGCTCCTTTTTTTTTTTTTTTTAGATGGAGTCTTGCTCTGTCACCCTGGCTGGAGTGCAATGGTGCAATCTCAGCTCACTGCAACCTCTGCCTCCTGGGTTCAAGCAATTGTCCCGCCTCAGCCTCCCAAGCAGCTGAGATTACAGGCACCCACTAGCACATCCGGCTGATTTTTGCATTTTTATCTTATTTTATTATTATTATTATTGAGATGGGAGTTTCCCTCTTGTTGCCCAGGATGGAATGCAATGGTGCGATCTTGGCTCACTGCAGCCTCCGCCTCCTGGGTTCAAGTGATTCTCCTGCCTCAGCCTCATGAGTAGCCAGGATTACAGGTGCCCACATCACCACGCAGGATAATTTTTTTTGTATTTTTAGTAGAGACTGGGTTTCACCATGTTGGCCGGGATGGTCTTGAACTCCTGACCTCAGGCAATCCACGTGCCTTGGCCTCTCAAAAGTGCTGGGATTACAGTCGTGAGCCACTGCGCCCGGCATATTTTATTTTTTTCAGAGAGGATCTCGCTCTGTTGCACAGGCTGGAGTGTAATGGCGCGATCTTGGCTCACTGCAGCCTCTGCTTCCTGGGTTGAAGCAATTCTCCTGCCTCAACCTCCCAAGTAGGGGGGATTACTGGCTCCCACCACCATGCCTGGCTAATTTTTGCATTTTTAGTAGAGAAGGGGTTTCACCGTGTTAGCCAGGATGGTCTCGAACTCCTGACCTCGTGATCCACCCGCCTCAGCCTCCCAAAGTGCTGGGATTACAGGCGTGAGCCACCGCGCCCAGCCCCTCTATGTTTCTTTACACCTTTCTGTGATTCTACAATTATTTCAGAATTAAAAGTTTTAAAATACCTTAAAACATGTTTCAAAAGCCAGGCATAGTGACTCACACCTGTAATCCCAAGGCTTTGGGAGGCTGAGGCAAGAGGATTGCTTGAGCCCGGGAGTTCAAGACCAACCGGGGCAACATAGGGAAAGCCTAATAAAACATTTTAAATAAATTTTTTGTGTGTGTGTGTTGGAGTCTTGCTCTGTCACCCAGGCTGGAGTGCAGTGGTGTGATCTTGGCTCATTGCAACCTCTGCCTCCCAAGTTCAAGCGATTCTCATGTCTCAGCCTCCCGAGTAGCTGGGACTACAGGGACACACCACCGCGCCCAGCTAATTTTGTATTTGTAGTAGAGATGGGGTTTCACCATGTTGGCCAGGATGGTCTTGATCTCCTGACCACGTGATCCACCTGCCTCAGCCTCCCAAAGAGCTGGGATTACAGGCGTGAGCCATTAAATAATTTTTTTTTTTTTTTTTTTTTTTTTTTGAGATGGAGTCTTGCTCTGTAGCCCAGGCTGGAGTGCAGTGGCACGATCTCGGCTCACTGCAAGCTCCACCTTCCGGGTTCATGCTATTCTGCCTCAGCCTCCTGAGTAGCTGGGACTACAGGTGCCCGCCACCACGCCCAGCTAATTTTTTATATTTTTAGTAGAGACGGGGTTTCACCGTGTTAACCAGGATGGTCTGGAACTCCTGACCTTGTGATCCGCCCACCTCGGCCTCCCAAAGTGCCGGGATTACAGGCGTGCACCCCCGCGCCCGGCTAAATAAAATTTTTTAAAAAGGACTTCCTTGAGATGTCAGCTCTCCCCAAAGCTGGCAGGGCTGTAATGTGCAGGGCCGCAAAGGGCCACCAGCGTGGCCACTCCCAGGTGGAGGACCCTGAGTGTCCCCTGCAGCAGGGGTGGAAGCAGGGCCCCTGCCTCAGGCGTTTCCCACCTGGACTCTGGGTGCTCCTGACTCTGGGTTCCCCACCCTCCACTCCAGCCGAGACTAACTCCCATCCCTCCAGGAGGCGTGGAGAGGCCTCTGTGCAGCCTCGGCCACACCCCTGGGGTTCCTCCCAGGATGTCTGCCTCCACCCAGACCCGTGAGTGAACAGCTTGGGGGGCCCTGGACGGTGGTGGTCACTCGCAGGAGCTGTGGGACCCACAGGCCCAAGCTCTTTGGGGACAGGGCCTTGCAGAGGGGACGGGCTTACGCATCTGGAACCATCTCCTGGTGGAGAATCCCTCCGCACCCTGTGTCTCTGGAAACCCCTGCTGGGACTGGGAACACCTGCCAGGGAGCGGCTCTGCATCCTCTATCGTAATGAAGGAGGGTGTCCTATTCTGCAGGACAACCCAGGGTTCCAGAAGCAACGGGAAAAAAACTCCTCTCTCAAAGCACAGACAGGAGAGGTACGCAGGGCTCCGGCGGGGGAAGGTGACCACAGTGTCCCTGGGCAGGCGGCGGCTTAA
Source organism: Homo sapiens (assembly GCF_000001405.40). Lineage (NCBI taxonomy): Eukaryota > Metazoa > Chordata > Mammalia > Primates > Hominidae > Homo > Homo sapiens. The sequence goes on along the minus strand of NC_000019.10, from coordinate 1,340,871 downwards.
CGTGCAAAGCCTCCAGGAGTCACCGTGACCCAAGTCTCGCGGGCGCTGCAGTCCCCGTGCTGGTGTGGGGGCTGGAGTGTTTTCCTTGTTTTTGTTTTTGAGACAGAGTTTCGCTCTGTCGCCCAGGCTGGAGTGTAGTGGCACGATCTTGGCTCACTGCAACCTCTGCCTCCCAGTTCAAGCGATTCTCCTGCCTCAGCCTCCAGAGTATCTTAGATTACAGGCACGCACCACCATGCCCGGCTAATTTTTGTATTTTTACCAGAGACGGGGTTTCACCACAGTGGCCAGGCTGGTCTCGAACTCCTGACCTCAGGTGATCTCCCCGCCTCAGCCTCCCAAAGTATTGGGATGACAGGCGGGAGCCACCGTGCCCGGCCCAGGGGGTTTTCAAGAATCTGGCTGAATGCCGGATCACCTGCTCCCTGAAGAACCCTGCCCAGCCAGGATGCCTTCTATTCAAAACCAGGGTAGAGGACACAGAAAGGCAGGACGCCTGCTCCAGCTCCTCACGGAGATGAATGGTGGCAGTCCTGAACCTCCAGGCAGGACGGTGCCCTCTGCGGACCTGGAGTCTCTCCCGTCTCAACACAGTGCCAGTCCCCAGGACGGAAGGCTTGTTAGGAGGAAGCATTTGAGCACAGCTCCCAGCTCCTTCGCAGGCCACCTGCAGAAAATGTTCCTGGTGCCAAGAAGTGCCTGGGGGTTGGGATTAGAATCCAGGGTGACCTTGACGAGCTCAAGAAGGGCTTTGGCAGCAGCTGAGAGTGAGGTGCCAGGCACCCCAAGGGCATCAAACCCCCAGAGAGATGGCAGGTGGCAGGCACTAGGGTGGAACCACGTCCCCCACAAATCATCCACAGACTGCAGTTGTAACCCCAGGACCTTACCTGGAAATAGGGTCTCTGCAGATGTAATCAGTTAACACGAGGTCATTCGGGAGTACAGTGGATCCTGATCCAATATGCCTGGTTTCTTTATAAAGATGGGAAATTTGGCCGGGCGTGGTGGCTCATACCTGTAATGCCAGCACTTTGGGAGGCCAAGGTGGGCGGATCACCTGAGGTCAGGAGTTTGAGACCAGCCTGGCCAACATGTGAAACCACATTTCTACTAAAAATACTAAAGTTAGGCGTGGTGGTGGGCACCTATAATCCCAGCTACTCGGGAGGCTGAGGCAGTAGAATTGCTTGAACCTGGGGAGCGGAGGTAGCAGTGAGCCCAGATTGCACCACTGCACTCTAGCTTGGGTGGCAGAGCAAGACTCCGTCTCCTAAATAAATAAATAAATAAATAAGGGGTGATTTGGGCCAGCCATGGTGGTGGCTCACACCTGTGGTCCTGGCACTCTGGGAGGCTGAGGTGGGAGGATCACTTCAGCCCAGGGGGTGGAGGCTGCAGTGAGCCACGACTGTACCACTGCACCCAAGTCTGGGTGACAGAGCGAGACCTTGCCCTGCAGACTGTGAGATGGTGACTGTGTGCCGTTGCAAGCTACCAGGTTTGTGGTCTTTGTTACAGCAGCTTGGCCAGAGGCCCCCACCACACGGAGCCCCAGGAAACCAGCCTAGGAATCACAACAGTACCCAGGGCCTCCAGGATGGCAATTCCAAACACCACACAAACAAAGCTGATTGTAGAAAGGGCCCATGTTTGAACTCAAATGGAGGAGACGCTGGAGAGATGCTGGGGGCCCTGGGTGGGTGGCTGAGAACACGGCGGTCCCCGCAACTGCCCCGTGCTTCCCACGCCCTGTGACGGGCTGCGTGTCAGGCACAGGGGTCGGGATAGGCGACGTCCCCAATTTTCCCCATCTTTGCTTTTTTTTTTTTTTTTTTGAGATGGAGTCTTGCTCTGTCACCCAGGCTGGAGTGCAATGGCATGATCATGGCTCACTGCAACCTCCGCCTCCTGGGTTCAAGCGATTCTCCTGCCTCAGCCTCCTGAGTAGTTGGGATTACAGGCACCCACCACCACGCCCCACTAATTTTTGCATTTTTAGTAGAGACATGGTTTCACCATGTTGGCCAGGCTGGTCTTGAACTCCTGATCTCGTGATCTGCCGGCCTCAGCCTGCCAAAGTGCTCGGATTACAGGTGTGAGCCACCGCACCCAGCTTTTTTGAGACAGAGTCTCGCTCTGTTGCCCAGGCTGGAGTGCAGTGGCACGATCTGAGCTCTGTAACCTCCTGGGATGAACCTCCTGGGTTCAAGTGATTCTCCTGTCTCAGCGTCCCGAGTACTTGGGACTTCAGGTGCCCACCACCACGCCCAGCTAATATTTGTATTTTTAGTAGAGACGGGGTTTTACTATGTTGGCCAGGCTGGTCTTGAACTCCTGACCTCAGGTGATCCACCCTCCTCAGCCTCCCAAAATGCTGGGATTACAGGTGTGGGCCACCGCACCCGGCCCCAAGTTGCTTTTCTAAAACCATACTCCCACCTGGCATCCCTAGAAACAGACCCAGGAACTGAAACCCTGACCTCCTTCTCCGGAGTTGGGAGACAATGTATCACAGGAGCAGGACCAGAGTAACACATGCCTTAGCACCCTCCCAGCTGGGAAACATACTTGCAGTTTTTGCTGGAAAGGGCTTAATAACCCCATCCCAGAGAGCTGTGTCAGCTCATGACAAGAGAAGTGGTCGTTCGGAAAAGATGAGGAGGATGGTAACAGAAGTCAAAGGGCTAACGAGCTTGGGAAAAAATATTTTGGCTCCTAGTGGTAAATTTTCTAAAAGGGAGAAACCGGCTGGGGTGGTGGCTCACACCTGTAATCCCAGCACTTTGGGAGGCTGAAGTGGGCGGATTGCTTGAGCCCCGGAGTTCGGGCTCAGCCCAGGCAACATAGTGAGACTTGGCTCCTTAAAAAATGGAAAAAATTAGCTGGCCATGGTGGTGGGCGCCTGTAGTCCCAGCTACTCAGGAGACGGAGGCCGGAGTCGAGGCTGTAGTGAGCCGAGATCGTGCCACCGCACTCTAGCCTGGGGGACAGAGTGAGGCCCTGTCTCGCTCTGTTGCCCAGGCTGGAGTGCAATGGCGCGATCTCGGCTCACTGCAATCTGCGCCTCCTGGGTTCAAGTGATTCTGCTGCCTCAGCCTCCTGAATAGCTGGGACTACAGGCATGCACCACCACGCACAGCTAATTTTTGTATTTTTAGTGGAGACGGGATTTCACCATGTCGGCCAGGCTGGTCTCAAGCTCCTGACCTCAGGTGATCCACCCGCCTCAGCTTCCCAAAGTGTTGGGATTACAGGCGTGAGCCACGGTGCCTGGCCCAAAAATTGTTTAAAAAATCTATTCTACCAGGGAGGCCGAGGCAGGAGGATCACTTGAGCCTAGGAGTTTTTTAATTTTTTTGTTTTCCTTCTTTTTAATAAAAATTGAGATGGGGGGTCTCACAATGTTACCCAGGCTGTTCTTGAACTCCTGGCCTCAAGCACTCTTCCCACCTCTGCCTCCCAAAGTGTTCACATTAAAGGCGAAAGTCACCAACCACGGTCAAGCCCAGGAATTTGAGTCTAGCCTGGGCAATATGGTGAGACCCCATTTTTAAGAAAAAGTCAAAGTAACCAGTCATAATAGTGCATGCCTGGAATCCCAGCACTTTGGGAGGCCGAGGTGGGTGGATCGCCTGAGCTCAGGAGTTCGAGACTAGCCTGGCCAACATGGCGAAACCCCATCTCTACTAAAAACACAAAAATTAGCCAGGTGTGGTGTCAGGCGCCTGTAATCCCAGCTACTCGGGAGGCTGAGACTGGAGGATCACTTGAGCCCCAGGAGGTCGAGGTTGCAGTGAGCCAAGATTGTTCTACTGTACTCCAGCCTGGGTGACAGAGTGAGACCCTGTCTCAAAAAGAAAAGGAAAATAATAAATAAATAATAAAAATAAGATAAAGTCTATTAATAATAGAAAGAAGAAGGGCCAGGTCCGGTGTCTCACGCCTGTACTCCCAGCACTTTGGGAGGCCGAGGTGGGCGGATCACTTGACGTCAGGAGTTCGAGACCAGCCTGGCCAACATGGTGAAACCCGTCTCTACTAAAAACACAAAAATTAGATGGGTGTGGTGGCGCGCGCCTGTAATCCCAGCTACTTGGGAGGCTGAAGCAGGAGAATTGCTCGAACCCAGGAGGTGGAGGTTGCAGTGAGCCAAGATCCCGCCACTGCACTCCGGTCTGGGCGACGGAGCGAGACTTCATCTGAAAAATAAAATAAATAAATAATAATAGGAAGAAGAAGAAAAGTTCCACAGAGTGCTTTAAACAGCCCCGCCATTCCTCCGCCGTGGGGCAGTCAGCCTGCTGACTCCCGGGGGGCAGCTGAGAGGCACTCGCTAATGGCACAGGTAGCCCAAGCTGGAGCCTTTGGAGGCATGACCTGGTCTCCTGGCCCCGGGAAAAGGTGGTCTCCTTGCTTCCCTCCTGCCGCTGCTGGTGACCGTGTTTGGGTGGTGGCCCCCGGCCTGTGCTGAGCTGGGGGGTTGCCTTTCTGTAACCAGGGGCAACGGCGTCATCGCACCCCAGCCCGGGTAGCCCATGTGTGTGCCTGTCTGTGTCTGTCGCCCACGCTGGCCCCAAATCTATTTTGAAACCATTTACATTTTCACCTCCGGGCAAATGACGGCTTCACTCAGTGTTCGTTTGGGGAAGCAGGTTTCTCTGATGCTATTTGGGGACCTGCCTAGTGCCCGGCAGGGTGAGGAGTCCGCTTCCTCCTTGCCAGGCCTGTGCAAAGCTTTACCAGCATCCCTAGATGTGGGAACCCACAGCATCTCCAGGGCTCCCTCGGGCCAGGGTCCTCAGGTGCCACCAGCCCCTTCTCCCACCGGGAGCAGAGGGCGTTCTCAGCAGCTGTTGAGCGACGCTGGGATGAGAGCGGGTCTTGCTGAGAATGGCCTCCTGCTGCACCACTGTGGGTGGACACCCAAGGTGACCCAGGGCCAGTGGGCCCAAGGGGCCAACACACCTCAAGAGCTGCTCCAGGGCCGGGTGCGGTGGCACACGCCTATAATCCCAGCACTTTGGGAGGCCGAGGAGGGTGGATCACGAGATCAGGAGATTGAGACCATCCTGGCTAACATGGTGAAACCCCGTCTCTACTAAAAAAATACAAAAAATTAGCCAGGTGTGGTGGCGGGTGCCTGTAATCCCAGCTACTCGGGAGGCTGAGGCAGGAGAATGGCGTGAACCTGGGAGGCGGAGCTTGCAGTGAGCTGAGACTGCGCCACTGAACTCCAGCCTGGGTGACAGAGCAAGACTCCGTCTCAAAAAAAAAAAAAAAAAAAAAAATTAGAGCTGCTCCAGGCTTCATTCCACAGAGTACGTGCCAGGAGGAGCTCAGAAGTGGACAAAGAGGCCTGAGCCTGACCCAAGGAGATAGCAGGTCCTAGGCCTGTCCAGACAGCGCTGCCGGACGTAGCAATAAGAATACGGGACAAGCCGGGCGCGGTGGCTCAGTAAGCCATGATTTTGCCACTGCACTCCAGCCTGAGCAACAGAGCAAGACTCTGCGATCCACCTGCGATCCTAACAGTGTGGGAGGCCGAGGCTGGCACATCACCTGAGGTCAGGAGTTCGAGACCAGCCTGGCCAACATGGTGAAACCCCATCTCTACTAAAAAATACAAAAATTATGCCTGTAATCTCAGCACTTTGGGAGGCCAAGGCAGGCAGATCACCTGAGGTCAGGAGTTCGAGACCAGCCTGGCCAACATGGTGAAACCCCATCTCTACTAAAAAATACAAAAATTATGCCTGTAATCCCAGCACTTTGGGAGGCCAAGGCAGGCAGATCACCTGAGGTCAGGAGTTTCAGACCAGCCTGGCCAACAGGTGAAACCCCGTCTCTATTAAAAAATACAAAAATTAGCTGGGTGCGGTGGCGGCGCATGCCTGTAATCCCAGCTACTCAGGTCGCTGAGGCAGGAGAATTGCTTGAACCCGGGAGATGGAGGTTGCAGTGGGCCAAGATCACGCCACCGCACTCCATCCTGGGCGACAGAGTGAAACTCCGTCTCCAAAAATAGCAACAACAACAAAACACACTTGCGGGTCCATCTTAGCCGGGAGCTCTAAGGAGAAGCTGGAGCATCCACGGGGACCAGGGCCCTGTAAGTGGCAGCAGGTTCCGGCACCAGCCACCCTCCGGAGACCCCGCTCTGCATGCATCCAAGTGACAGACAAATGACTGCGGCCGGCAGCTGGCGTTCTCCTTGGCAGGAGGGCCTGTCTTTTTTTGTTGTTGTTTTTTTTTGAGACGGAGTCTCGCTCTGTCCCCCAGGCTGGAGTGCAGTGGCGTGATCTCGGCTCACTGCAAGCTCCGCCTCCCGGGTTCACGCCATTCTCCTGCCTCAGCCTCCAGAGTAGCTGGGACTACAGGCGCCCGCCACCACGCCCGGCTAATTTTTTGTATTTTTAGGAGAGGCGGGGTTTCACCGTGTTAGCCAGGATGGTCTCGATCTCCTGACCTCGTGATCCACCCACCTCGGCCTCCCAAAGTGCTGGGATTACAGGTGTGAGCCACGGTGCCTGGCCCAGGAGGGGCTGTCTGAGGTGAGGCAGGAGGTCCTGTTCCCCAGCCCCACCCAAGGTTCCATAGCAGGGCCACGGCCGGCAGACCCCTCGACGACTGTGAATACAGCCCTGCTCCGGGCCTGGTCGCCACATCTCAGCTCAGAAATCAACGCTGTTTACAAACAGGGCCCAGGCATCCAGCCTCTCTCTTGCCCCCCAGGTCCCCAACTCCCCCGTGGATGAAATGACGGATCACCCCCAAGAGGGAGCAGCAGTCGCGCCCTCCATGGGCGGCGGGGGCGGCTGAGTGCCTAATGCACGTCTCAGCCTCCTCGCCTTGTCAAACGCATCAGCCCGAAGCCGGCCCGAGAGGCAATTAGCAGATCGAGCCATGAATCACCGATCGCTGCTGGGGTGCGGCCGCCTCGGACGCCTCGTCGCCGCAGTTGTGGGCTGATTATGCATTCGCTGTAGGAGAGGAAGCACTAACTCCAGACCTCGTGTTTTATTCATGGATCTGGGCTTCATGCAACCATCACAAGTTTTACCGGGGAAACCGAGGCCAACAGGCACAACGTGCAAAGCGCTGCTGATCTGGGCCTCCCAAAGTGCCGGGATTACAGGCACGAGCCACGGTGCCCAGCTATTTTATTTAATAAATACATAAATGTGGCTGGGCACCGTGGCTCATGCCCCTGTAATCCCAACACTTTGGGAGGCCGAGGTGGGCGGATCACCTGAGGTTGGGAGTTCCAGACCACCCTGGCCAACATGGAGAAACCCTGTCTGTACTAAAAATACAAAAATTACCGGGCGTGGTGGCGCATGTCTGTAATCCCAGCTACTCAGGAGGCTGAGGCAGGAAAATCACTTGAACTTGGGAGCCGGAGGTTGCAGTGAGCCGAGATTGCGCCACTGCACTCCAGCCTGGGCAACAAGAGCAAAACACACACGCGCGTAGACACAGACAAATCCTTTTTTTTTTTCAGGCAGAGTCTTGCTCCGTTGCCTAGGCTGGAGTGCAGTGGCAAAATCATGGCTCACTGCAGCCTCAACCTCCTGGGCTCAAGTGATCCTCCCACGTCAGCCTACCAAGTAGCTGGGATTAGAGGCGTGGACCATCACACCCAGCTCATGTTTTCTTTTTTGTAGAGATGGGGTTTTTCTGTGTTGCCCAGGCTGGTCTCAAACTCCTGACCTCAAGTGATCCACCTGCCTCAGCTTCCCAAACTACTAGGATTATAGGTGTGAGCCACCGTGCCCAGACTGGGTTTGTTTTTTTTTAAATTTAATTTGAAAAATTTTTTTTTGAGGCTGGGCGTGGTGGCTCACACCTGTAATCCCAGCACTTTGGGAGGCTGAGGCAGGCAGATCACGAGGTCAGGAGACCGAGACCATCCTGGCTAACACAGTGAAACCCCGTCTCTACTAAAAATACAAAAAATTAGCTGGGTGTGGTGGCGGGTGCCTGTAATCCCAGCTACTCGGGAGGCTGAGGCAGGAGAATCACTTGAACCTAGAAGTTGGAGGTTGCAGTGAGCCAAGATCGTGCCACTGCATTCCGGCCTGGGTGACAGAGTGAGACTCCATCTAAAAAAAAAATAATAATAAATAAATAAATAATAAAAACAAAATAACCTGTATATTCTTTAAAACTCATCACTGCTGGGCCAGGCATGGTGGCTCACGCCTGTAATCCCAGCACTTTGGGAGGCTGAGATCGGTGGATCACTTTAGGTCAGGAGTTCGAGACCAGCCTGGCCAAGATGGTGAAACCCTGTTTCTACTAAAAATATAAAAATTAGCTGGGCGTGGTGGCAGGTGCCTGTAATTCCAGCTACTCAGGAGGATGAGGTGGGAGAATCACTTGAACCCGAGAGGCAGAGGTTGCGATGAGCCGAGATTGCACCACTGCACTCCAGCCACGGCGACAGAGCAAGATTCCATCTCAAAAAAAAAAAAAAAAAAAAAAACCAACTCATCATAGCCTGAGAGTCCTTGCTGGGGACATTCACAGAAGTGACAGGTCCTTGTTTTCTTTCAACACCATTTTCAGATGTCTCGTTCTGAGTGCTGCAGCATTTTCCATAATCTACAACACGCAGCTTCCAGGGCTAGGCTGCTGGTGGGTTCCCAAGCCCCTCTCCCACCACACCGCCACATCCCCCAAGGGGCTGTGCTGGTCCCAATCCCAGTCCCAATCATGGCAGTGGCATGTTAAATGCCTGTGTGACACCGCCTCTCTTGACATCAGGGAGACCCCACGTCCCCATGGGGAAATAAACGCAGGTCACAGCTCAGGATGCTGCTACGGACAATGATCTTCCTGTGGGCAGCACGGGTGGTGCCCACAATGCCTGCAACCAGGACTGAGCAGGGACAAGGGACAAGGGACCAGGAGCCGGGCCCCCTCCTCCTTCCCGAGAGCCCAGTACACGCACCGACGCTGTCACCCCTGCCTCGTCCAGAGGGCGGAAGGGAAGGTGTCCCCTACTGTCTCCCAAAGGATGCTTGAAACAGCCACAAAGATAGCCTGCCTGGAAGGGCTCTCAACCCCCAATTTCCACAGCTGCCCCAGGGGACCCAGACAACGGAGGCGGGGACAGCAGAAAACACGGGACGACAGCAAGCATTGTGCGCCCCGCGCCTGGCCGCGTGAGAGGCCGCAGCTTTCTGCAGCCGTGTCCGTCTGATTTGGGGGGAACTGGAACCGGGGGAGGGGTGCAGCCCAGCCCATTGTCTGCTGCTTCCCTTCCAGCCCCTCCCCAGGCAGCCCCTAGCCCCCACTCCAGACTCCGGAGGCCCAGCGTGCCCCGGAGGAATCCACACAGCTGTTTTTTTTTGTTTTTTTTTGTTTTTTTGAGATGGAGTCGCTCTGTCGCCCAGGCTGGAGTGCAGTGGCGCTATCTCAGCTCACTGTAAGCTCCGCCTCCCAGGTTCACGCCATTCTCCTGCCTCAGGCTCCCGAGTAGCTGGGACTACAGCTGCCCACCACCACGCCCGGCTAATTTTTTGTATTTTTAGTAGAGACAGGGTTTCACCGTGTTAGCCAGGATGGTCTCGATCTCCTGACCTCTTGACCCACCTGCCTCGGCCTCCCAAAGTGCTGGGGTTACAGGTGTGAGCCACTGCGCCCAGCCATTTTTTGTATTTTTTGTAGAGACAGGGTTTCACCATGTTGGCGAGGATGGTCTCGAACTCCTGACCTCGTGATCCGCCCACCTCAGCCTCCCAAAGTGCTGGGATTACAGGTGTGAGCCACCGCACCCGGCCAATTTTGTATTTTTAGTAGAGACGGGGTTTTTCCATGTTGGTCAGGCTGGTCCCGAACTCCTGACCTCAGGTGATCTGCCCATCTCGGCCTCCCAAAGGGCTGGGATTACAGGCGTGAGCCACCGTGCCCGGCTATTTTTTGTATTTTTAGTAGAGAAAGGGTTTCAGCATGTTGGCCAGGATGGTCTCAAACTCCTGACCTCATGATCCGCCCACCTCAGCCTCCCAAAGTTCCAGGATTACAGGTGGCTGTGAGCCACCACGCCCAGCCCCACACAGCTTTTTATAGCTGGAGTCTCTGAAGACATCTCAGGCGCAGAGTGACCCCCAGTCCATGGCGGCCACGTGGAGACCTCGGCTCCCAGGCAGGCTTCTTCCCACCTGGCCGCTGTGGGTACCCCCTCTCCAACCTCAGCCCACCTCCCCCACACCAGGGGCTTTCTCGGAGAAGCACCCACCCTACCTCCCCTTCCCAACTGGAATCTGAAACAAGCCTCTGCCATCTCTCAATGAGTTGCAGTTTGGAAGTGTTTTTTGTTTTGTTTTGTTGTTGGAGACTTTAATCTTTTTTGTGGCGGAGAACATTCTAGAAGGTAAAAGGAAGCAGCACCTTGCGAGAAGCCAAAGATTAAAAACTCAGGGCCAGGCCAGGCGCGGTGGCTCATGCCTGTAATCCCAGCACTTCGGGAGGCCGAGGCGGGTGGATCACGAGGTCAGGAGATCGAGACTCATCCTGGCTAACACGATGAAACCCCATCTCTACTAAAAATACAAAAAATTAGCTGGGCACGGTGGCGGACGCCTGTAGTCCCAGCTACTCGGGAGGCTGAGGCAGGAGAATGGCGTAAACCCAGGAGGTGGAGCTTGCAGTGAGCCGAGATCGCACCACTGCACTCCAGCCTGGGCAAAAGAGCAAGACTCCGTCTCAAAAAAAAAAAAAAAAAAAAACTTCAGGGCCGGGCGCAGTGACTCACGCCTGTAATCCCAGCACTTTGGGAAGCCGAGGCAGGAGGATCACTTGAGCCCGGGAGTTTGAGGCCAACCTGGGCAACACAGTGAGACTCCCATCTCTGAAAGTAAAAATAAGGCTGGGCACGGTAGTTCATGCCTGTAATCCCAGCCCTTTGGGAGGCCAAGGTGCGTGGATCACCTGAGGTCAGGAGTTCGAGACCAGCCTGTCCAACATGGTGAAACCTTGTCTCTAGTAAATGTACAAAAATTAGTGGGGGGGTGGTATGCACCTGTAATCCCAGCTACTCGGGAGGCTGAGGTAGGAGAATCGTTTGAACCTGGGAGACAGAGGTTGCAGTGAGATGCGATCATGCCACTGCATTCCAGCCTGGACGATAGAGCCTCTGTCTCAAAAAAAATTTTTGTAATAAAAATAAAAACAAATTCTGTCCCAGAAGACTAGTTTACATGGGAAAAGAGCAGTGATATTAATGCAGTGTTAAGTGATAAATAGGTACAAATTAGCAGCTAAAACATCACTCTTTGAGAAAAGCAGGTGCATGCGTATGCGTCCACACCCGACACATGCCGGGTCGTGACTGGAATCGTATAAACAGTACTGGTTCTGGGTGGAGGTGCTAAGAGTCTGAGTTTTGCTGTTGCTGTGTGGTTTGGTTTGGGGTGCTTTTCCGTGTTGGTCAAATTTTCTAGGTTCCCGATGTCCTGTCCTAATTGGCGAGAAGAGCAGGTACGTCTTTTTTTTTTTTTTTTTTTTTTTGAGATGGAGTCTCACTCTGTCGCCCAGGCTGGAGTGCAGTGGCGCGATCTCAGCTCACTGCAACCTCCGCCTCCCTGGTTCAAGTGATTATCCTGCCTCAGCCTCCCAAGTAGCTGGGATTACAGGTGCCCACCACCATGCCCAGCTAATTTTTCTAGGTTTGTTTTTTTTGAGACAGAGTCTCCCTCTCTTGCCCACGATGGAGTGCAGTGGCACAATCTCGGCTCACTACAACCTCTGCCTCCTGATTCAAGCGATTCTCCTGCCTCAGCCTCCTATATATATATATATATATTTTTTTTTTTTTTTTTTTCAGTAGAGAAAAAAAATTGGGTTGGCCAGGCTGGTCTCAAACTCCTGACCTCAGGTGATCTGCCAGCCTTGGCCTCCCAAAGTGCTGGGATTACAGGCCTGAGCCACCGTGCCCAGTCTTTTTGTTTGTTTGTTTGTTTGTTTTGAGACGGAGTCTCGCTCTGTCGCCCAGGCTAGAGTGCAGTGGCACGATCTCGGCTCACTGCAAGCTCCGCCTCCTGGGTTCACACCATTCTGCCTCAGCCTCCCGAGTAGCTGGGACTACAGGTGCCCTCGACCACGCCTGGCTAATTTTTTTTATTTTTAGTAGGGACGAGGTTTTACTGTGTTAGCCAGGATGGCCTCGATCTCCTGACCTCGTGATCAGCCGGTCTTGGCCTCCCAAAGTGCTGGGATTACAGGCATGAGCCACTGCGCCCGGCCCTTTTTTTTTTTCTTTTTCTTTTTTGAGATGGGGTCTCACTCTGTCACCCCGGCTGGAATGCAGTGGCACGATGTCGGCTCACTGCAACCTCCGCCTCCCTGGTTCAAGCGATTCTTCTGCCTCAGCCTTTTGAGTAGCTGGGATTACAGGCGTGAGCCACTGCGCCCGGCCCCAGGTCCGTTCTTTTTCGGACAGCCAGGCTGACAGCAATCTGATGTTGGAGTCAGCATGGGGGTGAAAGGGCGGATGTCCCAGCAGCCCACCTCTCGACCCCAGCCCAGCTCTGACACTAATTCCCTGTGTGAGCAGGAGCTGGGGCTGGCCCGGCCTCCACCCTCTTCTGTACAGCCCTGACATCTGCAGAATCACAGACGGTCAGGTCTGCAGGGAACCGCAGAGAAGAAGGAGTGCCTTTAACTAATTCAGGGCACTCAAACCACAACACGCACACACAGACGCCTCTCACAGTGGAGGTACACATTTTCCAAAAATTAAAAACTGCTCGGCTGGGTGAGGTGGCTCACGCCTGTAATCTCAACACTTCAGGAGGCCAAGGTGGGTGGATAACTTGAGGTCAGGCGTTGGAGACCAGCCTGGCCAACACGGTGAAACCCCGTCTCTACTAAAGATACAAAATAGCCGGGTGTGGTGGCGGGCACCTGTAGTCCCAGCTACTCGGGAGGCTGAGGCAGGAGAATTGCTTGAATCCGGAAGGTGGAGGTTGCAGTGAGCTGAGATCGTGCCACTGCACTCCAGCCTGGGTTACAGAGAAAGACTCTGTCTCAAAAAATAAATAAATAAATAAATAAAAGAAGAAAGTGGTTGCGTAGCGTCAGGGCTGGGGCAGGGAATGGGAGTGAGGCTGACGCAGGTCATTAAGTTTACTTTAAAATGGTTACTTTTGCATCGTGTGAATTTCACCTCAATAAAAGTCACCTTCCTGATGTCCTCTCTGTCGCAAAGGTAAGGCAGGTTCGCCGGTAAATGAAATGGTAATCAGGGCGTGTGGCTCTCATCAGTCCTTAAAAGCACCTCCAGGGAGATTGGTTTGTGTGAACAGCACCATTTTTATGTAGCTACCAAAAAGCTATGACAGCAAAGACCTTGAGTCCCCAAAGCCGAGGCCAGCTCCTGGCCACGTCCCTGCTGGCCGCCAAGGCCCTCAGATCCTGCAGATCGAGAAGCAGCCACCTCTGAGCGAGGGTCTCAGGCCCACCTCATTGCTCCCGGGACCTCTGTTCTCAGGTTTGCAAATCTGAGCCTCCAGTCTGCTTCCGGCCCAGAGGGGCCACTGGGCTTCCGGCTCCAGCTCGGGGAAGGGGGTAGGAGAAACCAAGCCTCCTCGGAGTCCCAGCTCACACTCATGGGACCTCTGGCGGTGATCAGGGGACACCTAGGATGCTGACCAAGACCCCCAGCCTTTCTGGAGCCCGAGCCCCCTGGAGGGCCTATGAATCAGCATTTTTTTTTTTTTTTTTTGAGACGGAGTCTCGCTCTGTCACCCAGGCTGGAGTGCAGTGGCAGAATCTCGGCTCGCTGCAAGCTCCACCTCCCGGGTTCACGCCATTCTCCTGTCTCAGCCTCCCAAGTAGCTGGGACTACAGGCGCCCACCACCACGCCCGGCTGATTTTTTTATTTTTAGTAGAGACGGGGTTTCACCGTGTTAGCCAGGATGGTCTCGATCTCCTGACCTGGTGATCCGCCCACCTCGGCCTCCCGAAGTGCTGGGATTCCAGGCGTGAGCCACCGCACCCGGCCGAATCTGCCTTTTTGAGACAGGGTCTTGCTCTGTCACCCAGGCTGGAGTGCAGTGACATAATCATGGCTCACTGCAGCTGTGACCTCCTGGGCTCCCAAGATCCTCCCACCTCAGCCTCTTGAGTACGTGGGACTGGACTGCACATGCACACCACCATGCACAGCTAATTTTTTTGTATTTTTTAAAATAAAGACAGGATTGCACTATGTTGCCCAGCTCGTCTTAAACTCCTGGACTCAAGCAGTCCTCCCGCCTCAGCCTCCTAAAGTGCTGAGATGAGGCTGGGCGCGGTGGCTCACACTTGTAATCCCAGCACTTCGGGAGGCCGAGGCGGGTGGATAACGAGGTCAGGAGTTCAAGACCAGCCTGGCCAAAATGGTGCAACCGCGTCTCTACTAAAAGTACAAAAAATTAGCTAGGCGTGATGGCACATGCCTGTAGTCCCAGCTACTTGGGAGGCTGAGGCAGTAGAATCGCTTGAACCCGGGAGGCGGAGGTTGCAATGAGCCCAGATCTTGTCACTACAGTCCAGCCTGGGCGACAGAGTGAGACTATCTCAAAAACAAACAAACAAACAAACACCAAAGTGCTGAGATGACAAGCGTGAGCCACTGTACCCGGCTGGCATACTGCCACCATGCCCGGCTAGCGTGAACCACTCTGCCCTGTTAGCGTGAGCCACCGTGCCCGGCTGGCGTGGGCCACTGTGCCCTGTTGGTGTGAGCCACTGTGCCCAGCGGGTTTGAGCCACTGTGCCCGGCTGGTGTGAACCACTGTGCCCGGCGGGTGTGAGCCACTGTGCCCGGCTGGTGTGAGCCACCGTGCCCGGCTGGTGTGAACCACCGTGCCCGGCGGGTGTGAGCCACTGTGCCCCGTTGGTGTGAGCCACTGTGCCCAGCGGGTTTGAGCCACTGTGCCTGGCTGGCGTGAACCACTGTGCCCGGCGGGTGTGAGCCACCGTGCCCGGCTGGTGTGAACCACCGTGCCCGGCGGGTGTGAGCTACTGTGCCCTGTTGGTGTGAGCCACTGTGCCCCGTTGGTGTGAGCCACGGCGCCTGGCTGGAGTCTGCATGTTTAACACAGCGGTTCCCACACCAGACCAGCCTGGAGATGCCTACCCTGAAGGGCAGACGTTGTTCCCATTTCACAGCCAGGAACCCTGAGGCTCATTGGTTTGAAGACAGCCTGGCAGGGCCTGAGCCAAGATCTGCCCCCCAGGCCCCCGCATTCCTTCCTGGCCTCCCAGAGCCATCCCAGCGCCCCACTCTCCGCTCTCTCTGCTCCGGCGCTCAGCTCCTCACACCCCCTGAGCCTCCCAAGCCCACGGCCGGGCCCTTTGCACGGGGCATCTTCGGGAGGGGAACTGTCTGTTCTCCTTAAGCCTCCATCTTTACGCCGGCCGTTGTCTTGGCAACGGTCTACGGCTGACCTTTGTGCAGAAAAAAAGGGTGACCTTCCCCGCGCAGGCGCCCCCGGCCGCCGCCCCCCGCCGCGGCGCGGTTTAAAGGCGTCTGTCTAAACAATGCGTCATGGATTTCTCCGCCGGGCGTGCACGGGCCGAGAATTTCAATCCGGGCGGCTCCGCCGTTTCCTAAACTCGAGGCGTCCAGGGAGAGGGCGTTACACACACACTCGCCGGAGCGCTCGGGCCCTGGGAATCGGCAAACGCTGCGGGTTCCAGCCCCGCGACTCAGGCCGGGCGAAGATTAGAGTCACCGCCTCAGTTCCTCCATCTGTAAAGTGGGACCCAGGAGGGTCGGACCCCCAGGGGTGTGGCTGGCGGCAGCGTAGGTCTTCGGGGCTGCGGACTCCCGGCCCCCGGGACCCCCCTGTCCCGCTGTGGAAACTGGCACGGGGACCGGAGGGCGGATCCCCCGGGCACTTGCCGAGGCCACTGACCCAGGTCTGGATGTTCCCCGAGGCCCAAGGTCACCACTGGGCCCCCCCGGGGACTGACGAGAGGCCTCTGGCGGGAAAAGGGGCTGGCTCAGGCAGGCAGCAGGCCCCAGAACCCCCCGCACACGCGGGCACAGGAAGCCCCAGCAATGCCCCTCCCTCCAATTTCTCAACCCGTGATGGGAAAAGAAGAGAAAAGGAAGAAAGATTTCCTCCAAAGCTTCACTGTGGCAGAATTCCGCTCTGAGGTCCTTACCCGCCTCCAGGCAGCCCTCCCTGCTCGCCGCTCACCACGGGCACAGGGCACAAATTGTGTCCTTCTTCTGCTCTAAACTCTGCTGTGGCTCCCCAGTGCCCTCAGGAGAAAAACCAAACTCCTCCCTGCGGCCCATGAAGCCCTCAGCAGGCTTGGCATCCCCTGCTCCAGCCACACCAGCTGCCCGAAGGACACACCAGGCTCCAGGTGGCCCCCAGCCCTTTGCATTGGCTGCTCCATGAGAAACCTGGCTCCTTCTCGCCCTTCTGAACTCAGCTCAAAGGACCCCTCCTCCAGGAAGCCCTCCTGCCTGCCCCCTTAGACATTTCCAAGACAGAGAGAGACAGAGAGACGGGGAGATAACCAGCTCTTTCAAGCTCACGTCCTGTAGGCTCCCCGAGGGTAGGCACCAGCTCTTTCTTTTTTTCTATTTTATTTTTATGCTATTTTCAGACACTCATGGACATGGACTTGGTGCCAGACACCCCTCCAAGTGGTTTACAGAGATGAAGTTTTTGGTGCCATAAACACCGGTTATGCGACATCCTGAGGTGGGGACTGAGGTAGTTCCCTTTCACCAGTGCCCAATCAATGCATGTGTATTTTATATGGATGCCAGTCACGCTGCGCCAGGCCCACTCGAACGACCTCGTCATAACTCGGTCACATCTGCCAAGGCCCTATTTTTTTTTTTTTTTTTTTGAGACGGAGTGTCGCTGTGTCGCCCAGGTTGGAGTGCGGTGGCGCGATCTCGGCTCACTGCAAGCGCCGCCTTCCGGGTTCACACCATTCTCCTGCCTCAGCCTCCCGAGTAGCTGGGACTACAGGCGCCTGCCGCCACCACGCCCGGCTAATTTTGTTTTTGTATTTTTCATAGAGACGGGGTTTCACCGTGTTAGCCAGGATGGTCTCGATCTTCTGACCTTGTGATCCGCCTGCCTCGGCCTCCCAAAGTGCTGGGATTACAGGCGTGAGCCACCGCGCCCGGCCGCAAAGGCCCTATTTCTAAATAAAGTCCCATTCACAAGTTTCAGGGGCCAGGATGTGAACAGATCTTCCAGGAGACACCAAGCAGCCTCAGTGTCCATTGATGGATCCGGGCCCTCCCTTCAAGCCTTTTCCCATCCCCCCTCCACCTCCTGCACCGAGACCCCAGCATGAAGCTTCCTCGGGCCTCACCGACCTCTGCTAAGTCCAGGAGACGCTGTGAGCACCCGAGGGTAGGGCCTGAGGCTCCCTGCCCCCACCTGGGCTGGCACCTGGGAGAGGAGGGTTCCCCTCAGCAGTTAGCTGTGGGCTGGCTGTGCGCCCCTTGCCAAGCTCCTGGGACACGGGCTGAGCAGAGCCCAGGGTGCCCCAGCCCCTTCCCGAGTCCCTGCTGGGCCCGTGTCGCCCACTGATGGGGAGATGCCCAAGTTCTGTGACCCCGGGGGCAGGATGGTGAGGCGGCCCCTGGGGACCCAGAGTCCTGCCCTGCCAGGGCCTCCTGCACCCTCAACCCCAAACCCAGAAAAGTCAGGCGGAGCCCAAGGCCAGAGCAGGCCAGTCACAGCTGGGAGGCGGGGGGCCCAGGGGCCAGGAAGGCCGGGATGGAGCCCTCGGCCCATCGCCCTGCACAGCCGCCCCTGCGCTGCCTCTGTCTCCCCATGTCTCTCTGTCTCTCTCCGACTTGCTGTATCTCTGTATCCCTCTGTCTCTCTGTGTCTCTTTCTCTGTCTCTGTCCGACTCGATCTATCTCTGTCTCCCTCTGTCTCTCTGTCTCTTTCTCTGTCTCCTTCCCTCTCTGTCTCTGTTTATCTCTATTTCTGTCTCTCCCTCTCTCTGTTTCCCTCTGTCTCTGTCTTTGTCTCTCTGTTTTTGTCTGTCTCCCCCATCTCTGTCTCTCTGTCTCCCTCTGTCTCTGTCTCTCTGTCTCTGTCTCCTTCTGTCTCTGTCACTGTCTCTCCGTCTCTTCCTCCCTCCATCTCTGACTCTGTCTGCCTGCGTCTGTCTCTCTCTGTCTCCCTTTGTCTCTCTGTCTCTGACTGTCTCTGTCTCTCTGTCTCTGTCCCTCTGATGTCTGACCCAGGTGGGCAGTACCTGTGGTGGTTCTGCTGTCCCTGAAGGAATGACATGTTCTCGCTCTGCCTGAGAGACCTCCTTTGCCTCCTCTGGAGGGTCTGAGAAGACAGGAGGGCGCTGGGCCCACCACAGGGGCAGATGACCTACGCATCACCCTGCCCACCCCAGGGCATAGCTGCCACCAAAGGGCTGGGGGCTGCCAGCCGCGGTGCTCTGGCAGGGACAGGTCTTCCCCTGGCGCCCCCAGGGAAGAACAGGCAACCCATCCACCTGCCTCCTGCCACTTGCCTCCCACCCCTTCCAGCCAGCGGGTGAGGGGGCTTCCCGTGCCACTGGGCGGGCTGCAGGCATCCTTGGGTGCCACCCAAGCTCAGCCAGATTCCAGGAACCCCCTCCCGCCCCCTTCACCCCTCCTTTCCCCGGGATTTCTCGTAGCGGGGACAGGGCCACACGTCACTCCACACAGACCACCCCTCCCGATGCTGGAGCCCACAGCGGGAAAGTCGCCTCCCCACGGGTCTGAACGGAAAACTGGGGAGCCCTGGACACAGATTCACCCTCTCCTCACGCCCAATCTGCCCTCCAACGCCAGTGGTATGGGGGTGAGACGGCCGTCTGCAGGACCATGCGAACAGGGACAGGGACAGGGACCACCTGCGGAAAGCCTCCCTCACATGGGCGAGCCCCCGTGTGCAGCTGCCATGCTGCCTGACAATAGCTGCCACCACAGAGTCCCCATCACCGCCGCCTTTGCCGACGGAGAAACAGAGTCACAGGGTGGCAGGGTCACCTCCAGAAGTGGCAGGGCCAGCTGGGAGACACAGGGTCATGCCTGGAAGCTGTTTCCATGTGTCATGCTCCAAACACCAGGCCCTGCTGGGGAACACGCCCTCTGCTTCTGGCCTTGGTGGGACCTGCCCAGCCTCTGCTTGGCCTTCTGTGAGGGTCAAAGGCCCAAATCCAGGGCCACTGGAAGAGTTGGCAAGAACAGCATTCCCTACACACTCAGAAACGTCTGAAACAGCCCAAATGTCCATCAACACAAGAATGGGCAAACACGGCATGGCCCTCTGCCCACTGGAACACGACTGAGCCGTGAAAAGGAGCGAGGCTCTGACCCAGGCCACAGCGCAGATGCATCCTGAGGACGCCACACTCAGTGAGAGACGCCAGACACAGAAGGCCACAGGTGTGCAATCCCATTTCTATGAAATGTCCAGGGCAGGCAGATCCACAGAGACAGGGAGGGGAAGTGTGGGTGCCAGGGCTGGGGAGGGAACGGGGTTTCCTTTTGGAATGATGGAAATGTTCTAAAGTTGATTGGGTTGATGGACACACAGCTTTATGAAGACAATAAAAGAAATCAAGGCAGGGCACGGTGGCTCACACCTATAATCCCAGCACTTTGGGAGGCCGACCGAGGTGGGTGGATCACGAGGTCAGGAGATTGAGACCATCCTGGCTAACACCGTGAAACCCTGTCTCTAATTAAAAAAAAAAAAAAAAAAAATAGCCAGGCGTGGTGGAAGGCGCCTGTAGTCCCAGCTACTCAGGAGACTGAGGCAGGAGAATGGTGTGAACCCAGGAGACGGAGCTTGCAGTGAGCCGAGATCCTGCCACTGCACTCCAGCCTGGGCGACAGAGCGAGACTCTGTCTCAAAAAAAAAAAAAGAAAGAAAGAAATTGTATACTTTAGGCTGGGCGTGGTGGCTCTTGCCTGTAATCCTAGCACTTTGGGAGGCCGAGGCGGGTGGATCACCTGAGGTCAGGAATTTGAGACCAGCCTGGCTAACATGGTGAAACCCCATCTCTACTAAAAATACAAAGAAAAAAAAATTGTATACTTTAAATGAATGAACTGTATGCTATGTGAATAACTCAATAAAGCTGTTTTAGAAATTGCCTTCTTGGGCCGGGCGCAGTGGCTCACACCTGTAATCCCAGCACTTTGGGAGGCTGAGGCGGGCAGATCACCTGAGGTCAGGAATTTGAGACCAGCCTGGCCAACATGATGAAACCCTGTCTCTACCAAAAATACAAAAATTAGCTGGGCATGGTGGCAGGCACCTGTAATCCCAGCTACTGTGGAGGCTGAGGCAGGAGCGGTGGCTCACGCCTGTAATCCCAACATTTTGGGAGGCTGAGGTGGGAGGATCCCTTAAGCCCAGGAGTTCGAGACCAGTCTGGGCAATGTAGTGAGACCCTATCTCTACAAAAAAATGAAAAAATGAGATGGGAGGATCACTTGAGCCCAGGAGGTGGAGGCTGCAATGAGGTGATACAGAACCACTGAACTCCAGCTTGGGCAATGGGAGTGAGACCATGTCTCAAAAAAAAAAAATTGCCTTCCCTTCTGTCCCTTGTCACTTTTCCTTAGTGACATTGAAAGGTGTCATCTTCACCTTCCTCTGGAGCCACACGCAAAGAAGCCTTGTCTAGGAGTCTTGCTAAGTGGTAAGCCTGCCGTCTCTGGAGGTGTGTTAGTAGAGAAGACCGAGCCTTGGGTGGGGCTGTCTGCCCTGAGTGATGAATGGCCTCTGACTCTCAGGCCCAGCATCCAAAACCCCAAACTCAGCTGGGCGCAGTGGCTCGAGCCTGTAATCCCAGCACTTTGGGAGGCCAAGGTGGGTGGATCACTTGAGGTCAGGAGTTCGAGACCAGCCTGGCCAACATGGCAAAACCCCGTCTCTACTAAAATACAAAAAAAAAAAATTAGCTGGGTATGGTGACAGGTGCCTGTAATCCCAGCTACTCTACTTGGGAGGCTGAGGCAGGAGAATCGCTTGAACCTGGGAGGCAGAGGTGGCAGTGAGCAGGGATTGCGCCACTACATTCCAGCCTGGGTGACAGAGACTCCATCTCAAAAAAAAAACAAACAGGCCGGGCACGGTGGCTCATGCCTGTAATCCCGGCGCTTTGGGAGGCCGAGGCAGGCGGATCATCTGAGGTCGGGAGTTCGAGACCAGCCTGACTAACATGGAGAAACCCCATCTCTACTAAAAACACAAAATTAGCCGGGCATGGTGGCGCATGCCTATAATCCCAGCTACTCAGGAAGGCTGAGGCAGGAGAATAGCTTGAACCTGGGAGGCGGAGGTTGCAGTGAGCCGAGATCGCGCCACTGCACTCCAGCCTGGGCAACAAGAGCAAAACTCTTGTCTCAAAAAAAAAAAAAAAAAAAAAAAAAAAAAAAAAAAAACCCAAACTCCTGGCTGCTGGAATGATCCCCAACCCTCCTGGCTGAGCCGAGGCCCCGCGTGGGCGCCGTGCAGACAGCGTCCCAGTGGCCGGCCGGGCCAGAGCGCTGCATACACACACACGTGTGTTCACATGCACATGTACAACTGCTGGGGGATTTTCCCCCCTTCTTTTCTTTAAGAGGCCTGTCAGGGTCAAGGGGCGTCCTGCCACTGTATATTTCACGGTGCTTTCATCACGGCCGGCCGGCGGGGGGAGCCGCCCGGCCGGGCTCACAAAGGGCCCTCTAAGCCCTCCGCGTCCGCATTCTGTACGTGGGAGCCTGCCTCATTTCCTATTAACTTCAAAAGTCTCAATCCTATTACGGCGGGGGGCGGAGAAACAGCGGAATGGAAGAGGAGGCCTTTATTCCCCGGCCCGAACTGGGCAGAGGCCCCAGGGATCCTCATTAGGCAGGCAGTGTTCCCGAGGGTCTCAGGGGGTCTCTGACAGCGGCCCTCCCCACCCCACCAAGAGCCCGGAAACAGCGGTGGGGGCCCTGAGCCGCCCACAGTGGCCCTTCCCTCCCCGGCAGGAATGGCAGGTGGGAGGCGGGTCCGGCGGGCGCAGGTGCACGCTGCCAGGAGCTTCACTCACCGGAGCCTCTGGGCAGCGAGACCCGGGGCCTGACGTGGGTGTTAGCCCAAGGCCCCAGCCTTGGTTTCCTGCCCTGGAAAATCGGGGCGACCCCACTTCCCACTCTCCCAGCTCTCCCAGGCTCTTATCTGGGTAGAAGGAAGCACCTCCCACTCCTCGCTGAGCTGGGACCCTCTGGCCTCTTTGGGTTCTTCTGGTCTCGCCCCGTGCCCAGCAAAGTGTGCCGCCAGGCCGGGGAGTGTGCGTTAATCCTGGGGCACATGGAGCCACCGCAGGACTGAGGCAGAGGAGGGTCGCTGTCTGAGTTTCAGTTTTCTTTTTTTTTTTTGAGACAGAGTCTTGCTCTGTTGCCCATGCTGGACAGCAGCAGCACAATCTTGGCTCACTGAAACCTCTGCCTCCCAGGTTCAAGCAATTCTCCCTGCCTCAGCCTCCTGAGTAGCTGGGATTACAGACGCCCACCACCACGCCCGGCTAATTTATTTGTATTTTTAGTAGAGACGGGGTTTCACCATGTTGGCCAGGCTGGTCTTGAACTCCTGACCTCAGGTGACCCACCCACCTCGGCCTCCCAAAGTGCTGGGAGTACAGGCATGTGAGCCACCACACCCAGTCTGTGATCTCATTTCTATGAAGTGTCCAGGACAGGCCAACCCACAGAGGCAGAGAGGGGATGCCTGGGTGCCAGGGCTGGGGTGGGGATGGGGAGCAATGGCTAATGGGGATGGGGTTTCCTTCTGGGGTGATGAGAACGTTCTGGAACTAGAGAGAGGTGAGGTTTGCACAACTCTGCAAGTACGCTAAAAGCCACTGGATTACACCTTTAAGCAGGTGAACCTCATGGTCCGCGAGTTATAGCTCAGTGCTTTAAGCAGGTGAACCTCATGGTCTGTGAATTATATCTCAATGATCAAAAGCTCAGAGCCACTCACTCTGTTGCAGAGCTGGTTCCTTTATCCCGTCGCTGTGCACTGCAAGCCTTCTGCCTTCTGTGCGTGACTGTGACTTTCTAGAGGGAAGGGAACGTGTCTTCTTCCCCTTGCTGTATCGTCTCTGACTTGTCACAAATATGGTCAAACTGAACATGAAAATAAGTGTCAAGACCAGGCGAGGTGGCTCATGCCTGTGATCCCAGCACTTTGGGAGACCGAGGTGGGAGGATCACTTGAGCTCAGGAGTTGGAGACCAGCCTGGGCAACATACCGAGACCACCCCCACCATCTCAAAAAAAATAAAACAGAAAAGAAAAAGAAAAAAAAATGGGTGTCTGAAGATTGGAGGGATGCAGCCGGCCACAGGTGGGCAGTGAGGGAGCTGCTGGGCTGGCCACATGCAGGGATGGAGCAGCCCGTGCAAAGGCCCTGGGGCAGAGACAAAAGCAGCTTGTTTTAAAGACAGAACTGGGAGGTTGGGTCGGAGTGAGCGGGAAGGGGATGAAAGAGGGCTGGATCGATCCCTCCCACTCTATCCCCCAGGCTAAAGTGCAGTGGCACGATATCTCGGCTCAATGCAACCTCCCTCTCTCAGGTTCAAGCAATTCTTCTACCTCAGCCTCCTGAGTAGCTGGGATTACAGGCCCACACCATCACACCTGGCTAATTTTTGCATTTTCAGTAGAGATGAGGTTTCACTACGTTGGCCAGGCTGGTCTTGAACTCCTAACCTCAGGTGATCCACCCGCCTCAGCCTCCCAAAGTGCTGGGATTACAGGCGTGAGCCACCGTGTCCGCATCCAGCCCAGAGGGCTGGATTCTTGATTCTTGGTGCCTTGAACCCATATGGGGCAAGTGGACAGAGCTGTGGGTCAGGCGCAGAGCAGCAGAGCTCACGGGCGCGGGTCCAGATGGAGCAGCAGGGTGTCCCCTCACCTCCCAAAGCCTTGGGGTTGTATCTGGGCACCCCCCCCCCAAACCTGGAAACCCAAGCCTGCTTGCTCCCAGGTCTTCCAGCTTATTTCTCGAAGGATTTGCACATTCCAGAGGAGGCAACTGAGGCACAGAAGTTTCCGTGACCCCAGAGAGCTGCCCAAGAGCATGGCACAGCAGGTGCGCATCATGCCCAGCGGGAATGACAGTGGCGAGGCCTGGAGTACCAGAAATCAAGCAGGATCCCGCGGCAGGGGCCGGCTGAACCCACCAGGGGCACCTGTGGGTAGGATCCTCTCCTCAGCCGTGGTGTGGGAAGGTGCAGCCACACATGAGACGGCCCCCAGGGTGCACACGGATCACCAGCCCTGCCTTGCAGGGGCAGTAGGGGGGGAACCCAGACGGTATCCCTACCTGAGTAGAAAGGACCCTCCCAAGGCCAAGGAAACCAACCACAGCACCCACGAGAGGGTATTTGGGGCGGTGACATTCTGCAGCCCAGGACCCAGAAAGTGGACACAGGTGTGGTCACGACACAGGAGGACCCAGAGGTGCTCATCACACAGGAGGGATCCAGCTGTTCTGTGACCGAGAAAACGCTCTGTGCCTCAGTTTCCTCCTATGAAAAATGGGTCTCCCAAGAGGGTTATGGCGGAAGCCACTGGTCGGGGCAGTGAAGGGGCAGCAGAGGTGAGGACGGGCGGTGGGCAGGGCTTGGGGTTCCCGTTGGGGCATCAGACCCAGACCTGAGGCTCCAGGAGGTGAACGTGAAGCTGGGACCCTAGGTCCAGCCAGGGTGGCTCCCCAGCACCTGAGGCCGCCCTGACCATGCAGACCTCAGCCTGCCTGCTCCGGGATCCAGGTCCCGACGACCCAAACCACGCGCCCCGGACACCGCCCCTCCTGCGCCCGGAGCGCGCCCCTCGCAGACTGTCCGGCTGGGCCTCCTAGAGGCGCTGGCTGCGGGGCGGGAGCTCTGAGCGCCAAGGGCCGCGGGCGTCCACGCAGCTCTACCCGCGCGCCAGGCCCGCTCCCCGGCCTCTGCAGCTCCCGAGCGCGCGTCTCCCCGCACCGCGTCTCCACCGGCCTCCTCGCTCCACCTAGCGGCGGCCTGAGCCCGGAGCCGCGGGGGGGCCAGAGAGGGCGGGGGGTCGGGGCCTCACAGTCCGGCAGGTGCGGCTGGGGAAACTGAGGCACGGGAGGGCCAGGCACGCCCCCAAGGTCACGCAGAATGAGCGGGAAGGTTCAGATCGAACTCCAGCACCCAGGAGCCCATATAGGTTCCTCCACCGCCACCCTAGAAAAGGAGGGAAGCCTGGAGGCCCGGAAGGAAGCAGCAAGGGAATGGAGCGCGCAGAGGAAGGAGCCAGGCGCACCGCAGTCCTGCTGGGGACCTGGACAGGTCTGAGCTGGACCAGTGCTGCCAATGCCAGCATGGCCGTGGCCTCCTTCCCTCACCTCACAGCGGCCTCTGTCTGTGGCCTGTCTCCTCATTTGTAAAATGGGTATTAGAGGATCCTTGGGAGGTTGCAGGGAGATGAGGCAGGGAAAGCCTGTCGGCTGACGTTTGGTACACAGTAAGCACTCAATAAATGTTGGCTATTGGCCGGGTGGTGGGTGGCTCATGCCTGTAATCCCAGCACTTTGGGAGGCCGAGGCGGGTGGATCACTTGAGCTCAGGAGTTCCAGACCAGTCTGGGTAATATGGTGAAACCCCATCTCTACTAAAATTACAAAATTTAGCCGGGCGTGGTGGCAGGTGCCTGTAATCCCAGCTCCTCGGGAGGCTGAGGCAGGAGAATCACTTGAACCCAGGAAGTGGAGGTTGCAGTGAGCCGAGATTGCACCACTGCACTCCAGCCTGGGCGACAGAACAAGACTCTGTCTCTAAATAAACAAATAAATAAATTAGCCGGGCGTGGTGGTGCACACCTGTGGTCCCAGTTACTTGGGAGGCTGAGATGGGAGGCTCACTTGAGCCAGGGAGGTCGAGGTTGCAGTGAGCTGAGATCGCATTACTGCACTCCAGCCTGAGTGACAGAGCAAGACTGTCTCAAAAATAAATAAATAATAAACAAATAAATAAGCCAGGCATGGTGGGGTGCACCTGTAATCCCAGCTACTCAGGAGGCTGAGGCAGGAGAAGCACTCGAACCCAGGAGGTGGAGGTTGCAGTGAGCCGAGATTGCACCCCTGTACTCCAGCCTGGGCGACAGAGCGATTCTGTCTCTAAATAAATAAATAAATAAATACATTAGCTGGGCGTGGTGGCACACAACTGTGGTCCCAGTTACTTGGGAGGCTGAGATGGGAGGATCGATTGAGCCAGGGAGGTTGAGGCTGCAGTGAGCTGAGATCGCACCTCAGCTCACTGCACTCCAGCCTGAGTGACAAAGTGAGACTCTGTCTCAAAAAACAAATACACAAACTTCGGCTGTTGAGGAATATTGTTGCCTAGGCTTGTCCACCCTCCTCTGTGGCCCCACCTTAACTGTTTCTTCCAGGACGCTCCCTCCTGCCTCCCTCCCTCTACCCCTCTGCACACAGCCTCCCCCCTGCAGGAACGCCCTTCCTCTGCCTCCGACTCGTTTGCCTGCCGTAGCCCCCACGGTGCCCCAGGGTTCAGCCCAGGGTCAGGCCCACGGCGAGCATTCAGTGACTTCATGAGGTTGGATGAAAACCAGGCTGGGTCCACACTGCGCTGCCCTGTGCCCTCATTCCAAACCCAGAGAAACTGAGGCCCGGAAAAAGAGGCGGCCCAGCAGAGCTCTCTCTTCACCAGGCGAGGGTCCCAGGGACCTGGGGGGAGAGCTGCGGAAGCCAGCAACTCCTTCCCCGCCGTCGGCCCCCAAGGAGGGTCGTGCTGCAGAGGCAGAGACCAGGCCAAATTGAAATTGATCGTGGGGAACAGCTCGGCAGGGTGGAACAGACACACGGCCACCGGGGAGCGCAGGGGCGCCCAAGCGTGTGAGCGCATCCCAGCCTCCGACGGAGAATCTTTTAATCTGCGGTGGATGCTGCTAGCTGAGGCCTCTAAGTAGCCACAAGGCACGGGGGCTAGACTGCAGCAGCTGGCAGGCATGAGGACACCTTCCACTTCATTCATTCATTCATTTCTTCCTCCTGAAGACACTGGGTAAATGTAGAGCAGCAGAGGGTGGCCAGAAAGGCCCCTCCCCCTGTTCCAGACAAGGGGATCCTGGGGCCTCCCCGGGGAACACAGGGGCCAGGTACCCAGAGAGGTTCCTGAAGACTGGGGGTTTGTAAGCTAGCCGTGCCTTCCAGGGCCAGCCAGACGTCCCGGAATTCCTGTTTGGTGACTCAGGGAGGGGCAGCTGCCGGCCGTGTCTCTCTCCCTGCAGGTGGCTAGGCCTGGCTCCCATCCCAGAGCTGTGGGGCTTAGGAGGGCTCCTCCACGCCTCAGTTTCCCGTGTTGGCCTCCGAGAGGTGATGACCGGGCACGTGGCCAATGGGGCAGCCGCGTCCTCCCGAAGCCTCTCCGACCCTGACCTGGAAGCCCCCCTCGGTGCCCGGGGCGGGGGTCGTGCCCCAGCTCATCTCCCAGGGCCCCTCTCCGGTGAGAGCCTCAACCCCGGGATTAGGGGGCCGGGGTCAGGGGTCAACAGCATTTGCCGCGGCTCCGTTCAGGCCGAGAGCGGATCCGTTCTCCCTGCCACCTCGAATTTCCTGGACAAAGGCACAGTGGAGGGACCGGGCAGAGGGACCCCCGAGCACCCTGGGAAAGCCCCGGGAGAGCCTCTGCCCACACAGCCCCCATTCAGCAGCCAATGAGCCGACGAGAGGAACCCTGTATGCCCATGCTGCAGAGGGGGAAACTGAGGCAGCCAGCGGATGGAGCCGGCCGAGAAGCTGCATGGCTTTAGTCAGGCGGGGGCCACGCGAGGCAGCCCGGCCCCCAGAGAAATGGGGCTCAGGCACGGGAGGCGGGGTCTGTGACGGCAGGCGGGTGGGGGGCTGGCGGCGGACAAAGGCGGGCGGGCTGGGTCCATGGGGGCGCGTTCCGCTCGTCAGCCTTGGTTCCACTTCAGTCCACCCTGGACAGGCCGGAATAATCCCTCCCGTGGCCGCTGCTGGGCCGTGACGACTTGAAGGGGGCCCGGCCAGCCTGACTGACGGCTGGGCGGGGGGCAGGGGCGCCTGGAGCTCCCCCCCACCCACACCCCTCAGGCCCTCCACCCCCATCCAGTGCTGGGAACGGCATTTGGCCGTTGCTGATGACACGGACGAGGAAACTGAGTCACAGACAGGCACACACCCCCTCCCAGGTCACAGAGCAGGCCCACCATGGCCGACTCCAGAATCACCCTCACTGGGACGGTCCCACCCTGCTGCAGCTTTGCACAACCCCTCACCTGGGAGTTGGAGGAATTCGGAGGCCTGGGCCTGAAGGAGTCAGAGAAATCACTCGCCTCCCTTTCATTCCCCAGCACCTGGGAGGCAGGGACAAGCTGGTGGCTGGAGCCGGGCCAGGCCAGGGGCCCTGGGAAGGCCCCATCGGGTGCTGCCTGAGGCCTGCAGAAACAGCTGTCAGCTCATGCCTCAATTTTTTCTTTTTTTTTTTTTGAGACGGAGTTTCGCTCTTGTCACCCACACTGGAGTGCAATGGCACAATCTCGGCTCACTGCAACCTCCACCTCCCGGGTTCAAGCAATTCTCCTGCCTCAGCCTCCCGAGTAGTTGAGATTACAGGTGCGTGCCACTACGCCCGGCTAATTTTTGTAGTTTTAGTAGAGACGGGGTTCCACCATGTTAGCCAGGCTGGTCTCAAACTCCTGACCTCAGGTGATCCACCAGCCTCGTCCTCCCAAAGTGCTGGGATTACGGGCGTGAGCCACCACGCCCAGCCTTATGCCTCAGTTTCTCCAGCTGCCAGGCGATCTGCAGAGCTGCCTGCAAACTCCACTAGGTGGGGGTGAGGAGGGGCATCACCCCCTCCCATCATGCACCTGGGCTCCTGGACGGACTTCAGCAGGTGGGGACAGTGTGCAGGAGAGGAAACTGCTGGACCAAGGGCCCCACAGGCAGGAGGGTGAGCAGGCCCTATGCGAGGGGGCTGGGTGAGCCTGGGAGAGTGTGGGGCCACGCTGAGGAAGCTGTGCTTCCGAGGGAGGCGGGCTTGGAGGTCCACGGTCCCGCCATGGATGCTGCAGGGGCCACTTAGGTTCAAGCCCTCCGAGGGCTCCCTGCCACCCTCAGGAGCAGCCCAGGCACGGGGCTTCTCAGCTCACGCCTCCCTTCGGCCACCAGGCCTTCCCTCGCGCCTGCAGTGGCCTCACCGCACTTCTGTGGGGTGACCTCCTCCTCCCCACCTCCCAGCGGAAGCGGGAGTCCTTGGGGAAGGCCTCTCCCGGCTGCCTTCGTCTTTGGCGAGTGCCCTGAGCTGCCAGGGCACTGGGCTCCCGTCTCCTGTTACCTTTGCCACCTCTGGCTTGGCAAACGGTAGGTGATTAATAAAGACATTTCAAAAGCACCAAAGGATGGGGCAGCTTCAAAGGGCCTGCGACGGCGGCAGGAGATGCGGGCCGGGCCACGGAGCCTTAAGCCGGGTCCAGGGGTCCCCAGCTCCCCATCTTTCAAACCCACCGAGTCCACCTTGTGGGAAAATACCCCTGGGTTTGCGACAAAGGCAGGAGCGGCTGGCAAAAGTGCCCTTGACGCTGAGAGGGGACCCCTGGTGGGGGGGGGGGGGGGGCCCTTCCCCGGCCTCAGTTTCCCCAGCTATAAAATGGGTGCTGGCTTCTTCAGAGGACCCCTCTCCCTCTGCCCTGGACCTCTGGGGACTGCTCCCCCCAACCCTCCAGGGGCCCCGCTGCGCTAATCCGCCAGGCGGCCTGCGCCTCGGTTTCCCCTCCCGGCGGCCTAATCCCCGGATTGTCGGAGGCCGGTTTTACATACATTTAGAGGCTTTTCATAATAGATTTACTGGGCCCCAGAACGGCCCTCACTGGGAGATTAGCTGCTCCGTAATTGAAAACTGCCCGCCGCCCCCTCCGCCCCTCTCCCCTGGGCTTGGGTCAGAGGGAAGGGCCCAGGGAGGACCCTGCAGCTGTGCGGGCCCCACGGGGGCCTCCCTGGGAGCTAGAACGGGGTCTCCCTGGTACCTGACCCGACGGAGGCTGCTCCCAGCCCTTGAGTGCTCAGCCGGGACTTGAACCAGGTCCGCCCCATGCCCACTGCCAAGGGCAGCCTCTGTGCTGGGACGGGGGGCCATGGTCTCCCTGTTTCAGACGAAGACACTGACTCACCCAGGGCACCCCGTGGGCAGCTGGTCTCTCTCTAAGCCGGGCCAGATCCTGGGTGCCCAACTTGGGGCTCAGAATTTGGGTCCTTACTCCCTGACCCCCTCAGCGCTTCCCAGAGACCCGGCAGGACAGGGGTCTCAGGAACGTTCATGGGATACAATGTGGCAGAGGATGGAGCTGAGTCGCCGCCCTTGGTAATTCGGCCCCATCCCCTTCCACCCCCAGCCTTCGCTGCCCGGTCCCCAACTGGGCAACTTAATTCTGCCTGTCACCAGGATGTGGGCCGAGTTTATTTATCTGGTGTATATATGCATTTTAATTTAAAGATCTGCCAGCCAGCACGGCTGACTCCCGCGGTTCCCCCGCTGCCCCCCTCACCTGCGAGAGGCCGTTCCCCACCACCACCCCTGCCCCCTAGGCCTTCCTGGAGGAGTGAATGATGGAGAATGAGCCCTTTGCCTCCAGTCTTTCCCAGTTGGCAAGAAAGAGCACTTGACTCAGAGTCCACACACAACACGCTCATTCAGTCATTCAACAAACATCCGAGGAGGGCTTGCTGGCATTGTGCCAGACAATGGGATCACAGGGAAGGCGGGGAGATCAGGCAACAAAGGGCCTGCCTCCATGGGCCTGGCGATTCTGCTCATCAAGAGCCCCCAGGATCTGAGACCCCACCCTGTGTCACTAGCCTGTTTTCCAGATGAGCAAACTGAGGCTCAGAGAACAGGGGCCTCACCCACAGCGGGTGGTGGAGAGGGCACTGGAACCTGGGCTTATCCGATGTCTGCAGCTGTGCCCTCACGCAGGGGTCAAGGCGAACCTCTCGGTGCCTCAGTTTCCCCTCCTAGCCAAAGAGCTTCTAGAGCCGCAGCCACAAGCGTGATGGACGATGTTAATAACAGCCCCGGGTGCTCGGGGACTCGGATACCACCGTCATTAATGCTCAGGCTGGGAGGGGCATGGGATATTGCAAACCATAACTCTAGCGCCTGGTGGGCGGGCAGAGGGGGCCGACAGCGGTCCCTGCGAGAGGCGGGCCCCCTTCCCATCACAAGATCATAACAAGCTCTGGTTTTCGACGCTTAGGGGGCCATGAGGACCGCCCAGCACCGAGACCACCCACTCAGGTGCCCCCAGCTCCTCCTCATGTGGGGAAGAAATATCCAGATTCGTCGCTTCTCTGGGCACCTGTGCTGCTCTCCCTGGAGGCTGGGGCGACTGGCTGGAGTCGGTAGTGGTCAGGCCGCCTCCCCTTCGCCATCCACTGGACCCTAAAGGGGTCCCGGCTGTGGGGCCCAGGGCCTGGGCACTCCCCTTCTCTGACCTCATCTTCCTTATCTACAAAGTGGGTCTCAGACTGGGCTCATGCCTGTAATCCCAGCACTTTGGGAGGCCAAGGCGGGAGGATCCCTTGAGCTCAGGAGTTGGGAAACCAGTCTGGGCAACATGGTGAAACCCCATCTCTACAAAAATAAATAAATAAATAAACAAAAATTAGCCACGTGTGGTGGCTCATGCCTGCAGTCTCAACTACCCAAGAGGCTGAGGTGGAAGGATCACCAGAGGCCAGGAGTTCAAGACCAGTCTGGGCAACACAGCGAGACCTCATCTCTACAAAAAATAAAAAAAATTAGCTAGCATGGAGCCGCGTGCCTGTGGTCCCAGCCACTCGCGAGAGGCTGAGGTGGGAGGATTGCTTGAGCCTAGGAGGTGGAGGCTGCAGTGAGCCACGATAGCACCATTGCACTCCAGCCTGGGGGACAGAGAAACACCCTGCCTCAAAAAAAAAACAAAGAATCACAGAAGCCCCAGGGGAGGCCAGGTGGGGGCGGAGAAAGCCAGTGAGAGATAAACTCGCCCCACGCCTCCCTCCTCTCTCCTGCCATCCACGTTCCCTTCGGAGCTTGAGCTGGGGAGAGGCAGGGATGGGAAAGATGCTCACAGATTGTCTCTAGAAGCTTCTCTCACGCCTGGAGACAGGCACTGTGGACCCCAGACCCAGAGGGGATGCCCCACAGTGCCTGGTGGGAGCCAGGACTTGAGCCCAGGACAGAACCGTAAGCCCCAAAACCCGGCGGGGCAGTCGGAGCTGGGGAAGAGACCACCCTGGGCACACACAGCCTGGTGGGGTGTCCCTAATGACCCCCGGAATGAAGGGTCCCCAGCCTCATTCTCCCTGGGCTGCTCCAGATGCAACCCCTGACCCGGCAGGGCTCACACTGCTTCGGGCCAGTGACCCATGGGGCCTGGGAGTGGCCTCAGTTTCCCCCTCTGCACAGGGAAGGGTGTCTCCTGCGACTCAGCGCCCCTCCCCCCCCCCCCGACACATGTCCATTAGGGTGCATTGATCGCTCCTGGGCCGAAGCCTTCCATTTCTGGACCAATGAGGGTGGGGGAGTCAGGAGCTGTCGGGTGGGCAGGCCCCTGGGAGGCCTGGGCAGGGTCTCTCCCTCTCTCAGGCTGTAAAGGGAGGGGTCCGGTCTGAGACGTTCCAGACTCAAGTGCGGAGCAGGTGACTCCGAAGTTCCGGCCTCGGAAGCCACCGTCTGAGCCCAGGAATGTGCACAGACAAATAGACGGGGAGCCGCTGGCGGTGGTTTCTGCTCCACCAGGCGACCGTGCAGGAGGACCCAGAGCTTGCCGGGCACGGTGACCCACGCCTGTGATCCCAGCATTTTAGGAGGCCGAGGCAAGAGGATCCCTTGGGCCCAGGAGTTTGAGATCAGCCTGGGCACCGTAGCAAGACCCCATCTCTACAAATAATCAAAAATTAGCCAGGTATGGTGGTGTGCACCTGTGGTTCGAGCTACTCGGGAGGCTGAGGCAGGAGGATCCCTTGAGCCCAAGAAGTCAAGACTGCAGTGAGCCATGATCACACCACTGCATTCCAGCCTGGGCAACAAAGGCAAGACCCTGTCTCATAAAGAAGGGCCTGGAGAGCTATTCTGAGGATGCAGCAAGACGGCAGAGGTACAGCAGCAGAAGAAACAGACCTTCCGCAACTTCACCCAGCGCGGCGTGGACCTGGACCAGCTACTGGACATGTCCTCGGAGCAGCGGATGCAGCTGAACAGCGCGCGCCGGCGGCGGCTGAACCCGGGCCTGTGGCGGAAGCAGCGCTCGCTGCTCAAGCGCCTGCGCAAGGCCAAGAAGGGGGCGCCGCCCACGGAGAAGCCGGAAGTGGTGAAGACGCACCCGCGGGACGTGCTTCTCCTGCCCGCGATGGTGGGTAGCACGGTGGGCGTCTACGACGGCAAGACCTTCAAGCAGGTGGAGATGGCCGGGCGCGGCCTGTAATCCCAGCACTTTGGGAGGCCGAGACGGGAGGATCACCTGAGGTCGGGAGTTCAAGACCAGCCTGACCAACATGGAGAAAACCCGTCTCTACTAAAAATACAAAAAAAAAAAAAAAAAAAAAGCGGGTCGTGGTGGTACGTGCCTGTAGTCCCAGCCACTCGGGAAGCTGAGGCAGGAGAAACGCTTGAACCCGGGAGGCGGAGGTTGCAGTGAGCTGAGATCACGCCACTGTACTCGTGGGCGACAGAGTGAGACTGCGTCCAAAAAAAAAAAAAAAAAAGGCCGGGCGCGGTGGCTCACGCCTGTCATCCCAGCACTTTGGGAGGCTGAGGCGGGAGGATCACGAGGTCAGGGGTTTGAGACCAGCCTGACCAACATGGTGAAACCCTGTCTCTACTAAAAATACAAAAATTAGCCAGGTGTGGTGGCACGCACCTGTAATCCCAGCTACTCAGGAGGCTGAGGCAGGAGAATCAGTTGAACCCAGGAGGCGGAGGTTGCAGTGAGCTGCGATTGTGCCATTGCACTCCAGCCTGGGTGACAGAGCAAGACTCCGTCTCAAAAAAAACAAAAAACAAAAAACAAAAAGAGAAACACTTGCAAGTATGTATGTCTATGGCCACGCACACTTTTGTGGCCATTTGAAGGCATGGATGTGGGCCTGTATGCATGGGGGAGGGCAGGTGCATGCCCGAGCCAGGTGTGGTTGATAGAAAGTGGCCCCAGTGGCCGGGCGCGGTGGCTCACGCCTGTCATCCCAGCACTTTGGGAGGCCGAGGCAGGCAGATCACGAGGTCAGGAGATCAAGACCATCCTGGCTAACACAGTGAAACCCGGTCTCTACTAAAAATACAAAAAAAAAACAGCGGGCGTGGTGGCGGGTGCCTGTAGTCCCAGCCACTCGGGAGGCTGAGGCAGGAGAATGGCGTGAACCCGGGAGACGGAGCTTGCAGTTAGCTGAGATCGTGCCACTGCACTCCAGCCTGGGCGACAGAGTGAGACTCTGTCTCAAAAAAATAAAATAAAATAAATAGGCCGGGCGCGGTGGCTCATGCCTGTAATCCCAGTACTTTGGGAGGCGAGGCAGGCGGATCACCTGAGGTCGGGAGATCGAGACCATCCTGGCTAACACAGTGAAACCCCGTCTCTACTAAAAATACAAAAAATTAGCCGGGCGTGGTGGTGGGCGCCTGTAGTCCCAGCTACGCAGGAGACTGAGGCAGGAGAATGGTGTGAACCCGGGAGGCGGAGCTTGCAGTGAGCCGAGATCGCCCCACTGCACTCCAGCCTGGGCGGCAAGAGCGAAATTTCATCTCAAAAAAAAAAAAAAAAAAAAAAAGGTGGGGAGAGCCCAGAGGAGACTCGGGAAGGGTGTGCCAGCCAGGGCAAAGAGGGAACACCCGTGAGTGAGAGGTGCCCTGGGGAAGAAGCAGGTGTCAGGGCTGGGTTGGGGGACCAGAGGACAGAGTGCTGTGGCCTCTGGGGATGGTGGGGGGGGGGGCTTCTTTTTTTTTTCTTCTCCTTATTTTGTTTGTTTTTCTTATTTTTGTTTTGTTTTGTTTTCTTTTCTTTTCTGGAGCCTCTCATTACTGCCATGTGGCTGTTGGATCCCTGCAAGGCGATTCTTGTGTTTCAGCCTTCCCGAGTAGCTGGGACTACAGGCGCCTGCCATCACGGCCGGCTAATTTTTGTATTTTTAGTAGAGACAAGGTTTCACCATGTTGGCCAAGCTGGTCTCGAACTCCTGACCTCAAGTGAGCTACCTGCCTTGGCCTCCCAAAGTGCTGGGATTACTGGTGTGAGCTGTTCAGTATTTTTGTTTGTTTGTTTTTTGAGACAGGGTCTGGCTCTGTCACCCAGGCTGGAGTGCAGTGGCGTGATCATGGCTCAATGCAGTCTCAACCTCCTGGGCTCAAAGCATCTTTCCCCCTGGGCCTCCCGAGTAGCTGGAACCAGAGGTGCGTGCCAGCATGCCTGGCTAATTTTTTAATTTTTATTTTGCCGAGATGGTGGTGGTGGGGGTCTCACCCTGTTGCCCAGGCTGGTCTTGAACCCCTGGCCTCCAGCAATCAGCCTGCCTCAGTCTCCAAAATTGCTGGGATTACAGGCAGGAGCCACCATGCCCAGCCTCCGTTCAGTTTTGAGGGTGAAGAATGAGACACCATTTCTAAAAAGCAAAAAAAAAGTGAGCCCCCCTCCATCATGGCTGTTTGGACCAGAGGGTGGGGACCAAGGGGTTTTCTCCTCAAACACAGATGTAGACAGGCACACTGAGGCTCAGTGGTGAGGTCTGGGGGGATGCAGAGCCCTGCCCTGGGCCACCGGGGCTGTGGGGGGCGGCACGTTCCACCCCAAGCCGCACTCAAGAGTTTTGGGCGCCTCAGGCCTCCTTTCCCCTAGCAGCCTCCCGCTGCCCCCTGCCCGCGGCGGGCACCGAGGCGGCAGTAACTGGCCGGCAGGAGGGAGATGACTTCCCTCAGGATCCTCTGGGCGGAAAAGACTCTGCGCGGGACCAGCGTACCAATGGCCGTCCAGGGCTGGCAGGAGCCGGCATTGGGGTCTCACTGGGGCTGGGGTCGGGGGTAACCAGGTTCCCCAAGGAGCGCCCACACCCGGCGGGGACATCCCAGCACAGCCCCTGGAGTGAGTGGCCACTCGACACGTTGATGCAGCCACTGGGACAGGCACCAGGGTCTGGTCAGGGTCTGGCGCGGGAGTGGAGGTCAGTTCCTGAGAGGCTCGGGCCCAAAACACATGTGTCTGGCGACACAGGGGTACACAGGCATGGAGGTGCAAGCGCAGGGCTACGCGTGTGTGTGTGTACACGTGTCTGCGTGTGGCCAATGACACGGTCCCAGGAGATTCCCTGCTCTGGGCCCAGCACTGGTCCCGGCGATAACCAGGACAGACCCAGCCCTGCCCTTAGCGGCTGCAGCCTGGGGAGGAGTCAGGTAAGTAAACAGTCACAAAGGGCACCCACAGCCTCCTGGCCAGGAGCTCAGGTGACATCTGAGCTGAGTTGGAAGGGGCTGAGTGGGGGAGCCTGGCTGCAATCTGCAAGAGAGGTTCATCGGGGCAGTGGGGTGGGCTGGGGGGACAGTGCATGCAAAGGCCCAGAGGCAGGAGCTCAGCCATTCTTTGTGTATTTACCCAAAGTCACCTTTTAGGCTGGGCGCAGTGGCTCACGTCTGTATTCTCAGCACTTTCGGAGGCCAAGGCAGGTGGATTACTTCAGGTCAGGAATTTGAGACCAGCCTGGCCAATATGGTGAAACCCCATCTCTACTAAAAATACAAAAATTAGCTGGGCGAGTTGGCACACACCTGTAATCCCAGCTTCTCGGGAATCTGAGGCAGGAGAATTGCTTGAACGTGGGAGGCGGAGGCTGCAGTGAGCCGGGTTCGTGCCATTACACTCCAGCCTGGGTGACAGAGAGACTCAGTCTCAAAAAAACACAAAAACAAAAACGAAAAAGCAAAGTCACCTTTTGCATTGAAACTTTGTCTCAAAAATAATAAGATTGTCACAATATGCCCGTAGTGCCAGCTACTCAGAGGCTGCGGGAGGCAAATCGCTTGAGCCCAGGAGCCAGAGGTTTCAGTGAGCCGTGATCGCACCACTGCACTCCAGCCTGGGCGACAGAGTGAGACCCCGTCTCTAATAAATAATACAGAGTTAAATAATAAATCTAAAAAAAGCATCTTGGCTGGGCGTGGTGGCTCACTTCTGTAATCACAAGAAGTTTGGCTTGTGAGTTTTTGTTCTTTGTTTTTTAGAGACAATCTCTGAAAATGGTGAGATTACAGGGGTGAGCTACCATGCCTGGCACCCCCAGCACTCTGGGAGGCCAGGGCGGGAGGATCACTTGAGCCCAGGAGTTCGAGACCAGCCAGGAAATATAGCAAGACCCCATCTCTACAAAAAACAATAATAATAATAAATTGTATTTTTAACAATTGTCATAATAGCTAAAAGGTGGAAAGTACCCAAGTGCCCCTGGATAGATGATTGGATAAACACAGCGTGGTCCTTCCACGCACCGGAACGTGCTCAGCTGTGAAAAGGAGCGAGGCTCTGACCCAGGCCACAGCGCAGATGCACCTTGAGGACGTCACACTCAGTGAGAGATGCCAGACACGCAAGGCCACACAGTGTGTGACCCATTTCCATGAAACGTCCAGGACAGGCCCATCCACAGAGACAGGGAAGGAGGGGATACGTTGGTGCCAGGGGAGGGGATAAGGAGTGACGGCTGATGGGGACAAGGCTTCCTTTTGGGGTGATGGAATGTTCTGGAATCAGAGCTGATGGCTGCACAAGTCTCAATGCACTAAAATCCATGCAATTGTACTTAAAATGGAGGGAAGGACACTATTGTGTTTTTGTAACAGCATCACAGTCAGCACTGGGATGCCTCTCATGATCCCTGATCTCATTCTGTCCTTGGTCCTCTCTGTCCCAGTGGTCACGTTGCAGTTTGGGGTGGGGGTCTCGGCATGAATGGGCTGTGGGGGTCGCCTCCCTCTCTGAGCCTCGGGGTCCTCTGTGGAGTGGGGCATGGTGGAGCCTCCCCCGCGGTGCTCAGCACGGTGGCCGGCCGGCCCTCTGTGCCTCCGTGCGTCCACCCCGCGCTGGGCAGGGGCGGGGCGGGGCACACACAGGGGTCTTTGTGCCTGGGCTGCCTCATTAGGAGGCGGCCCCCGTCACCGGGCCCAGCGCAGCTGAATTAATTAGCTGGGAGCGTTCCCGCTCGGCTAATTGTGCCGGAGACGCCG
This sequence comes from Homo sapiens, assembly GCF_000001405.40. Taxonomy (NCBI): domain Eukaryota; kingdom Metazoa; phylum Chordata; class Mammalia; order Primates; family Hominidae; genus Homo; species Homo sapiens. Next base: position 1,302,610 of record NC_000019.10, on the reverse strand, counting down.
TCGTCACGGCGGGTGGGATGCAGGCGACCATCGTCCAGCCGTAAAGACCTCAGTCCCCTGGGCCGGGTCACCTGCCGCGTCACCCCCAGCCTCTCTGTGCCTCAGTTTCTTCAATCGGGGCGTGCCTGGCATGAAGGCCCCTGGGACCCGAGAACTTACAGATGTGCCGTTTGCAAGGGGAAGAGGTTAGGAGATGACAGAGCCCCTGCCCTGGCCTGGAGCAGGTGGGGAAACTGAGTTACACAGAGGCAGAGCTTGCCAGTGGAGATTTCACAACATTTGATTGGATCCTGAGGCCCAGGAATTCCACCATGTTCAGGTGTGTGCCGGCCAGCGGTGTCCCCAGGGCCAGCCATGCACAGGCCCCGTCTCCTCCCTCCATCCTCCCAGCTGCCCCCTCCCAGCCCTAGGTGGGCTGTTGCTACTTCCCAGAGAGGGAAACTGAAGCCCATGGATGGCTATGAAGGATACGGGCCCTATAAAATGCTCATCCCAAGGTCTGACCCCAAAACGATGCACAGAACCAAAGAATCAGTCAGGTTCACAGCTCTGGGGATCCCCAGAGGTTCCTCGAAGCCGCACCCCTCTCCCCAGTAGATTCCAGACCCACCTCTAAATTATTATTATTATTATTACTATTACTATTATTTGAGGCAGGGTCTTGCTTTGTTGCCCAAGCTGGAGTGCAGTGGTGTGATCATAGCTCCCTGTAGCCTCCACCTGCCGGGCTCAAGCCATCCTCTCACCTCAGCCTCCCGAGTAGCTGGGTCTACAGTTGTGCACCACCACGCCGAGCTAATTTTTTTTTTCCTTTTTGAGACAGAGTTTCGCTCTGTTGCCGAGGCTGGAGGGCAAAGGCACGATCTCAGCTCACTGCAACCTCCAACTCCCGGGTTCAAGAGGTTCTCCTGCCTCAGCCTCCCGAGTAGCTGGGATGACAGGCGTGCACCACCTCACCTGGCTTTTTTTTTTTTTTTTTTCATATTTTTAGTAGAGATGGGGTTTCACCATGTTGGCCAGACTGGTTTCAAACTCCTGACCTCAAGCGATCTGCCCGCCTCGGCCTCCCAAAGTGCTGCAATCACAGGAGTAAACCACCACGCCCAGCATCCACCGCCAAATTAGGAATGCAAAAGTCTCCTTCAAGTAGGGCAAGGCCCCCACATACAGACACACGCGTTTGAGGTTTATGCTCATTTTATTATAAAAAAATACAGAATCCAAAGTTGATTGTGACGGGAAGAGGGAGGCCCGGTCGCCAGCTCCAGGCCTGGCAACGCGGCCCGCCCCGCCGACCCCCTACAAAAGCCCTCTGCCCACCCCCCACCACCGGGCGTGCCTCGAGCCGCCGGCCGGCGGCCGTACACAATATATATTTATATATAATATATATAAAACACAGAGTCAGGAAAGGCGGGTAGAAATATGAAATCCGTATAAATGTGTTGTTTCCTTCATTAAAGTGTCTTCGGGGAGGAGTTTCTTTTTTTTTTTTTGGTAGTGGTTCCCTCCCTTTTGTCCTTTTTTTCTTTTTCTTAGAAACATTATCAGGTCACAGAGTTGAGAGAGGGGCTCTGACAGACGACACGAGCTTATTGCCAAGTGCAGCTTCTACTCTAAAAGTCCACCCCACCCCCCCACCAAAATAAAAGACCCCCTATGAAGGGCTGAAAAAACATAGACGGTCCAGTCCGTCCTCAGGAATACGTGGAAAATAAAATCACAGTTTGCACTTGCTGGCTGTATTTACAGGAACAGAAGGTCTTCTCGGCCTCGGAGAGGGACCGTGTGAGGCGAGGGGGACGGGTAGGGGGCTGTTTGCATCGGCCAAAGCAGTTTCTAAGACACGGCGGGACTGTGATTCCGAAGGGCGCTGGGGCAAAACAGTGTCTGGGAGGAAATGACCAGGAGGACGGGGGTGGGCGATGGGGTATGAGGTCTCCCCAGCCACAATGAGGGGCGCCCACCACGTACCCCTTCCGGCTCAGACTCACCCAACCTGGAGCACCAGGGGGGTCCGCGGTGGGCTGCAGCTGTGTTCCCCCACGAGTGGGGTGCAGAGCAGAGGGGAGCGGCTGTGTTCCCCCACGAGTGGGGTGCAGAGCAGAGGGGAGCGGCTGTGTTCCCCCACGAGTGGGGTGCAGAGCAGAGGGGAGCGGCTGTGTTCCCCCACGAGTGGGGTGCAGAGCAGAGGGGAGCGGCTGTGTTCCCGACCCCATGTTCCGCGTTCCCCTCCCCCAGGCCAGGGCACAGGGACCCCGCCCCGCTACAACGGCAGGGAATAAATTAAATTAAAAACTCAAGTCTTTTTGATCCAACCACGAAAAATACACTAAAAAAAAAAAAAAAAAAAAAAAAAAAAAAAAAAATCGCCAAGAGGTTCCCGGGTTCTCCGACGCCCCAGAGGAGATGGCCTGGCCACGGTCCGCATCCACACCCCGGCCCCTCGGGCCTCCGGGGGGGGGCTCTCGGCCGTTTCCCCTCCCTGAGGGCTGGTCCTGGGGCGGGTGGATGGCCCCTGCCCGGCGGGGGCGGCACCAGGCGAGGGAGAAGCAGCGTCTCTATTTGGTCTCGGAGGCGGGGGCCGCAGCCGGGTCCGGAGGGCCGAGGTCAGGCGGTCCAGGCGGGGCCGTCCAGGCAGGGTCGGCGTCCTGCGGGGCTGGGACTAGGAACCCAGGAGGGTCCAGAGCACGGGGATGGTGCTGAGGAAGAGGCGGCAGCCGCCCGGGCTGCTACACGAGTTATTGCTGGTGAAGATGGGCTCAGGAGCCTCGTACAGGGTCTCGTCTGCGGGTGGCAGAGACAGCACGCTCAGCGGCCGCCCGAACCCCACTGGGCTCCCCACGTGCCGCCCGCCCTCAGGGTGCACATCTGCCCAACGGGCTCATCACCCCACCAGGCAGGCCCTCTGCTCCCTCTTGGTGCCATCCCCGATGCCCACTCTCCGGGCAAAGTCACTTGGCCTGAAGTGGGGGACCTGGCTGTTGAATTCAACCTTCACTCTTTTAATCTTTTTTTTTTTTTTTTTGCTTTATTTTTATTTATTTATTTATTTTTTGAGACGGAGTCTCACCGTCGCCAGGCTGGCGTGCAGTGGCGCAATCTGGGCTCACTGCAACCTCCGCCTCCCGGGTTCAGGCGATTCTCCAGCTTCAGCCTCCCAAATAGCTGGGACTACAGGCATGTGCCACCACGCCCGGCTAATTTTGTATTTTCAGCAGAGACGGGGTTTCACCATGTTGGCCAGGACGGTCTCCATCTCTTGACCTTGGGGTCCACCCACCTCAGCCTCCCAAAGTGCTGGGATTACAGGTGTGAGCCACCGTGCCCGGCCACTCTGTTTTTATTTTTATTTTTATTTTATTTTATTTTTTAGACGCAGTCTTGCTATATCACCCAGACTGGAGAGCAGTGGCGCAATCTGGGCTCACTGCAACCTCCACTTCCCGGGTTCAAGTGATTCTCCTGCCTCAGTCTCCTGAGTAGCTGGGATTACAGGAGCCCGCCACCAGGCCCGGCTAAATTTTGTATTTTTAGTAGAGATGGGGTTTCGCCATGTTAACCAGGCTGGTCTCAAACTCCTGACCTCAGGTGATCCACCTGCCTCAGGCTCCCAAAGTTGGGATTACAGGCGTGAGCCACCCAACCGGCCTGCTTTGTTTTTTAGAGACAGAGTCTTGCTCTGTCACCCAGGCTGGAATGCAGTGGCGTGATCTCTGCTCACTGCAGCCTCGGCCTCCTGGGCTCAATTGATTCTCCCACCTCAGCATCCCAATGTGCTGGGATTATAGGCGTGAGCCACTGCGCTCAGCTAACCTTCACTCTCGAAGGTCTGACATGTTCATCAGACGGGGAAATCGAGGCTGGGGCAAGGCAGGGCAAGATAGGGAAACCCGAGGCCCCCTGTCCTGGCTCTTCTGAACACTCACTGGTTCTGTGGGTTTAGGACACAGGGGTGGGGGCCTGGATCCTGCCCATCCCCCTGAGCACTTACTGGTCGGCCGCACGTACACCTTCAGTCGCAGGCAGGGCCGGTCCACAGCATTGGGAGGCGTGGCAGCTAGAAGAGAGGGGATGGGGATGAGTGGGGAAGTGCCTCTTGGTGCCTGAGACCTCCTGGGGCTGTACTCCCTTCCCCACCTTGGTGAATCAACCCTGACCCCAGGTGGAGAGCCACCCTTAAAACTCCTAATCGTACATCAAAGCCCCAGACACAATGCCCCCTGTTTCCCAGCAGTCTCCTGCACATTCCCCCTGCTCCTCCTTCTGTCCAATCCTGACCCCAGAACCTGGGGGTGTCTGTGTTTTTGTTCTGCTCTGCCTCACCCCAGGGCAGCACAGGGTGAGCTCGGAAAATGATGTATTTGTTTTCAAGCAATCAGCAAAGAGGTGATATATTAATAGTGAAATGATTGACCTGGGTTCAAATCTCTGCCTCTGAGAGCCTGTGGACAAGCCGCTCCCTCTCTGGACCTCGCCTGGCAACACAGTAGATTCTCTGGGAAAGATTCTTTTTTTTTTTTTTTTTTTTTTTTTTTGTGATGGAGCTTTGCTCTTGTCGCCCAGGCTGGAGTGCAATGGTACGATCTCGGCTCACTGCAATCTCAGCCTCCCGGGTTCAAGCAATTCTCCTGCCTCAGCCTCCCAAGTAAACAGGATTACAAATGTGTGCCACCATGCCTGGCTAATTTTTGTATTTTTAGTAGAAACGGGGTTTCACCATGTTGGCCGGGCTGGTCTTGAACTCCTGACCTCAGGTGATCCACCCGCCTCGGCCTCCCAAAGTGCTGGGATTACAGGCGTGAGCCACCGCCACGCCTGGCTGGGAAAGATTATTTCCAACTGGTTCTTACGCCCAAAATTCCAGCATCACCGCCCCTGCTTTCGGGCCCCCAGAAGCATCCTGGAGTGCAGTGGGGGCGTCTGCAAGGATCAAGAGAGGAGGAAAAGGACGCCTGAAGCCGGGGCCGCTGGGGTGTGCACACGTGTGGACAATCGAACAGGGGTGGGTCCATGTGCACGCACACATGGATGTGGTCTTGCTGTCTCTGCCGGGCCCTGGGCCCCTGATGGCCTGGCTCTCATGGCCACCACCTCTGCCCGCCCCCTAGAAACCCCTCACACTGGAAGATGAAGATAAAAAGCATGTAATAAAAATAACATTCATCACAGAGGTAGGACGAATAATTACAATAATTATCTTTATGAAACTGCCGTCTCAGAAAGAAAAATGTAATTTTTCTCATATTATGGGGACTTAATTTAAACACCTTCCCCCGTCCCCCACCCGCTTCTTCCCTGAATTAAAAGGGAAAAATCCAACTAGAGCAGAGAAAGGAGGCAATGGGGCCTTGTAAAGTTTAATTTCACACAGCAGGAGCTGGGTGTCCAGGCACTGGCCCCCCTGCAGCCTGGGGGCACAGACCCCAGATCCCTGACTCCCCATCCCTCAGGCCCCGAGATGCTGAGAAGCCGGGGTCCCCACTCCACGAGAATCCCTCAGTCTCAGCGCCACGGCGGAAGCCACGAGTGTGATGCCATCATCCCCATCTCAGGTGGGCAGTGCCTGGCCCCTCATTCCCCCGCCAAGGTCACAGATATCATGGCCAAGCAGGACTGGGACTCCGGCTGGCGCTGCTGTGTTCCCCACCTGCCGTTGGCCTTTCGTAGGGACAAAAAGGCCAGCTTCGGACCTCCGATAAGCAGCAGGGACTGGCAGCCTCCCTCAGCCTGGCCCACCCAGCCTGGCCCACCATGGGGTCCTGCAGATGTGACTATCCCCAAGGCTGCCGCCACCCAACCTTCAGATGAAGACCCCACGGTCCTCAGGGAGTCTCCGAGCCTGGCATGGGTCCCGGGGAGATGCGGGGGTGGGTGCGGGGCAGGGAGGACCTGGAGACCCCTACCCAGTCTGGGTGCGGCTGGTGCGGCAGGGGCCCTGTGGGGTTTTTTTCTTCTTTTAAAGACAGGGTCTCGCTCTGCCACCCAGGCTGGAGTGCAGTGGAGCGACCAGAGCTCATGCACTCCAAGCAGCCCTCCCACCTCAGCCCCCTGCACAGCTGGGACCACAGGCCCATGCCACCACACCTGGCTAATTGTTTTTATGTTTTTGTAGAGAGAAGGTCTCCCTACGTTGTCCACGCTGGCCTCAAGTGATCCTCCCGCCTCGGCATCCCAAAGTGCTGGGATTGCAGGAGTAAGCCCCAGCACTCAGCCTAGCTGTGGCTTCCACCAAGCTCCCCTCCCCTGCTGGGCTCCGGATGCCTCAGTTTCCCTCATCAGTGTGCTGGGGCTCGGGCACCCTGGTCTCGCTATCGGGGGGCTGAGCCAGGTCTACTGGCCCAACCACCAAGTGGTCTGAGCTGGAGGCCCGAGATCACAATAGTGCAGCCTCAGTCCCCCTCCAAGCCTCAGTTTCCCCATATGCAACGAAGGACGAGGAAAGTCCTGGCCTCCCGGGATGGTTGGGAGAATGGCACGTCCATCATGCACTTGACATCTGGAGGGGGTCAGTGACCGGGGTGGGTCAGTGGCCAGCACCGGCCCTGGCCCCACTCCGCGGCCCCGCCCACTCCCCCCTGGCCCCATTCCGCGGCCCCGCCCACTCCCCCCTGGCCCCACACCGCGGCCCCGCCCACTGCGCTGCCCCGCCCACTCCCCGGCCCCACCCCAGTGGTCCCGCCCACTTCCTGGCCCCGCCCCCGCGTCCCCGCCCACTCGGGCCCCGGCAGCCCCGGCCCGACCCCACTCACAGATGTAGTAATACTCGTGGCCGGGCCGGAACTCGAAGCCCAGGGAGAAGGGCGTGAAGAGCTGGAACTTCTCCGAGAACTTGAGCGGCCCCCCGGGCGCCGCGGGCCGGTTGCACTCCCAGCGCTTGAAGCCGCGCTGGCGGTGGTCGCAGGAGGCGTGGCCCTCGCCGTTGACCATGTACAGCACGTAGTGCTCCATGCGCTCGGCCGGCGGCAGCGGCGCCCCATAGTGCGGGCAGTAGATGTCCAGGTAGTCATTGATGCTCACCTCCACCGTGTAGCCCCCGCCGTCGTCCCCCGCGCCTGCGTGGAACCTGCGGGGACAAGGCGGCCAGAGGTCAGCGCCCGGAGCGAGGAACGGGGCACGGGTCGGGGTGCGCGGGGAGGGCCAGGGTCAGGGGACAGGAGCACGAGGGACGGGTCGGGGTGCGCGGCGAGGGCCGGGGTCAGGAGCACGGGGGACGGGTCAGGGTGCGCCAGGGGGGACAGGGTCAGGGGACAGGTGCATGGGGCACGGGTCAGTGTGCGCGGGGAGAGATGGCTCCGGGGACAGGTGCACAGGGCACGGGACAGGGTGAGCGGGGAGGGACGGGTCAGGGGACAGGTGCACGGGGAAGTCAGGCCGGGGAATGGGGGAGGGGTCAGTTCACAAGGTGGACTCCGCCTGGGCCCTGAATGGTGATAGCGGTCAGCAGGTGGGGTTGCACACCCCAATCACGGCGGGCTTCCAAGGTTGGGAGCCCACGATCTCTTGCCTGGCACTGCCCCCCACCTCCTGCCTCAGTGTCCCCAACAGCCCCACGGCAGGGCCAGCAGCGAGGTGGGTGTCCAGGTGGGTGACATCTGGACCCCTGTGTGCAAAGGGCCGGCGGGGGGTTCCTGACTCCGGGCCTCTGCACGAGCTGTCCCTCCACAAGAATTCCCTCTCCAGAAACTTCGCATCTACCTAACATGCTTAACATCTGTGCCGCCTCCTCCAGGCAGCCCCCAGCCCTGCTTTCATTCTGCACTCCCACCTGTTGAGAAGGACCGGGGCAGCGTGGGGGACACAGGTCGGGCATTCCAGCTCGCTCTGGGGCAAGCTCTGCCCCCACCCTGGCCTCAGTTTCCCCAAAGAGAACGGAGCTTGGCGTGAAGAATCCCTCCACCCTCCTCTCAGCACCCCCAGAGTTCCGCCCACCGCCCCCTCTCTCTCAGCCTGCCGAGTTCCACCTGCCGCCCAGCTCGGAGACATCCTGGGCTCCACTCCCAGCCCCACCCCTGCCTTCCTGTGTGACCCTGCGAGCCCCATACCACCCTCTCACATCTGGAACCCAGAAACCTCCCGAGCCCCGAGCCCCGGAATCCGGCGGCCTCCTGGTCTCCCTCTTGGGTGCCTGCACTCCTGACACCTCAGCCCCCAGCCCTGCCTCCAGGCCTTTGCCCTGAGGTCCCCCAGACGCAACCCACAGGCCCCTTCCTCCAGGGAGCCCCCTGACCCAGCCTCGTCTGTGAGGATAGAGATCAGCCGAGGAAGGGACCGGCGGCTCCCCTTCCCTCACTGCCTCGGGCGATGGCGGCAGGAGCCCTTAGATCTCCCGGCTGTGGTCCCCAGGGCCCCTGTCATGTAACCGGCGGCCTGGACCAAGCGGGGCACGAGGGGGGCCCTGAGAGGGGCTTATTAGCACATAAAAGACCTGAACAGGGAGGAATGGGGGGTCCCCCACACCGCTCCTGCCTCCTCCCTCCATGCACAGGCAGGGGAAACTGAGGCCCCACCAGTGTTGGCAGCACATGGGTGCAGGCTGCTACGATCCCGGCCCTGGCACTGCCTCTAGCCCGGCACAGCCACCGCCACCCCGGCCTGCAGGGGTGAGCCCGCCGCAGGCCCCACACTGGGGGCACTAATTGGCACAGCAGCTCGAGAGAGAGGGTGGTGGGATTATCAGATGGCATCAGCCCGGCCCCCCGCCACCCTGAGATGCCACGCCAGGCGGGGCCGGGGGTTCCTGGGTCTCCAGGGGTGAGAAGGGGCAGACAGGTGTGCTCACTTGCGCCTCAGTTTCCCCACTAGGGATCCGGCATGAAGATCTCCAGAGCAAAGAATTTCAAGGCAGGGCGGCGGAGGCGGTGAAGTCACCCTCCAGCCCTTCCCTACCTGGTTGGATTCGTCCAGGGACAGAGAGCTTCCCAGGCCTCCTTCATCACCCCTGTGAGCCCAGCACAGGGGACATGGGAGGGCGTGTTGCAGGGAAATCTCCCCCGGGCACCAGGCCTGGAGGGCAGGGGCCCTTCCGGGGCTTCGGAATCTTGCAGTTCTGGGCTTGCGTCTGGATTTGAACCCTTGGGTCTCGAGGTCCGGCCTCCTCTCAGAGGCTCCCTTTCCCCTCCGTGCAAGGGGATGGTCCTCCCGGCTGTTGGACACTCGGGGTGCGTCCGCACAGACACGGGGGCAGCCCCCATACAGGCTCAGATGGAGATGGGCTCGGCCTCAGCCCACCCCTCAGGCTGCCCCATTGGCCGGCCGGGCACAGGCATCTCATTGACCCGCTGGCCCCTTGGGCACGATCGATGCAGAAGCTGCTCCAGCCTTTTTGAAAAGTCATTTTCGTTCCTGCCCAGCCCAAGTGAAAGCCCATTGATCAGGCGGTCGATGGTAGCCAAGGCCCAGCTCCCGCCTGGGACTGCCCACACCCAGGTCACCCTGCAGGGGAGGCCTCCGTGGAGGGACCACAGGGGCGTCTGGGCTCCCCACTGCCCTCTGGCCTCAGTTTCCCCTCCTGTCCCGGCAGTGATCCCCAGGGAGCCACATTCAACCCAAAAAAAGAACCTGGCTCCTAGCAGGACACTTCTTGAGACAGAGCAGCCTCTGAAAGTGCCCACAGCACCAGCCCTGTAGGTCCCCCTCTGGCCTCTTGGTTCCCCAATGGTGCCTCCTTCCCCCACGTCTGACACCACTGTGTTCTCTCCTCCTGTTCTGCCTTCGGTAAAATGTCAGAGACCGAGGCTTCTGTGTGGCTGAGCGGCCAGGTGCCCGGGCCCCTCCAGGCTGCGGTGAGGGTCTGCCGGGGCCCAGCCTCCCCATATCCCAAGCCTCGCTCTTCTGCAAAACAGACCCTGTAACACGTTGGCGGCGGCTCAGAGCCCTCCATCCATTCCTGATCCTCAGAATAAAATCCACACCCCTCCAGGCCTGTGTGGCCCATCCACTGCGCCCTCCTCATCCTCCTCTCTCCAAGACTCCTCCCTTCCAGCCACACCAGCCTCCCGGCTGTCCCTGTTCCCACCAAGGGCCTCTGCAGCTGCTGTTCCCACTGCCTGCAGTGCTGTTCCCTGTGCCCCGCCCCATATCACATCTGCTCTTTACAGGGTTTGCTGTCTGAATCCCGGATCCTGATGTTGGCCTCCTCTGTCCCCTCCCCAGGGCCCTACACAGGCCCTGCATACAGTGGTGCTCAATAATGAGTGAATTAAAAAGGTCAAGAGGCGAGGACTTTGCAATGCCAGAGTTGTGGGGAGCAGCCCACAGGTGTGTGTGTTGGAGGGCAGGTCCCAGGGGAACCCCCACCCCCGGCTCTGCCTGCCGGAGTGGGGCCGTATTTTTCCCTTTGCGTCTCTAAAATAGCAGCGGCCTTGCTGTGTTGGCATTCCCGGTTCCAAGTTGGCGGGCAAGCCCGAGGTGGGCGCGTTGCCCCTGTTGAGGGTGGCGCCTGCAGGGGGGAGGGGGCCCCCACCCCAAAACCGCACCTGGGGAGAGGCAGACAAAGCCTTCGCTTCCTCCATTAGTGATGAAGCCTCGATATGCAAATCCTCCCCGGAGCGGCAGAGAGACTGAAATTCTCACTAAGGGGTTAATGACTGATTTGGGATTTTTCCCAGACAGAGCAGCGGTGGCAGTTTTTACTCCTCCGGGTTCCCTCTGCCGGGCCACACCTTCCCCCCACACTCACTCAACCTGCGGGTGCCAAAGTCCACGCCTCCAGGCAGCCCTCCAGGCCCCAGGCAGAGGCTCACCCAGCAGGGCTCCCCTCCTGCCCACCCGGGCCTCCTGGCTGTCACCAGCTTCCAGCAAGCGGCCTGGAGCTAATTAGCTCCAATCGGGCAATTGTCAAGTTATTAGACGCTAATAGCTAAGCGACTAATTAGGAATCTCACCCAAAACTGGGGTGGGGGTGGGCTGGGCTGCCTTCCAGGACTGGAAACTGAGGCAGTGGTGTGGCCGGCAGCCAGGACCCCGTGGGTGGGCAGGTGGACGCCTGCACCCGTCTGCATCTCTCTTCCAGGGTGGAGAAGCTCCCGGGGAGGCCCAGGCTGGCCGGATGAGCAGGCAGCCCGGGTCCTGAAGCCCAGCGTGGGGCTGAGGCCGCCCGTCCCCTCCTGCCACCCCCAGCAAGACCTGCTGGGGTGACAGCACCCACACCTGGCTTTTCCAGGGACGGAAGAGATGTCCCCCCTGACTGAGGACTGGAGCTTTTCCTCCTGCTCAGGACCTGGGTGGGACCTGAAGGGAAATCAGTCCCCGGGATGGTGCAAGGTCTGCCCAAGAAAGGACAAGTATGGCCTTGTGGTGCAGGAGGGTAAACTGAGGCAGGGCCCTAGAAATGAAGCAAAATAGGAAAAAGATGGGCCGGGCAGGGTCAGCCCCACCTGGGCTTCCGTCACCGTGGGCGTGGGTGGCCCTGGTACAGAGTGCAGCTGCCGTCGGCCACCCACCTTCCTGCCCCTCCCAGGGCTGTCCCTGGCTTCCCCCGGGCCGGCCCCAGGTGGGACACCCTGGACTCTGCCCAACTTCCGGGTGGCCTTGGGTGAGTCACCGTCTTTCAGGGCCTCGGCTGCTCTGTCCCTGAATTGGGGGCCCCTGACCCACAGGGCAGGTGGACAAGGGGCGCACAGAGCTGGGGGGACACGCCGCTGAGTCTCTCGGCCAGACCCCACACCAGCCTGGTCTGGGAGCAGGTGTGGCACGAGCCCCCCACCAGGACCGACTCGGCCACAGAGTTCAAACGCCTGCTTGAGGTTAAAGCAAAAACCCCGCCGGCTCGTCTGCTCCTCCGCAGGCTCCAGCCGCGTGTCTGGGGCGACGGGACGGTGGGCACAGGGACGGGAGCAGCTCAGCCCTTCCCCCAGCAAGGTACAAAGCCCAGCTCTCCCTGAGGACCCATCTGCAGGAGAGGCTGGTCCCACACACAGGACTGAGGGGCAAGGCCTGGCTGCATCCCGGTTCCTGGGGAGGAGAGAAGCCGTGTCCCGGGGAACACACGGCCACCGGGGCAGGACCCTCATGGATGACAAGGAGACCACCGGCTCCACAGAAACGCTACCACCCGGACCCCCATGAATGCACAACCCACTGCCTCCGCCGTGACCCCGAGGGACCCACGTAGGGCCAGTCCCCTGCAGACCTGCGGAGACGTCAGCCCAGAGACGGGGGAAGGTCAAATCCCACTGCGTTCACGGCCCCCCGCCACGGAACCTCTGTTCCCTTCTCTGCAAACTGAGGCCGCCCAGGGAGGCCTGCAGTGGAGGCGGAAGGCCTGGGCCACCCATGGCACCCCAGGATGCCCAGAGATGGGGAAGACAGAGACCCAAAGAGACCGTGAGACACAGAGACCATGGTGCCTCGGCAGAAGCATCCTCCCCACCACAGGAGCTGCCTCGGTTTCCCTTCTGGGGAGGGGACACTAACCCCTGGGACCACCCTCAGGCCTTTGCCCATCCACACCAGGCCCTATCGGCCGAGCCGCACCCACCGCAGGGCTCCGTCACCCCCACTTCGCAGAGCAGGCCTGGGGGTTCCAGGCTGCTAAGCCACCTGCCTGACGTCATGCCCAGGTCTCCCAGACTCCCGAGTCTGAGTCCAGGTACCCCACGGCCTCCAGGACCCCACCCTCAGGCCCCGAATCCCCCAGGCCCACCGCCCGGCTCTCCTAGCGCCCCCAATGCCGAGTGGACCAGCTTCTCTCAAACAAAACAAAAAACCCTTATGCAGCAGAACACGGCATCACCCCCTTCAAAGCCGGCTCCCCGAGAGGCCGAGGGACGCCAGCGGAGCCACGGGGAGCGAGACACCCCGTTCACCTCTGCCCTCTGCTGGGGGACGGCTCCTCCCTCGGGGAGTGAGCCCTTGCATAGGTCACCATTTTCCATCCAGTGTTTGAGGGGAACCCGGCTGCTGCCCACACCCGAGGGCCACTGGGTCCGTGGGGAACCCCGGGAGGGTGGCCGAAGCCCAGAGATGCCCAGTGTGGGCAAGCGCCCACCCAGTGCCCCCAAGGCTGCAGATTTCCAATCAGAAGGTGGGGACTCCCGGGGACCACAGGCCCCTGCGTCCACCCTGCTCTGAGGCTTGATGGCCGTCTGCACACGGGCCCTGGTCCCGTCCCCAGGGGAGGAGGAGAGGGAGGGCCAACAGCGGGGTTGCCATTGTGGACCGTGCTGGGGCCACCACTGCCCCCACATTGCAGGCCCTCAGCCAGCCAGCACTGCCCCCAGGGAGACACACTTACATGCACCCCACACGCAGACACGCACACACACCTGCACTCCACGCACAGACAAAACGCATGCATGCCACAGGCAGACACGCACAGGGACCTCGGACACTGCAGACATCCCGTGCAAGGGCACGCACATGCAAACGCGGGTGCCACGCACAGACACACTCATGCACACACATGCACCTCATATGCAATCACGCAGACACATGTGCAAACACGCCAGAGCTGTGCCCTGTGGATTCACGCAGCCTCCTGCCACACACAGACACATGTAACCTGCAGCCGGATGCGACTCCAGGCACACCTGCACGCCACCCTTCCCCACCGCTGCACGCAAACACACATGAGCAGCCGTGGGAATGCACACGCGGTGTTGTGGCCAGGACAGGTGAGGGCAGCCGGCCAGGTCCAACAGGACAGGTGAGGGCAGCCGGCCAGGTCCAAGCCCTGGACGCCCCAGCCCGATGCGGGTCGGCTGGGAACAGGCCCAGAGACTCCTGGCGGCCAGCTCAGGGGTACCCAGCCCAGGTTGGGGAGTGGGTTGGACGGACGCTGTGCAGTCACCGGTGGGAGTGGCGGGGCCGGCCAGCCAGACCACCCAACGGGGCCCCACCTTATAGCGGCCCAAGGAGGTGGGTGCGGGGTCCCCTGGGTGCAGGCATCGCCTCTCACAGCAGAGAGGGTGTGATGTGGAGACAGACCACACAGTCATCGCCTGGGCACAGGTGCCAGGCCAATGGGCGGAAGGGGCGGCCGGCGACGCTGCGGCACTGCCCGGGCCTGCAGGCCCCATCGAGCACACGGTCCCCTGGTGCCCACGCTGCTGTCTGCCCCCCATCGCGGCTGTCCCCGTCTCCAGTGCCTTTCTGTATGCCCCTCTCAAAGACTTGGGGTCCCCGCATCCCCCACACACCTGCCCGACCCCATCATCCCTCCCCGGCCAGCCCAGCCTCACACCTTAGGCCTGCCGGCTGACGCCACTCCTCTCCCCAAGCCGATGTCCCCTCCACAGGGTCCCCTTGGATACGGAGGCCCAGCACCACCCCCTGCTGTGCCTGACACCCCCGCCACTCAGGCACAGGTCCCGGGCAGGTGCCCCTGGACACCAAATCTGAGAACTGCAGAGACCCCTGATGTCCGCGACAAAGCCCTGATTCTGGCTGGATCCCGGCTTCCCGGGAAGGTGCTCACCCAGCCCTGGGCCCCACTGCAGGGTGTCGGCTCCGTCCCCAGCAACCCTGGATACCGCAGGCAGGAGAGGAAGGAGGAGGCAGCCTCGGTGCTGCCCAGGTCGGCTCTGCGGACCAGCAAGGCCGTTCCCTCAGGCAGCGGTTTGAGCTGGGCAACCAGGTCAGACCCGGAGCAACAGGAGGTGGCTGGGCCAAGCCAGGCACTGGGGAGGCCACTTCCTTCCCCTGGCCGGGGGTCCGGCCCGCAGCCCACAGCCCTGTGGCAGGTGGGGCAGCAGGACGGCCCTGGTGACCACCTTCCTCCCCCGGTTGCCGGGTCCTCGTGTGTTTGGCGTTTGCTAGAACAAAGGACAGGCCACGCTGGGGACGGGAGATTCCGCAGCTGAAACCAAAAACTTGGGCCGGGGAAGCGCTGCCCGCTGGACTCCCCGCACGGCCAGCGACAGCCTTAATCAAACCCACATGTGACCAGCACAGCGGGCGGCTCGGGGACCCGCTCTGAGGTGGGCCAGCCGTCCCCCAGCGGCCCGGGGTCCCTGCCCTCAGCCCCCAGGGCCCGACCCGAGGCCGTTGACCAGGGTGGGGGGTGGGCCTGTGCGTGTTCCCCACCCCCACGGCGGAACACGGGCCGCCCTTGTCCCCGAGCCCGCCTCAAAGAGACCCCTTCATGCAACTTTCCTCCCGGGGACCGAGGACAGCAGGAGACAGAGGGGACAAGGAGGGGTGGCGGGCTCCAGAGGGCGGCTCGGTCGGCACAGGAAGCGGCTGGAAAACGGAGAGAAAGTGACCAGTAGCAGAAGAGTGGGGGGGGGCCGCCTCAGCCCCCGATGTGCAGCTCCGTGTGCCTTAGGAAGACGGTGACACCCTGAGTGCTGGGGCTGACTCCCTCCCGAGCCCCAGGACCCCCAAAGCCCCGGCTCCCACGGGACCCCCAGGGAAGCTGCAGCCTGCTCCTGTCTTGGAGACCCTGGGATGGTTCAGAGGGTTCTACCCACGTCCAGGCCATGGCCAGGCCCCGGCAAACTTTTTTTGCTCTGACCAACGGGGGCTTCTCCTGTCCCCCACGTTGTGCCTGGCCCGGACCTGGTTCAAAACAAGGGGGCCTGCAGCAGGCGGGTGCGGCATCTCGGCCGGGCGTGGCAGGCAGGGCACTGGGCCACCTGGGTCCTGCCCCCAAGTCCCCCCCTTGCATGACCTTGAGCCAGCTCCTCATCCCCTCTGCACCTCAGTTTCCTGGTCAGCGCCCAGAGGACAAGAGAGGACTCCATCCCACTGCCCCTCCCGGGGCTGACCCCCAGCTCCCCGGCCCCTCAGTCTCCTTTCAAAGCTGGGCCCTTGGCCCCCTGGAGTGAAGCAGATGCTGGGTCCTGAGGGAGGGACACTCCAACTTCCCCAAGTTCATCTGGGGACCTGCGGGCAGGACGAACCCAGAGATCCCTCGAGGGCCACAGTCCCCCACCTCCGGTGCCAAGGTCCCCGGGGATCCCCACCAAATGCGAAACCGAGGGGGCTCCCCAGAGAAGCGGGTGGATCAGGGGTCCCCCCAAGTCCAGGCAGGCAACTCAGGGGCTACCCGGCATCGGAGGGTACCAGAGGGGTTCCCCAAACTCCAGGAGACGTCGGCGCTCTGGGGGATGTGGGGCGCGAGTCCCCACAGTCCGTAGGGCAATGGGGCGCCCCGGGGAAGGCAGGCGCGAAAAGGGCGAGTCCCCCAAACTCCGGGGGGCCGGAGCTCCCTGGGGGGCTCCCGCGGGAACCGGGCGCCCGCATCCCGGCGGCGGCGCGCGCGTGGGGGGCGCCCGGAGCTCCGGGGGCGCGAGGCCGGGCGCGGCTTGGGGGGCGTTGGGGGGTCCCCGGGCGCCCCCCGCGCGCGGCCGCGCTCACCTGGGGTTGCTGCGGTTCCAGTAGACGGCGTAGCGGTCCGAGTTGGCGCGGGCGGCGTCCTCGGCGCGCGCGAAGGGCGGCGGCGGCAGCGGTAACAGCAGGAGCAGCAGCGGGAGCAGCGGGCGCTGCGCGGGCGCCATGGCCCCGGTCCGGCCGCCGCGCTCGCTCTCCCGGCCGCCGCCTGCCAGCCTTCTCCGCCTCCTCCGCCGCCGCCGCCGCCGCCGAGCGGGCGGGCGGAGGGCGGGCGGGAGGAGGGCGCGGCGGCGCTTGGAGATCCCGGGCCGCCCCCGCCTCCGCGCGCGCGACCTCGGGCGCCGAGAAGTCAGGCGGCGGCGGGGCGGGGCGCCGGGGTCGCCCCGGGCGCAGGACCCGGCCGCGCGGACTGTCGGAGCGCGGGCCGCCGCCGCCGCACCCGCCGGGGAGGGGCCCGGGCTCCGGCCTTTGTCCCGCCCGAGCGTCGGGAGGGCCGCGGGCGCCCCCTCCCGCCGTGCCCCGGCCGCGCGGGGACTGGGCGGGGGTCTCCAGCCTGCGCCCGCCCCCTGCCCCGGCCCACCCCGTCTCAGGCTCGTCCCCCGGGGCCTGCCCCCAGCGACCCCGATTCTGCGCGCCCCCCGCCGGCATCCGCGTGGCCCGGCCTGGGGTCTCCGAGGGGCGGGGGCGCACCCTGCCTCCCGCGCCCCCACGCGCTCCACCCGGCCCGGCCCTGGGTCCCGGGCCTCTCACCTGCCCGGTTCCAGCGCTATCCGCAGCCTCACCAACCCCGACGCACGCGTCCCAAATCGGGCTCGGCCAACTCCAGTCTCCCTGCGGGGGCCGGGGCAGAGTTTCAGAGGGGCGCTGGCCAAAGTCCAAAGCTGCTCGGGCTGCGACCTCCCTGGGGCCCTCCTGGGAGTCGCCTCTCCGGACCCACGCTGTTCCCTGGGGATGGAGTAAGTCCCTACACCTCAGCCCTAAGGGTGCCGGGAGCATAGTAGGTGGACCGATGTGGAGTGTGAGCAGCTGGGGATGGGATCCAAGAAGCCCAGAGTGAAGCCCCGGCCGACAGCAAATCAGTCTCCACGCACGAATCCTGCAGGCAGGGGAGGGCCGCTGCCCGGGGGCACAGCTTGTGCAAAGACCCGGGGTCTGATCTGTTCAGGGAACGCCGAGTGATTTCTCCTCCTGGTAGGCTGACACAGGTGGGGAACTGGGGGCCTGGCCTCTGCTTTGTCTTTTTTCCAATCTATAGAGACAGTGTCTGGCCATGTTGGCCACGCTGGTCTTGAACTCCTGGGCTCAGGCGATCTTCCCACCTGGGCTTCCCAAAGTGCTAGGATTACAGGCGTGAGCCACTGCACCTGGCCTGCCCTCTGTTTTTGCCCTTATTCATGCCACAGCCTCCCTCACCAGACTCTGAGCTTGTGGAGGGTAGGCTGTCATCAAACGCTGGCTGGACTTTGCTGGCGATGCCCAGATCGTGTTGTACGTCTCTGAATTAGTGTCATTCACCAGGCCCAGTGCAGGAGAGGGAACTGCAGGGCAAGCACCAACAGCCCTTGGACCCGAAGGTCCCTGTGTGAGGCATTACCCAAACTCCTGGCAGGGACCGTGAACCCAGAGATGGGCAAGCTAACCTGTGCCCCAGCAAGGTGGGGTGGGGACCGGACCCACCACCGTCCCACAGCTCTGAGACGTGGTGGGCTCTGTCCTGTGTCTCCTGCGTGCCCTCCTCCCCCGATTCCCCAGCGGGCCACGCGGGCCACACCACCTGACCTTTGTTCAGGCTGGGTCCTGCTGGGAAGTCCTTCCACTTTTTCTTCCTGTTAAAATCTTGCTCTTCCAGAAAGGTCTGTCCCACCCAGTGCTCTAGCGTCCCTGCCAGGACAAGGTTCTCAGTTCTCTCTCCTCCAGGGAGCTCAGCCCGTCTGTTCTGAGCTCCAGGTCTCATCCCCTGACCCCACTACAGACGTCCCAGGTCGAAGGCCCAGGGCTGGCCGGGTGTCTCTTCAGTGGAGGGCGTGAACCTGTCCCAGGTGGTGGCTGAGGCAGGCCCTCTGGACAGGCTCTCTCAGCACCCCTGGAGTGAGGGCCTTGGGTTCTAGCCACACAAGGCTCTGTAGCCCAGACAGGCTGGAGAAGCTTCCCGGGCGGCTCCGTCTGGTGGGGGGCTCTTTTAGGGAGGGGGACGGCCACTCCCGGAGGTGAGCACTTTCGGAGCAGAGTGTGGCGGCTGCACCCAAGCACAGGACAAGGGGCCGTGAGCCTGGGGTCTTGGCGTGCCCGGCCCCAGCATGCCACCTGGCAAAGGTGGGAGTTCTGGAAGCTTCCTTCTACCCTGGGACCAGAAGCCCCCTCCTGCTTCAAGGGATCTCGTGGGTGAGGAGGGGTGGGCCAGGGTCGGGAGGAGGGGGTCTCTTCTCAAACCAGGACTGGGACCTGCACAGGTGGGAGCTGGAAGGGCACCACCTCCACCCAGGCATGGCAGGGCCACTCATTTGCATGCAGGGGCCACCGAGGCGAGAGCCGCCACCACCGCCACCGCTGAACGGATTTGAGCAGAAGCTCCGTTTTCCTTCTGTTCTTGTCTCTCTCAAGGTCAGAGCCCAAGCAGGGACGGGAACAAAGGCGGTGCGTCCCCCATTCAACCTCCCCGCGCCCGCTGGCCGCTCCTAGAGGAAGGACCTGGGGAAGGGAGGGGAGGGCAGGGCGTCTCCGAGGCCTGGCCCTGGGCGAGGCTGCCCCGGCAAACCCCTGCCTGGCAGGGGGGCCACTGTGGGGGTCCAAGAAGCCCTGTTCCCTCCTGGGGCTGGGAGCTGTCCCGGCTTTGGGACGCAGCCGCGGCCGGAGGTCACTCTAGAGTAAGCTTCCTGTGGAGCCAAGGGTCAGAAATCAGGCTCACTCTGGGAACAGGTGTCCGCCAAGGTCAGGGGTTATCCAGGGTCGCCCTCAGTCCCTGGTCTGGAGCCAGTACAGGGCTTGATGGGGTCTGGCCCCGCCCCCTGCTCTGCACTGCTGGGACTGGGGTCTACCCAGACTCAGGAAGGGACTTGTCCAGCCCGTGCCCAGCACCCACTGCCCACATGGCCAGGCCACAGGGCTTGGGATCAGCGTCCCGCAGCCCCTCAGCCTTCAAAGGCCGCGACGCCAGGAGGAAGCTAAAAATATGCGGGGAGAATTTCTCATTACAGAATAAATTGGACCCAATGCGCTGCCTGCCCTGGTGCCGGCAGCCTTCAGAAGCCCCATCTCAGCCAGGCAAGGATCAGGCGGCAGGGGTCACGGGGCGCTGGGGCCCGGGCAGGTCACAGGCTCCACTCAGGGCGGGAGCCCCACCGCTGTCCATCGCCCCCCACCTGCGAAGCACGGAGCTGGGGTCTGCGCTTAGCCCCAGGGGCCAGGGGCGTTTCCCCTGGGCTGGGTCGCTGTCCTTGAAAATAAAAATGTATCCCTTTCTCCAGTGGGTAACATGAAAATCCCCACCCCCATCCAGCCATGGACCCAAGATTCCTGCAACCCCTGCAGCCAGTGGTGGAAAAGAGCAGGCACACAGCCCCATTCCCAGCTCACCCTCCTCCCTCCTCCCCAGCTCCCATCCTTCCCATTCTCCTCTCTTCACACTCTCCTCCCTCCCTCCTCCCCTCCCTCCCTCCTCCCTTCACACCCTCCTCCCTCCCTCCTCCCTTCACACCCTCCTCCCTCCCTCCTCCCCTCCCTCCCTCCTCCCTTCACACCTTCACACCCTCCTCCCTCCCTCCTCCCCTCCCACCCTCCTCCCCCTCCTCCCTTCACACCCTCCTCCCTCCCTCCTCCCCTCCCTCCTTCCCTTCACACCTTTCCCCTCCCTCCCCCTCCCTACTTCCCTCCCACCTCCCCTCCCTCCTTCCCTTCACACCTTCCCCTCCCTCCCTCTCTCCTTCCTCCCCTTCCCACCCTTCTCCCCTCCCTCCTTCCTTCCCCCTTCATACTACCCTCCCCTCCCTCCTCCCCCTTCCCACTCTCTTCCCCCTTAATACCCCCTCCCTTCCTTCCTCTCTCCCTCTCCTTTTACACCTTCCTCCCCTTCTCAGTCCTCCGCTCCCTCCTCCCTCCTTCCCCTTCACACCCTCCTCCCCCCTCCTTCCCCCATCCTCTGCACCCTCCTCTCCTTCCTCCTCCTCCCCTTCCCTCCTTCCTTCCTTCCTCCTCCCATCCTTCCTCTCCATTCACATCCTTCTCCTTCCCACTCTGTCCCCTCCCTCCTCCCCTTCCTCCTCCTTCCTCTCTCCCTCATCCCACCTTCAGGTCTGGGGCCTGAACACAGACCCGTTCTCCAGTGTCCAGACACCACCAGCGTCCAGAACTTTCCAAGACAAAGGAAATGTCCCTGCCCCCACCAATCGCTGTCCACCACAGTGACTGAGGCCCCAGACCTCTCCCCACGGCGACTGAGGACCCGGACCTCTCCCCATGGCGACTGAGGACCTCTCCCCATGGTGACTGAGGCCCTGGACCTCCAGTTTTATGTAACTTAATGAAATAACGTGAATAGCCATGTGTGGCTTTGTGTCCCACAGCAAAGCACTGGGTGCTTCTCAGGGGCTGGCTGGCCTAGGACGGGGACGTCAGTGGCCTTAATGTGGGGTCAGTGGTGGCTCAGGCCCCCCACAGAGGAGATGGGCACCTGGGGGTGAGATCCCTGGAGGTGGGGAGTCGAGGGTACAGGGGTCTCAGCACCCCCAGAAGAGGCAGAGAGCCCTCCGTCGCCTGCCAACCCGAGTGACTGTGATTTGGCACATGGGGCCACATCCCTGGGGCACCCCGGCACCAGGGCGGCAGAGGAGCCCTGTCTCTATCTCCCCAGGATGAATGTCGGCCCCAAGCTGTGGGCACAAGCCGGCGCCGCAAGGAACCCAACGCATCCCGCCTTTGAGGCCACGTCCCCAGCGCCCACCCGCCCCTATTTCACAAGCGGAGAAGCCCCGCAGTGAGTCCACTGGACTCCAGCCTGGGCGGGGCCCGCTGCTGAAGCAGAGACCCCCACCCCCCCCCACCCAGAGGCACAGACCTGATATGCTGCTTGTCCAGTGGGCACACCGAGGGGCAAGGGTGGGGGGCATGGGTCTGAGACACTCCCCGGCGTGGGGTTAGGAGCTGAGCAGGTCACACCCATGTGTGTGATCGCGTGTCCCACGGGGCTGCGGGCGTCCCATCCATGGAACTGTCCGAGTTGCTTACCGTGTGTCTATGAGACTGTATTTTGTGGGTGCCTGCGTGTCTGCGTGTCTGCGTGGGAGAGGTGGAGGAAGCCACTGCCCGCCCCCGCAAGCTCCCAGGCACCCGCACACACACGCACTCCCACGGGCACACACACGCTCACAAGCCGAGCACCAGCCGGGACCTGGGGCCTTTCATTTCTCGCTGACAGGCCCCTCTCCGGCTCTGAGCCCAGGAGAACCCCTGGCTAACAGTGCATTAACCTTGGGGGGCTGCCAATTACTCTGCAGCAACGTGGGGTGCAGCACGGGCCCCGACAGGCAGAGGGGACGGAGGCAGCAGAGCCCCTCTCCCTGCTCGAGCGGGGGGCGGCGGCGGCTGGGCTGGGGGCTGCGGCATGTTCCGACTCCGGATGGCAGAGCGTGGGTCTCTCCTGACCTCATTAGAGTAATTAATGTGCCTTTTGAAGCTGGTGAAAGCGCTCAGAGCTGTGGGACGGGGGGCACAGATCACAGGGTTGGGGGCCGGGGCTGGTGTCTCCGTGCCTGTTAAAAGTGTGTCCCAAAGGGTCAGACATGGAGACAGAGACGGACAGAGACAAAGTGAAGGAGGCAGATGGAGAGATGCAAACGGGAGTTTGGAGACAGACGCAACGGCCAGACAGATGGGGAACAGCAGAGCCCGAGTCATAGGTGTGACTTGCTTGTCCCCAGTCCCACACACAGCCAGGCTGAGCCAAGCTGCCCTCCCCACCTGCAGTCTCAGGGGCCTCCCTCGGGCTCTGCCCTCACTTTAAGGGTTGCTTCCCCAACCTTCCCTGCAGGATTCCCCTAAAGAACAGGCTGGGGTGGGCAATCAGGGAGGACTTCCTGGAGGCGGCAGCTGAGGCTGGGGCAGAGAAGGACCCAGGGCACTGGAAGGGGAAGGAGAAACGTAAGCAGAGTCTTGGCAGGCCTGGTCAGACGGACATGCCCAAGGGAACAGATAGTACCAGGACAGGGGACCCTGGTCTGAAGGGGCGATAGCCTGGCCCCCAGTGGAGACAGCCCCTCCCAACCCTGGCGGCAGACAGGGAGGGTCGGCAGGTATGTGAGATGCAAACCTGGGGGACTGCCCATCCCCCAGTGGATGTGAGGACACGGTGGGTTCAGGAAGTGGAGTGACAAATGGGCTGTGCTGGACTTGCTTTCCCACATGAAGGGTTAGGACCAAGGAGACAGCCAGAGGACTGGGCGGCTCAAGGCTGCCACCTGGTGGCAGCTCCTCCTCGTGACAGGGCAGTGGCAGCTCCAGACAGGTTGCCTGTGGGGGACCTCAGGCCATGGGTACCCACGCACCATGGTCTCTCCAAGGCTAACCTCATGGGGGACAGGATGACAGGCCAGGGCTGGACTCCGCCCAGACACAGGCCCCTGCAGGAAGAACAAGGCCCCAGGGAAGCTGATTAAGCACCTTGCCTGGGATGGGGTCTCAGGCTCCAAGTCCCACAGGAGGCAGATGGGGGAGGAGTGTCCGGCATGGGGACCCAGGCCGCACGGAACTCCAGCCTCCTGCAGCAGAGCTCTGGGGCTCCCTGGAATCATTGCCAGAGGTATTCATGAGGGTGATGTGGGGATCCTCCAGGGCAGGGCCCATGAGACCCAGGCTGAAGGGATGGCATAGAGGGGGCCCTGGGGCAGGGGCTTTGACGGATGAATAGGAGTTCTCTCTAGGAAGAGAGATGCTGACAGGCAGGGCCTCATCCCAGGCAGCTGAAGATGGGTTCCTTACTTGGGAGCAAGGCTGGAGAACCCAAGCATGGTCGCAGATGGGGAACCGAGGCTGGCTTGAGCCCTGCTCCGCCACCCACCCCCACACTGGCTGCACCAGTACGCACGGGTCTAGAGGTGGCATGGGGTCAGCACCAGCTGCAGAGACATGGCTGCATTTATTGTTCCCAGCCCGGCGAGAAGGTGTTCCCAGAAAGGTTCCTTGGGTCACCTGCCCACCCAGCCTTGGCTCTGGGCTGCCATGTCCCCACGGGGGCAGGAGAGAGGCACAAGTCACAGTCAGGCAAGGGAGCCTCAGCGTCCTGGGCGGTGGCTGTTGGGGTCCCTCCAGTCTTCACCTGGGACCCTCGGCCAGGCTGGGACAGCATCCAGGAGGCGAGGCTGCATGGTCCAGCGGTGGGTGCAGGTGGCAACAGGTCGGCGGGCTGTGCAGGTTCCAAAAGGAGCTCTCGGGTTGGCACTGGGTGAGACCAGCCCCGGGGCCAGCAGGGGAATGAGCGGTGGAGCAGGGGGTTGCTGGGCACTGGGGTGGGCCCCATCTCCTGTCCTTCCCTCATGGCTGCTGGAAGGGCCGCCTCCCTGGCTCAGCATCTGAAAGCAGGGGGTCAAGGGTGAGAGGGAAGGAGTGAAGGGCCCGCCCTGCCGGGCAGAGGCTCACCCAGGTCAGGCAGGGGCAGGCAGCCTGTCCAGGCCCCTCGGTCTACCAGGGCCCAGCCTCCCCCCACTGGCCTCCCTCCCCGGCCTCCTGGGCCCTGTGCAACTGCCCACTCCGGGGGAAGGGGCCCCCAGCCAGGAGGTAGAAGAAACCTGGGAGGGGTTCCCAGAATGGAGTCAGAGCATGCGGAGGGATCCCAGTGCCTCCCTCCCTGGGGGCTCAAAAAGTCAGAGCTGTCCCCAGAGGCCGCCCAGTCTCCTGGTCTCCCAGCCTCCATGCCTGCCACCCCCCAACAGGCCAAGGTCCCCCCAGCAGCCACACTGCAGCGCAACATACCCATCATTCCCTGCCCAGAACCCTGCTAACCCCTGACAGCTGCCTCGATGCCCAGGCCTACCCCAGTCCCGCCCGGCATCTGCGCAGCCCGGCCGCTCCCTGCTGTTCCCTCGGCCTGAGACACTCTTCCAGAAGCCAGCCCCATTACACCAGGGAGAGGCCCTCCCTGACCCCGCCCGCTCAGAAGCATCCTGCAGTCAGTTCTCCACCTGACTTAGACCTCATCCCTCAGGGAGGGGCCCAGATGGAGCAACCACTACCCTAAGCCCTGCAGCCGCTTTCCTGCCTTAAAAAAGCAAGAAGGCTGACCACGGTGGCTCACACCTGTAATCCCAGCACTTTGGGAGGCCGAAGCGGGCAGATCACCTGAGGTCAGGAGTTCGAGGCCAGCCTGGCCAACATGGTGAAACCCTGTCTCTACTAAAACTACAAAAATTAGCCGGGTGTAGTGGTGAGCACCTTTAATCCCAGCTACTCAGGAGGCTGCGATGGGAGAAATGCTTGAACCTGGGAGGTGGAGGTTGCAGTGAGCAGAGATCGTGCCATTGCACTCCAGCCTGGGCAACAAGAGCGAAACTCCATCTCAAAACAAAACAAAACTTAGGTCAGGTGCGGTGGCTCACACCTGTAATCCCAGCTCTTTGGGAAGCCCAGGCAGATGGATCACCTGAGGTAAGGAGCTGGAACCCAGCCTGGCCAACATGGTGAAACCCCATCTCTATCTACTAAATACAAAAAATTAGCGAGGCGTGGTGGCGGGTGCCTGTAATCCCAGCTACTCGGGAGGCTGTGGCAGGAAAATCGCCTCAATCCCGGAGGCGGAGGTTGCAGTGAGTTGGGATCGCGCCACTCCACCTCAAAAATAAATAAATGACAAACATTTAAGTTTAAAAAAAAAAAGTTGTAAATGGAGGCTGGGAGAAGGGATGAGCCCTGCCCAGTGGGGCCATGGCCTGACTACCGCTGTCAGCTGTGATTGCAGGGACCACTCCATGGCTTGGCCAAGTCCCCAGGGTCCTGCTGAGTCTCCAGCCCAGCCTGCCCACCGAGGCCCCAGAGCTGGGGAAGGGTGCACACCATCTCAGATTCCGGGACTCAAACACCGTCTCCTCGTCGCTGTCCAGCGAGGCCATCTCCGTGGGGTCCTCAGTGTTGGCGAGGAGGCCGTATCGCCTCCGCTGAGGCTTCTTCAACCTGGAAGTAGGTCCAGGCATAGTCAGTGGCCCCTCCCCGCCAACCCTGCCTCCTCCTTCCCTCAGGACTCTCATTGCCGTCCTCTACTGGAGCCCCGAGCCCTGCTGCAGACCTCCCTGGTTTTGCTGTGCCTGCTTCTTTCATGTCCTAATCGCCAAGTGATTACCATTCACTCCCATGGCGATGACAGTAAGAAGACATGTGCCCTACCAGGCCCTCCCATCTCCCCTGCGCCAGGACCCCAGGAGAGGCACGCTGATGTCACTCCCATTGCACTGATGAAAAGACTGAGGCTCACACAGGGGTGAGACTTTGCCAAAGACAACAGAATGGAAGCCTGTCTCAGGGCCAAGCCCCTGGTGGCCCCAGCAGCCCGGGAGGCAGGGAGGGCGCGGCATACAGGCAGGGGAGAGCGCGCAGCAGGTGCTTCCACAGGAAGAGGTGTGGAGCACAGGGGAGGCTCTGCACAGGGCCCATAAAAAGCAGCATGGCGGAGTGCAGGTGCTCACATCTATAATGCCAGCACTTTGGGAGGCCAACGAAAAAGGATCACTTGAGCCCAGGAGTTCAGACCAGCGCGGGTAACATGGCGAGACCCCATCGCTACAATAAAAACTTATAAAAAATAAAAAGCGGCTTGACTTTGCCAGGGTGGTGATGGGGAGGGATAAGGTCCTCGCTGTGTCTCTCCCACCCGGGAGAAGCAGCCACACTGGGTAGTCAGGAGCCCAGAGGAGACTGGAGCCACAGGCCAGGGAAGCCGGGGTGGCCTGAACACGCAGAAGCCCCTCCTGCCCAGGGGCTGCCTACAGCTGGAGACCCCCGCGAGGGTCTGGGGACGCAGCTGCACCTCCCGGGCTGTGGGAGCACCCAAGGCGGGCACGTGGCCGACCCTGGCGACGAACCAGCTTCAGTGGGTAGAAGCAGAAAGGAAAATATCGGGACCCCACGGAAAGGCCTGGCGGCAGGCGGGAAGATGAGAACGAGGACGGGCATCCGGCGACAAGGAGCCAAGGAGGCCCCCTCGCCCCGCCAGGGCCTGACCCCTGCCCGGCATGCTCCGGCTTCAGTGGCCCCACCTGGGAAACGGGCAGCGTCACCCCCGAGTTAAGAGGCGGCGCGCTGGGCACCTCCAACCCCAGGCGCAGGCTGGAGAGCGGGTGAGTCCCGTGGCCCCTGCACCGCCCACACCACGTGACGACCCCGCACAGCACCGCCCACGCCCACTCCAACAGGGAGAGAGGGAGGGAGGGAGGGAGGGAGGGGAGGACCCCGCGGCCCGGCACGTGACGCACTAGGCGCGCGCTAATTGGCCAAGGCTGAGAGACGGCGCCCACGTGCGCCTGACGCACCTAAACGCCCGGATCAGGAAGTAGAGCGCGGTCAGGCCGCAGAAGCCCAGGATCACGTAGAAGGAGCGCGTCAGCGCCGAGCCCGACGCCCCCGGCGGACGCGTGTGCGTGCTGTTGTGTGGCGCGCCCGGCTGGCTCCCGTTCGTCACGGCCGGCGGCGGCGACAACGTGACCTGCGCGGGGCGCAGCGGCGAGGCCTCTTCGGCACCGCACGGCAGCGCCGCCAGCAGCAGCGCCAGCAGGAGCAGCAGCAGCGGCGGCTGCAGCACGCGCGGCCCCATGGCCCGGCGGAAGCGGTGGCGGCGCCCCGCCCCTATGCGCGCTGTCAGTCAGGCGCGCGGAGGTGATGCCAGCCAATGGGGCGCGGAGGCGGAGCTTGACGCCGGGCCCCGCCTCCGCCTGGTGAGCCCCGGCGCTACCCACAGTGCCCCGCGCGCCCGCCGCGGAACTTGCTTCGTCGAACCGCTCCAAGGGATCAGGACGGAGGCCCGGAGCCCGCCCGTGGGAGTCCCGGCAAGGCGCAGCCGGCAGAGCCCAGAACTGCCAGCCCAGCGTGGGGGGTCGCGGCTTCCGAGGAAATCGGGCTGGCAGCGGGGAGACGGGGCGGACCCCGACTTCAGGACCTCGGGCCGCTCATTCCCACCCACTTCGGGGCGACCCCCGCCACTCCTGCCCCGGCCTCACGGACACTGAGAACGCGTCGGCCACGTCCAGGGCCCAGGAAGGTGGCGCCCCGCTCCCAAGCCTGCTACAGGGAACCCGGGACTCGGCCCAAGACGGGGCCTGACAGCGGCTGCGCGGCCGCCGCTCCCTCGAAGCCGAGTGCGCCTCAGATCCCGCGAGACTGGAGTCTCCGCGCTGCGAACCCCCTCAGTGGCGAGCCCCCCGCGGTCACTGCTCGGACAATGACCCTTGCAGTCTTCCCTGTCGGGTCCTACTCGTGCGCTGAACCGAGGTCCGCAGGCTTTTCTTCCAGTGGCCCCGCTCCGCCGACAGACCCCCCTGAACCACAGACTCGGCTTTCTGGGTGCACACGTGGCCCTTTATTCGAATCCGACTTTCACAGGGCTCCACATCGTTGTGGGCAAGGACTGGCCGCCCCGTAAGCTGCCGGCGCACCGCAGCCCGTGCTCCAGGAGAGACTCGAGGCCCTGAGCCCGCACCTCACTGGCGAAGCGCCTCCTGGAAGGAGGAGGAAGGGAGGGAGAACAGGCGCGGGCTCCAGGCGGGGGACCCGGCGCTCCCGGGAGGCGCTGCCCTGCACCCAACACACACCGAAAGGCGCCCGCCATGGGGCCATAGGTGCGGGAGAGCAGGACTCACTGAAACGCCCAGGTGCCGCCCGGGACAGGGCTCAGCGCCACATGCCACTCTTCCCGAAAGCACTTACAGGGGACAAGCCTCCTGGGCAAGCGGCTGCCTCCAGCTCTTGTTCCAGGTGAAGTCCCTCCTGGGACAGTGACCCCAGAGGTCATCGCTGCTCTCAGGCCACCCTTCCCCGAGTCCTGGCCGGGCCCCTTCAACCTGCCAAAGCAAAGCAGCGTTACTCCCAACGTCCTCCACAGGGCTCACAGCTGCCCCTCCCGGCCTCCCCGGAAACAGCCACAGCCCCTAGGAAGGTCTCAGGCTAGTCAGGGGGCTGTGACCTCAGGCTCCGTCACAGGCCAGCATGCCCAGGGCGGGTCTGCACCTTGGCGCAGCTGGAGCCAGCTACCCGTATGGGATGGAGCTATGTGGGCCAGTGTGGGCTCTAGAAAAAAACTAATGGCGGCAACAGACATCAGAGAAAGCTAAGTTAAGAGTGTGACTTAAAGAGGTCTGGAAAAGACGGTCAATTGAGCAAAAAATCCAAAAGGCGGGGGCGTTCACTGGTCTTCAATCCTGCTTAAGGGATTTCATCTATGAGCCAGGCATGACTGGGCCCAGGCTGCACCTGGCTGCACGTGGGGAGCGTAATGGCTGGGCCTGACTTTAGTTCCAGCTTAATTGAAAAAAACAAAAACAAAGTTAAAAAAAAAAGGAAAAACAAAAAACAGTCACAGGAACATTCCCCGGGCACATGACTTTCAGTGAGCTCTCAACAAGAGGGATGTGGACACGAGCGGAAGGAGTTACCTCGAATTACAGGGCTATTTCCACATATGAGCTAGCCAAGGGAGCAGCTTGCGTCTCAGAGGGTTCTGTTGGGCGCACAACACTTCTGTCCTCCGAGGGCTGCAGCTTCCATAGGCTAGCAGAGAATGCTCAGAACTCGTGAAGCAACAGCAGAACTAGCTAACCGGCTGGCCGTCTGAGGTCGCCCTGGGATGCCACGTGCCTCTGCTCTCTGGCCTGCTTCTAGACTGAGGCAGTCCAGGTCAGCGTCAGGTGCACGTCCACTGTCCCTGCTAAGCTGCCCGCACAGTCCAGCCCTCTGGCCACCACTGCCAGAAGCCTCCCAGGGCTGCCCTGAGGCCTGAGCTGCCCGCTCCCGTCCCCCGCCTGGCTCCCCTACCCTGACCAGCGCCAGTCTGCTGGGCCTCCCTTTCTAGCTCTGCAGGCCCCAGGGAAGGCTTGCAGACCCGCTGCTTCTCCACCTTCTCTCTCTGCTCAGGTCTGGCTGCAGGAGCCCGCAGCAAGGAGTGTGTGGTGCAATGCAAGGGAATTGTCAGAGCAAGGTTCATTTCACACGGTCTTTTAATCGGCTTCGTAAAGCCAAAGAAAACTGCGTACAAGAATTCCTCAGCCACTGCAAATACAACATCGATGGAGTATGCGTACGTCTTCCAGTAAAAAAGGACAATATAAATAAACATCTTCAAGAACCTCTCAGGGACGTCTGCACGTCTACTGTGGGGCGCACAGCACAGATGGACGCAGGGGCTGGGGCTCCAGGGCAGTTGCTGCCACACCCGCCGGGGTCCTACCACACTACACTCAGAAACGTCACACGGAGTTGGAAAAAAGCCACAGCTTGCTCAGCTTCCGACAAAGAGCGGATTCACAGTCCGTTCGATCTCAGAGAAGTGAGTGGGGCACCCACTTCATGGGGCCAACCCCACTAAAAAAAAAAAGGCAACGCAACCAAAAACTAAAACAAAAACCAAAAACCCACACAACCCCCGATTTTTTTGAAAACTCATGGCTCGTGGTCAAAAAAGTAAATGCTTTTCAAAATGTTTTGAAAACCCTCAAAAAAAAACAGCACTTCCTTAAAAAGAAAAGTCTAGTAACGAGGCCATCCCGGCGTCAGAAGCGGTCAGGCTGGGTTTGACAAGATCAGAACCGAAATGACTACGAAAGTGGGAATACAAGGAGGTGCATTTACTACACATTAACGTTCAGCGAAGCTCCCACAATCTTTAAACACACAGCCATTGGAAGGACGATCTTGAGCAGGAAGGGTTTTTACTCGTTGTGTGTAGCTGAGGACAAGAAGCAGGCACAGTGTAAAGGCACCGAAGCAACAAGAGGCAGCTTCACCCCAGAGGCCAGACCAGGGCGCGGCCTGCGGCCGGGGAGCAACCACCCCCCACAGCCGAGGGAGGCTGGCCTGCGGCCACACATGCACCTAGCTGACTGCCCAGCGGGCCCTCGCTCTCCCTTGCCTTTTTGGTCAGTCTCATTTGGCTTTTGCGTCCTGCGATAGAAATGGCTCTGAGAGGACAGATGCGCCTCTTCTGGGCAAGCACAGTGACAAGGTCTGAGTGTCCAGCCTAAAGTGCTTGGAGAGGGCACCAAGGTGAACCGAGCTCCCACCGCAGGCCACAGCAGCGTGGCGCCCTCGGAGTGTGACTTACCGTAACTGTCATAACTGTCTCTGTAGGACCCGCCCGAGCTCCGGTCACTGTAGCCACCACTCTGACTCCGGCTGCAAGACAGACAAACGTTGAGTACCGGAAGGTACCCGTCTACTTCTGCTCTGCCACAACAGGCTGAGCCGCCAGCCCCCATGCCAGCCGTCCCTTCTGGGGACACAACAAGGACCCCAGCAGGGCAGCATCTTGGAAATTGTTCAAAATCTCCACCAGCCTGTCCCCCAGGCCCTCCCGCTTCTGCGAATGTCCTGAGCAGTCTCCTCTCCTCTTGGCCTGGGTCCCCACCTGCCTCTGCTCCTTGCCCAGCCAGTCTCATCTCAGCTCCCCCAGGGACCTGGGACCCGGGACGGAAGCTGGCCATCCCGCAACCACCCCTGTGCTTGGGCCGGCCTCCCCCTCACCTGCTATAGTAGTCTCTGGAGCCTCCGTAGCCCCCACTCCTGGACTCGAACCGGTTCCCCCCATAGCCTCGGTCCCCTCCTCCTGCACATACAGGAAAAAGTGAGTACCAGCTCCCACCAGCAGTACCTCACAGCATCCCCAAGGGACCCACTCATGGCACTCACCTCTAGAGAACCCACGGCCCCGTCCTCGGCCCCCACGGAAGAAGCCCCGGCCCCCGGCAGAGCCACCACGGTACCCACGGGATCGGTTGTCTGACGACTTGCCTGCCTGGTCTACTCGGATCTGCCGTCCATCTACAGACTGGAGACAGAGGGCGGGACGGGTTAGCAGGTGGGTGCCCCATCCTCGAGACGGGACTCCTGCTCAGCACCCTGATCCTCACCTTCCCATTCATGGCCATCATGGCATCCTTAGCGTCGTCAATGTTCTCAAAGGTGACAAACCCAAATCCCCGAGATCTCTGGGTCTCCCTGTCTTTCACAACCACCACTGTGCAGGGGAGAGAGGTCTGCAGTCAGCACCCAGCTGTACTTCCAGGTAGGAGGAGCACAAGCCCCCCCGCCCAGGGCCGCGGGCCCAGCAGCAGCCTCACCTTCAGAGATCTGTCCGTACTTTGAGAAGACCTGCTCCAGCGACTGCTCATTGGTGTCAAAACTCAGCCCTCCAACAAAAAGTTTGCCTTCATCTGATGCCATGGCGGCCTGTGGCAGACACCAATGAAATCCTCAACAGGGGTCATCTCTCACCACCTCTCCCCGCTTCCTATTTTATGTAAATGACATGTGTTTTTTAGGGGAAATATTAGAAAATCAGATTTTTATTTTTCATTATCTCAAACTCATACCTAGGACTTATTTTTTTGGGGTCGGGGGCAGTGTGTCTAACTGTCACCCAGACTGGAGTGCAGGGGTCACTGCAGCCTCCACCTCCTGGGCTCAAGCAATCCTCCTACCTCAGCCTCCCAAGAAACTGGGACTGTAGGTGTACACCACCACGCCTGGATAATTTTTTTAAATTTGTTTTAGTAGAGATGGGGTCTTGCTCTGTTGCCCAGGCTGGTCTGAAACTCCTGGGCTCAAGCAATCCTCCCACCTTGGCCACCCAAAGTTTTGGGATTACAGGTGTGAGCCACCGCACCCAGCCACCTAGGACTTCTTAATTCAAATAATTTACTCCATCCACCCCCAAGACTGAAGGCAGGCCGCACCCATTTCCACAATGGGTGTCTCCCTTCCCCCACAGCCTTCCAGTTGTGCCCTGGGCAGGACTGCACTCTCAGGTTCTCCTATTTCCGAACGGGTGCCAACTCCTACCCTAACCAACTGACATCTACTTGTTGCTGGACCAGAACGTGCTTCTGCTCACTGTAAAATGCCTCCTGAGACTGGGGGGGGGGCTGGCTGTCAGGGAGGCCGCCCCGTCCTGGGGGGCACCTCAGGGCAGGTACTGACTTCCATAGCCAGGACCTAGGCCGGGAATCGGGAAGGGATGGCCCCGGAAGTGATAAGGCAGGATTTCCAGGCAGGGGAAGTGGCATTTAGGAGAACTGGCTATTTAAGGGGGCGGTCAGTGCTGACACAGACAAAGCATTCACTGGCTGGGAATGGCCGCCACCCAGTGGCTCTGAGAACTAGACTTGGAAGTCTGGCACTGGGAGCTGTGCCAACTTGGACCAAACTTTGGGCGCAAAGCACGACGTGGCAGACGAGGAACCACACTAGAACGGGCCACGCCTACCCAAGATTTACGAGGCCGTCCTTTCCCTCATGCAATCGCAATGGGAAAAGGAGGAAACTAAGGCTCGGTAAGCAAAAGCGTTGGTGTGTGGATACCTCCAGCCCCAAGGCCGGGAAAGCGGCCCTGGAGACCGGGGGCGCCACGTGGCCCCGCCCCCGCCGCGTGCGCATGCGCCCCGCGCGCACCCTGCGCCACTCCATCCGGGAACTCGGCGCTCCCGCCATTTCGCTGGGCACAGCCTCGAGCTCGCGGCCGCCATTTTGCGGCGGCAACCGGGTCGCCGGCGGCCCGGACCGGCGGGGAGAGGCCCTCTGGCCGCTACTCGGCCCAATCTCCCGCTGTCCCTCGCCGCCGGCGGGGCGGACTCCACCCCGGGCCCGCCCCCTCCCAGGGGCGTGCCGCTGCGGCCCCGCCTCGCCTGGCCGCCGCAGGCCGCCCGCCGCCCCGAGCTCCTCGGAGCCGGTGCAGCCAGGGCCCTCACCACTGAGTCGGGCAGGTCCCTGACGCAAGCGGGAAGACAGCGCACCACAACGACCCGAGCCTCCTAACGCGCGAGTGAGGGGGGGGCGTCCCCGAGCCCGGCCTTATATACGCTTCCGCCGGGCCCCGCCCCCTACACATCCTGGGCCAATCAGAGGGCGCGCCTGCGTCTTATATTCATGAGCTGGGGGCCGAGTCTATCTCGGTTCCGCCCCCTCCCGCGGACTGGTGTCGGGCTCGACTATTGGCCGAGACGTTTGCAGTCCGCAGTCCTCCACCCGCGCTCGAGGGGGCGTGACCAGCGCGCGGCGGGGCGGGGCGGGGCTGACCCAGTTACGCGTGCCTGCTCCCTGGCCTGCGGCGGGGAACAAATGGGCCTCTAGCCCCGATTCCCAGGCCTCAGGCCTCATGGGGACTTCTGGGTGTCACTGGGACCCCGACTTTGCCTGTGCTCCAGCAGTCCCGACATAACAACCTAGCCCAGATCCCCTACCCAACCAAGACCCGGCTGTCAGACATCCCAACTTCATCTGAACCCCGACACCTGTCGTGATATTCTTGCCAATACAACCGACGTCCCAGTTTTCCCAGCACCCCAGCACTCCATTCCTGCCATCAACCCCATGCCCACCAAAACCCCAACAGAGACAACCCCATTCATGCGAACCCCAATATTCGCAATCCCAATTCTTCCTACATCGCCACACTTTGGTGCACCCCAACTTTACGCAACCCAGTTTGCCTACAAACTCCAACCCGCACCCAAGCCTAACTCCCACTGGAACCGCGATTATCACGGCTGGGTGCGTGGCCCACACCCCCACACTCGCCTGGCCGGATAGTGTTGTGCGTCCCTGCTGTCGGGTGCAGGCGGACACCCCGAGTCCCCACTGCACCCCAGCACTCCGCCCGGCCCTCGGCCTCCCCTCCCACCGTGCTGCACAGCAACGGCGCACTCGCTCCCCACGCGGGGCCAGGCCCACTCTGCTCCTCCACCCAGGCCTTTTCTCTCCTTCCACAGGCCTCCCCTACTGAGCCTGGTTGGCGGAGGGGAGTCTTAAAGCCGCCGCCATCTGGAGAACCAGCTTTACAAGGACCCTCACTCACTACTCTTCGGCGGCCCCAAAGCCTCTGGGGGGCCCTCTATGGCCACCACTTGCTCCTCGCCCAGGAGTCATCTCATGCCGCCGCCTCCCCCAGCCCTGGTGGAAGAAGCCAGCGCGGACCCCTGCCTCTCTGCCCCAGAAAGTCTTCGGAGGGATGACCCTCTGCTGACAAGCTGGGGGAAGTTGGCGTACAGAGACCCCCGCTTTGCTGCTCATCCCAGGGAAATCCCGGCCCCACTCCTGACCTCAGACTCACTTCCACCCTCAAGTGGATCGAGGTGGGGGTAGCCAGGGGCGCTGTCTCCAGTGACAAGGTCTCTGGGACCCCTCATGGGCTCAAGACCCCCTCCCCCAGGCAGCAGCTGTGTGATTCATCACCACCCCCTCTGCACCTCGGGCCCCCCCACTACAGCCGCCCCACTCCCCGTCAGCGGCAGCCGGCTGCTGCGTCAGCCACTCACGCAGGGTGGTTATTAAAGGAGAGAGACATCAGCACCGAGCTCCCCTGCGCCCGCCGTCCATGCGGGAGGGGCCACCCACCCACTGGAGCCCCAGACGCGGGCGCCACATGCCCAGCCTGGGAGCAATTCAGGCCCATTCTTTCTGATCTGCGCCCCCAGCCCCCAGCCCCAGCAGTCAGCGCGGTGGACGTTCTCTGACCCAGAGCAGCCCTTGTAGGGGGGGAGTTGGAGGGGGTGCCTGGTAGTCACAGCGGCCCCTGCATAATTGCGTAATTCTTGCCGCTCCCCCCAGCCCATCGTTCCCTGGTTCTGTGAGCCTCTGCCTTTTCCTGGTTTTGCGAAGCGCCGTGTTCATTCATTCATTCATTCATTCAGCCAGTGCCTAGTTATTAAGCGCTTACTACGAGCGGGTTCCTGGGTGCGGGCTCCGTGAGTGTCCGCAGCCATCCTGGGTTCCCAGGGTGGCGTTGACACGCACCTGCGCACACCTGCCGCTTTGCATCTGTGCCGAGCACTGTGCACCGGCTTCCAGGTGTGGACCTGTGTCGGTACCTGTGCCTCTGGGGTCAGCTGCGTCTGCGAGCACCCGTGACTCCCAGGTATCTCACCGCGATCCTGTGTCCCCACCGGGGGTCTCAGGCGGCTGGGACCCCTTCATCCACCCCTGCTGGCCACTGACCATGCGGGACCCGACCGGGACGCGCTGCCCGTTGCGGACACCAGGGGGCGCTGCGGCCTCGCTCCGTCCGCGGCGTTTGGCTCGAGCGGCCGGGCTCCCGGTGCCGCCGCTCCACGCAGACGCCTCGCGTGGGAGAGGGGGCCCCGCCGCCCAGCCCTGCGCGGCCACAGCGCACAGTCCTCGAGGGGTCCAATCTCGCGGGGCGAGGACGCAGCCTGCGTGTCGACCCCCAGCCTCCCGCCGCCCCCGCGCCTCGGCCCCAACGGAGGAGCTCAAAATAGCCGCGCCGGGCGGGGGCGAGACTGCTATTCCGGGCCCGACGCGCGGGGCTCGCCCCTGCCCGGCGAGGCGCGGGGATCAGTCAGAGTCCCCGAACCTGCTCCCCGCGCGTCTGTCTTGGGCCCCGTGGGCCCATTCACAAATCCGCCCCCTTTCCAGCCTGCCGTCTCGGAAGGGGCGCGCACCTCCTGCACCCTGATACTCCTCCCGGGCCTCCTCCCCTGCGGGGCGTCGCCATGGAGACGAGGGCGGAGCTCCCTCGCTCCCGCACCGCCCACTCCGCCCTCCCCACGGGGCCCCGCCCGCCGGACGCCAGGTCCTCCCCCGACCCCGACTAATGACCGGGCGGGAGGCGGTAGAGAGCGTCTAGGCCTGCGACGGGCGTGGCCGAGGATGAAAGGCGCGTGGGGGGGACCCCGGGGCCGCATAATTACCGCCTCCTCCTAGCCAGGCGGGGGCCGGGACCGTGCACCTGGCGGCCGCCCCGCGGGGGCGCAGAAATAGGACCGTCCTGGCAGAGGCTGCAGCCGACCCAGCTGGCCCCACTACGCGGGGCCCAGAGCCAGGGTGGGGGATGCAGAGACCGGGCGTGCGGGTTGCCAGGTGTGGCGCACATGTGTGCCCGTGGGCAGAGTACAGAGACACAAGCTTGTGTGGACACGAATGTGTAGCTATGTGCGAGTGCACACGGCGTGGTGAGTGCAGGGACCCCAGGCCGGCCTGCGTCGGTGCGCAGGGCATATAGGGGCGTGCACGCAGTCTTGGAGGTGTGTGCACAGAGCCCCCGGCACCCGCGTGTGTGCAAAGACACAGGAACCCGTCTGCGTGGCGCTGTGTGTGCAACCCAAGGAGGTGGGCGCTTGGACTCCAAAGTGTGCGCTTATCCGGATGTGGATGTGGGGGCAGCCGGGGACAGGGCTGGGTGTGCGTGACTCGGGTGTGCCGGGACCCACAGAGCATATGTGTCCATGCCTGGTGCTGTGACTCATGTCCCTGGGGTGGGCACGCGTGCTGTGTCAGCGGGAGCCGCGCCTCCCAGGGCAGCCCAGAGTTCCAGAAGCCCAGAAGAGGAAGGGTTAAACCTGCCTCTTCCCCCAGCTCCCAGCTGAGTCCAGGGCTGGGATCTCAGGTCCCCTGGGAGGCCCCGCGCGCCCCCCCCCGCCACCCCGCCCCACCCCCGGGCCTGAGATTCAGGGGCTGCTACACAGGAAAGCCGGACTGAGCTGCTCCCCAGCCTCAGTTTCCCTCCTGTTCCTCGGATGCGTTCGCAGGGTGGGTCGGCTTCCCTTCCCTGTGACTCACCCCCTCCCCACAGGCCTGAGTCACAGCTCAGGAATGTGGAGGCTGGGAGGCCCTGTCTACTCCTGCCCCGGCCAGGCCATCCCAGCAGCCCAAAGGCCAGGCCTGGGCCACAGAGGGACATCCCCGGCACACACACCCCGCCACAGGCCACACACAGGTGCACACCCACACCCCTGCTTCGTACCCACTGGACACAAAGTCATACACCATGCACTCGGCATCCGGAGACCCTGCCTGCCACAGGCACACGCAGTAGACAGGCTGGGGACAGGACGGACCCCGACCTGCCCTGGGGTCACACACCTGTTTGCTCTTTCAGTACACAGGATACTGCAGAGACATAGGTGACCCCTTCTGCTGGGGCGCAGACCAGCCAAGCACATGTGGCGGACGTGTAGTGACGTGCACCCATGCGTGTCTGTGACGTGCAGATCAGGTGTCTGTGAAAGGCCCAAGACCCTGCATGGCCCACGGACACCCTAAAGCTGACCGAGGCTTAGGCTCGCCTGCGTGGACGCTGGGGATGCAGCCACCTAGTTTCTGAAACTGGGAAAAGGTCTGGGGGCTCCGGAGCCCCCACCTCCATGCAGCCTCAGATGTTGCTTAGCAACAGATGCGCGCTCTGGGGTAGGCGGATGGATCTCCACCTGGGCCCAGTTCCCTCTCATGGGACTACACGTCCTGTGCCTAACAGAGAGGTCAAAGAGTGGGGATTTCCTGCAAAGCCAACCAGGCTCAGGGTGGCCCTGCCTAGGGTGGGAGGTATCTCCATGGCAACAGTGGAGTGGGACAAGTGGAGAGTATTTCCCCACTCTCCCAGGCAGCTGCAGGGGCTCAGGACCTACGGAGTGCAAGTGAAGACACCTATGTTGCATCTTGCTGGAGAGGCACCTGGCACCTGCCCGCCCCAGCGTGCCTGGAGGGTTCCCACATCCAGACGGACAGACGGGCCAGGGGACACCCGTCCAGGCAGCCATGGCTGCTCAGCCACAGTCCCTGGAGGGTCAGGGGCCCAGCTGTGAGGCAGGCGGTGCCCAAGACGCTCTCTGGACCGCACTGCTTCATCTGAGAGGTGGGCATGCCAGCAGCACCTCCTGGGGTTAGAGGCGCACAGGGAAGACCTGGTAGGAAGTCGGTCAAGGGCAGTTAGCAGCAAAAGACAGCTCCACGCAGCGCCAGGCTTTCCTTGTTGTTTGCTTCCTTGATGTGGCAGTCCACATGGAATCATCCCGTATGCAGGCCGGGAGCGCTGGCTCATGCCTGGAATCCCAGCACTTTCGTTTGAGTCCAGGAGTTTGATACCAGCCGGGGCAACATAGCTAGACCCTGTCTCTACAAAAAAAAAAAAAAAGCAAAATTAGCTGGGCATGGTGGTGCTCACCTGTAGTCCCAGCTACTCAGGAGGCTGAGGCAGGAGGATCGCTTGAG
The DNA here is from genome assembly GCF_000001405.40 of Homo sapiens. Taxonomy (NCBI): domain Eukaryota; kingdom Metazoa; phylum Chordata; class Mammalia; order Primates; family Hominidae; genus Homo; species Homo sapiens. Next base: position 1,264,156 of record NC_000019.10, on the reverse strand, counting down.
CCCAGGAGTTCCAGCGAGGCTGCAGTGAGCTGTGATGGAGCCACTGCGTTCCAGCCTGGAAAGAGAGTGAGACCCCGTCTCGAAAATACTAATAACTGGGGCCAGGTGTGGTGGCTCACACCTGTAATCCCAGCAATTTGGGAGGCCAATGCGGGTGGATCATTTGAGGGCAGGAGTTTGAGACCAGCCTGACCAACATGGTGAAATCCCTTCTCTACTAAAAATAAATAAAATTGGGCTGGATGCTGTAGCTCACGCCTGTAATCCCAGCACTTTAGGAGGCCGAGACAGGCAGATCACTTGAGATCAGGAGTTCGAGACCTGCCTGGCCAACATGGGGAAAGCCCGTCTCTACTAAAAAAATACAAAAATTAGCCGGGCGTGGTGGCGGGCGCCTGTAATCCCAGCTACTCCAGAGGCTGAGGCAGGAGAATCACTTGAACCCGGGAGGCAGAGGTTGCGGTGAGCCGAGATCGCGCCAATGCACTCCAGCCAGGGCGACAGAGCGAGACTCCGTCTCAAAACAAAAACAAACAAAAATAATAATTGTCCCGTATGCTAACTCTCCTGTTTCATTTGTATTTCCAACATGCACAGAAAGACTTTTGGAAGGCATAGGTTGGGGCTCGCCTGGGAACCCCTCTCCATCCCCCACCCAGACTCCAGCAGGCTGGAGTCAAGCTTGGCTGGGCAGCGGAGGATCACTGGTGCACAGAGGGGTGAGTGGGTGAGTGTCTGTGGCTGGAGGCCCTGGGGGTGTTCCTGCCCCCGCCCAGGCGTGTGTTGGTTGTGGGGGAAGGCTGCTGCCCTCTCTGTATCTGGTCAGGGCCCTCTTTGTATCTGGTGACAGCTGCGGTGTGTGGTGGGACTCTGCAGGCTGGAGTTTTGTTTGGGGAGGCCTTGGCCCAGGCTGAGCAAGGAGGTTCTGTTTGTTTTAGGGTCACACAGTGGATTGAGGTTGGGGACAGGTATATGGGGTGTGTCTGGGGGGGGGGGTTGTGTATCTGGGAGCCTGGCACACCAGCCGCACCCATAAATGCGTGGCCTGTGGAGGGCTGTCCCGGGCGTGCTGGTCGGGGGTGTGGGATGGCTGTGCAGGCCCCTCGTGGGATGGCACCCATTGGTTTTGCTTGCTCTCCCCCAGGGCTGAGTGTGGGTAGCGTCCTGGGTATGGGGCATGTGCCCTCCGTGGAAACCAGCTGTCTCCCTTGCCCCGCTCCACCCACATTCCAGAGGGGTTGGGGGTGCCCTCCCAGGCTCCCGCCCGCTCCTCGACCTCCGACCTCGGCCCAAGCCCACTCTCTCTGCTCTGGCAACCGAGGAGGCAGCTGGCTCCAGGGAGGGACTGCAAGGCGGGGGAGGAAGCTGGAATGTGCCCCGGGGTGAAGGGGGCCCCCAGAGAGGGGGCGGAAGCAGGGGAGGGACGGAGGGGCGGAGATGGTGGTACTGGGTTGGGGAGAGCGCCAGAGATCGGGACAGAAATAGAGAAAGGCAAAAGAAAGAGAAATGGAGGGAGTGAGAACCAGAAAGAGGGTGGAGGCAGGGCCCAGGTGACAGCCTCCCCTCCCCCACCCGCTGGGCTGGGCTGGGCTGCTCACCTGTCCCAAGTGACCCCAGAGGCAGCCAGTTCTCTGCCCTTCCAGGGCTGGGCGGCCCGTGGGTGGGGCTGCACCAGGCTCCTGGGTTGGGCCCCAACGCCCTTGGCCACGGGGTGGTGGCGTCCCCAGCCTCCAGCCCGGTAACTCCCATTCCCATGGTGCTGGGAGAGGAGGGCGGGTGGGGCAAGGCCCTGTGGGGGCGGCTGTGCCCGGGCACTGGCTCAATCCCTCCAACCCAGTGGCTCTAAGCCAAGGGCCTGGCTTCCACTGCTGTCCACCCTAGCCACCTCCCAAGGCAGCTCCAAGGGCGCATTCGGCCACCCCCAGAGGACTCCGGCCTCAAGCCAAAAGCCATGACCTCCACTGACCTTCTCCTGCCCGCCCACAGCTCCGCGTCTCCCCAAGCACCGCTCACCTGTGAGATCACCGCCTGGCAGGGACGCCAGCACGGGCTCCCAGCCACAGGGCAGCTCCCACCCTGCGAACTCCAGCTCTTCCCAGGCCGCTCCAGAGGCCAGGCTGCACAAACACCTTGGCTAGTCTCCCCACCTGGCACAGGCCCTGTTCACTCCAACCACTGCCTTCTCTGAGCACACACCAAGTTGGAGCCCACAGCCAAGCAGCGGGCGGCCACGGGGGATTCCTGCCTCCTGAGTCCTCAACTCTCTTGGCCCGGAGCTCACACCGGCATTTCAGATTTTCTCCTTCCCCCTGTTACCCCCGCCTTGCCAACCACCTCCCTGTGGACCTAAAGCCACCACCTTCCGGGCACACCGTAGTTCCTTTTTCGTCTCTACCTCCCCCAGGGTGAGGCCGCCAGGGTCCCCATCGATCATCGATCCAACTCGACCGCCCCCCAAAGTCCAGGCCACGGGTCTAGCCACCTCCCAGATGTCCTGGCCGCCGCTCCCCCTCACCTGCTCTTCCTCTCTGGTCCCCCAAGTCATCCCTCCAGTGGCCGACTTGGGGAATCACCGTTTAGGGTCCTTGTCAGCCTCGCCTTTCCTCCCATCTTTGATTTTTCTCCACCAACTGACTTCCCGGTTGCCCCCGAAAAGCACTCGGTTTCACGTTTCCGGGCCTTGGCACACGCCGTGCCCCCTACCTGGCGCACCCTTCCCGCTTCCTACAACACTTGGCAAACTCCTGCTCCTTTGGCAAAGCCTCAGCCCCAAAGTCCCCCTCCTCCTAGCCTCCTGTCTGAGCTCCCCCAGCCTAGGGACCGCGGGGAGGCTGGGCCGGGGTCTGGGACGTGCAGTGGTGCAGGGGTGGGGGCAGCAGGAAACGCGTTGGCGTGAAAGGACGGGTGCACGTGAGCGTGCCCGTGCCGGGGGTCCACGTGCGGCGCCCCGGGGCTCGCCCCCTCTTCCGTCCAGGCCCCGCCGCAGCCGTCAGACCCTCGGCTGCGCCTCCCGCCCCCAACTTTGCAGACGCGCGGGGAGAGAGGCGGGGCTGCAGCGCCTCCGCGCTTGCGCCTGCGCACTCGGCGCTGCCGGGCTGAAGTCCCGCCTTCTGGAGGCTTCGTCGCGCTGCTACTGGGGCACGCCGATGAGCGAGCGGTGCGATCACCAATGAGGCTTCCCCGCTGGTGGGCGGGGCCTGGGCCGCGCGACGCGCGGACGGGGGCGGGCAGGGCGCCCTACCCGGGGTGACGTCAGGCTCCTTTCGCGGCGCGTTGCCCTGGAAACCGCGTTTCCATCCCGGCGGGTTTCCGGGGGCCGCCCCCTCCCATTCAGCTTTTTCCTCAATGGTTGGGGGAAGGGAGCGATCCAGGGCCGACCCCGCCCCGCGAGATCCCAGCGGTCCCTGCCCTCTTTGTGCCTCAGTTTACCTCTCCGTGCTTCCCTACGCACACTTGGCCTCCGCCTGCCGCCCCTCCGCCCGCTGCACCCCTGGTTGGGCTGACCCTACCAGGCCAGGGCTCTGAGCCTGGAGCTCCATACCCCACCCCACGCCCCCAGGGCACAGCCTTGACCCCTGGGATCCCCAGTCTGGGGTGGGGGTCGGCATCCCGAGGGGCGGGTCCTGGAGTGCAGGGGACGCGCCCCCCACCCTGCAGGCTACAGACACAGCCCCTGTGATTCAGCAGGTGCTTCAGACAACATCCTCCTTCCTCCTTCCCACCCCGCCCAGCGAGGGGGCGGTGGCGCCCTGGGGCCCTCGCCTTGACCCCAGGCCTGGCGTCGGTGACCCGCACCCCCACCCTGAGCCCCGAGGGGACATCCGCACCAGGGACGGGGCGGGGGGTGGGTGCCGCCTGACTGGGCATCCGCCTTCCTGCCGTGGGCGTGCGATGATTTGGGGTTGACTGGGCGTTGGGAGGGGCAGAGGGGTCTCAGGAAGGTGCTCCCAGGCCACTCTCTGAACCTGTGCCCCTTCCCCTGGGGGCTCCCGGTACTGGGGCCCCTAGAGATGGGATAAGGGGTGGAGGTCACATCATTGAACAAACACCCCAAATCCTCTGGGCCAAGTGATGTTCCTCTTTGGGCCTCTGTTCTCCCATCTATAAAATGGGAGCCCAATTACTTCTCATAGGCAACTCTTGTTACCTGAGGAAATACAGGTTACAAAATTTAAAAAAAGACATGAAATAGTGTTATTGCCTCATCTCTGCCCAGCCCGGACATGGGTGGAGGTGGGACCCCAGAGAGGACTCAGTCCTGGTGAGGCTCACGGGGAGCTCCAGGCTAGGGACAGAGAGAGGGAAGGGTGGGGTCTGCGGGACGGGGTGGACAGGGGTGGAAGGCGCAGGCTGGGGAAGTTCCCAGACAGCAAGGGACAGCCGGACCAGGGGTGTTCCTAGACAGGGGGCAAAGGCCGGGAGGTTTGGAGCTGAAGGCCAGGTCTGGGAAGGGCTGGAATGTCAGGAGGTGTGGCCAGAGAGGCCCCCCAGGGCTGGGTCAAGCCAGGCCTGTATCACCTGCCAGCCCAAGGTACCCTGCGGAGTCCTAGGTCCTCCCAGTCGGCCTGGTGATCTCCCTGCAGCAAGCCACACAGATGTGAGACTCCAGGAAGGGGAGCAGGTGGGTGTGGCAGAGTGGGAGTCCCCGACTCCTGTGGCTGGGGAGAGCTGGTGGTCGCGTCTCCCCCATACTGGCAGGTCCTGAGGGGGCCAGGGTCCTGCCCAGGCCACGAAGCAGGCAGGCAGGCCCTCGCCCCACACCCTAAGGGACTTCCGGCCTTGGGTACCAGGAAGTGGCTGGGCTCCTCCCTCCCACCCTGGCTGCTTCCTGCCCACCCGGCAGCCGGGGAAGGAGCGTGGGAAATTCTCAGGGCCCTGACCCCTGCCCCACCCCCTCTTCGGGGCCTTGGGACCCAGGTCAGTCCCTCTGACTCCCTGAGCTGACATCCCACCCCAGGAACCCTCCCAACCAAGGCCAGATCCCCCCACTAGGCGAGCAGGCGGGAGTCAATGTGTGTTTCATTTTCTGTTTATTACTTGAAATCACGGTGCTCGTGTAGGTTTTTTTTTTTTTTTCAATTTTATGTTTTCATACATGAAACTCACGCCAGGTGCCGGGACCCCCACAGCCCGACCCCCCGAGGGCGGGTAATGCTTTCTTGGGCAGCCCTTACCGGGCAGAGGGTGGCGAGCCGGTTCCTGCCTGGAGGTTCCACCCTCAACCAGTGGAGGCACAGACGTTATTTAAAAATCGTTAAAAAACAAAACAGAACACACATTTAAATAGGTATCCAAGACAGTTCTTCAAAAAACAAACCCGCCCCTTTTACTCCTTTTTTTTCTATTTTTTTTTCTTTTTTTTTTGGAAAAATGAAAACAAAACAAAACCCAAAATCCTTGAGCTCTACCCTCTGGGACCCCTCCCTGCCCACCCTCCCACAAAAAAATTTACAGCGCTACAGTTATAACACGTGATGTTCACATCTGAAACCATTAACTTTCAACACATAAAGGGGGGGAGTTGAGGACCTGGGGTTCACCTACGAGAACAACGGTGGGGGACAGGCAGAGCCAGGACAAGACCGACAGGTGGGGTGAGGAAGGGTCCAGACATCTCCATTATCATTAAAAAATAAAAAGTGAGTGGGGAAAAAAATCCAAAAACTACCCCATTGAAATGGCCCCAGTAGGGGATTTGTCCCTCCCCTCTGGAGACAGACACCCCTAGGGCAGGGGCACTGAGAGGCAGGGGGTCCAAATTAGACCAGCAGCGGACCCCGCCACGGGGGTTAATGCTACACGGAGTTGTCGCCCCCTGCCCAGGGGATTCACAGCTCAGCACCCCCTCCCATCCTCGCTGCAGGAGGGGCCCCCAGACAGTCCCAAATCCACATCCCTCAGGTTGGGCCGGGAAGGAGGGCTCGGAGGGGGGAACTCCCCAGCACCCAGCCATTCTCTCCCCTTTTTCAAGAGTTCCCCAACCACTATTGGCTCAGTCAGAAAATTAATAGTCTATAAATACCCCAAACTCAGGCAGGAGGTCAGAAAACACGGGAGTGGGGGCGGAGGAAACAGCACAGTCCGCCGGCTGGGGCGGGGCGGAGGGCAGGCTGGGGGGGTAGTTCCCCTCTCCCTTCCCGACAGGAAAGGGTGCCATGCCCCTGCACCCAAACCCCATGGGGACCTCAGCCCCAGCCTCTGCTAAAACAGCTTTGCTCTCCTTGTTAAAGAAATGAAGGAAAATGCAAAAAAAAGATCAAGAAAAGAGGATAGGAGTGGAAGAGAAACAGTCCCCTCGTTGGCTTCTGTGACCTGTTGGCTTGCTGTAGCCCAGTGGGCGCTGCTGGCCTGGGGTGGAGACCCCGAAGTCTGCACTGGGGGGTGGGGTGGGTTCTGCGCACTGCGGCCCCTCCCCTCATCTGTAAAGTGCATAATGACATATCGACATTTTTGACTTAAAACCTGAATAGGGTCGGGGGGGAAAGGAGGCGGCGGAAGGGATGGGGCGCGTTTCTCCGTCTCCTTCACTCTCCGCCATCCAGAGAGACTGCTACATATTGGAGCTGGGGAAGGTTGGCAGGGAGGACCGACCTGGCGCAGAGGTGAAAGGAGACAGACGGAGGAGGAGGAGGAGGAGGAAGAGGAGGGCAGGAGTGAAGGGTGAAGGAGGTAGGAAGCAAAGCCCATGAAGAGTCCAGGAAACCACGGTCAGAACTTTTTAAAAAAAGAAAAAAATAATAAAAAAGAAGAAAAGAAAAAAAGACTTCTGGCTGGGGGAGTGGCCGCCTGCCCTCCAGGGCTGGGCCACGTTCTCTCCGGGGCTCTCGGAGTCCCCGCCGCCCTGGGCTGGGGTGCGAGGGGCGAGGGTGGCCGATCCGAAGATCCTAAGCCACCACGAACTCTGACTTGATGTCAGGGTTGACTTCTGGCTTCCACACGGAGTCCTCGAAGTCGAGGCCCAAGCCGGAGGCCTCGCTGGGGCTGCCGCCGCCCCCGCTGCTACTGCTGTCGCTGCGGCCGGCCTTGCGGCTGGGTGACCAGTGGTACGGACCCCGCGCGTCCCGCCGGGCCTTTCTACGGAGCCGTTTCTGCTGCAGAAGCAGCTGCAGCCGTTCCACCTTGCAGCGCGTGGCGCGGTTTTCTGTCTGCCGAAGCCGGTCCCCTGCAAAGGAGGTAGTGGCCTGTGACTCCCAAAGCCTCCACCTGCTGAACACAGAGGACCACCCCAGACCCCAGCAAATGCCCCTGAGGTCAGACACAGTCCTGCCCTCCCTGGAGGGAGGTCAGCAAAGGAAACAGTCAAGGACATCCACCATGCCGGGCACAGTGGTTCACGCCTGTAATCTCAGCACTTTGGGAGGCCGAGGCAGGAGAATCGCTTGAGCTCAGGAGTTCGAGACAGGCCTGGGCAACCTCAGGAGTTCGAGACAGGCCTGAGCCACAGAGCGAGACCCCTCCTCTACAAAAATTACAAAATTAGCTGGGCATGGTGGTGTTTGCCTGGAGTCCCAGCTACGCAGCTGGCTTCTAATTCTCCAGCTCAGCCATGAGCTGGGGAGGTCAGGACTGTCCTGCCTCATTCTTCCTGGAGTCCTACATGGAGGGGGCTTGGCCGCTTCTGTGATCCGAGGGGAGATACTTGGGGGTTGTACCTTGGTTTTTTTTTTTTTTTTTTGAGACGGAGTCTCGCTCTGTCGCCCAGGCTGGAGTGCAGTGGCGCGATCTCGGCTCACTGCAAGCTCCGCCTCTGGGTTCACGCCATTCTCCTGTCTCAGCCTCCCGAGTAGCTGGGACTACAGGCGCCCACCACCACGCCTGGCTAATTTTTTGTATTTTTAGTGGAAACGGAGTTTCACCATGTTAGCCAAGATGGTCTCGATCTCCTGACCTCGTGATCCGCCCGCGTCGGCCTCCCAAAGTGCTGGGATTACAGGCGTGAGCCACCGCGCCCGGCCAGTTTCCCACTTTTAAACTGAGCTGGGAGGAGCCCCCGCGACGGGTGCAGAGCCCAAGGGCAGTACAGTAGCCATCTTCTGGTGAGACTCTGGAGGGAGTAACCCGCCGTTTGGGAGTAGCTGGGGCCAGGCTGGCAGGGGGGTTGTGTTCGCTGCTTTTCCAAGTCACTGAAATGCTTAGGGGTGGGCTCTGGCCCCGCCTCGGCCTGCCAGGCCTGACTTGGCCATTCACAGAGGCACCAAATGCCATCTGGAGATGATGCCCCGGGTGGGGGTGGGGCAGGAGGAAGTGGGCCTGTGGCCCCCCGGGAGCACACAAGGACACTTTGTGCCCTGACACACATGCTGCCTTCTCTCCGGGCTGGAGCAGAGCAGTGGCCACGGCAGCTGCCATCCCCCCCAGCCCCTGGGCAGGTCAGCTGCTCCTGAGCCCACCAGCTCACACAGAGGGGCCTTGAGAAGCCCAGGCGGGCGGGGAAGGTAGGACCCCCGAGGGTGGCCACTCACCCGGGGGCTTGCACATGCGGATCTGGCTCTGGCCCTGCAGCAGGGAGGCTGAGGGGGCAGCCGTGAGCTTCTCGCAGGAGGTAGTTCTGGGGGCCAGGTCGGGGGCCGGTGAGGCCGGGGAGCACTGGGCGTGGCAGCGGAGCTGGGCCAGCGAAGGGGGCATGCCCTGGTAGTGCCGGGTGGCGCTCAGGAGGTCGTTCAGGATCTGCAGGATGGTGCCGATGTCACGCCGCGGCCGCCCGCTGCTGTCTTGGCAGTTGGGGTGTAGCGTGCCTGCGGGCAGAGGTGGCCGTGAGTGCCCGGCACGGGCACAGTCCCGCATGTCCAGGACGGGCGTCCACGGGTGTGAGCTCATGAGCTCAGGCAATGGCGTGGACATGTGGGCTGATGTGCACGAGGGACCACGGGGCGGGAGCGGGACACGTCCCCAGTATGCAGGCGCCTGGTGACCCGCGGCCCCCCGGGCAGGGCCAGGCGTGTGTGTGGGGGATTCCTGGGGGACATGTGAAGTGAGCAGACGGACACAGCCTGTGTATGCCCAGAATATGTGGAGTCGCCTGTGGGTGGATGTAGACCCCAAATGCACAGGGTCACGGGACACACGTGAGCTCACACATGTGCTGTGACACCTACCAGAGAAGGTCCCTGAGAAGACCCCCGGGGCGTGATTCACAAAGCTCTCGATGACGGCGCCGGGTTTTCGGGAGCGGGGGGCAGGGCTGGCCCCTGGGGTAGACGTGGTGCTGGCACCAGGACTGGCACTGCTGCTGGCCGTGGGGGAGCAGTCCATCTGCTGATGGGAGGAAGGGGCACATGAGCACGGGGTCCAGGATCAGGGGATCACCAGCAACCCAGGGACCAGAGATCACCCACCAGCCCAGGTCAGGAGATGACCTGTCAACACAGGGTTTAGAGATAAACTAGCCCAAGGTCACGAGGTCACAACCAACCCAGGACACAGAGATGACCCATGAGTCAAAGATCAAGAGATCATCTACTGGTCCAGGTCATGTCAGGCGATGACCGTCAACTCAGGATCTAGAAATACCCCACCAATCTAGGCTGGGGGATCACCCACCAGCCCGAGGTCACAGGATAGCCCTTAATACAAGGGACTCACCTGGGACTAAGAGTCCTTGTCCTCCCCAAGACCTCCCCAGGACGGCCCACCCTTTGGATTCCAACCAAGGGTCACCCTTCCCTTCCCCAGGCTCACCTCCGGGCAGGTGGTGGAGGCTGCGTGGGACCGGAAGGAGCCGGCTGTGATGGGCGAGGGAGATGCAGGGGACGGGCTGGTGGGCACCGGGGGGACTCGGGCGGCACTGGACACCGGCCGGCAGGGCGAGGACACGGGGGAGGCTATGCTGGGGTCCCCCCGCGCAGCAGCGGCGGCGGCCGCAGCGGCCAGCACATGGCGGTGTTGCAGTGGAGCGTGCTGGGCCGCGAGCTGCAGCTGCACGAACATCATGTGGTCGCCCACACGCAAGGCCAGTGTCAGTGGCGAACGGCCCGACAGGAAGTCACTGACCTGCAAGGAGAGCGGTCCGTCAGCTGGGAGCCCCAGCTTGCGGCGCCCCCAGCCCAGCCCGGCCCAGTCCCCCCGCGCTGTGACCTGGGGCCTCTCGCCGCCCCTCTCTGGGCTCTGGGGTCCCTGTCGGTGCCACGGACGCTTAAATAAAATGAATCTGTATTTCCGGAAGCCTCCTCCGCCAGCCCGGCCCGGCCCGGGCGCCGCTGGGGGCTGTGGGGACAGAGGCGGGTCAGACGGGGGCCTGCCCCTCCCTGGCCAACTAGGTCGGTCTTGCAAGGGGAAACTGAGGCCAGAGGGGGCGGGGCCCAGCTGGCAGTCACTGACCTCAAACAACCTTCACTTTGCCTTTCCCCCACCCTCATGGGCCCCTAGATCCTCTCTGCCTGTGGATACGGGAGGGGCTCCACCTCAGGCCCCCTCCCAGCTAAGTCACCAGGGCCAGCAAGTGGGTGGAATTCCTGCACGAATTCTTCTGTCCTAACCTTTGCTTTCTCAAGATAAATATTTATCTGTCCTGGGCGGGGCGGAGGCCTAGGGGGCTGTGGCAAGGCTGCAGGAAGGGGCCCTGACCGCCCTGGGGCTGGAGTCCCGGAGGGCACAACCTGCTCCAAGCACAGAAACCCTCAATCTGCCCCCGTTCAGGGTGGGTGTGGGTTGAATCTCACCCTGTCCTCGCCAAGCCCCCTGCTCTGGGTATGGGCCAGAGCCCTGCTCTCCCCAGTGGCCGGGATGGGGGGGGGGGTGGCGGAGGTTTCTGAGAAGTGACATAGGCTGGGATGACTCAGAACCGACCGCCTCCCAGCTCTCCCTCCCGGCTCTCCTCTCCACTGGCAGTAGCTGGCGTAACCTTCTCTGCTTGGGGCCCATGGGGAGGGAGGCAGGGAGGAGGGCAGGGTGAAGCCCCCACCCTGCGGCCCAGCCTGCCCGGCCCCCTACCCCCCTGCCCCAAGACAGCCTTTGCAGGAAGGGCCCGGGGTGGCTTCCCGAGAGCAGCTGGAGTCCCCACCACCACCCGCCCTGCAACTTCCTCCCTGGGGAAGGCTAATGGGCGGGCATGACTCGGTGCCAGGCAGGGAAGCAACCCTGGGGAGCCCAGTGTCTCCGCCCAGCACCCCCTCCAGCCCCCCCCAACCCAGCTCCTTCCTGACGCAGGCGCCCAGGGAGGAGGGTGTGAAGCCAACACGCCCTGGGCCCCCTGCCAACCGCAGCCCCCCAGCGGCGGGGAGCTCTGCTCACACTCGCCCCAGGAAATCACCTGCAGCCCCCGCCCTGGCTCGGGACCCCGGCTCTGCCCCCACGCCACTGCTGCTGCTGCTGTGGCCACCCCCATGGCAGACCACCCAGCTCCCGGCCCCCGCCCTGCCCCCGCGATGTAGGGAAAGGGCAGGACTCTACATGCCGCTGGGAAAGCGGAAGGGGGTGCGGGCCTCGGGGCCAGGGAGGCCCGGGAAGCCGGCCACCCCTTGCTGGGGCGGGTGGCAGCCTGCGTCCCCCACCCTGGCAGCGGGCGGATTGCTGAGGCCTGTGTCACCCTCCTGGGAGGTGGCCAGGGCCCTTGTCTGAGGAAGGCTTGGCCGCAGCCAAGAAAATGAGGAAAGAAGGAGAAAAAAAAAAAAAAGTCCGCAGCAAAACCGGGAACCGGGTGAGGGCCAGCCCCAGCCTCCCTCCTGGCCGCTTACTAAATATTTTCCTAACATCCTGTCTAGGCCTCACTGGCCCCAGGGCTGGGCACCCCCGCCCCCTCCCCTTTCGGGGTAGAGAACAAAGGCCAGAGAGAGGAGGGGAGGGTGACGAGATCCCCACCCTCTCACGATGGGGGTCACGGAAGGCGGAAGGAGTGTCACCCAAGCCGCCACCCCCAGCCCTCAGCAGAAATGTAAAAAAGGAGAAACTCGCTCTGGGGAAGCCACAGCGGCTGGAGGGGGGCTCCTCGGTGGGGGCGGAGGGGGCTGGGGATGCAGGCCAGGGTGTGAGCGGGGATGAGGCCCCATAGGCCAAGGTCATCCTGCAGGCAGTCTTGTGAAAGCCAGGCCCCCTTCCCCCAGGGCAGCCACCGTGGGAGAGAAAGCCCTCCGGGTCAGGTGGTGAATCTTGGGGGAGAGGAGGTGGGGAGGCCAGGCCAGGCTGGCACCCAGGCGGGGTGGCGCGTCCCCTCCCCTCCCCCAGCCTCCTGGGAGCACAGACAACCCCCAGGCCCCGTCGGTGGCCAAGGCACCCTGCTCCCAGGGCTGCCCTGTTAGGAAGGGGCTGGCGAGGTCTTACCTGCGTCTCCGTGAGACTCTCGAGAGCTTGCATCACGGACTGTTCCGGCCTTGAGGCCTGAGACTACAAAGAGAGGGAGGAGAGGGGCCTGAGTGTGGGGTCGGAATCCTGGGCTGGAATAGGGGGTGGAGAGGGCCCTGCTGGCTGGCGGGGTGGGGGCCCCAGGTAGTGTGTGTGCGGACAGGTACCGAGGGAGGGGCTACTGCCTGTGTGCGGGGGCCTCTGGGGGCACGCAGCCCCATGGCCATTTACCATGAGGCCCGCTTCCACGGTGGGTACCAAGGTCAGCTTGCTGCCATCACCCACGCCGAACTCCTGCAGCTTCCCCGAACTGAGCCGGCTGGGGGGAGGAAGGAAGAGCATGAGACTCCGCGGAGACGACACAGGGACGCGGAAGCAGAGGCCGCGGGGGAGGGCTGTGCTTGTGTGGGGAGAGACGGATAAGTTCCCACCCCCACCCCTTCCCGGCTTCCAGATCCAGGGCCCTAAGCGCGTGCAGAGAGGTCTCCGTCTGGTGCTGGGAGCCCCATCCTGGCGATTCGGACCCCTTCCCTCCAGTGGAACCCCCGCCCTGGACTCTGGCACCCCCTCTGCACCCCAACCAGGCACTTTCTCCTCCTCTGGGCCCCAGTGTGCTCTATGCCACCTTCCCCCACGACCCCAGGGCAGCCCCTGCCCCCAATTCCCTAATTCTAGTCCTGGCTCCTCTTTGTAGGAACCACGGGTTTCGGCCCGAGGAGAGGCCCTGGGGGTTGCGCCGGGCCGGGCTCCCCCTCCTCCTCCCTCCCCGGCGCAGGCGGCCGCCGCCGCGCAGACAAAGGAGACCCTCCCCCTCCGCCCCTCCCCCGATGGGCCCCTCCACTGGGATGGACACTGCGTGTCCCCGGAGGCCCGCGGGGGGAGGGCTCCGGGCCTGCAGGCGATTTAAATACCAGGGGGGAGGGGAGGCTGCGGGGAGCGCTCGGAGGCGAGAACAAAGGGGGGGAGAGAGACGCAAGTGGGGGGAGACAGCCAGACGCAGAGGAGGCCGCCGAGCAGATGCGGAAGCCGGCGCGGACGCAGGCGGGAGGGGGCGGTGGCGGCCCCCACACCCGCAGCCGGGACCCCCGCAACGCCCTGGGATTCCTGCCCGCCCCCAAGGGGGGCCGCCGAAGCCCGGCCCGGGACGCCCTCGCAGCCGCCTTTGTGCGGCGACCCCGGGCGGGGGAGGGGGCCGAGGCAGGCGAGGCCGAGCAGAGGGCGCCCGAGAGCGCGCGGCGCGCCCCCGCCCCCTGTCTGGCCGCCCCCTGCCTTCCCCGCGCGGCGCGCTCTTTGTTCCCGCCCGGGGGCCGGGGCCCGAGGGGGCGGCCGGCCGGGGGCGCGCGGTACCTACGTGTCTTTGTGGAGAAGAGCCAGGCGCTCCTTGGGCACTTTGAGGCGCTGGGACAACCGCTTGCGCAGCCCCTCCACCGTCTCGTCGGGCGGCACGGCCAGGTCGTAGCGGGTGCCCGTGGTGCTGTGGATGGCGAGGCTCATGGGCGCCGCCTCGGCCGCCGGGCCCAGCTCGCAGGCGCCGCCGGGGGCCCCGCGCCGGCAGCTCCGGGCGCCGCCGGGCTGCGGCTCCATCCCCGGCGCGCGCTGGGGGGCTGGGGGCGGCGGGCGCCGCCAATCCTCGCCGCGCCTCCGGGACAGGGGCGAGAGGCTCCCCGGATGCCGGGTCCTCCGGGCACTCGGGGGCGCGGAGCAGCGCGCGTCCTCCTCGAGAAAGTCCCGGCCGCGGAATGCGAGACCGAAATCCAAAATCCGAGTGGCGCTCCGAGGTCGCTCCGGCTCCTGGGGGCGCCTTCCGGGGGTGGGGACGGCACTTGCTTCTCCTTCAAAGGGCGGCGGGCGCGACCGGGACGCGGCGCGGTTAAGGGTCCTGGGGAGGGGGCGCCGCTCGGCTGGTGGCGCTGGGTGCCGTCTGCCGCCCGGGTCGCGCTTCCTCGCGCGTCCCCTCCCTTAGCAACAGCCGTCGCCGCCGCTCGGAGGATCTGGGGGTGAAAGTAACAAGAAAAAAAAGTTATAATGTATCAACGTTCCAGGGGGCGGGGCCGCCGCCCCCTCCCATTCACTACTTACTCCGCCGGCCGGGCGCCGGCCAATCGCCGCGCGCCGAGCGCCCAGTCGGCCGCGAGCCCGGGCCTATGAGAGCCGCCGCGGCACCGCCCCACGTGGCAGCCGGGCCCGCCCCCTCGCCCCGCCCCCAGCGCCCAGGCGACCAAGGGGAGCGCAGCGGGGGCGGGGCTGGCGCCTCTCCGCGCCCGCCCCCGCCCCGCCCGCGCCCGCAGCCATTCATAAGCGCCCGGAGCCCGCAACAAAGGGCGGGCGCGCCCCGGGGGGCGCGGGACCCAGGTCTGGAGACGGGTCTGGTACCCCTCGCGATCCCAAGGGAGCGGCCGGGAGCGGGAGGGGGCGCGGGCCATTGTTCCCGGCGCCGGGAGGGGCAGGAAGTCGTGGGGCCACCCCGCCGCCTTCGTCCGGGAAAAGCCGCGAGCGGAAGCGGGAGCGCGAAGTCCGCGCCTCGTGGCCGGGGTCCCGGGGCGGGCGGGCGACGGTGAGGCTAGGGCCGCGGCCCCGGGGAGGGCGTGGTGCGTGGGGGCGGAGTTGTGGCCGGGGCGGGGCGCCCGCACCTCGGTGACGTGGCCGGGTGGCTGCCGCCGGGGGCCCCGCGCGCCCACCCGCCGGCCGCGGGCAGAACCCGTTTCCCCGAGGCGCGCCCGCTCGAGCCGTGACGTGACGCGGCGTCCCCGGCTGCGCCCGCGCGCGCTCGGGGATGCGGTGAGTCAGCAGCTCGGGCGCGCCCTCTGCCGGGCCCGCCTGGGAGCGCCGCCCGGAGTCCCGGGGAGGGGGCGCCGCGCTGCCCCTGGCAGGGGAGGAAGACGACTGGGCTGCGCGCGGGGGAGGAACCCCGATCGGGAACGAAAGACTGTAGTCGGGAGACTGGGACCGTGTGGCTGGGCAACGGAGGGCGGAACGGCAACCAGTTCAAGGTCACCCGCGGTGAAGGGGGAGTGCCCCGGGGGGCGGGGCGGGGGCTGAGGTCCGGCCAGGGCGGCGCTGGCTGCGCGGAGCCCCTCCCACCCCGCACCCCGGGGGGCTTCCCAGGACCGGAGGCTCCCCGATCCCTCCTGTCCCAAGAACAAAGAAAAGTGCGGGCATCCTGAGCCATCTAGAGTGGGCACCCTTCCTCGGCCCGCAGGTCCCCCCCCTCCACACTCACCGGGCGCGGCCGGTTCTGCGCTCCAAGTGCTGCGAGTACCTTCGTCCGGGGCCGAATGCGCGCTGGCCGGGCCGGTCTGGGCCAAGCGCGCGGCCCTCAGCCTTTATCCGCGCCGCCTTCCCTCGGGGTGGAGTTAGGGCGGGCAGGGGGGCGGGGGGCCGGGCGGGCGGTGACGCAGACTGGCCCCCGCCCCTGCCTGCCGGCCCTGGCCCTGGGGCGCCTTGACGGCTGGGCCACCCGGGACCCAGGCTTGGCGCAGTTCATGGGGGGACTCCCCTTGAATGCCCCGAGCCAAGGGTCTCGGCCCGCCTCGCCGCGGGCTGAGATGCACCCCGAATCGTCAGCGGGACAGGGTTTTGGGGTGTACAGCGCGACTCGCTGCCCCGCCCCCTTCCTGTCGCCCCAGGCCCGGTGCTTCCGCCTGGGGGCGCCCGCGTGGGGGGGACGGGAAGAGGGGCCTGAGTCAGCGGCTGTCGTCCAGGAAAACAGGCTGGAGTCACCTGCCGTAGAGTGGGGGTGCCCTGGCCAGCCCTGGCCTCCTGCATCTGTCAATGGTGACCTCAGAGGGCATTTATGGAGCGATTAGCCAGTGCCAGGCCTGCCTTGTGCCCAGCCAGTCACCAGCCGGCTATGCTGTGACCCCGGGAGGTAACTGGCCTCTCCAAGCCTCAGTTTCTCCAGGGTGGGTGGGAGTGTGGTGAGGGGATGCGGCAGGATCACTTTGGGGCCATCACCCCCCATTAATGCAGGACATGCACTGGTTCCCAGCCTTTGGGGTGGGCATTACCCCATTTTACAGATGAAGAAACTGAGGCCACAGCCAATGAGACACGAATGTGGTGTGCATCTCACCCTTCCCCGTCGGCTTTTTGAGGATGGTCCTGGTTGAGGTGGGCCCCGTCCTGCCCCTCTATTTAGAGAAGGGGACCCCATTCCTACGGGAGCACCTCCTGTCCACTCATCTGGCCCCTCCCTTTATCTGGCCTGACCACCTCCACCCCCACCCTGGCCATGGGCGCCCCTCCCAGGGCTGCGCTCCTCCCCAGGTCTCCTTCCGGCTGCCACCCATGCTCCCGGCAGCCGTGGCCCCCACCTTGACAGGCACACCCAGCCCCGAAGGGTCAGGGCTAGGCCAGAGAGGGAGAGGCTGGGATAACCCTTGGAAGGGGGTCACAGGGGCTGCGGTTTGAGGAATGACTAGGAGTTTGTCACATAAAAAAGATGATGCGGTCGGGCGCGGTGGCTCACGCCTGTAATCCCAGCACTTTGGGAGGCCGAGGCGGGCGGATCACAAGGTCAAGAGATTGAGACCAGCCTGGCCAACATGGTGAAACCCTGTCTCTACTAAAAATACAAAAATTAGCTGGGCATGGTGGCATGTGTCTGTAGTCCCAGCTACTCAGGAGGCTGAGGCAGGAGAATCGCTTGAACGCGGGAGGCGGAGGTTACAATAAACCCAGATCGTGCCAGGGCACTCCAGCCTGAGCGACAAAACGAGATTCCGTCTCAAAAAAAAAAAAAAAAAAAAAAAAGGCCGGGCGCGGTGGCTCATGCCTGTAATCCTGGCACTTTGGGAGGCCGAGGCGGGCGGATCACGAGGTCAGGAGTTCGAGACCAGCCTGATCAACATGGTGAAACCCTGTCTGTACTAAAAACACAAAAATTAGCCAGGCGTGGTGATGTGCGCCTGTAATCTCAGCTACTTGGGAGGCTGAGGCGGGAGCATTGCTCGAACCCGGGAGACGGAGATTGTGGTGAGCTGAGATTGTGCCATTGCACTCCAGCCTGGGCAATAAGAGCGAAACTCCTCTCAAAAAAAAAAAAAAAAAAAAAAAAAAAAGACGATGGTCCAGGAAGTGGGAATGGCTTGAGCAGTTCTGGGAGCTTAGTGAACTGGACCCAGTTGGAGGGAGGAGGGGCAGGGTCGATGAATGGGGCTTGGATGAAGGGCTGGGGCCCCAGGTGGGAACTACAGGGCCAGGCTCATTCTGCTTCCAGTGAGAACAAAGGTGGCGGAGGGAGCCGTGGACTGGTGCCAAATGAGCAGCCCAAGCAGGACACTGGGGCCCCCTGTGAGTGGCCAGCAGCCCCCACCTCCCTCCCTGCCTCTTGCCTCTCGTGTGTGGCTCTGCCACCTGCACACCGTCACCTCAGTCTGGTCGGGAGTGGAATGGACACCGTCACCTCAGTCTGGTCGGGAGTGGAATGGACACCGTCACCTCAGTCTGGTCGGGAGTGGAATGGACACCATCACCTCAGTCTGGTCGGGAGTGGAATGGGACACGGGTTGTCGGAACTTGCTGGGCTTCACAGGGGCCACTGTGTGGCCCTTTGGGGACCAGATGCCCAGAGCCAGTCTAAATGAATAAACATGCTAAAACGCTTCCCCACCATTTCCCATACTCGGCGTCCCCATGGTTGAGTGGGTTGTTCCTGGGTGTGATGGGGACAAACCCTGTGCTCTGTTCTGCCTCACTAAGCCAGGGGCTGCCCTCACTGAAGGGCCTTGACCGCCTGGTTCCCGGCCCCACCCTGACTGCCTCCTGCTCCAGGACGCATCCAGCCAGCACGGGCTGTTCCCTCCGAGTGTCAGGTGTCTCGGGTGTCCTGAGGCCTGGCTCCAAGGTTCACACCCTCCCTGGTGGTGGGGGCAGGGGAGGTCCCCGGAGTGAGCAGCTCCTCCCGCTGGGCCCCTGCTAAGTCCCAGCTGTGCCCTTGGTCTTATTTATAGGGTCCTGGTGGCCTGGCAGGAACTTGAAGACCTGGGGCTGGAACTGGGGGCGGGGGGGAGGGGGGGCCTGGGCAGAGGCTGCTCCTGTGGCCTGGTGGCTGACACAACCTTCCCTGGGCTGCGGATTCCTGGAGAAGTGGGGGCCTGGTCACTCGTGTCCCGAGGCCCAAGTGGAGGGGGAGCCAGGCAGGGGACCGTGGGCTGTTCCAGAATACCTGATCTGCTGACCGGCGGCCTCAGAGTCGCAAGGCCCCCAACGGCACCTCGCCTCAAGTGAAGCTGTGGCAAGTCACCCGCATAGTGCCATGACGTGGGAGTGAGCTGCCCGTCCGTGCTGACAGGCCCGGGGCGGCCTCTCTGTCACCATCCCAGCTCCAGTGACACAGGCAGGCCCACCCTCCCCACTCACCCCCCTGGAATTCCCTGCCTACCCCACTGCACAGGGCCCTGTCCCAAGGAAGGGAGGAGGTCAGGAGACCCCAGCCCCCGCCGTCCACACACCAGCTGGAGCCAGTGTTGCCCGCCCCCAGGGTTATGGAAAGGAGAAGAGGCAGGCCCAACGGGGCAGTGCCAGGGAGCCGCCCCCTCCTGGGCCCACCCCACTCCATCTGGGGCCAACCCAGAAGCCTAGGTGCCCACGGAGGTGCCAAAAACACTGCAGATTCGGCACCCGGCCAGGCAGGGCCACCCACAGGACCGGCTGGCACAGGGCGGGGCCAGCGTGGGAGCGGGTGGGGCCCGCCTCTTTCCAGAGGCTGGTGGGCAGGGCCAAGGGCCAGCAGGGCTCAGGGTCAAGGCCTGGAGACCAGGAACTCGGCAGAGGCGCCAGGAGCAGCAGGGACACCCCTCCCTGACCGATGTCCCCATCACTGGTGACCTTCACCCTCCCCACCGTTGTAGGGTGAAGGTCAGCAGCCTGCCCGCCTGGCTGCACCCCACCCACCCCCTCGAGCCTGCTTCCTACGGACCTCCAGGTGCCCTAAGGGACATAGTCCAGGGGAGCTCAAAGGCCCTATTTGCAAGGGACATGGAGGACGTGAGCAGGGGCCCAGGACGCTCCCGGCTTCACCGGGCCAGGTGGAGGAACAAGAGCCGAGCACACAGTCAGGCTTCCGGGTCTTTAATGGGGCGGGGGCTGGGGGCAGTTCATCCAGAGGTGGCTCCGAAGCTGAGGTCAACCTTGGCGGCTGGCTCTGCAGGGCAGAGGGGATGGTAAGCGGCCCGTCAGGCTGGGGGGATCTTGAGAGGCGGAAGGAGAGCCCCATGGGTGGCAGCCACAGCTCAAAGCTGAGGAGGAGCTTCCCTGGCCCAGTCCCCAGAGCTTTCAACACAGGCAGGGCCTGGGGCCCAGGCAGAAGCCTGCACTGCCCTCTGGTGGCCTCCTTGGCAGGCGCGGCTTCCCCAGGTGGCCGGGACCCCAGGAGCTGGCTGGGCCCACCTGGCATCCCTGCCCAGCCCCTGGCCGGGCCTCGGGACACCGGGTACGCACCGCCTACTCCAGGGCCTTCACCAGGGCCTCGTTGGCCTCGATTCGGATCTGGATCTCTGCCCGCGTGGCCTCGTCAGCTGTCCCCACCAGCTCCGCCTGGGCCTTCTCCAAGTTTGCCTTGGCTGCCTGCAAGGGGTTGAGGGGCGGTGAGGGGCCAGCAGCGACCCCAGCCCGGCTCCTGGTCCCCCAGCGCTCCCTCCCCCGCAGCCTGGACAGCTCCAACCTGCTGAGCCTCAGGTCCCCTCTGACACTCACCCCCAGGTCCAACATGTCCAGCGTCACGGCCTCTTCGGCCAACAACTGCACCGAAGAGTCGGCGTTCACTGCGATGGAACCGCTGCTCACTGGGGGAATGGGGCGGGGGGAAGGCGTGAGACCCCAAAGGGCTGCACAGCCTCAGGGACTCCCCTGGTCAAGTCCAGAGCCCCCTGTGAACCAGGAGCTCCACAAACATCCAAGTCTGTGTCCTGAGTGTGCAAACAGACCCACAGGACTGGCCCTGGGCCCAACATGGCGGGCAACTGCTAGAGAAGAACAAAACAGGGGCCGCAAGAAAGGACTAGAAGCTGGAGGAACCCCCAAAAGCACTGCCTGGGGACAGAGGCCCTCCCTCTGACCCACCACCCATGGGTTGAGCTGGGGTCAGGGCCAAAGGCAAGCTGAGTTCAAATCTGGCCACCACTGGAAACCAGTGAGGCTTAGAACTGCTTTTTTTCCTGCACAAATGACCTTCCTCCCCTAATCTGATCAGCCCTCCCAACATGGTTTTTTGAGGGGTTTTTTTGGCACAGGGTCTCACTCTTGTTGCTCAGGCTGAAGTGCAGTGGCATGATCTTGGCTCACTGCAGCCTTGACTTCCCCGGCTGAAGCGGTCCTCTTGCTTCAGCCTCCCGAGTAGCTGGGACTACAGGTGTGCACCACTACAACCAGCTAATTTTTTGTAGTATGGGATTTCACTATGTTGCCCAGGCTGGTCTCAAACTCCTGGGCTCAAGAGACCCTCCCACCCCGGCCTTCCAAAGTGCTAGGATTACAGGTGTGAGCCACCGCACCCAGCCTCGCCTGGTCAGTTTCTTTTTATTTTTTGTAGAGACAGGGTCTCACTATGTTGCCAAGGCTAGTCTCAAACTCCTGGGCTTAAGCGATTCTCCCACTTCAGTCTCCCAAAGTGCTGAGATTACAGGCATGAACCACTGGGCCTGGGTGGTTTTACATCTCTTGCTTCGACCATCCTACATTGGTTGGTCCAGAGCCAGTCATAAACCGGCTGAGAGCAGGGTCCCCTCTGGTTCGCTTTCATCACCGGCCAGCCCAGGCTCCTCAGTGGACAAACCTGCTAAAACTGTATTTTTCTTATTTGAGATGGAGTTTCACTCTTGTTGCCCAGGCTGGAGTGCAGTGGCACAATCTCCTCAGCCTCCTGACTAGCTGGGACTACAGGCACCCGCCACCACGCCTGGCTAATTTTTTGTATTTTTAGTAGAGACGGGGTTTCACCGTGTTAGCCAGGATGGTCTCGATCTCCTGACCTCGTGATCCCCCCGCCTCGGCCTCCCAAAGTGCTGGGATTACAGGCGGGAGCCACCGCACCCGGCCAGTTTTCTGTATTTTTAGAAGAGACGGGGTTACATCATGTTGGCCAGGCTGGTCTCCGAACTTCTGACCTCAGGTGATCCACCTGCCTCGGCCTCCCAAAGTGCTGGGATTACAGGCTTGAGCCACCGTGCCCGGCCTAAAACTATTTTTTCTCGCAGCCTCAACTGAGACGGAGACTGACCTGGGATGTGGAGCCCCAGCCTGGCCTGGCCCTGCAGCCCTCCACCGGACTCACCAAAGTATTTGGAGGTGGTGCCGTCCTCTGCATGCACCACGACCAGCCCCGGCCGCAGGACCTGCAGCGTGGGCACGTGGGCCGCCAGGATGCCGAAGGCTCCGGTCAGCGTGGGCACGTCCACCTGCCGGACGTTGGCACCGTTGAAGAACACCTGCAGACAACAGCGTGGGGAATGATGGCGGGGCAGGCCGGCCCCGCGCCCACCGGGCACTCGGCCTGTCCTGCTAAGTAATGGGTCAGGGCAGGACCTGGCGCTGATGTGAGGCACTGAGACAACCCAGCGCAGGGATCCGAAGTTGCAGCTTTGGTCCTCAACAGTTGCGCCTCATTCTACTGATCCGCGAAATGGGAATGCAACGATCCGGCGACACCCAGGCTTTGGCCAGGGAGATCGGGGAGGGCACCCAGGAGACGCTTATCTCGGGGAGGTGCCCGGGACGAGGGCAGCGCAGGGCTCGGGCAGCAGAGGCAGGGCCGAGGGTCCAGGGCTGAGTAGCCTCGGCTTCCGGGGCGCGCGGGTCCGGGGGCCCGGAAGCGGGGGTCGCGCCCTGGGGGTGGGGACCCTGGACTCCGGGGGCGGCGGCCACGGAGGGTCCCGACCCGCAGCGCCCGAACCTGCGTGGGAGAGGCGAAGGTGAAGGACATCTGGTTGGGGCCAGAGGCGGCAGCCGGGGCGGCGGCGGCCTCGGCATAGGCACGGGCGTGGCGGACGAGGCGGCCAAGTCCCGGGCGGCGGAGCAGCGCGGCGGGCAGCATGGCAGCGGCGGGCGGCAGGAAGCGGGTAGCTGGCGGACAGCGGACTCCGGCGCGGCGCGGGCGGCCTGGAGGGCGAGGAGGACGACGCGCAGGGACGTCTGGGAGGAGGAGTCCCGGCGAGAGCGCAAGCGCGAACTACGACTCCCGGCAGGGCGCACGCGACGTTGACGACGCAGTGCCCCGTCGTGAGGTATTCTGGGGGTTGCAGTTTTGTTCCGGCCCGGGCTGCGGCAGAACCAGGGGGTGGTCAGATAAGGGCGGTGAAACCGTCCTGGGAGGTGGAGTAAAACGAACTTCAGTGAAATTCAAGATTCGGCTGCGTGGTGGCTCACGACTGTAATACCAGCGCTTTAGGAGGCTGAGGCCAGAGGATCACTTGAGGCCAGGAGCTGGAAACCAGCCTGGGCAATAGTGTAGATCGCCCCCACCCCCGACCCGTCTGTACAAAAAAAAAAAAAAAGATTTTTGGGGCGCTCATTGGATGCAGGGCCCTGGATAGACATCAAGAAAACATCAAGTTTCCGGCTCTGGGCCAGGTGTGGTGGCTCCAACCTGTAATCCCAGCACCTTGAGAGGCCAAGGCAGGAGAATCACTTGACCCCAGGAGATGGAGACCAGTCTGGGCAACAGAGGGAGACCCCGTCTCTACAAATAATCAAAATTAGCCGGGCGTGGTGATGCACGCCTGTGGTCCCAGCTACTGGGGAGGCTGAGGCGGGAGCATCGCTTGGGCCTAAGGAGATTGAGGCTGCAGTGAGCTATCATTGCGCCACTGCCTAGCCTGGGCAACAGAGTGAGAATCCCACTCTGGGGCCGGGGGTTATTTAGCAGACATTTGAGATCATTAATAAGCAGGTCAGGCCGGGCGCGGTGGCTCACGCCTGTAATTCCAGCACTTTATCCGATCTGGAGGGCGAGGCAGGCGGATCACCTGAGGTCAGGAGTTTGAAACCAGCCTGGTCAACATGGCGAAACCTCGTCTCTACTAAATATACAAAAATTAGCCGAGCATGGTGGTGGGCGCCTGTAATCCCAGCTACTCGGGAGGCTGAGGCAGGAGAATAGCTCGAACCCGGGCGGGGGGGGGGGGGGGAGGTTGCAGTGAGCCGAGATCGCGCCACTGCACTCCAGCCTGGGCGACTGAGCAAGACTCTGTCTCAAACAAAAAAATAAATAAAATTTAAAAACAAACAGGTCGTAGTGGTAGGTGGTGGCAAAAGCCAAAAATAAATCACAGTAAAAGCCGAGAAAGTGTGCAGGACGGGACAGGGTGGAAGGCTGCAGGTGCAGCTGTTCTAGGAAACGGCGACCGCGGCGAGGGGCACAGCGCGGGCGACGCGGGAGGGCTCGCTGGGGATCCCGGACCCCGGCGCGCTGCTCCTCGACGCCGGCAGAGGGCGCTCCGCGCCCGGAGATGCGCTCGCCGACCCCCCACCTCCTGCCTGGCCGTCGCCCCCGTGCGCCTCTGACGCAGGAGCGCGTGCGCGGGCGGCTCGGGGCTCCGCTGCCGTCAGCCAGCGGCCCGCGCAGCCTCGCTCGCGGCTATGACGTCACCGCCCCGCCCCCGCGCTCACGCAGGTCTGCGGCACCCGGCCGGGCCCCCAGCCCCGCTCCTTAGGCTCCGGGAAAATGCGGAATCGGGGATGGCGGGGGTTGGGGCTCGGGCTCCCTGGAAAGGGCCTTGAGCCTGGCGCGGTGGGCTGGACCCCAGGGGTGCAGGGAGCAGGGGAGGCCCTGGGGCTGTGGCTTTACAAGGGTGCAGCCAGGGAGATCCAATGCCTCCTGCTGTGGGCGAATCCGACACGATCCGTGGCTCCCTACATCCGGAGGCTGCACCCTCGCCCCCTGCCCGTGTTCAGGCCAGTGCAATGGCGGGCGCCACTGTCCCCTGGAACCCAAGCACCTGAAGAAGGCCCTGCTGGTCCGACTCAGGATGAAGGCGTGGGCCTGGCTCCTCCCACCGGGCCAGCGCTGTGACGGTCACTTGGAGCCTGGTCATCCTGGCCCTGGCTCGGGGGGTGCAGAGGAGGAGGCCTGTTCACTTTTCGAGTCGTGACCTGTGCACCTCCTGGCTCTCAGGACCGCATATCCAGCTGCCACTCCAGGAAACTGGGAGGCCTAATAGACTCAGTCTCACTCGTGGAACCACTTCCCTCCAGTCCCCACTCCAGGGTCGCCCACGGGTGAGGGCGCCATTACTCCAGCCCCAAACCTGGGGTTCCTCTGGAATTCCGCCCTGTCCCGGCCTGTGCACCCAGCATGGCCACCGCGGCTACCATCTCTTGCCTAGGAGGCCCCAGCCTCCCCCCGTTTAGTACAGGTACCTTTTCTTCACACAGCCAGAGGGAGTCTTTATTAAAAATCAGAAACCTGGCGGGGTGTGGGGGCTCACACCTGTAGTCCCAACAATTTAGGAGACTGAGACAGAAGGATCTCTTGAGCCCAGAAGTTCGAGACCAGCCCGGACAACATAGCAAGATTCCATCTCTACAAAAAAAAACAAAACAAAAATTAGCTGGGCATGATGGCGCGCACCTGTAGTCCCAACTACCTTCCGGGCTGAGGCTGGAAAATTGCTTGAATCCGGGAGGTGGAGGTTGCAGTGAGCCGTGATCACACCACTGCACTCCAGCCTGGGCGACAGTGCGAGACTCTGTCTCTCCAAAAAGCAAAACCGAAATACAAAAAACCCTGAAGCCTGCCCATGTCATGGTCCTGCTGGGAACAAGACGATTTCTCTGCTTCCTTCACAGGCATTGACTTGCAAACTTTTTTGCCTCAAAACCTTTGCCCATGCAATTCCCATTTGCCTGGCACCAGGTTCCCTGGGGCTGCCCTTGGAGTTCACAGCTATCGGAGTGGTGGCCCCACAGCACACAGGAACAGGCAAGGCGCAAGGCATAGGGCCTTGGAGGGACGTAGCAGAGGAGGGGACCCAGGCATGGGCTGGAAGCCAAGAGCAGAAGCGCCGAGACTGTGAAGCTGGGGAAGGAGTTGAAGGAAACCGGGGTGAATCTCTGGCTGCATGGACAGAGGCCTGGGTACAGGGCACCTGCAAGGGCAGAGGCGGGGAGGCTGAGCTGGGCCAGCCACGTGCCAGAGCGGTGTCAGCCTTTCTTTGGGACGAGAAAGAGGAGGCGCTGTGGGGTGTTAGGCGTGGGCTCAGAGGGGTTGGGGTGGCGCTCGGGCCAGGCTGGTGGCAGGTGTGTGGCCTGAGTATCTGCAGGATGAGGTTCGATGGTCTAAGAGGGAGAAGCGGGGGCAGCTTTGGGCTTTGGGTTTCTGCGGGTGTCGTTCTGATGTCACCCCACGAGGAGCAGGCCTCTGTGAGTGCACGTTTGGGCCCCGATGGGCTCTGCTCAGCTTTGTGCCGGGGTCTGTGATCGCTGTCACACAGGGGAGGGGGCAGGAGAGGCATGGCGAGTCCTCCACAGTGCCAGAGGGGACCTGCGTGGGGAAGCAGGCGGGGCGCCTGTGTCCAGAGACCCTGGGCTGTGCAGCTTAAAGGGGAATTGTGGCCGAGGGGCCCTGGCTGTGCCGCCCCAGAACCCCCACGGACCAAGCAACGTGAGAGGGGAGTCCGTGCCCCCCCGGACCCCACCCCCTCCTGCGCACGCGGCGCACCTCGGGCTGCAGAGTCGTGAATTCCAGGACACCCCCAGCTGCGTCCCTGGGACCTCAGGACCGGGCGAGGTGAATCGTGCCGATGGGCCGGGGGCGGGGCTCGGCCGCCGCGGCGGGTGCGGGGGGCGGCTCCGCGTGCGGAGTGGGCGCCCGGGAGCGCAGGCTCCGCCCCCCGCCCCGCCGGAAGGGAAGGGGAGGCGGTGGCCGGCGCGGAGCCAGCCAGACCCAGCGGCGAGCGCAGCGGGGGCGGCGGGCCGGGGACCGGGCAGCACCGGGCGCGCGGAGCGGGCGCGCCGCCAACGCGGTCACGTGCGCGGCCCCTCCTCTCGCGCCGGCCTCCCCCGCGCCGCGCTCTCCATTCATAAATTCTCCGCCTGCTCCGCGGCCACCGGGCGCCGGAGCCAGCCGCGAGCGCCACGCAGCCGCCCGCCGCCAGCCCGCCGCCCATGGGCCGCTCGTCCCGGCGCTGAGGTAGGCGCGGCGGGCTCGGGGCTGCGGGGGGCGGACGGGGGACAGGCCGGGGATCGCAGCCGGCTGTGGGCTAAGCGGCCGGAGGGAGGGCGCGGAGGAGTCCGGCGGGCGTGGGGACCGAGATCCGGGCCTTGCGCCCCCCACCCGGCTGCCTCCAGAGGGACCCCCGCTCAGGCCCCGCCCCAGCCTCAGTTTCTCCCTGTGAGGTCGGGCGAGGACGATGGCGTCTCGGCTCAGCCCTGGCGTCGGGTCCCTGCCTCCCCTGGCTCGCCATCCCCACCCTTGGCCGGCTCGGGGGCGCGGTGCTGCCCCGTGGGGAACCTCCGCCCTCGGCTCCCGCAGCCGCCTCCCCCAGGAGCCCCCCTCTTCCCCTCGGCCTCCTGCCATCTTCCCCGGCCTCCGGTCACCATCCTGCGCCTGTCCCCACCCCCTCCAGCCTGAACTCATTTCCCGACCTACATATGCGGCCCCTTCCCCCAGTACCAGGGCCCGGGCAGCCTGTGACCGGGAGCGCTGAGGACACCAGCCCCCGCCGGGACCCTGCCCGGCTTTGGGCCTCAGTTTCCCGCTGTCGCGTGTGGGCGGAAGTCCGGGAAGGGCAGGAGCGGCTGCCGCCTGTGCGCTCCTCTCGCTCCGGGAAAGGTCTCGCGCGTGCGGTGCTGACCTGGGGCCGCCGAGCACCCCGGCGCCAGCCCCGACCCCCTGCGATTCCCGGGCCTCCCCACCCGGCTGCGCCGCACAGCGTCCAGGCGGCTCCTTTCCCTGGTGCCGCGCCCCGCCTCAGTTTCCCCCGAGCGTAAGGCGGCCGGGGATGCTCCGGGCGCCCGGGCTGGGCACGGCGGGGAGGCGGCCGCGGCCATCTTGCGGCTTCGCGCCCGCCCCCCCGAGGCCGCCGCCCCCCCCCAGGCCGCCGCCCCCGCGCCCCCTCCCCGCCGCTCCCTGGCAACCCGCCCCCCCAGCCGCGGCCTGCTCCGCAGTCGCCATGGGAACCAGCTTCTCCGGGGCTGGGAACAGATGCGCCTTCTTTGTCCCTTGCACTCCCACCAGCACTCAGCACCGGGGAGACCTCCACCTCCCGGAGTCGTGACCCGGGAGCACGCGCCCAGCCCCTGCACCCTCCCTGGCGCGCAGGCAGCGGGAGGTCTCCCTCTACCCAACCATGGCCGGGTGGGCCCTGCCAGGGTGTAGCTGAACTTCTTGGGGTGGGGGTAGCCCCCCACCCCCGTGATGGGGCGGACAGGGCGTCTGGAGTCCTTCTCGAGCCGGCTGCACCGCCTTGGCGTCCCCATTCCTCCGAGTGCTTGCCCTGCCCAGCGCTGAGCTCCAGGGCCTGGCGCTACCTTGCAGGACAGGCCGCACCGGCTGTGTGCAGTTGTGATGGGTACAGGCGCACCCTCAGAGGGCCAGGCCTCCTCCCCCGCCATGGGGATGGGAGATGGAGGTCCAGAGAGAGCCCCCGGGGCCCGCTGGGCAGAGCCAAGCCGGGTGGAGGCTGCCTCCGGCTCTGCTACCTCTCCATGAGTCACTGCCCCCTGTGTGGGCTCCTGCTCCTGCAGGGAAGACCCAGCTTGTCTGCAGTGGCTCCTGCAGGAGAAGTAGGTCTAGCTGGAGCTGACCAGGCTTCCTCCCCACAGGGCCCTCCTCCCCAGTTCAGAATGCAGCCCACAGCCACCATGGCCACAGCCGCCACCACCACCACCACCACCACTGCCACAGTAGCCCTGACGACGTCGTGGGACAATGCCACTGGACGCCCCACGGTGGGTGCAGGGGACAGGTGGGAGGGGCAGGAGGTCGTCCAGGCCAGCAGCACCTGACCCCCCCTGCACACCCGCAGGCAGAGCCAGACCCCATCCTGGACAACTACGTGCTGCTGGTGGTGGTGATGTCGCTGTTCGTGGGGGGCACGCTGGTGGTGTTGTCTGGCGTCCTGCTCCTCTGCAAGCGCTGCTGGGACGTCCACCAGCGCCTCAACAGGTGCGAGGCCCCCACCTCGGCTGGGCAGGTGCATGGTGGTTGTGGGTGCCATCGGGTGGTGGGGGGTCTACCTCACTGGCTTCTGAGTCACAGGGTGGGCTATGCCTCTGGAGACTGGGTGATGCGCAGGGCTTGGCTTGGGGCAAAGAGCCGAGACCCACTGTGGCTATCTGGGCCCTCCGTGCCACTGGGCTCTCCCAACGTCTCTCCCAGGGCCATGGAGGAAGCGGAGAAGACCACCACCACCTACCTGGACAACGGCACCCACCCAGCCCAAGGTGAGGTGCTGGCCAGCCTGGCTGTGCGCTCGCCTGTCCATCCGCCCCTCGGCCACCCGCCGCCCCCTCGGGCTGCCTGACCGTCTGTGTCTGTCTGTCTCCCCCACCAGACTGGGCGCAGCTCGATTCCGACTCATCTCTGTTTCCTTAACGCCCAGGCGTAGGTGGGCCCAGGCGCGTGCTGAGCGAGTGAGTGTGTGAGCGGATGGACGAGTGTCCCTCGCCCCGCCAGCCCGGCCGCCCGTGCCGCGGCCCCAGCCCTCCCTGCCGTGGCCGCCCGGAGGAGCAGCCCTCCCGGGACCAGGCGCCTGGCGTGGCCCGCCCGGGGCCCACCCTCTCCTGCCTCTCCACGCAGACCCCGACTTCCGGGGAGAGGACCCCGAGTGCCAGGATGCGGAGACCGAACGCTTCCTGTCCACCAGCTCCACGGGCCGCCGGGTCTCCTTCAATGAGGCGGCGCTGTTTGAGCAGAGCCGCAAGACGCAGGACAAGGGTCGCCGGTAAGCGGGGCGGCGTTGGGAGGCACCCCAGGGCCTGTCTGAGGTCCTGGCCGCCGGGACGGGGGAGGAGCTGGGTGCGGAGGCTGCAGGGACCAAGGCAGAGGCTCCTGGACTGGGACCGTGGGGTGGGGCGGCCTTGGCCAGTTGCCCCCCTTTCGCCTGCCCCTGCCCAGGCCGGCAGGGTGGATGGCAGAGCACGGCAGCTGGGGCATCGGGCATGGGAGGTGGGCGGGCTCTGATGGCCAGATGCTGTCGCAGGTACACACTGACGGAGGGGGACTTCCACCACCTGAAGAATGCCCGGCTCACGCACCTGCACCTGCCGCCCCTCAAGATTGTCACCATCCACGAGTGTGACTCAGGCGAGGCCAGCTCAGCCACCACGCCCCACCCGGCCACCTCTCCCAAGGCCACTCTGGCCATCTTCCAGGTGAGCCTATGGGCAGCAGCCCCGGTTCCTCGGGGGACGGGAGGCAGCCCCGGGGACTCCCGGACCCCCACGCCCTCACCCACTCTTTTTCTGGGTGGCCCTCATCTCGGGATGGGCGGGGTGGGGTGGAGCAGGGCAGGGGGCCAAGCCCAGCATGCTCCTCACCTGCCCATGTCCCTCACCCACCCATGCTCTTTGACCTGTCACTGCTTCCTCCCCCACCTGGCTCTGTCCCACAGCCCCCGGGGAAGGCCCTCACCGGCCGCTCTGTGGGCCCCAGCTCCGCCCTGCCAGGTGACCCCTACAACTCAGCCGCGGGCGCCACTGACTTCGCAGAGATCAGCCCCTCGGCATCTAGCGACTCTGGGGAAGGCACCTCGGTGAGGGCCCCTGCGTGTCCCCCATGGTGTCCACAGCCGGGGAGGCTCCTTCCCCTCCCTGTCCCCAGTCCAGGACCAAGGTCAACCTATGACCTGCCAGCCACCGCAGCCCTCCTTGGCCCGCCGGGTCATTGCACACGGGAGAAAGAGGGAGCCGGCCGCACACCGGACACAGGCGTGTCCTCACACATGCAGGGGGCACCCCAGGCTCCCACCTCATTTGACATTCCCTAGGTTCTGGAGAGGGTGCGCCACCCCTGCCCTCCCTCACCTG
The DNA here is from genome assembly GCF_000001405.40 of Homo sapiens. Lineage (NCBI taxonomy): Eukaryota > Metazoa > Chordata > Mammalia > Primates > Hominidae > Homo > Homo sapiens. Next base: position 1,233,916 of record NC_000019.10, on the reverse strand, counting down.
CAGCCCACGCCGTGGGCGAGAGACCTTCTAGACACGCACCTCCTTTTCTCTCCAAACCCCATATCCAGGGACCTTCCCCAGAGGGCAGAGCACCTTAGTGTAGCCCACCCAGCCACTGAGCGCCCCTCCTCCCGCTTCTGCCCCTCTCCGAGCAGGTACCCCTCTCTGTCCCAGTGATGGGGGGCCCTTGGGACTGTCTCTCAGACCTACGGCCACCTGGGGCCAGCACACGGGCCCAGGAAGAAGTCTTAGCCTGAGCGCCATCTCTGTTCCCTGCCAGTTGGATGCCGGTACCAGGAGCACCAAGGCTGGAGGGCCCGGGGCTGCAGCAGGGCCTGGGGAGGCGGGCCCGGGATCCGGGGCAGGTACCGTTCTGCAGTTCCTCACCCGCCTGCGCCGCCATGCCAGCCTGGATGGGGCCAGCCCCTATTTCAAGGTCAAGAAGTGGAAGCTGGAGCCCAGCCAGCGGGCAGCCAGTCTGGACACGAGAGGTGAGCTGTAGCACCTGGTGGAGAGTGGGCCCCTGTGGGCTGGGTGCTGGCTGCCAGGGGCTGCCCTGGACATCCAGGAGCAGGAGGTTGTGGGCTGGGTGGGGAGCCGGTGCTCTGGGGCTGAGTCCTGCCCAGTCTGCCAGCGGGCGTGCTGCCTGAGGTTCTGCAGGTGGCTGGGAGGGCTGAGTGTGCGGGCGGCCTGAGCCAGACCCACCCAGCTCCGGGAACCTGTGCGGGAAGGCTTTGCGCGCCCCGACTGCTCTCGGGCCATTGGGGCATCCAGGATGAGGTGGTAAAGGAGGGTGTCGGGGGCCACCTGGTCACTGTGGAGCGCAGAGGGTGGGGCCTGTGGCCTGCATCCCCTCCCAGCCATGCTCGGCTCTCATCCCTGGGAATGTGAGTGGAAGGCGGGTTCCCCCGGGGCCCCTCCCTCGCCCGCTGGCAGACCATCAGCTGCTGTGTGACCTTGGCCGAGGCCCTCTGCCTGTCTGGGCTCTGACTTCCTCTAACACGAAGTAAGTGTTGGACTGGGCCAGGGGTCAGCAGACTTTTCCCATCAGGCCCCGGATGGTGGTGTTCGTGGGGTTATGGTCAGAGAGGCTGTGTCTCCACAACTCTGCTGCTGTTGAGGCGAGGAAGCAGTCAGAGGCGCTGCATGACGAATGCACGTGGCTGTGTGCCAGTAAAACTTACCGAAGCTCCGGGGCAGGGGGTGCTTTTGCCCTCTGGGCTGTAGCACATAGATCCCTGGACTGTTTGACAGTAGCCCTTCAATTCTGCAGGCCTTGGGTCAGGCAGGATCCTGGAGACAGGGCTGCCTTATCTGGGCTCGAGGCAGGAGTTTGTGTGGGGAGCAGAGGTGTCCCATCTGTAGCACTGGCAGCAGGCACCAGCCCTGCTCAGCCAGCTCAGCAGGGCCAGGGCAGCCCAGAGGGGCTGGGGCCCGCTCTGCCTTGTGGACAGGGTGGCAGGTCCTGTCGTCAGGTGAGGCCAGGATAGGGGACAAGTGCAGAGAGAAGGTGCTGTCAGCATGACAGAGGACACATCATCAGACAGTGGGAGACCCTGTGTTGTGGCTCCAGCCAGCGGGGGTGGGGTGAGTTCTCCCAGCCCCCACCCCCAAGGTAGCTAGGGGCCAGGGAGGGGAAGGCCTCCTCTGGCTGCCCCGCTCCAGCTGAGAGAATCCAGATCTTGAAATGAATGGGGCCCAGGGGTGACTAGAGACATTTAGAGTCCAATGTGGTTGCAGCACATCCCAGAACCTGTTTGCTGGGGCCTGCCCACTCAAGCTTTGCTGGGGAGGCTGTTGGGAGAAGGGGGCCGAGGCAGGGGTGGGGCAGTCCCCCAGCGCTCTCCAGACCAGGGTGGAGCTGGCAGGAGAGGGCACCTCTCTCCCTCTCCTCGTTGGCCCCCACCAGCCTGTATGTGACTCTCTCATGCCTTCCGTAGTTTCAGCCAGGCTGTGCAGGCCACCAGGTGTCCAGGACACGCCCTTATGAGTGGCCACATGTTGACCAGGGCTGCCACAAGGCACTATCGGTGCCAGAGGCCCTTCCACTCACTCGCTTCCTGGCCCTGCCCTGCTCAGGCTCTCTGGTCCCAGCACCTCTTCCCTCCGTGCCTCAGTTTTCTCACCTGTACTCCAGGGTGTACACACAGCCACTGTCCGCACCCACCTGACCCGGGGAGATGCCAGCCAGGGTCTGGCCCAAGCCAGGGCCCACTCCTGTGTGTGTGAGACAGAGACAGGGCACACGCGTTGTGTGTGTGTGGGGGCCACAGGTGTTCTGTGTGTAGGAGGGTACAGGCATTCTGTGGGGGGGGCACAGGCATGGGGGGTGCACAGGCGTTCTGTGGGGGGGGCACAGGCGTGTGTGTGTGAGGGGGCCACAGGCGTTCTGTGGTGGGGGGCACAGGCGTTCTATGTGTGTGTATGGGGGCCACAGGCGTTCTGTGTGTGGGGGGGGCCCAGGCGTTGTATGTGTGGGGGGCACACGTTGTGTGTGTGTGGTGGGGGTCCACAGGCGTTGTGTGTGGCGGGGGGGCACAGGCATTGTGTGTGTGTGGCGGGGGGGCATAGGCATTCTGTGTGTGTGTGGAGCGGGTGGAGGCACATGCCGGCTGACGCTTACGGCACATCCCGTGCGCAGGTTCCCCCAAGCGGCACCACTTCCAGCGGCAGCGGGCAGCCAGTGAGAGCACGGAGCAGGAGGAGGGGGATGCCCCCCAGGAGGACTTCATCCAGTACATTGCCCGGGCGGGCGACGCCGTGGCCTTCCCGCACCCCCGCCCCTTTCTGGCCAGCCCGCCCCCTGCTCTCGGCAGGTATTTTTCAGTAGATGGAGGTGCTAGGGGTGGACCTGTGGGCCCTTGCCCCCCTTCGCCCCCCCCTAGGCGGCCCAGGGAGCGCTCTCCAGGCCCCGTGGACACGCGCTCGCCTGCCTCCAGCGGCAAGGCCCCTCCCAGAGGCGGACTCACTGGGGCCACCTCTCCAGCATGGACCAGAGGAGGGAAGCAGGGAGAGACTGGGTAAGGGTAGGGCGGTGGGTGGGGAGGAGGGGCCCCCCGAGGATGGCGCTGGTACTGCTGCTTGCTGGTGGAGTCCGAGGCCTGAAGGGTTCTGCTGTGGTCCCAGGCCCTCTCCCACCCCCGCCCCGCCCATGCTCCCAAGGCTGGGCAGACTCCTCTCAGAAGCTGCTGTGACCACTCCGGCCAGCAGCACCCCTCCCCCAACCCAAGGGCAACTTCCCTGAAGCCCAGGGCCCACGTCGGTGGGATGGGAATGGGGCGTGGGGCTGGGGCAGAGCAGGGTTCCTGGGGCAGCCCTGGTATGGCGGGTGACCCTCACGTCTGTGCACTGTCCTCCTGCTGGTTATCCAGCATGGGTGGGCAGAGAGCCCTAGCCTGGAGCAGGGGCTGAGCTGGACTCAACCGCGTCCAGTCCATCCCCTGCGGCTCCCACGTCCACTGGGAGGCTGGGAAAACGTGACTCCCGGAGAGAAGCATGTTGACTTTTCCTGGGGGCTTCCAAGGGAGGGGGCCCCGCCGTCTGCAGTCCAGCATGGAGGCACCCTGCTTAATAAGCAGGCGCCACAGCTCAGGGTCAATGCAAGACGCATCCCCTGCAAAACACACTGGCTCATTTTAAAGCTCTCACCTTCCAAGGCCCGCCCGAGTCCCAAGTCCCACCCGCGTCCACCCTCCCTGATCCAGAGGCGGGATGGCCGGCCGGGTAGGGGGCGCGGGGCTCGGCGGGGCTCTGACGGCGCGGCCTGGCTTGCAGGCTAGAGGCGGCCGAGGCAGCGGGAGGAGCGAGCCCCGATTCCCCCCCGGAGCGCGGCGCGGGCAGCGCGGGGCCTGAGCAGCAGCAGCCGCCACTGGAGCCGGACGCCGAGCGGGACGCGGGCCCCGAGCAGGCCCAGACCAGCTACCGCGACCTGTGGAGCCTGCGCGCCTCGCTTGAGCTGCATGCGGCCGCCTCGGACCACAGCAGCAGCGGCAACGACCGCGACTCGGTGCGCAGCGGCGACAGCTCGGGCTCAGGCTCCGGGGGCGCGGCGCCCGCCTTCCCGCCGCCCTCCCCGCCCGCGCCGCGGCCCAAGGACGGCGAGGCGCGCCGGCTGCTGCAGATGGACAGTGGCTACGCCAGCATCGAGGGCCGCGGCGCAGGCGACGACACCGAGCCACCTGCCGCGCCCGCCCGGCCCCGCAGCCCGCGCGCCTGGCCCCGCCGCCCGCGCCGCGACTACAGCATCGACGAGAAGACGGACGCGCTGTTCCACGAGTTCCTGCGCCACGACCCGCACTTCGACGACACGCCGGCTGCCGCGCGACACCGCGCCCGCGCGCACCCGCACGCCCGCAAACAGTGGCAGCGTGGCCGGCAGCACAGCGACCCCGGCGCCCGCGCGGCCCCGGCCCTGGCCGGAACCCCGGCACCGCCTGCCGGCGCGGCCCGACCCGCGCGTGCGCCCTTGCGGCGCGGCGACAGCGTGGACGGCCCGCCCGACGGTCGCACCCTGGGCGGCGCCGGCGACGACCCCGCCATCCCCGTCATCGAGGAGGAGCCGGGCGGCGGGGGGTGCCCCGGCTCGGGCCTGTGCGTCCTACCATCCGGGTCGGTGCTGGACAAGCTGGCGGCTGGCCTCGACGAGAGACTCTTTCCGCCGCGCCTCGCCGAGCCCGTCGTGGCGACTCCCGCGTTGGTCGCCGCCGCCCCCACGTCCCCCGACCACAGCCCGGCCTAAGTCCCGCGTCCTGGGCCCATCTCTCTGGCAGCTTCTCCGGCGCCGCACGGGGCCTCGGCGGCGGGAGAGACGTGGGGGCGCGACGCCCCGACGCGAATGCGCGGGGACCGCGGGCCCTTCGCGCACGCGCCGGGCGACGGAGGCGCGCTCGCCGCTTCAGGGCGCAGGCGCAGAGCCCCGGCCGCCCTCGCGCCGCCGAAGTGTGCACTGCTCTTTCCGGTGCTTGCCGGGTGCTGGGCGTCGTGAGGCGCGGGCCGCGGAGACCCCGGCTGGGCGGGAAGGAAGGGGCGTGAACGGCTCTCAGCTTCGGGCTCCTGAGGACAACGATCACTCGCCCTCAGTCCCGGACGGGGCGGCCGCTTAGTCGCAGGGCCCGCCACCCGAGGGTCGCGCAGCCCACTGGGCCCGATGGAGCCGCCGCGTGCCGGGCGCGTGCGCGAGCTCGCCCGGGCGGGGGCCGCGGGGCGCTAACGGTCGCAGACGAGTTCGCCGCCCTGGGCCGGGAGGCGGCTCAACACCGTGACTGCCGACCTCCGAGACCGTTTACCTCACTGCGGCGTGTGCTGGCGGCAGCCCGCGCCGCCTCCGAGCAATAACCGCGCCGCCACCGCTGCTGCCGCCGGCCCTGAGGGAGCCGGCCCCGGCCCTCCCGCGCCCCGAGTCCCCACTGCCCTCCGCATGTCAACGGCGCCCGCCCCGCTGCCGCCCCATCCACGTTGAGACGCGAACAAAACCCAGACGGCCAGGTCCAAGCTTCCCAAGCTTTATTTATTGCCAAATTTGGGCGGCCTCGCCCGCACGGCACCCTCCGAGTCCCCGCCGCGTCTGCACCATCCCGCGATGGCGTTTCTCGTGTTTTTCTTTTCTGGATGATATAAATATTGACCGCACACTCCTGCTTGCTCCGGGTTTTCTCTGGGGTCCCAAGAGCGCAGTGGCCTTGGGGGAGAGGTGAGGGTCCTGCCCTCCGGCCGGGCCGCCAAAGCAGGGTGACCCGAGAGCGCAAAGGCGGCCGCGACGTGAGCCCGACCCCACAGCCCCCCTGCCACCCAGCAGCTCCCAAACACCCCTCACAGCCACAGCTCAAATCCACCTTTTATTTTTTCTTAAAAAAAAAAAGAAAAAAAGAAAATGGAACCAACCAAACAAAAAACCAAAGCGGCCGCGCGGCTTCCAGGTGGCGCTGCATGCATGGCGGGGTCAGGAGCCTGGTCTCCACACCCGCCAGCTGGTCTGCGGCGGGGCCGCCGGACGGCGCTGGGCGCCCTGCGGAGCACGAGGCCACGGGCGGGGCCAGTAGTCTCCACATAAAGTGCATGGAGGCCGCCTCCCTCCTCCCACGCCCGCCCGGGAAGGCTCCGCCCGGGGCTGCGAAGTCAACAAGCCGCGTGCACTGCCGGGCGGCCGAGGGGGGAGGGCTGCGCCCGGTCCCTGCTGTCCCCCTGCCCGGCCCTGCAGGGCGCTCCGGAGGTCCTGGGGCGTGGTCGGCACAGAAGCATGGCGGCCACCTCTCCGGGAGGGCGGGCGGAACCGGCAGGAAGACTGAGGGCCTGGCGCGGGCACCTGGCGGGGCTCCTGGACACGGGCTGCAGGGTGGAAGGAAGACGGAAGAGGTCAGCCTGGGCACCGGTTCTCCGCCTCCCGCGGGCCCCTGGGAGGATGGAGAAGCTGAGGTACAGTCATGGGGCTACCGGACTCCTGGGGGGCAGCAGGGGAGGCCAGGGAAGGCCACCCTTGAGTCACTCCCGGGGTACATTGTGTGGCCTTTTGCAGTGGGGCCTGGCGGGCTCTGACGCTGGTGGATGGGCTGTGGGCACCCATTTGGGGGACAGACATGTAACTCAGGCGGTGGCCCCCAAAACCTGGGAGAGGGGCTGTGGCAAGGCAGGGGCTTCAGCCTCGGGCCCCCATCCACCCCGCATCCTCGGCAGGTGACTTAAGGGTCTCTGACACCTCTGGGACTCCGTCTCCCACCCGGGGCTGGGGCTGGGGCTGGGAGAGGAGGCAGGCACACAGGGAGAGACAGGGCAGCGTCCGGCACGACTCAGCCTCAGCCATACTTGGCAGCTGGCTCAGAGCCTGCGGCACCCCGGCAGAGCCATGGAGGCCGCGGCCCCTCCCCACCACCCACCACCCACTGGTGCTCAAAAGCCTCTGGGCTGAGCCCAGCATAAGCCTTTCCTGGAAGCGGCGCGGGCATGGGGAGGGGGCGCCAGGCCCAGGGCAGGGTCCTCGGAATGCACCCACTCTGAGAGGTGGCTGTGAGGACGGCACGCCCCCCCAGAGCCCCGCCACACGTAGGCCTCCATGACCAGCACGCTGGCCAGACACCAGGCCCCGAGACGGCACCCTCCACGGGGATCGCTACGTGGCCAAGCCACCCAAAGGCCACATGGCAACCACGCGCAGCCACGTGACGGTCACCATGACTGACTAGCGCGGGCTATGCTCACGGCTGGCTGTGGCATCCAGGCGTTGTCCCCACATGCCCCACCCGGGCCCCGCCGCGCCCCACCTGCAGGCGGCCAGCCTCACTGCTGCTTGCAGGCCGACAGCCGGCGGATCTTGCTGCTGGCGGAGCAGGCCTTGCGGGCAGGGTTGGGGGCCCGGCCCTCCGCCCTGGATTTGGTGCTCAGCTGCGCCGCCTCTGTGCCGTTCATACACACGGCCTTGGGGAGGCCCCGGCGCTGTCCATTGTGACTGGCCTCCTCTTCTGGGACCTGTCCTGGGAGGGAGACGGCAAGTGTGGCCTGAGCTGAGGGGCGCAACCCCAGAGCCACAGGGACCTGGCTGGCCCCCACCACGGGGACGCACTTACAGCTGCTGCCCAGGCCATGCCCGCCCCCGGGTCAGGCCCAGGTGTATCCAGCCTGAAATGCTGCCCCCCAGCAGCTCTGGGAGGCACCCCCCGGGGCTGAGCCTCCCGCAGATGGCCTGGGCAGGAGTGTCCCCTCCACCACGTCTGTTGCACCTGCCATGGCCGCAGGTGGGACCCCACCCAGGTACTGACTGCAGGAACCTCACGAGTAGGAGGCAAGCTGACAAGGCAGGACCCTCCCGTGCTCCCCTGGGGCACCCTGGCCCATGGTTGGTTCTAGAGGCCCAGGAGCCGCCACATGCTCATCTGTGAGGACACAGGAGGGCCAGGCTCGGGCCAGGCTCAGGCCAGGCACGCGAAATGCCAGCACAGAACCACGCGGGGAGCAGAGCTCAGCCTGCCAGGGCCCCCAGCTGCCCCCAGTCCCTGCTAGCCACCAACCATCACCAGCACCCTGGTGAAACCCACAGGCCTGGGGCTGCCCACCCTGCCCAGGTGGACACTGTTCTCACAATGGCAGGGGAAAGTGCAGGAAGCTGCCCACGTACTGTCCCTGCGAGGAGCCGTGGTGGTTGGCGAGGACTCCGCGAACACACTGGCTGCCGAGCCATCCCCGAGGCCCCTCCCGGGCGAAGTCAGTGGGAGGCCGCCCCGGGCTGCCCCAGAGCTCATGTGCCCAGTGCAGAGCCCCAGCTCCGAGAATGGACCAGTGGCTGACTCAGCAGCTTCCAGAACTTGCCACACACCCACCCCATGTGCACAGGAAGTCACTAGCTTTAAAAAAGCACCTTGGGCCGGTCGCGGTGGCTCACGCTTGTAATCCCAGCACTTTGGGAGGCCGAGGTGGGCAGATCATGAGGTTAGGAGTTTGAGACCAGCCTGACCAACATGGTGAAACCCCCGTCTCTACTAAACATACAAAAATTAGCCGGGCATGCTGGCGCGCACTTGTAATCCCAGCTACTCAGGAGGCTGAGGCAGAATTGCTTGAATCCGGGAGGTGGAGGTTGCAGTGAGCCGAGATCGCACCACAGCACTCCAGCCTGGGCGACAGAGCAAGACTCTGTCTCCAAAAAAAAAAAAAGATAAAAAAGACCTTGGTGAGGAGGCACCAATTGCACCCATAGGTCTGAGCTTGGGCCCAGCCCGTCTCTGGTGGGGCAGACCCTGTGGACAAGGTGCCCCAGCTCTGCATCAGCGGGCACAGCCGCCACTGGGCCCTTGCCCCACCCCACACTCCTGTCTGCACTGGTGCCCAGGATCTAGCCCAAGCCCCTTCCCTGGGATCTGGGTGTTGGCAGCAGGACCCGCATCCTGGGTAGGGACACGTGAGGCCAAAGTGGAGGCACGCAGAGGCCGATGCAGCAGCCCCGGCAGAGCGCAGAGGATGGCCTGACCCGAGGGCGCCGGGCTGTCCTGCCCCAACGCAAGGGGGCTCTGCAGGTCAGGGACGGGGCTCACGCTGAAGCCTGAAGTTGAGCCTGTCCCCAGCATCTGAGCAGTGGGAGGGGCGTCCACCTGAGTACCCAGTACTGAGTACTGAGGCCTCAGCCATGCCGAGTGGTCTGGCGGCCCTTCCCCCTGCTGGGTACTCCTCCTCACCACCCACAGTGGGCTTAGCAGGGTCATGAAAAAGGTGGCCCAGCCCCTGCTCTCCTCCCAGGCACCTCACCCCAGGGCAGCCCAGGTCTCACACAGGCCTGAGGGTCCCCAGGAGGGAAGCCAGTGCCGGGTCCTGGCTCAGGGATCCTGGCCTGCAGGGGCGGCCGTGGGGGTCAGCGTGTGGTCCACGTCCCAGTAGGGACTCTCGCAACCTGCCTGGGCTGGCCCTGCCCTAACTGGCCCTCCTGCCTGGGATTTGCCTGGCTGCCCGTCTCAGGGCACCAGGGCTCTGAAAGGCAGAAGACCCTGGGCCTGGGGTCAAATTGCAGCCAGGCCCCAAGGATGGGCACCATGAGGGGCCCCCACCTCCCAGCACACCCTAGTGACCAGGGTACCCAGCAGCACCTCCCGTTCCAACAGACCAGACGCGATGGTCGTGGTGCTGCAAATCCAAGAGCCCAGGAGCTGAGACCCTGTGATCCTGGGGGCCCCACACACGCTGTACCCTCCTGGGGGGCCCCCACATGCTGCATCCTCCTGGGGGGCCCCCAGACACTGTACCCCCCGGGGACCCCCATACACTGTGCTCTCGGGGGCCCCCACACTGTACTCTCCTGGGGACCAGCTACTGAGCTGAGCCTAGGGGTTTGATGAGGGGCCCAGGAGTGCTGAGGGACCTAATGGGGGGCTCTCTGCAGGGCCCCCACTATTCTGGGACCCTCGGGCCCGGGGGTGGACCCTGTGCACTGGGTCCTCACATCCCAACCTGCCTGGCGTACCCCCCTTCTCAGGCCGGCCCCTGCCCACCACTTCCCGCTGAAACAGTAAAGCAGAAAGCCCCCTCAGGCTCCAGCCCGAGCGCAGCAAGCATCCACCCTGCAGATACACTGCAAAACTCTTTATGACACGGCCCAGCCCTGGGCCGAACACAGCCAAGCCGGGAGCATGGCGGGGAGGGGCTGGCTGCCAATGTGGGCCGCCCCTACGCTAAGGCCCTGAGCTCCTCCTCAGGCACTACTGCGGCGCCGGCCGAGAGGCTTCCTCTCCTGAAAGGTCTGAGCCCTCGCTCTTCTGCAAGCCGCGCTCCGCTCTAAGCCCTGCCTCAGACGCCTCCTCGCCACCTAGGGAAGAAGGGCGGCCGGCATCAGGGCCAGCGGGCAGGCCTCAGGGACGACGGGAGGGAGGGCCACTGGACCCTCTCTCATGCCAGCTGTCTGAGGGGCCACCCTGCACCCTGACTCTCACCTACCCTCCCCCGACCCTGGGGCTCCCCCGCCTGCTCCTGCTGGGACTCAGGCCAAGGCCGGTGGGTGGTGCCTGGCTGGGCAGCACCCGGAGAGACGCCTGAGGAACCCTCCTGGCCAGACAGGCCTGGGCTGGTGCCCCCGCTGACCCCACACCTTTCAGCCATGTCCCAGCGGCCCGCAGGGCGGAGGCAGCCTGCAGGTGGGCTGGAGGCTTTGGGGACGTGGGATTGGCCACCAGAGGGCAGAAGCTGTCCTTGTTGCAGACAGGCAGGCACCCTGCTCCCGTGGGACATCCTGGCCGAGTCAGCAGAGCCGGGCAGGGGCCCCCGCCAGACTCACCGGGCACCGTGAAGTCCTGAGTGTAGATGATGTCATCCTCGATGTCGAAGAGGTCCTCGTCCTCGTCCGCGCCGTGCAGGTCCTCCAAGTACGGCACCACAGTCATGCTGCGCCACCGGTCCTTGGTGTCTGGGCTCGGTGGGATGGGCACTGGTGCTTCAGCCGGAGGATGTTTCTTCCGGAACCAGCTGCAAACGCCCAGAAGCAGTGGCGCCTGTCAGGCTGGCACCAGGGCGGTCCAGTTTTCCGACCCAGCTCCTCTGGGCCCAGGGTACCTGCCACACACTCAGGAGCTGGGACCAGGCCGTGCAAGGGGTGGCTGTGACCACAGAAGCTCAGCCATGTCCTCTAGGAGCAGGCAGGCTGACCTGACTCCAAGCCTGACAGATGTCCCCTCCACCCTGAGGCCTGTGTCCCAGGTGGCACTCAGAAGCCAGCACCCACCAGATGGATGCTGGCTGCAAAGCCAGCAAAGGCCAGAAGGGGGTCTGGGGGGCCCTGAGCACATCCCAGCCCAGGAGGCTATCGGGGGGCAGCCCCAGTCCCCGCCAGGCGCCCAGATGACCCGAGCTGTGCAGAGACCCCCAAGGCACAATCAGCACCAGCGCCTCAGGGGTCCGGACACTCCCACTCCCAGAGCCGGTCTCAGTGGGTGGCCTCGGGGCTCGGAGGGGCTCCAGCAGACGGCTCAAGGGCCTCCAGGGGCTGGTGCAGAGGAGCAGAGCCCACGAAGTGAGGGAGGCGGCACTGTGGGGCCTGCTGACCCCGTCCGCTGCTCTGTCTTCCCTGTCATGGAGCTGGGGGCCCTGGGCTGGATCCCAGCCACACCCTGCTGCTGGGAGCCCCAGGAGGAGGGGAAAAAGAGAGGCTCTCGCCAGTGTTTGGGACCAGCTGTGCCCTTCCTGGCGCATCTCCATGCCTAGGGCAGGGACGGACGCATGTCCTCACTCAGACCCCAGTTCGGACAAGGCGCCTGGGTCTGGCCGGTAACAGGACACTGCCCAGAGACCCCACTCGGGCCCCGAGAACTGCGGGCGCTGCACGGGGTCTGGCCCCAGCCCAGCCTGGCACCCCCACCACGCCCTGCTCTAGCGCCCGCTCAACCAGCTGCCCACATGGCCGGCCTCCCTGCAGCCTCGGCCCCACTGCCCCCAGGGGCCGCTCACCTGTGCTGCCGGATCTGCCGGATGGAGAACCTCTTGGCCGGTTCGTACTCAAGCATCCCTGAGGAGAAGCCGGCGAGGAGCCTGTCAGCTGGGCACAGGCCTGAGACCCCACCAACCGTCCCCGCCTGCCCAGCCTCTGTTGTCAGGCCCTGGGTGATACCTGGACGCTCCTAAGGGGGACCCCGCGCACAGGCGGTCTCCCTGACAGAGGCCACTCCACTCCTGGGACATGCCGGGGACAGCCTGTGCGCGGCTGGCAGGGAGACAGGGCTGGGCTGGACGGCCAGGGCGGTTCCGTTCTCCCAAGGCCACTGGGCAGATGGACGGACGGCCAGTGCCACCTGCTGCCATGCGTAGGAAGTGCAGCAGGACAACCCTGACAGACCCTGCAAGCCAGGGAGCCCCCGAGGGTGGGGCTGGGGGAGGCGCAGGGCAGCACTGCCCTCTGGGGTGGGAGTTCGGAGGGTGAACAGGGCCCAGAAGCAGGGTGGAGCTGAGGGACCTGGCAAACCAGGCCCTGCGGGGAGGTCGGCCTCTCCACTCAGTCCTCTCAATGCCTGCTGGGGTCTCGGGGCCAATAGCCCCCCACCTGACACCCCCAACCCTACATTTCTGCACAAAAGCCCCGCCTCCCTGGGGCTGCGGGCAGAGGGATGAGGCTCCCACCTTTCAGCAGGTCAGAGAGCGGGGGGCCACAGTCGCCCGGGATGGCGTAGCTCCCCTTCCCGATGTTCTCAAACAACTTGTAGATGTTGTCCCCTTCGAAGGGGTACAGACCCGTGGTGATGTTGTAGCTTCATTTCGAGGGGAGGGAAGAAAGGCGTGGTCAGTCAAGGTGGTTGACGCCCTAGGAGCCCCAGCTCTACCCCAGGGACAGAGGCGTCCCGTGGCTGCTGGACCAGAGGCCCTGTGGACTCAAGGACACCTCTGTCTTCACCACCTTCCACTAGTGGAGGCTACGGGGTAGGAGGGGAGTGTCCTCTGGACCCACCCGGGGAAGGGGCCTGGAGCTGCTGTCACCCGCCCAGCTTCCCTGTGGGGCTCTGGGAGGAGGGTCGGCCGTGCCACTCTGTGAAGATCCCTGACGGGCCAGGCTGCACTTCACACGGGTGAACCACCATCTGCCGTATGAGTTACATTTCCATAAAGTAAGCACCCCCTAGCGGCTGTGGCCAGAGAGGGTCTGGGCCGGTGGCCACGCCCTGCGCCCACAGGCCGGCAGCTGCCCAAGACGCAGAGGCCCCTCGGAGTGTGCGTGTGGTGAGTGCCCGGGGGGGCGGGGCACTTACAGGGTGACCCCAGCCGACCAGATGTCCACCTTGAAGCCGGAGAAGGTGTCCAGGCCGTTGGCAATCTCGGGCGGCTGGAAAGCCGGGGAGCCCTGGCTGGTCCGGCAGGTGTCGTCCGCCGCGAACGGGTGCAGTGCCTGTGGCGGTGCCGTGCAGCCCTCAGGGAGTGCCCGGGAGGGGGCGCCCCAGGGCCCCCCCTAGCACGTGCCTACCTCGGCCACGCCCAGGTCGGAGATTTTGAGGGTGCCACCGGTGGTGAGCAGCAGGTTCCCCGGCTTGATGTCCTTGTGCACAATGCCCTGGCTATGCAGGTACTCCAGGCCGTCAATCAGCTGACAGAAGTACCTGCGGGCAGCACACACCCGTCCTGGGGCCGAGGCCTCCCTGCCCCTCACAGGGGTCCCCTTTGCAGCTGCCTGGGAGCCTCCCAAACACCACAGGCCCAGCTGGGAAGTCACAGAAGTCCAGGCACACAGGACAGAGGAAAGGCTAGGTCCAGCAGGGAGCCACACCTGCGCCTGCAGTGGCCACCCTCGTCCGGCCGAGCCACGTCTGGCAGGGCCCCGGATGTCCACAGGTCTCATTTTCCTGTGGGCCACAGGCCGGCTGCACCCCAAAGTCTTGCTGGAACAGCAGGCCCCTCCCTGCCCCTGTGGTCCTGCAGCAGCAAGGGGCCCTGACTCTGAGGCCACAGACCTGCATCCAGGAGATCTGGTCAGGGCAGGCGGCTGCCAGCGATGGGCTGGAAGCAGGCCACTGGCCTCAGGCAGCAGGCCCAGCAAAGATGGAGGCGGGAGGTTGGCAGCAGCCCTGCCTGTGGATGCCACACATGGGGGACCCCAAAACTGTTTTTAAAAACTTGGGCCTTTACAAGGCCGGGCGTGGTAGCTCATGCCTGTAATCCCAGCACTTTGGGAGGCTGAGGCAGGCGGATCACGAGGTCAGGAGTTTGAGACCATCCTGGCTAACACGGTGAAACCCCGTCTCTACTAAAAATACAAAAAATTAGCCGGGCGTGGTGGCGGGCGCCTGTAATCCCAGCTACTCGGGAAGCTGAGGCAGAAGAATGGCGTGAACCTCGGAGGCGGAGCTTGCAGTGAGCCGAGATCGCACCATTGCACTCCAGCCTGGGCGACAGAGTGAGACTCCATCTCGAAAAAAAACACAAAAAAACAAAAAAACAAAAAAACTTGGGCCTTCATGTCAATGAATATCAGGACAAGCAGTGTGGCCTCACGGAAAGGAGCCTGCCCTGCCTGGCCCCCGGCCCCCGCCCCACCCTGGCCCCTGCCCCGCGCACGCACCCGTGGGCCTGGCACACTGGGAAACGCTTCTCCGGCACGCTGTCCAGCATTTCCTGCATGCCACACACGCAGTACTCCATCACCATATACGTGGGGCGCTAAGGACACACAGCTCAGGGGGCGGCCCCACTCACAGGCCCAGGGAGCACGGGGGCCAGAAAAGGGGCTCTGGAGGGACCCTCTGCACCCACCTTGCCCCTCCTCGGGACCAGGGCCCACCCTGCCCTCAGCCACCCCTCTGAAAAGGCCCAGGGGCCCCAGCGTCCCAGGAGGAAGGAGCCTACGGGGAAGGGGAGGACAGGGCTGACTCTTGGGGCAGCGTTCCTGCGGGGCTCACGTCCCCCACCCTGCCCATGGGCGGGGGATGGTGCCTCCTGGACGCCCCCCCAAGCAGGCTCGGGCCCATGCAGGACGGTCCCAGGGCCCCTGACCGCGTGGCTCAGGGAACACAGCCCCAGCCTCAGGACCACTTCTGGCTCTTGCTCTGGGCACAGGGCCTTAGGAAGCAAAGTCCCCGTAGGGAGGCTGTGCCCGTAAGACCCATGGGGGTGTCCACAGATGACACGAGGACACGCCCAGCCACGACCAAAATGGCCCACAACGGTCAGCCCGCGTGGCCTGTCTCAGGCAGACCGTGGCTACACCCCTGGTTAGCCTGGGAGGAGACTCTGAGAAAAAAGGGACTTGACACCCCACGGGCCCAAGACACAGGGGCCAGGGCTCAGGGCCCCTTTCAGCAAGCTGCGCAGCCATTGCCACAATGGCTGACTTCCGGGGAACCAGGGAAGGCCACGGCCCTCGTGTGCCAGTCTCCTTCAAGGAGACGGGAAGAGGAGCAGGCCTCGAGGCAGGCGGACCCAGGGCCCCAGCCCCTCCCACGGAGGCCCCGCGGTCCCAACACCGGAAAGGATATATTTTCTGCTTCTCTTCGTTGTATAACACATCCACCAGCTGGATGACATTTTTGTGCCGTAACCTCCTCAGTAGTTGAATTTCCCTGGGACAGAGAGGACAGGGGTGTATCAGCCGACCCAACGTCAGGATGATGGCCTGGATCCCTGGAGTCGGCCTCCCCATCTCCCTGTGGAAGTGGCGTACCTCCTCCCTTCCCTAGAGAGAAGCTGTGAGTTCACAGTGCTGTGGGAAAGGGCCCTGCAGGGGCCACGCGTCCAGGCTCAGGGCGGTAGGGGGTGGGAGCACAGCGCCCTCTAGTCTGTCATCGGCCGGCGAGGGCTTTGGAGGACACAGTTAGGACACTTTTTTTTTTTTCTGAGACAGAGTCTTGCTCTGTCCCTAGGCTGGAGCACGGTGGCCCGATCTCAGCTCACTGCAACCTCTGCCTCCCAGGTTCAAGTGATTTCCCTGCCTCAGCCTCCCGAGTAGCTGGGACTACAGGCACGTGTCACCACAGCCGGCTAATTTTTTTGTATTTTAGTACAGACAGGGTTTCACCATGTTGGCCAGGATGGTCTCGATCTCCTGACCTTGTGATCCGCCCGCCTCGGCCTCCCAAAGGACACTCTTAATTGAGCTTTGTAACTCAGTAACAGTTTTGCTTCCTAGAAACCAGACTACTGCAATGGTAGCACAGATGGAGCCCAGACTGTGGCAGGAGCCAGGGTGAGTTGGAGCCCTGGTGATGGCTCCGTCACACAGTACAGTCCCACGCAGCCAAGGGCTCCCAACTCCGAGGGTCCCACTCCTTGGAGGGTGGGCCGCAGGTGAGCTGGAAGGATGGCCCATAGGAAGGGGCAGGCGAAGAAGGAGACGCCACAGAAAGAGACATTGTGGGGTCCTGCCACACCCACCCGCCTGTCACTGCCCCCTCTGCAGCTGCCGCCCAGTTGGCCACGCCCACCTGCCTGTCACAAGGGTGGGGCACAACAGGCCAGAGAGCACAGCCCCCTCTGCAGCTGCCGCCCTGTCGCAGACACTTCATTTCTCCCAGCACTATAGGAGGCCGAGGCGGGTGGATCACCTGAGCTCAGGAGTTCGAGACCAGCCTGAGCAACACGGCGAAACCCTGTCTCTACTAAAAATACAAAAATTAGCCAGGTGTGGAGGTACGTGCCTCAAGTCCTAGCTACTCGGGAGGCTCAGGTGGGAGGATCACTTGAGCCTGTAGTTACCTGTGATCGTGCTACTGCACTCCAGCCTGGACAACAGAATAAGACCCTGTCTCATAAAAGAAAAAATTAAACAAAAACAAAAATGACGAGGAGCAAGGTCCTCACACCCAGTGGGTGGGCGTGGAAGCGTCTGCAGCTTCTCCAAAGGTCTGTTACCCTGTGAGCCAGCAGCTCCACTCCCAGGTACACACCCTGAGGAACAGTACACGCCACGCAGAAACGGAGCACGAGATGCTCACAGCAGCAGGACGCACAGCAGCCGAGATGTGGAACCACCCAGGGGCCCTTCCACAGACGAGGATCAGCACAGCCCATCCACGCACTCAACAAGACTCAGCCACAAAAACCAGTGAGGCTCTGACTCGAGCCACAGCCTAGCTGCACCTTGAGGATGTCACAGTGAGACACTAAAGGACACACAGTGTGTGATGCACTTTTTTTTTTTTTTTTGAGACAGGGTTTCCCTGTCGCCCAGGCTGGAGTGCACCTCCCAGGCTCAAGCGATCCTCCCATCTCAGCCCCGCAAGTAGCTGGGACTACAGACGTGTGCTACCATGCCCAGCTAATTTTTGTATTTTAGTAGAGACAGTTTCACCGTGCTGCCCAGGCTGGTCTCGTTTGAACTACTAGGCTCAAGTCATCTGCCCACCTCGGCCTCGGAAAACGCTGGGATGACAGGATCCCATTTCTTGTTTTTTTTTTTTTGGAGACGGAGTCTCACTCTGTCGCCAGGCCAGAGTGCAATGGCATGATCTCAGCTCACTGCAACCTCTGCCTCCCGGGTTCAAGCGATTTCTCCTGACTCAGCCCCTGAGTCGCTGGGACTACAGGTGCCCGCAACCACGCCCAGCTAATTTTTGTATTTTTAGTAGAGATGGGGTTTCACCATGTTGGCCAGGATGGTCTGGATCTCTTGCTCTCGTGAGTCACCGCGCCCGGCCGACAGGATCCCATTTCTATGCAATATCCAGGACAAGCCAATCCAGAGCCAGGAAGTGGATTCAGAGTGGCCAGGAGCTGGTGGAGGGGATGGAGAGTGACACAATGGGAATGGGGCTTGCTTTTGGGGTGACCGAACGTTCTGGAATTAGAAGTAGTGGTTGCACAGCCGTGTGAATGTACTTAATGCCACTGAATTGTACACTGTGAACGAATGAGTTGTACAGTATGTAAATTCCATCTCCATAGTTTTTTTTTTCTTTTTTAATTCTTAACAGGAAGCCCAAGCATGGAGCATAAAAAACAGCTGGGGGGCCAGGCGCGGTGACTCACGCCTGTAATCCCGACACTATGGGAGGCCGAGGTGGATCACCTGAGGTCAGGAGTTCGAAACCAGCCTGGCCAACATGGTGAAACCTTGTCTCTACTAAAAATACAAAAATTAGCCGGGCGTGGTGATGGGCGCCTGTAATCCCAGCTACTCAGGAGGCTGAGGCAGGAGAATCGCTTGAACCTGGGAGGCGGAGGTTGCAGAGAGTCGAGATCTCACCACTGCACTCCAGCCTGGGTGACAGAGCAAGACTCCATCTCAAAAAAAAAACTTGGGGTGTCAGGGGTATCCCACGACCCAGCCTTCCCCACCCCCAGCTCAGGGCTGCCTCTTGCAGGAAGCCTTGGCTCACCTTTCCCTCCCAGTGCACCAGTCCCAGGGCTCATTGCTCACTGCCCTCAGGGCAACCTCAGAAGGCCAAGGCCTGAGCTCTGCCAGGGCTGCAGGCTGTGCTGGGGCTGGGCCTGGACAAGGGGCCGCCAGTCTGGGGAGGGGCTAGGAGAGCAGGATGAAGGGAAAGCAAGGTGTGATGGGGACGGGGCACAGAGGGACACAGTCCCCCAGAAGCGGAGCCAGTGAGCAACTGGTTCCGGCCCCTGGCTGTGCCCGGTGCCCTGTCGGGCTGCCCAGCCCTGAAAGCGTCCCCCACTTCCACTGGTCACCGCAGGCCTGGTCTGCTCGCTGAGAAGCCCTGTGTTTCCGTTCTCTCTGGGCTATGTGGTGGTGGCACCAATTCCCAGCAGGGCCCGGCAAGGTTATTTATAGAACTGGCCAGGGCCTGTGTCCACAGCCTGGCAGGCACCCAGGGCATTGAGGGGGACGCTGAGGGTGAGGCTGGGCTCGGCAAAGGCCCCGGGGCCCAGCGCCTTCCTGCCTGCCAGGCTGCTCAGGAGAGCTCGGGGTGGGCCCGAGAGGCCCGGCTCAGCCCCAGATCCCCTTGTTCCCCAGGGCTCTGTGTGCCCCTAACCTCCCCCGCTGATGAAGGTCACAGGCCATTCCTGGGAGGCAAGACTTGCCTTCTATTCAGAGGAGATGCGGTGGCCGGGGGGCGGGGAAGGTGCTGTTTTCAGACAGCAGAGGCCAGATGCTCGGACGCACAGGCCCCAAGAGCCTGATGCTCCACCAGGAGGCGAAAGCACCCCCTCCCTCAGCAGGAGCCGGCTACCGGCAGGGAAGGTGGCCCAGGACACTATTCCAGCCTCCTCAGTGGAGCTGAGGGAGCCACGGGCCTTCAGGTCCAGCACCGCTCTGGCCCACCTCCTGCTGCCTGTGCAGGGACCACCCCACACCCACCCAGGCTCCAGCACAGTCCTAACCCTGAGGAGGGGCAGTGAGGCCAGGAGCTCAACCTGCATGCAGCCTCAGAGCCTCGTGGGGGCCGCTCGGGAGGCTGCACGGCCCTAAAAGCAAATGAGGGTGGAGGACTCCCTCCTGGAAACCTCCCTGCGCCGGCCACCACCTGCCGACACCATGTCTCCTCCATGAGCCATCATTCTACAGATGGGGAAACGGGCACAGGAGGACTCGCCCTCACCGAAGGCGCCCTGCCCTGCCTCCACCTCAACGGGGACACTTCACAGCAGCAGGACACACAGCAGCTGAAACGTGGAAGAGCCCAGGCACTCCTGAGCAGGTCAGCATAGACCAAGGGACACTGGGTTGTCTGTTTAATTAAAAGGGACCAAGGCATTCTGCGCAGGCACGTGCGTCCCCCGATTTATGCCAGGGGAGGAGTGGGGGTGGAGCCACCCCCGCCTGGTGGCAGTCACCTCCGGGATGATGGGTGCACATCAGCTTCTCTAGATCGCCAGGCTTCCTCTGACGTCTCCAGCCAGAAAAAGAGCAGAAGAGGAGGCCCAGCGAAACCTAAGAGCTTGGCGAGGAACAGGAAGAGCCTCCAGGAGGGGGAAGCCCGGCTCTTGGGGCATCGCCAGCCGCTCCGAGGTGCCACGTTAGGGGCCTACTGGGCTTGCCCAGGCAGCATGGACTGTTTAGCTGACTTGTTGATTAGCAGGACAGGAAATAGGAAGGAGAGTCATAAACGCCACTCAAGCTCACAGAGAGGTGGGGCTAGGAGCCTCCGTCTGCCTAGAAACAGATCATACAGGGAAGAGATGGGCCTGGCCCTCGCCCCGGCCTCCCACGGCTCAGAGCAGGACTGGGAGGCACATGGAGACCCAGGAACACCCAGCTCCAGACCCGCGTGCCCTGGTCCCTGAATCCCTCCTGATGTGGCTGAAACAAGGCCCTCAAGGATTCTAGAGGGACGCCGGCTGAGCACACGTGCACCAAAGCAGCCACAATTCACAGGCAGAGGCGGGAGCAGCCCAAGTGTCCAGCCACAGATGAGCAGTCAAACGCAGCGTGGCCCTCCACACACTGGAAAGTGACGCAGCCGTGAACAGCAGAGAGGTTCGGACCCAGGCCACGGCGCGGATGCCCCTTGAGGACAGCACACTCCGTGAGACAAGCCGGACGCAAAAGGCCACGCGGTGTGTGACACCACTCGTGTGAAATGTTCAGGACAGGCCAATCCAGAGGCAGGAAGGGAATGCGTGGGTGCCGGGACTGGGGAGGGAATGGGGAGTGATGGCTGACAGAGACGGGGTTTCCTTCTGGGGTAACAAGAATGTTCTGGAAGCTGATAGAGGTGATAGTTGTGCAACTCTGTCAATGTACTATATGCCACTGAATTACACACTTTAAAAAGGTGAACTTTGCCGGGTGCGGTGGCTCACACCTGTAACCCCAGCACTTTGGGAGGCCGAGGCAGGCAGATCACGAGGTCAGGAGATCGAGACCATCCTGGCTAACACAGTGAAACCCCATCTCTACTAAAAATACAAAAAAATTAGCCGGGCATGGTGGCAGGCGCCTGTAGTCCCAGCTATTCGGGAGGCTGAGGCAGGAGAATGGTGTGAACCCGGGAGGCAGAGCTTGCAGTGAGCCAAGATCACGCCACTGCACTCCAGCCTGGGTGACAGAGCGAGACTCCATCTCAAAAAAAAAAAAAAAAAAAAAAAAGGTGAACTTTAGGCCCAGTACTATGGCTTACACCTGTAATCCCAGCACTTTGGGAGGCCAGAGAGGATTACTTAAGGTCAGGGGTTCAAGACCAGCCTGGGCAACACAGCAAGCCCTTGTCTCTATAAAATAAAAAATAAAAAGGTGGGCCGGGCACAGTGACTCAAGCCTGTAATCCCAGGACTTTGGGAGGCCGAGGCGGGCGGATCACAAGGTCAGGAGATCGAGACCATACTGGCTAACACGGTGAAACCCCGTCTCTACTAAAAATACAAAAACAAAATTAGCCAGGCTTGGTGGCAGGCACCTGTAGTTCCAGCTTACTTGGGAGGCTGAAGCGGAGCTTGCAGTGAGCCAAGATCGTGCCACAGCACTCCAGCCTGGGGGACAGAGCGAGACTCCGTCTCAAAAATAAATAAATAAGTAAATAAAGGTGAACGTGGCGAAGCAGTGGCTCATACCTGTAATCCCAGCACTCTGGGAGGCCCAGGCAGGCGGATAGCTTGAGTCTAGGAGTTTGAGACCAGCCTGGACAACATGGCGAAACCCCATCTCTACAAAAAACTAGTCGGGTGTGGTGGTGCACATCTGCAGTCCCAGCTACCTTGGGGGCAGGAGGGTCACCTGAGCCCAGAGCTATGATTGCGCCACTGCACTCCAGCCTCGGCGATACAGTGAGACCCTGTCTCCAAAAAAAAAAAAAAAAAAAAAAAAAAAGGTGTTAAGAAAATTGAGTCCAGTTTGAGCAATACGGTGGCGTTTGTGGGATATACGGGCCGTCCAGCCGCCTCACTGATTCCCCGACAGCTACAGCAGCGCCCCAGATCCTGAGAGAGGAACCAACATTCCAGGCCTGCCCCAGCTGGCTGGGCACCGGAAGCCCACTGTGTGCACAGCCCAGAACCCCCAGTGGACCCATTACCCCCGCTGTTCTGCGGCTGCCCAGCCCCTGAGCTCCCTCTGGGTCTCAGAGCTCTCCCTCCCGCTGCCCAGAGAGGGGCACAAACAGAGGCCTCGAGGACACCCAGGCCTCACATGGCTGGCGCAGGGGCCTCAGCAGATGCTGGAACCCCATAAAGGCCGCCTGGGATGTAAAGACCTACAAAGTCCAGGACTGACTCCCAGCTCGCGAAAATCCTCTTTACCATAGGTCCAAGCATCTGCCAATCATCGCCGCAACCAGGCACACTGAGTGCCGCCCACCTCCCACCTCCTGGCTGGACACCGCGGGGGCGGTGCGGATGGGAGAGCCACAGCCCGGATCTGGGCCCGTTTCCTACGGCAGCAGTGATTTTCACATTTCCAAACAGGTAGAAAGAAAAGATACGAAAGCACAGTGTTTTGCAACAGGTGGAAGTGACAGGAAAGGGCAGGGCCGTGGGACACCGCCAGGCTGTGCGCTCACGGCAGCCCTGGGTGCCTCTGCGGAGGCTCCACAAGGCGGGCAGACTCCCTGCCTTCGAGCCCACTCTCACTGGGGTGGAAAGGGGGAGGGAGGCATGGCGGCCTTCTGCCTGCACCCCCCCCCCCAGAACCCCACTGTGGGCTCCGCAGCAGCAGCTAGCCGTGCTGTCCCCCGAGAAGCACGGGGAGTCGGGCTGGGCACAGGCGACCCTTTCCAGCCCTTCCCTGCTCCACCCTAGGAACCCACTGCCTACCAGAAACAGCCTATGGCACTGATTTTATTTTAATTAATTGTTTTTTTGAGACACAATTTCGCTCTTCTCTCCTAGGCTTGCCCAGCCTGGAATGCAATGATGCGATCTCGGCTCACCGCAACCTCCGCCTCCCAGGTTCAAGCGATTCTCCTTGCTTCAGCTTCCCCAGTAGCTGGACTACAGGCGCGCGCCACCACGCCTGGCTAATTTTTGTATTTGTAGTAGAGACGGAGTTTCGCCATATTGGCCAGGCTGGTCTTGAACTCCTGACCTCAGATGAAGTAGCTGGGATTATTGGCATGTGCCACCACACCTGGCTAGTTTTTCTATTTTTAGTAGAGAGAGGGTTTCACCATGTTGGCCACGCTGGTCTCAAACTTCTGACCTTGTGATCAAACCGCCTCGGCCTCCCAAAGTGCTGGGATTACAGGCGTGAGCCACCACGCCCGGCCCCAGCCCTTTTTTTTTTCGAGACGGAGTTTCACTCTTGTTACCCAGGCTGGAGTGCAATGGCATGGTCTTGGCTCACCGCAACCTCTGCTTCCCGGGTTCAAGTGATTCTCCTGCCTCAGCCTCCAGAGTAGCTGGGATTACAGGCGTGCGCCACCACACTCAGCTAATTTTGTATTTTTAGTAGAGACAGGGTTTCACCATGTTGGTCAGGCTAACTCCCAACCTCGGGTGATCCACCCGCCTTGGCCTCCCAAAGTGCTGGGATTACAGGCATGACCGAACATGCCCAGCCCTCTTTTTAACTCATTGATGCTTTTTGGAACTTTCCTATTTCTAATAAGATTATACTTTTTGCCGGTGAGAGCGGGACAAGGCATGGACTCCAGGGCTGCCTTTCTGGGAAGGAAGGGAAGAGACGGGACTCACGCCGGCTCCATCTGCCCCAACCCACCCCCCTTGGTGATCGCCCACGCTTTCCACACCAACTGGAGGACCGGACGCCTGAGGCTTGTCTGGAAGGTTCCAGACACTCGCTGCGAGACACAATCTGAGCGGAGTTTATTAAACTTCCCACACACAAAGGAGGCTTTTTCCCTGCAGCGCTGGCAGCAAGGCTGGCCAAGGCCTTGGGCCTCAGGGCTGGGCAGTGGACACCCCTTCTCCTTGACAGCACTCTGCACATGGCAGCCTCCAGTCAGAACACACCAGCTCCCAGAATAGGAGGACCCCCTGGCAGCACCCAGGGGGCTGGAGGAAATGCAGTGGCTCCTGAATCACAGCTGTAAGCGGGGCAGCTCCTGATGGCAGACAGTGACCAGGAAGGGACAGGGCTCACCCCTCATCCCAGGGGGCCCCGCAAGGGCAAAGCCGTTACACACTCAGGGCCAGGATGAAATTGGACGCTGAACACTAGTGAGGGTGCATCACTCACTTCAAGGCAGTGGGGTCAAGCTGTGGGTAGCTGCGACGCACAGTCCAGTCCAGGTCCTGCCAACCCCTCTGCCTCCCTGCCTCCGTGTTCCCTCCCGTTCTCCCAGGCACTGGGCCAGACTAGGTTCCTGCAACCTTCTTGCCTGTCTCCACCAAGACCCTCAGGCTCTGCCCTACCGTTCAGGTGCTCACCTGAGCTCCCAGGACCTCCTCCACTGACTGTTCAGGAAAGCAGGGGGCTCACTCTCACAGTCAGGCTTCCACCCTCCAGCGTCTGTCTTCCCATTGACCCTGCATATACATTTGTCAAAACTCAAGCCAGATTTATTTATTTATTTATTTATTTATTTATTTATTTATTTATTTTTGAGACAGAGTCTCGCTGTGTCGCCCAGGCTGGAGCGCAATGGTGCGATCTCGGGTCACCGCAAGCTCCGCCTCCCAGGCTCCAGCAATGTTCTGCCTCAGCCTCCCGAGTAGCTGGGATTACAGGCACACGCCACCACACTCGGCTAACTTTTGTATTTTTAGTAGAGATGGGGTTTCACCATGTTGGCCAGGCTGGTCTCGAACTCCTGACCTCAGGCGATCCACCCACCTCAGCCTCCCAAAGTGCTGGGATTACAGGCGTGAGCCACCGCGCCCGGCCCCTAAGCGTGGGTTTCTCACTGCTGGGAGAGAGACTGTCACTGGCCCCTTTAGAGGGCACCTGCTACCCCCAGCACAGGCTCTGCCTAGCCCCTGACCAACCCATCTCACAGAGACCAGGCACAGGCTCTGCCTAGCCCCTGACCAACCCATCTCACAGAGACCAGGCACAGGCAACTGCTCCACTGACTCAAGGCACTGGCCACACCTTCTACCCGGGTCCAGACTGGGCACTGAGACATCAGAAAGGCCTCGTGGAAACACACCCTTCCCAGCCGCTCCCATTTAACCCTGACTGCTCCAGCTCCAGAGTACAAACTTCAGAGCCTGTGCCCCTGGTTTCCGCATGTCACAGCCTGCATGCTGATTAAGAAGCGTGCTGGCCGGGCGCGGTGGCTCACGCCTTTAATCCCAGCACTTTGGGAGGCTGAGGCAGGTGGATCACGAGGTCAGAAGTTCAAGACCAACCTGGCCAAGATGGTGAAACCCCGTCTCTACTAAAAAAAAAAAAAAAAAATTAGCTGGGCACTGTGGCAGGCACCTGTAATCCCAGCTACTCGGGAGGCTGAGGCACGAGAATCACTTGAACCCAGGGGGCGGAGATTGCAGTGAGCCAAGACCACTCCACTGCACTCCAGCCTGAGCAACAAGAGTGAAACTCCGTCTCAAAAAAAAAAAAAAAAAAAAAAAAAAAGGCCGCACGCGTTGACTCACGCCTGTAGTACCAGCACTTTGGGAGGCCGAGGCGGGCGGATCACGAGGTCAGGAGATTGAGACCATCCTGGCTAACACGGTGAAACCCCGTCTCTACTGAAAAATACAAAAAATTGGCCGGGCGTGGTGGCGGGTGCCTGTAGTCCCAGCTACTCGGGAGGCTGAGGCAGGAGAATGGCATGAACCCGGGAGGCGGAGCTTGCAGTGAGCCCAGTTCGCGCCACTGCACTCCAGCCTGGGGAACAGAGCGAGACTCCGTCTCAAAAAAAAAAAAAAAAAAATGTACGTGAGCCCCAGGGCCCCTGAGCAGGAGAGAGGTGAGAGCAGACACGGCAGGAGCCCCAGGGCCCCTGAGCAGGAGGAAGGTGAGAGCAGACACCGCAGCAGCCCCTCCCCGGACCTCCTTCCAAGGTCATGGTGCCCTGCGCAGGGTGTCCTTGCCAGTCCCTCGAGGCCTAGCCCAGCAGATAAGGTCCTTTCTTGGAAACAGGAGGCAAAGTTTTGAAAGTTAAGAAGGCTGGGAAAGGAGCAGGGCCTGGGCAGGGCCCGCCAGGCGGCGGCAGGTGCAGCGTGTCTGGCTGCGATAAGGCAGGGACACCCCCGGCCACCCCCACCAGCTGGGAGAGGCTCAGGCCGGCCAGTGCTGCCCTAGGTAGGAGCTTCTCCGCGCACAGATGCAGAGGCGTCCGGGATGCCCAGCGGCAGCCCCGTGCCTGAAGAAGTCAGTTGGAAAAGTAAGGTCTTCCGGATGCAATTCGGGAGGGAGGCACAGTCCCCCTCGGGCAGGGCTTCCAGCCCCGGGGGCCAGGGATGCTTCCAGCGTCACATCCCTGGCAAATGAGGAAAGGCTACGTTTCCCTCCTGCTGACTGATAAGCCGGTGCAAACAGTTATTTTTGGCAGCCCAGGGTTCCCCTCTGACAGGATAAACAAATCACATTTCGCCTGGCCCCGGTAACGGCCACACACTGCGCAGAAAACGTGTTGGCGGCCGCACACAAACTCTCGGGGCCCAAACAAACACAGGCTGATTCCACTGGGCGCCTCTGCTCCTTGGACAGCTGGGGGAGCCAAGGGGCTAGTCTTAGGGGATTGGGGGCCGCTCCCTTCTCAGGAGGGTTTCGCTACCAGGGCATTTTAACTGGAGTCCAAGAGCCCATGCAAACGCACGCCCCGCTGCGACAACTGGCCTTGCCTGAGTGAAAGTCCGTAACGCAGGCCCCCAACCACGCTCTCCCTGGCACGGAGGACACAGGCGCCAGACGGGTCCAGCTCAGGGTGTTAAGAGGAAGTAAGGGAGGGAGGGAGGAGAGAAGGAAGGAAGACAGAACCATCAGCACCGTGACTGGCCCGGCCCGGCCCCGACCCCAGCAAGCCATACTTACTTCTTCACGTTGGCCTCCCCGTTGGGGATCCTTCGCAACTTCTTCTTCTTGAGGATCTTGACGGCCCTCCTGCACAGCGTCTCCGAGTCCAGCACCTCCTTCACCTTGCCGTAAGAGCCTTCCCCCAGCAGGTCCCCCATCAGGTACTTGCCGATGAGCTTGGCCCGCTTGCGGCGCGGCTGGTAGATGACCTCGGTGGAGTCGATGCGGTGGATGAACGTGTCCATACCCACCGACATCAGCTCGCCCTCCGTGAACATGCCCAGCTGCTGCGGGTCCACCACCTCCATGCTGGACCCAGGGTCCTGGAGTCCCGCCGCCAGCCCTGAGTCCGCGGGTGAGCGGTCCTTCCTTGTGTTCCGACTTCCCTTCTCCAAAATTTTACAAAGAAAAAAGAAAAAAAAAAGGCAACAAAAACCCCAAAAGGAAGGGAAAAACCCTTCTTCCAACAGAAACGATTGTTCTACACGTCAGTCCCGGCTGCGAGTCCAAGCCCGGTGCAGGGTCTGCGGACCGGCGGGCACCGGGGGTCCGGGACGGCGGCTCAGACGCGAGTTCCAGTGGGACCCGGGCCTCAGAACTGGGAGACGGCCCGGTCAGGGTCAACTTCGTCCTCGGGGACCCTGGGGAGGCCGGCCGGGGCTTTTCAGTGCTAGGTCATCCTCCGGGGACCTCAGGCCCACGGACAAGTATGAACACGGCCGAGCGCAGTCTTCTCCGGGCCGCCCATCCCACAGGCCGGGTCCGCGACGTCGCTACCCCCCGGGACCCCCACACCTGGAGAGCCCAACTTCGCTGGGGGCGTCTCCGGCGACGCCCCGGTCCCACCGCCTGTCCCAGGAGCAAACGCTCCGCCGCGGACGACCGAGCGGACCTCCCGGGGGGCGCCGACTCCCGCCGGCCCGGGCGAGCGTTCGGGGGGCTGGGGGCGTCCGGGAGGCCTCCCGCCGCGGCCAACAGCTCCGCTCAGGGCTGGTCGCTGCCCGGCGCCCGCGAGGGCCCGCACTGGGCGCCCCCCGAGCCGGCCCGCGACCCCCAAGGTGGTCGCCGGGGCCCGGCAGGCGCCCCCCTCCCCGCAAACGTCTGCCCGAGCGCGCGCCCCGCCCCGAGTGCCCTCAGCGTCCGGTCCGCGGGGCGGCGCGGCGGCGGGGGCTCCACGGGGCTCCCGGCGGCCGAGGCGGCGCAGGCCGCAGGCTCCGGGCCGGGGGGTTCCCGAAGGTGCCGGGCCCCGGGCGGCGCGTCCCCCTCGCCGCGGCCGCCGCGCGTGTGGAGGAGGCGGAGCGGCGAGGGGGGCCCAGCCCATCCAAGGCCGCGGCAGCAAGTGCCGCCACCCGCGCTCCCTTCGCCGCCCCGCGCCTCACTCGCGGGCGCCCCGGGCCGCCTCCCCCTTCCGCGCCCGACACGCCGCCGCCATCTTGTTTACCTCCCTCCCCCTCCCTGCGCCGCCGCGGACACCGCACGCCCGGCCGCAGGGCACGCCTCCTCGCGAGGACGACGTGCCCACCCGTTGGTTGAACCTGCCATCCCCGGCCCTCTGCCCGCCCCGCCGCCGCTGACGATTGGAGCGTTTGGACCCGGCCGGGCGCCCGAGCGGCGATTGGTCGGCGCTTGGCCCCGCCCGAGGGGTGGATACAGCGCGCTCATTGGTCCTCGGAGACGCCCGTCACGGGCAGGGGGCGGGAAGCAGGCATGGGGAGACGAGGCCACGGCTGTGACCTCGGTGGGGCTCGGGAAGGGGGTCGTAGGTCACGGGTGCCAACGGCCTCCCTGAACGGCCGCAGGGTGGGCTGAGCCCGGTGGGCGGGAACCTGGGCTTGCGGACCTGGAAGGAGCGGGGCCACCCCTACCAGAGCCCCTCCCCCGCATCCCCCTTTGGGGCGAGGTCAAGGGTCAAAAAGTAACACAAAGTGGCCAATTCCAGTCAAAAATCCTTCTTTTGAGCCACTCTTGGACCAGGGGAAAGAGAAACGCTCAGGGCGGCCTCTGCCCTATCGGAACTCATGGGGGAAGCCTCAGGACAGCGCTGGGACAAGCCCAGCGGGGGCTTCTCGTGAAAAACAAGAGTTGCCAAAATATGGCTTGATAAGGTTGAAAATATTGAACCCTCCTGTGCTAGCCCCGTGCCTTCCACCTTTTCCTGCACTAGCGCCAGGTTGTTTAGCTGGAACAAACTATCTTGGTACAATCTCCGCCTCCTGGTTTCAAGCGATTCTCCTGCCTCAGCCTCCCCAGTAGCTGAGATTACAGGCGTGCGCCACCACGCCCGGCTAATTTTTGTATTTTTAGTAGAAATTACAGGTGCATGTCTGTAATCCCAGCTACTCAGAAGGCTGAGGGAGGAGAATCGCTTGAACCCGGGAGGAGGAGGTTGCGGTGAGCCGAGATCGTGCCACTGCACTCCAGCTTGGGCAATAAGAGCGAAACTCTGTCTCAAAAAAAAAAAAAAGATCTCTTCCAGAAAACTGAAGTTGAAGGAACACTCCCCAACTCAAACTTATTTTGGTATCTCTTTTCTGTACTGATTGCTGGCTCACACCCCAACTTCTTGGAATCTGGAGATAATGCTGGATAATTGGCATCGGTAGGTCCCACGCCCCTTCAGAGAACTGCAGGACACATGGAAGTGACTCAGGAAATACTTGGTGACCATTACAGACAGAATCCTTGAAGATGGATTCTCCGTTCAAAGACCACCTCCTCCAAGAACCCCTCCTAGTCATTCTCTCAAGTGCCTGGACGGAGATGTGCTGTGAGTGTGAACTACACACGGAATTTCTTTGTTTTTTTGATACGCATAATTTTATTACAAAATGTTAAAAAATGCAGCATCTTAAAAAACGCAAGATGTACTGTTGATACTAATTCCTACAAGTGTGCTGTGCTGCCATACACAATAAATTTTTTAAAAACCATTAAATATTTAGGGACATTAGGCAGGGTGCGGTGGCTCACACCTGTAATCCCAGTATTTTGGGAGGCCGAAGCAGGCGGATCACGAGGTCAGGAGTTTGAAAGCAGCCTGGCCAACATGGTGAAACCCCATCTCTACTAAAAATACAAAAATTAGCTGAGCGTGGTGGCATGTGCCTGTAATCCCAGCTACTCAGGAGGCTGAGGCAGGAGAACTGCTTGAACCAGGACCCGGGAGGCGGAGGTTGCGGTGAGCCGAGATCACGCCATTGCACTCCAGCCTAGGCAACAAGAGCGAAACTCTGTCTCAAAAAAAAGAAAAGAAAAGAAAAGTATTTTCTGTACAGAGAATCTTATGAGCTATACGAAAATTTGTACAGTTTTATACTGAAGCTAATACTGAGCTGTACTAGAATTCACATTCTTAGCAAAACAAGCCCACTGCACAGGCATCATTAAAGGATAGCCATTTATTCTTCATCTTCACCCTCTTCCTCCTCATCTTCATCTTCTTTCTCCTCCTCCTCCTCCTCATCTTCTGGTTTGTTCTTCTTTGAGCCCTTCTTTCCTGCTTCACTTTTGCCCTTAGCACGATATGCAGCAATACCCTTTTCATATCTCTCCTGTAGCTTAACTGCTTTCTGCTCATATGGTTGTTTATCTTTGGCTGACTGCCCAGACCACATTTCACCCAGTTTCTTTGCAGTTTCCACGACAAATAGGCCTGGGTGTCCACTTTTGATCTTTGGGCGATGTTCAGAGCAAAACAGGAAGAAGGCAGATGGTGGCCTTCTAGGAGCATTGCGATCCTTTTTCTTTCCTTTCTTACCCTTTCTTACATTTCGGAGGAATGTAATTTTTAATCTCCCTGTCACAGCGAGCTTTGTCACTTTTTGCCTTCTCTTCAAACTTCACTTCTCCTTTGCAGACGTGGTCTTCCATCTCTCCAAACACTTCTTGGAGAATTCCACGAAATTGACAGAAGAGTCCGGGTGTTTCTTCTTGTGCTCTTCCTGGCAGGTCTGCGCGAAGAGGGCATACGAGGACATTTTGCTCCTCGGTTTGTTGGGGTGTCCTTTACCCATGGGGACAGAACAGCATCTACCTGGTGCGAGCTTTTCCTCAGAGTCCCACAGAGCACCCGGACCCAACAGAGACACTTCCCTCCACACTGACTCTCTTTTTTTTTTTTTGAGACGGAGTCTCGCTCTGTTGCCCGGGCTGGAGTGCAATGGCATGATCTTGGTTCACTGCAACCTCTGCTTCCCAGATTCAAGCAATTCTCCTGTCTCAGCCTCTGGAGTAGCTGGGACTACAGGCATACACCACCATGGCTGGATAATTTTTGGATTTTCAATAGAGACAGGGTTTCACCATATTGTTCAGGCTGGTCCCGAACTCCTAACCTCAGGTGATCCACCTGCCTCGGCCTCCCAAAGTTCTGGGATTACAGGCATGAGGCACCATGCCTGCCCTACACACTGAATTTCCAAAGTTAGAAAAATTAAAAATGGGCCTGCCAGGCACGGTAGTTCACACCTGTAATCCCAGCACTTTGGGAGGCCGAGGCGGATGGATCACCCGAGGTCAGGAGTTTGAGACCAGTCTGGCCAACGTGGTAAAACCCTGTCTCTACTAAAAATACAAAAATTAGCCAGGCGTGGTGGCGGGCGCCCGTAATCTCAGCTACTTGGGAGGCTGAGGCAGGAGGATCGCTTGAACCCAGGAGGCAGAGGTTGCAGGGAGCTGAGATCTTGCCATTGCACTCCACCTTGGGCAACAATGAGACTCCGTCTCGAAAGAAAAAAAAATGGGCCTGGTATGGCGGCTTTTGCCTGTAATCCCAGCACTTTGGGGGGCCAAGGCAGGTGATCACCTGAGGTCAAGAGTTCAAGACCAGCCTGGGCAACATGGTAAAACCCCCGTCTCTACTAAAAATACAAAAACTAGCCAGGTGTCGTGGCGCCCGCCTGTAATCCCAGCTACTCAGGAGGCTGAGGTAAGAGAATCGCTTGAACCTGGGAGGCAGAGGTTGCAGTGAGCCAAGATTGTGCCACTGCACTGCAGCCTGGGCAACACAGTGAGACTCGGTCTCAAAAAAAAAAAAAAAGGGCACAAATAAAATATCTCACTGGCCAGACACAGTGGCTCACGCCTGTAATCCCAGCACTTTAGGAGGCCAAGGTGGGCTGATCACGAGGTCAGGAGTTCGAGACCATCCTGGCCAACGTGGTGAAACCTGGTCTCTACTAAAAATACAAAAATTAGCTGGGCGTGGTGGCGGGCACCTGTAATCCCAGCTACTCGGGAGGCTGAGACAGGAGAAAGGCGTGAACCCAGGAGGCGGAGCTTGCAGTGAACCAAGATCGCGCCACCGCACTCCAGCCTGGGAGACAGAGCGAGACTCCGTCTCAAAAAAATAAATAAATAAAAATAAAATAAAATATCTCATTAATAATTTTAATAATGATTGCATGTTGAAATGATGTAATTTTGGATATGTTAGGCTAAAGTAAATGTATTATTAAAATTAACCACTTCAGGGTTATGCACAGTGGCTCACACCTGTAATCCCAGAACTTTGGGAGGATCTCTTGAGCCTAGGAGTTTGAGGCCAGCCTGGGCAACATAGCAAGAACTTGTCTCAAAAAAAAATAAATACATAAATAACAGGCCAGGTGCAGTGGCTCACGCCTGTAATCCCAGCACTTTGGGAGGCCGAGGCGGGCGGATCATGAGGTCAGGAGATCAAGACCATCCTGGCCAACATGGCGAAACCCCGTCTCTACTAAAAATACAAAAATTAGTTGGGCGTGGTGGCGCACCCTTCTAATCCCAGGTACTCGGGAGGCTGAGGCAGGAGAATCACTTGAACCCGGGAGACAGAGGTTGCAGTGAGCGGAGATCACGCCACTGCACTCCAACCTGGCGACAGAGCAAGACTCCGTCTCAAAAAAATAAAAATAGATAAAATATATAAATAACAAAAAAAGATGGACCATAACAAGTATTGGTGAGGATGTGGAGAAACCAGAATTCTCATAAGCGGGGCAACCCCTTTGGAAAAGAGTCAAAAGTTTAAACATAGAGTTGCTATATGTACTGGCAATTCCACCCCAAGATATATGCCCGAGAGAACTAGAAACCTGTTCACACAAACACGCATGAATTTTCAAAACAGCGTTATTCACAAGAGTCAAAAAGTGAAAATAGGGCCAGGCATGGCAGCTCATGCCTGTAATCCCATCACTTTGGGAGGCCGAGGTGGGCGGATCCCTTGAGGCCAAGAGTTCCAGACCAGCCTGGGCAACATGGTGAAAGCCTGTCTCTACTTAAAAAATACAAAAATTAGCCAGGCGTAGTGGTGCATGCCTGTAGTCCCAGCTACTTGGAAGGCTGAGGCAGGAGAATTGCTTGAACCTGGGAAGAGGAGGTTGTGGTGAGCTGAGATCATGCCTCTGCACTCCAGCCTGGGCGACAGAGTGAGACTCCATCTCAAAAACAAACAAAAAAAAAAAACTGAAAATAGACCAGGAGCAGTGGCCCACGCTTGTAGTCCCAGCTACTCGGGAGGCTGAGGCAGTAGGATCAACAGAGGCTGGGAGTTTGAGGCTGCAGTGAGCTGGGATTATGTCACTACACTCCAGTGTGGGCAATAGAACAAGACCCTGTCTCTACTGAAAAGAAGAAAACAAGGCCGGGCGCAGTGGCTCACCCCTATAATCCCAGCACTTTGGGAGGCCGAGGCGGGAGGATTGCTTGAGTTCAGGAGTCCAAGACCAGCCTGGGCAACATGGTGAAAACCAATCTCTACAAAAAGTACAAAAACTAGGGGCCAGGCGCGGTAGCTCGCAGCCTGTAATCCCAGCACTTTGGGAGGCCGAGGCGGGCGGATCACCTGAAGTCAGGAATTGGAGACCAGCGTGGCCAACATGGTGAAACCCAGTATCTACTAAAAATACAAAATTATCCGGGCGTGGTGGCTGGCGCCTGTAATCCCAGCTACTCGGGAGGCTGAAGCAGGAGAATTGCCTGAACCTAGGAGGCGGAGGTTGCAGTGAGCCGAGATCGCGCCATTGCCCTCCAGCCTGGGCAACAGAGTGAGACTCTTGTCTCAAAAACAAAACAAAACAAAACAAAAAACAAAAACTCACCAGTCATGGTGGCGGGCGCCTGTGGTCCCAGCTACTTGGGAGGCTGAGGTGGGAGGATCACCTGAGCCCGGGAGGTGGAGGTTGCAGTGAGCCATGATCACGCCACTGCATTCCTGCCTGGCAACAGAGCCAGATCCTGTCTCAAAAAAAAAATTTTTTTTTTTAAAAAAGAACTATTCTAACATCCTCCCTCACAGGTGAGCCCACTGCAGCTGGCAGAGAGCAAGCTCCCTGCCCAGGTCTACACTCCAGGTCCCTGGTGGCTCTGGGACTCCCACCTGAGAGCCCTGGAGCCCCCAGGAGTCTCATTCAGGATGCCAGCTCCATCTGCTTCAGGGTGATGGGGCTTTGGGCATCGGACCAGGCATCCAACCCAGGCCAGGCTGGGCCAGCACGGAACCGGATCATATGGCGGAATCAGATCAAAGGGTCCTTCCCGGCACCGTGGGGCCAGTCGCCCGGCGGCTATTCTAAGGGTCTCCTGCAGGGCCCTTTTCTCTGGCCCAGCCCTGTGTCCCACAGAAATCTTCAGCTGGGAGGTCCTGGCCTCTAACTTCCCATTTCTCTGGATGGAGGATTAACGATGACCCTGTCATCAAAGATAAGACACGGTCGGGAATGAGATGCACTGTTGTATGAATCCCCACCGAACTCGTAGATATCTACACATTTTCATTTATGTATTTATTTTAGATGGAGTCTCCCTCTATTGTCCAGGCTGGAGTGCAGTGGCACAATCTCAGCTCACTGCAACCTCCACCTCTTGGGTTCAAGCGATTCTCCTGCCTCAGCCTCCCGAGTAGCTGGGATTACAAGCGTGCGCCACCACACCTGGCTAGGTTTTTTTTTTTTATTTTTAGTGGAGACGGGGTTTCACCATATTGGCCAGGCTGGTCTTGAACTCCTGACCTTGTGATCCGCCCGCCTCGGCCTCCCAAAGTGCTGGGATTACAGGTGTGAGCCACCGTTCCTGGCCTGTGTTTTTCTTTTTTTGAGACAGAGTCTTGCTCTGTCGCCCAGGCTGGAGTGCAGTGACGCAGTCTTGGTTCACTGCAACCTCTGCCTCCTGGGTTCAAGCGATTCTCCTGTCTCAGCCTCTCGAGTAGCTGGGATTACAGGTGCCCACCACCATGCCCAGCTAATTTTTGTATTTTTAGTAAAGACGGAGTTTCACCATGTTGCCCAGGCTGGTCTCGAACTCCTGACATCAAGTAATCCACCTACCTTGGCCTCCGAAAAAGCTGGGATTATAGGCATGAGCCACTAAGCCTGGCCTTGAATTCATAAATTTGATGACACTCTGGATATAAAGAGGCAGAGTGAGCCGGGCACGGTGGCTCATGCCTGTAATCCCAGCACTTTGGGAGGCCGAGGAGGGTGGATCACGAGGTCAGGAGATTGAGACCATCCTGGCTAACATGGTGAAACCCCGTCTCTACTAAAAAATGCAAAATTTAGCTGGGCGTGGTGGTGGGCGCCTGTAGTCCCAGCTACTCGGGATGCTGAGGCAGGAGAATGGCGTGAACCTGGGAGGCGGAGCTTGCAGTGAGCCGAGATCGCGCCACCGCACTCCAGCCTGGGCGACAGAGAGAGACTCCATCTCAAAAAAATAAAAATAAAAAAAAAATAAAGTGAAAAAGAGGCAGAGTGACCTCGGGTGGGTAAACCGTGACAAATGGTAATGCTATGGTAATAGGAAAAAGTGATGCTTATGACTATTTATGGTAGTCCTGGGGAAAATGCTTTCTTTGCATTCTCTCATCCTCACCAAACTGCAGGTTCTGTTAAGGGAACTGGCTTATGGGTGGGGGCCCCAAGTTATAGCAGAGAGCCCCAGGTTACAAGTGTGGGCTTAAGTTACAGGTGAGGGCCTCAATTATAGGTTGGAGAGGCCCAGGTTCCTGGCGGGGTGTAGGTTTACAGGTGCGGGACTGGGGTTTCAGGTGAAGTCCGGGCTTACAGTGAGTGCCACAGGTTACAGTTGCAGGGGCCCAGGTTCTAGGTGAGGGTCTGGGTTATAGATGAGAGAGGCCCAGGCTCCAGGTCGGGGGCCGCAGGTTACACATGAGGGCCTCAGGTTCCTGGTAGGAACCCCAGGTTACACTTGCAGAGGCCCAGGTTCTAGGTGAAGGCCTGGGTTACAGATGGGAGAGGCTCAGATACTAGGTGGGGGTCCCTGGTTACAAGTGGAGGGGCCCAGGTTTCAGGTCGGGGCCTGGGTTCTAGGTGGGGAACTGGGTTTTCCTTTTTTTTTTCTTTGAGACGGTATCTTGCTTTGTTGCCCAGGCTGGAGTGCAGTGGCGCAATCTCGGCTCACTGCAAGCTCCACCTCCCGGGTTCACGCCATTCTCCTGCCTCAGCCTCCCGAGTAGCTGGGACTACAGGCGCCCGCCACAACGCCTGGCTAATTTTTTGTATTTTTAGTAGAGACGGGGTTTCACCGTGTTAGCCAGGATGGTCTCGATCTCCTGACCTCGTGATCTGCCCGCCTTGGCCTCCCAAAGTGCTGGGATTACAGGCGTGAGCCACCGCGCCCAGCCGGTAACTGGGTTTTCAGGTGAAGGCAAGGGTTCCAAAGAGGGGGGCACAAGTTCCTGGTGGAGGTTCCAGGCCCCAGGTGGGGGCTGGGTTCCAGGTTCAGAGGTCCCAGGTTCTAGGTGAGGGCCTGGGTTACAGATGGGAGAGGCCCAGGTCCCAGGTGGGGGCTGGGTTCCAGGTTCAGAGGTTCTAGGTGAGGGCCTGGGTTACAGATGGGAGAGGCCCAGGTCCCAGGTGGGGGCTGGGTTCCAGGTTCAGAGGTCCCAAGTTATAGGTGGGGGCTTCTGCCAGCCCCGCCCAGGGCTCAAGCCTCCCTCCATCTCTTCCTCCAGGCTGTCACCTGTCATCTCTCCTACCCACCCATGACTCCCCCCAAACACACAGATCCTGCCCTCCAGCCTGCAGGGCAGGAGCTCTCCTACCATTTCCTCCCCTAGAACCCCTCGCTGACCCCACGTTCCCCCCGGCTCCGATGCCCAGGCCCCCGTTCACCCCCACCCTGCGGAGAAATGCCCGCCAGTCCTCCCTCCTGGCCTCTCTCTGGCCGCAGACCCGTGTCCCAGACCTCCTCCACTAGTGGTCTAAAAGTCGGGGCCTTGGCCGGGCGCGGTGGCTCACGCCTGTAATCCCAGCACTTTGGGAGGCCGAGGCGGGTGGATCATGAGGTCAGGAGATCGAGACCATCCTGGCTAACAAGGTGAAACCCCGTCTCTACTAAAAATACAAAAAATTAGCCGGGCGCGGTGGCGGGCGCCTGTAGTCCCAGCTACTCGGGATGCTGAGG
The DNA here is from genome assembly GCF_000001405.40 of Homo sapiens. Taxonomy (NCBI): domain Eukaryota; kingdom Metazoa; phylum Chordata; class Mammalia; order Primates; family Hominidae; genus Homo; species Homo sapiens. The sequence goes on along the minus strand of NC_000019.10, from coordinate 1,196,817 downwards.
CAGGAGAATGGCGTGAACCTGGGAGGCGGAGCTTGCAGTGAGCCGAGATCGCGCCACCGCACTCCAGCCTGGGCGACAGAGAGAGACTCCATCTCAAAAAAATAAAAATAAAAAAAAAATAAAGTGAAAAAGAGGCAGAGTGACCTCGGGTGGGTAAACCGTGACAAATGGTAATGCTATGGTAATAGGAAAAAGTGATGCTTATGACTATTTATGGTAGTCCTGGGGAAAATGCTTTCTTTGCATTCTCTCATCCTCACCAAACTGCAGGTTCTGTTAAGGGAACTGGCTTATGGGTGGGGGCCCCAAGTTATAGCAGAGAGCCCCAGGTTACAAGTGTGGGCTTAAGTTACAGGTGAGGGCCTCAATTATAGGTTGGAGAGGCCCAGGTTCCTGGCGGGGTGTAGGTTTACAGGTGCGGGACTGGGGTTTCAGGTGAAGTCCGGGCTTACAGTGAGTGCCACAGGTTACAGTTGCAGGGGCCCAGGTTCTAGGTGAGGGTCTGGGTTATAGATGAGAGAGGCCCAGGCTCCAGGTCGGGGGCCGCAGGTTACACATGAGGGCCTCAGGTTCCTGGTAGGAACCCCAGGTTACACTTGCAGAGGCCCAGGTTCTAGGTGAAGGCCTGGGTTACAGATGGGAGAGGCTCAGATACTAGGTGGGGGTCCCTGGTTACAAGTGGAGGGGCCCAGGTTTCAGGTCGGGGCCTGGGTTCTAGGTGGGGAACTGGGTTTTCCTTTTTTTTTTCTTTGAGACGGTATCTTGCTTTGTTGCCCAGGCTGGAGTGCAGTGGCGCAATCTCGGCTCACTGCAAGCTCCACCTCCCGGGTTCACGCCATTCTCCTGCCTCAGCCTCCCGAGTAGCTGGGACTACAGGCGCCCGCCACAACGCCTGGCTAATTTTTTGTATTTTTAGTAGAGACGGGGTTTCACCGTGTTAGCCAGGATGGTCTCGATCTCCTGACCTCGTGATCTGCCCGCCTTGGCCTCCCAAAGTGCTGGGATTACAGGCGTGAGCCACCGCGCCCAGCCGGTAACTGGGTTTTCAGGTGAAGGCAAGGGTTCCAAAGAGGGGGGCACAAGTTCCTGGTGGAGGTTCCAGGCCCCAGGTGGGGGCTGGGTTCCAGGTTCAGAGGTCCCAGGTTCTAGGTGAGGGCCTGGGTTACAGATGGGAGAGGCCCAGGTCCCAGGTGGGGGCTGGGTTCCAGGTTCAGAGGTTCTAGGTGAGGGCCTGGGTTACAGATGGGAGAGGCCCAGGTCCCAGGTGGGGGCTGGGTTCCAGGTTCAGAGGTCCCAAGTTATAGGTGGGGGCTTCTGCCAGCCCCGCCCAGGGCTCAAGCCTCCCTCCATCTCTTCCTCCAGGCTGTCACCTGTCATCTCTCCTACCCACCCATGACTCCCCCCAAACACACAGATCCTGCCCTCCAGCCTGCAGGGCAGGAGCTCTCCTACCATTTCCTCCCCTAGAACCCCTCGCTGACCCCACGTTCCCCCCGGCTCCGATGCCCAGGCCCCCGTTCACCCCCACCCTGCGGAGAAATGCCCGCCAGTCCTCCCTCCTGGCCTCTCTCTGGCCGCAGACCCGTGTCCCAGACCTCCTCCACTAGTGGTCTAAAAGTCGGGGCCTTGGCCGGGCGCGGTGGCTCACGCCTGTAATCCCAGCACTTTGGGAGGCCGAGGCGGGTGGATCATGAGGTCAGGAGATCGAGACCATCCTGGCTAACAAGGTGAAACCCCGTCTCTACTAAAAATACAAAAAATTAGCCGGGCGCGGTGGCGGGCGCCTGTAGTCCCAGCTACTCGGGAGGCTGAGGCAGGAGAATCGCTTGAACCCGGGAGGTAGAGGTTGCAGTGCGCCGAGATGGCGCCACTGCAGTCCGCAGTCCGGCCTGGGCGACAGAGCGAGACTCCGTCTCAAAAAAAAAAAAAAAAAAAAAAAAAAAAAAAAAAAGTCGGGGCCTTGATCGCAACCGCCCCGCTTCACGGACCTAGCTCAGCCCCCCCACGCAATGGAGTGGGGTCGAGCCTCGCACGCACTGGCCCCGCAGCAGCCAGAGGGGTCTTTCCTAGACCCCTGCCAGGTATCCGGTCGCGGATAGAAAAGGGGCCGGCGGTCTGCGCGGACCGCTGTGGCCGCCAGGTGGCGGGCGCGGGCTGCGGCGGAGAGGCCCGCGTCCGGGTTGAGTGCGCGTGCGCGAGGCTGCCCGCTTGGCCGAGCCCCCTCGCCGTGGACCCCGCCCCGCGGTGAGATCCTCCGGGTCCGGAGGCCCCTTCGGGAGCGCAGGGCAAGAGGCAGGAGGAGGGGACGTGTAGGATCCGCTGCAAATAATCCGATAACTGTCCTCGCCACATTCGGCTAAAAAAAAAAAAGTGAAAAATAGGCCGGGCGCGGTGGCTCACGCATGTAATCCCAGAACTTTGGGAAGCTGAGGCGGGTGGATCACCTGAGGTCAGGAGTTCGGGACCGGCCTGGCCAACATGGTGAAACCCCATCTCTACTAAAAATACAAAAATTAGCCGGGCGTGGTGGCGGGCACCTGTAATCCCAGCTAGTTGGGAGGCTGAGGCGGGAGAATCGCTTGAACCTGGAAGGCGGTGGTTGCAGTGAGCCGAGATCATGCTACTGCACTCCAGCCTGGGCAACAGAGCAAGACTCCGCCTCAAAAAAAAAAAAAAAAAGTAAAAAATAATAGGCCGGGCGCGGTGGCTCACGTCTGTAATCACAGCACTTTGGGAGGGGGGCAGATCACGGGGTCAGGAGATCGAGACCATCCTGGCTAACACGGTGAAACCCTGTCTCTATTAAAAATACAAAAAATTAGCCGGGCGTGGTGGCGGGCGCCTGTAGTCCAAGCTACTCGGGAGGCTGAGGCAGGAGAATCGCTTGAACCCGGGAGGTAGAGGTTGCAGTGAGCCGAGATCGCACCACTGCTCTCCAGCCTGGGGACAGAGCGAGACTCCCAAAGTGCTGGGAATACAGGCGTGAGCCACTGTGCCCTGCCATAAAATATATTTTAGAATTCTCATAAAATATATGTAACATGACATTTATTCCCTTTTTTTTTTTTGAAACGGAGTCTTGCTCTGTTGCCCAGGCTAGAGAGCAGTGGCACGATCTCGGCTCACTGCAACCTCTGTCTCCCGGTTCAAGGGATTCTCCTGCCTCAGCCTCCCGAGTAGCTGGGACTACAGGCGCCCATCACCATGCCCAGCTAATTTTTATATTTTTATTAGAGACGTGTTTTCACCGTATTGGCCAGGCTAGTCTTGAACTCCTGACCTTGTGATCCACCTGCCTCGGCCTCCCAAAGTGCTGGGATTACAGGCGTGAGCCACCGTGCTCGGCCTTTTTTTTTTTTTTTTTTTTGAGACAGGGTCTTGCTGTCTCACCCAAGCTGGATTACAGGTGGGGGACTGGGGTTTCAGGTGGAAGCCAGGTTTACATGTGAGTGCCACAGTTTCCACAGAGCCCTAGGTTCCAGATGAGGGCCTGGGTTACAGATCACAGAGGCCCAGGTTCTAGGTGGGGGCCTGGGTTACAGGTTGGGGAGGCCCAGGTTCCAGGTGGGGGACTGGGTTCCAGGTGGGGGACTGGGGTTTCAGGTGAAGGCTGGGGCTACAGGTAAGTTCTAAAGTTCCAGGTGGAGGGGCTGACAGTGTAGGTGAGGGCCTGGGTTCCAGGTGGGGGACTGGGGTTTCAGGTGAAGCCTGGGCTTACAGGTAAGTTCTACAAGTTCCAGGTGGAGGGGCTGACAGTGTAGGTGAGGGCCTGGGTTCCAGACGGGAGAGGCCTGGGTTCCAGGTGCAATCGTAGCTCACTGCAGCCTCAGACTCCATGGCTCAAACAGTCCTCCCACCTCAGCCTCACAAGTAGCTGGGAGTACAGGTGCATGCCACCAGGCCTGGTTAATTTTTTTAACATTTCTTTTGTAGAGACAGGGTCTCGCTATGTTGAACTCCTGGGCTAAGTTGATCCTTCTGAGTCAGTTGAGGACAGGAGTTTGAAACCAGCCTGGGCAACATAGTAATAACCCATCTTGACAAAAACAGCAGTTAACCATGCCTAGCTAATTTTTTTGTATTTTTTGTAGAGATGGGGTCTTGCTATGTTAGTCAGGCTGGTCTCAAACTCCTGACCTCAAGTGATCCGCCCGCCTTGGCCTCCCAGCGTGCTGGGGTTGCAGGCATCCGCCCCTGCGCCCGGCCTCCACGCCCAGCCCCCGTACCCCGCCTCCGTTTAACTTCTTGTGGAGCTACCACACTCTTCCCCAGCGGCTGCAGTCTGGGTATGCTTTTGACTCTTCAGTTTTACGACACGGGAATGCATCACTATTCAAAAACTTAAATTATCACAGAAAAAAATCAGCAAATTCTAGACTGTGGGAAACTTAACAGGAAAAACAACTGGGTTTCATACAAAAGAAAAAAAGAAAAAAAAAAACAAAAACAAACCACAGAAAGAGAGAGGGAGGGCGAACCTGCAGATTAAAAGGCACATAAGAGGCCGGTGAGGTGGCTCAGCCTGTCATCCCAGCACTGTGCAGGGCCAGGAGGGAGGATCACTTGAGGCCAGCAGTTCGAGACCAGCCTGGCCAACATGGCAAAACCCCATCTCTACTAAAAATACAAAAATTAGCCGGGCATACTGGCAGGTACCTGTAATCCCAGCTACTCGTGAGGCTGAGGCAGGAGAATCGCTTGAACCCTGGAGGCAGAGGTTGCAGTGAGCTGAGATCGCACCACTGCACTCCAGCCTGGGTGACAGAGCGAGACTCTGTCTCAAAAAATATATATAAATAAATAAAATAAAATAAATTAAAAGCACACAAGAGGTTTATAAACTGTTCACTAATTGCACGCTTTATTCAGATCCATAACCCAGAAACTATTTTTAAAAATTAGACAATTTGGGCCGGACACAGTAGCTCACACCTGTAATCCCAGCATGTTGGGAGGCTAAGGTGGGTGGATCACTGGATCCCAGGAGTTTGAGACCAGCATGGGGAACACGGCAAAACCTCGTCTCTAGTAAAAATACAAAAAAATTAGCCAGACGTGTCCGGGAGCGGTGGCTCACGCCTGTAGTCCCACAACTTTGGGAGGCCAAGGCGGGCGGATCATGAGGTCAGGAGATCGAGACCATCCTGGCTAACACGGTGAAACCCCGTCTCTACTAAAAGTACAAAAAATTAGCCTCGCAGTGGCGCGCGCCTGTAGTCCCGGCTACTCAGGAGGCTGAGGCAGGAGAATTGCTTGAACCCAGGAGGCAGAGCTTGCAGTGAGCCGAGATCGTGCCACTGCACTCCAGCCTGGGTGACAGAGCAAGACTCTGTCTCAAAAAAAAAAAAAAGAAAAAAGAAAAAAAAAAGACGCATAGGAGAAGCATTTGCTACTATGAAATTTGTACACAGGCTTTTCCGTGGATGTTGATCCTCCCGTGGGTACTTGGGTATTACCTGGGATGGAATGACTCGGTTATATCCTGCATCAGTTGTGTGTGGTGGTCTGGACCGTGGAACCCTGGGCCTATGGTCATTTCCTTCCAACTCTAATAATGTCCTTTTTTTTTTTTTTTTTTGACACATAGTCTCACTCTATTGCCTGGGTTAAAGGGCAGTGCAGCTGTCTTGGCTCACTGCAACCTCCTTCTCCCCAGTTCAAGTGATTCTCCTGCCTCAGCCTCCCAGTTAGCTGGGATGACAGGCACCCGCCACCACACCTGGCTTATTTTATTTTATTTTATTTTATTTTTTGTATTTTTAGTAGAGACAGGGTTTCTCCATGTTGGCCAGGCTGGTCTCGAACTCCTGACCTCAAGTGATCCACCTGCTTCAGCCTCCCAAAATGCTGGGATTACAGGCTTGAGCCATCATGCCCACCCTCTTTATTTTTTATTTTTTTATTATTTATTTATTTATTTGAGATGGAGTTTTGCTCTTGTTGCCCAGGCTGGAGTGCAATGGTGCGACCTCGGCTCACTGCAACCTCCACCTCCCGGGTTCAAGCAATTCTCCTGCCTCAGCCTCCTCAATAGCTGGGATTACAGGCATGTGCCCCCATGCCCGGCTAATTTTTTTTTTTTTTTTTGAGACAGAGTCTCGCTCTGTCGCCCAAGCTGGAGTGCAGTGGCACAATCTCAGCTTACTGCAAGCTCCGCCTCCTGGGTTCAGGCCATTCTCTTGCCTCAGCCTCCCGAGTAGCTGGGACTACAGACGCCTGCCACCACGCCCGGCTAATTTTTTGTATTTTTAGTAGAGACGGGGTTTCACTGTGTTAGCCAGGATGGTCTCGATCTCCTGACCTCGGGATCCGCCCGCCTCGGCCTCTCAAAGTGCTGGGATTACAGGCATGAGCCACCGCACCTGGCCCAATTTTTTTTTTTTTCAGACAGGGTCTCACTCTGTCCCCCAGGCTGAAGTGCAGTGGCATGATTACCGCTCACTGCAGCCTCCAACTCCCTGGGCTCAGGTGATCCTCTGACTTCAGCCTCCCACACCCAGCAAATTTTTAAATATTTTTTTGTAGGCCAGGCTGATCTTGAACTCTTGGGCTCTAGTGATCCTCCTGCCTCAGCCTCCCAAAGTGCTGCAAACACAGGTGTGGGCCACCATCCCCAGCCCCACTGTCCTTTAATCTTCCCTCATCAGGACTGGTTCCCTCCTGCCACCTCAAAGGCTCCTCCCCATGGACCCACATAATTGTCTCCTTCAAGAATCACTTGAAGTTCCCGGGCGCGGTGGCTCACGCCTGTAATCCCAGCACTTTTGGAGGCCGAGGCAGGCAGATCACCTGAGGTCGGGAGTTCGAGACCAGCCTGGCCAACATGGAGAAACCCCATCTCTACTAAAAATACAAAACTAGCTGTGCGTGGTGGCGGCCGCCTGTAATCCCAGCTACTCAGGAGGCTGAGGCAGGAGAATCGCTTGAACCCGGGAGGTGGAGGTCGCAGTGAGCCCAGATTGTGCCACTGCACTCCAGCCTGGGCGACAAGAGCGAAACTCCATCTCAAAAAAATAAAATAACTGCCTCGTTCACTCATTCAGGTCATAGCTCAGTGGTCACCTCCTCCGAACAGCCTTTGCTGGCCCCCAGTCTGGGTCTCCCACATCCCCACACCCTGCCCCCGTCAACCCTGTCTGCAGGCCTCTGCTGACTCACCCGACTTGAGAGGTGCTTTGAAGGTTCTGCTATGGTTCTCACTCACAGGAAGGTGTGACTGCCTGCTCCCACTGGTGCCTGGAGGAAGAGGGAGGAGACCTCCCAGCCCAGACGACCTGAAGGCTGATAGCAACAATGGCTGACATAGACTGACCTAAAGTTTCTGGTCCAGGGCTAAAGTTCCTCCATGCCGTCCACCACCACTTTACCGACGAGACCCCAGCGGCTCTGAGATGTCCCTGAATCCTTGCCTGGGGACAAAGAACCACATAGAGCAGGGGTCAGCCCACCTATTCTGTTAAGGGCCAGGGAGCAAATACTTTCAGCTTTGGAGGCCAGCCAGTGCAAGCAGCCACTGGCTGGGCACGGGGGCTCACCCAGTAATCCCAAGGCTTTGGGAGGCTGAGGCGGGAAGATCACTTGAGGCCAGGAGTTCGAGACCAGGCTGAGCAACATAGTGAGATCCCCATCTCTACTAAAAAAAACCTTAAAACTATTACCTGGGCATGATGGCTTGTGCCTGTAATCCCAGTTACTCAGGAGGCTGCGGTGGGAGGATCCCTTGATCCTAGGAGGCAGAGCAGCCTCTGCCTGTGAGCCCTGTTTGCACCACTGCCCTCCAGCCTGCATGGCAAAGCGAAACCCTGTCTCAAAAAGAAAAAGAAAAAAAAGAGGCTGGGTGTAGTGGCTCACACCTGTAATCCCTGCACTTTGGGAGGCTTAGGTGAGCAGATCACTTGAGGTCAGGAGTTTGAGACCAGCCTGGCCAACATGAGAAAACCCGTCTCTACTAAAAATACAAAATTAGCCAGGTGTGGTGGTGCGCACCTGTAATCTCAACTACTCGGGAGGCTGAGGCAGGAGAATCGCTTGAACTTGGGAGGTGGAGGTTGCAGTGGGCCAAGATCGCACCACTGCACTCCAGCCTGGGTGACAGAGCGGGACTGTGTCTCAATTAAAAAAGAGAAACAAAACAAAGCAAAACAAAACAAAAAGGCTGGCTGTGGTGGCTCACGCCTGTAATCCCAGCACTTTGGGAGGCCGAGGCGGGCAGATCACAAGGTCAGGAGTTCAAGACCAGCCTGGCCCAACATGGTGAAACCCCATCTCTACTAAAAATACAAAAAATTGGCCAGGCGCGGTGACTCACGCCTGTAATCCCAGCACTTTGGGAGGCTGAGGTGGGTGGATCACGAGGTCAGGAGTTCAAGACCAGCCTGGCAAATACGGTGAAACCCTGTCTCTACTAAAAATACAAAAAAAAAAAAAAATTAGCCAGGCTTGGTGGCGGGCACCTGTAGTCCCAGCTACTCGGGAGGCTGAGGCAGGAGAATGGCGTGAAGACAAGAGGCAGAGGTTGCAGTGAGCCAAGATGGAGCCGCTGTACTCCAGCCTGGGCGACAGAGTGAGACTCCGTCTCAAAAAAAACAAAAAACAAAACAAAAAAAAAACTAGCTGGGTGTGATGGTGGGCGCCTGTAGTTCCAGGTACTTGGGAGACTGAGGCAGGAGAATCACTTGAACTTGGGAAGCGGAGGTTGCAGTGAGCTGAGATCATGCCACTGCACTCCAGCCTGGGCGACAGAGTGAGACTCCATCTCAAAACAAACAAACAAATAAACAAACAAATGAAAATACAAAAAATTAGCCGGGTGTGGTGGTGGGCGCCTGTAGTCCCAGCTACTCGGGAGGCTGAGGCTGGACAATTGCTTGAACCCGGGAGGCGGAGGTTGCAGTGAGCCGAGATCGTGCCACTGCACTCCAGCCTGGGCGACAGAGCAAGACTCTGTCTCAAAAAAACAAAAAAACAAAAACAAAACAACCCGCATGTATTCATTGAGCAGCACTGGATCCCACTCATTCATCCTCTGATGTCTACTGGTGCTGCCTCCATGCCAGCCCTTCCATGGGATGGGTGGCCTGCTTAGCACAGCTGGGCCTTCTTTGCCAACAGCTATCCCACCCCTGCCAATCATGCCTCTGTCCATAGAGGAGGGTTTTTTTGTTTTTGTTTTTTGTTATTATTATTATTTCCTTTTTTTTTGAGACAGAGTCTAGCTCTGTCGCCCAGGCTGGAGTGTGGTGGCGCGATCTCGGCTCACTGCAACCTCTGCCTCCCGGGTTCACACCATTCTCCTGCCTCAGCCTCCTGAGTAGCTGGGACTATAGGCGCCCACCACCACGCCTGGCTAATTTTTTGTATTTTTAGTAGAGACGGGGTTTCACCGTGTTAGCCAGGATGGTCTGGATCTCCTGACCTCGTGATCCACCTGCCTCAGCCTCCCAAAGTGCTGGGATTACAGGCGTGAGCAACCATGCCTGGCCTATTTTTTTTTTTTTTTGAGAAGGAGAGTCTCACTGTGTTGCCCAGGCTGGAGTGCAGTGGCGCAATCTCAGCTCACTGCAACCTCTGCCTCCCGGGATCAAGCAATTCTCTGCCTCAGCCTCCCGAGTAGCTGGGATTACAGGCATCCGCCACCATGCCCAGCTAATTTTCGTATTTTTAGTAGAGACAGGGTTTCACCATCTTGGCCAGGCTGGTCTTGAACTCCTGACTTCGTGATCCACCCGCCTCAGCCTCCCAAAGTGCTGGGATTACAGGCGTGAGCCACCGCACTCGGCCCTTTTTTTTTTTTTTTGAGACAGAGTCTTACCCCGTCACCCAGGCCGGAGGGCAGTGATGTAATCTCAGCTCACTGCAACCTCCACCTCCTTGGTTCAAGAGATTCTCCCTCCTCAGCCTCTTGAGTTGCTGGGACCACAGGTGTGCGTCACCATGCCCGGCTCATGTTTTGTACTTTTTTTTTTTTTTGAGACAGAGTCTTACTCTGTTGCCCAGGCTGGGAGTGCAGTGGCACGATCTCGGCTCGCTGCAAGCTCCGCCTCCCGGGTTCAAGCGATTCTCCTGCCTCAGCCTCCCGAGTAGCTGGAATTACAGGCATGCAACACCACTCCCAGCTAATTTTTGTATTTTTAGTAGAGACAAAGTTTCACCATGTTGCCCAGGATGGTCTCGAACTCTTGACCTCATGATCTGCCCGCCTCGGCCTCCCAAAGTGCTGGGATGACAGGCGTGAGCCGCCGTGCCCATCCCGACCACGAGTTTTCACCCAATTGGCTCACTCCATACAACCATGTGATCCCTGCCTGGCCAATCTGGGCATCCCCTTACCAGGCCACAGCCCACCAGGACATGTGACCCAGGCTGGGCGAATGAGAACCTCCCTGGCACTTTGGTGCCCCCACCTTGGGAAGAGGTGTTGACTCCTGCCAGGGCTGTTAAGATGATGGGCAGATGAGATTTGGGGCTTATGGCATCATCTTTTCCCCATAAAGGCAAAGTCTGTTGAAGAAAAAAAAAATAAGAGAGACCGGGCACGGTGGCTCACGCCTGTAATCCCAGCACTTTGGGAGGTCATGGCGGGTGGATCACCTGAGGTCAGGAGTTCAAGACCAGACTGGCCAACATGGCAAAAGCCCATCTCTACTAAAAATACGTAAATTAGCCAGACATGGTGTCGCACGCCCGTAGTCCCAGCTACTCGGGAGGCTGAGGCAGGAGAATCACTTGAACCCGGGAGGCAGAGGTTGCAGTGAGCTCAGGTCACATTATTGGGCTCCAGCAGAGGTGACAGAGCGAGACCCTGTCTCAAAAAAAAAAAAAAAAAAAAAAAAAGAAAGGAAAAGAAAAGAAAAAAGCCAAGAGAGGGGATGGCAATGCTAAGAGATGGAGAATTGGACACATCCTTGTGACACTGACCGAGGGTCCTGGATCCAGCTGTGTCTGAAACCCGCCAGACCAGTAGGGCTCAACCAAGGGTGATTACACCCCCAGGGGACACTCAGCAATGTCTGGAGATGTTTTTGGTCACCATGACCGGGTGGGGACGCTACAGACGTTGACTGGGTGGAGGCCAGGGTCATTGCTGAGCACCCTGTGTGCCCAGGACGGCCCCCACCCTAGTGAATGGTCCTTTCCAGAACATCAACGGTGCTGAGAGGGGTGGCCTTGAGTTAGCTCTATCCCTAAATCTTTCAGTTCCATGAGCAAAAAATTCCTGTTTTTTAAAAAGGAGCCAGTTGTAGTTTCAATTTCTGTCAGCTGCAACCAAACGATTCTTGTTTGTTTTTTTTTTTTTTTTTGAGGTGGAGTCTGGCTCTGTCGCCCAGGCTGGAGTGCAATGGCGCGATCTCAGCTCACTGCAACCTCTGCCTCCCAGATTCAATAGATTCTCCTGCCTCAGCCTCTTCAGTAGCTGGGACTATAGGTGTGCACCACCACCCCCGGCTAATTTTTGTATTTATACTAGAGACAGGGCTTCACCATGTTGGCCAGGTGGATCTCAAACTCCTGACCTCAAGTGATTTGCTCGCCTCGGCCTCCCAAAGTGCTGGGATTACAGGCGTGCACCACTATGCCCAACTTGAAGGTTTTTTTTCTTTTTTTTAATATAAACTCTTCACCATACCCCAAGCCCCACTCCAAACACTTAACACATACCAGAACTTACCAAATTCTCACAAAAGGCTTCCAAAGGAGGTACCACGATTATCCTCATTTTATAGATGGGCAAACTGAAGTGTGGGAGGTCATGTGCCTTCCTGAGGTCACAGAGCCCCGGGGGGGAGTGGCGGGATTTGAACGGTGGAAATCTTCACTACTTGTTCCCACACTCCTCTTTTGTTTTTTTGAGATGGAGTCTTGCTCTGTCACCCAGGCTGGAGTGCAGTGGTGCGACCTCGGCTCGCTGCAACCTCCGCCTCCCAGGTTCAAGCAATTCTCCAGCCTCAGCCTCCCGAGTAGCTGGGATTACAGGCACCCGCCACCAAGCCCGGCTAATTTTTGTATTTTTTGTAGAGACGGGGTTTCTCCATGTTGGCCAGGCTGGTCTCGAACTCCTGACCTCAGGTGATCAGCCTCCCTCGGCTTCCCAAAGTGCTGGGATTATAGGCTTGAGCCACTGCGCCCAGCCCTGCTCCCTGACTTTTGTTTCAACTCTGCCAGTCCCGCTTGCAACCCTGTGGACGTGAGAAGGCCTGCAGGGAAGGGAAAGCACTCTCCACCCATTGCAACCCCCCACCCCCCAGTTCTCACCTCCTAGAACCCAGATTCCCACTTGTGCCCTGTAGATGCTGGCCTGGGCTGAGCACTGTGGCTCACGCCTGTCATCCCAGCACTTTGGGAGGCTGAGGCGGGTGGATCACCTGAGGTCAGGAGTTCAAGACCAGCCTGGCCAACATGGCGAAACCCTGTCTGTACTAAAAATACAAAATTTAGCCGGGCGCGGTGGCAGGCGCCTGTAATCCCAGCTACTGGGGAGGCTGAGGCGACAGAATCACTTGAACCCGGGAAGCTGAGGTTGCAGTGAGCCGAAATCGCACCACTGCACCCATGCCTGGGCAACAAGAGTGAAACTCTGTCTCAAAAAAAAAAAAAAAATGATGCCAGGGCTGGGGCTGGGGAGTCCAAGTTTTCCCCAAGTCCCCGTGGGACGCAGCAGAAACTGGCCCTCAGAGGAGGTGGTCAGACTCCTCACAGTTCTCCAAATGCCCCCAGGCCCTCCATTGCCCAGCCCCTCCCGTGCTACTGGCACCTAGAATGAGTCAGCCAGGAGCGGCCCTGGCTTCTCTGGAATTTCCCTCGGGGCCGGGCAGCGGATCCGAGGTGAAGGTCCAGGAAGTCCCCACACAGGTGACATCAGCACTGGGCTGACCACTGCGTACACTCAGGGCAGCCATGGTGGGGCCTGGAGCCCGTTCCCCCTCCTGGGACCCTTGCCCTGCACTCACGTGGCAGGGGCCTGCCTGGGAAGGGCCAAGGTGTCTGTGTCCTAGGCTGCTCCAGCATCCGGCTTCTTCGTGGCCTGGGGACCCCCTCAGGGTGTGTCTGTTCTCTGTAGTGGCCCTGGCACCTGCAAGTGGGGCCTGGCCCTGGGTGGCACTGAGAAATTCATCTCGGATGAATACATGGCCCCAACCTGCCCTCCCCACCTTGCAGCCCCATCCAACGATCCAACGCCCCTGCCCTGCCCCCGGCCCTTTGCTCTGGCCCCAGCCCTGGCAGAGCAATCTCCTCTGGTGCCCTACTTCTGCCCGTGGCTCCCCACCGCCCCGGGGACAAAGCCACAGGACCTGGCATTTGAGGCCTCTGCCTTGTCGTCCTTAGATGTGGGCCCAGGGGGTGCAGAGTACCGGTTTGGGGGCATCCTGGGGGCCGTCTCCCCTCCCTCGCATTTTCTGTAGCTCAATCCTGGCTCATAATGAGCACCTGATAGGAAGTTCAGGCCGGGTGCAGCGGCTCACACCTGTCATCTCAGCACTTTGGGAGACCGAGGTGGGAAGCTCACTTGAAGCCAGGAGTTCAAGATTAGCCTGGGTAACCCAGTGAGACCTCTTCACTACAAACAAGGTTTATTTATTTATTTATTGTTTGTTTGTTTGTTTGTTTGTCGAGACGGAGTCTCGCTCTTTCGCCCAGACTGGAGTGCAGTGGTGCGATCCCGGCTCACCGCAACCTCCGCCTCCTGGGTTCAAGCGATTCTCCTGCATCAGCCTCCCGAGTAGCTGGGATTATGGGTGCGTGCCACCATGCCTGGCTAATTTTGTTTTTGTTTTTTTTTTTTAGTAGAGAAAGGGTTTCACCACGTTGGTGAGGCTGGTCTCGAACTCCTGATCTCAGGTGACTCACCCGCCTTGGTCTCCCAAAGTGCTGGGATTACAGGCATGAGCCATCGCGCCTGGCCAACAAAATTTAAAATTAACCAGGCATAGTGGTGCGCCTGTCATCCCAGCTACTCTGGAGGCTGAGGAGGGAGGATTGCTCCAGGCAAGGAGTTCAAGGGTTCTGTGAGCCGAGATCACACCACTGCACTCCAGCCTGGGCGACAGAGCAAAACCCTGTCTCAAAATAGAAAAAAAAAAGAAAGAAAGAAAAAAGAAGTTCAAAGTTTGGCTCTTTTTTTTTTGAGACAGAATCTTGCTCTCTCTGTCACCCAGGGTGGAGTGCAGTGGTGCGATCTCGGCTCACTGCAACCTCCGCCTCCCTGCTTCAAGCAATTCCCTTGCCTCAGCCTGCCGAGTAGCTGGGATTATAGGCGCCCGCCACCACCCCCAGCTAATTTTTTTGTATATTCAGTAGAGACGGGGTTTCACCGTGTTGGCAGGTTGGTCTCAAACTCCTGACCTCAGGCAGTCCACCTGCCTTGGCCTCCCAAAGTGCTGGGATGACAGGCGTGAGCCACTGCACCCGGCCAAGTTTGGCTCCTTTCTTCATCCTCGGGGCAGTTGAGCCTCCTCCGGCCTCAGTCTGACTACCAGATGAGCCTTCTGATCTGAAATTCGGTCCCTGTGCCTCACCCCATCCAGTACACCGCTAGCCCCACCATGACTGTACCACTCCGTTGCTCCAGAACCCTCAATGGTTCCCTAGTGCCCCCAGAATACAGGCCACGTCTAGCTTCCAGGCCCTCCAGGGTCCCCTCTCTCTCTCCCAGTCCATCTATCCTCACACCCCAGGCCCCGCACACTCTCCCCTGAGTCTTTGTCCCCGCTGAGACTTTGCATGTGCAGTGCCTTCTCCCTGTTTATCCTCCCTGCACAGGGCGACCGGCAGATTGCTGATCTTCCTTCACCCAGCCTGCCCTGGGTGCCCCAACCTCAGGACACAGCCCTGACCCAGACTAGGCTGCTGCAGCCTGTACCCAGCCTGAGGTGCTATGTCAGGGGTGTCACTGGGCCCCTTCAACCCAGCTGTCCTAGCGTCAGTGCGGAGGTGAGAAAGCCTGTCCCATGTGGAATCTCAAACCCGTCAGACAGGTTTGTTGTTCCCTAAAGTTGTCTTGGCACAGAGGCTGCCCCGACCTGGCCTGGTAGGATCTCACTCTGGGCCTGGCCCTGGTCAAGCAGGTGGCTGCAGGGCCCGGGAACACGCCGGCCAGCACCGACCTGAGGACACCCTGGAGCAGGTGGCCCTGACCACAGGGAGGGTATGGTGCTGACACGTGAGGGCGGCCACGGGAGGGGGATGGTGGCAAAAGAAGGGACTGAGACAGAGATAGACAGAGATAGAGAAACAGAGACAGAGACAAAGAGAGAGCTAGAGAAACAGACAGAGGGATCCAGAGACAGAGACAGGGAGACAAAGACAGAGACAGAGAGACACGGAGACAGAGACAGACACAGAGAGAGACAAACAGAGAGACAGAGGGACACAGAGACAGAGACAGAGAGACAGAGACAAAGAGAGAGACAGAGAAACAGAGAGACAGGCCGGGAGCGGTGGCTCACGCCTGTAATCCCAGCACTTTGGGAGGCTGAGGCGGGCGGATCACGAGGTCAGGAGATCGAGACCATCCTGGCTAACACGGTGAAACCCCGTCCCTACTAAAAAATGCAAAAAAAAAAATTAGCCGGGCGTGGTGGCGGGCACCTGTACTCCCAGCTACTTGGGAGGCTGAGGCAGGAGAATGGCGTGAACCCGGGAGGCGGAGCTTGCAGTGAGCCGAGATCGCGCCATTGCACCCCAGCCTGGGGGACAGAGCGAGACTCTCTCAAAAAAAAAAAAAAAAAAAAAAAAAAGAAACAGACAGGGACACAGAGCCAGAGCCAGAGAAACAGAGACAGAGGGACACAGAGACACAGACAAAGAGACACAGAAAGAGACAGAAATAAACTGAGACACAGAGAGACAAAGAGAGCCAGAAACAGAGAGACGAAGACAGAGAGACAGAGAGACATGGAGACAGAGAGACAGACAGACAAGGAGACAGAGAAAGAGACAGAGAGAGACAGAGAGACAGATAGAGACAGAGACAGAGACAGACAGAGGGGTGACAGATGTAGCCTCCTGGGTCGGGCAGGCCCAGCTGCTGTGGAATCAGCTTTCCCTTCTGCACACCAGGAAGGGCCTGATTGGGAAAGAAAAGAGGAGAGAGGCAGGAGGGGAAGGGGCGGGTCCCAGGCCCGTCCGCTGGGGAAGTGGGTGGAGGAAGGAGAAGTGGTGAGGAGCCCGGCGCCCAGGAGGGCTGGCAGGGAGGAGGTGCCCCCTCTGCCTGGGAACACAGGGACTTTCCAGAATGTGGAGAAACAGGAAGTGGCTCCATCCCATCCCTGCCCCCGCATCGGGCCGCGCCGGGCCAGACCCACCTGCCTGCCTCACCTGCCCAGGTCTGAGGCTCTGTGCGGGAGCCGCCCGTCACCACCACGCACCTCCCCCTCCCTGGGCACCTCCCTCGGCCCCCTGGACGGCAGAGTGGGCACAGTCCCAGGGTCCTTCTTGCCGCCCAGGAGAGACACTGAGGCCGGGAGGGGAATCCAGGCTGGCATCTCCCAGATGGGGAAACTGAGGCACAGCCCAAGAAGGTCCTTACAAACAACCTTCATGTTTGTCTGAAGTTTTCTGCAATTTGAAATAATTAAGACAGGCTGGACAGAGTGGCTCATGCCTGTAATCCTAGCATTTTGGGAGGCCGAGGCAGGTGGATTGCTTGAGGCCAGGAGTTTGAGACCAGGCTGGGCGACACAGTAAGACCCCATCTCTACAAAAAAAAGAAAGAAAGAGAGAGAGAAAGAAAGAGAGAGAGAGAGAAAGAAAGAAAGAAGGAAATAGAGAGAGAGAGAGAAAGAAAGAGAGAAAGAAAGAAAGAAAGAAAGAAAGAAAGAAAGAAAGAAAGAAAGAAAGAAAGAAAGAAAGAAATGGGCCAGGTGTGATGGCTCATGCCTGTAATCCCAGCACTTTGGGAGGCCAAGGTGGGAGGACTGCTTGAGCTCAGGAGTTCAAGACTAATCTGGGTAAAATGGTGAAACCCCGTCTCTATAAAAAGTAAAAAAATTGGCCAGGCATGGTGGTGCATACCTGTAGTCCCAGCTACTTAGGAGGCTGACTGGGGAGGATTGCTTGAGCGCAGCAGGCAGAGGCTGCAGTGGGCTGTGACTATACCACTGCACTCCAGCCTGGGCGACAGGGTGATTCCCAGTCTCAAACAACAACAAAGCCTGGGCGCAGTGGCTCACGCCTGTAATCCTGGCACTTTGGGAGGCTGAGGCAGGTGGATCACGAGGTCAGGAGTTCAAGACCAGCCTGGCCAGGATGGTGGAACCCCGTCTCTACTAAAAATACAAAAAATTAGCCGGGTGTGGCGGCGGGTGCCTGTAGTCCCAGCTACTCGGGAGGCTGAGGCAGAGAATTACTTGAACCCGGGAGGTGGAGGTTGCAGTGAGCCAAGATCGCGCCACTGCACTCCAGCCTTCTTGTCAACGGAGCGAGACTCCGTCTCAAAAACAACAAGAACAACAACAGCAGCAGCAACAAAAAGTACTCGTCACGTACCTACAGTTGAATTTTAACTGGGTGTCTTGTGTTTGATCTGGCAACCCCACTTCCACAATTCTCTCGAAGGGGCTGGGAAGACATTTAGGAGGACCTGTATGGGATGGGGAAGAGGGAGGGTTTAGGGAGGAGAGTGTTGACGTCAAACACAGCCCCACCAGAAAACCTCCACAAATGTACAACTCTGTCCCCCAGGAGAGCTCTCCACCCTTCACATGGCACCGAGGACCTGGGCCTGGGCCAGAGCTGGAAGCCTGAGAGCTCTCTGCGGGGTGGGACTACTGGGGGACGGGGCTATCCACACCTCTGACCAGTTGAGCGTCTCCCCTGGGGGGCGGCTTCCAAAGTCTGAGCCAGGAGAGCTGGTGCCGGCCAGGGCCCTCACCCCATCTCTGCCCATCTGTGGCGTCAAAAATGCCTCCTCTCTTGAACTCCAACTGCAGCATTCATCCTTATTATTTTCTCATTGAACATCCACTTCAGTGACGCCATGGACTGGGCCGAGGAAAATCAAGAATTTCCCTAGGGTGGCTCAAGCCTGGAATCCCAGCAATATGGGAGGCCAAGGCAGGCGGATCACGAGGTCAAGAGCTCGAGACCATCCTGGTCAACATGGTGAAACCCTGCCTCTACTGAAAATACAAAAATTAGCCGGGCATGGTGGCACGTGCCTGTAATCCCAGCTACTTGGGAGGCTGAGGCAAGATAATCACTTGGACCCAAGAGGCAGGGGTTGCACTAAGTTGAGCTCATGCCCCTGCACTCCAGCCTGGGTGAAAGGGCCAGACTTCGTCTCAAAAAAAAAAAAAAAAAGAATTTCATTTGGAAATATTCGTAGTGGTTAAATTCTATTAGGCACTGTCTGTCCATTGAGTTGTCTGAACAACCTAGCAGCTAGTTGCTATTATTATTATTATCATTATTATTATTTTTTTTGAGACAGAGTCTTGCTCTGTTGCCCAGGCTGGAGTGCAGTGGTGCGATCTCAGCTCATTGCAACCTCCGCCTCCCGGGTTCAAGCGATTCTCCTGCCTCAGCCTCCGGAGTGGTTGGGACCACAGGTACGTACCATCATGTCCGGCTTATTTTTGTATTTTTAGTAGAGACAGGGTTTCACCATGTTATCCAGGATGGTCTCAATCTCTTGACCTCGTGATCTTCCCGTCTCAGCCTCCCAAAGTGCTGGGATTACAGGTATAAGCCACCGTGCCCGGCCACTAGTTGCTATTATTATCACCCTCCCCATTTTATAGGTGGGAAAACCGGGGCACAGAGAGGTTAAGTAACTCTCCTTGGGTCACACAGCAGATTCACAGCACTGTACTCCAGGCTGGGCCATGAGCCCCAGTACTGTGTCCCTGCTGCTTTCCGGAGCCACCCCCTGTGATTCCCTGGAAATCCCCGCATCTGACTAATTCCCTAAGCATCCCCCAACTTGGCAGATTCCTGCCTGCTGAGATGGCTGGACCCACCCCGGCCTGGGCAAACTGCCCCCACTTTAGGCAAAATCACCCATCGAGACCTTGTGGTTTCCCGAGGTGGATGTGGCAGAGATCGAGCCCACGCCTCTTCCTAGCTCACTTGGTGACCTCAGGGCAGCTTCTGAACAGTTCGTGCCTCAGTTTCCTCCCTCGTGAAATGCAGGTAATACCAGTCGCTACCCCAGAGGGCCGCTGTGGGAGCAGGGCCGGCGTCGTGGGTGTGTGTGACTCGGGGCTTCGCCCACCGCCTGCACTCAGAAGGTCCCGGCGCTCAGCGTGATGCTTTGCTGTTGCCTAACCCAAGCTATGAAATATGTTTTGTGCCGGGGCACCGTGTTTTCATTTCCACTGATCCTCAAAAGTTGTGTGGATGGTCCAGTGTGGGAGGAAATGAGCAGATGCAGCCGCCACCCTCCAGTCCCCAGGCTGGCTTCCTCACCCTTCCAAATCTTTAGTGCCTATTGCTCAATTTAACTGCTGTTCAATTTGCTGTGAAAAGAGTCTCAGCCAGGCACGGTGGCTCATGCCTGTAATCCCAGCACTTTGGGAGGCCGAGGCAGGCAGATCACCTGAGGTCAGGAGTTTGAGACCAGCCTGACCAACATGGAGAAACCCTATTTCTACGGAAAATACAAAATTAGCTGGGCATGGTGGCACATGCCTGTAATCCCAGCTACTTGGCAGGCTGAGGCAGGATAACCACTTGAACAGGGGAGGAGGAGGTTGCAGTGGGCCAAGATTGCGCCAATGCACTCCAGCCTGGGCAACAGGAGTGAAACTCCATCTCAAAAAAAAGAGAAAATAGTCTCAAAGTTGAGATGAGCACCCAGTTTGCCAAAACCGGGAGGCAGAGGTCATGCCATTGCACTCCGGCCTGGGAGACACAGCAAGACTCCATCTCAAAAAAAAGGAGATTTGGCCGGGTGCGTTGGCTCACGCCCGTAATCCCAGCACTTTGGGTGGCCGAGGCGGGCGGATCACGAGGTCAGGAGATCGAGACCATCCTGGCTAACACGGTGAAACCCCGTCTCTACTAAAAATACAAAAAATTAGCCGGGGTGGTGGCGGGCGCCTGCAGTCCCAGCTACTCAGGAGGCTGAGGCAGGAGAATGGCATGAACCTGGGAGGTGGAGCTTGCAGTGAGCTGAGATTGCGCCACTGCACTCCAGCCTGGGCGACAGAGCCAGACTCCGTCCCAAAAAAAAAAAAAAAAAAAAGAGATTCAGTGTGGAGGGAAGTATCTCTGTCGGGTCCGGCTGCTCTGCGGGACTCTGAGGAAAAGCTCACAACAGGTGGACGCCGTTCTGTCACCATGGGTAAAGGAGACCCCCAATGAGCTGAAGGACAAAATGTCCTTGTGCGCCTTCTGCATCTCACTCTGGACATATCACTTCTGCCTTCTGGGTCTGAGTTTCCCCATCTGCCCCCTTGTGCTTTTGGGTTTGATGACAGGGGTCCTTGGCCTGAAATTTTTTTTTTTTTTTTTTTTTTAGACGGGGTCTTGTCATGTCACCCAGGCTGGAGTGCAATGGCGCGATCTCAGCTCACTGCAACCTCCGCCTCCCAGATTCAAGTGATTCTCCTGCCTCAGCCTCCTGAGTAGTCAGGATTACAGGCACCCACTACCACGCCTGGCTAATTTTTGTATTTTTAGTAGAGACAGGGTTTCACCATGTTCGTCAGGCTGGTGTTGAACTTCTGACCTAGGTGATTCACCCACCTCAGCCTCCCAAAGTGTTGGGATTACAGGCGTGAGCCACCGTTTTTTGTTTGTTTGTTTTTTTGAGACCGAACCTCACTCTATCGCCCAGGCTGGAGTGCAGTGGTGTGATCTCAGCTCACTGCAACCTCTACCTCCTGGGTTCAAGCGATTCTCCTGCCTCAGCCTCCCTAGTAGCTGGGAATACAGGCAGGCACCACCATGCCCAGCTAACTTTTTTGTACTTTTAGTAGAGATGGGGTTTCACCATGTTGGCCAGGCTGGTCTCAAACCGCTGACCTCAGGTGTTCCTCCTGCCTCAGACTCCCGTAGTGCTGGGATTACAGGCGTGAGCCACCGTGCCTGGCTTTTGGCCTCAGTTTTTTAGAGAGGTGCTAAAATATCTTAAACCTGCTTATTATCTGCCTTACCAGGCCTTCTTTGCCCGGACTGTTCTTCCTACTCTTGTCTACCTGGTACACTCCTACTTGAACTTCAAAACCCCAGCTTCAACACACTCTTCAGCATGCAGCCCTCTATGAAGCCCTAGGCAGACATTTCAACCCTCCCAGAGATCCCGCATATTGGAGTGTCTGGTCCTGGTTCTCTCTCCCCTAGACCAGGGGCTTTCTGATGTTGGGACAGACAGCTGAGTCCTCTGTGAGACCCTGGGTTTTCCCAGCTCATGACCAAGCACAGAGCAGCATCGATTAGAAGTCACTGAATGAATTAACAAAGTCATGGAGAAATCAACTCTAGTTTCAGGGGGTTGGAATGGGGGCAGAGGCCTCTGGCTTGTGGCTGCTTGGGTCCAGGGAGCTGTATCAGTATTGTCATGGCTGAAATTGGGCTGGGGAGGCGGTGGTGCCTCCCACACTGGATC
The DNA here is from genome assembly GCF_000001405.40 of Homo sapiens. Taxonomy (NCBI): domain Eukaryota; kingdom Metazoa; phylum Chordata; class Mammalia; order Primates; family Hominidae; genus Homo; species Homo sapiens. The sequence continues at coordinate 1,175,270 of NC_000019.10, read as the reverse complement.
TGCCTTCACTGGCTCAAGTCACAGGAAAAGTGCCCTGAGACTCCAGCTCCCCACGCAGGGCAGCCTCCCACCACAGCCACCGAGAGGAGGAGCCCCTCAGGCCCCCGTGGCCCTGCCTGAAAGGATCCTGCTCTCTTGGGGGTAGCCCCTGGGACTTACCCAAACCCCCATGTGCCAGTCACCATGCTGAAGCGTCCAGAACTGTATTTGGTTAGGGAGAGAGATTAATGAACAGAGATAACTTTTCGTGAGAGAGTATGTCTGACAGGCCCAGAGGTGATGATTTTATTTCATTTTATTTTATTTCGTTATTTATTTATTTATTTTTGAGATGGAGTCTCACTCTGTTGCCCGGGCTGGAGTGCAGTGGTGCGATCTCAGCTCACTGCAATAACTACCTCCCAGGTTCAAGCGATACTACTGCCTCAGCCTCCTGAGTAGCTGGGATTACAGGTGCCCGCCATCACGCCCAGCTAATTTTTGTATATTTAGTAGAGACGGGGTTTCATCATATTGTCCAGGTTGGCCTCAAACTCCCGACCTCAAGTGATCCATCCGCCTCAGCCTCTCAAAGTGCTGCGATTACAGGCGTGAGCCACTGCGCCCGGCTGGTGATCGTCTTAGTAGCTTTTGAGGGAGTCTCAGTTTAAAAGTCTCGGGTGAGTGAGCCCCAGTGGGGGACGTGGCACATGCAGAGGCTTGGAGGGGGTTCTGAGGAAGGAGGAAAAAAGGGGATGCTGTACCACAAAGCAGATTCCATTTCACCAGCACGGTGCAGAAGAGGAAACTGAGGCTTGAGGAGGTGAAAGCACATGCTGGGGTCTCAAGAGAACCAGGCAGGGCGGGATTCGAACCCAGAGCCGTAGGAGTCCCAGCCCCTTCCGAATAGCGGAAGGACCTCAAGGGATTGGCTTGGAAGGTGGCCCCGCCCCCGAACCGAGACCACGCCCCCGCAGGTGGAGGCCCCGCCCCGCGGCATGACCGGAAGTGCGCGGGGCCCCCAAGATGGCGCCCGAAACCCGGAAGTGAGCGGCGGCAGCTGCGAGGCTCGGAGAAACAGGCGCCGCGGGCTCCGCGCCCGGCCGGACCCGGGCCCGAGGTGAGGCTCTGGTTGCGACCCCCGCCCCGGCTCCACCGCGACCCCTGCCTGGCCCGACCCCGCTTGTGGGTCCGGCGCTCCCCGCGGACCCCTGCGCCCGGGGCTGGGGGTTCTGGGGGCCGTGGGGCGGGGGCGAGCGCGGCGGGACCCCCGCCCTCCGCCGCGACCCCTTCCGACCCCGCCCTTCGCCGCCAACGTTGACCCCGCGCTGCCCCGCGACCACCGCCGTGAACCTTGACCTGCCCCCCCGCCCCCCGGCGACCCCCTGCCGTGAACCTTAACCCTACCTTCCACGACAACCCTCCCAACCTTTCCTTCCCGCTCTTCCGGGTGACTCCCTGTACCGCGCAGCTTGGTGACCCCCGACCTTTCGTTTTCTGGTAACCCTTGACCCCGCACTCATCGGTGCCCCCGAGCCCCTTGGTGACCCCGCACCCGCTTTTCCTCGGTATCCTGGCCTTCCCTTTTGGGGACTCTCGACTCCATGCGCCTCGTGACCTCGACCCCTTCCTGGGAGTGACCCCCGGTCTCTCCCGCCGCCCCGATTCCTGACTCCAGGCTCCTCGGGCGTTCGTGCCCCTTCCTCCTCCTTGTCCCCGGTCCCAGGACCCTTGCCTTCTCGGCCCCGCAGCGCAGCCCTGTCTCCCTCCCTCCCCTTGCTCCCCGCCCCTCCCGCTCCTGGGGCCTCCGACTTCTCTTCTGGGGCAGATGGTTTTTCGGTTTCTGCATGGAGGTCCCCCGGTTTGGGATGGGGGCTTGCTGATATTAGGTGACCCCGGGGCCGTCTGGGCGGAGTCTGCAGAGCGTGTTGGGGGTGGGAGTGCGGGTCGCATTCAAACCCGGCTTCCAGGGACAGGCGGGAGGGAGGGTAGCGGGCTGAGATGGCCCGAGTGGGGCCCGGGAGCAGCGTGTGTCGGTGAAGGGGAAGCGCAGGCCTCCTGGTGGGTCCTGTCCCCCGTAGGGCACTCTTCCCACCACCCCAGAGTCCCGAAGAATAAGGCAGGTGGGGCCTGGAGGGACCAATCCCCAGACTGACCTGGGGCGTGGGGGGCAGGCGTTGTGGAGAGCCCACCCAGCGCCTCCAGGGACGCCGGGCACGGATGGTGCTGGGGCAGGGACGGTGGGTGTCTCCCTGGATGAACTGATTAACATTCTGAAAAGTTAAAAAAAAAAAAAAAAAATCTCTTAAATGTGTAGCCGGGGCCTCCCCTGGCTGCTTCTTCCCGGAATGCCTGTTGTTCCCGCCTGCTCAGAACGTCCTTCCTGCCTGTGACTGCTGGGACGGGACGGGATAGGTTTGGTGCCATCTGTTGCACGCCCTGTCAGCGAGAGTGCCCGGCCTCGGAGCTGGCCTGTGCTGATGCTGGCTGCCAGTTTGCCGGGGCGGGGGGGGCGGTTGCAGTGAGTGTTTTACAGAGGGGCAGAGGAAGCCGAGGTTCAAGAGAAGAGCATGGGAGGGGCCGAGGACCCAGGGCCGCAGACCCCGTGGGCAGCCAGCCCGATTACACGGGGATTACAGGCTTCAAACTTTCTTCCAGGCCTCTTCCTCCGGGCCAGGGCAGCCGGCACTGCTTCCTGACTGAGGGGTGCTGTGCTGTTTCGGGTGCCCTCCCTGGGATGTCTCTCCCTGACTCGGCCCTGGAAGAGGAGCAGCGGGGACATGGGACCCAGAGAGTTTGTGGCAGGCCCAGCAGGTGCCGTCCACGCCCTTTCTTCCCAGACATCCTCTGGCCTTCAGGGATCTGGCTGCCCGGCCCCAGATTTTCCCAGGGGTGACCCTGGTCGTGGGGTGATGGCTTCTCACAGTGGCCTGCTCCGGGCCACCTTCAGAGTTCTTGCCGAGAAAGGGCGAATTTGAGATCTGGACCCCTTGGTGGGTGGGATGGAGAACAGCAGGATGGGGGCCTCAGGGCCTCCCACGGCAGGGGAGACGGCAGAGGAGACGCAGGCAGGCTCTCGTCCTTGGAGAGGGAAGGACTTGGAAGGCGCCTGCCAGCCCCTGGAGTGTGATTTCAGAGCACAGGGAGGAGGCTTTTGTTTAACTCTGAGGATCCCGGCAGACATCTGCCCACACCTGCCAGGAGCCAGGAGGGCCCTGGTGTGGAGGGGGCTGTGCAGGCAGGGGCTGGACTTCAGGGGGAGGGAGCCTGTCAGAGCACAGAAGAGGCAGCAGGAGCTTCCCTCATCCATTCACTCTCAGTTTGCTTTGGGGTCTGGCCTCTCCGTTCATCCATTCACTCTTGGTTGGCTTTGGAGTCTGGGCTAGACAGGAGGCACCCAGGTGTGCAGGTGCGGAGGAGAGGGTGCATGTTCTCCAGCCGCGTGACCATGGGCAGTCACTGCCCTCTCACCTGGCGGGGAAACCGAGGTGGAGAGAGGTTGCGCCAGCCACCCCTAGACCCCCCACCCACTTGCTGCCTAAGGCCTCCCCCAACCCCAGGGGTGTGAGGGGTGTGACCAGCTTGGGCTTGGCCCAACCCGGCTCCAGCGGAGTCACGGATGCCCCTCCGGCAGGGCCCATGCGGAAACGCCAACACCGCCAGAGTGAGCTCTGCCCCGAACAAAGAGGCGACTGTGTCGACAGAACCAGTCCGGCTCCCAGAGGCCCCCTCCCAGGGGGCCCCCATGCTGGGGGGTGGGATCAGCTCTGGGAAGGGGGCGGTATCATGTAATCCACAGCTGTAAACACTCCTGGAGGCGGTGTGGAGGCAGCCCCCCATGACGCCAGCGCTGCCCTGGGGACTCTGCATGTGTGTGTACACGTGTCTTTGTGTATCTGTATGTTGCGCCATGTGCATGCACATGTGTGTTGTGTGCCTGTGTGTTGTATGGATGTGTGTATTCTTTGTGTGCATTGTACGTACGCACGTGCATTCTGTGTGTGCGTCGTACGGACGTGTGCGCGTTCTGTGTGTGTGTTGTACGGATGTGGGTGCGTTGTGTGTGTGTGAATGTGCGTGCCTGTGGCTGTGTGCTCCTGTGCATGTGTGTGTTGCTCGTGTGTTTCATACGCGTGTGTTTTATGGGTGCACATTGTGTGCGTGTCTGTGCATCCGTGTTTGTGTGTTGTGTGTGCCTGTGCACCCGTGTTTGTGTTGTGTGTGTGCCTGTGTGTACCCATGTTCATGAGTCGGTTATGTGTGTCTGTATTTTGTGTGTTGCCCGTGCCTGTGTGCCTGTCCTCGTATGTTGTGTGTGTGTATTTTGGTGGTTGTGTGTATTTTGTGTGTGTGCTCATGTGTGTGTTGCCTGTGCCCATGTGCCCATGCTTGCGTGTGTTGCTCACACATGTATTTTGTGTGTGTTTGTGTTGTGGGTGCATGTGTATGACCTTTGCACCCGTGCTCATGCAAACGTGTACTTTGTGTGCATGTTGTGTGTGCCCGCATGTTGCCTGTGCACCTGTGTCCGTTATGCACGTGTCCGTTGTGTGTGTTGTGTGCGTGCTGCGTGTTCTCATGCACCCCTGCTTGTGCATGTCTTGTGCACGTGTGTTTTGTATGTGTGCGTGTGTTGTGTGCACGTGTGTGGCCTGTCCCTGTGTGCATGTGTGTGTGATTTGTTGCGGGCAGGCCTGGAATACCTCCAGTCACTTTTTCCACAGCCGAGGGCTGTGTGGTCAGACAGCACACGGGGAGGGCTGGGTGTGTCCAGCTGCCGGGTTGAAGCCTAAAAGCGAGGTCACCCCAACCTGGTTCTCGTCCTGGCCTGCCCGCTGTCCGCCCGGCAGTGTGGGTGGACTCTCAGCCTTGCCCCTCGCCTCTGCACTCTCGCCCCCAACCCCCGGGAGGTTGGCCGGCACCTGCACCCTCGGGCTGGGACGAAGAGCAGACTGCCAGCCCCGTGGTCACCTTGCCTCCCTGCTGGGAGGTGTGGTCACCCGTCACAGGGCCCAGGACTCAGGAGAGGGCTCAGCCCTGCGGGCGAAGGCAAACCTGGGGTTCTGGCCAAGACGGGGATTTCGGATGCGTGGGCCCCATCAGCTCTCGCCCTGGGCCTCCTGGGCCCCGTGAGGAGGCGGAGATTAGATCTGTCGTCTGTGCGCCCGGCATGGATGCTCTGCGGAGACGTGCTTGCGGAGAGACGCCAGACGCAAAAGGCCACGGCACGTGACTCCGTTCATGTGACGTGTGCAGAGCAGGGCAGTCCACAGATGGGGGGTAGACGTGTGGTCACGTGTCCAGAGCAGGCCAGTCCACAGAAGAGAAGTGGGCGTGTGGTTGCAGGGGCTGTAGAGGCGGGGGAGTGACTGCTGTTGGGGACACGGCTGTGTTTTGGGGGAGCGGAATGTTTTGGAATTAGAAGCTGTGGTGGTCTGCCTTAGAATACGTTGAAACCGTTGAGTCATATGCTCCGGACAGGTGCCCCTCCTGGTGTGGATTGTATCTCAGGGAAAATAAAAGTGTTTAACAGAAAGTAAGACCTCCCTGTCCTTCGGAATCCCCAGTTGTCACCACAGGGTTGAGCACGGTGTCCCCGGGAACTGGTCAGGCAGCCTGCAGCCAGCTTGCATCAAGGGGTGATGGGCAGCTGTCCTGTCTCAACCCGTAGGACGGCAACAGTGATGGCATCACCCCACCCCCCGGGGGCCCCTCGCCCAGGCCCAGCTCTGCCCCTGAACCACTCACTGCTTCGGAGGGGCAGGGAATGCTGCATTCTACTCGAAGGGGCCCTACGGGGCTCTTGGCATGAGGGGGACAGGCCTTGGGCCACATGGGTGGCACACAGGGGCCAGTCAGCCTGAGGGTGCCTGGTGGTCCAGGCGGAGGCCCCGTGAGAGCTCAGCATGGCAGCGTGGCCCTGAAGCTCAGTCCCACGGAGGCCTCAGCCTGGGGCCGCACTCGTGCCCTGTGCCCTGGCTCTCCTGCGGATTCCCCTGGGCCTCTTGCCCTGGACAACCCCATGAGTGATGGGGTGGGAGGAGGGGCCCAGAGAGTCATTGCCGAGTCATCTCCCCTGCAGGCACTGTCCCGGGCAGCCTCGTGCAGTGCAGGGCATGGGAGTGCTGGGCCCTGGCTGGGGTCAGCAGATCGGACTGGCGGGCCTGGTGCCGCTGTCTCAGTGACCTGCTTTGTGACTCGTGCCCGTGCTTCCCGGAGCCTTGTGATTGACCTCCATCCCCAGCAAGAACAAGCGTCCAAGTGAAACCGAAAGAGGCGGCCTTGGCCTTGGTTCCAGGCCCCGCTGCGTTTTGAAAGTGATGTGCGCCAGGTTCCGGAAGGCGGCTCACTCGCGTTTCCTGGGAGTCTCTGCCGCTGTGGGCTCCTGGGGCCAAGGCCCTGGGTGCTGGGGCGTGGGGAGGGGGAGCCGGTGAGCCTTCGGGCCTGGCGGGCAGTAAACGTTTCTGGAACTGACTCACTTGCTGGGGAGGGGCAGCCAGGGAGGGTCACGGAGAAAGTCCCTGCCCGCCATGGCCCCGGACCGCCGTCGGCTGCCCGTCCAGCCTGGAGTGAGGAGGCGTCTTCCTTTGCATGTCAGGTAAACTGAGGAAAGCTGCCTCTGGGGTCTGCTGCGCTCGCCGCCTGGCTTCCGGTGCCCAGGGGCCGGGTGGAATGGGTCGCGGGACCCACGCTGGTGACCGCAGCCTCCCTACGCTGTGAGAGGGCCAGGCTTCGTGGGGACAGACAGCCGCCAGGGTGCCTGGAACCCATGGGTGTGAGGGGGGTTCCAAGGCCACGGGGGACGGTGAGGAGCTTCTCAGGGCGGCATCACTGTGACCAGAATGTTTTCACTGGTGGGGCAGGGGCCCAGCCCCGGAAGCTACCGGGTGGGTCTCACTCAGCTGGGCGCTGGGGCCCTGGTGGAGAATGGCTGTCGGTGTTGCCCGGGTGTGGCTGGGCTGACCGGGGCATTTTCGGGGGCTTTTATCAGATCCTGGAATGACTGCTACCCGCCAGGAGCTTGGGGGAGCTGCGAGCCCCCAGGTGGATGCAGGAGCTCTCGGGGTGGCCCTGAGGTCTGGGCACCCAACGCTGCCCCGGGGTGGGGGTGTGGATGCTTGAATTGCTTGCCGACTTTGGAACACCAGGGGCTGCCACCCTCAAACGCAGACTTGTGGCTTCTCTTGAAAAACCAGATGATCTAGAAACCCTGGCCACATTCCTGCCCACAAGTCTCCGCTGCCCCTCCCCAGGGGTGCACCTGTGTGGCCCCCTCCCCCAGCTCTGGTGAGGCGGCTCCTGCCCCACTTGGAGGATGTGGGAGGGGTGGGGAGGTTACACTGAGAGGGGGATACTCGAGCTCCTCATCCACAGCCTCTGGGCCCCTAAAAGGAGTGGGAGCGTGTCCCCGGAGCCTGCTCCCGTACTCAGTGGCCGGCTTTGCTCCTGGCTGGCCGTTCAGGAGCCTGGGTTTCCGTGCACGCGGCCTGACCGCAGGCTGAGACCTCATGGCCTGGCGCTGTGTACTGCAGGTCTGGGTCAGCCCCAGAGAAGCCACCGTCCCCCCCACCCCCTGGAGCCGTGGGTGTGGTGCCTCCCGGGGCACAGGGGCTCTGCAGAGGGGTCGTCCTGGATTCCTCGGGTCCCGGCATCGTCACAAATGTCCTCATGCGTGGGACCCTTCTCCAGCTGGAGGAGGGGAGGTCAGGTCAGAAGCCTAAGAGGGACCTTGCCCTGCTGGCTTTTAGGAGGGAGGGATGGCGTGATGGGGGACGTGGCTCCCCGAAAGCAGGGAAGTGGGGCCTCAGCCCAGTGGCCACAGGGAGCAGAATCCCGCCCCCGGCCGAGCTCAGGCGCGGACTCTCCCGGAGAACCCAGACCAGGGCCCAGGACAGCAGTGCCTTGACCTTGGCCTTGGAGCCGTGGCCGTGGAGCAGCCAGCCCACCTGGACCTCTGACCTGCTGGGCCCAGAGAGGGCGCGTGGGTGTCGTTGTCAGCAGCTACGTTTGAGGGAAGGTGGATCAGGCCGCACTGGCGAACCTGGAGTTCCTGCTTCTGTGATTTCGGGCCCTCAGTTCCCTCCTCCAGGCGTGGAGCAGCGCCTAACTGTGCGGCCATTGTCAGGACAGGGTGCGTAGCTCCAGCAGTCAGCGCTGAAGTCTCGCTCTAAGCGGTCTTGGAGCTGCCGTCCTCAAGCCCAGCCCGAAGCCAGAAGGGACTCTTCCTCCTCCTCCAGGACCTGATGCCCTCAGGGCTCGGATGCAGGTCCTTGTGACATTTTTGTCACCAAGGCTGGACTTAAGCTCAAGGACAGTGGTGACCGGTCGAGCCACTTGTCTGGGATCAGCATAGCCCGGCTGCTGGCAACGCTTGGCACTCCCCAAGGAGCCAGGTGGGGAGACCTTGTGGCCTGAGGCCGCTGATGTGAGGCAGTGACAGTAGCAGGTGTGGGATGGGCCAGACTACCCTCCACATGGATTGAAGACACACAAGGGCACCTCCATTTCAAAGGACCGGAAGTCTGGAGTGAGTGGGGATTTAGCTTAACGTCTGCTCAGGAGAAAAAGACGTGTAGGTTAGAGGGGACCACAGGCTCAAGCTCAGCATGTTAAAAGGTTTTTAGCGTGTGTGGCTTTTAGCGTGTGTGTGTGTGTGTGTGTGTGTGTGTGTGTGCGCGTGCAGTTGCGGTCTCGCTCTGTTGCCCAGGCTGGTCTCCACCTCCTGGGCTCACGCAGTCCTCCCAGCACTGGGATTACAGCCACGGGCCACCGCACTGGCCCCAAAAGACTGAAAATAAACACAAGACCCGAGCGGGCTCCTCACAGCAGCAGAAGCCGCGTGGAAGCTGCTTGGCTGCCACAGAAAGCCGCACCACCCTGTCCAGGCGGACAGGCCTTTAACCGCCAGGTAGCAGTGAGGCCCGCTCGGAGCATGGGGACCCTGCTTTGGAGCCCCGCAGCCCGGCCTGGAGGCTGTTTCCGCATAAGCATTTGTGTCGTGGAATCTCCTTTCCACTCCCTCACCGGGCCTCCCTCTGGGCTGGGGTCTGGGATCTGGGGTCTGGAATCTCGGGTCTGGGATCTGGGGATCCGGGGATCTGAAGTCTGGGATCTGGGGTCTGGGGATCTGAAGTCTGGGATCTGGGGTCTGGGGATCTGAAGTCTGGGATCTGGGGTCTGAGATCTGGGGTTTGGGATCTAGGGTCTGGGATCTGAGATCTGGGGGTCTGGGGTCTGGGATCTGGGATCTGGGGTCTGGGGTCTGGGGTCTGAGGTCTGGGATCTAGGATCTGGGGTCTGGGATCTTGCGGTCTGGGATCTGGGATCTGGGGTCTGAGATCTAGGATCTGGGGTTTGGGGTCTGAGATCTGGGATCTGGGGTCTGGGGGTCTGAGATCTGGGGTCTGGGATCTGGGGTCTGGGGTCTGGGATCTGGGGTCTGAGATCTGGGATCTGGGGTCTGGGGGTCTGAGATCTGGGGTCTGGGATCTGGGGTCTGGGGTCTGGGATCTGGGGTCTGAGATCTGGGGTCTGGGGTCTGAGATCTGGGGTCTGGAGTCTGAGATCTGGGGTCTGAGATCTGGGGTCTGGGGTCTGAGATCTGGGGTCTGGGTACTGGGGTCTGGGGTCTGGGATCTAGGGATCTGAAGTCTGGGATCTGGGGTCTGAGATCTGGGATCTGGGATCTGAGGTCTGGGTTCTGGGATCTGGGGTCTGGTTCCCCAGATGTGGTTTCTTCCTAAAAGGCATCGGCCTCACATTCCTGGCTTGGGACTCTTGCTCTGTCCAAGGGTACGGGACTGAGTGCCAGCAACCACCACTACTCCACTTGGCTCTGACTCTGGGCCTGGACTTCCTTCTGTTCTCAGGGACAGCAGTGCTGCCTTGGGGGTGCCCGGCACCCTGCTCGCATCTCAGCCACGACGTCCCCCTGGCCCTGTGGCTTCCACTTTCGGGGTTGGCTTGGGATGAAGCACCAAGGCCCCTCCCCAGGGCCTCCTTTATTCCCTTTCCAGGCCTGCATTCGGCACCGTGCTGACCATGCCTGGTGGGGCTGTGGGGTCAGCTGAGCAGCCCTGACCTGGTGGAGCTCCTGACGGCGGGGTCAGATGTCAGGCAGGGCCACGCTCAACTCCGGGTCCTCCCTCGCATGGCGGGGGCTGCTGCGCAGGGGTTGCTGGATCCTACCTGTTGGGCGTGTGACCCTGGCTCGGGCTGGACGCCTTGTTTGCTTCAGGGCAGTGGAGTCTTGACCTCCTCCGGGCACACCCTGTGGAAGACCCACAGTGCCGCCGCTGCCTCCTCCTCCTCCTCCTCCTGTTCCTCCTCCTCCTCCTGTTCCTCCTCCTCCTCCTCCTGTGCCTCCTCCTCCTCCTCCTGTGCCTCCTCCTCCTCCTCCTCCTGTTCCTCCTCCTCCTCCTGTTCCTCCTCCTCCTCCTGTTCCTCCTCCTCCTCCTGTTCCTCCTCCCTCCTCCTGCTCCTCCTCCTCCTCCTCCTGTCTCCACTGCCCCTGGCATCTGGGATGTCCCCACAGTGTCCTAGCACCTGTTCCTCCTCCTCCTCCTCTTCCTGTTCCTCCTCCTCCTCCTCCTGTTCTTCCTCCTCCTCCTCCTCCTCCTCCTGTTCCTCCTCCTCCTCCTCCTGTTCCTCCTCCTCCTCCTCCTCCTGTTCCTCCTCCTCCTCCTCCTGTCTCCACTGCCCCTGGCATCTGGGACACCCCACAGTGTCCTAGCACCTGTTCCTCCTCCTCCTCCTCCTCCTCCTCCTGTTCCTCCTCCTCCTCCTCCTGTCTCCACTGCCCCTGGCATCTGGGACGTCCCCACAGTGTCCTAGCACCTGTTTCTCCTCCTCCTCCTCCTCCTCCTCCTCCTGTTCCTCCTCCTCCTCCTCCTCCTCCTCCTCCTGTCTCCACTGCCCCTGGCATCTGGGACGTCCCCACAGTGTCCTAGCACCTGTTCCTGTGCACGGGGGAGGCTTTGTGCTGGAGCAGGACAGGAGGTTTGGCAAGAGAAGCTGTCAGTTCGGCCACCCGCTCAAGCTGTTCCTGCTCCTGGCCATCTCCGAGCTTGGGAACTTTCCCTCCCATGGCACCAGCCCCTTGGCCCCTCCGGAAGGCCCCGGAAGCCATGGGCAGGGGCTTCCCTCGAAATCGGGGTGCAGTGTGAAGCCCCCACGGCCAACACCCTTGAGCCCTCCCAGGAGAGGGGCCGTGATGGCCGCGGGCCTGAGTTTCCAGAGGACCCACCTGGAGGGAGGTCCTTGGTCGGGGGGAGGGGAGCTTCCTGGGCGCTGGGTTCCGACCCCGTCCTCAGGGCGCTGAGTCTGGCCAGTACACCTTTCCCTGTGAGAGAAGCACGTGGGCTCCTGGGGTATGGGGCGGTGAGGCTGCAGTGCCCCTTCCACCTCCAGGCAACCGGGGCCACTGCCGTTCCTCGTGGGGCGGGGAGAACTTGCTCGCCCTGGACCCCGGCTCCTGCCCTCCTGCCGGGCCCACCTCGTCCTCATCCTAAATTGAGGGGCCGTCCCCCAGCATGCTTGAGAAATGTCAGGCGGTGCTGGGCCGGTCTGGGGCCCCCAGGCTTCCCCGGCGCCGCCTGGCCTGTGCCTGCGCGTGGCAGGGTCCAAGCTCGGGAGCGGTGGCCTCTGCCCGTGGTTGGCAGCCTGGAGCCACTGCGGTCCAGACGCCTCCTGGGATGCTGTGGAAATCCACAGACAGCCTCGTGCCGCCTCACCCCAGGGCACCCGAGTCCTCGTGCTCACGGGAGTCGCGTGGGGCTCAGGGCTGGAGCAGCCTCCTCCCTGGACGAGCTTCTCGTGGCGGCCGCAGCAGTGCTGCAAACTGGGTGGCTTAGAGCAGCCTGTCCCTGTCCTGGAGGCCACAGGAAGCTGAGGTCAAGGAGTAGCTCCAGGGGAGGACCCTTCCTGCCCCTCCCAGCTTCCGGGGCTCCAGGCGCCCTTGGTCTGCGGCCGCGTCACTCCAGCCTCTGCTCCGTCTCCATGCGGCCGTCTCCCGATGTGTGGGTGTCCACGTTCCTCTTTTCTCTTAAGGACATGAGTTGTTAACAGGGACACAGACCACCCCCTCCAGCATCCTCATTGTAACCAACCACGTGTGCAAAGACCCTGTATGCAAATAAGGCCCCACCCACAGGTGCGGGTAGATGTGAGTCTGGAGGGACTGTAGTCACCCCGGTGCCCTCTCTGTCCCTGGCACTCCCTCTTGCACCTCAGGACCAGCCTCCAAATCGTCACTTACCAGATCCTGTCTTGGCCTTGTGGCCCGCAGGCACTGTGGGGTCTGATCCTGCCCCCATACGTCCCCAGCACAGGCTGTCCCTGGGGCTCTGTCCCGTCCACATTGGTGGCCCTGCAGCCCCAACGTCCCCTCCCCTCTGCCAGTTGGAGTCTGGAATGTGGGTGGACGATGGTCTGCTCTCTTCCCACTGAACGCTGTCCGGCGGCTGGACTGGGTGTGCATGTAGCTGGTCTACAGGGTCCTCACATGGGCTAGGGAAACCAGCGTCAGGTTCCTGGTCTCCGTTTCTCTGTGTGTCAGATGAGGGGCTAGACCAGCTCTGGGGAGCTCTGGAGATGGGGTTGAAGGTCAGGAAGGCCTCTCTTGGTCTGGAGGTTGGGCTCCACCTCACAAAGCTGGGAGAAGGTTGCCGGCCTGGAGAAGTCTGGTCCCTCAAGGCCGATGTCAGCTGGTCCCTCCGGGGCGTCAGCCTCCTGCCTCTGGCAGGCTCGTATGGGTGAGAGGAAGCCAGATTTCCACCTTGCAGGGGTTGAGATCCAGGCTCCTGCCCCCAACAGCGTTTCTTTTTTTTTTTTTGAGACGGAGTCTCGCTCTTTCACCCAGGCTGGAGTGCAGTGGCCCGATCTCGGCTCACTGCAAGCGCCGCCTCCCGGGTTCACGCCATTCTCCTGCCTCGGCCTCCCGAGTAGCTGGGACTACAGGCACCCGCCACCACGCCTGGATAATTTTTTGTATTTTTTAGTAGAGACGGGGTTTCACCGTGTTAGCCAGGCTGGTCTCGATCTCCTGACCTCGTGATCCACCCGCCTTGGCCTCCCAAAGTGCTGGGATTACAGGTGTGAGCCACTGTTCCCGGCTGTATTATTTTAAAAAAGAATAAAACCTTAACTTTAAAAGACCCCATCCCTGCTCCCGTCTAGGGTGTGGAGTGGTCCCTGAGCCCTGTGTCCCCCACAAAGGAGCCCCACAGCCTCGGGGCCAGGAGGGCGCCTGCAAAGGCCCCAGGCGCCATCTGTGGCCGTGCCCGCTCACCTTGGGCCAGGACGTCCGTCTGTCTGGCCGGCTGCTGGGGAAGCTGTATGTCGGCTCCTCCCCGCAGGCCTGGCCCAACCCCCCCCCCCCCCCCCCCGCGGCTCCCCAGGGAAGGGAGTGGATCGGCTTTCACCCTCCTGGCCCTGCCGCCTGACTGACGACTCTTTCACAAGACAGCAGAGCCATGACACCCACCACCTGCGTCAGGGAGGCTCCGGGCCTCACAGGTGACCCACACAGCTCCCTACGCAGTTCTGATAACCTTGGCAGCAGACTTGAGAACTTTTAGAAAATTTCAAGAGGAGAGGTAGAAAGCGTAGTATGACGTGGCCGTTCCTAAAATGTGGGTCCTGGGCATCCTGAGACCCGCTTCATCGGGCCCAAGAGGTAAAGCTGTGTTGAGACAGGAAGGCACCCCCACCCCCAGCTCCCAGTGCTCAGGCACTCCCACCCCCACTTCCACCCCCCCAGTGCTCAGGCACCCCCACCCCCATCTCCACCCCCAGTGCTCAGGTACCCCCAGTGCTCAGGCACCCCCACCTCCACCCCCAGTACTCAGGCACCCCTACCCCCAGTACCCAGTACTCAGGCACCCCCAGTACCCAGTACTCAGGCACCCCCACCCCCAGTACTCAGTACTCAGGCGCCCCCAGTACCCAGTACTCAGGCACCCCCACCCCCAGTACTCAGGCACCCCTACCTCCATCTCCAGTGCTCAGGCACCCCCACCCCCAGTGCTCAGGCACCCCTACCCCCAGTACCCAGTACTCAGGCACCCCCACCCCCACCCCCAGTGCTCAGGCACCCCTACCCCCAGTACCCAGTACTCAGGCACCCCCACCCCCACCCCCAGTACTCAGGCACCCCTACCTCCATCTCCAGTGCTCAGGCACCCCCACCCCCACCTCCAGCCTCCAGTGCTCAGGCACCCCCACCCCCACCTCCCGGTGCTCCCGGTCTGGCTGTGCCTGGCTGGAGGAGCAGCCTGAGCTTTCTGGGAAGCACCTCAGGACCCTCCACCCTTTCTTTCCGTCCTCGGGCCCTGCCCACCCTGGGAGGGGCCGTCCAGAGCAAATGCCCCCTTGTGGTCCTGGCAGAGCTGCCCACAGGTTTCCCTGGCCACAGTCTAGTGAGTTACAGAGATTCATGTTACTATGAAAATGATTTCCATTCGGGCCGGGCCTGGTGGCTCACGCCTGTAATTCCAGCACTTTGGGAGGCCGAGGCGGGCGGATCACCTGAAATCGGCAGTTCGAGACCAGCCTGGGCAACATGGTGAAACCCCTTCTCTACTAAAATACGCAAATTATCCGGGCCGTGGTGGCGGGTGCCTGTCATCCCAGTTACTCCAGAAGCTGAGGCACAAAAATCACTGGAACCCAGGAGGCGAAGGCTGCAGTGAGCCGAGACCCCCAGTGGGTCCACAAAAATCACTGGAACCCAGGAGGCGAAGGCTGCAGGGACGAGACCCCCGGTGGCTCCAGCCAGCTGCCTCTGTTCTGTAGCCACCCTCTGTGCGTCCTCCCCCGGGTCTCCCCACTGCCCTTCGGGGGTGTCCACCAGGCACTCACTGCAGCCAGGCGGCCGCCATTGTAATACTGGGCCTCCTGTGAGGCCGCCCCGCAGACCCCCCGAGGCCTGGGCAGGGGTGTGGGAGTGGTTTCTTCATGGGCTCTTGGTGCATGAAGTTGGATGTACCCAGTGGGTGGGGGGCTGCCCATGAGGGCCTGGGGACCGTGAGCGGCTTGCTGGGCCCCAGCCGGGCTGCAGGGATGTGGGTGAGCGGCTGCTCTTCCTCTGCCAGGCCCAGCCCTTCCCGCTCCCTCAGCCTCGCTGCCGGGGCAGCTTCCCCCATCACAAACAGGTGCCAGGCGCAAGCTGCCCACCAGCACCCACAGCCAGAGGGCGGGTGCTGCCCCTGGGGTGGAACGTGTGAGAGGGTGGTGCGGGAATGTGGCCGCGTGGCGGGGCAGGCGGGGGCACCCGGAGGCTGATGGCTGCAGAGAGCAGCACTGGCGTGGGCAGGGGCAGCGCCGGACACTCTGGGGTCTCCCTCACCCACCTCCCTTCCCTGGCCCCCTCCTCTGCCACTGCCCAGCTCTGTGGGGGGCGAAGTCCTCTCAGGCAGGCACCTTGGCCCAGGAGTAGGGGAACCTCACGGATGTCTTGAATGTGTCCCCTCCTGTCCCCCCACTGTCCCCCCGCTGTTCCCCCACTGTCCCCCACTGCCCCCCGCTGTCCCCATCTCCCCGCTGTCTCCCTGTTGTCACCCCGTCCCTTGCTGTCCCCCCGCTGTCCCATCCGCCGCTGCCCCCCCACTATCCCCCACTGTTTCCCTACTGTCCCCCTGCTGTCCCCCCACCATCCCCCGCTGTCCCCCCACTGCCCCCCACTGTCCCCTGCTGTCCCTCCACTGTCCCCTGCTCTTCCCCCGCTGTCCCACTGTCCCCTGCTGTCCCCCCACTGTCCCCTGCTGTCCCCAACTGTCCCCTGCTGCCCCCTGTCCCCCCACTGTCCCCTGCTGTCCCCAACTGTCCCTTGCTACCCCCTCTTGCTACCCCCGTCCCCCCAAGGTCTCTCACTGGGCTGACCCTCCCTTGGCTCCAGCCCTTCAGGCCTCCCTTGCCCCGGGCTCCATGTTGAGGGACGAAGCGCTCTGTCTGCAGGGGTCAGGACCTGAGACGGCCTGCAGTGTCCTCCCCACCAGACGGTCCTGGCGGCCGAGTTGGGGCCTGCCCAGGTGCCTGAGCTTGCAGGGCTCTCTGCCCCATATTAGCTGAGCCTTGTGAAATCGCCAGCCCCCGCCCCCTGCACCCGGTCCTAGGATGCGAGTTGTGCGCCCGCCAGGTAGAGGGTGATTGCCCTGTCTTGAGCCCATCTGGAGGCCAGTGTGCGGTGGTCATAGCTGCAGGTGGGGTCACGGCTGTGGGGCGGCGGTTGCAGCCGCAGGTGGGGTCATGGCTGCAGGTGGGGTCATGGCTGCAGGTGGGGTCGCGGGTGCAGGTGGGGTCACGGCCGTGGGGCGGCGGTTGCAGCTGCAAGTGGGGTCACGGCTGCAGGTGGGGTCGCGGCTGCAGGTGGGGTCACGGCTGCAGGTGGGGTCGCGGCTGTGGGGCGGCGGTCACAGCTGCAGGAGGCCATCACGGCTGTGAGGTCACCGGAGGCCGCAAGTCCGCTCTGTCTTATGGCCGTGGCTCTGTGCGGGGTTCCCGGGACACCCGGGGGCCTGCTCCTTGCCATCTTCAGGTCCTGGGACGCAGGGAGCGCCTTGTGCCTGCCCGGAGAACCTCGGCTGAGGTAATGCGGCCTCCAGGGACTGTGCGGTGGCCTCTGCCGGGCTCCATCACCACGGTCGCGCCCGCTCGCCCGGGCCTCGCCGCCTCCTCCTCAGACCTCCATGTCCGCCTTTGCTGGCGCAGGCCTTGAGATGCTGCCGGGTGTGCCAGGAGACCAGAACCCGGGCCTGGGCGGAGCGCTCTGGGGTGTGCCGTGCGCCCTGGGTCCTCCCGTGGTCTCGGTTATGGCTCTGCGGCCAGTGTCTTCTCAGGGTCTCCGCTTTGCCGTCGCGAACGTGGGCACAGCGTGGCCTGAGCTGCTGAGTCTGGCTCTGGGGGTCACGTCAAGGCTCCACCTAGGGGCCTCCGTGTCCACATCCGAAAGTGCGGGGGTCACAACCCTGCTCGGCGAGAGGACGGCAGGAGAACCGGGCTCCGAGGACACAGCTCCCCATCTGCAGACGGCTCGGGTCTGAGGGCGGAGCGCGCGAAGGGGCTCCACACGACAGGTGCTCAGGGACCCCCAGGGGGAGGGTCCGCACAGTGGCCAGTTCTGAACATCAGGAGGCTGAGCTGTTGCTGCACAGCGTGGGGTGAGACCCTGGGGCGTCCAGCCAGGAAGACGGGGACTTCAGCAGGCTCAGAAGAAAGAGGCGGGAGGCGGCCGCAGTTACCCGGACTCAGGAGAGAGAGACGGGAGGCAGATGCAGTTACCCAGACTCAGGAGAGAGCTGGGAGGCGGACAGTTATCCGGACTCAGGAGAGAGCTGGGAGGCGGACAGTTATCCGGACTCAGGAGAGAGCTGGGAGGCGGACAGTTATCCGGACTCAGGAGAGAGAGCTGGGAGGCAGATGCAGTTACCCGGACTCAAGAGAGAGAGCTGGGAGGCGGACGCAGTTACCCGGACTCAGGAGAGAGCTGGGAGGCGGACACAGTTACCCGGTTCCTCGGATTCTCCCGGATCTTGGTCCTGTCTGAGGTTCTGCCTTCCCAGTGGTTGTCCTGTCTGGGCCACCAGCACCTTCATCGTTCTCTTTTACAACGACTCCCTTGAAGACCTGATTTCAGAAGGAAGCCACATCCCCTCTGGGTGTCAGCGTGCTGATAAAGCGCGGGCCCCCTCCCAAGGTGGGAACCGTGTGACCCCCGCCCCCCCAACCCCCACACCACGCATCCCTCCAGTCATGGGACTCGCGCCCAAAAATAAAACCAGGCAGGGGACACGCTCTGCTGCCCGCTGGACGTTTGGCTGGCCCGTGGCTCTGAGGCTCGGGGTGGGCCGTGTCACCGGGGCCGCGTGGGGAGAGGGTCTCCGGGGCCGCGTGGGGAGAGCGTCTCCGGGGCTGCGTGGCAGAGGGTCTCCGGGGCCGCGTGGGGAGAGCGTCTCCGGGGCTGCGTGGCAGAGGCTGCGTTGGGGTGTTCTCAGGCCCCAAGACCCCACCCAGTGTCCCACTAGGGTTTATCCTGGGGATTGGGGCAGCTGGATGCCCCAGAGACATGGCGTGGTCACAGCTGCTGCAAGAAACGGCGGCGGAGTCAATGGGGGAAGGGTCCGGAGGGCTCAGGACCATGGGGTGGGAGCCAGCCCTTGGGGGCGTGGGCCCTCGGACAGGACCGAGTCTGCAGGCAGGGCTAGGGGCTGGGGGCTGCGGGAGGGCCTGGGGATCGGGGCAGCAGGGGTTGTGAGATATGGCCGAGGACAGGGTGGGAGGCGATGGGGGGCTGGCAGTGGGCGGAAAGGCAGGGCTGTGGGTCCTGAGGGATTGCAGAGGGTGGGCGTTCTCAGGAGTGGCGGGTCCTGGGGGATTGCAGAGGGTGGGCGTTCTCAGGAGTGGGCACAGCCTGAAGTGTTGGGTTGTGGGGGGACTTGGAAATGGGCCCCGGGTGCAGGGTCGCCCCAGCCCGGCACCCACGCATCCCCTTCTGTCTCTGGATGGGCCCGTCCTGGACAGTGCATAGTAGTGGGATCACACACATCTGTGCCTGGCGTCTCTCACAGAGCGTGACGTCCTCAAGGTGCGTCTGCGCTGTGGCCTAGGTCGGCCTCGCTGCTGTTCATGGCTGTGTCGTGTTCTGGCACGTGGATGGGCCACGCCACATGCTGGTCCACTCGCCTATCCGTGGACACTGGGCTGCTTCCTCGGGTGGCTGTTGTGAGTGGTGCTGCTGTGGACGTGCATGGCCACGTTTCTGTGTGGTGTGGAATTGCTCGGTGGTGTGGTGACTCCAGCGTTAGCCTCTTGAGGAATCCCAGACTGCCAAGCAGCCGTGTGTGAGGATCCGCCTCCGCCTCCGCCTCCTGGTTTTGGGCCCTGACTCTTGGTTGGTTGTGCCTGGTGTCCGCATTGTTCTCCTGCCCCCATCCCCTCCCGGTCCAGGTCTCCACACCCTGCCAGGTCCCCAAGGCATGGACTCCAGGTCACATGCCATGTGTGAAGCCCTCCCCTTGAAGAACCCGGTCCCCTGAGCCTCCTGGGGTTGCCGCCTGGAAGGGGCGTCCACAGACGTGGGGGGCTCAGAGACCGTAGGGAGGGAGGAGCTGCCAGGAGCACCGTGCTGGCCTAGGGGACTCGGACACAGGCGAGCTCAGGGCCCCTGCTGCTGGAGGGGTCCCTCAGCTATGGTGTACCCCGAGGACGGTCATGGGGTCGCCCCAGAGCTGCCCAAGGTGCCCCCTCCCCAAGCTCCGTCCACCGTGGGGCCTGGGCCCTGCTGCCCATCAGCTCAGGACTGTGTGGCCTCAGAGCTGAGGAGCGCCCTGAGTGTGGAAAAGGTCAGCGTAGCTCTGGGGCTGTGGCTGCCGTGAGATGGAACCTGCAGCAGGAAGGGGTGCTGACAGGAGCTGAGGGGAGTCCCTGCAGGGGAGGGGCTGCTGAGCCCCAAGGCAGGGGGTGGGCCACCCCCTAGCACTGGTGGGCCCCTGGATGGGGACCCCGGTATCAGCAGCTGCCTTGGGCCCAGCAGAGCTGTTTGTGGCCACCAGCACACGGGGCCGGGGTCGGGGGGTCCCAGGCTCTACCCAGAGAACCTGTCTCCCAGAGGAACATACCGAGGCTTGGAGGAGCTTGGGTGTCTGAGGTTATTCAACTCAGAAGGTGGAGCCAGGCTTTGATCCTGCCTGACCCAGAATCTTTGACAAGGATTGGCCAAGACCCCAGATCCCAGCGGGCCTGTCCCTTCCCCTAAAGGGCCGTTCTGGCAAGGGTGTCGCAGGTCCCCGTGGGCAGCTGGAAGGGCTGCCAAGGGTCCCAGCTCTGGTGGCAGTGGGTTGTAGCGTCCTGACTGCAGGGAGCAGGCAGAGGCCGCGGACAGTTGGGACGGCCTGGCAGGGTGACCCCCACTGTGCCTGACCACCTCCATCTGGTCTCTGGGACAGGAGTCCCGACCCCCAGCCCCTGTTGCCCGGCCACTGTCTCTGGAGCGCCGGGCAGAGACGTGCCTCTCCCCCACGGGATTGCACAAGTGCCTGCGTGTGGCTGGACGGCAATTACTGGAAGTCCCGGAGATTTCTTCACTCCAGGGCTTGGCCGGGAGTGGCCGCCGCCTCCCCTTCCTGCCGCCCTCGGCAGTGAGCATGCTGGGCGGACGCCTGGAAAGCTTTCCCTGCCACCACGGGCCAGCCTGGGTCCCTGCACTCGCCAGGTAGGGCCTGGTGGGGGCTCAGCCTGGCGGGCGTCTGGCCGTGTGCCAGAGGCCGCGGGGCACGTGGGAGCTGTCCCTGGCGTCTGATGGTGTGGGGCTCGGCTCTGTAGCCCAGGAACGTTCTCAGTGGGGATGCTGGTGTGTGATTAGCCTGAAACGAGGTCTGGGTGCTCTTCCAGCTCTGCGTGGCCCCTGACCCCCCTCCTTGGGAGACCTCACTGTGGAGCCCCTGCTGCCTCTGAGGGACAGGGCTGGGTCCAGTGTCCCCTGGGCTCCCCTGGGTGCCGGGCCCGGGTTGGACTCTCCCTCCACAGTCTCACACCGGCTGCTGACAAAGCCAGATGTGGGGGAGTCAGCCTGCAGCTCCACTGCTCACAGTCTGGGTGCCTGGTCCTACGGCTGCCCTGTGACCTGGGCAGCCCTGTCGGGCCCACCTTAATCGTTGTAGTTGGGGCCGGGGAGGCCAGGAAAGGCGCTGTGGGCAGCACAAAGGAGTTGGGTGGCACTGCTGATGGCGGGTGGGGGTGAGTGGGGAGGGGAAGGAGCGCCTTTTGGTTCCGGCCCAGGAGGTAGCAGGAGCTGCAGCCCAGGCTGGGACCGGTCATGCCCGAGGGAGAGGCGGCCGGGGAGCACCACTCTCCACCACCGTTGGACTCTCAGGACGTCCCCGTCTCCCTCTGCAGATCATGATGCTGCCGCCACCGCCGCCACCACGGAGCGAGAAGCCCAGATAGACGCCCCGGCGGCCCCGGGTCCTGGAGTCCCGCCGCCTGCTGCCCGGCCGAGGACCCCACCCCGCCTGCCGCCCGATGCTTGCAGTGGGGCCCGCCATGGACAGGGATTACCCGCAGCATGAACCCCCGCCGGCGGGCAGCCTCCTGTACAGCCCGCCGCCCCTGCAGGTGAGCCCCACCCCCGGCCCCGGCCCACCCGACGGGGTCCACGGGCACTTGCCCCGCTCCGAGTGCCCGGGGTCACGTCGTGCGGAATGCTGCCCCAGTGGACGCGGCGTGATCTCCACCTGACCTTCCTGGCCCGGAGCCCGGCTCCACCCGCCCCCGTGGGCCCTGGAGAAGGGTCCCCATGGGGATGTGAATGGGAGGCTACTCATGGCCCCAGCTTTTCAAGAAGCACATTTGAGGAGATTCTCCCTGCTGCAGAGCTTCCAGTTCCTTCGCCGTCAGCTGTAGGGGGGGCTCAACTTTACTTGTAGGAACCTGTCAGTGAGGGAATTACTTAAAAAATATGTTTCTGGCCAAGTGGCTCGTGCTTGTAATCCCAGCACTTTGGGAGGTGGAGGTGGGCAGATCACCTGAGGTCCCGAGTTCAAGACCAGCCTGGCCAACATAGTGAAACCTCGCTTCTGCTAAAGATACCAAACTTAGCCAGGCGTGGTGGCGGACGCCTGTAATCCCAGCTACTCGGGAGGCTGAGGCAGGAGAATTGCTTAAATCTAGGAGGCAGAGGCTGCAGTGAGTGGAGACGGCGCCACTGAACTCTAGCCTGGGCGACAAGAGTGAGACTCCATCTCAAAAAAATGAAAAATAGGCCTGGCACGGTGGCTCACGCCTGTAATCCTAGCACTTTCAGAGGCCAAGGCGGGCAGATCACTTGAGGTCAGGAGTTTGAGACCAGCCTGGCCAACATGGTGAAACCCTGTCTCTACTAAAAATACAAAAAATTAGCCTGGCGTGGTGGCAGGTGTCTGTAATCCCAGCTACTTGGGAGGCTGAGGCAGGAGAATCGCTTGAACCTGGGAGGCAGAGGCTGCAGTGAGCAGAGATTGCACCACTGCACTCCAGCCTGGGTGACAGAGCGAAACTGTGGCTCAAAAAGAAAAAAAAAAATTTTTAAATTAAAAATATATAAACGTGTATATATATATTTATTTTTATTTTATTTCATTTTATTTTATTTTGTTTTGTTATTTTTAAAACACGGTTTCACTCTGTTGCCCAGGCTGGAAGTGCAGTGGTGCGATCTCGGCTCACTGCAGCCTCTGCCTCCTGGGCTAGTGATTCTCCTGCCTCAGCCTCCTGAGTAGCTGGGACCACAGGTACGCGCCACCATGCCCGGCAGATTTTTAAAATTTTCTCGTAGAGATGAGGTTTTGCCCCGTTGGACACGCTGGTCTCAAACTCCCGGGCTCAGTTGACCCGCCTGCCTTGACCTCCCAAAGTGCTGGGATTACAGGCGTGAGCCACCGCGCCCGGCCCTGCCTGGGGATTTACCTGGAGACAGAGGGGCTGCCCTCTCCTATCAAGCAGCAGGACCTGCTCCAGGACTCCAGGGTCTCCTGGGTACTCCCTAGCCCAACACCCAGGTTGGCCTGTGGGGCGAACATCACAGACACCCCTCGGCAGTCCATCCTCAGAGGGCTTTGGGCAGCTTCCTGCCATGTTCTGACCGTCCAGAGGGGGCTCTGAGCTGGGGCCAGGGTACCCCTCTCGTAGCAGGGTCCCTGTTGCGGCCCAGACCCCTCCTGTCCCCCTCCCTAGTTCCTGAGTCCCTTGGGGTTGAGGCTGGATCCTCACAGCTGCCCCGGTGGAGCTCGAGTACCGGCCGTCGGTCAGCCTCCTGGGCCACCATAAAGGGGACTGGCCAAGCCACATCCCCACCGGAACAGCTCCATCCCCCGAAACCCGCCAGGAGCTTGTTCCGATCCAAGAATTCTATCTCGGAAACACACCCTGGGGACTAATCCAGGAGGGAGGGGAAGACAGAGCGGCACTATTTATAGTGGCAGGAAACTGGAATCTCCCCAGAGGCTCTACGGTGGGGAAATAATTAAGCGAATTATGGGATGTGGAGACAGAGGAGCCATCTTCAAGGATCCGAGCGGGAGCAGGAAGGTGTTAGCAGTGACAGTCGGGGAATGCGACAGGGCTGGAACCCGGCGGGGGCACTGGACACCAGCCACAGGGCTCAGGCCGGGGCGCACCCGTGCGCGTAACCGGCTTTGCTCCCCATCCCGTGTGTGAGGCTCATCCCACCCTCCCTGTTCCGGGTTCCGTCACATTCGGGTACGTCATGGACACCTCTGGGCAGGGTCGACTGAGTTCGCACACGCACAGCCCAGCCTCTTCCAGTGCCCAGAGTATTCAATTAGAAATAAAAATACACCGGCCAGCACAATGGTTCACGCCTGAAATCCCAGCACTCTGGGAGGCCGAGGTGGGCACATTGCTTGGGGTCAGGAGTTCGAGACCGGCCTGGCCAACATGATGAAATCCCATCTCTACTAAAAATACAAAAGTTAGCTGGGCGTGGTGGCGGGCGCCTGTAATCCCAGCTACGCATGAGGCTGAGACAGGAGAATCGCTTGAACTCGGGAGGTGGAGGTTGCAGTGAGCCACGATCGTGCCACTGCACTTCAGCCTGGGTGACAGAGTGAGACTCCGTCTCAAAATAAGGAAAGGAAAGAAAATCACCAGGCAGGCTCTGATTGTCTGGGCAGGGTCAGGTGCCCATCTCTGGACCAATTATGTGCTAGGACCTGCCATCTAAAGGTGAAGCCACACCCTCTGGCTGCCAGAGAAGGTCCCAGGGAAGACTCTGATTGGCCTGCCATGCCCATGGCACCCCTGTGGGGTGGGACTCGGGTGTGTGTGGATGGCAGGTCTCAGAGGAGCCATGGGCTGTGGGAGGGAGGAGACTAGGGGGATAGAGGCAGTCAGGACTTTCCCCCCGTCCCATCCCCTAGCCTGGCCTGGGTACAGGTGGAGCATGTTGGGTGAGCCAGGGACCCCTGGATCCTCCCGCCCTGCGACCCCAAGCCCCCCGCCCCCTTCCTGCAGCTGCAGTTCCCTGGCCGTGGCCCTGCCCAGCCTGGCCCAAGGCGCCGTGTGTGCCTGAGACGGACTCCAGCTCATCTGAGGAGGCTGGGTTGGTCTGGAGTCAGAGTTCTGTTCCAGAATGTTCCGGATGTGCCACATGGCCTTGGGAAGTTCCTGTTTCTCTCCAGGGCTGGCTTTCTCTCTTCCCAAAAGGGCAGGAGGAGGGGAAGGATCAGGAGACCCGGGCTCTGGAGCCCCTGTGGCTGGTGGCCCGGCTTCCTGCAAGCCACTTGCACGGGGTCTTCTCACGGGTGCAGGAGCTCAGGGTGCCCAGGCTGCCGGCCTCTGTGCAGGGGAGGAGCTGTGGGCTTTTGCTGATAAACTTATTTTATGCAAAAGCTGGAGGAGCGGGGCAGCGGTCACCCCGAGGGCTTTGCCTATCTCGAGGCTGTCGGGGGTCCTGGAATCCCCCACCCAGCACCTGCGGGTACAGAAAGTGGCCCCCGGCCATCCGGGCTGGTTCCCAGCCAGTGTGAGGTGAATGAGGGGCAGAGGTGGCCGAGCCCCAGGGAATTGCATCAGGGCCTCATAGAGGAGCAGGGCTCACGTGGGCCTGGGAGAGGTCACTGGGGGACTCAGGGAAGCAGGCGAACCCCCAACCCTGTTCTGGAAGCCAGCGTGGCCCCCAGTCCTGCTGGGATAAGCAGGATGATGCCCCCGGCTGGTGGTGTCTCCCCCATGACCACGGGGGCGTCCGTGACGGCAGGGTCTCCCCCGTGACCGTGGGGGCGTCCGTGACGGCAGGGTCTCCCCCGTGACCGTGGGGGCATCCGTGACGGCAGGGTCTCCCCCGTGACTGTGGGGGCGTCTGTGACGGCAGGGTCTCTCTGCTGCAGGTGAGGTTGGCCCTGTGCAGGTGGGGGCCCTGCTGAGGGGTGCCCATTCTGCAGGGCACGAGGTGTCCACAGCCCTGCCCCCGAAGCCGCAGGTGCTGACCCTGGGCCCGCTGCCGCCCTTGGGCCCGCTGCTGCCCCGTGTGCTCCCCATCCTCAGGTTTTGGGGCCTGCCGTGTGCCTCAAGCCGCTCTCATTCCCAAGGGCAGGCATAGTGAGGTTTTCCCAGAGAACCATGGGGTGGGGACATCGGCTCCTGGCGAGGGTGTTGGGTAAGCCTGGCCTGGAGTCAGACCCACCAGAGATTCGGCCAACCTGGAGCCACTCACGCCTCCACTGACCTCGGGCTGAGCCTCCAGGCCACTGGTCACCATTTCCCAAAGCAGGCTCCCCGCACCCCAGCCCCGTGCAGCTTCTGAGAAGTCAGGGCCCCGTCCCGCAGCAGCCTGAGCTTCCCGGGCACATCAGCTTGTCCGAGGGGCCTGGAGGTGGTGTGAGGCCCTCGCCTGCCCCAGGCCCTGCCCGAGGAGCCCCCGACACCCACCCTCCACCACAGGCAGCGGGTGCGCGTCTCCCTCACGCAAACGGTCCGATCCTCCACCTCCTAGAATGGGGCCTCCAAGCAGGGTCCCGGGGCCAGCGGCACCCCCAGGTCTTGTGTGAGATGCAGACTCCCGGGCTGCGGGCCTGCACATGGGGCTGCTGGTAGAGCAAGACCTGTGCTGAGCCCTTCACGCGGGTGGTTCAGTGCCTTCAGACCACACCACAAGCCTTGGGTGGGGTCTTGTGCAGGTGGGGAAACTGAGGCACGGGGCAGTTAAATGACTCCCCAGGAGATACCAGCAGGGGCGGGATGGGACCCTGACTGCGGGGCCTCCCTAGCCTCTCGGCCTGTCACCCTGCCCGGAGGGCTTAGCCGGGCTGCACCGCAGGTCCTCTGCTTCCCACTCACTGATGCCCGCTGTCTCTTCTAGAGCGCCATGCTGCACTGCCCCTACTGGAACACCTTCTCGCTGCCGCCATACCCTGCCTTCTCCAGCGACAGCCGGTGAGTACCGGGACCCTCCCCGCCTGGCCCCCAGGCTTGCTCATTCTGAAGTCACAGTTACAAACGGAGTTCTGGGTGCAGGGCGCGAGGGCCCAAAGTCTTGTTGAGGGGTTTGGAGGGTGGTGTGCACGTGGTCCTGGAAGGCTCCACCCCACGGGCCAGGTCCAGGCTGAGACCCCTGTTTGTGGAACGCTGTTTTGTGATCCATGGCTTCCCTCTCCTCGAGAGCCCAGCTTGGTAGAGGGCGGGGAGGTGTGGGCTATGGGCCAGGGGGGCCTCCTGTGGAGGTGACACCAGGATGGGAAGGGGCGGGAGGTTTTCTGGGGTGAAGGAGGGTGGGAAGGGGCGGGAGGTTTTCTGGGGTGAAGGAGGGTGGGAAGGGGCGGGAGGTTTTCTGGGGTGAAGGAGGGTGGGAAGGGGCGGGAGGTTTTCTGGGGTGAAGGAGGGTGGGAAGGGGCGGGAGGTTTTCTGGGGTGAAGGAGGGTGGGAAGGGGCGGGAGGTTTTCTGGGGTGAAGGAGGGTGGGAAGGGGCGGGAGGTTTTCTGGGGTGAAGGAGGGTGGGAAGGGGCGGGAGGTTTTCTGGGGTGAAGGAGGGTGGGAAGGGGCGGGAGGTTTTCTGGGGTGAAGGAGGGTGGGAAGGGGCGGGAGGTTTTCTGGGGTGAAGGAGGATGGGAAGGGGCGGGAGGTTTTCTGGGGTGAAGGAGGGTGGGAAGGGGCGGGAGGTTTTCTGGGGTGAAGGAGGGTGGGAAGGGGCGGGAGGTTTTCTGGGGTGAAGGAGGGTGGGAAGGGGCGGGAGGTTTTCTGGGGTGAAGGAGGGTGGGAAGGGGCGGGAGGTTTTCTGGGGTGAAGGAGGGTGGGAAGGGGCGGGAGGTTTTCTGGGGTGGGTGAAGGAGGGTGGGAAGGGCACTTTTCCCACAGAGGGCAGCAGCTGGGCTGGGTTCTGCAGGGGGGGTAGGAGTTGGCCAGGCGAGCAGTCGAGCAGGCTGTGCAAAGGGCTTGGGAGCAGGTATAGCCAGAGCCTTGGGAGACTCCAGGAGATTGTGGAGCAGCTGTTTGTGGCCCGGGAGTGGAGTGGATGCTTCTTTCCTGCTGGTGTTTGCAAACCTTTCTATGCAGGAGGAGAGTGGCCCCCAGGCGGTCCCTGCCCTGGGAGCAGGTCTGCCCAGGGCCGCCTCCAACCCAAGGCCTCCGGCTCCCACTGGGCAGAGACCTGGACCTGCTGCCAGCCCTGCTGGAGAGAAGCTTCTGGAGGGAGAGCCTGGGGAGCCTGGCGGGAGGGAAGGAGGCCCTGGGGACGGCGGCCACCCCTCTCCCAAGCGCAGGAGCTGGCCAAGGGGGCCGGAGTGGGGAAGGGCAGAGAAGCCTCCCTGCCAGCCACATTTTACTCCTGGGATCATCTGGAGAGAGGCGCCCCTGGGCGGGGGGCCCCCAGGACCTTCTCCTTGCTGTGTCCTTTGCCATCCTCAGGGTGACAGGGCGGGGGGTTCCGACCTGAGCCCTCCCTGGAGGACGGTGATCCTGGGTTTCTGCCCGTAGCGCTCTCCTCCTTCGAGGCGGGAGTGAGGTGTGGGTCAAGGGGCCTGTGTGTGGGGGAGGGATGGCCAGGCTGGGGTTCTGAATCGCCAGAATGAACCCTTAGCCGAGTCCTGCTGATGGAGCGGGGAGGGCGGGATGGTGGCCCTGGATGTCCCCCCGCCCACCAGGCGGCTGTTCCGTAGGAGCTCTGCCGGGCTGTGTCCAGTGGGGGTGGGAGGGCAGCCCCAGGCTTGACCACCACCCCCCTGGAGGCCCCTCTGTATGTGCAGCGGGGCCATGGGTCCTGCCGGGCTGGGCACACTCCAGTGGGGCCTCGAGGGGCCTCTGGCTGCGGCCATGGGGGTGCAGGTGTGTTACTGAGGGAGTGGGTTGAGCACCCCATCTCACCTCCCCCCCCCCCATCTCCCTCCAGCCCGTTCATGAGCTCCGCCTCCTTCCTCGGCAGCCAGCCCTGCCCAGACACCAGCTATGCCCCCGTGGCCACCGCCTCCAGCTTGCCACCAAAGACCTGCGACTTTGCTCAGGTAGGAGCCCCAGGAGCTCACCGCGCCGTGGGGGGCAGGGTGGAGTCTGGGCCGCCCCTCCAGCTGCCCTGCGACCTCTCTCGCTCAGGCCTGCCTGGGACTCAGTGACCTCGGCTTGGCCCCTCGGCCGCAGGGTTTACGGTGGGGCAGTAGGAGCCCAGAGATGTGGCTTGGTTTTGGGGAAGAGCCAGTGACTGGCCCTTCGTGTCAGCAGTGAGCCCCGCCCAGCCCTTGGGGTCCCTGCGAGCATCTGGGCAATGCCACAGAGGGAGTTGCGGGGAGGGCGGTGCTGGGAGAGATGCCCTTGGCAGCCTTTGCCCCCACGGCCCTCCCTCTAGGCGGGTCCAGACACCCTGCACATTGGAGTCCCAACCCCTTAGCAGCCACCTGAAAACGGAACTCACATACCAAAGGAACAGAACTTTCCACCTCCTTCTCCCCAGGGTCGCGGGGAGGCTCCCAGCCTCCCACTGCGGCATCAGGCGGACCCCACCCCCACCCTCCCAGCCTCCCCCTTCGGCATCAGGCGGACCCCACCCCCACCCTCACAGCCTCCCACTGCGGCATCAGGCGGACCCCACCCCCACCCTCACAGCCTTCCCCAAGGGGTTCCCAGTGCCCCAGCTTCCTCTCGGCAGCTCTGGAGCACCCAGTGCCACAGAGATCGGCTTCCCTGGGACGGTTCGGATACCACAGCCTCCGTGTGGGACCCGGGGCCAGGGGCTGCTGCTGGGCCGGACCACATCCAGGGCCTGCCGGGGAGCGAGGGTCACCTGGTGCTCAGCTCCCCCAAGCCTCCGCTTCCCCTGTGTAATGGGCATGTGAGATCTGCCTGGGCCTCAGAGCTGTTGGGGGGATGGGCGCAAGCCGGCCAGATCCAGAGAGAAGCGGTCAGGTGTGGCTGCAGCAGAATGGAGCCAATTCAGGTCCCAGGGCTCACCCAGACCCAGGCCCTGCAAACAGCTCGCCGGGTGGACCCCGGGCCCAGTTTTCCCCACTCAGGGCCGTAGCAGAGCGGGGCAAAGCCAGCCGGACCCTGAGTCTGTGCTGGGGTGACCGCGTCCGTCAAGTCCGCCTCCCCAGTAGAGTCTGTGAGGGGACCTTCCTGGAAAGTAGGGTCTTTTTGGATGTCATTGGGTAGGGATCAAGATGAGATGAGGTAGCTCTGAAATCCAGCACAAGGGTCCTCAGAAGAGACAGGAGAGATTGGGAGCTGGCGCCACGCTGGAGGCCGGGGCTGGGGCGGTGTGGCCACAGGTCAGTTTCTCCTGGAGCCCCAGGGCTGGAAGAGGTGGGTCAGAGCTGTGGGAGGGAGCAAGGCCCTGAGACACCTTGGCCTCAGACTCCCGGGCCCTGGGACGGGAAGAGGGTGGATTCCTGTCCTGTAGCCCCCAGTGTGTGGCCTGGAAATTGGCCTACCAGCTGTGTTCAGGGGAGGGGGGCGCCCCTGCTCATCTTGGGGCTGAGGTCAGCGAGGTGCGCACAGGGGCTCTGTCCTCACCCGCAGTAGCCCTGGACCCCCATGTGATCTGGTCCTGGCCAAGGTGTGGCAAGCTGCTGCGCCATGCCAGCCGGACACAGAAGGAAACTGAGGCAGGGGAGGCGCCTGTCCAGAGCTGGCATCTGTGCCCCACCCTTCAGGGGACGCACAGGGGAGGAGCCCGGGGTGCGACTGATGGCAGTGGCTCCTTCCTCACCGCCACTGCCTTCCTACCAGCCCCAGCCCTGGGTCAGCCTGTCCTTGCCCCGCCCCCTTCTTCTCTTTCACCCCTTCTCTGCCTCTTTCTGTGTGTTCCTTCTCTCTTTCCTTTCTTTCTTTCTTTTTTTTTTTTTTTGAGACAGAGTTTTGCTCTTGTTGCTCAGGCTGGAGTGCAATGGCACGATCTTGGCTCACTGCAACCTCCGCTTCCCAGGTTCAAGCGATTTTCCTGCCTCAGCCTCCCGAGCAGCTGAGACCACAGGCATGCACCACCATGCCTGGCTAATTTTTTTTTTTTTTTTTTTGGTAGAGACAGGGTTTCTCCATGTTGGTCAGGCTGGTCTCAAACTCCTGACCTGTGGTGATCCGCCCGCCTCAGCCTCCCAAAGTGCTGGGATTACAGGCGTGAGCCACCGTGCCCGGCCTGTCTCTTTCTTTTCTCTGTCTCTCTCTCTCCCTCTTCCCCCTGCTCCTAGTCTCTCTCTCTGTCTCCCTCCCTCTCAATCTCTCTCTGCCTATCTCCCTCTCTGTCTCTGCCTCCCTCTCTGCCTCTGTCTTCCTCTCTGCCTCTGTCTCTCTCTCTGCCTCTGTCTCTGTCTCCCTCTATGCTCCATCTCTCTGTCTCCCTCTCAGTCTCTGTCTCTGTCTCCCTCTTTGTCTCTGTCTCCCTCTCTGTCTCTGTCTCTCTGTCTCTGTCTCCATCTCCGCCTCTGTCTCTCTGTCTCCCTCTCTGTCTCTGTCTGTGTCTCCCTCTCTGCTTGTCTCTGCCCCTGTCTCTCTGTCTCCCTCTCTGTCTCTGTCTCTCTGTCTCCCTCTCTGTCTCTGTCTCTTTGTCTCTGCCTCTGTCTCTCTGTCTCCCTCTCCACCTGTCTCTTTGTCTCCCTCTCTGCCTCTGTGTCTGTTTCCCTCTCTGTCTCTGTCGCCCTCTCTGTCTTCGTCTGTTTCCCTCTCTGCCTCTGTCTCTGTCGCCCTCTCTGTCTTCGTCTGTTTCCCTCTCTGCCTCTGTCTCTATGTCTCTATGTCTCTGCGTCTCTGTCTCCCTGTCTCTGTCTCTCTCCATGTCTCTGTCTCTGTCTCCGTCTCCATCTCTGTCTCATGAATTCTCCTGCTCCTCCCCTCCTGAACAATTGCTGCTGCATCTGTTCAGCCCGGAGCCCTCGGGGCCACTGTGCTGGTTCTGTGAGCACCGCCCGCCCGGCTCCCTGCCCACCCTGCCTACAGCCGCCTCATGCTCCAGCGTCCGTATGTGGGGCAGCTTGGACCCAAATCTCCCTGTTAAAGCAGCAGAACTTCATTTGGAGGAAGTCTGACCCCGGTGCCAAGTGTGGGCCGGGCCGCGTGGTCCCCCAGTGCTGAGTGTGGGATGGGACGGGTGTGGGTCAGCTCAGTCCTGTGGGCTGGGCCGCAAGGTTCTGTGGTGTCGAGTGTGGGACGGGATGCGTGGTCCCGCGGTGCCAAGTGTGGGACGGGACGGGTATGAGTCAGCCCAGGCCTGTGGGCTGGGCCGCGTGGTTCTGCGGAGCCAGGAAGGAGCCCAGACCTGAGCCTGGTGTTCGAGGCCCTTTGCGCCGTGCCCCCCAGCGCAGCCCAGCCAGCCACGGAAGCCTCTGCTCCCGACTCAGACCTGAGGAAATGTGCTGGCCACACGGTTACAGCCTCCAAGACGTCCCCGTCCTGATCCCCAGGACCTGCCGCCGTGTCGCCTCTCATGGCAGACGGGACCTGCAGATGGGACTGAGTGATGGACCCAAGACGGAAGAGCTTCCTGGGTGACCTGGAGGCCCAGTGTCCTCACAGGGACCTGCAGATGGGACTGAGTGATGGACCCGAGACGGGAGAGCTTCCTGGGTGACCTGGAGACCCAGTGTCCTCACAGGGCCCTCATGAGAGGAGGCGGGAGGGTGAGAGCCAGAGAGAGACGGGAAGAGCCTGCGCTCTGGCCGTGAAGGGGGAAGAAGGGGCCCCAAGCCAAGGGATGCGGGTGCCTCTGGACACTGGAAAGGCAGGAACTGGGTTTTCCCCTGGAGCCCCCGGGAGGGACCTGCCCTGCCCACCCTTGATGTTACAAGTTCTGCCCTCCAGACTGTGAGAGGATAAGTGTGTGTTTCATTTATATATTTTTTTAATTTTTATTTTTAGAGACAGGGTCTGGCTCTGTTGTTCAGCCTGGAGTGCAGCGGTGCAATCTCGGCTCACTGCAGCCTCCACCTCCTGGGCTCAAGCTCCCACCTCAGCTTCCCCAGTAGCTGGGACCATAAGGACACACCACCACACCCAGATAATTTTTTATGTTTTGTAGAAATGAGGTCTCACTGTGTTGCCTAGGCTGGTCTCAAACTTCTGGGCTCAAGCGATTCTCCTGCCTGAGCCTACCAAAGCATGGGGATTACAGGCGTGAGCCACCATATTCAGCTTGTTGGAGCCATGAGGTTGACAGTAGCTTTTCACGGGAGCGAGGGGAAACGGAGGCACCGTTCAAAGCCATCGTGTGACCTGTGGCATGTGTGCATTCCCTGCAAATGTTTCCTGCTGTTGTATAAACCTGGAGGGATTGGTAGGGAGAACCTGTTCCTGGGCTGGGAGTGAGGGTGAATGTAAAACCCCACAGGCCATAACGAGACAGCTAGTCATGACTTTTTTTTCTGGAGACCGACTCTTACTCTTGCCCAGGCTGGAGTGTAGTGGCGCCATCTTGGGTAACTGCAACCTCTGCCTGGCGGGTTCAAGCGATTCTCCTGCCTCAGCCTACCAAGTAGCTGGGACTACAGGCACCCACCACCACGCCCGGCTAATTTTTATATTTTTAGTAGAGATGGGATTTCGCCATGTTGGCCAGGATGGTCTCGAACTCCTGACCTCAGGTGATCTGCCCGTCTCCCAAAGTGCTGGGATTACAGGCATGAGCCACCGCACCTGGCCTATTGTTTTTTGAGACGGAGTCTCGCTCTGTCACCCAGGCTGGAGTGCAGTGGTGCAATCTCGGCTCACTGCAACCTCTGCCTCCCAAGTGTGAGCCATTCTTCTGCCTCAGCCTCCCGAGTAGCTGGGATTATAGGTGTGCGCCACCACGCCTGGCTAATTTTTGTATTTTTAGTAGAGACGGGGTTTCACCATATTGGCCAGGCTGGTCTCGAACTCCTGACCTCAGGCGATCCGCCTGGTAACTATTGATACACCTGAGCCCTGAGTTTCTTGGCAGCCAGAGCAATAGGAGAAAGCAGATGAGCCGTGGACCCGGGCAGTGCCTGGGGCCAGTGGACTCCGCAGCACTGTTGGTTCTGCTGGAGAGCCTTCACGGCCTGGGGAGGGAGGCCACTGAGGGGCAGATTGATTGTGGGGAGGGAGGTCATTGAGGGGAGGGTTGATCGTGAGGGAGGTCATTGAGGGAGGGTTGATCATGAGGGAGGTCATTGAGTGAGGGTTGATCATGGGGAGGGAGGTCATTGAGTGAGGATTGATCGTGGGGAGGGAGGTCATTGAGGGAGGGTTGATCATGAGGGAGGTCACTGAGTGAGGGTTGATCATGAGGAGGGAGGCCATTGAGGGGAGGGTTGATCGTGAGGGAGGTCATTGAGGGGAGGGTTGATCATGGCTCACCTGGTGGTCTTCACTTCACAGACTCCGAGTAGGGCCACTGTGCCTGGGAGATTCTGCCCCTGGGAATGCAGGAGGTCATGTTTGAGTCAGGACTGGGCACGGTGGCTCACGCCTGTGATCCCAGCACTTTGGGAGGCCAAGGCGGGAGGATTGTTTGAGCCCAGGGGTTTGAGACCAGCCTGCGCAACATAGTGAGACCCTATCTGTATAAAAAATAGAAAAAATTAGTCGGGCATGGTGGTGCAAGCCTGTAGTCCCAGTATTTGGGTCCCATCTATTTGACTGAGGCATGAGGATCGCTTGAGTCTGGGAGTTCCCAGTGGGAGGCCCATTGTGTTTGTCCGTGTGTCCGTGATGGATGCGTGGAGGGCCCCACTGTGTTTGTCCGTGATGGACGCGTGGAGGGGCCCACTGTGTTTGTCCATGAAGGACACGTGGATCCAGCCTGGGCAACATAATGAGACCTCATCTCTATACAAAATTAAAAATTAGATTTACAGGTCAGGCGCAGTGCTCAAGCTTGTAACCCCAGCACTTTGGGGGGCCAAGGCGGGCAGATCACCTGAGCTTAGGAGTTTGAGACCATCCTGGCCAACGTGGCGAAACCCCGTCTCTACTACAAATACAAAAATTAGCTGAGCATGGTGGCGGGCACCTGTAATCCCAGCTACTCAGGAGGCTGAGGCAGGAGAATCACTTGAACTCGGGAAGCAGAGGTTGCAGGGAGCCGAGATTGCGCCACTGCATTCGAGCCTGGGTGACAGAGCAAGACTCTGTCTAAAAAAAAAAAAATTACAAAAAAATTGCAAAAACTAAGAGCTTGTTGGACCGGGGGAGTCAGCAGCCTCTGCGCTTGCCCCCGAAGAGGCAGTTCTCCAGGGTGCCTCTTCTCCGGGGCGCGTGTTCTCCGGGGCGCGTCTTCTCCGGAGTGCCTCTTCTCCGGGGCGCCTCTTCTCCGGGGTGCGTCTTCTCCGGGGTGCGTCTTCTCCAGGGTGTGTCTTCTCCAGGGTGTGTCTTCTCCAGAGTGCCTCTCCGTTGGTTTTGTCTGGGGTTGTCTCCTGACTGGATGGAGGAATCCCTCAGACGGCACCATGTACAGTGCGGCGTGGACCGGAGTGCCTGGCGTTGCGCGTGTTGTGCTGATGCTGGTAACTTTGGCCGCTTGGCGGGGACGGGGTTCCTTCACCATCCATTTCCTGTTTCTCTCAGCCTGGGGGAAGACCCAAGGCTGAGCAGAGGCTGGTCCTGCCCAAGGCGGGGTCAGCAGCCTCTGCCCGTGGGAGCTGCCTGCGGGCATCCCTGCTGCGTCCGTCTGTTTTCCGTGTGCCTTCTCCTGCTGACGGCTGGGTCTGTGTGGGACCCCCACCCCTTCCCCGCTCTCTGCCTGCTCCCTGGCCACCCCCACCCCCACCCCTGGGGCTCACGCTGCGCCAGGATGCCGCTGCTGGCATCCACCGTGGGCTGCGGGGCTCCCGCGGTGTCACGTGTGTGCCTTGCCCGGCCCTCCAGCCACCCTGGCCCGGAGGAAGGGCCCCCCTCACTTCTGCTCAGCCTTCCGTCTCCAGGTTGGCGCGAAGCCATCAGGCTCAATGTCCCTGGTGGGTGATGGCTCAGCCCCGTGTGTCCTGGTGGGGCCCCCTGCCGCGGTGTGCAGGTGAACCGTGGTTCTGTGGACACGTGGCTCTGTGTTGCTGCTGCTTTTTTTTTTTTTTTGAGATGAAATCTCGCTCTGTCGCCCAGGCTGGAGTGCAGTGGCGTGACCTCGGCTCACTGCAACCAACGCCTCCTGGGTTCATGCCATTCTCCCGCCTCAGCCTCCCGAGTAGCTGGGACTACAGGTGCCCACCACCACGCCCAGCTAATTTTTTGTGTTTTTTAGTGGACACGGGGTTTCACCGTGTTAGCCAGGCTGGTCTCAATCTCCTGACCTTGTGATCCACCCACCTCAGCCTCCCAAAGCATTGGGATTACAGGCGTGAGCCACCGCGCCCGGCCTGCATTTCTTCTTTATTTTCTTTCTTTCTTTTCTGTCTCTGTTTTTCTCTAGTTTTTTGTTTTGTTTTGAGATGGAGTTTTGCTTTTGGTGTCTAAGCTGGAGTGCAATGGTGTGATCTATCTCGGCTCATGGCAAACTCTGCCTCCCAGGTTCAAGCGATTCTCCTGTCTCAGCCTCCTGAGTAGCTGGGATTACAGACGCGCACCATATTTATTTATTTTTGAGACAAAGTCTCACTCTGTCTCCCAGGCTGGAGTGCAATGGCACGATCTCAGCTCACTGCAGCCTCTGCTTGCCTGGTTCAAGTGATTCTCCTGCCTCAGCCTCCCGAGTAGCTGGGATTACAGGTGTGCGCCACCGCGCCCAGCTGATTTTTGTATTTTTAGTAGAGACGGGGTTTCACCACGTTGGCCAGGGTGGTCTCAAACTCGTGATCTCAGGTGATCCATCCGCCTCGGCCTCCCAAAGTGTCGGGATTACAGGTGCGAGCCACCACGCCCCGCCCCTTTTCTGTCACGTGAGACTCAATTCACGTGACAGAAAAGTCCCCATTTCTAAGTGAACGATGCTGTGGCTGTTACAAAGTCCAGAGCTGTTCAGCCATCACCATGTAATTCTAATTCCAGATCATTGTCCCCCTAGAGGAGGCCCTGTCCCCGTCAGCTGTCACTCCCCATCCCTCCCCTGCCCCGGCGCCCACGCATCCCCTTCCCGTCTCTGTGGCTTGGCCTGTCCTGCACATTTCATAGAAATGGGATCACACGCTGCATGGCCTCCTGCCTCTGGCGTCTCTCACTGAGTGTGATGTCCTCAAGGTACATCCGAGCTATGGCTGGGTCAGAGCCTGGCTCCTGATTATGGCTGAGCCGTGTTCCGGCACATGAAGGGGCCCCACCTTGTTTGTCCATGATGGACGCATGCAGGACCCACTGTTTTTGTTCATGATGGACGCGTGGAGGACCCACTGTTTTTGTTCATGATAGACGCGTGGAGGTACCAGGTACCACAGTGTCTGTCTGTGATGGACGCGTGGAGGGGCCCACTGTGTCTGTCCATGTGTCCGTGATGGACCTGTGGAGGGCCCCACTGTGTCTGTCTGTGATGGACGCGTGGAGGACCCACTGTGTCTGTCCGTGATGGACGCATGGAGGGCCCCACTGTGTCTGTCCGTGATGGAGGCGTGGAGGACCAACTGTGTCTGTCCGTGATGGAGGCGTGGAGGGCCCCACTGTGTCTGTCCGTGATGGAGGCGTGGAGGACCAACTGTGTCTGTCTGTGATGGAGGCGTGGAGGGCCCCACTGTGTCCGTCTGTGATGGAGGCGTGGAGGGCCCCACTGTGTCTGTCTGTGATGGAGGCGTGGAGGGCCCCACTGTGTCTGTCTGTGTGTCCGTGATGGACGCTTGTGCTGCTTCCACCCGTGGCCGTCGTGAGTTGTGCCGCCGTGAGCACGGGTGCAAACTTCCCAGTGGACACGTTTTCGTTTCTCTTGGGCTCATACCCAGGAGTAGGTATGGGTTGACAGCAGCTGTGAATCGCTGTTAGCAGCGTCCATATGCAGGTCCATGTCTGTGTGTTCCAGGCATGACTGGGTCTGGCTGGGGGGTGTTGGGTTCCTGCTCGAGGATAAGGGGCCCTTGCTGCTGCAGCCCACCCTCTGTGCCCAGAGCCTCCCGTGGGTCCCCTGCTCCAGGCCCAGCCCAGCCTCGCGGCCCCACCCCCAGGCTCTCCGGCACCTGTTTCTGTGTGGGGTGAGTGTCCCCCAGGGCAGCCCCTGGTGCCTCTTCTGGTCTCCTCCCCACCACACCCCAGCCCGAGCCTCCCCCCACCGCACCCCAGCCCGAGCCTCCCCCCAGCCTGAGCCTCCCCCCACTGCACCCCAGCCCGAGCCTCCCCCCACCGCACCCCAGCCCGAGCCTCCCCCCACCGCACCCCAGCCCGAGCCTCCCCCCACCGCACCCCAGCCCGAGCCTCCCCCCACCGCACCCCAGCCCGAGCCTCCCCCCAGCCTGAGCCTCCCCCCACTGCACCCCAGCCCGAGCCTCCCCCCACTGCACCCCAGCCCGAGCCTCCCCCCACCGCACCCCAGCCCGAGCCTCCCCCCACCGCACCCCAGCCCGAGCCTCCCCCCACCGCACCCCAGCCCGAACCTCCCCCCACCGCACCCCAGCCCGAGCCTCCCCCCAGCCTGAGCCTCCCCCCACTGCACCCCAGCCCGAGCCTCCCCCCACCGCACCCCAGCCCGAGCCTCCCCCCACCGCACCCCAGCCCGAGCCTCCCCCCACCGCACCCCAGCCCGAGCCTCCCCCCAGCCTGAGCCTCCCCCCACTGCACCCCAGCCCGAGCCTCCCCCCACTGCACCCCAGCCCGAGCCTCCCCCCACTGCACCCCAGCCCGAGCCTCCCCCCACCGCACCCCAGCCCGAGCCTCCCCCCACCGCACCCCAGCCCGAGCCTCCCCCCACCGCACCCCAGCCCGAACCTCCCCCCACCGCACCCCAGCCCGAGCCTCACCCCCCCAGCCCGAGCCTCCCCCCACTGCACCCCAGCCCGAGCCTCTCCTCCACTGCACCCCAGTGCCAGCCTCCCCCAACCGCACCCCGGCCCGAGCCTCCCCTCACCGCACCCCGGCCCGAGCCTCCCCCCACTGCACCCCGGCCCGAGCCTCCCCCCACCGCACCCCGGCCCGAGCCTCCCCCCACCGCACCCCGGCCCGAGCCTCCCCCCACCGCACCCCGGCCCGAGCCTCACCCCAGCCTGAGCCTCCCCCCACTGTACCCCAGCCCGAGCCTCTCCTCCACTGCACCCCAGTGCCAGCCTCCCCCAACCGCACCCCAGCCCAAGCCTCTCCCCAGCCTGTGCCCCTACACAGGACATTCCCCAGGTCCTGCTCGCCTCACTGCCCCTCGCCCATCCCTTGCCGCCTGTTCCTGGGGTGGGGGTGCTCCTTCACCCTTCCTGACATCACCCAGATCCCTTGCGTCTCTGCTGGGCTCCTGGGGCTCTCGGCACCCACAGCCCATCCCCATTCCCCAGGTGCTGCCCCCTTGCCCACCACCTGTCCTGTGAGGACCTCTCCACCTGCCGGGCATCCATCCCGGGTCCCCATGGGGCTGCAGGGACCATTGGGAACGCAGCTGTCCGGTAACAACACTCTCTGCCTGGCAGCCCGGGGGCTTCTGGGAAGCTCAGGATGAGCTCACGGCTCAGAAAAGCGCTTTGCAAACTCTGGCTGCTTTCAGGCAGGGAGGCAGGCAGCATTGACTGTTCTGCAGATGCGTTTCAGCAGGGGTCAGATGCCTCGGCCCATCCGGCACCACGGAGCCCCCACAGTTACTGGCATTGGGCAAAAAAGAGGGAGAGAGATGAGGGAGCGAAGGAGGGAGAGGGAGAGGGGGATTTCTTACAGGAAGTCTTTGGTTCACACCCAGCCAAGGCCAAGAAGAGCCACCTTCTGTCCCCTGGTCTGTGCTGAGGCCACAGCCCCCCCGGGAGGAGGAGCCTCCGCCCAGGGCCTGGGCAGGTGCAGGAGGGGCCGGCAGAGCCGCCCACAGACAGCCTTAGAGAGGGAGACTCAGCAGGAAGCTGTGCGCCAGGGTTCGGCCCTGCCCGGCTGCAGCACCAGAAGACACTGAGGCGGCGGCCCCAGGGCCCATACCAGGCACCTGGCCGGAACCCTGACAGAAGGGAGCCCAGTTTCCTGGGGAGCCGTGCCAGCCTCCCAGGGCTGCTGTGAGGAAGCAGCACACACAGCTTCAAAGGCCAGGACTCTGTCCCCTCCCAGCCCTGGAGCCTGGAAGTCCAAAGTCAAGGTGCGGACAGGGCCGCGCTCCTTCCGGCCCCTCCAGCATCTGGGGGATCCGGGCATCCCCTGGCTGTGGCCGCAGGGCTGGGATCTCTGCTTCTGTGTCCCGTGGCCTCCTCCCCGGGACTGTGTCTCCTTCGAATGAGGACACCAGGCACAGAACACCCGCTCGGCCAGTGCGGCCTTTTTTTTTTTAACCACTCACATCTGCAAGGACCGGATTCCCAAATAAGGCCACACACACAGCTTCCAGGTGCCAGGACATGATCACACCATTTTGGGGACACAGTTCAGCTCTGCACGGGGCACTCTAGTGACCAGGCCTGCTGAGGGGCCCTTCTCCCAGCCACCAAAGACTGGCAGTGTCTAGGAAGTGCCACCTGTGCCCCACGACCACCTGGAAGCCTCTTCTGTCTGCCCCCCAGCCCCCTCCAGGAGGAGCCCCTCCCATCCCCGTAGCCTGTTTCCCTCCCTGTAATGCAGGGCAGGGTTCCTGTGAGGGCTGAGGCAGCGGGCATTCAGCCAGGCTTACACGGAGCCCTCGGTCAGCGTTGCTGCGGGACTGGTCAGTGAGGGGTGCACCCTGGACAGAGGCGGAGGGAGAGACCGGGCCACGGGAGCCCAGGACTGGGCGCGGGGCGCCGGAGGTGGGTGGGGTAGTGCCCAGCAGGTCCCTAGGCGGCGCACCCCTATCCTCAGTCTGACCTGCTCCAGGGACCCTGGGCTGTGCTGTCACATTGGGGCCTGGGGAGCAAGTCGGAGTCTGTGCTTGTTCTTTCTGTTTCGTTGCTTTCCAGGTCTTTTAAAAACTGAGACAAAATTCACATACCACAAAATCCACTTTATTTATTTGAGACAGTATTTTGCTCTGTTGCCCAGGCTGGAGTGCAGTGGTGTGATCATAACTTACTGCAGCTTCCACCTCTCTAGCTCAAGTGATTCTCCTGCCATGGCCTCCTGAGCAGCTGGGACCACAGGTGCCCGCCACCATGCGCAGCTGGTTTTTGTATTTTTTGTGGAGATGGGATCTCACTATGTTGCCCAG
This sequence comes from Homo sapiens, assembly GCF_000001405.40. Classification (NCBI taxonomy): domain Eukaryota; kingdom Metazoa; phylum Chordata; class Mammalia; order Primates; family Hominidae; genus Homo; species Homo sapiens. The sequence continues at coordinate 1,135,168 of NC_000019.10, read as the reverse complement.
GCTGGTCTTGAACTTCCTGGGCTCAAGCTGTTTGCCCACCTCAGCTTCCCAAAGTGCCGGGATGGCAGGTGTGAGCCACTACGCTCGGCCAAATCCACCTTTTTTTTTTTTTTTTTTTTTTTTGAGACAGAGTCTTGCTCTGTTGCCCAGGCTAGAGTGCAGTGGCACGATTTCAGCTCACTGTAACCTCTGCCTCCCGGGTTCAAGCAATTCTCCTGCCTCAGCCTCCCGAGTAGCTGGGATTGCAGGTACCCACCACCACACCTGGCTAATTTTTGTATTTTTAGTAGAGACGGGGTTTCACCATGCTGGCCAGGCTGGTCTTGAACTCCTGACCTCGTGATCCACCCACCTCGGCCTCCCAAAGTGCTGGGATTACAGGCGTAAGCCACCGTGCCGGGCCCAAATCCACACTTTAAAAAAGTATATTCACAGAGTTGTGCAACCACCACCTCTGTCTAGTTCCAGAACATTCCATCATCCCACAGGAAGCCCCGTTCCCATCAGCTGTCACTCCCCAGCCCATCCCCACCCCCTGATAACCTGAATGCTTTTCCTGTCTGTGTGGATTCCTGTTCAGGACAGGACATTTCATAGAAATGGCCTCACACACTGCGTGGCCTTCTGTGTTTGGCGTCTTTCACTGAGTGTGAGGTCCTCAAGGTGCATCCGTGCTGTGGCTTGGGTCAGAGCCTTGCTCCTTTTCATGGCTGGGTCGTGTTCCAGTGTGTGGACGGCCTCACTGTGCTGGCCCTGTTCCTCCGTGGTGACTGCGCTGCAGGAGCCAGGCTGTCATGAGCTGTGGGTCCACCTGGGAGCTGAGGGTCCACCCGGGAGCTGTGGGTCCACCCGTGAGCTGTAGGTCCTGTGAGCTGTGAGTCCACCCGTGAGCTGTGGGTCCAGGTGCCTATGAGCTGTGAGTCCACCCGTGAGCTGTAGGTCCTGTGAGCTGTGGGTCCACCTGTGAGCTGTGAGTCCACCCGTGAGCTGTGAGTCCACCCGTGAGCTGTGAGTCCACCCGTGAGCTGTGGGTCCTATGGGCTGTGGGTCCACCCATGAGCTGTGGGTCCAGGCGCCTATGAGCTGTGGGTCCACCCATGAGCTATGGGTCCTGTGAGCTGTGAGTCCACCCTTGAGCTGTGGGTCCTGTGGGCTGTGGGTCCACTCCTGAGCTGTAGGTTCAGGCTTTTGTGAGCTGTGGGTCCTCCTGATGGCACGTGGGAGTGCAGCTGCTGGGTTGTTACTCCCCATTCGCCTCTTTTGAGGAGCTGCAGGATGGTTCCCAGGCCACTGCCCCGCGTCCTCAGCAGCGCTTGTGGTTGTGGGTTTTTTGCGTGGAGCTGGTGTGGAGCTGTCTCTGGGAGTGGCTGTGATTGGCTGCTGGGTTGAGCGGTGGCTGTGATTGGCTACTGGGTTGAGCGGTGGCTGTGATTGGCTGCTAGGTTGAGCGGTGGCTGTGATTGGCTGCCGGATTGAGCGGCTCCGTGGGTTTCTTCCCCATTGGTTGTTTTCCATTGGCGGGCGGGGTGCCTGGCAGGCGGGCCCCTCGCCCCAGCGGCACGGACCCGTGTTGTCGCCCAGCCTCCAGGAGGTGATGGGTCGTGGCAAGGGGTGTGGGCGACAGTCTGCACCAGCCTCCGCTGCTGCGGTGCCTGGTCGCGGGGCCCCAGTGGGGCTGGCACAGGGCCTCAGGGTCTAGAACAGGGTGAGCCCGAGGGGGCGGAGTGCACAGGGTTTGAGGGCCCCCTGGTCCCACTCTCCCCTCAGAGCCCTGGCGGGAGTCTTACAAGCCCAGAACTGTCCCGAGCCCTCCGGCCCAGCCACGGGCTCCCCTGGCCTCTCGGGGCGGTTTCCTTCTTTCCCAGGGCCCCTGGCCACAGGGCCGGGCCCTTCCTCCCCTCACAGAGGAGGAGCCGTGGCCACCTGCGCGGTCTCGGCCGCGGTCTCGTGGGCAATGCGGCCTCTGCCCCGTCAGTCGCTGAGTACAGGCAGATGGGGCCCGTCCTCTCCACAGCCCGGCCGTCCTCCCACCCCCTCTGGCCCTGGGGCCTCCCCAGCTCCTCCAAGGACACCGAGAATGACCGCCTGTGGCCCAATGTGAGGTCCCATCAGGTGTCTGCCCCGCGGTGTCTAGGCCCCTGTGATGCGCCAGGGTCCTCACAGTGCGGGCAAGAGTGTGGCCGCGGGCGGGCTCGCGGCCCGGGGTTGCCCCAGCAAGTGCATCATTGACACTTGGTTTTCTACCAAAGCGAGAACGTTCTTTTCCCAGGACGCTACCACTTGTTCCTGCCCAGGGGGCCGAGGCCGGGTCTGGCCAGAGCCTGGAGAGGAGGGGCCCAGGCTCAGCTCTCCCTCCGCCAGCCCCAGATCAAGGGAGGCCACGGGGCCCGCTGAACCCCCTGGGCACGGACAGCAGGGAAAGAGCAGGGAGGGGACTTTGCTTCGGCGGCAGGGGCTTCTCGGGGACCTCAGCCTGCAGGGGTGGGGTGGGGAGAGCCCCAGGGGGGCGCAGCAGGGCCTGAGGTGCGCTTGGCATGCGTGGGGTGCTGGGTGAAGGGAGGCGGTCTTGGCCGCAGTTTCCCTGCCTGTGGTTTGGGGGCACCAGGAACAGCAGCTGGTCCCCGTGGAACGGAACCCAGCTCCCTGCAGTCTGGGGAGACCGAGGCCCATGCCCACCTGGGCATTCTGCACGTCCGCCGGGTGCCCCAAAGGGGGCTGGTCCTGCGGCGGGGCACGGGTGGGGTTGCGTGTTGACAGCGCCTGTGGGAGATCCGCCCCGTACAGTAATTCTCCTCGCACTGCCGGTAATTGCCCTGACTTACGGGGCCGGCATCATTTCCTGAAAGTCAGCCCCGGCCTTAGAGGAAGTAGGCGCCGGCGGCGGTGACTAAACCGACATGCAAATGCAGCCGGGCGGAGAGCCGCCCCCGTCCGCCCCGGCCGACCCAATGCTGGGGCTGCTGCCGCGGTCATGAGGGAGCCGCTCCCGGGCAGCGCTTCCTGGGGGACCCCTGGCCCCCCGAGCGCCGGGACCATGTCCCAGCTGCAGCTGTGGCTGCAGTTTGAGGCTCTGAACAAGGTAACACTCCCTTCCCGGGGCGGGCGAGGCCCTCGGGGGCAGGGGTCTGGGAGGTGGGACCCCATTCAGGACGGCCGGGCCCCCTGCCGGAGCAGCCGGCATCTCATCCTAGAGTCCGAGGCCGCCAGGATCTAAAAAAATCCCCACCCCGCCCCGTCCGTCTCTTCTGGCAGTGAGAGGGAATCTGCCGGAAGGTTCCGAGGCAGAGATTTAAGACTTCGGGCTGGGAGCGGCGCCCTGTGCGTAGGCTGGGGGACCCGAGCGGAGTGGGGGGGTCGGGCTCAGCCCTGCCCGGACGGGGGCCCTCAGTGACAGTGGCAGTGGCTGTCGGGAGGGCTGCGTCCCCCTCCTTCTGCCCCTGGGGTAGGACCCAGAGCTGTGGCTTTCCTCTGGAGAAGCCTCAGGTGGAGGGGCTCTGGGTGTCTTATGGGGCTCTTGTAGGGAGCGGAGGCTGGGTGGGCCTGGTCAGGGCTGGCTCTGGTGGCGCAGGCCGGCAAATCCCTGTGGCTCTGTGGCTCCCCATGGGTCCTGGAGCACAGGGCAGCGGCAGCACATCAGGTCTGGAGTCAGTTCTGGAGTCAGGTCTGGAGTTGGCTGCCCAGGGCAGGAGGAGCTGTGTCTGCTGCTTTTGAAGCGGGCAGAGCCAGGTCCTCCCAGCCAGGTCCTCCCAGCTCCCCACCTCAGCCCAGGGCTCCTGAAATGCTACAGAGACAAGAACCACAGCGGGCAGCCCCGGCCCTCCCTGGGGCCCCAGAACTGGGGGCTGGCGGGGAGGGATGCAAGTGTCACCCTTGAGGGGCCTTGGTGCTTGCCCTCACTACAGACTGCAGAGGGGCCCGGTTCCCTGGGGAGGCACTGGGTCCGCTGAGCTGAGGCTGGAGGGTGGGTGGGTCATGTGGTGAAGGATGCAGGAGCCTGGGCCGGCCTGGAGGGGCTGTGGAGGGACACACAGGCGCGGGTGGGACTTAGGCTGTCTCTGAGGTGAGCTGGTGGCTGCTAGGAGTCAAATCCAGATGTGGGCAGAGGACGGAGCCACTGTGGGGGGAGCTGGCCTGGCTCTGTTCAGCTTCCCACATGTGAACAGGGCCAGCCCTGGGAACCCCGTCTCCCTCTGTCCCTAATCGCTGAGGGCACCTGCTAGAAGTGAAGGCTTCGAGGGCTCATGCACCTGGTGGGGTGTCCTGTGCTGGGAAGGACCGGACGGGGAGCAGGGCGGGGCCTCGAGGCTGCGTTCTTGAAGCCTGAAAGCTGCAAGCACTCCCTCATTATTAGACTTTCACTTTTATTTATTTGTTTTTGTGACAGGGACTTGCTCTGTCACCCAGGCTGGTGTGCAGTGGCACGATCTCGGCTCCCTGCAACCTCCACCAACTGGGTTGAAGCAATCCTCCCACCTCAGCCTCCTGAGTAGCTGGGACTGCAGGCACATGCTGCCATGCCCAGCTAATTTTTAAACGTTCTGTAGACATGGAGTCTTGCTGTGTTGCCCAGGCTGGTCTTGAACTCCTGGGCTCAAGTGATTCTTTCACCTTGGCTCTAAAACAGTAGGATTACAGGCATGAGCCACTACGCCCTGCTTGACTTTTAACTTTTTTTTTGAGATAGGGTCTCGCTCTGTCTCCCAGGCTGGCGTGCAGTGGCGCAATTATAGCTCACTGCAGCCTCGACCACCTGGGCTCAACGGATCCTCCTGCCTCAGCCTCCTGAGTAGCAGACGTGAGCTCCCCCCTGCCCGACTTGACTTTAACTTTTCAAACTGTTTTAGAATGACAGAAAAGCTGCAGGGACAGTGCAGAGAGTCCCCGTGCACCCACTCCCGGGCTCCCTGCTGTTCTATCTCCCGTCTGTGGCTGTCACGGCTGATGAACCAACATCCGTACGCCACCGTTAACTCCTGAGGCCCACGCTTTGCTTGGATTGCCTCAGTTTCCCCCATGTCCTTTCCTGCCCAGGACCCCACGTGGTGTTTAGGCGTCTCCTCAGGCCCCTCTGGGCTGTGATGGTTTCTCAGAGGCCCGTGTTTCAGATGCGTTGGGCGGTCCTGGGGCTGGTCGGGTGGTGTGGATGCCCTGGAGTAGTCGGGCTGGTGTTTCCTCAGACTGGGGCAGGAGTTTTGGGTGGAGGACCCTGGGCGGGAGGACCCTGTTGTCCTGTCTTCTTGGGCCAAGGGCACCTGGTGAGGGCGTGGGGCAGGTGTCTCTGCCTGAGGTCCCTTCCCTCTGTCCACGCTGAGCTCCGGGGAAGGACTGGCCGTGTGACCCACGCATTTGGGTTTGGGGAGCTCTCCTCCGCTCTGCCTGCGCTCCCTGCACCACCAAGGCCTGGGCGGTTCTGGGCCCGATAGCAACTCACCCCCGCTCCTGGCTGGGGCCTTGACCAACTCAGGAGCCCCTGACCTTGCCCGGGAAATGCTTCCACGGAGGGTCCGGGCCACAGGTCAGCGTGACCAGGCCCTCTGCAGCCTGGGTGGGCAGTGTCCGGAGGGCCCTCGTGGGCCTCAGTGGGATGAATGCTCCCCAACCCTGCCGATCGGGGCCTCCAGAGGCTCTGGGAGGTGGACTGCTCCTACCCTCCTGGGGTGGGGGGTGCTGCACCCTACCTGGCTCTGGGCCTCAGGCGGGCAGCATGGACACCTCTGTCCCGGGGGTCTCTGTTTGGGGGCAGGTTCCTGAAGGTCCCTAGTGATCAGTGCCCAGGTGCTTGGGTCTGACAGGGTGGGCAGTGGGCAAAGCTGAGCAAGGTGAGGGGGACGGAACCCACAGCTTCCAGGGAGAGACAGCGCCCCCTTGACATGCCTGGTTTTTTTCTTTGTTTGTTTTTCTTGAGATGGAGTCTCCCTGTGTCACCCAGACTGGAGTGCAATGGCACGATCTCAGCCCACTGCAGCCTCTGCCTCCTGAGTTCAAGCAGTTCTCCTGCCCCAGCCTCTCGAGTAGCTAGGATTACAGGCACGCACCACCATGCCCAGCTAATTTTTGTGTTTTTAGTAAAGACAGGGTTTTACCATATTGGTCAGGCTGGTCTTGAACTCCTGACCTCAGGTGATCTGCCCACCTTGGCTTCTCAAAGTGCTGGGGTTACAGGCGTGAGCTACCATGCCCAGTCTATTTTTTTTTTTTTTGAGACAGAGTCTTGCTCTGTCACCCAGGCTGGAATGTAGTTGTGCAGTAACAGCTCACTGCAGCCTTGACCCCTCTGGGCTCAGGTGATCCTCCCGCCTCAGCCCCCCGAGTAGCTGGGACTACGGGCATGCACCACCACACCCAGCTAATTTTTGTATTTTTAGTAGAAATGGGGTTTTGCCATATTGTCCAGGCGAATCTTGAACTCCTGGACTCAAGCAATCTTCCACCTTGGCCTCCAAGTGCTGGGATTACAGGCGTGAGACATCACATGTGGCCGGACACGGTGGCTCACGCCTGTAATCCCAGCACTTTGGGAGGCCAAGGTGGATGGATCACCTGAGGTCAGGAGTTCGAGACCAGCCTGACCAACACGGTGAAACCCCGTCTCTACTAAAAATACAAAAATTAGCTGGGCGTGGTGGCACGTGCCTGTAATCCCAGCTACTCGGGAGGCTGAGGCAGGAGAATCGCTTGCACCTGGGAGGCAGAGGGTGCAGTGAGACGAGATCACACCATTGCACTCCAGCCCGGGCGACAGTGTAAGAATCCGTCTCAAAAAAAAAAAAATGAAATGATGTACATACATCTCCTTCACTGGGCAGCGCGTGTGTGTGTGTCATCCCCATGGCGAGCCCCACCTCTGGGCGTGGCTGCCCCCGCCCCTGCCTCCGGCACAGGGCATGGCACCAGGCTCACCCCAGACCCGAGCTGCTCAGAGTTCCTGCAGCATTGCTGCCCTTCAGGTGCTGCAGAAGTCAGACGCCGTCCTGCGTGGCCCTGAGGGTTGGTGTTTCTCACCCATTGCTTGTTTATTTTTTTCTTTTTTGAGACGGAGTCTCACTCTCTCGCTCTGTCACATGGTGGCTCACGCCTGTAATCCCAACACTTTTGGATGCCGAAGCAGGCAGATCACTTGAGGTCAGGAGTTCAAAACCAGGCTGGCCAACATGGTGAAACCCCGTCCCTAGTAAAAATACAAAAAAATTAGCTGGGCATGGTGGCGCACACCTGTAATCCCTGCTACTTGGGAGGATGAGGCAGGAGAATTGCTTGAACCTGGGAGGGCCGTGGTGTCTCCCATTCCCACATGCTCCAGTGTGTGGAGGGCCGTGGTGTCTCCCATCCCCACGTGCTCCAGTGCGTGGAGGGGCCTTGGTGTCTCCCGTACCACCCTCACCGGGCCTGGCCTTGTCTTCCAGGACTCCTCCTATTTTGAGGACTTCTCCAACATCTCCATCTTCTCCTCGTCCGTGGACTCCCTGTCGGACATCGTGGACACGCCCGACTTCCTGCCGGCTGACAGCCTCAACCAGGTGTCCACCATCTGGGACGATAACCCTGCCCCCTCCACCCACGATAAGGTCAGTGCGCCCGGTGCCCCCAGCCAGCCCCGACCCACCAGCGTGGCCTCCCCAGCCCGGGACCCACACGGTCCAGTGAGGTCTCAGTCTCCCCCACTCTGCGTGCCAATGGCTGTGCCTGTCACTGTCGGCGCCATCTGTGGCCATGGATGAGGTGGTTAGTTGAGGGTCCTCTTGTGTCCTGAATAGGAGAAGGCGACGTCCAGGACATCTGTGGCTACCACATCTGGGCGGTGCTCCTGGCATGGAGTTGGGGGGGGCCAGGATGCTGCCCAGCGCCCTGCAGTGCCCATTATGGCCCCACCTGAGAGGGACCCTGCCCCGTGTCCACCGCACCCGGGGAGTCCCTGGTCTAGAGAAGCACAGGAAGGTGACGGGACAGAGAAGCGTGGTCAGGAAGGGCCCCCTGGAGAGGCAGCGCCCAGCGGGCCCAGGCAATGTGGCTGTCCAGGCAGAGGAACAGCACCTGTGGTGGCATCCAGCCCCATGGTGCCTGGGTCAGCAGTGGCCGTGTCCCCGCTAGTGGGGAGCTGAGAGGGCGAGGTTGGTGGATCCTGTCCCAGGGTGGGGAGCTGGACATTGTCCGTGGGGGCTGAGGGGCTGGGGTTTGCCTCCAAGAAGCTCCTGAAGGACCTGGGTGGGCCAGGCCTAGAGCAGGGGTTGTAGGGCAGCAGGGCCCCCAGGTTCTTCGGGCCTAGCCTCTAGCCGTGCCCCAGTGCGACTCAGTGGAGGTGTCTGGTGAGGGAGGCATGGCTGGGAGCCAGGCCTGGCAAGTCCCTTCCCCAATCCGGGCCTGTCCACGAGAGAAGCTTCTAGACTTTGGGAGCAGACGTTGGACATGTCTCTGGGACTGAGCGCCTTCCGGTGAGGGCCCATGCCAGCCTCCGCACGCTCCCGGCACAGTGGTGGGCTCACACCCATAGGCCGCTCTCCCGGGCCCTCAGGAAGGGGCAACCCGGGCAGCAGAACTCACGGGCTTGGGGGCCCAGGCAGGAAGCATCAGGGCACCCCGCAGCCACGGTGGGTGGCTCACGGTGGGCGGCTCAGGAAGCATCAGGGCACCCCGCAGCCATGGTGGGCGGCTCAGGCTTGGTCCCTCTGGCACAAGGGCCCAGCAGAGCATTTCACCCAGCCCGGGGCCCGTGCCCTCCCAGCTAGCTCCCAGGTCCTCAGCAGGGCGTGAGGAAAGAAGCCAGGGCCTGACCGGCCTGCTGTGGCCGGCACGAGGGCATCTGAAACCCAATGCCCGCCAGCCCCACCGGGAATGGTGACTCAGCCTTCCAGGAACCTGCGTGGCGTCTGTTTTTTTGTGTTTTGTTAACTTAAAAAAAAAAGGAGAGGGCAACTGAGTATAGGTTTCTAACCTTCCTGTGCCACGCTTCCACTTTCTTTAAAAACCCTCAGGAGTGTTCCTAGTGTTAGAAAATGCAGAAGCTGTGGACTCAGTTCATTAGCATCACTAGCCTGGTGGCTCCCACACACTGCCGAGAACCCGGCCCGGGCTCAGGCAGGCTTGGGCGGAAACCTCACCCGTCTCAGGACGTTGGAGTTCAAGGGGGGGACCGGGTCTAGAAGAGATGCTCTTATTTATTTATTTACTTATTTATTTTGAGACGGGATCTCACTCTGTCGCCCAGGCTGGAGTGTGGTGGCGCAACCTCAGCCCATTTCAGCCTCGACCTTCTGGGTTAAAGCGATCCTCCTGCCTCAGCCTCTCGAGTAGCTGGGTCCATAGACACACGACACCACGCCTGGCTAATTTTTGTATTTTTTGTAGAGATAGGATTTTATCATGTTGTCCAGGCTGGTCTGGAACCCTGGCCCCAAAAGATCTCGCCCGTTCTGCCTCTGCCTCCCACAGGCCTGAGCCACGCACCCGGCGGGATTCTCCCCTTTCCAATTCTTCACACTTTTTTTTTTCTTTTTTTAAGACAGAGTCTCTCGCTCTTGTCGCCCAGGCTGGAGTGCAGTGGTGCGATCTCAGCTCACTGCACCCTCCACCTCCCAGGTTCAAGAGATTCTCCTGCCTCCTCAGCCTCCCTAGTAGCTGAGATTACAGGCATGTACCATCGTGCCTGGCTAATTTTGTATTTTTAGTAGAGATGGGGTTTATCCATTTTGGTCAGGCTGGTCTTGAACTCCCAACCTCAGGTGATCCACCTATCTTGGCCTCCCGAAGTGCTGGGATTACAGGCGTGAGCCACCATGCCCGGCCCACGCTCACTTTTTTTTTTTTTTTTTTTTTGAGATGGAGTCTCGCCCTGTCACCCAGGCTGGAGTACAATGGCGTGATCTCAGCTCACTGCAACCTCTGCCTCCTGGGTTTAAGCGATTCTCCTGCCTCAGCCTCCTGATCAGCTGAGATTACAGGCGCCCACCACCACACCTGGCTAATTTTTTTTTTTTTGTATCTTTAGTAGAGACGGGGTTTCAGCATGCTGGCCAGGCTGGTCTCGAAATCCTGACCTCCACTCTGGGAGGCCTTGGCCTCCCAAAGTGCTGGGATTTACGGGTGTGAGCCACTGTACCCTGACCATGCTTACGTTTTTTATGGCTCGTATTACTGTTAGGATTTTTGCTTTTTAAGAGTGGATATATTCCAGAATCACACAGACCCTAGTTTGGACCCTACCATCCCCCAGCCATCCGTCCCGGGGTCCACACTGTCTCAGTGTTGGCGTCTGGACAGTGGGCATGACGACGGGCCACACCACCCCCCGACCCACCCGTTCACAGGCTTTACACGCCCAGTCAGTTCGGAGACCCCTGGGTGGGCCACAGACTCATCCAGAGGCCCAGCACACCTGTCTGCCAAGGCCTGGGGTCAGCTCCCCGAGGACAGTGTCACTGCCCACCCTGGTGAATCTGCATGAGGCTCCGGGCAGTCCTTCTCCCCAGGGTGGGGCCGCAGTGGGATGTGTTCTCTGGTCACTACAGTGGCAGGCATCCTTGCCCCATCTCTCACAGAGGAGGTGCTGCCCTCGAGGGGCCTCAGGGACTGCACCCACGGGGGTTCTTGGAGAGTGCAGGGCTGCCCTGGGCCACCCACCCTGTGTGCTGGGAGCCATCGGGTGAGGGACAAGGCCCAGGCCCGCCCGCCCCCACTGCCTCTGTCTCCTCTTCCCCCTCGACAGGGAGCTCCCAACCCCTTGTCTCCCAGGCCCCCGAGGGCCTCCTGCACTGCATGGGGCTGGCACACAGTGGGTCTCTCCTGTCAGACCCCTGTCCACAGCCTTCCTGGCAGCTCCCGCGGGACCAAGCTGTGTTGTCTGTCAGAACTAGCCGGGCACCTTCCTCCCGGGCACTCCAGGCAGGCACACTGGCCATCAGTGAGAAGGCAGCCAGGTGCTGGCCAGGAGGAGCGAGCCTTAGGCCCCAGGGAGGTGCCCACTGGGGAGGCTTGGGAGGCACCAGGGTCACCCTGAGAACAGCAGGAGAGCAAGACCCAGGGCCCTGGGGAGCGAGGATGGGGAGGCGAGGACGGGGCAGTGGGGAGCCTCCCTCTGGTGGCCAGGCTGCGAGGGCCCACCAGCTGTGACCTGTCCCGTCTGGCCCGGGCTGACATCCTGCTCCCCTTCCAGCTGTTCCAGCTCAGCAGGCCGTTTGCAGGCTTCGAGGACTTTCTGCCCTCCCACAGCACCCCGCTTCTCGTCAGCTACCAGGTGAGCTGGGCCCAGCCGAGAGCTCCCTCCCCTGCCCTCTCATGGGACCTAAGGAGAGGGCTCAGCACAGGCATCTCCATTGTGGGGAGCGCTTGGCTGGCCTAGAAGCTGGGAGTGCCCATTTTATAGCTGAGGAGATGGAGGCCCTGGGGGAGCACCTTGCTGCAGGGGCAGACAGAGCCGTCTCCCACCCCTGGGTCACTCAGCTGCCCATGGTCAGCCTGGCCCCTGCCCCTGGGGGAGCCCAGTGCCCGCGGCCGCTCAGGCCTGCAGTCTCCGCTGAGCTCCCGCCACGCACGCAGGAGCAGAGTGTGCAGAGCCAGCCAGAGGAGGAGGACGAGGCTGAGGAGGAGGAGGCGGAGGAGCTGGGGCACACAGAGACCTACGCCGACTACGTGCCGTCCAAGTGTGAGTGGCCCGGCTGCACCCAGCCCTGGGACAGGTTCAAACCCTTTTGTGGGACCGAGACCCTGCAGGTGACCACCGCCCGCACAGCCCACAGAGGGAATGTGAAGCTTCAGGGAGGGCCGGAGAGCCCGGGGACAGGTTCTACAATCCAGGCTTATACAAAACCGGGGTTCGCAGAGGGGAGAAGTGGAAAGGAACCTCAGAGGCACTGGGAGGATTTTTATGCATTTGCCCCTCCTGCAAGCCGCTGGCCACGCCCCCAACCAACCCAGCAGGCCGCGGCCACACCCCCGACCCGGCCAGCCCTGACCACTCCTCCACCCAGGCATTCCTGGCCACGCCCATGACCCGCCCAACGGGACCTGGCCACGCCCCCAAACTGCCCCGCCAGCTCTGGCCACGCCCCAGACCCGCCCAGCGTGCCATAACCGGCCCTGGTCACCCCTTGGCCATACCCTTTACCTTGCCCTCCGTCCTTGCTCCTCCAGCCAAGATCGGGAAGCAGCACCCAGACCGCGTGGTGGAGACCAGCACACTGTCCAGCGTCCCACCCCCAGACATCACCTACACCCTGGCCCTGCCCTCGGACAGCGGGGCCCTGTCTGCCCTGCAGCTAGAGGCCATCACCTACGCCTGCCAGGTGACCGCATGTCCCCAACCCAGCCCAGCCTGTGTCCGCGAGGCCCCTGGGGAGGGGCCGGGCCAGCACCCCCAGGCCCTGACGCCTGCTCTCCGGCAACAGCAACACGAGGTCCTGCTCCCCAGCGGGCAGCGCGCGGGCTTTCTCATCGGCGATGGGGCCGGCGTGGGCAAAGGCCGGACGGTGGCCGGAGTCATCCTGGAGAACCACCTGCGCGGCCGGAAGAAAGCATTGTGGTGAGGCCCTGCCTGGGGCAGGGGGCGGGAGCGGGGGTGGGGGGCGGAAGCGGGGGGCGAGGGGGAAGGGTGGGCGCGCCTGACGCCCCCACCCCGCAGGTTCAGCGTCTCCAACGACCTCAAGTACGATGCGGAGCGCGACCTGCGGGACATCGAAGCCACGGGCATCGCGGTGCACGCGCTCAGCAAGGTAGGGGCTGTGCTCGGCAAAGTAGGGGGCAAGGTGGGGACCGTGCCCTGCAAAGTGGGGGCTGCTCAGCTGGGTGGGCCAGCAGCCAGGGCAGGCTCTGCCCAGCACCCTTACAGATAGGGAGACCCAGGTCCAGAGCCTGCTGAGCCGGGGCCCCATTCCACACCTGTTCTGTGCATCCCCAGATCAAGTACGGTGACACCACTACCTCAGAGGGCGTCCTCTTCGCCACCTACTCCGCCCTGATTGGGGAGAGCCAGGCCGGCGGCCAGCACCGCACTCGCCTCCGGCAGATCCTGGACTGGTGTGGGGAGGCCTTCGAGGGCGTCGTATCCTGCTGGGGGCAATCGGGAGGGGAGGGCTGGATTAGGGGGTCGGAGGGAAAAGGAGGATGGAGGAGTGGGAGAGGAGGGGTGGGAGTCAGGGGAGAGGAGGGCAGGATGGGAGAGGGTAGGAGCGGAGGGGTGGGGCTGGGGAAGGGCTGGAGGCCACTGGAGCTCACTACCCTGGATGTGGCCACCCAGCCCCCAGCTTTGCTCAGGGTTTAGGACTCCGGATAGAAGACTTTTCTGGTCCTGGGAGGCTGGCCCTGTGGGTACCACACAAGTGACCATCATCATTCACCACAGGGCTCCGGCTTGGTTTCTTGGTTCTGATAAGTGGGATGAGTGACCATAGATGTGGTCCTGATGTTTGCCATGATGCCGTGGGCAGAGGGTGGCCACTGAGCTGCTCCCCAAGTCAGGAAGGTGCCAACCCCAGCTGATAGTGTGGTGGGCACAGTTCACTCCCCAGCATCCCAGGGCTCTCGTCGGCAGGCTGCGGTTCGGAGGGGCTCCCCCACAGGAGACCCAGGACAGTTAGCAGCAAAGGCACGGCAGGGCACCCCTTGGCCAGGCTCAGCCCTGGTGCTCGGCCCTGCAGGGTGCACCTTGGGTGTTGGGGTGTTGGGAGCACAGGCTCAGATAAGGGAGGGACGTTGGCCTGCAGCATCCACTTCATGCACAGGACATGGCCATGGCTTTGCTGTTCAGTTAACGCCGAGACACAGAACATTCAGACTGGCCAGAAACAGAACGGGAGACTGCTGGTGTCTTCGCACCCGGCTGAACAATCTATGTGCAACAATCTACGAAATAGCGATAACCCTGAGATCATACCTCGCTGAGCTGCTACGTGGCGGCAGGGCCGGCCGTTTAATTTGTATTCTCCCAGTTTTCCTTCCTCAGACTGCTTTCCTGGAACTTGGCTTTCTTTCGTCTTAAAATATTAAGAACCTGGCCGGGTGCAGTGGCTCACGCTTGTAATCCCAGCACTTTGGGAGGCCGAGGCAGGCGAATCACGAGGTCAGGAGTTCGAGACCACCTGGACAACATGGTGAAACCACGTCTGTACTAAAAATACAAAAGTTAGCTGGGCGTGGTGGTGCGCACCTGTAATCCCAGCTACCCGGGAGGCTGAGGCAGGAGAATCGCTTGAACCCAGGAGGCAGAGGTGGCAGTGAGCCGAGATTGCCCCACTGCTCTCCAGCCCAGGCGACAGAGCGAGACTGTGTCTCATCTAAAAAAAAAAAGAGTTCCAGACTGTCTTGACCAATATGGTGAAACCCCGTCTCTACTGAAAATACAAAAATTACCCGGGCGTGGTGGCGCACACTTGTAATCCCAGCTACTCAGGAGGCTGAGGCAGGAGAATCGCTTGAACCAGGGAGTCGGAGGTTGCAGTGAGCTGAGATCGCGCCGCTGCATTCCAGCCTAGTGACAGAGCGAGACTTCGTCTCAAAAAAAAACAAAGAATTAGGGCTGGGCACGGCTCACACCTGTAATCCCAGCACTTTGGGAGGCTGAGGCAGGCAGGTCACTTGAGGTCAGGAGTTTGAGATTATCTGGCCAACCAAACGGCCAACCCCGTCTCTACCAAAACTACAAAAATTAGCCGGTTGTGGTGGTGGCACACACCTGTAGTCCCAGCTCCTTGGGAGGCTGAAGCAGGAGAATCACTTGAATCTGAGAGGCAGAGGTTGCAGTGAGCTGACATTGTATCACTGCACTCCAGCGTGGGTGACAGAGCAAGACCCTGTCTCAAAAAAACAAACAAAAAAGAAAACAGGTTCCAGGTATCCTCCTCCGATGGCAACGTCCTGCGATATCATGGTTTAGGGATCCCACCCTTCCTCGCCGGAGGCCCCATCCTCGGTGTGTGTTGTTTAGAGTCTGGGAGGAGCCATCCCAGGCCACACCCATCTAATGGTCGTGTGGGGGCCGCCTGCCCGCCCGCCCCCCATGGTAGCCGGCTGCCACTCCGACCTGGGCTTCCCTCGTGGAGTTCTCAGCCGCACAGGCGTTTGCCCCCCACCAGGAAGGTGGGGTCTTGGGTGGTCAGGACCTGGGCTCCTGGGGTCGCCCCCGTCCTTCAGAATACTCCTTAACCCACGTGTGCCTCAGATCGTGTTCGACGAGTGTCACAAAGCCAAGAATGCCGGCTCCACCAAGATGGGCAAGGCTGTGCTAGACCTGCAGAACAAGCTGCCCCTGGCCCGCGTGGTCTACGCCAGCGCCACAGGTGGGGCGGTGCGGATCCCACGTGACCCACCCGCAGCAGCGTCTTTCTGCCTGGCTGTCCCCGCGAAGGGGTATCCCACACGCGTACTCAGCCTCCGTCTGCACCCTGCTCCTCCTCGGACACTGGGGCACCTCTGCGCCTGTCCCAAGGCCACGCTGGCTCTCTTCAGGCCCATGGCTCCAACCCCGCAGGGCCCCTCGTCGGGTGGTCCCAACTTAGTCGTCCCCTGACGCGGCCTCTGGGCCCTCCCGGGTTGGGGAGCTGACGGCAGCTTCCCCCCACAGGTGCCTCTGAGCCTCGGAACATGATCTACATGAGCCGCTTGGGTATCTGGGGCGAGGGCACACCCTTCCGGAACTTTGAGGAGTTCCTGCACGCCATCGAGAAGAGGTGAGTGCCCTTCTCACCCACGTGGAGGGGCGGCGGGGGGTGGGGAGGAGGCCTCAGGCCCATCAGCCCAAGGCCTGGCACTGCCACGTGTGCTTCCCCAGCACCCAGAGGTGCTGAATGTGGGTCGCTCGTTTCACTGCCTCGGGCTGCCCAGCACTCCCAGGGAAGCCAGCCCCTCCGCAGCCCTTCCTGCCCCGTCCCCGCCAGGCTCAGCTGCCAACTGCCTCAGTGGCCGCCAGGGCTCTGCTCCTGCCGACCCCGCCCTCTCTGCGACTGGCTCTGCCTCGCGCTCCGAGTGGCTCCATCCCCACGGGCTCTGGCCGTGCTCACGGGGGCTGTGTCCATCCGCAGGGGCGTTGGCGCCATGGAGATCGTGGCCATGGACATGAAGGTCAGCGGCATGTACATCGCACGCCAGCTCAGCTTCTCCGGCGTCACCTTCCGCATCGAGGAGATCCCGCTGGCCCCAGCCTTCGAGTGCGTCTACAACCGCGCGGCCCTGCTGGTGAGCCTGCGCACCCGACCCGGGGACCCCTGTGCGTTTCCCGGGTGAAATTGCTCCCCCGTGGCCTTGCAGATGCCACAGGCGTCATCAGGTGACGGCCCGCCCTGTCCTGTCCTGGGGTTTTTTTTTTGTTGTTTTTTTGAGACAGTCTCGTGCTGTCATCTAGGCTGGAGTGCTGTGGTGTGATCTCAGTTCACTGCAACCTCTGCCTCTTGGGTTTAAGCGATTCTCCCCCCTCAGCCTCTCGAGTAGCTGGAGTTACAGGTGCCCGCCTCCACACCCAGCTAATTTTGTGTATTTTTTGGTAGAGAACGGTGTTTCTCCATGTTGGCCAGGTTGGTTTCAAACTCCTGACCGCAAGTGATCTGCCCGCCTCGGCCTCCCACAGTGCTGGGATGACAGGCGTGAGCCACGTGCCCGGCCATCACTGGGGTTTTTATGTGGCTGTGATAACGAGGGATGGGACCAAACCACCGCCCCCCTTCCTGTGGTGCCCAAGCCCTTTGCCCCCAGGTCCTGGCCCACAGCTGGCAGTTGGTAGCCGTGTTCAGCATCCACATTGCTGTGGGCCATGTGGCTTGGTCGTTCCCTCCATGTTTGGACAGGTCCTGTTTTCTCCCCCTCACGCCCAACAGCCCTGTATGTTCGATGGTTTTTTTTTTTTATTTTTTGAGACGGGGTTTCCACTCTTGTTGCCCAGGCTGGAGTGCAATGGCACGATCTTGGCTCACCGCAACCTCCGCCTACCAGATTCAAGCAATTCTCCTGCCTCAGCCTCCCGCGTAGCTGGGGTTACAGGCATGTGCCACCAGCCCGGCCAATTTTATATTTTTGGTAGAGACAGGATTTCTCCATGTTGGTCAGGCTGGTTGGTCTCAAACTCCTGAGCTCAGGCGATCTGACCGCCTCAGCCTCCCAAAGTGCTGTGATTACAGGCGTGAGCCACCACACCCAGCCTCTTCACTCGTTTCTTTAGGTGACACAACCAGCATCTCCCGTAACCCCCAGGGCCGGGTTGCTCTCCGGGGTGGGGCCGTCCTGAGCACTTTGGGGTATGGAGCAGCATCCGTGGCCAGAGTCCCAGCCACCCTAACCCAGCCCACCCAGTCATGCCGGGACCAGCCCCCAAACCTGACCACCACAGCCAGCCCCAGACATGCCCAGTGTCCCCTGGACAGGATCACACCTGGGTGAGACCCTGGTCCAAAGCAAGAGAGGCGTGGCTGCGAGCACCCTGTGTTCTTGGAAGGAGCTGAGCCTGTTTGCCGCGGGCGCGGAGTCTGTGCAGTTTGCAGCACGGCTTCCCCACCACGAGTGTTTTGGTTTTTCAGGTTTTTGCCGTACAGGTAGAGGCAGTGCCTCTTACAGTGCACACCCCCAGCACCCCCATCCTGCCCTAAATTCCACCTGGCGTGGGGATGCCTTGCCCAGGGCTGGCGGCAGGTGGGCCGGGGCCCGGGTCGGGAGCCAGGAGCCACAGCTCAGGGGCGCCTTGTGACGTGTCATTGCAGTGGGCCGAGGCCCTGAACGTGTTCCAGCAGGCGGCCGACTGGATCGGCCTGGAGTCGCGCAAGTCCCTGTGGGGCCAGTTCTGGTCGGCACACCAGCGCTTCTTCAAGTATCTGTGCATCGCAGCCAAGGTGCGCCGGCTGGTGGAGCTGGCCCGAGAGGAGCTGGCGCGAGACAAGGTGAGCGGCTGCGGCCTTCGAGGGCTGAGGGCGGCCGGGCCTGCAGGGGCGGAGGCTGCTCTTCTTCCAGGTCCTTCCTGGCCCCTCCCCAGACGTGGGCGGGGGCTGCACCCTGGTGGGTGAGAGACGCCCGGATGTCCGTCTTCCAATCAGAGCCAGCCAGGGTGTCAGAACAGCGGAGTGTGACCACACAGTGGGCAGCTCACCATCCCGAGACAGGCAGCCGGCAGACCCCCACCCAGCAGTGTGTGTTGTAGGGGGGCCGTGGCCCCTCCTGGGGAGGCGAGCACAGCAGCAGAGTGAGGGATGTGGCCATCACCCCAGGCCTGGCAGGTTCTGGCCCCACAGAGGCCCCACAGCAGGGCTGGTGGCTCACAGTCCTCTGCCGTCCCACAGTGCGTGGTCATCGGGCTGCAGTCCACGGGCGAGGCGCGCACGCGGGAGGTGCTGGGGGAGAACGATGGGCACCTCAACTGCTTCGTCTCGGCCGCTGAGTAAGTGTCACGGTGGGGACAGGACTGTGGGCTTCCTGCGCTCATGGCCACCCCTCTCTGTGGCCACCTGTGGCCTGACCCTGCCCCTTGGCCCCAGCAGCAGGAGGTGCTGGGGTGGGCTTTGCTGGGCCCCCAGCCTCAGCCACAGAGGCCTTCACCGCTGCTCCAGGTCTAAAGCAGAGGCTTGGAGGTGGACCCCAGGCATGGTGGGCCTGGAAGGTTTGGGACATGGTCTCCAGGGGTCTCAGAAGGAGGCTTCCTGCATCTGTGCCGTTTTAACAAGGGGGCTGTGGATTTTAGGGGCTGGCCCTCCCAGCTGTCTGAAGCCCCAGCCTCTCCCCTGTTGGTTGAGAATGCCCCGGGAGGGTCACAGCAGCCCCCCTAGATCCCCCCATTGCCTGGGGGTCGGAGCTCCCCAATGCCCCCAGCTACCCCTTCACCCTGCCCCCTGCCCCTGTCCTGGGAGCCATCATCATATCCGGCCACATTCCTCAGAGCGGGGGAAGCCTGGTGGCCGAGGTGGCCCTGTGACACCAGGAGGCCAGAGGAGAGCTCACAGGCAGCCCCCAGTCCTCCCCAGCCCACTCCACACAGGAGACCCTCTGCCCAGGCCCGGTCCTGTCCGGGACCCCCACAGGGACCCAGGGGTGCGTCCAGCTCCTGGAGAGCAACCCCGCCTGGCCTCAGCTCCTCGTGTGAGAATAAACTCCGCGTCTCACTTTCAGAGGCGTGTTCCTGTCGCTAATTCAGAAGCACTTTCCGTCCACCAAGAGAAAGCGGGACAGAGGAGCGGGCAGCAAGCGGAAACGTAAGCCCTGCCCCCCATGGCCCCACCCACCCCTGCCCCTCTGCTTTCTCCCCCCGGGGGCTGGCTGGTCGCTCCCTGCTTCCCCCACTCCCCCGTCCACTCAGCCAAATGCAGGTCCTGTCCGTGCCAGGCAGGCTCAAGGCTCCGCTGCCAGTGGCAGGTCTTGCGTGGACCCTGCCATGGAACGCTTAGGGAAGAGGAAGCAACAGACAGCCTGAAGGACACAGACGTGGGTGCCGAGCGAGACCCGGGGGGCGGGACACGGACGCGGGTGCTGAGCGAGACCCCTCCCACCTTCCGTTTTCAGGGTCTCCACGGTCCCTTGGGGAGCCCATTGATAACCCCCAGGCTTCTGTCACAGGGAAGCCCAGAGCTGCCTGTCGAAGTCTGGTGTGTGGCCTCCCCAGGCACCCCGCGTGTCCACCATACTGGCCAGGCCTGAAAGGACGTTGGATATGGGTTTATTAATATTGTCCCGTTGGCTGGGCGTGGTGGCTCACGCCTGTAATCCCAGCACTTTGGGAGGCCGAGGCGGGTGGATCACCTGAGGTCAGGAGTTTAAGACCAGCCTGGCCAACATGGTGAGACCCTGTCTCTACTAAAAATACAAAAATTAGCTGGGCGTGGTGGTGGACGCCTATAATCCCAGCTACTTGGGAGGCTGAGGCAGGGGAATCGCTTGAACCTGAGAGGTGGAGATTGCAGTGAGCCGAGATCATGCCACTGCACTCCAACTTGGGTGACAGAAAAAACTCTTGTCTCAAAAAAATTAATAAAAATAAAATATTGGCTAGGTGCAGTGGGTCACGCCTGTTGTAATCCCAGCACTTTGGAAGGCTGAGGCGGGCAAATCACCTGAGGCCAGGAGTTTGAGACCAGCCTGGCCAACATGGTGAAACTCCATCTCTACTAAAAATAGAAAAATTAGCCAGGTGTGGTGGTGCATGCTTGTAATACCAGCTGCTCAGGAGGCTGAGGCAGGGGAATTGCTTGAACCCGGGAGGTGGAGGTTGCAGTGAGCTGAGATCGCACCACTGCACTCCAGCCTGGGCAACAGAGTGAAACTCCATCTCAAAAATAAATAAATAAGCCAGGCGTGGTGGTTCACGCCTATAATCCCAGCACTTTGGGAGGCTGAGGCAGGTGGATCACGAGGTCAGGAGATCGACACCATCCTGGCCAACATGGTGAAACCCCATCTCTACTAAAATACAAAAGATTAGCCAGGCGTGGTGGTGGGCGCCTGTAATCCCACCTACTCAGGAGGCTGAGGCAGGAGAATCGCTTGAATCCAGGAGGCAGAGAGTGCAGTGAGATGCCACCGTTCTCCAGCCTGGCGACAGAGTAAGACTCCGTCTCAAAAGAAAATAAATAAATAAAATATGGCCCCCCACACCGTACCCTCCTGGCCACAGGGCACGGGGTTCCCTAGAGGGCGTCCCTGGAGAACAGCTGAGCTGCTTGCCCAGAGGCAGGGGGTTCTCGGATGGACCTCCCCAGCTCGGACCACTGGCCTTGCTCTGTCCTGCTGCGTCTCCTCCACCTGCTCCTCCACCTTGCTGCGGTCTGGCCCTCGGTGACCCTGTCCTTCCCTGCAGGGCGACCTCGGGGACGCGGGGCCAAAGCCCCCCGGCTGGCGTGCGAGACAGCGGGCGTCATCCGCATCAGTGACGACAGCAGCACGGAGTCGGACCCTGGCCTGGACAGCGACTTCAACTCCTCCCCCGAGTCCCTGGTGGATGACGACGTTGTCATCGTTGATGCAGTCGGGCTCCCCAGTGACGACCGGGGTGAGGGCTTGCCCAGGCTGGCCAGCCACCTGTGGGTCAGGATTCCAGTCCAGGCTGAGCAGCCACCTCTGGGTCAGGATTCCAGCCTGAGGCTCCCCCGGCCTCCTGGCGGTCACCACCCACCCCAGGTTGTAGCCCTCAGTCCAGCCCACCTGAGCCCAGCTGCTGCTATGGTGCCCACTTTACAGATGGGGGAAACTGAGGCCCAGAGAGGGGAGGTCAGGGGTTATACCACTGGTCAGAGGCAGAGCTGGGGCTTGGGGCTGGGCAGTCCCTACCCCTGTGGAGGCAGTGAGGTCACAGTGTTTGGTCCGCGACAGGAGGCTTAGTCTCGCCCCAGCTGGTCTCAGGGAGACAAGTGCAGAAAAGCAGTCCTGGGCCACGGTGCCGGGCTTCCCCGCCACCCTGCCGTCCCTCAGGGTTGCCCCGGGCCCCTTGTCCTTGCCCTCCAGGGGCCAGCCTTGAGTTAGGTGGGCCCTAGAAGGCAGCCAACATGTCCTGCCCTGACCCTCCACCTCCTCCCTAGGACCCCTGTGCCTCCTGCAGAGAGACCCGCATGGCCCCGGGGTCCTGGAGCGGGTGGAGCGGCTGAAGCAGGATCTGCTGGACAAAGTGCGGCGGCTGGGCCGGGAACTGCCAGTCAACACCCTGGACGAGCTCATCGACCAGCTGGGCGGCCCCCAGCGGGTGGCGGAGGTGGGTGGGACGTGGCAGCTGGAGTGTGGTGGGCGGGGCATGGGCAGTGGGTGGGGCTTCACGCAGGCTGTGTGCAGCTCTGGTGGCCCCTGCTGGTCACTCTGCGTCTCCGCGGCCCTGCGAGGAGGGGGCGTTTGGGGAGCCCTGGGGCAGCAGCGTGCTGTCCAGCTCGGCCCGGGAGGCCACGACCTCCTGTGGACGGCCTGCCCCATCCCTCTAAGCCCCAGATCCCCCAGCCTGGCCTGCGCAGGCCTCTGCTTAGATCGTTGCCTGAACGCACCCCTTGGGGTGCCCAGGGCCAGGACACAAGCCCCTGGGCCTGGTTCTGCGGCCTCCTACTCCCTGCCCCCGCCCAGCTTCACTTTTTCACTTCGTGGCGCCGGCTGGCTGATAATACCAGGCCTTGGACAGGCACACATCGCCTGGGTCCAGCAGTCCCGCCCTCCCTTTCCCAGCACCCCCACCTCCCGTGCACAGCTGGGAGCCCATGACCACTGTAGGACATAGGGAAGCTGAGACACGGGTGGCCAGACTCCTGCGAGGCCACAACACTGACGGCCGGTTTTGTCCCTGTCTCGGCTGCAGATGACCGGCAGGAAAGGCCGCGTGGTGTCCAGGCCCGACGGGACGGTGGCCTTCGAGTCGCGGGCAGAGCAGGGTCTGTCCATCGACCACGTGAACCTCAGGGAGAAGCAGCGCTTCATGAGCGGCGAGAAGGTGCGGGGCTGCAGTGCACTGGGCGCGGCCCACGGGACCCAAGAGGCACAGAGGGGCCCAAGGGTCCCCGGGGACTGTGGACCCGCGCACTTCTGGAGTGTGTGTGTGCCAGGTGCGGGCGCGAGTGGCCGTGTGGCGGGTGGTGTCCGCGCCCCGCAGGCCTCTCGCTGCCCCGGGACGTCCTGGTGACCTGGAGCGGGGGCCTAGTGGGTGAGGAGGTGGCGGCAACGCTGGGGCGGGCCTTGCACCAACCGTGTCCCGGCCCCTTCTTTCCCCCTAGCTCGTGGCCATCATCTCGGAGGCCTCCAGCTCGGGTGTCTCCCTCCAAGCCGACCGCCGTGTCCAGAACCAGCGGCGCCGCGTGCACATGACCTTGGAGCTGCCGTGGAGCGCCGACCGCGCCATCCAGCAGTTCGGTGAGTCCGGCCCCGCCCCCAGCGCTGCCTGGCCCCGCCCCCAACATGGTCTCGGCCCCGCCCCCGCCTGGCCGGGCCCTGAGAGCAGCTCTGCCCCCAGGCCGCACCCACCGGTCCAACCAGGTCTCCGCGCCAGAGTATGTCTTCCTCATCTCGGAGCTGGCCGGGGAGCGCCGGTTCGCCTCCATCGTGGCCAAGCGCCTGGAGAGTCTGGTGAGCAGGTGGGGGTGGGGCTGAGAACCAGGGACAGGCCCAGGAAGGCTCTCCAAAGCTTTGTGGGGTGCTAGAGGCCAGACCCCAGGTGACCAACTGATGGCCTCCCCACCCCTGGCAGGGGGCCCTGACCCACGGAGACCGCCGCGCCACGGAGTCCCGTGACCTCAGCAAGTACAACTTTGAGAACAAGGTACTGCAGGGAAGGCAGGGTTGGGGGGCGGGGCAGGGGCAGGGGTCTAGGGAGGGCCGGATCTAAGAGCCTGGGGGAGGGGGTAGATGGGGGCTGGAGAACGTGGGGCTCAGTGGTCTGGAGGAGGGCCGGGTCTAGGACCCCCAGGGGGGAAGGGGGCTTCTAGGGGCTCAGGGAGGTGGCATCCAGGGGTCTGGGGGAGGACCCAGTCTAGGACCCCCGGGGAGGAGGTGGCTGAGAGCTGGGGGAGGTGGGGTCTAGGAGTCTAGGGGAGGGCAGGGTCCAGGGGCCTAGGGGAGGGTGGGGTTCTGGGGAGGCAGGGGTCCAGGGAAAGCCAGCCTCCTCCCTGGGCCTCCTCCCCGAGTCACCTTCTCCCCCTAGTATGGCACCCGGGCCCTGCACTGTGTCCTCACCACCATCCTGAGCCAGACTGAGAACAAAGTGCCTGTGCCCCAGGGATACCCTGGAGGGGTCCCCACCTTCTTCCGGGGTAAGCTGGGCTGGTGGGGGTCTTCCTGGGAGGGGCAGGGGTTGCAGAGCACTGGGCTCCAGAGCAGCTGGGGCAGCAGGCTTTGTAGGCCGGTTGTGTGTTGAGTGACCCCTCCCCACACACGGACAGAGAGGGCTGTGAAGGCAAAGGGAGCCAAGGCGGCCCCCAGCAGCTGCCGGGTGGGTTTCCAGGGCAGCTGAGGGGCCTGGGGTTTGGGTTTACTCCCCAAGAACATGCTGTTCTCACTCCTGTAAGTCAGGCAAAAGGCTCCGCTCCTGGCCCTGGCCCTGGCCCTAGGCTGCAGCTGCTCCCCAGCCCCCCAGGGAGCTGCTGGTCTCTGGAAAAGGAGCTAGGGGCTTCGAGGGAGGGGCAGGGGTGGGAAGACCAGCATGTGAGGCCCCTCTCCCCGCAGACATGAAGCAGGGCCTGCTGTCTGTGGGCATTGGTGGCCGGGAGTCCCGGAATGGCTGCCTGGACGTGGAGAAGGGTGAGTGCCCCACACCCAGGCCCAGAGGCGCTCCTGTCTCTCATCTCATGCAACCTTGGCCTCGGGTGGTGAGCAAAGCAGGGAGAGGGATTCCCAGCGCAGCCTGAGGCTTGGCTCCCTCCCCTACCAGACTGTTCCATCACCAAGTTCCTGAACCGCATCCTGGGGCTGGAGGTGCACAAGCAGAACGCCCTGTTCCAGTACTTCTCAGACACCTTCGACCACCTCATCGAGATGGACAAGCGGGAGGGCAAATACGACATGGGCATCCTGGGTGAGCACAGGTGCCGGGGTGTGGTGTGGGTGGGTGTGGGTGCGGGGCTCGTGGGAACGCCATGCATCCTGGGTGGGCTCGGGGCTCGTGGGAACACCGGGCATCCCGGGTGGGCGAGGGGCTCGTGGGAACACCGTGCATCCCGGGTGGGCGAGGGGCTCGTGGGAACGCCGGGCATCCCAGGTGGGCTCGGGGCTCGTGGGAACACCGTGCATTGTGGGTGAGCACGGCGAGGGCCTAGGTGGGCAAGGGGCTCGTGGAAGCGCCATGCATCCTGGGTGAGCGAGGGTACTGGGTGAGACTGGGCGGATGCAGGCACAGGGCTCGTGGGATCACCGTGCACGTCTCTGGAAGGTGCCCAGGCTGGTGCACGCTGCCCACCATGCTCATCCCCAGGCTTCACGGGGCACCTGCTACATTGTTGTGAACGAAAGGCCGGCGAGCCTGTGCTTCCAGCCTCATGGGGCCAGGCCTGTCCATCAGGACCACTTCCCTGTGTCCAGATGAGGGTCGGGTCCGGGCCATGGCTACTTCACTCATGAGCAGTGCCGCAGCCAACCAGGCTCCCACGATCCCCCACAGCCTGCTTGGGGTCACCCAGCACCTGAGCAGCCCCCAGGCTCCTACAATCTCCTCACAGCCTGCTTGGGGTTACCTAGGATCTGAGCGGCCCCCAGGCTCCCACGATCCCCCACAGCCTGCTCGGGGTTACATAGGACCTGAGCGGCCCCCAGGCTCCCACGATCCCCCACAGCCTGCTCGGGGTTACCTAGGACCTGAGCGGTTGCCAGGTTGGGGCCCACGTGCACCATCCCCACGCTGGGCCAGGTCAGGCCAGGATCCAGGACACCCTCTCCTGTGCTCTCGGGGGGTCGTCTCTAGGGTGCGCCCCGGCTACGGGACTGACCCTGGCCCCAGCCCACAGTCCCAGGCCTGGACACCACTTACCCTCCACCCGCCCCCCTAGACCTTGCTCCCGGTATCGAGGAGATCTACGAGGAGAGCCAGCAGGTGTTCCTGGCTCCCGGGCACCCGCAGGACGGGCAGGTGGTCTTCTACAAGGTCAGCAGGAAGCCCCACAGCCCCTCACACTCTGCCCACCCCGCCCCCACCACACTCACACCCCCCCACCCCGTGCCGTGGCAGATCAGCGTGGACCGCGGCCTGAAGTGGGAGGACGCCTTTGCCAAGTCGCTGGCGCTGACGGGCCCCTATGACGGCTTCTACCTCTCCTACAAGGTGGGGTCGGGCGGGGTTACCCCCCCAGAGGAGGGCCCGCGGGGGGCGGACCGGGGCGCGGCCTCAACGCCCCCCTCCGCAGGTCCGCGGTAACAAGCCCAGCTGCCTGCTGGCGGAGCAGAACCGCGGCCAGTTCTTCACGGTGTACAAGCCCAACATCGGCCGGCAGAGCCAGCTGGAGGCCCTGGACAGCCTCCGCCGCAAGTTCCACCGGGTAGGCGGCCGCCGGGCGCAGCTTTCGCTCGGGTTGCCGGCCCTGACCCCGCCCAGGCTCATGCGGCCCTGTGTCCCTAGGTCACCGCGGAGGAGGCCAAGGAGCCCTGGGAGAGTGGCTACGCTTTGTCGCTGACGCACTGCAGCCACAGCGCCTGGTGAGGGCGGGCCGGGGACCAGGGGGAAACCGGCAGATGGCGGCGACCCAGGCGGGGATCGGGGGCTCCCGAGACCCTGAGAGGAGGCGGGAGATCTCAGGGCACCTGGGGAGCCTGCGGGCCCCTGGGACCCGCCTGAGCCGAGACGACCCGTCTCGTCCGCAGGAACCGGCACTGCCGGCTGGCGCAGGAGGGTAAGGACTGCCTGCAGGGGCTGCGGCTGCGGCACCACTACATGCTGTGCGGCGCGCTGCTGCGCGTGTGGGGCCGCATCGCCGCCGTCATGGCCGACGTCAGCAGCAGCAGCTACCTGCAGATCGTGCGGCTGAAGACCAAGGACAGGAAGAAGCAAGTGGGTGAGTGGGCGGCGGGCGCCCCGGGAAGGCCCGAGCCCCCAGCGCCGGCCCTGACCCCGACGCTCTGCCCGCAGGCATCAAGATCCCCGAGGGCTGCGTGCGCCGGGTGCTGCAGGAGCTGCGGCTGATGGATGCGGACGTGAAGCGCAGGCAGGCGCCCGCCCTGGGCTGCCCCGCCCCGCCCGCCCCGCGCCCGCTGGCGCTGCCTTGCGGCCCCGGAGAGGTGCTGGACCTCACCTACAGCCCCCCGGCCGAGGCCTTCCCGCCGCCCCCGCACTTCTCTTTCCCGGCGCCGCTGTCCCTGGACGCCGGCCCCGGCGTCGTGCCGCTGGGCACCCCCGACGCCCAGGCCGACCCTGCGGCCCTCGCGCACCAGGGCTGCGACATCAACTTCAAGGAGGTGCTGGAGGACATGCTGCGCTCGCTGCACGCGGGGCCGCCCTCCGAGGGCGCGCTGGGGGAGGGCGCGGGGGCGGGGGGCGCGGCGGGCGGTGGTCCCGAGCGGCAGAGCGTGATCCAGTTCAGCCCACCCTTCCCCGGCGCCCAGGCTCCTCTCTGACACGCCTTTAGGCGAAACATGCCCCAAGACACAGGGACCGTTTCTCCCCTAGGAGCAGCGGTGGGGAGCAGGGCCAAGGTCCCCTGACCACTGCTCAGAGGAGCCCTAGGCCCTGGCCGCAGTGCCTTCAGCGCCCGACCCGGGCCCCCACCTGGTCAGCCCTGGCGGGGCCCACTCAGGACAGCTGGGGGCCGGGGCGTGGCAGGGCCCTCTCTGTGCCTCTCCTCCCAAGTAGGAAGGGGCTCCGGGTGGCTGCTCTGGGACTGGGCACCCACAAGGGCTCAGTGGGCCCAAACCCTTGAAATCCGTGAAACCGGGTGGTCCCAAGAGCTAGAAACTCAGGAAACCCCAGGTGCTCAGGGCCCCGCGTCTCGGGGGCTCCGTGGGGCAGACCCCTGCTAATATATGCAATTCTCCCTCCCCCAGCCCTTCCCTGACCCCTAAGTTATTGCCCGCTCACCTCTCCCAGGCCCCAGGCCGCGGAGCTGGCAGGGTGGCGCCTGCGGTTTCTATGTATTTATAGCAAGTTCTGATGTACATATGTAAAGGACTTTTTTAAATATATGTGCCTTTTGCCTACTTCCCACGGAGTCTGCTCCTCAGCCTGTGGGACAGGGAGGGAAGGGCAGGGGTGTGTGGGCATCCCCCCAGGCTCTCCTGGTTACCAGGCCTTTCTGCCCACTGCCTGTGCTGGCCCCATGTGGATGAGAGGGGACGAGGGCTGGGAGAGACAGACCTCTCAACCCAGTGTCTGGGGCAGGTGCCATGGACCGTCCATTCCACAGACCCCCAGTGGGGGCAGCTGGGATCAGCCACCCTGGCAGGCTGCAGTCCCTCTAGCTGTGCAGGTGGGCAGCCAGGCCGTGTCCAGACAGCCCCCGGGTCCCATGAACGGTGGCTGGTACTGCTCTACCAGCCCCTCCTGGCCTGTCCATCCCCAGCCCTCACGGAGGGACTCTGTGCAAACAGTAACCACCCAGCCACCCCCACACCCCCCAGCCAGGTGAGGCCCCAAGGGCCGGTGTGGGTGCCCAACCCATCCCCAGCACCAGGGCCACGCTGTTCCTCGGGCCTCTGCACTTCTGCTTCCTGGCCAGGGGAGGCCCCAGTAGCCACCTCCTAACAGTTAAGGCCCGGGGCCAGGAAGCACAGCCACTTAGAATTATCTCCTCCAAGACTCGGCACTACACCAGGCCCTGCCTGTGCACAGCAGGTGGGGCTGCACGGATTAAGAGCCAGGGCTGGGTGTCCAACGGGCCCAGATCTCACTGCACCCCAGCACTGCAGCCAGCACAGCCCCCCGAGCCTGGAGGAAGAGGGGGCAACAACACGCCACCTCCATGGCACCCCCAGCCTGGCAGCTGACGGCAACTGGCCCTGACATGGAGGGGCCCCTGGCAAAAGGGCCCCCCAAGCCCCTACGCAGAAAGATCCAGCAGGCTAATTTGTCTGTTTATTCCCACAAGGTAGCCAGGGGTGGGGGCGCCGAGCCAAGCCCAGCAGGCCATGGGACCTTCCTCCGGCGGGGTGCACGCTGGATTTTCGGGTCTGCCCCACCAGCAGGTTTGCAGGCAGGCCGTCATGAGTGCCGGTGGAAGGCTCCAAGGGCGTGGGCAGGGGCTCGGGCGGGGCCACACACTTGTGGAGCTAGAAATAGTGGGGCAGGTCCTTCTCTATCACCTGTCGGGGAGGAAAGCTGGGTTAGGGCAGCTACCTCCCAAGCCCCCGAGCCTCAAGCGGGCTCCCTAGAGAGGACCTACCAGGGGCTCCTCCATGGGTCCGTAGCGCTTCACCACGCAGCCGTTCTTGTCGATGAGGAACTGTGGAGAGACGGTGTCCAAACTGTGGGGCCACCCCTGCAAGGGGCTGAGGCTGCCCTTCCTGTCCGCTGCCCATCTGGGCCACGGCTGTGGCCAGGGGAAGCTGGTCCCCTACCCCCCACAGCCCCCTTACCTTGGTGAAGTTCCACTTGATGGCACTGGAAAAGAAGCACATGGACGTGAGCGTCCCCAGCAGCCCCCCACAGTCCCCAAGCTGTCCTGTCTCCAGGAGGCCACAAGGGTGTGAGCTTCCCCGGCTGCCTCCACAGCCACAGTGCCCCCAAGCCCCCCCAGAGCCATCTTACCCCAGGAGGCCATGCAGTGTGAGAGTCCCAACAGCCCCCCACAGGCCCCCGAGCCATCCTGTCCCCAGGAGGCCACAAAGGTGTGGGCATCCCTGGCTGCCTCCACAGCCCTCTATGTCCCCCTGAGCCATCTTACCCCCAGGAGGCCACGCGATGTGAGAGTCCCAGCACCTCCCCGCAACCGCCCCCCGAGCCATGAGCCATTCTGCCCCAGGGAGGTGTGAGCATCCCAGCAGCCCCCCCACCCCCACCCCAGCAGCCGTACTGTCCCCAGAGGTCACGCACTTTCCCAGGATGCCCTTGCCCTTGGGTTGGATCTTCATCCACTTCCACAGCGGGTGGGCGTCGTCCCCGTTCACGCAGATCTTGCTGAACATATCGAATTTGACGTTGTAGCCCGCGGCGAACTCTTTGATCTCTTCGTTACTCCCTGGCTCCTGTGGCGGCCAAGGTGTGTGAGTGAGTCGGGGGCTGGCACCCCCTCAGTCCGGGCCCCCTGCACACTCCCAGGCCCTCTCCAGGCTGGAGCCCACCCCGACCCCCACCCACCCGCCTCTGCGGGCCCCGGGGACGCAGCAGCCCACCTGCTTCCCGAACTGGTTACACGGGAAGGCCAGGATCCGCAAACCACACTCAGCGTATCGGGCGTGCAGGTCGACGAGCTGAGTGTAGTTTACTTCGGTCTTGCCTCACTGGGAGGCCACGTTGGTGACGATGCACACGAAGCCCCTGCGAGGATCGGCGGCGTCAGCGCAGAAGAACACGGCCCCCTCCCAGGGCCCGACCCCGCGCCCCACCCCAGGCGAGCGCCCACCGGTACTTGTCCAGGTTAACCATGTGCCCGTCGATGTCCTTGGCGGAAAACTCGTGCATGGAGCGCGCACAGCGCCAGTCGTCCCGGGACGCGCACTGCAAGGCAAAGGAAGCTGAGCAGGGAGCGTGGACGGGAGGCTGAGCCCGGGACCCTGAGGCAGGAAGGGATCGGGAGCGGGTCGGTGGCGGGGACACCGAGGCCCTGCGGCCCTGAAGACCTGAACGCTCCTCCTCCTTAAACGCACACGCCCCCTTGTACTTCTGGTCCGGTTTTACCGGAGACCCGGAGGCCGGGAGAGGGTTCCAACCCCAAAATGTGCCACATTAGCCGGTGTGGGGGCCCCGCGCGCACCGGGTCCTGGGACTTGGGACATTCGTGGATCTCCGGTCGCAAGCTGCGGGGACAGGGCTTCTTCCGCCGGCGCCGCGCCCTCCTGCGCCTGCACGCTGGGGCCTTCCGCCGCCGAGGGGCTCGCGGCCGCCGCCTGCCCCGGCTCTGGCACCGCTGCCTGCGGCGCCCGGGGGAGCCTGCGCCCGCGCGGCCCATACCCGCCCGTCTCCCGCCCCTCCTGGCTCCCCCACCCCGAGCGCCGCTAGCGGGGACAAAGGGCCCGGAGGCCGTAGTCAGGACTGCGCGACTGTGACGCCACCGCGCTAGGCCAAGGTGCGGGGGCGGGGCGGCGCCCGGGGGCGCGTGATCCGGGATTTCCAGCCCTCCGCGCCCCCAACCGCTCGGGCGCAGCAGCCCCGCTCGGCCCGGAGACGCCCCGCCGTGGCCCTCAACGGTCCAGCTCCGCCCCAGCCGTCCCGGACCCCGCCCCCTGCAAGCCTGGACCCCCGACCCCGGCCCCGGCACGCGCGCCTGCAACGGCCTGGACGGCCCCTTCCCCGACCACGACCCGCGCGCGTGGAACAACCCCTTCCCCTTCCCCGACCCCAGCCCGCGCGCCTACAACGGCCTGGAGGGCCGCGGAGCGCGTCGCAGTACGGTCACCCGCGTCCGTGCCCGGCCGGGGGTGGGGAGGGGGAGCCCCCAGACGCCCCCCACCAAGGTCACTGGAGCCTGAGGGTTCCCCACGCCGGCGAGCGGAGGCAGGGATCGCGCGCCCGCCCCAACGGTCACCGGGCCGGCAACGGCCGCGGCGCTAGCTCACCATGGTCCCGGCCAGGCCAGGCGCGGCCAGAGCCCCACAGAGCAGCGCCGGCTTCAGTAGGCGGCAAAGGCGGCCGAGGCTCATCGCGGCGGGGCTGGGAGCCAGCGGCTCCTCCCCTCGTCCAGCCGACCAATGGACGCGCGTCGGCTTTCCGCGCCTCCTTTCCCACGGCCACGCCCTCCAGAGCGCTCATTGGTCAGACGCGTCGGTGTTGAGCGCTCGCGCCGACGTCAGCCAATGGGAGGCCGGAGTGGGAAGAAGGCGGGGAAGGGGGGGCGGGACCGGACGTGCGGACTTGTTGTTGGCGACTGCGCATGCTCGCTTGTGTCTAGGAGGCCGTGGCCTGGCTGGCGGCGCGTCGGGAGGCAGCGCAGTTATCCGGCTGGTTGACAGCAGCGCGGCCGCAGGCCAGACAACCTGAGAATACTACTTAAGACTCGTCGAGGGGGTTTGGTTTCTCCAACTCGCAGAAAAGTGTCCCCAACTCTTATTTACCTTTTTTTTTTTAAGACACGGGGTCTTGCTGTGTTGCCCAGGCTAACGTGCAGTGGCACGATCAGGGCACACTGCAGCCTCGACCTCCCAGGCTCAAGCGAACCTCCCGTCTCTGCTTCCCGAGTAGCTGGGACAACAGGCTCATCCACCATTCCTGGCTAATTATTGTTTTGTAGACATGGGGGTCTCGCTATGTTGCCTAGGCTGGTCTCAAACTTCTGACCTCAAGTGATCCTCCAGCCTCAGCTTCCCAAAAGTGCTGGGATCACATGCGTGAGCCAAAGGCTCGGCCGGGATTTGCCTTTTTTTTTTTTTTTTTTCCGAGACACAGTTTTTTTGCTCTTTTGCCCAGGCTGGAGTGCAGTGGCGCTATCTCAGCTCACTGCAACCTCCACCCAGCCCCCGGGTTCAAGCGATTCTCCTGACTCAGCCTCCTGAGTAGCTGGGATTACACGAGCGAGCCACCACACCCAGCTAATTTTTTTGTATTTTTAGTAGAGACGGGGTTTCACCATGTTGGCCAGGCTGATCTCGAACTCCTGACCTCAGGTGATCTGCCCGCCTAGGCCTCCCAGAGTGCTGGGATTACAGGTGTGAGCCACCGCATCCGGCCAAGGGATTTGCCTTTTTAATGTAAATGAAACCAAACTGAGTTGGGTTTGCTTCTCATCACAGCTCCATCTTATGGGGGTGTCCCTACCCTCACCCCTGCCATGGGCGCAGGGGGTCAGTGACTCCCCATCCTGGGTCTGGTTGCTGAGCCGCTTGTATAATGTGGGCACTGAGACCTGAGAGTCATCAAGACAGTTACCACTTAACTGAGAACCTGGAGTTTCCTGGGCTCCCACCCCCAGGGGCAGCTGCCCACGCAGGGACGCGCGGTATGTGCTCAGAAAATAAACACAAGTCTGGAGGGTTTTCTTACACTTCTAACATTACAAGGTATGGGCACACCCGAGCCCATACTGCCCCACATCTTGGCTTCCAACTCTGTTTTTCACTTCGTGGCTTGGACATGTGGCAACAGAAACACTCATCTCATACTTGGGAACTGAGTCACCGTGATTGGACTTTGACCCCTGTACAGGCAGG
The DNA here is from genome assembly GCF_000001405.40 of Homo sapiens. NCBI lineage: Eukaryota > Metazoa > Chordata > Mammalia > Primates > Hominidae > Homo > Homo sapiens. The sequence goes on along the minus strand of NC_000019.10, from coordinate 1,102,540 downwards.
GGTTTGGATTTTTTTTTTTTTTTTTGAGGAGTCTTGGTCTGTCACCCAGGCTGGAGTGCAGTGGCTCCATCGCAGCTCACTGCAACCTCCGCTTTCCGGGTTCAAGTGATTCTCCTGCCTCAGTCTCCTGAGTAGCTGGGATTACAGGCATGTGCTACCACGCCCAGCTAATTTTTGTGTTTTTAGTAGATACGGGCTTTCACCATGTTGGTCAGGCTGGTCTCGAACTCCCGACCTCAGGTGATCCGCCTGCCTCGGCCTCCCAAAGTGCTGGGATTACAGGTGTGAGCCACTCTACCCCGCCTAGGTGCTTGGGATTTGTATGTTGTCCTCAAGGTCTTAACCTTTTCTGACCCTGCACTGAGTATTTCTTCAGAGACAGACTCAGGGCCGGGTTGACTTGGGGGGTGCTATGAGCCTGCCCCCGCCACTGCCCCCGACTCAGGCCTGCCAGATGCAGCACAGAGGCGTCATGGATGGTTTGGTGGCAGAGGCAGTGAAGCAAGGATCCCTGAGCAGGGCTGGCCGAATCCTGGTCTTGCATAAGTCTGTTCACATGGCTTTGCTCCCGCCCAGCCCCTAGAGGCTGAGTTCTTGGAGTCAACTCCCATTGTCTGACTTCTCAGGAAACCCCCCCATTTCCTCCCGCCCTGGCAGTGCCGGGTGACAGGGCCACACTGGTGACTCTGTTCTTGCCCTTGCGAAGGCTCAGCTGTTCGCAATTTTGCCGGTGTTGTTTTCCTTAAGTTTGTTGCAAACATGTGCACTGAAATGGGAGTTTATTTCAGGGTTGCCAGAAAAACAGCTCAGCACCCACAGCTCCGCGGAGAGACTTGATCCCATTCCTGACTTCCTGCCAATTGTGATAAAGTCAGAAGTGGGGAAAACACGGGGTCGCGACCTCGGATCTGAGAACGGGGCCCCAGGCTCTGGGAGAGATTTGTGCTGGGGGCTTCACAGCTTTTCCCAGAGTGTCCCCATTTCACGAACGGGGAAATGGAGTCTCGGGGACCTCTCAAGGCTCCAGCCCTGTGAGGGCGGAAGTTCTTGAGTGTCCCTGCAGGAAGCTGTGTTGCCACATATCTTTCTAGAGCAGCCCCTGGCTCCAGGAAGGACTGGGGAGGGGCTGTCCTGTGGCTTCATTTCTTTTTTAAGATCTTTTTGGCCAGGCATGGTGGCTCACACCTGTAATCCCAGCACTTTGGGAGGCTGAGACGGGCAGATCACGAGGTCAGGAGATCGAGACCATCCTGGCTAACACGGTGAAACCCCGTCTCTACTAAAATTACAAAAAATTAGCCAGGTGTGGTCGAGGGCTCCTGTAGTCCCAGCTACTACTCGGGAGGCTGAGGCAGGAGAATGGTGTGAACCCGGTAGGCGGAGCTTGCAGTGAGCCGAGATCGCACCACCGCACTCCAGCCTGGGCAAGAGAGCGAGACTCTCCGTCTCAAAAAAAACTTTTTGGCTGGGTGCGGTGGCTCACATCTGTAATCCCAGCACTTTGGGAGGCCGAAGCAGGCGGATCACCTGAGGTTAGGAGTTTGAGGCCAGCCTGGCCAACATAGGGAAACTGTCTCTACTAAAAGTACAAAAATTAGGGCCAGGCATAATGGCTCACGCCTGTAATCCCAGCACTTTGGGAGGCCAAGGCGGGTGGATCACGAGGTCAGGAGTTCAAGACCAGCCTGACCAACATGGGGAAACCCCATCTCCACTAAAAATACAAAAATTAGCTGGGAGTGGTGCCGTGCTCCTGTAATCCCAGCTACTCAGGAGGCTGAGGCAGGAGAATTGCTTGAACCCTGGAGGTGGAGGTTGCAGTGAGCCGAGTTCGTGTCACTGCACTCCAGCCTGGGGGGATACAGCAAGACTCTGTCTCAAAAAAAAAAAAAGTTTTTGAAATTCAAACAAAATACATATGAAATTCAACATTTTAACACTTCAAAGTGTACAATTCAGTGTTTTTAGGACGTGTACAATGTTATGAGACCATCACCTCTATCTATCTAGTTCCAGAATTTTTTTTTTCTCTTGAGACAGAATTTCGCTCTTGTTGCCCAGGCTGGAGTGCAGTGGCACGATCTCAGCTCACTGCACTGCCACCTCCCAGGTTCAAGCGATTCTCCTGCCTCAGCCTCCCAAGTAGCTGGGATTACAGGCGTGCGCCACCACACCCAGTTAGTTTTGTATTTTTAGTAGAGACAGGGTTTCTCCATGTTGGTCAGGCTGGTCTCAAACTCCCGACCTCAGGTGATCCGCCTGCCTAGGCCTCCCAAAGTGCTGGGATTACAGGCGTGAGCCACCGCACCCAGCACAGAGTATTTTCATTGTCCCCAAAGGAAGCCCAGACCCCATCAGCCTTCACTCTCCATCTCCTCCCCTAGGACCTGGCACACACACATCCCCTCCTGTCTCTGTGGATTGGCCTGTCCTGGACATTTCATGGAAATGGGATCACACACTGCGTGTTCTTTTGTGCCTGGCTTCTCTCACTGAGCATGAGGTCCTCAGGCTACATCCACATTGTGGCCTGTGTCAGAGCCTCATCATTCCTTTTCATGGCTCAGAAATATTCCAGTGTGTGGAGGGATCACATTGTGTTTATTTATTCATCTGTGGATGGACATCTGGGGTTTTTTTTTTTGAGACAGAGTCTCACTCTGTTACCCAGGCTGGAGTGCAGTGGCGCAATCTCAGGTCACTGCAACCTCCGCCTCCCAGGTTCAAGCAATTCTCCTTTCTCAGCCTCCTGAATAGCTGAGATTACAGGCATGCGCCACCATGCCCGGCTATGGGCTGTTTTCTCTTTTTGAGTTTGTAAAGCCGTACAAGTGTTTGTGTGGGCGTATGTTTTCATTTCTCTTGGGTGTATGCCTAGGAGTGGAATTGCTGAGTCATATGGTGACTCTTTGTGTAACAGTTTGAGGATCCACCAGACTGTTTGTTGTTTTTTTTTTTTTGAGATGGAGTTTCACTCTTTTTGCCCAAGCTGGAGTGCAGTGGCACGATCTCGGCTCACTGCAACCTCCACCTCCCAGGTTCAAGCGATTCTCCTCCCTCGGCCTCCCAAGTAGCTGGGATTACAGGCCTGCACCACCATGCTCGGCTAATTTTGGTATTTTCAGTAGAGACGGGGTTTCACTATGTTGGCCAGGCTGGTCTCGAACCCCTGACCTCAGTTGATCCGCCTGCCTCAGCCTCCCAGAGCGCTTGGATTACAGGCGTGAGCCACTGCGCCTGGCCGACCAGACTGCTTTCTATAGCGGCTGCACCATCTTACATTTTCACCTGCCCTGTGTGTGGATCATGGCCTGACTTCCGGGCCTCTGGCTTTGCTGTTATCATCCAGGCCGCCCCTGGCTTGGGCTCAGCCTCTCAGTCCACCCCTGCCCCCAGATTTGCAGGTCACTGCTTGGTCTTTACTCCAGATGCCCTTTCTTGTGTCATAAAATCCACTCCTGAGGCCTGTCCGTCTCCTGACCCTCCCCGCCCCATGTATCTGCCCCACATCTCCAATTCCTCTCCTCCCTCAAATCCGTCCTGCCAGGCACTGGCCCCCTTCCCTGAGTCACAAGCAATGTCTGCTAGGCGAATCCCTGCTCAGTCCTCAGGCTGACTTGGCGGTGGCATCACATAGCCACTCCCTTCCCTCTGCCCCTAGACACCTTCCTCACCAGGTTTCCAGGAGACCTGGCAACCTCCTGCCCTTTATCCTATTTAGGGAACACTTATGCAGTGCTGGTGTCAGGCGCCACTCTGTGTACATTGCAATTATTAGCCAATTACCCTACGAAGTGGGTGCTGTTCTTGTCCCTGTTTTACAAGGGAGGGGAGAGGGGACGCACAGAGAGGTTGAGTAACCTGCCTGAGATCACACAGCCAGGTCTGCAGCTCAGGGGCTGCTCCAGTGTCTGTGCTGAGCCTCCCTCCCCTCCTGCTGCTGCCTCCCCTCCTTCTCCGGGCTTCTGAACACCAGCAGGGCTGGACTTACTCTCCTGGACTCTGCTCTGCTCCCAGGACCTGGTCCAGGCTCCCGGCTCTAATCTTCACCACGTGGCCACCCTGCCTGCACGTCCATCCCCCAGACCTTGCCCTGAACTCCAGAGCTCACCTCGACCTACACGCCTCCACCCTCCCACCCCTCTTTTCACTGCTCACAGGGACAGCTTTGTTCCCTTTCTCCCTCTTTTTCTCGCCCTGTGGCACCCTCCCCGCTCTGTGCTTGCCCCTACCGTAGTTGGAGCCACCCCAACCTGTGGCAAGTTTGCCTTCCCACTCCCTCCCTGGTCTCTTGCTTCTGCCCTGGCTCCCAACAGTCATTTCCCAACACAGCAGCTCCAGACATTTTACCCTGACCAGCAAGGCTTCATGGGACCTGCCCCACCTTGCCCTCTGACCCCCTCCTGCCCCTTCCCTGCCAGGAACACTCCAGGTGAGGCACAGCCCCAGAGCCTCTATCCTGGCTGTGCTGTCTGCCTGATACAGCTATCCCCAGGCAACCCCAGGTTTCCTCCCTCTCCTCTTCTGGTTTTTGTTTGTTTTCTGTTTGTTTGGAGACAGTGTCTTGCTCTGTCGCCCAGGCTAGAGTGCAGTGGCGCAATCACAGCTCACTGCAGCCTCAACCGCTGGGCTCAGGCGATCCTAGATCTTCCCACCTCAGCCTCCCGAGTAACTGGGACTACAGGTGCGCCCACCACGCCCAGCTAATTTTTAAATTTTTTTGTAGAAATGGGGTCTTCCTGGCCGGGTGCGGTGGCTCACGCCTGTAATCTCAGCACTTCGGAAGGCCGAGGCAAGCAGATGATCTGAGGTCAGAAGTTCAAGACCAGCCTGGCTAACATGGTGAAACCCCATCTCTACCAAAAATACAAAAAAATTAGCCAGGTGTGGTGGCTCACGCCTGTAATCCCAGCTACTCGGGAGGCCAAGGCAGGAGAATCCTTTAAACCCAGGAGGCGGAGGCTGCAGTGAGCTGAGATTATGCCACTGTACTCCAGCCTGGGCAACAGAGCGAGACTCGGTCTCAAAAAACAACAACAACAACAAAAAAGAAATGGGGTCTTCCTATGTTGCCTAGGCTTGTCTCAAACTCCTGGCCTCAAGGTGAGAAAGAAAAGTTAGGTAGTTAGATAAGAAAGCCTGCACAGACCGGGCGGGGTGGCTCACACCTGTAATCCCAGCACTTTGGGAGGCCGAGGCGGGCGGATCATGAGGGCAGGAGATGGAGACCATCCTGGCTAACACGGTGAAACCCCGTCTCTACTAAAAATACAAAAAATTAGCCGGGCGTGGTGGCAGGTGCCTGTAGTCCCAGCTACTCGGGAGGCTGAGGCAGAAGAATGGCGTGAACCCGGGAGGTGGAGCTTGCAGTGAGCCGAGATCCTGCCACTGCACTCCAGCCTGGGGGACAGAGCGAGATTCCGTGTCAGGAAAAAAAAAAAAAGTAGCCCCTGACAGCCCCCCAAAAAGAATCTCAAATATCAGTGTAAAAAAGTCCGTGACTTACAACTAAAAATTACAAAACTACAACAAAGGGATCCTCCCCTCTCAGCTTCCCAAAGTGCTGGGATTACAGGTGTGAGCTATCGCGCCCAATGGGATTTTTTTTTTTTTTTCTCGATGGAGTCTTGCTCTGTCACCCAGGCTGGAGTGCAGTGGTGCGATCTCGGCTCACTGCAACCTCCGCCTCCCGGGTTCAAGTGATTCTCCTGCCTCAGCCTCCCGAGTAACTGGGAGTACAGGCACCCACCACCAAACCTGGCTAATTTTTGTATTTTTAGTAGAGACAGGGTTTCACCATGTTGGCCAAGCTGGTCTGGAACTCCTGATCTCATGCTCTGCCTGCCTCGGCCACCCAAAGTGCTGGGATTACAGTGATGAGCCACCACTGCTAATGGGATTTTTGCTTGAATCTATCCTCACTGTATTCCCTGACCTCCCCATGTGATACTGCAGTTCTCCCATTCTCCCCATGTCACTTAGCCTCCCTGCTCTTTCTTCTTCCGTAGCTTTGTCACTTTCTAACGTTGTTATTTATTTTATTTTATTTCATTTCATTTTATTTTTGAGACAGAGTCTTGCTCTGTTGTCCAGGCTGGAGTGCAGTGGCACGATCTTGGCTCACTGAAACCTCCACCTTACAGGTTCACGAGATTCTCCTGCCTTAGCCTCCTAAGTAGCTGAGACTACAGGCACCTGCCACCTGGCCCAGCTAATTTTTTGTATTTTTAGTAGAGACGGGGTTTCACCGTGTTAGCCAGGATGGTCTTGAACTCCTGATCTCATGCTCTGCCCGCCTCAGCCTCCCAAAGTGCTGGGATTATAGGCATGAGCCACCGCGCCCGGCCACGTTATTTATTATATTTTACTAAATCCTGTCTTTATCTGAATGCAAGGGATACTTGGCCTGTTTTATTCACCATCACTGTAGGTTGCTGAGTAAATGTTGAATTAACGAATGCATCACTGAATAAGTTACTGATAGCCTGCACACAGGAAGTGTTGGGCTGGGGTTCTCCGTGAACCTGGGGAAGTGAGGAGGTTTGCAAAGACAGGAAGAGTCTGGGGTGGGGAGATACCCAGGCTAGGCTGGGGAGATACCCAGGCTAGGCTGGTGGCGCTCAGGGGAGAGGACAGAGGTGAGGGGACTTAATAAGCACCTAGAGAGATGCCTAAGACTCTCAGTTAACCGTCTAAAGTAGGGACACTTTATTGCCATTGCACAGGTAGGGAAACTGAGGCCCAAGGGAATTAACCCTGACCTGGCCAGGAGCCAATGGAGGAAACCCTGTACAGTTTGATGCACAAATATTTATAGAGTTCCCACTAGGCTCCCAGACCATCCCTAGGAGCCGAGCTGCCCCTTGACCCCATCCAGGCCTCAGTTTCCCCGCTCACACTTCGCCCCCGCCTCGTGGGATTCTAAACTGTTGCTCCAAGGTGGGAGTTGAACGGAAACTACAACTCCCGAGAGGCTGTGCGGCCAAAGACACACGAGAACTACGGAGGCGAGAGACTCGCTCAGCCAACTGCCGCTCTCGTAAGGCTCGGGCTGCCCTTGGCGCTGCCGATCCGAGACGTTGCTGCATTCAGGCATTCGCCGACGACAGACCAGCGCGGGGCGGGGTTAGGCGGAGGGGGCCTGATTCGGATTCGGCGCAGGCGCAGTCCGCGCGGGTTCTCGCGCGGAGAAGGGGTGCGAGCGGCGGCGGCGGCGGAGGCTGCCATGGACGACGAGGAGGAGACGTACCGGCTCTGGAAAATCCGCAAGACCATCATGCAGGTGAGCCGCGCCTGGTGTTGGGGGCGGGGGCGCGGGCGGCGGGTGTAGGGGCCCGAGGTGGGGTCGAGCACGGCGTCTCCTCGTACTCTCGTCGGAGCAGCAGCGATGAAGGGCCGGGCCGATACGGGAGGCCCAGAGGTCGCCGGGGATACCAGGCGCTGGACCCGACCTGAGCCGGCAGCGGGGAAGGGAGGGGGTTTCGAGACGTCTGGGTGCGGTGCTTAGGGGTGGGTGGGCGGCTTGGGCTGGTGCGGCGCGCGTGGCGGCGAGAGGAGGAGGAAGCCGCGAATGGGGACGGGGGGCGCCCCCAGACTCTGCCCTTCTCTGTGATTCAGCGTCGCTATTTGTCCTTGCGTCCTGAACCCCATGGAGTCTTCAGCATCCGAGGCTGGCAGAGTTGGTGGTTGGGAAGCAGCGGGCGAGCTGGGGCTTTCGATGGGGACGTGGAGCTCGGAACCCGTGCCTTGGGGTCTGGGGCAGATGGAGGCCACTGGGTCGAGTCCGGTTTGGAAGCCGGGCACAGGCCTGAGGACCTGCGGTTCAGGGTATTGCCTCAGCCATTGGGGCCGTTTGAGAGCTTTTGCTTTGTCTTGCTTCCCACCCTTTGCCCTTGTCCTCAGCGAAGCCCCCCGCAGCCTGATTCTTCTTTCTCCGATCCTCAAACATTGTCAGCCTGAAGTCACATCTGTTTCGGTCCCTGTCATTTTTTTTTTTTAAGAGATAGGGTTTCATTCTGTCGCCCAGGCTGCAGTGCAGTGGTGCAATCATAGCTCACTGCATCCTTGAACTGGCCTCCAGCAACCCTCCTGCCTCAGCCTCCCTAAGTACTGGGATCACGGGCGTGAGCCTCCGCGCCCCGCCTTTGTCCCTGCCTTTAGGGTAGCTCTGCAAAGTGGTTTGGAGGGCTTTGCTCCCTGCCAGGTTTCTGTGAGGCTGGGTGGACAGACGGTCTTGGTCAAGGCTGGACATCTCTGGGAGCCTCTCAGGATCATACTGGTCCCATCCTGTGGTGTGAGGCTGTGGGGGCCGGGGTGGCTGTCATGGAGCACACAGTGAGTGTTCATCCCGTTTGCTGTTCACCTCTGTCCTCTGCAGCAGCCGCAGGTCTGACTTCCGGGTCACGAGCTTTGGCCGCCTTCCTCTCTCTGCCCTGGGGTCAGCTGGTTCTTTCTCTCTGCAGCTGTGCCACGACCGTGGCTATCTGGTGACCCAGGACGAGCTTGACCAGACCCTGGAGGAGTTCAAAGCCCAATCTGGGGACAAGCCGAGTGAGGGGCGGCCGCGGCGCACGGACCTCACCGTGCTGGTGGCCCACAACGATGACCCCACCGACCAGATGTTTGTGTTCTTTCCAGGTGAGCAGCGGGTCCCGGGGGAGTTCCGGTGAAGCCACCAGAGCACCTGCCGAGGAGCCGGTCGCTAGCACCCACCCCCACTCGCCTGGTGCCCAGCATTTGTCTCTCTGCCCAGTCTGGGAGGAAAACTCCCCTCCCCTTCCTTGCTGTGGGTGATGCCGTTGATCTCTGACCCCTCTCATGCTCAGCTTCTTTCTAGTTTCCCTCTCAGTCCCCTTCTCTCTTCCTGCCAACGAGGAGAGTCACAAGGGCCTCCCCACTCACCCCCAGCCCCCCATGTCCTTTGCCCTAGTGTCCCTTGGCTCCCCCATCCTGGCCGTTGGGTGCACTTCCAGCTTCTTGGCCTGGCCCAGGAGGCCCCGTCTGGGTCAGCGCAGCCTCCTTGTGAGCTGCGGCCCCTGCCCGCCCCAGCCCATTCCTCCGCACCCCATGCCCCCTCTCCCCTGTCAGCGTCCGGTACTCGTCCCTCGAGCTTGTGCTCGGGCCTCTTTTCCCAGGACCCCTGGGACCCTCGGTTTCAGCACCTGCTTTGCGGAAGTCTCCGCACCTGTCTGCCTCCCTAGTATGGCTCTAAAGCCCTCAGCGGTTGGGGGATTGCAAGCGCCTTAGGGGCGCAGCCCCACGCCCAGAATTAATCAGTGGGGTGACGGAGCACGTCTGCCAACCGGACCTGGTGACGCTGCTGGGTTTTTTTGTTTTTTTTTTGTTTTTGTTTTTTGAAAAAGAGTCTCAATCTGTCGCCCAGGCTGGAGTGCAGTGGTGCCATCTCGGCTTGCTGCAGCCTCCACCTCCTGAGTTCAAGCGATTCTCCTGCCTCAGCTTGAGTAGCTGAGATTACAGGCACCCACCACCACGCCTGGCTAGTTTTTCTTTGCATTTTAGTAGAGATGAGGTTTCACCATGTTGGCTAGACTGCTTTCAAACTCCTAATCTCAGGTGATCCGCCCGCCTCGGCCTCCCAAAGTGCTGGGATTACAGGCGTGAGCCACCGCGCCCAGTCTTTTTTTTTTTTTTTTTTTTTGAGACTGAGTCTCCCTCTGTCACCCAGGCTGGAGTGTGCAGTGGCGCAATCTCAGCTCACTGCAACCTCCACCTCCCAGGTTCAAACAATCCTTCCACCTCAGCCTCCCAAAAAGCTAGGTTTACAGGCATACACCATCTCACCTGGCTACTTTTTCTTTTTGTATTGTTTATTAATTAATTAATTAATTTTTTTGAGACAGAGTCTTGCTCTGTTGCCCAGGCTGGAGTGCAGTGGCGCAATCTCTGCCCACTGCAAGCTCTGCCTCCCGGGTTCACGCCATTCTCCTGCCTCAGCCTCCCGAGTAGCTGGGACTGCGGGCGTGGGCTAATTTTTTGTATTTTTAGTAGAAACGGGATTTCACCTTGTTAGCCAGGGTGGTCTCGATCTCCTGACATCGTGATCTGCCCACCTTGACCTCCCAAAGTGCTGGGATTACAGGTGCGAGCCACCGCGCCCATCCTGTATTGTTAATAGAGACCGGGTTTCACCATGTTGGCCAGGCCGGTTTAGAACTGTTGACTTCAAGTGATCCACCTGCCTCAGCCTCCCAAAGTGCTAGGATTACAGGTGTGAGCCACCGCACCCGGCCTCAGGTGATGCTTCTTAAAGAGAGCGTCCTGGGGTGTGAGGTCTGCTTGTTGGAGAGGTTGGTGCTGAGTCACCCGCCTCCCCAGAACTGCCCAGGGTGGGAGCCTCTCAGAGTCGAAGGTCTCTGCTTCTCCCTGGTCTCTGGGTGACTGAGGGGTGTCAGCCCCCTGTCCCTGTCTCCGGGTGAATGAGAGGTTTCAGCCCTCTCTTCCCCTGTCCTGGGATCCTGCAACTCAGGCCTCGTTTTGCAAACGCGGAAGCCGAGGCCCGAGCAGGAGAGACACCTGTGTGGAATGGGGCTGGAACCTGGGTGCTCTGGGCTCTGGGTGGGCGAGGGCCACGAGGGCCCAGGCTCGTGCAGGCCAGCACACTCTCTGTCTGCAGAGGAGCCCAAGGTGGGCATCAAGACCATCAAGGTGTACTGCCAGCGCATGCAGGAGGAGAACATCACACGGGCTCTCATCGTGGTGCAGCAGGGCATGACACCCTCCGCCAAGCAGGTGGGCACCCCTGCCCCACCCCGCCAGCCTCTCCCCCTCCCCAGCCTCCTCCCGCAAGCAGTACCCACAGGCGGCCCACGTGCCTTGGGCTTTGGGCCAGGCCAGCCAGGGTGCCCTGGAGGATGTGGCCGGGATGTCCGGCAAGCCCCGACCGCCTCCCTCCCACCGCGTCCATGGGCCCCACCCCAGGCAGCCGCCGTCCTCCCCCAGCTCTCAGGAGGGGCGTCAGGGCGGAGGGCACTGTGCCTCTCGCCAGCTCCTGTGGGCTCCAGCCCTCGGCCTGGTGCAGATTCCAGGAGCCGGAGGTTCTTTATCCTGAGCTGATGTCCAGGGGGACTTGCAGAGGAGGCCCGGCACGGGGTCCTCCAGGGGCCTATCCGTGTTCCCCGTCTGTCTGTCGGACACTCTGGAGCCAGGCTGCTGTGCTGTGACGGGCAGTCAGCAGAGCAGTTTAGTCCCTGGCCCACCAGCTGTGGGGTTCACGCAGCCACACAGAGCAGCACCCCTGTATGGGGAAGAGGTCGCCCTGCCAGCTCTGAGGGCCGCCCCTGGAAGCGTGTGATGGATGGAAACACATCCGAGTTTCCACGGCCACTTCACTGCTGGATGAGGCTCTCGATGAGCAGAGAGGCTGGGGAGGGGCGGGCTGTTGAAGGCTCCTGGGCTGGCGGTGGGGTTTTCTGATTCACGACGTGGGTGTGTTGTTGGGGCACACGAGTAAGCCCCAGGTAGCTTGAGGCAGGAAATGGGGTTGGGGTTGTCTGGGCCCCTCCGGGCCGTGCCTTAGAGCCGCTCTCTTCCAGTCCCTGGTCGACATGGCCCCCAAGTACATCCTGGAGCAGTTTCTGCAGCAGGAGCTGCTCATCAACATCACGGAGCACGAGGTGGGCGCGCGCCGCGGAATCCCGCCTGCGTGGGGCCGGCAGAGATGCAGCGTTTGTGGGTGGCCAGGAAGATGTGGGATCTGGGGCCCAGGGCAGGTGTTCCTATTAGTGCATGGAGGACAGGGTTCTCAAAGGGTGGCCCTGGGCCTGCAGCAGCCGAACCCGGGAGCTTCCTAGAAATGCAGATCCCGGCCGGGCGCGGTGGCTCACACATGTAATCCCAGCACTTTGGGAGGCCGAGGCGGGCGGATCACGAGGTCAGGAGTTCCAGACCATCCTGGCTAACACGGTGAAACCCCGTCTCTACTAAAAATACAAAAAAATTAGCCAGGCGTGGTGGCGAGCGCCTGTAGTCCCAGCTACTCGGGGAGCCGAGATTGTGCCACTGCACTCCAGCCTGGGAGACAGAGCAAGACTCCATCTCAAAAAAAAAAAAAAAAAAAAAAATGCAGATCCCGGGCCCACCCCAGCCTGTAGAATCGGGACTGCTGGGAGTGTGGAGGGACCCTAGTGCTGGGACAGGAGGAGTCCCAGCAGGAGGTGGCTGTGCCCAGCCCGTCTGCCTCAGAAGCCCCAGGAGCTGTGACTCCGTCCCCCGCCTGTGGAGCCAGGGTGGGGTGGGTGGGCTCCCTGAGTGCCGGGGATCGGGGTGGGGTTCAGGGCTCTTGTCCGTCTGAAGGCGCAGGGGCTGTGGTGGCACCTGGGAGCCACGTGGGGTCTCACCAGCCCTTGGTGATGCCTGGTGGCTTCCTCTCTCGGCAGCTAGTCCCTGAGCACGTCGTCATGACCAAGGAGGAGGTGACAGAGCTGCTGGCCCGATAGTATCCTTTCCAGCCCCACCGGCCCCGCCCCTCCCTGTCCCTCGAGACTTCCGCGTTCCCCCCCCACACACACCCCTGCCCCCCCAACGGCCCTGTCTGGCATTTTCCTGACGGTGCTTCGCAGTAAGCTCCGAGAGAACCAGCTGCCCAGGATCCAGGCGGGGGACCCTGTGGCGCGCTACTTTGGGATAAAGCGTGGGCAGGTGAGCCCTGTGGGGAGAAGGGGCCCTGGGGCTGCTCTGAGCTGACCACTCGGAGAAGGGGGCTTCTGTCCCTCCCCGACAGCCCCTCCCCCTTGATCCAGGGCCTGGAGGGGACCTCGAGACCACACCCCCAATATCCCCCTCTTAAAGCCAGGGCCACTGGGCCCAGAGAAGAGCGTGACCCAGGTTCCCAGGGAGCGGGTCCCACAGCCCAGGGTCAGCCATCTCGGACCCCTGCCGGCCATCCCCAGCCCGTGTGCTGCCCGCCTGCTGTCTGGTGACTGCAGTGAGACCCCTCAAGCATTCGCAGCCCCTGCTCTCTGTCTCTGCAGGTGGTGAAGATCATCCGGCCCAGTGAGACGGCTGGCAGGTACATCACCTACCGGCTGGTGCAGTAGCTACCGCCTGACAGGTGAGACGGCCGAGGGACAGGCACTGAGGTGGGGTCAGAGGCAGGGGTGTCGTCCCCTCCGTCGGTGTGCAGGGCTGTTCTTGCTTTGTCCGGCAGCAAGACCCTCCTAGCACCAGCCCAGCTGGGCCACCAGGCGCTCCCAGGACACCCCCAGACCCCCAGACCCCACCCGACCGTAGGCTGCAGCTCTTGGGGCTGTGCGCCTGGACGGGAGAGTCCTGGTACGCGGGGCGTGCGTCTCTCCGCCGCTGACCCACCTTAGAAGCAGGAGACGTTCACCTGCAGGGCAGTTGTGCGGCGGGACTTTCCAGAAGAGGGTTTAGAAACCTGCCCAGAGACCCCAGAGCTGAGAGAGGAGGCACAGCTTCAGGCCAACCCTTCCCTGAGTGGGCACCTTGGGAGGGACTGGCCGGAGTCTCAGGAGCGGGACAGCCTCTGCCCATGGCGAGAGCCTCCCAGCTTCCCCTGGACTCTGGTCATGGCGAGCTGCTGTCCTGCAGGCCGCCCCACTTCACACTCAGCCCAGGGGTGGGGCTTGGCCTGGTCTGACGCTGGCACGGTTCCTTTGAGGTCAGAGCTACTGCCCACGCCTGTGTGACCGCTGGGCACAAGGGAGCCGTCCGGCCTCTGCACTGCGGCCTGGGCCGCCTCCTGCCAGGCCTCCCGCACCCCGTCACGTTCGGTGGGCGTTGTGCTGTCCTGGGCATACTGGATCTGCCCCTGTCGTGTGACCACTCTCCCCCTTTCCTAGCCCCTAGAGGCGGACACACAGCGACCCCCATCCCTGCAGGACAAACGCCCCTGCCCTGCCAGAATCCGGCCCCCACAGCTCTCACGGCTGCTGCTCCTCTGGACTCCCCAAGGCAGGTGGCCTCCACCCACGTTCTCCCGTCCTGGGGTGAGGCTTCCTGTGGCCCAGCCCGCCCCATTCACCTGTGGATTTGTGCGAGATGCAGCCTCAGAAGGAACAAGGCCCCCAGAGGGAGGTCACCTGGGGGCAGCTGGTGCCGGGTCTTCACCCAGACCACGCTGGGTCCCCTCTGTTGGGGGTTTGGGGTCCGGGTCTCCCACCAGCCACTGCTTCCTCCTGGGCCCTCGGCCTTCCACCCCTCGTCTTCCCTCCCTCGGGGGCCCTGATGCGTGGCGGCCCCCGCCCGGCCTCGGCTCTTTACTCCATTCACAGCCATGCACGCGCTCAAGCCACCAGGGTGCGAGATGCCAGCTCTGGAGTTCTCGGTTGTTGTAGGAGGTTGGGTGTTTTCAAATGGTAAAGATGTTTTGAGCAAATAAATTTGCTTGATACAGAAACCAGGCCGACTAACAAGGTTTCCAGCAGGTGGCCTTGCCTCACCCCAAGCACACGAGGTCAGCCTGGCAGGTGTGCCCTCCTCGCGCTGGCTTCAGGGGTCAGTGTCTCCCCAGGCCCTCGCCCTGCCCTCCCACTTCGTGCTCCTGGGTAAGGCGTGAGCGTGTCTGTCTCTTCCCTTCCCGTGAGGGTGTGGAGTTGTTCTCTGGCTTGTGCAGCTGTGGTTTGCGGCCAGTTCCTCTTACAGACGTTTGGGATCTGGCTCTACTTCCCCGTTTGCTTACTGTCTGATTTCAGAAGGCCTCGCCTGCCCAAGTTTAACCTAGCCACGTGGTTCTCTCACAGTAGCTTTATTAAGATGTAATTCACCCTCGGGCGGTCGGTGGTCTGTAACGCGCCCACTGTTCTGTGCAGCAGGGTCCCCAGATCCCCAGGCCGCGGACTGTGTGTGTGATGGGGACAGTGCTTCCCCTTCTCTCCAAATGTACTTTTTTCAAAATTGTCTTGGCCAAAGCAAGCCAGACCCAAAGGGACAAACACTGATGTCACTCCTAGGAGGTCACTAGAGTCGTCAGAGACTGGAAGTAGGATGGGGGTTCCCGGGACTGGGGAGTTGGGTGGGGATGGGGGTTCCCAGGGCTGGGGAGGAGGGAGGGGACAGAGTGTGTCATGTGCACAGTTTTAGTTTGGGAAGATGAGAAAATTCTGGAGGTGGCCGGGCGCGGTGGCTCACGCCTGTAATCCCAGCACTTTGGGAGGCCGAGGTGGGCGGATCACCTGAGGTCGGGAGTTCGAGACCAGCCTGACCAACATGGCAAAATCCCATCACTGCAAAAAATACAAAAATTACCTGGGCGTGGTGGTGCATGCCTGTAATCCCAGCTACTTGGGAGCTAAGGCAGGAGAATCACTTGAACCCAGGAAGTGGAGGATCGCTTGAGCTCAGGAGTTAAAAGACCAGCCCGGGCAACACAGAGAAACCCCCCACCTCTACAAAAAACTTTAAGATTACCTGGGCACAGTGGCTCACACCTGTAATCCCAACACTTTGGGAGGCTGAGGCGGGAGGATCATTTGAGCCCAGGAGGCCGAGGCTGCAGTGAGCTACGATTGTGCTCCTGTACTCCAGCCTGGGCCACAGGGTCACACCCTGTCTCAAAAAAAAAAAAAAATGCAGTTCCACAGGCGCATGGGCCACGTTTCCAGTGCTTGGTGGCCATGTGGGGCTGACGTGCGAAACCTTAGAGCCGGGGGATACGTCCGTCATCGAGAACGTTTTCCTGGACTGCCCTGGGCTGCAGGTGGACGTGACGAGGTCATTCGATGCCTGACCGTCTGCACAGCCTGTGGTGAAGACCACCCGGGCTCCCACCTCGCGGGGCCCCGTGGCGGGGGGTTCCCTTCCTCACACATCCCTCCCCTAGGGGGAGGCCCAGGGCCACGCCACGGGGCTCTCTCTGTCCCCTCCCTGGCCCCTTCTTCTAAGCTTGCAGCTGCCACAGAAAATCTTCTAAGCTTGCAGCTGCCACAGAAAACACCCGATTAAAAACTTTTTATTTCAGCAAAATAAACGTGCCTGTGAAAGAACCACACGGTGGCTTCCGAGAGACCCCACTGTGTACCTGAGCCCCAGGTGGCCACACCTGGTGTTCTGGAAAAGGGAGTCCAGGGCCAGTATTCAGGCCCTGCTGTACTGCACCCTGGAAACTGCACCAAACCCCAGCTCCGCCCCCATCCACGGCTCCCAGAATGGTTTCTGGAGTCCCTGCAACAGACCTGTGAGGAGAGGGCAGGGCAGGGCCTGCCTCCTGCGTCCCCGTGATGACCTGGGGGATGCACTGGGCAGGGACAGCTTCCTCCATCCACACAGCCCTGTGGGCACCAACAAGGCCACTGTGACTTCACACGACAGCAGTGTTCCCCAGCTCAGCTGAGCCGGGGTGCAGGGGACAGCACAGGGCACAGTCCTGTGCCGCAAGGCCCTCGTGCTCCTGGAAGCCTCTGGGAGGAGGCGCCCGCTGGTGGGACGTCGAAGTCCAGGCGCTCTCGGCAGCGACCCCAGGACGGCGCACCTAAGCTATGCCGTGGTGCAGGGGACGTGCTGGAGGGACAGGAGCAGGCAAGAGAGAAGCCACCTGTGGTCCCAGCCCCACCCCAGCTCACACGAATTCCGGCTGCCTTTCCCTGCAGGAGCCCAGTGTCATCCGCCCGCCACGGAGCCTCATGGGGGGCAGTGGGGCCTGCAGCACGTTGTTGGACTGGTTGGTGTTGAATCCTGAGAGCTGCTGGGCCGGGCCGTCCTCGTCCCCGTCCCCGTCCTCCCGGGCTGTGGCCTCCAGCTGCTCCTCACTGCCGCTGTGGCTGCCAGAAGCCACCTCTAGGCTGGCCTCGCTCTGCTGCTGCTCCAGGAAGCTGAGGTGGCCCAGGGCACTGGCCTCCGATGAGGACAGCAGCTCGGAGGCCTCCTCTAGGTCCGAGTCCGAATCGTTGGACACAACTCGGGATTCTAAGAAAGGGAGACAGATGGCGGGGGGAGACAGACAGGAGAGATGGAGGAGAGACAAGGGGAGGGACAGACAGGAGAGATGGGGAGAGACAGGAGAGGGGGGAGAGAGATGGAGAGACAGGAGAGATGGGGAGAGACAGGAGAGATGGAGGAGAGACAAGGGGAGGGACAGACAGATGGAGAGACATGGCGGGGAGGAGGAGAGAGAGACAAGGGGAGAAACGGAAGGAGAGAGGTGTTGATAGGGTCTGGCTCTGTGTCCCCACCCAAACCTCATCTTGTAGCTCCCATAATTCCCACGTGTTGTGGGAGGGAGCTGGTGGAGGATGGTTGAATCCTGGAGGTGCGTCTTTCCTGGGCTGTTCTCATGATAGTACGTGGGTTTCACAAGATCTGATGGTCTAAAAACTGGAGTTTCCGGACACAAGCTCTCCCTTTGCCTGCCACCATCCATGCAAGATGTGACTTGCTCCTCTTTGCTTTCTGCCATGATTGTGAGGCCTCCCCAGCTACATGGAACTGTAACTCCATTAAACCTCTTTCTTTTGTAAATTGCCCAGTCTCAGGTATTTCTTTTTGAGACAGAGTCTCTCTCTCTTGCCCGGGCTGGAGTGCAGTGCCATGATCTTGGCTCAGTGCAACCTCTGCCTCCCCGGTTCAAGTGATTCTCCTGCTTCAGCCTCCTGAGTAGCTGGGATTACAGGTGCCCTCCACCACACCTGTCTAATTTTTGTATTTTTAGTAGAGATGGGATTTCACCATGTTGGTCAGGCTGGTCTTGAACTCCTAACCTCAAGTGATCTGCCTTGTCCTCCCAAAGTGCGAGGATTACAGGCGTGAGCCACCGTGCCCAGCCTCAGGTATTTATTTATCAGCAGTGTGAAGACAGACAACACAGGTGTCCCATAACTAGATGCGGCACTCGGCCAGCTGCCTCTGACAGGTGGTGCTGGCCCCACGTGGGTCAAACTCCCAGCCCCACGCCCTTCTCTAGAAAAACGGGCTCCTGCAGGAAAGGCACTTAGCCTGACCTGGTGCACCTGGAGCCTCACAAGGCATCAGCCCCACGTTCACGTTACTGGTTTCTGAGTGCGGGGTAGGCACCTCAAAAGGCACTGCCTTGCCTGTTTTTGCAGCCGGTTAAAGGACACTGAATGAGTAGCTCATAGGTGTGGTCTCCGTGGCAGACGAAATCCACAGAATGTGCAGCACCGTGGACCCTGCCACGTGTGTACAACTAGGTCATGGCACCTGCGCCCATGGGTGGCACACGCCAGCCTCCCTTGGGGCCGTTCGGGCAGCCACACACTCACCTCTGCACCCGTCCGCCGCCGCCTCCTGCAGCGGGTAGACCACCGCCTCGCCCGCCTCCAGGTACGGCACCTGGACGACTACCTCAGCTCGCTGGTTGGATGACTCGTCCTGCAAGTGCAGAACGGAAGTCATAGAGGGGCCGGGGCTCCATTTTCCATGTTATAAATTAACAAACCCACCCACACAGCCCGTAACAGCTACTGACACCCGCTGTTGCCCAGGCGGTCTGTCCTCAGCCAAGAGCAAACCCGAGAAACCGCAGCCCCTAAACACCCAGGGAAGATGGATTGAAAGAATACGAGACGCCGCGTGCAGTGGCTCACACCTGTAATCCCAGCACTTCAGGAGGCCAAGGGGGGTGCGGATCACTTGAGGTCAGCAGTTCGAGACCAGCCTGGCCAACAAAGTGAAACCCCATCTCTGTTAAAAATACAAAAATTAGCCGGGTGTGGTGGCCGGCGCCTGTAGTCCCAGCTACGCGGGAGACTGAGGCAGGAGAATCGCTTGAACCTGGGAAGCGGAGGTTGTGGTGGGCTGAGATCGCCCCATTGCACTTCAGCCTGGGCAGCAGGAGCGAAACTACAACTCCCAGAAAAGAAAATCTGAAGCGGGGAATTGACCTCGCGGCGGAGTGCAGTGGCAGCTCGGGCAGGCTGTGGACACCGGGCCAGCGTGGAGCTTGTGGCTGCAGGCAGCACCGGGATGGGAAACGGGGAAGGAAGCTGGGGGTGAAGGGTGAGGCCCAAGGCCAGCCCCAAGGGAGAGTGGAGGGGCGGCCGCAGAGCCTTTGCACCTCTGCCAGATTCAATGCAGACCTCGCTGAGTTTTTTGCATAAAAGACACAAAAAGACAGTGGCCTCCCGAACAGCCCTGTCCAAACCAAATTATCTCCCTGTGGTTCCTTGGGCTTCATCCGACAACGACTGTCCCCAGCAGCGCCCCCTGCTCCCCAAGCCCCGAGTGGCCAGCCCCGGTCAGGCCCACACCCTCACCTGGCCCCCGGGGGTCTCCTCCGGCTCCTCCTCGAAGACCAGGCCGTAGTGGACGATGAGAGTCTCGATGACGCGGGCCTGATGGGGATAATCCACCAGGGAGGAGAGGGACACGGTGGCCTCGGTGGGCCGTGGCCGAAGCAGCGTGGGCCCGAACACGATGCCCAGGTTCCCGGGGGTCATCTTGTTGTCCTGCTCCACCTCCACGATCCTGCGGGGTGGGCAGGGGCCAGGTGCTGAGCGGCTCCCGGGACCCCGCGCCCTCCACTCCATATGCCGGGACTCACCTGCGTAGGTGACGCAGCAGGTACTGCAGCGAGGCCCGGTTCTCAGGCGGCAGGTCCCGCAGGAGCTCCCGCAGCCGACCTGCCAGGGCCACCGCCACTGCCTCGCTCTCCGAGCCGTCCTGCCGGCCCCGGGACGCCGCCTTGGCCTCGGCCTCTGCCTTCAGGCTGTCCTTGGCCAGCCCTACGAGCTCGTGGTAGAGGCGGAAGGAGATGAGCGGCTCGGGAAGCTGCGCAGAGTCAAGGGTCAGCAGGTGTTGGTGGGCCTGGCCCAGCCCCCACGTGTGCCTGCCACGCCCCCAGCCTCAGCCCCACCCCCACAGAGCACTGGCCACACCCCACCGAGCTCGGGTTCCACCCAGAGCGGCGTCAGTCCCCTTTCCCAGCCCAGCGTGAGCCCTGCCCCTCCTACCCGGGCCACGCCCGCAGCTCCACTCCCTTTCTCGCTCTGGCCACGCGCGCCCCGCCCTGCAGGTACCCTAACGAGCTCCGGCTCCACTCAGCATAGTCTGACCCCTTCCCAACCACCTGCGAAGTGCTGGTCCCACTCCCATCCCAGCCCAGCTCCGCCCTTCCCCAGACATGACCACGCCCCTAGCCCCAGTCCCGCCCTTCCCCGGGGATGACCACGCCCCTGGCCCCAGCCTCGCCCCACCAAGCCCAGGCCCCACCGCCAGCCCCGCACTTGTCTAGCCTCAGCCCCGCCCCTAGCCTCATACGGGTCCCTGCCAAGCGCTGAACACGCCCATCTTGCTCTGGCCACGCCCCACCGAGCCCCGGCCCCGGCCCCGCCCCCGCACAGCGTCAGGTGTGCCTCTGCCGTGGCCACACCCCTGCCACGTGCTGACCAAGCCCCACCCCGCCCCTCCTGTCCCTGTCCGTGCCTCGGCGCAGAACTGGCCCCGCCTCGCTCCTACCGTGACCACGCCCCCAGCCTCAGCCCTGCCCTGCCAGGCACTGTCCCGCCCACCCTGTCCTCCCCAGGCCCCCGCTTGCGCCAGTCCTGCTCCAGCTCAGTCCTGCTCCAGCTCCCGGACCCCCACCCCGCCTCCTCCTGCCTGGCTACGCCCCTTCCAGGCTCTGCCTGGCCACCACCGGTGGGTCTCACCTGACGCAGGTAGAGCTTGAGGACGTTGCTGATGTCGTGGGGCGAGGCCTGCGACAGCTCGACCAGCTCCTTGCCGTTCTCGAAGGCCTGGCACAGCTTCTCCACGCGTGTCTTTACCCCATTGACCCGGTAGATGCCCTGCGGGAGCCCGGGGGTGGGGAGGCCCATCAGCCTCGGCCCACTCCCGCCTCCTCGCTGTGAGCCGCTTCCTCCCCCGCCTCACCTTGGTGCGCAGCGCCCGCCGCTCGATCTCGCAGACGCACTTCTTGACGATGAAGGGCACGCCGTCGGGGGCGCTGCGGGCCGCGTGGCTGAAGTCCTGGCCGAACAGCTGCAGGCGGCCTTGCAGCTTCTTGTGCCCGCACTGTATGGCCAGCGTCTCCAGACATTTCTTGTGGCAGGCCAGGCAGCACTGGGGGCGGCCAGAGTGAGTGAGCCCAGCCCCGGGGCGCCCAGCTCAGCGCAGCCCCCAGCGGCTCCACCCCACCTCCCCGGGGCGCTCACAGCCCCCACACGGCAGCTTCTGCAAACACAAGCTGGACAGTGGCTCGTGGCTTCCACCCCAGGGGTGATCCCGCCTGCCCTGTGGCCTCCTCTCCTTCCCGCCCCTTGGTTTTCTGGACACAGCTCCAGGGCCTTTGCCCTCCAGGTCTTCTGGCCACAGCCCCAGGACTCTTCACCCTCCAGGTCTGCCCCCTGCCTCGCTGCCTCAGAGAGCCAACCCTGCTCCCCAGAACTAAAAGAGCCCACCCCACCCCCTCCGTTCGCTTCCTTCCAAAGGCGTCCGACTGCTCCCTGCTCTGGGCCGGACATTCCTGAGGGCACACAGGCCGGCGGTGCTGGGCACCCCAAAGGCTCCCGAAGGCTCCCAGCTGTCCGTCGGGGCGTCCCACTCACCTCTTCACACTCAGCACCCTGGAAGTAGACGTAGCTGTTGCACTCGCGGCACTTGGCGGGCGTGCGGAGCTTCCGGAGCCGGTGAGTACGGGCCGCCTTGGACAGCCCCTCGTGGCGGAACGGTCCACTGGGCACGGCCACCGGCAGCTCGGGGGTCATGCCGTTGAGGTCAGCTGCGGGCAGCACAGGCAGCCGGTGTCACCAAGGCAGCTCAGGGCCAGGCCCATGGACTGTGTCCAAACCCCCCTCTCTCTCCAGCCCCGTCAGGGGACCCTCACCCTGCTCAAAGGCTGAAGCCCCGGCTCCACCGTCTGGGTCCACCAGCTCCTCCGTGGACGACATGGTACCACTGGATGACGTCCGCTCGAACTTCTTAAAGTCCCCTGGGCGGGAATCAGGACTGTTCAGACTCCCCCAGCCAGGGGGGCCCCCTCCATCACCCCGGTGGGTGATGAAACCCTGAGGCTCAGGAGAGGAGGCAGCTCCACACCCCAGCCCGCCAGAGAGCCTCCCTCACCTGCGCCAGGGCCGGGGTCCAGCCCACTGTCCGAGTCTGAGATCGAGAGCGGCCATGACTTGTGAACCTGGTGTCCTCGCCCGGCTGGAGAAAGAGGCGTCTCTGGTGAAGGGCCAGGGTGGGTCGCAGGGAGCCAGCGTCCGCCCCTGGGCCCCGCCGGACACTCACCCCTGTGGTCCTTGGCAGGTGTGCCCTCAGTGCACCCGCCTTCTTCTGGGGGGCTCCCGGCAGCCTCCGGCCGCGCCACATCACTCACGTTGAAGCTGCTCTTCCGGGCACGCATGACGGGGGACCTAGTGGAAGAAACCGGGAAAAGGAGGGGAGGTGATGGGGGGCAAGACAGCTTCATCTTCATGCCCCCGACAGAGGGAAGCCCGGCTCCCAGGCAGGGCCTTGTGCGCCGGGGACAGGGCAGCTGGGTGGCGGTACCAGGCGTTGGCGGAGACGTGGGGCTCAAAGTCGTAGTGCACATCGGGCTCCTGGTCCCGCTGCAGCTGGCGCACGTGGGAGGCGTACTGCTGGCCTGGGTCATACAGCTTGCTGCTCTCACACAGCATCTGGAAGTGCACGGGCAGCGGCGCCGTCTGCATATGCATCATCTGGTAGTAGGAGATCGTGGCCTGCGGGCGGCACCGGAGAGCGGAGGGGTCAGGAGGAGGCCGCCCGGTCCACCATCCCCGCCCGGGCGGCCGGAGCACCCCACGCACCGACTTGATGGTTTGGTCGCTCTGCCGGATGACCTCCTGGATCTGCCGCAGCGCCGTCACCTTGGTATCCTCCAGCTCCTGCTTCTGCGTCTTCGCGTCGGCCACGCAGGTGCGGTAGGTGGCCATAGCTTCCTCCGCCTGCGGTGGGGGCGGGGCGCACAGAGAGAGGCCTCAGCCCGGGGTGCAGGACTCAGACAGAAACCTCAGGGAGGCGGGGCTGACGCCTGTCATCCCAGCGCCTCGGGAGGCCACAGTGGGAGACTTGCTTGAGGCCAGGAGTTCGAGACCAGCCTGAGCAACATGGTGAGACCCTCCCCATCTTTTTTTTTTTTTTTTTGAGATGGAGTCTTGCTCTGTAGGCCAGGCTGGAGTGCAGTGGTACGATCTCAGCTCACTGCAACCTCCACCTACCGGGTTCAAGCAATTCTGCCTCAGCCTCCCAAGTAACGGATTACAGGTGCCCCCCACCCACCATACCCGGTTAATTTTTTGTAATTTTAGTAGAGATACAGGGGTTTCACCATGTTGCCCAGGCTGGTTTCGAACTCCTGGCCTCATATGATCTGCCCGTCTCAGCCTCCCAAAGGGCTGGGATTACAGGTGTGAGCCACCACACTCAGCCTGAGACCCCCATCTTTATAAAGAATTTTTTTTTTTTTTTGAGACAGAGTCTCGTTCTGTCGCCCAGGCTGGAGTGCAGTGGCGCGATCTCGGCTCACTGCAAGCTCCACCTCCCGGGTTCATGCCATTTTCCTGCCTCAGCCTCCCGAGTAGCTGGGACTACAGGCGCCCACCACTACGCCCAGCTAATTTTTTGTATTTTTAGTAGAGACGGGGTTTCACCCTGTTAGCCAGGATGGTCTTGATCTCCTGACCTTGTGATCCACCTGCCTCGGCCTCCCAAAGTGCTGGGATTACAGGCGTGAGCCACTGCGCCCGGCCAAGAATTTTTTTAAATTAGCTGGGTGTGGCGGCACACGCCTGTGGTCCCAGCTACTCTAGAGGCTGAGGCGAGAAGATTGCTTGAGCCCAGGAGGTAGAGGCTGCAGTGAGCCATGATCACGTCACTGCACTCCAGCCTGGGTGACAGAACAAGACACTGTCTCAAAAATAATAATAATTTAAAAATCGGGGCCGGGCGCGGTGGCTCATGCCTGTAATCCCAGCACTTTGGGAGGCCGAAGTGGGTGGATCATGAGGTCAGGAGTTTGAGACCAACCTGGCCAAGATGGTGAAACTCTGTGTCTACTAAAAATACAAAAAAATTAGCTGGGCTTGGTGGCAGGGTGGCTGAGGCAGAGAACTGTGTGAACCTGGGAGGCGGAGGTTGCAGTGAGATCTCACCACTGCACTCCAGCCTGGGCAACAGAATGAGACTCTGTCTCCAAAAAACAAATTGGCCGGGCGCAGTGGCTCATGCCTATAATCCCAGCACTTTGGGAGGCCGAGGTGGACGGATCACGAGGTCAGGAGATCGAGACCATCCTGGCTAACACAGTGAAACCCCGTCTCTACTAAAAATACAAAAAATTAGCCAGGCGTGGTGGCGGGCGCCTGTAGTCCCAGCTACTCGGGAGGCTGAGGCAGGAGAATGGCGTGAACCCGGGAGGCGGAGCTTGCAGTGAGCCGAGACTGTGCCACTGCACTCCAGCCTGGGCGACAGAGCAAGACTCCGTCTCAAAAACAAACAAAAAAACAAAAAAACAAAAACAAAGGTCTGGAGGTAGTAAATGTCACACCAAGCATTGGATCTCCTCCTCCAGGGACCTCCAGCCCTGCCTCCACCCGCCCTCACCTTGTTCTTGGCCTCCTCCTCCAGCCGCCGCCGCTTGTCCAGGGTCTTGGTGGCCGTGCTGCCTGCTCCCGGCGCGCTGCCAGCCTGCTCCTCCTCCGCCTTGGCCACGAGGAAGCGAGCCTTGTCGTGGTCCTCGCAGCGCTGCACGTAACCCTGCTTGGCCTTGCGCAGGTTGGACTCCGCCTCTTGCTGTGGGTGTGGGAGCCAGGAGGCCAGTTCCAACCCTATCCTCGGATGGGACTCAGTCTCCCCAGCTCCTCCTTTCCTCCCCACCCCCATCTCTCTCAGCAAGGCCCCATGGCCCAGCTGGGCATGCAGAGGACCCTGCACAACAATCGGCAGCGGAAAAACAGGAGGAGTGGCCGGGCGCGGTGGCTCACGTCTGTAATCCCAGCACTTTGGGAGGCCGAGGCAGGTGGATCACTTGAGGTCAGGAGTTTGAGACCAGCCTGGCCAACATAGTGAAACCCCGTATCTACCCAAAATTTAAAACAATTAGCCGGGCATTGTGGTGCACGCTTGTAATCCCAGCTACTCGGGAGGCTGAGGCACTAGAATCGCGAACAGCTTGAACCCAGGAGGCGAAGGTTGCAGTGAGCCAAGATTGCATGCACCACTGCACTCCAGCCTGGGCAACAGAGATTCCAGCTCAAAAAAAAAAAAAAAAAAAAGAACGGGAGGAGGCACCCGTAACAGGACACTCGGAGAAATGGGTGTCCTGTGTGCCCACTCTGCAGCCCGGGAAGCTGAGGTGCAGCCAAGCTCTGCACAGAGGCTCACACGGCAGCCTCTGCAGACACGCACACCAGCCCCCACGGGAGCGTCTCCGGGCTCTTTTGCTTTCACTTCCCTCCTCACAGACGAGAACAGAGAAGCCGCCCAGGCAGGAAGCCAGGCGCCCACAGGTTGGCAGGAAGAGCACTTAGTCAAAAACCTGTGGGCTCGGGGGCCACACCTCACAACCTGCACCATCAGATTCGCACACAAACAAACGGACTCATCCAATTACTAGGAGACCGCCAGGCGCCATGGGTCACACCTGTACTCCCAGTGCTTTGGGAGGCCGAGGCAGGAGGATCACTTGAGGCCAGGAGTTTGAGACCAGCCTGGTCAACATAGTGAGACCCCATCTCTACAAAAAAATTAAAAAATTTAGCCAGACGTGGTGGCGCACACCTGTGGTCCTAGCTACTCGAGACCAGCCTGGCCAACATGATGAAACCCCATCTCTACCAAAGATATAAAAATTAGCCAAGCACGGTGTCTTATGCCTATAATTCCAGCACTTTGGAAGGACAAGGTGGGCAGATTACCTGAGGTCAGGAGTTCGAGACCAGCCTGGCCAAGGTGGTGAAACCCCATCTCTACTAAAAATACAAAAATTAGCCAGGCATGTTGGCTGGCGCCTGTAATCCCAGCTACTTGGGAGGCTGAGGCAGAAGAATCGCTTGAGCCCAGGAGATGGAGGTTGCAGTGAGCTGAGATC
This sequence comes from Homo sapiens, assembly GCF_000001405.40. Classification (NCBI taxonomy): domain Eukaryota; kingdom Metazoa; phylum Chordata; class Mammalia; order Primates; family Hominidae; genus Homo; species Homo sapiens. The sequence goes on along the minus strand of NC_000019.10, from coordinate 1,076,559 downwards.
GATCCACTGCACTGCAGCCTGGGCAACAGAGTGAGGCTCTTGTCTCAAAAAAAAAAAAAAAAAAAAAAAAAAAAAAGACTACTGCCAACAATCACAGGTTTCTACCTGGCAAAATAGGCCACAGGTAAAAATCAAAAGTCAAACAGTAAATTGTGGGAGGGGAATGGGGGGAGTCTAAAACTCACATGATTAAGGCCTAAGTTCTCTAATATGTAAAAAGCTCTGACAAATCAATGATAAGCCACTGTCCAGTACAAAGTAAGCAAAGGATAAGAACTAAGCAAAGGTTAAGAACTGAGGGTTCACAGAAGAGGAAAAGCAGGGCTGTGGCCTGGGAGGGTAGCTCATACACGCACGCCCCTTGACCCAGCAGTTCTATTTTGGGCACTGATCCCTCAGGCATCCTTGAGACAGGGGCACAAGCTTGTCATAGCAATGGTGTTCGTAACAGCAACAGCTCAGCCACTCCCAAGACGTCCATGAAATAACCTACTCAATCTCCTCAGCTGAGCCCTGCACAGCCGAAAAAAGGGGTTCAGGCTGCTTCATGCTGACTGATATCGGGTGAGCCTCTCTATATGGAGGTGAGGATAAAAATCAGGAGCAGAACAGGGCATGAGGTGAGCTGTCCTCGTGTGTACAAAACAGGGCAGATATGTGTTTGCCGGTATGTGCTGGAAGGAGCTAGGAGGGTGCGTTTCACTGCAGACCGTGTTAACACAGCTAAAAAGCAAACAAAAACTGGGCAACATAGTGAGTATACAAAAAATACAAAAAAATGAACTGGGTGTGATGGCTGGTGCCTGTAGACCCAGGAACTCAGGAGGCTGAGGTGGGAGGATCATTGCAGCCCAAGAAGGCAAGTCTGCAGTGAGGTATGATTGCGTCACTGCAGTCCAGCCTGGGTGACAGAGCGAGACCTTATCTCAAAACAAGCAAAGAAACAAACAAAAAGGCGCCGGCGTCTTTGAAATAACCCAAAAGCGAAGTGGGAAGAGAATACAGGCAGGAGGCCGGGTGGGTGCGGTGGCTCACGTCTGTAATCTCAGCACTTTGGGAGGCCGACGCGGGTGGATCACCTGAGGTCAGGAGTTCGAGACCAGCCTGACCACTATGGTGAAACCCCGTCTCTACTAAAAATACAAAAATTAGCCAGGTGTGGTGGCGTGCTTCTGTAATCCCAGCTACTCGGGACGCTGCGACAGGAGAATTGTTTGAACCAGGGAGATGGAGGTTGCAGTGAAAGCCTAGATGGTGCCATGGCACTCCAGCCTGCAGCCTGGGCGACAGAGCGAGACTCCGTATCAAAAAAAAAAAAAAAAAGAATACATGCAGGAGCATGGCGCTTTCCCAGTCCTGAGAGACCATCAGTCTCCCTCAACCCGGAGACCAGCTGCTTACAACCGAGGGAGGCACGGCTTCTCCCCATTTCTGCAGGGACAGCAGTGAGCGCCGGGCTCCTGGGTCCTTCCAGGCAGAGCTGGGGGCGACGGGGCTGGAGCATCTCCGACCCGGCTTGGCGTTGGGGGGGGCGGCCCAGCCTGCGAGGCCGCGCATGCGCAGGAGGCCGGGGCGTGTGCGGAGCTCGCCGCAGGGCCCTCGCTATGGGGCTGGGGCTGGGACTGCGCCTGCGCCGAGGCCCGCTGCCCGCCCCCGCCCGCCCCCGCCCGCCCGCCTCACCAGCTTCCTCTGGGCACGGTGCCAGGCCTCCTTGATCTCCTTCCTGCGCTTCTCGTGTTCAAGCCGCCGCAGGGTCAGGGGCTGGGGCGAGACGGGCCGTGAGTGGGTACCCCGGTGACACCCCCGCCCAGCCCGCCCTCCCGGGCACCACGCACCTGCATGAAGGTCTGGGTCTGCAAGGTGCCCACCGCCTGCACCATGCTGTGGCCGAACTCCAGGTCCTGCTCCAGGGCCAGCGAGTAGATGGACAGGAGCGGCATGTGGGGCTGTGGGTGGGGCACCGGCTCACTGGGTGGGGAGGGATGGAGGCAGGGCGGCCCCAGCACCCCCAGCCACCAGCTCCCTGGTCCCTGCAGCCACCCCCGTTAATGTAGAGGGGAAGCCCCTGCTCTTGGTCCCTGGGCCCTTGAAATGGGGCTGAGACTCACACCCGGGCCCAGGGACCCCCGCCCCGTGCCCGCGGGGCCCCCACCTCCTGCATGACGCTCTGTCTGCAGTTGTGAGCGATCTTCTGCAGGCCCTTGGCAAACTCCATCTCTGCGGGCCGGAGAGGGGTGTGAGGTGCTGGGACAAGGCCTTCCCAGCTCACCCAGAACCCCCTCCCTCCAGACCCACCCTGCTGGGACACCAGCTCTCACCCAGCGTCGTCCGCTTCTCCAGGTAGCTGATGAGGTCCTTCATGTACTTGGCCATGTTCTTGGCATACAGCAGTGCGGCATCCACGCCCCCCTCACAGCGCTGTAGCAGCACGTCCACCTCCTCGGCGGGCAGGCAGCCTGCAGGGAACGGGGGCCTGCTCAGCCTGGCCCGACCCGCGCAATGGCCCACCCCTCAAATGCCTGCCTGCCGCTGGGTGGGGGCTTACCGGCGTCACAGTCTTCCAGGCTGGGAGGCGTGCCCTCACTGCCCGGTCCATACAGGCTTTCCATGGACTGTAGGACGGAGACGCAGGTGAGACCAGCCCCATGCGGGGCCCTGGGCAGTGCCCACCCTTCAGGGGACGGTTGCTGCCTCCCCCAGAGAGGGAAACCAAGGCGCACAGGGGAAGCAGGGTGACTGTCTGGGCCCTGCAGACCTGAACCCGGCTGGCCTCCAGAAGCTGGACACAGGTGGCCCTGGCCCACCCCACTCACCTGGCTCGAGTCCCCAGGAGGCACTGCTAGGAGGGTGCTGCTGTCCACTTCACCCATGAGGAACTCGGACACTCTGCAGGGCCAGCGAGGTCACCATCGAGAGACACCCGGGCCCCCCACGCTCCCTTGCCCTGCCCCACAGGCTCCCGTGCTCACGTGCTACTGAAGGCCACAGCAATCGTCTCCAGGGCCTTCTCGAACTCCTGTTTCTCCAGATCATTGTTGCTCTCATAATGGAAGGCTGGGAAGCAGAGATAAGGACAAGGAGGTGGGCCCACTCTGGGAGGTGACCATCCCTGCAAGAACTGACCGGAGCCCTTAACCCAGGGGGAACAGGAGGGAGCTTGTGCCTGTCAAACTCCTATGCATCCTTCAAAACCCACTTCAAACATCCCCTCCTCCAGGATGCCCTTCTAGGCAGAGAGCCCTCGCAGCCCTGTTCCAGCAGGCTGACCTTTGACCTTGGCAATGAGGGTGCCGGCTGCGGTGAGCGTCTCCACGGTGTTCAGCAGCGGGTACTTGGAGATGATCTGATGCATGACACGCAGAGCCTCACCCAGGCACTCGTGGGCCCGCGGGCGGCGGGCCTCAAGGAGGTCTGCTGGGGAGAGTCGGAGTGAGCAGTGGGGTAGGGCCCAGTCCCAGGGAAAGTCTGTCCACCTCCTCCCTCTTTAGAGCTCCTGTTCCCAGATGGGGAAACTGAGGCAGAGGTGGAAGACGGCAGATGCCTGGGGCTCATTTCGAGACCGCGGGGAGGGCACTGTCCCTCCCTGGGCTACCGGCCAGATCAACAAAGGCCAGACGTTGGCCTAGGCACTCTGCTGCTCAGAACACTCTTTTCTTGTCCCTCCAGAAAGCAAACTGCCTCTTGTCCTTCAAGCTACAGTCCTGCAGCCCCTTCCTCCATGCAGCCCACCAGGCTCCTTCCCTGCCCTAACTCCTCAGGACTGCTCAAAGCCCTGTCCAGGTCTCTCTCTGCCCTTCCTAAGTGAGGAAACTGAGGCATAGAGAGGGGAAGCCATTTCTCAACAATCACACAGCTTTTCCATCTACGCTAGCTCTGAAGGCGTGAGAACGCCAGGCAGAGGGATCCTGCCTGGCTTTATCTCCAGGGCAATAGGGAGCCATAGAAGGTGTTAGAACAGAGGAGGTCAGATCTGACTGTTGGAACCTGGCTTTCACTGCCCTCCTCAGCCAGGGGTGGTGGCTTACACCTGTGACCCCAGCACTTTGGGAGGCTGAGGCAGGAGGACGGGTTGAGCCCAGGAATTCAAGACCAGCCTGGGCAATACAGTAAGACCCTGTCTCTGTAAGAAATAAAATAAAGAATAAAAAGCTAAATGCCCTCATCGAACGTTCTCAATTGGAAGAAGAAAAAAGCAGAGAGGGCCAAGCACAGTGCCTCATGCCTGTAATCCCAGCACTTGGTGAGGCCGAGGCAGGCAGATCACTTGAGGTCAGGAGTTTGAGACCATCCTGGCCAACATGGCGAAACCCTGCCTCTACTAAAAATACAAAAAGTAGCAGCGTGGTGGCACTCCTCTGTAATGCCGGCTACTCGGGAGGCTGAGGCAGGAGAATCGCTTGAAGCTGGGAGGCGGAGGTTGCAGTGAGCCGAGATCGCGCCACTGCACTCCAGCTGGGTGACAGAGTGAGACTCCTCCATCCCAAAAAGAAAGGAAAGAAAAGAAAGAAAGAAAAGGAAAGAAAAGAAAAGAAGGAAAGAAAAGAAAAAAGCAGAGAGTACAGGCGAAACATCGAGAGCCAGGCACACACCACGTAGTGGAAACAAACCCACGGAATTCGTAGGAGGGGAAAGGTACCCGGGAGGACAGAGGCCAGCGGGAGGGGCAGCTTTGACGCCTGACTGTACCGCTCAGAGGATGCCCCAAATACGAAATGAAATCTGAAAAAGTAAGTGCCCCATCCCTTTCGGCACCGAAGACCCCAGGTGAATGTCACCTCCGGGAAGAGACCGACCGAGTCACCCGCCAGAGATACCCCGCTGGCCGCCGCCGGGCCTGAGACCCCGGACCGGAACATGTCTTCGCTGCTGGATGCGAGGCGGACTCCGGGAATGGGATTGGGGCTCCAGGAGCTCCGGGAAGCCGCTGGGAGGCCCCGGCCACGCCCCTTCTCGGGACCTTCCAGCCGGGCACCCGGCACTCCGCGCGCGGCCGGCGCACGGACCCCCGGCTGTCCCCGCACACCCCCTACCCGGGAAGCCGGCGGCCGGCGCGACCCCTGCGCAGCGCAGGGATGCCCAGGTGCGCACGGCCAGGCCAGGCGCGCGGCAGCCGCTGCTCCCCCACCGCGGGCGGCAAACGGCCCGAGCGCCACGTGCTCCCGGACGCGGCGGGACCCAGCGCCCGGCACCTGTCCCCTCACCTCGGGGGCCCGCCCGGCAGCGCACGGGGCCCTCGTCCAGCACCGGGTGCGCCGTCCCGCAGATACACATGGCGCAGCCGTCGGGGCGCGGAGACCGCGAGCGCGTGGGGCCTGGCAGCTGACCGATGGGGGTCTCCGGTGGCCAAACCGGCTCCGGCCGGTCAGGAGGCCCCGCCCCCGCGAGGGAAACCCCGCCCTGGGGTCCCGTTCGCCCCAGCCTGGGTCCTTCCTTAACCGCAGAGCTTCGAGGTGGGGAGGGTCGAGGACGGGCAGGGAAACTGAGGCCCAGACCTGAAGCCCGGGAACGAGGAAGCCCGGGAAGTGTCGGGGTGGCACCGTCCATGTGGGTCCCCTCCTAGCTGCCTGAACGCGGGTCCCCAAGCTGTGGGGTGGACCCCACAACCATCGCTGCATGCAGGTGGCCCCATTTTATAGATAAGTCACCTGACACCTAGAGAGGGAAGGGGCTTGCCAGGGTCTCAGCAGCTGAGAAACATCGGGACTAGAGCCCACATCCTAGCCGCCAGGGTCTTCTCTGGCCTGGGGCGGCCCCGAGACGCACAGAAGGCGCCCCCAGCCGGGCGCGGTGGATCAGGCCTGTTATCCCAGCACTTTGGGAGGCGGAGCCGGGAGAACGGTTTTTAGCTCGGGAGTTCTAGACCAGCCTGCGCAATATGGGGAGACCCCGGTCTCTACAAAAAATACAAAAACTGGCCGGGCGCGATGGCTCACGCCTGTAATCCTGGCGCTTTGGGAGGCCGAGGTGGGTGGATCACTTGAGATCAGGAGTTCAAGACCAGCCTGGCCAAAATGGTGAAACCCCATCTCTACTAAAAAAAAAAAAAAAAGAAAGAAAAAAAATTAGCCGGGCACGGTGGCGCGCCCCTGCAATCCCAGCCACTCGGGAGGCTGAGGCAGAAGAACCACTTGAACCCAGGAGGTGGAGGTTGCAGTGAGCTGAGATCTCGCCCCTGCACTCCAGCCTGGGTGACAGAGTGAGACTCTGTCTCAAAAAAAAAAAAAAAAAAAGAAAAGAAAAGAAAAAGAAAGAAAAAAAGAAAAGCCCGGGCACGGTGGCTCATGCCTGCTGTAATCCCAGCACTTTGGGAGGCTGAGGCATGCGGATCACGAGGTTAGGGGTTTGAGACCAACCTGGCCAATATGGTGAAACCCCATCTCTACTAAAAATACAAAAATTAGCCAGGTGTGGTGGCACGCACCTGTAGTCCTAGCTACTCGGGAGCCTGAGGCAGAAGAATCACTTGAACCCGAGAGAGGAAGGTTGCAATGAGCCGAGATCGCGCCACTGCACTCCAGCCTGGGCGACAGAGTGAGACTCCATCTCACCATCTCAAATAAAATAAATAAAATAAAATAAATCAGGTGCAGTGGCTCATGCCTGTAGTCTCAGGTACTCGGGAGGCAGAGGTAGGAGGATGGCTTGAGCCCAGGAGTTCAAGGTAACAGTGAGCCTCAATCACACCACTGGACTCCAGCCTGGGCAACAGAGCAAGACCCTGTATCAAAAAAAAAAAAAAAAAAGTGCCCCACCCTGGCTGGCCCAGTTCAGACCTCCTGCAGGAGCCTGGGAGCTGAGCCCCGCCCAGGCCAGGCCTCCAAGGAAGCGCCAGGATCGGAAAGGAACCGAGATTAGGGTTTCCCCAGGAAAGCAGCCTAGCCCCCGCCCCTGGGACCAGATAACCCGGGGGCTCCCACTCCTCCCAGTGGGGACCGGGCCTTCCCCAACTAGTGCCCTGAAGGTGCAGAGGCCACTCCACCACTTGAGGTCCAGTCCTGGCTCTGCCCTGCCCTGGCTGGGTGAGCCAGGGGTCAGGGCCTCACTAGAGACTTAGTTTCGTCATCTGTAAAATGGGCGGCTGCTGGGAGCAGATCAGAGCGCCTGGCATGACCCTGGCACTGTGGTTTCTGGGAGGAGCCGGGGGCTGAAGGCAGCACATGAGGTGCCCGCCTGGGCTGCCAGGGACAAACAGGAAGCAGATGAAAATAACTCGGCAGGAAGCAGGGCTGTCAGCGGCCGCGTGGAGGAGAAAACGGAACTGCCGGCCTGCAGGCCGCTGGGTCCCAGCACCTCCGCCGCCTGATGACCCCATCCTGCCCCTCGCCATGCCTCCTGAATCTCTCTCCACCCAGACCTCAGCCAACCCCCAGTTTGCTTCATTCCAAGACACAGATCTGCCCCCATCTGTCCTGTGCTCTAACACCTTCTATGGCTCCCCATTGCCCTTCTGCCTGGCGTTGTCATGCCTTCATCCTACACCAGCGGCACCCCACACCTTGGCCCCCAAATGCATTCTCTGTTTCCGTGTTTCTGAGCCTGTGCATGGGACATTTCCTCTGCCTTTCCCTCCTAATTGCCATCAGATCCTTTAAAAAAAATAAAGTGGGCACCCTCTTGAGCCAGTGTACGCTCAGGGACTCCCCCACCAAACTCCTACACATCCCTCAGAGCCTTAGCTGTCATGGCCTCTTCCACACAGCCCTCCCTGCCATCTGAGCCTCCCTCCCTTCTGAGCCTCCCCAAGTCCCTCCCTCCATCCTCCCTTGGGTCTGGCTCTGTCTTCCACCCAGGCCTCGGTGTCCCCGTGGCTCTCACCGTCACGCAACACACACTCCTTAAGTTTCTCAAGGCCCTCAGCGAAGCGGGCCACGTCCGCCAGCAGATGGGAGATGTCCTCGACGACGTCCGGGCCGGCACCCTCGGTGGGCAGCTCGCCCGGGCTGGCGGCTGTCAGTGGGCTCCGGTGGCTCCGGCCCAGTGTCCAGGAGGCAGCACCCGACAGGGGGAAGCCAGCCGCGCTGGCGTGGCGGCTCAGGCTGGTGGGCCGCTTGAGGGTCCCTGTGGCCTTGACGCCGGAGGACCCAGCGGGCGGCTCCAGGCTTGGTCCGGGGAACACCGCGTCAGCCCCATCCTTCCTGGGCAGCTCCTTGGGCAGGTCCGAGGGGAGCTCGTTAAAGGGATTTTCCGGCCTGGACACGGCCTCAGTTTCCCCAGAAATGAAGTGGGGCTGTGGAGGGCCACCATCACCCTGACCCCACAGGGGTCAAAGGCCAGAGGTCACAGGGCCGAGATTTGGTAGTGTACCCCCCCACCTGTTACCCAACATCCTCTTCCCTAGAGCTTTCACAAACAACGGTCCTTGCCCAAACCACAGCCGGGGCGGGGCCTGCGGGGAGGCGCGGGAGGGGGGTCCCCACTTCCTGGTGGGGGTGGGGAGGGTCCTCAGCCCTTCAAGCCCCCCTCAGGCTCCTACAACGCAGGTGCTTTAAGTGAACACACTTCTGACTCTGTCTGTCCCCTAAAGGTCCATGGAACCCCAGAGCCTATGGGCAGCCCCAGGCCTTGTAGACATCCCGGACCCCCAAGCTCTGTAGACCCCCCCCCCAGCTTTGTAGACACCCCAGGCCTGGGGACACTCCCCAACCTCTGAACCTGGTGGATCCCATTAGAGGATCTGCTGCCCGGTCAACCTTCAGCCCAATGGCCAGGCCACAGCCCTCCCATCTCAACGGCCCCTAGAGCCCCCAGATTGCCTAAGCCCCCAACCTGCAGCGGCCCAAACACAACATCGTCCCAACCCGGCACCCTCCCTTCCTGCTCCCTGGGCCCCGCGGCCAGCCCTGGATGGAGTGGAGGGAGGCGGCCACCACTCCCAGGGTCCCTACCGTGAGCTGAATGCCGGGGTCCCGGCCTCTCTGCTGTGGCCCCTGCCGTCCCGCCCGGTAGGGGCTGTAGCTGGCACGAGCCCCCAGCCGCCGCCCCAGCATGAGCCCCGAGCACAGGGCGGGTCCCTGTCCCCCTGCGGCCCGGCGTCAGCTCCGGGTCTCACCCGGGCTCCACTCACCCCCGAGGGCTGCGGGCTGGGGCTTCCCGCGCGGTTCTTTTTCGAGATGGAAGGGGTTTTCATGAGCTCTCGTTTCTTCCTGGAGAACATGATGGGGCCCCGGCCGGGAGCCCGAGGGGGCGGGCTGGGGGTCTCAGCGCTGCAGCTCCCGGCGCTGGCCGCTTCGGGACCACATTGTCGCCGGCCACCCCCTCCCCAGCTGTCAGGCCCACGTGACAGGCCCGGCCGTCACTGGCGGGCCCTCCCCCCAACAGGAAAAGGCTTCGGGGAGGCGGCGACGCGGCCTCGCCCCCGACCCTTCCCGGCCTCAGCCTGCGGCTCTGCGGAGTGGGCGCGAAGGTGAGGTCGCAGGCCCCGCCCCCAGCCCCGGGCCGCGCCCCCCGCTTCCGCCTTCGGGAGCTCGGAGCCGCGCCGCTCGCGGGGTGGGACCGGGAGCCCCTGCCTGACGCTGGCGGGCACGGGGCGGCCGACTGCAGGGCGCTGACTCTCACTCCCGGACGCGAGTGGGCGTGCACAGACACGTGCACGATGACACGCAGAGACCCGGACCTCCACACGCGCTCAGACGCCACCAAGCCCCTGGAGCCTCGCCCTCAGACCCCAGACACACGCACAGGCCGAAGCTGCGCCCCTGCAGCCCCCTTTTCCCTGAAGGCAAGCCCGCTCCACCGCCTCTCCTGCAGACCCTAGGGTGTGGCCGGGCCCCAGCAGGGCCGGGCAGAGTAGGGTCCCCCCCATCACCCGCCCTGCAGCCCCGTGAAGTGGGTCAGGTCGAGGACAGGTGGGGAAACTGAGGCCCAGAACCGAAACCCTGGGGGCAAAGACGTCCAGGAAGTCAGAACAATCCAGGTTACCGGGCCCTGTCCGTCTGGGTCCCCACGTCCGTCTGGGTCCCCACGTCCACCTGGTCCTGGGCTGCCTGCACAGGGGTCCCCAAAGTGTGGTGTGGACCCCACCATCGGCAGAATATGCTGAGGACACCTGGTTACCTCTCAGCAGCCCTGTGGGCCATATCATGTTGCCCCAGACCTGCCCTTAGCTAAGGTCCCCAGCCCCGCCTCCCAAGCTGCATTCCAGTGACTCTGGACCACCGGACGTGCTGGGCAGCAGGACGCAGGCACCCGTTGCTGATAACAGCCTGAGGCGGCATTGGCCAAGAGCTGGGGCATCTGCAGGCATACAGATCCCAGCCTCCTACCTTCCCCCAACCCCCACCCCGCAGTGTGAACTCTCTCCCCCCTCCCCAAGTCTCCCTGCTGTCCCCTTCCAGAACCCCACCCCCAATCCCAAAACCCCAACCTCTTTCCTTTCCCAAACCCCATTCCCACCTACCTCGGGTGGGAGGGGCAGATCTCTGGGGCACAGGACATGAAGGCCACAGCCCCTTGCTCCAAGTCTGGCTCTCCAGGCCCAGGTCCAAGTGCAAACCCAGCCCAGCAGACCCTTGAGAACTCTTTGCCCCCGACTCATGGCGCTGAGGGCTGGGGTCAGAGGGTGAGGGTCAGCTGGATGTCGGATGGGCTTCTGGCCCGGCCCTGGCCTGTGCTCCGGGACACCGGGCTCCTGTAAGCTTCCCAGGACATTCCTGAGTCCTGACCTCATCCCCACTTTATGGCCAGGCACTTACAGGTACCGCCCTTAGGCGCCAGCCCCACATAGGCACGCAGGGACGTGGGGACAGGGACGGTGTGACCAGGCCCTTATGAGGCCCGCACTCACATCCCCAACTCCTGGGCTGGCCACAGAGGCATTTACAGCTGGGATCCGGTCAGCTGTAGGCACGCTCACACCTGTGTCCTATGAATCGCCACTTGGCCCGTATGTGCACACTCAGCTTGCAAGGGGCCAGCCATATCCAGACGCATGTGCAGGCAGCTGTGTGGACATGTGTGCAGCCTGGCTCAAGGACACACATGCACACGGTTTCACCACCACGGCTTCTCTCCAGCCTTCTCTTTATTTTCTCCAGGGCACCAGCCCCTCTGCCAGCCTGAGTCCAGGGCTCCTAGGCACTCTACCTTGCCCTTGCCATTCCCAGGGCCTCCCCGCGGCCCCGCAGGGGAGGGAGGCTCAGAGCACAGTCTCGGCAGTGCTAGGGTCATCGAGGAACTGGCTGACGCGTTTGGGGTGCTGCAGGCCTGGCGCGGGGTCCACTCCCACTCCTGCCTCCTTCTGCTCTTCGGTGTCCTCGTCCTTCCCCTGGTCCTTGGAGAAGTACAAGAATACCTAGCGGTGGGCAGCCCAGAGGGGACAAGAGGGACGGTCAGCCCACGGGCCTGGCCCCCAGCCTGCCTCCCCCAGCCCGACCCCGGCGCCGTGATCACCTCCTCCAGCATCGTCTGGCTCACGGAAAAGTCCTCCACGCCGTGCTCTGCGCCGTGCACCGCCAGCTCTCCAAAGACGCGCGCCAGGGCGCAGCGCCCTCCCGGCGGCAGCTGGAAGCGCAGGCGGCCTCCATGTGCCTCGCGCAGCTCCGCCCCAGGGAACTCGGCCGCCACGAAGGCCGCTGCCGGCTGGGACCTTGCGGCGGGCACCCGCAGGGTCAGTGTGTGACCCGCCGCGAATCTGCAGTGAGTGGGGCCAGGGCTACCGGATCGGGCCTTTCCCAGGTCCCACCTCAGCTCACCCTCCAGCCCCTAATACTCTCTGGCCCCGCCCCATACTTGTACTACCCTAGCGATCAAGTGGTCCTCCCGTCTCAGTCCCCCGCCACCCCCCGCCCGCGTAGCTGAGACCACAGGCACACACCACCATGTCCAGCTAATTTTTAAATTTTTTATAGAGATGGGGTCTCCCTAGGTTGCCCAGGTTGCTCTCGAAGCTATCACCCCACTTGACTCCTTTTTCGGACACTCCTCTTTCGCCCTTGCACTCTACCCCCGCCCACACAATAAATACCCCCGCCCCACTTTCCTATGGCCCCGCCCACTAACCAGGCCCTCCCCTAACTCCACCCATCAATCCACCCTCACCTCTCCAGGCTGCACCTACTCCAACGCACACCTGATTGTGTCTTCTAAATCCACCCAGAGCCCCCGGCTCACGCCTCCTGGTCCTGCGCCCCCAGCACACCCCAGCCTGTCTCGCCCCCTCAGTCACCCCTGCAGGACAATCTAAAGCCTTGGCCATCTCTCCAGTTGGAGCCAAACTTTCCTCACCCGGCTCTACGTCTGGCCTCTCCCCTGAGCCTACCTACGTGCCCACCCTCACCCCACACCTGCCTGGAGGCCGCGCCGGCTCACCTGCCCTTGAGATGTTGCGGGCTGCCCAGGCAGCGGAACCGCCCATTCACCATGATGGCCAGGCGCGAGCAGAGCGCTTCACACTCCTCCATGCTGTCGGGACCCGGCACCACGAGCTCCGTGAGGCCGGGGCCACCTGTGCCTGGCGCCACACTGCCTGCTTCCCCCGGCCTGGGCCACCCTTCTGGTGTGGACATCTCCCCACTCTTCCCCAGACCGTTCTGATCCCGGCGCCGCGTCCCACCTCTGTGTGTCCTTACACCCCGGGGCCTGGCGCCCTCGCCCCACTAGGGCCAGGACCCCCCATCCCCTGTGGCCTTGTGCTTTGGGGCTCTCTCTCCAGGCCTGGATCACCTTAACCACAGCCCAGGGCATCAGAGCCCGGCCCACCTATGGGAGGTGAGCATCACTGAACGGCCCTCCCGCACCACGGCCAAAAGGCTGTTCCAAAGGAAGCGCCGCGCGCTGGGGTCCATGCCTGTGGTCGGCTCGTCCTGGGGAGCACGGAAGATCCCATAAGCAAGGCCCCGCCTCCGTCGCAGGCCCCACCCCACCCAGGCACCGCTCCCACGCACCAGAAACACCACGGCTGGGTCCCCAACCAGCGCCAGGGCCGTCGCCAGCTTGCGTTTGTTCCCTCCGCTGTAGGTGCCTGCAGGCCGGTCTGCGTACCATGAGAGTCCCAGACGCGCCAGGCCCGAGCCAGCGGTCTGTGGGGTGGGGCCAGAGTAGGCATGGGGACTCATATTGATGAGTATGGGGCAGGGCCACAGTGTGGCGGGGCCAGCATTGAGTGTGGAGCAGGGGCATAATGGGCATGGGGCAGGGCAAATGTGAGAATGGGACATAGTGTGGTGGGGGCAGCATGAGTATGGGGCGGGGCCATGGTGTGGGTGGAGCCAGCATGAGTATGGGGCGGGGCCATGGTGTGGGTGGAGCTGGGATGGGTGTGGGGCAGGGCCATAGTGTGGGTGGAGCCAGCATGAGTATGGGGCGGGGCCATGGTGTGGGTGGAGACAGCATGAGTATGGGGCGGGGCCACACTGGTGGAGCCAGCATGAGTATGGGGCGGGGCCATGGTGTGGGTGGAGCCAGCATGAGTATGGGGCGGGGCCACACTGGTGGAGCCAGCATGAGTATGCGGCGGGGCCATGGTGTGGGTAGAGCCAGCATGAGTATGGGGCAGGGCCATGGTGTGGGTGGAGACAGCATGAGTATGGGGTGGGGCCATGGTGTGGGTGGAGCCAGCATGAGTATGGGGCGGGGCCATGGTGTGGGTGGAGCCAGCATGAGTATGGGGCGGGGCCATGGTGTGGGTGGAGCCAGCATGAGTATGGGGCGGGGCCATGGTGTGGGTGGAGCCAGCATGAGTATGGGGTGGGGCCTTGGTATGGGTGGAGCTGGGATGGGTATGGAGCAGGGCCATGGTGTGGGTGGAGCCAACATGGGTATGAGGCAGGGCCAGAAAGGGCATGGGGTGGGACAGTGTGAGGGTGGGGCGGGCCAGGGCAAAGACAAGACCCCCAAGCAGATGGAAGAGGCAGTGAAACGGCTGCAAACTGGGAACGGCCAGAGTGAGAATGTGACCGTGACCCCAGCGAGAAAGGCGCGAAGCCCTAGGGGGTAGGCAGAAGAGGAGCAAGTGGGCAGGGCCACAGAAGGCAGAGTCAAGGAGAGAGGGGCAACGTGCAGCGGAAGGAAGGGTGGGTGGACCAATGAGAATGGTGGAACTTGGTGTTGCGGGGCAAAGAGGCGGGCTAGCCACATCCCTATTGGACCAGGATGGGGGACAGAGGTATAGGGGAAGGAAGCACGGTCTGGGGGCAGGGACAGGGATGGAGCCAAGGCGAGAGAGTGCGGGATTGGGCCAGGCTTTAGAGGCACGGCCTGGGTCGGGTGGGCCCTGGGAGGTGAGAGCGGTGGGGACAAAGTGGGCTCACCTGGGCAACCTGGGCCTCCGGGACACCGCGCAGGCGCGCAAGCAGCTCCAGGTGCTCGCGGCCCGTCAGCAGCTCAAAGATGGCATCGGATTGAGGGCAGTATCCCATGCTGAGGTGCGCAGCACTGGGTTCCCGGGCCACGCTGGGGATGGGGGCGCCGGGGGCTCAGAGAGCTGGCTAGTCCCTGACCATACTGGTGGCTAACACAGGGGTCTCAGGGCCCACCCATCCAGGGCCACGCTGATAAGGGACAGGGGTGTCTCAGGGCCTGGTCCGCGTGTGGGAGGTAGAGGTGCAGGGGTCTCAGAGACCATGCAGGTGTGGGGCAGTGAGCCCAGTCCATTCACTGGAGGTGGAGGGGTGGGGAAGCACAAGGACGTCAGGGCCAACCCTGCCCCACCCTGACCCTACCTGGCACCCCTCACCTGTGGCCTGCCAGCACAGCCTCGCCCCTGCTGGCCAATGTGTCCCCCGTCACCATGCGAAACGTGGACGTCTTCCCTGCTCCATTCACACCCAGCAGCCCAAAACACTACAGGGATGCCCACAGATGGTGCTCAGTGAGGCCCCAGGCCCTGGTTCCGGCATCTCTGATTTCTTTTTTTTTTTTTTTTGAGACCAAGTTTTGCTCTTGTTTCCCAGGCTGGACTGCAGTGGTGCGATCTTGGCTCACTGCAACCTCTGCCTCCCGGGTTCAAGCAATTCTCCTGCCTTAGCCTCCCAAGTAGCTGGGGCTACAGACGCCTGCCACCATGCCCAGCTAATTTTTGTATTTTTTTTTAGTAGAGATGGGGTTTCACCGTGTTGGCCAGGATGGTCTCGATCTCTTGACCTTGTGATCCGCCTGCCTTGAACTCCTAAAGTGCTGGGATTACAGGCGTGAGCCACGGCACCCAGCCTCTTTTTTTTTTTTTTTTTTTTTTGAGACGGAGCCTTGCTGTGTCACCCCGGCGCAATGGCACGATCTTGGCCCACTGCAACCTCCACCTCCTGGGTTCAAGCAATTCTCCTGTCTCAGGCTCCGGAGTAGCTGGGACTACAGGCGTGTGCCACCAAGCCCGGCTAATTTTTGTATTTTTAGTAGAGACGGGGTTTTGGCATGTTGGCCAGGCTGGTCTCGAACTCCTGACCTCAAGTGATCCTCCTGCCTTGGCCTCCCAAAGTGCTGGGGTTACAGCTGTGAGCCACCACGCCTGGCCTCAGCACCTCTGATTTCTGAGTGTCCACATGGAAGGCCGTGGGTGGGGCCCCGGGGGAGCTAGGCAGATATTGGGGTATGTAGCGAGGCATAAAGCTGTCACTTAGCAGGGAATGGCTTTTGGCACACAGTGGGTACCCTATAAAGGTCGTGTGCAGCAGTGCTCAACAAATATCAGGGCATGAGCTCTCCATATGTTTCCTGGCACACTGTGTGTACTTAGGCTAGGTGCACAGTCAGCCCAAGGTAGAGAGGTTGGCCAGCACACAGTAGGTGCTTAGTAAAGATATACTGTGGGCCAGGCCCAGTGGCTCACACCTGTAACCCCAGCACTTTGGGAAGCCGAGGTGGGCAGATCACCTGAGGTCAAGAGTTCAAGATCAGCCTGACCAACATTGTGAAACCCCATCTCTACTAAAAATACAAAAATTAGCCGGTTGTGGTGGCGGGCGCCTGTAATCCCAGCTACTCAGGAGGCTGAGGCAGGAGAATCGCCTGAACCTGGGAGGCAGAGGTTGCAGTGAGCCGAGATCGTGACACTGCACTCCAGCCTGGGTGGCAGAGCGAGACTTTGTCTCAAAAAAAAAAAAAAAGAAAAAAACAAAGGCCGGGCATGGTGGCTCACACATGTGATCCCAGAACTTTCGGAGGCCAAGGTGGGTGGATCATTTGAGGTCAGGAGTGCAAGACCAGCCTGGCCAACATGGTGAAACCCCGTCTCTACTAAAAATACAAAATCAGCTGGGCATGGCGGCATGTGCCTGTGGTCCCAGCTACTCGGGAGGCTGAGGCTGGAGAATCGCTTGAACCTGGGAGGCGGAGGTTACCGTGAGCCAAGATTACACCATTGCACACCAAGCTGGGTGACAGTGAGACTCCATCTCAAAAGAAAAAAAAAGAAAAAAAAATATATATATATACTGCAATGTGTGCTAACAAACAGCACTTGTTTGCAGATGTGTACCAGCCCTAGTAGGTGGCCAATAAGTGGCACACAGCAAATACATTTGTATATAGTAGGTGCTTGAATGTGAACTGGTACAAAGCAGGTGCCTGATAAATGCTGGCTGTGAGCAAGTGCTTGATGTAGATGTGTATACAATAGGGGTCCAATAAATTCTATTGGTATTTGATAAACGTTGATGGACACAAAAGTATTCAGTACACCTCTTTAGTGAGCACAGTGTGTGTTTAACAGAGGTAAGCATGCAGTAGGTGCTTAATGAGGTTTTGTTGGCTCAAGATAAATGCACAGGCCAGACGCAGTGGCTCACGCCTGTAATCCCAGCACTTTGGGAGGCTGAGGCGGGTGGATCATGAGGTCAGGAGATCGAGACCATCCTGGCTAATATGGTGAAGCCCTGTCTCTACTAAAAATACAAAAATTAGCCAGGCGTGATGGCAGGCGCCTGCAGTCCCAGCTACCTGGGAGGCTGAGGCAGGAAAATGGTGTGAACCCGGGAGGTGGAGCTTGTAGTGAGCCGAGATCTCACCACTGCACTCCAGCCTGGGCGACAGAGTGAGACTCCGTCTCTAAAAAAAGATAAAATAGGGCAGGTGTGGTGGCTCACGCTTGTAATCCCAGCACTCTGGGAGGCTGAGGCGGGTGGATCACGAGGTCAGGAGATGGAGACCATCCTGGCTAACACGGTGAAACCCCGTCTCTGCTAAAAATACAAAAAAATTAGCCGGGCGTGGTGGTGGGCGCCTGCAGTCCCAGCTACTCGGGAGGCTGAGGCAGGAGAATGGCATGAACCCGGGAGGTGGAGCTTGCAGTGAGCTGAGATCCCACCACTGCACTCCAGCCTGGGAGACAGAGTGAGACTCCATCTCAAATAAATAAATAAATAAATAAATAAATAAATAATAATATAATAAAATAAAAATAGGAGCACAAATATTGGCATACAGTAGGTGCCCAATAAAAGGTGGTGGATACACAGTAGGTGTTCAGTAAAGGATGATGGGCAGGGCATGCAGTAGGGCAGCCACTCACTGTCCCTGCACCTGGCCTCCACCCCTGGACTCACCTCACCAGGGGGAATCCCCAGGCACAAGCGGTCAACAGCTGGCATCCTCTGCCCACGGTATACCTGGGAGAGTGCAGGTCTTTCAGAAAGGTGAGTGGGCCAGTGGGAGCACCCCCCACCCAGCAGTCGACCTGACCACACCTACCTTGGTCAAGTTCCTCAGCACCAACACATCCCCCTGGGTGGCTCCTTGGACCACCCGCTCCCGTTCACGGGCTACATCCTCGTCCTCCTCTCCCAGGAGTGGCAGAGACCTCACCCTGGGCCTGGGGACAGAATATCTGTGGGCTTAAAGTAGGTCCTTGGCCCCTGCCACCCTCTCCATAGACCTCACTAACTGTGGCAGGAGTTGGCTTCGGTGCTGCAGCAGTAGTGTGAAGAGAAGGAAGAGGGGCCCCTGTATCACCATGGCCAAGAGGTTCTTGCCGACCACCTCCCAGCGCAGGGGTGACTGGAACTGCCTGTCTCCTGTGGATATAGAAAGGAGGGACTGGGTCCATGAGAGTCTTGGTTTCTGGCCCTTTCTCCATCCATGTCACTCTGGATTCTTAAGGGAAAGGAACACAAATTGGATAGGCCACTCAGCTGGAGTCTAATTGGCATAGAAAACAGAAGAGGCCTCTTGTGATGTAATCTAAGAATTAGCTTTTTATGGCTGCTTTCTTGTACCTCCAACTTGGCCCAACCTTAGGGCCACCTAAGAACCCTGGCTGTCTCCCTGGGGGGCTGTTTTTCTCCACTCTGTATAATTAACTCTAGGTCTCCAAGGGTGCTAGCTATCTGTAGCCATGGCCCCACCTGACAGGAAGTTCTCACCCAAGCGCTCAAAGGCATCAGCCATGGCCTGGTTCCGCACCATGTCAATGAGCCCCCGGCCCAAGCAGAAGTGGGGGAAGATAAGGAAGACCTGTTTCAAGATCCGGCTCACCTCCTGCAGCTTCTGCTCAAGGGTGGGAGACGGATGTTGGTCAGGGGCTGAGTCCAACGACCCAACCCAGCCCAAGCCCCAGCCTCGTGGTGCCCCACCTGATCAGAGAAGAGCTCAAGCACAAAGGTGGCCATGCTTCCATTGATGCCAATAAAGAGGTTTATGCAGGTGAGCACCACATAGGCTGTGCTGGGCACGGAGAAGAAGAAGGAGGCTGGGTACATGAGCGGTGTGATCGACCAGCTGAAGGGACAATAGGAGTCACTGGAGTAACCACTCAGACTGAGAAGCCCTGAGAGGAATAAAAATCTCCATTCCCATCTTCTCTGCCTTAGACCTTGACATTTTCACCCAAAGCACATTTCTGTTTTTTTTTTTTTCTTTCTCTCTTTCTCTTTCTCTCTCTTTCTTTCTTTTTTAGAGGTGGGTCTCTCTATGTTTCCCAGGCTGGTCTCAAACTCCTGGCCACAAGCAGTCCTCCTGCCTCGGCCTCCCAAAGTACTGGAATTACAGGCATGGGCTGCCTTAGAACTCTACTAATATGAGTCAGGATAAGATGAGCTTTTAAGGCCACCTTGGCACACCACTGAATTGGATCACACACGGCATCACCTCAGACCTCCATATCCTCTCCTTGGGAGTCACTGCAGAGTTCTATCTCAGCAGCATTAATGTGGAAGGCAGTAAGGGGTCAGTAAGAATAGGCCCTGAGGGACTGGGGGCCTCACCCATACAGTAGTAGCAACAGCAGGAGAGCAGGCAGGTTGGCAGGGGCCACATATGCCCTCTGCTGGAAGGCCAGAAAGATGAGCACCACGATGCATGCTGGCACCAAGTAGTTACACTGCATTGGAGATGGCAGTTACCTTTATCAGCCTAAAGAGGTGGGCACTGCCACCCTCAGCCCTGTTCCCACCCTGACCTCCTTGCTTTTTGAGTAGGAAGGCACAAAGTCTCCCACAATCCTCAAGACTTTACCCAGGCCATCTTGGACAAGCCCCTGCCTACAAGGGGCCAGACAGGGCAGTGGCAAGCAGTGGCTGGGCCCCCACCCGTCCAAGCAGCCCCCGCACCATGTCCCAGAGAAAGTTGCCAAGCCAGTAGAGGGTGGGGGACAGGCCCCCCATGAGCTGCAGGTGCTTGGCTCGGGTGACTCGCTCCTCAATGAGGACAAGAGTGAAGCTGGCCGGGACAAAGGACATGGCAAAGACCACACAGATGGAGACGAGGACGTCCACCGAGGAGGCCATCCTGGAGGTGAAGACATGAGAGCTGTTGTAGGGTGAGGGTGCATGGGTTGCTCAGAGCAGAGCTGAACACGCCATTGATGGGACAAAGGTCTATGGGGCAGTCAGCAGTGGCAGAGATGGCAGGGGCAATTTAGGGATGAGGGTGCCTGGGATTTGGCAGCAGAGGTTGTACAGGTCTCAGGCAGGATAAAGGTTGGTGGGATGAGGATGTGTGGGGGAGGCTGGGGCCCGCTGAGTCTGAGGAGGTCCCATTTCCCTGGCTTAGGGAGCAGAGGAACAGTTTCTATCCCCCATTTATAAAGCAAGAGTGTGTCAGGGTTCAAATCCAGCTCCCACCACCCCAAACGACAGAGAAATGGAGGCAGGGTAGGACGTGCAGGGTAGGACATGCAGGGTGGAGGGACTCACAGTGCACCCTCAGACAGCTGCTCCTTGGTGAGGTTCAAGGGGTGGTTGAGTGTGGTGATGCTGTGGGCGTGGCGGGCCGGGCCTGGGGGCAGGTGAGCACGGAGGATTGCGTTGCTGGCTCGGTTGACAAAGGCCACCATGGAGTGCCAGCCTTTGTTGTTGAACCAGATCTGGGTGGGGGTCAAGGTCATAGGGTCAGAGCAATGGGGTTGGACCTTGCTGTGACAGGACGCCCACCTGCCCCCCCAGTTCCCACCTTGAGACTGTCCTGAGCATCCAGGCTGTGAGCCCAGGCTGTGAGGTTTTTCAGGACACGGTCGAGGGCCCCGCCAGGCAGGGGACTCAGCAGCGCCCACAACTCCTCCACTGAGCGGCCCAACTCTTGGCCCGAGGGCAGGCCTGGGTCTCGGCCCCCCAGCGAGAAGCCTCCGTATCTGTGGGGCCATGCAGGCAGGGAAGGGGAGCTGAGGGCCGGGGGGGCCGGGAGAGCTCCCAGGGGGCAGGCAGAGGGCATGGGAGTGGAACTGGGGCAGGGGACCCCAAGCTAGACCCCTCCTCACCTGACCTCATTCACCCACTTCTTAGTCTTCAGGCTGTGGGAGAGATGGACAGAGACACAGGCAGACAGGGATGTGGGACAGAGAGAGAGATGGTGAGAGGGGAGCACAGAGTCAAGGGTGGACAAAAACAGGAAAGAAAGCCGGGCGCGGTGGCTCCTGCCTGTAATCCCAACACTTTGGGAGGCCAAGGCGGGTGGATCACCTGAGGTCAGGAGTTCGAGACCAGCCTGGCAACACGGTGAAACCCCATCTCTACTAAAAATACAAAAATTAGTCGGGAGTGGTGGTGCGTGCCTGTAATCCCAGCTACTCGGGAGGCTGAGGGAGGAGAATCGCTTGAAACTGGGAGGTGGAGGTTGCAATGAGCTGAGATCACACCTCTGCACTCCAGCCTGGGCAACAGAGGGAGACTCCATCTCAAAAAAAAAAAAAAAAAAAAAGAGGAAAGGAAGGTACGCGAGACTCCCAGCCCGTAGCCCCAAGCTGGGCATCCAACCCCTCCACTTCCTCCTCCAGGACCACACCAGCCCCAGCAACCCAAGGACCCATGCTATAGCCAGGGAAACTGAGTCCCAGGGCATGGCTCACCCCTGGCGCACCAGGCGCGGGTAGGTCTTGACCAGGAAGTCAGACAGGTTCCGGCCTGTCAGGTTCTGAACCACTTCCCCAGAGCCGGTCACTGCCTGGGGCGGAGGGGGACCACCAGCTGCAGCCGGGCAGTCGGGCAGCAGGCGCCGGGCACCGGGCCGGCTACACTGGCAGGCTGGGGATGGAGACTCTGGGGTCCAGTTGCCACTGGCCAAGACCTTGGCCACTTCAGCAGGAACTTCTGGTGCCGAGAACCTGCAGACAATGGGCTGTGCACACTCAAGGGCGCTGCAGGGTCAAGGTGAAGGTCTGTGGGCACCCAGCTTCTGGGGGTTCCTGGAGCCACAGAGGCTCCCAGCTCCCAGGTGGGCACAGGGGATGCTCCAGGTGCCCCCTGAGGCTCCCTGGCCAGGGACCAGATGGGAAAACTGAGGCCAGAGAGGGGAAAGGTCCAGGCCAACAAGACGCCTCACCTGTGGGAGCTATGCTGCACTGGGGGCTCCTCCAGTCCTGCCTCCTGCAGCAGCGCCTCGAGCAGCCGGGCACGTCCAGGGTCCCCTGGGGCGTCCTCACTGTGTGTGAGGGGAGATGTAGGGTCAGGGCTGTACCCCCAGGTCCCTAGTCTTCCTGCCACCAGCCCCTTCCTTCTGCACCCACCTGAAGAAGGACACCTGAGCACCGTACATGGTGGGACTGAGCCGCAGAGCCGGGTAGTGCCCGAAAGGAGGCACGATGAGGCTGAACACGAGGGCCAGGCCCACAAAGAGGGCAGGCAGCACGATCTGGGGGACCAGCCCATCAGCTGCTGCTTCCATCCACCCTCCAGGCTTGCTTGCACCTGTCCCTGCTCCTGCTCTACAACCACCCATGGCTCCCCAGTGCCCTCAATAAATGTGCTTTGGGTTGGGAATACACACGGGGGTAAGGGTTTGGATTAGGCCACTGAGTGGACGGCCAGGGTAGGGAACTCAGGGACTCCCATGCGACTCCCTGGTGCTAGCCCTCCTCACCTGGGCGAACAGGCCGCGGCGGCTGCGGCGGGCAAGCAGAAAGCGCTTGAGAAGCAGGGCCTGGAGCTGCTGGCGGGTCAGTGCCCAGCCCTGTACCCGGCCCACGGCGTCTGGCCCAGAGCCCTGGTCAGTCTCTGGGGCTGACCCAGCTGTGAGGGATGAGAGGGTCAGTGCTCACGCTGCTGTGGGGGGGTGGCTGGGAGGACCCCAGGGCCACTGGGAAGGACTTACCTGGTTCCCCGTTCTCCAGCGCTGTCTCCTGTGGCGGCATCTTGAGCCGTAGGGTTACGTCTAGGCCAGCAATGCCTGTGCATAGGTGCTGCCCGCAGCTGCCATCTGCAGGGCCATCAGGGGTCAGGGTCAAAGTTGAGGGTCACGGATTGGGGGATCAGGAATCAGGTATAGGGTAAAGGCTATGCCTTGGGCCACACTAAGCCAGGGATGGGGACCTGGCCTCTGGTCCCACTCTGGACTGGGGTCAGGGGTCAGGGAGCTGTGGCCGCACCCTCCATATCTGTGTCCGCAGCACACTCCTCCACCACCTTCAGGAAGATCTGGGGAGACAAGCAGGGGCTCAGAGACTGGACACCGACAGGGAGAACTGGGGGCTTGTGAGCCCCCCACCCCTCCTACACCATGGGTCCCCCAGGCCTTCCCAAGGGACATCTGAGCCACCAGAGCTCCTCATGTGCCATGCCTCCTCCCTGAATGTCCTTGCTGCTCATAAACACGCTATTCATCCTTCAAAACACCACCTCCTCCAGGAAGCCCTCCTCCTGGCCCCACCTCACCACCACCCAGGCCTCACACCTCCTCGAGGCTGGTGTCGGAGATCCCGTAGCCAGTGAGCCTCAGCTCCGCCAGCCGCGTGTCTAGCTCTCGGAAGAGTGTGGCGAAGCTGCCGTCATGGGCACCCGTGTAGGGCAGCACCAGCACCAGCTCGTGTGGCAGCTCCTCCACCAGCCGTGCCCCGGGCACCCAGTGCTGTACCAGGGCCAGCAGCTGAGGAGTGCCTGTGTGGACAAAGGGGTGCTTCAGGGAGCCCCGGCTCACGCCCCACCCCAGTCTCCCTGGGGAAGAGGCATTGGTGACCTGTGAGGGGACTGTCCCGGCAGACAGAGATCAGGGTTAAGAACGTAGGCCAGGTGCGGCCGGGCGCAGTGGCTCACGCCTGTAATCCCAGCACTTTGAGGGTTGAAGCAGGCAGATCACCTGAGGTCAGGAGTTTGAGACCAGCCTGACCAACATGGTGAAACCCCATTTCTACCAAAAATGCAAAAATTAGCCAGGCATGGTGGAACCCACCTGTAATCCCAGTTACTCGAGAGGCTGAGGGAGGAGAAATGCTTGAACCCAGGAGGCAGAGGTTGCAGTGAGCTGAGATCACACCACTGCACTACAGCCTGGGCGACAGAGCAAGACTCAGAAACAAACAAAAAGAGATCTTGAGGGCAGTGCTGGACCTAGTGTTGGAGGTCAGGGGTAGGTTTGTCTCTGGGCTCAGCCCTGGTTGGGTTAAAGGTGGGGTCAGTGTTCAAGTTAGTCTCATGGTTCCGGCTCAGCCCAGGGATGGGGGCATCATCTCAGGTTCTCAAGTGCTCTCCTCCTCCTCTCCTTCTCCTCCCCCTCCTCTCCCTCCTCCTCCTCTCCCTCCTACTCCTCCCCCTTCTCCTCCCCCTCCTCTTCCTCCTACTTCTCCCCCTTCTCCTCCCCCTTTCCCTCCCCCTCCTCCTCCCCCTCCTATTCCTCCCCTTCTGCTCCCCTCCTACTCCTCCCCTTCTTCTCCCCCTCCTCCTCTCCCTTCCCCTCCTCCTCCCCCCTTCTCCTCCCCCTCCTCCTCTCCCTCCCCCTCCTCCTCTCCCTCCTACTCCTCCCCTTCGCCTCCCCTTCCACCTCTTACTCCTCCCCCTCCTCCTCCCCCTCCTCCTCCGCCTCAACCTCCTCTGCCGCTTCCTCCCCCTCCTCCTCCTCTTCCCCCTCCCCCTCCTCCTCCTCAAGTTAAGGCACAGCCACCCCACTGCCCACCCGCCTTGGGTCTCCCACCCCGGCCCTCACCGACTCTGCTGCCCTGGCTGCCATTCTTCTTTTCCTGCCTGGTGTCCACACTGCCCTCCATGTCAGTGTCAGCCTGCGGGCAGAGAGGCACCAAGTGGCTTGGCCTTCAGGGCTGAACAGAGTCCCGGGGGTCAGGGGTCAGGAGAAGGCCGGTCCCCACCTTCTCATTGGTGGTCAGGGGCAGGCGGGCCTTCACCAGCGTCAGGTAGTAGCCGGAGCCCAGGTGACGGCGCAGGAAGAGTGGGGAGCCACAGCAGCACAAGCGGCCACCTGCCACCACGGCCACACGGTCTCCCAGCAGCTCTGCCTCATCCAGGTGGTGGGTGGAGAGGATCAGCGTGCGACCTAGGCACGGGGGACCAACCCACAACTACCATCAGGCCGCCGCGTCTTTGCCCGAGCTGGGGCCTCTGCCAGGAGTTGTCTGCCCCATGAAGCAAACTCCTATTCATCCCTCAAAACCTCATCCCCAGAACCTCCTTGTTGGAAACCTTTTCTGGCCCTTCAGGCAGAATCCAGGGGAACCTCTGTCTATCCCCAACTCTTACTGTCTCGGTATTTGAGCAGTAGCCCCTAAATGCCATAGCAACAAGTGGGGTCCACATGTAGCAAACTCCTACTCATTCCTCAAAACCCCATCCCCAGCACTTCCTTGTCAGAAGCCTTTTCTGGCCCCTCGAGCAGAATCCCCAGCTCTTACCTTCTCGGTATTTGAGCAGCAGCTCCCAAATACCGCGGCGGGAAGCAGGATCCACGCCAGCCGTAGGCTCGTCCAGGATAACAACTTGGGAGCCGCCCACAAAGGCAATGGCCACGGACAGCTTCCGTTGCATCCCACCTGGTAGAGATGGGGAAGGGACCTCAGTGTGTCACACCCAGCCTTGGGCAAGGTTGCCTACCCACGTGGACCTCAGTACCCGGCTTCCCCCTGCCTTCAGGATGAATCCCCAGGCCCCTCCCTGTGAGGTGACCTCCCTTGGGGATGGGCTCACCAGAGAGGTGGCGAGTCTGCACACTCTGCTTGGAGACCAGCCCCACATCCTGCAGCAGACGGTCCTGCTCGGGGCCCACTACAGCGGCACTCAGACCCTTCAGCCGCCCATAGAACCAGACGTGCTCGTCCACGGTCAGCCTGCGGCCAGTGCACAGAGCAGAGTGACCCACATGGCAGGCAGAGTCCCAGAGGGCGTCCAGTCCCTTCCCACCGCTGCACTCTGGGCCTGCCGAGACGCACATGTCAAACAGCACGTTGTACTGAGGACAGACGCCCAGGTGGGGCCGGATGGCGGCCATGCTGGAGCGGACGTCGTGGCCCAGGATGAAGGCAGAGCCACCACTGGGTGGGAAGAGGCCACTCAAGATGGACCTGTGGATAGAGGGGTCTCAGAGTAGCCCCCTTCACAGAGTGCACTGGCAGTTACAGAGCTTCTATTTTTAATTTCTGTTTTTAAAAAATTTTTAATTATTTATTATTATTATTATTATTATTATTATTATTATTATTTTTGAGACGGAGTTTCACTCTGTTGCCCAGGCTGGAGTGCAGCGGCACGATCTCGGCTCACTGCAAGCTCCACCTCCCGGGTTCACGCCATTCTCCTGCCTCAGCCTCCCGAGTAGCTGGGACTACAGGCGCCCGCCACCATGTCCGGCTAATTTTTTTGCATTTTTAGTAGAGACGGGGTTTCACTGTTTCACCATGTTAGCCAGGATGATCTCAATCTCCTGACCTCGTGATCCACCCGCCTCGGCCCCCCAAAGTGCTGGGATTGCAGGCCTGAGCCACCACGCCTGGCCACAGAGCACCTATTAAATGCTACATCCAAAACCCTGTGATAGCCTTATTTTTATTTATTTGTTTATTTTTATTTTTTTGTGACAGAGTCTCACTCTGTTGCCCAGGCTGGAGTGCAACGGCACAGTCTCGGCTCACTGCAACCTCCGCCTCCAGGGTTCAAGCAGTTCTCCTGCCTCAGCCTCCTGAGTAGCTGGGATTACAGGTGCACGCCACCATCACACCCGGCTAATTTTTGTATTTTTAGTAGAGATGGTTTTGCCATATTGGCCAGGCTGTGTCTCAAACTCTGACCTCAGGCAATCCTCCCACCTCGGCTTGCCCAAGTGCTGGGATTACAGGCGTGAGCCACCACTCCCGCCCTATTTATTTTGAGACAGGGTCTTACTCCGTTGCCCAAGCTGGAGTGCAGTGGCGCCATTACTGCTCACAGGGAGGGACTGGTCGGGGGCCTCACAGGGAGCTCACAGGGAGGAAGTGGTGGGGGGCTCACAGGGAGGGAGTGGTTTGGGCGGCTCACAGGGAGGGAGTGGTGGGGGACTCACAGGGAGGGAGTGGTGGGGGAACTCACAGGGAGGGAGTGGTGGGGGGGCTCACAGGGAGGGAGTGGTGGGGGGGCTCACGGGGAGGGAGCGGTCGGGGGGCTCACAGGGAGGGAGTGGTGGGGGGGCTCACGGGGAGGGAGTGGTGGGGGGTTCACGGGGAGGGAGTGGTGGGGGGGCTCACGGGGAGGGAGTGGTGGGGGGTTCACGGGGAGGGAGTGGTGGGGGGCCTCACGGGGAGGGAGTGGTGGGGGGGCTCACGGGGAGGGAGTGGTGGGGGGTTCACGGGGAGGGAGTGGTGGGGGGGCTCACGGGGAGGGAGTGGTGGGGGGTTCACGGGGAGGGAGTGGTGGGGGGCTCACGGGGAGGGAGTGGTGGGGGGGCTCACGGGGAGGGAGTGGTGGGGGGTTCACGGGGAGGGAGTGGTGGGGGGCTCACGGGGAGGGAGTGGTGGGGGGGCTCACGGGGTGGGAGTGGGGGGGCTCACGGGGAGGGAGTGGTTGGGGGCTCACAGGGTGGTGGTCTTGCCGGCCCCGTTGTGGCCCAGGAAGGCGGTGATGTGGCCCTGGTAGAAGTCCAGGCTGAGCCCCCGCAGGGCTGGCTGCGGGCTTCCAGGAAAGCGCTTCTCCAGGCTGCGAACGGAGACGCCAGGACTCAGGCCGGGCGGTGCCTCTTCTACCAGCACTGCAGAGATGGGGTGGACTCAGCCATGGAGGTCATGGGGGTCCTGGGGCCTGCAAGTCCCTCAGAGCTGGGCTGTGGAATCCGGGACCTGCTGGGCCGGGGCCTATAAAAGCTGCGGGAGCTTGGGGACCGCAGTGTCTTCAGGGCAGGTGTGAGGGTTGGGGTGTCCAGGTCATTGTCATTGGCATCTGTGGAATCTCGTTTTGGGGGGGAACTGGGCATATGTGGACAACCAGCTATTAAGCCTCGTAGTGCCTCACCCTTTGGGTCCAGCGGGGTGGGGCAAGGGGCTGGACTCTTGGGGGGCCGAGGTCCGCACCAGTAGCTCCTCCGAAAAGGAAAATTCCATGGTTCAGGGATCCCGTACTGGCCTGCGGGGAGGGGCGCGGGTTATTGCTTAGCCCACCCCCCAGGAGTGTACCAGGCTTTTTTTGGGGTTTTGTTTTTTTTTTTTTTTGAGACGGAGTCTTGCTCTGTTGCCCAGGCTGGAGTGCAGTGGCACGATTTTGACTCGCTGCAAGCTCCGCCTCCCCAGTTCACGTCATTCTCCTGCCTCAGCCTCCTGAGTAGCTGGGACTACAGGCGCCCGCCACCATGCCTGGATAATTTTTTGTATTTTTGGGAGAGACGGGGTTTCACCGTGTTAGCCAGGATGGTCTCCATCTCCTGACCTCGTGATCTGCCCACCTCGGCCTCCCAAAGTGCTGGGAAAGCAGGCGTGAGCCACCGTGCCCGGCCTTGTTTTTTTTTTTTTTGTTTTTTTTTTTTTGAGACTGAGTTTCACTCTTGTTGCCCAGGCTGGAGTGCAGTGGCGCGATCTCGACTCACCGCAACCTCCGCCTCCGGGATTCAAGCATTTCTCCTGCCTCTGCCTTCCAAGTAGCTAGGAAACAGGCACCCGCCACCACACCCAGCTAATTTTGTATTTTTAGTAGAGACGGGGTTTCTCCATGTTGGTCAGGCTGGTCTCGAAATCCCGACCTCAGATGACCCGCCCGCCTCGGCCTCCCAAAGTGCTGGGATTACAGGCGTGAGCCACCGCACCCAGCCAGCTTTTTTTTTTTTTTTTTTTTTAAAGAGATGGAGGTCTCACTCTGTTGCCCAGGCTGGTGGGATCACGGCTCACAGCAGCCTCAACCTCCTGGGCTCGAGTGATCCTCCCACCCCATCCTCCCGAGTAGCTGGGACTACAGGAGCGTGCCACCACGCCCAGCGTGCCACCACGCCCAGCTAACTTTTTGTATTGATGAGGTCTCACTATATTGCCCAGCCTGGTCTCAAACTCCTGGGCTCAAGCGATTCTCCTGCCTTGGCCTCCCAAAGTGCTGGGATTACAAGCGTGAGCCACAGCGCCCGGCGACTGTGCCAGCTTCTGGCCATACACCTGGAATCAGGGCGTCCAGGTATGAGGCGGCCCAGAAACCCCGCCCACCTGCCTCAGGCCCCGCCCCTCCAATGCAGCCACCTGCATGCGTGTGCCAAGAAGCCCCGCCTTCTCTCCAAGGGAATAAGCCACCCCCCACCCCCAAACGGCCTGGAGGCCACACCCCTAGCTCAGCCTCCCGCAAAGCAGGTGCGACCCGGCCCGGAGCCCCGCCCCCTACGGCCCACCTGGGCACACAGCTTCCAGGTACCAGGTGGCGAGGCCGTAGAGCGCCGCGTCCAGCAGCAGAAGGCCAGAGACCTGGGCCAGGCTGAAGACGTCTGCCGTAGGCCGGGTGCCCACGTTGTGCCACTGCGCGCCCTCGCCCTGCTCCTCCAGCAGAGCCAGGCTCTCGCAGCCGAAGCCGAAGGCCACGGGCGACAGCAGGCTCTGCGGAAAAGCGGGCGGTCAGTGAGCGGCCGAAGCGGGGGGCGTCCCCCATCCACGCCCGACCCGGCTCTCACCGCGGCCACGCGGCCACCCGCGGGCAGCCGGTCCCGCCAAGCCACACACAGCACGTAGGGCAGGTAGAGGGAGAAGTAGGCCAGGCCGCCGCAGGCCGCAGCCAGGTTGGCGCGGGAGAAGAAGGCGCTGAGCAGGAAGCTCTGGGTCACCGTGGCCACCGCGAAGGCTGCCAAGAACAGGAAGACCACGCCCGGGTGGCTGTAGGGGAGGATGTCTCCCAGCTGTGAGAGGCAACGGGAGCTTAGGGTGCAGCTCCTGGATTGGCCTGGGGGCGCGCACCCACGTGGGGCCGCCCCTGTCTGTCACCCTCCAGCGCACCCATTCTGCAGCCGGGCAGGCCGAGGCGCGCCCACCTTGAGCACCAGAACCAGCAGTGCGGCGCTGAGCAGGAAGGGCCCGAGGCAGCTGAGGAACCAGCCTAGCCAGAGCACCGCGCGGCTGAGCCCCATGGCGCGCATGGTGTCCCGCAGCCGCGTCTCCTTCTCCCGCACCACGGCCTTCACTGTCAGTGTCACGGAGTAGATCCAGGCCAGCGTCAGGAAGAGCGGCAGCGACCGGCTCAGCACACGCAGGAACCTGGGGTGGGGACGGCTGGGGTGGAGGCTGGAGACCCTCCGCAGACCCCCCCTCCGCCCACCATCTGGCACGACTGGTTCGTGTCCCGGGATCTCAAGGCGGGAAGATTTGCCTCCCTGTTCCTTGGAACCTGATCCAGCCAGCCTTTGGCTCTCAGGCATCAGTGCAGCCCAGGCTGTCCCTGCGCCGGGGGCCCCCAGACCCTCAGAGTCCCCCCCCCCACCAGACCCTCAGAGTCCCCTGCTCCTCCCGCTGCAGCAGGTCACGTGGAGTGGTGTAAAGGTGCAAAGTTCGCAGCCTGGACCGCAGGAAGGTTCCCAACAGAGCCTGGGCCCACCCCCACACCCGGGACCTTCCCGCCGCGGGGAAGAGCGGGGAGGGGTGCCAGAGCTCACACGTCGTCCACATAGCACGGATAGGGCATCTGCTGCAGGTAGAGGCCGGCCCGGGGGTTGGCGCCGCTGAGCACGCGGACGGCTGCACGCTCCACCAGGTCTTGCAGGTACACGAAGCCGCCCCACACGTAGCGCAGGTCGGTCAGGGGGTCCGCGGCTGGGCCAGGGTCCCAAAACCTGCGAGAGGGGCATGGTGGCCGGTTGTAGGGAAGGGCTAGAAACTCCCGGGGCCCCACCCTGAATAACCTTTTTCTTAGACAGGGTCTTGCTCTGTCGCCCAGGCTGGAGTGAAGAGCTGCAATCATAGCTCACTGCAGCCTTGACCTCCCGGGATCAAACGATCCCCCCAGCTCGGCCTCCCAAGTCGCCTGGCTAATTTTATTCATTTATTCATTTGTTTGAGACGGAGTCTCGCTCTATCGCCCAGGCTGGAGTGCAGTGGCGCCATCTCGGCTCACTGCAACCTCCGCCTCCTGGGTTCAAGCGATTCTCCTGCCTCAGCCTCCTGGGTAGCTGGGCCTACAGGCGCGTGCTACCACGCCCGGCTAATTTTTTGTACTTTTTTTTTTTAGTAGAGGCAGGGTTTCACCGAGTTAGTCAGGATGGTCTTGATCTCCTGACCTCGTGATCCGCCCGCCTCAGCCTCCCAAAGTGCTGGGATTACAGGCGTGAGCCACTGTGCCCGGCCTCACCTGGCTAATTTTTAAAGATATTTTCGTGAGGTTGGTGGGGGAGGGGGGCGGGGGGGAGGCGGTCTCACTATGTTGCCCAGGCTAGTCTCGAATACCTGTCCTCAAGAGATTCTCCCACTTTGGCCTCCCAAAGTTCTGAGATAACAGGCAAGATCTACTGCGCTCAGCACCCGGTGCAATTTTAGCTCCACCCTTATTCCAGGGACCTAATAATACACCTGGCTCCGCCCACCATTGCCCTCAACCTATACCTGCTCTCATCTTATCTCAGGCCCATGGCCACGCCCCTCATGCACCTAGGCCCCGCCCATCACGGGCCCCTATTGGTCTAAGGAGCCCCGGGCTCTGGCTACCATACCACTGTTGATACAGCCCAGATCCTGTCTATCATGGTCTCCAATAGGCTGAATGCTGCCTGGCCCCACCCACCACGCTCTTGGCCCCGCCCAGTCCCTCATCCCCCCGCCCCCTCCCTCGCCTGACCTGTCCCTGATCTTATTGGTCCTCGTGACCACGTCAATGTCCATGCGGATTTTGATGCGCACGTGGCCGGGGCCCAGGTCTGGGGTTGGGTGCTCTGTGGGGTCTGAAGAGTCCTCAGGTCCCAAGAAGACGACGCCGGCCCAGAATCGATGTTCCGCGAGCAGTTGCAGGGCCCGCGACACCAGGGCTGCCTCTGAGGGTGCCGCCTCCAGCTTGTCCAAGGACAGGCACTGTGGGATGCGGGGGTGAGTCCTAGGCGCTGGGGTCCGCCTGCCTCCTAGACCACTCCGCTCCTCCCCCTGGACCTCGGGGCTGGGCCATGTTTTCCCCTCGTAGGCCCACGGCCGGCTCCCTCCTGAGATCTCTACAAATCCCAGGCTCTTACTAGGGCCGGGCCCGCCTCCCCCTGGGAACACCAGGGTGGGAACACTAGGATGGGACCTGCCCTCCCCACTGAAACAGACCCCGCAGGTGGACAGGCCCTCACCTCCGTCACTCGGCCCAGCGTGCCCACCAGGTGCCCCACATCAGCGTGTGCGTCCTGCCAGCTGTAGCCACCGCTCCCAGGGTCCAGAAAGGATCGCAGGGCCTCCATGTGGTCCCGGCCTCCAGGTCTGGGCTGCCTTCTTCCTTCATCCTGCATCTGCAGGAGCCGCTGGGGGGCGCAGGTGAAAGTGAGAGTCTGGGTCGGGCACAGTGGCTCATGCCTGTAATCCCAGCACTTTGGGAGGCGAGGCGGGTGGATCACCTGAGGTCAGGAGTTCGAGACCAGCCTGGCCAACATGGTGAAAGCCCATCTCTACTAAAAATACAAAAAGTAGCCGGGAGTGGTGGCGCATGCCTGTAATCCCAGTTACTTGTGAGGCTGAAGCAGGAGAATTGCTTGAATCCAGGAGGCGGAGGTTGCAGTGAGCCAAGATCTCGCCACTGCAGTCCAGCCTGGGCAACAGAGTGAGACTCCATCTCTTAAAAAAAAAAAAAAAAAAAAAAAAAGCAGGACGTGGTAGTTCACGCCTGTAATCCCAGCACTTTGGGAGGCCGAGGCGGGTGGATCACGAGGTCAGGAGATCGAGACCATCCTGGCTAACATGGTTAAACCCCGTCTCTACTAAAAATAAAAAAAAAAAATCATCCGGGCGTGGTGGTGGGCGCCTGTAGTCCCAGCTACTCAGAGGGTGAGACAGGAGAATCGCTTGAACCCGGGAGGTGGAGGTTGCAGTGAGTCGAGATCACGCCACTGCATTCCAGCTTGGGCGACAGAGCGAGACTCCATCTCAAAAAAAAAAAAAAAAAAGTGGGGGTCTGCACGGAGCCCACCTTCCCATCCACCGGGCCTGTCTACCCTCCTCACCGGGGAGCCACATCCCACCTCCCCAGCACCCCCGCACACCTGCAGCATGGCCACATTGGAACTGTCGTTCATGAAGGTGAAGATCCGGGGTCCCAGCATCTCCCACACCTCCCGGACATCCCTCAGCAGGGTGAGCTCCTCGAAGGTCCGGTTCACCTGTGGACAGCACCCCCTCCACTGATGACCCTCTCCTCCTCTGAGGACCCCTGCCCACCCCCTGCCCCCTCTGCCTTGCTCCTGCGTGTGCCTCTGATCCTCCGCACAAGCTGATCCCCCTCCATCGGCTAACTCCTACTTCTTCAAATAGTTTCCGTGACCCTCCGGCCTGGCCCTGGCCCACCTGGACTGAGGGTACTGGATGGGCTCTGGCCACCACCCTCCCACCCCAGCATCCAGGCTGCCCCCACCTGGGCCATGAGCTTCCGGGTAAAAGGTGTATCTGGTGCAAAGAGTAGCTTCCCGAGGATCAGAGGCTTCAGGCGTCTCCAGAGCAGGCGGGACAGCGGGTGGCTGTCCAGGGCTCCAATCAGCTCCGAGCAGGCGGGGCCTGGGATGGGGGTGCCATGAGGCCCTGCCCCCCTGCCCAGAGTTCCACTTCCCAAGAGGGGAAACCGAGGTCAGTCACTCACTCAGGCTGCTGTCTGGCAGGGCGGATTCTGGCTCCTGCCCCACCAGCTCCATCAGGTCACTAGCCTCGTACCAGTTGAGGGAGGGGCCCACTGTGCTGCTAGGTCCCCTGACACTGCAGAGGGCCTCTGACAGCAACTCCAGGGGGCCGCTGGTCCCTCGGGGTCTCTGCAGCAGTGCCCGAAGCTCCACCAGGCTGCGCAGCGCCAGGAGCTAGAGAGAGGTTACCAGACGGAGCTGGCAATGATCCCACCTCCAAGCCCTAACCAGGGCAGGGCACTGGGCCAGGGGCAGCCTCTCCCTCTCGCTGTCTAATCCTCCTGAAAACCCACCCAAGGGAAGTGCCCGGGCTGCCCCAGACCCTCCCGGCGCAGGCTGCCTGCCAACGTTGCCTCCATGGGGGTTGAGGATGAGTGGGGCCTCGTACCTCCTGGGCCAGGTCCTCAGCGGCCTCCAACAAGCTGTGCAAGGGCTCCTGGGCTTGGCCCAGTGCCAACCCCAGGGATTCCTGGGGAGAAAGACCACAAGGGGGACAATGATTTTGAACACTCACTAGGGGTCCAGCGCTCTGGCCAGTTCCCAGGCAGACCATACTATCATAGCCCCCACTTTACAAATAGGGAAACTGAGGCTCTGAGAGGCAAAGGGACTCATTGGAGATCTCACAGACGAGTCTTCCTCACTGGGTCAGACACACTCTGTCTGGGGGCCCAGACGGACAAGCAGCATCACCGCAGAGACCAGGGACAGCCTGGATGCCTGGAACGGGAGGTCCTTGGCCCGGGGTGGGGCAGTGCCAGGACATCCCCAGTGCAGTGTCCCAGGAAGTCAGCGCGGTCCCGCCCCGACACCCTACCGTGCGCAGCAGTGACGTCAGCAGCTCCGCGACATCCAGCATGGGTGGTTCCAGTGGAGACTGCTTGGTTGGTTGAGGCTGGGCTGGGGGAGGAGCGCACGGGAGCATGGGGCTGGGGGGACGTTGGTCTGAGGCACCCACCCCCACCCTGTGCCCATTTCACGGCCCGGCAAGTTGAGGCTCAGAGCTCAGCCCTGCCAGAGGCCCCCCGGCCTCCTCACCCGTGCTGCGTGCAGCCCTCAGCGTGGCGATCAGCTTCCCTAGGCCAGCCAGCGTCCTGTGGGCACTGGCCCCTCCCAGCACAGTGCGGGCATCGGCTAGCAGCCGGGAGACCCTGGGGACAGAGAGAGGGCAGGAGGCGGGGTTCCGGCCGGCACTGCAGCCCCGAGTTTGCAGGCCGGCCGCACCCACTGCCTCTGGCTCACAGGGAGTCGTTGAAGTTGCTCAGGCGCCCGGGCTCCTCGCCCGGTGTCAGCTGCGGAAAGCAGGTGTTGTTCACATTACAGATGAGACCCTGGAGCCAGGGCACGGTGCCCGCCGATGGCAGTGGCTTGTTTGGGAAGTGGCCTGCGGGGAGACGCCTGGTGCTGAGGCCCTGTGGACTCTGCCTGACTCCACCCCCATCGGGTCGCCCGGCACCGCTTGCATGCCTCCAGCGATGGAGAGCTCACTCCCATGCCATGTATTGGCGGCCTGGTGAAGGCTCCCTGACATGCACGGGGGATTCCTGTGCACGGGTGAGCCATCTGCCTTCCCCTACACACACAAAGTGCCTGGTCCCTGGGGGGGCTCACATTCATGGTGCTCCAGGGGCGGGTGGGAGTGGCGAACAGCCACCAGGATGAAGAAGAGGAAGAGAGGCCACAGCAATTCGACCAGGAGCTGGACCTGGGGGAGAATAGGTGGGAGACGGTGGGGGACAGTGGGGGCTGCCTGCCCACCCGGCCCTGGTCTCACACTGGGGCGTTACCGGCTGTCTCCGGCGATACATGAAATTCTTCCAGAGCAGCAGCATCAGCTGTGTCCAGAAGGCCATGGTGAGACTGGGCAGGGGACGGGACAGAGAGGTCAGGACAACGGTCGGGCTGAAGACGTGCGGTGCGGCTGCGGGCAACTCCCTGCCCCTTTCTGAACCTCATTCCTTTATCCCACAGCGCAGGGTTCCTGGAAGCTCTGATTAGAGCGAGGCAAACAGTAGTCACTCGATAAAGAGGCTCCGCTACCCCAGGGGTGGAGTAAACCAATGGGAGCGCAACCCGCAGCCGTCCTCGCATCTGATTGGCTGCCAGGACTGTCGCTCTGAGCAGGGCTGACAGCTGGGGACTTAAAGATCATCCTCTAATCCTCCAGGGACCGAGTTTGGGCTTAACGCTTTCGTCACCAGGCTCCACCCCAAGCCTCACCTGGAAGCCTCTTCCAGGTCCTGACCCCCAGCCTCCTGCCTGGCCCAGCCCAGGCAAGGATTCCTTTCCCCTCACTGTTCTCCGAAGATAACAGCAACGAATATTGGCAGTGCTGGACATTTCACACGCCCAGGGGAAGTGCTGGACTATCACCCCACTCTACAGAAGTGGAAACCGAGGCCCAAGAAAGCAAACCCAGGCACCCAGAGAGACAGGCAGTTGCCCAGCTGGAGGCACGACCCCAGCTCTGCCCACACCTTATGTAGCATTAATCGCTCAGAGGGACCGCGGGAGCCAGAGAAAGAGTCAGGCGAAGGGGCTGGGATAGAGACTCCTGGAGTCAGCGATTCCTGATCTATTTTCCTTGGGCCGGTCCACCTCTGACACAGATGGAGAATCTGACGCTGACAGAGGGGCAGGAAGTTGCTAAAGGTGACCAGGCCGGAACTGGGACCTCAGACCCAGACCCTTACGCCAGGGTTCTTTCCTTTACATCAAGCGGGACTTAGGATCTGGGGGAGTGGGCTCAGTTTCTCCATTTGTAAGACGGGGCAAGGGGGAGTGCAGGAGTTCTAACGGGCAGGGGGCTGCAGGTGTGTGATCGGCAAAGGCCCTCTTAAGGGTCCCAGATGTCCGATGCCCCCCTTGAGAATCAGTGATCAATTCAGCCGTCGTCAACATTCACCGGAAGGAGGTCAGAGGCTGGACCCCCTAATTCCCAGGGAACTTGCATCCCTCCCGGCCCCAACCCCGCATTCTCGAGTCTCGGGCCTTCTTCCCTCTCCGAGTCCTTCTCACCTTCCAGGGGCTCCGCAGCTCTTGCCGCCTTCCCTCCGCCCAGCAGCAGGCAGGGAGCGCGCCGCCCCTTAAGCCAAGTGCGCTGAGCTTGCCCGCGCAGGTAGCAGCGCCGGGGCACGCCCCTGCCTCTGCACGCTGCTATTGGGCGACCTGCCCGTCACTCACTGGCCTGCTCCGTCGGAGCTGCGCGGGCCAAGGGAGGAGACGGGATCACAGAAGGGCCTCGCCTAGCCGGGTTTCTTAAAGGGACCGCGCGGCTCTTGCTGCATCACCGTAGGGTGGCGGAGTGCCCGGCAGGTCCCAGGCAGGCCGCCCTCCGGGAACGAGGCTGCGCTGTCTTTGGGGAGCCAGGCTGCCTCCCCACGTTGTATAACCGGCTGCAATACCGCAGCTCCGAATTGCAGGAGTTCCCTCTGTCCCCGCTGTCCCCGGGGCTGGCCAGGCTCCCTCTAGTTTAGTCCAGACTCTGGGACTACACTCGTCCGTCTGTAAAGTAGGGGTTCCACTAGATCATTCGTTCATTCATTCATTCCACGAACGCTCCTCGGCTTCTGCAGAGGATGGCAGGAGGGGGAGGGGGCCAACATTCTAGAGTCTCCGATTATAGTGGCTACCCTGATTTTGAGGAAAACCCGTTTCCCACTCTGGAAGAAGAGTTGAAATAAACTCTTCAGGCTGGAGGTGAAGCTGAAATGGGAGCGTGTGGGTCCACAGCTTTGAAGGCGCTGGGGAGAGTGAGAGGCGTGGGGACGGCTCCCGCGGCAGGAGGTGGCATTGCCGTTGGGGCTTTGAGGATAAATAGGAGTTCGCCAACGGGGAGACATCCAGGCTGAGGCCACGAGACTTGCGCTGTAAGGTAGAGTGCAGCCAAAGCGCATGGGGGGCATTTGAGGGAACTGCCTCTTCTCCAAATGGCCAGGAAGCCCAGCCTCTCCCTCTACCCCAAGTCCCGGCCCTTCAAATCATTCATTCCACCCAGACTCACCTGTGGCTTCAGCTTTTGCTCCTCCTCCCAATGGTGAGGTGGACATTTTCCCCTTGATCCCCCCATCCCCCAAGACCTCCTCTCTCCCCACAAAAGCATCAAAGCAAAGCACGCCCTCATCGACGCCAACTCTCTTGGCCACCTTCTCTTCGTACAAACAGAGGTTTTATTGCGTTTGGTCCACAGTCGTATTTCACATTATCTCACGGAGCAGGTCCCCTGGGTGGGGGGTCCCTGTGCAGTACTTGGCGGGGCATGTGGCCGGGGAAGATGGAGCAGTATAAGCTGGTCGGGCCCAGAAGGGAGGAGGGCTGGGGGCTCCTTAAAACCTACTGAGGGGCTGGGCACGGTGGCTCACACCTGTAATCTCAGCGCTTGGGGAGGCGGAGGCGGGCGGATCACACCTGAGGCCAGGAGTTCGAGACCAGCCTGGCCAACATGGGGAAACCCCATCTCTACTAAAAATACAAAAATTAGCCGGGCGTGGTGGAGCACCTGCAGTCCTAGCTACTCAGGAGGCTGAGGCTGGAGAATCGCTTGAGCCCGGAAGGTGGAGGTGCAGTGAGCCAAGATGGCGCCACTGCACTCCAGCCTGGGCAACAACCACAACTGAAAAAAAAATCTACTGAGGCCAGAGTGGGTTGGGGCGGGGAGCATGGAGAGGGGGTCAGGCTTAGCCCCAACAACTCAGAATTTCACTTCCTTGTACGGCCCTCACTTTCTCCACCTGGCCCCGGGGCAGGTCTGAGGGTCTGAAGTCTGTTGGTCTGAAGGTCCTAGGCAAATCCAGTCACTTGGGAGCCGGAGATATTTAACATCACGGCCCGGTCCCCTTTCCCAGGGGACTCATTTCCTAGCACTCTCTCCACTGTCCTTGCCCCACCCCTGGGGGAAAAAATGTATTTTTCTTTTGTGAATACTTCCTGAAACTTGCGGGCATAGAAACCACAAACTGCTCAGCTGACAAAAGGGGGAAGAGGCGAGGCAAGCAGAAACCGTCGGGGACCGGTTCCTTCCAAGCCCAGGTCTCTTCTTCCCAGCACAGCCTGAATGTGCCAGCAGGGACCCTCGCCCTACACGTATTGGGATATGGCCTTGACCCCTTCCCCCACAGCCCAGTGGCTCAGCCTTGCGAAGGATCAAGGCAAAGGGGAAAAAAGCTCTGCTGCCTGATCCCACGCTGACACTCACAGACCCTTGGTTGACTGGCAGCACTGAACGGGTTAAGAAAAAAAAAAAAAAGATGAAAACACAGAAAAACCCAAAAACCCAGATGGGCAGACGATGTGGGGAGAGAGCGTGCTGGGAGCCTCAGTAGCCGGCCTCCTCCTGGTAGTAAGGGG
This sequence comes from Homo sapiens, assembly GCF_000001405.40. Lineage (NCBI taxonomy): Eukaryota > Metazoa > Chordata > Mammalia > Primates > Hominidae > Homo > Homo sapiens. Next base: position 1,037,868 of record NC_000019.10, on the reverse strand, counting down.
GATATTCAGGGACCTCCCCCGGGTCCGGGCAGTCGCCGGTGCCCGAGGGAGCCCCATCGGCCACTGTGCCTTGCGGGCAGTACTTGGGGTCATATATCTGCCGGCCCAGGCCGAAGACCTGGCCGCTCTGGTTGGCGCCCTGCGTGTAGCCCATCTGCAGGGACATGGAGGAGTTGTCACACTTGTCGGTTCCCAGCTTGGTATCATAGATGTGCCGCCGGGTCCCGGGAGCCGTCATGCCCACCTGGAGAGGAAGGAGGGGTGGAGCAGGTCATGGTGGAGAGAAGAGGGGACCTTCACTGGGTGCACTGGCTCACGCCTGTAATCCCAGCACTTTGGGAGGCCAAGGTGGGAGGATCACCTGAGGTCAGGAGTTCCAGTCCAGCCTGGCCAACACGGTGAAACCCTGTCTCTCCCAAAAATACAAAATTAGCTGGGCGTGGTGGCACATGCCTGTAATCCCAGCTACTCGGGAGGCTGAGGTGGGAGGATCACCTGAGGTCAGAAGTTCAAGACCAGCCTGGCCAACACGGTGAAACCCCATATCTACTAAAAATACAAAAATTAGCCGGGCGTGGTGGCGGGCGCCTGTAGTCTCAGCTACTCGGGAGGCTGAGGTGGGAGGATCACCTGAGGTCAGGAGTTCAAGACTAGCCTGACCAACACAGTGAAACCCCGTCTCTACTAAAAATACAAAAATTAGCTGGGTGTGGCCGGGTGCGGTGGCTCACACCTGTAACCCTAGCAGTTTGGGAGGTCAAGGCGGGTGGATTGCCTGAGCTCAGGAGTTCGAGACCAGCCTGGGCAACATGGTGAAACCCCATGTCTACTAAAAATACAAAAATTGGCCGGGTGTGGCAGCATGCACCTGTAGTCCCAGCTACTCGGGAGGCTGAGGCAGGAAGGAGAATCTCTTGAACCCGGGAGGCAGAGGTTGCAGTGAGCCGAGATCGTGCCACTGCACTCCAGCCTGGACAACAGAGTGAGATCCTATCTCAAAATAAATACATAAATAAAATAAATAAAGATTAAAAAAAAAGAATTGGGTGGACCTTTGGGCAGTCCTTAAGGGAAAATGACACAGGGTGAGGTAGTAACTTCCCTAGAGACCCACAGCCAGGTGGAAATGACAGAGGCTGAAATCCAAGGCGGAGACAGAGAGCGGGGAGGGAAGCCGGAGGTGGTCTAGGGAAGGGGCTGAGACTGAGAGTGGGGAGAGAAGCTGGAGGTGGCCCCAGGGAGGGGCCGAGACCACAGGGTGTAGAGGGGCAGGGAGAGGAGTCGGGGGCACCCGGGCGAGCCCCACCTGGCTGGCACACTTGTTCGTGCCCATCTGGAGGCTGATGGTCGAGTGGTCCATGGGGGGCAGGATATGGTTCTTGGGGTCATAGAGATGCCTTCTCGTGCCGTAGGCAGTCATGCCCGACTGGCTGGCGCATTTGTTGGTGCCCATCTGCAGGGAGGTTCGTGGGAGAGGTCAGACTGCACCCAACAAGCTTCCGGTCCCTCCCTGAAATTGAGGGACCACAGGGCTCCATGCCGCTGTCCCCCAATGCTGCTGTCCCCCAACACCGTGGTCCCCCAATGCCGTGGTCCCTGGGGCTGGGGGAGCTGTCGCCCACCTGCAGCCCGATGACGCACTGGCCAGCCTTCATGGTGGCATCGTCGAAATTCCGCTCCTGCTTCTCCGAGTACTTGACGCCAATGTCCACCCCGCTCTGCAGCCCCTTAGTCTTGGCCTGGGTGAGGGAAAGGGGCCGGGAGTACCAGCAGAGGGCAGCCAGGGACCCTAGATCTAGGCCCTGGGGGCGGGACAGAGACCAGGCCGCGGCCTGTCACCTCTGCCTGCCGCGCAGAGCCCCCACAGGCACATCTCTCGGGTGTCTGGGACTCCACACACTCCACACACCCATCATACAGCTGTTTCAGTTTTTTATTTTTATTTTTGAGATGGAGTCTGGCTCTGTCACCCAGGCTGGAGTGCAGTGGTGTGATCTCCGCTCACTGCAACCCCCTCCTCCCAGGTTCAAGCAATTCTCCTGCCTCAGCCTCCCAAGTAGCTAGGATTACAGGCGTGTGCCACCACGCCAGGCTAATTTTTGTATTTTTAGTAGAGACGGGGTTTCACCATGTTGCCAGGCTGGTCTTGAACTCCTGGCCTCAAGTTATCCACCCGCCTCAACCTCCAAAAGTGCTGGGATTACAGGCGTGAGCCACCGCGCCCAGCCCATGGGGCTGCTTCATCCCAGCGTGCCTTGTCTTAGGCAACAGCTCAGCTTTCCAGGGCTCAGGCCAAGAATTCTGGGGATGGGGACGTGGTTTTCGCTTCCTCTCTCTCACCTTCCACCACCTCCTCTGACCCAATCCCCGGGCACCATGGCCAGGCCATTGGCTCTGCCCCTCACTGGGATGTCTGCGCCCGGCTCCTCCCTGACCACCATTCCCCACGTGAGGTTACTGGGAGCCACAGGGGGCATCTGAAAACACCATTTGGAGCAGTTACCCCAGGAGAAAACCAGCTCCCGCTTCCTCTAACAGCCCAGCCAATTCCAATGTCAAGACCTTGCTGTTCCTTCTACGTGAGACACCATGTCACAAACACACACTCCCATTCCATTCTACACCAGACACCGTGTCCCACCCACGCTCCCGGTCTACACCAGACACCGTGTCCCACCCACGCTCCCCGTCTACACCAGACACCGTCCCACCCACGCTCCCCGTCTACACCAGACACCGTGTCCCACCCACGCTCCCCGTCTACACCAGACACCGTGTCCCACCCACGCTCCCGGTATACACCAGACACCGTCCCACCCACGCTCCCGGTCTACACCAGACACCGTGTCCCACCCACGCTCCCGGTCTACACCAGACACCGTCCCACCCACGCTCCCGGTCTACACCAGACACCGTGTCCCACCCACGCTCCCGGTCTACACCAGACACCGTCCCACCCACGCTCCCGGTCTACACCAGACACCGTGTCCCACCCACGCTTACCGTCTACACCAGACACCGTGTCCCACCCATGCTCCCGGTCTACACCAGACACCGTCCCACCCACGCTCCCGGTCTACACCAGACAATGTGTCCCACCCACGCTCCCGGTCTACACCAGACACCGTCCCACCCACGCTCCCGGTCTACACCAGACACCGTGTCCCACCCACGCTCCCGGTCTACACCAGACACCGTCCCACCCACGCTCCCCGTCTACACCAGACACCGTGTCCCACCCACGCTGCCGGTCTACACCAGACACCGTCCCACCCACGCTCCCCGTCTACACCAGACACCGTGTCCCACCCACGCTGCCGGTCTACACCAGACACCGTCCCACCCACGCTCCCGGTCTACACCAGACACCGTGTCCCACCCACGCTGCCGGTCTACACCAGACACCGTCCCACCCACGCTCCCCGTCTACACCAGACACCGTGTCCCACCCACGCTCCCGGTCTACACCAGACACCGTCCCACCCACGCTCCCGGTCTACACCAGACACCGTGTCCCACCCACGCTCCCGGTCTACACCAGACACCGTGTCCCACCCACGCTCCCGGTCTACACCAGACACCGTCCCACCCACGCTCCCGGTCTACACCAGACACCGTGTCCCACCCACGCTTACCGTCTACACCAGACACCGTGTCCCACCCACGCTCCCGGTCTACACCAGACACCGTCCCACCCACGCTCCCGGTCTACACCAGACAATGTGTCCCACCCACGCTCCCGGTCTACACCAGACACCGTCCCACCCACGCTCCCGGTCTACACCAGACACCGTGTCCCACCCACGCTCCCGGTCTACACCAGACACCGTCCCACCCACGCTCCCCGTCTACACCAGACACCGTGTCCCACCCACGCTGCCGGTCTACACCAGACACCGTCCCACCCACGCTCCCCGTCTACACCAGACACCGTGTCCCACCCACGCTCCCGGTCTACACCAGACACCGTCCCACCCACGCTCCCGGTCTACACCAGACACCGTGTCCCACCCACGCTGCCGGTCTACACCAGACACCGTCCCACCCACGCTCCCCGTCTACACCAGACACCGTGTCCCACCCACGCTCCCGGTCTACACCAGACACCGTCCCACCCACGCTCCCCGTCTACACCAGACACCGTGTCCCACCCACGCTCCCGGTCTACACCAGACACCGTGTCCCACCCACGCTCCCGGTCTACACCAGACACTGTCCCACCCACGCTCCCGGTCTACACCACTGTCCCACCCACGCTCCCGGTCTGGGTTTGAAGATCACTAGACACTCAACATTCGTCTGATTCTTCTCCTTCAAGGCATTTCTCCCAGTTCAGAGCTTATTTATTACTTTTGTTATGATTATTTTTTGAGAGAGTCTTGCTCTGTTGCCCAGGCTGGAGAGCAGTGGTGTGGTCATAGCTCACTGCAACCTCTTAACTCCTGGGCTCAGCCTCCCGAGTAGCTGGGATTACAGGCATGCACCACCACGCCCAGGTAATTTTTGTTTTCTTAGTAGAGATGGGGTTTCACCATGTTGGCCAGGCTGGTCTCGAACTCCTGGTGTCAAGCAATTCTCCAACCTCGGCCTCCCAAAGTGCTGGGATTACAGGTGTGAGCCACTGCGCCCGGCCAGAGCTTACATATAATGCATAATACAATGCTGTGTTCACTTTTGCATGCCTCCGCCATCAGACTGAACTGCATAAGGGGTAGACCATGTCCTTCCTGTTCACCAAGGAATCTGAAGTACCTGGCACCTCACGGATGCTCAGAAATATTTGTAAACGAGGCCGGGCACAGGGGCTCATGCCTGTAATCCCAGCACTTGGGGAGGCCGAGGCGGGCGGATCACCTGAAGTCAAGAGTTCAAGACCAGCCTGGCCAGCATGGTGAAACCCAGTCTCCACTAAAAATACAAAAATTAGCCAGGCGTGGTGGCAGGTGCCTGTAATCCCAGCTACTCGGGAGACTGAGGCAGAAGAATCGCTTGAACCTGGGAGTTGGAGGTTGCAGTGAGCTGAGATCACGCCATTGCACTCCAGCCTGAGTGACAGAGTGAGACTCCGACTCAAAAATAAACAAACAGAAATTTGCAAACGAGTGAATGCAGCAGCTACATCCACCTCGCTGTGTGACTCTGGGCAGGTGGCTGCCCCTCTCTGGGCCTCACCTTCCCCGCCAGGGCGAGAAGAGACACCTGCACCTGCGTCATGTTCCCACTCTCAAACAGGTCGTTGGCCTCGAACAGGTCCACAGGGTTCATGCCGTAGCTGACCATGGCCTTGATGAAGTTGGACAGGTTTTCTAGCTGGGAAGAGGCAGGAGAGGGACAGTGAGTGGGCCTCAGTCTCCCCACCTGTTAGATGGGCCCCCAGCACCATCCCTGCTCCGCTCCACCAGCCCCTCACCTGGTGCCAGTTCTGCATGGAGCGGTTGATCTTGGGGACGGAGCCCGGCTGTAGCTTGTTCATGAGTCTGGAGGGCACAACATGGGGCGGGGGAAACAGAAACCTCTGTGAGCAGCGAGGAACCGTGAAGACCCGATGCTGATCTCAGCCAAGCTCACGCCTTCCTGGGCAAACTCACGGCCTCTCTCTGGGCCTCAGTTTCCACTCTTTTTTTTTTTTTTTTTGAGACGGCGTCTAGCTCTGTCACCCAGACTAGAGTGCAATGGCACTATCTAGACTCACTGCCACCTCCACCTCCCGGGTTCAAGTGATTCTCCTGCCTCAGCCCTGAGCCTCCCGAGTAGCTGGGATTACAGGTGCCTGCCACCACACCCGGCTAATTTTTGCATTTTTAGTAGAGATGGAGTTTCACCATGTTGTCCAGGCTGGTCTCGATCTCCTGACCTCGTGATCCGTCCACCTCAACCTCCCAAAGTGCTGGGATTACAAGCGTGAGCCACCATCCCAGGCCTCAAGTTTCCACTCTTATAAAGTAATCTTTGGCTGGGTTTGGTGGCTCAGGCCTGTAAGCCCAGCACTTTGGAAGGCCGAGGCAGGCAGATCACGTGACGTCAAGGGCTCAAGACCAGCCTGGCCAACATGGAGCAACCCCATCTCTACTAAATATACAAAAAAAATTAGCCGGGCATGGTGGCAGTCGCCTGTAATCCCAGCTACTCGGGAGGCTGAGGCAGGGGAATCACTTGAACCCAGGAGGTGGAGGTTGCAGTGAGCCGAGATCATGCCACTGCACTCCAGCTTGGGCAACAGAGTGAGACTCCACCTCAAAAAAAAAAAATTATTTATTTAGCCACCACGCCCAGCTAACTTTTTTTTTTTTTTTTTTTTTTTTTTGAGATGGAGTCTCGCTGTGTCACCCCGGCTGGAGTGCAATGGTGTGATCTCGGCTCACTGCAACCTCCGCCTCCCGGGTTCAAGCAATTCTCCTTCCTCAGCCTCCTGAGTAGCTGGGATTACAGGTGCCTGGCTAATTTTTTTGTATTATTAGTACAGACGGGGTTTCACCATGTTGGCCAGGCTGGTCTCGAACTCCTGACCTCGAGATCCACCGCCCCCCGCCACCACCCTCGGCCTCCAAAAGTGCTGGGATTACAGGCATGAGCCAGGCCATGCCCGGCCCCCCAAAAATTTCTTAATTAAGAAAAAAAGTGAGAAAAACCAAGATTTGTTAAGTGTGAGACAGCCTGTGTCCCTGCGTGTACTCACGTGCATAAGATAGTTCCATCCTTCAGGCCCTTCTGGAAGTCGGGGCCGATGGAGAGGCCGGTGAGTCCCTCGATCCAGGTGCGGAGCTCTGCCTCCTTCTGGGGGTCATATTTGGACAGGAGCTGGTGGAGCAAAGGGCACGAGACTGAGCTGGGCTGGGGGCACCCCCAGCAGGAACCCCACAGAAGCTCTGCAGAGGGTGGGGCCGGGGACTCCAGGGCAACAGCAGATAGAGCGGCCTGGAGGTCCCCCCTCACCACACCCACGCAGATGCTCCCTTTTCCCATCATTGGGGGCGCCCCAGCCACTGCAGGCGGGCACAGATAAACCGCCCTCCAAGCAGGCCGACAACCGGCTTAGAACTCACTGATAAACATCAGCTCTAATCCACTCCCGGTGCAGGACAAACCTGGCCGGATCTGCCTCCCCGCCCTGCCTTCTCACCTCCCCGCTATATCACACCTGACGTTTACCACTTCAACCACCTGAAACCGCACCATTTCACAGCATTTCGTACGTCTGCAATGTTGTGCAACCATCAGCTCTTTTTTCTTTTTTATTTTTTTTGAGACAGAGTCTCACTCTGTCGCCCAGGCTGGAGTGCAGTGGTGCGATCTCGGCTCACTGCAAGCTCCGCCTCCCCGGTTCAGGCCATTCTCCTGCCTCAGCCTCCCGAGTAGCTGGGACTGCAGGCGCCCGCCACCAGGCCCAGCTCATTTTTTGTATTTTTAATAGAGACGGGGTTTCACCGTGTTAGCCAAGATGGTCTCCATCTCCTGACCTCGTGATCTGCCCGTCTCAGCCCTCCAAAGTGCTGGGATTACAGGTGTGAGCCACCGCGCCCGGCCCCCATCCTGCTTCTTAGCAACTCCCGAAGGAGCTGCCCCCGAGGCTGACCGCCTCTAGTCACGCACCTGGCTCCTTGCCACCGATTCCCTGCCACCTTTCTGCACCCGGCCATTCCAGCTTTCTTGGCCTTCGGTGCTCTGAGACACCGCCGTGGGGAATGGGCTGTGTGCTCCTGGGCAGTGGGTGTGCACCAGTGGGGACCTCGAGTGTCCCTATCCAGCCACTAGTGACCGCGGAGACAGCACTGAGGCAGACGGCAAAGTGTATAGGGGGCCATAAGCATGGGGGCAGGTCGTGTAGCGGGAGCGGGAGATAAACGCTGGAGGGAGAATAAAGTAGGGTTTGGGCTGGGTGCGGTGGCTCACACCTACAATCCCAGCACTTTGGGAGGCCAAGGCGGGCGGATCATCTGAGGTCAGGAGTTCGAGACTGGCCTAGCCCACATGGTGAAATCCCGTCTGTACTAAAATACAAAAATGAGCTGGGCGTGGTGGTGGGCACCTGTAGTCCCAGCTACTTGGGAGGCTGAGGCAGGAGAATCGCTTGAACCCAGGAGGCAGAGGAGGCAGTGAGCCAAGATCGGGCCACTTCACTCCAGCCTGGAACAGAGTGAGCCTCTGTCTTAAAAAAAAAAAGAAAGAAAAGAGAGAAGGAAAAAAAAAATCAAATCCCTCTCCCTGCTCTGCACCCATCTCCCCAGGTTCCCGCGGACAGCTCCCCACTCAGCCTCCGCTTCCTCATCTCTTCCTGGGATTATTTGGGTTAGGGTCCCCTGACCTGGACCTGCCTGGGATGATTTGGGTTAGGGTCCCCTGAGCTGGACCTGCCTGGGATGATTTGGGTTAGGGTCCCCTGAGCTGGACCTGCCTAGGATGATTTGGGTTAGGGTCCCCTGAGCTGGACCTGCCTGGGATGATTTGGGTTAGGGTCCCCTGAGCTGGACCTGCCTGGGATGATTTGGGTTAGGGTCCCCTGAGCTAGACCTGCCTGGGATGATTTGGGTAGGGTCCCCTGACCTGGACCTGCCTGGGATGATTTGGGTTAGGGTCCCCTGAGCTGGACCTGCCTGGGATGATTTGGGTTAGGGTCCCCTGAGCTGGACCTGCCTGGGATGATTTGGGTTAGGGTCCCCTGAGCTAGATCTGCCTGGAATGATTTGGGTAGGGTCCCCTGAGCTGGACCTGCCTGGGATGATTTGGGTTAGGGTCCCCTGAGCTGGACCTGCCTGGGATGATTTGGGTTAGGGTCCCCTGAGCTGGACCTGCCTGGGATGATTTGGGTTAGGGTCCCCTGAGCTGGACCTGCCTGGGATTATTTGGGATAGGGTCCCCTGACCTGGACCTGCCTGGGATTATTTGGGTTAGGGTCCCCTGACCTGGCACCTGCCTGGAAACAGCTCGTAGCCCAGAGGAGGCAAAGGCGGGGAGGCCCCCCAGTACCAGCTCACAGCCCACCCAGCTTGGCTTTCCACGCCCGGGGGCAGCCCCGCCCCGCCGGCAACTTTGATCCCGAGGAATGAGAACGGTGGCTGCTGGGTACACAGCCCTGCCTTGCCCAGCTGCGCCGCGTCTCTGCCGGCTCAGGGGCCCAGGTCCCCTGGCCCCACCCCCAGCCGCTGCCGTCCTCCCCCACCCCCGCCCCCCCGCTGCCCGGCCGCCGGCCTTCCAGCACATTCCTGTTCACCACAAACTGCCAGGAATGCGCGCTGCCTCCCCGGCTAAATCTGAACCAGCTGTTCCCAGCGGGTCCGGACCCCCAAGCCGGGATGCAAGGCCGCAGACACTGTGGATCCGAGCTGCCTCCGTGCCGTCCAGCCGGGAGTCAACTGAGCCACGGGGAAGCGGGGCGGGGGGCGGGTCTCTGGCTGTTTCAAGCAGCCGGTAAAGCGGGTGTGAGCGGGAAGCCAGGGGGAAGCTGGTTTCTAATTGGGAGGCGACCCTTCCGTGACCCTGGCAAGCTGGCCGACGCCTCGCCCACCCTCCAAACGGACAGACTGAGGGTTGCGCGGGGAGCCTGCTAAGCGGCTCTTCCAGCCTCTGTCCTCACCCCCGCCAGGGCAGGTATCAACCTGCCCCCACCCCACCCCACCCCGTCTCCGGAAGCCGCCCCACCCTCCTGTGCCCGCTCCCACTTCCGCAGGCCCAGCAGGTACTGGGTTCCGGTCTTGGCCCTGTCACTTGTGGGCTGTGTGGCCCTGGGCAGCTGGAACGACGTCTCTGGGTCCCTGTGGACACCGGTGCCCTTAGCCGGCTGTATGCAGGGTGCGGCAGGGTGCCCACCCCACTGCACGGGGGGCTCTATGAATGCAGGGTGCAGATGGCCCCTTGAAGGAGGAGTCGTGAGCCCCGGGCTGGGGACCCTGGCTCAGGCCTTGACCACCCCAAGCCTCAGCCTCCCTTTTTGGCCAAGAGCTGGTCTGAAGGCTTGCAGGGGCTCACAGCGGGGAAGCAGGAATTCTCCCTCCAGTCTGCCGGCCCTGGAGTGCCGCCGGGCAGGTGGCTGTTGGGGCTGGCAGGGCCGGTGCCCTCAGAGCGTGCAGAGGCAGTTTCCCCTGCAGAAGTCAGCTGTAAGGACACCTTCCCAGGTGCCCAGTGGGCGTCGGGGGAGGGGGTGGGCGGGGACGACACCCCCCTCCAGCTGGAAGGTCCTGGAGGGTCAGGTCCCGGTCCTGTCCGTGGGTCTCGCATCACAACCCCCGCCCCCCACTTTCCCTGGGAATCCTGTCCAGGACCCTGCTGTGTGACCCTGCAGAAGTGTCTGGTCCTCTCTGAGCTAGAACCACAAGTGCTCTCTTAAAAAGTGTCTCCCCTAGCCCTGGCTTGTTTTTAATTATAGAGATGGGGTTTCGCCATGTTGCCCAGACTGGTCTCGAACTCGCTGGGCTCAAGCCATCCACCCAGCTCCGCCCCCCAAAGTGCTGGGATTACGGGCGTGAGCCCCCGCGCCCTGCCGGGCCCCAGCTCTTCTTTCGAGGCTGCAAAACCCCACATATCTCAGGGCCACCTTCAGAGAACCTCTTTGTTATCCGTTTAAATTAGTCAGATGGGAGACAAAGACCGTGCAAAGCGGCTACCGCCCCTCCCCCCAAGACACCCCCAAGGTGTCCCAGAGGCCAGGAAATTCCTGTTTGTGGGGGGGTAACACTTCTCAAAAACCACTCGGCCATGCCCCTTCCCCTCCCAAAGCTAAGAGGCCCCAAAAGCAGAAGTGTGGCCAGGAGATGACGGGGTTGCTGGGGTCCCCCCCAGACCCCCAGAGCGTTGTCGGACCTTGAACGGACCTTCTCGAAGGTTGAGTGGGCGCCAGGGGCTTCACACGTGGGGGTCCTGGGGCCATGGCGAGGGGACGAAGTCAGACCCAACTACCCCTAGATGTTGGGGGGGGGAATGGGTCACTCGTCCCCCAGATCTCAGACCTGGGTGCTCCCCAAGATTCGCGGGAGCCTCAGGGGGTGCCCGCAGACATCCCCCCACCAGGCGTCAGGGAGAACAAGGGCCCGTCCGCCCCGGGTCTCCAAGCTCCCTGCCCGGGAGGTGCCGGGGGCGCCTGGGGGCTCCTGCACCGGTCGGAGCGTGCGACGGCCGCGCTGTCGGGGGGACAAGGGGCGCCCCTCACTCACCCGGTTCTTGACCTCGGCCGACAGCCCGTACGAGGGGCCCTTGTTGAACTGCGTGGAGCTCATGGCTGGCGGGCGGGCGGCGGGACGGGGCCGCACAGGACGGGACGGGACGGGACCGCCGGGCTGGCGCGGGGTTGGGACGCGCCGGGCTCCGCGCGCCACGCCCCCGCCGCTGATTGGCCCGGAGCGCAAATGTCCTTATAAGGCCTGGAGGCGCCGAATTCCTGCGGCCGCGGACTTCCTGAGCCCCCTCGGTCGCCCCCGGACCCCCGCCTGGGCACAGCACCCCCGTCACCAGAGGCCTGGAGGGGCCCCTCGCCCCCTTTGATGCCACGGGAAACTGAGGCAGGGAGGGGCCGAGGCCGCCGGGACGTGGCACTCCTGCGGGCTCTCTGCTCAGAGCTCGTGGGCGGCTCTCACTCTTTCTCCATCTCAGACTTCTCTTCTGCCAGAAAGGGGAGGGGAGAAGGCTACCTTTGGGGCAGGAATGAGGGCCCCTCTCTGCCACTTAGAGGCGTCTAACCCCTTCCCAGGGAACTCTACTAGCTGGGAGGTGGACCAGGGAACCAGGGCAGGTTCCTCAGAGAAGGGGCCATTGGAGCTGGGGCTTTGTTGGATGAGTAGGAGTTTGTCAGTCCAAAAGAGAATAGGATTCTTACTGGGTGCGGTAGCTTGCACCTGGAGTTCTAGCTACTTGGGAGGCTGAGGCCGAAGGGGGAGGATCCGTTGAGCCCAAGAGGTCGAAGCTGCAGTGAGTTATCATCACAACATGACGCTCCAGCCTGGGCAGCAGAGCAAGAGCCTCTCTCTAAAAATAAATAAATAAATAAAAATAAAAATCCGAGTGGCTCACGCCTGCAATCCCAGCACTTTGGAAGGCCGAGGCGGGCGGATCACTTGAGGTCAGGAGTTCCAGACCAGCTTGGCTAACATGGCGAAACTCCGTCTCTACTAAAAATACAAAAATTAGCCGGGCATGGGGGCACATGCCTGTAATTCCAGCTACTGAGGAGGCTGAGGTGGGAGGATCACTTGAAGCCAGGAGGCGGAGGTTGTAGTAAGTCGAGATCGCGCCACTGCACTCCAGCCTGGGCGACAGAGCAAGACTCCGTCTTAAAAAAAAAAACAAAAAAAAAAAACACAAAAAAACCCTAATAATAATAAATTATTAAAAAGTCTCCGGGACAGTCTCCTGCCAGGCAGTGCTGGCTCTCAGGAGACCTTAGCTCTGGCCCAGCCCATGCCCAGGAAGACAGAGCTGGCACAGACCAACCCCCAACCCGGATTCCCTGTATGAGCCAGCACAGGCGGAACCCCCCCACCCCGCCCACCCTGTTTCCCTATATGAGCAAGTACAGGACAGAATGAGAGGCTTGGGGCTGGAGGAACTGGAGGGAGAGTTGGGGCTCTGTCGGAGGAATCAAGGAAAGCTGCATGTAAGAGGAGGCAAGGGAGATGGGGTTTTGAAGCATCAATAGGAGTTTGACACATTTTATTTTATTTTATTTTATTTTATTTTATTTTATTTTATTTTATTTTATTTTTAGTAGAGATGGGGTTTCACCATGTTGGCCAGGCTGGTCTCGAACCCCTGACCTCAGGTGATCCACCCGCCTCAGCCTCCCAAAGTACTGTGATTACAGGCTTGAACCACTGCACCTGGCCGACCCATGTCATTTTAGACCAGTGCTGACCATTTCTGTTATTCTGAGATGAAGGAAATTTTCAATGTGGCACTATCTACTACTGTAGCCACTGGCCATGGGGCTACTGAGCACTGGAAGTGTGGCTGGTGCCATCAGGGAAGCAAATACTTCATGTTCTTTTTATTTTATTTTATTATTATTTTTTGAGACGGAGTCTCGCTCTGTCACCCAGGCTGGAGTGCAGTGGCGCAATCTTGGCTCACTGCAAGCTCCACCTCCTGGGTTCACGCCATTCTCCTGCCTCAGCCTCCCCAGCAGCTGGGACTACAGGCACACCTCCACACCCAGCTAATTTTTGTATTTTTAGTAGAGACGGGGTTTCACTGTGTTATCCAGGATGGTCTCGATCTCCTGACCTCGTGATCTGCCCGCCTCAGCCTCCCAAAGTGCTGGGATTACAGGTGTGAGCCACCGCACCCAGCAAATACTTCCTATTCTTAAATTTCAATTAAAAATTAAAAACTGGCACTAGATTCCATTTTTTGAAGACACATATATATAAATACACATATATATGTAGCTGGGACTCCGAGTAGCTGGGACCGTAGACACGCACCACCACGCCTGGCTAATTTTTGCATTTTTAGTAGAGATGCGGGTTTCACCATGTTGGCCAGGCTGGTCTTGAACTCCTGACCTCAAGTGATCCGCCGGCCTCAGCCTTCCGAAGTGCTGGGATTATAGGTGTCAGCTGCCGTGGCCGGGCTATTTCAATTAATTTCAGTTAAAAATTAAAAACTGACATGATTTCCGTTTTTGACTATATATATATGTACACACACATTAAAGTTTTCAAATACATAAATACACACATATGTACACATTATACATATAAATGTAAATATATAGATATTTGAAACAGGGTCTTGCTCTGTCACCCAGGCTGGAGTGCAGTGGTGCAAATATAGTTCACTGCAGCCTCGACCTCCTGGACTCAAGTAATCTCCTGCCTCAGCCTCCTGAGTATCTGGGACTACAGGCATGTGCCATATGCCTAGCTAATTTTTAAATTTTTTGTAGAGATGGGGTCTCCCTATGTTGCCCAGTCTGGATTCAAGTGATCCTCCCGCCTCAGCCTCCCAAAGTGCTGGGATTGCAGGCGTGAGCCACCGTGCTCAGCCTCGTGTATATTTTAAATACCTTAGCGTTTCTGAATTTTCCTTTTCAGTATAAACGCTGTAAATCTAAATACTGTGGAGATAAGTATTTCTGAGGAAGCACTGGTATCCATATTGGAACACCCCATGGATGGGAAACACACCAGATTCTGAAGACTTGGTACATCTCAGTTACTTTTTTTTTTTTTTTTTTTTTGAGAAGTAGTCTCGCTCTGTCACCCAGGCTGGGGTGCAGTGGCGTGATCTCGGCTCACTGCAAGCTCCGCCTCCCGGGTTCAGGCCATTCTTCTGCCTCAGCCTCCCGAGCAGCTGGGACTACAGGCGCCCGCCACCACACCCAGCTAATATTTTTGTATTTTTAGTAGAGACAGGGTTTCACCGTGTTTGCCAGGGTGGTCTCGATCTCCTGACCTCGTGATCCGCCCGCCTCGGCCTCCCAAGTGCTGGGATTACAGGTGTCAGCCACCGCGCCCGGCCACTTTTTTTTCGTTTATGAGGTGGGGTCTTGCTCTGTTGCCCAGGCTGGAGTGCAATGGTGCCATCACAGCTCACTGCAGCCTCCAACTCCTTGGCTTAAGCAATCCTCTTGCCTCAGCCTCCCAAGTAGCTGGGACCACAGGCACACACCACCGTGCCCAGCTAATTTTTGGTATTTTTCGTAGAGACAGGATCTCATTATATTGCCCAGGCTGGTCTTGAACACCTGGGCTGAAATGATCCTCCCGCCTCAGCCTCCAAAAGTGCTGAGATTACAGGCATGAGCCACCGCGCCTGACCTTGTTTGGATAACTTGAGATGTGTAAAATATATTATTAAAATTAATTTCACTTGCTCTTTTTTAGTTGTTTTACTGTGGCTACCAGAACACTTAAAGTTATGTTTGTTATTTGCTTATCTTTCTCTTGGAAAGCTGTGTTCTTGACCTGTGGGCCAAATCCAGCTGCAGCCTATTTTTGTATGGCTTGTGAGCTAAGAATGGCTCTTACATTTTTAAGTGGTTGAAAAAAAAACCCAAAATATGAAAACCATTCTATCAAACGTGGAAATTACATAACATTCAAATTCCAGTGTCTGCAGACAAAGCTTTATTGGCACACAGCTGTGCCCATCCATTTATGTATCATTTACGGCTGCGTTTTCTGTACAACAGCAGAGTGGAGTAGTTACTCTACCCAAAAAAGCTAAAAATACTGACTGTTGGCTTTTTTACACTTTATTTTTTAGAGACAGGGTCTCACTTAGTCATCCAACCTGGAGCGCAGGGATACGATCATGGCTCACTGCAGCCTCCAACTCCTGGGCTCAAGCAGTCCTCCCACCTCAGCCTCCCAAGTAGCTGGAATTACAGGCATGCACCAACGTCCTCAGTTAACTTTTAAAAACATTTTTTTGGGGGGGCCGGGCGCGGTGGCTCATGCCTGTAACTCCAGCACTTTGGGAGGCTGACGCGGGTGGATCACGAGGTCAGGAGTTCAATACCAACCTGGCCAAGATGATCAAACCTGGTCTCCACTAAAAATACAAAAAAAATAGCCGGGTGTGGTGGCGGAAGCCTGCAATCCCAGCTATTCAGGAGGCTGAGGCAGAGAATTGCTTGAACCCAAGAGGCGGAGGTTGCAGTGAGCCGAGATCACGCCACTGCACTCCAGCCTGGGCGACAGAGTGAGACTGCGTCTCAAAAAAAAAAAACAACACAAAACTTTTTTTTGGCGGGCTTGGTGGGTCACACCTGTAATCCCAGCACTTTGGGAGGCCTAGGCGGGCAAATCACCTAAAGTTAGGAGTTCGAGACCAGCCTGACCAACATGGAGAAACCGTCTCTACTAAAAATATAAAATTAGCCTGGAGTGGTGGCGCATGCCTGTAATCCCAGCTACTTGGGAGGCTGAGGCAGGAGAATGGCTTGAACCCGGGAGGCGGGGGTTGCAGAGAGCCGAGATCGCGCTTCTGCGCTCCAGCCTGGGCGACAGAGCGAGAATCCATCTCAAACAAACAACCAAAAAACCCAAAAACCATAGTATCCTCTTGTGTACGCAGCCGGCACTCAGTAAGTGCCCCTGAAGAGCACTTATTTATTCATTGCTGCGCGAAGCTACGGGGGCAGGTGGCACAGCGCCACGCAGGAGTAGAGACTGCCAGATTGTTCTACCGCCAACCTTAGTGGCGCCACAGGAGATGGACACGGGAAGACTATGACGTTACTGGCCCTGTGACGTCATGGCAGGATCCGGGCAAGAGAAGCCAAACGAGGTGACGAGCTGTAGACTACAGCAAAAATATGGAACGCTTCACGAATTTGCGTGTCATCCTTGCGCAGGGGCCATGCTAATCTTCTCTGTATCGTTCCAATTTTAGTATATGTGCTGCCGAAGCGAGCACGACTCAAGGGTTACTGTCACACCTATTTTAAGCCCTTCAATCAAATCATCTTTTGGTTAGGATAACTTATGGTCGGTTTCATATTTAGCATAATTTCCTACAGTGGTATGTTGCAGAACAACTTTCGTGCTTACGCTTACTTTGATGTCTTCGATCACGTAAAATCCCATATCTTATCGTAATTTTACCGCCTTATACTGGCCTCATAGCCGCGGTGGATTGTGGGTGCCAATATGCAAAAGAGGTGGCCCAGATGCAGGCCCGCCCCCTGGAGCGGCCGAGGTAGGGGGTGAGGCCTCCGCGGGCGCCGCTGGCATCCCAGCGTTCTCTGCGGGCGCAGGGGGGCCGCTCTTGCCCGGCGTGGCGACTCGCTAGCGTCAGCAGCGCCGCAGCCGGACGAGAAAGCGGAAGATGGCGGCGGCGGCCGGGAGGCCGTGAGGAGAGCGGCGGCTGCGAGGGCGGCCGATGGCGGCCGGGAGGCGCCCTCGGACACTTGCGGGTCGTTAGGGCGCGACGCTGGGAGGCATGTCGGAGCACGTGGAGCCCGCAGCTCCGGGGCCCGGGCCCAACGGCGGCGGCGGCGGCCCGGCCCCCGCGCGCGGGCCTCGCACCCCCAATCTCAACCCCAACCCCCTCATCAACGTGCGCGACCGGCTCTTCCACGCGCTGTTCTTCAAGATGGCTGTCACCTATTCGCGGCTCTTCCCGCCCGCCTTCCGCCGTCTCTTCGAGTTCTTCGTGCTGCTCAAGGTGACCGCGGCCCCGACCCCCGACCCTTGACCCCAGCGGCTGTCCCGACCCCCAAGTCTGCTACCTCCGACCGCGACCCCTGGCCCCGCTGGGGACAGCGAGCGCCACCCTGCACCCTGAGGCCTATACCCGGCCCTACCGATTAGGGCTCTCCCTCGCGACCTCTGACCCTGGGATTGGCCAGGGACACCGTCTCGTGACCCCATCCCGCCCGGGGACGTCCACCCGGGAAGGCCGGATCCCGCTGCACTAGAAGCCGCTGTTCTCTACTCTGGAAACCTCACTGTCAGCTCCCTCCAGGGCCCATCCTGTCCCCGGCGACCGCCTTTCCCAGGTCCCCACCTACCCAGGCTTGGAGTCCGGTCCTGGCCTGCGAGGTAGCACCTCCCGCCCTTTGACCCCTGACTGTGCCGCCTGAGACCCTCAGTTCCGAGGCCTCTCTCCCCTCCCAATGTGCTGGCCCAGAACCCAGCCTGACGCAGGTCTCCCTCGGACCAACCCCTGTCCTGGAAGTCGACTCCCCACTCCCCTCTCTCCCTCCTTGTAGCCTTTCAGCTGCGTTCCCCGCTCCTGAGCCTCAGGGGAATGTGACTTAGCTGAGGTCACCTCGCTAGGGTTAGCGGCAAAGTCACCGGCAGCAGCGTACCACCCCATCCCCGGCCTCTTCCTCCGCTGGGTCCCCACTCCCTTCCTGCTTCAGGAGCTCAGGTTGTGGGTCTGTCGCCCGTGCCTCCCCTATGAGGCACCGGCCTCCGCGTCTTGGGCTCTGTCCCCCTCCCGCCCTCCTCAGATGGCAGAGGTCTCAGCCGTGCAGGACAGGCATCGGCCTGACTCCCTCTGAGAAGGAGTCTTGCTTGGGTGACAAGAGGGGCTCAGTAGCAGCTGCAGCCCCTCAGAAAACAAGCTGGCCGGGGTCCTGGGCCACCTGGCGAAATGGGGACGTGGCCGTTTTCGTTCTGCATCAGAACACCGCCGCGCCGGGGCTTGGGGGCTGCTGAAGTTGCGCCGTGAGCTTTTTGGATCTAGCCTGCAAAGAGGGGTCCGATGCTGGCGGGCCAGGCTGCGATCGTGGGCAAGTTCCCAGCCTGACACAGGTTGGTCAGGAGCTGGCTGCTTTTTTGGGCTCGGCAAGTGGAGCTGGACCTTGGCCGTCCTGCGGACCTGGGTGTGGGTCCCAGCCTGCTGCCACTTCACGGAAGGCCCCCCAGCCTCCAGATCCGTGCCTCCCCAGGCCAGAGCTCAGCCCATCATCCTTCCCACCTTCCTCCCTGCAGCCCCCCAGAGTGGCATGGTCGCCTCAGTAGGCACCTGAGCAGGGCTGTGAAGGGTTACGCAGGCAGGCGGCCTTTCCCGGCTCTGGGGTCCACAGACGGGGCCTGAAACTGTGGACGGAGGCTGGTCTGTGGACGTGGGTTTTCCTTCCATGGAGTAGCCTGGGAACAGGATGGAGCCACTGTGTCCTTAGGCTTGTGGAGGGTGTGTGCTGGGTGCCAGGCCAGGTTCCCCCGACGGAGCTCAGCCTCCTTGGGAGGTGCATCCCTGTCGCCTGGGCCCTGGTCCCACCATGTCCCGGTTTGGAAAGGGATCAAGCCTACCCGGCTCCATCTCCAGGCCAATACCACTCACAGGTGGTCAGATGGGGCTGGGCCAGAGCTGGAGTTCCCCGTCTTCTGTGTAGGGTGGAGACTCTTGGGAGGTTCTCAGTAACCCCAATCCCTCCTCTCTCAGCAGAGGGCTTTGGACTGTGAGATCTCTGGGTGGTGAATTTTTTTTTTTTTTTTTTTGAGATGGAGTCTTGCTCTGTCACCCAGGCTGGAGTGCAGTGGTTTGATCTCGGCTCACTGCAAACTCCACCTCCTGGGTTCAAGCAATTCTTCTGCCTCAGCCTGCGGAGTAGCTAGGATTACCGGTGCCCACCATCACAACCGGCTAATTTTTTTGTCTTTTTAGTAGAGACTGGGTTTTGCCATGTTGGCTAGGCTGGTCTCAAACTGCTGATTTCAGGTGATCTGCCCGCCTCGGCCTCCCAAAAGGCTGGGATTACAGGCGTGAGCCACCATGCCTGGCCTGGGTGGGGAAATCTGTTCTTTGTGAATTTTCCACCCGGTAATCTGGTGGCACAGAATCTGACCCTGCTGCCTTCACTTTTACTTATCTGCAAAGTGCAGGCTGGAACTGCCTGATTTCAGAGGCTGCCTTGAGTTCCAGAAGGCTCCTCTGCTTCCTGCCTGCCTGGCTTCCGGGGGTCTCCCTGCAGAGAGCCAGGTCCTCCCTGGTATGATCCCTTCAAGGTGGCTTCATCCTGTGGCATCTGTGCAGCTGAGCTCCCAGCCCTGAGCTGGCATGGAGTCCCCCAGCTCTCACCCATGCCTGGGTGGCTTTAGGAAATGCCAGGATCTCCCAGCTCTGAGCCAGCATGGAGCCCCCCGGTCCCTCATCCATGCCTGGGTGGCTTTAGGAAATGCCAGGCAGTGCCAGGTGCTGGGGAGAGAGGAGGCGGCAGGGGCCTGTGTTCCAGGGGCCCTCGGGAGACCTCCATCCAGCCTCAGTATCCACCTCTGCTGGCCTTCATGGCCCTGAGCCCAGTGTGGCAGAGACTGTCCATCTTGGGGCACTGGGTGCCTGCACCTGTGCGGTTGGGCTCTGGACCCAGGTGACCACCAAGTGGATGCCCACAGGGTGAAGGGGTCTCGACTCAGCACCCCTGGACATGGGCAGGGGCCCGCGCCTAGCCACAGGGAGTAATGGGGCTCCTCTTGTGGGGTCGTGACGATTAAAGACGGGGTATGTGAGACCCCAGGGGCCCTGCTCTGAATGGGGGACCTGTCACATTGAGGCCACTGTGAGGCTGCAGTGGAAGGAGAGGCCCCGGTGGCCTGGAGGCAGGAAGCACCCCGGGTGGACAAAGGGGAGCCCCAGGTAGTGTTTCCTGGCTGGGGCTGAGGGCTCTGTGTCCCACCTGGGAGGAGAGTGTGGCTCCGCGGGCTTGTGTGTCCGTCGGTCTGTGGGTCAGTCAAATACCCAGAGAGCGGGCAGGCTGCTCCTGGCACTCCAGGTCTGTGGGGAGACAGGAAAGGAAAGGCCCACCCAGTGGCCGAGTGTTGGGGTGCCCTGAGAGCCTCGGCCAGAACATCCAGGAAGCTTCCTGGAGGAGGCGGTGAGCACGGCCCCAGGCTGGGGGAGGTGCTCCTGTGGGTGCAGCCGTGTGTGGGCTGACCCGGAGGAAGGAAGGGTCATAGGGGTGGGGTGACTCCTGTGCTGGGTGGGCAGGGCCTCCTGGAGGTGAGCCACAGCCAGTGGGATGGGGTGGGGTGTCCAGGCAGCTGGAGAGCGTGTGGGAAGGCCGTGGGGCTGGAGCATGTGGGTGCCTGCTGGGGAGCCTGGGTCAGGGACAGGGTCATGGAGTGTAGGGGACTGGACCACCCAGGGCATGCGAGTGGCTGAGCCAGGTTGCGGGCAGAGGGTGGCCAGGGGCCCATGGGAGCATTTGCAGGTGAGCTCCCTGGGGAGGGTTACTGTGGGCGTGGACGAGGCTGCCTGGGCGTGTGGCTCAGGGCCGGGCCTGGTGAGGTGGCTGCTGCAGGGTGGCTGATGACAGACAGGTCTTGGGGAGGAGGACCCGGGACTCGGGATGAGCCTGCGTCTGGCTGGGTGGTGCCTGCTCCTTGTTTTGTGGTGGGAGACTGAAGGGGAGCTGAGGCTTTGGCGGCAACGGGCCTTGTCCAGTGGGGCATTTTTCTGGTCATGCTCAGTCAGGGAAGAGGGGCCCTGAGCTCGGTCAGCACGGAGCACCTGATGGGGCAGAGACACAGTGACGTCTGAGTCATAGCGTCTGGTGGACTTGAAGTCTTTGACTGGAGTGTGTGCACATTGTGTGAAAACACTGGTGCCCTCTCATCACGTCCGCTGTCTTCATGGGACGGGTCACTCACACCAGTGCTGGGTGTGGCAGGATGTGTGTCCTGTGCCCTCTCCCGCTGACCCTGGACCAAGCTGACCCTGCCCAGGGCAACCCCAGGAGCTGCTCTTCCCCGTGGGGCCTTAATTGTGCAGACTGGCACTGCCCTGGCCCCTCCCTCCTGGCCATGTGACCTCAGCAGGTCCAGGTCTGTCGGGACCTCTGTGTCAGTTCCTCGTATATAAACCAGGGATGGTAACAGCCGTGCGTCCCTTGTGAAGCGTTGGACAGCCCCGACCTCGGCCCACTGTGTATCAGCACTTTTTGGAACATCTTGGCACAGGGTCCATTGCTGTCCTGGGCACAGCTCCTGCTGGATGTGTGGGCCTGGAAGGCAGAGCGTGGCCACCAGCAGCATCCACCATGGGCCTCGCGGGCCCCTCTCTCCTGAGAGTGCTGAGCCGAGGGGCTGTGGGGTCAGTGTCTCTGACCGTGACCCACCACTGGGCCCAGCCTCCGTGGCTCCTGTCCCCAGATGCCATATGGGGAAACGCTAGGCTTTGAAAGCATCTCAGGCTCCGGGGCTGCCCCCCTTCCACACTGCCCTCCCTGTCTTCCCCAGGACACAGGGGAACCCTCCCCAGCAGAGGGCCCTGCCCCCTCCCCCCGCCCACCCCTCATTTGTAGCTCCGGCGTCTGTGGGCGGGGCCTGAATGCCTGGCGGTCAGGGTTCTGCTCTTGCCTGTTTCTGCTTAAATCTCAGCGCCGGGCCAGCCTTCATCCCCTGCGGCTCTTTTGGCTGTAAGGACTAGAAATGCAGTTCAGATCAGCCCAAGGGATTCTCCAGCTCCTGGGGCTGGGGAGTGTGATGGGGCTCGCCCCAGGTGCACGTGCGGCTAGACCCAGGGCTTTATCCGTGCTCAGACTCAGGGCCTCCCACAGGTCACAGCACTGCGGCCGGGCTGGAAGTGGGTTGCTTTGCTGACTCGGCCCTTTGCTCAGTCTACAGAGGGTTCTGGAGAGGAGGCCCCAGCTCACTGTGGGCGTGGAAGAGTTGAGGCTCCTGGTGGTCTTGCCTATGGCTGTGCGGCCACAGGTGGCTCACTGCACCCCGGGCATTGGTGCACCTGCCAGCAGGTCACGGGTCACGGAGGGGCCCTGTGCTCCAGGCTCTCTGGCTTGTGATTTTGAGTCTGATCAATTCTTCCCTGAGAGTCTGGGGTTCCATGTGGCCGTGGGCGCCCCCTTGGCCCAGCTGGGTCCTCAGTTTTGCGGATCGGGGCAGCAGGTAGACGTGACCCTCACCAGGCTCGGGGGTGATGCCTGGACCTCAGGTTGGGAGGTACAGTGGGCAGCCAAACCGCCAGACGGTGAGGCGGGCTCCCTGGAAGAGGGGCTGCCCTGAACTGCCCCTAGAGGGGCCCCACTCTGAGTTGTGCCTGCAGCACGCTGGGGCGTGGGCTCCCCAAGCCCTGTGGACGTCGGGGTGGGGCCGTCCTGGGCACTGCGGGGTGCCGAGCAGCATCCCTGGCCTCACCCACTCCATGCCAGGAGCTCCCCCAATTGTGACAACCACAGATGTCCCAAGCATCCCCTGGGCAGGAGCCCCCAGGTGAGAGCTGCTGGCACCCCAGTTCATAGGTTGTGCCTCGGGCACGGCAGCCTCGCCCTGCCGTGGGGCGCTCTGCCCAGCCACGGAGGTCCACTGTGTCCCCAGCAGCTGCGGCTGGCCCCGCCAGGCCTGGGAGGGTTGCACAGGGCGCCCCGCCAGGTGAGAGAAGCTATTTTCAGGTGGTGAGATCAGGGGAGTGCTGGGGACGCAGCGGAAGGTGAGGCAGGAAGCAGCAGGTTGGGCTGTGGAGGGCTGTGCCCTCTTTCGTAGACAGTGGGTCCAGCTGGTGGCCCTGGGGTGGCGGCAACACCCATGCTGCTGCTTGCAGGGCGGGAGCCGTTGGCTGGCAGAGGGCCCTGGTGTGCTCCACTTGGTGGGTCTGAGTCCAGCCTCGTCTCCTCCCAGGTTTGGGGGGTCCTGTGTGCATCTGAGAGGGCCCCGGCCTGCTGGCTTCGTCCGGCTCACCCCTGAGGAGGTGCGGGGCAGTCACAGGCCTTGCCGAAGCCCCAGGGCCTGTCAGAGCCGGGCTGCAGGTGGCAGAGCCCCTCCGGGGTTGGAGTGGGGCGTCCCCCGGATCCTCAGTCACTTGGACTATGTGAGGGGCTGGCCCGGTGCAGTCAGCGTGGGAGGGACCCAGGGTCCTCAGAGCCCAATTCGGCTTCTGGGGTTTCCTTCCTTTCCCCGTCCTGGGCGTCCCAGCGCGCCCCATCACGCCCCATCACGTAGGCCCTTGGGTGTCGGCTGCAGCTGGCCCTGGGGCGCCCCACTGACTGCCGGCCGCCCCCTAGGCCCTGTTTGTGCTCTTCGTCCTGGCCTACATCCACATCGTCTTCTCCCGCTCGCCCATCAACTGCCTGGAGCATGTGCGTGACAAGTGGCCGCGTGAGGGCATCCTGCGTGTGGAAGTGCGGCACAACTCGAGCCGCGCGCCCGTCTTCCTACAGTTCTGTGACAGCGGCGGCCGCGGGAGCTTCCCGGGCCTGGCCGTGGAACCAGGCAGCAACCTGGACATGGAAGATGAGGAGGAGGAAGAGCTGACCATGGAGATGTTTGGGAACAGCTCCATCAAGGTGAGCCAGGCCTGGGCTCAGCTGCAGCAGAGGCCAGCGCCCCGTAGATGCTGGTCGCTGAAGGGGCGGTTCCTGACATCGACAGGATGTTGGGGTTCTTGACTTTCAGGGACCTGGCATGCAGACAAGGCCGCCCCTGCCTGCCGTGGCCTTTTGGTGGCCTGGGGGCTCTGAAGCAAGACCCTCGGCCTGTCGCCCTGCTAGAGGCCTGGGCAGGGCAGGGGGATCTCGGGGAGGACTTGGGCTGGGCAGACTCGGGCCTTTGAGAGTAGCTGTTCCGGGGAGGGGATTGGCTGGGGCTGGGGATGCAGTGGGCAGCAATAGCTGAGGAGGCCTGGGGGCTGAAAGCTAAGAGCTCTGGGCCCATCCTGGCCGTCCTGAGGTGGCCCCACTGCCTGCAGAGGTGCTGGGTTCCCGGTCAGCTTGTGGTGGCCTTGGGCACTGGTGGGACCAGGTGGCTGTGTTGGGCCCCACAGCCTGGTGGGAGATGTTTTTGCTTCAGCAGTCAGGGTTTGGGGTCCCACCTGTTCCCACAGAGCCAACCCCAAGAGTTTGAGTGTTTGGGCAGAGCATCATGGACCCTTCCATGGGGTCTACTGCCTGTAGCTGGCCCTTGCCTCAGCTTCAGGATTCAGAGCTGTGCTGGAGATGGCCTCACAGCAGGGCAGGCTTGGTGTTGAGGTGGGGTCCCAGCTGAGGCGGGAGGCACACGTAGTCCACCCTGGCCTGGTCAGTGGTGGGGCAGAGGCTGAGGCTTCCAGTCCCTTCCCATTAGCAGGACTGTATCCTCAGGCTGGGCCCTCACAGCCCGGGCTGGCGCTGCTGACACCCAGGTCCCTGGTCGCCCACAGTTTGAGCTGGACATCGAGCCCAAGGTGTTCAAGCCGCCGAGTAGCACAGAGGCCCTGAATGACAGCCAGGAGTTCCCCTTCCCCGAGACGCCCACCAAAGGTAGGCCACCCACCAAAGGTGTACTGCCTCACGGGGTTGCCTCAGTCATGGGGTGCTGGGGTGCAGGCGGGGTCCCTCCGAACATCCCCAGCCTGCTGGCTGCATGTCCTGGACCGTTGAGGGCACCCCCGTGCCTCGATTTCCCCATCTGTCAGCACAGGAGGCTGTGGGGACACCCCAGAGCCTGGGGTAACTGGCTCAGCTCATCCTTTCTGGGATCCTCGTGAACGGCGACTTGGAGGGGATGGATCCCTTCGGCTCTGAGCTCAGAGTTCTAGCGGGCTGTGCTCAGGGAAGCCCCCGCCCCCGCCCCCACCCCTGCCCATCTGGCAGCAGAGGGTCTATCCAGAGGGCCGGGGCCTCTGAAGTGTTGGGGGTGTGCTGGGGGCCGCCAGGGCAGTGGGGCAGCCCTGCACCCAGCCAGCCCCAGCCAGGGAGAGGGGGCCACGGGAGGAGGAGCCTGGCCAGCCTCTGCAGTGCACAGGGCAGGACACCAGCTTGAGTGGGCACCATCCCAAGTGTCCATGTAGGGGTCCTCCCAGCACCCACCTGGGGCCCAGGGCTCAGCAGGTCTCACCCTCCACCCCTCAACGCCTGCCTTGCCTGCTGGCAGTGGGCGGGGGACGTGTGTGGGGGCGCTGACCTGGTCCCTGGTTCTGCCCTGCAGTGTGGCCGCAGGACGAGTACATCGTGGAGTACTCACTAGAGTATGGCTTCCTTCGCCTGTCGCAGGCCACCCGCCAGCGCCTGAGCATCCCCGTCATGGTGGTCACCCTGGGTGAGTCTGAGCTGCTGGGCTTGGGGAGCTCCATGGCGGGGCCTCCCCTCCTCCCTCGGGTCTCCTCCTGCTGGTGCGGGACGGGGGGCTGTGCAGGAAGCACTGGGGTCTGCCCCGCCCCAGGCACGCTTCCCAGGGCTGGGGTCCTGGATGGGTTTCCTAAGAATGGGCAGGGCCAGGAAGCAGGCCAGGCCTCAGCAATGGAGCCAGCTGGGGCAGGGCCCAGGGGGTGGCCTGGGCGGGGCTCCCGGCTCCCTGATTCACCCACCCGCAGACCCCACGCGGGACCAGTGCTTCGGGGACCGCTTCAGCCGCCTGCTGCTGGATGAGTTCCTGGGCTACGATGACATCCTCATGTCCAGCGTGAAGGGCCTGGCCGAGAACGAGGAGAACAAGGGTGAGGCATGCCCCGGGGCCGAGGGTGCGAGGGCGCGGGTGGGGGCGGGCGCTCACGGCTCCTTCTGCTGCAGGCTTCCTGCGGAATGTGGTGTCGGGCGAGCACTACCGCTTTGTGAGCATGTGGATGGCGCGGACGTCCTACCTGGCCGCCTTCGCCATCATGGTCATCTTCGTGAGTGCCTCGGGGCGGGTGCGGGGGCTGGCCGGGCGGGAGCCAAGCAGGCCCTCGCAGCCCCTCATAGCGCTTCCTGCGCGCCCCTTGCAGACGCTGAGCGTGTCCATGCTGCTGCGGTACTCACACCACCAGATCTTCGTCTTCATCGGTGAGTGTCCCGCCGGCGCAGGGCGGGGCGGGCGTCCTCCAGGCCCTCACCGGGCGCCCGCCGCCCTGTGCCCGCAGTGGACCTGCTGCAGATGCTGGAGATGAACATGGCCATCGCCTTCCCCGCAGCGCCCCTGCTGACCGTCATCCTGGCCCTCGTCGGTGAGGACCCCACCCGGCCTCCCCCGCCCCGCGCTGCACCCCGCCCCGCCCGCTTCAACCGGCGCCGCCTCTCCCTGCAGGGATGGAGGCCATCATGTCGGAGTTCTTCAACGACACCACCACCGCCTTCTACATCATCCTCATCGTGTGGCTCGCGGACCAGTATGACGCCATCTGCTGCCACACCAGCACCAGCAAGCGGCATTGGCTGCGGTGAGCGTGGCGCGGGGGCAGGGTGGAGTGGGTGCTGGTGGGCAGGGGTAGGGGGCTGCCAGAGGGAGGGGCGCTGGAGGCGGGGGTGGTGGCTGCGCCACGCGGGAACCCCAGGGGCTGGGCCTGGCAGGGTGGGACCTGCAGCCCCGACGCCCTCACCCCGCCCCGCAGGTTCTTCTATCTCTACCACTTCGCCTTCTATGCCTATCACTACCGCTTCAATGGGCAGTATAGCAGCCTGGCCCTGGTCACCTCCTGGCTCTTCATCCAGGTGAGGCCTGGGCGGCAAGCAGGGGGCAGGCCAGCCGTGCCTTTCCAGGCAGGAGAGGCTGCAGCCGGGGAGGATGCCCTGTGGGGTCGGCCCAAGCGGGCAGAGGTAGCGTGGATGGTCCCGGGTGGGCTGCCCTCTGGGAGCAGCGGCTGGGTGGGGCAGGGGCGGGCCCGTCCTGACTCCCACTCTCCCTCCCGCAGCATTCCATGATCTACTTCTTCCACCACTACGAGCTGCCTGCCATCCTGCAGCAGGTCCGCATCCAGGAGATGCTGCTTCAGGCGCCGCCACTGGGCCCCGGGACCCCCACGGCGCTGCCCGATGACATGAACAACAACTCGGGCGCCCCGGCTACAGCCCCTGACTCTGCCGGCCAGCCCCCCGCCCTGGGCCCCGTCTCGCCTGGGGCCAGCGGGAGTCCCGGGCCTGTGGCAGCGGCGCCCAGCTCCCTGGTGGCCGCGGCAGCCTCAGTGGCAGCAGCTGCCGGTGGTGACCTGGGTTGGATGGCAGAGACCGCTGCCATCATCACAGACGCCTCCTTCCTGTCCGGCCTGAGCGCCTCCCTCCTGGAGCGGCGTCCAGCCAGCCCGCTGGGCCCTGCTGGGGGCCTCCCCCACGCCCCCCAGGACAGTGTCCCCCCGAGTGACTCCGCAGCTTCTGACACAACTCCCCTGGGGGCTGCGGTAGGCGGGCCTAGCCCGGCCTCCATGGCCCCAACGGAGGCGCCCTCGGAGGTGGGGTCCTGAGCCGCACAGCTGAGCCGCCTCTGACCCCTGCTGGCTGGGCCTGACCTTCCCGAGCCCGTGGGGGTGGGGGAGGCCAGCCACCTCCTTCCTCTGGGACTGCCCAGCCTGTGTCGGGGGCTTTCAGGGTTTCGTGGGGTTTGCCCGGAAGGCGGCTTTCCTCCCCCTGGTGTGAGGTCGCGCCCGAGGCTTGTACCCGCTAGTGAGGTGTTTGAGCTGGTCAGCAAGGAGAGGGGGTGGGGTTCCGCGGAAGGTTCTGGAGGGGTCTTGGTAGGTCTGCAGTGAACCGTCCTGAGGATGGAGTGGGGTCCCATGGTGCAGGTCTCTGAGCAAGGCGGAGGTGTGGAGGAGAGGCCGGCTTGGGGTGGGGCCTCGCGCCCTAGTGCCGGCCGGCCTCAGCCCGGCTCTGCCTGGTGCTCCCTGCAGTGCCTTCTCCATGGCCCCGCCCTCCCCGCGTGTGCGCCAGGCTTGGGGTCCCCGGGAGAGCAGAGCTTGCGCCTCGGGCATAGGGACGTGGGGTGCAGGCGCCAACATCAGTGGCAGCAGCCAGGGCCGTGGTCCAGTCCCACTCGGGGATGGAGTGGGCCGGCGGCCAAACCAGTCACTCGGGGAGGAATGCGGAGGAGCGCTCATTCCATTCTATTTAATTGCAGTGTACAAAATTGTGTTTGTATATAGAATAAACTGTCTGTTGACAGCGGCTCACTGCGCTGTGTGTGTGTCTTGAGCCCAAACGGCCCGGCTGCCGCCTCATTCCTGGCTCCCCGGTCGGCCAGAGTGTGGTGGGGCCTCCGCGGGGGCCGCTCTGGCCTGAAGCAAGCGCCGAGGCCGGTGACGTGCGCTGTCCCCGAGCTGTGCCAGGAGCTGGCCGCGCCGCACCAGGGCCTGGCGGAGCCGCTCACGCGCGACTTCGATGCGGCGCTCCAGCTCCTGCAGCTCCCCGGGCTGGGGGGCCCCCGTGGGCCTTGCGGCGGGCGGGCGGCCGTAGGAGCACAGCCAGACGGGGCCCTCTCGCGGCGCAGCCTCCGCCTCCGCGTCCGCTTCGGGTGCCACAACCACGGCGGGCTCCAGCAGGAAGCGCACGCGGCGCTCCTTGTCCACGGCCCGGCGCGCCCGTTTCCAGCCCTCCGGAGCCGTTGGCTGGTCCTGCTGCTGCTGCTGCTGCTCCACCTCGGGGCCGCTGGGGACGGAACCGGCCTGGTCAGTGTCCGCCGGGGCAGCCGTCTCGCGCCCTGGGCCTCTGCAGAGGCCGCTGACGGCAGAGGATGGCCGACAGGCACAACCAGGGAGCCACGGTGTGCACGTCCGGGGGTGGGCGGGGGACCTCCGGGAACCTCCTGCACCCCGCGGCCGGCTTCGGGGCGAGCTGGTGGGGTGGTGGGTCTGGGTGGTCCTGCATCGTGGTCCGCCCCGACCACCACTTACCTGGGCTCCGCCTCTGCCGTCTCCTCCTTCGACCCCTCTGGTGGCTCCGTGTTGAGGGCGCGGTGGATTTTCTAAGACCCCAGACAGACCCGGTTGGCGAGGAGGCGGGGGGGGTGGGGCCGCCCGCCGCCCACCCGCTCCCCACCTGGCTGGTGTGCAGCCAGTACTGCAGCCTGCTCCCCTTGCGGATGCGCGGCAGCGCCAGGCGGAAGAAGGCGTGCTCGCCCAGCGAGCTGAGCAGAGCGCTGCCCAGGCCCAGGCACAGCAACACGAAGAGGCCCGCGAAGTGGTAGATGCTCATCTGCAGGGTCTGGGGGCAACACAGCAGGAGCCCCGCACGGTCACGTAATGGCAGGCCCCTGGGGAGCCTTGAACTAGGGGAGAACAGGTTGGGCCAGAGAGAGGGGCTTGGGGCAGTGGAGCCAGGTTGGGAGGCAGGGACTCCATGGCTGGGGGGAGTGAGGTTTCATGGAGGAAGGGGCACTGCAGCCGGGGTTTTGTAGGGTGAATAGAAGTGCGCAGAAGCAGACAAACGCACGTCTGGGGAATGAGCACTGGGGTTGGTCACTTCAGACAAGGCTCAGGGCCCCCCACGCCCACCCCCACCCCCACCCTCTGTCCCAGGCCCTGCCCCACCTCTGTAACCGCAAAGACCCGCTTGCCGCAAGGCACCATCTTGTACCACTTGTCGTGGAGCAGGTCGATGAAGCCGGAGGACTTGTAGCGGCTGATGAACTCGGACAGGTTGGAGGTGAGCGGCGAGTTCTGGGGCAGTCCGATCCCATAGCCTGGGGGCGCGGGGCCAGGCGGTGGGGCCAGGTGGGACAGCCCCAGGGGAACTCTGCCCGCACACGTGGGATTTCGCCCCTTCCCACCTCGAACCCTCCGTGGCTCCCCACTGCCCCCAGGAGGTCCCCAGAGACCCCGGCGCCCCGCCTCGCCCAGGTGCCTCTCACCCTCAATGGCGAAGGGCTTTCCCACGGTCAGCAGTTTGCAGTCGGCGTCGATGGAGACCTCGTAGTCCAGGAGCGACTTGTCCATGATGAAGGCGTTGAGCTTGGGGGGGTCGCTCCTGCTGGGGCCGGGGGCGGGGGTCAGCCATCGCCCCGCCCACCCCACGCCCCGCCCCCGCCTCACCCCGCGCCCGGGCTCACGTGAGCATGGCGACGCCGCGGGGCGTGGTGGGCGCGCTGTGGCGCCGCATGTGTGCGTGCATGTCGGGGAAGCTCTTCTTGATGTACGCCTCGGCGCTGCTCTCCCACACGGTGCCGAAGCGGAAGCCCTGCGCCGGGTGGTGCAGCTGCGCGGGGGACCCCGTCAGCGCCTCTGCCTGCCCCTCAGGACCCCTGACCATTGAGGGGCGCGCCGTTCTCCGGGGTGGGGCCGTCCTGGGCACTGCAGGGCGCCGAGGCTGCATTCCTGGCCTCCACCCACTCCATGCCCAGAGCACACCCCAGGCGTGACCACCACAGCTGTCTCTAGACACACACTGTCCAGGGTCCCCTGGGGCGGGGGGCAGGATCACCCCGGGTGGAGACCCTCTGTTCTAAACGCCGGCAAGTCCATCTCCACCTGGACCTCGCCCTGGGCTGGACGCCTATCCCACCACCTCCTCTGCCTCTCCCCTGGGGGTCCCACGGGAGCCCCACTCTAACATGTCCATGACCCCACTCCTGATCTGCCCCCACTCGCTCTTCCCACCCCAGGCGGAGGCAGCTCTGTCGTCACTGCCTCTGACACCCTGTTTCTCCCGAAAACCCTGGGGGGCGCCACCTGCAACACAGGGAACTGCCCACTGCTCACCCCTCCACAGCTCCTACCCAGGTTGGGGCCCAGCGTCGAACCCAGCCTCCTTCCCCATCAACATCCTCGACCAGCCCAGGCCCCTCTGCGGGGTCCTCCCTGCACCACCCGTGGTCTGTTCTCCCCACAGCTGCCAGGGCAACCTGGTGCAGACCCCTAATGAGTAGGTGGGTCTGGCTGCTGAGGTCACACCAGCCACGGCCTCCCCACGGGATTCCAGCACCACCAAAAACCCAAACTTGAATCCCATCGTGCCTGTGGGTCAGCAGCATCTGATGGAAGTTTCCGTATGATGAAAAGGCTTTGACGGCTCAGCTGTGCAGCGTTTACATTGGAAGAGCCGCCGGCAGCAGTCGGCTCACCTGACAGCATGGCGTCTACGCTTTACTACCGTTTCACAGGGGACACCAGGGGCTGGGGAGCAGGCCAGGCACCCCCAGGGGACACCACTGGGCAGATCCAAAAGTTCAGAGACACTACGGGGCAGAAAACCCGACTTTGCCAAGAAATTACAAGGGGAGGCCGGGCACGATGGCTCACGTCTAATCCCAGCACTGTGGGAGGCTGAGGCAGGAGAATTGCTTGAACCTGGGAGGTGGAGGTTGCGGTGAGCTGAGATCACTGCACTCCAGCTCTGGGCAAGAGTGAGACTCTGTCTCAAAAAAAAATAATAATAATACGGGCCAGATGTGGTGGCTCACACCTGTGATCCCAGCACTTGGGAGGCCGAGGTGGGCGGATCACGAGGTCAGGGGTTCGAGACCAGCCTGGCCAACATGGTGAAACCCGCCAACTCTACTGAAAATACAAAAGCCAGGCTTGGTGGTGCACACCTGTAATCCCAGCTACTTGGGAGGCTGAGGCAGGAGAATCGCTTGAGCCCAGGAGGCAGAGGTTGCAGTGAGCCAAGATCGTGCCACTGCGCTCCAGCCTGGGCGATGGAGCAAGACTGTCTCAAAAAAGAAAAGAAAAATAGGCTGGATGCGGTGGCTCACGCCTGTAATCCCAGCACTTTGGGAGGCCAAGGTGGGAGAACTGCTTGAGCCCCGGCGTTTGAGACCAGCCTGAACAACATAGCCAGCCCCCCATCTCTGTGTTTTTTGTTTTGTTTTTTGTTTTTTGAGACGGAGTCTTGCTCTGTTGCCCAGGCTAGAGTGCAATGGTGCCATCTTGATTCACTGCAACCTCCGCCTCCTGGGTTCAAGTGATTCTCCTGCCTCAGCCTCCCGAGTAGCTGGGATTACAGGTGCCCACCACCATGCTCAGCTAATTCTTTGTATTTTTTAGTAAAGATGGGGTTTCACCATGTTGGCCAGGCTCCAGTTCGAGACTCCTGACTTCAGGTGATCTGCCTGCCTTGGTCTCCCAAAGTGCTGGGATTACAGGCGTGAGCCACCGCGCCCGGCTATTTTTCTTTAAATAAATAAATTAATTGAATAAATGTCTCTTGGGACCAGAGTTGGCCTAGTGGACGTCCTCCACGTCCAGCTGACCACCCCTGCCCCACACAGCCCAGCCCGGGGCCACCGCTAGCCCCCCAAGGCCACCCGCAGCCCCCCGAGGCCGCCCACCTTGGGGTCGTGGATCCCCGACAGCTCCTCGAAGGTCTTGTCCCCGACCATGACGGCAGCCAGGTTGGCCGTGTAGCTGGACAGCACCAGCAGGCAGAAGATGGCCCAGAGGTTCATGAGCAGGCGGCCCGTGGGGCACTTGGGCGTCTTGCTGGACACGGTGCGTCTGAAGAGGATGGCGTAGCACAGGTTGAGGGCTGAGGAGTAGGAGAAGACGGTGCTGCGGTTGCGGCCACGTGGCGTGAGGCCGTAGGGGCTACGCCACTCGTACACGGTGAGGAAGAGCGCGGTGAGGTGCAGGGCCGCAAAGACGCCCAGCCACGTGGACCAGTGCAGGGGCCACATAAAGGCACCGATGGGTGAGGCCGTGTCCCGTGCCCGCACCATGATGCCCAGGCTGGTGGAGAAGAAGGGGCTGGTGAAGTCCACCACCTGTGAGCGGGCGGAGTTGATACTGAAGCTGGTGACCGCCATGTGGGCCCGGCCGGCCAGCAGGTCCCCGACCAGGCCGGTCCAGCGGCCGTCCCGCAGGGCGCCGTACTTGCCGTCACCCACGAGGTACAGCTCGAAGTCGAAGGGCGTGTCCTCCGCCAGCCGCTCCAGCAGGTCAATGCAGTAGCCGTAGCAGCACTTGCGCAGGGCACGGGGCGCTGAGCCGTTGGCCAGCGCGGCGAACAGTGCGTCCAGGGTGGCCGAGTCGTTGGTGCCAGGGTCCAGGCACAGCTGCCCCGCTGGGCACTGCCCGTCTTCGTCTGGATCACGGGCAAACACAAATGGGTGTTCCAACAGCGTTACCACACGCAGCTTGGGCCAGACCTGGGCACCCTGTGGGGGCGGGGGCCGTGCAGAGGCACCTCCCGGTTCCAAGTCCAGCTGGCCGTCCCGCCAGCTGCCCACCGTGGCCCAGGCCGGGGCGCCCCGTGGGTCCCGGCGAAGGCTCCACACCTTAAAGTGCCGAGACATGTGTACCTGGGAGCTGCCTGTCACCCACACGGGGCCCGTGCGGCCCTGGAAGGACGTGTTGGCCAGGAACCTAGGGGCAGGGCGGGGGGGGTGTCAGGTGTCGAAGTTCACACCCCTCCATCCTCTCACCCCTGCCCAGCACGTGCCCGATTCCCACTGGTCGCTCTTGTCCGTATCATGAGGACAAACGTGGACGCTCCTGGTGTCCCCAAGCCTAGTCCCCAAGCCTAACCCCTTGATCCCGGGGCATCCGTGCCCGATGCCGTGGCTGTGCCCCCACTCCACATACGCCTGAAGCCAGTGACTGACACACAAGCACCCAGCTGGGGTCACCTGTTTCCAGGAGTTGTTCATTCTCAGGAACTCCTCCAGGGCTCAGCCAGAGACCCGTTCCCTCCCTCCTAGTTGTTCAGCTCGTTCTCTGCTGTCCCTGAGATAGTTCCCCAGGTGGGCACTGCTTCCGGGGACCTAAGACATCTAACAAAGCATCCTGACTTTGTGTGTTTGAGACAGGGTCCCTGTTGCCCAGGCTGGAGTGCAGTGGTGCGATCTCAGCTCACAGCAGCCTGGACCTCACAGGCTCAAGCGATTCTCTCATCTCAGCCTCCTGAGTAGCTGGAACTACAGGTGCGTGTCACCACGCCCAGCTAATGTTTTCTATTTTTTGGTAGAGATGGGGTTTCACCATGTTGGCCGGGCTGGTCTCAAACTCCCGAGCTCAAGTGATCCGCTCGCCTCGGCCTTCCGAAGTGCTGGGATTACAGGCGTGAGCCACCGCGTCTGGCCTCACGTTGCCTTTTGTGATCCATGAGCAGTGCAGACTCAGTGGCCTGGACACCCTCCTAAGGGAAGCAGGGTCCCCACTCACCGTGCCAAGAAGCGCCCCGGGGACTCGGGCCCGGCCGGCTGCAGGTCCCCGCAGTTGACCGGGGCGGGGAGGAGGGCTCGCTTCGGCTGCACCTGGGCCGCACTGCCCAGCGCCCGGGCCACCAGTTGCACAATGTCATGGATGGCGGCCTCCAGCGGGGGTCGTGCCACCTCGCCCAGCGCCAGCAGCCCTGGTGGCAGCCCCGCGGTGGGCAGGGCCTTGGGCGGCAGTGGTGTCCCCAACAGCCAGTGGGGGCCGGGAGGTACGGCCTCCAGCACCCGACGGGCACGGGCGATGTCACAGCCGAGGAGGACCGCCGCGGGTACCGGTGCTTCACCCCCCACTGGCGCCGCCATCGGGGCCAGGCGTGCCCGCAGTCCTGCATCTCCCGTGTCCCGCCGGCTTAGGTCCAGGACCAGCTGTGGGGGCCGGCCAGCCCGGCTTGTCCAGAGGGCCACCAGGCCGCCGGGGTCCTGAGTGCGGCACAGGGCCAGGCCGACGTCTTCCCAGGCGTGCGCCTGCAGCACCGCCACCAGCACATCCAGCAGCGTCTCCAGGGGGCTGGCCCAGTGCAGCTGCAGGTGGAATGGGTTCTGGGAGAGGGGTGGCCACGGTTAGGGTTGACGACCTCCACCCCCACAAAACCCTTCCCACCCCAGCAGCGGGTGATCCGCAAGTAGATGCCAGCTGGATGGCTGCACCTCCCCTCCACCTCCCCCCAGCCCCAGCCCTGCTCTAAACCCTTCCATCGTTCCCCATCACCATCCCCACAAAGCTCAGTCTCCCAGCCTCTCTTGGCTCCAGCTACCCTTGTCATGGGCACACTTGGTGTTTTTTGTTTTTTTTTTGCATGTGCCATTCCCCGGATGGAATATCTTTCTCTCTCTATGCCCACCAACTCCTACACATCCTTCAAAACCCAAGCACATTGCTCCTCCTCTATTCAGACTTCTCCATCCTCCAGGCAGAGCCCAGGCTCCAGCTTGGAACGCCTCCAGCCTCAGGTCCCTCCCTGATTCCTTTACAGTCCTGACCTCACCTGGCACCCACCTGCCTGGGAACCCCTCTAGGGCCAAGAGCTGTGGCTCATAAAGGTGAGCCCACCGATGGCCTTGTGCTTAGAGCCAAACCAGGTAGCTTCCCCTAGCATCCCCTTCACACATTACTGCCCCGTGCCAGGCACATGGAGGGCTGAGGGGCCCCCTTGTGCCCAGTGCCATCCAGAAAGTTCTCCTGGATTTTTTTTTTTTTTTTTTTGAGATGGAGTCTTGCTCTGTCTCCCAGGCTGGAGTGCAATGGCGTGATCTCAGCTCACTGCAAGCTCCACCACTCCCAGCTTTTTTTTTTTTTTTTTTTTTTGTATTTTTAGTAAAGACGGGGTTTCACCATGTTAGCCAGGATGGTCTCGATCTCCTGACCTCGTGATCCGCCCGCCTCGGCCTCCCAAACTGCAGGGATTACAGGCGTGAGCCACAGTGCCCAGCCAATATATATATATCCTGAGTAGCTGGGATTACAAGCACCCACCACCACGCCCAGTTAATTTTTGTATTTTTTGTAGAGATGGGGTCTCGCCATATTGCCCAGGCTGGTCTCAAACTCCTGAGCTCAAGCTGTCCTCCCACCTTGGGCTCCCACAGTGCTGGGATTCCAGGCGTGAGCCACCGCACCCGGCCCTGGATTTAACTTAGTATATTAAAGGTGGGAGAGCTTTGCCAGGCCCCTCGGGTTGGCAGGGCGCTTCCCAGGGTGGAAGCAGGGTGCCCAGTGCTGGAGGATGGGCTTGGGATGGGGCTCAGTCCCCAGGGGGCCAAGCCAGTCCCTAAGACGCTAGGTCGGTCCCACGCCCCGGCTTGCGGCGGTGCAGCTCCTGGAGACGGCAGCAGAGGGCGCCCCAGGCCTGGGTTTGGGCCCCGCCTCTCCCACCAGCCCTAGGGCGGTGGGGGGACAGGGGTCCCCTTGACACCTGGAGAGCTGGGCTAAGAGACCCCCCCTCTAGCGTCAGGGTCTCCCTCCCTGAGGAGAGGGAGGGGCTGGAGGGGCCTCTGAGTGGGTTGGGAAGGAGGGGCAGCTGGGGCATAGAGCTCAGCCAGGCCCATGTCCGGAGTTGGGACCTCCTTGCTGGCCACGGGAGGGGGCTTGTTATCTGGGGCGCAGTGAGCCCTGTTGGGGGGGACAACAGGGACCCCAGAACCCAGTCAATCGCCCTTCTCTTCTTCCGTTTCCTCCCGGGATCTGGGCCTGGGGTGGGGTTAGAAGAGAGGAACTTGAAGGCTGCCAGGGGTTGGGGGGTGGGAATGGAGTCGGGGTTGGAATGATGGAGGCTGCTCTGGGATCTTGGAGGCCTCTGGGAGGGGACGGGGAGAATGCTGGAAGGAGGGAGATCCAGACCTGCAGACCCCGAAACTGCACCCCTAGAGTGAGGAGGGAGACCGCCTGTCCTCCAGCCCAGCCACCCAGAGCCGGGTGGGGACCAGGAGGTCCCAGGGACCAGGGAAGGGTCTGTGGGGAAGGAGGGAAGGGGCCTGGGCAAGGAAGGGGCAGAGGCCACAGTGGCGGGGTCCCCATCACCAGGGCGCTGGGAAGGGGTCTGCAGGGGCGTTCCAGGGGCGTCCCTGGAGCTCTCAACCCCGCGTCTAGGTCCCTGCCCCTGGGTCTCTTCCTCTGGGTTCTGGTTTCCTTGCTCCGGGGACACCCGGGTCTTCCCCATCCCTGATCCCTGGGGCCCGTCCAGCGTCCCGGGATCCCCCTTCCCTGCGTAGTCCCGGCACCCCCATCCTGACTCCGGACGTCCCCAGGGCTCCCGACCCCGCTCCCGCCCCGGGTCCCCCTCGTCCTGACTCCGGGCGTCCCGCGTACCGGGGCTCCGAGGGGCGCGCGCGCCTCCCGCCGCAGCAGGCTGAGCACGGGGGTCTCGGTGGCCGCCGCCAGGAAGTGCAGCTGCAGCAGCTCGGGCCGAGCCTCGGGAAAGGCGAGCAGGGCCGCCACGCCCGGAGGCACCAGCGCCTGGCACAGGCCGCGGGTCAGCGAGGCGGGGTCGCGGGCGGGGGGCGCGGCGACCACCAGCTCCAAGCTCAGGTTGTGCGGCAGCCGCGGCGCCAGGGCGGCCCGGGCCAGGGCGGCGCGGGCGCGGGCGCGGGCGAGAGGCGCGCGGGGCAGGAGGGCGCCCAGGCGCACGGAGCCCCCGAGGCGCGCCAGGACGCCGCACGGCTGAGGGTGGCCCCCCGCGGACCCCGGCCCCAGCGCCAGCGCCAGGCCCAGCCACAGCGCCCGCACAAACTCCATCGCAAAGTTGTCGGCGTCGCTCGCCACGGGGCGCAACCACCGGGACCACGGCGCGGGTGGAGGGCCCCGGCCAGGTTCCGACGCGCCCTCCGCGCTCCGCCCGGGCGGCCTCCGGGTTCCCAGCAACCGCGCGGGGGGAGTGGGACGTGCCCTGCCCAGGGCGGGATGGGGGGGAAACAGTGCCTCCCAGTGGTTGTTTGAGGCCGGCGGCGGTGACACCTGGCGGGGGCCGGGGACGCCTAACCACTGCCCATCCCTGCTCTGATTCAGGCCACAGATGGAACGGAGGTGCCAGGAAAAGACTGCGCTTTAAAATTGGCCCCGACTTGCCGGGCGCGGTGGTTCACACCTGTCATCCCAGCACTTTGGGAGGCCGAGGCGGGCAGATCACGAAGTCAGGAGTTCGAGACCAGCCTGGCCAACATGGTGAAAGCCCGTCTCTACTAAAAATACAAAAATTAGCCGGGCGTGGTGGCGGGAGCCTGTAATCCCAGCTACTCGGGAGGCTGAGGCAGGAGAATCGCTTGAACCTGGAAGGCGGAGGTTGTAGTGAGCCGAGATCGTGCCACTGCACTCCAGCCTGGGCGACAGAGCGATGCTCCGTCTCAAAAAAAATAAAATAAAATAAGAAAATAAAATTGGCCCGGACGCCCACCCCGTTCCTCTCCAGGATCCCTGACCCCTTCCACCAATGTCGACCATTGCTCAGGCAGGGAAGTTGAGGCCCAGGAAGGGTCTTGCTTGTCTCGCACATCCAGGGAGCTGTCAGTTTCTAACCAGGCCAGCCCAGGGGTGTGTTCTAACATCCAGTGCACCCTGGGGAAACTGAGACAGGCATGTCTGATGGAAACCTATAGAGTAGATCTGCCCTCCAGCAGTGGGCAGGCAACTTGGGCCACAGAACTCCTCTTCACCCTTCAAAACCCAGTCCCAAATGCCCTGCCCTGAAAAACGTTCCCTGCTTGCCACTGAGAAAATGCAGAAAGCACCACTCCCTGCCCCATTTCAGTCCTGCTGCTACCCACCCCCAACCTCCACACATTTCCATAACGGCCTACCATCTTTTTGTTCATTTCCTTCTTATTTAGTGACCATCTCTTCAACTCAGCTCTGGGAGGGTTGGGGTGGGTCTGGTTTGGTTGCTGGCACACAGTAGGCACTCTATAATTGCTTGTGGCTTGAGCAACGGCCCAGACAAGGATGCTTGCTCACATGCCCCTCCTCCAGTGCTCTAGAGCCTTCCATAGCTCCCCGCTGTCTACCAGTCCCCAAGCCTGCCTATGTCCTCTGGGCCTCGGGGGGTGCCTTCTGGGGCCCTGGCATCCCACAGGCGCCTGATAGATGGGGGCGGCTGCATCCGTCTATCCATCTAGCAGAGGACCTCCTCCCTGCCCAGGCATTCCTCATCCTGTCCTCCCGACGGTGTCTCCCCAGATCCCGCGGGGCAGCAGAACAGCCGCTGTGTTGGGAACATTCAGCTCTAATTAATGGATCTACACTCCGGCGATTTTCTCACACACACACACACACACACACACACACACACACACACCCCAAACGTCATCTCCTTTTGGAGCCAGCGTTGGAGAGGTAGGAAAAAAATCCTCCATGAAATGAATAAAATGCCAAGTGCCAGCCAGTAAAATGGATTGGATTTTGAGACGACTGGGGAGGGACGGAGGGAGGGATGGCTCGGTTCCAGGAACCCGCAGGCCACCCCCTCCAGCCCCCTGGCCAGGTGTCCCCGGGGGCAGGACAAGGGGTCCCCTCCCTGGGTCTGCGAGAGGTGCTGGGTCCTGGTGTCCTCAGGGACCACTGGGGCCCCGTCCCTCCCTGGGTTCGGCTCCCTCTGAGGAGCAAGAGTTCCTAGGGGCAGAGACTGTGTCTGCCCTCCGGGAACTCACCCTCGTGCCCTGCCTCAGTTTCCCCATCTGTACACGGGCAACAGTAGGCGTTCCTACTCCCAGCTGCCATGTGGAACAAGTGGCCACGTGGAGGAGACTTTTAAAAAATGTTTTATTGTGGGAAAATAGTCATAACATGAAACCTGCCATCTTGGCCATTTCTAGGTGCACAGCTCAGGCACATTAAGCACACTCCTTGCTATGTAGCCCTTACCACCCTCCTGTCCAGAACTTTCTCATCTTCCCAAACTGAAACTCTGTCCCCAGGGGACACTCACTCCCCGTCCCCTCCCCAGCCCTGACGCCTCCTATCCTCTCCGTCTCTGTGAATCTGACAACTCTAGGGACCTCCTAGGAGTGGAATCAGACAGGACGTGTCCTTTTGTGTCTGGCGTCTCTCACTGAGTGTGATGTCCTCAAGGTGCAACCATGCTCTGGCCTGTGTCTGAGCCTCACTTATTTTATTTTTTTAATTTTGAGACTGCACCTCGCTCTGTTGCCCAGACTGGAGCGCAGTAGTGAGATCATAGCTCACTGCAGCCTCAACCTCCTGGGCTCAAGCGATCCTCCTGCCTTGATTTCCCAAGTAGCGGGGACCACAGGTGCACACCACACCTGGCTAAAATTTATATTTTTTGAAGAGATGGGGTTTTGTAGAGATGTTGCCCAGGCTGGTCTTAAACTCCTGTGCTCAAGCGATTATCCTGCCTCAGCTCCCACAGTGCTGGAATACAGGGTGAGCTACTGCATTGAGCCTTCTCGTTCTTTTACAAGGCTGAATAATATTCCACTGTGCAGAGGACTCGTGTTGTGGTGACCCATCCAACCGCTGATGGACACCTGGTTTCCCCAACTTTTTTTTTTTTTTTTTTTTTTGAGACGGAGTCTTGCTCTGTCACCTGGGCTGGAGTGCAGGGGGGCAATCTCAGCTCACTGCAACCTCCACCGCCCAGGTTCAAGCAATTCTGCCTTAAGCCTCCCAAGTAGCTGGGATTACAGGCACGTGCCACGACACCTGGCTAATTTTTGTATCTTTAGTAGAGATGGGGTTTCACCATGTTGGCCGGGCTGGTCTCCTGACCTCAGGTGGTCTACCGGCCTTGGCCTCCAACAGTGCTGGGATGACAGGCGTGAGCCACGGCGCCTGGCCTTCCCCCACTTTTTGGCTGTGGGGATGGAGCTGTTGTGAGCTTGGTGTGTGGATCATTTCAAAACCCCGCTCCTCATTCCCAAACCCCGCTCCTCATTCCCAAACCCCGCTCCTCATTCCCAAACCCTGCTCCTCATTCCCTTGGGTATATACCCAGAAGTGGACTCGCTGGGTCCAACCTTAACGCTGTTTAATTTTTTAAGAACCTGACAGAATGGCCAGGTGCAGTGGCTCACGCCTGTAATCCCAGCACTTTGGGAGGCTGAGGCGGGTGGATCACCTGAGGTCAGGAGCTCGAGACCAGCCTGGCCAACATGGTGAAACCCCGTCTCTACTAAAAATACAAAAATTAGCCTGATGTGGTGGTGGGCGCCTGTAATCCCAGCTACTTGGGAGGCTGAGGCAGGGGAATGGCATGAACCCGGGAGGCAGAAGTTGCAGTGAACGGAGACCGGGCCACTGCACTCCAGCCTGGGGGAAAGAGTGAGACTCAGTCTCAAAAAAACAAAAACAAAAACAAAAACAAACAAAAAACCTGCCAGACTATTTTCACA
Organism: Homo sapiens; assembly: GCF_000001405.40. Classification (NCBI taxonomy): domain Eukaryota; kingdom Metazoa; phylum Chordata; class Mammalia; order Primates; family Hominidae; genus Homo; species Homo sapiens. The sequence continues at coordinate 996,829 of NC_000019.10, read as the reverse complement.
GTGGATGCCCCATTTTATGTCCGCACCAGGGCACGGGAAGGCTGTGGCTTCCCCACCTCCTCGCGCATGATGTTTTCTGCTCTCAGCTTTGCTGGCAGCTGTCCCGGCGCCCGCAAGCGCACCTCACTGTGGTCTGCACAGTCAAGCCCCGCCAGCCGCCAGGTCACCTGTGCACACCGGCGTCCCCGCTCGTCAACGCCTTGGCCTCCCCAGTCCCGGCGCCGTCCCTCTGAGAATCTGTGGGGCCTCCGGGGGCGGGGGGTCTGAACGATGACGTCACCACTGTTTCCATCGCACCCAGACCGGCAATTACGACGCAGGGTGGAGCCGCGGTGCCTGAGCACGTCTGGGAGCTCTGGGCCGAGAGGGTGATGACGGTGCGGGAGCGGGCGTGGAGAGGCACCGAGGGGGCTTGTGTCCAAGGACCCAGCGTGCAGGGGCACATGGAGGGAAACGCAGGGAATGAGGCGTGAGCTCCTGCCGCCCCCGCCCAGCTCCCAGCCGACCCGCCGGGGGACGACCCCTTTCTGGAGACAAGAACGTCGAGTCCGACCCGGCCAGGTGTCGCCTGTCTGAGGCCACCGGGCGATTTTCGGGCCCTGCCCCACGGTGAACTCTAACCCTGTTCTGCAGCCTGCGGAGAGGGCAGCCGACCTCAGCCCCGGACGGCCGCGTGGTGCAGGCAGCTGCGAAGTGACCTGGATGTTCGTGCCTGGCTCACCTTGGGCTCTTGCAGCGGCTGGAGCCGAGTCCGGGCCCTGGGAGCCCCAGGCAGCTGTCCCTCTACGGCTCTGCGCACCCTCACCCCGCCCTGGCACCAGCCACAGGGTTGTGCCGATACCCTTGAGTTGGTGGTTGGGGGTCCTGATTGGTGCTGGGAGGGAAATTTGGGAGCCTTTGGGTGGTGATGCGGAGGGGGGCAGGGGTCGTGGGAATGGCTCCAGGGGAACAGTAGGTACAGACCCAGGGAGATCAGCCAACCCCAAGGGACCCCCCAGCTGCCTCACCCCAAATCCGCGTGCTCCCCGCAGGCAGGACCCAGCCTTGCAGGTCAGCAGAGTGAGTGGTTCATGATGGAAAAGGAACAAGCTGGCCGTGCGCCCAGGGGGAAGGGACCCTGGAGTGGTTCTCAGGGCTCGGAGCAGCCGAGGCAGATGTCAGTGCCAGGTGAGGGCCCAGCTGCCCTGATGCAGTGTGGCCAGGCTGCCAGCCGAGAGGACTCAGAGCCCCATAGAGGGGACAAGAACACAAATTAGCCTAAAAGCATGAACTCAGCGCTGGCGGCTGGCTGGACTGCGGTCATTACCACGCCCGCTAAATCACACGGATTTTCTGGATCGTTAGGTAGGACTGTCAGTCGGGAGCAGCTTTCTGGAAGGTTCTGGGCTTCTGGGCTGGGATCCAGGCGCTGGGTGGCAGCGTCCCCAGGGCAGCAGGGCCTGACCTCCCTCAAGCCCTTGATACCCACAAGCACGGCTTGTGGTGTGGCAGGGGTCCAACTCCCTCTGGGGACCGGCTCAGATCGGGACACCACCCCCAGACCTGCTCCTGACCCATCTGACGGTCCCAGCCTGCAGTGGCCACCTTTGCTGGGTGGGGCAAGCCACCTCTGCCTGGGGAGGCCGTGGCACCTTTTGCCCGGAGAACCACCCTGGGTTCACCCTTGGGCGGCTCCAGCTGGGCCCTGGGGAAGCCAGCAGGGGCCCCAAGGCACCCGAGGGATGCACTGGGAGGAGCCTGTGCTCCAAGGCCCCACCCACACCAGCTCCCTCCTCCTGCCTGGTCCTGAGCCCTGCGTTTCCACAGGGACCAGGGACCCCCGAAACCCTCCCTGAGAGCTGGGTCCTGCACCCGGGGAAACCCCTCAACCCTGGCGGCTGGGTCCACCCCCAAACGTCCCCAGGCCCGTCTCTCTACACCAAGCCACCTCCTTCCGGGACCCCACAGGGCTGTCTCCACTCAGACCCCCTGCACAGCAGACCGGAGGGGCCTGGCTTCCCGGTTCCTTCCTCAATCCCACCACCCCGGTCCAGCGCCTTCTCGGGAGGGGGCGGCCATGCAAAGGCCCTCGGGCAACAGAGCAGAGTCAGAACTGCAGGTGCTCGGGGCTCCCTCTTAAAGCCGCCCCCGCGAGGCCTAGGTTGGTTAAGGCCCCCACCTCCGGACAGAGGGTGCCGAGTGGGGCTGGGGTCCCAGCTGGGCCGAGCAGCAGGGGAGCTGTGTTGCACGCAGCACCAGGCCACACCCGGACACAAGGAGGCCGGAGAGGAGGGGCTTTTCATCCTCTTTTGTTAAAAACAGACTAGCACCACTGTGACGCGTGCCACGAGACACCAAGACGGCCCAGTCACAGAGGAAAAACCCGAACACGACACAGAACTGAGGAGAGTCCAGGCCTGGGCTGGTGGGGGCCACACCCGCGGGCCCTGGTTGCTGGGAGGCATGGGGCTCAGGCCTGGGCGCCTCGGGCCGGGGTCTCCGGGCCTCACTTGGCCGGCCGCGTGATGAAGCGCGTGGAGAAGTCGAACAGGTCCCGATTGATCTTGCGCAGGTTGCGCACCTCGTCCTCCAGCTCCGTCACACGGACGCGCAGCTGGTCCTGGCCGCCGAGCACGCTCTGCGGGAGAAGTCGGGGTCAGAGGGCAGAAGTGGCCTGGGGTGTGCTGGAGGGGGGCCACTCACCCCCACTGGCCAGGACTGACCCCAGCCTCAGGCCCCGCCCCTCCCGAGGCCCCGCCCACCTTCTCCATGGTGCTGCACAGGACGGCCTGCAGCTGCTCCGTGCGGTCCAGGTAGCTGGGCTCCGAGCCCTGTAACACAGGGAGCCACGTGACCTCGGGGCGCGTCCTGTCACACACCACACGCTTTGCCCATCCCACCCCCGCCAGCGTGGGCAGCCACTCAGCCAGGGAGGGGCCACCGTGACGCCCACAGACAGAAGGGAAGACTGAGACGGGGGCGTTCACCTCCGTCGAGCCTGCAGATGACAACCCTGACCCTGGCCATGCAGTCATTACCCAGCGCCTCAGATCCTCCACGACTGCGCCCAAGGATGTGGCTGGGGATGGGGGTGCAGATGGCCACACCACAGACAGGGGCCTGGGCCAGACCTGGAAGGACCCGCAAGCCCAGGGAAGGCTCTGGGACACAGGGCCTGGCGAGGGCCTCACAGACAGTGAGCACCTCCAGCCATGGGGAGAGCCTGGCCGGCCCAGCAAGGCCACTGCCCTGTACAGAGGAACCAGTTACATGGAGGGACGTTGCTGGGGGATCAGAGGTCGGGAACCCGCCTCCTGGACGAAGCGCCTTGGGCCCCAGCAGCGCCTGTCTGTGGGACAGGCCAACATTCCAGTGTCAGCTGGATTGGAACAAGGGTCACAGAGGACTAGCAGCCGTCACGGGAGGAAGGGAGCCAGGTGGGGCGGCTAGGGAAAGGTGGCGGCATTACCGGAGGGCATGGCCTGGCCCCCTCCGGAATCCCACTGTGGCCAACTAGGTGGGGTTCTAGGGAGAGCGCTTGGCTGGGCAGGAATCGTGGGAACCGCTGCTGCCCTAGGAGGAGGCAGTGGCCGGGCAGGCGCCCTAGCGTGGAGCTGGCTCTGCCGCTGGAGGCCTGTTTTCACTCCGAAAGTTCCGGCACTTTCTGAACAAAAAGCTCGCCCCTCCTTGCGCCCACGCTGTTAGCAGTCAGTCCAGCCTGTGCTCCTGGCCTCCTTGCAGTCTGAGGGGCCTTGCGGATGCCCAGACGGTGGCGGTCCCCTGCCTGCCCGCCCCAAGCCCACTGGTAGATGTGGGAAAACAGAGTGTCACTCCATGAGGAAGCACGGACAAGGGAGATAACGGCATCTCCTGGTGCAGGGCCTGTCAGGCCATCAGGCTGTCGGGCACCCTCCAGATAAAAAAATCAATCTGTACTCAGGTAAGAAGAGGGCGCGTGGGGAGAAGTGCCAAGCGCCAGAGCCCAGCGAGGGACACAGACAGTGACGTGAGACACCAAGGACGCAGGCAGCTCATCGAAGGTCGGGGAGTGAGGCGGAAACACACTGGGAAGCCTCCCCAGGCCCAAGGAACCCCCAGCCCCCACCCCAGCCCAGCCCAGCCAACCACACTGGCTTCTATGAGGGTCTTGGGGCTGGGGTGGGAAGTGTTCCGGAAGTCACTCTACCCTCAGAAGGTAAGGGAGCCCACCCTAGTACCTGCACAGAGCGGGGGTCGGTGCTGAGCTGCAGGGAGTGAGGGCGTGACTGTGGCCAGGCCGAGAGGCTGCCCCCAGCCCACGTGGGAGCCACCTGCAGCCACCAGGGCCCCACCCGCTCCCTGCCCTCACGGCTGCTCCTGCACCTTCGGCAGCCCAGACGTGAACCTTTTGGCTCTCACAGCCCGAAGTATGGGGCATCGGCCTTTTGCAGAAAGACCTAACTGACTGTCAGATATCCAGCCGCAGGAAGGCTGGTGTGTGGGGCGTGCAGCTCGGCCCTGCTGGCCGGGGGAAGAGGGGTGGTTAACTTCTCAGAGCCTCTGGGTCCATACTGAGAGTGGGCAGAGGCCCCACCGAGCATCACCATCCCACTCACAGGACGCGCCCTCCAGTGCCGGGCTTGTGGGGAACCGCCGCACGGGCGCCAGGACCAAGGGAGCGAAGGAGCCCAGGGCCCGCGGGGTCTTCCGGGACAAAAGGGCAGTGGGGGTTCCCTGCTGGGGGCCGTACCTGCTGGTGGAGGCCCAGGCGCAGAGTGAGGCCCCCGTGGCGCGGCTCGTCCCCGTGCTCGGCGCCCAGCAGGTGCTTGTTGAAGTGGGGCAGCGGCAGGCTGGGCCTGAAGTCTGAGCTCAGCATGCTGACGGGCGCCAGCAGGATGGCGGCATTGGTGACTGGGCCTGGGGGGCGCGGAGGTCAGGCCCCGCCCCATCCCAGCCAGGCCCCACCCCACAGCAAGCCAAGTTCCGCCCCATCCAGGGCAGTCCCCGCCCCCAGCCAGTCCCCGCCCCACAGCCAGTCCACGCCCCCAGCCAGGCCCCGCCCCACGACCAGTCCACGCCCCCAGCCAGGCCCCACCCCACAGCAAAGCCAGTTCACGCCCCCAGCCAGGCCCCGCCCCGTCCCAGCCAGGCCCCGCCCCGTCCCAGCCAGGCCCCGCCCCACAGTCAGTCCACGCCCCCAGCCAGGCCCCGCCCCACAGCCAGTCCACGCCCCCAGCCAGTCCACGCCCCCAGCCAGGCCCCACCCCACAGCAAACCCAGTTCACGCTCCCAGCCAGGCCCCGCCCCGTCCCAGCCAGGCCCCGCCCCACAGCAAAGCCAGCCCACGCCCCACAGCCAGTCCACTCCCCCAGCCAGGCCCCGCCCCACAGCCAGTCCACGCCCCCAGCCCGGCCCCGCCCCACAGCAAACCAGTCCCCGCCCCCACCCAAGCCAAGCCCGGAGCTCCTGCTGGCTTTTTCCCCTGCGCGCTGGCCGCGGGCCGAGCAGAGGCGCGCCCACCTTTGAGGGCCACCGTCCGGATGCACTGCTTGCTCTGCACGTCCCAGAGGCGCACGGTCTCGTCGTGGGAGCCTGAGAGCAGCACGCTGCCGTCAGTGGACACTGACAGGCAAGTCACCTGGTTCCTGGACAGACAGACAGGGGTCACCTGGGACGTGCCAGACAGGACGTGCCTGGGAGCCCCCGCCCCGTTCCCACGTCCCCACCTGTGCCCTTTGAAGACCTTCCCGGCGTCCTGCTCTGGGTGGAAGCTCCTCTCCCTCTGTCCGGGCTGCGAAGGCCGAGACGTGTGTGAGCCGCAGGCCCGATGCCCTCAGCCCCAGGGCAGGGTGCAGCCCGCAGACCGCGGCACTCACCCAGGTGAAGAGGTCGACCTGGAAGATGGAGCCCTCACTGCCCCCGCAGAACATATGGTGCTCAGCCAGGTCCATGGTCACTGCCATGATGGACACGTCAAAGAGGACGGAGAGCAGCAGCTCCCCCGAGGAGACCTCCCATAGCTGCGGGTGGGCAAAGGGCGTGGGGCTCGGCCCGGCAGGGGGAACCCGAGGACCCCATGGGAACAGGGGCACCAGGGAGGTCAGGCGTCGGCTGTCCTCTGGCCCTAGGGCTTGCGACTTTGGGTGAAAGCCGTCACCATGTGGGTCTTGGGGGCCAGGGGACATGGCCTGTGCTGAAATGGAGCTTGGTCTCCGGCTGATGACCCCTGGTTCTCCCTCCCAGGACCACCGGTCACGACTCAAGCATAGTGATGACCTCCGATTCCCCAGGCTTGGCCAGGGAGCCGGGCCAGAAACGGTGAATGAGTAGGAATTTCCAGGCTGGCAGACCTCCCTGGACGTCCTTGGGCTCAGAGCACCAGGGGATTAAAAGCCGTCTGGAGTCCTGACAGCAGGGAGCGGGAGGAGGCGATTCCTGCATTCCTGGCTGAGGACCTGCGGCTGCTGGGCTCCGCTCATGGACCGTGGTGGGGTGGGGGCGGCGTACCTTCACCGTCTGGTCCAGTGAGGAGGTGGCCACCCGGGCCAGGGGGCCCCCAAAGCCGCAGTGCAGGTCCGTGATGGGGAGCGCGTGGTGAGACCAGACGTGCCTGGGCGCCGGAATCCTGGAGGGGTCGGCCTGCAGCACGCTGAGCGGGGTGGGGCAGGTGCTCAGCAGGCGGGGAGCGGAGGGAACAGGGCAGTCCACGCCTCCAGCACCCACCTCACGCACACACCTGCCTCCACTCAGCAGCCTGGCCTGCCTCACCTGAGTAAACTCAAGGCTGGGCCCCCACGGCCCCCAGAACAAACCAGACCCCAGTGTGGGCAGCCAGGACCCCTGGGATGATCACTCCGTCCTCTGCACTCCAGCCCCCAAGAGAGAAGCCCCTTCCCGCCAGGGGCCTTGGCGCCTCCTCTCCCCGCCTGAGCCCGGGTGCAGTTCCAGGTGCAGGCCTGAGTGCGCAAGGCGCTACCTGCAGAGGCTCCAAACCAGCACCAGGCAGTCCTTGCCCCCTGAGATGAAGTGGCTGCTGTCCCCTGTGAACTGAAGGCAGGAGACGTCCTGGTAGTGTCGACTCAGGATGACCAGAAGGTTCCCGGTGGAGACCTGTGAGGGGCAGAGGGTATCCAGGTCAGGGGAGGAAAGCCCCAGGGGAGGAAAGGGGGGCTGCAGCCCCAGGAACCCACCACTGCACGGCCATGGCCACACTGTCGCCCCCTGCCTGCCCTGCCCCAGGACTGCGGGGTGACCCTGTCAGGGCAGCGGCCAGCAGGTACAGCGGGGCCTCGTCGCGCCCCTGCCTGGGCTGGGTGGGCACCTGTTCCCGCCTCGTCCCCACCTGCATGATGGCCCAGGAAGGGGCAAGTTTCCTGCCCTTCCCTGCTGCCTCAGGGAGGTGCTGGTCCCCTGTGAGCCTGACCCCAGGCGTCCTGTGTGGGCCCCGTAGGAACGGCTGCACTCAGGACCTGCAGGCGGCTCCCACCATTCAACAGGAAGTCGCTTCTGGGCAGGCTGTGGTGGCCTGACCCAGGGTGGTGGCAGCTTAAGCTCCGGCAGGAAGCCAGGCAGCTCCATCTGAGGAAGAGGACAGGGAGCCCCTTCCAGGACACCTGGGGAGGGCTGAGATGCTCTGGTGGGGGTTGTGGGTTCGAGGGCTGAGATGCTCTGGGGGGGGTTGTGGGTTCGAGGACTGAGATGCTCTGGAGGGGGTTGTGGGTTCGAGGACTGAGATGCTCTTGGGGGGGTTTGTGGGTTCGAGGGCTGAGATGCTCTGGGGGGTTGTGGGTTCGAGGGCTGAGAAGCTCTGGTGGGGGTTGTGGGTTCGAGGCCTGAGATGCTCTGTGGGGGGTTGTGGATTCGAGAGCTGAGATGCTCTGGTGGGGGTTGTGGATTGAATCGTGTTTCCCCCCAAAAGCATGTTAAAAGTCCCGACCTGGGACCTGTGAATGGCCTCATTTAGACGCAGTGTCTCTGCACATATCATAAGTTAAGATGAGGTGGTTCTGGAGCGGGGGCATCCATCCATGTGTCCCGGTTGTTGTAAGCTGAGAGAAGTGCAAACACACAGGGGCTCCACGCGGCAGTGGTGGCAGCAGAGGCAGGGGACAGTCACCCACAAGCCAAGGGTGCCAAGGGGTGCCGGCCACCACCGGAGAGGTGGGAAGGCTCCTCCCAGGGCCTCCAGGGGCAGCGTGGCCCCACAGACATCTTGATTTAGGACGTCTGGCCTCAAGGATGGGGGCCGAGTTTCTGTTGTCGAAAGTCCCTGTGCGTCGTGCTTTGTTGGGGCAGGCAGAGCCTGCTGGGCCCAGATCTGACAGCCATGCCCTCTCTGGGCCTCGCTTTCCTCGCATGCAAAACCCAGGGTGGCTGGGGAGGGTTAAATGGCACCAGAGGAAGCAGGATCCAGGTCAGCCCCAAACCACAGAGGGCAGCTCTGGTGACCACCACTGCCCAGGGCCGGGACAGACCGGGCAGCTTCAGAACATCAGTGCCTCCCGGGAGGTCCCTGTCCCTGTGGCGTGGGAGGGGCGGACCAGCTCCCGCCCCACAGCCCTGGCTCTCAGGTTTCCAGCCCACTCCTGACTCACCGCTCACACACCCGTCGCCTACACAGAGAACAGGAGGAGGATTTCGACCGTGGCAGGGGGGTACAGTGGAGGCAGTCCCGGCCTGAGCTCTGGCTATGTGGGACACCCCTTCATGGTCACAGCTCACGGGTCAGAAACTCTCCAGGAGGGCCAGCTGCAGTGGCTCACGCCTGTCATCCCAGCACTTTGGGAGGCTGAGAAGGGCGGATCACCTGAGACCAGGAGTTCGAAACCAGCCTGGCCAACCTGGCAAAACTCCGTCTCTAATAAAAATACAAAAATTAGCCAGGCATGGTGGCGGGCGCCTCCCAGCTACTTGGGAGGCTGAGGCAGGAGAATCGCTTGAACCTGGGAGCCTGAGGTTGCAGTGATCTGAGATTGAGCCACTGCACTCCAGCCCGGGCAACAGAGCGAGACTTCATCTGAAAAAAAAAAAAAAAAAAAAAAACTGGAGGCGGCTAGGGGAGCAGGGGTCTGGCAGTGGGTGCCACCCAGCACACTGTCCCGAGCCAAGAACAGGAAGGGGTCCCGCCTAAGACATCCCCCATGGGGCGATGACACATTTAATTCCTACCCACATGCCCCTCTGCACCAGACTGACAGCAACCAGGGCTAGGAGGTCTACTGTTAGGGGTGACTCGTGAGCTACTGCTTCCCTGCCTCAGTTTCCCTCTCAGCAACTGCATCCTAGTTTCAAAATCATGGAGTGAGATGTAAAAGCCTTGGGATCCCAGGCATGGTGGCACATGCCTATAATCCCAGCTACCTGGGAGGATCGCTTGAGCCCAGGAGTTCAAGAGCAGCTACGGCAATGTAGTGAGACCCCATCTCAAAAATAAGTTTAAAAATTAAATACATACACACGTGTCCTGAGGGTGAGATAATGATGCCTCCTGTCATTCCTGTGCTGCCTGTCCCGACCCCCCTTTTCTTTGGAGACAAGGTCTTGCTCTGTCACCCAGGCTGGAGTGCAGTGGTACAATCTCATCTCACTGCAACTTCCGCCTCTCGGATTCAAGTGATTCTCATGCCTCAGCCTCCCAAAAAGCTGGGACTATAGGTGTATGCCACCATGCCCAGCTAATTTTTCTATTTTTTGCAGACATGGGTTTTCACCATGTTACCCAGGCTAGTCTTGAACTCCTGGCCTCAAGTGATCTGCCCGTCTCAGCCTCCCAAAGTGCTGGGATTCCAGGCATGAGCCGCCATGCCCATCCCCTGGTGGCTTTTTTATCTCTCCGAGAATGCTCATGCCCACCCAGCCCTCTCAGTTCTCTGAGCAGCCCACTGAGGGAAGCAAGGACAAGGTCAGGAAGGGCAGAAACATGGTTACCTTTGGGTCTTCTGGCCCCAGATCTTGTACTGTCTGCCCTGCTCTATGTGGGGTTGAGGGCAGGTCTCCCCCGAAATATAATGGACCATTTGTGACAACACAGCCGGTGATCTAACGCCACAGCTACGGTATGGGCCAAACTCCAAGAGGCCTGACTTTGTGAATGAAGTCTCCCTGGCACATCTCTGTGCCCACTCACTCACACATCATCCAGGGCTGCTTCCCCTCACCAGGGCAGAGCTGAGAAGCTGGCCTAAATGCAAAGCCTGAACAGTTCACTCTGTCTCGCAGTGAGAGCATGGCAGGATCCGGGCTGTGAGTGTGTCTAGGAGTTGCTGTCACCTGGTTGGTCCAGCGGTAAGAAAAAGGAGGCACTGGCCGGGCGCGGTGGCTCACGCCTGTAATCCCACTACTCTGGGGGGCCGAGGCGGGTGGATCACCTGAGGTCAGGAGTTGGAGACCAGCCTGACCAACATTGTGAAGCCCTTCTCTACTAAATACAAACAAATTAGCCAGGTGTGGTGGTGGGCGCCTGGAATCCCAGCTACTCAGGAGACTGAGACAGGAGGATTGCTTGAACCTGGGAGGCAGAGGTTGCATTGACTACCGGCATGAGCCACTGCGCCCGGCCGCCCTTTATAACTTTCAAGTCACAAGTGCCAGGCGCTGCCGCCTGCGTGGAAGAGATGCCCGCTAGCCCTGGAAGATGCTGCGGTGTGTGAGTGCCGGGGACTGGGCTGCACCGGGCTCTATCCAAGCACTCAAGGCAGGATTAGGGCTGGTCTGGGATTCGCAAGTCTCGAGGGGACCTGGAGAAAGGAGGCAGCAGGGTGAAGCTTAGGCTATAACCCCTGAGCAGTCACCCATCCCAGGGCCCCAGGCCGCATGGTTGTTCCCTGGTGCCCTGCAGGCAAAGCTCAGATGGGCTGAGATGTCCTGTGGGAAACGCTCACGCTTTGCTCCTCTTACCTCCCACAGGTGGATGCTTTCTGCAACTCCTGCCAGGACGTAGAGACCATTGGGTGATGCAGTCAGACAGGTGACAGGCCCGGGGCACATGATCTTCTGCTGGAGCTGGTCCTAAGGATGCACAGTCAGCCTCGTGAGCCCCATGCAGGACACGGGAGCTACTACAGCAGTGGAGGGCGAGGGGAGGGGACGCCTGGGCAATGGCTAAGTCAGAGAACCAGGAAGAGGAGTCGGGAGCAGGGTGGTTTGAGCAAATGCATGGTCCAGCAAGGAAGTGTTCGCCCCTGCAAGAGGCTTCGAGGCTGGAGGTGGTAGATGTGAGGTTGGTGCTTCCTCTGAGGGTCAGAGGGGCCCTGGGTGGGAGGAGTACAGGAACAGAACAAAGAGGATCCAGAAGGACACTGGGGCCCAAGAGCCCAGTAGGCTTGTGCCCCAATCCTTCTATCCATAATGTCCAACCTAAGACCCCAAGCCTCAGCTTCCTCCTCTCTAAAATGGGAAAACTCAGCCGGGCGTGGTGGCTCACGGCTGTAATCCCAGCACTTTGGGAGGCTGAGGTGGGCAGATCACTTGAGGTCAGGAGTTCGAGACCAGCCTGGCCAACATGGTGAAACCCTGCCTCTACAAAAAATACAAATGTGGGCCGGGTGTGGTGGTTGGTGCGGGCCTGTAGTTGCAGCTACTCAGGAGGCTGAGGCCCGAGAATCGCTTGAACCCTAGAGGCAGAGGCTGCAGTGAGCCGAGATCGCACCACTGCACTCCAGCCTCAGCGACAGAGTGAGACCCTGTCTCAAAACTAAAATAAAATGGGAGAAATTTATGAGTTGTGTGTAGACTCCATCAGGCAATGCTGGAGCACAGAGCCAGTCCCAAGAGATCTCAGCGGGCACACGGGGGAAGCGAGTAGCTTCAGGGACTGGCTGCATTTGGGCTTGGGAGTAGAGGGGAAACTGTGGGCGACGGTGAGTATCTGTTGCTTTATTGGAGGAATAAACATGAGTTTCCTGCGCCACCCCTTCATGGGAGACTCCCCCAGACCTTGGTCCTTCTCCCTTTTCCTCCAGAACCACAACATCCACAGAGCTCATAGGCCCCTTTTAATCAAATTTCGCGCTCCAAGAACTCGTGCATGCGCAATTGCCCCAAGGGACCCCCCGGAGCGTCTCCCATTTTCCCCCACTGCCCCCATAGCAGCTCAGGCCTGAGCCCCGCGCGTGCGCAGAGCGGCCTAACAGGTCGCACGTATCTCCCCAAAGCCCCCAGACCCGCGCATGCGCAGAGCGCCCGAACGGAGACCACCTCCCCTCCCCACGCCAATTCCGACTAAGGGTGCACGCGGCCCCCACCAACCCATCCCCCGACTTCAGCCTCGGGCGCCCCATGACCCCAGCAGCGAGACCGCACCGCCGCACCTTCCGCTGGAGCTCCCAGGCGCTGATGTAATTCTTGCCCAGCTGCGCCGCCAGCAGATACTCGCCATTGAGCAGCGCCAGGCCGCGGGGTCCCGCCTGGCCGCCGCGGTAGGTGAGCAGGTTGGCGCCCGAGTGAAGTTCCCACACGATGCAGCTCCACATCGGGGCCGCCGAGTCCGTACACACGGCCACCTCCATGGGCGCCGCCATCTTGCCTTCCCCACCGCCCCGGACGTGCGTCATCATGAGCGAGACGCGGACGACTGCCCCACGCGGGCCAGAGCGGCGGCCCCGCGGCCCCAGCGGGTGGCCGACCCGCGCATGCGCCCGTGCCTCGGAGAGAGGGGCTTTCTTGTGAAGTGGGATTTCCCGCTTACCTGAGACTCGAGGGTCGCGCGGCCTGCTTAGAGATCTGGGGAGGCGACTTCTTCCAAGGCCCAGGGTCTCCGGCGATCAGTTAGTAGCTCTAGAGCCGGGGTACCTGACTTGGCCTTTTCCTCCTGGGCATTTTTGGCCAAGTGACTCAAGCTCTTGGATTCATTTATTTTTAAATGTTCAAATAATAAAGTTCCGACGTCACAGGCCTAAATGACACATTGCGCCTAAAAGAGAGAGCGCACACCCAGCAACATGGCTAGTTGGCGATGAATACATTGGAATTCACTGCTTCCTTATTTATTTAGTTTTGTAGAGCCAGGGTCTCACTGTCCTGCCCAGGCTGGCCTCGAACTCCTGAGCTCAAGTGATCCTCCCAGCTCGGCCTGCCAAAGTGCTGGGATTACAGGCGTGAGCCACCGCGCCCGGCCCAGTGTTTCCTTATTGGTCGACATCTGCCTCCCCCTTGACCCCTCTTTAGGGGCCTCAACATCTAAATTATTAGTCGGATAGCTTGGTGTAGGTCAAACAAGTCGCCAGTTCTGTCCGAGCCAAGCAGGGTCTAACTTCATGTCACGGCTGCCCGTCACGGACCATGTCTGAAAACGGCATTCAAAAAAAAAAAAAGGCCGGGCGCTTTGGCTCAGGCCTGTAATCCCAGCACTTTGGGAGGCCGAGGTGGGTGGATTACCTGAGATCAGGAGTTCGAGACTACCCTGGCCAACATGGCGAAACCCCGTCTTTACAAAAAGTACAAAAAGCCGGGCGTGGTGGGAGGCTGAGGCAGGAGAATCGCTTGAACCCGGGAGGCGGAGGTCTCAGTGAGCCGAGATCCCAGGCACTCCAGCCTGGGCGAATGAGACTCTGTCTCAAAGAAAAACATATATCTATTATTTATTTATACTAAATATATATCTAGTAGAGATGGGGGGTCTCACTGTGTTGCTCAGGCTGGTCTCCAACACCTGGGCTTAGGCCTTGGCCTCTTAAACCGCTGGGATTACAGGCTTCAGCCACAACGTCCGGCCTAAAAACAGTATGATTTAAAATGTGCAATTAGTTGCCAACCCCTTAAAAAGGGATAAAAAGGGAGCATTCATTTAAAAGTCGGGATTTCCGCCCGGGGGTTGCAGCTGACCTGGGTCGTGTGCCCTCGAGCAGCAAGAGGCAGGGGCTGGAGGCTGCATGCGGGGTGCGGTCCCCGGAGGCGGTGCGACTCCTGGTCCGCGGCTCCCGGCGGAGGGCACGGCCGGGGCAGGAGGCTGGTGCCAGAGCGTGCGGCGCCGCAGCCCCGCTGGCCGCCAGGTGGCAGGCGCGAGCCACCGACCCCGAGCCCAGGCCAGAGGGAGGGCGGCCCCGGGGACCCGCCTGGTCGGCAGGAGGGGCCGTTTGAGCGGGGAGCCAGCGACCCCCAGAGAACCGTGTGCGGGGCAGGCCCGTGCGAAGGCCCTGGGGCAGGACCACGGAGCGGGGCCGGGCCGTGCAGGGCCGTGTGAACGAGGCCTGGATTTCATTTTATCCTGGGAGGGAGGGAGGGAGTCCAATCCAAGGACCTGCTGTGCCTCCAGAGTTTCCTCCAACCTCATTTTTATTTTCTTTCTTTATTTTGCGACAGTCTTGCTCTGTGGCCCAGGTTGGAGTGCAATGGTGCGATCTCGGCTCACTGCTACCTCTGCCTCCCGGGTTCAAGCGATTCTCCTGTCTCAGCCTCCCGAGTAGCTGGGATTACAGGTGTGAGCCGCCACGCCCAGCTAAGTTTTGTATTTTTAGTAGAGACGGAGTTTCACCACGTTGGCCAGGCTGGTCTCGAACTCCTGACCTCAGGTGATCTGCCCGTCTCGGCCTCTCAAAGTGCTGGGATTACAGGCGTCAGCTACTGAGGCCGGCCTCCAACATTATTTAAAAAACATTATTTAAAAAAATCGGCGGGGCGTGGTGGCTCCGGCCTGTAATCCCAGCACTTTGGGAGACCGAGGTGGGTGGATCACGAGATCAAGATCATCCTGGATAACAAGGTGAAACCCGTCTCTACTAAAAATACAAAAATTAGCTGGGCACAGTGGTGCATGCCTGTAATCCCAGCTACTCGGGAGGCTGAGGCAGGAGAATCGTGCAATCATGGCTCACTGTAGTCTCCAATTCCTGGGCTCAAGCCATCCTCCCACCTCAGCTTCCCGAGTAGCTGGAACCATAGGAACCACACTCAACTAATTTTGTGCTTTTTTTTTTTCTTTTTTTGCAGCGACAGGGTCTTGCTTTATTGCCCAGCTGGTCTTAAACTCCCGGGCTCAAATGATGCTCCCACCTTGGCCTCCCGAAGGGTTGGGATTACAGACATGAGCCACTGTGCCTGGCCTTGTTTTAATTTTTACTTTATTTATTTTTGTTTTTTGTAGACAAGCAGGAGAGGTGGATCTCACTCTGTTGCCCAGGCTGGAGTGCAGTGGCGTGATCTCAGCTCACTTCGACCTCCGCCTCCTGGCTTCAAGTGGTTTTCCTGCCTCAGCCTCCTGAATAGCTGGCATTGCAGGTGTTCACCACCACGCCCGGCTAATTTTTGTAGTTTTAGTAGAGACGGGGTTTCACCATGTTGGCCAGGCTGGTCTCGAACACCTGACCTCAGGTGATCCACCTGCCTCAGCCTCCCAAAGTGCTGGGATTACAGGCGTGAGGCACCGCACCTGGCCTTTTTTTTCATTTTTCTTTTTCTTTTTTTCTTTTGAAATTGAGTCTTGCTCTTGTTGCCCAGGCTGGAGTGCAATGGCACAATCAGCTCACTGCAACCTCCGCCTTCTGGTTTCCAGCGATTCTCCTGCCTCACCCTCCGGAGTAGCTGGGACTACAGGCATGTGCCACCATGCCCGGCTAATTTATTTTGTATTTTTAGTAGAGACGGGGTTTCACCATGTTGGCCAGGCTGGTCTCAAACTCCTGACCTCGTGATTTGCCCGCCTCAGCCTCCCAAAGTGCTGGGATTACAGGCGTGAGCCACTGCGCCTGGTTCATTTTTAGTTTTTCTTAACAGAGTCTGGCCCTGTCGCCCAGGCTGGAGTGCAGTGGTACCGTCATAGCTCACTGCAGCCTCAACCTCCAGGGCTCAAGCGATCCTCCCACCTTAGCCTCCCGGGACCACAGGTGCACACCACCACACCTGACTAGCGTTTTAATTTTTCATAGATAGGGGCTCTCGCCGTGTTGCCCAGGCTGGTCTTGAACTCCTGGGTTGAAACCATCCTCCTTCCTCGACCTCCCAGGGTGCTGGGATTACAGGCATGAGCCACCGCCTGGCCCAGCCTGGAAGTTTTTAAATTCCCGGGTTCCAGGACACCCAGCAGACCGGGCAGGTGTGGGCTGCTGCCACAGGCAGGAGAGGGCAGGGGCAGCAGGAAGTCGATGGACTACAGTCTCCACCTTCTCACAGGCCTCCTGCTGCGGCCCAGCCCGAGCCAGGCCTTCCTCCCCTCCTCCCCTCCCTGGGGACGTGGCCAGGCCAGGCTGCAGTGTGAGGTCAGAGGTCACCCCGCCCCCAGCCTGGTTCCTGGAATGAGGACAGACTAATCGTGTTGGAGCAGGGGACAGAAGCCACACTTTGGGGGCATCTCCAGACCACCCAGCGGCCGGATCTCGTTGGTGCCAGCTGGAGGTTGTGAAGGGGGGGTAACCAGGAAGGGGAAACTGAGGCACAGAGGCAGGAACGTTCCCCTCGGGGTGTAAGGCCCTCATTCTCCATCCCCTGCACATTTATGGAGCACCGCCAGTTTGCAGGCACTGATGAACCCAGCCAGACCCCAGTCGGCTTGGCTGCCCCGGTCCTGGCCCCACAGACCCAGCAGCTGCGGCCGTCCCGCGGCAGCCCCATCATTACCTATGCCAGTGGGGAGAGCAGCAGCCGGCTCTGGTAGCCCTCTGCTTTTGGAAGCGTCTCAGCCGCCGCCTCTCCAGTCTGGACTCTTGGCTGGCTCCGAAAATCGGCTATCAGAGGAGGGTTTGAGCTTCACCTCCGGGAGCCTCCCGCCCTCCTAGCAAGCACCTAGCAGGCGGCCCAGGGAGGTGGCTGGGCTCTGAGAGGCTAGGGGGTGGCTGGGCCCTTCCTGGGCTGGGGAGGAGGTGAGGGGCTGAGTCCATCCCTGGCTGGGGAGGGAGGTGGGGGCCTGGGGAGGAGGTGGGGGGCTGAGTCCCTCCTTGGCTGGGGAGGGAGGTGGGGGCCTGGGGAGGAGGTGGGGGGCTGAGTCCCTCCTTGGCTGGGGAGGGAGGTGGGGGCCTGGGGAGGAGGTGGGGGGCTGAGTCCCTCCTTGGCTGGGGAGGGAGGTGGGGGCCTGGGGAGGAGGTGGGGGGCTGAGTCCCTCCCTGGCTGGGGAGAGGTGGGGGCCTGGGGAGGAGGTGGGGGGCTGAGTCCCTCCCTGGCTGGGGAGAGCTGGGGGCTGAGTCCCTCCCTCCCAGGCTGGGGAACTCAGAGGTGCACCCCCTCCCTGACTCCCCGCCTCTGAGGCCCTCAGCTGCGGGTGAACAAGCAGGGCCTGACGATCCAGTTTGGGGTGGGGGCTTTCCCAGGGTTCTTCCCTCCTCTCCCTGGGGCCGGCGGGCTCCTCCAGGCAGTGAGTGGGACTCCATCTCCGGGACGCAGGGTTTGGCAGACTCATTTCTGGCTGGAATGGAAAATGCCATTTTCCCTTCCGGGGCCAGGGTCTAACGTGGGTTTCAGGAACCAACCGGCTGGGACAGGTGTGGGGGTGTTGTTGGTCCCTCGCCTCCAACACAGCCCTGGGGAGGGACGTGTCCCGGCCAGCCTCGGCCAGGATGGTGCGCGGGAGGCCGGGCAGCTGAGTCTGGGCCTGTCCACCTCCAGCCACGCTGACCCTCCTCCAGTCACGTCCCCTGGGCGTGGGCAATGGGAGGGTGGACAGTGGGTTAGGCGGCCCAGGAAACCCTTTCCTGGGAAAACGTTGCAATACCACTTTCTTTGGGTTTGTGGGCTAAGAACGAGAGGCCTTTTATTTTTTAATTTTTAATTAATTAATTAGTTAATGTTTTTAGAGACGGAGTCTCGCTCTATCACCCAGGCTGGAGTGCAGTGGCGTGATCTCGACTCACTGCAAGCTCCGCCTCTGGGTTCATGCCATTCCCCTGCCTCAGCCTCCCTGAGTAGCTGGGACTACAGGCGCCCGCCACTACGCCCAGCTAATTTCTTGTATTTTTAGTAGAGACGGGGTTTCACCATATTGGCCAGGCTGGTCTCGATCTCCTGACCTCGTGATCCACCCGCCTCGGCCTCCCAAAGGGCTGGGATTACAGGCATGAGCCACCACGCCCGGCCTAATTAATGTTTTTAGAGATGGAGTCTTGCTCTGTCACCCAGGCTGGAGTGCAGTGGGTTGATCTCAGCTCACTGCAACCTCTGCCTCCCAGATTCTAGCAATTCTCCTGCCTCAGCCTCCCAAGAAGCTGGGACTACAGGTGCACACCACCACGCCCAGCTAATTTTTTTTATTTTAGTAGAGACAGGGTTTTGCCATGTTGCCCAGACCGGTCTCGAACTCCCGAGCTCAGGCAATCCACCCACCTTGGCCTCCCAAAGTGCTAGGATTACAGGCGTAAGCCACCGTGCCCGGCCTTTTATTATTATTTTTAAGAGACAGGGTCCCGGCTGGCCCTGTGTGGCCAAGGTGGGTGTTATCATTTGAGGTCAGGAGTTCGAGACCAGCCTGGCCAACATGGTGAAAACCCAACCCGTTGCTACTAAAAGCACAAAAATTAGCCAGGCGTGGTGCCGCGTGCCTGTAATCCCAGCTACCTGGGAGGTTGAGTTGGGAGAATCGCTTGAACCCAGGAGGCAGAGGTTGTAATGAGCCAAGATTGTGCCATTGCACTCCAGCCTGGTTGACACAGTGAGACCCTGATTCAAAAAAAAAAAAAAAAGGGGCCAGGCACAGTGGCTCATGCCTGTAATCCCAGCACTTTAGGAGGCCAAGGCAGGCAAATCACGAGGTCAGGATATCGAGGCCATCCTGGCCAACATGGTGGAACCCCATCTCTACTAAAAATACAAAAATTAGCCGGGTGTGGTGGCGGGCGCCTATACTCCCAGCTACTCGGGAGGCTGAGGCAGGAGAATTGCTTGAACCTGGGAGGCAGAGGTTGGAGTGAGCCGAGAATGCACCACTGCACCCCAGCCTGGGAGAAAGAGCGAGACTTCGTCTCAAAAAAAAAAAAGAGAGAGAGAGAGACAGGGTCTTGCTGTTGCCCAGGCTGGAGTACAATGGCATGATCACTGTTCACCGCAGCCACCATGCCCGGCTTTTTTTTTTTTTTTTAATTTCTGGTAGAAATGGGGTCTCCCTATGTTGCCCAGGCTGGTCTCAAACTCCTGGGCTCTATCCATCCTCCCGCTCCAGCCTCCGAGTGTTGGGATTACGGGTGTGAACCTCTGACCCCAGCTGAGTCCCTTTACTATGTTCTGGGTTTGGGGGCTGCAAACTGGCTGTCCAGGGGCCAAATCTGGCCCTTGGTCTTGTTTCCTAGGACCCGAATGGTGTTGTAAGGGAAAAGGTGAAAATGTGGCCAGCACTGGAAAAGTTCCCTCCCCCAGCCACCAGGACGCCCCTGAACCCCAGAGGCCTCAGCTCCAGGCGGCTTCACCAGTGGGCTGGTTCCTGGGCTCGCCTAGGAGGTGAAGGAGGGCAAACTTATGGGGGGCTCGGGAACAGGGTGTCCCGCTCGGCACAAGGGCCTCCATCTGGGCCGCACAGAGGGCGGAGGAGCGGGGAGCCCCGTGCCTCCCACCCGAGGGGCCGCACCCTCCTGTCATGGGCAGGCGGGGACTGTGTGTCGGCTGCAGAGGATGGAAAGGAGTCTGTCAGAGCAAAGGGGGAGAGGGCTGTTCCCGGCGGTGGAACAGCTGTGTGAAGGCCCTGAGGCCGGACCGGGCCACTTGCCCTGGGAGCTCCGGTCGGATAACGCCAGGGGCGCCCGCATGCAGAGCCCTGTTGAGGCAGGAGGCGAGGGGTCAGGCTCGTGGGCAGGTGGCTGGGGGTGCGCACACTGGCCCTGCCACACCTGTCATCCCAAATCCCTAAAACGGGATTGGTGTCGGGCTCTCAGCGAGGCACAGAGGTGCCCAGAGCGGCCTCCAGGAGCTCCCCTCGGCCCTGTGGACCTTGCGGTTGGATCCTTCTCTGGGGTGGGGACGTCCTGGGCACTCAGGGTGCCGAGCAGCGTCCCTGGACTTCACCCACTCCATGTCAGGAGCTCCCCCCAGATGGGACAACCACAGATGTCCCCAGACATGGACCAGGGTCCCCTGGGGGCGGAATCACCCTGGTTAAGGCCCTCTGGGTTAGGGGATTCCATGGACCCCCTACAGACTCTGCATCCCATGATCCTCGGCCCTGCTGGGGTCCCAGGAGGCTGCACACACTGAAATCCATGCCCTGAGTAGGGAGGGAGAGAGGAGGCGAGTCCCAGGAGCTGGGTTCCCCCGGGTTTACACCGTCTGCCCTGTCAGGAGCTTATCCTGGTGTCTGCTGTGGGCAGGGAGAACTGTTTTTACCCCACCTTAAATAATGAAGGCAGAATTTCCCAACTCCTGCAGTGTGGATGCTGGGCGCCAGATTGTTCTCTGCGGTGGGGCCGTCCTGGGCACTCAGGGTGCCGAGCAGCATCCCAGGACTCCACCCACTCCACACCAGGAGCGCCCCCCCAGGCGTGACAACCACAAATGCCCCCAGACATGGACCAGGGTCCCCCTGGGGGCACAGACCCTGGCTGAGGACCCCTGCTTTTTTTTTTTTTTTTTTTTTTGATGGAGTTTCCCTCTTGTCGCCGAGGCTGGAGTGCAGTGGCGCAATCTCGGCTCACTGCAACCTCCGCCTCCTGGGTTCAAGTAATTCTCCTGCCTCAGCCTCCGGAGTAGCTGGGATTACAGGCACGCGCCACCACGCCCGGATAATTTTGTATTTTTAGTAGAGATGGGGTTTCACCATGTTGGTCAGGCTGGTCTCAAACTCCCGAACTCAGGTGATTCCGCCCTCCTAGACCTCCCAAAGTGCTGGGATAACAGGCGTGAGCCACCGCACCTGGCCAGACCCCCGCTTTTGTAGCTGTCTCTGCCGCCCGGAACCAGACCTAGAGCGATGCAGGGCAGAGGGGGATAGAGCACCCCCTTCCACTCACCCCTGGCTGTGCTGGGCAGGGGTGTAGGGTGGAGCTGGAGGTTGGGGAGACGCCAAAAGAAAAAAAACACCACAGGACACTTTTCTGTTAAAAGTCAGAAGTGTTTTGTCTCGTTTTAATATCTCATCAGCTTTACAGGGTTACAATCGTCTTAAATATTTCTGAAGTTTAAATACAATCTGCATAATAATGTTACTATAAAATGTAAACTTTCAGTGTTCTTTTAAATTTCAAAATCACACTTTTTTTTTTTTTTGGTCTTTTTGTCTTTTTTTTTTTTTTTCCTTTTAATACCTGAATGTTCTGCGAAAACTGAAATTGTTACAGGCCACCCTGCCGCGGCCAGGGCGAGACAGGCTGGGCCCAGCCAGAGGTAGAGAGTAGTTTTATGTTTTTTAAAAATTTTTTTAAGTTTTTTTTTTTTTCCTCCTATTACCTGAGTTTCAGGCGTGGTTCCCACGCCGTCTGACAAACTCCAGAGAAACTGAAATTTCACACGTCATGAATGAAAGGCTGAGTTTACATTTGCCAAGGAAAAAAATGCAAAAGCACAATTGGGGAAAAAAGGGACAAGGTGGGTAAAACATGATAAGAGAAAGGAAATTCAACTGTACAGATGCGTGACCCTTAACAACGACCCCAGCTGCCCCCCGTGCCCCGTGCCCACCCTCCCGCCTTTCTGGACAGCCACTTACGGGTCCCACGGAAGGTTCCAGAAGCCGCCTTTCTCCCAACATCTCAGAGCAGGGGGAGCCCCCGTTGGCCTTGACTGTGGGGCACCCACTCAGTACGCAGCCAGGCCCCACGGTCCCAAGTGAACTAGAACCCATCCAGGGTCCTCGTGGCTGAGGGGACTGCCCGACCCCCTCCCAGTCTGCATAAGGGGGGGTGCTGAGCTGCACCCCAGAAAGCCACACCGAATTTAAACCCCCACCGACAGGCGGTGGCAGGAGATGGGCACGGCTGGGGTTGAACGGGGCCACCTGAGGCAGGGAGGAGCCTCTGCAGACACGGCTTCCTGCCGAGTATCCAGGACCGGGCCCCATAGACCCTCTGCAACCGCCTCCCATTTCCACGGCCAGCATGGCCACTGCCTTCAGCGACTTCCTTCTCCTGGGCCGGGACCCAGCCTCGCGCCCACCCCCCACCCACCCCGCCTGTCCCTACAATCATCGGAGTTAACAGCAGGCTCAAGTCCTCTGAGTTAGAATCCAGGTCCACCCACCGCCGGGAGGCCGGATCGCCCACAGACACGACACGCAGGATTCCCGACACACACACGCAGCCCGAGGGAGACGACCCAGCCCTCGACCCTGCACGGCCCCTCCCCAGGCTCCGAGGTGGGCAGGTGCACGGGGGCCCCAGGGGTCCAGGGCCGCCAGATGCAGCAGGCAGCCAGGCCCCAGTGGCTGCTGCAGACCCTGGTGCACGGGAGGCGGGGGAGAGGCACCCCAGGGGCTCAGATTTTGGCATCAAAAGTCAGACCTGAGGTAGACAGAGATAGGCAGCAGGCGCTTCCCCCGGCGCGGGGCCCAGGCGTGGGACGGGGGTCCCGGGAGAGGAGCCCTGGAGGCCGGGGGACAGACACGGACAGAGTCCAGGTGGTTCTGCGAGTGGGGCCCGATTGTGTCTGGAGGCAAACAGACACCCCCTTCCCGGGGTGATTGTGCTGCTACGGTGCTGGCCCCAGGAAGGGACAAGGAAAACCTAGACGCCCACCACCCCCTCCTGGAAAGGGGGTGTGTGTCCACGGCCCTGAGATCCGAGAAGGAAGTGGGGGTCCCCTCCCCAAAGACACAGGAAAGTGACAGTCCCCTCCCACAGCCCGACGGGAAAGTGAACCTAGACTCAGGGGCTCAGAAGCCCCCCAGCCCCCTCCCCAGGGGTCTCCAAGGCAATGGGGAGGTGGTTGGGAGTGGGGGGAGCTGGGGAGTCCCCTTCCTCACCAAGCCCCCATGCCGGTGGCCTAACAGGGCTCCCAGGGCCCAATTAGAGACCCAGGCTTACCCTGGGAATAGCTGAGTTAATCCCCACTGCACCCCAAGAGAAATGAAAGCCCAGAGCTCCCGTGTAGGACACGACAGCCCCGCCCAACACCACGCGGGTCCAACGAAGTCCCCAGACCCTGCTGGGCATTTCAGACCCAGCCTTTCTGCTCCAGCAGCTCCAGCCAAAATAACCCCCCAGCTCAGCTGCGGTGACCCCACTTTCTCCAAGCCAGGGGGAGGGGTACTGACCCACAGGGTGGTGGGGGGCAGCCTCCCTTCTCGGCCTCGATTTAGTCACCGCAGAACTCGGGGAGCTCGCAGCCCCAGCACAAAAGGGGTTGGGAGAAGAGGAAGGGACAGAGCGAGGAGAATGTTGGGGTGTGGGGGGTGTTCAGGATGCCGGGGCCCTGAAATCCTCACCCTGAGTGAGGTCCGGCTTCACCCCCACTCCCCAGTATTGATAGTCCTCAAAAGCAGCCCTTTCGGGCAAGAGAAGAATCCCAATGAGACGCCACATTCATCCCTGAGACAGGAGCCTGGGGGCTTCGACAAGAACCACCCCCGCCCCCCAGGCCCTTTTTCCAGCACTTGCTACTTTTTAGATAAGATTTCCAGACCGGGCCAGCGTGGCGGCTCATGCCTGTAATCCCAGCACTTTGGGAGGCCAAGGCGGGCAGATCACCTGAGGTCAGGAGTTCGAGATCAGCCTGACCAACATGGCAAAACCCCCATCTCTACTAAAAATACAAAAATTAACTGGGCGTGGTGGCGGGCGCCTGTAATCCCAGCTACTCCGGAGGCTGAGGCAGGAGAATCGCTTGCACCTGGGAGGTGCAGGTTGCAGTGAGCCAAGATCGCACCATTGCACTCACTCCAGCCTGGGCGACAAGAGCAAAACTCCGTCTCAAAAAAAAAAAAAAAAAAAAATTTCCAGGCCCCTGACTCGAGAGCCCAGCAGACAAGCACGGCACAAGCAAAAGCATCGTGGAATATCACAGTCAGCAATTCACTGTCAGGGGCCCCTGGCCGGTGGGACCCCAGCATGCACCCTCTGCCCCAGCCCGGCCCATAGCACCTGAGTTCATTGGCTCCGCGGCTCTAGCCCCAGGGATCCGATGTGCTGGGCTCACAGCTGCCCAACGCACCCCCAGAAATGGACAAAGGGACCCAAATTGGTCATGGGAAAAATAAAAAGGTGAGTTTTTTTTTTTTTTTTTTTTTTTTTTTTTTGCTTTTTTTTCTTGCTTTTTCAAGACCAGTTTCCCTGAAGGAACACAAATATATAGCTATATAGATATATAGATATCCTTTTCCTAAGGTTTGATCCCCCCAAGAATAAAATAGAATATTTACACAACAAAACCCCCGAAACCTCTTAAAAACCCTACAGAGAAAAAAAAATTTCCCAAAGCAACAAGAAAAAAACAAAAATTCAGTGATCTTGGTTCAGGGGTTTCACTGGACACGAGAAGCTGGGAGTGGTGAGTGTGTGGTGAATAGAAAATAAAAGAGAACTAAAGCAGACAAAAATGAAAACACACAGTGCAGGGATGTATGAGGTAAACAGGATCGGCCCACACTGCTGTGGGGCCAAACCAGACACCAGAGCCTTCGGTCCATCAGGGCTGCCTGAACGCCCTGGGAAACGTCTGCCTCTTTCTGTTTTTCTGATGGATTTCTTTGCTGTTCTCACAATTCATCTCTCTGAATGTCCAAAACCTGAGAAATTCAAGTGTTCCTTGGTTTTCCCCTGTTTTATTAAATTCTCTTTATATATATACGTGTATATATATATATATATATATATATCTTTTTTCTTTTCTTTTTGGCGTCAGCTGTGGCTCCTTTCTGGATATCTTCCCTCCCCACCCGTATCTTCCGCCATCCTGGCCCCTGTGTGGCCCACCTGGACCCCCTGCCCAGGCCGGCGGGCTCCAGGGTGGGTGGCGGGTGGGGAGTGATGCGGTTAAGGCAACGAGTTATTTGAGGTAGATGTGGAGGGTGTGGACAGCCCCGCTGGCCCAGCCTGGCCGCCGCTGGTTCCGGTGTTTCCTCCCCGGCCGCCTGCGTTGCTGCTGCTGCCGCCGCCGCCGCCGCCTCCTTTGTTGGGAGCAGAGGTTGGCGTGGGGGCCGGCGGCTGAGCAAACAGAACTCCTAAGGCAAGAACAGAAGACATATGCCATGCAGAGTTTAAGAAGATGCGAGGCGGGCCACAAGGGAGACCCAATGGGGTGCTCCGGGGAATAAACTTCTCTCTCACTCTGTCCCCCAGGCTAGAGTGCAGTGGTGGCATCAGAGCTCACTGCAGCCTCAACCTCATGGGCTCAAGTGATCCTCCCAGCTCAGCCTCCCGAGTAGCTGAGACCACAGGGGCGTGCCACCATGTCTGGCTAATTTTTTATTTTTTTGTTTTTTTTTGAGATGGTGTCTCGCTCTGTCGCGCAGGCTGGAGTGCAGTGGTGCGATATTGGCTCACTGCAACCTCCACCTCCTGGGTTCAAGCAGTTTTCCTGTCTCACCCTCCTGAGTAGCTGGGACTAACTACAGGCGCCTGCCACTACACCAGCCAATTTTTTATTTTTAGTACAGACGGAGTTTCACCATGTTGGCCAGGCTGGTCTCCAACTCCTGACCTCAGGTGATCCACCCACCTTGGCCTCCCAGAGTGCTGGGATGACAGGCATGAGCCACTGTGGCTGGCAATATTTTAGCAATTTTTTATTTTTTGTAGAGATGGGCTCTCAATATGTTGCCCAGGCTGGTCTCAAGTTCCTGGCCTAAAACAATCCTCCTGCCTCTGACTCCCAAAGTGCTGGGATTACAGACGTGAGCCCAGCTTAAACTTCCCCACTGTGTCTGCTCACTCCTTCATCACACACATGTGCATATATATGGATGCACGTGAGCACACACGTGTGTTTAATCCACACATGCACATCAGCGTGCACACAGCTCTTGCAGGGAGAACCCTGATGCCCATGGTTCGTTGATGTGGGGTTGCGAGACCCCTAGCACACAGTTGGCCTTCTCCCCTGTAAGATTCAATATGAATGTACACGTTTTACATCTGATTTCCGGAGGGCACGGACCCCTCAAAAATCCATTTGTGGACCTGTGAGGACACCACTGACCTTCAGCTCAGCCTCTGACCACAGCCGGGCGGGGGCCTGCAACAAGGCTGCTCTGTGTCGACAGCGCCACCTGGTGGCCACTATGAACCATCGGCCTGACTCCACTTTAAGAAAAACTATTCATTTACCGCCGGGTGTGGTGGCTAATGCCTGTAATCCCAGCACTTTGGGAGGCCAAGACCAGCAGATCACGAAGTCAGGAGTTCGAGACCAGCCTGACCAACATGGTGAAACCCCGTATCATCTAAAAATACAAAAATTAGCCGGGCCTGGTGGCATGCACCTGTAATCCCAGCTACTCAGGAGGCGGAGGTTGCAGGAGCTGAGATCATGCCATTGCACTCCAGCCTGGGCAACAGAGTGAGACTCTGTCTCAAAAAAAAAAAAAAAAAAAAAAAAAAAGAAAAACTATTCATTTACTTATGTTCTTTTGTAGAGATGGGGTCTTCTGTGTTGCCCAGGCTGGCCTCAAGCAAACCTCTCTCCTTAGCCTCCCAAAGTGTTGGGATTACAGGCGTGGGCCACTGCCCCTGGCACTGACTCCACTTTTTTAATTAAATTTTTTAATTCTTTTTTTTTTCTTCCTCTGAGACGAAGTCTTGCTCCATTGCACAGGCTGGAGTGCGGTGGCGCGATCTCGGCTCACTGCAACCTTCGCCTCCCGGGTTCAAGCAATTCTCCTGCCTCAGCCTCCTAAGCAGCTGGGATTATAGGCACACACCAGCACACCTCGCTAATTCTTGTATTTTTAGGGAAGATGGGGTTTCACCATGTTGATCAGGCTGGTCTTGAACTCCTGACCTTGTGACCCACCCACATCAGCCTCCCAAACTGCTGGGATTACAGGTGTGACCTACTGTGCCCGGCAACTTTTTAATTCATTTTATTTAAAAAAATATGTATATATAGGGTGGGCGCGGTGGTTCATGCCTGTAATCCCAGCACTTTGGGAGGCCGAGGCAGGCGGATCACCTGAGGTCAAGAGTCCAAGACCAGCCTGGCCAACATGGTGAAACCTCATCTCTACTAAAAATACAAAAAAAAATTAGCTGGGTGTGGTGACACACGCCTGTAGTCCCAGCTACTTGGGGAGGCTGAGGCAGGAGAATCGCTCGAACCCAGGAGGCACAGGTTGCAGTGAGTCAAGATCGTGCCACTGCACTCCAGCCTGGGTGACAGAGGGAAGACTCCCTCTCAAAAGAAAAAAAAAACAACTATATATATATATATCTATGTAGATATAGATATAAAAGTATATATGTATTTATAGATACATATAAATCTATATCTAATCTATATATATCTATGTATAGCTACAGCTATATCTATCGATATATCTATATATAGATATATAGAGAGAGAGAAGGACGGGATCTCACTCTTTCACCCAGGCTGGAGTGCAATGGTGTGATCTTGACTCACTGCAACCTCCACCTCCTGGGCTCAAGTGATCCTCCCTACTCAGCCTCCCGAGTAGCTGGGACTATGGGCGCCTGCCACCACGCCCTGCTGATTTTTATATTTTTAGGAGAGATGGGGTCTCACTATGTTGCCCAGACTGGTCTTGAACTCCTGGGCTCAAGTGATCCTCCCGTGTTAACCTCCCGAAGTGCTGGAACTATAGCCATGAGCCACTGCACCCAGCCTAGATTCAATTTTTTGGATACCTCATTTACCCTGATGTGATTATTAGGCATTGGATGCCAGTATAAAACATCTCATAAAACCCATAAATATATATACCTACTATGTACCCACAAAAATTACAAATTACAAATTAAAAAAAATAAAAAATACATTCATTAAATTTTTTTTCAAGAGACAGGGTCTCGGTCTGTGGCCCAGGCTGGAGTGCAGTGGCGTCATCACAGCTTGCTGCAGCCTGAAAGTCTCTAACCCCTGGGCTTATACATTCTTTGCTCCTCAGCCTCCGAAAATGCTGGGATTGGCTGGGTGCGGTGGCTCACGCCTGTAATCCCAGCACTTTGGGACGCCGAGGCAGGAAGATTGCGTGAGCCCAGAGTTCAAGACCGGTCTGAGCAACAAAGCAATTTAAAATTTAAAGAGCAACAAAAAATTTAAAAATTAACCAGGTGTGCTGGTGCATGTCTGTGCAAGACTCCGTCTCATTAAAACAAAAAACTAGGAATGTGAACCATCCAACGTCACACTGAATATGTATCTGTGGACGACCCCCTCTGGGCTGAGCGTGGTACCGGGTGAACGATGGTATCCTCTCCATCAGTCTTGACTGTTTGTCCTGCAAAGCCCCTGGCCGTGCCCTGCTCGCCCGCACACCTAGGTTCAAGCAGGTGGGACCAGGCGCAACTCAGGGTCCTGAGTTCACGGCGGCGGGAGAGGCGAGGTCCAGGCAGGGCGTGGCCTCAGGGGTCCTACCTGTGTACATGATGCCGTTGATCTCCACCGACATGCTGATGCTGTTGCTGCCGTTGGTGCCCGTCAGGTTCACAGCAGAGTCCTGGCGGCTTTCGGAGGCTGTGGGAAGAAGAACAAATTAGTTTCTTTTTTTCTTTTTTTTTTTGAGACAGAGTCTTGCTCTGTTGCCCAGGCTGGAGTGCAGTGGCGCGATCTCAGCTCACTGCAAGCTCTGCCTCCTGGGTTCACGCCATTCTCCTGCCTCAGCCTCCCAGTAGCTGGGACTACAGGCGCCCGCCACCACGCCTGGCTAATTTTTTGTATTTTTAGTAGAGATGGGGTTTCACCATGTTGGCCAGGATGGTCTCGATCTCTTGACCTCGTGATCCACCCGCCTCGGCCTCCCAAAGTGCTGGGATTATAGGCATGAGCCACTGTGCCCAGCCGAACAAATGAGTTTCTTTCTTTTTTTTTTTTTTTGAGACGGAGTCTCACTCTGTCACCCAGGCTGGAGTGCAGTGGTGCGATCTCGGCTCACTGCAACCTCCACCTCCAGGGTTCAAGCAATTCTCCTGCCTCAGCCTCCTGAGTAGCTGGGACTATGGGTACACACCAGCACACCCGGCTAATTTTTGTATTTTTAGTAGAGACGGGGTTTCACCATGTTGGCCAGGCTGGTCTTGAAGTCCTGGCCTCAGGTGATCTGCCCGCCTCGGCCTCCCAAAGTGCTGGGATTACAGGCGTGGGCCACCGCGCCCGACCAAAACTGCCATTTCTGATCATAAAGACACCTGTGACATGTTCTGTTTTCTGTCTGTCTCGCCAACTAGATTTTAGCTTTACAAGGTGTAGACGGTGTCTGTCACATTCATGCTGTCACCAGTGCACACAGTAGGTGCTCAATATTTATTTGTTGAATAAGTGTATTTGTCCATACTCCACTTTGTTTTTTTTTACCTTGTTTTTGAGACCAGGTCTTGCTCTGTCACCCAGGCTGGAATGCAGTGGTGCAATCATGGCTCACTGCAGCCTCGACTTCCTGGGCTCAAGTGATCCTCCCATCTCAGCCTCCCGAGTAGCTGGGGCTACAGGAGCGTGTCACCACGCCCAGCTAACTTTTGTAGAGATGGCATCTCACTGTGTTGCTCAGGCTGATCTCAAATTCCTGGGCTCAAGCAATCCTCCCATTTCAGCCTCCCAAAGTGCTGGGATTATAGGCATGAGCCACGGTGCCCAGCCAGTTTACTTTATTATTTTTTATTTTTTGAGATGGAGTTTTGCTATTGTTGCCCAGGCTGGAGTGCAGTGGCGTTATCTCGGGTCACTGCAACCTCCATCTCCCAGTTCATGTGATTCTCCTGCCTCAGCCTCCCAAGTAGCTGGGACTACAGGGGTGCGCTGCCACGCCCGGCTAATTTGTTGTATTTTTAGTAGAGATGGAGTTTCACCATGTTGCCCAGGCTGATCTCGAACTCCTGACCTCAAGTGATCCACCCACCTCGGTCTCCCAAAGTGCTGGGATTACAGATGTCAGCCACTGCACCCGGCTTTTTTTTTCTTATTGATTTGTTGGCACTCTTTACATATGTAGGCTCCAAGGCCCTCACTGTGTGACACACGCAGGAAGCACAGCGGGTCTGGGCACGAGGGCAGTACCTTGGCTGTTGATCCGAATGCTCATGGGCAGCTGGGCCGCCATGGCCAGGAAGTTCTGCTGGAGTGCACGTTGCATCAGCCGTTGCTGCTCATCGGCCACCAGGGCCATCTTCTTCTCCGGAGGCTCTGCAGACTCCAGCTTCTCCCGCAGCTGTTCCAGGGCAGCTGCCTGTGCGGCCACAGCTGCTTGGGCGGCTGCTGCTTGCACAGCTGCTGCCTGGGCTGCCACCACAGGGTG
This sequence comes from Homo sapiens, assembly GCF_000001405.40. Lineage (NCBI taxonomy): Eukaryota > Metazoa > Chordata > Mammalia > Primates > Hominidae > Homo > Homo sapiens. The sequence goes on along the minus strand of NC_000019.10, from coordinate 966,630 downwards.
GCCCGCCAGGGACACAGGCAGGCGGCCAGGGACTGTGATGGGGATGGCTGAGTCCTCCTCTAGGTAGGAAAAAAGGGGAATTGGTGGCCAGGAGGGGCTGGGCCCTGCCTTCCACTCAAGGCAGGAACATGCACCTTCTTTTTTCTTTTCTTTTCTTTTTTTTTTTTTTTTTGAGACGGAGTTTCACTCTTGTTGCCCAGGCTGGAGTGCAATGGTGCGATCTCAGCTCACCGCAACCTCTGCCTCCCGGGTTCAAGTGATTCTCCTGCCTTAGCCTCCCTAGTAGCTGGGAAACAGGCACCCGCCACCACGCCTGGCTAATTTTGTATTTTTAGTAGAGACGGGGTTTCTTCATGTTGGCCAGGCTGGTCTTGAACTCCTGACCTCAGGTGATCCGCCCGCCTCGGCCTCCCAAAGTGCTGGGATTACAGGCGTGAGCCACCGCGCCCAGCCTTTTTTTTTTTTGCTTTGAGACAGAGTCTCGCTCTGTTGCTTAGGCTGGAGGGCAGTGGCGCGATCCCAGCTCACTGCAACCTCTGCCTCTCAGGCTCAGGTGATTCTTCTGCCTCAGTCTCCTGAGTAGCTGGGATTACAGGCGCCCACCACCACACTAAGCTAATTTTTTTTTTTTTTTTTTTTGACACGGAGTCTCACTCTGTCGCTGAGGCTGGAATGCAGTGACGTGATCTTGGCTCACCGCAACCTCTGCCACCTGGGTTCAAGCGATTCTCCTGCCTCAGCCTCCCAAGTAGCTGGGACTACAGGTGTGTGCCACCACACCCGGCTAATTTTTGTATTTTTAGTAGAGACAGGGTTTCACCATATTGATTAGGCTGGTCTCAAACTTCTGACCTCAAGCGATCCGCCTGCCTCAGCCTCCCAAAGTGCTGGGACTACAGGCGTGAGCCACTGTGCCTGGCCTAAAAAAATTTTTTTTAGACTGGGTCTCACTACTGTTGCTCAGGCTGTAGTGCAGTGGTGTAATCTCAGTTCACCACAGCCTCGACCTCCTGGGCTCAACCCATCTGACCACCTCAGCTTCCTGGGTAGCTGGGACCACAGGTGCACGTTGCCACGCCCAGCTAATTTTTTTTTTTTTTTTTGAGATGGGGTCTCACTATGTTGCCCAGATGAGAAATGGTAACTCAGACAGGCAAACTGAGGTGACACTGCTGTGTGTGCTGTTGGTACCTCTGTGTTATGGAGGATTCAGAGGCTCAGTGGGAGGGAAAACTGATCAACTGATGATGCCTGCCTCAGTGTAGACTGGAAAAACAGTGATCAATTAGTAATGTCTGCCTTGGCCACAGGACTGGAAACACAGATTGATTAGCAATGTCTGCCTGCCACCTGTGTGGAATTAGAAAATGGTGATGGATTGGTAATGTCTGCCATAGGCAGAGGACTGGTAGATTGGAAGCCCTTTTCCATGCCAACTATAGGGTTTTTCATCCTGGTTACCCAGAGAGGGGAAGAGGTATCCCCCAAGGTCAGACAGCCAGGCTGAAGCTCAGTTGGGAACACGCCCCAGGCCCCATACAGGCCCTTACCTTTCTTGATCTTAGGGGCGGGGGTGATGGAGCTGCCATTGGTGCTTGCGGCCAGGCCCAGGGAGGACACGGGTAGCTTGGGTGAGGAGAGCATGCCGTGTGCCCCGCCTGGCGAGTAGGCAAAGAGGGAGCCACCAAAGCTCTGGCGCCGGCCCTCCCGTCGGTTGCTGTCTATGGCTGCCTGGAGCTCATTGGGGTTACTGAGGCCCCGCTTCTCACACTCGTAGGGGTACAGGTACTTCATGTATCTGTGGGTGGGACGAGGGAAGAGGATGGCACCCGGGTCACCCCTACGGCTCTCTTTGGCCTTCAGTACAAAGTAAACCCCACTGTGGCACCACCATCCCTGGTTCTTCCCTTGGACTTGCTCAGCAGCCCCCAGAGCTGCTGGGCCTTTGCCCATTCCCTCCATCTCAATGCTGTTCCTCGCAATGGCCCCTGATTGCACAACCCCAGAGACTGTGTGGTCCTCGCACCCCTACTTGACGCTCTCGGGCCCTGGACGCACGGTGTGGCCCTGTGCCCTTTGCGGCTGCCCACTGCCCCCTCCTCTGCAGCTGCCCACCACCCCCTCCCTCTTCTGCAGGCCCCTTGCACTGGCTGCTCAGAGTGCCCTGGCCCGACCTCGGCACAACCGTCCGCCACTCACTGGGTCCGCAGGGTGAAGGCTGCACTGGTGATGGACGTGGGCAGGTTGAGGCCCTTGGTGATCTCACGCCACAGCTTCTTGTTGATGACCTCCACGAGGCCGCCCTTCTCCGTCACCAGCACGTACAGCATGAACAGGTCAAGGACCTGTTTGGCCATGATGGGGATGCGGTTCACAGGTGTCCCTGGGGGAAGGGGCGAGAGGGAGGTTGGGGGCCACCTGGGCACTGCAGGGAGCCGAGTGTCCTGGCCTCCGCCCTCTCCATGCCAGGAGCACTCCCCCGCCCAGGCTGTGACAACCACAGATGTCTCCAGACATTGCCCAGGGCCCTCTGTGGGTGCAGGATCATCCAGGCTGGGAACCTCTGCTCGAGAGGGTGCAGAGGGGGCAGCTCTGCCTCGGTTTATCCACCAGTAACCTGGGCTTAGGGACAGCGCAGCCCTCGGGAGGAGGGTTACTGAGAGGAGGGACGTGCGGGAGACGCCCGGATCTTTGTTATTCCTTCTCCACGCCACACACCACGGCAGCTGCCAAAACAACTCTGCCTATGTTCCCAGAGGCCTGTTCCCTCCACACTGACAGGGGCTCTGCAGCCTCAGGCAGGCAAGGGGTAAAGCCTGGCTTACCCAATTTCAAGTCTGGAGAATGGAGGGCTGTGGACTGGCCTAGGGAGGGGAAGGGGATGGGCTAGCCCCGACATGGGGGGTTGGGCTAGCCCAGGAGGAGAGGGTTGTGGGCTACGCTATGCCAGGGAGGGAAAGGGGGAGGATTAGCCTAGGCAGGGGAAGGGCGGTAGGTGGGCTGGCCCAGGAAGAAGAGGCGGCTGGGCTGACTCAGGTTCCTGCCCCTCAACTCCTGGAGCCGGCTGCAGACGTGGCCCCTCCCCGCCCTTCCAGCCCTACCTGCCCCCTCCAGGGCTCTCCCAGGCTGCCCCTGCACCAGGAGCCTCTGGCTTCAGATGTCAGCTCCACCTCTGCCCAGCCCCTCCCTGGCCTGACAGTAGGCAAGACCCACTTAAACCTATCGTTCTGTCCGTGAAATTCTGCACTTAGGAGATCAATTGTGTACAGTCTGTGGCCCCCACCCCATGTTCTGCCTACGTGGGGTCCCAGCACTCAGTGGCATACAGTAGGCGCTCAGTGAAGACCAGTGAGGGCAGGTGGCCCAGGCCATAGCTGCTGCCCACTCACCATGGGGTGGGAGGGGACGCCCATCGCCCTGTTAGGGATGGGGACGTGGACATCGAGGTTCTGGGATGTGACTGGCTGGAGAGCGGGTGCAGCCCTGAGTGAGCAGCCGGCCCTCTGCCTGGTCGAGGCCTGCTACCCCCGGAACCCCCGGTGTCTGACCTTCCAGAAACACCTCCCACCACCCTCCGCCACTTCCAGGCCCTTCCCAGGTTGCAAAACCCCCAGTGAATGGAGGAGATCCCAGGTTGGAGGAAGACGGGCCTCAGACCCGATCCCACCTGAAACCCACTTTACAGCCTGGGCGAGAGGAGCCGCGCCGGGTTTCAGCTGCAGGATCGGCCCGGAAACCTGCCCAGAGCCTCCGCCCGGCCCCACTCGGGACACCAGTTTAGGCCTCAGAGTTTGCAAAGTAAAAGTAACGGCATCAGGCCGGGCGCGGTGGCTCAAGCCTGTCATTCCAGCACTTTGGGAGGCTGAGGCGGGCGGATCACCCAAGGTCAGGAGTTCGAGACCAGCCTGGCCAATAGGGAGAAACCCTGTCTCTACTAAAAATACAAAAATTAGCCGGGCGTGGTGGCGGGCGCCTGTAATCCCAGCTACTCAGGAGGCTGAGGCAGGGGAATCACTTGAACCTGGGAGGTGGAGGTTGCAGAGAGCCGAGACCCCGCCATTGCACTCCAGCCTCAGCAACAAAAGCAAAACTCTGTCTCAAAAAAAAAAAAAAAAAAGGATCAGCAGCAGAGGGTTGGTTCCCAGGGCCACGCCCTGGCTCTGCAGTGGGCGGGAGGAGGATGTTTACAGAAGGAGCTGGGAGCATCACCAGGGCCCGTCGTGGGGCCCAGATAAGGAAGGGTGGGGAGGTTGTCAGGGAACAGCAGGTCAGGTGGTCCAGCTGCTGCTGCTGAGGGGAGAGGGTGTGGTCAGGACCCCTCCCTCACTTCTAGCCCCCAGAGAATTCTGAGAAATTTAGTTAGAGTTTTTTACTTTGTGACACAGGGGAAAAAAAAAATTATTTCTCTCTGTCTGGAGTGAAGGAGAGGAAGATTGTGAAGTCTAGGGTGATGGGCAGGTTCACCTGACGGATTCTCAGCTCCAAGGGCCCCCATTACAGAGCAGGAAGCTCCTGGAGGAAGCCAAGGAAGAGGGAGCTTTGAGGCTGGGTTTTGAGGGACGCATAGGAGCTCGCTGTCTCCTGTCCTGTAGGAATTCCCAGCTTGGAGAGGGAGGTAAAGCTGGACACCAACCCTCACGGCCCCACGTGCCACGGGCCCCCATCTCACCCACACTCATGAGCAGCCTACCATGCCTGCTTTTTGTTTGTTTGAGACGGGGGCTCCCTCTGTCACCCAGGCTAGAGTGCAGTGCTGCAATCTCGGCTCACTGCAACCTCTGCCTCCTGGATTCAAGCAATTCTCCTGCCTCAGCCTCCCAAGTAGCTGGGATTACAGGCGCCTGCCACCACGCCTGGTCAATTTTTGTACTTTTAGTAGAGACGGGGTTTCACCATGTTGGCCAGGCTGGTCTTGAACTCCTGACCTCAAGTGATCCACCTGCCTCGGCCTCCCAAAGTGCTGGGATTACAGGTGTGAGCCACCATGCCCAGCCCTCACCGTGCTTTCTAAGTACCCCCAGGACACCAGGCACTGTACCAGGCACGGGTAACAGCAAAACGGGTTGGCTTTGGACCCAGGAGCTCGGAGCCCCACAGCAGAGTGGTCAGGGCTGAGCAGGTGCGAACAGGATGATAAAGGGTCATGGGGAGGATCTGTCCAGCCTCACAGGGGGCAGTGGGCCCTGGTCAAGCCTGGCCTTGGAGGATAACACAGGAGGGGCCCCCGCCCAGGTCCCGGGTCTGGATCCTCTGTTCCCAGCACGGGAGGGGTTAACTCGGAGGCCGCTGGGCAGTGTGGGCCAGGGGGCCCACAACCCTCCTCCTCCTTCCCTTCCGGGCGGCTGGCAGTGGCGGGTCTGGGGCCTGTGTTTATAGAAGCCAGGGGAGGGGTGGGCGGAGGCTGGGACACAGCGGGCCCCTGTGACGGCCCCAAGTGCAGGGACAGAGCCCTCTGCCCCACCCCTTCCGACCTCTGTGGGCCCCAAGGCCTCCTCCCCCGTCTGAACAGTGGGGATCGGAGCTAGCTCCCTGCCCTAGAGGAGTGTCCAGGGGGGTTGGGGCGGCTCCTACCTGGCAGCAGACGCTCCTAGGACCCTCTCCGGCCGACGAGGACTTGGAGGCGAGACGGAAGCCCTTGCCGCACTCTCTCTGCCCCGTGGTCACTCTAAGCTGGGGTGGGGCCTGGGAATGGCCGCTGGGACACCCCGGCTACCCTTGGTCGTCTGAGTCTGTCTTGTGTCTGGACCTCAGTTTCCCCACCTGGACACCAGCCCAGACCTGCCCTCTCTAGGCCAGGAGACTTTGGGGGCACAGAGCCTGGTATACCGTTGGTGCCCAATAAGTGTGCACAGTAAACAGCGGCCCTGCACTCAGCACATCTGGGGTACCTGCTGGCCACTGAGTTTTGGGCAGGGACTGTTTGTGGCCCGTTTTTACAGATGGGGAAACTGAGGCCCTGGTGGGAAGAGGGGAGGGGCCAGGACTCAAATGTCGCATTGGCCGCCATGAGATCATTAGACTCTAAGCCATCTCGCGGCCGGGCGGGGGGCTTCTGTCCTGCCGCACCTGCACCCACCTGGCCAGCCCGAATCTGACCCCACTCCCTAAACACAGAGGCTGGTTCCACTCCCCCATTACCCAGTAGTGGGGACCCCCACTTCACTGCACCCTGGATGCTAAGGAGATGACCTGGACTGTCTGTTCTGGGTTGGGGCCCTGAGACTGCCCTGCCCCCCACCAAGGGACCTACCCCTTAGACTCACAGGCGTGCCTCCCGCGTCAAACCTCCATGGCAGGATGTGTTTCCCCCCAAGACACCCCTGAAGTCCCTCCCGATTTAGGAGCCTTGGATGCCTCCAGCCACGGGGTGCTCACCACCGCCCCGACATACCTGGAGCCAGTAGGGCCCCTCCTACAGCCCTGTTTCTGTGACCTCCCTCCAGCGGGGTGGGGGCAGAGGGCTCACCTCGCTTCTGCATGAAGCTGAACAAGTCATCCAGGAATTCCTTCCTCTTGGGGTCCCCGTCGAGTTCGTAGAGCTGTGAGGGTGGAGAGGGGATGGGTTAGTTGGTGCCAGAGCTCAGGTGTGGGAACCATGTCCCTCCTGCACTGGAGGCCAGGTCAGGAGGACAGGAGCAGGGGTCACCACCCCTAGGACCCTCAAGCCGCTGCCAGAGCCGAAGACCCCGCTGGGCAGGTGAAGAACCACAAGGCTGCAAGACAGAAATGCCGGTGAACGAGCTTCCCAGAGGGTCTGCAAGGAGGCACCAGAAACCAGGTGGCCTGGGACAAGACAGTGTCCTCTCCCGGTCCAGGGGCCCGGGAACCCCAGATCAAGGTGCGTCCTGGCTTGTGGCCGCAGCGCTCCAGTCTCTGCCTCCGTCTCCACAAGACCGTCTCCCCGTCTCTCTCTCCTCTTCTCAGGACACCAGCCTGCTGGTTTTAGGGCCACCTCATCTCAAATCGATCCTTAACTCCCTTACAGCCACACGTTGCAGCTTAAAGCAACAGAAATCTATTCTCCCGCGGTCCCGGAGCCCAGAAGTCCAAAACCAACTTCTCTTCAGGGTGGCGGCTCACACCTGTAATCCCAGCACCTTGGGAGGCGGGTGAATCGCTTGAGCCCGGGAATTCAAGACCAGCCTGGGCAACATAGTGAGACCCCATCTCTACATTATGATAACAAAAAGTTACCCAGGTGGGGTGGCTCATGCCTACAGTCCCGGCTACTCGGGAGGCTGAGGTGGGAGGATTGCTTGAGCCTGGGCAGTGGAGGCTGAAGTGAGCCGAGACCGCACCACTGCACTCCAGCCTGGGCGACAGAACGCAACCCTGTCTCTAAAAACAAAACAAAACAAAAGATGTCTGCAGGGTTGCGTTCCCTCCGAAGTCTCCAAGGGAGGAACCTTCCTGCCTCTCACGGCTTCTGGGGGCTCCAGGTTCCTGGGCTTGTGGCCGCGTCGCTCCAGCCTCTGCCTCTGTCTTCGTGCAGGATGCGTCCTGATAAATGTCTGTTGGTGATTTCGTCAGTGTGAACATCAAACAGTGAGTCACACACACCTCACGGGTGGAGCCTCCCACACACCCAGGCACAGGCACAGCCCAGCCAGCGCTCCTGGGCTACAAATCTGTGGCTGTCCTGGGTCCCGTAGGCAGTGGCAACGTGAGCATGAGTGTCTGTGCGTCTAACACAGCTGAACACAGAAAAGGTGCACAAGAAATATGGAATTTTTTTTTTTTTGAGACGGAGTCTCGCTGTCCCCAGGCTGGAGTGCAGGGGTGCAATCTCGGCTCACCGCAACCTCCGCCTCCCGGGTTCACTCCATTCTCCTGCCTCAGCCTCCCGAGTAGCTGGGACTACAGGCGCCCGCCACCACGCCCGGATAATTTTTTGTATTTTTAGTAGAGACGGGGCTTCACCGTGTTAGCCAGGATGGTCTCGATCTCCTGACCTCGTGATCCGCCCGCCTCGGCCTCCCAAAGTGCTGGGATTACAGGCGTGAGCCACTAGAAATATGGAATTCTAATCCTGTGGGACCACCGTCCCATCTGCGGTCTGAGGTTGACCAAAGTGTCAACACGTGATTGTATGTCAGTAAGTTCCCCCGTTTCCAAATGAGGTCCTGTCACAGGTACTGGGAATCCAGTGCTTGAACCTGTCCTCTTCTTTTCTTTTTCTTTCTTCTTTTTTTTTTTTTTTTTTGAGATGGAGTCTCGCTCTGTCGCCCAGGCTGGAGTGCAGTGGCGCGATCTTGGCCCACTGCAAGCTCCACCTCCCGGGTTCACGCCATTCTCCTGCCTCAGCCTCTTGGAGTAGCTGGGACTACAGGCGCCCGCCACCACGCCCGGCTAATTTTTTTGTATTTTTAGTAGAGACGGAGTTTCACCATTTGGCCAGGATGGTCTCCTGACCTCGTGATCCGACTGCCTCAGTCTCCTAAAGTGCTGGGATTATGGGCATGAGCCACTGCGCCCAGCCTATTTTTTTTTTTAATTTTAATTTTTATTATTATTATTTTTAGATGGAGTCTCGCTCTGTCGCCCAGGCTGGAGTGCAATGGCGCAATCTCAGCTCGCTGCAACCTCTGTCTCCGGGGCTCAAGCAATTCTCCCCCCTCAGCCTCCTGAGTAGCTGGGATTACAGGCACCTGCCACTATGCCCAGCTAATTTTTGTATTTTTTGGGTAGAGACAGGGTTTCACTATTTGGCGAGGCTGGTCTTGAACTCCTGACCTCAAGTGATCCGCCTGCCACAGCCTCCCAAAGTCTTTTTTTTGTTTGTTTTTGGAGACAGGGTCTCACTCTGTTGCCCAGCCTGGAGTGCAGTGGCGCAATCATAGCTCACTGCAGCCTCAACCTCCTGGGCTCAAGGGATTCTCCTGCCTCAGCTGCCCAAGTGGCTGGGACCACAGGCACTCGCCATCACACCCGGCTAAGTTTTTACATTTTCTTTTGTAGAGATGGGTCTTTCTATGTTGCCCTGGCTGGTCTCGACCTCCTGGGCTCCCTCGATCCTCACGTGTTGCCTTCTCAAAGTGCTGGGGTCACAGGCGGGAGCCACCGCCCTCCACCTTTTCTTTGGGGGACACAATTTACCCTAGGACAGTGCCTGCCTGAGTTCACACAGCAAATCGCTGCAAAAATTCACCAGCATGCCTCCCGGGGCTGTCCTGAGGGTCGGACGGGAGCGCATTTGTTCCGAGAACTGGCTCTGCTTTGCAGGTGAGGAAACTGAGACACAGCGGCGAGTGCGGGACCAGAGCCTGGGGGCTGCTGGGGACTTGGCCCAGAGCCCCGCCCTGCTTCCCATCCCGGTCCTCCTGTCTCCTGCTGGCTTCCCCGCACCTGGAGCCTGGAGTCTCAGCCTCCAGCTATGAAATGAGCCACCGACCGCCTCTGCCTGCCAGGGTGGTGGCTGGGGAGGAAGAAGATCACCAGGCCCCGGAACGTCTTCCAGAGGGGAAAGAGGCTCCGTCTGGGGTACAAGGAGCCAGGAGGTCCCCCAGCGCCCCCCCCCACCCACAGGTTCGGGCGGGCAGGGTGGGGGAAAGCCGGCAGGGATAATTAGAAAGCGGAGTTCAGGCGGGGGCCAATTTGCCGAGGAGGAGCTGCGACAAATACCAGGCTGCCAATTAAGCTCGGGGGAATGTGGCTGGCTGGGCAGTGGGGAGCCTTGAAACCACCAATTAGGCCTCAGCTGGGATGATCGGTCATTAGGGCCCAGAAGGAGACCCACGCCCAGCCCCTGCTGCTGCGGGGACATCCCAGGTGCTGGGGAGGCCGGCCAAAGGCCCCATCACCCTGCAGCCGTCCTGCCCCTCTCTGGGCCTCAGTTTCCCCGTCTGTGTATTGGAGGCCCAGTGAGGCCTTCCGGGAAGGGGCTGGGGGGGCAGCCAGGAGTCCTGACCTCTGCCCTGGGTGGTCGAGGCTGCCCGAGGTCCAGCTGCCTGGTCTTTGTCTCCGCCCCAACCCGGCCAGCGCCAGACTGGCCAGCCTGCATTCCTGCGCTGATTTATGGTGGCCGGGGAGGCCCTTTCCCCTTCAGCTGCCTGAGGGGTGTGGGGCCCTCAGGTAGACCCGGCTGGCCGGGCCGGTGGGTCCCATGAGCACAGGCACGCACACATGGCCACACGCCCGGCCTCGTCCTCTGACCCCGGCCCGGCTGCCGCCCCCTCCCCTCCACGTTCTTCCTCCGAGACCCCGTCCATCACCGAGTCACGGATCTAGGAGTGTATCTGGGGTTTAGTCTGTTTTGTTCCCAGAGTCTGGAATCAGCCGAGCACACAGCAGTTGCCTAATAAATGCTCGTTACTTGAACCTTGATTTTCTCAGCTGCAAAAGTGAGCCGGGCAGGGCGGAGAGGGGGACAGGGCGGAGAGGGGGACAGGACGAGCTTGCCAGGGAAACGCCTGAGGCAGCAGGTACTGGAATGGGGAGGACTTCACCGCTGGGGCTGTCCTGGGGTGAACGCCATCCCCCACCCAAATTCACATCGGCCCAGAACCTCAGAACGAGACGTTATTTGGAAAAAGGGCCTTTGCAGACGTGATCAAATTGAGAAAAAGTCACAGTGAAGGCCGGTGGGCACTGGAGACGGTCGCACAGAGACAGAGGCCGGCCACATGTCAAGGGACTCCTGGAGCCCCCAGGAGCTGGGAGAGGCGGAAGGCTCCTCCTGCAGCCCCTGGAGGGAGCGCAGCCCTGCGGACGCCTCGATTTTGGACTCTGGGCTCCAGGACGGAGGGAGAACAGGTTTCGTTTGTTTTACGCCCGCGGTTTGAGGTCCTTCGTTACGCAGCCCCCCGGCTAAGAACCGCACGTAGAGGCCAGCACACCTTGGGCCCTTCCAGGGCGAGCGGAAGGTCCTCTCCTCTGAGATTCTGACCCGGTATTACGGGGTCTACCCTGCCTGGACCCCCCCTTCCCTGGCACAGCCCCTACAAGAAACCTCACCGCACCTCCTGCCTCAGTTTCCCCATCTCTCAAATAGAGTGTGTGAGAAAACACAGCAGCTTTACCCCAAGCACCTGGCGCCCCAGCTACCCTCACATCCCGGATGGGGAAACCGAGGCGCCAGGCAGCAATCAGCTGCCCCATGTACAGCCAGCCAAGGTTGGGGTTGGAGAGGGGAGCCATTAACTCCCAGGCCAAATGGTGGGCGAACTGGGCCGGTGGCGAGGCACGGTCAGACCCCTGTGGGGCCGGGGCACTGATGCGTGGCAGTAAAGGGAGGACCTGCGGGGGCCCCAGCTGCTGGCGGGGGAGGCGGCTCTAATGGCCGTTGCTGTGGGCAGCCAGCAACAAAGCCAGCAGTAAAGGCCGCCTGGGCTTTATGGGTCTCTGGCCCCCGGTTCCGCTCCCCTGTGGGGGGCGCCCCGCCCTGGCCAGCTGGCCGAGGCCCCAGGGATGGGAAAGCAGGGGACGGTGTCCAGGCTGCCCATGGCGGTGTCCAGGCCCCCCTTGTGGGCCAGATCCCGGGTTGAACTGCTGGGCCACAGCACACCCCATGGCAAACCCAGGCCTTGGTTCTCACCTGGGTTCTGTGGCCGAAACCCTGCCCCTCTGAAACGTCAACCAGAAAGCTCTGAAATCAGCCGCCCACCACACACCCACAGGAGCCCTAAACCCAGGCTGGAGATTGGGCAAAATCTCCGGAAACTCCCTCCCCAGGGGCTGAGGGCCGAGATAAGCGGCCCGCACTCCCCTCCACGCCGCCTGACCTCCCTGGGGCCTGCTCTGATCACGGGAGGGGTCGGGTGTGAAGTTCTGAAGGTGCCCCTCCGCTGAGACCCCCACCGCCCCCCATCAGCCCCGAGCGGCCGCCTTCGCCCCGGCTGTTCCTCCCGTCTGCGAGGCCTTCTCAGCCCCTTCCCTTCGTCTGGGTCCCCTGTGGTCATTCCCTCCCTGGAGGGGAGCCCCCCGTCCTCCCAGGACCGATATCACCTCCGCAGATGCTCTGCTCCCACCCACCTTTACCGACCACCGGCCTCACGGGGTTTCTGGCTCACGGCCCCCCTTGGACCCCCAGCCCTCGCATGGCCCCAGCTGTGTGGATTCACGCATTTGTCTCTCGTCTGTCTGCCCTGGAACATGCGGAATTCTTATCTTGTTGCCAGCATCCAAAATCGGGCACACAGCAGTTGCCTAATAAATGCATGTTAAATGAACTTGCTTTCTCAGTGCGATGCCAAGAAAATGCGGGGCCACAGGGCAGGCCTGGGGGTCTTTCCCTGAGGGGGTCCCCTCCCCTCTGTCCACTTCCTGCTGTGGGGGATGGAAGGTGTGGACCCCTAATTACCAAGGCTGGGCCCATCGTCTCCCCTTCCCAGCACCACCTGCTTCGGAGAAGGGGAAACCGAGGCACAGAGCGCGTGGAGCCAAGCCACCTCCAGGTCCCCCGGCCGCCCCTCCTGCCAGACCCTTCCCCACTCAGCAGTTGGGTGGGGTGGGGGGTTTTTCACAGACATCTGAGCATGACCCTCCCTCGGCCACAGCCTCCCAGGGCCCCCCAGCACCCTCCTGGCCCCTCCCTGCCCTCTCCTGCTCCCTCCGCCCCGGCCTTGAGCTGCCCTATTTAGGGACAGGGTCTCGCTCTGTCACTCAGGCTGGAGTGCAGTGGTGAGACCCTAGCTCACTGCAGCCTCCACCTCCCACCTCGGTCTCCTGAGCCAATGAGACCACAGGCAGGCACCACCACGCTCGGCTAATTTTTGTATTTCTATAGAGACAAGGTCTTGCTATATTGCTCAGGCTGGTCTCAAACTCCTGGCCTTAAGTGATCCTCCTGCCTCAGCCTCCCACAGCGCTGGGATTACAGGCAGGAGCCCCCAGACCCAGCCTTGGCGTCTTTCTATGTAAAACGCACAGGCCCCCACCCCAGGGCCTCCGCGGCGCTGTTCCTTCTGCCTGGAATGCAGCTCCCGGGTCCCCGCTCGGCTCCTGCCTTCCCGCCCAAACGTCGCCTTCTGACAGAGCCCCCTCCACAGCCCCCCTCAGCCTCTGACCCCTTCATTCCTCTTTGGTTTTCTTCCCAGAAGGTTGCACGCCCGAGCCCCGTTACACGGATCTGCAAGACACACTCCGTGGCTCTGGGGATGGAGGGAAGACGCTGTGGCCCCCGACCCTGACACTCCCCCGGCTCTGCACGGGGGGGGGTGTGGGAGGCCTGGGGGGGTGGGAGGTGCCGCCCCCACCTGATGAGGACCGGGCCCCTCTGGAGGGGGCACCTGTGAGGAGAGAGGGTGGCGGGGCTCGGGTGGTGGCGCCGGTGGGGGAGGGGAGGAAAAAGTGAGATAACCGCCACCCCCCAGCCCTGGAAGGGCAAACAGGAAATTCTTGTTTGTGGCGAAACGTTGATGATTTTCTCCACCCCACCTCCCAGAGAAACGACAGCTCCGAGGGGGTCAGTGGAGTCTGCTGGCGGACAGGGTGCAAGATAAGTCCCAGGGCCACCTGGGAGTGGGGAGGGGGTTCCCCGGCTGCCCGGACCACCCCTAGAACCAGGGAGTTCAGCCCCGGCTCAGGACTCCCCTCCCCAGCCCACCGGCTCTGGGAGGTGGGAGGAAGGTCAGAAAAAGACCCCAGAGGTTTGCAGAAAATCCAAGGAAAGGGTTGGCCAGGACAGAAGAGGGTGGCCGGGGCCAGCACATGCGGCCCCTCCCCCAGCAGTGCCCAAGGTCACAGGTGGGCAGTGCCCAAGGTCACAGGGGGGCTATGGTTTCCCCACTCAGTCCCCAGGCAGGCCCCACCTGGGCACTCCCACCAGGTCCCAGCAGCTGCGGGGGGCCCAGGGCGGTGTCCTTGGGCCCAGAGGCCCAGGCTGTAAAGAAACCGCCTGTCTGCAGGGCCCCCTGGGAGAACCTTTGCCCCCCAGGCCCCCTCCAGTCTCCCAGGAGGCTCCAAAGTCCATGAGGCCCCACCTGGGGATGAGGCCACGGCAGGGGTGGGAGGGGTGCAGGAGCTGGGAGGCACCTGGTCAGCTGCAGCCCTTCAGACGCTCTCTTTGGCCACAGAATTCAGGGAAATCCAAGAAAGAATCCAAGTGTCTAGCGTTTGGGGACTGCCGAGCCCTGAGCCTCCAGGAGGGTTGGCCTGACTGAGCCTCCAGGAGGGTTGGCCCGAGACTTGGCAGAGAGATGTCAGAAGAAGAGAAATTTTCTTTCCTTTTTTTTTTTTTTTTTTTTTTTTTTGAGACAGGGTCTCGCTCTGTGGCCCAGGCTGGAGTGCACTGGCACGATCACAGCTCACTGCAGCCTCAGCCTCTCAGGCTCAAGTGATCCTCCTGCCTCAGCCTCTGGAGTAGTTGGGACCCCAGGCACACACCACCATGCCCAGTTTTAACTTTTTTTTGTAGAGATGGGGTCTTGCTATGTTGCCCAGGCTGGGTACAAACTCCTGGGCTCAAGTGATCCTCCCTCCTCGGCCTCCCAGAGTGCTGGGATTCTGGGCATGAACCACCACGCCCAGCCTGAGACACTTTGTTTTTGTTTTGAGACCGAGTCTCGCTCTGTCGCTCAGGCTGGAGTACAGTGGTGTGACCTCAGCTCACTGCAACCTCCGCCTCCCGGGTTCAAACGATTCTCCTGCCCCAGCCTCCCAAGTAGGTGGGATTACCGGCACGTGCCACCACACCTGGCTAATTTTTTTTTTAAATTTTTTGCAGAGACGGGGTTTCACCATGTTGGCCAAGCTGGTCTTGAACTCCTGACCTCAGGCCATCCTCCCGCCTCTGCCTCTCGAAGTGCTGGGATTCTGGGTATGAGCCACTGTGCCCAGCCTGAGAAATGTTCTAAAAGGCACGTTTTTGCACTGTCCAATATGGCTTCTGGGAAACTGAAGAAGTATGTTTTCCTCTAAGGCCAGATATAGGTCTGCGGATGCTCAGAAGCAGCAGCAATAGATCTGAGTCAGCAGCCGCCCCCTCCGGGCAGCAGCCTGAGCCTCCCAGGCGCCCACGCACCCAGCGGGGCTGAAGGGTCAGAGGGAAAAAGAGAATTCATCCAACAGCCAGGCCCACCCAGACCAGCCGGGGAACTCTGAGGTTTGGTTCTTTAGTCTACGTTGTTTTTTTTCCTTTTTTTGAGACAGGGTCTTACTCTGTCGCCCAGGCTGGAGTGCAGTGATGCAGTCATAGCTCACTGCAGCCTCCTGGGCTCAAGTGATCCTCCCACCTCAGCCTCCCGATTAGGTGGGACCACAGGCACCTGCCACCACTCCTGGCTAATTTTTGTATTTTTAGTAGAGATGGGGTTTCACACCATGTTGGCCAGGCTGGTCTTGAACTCCTGACCTTGTGATCCGCCCGCCTCGGCCTCCCAAAGTGCTGGGATTACAGGCATGAGCCACCGCGCCTGGCCTTAAAAGATCTTATAAAAGGCTGGGTGTGGTGGCTCACGCCTGTAATCCCAGCACGTTGGGAGGCCAAGGCAGAAGGATCACTTGAGCCCAGGAGTTTGAGATCAGCCTCAGCAACACAGCGAGACCCCGTCTCTTCTTTAAGAAAGAATCCTGGCCGGGCATAGTGGCTCACGCCTGTAATCCCAGCACTTAGGGAGGCTGAGGCGGGCGGATCACCTGAGGTCAGGAGTTTGAGACCAGCCTGACCAACATGGAGAAACCCCATCTCTATCAAAAATACAAAATAGGCCAGGCGTGGTGGTGCATGCCCGTAACCCCAGCTACTCAAGAGGCTGAGGCAGGAGAATAGTTTGAACCCGGGAGGCAGAGGTTGTGGTGAGCTGAGATCGTGCCATTGCACTCCAGCCTGGGAAACAAGAGTGAAACTCCACCTCAAAAAAAAAACAAAATAAAGAACTAATTCACTGTGACTCCTACAACCAAAGTTAAACTGAAAGAGCTGCTTTTTATCTCCCAAATCCCCATGAAGCAGCCAGGATGGTAAATGAGATGCCCTCTCCTTCCAGCAGCCTCCAAGGTCGGAGGGACCAAGGGGCTTGGAAGTCAAGACCAAGATCAAACCAGGTCTCTCCCCTGCTCCACGGTCAACCGTGGCTCCCTACTGCTCCCAGAAGAAAGCCCAACTCCCTGCCTGCCTGCCGGTCCCCACGCGCGCCTCCACATGGCTACAGCCATCTGTACACACCTGGCTGCTCCCCCTGAACCCCTCTTTCCCTGAGTGGGCCCCTCTCACTCCTGCAGCAGCAGGCGGCCTGTGCTAACCCTCAGCACCTTCCCGGGCTCAGGCTGGGTGCTCATCCATTCACTCTGGGGACGGCCTCATCCATCCATTCCCTCTGGGGACGGCCTCATCCATCCGTTCCCTCTGGGGACGGCCTCATCCATCCGTTCCCTCTGGGGACGGCCTCATCCATCCGTTCCCTCTGGGGACGGCCTCATCCATCCGTTCCCTCTGGGGACGGCCTCATCCATCCGTTCCCTCTGGGGACGGCCTCATCCATCCGTTCCCTCTGGGGACGGCCTCATCCATCCGTTCACTCTGGGGACGGCCTCATCCATCCGTTCACTCTGGGGACGGCCTCATCCATCCGTTCACTCTGGGGACGGCCTCATCCATCCGTTCACTCTGGGGACGGCCTCATCCATCCGTTCACTCTGGGGACGGCCTCATCCATCCGTTCACTCTGGGGACGGCCTCTTTGCATCTTTCCTGCCTACCTCCCACCCATCAAGGCAAAATCTAGCCCAGATGCGGTGACTCACACCTGTCATCCCAGCACTTTGGGAGGCCGAGGTGGGCAGATCACCTGAGGTCAGGAGTCCCAGCCTGGCCAACATGGAGAAACCCCGTCTCTACTAAAAATACAAAAATTAGCCGGGCGTGGTGGTGAACCCCTGTAATTCCAGCTACTCAGGAGGCTGAGGTGGGAGAATCACTTGAACCTGAGAGGCAGAGATTGCGTGAGCTCAGATCGCACCACTGCACTCCAGCCTGGGCGACAGAGCGAGACTCCATCTCAAAAAAAAAAAAAAAAAAGACAGAATCAGGGTCTGTGGGGCACAGTGGCGGGAATCCAGCAGGCATCCACTGGAGGGAGGGGAAAGGCCAGGGGCGGCGGCTCCTGCCTATAATCCCAGCACTTTGGGAGGCCGAGGCAGGAGGATGGCTTGAGGCCAGGAGTTGGAGGAAGAAGGAAAAGAAAGAGGCCGTAAGAAGCTTTCCTTCCTCCAATGCTGGTGTCCCCTTTCCGGCCCCTCTCTGAAGCCCCACTCCTGGCAGCTCCCATCCACTGACAGCACCCCCAGCCCCCCACCCCCTCCCGGAGGCCTGATGATCCTGCTATCTGGCACGGCGGAGGCCCGGGGCAGAGGCTGAGATGACTCAGCACCTGCGGCTGCTGCTCCCCAGGTGGGCAGGGTCCCTGGGGGCCTTGGCACCTCCCCCTCCACACAGGCACCCACGCCGCCGCTGGGAGGGGTGGGCAGGGCGGGACCCAGCACTGCCTCCCCACACCCCTGGGGCCCTGCTCTGCATTTGGGGAACTGAGGCAGGGAGGGGTCCACACCTCTCTGGTAACCAGGTTTGCAGAGTACCAGCAACCTGCAAAGCCCTTCACTTGTCCACAGTCCGGAGAGGCGGGAAGGAGGCGGCCAGAGTGCACCCCCGCAGCCACATCACTGCTGTAGACTCCAGGATGGCCACGCGCGGTGGCTCATGCCTGTAATCCCATAATCCCAGTACTTTGGGAGGCCGAGGCGGGCGGATCACCTGAGGTCAGGAGTTTGAGACCAGCCCGGCCAACATGGCAAAACCCTGTCTCTACTAAAATACAAAAATTAGCCGGGCGTGGTGGCGCACGCCTGTAGTCCCAGCTACTCGGGAGGCTGAGGCAGGAGAATCACTTGAATCCGGGAGGCGGAGGTTGCAGTGAGCTGAGATCGTGCCACTGCACTCCAGCCTGGGCGACAGAGTGAAACTTTGTCTCAAAAAAAAAAAAAAAAAAAAAAAAAGACTCCAGGCCTCATCCCTCGTCCCCTCCCCACAGAGTCCAGAGGCCAGGAATGAACAGCTGGACAGATGAGGCAGGAATGAAGAAGGAATGAAGACGGAGCAGAGCCTGGGGCTGCAGGCGGGAGGAGGGCACGGGGGGCAGGAGGACCTGGAGGACCTGGAGTCTCGCGCCCCAGTCTGCCCATTCTCCGGGCCTCAGTTTACCCATGGTGGGGGTGGGGCCGAAGCCATCAAGAAGCGGAAGCTGGCGCTGTGGCCCCGCAGGACCGCGGCCCCGGGAGGCCGGGGGATTTTGAATCTCGCTGTTTTTCCCGTCCCGGAAACTCCCAGGACTGACAGAGGCAGCAGAGCTGAGCGTGGACCACAGGGCCAGCCACACGGGGCTGTCAGTCCACAGCGTTTCTGCCAGGACAGGGCACTCTGCAGCCATTATTGAGCACCTCCTGTGTGTCCTGGACTATCTTGTATGCTGGGGAGATGCAGTGTCCAAAAAGGGCCCGGACTTCCCGGTTCAGGGAGCAGGAGGAAGAGGTCAGCTGGGGCGGGTGGGCTGTGAAGGGAAACACCAGGGGACAGGCGGCCCCGACCGACCTGGACTGATGGGTCGGGGGAGGGCAGGGTCACCCACACCCAGCAGGCGCTTACTTAGCTAGCGTCTGCTGTGTGACCTCAGGCCCTTCCCCGCCCTCTCTGGGCTCTGCCTGGCCATGGGTTGCTCCTCGTGCACCTGACCAGCCGGGGGGCTCCCCCGCCTGCCTAAGCCACGAGGTCCTTTCAATTCCCGTCAGCACAGCCAGGCCTCGGCGGATGCAGATGCTGAGAGCCCCGCCGGGCGTGGGGAAATTGGGGAAGTGATTCTGGGCAGGGCCGAACATCTGCCGGCTCCACTCCCCCGGCCCTGATGGGCCCCGAGTCCCCTCTCTGGAAATACACAGCGCCGCACCCACGGGGCGGATATTAATAACACTCTCCAGAAATGACAATGAAGCGCGGCCCGGGAAGCTGGCGTGGTGAAGGTGCTTCTCTGTGGATTTCCAGATCACGAGATTCCGGGGGAGCTTGCTGACGCCAGACCCTCCTCATTCTCCCGTGACGGGCCCTTCGTGCGATCGCCACCCTGGCACCTCGGTCTTCTCATCTGTGAAACGGTCCCGGGGCATCTGGGTGGGGGCTGAGACATGGATGGGGGAGTCCCTTGCTCAGGGAGGAGACGCTGACCGGCCGCCAGCCCGTTTCACAGTTGGGGAAACTGAGGCCCACGAGTCCAGGACGGCAGCGACAGGCCTGGTGCTGAGATGTGGCCGGGGTGGGATCAGCTGACAGGCACTTCCAGAAAGTTGGTGCAGAGGAGGCAGGAGGCAGCCCCATGGCGGCGAGATATGACGTGGAAATCTGGGGCCCGCAGTCCCTAATAGAGTCTCCGCCGAGGGCACTGGCCTTAAGCAGCCCCTCTATCTGCCAGGAAACCCGTTTCACAGATGCAGACACAGACACAGATCTGGGCTGACGGCAGGGGGTGCCCCAGGCCACACACAGACACACCCCACCCCACGGTGCCCAGCAATGGGGGGCACCCAGCAAACATTTCAATGCAGAATCTCAGTGTGGGCTGGGCACAGTGGCTCCCACCTTTGATCCCAGCACTGTGGGAGGCCGAGGTGGGCAGACTGCTCGAGCCCAGGAGTTTGAGACCCGCCTGGGCAATATGACAAAACCCTGTTTTTACAAAAAAAAAAAAAAAAATTAGCCAGGCATAGTGGCGCACCTGTAATCCCAGCTACTCAGGGGGCTGAGGCAGGAGGATCACGTGAGCCCAGGAGCTCGAGGCTGCAGTGAGCCGAGATGACATCACTGCACTCCAGCCTGGGCAACAGAGGGAGACCCTGTCACACACACACACACACAAACAAACAAACAGAATTTTAGTTTTGAAGCCTTTGGGATTAAAGAAAGAAAACATTAGCCGGGGACGGTGGCTCACGCCTGTAATCCCAGCACTTTGGGAGGCCGAGGCAGGCGGATCACTTGAGGTCAGGAGCTTGAGACCAGCCTGGCCAACATGGTGAAACCCCATCTCTACTAAAAATACAAAAATTAGCCGGGCATGGTGGCGGGCGCCTGTAGTCCCAGCTACTCGGGAGGCTGAGGCAGGAAAATGGCGTGAACCCGGGAGGCGGAGCTTGCAGTGAGCCAAGACCGCGACACCGCACTCTAGCCTGGGAGACAGTGAGACTCCGTCTCAAAAAAAAAAAAAAAAAAAAAGATTCAAAAAATTAGCCGGGCGTGGTGGTGCACGCTTGTAATCCCAGCTACTCGGGAGGCTAAGGCAGGAGAATCGCTTGAACCCGGGAGGCGGAGCTTGCAGTGAGCCAAGATCGCACCACTGCACTCCAGCCTGGGTGACAAAGCAAGACTCTGTCTCATAAATAAATACATAAATAAATAAATAAAAAGGAAAAAGTAAAAGTAAAAAAAACAAAAAAATAAAAATGAAATACCCAGTGTTCTCCTCCCCCAGGCAGTGACGAACCTGCCACTCCACGCGGCCGGGGCGTTCTGTACAGGGTCCCCGCCCCCCAGACCGGCCAGCCCACCCACAATACGCCCTCATGCTCCCACCTGGACGCCGGGCCCCTGCCTCCGCGAGCCTCATTTTTCCCTGCTGAGAAATGGGCTCGGAGTAACCGCAGGGTCCAAGCACTTTGCCCAGAGCTGGGCACTCAGCAATTAACTCCGTCCTGGGGTTCCCTGCAGACGGGACCTGGACGGTCCCAGAAAGCCTCAGAAGTGTCATGCCCAGCAGGAGTGTCCATTTGGAAAGAGGCACCTGGTGGGAGACTGCGGTCCCATCACTCCCAGCCCAGGTTCTCTGAACAGAAACGCAGCCCAGCACCAGCAGCAGGAGCCGGGCAGTGCAAGGGGCCAGAACACGCCTGCCCCGGCCATGTCGACGCCGTCCCCACAATGGGACACGGGCCTGCCTGGAGTCCGGGCCCAAAGACGGCTGCAGGAAGGAAGGGGCTGCTTCCACCTCCCACCCTAGAGTCAAGAGGAAGGGCCCTCCCTGGTGGGCTCAGGGTCCGGGGTCCCTTGGGGTACACCTGGCCGGAGCTTCTGCCAGACCCCAGGCTGAGGGCAGGACAGGAACTGCCCCTACCATGGGCAGCAGCCTCGGAGGAGTCACTCAAGGCTCTGCCCGCTCCAGGGACACCCCACCATCCCACCCGCTGCAGGGAGCAGACGGAGGTGGGCTGGGGCCGCCCTGGACACCTCCCCGCTAGGGAGCAGACGGAGGTGGGCTGGGTCAGGCAGCAGGGGCCATGCCACACGCCGTCCCCTCTCTACAGGAGTTACAGGAGAAACCTGGTGAACCGTAAAGGCCAAGGATGAAAACAAAGTCACAAGAGCTGCACTCCTTCTGATACCATCCCCGTCTTACGGGCGGGGAAACTGAGGCCGAGAGGAGGAGGTCACAGGCACCAGGCCCAGGTCGGGCAGAGCTGGGATCTCTGCATGTTGGTGTGCCCAGGCTCTCTCCCCCCAGGTGGCATTAAAGCAATGAATAACCACAGAGGTGATCTGTCTAGTTCTTCCCCAAGAACCAGGTCCAAGGGCCCCCACGAGATGGGCATGTGGCCAACTGAGGGGTGGGGGCAGTGGCTGGGCAGGGCGCCAGCTAGGGCAGAGACGCCCAGCCACTCCCGGAAAAATGGCCGTCAGGGAAGAATTACAGGGCGACGTGGTGGAAGGGACGGGGCGGGTGGCAGAGACAGGGAGAGGGGAGAGGAGAAAGAAGAGATGGAGACAGAGAGCGACCGCAGGACCCAGGGACATCCCGGCTCCCCTAAGAGCTCAGGAGTTCAGCCTGGGCAACGCAGCAAGACCCTGTCTCCAAAAAATAAAATGAAGTTAGCCGGGTGTGGTGGCGAGTGTCTGTGGTCCCAGCTACTCAGGAGGCTGACACGGGAAGATCACCGGAGCCCGGGAGGTCGAGGCTGCAGTGAGCTATGACTGCACCGCGGCACTCCAGCCTGGGTGACAGCACGAGACCCTGTCTCAAAATCCACCCCCGAAAACCAGACAATGAAGGAGGTTCAGCCAGGCTGGCAGTCGGGCCCTCCCAGGGCCGGGGTCGGGGGTCCTGGGTGGGGGACGCTCACTTGCCCGGAAGACCCACATTTGTAGCAGTGAGCGTGGTGCCCCTGAGATGGGTCAAGGTTTGGGGGCATCGACCGAAGCAACGGGGCTGAGGCCGTGGCAGACACAAACCATGGCCGTGTGGGACCGCCCCCACCGACACTCCTACCCAGACAGGCCTCCGTGCAGCCACACAGCCAGACACTCCCACGCAGACACACACACACACACACACACACCCCCTGGACGCGCCCCTGCAGCCAGACACACGGGGAGCAGACACGCCTGGGAGATAACGGCGAGACAGGCCCGCCCTCCACCGCGCTGCCGACGTCAGGACTCCAGTGCCGGCGGCAGGAGCTTCTGCTTCATGCACGGCTGTGTCCCCAGTACGCAGGCAGGCTGGCATACAGCAGGTGCCCCGTAAGTGCCCATGAGAGGGTCAGGCTGGCATACAGCAGGTACCCTGTAGGTGCCCATGAGAGGGTCGGGCTGGCATACAGATGCCCCGTAAGTGCCCATGAGAGGGTCAGGCTGGCATACAACAGGTGCCCCATAAGTGCCCATGAGAGGGTCGGGCTGGCATACAGCAGGTGCCCCGTAAGTGCCCATGAGAGGGTCGGGCTGGCATACAGCAGGTGCCCCGTAAGTGCCCATGAGAGGGTCGGGCTGGCATACAGCAGGTGCTCCGTAAGTGCCCATGAAAGGGTCGGGCTCAGACACATGTGTGCCCAGGGAGGCACAGCCTGGTGTTTCTGCCCTAACCTTGCCCAGGGCACGGTGCCACGTCAGCAGAGGTTTCTTCTCTCCACAAGTCTGACATCAGCGTGTCACTGGGGCTCCAGGGGAGGGTCCTTCCCTCCTCTCCCAGCTTCTGGGGGCTCCAGGTGTCCTTGGCTTGTGGCCACATCGCTCCAGCCTCTGCCTCTGTCTCCACACAGCTATCTCCCTACGTGTCCGTGTCCAAATTTCTCTTTTTTCTTTTCTTTTTTTTTTTGAGACAGAGTCTCGCTCTGTCACCCAGGCTGGAGTGTAGTGGTGCGATCTCAGCTCACTGCAGCCTCCGCCTCCTGGGTTCAAACAATTCTCCTGCCTCAGCTTCCCAAGTAGCTGGGATTACAGGCACCCGCCACCACGCCCGGCTAATTTTGTATTTTTAGTAGAGACGGGGTTTCACCATGTTGGTCAGGCTGGTCTCAAACTTCTGACCACAGGTGATCCGCCCTCCTCGGCCTCCCAAAGTGCTGGGATTACAGGCATGAGACACTGCGCGCCCGTCCTTTTTTTTTTTTTTTTCTTTTTTTGACACAGGGTCCTGCCCTGTCGCCCAGTCTGGAGTGCAGTCGTGCCACTATAGCTCACTACAGCCTCGACTTCCTGGGCTCAAGCAATCCTCCTGCCTTAGCCTCCAGAGTAGCTGGGACCACAGGCACGCACCACCACACCCAGCTAATTTGTGTAGAGACAGGGGTCTCACTCTGTTGCTGAGGCTGGTCTCAAGCTCCTGGGCTCAAGCGAAACTCCCGTCTTGGCCTTCCAAAGCGCGGGGATCACAGGTGTGACCTCCCCCTTAGAGGACAACCGACCGGCATGGGATTTGGGGCCACCGTACGCTGCAGGACCTCACTGAAACTAACATCTTCAGAGACCCTATTTCCAAATGCAGTCCCATCTTGAGGTTCTGGGTGGACGTGAGTTTTGGGCGATGCCATCCAATCCAGACGGGGCTCCTCCCGGAAGGCGGGTTCTTACTTGCTCTCACGTTCTCCGTCTCTGAGGGTGGCAGAGGAGGCTGCTGGGCATGGAATCTGGGCACTATGTCCAGCGTGGCTTCTGGACATGGGGCCTGGGTCCCCAGGGAGCTCACTTCCTGAGCCTGGCCAGAACCAGGGCCTGCGGGGCAGTGGGAGGGGCGGCCTCCACCTACTCCCTGCCCACCCACCTGTGCCCACGGACCCCCAGCCCAGCCCTGACCAAGGGGCAAGGCTGCATATCCCGGCGCTTGGGCCTTCAATGGCCAGATTAGTCAGCGTTTAACCCTGTGACCCCCAATTGTCCTCTGGCCATGTGCAGCCGGCAGAGCGGAGAAGAGGCGGTCCGCACCCGCCCCCCGTGTGCCACCCACCAGGTCGGCACCGCAGCGGCTCCCGGCCCGGCTCCCGGCGGCCAGTGGAGAGGACCTTGAGTCAAGCGTCCCTCGTGGGTGACGCCCCTGGGTGCCACCGCCGGGCAGCTGCGGGGGCCATGTCGCCACCGCCCCAGTCAGGATCGACAGTCAGGTAATTTGGGCCATCGAAGGGACCTGGACTTCAGCCCTTTGTGTCCAGCAGGGAAACTGAGGCAAGAGTGGACAGGGCTCTGCCGGCAGCTCCTCGGGGTCGGAGAGGGTGGGGGTGCACCCCCAGCGGCCCTGTCCATAGCTCGGTGGCCACTGGGGCTCCATCATCGGCTAGGCTGGCTCCAGAGCCCATGGCGGGCAGGGGAGGCGCTGATCTGTGCCCCGCGGCCGACGCGCGCTGCTGACCAAGACAGACAGCGCCACTCTCTAGCAGCCCCGGGGGTCTAATGGTTAATAGGCCCCACCGCGACCTCATGCTTCAGGGTCCAGCACGAGGCTCCCAAATGCTCAGGCACACAGGAAGGTCGTCTGTCACGGGCACACGTGCGCACACGTGGCGAGCCCAAGCAGGCACGCTTTTGGACACACACTCTCCAGCCTCGACGTGCACACACACATACGCTTGCAGCCACCCCTGACACACACACACACACACACACACACACAGCCACATCCACACAAAACACAAGAGACCAGTCCGGCACAGCAGCTCACGCCTGTAATCCCAGCACTTTCAGAGACCGAGGCGGGAGGATCACTTGAGCCCAGGAGTTTGAGACCAGGCTGGGCAACATGATGGCAAGACCCCATCTTTATAGTTAAAAAAATGCACACACAGGAGATCATCACCCCAACATAGACATTCACAAAGGACGTCAGGGCAGACACACGTCTGGACACACTCACCAACAGGTCCACGCAAAACAGGGACGTGGGAAGTTTGCCACGTCACTCGGCACACAGAGACCTAAACGAACACCGTGGTGCTGGCTGGGGACACGCAGGCGGGCGCGTGAGGTGCCGCTGGCTGGGTGCACACAGCCCCACACACGAGACCCACAGAATCCAGCAGGTGCCCGGTGGGCAGAGGCCTTGGAGGGTCCGAAGATGCTGTGTCTGGAGCAAGATTCCCTCCCAGGCAGGGTCCCACGAGACAGGACCCACGAGCCGCCCGGCCACAGCCCCAGCGTGCACACTCGCACGCACGCCACGGCGGCTCACCACGCCCATTCCCCCGCCCAGGCACCACGCGGGGACACTCTCTGCCTGCGGGCACCGCTCCCTCGGGCTGCCGCGTGTGTTATTAGAAAGCATGGGGCGGGGCCGGCGCTTGGCAGCAGCCACCAGGGTGGGACGCCGGCGGTGGGCGTGGGGCCAGGCCGCGGCGGCGGTGACCCCGCGGCGGTGACCCGACGGCCAGGCGGTGGCGCAGGGGCCAGATAAGGCTCTTCCGGCTGAGTCAGCGACGCTCCTGGCACGGGCACGGGCCGGGGCACAGTGCCAGGGGCTGGCGGGCACCCACCCACCCCTCGCCCGCCAGGGCCCAGCTGGCCCGGCGCCAGCAGCCACAGTGGCTTTGATGAGGCGGGCGCTGCCCCGGTGGGGAGGACCAGGTGCCCAGGGGGCTTCCCGACAGCCCTCCCGGCGGCTCACGTGCAGCCGGGGCTCCCGGAGGCCCAGGAAGACGCCGGCACCAGGGCTGGCGGCCGAGGGCCTGGCTCGGGGCTCTCTTGACAAACACACTCTGTCTCAAACACAGCCGCTGCCTCTGTGTGCTCGGAACCTGCTGCCTGACCTCTGGGCAAAGGCCCCAGCTGCACCATCTGCCTAGAGCACCCGCCTGTGCTGGGAAAATTCTCCTCCTTCTCCTTCTTCTCAGGCCCCAGAAGCCCAGCTGCAGTGTTGGCCTCTTCTACTCCTGCCTGGACCAAGGGTGCCTCCGTTCTGTCTCCAAAACAGGCTCCAGAAGGGTCCTCCCAGCCTCCTTCTCCCAGCTCCAAACCCTGCCAAGTGCCCTCAAGCTCTGCCCACCCCTCCTGCTACACCGAGAGCTTGACTGACCCGCGGCCCAGGACGGCTGTAAATGCGGCCCAGTGCAAACGCGTACATTTCTTAGCGCACGATGAGAGTTTTTTTGCAATTTTTTTTGGCTCATCAGGTATCATTAGTGTTACTGTATTTTACATGTGGTCCAAGACAATTCTTCTTCTTCCAATGTAGCCCAGGGAAGCCAAAAAGTTGGCCACCCTGGCCCCACACATTACGCTCCAGTCACAGTGATCCCAGAGGCAGGCCCTGCCCTGCTGTGGCTCGCTAACAAACTCTTACACATCCTGCAAAGCCCCAGCCCCAATGCCCCTTCCTCTTGGCAGCCTCCCCCTCAATCCCCTCTAGCCCAGCCCTGACCCCTCGAGGGATGTGGGGAAGCCCAGCAGCGCCCCTAAGCCTCAGTCTGAAATGGACGTGGCGAGGCCACGGCAGACCCCAGTGCTACCTTCACATCCAGCTCTGTCTCCCACCAGTCTGGGGGTCTCCGGGGCACGACGAAGAAAACGTGTTGCCGATTCTCCCAGAGCCCTGGCAATTCCAGCTCCCCACCTCCTCCCCACACTGCTCCAAGCAACTCTCACGCCCCGAAGATGTTCGTTACAGTATTGCTTACAACAGGGAAATGACCGAGGGAAGTGTGTGGACGTGGGGGTGTCCAGCGCCACGAGGGGAACGTCCATACAGCTGAAAAGAACCAGGTGGCTCGGAACATCCCAATTACGACGCGAACGCACCCAAGATAAACAGCTCCTCGAAGGCAGCGGCGGGAGGAACCTCCCGACCTGCCCGGAAGATCACACGTTAGATACCTCCCAGGTCACATTCCTGGGTGTGAGTGGGCAGAGAAAGGCCTGGAGAACATGCGGCTCATGCCCTAGAGGTCAAGGGAGGGACTCGGGGCTCCCTGTAAACGTTCCATTTTCTTCCTCTCTGCAAGAAGAGTGTCAAGTGTTACTTCTGGAACCAAAAGTGTATCGAGAGGCCGGGCGCGGTGGCTCAGGCCTGTCATCCCAGCACTCTGGGAGGCCGAGGCGGGCAGATCACGAGGTCAGGAATACGAGACCACCCTGGGCAACATGGTGAAACCCCGTCTCTACTAAAAATACAAAAATAAGCTGGGTGTGGTGGTGGGCGCCTGTAGTCCCAGCTACTCTGGAGGCTGAGGCAGGAGAATTGCTTGAACCCGAGAGGCGGAGGTTGCAGTGAGCCGAGATGGCGCCACTGCATTCCAGGCTGGTGACAGAGCAAGACTCCGTCTAAAATAATAATAATAAATAAATAAATAAATAAATAAATAAATAGGCCAGGTGTGGTGGCACGCGCCTGTAGTCACAGCTATTTGGGAGGCTGAGGCAGGAGAATGACTTGAACCCAGTAAGCAGAGGTTGCAGTGAGCTGAGATTGCACCATTGCACTGCAGCCTGGGTGACAAAACAAGACTCCGTCTCAAAAAAAAAAAAAAAAAAGAGAGATAAAATAATGTATCTATGTGTATTTTCCACAATTAAAAAAAACAAATGAGCTGAAAAGACCAAAAAAAGACCAAAAACCGGATGCCCGTTTCTTGCTGGGGTCTCGCTTCACTCCCGAGAGCTGCCTGGCAGGCACCGTGGTGAGGACCCAGCGGTCTCTGGGGCTGGGCCCAGCGAGGTGTGTCTGGCCTTGAGCCTGAGAGGCTGCTGGTGGCCGTCCCTGCCCCAGTGCCCACACACGCCCAGCTGTCAGGCCCGGAGGCCTGGATATGAGGACAGCACTGAGGTCTGGCCTGGTCTAACCACTTTCATTCCAGACAAAAAGAAAAACGGAGGGGCAGCTGAGCTTCCCCAAAACCGTCCCACCAGCAGCTCCCTGGGCCATCCATCCACACACCGCTGGGTCCTCTCTGGCAGGTGCATCCCGGGGGTCAAATTCCAGCTCTGACACGTCCCCCGGGCGACTGTGCACAAGTCATGTGATCACCCCATGCCTCAGTTTCTCGTCTGCACAACAGGTTCAACGGCAGCTCCTTGGGATCCAGTGAGGATCTGGGAGACGACCCATCTAAAACACTCAGTCACTTTCTTCACGCAGTGAAGCAACAGATACCGGCTAGTGCCGTCATTCCTACACCTCTGAGCTCATCTGCAAGTTACATGGGCAGCAAGCTTTACTTTGGAAAGCAGAGGGAGAGATCCTGACACTGAATGAAAATCAGAACCACAGTGAGAAACCACGCCACCCCCACAAGGAGGCTAGGATCAAAAGTCGACAACAGGCCGGGCGCGGTGGCTCACGTCTGTGATCCCAGCACTCTGGGACGCTGAGGTGTGAGGATCACCTGAGGTTGGGAGTTCAAGACCACCCTGCCCAACACGGTGAAACCCCGTCTCTACTAAAAATACAAAAAATTAGCCGGGCGCAGTGGCTCACACCTGTAATCTCAGCACTTTGGGAGGCCGAGGCGGGCGGATCACGAGGTCAAGAGATCGAGACCATCCTGGCTAACACGGTGAAACCCCATCTCTACTAAAAAATACAAAAAAATTAGCTGGGCGTGGTGGCAGGTGCCTGTAGTCCCAGCTACTCGGGAGGCTGAGGCAGGAGAATGGCGTGAACCCGGGAGGTGGAGGTTGCAGTGAGCCGAGATCGCCCCATTGCACTCCAGCCTGGGTGACAGAGCAAGACTCTGTCTCAAAAAAAAAAAAAAAAAAAAAAAAAGTCGACAATAACAAGTGGTGAGGATGTAGAGGAACTGGAACCCACATCTGTGGCTGGTGGGAAGGTAACGTGGGCAGCTGCTTGCTAAACAGTCTAGCAGTTCCTCTGATGGGTGAATATGGAGTCACCAGCAGACCCAGCAATTCTCCCAGATACACACCCAAAAGTAATACAAACGTACGCCCACATAAAAACGTGTACAGCACTACAAACCCAAAAGGCAGAAACAGGTCGAGTGGTCACCAACAGCGGAACGGGCAAACACAATACGGCACATCCATCCAGCGGAGTATGACTCAGCCGTGAAAAGGAAGGAGACTCCGACCCAGGCCACGGTGCTGATGCACCTGGAGGACGTCACGCTCAGTGAGATACGCCAGACACAAAAGGCCACGCAGTGTGTGATCCCATTTCTTTTCTTTGTTCTTGTTTTTCTGAGATGGAGTCTCCCTCTGTTGCCCAGGCTGGAGTGCAGTGGCGCGATCTCGGCTCACGGCAATCTCCGCCTCCCGGGTTCAAGCGGTTCTGTCTCAACCTCCCGAGTGCTGGGATTATAGGTGCCCGCCACCACACCCAGCTAATTTTTGTATTTTTAGTAAAGACAGGGTTTTGCTGTGTTGGCCAGGCTGGTCTCAAACTCCTGACCTCAGGTGCTCTGCCCACCTCAGCCTCCCAAAGTACAGGGATTACAGGCGTGAAGCACTGCACCCAGCTATGTGATCCCATTTCTATAAAATGTCCAGAACAGGCCAATCCACAGAGGCAGGAGGGGATGTGTGGTTGCCAGGGGCTGGGGCGTGCTGGTAGAATAGGGGGATAATAGTTAAAGGGTCAGGGTTTATTTTATTTTATTTATTTAGAGACAGAATCTCTCTCTGCCACACAGGCTGGAGTGCAGTGGCATGATCTCGGCTCACTGTAACCTCTGCTTCTGAGTTCAAGTGATTCCCCTGCCTCAGCCTCCCAAGTAGCTGGGACTACAGGCGCGTGCTGCCACGCCCGGCTAATTTTTTATATTTTTAGTAGAGACAGGGTTTCACCGTGTTAGCCAGGATGGTCTCGATCTCCTGACCTCGTGATCCGCCTGCCCCGGCCTCCCAAAGTGCTGGGATTGCAGACGTGAGCCACTGCACCCACCCTATCCTTCTTATTTTTTCGAGACAGGGTCTCGCTCTGTCACCAAGCTGGAGTGTGGTGGCGCGATCACGGCTCACTGCAGCCTTGTCCTCCTGGGCTCAAGGGATCCTCCCACCTCAGGGTCCCAAGTAGCTGGGACTACAGGTGTGCGCCACCACACTCAGCTAATTTTTGTAGAGATGGGGTCTTGCTATACCGCCCAGGCTGGTGTAGAACTCCTGGGCTCAGGCTATCTGCCCATCTCGGCCTCCCACAGTGCCGGGATCACAGGTGTGAGCCACTGTGCCTGGCCCCAATCGTACAATTAAAACAGTGAATTGTATGGCATATGAAGTATAGCCCAATAAAGCTGTTTTTTAAGATTCATCTCAAATTCATTCAACACTTATTAGAATTGTTGAGACTAAAGGTTCAAATCCTTAAGCAGCTGAAGATCTGTGATTAACCGCCTGTGCGTGTAAAATCCCATCACGGGCCGGGCGCGGTGGCTCACGCCTTTAATCCCAGCGCTTTGGGAGGCCGAGGCAGGCGGATCACAAGGTCAGGAGATCGAGACCATCCTGGCTAACACGGTGAAACCTTGTCTCTACTAAAAATACAAAAAATTAGCCGGGCGCGGTGGCGGATGCCTGTAGTCCCAGCTACTCGGGAGGCTGAGGCAGGAGAATGGCGTGAACCCGGGAGGTAGAGCTTGCAGTGAGCCGCGATCGCGCCACTGTACTCCAGCCTGGGCGACAGAGCGAGACTCCGTCTCAAAAAATAAATAAACAAATATATAAATAAAATCCTACCATGGTGGGGTGCGGTGGCTCACGCCTGTAATCCCAGCACTTTGGGAGGCCAAGGAGGGCAGATCACCTGAGCCCAGGAGTTCTAGACCAGCCTGGGCAACATAGCAAGACCCCGTCTCTACAAAAATTAGCTGAGTTTGGTGGCGCCCGTCTGTACTCGCAGCTACTCAGGAGGCTGAGGCAGAAGGATCGCTTGAACCCAGGAGATCGAGGCTGCAGTGAGTTAGGACAGCACCACTACACTCCAGCCTACCCGACAGAGTAAGACCCTGCCTCAAAAATAATAATAATCCAATAAAATCCTACCGTGGCCGCTTTCTAGAAGCTGGGCCTGCTGTGTGGGTGACAGGAGGCCACCAGGAGGCTACGTCAGACATCAGGAGGCTGAGATCCTAATCACTGCCCGACACGTGCTGGCCTCCAAAACTGCACGTCCCCAGGCCCCAGGCAGCAAGGTTCCAGGTGTCCAAGGAAAGAACCCGTGGCCCTGAGCCTGCTGCGCCCGGCCCCCCGCCGCGGCCTGGCCACCCACCAGACCTGCAGCCGACAGCAGAATTTCACAGCTGTCGAGGATTTGCAGGCGGAAGTTAGCCCCGAGCCCTGCCAGGACCTGGGAGGAAGAGGCAGAGACGGTGCCAAGCGGCCGGCCAGCGGGCCAGGCCTGCCACGTGCCAGGAAGGGGGTGGGGCAGGCGCCAGAGTCAACAGGGGCCCCAGTAGGGGCCGGGCGGGAGGTAACACTGACTGGGCTGGTTGGGCCCAGGCCACTGTTGACACTGGGAACACAGGTGTCTGGCCAGCTGGGCGGGCGGCGGCATCGGCGGCTGGACCTGCCACGAACAGCCCAGGATAAGATCCCAGGACTGGCTGGGCACCGTGGCTCAGGCCTGTAATCCCAGCACTTTGGGAAGCTGAGTGAGGCAGATCACTTGAGCCCAGGAGTTTGAGACCAACCTGGGCAACACCGTGAAAGCCCTTCTCTAGAGAAAAAAAAGTCACAGGACTGCAGGGCGGGGGCCTCCCCCCACCCCCGCTGCCCACGACCATCCCTAGGCCCTCATCTTCTCGGAGTTCCAATCCCGTCTCCCGCAAGACCCAGAGGCGGCACCCGGTCCCTACACACAAGCCGAGCTTTAGTCCACCTCAGGGCCTCTGCACTGCCCGGTACACCCAGGGGGCAGGTGCGGGGCGGCAGGATCTCCAGGAATACCTGAGGCTGCCGGTGACACAGTGACCCCCCTCCCTGCACTGGCCTCAGTTTCCCCATCTCGGCTTCCCGCTGCAGAAAAACCCCACATGGCACCTACAACCCTGACCCGCGGTGTCGCCCAGACAAGGTAGACAGTGGCTTCTGCCTCCTGCCTTCGCTCAGGACATGCTGCGGGCTGTGGGGTCAGGGCGCCTGGCCCCTCATCCCTGCCTGGTCTGGGCCAGTCACCCCAAAACTCCCCCATCGGCTTTGGGCCTTGGAGGCCGGGGCTGTCTGGGCGGGGCGTG
Source organism: Homo sapiens (assembly GCF_000001405.40). NCBI lineage: Eukaryota > Metazoa > Chordata > Mammalia > Primates > Hominidae > Homo > Homo sapiens. The sequence continues at coordinate 934,275 of NC_000019.10, read as the reverse complement.
TGTCCAGGGTCAGGGGGTCCCATTCACCTCTGACCCCCGAAGGACCGACTGAATGGGGGGCCTTGACCCTCCCTCTCGGCTTGGCTATAACCCTGCGGGGATGGAGGTCTCCGTCCGGCTCCTGCCCGCCCCTCCAGCCCAGGGCTCCCTGCGGGCTGAGTCCCGGGCAGATGGCGAATATTGGGTGAATGTTAAATTAATTGGTGAATTAAATTAATGAAATTAAAGAGAATCCACTCTCAGCATGCTCATCCGTATCATCTTAAACCCAGAAAAGATCACAAGACCCCTCCTCCCAACACTGAGCCTCTGTTTTCTCACTGGCAGAATGGGACGCGCGGCAGTGTGGCCCGTGGAGCATCCCCTTCTGCAGGAGTGGGAAACTGAGTCACAGAGCAGGGTGGAATCAGCGAGACGCCCCCCCCCCCCACCGAGTCCCCGCCGCTGCCCTGGCCATTCTCCCACACCGTGTCCGGCTTTCAGCTCTTTACTATTTGTGAGTTTCCAGGCAGCCCAACCTTAAGTCTCTTGAGGGCTGCTGGGGTTAGGGCCGCCCCTTAAGCTACCCGGCACCCCTGGAGTCAGGAGCCCCGGGGAGGCCCCCCTGGGTGTCTGTGCCTTGGCCCCTCCTAGGAGGCTCCTCAGAGCGGATTCTGGAAGCCCAGGGCCGAAGGGGCTGCCCCGAGGCAGGCATGTCCCAGCGTGTCCATCATCCACCTCCCTGCGGGAGCCCAGACCAGCTCCAGCCCCGGGCGAGGAGGTGGCTCCCCCCAGCCGCGCCCAGAGGTCGAGGCAGAGCCCAGCTGGACGAGGGCTGGAATGTGAGCCTGGCCACCATCTGGTTTCCATCTGCCCGGCCCAGCACGGCCCAACTTCAAAGCATCCCCCGCCCGGCCACTTCCTCTGGCCTGGCCGCCTGCGGGGAAAGGCTGGGGCGGCCCCTACTTCCTCCTTCAGCCTGGGGTCCCTGAGACCCCCTGCCGGCCCCAGCCTTAACCGCCCACTCGGAGCCTCACAGGCCCTGGCTCCTGCGTCTCCTGCAGCCACACCTGAGCCACCCCCACATCCCCTCGGCTGCCAGCTGCAGCCCGCAACCCCCCACGGCTCTCCACAGATGCCAGGGGACAGAGGAGGCCAAGTCACCACGTCACCAAGGCCCCGGCCTCTCTGCCCGCATCGCCCGCAGGCCTGGTTCCTCCAACCCAAGCCCAGCTCGGGCCGGCGCCAGCCTCTCCCTCCCAGGCCCACCTTTCCATCTCTGCCCCATCACCTCCGATATGGGGGCCGTGGAGCCCCCCAGGTTTCTCCTACCCGGCCGGGTGCTCCTCACACATCCCACATCAGAGCAATGAACAGCCAGCTGGTCGAGCCCACGCCCAGGAGGGAAGCACAGGAAGCACAGCTACCGCAGGAACCCCCAGCTCTCAACTCGACGCCCGGCTCAGCACACACCCCGTGCAACGTGGGCCTTCAAAGGGCCCCACTGGCCCAGGAGCAGGTGCCTCAGCCGCCACGCGGGACGCGCCCACTCACCTGCTTAAACTGCTCCTCGTAAGTCCAGTCGCCGTGGTCAGGCGGCTGCAGCTGCGGGGCTACGTGGGCGGCCCCTCCGGGGTGGGCAGGGCCAGGCCCCGGCCGCTCCTGGCCCCCCAGCACCCTGGGAACGCCATCGCCGCGGAAGGCCTGGGGTGGCTGGGCCTTTCGGGGGAACAGTGCCGTGGTGCCCAAGCTGGCAGGGCCTGGGGGGCCCAGCCCCTCCTCGTCCTCCTCCTCCTCCTCATCCTCGTAATCCTCCTCCTCCTCCTCCTCATCCTCCCCGAGGTCTTCCTCCATCTCCTCCTCCTCCCATTTGGGCTTCCTGGGGTGAGCAGAGGGCAGGAGTCAGGGGAGAAGGTGCTGGCTCGTCCCAGCCCAAGGAAAGACCCACTCCCCGCCCAGCCTCAGTTTCCCTCTCTGGAAATAGGAAGAGCCGGCCGCCGCCAGCTCAGACTGCAGAGAGCGCTCATGAGCACAGCGTGGGGCACCCGTGACGCCCACTTTGTTTCCAATTAGCCCAGAACAGCACAAGCCGTCCCTACAGCGTGAATTTTGGGGCCTTGAAAAGCATCACGCAGGCAGCCACGGTGGCGCACACCTATAATCCCGGCAGCACTCTGGGAGGCCAAGGCGGGAGGATCCCTTGAGCCCAGGAGATGGAGGCTGTAGTGAGCTATGATGGCACCACTGCACTCCAGCCTGGGCCACAGAGCAAGACTCTCTTGGGAAAAAAAAAAAGGGAATCATTACGGCAGGCTGGTTCCTGCATCCTGCACCATGCATGCTGTCCCAGCTCCACCTCCCCTTCCCTCCACAGGGAGAATTCTCCCACCGCCATCTGAAATCCGCCCCACCCTCGCCACTGCCCCTCCACGGCACCCTCCTAGACTTTCTTGGCAGCCGTTTTTTTTTTTTTGTCTTTTTTTTGAGAGGGAGTCTCGCTCTGTCGTCCAGGCTGGAGTGCAACGGCGCAATCTCGGCTCACTGCAAGCTCCGCCTCCCGGGTTCATGCCATTCTCCTGCCTCAGCCTCCCAAGTAGCTGGGACTACAGGCGCCCGCCACCACGCCTGGCTAATTTTTTTGTATTTTTAGTGGAGACGGGGTTTCACCGTGTGAGCCAGGATGGTCTCGATCTCCTGACCTCGTGATCCGCCCACCTCGGCCTCCCAAAGTGCTGGGATTACAGGCGTGAGCCACCACGCCCAGCCATTGGCAGCTGTTTGTACAACCTGATATCACCTGCTTCTTTGCTGCTAGGTTTTGTTTGGTTGTTTTTTTTTTTTTTTTGAGACACAGTCTCACTTTGTTGCCCAGGCTGGAGTGCAAAGGCACGATCTCGGCTCACTGCAACCTCTGCCTCCCAGGTTCAAGCGATTCTCCTCCTCAGCCTCCTGAGTAGCTGGGATTACAGGCATGAGCCACTGCACCCGGCCAGTTTTGTTTTTTGAGACAGGGTCTTCTCTGTTGCCCAGGCTGGAGTGCAGTGGTGTGATCACAGCTCAGTGCAGTCTTGACCTCCTGAGCTCAAGCAGTCCTTCCGCCTCGGCCTCTCGAGTAGCTGGGACCACAGATGCATGCCACAACACCCGACTAATTTTTGTACTTTTTGTAGAAATGGGGCCTCACTAGGTTGCCCAGGCTGGTCTTGAACTCCTGGGCTCAAGCAATCCTCCCACCTCGGCCTCCCAAAGTGCTGGGATTACAGGCGTGAGCCACTGCGCCCAGCATCTTTGCTTGCTCAGGTCCTCCCAGGAAGATGCGGGTTCCTGGAGGCCAGGATCCCACAGCAAGTGAGCCCTCAGCCAGCCCTGGGGGGACCCACACGCTATGCAGGTCCAGCCGGCTGCAGATTTTATCTGCCCCTGCCGCTGAATCTGCTGTAGCCATCGGTGGCTAGGTTGCTTTAAGTTAACTAAGATGAAACAAAGTTGGCCGGGTGTGGTGGCTCACGCCTGTAATCCCAGCACTTTGGGAGGCCAAGGCAGGCAGATCATGAGGTCAGGAGATCGAGACCATCTTGGCTAACATGGTGAAACCCCGTCTCTACTAAAAATACAAAAAGTTAGCCAGGCGTGGTGGCGGGCGCCTGTAGTCCCAACTACTCGGGAGGCTGAGGCAGGAGAATGGTGTGAACCCGGGAGGAGGAGGTTGCAGTGAGCTGAGATCACGCCACTGCACTCCAGCCTGGGCGAAAAGAGCAAGACTCTGTCTAAAAAAAAAAAAAAAACCCACATTCTTGGCTCACTGCAATCTTCACCTCCCAGGTTCAAGCCATTCTCCTGCCTCAGCCTCCCGAGTAGCTGGGTTTACAGGCTTCTGCCACCACGCCTGGCTAATTTTTGTATTTTTAGTAGAGATGGGGTTTCGCCATGTTGGCCGGGCTGGTCTTGAGCTCCTGACCTCAGGTGATCCACCCACCTCGACCTCCCAAAGTGCTGGGATTACGGGCGTAAGCCACAGCACCCGGCTAAAAAAACCATTTTTCTTTTGAGACTGGGTCTATCTCTGTCATCCAGGCTGGAGTGCAGTGGCACAATCACAACTCAACTTCTGTTCTCAAGGGATCCTCCTGCCTCAGCCTCCCCAGTAGCTGGGACCACAGGTGCACCACCATGCCTGGCTAATTTTTTAATTTTTTGCGGAGATGGGGTCTTGCTATGTTGCCCAGGCTGGTCTCCAACCCCTGGGCCCACGTGATCCTCCCACGTCGGCCTCTCAAACTGCTGGAATTACAGGAAGGAGATCCCGCGACCTGACCCTTACTCCCATTCTGCAGATGAGCAGAGTGACACTCAGAGCCAGTAACAGCCCCCAGAAGGCCCTGCCCCAGACCCCAACTCACATGTCCTCGTCGGAGGCCATGTCCTCAAAGTGCTCCTCTCCTGGCCCTTCTCTGCCTCGCCCGGGTGAGCCCGGTGTCCCCTCCCGGGCCGCGTCCTCCTCCTCCGAGCCTGGGGGCCCATCCTCAGAGCCGCCGGGGCTGGCTGGGTGTCCCAGGCCCGCAGCTGCAGCCCGCATGGCTGCCAGTGCGGCCATCTGAGCCCGCTGCATCCGGGCACTCTCGGGCTCTCTGTCCTCGTCGGGGGCAGCCCGGGCCCGGCCGGGGGGTGCAGCAGGGGGATCGGGGGGCAGCTGCTGCCGGGCCTCCAGCTCCTGGCGCGCCCGCTGCTGCCGCTGCAACAGCGTCTCCATCACGGCCTGTAGTTTCATGGCCCTGCGGCCCGGGCCACCACCACCACCACCACCACCACCACCACGGGCGCTAGGGGTGGGCGGCGGGGGCGGCCCCTGCGGGGAGGGGGCCCGGCCGCACTGCAGCGTGGGGGCCGCGGGGGAGCCGGGGCAGTGCAGGGTGGCAGGGGGCGGGGGCGGGGGCCGCCGGGCTCAAGCTGAAGGCTGATGGGGCATGCCTCTTCCTCACGCTGGGCTCCAGGGGACAGAGGCTGGCATCCGGCTCATTCACGCATTTGCAGAAACCTGAGGGGGAAAAAAGGCACAGTCAGAGCAGGCCTGAGCTCCTCAAGCCCCCTCCTTCCTTCCCCATGAAGGCCCTGGGGATCAGCTCTCATGTCCATCTCATGCAGGATGCAGACCTGGAGGCCTTCTTGGAGGCAGAGGCGCAGGCTCTTCGCATACAGCCTACTGTGGGCCTGGGTAGCAAGGTCGCCCCGCACGGGGCCACAGAGAAACACGCTGTGGCCAGACTGTCTGCCCCAGGAGATCTTGGATTATTGCTTCACAAGCAGGGTGGGGGAATGGGCGTTCCTGGCCTGTGATTGGCCAGCGGGCTCCGGGCCCCAGTCAGGTGGGTTCTAAGTTCCAGTCGCTGCCTGAGTCCCTGTTGGAGCGGCCCAGCCTGGCCTCCAGGTATCTAGGTATCCTCCCATCTCAGGCCAGACTGGAGATTGAGCGCCTGTTGTATACGGGCCCTGGGCTAACCCTCCCCCCATCACACAACTCAACAGCAACGCCCAAGCCACAACTTCTCTGGACCTCAGGTTCCCTACCTGCAAAACAGTGTGGGTAACAGTACCCCCCCAACCCATGGCACTCAAGGAGGGATGAATCGAGTTCAGGAGGTTAAGGTGGGCACCAACAGGTGTCAGAGAAGGGGGCACCAGGGCGGTCCCATTTCATGGTTGAGGACAACTGAGGCTCAGGGATCCTCTGCTTGGAGACATGGCGGTGGGATTTGAACCCAGGTCTGGGTGACCACAGAGCCTCCCACGCAGACCCCACAATCTCTGCAGGGCAACAGGGGTCTGGAGTTTCCCGGTCCTCTGGGATCCCGAGTGGGCCAGATGTCTCGGACGGCAACACACTCACCCAGCCTAGAGTGCCTTCCACCCAGGGCCAGTCCTAATGGCCTGGGTGAAGAACAGAGACTCCTGGGGCCTGGGTCCCACCCGAGCCACCCCCTAGCCCAGGCCACACCTCCACCCGCCCAGGCCGCCAATAAAACAGGCCGGGCAGAACCCAACAGGCCTGGAGTGACACCCCAGAGGGAAGGCACATCATGGGGACAGCGGAGGGGGCAAAGCTCCACCCTCCCGAGAGGCAGCTGGGCCCAGGAGGCCACCCCCAACCCTTACCCTGGCAAAGGAGCCCCCAAGACTCATACACAGCTCCTGGGCAGACAAGGCCTGGAGAGACGAGGAGGCAGGGACCCCTGGGACTCAGATCCCTCCTGTGACCCGACCCCACCCAGGTCAGTGTTGCACAGCAGACACCCCCAAGCCTCCCCAGTCACCGGACAAGAGAGTCCTGTGGCCCCTCTGCCCTAGACACCCTTTACCCAGACCCCTGAGTCTTTCGGCCCCATGGGTGAAAAGGCAGTGGGGGGCAGGTGGGTGGCCCCTGGGAGAAAGCGAGGAGGGCATGTTCCAAAATAGCCTCTGTTCCATCTGTTGTGGGGACAGAGGTCCCAGGTCACAAAGACCTCAGGGCCATAGCGCTGGGTTGTGACCAGGAGAGCCTGGCGGTCCGGAGGCCACCAGGGCGGCACCCAGCCCCCCATCCCCAGGCTGGAGGTCACCCCCCACCCACCCAACCCAAGAAAGTGCTGAGGGGGCATTTCTGACTCAGGGTCTGGTCGGGTCTGTCGCCCCTCCCCCACCTGGGACAACTTCAAGACAAGGCCCCCCCCACGGAAGAGCTCCAAGCAAAGCCCCCCCTCTTTGGGGGCACAGAAGGAAGAGGCCAAAGGAAGCCACTCCCCCCACCAGCCCGCTCCGAGCCCTGCTGGGTTTAATGACCCTTCCGGGTCGCCGGGTGGGGGAGGGGAGCAGGACAGACCTCCACGTTGGGGCCGGTGGAGGGGGCAGGTGGGGATCCCAGATTCCCCCCTAGGTCAGGGCTGGGTGCCCCCCCATCGCCGCCATAACCCTAAACTAGCTACGCCCACCCCCTTCAGACCCCTCCCCCCAAGAGCCCTTTGTCCTCGACCCCCACCCCCATTTTATGACAGCCCCAAGGGAGAGGCTGGGACGGGGCGCTGGGTGGTCGTTGGACCAGGCAGGGGTGGGGGGCGGAGGGATCCTGGGCCACACCCTCCTCCCCCCAGGCCTCCGGAGAGAGGTCACCCGCTCGGCGCGGGCCTTGCAAAACATGGTTATTTAAAGAGTTGTGCAAGGCCCCGGGCCCGCGGGTGGCGAAAGGGGCCCCTCACTCCACGAAGGGAAGAGGAGGGGGAGGGGCGGGGCAGAAAGCTGGGGAGGGGGCTAAGAAAGTCCTGGGTTGGGGGGGCCTGGAGGAAGTGAGAAAAAAACTCAAGAAGGAGAAGAAATAAGAAGACAGAAACCCTGGTCCGGATTTCAAAGGCTTCTTGGAAAGCGGCCGATTTGCATGGGGGGGGGAACCCCTCCAGCCCGAGCGCCTAAAAACGGAAGATAATTGAACCCGCCGCCCGGGGCCGGCGCCGAGCGTTGGAGTTGACAAACGCGCGCTCCCAGCGCTTCCTGCGCCCGCTTTTGTGTCTGGGGGGCCCTGAAACGGGTCAGGGGGCTCTTCCTGGGTATCCCCGCCGAGGAACCGGGCGCCCGGGCCCAACCCACCCCGGCGCCCGGGGGCCGCGGTGTCTCCCCCGGGGGCCCCTCTCTGCGCTGGGGCGGACACTTTATAAATAAACCAGCCCGGCTGGGGAGGCTCGCCGGGAACTACCCTCCCTCCTCTCTGGGCTCCCGAATAAATCCCTGATTTCGGGGAGAAAGAATAAAAATGAAATAAAATATCGGGGTGCAGCCCCCCGCGCGCGCGCAGAGACCATTTCCTTCCGCTGGGGAGGGGGGGGCGCGCACTCGCGACCCCCGATCGCCCCTGCTCGCCCCTGAGCGATTGATCCAGTGGGGAGTGAAGTCTCCAAGCGGGGTGCAGAGAAAACTCCCCGAACCCCAGCCCGCCAGGGCCGCCTTCCCAGTCCGGGACCCCCACCAACATCTCCGCCCAACTTTGGGGACCCCCTTCTTTGGCTTCCAGGACGCACTGCGCCCACCCCGGCACCGGAACCCGCGCTGGGAACGGCCAGCGCGCTCCCCAGCCTTACCGCGCAGGGCGGCTCGTAGTGGGGCGCGCGCCCCGCGCCTGGGGTCGGCCTGCCCGGGCCCGCCTGGCTTCCAGCCGCCGGTGCGCGCCGCTGGCTCCCGGCCCCCGACCCACGGGGCTGTGCCGCGCGCCGACTCACCGAGCCGCCAGCCGCGTCCGCGTCTACACCCCTCCGCCCGATTGGTAAGAGGCGCCCCGCGCGCGGCCGGCCCCCGCCCCGCCCCTCCCCCACCCCCAGACAAATCACCAGGGGACGAGTCGCTCTCGGATGCAAATACCTGGCCGGTGATTCAGCGCCGCGGCCCGGGCGCGGGAGGGCCTCGCCAGGGCTCCCCACTTTTCCCCGCACGCCCCCTCGCCCCCCTCCCGCGGTCTGACGACGCGCAACCAGCCCGGGGGCGCTGGGGAGCCGGGCAGAGTGGACGGAAATTTTCAGGTCGCGGCCCCTTTAAAGGATAATAAATAATAAACGGGAAGGGGAACAGCGCCGCGGGAGGCCCCGCCCCCGGCCTAGGGACGGTGGGCAAAGTGCGCGACGCGGCCCCAAGCGCAGAGGGTGCCGGGGGCAGGGGCTGGGGCGGGAGCGCCCCGGGGGAAGAAGAGGGGACTGACTGGGGCTCCGCCTGGGCGGGCTGGCCGGAGGCATCGGAGCCAGATCCGGGACCAAGTCTCTTCCCTTCTTACGGAGCACCTACGCTGGGCCTCGTGGACTCGGAGTTTCACCTTCGCCCCTTAGACGGAGAGACCCTGAGAGAGTGACTTCACTCTCCGGAGCCGCCGTTTCCAAGTCTGAGAAATGGGCTTGAAAGACCCGGTGCAGAGCTGGGCGGGCGGCGTCGGAGGGAGGGAACCAGGGTCCCGCCGGCCTCCCTCTGGGGAGGGACGGGCTGCAGACGGGGGCTCGGCGCGGGCGTGGGGAGGTGCGCGCTGGGACCCGGAGCCCCTTTGTGAAACCAGGACGACCCTGCCCGGCCCGGCTGTCACCAGCGTCGGGAGCTCGGCTGCCCACCACCCCCCCGTGAAGGTGGTGATGACTTACACGGTCTGAGCGGTCGCTTGCCCAACCACGTGCCCCGCGCCTCCCTCCAGGGAGGTCCCTGCACGTCTCCAGCCCTCACTCCTCTCTGTAGTTGGCAACCTTCTTGTCGCCACTGCGCAGAGCAGGAAACTGAGGCACCGAGCGGGGTGCAAGGAAGGCGGTCGGGAGGGGGACGCGTGCTCTGCAGGGAGCTGTGTGCGCGGGAAGCGACCCCAGGGGGCTAAGCGCAGAGGCCCAGGCTCCAGCCCGGACGTGAGCCCCAGGGGAGCCTGGAGGGCGGGCAGGGGCCACCCCGGGGGACCCTCACTTGTGGAGGGTCTCTGGCGGGCTCGGGTCCCCGGTCCTGAGTGTTGGGGGCGGGGTTGTAGTCGTCTCCCTCCCCTTTCCCTAGACTAGCACACGGCATTGCAACTTTCTCTCTGTCCTTCCACCTAGTTGCACCTCCTCCCTCCACAAAACTGCAACCGGGGCCGGCGCGGTGGCTCACGCCTGTCATCTTAACACCTTGGGAGGCGGAGGTGGGCGGATCATCAGAGGTCAGGAGTTCGAGACCAGCCTGGCCAACAAGGTGAAACCCCATCTGTACTAAAAATACAGAAATCAGCCGGGCATGGTGGCGCGCGCCTGTAGTCCCAGCTACTTGGGAGGCTGAGGTAGGAGAATCGCTTGAATCCGGGAGGTGGAAGTCGCAGTGAGCCGAGATCGCGCCACTGCACTCCAGCCTGGGTGACACAGTGAGACTCCACCTCAAAAACAAAACAAAACAAAAAACTGCCGGCAGGAGAGCTGCCCCCGACAACAAGGCCTGAATCCAGCCTTCCAGCCCCAGGGCCACGTGTAACCTAATGGCGGCAGGTGTCTGAGAGGCCTCCACCATAAGGCTATATTAAACACCAAACCCAGCTGCCACCCCTATCTCCGATGGAGAGGCCTGAGACACCTGCCCCAGGTTGGGGGTGCTTTGGAGAGACGCTCCCTGCAGCGGGATAAAGGGGTGTGGGAGTACCCCCTTCTCGGGCCAGGACCCAGCTCAGGTCTGAAGGTGCAGGAAGTCCCTCCCACCTACGATGGAGCACCTGGAGGCCAGCAGACCCGAAAGGCACCTGGAGGGCAGGTGCATGGGCCTGTCTGTGCCTCAGTTTATCCCTCTATAAAATGGGCCAATGTTAATTCAACCCTTTCACCATCCTGTTCTGGATTAGGCTGCCCTTTGTTCAAAGGGAAGGGCACAGGGTGGGGGCATAATTACCCCCAGGGCAGGAAGGGTAGAGCCCCTACCCGTTTCCCAGGAGGAAGCTGTGATCCGGGTAGCTGGCTGCAGCTTCCCCCAAAGGGGCCGCGCAGGGGGGTGAGGGGATGCAGGATGGCAGCTGCCTGCAGTGAGGGGGCTCCTATTTTTAGCCCAGAGAGGGAGCCGGGAATGTCTACGCAGACTAGCTGGCTCCACCATATTCCAGATGCCCTCATGCCCCGCAGGGGTAGGCAGCAGTGTGGATTTAGATCAGTACAGACCTCTCCCAGTCTCTTTCTCAAGCTGTGCATTGGGCACAGCAGCCCCAGCTTTAAACATTTCCTAACCAGACCATCTACCGGGGGCACAGCAGCCCCAGCTCTGAAGGTTTCCCAGCCAGACCATCTCCTGGGGGCACAGCAGCCCTAGCTCTGAAGGTTTCCCAGCCAGACCATCTCCTGGGGGCGCCTGGGGCTTTGGGAACCTCCCCCACACAAAAACAGCGTGATCCTCCCCCAACCCTGCTGGTCACTGGACCGGTTCTCTACTCTGCACTCAGGTAGGGGACATCCTCATAAAACCCCCCAGATCCCGCTCCCACAGCTCTGCAGGTTAAAAAGCCCAAACTAGGGCTGGGCCTGGTGGCTCACACCTGTAATCCCAGCACTTTGGGAGGCCAAGGCAGGTGGATCACTTGAGGTCAGGAGTTCGAAACCAGCCTGGCCAACATGGTGAAACCCCGCCTCTATTAAAAATACAAAACAATTAGCCGGACATGGTGGCAGGCATCTGTAATCCCAGCTACTCGGGAGGCTGAGGCAGGAGAATAGCTTGAACCTGGGAGGCGGAGGTTGCAATGAGCCAAGATCACACCACTGCACACCAGCCTGGGAGACAGAAGGAGACTCTGTCTCAAAAAAAAAAAAAAAAAAAAGAAGAGAGCTCAGCACAGTGGCTCACGCCTGTAATCCCAGACTTTGGGAGGCTTAGGCGGGAGGATGGCCTAAGGCTAGGTATTCAAGATGAGCCTGGGCATAGACCCTGTCTCCACAAAAAATTTATAAAATAAAAAAATTAAGGCTGACCACCGTGGCTCAAGACTGTAATCCTAGCACTTTGGGAAGCTGAGAAAGGAGGATCTCTTGAGCCCCGGAGTTTGAGACTAGCCTGGGCAACGTAACAAGACCCCATCTCTACAAAAAATACAAAAATTAGCCAATTGTGGTGGCACACACCTGTAGTCCCAGCTACTCGGGAGGCCGAGGCAAGAGGATTGCTTGAGCCCAGGAGGTCGAGGCTGCAGTGAGCCATGATCACACCACTGCACTCTAGTCTGGGCCACAGAGCAAGACTGTCTCAAAAAATAAAATACAGTGGCTCACGTCTGTAATCCCAGCACCTCGGGAGGTGGAGGTCAGCAGATCACGTGAGGCTGGGAGTTTGAGATCAGCCTGGCCAACATGGCGAAATCCTGTCTCTAGTAAAAATACAAAAATTAGCCTGGTGTGGTGGCATAGGCTTGTAGTCCTAGCTACTTGGGAGGCTGAGGCAGGAGAATCCCTTGAACCTGGGAAGCGGAGGTTGCAGTGAGCCAAGATCGCGCCACTGCACTCCAGCCTGGACAACAAGAACAAAACTCCATCTCAAAAAAAAAAAAAAAAAAAATCATATATAATGAATCCAGCCTGTTATATCTCTCTTTATACTGACGCAGATATAAAATATCATTTTTACCCCTCTTCCAGGACATGAAGCAGAATAAAGTATCTTTTTCTTCTTTTTTTCTTTGACGGTGAATATTGTAGAATAAATTACCATTTTGAATAACGTTTTCATAGAAGGGGCCCTCAAAAGTAAAGTGCCTAAGACCGGGATAATTCACAATGTGCCTCTGATTGCCCCACTTCACAGCGGGGATACCTCCAACCGGGGGTCCAGGTTGGGATCCGAAGGAGCGACACCGCGCCCTGGGCACGGGGCACCTCTGGGACTTCTGGAGGCGAGAAAAGAAGGCGCGAAACCTCCGCGGGCCGCGCGTGCCATCTGCCGGGCACCTGCGGGACTGCGGCCGGCGGGAGGGGAGGGGGGGCGGGCTCTTAGGGGCGGGGCCAGCGCCGGCGGCCGCTAGGTGGCGCCGTCTCACCTGAAAATGAGTTTTGCTCACGGCCTGTCATCCCAGCACTTTGGGAGGCCGAGGCGGGCGATCACGAGGTCAGGAGATCGAGACCATCCTGGCTAACATGGTGAAACCCCGTCTCTACTAAATGTACAAAAAAGTAGCCGGGCGTGATGGCGGGCGCCTGTAGTCCCAGCTACTCGGAAGGCTGAGGCAGGAGGCTGAGAACATAGGATGTTTGGTTTCCCATTCCAGTTTCTTAGAGTAGTGGTCTCCAACTCCGGCCAGGTTGTGTGAATGCCATTTCATTACTCTTTATGGCTGAGTAGTAGTCTTCTCTGTGTGTGTGTGTGTGTGTGTGTGTGTGTGCGCGCGCGCCACATTTTCTTTATCTGCTCGTTGATTGATGGGCATTTGCACTGTCTGTTTTCACATTTTAGTCTCTCTAAAAGTGGGATGAGGCCCCGGGCGCGGTGGCTCACGCCCGTAATCCCAGCACTTTGGGAGACAGAGGCATGGGGATCACTTAAGGTCAGGAAAATCGAGACCAGCCTGGCCAACATGGAGAAACCCCGTCTCTATTAAAATACAAAAATTAGCCGGGCGTGGTGGCGGGCGCCTGTAATCCCAGCTACTCGGGAGGCTGAGGCAGGAGAATCACTTGAACCCGGGAGGCAGAGGTTGCAGTCAGCGGAGATCGCGTCACTGCACTCCAGTCTGGGTGACAGAATGAGACACTGTCTCAAAAAAAAAAAAAAAAAAAAAAGTGGAATGAATCGTACACAGTGACAGTCAACTACAAGACAATGAGAAAACGTCTGACACTTTCTGGAATGATCCAGAAAGTCCTGTGTTGACACATGTTTAATTTCAGGAAACACAGAAGTCATAATTTCAATATCAATAGCAAACTTCACAACGAAACTGCACCGAACGTCACAAGAGACCAAAATATTTCCACAGTTGATCTTGGACAGTAAGAAAAATACTAATAACAGAAGAATAGCCGCTGTTCCAGCAGTCCCCGCTCCCGAGGGAGCCGCTCGGATTCCCACCGGGTCCGCTCAGAGAGGGGCGTTGTCCTCCCCCAGGACGCACAGCCCGCGCGCGGCCAGCCCACTGCTCCCTGGCTTCTGCGCCCTGGCGGGGGCCGGGTGGGACCCCAGGCGGAGCAGCTCCGCGTGTGGGGCTGCGGGGTCCGAGGGTCCGGGCCGGCGGGGGCGGCGGGGGCGGCGCGGCGCGCAGGGGCAGACGCGGCGGAAGGCCTGTCGGAAGTGCGAGCCCAGGAAGGCGTAGAGCAGCGGGTTCAGCGCGGAGTTGCTGTAGGACATGCAGTGAGCCCAGGTCTTAAGCGCGTAGGCGGCGTAGCTGCGTGGGTGCCAGGAGCCCGCGGGGCCCAGCGCCTGCAGCACCAGGAACAGCTGGATGGGGCCCCAGCAGGCGGCGAAGAGCAGGACCACGGCCGCCACCAGCCGCGAGACCTTGGCCCGCACGGCGCCTGCGCGCTCTGCCAGCACCTGCCCCTGGGGGGGTGCCGTGAAGGTGGTTAGACGAAAGGCTGGGGCCCGGCTCAGCTCATCCCCTCGCACCGCCCCTCCTGGACCCCTTGGGCTGTCCCTGCCCGCGCAGATGCCCCCACCGGCGCCTCCCACCACGGTGCCTCCCCGCCCGCCCAGCCTTGCTGTCCTCCCACCCACGCCGCGCACCTGCAGGGCGCTATCGGCGGGCGCGGGGCGCACGGCGACCCGGCCCAGGTGGCGCAGCATGGCCGCATAGCAGGCGCAGGTGGCGAGCAGCGGCAGCAGGTACAGCGCCAGCAGGTTGTACAGTGCGAAGGCGCGCTCCAGGGCGCGGCTGGGGAAGGCCTCACTGCAGTAGGCGCGCGGCCCGGGTGACAGGCGGTGCAGGGCGAGCACCGGCGCAGACACCGCCGCAGAGCCTGTGCCACAAGCCAGGATGAAGACCCCGCTCGGGGAACCAGCGGTCCCCCACGTGCCTCCCCGGGAGGCGTTCACCCAGCCACCCTGCAAAGGCCCGGGCGCCCCGTCTGCAGCCTCGCTGGCCCTAGGCAGGCAGAGCTATTGCGCCCATTTTCCAGATGCTGGACCGAGGCGGCAGGTGGCTCCGGGCGCCCAGGGCACTAGGACGTGTCCGCCTTCTCCCGTGAGGCCCCTGAGCTGTACTCACCTACCCAGATGCTGAGGCTGACAGCCAGCGCCAGGCGGGGCGTGCGGCGGTGCAGGGCGCGCAACGGGAACACCGTCACGTACCAGCGGTCCACACTCATGGCGGTCAGAGTGGCACACGTGGCCTGCACCGAGACCTGCGGGAGCCGCCAGCCGGGCGTGTGGCCACCTGCGCGGTTGGGAGCCTGCCCTGTCCGCCCGCCCTGCTGATCCCCCTACGTGTGCGAACACTCAGGCACATACACGGGAAGTGTCCTGGGAGGAGTGTCCAGTGCGGGTTGAGGGGACAGAAGGTGGGGAGACTGGGAGAGGAGGGCAGGAGGATTGGGGAAGTGAGGGAGCCCTTGGGGGGCGGCTGATACCCCGAGTCTGAGACAGGGGGGCTGCGTGGGATGGAGGGACAGGCGGGGCAAGAAGCCTCAGGGCCTCAGTAGCCCTTCCTCACCAGTGACCCGGGTCCCCGTCTGCATCCCTCCCCCATTCCCGCCCCCCACTCCAGTTCTAGGCTGCACCACCGCCCAGCCCCTTCCCGCAAGCTGGGCACCCCAGCCCCTGGTTCTCCTATGCGTTGCCTCGCGCCCCGCCCAAGGTCCGTCCTCCCTTCCCACGTGGGCTCCCCCTCCCCACATGCGCCCGCCCCCCGCTCCGGAGCTCATCCCCTCTCCTCGTCCCCACGTGCGCCTCCTCCCCTCCTGCTCCAGAGTGCACCCCTGCCCCGCCCCACCATGCGCCCCCTCCCCTCCAGCTTCTGAGTGCATCTCCCTCCGTCCCCACGTGCGCTCCCTCCCCTCCTGCTCCGCAGCGCACCCCCCCTCCCCGTCCCCACGTACGATCCCCTCCCCTCCCACTGCGGAGCGCACTCCCGCCTGTCCCCAAGTGCGTCCCCTCCCCTCCCACTGCGGAGCGCACCCCCGCCCGTCCCCAAGTGCGCCCTCTCCCCTCCTGCTCCGGAGCGCACCTGCTGGATGTAGTTGACGAACTTGCACATGAAGTCGCCCAGCACCCAGCCGGGCAGCGGGTACAGCAGGGCCGTGAAGGGGACGCAGCACAGGAGGAAGGTCACGTCCGTGGCCGCCAGGTTGGCTGCGGTGGGGATGCGCGGGCGCTGGGCGTGGGCGCCACTGGCCGCGGGAACCGCCCAGCGCTCCTGGCCCTGACCCCTGGCCCCCACCTTGGTCCGAGTGACCAGCAGGATGGCTCAGGGAGGCCCCCCCCTCCCCCAGCGCCCCTGGCCTCCTCGGGCGGAGAAGTTGGGGCGCCTTCTAGTAATTCCCCCTTACATCTCAAACATTACGCCTCCGGCTCGGATTTCCTGGCCATTCCGGCAGAAATCGGTTCTGCTGGGCCCTGTCCGGGCTGGGGGAGCCTAAGCAGGCCCCTGACCCTCTGAGCCTCAGTTTCCACAACTGCAAACTGGAGACAATGGTGCCGGCCCAGCAGCCACCGACTGGGCTCACAGCTGTGTGTGATAGGGGACCCCAGGACACAAATGCATAAACAGGCTCAGAGAGCCACCGGGGCAGGGGTCGCAAACTAAGGCCCGCGGGCCAAGCCAGCCCCTCCCCCAGCCCTTTGTTCAGCTGACACCGAGCCGTTGGCCCGCGCTGCACCGGGGCGAGCCCCGCGAGTGGCCAGGTCGAGGTTTCCATGTGCCACACTCCCCACCCTCCGGCCCGCCCGGGCCCGCCCGCGCTGGAGTTTGCGACCTCTAGCCTCAGGTGCAGGGACCACAGGGAAAAGATTCGAGGTTGGGGGGGACCCCTGCAGGGGACAGAGCCGGGTCCGAGAGGGCCCCGATGCGTCGCGAGAGGGCGCCCCAGGCCGCTCGGCCCTCGGAGCCCCCGGGACGGCAGCAGGTGCGGCGCAGCGCCCGCACTCACCGATGTAGAAGTTGGTCACGGTCCGCATCGGCTTGTGGCGGCAGATGACGTAGATGACCAGCGAGTTCCCCACCAGGCCCAGCAGCATCAGCGCCGCGAAGAAGAGCGGCACGAGCCAGGCGTCCACGGCCCGCGGCGAAGGGACTGGGCCGTCCGAGGCGTTGGCGCCACAGCCCGGGCAGCCGGAGGCGTTGGCCGGTGCCCCCCAGGACGCGTTGGGTCCGGACGTAGCCACGGTGTGCATGGCCGCGCGCACCTCCTCCTCCCGGCCGCCCTCCAGGATTGCGCCCTGGCACCGCCCCGGGGACCCCTCCGCCCGACCGCCCGGGGGCTGCGCCTGTGGAACTCAGGAAGGGGCTCGGCTGGGGTCCGCAGGGTCCAGAGGGCAGCTGTGCTGGGCTCGGCGGCTCCTCTGCCGGCGCCGCTGCGGCCGAGCGTTTATAGCCCGTGCCCCCCTCCCCTGGCCTTGCCTTCCCGCCTCTCCGGCAGCCGCTCGCCACTCCCTCCCCTGCCCACGCGCCCTCTATTCACCCAGCGGCAACCCCCCTATTCCCTCCTCCCGGTGCAAGGTCGGAGTGAGAGCGCGGGAGGGGGCTGGAGGGGGCGGAGCAGGCAGGGGGTGGGCCGCGTGGAGGCCGCTGTGGACCTGGAAGGACCGACCTTAACCAGCGAGTAGACGCTCAGCCCGGACTAGGAGCCCAGCCAAGGCGCGAACTCTAAGGCCTGTGAATATGGGAAGGGCTTTGACCCTCGTAGGGGCTGGGGCTCCAGGGGGTGGGCCCAGCCTGGCGGGGAGGCCAGCCCTCAGCGGAGACCCTGAGTGAGGATAGCTTGGGTTTGTCCCCAGGACCCTGGAGAGCCATGGAAAGTTCAGGGCAGGTGAGGGACGTCCCCGATCTGGTGGTTTGGGACTGAATGTGTCCCACATGACTGACAAGGGGTGTCTGATACCCGCAGGGACACTAGCAGCGGGAACCAGGTGGAGGGCACCTTGCAAACGCCACAGCCTCATTATTATTATTATTATTACTGATTTATGTATTTATTTATTTTTTTGAGACAGAGTTTCGCTCAGGTCGCCCAGGCTGGAGTGCAGTGGCTCCATCTCGGCTCACTGCAAGCTCCGCCTCCCTGGTTCACGCCATTCTCCTGCCTCAGCCTCCCTAGTAGCTGGGACTACAGGCGCCCGCCACCTCGCCCGGCTAATTTTTTGTACTTTTAGTAGAGTCAGGGTTTCACCGTGTTAGCCAGGATGGTCTTGATCTCCTGACCTCGTGATCCACCCTCCTCGGCCTCCCAAAGTGGTGGATTAGAGGCGTCAGCCACCGCGCCCGGCCTTTTATTATCATTATTGAGACAGGGTGTCGCTCTGTTGCCTAGGCTGGAGTGCAGTGGCATGATCTCGGCTCAAAGCAACCTCCGCCTCCCGGGTTCAAGCAATTCTCCTGCCTCAGCCTCCCGAGTAGCTGGGATTACAGGTGCCTGCCACCATGCCCGGGTAATTTTTGTATTTTTAGTAGAGACCAGGTTTCACCACGTTGGCCAGGCTGGTCTCGAACTCCTGACCTCAGGTGATCCACCCTCCTCGGCCTCCCAACGTGCTGGGATTACAGGCGTGAGCCACTGCTCCCGGTCCAGCTAATTTATTTTTAAATTTTTTATTTTTTATTTTTTTGCAAATAAAGTTTTTTTTTTAATTTTATTTATTATTTTATTTTATTATTATTATACTTTAAGTTTTAGGGTACATGTGCACAATGTGCAGGTTAGTTACATATGTATACATGTGCCATGCTGGTGTGCTGCACCCATTAACTCGTCATTTAGCATTAGGTATATCTCCTAAGGCTATCCCTCCCCCCTCCCCCCTTAAATTTTTTTGTAGAGACAAGATCTCACTAGGTTGCCCAGGCTTGTCTTGAACTCCTGAGCTCAAGCAGTCCTCCTGCCTCAGCCTCCCAAAGTGCTGGGATGACAAGCATGAGCCACCCAGCCTGGTCAGCACAACCTTGACTCCATAATCCCACAGCTGGAAGTGTACCCCAGGATGACATCCAGGAGGTTCCCCCAAAGTCCATCCTGCAACAGAGTCCAAGACATTTGGTCATCATGGAGTAATACACAGCGAAGAAAAAGGTGCTTCCATTTGCATAAAAAAAGACAAAAAAGGGAGGAAAAAAAATGAATAGGCCGGGCACAGTGGCTCATGCCTGTAATCCCAGCACATTGGGAGGCCGAGGCAGGTGGATCACTTGAGGTCAGGAGTTCCAGACCAGCCTGGCCAACGTGGTGAAACCTGGTCTCTACTAAAAATACAGAAATTACCCGGGCTTGGTGGAGGGTGCCTGTAATCCCAGCTACTTGGGAGGCTGAGGCAGGAGAATCACTTGAGCCCAGGAGGTGGAGGTTGCAATGACCTGAGATTGCATCACTGTAGGCTGGGTGACAGAGCGAGACTCTCTCAAAAAAAAAAAAGAAGAAGAAGAAGAAGAAGAAGGTACAGACAGGACAGGCCCAGGCCCCTGAAGGGAAGCCCTGGAACCCAGAATGGGAGGAAGGCCCAGGAAGTTCTCTGGAGTTGCCTCCCTCTCTCACGAATAAATGTTCAGGTCCATTCTTTGAGCATCTACCCTTACCCTGTGCCTGATGGATGGGGAAACCACTCATTCCCGATGCCCAGCTCCCCTGCCAGTCACTCCTGATACATCTCTCCATTGTCCTTTTTCACCTCTTTGCACATTTATCTACAGGAATCTCACAGTGCACGCTTTTTTGAGTCCATCCACAGTTTCTCATCCTTTTCTTTTTCCTCCTTACTCTTTCTTTCTTTTTCTTTCTTTCTTGCTTTTTTTTTTTGAGACAGCATCTCGCTCTGTCGCCCAGGCTGGAGTGCAATGGCACAATCTCGGCTCACTGCAAGCTCTGCCTCCTGGGTTCACTCCATTCTCCTGCCTCAGCCTCCTGAGTAGCAGGAACTACAGGCGCCTGCCACCATGCCCGGCTAATTTTTTGTATTTTTGGTAGAGATGGGGTTTCACCGTGTTAGCCAGGATGGTCACAATCTCCTGACCTCATGATCCACCCGCCTCGGCCTCCCAGAGTGCTGGGATTACAGGCGTGAGCCACTGTGCCTGGCTATTTTTTTTTTTTTTTTTTTTTTTTTTGAGACAGAGTAGTCTTACTCTGTGGCCCAGGCTGGAGTGAAGTGGACGGCTCCCTGCAACTTTTGCCTCCCATGTTCAAGCGATTCTTGTGCCTCAGCCTCCCATGTAGCTGGGACTATGGGTGCATACCACCACGCCCGGCTAATTTTTGTAGTTTTAGTAGAGATAGGGTTTTGCCATGTTGGCCAGGCTGGTCTCAAACTCCTGACCTCAAGTGATCCACTGGCCTTGGCCTCTCAAAGTGCTGGTATTACAGGTGCGAGCCACCGTGCCCAGCCTCCCTCTTGCTTTATTTTATTTTATTTTATTTTTTTGAGATGGAGTCTCGCTCCTCGCCCAGACTGGAGTGCAGTGGCACGATCTCGGCTCACTGCAAGCTCCGCCTCCCGGGTTCACGCCATTCTCCTGCCTCAGCCTCCCGAGTAGCTGGGACTACAGGCCCCCGCCACCACGCCCGGCTAATTTTTTGTATTTTTAGTAGAGAGGGGGTTTCACTGTGTTAGCCAGGATGGTCTCGATCTCCTGTCCTCGTGATCCGCCCACCTCGGCCTCCCAAAGTGCTGGGATTACAGGTGTGAGCCACCGCGCCCGGCCCTTTCTTTTTATTTTAGAGATGGGTTTTCATCATGTTGCCCAAGCTAGTCTCAGACACCTGGACTCAAGTGATCCACTGGCCTTGGCTTCCCAAAGTGCTGGGATTACAGGCGTGAGCCACCACGTTGGCCACCAGGCCTAATTTTAGAGAAGAGTAAACTGAGGCTAAGCAGGGGAAGGGGTTGCCTAGCCGAGGCTCCAGGGCTGGGAGGGGCAGGTGGAAGGAAGGCTCGGGCAGTTTTAATTTCCGCCATCCTCTGCCTCCAAGAAGAACGTCCCCTCCCTCGTCGATGCTCAGGCCTTAGTTTCCCTGTCCGTGTCTCCTCGCCTCCCTGGGCTGGATTCCTGGCTCAGTCCGCAGCCCGGATCGGGACGCAGGGTTGTGGTTGAGTTTTCGACCCCTCGCCTAGGTGTCCCTCCTTCCCGGAGCTAGATTTCTGGGTGTAGGGATCGTGGCCGGCCCCGCCTCCCGCCTCAGTCTCCCCGTTCGTCCCCCCAGGGGCTGGATCCCGGCCCCGCCTGCCTCGGTTTCCCCGTTCGTTCCCTGATGGCTGGATCCCGGCCCCGCCTGCCTCGGTTTCCCCGTTCGTTCCCTGTTGGCTGGATCCCCGCCCCGCGCGCCTCGGTTTCCCCGTTCGTCCCCCCAGGGGCTGGATCCCCTCCCCGCGCGCCTGGGTTTCCGCGTTCGTTCCCGGCAGCCGGGAGGTGGGCGCCCCCGCCCCGCCGCGCAGCCCCAGGCCCCGCCCCTGCCCGCCTCCGGGCGCCCGTCACTTCCTGCCCGGCCCGGTGAAGGCCCTGCCGGGCGGCGGCGGCGGCGACAGCGTGCGAGCCATGGTCGCGCTGGAGAACCCCGAGTGCGGCCCGGAGGCGGCGGAGGGCACCCCGGGCGGGCGGCGGCTGCTGTGAGCGCGGGCGGGCGGGGCGCGGCGGGCGCCGGGGGCGGGCTGGGCTCCCTCCCCTGAGATCCTCTCCCCGCCTCCCCTCCCCTCCTTTCCCTTCCCTCCCCTCGTTCCCTTCGTTCCCCTCGCTCCCGTTGCTCATCTTCCGGGGCTTCAGCCTGTCCTGCCTTCCCTTCTCGCCCGCTGTGGACCCCCAGGCTGGGTGGGGGGTCTTCATTGTTACTCAGCGGGGACACCCTCCTGGCGCTCCGGGGGCTCGCTGGGGGAGGGGACCCGGATCCACGTCCCCATTTACCTGTTCCGCCCCCTACTCCCCGGTCCGCCCCCTAATCCCCGGTCCGCGCCCCACTCCCCGGTCCGCCCCCCCACTGCACTGGTCCGCGCCTCCATTCCCGGGTCCACCCCCTCACTCTCCGGGTCCGCCCCCCAACTCCTCGGTCCGTGCCCCCACTCTCCGGTCCGCGCCCCCACTTCCCGGGTCCGACTCCCCCCACTCCCGGGTCCGCGCCCCCCCACTGCCCTGATCCACGCCCCCACTCCTGGGTCCGTCCCCCCACTCCCTGCTCCACCCCCCCACTCCCCTGGTTCTTGCCCCCATTCCTGGGTCCGCCCCGCAACTCCTCGGGTCAGCCCCCCAACTCCTCGGTTCCACCCCCCAACTCCCTGGTCCGTGCCCCTACTCTCTGGTCTTCGCCCCCACTCCCGGGTCCGCGCCCCCACTCCCGGGCCCGCCCCCCAACTCCTCTGTCCGACCCCCCCACTGCCCTGGCCCACGCCCCGACTCCCGGGTCTGTCCCCCCACTCCCCAGTCCGCCCCCCAACTCCCTGGTCCACCCCCCCCACCTCCCCGGGGCCGCGCCCCCACTCCCGGGTCTGTCCCCCCACTCCCCGGTCAGTCCCCCAACTCCCTGGTCCGCCCCCCACACTCCCGGGTCCGTCCCCCCACCTCCCCAGTCCGCCCCCCAACTCCCTGGTCCACCCCCCCCCCCACCTCCCCGGGGCCGCGCCCCCACTCCCGGGTCTGCCCCCCCACTCCCCGGGCCCCGAGGTGCCAGCCATGGAGCCTCCCGCCAGAGGGTCCTGGGCCCCTGTCCGCGGGTCGGGGTTCACCCACGTGGCCATGCGCTCCAGCCTGGTCCCTGCCGCACGCCCGGCCCCACTCGCCCTCTGGGCTTGTCCGCGCCCCCTGCCTTTCCGGGCAGACCCGGCTCCTTGCTCTCCTTTGGGTAAATCCCTACAACCCTTGTGGGTTAAAACCTGGCAAGCAGGAGCCCGCGCGTCCTTCCCGGGGGACCCGGAAGCGGGGCGGTCTGTGCGGGGGTCAGCCGTGTGTCACCCCGGCCCGCACAGGGACCCGGGGACCCAGGGTGCGCCCCTGGGGTCCGTGTTGGTGGAGGGCGAGGAGGCGGCGCGTGTTCCGTTCCTGCCTCCTCCGTGTGCGGACGGCGCCACCTGGGCAGGTTATTTCATGCTTCCATGCCTCAGTTTCCCCTTCTGTAAAATGGGATAGTAAGTGTGGCCTCTTCTCCGAGTGGTGGGGGTTACCGAGCTGGCACTGCGGCGGGCCCAGCAAACAGGAGTGTCCGTTGTCTCATTACTAATTATCGTTAATGTTTTATTGGTTATTTTAGTAGTATTAATATTTTGAGACGGAGTCTCGCTCTATCGCCCAGGCTGGAGTGCAGTGGCACGATCTTCATTCACTGCAACCTCCACCTCCTGGGTTCAAGCGATTCTCCTGCGGCAGCCTCCCCAGTACCTGGGATTACAGGCGCCCGCCACCACGTTCAGCTAATTGTTGTATTTTTAGTAGAGATGGGGTTTCATCATGTTGGCCAGGATGGTCTTGATTTCCTGACCTCACGATCTGCTTGCCTCGGCCTCCCAAAGTGCTGGGATTACAGGCGTGAGCCACCGCACCCGGTCTTTAGTATTATTTGTATTTATTTATTTATTTGTTTATTTTTTTGAGACAGAGTCTCACTCTGTCGTCCAGGCTGGAGTGCAGTGGGGCGATCTCGGCTCACTGCAAGCTCCGCCTCCTGGGTTCACGCCATTCTCCTGCCTCAGCCTCCCGAGTAGCTGGGACTACAGGTGCCCGCCACCGCGCCCGGCTAATTTTTTTGTATTTTTAGTAGAGACGGGGGTTTTGCCGTGTGAGCCAGGATGGTCTCGATCTCTTGACCTTGTGATCTGCCCGCCTTGGCCTCCCAAAGTGCTGGGATTACAGGCGTGAGCCACCGCGCCGGCTAGTATTATTTTTAAATGATCATTTATTACTATCATCGTTATTATGTTTATTATATCATCACTATTATCTCCACTCAGAGGCCATACCCATCTCTACCGAGGTGATTTGTATCTGAAGGAGAAAGGATGCGTCTTTGATTGGTTGATTGGTTAATTGATTGGAGACAGAGTCTCGGTCTATTGGCCAGGCTGGAGCAGAGGATGCTTTTTTTTTGTTTTTGTTTTTGTTTTTCATATTAGAGACAGGGTCTTGCTAACTTGTCCAAGCTGGTCTCAAACTTCTGGGCTCAAGCCATCCTGCCTCCTCGGCCTCCCAAAGTGTTGGGATTACAGGCGTGAGCTACCACGCCCGGCCTAGTAGTAGTATTATTAATACAGGGTCTCACTCTATCACCCAGGTTTGATCACAGCTCACTGCATCCTCCACCTGCGGGCTCAGGCGATCCTCCTGCCCCAGCCTCCCGAGTAGCTAGGACCACAGGTGTGCACCACCATGCCGGCTATTTTTTTTTTTTTGAGATGGTTTCGCTCTTGTTGCCCAGGCTGGAGTACAGTAGTGCGATCTCGGCTCACTGCAACCTCTGCCTCCCAGGTTCAAGCGATTCTCCTCCCTCAGCCTCCTGAGTAGCTGGGATTACAGGCATGTGCCACCGCACCCAGCTAATTTTGTATTTTTAGTAGAAACGGAGTTTCTCCATATTGGTCAGGCTGGTCTCGAACTCCCAACCTCAGGTGATCCACCGGCCTTGGCCTCCCAAAGTGCTGGGATTACAGGCATGAGCCACTGCGCCCGGCCTGGCTAATTTTTTAATTTGTTGTAGAGACGAGGGTCTTACTATGTTGCCTAGGCTGGTCTCGAACTCCTCGACTCAAGGAATCCACCTGCCTTGGGCTCACAAAGTGCTGGGATTACAGGCGTGAGCCACTGCACCCACGTAACGTCTCCTCTAAGGGGGCCTTGAACCACCTGGTGTGGGCATTTACCCTCAAAATGGGCTCTTCTTCCTGAGTCTTCTGTTTTTTTTGTTTTTGGTGGGGGTTGGGGGGACAGGTTCTTGCTCTGTCACCCAGGCTGGAGTGCAGTGGCGCGATCTCAGCTCATGGTAACCTTTGCCTCCCAGGTTCAAGCGATTCTCCTGCCTCAGCCTCCTGAGTAGCTGGGATTACAGGCATGTGCCACCACGCCTGGCTAATTTTTGTAATTTTAGTAGAGACGGGGTTTCACTATGTTGGTCAGGCTGGTCTCAAACTCCTGACCTCAGGTGATCCACCTGCCTCGGCCTCCCAAAGTGCTGGGATTGCAGGCGTGAACCACCACGCCTGGCACCCTGGTCTTGAAGCCCAGGTGTAGTGACTCCTATGTAACTATGTAAATACACTCATGTTTCCGCTCTCAGCCGTCAGTCTCTGGGTGTTTACCTGCCAGCTGTGTCCTGGTGGGGGGTTGGGGACTGCTGGGGGCCGCCGCAGTCTGCCCCACCCCAGGCTGAGTCACCTCCGCCCTGAGCCCTGGCTTCCTGATGCACAAGTCGGTTCCTCTCTTGCTGTCTCTAGTGGGTTCCTGGGGGAGGGACCAGTGCTGGGAAAGGTGTGTTTTTGCTCGAGGGACTGAGGGTTCACAGTTCCCCTCTCAAAATCTGCAAGGAGTAGAATTGGGAGTGGCCGGGAGGCCTGTTCCCCCAAACTCCAGCAGCTCCCCAGCTTGGGCTGCCCCCCTCTTCTGTGGACACACATCCTCGAGCCTTCAGGGTCCAGGAAGCCTCAGATACCCCCGCTGGGTCCTCAGTTTCCTCGTCTGTAAAGTGGTCTTGTTGAGTGGCGTGGGAAACAGATGAACCAGCCCTTGGGAGGTGTGTCAACAGAAGTTTAGTTCTTCATTCAACAAACAGGCAGTGAGCGCCGCTGTGGGCCGGTCACAGGCCAGGACCGGGGGGCGGCGGTGGGCGGGGGGCGGACCCTGTCTTGTTCTGTGGGCCTAGTGAGCTAGTGATTAAGGAGCAAAGAAGTAAACGGGCCGGCTGGGGCCGGTTGGTTTCCAGAGCTTCCTGGTAAGGCTGACTGGGCTAGGTGGGGGGCGGGGCCGTTCCTGGGGGTGGTGAACACAGAGCTGAGGCTGGAATGAGCAGGTGCATCAGGCAGAGACCGGGGCTCCCTGAGTTTGGAGCACTGTGAGGAGGGGCCTGTGGCTGGACGTGGGATTTTTTTATTTTTTATTTTATTTTTATTTTTTTTGAGACAGTCTCATTCTGTCACCCAGCCTGGAGTGCAGTGTTGTGATCTCGGCTCACTGCAGACTTCATCTCCCAGGTTCAAGTGATTCTCCTGCCTCAGCCTCCTGAGTAGCTGGGACCACAGGCGCCCACCACTATGCCCAGATAATTTTTTTGTATTTTTAGTAGAGACGGGAGTTTCACCATGTTGGCCAGGCTGGTCTCGAACTCTTGGCCTCAAGTGATCCACCTGCCTCAGCCTCCCAAAGTGCTGGGATTAGAAGTGTGAACCACTGCGCCCGGCCAGGCATGGGGATTTTGATGTGGTCTTCCTGTTCCTTCCATTTCTGGAGAGGAGTGTCGGTGACTCCCAGGCCCCCCTGTCTACCCCAGAGGCCAGATGTTTTTTTGTTTTTGTTTTTGTTTTTGTTTTTTTGGGAGACAGAGTCTTGCTGTGTCACTCAGGCTGGAGTGCAGTGGTGCGATCTCAGCTCACTGCAACCTCCACTTCCCAGGTCCAAGCGATTCTCCTGCCTCAGCCTCCCAAGTAGCTGGGACTACAGGCGTGCGCCACCACTCCTGGCTAATTTTTGTATTTTTGTAGAGACAGGGTTTTACCATGTTGGCCAGGATGGTCTCCATCTCTTGACCTCATGATCCGCCCGCCTCGGCCTCCCAAAGTGCTGGGATGACAAGCTTGAAGATGTTTCTTAATTTCCTGCTGGAAACTGGTTGAAGTCAGCCAGCTCCATCTGATGGTGGGACTCGATTTCCAGTGCTCAGCTCAGCACTAGAGACCCAGGGGAGGGTGGCGAGCCCTCAGATACCAAACAAAACAGGCGAAAGCCCTCGTGTTGCAGTGCTAGGCCAAGGGGGAGCCAGGCCTGGCCCTGGGATGCTGGGGAGCCATGGGCTGTGCTGGAGCAGGGGAAGGACCAGGCAGGTCCTTGTGGGCCTGGAGGAGAGGCCTGTGGGGCTTTGGTATGAGGGGTGGTGAGGGAAGCAGGGTAGCTCTGGGGTTCTGGGTCAGACCCAGGTTCACATCCAGCTCCTTGCATTGTCTGGGTGGTGACGGGGGACAGCCCCACCTCTCCAAGCCTCAGATCCTTCATCTGTAATATGGGGTGATACCAGGCCCCTTGCTGGGAGGGCTTGAGCTGTGTCACCGAGCCCCGCCCCCTCTGACTTCCCCGAGGGCTCCCCTCGGATGTCACTTCTGTTATCGGCCCTGTCCAGCTGCTGGGGTGGAGAAGTAGGCCCCGGGGCCTCAGGGGGGGCTGTGGGTGAATCTGGGGCATGGGACAGAGTGCTCCGGCCTCAGGGAGGCAGCTTCAGGCTGATCCAGCTTCAGAGACGCTGGCTTAACATGACCCTGTATTCCCACTGAGTACCCGTCGGCTGCTGTGCTCTGTGCTGAGGGCATGGTCCACCACCTCCTTCTCCAGCTGCCCTCTTTGCAGCAATGGGAGCTTGGGCGGTGACTTTGTGCCTTGGTTTACAAATCTGTATAATGAGGGCCGGGCGTGGTAGCTCATGCCTGTAATCCCAGCACTTTGGGAGGCTGAGGCAGGCGGATCACTTAAGGTCAGGAGTTCAAGACCAGCCTGCCAACATGGTGAAACCCCGTCTCTACTGAAAATACAAAAATTAACCAGGCGTGGTGGTGGGCGCCTATAATCCCAGCTACTCGGGAGGCTGAGGCAGGAGACTCGGTTGAGCCAGGGAGGTGGAGGTTGCAGTGAGCAGAGATGGCACAACTGCACTGCAGCCTGGGCAACAGAGTGAGACTCCATCTCAAAACAAAACAAAACAAAACAAAAAAACCCCAAATCTGTATAATGGGCATCAAAGTAATAGAACTTGCCTCCCCGGGGACAGCACAGGTGACAGGAAATGAGCCCAATGTGGGGAAAATACTCAGTCCAGCGACACTTACGATCAAAAGCAGTGTGGCATGGCTGAGGGGTGAGTTCCCCATCATAGGAGGAAAACAAGCAAGTGGCAGCTGAGATGAGGGGAATTCATCCCAGGCCCTTTTGGCTCTGAGTACCCCTCCCAAACCAACTTGTTCCCACTTTTTGAGAGGGGGCTGAGGTTAAAGGTTGCAGGGTGAGCCGGGCGCGGTGGCTCATGCCCGTAATCCCAGCACTTTGGGAGGCCAAGGTGAGCGGATCACGAGGTCAGGAGATCCAGACCATTCTGGCTGACACGGTAAACCCCATCTCTACTAAAAATACAAAAAATTAGCCAGGCGTGGTGGCGGGCACCTGTAGTCCCAGCTACTCGGGAGGCTGAGGCAGGAGAATGGCGTGAACCCGGGAGGCAGAGCTTGCAGTGAGCTGAGATCGAGCCAGTGAACTCCAGCCTGGGCGACAGAGCGAGACTCTGTCTCAAAAAAAAAAAAAAAAATCCCATCTCTACTAAAAATAAATAAAAAATTAGCCAGGCGTGGTGGCGGGCGCCTGTATACCCAGCTACTCCGGAGGCTGAGGCAGGAGAATCACTTGAACCTGGGAGGCAGAGGTTGCAGTGAGCGGAGATCGCACCACTGCGCTCCAGCCTGGGTGACAGAGTGAGACTCTGTCTCAAAAAAAAAAAGGGGGTTTCAGGGTGAAGCTTCGTAGCTGGGGTTCACACCCTGGGCTGAGATTCCAGGACCTGCCCTGCTAACGCCGCAGCCTGGCGAGGAGGCAGTTTCGGAGTTGCCAGGCTTGCCTGGGCCATTGAGTTCTGAGCACCTGGTCCAGGGTGGAAGCTTGACCCGTGCCTCTGCCTGCAGGTCCCTATTGGTGGGTGCTTGTGCATATGTGAGATTTTTGTTCTGATGACTTTTCATAGATTTTTGCCGCAGTCTGTGGAGACTGTGCTGTTTATCTGCCCGTCCCCTTCCTGCTTCAGGCAGCCCTGGGTCTCCTCACCTTGCTTACTTTTTTTTTTTTTTTTTTGAGACAGAGTCTTGCTCTGTCGCCCAGGCTGGAGTGCAGTGGCGCGATCTTGGCTCACTGCAACCTCCACCTCCCAGGTTCAAGTGATTCTCCTGCCTCAGCCTCCCGAGTAGCTAGGATTACAGGTGCATGCCACCATGCCTGGCTAATTGTTTTGTTTTGTTTTTTTTTTTTTTTTTGAGACAGAGTTTCACTCTTGTTGCCCAGGCTGGAGTGCAACGGCATGATCTTGGCTCACCGCAACCTCCGTCTCCTGGGTTCAAGCAATTCTCCTGCCTCAGCCTCTCAAATAGCTGGGATTACAGGCATGCGTCACCATGCCTGGCTAATTTTTGTATTTTTAGTAGAGACTAAACATGGGGGTGTCTCCATGTTGGTCAGGATGGTCTCGAACTCCCGACCTCAGGAGATCCTCAGCTTCCCAAAGTGTTGGGATTACAGGCATAAGCCACTGCGCCCAGCGTACTTTTTTTTTTTGAGGCCAAGTCTCGCTCTGTTCACCAGGCTGGAGTGCAGTGGCACAATCTTGGCTCACTGCAACCTCTGCTTCCCAGGTTCAAGCAATTCTCCTGCCTCAGCCTCCTGTGTAACTGGAATTACAGGTGCATGCCACCACGCCCGGCTTATTTTTTGTATTTTTAGTAGAGACGGGGTTTCACCATGTTGGCCAGGGTGGTCTTGAACTCCTGACCTCAAGTGATCCACCTACCTTGGCCTCCCAAAGTGCTGGGAACACAGGTGTGAGCCACCACGCCCGGCCAATCAGCTTGTTTACTTTTGATTGAGATGTAACAGCTGGTCTGTAAAGTGCACAGACTTAAGGCTTGAGGACTCTTTACATGTGTGTGGACCCTGGAGAGCATTGCCCTCATTTCTGACCCCCTTGACTGCATTTTTTTTTTCTTTTTTAAGACAGAGTCTTGGTCTGTCACCCAGGCTGGAGTGCAGTGGTACGATCTCATCTCACTGCAGCCTCCACCTTCTGGGCTCAAGTGATCCTCCCTCCTCAGCCTCCTGAGCAGCGGGGACCGTGATGTTGCCCAGGCTGATCTTGAACTCCTGGCCTCAAGCTGTCCTTCCTCCTCACCTTCCCAAAGCTCTGGGATTACAGGCATGAGCCACCGCGCCCAGCTTGCCTCGAGTGAATCTTGTCTCAACTGGCCTAGAGTTTCCTAGCGTTTTCCAGTCTTTTGGGGGTTGCAGGGGTGGAGTGGGTTGCTTTTAATTTTTGTGTTGGGAACTCTGGATGCTATTAGGGATTTTCGACTGTGGGCTCTCTTGGAATCACAGAATTTTTATTGAGGATTGATTTGGTGGTTATTTTTCTGAGCGTCTCCTGTGAACGAGGCTTGGCTGTGAGTGCCGGCGGTGGGGGTTACAGCCAGCCAGCAAACCCGAGCCGCCTGTGCGAAGGTCCGAGGCGGGACGGGAAATCGTGTCTTGGAAGCAGCAGCGGCCAGGAGGTGCCACTGTGGGGTTGGAGCAGAATGTGTTTCAGGTGGGGTGGAGTTAGGAGATAAGGGTGGAGCCGATCCTGGTACCCCCAGACCCTGGAGGCCATGGTCAGCCCTGTGGTGTGGGGGTTTGTGAGCCCAGTGGAGCTAGCATTACGGTTTTTTGTTTGTTTGGCTTTTGAGACAGAGTCTCGCTCTGTCGTCCAGGCTGGAGCGCAGTGGCACGATCTCGGCTCACTGCAAGCTCTGCCTCCCCGGTTCACACCATTCTCCTGCCTCAGCCTCCCGAGTAGCTGGGATTACAGGTGCCCACCACCACGCCCGGCTAATTTTTTTGTATTTTTAGTGGAGACGGGGTTTCACCGTGTTAGCCGGGATGGTCTCAATCTCCTGACCTCATGATCCGCCCGCCTCGGCCTCCCAAAGTGCTGGGATGACAGGCGTGAGCCACCGCGCCCGTCCTGTTTGTTTTGAGACACGGTCTTGCTCTTGTTGTCCAGGCTGGAGCGCGCGGTATTGCAGTCACAGCTCACCGCAGCCTCAAACTCCCCAGGCTCAAGGGATCCACCCACCTTGGGCTCCCAAAGTGCTGGGATTACATGAGCTCCCACGCCCAGTTTGTGTGGTTTTTCCTTGCCAGAAAAGTCCCCATCCATGAGGCCCCCCCTCACCGGCCCGCTTCCCAGGTGCCGGGTGGCTGCGGTGCGCGCCTACCTCCCCCCAAACGCCGCCCGCTTCCCGGGTGCCCGGTGGCTGCGGTGCGCGCTTACCCCCACCCTGTCCAACCACCCGCTTCCCAGGCGGCTGCCTATTCCCCCCACACTGAGTGGCTCGGCCCTTGGATTCTCGGTGGGAGGCCCAGCTGTGACAGCTAATCCATCTCCACAATTAATGCCATTTGCTCCGGCCAGGCCGATTAGCTCTGGAGGGGGGCCGCTGCAGCCGCACTCTCCTCCTGGCCCTGGGGACAGGGGACATTAAGGGGGGGGTTTGCGGGGGGGGCTGAGGCATCACCTTGAGCTTCTGGGGCTGTTTTCTGGCTCCTCTGCTGCTGGGAGTGGGGGATGTGGATAAAATCAAGTTTCTTGACTCTCCATTTCTGAAGGAAGCTGTTCACGTCCCAAAGGCTGTGGGCCTTGCTGGCTTACAGCTAACACCTTGAACACTGGGGTTGGGGGTGGGCGGCAGCTTTTCTTGGTCATTCACCTGCTGTGTGACTTTGGGCAAGTGTCTTCACTTCTCTGAGCCTCGGTTTACTAATCTATCATCACAGTTTTTTGTTTTTTTTTGAGACAAGGTCTCACTCCGTCGCCCAGGCTGGAGTGCGGTGGCACAATCTCAGCTCACTGGAGCATCTGCCTCCCGGGTTCAAGCGATTCTCTCACTTCAGCCTCCTGAGTAAGCTGAGATTACAGGCGCACGCCACCACGCCTGATTAATTTTTGTATTTTTTTTGGTAGAGACAGGGTTTCACCCTGTTGGCCAGGCTGGTCTTCAACCCCTGACCTCAAGTGATCCACCCACCTTGGCCTCCCAACGTGCTGGGATTACAGGCATGAATCAATGTGCCTGACCTAATTTTTTTTATTTTTTTTGGACACAGTCTTGCTCTGTTGCCCAGGCTGGAGTGCAGTGGTGCCATCATGCCAACCTCGACCTCCTGGACTTAAGTGATCCTCCTGCCTCAGGCCCCTGAGTAGCTGGGACTACAGGCATGTACCAGCACACCGGTTAATTTTTTAATTATTATTTTTTTTTGTAGAGACAAAAAAATAAGTCTTTTTTTTTTTTCATAGTCTTGCTATGTTGCTCAGGCTGGTCTTGAACCCCTGAGCTCAAGTGATCCACCGGCCTCAGCCTCCCACAATGCTGGGATCACCGGCATGAGCCACCACACCCAGCCCGTCTTCACAATTGTATCTGCTTCCTGTGATGTGAGGATGAAACAAAATAGGATTTTAAGGGCCCAGGACTTCACACACCGTAGGGGTGAGCTCTCCATTGCTGGGGGAAACCAAGCGGGCCATGGCTGTGGTAGGGCCCTTCTCGGAGATCCTGGCCGGCCTTGACCCTGAGGACCACCCCTGCCCCGGCCCACAGGCCCCTTCCCAGCTGCCTGCCTGCCCTAGCCAGCTCCCAGGTGAAGAGACTCTCGGCTTCCAGGCGGAAACAGCACTTCATCAACCAGGCAGTGCGGAACTCAGACCTCGTGCCCAAGGCCAAGGGGCGGAAGAGCCTCCAGCGCCTGGAGAACAGTGAGCAGGGGTCGGGAGGCGCCTCCTGGGGGCTCCTGGGCCTTGTAGAATGGCATGCATATTGGTGTTATCTGTTACCCCTCCCATGAGCTGTGCCTGGGTGGGGCTGGGGACCCAAAGAGGTGTCAGCTGTAGGCCGGGGGACCATATAAATAGAGCCAGACACAGGCGCCCCCTGGACTCTTGGATCAGGGCTGGGTGGGAGGGCGCCCCGGGCATTGGAGCTGGGGCTTTAAAGGATATATAGGAGTTCGACAATCCAGAACCTGGGGTCTAGGTGGTCTCTGTACCTTCTGGGGAAGACAGTTGGAGCATGGAGGTGCGGAGGTTGAGATGATAAAAAAGGAGGAAGGCTAGTTCTTGGGTCCCCATGGTGCCTGGGGGTCCCCAAATGCCACCCCGGCCCAGAGAGCATCTGTTTCCACCTAGCCCAGTACCTCCTGACCCTGCTGGAGACAGACGGGGGCCTGCCTGGCCTGGAGGATGGGGACTTGGCACCCCCTGCATCACCAGGCATCTTTGCCGAGGCCTGCAACAACGCCACCTATGTGGAGGTGTGGCCCCCAACCCCCTCACTCCCTCCACACGGGGACCCCGGCAGTTCTCCTACGGCCAGGCCATCGCCTGTGCCCGTCCCCCGCCAGAAGCACCCGCCCACTTCTGATCTCCTAATGAAGGCCCCTCAGTCTCCTTCGGGGTCCCCAGACCAGGCCAGAATCCCCACCCCACCCCTGGAACCTTCGAGCTCCTGGATTCACCTGCCCAACACGTTTGGGAACCCTCCAACGATTGCAGGAGTGTTTCACCTCAATCCCCCCCACCCCGAGACAGCTGGGCCCACCCCGGTTCCCCGCTTCCCTGCGCTCAGCTCAGGGCCCGACACAAGCAGCGGCCCCTCAGTGGACAGAGGTGACCGCAGGAGCGCGTCCACGTGCTTGGCGGCCTTACCGTGCCCATTTGCCCGGGGATGTCAGCGCAGCCCCAGTGTTTCATGGCAAGCCTGCCTCCCTGCCTCTCTTCCAGGTCTGGAACGATTTCATGAACCGCTCCGGGGAGGAGCAGGAGCGGGTTCTTCGCTACCTGGAGGATGAGGGCAGGAGCAAGGCGCGGAGGAGGGGCCCTGGCCGTGGGGAGGACCGGAGGAGAGGTGCGGGCCTGGCTGGGGCGGGTATGGGTGGGGCCAGGGTATGGATGGGGGCGTGGCCTGGGGTGGGTGGGGCCGGGATGGGGGGGCAGGATATGGATGGGGTGTGGGCGGGACCTGGAGTGGGTTGGACCTAGTATGTTGGGCCCAGGTATGGATGGGGGATGGGGGCGAGGCCTGGGGTGGGTGGGGCCGCGATGGGGGGCAGGATATGGATGGGGTGTGGGCGGGACCTGGAGTGGGTTGGACCTAGTGTGTGGGTGAGGCCAGGGTATGGATGGGGACAGGGCAATGGGGTGTGTGGGGCCAGGATGGGGTAGGTAGGATATGGATGGGGCGGGACATGGAGTGGATGTGGCCAGCATGTGGGGGCAGGATCTGGATGGCAGTGGGTAGGGGTGGGGCTAGCTGGCTTGTGTGGGCCTGGAGTGGGTGGGGCCTCATGTCTAGCTGGGGTGAACATACAGGTGAGGGTAGGGTCAGCTGGATGGGTTGGGGTCAGGGCCTCGTGGGGGTAGGGTCTGCTGGCTGGATGGGGCCACAGTATCGTTGAAGGTGTGGTTTGGTGGGCAGGAGAGGCCAAGGCACAGATGGGCGTGGTCTTCCCTGGGTGGGCGTGGTCTGGCAGGTGGGCAGGGCCAGGACGAGCACCCCAAGACTGCCCCTTGTTCCCCCACTCCTGCAGAGGACCCCGCCTATACACCCCGCGAGTGCTTCCAGCGCATCAGCCGGCGTCTGCGAGCCGTCCTCAAGCGCAGCCGCATCCCCATGGTGAGTGGGGGATTGCCGGGCCTCCCTTTTCTACCTGCCTGGTCTTTTTTGAAGGCCCGTTTCCCAGGCACAGGTTCTCACCCGGTGCAGGTCGTGTCAGGGGAAACAGGGCAGGATACAGACAGCGGCACCAGGGCCCTGAGTAGGAGGGCGGGGGCAACGAAGGCGGGCACTGCAGGGTGTGTAGGAGTTTCCTCCACGGAAGGCACAGGCAGGAGGTGGCATGGTGGCCTCAGAGACACTTAAGCAGCCTCACGTGGTGGGTCAGAGGTCATGTTTGAGCCCAGCGCTGTGGGCTCCTGGGGGCCCTGGACCTCCCTGGCCCCCCACCCACAGGTCCCGCAGTTCCCTGACCACCGGGCCGCTCTCCCCAGGAAACGCTGGAGACCTGGGAGGAGCGGCTGCTTCGGTTCTTCTCCGTGTCCCCCCAGGCCGTGTACACAGCAATGCTAGACAACAGGTAAGGGGGGGCGGCCAGGCGAGCGGACCCTCCGAGGCTGCGGCCAGGTGGGCGGACACCCCACGCTGCAGCCCCTGCACGGCGCTCACTGCCCGTTCCCCACAGCTTCGAGAGGCTTCTGCTGCACGCTGTCTGCCAGTACATGGACCTCATCTCGGCCAGTAAGTGCCGGTGGCCCCCAAGACCCCAAGTTGGCCAGCTCAACCTGGGAAAGTGGCCAGGGTCCCAGGGGCCTGGTTCCTCAGAGTGGGGCTTGGTGGGGAGGTGGGGAAGGGGGCTGGAGTGGGGACGCTACGAACTCAGGGGTGGCAGTGGGACCCTGCCTTGAATTCACCAGAAGCTCCCTGCATATGCGGCCCCACGCAGGGTGACCGCAGACACAACCAGGCTGCTGGACACAGACACTCCTCCATCTGCATCTTCGGGGCCCGGGGTGGGGGTGATGAAGCCTGGATTTGAGGGACCTCCCAGAGCCAGAGATAAGATGGGGGGACGCAGTGTCTGGAAGGTTTGCATTTAACTCTAAGGCCTCCCACATACCACACGTGGGACCTCAGGCGAGACCCCCTACTGGCCCCTGCGCTCCACTTTTCCAACGGGGCGCAGTCTCAGAACTCACCCCCGTAGTGAACGTCTGTGCAGGCGCCGCCGGCCCCAGGCACCCCATCTGGTCCTGAGCCTCTCACACCTGTCTCTGCCGCCCCGCCTGGAGTTGCCGAGGTGACAGTTTCCATGGCAACCGGACGATGCCTCCCTCTGTTCCCTCTGTGGGAGACGCAGCCCCCATGCCTGCCTCTGCTCAGAACATCCGGCCTTGGCTGGGGGTGCGGGGCTTGGAGCTTGGTGGGTGTGGAGCTGTGGTCCTGACACGGAAGAGGAGGGGTCCCAGCAAGATGGGGAGTAGAGGACGGGGGGGTCCCAGGCAGAGGGGACTGCTGAGGCGCGGAGCTCACATGGGACGTGGCTCTTTTTTTTTGTTTTGGTTGGTTAGGTTTGGTTTTTTTGAGACAGTCTCATTCTGCCACCCAGGCTGGAGTGCAGTGGCGTAATCTTTACTCACTGCAACCTCCACCTCCGGGTTCAAGCGATTCTCCTGCCTCAGCCTCCCGAGTAGCTGGGATCCCAGGTGCCGGCCAGCACGCCCGGCTAATTTTGTATTTTTAGTAGAGACGGGTTTCTTTTTTTTTTTTTTTTTTGAGACCAAGTCTCGCTCTGTCACCCATGCTGGAGTGCAGTGGCGCGATCTCAGCTCACTGCAAGCTCCACCTCCCGGGTTCACGCCATTCTCCTGCCTCAGCCTCCCGAGTAGCTGGGACTACAGGTGCCCGCCACCACGCCCTGCTAATTTTTTGTATATATATATATATATATTTTTTTTTTTAGTAGAGACAGGGTTTCACTGTGTTAGCCAGGATGGTCTCAACCTGACCTCGTGATCCGCTTGCCTCAGCCTCCCAAAGTGCTGGCATTACAGGCTTAAGCCACCGCGCCCAGCCCTAGAGACAGGGTTTCACCATGTTGGTCAGGCTGGTCTCGACCTCCTGACCTCAGATGATCCTCCTGCCTTGGCCTCCCAGAGTGCTGGGATTACAGGCATGAGCCACTGCGCCTGGCCAGGTCATTCATTTTTCTGCAGTGAGGGGGAGATGGGGAAGGGGAGGCCGGTGGGAGCTGGACCACTCAGGACCTGGGTGCCTCAGAGCCACCTCTGCAGGGCAGGGAGCCTGAGGGGAGGCCGGACACTCCGCCAGGCAGGCGTGTGAGTGGCCATGCGGCCTCAGGCCCAGTGCGTTTCAGGGTCCCCATCCGCACAGTGGAATGAGTGCCAGCGGGGAGTGAGATGGGCCCGAGGAGAGTGCTCCTGTAGGGAGCCTTAGGTATTCTTGTGAGCCAGGCTCCCGGACCTGCGGGCTTAGGGCCAGCCAGGCCGCAGTGACCAGCACACACCAGCTGGCGGTGACCTCCCTGGGAAGAAGCGAGGGTGGTGCAGGTCCGAGGCACCTCTACCTGCCGCGGCTCCCAAATTCCTCCCGTTCTTGCCCCGCTGGTCCCGTCTGCAGGTGCTGACCTGGAGGGGAAGCGGCAGATGAAGGTCAGTAATCGGCACCTGGATTTCCTGCCGCCGGGGCTGCTCCTGTCCGCCTACCTGGAGCAGCACAGCTGATGGCGGCCCCGCGGAGACCCCGCTGCCACCTCGCCCAGCCATCAAGCCCTCCGATACCTTCGGCTAAAATATCTTTCATATTTTTAGAATTTGTCCTCGGAAACCTTTTTCGCTTGGGGTGGTCTCTCTCACTCTGCCCCCTCCTCACGCAGCTCTTGGCAGTCAACAGACGCTGGCGGCTGGGGCTGCCCATGCCATCCCAGCTCCAAGCTTCCCACTCCGGGACTTGTGTTTGGGTGGGGAGACCTGACCTGGGCATGTTCCTGTTTCTTCATCGTTGAGCTTTTCTGGCCCGGTCTGAAGCTCAAGTGAGGAGGGGGAGGCTGGGTTTTTATCACTTTTAATGAATTTGGTGTGATTTGTTGTAGATTTTTAAATTTCCCTTTTGGAGAGAAAAACCAAAAAAACTCGCCCCACTGGTAAAACATGGGTCTTGGTCCCAGCCCCTGCTCAGCCCCTCCCAGTTTTTAGCTTGAATGAGGGTGGGGTCTCTGGGACCCTGCCCCTCATGCCAGAAGCATCTTGTGTTGTATATGTGTGCGCGCGTGTGCCCTGAGACCCAGGACAGAAGCCACGGTCCTAAGAGCCGGTTTTATCCTCGTCATTCTGCGTGTCCTCCCCCACGCCACCTGTGTCGGGGCTCAGGGTCTCCTGCTTTATATGAGCCCCCTTCCTTTCCTCCCCTCCTTTATGCTGGGGGTCCAGGACTTCCAGCCAGAAGCCTCTGCCCTTGCACTACCTTGTCTGTCACCCCATCCCGTGTCCCCTCGTCCCCCAGCCTGACTCCTGCCTGATAGCTCCTGTGTCCCCATGCTGGTCCTCCTGGCCCAGGCTGCAGGAGCCAGGCTGGGGGGCCTCCGCACCCCCTTGCTGCGTGTGGGTAATTGTGTTTTGGGGGAAAGTGGGGAATTTAATAAATTTCTGGTGCTCTGGCCTCGGGCTATGTGTGTTTTTCTTCGGGGCAGGGCCGGGGGCTTAGTAGGTCCTGGCCACCAAGGGCTGCAGGTGCCCCCCTGGCTCCTCTGCCCTTGGTTGCCTGGATTCAAACCCTGGCTCTGCCACATGCCTGCCGTGTGACCTTGGGTGAGGAGCTTGTAGGAGTGCCTTGGGGCCCCTGTAGACCTTGAGTGAGTGGCTTGTACGAGTGCCTTGGGGCCCCTGTAATGGAGGGTCTCACACAGGGGGCTTGAAACGACAGAAGGCCAGTGCAGTAGCTCATGCCTGTGATCCCAGCACCTTGGGAGGCCAAGGCAGGAGGATCGCTTGAGCCCAGGAGTTTGAAACCAACCAGGGCAACATAGCAAGACCTTGTCTCTACAAAACATGAGAGAAATTAGCAGGGTTGGCTGGGCATGGTGGCTGCTCACACCTGTAATCCCAGCACTTTGGGGATGCCAAAGCGGGTGGATCACAAGGTCAGGAGTTCAAGACCAGCCTGACCAACATGGAGAAACCCCATCTCTACTAAAAATACAAAATTAACCGAGTGTGGTGGTGCATGCCTGTAATGCCAGCTACTCAGGAGGCTGAGGCAGGAGAATTGCTTGAACCCAGGTGGTAGAGGCTGCAGTGAGCTGAGATCGCACCTTTGCACTCCAGCCTGGGCAACAAGAGCAAAACTCTGTCACACACACAAAAATTAGCAGGGTGTGGTGTGCGCCTGTAGTCCCAGCTACTTGGGAGGCTGAGGTGGGAGGATCACTTGAGCCTGCAGTGAGCTGAGACCGTGCCACTGCACTTCAGCCTGGGTATGGAGGAAGACCCTAGGTCAAAGAGAAGCAAAAGGGAAATCTATCCTCTCACAATGCTGGAGGTAGAAGAATGAGGTCATGGTGTCTGCAGGGCAGTGCTCCCTCCAGCGTCTCTAGGGGAGGAGCCTTCCTGCCTTTCCCGGTTTCTGGGGACTTCGTGTGTCCATGGCTTGTGGCCACATTGCTGTGGTCTCATCTCCAAGTGGCCGTTTTCCCTGTGTGTTATGTCTTGTCTTGACATCGTCCTCTCCTCACGTGTCTGTGCCCAAATATCCATCTCTATGATGCCCGTCATTAGGTTAGGCCCATGCTAATCACCTCCTTTTAACCTGATTACCTCTGCAAAGACCCTGTTTCTAAATAAGGTCACATTCTGAGGTAGTGGGAGTTAGGAATTCAACCTCTCTTTTTTTTTTTTTTTTTTTTTTAGACAGGGTCTGGCTCTGTTGCCCTGGCTGGAGTGCAGAGGTACAATCCCAGCTCACTGCAGCCTTGACCTCCCAGACTGAAGTGATCCTCCCACTTTTGCCTCCTGAGTAACTGGGCCTACAGGTGTGCATCACCCCACCCAGCTATTTTATTTATTTATTTATTTATTTTGAGACAGAGTCTTGCTCTGTCCCCCAGGCTGGAGTGCAGTGGCGCGATCTCAGCTCACTGCAACCTCCACCTCTTGGGTTCAAGTGATTCTCCTGCCTCAACCTCTAGAGTAGCTAGGACTACAGGCATGTGTCACCATGCCCAGCTAATATTTTTGTATTTTTAGTAGAGATGTGGTTTCAACATGTTGGCCAGGCTAGTCTCGAACTCCTGTTCTCAGGTGATCTGCGTGCCTCAGCCTCCCAAAGTTCAGGGATTACAGGCCTGAACCACCTTGCCCAGCGCCCCTCCCTCCCCAACCCTGCTAATTTTTAATTTTTTTTTGTAGAGACGGGGTCTGGCTATGTTTCCCAGGCTGGTCTCAAACTCAAGCTGTCCTCAGACCTTGGCCTCCCAAAGTACTGGGATTACAGGTGTGTGCCACCACACCCGGGCCGCTAAGAACGTTAAATCCCTACCTGCTGCCTGGGAATGGGGATTTTCTGTAAGGTCACTGCGTGGCCCTCTTGGAGAACTGAACCCTGATCCAGAAAAAACACTCTGATATTTGGGCCATTGTTAACCTGTAATTTTAGAACAGTTTTATATTTGCAGAATTCTTGCAAAAATCATGCAGTGAGGCCGCGGTGGCTCACGCCTATAATCCCAGCACTTTGGGAGGCCGGGGTGGAAGGAGGGCTTGAGGCCTGGAGTTTGAAATCAGCCTGGGCAACATAGTGAGACCCCATCGCTATTAAAATTTTGAAAAAACAGGCTGGGCGCGGTGGCTCACGCCTGTAATCCCAGCACTTTGGGAGGCTGAGGCAGGCAGATCACCAGGTCAAGAGACTGAGACCATCCTGGCCAACATGGTGAAACTCCGTCTCTACTAAAAATACAAGAATTTGTTGGGCATGGTGGTGCGCGCCTGTAGTCCCAGCTACTCGGGAGGCTGAGGCAGGAGAATCGCTTGAGCCTGGAAGGCGGAGGTTGCAGTGAGCTGAGATCGCGCTACTGCACTCCAGCCTGGGCCACAGAGCGAGACCCTGTCTCAAAAAAAATAAAAATAAAAATAGAAGAGCACCACATCCATTGCATTAAACTGGCTTTTGGAGGAGGAGGTGGGAATAGGGTTGGAAGTAGGAATACTCAACGGGGTCGGTGACTTCGCTTACAGTTTCCCCACTCTTGGACATTAGAAAATGGAAGAAAGGCCGGGCGCGGTGGCTCACACCTGTAATCCCAGTACTCTGGGAGGCCGAGGCGGGCGGATCAGGAGGTCAGTAGATAGAGACCACCCTGGCCAACATGGCGAAACCCCGTCTCTACCAAAATACAAAAATTAGCCGGGCGTGGTGGCGCATGTTTATAATCCCAGCTACTCGGGAGGCTGAGGCAGGAGAATCGCTTCAACCCGGGAGGCGGAGGTTGCAACAAGCTAAGATCGCGCCATTGCATTCCAGCCTGGGCAACAGAGCAAGATTCCGTTTCTGGGAGGGAAAATGGAAAAAAAAAAAAAAATATGGAACGCTTCACGAATTTGCGTGTCATCCTTGCGCAGGGGCCATGCTAATCTTCTCTGTATCGTTCCAATTTTAGTATATGTGCTGCCGAAGCGAGCACGAATATTGAGTTCCACCACCAGCTATTTAAAGCCCCTGGAACAAATGTCTGTACACATAGGCCGACTTCTCTTAAATGACCTAGAGATTTAACCTCTATTTATATTAGCCCAATGTGTAATGCAACTAACGTAGTTATTGACTGGAGTTGAGAAAGTGCTCGTTGTTCTACCAAATATAGCTACGGTGGCTGCTGGGAATTACTGGAAATGGTCGTATGCAAATAGCCCCGGAGGCGGGGCAGAGCCTGAGCCGCACCGCCCTCCCAGAAGTCTTTGGGAGGCGGCCCCACGCCTCAGGCGACTGGTTGTTACCGAGGAAGATGGCGGCGCCAGACCCGAGGCGCTAGGGAAGATCGCACCGCGGACGCCCGCTGAGCTTGGCGCACGGGCCGACCAGGTGAGTGCGGGGCTGCGGGGGCCCGGCGAGGGCGGACGGACCCCTGACCGTGTCCACGGACCCGAGGGAACGCGGCGCAGCCGTGGCGGGGCCTGCGGGGTCGGGGGCGTGGCCGGGAGCAAAGGCTGCTGGGTAGGCGGCCTGGGGCGCGGGGCGCGGGGCGCGGGGCGCGGGGCGCGGGGCGCGGGGCGCGGGGCGCGGGGCTCGGGGCTCAGGGTTTGCGGCGGAAACCTGGGGGAGGCCTGAGGCCCGCGGGGCTGGGTTCGGGGCGGGGCCTAAGGAGAGTTTGGGGCGAGGCTGAAGGCGCTTGGTGGGACTTCGGGGGCGGGGCCTGGAGTGGGTTTGGGGTCGCCGGGGTGGAGCCTGGGGACTGGGGGGCTGTAGAGGCAGGGCCTGGAGACTGCGGGGTTATCGGTGCGGGGCCTGGAGAGGGAATAGGGTCCCTAGGGTGGAGACTGGGGACTGCGGAGTTATAGGGGTCTGGAGAGGGTAGGGGGTCCCTGGGATGGACCCTGGAGATTGGGGGTTATAGGGGCGGGGCCTGAAGAGGCTATGGGGTCCCTGGGATGAAGCCTCGTATTTGGGGGCAATAGGGGAAGGGCCTGGAGAGTACGTGGGGTCCCCGGGGTGGAGTCTGGGGACTGGGGAGTTTTAGGGGTTGGGCCTGGAGAGCTAAGGGCGTTGGAGGCTGGACCTGGAGAGTACATGGGACCCCTACGGTGAAGCCTGAGAATTTAGGGTGAGGCCGTGGGCTCAAGGGGTGAAATGAAGTGTGGGAAGCAAAGGGGGTCAGGGGTGGGGCTGAAAGACTTTTAGAGGCTTGTGGCGGAGCCTTGGGGGTCTGGGGCAGGCCCTGAAGAAGTAGGGAGCCGGGGTTAGGGTTTGAGGAGAACCTGGTTGCGGGTGATTCCAGGCTCCCTGGGCTTTTGCCTTTGCGAAGCGAAACAGCCCGTCTGGATGCCAGGCGCTTAGAAAGCCTCGAGGAGGTGCCCCCTCTGTTCCCTGTGACACTCAGCCCCCGCCTCGGCCACAGGTGTTCCCCAACACACTCAGCCCCGCCTCGGCCACAGGTGTTCCCCGTCACACTCAGCCCCGCCTCGGCCACAGGTGTTCCCCGTCACACTCAGCCCCCGGCTCGGCCACAGGTGTTCCCCATCACACTCAGCCCCGCCTCGGCCACAGGTGTTCCCCGTCACACTCAGCCCCCGCCTCGGCCACAGGTGTTCCCCGTCACACTCAGCCCCGCCTCGGCCACAGGTGTTCCCCGTCACACTCAGCCCCGCCTCGGCCACAGGTGTTCCCCGTCACACTCAGCCCCCGCCTCGGCCACAGGTGTTCCCTGTCAGTCAGCCCCGCCTCGGCCACAGGTGTTCCCCGTCACACTCAGCCCCGCCTCGGCCACAGGTGTTCCCCGTCACACTCAGCCCCCGCCTCGGCCACAGGTGTTCCCTGTCACTCAGCCCCGCCTCGGCCACAGGTGTTCCCTGTCACTCAGCCCCGCCTCGGCTACAGGGAGCCGCCCCACCGCTTGCCTGTCTGCGGGCTCTTCCTTCGGGAGAGAGCTAGTGTCCACTTGCTGCCCCCATCATCACTCACCTGGGCCAGCGCAGACCCTCCGCTGCGTCTCCCGGCTGTGCCCTTGGCCCCCATGGTCTGTTCCCTAGACAGCCAGAGGGGTCCTGGTGAAACCCAAATAGGTCCCAGCCCTCCCGGGCTCCCACCTTACTGAGAGTAGAAGCCCACAGGCCCAGGACTGGCCCTGACCTCTCCATGTTCCCCCTCGGCCCCAGCCCCAGGCTCTGTCTGGCCTCCGGGCCTTTGCATCGGCTGTTCCCTCTACCACGGGCCTCCATTGTTTTCCCACTTCTGGCCTGGCACTCCACATGCCCTGGGTGCTCAGCCAACATAGACGTCCCACCACACCTCCCTCCCGCAGGAGCTGGTGACTGCCCTCATGTGTGATTTGCGGCGGCCAGCGGCAGGTGGGATGATGGACTTGGCCTACGTCTGTGAGTGGGAGAAATGGTCCAAGAGCACCCACTGCCCATCGGTGCCCCTGGCCTGCGCCTGGTCCTGCCGAAATCTCATCGCCTTCACCATGGACCTGCGCAGCGATGACCAGGGTGCGTCCCCCTCCCACCTGCTTCCCCTCCCGGCCGCATGGTGTCCCGCCCTGTTCCCCAGGTGCCCGGCCCACTGCCTTGAAGGGACTCGGTCTCTCAGGCCACCTCTCACTCACCCTGGCCCTCCTCTGTAACTTGTGTGAGAGCCTCAGCCTCCTGGGGGTACAGAGGGTGGATTCAGTGCCCCCCAAACCTGGTGCCAGGAGACATGAGATCGCCCCGTGTGCGGGATCGAATCGGGCTGGAGCGTTGGTTGACGGAGGCTTGTTGGAGACACGTGCCCCAGTTTTCTAGACGGTGTGTGTCACTGGTTTTTGAAAGGTGCGTGGTGGCTGTGCCCGTCTTCTCTCCATTGTTTGAGTAATAGGCACTCATAATACGTGGTCATTAGAGAAAACTAGAAAACCACAGAAAATTGGAATCAAATCGGGGTGCAAAAAAGCCACCTATTATCTGCTGTGGAGAGGCTCCCACTGTTCACATTTCGGAGTCATTTTCTTCTAATCTGGTTTTAAAGACACAGTTGTGGCGCCTCACAGGCCTGCTCTGTTCCTGCGGGGGGACAGCCTGTTCCCTGAGCTGTCGACTCGGCTGACAGCAGTTCTGTGACCTTCCTGGGGTGGGACACACACCGGCTTACCTGGAGCCTGCCTGGAGTCATCGTCATCGTCTGCAGGCTGTGGTGCCAGGCCGTGCTGACCATGCCCCGTCCCCACAGACCTGACCCGCATGATCCACATCCTGGACACGGAGCACCCCTGGGACCTGCACTCGATCCCCTCAGAGCACCACGAGGCCATCACCTGCCTGGAGTGGGACCAGTCAGGTGAGGCGCTGGTCCCACGTGGCCAGGGGTGGCGACCCGGATCCCGGAGCAGGGGGGCCC
Source organism: Homo sapiens (assembly GCF_000001405.40). Lineage (NCBI taxonomy): Eukaryota > Metazoa > Chordata > Mammalia > Primates > Hominidae > Homo > Homo sapiens. The sequence continues at coordinate 890,076 of NC_000019.10, read as the reverse complement.
TGTGTTTCTCCGGTCAGTCTGGAGTCCGGCGCTGGGTCTAGAGCCCCTGGTCTGCAGCTTTGCACCTGCTGCTCTTTCCATAGTGGCCCGAATCATTCTTGTTCAGGGTGTCTCAGGGCATCTCTGGAGTGCGCCTTGTGCCACCTGCTGTGCCCTACCTGGGCCGAGACCTCTCCACTGGGCTGGCTTCCCCCAGGCGCTGTGCCGTCCTGCAACGCAGTGCTCTGCCCATCCCTGGAAGGTTCGCAATGATGGCTTCTTGCCCTCAGGCTCCCGGCTCCTGTCAGCAGATGCCGACGGGCAGATCAAGTGCTGGAGCATGGCGGACCACCTGGCTAATAGCTGGGAGAGCTCAGTGGGCAGCCTAGTGGAGGGGGACCCCATTGTGGCCCTGTCCTGGCTGCACAATGGTGTGAAACTGGCCCTGCACGTGGAGAAGGTGAGTGTCCTGCCCGAGTGAGCGGATGAGGCAGATGAGATGTCACCCTACCCAGCCACCCGCCAGCCCCTCTCCTCTCCATCACCAGCATCCCCTGGTTTTTTGGACCTTGCACTTGGCTCCCACCTGCAGTCCGGCTGTCATTAGCACCTGTGTGTTCAGTGGCCTCTCATTTAACTGAGGGTGGCTGTTCACTTGGCCCCCACCTGCAGTCTGGCTGTCATTGGCACCTGCGTGTTCAGTGGCCCCTCATTTAACTGAGGGTGGCCGTTCTTAGTGAGTTATCTCTTTCACTGGAGGCTACTGTCCTTAGGTAGCTGCATGTATAACTGGTGGCTGCTGTCTTCTGAATGCAGCCCACCCTCTGATTTAGTAACATCCCAGAGCCCCTCTCTATGCTCCCTGTGATTCGGCCCCACAGGTAAGAGTAGGCGTGGCCAGGGTTGGGGGGGACAGTTAAGATAGGCGTGGCCAGGGTTGGGGGGGACAGTTAAGAGTAGGCGTGGCCAGGGTTGGGGACAGTTAAGAAGTAGGCGTGGCCAGGGTTGGGGACAGTTAAGAGTAGGCGTGGCCAGGGTTGGGGGGGACAGTTAAGAGTAGGCGTGGCCAGGGTTGGGGGGGCACCTGGGTTCAGGCTCTGACTCCTCACCTCTGTGTGTCAGTTTCCTCACTGACGGCAGGGTCTCGGGGATGTTCGTGGCAAAGGCCTCACAGCCACCCCAGCTTCGTGCCTCTGTGCGTCTGCTTGTGCTGGGGCTCTCGCAGGAACTAGGAGGCCTTCCTGGAGGGATGCAGTGGACAAGATCTTTTCTCTCGTCCCTTCGTGAGTCCCTCCCCAGGGACTGCCATTGTCGGCGCATTGCCGCAGTACACGCAGCACCGGCTTCGTGCCACGGGGGCCCTCCGGGGTGCACTCCCCACCCTGCGGTCCCCGTTTGTCTGTATTTCCTGTTTTTGGTAACAGTTTTGTCGGGATGGAGTTCACAGACCTTAGAACTCACCCATTGAGAGTGTGCAGCCCACACGGTCCAGAGGTTTCGTATACACTCGCCATGTTGTGCGGCCACCACCATAGCTAACCTCAGACCTTTATCTTTTTTTTTTTTTTTTTTTGGAGACAGAGTCTCGCTCTATCCCCCAGGCTGGAGTGCAGTGATGCGATCTTGGCTCACAGCAACCTCTGCCTCCTGGGTTCAAGCGATTCTCCTGCCTCAGCTTCCTGAGTAGCTGGGATTACAGGCACCCACCACCACACCTGGCTAATTTTTGTAATTTTTTAGTAGAGACGGGGTTTCACCATGTTGGCCAGGCTGGTCTCGAACTTCTCACCTCAGGTGATCCGTCTGCCTCAGCCTCCCAAAGTGCTGGGATTAGAGGTGTGAGCCAACGAGCCCGGCCAGACCTTTATCTTTTTTGTTTGTTTGTTTGTTTTTTGAGACAGGGTCTTGCTCTGTTGCCCAGGCTGGAGTGTAGTGGCGCGATCTCGGCTCACTGCAGCCTCTCCCTCCCGGGCTCAAGCGATTCTACTGCCTCAGCCTCCTGAATAGCTGGGATTACAGGCGCCCGCCACCACGCCCGGCTGCTTTTTTGTATTTTTAGTAGGGACCGGGTTTCTCCATGTTGGTCAGGGTGGTCTCGAACTCCTAACCTCAGGTGATCTGCCTGTCTTGGCCTCCCAAAGTGCTGGGATGACAGGCGTGAGTCACTGTGCCCAGCTTCAGTCCCTTCTCATCACCCGAAAAGGAAACCCAGTCCCCATCCTGCATCACCCTGATCCATCCCCCACCCCAGCCCCCGAGACCCAGTTGTCTCTCTGGATCTGCCTGTCCTGGACATTCATAGAAACAGGATCACACACTGCGTAGCCTTCTGTGTCTGGCATCTCTTACTGAGCGTGATGTCCTCAAGGTGCATCCCCGCTGTGGCCTGAGTCAGAGCCTCGCTTTTTAAAATAACCAAATACATTTTTTTTGAGACAGAGTCTTGTTCTGTCAACCGGGCTGGAGTGCAGTGGTGCGATCTCGGCTCACTGAAACTTCCACCTCCCAGGTTCAAGTGATTCTCCTGCCTCAGCCTCCCGAGTAGCTGGAATTACAGGCACGCACCACCGCGCCCGGCTAATTTTTGTATTTTTAGTAGAGACGGGGTTTCACTATCTTGGCCAGGATGGTGTCGAACTCCTGACCTTGAGATCTGCCCGCCTCGGCCTCCCAAAGTGCTGAGATTACAGGCGTGAGCCACCGCGTCCGGCCAAATTTTTGTTTTTTAATTACATTAATAAAAGGCACATGTGCTCCTTTAACATAGTCTCAGACATGCCAGCCTGCGACCCACACAGACGTGTGGTGTGGACACCAGATGAGTCGTCGCCATGGCAACCCCTCACCACCAGGCCTGGCTTGCTTCCTGGACTTCTGGACCTGCTTCTTGCTATAAGAAGTGTTTTTTTTTAACTTGTAACTTAGAATGGAGCCGTACGATACGTATGATACACTTCTCTTCCTCGCATTTTTTCACAACGTAGAGACATTTTTCTTGTTCTTTTTTTTTTTGTTTTTGAGACAAAGTTTTGCTCTCGTTGCCCAGGCCAGAGTGTAATGGTGTGATCTCGGCTCACTGCAATCACCACCTCCTGGATTCCAGCAATTCTCCTGCCTCAGCCTCCTGAGTAGCTGGGATTATAGGCACCCGCTACCATGCCCGGCTAATTTTTTTGTATTTTTTATTAGCAACAGGCTTTTACTGTGTTGGCCAGGCTGGTCTTGAACTGCTGACCTCAGGGGATCCACCTGCCTCAGCCCCCCAAAGTGCTGGGATTATAGGCGAGAGCCACCGTGCGCAGCCAAGACCCCATCTTTTAAAAGACTCACGTTGAAAGAAGGGTGGATGTTTCCGTATGTCAATAATGACTTGACAAATTTGATTTGAAATCAAATAGTGCCCGCAGCAGCCGCTGGTGCTTACACAGCACTTCCTGAGTGCTATAGCTCAGGTCTGCACAGTGCGGCCCAGGGCCTGACGGCCCCCGCCTGGGTTTGTGAGTGTGGCTCATTGGCACCAGCTGCCTGTGTGCCGCCACGGCAGAGCCAGAGCCAAGTCGTTGCAACAGGGACCACCTGGCTCCCAGAACCGAGCATGCTGCTGTCTGTCCCTTTACAGAAAGGGGAGGTGACTCCCGTTGCGCACACGTTCACCCGTTTAATCCTCCCCACTGTCCTCTAAAGCAAAGGTGCCGTTCCTTCCACCTTACAGATGAGGAGACGGAGGGTCAGAGGGGATCACATCCCACACGGCTCAGGTGGCCGAGTCAGGATCTGAACCCAGGTGCACACACTCCTGGCTTCTGCGTGGTTCTTCTGTGCGCGTGTTTCTGGGGGTCATGGGGCAGCCCCCATGAGCCTGAGCGGCCCCTCCTCCCTCCCTCCCTTCTCCACAGTCGGGCGCCTCCAGCTTCGGGGAGAAGTTCTCCCGAGTCAAGTTCTCACCGTCGCTCACGCTGTTCGGCGGCAAGCCCATGGAGGGCTGGATCGCGGTGACGGTCAGCGGCCTGGTCACCGTGTCCCTGCTGAAGCCCAGCGGGCAGGTGCTGACGTCCACCGAGAGCCTGTGCCGGCTGCGCGGCCGCGTGGCCCTGGCCGACATCGCCTTCACCGGCGGCGGCAACATCGTGGTGGCCACGGCGGACGGCAGCAGCGCGTCGCCCGTGCAGTTCTACAAGGTGTGCGTGAGCGTGGTGAGCGAGAAGTGCCGTATCGACACGGAGATCCTGCCCTCCCTGTTCATGCGCTGCACCACCGACCTCAACCGCAAGGACAAGTTTCCCGCCATCACCCACCTCAAGTTCCTGGCCCGGGACATGTCGGAGCAGGTGAACGGGCGCAGGCCATCACGTGGGCTGGCAGGCTTGGAATGAAGCACTGCTTCTCAGGGTCCTGGGGGTGGAGACCCGCGCGGGCCTCCACGGGCTAAACCGTGGTGTGGGCAGGGCCGGTCCCTCCCGGGGGCTCCAGGGGAGAACCCATTTTCTGCCTTTCCCAGCATCTGGAGGCGCCCAATCCCTCGGTTCGGGGCGCCTTCCTCCCGCTTCGTGGCCACAGCGCAGCCTCTTCCTGTCTCTGAATCTCAACCTCCCACATTCTCTCCTGAGGACCCTGTGAGGACACTGGGGCCCCCGGACCCCCCCCAACGTGCTCTCCCGTCTCAGTGTCCCGAACCGAATCCCACCCGCAGGTCCCTTCTCTGTGAGAGGCGGCCCAGCCACCGGTCCTAGGGCTGAGGATGGGATGTTCTGGGGGCCACTGTTGAGCCGACCACACCAGGTCGCCTGGATTCCTGTTGTAATTAGGAATCAGTAACGCCCCAAACTCCTTGAAGCCCCTGACTTGGTTCCCTGTGTCCCTTTGCTGTCCCTGTGGGAGGGCACCATCCGGGGACATTTGCGTTCCTGTGAGTGGATGTTGGGCTCTGGGGACAGGCCTGGGCTGGAATCCAGGAGGGCCCGAGGGGCAGGCGTGGCTGAAGAGACAGGCCCAGCAGTGCGTGGCCCCAGGGTCCCGCAGCTCAGGCTCCGGTGGTGGCGTGGCCACCACAGCAGTGCCGGGTCAGCCCTCACCCCCACCTCCCCCGCAGGTGCTTTTGTGCGCGTCCAGCCAGACCAGCAGCATCGTGGAGTGCTGGTCCCTGCGCAAGGAGGGACTCCCCGTGAACAACATCTTCCAGCAGATCTCCCCCGTGGGTGAGTCTCCCGCCGGCTGCGGAGGCCCTGGGCCTGCCCTCGGGGGCGGTTGGTTTTTATTTTGGAGGCAGGTCTTGCTGTGTCACCCAGGGTGGTCCTGAACCCCGGCCCTAAGCGATCGTCTCGCCTCGATCTCCAGTAGTGCTAGGATCTCGGGTGTGACCGCGCGCCTGCCAGCATTCTGAGTGTGTTAGGCGTATAGACTCCTCCATCCTTCCACGCCCGCTGCGGCGGCTGCCACCATTCTGTGCGAGGCCGAGGCTGAGAGGTGTCGTTGCTCAGCCAGCGGGGACACCGTGAGGGGCTGCAGGCGTGTGGGCGGCTGTGGAGCGTGGGTCTGTGGGTGGGGCCGTCGGGCAGCAGGGGACAGGCCAGACCGGGCAGGGGCGGTGCACGGAATCCTCCGGAACCTGGTTCAGGGAGAGGAAGCCAAGGCTCAGCGGGTCAGCTGAGGCTGCTGAGAACACGCCCCCCACCCCACCCCACCTCTCCAGCAGCCTCTTCTGGGGCCCCCATTCCCATCTCTATCCGCCCGATGGGCCCCCCGCACCCACGGAGCCAAGCCCGTCATCCCCACCTCCGGCACAAAATCCTGGGGCTGGAGCGAAGCAGGGACGCCCGCCTGCTATGACCGGGGACCAGAACAGCCGCTTGGTTTTCAGAGCCTCGGAGGCTGCGGGCCTGGTTTTTAGGCTGGCCTCCGCTCTGGAGAAGGGAGATGTTTTCCCGGTAGATGAGAGCACAGGCATTTGCCGATTAGCGCTAATGGACCCTGGAGTGGCCAGACGTGGGGGCACGTGGGGCAGGTGGGGCAGGCGCTCCTCAGAAGCCACTAATGAGCACGTGTCAAGAGGCCCCGATGGCTCCCGGGGCCTGCAGGTGGTTATGTCAACTGCCCATTGTGGCCGCAGAGGCAGTAAAGGTGAAGAGGGCCACTGCCATTCCTTCCCCCAGGGCTTGTAGTGAGTCACCAGGCAGGTGAAGAGGGCTGCTGCCATTCCTTCTCCCAGGGCTCGTTCCTTCGCCCGGTCCCCAGGGCCTTGTTGGGCCTCATTCCTTCCCCTGGGCCTCGTGGTGAGTCACCAGGCAGTTTGGGCTGCGCTGGCTCCTGCAGCAGCACCTGGCGCCACCCCGTGTGGCTGCACAGACCTGCACCTTCACTGCCCGGTGCCCCCGCTGGGCACGTCTGTGTCTACCATCTGCCCACAGCCAAGCCACTGGGCAGTCCTGGGCTCCGACACTCCTCCTCGTCTCCTGCAGCCGTCCTCACCTGCTGGCCCAGCTGTTACCCGCCCGAGAGCCACGTCTCACACACATGCCACAGCCTTTCTCAGGTCTCACATCCCTGGCAGCTGGGGGTCACTGGGACAGTCCCCACCGCACCCATCTCTCCCCCATCTCTCCCCCTACCGCCCCACGTGCCCACCATGCCAGGCTTTGGTCCCCGCCATGCCCAGCTCTTCACGCACCGCCCCACGTGCCCACCGTGCCAGGCTTCGGTCCCCGCCATGCCCAGCTCTTCACCCACCACCCCACGTGCCCACCGTGCCAGGCTTCGGTCCCCGCCATGCCCAGCTCTTCACCCACCGCCCCACGTGCCCACCATGCCAGGCTTCGGTCCCCGCCATGCCCAGCTCTTCACGCACCGCCCCACGTGCCCACCATGCCAGGCTTCGGTTCCTACCATGCCCAGCTCTTCACCCACTGCCCCACATCCCCACTTAGCAGCTTAGCTTCTCCCTGCCTCAAGTCCCCCCTCATTTAGGAATGCTGACCGCAGCCGTCAGTTGGATGGAGGAGGGGATGTAAATCGTGCTGTGAGGGTACCCTGGCCACTAGCTGGGGGTGTGGTCGTCATGGCAGCTGCCTCCCCCGGCGCTGGGGCGTTGAGTTTCCTGTCTTTCCTATGAGAGGCTCAATTCCATGAGGGCCAGCCACCCCTGACCACTGTGTGCCCTCTGGGCGTCTCAGCCACTCTCTGGGCCTGTTTCCCCCCAGGGAATGCTGCTCACAGGACCCCTATACGGGTTTGCAGGAGGTCAAGGCTCTGTGACCGTGATGGCCCGTCCGGGGCAGAGACCTCATGATGCGGGTGGCACAGAGCAGCTGCGTGGTAGTCAGCTTCAGCCGAGTAACAAGCCAGCCCCAAACTGAGCAGCTCAGGCCAGCAGCCCTGCACTGTTTCTGTTTCTGTGGCTGCCTCAGCTGCGCTCTCCTGGTTCCCACGTGTCTGCGGTTAGCAGCCGAGGTGGCGTGGCCTGTCCACTGGCCGCACATGCTCCAGCAGGCCGGCTCCAGCTGCCCTCCGTGTCCCACATGCAGCCACAGCAGGACCCCCCACACGTGCTCTCTGGGCCACTGTTTTTGTTTTTTGTTTTTGAGCTAGGCTCTTGCTGTGTTGCCCAGGCTGGAGTGCAGTGGCGTGATCTTGGCTCACTGCAGCCTCATCTTCCTGGGCTCGAGCAATCCTACCTCAGCCTCCTGAGTAGCTGGGACTACAGGCGTGTGCAGGCGTGCATCACCACCACACACAGCTAATGTTTACTGTGTTTTTTTTGTAGAGAATGGGGTCTTGCTGTGTTGTCCAGGCTGGTCTTGAACTCCTGGACTCAAGCCATCCTCTGGCGTTGGCTTCCCAAAGTCTTGGGGTGGCAGATGTGAGCTGCTGTGCCCGGCCATGTCACATTTGCTAAGGCTTGGCCTGAGATTCCCAGAAGTCTCTGCCCTGTTGGGAGGAGCTGCGTCTTCACGCAGGGGCTGTCAGGCAGCGGATCTGTGGGTGCGACCATCCCGCATGGCTTTATTGGAATTGTAGATGAGGAGGGATGGGAATCCCGGCTGAGCTGGCTAAGGCCGAGCGAGTGTTAGGGTTTGCATGGCTGCAGGTCTGAGGTGGCGCCGTCTCCCCACTGTCTGCCCCATCGGGGGTGAGATGGTGCCGGCCCACAGGTTTCCATGAAATCCCAGGGCCCACCTTGGGTCACGTGCCCATCCTGGAACCAATGAGTGGCCGAGGCACGAAGCGCTCGGATTGGCCGGGCCTGGTCTTCTGGGCATGGGAGCAGGGCGGCATGAGACCTGGGAAGGGCCCTGGGCAGGTTGCACACCAGGCCATGCTGGACTCCTGCGGCTGTCTCAGCCTGTCTTTACTCCATTGCCTTCCTGTTTTCCTGCCCCTGATTTTTCAGTTGGCGACAAACAGCCCACAATTCTCAAATGGCGGATCCTATCGGCCACCAACGATCTGGACCGTGTGTCGGCCGTGGCGCTGCCCAAGCTGCCCATCTCGCTCACCAACACCGACCTCAAGGTGGCCAGCGACACACAGTTCTACCCTGGCCTCGGTACGGTGGAGCCAGCGGCAGCCACGCGGGGCCTCAGTTCACACCAGGGGAGTTGGGCCCTGAGCACAGGCCACGGGGTCGTGGGAGCTCACACCAGAGGACGTGGGCTCTGAGCACAGGCCATGGGGCTGTAGGAGCTCAGCCTTCTGGGTTCTGATGGGTTCCCAATTAGGAGGCAGATCTCATCTTTCGGGATCTGTGAGGCTGGCAGACAGATCCAGTGTTCTTTAATATGTAAAGAGTCATTGCAAATCAACAAGGGAGCCTGGGGAACTTGGTGGAACTCCTTCCTGGGTAGGCGGCATGTGTCCTCTCTGTGCTGCAGCAGCCATAATGTGGTCCTGAGCTCAAACCGTGGCATCCGTGCCCATGAGTGAGTCTGCACACTCTTCAGTGCCTACCCTATTTGCTCAGCTGTAAAATGTGGACAAGTCGGCCCTAGCTCAGGCCCTTTCTTCCCCCAGCTCCCGTTCTTCCCTGGTTCCCTGGAAAGAGCATTTATCAAAACCCGCTCGGGGCTCAGGGCTGTTCCTCAGAGCCTGCAGAGAGGTTGAGGGGATGCAGTTCCCTGCTCCAAAACCCTTGGTTTATGCTCCATTTTCCAGGCTCTATTTTTTTTTTTCTTTTTTTTTTTGAGTTGGAGTCTCATTCTGTTGCCCAGGCTGGAGTGCAGTGGTGTGATCTCGGCTCACTGCAACCTCCGCCTCCTGGGTTCAAGCGATTCTCCTTCCTGCCTCAGCCTCCCGAGTAGCTGGGACTACAGGCGCGTGCTGCCACGCCCGGCTAATTTTTTGTATTTTAGTAGAGACGGGGTTTCACCGGTGTTGCCCAGGCTGGTCTCGAACCCCTGAGCTCAGGCAATCTGCCCGCCTCAGCCTCCCAAAGTGCTAGGATTACAGGCGTGAGCCACCGCGCCCGGCTTTGCAGCCTCTCTACTGCAGGGACTCCTTTCATATTCTCTTTTCCATGAGCTTTGGGCTCTGGACCCCACCTCCCCCCGGCCCTCGTACAATGGCAGACCCCAGTGTGAGTGACAGCCCCAGCCCACCACCCTAAGATGCCTCTCTTTGGGACGCCAGGAGCCCCAACCCTTGGTCCCCCACCTGTAGTGCCCCCCTCCCCTGCGCTCCTTGAGGGGCGTGTCAGCCAGGACATGGGCCCAGCTGGGAGGGGCGGGGAGGGGCTGGGAGCAGTGTGGCCAAGGCTGCTGGCTCCTGCTCCCCTGGTGCTCAGGGACTGTGTAACTAAAGAAAGAGTGGCTGGGGGCACGGGCGCTGGATGCCGATTGGCGGGGGCTGACCCCCTGGATGGGCAGCCCCGGCTCTCCACACCCTGCAGAGCAGGAGGCCCCTCCCCCGGCGGGCGTGTCCTGGGCCCTGCCCATGTCTAAGCAGTGCCTGTGCCCCACAGGGCTGGCCCTGGCCTTCCACGACGGCAGCGTCCACATCGTGCACCGGCTCTCACTGCAGACCATGGCCGTCTTCTACAGCTCCGCGGCCCCGAGGCCTGTGGATGAGCCGGCCATGAAGCGCCCCCGCACCGCGGGCCCCGCCGTCCACTTAAAGGCTATGCAGCTATCGTGGACGTCACTGGCCCTGGTGGGGATTGACAGCCACGGGAAGGTGAGCTGCTGGGGCACGTGGGGCCGGGGCTGGTGGGCATTGACAACCAGGGGAAGGCGAGCTGCTGGGCATTGACAACCAGGGGAAGGTGAGCTGCTGGGGCACGTGGGGCTGGCCCTGGTGGGGATTGACAGCCAGGGGAAGGCGAGCTGCTGGGGCACGTGGGGCTGGGGCTGGTGGGCATTGACAACCAGGGGAAGGCGAGCTGCTGGGCATTGACAACCAGGGGAAGGCGAGCTGCTGGGGCACGTGGGGCTGGGGCTGGTGGGCATTGACAACCAGGGGAACGTGAGCTGCTGGGGCACGTGGGGCTGGGCTTGGGGGGCATTGACAACCACGGGAAGGTGAGCTGCTGGGCATTGACAACCAGGGGAAGGCGAGCTGCTGGGGCGTGGCCCTGGTAGGCATTGACAACCAGGGAAAGGCGAGCTGCTGGGGCACGTGGGGCTGGGGCTGGTGGGCATTGACAACCAGGGGAAGGCGAGCTGCTGGGGCACGTGGGGCTGGGGTTGGTGGGCATTGACAACCAGGGAAAGGTGAGCTGCTGGGGCATGTGCGGCTGGGGCTGGTGGGCATTGACAACCAGGGGAAGGTGAGCTGCTGGGGCACGTGGGGCTGGGCTTGGTGGGCATTGACAACCATGGGAAGGTGAGCTGCTGGGCATTGACAACCAGAGGAAGGCGAGCTGCTGGGGCATGTGGGGCTCGGCTTGGTGGGCATTGACAACCATGGGAAGGTGAGCTGCTGGGCATTGACAACCAGGGGAAGGCGAGCTGCTGGGGCACGTGGGGCTGGGGCTGGGGCTGGGGCTGGGGGGTATTGACAACCAGGGGAAGGCGAGCTGCTGGGGCACGTGGGGCTGGGGCTGGGGCTGGTGGGCATTGACAACCGGGGGAAGGTGAGCTGCTGGGACATGTGGGGCTGGGGCTGGGGCTGGTGGGCATTGATAGCCAGGGGAAGGTGAGCTGCTGGGGCACGTGGAGCTGCGGCCGGGGCCGGGGCCGGGGCCGGGGCCGGGGCTGGTGGACATTGACAACCAGGGAAAGGTGAGCTGCTGGGGCACGTGGGGCTGGGGCTGGGGCTGGGGCTGGTGGGCATTGACAACCAGGGGAAGGGGAGCTGCTGGGGCACGTGGGGCTGGGGCTGGTGGGCATTGACAACCAGGGGAAGGGGAGCTGCTGGGGCACGTGGGGCTGGCCCTGGTGGGGATTGACAACCAGGGGAAGGCGAGCTGCTGGGGCACGTGGGGTTGGGGCTGTTGGGCATTGACAACCAGGGGAAGGTGAGCTGCTGGGGCACGTGGGGCTGGGGTTGTGGCTGGTGGGCGTTGACAACCACGGGAAGGTGAGCTGCTGGGGCATGTGGGGCTGGGGCTGGGGCTGGTGGGCATTGACAACCACGGGAAGGTGAGCTGCTGGGGCACGTGGGGCTGGGGCTGGTGGGCATTGACAGCCAGGGGAAGGTGAGCTGCTGGGGCACGTGGGGCCGGGGCCGGGGCCGGGGCTGGGGCTGGTGGACATTGACAACCAGGGAAAGGTGAGCTGCTGGGGCACGTGGGGCTGGGGCTGGGGCTGGGGCTGGTGGGCATTGACAACCACGGGAAGGTGAGCTGCTGGGGCACGTGGGGCTGGGGCTGGTGGGCATTGACAACCAGGGGAAGGCGAGCTGCTGGGGCCCGTGGGGCTGGGGCTGGGGCTGGGGCTGGTGGGCATTGACAACCAGGGGAAGGTGAGCTGCTGGGGCACGTGGGGCTGGGCTCGGTGGGCATTGACAACCACGGGAAGGTGAGCTGCTGAGCATTGACAACCAGGGGAAGGTGAGTTGCTGGGGCACGTGGCGCTGGGGCTGGGGCTGGGGGGCATTGACAGCCAGGGGAAGGCGAGCTGCTGGGGCACGTGGGGCTGGGGCTGGGGCTGGTGGGCGTTGACAACCACGGAAAGGTGAGCTGCTGGGGCACGTGGGGCTGGGGCTGGGGCTGGGGCTGGTGGGCATTGACAACCACGGGAAGGTGAGCTGCTGGGGCACGTGGGGCTGGGGCTGGTGGGCATTGACAACCAGGGGAAGGCGAGCTGCTGGGGCATGTGGGGCTGGGCTTGGTGGGCATTGACAACCACGGGAAGGCGAGCTGCTGGGGCACGTGGGGCTGGGGCTGGGGCTGGGGCTGGGGCTGGTGGGCATTGACAACCAGGGGAAGGTGAGCTGCTGGGGCACGTGGGGCAGGGGCTGGTGGGCATTGACAACCAGGGGAAGGCGAGCTGCTGGGGCACGTGGGTCTGGGGCTGGGGCTGGGGCTGGGAGGGTGCCAGAGGGAGGCGCCCCCGGGGGAAGGGACCACAGGTGCAAGCCCCTCGCCAGCCCCTGCCTGCGCTGCCTTGTCTGTGTGATGGGTTCGTCTTGTTGAGCGAGGTCAGTGGGGTGGCTCACAGCACGTATTAGGAGCTTCGTAACTAGGAGCTGTTGAGAGGACCGCCTTTCACGGGGTAGACTCCTCAGGTAAAGCAGACGAGTGTAAGCCTGGCTCGGCATCCAGTGCAGTCGGGGCTCAGGGAGGTTTCCTTCCCTGTTCCCAGAGGCATTGTGCATGACCCTGACAGAAAGGTACAGACGCTACAGACACATGCGCGCACACAGGCCCACACACGGGCGTGCGCGCACACAGATCCACACACGTGCCGCAGCCCCAGGGCCCCATTCCTCTCCCGGCTGAGGGCGCAGCCCCATCTCACCGGGCTCTCCTTGGGCTCTGTCTCTGGCAGCTGAGCGTGCTCCGCCTCTCACCTTCCATGGGCCACCCGCTGGAGGTGGGGCTGGCGCTGCGGCACCTGCTCTTCCTGCTGGAGTACTGCATGGTGACCGGCTACGACTGGTGGGACATCCTGCTGCACGTGCAGCCCAGTATGGTACAGAGCCTGGTGGAGAAGCTGCACGAGGAGTACACGCGCCAGACCGCTGCCCTGCAGCAGGTGGGGGCCCGTGGCAGGTGGGGCCCCGTGGCAGGTGGGGGCCCTGTGGCAGGTGGGGGCCCCGTGGCAGGTGGGGCCCCGTGGCAGGTGGGGGCCCCGTGGCAGGTGGTCCCGTGCCAGGTGGGGCTGTCCCTGTGGCAGGCAGGGGCCCCGTGGTCAGTAAAGTGCCAGCAGCAGGGAGGGAGTTCCCTTGGAGGGTGGAGGAGGTCTCTGCAGCAGTTGTAGAGGTCCCCACGGCAGATGTGGGGGTTGTGGCAGCTGGAGGGGTTTCCCTGCGGCAGGTTGGGGGCTCTATGGCAGGCGGAGGGCAAGAGGGGCAGGTAGCCTGTGGCAGGTGAGGCTGCGTGTGGGGTGTGCTCCCAGAGGCCCGTCCAGGAAAGCTGCACCTCAGAGAAGCAGTTTCCTTCCTTACCTGGGAAGTTTCTTCTGTAACACGTTAAGCCCCACAGGTAAGGCCTGATCCCCCCTGGACGGCTCCCCTCTCCAGTGTTCCCAGTCTGGAGGTATCTTTCTAAGCCATCCTCTCAGAATGTGATGGGTACCAGGATGCACACCCGGTGGCCCTGTGGTGTGAGGCCTCAGCAAACACGGTCAGAAGATGAACACACAGAGACCCGCCCGTCGGAAGGAGAGGAGGGAGCGGATACGGAGGCCCACGTGCCAGAAGGGTCCCTTGCAGTGGTGTGGTTATGTGCCTGCAATCCCAGAGTGTCCTCGAAGGACCTCAGATCTAACGAGCTCAGCCGGCAGCTGCACGTGGGACCAGCCCTCTGAGCTTCACTTGTTTTCCTCTGTGCCATCAGAAACCAATACGAAGATAAAATGGGAAAAAAAAAATCCCATTCACGGCACAGCCTGCCGAGAAACGCGTGAGACCCAGGCGGGGGCTGCGAGGCTAAACCCCAGCGTGGCTGGGATCCGTAGCCAGTGACAGCGCTAGTGATGGCGAGACCTCGCCCTCTCCCTCCTTGGGCCGTCGCTGTGTGCCAAGCGTTTCATTTTTGTTTTTAGTTGTTTCTATTTTTTGTAGAGATGGGGTGTCCTACGTTGCACAGGCTCTCCAACTCCCAGCCTCCAGGAATCCTCCAGCCTCAGCCTCCCAAAATGCTTCAGCTCATTCATTCATTCTCTCTAGACCAGGGTCTCCCCGTAGGCACCACAGACATCGGGGGCTGGAGCAGCCTCTGGGATGGGGGTGTCCTGTTGAGCAGCCTCCCCAGCCTCCACCCGTTACTTGGCAGGGGCACCCCCAGTGGTGACAACTAAAAATATCTCCAGACATCACCAGGGGCCCCCACCAGAGGCAGAGCCGCTCCCAGCTGAGAACCCAGCACCTGGTCCTGTGCGCCTGGTCTTCCGCACCTGTTTTGCCATGAGGTTGCTGAGGTGCAGAGGCGAAGCAGCTTGCCCAGCTGACCGAGCGCCTGGTGTCAGAGTCGAACTGCTCTTCTCCTCAGCTGGAGCCTTGGCGGGCGCCTCTGCTCCGGCCCCTTGGGGTGACCTGGCTTCCTGCCCTCAGGTCCTCTCCACCCGGATCCTGGCCATGAAGGCCTCGCTCTGCAAGCTGTCGCCCTGCACGGTGACCCGCGTGTGCGACTACCACACCAAGCTCTTCCTCATCGCCATCAGCTCCACCCTGAAGTCGCTGCTGCGCCCCCACTTTCTCAACACGCCTGACAAGAGCCCCGGCGACCGGCTGACCGAGATCTGCACCAAGATCACCGACGTCGGTGGGTCCTTTTCCACGCCCGGGGCCTCGAGGTTTCTTTCATCTATTTATTTTATTTTTATTTATTTTTTTTACTCTTTTGAGATAGGGTCTTACTCTGTTGCCCAGGCTGGAGTGCAGTGGTGCGATCTCAGCTCACTGCAGCCTCCGCCTCTCTGGTTCAAGTGATTCTCCTGCCTCAGCCTCCCAAGTAGCTGGGATTACAGGCACGTGCCACCACGCCCGGCTGATTTTTTGTATTTTTAGTAGAGACGGGGTTTCACCATGTTGGCCAGGCTGGTCTCGAACTCTTGACCTCAAATGATCCGCCCGCCTCGGCCTCCTAAAGTGCTGGGATATAGCCTAAAGGCTGGGATTACACCACACCCAGGCTTTTAGAGACGGTCTCACTGTGTCATCCAGGTTGCAGCACGGTGACGCAGTCCCAGCTCAGCGCAGCCTCTGCCTTCTGGGCTCAAGCAATCTCGCCTCAGCCTCTGGAGTAGCTGGGATTACAGACACGTGCCACCACACCCGGTTTTTAATTTTTTGTAGCAACAGGGTCTCACTGTGTTGCCCAGGCTGGTCTTGACCACCTGAGCTCAAGCGATCCTTTCACCTCTCTCTACTCCTGGGGGCTGAGACGCTCCCAGGCCGACACCCGGCACCCGGGTCCTGTGCAGGCAGGTCTGCTCCTCCTTCCGTTTTGCCGTAAGGGGACTGAGGCAGAAAGGCTAAGCAGCTTGCCCAGGCTCACCCAGCACGTGGTGTCCTACTCGCCTCTGCCTCCCAAAGCGCTGGGATTACAGGCGTGAGCCACTGTGCCTGGCAGGCTGTTTCTTTTAAAAATTAGGGTTGCTGGGCGTGGCGACTCGTGTGTAATCCCAGCACTTTGGGAGGCCAACGCGGGCTGATCACGAGGTCAGGAGATCGAGATCATCCTGGCTAACACGGTGAAACCCCGTCTCTACTAAAAATACAAAAATCAGCCGGGCGTGGTGGCGGGCGCCTGTAGTCCCAGCTACTCGGGAGGCTGAGGCAGGAGAATGGCGTGAACCCGGGAGGCGGAGCTTGCAGTGAGCTGAGATCACCCCACTGCACTCCAGCCTGGGCGACAGAGTGAGACTCTGTCTCAAAAAAAAAATTTAGGGTTATCGTTTGTCTGGAGTACCCGGTTGAGTGTGGACACGTGGCACTCCTGGTAGCTGGGAGCCGTGTGCACAGTCATGGTTAGTTCTGTGGGACCACCCTAGTCACCATCCGAGAGGCATCTGTTGGGTGTGTAACCGCCGCCAGCTGCCAGCCGGGGGTGGCTGCAGCTGCACGCTGTGGACATGCCCCTGTGTTCACAGAGTTCACCTCGGAGCAGGGGGCAGATGTGCACCAGCAGGCCGGGCCTGAGCACTGGTGGCCCTGGCATGGGGACCTGCCCACGCCAAGGCCTGCAGGCCGAGAGAAGCTGGTTGGTGCTGAGCACAGCGGCCCCCGGGGGGGGGCAGGCAGTGGGCTCCCAGTTCCTCTCCGTCCGGCAACGCCATCGCCCCCTTCTCGTTCCCGGTGTGGGTCCCCTTGTGTCCTGGTACTGGGTGGGCACTCAGTGCAGGTCGAAGGACCGAGGGGTGCAGTTAGGTCACCCTGTGTGTACAAGAGGCCCGAGCTGACCCGACCCACGTCTCCTTGTAGACATTGACAAGGTCATGATCAACCTCAAGACGGAGGAATTTGTGCTGGACATGAACACACTGCAGGCGCTGCAGCAGCTCTTGCAGTGGGTGGGCGACTTCGTGCTGTACCTGCTGGCCAGCCTACCCAACCAGGTGCGCCATGCTCTCCCCTAAGGCCCCGCCCCCCACCTGGGCCCCCATCTCATCAGGACCCCGCTTCCCTGCCCCTGCCCCTCAAAACCACCTCAGCCCCGCCCCTAGTTGGAGTCCCGCCCCTACTTGGAGTCCCGCCCCTACTTGGAGTCCCGCCCCTGCTTGGAGTCCCACCTCAGCCCCGCCCCTGGTTGGAGTCCCACCCCTACTTGGAGTCCCACTTCCTGAGTCTGTCTCTTCTTAAACCCCCACTTCCTAGCCCTGCCCCACTTCCTAGCCCTGCCCCACTTCCTAGCCCTGCCCCACCTCGGAGCCCTGCCCCATCTCGGAGCCCTGCCCCACCTCGGAGCCCTCCCCCACCTCGGAGCCCTCCCCCACCTCGGAGCCCTGCCCCACCTCGGAGCCCTGCCCCACCTCGGAGCCCTGCCCCACCTCGGAGCCCTCCCCCACCTCGGAGCCCTCCCCCACCTCGGAGCCCTGCCCCACCTCGGAGCCCTCCCCCACCTCGGAGCCCTCCTCTCCATGAAGCCTCTGCTGTAAGAAGCCTTTCCTTGGCCACACCCTTCCTGCCCATTCTCAAAGCCCCGCCTCCCAGGCCCTGCTCCTTCTCAGCCCCACCCCTACACGAAGGCCGGTTCGCCTTGCTTCTGCTGCTGCTGCCCCCACCCCTTACCCTCCCCAGCTCCCTGCGCCTGGGGTGGGCGGCCTTGAAATCAAGTCTCCATCCACACCTCCACCTTCAGTTCTGCGGCTTGTGCGCCCCTGACCAGGGCTCCAACCTCGCCCCCACCCCCCCGCCGGTACACTCTGTCCTGCCCCAGCTGTGATTTCTTCTGCCCCACCCACCCGGCTTCATCCTGCCCTGGGGCCCGCCCTTCTCCACCGCGCCCATCACGGACGGTTTGAAGTCCCTCTCTTCTTTTTGTGGGGCTTTAGGCTGCCAGGGGCCACCCCTGGGGCCTCCCTTCCCTGGTCCTCTCAGCTCCCAGTACAGTCACCAGGGGCCCGGGCCCGCAGCTGTAGGAGGGGGCGGCTGCTCCTCCACGTGCAGGTGGGGATATTGGCCTCAGCCAGAGCCTCGTCTTAGTCTTGTGGACTCTCAGGGATGGGACGACTCTGCAAATGGGGCTGTCCTGGGCCCTGCAGGGCTCTGAGCAGCGTCCCCGGCATCCACCCACTCGGTGCCAGAAGCACCCCAGTCCTGACCACCACAAATGTCCCAGACCCTGCCCATTGCCCCCCGGTCGGGGTTCCACCGACCCCAAGACACTTCATCCCATCGCCATCTGCCCCCCGCCGCCCCAGCCACACCGATGCCTCTTTCGGGCAGGGTTCCCTGCTGAGGCCGGGCCACAGCTTTCTGCGGGACGGCACCTCGCTGGGCATGCTTCGGGAATTGATGGTGGTCATCCGCATCTGGGGCCTTCTGAAGCCCAGCTGCCTGCCCGTGTATACGGCCACCTCGGATACCCAGGACAGCATGTCCCTGCTCTTCCGCCTGCTCACCAAGCTCTGGATCTGCTGTGAGGCACCCCCGCCCGCCCCTCCCCTCTCCCCGCTCCCCGCTCTCCCCTCTCCCCGCTCCCCGCTCCCCGCTCTCCCCTCTCCCCGCTCTCCCCTCTCCCCGCTCTCCCCTCTCCCCGCTCTCCCTTCTCCCCGCTCTCCCCTCTCCCCTCTCCCCGCTCCCCTCTCCCTACCAAAACACAAGTCCTGCCTGAGCCCCCCGCCAGAACATAAGCCCCTGCAGGTGGCAGTGGCTCTGCCTTGATATCTGCTATTTCCCCAGTTCCTAGCACAGGTCCATGCTCTGTGTGGGTGCTTTTGGGATGGCAGCCACTTCCAGGCACCTGTTTGCTGTCTCTCCTTGTCGGGTTGTGTGTATGTGAGGAGGGTGAGCTGTGTCATTCTTACATCCCAGTGTCTGGAAAAGGCACAGTGCTTCCCACATACTTTTTAAGTGAATGAGGGAGTCTCATGACAGGCCAGAGACGGGGAGAGAACTCTGGGGTCACCCAGCCAGGCAGGCAGAGCCGGGGCCCCGACCTGGTGAGAGAACCCCGGGGTCACCCAGCCAGGCAGACAGAGCTGGGGCCCTGACCTGGTGCTCCTGAACTGGAGGGGCTCCCAGCACGTCCCGGGTGGCCGGGCGGTGCCCCAGTCAGGGGTGCTGAGACTTCCGCCACCTCTCTCCGCAGGTCGCGATGAGGGCCCAGCGAGCGAGCCGGACGAGGCGCTGGTGGATGAATGCTGCCTGCTGCCCAGCCAGCTGCTTATCCCCAGCCTGGACTGGCTGCCAGCCAGCGACGGCCTGGTTAGCCGCCTGCAGCCCAAGCAGCCCCTTCGTCTGCAGTTTGGCCGGGCGCCCACGCTGCCTGGCAGTGCTGCCACCCTGCAGCTCGACGGCCTCGCCAGGTGCGTGTGTCCCTGCATTGGTCCCCAAACACAGGACTCCTTCCTCCGTGTCCTGCCCCGGGACCCCCGAATCCACACGGCTCCCTCCCTGCATGTCCTGCCCCAGGTCCCCCCGAATCCACACGGCTCCCCGCCTCCATGTCCTGCCCGGGACCCCCCGAATCCACACGGCTCCCTCCCTCCATGTCCTGCCCCGGGACCCCCCGAATCCACACGGCTCCCTCCCTCCATGTCCTGCCCCGGGTCCCCCCGAATCCACACGGCTCCCTCCCTCCATGTCCTGCCCCAGGACCCCCCCGAATCCATACGGCTCCTTCCCTCCATGTTCTCCAGTCATGGCCATGACTGCTGCTTCCTTCTAGGTGCCCCTAACTCCATCCCCTAGTGGTGTCTTCTGCTGTGTCACGAACCACCCCCAACACGGGCACCCAGCCCTTCCATTCACCCTCTCCCTTTTTTTTTTTTTTTTTGTCTCCCCGACAGGGTCTCACTCTGTTGCCCAGGCTGGAGTGCAGTAGTGCCGTCTTGGCCCACTGCAACGTCTGCCTCTCGGGTTCAAATGATTCTCCTACCTCAGCCTTCCCAGTAGCTGGGATTACAGGCATGAGCCACCACACCTAGGTATTTTTTGTATTTTTGGTATAGAGGCGGTTTTGCAATGTTGGCCAGGCTGGTCTTGAACTCCTGACCTCAGGTGATCCACCTGCCTCGCCCTCCCAAAGTGCTGGGATTACAGGTGTGAGCCACCGCCCCGGCCTTGCCTTGGTGTTTCCTGATTGTGTGTTGGCCTCGCTGTACAGGGCGCCCTGCCTTAGCCTCTGCCCTTAGTCTCTGGCCCCCCTGGATGTCAGGCCTCGCCGTAGATCCCTCTGTGGATGGAGAGAGACGCCTTAGCATATGGCCCAGGGCCCTGCTGAGCAGACACCTCATCAGGAGGATCTCCCGGGGGCAAGAGGTCACCTTGCAGGGCCCGGGGCTGGCCTTTCTCTGGAATGTGCGGGGTTTGGGCAACCCAAGTGTGCTGAGCTGACCCTGGCTGCCCAGCAGCCCTGTGAGGTGGGACCTTGTCACCCCATTTCACGGTGAGGAAACCCAGCCTGGAAAGGGTGGGACCTTGTCACCCCACTCATCTGGGGTCACGCGGTCAGGAAGTGGCCGAGTCAGGATTTGAACCCAGGCCCGTCAGACCCCCAGCCTGTTTCAGACACACGTTTGACAAGGAGCACATGCAAACCCTCTGAGCCACTGATTGCTCAGGGCTGGAATTTTAGAAAACACAGATGAGCAAAAGGAAGAAAATGAAGTGAACCTCCAGCAGCCCTGCTCCGGGGAAGGCCCCGGCTCGGCTCCAGGACCTCCAGGGAAGGCACCCCCGGCTTGGCTCCGGGACCTCCGGGAAGGCGCCCTGGCTTGGCTCTAGGACCTCCAGCATTTTCTTCCTCGTGCTCACTGTGGGAGGGGCCTCCTAATGAGTCACACACGAGGGTTTGGGTTTCAGGAAAAGACTTGATGGAAAGAGAGGACGGTTACGTCAGAGGCTTGTAAACTGGGAAAATTTCAGATATTTAATGAGAGCAGAATAAGCCGGCCCACCCCCACCCAGACCCAGGTCCCCCACCCACCACCGAGGGCAGCTTTTGCCACCAGAATCTTGTCGTTCAGAGGTCCCGGCACCTCCAGGCCGGGTGTCTGGGCAGAGGTGGTGTGGAAGTCCCCATGTACCTGCTTCTGTCCAGCCTCAAATGGGAGCGTCACAAGCACCTTCCCTGCACCTCAGGCTCCCCGGGCACGTGGCGGACCGACCCTCGTCCCTGTGTGGGCCCCGTCCCCTTTACTG
Source organism: Homo sapiens (assembly GCF_000001405.40). Classification (NCBI taxonomy): domain Eukaryota; kingdom Metazoa; phylum Chordata; class Mammalia; order Primates; family Hominidae; genus Homo; species Homo sapiens. The sequence continues at coordinate 869,199 of NC_000019.10, read as the reverse complement.
GGTCTCTAAGCCTCAAGCTCCCCAGGCACCTGGGAGACCAACCCTCCTCCGTGTGGGGGGTCCCGCCCCCTTTACTGGGCCTGTCTCAGGTGGTCCCGCACCTCCCACCTCACTGTTCACAGACATCTGGGCCCACCTGGCAGATGGTGTGAGGCCGGCCATTCCCTCCACCCCCGCCTGTGGACAGATGCCCCTGCCGGAACCTGGCCTCGTGGTGCCCAGGCCTCCCTCACGTTCTCCCCTCTCCCGCCAGGGCCCCAGGCCAGCCCAAGATCGACCACCTGCGGAGGCTGCACCTTGGCGCTTGCCCCACGGAGGAATGCAAGGCCTGCACCAGGTGAGGGGCCCCCGGAACCGCTGACTCCCAGAGATGTGCCGCTGGGGATGGCTCAGCTGATTCTAGCCCCCACCCAGCGCTCCAGACGGTCAAGGGTGGTGGAGGGAGCACGTCCCAGAGGGAGTGTTGGAGCCAGGATCCCAGGATGTGGAGCAGTTAACTTGGTGTGGCGGGGCTAGTTCAGGGAGCAGCATTGCTGGGGGGAGGAGAAGCATGGGCAGAGGCCCTGTGGCAGGTGGGGACGTGGGGAGCAGGCGTGAGGGACGGCGAGCAGAGGGAGACCTGCCTGGAAGCAAAAGTGGGGCAGGCGTAAGGGAGGCCCGCCTGGAAGTGGGAACCCGCTCAGTGCCTGCCTCCCCGCAGGTGCGGCTGTGTCACCATGCTCAAGTCGCCCAACAGAACCACGGCGGTGAAGCAGTGGGAGCAGCGCTGGATCAAGAACTGCCTGTGCGGTGGGCTCTGGTGGCGGGTGCCCCTCAGCTACCCCTGAGCCCAGCTGCCCCTCAGCTACTCCTCAGCTACCCCTCAGCTGCCCCTGAGCCCGGCTGCTGCAAGAGCCACCGCTCGCCCTGGACTCTCCTCGGCGCGGTTAACCTCAGCCCGCCCTGCAGGGCTGTTGAAGGCCGTGGGCCGGACGCCTGCGTGACCAGCAGAGCTTCTGAGGAAGCCCCTGCCTTTGTCCAGCTGGGCCCGCAGTCCACACACCACTCTCCCAGGACCCCCAGATCCCTGGACCATCTGCATCCAGAGGACCGTCCGTGACGGCCGGGGGTCCAGGCGGACCTTGTGGTGACCCGGCTCGGGCGTCTCCTCGGTTTCCTTGCCTCACCCGCGGAGAGCGCTGAACCTGGACAAGCAGCGGCTGGGAAGGACAGGTCCAATAAACGCCCTCTGCGCCCAGGCCCGCGTCCCTGCCGTCGGTGCCCCCGACCCCACCCACGACCTCGATTTGGTGCCGGGAGCCTGTGTCCTCTTGGCCTGTCTTTAAATCCTTCAGCATTTATGGGGCACCTAGTGGATGCCGAGTCTGGGGGTATCCAAAGTGAGCAGTGGGGACAGGACACAGCAGGCCGGTGGATGGGATGGGGCGGCCATCGTCAGGGTGGCTTCTGTCCAGGCATCTGCCTTTCAGTGTGTTGTCTGCCTGTCTCTATACTGTCTCTGCGTGCTCTCCTTGTTTCTGCGTGTCTCTGGTATCTCTGCACTTCTCTGTGTATGGTCTCTGTGTCTCTGCATGCTGTTTCTGTGTCTCTGCCTGACTCTGTCCCTGTTATGTTTCTCCAGCTGCTCTCTGCTGGAGGTTGCTTAGCCCCTGGGCCAAGTTTCTGCCGTTTCTGTTGCTGTCCCCAGGGGTCCCGCCTTCCGTCTCCAGCAGGCCTTCCCAGCACAGTGGTGCCCCTGCTGTGTGCCGACGGACTCCTCCTTTCTGCAGCTCTGGGGAGGGCAGCGAGGGTGGGGTGAGTGCCCAGTGCCGGCTCGCGAGGCGGGAGCTCAGGCACCCCGTCACCTGGCTGAGGCACTCCCACTTTAAGGCCCCCCCACTTTAAGGCCCCCCCACTTTAAGGCCCCCGTCCTCGGCCGCAGACTCCAAGCTCTGCTGGGACACCGAGCCCCGTCTCACCGTCCCCCTGGCCATCCTCTGAGGGACAGACCCTAGGGCAGCTCCCGGCCCCACTCCTGCGACCTCCTCTCGAGCTCAGGAGTGTGTGGGCCTCCATCTCCCCCAGTCACTCAGCATGTGTGGGGCGCCTTGTGGATGCCAGGGGTGTCCAAAGCAAGTGACAGACAGAACACAGTGGGCCCTGGCGGGTGGTTGGGGGCGGCTTTTGTCCGGGTGTCTGCGGCGTTTCCATGTGGCTCTGCAGAGACCAGAGTGCAGGAGCGCTGGCGAGGGGTGCGGGCCCGCAGTGGGTGGACGGAGAGGAGATGGGAGCGCTGGCGAGGGGTGCGGGCCCGCAGTGGGTGGACGGAGAGGAGATGGGAGCGCTGGCGAGGGGTGCGGGCCCGCAGTGGGCGGACGGAGAGGAGATGGGAGCGCTGGTGAGGGGTGCGGGCCCGCGGCGGGTGGACGGGGAGGACATGGGAGCGCTGGTGAGGGGTGCAGGCCCGCGGCGGGTGGACGGGGAGGAGATGGGAGCGCTGGCGAGGGGTGCAGGCCCGCGGCGGGTGGACGGGGAGGACATGGGAGCGCTGGCGAGGGGTGCAGGCCCGCGGCGGGTGGACGGGGAGGACATGGGAGCGCTGGCGAGGGGTGCAGGCCCGCGGCGGGTGGACGGGGAGGAGATGGGAGCGCTGGCGAGGGGTGCAGGCCTGCGGCGGGTGGACGGGGAGGAGATGGGAGCACTGGTGAGGGTGCCCATGCGTTGTGGGACGCAGGCTCGTGGGCAGCTTCAGGGGCCGGGAGATCAGAGTCACCCAGTGCCCGACTCAGAAGTGAAAATGCCTCTAGCTGACCCCAGCCCCCCGTGGTTCTGGTGACCTGGCTGAGGTCTGGACGCGTGGAGTGGGGACAGGATGCCCCCTGGTCCCATCAGTTCCTGACCACTTGAGCCGGGGTGGGCTTTGCGTCACTAGGTGGGGGGGGGGTCTGTCAGACCACTGTCACAAGCTGGCTGTCATGAGCTTCTACCTCACTCAGGTACAGTGGGGTGGGCGAGGCAGGCAGGGCATGGGGGTGCTGAGAGGCGGCCTGTGGCCCTGAAGCTCTGCTGTCCCCGCCCCCGGCTTCCCAAGGTCCTCGTCGCCTCGCGGTTCCCCCAGGGGTCCTCAAAATCTCCCTAAGAGCCAGGGACGTTGGGGCCCCGAGATACAGATGAGGAAACAGAGGCCATATATATGGCAGTGCGGAGACTGGACCGCGTCTCAACTCAGAGGACTATGTGGTGCCCAGATGTTCCCGTCCTGCATCCTCCCCACCACTCCTGTTCCACCGCCTCCTAAACCGTCTCCTCCTCCGGAACCCTCCGTAGCTCCTGCGGACCAAAGGATGCAAAGATGCCCAGGCAGGCCGGATGCAGCAGCTCACGCACCAGCACCATAAGAGACCCAGGCAGGAGGATCACTTGAGCCTGGGAGTTCAAGACCAACCTGGGGCAACATGGCGAGACCTCATCTCTACAAAAATCTTAAAAATTAGCTGGGTGGCCAGGCGAGGTGGCTCATGCCTGTAACTCCAGCACTTTGGGAGGCCGAGGGGGGGCGGATCACCTGAGGTCGGAAGTTCGAGACCAGCCTGACCAACATGGAGAAACCCCGTCTCTACTAAAAATGCAAAATTAGCCGGGCGTGGTGGCGCATGCCTGTAATCCCAGCTACTCGGGAGGCTGAGGCAGGAGAATCGCTTGAACCATCAGGCAGAGGTTGCAGTGAGCCGAGATCGTGCCATTGCACTCCAGCCTGGGCGACGAGAGAGACTCCGTCTCAAAAACAACAAAAACAAAAACGTGAAATTCACACAGTGAGCTCCAACTTCGTGGTGGTCACCAGACGGCTGAATGGGCCCCCTTCCGTGCAGTGCAGTATTTACCAAATTCCTAAGAGCAGGGCTGGGGCTTAGATGTGTCTTACCGTGCCCGGCCCAGGGCTCTGCACACAGTAAGTGCTCAATACGTGCTTGCACGTCAGTGTGATTCCTAGGTGAGTGTTCCATAGCCCCAAAAACACCCAAGCACAGTGTTCATCAATCCATCCCCCCTTTTCCCAGCGGACCTGCCTCTCAGATCATCAGTCTTTTTTTTTTTTTTGAGATGGAATCTCGCTCTGTCACCCAGGCTGCAGTGTAGTGGTGTGATCTCCACTCACTGCAACCTCCACCTCCCGGGTTCACGCCATTCTGCCTCAGCGTCCCGAGCAGCTGGGACTACAGGTGCCTGCCACCACGCCCGGCTAATTTTTTGTATTTTTAGTAGAGACGGGGTTTCACCGTGTTAGCCAGGATGGTCTCGATCTCCTGACCTCATGATCTGCCCGCCTCAGCCTCCCAAAGTGCTGGGATGACAGGCGTGAGCCACCGGCACCCGGCCCATCAGTCACTTTTTCTTTTCTCTTTTTTTTTTTTTTCTTTCTTTTTGAGATGGAGTCTCCTTCTGTTGCCCAGGTTGAAATGCAGTGGTGCTATCTCGGCTCACTGCAAGCTTCACCTCCTGGATTCAAGCTATTCTCCTGCCTCAGCCTCCCAAGTAGCTGGGACTACAGGCATCCGCCACCACGCCCGGCTAATTTTTTTGTATTTTTAGTGGAGATGGGATTTCACCGTGTTGGCCAGGATGGTCTCAATCTCCTGACCTTGTGATCTGCCCGCCTCGGCCTCCCAAAGTGCTGGGATTACAGGCATGAGCCACCGCGCCTGGCCCATCAGTCTTTTTCTACGATAGCGCCTGGCTGCCCCTCCACCAGGTGGGAGAAAGGGCACAGGGCCTCAGGTGTCCTCCCTGGCCTTGCCAAGAAGGGTGACCTGAGGTCCAGGGCCTCCAGCAAGCAGGTGCCGCTGCTCGTCGTCCTGGTGTGGGTCTGGCCGCACCCAGGGTGGTTTGTGAAGGCAGGCTCCGTGGCTCTGGGCTCCAGTCCAGGCTGTGTCCTGGAGCTTCTGTGTAAGGTCAGGAGAGTCGCACAGTCCCTGTGAGCCTCAGTTTCCCCTTATGGGATATGGGTCATAGGAACACGGCCTCGAAGGGTTTCTGTGCACCTGAGTCTCAGCCCACAGCCTTGCACACAGAAGACGCTCACATTCCCCTTGGTAAGCAAAGGGAAACGGTATGAGCCAGACCAGGAGGGGACACCCATGCCTGGCGGGCCTTCGCGCGTGTGTGTGTGTGTGTGTGGCAAGGGCGCCGCCGTGTGGCCGCGTCAGCCCCACGGAAGCGCTGGACCCGGAACTTCGCTGTATTCTCCGTTCTTGCGCTTTTATCTGTAGCTTCCCGCGTTCCTCTTTTTTTAATGTTTCTGTTTTTGTTTTGAGACAGAGTCTCGCTCTGTCACCCAGGTCGGAGTACAGTGGTGCGATCTCAGCTCACTGCAACCTCCGCCTCCCGGGTTCAAGCTATCCTCCTGCCTCAGCCTCCTGAGTAGCTGGGGCTACAGGTGCCCACCACCACGCTCAGCTAATTTTTTTTTGTATTTTTAGTAGACACGGGGTTTCACCATGTTGGTCAGGCTGATCAGGAACTCCTGACCTCAAATGATCCGCCCGCCTCGGCCTCCCAAAGTGCTGGGATTACAGGCGTGAGCCACCACGCAGAATTTTTTTTTTTTTTTTGTAGAGAGAGACAAGGTTTCACTCTGTTGCCCAGGCTGGAGGGCAGTGGTGCAATCACAACTCACTGCAGCCTCAGCCTCCTGCGTTCAAGTCATCCTCCCACCTCAGCCTCCTGAGTAGCTGGAACTACAAGCACCCACCTCCATGCCCGCCAATTGCCCAGCTAATTTTTTATTTATTTGTAGAGATGGAGTCGCGCTACGTGGCCCATGCTGATCTCGAACTCCTGAGATCCAATGATCCTCCCACCTCGGCCTCCCCTTCTGCATATAGTAGGTGCTCAATAAAGACCAACCAGATGCAGGAGTGGATGACTTCATTGCTCGGGACTTTGTTGCTTGGGTGACCCTGACCTTCAGGCCCCGGCACCCTAGGCCAGGACGCTGTCGATCCAGGCCGCATAGCTCGCCACGCGGGTGTAGATCCCGGGCTTCTTGCGGTTGCCGCAAACGCGCGAGCCCGAGGTGACCACGCCCTCGAGCACGCCCCCGCACACCAGCGGGCCCCCGGAGTCACCCTGCCGGAACAGGACGGGGCCGTGAGGGGCGGCCCGCGCCCACCCCGGCCTCACGTGTTAGACCCCCTCACCTGGCTGCCGCTCCCGCCCCACAATGCTCGCTCATCCCTCCCGTGTTAATTTGGTCTTCACTAGTCAATAGCCCCGCGCCACGCCTATCGCCTAGGCCACAACCACAAGCCACGCCCCTCTAGGCCCGCCCCCAGCTCCTGGCCACACCCCCTCTGGCCTCAACCTCACCACGTGTTCCCCCGACCCCACCCCGCTCCAAGCCCTTTCCAGTATGGGGGTCCCACACCTCATTCCTGCTCTTCCAAGCTTTGACTTGCCGTGGATCCCACTTCTGCCCTAACGCGTCTCAGTGGCCACCTGCTCTGCTCAGTCCCCACTCACCTCAGGCCACGCCCCTCCCTTAAGCCCCACCCAATCTTGGCCCCGGCTACCATGCAAGCCTCGGCTGGTCTTAAACCTCTGCCCTGCTCAGGACCCCTTCTCTTCCCTGCCACAGCAGGGATCCCGCTCCGCACCAGCCCTGCCCCTTCAGAGGTTCCCGCCCCTTCCACCTGCCCCGCCCCGTCCCCATGCCCCGCCCCTTCCTCCACGTGCCCGCCCCCTATACCTCCCACCCTTTCTCTGCCACCTGCCCTTTTGCCCGCCCTGACCCTTCTCCAGCCCCACCCTCCCCACAGGTACCGCCCCTTCCTCCATGCCCTGCCCCTCATGCCCCAACCCTCTTCCTGGCCTCGCCCCCTTGCAGTCCCGCTATTACTGGACTCCGCCCCCTCCTCGAGCCCCGCCCCCTATTCCCACCCTAACCCACAGGTCCTTCCACATCCCACCCGTTCCTGCCCTTTCTGCCCGCCCTGACCCTTCTTCAGCCCCACCCTCTCCAGAGGCCCCGTACCTTCTCCAGGCCTCGCCCCCAAGGCCCCACCCTACCCACATGCCCCGCCCCCTCATACAGGCCCCGCCCACGGGCCACCCTCATGCTCCGCCCATCTTCCAGTTCCCGCCCCCTACGCGCCCCGCCCCTTCCCTGGGCCCTGTTCCTACTTGCCCCCCGCTTCGCGCTCCCTCTGCAGGCCCTTCCCGGGGCCTGCAGGCCCCGCGTCTCCTCCCAGGCCTGAAGGCTCACCTTGCAGCTGTCCCGGCGATTGCTCTCCGCGCACATCAAGCGCTCGGTGATGGCGCCGTCGTGGTGCGTGCGCCGGTTGCAGGTGGCGCGGTCCAGCACTGGCAAGAGCACGTGCTGCAGGCTGTCCGGGCGGCGGCCCGCGTGGTTGACTATGCCCCAGCCGGCCACGTCGCAGAGAGTTCCCGGTGCCACGTCGCGGTCCACGCGCTGCCAGGGCAGGGGGCGCACAGCAGGGCCCAGTGTGGCCTTCTCCGACAGCTGAGGGTGGAGGCGGACGTCAGGGTTGGGGTGCGGGGGTGCGAGGCTGGGGAGAATGCCGCTAGGCTCGGGGAGACGGGACGGGGGAGGTGGGCATCAGGGCAGGGGCGTGGGTCTCAGTGCAGCAGGAGAGATTTAGGCTAGACCCTGGGTGGGGGTGCAGGTGGGGATGGGGTGGGTGCGAGGCTCACCAGTGCAGCTGCAAAGGTCGAGGCTGGAACCGGGATGGGGATGCAGGGGGAGCGGGGGGTGGGGGGCTCCCAGTGCAGCCGCAGAGGTCGAGGCTAGACCCGGGGTGAGGGTGCGGGGGTTGTAGGGCGGGGTCCCCATGCAGCAGGAGAGGTCGAGGCTGGACCCGGGGTGAGGGTGCAGGGGGTGGGGGGGCTCCGAGCGCAGCAAGAGAGGTCGAGGCTAGACCCGGGGTGAGGGTGTGGGGGTTGTGGGGCGGGGTCCCCATGCAGCAGGAGAGTTCGAGGCTGGACCCGGGGTGAGGGTGCAGAGGGTGGGGGGGCTCCGAGCGCAGCAAGAGAGGTCGAGGCTAGACCCGGGGTGAGGGTGTGGGGGTTGTGGGGCGGGGTCCCCATGCAGCAGGAGAGGTCGAGGCTGGACCCGGGGCGCGGTGTAGGCGGGGTGGAGTGAGGGTGGGCCGGGGATCCCAGCGCCGCAGGAGGGACTGCGCTACACGGGGCCGACCTGTAGCAGCAGGAGGTCGTGGTCGATGGTGTCGGGCTGGCTGTCCGGGTGGGGCACTGCGCGGAGCACGTCGTACAGGCGCTTGGAGGGCTCCGGCTGCGACAGGGAGTGCGCGCCCAGGAGAACCTGCACCTTCCCGTCGGCCCTGGGGACCGGACGGAGTCCGCGGTCGGTGCCAGCCGACTCCCCCCACCGCACCCGGGCTCTTCCCCCGCGCGGCGCGGGCACTCACGCGTCCTCCAGGCAGTGCGCCGCGCTCAGCACCCACTGCTCCGCCACCAGGACGCCGCCGCACAGGTGCGCGCCGTTCAGCTGCACCGACGCCATGTAGGGCCGCGCGTGCGCCTCGGCCTCTCTGCCGCCCAGGATCCGACCACGGGGCGGCGCCGCTGTGGGTGGGCGGGCGCGTGAGGGCCGCGGGGTGGACTCCTCCCCCGGGCGAGGCTGCCTGACGGGATCCCAGCTCTCACCCCCCAGGCCGCTCCCCGCAAGAATCCCATCTCTGGGCGCGGTGGCTCACGCCTGTAATCCCAGCACTTTGTGAAGCCGCGCGGGGGCGGGGGGGGAGGGGGGGGTGCAGATCATGAGGTCAGGAGTTCAAGACCAGCCTGGCCAATATGGTGAAACCCCGTCTCTACTTTAAAAAAAAATACAAAATTTAGTCGGCGTGGCCTATAATCTCAGCTATTCGGAAGGCTGAGGCAGGAGAATCGCTTGAACCCGGGAGTCGGAGTTTGCAGTGAGCCGAGATCGCACCACTGCACTCCAGCCTGGACGACAGAGCGAGACTCCCTATCAAAAAAAAAAAGAAAGAAAAAAAAGAATCCCGTTTCCGTCTTGGGGCCCCTCAGCGTTGCAAACTCAGATACCCTCGGGCGGGAATGCCCCAGAGTACAGAACCCACAGTGGGCTGGGGACCGGGGGCAGATCCCAGCGCCCTACCCTGGGCGCAGTGCCTTCCAGTTGGACATAAGAGAAATGGGGCTGACCCAGCCAGTGCCTGGGCCAGCCCAGTCAGCCACGCAGATGAAGTTTTCCACGCAGACGTTCAGACTCTGTCTGCAAGAAAAGCTGACTCCAGAAAGTTCCGATTTCCAATCTGAATTTTCTAGAATTTTTCAGCGTTCAGAGCCTTCCATTAGTGAGGAGAGACACCCCCTTCCTGCCCACCTGGAGGGGCTGGAGGACCGTCCGTGTGACGGAAGGGAGCACCACGCCCCTACACAGCCCTGTCCCTCACCCCAGGCCCAGGCCTCCTCACCGCAGGCGGCCGCTCCTAGGAGGACCAGAACTGCCAGGCGCTCCCAGCTGTGCATGGTGAAGCCGCTGTGGCTGAGACACTGACCCAGGCAGGGCCCTGGGGGTGCTTTTATGAGGGTGGAGGGGGCGGGCCGCTCCCCGGGTGGGCAGCGGCCCAGCTGGGGAAAGGGGAACTCGCCCGCCCAGCCTCCGCCCTCCCCGGGACTGGGTTACCTCCTGCCAGACTCACACCAGAGTCGACAAGTCGCTGGGAGACCCTCGGGCCTCTGTGAGCCTGACAGCCTGCTGGCCCTGGTGGGGGGCAGTCCCTCAGATGGGCAGGAGGCAGAGAGGGGGGCTGCACCCACCCCGGCCCCAACTTCACCACACCCAGAGTCCCCCAGGGTGTTTCACAATCCTAGCTGGAGGCCACAGCGTGTAAACAACCCACTTTCTTGTCCTGCTACCCTCCCTTCTTTTCCTCCTCTATATTAGAGAGAAGGTCTGTTGGGGGTAGGAAGGTCACTTGACACCTTTGTCTCTGTCCCTGTGGCCTCTGGGGCTTGACACCCTGACGAATAGAAAGTTGGAAAGGCCAAGGCAGAGGCAGCTGGGAAGACTGGCTACAAGGGACAGGAAAACCCAGACAAACTGGGTGGAGCCTGAATCATGAAAGTTATATGGAAAGTTCAGGGATGTCCGCCTTCAGGTGTGGCTTGATCCAGGTGCCTGAACAATGTCCAGTGTCTGCTTCTGGCTTCTCCTTTCTTCTCTGATGGCTTCTTTCCTCACCAGCCTCCCCTGGTGTGTTTCCAGGGACCCCACACTCAACCCAGTGGCTCAGTGGGCCCCTCCTAAAATTCTTCCTCACTCCAGCCAAGTCTCAAGGGTGCCTTGGGTTGGTGGAGCCTGGATCACACGCCCCCTCCCAAACTGTTCACTGAGGGCAGGTTCTGATGAACAGAGTCAGGGCTGGCCGGGCACAGTGGCTCCCACCTACCATCCCGGCACATTGAGAGACCCAGATAGGAGCATCTCTTGAGCCCAGGAATTCAAGGCCAGCTTGGGGAAGACGGCGAGACCCCATCTCTACAAAAAAATTAAAATAAAATACTTCTCAGAATCTGGGCCATAGGGCCTTTTGTGAGGTGGGGATTTGTGTGTGTTGTTTTTGTTTTATTACAGACAGGGTCTTGCTCTTTCATCCAGGCTCGAGTGCAGCGGTGCAATCATAGCTCACTGCAGCCTCCTCGACCTCCGGGGCTCAAGTGATCCTCCCACCTCAGCCTCCAGAAGTGCTGGGACTGCAGGCCTGCTCATGGTGTAGCTCCATTTTTCACATCTGCCCCACAGGGGCCAGCGGGATTCACGTTGCATTAATCCATGGTGCGGGGACCAGAAGGATGGGGATACCTTGTGGGGAGGACCTCAGACATTGTCCCCAGGGGGAGCAGCACACGAGGTTCCCCCGGCTTTTCTCTTCACCATGGATCATTTCTTTCTTTTCTTTCCTTTTTTTTTTTTTTTTTGAGACGGAGTCTCGCTCTGTCGCCCAGGCTGGAGTGCAGTGGCGCGATCTCAGCTCACTGCAAGCTCCGCCTCCCGGGTTCACACCATTCTCCTGCCTCAGCCTCCGGAGTAGCTGGGACTACAGGCGTCCGCCACCACGCCCGGATAATTTTTTGTATTTTTAGTAGAGATGGGTTTCACCGTGTTAGCCAGGATGGTCTCGATCTCCCGACCTCGTGATCCGCCTGCCTCGGCCTCCCAAAGTGCTGAGATTACAGGTGTGAGCCACCACGCCTAGCCTCATTTCCTTCCTTCCTTTCTCTGTTTTTCTCTTTCTTTCCCTTTCTTTTTCTTTCTTTCTTTCTCTTTCCTTCTTTTTTTCTTTCTTTCTTGCTTTTTTTTTTTTTTTGCGACAGAGTCTTGCTCTGTCGTCCAGGCTGGAGTGCAGTGGCACAATCTCGGCTCACTGCGACCTCCACCTCCCGGGTTCAAGCGATTCTACTGCCTCAGCTTCCCGAGTAGCTGGGATTACACGCATGAGCAACCACACTGGGCTAACTTTTTGTATTTTTAGTAGAGACAGGGTTTTGCCATGTTGGCCAGGCTGGTCTCGAACCTCTGACCTCAGGTGATCCGCCCACCTCGGCCTCCCAAAGTGCTGGGATTACAGGCATGAGCCACCATGCCTGGCCCCCTGTGGATTATTTCATACGCACAGAGAATAGAAAATGATATAACAACAGGGCTGGGCGTGGTGGCTACGCCTGTAATCCCAGCACTTTGGGAGGTCAAGGCGGGCGGATCACGAGTTCAGGAGATCGAGACCATCCTGGCTAACACGGTGAAACCCCGTCTCTACTAAAAATACAAAAAATGAGCCGGGCGTGGTGGCGGGCGCCTGTAGTCCCAGCTACTCGGGAGGCTGAGGCAGGAGAATGGCGTGAACCCGGGAGGCGGAGCTTGCAGTGAGCCGAGATCGCGCCACTGCACTCCAGCCTGGGCGACAGAGCGAGACTCCATCTAAAAACAAAAAAGAAAAAAACACAATGTGGGGAAGTCACTTCTGCTCCATTGCCCTGGCTGTGCTGCCCCCTGGTGGTGGCTTACTCCAGAGATGCCCAAGAGACTCTGGATTCTAGTTTGTTGTTTATTATTATTATTATCATTATTATTTATATTTATTTATTTATTTATTTATTTATTTATTTATTTATTTATTTATTTTTGAGATGGAGTTTCGCTCTTGTTGCCCAGGCTGGAGTGCAATGGAGCGATCTTGGCTCACTGCAACCTCCACCTTCCAGAATTCAGGTGATTCTCCTGCCTCAGGCTTCCCGAGTAGCTGGGATTACAGGCATGCACCACCACGCCCGGCTAATTTTGTATTTTTAGTAGATATGGGGTTTCTCCATGTTGGTCAGGCTGGTCTCGAACTTTAGACCTCAGATGATCCGCCTGCCTGGGCCTCCCAAAGAGCTGGGATTACAGGCACGAGCCACCGCACCGGTATTTTTTTTTTTTTTTTTTTTTTTTGAGACGGAGTCTCTCTGTGTTGCCCAGGCTGGAGTGCAGTGGCGTAATCTCGGCTCACTACAGCCTTCGCCTCGCAGGTTCAAGCGATTCTCCTGCCTCAGCCTCCCACGCGCCACGACGCCAAGCTAATTTTTTTTGTATTTATAGTAGAGATGGGGTTTCACCACGTTGGCAGACTAGTCTTGAACTCCCGACCTCAGGTGATCTGCCAGCCTCGGCCTCCCAAAGTGCTGGGATTGCAGGCGTAAGCCACTGGGCCAGGCTTGGACCATTTTATTTTATTTTATTTTATTTATTTATTTTTTTTTAATGGAGCGGGGGTTTTGCCATGTTGCCCAGGCTGGTCTTGAACTCCTGAGCTCAAGTGATCCGCCTGCCTCAACCTCCCAAAGTGCTGGGATTACAGGTGTGAGCCACCACGCCCGACCTACTGACCATTTTCAACACCCAATCACACAGCCAAGGAGCATCAAACACATTCTACAAAACAGAGAATGTTTATTGTGCCAGATGCTGGAGAGTGTGGGTGTGGGCAGCTGAGGTGACCCGGGCAGCCCTTCTCAGTGGGTCCTGCTGGCCGGGTCCGGGTCCCGGGGGTGGGGACAGGGGTTGTCCTCGGAGCGTTGGATGATAGAGTCGATCCAGTTTACAAACTGTGCCACCGGGGCAAAGGCATCGGGGTAGAGCCCTGAGGCGCAGCCTCCCCGGACGAAGGAGGCAATTCCGTGGATTAGCCCGTTGCAGACCAAGGGGCTGCCGGAGTCCCCCTGTGGAGGCAGACAAGGTGGGGAAGCTGGACTGCGAGGCCCTGCCCACCTGCCCGCCGCCTGTCAGGGTTGGGAAGTCCCTCCTAGGGTCTAGCCACGGTGCCTGTTGCTGCAGTCCGGGCTGGGAGCGGGTGGGGAGCAGAGGGACACCCAGGGCACGTACGAAACAGACGCCGGCCTGCCGGCCCCTCACGAGAGTGCAGACGTTGCTGCGACGGCAGAGGGACGTCACCACCGTCACGTTGAGCTCCTGCAGGACGCTGGCGATCCCACGGTTCCTGCCCAGAAGGCCCCAGCCCATGGCCAGGCACTGCACCCCGTTGCCCAGGCGGCGTCCCTGAGCCGGCAGCTGGGCCACCTGCACGTTGGCGTTGATGGTGGCCGACCCGTTGAGCTGTGGCGGTGGGGACAGATCGTCAGCGCGTCACACGGGGCAGTGATGATGACCCTCCCCTCTCCGGGCCTCAGTTTCCCCATCTCAGGTTCCACTGTGGTTCTGGGATCCTGCAGGGCAGGATACCCACCCCACACTCTGCTCCCCAAGGCAAGCCTCGGTTTCCCCATCTGTAGAGTGGGAGCCGTCACCAAGGCTCAGGGCGTTGGAGGTTGTCCCTGGATGTGGCTTGAGTGCAGGAAGCAGTAGGTGCTCAGTTAACAAAAAAACTACAGCCGGGCGCGGTGGCTCATGCTTGTAAGCCCAGCACTTTGGGAGGGCGAGGCAGGAGGATCACTTGAGGCCAGGCATTCAAGACCAGCCTGGGCAATGTGGCAAAGCCCCATGTCTACAAAAATAATAAAAAAAAATTGCCAGGTGCGGTGGCTCACGCCTATAATCCCAGCATTTTGGGAGGCTGAGGTGGGCCAATCAAAAGGTCAGGAGATCAAGACCATCCTGGCTAACATGGTTAAACCCCGTCTCTACTAACAATACCAAAAATTAGCCAGGCGTGGTGGCGGGCGCCTGTAGTCCCAGCTACCTGGGAGGCTGAGGCAGGAGAATCGCTTGAACCTGGGAGGCGGAGGTTGCAGTGAGCTGAGATTGTGCCACTGCGCTCCAGCCTGGGCGACAGAGCGAGACTTGTCTCAAAAAATATATATATATGTGTGTATATATATATTTTTATTATTTTATAAAAATATTTTTATATATTTTATATTTATTATTTTATAAAATAATAAATATTATAATTATAAATGATATTTATAATTATATAAATATTATTATAATTATAAAATAATTATAAATATTATATATTTTATTTAAATAAAATATATATTTATTATTTATAATATATGTATGTGTGTGTGTATATATATATATTAGCCAGACGTGGTGGACCCACGTGGTGGCACCTGTGGTTCCAGCTACCCCCCATTCCAAGCTGAGAGGGTGGCTTGAGCCCAGGAGATGGAGGCTGTAGTGAGCTGCGATCGCGCCACTGCACTGGGTGAGAGCTATGAGAAAACTTAGTGACAAGGAAACTCTCCCTCTAACCCTTCCCAGGGAGGAATCTTTTTTTTTTTTTTTGAGACCCAGGCTGGAGTGCAGTGGTGTGATCTCAGCTCACTGCAATCTCCGCCTCCGGGGTTCAAGCGATTCTCCTTCCTCAGCCTCCTGAGTAGTTGGCATTACAGGCACCCACAACCACACTCGGCTAATTTTTTTTTTTTGTATTTTAGTAGAGACGGGGTTTCACTATGTTGCTCAGGCTGGTCTCGAACACCTGACCTCGTGATCCACCCGCCTCAGCCTCCCAAAGTGCTGGGATGACAGGCCTGAGCCACGGGGCCCGGCGCCCAGGAAATAACCAGAACTGCAAGCCGCGGACAGGGGTGGAAAGGTGGGGACTTTTGCCCCTTTTCCCAAAGACAGAGGCGGCCCCTGCCCTGGGCCACAGGACTGGTGAATGGAGAGACACAAAGAATCTCAGTAAGTTTGTTGATTGACAGCAGATCGGGGCCTCCCTTCTCAGTAAGTTTGTTGATTGACAACAGATCGGGGCCTCCCTTCTCAGTAAGTTTGTTGATTGACAGCAGATCGGGGCCTCCCTTCTCAGTAAGTTTGTTGATTGACAACAGATCGGGGCCTCCCTTCTCAGTAAGTTTGTTGATTGACAGCAGATCGGGGCCTCCCTTCTCAGTAAGTTTGTTGATTGACAACAGATCGGGGCCTCCCTTCTCAGTAAGTTTGTTGATTGACAGCAGATCGGGGCCTCCCTTCTCAGTAAGTTTGTTGATTGACAACAGATCGGGGCCTCCCTTCTCAGTAAGTTTGTTGATTGACAACAGATCGGGGCCTCCCTTCTCAGTAAGTTTGTTGATTGACAGCAGATCGGGGCCTCCCTGCAGGATCTCATTTAACCCCTCAACGGCCCATGGCGGGTATTTTCCCGTTTCACAGAGGTGCAGACCGAGGCGCGGAGAGGGGACCACCCAGCCCACGATGCCACCCCAGGTCCCCACGAGCGGCCCCGACGCGCCCCTCCGTCGCAGCCTCCACCCTCCCCAGGCCTCTGGCCTCCGCCCCTGCGCCCCCCGCCCCGCCCGGCGGCACCTGGAGAATCACGATGTCGTTGAGCAAGTTTACGGGGTCGTAGCCGTTTTCGAAGATGCGCTGCACGGCGAACACCTGCCGGGTGGGCTCCCGCCGCGAGAGGTTATGGGCTCCCAGGACCACCCGCACCGCGCGGACGTTTCTGCCGGGGAGGGAGAGGCGGGGCTCAGGGGCGGCCCCGGGGGTCGGGGCTCAGCCGCGCCTTGTCGTCCCCATCCGGCGACGGGCCTGAGGGCGAAGGTGCTCGAGGGGCCCCGCGGGCCCTGGACGGACCCCCCCCCGCCAGCAGCCCCGGCCCCGGCCTCCCCCCACCCACCTCACAGACCGGGACGCGGGGTCCGAGCCGGGCGCGCACACTCCCGGCTACTCACACATTCGCCACGCAGTGCGCGGCCGACATGACGAAGTTGGGCGCAATCAGGGTGGCGCCGCAGAAGTGGCCTCCGCGCAGCTGCAGGGACACCATGAAGGGCCACGCGTGGGGCCGCGCTCGCCGGCCCCCCACAATCTCCGAGGCCAGCGCGGTGCCTGGGGACACACCGGGTGCGGGTGCTGAGTGCCTGCCAAGGAGCCTGTCCCCTCCCGGCCACGGGGCCTCTGGATCCCCCACCAGGAACCCACGGGATCCCCCACCGGGAACCCACGGGATCCCCCACCGGGAACCCACGGGATCGGGGCCGTTCGCACCCCTGTTGTTCAGATGAGGAAACTGAGGCACGGAGAGGCAAAGGGACCTCCCCACGGTGCCCCTCCAAGGCACAGACAGACCTGGACTTGAACCCAGAGGGCGACCTGCGACCCCCCCCCCCTCCCCGGTTTTCAAACCCCAACTCTGGGCTCCTGGTGGTGGCTTCACCGCTCAGAACCTCAGTCTCTTCTGGTCTCCTTGTCCCAGCTGGCACCTCCCCTGTGAGGATGAGGGACCCACACTGGTGGGGCCCTCTATGGAGAGGTGGGAACAGAACCCGGGACAGAGGGAGCAGCGGGAGGTTGGACTCAAAAACTCACCCCCCAGCAGCAAGGCCGGCAGGACACAGGCGAGGAAAAGACACGCGAGTCGGCGGCCGAGGGTCATGGTGGGGCTGGGGCTCCGGGGTCTCTGCCCCTCCGTGCCCGCCCGGCTCCTCTTATAGCCCTGTGCTGGGAGGCCGTTGCATTGCCCCACGGCCGGCCAGCGCCCTCCACTTCCTCTCCCCTGGCACAGGGCGTTGATGAAAAGGGGGAGAAGGGGGACAAGACGCTGGATTGGCTCGGGTGGGGCCTCCAGACAAAATTCAGGATGCACAATCGCATTCAAATGTCAGATAATCAATGTGGGTTTTTTAATTTATTTTTTTGGAGACAGAGTCTTGCTCTATCGCCCAGGCTGGAGTGCGGTGGCGTGATCCCGGCTCACGGCAACCTCCGCCTCCCAGGTTCAAGTGATTCTCCTGCCTCAGCCTCCTGAATAGCTGAGATTACAGGCACCTGCCACCACTCCCGGCTAATTTTTGTATTTGTAGTAGAGACAGTGTTTCGCCCTGTCGGCCAGGCTGGTCTTGAACATCTGACCTCGGGTGATCCGCCTGCCTCAGCCTCCCAGAGTGCTGGGATCACAGGCGTGAGCCACTGCGCCTGGCTAATTTTTTGTATTTTTAGTAGAGACGGGGTTTCACCGTGTTGGCCGGGCTGGTCTCGACGTTTTTTTTTTAATCTAAGTCTCTTCCAAATGAGGCCCAGGATATACTTACCCGAAATTCAGATTTAACCGAGCGTTGCTGTGTTTTTGCCAAACCTGCCAAACCTAGACCTGAGGGACTTGATGGGGGTGGCCTCGCCTGCCTCAGTTTACCCAGGGCCCCGTGATACCGGCCACATGCAGCTGTGTCGCCTGCCTCTGTTTATCCAGGGCCCCGTGATACCGGCCACATGCAGCTGTGTCACCTGCCTCAGTTTACCCAGGGCCCTGTGATACGGCCACATGCAGCTGTGTCGCCTGCCTCAGTTTACCCAGGGCCCTGTGATACCGGCCACATGCAGCTGTGTCGCCTGCCTCAGTTTACCCAGGGCCCTGTGATACCGGCCACATGCAGCTGTGTCGCCTGCCTCAGTTTACCCAGGGCCCTGTGATACCGGCCACATGCAGCTGTGTCGGGCACTCACTGCGCAATAGGCACTTCTCTGGTCCTTCCCAGGGTTCCTGTTTGGGAACTGAGGCACGTCAAGGGCCTCCCCCAGGAGCTGCGAGTGTAACCCAGGCCTCTGGGACCCGCAGCTGGACGGAGATCTGGGGCCGGCTCACTCCAGCCGCTCCCTGAACCTCAGGGCTCATTCTTGGGGGCCAGGCCTTCCATCCTCTCCTCGTCTGTTGCCTCCAACGGGGAACTCACTTTCACCCAGGCTCACGGTCAGTCCCTGGACACCAGCTGGGGCTCTGACAATCTCTCCCGCCCTTCTGCCTTGGTGAGCTTCCCTGAAGCCCTCCCCGCCTGAGGCAGGGGCTGGGCGGGCATCTGGCAGGGCTGCTGGAGAGAGAATTCCTGTCCAGGCCGGGAGGCTGGAGTGAGGACCAAGCCTGAGGGCTTCCGCCTGGAGGAACTGGCAGGGGAGCTGGAGTCCCAGCTGCGGGAAAGGGATTCCCAGGACCCAGCCCCGGGCTCCGGGCCCCGTTCCTCTTCCCATCTCCCCCACGATGTTCCAGCTGCAACGGCCGGGCCAAGGCTGTCGCAAGAACCAACGTCCTCCTGGCTCCAGGACAAGGGGAGGGGAAGGGAACCAACGGGCCTGTCTCCAGGAATAGGCGGGGCGAGGGCACCCGGGGACACGCAGAGCCTGGGCCAGGCTGGAGTCCTGACGTGACCACAGGCAAGTGGACCCCCATGGCTCTCGGGTTAGGGAGACAATGGCCCTGCCCTCCCAGAGCCTGGCACACAGCAGGCGCTCAGTCCATGTCTGCCCTGTCCTCAGCTTAATCAGACACACACTACCCTGCCTTCTCCCCTCCCCTTTTGGCAGGGTTCCCACCTTGCTGCCTTAACATCACCACAGTGCACTTAGTAAGCGCCTACTGTCTACACAGCCCTGTTTCAAGTCGGGGGTGGGGGGATTTCAGGGGTGGGGGACGCCGTATCTTTGGAAGGGGCTTGGCCTCCAGCACGGAGATCAGACTTGGCGTCAGCTGCATTTATTGAGCACCAGCTGTATACTACATTCTCACGTGCAGTCATTATTAAGTGTGCCGACGCTGGGTTCATATCCTGGTTCTGGTGTGGCCATTTGGCCACTGTGTAACTTCAGGCCCCTGAAATAAACTCTCCGTGACTCAGTTTCCTCCTCTGTAAAATTATAATCGTAGGATCCATCACATAAACCTGTCAAGAGGATGAAATAAATTCACGTTCATAAAGTTCTTAGCTAAGAAAGTGTTGTCTGGCCGGGCGCGGTGGCTCAGGCCTGTAATCCCAACACTTTGGGAGGCTGAGGCGGGTGTATCACCTGAGGTTGGGAATTCCAGCCTGACCAACATGGACAAACCCCGTCTCTACCAAAAATACAAAATTAGCCTGGCGTGGTGGTACCTGCCTGTAATCCCGGCTACTCGGGAGACTGAGGCAGGAGAATTGCTTGAACCTAGGAGGCGGAGGTTGCAGTGAGCCGAGATCATGCCACTGCACTCCAGCCTGGGCGACAGAGCGAGACTCCGTCTCAAAAAAAAAAAAAAAAAAAAAAAAAAAAAGAAAGTGTTGCTTTGAGAGCTGGTTCACCATTAACTGTGGCAGGGAAGGTAGGGGTGTTATGGTCACAGCGGGTGTAGACTCCGAGGGGGACGTGGGGTCTTCTGGGAGGCCAGGAGATTGCTAAGATTACAGTGACCTGGAGGTGTTCATATGTAAAGAGTCACTGAGGACCCACCTGGGCAACACAGCCAGACCCCGTCTCTACAAAAACTAAGAAAATAGCTGGGTGTGGTGGCACCTGTAGTCCCAGCTACTCGGGAGGCTGAGGTGGGAGGATCACTTGAGCCCAGGAGGTTGAGGCTGCGGTAAGCCAAGATTGCACCACTGCACTACAGACTGGGCGACAGAGTGAGACCCTGTCTCAAAAATAAATAAGTAGGCCAGCTGTAAATAAGTAAGTAGGCTCACGCCTGTAAACCCAGCACTTTGGGAAGCTGAGGCGGGTGGACCACCTGAGGTCAGGAGTTCGAGACCAGCCTGGACAACGTGGTGAAACCCTGTCTGTACTAAAAATATAAAAATTAACTGGGCGTGGTGGTCTGTGCCTGTAGTCCCAGCTACTCCGGAGGCTGAGGCAGGAGAATCGCTTCAACCCGGGTGGCGGAGCTTGCAGTGAGCCGAGATCACACCACTGCACTCCAGCCTGGGTGACAGAGCGAGACTCTGTCTCAAAAAAATATTAAAAAGAAAAAAAAAACACCAGCAATGAGCTTCATTTCTTCTCTACACGTGTCCTGGAGCAGGTCGTCCCCTCTCTGTGGCTAATGCCTCCTTCTAGTGGCCACTTGCCCGTCTTTGAGCTGGACTGTGAGTCCCACCTCTTCCCCGCCTCGGACCTCCCCTCTGGCCACCCCCCCACCCAGTTCATTGCTCATGCTTCTACCAGGGAACTCCTGCCCTGCCTACCCCTCCTACGAGAAATAGCGCTCCAACCCCATTACCCCTCCCCTGCACCCACATCCCTCCCCTGCCTGCCCTCCTCCCCGTCCCCTGGCCTCTAGCCCTCAGGTCTCTGCCTGGACTGTGCCCCCTGCCTGGCAGCCCTTCGGATGTTTCTGTTCACACCTTGATATGCAGCTCTGGCACTGCCACCTCCTCCAGGAAGCCCCCCAGGCTGCTTCCCCATCCCCATCCCCTTCCTCAAGGAGTCCCTGAGCCAGCAGGGACAGTTCTAGGAAACGTCTGGGGCGAGTCCATTTTCCAGATGAGGAAACTGAGGCACGGAGATGAATAACAACCTGCCCAGGGCCACCCTGATGGGGCCGGGTTAGAACCCACAGCCACGAGCATCCAGGAGAGAGACCCCCTGCAACCTGGGCCCCCATCCCCCGCTCCGACTCCCCCCATCCTGAGTTTGGGGCTCGGGGACTTGAACCCAGGGGACCTCTCCCTGGTTCCCTCCCTATATGGGAAGGACAGACAGGAGCCAGGGGGAGTTTCAACGTTTATTGAGGTCACGGTGGGCAGTTCCCCCTCCCCTCCCTATATGGGAAGGACAGACAGGAGCCAGGGGGAGTTTCAACGTTTATTGAGGTCACGGTGGGGTGAGGTGCAGGGCCGGCCTGTCTCCCGGAGCCCCGTGGGAGGGAGTGTGGGGGGACGGGTGGGGCCGTCCCGGACGCCACAGTGTTCGGGGAAGAGCTGCTTCTGTCCAAAGATCCGCCTCGAGGGTTTGGAGCCAGGCTCGGGGTCCCGGCCAGCGCTGTGGGAGGGGCGGTTCAGGGGCGGCCCTTGGCCTCCACACGGCGCAGCGTGGAACGGATCCAGTCCACGTAGAGGGCTACCCGCGTGAAGAAGTCAGGGAAAAGGCGGGTGGCACATCCCCAGATCACGAAGGAGTCTATTCCTTGGATGATGCCATCACAGATCAGGGGGCCACCTGAGTCTCCCTGGAGGACAGGGACGGCCAGTCACCCATCAGGGGCCACCTGAGTCTCCCTGGAGGATGGGGACGGCCAGTCACCCATCAGGGGCCACCTGAGTCTCCCGGGAGGATGGGGACAGCCAGTCACCCGGGCTGGCCCCAGGCAGCCAGGAAGGGGGCTGGGGTAGCCACAGCTGTTTCAGAATAAAATGCTTCCAATATGGAACTTTCTTTCTTTCTTTCTCTCTCTCTCTCTCTCTCTCTCTCTTTCTTTTTCTTTCTTTCTTTCTTTCTTTCTCTCTTTTTCTTTCTTTCTTCTTTCTTTCTCTCTCTATCTCTTTCTTTCTTTCTCCTTTTGTTTTGTTTTGTTTTGTTTTTGTTTTGTTTGCGACAGAGTCTCGCTCTGTCACCCAGGCTGGAGTGCAGTGCCGTGATCTCGGCTCACTGCAACCTCTGCCTCCCGGGTTCAAGTGATTCTCCTGCCTCGGCCTCCCGAGTAGCTGGCTGTCTTTCTCTCGAGACAGGGTCTCGCTCTGTTCTCCAGGCTGGAGTGCAGTGGCACAATCATAGCTCACTGCAACCTCGAACTCCCCAGGCTCAAGTGATCCTCCTGCCTTAGCCTCCTGAGTAGCTGGGCCTACAGGCTCACATCACCATGCCCAGCTAATATTTAAATTATTTGTAGAGATGCCACCCTGCTATGTTGCCCAGGCTGGTCTTGAACTCCTGGACTCAAAAGATCCTTCCGCTTTGGCCTCCCAAAGTGCTGAGATTACAGGCGTGAGCCACCACTGCTGGCCTGGAATTTTCTTTAAAATGTGTGAGCACCAGCCAGGCATCACTTGATGCCAGGAGTTCAAGACCAGCCTGGTCAACATGGAGAAACCTCATCTCTACTAAAAATACCAAAAAAATTAGCCAGGCACGGTGGCAGGTACCTGTGCACCTAGTTACTCAGGAGGCTGAGGCAGGAGAATACCTTGAACCTGGGAGGTGGAGGTTGCAGTGAGCTGAGATCTCACCACTGCACTCCAGCCTGGACAACAGAGCGACACTCCGTCTCAAAAACAAACAAAAAGTGTGAGCAGGGAGGGGCTGAGGTCTTTCGTAGGAACTGGGCATTTATGGGCCTCCCGCTGGATACCTGGAGTCCTGGATTCTGGAAGGGGCCGCCGGTGAGGGCGGATGGGTCTCCCACACCTTCCTGTGGTCCTAGAGGGGAGTGGGGGGCAGGGAACCCCCAGACCCACCCAAGCAGCCAGGTGCAATGTGAGCGCCCCCACCCCGCTGAGCCTGCCCGTTGGGTGTTGGGTGTGCCCACCTTCCAGGTGGGGAGACTGAGGCACAGCATGAAGCCACACAGCTAAGAGGTGGCGTGGAACCCTGGCCGCCGCCCTCCTCCCCTCATGGCAGCCCGGTGCCCGGGGTGGGGGCACGGTTACTTACGAAGCAGATGCCGGCCTTGCGGCGAGGGACGAAAGTGCAAATGTTATGTGGCCGGCAGAAGAAGGTGACCACGGTGACATTGAGCTCCTGCAGGACCTGGGCTGGGGGGTCGTGGGCACCCACGCGGCCCCAGCCCATGGCCAGGCACTGGGTGCCGTGGGGCACTGGCTGGTCCTGCTGTGGCAGCTGGACTGTGGCGACGGAGGCACTGAGGTTGGCTGGGCTGCTCAGCTGGGGCAGAAGGCAGGCGGCGGTGAGACGCTGCTTCCAGGTCACGGTGGCCGCCCGGGCCGCCCTCCCACCACACCCACCACACCCACCACCTCAAAACGCCGCGGATGCCGCTCCCTCCGCCTGGGCCCCACGACCCCCTTTGTCCCATTTGTCACTATTGTATTCATTCATTTTCTTTCCTTCTTTCTTTCTTTTGAGATGGAGTCTTGCTCTGCCACCCAGGCTGGAATGCAGTGGCGTGATCTCGGCTCACTGGAACCTCCCGGAGCCATCCCATTGGGTGAGGTGGCCAGCCTGGTCTCAAACTCCCAACCTCAAGTGATCTGCCTTCCTCAGCCTCCGAAAGTGCTGGGATTACAAGTGTGAGCCATAGTGCCCGGCCATTCATTCATGTTTTCTTTCTTTCTTTCTTTTCTTTTTTTTTTTTTTGAGATGGAGTTTCGCTCTTGTTGCCCAGGCTAGAGTGCAGTGGCACAATCTCGGCTCACTGCAACCTCTGCCTCCTGGGTTCAAGCAATTCTGCTGCCTCAGCCTCCCAAGTAGCTGGGACTACAGACACCTGCCGTCACGCCCAGCTAATTTTTGTATTTTTAGTAGACACGGGGTTTGCCATATCGATCAGGCTGGTCTCAAACTCCTGACCTCAGGCGATCCGCCCGCCTCGGCCTCCCAAAGTGCTGGGATTACAGCCACCGCCCCTGGCCCATTCATTCATCTTCAAAGCACTTTTTTTTTGAGATGGGGTCTTGCTCTGTCGCCGAGGCTGGAGTGTGGTGGCATGATCACAGCTCACTGCAGCCTCAACCTCCTGGGCTCAAGTGATCCTCCCATCTCAGCTCATGAGTGGCTTGGCGTGTGCTACCATGCCCGGTTGATTTTTAAATTTTTCTTTTGTAGGCTGGACGCGGTGGCTCTCTCCTATAATCCCAGCACTTTGGGAGGCTGAGGAGAGCAGATCACTTGAGGTCAGGAGTTCGAGACCAGCCTGGCCAACGTGGCAAAACACCGTCTCTACTAAAAATACAAAAATTAGCCAAGCGTGTTGGTGCATGCCTGTAATCCCAGCTACTCAGGAGGCTGAGGCAGGAGAATTACTTGAACCTGGAAGGCAGAGGTGGCAGTGAGCCGAGATTGCACCACTGCACTCCAGCCTGGATGACTGAGTGAGACTCTGTCTAAAAAAAAAAAAAAAAAAAATGTCTTTTATAGAGATGGGGTCTCACTAGGTTGGTCAGGCTGCTCCCAAACTCCTGGCCTCAAGTGATCCTCCCATCCCAGCCTCCCAAAGTACTGGGAGTACAGGCGTGAGCCACAGTGCCCAGCCCCAAGCACTTACTGAGCACCACCTGTATGCCCAGTCCCGTTCTAAGCCACATGAGTCCAATAACGAACAACACAGACAAAAATCCTCTGCCCTGGGGAGCTGATCTTTCTGGGTGGGAGGAGGCTAGGAGGGCCCCATGAATGAGAGGAGCACGCGGTTCAGTGGAGAACAGTGAATCGGGGAGGGCTGTGGCTGTCCTCGCCACTTCCAGTGAGGTCAGGGGAGGCGCCGGAGGAGGCGAGGGCACCTGGCTTTCTGGGGGAACAGCACACCGGGCGGAGGCGCAGGCAGGGGAGAGGGGCAGGCAGGGGAGAGGCGCGCAGGGGAGAGGCGCGGGCGGGGGAGAGGCGCGGGCGGGGGAGAGGAGCGGCCGGGGGAGAGGCGCGGGCAGGGGAGAGGCGCGCAGGGGAGAGGCGCGGGCAGGGGAGAGGGGCGGGCAAGGGAGAGGCATGCAGGGGAGAGGCGCGGGCAGGGGAGAGGGGCGGGCAAGGGAGAGGCGCGGGCGGGGGAGAGGCGCGGGCGGGGGAGAGGCGCGGGCGGGGGAGAGGCGCGCAGGGGAGAGGCGCGGGCGGGGGAGAGGCGCGGGCGGGGGAGAGGCGGGGAGGAGGAGTGGCCTGGTGTCCAAGGAGCGGTCTCCCCCGGCCAGTGCCACTGGACCCAGGCTGCAGCGGCCTCGGTCGTGGCCCGGTATACAGTGGGTGCTCAATGAATGCTGGCTGCAGGAATGGGGGTCCCGGAGCCCTCTGGCCGTGCCCCTCCGAGCCCTCGCGGCCCTGCCCGCCCACCTGGATGAGGAGAACGTCGTTCAGTTTGTTCTCCGCGTCGTAGTTGTTCAGAAACACCTGAGCCACCGAGAAGTGCTGCTGGGTGGGCTCCTGCGTCCGCACGTTGTGGGCTCCGAGCACCACGTTCACCAGGCGCTGGGGTCTGCGGGGGTGGGGTGGTCACTCCTCGGCGCCCTGGACACTCGCCGCCGCCCACAGCCGGCCCTTCCCGAGGCCGCGGTGCAGCCCCAGACCCCTCCCTCGGCGACCCTGCCCCGGGCCTCCCCCCAGAACTGCCCACGCGCGCGGGGCCTGGGGTCTGCAGACGGGGCTTAGCTGGGTCCTCCCCGGGCAGAGGGACAGTGGCCGGGCCAGGGCTGGAGGAAGAGGGCGGGGCGGGCGGACAGGGGTGTGGAGGCGGCCGCTCACATGTCCCGCAGGCAGTGCGCGGCCGTCAGCACGAAGCTGGGGTGGATCAAGGTGCCTCCGCAGAAGTGGCTGCCCGGGTTCCCCCGCATCTGCAGGGAGGCCATGTAGGGCCGGGAGTGTGGCTGCGCCTCGTGCCCGCCCACGATCTCCGCAGCTCGGGCAGCACCTGCAGGGGGGGAGTCCAGGCGTCAGGGAGCCCCCAGGCTGCAGGGAAAGGGGGGATGGCAGAGCAGCCCCTGGGCCTCTCCGAGCCTCCGTCTCCCGATCTGCAACCCGGTCAGTGCCTGCTGGCTGGTGGGAAGGACTCAGCGCCCAGGCCGGGGGGGTTATAATTACGACGATTTCCAAAGGCGCCCTGGTGGCAGCTTTCAGTCCTGAGAGTCAGGAAGGCTTTTAAGACGCAGACCAGGTGGCTGGGTGCAGTGGCTCACGCCTGTAATCCCAACACTTTGGGAGGCCGAGGCAGGAGGCTCCCTTGAGCTCAGGAGTTCAAGACCAGCCTGGGCAAAATTGTGAGGACCCCATCTCTACAAAAAATTTTAAAATTAGCCAGGCATGGTGGTGTGCACCTGTCGTCCCAGCTACTTGGGAGGCTGAGGAGGGAGGATCGCTTGAGCCCAGGAGGTCAAGGCTGCAGTGAACTGAGATCACACCACTGCACTCCAGCCTGGGCAACAGAGCAAGACCCTGTCTCTAAAACAAAATTTAAAAAAATGTTTTTAAAGAAGCAGAAAAATTGGTCGGGTGCGGTTGGCCCACGCCTGTAATCCCAATACTTTGGGAGGCCGAGGTGGGTGGATCACCTGAGGTCAAGAGATGGAGACCATCCTGGCCAACATGGTGAAACCCTGTCTCTACTAAAAATACAAACATTAGCTGGGCGTGGTGGCACGTGCCTGTAGTCCCAGCTACTCCGGAGGTTGACGCAGGAGAATCGCTTGAACCCAGGAAGCGGAGGTTGTGGTGAGCCAAGATCGCCCCACTGCACTCCAGCCTGGCAACAGAATGACACTCCGTCTCAAAAAAAAAAAAAAAAAAAATTAGCCAGGTGTGGTGGTTCGCACCTGTAATCTCAGCTGCCTGGGAGGCTGAGGCAGGAGAATCGCTTGAACCCAGGAGGCACAGGTTGCAGTGAGCCGAGATCACACCACTGCACTCCAGCCTGGGCAACAGAGTGAGATTCTGTCTCAAAAAAAAAAAAAAAAAAAAAAAATCCTGGGCGCAGTGGCTCATGCCTGAGTGAGACCCCATCTCAAAAAAACAAAACAAAACAAAATAAAAAAAAAGAAGCAAAAAAAAAAAAAAAAATCAGCCAACAAAGAGACCCATTTTGCAGATGAACAAACTGAGGCATTGAAAATCCCCCTCAGGTCAGGAGTTCGAGACCAGCCTGACCAACGTGGTGAAACCCCATCTCTACTAAAAATACAAAAACTAGCCAGGTGTGGTGGTGTGTGCTTGTAATCCCAGCTACTCAAGAGGCGGAGGCAGGAGAATCATTTGACCCCAGGAGGCTGAGGCTGCAGTAAACTGAGATTGCACCACTGCACTCCAGCCTGGGCGACAGAGCAAGATTCCGTTTCAAAAAAGAAAAAAAAAGGGCCAGGCGCGGTGGCTCACGCCTGTAATCCCAGCACTTTGGGAGGCTGAGGCAGGCGGATCACGAAGTCAGGAGATCGAGACCATCCTGGCTAACACCTTGAAACCCCGTCTCTACAAAAATTACAAAAAATTATCCAGGCATGGTGGTGGGCGCCTGTAGTCCCAGCTACTCGGGAGGCTGAGGCAGGAGAAAGGCGTGAACCCGGGAGGCTGAGCTTGCAGTGAGCCGAGATCGCGCCACTGCACTCCAGCCTGGGCGACAGGGCGAGACTCCGTCTCAAAAAAAAAAAAAAGAAAAAGAAAAAGAAAATCACCCTCAGGATAGGGACCTGAGGGGGCCCATGCTCTCTTCTTCCCCTGATTCCAGCATCACTAACTCCTCGACCCTTTCACTCACTCACTCATTCATTCATTCACTCATTCATTCGTTCACTCATTCACTCATTCACTCATTCATTCACTCATTCACTCATTCATTCACTCACTCATTGATTCATTCACTCATTCATTCGTTCACTCATTCACTCATTCACTCATTCATTCACTCACTCATTGATTCATTCACTCATTCATTTGTTCACTCATTCACTCACTCACTCATTCATTCACTCATTCATTCATTCATGCATATTCACTGAGCATTTGCTGAAGGCTGGGTGCTGTCCAGGAATTCGCCTGTTACTAGCTAATTCCCAAAACAGCTCCTCAGGAGGGAAGGGCTGGGTTTTGCCCGTTTTACAGATAGGCAACTGAGTCAAATGGCCAGGGCTCCCCCTTGCCCTTGTCCTCCCCACCCCTGCAAGCGTTGGTCCCGAGCAGTGAGTGGAGTCTCCCCTGACCCTGCCTCAGTTTCCCCAGCTGTGCCAGAAGGGCTTTGGATGGACCTCGTGGTGGATATTTCCCCACAATCCACCGGGGCCTGGAGGCTGGATGGATGGGCACGTGGCTCACTCACCGCTCAGCAGCAAGGCCAGCAGCACGGACGCCAGGGCAGGGCTGGGGGGCCGGTGAGCCATGGTGGGGTCCAGGGTGCACCCACGGTCAAGCTCCTCTTATAGCCCAATGCCAGAGGCCGTTGAGTTGCCCAATGCCCAGGCTGGGTCCCCACTTCCTCCTTTTGCCTTGGGAGCCTGGGAGTCAGAACGGACTCCGGGGAGGAGGTGGGGGCTTTGGGCTCAAGGTCCCAACCTTTGTGGGGGCGGGGAGGCTGGCTGTCACCCACCCAAGTCGGGGGTCCCTGGCCAGGTGGGCAACATGGCCACAGCCCTCAGAGCAACACATGCCCACGTGCCACCCACAAGGAGACGCCTCCCTGACGAGGTCCCTGTGGCCCCAGCAAAGCCGGCCGTGGCAGGTGTGTCCCGTGGGTGGGTGAGCTGGAAACGGACAGACAGCAGGACGTAGCAGGGGACAGGATGCAGAGCTCGGGAAGGCAGGGCCCCACCACGAGTGCCCTCAGTGCCTCACCTGAGGCCCCAGCGAACATCCTCCTGCCAGTTTTGTCTGGGGGTTTTCTTCCCCCTTTAAGGCCAGGATTCTCAATCAAGAGGTGATTCTGCCCCCAGGGGACCCTGGGCGAGGTCTGAGGACACCTGTGGCTGTCACGAAAGGGGAGCTCCTGGCATGGAGTGGGTGGAGGCCAAGGATGATGCCTAGCACCCTGCAGTGCCCAGGACGGGCCTGCCCCAGAGAAGGATCCAGCCCCGATGTCCACAGGGCCCAGGGGAGAGACCAGTGTTCATTATTTGGGGAAAAAAATGGCCAGGTGCGGTGCCTCACACCTGTAATCCCAGCACTTTGGGAGGCCGAGGCGGGTGGATCGCCTGAGGTCAGGAGTTCAAGACCAGCCTGGCCAACATAGTGAAACCCCATCTCTACTAAAAATACAAAAATTAGCTGCGCGTGTTGGCGGGCGCCTGTAGTCCCAGCTACTCAGGAGGCTGAGGCAGGAGAATCACTTGAGCCTGGGAGGCGAAGGTTGCAGGGAGCCAAGATCGTGCCACTGCACTCCAGCCTGGGCAACAGAGCAAGACTCCATCTCAAAACATAAATAAATAAAAATAAAAAATAAAAAATCCAGTCTGCCCCCTGCTCACACCGGACACCAGAATAAACTCCCGATGGGGCGTACGGCATAAACCCGGGGGACCCCAGCTCCCGGGACTCGCCTCCTCTCTCCCTCCCACTCAGGGTGTGGATTTCAATGTGTGCAGCCTCCTGGGACCTCAGCAGGGCAGAGGATCATGGGACTCAGAGTCTCTTGGGGTCTGTGGAATCCTCTAACCCTGGGGTGATTCTGCCCCCAGGGGTCCCTGTGTGAGGCCTGGAGACATCCGTGGTTGTCACGACTTGGAGGGAGCTCCTGGCAGGGCCCTGCAGTGCCCAGGATGGCCCCGCCGCAGAGACAAATCCAGCCCCCATGTCTGCAGTGCCGGAAACGGGGGAAAGCCGAGGACAGAGGATAAAATTATTTATTTATAACTGAACGGTTTAAACCTACAGTGAAATGGAGAGAAGCACTGAATGAACTTGGAGGCCAAAAAGAAAAAAAGCTTTTTAACGTTTCATTTGGAAAGGATTTCACGCTTACAGAAGTCCAAAGGGTCCAAACTCCCTCCCCGCTCCCCAAACTCCCTCCCCCGGCCTCCCTCCCCCAGCTTCCCTAAATTCTGTCCTCTTGCTCAACCCTCCAGGCTGTGATCGAAGCCAGGGCGCGAAAGTTGATTCCAAATGGCCCCCTCTGCCCCAGCCCCCTGAGTATCACCAGCCACCCTTTGCTGGGTCCTGGGTACACAAGCCACCCATCTTCAGATGTCAGGGTCTCCTCCAGCGGGCGCAGTCCCTCTGCCCTCCCTCAGCCCTTGGGACCATTGAGGAGAGCTGGTGGTCACTCTGCAGAGCGTCCCTCCGTGGGGATGGTCCTGGGTGGCCTCAGGACTCAATGGAGGGAGTCCCGGGCGTGGCGTGTGTCTGTCTCAGGCCCCCCACGTCGAAGCCCATGGCTTCGGCCTGTCTCGTGCTGATGGTAATAACCTTGACCACGTGGTCAGGGCATCTGCCGGTTCCTGCACTGTCCAGTTACTGTTTTCCCCTTTGGATTTTTTTTTTTTTTTGAGACAGAGTCTCGCTCTGTCACCAGGCTGGAGAGCAGTGGTGCGATCTCAGCTCACTGCAATCTCCGCCTCCCGGGTTCAAACAATTCTCCTGCCTCAGCCTCCTGTATAGCTGGGATTATAGACGCCCACCACCACGCCTGGCTAATTTTTTTTTTTTTTTGTATTTTTAGTAAAGACGGGGTTTCACTATATTGGCCAGGCTGGTCTCGAACTCCTGACCTCAGGTGACCCGCCCGTAATCCCGCCAAAGTGCTGGGAACACAGGTGTGAGCCACTGCACCTGGCTATATTAATGTATATAACATAGATGTATACATAAAATATGTAGCATGTATATTATTTACATTATATAATATATAATATTTTAAAATATACATATATATTTTTTGAGACAGGGTCTGGCTGTGTCACCCAGGCTGGAGTGCAGTGGTGTAATCATGGCTCACTGCAGCCTCGACCTCCTGGGCTCAAGCAATTCTCCTGCCTCAACCCCCCAAGTAGCTGGGACCACAGGCATGCTCCACCATGTCCAGCTAAAGTTTTTCTTTCTTTTTTTTTTTTTTTTTGGTTGGCTGTTTAATTTTTTGTAGAAATGGGGTCTTGCTATGTTGCCCTGGCTGGTCTTGAACTGCCAGCCTTCAGGGACGCTCCTGCCTTGACCTCCCCAAATGCTGGGATCACAGGCATGAGCCACCATGACCGACCTGATGTGTATTAAAGAACTAGAGCTGTGGGCCGGGCGCGGTGGCTCACGCCTGTAATCCCAGCACTTTGGGAGGCCGAGGCGGGCGGATCACGAGGTCAGGAGATCGAGACCATCCTGGCTAACACGGTGAAACCCCGTTTCTACTAAAAATACAAAAAATTAGCCGGGCGTGGTAGCGGGCGCCTGTAGTCCCAGCTACTCGGGAGGCTGAGGCAGGAGAATGGCGTGAACCCGGGAGGCGGAGCTTGCAGTGAGCAGAGATTGTGCCACTGCACTCCAGCCTGGGCGACAGAGCGAGACTCCGTCTCAAAAAAAAAAAAAAGAAAAAGAACTAGAGCTGTGGCCGGGCGCGGTGGCTGTTGCCTGTAATCCCAGCACTTTGGGAGGCTGAGGCAGATGGATCACAAGGTCAGGAGTTCAAGACCAGCCTGGGCAACATGGTGAAACCCCGACTCTACTAAAAATACAAAAATTAGCTGGGTGTGGTGGCAGATGCCTGTAATCCCAGCTACTTGGGAGGCTGAGGGAGGAGAATTACTTGAACCCGGGAGGTGGAGGGGGCAGTGAGCTGAGATCGCGTCACTGCACTCCAGCCTGGGCAACAGAGCGAGACACCGTCTCAAAATAAAAGGGTTATTCTCATTCAACAAAAGTGCTGTTGGTTTCAGCCATGAGTCAGCTCATGCTGAGGCAAGCTGTTTGGCTTGCAGTCCTCAGTTTCCCCACCTGTAAAGGCGGGTGAGGACGGTAATAGGACCTTCTGCAGGGCAGCAGTGGGGGTCGACGGATTTGAGGTTTCTTGATTTGTTTTTACATGGAGTTTTGTTCTTGTCACCCAGGCTGGAGTGCAGTGGTGTGACCTTGGCTTCCTGGGTTCAAGCCATTCTCCTGCGTCAGCCTCCTAAGTAGCTGGGATTACAGGCACCTGCCACCACGCCTGAATAATTTGTTTTTTGTATTTGTAGTAGAGACGGGATTTCACCATGTTGGCCAGGCTGGTCTCGAACTCCTGACCTCAGGTGATCCGCCGGCCTCAGCCTCCCAAAGTGCTGGGATTACAGGCGTGAGCCACCGCGCCCTGCCTTTTTTTTTTTTTAATAGAGAGGGGTCTTGCTATGCTGCCCAGGCTCGTCTGGAACTCCTGGGCTCCAGCGATCCTCCCCCACCATCTGGCCACTACCGAATTGTTAAGTGGGTGAATTGCTTGGTGTGTGTGAAGGACATCTCAATAAAGCTGTCAACCAAAAAAAAAAGAAAAGAAAGAAAAGAAAGACCTTGCACACACACTGCTGGATCTAGCACACGCGAGAGCTGCCCAGGGGGCTGCCCCGTCCTCACTGTACGTGGGCTTCCCCGTCAGGATCTGTTTCCACGCAAGGCTGATGCAGCCCGGTCCTGACCGGAGGGTCCCAGCACCGTCCCGCGGGCCCCGGGTCCTCCAGGCTCCCTGTGCGTCCTGGGGGGACTCAAAAGCACAGGCCAGGGCGACAGGAGCGCTGGGAGCGGGTAGCAGGGAGGGTTCCGTGGAACACGCTGGGGGCTTTGCAGGGGTCGGCCTGGGGGCAGAGGTAGTGGGGGCCCCTTCCTGTACCAACCGTAGGTGGCGCAACTGGTAACGGCTTCAGGGATCGCAGGTGACGCCGCCTGGGGCCGAGGGGAGACCCATGCGGGGCTCAGGCCTGTGTCTCTGTCTCTGTCTCTCTCCCCGCCCTCTTTCTGTCTCCTTCTCTGTCTCTGTCTCTGTCTCCCTCTGTCTCTGTCTCTCTGTCTCAGTCTGTCTCTGTCTCCCTATATCTGTCTGTCTCTTCATCTCTGTGTCTGTGTCTGTGTCTCTCTGTGTCATCGCTGTCTCCCTTTTTTAAAACTATCTCTCTCAGTCTCTCTGGCTCTGTCCCTCTTTTTCCGTCTCTCTCTGTCTCTGTGTCTCTGTCCGTCTCTGTCTCTCCATCTTTCTTGTTCTCTCTTTTTTCTCTCCTCTACTACTTTCTTTTTCTTTCTTTCTTTCTTTTTTTTTTTGAGATGAAGTCTTGCTCTGTTGCCCAGGCTGGAGTGCAGTGGCGCGATCTCGGCTCACTGCAAGCTCCGCCTCCTGGGTACAAGCGATTCTCCTGCCTCAGCCTCCTGAATAGCTGGGATTACAGGCGCCCACCACCACACCCAGCTAATTTTTGTATTTTTAGTAGAGACGAGGTTTCACCATGTTGGCCAGGCTGGTCTCGAACTCCTGACCTCAGGTGATCCACCCGCCTCGGCCTCCCAAAGTGCTGGGATGACAGGCGTGAGCCACTGTGCCCGGCCTCCTTTCCTCTCCTCTTTATAAAGGAAAACCTTCTCTCCCTGAGTGACGGGAAGATGCTGGTTCGCCCGCGAGGCTCAGCCTCGCAGTGGTTGTGTTTTGTGTGTGTTTTGTGCCGACCG
The DNA here is from genome assembly GCF_000001405.40 of Homo sapiens. Lineage (NCBI taxonomy): Eukaryota > Metazoa > Chordata > Mammalia > Primates > Hominidae > Homo > Homo sapiens. Next base: position 835,784 of record NC_000019.10, on the reverse strand, counting down.
TTGACCTTCCCGTGTGCTTGGGGCCCTGACACCCGGCCGCCTTCCACACCCCCCAGGCCCATCCACCCACCTGTCCCCTGATGCCCCCTCTCACGGGATTTCTAAGCCAAACCCAGACATTTCACAATCTGTTCTGAGAATTCCGAAAATTTAAAAACCTTCTCAAGACACCAGTGAGTGGGGCCGGGTAGAGGGGCACAGAGAAGAAACAGAACAGCTGTTTTTAGCCTGAGCACAGCTGGCTCTGCCAGGAGGCTGCACGCGTCGGGGCCTGGACGGGGCTGCGGGGTGGGGGCTGCACGCACGCGTCGGGGCCTGGACGGGGCTGCGGGGTGGGGGCTGCACGCGTCGGGGCCTGGACGGGGCTGCGGGGTGGCGGGTGGGTCCACGGATGGGACCCCGTTCTATGTCCCTGAAATCCGAGGCGCGGAGAGGACTCGGGCTGCCCACAGTCACACGCAGCCCCGCTCTGAGGGCCCTGCAGCCGGGCTGACCGCTACCAGGGGAACCCGAGAACAGCACCCTTGGGCCCAGGAAGGGGGAGCAGCAGGGGCTGGGGGGAGGAGGGCAGAAACCGCCTCTGGCAGGAATCCCGCCCCAGCAGGGGGACCCTCATGACCGAACGTGGCCCCGAGCCGGGGGCACCAGAAGCCCTTGAACCCCAATCCTGCCTTGGGCCTCAGTTTCCCCATCTGAACAATGATCAGGCAGTGGCTTTGCCTCTCCAAACCCAGGCAGGGCCCCCACCGGCTGGGCTCCTGAGCCATTGGCACCCCTCTCTAGGCTTAGTTTCCCCCTCTGTAAAGAGAACCCGTTGGCCGGGCGCGGTGGCTCACGCCTGTCATCCCAGCACTTTGGGAGGCTGAGGCGGGCGGATCACGAGGTCAGGAGATCGAGACCATCCTGGCTAACACGGTGAAACCCCGTCTCTACTAAAAATACAAAAAATTAGCCGGGCACGGTGGCGGGTGCCTGTAGTCCCAGCTACTCGGGAGGCTGAGGCAGGAGAATGGCGTGAACCCGGGAGGTGGAGGTTGCAGTGAGCCGAGATCGCGCCACTGGACTCCAGCCTGGGCGACAGAGCGAGACTCCGTCTCAAAAAAAAAAAAAAAAAAGGACCCGTTATACCCACAAAAGAAAGAAAAGCAGCAGTTCCAACACAAACCTGCACATGAGTGTCCACAGCAGTGAGGGTCACAGTGGCCGGAAGTGGAGAGGCTCAGACGTCCATCCACAGGGGCCTCGAGCAGCACAGTGAGGCCTCCAGGCGTGGCAACAGGACGCAGCCGTGAAACGGACCCAGCTGTGACCCGACCACGGCGCGGAGGCACCGTGAGGACGTCACGCTCCGTGAGAGACGCCGGACACGAAAGACCACATAGTGTGTGATCCCATTGCTATGAAATGTCCAGGACAAGCCCATCCACAGAGACAGGAAGAGGACGCGTGGGTGCCGCGGACTGGGGAGGGGACAGGGAGTGACGGCTGATGGGGACAGGGATTCCTTTGGCGGTGATGAAATATTCTGGAACTCAACAGAGGTCATGACCACACAACATTGTGAGTGTACCGAAGACCATTGAATTGCACACTTCATTTTATTTTATTTTATTTTTTATTTTATTGAGACAGAGTCTCACTCTATCCCCTAGCCTGCAGTGCGGTGGCTCAATCTTGGCTCACTGCAAGCTCCGCCTCCCGGGTTCATGCCACTCTCCTGCCTCAGCCTCCCGACTAGCTGAGATTACAGGTGCATGCCACCATGCCAGGCTAATTTTTTGTATTTTTAGTACAGACAGGGTTTCACCATGTTGGGCAGGCTGGTCTCAAACTCCTGACCTCAGGTGATTTGCCAGCCTCGGCCTCCCAAAGTGCTGGGATTATAGGTGTGGGCCACCACGCCCGGCTGTACACACTTTAAAAGAGTGAATTCTAAGGCCGGGCACGGTTGCTGAAGCCTGGGAGGCTGAGGCTACAGTGAGCCTTGATCACGCCACTGCACTCCAGCCTGGGCATCAGAGAAAGACCGTGTCTCAAAAATAAATGAAATAAGGTCAGGCGCGGTGGCTCACGCCTGTAATCCCAGCACTTTGGGAGGCTGAGATGGGTAGATCACCTGAATTCAAGAGTTCAAGACCAGCCTGGTCGACATAATGAAACCCCATCTCTACTAAAAAATATATATATATAAATTGGCTAGGCATTGTGGCTCACACCTGTAGTCCCAGCTACTCAGGAGGCTGAGGCAGGAGAATTGCTTGAACTGGGGGCGCAGAGGTTGCAGTGAGCCGAGATCGCGCCACTGCACTCCAGCCTGGGTGACAGAGGGAGACTCTGTCTCAAATAAATAAATAAATGAGATAAAAATAGCTCACTGCATCCTCAACCTCTTGGGCTAAAGTGATCTTCCCACTTTAGCCTCCTCAATAGCTGAGACTACAGGTTCTTCTTCTTCTTCTTCTTCCTTCTTCTTCTTCTTCTTCTTCTTCTTCTTCTTCTTCTTCTTATTATTATTATTATTATTATTATTATTATTATTATCATTTTAAGAGACTGGGTCTTGCTCTGTGGACCACGCTGGAGTGCAGTGGTGCGATCACGGCTCACTGCAACCTCCACCTCCTGGACTCAAGCAATCTTCCCACCTCAGCCTCCAGAGTAGCTGGGACGACAGGTGCCACTTACCCGGCTTTTTTTTTTTTTTTTTGAGACGGAGTCTTGCTCTGTCACCAGGCTGGAGTGCAGTGGCGTGATCTCGGCTCACTGCAATCTCCACCTCCCGGGTTCAAGCAATTCTCCTGCCTCAGCCTCCCGAGTAGCTGGGACTACAGGCGCCCGCCACCACGCCTGGCTAATTTTTTGTATTTTTAGTAGAAACGGGGTTTCACCGTGTTAGCCAGGATGGTCTCGATCTCCTGACCTCGTGATCCGCCCGCCTTGGCCTCCTAAAGTGCTGGGATTACAGGCATGAGCCACTGTGCCCGGCCTCTCCTGTGTAATTTTAATAATTTTAAAAATTATTTTTGTAGAGACATGGTTTCACTACGTTGCCCAGGCTGGTCTCAAACTCCTGGGCTCAAACGATGCTCCCACCTTGGCCTCCCAAAGTGCTGAGATTACAGATGTGACTGCCACATCCAGCCATCATATTCATATTTTATTCTGTATTATTTATATATACAATTATATTTATTATTTCATATTCACGTTTTACTGTTTCTATTGGATCCAAGAGGAGAATGTTCCCCGTTTTCTCCCGTGGTTTTTGTTTTTTTTTGAGCTGGAGTCTCGCTGTCGCCCAGGCTGGAGTGCAGTGGCGCCATCTCGGTTCGCTGCAACCTCCGCCTCCCGGGTTCAGGTGATTCTCCTGCCTCAGCCTCCCAAGTAACTGGGATTACAGGCGCCCGCCATCATGCCCGGCTAATTTTTGTATTTTTATAGAGATGGGGTTTCACCAGGTTGGCCGGGCTGGTCTTGAACTCCTGACCTCAGGTGATCCGCCCACCTCGGCCTCCCAAAGTGCTGGGCGGCATTCACTGTGTGACCTCTGGGCAGCCACCCAACCTCTCTGAACCTGGGCCTCCCCCCAACACCCCGCTGTCGGGTGCAGATAACACCAGCCCCTGCTTCCCGGGCTTTGAGGGAATCTCTGAACATCTGACATCTGCACAGGCAGTGCACCTGCGGTGGGTGCCCCTAAGGCCGGTGAAGGTGCCACTCACGCGTCCCCACAGCCCCCTCCCCCACCAATGAACAGAAACCAGGAGCAGAGGAGAGATCGGCTTCTTTATTACAGCCAGGGCCCCTCTGGCCGGAGCGGGGGCAGGGGCGGGGCCGTGGGAGGTGGGTGCGGAGCGCCGGAGGTGTGGAGGGCGGGGCTGGGCTCCATGGGAGGTCACAGGCCCCCCTAGGCTGGCCCCGGTCCCGGGTTGTTGAGAACACCATCGATCCAGTCTCGGAAGAGCGCCACTCGGGTGAAGAAGTCAGGGCCTCGGCCACAGGGCCCCAGGGAAAAGGAGGCCACGCCGTGGGCCAGGCCCTCGCAGACGAGGGGGGTGCCCCCGTCCCCCTGGGCAGGCAGCAGCTGTGTCAGGGCGTCCCAGGGCCTGGCTCCCACGCCACCCCAGAACTGCAGAGGCCTCTTGCTGCCCCTGGAACCTACAAGTCCTGATCCAGCCCCAGGGCCTTTGCATGGCTCTTCTCTTTCTCTGCCCTGGTTAACTGCTAGTGGACTTTGGGATCAGTTGCTTTCTGGAGCTTCCTGGCACCTCCAGGCTGGGCCAGGTGCCCCTCCCCTGGCAATCACACGCCTGAGTCCCTCAGTGACCGGCTCTACCATGCCTGCTGGGTCCCCAACCCCCAGCACAGACGTGGCTCACAGCCGGCGTTTGATAGCTACTGTTTCTCAGCCAGGCACGGTGGCTCATGCCTGTTATCCTAACACTTTGGGAGGCCAAGGTGGGTCGATCATGAGGTCAGGAGTTCGAGACCAGCCTGACCCACATGGAGAAACCCTGTCTCTACTAAAAATACAAAATTAGCCGGGCGTGGTGGCGCATGCCTGTAATCCCAGCTACTTAGGAGGCTGAGGCAGGAGAATCGCTTGAACCCAGGAGGCGGAGGTTGCAGTGAGCCGCCGAGATCACGCCACTACACTCCAGCCTGGGCGACAGAGCGAGACTCTGTCTCAAAAAAAAAAAAAAAGATACTGTTTCTCCTACCGTGAAAATGCTCAATCCTGGGGCCCCCCTGCTGTGCCGCCCTCAGCCTGCACTTGCTTTCTCCTGCCACGGAGAGCTCAGTACCTCTCAGGACCCCTCCTCCCGCCACAGGGAGCACTCACATTGCAGATGCCACCGCGGCGGGTGAGCACACCGGTGCACACGTTGTTGGGGCGACACTGGTCCTCGGGGGTCACAGTCACGTTGACAAACCTGGGAAAACGGGAGAGACGCCCCCCACTGCGCTGGCTCCCCCAGCCGGCCACCTGGCATCTGGTGCCGGCTTCCACCGTGGCGTTCTGCAGAGGCAGTGGCAGTATCGTCACGCTGCTGGTGAGGTTGGCCTCACGGTCCAGCTGGGGAAGGAAATGGAGTCAGGGGAGGGTGGCCCTGGGGACTGGAGCCTCATGGGGACCCCTGGGAGCAGAAGTGTCAGCGACATTAACTGTAGTCTGTAAGTGGTTTGCGTTTAATTCCCGGCAGGGGCCGGGTGCGGTGGCTCACGCCTGTATTCCCAGCACGTTGCGAGGCCAAGGTGGGTGGATCACTTGAGGCCAGGAGTTCGAGACCAAACTGGCCAACAAGGTGAAACCCCCGTCTCTACTTTTTTAAATTTTTTAATGATATTTTTGAGATAATTTTATCATTTTCTCAAAGAAAAAAACCAAACATGAAAAACATTCACATGATTCTGTCATAGCAAAAGCATTTGAAAACGACGTCAGTCTCCACCAACAGGAGGCTCCATACGCGAACCGTGGTACATCTGTATGTGTTGCTGTATTGTTTTTGGAAGTTTTTTTTGAGATAGGGTCTGGCTCTGTTACCCAGGCTGGAGTGCAGGGGCGCGATCTCGGCTCACTGCAAGCTCCGCCTCCCGGGTTCAAGCGATTCTCCTGCCTCAGCCTCCTGAGTAGCTGGGACTAGAGGCGCCCGCTGCCATGCCTGGCTAATTTTTGTATTTTTAGTAGAGATGGGGTTTCACCATGTTGGCCAGGCTGGTCTCAATCTCCTGACCTCGTGATCCGCCCACCTCGGCCTCCCAAAATGCTGGGATTACAGGCATGAGCCACCTCACCCGGCAAGATACACACACACACACACACACACACACACACACACACACATATATATTTTTGTAGAGACTGAGTTTGGCCATGTTGCCCAGGCTGGTCTCGAACTCCTGACCTCAAGCCGTCCTTCCGCCTCGGCCTCCTGAAGCACAGGGGCCACAGGTGCGCGCCACCACTCCCGGCTAATTTTTGTATTTTTTTGTAGAGACCAAGTTTGGACTTGTTTCCCTGGCTAACGTCGGCCTCCCGAGGTGCTGGGATCACAGGTGGCACCATCCTCTCACCTGAAGCAGCATCAGGTCGTTCAGGTTCTGCTGGGGGTCGTAGCCATTCTCGCTCATGCTGCTGATGGAAAACGTCTGGCGGGACTGCCTCTCCCGCCGCCTCAGGTCATAGGCACCCAGCACCACGGTGCTAACCCCGGGGTTCCTGAGAGTAGCGGAGGAAAGGGCAGAGGGAGGACACCAGGCTGGGGCCTGGGCACAGAGCAAGCCGGCTTGCAAATTAGGGGGGATCCCAGCCTGCAGACTGCAATCCTTCACCCTGAAAACTCCCCCGCTTTTACAGAAGCAGAGCCGAGACTTTCCAGGGCCCCCTTCCCATCTTGAGCCCCTTCCCTTCTCTGCGCCTCCTCCTCCATCTGAGCCCCTTCTCTTCTCTGCGCCCCCTCCTCCATCTGAGTCCCTTCCCTTCTCTGAGCCTCCTCCATCTGACCCCCTCCCCTTCTCTGCACCTCCTCCATCTGAGCCCCTTCCCTTATCTGGGCCTCCCCCATCTGACCCCCTTCCCTTCTCTGCACCTCCCCCATCTGACCCCATTCCCTTATCTGGGCCTCCCCCATCTGACCCCCTTCCCTTCTCTGCACCTCCTCCATCTGACCCCCTTCCCTTCTCTGCGCCTCCCCCATCTGAGCCCCTTCCCTTCCCTGGGCCTCCCCCATCTGACCCCCTTCCCTTCTCTGCCCCTCCTCCATCTGAGCCCCTTCCCTTCCCTGGGCCTCCCCCATCTGACCCCCTTCCCTTCTCTGCACCTCCTCCATCTGACCCCCTTCCCTTCTCCGCACCTCCTCCATCTGAGGCCCTTCCCTTCTCTGCACCTCCTCCATCTGAGGCCCTTCTCTTCTCTGCACCTCCTCCATCTGAGCCCCTTCCCTTCTCTGCACCTCCTCCATCTGAGCCCCTTCCCTTCTCTGGGCCTCCCCCATCTGACCCCCTTCCCTTCTCTGCACCTCCTCCATCTGAGCCCCTTCCTTTCTCTGGGCCCCCTCCTCCATCTGAGCCCCTTCCCTTCTCTGGGCCTCCCCCATCTGACCCCCTTTCCTTCACTGCACCTCCTCCATCTGAGCCTCTTCCTTTCTCTGGGCCTCCTCCATCTGACCCCCTTCCCTTCTCTGGGCCTCCTCCATCTGAGCCCCCCAATATCCTTGGGTCCCTCCTCAACTCAGTCCCCATTTCCCTCTCCAAGCCCCCTCCTTTCCCTGAGCCCCTCCTTTTGCAATCCCCTCCCCTCCTCACCTACCAAGCACCCCCACTGAATGCCTAAGCCCCCCAAGCCCCTTCTCTGAGCCCCAATGCCCCCTAGGCCCCCTCCCCAGGACCCCTCACTGGCTTTGGAAGCAGCTGGCCGCGGTCATCACGAAGCGGGCATGGATCAGGGCACCCCCGCAGAAGTGCCTGCCTTGATTCTGAATGGAGGCCAGGAACGGGAACTGGCGGGGCCTCGCCTTCCGGCCGCCAACGATGTCCAAAAGGGGGCTGGAGCCTGGGTCGGGGGGAGACAGCTCTGAGATCCCCAAGAATCCACACAGTGGCCGGGAGGGCGTGTGAAGCTGCAGCCTCAGCTCTATCCACCCAGTGGGGCTGCGGGGGGACCCACCCTCCCCCATCGTCCCACTCCCTAAGAGGACAGGGGGCCCCTGAGTCCCGCACACCGTCCGCCCTCACGCCTTTCGCGGGATCGTCCAGGCCGGGCTGGCTGTGTGACCCAGGCCAAGCCGCTTGCCTTCTCTGTGCTTTAAGTCTGAGTTCTGCCCTGGCAGCCGGGCCCTAGCACAGATGGGGGACCACCGGCACAGAGAGGCACTCACCGGCCCTCGAGGACGCCAGCAGACCAGCCAGCAGGGCCAGGACTGTCAGCCGGGTCATGGCGGGGCAGGTCTGTGGCTAAGGCGGCGGCTGCCCTTATACACAGGCCTTGGCAGTTGGTGGCGTCCCCGCCCAGGCCCAGGGACAGCCCCACTCAGTGGGAACACGGGAAATTGCCCAAGGCCTCCACCGCCAACTGCTCCCTGGGCCAGCCTGGGCTCCCCCTACATTCTGCACTGATCCTCAGTTTCCCTCTCTAGAAGATGGCCACACCCCCAGGGGCAGGTGAGGGTGTCAGGAACCAGTGGATCCCGGAGCCCAGCACATGGCGGGCATGCAGCCAGCACCCAGGAACATTGCCAGCTCAGAGTCCCAGTCTCCCCATCCCAAGCCACTGGGGCTCCAGCACTGCCCGCTGGGCCTGGCACCGGGGGGCTCAGGGCAGTGGAGCTGGCAGTCCTGCGTTGAGTCCTGCGCGTCTGTATGGGTGATTATTATTATTATTATTATTATTATTATTTTGAGACGGAGTTTCGCTCTTGTTGCCCAGGCTGGAGTGCAATGGTGTGATCTCGACTCACTGCAACCTCCGCCTCCCAGGCTCAAGTGATTCTCCTGTCTCAGCCTCCTGAGTAGCTAGGATTACAGTTGTCCACCACCACGCCTGGCTAATTTTTTGTATTTTTAGTAGAGATGGGGTTTCACTATATTGGCCAGGCTGGTCTCAAACTCCCGACCTCAGGTGATCCACCCACCTCGGCCTCCCAAAATGCTGGGATTACAGGTGTGAAACACTGTGCCCGATTGGGTGATTTTTTTAAACTTTTTCAACAGCTTTATTGAGATATAATTGACAAGCTGGGTGCGGTGGCTCACACCTGTAATCCTAGCACTCTGGGAGGCCGAGGCAGGCAGATCACCTGAGGTTGGGCGTTCAAGACCAGCCTGACCAACATGGAGAAACCCCATCTCTACTAAAAATACAAAATTAACTGGGCGTGGTGGCACATGCCTGTAATCCCAGCTACTCAGGAGGCTGAGGCAGGAGAATCACTTGAACCTGGGAGGCGGAGGTTGCAGCGAGCCGAGATCGCACCATTGCACTCCAGCCTGGGCGACAAGAGCAAAACTCCATTTCAAAAAAAAAAAAGAAATTAGCTGGGCGTGGTGGCGGGCGCCTATAGTCCCAGCTACTTGGGAAGCTGAGACAGGATAATCGCTTGAACCTGGGAGGTGGAGGTTGCAGTGAGCCGAGATTGCGCCACTGCACTCCAGCCTGGGTGACACAGAGAGACTCCGTCTCAAAAAAAATAAATAAAAACAAATTAAAAACTATATAAAAATAAATAGACGAAATGTCCAGAACAAGCAAATCTGCAGAGGCAGGAAGTGGATCTGTGGTTGCCAGGGGCCGGGGGAGGGCAGGGGGTGATGGCTGATGGATGGAGATGGGGCTTCCTTCTTTGGGGTGATGGAATGTTCTGGGACTGGACAGCAGTGATGGTTGCACAAGTCGGTGAATGCACCGAAAACCACTTCACTGTACCGTTCAAAATGGCTAATTTTAAGTTATGTAAATTTCATCTCCTTCTTTTGTTTTTTTCAGAGTTGAGGTCTCGCTGTTGCCCAGGCTGGAGGGCAGCGGCACCATCTCAGCTCACTGCAGCCTCAATCTCCTGGGTTCAACTGATCCTCCTGCCTCAGCCTCCCGAGTAGCTGGGACCACAGGCACCCGCCACCGTGCCCGGCTAATTTTTGTATATTTTGTAGAGATGGGATCTCACTATGTTGCCCAGGGTGGAGTGCAGTGGCACGATCTCAGCTCGCTGCAGCCTCCGATTCCCGGGTTCCAGCAATCCTCCTGCCTCAGCCTCCCAGGTAGCTGGGACCATAGGCACATGCCACCATGCCCGGCTAATTTTTGTATTTTTTTGTAGAGGTGGAGTCTCACTATGTTGCTCGGGCTGGTTTGAAACTCCTAAGCTCAAGCAATCCACCTGCCTCGGCCTCCCAAAGTGCTGGGAGCACAGGTGTGAGCTACTGCGTCCAAACTCACCTCCATTTTTTACAAAGGGGCTCATTTCCAAGGTGAAACTGAGGTCTGGAGCTTACCGTGTCCCCCACACCCTTGGGGACACCAGTTTGTGTCTGGGCCTGTGGGAGCCCTCTGAGGGCAGTTTGCCCCTCCAAGGGGCGGATACGGGGAGAGTCCAGGGAGGCGGGGCCGGTGTGCCTTGAGGTCCGCTGCCCATCGGGAATGTAGGGTCCCAGGGCTCAAATCTGGTCTCCAGGCCGGGAGCGGTGGCTCACACCTGTAATCTCAGCACTTTGGGAGGCCGAGGCGGGCGGATCATGAGGTCAGGAGATCAAGACCTTCCTGGCTAACACGGTGAAACCCCATCTCTACTAAAGATACAAAAAATTAGCCGGGCGTGGTGGTGGGCGCCTGTAGTCCCAGCTACTCAGGAGGCTGAGGCAGGAGAATGGCGTGAACCCAGGAGGCGGAGCTTGCAGTGAGCCGAGATCGTGCCACTGCACTCCAGCCCGGGAGACAGTGAGACTCCATCTCAAAAAAATAATAATAATAATAATAATTCCGGTCTCCACTGAGTTTCACAGCCCAGCCACCTCACAGGGTCCATGGCACAGCCCCCAGATCCCTGCCTCCGTCCAAGCCAGCTCTCCCTCTCTGCCCACCCCGGATCCTACCTGTCCATCTTCCCTGCGGAGGCCCCAGCCTCCATCCACCCTGTCCTGGCCAAACGTGGGCCTCAGCTCTCCCGTGGGCCAGGCCCCATTTCCCCTCTGCCGGGAGCCGGAAGCTCTGTCCCTCCCAGTCGCATGACCTCAGGGCGAGCTCGCTGTCTGCACGTCAGTGTGCCCTGAGACAGGGATAGACTCTGCCTTCTAGACAGAACAGTGCTGAGCATGGAGTGGGGTTCATATTCTGAAAAGTTTTTGAGGCCGGGCGTGGTGGCTCACGCCTGTAATCCCAGTGCCTTGGGAGGCCGAGGTGGGAGGATCACTTGAGCCCAGGAGTTTGAGACCAGCCTTGGCAACATGGTGAGACCCTCTCTCTATTAAAAAAAAAAAAAAAAAGCTGGGCGCGGTGGCTCACGCCTGTAATCCCAGCACTTTGGGAGGCCAAGACGGGCGGATCACGAGGTCAGGAGATCAAGACCATCCTGGCTAACACGGTGAAACACCGTCTCTACTAAAAATACAAAAGAATTACCCGGGCATAGTCCTGGGCGCCTGCGGTCCCAGCTACTCGGGAGGCTGAGGCAGGAGAATGGCGTGAACCCGGGAGGTGGAGCTTGCAGTGAGCCGAGATCGCGCCACTGCACTCCAGCCTAGACGACAGAGTGCAACTCCGTCTCCCAAAAAAAAAAAAAAAGGCTGGGCTCCGTGGCTCCCCTGTCATCCCAGTACTTTGGGAGGCTGAGGCAGCAGATCAGCTGAGGTCAGGAGATCAACACCAGCCTGACCAACATGGGGAGATCCTCTTTCTACTAAAAATACAAAAATTAGCCCGTCGTGGTGGCAGGCGCCTATAATCCCAACTACTCGGGAGGCTGAGGAGGGAGAATCACTTGAACCCAGGAGGTGGGAGGTTGCAGTGAGCTGAAATCGCACGATTGCACTCCAGCCTGGGCGACAGAGCAAGAGTCCATCTCAAAATAATAGTAATAATAATAATAATCATTTTTAAATAAAAGTTTTGAGCAGCGTCTGGTACGCTCAACCCCTCCGGCCTGCTCGGAACTCTCCCATCACTCAAGCCCAGGCCCCACACTCAAGCCCAGGCCCCTCAGCCAAGCAACGTGCCCTCCATGGCCAGGCCTGCCCCATCTCCACCACTGGTGATCCTAGGGGGAGAAGACCCTGAGACTCCCCCAGATCTTCTGTTGGACCCCCAAGCTGCCAGGAGGGTCCCCCTGCACACTCTCCCACTCCTGACCTCAGAAGGCTCCTGAAAATCAATTGCATTTTCCTCCTCCTCCCCCAGAGAGCTGTTTGTGGTCACCTTGCAACACCCAGATTCCCAACGGCCACTCTGGCCCCGCCTCTCACAGGCCAGGAAAACAGCCGCAGCCACAGCAGGCAACGTCCCCCTTCTCCAGGGCTGTTGGGGAGGAACAGGATCGCATCGAATGGGACCCACCTGTGACCAACTGCTCACAGGGCCTCCCCGAGCCCCCCTGCAGGAACCGGGGGGCCAAAGACCCCTCCCCAGGCAGTCCGTGCAGTCCTGTCCCAGGAAGCTGGGCTGCCTCCGAGTCCATCCAAAGGTAGCAACACCATTGAGTTCCCATCCTATTCCCATCGCCATTTAACTGTTTCCGCATTTATGGCAGGCGACCCTCTTCCCGGGGGCAGCAGTGCCTGTTATGAGCAAACTAAGGTATCTAGCAGGGCTCCAACCCTCTGGAGTCACTGTTTGTTTGTTTTTTTTTTTTTTTTTGAGATAGAGTCTCCTTCTGTCGCCCAGGCTGGAGGGCAATGGTGCCATCTCGGCTCACTGCAACCTCCGCCTCCCAGGTTCAAGCAATTCTCCTGCCTCAGCCTCCCATCTGGCTGGGATTACAGGCGCCTGCCACCATGTCCGGCTAATTTTTATATTTTTAGTAGAGATGGGGTTTCACCATGTTGGCCAGGCTGGTCTGGAACTCCTGGCCTCAAGGGATCCTCCCGCCTCTGCCTCCCAAAGTGCTGGGATTATAGGCCTGAGCCACTGCACCCAGCCTGGAAGTCACTCTTTGTTTGTTTGTTTGTTTGTTTGTTTTGAGACAGAGTCTCGCTCTTGTTGCCCAGGCTGGAGTGCAGTGGCACGATCTCGGCTCACTGCAACCTCCGCTTCCCAGGTTCAAGCGATTCTCCTGCCTCAGCCTCCCGAGTAGCTGGGATTACAGGCATGAGCCACCACACCCTAAAAATTTTTGTATTTTTAGTAGAGACGGGGTTTCACCATGTTGTCCAGGCTGGTCTCGAACTCCTGCCCTCGTGATCCGCCCGCCTCGACCTCCCAAAGTGCTGGGATTACAGGCCTGAGCCACCGCGCACGGCCCAAAAACCGATTTTTGTAAATCCTGCCGTTTGGGGCCCGGAGACCTCGGATTGCGACCCAGGGTGCCCAAGCCTCAGTTTCCCCATCCCTACAACGGGGGTCAACCAGCCCCTACCCCGCAGGGCTGCGCATATGGAGGAGGAAATGCACGCAGACAGCAGGCACTGCCCGAGTGCGGGTCCCGAGGGCCCTGCCCGCATCCCGCAGCCCCCAGCCCCCAGCCCCGCGCCCCGCAATCCCGCCGTGCGCACCGAGCGGCTGCGGCCAGGCGGAGGGTGGACCCCGGCGCGGCGGAGGGGGCGAGGGTGAGTGCGGGGGGAAGGGAGGGAGGCACCGGGAGACCCCCCAGTCCCCCTCCCCCAGCTCTTTTGTCTCCGATGCTCCGGGCGCCCTGGGAGCCTCGCCATGGAAACGCGCACCAGCGAGCGGCGGGCTCCGCGGAGGGGCGGGCGGAGGCGCGGGGCGGGGGCAGTCGGAGCCGGCGAGAGACCGTGAGAGACACGGAGACAGTCAGAGACCCCGAAACCCCAACCCCCGCCCCCGCCTCCGCCCCCGTCTCGATGGCGCCCCCCGGGCCGACCGCAGCCACCCGGGAGGGGAGGACGGGACCGTCACCGCCGCAGGCCCGAAGGGAGGAGGACGCGACCCCCGAGCCCCGCCAGCCGCTCGCGCAGACCTGAGACCCCCGAGACCCCCGGCGGTGGGAGGCGGCGCCAGGGAGGCGGGGACGGTGCGCGGGGCCTGCGGAGGACGCGCCCAGACAAAGAGCCCCCGCCCCTGGCTGCGGCGTCTGGGCTGCGGCGTCTGGGCGCGCGCGGGGGTCTCCGGGCCGGACCCTCCCCTCCCCCGTCCCCCTCCCCTTCCCGGCTCCCGGCCCCGCCCCACGGAGGAGACGCGCTTTGTGCTGGGCGCCGGCCGCGCCAGGTGAGGGGCTGTGGGGCTGGGGGCGCGGACCCAGTCTCCTCCGCCGCCCGGAACCCCAGTTCTCCCGGATGCCCCCCACCACCACGCGGGGACTGGCTCCCGCCCGGAGACCCCCCGCCCTCCTCGGCGATCCCGGCCCCGACCCCCCGATCCCGGGTGTAGGGGCGCCCGGAAGCCGCGTGCTGGGCCGGGGCGCGGGGAGGCCACGCGGACGCCGCTCTCTGCAGCCTCAGTTTCCCCGACCGCCCCTCCCCCGCCGGCGCCGGCCACCGTGTCTCCCCCGGGCTCCGCCTGCGCGCCCCCCTCCAGCGCCGCTTTCTCCCCTCCAGCCACGGCCTGCGGCGCCCGCGGCACCATGATCTCCACCAAGGAGAAGAACAAGATCCCGAAGGACAGCATGACGCTTCTGCCCTGCTTCTACTTCGTGGAGGTGGGTGGGGGTCGCGCTGGGGCCCGGGGGAGACGCCTCGGTTCCGCCCGCCCGCAGAGACCCCCGCGCTGGGGGACCGGAGCCGGCGCAGCTGCCCCGGCAGTGGCCTCGGGGCGGGGCAGGACCGGGGTGTCCGGCGGATGGGGGGTGGGGCAGAGGACTTGGGCTGTGCGGGTCGAGTAGGAGCTCCAGAGGAACCGAGGGGGGTCCAGGCCGTGGGAACTGTGGGCAGGTGCTAGGAGGGGAGCCCTTCTGACCAAGGTGTGGTCAGAGGGGCTGGGGGTCGGGGGCTGGGGGCCTGGAGGGGGCGGGGAGGCCGGAGGGGGTGGGGTTGGGTGCAGGTGCCGCGTGGGCTCCGAAGCCTCAGGGTCTGAGTTCACCTCTGCTAATGGTGAGGCTGGTGCCCTGCCCCTAACCTCTCTGGGCCTCCGCTTTTCCACTCCTGGAGCTGATAGGAATTAATATCTACAGAATACGGAAACGTGTTAGGCACATAGTGAGGAGTTTATGACCATAAATGGAACCCCTTGCCCTGTGCGGTGGCTCACGCCTGTAATCCCAGCACTTTGGGAGGCCAAGGCGGGTGGATCACCTAGGTCAGGAGTTCAAGACCAGCCTAGCCAACATGGTGAAACCCCTCTCCATTAAAAATACAAAAATTAGGCTGGGCACTGTGGCTCACGCCTGTAATCCCAGCACTTTGGGAGGCCGAGGTGGGCAGATCACCTGAGGGCAGGAGTTCAAGACCAGCCTGGCCAACATGGTGAAACCCCATCTCTACTAAAAAATACAAAAAAATTAGCCGGGTATGTTGGCTTATGCCTGTGAGCCCAGCTACTCGGGAGGCTGGGGCAGGAGAATCGCTTGAACCCAGGAGGTGGAGGTTGCAGTGAGCAGAGATCATGCCACTGCACTCCAGCCTGGGCAACAGAGCAAGGCCCTGTCTTAGAAAAAAAAAAAGAAGACAATAAATGTAATAAATGGAGCCCCCTGCCCTGTGCGGTGGCTCACGTTTGTCATGTTTGTAATCCCAGCACTTTGGGAGACTGAGGTGGGAGGATCACTTGAGGCCAGGAGTTTGAGACCAACCTGGGCAACACAGCAAGATCCCATCTCTACAGAAAAAATTAAAATATTAGTTGGGCGTGTGCTGCGTGCCTTTATTCTCAGCTACTTAGGAGGCCGAGGTGGGAGGATTGCTTGAGCCCAGGAGGTTGAGGCTGTAGTGAGTTGTGATCACACCACTGCACTCCAGCCTGGATGACAGAGACTCTGTCTCTAAAACAAAAAAGCTACCATTTTGGCACACACCTGGCTCAGGATGGTAGAGTAACTTAAGGCTGGGGTGGTGGCTCACGCCTGTGATCTCAACACATTGGGAGGCCCAGGTAGATGGATTGCTTGAGCCCAAGAGTTCAAGACTAGCCTGGGCAACATGGCAAAAACCCATCTCTACAAAATTTTAAAAACAGAAAAAATAGCTGGGCGTGGTGGTGTGCAGCTGAGGTCTCAGTTACATAGGAGCCTGAGATGGAGGATGACTTGAGCCCAGGTGGCGGAGGTTGCAGTGAGCCAAGATCACACCACTGCACTTCAGCCTGGATGACAGAGCCAGACCCCATCTCAAAAAATAAAATAACTTTAATCCATCCTTGCATGTCAGGCCAGGAAAACCGGCTCTAGTGATGGGCCTTCCAGAGCCTCGATGGAAGACGGGACCCTAGTCTCAAGGAAGCAGTGACCCGTGCAGGTCACACGGCCAGCGGCTGGCCTGTAATCCGTTACCTCACACCCGGGCAAGTGGGTCCCTCCCAAACACAATATCATTAAGTTGCCCACATCACTTCATAGAAAATCTGTTTATTTTTCGAAATTGCACTTAAATTCCTGTTGCAGGACGGGCATGGTGGCTCACACCTATAATCCCAGCACTTTGGGAGGCCGAGGTGGGCGGATCACCTAAGGTCAGGAGTTCGAGACCAGCCTGGTCAATATGGTGAAACCCCATCTCTACTAAAAATACAAAAATTAGCTGGGCATGGTGGTCGTAGTGGTGGGCGCCTGTAATCCCATCTACTCGGGAGGCTGAGGCAGGAGAATCGCTTGAACCCAGGAGGTGGAGGTTGCAGTTAGCCGAGATCGCGCCACTGCACTCCAGCCTGGGCAACAGAGTGAGACTCCATCTCGGAAAAAAAAAAAAAAAAAGTAGGCTGGGTGCAGTGGCTCACGCCTGTCATCCCAGCACTTTGGGAGGCCGGGACGGGCAGATCACCTGAGGTCAGGAGTTTGAGACCAGTCTGGCCAATGTGGTGAAACCACACCTCTACTAAAAATACAAAAATTAGCCCAGCGTGGTGGTGTGTGCCTGTAGTCTCAGCTACTCCGGAGGCTGAGGTGGGAGAATCGCTTGAGGACGGGAGGTGGAGGTTGCAGTGAGCTGAGACTGTTCCACTGCACGCCAGCTTGGGCAAGAGAGCAAGACTCCATCTCAAAAAATAATAATAATAAATAAAATAATAATAATAAGGCCGAGCGCAGTGGCTCACACCTGTAATTCCAGTGCTTTGGGAGGCTGAGGCAGGAAGATCACTTGAGGCCTGGAGTTCAAGGCTAGCCTGAGCCCCAGCTAATTTTTAAAAATCATTTTTAGTAGGCTGTGCGTGGTGGCTCACGCCTGTCATCCCAGCACTTTGGAAGGCCTAGGTGGGCGGATCATGAGGTCAGGAGATCGAGACCATCCTGGCTAACACGGTGAAACCCCGTCTCTACTAAAAATACAAAAAATTAGCCGGGCGCGGTGGCGGGCGCCTGTAGTCCCAGCTACTCGGGAGGCTGAGGCAGGAGAATGGCGTGAACCCGGGATGTGGAGCTTGCAGTGAGCCGAGATCGCGCCACTGCACTCCAGCCTGGGCGACAGAGCGAGACTCCAAAAAAAAGTATGTATTTAGTAGAGACAGGGTCTTACTGTGTTGCTCAGGCTAGCGTTGAACTCCAGGCCTCAAGTGATCTTCCTGCCTCAGCCTCCCAAAGCACTGGAATTACAGGTGTGAGCCACTGCGGTCGGCCTTATTATTATTATTTTATTTATTATTATTATTTTTTGAGATGGAGTCCTGCTGTCTTGCCCAAGCTGGAGTGCAGTGGAACAATGTCAGCTCACTGCAACCTCCACCTCCCGTCCTCAAACGATTCTCCCACCTTAGCCTCCGGAGTAGCTGAGACTACAGGCACGCACCACCACGCTGGGTTAATTTTTGTATTTTTAGTAGAGATGGGGTTTCACCATGTTGGCCAGGCTGGTCTCAAACTCCTGACCTCAGGTGATCTGCCCGTCCCGGCCTCCCAAAGTGCTGGGATGACAGGCGTGAGCCACCGCACCCGGCCCATGGTTAGATATTTTTAAGGCCGCGCCCAGGCCCCACCTCAGACCCTCCCCGGGCTTGATGCTGTCTGCCCGCCCCAGCAAAATCATGCTGATAATGAAAGTGGAGAGAACAAGTAGATAGTTGCCAGGGGCCACCTCCCACATTGACTCATCTCCACCTGAGCCCTTGGAGGCGGCTACTTTATCATTCCCATTTTGCAGCTGGTGAGACTGAGGCACAGGGGGTCTGCTGGCCGCCCACAGGTTAAAGTGGGTGGTTTTCAAACCGGGTGTCAGGTGCAAACAAACGCTGCTACCCACTTTCCGCGTCTGCCCCGGGCCTCGTGCCTGCATGCAACAGGCACTCAATGAATGCTCACTGGACATGAACTCAGCTCCCTCGATCCAATTCTGCCCTGGGATGTTCAGTGATGGCTTTTCCCTTCCTGGAGCCCCCAGCCCTGACCTGTGCCCTCCCCAGGACTGGACTGAGGGCTGAACCCCTGCTAAGATGCCATAACAAGGCAGAAATTACGACTGGGGCCATGCCTGAGCAAGGTCACTCATGCCTGTAATCCCAGCACTTCAGGAGGCCGAGGCAGGTGGATTACTTGAGGTCAGAAGTTCGAGGGCAGCCTGGGGAACATGGTGAAACCCCGCCTCTACTAAAAATACAAAAAATTAGCCAGGTGTGGTAGTGCACGCTTGTAATTCCAGCTACTTGGAGGGCTGAGGTGGGAGGATCTCTTGAACCTGGAGGCGGAGTTTGCAGTGAGCCGAGATTGCACCACTGCACTCCAGGCTGCGTGACAGAGTGGGGGAAAAAAAAAGGCTTGAGGCCATGGCTGGGTGCGGTGCCTCACGCCTCTAATCCCAGCACTTTGGGAGGCCAAGGCGGGTGTATCACTTGAGCCTAGGAGTTCGAGACCAGCCTGGGCAACATGACGATACCCTGTCTCTACTAAAAATACAAAAACCCAGGAGGCAGAGGTTGCAGTGAGTTGAGATGGCACCACTGCACTGCAGCCTGGGCAACAGAGCAAGACTGTTGTGGATGGACAGATGGGTAGATGGATGAGTAGGTGGATAGATGGGTAGGTTGGTAGATGGGTGGGTGGGAGGGTGGATAGATGGATGGATGGATGGGTGATCAATGGATGGATGGGTGGATGGATAGGTGGATGGGTGGGTGGGTGGATGGGTGGATGGATGGACAGTTGGGTGGGTGGATAGATGGATGGCTGCATGGGTGGATGATGGATGGATGAATGGATAGATGAATGAATGGCTAGGTGATGGATGGATGGATGGATGGGTACTGTTGGGTGCATGGGTGGAGAATGGGTGGATGGATGATGGGTGGGTGGATGGATGGATGAATGAATGGCTGGGTAATGAATGGACGGATGGATGGACGGTTGGGTGGGTGGATAGATGGATGGTACCATTGGGTGCATGAGTGGATGATGGATGGATGGATAGATGAATGAATGGCTGGATGATGAATGGGTGGATGATGGATGGATGGATAGATGAATGAATGGCTGGGTGATGAATGGATGGATGGATGGATGGGTACCACTGGGGGCATGGGTGGAGGATGGGTGGATGGATGGATGGGTGAATGAATGGCTGGGTAATGAATGGATGGATGGACGGTTGGATGGATGGGTAGGTGGGTAGATGGGTGGGTGGGTGCATGGGTGGAGAATGGGTGGATGGATGATGGGTGGGTGGATGGATGGATGAATGGCTGGGTAATGAATGGACGGATGGATGGGTGGGTGGGTGGATGGATGGACAGTTGGGTGGGTGGATAGATGGATGGCTGCATGGGTGGATGATGGATGGATGGATGGACAGATGAATGAATGGCTAGGTGATGGATGGATGGATGGATGGGTACCGTTGGGTGCATGGGTGGAGAATGGGTGGATAGATGATGGGTGGGTGGGTGGATGGATGAATGGATGGATGGTTCCCAGTGGATGGATGGGTGGGTGATGGGTCGGTGAGTGGGTGGATGTTGGGGGCATAGGTGTTTGGGTGGATGGAGGATGAGTGAGTGGGTGTGTGATGTGTAGATGGTCGAGTTACAGATGGAGCATCTGTGGATGGATGAATAACTCATGGGGGAAAGAGTGGCTGGGAGCGGGTTGGATCTGTGGATAGGTGAGTGAGACGGTGGATGGCCCTGAATTCATGGAGGGCTGGACAGACGCCTCCGCGAGGGAGAGCAGGGTGAACCTGGCCCACCTTGTCCCCACAGCTGCCCATAGTGGCTTCTTCCATCGTATCCTTGTACTTCCTGGAGCTGACCGACCTCTTCAAGCCGGCCAAGGTGGGCTTCCAGTGCTATGACCGCACTCTCTCCATGCCCTACGTGGAGACCAACGAGGAGCTCATCCCGCTGCTGATGCTGCTCAGCTTGGCCTTCGCGGCCCCTGCCGCCTCGGTGAGCACCTGCACCGGGGCCTGTGCCAGCCTGTGGGCACCACGGCTGGGAGCCCACCCCCGCCACCTCGGTGAACATCCACACTGGGGCCTGTCGGTGAACATCCACACCGGGGCCTGTGCCAGCCTGTGGGCACCGCAGCCACTGCCACCTCGGTGAACATCCACACCGGGGCCTGTGCCAGCCTGTGGGCACCACGGCTGGGAGCCCACCCCCGCCACCTCGGTGAACATCCACACCGGGGCCTGTGCCAGCCTGTGGGCACTGCAGATGGGAGCCCGCCTGAGCGCCCCCTCCCTGTGGGCACCGAGGCCTGAGCGCCCCCTCCCTGTTGGCAGATCATGGTGGCCGAGGGCATGTTGTACTGTCTGCAGTCCCGGCTGTGGGGCCGTGCCGGGGGGCCCGCCGGGGCGGAGGGCAGCATCAACGCCGGCGGCTGCAACTTCAACTCCTTCCTGCGGCGTACGGTGCGGTTTGTGGGTGAGTTGCGGGACGCGCCCCGACCCTGAGCTACCTCCACATGCAGGGGGTGGGGCTGTCCCGGGTCCCCAGCTCCCCGCCTGGCCGAGCCTTCCGCCCTGCAGGTGTCCACGTGTTCGGCCTGTGTGCCACAGCCCTGGTGACGGACGTGATCCAGCTGGCCACGGGTTACCACACTCCCTTCTTCCTCACCGTCTGCAAGCCCAACTACACTCTCCTGGGCACGTCCTGCGAGGTCAACCCCTACATCACGCAGGACATCTGCTCCGGCCACGACATCCACGCCATCCTGTCTGCACGGTGAGCCGGACCCCCAACTCCCCTGACTGGGAGCCTTCTTCCGCCCCGGTGAACATGCGGGGAAACAGAGACACAGAGAGGCCACTGGAGCTGGGGTCCCCAGGTGGGCGGGGCTCACGCTGGACGCCTCTTACAGGAAGACCTTCCCGTCCCAGCACGCCACGCTGTCAGCCTTCGCCGCGGTCTATGTGTCGGTGAGTCCGGCCCCTCACTGCCCTTCCCAGGCCCTCTTGCTGACCCGTGGGGAGCCCTCCCTGACCCCAACCCCCATGCCCCAGATGTACTTCAACTCGGTCATCTCGGACACCACCAAGCTGCTGAAGCCCATCCTGGTCTTCGCCTTTGCCATCGCCGCGGGCGTATGCGGGCTCACGCAGATCACGCAGTACCGCAGCCACCCTGTGGACGTGTATGCCGGCTTCCTCATCGGGGCGGGCATCGCTGCCTACCTGGTGAGTGGCAGGTTCTGATGGGGGTCGGCATGGGTTCCCAGGGGATCTGAGGGGGGAGGCATGAGTGCCCACAGGGCCTGAGTGGGGAGGCTGGCCCAGGGGTCTGAGGTGGGAGGCAGGCTCAGGGGGTCTGACAGGGGAGGCTGGTAGCCTGAGGGGTGAGGCATGGTTCCCAGGGGTTCTGGCGGGGGGCTGGCCCAGAGGGTCTGAGGGGGGAGGCATGGGTGCCCAGGGGCTCTAGGGGGGAGGCACGGGTGCCCAGGGTGTCTGAGGGGATAGACGTGGGTCCCGAAGGGGTCTTAGGGGGAAGGCATGGGTGCTGAAGTGTCTCGCCCTTGGAATGCTGGAGTCAGAATCCCGTGGGCTCAGACCTGCCCGATGTGCTGGGTCAGCAACCTTGGGGTGGGAACCGGTCCCACTGGACAAGAGCTTGCCAGCCCCCACCCCCGGTCCAGAGCCCCCCGCGGCAAGTCCAACGATCACAGGGGAGGAGCCCTCTGAGCCCCAGGCCTCACCCCCAGACCCCTCTCCCCGACAGGCCTGCCACGCGGTGGGCAACTTCCAGGCCCCACCTGCAGAGAAGCCCGCGGCCCCGGCCCCCGCCAAGGACGCGCTGCGGGCCCTGACGCAGCGGGGCCACGACTCGGTTTATCAGCAGAATAAGTCGGTGAGCACCGACGAGCTGGGGCCCCCAGGGCGGCTGGAGGGCGCGCCCCGGCCCGTGGCCCGCGAGAAGACCTCGCTGGGCAGCCTGAAGCGCGCCAGCGTGGACGTGGACCTGCTGGCCCCGCGCAGCCCCATGGCCAAGGAGAACATGGTGACCTTCAGCCACACGCTGCCCAGGGCCAGCGCGCCCTCGCTGGACGACCCCGCGCGCCGCCACATGACCATCCACGTGCCGCTGGACGCCTCGCGCTCCAAGCAGCTCATCAGCGAGTGGAAGCAGAAGAGCCTGGAGGGCCGCGGCCTGGGGCTGCCCGACGACGCCAGCCCCGGGCACCTGCGCGCGCCCGCCGAACCCATGGCGGAGGAGGAGGAAGAGGAGGAGGACGAAGAGGAAGAGGAGGAGGAGGAAGAGGAGGAGGACGAGGGCCCGGCCCCGCCCTCGCTCTACCCCACCGTGCAGGCGCGGCCGGGGCTGGGGCCTCGGGTCATCCTCCCACCGCGCGCGGGGCCGCCGCCGCTGGTGCACATCCCGGAGGAGGGCGCGCAGACGGGGGCCGGCCTGTCCCCCAAAAGCGGCGCCGGGGTGCGCGCCAAGTGGCTCATGATGGCCGAGAAGAGCGGGGCGGCAGTGGCCAACCCTCCGCGGCTGCTGCAGGTCATCGCCATGTCCAAGGCTCCGGGCGCGCCGGGCCCCAAGGCGGCCGAGACGGCGTCGTCGTCCAGCGCCAGCTCCGACTCCTCGCAGTACCGGTCGCCGTCGGACCGCGACTCCGCCAGCATCGTGACCATCGACGCGCACGCGCCGCACCACCCCGTGGTGCACCTGTCGGCCGGCGGCGCGCCCTGGGAGTGGAAGGCGGCGGGCGGCGGGGCCAAGGCGGAGGCCGACGGCGGCTACGAGCTGGGGGACCTGGCGCGCGGCTTCCGCGGCGGGGCCAAGCCCCCGGGCGTGTCCCCCGGCTCGTCGGTCAGCGACGTGGACCAGGAGGAGCCGCGGTTCGGGGCCGTGGCCACCGTCAACCTGGCCACGGGCGAGGGGCTGCCCCCGCTGGGCGCGGCCGATGGGGCGCTGGGCCCGGGCAGCCGGGAGTCCACGCTGCGGCGCCACGCGGGCGGCCTGGGGCTGGCGGAGCGCGAGGCGGAGGCGGAGGCCGAGGGCTACTTCCGCAAGATGCAGGCGCGCCGCTTCCCCGACTAGCGCGGCGGGGCCGGGGGCGGGCGGGGGGCGGGCCGAGGGCGCGGGCGGCCGCGCGGATGCTCAATAAAGCGGCAGAAACCGAGGTCCGGCTCTTGGTCATTCGCTCTGGCCCGCACGCCCCACGCAGGGACCCCCACTCTCAGGGCCGGGCCCACCCCGCCCGTGGCCCCACCTGGCGCTTCGGCGGACACCCGGGCGGGAGTCGGGGCCGCCCGCGGCACAGAAAGAGGAAGCCAGCAACGAAGGCGGAACGGAGCGAGGATACAGAAGATTTATTCGAAGTCCAGGTACAGACTGGCCAACCTGCCTCTACAGCGTCCACAGCGAACACAGGGCTAGACAAGGGAGGAGTTTCTCAAACGGTTTTAATCGGTTCTCTCCGCGTCACAAGCCATCGGGTAAGGCAACGGAATGTGCGTGGGGTCCCCTGTGGCTCCGCGGTCACAATACTGAGCCTGGAATTGCTGTTAGCAAAATATACATTTGTGTCACCATAAAAAACCGCGCCGCCGCCCCTCGGGTCTCACAACAGGTATAAAAAATTATAAATATTTACACCCTTGTTACACGCTTTTACGGAAAGGGGATCCTAGGAGAGCCCCCGGGACAGGACGCGGGGGCGGTAGAAAGAGCACAGAGAAGACAGGAGGAGCGCCCGCCTTCCGGGTCCCAGCATCAGAGGCAGGCAAAACACAGAAATGAGACTTTGGTCCAAAATTTGAAGGAAGAAAAAACCCTGAAGTTTGAGAGCAAGTTTTCTAGGCGACTGCAGGTGAAGGCGTGGTGTAAGGCAACCGGAGGCGATGCCAGAGGCGGCGACACGCCCGCCCCTTCCCTGAAGCTCAGGGGCTCTAAGATAGGACCGGGGCTCCCTGTGCCTGACCCACTGGGCGGCCCCGCCTGCTCTCTGGAAACTGGGTCCTGCCTGTGACTTAATTACAAGGAATAAAATAAAAGTAACAGCATACAAGGTAATACCACAAGGAAGTTTAGATTACACTCATACCATTGTATCATCTTGCTATAAAAAGTTACTTAAAACTATTTCTTTTGCATATAAATGAAAAAAGATTAGAATATTTGGTCAACTGGAAATATTGCTAGGCACAGACGTCTGCAACTGCAAAGTATATAATACAGAGATTATGTCGACCAGCTCCGCAGCTGGAGCAGCGGGGAGCCCGCCTGGGGGCAGAAGGGAAGGCCCTGGGGGCGGGGTGAAGGGAGAATCACGTGACTTGATTAGAGGGCTGGGGTTGGGGTGTCGCAGCCGCGGCCGCCGCGCCCCAGCTGCATGATCCTGCAGGAGCCGGCCAGGCCCCCTGCCTCTCTCTGGTGTGACCCCCCCACCCCTTGGGTCCCCAGGACACCCCGGGTGGGTGTGTGGCTGCAGGAAGGCAGGTTTTTTAAGGCACAAGGAAGCCAAGTCGTGGTCGGGGCGCCCACCTGCAGGCCCCACGCCCGACACAGGCCCCACCAAGGCATGGCCCCGAGGGTCTGGCCCCGGGTGTGGAGGGCCGGGAACTCCCGCTGCCACAGTCACCAAGAGCCTGAGCTGTCCCTGTCACCGCAGGGTGAGCAAGGTGAACTAGATTTAATTTTTTTAAAAACAGGTAAACTGATTTCTCTTTAAAAAAATAAAATCTCTGGTCTGCTAAGGTCACTTCAGCTGTTTTTAAAGTGGCTTTTCTCTGGAATGATGGAAGTTGTCGCCAGGGGGCCCGGCCGTGGGGGCCTGTGCCCCTAGATGGTGGACTTGGAGAAGGAGACCCGCAGGTGGTGGTTCTCCCCGAGGTCGTGGTTGTGCAGGTCAATGAGGGCCTGGACCGCCTCCTCCACGGAGCCCATCTGGATCAGTGCCATCTTGCGGTCCTTCCTGCAAGACAGGGGGTCAGGGCCGGCCGCAGGGCAGCCTGGGGAGAGCCAGGGACAGCCCGCCTCATACTCACTGGAAGAACTTGAATCCTTTGACGACGCCCCCATTGCTGGAAAACAGGACCTTGAGATCCTCCTCGGAGACTGAGGGCCTGTGGGAGGAGAAAGGCGTGAGCCTGGGGCCGCGTGGGGGTGGGGGCGCCCAGTCAGGTCCGCGAGGCTTTCCCCAGACTAGTTTTCAGAGTAGCCGGGGAAGGCGTAGGGCCTTTTAGGAGCCCAGAAATGGGGTATCAAATCATGTCCACAATGGTCTGAAGCAGCTTCTAACGAAACCAGGCATCTACAAGTTTGCAGAAACAGAGTACCACGCTCCTCCACTTTTTTTTTTCCAGATGGAATCTTGCTCTGTCGCCCAGGCGGGAGCACAGTGGCGTGATCTCAGCTCACCACAACCTCCGCCTGCAGGTTCAAGTGATTCTCCTGCCTCAGTCTCCCAAGTAGCTGGGATTACAGGCACGCAACACCATGCCAGGCTAATTTTTTTATTTTTAGTAGAGACGGGGTTTCACCAGGTTGGCCAGGTTGGTCTTGAACTCCTGACCTCAGGTGATCTGCCTGCCTCGGCCTCCTAAAGTGCTGGGATGATAGGCGTGAGCCACTCTGCCAGGCCCCTTGTTGATTTTCTGATAACATTTCACAAGTAACGTGTTAAATATCAAAGGGCTTACTACTGGTTGACATGCTTGGGGCCAGATGTACCTGCATTTCCAAATACTTGCATTATGTAATTTTTACAGACAGGGTCTTACTCTGCCGCCCAGCCTGGAGTCTGGCAGTGCAATCACAGCTCACTGCAACCTCAACCTCCTGAGCGCGAAGTGAACCTCCCACCTCAACCTCCCAATCCGGAAGAGCTGGGACCTGACGTGCACACCACCACTCCTAGCTAATTTTAACCAATTGTTCCTGTAGAGACAGAGGTCTCACTTTATTGCTCAGGCTGGTCTTAACTCTTGGGTTCAAGCAATCCCCTGCCCGGCCCCCCACAGTACTGGGATTATAAAGGTGTGCATTAGGCCAGGCGTGGTGGCTCCCACCTGTTATCCCAGCACTTTGGGAGGCCGAGGCGGGTTGATCACAAAGTCAGGAGATCGACACCATCCTGGCTAACACAGTGAAACCCCGTTTCCACTAAAAATACAAAAAATTAGCCGGGCGTGCTGGCGGGCACCTATAGTCCCTCCCAGCTACTCGGGAGGCTGAGGCAGCAGAGTGGCATGAACCCAGGAGGCAGAACTTGCAGAGATCCCGCCACTGCACTCCAGCCTGGGCGACAGAGCGTGACTCCATCTCAAAATAAGTAAAATAAATAAATAAATAAATAAATGTGGCTAGGCGCGGTGGCTCACGCCTGTATCCCAGCACTTTGGGAGGCCGAAGCAGGCGGATCACAAGGTCAGGAGATCAAGATCAGCCTGGCCAATATGGTGAAACCCCGTCTCTACTAAAAATACAAAAATTAGCCAGGTGTGGTTGTGGGTGCCTACAGTCCCAGCTACTCGGGAAGCTGAGGTGGCACAATCACTTGAACCCAAGAGGCGGAGGTTGCAGTGAACCGAGATCGTTCCACTGTACTCCAGCCTGGGTGACAAAGCAAGACTTCGCCTCAAAAAATATAAATAAATAAATGTGTGCATTATACATTCTCACAGGGAGCATCCCCTGAGCCAAAACCTCCAAAGTGTCCAACGACCCCCTCCCTTGAGCAGCCCTCGGCTCAAGCTCCAGGCCTTGCAGTACTTCAGGTTTGGGGTAAGAGGTGCCCGACCTGCACTCTGGAAACGCCAGAAGTCCACACACCGACGCGGTAGGACAGCCAAGCAGAGCCCTTGCCCGCCCCCGGCCCCATGAGCCCCCCGGCCCAGCACTCACGGGATGTTGGAGAGGTGCAGCGTGGCCGAGGGCGGGAATATGTTCTGGAAGTTCTTGGAGCCCGGCTTCTTGAAGCGGTGCAGGGGTGAGTTGCCGTAGTCCTTGGTCAGGCCCTGGTCCTCCTGGCCCTCGCGGGGCAGCTGCACGTTCTGGTGCTTCGAGAGCGTGATGCGGATGGGCTTCCCGTGCAGCTTGTGCCCGTTCAGGTGGCTCATGGCTGGGGGAGCAGCACCCGCGTGACCAGGCGCCCGAGAGGGAACGCAGCCCCCGCCCCTGCCCCCTCCACCCCGGGGCCGCCCCGGCCTCTTACCCAGCTGGGCCTGGTTGCCGTCCGCCATCTGCACTAGGGCGTTCTCCTTCTTATTGAACAGGATCTTCACGCGCTGCACGTCACCGTAGACGCCTTCAAAAGCCCAGGGATGGGGCCTGAGTCTCCTGCTGCCTGCCCCGCCCATCTCCCCGTCAGCCCCGGCCCCGCGCACCCCCACAAGGCCCGGCTCAGCCCGGCCGGGTTTGCTTTATCGGCCACTGCGGAGCTGCGTCTCGCAGCCACAGGGCGCGCTAACAGGAGCAGCTCCGTTCAGCAAAGTCATAGCATCCAGGACAGGTAAGCTGCCAGCGGGTGGCCACGGTGGCATATGCCACCGACAGGTCTAACTCTGAAAAGCATGCAGGGCGATAAACCATGCGTACGTATCTACGGGACCAAATAAAATTCGCAAACCGAAAGCAAACCATAAAACGAGGCGGATGCCACGGAGCATCAGAGTGCCAAACCGCAAACTCATAATACGTCTCAGGGCATCAAAATCATCTCAATTAATGAAAACAAGGTAATAAAAGTGTGAACGATAACATACCGAAAAGAATAAAGAGGCTTTGGGGTGTGACTCTCTTTAGAGACAGCAGAGCAAGGCAGCGGAGGGACAGGGGAGAGGGAGAGGTCAAGGGGGGCGAGTTGCCAATCGTCCACACGAGGAAGACAGTCCCCGCAGGCGTGCAGTGGTTGATGGATGATGAAGTTGTCAGGATGTTAATATTCAAGGGCAGGTTGGTTTCCGGAGAGCAGGGTTTGAGGGGGAATTTTTGTTTTTTATTTGTTTATGTTTTTGTTTTGTTTCAAGCAACAACAGGAAGCAGAAGTACCGTGCAGTCAGTTGGCAAAGAAATTCCGGATCAGGGCAAGAAAAAAAATAGGGAAAGGGGAAGGGGAGAAAAGAAAAAAAGTAGCAAAAAAACACAGGTCAGTAAATACATAAGAATCAGGTAGTGTTCTATCAGTCACACTCCACACACATTCCAGTTACAGGTTTACCTCGACGGGCACACGGTAAGAGAAGCACCTTCACTCACATGCCGGCAGAGACAGCGCTGCTGGAGGGGCTCCCAGAAGCCGATCCCAACCACGCCCCCCAGGAGCGCGCGTGCAGCTCCGCTCGCGGCCACCTCAGCCAAGCCCTGCAGCAGCGCTGTCTCCCGCAGCTGTGGCACAAGTCAGTCTCTAAGGACGATTACAGGCGTGAAGGGAGATCGAGTCTGTTAGTGCACGGCCTCGCTCAGGAGGAGCTGGAGGGACAGCACCCGGCTCGTGGTAAGAGGCACAGGCAGGGAGTGCGTCCTGGGCCCCCGCGAGGGAGGGCCAGGCTGGGCACCGCCTTGAGGAAGTCACAGGAGTTGCCGGGAAACAGAACAGCCTGAAATGCTGATTCCAGGAGGATCCCATCCATCAAGAGTTACATATTTTGGGCCTCTTGTTTCACCCAAGCTCTCCCCGAGGGGAATTTAACCATTCTGGGAAATAACGGATCCACCAGTTAAGTGACAGGCTCTCGAGCCACAGGGGCTGCCCACACCCCGCCGCGCTAACCCTGTGTGTCCCGCTGACCAGCAGGGCGGCCTGCTGGGGCTCTGAACTGCGCGCCCTGCTCAGCTCCAAGTAATTTTTAGATTGCCTTTGGGTAACCAAAAAATAATTCATTCTGCGTATCATGCAAGAGAAAACGCGAACCAAGATGTGAATTCAGGAAAAGAGGAAAACTCAAGCCATCTTGGAAAAGGAGGGTCTCAGCGCTGCAGCAGAGGGGCTGCCAGGGCAGAGGCGCAGACACAGCGAGGGGCGGCGCTGCTCCGGGACCCGAGCCCGAGCACAACATCCCCTGCTCGCTCTTCCGGGAGGAACGGCGGCGCGGAGGAAAAGCCCACGTACCTCTGGGTTGAGGTTGCTGACCAGCAATACAGAATTTCCTGCCCCCGCCAGGCCCGGGATGGCGATCCGACCTGCCGCCGCAGCTGCCGCCGCCGCCGAGGGGATGGCCAGGGGGGCCAGGGCGCCGTGGACGTTCGGAACGGAAAGGCCTGGAAAAGCAGGAGGTGAGATGAGCGGCGGCGCCCCCGACTCCACCGCAGAGTGGGAGAGGCCGACGCTCCCCGTCCTCATGCACCGAGGAGCCGAGCCGCGCGGGAGGCGGCCCTGGCTCTGGCCCTACCCTGGGTGCCTGTGGGGTCGTCCGACCCCCGCACAGCCACCCGCCGGCTCCTGCACCAGCGCCCGCCTCTCCTCACAGCACGGGCCGGGCCGGGCCTGGGCTCATCTGCATGCGCCCCGCCCACAGCACAGAAAAGCTCCGGCTCCGCCAGCACAGACACGGGGCCCTCGGCAAGCAGGGCCCGTCCCGGGACCACCGCGCATGCGCGCCCATGCCTCCATGCAGACGAGGCGGCCGCCGGGCGGCACGCGCTGCTCCGTCCACGGCCAGCACTGGGGCGGCCGGGCCCCGGTCCCAGAAGGGAAGCGGGAGGACGGCCACGCACACACGTCCCGCCGCCGGTCATGCTGCTCAGCCTCGGGCCGCGCGCTTACCAGGCCACTCAAATTCAACTACTAGAGACATCCCTCCAACCACTGGCGGTCCTCGCGCTCGCCCGGAGGTGCTTGAAGGGAACCAGACCACAAAGACTGTGCGATTAGCGGCTTCTGGCTGGCGCCGTCCACACGTGGGCCTCCACAGCCCTGTCCTACCACTGCCCTGGCCAAGCCTGCTCTGTGGACGTGGCGTCCCCTCTCCCGGGAAGGGCCCCTGACCTGGCACTCGAGTGCCCAGTCCGCCCAGGCTGCCGCCGTGGATGCGGAGCTGCCTGGGAAGGTGGTGTGGGCATGCAGTCGCTGGGGAACCAAGACCAAGCGTTTGAATACCTGCAGCTTGAGGAATGGCAAAGGTGGGAGGGAAACCAGCTCCTGCATACGGAGAGGCTGAGATTATACCAGGTGCACCTAGAAATAAATGAGACACTAATCATCGCACCCACAACCTCCACCGCGAGCGGGCGCTGTGCTGCGGGATGGGCCCCAACCCGGCCGGCGGGCGGCCCCGGCAGAGCCTTCGCGGGCAGATCCGCTGCTCCAGGGGGGGCCGTGGTCCCGACGTGGGGGACACTGGACCGTGCTGTGCTGGCCGTGCAGAGAGCAGCAGGTGCATCACCCTGGTGCAGGGCCGGGCCCGTGCCGCCGGGGCTCCGGACTGAGCGGCCCTAATAGACCACTCTGCACACTGGCGCCGCGTCGGGCAGCCTCTTACCGAAGGCCGCGGCCATGGTCTGGTCCAGCGAGGGCTGGCTGTCCCCGGAAGGCAGGTCTGGGCGTGTGTAGTCACGGCTCTTGTCATTGTTGTACTTGACGTTGAGGCTGGTGAGCTTGGAAAAGTCGATGCGCAGCGTGCAGCAGGCGTTGTAGATGTTCTGCCCGTCCAGCGACTGAGGGGAGAGGGACCGTGAGACGTCGCCGGGCCAGGGCCAGGGCGGGCGCCGTCCCGGGAGCCCCACTCACCAGCTTGGCGTGCTGGGCGCTCACGGGGTCCGCATACTGCAGCAGGGCCTGGAACTGGTTGTTCTTGGTGAAGGTGATGATCTTCAACACTGTGCCGAACTTGGAGAAAATCTGCAGGTCCCGGGCCACAGCATGAGCTCCTGCCCGGTGCCCACCAGCCCTGCCAGGCCCCTCCCGTGTGCCTGTGCCCACAGCAATAGCAGCCGACCTGCCCTGGCGGTGATGGGACCACCTCACCTGGTGCAGCACATCCAGGGTCACAGGGTAGAAGAGGTTCTCCACGATGATCCTGAGCACGGGGCTCTGCCCGGCCATCGCCATCCCTGCGTCCACGGCCGCCGCCGAGGCAGCCAAGGCCAGGTTCCCCGACTGGACCGAGTTCACCGCCTGCAGGGCCGCCTGGGCCCGCTGTGGGAGGCACAGCCGTGAGTCCCCGGCCCCTGCGGCTGGGCCCACCCCCGAGGTCCCCGGGCTGCTGGGGTCCGCCGCGGGGCCACGCACCGCCTGGTTGGGAGAGCTGTCGGTCTTCAGCTCCTTGTGGTTGGAGAACTGGATGTAGATGGGCTGGCCGCGCAGCACAGGGGTCACCGAGGTGTAGTAGTTCACCATGGTGTTGGCAGCCTCCTCCGTGTTCATCTCGATGAAGGCCTGTTGGGGAGGCAGTGAGCGCTGGGCCCTCCTCGTCCCCGCCTGCACGGTGTGAGCACCCCGGAGAAACGCGGCTCAGGTACCTGGTTTTTCCCCTTCAGCATCAGGAGGTTGGTGACCTTCCCAAAGGGCAGCCCCAGGGAGATGACTTCCCCCTCCGTGACGTCGATGGGGAGCTTCCGGATGTGGATCACTCTAGAGGGGACGCCTGCACTTCGGCTGTCACCTTTGAACTTCTTGCTGTCATTTCCGTTTGCTGAAAAGGGGGTGCCATGAGATGCAGGCACCAACTCGCAGGAGCCCACAGAGGAAGGTCCCTGCTATCCCCCTAGAGCCCTGCCTGCTACGGAGACCAACCCTGAGCCCCAGGAGGGTGCATGTGAACCAGCAGCGCGAGAGGCCAAGACCTGCACAGTCAGGACCCCTGCTCCCGACAGCTCCTGACAACCCGCCCACAGGTCCAAGTGCCAGCCTGGACCATCCATCCAGCGCCTCCCTGGAAATTCTCTGCAGCGAGAACTTGGACCTGGGTCTGTAGCGTGGACCATGGGCCCCTGCAGTTGGAGATGGAAAGTAGAGTCCCAGAACAAGAACGTAACGTTGTTCCAGGGAAAGACACCCACGGGTCTTGCCCTGGGCCGAGTCCCGGCCTTACCTGCAGAAGCCGAGTTGCTGCTCATGATAAACGGTCCGTTAGTGACACAAGTAGAGAAAAGCTCGTCAGATCCCCGCTGCAAGAGAAGGGACAACGCGGAGCTGCACTTCCCACCAGGCCAGAGCCTCCCTTCCCCACCGGCCGGCCCTGCTCCCACTTGGGCTGCCTGGGGTCCCAGACCCCCAACCCATACCCACACCCACACTTCCACGGCAGGGCAGCCTGAGCGCAGACCCAGCCCATGGACGCGCACGGCACCCCACAGCTCCACGACCAAAACACTGCTCCTTTTTCCAAATTCTGGAAGCCCTGGGTACTCAGCCAGTGTGGGGCTGGGAGGCTCTCAGCTACGGAGGGCACCACGTACACTATCTCCACGGCCAACTCTGCTGTGGACGTGGCCTCACTGTGCTGCCAGCGGCCCTGGGCACAGGCCTGGGGCCTCAGCCACCAGCCAGCAGGGCAGAGGACCCCCTCCATGGAGCCAGCCCCCCCAGCAGCACACGGCAGGGCCCAGGCAGCCGTCCTCACTTCTGGTGGCCTCGCAAGAGAACCAAATTATAGCGCTGCCTCCCTCACTCTCGCAGGAGCCCCTCCTCTCCTGTTTTCCAGCCCGGAAAAGAAACCCGACCTCCGTCTCTGCACACGCGAGACTGAGGACTAGAGACACGGCCTCCCGCCCAGTGATCCGCTGGTATCGCGGCCGTGACTAGGGCCGGGGGAGCTCCACAGCGGCTCCATCACTTCTGACCTGTCCATTTTCTCTCCAGAAACAATCTATTCACTGGTTATTTCTATGTAATTGGATCAACTTCTAAGAATTGCACTAGACTGATCCTAGGCTCAGGACGGCAGACATCCCCCCCGCTGCAAGGATTGAAGACACACGTTTATTCAAAGAGTGAAATTGGAGGAGACGTTGGTTACGGCCCTTAGTTACACAGAAAACAAAGCTCGGGTCTGAGGACCTTGGAGCACAGGCGCTTGGTCTGCAAAGCGAGCCTCTGCAGGCGCTGAGGGCAGCAACGCCCAGGCCCCCCAGGACAGGGCCATCCCAGGGAACAAAGGAGCCTCCATCTCCCGTATCAGGATTGAGGCCAAGAGCCTGCCCCCACCTGCTGAAGGGCCCAGGGCCATCGCATCAGAAAGAACCAGTGGATATCACACCCTGTCCCCCCTCAGACAACCCCCAGCTCCACACACCCCCATGCCTGGTCAAGGAGCTGCCCCCACACCTGGCCAAAGAGCCCCCACCAACGCTGGCCTCCCCGAGCCTGCGCTTGGTCTTCTCTTAAGGCCGCCTCCCCTCCACCCACGTTCAGCTCCACTCCTGCCCTGGCCCTGGCTCAAGAGCTTCCTGGAAGGAAGACTGCCCGAGCCTCCAAAGCCCCACAGCTGCCTCCTCCCGACGCGGACGGCAAGAGCCTCGGGAGACTCCGGCACCTGCTCAAGGAGGATGGGGAACAGGGACTGGCCCTTGCCAATGAGACCTCTAACTGCAGCCCTGAGTCTCCCACCAATCCCACAAGCACTCAGGGCGTCACCAAACAAGCAATCGAGCAGCCACAAGGGCCGGAACCAGGAATCACTCAGGGTCCACAGGCCCGGCGCCCACCCAAATGGCACCTGTTCAGTCCCCAAGACTTTAGGGTCAGAGAATGAACAGTGTCCAGTGTCACGGCGGCCCTGAGGTTCCGGCCGGACACAGATGAAGCCAAATACTGAAAACAGACCCTCGAGTCCTCTCGCTTTCAGAGTCTGGGGCCCCCTATGAGCACAAGGCGGGGCTGCGCAGGCCCAGGGGAAAGGGGTCAGAGCCAGCCGCCTCAGGTGGAAACCACGCGATCAGAAAACACAGCAGTGCCAGGACCGGAGGAAGGGAGGACGGGAGGAAGGGAGGATGGGTGCACCTGAGACGCAGGGCCTCCAACCTTCGCCTCCCACAGGAAGTCGCTTCCTGTCTGCTCTCCCCTCCAGCTCAGAGGCTGGGGGAGCCCAGGAGCCGACCCCGTCCAGGACACCAGGGCTGGTCCTCCCCCAAGCTGGAGAGTGGCCAAGCGCCCATGCGGCTCCCATGTGCTGGCTGCACAAACCTTAAAAAGGGCATCTTGGACCCTGTCTTTGACTGGAGTGGTGGGCGGGGCCGCTTCCTCTGAGCGGTCCTCTTGGCCGCCTGCCTGAAGCCCTAATCTCATTCCCATGGGCAAGTGGCCTGGCATTGCCCACAACTGTCTGCGGCAGCAAACTCCATGCCTGCCCAGGCGGCACAGGCCGGCTTGGCTCAGCTCAACGGCGCCCCAGCAGAACGGAAGGGACACCTGGAGGCTCCGAGGCTCCACAGGGCAGCAACCAGGAGACACGAGCTGGGCCTAGCGCCTCCACTGCCTTCACAGCAGCTGCCAGGTACCCCAGGAGGGTCCCTTCAGGGCACCTGTCCTGAAGCACACAGATTGACAGGAAACGCCCCAGGACTTCCAGTCTGCAGCTGGGGCCCTACAGCACAGTTCCTAGGTGTCTTTAACCCCACACTGAACAAGAGCTTGCTCTGTCCTGGGCTAAAGGACAGCGTAGCCAGGTGTGGGCCCAGGTCAGCTGAGGGCTCCCTGGTGGTGGGGGGGAGGGGGGGTATCATCTGGGTCAGGGTACTACCCCGTCCTCCTACCAGGGCCTGCACCCAGCAGGAGCCCTAACCCTGCCCTGTGGCAAAATCCCTCCCGCAGGCTTCAAGTCCTGGCTGGGCTTCAACGTCCCAGCCCAGGAGCCCCCTAGGAACTGCAGAGGAGGGCTCAAGGACCACCCGATGGAAGCTGAGGGCCACTCCAGCTGGAAAGCAGGCCCACAGAAGCAGGGAAGAGACGACTGCCTGCAAGCCAGACACATCTAGGGATTGTTGCAAATGCTTCAGATGAAAGTACCTCTCCCTCCTCCCACACTGAACAAACAGGTTTTATCTCCAGGAAGATCGGGGCAGGCAGCGCGTAAAGACAGCAGTCCACTTGGGAAAAACCGAAACCTGGCCCAGGCACCACTGCTGACTGACCAGAAACCAACTGGCTGCTGGCTCAGGACGCCACCACTGTGGGCTCGCCCTGCGGGAGGCTCTCGGGGCACAAGCCCTGAAGTCGGGAGCCCCCTCAACCCACAATGACCAGCAGAATCATTAACCAACTACCCCAGCTAAGCGAGGACTACAGCTCCCTCGAGAATCGCCTCCCCAGGACCTTCTTCTTCTCCAGGTTCTGACCCCCTTTCCTCACATGCTGAGCCCTGGCCTCACCCTCCATGGGGCTGCAAGATTCGCACACCCCAGAGACGTGGCACATTCATTTTTCTCTTGCCCCAAACACCACCTTTGACAGTTTGCTGCTGTTCTAACCAGATGCCATCAAAGATACTTAATGTCAGCCGGGTCTGGCGGCTCACAACTGTAATCCCAGCACTGTGGGAGGCCAAGGGGGGTGCATCACCTGTGTTCCAGACCAGCCTGGCCAACAATGTTCGAAACCCCATCTTTACCAAAAAAAAAAAAAAAAAATACAAAAATTAGCTGGGCATGGTGGTGGGCACCTGTAATCCCGGCTACTCAGGAGGTTGAGGCAGGAGAATCGCTTGAACCTGAGAGGTGGAGGTTGCAGTGAGCCAAGATCACACCACTGCACTCCAGCCTGGTGACAAAGCAAGACTCCATCTCAAAAATAAAAAACAAAAACAAAAACAAAAAAACTTAACGTCAAAATCAACCAGTAAATGCCCATCCTAGCCACTCAAATAGGCTGGATTCTATCCAGGTCCCCTCCACAGCCAGGTGGCTCTTTTCCTATCAAAACCAAGAGTCTCCCAGGCAGCCACAACATGAGGTTTCCCACTGAACGGCACGATTCCAGCCTCTAGAGGCAGAAGTTCCAAAGGCAGGCCTGGGGCACACAGAGCCCTCGCTGCTGACAGCAAGAACCGAAGAGCAGCTCAGATTCCAGACCTGAGGGGCGGCCAGCAAACCCAAGCCCCCAAAACTCACGGGCACTGGAGCCCGGGGTTCAAACCCTACCGCCCAACTCCAGATTCCAGACCAAGGGTAGTGCCCCTTAGGAATGGAAAAGCGCCCTCTAGCCAACGCAACAGCGCTGGGGGGTGGCCCCCGGGGTCGGCACAAGGTCAGAGGAGCGTCACGGAGAAGCAAAGTGAGAAGTGCCTACCTTTGTACCAACGGCTATATCTGGGACAATGCTGTAGAGAGAAAGAAAGGAGACAACGTTAGCCTGGTGGCCACTCAGCAGCAGGAGCACCCAGCTGTCCCCGGGCCAGGAGAGCCCGTAGGTCCCTGCAGCTGCCACCTCCGCAGGGCTCCCTCTGGCTGCACGAGGCCCCGCTAGAG
The DNA here is from genome assembly GCF_000001405.40 of Homo sapiens. NCBI lineage: Eukaryota > Metazoa > Chordata > Mammalia > Primates > Hominidae > Homo > Homo sapiens. Next base: position 799,264 of record NC_000019.10, on the reverse strand, counting down.
AAAGCTCAGAAGGGCAGGGAAGTGAGCCGTCCACTTGACTGCAACTTGAAAAGGGGCCACCATTGTCCTTTGGCGCCCCTCCCTCCCAGCAGGACCCCAGGCCCCACCTCTGGACCAGGCCCCACACGTTCCAAGACAAAGACACCCCCATCGGAAGCCCCGAGGAATGCTAGATGCCGCTGAGAGGGTTCAAGGGCTGCTGTGTGCTTTCCAGTAAGTTGGAAACGCCTCGGAGAGGCTGAAACTGGCAAACTCACAGGCCTGGGCCAGAGCTTCCACCCGGGTAGGGGTGGGCCCCCAAGAGGGTGCCTCTCAGCAGAGTGGAGCCCGATCCACCGAGGAGAGCAGGAGGCGGCCGTGGAAACCGTCAATAAAAATTAACAGACCGACCAGAACACAGCCTCAGTTACTGATCAACCCGAGCCCCGCCCGACCCGACTCTCCCTCCTCGGGACACCCCGGGGGGAAGGTGGATAGAAAGCCGGACTGTCCGAGGCCCTCCCTTCAGCCCCGGCCAGGTCCTGACCCAACAGTGAGCTCCCCACGGCTTCTCCCGGCCACTGCAACTCCCGGCGAGGCCCTAAGTGACTCGGAGCGTCCGTCGGAAGGGCAGCCTCCGGGCCTCCTGCCTCACTCCGGGAGGCGAGTGCGCGGCCCCCGAGCCCGCGGTGCTGGGTCCGAGAGCGGGGAGCCCTCGTCTCGCCGTCTGCAGGACCCACCTGCCCGCACGCATGCTAAGGGGTCCAGACCCACTCTAGGGCTGCGCCTCTTCTGACACCACAGACTGCACGGACCACGTTTAACAGACTTTTAAAAGTGACTGAACCCAAGAAAAACTTCTCAGGAAAACGGAAAGAATGCGAAACATCTCCAGCCTCTCCCGCTTCCTATTCCCAGGGAGGGCCTCGCGCAGGAAGCGCTCGGCGGGACACGGCCTTTCTGGAGGGGGCTCCCACCTCTCCCAAGGGAAGCCCGCCCAGCAAAGCCGCCCGGAAAGGCTGCCCCGGCCCGAGAGCCGGGAAGGCCCCTCCCCATGACGGCGCCCGCGGGGGTCCCTGGAGAGGCCCCTCCGGCCCCGGGGCGGAGGACAGACCCTCGGGGCGGCCGCTTCTCTCCCGAGATCACCGAAACCCCTTGGCCGCGGCCCGGGGCGCACGGGGGGCAGGGGTAGGGCGGGGAGCGCAGAGACTCGGGCCCGCGGCGAGGCCCCGGCGCCAGCTTTCCCTCCCGGCGGCCGCCCCAGCCCCGCCTGCGCTTCCGGGGCTGCGCCGGGGGCAGAGTCCGGGCGGCGGGAAAGGCGCGCGCCCCCGATGGCGGCCGCGCACGCGCGCTGGGGCCAACGGGGACGCGCGACGGGCTACGCAGGCGCACGAGGGGAGCGGACGGGAGGCGGGAAGGGCCATCCGGGCGCGCGAGGGCCGGACGGGAAGCGGGAAGGGCCGCGCGCCGCCGAGGCGGGGCAAAGGCGAAGTGCGGGGACGCGCGCGGAGGGGGAGGGGCGCGGGAGGCCGCGTGCGCTAGGGACGGGGCGCGCGGGGGCCGGAAGCGGGCCGGACGGGGGATGGGGACGCGGCCAGACCCCCGGGAAGCCCCTGACCCGCCCCGCACCCGCGCCCGCCACGCGGAGAGGAAGGGGAGAGCCCGCCGCCCCCTCCCGCCCGAGAGGGGGCGAGATCGGCCCCGGGGAGGCCGGCGCGGCGGCGGGGGCAGGGCTGCGGCGCGGGGAGGGCGGTGGGGCGCGGGGCGACGTGCGACTCACCCGTCCATGGCACACAGAGCAGACCCGCGGGGGACGGAGTGGAGGCGCCGGAATAGCAGGAACCGACCCAACGGCTCCGAGTTATAGACTCACAAAATGGCGGAGACGCCCGCACACGTCCCCCGCGCGCGCTGCCCATTGGCTCCCGCTGCAGCCAGGGGGCGGGGAGAGCCCCGCGGGCCCCCGCCAGCACCTCCCACTGGCCAGAAGGCCGCCCGGGGGCGGGACCCAGAGAAATCGCAGGCGCCTATTGGGGGAGGCGGTTATTCCTCAAGGCCGAAGGCGGAAACGGCTTGTGTAGTCGGGGGAGGGGGAGAAAATGGGATCACGTGACGGCGTCTGAGCCAGTCAGCTGGCGCGTGGCTTTGCGGGAGACGCCATCTTGAGAGTGGGTACGTGGCGAGTCAGGCGGCGGGAAGCGTGCTTTGCCCAGGCTGCCGCCATCTTGCAAGTGGGCAGGACCCGCCCGCCTGGGCCGTGAGGGCAAAGGGAGTCGCATCGCCATCTTGGAGTCGGGCAGGAAACCCTCAGGGCTCCATGTTGGTTGTGGGCACATGGCCAAAAAGTCCGATTCAAACTGAGCGCTCACATCTGGGTGATCGCGCGGGGAGGGAAAGGCCGCGTCGCGTCCCGGACACGCCAGGGCTGTTTCCACAGTGGCCACAGATACTGCGGGCGCGCCATGATCCGGGGTCACCCCCGACCGTTCTTTGTTCGCCCCGGAACAGCGAATCCCGACTGCGGAGATAGGGAAACTGAGGTCCGGGCCCCGCACAGTCCGCGGCCGGCTGCCTACAGCTGGGAAAACTGAGGCCTGGACCTTGTACAGTCCGCGGCCGCCCGCCTACAGCTGGGGAAACTGAGGCCTGGACCTTATACAGTAGGCGGCCGCCCGCCTACAGCTGGGGAAACTGAGGCCTGGACCTTGTACAGTCCGCGGCCTCTCACCTACAGCTGGGGAAACTGAGGCCTGGACCTTGTACAGTCCGCGGCCGCCCGCCTACAGGTGGGGAAACTGAGGCCTGGACCTTGCAGTCCTTGGCCGCCCGCCTACAGCTGGGGAAACTGAGGCCTGGACCTTGTACAGTCCGCGGCCTCTCACCTACAGCTGGGGAAACTGAGGCCTGGACCTTGTACAGTGGGCGGCCGCCCGCTTACAGCTGGGGAAACTGAGGCCTGGACTTTGCACAGTCCGCGGCCAACCGCCTAAAGCTGGGGAAGCTGAGGTCCGGGCCACACACAGTCCACGGCCATCCGCCTACAGCTGGGGAAACTGAGGCCAAAGCCACACACAGTCCACGGCCATCTGCCTACAGCGGGGGAAACTGAGGCCCAGGCCACACACAGTCCACGGCCATCCGCCTACAGCTGGAGAAACTGAGGCCCGGGCTCCATACAATCCAAGGCCGCCCGCCTACAGGTGGGGAAACTGAGGCCCAAGCCACCCGCCTACAGCTGGGGAAACTGAGGCCCGAGCCCCCTACAGTCCCTGGCCCACTGACCTACAGCTGGGGAAACTGTGGCCTGGAGCTCGTACAGTTCGAGGCTGCCAGCCTACGGCTGGGGAAACTGAGGGCCAGGCCCAGCAGGGTCACCAGGAGGGTCCCTCCCGGGCCACCATCCCAGCAGCAGAAAACACCCTAAACTAATGTTCCCAGGAGCGCTGATCACATGAAGAGTCTGACAGAGCTGTGAGGGTGCCTGACGGGGAGGCCAGGTCAGCGGGTTGGGAGCCATCCCAGAGTGAGGGGATGACCCCGGCCCTCCACACTGGGACCCTCACGGGAGGCTGCGGTTGGAAACCGGAGCAGTTCCCGGCCCGGAGTAGACACTGCTCCCTAAATAGAATTAGCGGGATTTAGTCCATGCTGAAAAGGGGGTTTTTCATTAACACCAACCTACGGAGGGAGAAGACATGACAATTCTCGTTTCCCCAAATCCAGGCGAGCCTAGCGCCCTGCTTCTCTGGCGTGTTTTATTCCAGCAGTGCTGCGTTTCAGGCCGGGGCCTGGCGTGGGCCCAGGAGCCTTGGAGCCCCGCCGGGCGTCTGGTGCCAGAGGATTCCAGCCCGGATTAGGGGTGGCCGCCGAGCTCCATGGAGGCATCGCACGGCAAGGTCCTTTGGCCCGAACCACCCGGTCAACGGAGACTCACCAAGAGCCATCTGCAGCCAGGGTCACTCATCAGGAATGTCCGGTGGATCTGGGAGAAGCCCAGTGTGTTACTGTGGATTTGCTCCCCTGGAGACCCCCATCCTCACACCACCAGAACCAGCCGCTTCTGTCTGTTCGCGGAGTGCCTGGGATGGGCCCCGCCCTGAAAGCAGACAGGCAGGGGCGGCCGGGGGTCTGAGTGGCAGCTGGCAGCAGTAGAGACCACCAGGTTCCAAGCACCAGTCTAACCCTTCGGAATCGTGTTAAAACCCACTTCTGATCGTGGCCCCGCCAGGCCTCCTGTCTTGCTCAAAGTATAAACCCAAGGCCATCCCTTACCCCGCAAGCCCCACATGACCAGCCACCTGTCCAGTACCTTTTTTTATTTTTATTTTTTTAAGACAGTGTCTGGCCGGGTGCAATGGCTCACACCTGTAATCCCAGCACTCTGGCAGGCCGAGGTGAGTGGATCACCTGAGGTCAGAGTTCGAGACCAGCCTGGCCAACATGGAGAAACCTCCTCTCCACCAAAAATACAAAAATTAGCCAGGCGTGGTGGTGCATGCCCTATAATCCCAGCTCCTTGGGAGGCTGAGGCAAGAGAATCACTTGAACCCGGGAGGCGGAGGTTGCAGTGAGCCGAGATTGCGCCATTGCACTCCAGCCTGGGCAACAGGAGTGAAACTCTGTCTCTAAAAAACAAAAACGAAAATAAACACCTGTCATCCCAGCACTTTGGAAGGCCGAGGCAGGCGGATCACAAGGTGAAGAGCCTGAGACTATCCTGGCCAACATGGTGAAAGCCCGTTTCCACTAAAAATACAAAAATTTGCCGGGCGTGGTGGTTTGCTCCTGTAATCCCAGCTACTCGGGAGACTGAGGCGGGAGAATCACTTGAACGCGGGAGGCGGAGGTTGCAGTGAGCCTAGATTACGCCACTGTACTCCAGCCTGGGCAACAGAGTGACACGCTATCTCAAAAAAAAAAGTAAAAATAAAAAATAAAATGTATGTCGCGGAATTTAGGGTCTACCTGCAGACTCCAGGATGATCTCATCTCAAGACACTTAATGGTACCTTCAAAGACTGGTGTTCCAAATGAAGCCTTGTTCACGGGTTCCAGGGTTTAGGATGTGGTTGTCTTTCTTTGGGGCCACCTCTCAGCCCCTCAGCCCCACCCACCACCTGAAGCTTAGAGGGCGATAGCAGGTACAAGCAGGCCGTTTGTTTTTGCAATGGCGGCCTGGTCCCAGGAACCCCCCCCACCGCCTCCACCTCACCCAGGTCACCTGAAACCAGTGTCCTTCCTGGGCTGGCCTGACAGTAACCATGGCTGAGGGCCCAGCAATTTACAGGTCAGCTGTCATATGCAGAACGCCAGCGCGGGAAGACGCCCAGGGGCTCCCGTGGGCACCTGATTTATTTAGCGAGCAGGGCCCAGCCTCTGTCTTTTCTCCTCTCCTGTCTCCCATCCCAGCCCGCAGGCCAGCTGCCTCCTTCATGAATGATTCAGGGTGAGCGAGGAACAGGCTCACCTTGCCTTTGTGCGAGAATCACGTTGGTTTGCTGGTTACCATTTTGAAAATGATACTCTGAGCCTGGCAGGAGAAACGGGGGGGGGAGTGAGGACATCTGAGGCCCTCAGAGCCACCGAATCTCATGCAGAGGGCCTGCTGGGGCCTCAGACACCTTTCAGTTCTGATGGGGGAGGGAAGGGCCGTGCCTCAGTTTACTTCTTCGTCAACATGAGTGGCAGGGCCAGGCCGTCCCTCCTCCCCATGAGCAGTTCCATAGATTTATTTTTCCTTTTCCTTTTTTTTTGTTTTTTTTTTGGGGGGGATGGAACCTCACTCTATTGCCCAGGCTGGAGTACAGTGGCGCAATCTTGGCTCACTGCAACCTCTGCCTCCCGGGTTCAAGTGATTCTTCTGCGTCAGCCTCCTGAGTAGTTGGGATTACAGGTGCCTGCCACCACGCCTAGCTAATTTTTGTATTTTTATTCTTATTTTTTTATTTGATTTATTTTTTTCTTTTTCTGAGACGGCGTCTCGCTCTGTCGCCCAGGCTGGAGTGCAATGGCGTGATCTCAGCTCACTGCAACCTCCGCCTCCTGGGTTCAAGCGAGTCTCCTGCCTCAGCCTCCCGAGTAGCTGGGACTACAGGCGCCCACCACCATGCCCAGCTAATTTTTATACTTTTAATAGAGACGGGGTTTCAGCATGTTGGCCAGGATGGTCTCGATCTCTTGACCTTGTGATCTGCCCTCCTTGGCCTCCCAAAGTGCTGGGATTACAGGCCACCCTGTAATCCACCTGTGAGCCACCACACCCAGCCTAATTTTTGTATTTTTAGTAGAGATGGGGTTTCACTGTGTTGGCCAGGCTGGTCTCGAACTCCTGACCTCAGGTGATCTGCCCGCCTTGGTCTCCCAAAGTGCTGGGATGACAGGTGTGTGCCCGCACAGCCAGCACAGGTTTATTATCTTAATTACAAAAGTGAGGGCTCAGGGATCCAGGGCGCGGCCTCGGGCTGGTCTCCTGGGTGGTCTCCCAGCCTCTCCGGCCCATTTCCTGGATTTCTGTTGAACGGAGCTTGGAGTGGGGGTTCGGTGAGGCCACCCCAAGGCCTGATGGCCAGGACTCACGGACAGGAATGCATTGCTATTCCCTGGCCTCACTATACCCCATGCAGAACCACTTCCGTCCTGTGCTCTGTGCTCTGGGAATCAACTGCGGCTCGAGGCTGGTCCCGCCCCTCCAAGCTGGGACAGTGGGTTGGTATAGGAAGTAGAGATCCTAAAGGGAATGGGGGCTTTATTTATTTTTTGTTTATTTATTTTTTTGAGGCAGGGTCTCACTCTGTTGCCCAGGCTGGAGTGCAGAGGCACAGTCTCGGCTCCCCACAGCCCCAACCTCCCCAGCTCAGGTGATCCTCCCGCCTCAGCCTCTCGGTAGCTGGGGCTATAAGCAAGTAGTTCCACCACGCCTGGCTCATTTTAAAAAATGTTTTGTAGACACAGAATCTCACCGTGTTACCCAGGCTGGTCTCAAACTCCTGGGCTCAAGGGGTCCTCCTGCCTCAGCTGCCCAGTGTGCTGGGATGACAGGTGTGAGCTGCCACACCCGGCCTGAGAGGTCCTGTAAATTAGCCCCTCAACTCCTTTCTCCCCCACCCTCTCCAGTCTCTGTTCATCCCCCACCCCAAGAAGGACCCCTGTCCCTGCAAGGGGTGGTGGGCCCAAGGATCTGCCCCCGAATTATCAAAGTCACTTCTCAAGAGTCTTCTCATCCCAGGACACCTCCCTATGCCCAGACCTCAGGGAGACCAGCCTCTCCCCACCCCCACCCTGGGCCCTCAGGCCAACAGGAAAAGGCCACAGCGTTATCTGCCCAGACCCATCCTTCCCCACCCCATCCGCCTCTCCCCCAGGCCTGGCACCCCGCCATTCTGTGCTCCCCTCCCCAGCCTGACCCTCTTTCCCCACCCCACCCAGGGGAGTTCAGCTGGAGCTGGGCCCTGACCCTCCTCCCTACCCCCAGGGGAGTTCAGCTAGAGCTGGGCCCTGATCCTCCTCAATCCCCCCTAGAGCTGGGTCCTGAGCCTCCCCCCTCCCCCCTCCCCCCGGGGGAGTTCAGCTAGAGCTGGGCCCTGACCCTCCCCCGTCCCCTAAGAGGCCCTGTGGGTCTGAACTCAGGCAGAGAACTTGCTAGGAACTTCCAAAGAGGGTGCTGAGGTGCGTGGATCCCTGAGATCAGGAGTTCAAGATCAGCCTGGCCAACATGGGGAAACCCCGTCTCCCACTAAAAAAACAAAAATTATCTGGGCATGGTGGTGGGTGCCTGTAACCTCAGCTCCTCGGGAGACTGAGGCAGGAGAATTGCTTGAACTCAGGAGGCGGAGGTTGCAGTGAGCCGAGATGGGGCCATTGCACTCTAGCATGGGTGACGGAGCAAGACTCTGTCTCAAAAAAAAAAAAGAGGGGTGGGGCTTGGCTTGGGGATGTGCCAGCACTGGGGGCCGGCCCTCAGGAACCCCGCAATTCTCCTCCTATTCATGCCCCTGAGAGAAGGGGAAACACAAGTCCACACAGAAACGCGTACATGAACGTTCATCGTAGTGTTATTCACGGAGGCCACATGTGGAAACAGCCCAAATTCCCGTTAGTGGAAGAAAAGACCAACCCAGTGCCGGCCGTCCACCGCGGAACACAACTCAGCGTGAAAAGGATCCAGGCTCTGACCCAGGCCACAGCGCGGATGCACCTTAAGGACGTCACGCTCCGTGAGAGACGCCAGACACAGAAGGACACACAGCGTGTGATCCCATTTATTTTATTTTTTCGAGACAGAGTTTGGCTCTTGCTGCCCAGGCTGGAGTGCAATGGCACGATCTCAGTTCACTGCAACCTCTGCCTCCTGGTTCAATCAATTCTCCTGCCTCAGAGTCCCAAGGAGCTGAGATTGCAGGCACCCACCACCAAGCCCAGCTAATTTTTGTATTTTTAGTAGAGATGGGGTTTCACCATGTTGGCCAGGCTGGTCTCAAACTCCTGACCTCAGGTGATCCGCCCGCCTCGGCCTCCCAAAGTGCTAGGATGACAGGCGTGAGCCACCGCGCCTGGCCCCGTGTGATCCCATTTCTATGAAATATCCAGGCCAGGGGGGTGGGGGCTCACACCTGTCATTCCCAGCCCTTTGGGAAACCCAGGCGGGAGGATCCCTTGAGGCCAGGAGTTCAAGGCTGTAGTTAGCTGGGATCCCACCACTGCACTCCATCCTGGGCCACAGAGTGAGATCCCATCTCAAAAAATTAAATAAAGCCAGGCCCAGTGGCTCACGCCTGTAATCCTAGCACTTCGGGAGCCCGAGGCAGGCAGATCGCCTGAAAACCCTGTCTCGGCCGGGTGTGGTGGCTCATGCCTGTAATCCCAGCAGTTTGGGAGGCTGAGGTGGGTGGATCACCTGAGGTCGGGAGTTCAAGACCAGCCTGACCAACATGGTGAAACCCTTTCTCTACTAAAAATACAAAATTAGCCAGGTGTGGTGGTGCATGCCTGTAATCCCAGCTACTCGGGAGGCTGAGGCAGGAGAATCGCTTGAACCTGGGAGGCGGAGGTTGCAGTGAGCTGAGATCGCACCATTGCACTCCAGCCTGGTGACAGAGTAAGACTCTGTCTCAAAAAAAAAAAAAAAGGAAAGGATGGAGTGAAGTGGGTAGTTGTTCATGCCTATAATCCCATCACTTCGGGAGGGCGAGGCACGAGGATTGCTTGAGGCCAGGACTTTGAAACCACCCTGGGCAACATGGCAAAACCCTGTATAAACAAAAGTCAAAGAATCAGCTGGGCGTGGTGGTGCACGCCTGTGGTCTCAGCTATTCAGGAGGCTAAGGCCGTAGTCTCACCAGAGCCCAGGAGATGGAGGCTGCAGTGAACCGAGATTTCGCCACTGCACTCCAGCCTGGATGACAGGGCAAAATCCAGTCTCTAAAGCAACAGAAAAAGCAAATAAACAAATAAGGAAGGGGGGGCAGGGGTCTTTCTGTCAAGTGACCACCCACAGCAGCTTGTGGTTCGGACGGAGACGCAGGGCCTACTGGGTCCCTGCTCCTGCTGGGAGGTCCTGCGGGCAATGAGCTGTGTTAGAAGCCAGGGGTTGCCGACGATGGACATGAAACAGGTACAGGACAGGGCGCCGCCGGGAGCTGCAGCCAGCCCCGCAGGAAACAGCCGCAGCCAGAGAGAAAGGCAGGAAGGGCCCGGGAGGGTCAGGAAGGCCTCGCTGAGGAGGCAGAATTTGATCTGAGGGGGAAGGGCCGGCCACAAAGGCAAACTCCCCGGGGTGGGGTGAATTGAGTTCCCTCAAAGATCTGTCTTTGCGTGAACCCCAGGCACCTACAAATGGGACCTTATGTGGAAATAGGGTTTCTGCAGATGTAATTAGTTAGGATGAGATCATTAGGGCGGGCACCACCGCAGTGACAGGCGACTTCGGGAGACAAGGGAAATTTGGACACAGATGCAGAGGAGACCGCCGTGGGGCAGCAGAGGCAGAATTGGGAGGGAAGCGGCCGCAAGTCCAGGAGGGTCAGAGGTGGCTGTCGGCACCAGGAGCTGGAAGAGGCCGGGAGGGTACTCGCCTGGCACCTTGCACACCTTCACTTCAGACTTCCGGCCTCCAGAGACGAGAGTGTATTTGTGTTGTTTTAAGCCGCACAGCCTGCTTACCTGGTCCCAGCAGGCCCCGGAAGCCCATTCATCCTGCGGGGACTTAGGCCAGCCAGGCGTGCTGGGGCCTCGTGTGGTGATGGGGATGGGAGACAGACGTGGGCCAGAGCGCTGGCCCCCCTCCACGGCCTTGCAAAATTTATTAAAAGGAAGATGTCTCCATAGGGAGAGGGAACGTGAGCCGGGCTGTCAGTGATCCAGCAGCCATCTGCTCACCAGCCCGACCACAGGGTCAGCGGCCTGCAGAGTGGGGGTGGGGCGGGGGCACAGAGGGATGGCAGGCCCCGCTGCACGCTCCCCCGGGAGTGGAGACCCCAGCCCTGCAGGCTGCTGCGCCCAGGCCTTGTTCTGGGGAACACTCTGTCTCCAGTGTCCTCTAGAACTCGGCGTTTTATCCATGGCAGGTGGAAGGTCTGCTCTTTGTAAAACAATAATAAAGTCAGGCCAGGCGCGGTGGCTCACGCCTGTGATCCCAGCACGTTGGGTGACTGAGGCGGGTGGATGCCCTGAGGTCAGGAGTTCGAGACCAGCCTGGCCAACAGGGCAAAAGCCTGTCTCTACCAAAGATATAAAAATTAGCTGGGTGTGGTAGCATACACATGTAATCCCAGCTACTCGGGAGGCTGAGGCAGGAGAATTATTATTTGAACCCAAGAGGCGGAGGTTGCAGTGAGCTGAGATCACGCCACTGCACTCCAGCCTGGGTGACAGAGTGAGACTCTCTCTCTCTCTCAAAAAAAATGAGTAAATCGAGGCCGGGCGCGGTGGTTCACGCCTGTCATCCCAGCACTTTGGGAGGCTGAGGCGGGCAGATCACGAGGTCAGGAGACCGAGACCATCCTGGCGAACACGGTGAAACCCCGTCTCTACTAAAAATACAAAAAAATTACCCGGGCGTGGTGGTGGGTGCCTGTAATCCCAGCTACTTGGGAGGCTGAGGCAGGAGAATCGCTTGAGCCCGAGAGGCAGAGGTTGCAGTGAGCCAGGATCACACTAATGCAGTCCAGCCTGGACAACACAGTGAGACTCGGTATCAAATAAATAAAAATAAAAGTACATAAATAAAAACCTCACAGTGACCCTGACATTGTGTCTCCCCAGAGGTCAGGCCTCCATTGTGAGGGGATGTGGGATCCCGATAGGAAGCTAATTTTGGAGGGAACCAGGCCTAGAAGGAAAAGAGCCCCAGGCGGGCCCAGGATGGAGGCGGAGCAGACGCCCTCCAGGCCGCAGCTGCCCCGGGCTTCATTACAGGGAACCCAGGACACCGTAGCCAAGCCCGGAGCTCCTGGAGGTGACTGCTCAGGCATCAATAGTTTATAGCAGGAAACGACACTTGGTCTCAGGTCACCCACAGCCGGCTCGGGTGGCCTGGGGCTGGGCCCTGGGGCTGGAGTGGAGGCTGTATCACAGGTACCAGTTTGCTCTGGTTTTGATGGGCCTGTGGGCCATGGCGGCTCAGGTGCTTGTGCAAGGAGGGCTTTGGGGCCGGGCGCGTGGCTCCCACCTGTGATCCCAGCACTTTGGGAGGCCGAGGTGGGCGGATGGTTTGAGCCCAGGAGTTTCGGACCAGCCTGGGTGACATAGTGAGACCCCATCTCTATTAAAAATTTAAAAATGAACACTTTCAGGCTGGTCACAGTGGCTTCCTCCTGTAATCCCAGCACACTGGGAGGCCGGCATGGGCAGATGGCTTGAGTCCGGGAGTTCAGACCAGCCTGGGCAACATGGCGAAACCCTGTCTCTAAATAAATAGGAAAAGAAAGATAAAATGAAAACAACAACAAAAAAGAATAAAAAAAACCCAGAATAAATAAATAGCAGAGGCGGGAGGATCACTTGAGGTCAGGAGTTTGAGACCAGCCTGGACAACATGGTGAAACCCCGTCTCTACTAAAAATACAAAAATTAGCCGGGCGTGGTGGTACCTATAATGCCAGCTACTCGGGAGGCTGAGGCAAGAGAATCCCTTGAACCAGGGAGGCAGAGGTTGCAGTGAGCTGAGATCACGCCATTGCACTCCAGTCTGGGTGACAGAGCGAGACTCCGTCTTCCAGAAAACAAAACAAAACAAAGCATAAACTCACATATATATATGTGTGTACATATTTATTTCAATATATTTTATTGGGATTATATTTTCTCCTTTGTTTTCTTTTTATTCTGAATTGGCTTGCTAGGAAACATGCTTCTTTTTTTTTTGAGACGGAATCTCGCCCTGTTGCCCAGGCTGGAGTGCAGTGGTGCGATTTCAGCTCACTGCAACCTCCGCTTCCCGAGTTCAAGCGATTCTCCTGCTTCAGCCTCACAAGTAGCTGGGATTACAGGCGCCCACCGCCACGCCCAGATAATTTTTGTATTTTTAGTAGAGATGAGGTGTCTCCATGTTGGCCAGGATGGTCTCAAACTCCTGACCTAGTGATCCACCTGCCTCGGCCTCCCAAAGTGTTGGGATTACAGGCGTGAGCCACCGTGCCCAGCCCGAAACATGCTAATATACTAAATCCTGGTGAAAAAATTGCTACATATAATTGCAAGAAATTCACACAACCGTGAAGAATATAAAATGAGCCTGCCCCGCACCCCTGGCCTGTCTCAGGTATTCAAGCTGTTCAAAATTTGCTCCATTTGCTTCAGGATTTTTTCTTTTCTTCTCTTCTCTTCTTTTCTTTTCTTTTCTGAGACAGAGTCTCGCTCTGTCGCCCAGGCTGGAGTGCAGTGGCGCGATCTCGGCTCACTGCAAGCTCCACCTCCCAGGTTCAGGCCATTCTCCTGCCTCAGCCTCCCGAGTAGCTGGGACTACAGGTGCCCACCACCACGCCCGGCTAATTTTTTTGTATTTTTAGTAGAGACGGGGTTTCACCGTGTTAGCCAGGATGGTCTCGATCTCCTGACCTCATGATCCGCCCGCCTCGGCCTCCAGAAGTGCTGGGATTACAGGTGTGAGCCACGGCGCCCGGCCTGTTTCAGGACTTTTTTCAAAGCCTGTTTCCAAACCCCAGAATCTACAAGGATGATACAGATGTTTTTTTTTTCTTTTTGTATTCTTTTTATTCTTTTTTTTTTTTGAGATGGAGTCTTCCTTTGTTGCCAGGCTGGAGAGCAGTGGTGCAATCTTGGCTCACTGCAACCTCCGCCTCCCAGGTTCAAGCGATTCTCCTGCCTCAGCCTCCCAAGTAGCTGGGATTACAGGCGCCCGCCACCACACCTGGCTAATTTTTTGTAGTTTTAGTAGAGATGAGGGTTCACTAGGTTGGCCAGGCTGGTCTCGAACTCCTGACCTCATGATCTGCCCACCTCAGCCTCCCAAAGTGCTGGTATCACAGGCGTGAGCCACCAGGCCCGGCTGGAAACAGATGTTTCTAAAATGTTTTACAAGGTAGCAGCGTAGTATAACTGTTACACATCTGCTATTGTTCATTTCTTAAGTGGTCCTCAAGACTTTTGTATCCATTTATTCCCTGATGTGTTTGAAAACTAACATTTCCCAGACTTGTGTGGCCCAACATTTAAAAATAAGAGTTGGGGAGTTCCTGACCATCCTGGCCAACATGGCAAAACCCCGTCTCTACTAAAAATACAAAAATTAGCCTGGCGTGGTGGCACACGCGTGTAGTCCCAGCTACTCGGGAGGCTGAGGCAGGAGAATTGCTCAAACCCAGGAGGCGGAGGTTGCAGTGAGCCGAGATCACACCACTGCACTCCATCCTGGGCAACAGAACAAGACTCCATCTCAAAATAATAATAATAATAATAATAATAATAATAATAATAAATAAATAAATAAAAATAAAAGAGCTGGCAACAAAGGAGAAATCTAACATCCCCAAACAATCTAGAGGTAACAAGTGGTTAGTATTTTGGATGTTATAGAGGTTTTTTTTTTTTCAGACGGAGTTTCACTCTTGTTGCCCAGGCTGGAGTGCAATGGCACAATCTCAGCTCACCGCAACCTCCGCCTCCCGGGTTCAAGCGATTCTCCTGCCTCAGCCTCCCGAGTAGCTGCGCCACCACGCCTGGCTAATTTTGTATTTTTAGTAGAGACGGGGTTTCTCCACGTTGGTCAGGCTGGTCTCGAACTCCCGACCTCAGGTGATCCGCCTGCCTCAGCCTCCCAAATGCTGGTATTACAAGCGCGCCCGGCCTGGAAACATCACTTTGAACACTTGCAGACCGTCCTTCCTCCTCCTGGTCATCTTCCAGATGCAGGAGCTGGTAGCTGAGGGTGTCATCTGTGGGGCCACAGTCCTCTGTGGCCGGGCAGTGCTGCCCCTGGCGTTGGCCCCTCATTCTGCTGGTCCAGCAGTTCCTTCCTGGGGACGTGCAGGGGGAACACAGGCCCTGGCATCGGACACGCAGTCAGCGCACACAGACCCGTCCATCCAGCGCCAATGCCACATTCCACACATGCCAACAGCACCTCCCTCCTGTCCCTGCCATCGTCCCCAACCCCGCACACCAGCCGCCCCTTTGAAGTCCTCAAGCCTTCCTATCACAACAGCAGAGCCTGACAAACAAGAAGAAAAGCCAGGGCCAGGCACTGTGGCTCACGCCTGTAATCCACCAACCTGGGATGTCGAGGTGAGAGAATCACTTGAGCTCAGGAGTTCAAGACCAGCCTGGGCAACGTGGCGAGACCCCATCCGGAAATTTTTTTTTTTTTTTTTTGAGATGGATTCTCCCTCTGTCGCCCAGGGGCACGATCTCACCTCACTGCAACCTCTGCTTCCCGGGTTCAAGTGATTGTCCTGCCTCAGCCTCCGGAGTAGCTGGGATTACATGTGCGCCACCACACCTGGCTAATTTTTGTATTTTTAGTAGAGACAGGGATAGTCTCAAACTCCTGACCTCTAGTGATCTGTCCGCCTCAGCTTCCCAAATTGCTGGGATTACAAGAGTGAGCCACCGTGCCTGGCTGCTAAAGTTTTTTTTTTTTTTTTTTAATTAGCTGGGCGTGCTGGCGTATGCCTGTGGTCCCAGCTACTCAGGAGGCTGAGGCAGGAGGATCACTTGAGCCCAGGAGGTCGAGGCTGCAGTGGGATGTGATCTTGCCACTGCACTCCAGCCTGGGTGACACAGCGAGACCCTGTCTCTACAAAAATAAATAAATAAACAATGGGCCGGGCGCAGTGGCTCACGCCTGTAATCCCAGCACTTTGGGAGGCCGAGGTGGGTGGATCACAAGGTCAGGAGTTCGAGACCAGCCTGGCTAACATGGCGAAACCCCGTCTCTACTAAAAATGCAAAAATTAGCCAGACGTGGTGGCTCATGCCTGTAATCCCAGCTACTTGGGAGGCTGAGGCAGGAGAATCGCTTCCACCTGGGAGGCGGAGGTTGTGGTGAGCCGAAGTTGCGACACTGCACTCCAGCCTGGGCGACAAGAGGGAAACTCTGTCTCAAAAAAAAAAAAAAAAAAAATTTAGCCGGGCGTAGTGGCATATGCCTGTAGTCCCAGCTACTTAGGAGATTGAGGCAGGAGGCTCATTTGTGCCATTGGGGTCAGGGCCGCAGCAAACTATGATTACGTCACTGCGCTCCAGCCTGGGCAACAGAGCGAAATTCCAGGAAGGAAGGAAGGAAGGAAGGAAGGCCACAGTGATCCTTTCCCTGCCACCCCGAGCTTCTGGGTCGAGCCAACAGGGTTAAAATTCCCGGGCATCTTCCTAGAGGAAAATTCTAGAATCCGTTGGGCCACTGCAGGCCCCATCGCCTTCTATCCATCACCCCTGGATTTCTGGGCAGCTTCCTTTTTTTTGCTTGTGATAAAATAGGTCCTAACAATAAAAACAAACATACCCAGGTGCCCATGTTTATCTCCACGGCGCAGCCTCCGGGTTCTGGAATTTTCTTGGTCACTTCCAGATATTGTAGAGAATTCCGGAAGAGCACCGCAGACAGCCCAGGCGCGGCCCGGCCGAGGCTTAAACACGTTTTCTTAAATCACCAGATTCCGCCACCAACCTGCAAAGTTCATGGTTTTTTTCTCTCTGCGAAACTCTTGCCTTTGAAACCTCCTGCAGGGGTTCCTGTACCCCCAGAGATTGAACAATTCAAAACCTTCAGGACCCCTGTCCGGAGGCCCCCAAATCCCCTTTGGTGAGGGCTGCGGCCGGCGAGGAAAGGGCGCTTGACCCTGTCACGAAAGCAAATTCGGTCGGGTCCTCCAGAACCACCTTCTCATTTTCTCCTGTTTACCTCACAGCCAAGAATGAGATAATAAAACAGAGAAAGAAATAGAGACGGGAGGGTTGGGGGCAGTTTCCACGGTTTCTTCAAGCACAGTTCCTGCAGGGTTGTCTGGTTTGCACAGAGAGGCTGTTGGCTCCTGGACGTGGGTCCTTGGGGGACCTTCGATTTCTCGCCGGGTCCAGGGTGGCCCCGGCGGGAGGAGGACCTCGCCCACATTCCTGGGATTCCTTCTCTCCTTCCCACATTGTTTGTTTGTTGACTTTAAATTGGACTCTGCCAGGAATTCCTTTTCCTCTTGGGTTTAGTGGTGAGCAGGAGGGACTTAGCATATCACAGAGCCCCCGGCAGCCAAGCTACCGGGTGTCCTGGCCCCCTTCAGTTCCCTCCCTTGTCCTCCTCGAGGACCCCCCAACTCAGGCACCCACACCACGGGGGGCTGCGGGACCCCGAGCCTCACTCGTGCCACCGGCCACCCAGCGTCCCCTGCATCTTCCCCGGGGACTCACACACCGCCTCGAGGCCACTCCGCCCCTCCGGATGGATGTCCAAGCCTCCAGCCAGGGCCCCTTCCCTGCTTCATCTCCAGGGTTGACGGAGGTCGAAGGAGCACATGTCTGCTTGCAGGGCACGCCAGGTCCTGATGGACACTGACGTCTAGACCTAGACGGTGGCTCAGCCTGAACCCTGGACGGCCTGGAGCACAGCCATGCAACTGCTTCTAAGACAAAACCGAGGTGGGGATTAAAGCTACCCTCCCAGGCCGCCTGGCTGGAAACTCATCCCCCTCTGTCCCCAGCCCCTGCAGCCCCCATCACTGCCGCTGACAGCCGCAGGGTGTGGCTCACAGAGGGACAGCAGGGAGGGAGAGACGGACGGGGTGGGATCCTGGGGGCCTGTGGCCTTCAGAGCGTCTCACTGCCCCAGCCTTGATGGGGTTGTCTGTAGAGCGGGGATTCAGCTGCCTGGTCTGTGGCGACTGTCCGGTGGCCCAGGGGGTGGACGTGACTCTCCTGTGCGACTTTGTTTTTCTGAGACGGAGTCTTGCAGTGGCGCGATCTCGGCTCACTGCAACCCTCGCCTCCCGGGTTCAAGCGATTCTCTTGCCTCAGCCTCCCGAGCAGCTGGGACTACAGGTGTGTGCCACCACACCGGCCTAATTTTCTTTTCTTTTCTTTTCTTTTCTTTTTATTTTTTGAGACGGAGTTTCACTCTTTCGCCCAGGCTGGAGTGCAGTGGCGTGATCTCAGCTCACTGCAAACTCCGCCTCTCGGGTTCAGGCCATTCTCCTGCCTCAGCCTCCTGAGTAGCTGGGACCACAGGCGCCTGCCACCACGCCCAGCTAATTTTTTTTTTTGTATTTTTTAGTAGAGACGGGGTTTCACCCTGTTAGCCAGGATGGTCTCGATCTCCTGACCTCATGATCCGCCCGCCTCAGCCTCCCAAAGTGCTGGGATAACAGGCGTGAACCACCATGCCCAGCCACGCCCAGCTAATTTTCTGTATTTTAGTAGAGATGGGATTTCACCATGTTGCCCAGGCTGGTCTTGAACTCCTGGGTCCAGGCAGTCTGCCCACCTTGGCCTCCCAAAGTACTGAGATTACAGGCATGAGCCACCGGGCCTGGCCCCACGGTGTGACTTTGACCTCCTCATGGGAGGAAAAAGCAGGATGAAGCGGGGATGATGTCTGTCGGTCCTCAGCAGGAGCATCTGCCAACGTCTCCACATTGTGGACCTGAGATTGTTCTCCGGAAGCTGCAGTCGGAGCATCGCCAGGCCCAGCCCTGGGTCCTCCACCCGGGCCACTGCCTCTCAGGCGGCCTCTCCCTGCCCCCGCCCCTCCGGGGCCCCACAGGGCGGCCAGTGCAGACCTGGGTGTGCAACGGCCCCATCAGCGTTTGTTTCATGAACAAATAAATGTCTAAATTCAGGACCCATCCAGGAGTCCCCTTTTTCTTTCAGTGAGATGAAGTTCCTATAACATAGAATTCCAGTGTGGGCAGCCGGGCACGGTGGCTCACGCCTGTCATCCCAGCACTTTGGGAGGGCGAGGCGGGCGGATCACTTGAGGTCAGGAGTTCAAGACCACCCCGACCAACATGATGAAACCCCATCTCTACTAAAAATACAAAATTAGCCGGGTGTGGTGGCGGGCACCTGTAATCCCAGCTACTCCAGAGGCTGAGGTGGGAGAATCGCTTGAAGCAGGGAGGCAGAAGTTTTGGTGGGTCAAGATCGTGCCGCTGCACTCCAGCCTGGGCAACACAGAGAGACCTCAAAAAAAAAAATTCCAGCGTGGCAACATAGCAAGACCCCATCTCTATTAAAAATAAAAGGCTAGGCTGGGCGCAGTGGCTCACACCTGTAATCCCAGCACTTTGGGAGGCCGAGGCAGGCTGATCACGAGGTCAGGAGATCAAGACTATCCTGGCTAACACGGCGAAACCCCATCTCTACTAAAAATACAAAAAATTAGCCGGGTGTGGTGGCGGGCGCCTGTAGTCCCAGCTACTCGGGAGGCTGAGGCAGGAGAATGGCGTGAACCCGGGAGGTGGAGCTTGCAGTGAGCTGAGATCGTGCCACTGCACTCCAGCCTGGGCGACAGAGCGAGACTCCGTCTCAAAAAAAACCCACAAACAACAAACAAACAAACAAAACCAACAACAACAACAAAAAGAAAAAAAGAAATGTCCAGGACAGACAGACCAAGCCACAGAGACAGGAAGGGGATGCATGGATTCTCAGGGATGGGGAGGGGATGGGGAGTGACAGATGATGCCCCAACCACAAAGGATGATGGGAATATCCTGGAATTAGAGGTGACAGCAGCACAGCACCGTGAAGGCACCAAATCCCACTGAATTATTCACTACAATGCTTAATTCTGTTTTTCCTTTTTCTTTTCTTTTCTTTTTTTTTTTTCTGAGATGGAGTCTCGCTCTGTCGCCCAGGCTAGAATCCAGTGGCGCGATCTCGGCTCACTGCAAGCTGCGCCTCCTGGGTTCACACCATTCTCCTGCCTCAGCCTCCTGAGTAGCTGCGACTACAGGCGCCCGCCACCACACCCGGCTAATTTTTGTATTTTTAGTAGGGACGGGGTTTTGCCATGTTAGCCAGGATGGTCTCGATCTCCTGACCTCGTGATCCGCCGGCTCGGCCTCCCAAAGTGCTGGGATCACAGGCGTGAGCCACCACGCCTGGCCCTGGACATTTCATGGAAATGGGATCACACGCTGTGT
This sequence comes from Homo sapiens, assembly GCF_000001405.40. Lineage (NCBI taxonomy): Eukaryota > Metazoa > Chordata > Mammalia > Primates > Hominidae > Homo > Homo sapiens. Next base: position 779,699 of record NC_000019.10, on the reverse strand, counting down.
GGCCTTTCGTGTCGGGCATCCGTCTGAGCCCTACATCCTCAGGGTGCATCTGCGCTGTGGCTGGCGTCAGAGCCTTGCTCTCTGCTCCTCTCCGTTTCCATCCACGCCTGGCTCCCGTGAATCGTGCCACTGTTTCCTTCCACGCCTGGCTCCTGTGGACTCCGTCCATGCCTGGCTCCCGTGAATCATGCTGCTGTTTCCTTCCACGCTTGGCTCTCGTAACTCGTGCCACTGTTTCCTTCCACGCCTGGCTCCTGTGGCTCGTGCCACTGTTTCCGTCCACCCCTGGCTCCCGTGGCTCATGCTGCTGTGAACATGTTTATTGAGAGCCGCTGTGTTCGGTTATCTGGGGTGGATTCCTCGGAGCCGCACGGTGGGGTTAGACGGCGCCGCTGTCTGGCTTTCTGAAGCACTGATCCATGTTTTCCACGGCGGCTGCCCGCTTCCCATTCCCTCCCAGCAGCCAGTGTGGCTTCTCCTCCTGTGGACTAAACCCGGGGCCCAGGATTCAAACGCCAGGGTGAGGCCTCAGCCCCGGTGCAGGGTGTGTGTTCATCATCTGAAAACCATGTGCCCAGGAGGGAATTGGGCAATTTCAGCGAGTTCAGGCAATCCTCCTGGAAGCTGCCTGAGATCCGGTGGGCTGGAAAAACTGGCCTGGATGTTTCCTGCCCCAGTTTTCTGAGTCTGGAAGTTCCTTTCCCTGAGAAGAGAAGCTCCAGGAGGTCAGTGACGGTCTATGTGTGGCCGCCTGTGGCTTTTTTTGTTTGTTTTGATTCGAACTCTCGCTCTGTTGCCCAGGCTGGAGCACAGTGGCACAATCTCGACTCACTGCAACCTCCGGCTCCTGGGTTCAAGCGCTTCTCCTGCCTCAGCCTCCCAAGTAGCTGAGATTACAGGCACAAGCCACCACGCCCAGCTAATTTTTGTGTTTTTAGCAGAGACAGGGTTTTGCCATGTTGGCCAGGATGGTCTCGAACTCTTGACCTCAGGTGATCCCAAAGTGCTGGGATTACAGGCGTGAGCCACCACTCCCAGCCTCTATTTTATTATTTAAAAAAAAAATTTTTTTTTGGCTGGGCATGGTGGCTCACGCCTGTAATCCCGGCACTTTGAGAGGCTGAGGCAGGCAGATCACTTGAGGTCAGGAGTTTGAGACCAGCCTGGCCAACATGGCAAAACCCTATCTCTACTAAAAATACAAAAATTAGCTGGGCGTGGTGGCAGGCGCCTGTAATCCCAGATACCCTGGAGGCTGAAGCAGGAGGATCGCTTGAACCCGGGAGGTGGAGGTTGCAGTGAGCCGAGATCTCACCATTGCACTCTACCCTGGGTGACAGAGTGAGACTCCCTCTCAAAAAAAAAATTTTTTTTTGAGACAAGGTCTTGTCCTCCTGTCCAGGCTGAGGTGCAATGGTGCAGTCATAGCCCACTGCAGCCTCGACCTCCTGGGCTCAAGTGATTCTCCCACCTCAGCCTCCTGAGTGGCTGGAACCATTGGGACCACAGGTGTGCACCATCATGCCTGGCTAATTTTTGTATGTTTTTTAGAGATTGGGGTCTTGCTGTGTTGCCCAAGCTGGTCTCGATTGCCTGGCCTCAAGCAACCCTCCCACCTTGGCCTCCTGAACTGCTGGGATTACAGGCGTGAGCCACCGCCCCCGGCCTGCAGCTCTGCTATTCATAACAGCCCAGCCCTGGAAGCCACCAAAACGTCCTTCGGCAGGCGAGCAGATAAACATCGAGAATGGAATGTTATCTGGGGCTAAAAGGAGAAGGGAGGAGGTGCCCTAAATCCATAATCTTTTAAAAAATAGGCCGGGCGCGGTGGCTCACGCCTGTAATCCCAGCACTTTGGGAGGTCGAGGAGGGTGGATCACAAGGTCAGAAGATCGAGACCATCCTGGCTAACACGGTGAAACCCCGTCTCTACTAAAAATATAAAAATTAGCTGGGTGTGGTGGCGGGCGCCTGTAGTCCCAGCTACTTGGGAGGCTGAGGCAGGAGAATTGCTTGAACCCGAGAGACAGAGGTTGCAGTGAGCCGAGATCACGCCATTGCACCCAGCCTGGGCTACAAGAGCAAAACTCCATCCAAAAAAAAAAGAAAAAATATATTTATATATATATTTATATATATTTATTTATATATTTTATATACATCTATTTTATTTTTTTTTTACTTTTTTGAGACAGAGTCTCGCTCTGTTGCCCAGGCTGGAGTGCAGTGGTGCAATCTCAGCTCACTGCAAACTCTGCCTCCTGGGTTCACGCCATTCTCCTGCCTCAGCCTCCCGAGTAGCTGGGACTACAGGCACCCGCCACCACGACTGGCTAAGTTTTTGTATTTTTAGTAGAGACGGGGTTTCACCGTGTTAGCCAGGATGGTCTCGAACTCCTGACCTTGTGATCCACCCGCCTCAGCCTCCCAAAGTGCTGGGATTACAGGTGTGAGCCACCGCGCCCGGCTGAATTTTTCTTTTTTTTTTTTTTTTTAAAGACGGAGTCTTGCTCGCTCTGACTCCCAGGCTGAGTGCAGCAGCACAATCTTGGCTCACTGCAACCTCCACCCTTCTGGCTAGAGCAATTCTCCTGCTTCAGCCTCCCGAGTAGCTGGGATTACAGGCACCTGCCACCATGCCCGGCTAACTTTTGTATTTTTAGTAGAGATGGGGTTTGACCATGTTGGCCAGGCTGGTCTCGATCTCCTGACCTCGTGATCCACCCGCCTCGGCCTCCCAAAGTGCTGGGATCACAGGCATGAAGCACTGCGCCCGGCCTGTCTTCTCCTTTTGTTCGTTATGAATCATGCCGCCTCGAACACGCGTATGGACCTGTGTTTTCCTTTCTCTGGGTAGAGACCACGGCGTGGAATGGTTTGGTCACAGAGGAACCCCCAGGCTGTTTCCGCAGCCTGACTGGTAGCTCTGACGTCCCAGCCAGGCTGTCCGGGGCCCAGGGAGAACGAGGTGGAAACTTGCAGATGCTCCCTGGGTGGAATCATTGATCCGGACGATGACTTATTCATGACAGCAGCTTGGTGGGGCCAGAAATTTCCATGGATTCCTGTTATAAATAGGGCTGGTGTGAGCACCTGGCTGCAGGGCCGGGCGGGAGGTTTGTCCTGTGATTGCTGGAGCCCGGGAGTTGGAAGCTGCGGTGAGCTATGATCACGCCACTGCACTCCAGCCTGGGCGGCAGAGGCAGATCTCATCTCTATTTTAATTAATTAATTTATTTTATTTTATTTTATTTTTATTTATTTATTTATTTATTTATTTATTTTGAGACGGAGTCTCGCTGTGTCCCCCAGGCTGCAGGGCAGTGGCGCGATCTCGGCTCACTGCAAGCTCCGCCTCCCGGGTTCACACCATTCTCCTGCCTCAGCCTCCCGAGTAGCTGGGACTACAGGCGCCCGCCACCACGCCTGGCTAATTTTTTGTATTTTTAGTAGAGACGGGGTTTCACCATGTTAGCCAGGATGGTCTCGATCTCCTGACCTCGTGATCCACCTGCCTCAGCCTCCCAAAGTGCCGGGATTACAGGTGTGAGCCACCGTGCCCGGCCCTATTTATTTTAATATTTATTTATTTATTTATTTTGAGGCAGAGTCTCACTCTGTCACCCAGGCTGGAGTGCAGTGGTGTGATCTCGGGCTCACTGCAACCTTAGCCTCCCGGGTTCAAGAGATTCTCCAGCCTCAGCCTCCCGAGTAGCTGGGACTACAGGTGCCCGCAACCACGCCTGGCTAATTTTTGTATTTTTAGTAGAGACGGGGGTTTCACCATGTTAGCCAGGATGGTCTCAATCTCCTGACCTCGTGATCCGCCCACCTCGGCCTCCCAAAGTGCTGGGATGACAGGCGTGAGCCACCGCGCCTGGCCTCAGCGTATTTATTTATTTATTTATTTGAGAAAGTGGGTCGTTCTGTTGTCCAGGCTGGAGAGCAGTGGTGCAATCATAGCTCACTGCAGCCTCAACCTCCTGGGCTCAAACAGTCCTCCCGCCTCGGCCTCCCGAGTAGCTGGGATCACAGGCACCTGCCACCACGCCGGGCTAATTTTTGGGTTTTTCATTACAGGGTTTTGCTATGTTTCCCAGGCTGATCTTGAACTCCTTACCTCAGGCGATCTTCCCACTGCGGCCTCCCAAAGTGTTGGGATTACAGGCATGAGCCACCACTTCTGGCCCCCTGTTTTCCATTATTTTGAGACCCCCCCAAATATTTAATGCCCAGATAAGTGGTGACCCGCCCCCCCCCGTGGACACACACTGCTGGCTGCCCTTCCAGCACTCACTGACCCCAGGGAAGGCTTGGGAGGCCCCAGAAGTGGATCCCGGGGAGGGGACTTGGGCAGCCCCCAGCTCAGGCCACCAGCATGGTCTGGGGGAGTGTCTGTAGGGGTACAGTCCTCACTCTGGACTGCTCCGCCACATGCATGAGTCACCTGTCCAGGCAGCACCCAGAGTGGACAAAACATAAACCATGGCCTCCCCATCTCCAGCACCATCTGTCTGGCTTAGCAGGAAACAGGGTTTGCAACCTCAAATTGAGGGTTCCAGGCCAAACCCTCAGATTTGCTCAGAAATATCCTAACATGGGCCGGGCGCGGTGGCTCACGCCTGTAATCCCAGCACTTTAGGGGACCAAGGCGGGCGGATCATGAGGTCAGGAGATCAAGACCATCCTGGGTAACACGGTGAAACCCCGTCTCTACTAAAAATACAAAAAATTAGCTGGGCGTGGTGGTGGGCACCTGTAATTCCAGCTACTTGGGAGGCTGAGGCAGGAGATGGCATGAACCTGGGAGGCGGAGCTTGTAGTGAGCCGAGATGGCTCCGCTGCACTCCAGCCTGGGTGACAGAGCGAGACTCTCAAAAAAAAAAAAAAAGAAAAGAAAAGAAAAGAAAAAAAGAAATATCCTAACATGGCCAGGCACAGTGGCTCATGCCTGTAATCCCAGAACTTTGGGATGCCAAGGCAGGCGGATCTCGAAGTTAGGAGTTCAAGACCAGCCTGGCCAACATGGTGAAACCTGGTCTCTACTAAACATACACAAAATTAGCTGGGCGTGGTGGCACCCACCTGTAATCCCAGCTACTCAGGAGGCCGAGGCAGAAGAGACGCTTGAGCCTGGGAGAGATTGTCCCACTGCATTCTAACCTGGGTGATAGAGTGAGACTCCATCTAAAAAAAAAAAAATTGCATTTTATTTTGAACAAATGAGTTTGTCCAAAGACACCATTAAGAGACTCAAAAGGGGCCAGGCACTGTGGCTCATGCCTGTAATCCCAGCACTTTGGGAGGCCGAGGCGGGTGGATCATGAGGTCAGGAGTTCAAGACCAGCCTGGCCAACATGGTGAAACCCCGTATCTACTAAAAATACAAAAATTAGCCGGGTGTGGTGGCAGGCGCCTCAGAAAAAAAAAAAAAAAAAAAAAAAAAGAAGAAGACTCAAAAGGAAAGTGCCAGACTGGGAGAAGGTACTAGCTAGCAGTGCATAATGTAATCAAGGACTCAGGTCCAGAATATATAAAGAACTCCCACAAATCAACAGGAAAATAAACAAACCAATTTGTTTTTGTTTTTTTTTTTTTTTTTGAGATGGAGTCTCGCTCTGTCACCCAGGCTGGAGTGCAGTGGCAGGATCTCGGCTCACTGCAACCTCTGCCTCCCAGGTTCAAGCGATTCCCCTGCCTCAGCCTCCTGAGTAGCTGGGATTACAGGCGCCCGTCACCATGCCCAGCTAATTTTTTGTATTTTAGTAGAGACGAGGTTTCACCATGTTGGTCAGGATGGTCTCAATCTCCTGACCTTGTGATCCGCCTGCCTTGGCCTCCCAAAGTGTTGGGATTACAGGCATGAGCCACTGCGCCCTTATTTTTTATTTTGTTTTGAGATGGAGTTTTGCTCTTATTGCTGAGGCTGGAGTGAAGTGGTACAATCTTGGCTCACTGCAACCTCCGCCTCCCGGGTTCAAGCGATTCTCCTGCCTCAGCCTCCCGAGTAGCTGGGACTACAGGCATGTGCCATGGCACCCGGCCCTAATTTTTGTATTTTTAGTAGAGACAAGGTTTCACCATGTTGGCCAGGCTGGTCTCAAACTGCTCACCTCAGGTGATCTGCCTGCCTTGGCCTCCCAAAGTGCTGGGATTACAGGCCTGAGCCACCTGTGAATTTATTGAGGGTGTTGGGAAATACCAGCCACAGAGGAGGATGCCTTGGTCACCTACTCAGGCCAGGATCACCCACCCCCTCTCCGGTGAGAGGCTGAGCACAGAGAGGTGGAGAAACTCACCCATAGCACCGAGGCCATCAGGGGACAGCCTGAGCTCTAACCTGCATCCAGGGGCCCTGGAGCTGGTCTCTCCCTGGCAGATCCCCAGAGCCGGCGCTATGCTTTAGGAGCCAGGAGCCAGTCCTCAAGCTCTTCAGGACTGTCCGGCCCCCAGCTGGCCATGCCTCGCTGCTCCTCACGGGCTGCCGGGCAGGAAACCAGAGCTCTGTTCTCGGATAGGGCAGGAGGCTGAGGCCAGGTGGGTGGGGCACCCAGCCCCTCACTCCCAGGCAGCCCCCTTCTCCATCCCTCTATCCCGCCAGCATTTGCTCCACACCTGCCCCGTGCGGGACTGGGGCTGGGCACAGCCTCTGGTGGCCTCATTTGGCTTGGGGTTGGTGTCCTGGGGACCCTGACTGGGGGGCCCTCCTGCTTGCCTGCACAGCCGGAAGTCTGAATCTAGGCCCCACGGGCCCCTTCTCTGGTTGAGACTCCATCAGCTGCGCAATCCAGTTTCCTCAGGCGGCTCCCTCTGGGCCTCAGTTTGCTGGTCTGTGAAATGGGAATAATAAACATTTTTTGCTGGGTGCAGTGACTCACACCTGTAATCCCAGCACTTTGGGAGGGTGAGGCGGGCAGATCACCTGCAGTCAGGAGTTCGAGACCACCCTGGCCAACATGGCGAAACTCTGTCTCTACTAAAAATACAAAATTAGCCGGGTGTGGTGGCATGTGCCTGTAATCCCAGCTACTCAGGAGGCTGAAGCAGGAGAATTGCTTGAACCCAGGAGGTGGAGGTTGCAGTGAGCCGAGATCTCACCACTGCACTCTAGCCTGTGCGACAGAGCAAGACTCCATTTCAAAAAAAAAAAAAAAATGAGCCCATGATTTTGTTCTCTCCCCTGGTCACCCTAAGTAGAGATGGAGTCTCTCTACGTTGGCCAGGCTAGTCTCCAACTCCTGAGCTCAAGTGAGCCTCCTGCCTCAGCCTCCAGAAGTGCTAGGATCACAGGCATGAGCCACTGAGCCCTGCCCAGCTATTTATTCTGCCATATTTACTGAGCAACAGCTGTGTGATGAGGGGAGCGTTCACCAAAGCCTTGAAAGAAGTGAAGAAATGAACCCAGTGGGTACCTAGGGAAGGGAAACCAGGCAGAGGACATGGCCGTGCAAAGGCCCTGGGGCCGGACCTCACCTGGGGAGGCAAAGGCCCTGGGGCAGGACCCCGCCTGGCAAGTTGGAGGAACAGGGAGGAGGCCCGTGTGGCTGGAGCAGAGGAAGGGGGGAGACAGGGAGGAGGGAGAGTAGAGAGGGGACTGGGCAGAGGAGGGGGAGACAGGGAGGAGGGAGAGGAGAGAGGGGACTGGGCAGAGGGGGAGACAGGGAAGAGGGAGAGGAGAGAGGGGACTGGGCAGAGGAGGAGGGGGAGACAGGGAGGAGGGAGGGGGAGACAGGGAGGAAGGAGAGGAGAGGGGACTGGGCAGAGGAGGAGGGAGAGACAGGGAGGAGGGAGAGGAGAGAGGGGACTGGGCAGAGGAGGAGGGGGAGACAGGGAGGAGGGAGGGGGAGACAGGGAGGAAGGAGAGGAGAGGGGACTGGGCAGAGGAGGAGGGGGAGACAGGGAGGAGGGAGAGGAGAGAGGGGACTGGGTAGAGGAGGAGGGGGAGAAAGGGAGGAGGGAGAGGAGAGAGGGGACTGGGTAGAGGAGGAGGGGGAGATAGGGAGGAGGGAGAGGAGAGAGGGGACTGGGTAGAGGAGGAGGGGGAGATAGGGAGGGAGGAGGGAGAGGAGAGAGGGAGGAGGGAGAGGAGAGAGGGGACTGGGCAGAGGAGGAGGGGGAGACAGGGAGGAGGGAGAGTAGACAGAGGAGGGAGAGGAGAGAGGGGACTGGGCAGAGCCTTGTGGGCTGCACGGAGGACTTGGGCTTCTACCCAGAGGGAAATGGGAGCCATGGAGGGCTGTGGGCAGAGCAGGGACACCCCCAGTCAGCCTCACAGGCGCCCTCTGGCTGCTGTGGAAGAGCCACCGCACTCGGCCACTTCCGGCTAATTTTATTTATTTATTTTTATTTTTATTTTTGAGACGGAGTCTCACTCTGTCGCCCAGGCTGGAGTGCAGTGGCTCGATCTCGGCTCACTGCAAGCTCCGCCTCCTCCCAGGTTCAAGTGATTCTCCTGCCTCAGCCTCCTGAGTAGCTGGGACTACAGGTGCCCCCCACCACACCCGGCTAATTTTTTTGTATTTTTAGTAGAGACAGGGTTTCACCTTGTTAGCCAGGATGGTCTCAATCTCCTGACCTCGTGATCCGAGGGCCTCGGCCTCCCAAAGTGCTGGGATTACAGGTGTGAGCCACCGCGCCCGGCCCTGCGGGCTCTGTTTTCAACCTCTAAATAGTTGGTCAGGGCTGGGCTCGATGGCTCACACCAGTAATCCCAGCACTTTGTGGGGATGAGGCAGGAGGATCACTTGAGGAGTTCAAGACCAGCTTGGGAAACATGGTGAGAACCCCATCTCTACAAATAATTTTTTTTTAGATGGAGTCTCACTCTGTCATCTCTACAAATAATTTTTTTTTTTAGATGGAGTCTTCCTCTGTCACCCAGGCTGGAGTGCAATGGCTCAATCTCAGCTCACTGCAACCTCCACCTCCCAGGTTCAAGCAATTCTCCTGCCTCAGCTTCCTGAGTAGCTGGGATTACAGGTGAACGCCATCACACCCGGCTATTTTTTTTTTTTTTTTTAAGTAGAGACGGGGTTTTGCCACGTTGGCCAGGCTGGTCTTGAACTCCTGACCTCAAGTGATCCACCCGTCTTGGCCTCCCGAAGTGCTGGGATTACAGGCGTGAGCCACCGCGCCCGGCCCTGTCCAGGCTTTCAAGGAGCACTAAGCAAACACCATCCGGTTACGGGAATGAGAAGGTGAGAGTGGCGGCAGGTGCGTTTTCTCCCTGGCGGGGCGAGGGCCGCGGCTGCATCCTTGGTGTTTGCCGCCCTCTGGTGGCAGCGTGCATCGGCTCCTCTCCGGCTCACACCAGAAAGTCACATGGAAGTCATTGTCTGGTGACAATTCGTTAATTTACTTGGTCAGAACCAACATTCATTCTTTTTTTTTTTTTTTTTTTTTTTTGAGACGGAGTCTCGCTCTGTCGCCCAGGCTGGAGTGCAGTGGCGCGATCTCGGCTCACTGCAAGCTCCACCTCCTGGGTTCACCCCACTCTCCTGCGTCAGCCTCCCGAGTAGCTGGGATTACAGGCGCCCACCACCACGCCCGGCTAATTGTTTGTATTTTTAGTAGAGACGGAGTTTCACCATGTTAGCCAGGATGGTCTTGATCTCCTGACCTCGTGATCCGCCCGCCTCGGCCTCCCAGAGTGCTGGGATTACAGGCGTGAGCCACCGCACCTGGCCTCAACATTCATTCTTATTCCTCACTGATTTTCACCAGGTGCCCGGTGACCCTCATGACGTCCCCCAGGGCAGGGATGTCAATGTGGCGACTTCACTTACAGATAAGGACACTGAGGCTGGGAGAGGGGTAGGCCTTGCCCAGGGTCCCTCAGGGGCATGTGGCAGAGCTGGGAATCTGTCCTGGGCTTGGAGCCTGAGCTCCCAACACCGAAGGAACCTGAGGATGCTGTGTGGCACCTGGAACCAGCTGAGCCTGAAGCTGGCCCTACATTGATGTTTCAGTTACGGGAACCCATAAAGCCTAGTTTTGCCAAAGTCAGTCTGAGTTATGTTTGCTTGTGTCCTCTCCTAAATCTCTTTATTTTATTTATTTATTTATTTATTTATTTTTGAGACGAAGTCTTGCTCTGTTGCCCAGGCCGGAGTGTAGTGGCGCGATCTCAGCTCACTGCAACCTCCATCTCCCGGGTTTAAGTGATTCTCGTGTCTCAGCCTCCTGAGTAGCTGGGACTAGGCACGCGCTACCACGCCTGGCTAATTTTTTTTATTTTTATTTATTTTTTATTTATTTATTTTTATTTTTTGAGATGGAGTCTCGCTCTTGTTGCCCAGCCTGGAGTGCAATGGTGCGATCTCGGCTTACCACGATCTTTGCCTCCTGGGTTCAAGTGATTCTCCTGCCTCAGCCTCCCGAGTAGCTGGGATTACAGACACCTGCCACCACGCCCAGCTAATTTTTTGTATTTCCTAGAGACAGGGTTTCACCATGTTGGTCACGCTGGTCTCAAACTCCTGACCTCAGGTGATCCACCTCCTGCCTCAGCTTCCCAAAATGCCAGGATTACAGGCATGAGCTACCATGCCTGGCCCCTGCAGGGTTAATTAAAATGGAGTTGAGGCCAGGTGCAGTGTCTCACGCCTGTAACCCCAGCACTTTGGGAGGCTGAGGCGGGTGGATCATCTGAGGTCTGGAGTTCCAGACCATCCTGCCCAACATGGAGAAACCCCGTCTCTACTAAAAATACAAAAATTAGCCAGGCGTGGTGGTGGGTGCCTGTAATCCCAGTTACTCCGGGGGTTGAGGCAGGAGAATCGCTTGAACCCAGGAGGCAGAGGTTGTGGTGAGCTGAGATTGCGCCGCTGCACTCCAGCCTGGGCAACAGCGTGAGACTCTGTCTCAAAAAACCAAACAAACAAAAAAGAGAATTCTCCTCCTTTCCCTGGCATATCATGATACACTGAGCCAGGAGGAAACCAGGAAAGAATATGAACTCCCTCCTGCTAGCAGCGAGCGCCAGCGGACAGTTTTGCCCGCCCCAAAGGCCTCTGTGATTGCTGTGATGTCCGCAGACCTTCCAGACACGCTCTCCCGCCCCTGGAAATTTCACTAGGAATTCGTCTAAACCTCTCACAGAGTAACTTCTGGAATGTGTCTGCTCAGCAGGCAGAATTCTGTCTGATTTTCCAAGGGGCTGACTCATTACAGGAATTAAACTAAATCTTTTTTTTTGAGCACAGTCTTGCTCTGTCGCCCAGGCTGGAGTGCCGTGGCGCGATCTTGGCTCACTGCAACCTCCGCCTCTCGGGTTCAAGCGATTCTCCTGCCTCAGCCTCCCGAGTAATTGGGATTACAGGTGCGCACCACTGCGCCCGGCTAATTTTTGTATTTTTAGTAGAGACAGGGTTTCACCACATTGGCCAGGCTGGTCTCGATCTCCTGACCTTGTGATCCGCCCGCCTCGGCCTCCCAAAATGGTGGGATTACAGGTGTGAGTGACTGTGCCCGGCAAACTAAATCTTAAAAAAACAGGACAGAATAGGCCGGGCGAGGTGGCTCACGCCTGTAATCCCAGCACTTTGGGAGGCTGAGGCAAGTGGATCACCTGGAGTCAGGAGTTCGAGACCAGCCTGGCCAATATGGAGAAACCCTGTCTCTACTAAAAGTACAAAATTAGCTGGGTATGGTGGGGGCGTGGGCCTGTAATCCCAGCTACTCGAGAGGCTGAGGCAGGAGAATCACTGGAATTCAGGAGGCAGAGGTTTCGGTGAGCCGAGATCACGCACTCCAGCCTGGGCAAATGGAGCGAAACTTTATCTCAAACAAACAAAAGGACAGAATAATACAAGATGAAAGTGCACATTTTCTTTTTATTTTTAAATTAATTAATTAATTCTTTAGGACGGAGCCTTGTTCTGTCGCCCAGGCCGGAGTGCAGTGGCACAATCTTGGCTCAGTGCAACCTCCACCTCCTGGGTTCAAAGGATTCTCCTGCCTCGGCCTCCCGGGTAGCTGGGATTACAGGCGCCCACCACCACACCTGACTATTTTTTGTATTTTTAGTAGAGACGGGGTTTCACCATGTTGGCCAGGCTGGTCTCAAACTCCTGACCTCAGGTGATCCGCCCGCTTCAGCCTCCCAAAGTGTTGGGATTACAGGTGTGAGCCACTGCATCTGGCTTCTCTTGGTCTTCTGCTGAGTGAGCAAGTCCCCAAGGACTTGGGGACAGATGTGAGGTGGAGCCCTGAGTGATTTGCTGAAGTGACTTCTGGGGTACAGGGGCTACACTGTTGGAGTCTGCGGTGTGTGGCAGGCTGGGTTATGTGGGGCTCAAATGTCTGAGCCTCGGTCTCTCCTCTGGACAGCAGGGTGGGGTGCCTTCAGGAGCAGGACCATCCGGGCTGTTACTGTAGCTCCTGCTGCCCCCCACCCCGCTCTTGACTGAGGGGTCTGCGGGCAGCGACACCAGATCCCACTGGCTGGGCTCACCCTTGAGCAGCAGAAGCTGCATCCTGCTTCTGAGAATTCTTTATGGCACAGGACAAAGAAAATCATGGCTGAGAGGAGAGCAGGTTTTAAGAATTTAGGATGAGGGCCGGGCGTGGTGGCTCACGCCCATAATCCCAGTAATTTGGGAGGCCGAGGCGGGCGGATCACCTGAGGTCAGGGGTTTGAGACCAGCCTGCCCAACATGGAGAAACCCCGTCTCTACTAAAAATACAAAAATTAGCCGGGCGTGGTGGCGGGCACCTGTAATCCCAGCTACTCGGGAGGCTGAGGTGGGAGAATCCCTTGAACCCGGGAGGCGGAGCTTGCAGTGAGCTGAGATGGCGTCACTGCACTCCAGCCTGGGCGACAGAGCGAGACTTCGTCTCAAAAAAAAAACAAAATACAAAAAAACAAATTTAGGATGAGACGGGGAGGGAGGAAAGCAAAAATCATGGAAAAAGAGAGAGGTCAGGAGGGACAGAAACAGGGAGATAGACGTGGAGAGAGAGGCCTGAACACCAGAAATGGACAGACAGACAGGAGAGATAAAGGGCTGGGGACCTGGTGTTGGGTCTGGAGGATAGATCGTGGCTTCCGATCCAGAGTTGGGGGTGGACATCACTTCCTGCAACGAAGCAGGCGGTTCTTCTTGAACCCAGCGCCCAGGGGCAGTGAGGGGCATTACGGGGTCAGGGGAGACCCTGCCGAGCCTCTGAGAACTGAGGCCGCTGTGGGACCATCTTGCTGGCAGGACGATGGGCAGGGTGAGGTGACCGTCCAACTGGGATGATGTGGGAATAATGCACCCCTTGGTGACGCGGTGTCTGGCAACAGGCCACAGCCAGGGCCAGGGACACTGAAGACGGGGACCCTGGCCGCACACAGAGCCTTGCCCTTTGGTCTTGGCAGGGGGCTTGTGCAGGGCACAGCCTGTGCAACAGTCCTGGCCGGCCCTGAGCAGAGGTGACTGAAGAGTCACGGAGAAGGGGGATGTCGAGATCCTCTGGTGGGCAGAACAATGGCCCCAAAGACATCCCTTTCCTAATCCCCGGGACCTGTGGCCGTGTCACCTCTCGTGGCAGAAGCACCTGCAGATGGGACTGAGTAATGGACCGTGAGACAGGAGAACATCCTGGGTGACATGGAGGCCCAGTGTCCTCATAGGGCCCTCACGAGAGGAGGCAGGAAGGTGAGCCTGAGAGAGACAGGGAGAGATTGCCTTTTTTTTTTGAGACAGAGTCTCACTCTGTCACCCAGGCTGGAGTGCAATAGCACGATCTTGGCTCACTGCAATCTCCACCTCCCCAGTTCAAGTGATTCTCCTGCCTCAGCCTCCCAAGTAGCTGGGATTACTGGCATTTGCCACCAGGCCCAGCTAATTTTTTGTATTTTTAGTAGAGACGGACTTTCACCATGTTGGTCAAGCTGGTCTCGAACTCCTGACCTCAGGTGATCTGCCCGCCTCGGCCTCCCAAAGTGTTGGGATTACAGGCGTGAGCCACTGCGCCCAACCATGTCTGCTGTTTTAAGTCATTAGGTGGGTGGTGATTTGTTATAGTAGCCAGTGGAGGCTCACACATCCTCAGAGCACAGGGACAGAGGGACAGAACATGGGGCATCGGGGGAAGATGGGGTGGCAGACAGTGGAGAAACTGATGGGACTCACCCAGGACTGTGTGTGAGGCCCTCCCTTCCCGCAGGCCCCACGTTTGGTTCTTGGGGTTGGAATAGAATTGCCCCGACATGAAAGAAGTCACCAACTATGGCCACTGAGCCTCCCTCTATGGTCACATAACCTGCCTCCTCCATCAGACTGGGGTCCCCCGAGGGCAGATGCCTCCTCCATCAGATAGGGTCTCCCTGAGGGCAGAGGCCTCCTCCGTCAGACTGTGGCCCCTCTGTGGGTAGATGCCTCCTCCGTCAGACTGGGGTCTCCCTGGGGGCAGGGGCCTCCTCCATCAGCCTGGGATCTCTGTGAAGGCAGATGCCTCCTCCATCAGACTGGGGTCTCCCTGAAGACAGGGGCTCTCCCTCCTCCCTCAGTCTCTGCTCTGCCCAGATGTAGCCCCTCAGCCCCCTTCCCCCGCCTCCCCAGGGTCCCCACAGCCCCCACTGCCCAGCTATTTCGGTTCCACATCTGCCTGCCTGGGCCCGGCGTGGCTGCGCGGTTTTCCCTGAGGCAGCGCAGCGGACACTGAGCAGCCAAGGAGGAGACACTGGCCTAGGTGTAATTAACACCCGCTGCTCCCAGCAGGGTTGGGGGAGCCTGGGGGCCGAGGCCTGCTTTGGGGGGTGTCTGAGGACACGCCCCTGCCATCAGGCACTGAATCCAACGTCAATGGTCCCCATGTGCCGAGAGCTTTACGTAAATTAACTCCTACTGCCCGGGAGCCTGGTCCTATCGTTATCCCTGTGTGTCAGAGGGAAACTGAGGCATGGGGCAGTGAGAGGACCCCCCCCCACCCAAGGCCACACAGCAGGCAGCAGAGCCAGGACTTGGGTCCAGCGCCCACGCCTCTGACCAGTAGGATCTGGCTTCCCTGGATGTGAGCCTGGTATACATGCGGAGCCGAATTAATGACCCTCCGGCCTCCTCTGAGACCAGAGTGGTGAGGGATTCAGCAAATGCTTAATAAGCACCCTGGGTACTGCGATGGACGTGGTGAGACGGGGCTGGAGGAGCCGGGCTGGTGAGGTTGGGCCCCGGGCCTGGTGTTGCTGAAGGTGCCTCTCCATGATCAATTGTCAGTCACTCAACAAGCATCAGCTAAGCACCTACTGCATGCAGATGCTGGCAACCCCCCCATGGGAACCTGACAGCCCCACAGGCTCACGGCCTAGCGGGGTGGAACCTAATGTCGCCAAGAAAATGAAACAGAGAGTGGAGGCCCAGGGGACTTTGTCCGGACCAGGCAGGGACCAAGGCAGGCAGCTCACTCCAGGTTTATTTCAGGGCAGTTTGGGGGTGGGGGACAAAGACCCCCCTCCAGCTCCTAAACTGGGTCACTTTTCTCCCAGGTGAAGGGGACCATCCTCATGGGATCCTATCGATGTGAGAGCTTTGTGTCCACCAGGTGTGGCTGGGTGCACCAAGGTGAAGGGTTTGAGGGCTGCACAGGGACCCCCAGCACTGGGAGTTTGGCCTCCTCCCTCAGACTGGATGGTTTCCCAGGGTTGGAAAGGGGCAGGTCTCCCCTCTCAGCTTGGGACTTCTCAGAGGGAGGAGCTGAGTGTCTCCTCCCTCAGACCCGCAGCCCCTCAAGGTGCTGCGATCTGTGCCACCCTCTTTGACCGGTCCCTCTGCCCTCAGACTAGCGGAAGCAAATTACACCTGAAAGTGGAGGAGCGGGTCTCTTTCTTTCTTAGACCCAGGGCATTTGGCAAAGTCTTAGAAGCAGAAAGAATCAGCAGGGGTCCCATTTCATCCCCAAAAGCTTTAGACCCCAAAGGCAGAAACATTTCTAAAGGAAGATAGAAACGGAAACGAAAAACCCAACAGTCCCAAATGTGCCCATGGTGGGATTGTTGGCAGATGAGCTGTGGTTCTTGGATCCTGGACCTAGGACCCATTTCCTAGGGTGGGGGCTTGGCGATGGTCTTGGCAGTTCCCACGAGGGTCAGGGCAGGGCAGGGGGTGGGCGCCCCATCCCGAGGCTCAGTCATCCTCCTCACTGGCGTAGATGCGGGATTCCCAGCGCTCTGCCATGGCGTTCTTGTGACGGGTCACCCGTATGGCTTCCAGGACCTGCAAAAAGGAGGCATGAATTCCCCCGATCCAGGTCCTACCACACCCCCAAGATGTCTCCTCCAACTGCCAATTCATTAGAGAGGCCTAGAACGGGGGTAAAGTAGGATCCCCTCCTCTGTTTCAGACCCTCTACTCCTAGTAATATGATCAAAGAATATGCTAACTCATGCTGAGCTCCAGGGCAGGAAAAATGTCTGTATTTGGCTTTTTTGTTTGTTTTTGAGATGGAGTCTCACTTTGTTGCCCAGGCTGGACTGCAGTGGCGCGATCTTGGCTCACTGCAAGCTCTGCCTCCCAGGTTCACACCATTCTCCTGCCTCAGCCTCCTGAGTAGCTGGGACTACAGAGGCCCGCTACGGCGCCTGGCTAATTTTTTGTATTTTTAGTAGAGATGGGGTTTCACCATGGTCTCGATCTCCTGACCTCATGATCCTCCCGCCTCGGCCTCCCAAAGTGCTGAGATTACAGGCGTGAGCCACCGTGCCTGTCCAATGTATTTGGCATTTCGGATTCAGCTCAAAGAGGGGTCAGGCGATAGTGGCTCATGCCTATAATCCCAGAAATTTGGTGTGCTGAGGTGGGAGGATCCCTTGAATGCAGGAATTCGAGACCAGCCTGGGCAACCTAGTGAGACTCTGCCTGTACAAAAATAAATAAATAAATAAATAAAAATAAACTATCTGGGTGCAGTGGCACATTCCTATGTTCCTACTTGGGAGGCTGAGGTGGGAGGATTGCTTGAGCCCAGGAGGTCAAGGTTGCAGTGAGCTGGGACCACATCATAGCACTCCAGCCTGGGTGACAGAGTGAGAGCCTGTCTCAAAAAAGTAAAAATAAAAAAAAATAAAAATAAAAAGGAGGGCCACACACGTGTGCCATAAACCGACTGAGGGGGCTTGGCTTGAATAGTCTCAGATGCATACCTTCCTCAAAGAAAGTGCCTTTGGCTGGGTGCGGTGGCTCACACCTGTAATCCCAGCACTTTGGGAGGTGGAGGCGGGAGGATTACCTGAGGTCAGGAGTTCGAGACCATCCTGGCCAACATGGTGAAACCCCATCTCTGCTAAAAATACAAAAATTAGCTGGGCATGGTGGTGGGTGCCTGTAATCCCAGCAACTTGGGAGGCTGAGGCAGGAGAATCGCTTGAACCTGAAAGGCGGAAGTTGCAGTGAGCCGAGGTCAAGCCACTCCACTCCAGCCTGGGCAACAGAGCGAGACTCCATCCTCCCAAAAAAACATTGCCTTGGCCGGGCGCGGTGGCTCGCGCCTGTAATCCCAGCACTTTGGGAGGCCGAGGCGGGTGGATCACGAGGTCAGGAGATCGAGACCATCCTGGCTAACACGGTGAAACCCCGTCTCTACTAAAAATACAAAAAAAAAAAATAGCCGGGCGTGGTGGTGGGCGCCTGTAGTCCCAGCTACTCGGGAGGCTGAGGCAGGAGAATGGCGTGAACCCGGGAGGCGGAGCTTGCAGTGAGCCGAGATCGCACCACTGCACTCCAGCCTGGGCGACAGAGCGAGACTCTGTCTCAAAAACAAAAACAAAAACAAAAACAAAAAAAAAGCAACATTGCCTTTGTTTGGGGTCTAACCTCACAAACCTTCACCACGTGGTGGAGAGGTGGCATGTGAACCCTCTTCTCCTAATCCATGCCCATGGCAGACATCACAAGCAGATCACAGCAAAATCCACCCTGAGCAGACACTACCAATTGAGAAGACACCCAATACGATCCCCACACCTGGAGGAAGGGGCTTCCGTTGGCCCCTGTGTGCAGGGGCACAGATGTGGGGGGGAAAGACTTGAGTCTTCGTGCCCAGGAGCATACTCACCTCTGAGTTGATACCGTCCGAGGGGTTGATGCCAGCGTACTACAGGAAAGGAACACAAGTCAGCCCAGGCCTTTCTGCCCTGCCCGGTGCAGAGTCCGACCAGAGCTCCCACACAGCCCTCTCTGTCACCATTTGGGGAAGAGTGGAAGGCATCCCCTGCCCTGAGTGTTCTCAACACGTGTCCCACGATCACCCAGACTCACAGCCATCCCCCTTGCTGTTCCTCATGCTGTTCCCCTCAGTGCAGCCTCTGTCCAACATTCATGATTTATTTAATTTAATTAATTAATTTATTTATTTATATTGGGTCTGAGTCTTGCTCTATCACCCAGGCTGGAGTGCGGTGGTGCGATCTCGGCTCACTGCAACCTCCACCTCCCGGATGGAGCCTCCCTAGCAGCCTCCCTTTAGCCAGGAGTGGTGGCACGTACCTGTAATTCCAGCTACACGGGAGGCCGAGGCAGGAGAATCGCTTGAACCCGGGAGGCAGAGGTTGCAGTGAGCCAAGATCGTGCCACTGCACTCCAGCCTGGGTGACAGAGCGAGACTCCATCTCAAAAAAAAAAAAAAAAAAAAAAGGACATAATATTCCTCATGGCACTAAATATTCCTCGTGTCATTAAAAGTGACGTGAGGAATATTTCATACTGACAAAAGGAGCTCTCATCCAAGAGGATAAACATACATGAACAATTACATGTCTAACAACAAGGCATCAAAATTCATAAAGTAAAACCCCTAAGGCAAAGCTCTGTGGCCTGTAGGTCCTGGAGTCAAGCCTGGGTTCATGAGCTGCCTAACCCTGGGCATGTGAGACCACCAGGGTGCTAAAGGTGTGGTTCATTGGAAGCCCCGAGCCAGCGTGTGACAGACACATCCCTCCGTCTCTCCCTCTCCCTCCCTCCCTTCCTTCCTCGCTTTGTTCCTTCCTTCCCTCCATCCCTCCCTCCCTCCTGCCTTCTCTCTCTCTCTCTCTCTTTCTTAGAAGTAAATATCTGTGGCCAGGTGCAGTGGCTCATGCCTATAATCCCAGCACTTTGGGAGGCCCAAGTGGGCAGGTCACTTGAGATCGGTTTGAGACCAGCCTGGCTAACATGGTGAAACCACGTCTCTACTAAAAATACAAAAAAATTAGCCGGGCGTGGTGGTGCACGCCTGTAATCCCAGCTACTCAGGAGGCTGAGGCAGGAGAATCACTTCAACCCGGGAGGTGGAGGTTGCAGTGAGCCGAGATCGTGCTACTGCACTCCAGCCTGGGCGACAGAGTGAGACTCCGTCTCAAAAAAAAAAAAAAAAAAAGAAACTAATGCTGGTGACGATGACAAATTGCCAGTGTCCTCCTCCTCCAAGCAGAGTTGGTCCTTTGGTCTTTGATCCTGGAGATGACCTCCTGATGGGGACAAAGACCCCAGCTTATATGGCCTCTCCAAGCAGAAGCCCAGAGATACAAGGACACCAAGTTTATCATCTTCTACCTGACATCTGCAGGAGACTGAGGCACGGCCAGGGGTGGGGGTAGTGCTTGAACCCAGGTCAGGCTTGAGTCCTGCTTGAACTTCCTGTGGCCCTAATAGGGGCTGTCTGACCTCAGCCTGGCCTCTGCAGAGACGGGTTCCAGACTCACCCATTGCTCCTTCTTTCTCTGCCCGGGAGGAGCACTGTCCACTGGATCTTCCACTGTCCACGCCACGTTTGAGTGTAGGTGGATGGGGCTGAAGAAGGGAGACTCAGACACCGAGTAACTGCCCGTGATGCCTGTAGGGGAGCAGGGAGGGCAGAACATTAGAACATTTGTCAGACCTCTGCTCGGGAGACAGAGTCTCTAGCCAGCAGCTAAGGAGACAGATGTATGGACAGACAGAGCAGATGACTATCCGGGAAACTGACAGATTGACCAAAGTAGCCAGTCAGGAGAAACTGGATGCACAGATGGGCCGACATGCAAGGTGAAGAACATTAAAAGTGGCCGGGCGCGGTGGCTCACGCCTGTAATCCCAGCACTTTGGGAGGCCGAGGTGGGTGGATCACGAGGTCAGGAGATCGAGACCGTCCTGGCTAACACGGTGAAACCCCATCTCTACTAAAAATACAAAAAAATTAGCCAGGCGTGGAGGCAGGCGCCTGTAGTCCCAGCTACTCAGGAGGCTGAGGCGAGAGAATGGCGTGAACCCGGGAGGCGGAGCTTGCAGTGAGCCGAGATCGCGCCACTGCACTCCAGCCTGGGTGACAGAGCGAGACTCCATCTCAAAAAAAAAAAAAAAAAACATTAAAAGTGACACAAGGAATATTTCATATTGTCAAAAAGGTGCAACTGTCCAAGAGGATAAACATATATGAACAGGCCGGGAGCAGTGGCTCATGCTTGTAATCCCAGCACTTTGGGAGGCCAAGGCAGGGTGGATCGCCTGAGGTCAGGAGTTCAAGACCAGCCTGGCCAACATGATGAAACCTGTCTCTACTAAAAATACAAAAATTAGCCGGGAGTGGTGGTGGGCACCTGTAATCCCAGCTACTCAGGAGGCTGAGGCAGGAGAATCGCTTGAACCCAGGAGGTGGAGGTTACAGTGAGTTGAGATCCTGCCACTGCACTCCAGCCTGGGCGACAGAGCGAGACTCCGTCTCAAAAAAGAAAACCGAAAAACAAAAAACAAAAACAAAAACAAAACACACAAAACATATATGAACATTTATGCGCCTAACAACAAGGCATCCAAATCCATAAAGCAAAAGCCCTAAGGTAAAGTTGACATTTCTCTCCAAAATCTACATTTTTAATAGACAGGCAGACAAACCAGCGACTGAGGGGATGAACAGTCAGGAGGCAATGTCTCCCCAACCCCAGCCCTTTGACAGCCTCAAACTCCACCTCCCCACCCTCCCCTGCTCCAACCTCTGAGACCCTGAGCCAAGCAGCCACTCCCTGGAGCCCCTTCTCACCGGATGCCTGGGAGGAGCTCCTGGAGTTCTGGTCAGAGTTCTCATCTGGCGTTGGGGAGAAGACCTCTGGGAAGAGAGCATTTCTCCGCTCCTCTGCCACCTCTTGCTCCCGGCGCAGGACACTCTCCCTCTCCCTTTCCAGCAGATCAGATGACTGGGACTTCTGCAGCCTCAGTGCAGGGGCCCCAGCCACCTCCCAGCCCCAGACATGGGGGACTTGGGCCTGCTGGGGCTCGTCTGGGGCCCTGAACCGCAGAGGACGCAGGCGGAAGTACTCCCACCGCACGACACCCCTGTTGGCTTGCGGGCATCCCCGAGGGGGCTTCGATGCCTCTTGCTTTGTGCTCAGGGGTTTTCCAGAGGATTCTGAGAGATGCCTCGGGGACATCGTGGCCTTTGGTGAAGTCGCAGCCTTGGCCTCCGCTGTGGAGAGACTGCTGGGCTTGCCGAATGCTCCGAAGGCTGAGAATTCTAGCTGGGGGGTCCCGGGGCTCAGGTACGGCTGGTAGGCATCAGGTGGGATGCGGTTCACCTTCCTCACTTCTGGAGCTGGGTCGGCCGCACGGGCATCTGGGGCCGGGCTGAGGATGGAATCTGAGCTGAGGGCTCTCCGGAGTCCGGGCTGGGGACCCTCCGAGACCCAGTCGGGTGTGGACGCCCGGCCCACGTGCAGGCCCTCCCGCCGGTGGTCTTCCTCACGCTGTGTCTCCTGTACTATGTCCCGCTGCACGTAGAGGGACGGGCGCCCTCTCTCCCGCCGTGGGGCTGTGATCAGGCTCAGCTTGGTCAGCAGCGGCCTGGTGGGGATTTCCACCAGCTCCTGGTGGTCGGTTGCCTGCCGAAGCCCCCTCTGCTCTCGCAGGTCTGCCTCACGCTCCTGAGCCAGACGGATCTCCCGCTCGATGGGCGTCTCCTTGGGGGTCCCCGGGGACTCCACTGAGGCCAAGGAGCCAGGGTCATCCACAACTTGGACACTGGCCCAGGTGGGCACAGCACGCACCTTGTTCTCTTCCCTGACCACCCCCTTCACCTGGGGCTTGATGGGAACCACGTGCCCGTTGGCCAGGTGGGGCTTGTTGAAGGCCTTGGGGGCCTGGCTGGCCCCTGGGGTTGTGCCTGCAGGGGTCCCCCTGGCCGGGGAGCTATGAGGGGCCCCCTTGTTCGCCTGCTCCAGACTCAGGAACTGCTGTCTCGCTGCCAGGAAGTCAATCTGCTCCCT
The DNA here is from genome assembly GCF_000001405.40 of Homo sapiens. Taxonomy (NCBI): domain Eukaryota; kingdom Metazoa; phylum Chordata; class Mammalia; order Primates; family Hominidae; genus Homo; species Homo sapiens. The sequence continues at coordinate 757,507 of NC_000019.10, read as the reverse complement.
GTCAACCACGTTCTCCTCCAGGGGCGTGGACCGAGGTGGGCCGGGGGTCCTGGGGTCTCCGTGGTCAGGAGTGCCCTGGAGCGTGGCCACGGTGCTGCTCTTCCTGACTGCCTGGCCCTGGATGACGGCCCAGCGCTCCCGCTCCAGGTCACACAGCCTCCTGGGGTCAGCGTCCCCAGCATCCAGGCGGTAGGTCTTCATCTCCTTGTCCTCCCCGTCCTCTGGGCGGAGTGCCCATGTTGGACGTCCCTGGTGGGCATCCCTGGCGCCCAGGCGGTAAACCTGCCAACCCTCATCCTCCCTGTTCTCCGAGTGGAGCCCCCGTGGGGACGGCTGGCCAGTGTAGGCATGCACGCTGTAGGACACCCCCTGCCTCTGCACGCCCTGCTGGGCCCTGTGGTCAGTGGGCCATGTCTGCGGCTCATCCTGGCCCCAGCCGCTGGCCTCGGGGCCCATGCACACCAGATGGTATGTGTAGCTGGTGTCTCCATCCAGCACCAGGCCGGTGCCACGGTGTGCCTGAGGGATGCCCAGGATGGGGTATCTGGTCACGCGGTCCATCTCTTCCGGGGTCTTGGCCTCAGCCTTCCTCCCGTGGGGTGGAGACCTCTGGGCTTACTGAGGGAGGAGAAGGAAATGAGGGCCATCAAGTCAGAGCACCTAGGGAGAGGAACAGCCTCCAGTCCCCCAAAGGGCAAAGGGTCCATCAAATGGCCTTTGTGATTGGTTTAGGGATGGGTAAGTGACACAGTCCAGCCACTCAGAGCAGCCCATTCTCTAACCTCTGTGATTGGTTTAGGGGTGCGTAAGTGACAGTCCAGCCAATCAGTGCATCCCATTCTCTAACCTCTGTGATTGGTTTAGGGGTGCGTGACACAGTACAGCCACTCAGAGCAGCCCATTGTCTAATCTCTGTGATTGGCTAAGGGATAGGTAAGTAACTCAGCCTGGCCAATCAGAGCATCCCACCTTCTGGCCTCTGTGATTGGTTCAAGGATGAGTAAATGGCCCAGCCTGGCCAGTCAGAGTAGCCCATTCTCTGGCCTCTGTGATTGGTTCAGGGATGGGTAAGTGACTCATCCTGATCAATCAGAGCATCCCACCCACTGGCCTCTGTGATTGGTTCAAAGATGGGTAAGTGACCTAGTCCAGCCAGTGAGAGCATTTCACCCTCTGGCCTCTGTAATTGGTTCAGAGATGAGCATGTGACCCAGTCTAGCCAATGACATGAGACCCTGGGACTTTACAATTAATGCAGAAGATGGGACCCTCTTCCCGCTGGTCTTGTTAGGCTGATGGAATGAGATAGTGAATTGCTGGGGACGTAAATGCCCCCAGTGGGTACAGCTTGCTTGACAGCAACCCCAACACCAGCAAAGCATCCTGAAAACTTTTAAGCTCCCTGATTCCAACCATACCTGAATCTCTGAATGTCCCGGTTACTACCCCAACAACTCGCATTATATGTTTCTAACATTTGCAGCCCAATAAAATCAGGGTGCCCTGCCCACCTTATCTCCCAGACACACACACCTGCCCTGTGGAGTCCAGCTCAGCCTTGATTTTTTTTTTTTTGAGATGGAGTCTCGCTCTGTTGCCCAGCCTGGAGTGCAGTGGCACAATGTCAGCTCACTGCAACCTCTGCTTCCAGGTTCAAGCAATTCTCGTGCCTCAGCCTCCTGAGTAGCTGGGATTACAGGCGCTAACCTCCCAAGTCCGGCTAATTTTTTGTATTTTTAGTAGAGACGAGGTCTCACCATGTTGGCCAGGTTGGTCTCGAACTCCTGAGCTCAGGTGATCTGCCCGCCTCGGCCTCCCAAAGTGCTGGAATTACAGGCGTGAGCCACCGCGCCTGGCCTCAGCCTTGATCTCTGAAGCCTTCCTTGGCCGCACCATATTTATCTGTGTCTCCTGTGCACTGAGCCTTTCCACCCTGAGCTCACTCTGAGACTCCTGGTGTGGGATTTTTCCATCTGACAATTACAGATGGCCCCTTGCTAAGGGATGTCAAATGGAGAAACTGAGGCCCAGAGAGAAGGACTGACAGCAACTCCAGTTTCCCGGCTCCCACATCCTGGTTCTCCACCCTGCCCTGCCCAGCTGGACACCTCGTCCCATCTGAGACAACATCCCCGCCTGGGCCTTGTCGCCATAAAGCCAGGATGGGCAAAGGAACACCGTGGACCTTGTCCCGCTGGGCCCAGGTGGGGCCGTGGAGCGAGCGGGTGACACCCTGACCCAGTGCCTTCCGGCTCTCGCCCTCTCCCAAGGGTCCAGGTTGCTGCTGGGCTCAGTTCCAGGAGCCTTCCCGGAGGTCACACACCTGCTCGCATCGCTTCTGTGGCTCCTGGCATCTGCAGGGCACAGTTCTCACACCCTGCTCCTGGCCTTAGCACGAAACCCCAATTTCTGTGGGCACCTCCACCCCAAGCCAGGCCCTCCTCTTCTACCCCAAACCAGACCCTCCTCTTCCACCCCAAACCAGGCCCTCCTCTTCCACCCCAAACCAGGCCCTCTTCCTCCACCCCAAGCCAGGCCCTCCTCTTCCACCCCAAACCAGACCCTCCTCTTCCACCCAAACCAGACCCTCCTCTTCCACCCAAACCAGGCCCTCTTCCTCCAACCCAAACCAGACCCTCCTCTTCCACCCCAAACCAGGCCCTCTTCCTCCACCCCAAACCTCGCCCTCCTCCTCTACCTGCAGCTCTCTCTGTCTCGAGGCTGCCTGTTTCTGCTTCTCCACGGCTTCCTCTGCTGAAGCCCATGGACACCTCCTCCAGGAAGTAACCCAGATTGCCCCTCCCCCAGAGCCATCATCTGAACACCTCCTTCATGTCAGGCCTTGTACCCAGCACCCGTCTTAGGTATTGTCTTTTGTTTTGAGACAGAGTCTCGCTGCGATGCACAGGCTGGACTGCGGTAGCGTGATCTCAGCTCACTGCAATCTCCACCTCCCGGGTTCAAGCAATTCTCCTGCCTCAGCCTCCTGAGTAGCTGGGACTACGGGCACCCGCCCCCACACCCGGCTAATTTTTTCTTTTTTTTGAGGCGGAGTCTCACTCTGTCGCCCAGGCTGGAGTGCAGTGGCGCGATCTCGGCTCCCTGCAAGCTCTGCCTCCCAGGTTCACGCCATTCTCCTGCCTCAGCCTCCCTAGAGCTGGGACTACGGGCGCCCGCCACCACGCCTGGCTAATTTTTTGTATTTTTAGTAGAGACGGGGTTTCACCATATTAGCCAGGATGGTCTTGATCTCCTGACCTCGTGATCCTCCCGCCTCGGCCTCCCAAAGTGTTGGGATTACAGGCGTGAGCCACCGCGCCCAGCCAGGACACCCGGCTAATTTTTGTATTGTTAGTAGAGACGGGTTTCACCATGTTGGCCAGGCTGGTCTTGAACTCCTGACTTCAGGTGATCCGCCTGCCTCGGCCTCCCAAAGTGCAGGGATTACAGGCGTGAGCCACCGTGTCCAGCAGACATCATCTTTCATAGTTGAGGAAAGGAAGCCTCACCTGAAGACACAGGGATCTCAAAAGCTTGAGCTCCTGACTCCTAAAAAAAGCACTGTCGGCTGGGCACAGGGGCTCAGGCCTGTAATCCCAGCTACTTGGGAGGCTGAGGTGGGAGAATCACTTGAACCTGTGAGGTGGAGGTTGCGGTGAGCTGAGATTGTGCCATTGCACTCCAGCCTGGGTGACAGAGAAAGACCCTGTCTCAAAAGAAAAACAAACCCCCACAAAGCAGGACTGTCGCTCCCGGGCCACCAAGGCTATTATTTAGATCTGCTGCCTTTACACCAACCAGCAGCATTTTTTTTTGTTTTTAAACAGACAGGGTCGGCCAGGCACAGTGGCTCACACCTGTAATCCCAGCACTTTGGCGGATCACGAGGTCAGGAGATCGAGACCATCCTGGCTAAAATGGTGAAACCCCATCTCTACTAAAAATACAAAAAAAATTAACCGGGTGTGCTGGCGGGCGCCTGTAGTCCCAGCTACTCAGGAGGCTGAGGCAGGAGAATGCTGTGAACCCGGGAGGTGGAGCTTGCAGGGAGCTGAGATCGCACCATTGCACTCCAGCCTGGTGACAGAGCTAGACTCCGCCTCAAAAAAAAAAAAAAAGAAAAAAAGAAAAAAAAAGAAAAACTTAGCCCCTCTCTGAACTGGAAAGTGGCATCAAACAGCATAAAGTGGAGAGACCGTGGGGAGCCGTGTTGAAACTACACGCAATGTGTCATGCAATCTTCCGCGCGTATCAAATGTCAGAAACTAAAATAGGGGAAACATTGAAAACCAGGCGGCATTGGTGAATAAATCCCACACAAACAGCTGAGCTTCCTCCCAAAGCGTGACGCACAGATGGCTCCCCTGACCCGAGGCCTCCTCCTCCGTGGACGCCGCCTGCCCAGCTCACGGAAGGCCTTGCCTTCTCCCACCCGAAACCGTCAGCCCAGGCCTCGCTCTCGCCTGCTGTGGCCACAGGTCAGCACCCTTCCTGCAGCCCAGAGTCTGGTATACAGCAGGCGCCTAATAAATACTGGCTGGGCAAACACCACTCATCCCAGCTGCTCAGACGTGGGGGTCGGGCTCATTGCGGAATGCAGACCGGCTCCACCGTGCCTTCTGGCCCTGAAGGGCTGGGCAGGTCCACGCCCTGCACCCTGGAGCTCCCCGGGGAGGGCGGGTGTAGGAATGTTTGCCCAGTGAGTGGACAGACGTTTACACAGCGGGATTTATAACCCACATCAGACGTCAACTCCGGGAGAAAGGGAGCTGTCCGCCCAGCCTCGAGCAGGTGCCGGGTCTCCCAGTGGGGTCGGGGTTGGGTGGGGATGAAGGCACGCATCCTCCTCTGCTCATTCCTCCCCAGTGATTCACTGAAGCCAGCGGGTGGGGCCTGGGGTCCAGCTCTTGGGTTCAAGGCCACTGGGCCCCCTCCCCTGCTGCCTGTGCCTCAGTGCCCACCCCCGCCCCCCGCTTTTTTTTTTGAGATAGAGTCTCCCTCTGTCGCCCAGGCTGGAGTGCAGTGGCGCGATCTCCATTCACTGCAACCTCTGCCTCCCGGATTCACACCATTCTCCTGCCTCAGCCTCCCAAGTAGCTGGGACTACAGGCGCCCGCCACCACGCCCGGCTAAGTTTTGTATTTTTAGTAGAGATGGGGTTTCACTGTGTCGGCCAAAAAAACCCCTGGATCCACGGCGGCTCTCATGGCCGGCATTCTTGGGCAGCGGCGCTGCCCTCGGGGGAAGAGCCCCAGGACGGAAGATGGCCCCTGCAAGGCCCGGCGGTGGCTAAGGACCTCGGCGTCCTGAGACTCTTCCTGCAACACCTTGGAACCGTTTTCGACTCCGGTTTTCGAGAGAGGGAGCTGGGACCCAGAGAGGAGAACCTGCTCATCTGAGGTCACACAGCGATGACAGAGCAAGTGTCTGAAGCCAGTTTTCAGACTTTGCTCCAAATCACCCCCTCCTACAGGAAGCCCCCTGGGTTGCTCCTCCCAGCCTCACCCTGAACTCTGTTGATACCAGAATGAAACTGGGTTTATGGACCCTGGTGCCACACCTCCTTCCTCATCAGCCAGTTGGCTCTATGTGAGGGGCAAAGGTTCCCTTGTGGGGCCGAGACTCAGACAAGGAGGCCATGCAGAAGGGAGGGCCCCGTTCCTTTTTCCCATCCCTCAGGGTTGCAGTCACCCTTGAGTCATCTCAGCTCCTTGGGCTCCTGGGCGGAGCTCCACCGGCAGACGCTGGGCCGAGTCCCTGCTGGCTGCCCGGGATCCCAGGCTACCACCTCACCCCCACCCGAGGACCCAGGCCAAGTCCCCAGCCCCGGCCTGAGACTCCTTCCGCCTGTACTCAGCCACCCCTCCTCCGTGTCCCCAAACCAGCCCCCAGCCCCACGGGGGTGTTTACTGCCCAGAGCCTCCCAGTCAGGGGCCTGGTGGGACGGATAAGCATCTCTCCAGAAGCCTCTGGAATTCCCAGAACCATGGAGGGGCCCCTCTGGCCTCTGACCATGGGGGTGCCAACCCGGCCCCTCCCTTGGAGGGCTCTGGGATTTGGGGTTCAAAAGCCCCAGCAGAGTTCAGGGACAAGGGCCTCTCTGCTCTCCCAGTGGGTGCCCTTGAGGCCCCAGAGTACCTAGCGGGGGCAGAGGGAAAGGTGCCTCAGGGAGGCTCCGAGGGTGACGGGGTGGGGCAGGGGGCCTCCCTGGATCCCAAGTGCCGCCAGGCAAGCAGACCCCGCCCACAGACACATGACGCTCCCACGCCAAATGTGGATCCAACCGCCCCACACAGGATCCCCGCCCGGCCCGGCCCGGGGCGCCCCCAGCCTCACCTGCCGGCTCCCGGCTCCACAGTCTGCAGCCTCCACTCTGACTCCTCGATGGGCACAGAGGCCTCCCAGCTCCGCCCTGCCCGCCAGGTTGCCAGGGAACAGAGGCCCCACCCAGGGGAGGCAGGTGTGCCCCCTCCCCCCAGCCCCACCTGGGATCAGGAAACAAAGTCCAGAGGAGGAGGAGGGAGAAAGAGGATACCAGGCTGGGCAAGGGCGGGCACCGTGCCCGCTGCCGGCTGCCCCTCCACCCCCAGGGCCTCCAGGTGGCCCCGAGGAGCCAGAACTCAGCCGAAACCTCCCTTGGCTGCCTGGCCCTCCCACCGCCTCTCAGCACCGCTCAGAGAGGGTCAGCAGGTGTCCAGGGCCACACAGCAGCTCAGCGTGCACAGTGGCCTGTGTCTCCTGGGGGGCCGGAGGGGCTGAGTCCCAATCCCGTCCGTGCCTTCTGGCCCAGCCCACCCCTTGGGGCAACTCCCCTAGATGGCCCCCTTCTTGCATAAACCAGGTTTGGCAGACTCGGGGGGGTTTGGTGTGGCCTGGGTTCTGATCCCACCTGACCTCTCTTAGCCCTGTTTTCTCCTCCGGGACGTGGGGGAACATCACGCCCGGGCTCCCTCAGGGCTGCTGGGAGGAATTCCCTAGGCCCCATCCACATAAAAACCCATACGAGGGGGCCGGACTTGGTGGCTCACACCTGTAATCCCAGCACTTTGGGAGGCCGAGGCGGGCGGATCACTTGAGGCCAGGAGTTCGAGACCAGCCTGGCCAACATGGCGAAACCCCGTCTCTACTAAAAATACAAAATTTAGCGGGGTATGGTGGCACGCTATTATAATCCCAGCTACTTGGGAGGCTGAGGCAGAAGAATCACTTGAACCCAGGAGTTGGAGGTTGCAGTGAGCCGAGATCACACCACTGCACTCCAGCCTGGGCGACAAGAGCAAAACTCCAACTCAAAAAAAAAAAAAAAAAAAAAAAAAAAAGAACCGCACGAGGCCGTCAAAAGACCCAGGCCACCCCGAGAGATGGGGACGCAGAGGCCCTCAGGCGCCCATGGTCCTCCTGGATTCTTAGTCAAGGTGCAGAGGCCTTGCTGGGACTGTGGGGAGCCCAGCATCTGTGGGGAAGTCGGGCCACTGGGCCTAGCGCCGTCTATGAGGGCAGGGAACACAGCTGAGGGGGCAGGGACTTCAGTTCCCCAGGCTGGGGCTCTGTCCTGACCTACGCCAGAGGGGCTGCTTGTGGAGCCCCTCTGAACCTCAGTCTCTTCTTCGAGTAAAAAGGCCCCCAGCTACGAATCCAGCAGGGCTGCTCAGGAGGGGGGTGCTTTTTTTGTGTTTTTTTTTTGAGACGGAGTCTCGCTCTTGTCACCCAGGCTGGAGTGCAGTGGCACGATCTCGGCTCACGGCAACCTCCCCTGTTCAAGCAATTCTCCTGCCTCAGCTTCCCTAGTAGCTGGGATTACTGGCATGAGCCACCACGCCCAGCTATTTTTGTATTTTTAGTAGAGACAGGGTTTTGCCACGTTAGCCAGGCTGGTCTCGAACTCCTGACCTCAGGTGATGCCCCCGCCTCAGCCTCCCAAAGTGCTGGGATTACAGGCGCGAGCCACGGCGCCTGGCCAAGATGGGGGTGTTTAAGGACAAATCTGGATAAAGGGCCCCCAAAGGACAGCGTGGCACCTAACGCTGCTGGGTGTGTGAAAGCTCAGGGTGCGCGGCCTCACGGCGCCTCCCACCGCCGCCTCCCGCCACCCCCTTCACGTCCTTTTCTCCCTGGCTTGTAGATAGGGAAACGGAGGTACGGAAAGCTTAAAATCGCGCCTCAGGAATGGCGGGGGTTTAGGCTGGAATTGGAACCTGAGTTCCCTCAGCAGTGCTCTCCACCACACTCACCACCTCATCGGGGAAAACTGAGGCCCCAGCAGGGTGGAGGCTGGATCGCCCATGAGCTGGGGGCACTGTGGAGACGTCCCACGCCCAGGCTGAGGCTGGCCTCCCACTCAGGGCTCCGAAGGCCTATTTTATTTTATTTGAGACAGAGTCTCGCTCTGTCGCCCAGGTTGGAGTGCAGTGGCACGATCTCAGCTCACTGCAGCCTCCGCCTCCCAGGTTCAAGCGATTCTCCTGCCTCAGCCTCCTGAATAGCTAGGATTACAGGCGTGAGCCACCACGCCCGGCTAAGTTTTTGTATTTTTAGTAGAGACAGGGTTTCAGTATGTTGGCCAGGATGGTATCGATCTCTTGACCTTGTGATCCGCCCACCTCGGCCTCCCAAAGTACTAGGATTGCAGGTGTGAAACACCGTGCCCGGCCACGAAGGCTTATTTTACAGATGGGAAAACTGAGGCCCAGAGGAGGCAGCGACTTCTCCAAGACTACAGCGTGAGAGAGTGGGGCTGGCGGGGCAGCACCTTCCCGTGAGCATGACACTGGTCTCTACAGACACCTCCTCCCCAGGCCTCCTGTGTATTTCCCAGGGGCCGGCTTCTCTACAGAGCTTGTGGGTGTCCAGGGGACCCTCTGTCATCACCCAGGGGCTGTGAGCCCAGCAAAGGGAGGAACAAAGGACAGGACGGGGCGGCCGCAGAACCCGAGGGCCCCCCGGGAAGCCAGTCCTGCCCCCCCACAGCAGCCCCTTACAGCCAGGCCTTACCTGCACAGTGGGGATTCCAGCGCCTCCCACCACCCCAAGGCGCTCAGGGTGAGCGGGTGCAGGCAGGTGAAGCCAGCACACCGCAACCCTGCTCAGCCTCCCTTTAATGGCTCAAAGGCCGGCAGGCCCCACCCCCTGGCCTGGCCACGCCTTCCTCGCCAGGTTGAAAGGCAAGAACTCCAGGAACTGGGGCTGTTCACGCTGTTTATTTGCTTCTCTGGGAAAATCAAGAACATCGGGGGCCTCGTCACACACCAGAAGCAGAGGGGGTTATAGCAAGGGCACTTCAGCGAAGGCTCGCGGCTCGAGGGACTCAGGCAGACTCCAGGGAGGAGGAGGGGGTTCCACGGCTGACGCCCAGGTCACCCCCGAGAGGGCCTCTCCTCCCAGCCACCCAGGGGCAGAGCGGAGGCAGGGACCCAGGCTCCCATCCGAGGTGGCCCCTGTACCTGCCCTGCCGAGGCTGCAGGTGGTGACTGGACCAGGAGGTGGCCTGAGCACTGGGCACCAGGCTGGAGGTCCCTAGGGCAGGGACCAAGTTGGGGCCTGGTTGTCCAAAGCCAACGTGTGAGACGGTGTCTGTGAGAATGTGCACGAATGTGCCTCTGGGGACGAGTGTAGCTGCCCCCAGGAGGGAAGCCCCTTGCCACTTCCAATGAGAGGGGGCTGGGGGCAGGCTCACATTGGTCTGGGTGGCAAATGAGGGTCTCCTGCTCCAACCCAAGAGGCTTCCTGTCCCAGGCTGTGTCCCTCCCTCCACTGCCCGGACGTGCTCCAAGCCCAGTAGAGCTGGCAGGTGGGGCCTGATCTCGGGGTATGGTTGGGAAGACCCAGGACCCTGGTCCAAGCAGGATGGAGAAGAGGCCGGGGGCGGCCCCTGGGGTCCCCAAATTAGCACCAGGAGGAAGGAGGGCCCAGTGGGGGCGGGAGCTCGGGACAAGGAGTGGCTCACTCGGTCCCTGCCCTGTGCAGGGGGCAGGTCAATGACCCCTGGTTCGCCCCGTCTAGAAGATAGCCCAGGGGTTACCGGCCCCTCCCGGGTGGGGGCATGTCCCCGGGGTTCCCCCTCCCCCAGACTCCATTGTCCACTGGTTGGGCCCACACAGGGCATAGGGGCACAGCAGAGGGGCCTGTCCTCCACCCAAGACCTTTAGCCCCCAAAGAGGCACGGCCTCACCCCAACTGCCTGAGATTGGGGGGCCAGCGCCTTGGCCAGGGAACCCCATAGAGCCTCACTTCCAGGGCCTGAGCAGGCCTCAGTACCCACCCCCGGCTCCCGGGGCCCTCTCTGGCGGGGTGTCCCCTCAGAGAAAGGCACAGGTAGGAGGCCCAGAGGGTGGCAGGCTGGCCTGGGCCGCGTGGAGGCTGCGGGTCCCACCCGCCAGGACCCCGGTGGGCGCGAGCCGCGTCTGTGAAGCTGCCGTGACATGGGGGGTCCTTGTCTCGGGAAAAGCGGGTCTGTCCTGTCTCTCTCCTACCAGGCACAAGTGCACGGCTCTGGTTCGGGGGGAGTGTTGGGGCGTGGTGACGGGTGGGGGCCCCTGTCCCTCTTTCCAGCGAAAGAAAACTCGGAAGGAACATGTAACAACACGCCAAGTCCTGGACCCGTGAGGCTGTGGGTGGAGGGTGGGCAGGCGCCGGGAGGGGCCGGGCTGGTGGGTGTCTGTGGTGTGGGGTGGGGGCCGGGGTCTCGGGGGCCGGCTCACATGATGGAGCAGCATTTACAACGGTGCTTCTTCATGTCGAGGTCCTGGGGGTCGCTGGTGGTGGCCTCGGGCCCCGCCTGATTCTCTTCCCTGGAGGCGGCCTCCGTGGGAGGCTCGGCAGCACTGCCGTTGGGTGGTGCAGGCTCCTTGGGCTCAGCCGCGTCTTCGATGACCACCAGCTCCGCCGTGATGGTATCTTGAAGGCCCAGCACCTTCTTGGTCTCGGCCTCATCCTCCACGTTCTGGTAACCCATGAAGATCATTGTGACCGGGGGCTCCTGGCCGGGCTGGATCCCCGGCGGGCCGGACGTGGCCTCGCCTGGCTGTGCCTGCACACCGGTGATCTCCCGCCGGGAGGGCGTGGTCCGGGCTGCCCCCTCCACAGCCCCCCGGGTCTCTGCCGCCCCGGCCGTGGACCCTGCCTCGCTCAGCGTGACCTCGTCCGCTTTGTGGATGAGTTCGTCCACCTCGGAGGAGCTCAGGGGGTGGATCCCGTTCTCGGCGGTGCCGTCCACAGCATGGACCACTGTACAAGGAGAGACAGAGAGAATGACCCAGCTCCAGGCAGGAGGGACAGAGAGAGTGACCTGGCTCAGGCAGGAGGGAAACCTTGGCAAGGCTTGTATCCTCCTCCAGGCTAAAGAGGAAATCACGAACTAGATTACACCGTCAGAACTGACAGACAATTAAAGCCCCCTGTTGGCATCTGTGGATGCAGCCAATGCCGTACAATGAGGAAAAAAAATTTTTTTTGAGACGGAGTCTCACTCTGTCGCCCAGGCTGGAGTGCAATGGCGTGATCTCAGCTCACTGCAAGCTCCACCTCCCGGGTTCAAGCGATTCTCCTGCCTCAGCCTCCTGAGTAGCTGGGACTACAGGAATCCGCCACCACGCCCAGCTAATTTTGTATTTTTAGTAGAGACGGGGTTTCTCCATGTTGGCCAGGCTGGTCTCGAACTCCTGACCTCAGGTGATCCGCCCGTCTTGGCCTCCTAAAGTGCTGGGATCACAGGCGTGAGCCACCAGGCCCAGCCGACAATGAGGAAAATTTATAAGCACAAAAACATTTATTAGGAACCAAGAAAGAGTGGAAAGGAATGAATTGGGATTTTTTTTTTTTTTTTCTGAGATGGAGCTGCCCAGGCTGGAGTGCAGTGGTACTGTCTCGGCTCACCGCAACCTCCGCCTCCCTAGTTCAAGCAATTCTCCTGCCTCAGCCTCCTGAGTAGCTGGGATTACAGGCATGCACCAACATGCTTGGCTAATTTTTTGTATTTTTAATAGAGCTGGGGTTTCACTATGTTGGCCAGGCTGGTCTCAAACTCCTGACCTCAAGTCATCTGCCCACCTCAGCCTCCCAAAGTGCTGGGATGACAGGCGTGAGCCACCGCACCTGGCCTGTAATTCCATATTCTTTAGCCAACTAGCTCCCACGTGATCACCCTGAAAAGTAGGGATTCATTTCCGCTGTAAAGATAGCAAAAATGAAAGTTCAAAGAAGGGACACAGCTGGGCCAAGGTCACAGAGCCAAACCCCTGCTCCTTCCCCGCATCGGGGCCTGTTTCTCTTCTACAAGACAGGACCACCCACCCTGGGGAACTGGAGGTTACAGGGATTCTTTCACTTTTTGAGATGGAGTTTCGCTCTTGTTGCCCAGGCTGGAGTGCAATGGCACGATCTCAGTTCACTGCAACCTCCACCTTCCAGGTTCAAGCAATTATCCTGCCTCAGTCTCTAGAGTAGCTGGGATTACAGGCACCTGCCACCACACCAGGCTGATTTTTGTACGTTTAGTAGAGATGGGGTTTCACCACGTTGGCCAGTCTGGTCTTGAACTCCAGACCTTAGGTGATCCACCCACTTTGGCCTCCCAAGGTGCTGGGATTACACACGTGAGCCACCGTGCCTGCTGCTTTTTTTTTTTGACTCCCTCTGTCGCCCAGGGTGGAGTGCAGTGGCGCAGTCTCAGCTCACTGCAACCTCCACTTCCTAGGTTCAAGCAATTCTCCTGCCTCAGCCTCCAGAGTAGCTGGGATTACAGGCACCCGCCACCATGCCCGGCTGATTTTTGTATTTTTAGTAGAGATGGGGTTTCACCACGTTGGCCAGGCTGGTCTTGAACTCCTGACCTCAGGTGAGCCACCCGCCTTGGCCTCCCAAAGTGCTGGGATTACAGGTGTGAGCCACCATGCCTGGCCATTACAGGGATTCTGATTTTTTCCATCTATGGGTGTATTTGATTGATCTTAAATTGAAATTTTCATTCATTCTAACTTGAGTTAAAGTTTCATTCATTTATTTTTGTTTTCTAGGAGCTTCCCTAAAGGCTATGCATTTTCCTCTGAGGTCTGCTTTGGCTGTGTCCTACGAGTTAGATGATGTTATTCACTTTCTATTTTTTTTTTTTTTTGAGATGGAGTCTCGCTCTGTCGCCCAGGCTGGAGTGCAGTGGTGCCATCTCGGCTCACTGCAAGCTCTGCTTCCCGGGTTCACGCCATTCTCCTGCCTCAGCCTCCTGACTAGCTGGGATTACAGGCGCCTGCCACCACACCTGGCTAATTTTTTGTATTTTTAGTAGAGATGGGGTTTCACCTTGTTAGCCAGGCTGGTCTCGATCTCCTGACCTCGTGATCCTCCTGCCTCAGCCTCCCAAAGTGCTGGGATTACAGGCGTGAGCCACCATGCCCGGCCAATGTTATTCATTTTCAAGTGTAAATAGTTTTTAATTCCTAGTTTGATTGATTGCCACAGGAAGCCACAATTTATTTAGAGGGTGTTTTTAAATTTCAGGGAGGAGAGGAACACAGAGCAGAAGATACAAACTCTGTTAACAGTCCTAAAACCTCCTTGGCAGCCTGGGCCACGGTGGTCACTTTCTGACAATGTTCTGTGTTTGAAAAGAATGTGTATTCTCCACTGGGTAGCATTTTATACATATAATCAATCTTGCTAAATGTGTTTCTCAAGTCTTTCCAAATTTCCTTATCTGTGTGTCTCTGACTTGACATTTCTTGAGGTGTGTTGGACTCTCCAAGGACCGGATTTCAGCACCCCACGGCTCCCTGCTATGATCTAACACCAGCCCTAGCTCACAGCCCTGCAAATTCCTTCTAGAAACACGGCTGCCTGGGCCACGCTGGGAGTTGGGAGGGACGCAAGGGGGGTCCCAGGGACTCGCCTCCTCTCGGCCAAGGGTCAGGGCTCCTGTTCCTGGCTACAGACCAGAAGGAAAGTGTTCTCCACTTTCAGTTTCTAAGCCCCCAGGGAGGGGAGTCCATGCTTCAAGGCATCTCAATGACTTTGGGCTGGAGGCCCAGAGGGTGGGGTGTGTCTGGATCAGGCGGAACTGAACTCAGTGTGTCCCACTGGCCGCTGCCCCAAGACAGGAATTGGAGCCCTCGGCTGCCATGGAAACGGATCACCTGCCCGTTGCTAAGCAACCAGTGTCCAGCCTGGCAGGTCTGGAATCCCCAGGGACCAGGTGAGGCTGAGGAGGGTGGAGTGATGGGGGTGAGGACCTCATCCGGAAGACGAGGCATGGGGACTTCCCAGGGCCACACAGCTGGGGAGAGCTAGAGCTGAGATGCCACCAACGCCACACCCCAAAGCCACTCCAGAGCTGGGCTGCGGGGACCCCTCTGACAGCATCTGGGGCACCGCAGAGGCCAAGCTGCCTCTGAGAACAGAAGGCTTTGGGAATCCAAACCACAGGGAGACCCCACGTCACGCCACCAGGACAGCCACGAGAATGGGCTACGAGCGCTGGTGAGGACGTGGAGAAACTGGGCCCTCATCCACGACCTGTGGGAACGGGACGGTGCAGCCTCCGTGGAAAACAGCAGGTCCTCACGGAGCTCCACACAGTCGCCTCAGGACCCAGCAGTTCACTCCTACGTGTACACCCAAAGGCCTCGAAAGCAGGGGCGTGAACAAATACTTGCACACAAATTCCCCAGCATGCTACTCACTGCAGCCAAAGGGTAGAAACAGCCCAACTGTCTACAGATGGAAGAAGGGATAAACCCACCATGGCCCACCCAACCCGTGGAATAGTATTCAGCCATGAAAAGGAGTCAGGCTCCGACCCAGGCCACAGTGCCGATGCACCTTGGGGACGTCACGCCCAGTGAGAGACGCCAGACACAGAAGGCCACGTGCAGTGTGTGACCCCATTTATTCTCTTTTCTTTCTTTTTTTTTTTTTTGAGACAGAGTTTCACTCTTGTCGCACAGGCTGGAGAGCAGTGGCGCGATCTCGGCTCACTGCAACCTCCGCCTCCTGGGTTCAAGTGATTCTCCTGCTTCAGCCTCCAAAGTATCTGGGATTACAGGCGTCCGCCACCACGTCCAGCTAATTTTTGTATTTTTAGCAGAGACGGGGGTTCTCCATGTTGGCCAGGCTGGTCTCGAACTCCTGACCTCAGGTGATCCACCCGCCTCGGCCTCCCAAAGTGCCGGGATTACAGGTGTGAGCCACCGCACCCGGCCGTGTGATCTCATTTCTATGAAATGTCCAGGACAGGCCAATCCAGAGAGACAGGAGGGGATGCGTGGGTGCCAGAGCTGGGGAGGGGATAGGGAGTGACGCTGACTGGGGAGGGGACAGGAAGTGACAGCTGATGGGGATGGGGCTTCTCTCCTCTTTCTTGTTTTTGAGACAGGGTCTTGGTCTGTGGCCCAGGCTGGAGTGCAGGGGTGCCATCATAGCTCATTGCAGCCTCAATGTCCCGGGCCCAGATGAGCCTCCCATTAAGGCGGAATTTTATGGTCTGCGAATTATATCTCATAAAAGAAAAAGAGGCCGGGTGCAGTGACTCATGCCTGTGGTCTCAGCATTTCGGGAGGCCGAGGCAGGAGGATCGCCTGAGCCCAGGAGCTGGAGGCTGCAGTGAGCTGTGATGGCATCGCTGCACTGCGGGCCGGGCGACAGAGTGAAACTCTTTCTTCAGAAAGTAAATAAATAAAAAGAAAAAGAAAGAGAGAGAGTGGGGCTTCAGTGTGGAGCTTCCCTCCTCCTCCTGGGGTCCCTGGCATCTCCCACAGCCTGTTTGCCTCTTGACCTCTAGGAGGAGCCCTTAAAACCAAATTAGACCTCAGCACCGTCAGGACCCAACGCACCCAAGGCTTCCCAAAGCCCTCAGGACACGGCCCCGCCTGTCCCCCTGCCTCCAGGCAAAGCACCCTTCTCCTCCCTGCGTGAGCCCAGCTCCTCAACTCCCTGACCAACCTGGTTCCCCCTCACCCCTGCAGCCCGTCTCCCCTCACCCCTGCAGCCCGTCTCCCCTCACCCCGTCTCCCCTCACCCCTGCAGCCCAGCTCCCCTCACCCCTGCAGCCCGTCTCCCCTCACCCCTGCAGCCCGTCTCCCCTCACCCCTGCAGCCCGTCTCCCCTCACCCCTGCAGCCCGTCTCCCCTCACTCCTGCAGCCCAACTCCCCTCAGCCCTCCAGCCCAGCTGACTCCATCCTACCTCAGGGCCTTTGCAGGGGCTGCGGCTCTGCCAGGTGTGGTTCCCATGCACTGCGTGTCTCTGATGAGCCCCTGCTTGCCTCCTCTGGGAAGCCTCCCCCGGCCCCATCCTCACCCTGTGAGACTTCTCACAGCCCCCTGGATGTGCATTTTCTGTGGCTTCTGTCACGCTAGCAATTCTTTATTATTATTTTTTATTCTTAAGAGACAGGGTCTCACTCTGTTGCCCAGGTTGGAGTGCAGTGGTGCGATCACGGCTCACTACAGCCTCAACCTCCTGGGCCCAAGTGATCCTCCCATCTCAGCCTCCCAAGTAGCTGGGACCACAGGCACGCACCACCATGCCAGGGTAATTTTTTTTTTTTTTTTTTTTTGGTAGAGACGGAGCCTTGCTATGCTGCCCAGGCTGGTCTCAAACTTCTGGGCTCAAGCGATCCTCCTCCCTCGGCCTCCCAAAGTGCTGGGACTAAAGGCGTGAGCCCTTGGGCTAGCAGTAATTATTTAAACGAATTATTTAGGAGCTCCAGATGGAAGGGCCCGGTTTGCCACCCGGCAAGGACAGAAGCTGAATCTACCTCCGGATTTCCCTCCAGAGCCCAGCTGGGTACCTGGTGCCCGGCTCAGCTTTCAGGCAGCTTTCTGGAGTGGATGAATGATTGGGCAGTGAGCCCAGGGCTGAACGACCTCTGAGCCCAGCTGTGGGCCACAGGGGGTGAGGCCCTGGCCTGAACAGCGTCATCTGCTTCACATCGAATCGGGGTCCTGATTCCGGGGCAGACGCCAGACCCACACGCTGGGAGCACACGTGTTCGGGGCTCTGGCCCAGGTGGAGGGAGGGCAGGGGCCGGGGTGCTCGTACCTTTGGTCTCGTCCTCGTAGACTTTGATGCCCAGAGGGAGCGGCTGCCGAGGGAGCAGCGTGGTGCTGGACAGCACCCTGGTCTCCCCTGTCACCTTGTCCTTCTCCACAGTGATCTCAACCGAGTACATGGCTGGCACGAGAGTCACGGGGTTACACCACGGCCTGCCCGCCCCCGCACCCCCCCGCCGGGCTGCGGCCAAGCCAGGGAGGGGGGAGCCAGCAGCGCAGAGCCAAGCAGCGATGGGGCAGGCGGAGCCGGGGATGCCTGGGCACCTTCTCGACGCGGCCCTCCCCAACTCTACATCCCTCCATAGCTCCCCAGTGCCTGGAGACGACCAGTCTGAACACCTCTCCTTGGCATTTGAGGCCCATCCTGCTGTCCGCCCAGATGGTCCTCGTCCCTGTACTCTGCACTGTGTCCTCTGTTTCGCCACCAAACTATTGTCTGTCAAGCTCAGGTTCCAGCCCAGCCCATCTGGAAAGCCTTCATTGTTCCCGGATCTTTTTAATTTTTTTGAGATGGAGCCGCCTTGCTCTGTCGCCCCGGCTGGAGCACAGTGGTGTGATCTGGACTCACCTCCCGGTTCTAGCGATTCTCCTGCCTCAGCCTTCCACGTAGCTGGGACTACAGGCGCCCGCCACCACGCCCAGCTAATTTTTGTATTTTTAGTAGAGACGGGGTTTCTCTATGTTGGTCAGGCTGGTCTCAAACTCCTGACCTCAGGTGATCCACCTGCCTTGGCCTCCCAAAGTGCTGGGATTACAGGCGTGAGCCACCGCGCCCAGCCTATTATTTAAATAGATACAGGGTCTCCCTCTGTTGGCCAGGCTGGAGTGGAGCGGCACGATCACAGCTCACTGCAGTCATGACCTTCCTGGCTCACCCCATTCTCCCACCTCAGCCTCCCAAGTAGCTGGGACCACAGGTGTGCGCCACCACACCCGGCTAATTTATTTATCTTTTTTGGAAATGGGGGTCTCACTATGTTGCCCAGGCTGGTCTCAAACTCCTGGGCTCAAGCAATCCTCCCACCTCAGCCTCCCAAAGCCCTGGGATTATAAACGTGAGCCCTCGAGCCCCACCATTCCTGGTTTCTCAGAGGAGCAGGTGAATCCCAGAGAGATCCTGCCTTGCCCGGGGTCACGGCGGAGACTGGGGCTCAGTCTGCAGACCCACAGCCCCCGCCCCGACCATCCAAGCTCCCAGGACTTGACGCCTCCTTCCAGCCAACGGTTGGACACGCCGTCATCTATTTAGACTCAGAATGAAGGAACCCTCCTGAGATAGTCGAACTTGCTACTCATCAGGGCCCTAACTCCACAGCCAGCACCTCGCCCCACTCTGTAAAAATCATTCCTGCAGAAACCACACAGAGCCTGCATCCTAACAGCGACTGGTGGCTGCCCGCCACCCCCAGGCCTGCTTGAAGATGACGAGCACTGGGGATCACCAGGCACCTCCCTGAGACCCCGCCCCGCAGCGGGAGCTGAACAGGGCTGCCAGGACTGGCCTGACCCATGACACTGCACCCCAGGTGCGGCCCAGCCTCAGGGCCTTTGCACAGGCTGTTCCCAATGCCTGGCACACCCCCCAGATAGCTGCATGTCCTCACCACTTCTGAGGGGCCATCGGTCCCCATCGTGGGCAGCCCTGCCATCGCCTGGCCCCTCGGCCCCCATAGCCACCTCGTTTCCCTCCTCCCACCCAACCTCGACGCTTAGGCCCGGCTGCGGCCCTGGACTCTGCTCTGCGCCGGGGACCTCGCCCAGGCACTCGGCTCTAATCTCCCGCACACCCATCCCCACCTGGACCTTGACCTGGACTCAGCCCCTATCCACAGGGGCCCCACTCTCACACGTCCATAACACTACTCCCAATCTGCCCCCTACACCTGCCCCCACCCTGGCTCTTCCCACCCGTTGGGGGCAGCTCAGTCCTCCCTCTTTTTTTTTTTGAGACAAAGTTTTGCTCTTGTTGCCCAGGCTGGAGTGCAGTGGCGTGATCTCAGATCACTGCAATCTCTGCCTCCCAGGTTCAACCGATTCTCCTGCCTAAGGCTCCCGAGCAGCTGGGATTACAGGCACCTGCCACCATGCCCAGCTAATTTTTTGTATTTTTACTAGAGACAGGGTTTCACCGTGTTAGCCAAGATGGTCTCGATCTCCTGACCTCATGATCTGCCCCCCTCGGCCTCCCAAAGTGCTGGGATTACAGGGGTGAGCCACCACGCCTGGCTAATTTTTCTATTTTTTAGTAGAGACGGGGTTTCACCATGTTGCTCAGGCTGGTCTTGAACTCCTGACCTCAAATGATCTGCCCGCCTTGGCCTCCAAAGGTGCTGGGATTACAGGCGTGAGCCACCGTGCCTGGCCAGTCCTCCCTGACACCTCGTTTCTCCTCAAACCCTGGGGGCTCCACCTTCAGAACATAAGGAACCGCCCACTGCTCGCCCCTCCACGGCCCATCCCAGCCTCCTCCCCCAGCAGCCCTGTCCCCTCCACCTGGCACCGTCCACGGTCTGTTCTCCCTGCAGTCACCAGAGGGCGTGGGTGAGCACGGAGTCGGGGCAGTCCCGGCTTTGCCTGCAGCCCCCCATGGTTCCTGCCTCCCTCCCGGGAAAAGCCCACGTCCCCTCCCGCCCCTGCCACAGGGCCCTCAACAATCTCTCCATCATCTCTCCTCCGCCCTCTCCCCCTCCTCACGCTGCTCCAGCCACACGGATCTCCTGGCCGTTCCTCCAACACCCCAGGCGCAGTCCTGCCCCGGGGCCTTTGCACTGGCCGTGCCCTCTGCCTGGAACACCTTTCCCCAGATAGCTGCGTGCCTTGGACACCTTCCTCCAGATAGCTGCGTGCCTTGCTCCCTCAGCACCTCTGGGTCTTTGCTCAGACGTCACCTCTTACGTTGAACGCTCCCCTCCCCTGAGCCCTCTGGTTCAAATTCTCCTTCCTCCAGCTCAACGTCCTTGGCCTCACTTTTCTACCGTAGTAGAGGTTGTGGCCCTCATTAGAATACCCTCTCCCCCAATGCCTGGCATGCAGCAGGCGCTTGAAAGGCATTCTGGGTGAAGGGACGACTGTTTTTCAACTCTATAGCTCTGCACAGCCTCAGCCCTCCACCCCAGACAGCTAGTCCAGAGCTGCCCACACTGTTGAGCAGGTTGTGCACTGCACAAAGTCAGTGGCCACGGGGATCAGCGGGGGACCTGGGCCTCGGTGTCTGCCAGGGCTGGTCTCACTGGCACAGAGGCCCACAGGCACCACCTGCTCTGACAAATGCCTCTGTCTGCTGCATCCTGGGGCAACCCCCACCCTGGACCGTGCTGGAGACCTGGGCCTCCGGGTGGCTCTCCTTCCTTCCAGCCCTGTCCCGTCCTGGGCAGCCACCCCAGAGTCCTTCTTCACCTCCCTGCCTTGCTGCCTTTTCTGAGACGGAGTCTTGCTCTTGTCGCCCAGGCTGGAGTGCAGTGGCACGACCTTGGCTCACTACAAACTCCGCCTCCCAGGTTCAAGCGATTCTCCTGCCTCAGCGTCCCGAGTAGCTGGGATTACAGGCGTGCACCACCATGCCCGGCTAATTTTTGTATTTTAGTAGAGATGGGGTTTCGCCATGTTGGCCAGGCTGGTTTCGAACTCCTGACCTCAGGCGATCTGCCCGCCTCGGCCTCCCAAAGTGCTGGGGTGGGTTACAGGTGTGAGCCACCACGCCCGGCCCTCTGCCTTCTTTCTGTGCTGTTCCAGCTCACTCACATAGCAGTGGTTTTGCCCACTGCGACGATTTCTCATTATTGGGCTCCTGTCCTGTGCCGGGCCCCAGGATGGCGTACTGAGGTCCCACCCCTCTGGCAGGCGGAGAAATTCAAGGCGGCAGACCAGGGGTTCGAGCCTGACTTGAGCACCGTGTGGCACTCAGCGTCAACCCCCACCTTCCCCTGCTTCTCGGAAGCGCAGCGGTGCTGGGGACCTGGCTTGGTTGCCTCCAGGGACGGGGCACCCACTTTCTCCCGGGGCAGCCAGTCCTACTGCCCGAGGACTGGAGCAGGTAAGATTTGCAGCGAGCATGTTCAGGCGTGAGCGCCACCCCCAGCGGGCCCCAGGAGGGAGCCGTGAGATTAGGGTGGAATGAAAGCCGTGAGGTCGCGTCGGTTAGAGCCGCCATGCGTGGGGCCCGTCTTCTCGGGGAAGCGTGGGCCGGCGTGGGACCAGGGCAACAAAGCAGAGGGGGCCCCCACCCCAGGCTCGGAGCCTCGGCCTCGGTCCAGCTGCCACCCCCATAACCACGGCCCCGTCAGACGCTGCGGAGAGCAGGTCGGTGTCGCCCCCGCCCCACCCGGCCCCCCGGACCGAGACTTGGTCCCTGACAGCGGCTGGATCTGGGGCCCAGAGCCTGGGGGCCAACCCACCTGCCTTCATCATGGGGGAGCCGTCAACCGTCCTCAGGGGCGTGTTGGAGACTCGCTTGTCTGCACGGGAGGTGGAAGCGGAGAGAGAGATGAGGGTCAGAGGAGAGGTCACATGGACCCCCCAGACAGCCCAACGCCCCTTCACAGAAGTGCATCCGGACTCCCACATGCACCTGGGCCTTTGACACCCAGACCCCACCCAGACACAGGAACCTGGGCCCCCAGACACCCAGACAGGCACCTGGGCCCTCAGACACACAGATCCCACCCAGACACCCGGACACAGGCACCTGGGCCCCCAGACACCCAGACAGGCACCTGGGCCCTCAGACACACGGATCCCACCCAGACACCCAGACACAGGAACCTGGGCCCCCAGACACCCAGACAGGCACCTGGGCCCTCAGACACACGGATCCCACCCAGACACCCGGACACAGGCACCTGGGCCCCCAGACACCCAGACAGGCACCTGGGCCCTCAGACACACGGATCCCACCCAGACACCCAGACACAGGAACCTGGGCCCCCAGACACCCAGACAGGCACCTGGGCCCTCAGACACACAGATCCCACCCAGACACCCGGACACAGGCACCTGGGCCCCCAGACATCCAGACAGGCACCTGGGCCCTCAGACACACGGATCCCATCCAGACACCCGGACACAGGAACCTGGGCCCCCAGACATCCAGACAGGCACCTGGGCCCTCAGACACACAGATCCCACCCAGACACCCGGACACAGGCACCTGTGGGCCCCCAGACATCCAGACAAGCACCTGGGCCCCCAGACACACAGACCCCACCGAGACACCCAAACACAGGCACCTGGGCCCCCAGACACACAGACCCCACCCAGACACCAGGACACAGGCACCTGGGCCCCCAGACACACAGACCCCACCCAGACACCAGGACACAGGCACCTGGGCCCCCAGACACAGGCCCCGCACAGACACAGGCACCTGGACCCCCACCGCAACCCCTAGAAAATCCCACAGGCAGCCTCACAGTTCATTCCTCATCCTCAGCCCAGTGATTTTCACAAAATCCCTGAGAGGCCTGTCTGGATTTTTTTAATGATTAATTTTTAATTCTACAGTAAGACAAGAAGACACTCTCCTTATGAATAATTAACACACAACAAACCAGGCCAGAAGCACTTCAGACGCCAGCGTCAATCCCGGCTGGTGGCTGTCCCGCTATCGATACAGAAGCGGACACGTTCCGTGAAATGCAGTTTACAGACAGGGTCTCGCTCTGTCGCCCAGGCTGGGGTGCAGTGGTGCGATCACAGCTCAACCTCCTGGGCTCAAGTGATCCTCCCACCTCAGCCTCCCGAGCAGCTGGGACTACAGGCGTGCAGCACACACGGCTAATTTTTGTATTTTTAGTAGAGACGGGGTTTCACTATGTTGGCCAGGCTGGTCTTGAACTCCTGACCTCAAGGGATCCACCTGTCTCAGCCTCCCAGAGCGCTGGGGTTACAGGTCTGAGCCACTGGGCCTGGCCGGCGGCTAATTTTTTTATGTTTGGCAGAGACAGGGTCTCCCTGTGTTGCCCAGCATGCTCTTGAACTCCTGGGCTCAAGCGATCGATCCTCCTGCCTCAGCCTCCCAAAGTGCTGGGATTACAGGCATGAGCCACCACACCCGGCTAATTGTCTTTGCATTTTTTCAGTAGACACTGAGTTTCGCCATGTTGGTCAGGCTGGTCTCGAACTCCTGACCTCAGGAGATCTACCCGCCTCGGCCTCCCAAAGTGCTGGGATCACAGGCGTGAGGCACCGAGCAACTTTGTAGCTTCACTCCCCGCCCTGCCATCCCCTCTCTGGCCACCAGAGTGCGCCGAGGCCCCACGAGTTCCTTCCAGAGGTCCTACCTTTGGGCGTGCCCACCGGCGTCTGCAAGAAAGAAGAGAGAAGGGTCAGGGGCGTCAGCATCCCCGGGAAGAGGAAGGGGAGCCATGGGGTCAGGAGCCTGGGGAGGGCATGGCACAGTGGGTGACGTCATACGCACCCGCTTCTCATCCTATCCTCTTGGGACTCTGGCCAGAAACACAGAGGTCATCTTTCTTTTTTCTTTTTATTGAGATGGAGTTTCGCTCTTGTCGCCCAGGCCGGAGTGCAATGGGGCAATCTTGGCTCACTGCAACTTCCGCCTCCTGGGTTCAAGCGATTCTCGTGCCTCAGCCTCCCCAGTAGCTGGGGTTACAGGCCTGCGTCATCGCACCTGGCTAATTTTGTATTTTTAGTAGAGACGGGGTTTCTCCATGTTGGCCAGGCTGGTTTCGATCCCCTGACCTCAGGTGATCCACCCACCTCGGCCTCCCAAAGTGCCGGGATTACAGGCTGAGCCACCACGTCCGCTCCATCTCATTTCTTCCCTCCCTCCCCACATACCCCCGCATCAGCGGCTCCCGCAGGCCACCCTGAATCCAGCCGGCTCCTCCGTGCCCCCTCCAGTCTCGTCCACTCCTGCTCTCAAGCGATCCTCCTCCCTTGGCCTCCTGGGAGCCACTGTGCGAGGCTCAGGGTCTAGTGTCGCCTGTCTGAACCCGTTCTGCCCTGCATGGTCAGACCCTGCACACAGGCCCCTCTCCCTGAACTGTGCCCTGGCATCCCTGGTCTTCTTGCTGTTTCTGGGACACACTCCTGTCTCAGGGCTGTGGTGTCTGATGCTCCCTCAGTGCACTCTTCCCTCATCACGTCACTGGGTGTGCCCGTCAGGAAGGCAGGGGCCGTGCATGTGTATTGCTGAGTCTCCCATGACAGCACTAGTCCATGCTCAAACAACCTTCAGGGAAAAGCACCTGGAGAACTCCTATTCAACCTTCAAAACCCACTTCCTTGGCTGGGCACGGTGGCTCATGCCTCTAATCCCAGCACTTTGGGAGGCCGAGGCGGGCGGATCACCTGAGGTCAGGAGTTCGAGACCAGCCTGACCAACATGGCCAAACCCTGTCTCTACTAAAAATACAAAATTAGCTGGGCGTGGTGGCGGGCGCCTGCAATCCCAGATACTTAGGAGGCTAAGGCAGGAGAATCACTTGAACCCAGGAGGTAGAGGTTGCTGAAATCGTGCCATTGCACTCCAGCCTGGGTAACAAGAGTGAAACTCTGTCTCAAAAAAAAAAACACAAAAAAACCACCCCACGTCCTCCAGGTCGCCTGCCCAGCCCTCCCACGAAACCCACATCCTCCAGGTCGCCTGCCCAGCCCTCCCACGAATGAGGCACTTCCTTGGGGATTCCACAGCGCCCTGGGCTTCCCACCTCTTCGGCCTGACCACCCTCCCTGGGTGGTCCCCAATACACGCCATCTTCCCACCTGACGTGAGCTCAGTGAGGTCCAGGACTGTGCCCAGAACCAGGTTTTTTTTTTTAGAAAGAATCTTGCTCTGTCTCCCAGGCTGGAGTGTAGTGGCGTGATCTCAGCTCACTGCAACCTCTGCCCCCTGGGTACAAGTGATTCTCAGCCTCAGCCTCCCGAGCAGCTGAGATTACAGGTGCCGGCCACGACATCTGGTTAATTTTTGTATTTTTAGTAGATATGGGGTTTTATCATGTTGGTCAGGCTGGTCTTGAACTCCTGACCTCAAATGATGTGCCTGCCTCGGCCTCCCAAAGTGCTGCGATTACAGGCGTGAGCCACTAAGCCCGGCCAAGGGTCTGGTTTTAACATCGTCTGGCTTAGATGGCAGATGCCAGAATTAACAGCCGACTCCACTAAGGACCACTCAGCTGTGTGGCCTTGAGCCAGCCTCTCTGCCTCTGTGGGCTGCGATTTTTACTTCCATCACACGGGGATACTGTTCCCACAGGAAGGGCTTTCAGGAGCCTTGGCCACATGAAACAGATGCAGGTGATCGATAGAAACCATGAAAACCCCAGCCTGGACAGCAGAGACCCCGTTTCTACCAAAAATACAGAAATTAGCCGGGCGTGGTGGTGCGTGCCTGTGGTCCCAGCTACTCGGGAGGCGGAGGCAGGAGGATCGCTGGAGCTGGGGAAGTCGAGGCTGCAGTGAGCTGTGATTGTGCCACTGCACTCTGGCTGGCCTGGGTGACAGAGTGAGACCCTGTGTCAAAAACAAACACAGAAACAAAATAACCAGGCCAAGTAAGGTGACTCATGCGTGTAATCCCAGCAATTTGGGAGGCCGAGGTTGGGTGGATCACCTGAGGTCAGGAGTTTGGGACCAGCCTGGCCAACATGGGGAAACCTCATCTCTACTAAAAATACAAAAAAATTAGCCGGGTATGGTGGCAGGCGCCTGTAGTCCCAGCTACTTGGGAGGCTGAGGCAGGAGAATTGCTTGAACCTGGGAGGTGGAGGTTGCAGACTGTACCACTACACTCCAGCCTGGGCAACAGAACGAGTCTCAAAAAACAACAAAAGCAAAAAAACACTATGACCACACCCACCAGCACCGGGTCTCCTGCTGCTCCCTGAGCCCTTCTGACGCCCCCAGGCGGGTCTCCTGCTTCCCTGAGCCCTTCTGATGCCCCCAGGTGGGTCTCCTGCTTCCCTGAGCCCTTCTGATGCCCCCAGGTGGGTCTCCTGCTTCCCTGAGTCCTTCTGATGCCCCCAGCGGTGGCTGCTCTGATTACTCCCCCATCTTACAGATGGGGAAACCGAGGCCCAGCAAGGCGAAACCACGTGTCCCGGCTCACACAGCTGGGAAGTGGCTCCGGTGAGCTGGAAATCAAGTGCCTGGCTCTAGTCTGTGCCTGTCCCCTCAGCTACGCTGACATGGAAGGGCTGGGGCCTCGCTCTGGGGCCAGCGGGAGTGGGTGCCTGGGGATCCGCTCCCCCCAGTCACCCCCTTACCTGCTGTGAATTCATCACCACCTCTGTCTTGCGCTCCTCCTTGGCTGGACTCGGGGCTGGGGCCCGGACTGGGCTCGGGGCCGCCGCGTTCTCCTTGGCAGTGGCTGGGGCGGAGTCTCCACGCTCCAGCACCTCAATTTCCTTCTCCAACCTGGGGAGAGGGTGTGCCTGTGAGGGTGACTCCTGCATCCCCGGTGGGGCTCTGGGCACCTTCTGTACGACAGCTCCCCAGTGTCTTTTTTTTGAGACAGATTCTCGCTCTTGTTGCCCAGGCTGGAGTGCAATGGCGTGATCTTGGCTCGCTGCAACCTCCACCTCCCGGGTTCAAGTGATCCTCCTGCCTCAGGGTCTCGAGTAGCTGGGATTACAGGCGTGCACCACCACACCCAGCTAATTTTTTGTATTTTTAGCAGAGACAGGGTTTCACCATGTTGGCCAGGCTGGTCTTGAACTCCCGACCTCAGGTGATCTGCCCGCCTCATCCTCCCAAAGTGCTGGGATTCCAGGCGTGACCCACCGCACTCGGCCTAGCTCTCTGAATTTAAGGCTCCCAGGCAGCCCCAAGAGGCATCGTGCTCTTTCATGATGGGGGAAACTGAGGCACGGAGTGCAAAAGCCACATGGCCAGCAGGTAGCAGAGGCGGGATCCAAACCAGGGCTGACTCCCTGTGTCCCCTGACCCCTGGCCTGCGCTGTTTATGTCACTGTCTGTATCAAATGAACTCTCCTTTCCCGCTCAAATTTGCACATTTTAACAGGAAACTTTATCTCACCAGGGAAACTGGAAAAACCATGTCACTTTCCAAGTATTAGAAGAGATAACGGGACAAGCAGATCCAGGAAAACAAAACCGGGATATGAAATCCCAGCCCCGGGGTCTGGCAAGGGCGGGCGACATTCACGGCAGCTCAGCCTCAGCCTGAGGACAGGACAGACGAGGGCTGAGTGCGTAAGTCTAACAAGGTGGGCCCAGGCTGACAGGTTGGACACAGAGCCAGACTTGTGTCCCCTCCAACCAGAAGAGGGGTCCAGCCCACAGCCGCCTGGAGGGCTTCCTGCAGGAGGTGTCTGGGAGCCCACAGTCAGCCTGGAGGGCTTCCTGCAGGAGGTGCCTGGGCAGAGCCCCTGAGCAGGCAGAAGGTGGGTAGTGGAGACCCAGAGCAGCTCAGTTTCAGCACCTGAGAAGCAGGCTGCCCTGGGGAGGGGTGAAGCTGAAGCCTCTGAAAGCAAACTAGGCCTCAAGCCAGGTCTTCACCCTCCATCGAGGGGCCTGAGCCTGTGCCCACTAGGGCCGCGTGAAAAGAACACCAGTGTGCCCAGCCCCCACGGCCAGTAACTCCCACTGCCTTCGCCCAGGTGTCTGACCATCCACCTCTCTGCAGACAGGGCCAGGCCCGTCTCAGCCCCACCTCGGTCTGAACATCCCGTCCAGCCCAGGGACACAGCTGGTGCTTAATGTTTGCTGGAATTAAGATGCACAGTGGGGCCAGGCGCAGTGGCTCACACCTGTAATCCCAGCACTTTGGAAGGCAGAGGCGGGCGGATCAG
This sequence comes from Homo sapiens, assembly GCF_000001405.40. Classification (NCBI taxonomy): domain Eukaryota; kingdom Metazoa; phylum Chordata; class Mammalia; order Primates; family Hominidae; genus Homo; species Homo sapiens. The sequence continues at coordinate 729,697 of NC_000019.10, read as the reverse complement.
CTGAGGTTGGGAGTTCGAGACCAGCCTAACCAACATGGTGAAACCCCGTCTCTACTAAAAATGCAAAATTAGCCAGGCGTGGCGGGCACCTGTAATCCCAGCTACTCAGAAGGCTGAGGCAGGAGAATGGCGTGAACCCGGGAGGCGGAGCTTGCAGTGAGCTGAGATCGCGCCACCGCACTCCAGCCTGGGCGACAGAGCGAGACTCCTTCTCAAAAAAAAAAAAAAAAAAAAAAAAAGACGCACCGTGGGATTTTTGCCTCCCTGGTTCACAGGTGAGGAAACTGAGGCCCAGGGAGTGGGTAACACTCGGCTCATTCCAAGGCCCCAAACCCACCAGAACTGCCCCACCCTGTCCATACCTTCCTTTTTTAGACAGATTCTCGCTCTGTCCCCCAGGCTGGAGTGCAGTGGCTTGATCTCGGCTCACTGAAACCTCCGCCTCCTGGGTTCAAGCAATTCTCCTGCCTCAGCCTCCCCAGTAGCTGGGATTACAGGCGCCCGCCACTAATCCACCTAATTTTTGCATTTTTAGTAGAGACTGGGTTTCGCCATCTTGGCCAGGCTGGTCTCAAATCTCTGACCTCAGGTGATCCTCCTGCCTCGGCCTCCCAAAGTGCTGGCATTACAGGTGTGAGCCCCACCCACGCCCAGCATGTCCATGCCTTTATTTTTATTTATTTATTTATTTTTTGAGACCCAGTCTCACTCTGTTGCCCAGGCCAGAGTGCAGCGGTGAGATCTTGGCTCACTGCAAGCTCCGCCTCCCGGGTTCACGCCATTCTCCTGCCTCAGTCTCATGAGTAGCTGGGACTACAGGTGCCCGCCACCACGCCTGGCTAATTTTTTTGTATTTTTAGTAGAGACGGGGTTTCACTGTGTTAGCCAGGATGGTCTCGATCTCCTGACCTCGTGATTCACCCACCTCGGTCTCCCAAAGTGCCAGGATTACAGGCTTGAGCCACCGCGCCTGGCCTTCTTCTGCCTCAGCCTCCGGAGTAGCTGGGATTACAGGCTGGGCACCACCACACCAGGCTAATTTTTGTATTTTTAGTAAAGATGGGGTTTCACGATGTTGGTCAGGTTGGTCTCGAACCTCTGATCTCAAGTGATCCTCCTGCCTCGGCTTCCCAAAGTGCTGGGATCAGGGGTGTGAACCACCGCACCCGGCCTGTCCATGCCTTTACACGCCCTGCCCAGGAGGGAAGTCCATCCCGAACACCCCCAACGTGCTTTCTTCAAAGCAAATGGGCAGAACTGGGCAGGGAGGGGCCCCCACGGGGTCAGAACCCAGCGTCTGGGAAGGGCCTGCGAGGTCCGTGTGATCCGGCCGGCCTCCCGCCTCTGGGCACCTTCCCTGGCCAGGGCAGACGTTTGGAATCTTGGTCGTCACTTCCCTCCACCCTGACCCTGCTGCCCCCGAGCACAGCCTGGGCCTCCCGCCCGCCGGAAACTCCAGGCCTTTGGTCCCAGCCCCCACAGGGATTGCCACTTTCCCCATCCTGTCCCCTTCCTGCCCCCGCCCGAGCTTCCTGCGGGCCCAGCTGCTCTGCATCCATCCCGTTCGAACCATGGGAGCGCTTGCCCGCCAGCTGGGCTGGCGCCAGGAAGCCCCCAGGGAGGCCAATGCCGGCAACACCCAGCTCCAGGGACCCACGAGCTCGACGTCACGTCCCCCGCTGGCCAGCTCCAGGGACCCAGGAGCTCGACGCCACGTCCCTCGCTGGCTCAAACGAGGGCGGTGGGAAGGGAAAGGGGTATCTCCCTGCCTGAGGCCACGCAGCCAGCCTCTGCCCCCAGCAAGCTGCCCCAGACCCAGGTGGATGCCCCAACCTGATCTGTCCCGTCCTGCGTCCCCCTCAAAGCATGTTGGGTCCTGGCCTGCCCGGTCCACGCATCTCCCTCAAAGCACACTGACGACTCTTCCCAGCCCACACCCTCCCGGGAGCCAGCGGCCCCCGAGGCCCCACCCAGCCCGGTGGCACCCACGCTGCAGCCCCCACCTGGACACCGAGTCCTCCAGCAGCCGTGTCTTCTGCTCGTCGTCCTGCATCTGCCTCCTCAGGTCCTCATCCCCCTCTGAGGCCGAGGACGGCGTCCCCTCCAGCAGCCAGCGCTCCCGCAGTGCCTTGGACTGAGCAGCAGGGATCCAGGTCAGAGTCGTGGGCAGGACCAGGGCCAGGGTTAAGACTTAAGACTGAGGTCAGGGTCAGGATCAGGGTCGGGGTTGAGGCAGGACCAAGGTTGGGGTCAGGGTTATGGTTGGGATCAGTGCTGAGGTCAGAATCACAATCGAGGTTGGGGGTCAGGGTCTGGGTCAGAGTCAAGGTCAGGGTCAGGATTGAGGTTGGGGTCAGGTCAGGGTCAGAGTCAGGACTGAGATCAGGGTCAGGGTCGGGGTCAGGGTCAGGTTGGGGTCAGGGTCGGGGTCAGGTTGGGGTCAGGGTCGGGGTCGGGGTCGGGGTCAGGGTCGGGGTCAGGGTCAGGGCTGGAGGCAGGGTCAGGGTCAGGTTGGGATTGGGGTCAGGGTCAGGGTTGGGCAGGAGTCCGGGGCCTCCGCCTCACAGCCGCCTGCACTCCCTGACCCTGGGTCCCTGCCCCGCTCGTACCTTCAGGTGCTGCAGCTGCCTCCGCTCGTCCTCCAGCTGCCGGCGCTTGTTCTCGATCTCCGCCTGCCGCTTCCGCTTCTCCTGTGGGGAGGGCCGGGTGGGGTCAGGGATGGGCGTGGGGGTCCCGGAGACCCCCCCACCCCCACACAAGGCTCTGCCCAGCCCGATCCTGCTTCCTCTGTCCGGGGATCCTCGTGGCCCACTGGCTTCCAGGTGACAGCGGATCGCACCACTGTACTCCAGCCCGGGACAGCAGCGCAAGACCCTGTCTCGAAAATCAATGACTGGCCGGGCACGGTGGCTCACGCCTGTAATCCCAGCACTTTGGGAGGCCAAGGCGGGAGGATCACTTGAGTTCAGGAGTTCAAGACCAGCCTGGCCAACATGGTGAAACCCCATCTCTACTAAAAATACAACAATTAGCCCAGCGTCGTGGCGGTCACTCATAATCCCAGCTACTCGAGAGGCTGAGGCAGGAGAGTCACTTGAACCCAGGAATCGGGCCACGTCACAGGAGGGTCGGGTCACAGAGAGGGGTCTGCGGACACCAAGAGGGCCTTCTTGGGCCAGAGGCCACCAAGATGGCACCAAAGCACATCTGTGCTCCCATCACCAAAGTTTATTTTCCTGCAGGACGAGGGCAGGGTTCCAGGGAATGCCAGCCTCAGTTTCCCCACCGACCCATCAGGCAGAGCGAGGCCGGGGGTCCAGGAGCTGCCGACTCAGGGGGTCTCCACTTCCATTCTCTGCGGGTCAGCAGGATCCAAGTTTCCCAAGCAAATAACTCACCACCCACCATGCCCTGGTTCCAGGTCCTAGGACAGGTCCAGGGCCCGAGACCCCAGGTCCCCCCACTTCCCCACCCTGACCACACCGTCTGCGGGGCGGCGGAAACTCACTGCGATGGCCTGCAGCCGCTCCTGCTGGGACGTGGTCTCTGCCGCCAGGACCCTGCGGGAGGGAGATAAGGTCAAGCTCTGGTTCACTGAGCCCTGCTGTCCGTCAGACGCGGTTCAAATCCCAGCTCTGCCTCTTCCCCTAGGGGTAACCAGGGCAAGGGATTTCATCTCTGAACCCCAGTTTCCCCTTCTGTAAAGTGGGGCCCTCCCTGCCCCCTCAGCGGCCAAGGAAGCCAGGACAGGAGGGGACGAGGCTCTGCCTAGCGACCAGGAAGGGTTTGGGGAGAAGGGGACATTGAGGCAGGGCCACCAAGGATACATAGGAGTTCACCAGGCATCAAAGGCCAGAGAAGGGTGTTTCGGGAAGAAGGAAGTGTATCACCTCCTGGCCCAGACCATAAGACAGATCAGGACAGTCCTCTCTGCACCCTCCTGCCCACCAAGACCTACTCTGCAGCCCCAGGAGGGGCAAACAGAGGATGAAAGACCCACCAGCCCCACCTCCCAAGCCTGGGCTTGCAAAAGCCCAGACAGGGAGACGAGCCTCCCAAGGACGCACAGCAAAGGATCCAAGTCCGGATTCAACCCCAGACTCGCTCTTATCCAATCATTGTGGTTTTGTTTGTTTTTTCAGATGGAGTCTTGCTGTCTCCCAGGCTGGAGTGCAGTGGCAGGATCTCAGCTCACTGCAGCCTCCGCCTCCTGGGTTCAAGCGATTCTCCTGCCTCAGCTTCCTGAGTAGCTGGGATGACAGGTGCCTGCCACCACGCCCGGCTAATTTTTGTATCTTTTAGTAGAGACAGGGGTTTCACCATGTTGGCCAGGCTGGTCTCGAACTCCTGACCTCAGGTGATCCGCCCGCCTTGGCCTCCCAAAGTGCTGGGATTACAGGCGTGAGCCACCGCGCCCGGCCCAATCATTGTCTTTTGAAAACAGCCCACCCAGTGCAGCTGTAGCCTCACCTCCCAGGGCTGGTATGTGGTAGGCGCTTAACAAATATCAGGGGGCAGCTGAGGCAGGCGGATCACTTGAGGTCAGGAGTTCGAGACCAGCCTGGCCAACATGGCAAAACCTTGTCTCCACCAAGAAATACAAAAATTAGCTGGGCGTGGAGGCTGAGGCACGAGAATTGCTCCCAACTACTCAGAAGGCTGAGGTGGGAGAATCACTTGAACCCGGGAGGTCGAGGCTGCAGTGAGCCGAGATCGCGCCACTGCCCTCCAGCGTGGGCAACAGAGTGAGACCCTGTCGCAAAACAAAACAAAAGCAAAACCACAGCTGCTCACGCCTGTAATTTTAGCACTTTGGGAGGCCGAGGTGGGAGGATTACTCCAGCCCAGGAGTTCGAGACCAGCCTAGGCAATCTAGTAAGACCCCATCTCTACCAAAAATAAAAATAAAAAATATTATCAAGGTGTGGTGGTGTGCGCCTGTAGTCCCAGCTACTCGGGAGGCTAAGGTGGGAGGACTGCTTGAGCCTGGGAGGTCCAGGGGGCAGTGAGCCATGACCCCACCACCCTACTCCAGCCTGGGCAGCAGCATGAGGCTCTGTCTCAAAAATGAATGAATGGCCGGGCGCAGTGGCTCACGCTTGTAATCCCAGCACTTTGGGAGGCTGAGGTGGGAGGATCACCTGAGGTCAGGAGTTCTAGACCAGCCTGCCCAACATGGTGAAACCCCCGTCTCTACTAAAAATACAAAAATTAGCCAGGCGTGGTGGTCGGCACCTGTAATCCCAGCTACTTGGAGGCCGAGACAGGAGAATGGCTTGAACCCAGGAGGCAGAGGTTGCATGAGCCGAGATCGCGCCACTGCACTCCAGCCTGGGCAACAGAGCAAGACTCCACCTCAAACAAACAAACAAACAATAAATGAATGAATGAATACCACTGTTGCCGGATACGCCTGAAGGGACCGGGCTTCAGGCTTCAAAGATACAGGGCCCTTTGTGGTGTGGGAAGGAGGTCCAGAAACCGAAGCCCTCGCCACCCCCACCAGGCACCCACCACACGCTCACTCGCCCAGGAAAGAACCGAGGAATTCTGTGGTTCTCTGACCTCCCCACAGCAACCTCGCCCTGCAGCTCCAGAAGCTGGTGCAGAGCCCCTCTCCTCATCTGTCTGCAGCCCCGTGGTTCACACGGAGTTCAGGGCACCCCCACCCCACTGCTTTCTCGCTTCCCCTCCCACCTGCTAGAAGAAGAGCTTTGCCACCCAAACCCTCCCCTCCCCTCCCTGGTCTGTGGGCCCTCAGAAAGCTGCACGTAGTAGGTGCTTAGTAAAATGCAAAAAGCAGGCCGGGCGCGGTGGCTCACGCCTGTAATCCCAGCGCTCTGGGAGGCCGATGCGAGCGGATTACCTGAGGTCGGAAGTTCGAGACCAGCCTGGCCAACAGAGACGGTAAAACCCCGTCTCTACCAAAAAATACAAAAATTAGCCGAGCGTGATGGCAGGCACCTGTAAAACCAGCTACTTGAGGAGCTGAGGCAGGAGAATTGATTGAACCCAGGAGGCGGAGGTTGCAGTGAGCAGAGATCACGCGCTGCACTCCAGCCAGGGCAACAAAGCGAGACTCCGTCAAAAACAAAACAAAACAAAACAACAAAAAGAAAAACGCAAGGAGCACCGAGCCCTAGACTGGGGCTGAGCTTGGCCTTGACCTTCCCAGCGACCCTCAGGCTTCCAAGGCTGTTGCAGCGAGGCAGGGAGAGGACGGTAGGGGTTGGCGGTGGGTGTCCCAAGCTCTGGGCGGCATCAACAGGGGGAGGCCCAGGCTGACGGGCAGGGCCTGGCGGGAACCAGGGGTGAGGGGTGGGAGACAGGTTCCCCCGACCCCCAACATCTTATCTTCCCAGAGACTGAAATTACAGCCTGCCCTTCGTGTCTGCTGCCACCCCCAGCCCTCTCAGCCTGGTGTCAGGGCCCAGAGCCAGCCCTGCCTCCAAAGAGCCCTCGTGCCTCTCTGGGCCTCAGTTTCCCCATCCACGCAAACACGGAGGCACAGATGCCTGCAGCTCTAAGGCCTCCTATGACGTCCCCCTTGTGCCCCCATCCCCTCCCCCAGTTCAGCAGAGAAAATGAAACTGCACAGTGCACTGGCTCACCCCCAGCCCCGCCTGGGAGGCTGCTCCGGGTCAAGACCTCCCTGGAGCCCGAGGCGCCCCGCCTGCCCACCCCACTCGGGTTTGGTTTCCTGGCCCTGCTGAGGCCTGTGAAGTTGTCCAGCTCCCATGCCCCAGAGGTGACCCCACCGGCTCCTCCCTTCCTGGCAGGTGACACCTACCCTTCCCGGTGCCTCCCAGGGGCCCGGGAACACCAGCTGCGCCCTCTGTGGCTTTCCCTTCTCCCTCCTCAGGGAGGCTGGGTTCAGCTGCCTTCACCGGGTGGGGTTCAGGAAAGGCTTGATCCAGCTTTCTGGCTTGGGGGCCCTTCCTGAATAGCCAGCTCAGCTGGAGTTCTCGGTCAGCCCCAGCAACGGGTGATGCAGGCAGTGAACCATCCACTGTGCGTTCCCTTGAGGCCCGGGCCCTCGCTTCCTGCCTACCCCAAGTTCCCCACCCTAGCCCAGGCCTCTAGTGTTCCCTGCCAACTCCCTGCCCCCTCACAGCTCCCTCTCCACCCGCCAGCCAGAGGCAGCTTCTCAAAAAGAGAATCAGACCCTAGGCCAGGTGTGGTGGCTCAAGCCTGTAATTCCAGCATTTTGGGAGGTGAAGGCCAGTGGATCGCTTGAGCCCAGGAGTTCGAGACCAGCCTGGGCAACATAGCAAGAGCCTGTCTCTACAAAAATAACTAACTAACTAAATAAATAAAAAGCCAGGTGTGGTGGTATGTCCCTGTGGTCCCAGCTACTTGGGAGGCTGAGGTGGGAGGATCACTTGAATCCAGGAGGTTGAGGCTGGGTCGAGCCGTGATTGTGCCACTGTCTCCAGCCTAGGTGACAGAGCAAGACTTTGTCTCAAAAATAAAAATTTAAGGCCGGGTGCGCTGGCTCACGCCTGTAATCCCAGCACTTTGGGAGGCCGAGGCGGGCGGATCACGAGGTCAGGAGATCGAGACCATCCTGGCTAACACGGTGAAACCCCGTCTCTACTAAAAACACAAAAAATTAGCCCGGCGTGGTGGCGGGTGCCTGTAGTCCCAGCTACTCGGGAGGCTGAGGCAGGAGAATGGCGTGAACCCGGAAGGCGGAGCTTGCAGTGAGCCGAGATTGCGCCACTGCACTCCAGCCTGGGCGACAGAGCGAGACTCCGTCTCAAAAAATATATATTAAAAAAATGAAAATTTTTAAAAATGGGCCAGGTGCAGTGGCTCACGCCTGGAATCCCAGCACTTTGGGAGGCCAAGGCGGGTGGATCACCTGAGGTCAGGAGTTTGAGACCAGCCTGACTAACATGGAGAAACCCCATCTCTACTAAAAATACAAAAATTAGCCGGGCATGGTGGCACATGCCTGTAATCCCAGCTACTCAGGAGGCTGAGGCAGGAGAATCACTTGAACCTGGGAGGCAGAAGTCACGGTGAGCCGAGATCATACCATTGCACTCCAGCCTGGGCAACAAGAGAGAAACTCTGTCTCAAAAAACAAAACAAACAAACAAAAAATTTTTTTAAAATTAAAAAAAGAAGGCCAGGCACGGTGGCTCATGCCTGTAATCCTAGCACTTCGGGAGGCCAAGGTGGGCAGGTCACTTGAGGTTAGGAGTTTGAGACCATCCTGGCCAACAAGGCAAAACCCAGTCTCTACTAAAAATACAAAAATTAGCTGGGGGTGGTGCCAGGCGCCTGTAATCCCAGCTACTCGGGAGGCTGAGGCAGGAGGATCACTTGAACCCGGGAGGTGGAGGTTGCAGTGAGCCGAGATCGTGCCACCGCACTCTAGCCTGGGGGACAGAGTGAAACCCTATCTCAAAATAACAATAATAATAATAATAATTAATCAGACCCTGTCCCTCTCCAGCTCTAGAGGCTCCCTGGCTCCCATCAGCCCTTAGAGGAACCCTCAGGTCGGCCCCTTCACTTCCCCCGTTGGTCTACTCCTGCAGGGCCCCCTGGCTATGCACCAAGCCTCCTACCCCAGGGCCTCTCACACACGGTTCCCCCTGCCCGGCACCTTCTTCCCATGGCTGGAAGCCACGTCCAGGGAGGGCACAGCGTGGCCCTGGGCACAGCCAGATTGGAACAACAACCGCCCAGCCCCGGGCCACCCCACAGTCCTGGTTTCCAGCTCTAAGTGGGCTCGGGGCCACCCCGGAGGGAGCAGAGCTGGGGCGGGAGGTCCACAAAACGGCGGAACTCCTGGGCCCCAGGATCAGGCTGGTCGCCGACTGCCCAGGTCCCCACCCGGCAGGCAGGTGGCCGCTCAGACCGGACCCGGGGACAGAGTGTGGCTGTGTGGCCGCCTCCCAGGCTGGAGACAAGGCGGTAGTGTCTGGGGCAGCCTGTCCCTGCCCGGCCGGCCAGGGCGGGGGAATGTCAGGCGGGCGGGCAGGGAACGCGCGGGAAGCAGCCCCAGGGCGCAGGCCCCTCCCCAGGACGCGCCCCCCTGGCCCCCGCAGTCACGGGCGCCCCCCTCGCCCCTCCCCAGACCCGGCGCCCCCCTCGCCCCTCCCCAGACCCGGCGCCCCCTTCACTCTCCCCAGGCCCGGGCGCCCCTCTCGCCCCTCCCCAGACCCGGCGCCCCCCTCACCTCTCCCCAGGCCCGGGCGCCCCCTCGCCTTTCCCCAGGACACGCAGGATGCGCCCCCCTTGCCCCTCCCCAGACCCGGCGCCCCCCTCGCCCCTCCCCAGACCCGGCGCCCCCCTCGCCCCTCCCCGGGCCTGGACGCCCCCTCGCCTTTCCCCAGGACACGCAGGATGCGCCCCCCTCGCCCCTCCCCAGACCCGGGCGCCGCCGCCCCGGTGATGGATGGAGGGGCCCGCGGGAGGCGGTCGCCGTGGCAACCGCGCCGTCCCCATGGCAACGCCGAGGCCCGGCGCGCGGGGGTGGGGCCGGCGCAGCATCTCCCGCCCCCGGCCTGTGCTTGGGGGGATTGGGGGGGGCCGAGGCTTCGGGCCTGGGGCGGCCTAGACGGGCGGGAGGGGTCGGGAATTTCTCCCCCGCGCTGCGGCTGGGGGAGGGGAGGGGGGTCCCCGTCTGGGCGTCCGGGGGGCGCCCGCCCAGGAAGGGGCTTCCATCCGGGAGGGGTGTGGACCCGCCCCCGACGCCGGGTAGCCAAGGTCAGGCCGACAGAACGCTCCACGTCACAGATTGGAAAAATTAAGCGAAATATGACCACGACGCACGGATCAAAACGGCCACAAACCGAGAACGCCTCCCCCAGCGCTCGCTCCCTCCTGCGGCCGGGTCAGCCCCATTTCACCGACGGGGAAACTGAGGCCGGGCAGGGCGGCCTTCTCCCGGCGTTCATCCTCCTGCGGGCGGGGCCCGCCAGGCGCGGGGGAGTCTCATTCCCGTGTGATCGGCGAGGCTGGGACCAGGACCCCGGCGCAGGGGTCACGGAAGGAAGCGGAGGTCGGATCACAAAAGGTCTTACATGCTGGGCGGAGGAGCTGAGTCCCGGGCAAAGGCGTGGAAAAGCTCAGGGCGGCGGCGGTCCTGGTGCTGCTGGGGGTCCCAGGGCAGGTGCTGGGGGTCCCGGGGCAGGTGCTGGGTCTCCGAGCCTCCCTGGCTCCCGGCAGCCGCGCAGAGCCCCTGGAGCGCCACGCCCCCCGCCCGACGCCCACCCCGGCGCGCACAGGCCTCCCGTCCCCGCGATGCTTTTTACGGCGTGTGGCGGTGTGGGCGGCTCGGGGCCCGGCGAGGGCGTCGTCTGGAGCGCGTGAGATAGTCCTGCTCCAGGAGATGAGTTCATGAGGCCCAAACCCGACGGGAGCCCCGCAGAGGCCTCCGCGGTGCGGGGCGTTGGTGTTGGAAGGGCCCAGAGAGGTTACGCAACGGCCAAGGTCACCCAGCGAGCAGGGCGGGCCCTGTCCGAGGCGGGAGGGGCGTGTGTGGGATGGGGGCGTCGCACTCGTCCTTCCAGAACCCACGCCCGGGCAGCTCCAGCCAGAACGAGGGGGTCCCTGCCCGGGCAGGCGCCGAGCCCAGCGCCGGGAACATTCCTGCTGCTAATTGAAAGGAAAGAGCTGACGGTGACCTTGGCCATTGTGGGGGGTGGGGGAGTCACGCGGGGCTGCGAGGTGTGGGGTGCGGGGGCAGCAGGGGATGGAGTTCGGGGAGTCTGGACCCCAGCTGCTTCCCAGTCCCGGTGATCCTCGGTCCTCAGAGCCTGTGTCTCCCCTGAGCGCTGGCACCCCCGGCCCTGCTTCCTCCACCGCCCTGCCCTGCTCCAAGCCCCGGAGTCCAAGCCCCAATGTCAGCCCCTCACCCTTCATCAGCTCCCAGCTTCCCCTTTCCCTTCTCCACCGCCAAGATCAGCTCAAGCACAGCCACCTCCTCCAGGCAGCCTTCCAGGAAGGAACCTCCTCCCAGCCCTCCCAGGATGCAGCACGGAGGCCCCCAGGGCCATCCCAGTCTCTGGGGCACCGAGAACCCTAAACGGGTTACGGCAGAGAGGCATCACCCCGGGGGAGAGGAGAAGACGGAGGTCAAAGCAGGCCACAGATGCAGAGAAGCAAACCTGTTGCCTATTAACCTGGGGTGGGAAGGGACCCTGCCCGGGCCCTCAGGGGAAGACGGGGCAGTGAGGCGTGAACGGGGCCTTCCCTGGCTTTCAGCAGGGTCTCAGGGCAAACCCTGCTGCAGAGGCCCCATGGTCCCTCCCCACGCGACTGCACTCCAGCCACACTCCTGAGACGTCCCACAGAGCTCCCACTGCAGGGCCATTGTGCTGGCTGCATTGCTGCCTGGTGCACGGTCACCCAGACCTCCCCGGGCCTCAGGCCCAAGGCCTTTCTGCAGACGTCACCTCCTCATTTAGGCCTCTTCTGTCCTAATTTTCAGCCCCAGGCACCCCTGCAGCTGTCACCACCCGGATCACTTTACTTATCTTTTTCTTTTCTTTTTTTTTGAGATGGAGTCTCCCTCTGTTGCCCAGGCTGGAGTGCGGTGGCGCGATCTCGGCTCGCTGCAACCTCCGCCTCCTGGGTTCAAGTGATTCTCCTGCCTCAGCCTCCTGAGTAGCTGGGATTACAGGCACATGCCACCACGCCCGGCTAATTTTCGTATTTTTAGTAGAGACGGGGTTTCACCATGTTGGCCAGGCTGGTCTCGAACTCCTGACCTCAGGTGGTTCGCCCGCCTCAGCCTCCCAAAGTGCTGGGATTACAGGCGTGATCTTGTCTTCCCACTAGGACAGCAACTGTGTCATTTTTGTCCCTGCCATGTCCCTGGCACCAGGCATACAGCAGGTGCTCAATAAATGCTTGCTGCCCCAGGGAGTCGATTAGGGTCTTTCCATCTTCAGAGGAAGCCCCCACCCAGAGGTCCCCCCAATCCCGGCCCCCTCTTCTCACACTCCCGCCACTCCCAGGGCCACCTGTCATCTGATCACTGCCTCTTCTTTTTAAAGAAACTCACTGTCACGACTTACACTTATGTAAAGTAGGACCCGGACTCCTCAGTGTGAACAGAGCACAAGCTCCAACCATCTCGGGGGGTAACTACAGATTCACAGATAAACCAACCCGGGTGTCCATCCACAGATGTGTGGGTAAACGCAATGTGGCCGTCCACGCACTGGGACATGACTCAGCCGTGAACAGGAGCGAGGCTCTGACCCAGGCCACGGCGCGGATGCACCTTGAGGACATCACGCTCAGTGAGAGACGCCAGACACAGAAGGCCACGCAGCGTGTGATCCCATGTCTACGAAATGTCCAGGACCTGCCGATCCAGAGACAGGAAGGGGACTGGCTCCCCGAGGGCTGGGGGGAGGGGGACGGGAGGGGATGCCTAATGGGGACAGGGCTTGTTTTGGGGGTGATGAAAATGTTCTACAATTGTGGTGAAAGATACACAACTCTGCTGGGCGCGGTGGCTCACACCTGTAATCCCAGCACTTTGGGAGGCCAAGGCAGGTGGATCACAAGGTCAAGAGATTGAGACCATCCTGGTCAATATGGTGAAACCCCGTCTCTACTAAAAACACAAAAATTAGCCGGGCGTGGTGGCACGTGCCTGTAATCTCCGCTGCTCAGGAGGCTGAGGCAGGAGAACCACTTGAACCCGGGAGGCGGAGGTTGCAGTGAGCCGGGATTACGTCACTGCACTCCAGCCTATGTGACAGAGAGACTCTGTCTCAAAAAAAAAAAAAGTACACCCTGTCAGTGTACTAAAAACGCCTGAGCTGTACACTTTAAGCAGCCAGACTGTGTAGCGTGTGAAATGTATTTTAATGAAGCTGTTAAGAATGATATACATACAGACGTGTGTATACATACCTGTGTACGTGTGTGTATACGTGCATGTGTAATGGGAATGCCAGCCTTCTCAACAAGAGCCAGGCCAGGGGCTGGGGTCCTTCCCAACCCCCATGGAGTGCTGAAACCCCTGCTGGCCCTGCCCTGAGACTTTCCATGGCTGGAAGCGTTTGAATACAAACTGATGAGGACATCAGCTTCTCGCTCCCTGACAGGGGTTACTGAAGAACCCTGGGCCTCTGTCCCTCCCCGGCCTTCAGGGTCCCGCATCTCTGCCTCCATTGCCCACAGCCTCTGCCCACCCAGGAGGGGCTCCCAGGCCTGGCCCTGTCCCACCACCAGTCTGTTGACCATGCAGCGCCTCCCACTCAGCTGGCCTCACTCTGGTCCTAATCTAAACTTTCTTTTTTTTTTTTTTTGAGAGAAAGAGTCTCGCTCTGTCACCCAGGCTGGAGGGCAGTGGCGCAATCTCGGCTCACTGCAACCTCCTCCTGGGTTCAAGCGATTCTCCTGCCTCAGCCTCCCGAGTAGCTGGGATTACAGGCACCTGCCACCATGCCTGGCTAATTTTTGTATTTTTGGTAGAGACGGGGGTTTCACCATGTTGACCAGGCTGGTCTCGAACTCCTGAACTCAGGTGATCTGCCCGCCTCGGCCTCCCAAAGTGCTGGGATTACAGGCGTGAGCCACCATGCCCAGCCCTAATCTAAGTCTTCCCCATCCCAAGGCCTAGCTCCCCTTCCCTCTTCCCACCCAGTCCAGGCTCTGTCCTGGTGACTGGCTCTGACTGTCCCTGAATTTCTGCTTGAAACCCTGGGGCGGGAGACAGCCACTCTGGCCTGATTTTACACTCCTCAGACACCAAGACGTCCACGCAGCCATCCTCCTAGAGGACGCCCTCCACCCCCTCATGTATCCAGGGACCAGGCTACTTCTCCCCAGCCAGGGAGCCCCGTCCCTGTGGGCATCACTGACCACACGCAGTTCTGGAATCCTGTGTTTGCCCTCCTAGACGTGGGGTCCTGCCCCCTCTGGCTCTGCCATTTCTCTGCATGCTGCCCCTGCAGCCACAATCAAGGCTTGGCCATGACTTGCTCCTCCCTGGGCTCACTCCTCAGCTGCCAGCGCCTTTTTTGATGACCAGGTCAGCCACTGCTCCTCCCCTGCTCACACACTATCCATGACTCCCCATCCTGGCACTCAAGGCCTAGCAGGAACAAACACCAAAGAGCATTCTCTTCTTCCAATGCTTTCCCACCTCTAGCCCTTTGCACATGCCAGTCCTTCCACAAGGTGCATCCTTCTGCCTGCCTGGATGAACCCTGAAACATCCTTCTCAGAAAAGGTTCATGATGGACTGGATGAGGAAGCCTTTCTCACACCTCAGAGAAGATGCTGCATAGCTTTCCAGACCCTGCTGATCCCGCACAGCACGAGGATGGTGAGGAGGGAGCATTTATTTGTTCAATAAACAAATGACAGGTTTCCTAGATCAAGAAAGGATGAGAGGAAACAGGGGCCCACACTCAGAAAAAGGTGATATAATGCTTTTTTTTTTTGAGACGGAGTCTCGCTCTGTCTGTCACCCAGGCTGGAGTGCAGTGGTGCAATCTCGGCTCACTGAAAGCTCCGCCTCCCAGGTTCAAGCGATTCTCCTGCCTCAGCCTCCCGAGTAGCTGGGATTATAGGCACCCGCCACCACGCCCGCCCGGCTAATTTTTGTATTTTTAGTAGAGATGGGGTTTCACTATGTTGGCCAGGCTGGTCTCGAACTCCTGACCTGAGGTGATCCTCCTGCCTCGGCCTTCCAAAGAACTGGGATTACAGGCATAAGCCACTGCACCCGGCCCATATGATGCTTTTAAAGAACATCAGGCTGGGTGCAGTGGCTCACATGTGTGTACTCCCAGCGCTTTGGGAGGCTGAGGTGGGAGGATGCTTGAGCCCAGGAGTTTGAGACCGGCCTGGGCAACACAGGGAGACCCCGTCTCTACAAAAACAAAACAAAACATAATAATTAGCAGGGTGTGGTGGTGGCACCTGTAGTCCCAGCTACTCAAGAGGCTGGGTGGAGGATCCCGTGAGCCCGGGGCGTGGAGGCTGCAGTGAGCTATGATCACACCTCTGCACTCCAGCCTGAGCAACACAGTAAGACCCAGTCTAAAAAAAAGAAGGCTGGGCGCGGTGGCTCACGCCTGTAATCCCAGCACTTTGGGAGGCCGAGGTGGGCGGATCACGAGGTCAGGAGATCGAGACCATCCTGGTTAACATGGTGAAACCCCATCTCTACTAAAAATACAAAAAATTAGCCGGGCGTGGTGGCGGGCGCCTGTAGTCCCAGCTACTCGGGAGGCTGAGGCAGGAGAATGGCATGAACCTGGGAGGCAGAGCTTGCAGTGAGCCGAGATCTCGCCACTGCACTCCAGCCTGGGCGACAGAGAGAGACTCCATCTGAAAAAAAAAAAAAAAAAAGAAAGAAAAAAAGAACGTAGGCTGGGCGCGGTGGCTCATGCGTGTAATCCCAGCACTTTGGGAAGCCGAGGTGGGCGGATCACTTTAGGCCAGAAGTTCAAGACCAGCCTGGCCAACATGGTGAAACTCTGTCTCTACTAAAAAATATACAACAAGCCGGGCGCGGTGGCTCACGCCTGTAATCCCAGCACTTTGGGAGGCCGAGGAGGGTAGATCACAAGGTCAGGAGATCAAGACCATCCTGGCTAACACAGTGAAACCGCATCTCTACTGAAAATACAAAAAAATTAGCTGGGTGTGGTGGCGGGTACCTGTAGTCCCAGCTACTCGGGAGGCTGAGACAGGGGAATGGCTTGAACCCAGGAGGCAGAGGTTGCAGTGAGCCGAGATCACCCCACTGCACTCCAGCCTGGGTGACAGAGCGAGACTCTGTCTCAAAAAAAAAAAAAAGAAAGAAAGAAAGAAAAAAAGAACATAGGCTGGGCATGGTGGCTCATTCTTGTAATCCCAGCACTTTGGGAAGCTGAGGCAGGCGGATCACTTGAGGCCAGGAGTTCGAGACCAGCCTGGCCAACATGGTGAAACCCCGTCTCTACTAAAAATATACAAAAAATTAGCCAGGCGCAGTGGCGCATGCCTGTAGTCCCAGCGGCTTGGGAGGCTGAGGCATGAGAATCGCGTGAACCCAGGAGGCAGAGGTTGCTATAAGCCGAGATCACACCGCTGTGCTCCAGCCTGGGTGACAGCGAGACTGTGTCTCAAACAAACAAACAAAAAGAACATAAGCCAATTTCCTAGGGTCAAAATCTGAGGCCCTTAAGGATGAACCTGGCTAATGGGCAGAGGCAGAGATGCCCCCACTGGGTGGTGCTCAGAGGGTCCAGGCCCATAAAGCACCTGCCCTTCCTCTACCCCTATCTCCCCTAATGATGGCAGTCACATCCCCACTCGCCAGATGAGAACAGTGAGGCCCGGAGGAGACTGACATGCTAAGGTGTGACGGGGAGTCAGGACCCCCTCTCCACACTCCTCTCCCAAATCACAGAACGGCGTGGATGGGCACAGAGGCAGGGCAGATGCCCCAGGAGCCAAGACCACCGACAAGGCCACCGTCTGTGTTTCTCAATAAACACACCAGGATTGAAAGCCGACACCAGGATGTCTGATATCCAGACCACCACGCCCCACAAGACCACAACCCCCAGACACAGGTACCAAAAACCCTCCCCTGTCCCCGGCGGCTTAGAGAGAGCATGCTCGGCCCACCCAGCAGCAAACCCCCCACCCATGCCTCTGCAGCTGTGTGTCCTTACATGTGCCACTGGACCACCCTGTACCTCAGTTTCCCTCTCTCGCAGGGCTTCTGTAAGGATCAAGGGAGTGGGCCGTGCACGGTGCCTCACACCTGTAATGCCAGCATTTTGGGAGGCCCAGCTGGGCGGATCACCTGAGGTCAGGAGTTTGAGACCAGCCTGCCCAACATGGCGAAACCTTGTCTCTACTAAAAATACAAAAATTAGCTGGGCGTGGTGGCAGGCACCTGTAATCCCAGCTACTCGGGAGGCTGAGGCAGGAGAATCGCTTGAACCCAGGAGGCAGAGGTTGCAGTGAGCCGAGATCGCGCCACTGCACTCCAGTCTGGGTGACAGAGAGAGACTCTGTCTCCAATAAAAAAAAACCAGGCATGGCGGCTCACACCTGTAATCCCAGCACTTTGGGAGGCCAAGGCAGGTGGATCACAAGGTCAGGAGATTGAGACCATCCTGGCTAACACTGTGAAACCCTGTCTCTACCAAAAACACAAAAAATTAGCCGGGCGTGATGGTGGGCGCCTGCAGTCCCAGCTACTCGGGAGGCTGAGGCAGGAGAACCGCTTGAACCCAGGAGGCAGAGGTTGCAGTGAGCCGGGATCACACCACTGCACTGCCTGGGTGATGGAGCAAGACTCTGTCTCAAAAAAAAAAAGAAGGATCAAGGGTCAAGGGAGTTCTCACACATAAAGCATTCGGAACAGGGCCATGGAAAAGGCAAGTGTCAGCCAGGCACGTGGCTCACGCCTTTCATCCCAACACTTTGGGGAGGCCGAGGCAGGCGGATCACCTGAGGTCAGGAGTTCAAGACCAGCCTGGGCAACCTGGTGAAACCCTGTCGCTACTAAAAATACAAAAATTAGCCGGGCGTGGTGGCGGGCACCTGTAGTCATAGCTACTCAGGAGGCTGAGGTAGGAGAATTGCTTGAACCCGGGAGGCGGAGGTTGCAGTGAGTGGAGATCGCAGCACTGCACTCCAGTGTGGACAACAGAGAGATACTCTGTCTCCAAAAGAAAAAAAAAAGCATCAGAGGAATTCACACACATACAGAGCACTCAAAACAGGGCCGTGGAAAAGGCAGGTACCCACTTAATGGTTGCCGAGTGAATAAATTACGCCTGCACTTCTCAAACCACCTTCCCATGCAATGCTGTCGTCCCAGCTACTTGGGAGGCTGAGGCAGGGAAGTCGCTTGAGCCCAGGAGTTCGAGACTGGCCTGGGCAACATGGAAAAAAGAAAGAAACCACCTTCCCATGTTCCGCCACCTCCTGGACAGTATCTGTCTATTCCTTGCCTTCAAAACCACTCCAGTGTAAATCAAATCGCCTTGTTTTAGAAAGAAACATTATATTGTGATCAACACTGGGCAAACCAGAAGCCACCGCCACAAACAAGACAGCGGAAACATGGAGGAAGAAACAGATACAACGGAAGTAAAAGCTTGTTATTAAATTCAATTATCACTAGGTACTGTTGCCTTTTAACAGGCTCTGCCTCTCATTAAAAAGGGGGATTAGCAAGTGTGAAGGAGCGTTAAGGACCCAGTTAGCACCCAACGGAGACTTTCCTATTGAAAATTTCCAGGTCTGCGAGCAGGGAGGAGTCTGGGCCGGTCTTGACCATCTGTCCAGGCCCAAGTCTGTTCTCCTCCCTATCCCGGGGGTTTGAGCCTTGCCTGTACCCAGGACAGGGCTGTGGGTGCTGGAGAATGGCTGCTCCAGGCCAAAATATCTTTATTTTACCAGCCAGACCATGTGTCACGCAGGGGCCACACAAACCCTCCCAGAGCACAGAGATTCTCTCCGAAGCAGAGATTCTCCCCAGCTCCTTCCTGGACGTTCTCCTCACCTTGGCAGCATCGGCCCTGTGGTTAGCAACCCGCTAGTTCTCCTTAAATCCTCACATTAACAAAAAATAACCTGTTCTTGAATGACATTTAAAATTCTTTAAATTCTTAAATTCATTTGTGAAACTTTCCAGCGAGACGGGCACCACCACAAACCACAGCCAGCTCCCGTGTCTTCGACTGGAAAATCTGTGGAAACGGGAGGAGGCAAGCGATCACGTTCTAGCGGACGGGGCCTTCGTGCCTGAAGCCCGCCGGGGAGAAGAACGAGGGGGCAGGTGTCCAAGGCCGGGCGGCACCAGATGGGCCTGTCCCCACCCATTGTCAGCCCGGGAACCGGGGAGAGAGTCGTCCTCGAATGGCGGCTCACAGCAGCCGGTTAACACTGGGTGCCTGTCCCATGTCTGCATCCCCAAAAGCAATGATGACCCAATGGGGGACCTGTGGGCCACCCTCTGACCCAGGACGGAGAAACCGTGGAGCAGAGCAGGAGGCACCGAGGCCCCCCGGCCCCAGGTGCTGTGTGATGGAGGGGGGGTGGGGGGGGGGCAGCAGCTCCTCTCTGGGCCTCAGTATCCCCCGTGGGAAAGGAAGGGGTGGCAGGAAGGAAACAATGGGCCCGACCCGGAGTGTTCGCTGACACCCCTCCTCTGGGAGGGAGATCTCCGTCGTCCTCCTAGGCAGCCCCCTCCCCACAGCCACACCCTGCCCAGGCCTGGCTGTCAGAGGCCCAGAGGCTCCTCCGGGGCCTGGCGAGCAGGGCAGATAAACAAGGCTGGGGGGTGGGGGTGTGGAGCAGGCAAGTCTGGGCCCTGGCTCCCCTGAGCCCCTGGCTGAGCTCCCGGGGCGGGGTGACGGGGAGAGGGGTCAGGCCTTTGTCTGGGTTTTCAAAAGCAGAGGACACTGGGTGTCTCGCTTTCCCAGGGAGGGAGGGAGGCAGCGGCCCCCACCCAGCCGCGGGCGTGGCGGGTCACGGGTGAATCCCCGGGGAAAGTTGGCGGCTTAGAAAACACGCCCAGTGGGAAGGGCAGGGGGCCACAGGCGGCCTCCAGATCCGGTCTTCGGTCCTCGGGCTGGGGTGGGGACCCGGGCCTCAGCAGGGCAGCTGGCTCCCCTGTCCTGAAGTGGGCAGGTGGGTGACCCCAGGAGGAGCCTCCTGACCCCTGCCCGTGCAGTGCCCACCTGTGGGAGTGAGGGGCAGAGGGGCACCCGAGCACCGGGAGGAGGGGACCGGTGTCCGAAATGACCACGCGCCCTCGCTCGGTGCCTCCACTGGCCACCCCCCCCCCACACACACAGGCGCAGCCATGCGGGGGTCCAGGGATCCCAGCCCAGGGCCAGCCCACTCCTGTAGCTACACCAGTGGAGCCCCAGCTCCGAGACACTTCCCCGAGAGGGTATCCCACCCAGGCGCCCCGCTGGAAAACGCCGGTTCCTCTCCCTTCTCACACACCCCAGAGACCCGGGAAGCCGAGGGCAGCCCCTCTCCCTCCAGCGGTAACTCGGGACCTGCGCAGTGGCGGGGGGCTCAGGACACCCCTGGAGGCCCTTGGGAAGGGCGGGGGTGGGGGGCACCGGCCCGCGCGCGCGTCCAGGGCGCCAGGAGCCGTGCGCTCAGACTGGGGCGGGGGAAGGGTGCGTGAGCGCGAGGCCGGACCGGTGCAATCTGGGGAGGGGTCGCTCCATCTCCCCGGGGCCACCCACAGGTGGCCGAGAGCCGAGGCTCGCCCTGGAGACGCGGGCGGGGCGCGGGCGGAGACGCGAGCCTCCCCCTCCCCGCGTCCTGGACTGGCCCGAGCCGCCGCTGCCCGGGTCCCCACGCGCCGGTGGGTGGGCAGCCGGGGTCCGGGAGCGGGGAGGCCTCCCGGCAGGCGCGGCCCAGCCCGAGTCTCTTCCCGGCTGCGCTGCGGCCCCAGCAGCCCCGCGCCGCCTCCTGCTCCTCGCGGGGGCAGCGACGCCCCCAATGGGGCGCGAGAGAGGGGGCCTCCCCCCTCCCCGGCTCCCGGAGCTCCGGGCCCCCAGCCCCGCGGCCCGAGCGCGCCTACTCACTCCATCTCCCCGCCGAGGTCCGGGTGGGTCCGCGGTGCCGGGCGGGGGCGGGCGCGGGTGGCGCGCGGGGGAGGGGAGGGGAGGGGGACGCGGCCTGGCGGGGGCCGGGGCGGGCTAAGGCCTGGCGGCCGGGGCTGCGCGGCGCGGGGGCGGCGGCACCGGCTCGGGCATCGCCCCGCGCAAAGCTGCTGTTTATTGTCCGGGCGGCGGCGGGCGCGGGGGGTGGGCTGGGCGCGCGCGTCTCCGGCGCGCTCCCCTCTCCCTCCCGCCCGCCCCGCTCCCCGCCCCGCTCCCCTCCCACCTCCCCGCGCTGCGAGCGGGCGCTGCGCCTCCTGCCGGCTGCGCCGCCGCCGCCCCCCGCCCCGCGCGCCCCGCCCCGGGGCACCCCTGAGAAGGGCCTAGGTCTGGGCGCGGTGCTGGGACCCGGCTGTCACCAAGTCCCGCCCCTCCCCAGCTCCTGGGCCAGAGCCGGGACCCTCGCGAAGTCAGACAAGCAAAGGCCTTTCTCGAGAGCCCAGACGCCGAGAGGGACACACATTTCAGGGCGAGCGAGGGGATAGGGGGGTCCTGGGGAGGCCGCTGCGAGGAGCTGACAGCTCCCTGCACCCCCGGCCCCGCTCGCAGGGTCCCCAGGCCTCCTTTGCCGGAGTATCTGGTGGAGGGCGCTGTGCCTGCAAAGGCCGGGGGTTGGGGTGGAGACAACCGCAGGTGCTGATCTGTCTGTGCCCTGGCTGGGAGCTGAGCCTGGTCCCCGGGGCTGGAATTTAATCGGCCCCAGGGCCCCCATGGCACACTCACTAAAGGCCCAGCGACCAGACGACCAGAGTGAGTGAGAGGGACGGTGGAGAATCAGGGAGAGCTCAGGCTTTGTCCTCAGAGCACTGGGGAGCCACAGCAGGAGACAGGCAGGACCTGTCTTCCCCAACATGTAGGCCTTGGGCCCAGCTTCCTGGTTTCCCGTGAGAACACTGCAGACCAGCCCCAGCACACCTACTCATGGGGGTCCAGGGTGGGCAGGAAGGAAAGATTCTTCCAAACTTCTTAGTTTTCTTATAAAACGGTTCTCCTCTGCCGATGTTTGCTGAATGGCTGTAGATTTAAAGGAAAGTAGCCCCGGATGAGCTGTGGAGAAAGATACGGCAGGATGTACCCCAGGCTGAAGAAGGCCGTCAACACCTTTTCTTTATTCCTCCCTTTTTACAATGAATGTGTATTCATTTTAGCATTTAAGACAATAAGATAAATTAGCAAAGGTTAACAAAGCTAAGATCCTAAAGAATATCAGGGGTCCCGGGTCTGTCTGATTCCCAGCTCACCCATCTCCAAGCTGTGTGACCCTGGGTCTGTTTCTCAACCTCTCGGAGCCTTATTCCCCCCCACCCCCCTGCCCCCACCCTTAAGGCTGTGGGAGGGTTAACTGAGTGAGCACACACAAAGGGCTTGGCACAGGGCCCAGCACACACTAGCTCAGGGTTTGGCAAACTTTTTCTGTAAAGGGCCAGAGAGTAAATATTTTCAGCATTGCAGGCCACAGTCTCTGCGGCAATGACTCTGCTCTGCCATCGCAGAGTGAAAGTAGCCAGAGACAATATGTAAAACCATGGGCATGGCTCTGTGCCCATAAAACTTTATTTACAAAAACAGGCAGTGGGCCAGAGCTTATCCCAGGGCCGTAGTGTACTGACCCCTGCACTAGGCACCCAATAAAACTTTATTTACAAAAACAGGCAGAGGGCCAGAGCTGATCCGAGGGCCGTAGTGTACTGACCCCTGCACTAGGCACCCAATAAAACTGACCTGTGAGTCGTTTCTTCACTTCCCCTTGGCCTCTGTGTTCTTTTAGTCCAAAGTGATTTATTGAACACCTACTGTGTGCCTGGCACCGTTAGTCACCTGTGATGCAGAAGTTCCATTTTTGCGGCCAGGCGCCGTGGCTCACGCCTATAATCCCAGCACTTTGGGAGGCTGAGGCTGGTGGATCACGAGGTCAAAAGTTTGAGACCAGGCCGGGCGCGGTGGCTCACGCCTGTAATCCCAGCACTTTGGGAGGCTGAGGCTGGTGGATCATGAGGTCAAAAGTTAGAGACCAGCCTGGCCAACATGGCAAAACCACTTCTTTTTTTGGCTGGGGTGGACGGAGTTTCGCTCTTGTTGCCCAGGCTGGAGTGCAATGGCGCGATCTCGGCTCACTGCAACCTCCGTCTACCAGGTTCAAGCAATTCTCCTGCCTCAGCCTCCCTAGTAGCTGGGATTACAGGTGTGAGCCACCACGCTCGGCCAGTGAAACTCCTTCTCTACTAAAAATACAAAACTTAGCTGGGCATGGTGGTGCGCGCCTGTAATCCCAGCTACTGGGGAGGCTGAGGCAGGAGAATGGCTGGAACCCGGGAGGCAGAAGTTGCAGTGAGCAGAGATCGCGCCACTGCACTCCAGCCTGGGTGACAGAACAAGACTCCATCTCAACAAAACAAAACAAAACAAAACAAAAAAGAAGTTCTGTCCTTGGAGAGACGGTGATTTTTGTCCCCTACATAAATGATTCAGGGTGAATGAAGTGACTGTTACATGTAATCCCAACACTTCAGGAGACTGAAGCAGGAGGATCACTTGAATCCAGGAGGTGAAGACCCTGGGCTACCTAGTGAGACTTCCATTTCTACAAAAAATTAAAAATTGGGCCGGGCACAGTGACTCACGCCTGTAATCCCAGCACTTTGGGAGGCTGAGGTGGGCAGATCACCTGAGCTCTGGAGTTCGAGATCAGCCTGAGCAACATGGAGAAACCCCGTCTCTACTAAAAATACAAAATTAGGCGGGCGTGGTGGTGCATGCCTGTAATCCCAGCTACTCCAGAGGCTGAGGCAGGAGAATCACTTGAACCTGGAAGGCGGAGGTTGCAGTGGGCCGAGATCGCACAATTGCACTCCAGCCTGGGCAACAAGAGCGAAACTCCATCTCAAAAAAAATAAAAAATAAAAAATAAAAATTAGCTGGGCACGGTGGTGTGTGCCTGTGGTCCCAGTTACTTGGGAGGCTAAGGTGGGAGGATCGCATGAGCCTGGGAGGTTGAGGCTACAGTGAGCCGTGATCATGCCACTGCACTCCAGCCTGGGCAACAGAGCCAGAACCTGGCTCAAAATAAAATAAATGATTCAGGGCCAGACACAGTGGCTCACACCTGTAATCCCAGCACTTTGGGAGGCTGAGAAGGGAGGATCACTTGAGCCCAGGAGTTTGAGACCAGTCTGGGCAACACAGAAAGACCCCATCTCTACAAATTTTTTTTTTTTTTTGAGACGGAGTCTCGCTGTCACCCAGGCTGGAGTGCAATGGTGCGATCTCGGCTCACTGCAAGCTCTGCCTCCCGGGTTCATGCCATTCTCCTGCCTCAGCCTCCCGAGTAGCTGGGCCTCCCAAAGTGCTGGGATTACAGGCATGAGCCACCGCACCTGGCCCAATTTTTTTTTTAAATACTGCTCCATCCAAGGAAAGGCCACCCCCGGATTCAAACCTCTGTCTGATCTCACCCCTCTGTGACTCCCCGGAGGGCTGGGAATGGGTCTGAGAAGCATCACAAGCTGCAGGGGCCAGACCCAGGCAGGGCGGTGGGACAGGCTGCCATCGGGGTCCTTCAAGATTTTAATTATAAGGAGGAAGAAGAGACAGGGCGAGGCACGGGCTTGGGGGGTCATAGTGACCCTGCATCGGGTGGCCGGCTCCTACTCCCGAGTAAACGGAACCTGCGTGAGGAGCTGTCGAGGTGTTAATTGGTTTTTAGGTGTGACCGTGGTACTTGGTGGCAGCTGTTATTTCATTTGCTTTTGGGGACTGGTTTGTTCGGTACAGCAGTCATTAGCCATATATACATTTTTAAATGTAATTTTTCTTTTTGAGACAGAGTCTCACTCTGTCGCCCAGGCTGGAGTGCAGTGGGGTGATCTCGGCTCACTGCAATTTCCACCTCCCAGGTTCACGCCATTCTCCTGTCTCAGCCTCCCGAGTAGCTGGGACTACAGGCTCCTGACACCACGCCCGGCTTATTTTTTGTATTTTTAGTAGAGATGGGGTTTCACCGTGTTAGCCAGGATGGTCTCGATCTCCTGACCTCTTGATCCGCCTGCCTCGGCCTCCCAAAGTGCTGGGATTACAGGTGTGAGCCACCGCACACAGCCTACAAATTTTTTTTTAAAAAATTAGCTAGGTGAGGTATCATGCATCTGTAGTTCCAGTTACTCACAGGCTGAGGTAGGAGGATCAGTTGGACCCAGGAGATCGAGGCTACGGTGAGCTGTGAAGACACCACTGCACTCCAGCCTGGGTGACAGAGCCAGACCCTATCTCAAAAATAAAATAAAATAAAAGATTCAGGGTTTGAAGGGTGGTGGAGGCATTTTGTGTAAAAATAGGAGGAAGTGAGGAGGCCGTGGGGAGGGTAAGGGACTGCTGGGATCATTTCTCCCACCGCCCCAGCTCTAAACCTCCAGGACTCACACCTCCCTCCGAGCAAAAGCTAAAGTCCTCCTGCCACTCTCAAGGCCCTGCACGAAAAACTCGCGCCGCCCACACCTCCCGACTCCAGCACACACAGGCCTGGAGGTGATGCCACTTGAACCGGGGAAATGGGCCGGGCAAACGGTGGAGGGAGACGTTCCAGGTGGCCGGAACGGCCTGGCAAAGGTGTGGAGGTGGGACAAGGTGGGGTGTGTAGTGGACCGGAGAGAAGCTGCCTCGAGTTGCCCTTCACACCCTCACTTCCACCGCCTCACTGCGCTCACCCACCCACAGGCACTGCAGCGCCCATCCGCGTCCTGTGGGGAGCAGTCACTGCACTGAGGCTCTGCCTCCTGCACCTCGGTCCCCACTCCCAGCTTCCGAAGCAATGTCGGCCCCGCCCCCTGCGCCCTAGCCCCGCCCCCTGAACCTCGGACCCGCCTCCTGGGCAATCTCGGCCCCCGCATCACCCCGCTAGCCTCGCACCCTGCACCCTAGTCCCGCCTCCCAGCAGCCTAGGCCATCTCGGCCCCGCCCCGACCCCGCCCCCTGCACCATGGCCCCGCCCCCGACATCGGCCCCACCTCCCTGCATCCCAGGCAATGTCGGCCCCGCCCCTGCACATTGGCCCCGCCCCCTGTGCCTCGGCCTCGCCTCCCAGGCAATGTCGGCCCCGCCCCTGAACCTCAGCCCCGCCTCCCAGGCAATGTAGGCCCCGCCCCTGCACCTCAGCCCCGCCTCCCAGGCAATGTCGGCCCCGCCCCTGCACCTCGGCCCCGCCTCCAGGCTTCCAGAGCGACGTTGGCCTGACCCCTTCCTGGACTCAGGGACAGGGGAGGAGTGAGGTTTCCCTGAGGGCGCCCCTGCCCTTCCTACTTCCGTAGAGCTCTACCCCGGGGCTCCGCCCAGCACGCCCCACCACTCCTTGCAGATCTGGCCACCCTCTGGAGCCTTGGACGACCGGAAGCTATAGGTGGGTCCCAAAACCTCACTCCTCCCCTGTCCCTGAGTCAGAGACCCCCCTCGCCTCTCCCCAGCCATGACTTTAGCTGAGGCCTTATGGCCCCCACCCCAACCCTGAGCCATGTCGCCTCCGGGTCTCCCCACCTCCTCTCCCTACTCCACTCTTTCACCAGAGAAATATGCCCTGGCCTGCCCCAGCTCAAACACCATCTATGGTTCCCCAGTGCCCTGCAGCCCCACAAGGCAAAGCTGAGCCCAGACAATCCTGTCTCTTCCCTGCTCACCTCTCCTTGCCCCACAACCAGCTTGGGCTTCAGCCATCCAGACACCTGCTGTTAGACGCCTTGTGTGTTCCTCTGGGAGAACTTCCCCAGCTTCCCCATTGTCACTGGGTGCCCTCGGTACCCTTGTTGTTTTTATTTTTTTGAATAAGATAGGGTCTCACTCTGCCACCCAGGCTGGAGTGCAGTGATGTGATCTTGGCTCACTGCAGCCTCGACCTCCCCCATCAGGTAATCCTCCCACCTCAGCCTCCTGAGTATCTGGGACTACAGGTGTGCACCACCACACGTGGCTAATTTTTTTTTTTTGAGACAGAGTCTTGCTCTGTTGCCCAGGCTGGAGGGCAATGGCGCAACCTCAGCTCACTGCAACCTCCACCTCCTGGGTTCAAGCCATCCTTCCACCTTAGCCTCCTGAGTAGCTGGGATTACAGGTGCCCACCATCATGCCTGGCTAATTTTTGTATTTTTAGTAGAGACGAGGTTTCACCGTGTTGGCCAGACTGGTCTGGAGCTCCTGACCTTAGGTGATTCACCTGCCTCGACCTCCCAAAGTGCTGGGATTACAGGCGTGAGCCACCGTGCCTGGCGTTTGCTATTCCTCTTGTCTGTCCACACTCTCTTTCCCACTAAATTCTTCTGACAGACAATGTCATTTACATGTTGTGTTCAGCGTTTCCTTCCTGCCTCTCTGCTGAATGTCAGCCCCACAAGGGCAGGAACTTGCCTGTCTTCTTCACTGCTGAGTCCCCAAGGCCCACAACACTGTCTGTACACAGTAGGTGCTCAATAAATGCTCACGGAATGAGTTGAGTGAATGAATGGATGGTTTCCTGTCTTCTACCCTCTTCTCTGACTGTGATGGCTTCCATGGGAAGGACGGGGCAGGATCCAGCTTACGGATGGGCAAACAGGCGCTTTACAAGGGGCGCCAGGGCCCCAGTCCCCACCAGCATGCCGCATCCAGTACCTTGCTGTTTTTTTTTTTTTCCAACGGAGTCTCGTTCTTGTCACCCAGGCTGGAGTGCAGTGGCGCGATCTCAGCTCACTGCAACCTGCATCTCCTGGGTTCAAACAGTTCTCCTGCCTCAGCCTTCCGGGTAGCTGGAATTACAGGTGCCCGCCACCACCCCCAGCTAATTTTTGCATTTTTAGTAGAGACGGGGTTTCACCATGTTGGCCAGGCTGGTCTCGAACTCCTGACCCCAGGTGACCCGCCTGCCTCAACTTCCCAAAGTCCTGGGATTACAGGCGTGAGCCACTGTGCCCAGCCAACCTTGCTGAATTCTCATCAGCACTCTCGGCATTGCCCCAGGGCAACCCATTCCCTAGATGGGAAAACTGAGGCCAGAGAGCTCCGGGGAGCAGGGCCTTTGGACAGCTCAGGGACCCCCAGTAGCGGCCAAGCCAGCCCTCTCCAGTCTGGCTGGAAGGCAGGTAGTGTTGGGTTGTGCTATGTGTATTCTTTTTTTTTTTTTTTTTTTTTTTGAGATGGAGTCTCACTCTGTCGCCCAGGCTGGAGTGCAACGGTGCAATCTTGGCTCACTGTAACCTCCTCCTCCCAGGTTCAAGTGATCCTCCTGCCTCAGCCTCCCGAGTAGCTGGGATTACAGGCACACACCACCGCACCCAGCTAAGTTTTGTATTTTTAGTAGAGATGGGGTTTTGCCATGTTAGCCAGGCTGGTCTGGAACTCTTGACCTCAGGGGATCCGCCTGCCTCAGTCTCCCAAAGTGCTGGGATTACAGGCGCAAGCCACTGCGTCCAGCCAGTGCAATGTGTATTCTTAAGGCAGCTATCTTCCATTTCAAGAAATAGGAAGCAGGTCCGGGCACGGGGACTCACGCCTGTAATCCTAACATTCTGGGAGGCTGAGGCGGGTGGATCCTCTGAGGTCAGGAGTTCGAGAGCAGCCTGGCTAACAGGGCAAAACCTGTCTCTGCTAAAAATACAAAAAAAGATCAGGCGCGTTGGCAACGCCTGTAATCCTAGCACTTTGAGAGGCCAAGGCAGGCAGATCACCTGAGGTTGGGAGTTCAAGACCAGCCTGACCAACATGGCGAAACCCCATCTCTACTAAAAATACAAAATTAGCTGGGGGTGGTGGTGGGCGCCTGTAATTCCAGCCACTCAGGAGGCTGAGGCAGGAGAATCGCTTGAACCCGAGAGGCAGAGTTTGCAGTGAGCTGAGATCATACCACTGCACTCCAGCCTGGGCAACAAGAGCGAAACTCCATCTCAAAAAAAAAAAAAAAATTAGCTGGGCGTGGTGGCGCATGCCTGTAATCCCAGCTACCTGGGAGACTGAGGTAGGAGAATCTCTTGAACTCAGGAGGAAAAGGTTGCTGAGAGCCAAGATCGCGCCACTGCTCTCCAGCGTGGGTGACAGAGCGAGACTCCCTCTCAACAACAACAACAAAAAAAAAAAAAAAAAAGAAGAAGCAATGTCCTGTGGATATACATTTATTGGGGTTAAAAAATAAAGTGAGGCTGGGCACAGAAGCTCATGCCTGTAATCCCAGCACTTTGGGAGGCCGAGGCAGGTAGATCACAAGGTCAGGAGATCGAGACGATCCTGGCTAACACAGTGAAATCCTGTCCGTACTAAAAATACAAAACAAATTAGCCAGGTGTGGTGGCACACACCTGTAGTCCCACCTACTTGGGAGGCTGAGGTAGGAGAATCGCTTCAACCTGGGAGGCAGAGGTTGCAGTAAGCAGAGATCACACCACTGTACTCCAGCCTGGGTGACAAAGCATCTGTCTCAAAAAAATAAAAATAAAGTGAGGCCAGGCTCAGTGGCTCATGCCTATTACACCAGCACTTTGGGAAGCCAAGGTGGGAGGATCAGTCGAGGTCAGTTTGAGGCCAGCCTGGGCGGCATAGTGAGACCCCATCTCTACAAAAAAACTTTTTTTTTTTTTCTTGAGACGGAGTCTCACTCTGTCGCCCAGGCTGGAGTGCAGTGGCGCGATCTCGGCTCACTGCAAGCTCCGCCTCCCGGGTTCTCGCCATTCTCCTGCCTCAGCCTCCCGAGTAGCTGGGACTACAGACGCCCGCCACCGTGCCCGGCTAATTTTTTGTATTTTTAGTAGAGATGGGGTTTCACCGTGTTAGCCAGGATGGTCTCGATCTCCTGACCTCGTGATCCATCCGCCTCAGCCTCCCAAAGTGCTGGGATGACAGGCGTGAGCCACCGTGTCTAGCTTTTTTTTTTTTTTTAATTACCCTGGTGGTTTTGTGAGCCTGTGGTCCCAGCTACAGGGAAGGCGGAGCCAGGAGGCAGAGGCTGCAGTGAGCTGTGATTGCAGTCTCAGCCACCAGGCAACATCTCGTCTTGAAAAACAATTTTTCGCAGGGGAGGGGCCGGGCGCGGTGGCTCACGCCTGTCATCCCATCACTTTGGGAGGCCCAGGCGGGTGGATCACCTGCCATCAGAAGTTCAAGACCAGCCTGGCCAACATGGTGAAACCCCATCTCTACTAAAAATACAAAAAATTAGCTGGGCGTGGTGGTGGGCGCCTGTAATCCCAGCTACTCGGGAGGCTGAGACAGGAGAATCACTTGAACCCGGGAGGCAGAGCTTGCAGTGAGCTGAGATGGTGCCACTGCACTGCAGCCTGGGTGACAGAGCGAGACTCCGTCTCAAAAAAACAAAATAAATAAAATAAAAATGTAAAATTAAATACAATAAAGGAAGCTGTTGTCACCATTGCTGTTGACTCCCTGCAGTGGCTGGTGTCTGAGCTCCTGAAGAGCCGCTCAGATCTGCCATGGAGAGACCCTCCAGGAGAATCGCAGTCCAGCGGCTCATGGGTCAAGACCCTGTGCTGTGTGGCCCCAGACAAATCGGCTCCCCTCTCTGGGCCTCAGTTTGGGAAGTGGGAACAGTGACCCCCACTCAGCCCCCTCCTCAGGGCTGCCAGGAGCTCGGTTTTCTGAGACGCTGGAGGACGGTTGTTTATTTCACAACTGTTCACCAAAAGGGAAGGAAATGGCCCAGCTCTGGATAGAATCGGTCCCGAGAGGCAGTGGGAGCTCCTCTGAGGCAGCAGCCCCGGCCCCCTGGCTCCTCACTGTGTGGCAGGGCTAAGGCGCTTACCCTCTCCCTACTGTGTCCCCATCAGCGACCGGGACAGGGACAGCATCGTGAGGGAACAAAGTTCCACACGCCTGCAGCTTCGGGCAATTCTCCTTCTAACGCCCGTGGAGCTGGGGACGTTTTCCAGGTCTCTGCCTCAGTGCTCCGCGACGGAGGGCAGCAGGGGAGGTAGGAGCAAGTCCAGGGGACCCACTCGTGCTGACGCGACGACCGTGGAGACCAGAGTGCCTGCTGTCCAGTCGTTTGACAATATTGACGGACAGCCGGGTGCGATGGCTCACGCCTGTAATCCCAGCACTTTGGGAGGCCGAGGCAGGCCGATCACTTGAGCTCAGGAGTTTGAGACCAGCCTGGGCAATATGGCAAAACCCATCTCTACCAAACAAATAAAACAAAACAAAACAAAAAAACACAAAAATTAGCCGGGCGTGGTGGCAGGCACCTGTAATCCCACCTACTTGGGAGGCTAAGGCAGTAGGATCGCTTGAACTCAGGAGGCAGAGGATGCAGTGAGCCGAGATCAAACCACTGCACTCCAGCCTGGGCGACAGAAGGAGACCCTGTCTCTAAAAGATAAAAACAGGGCCGGGCGCAGTGGCTCATGCCTGTAATCCCAGCATTTTCGGAGGCCAAGGCGGGCGGATCACGAGGTCAGGAGTTCAAGACCAGCCTGGCCAACATGGTGAAACCCCATCTCCACTAAAAATACAAAAAATTGGCCGGGCGTGGGGGCAGACGCCTGTAGTCCCAGCTACTGGGGAGGCTGAGGCAGGAGAATCGCTTGAACCCGGGACACTGAGGTTGCAGTGAGCTGAGATCACGCCACTGCACTCCAGCCTGGCGACAGATCGAGACTCCATCTAAAAAAAAAAAAAAAAACACCCACACACAAAAAAACAATATTGATGGAGCACGGCCCATGCGGTCACAGCGATGCCAGACGGTCCAGTAGACCACAGCAGAGCAGGAAATGGTCCCCAAGTACACGGACCCTGAGCTGGGGTCCCACCTGTCCCCAGGCCCTGGAAACAGCTTTCCATTTCCCAAAATCTTTCCTGCAGCTGCTGTAACGAATTCCCAGAAACGTAGTGGTTTAAAATGATACCAACTTGGGCCAGACATGGTGGCTCACACCTGTAATCCCAGCACTCCGGGAAGCCGAGGCTGGAGGATTGCTCGAGGCCAGGAGTTCAAGACCAGCCTGGGCAACATGGCAAAACCCCGTCTCCACAAAAAATGAAATAATGAGCCGGGCCTGGTGGTGGCAGGTGCCTGTGGTCCCAGCTACTTGGGAGGCTGAGGTGGGAGGATGGCTTGAGCCTAGGAGGTCGAGGCTGCAGTGAGCTTTGATTGCACTGCTGCACTCCAGCGTGGGCGGCAGAGCAAGACCCTGTCTCCCTGTCTCAAAATAAATATATACATAATAAATGAGGCTGGGCGCGGTGGCTCACACCTGTAATCCCAGCACTTTGAAAGGCTGAGGCAGGCAGATCACGAGGTCAGGAGATTGAGACCATCCTGGCTAACGTGGTGAAACCCCATCTCTACTAAAAATACAAAATATCAGCCGGGCGTGGTGGCGGGCACCTGTAGTCCCAGCTACTTGGGAGGCTGAGGAAGGAGAATGGCATGAACCCAGGAGGCGGAGCTTGCAGTGAGCCGAGATCGCACCACTGCAGTCTGGCCTAGGCGAAAGAGCGAGACTCCATCTCAAGAAAATATAATAATAATAATAATAAACGAAATGGCACCAATTTATTCTCTGGCAGTGCTGGAGGTCAGAAGCCCCTGCAGGCCCTTCTGGGCTAACGTCAGGGCATCGGTAGGGCTGGCTTTTCCCGGAGGCTCCAGGAGAAAATTCGTTTCCTGCCGTTTTTTAGCTTCCAGAGGCCGCCCGCATCTCGCAGAGCCCGAGTTCGTTGTGGGGCCTTTTCATACCTTCCTTTCCACGCATTTCCTGTTGCTTCATTTCACTTCATTCTTTATTGAGAACACTTTACATTTGGTAAAACACAGGTCTGGAGCGTTCAATGATGACTTTTTTTTTTTTTTTTTTTTTGAGATGGTGTCTCGCTCTGTCACCCAGGCTGGAGTGCAATGGTGCAATCTTGGCTCACTGCCACCTCCACCTCCCGGTTCAAGCGATTCTCCTGCCTCAGCCTCCCAAGTAGCTGGGATTACAGGCACCTGCCACCACGCCTGACTAATTTTGGTACTTTAAGTAGAGACGGGGTTTCACTATGTTGGCCAGGCTGGTCTTGAACTCCTGACCTCAGGTGATCCACCTGCCTCGGCCTCCCAAAGTGCTAGGATTATAGGCGTGAGCCACTGCACCCGGCCCCAGCCTGTTCATTATTAAGCGCTGACGAGCACCCCACTGCTAGCCACTGCCGTGAACGCCATCACCCGGCTGTGTGAGCTGCAATTTACGACCTGAACTTTGCCACTAAGAACGCTCCCACTGAAAGGTGAAGACCTGCCGGGCTGGGCGCGGTGGCTCAGGCCTGTCATCCCAGCACTTTGGGAGGCTGAGGCAGGTGGATCACCTGAGGTCGGGAGTTCGAGACCAGCCTGACCAACATGGAGAAACTCCGTCTCTACTAAACACACAAATTTAGCGGGGCGTGGTGGTGGGCACCTGTAATCCCAGTTACTCAGGAGGCTGAGGAAGGAGAATCCCTTGAACTCAGGAGACAGAGGTTGCGGTGAGCCAAGATCGCGCCACTGCACTCTAGCCTGGGCAACAAGAGCAAGATTCCTTCTCAAAAAAAAAAAAAAAAAAAAAAAGGCCGGGCACCGTGGCTCATGCCTGTAATCCCAGCACTTTGGGAGGCCGAGGCGGGCGGATCATGAGGTCAGGAGATCGAGACCATCCTGGCTAATATGGTGAAACCCCGTCTCTACTAAAAATACAGAAACAAAATTAGCCGGCTGTGGTGGCGGGCGCCTGTAGTTCCAGTTACTCGGGAGGCTGAGGAACGAGAATCACTCGAACCCGGGAGGTAGAGGTTGCGGTGAGCCGAGATGGTGCCATTCCACTCTAGCCTGGGCAACAAGAGCAAGACTCCATCTCAAAAAAAAAAAGAAAAGAAAAAAAAGGTGAAGACCCCCATGTACAGCCATGTCCCACTGGACTCCGGATCCCACAGAACGTCAGTGCTACAGGCTGGGGTGCGGTCACTGCCTCATCCTCACCTCCTAGCATGAGGTCTGGTATACACTAGGCACTCAATAACTGCTGAATAAAGGCAGAAATCTGCCAGGTGCAGTGGCTGTCTTCTGTGATCTCAGCACTTTGGAAGGCCGAGGAGGGAGGATCGCTGGAGCCCAGGAGTTCGAGACCAGCCTGGGCAACATAGCAAAACCCCACCTATAAAAATAAAATAAAATAAAGGCAGAAATCATCAGAGCTTCCCAGGAGACCGGCCTTCCTCGCTGTCCCCACAGCCCTGAGGTCGGCCCTGGGTTTGGAGATGGGAAGACTGGGGTTTGCGGGGTGGGGGCCGGAGGCGAGCTGCGGGTCTCGAGTGCCGCTGTGACCTCGGTTCCTCGGAAAGCTCCCCACACATGCTGGGCCACGTGGAGGCTGGGTAAACTGAGGCACAGAAGGGTCAATTGCCTTCCCGAGGTCACTTGCAGCCCCAGAGCTGTCTCCTCCTCTCCCTGTTTCCGGACTAGGGGACAATGATTATTATCAACATGATTATTACCAGCCACCACCTGAGACCATCGATTTCTCAGAAACGCCCGCCTGGGCTCCAGGCGTTGCTGGT
Source organism: Homo sapiens (assembly GCF_000001405.40). Taxonomy (NCBI): domain Eukaryota; kingdom Metazoa; phylum Chordata; class Mammalia; order Primates; family Hominidae; genus Homo; species Homo sapiens. Next base: position 695,540 of record NC_000019.10, on the reverse strand, counting down.
GGGGCCTCCCGACCACAGGCCACAGCCAGGCTCCCCCTTTCCGGCCGTTGGCTGAGGGTGGGAGCCACGGCCCGAAGACCTCTGCGGGGAGACGCCAGCCTGCGTCTGCCATGGGGCTCGGGTTGAGGGGCTGGGGACGTCCTCTGCTGACTGTGGCCACCGCCCTGATGCTGCCCGTGAAGCCCCCCGGTGAGGAGCCCCCCGGGATCCCCACCCAGGCCCCCGCCAAGTCCCCGTACGGGGGCCACACCCGGGAACCCCCAGTCCCGGGAGAACCCTGGGGAGAGCTCCACCTGCTCCATCTGCCGAGCCCCCGTGGCTGCCTCTGCTGGAAATGGATGGAAATCCGGCCGGGGTCTCTGCCCAGCCCAGCCCTGGATCTCCCGGGCTCGGGAGCCCCTCCCAGCGCATCTGGGGGGCTTGTCTGGGCTCTGTCTCCAGCTCTCTGGGTCTCTCCGTCTCTAATCTCACCCCCTGTCTCTGTCTTGGCCGCTACTTCTCCCCCTGCCCTGACCCCAGCCCCGTCATCCGTTCCTCCCGCCTCGTCCCTGACTCAGGCCGTCCCTCCAGCAGGCTCCTGGGGGGCCCAGATCATCGGGGGCCACGAGGTGACCCCCCACTCCAGGCCCTACATGGCATCCGTGCGCTTCGGGGGCCAACATCACTGCGGAGGCTTCCTGCTGCGAGCCCGCTGGGTGGTCTCGGCCGCCCACTGCTTCAGCCACAGGTGAGCTCACCTGTCGGGCCCCTTCTTTCTGGACACCGTATCCCGACATGAGGGGGACTCCAGGCTGGTGGGGGAGCTGGGGGCGCCGTGGCTCCTGCAGGAGGGGGAGTCTCAGCAGGGGCTGGATTTAAAGGGCAACAAAGGGAAAACAGGAGGATAAGGCAGGGAGGCAAAAGAAGCACAGAAGAAGCAACAGGCGCAACAAGTACATATTCTGTTACTGTAACTGTCACTATGTTCTTTTTTTTTTTTGAGGCAGTCTCGGTTCCCCAGGCTGGAGTGCAACGGTGCAATCTCGGCTCACTGCAACCTCCACCTCCCGGGCTCAAGCGATTCTCCTGCCTCAGCTTCCCGAGTAGCTGGGATCACAGGCGCCCACCACCACACCTGGCTAATTTTTGCATTTTTAGTAGAGACTGGATTTCACCATGTTGGCCAGGCTGGTCTCGAACTCCTGACTTCAAATGATCCACCCGCCTCTGCCTCCCAAAGTGCTGGGATTGCAGGTGTGAGCCGCCATGCCCTGCCTCGTTTTAAACATATTGTTATAATAACTATTAAAATGTATATTGGGGCCAGGGTGGGTGGGTCCCCTCCTGCAGGAGCCCCCACCAGGCACGGGATAGGTTGGTCCTGGGCTGCAGTGTCCCCAGCTCCCCCGCCAGCCTGCAGTCCCCCTCACGTTGGGACACGGTGGATTGTTTGAGGTCAGGAGTATGAGACCAGCCTGGCCAACATGGTGAAACTCTGTCTCTACTAAAAATACGAAAATTAGGCTGGGTGCGGTGGCTCATGCCTGTAATCCCAGCACTTTGGGAGGCCGAGGCAGGAGGATCACGAGGTCAGGAGATCGAGACCATCCTGGCTAATACAGTGAAACCCCATCTCTACTAAAAATACAAAAAAATTAGCCGGATGTGGTGGCAGGCGCCTGTAGTCCCAGCTACCCAGGAGGCTGAGGCAGGAGAATGGCGTGAACCCGGGAGGCGGCGCTTTCAGTGAGCCGAGATCGCGCCACTGCACTCCAGCCTGGGGGACAGAGCGAGACTCTGTCTCAAAAAAAAAATACGAAAATTAGTTGGGCATGGTAGCAAGTGGCTGTACGTATCCCCAGCTACTCGGGAGGCTGAGGTAGGAGAATCACTTGAACCCAGGAGGTGGAGGTGGCAGTGAGCCGAGATGGCACCACTGCACTCCAGCCTAGGGGAAAGAGTGAGATTCTGTCGGAAAAAAAAAAGTTAATTGTGGTTTTTGCCATTTAATTTTTTTCGTGCAATTACTTTTGCACCAACCTAATATTATCACGGGGCCGGCGTGAGCATTAAATGGATTACTGGGCCTCCATTTCATAGATGAGTGGACTGAGGCCCAGACGGGCAGCCGTCACCCCCATCTCACCCACCCCCTCCTCCCCGCAGAGTCCTCCGCACCGGAGCTGTGCTTCTGTGGTCCCAGCTACTTGAAAGGCTGCTGTGGGAGGATCGCTTGAGCCTGGGAGGTCGAGGCTGCAGTGAGCTGTGATCACACCACTGCGGCCTGGGTGACAGAGTGAGACCTTGTCTCAAAAAAAAAAAAAAAAAAAAGGCCGGGTGCGGTGGCTCACGCCTGTAATCCCGGCACTTTGGGAGGCCGAGGCAGGCGGATCACGAGGTCAGGAGATCGAGACTGTCCTGGCTAACACGGTGAAACCCTGTCTCTACTAAAAAAAAATACAAAAAATTAGCCGGATATGGTGGCGGGCGCCTGTAGTCCCAGCTATTCAGGAGGCTGAGGCAGGAGAATGGCGTGAACCCGGGAGGTGGAGCTTGCAGAGAGCCAAGATTGCACCACTGCAATCTTGCCTGGGTGACAGAGCGAGACTCCGTCTCAAAAAAAAAAATTAAAGAAATAAAAAAAGGAGAATATTGAAATTACTGTAGTTAATATTATAATTGAAATAGAACTTATAATAAATATAATAAGTATTATCTTCATTCTAAATATGTTTTTATAATAATGATTCAAATTAATACCACAACTATTGCAGTTAATTCTATATTGGAGGTAGGAAAAATAATAAACATAATTATTAATTTATTATCATAATATTAAGTTGGGGGCTGGGCACCGTGGCTCACGCCTGTAATCCCAGCACTTTGGGAGGCCGAGGCAGGTGGATCACTTCAGGTCAGGAGTTCGAGACCAGCCTGGCCAACATGGTGAAACCCTGTCTCTACTGAAAATACAAAAATTAGCTGGGAGTGGTGGCGCACGCCTGTAGTCTTAGCTGCTTGGAGGGCTGAGGCAGGAGAATCACTGGAACCCAGGAGGCAGAGGTTGCAGTAAGCCTCGATTGCACTCTAGCCTAGGGGACAGAGTGAGACTCTGTCTCAAAAAAAAAAAAAAAGAAAAAAGGAAAAGAATATTAAGTTGATGCAAAAGTAATTGTTTTTTTTTTGTTTTTTTGAGACGGAGTCTTGTTCTGTCGCTCAGGCTGGAGTGCAATGGTGCAATCTCAGCTCACTGCAACCTCCGCCTCCCAGGCTCAAGCAATTCTCCTGCCTCAGCCTCCCGAGTAGCTGGGATGACAGGCATGTGCCACCACACCTGGCTAATTTTGTATTTTTAGTAGAGACGGGGTTTCTCCATGTTGATCAGGCTGGTCTTGAACTCCCGACCTCAGGTGATCCACCCTCCTCACCCTCCCAAAGTGCTGGGATTACAGGCGTGAGCCACCGTGCCCGGCCTGGGCCTCCGTTTCATAGATGAGTGGACCGAGGCCCAGGACGGGCAGCCCTCACCCCCGTCTCACCCACCACCTCCTCCCTGCAGAGACCTCCGCACTGGCCTGGTGGTGCTGGGCGCCCACGTCCTGAGTACTGCGGAGCCCACCCAGCAGGTGTTTGGCATCGATGCTCTCACCACACACCCCGACTACCACCCCATGACCCACGCCAACGACATCTGCCTGCTGCGGGTGAGCCCCGGGGGTGGATCTGACGTATGTTTAGTTTTTGAGACAGTCTCTCGCTCTGTCGCTCGGGCTGGAGGGCAATGGCGCAATCTCGGCTCACTGCAACCTCAGCCTCCCGGGTTCAAGTGATTCTCCTGCCTCAGCCTCTCAAGTACATGGGATTACAGGTGCGCGCCACCAAGCCCATCTAATTTTTGTATTTTAGTAGAGACGGGGTTTCACCATGTTGGCCAGGCTGGTCTCAAGCTCCTGACTTCAAATGATCCACCTGCCTCGGCCTCCCAAAGGGCTGGGATTACAAGCGTGAGCCACCGAGCCCGGCCTACTTTTCTTTTCTTTTCTTTTTTTTTTTTTTTGAGTCAGAGTCTCGAACTGTCACGGGGGCTGGAGTGCAATGGCGCCATCTCGGCTCACTGTAACCTCCGCCTCCCAGGCTCAAGTGATTCTCCTGCCTCAGCCACCCAAGTAGCTGGGATTACAGGCACTCGCCACCAGACCTGGCTAGTTTTTTGTGTTTTTAGTAGAGATGGGGTTTCACTATGTTGGCCAGGCTGGTCTCGAACTCCTGACCCAGTGATCCACCCACCTCAGCCTCCCAAAGTGTTGGGATTACAGGCGTGAGCCATCGTGCCTGGCCATTTTTTTTTTCCAGGCTTAATTCACTTTATTTTTCGTGTATAAAACCCTATGTTGTAACCACAGCTGGAGCCGGGCGTCTGCACGGAGACTCTGGTGTGAGTCTTCACAAGATGGCCAGTGAATACCTGAAAGAGAGACTTGGGGAATACAGAGGTCAGGGGTCAGGCAGCTGTAGGTCTTAGAGAGGATATCAGAGGCGGCCTTGGCAAAGTGGCCCAGGGTGGCAGTGCAGCCCCTGGCTAAGGTGTAGCAGTCACCGATACCAGCCATCATGAGCAGCTTCTTGAGCACAGGCGCCCAGACGATGCCAGCGCCCCGGACACGGGGATCAGGCACACCAGCGCAGAGCCGCAGCGGCCTGTCACCTTGCCAGGGACGGTGTAGGGCTTGCCGATCTTGTTCCCCCAGTAGCCTCTGTGCATGGGGACAACGGAGAGCTTGGCCAGGATGACGGCCCCGATGATGGCAGTGGCTACCTCCTTGGAGCACTCAACACCCAGACCGACGTGGCCATTGTAGTCCCCGGTGGGAACAGACGCCTCGAACCTGGTGCGCTGGCCGGTGCGGATCTGCTTCTGCACCGGCATAATCTCCAAAACCTCGTCCTGGAGAGAGGCCCTCAGGAAAAGGTCAATGATCTCAGATTCCTTGATGGGCAGGGAGAAGAGACAGATCTCCTCCAGGGACATGATCTTTATGTCCTTGACCAGGCGGCCCAGCTTGGTGACAGGCGTCTACTCCTTATCCTCTGTCTTGCCTCTGTGAGCTCCGCGGCCCCAGCCCGGAAGCCAGTGCCGAAGCCTCGGGGGAAGCCAGCGCCGTTCCCCATCCCAGGGCCGCCCCACTGCACCGACGTCATCCGCCGTTTAGTGTTTTCCAGGAGAAGCAGCCCTGGGCTATTTTTTTTTTTTTCAGACAGTATCTCCCTGTGTCCCCAGGCTGGAGTGCAGTAGCACGATCTCGGCTCACTGCAGCCTCTGCCTCCCAGGTTCAAGCGATTCTCCTGCCTCAGCCCCCCGAGTAGCTGGGATTACAGGCGCCCGCCACCACGCCCGGCTAATTTTTGTATTTTTAGTAGAGATGGGGTTTCACCATGTTTGCCAGGATGGTCTCGATCTCTTGACCTCGTGATCCGCCCACCTCTGCCTCCCAATCCTGGCCTATTTTTTGAGACGGAGTCTCACTTTGGCACCTGGGCTGGAGTAAAGTGGCACAGTCAGGGCTCACTGCAACCTCCATCTCCCGGGTTCAAGCGATTCTCCTGCCTCGGCCTCCCGAGTAGCTGGGATCACAGGCACCCACCACCACACCTGGCTAATTTTTGTATTTTTAGTAGAGATGGGATTTCACCATGTTGGCCAGGCTGGTCTTAACTCCGGTCCTCAAGTGATCCGCCCACCTTGGTCTCCCAAAGTGTCGGGATCACGGGCGTGTACCACTGCGCCAGGCGAATTTTTATATTTTTAGTAGAGACGGGGTTTCACCATGTTGCCCAGGCTGGTCTTGACCTCCTGGACTCAGGCAATCCTCCTGCCTCAGCCCCGCAAAGTGCTGGGATTACAAACCTGAGCTGCTGCGCCTGGCCTGACTTAGGTTTTAAAGACAGTTGGACGTCAGGTCCCATTCCTCCTGTGCCCTGGACCCCCCAGTGGCTCCCACCTCCTGCAGGACAAATCCTCCTGGTGCCCACAGGCCCTGCTAATCCATGCCTGTCACCTTTCTGACTCGAGGCCAGCAGACCTCCCGGATGGGCCATCCCATCCCCAGCACAGTCTCCGCTCCGAGCTCTGCACCAGCTGTACCCAGTGCACCAGTTCCCCAGACACCGCGAGCCTTTCCCCTCACGCCTGTCAAGTCTTTGCTCAAATGTTACCTTCCCAGGAGGCCGCCCTGGACCACATACCCCCTCCCTGCAACCCTGTTCCAGCCCCGTCATCACCTGCTAACCCCTGGACCACCCTTCCGGCCCCGTCATCTCCTGCTAACCCCTGGACCACCCCGTCGTCACCTGCTAACCTGTGGACCACCCTTCCAGCCCCGTCGTCACCTGCTAACCCCTGGACCACCCTTCTAGCACCGTCGTCACCTGCTAACCCCTGGACCACCCTTCCGGCCCCGTCGTCACCTGCTTGTCACCTGCTAACCCCTGGACCACCCGCTTCCTCATTCCCGCTTCCTCTGAACCTAACGGGCAGGGATTTTTTATCACCTTTATGGCCATTTATGGCACACAGCAGGCGCTCAAAGTTTATGCTGAAATGGAATGAATGTGCCTCTCGGGCCCCTGCCCTGTGTGGAGGAGACGCTTAAAGTCCCTGTGTGGGGCCGGGCGTGGTGGCTCACACCTGTAACCCCAGCACTTTGGGAGGCCGAGGCGGGTAGATCATTTGAGGTCAGGAGTTTGAAACCAGACTGGCCAACGTGGTGAAACCCCATCTCTACTAAAAATAAAAAAATTAGCTGAGCCTGGTGGTGGGTGCCAGTCATCCCAGCTACTCGGGAGGCTGAGGCAGGAGAATCACTTGAACCTGGGAGGCAGAGGTTGCCGTGAGCCGAGATCGTGCCACTGCACTCCAGCCTGGGTGACAGAGTGAGACTCCATCTGAAAAAAAAAAAAAAGTCCCTGGGTGGAGTCCTCCGGGTGGGAAGCTGCTCCTCCCACACGTGGTGCATCCATGCAGACCCGCCTGGCCCCCTCCTGCTCGAGGGACGACCCCTTCCCTGACGCTTCTACCCAGCATCCCAAAATTAAATTCCAGAGGCTGAGGCAGGAGAATCGCTTGAACCCGGGAGGCGGAGGTTGCCGTGAGCCGAGATTGCGCCACTGCATTCCAGCCTGGACAACAGAGCAAGACTCTGAAAAAAACAAAAAAAAAAGGAGGAGGAGCAAGTGCCAGTAGCCAAAGCTTTTGGGTGAATTTTTCTCATCTGTGAAACCCTGAAGCCTGGAACCAGCGCTGGTTCACCCAGAGGCCATCGCACAGATGGGGAAACTGAGGCTGAGCGAGACATCAAGAATGTCAGGAATGAACCCAAGACGCACAAATCAGAGAACCAGAGACAGGGATTGGAGCCGTCCTTCCCAGGCCCATTAACTGAGCATCAGCTGTGTGCCAATTGCCAGGGCCAGGGCCAGAGGCCCGGTGCTGGGCCACACAGAGCCCGGGGTGTCACTCAGTCTTCACTGGGTAAACCGGCCTCAACAGGCTGCAGGGAGCCCAGAGAAGACTCACGTGCCAGCCTGGGAGTCTGGGAAGACTTCCTGGAAGAGGTGGCATCCATGCTGAGATGGCTGAATAGGAAAAGTGTTTCAGGCTGGGGGTCTGGTGTGAGGGGAGGTGTGTGGCAGGCCCAGGGAGTAGCTGTAAATTCATCCTGCCTGGCCAAAGGGGAGGCTGAGGCTGGAGAGCCCTCAGAGGCCCTGGCTGGTGAGCAAAGAGGTTTTGTCTTGAGGGCAATCGGGAGCCGTGGGAGGGCTTAGAGTAAGGAAGGAGATGGAGTTTGAAAGACTCTTTGAGGCTGGGCGCGGCGGCTCACTCTGTAATCCCAGCACTTTGGGAGGCTGAGGTGGGTGGATCACCTGAGGTCAGGAGTTTGAGAACAGCCTGGCCAACAGGGTGAAACCCCGTCTCTACTAAAATACCAAAATTAGCCAGGTGTGGTGGTGCACGCCTGTAATCCCAGCTGCTTGGGAGGCTGAGGCAGGAGAAATCGGTTGAACCTGGCAGGTGGAGGTTGCAGTGAGCCAAGATTGTGCCACTGCACTCCAGCCTGGGCGACAGAGCGAGACTCCATCTCAAAAAAAAGAAAAGAACAGAACAGAAAGACCCTTTGGGCAGCTGACGGTGACCCTGGAGGCCTGAGGGGTAGGGGCCTGTGTTGGCAGAAGGAACGGGGCCTCCTGACCCGGCCTCATGGTGGCCGCCATTGATTTTGCTTCACAAGGGCAGGACCAGGGGTCCCATGGATAAACTGAGGCAGGAGCGGGGGTGGGGAGGGAGCCCAGTGGCCTGAACTCATGCTCTCCCTGCAGCTGAACGGCTCTGCTGTCCTGGGCCCTGCAGTGGGGCTGCTGAGGCCGCCAGGGAGAAGGGCCAGGCCCCCCACAGCGGGGACACGGTGCCGGGTGGCTGGCTGGGGCTTCGTGTCTGACTTTGAGGAGCTGCCGCCTGGACTGATGGAGGCCAAGGTCCGAGTGCTGGACCCGGACGTCTGCAACAGCTCCTGGAAGGGCCACCTGACACTTACCATGCTCTGCACCCGCAGTGGGGACAGCCACAGACGGGGCTTCTGCTCGGTAAGATCCCCTCCCTGCTCCACCCACTTACTGTGTGGGGAAACCAAGGCCCACAGAGAGGGTCAGGGCCAGGAAGGGCCTTGGGAACTGAGTCCCATTGATGTTGGACCAGACGGAGAAGCTGAGGCCCAGGGAAGGCAGGGAGTTGGCAAGGGTCATGCAGGGCTGCCATGTTCAGCTGTGCAGGTTGCGCACTGCACAAAGAGCCAAGCACTTGTGTATTTATACAAGCAGTATTCAGTAGAGGGTAGTAACAGATTGAGAGGAAGCAGCTCCCACTCCTAAAACCTTGCCAGATAAACGAATCCCCAGGTGCCAAGGGAGACACTGGCCCTGGAGGGTCTTTTACCGCAGGCAAGAGAGCGACTTGGTTCAGGACACACACTTAGCCCAGCAGCCCGAGTCCAGGAGAAATGAGACTGTCCACTTTCCCGATGCGTGACCTTGGAAAAGTCACTTGATTTCTCTGGGCCTCTTTTTCTCCATCTGTAAAACTGCTACACTATTAGTATCCAGTTGATGGTATCAGAGCGGATTCTAGATGGCAGGAGGGTAGGATGAGGGATTTTAGGGTGAGTATACGGGGAGCCCTCTCCAAGGAGAGCACCTTTGAGCTGAGACTTGAAGGAATCCTTAGAAGATCTGAGGAAACACACGCAAGGCAGAGAGACCTGTTAGTAGAGGGCTGCCGCGTACAGCTGTGTAGGTTGTGCACTGCCCAAAACACTGCAGACTCGAATGTTCACACAGGCAGCATCCAGCGCAGGGCAGGAACAGGTCTCCAGGCTATACAAAGGCCGTGGAGCACTGAGGAGGCTCAGCGGGGAGGGCAGAGAAGTGGGTGGGGGCTGGGTCCTCAGGGCCTGGAGGGGAGAAATGAATTTACTTTTTCCTTGGAGAGCAGTAGGGAGCCACAGAGGGTTCTGAGGCAGGGAGGGCCGTGGTGAGATGTGCCTGCAGCAGCTCCCAGAGGCCCTGACCTCACCTCTCCTTTCACTCCAGGCCGACTCCGGAGGGCCCCTGGTGTGCAGGAACCGGGCTCACGGCCTCGTTTCCTTCTCGGGCCTCTGGTGCGGCGACCCCAAGACCCCCGACGTGTACACGCAGGTGTCCGCCTTTGTGGCCTGGATCTGGGACGTGGTTCGGCGGAGCAGTCCCCAGCCCGGCCCCCTGCCTGGGACCACCAGGCCCCCAGGAGAAGCCGCCTGAGCCACAACCTTGCGGCATGCAAATGAGATGGCCGCTCCAGGCCTGGAATGTTCCGTGGCTGGGCCCCACGGGAAGCCTGATGTTCAGGGTTGGGGTGGGACGGGCAGCGGTGGGGCACACCCATTCCACATGCAAAGGGCAGAAGCAAACCCAGTAAAATGTTAACTGACTTCCAGCCTCACCCGTGGGCGGTCAGCTGCAGGGTCCACCGGCATTCGTGTCGCGGCTCGGTCCGCAGCCCCTTTCCACCTTCCCATGCCCCCCACCGTGAACCCCTCTGGGTCTACCCCTGCGCCCCTGCAACCCACACTCCTGCAGCCTCCCACCTGGAATGCCGTTCCTCCACCTCCCTCCAGCCGCCTAACCACACCGCAGGCGAGTCCGCTGGGAAACGGAGGCCAGGAAGCCCTGAGCTCCCTGTGCAGGGCGTGGGGGCTGCTGGACACCAGGGCGGGCTTGCACCGGCCGCGCCGAGGAGTCCCAAGAGGGTCTGGCCACACATCAAGCCTCGTGGTCATCCTCTGAAAACCAGAGAATAGCGCGGGGTGCACAGCAAGTCCCAGGTGATGTTATTGTCACAGTTTGTTATTGTGTTATTATTTTTTTATTTTTAGATTTTATTTTCTTTATTATTATTTTATTTTTTTATCTTTACTTATTTTTATTTTGGATGGAGTCTCGCTCTGTCCCCCAGGCTGGAGTGCAGTGGTGCGATCTCGGCTCACTGCAAGTTCCGCCTCCCGGGTTCACACCATTCTCCCGCTTCAGCCTCCCAAGTAGCTGGGACTACAGGCGCCCGCCACCACACCCGGCTAATTCTTTGTATTTTTAGTAGAAACGGGGTTTCACCGTGTCAGCCAGGATGGTCTCGATCTCCTGATCTCGTGATCCACCCACCTCGGCCTCCCAGAGTGCTGGGATTACAGGCGTGAGCCACCGCGCCCGGCCTATTATTTTTTTAAGATGACGTCTCACTCTGTCACCAGGCTGGAGTGCAGTGGCGCAATCTCGGCTCATTGCAACCTCTGCCCCTGGGTTCAAGCCATTCTCCTGCCTCAGCCTCCCAACTAGCTGGGACTACAGGCATGTACCACCACACCCGGCTAATTTTTTGTATTTTTAGTAGAGATGGGGTTTCACCATGTTGGCCAGGATGGTCTCGATCTCTTGACCTCGTGATCCGCTAGCCTTGGCCTCCTAAAGTGCTGGGATTACAGGCGCGGGTGAGCCACCGCGCTGGGCCTTTTTGTTGTTGTTGTTGTTATTATTATTATTATTATTATTATTTTGAGACAGAGTCTCACTCCGTCACCCAGGCTGGAGTCCAGTGGTGCGATCTCGGCTCACTGCAACCTCTGCCTCCCAGGTTCAAGCGATTCTCCTGCCTCACCCTCCCAAGTAGCTGGGACTACAGGTGCATGACACCACACCTGGCTAATTTTTTTTTTTTTTTTTTTGAGATGGGGTCTTGCTCTGTCCCCCAGGCTGGAGTTTAGTGGCACGATCTCGGCTCACCGAGATTGGAGTTTCACCATGTTGGCCAGGTCGGTCTCGAACTCCTGACCTCATGATTCACCTGCCTCGGCCTCCCAAAGTGCTGGGATTACAGGCATGAACCACCACGCCCGGCCAATTATGCTATTATTATTATTTTAGAAACAGTCTCACTCTGTCACCCAGGCTGGAGTGCAGTGGTGCCAACACAGCTCACTGCAGCCTTGACATCCTGGGCTCAAGCCATCTTCCCACCTCCGCCTCCTGAGTAGCTGGGACCACAGGAGCATGCCACCATGCCTGGGTCTTTTTTTTTTTTTTTTTTTTTTTTGTAGAGATGAGGGTCTCACTATGTTGCCCAGGCTGGTCTGGAACTCCTGGCCTCAAGTGACCCGCCCGCCTTGGCCTCCCAAAGCGCCGAGATTATAGGGGTGAGCTACCCCACCCGGGCCCTAATCCTGTTATTTTTATTACTGCTATCGTTACACCCAAGTCATTCAAGACCGGGCCTCCATTTCTGGGTCCCAAGCCAGCTGGTGTCTTAGGGCTGCCCTAAGCCATCTTGTCTATCCTGTGTGCCCTCCCAAAAGACCTCCTTTCTCTCCCTCCCCTCCCGCTCTGCCTCAGCCCCTCCCGGGCTTGTCCACTGCCTGGAGAGGCACTGAGGCCCAGAGGCGGCCAGAGGCTGCCCAAGGACTAATGCTGGGTCTCTCTTCCCGTGCCTCCAGAGCACCCATGCGGCACCCCAGGCCCCAGGCTGCCCATCCCACAGCCGTGGGGGCGGCCTGAAGCCTTGAGAGAGGAGACAAACTGAGGCCTGGACACCCCAAAATGGCTTGAGTCTTTATTTCCTTGGTGAGGCAGGGCCCCAGGGTGGGGTGGGCTGCCTGGCTGAGGCTCCTGTAGACCCACCAACCTAGGGGCACTTTTCTGGGCACCACAGGTAAGGCACTGCCTGGGGGCTGGAGGAGGCTGGAGGAGGATGCCCAAGCTCCCCACATTCCTCACCCCAGACCGGGGAAGCTGGATATCCTCCGTGTTGTCCTCTCCCCATAGCTGGTCTGAGGCTGTGGTTTACACGCAGGCACAGGTAGGCGATTCTGAGCATCAACGCAGATGGAGGGGAGGGTGAGCCGTCGTGGGAGAACTGGCCCAAGACCAGCACCTGGCTGGTGTCGCCAGCCCCGGCTGCATTGGTGGGTGAGGCAGGTCTGGCTGGAGTCTGGGTCTGCAGGCCTGGCCGGGGCAGGTTGTGGGGGACCAAGGAGCCCTGGGTGTGAACCCCACTGTGGAGGCAGCAGGCACCTAGTGGTGCCACTGGGACACCCGGCTCCAGGACTCCGGATGTCACACATGCGTGAGTCTTGGCGTCTACACCCCCCTCGGGGCCAGTGGGTGAGCAGTGGCCCGTGGTCCCCGCCAGAGCTCCCCCAGAGTGGACTTGGCTCCGCCGGACACAGTGCCCTGCTCTGAGCTGCCGCTGGCTGCTCCACGTCTGAGACCACGCGACGTTGCCTCATGAACTGACGTGGACAGCAGCAGGGGAGACGCTGGGTGGTTCTGTGGCCAAGCACAGCCCGTGTCAGGAGCACAGGCCGTGCCCTTTCCCAGGGGGCACACTGGGCATTTCTCAATGGCCTTCACAGGACGCAAAGGGGCACACAGAGGCAGTGGGGAAGCTGGAGTTCTTGGGCTGGCAGGGAATGGTGGCAGCCTTCTTGGCCTTCATGAAGGGCCTGGCTTGCTGGGCTAAGGTCACAGTGTTCTGAGGTCCCCACACGCACTCAGACTAGACCCTCCGTACACACCCAGGCTAGACCCTCCATACTCACCCAGGCTAGACCCTCCATACACACCCAGGCTAGACCCTCCATACTCACCCAGGCTAGACCCTCCATACACACCCAGGCTAGACCCTCCATACTCACCCAGGCTAGACCCTCCATACTCACCCAGGCTAGATCCTCCATACACACCCAGGCTAGACCCTCCGTACTCACCCAGGCTAGACCCTCCGTACTCACCCAGGCTAGACCCTCCGTACTCACCCAGGCTAGACCCTCCGTACACACCCAGGCTAGACCCTCCGTACACACCCAGACTAGAGGCTTGGGGCTGAGAAAAGCAGTCATGCCTCTTCAGGAATTACCAGCAGAGAATGCCCAGCCCTCTTGATAGTAGCAATAATTAATAGGTTTATCCCCAAAGGAGCGGAAGTGTGGAATCCTCCCCGGCAATAGGTCTTAGGGTAGGGGCTGGGGCATCCTAGAGAAGGGCCCTAAATCAGGCGCTCAGTGTCCGGAACGCAGGTCTATCCCACCCACCAGCCGGCCCCCAGGCCTCCCTTCCTCAGTCCTTCCAGGATATCGTCAGGGAGGTTCTGGGATCCCCAAGTGGTCCGAATCCGGGCTCTAAGGAGTGTCCGTGGCATATAAATTAGACTCTGCTGTGGCAATAAATAACAGGGGATGATGGGGGGCCTCGGGCACCAGGCCCAGGCCTGTCCTGCAGGCTCACACGAAGTTCTCTTCCTCTTCTGCAGACTCACCACCTGGCGGCTCCTCAGGGGTGCCTGCAAGGGTCGATAAGAGCATTGAGGGCGCAGGGCAGGGGGTTCTCCGGCCCCCAGGACAGGCCTGTGCCCCCGCCCTGCGTCTGCACCTGCGCAGCTGCCCGCGTGGCGCACGCCGATGGAGCGGCCCAGGAAGCAGGTGGCCTGGCGCATGTGGCACGAGGAGATGTAGGTGACGTTGTTGTTGCCGCAAAGCTCCTGGCCGGGGCTGGAGGGCACAGGGCAGGGCGCCGCTCGACACACCACGCAGTGGGCGCTGCCCGTCTGGTCCACGACGCACGACTGTGGCCGCGGGCACACCACGTGCTCACAGGACTCTGCAGGCCGGGTGCCAGGGGAAGTTCAGGGGACATCTCGCTGAGAACCCCGCAGGGCTCTTGGCCCCAAGACCCACCCTTAACCCCCAAGATGCGAAAACCCTCTGGTAGGAGACACAAGCACCCCCCCGCCCCCCGTGAGCCCCCCTCTCCATTCCACCCCTCAGGCTCCACCCACAAGCCCTGCCCTTCCCATTGTACCCAGGAGCCACACCTCTTTCGTGAGCTCCTGCCCCTTATGCTACCCAAAGCCCCGCCCCTCCGCGACTGCGGGGCCGCCCACCCAAACTCCACCCACAAATCCCCGCCCATCTCCACCCAGGAACCACGCCCCAGCCAAGAGCCCCGCCCCTTACATGACCCAGTCTCACCCCCCTGGTTCCATCATGCCCCTCTGGTTACACCCACAAGCCCCTCTCTGAGTCACGCTCCCGCTCTGACCATGCCACATACCTCTTGCCCAGTGTGAGCCCCCAGAGGCCCACTATTTTCCAAATCCCAACCCTACAAAAGACCCTACCCCGTGATACTCCCTCGGAAGTATAAAGACGCCCTTACTCAGGCCCCACCGCCACCCATGTGACCTGTCCTGGGCTGGAGGCCCCGCCCCTACGCACTGCGGCAGCGGCCCCGCCCCTCCAGCAGGCCCCGCCCCTCCAGCAGGCCCCGCCCCCGCAGGCCTGGCCCTCACGCATTGCGGTAGCAGCCCCGATACGTCACGCTCAGGTCCGGGTGGTCCCGCCCCAGGCCCCGCCCCCGCCTACTGCGGCAGCAGCCTCGATACATGACGCGCAGGTCCGGTAGGTCCCGCCCCGCCCCTCCACAGACCACGCCCCCACGTACTGCGGCAGCGGCCCCGGTACATGACGCTCAGGTCCGGGTGGCCGCGGCAGCGCGCGGCGCGCAGCTCGCACTCGTCGCGGTAGGTGGCGCCGTCTGAGCCGCAGACCTGCAGCCGCGCCGGGAGCCCCGAGCAGTCGGGCGCGCACTCGCAGCGCGGGCGGCCCCCCAGCATGCGGCACGCCTTGCCCGGGCCGCACTCCACGCCGTCGCACGAATCTGCGGACAGAGGACACGCGCGTGGGGCCGGGCGCGGGAGGGTCCCGGGCGTGGGGCCGCGCGAAGGCCTCGGGGCCCCTCCCTGCGCCCCTTCTGCAGGGCGGAGGCGGGGGCGCCGTCCCAGGTCAGGGTCAGTCGGAGTCGGGGCCCTCGGGTTCCCAGGGGCAGGGCTCAGGGTCCGGGCGCGGGACCGGTGGGGCCGAGGTCCGCGCTGCGCCTGCGCTGGGGGGCGGGGGCTGGGCTCGGTGCGCGCGGGCCGGGGCGGGGGGGGGTCTCTGCCCGGAATCGGGGTCCAGCGGAGCTACGCAGCCCCGGGCCGCTCCTCCTTGCAGCTGGCTGACGTCTGCTCCCGATGCACGCGCTCTTCTGGGAAGGCCGGAGGGGCCCCAGCTGCGTCAGCCTGGGGTGTTCCGCCCTTGCCAGGCGCGAGTCTGGGGCTGCCAGGACCTTCCCCCAGGAGGCGTCGGGGAGGGCGGGGCGCTGGACGGCCCTCCTGGCCTGGGGAGCGATTCCAGGGGAGGGGGCCCCCCACAGCCCTAGGCCTCTGAACCAGGAGCTGCCCCGCAGCCCCGCTGCTCAGACAGGGATATTGAGGTCCTGCTAGGGAAGCTCTCTCTGGGGTCCCCGCCCCCGCTTTCAATGTGAATGCTCATCGCCTCCTAGGCTTATCGCATCTTCCCAAGTCATCATTTTACAGATGGGGAAACTGAGGCCGGGTCGCAGCTATGAGTGCAGGGGCCCAAGCACCTCAGTTTGAAAGCTGCAGCCAGGACCCAGATGACCAACCCCCTTTCTGTTATCTGGGGGTCTGGTAGGGCCTCTGAACACAGCTGTTGAGTTTATGTGCCAGCCTCAGTTTCTCTGTGTGTAAAGTGGGGCTGACGAGGGAGCCCCACTTCCAAGGCAGTGCGGCACTCCTTAGGGGATGGCCAGCGCCCGCCACGCAGCCCTTGCAGGGCATGTGGGCCGCACCTGGGCGGCCCCGGCACAGCGGCTCACAGGCACATCTGGAAATGCTCGGCCAGGGTGGCTTTTATGCGAGCGAGAACGGAAGGGGGCCTGAGTTCCGTCCCCAGGGCCAGATGAGGTTGGGGGTGGGGGGTCCTGGGCCGTCTCATGCCCAGGCCAGGCACTTTTTGAAGACTGTCCTTCTCCCAGAAGCCAGAGGGGGGTCTGGAGGGAGCAGGGGTATGTGGCAGTGAGTTCAGGACCACCCAGCCAGGCTGATCTGGGATTAATCACATCTCAGAGGCCAGCAGAGTTCCTCAGCCTGGCCTTCGGGTCTGCAGCCCTCAGCTTCAGCCTCCCCTTGGCTCCTCTGCCTGACCCCACCCACCAGGACCTAACCTCAAGCCATGTTCTCTCCTGATCCACTCTCCCATACCGGCCCCATCTGGCAAACTCCTAGACATCCCCCAACACCCCAGCTCTAATGCCCACCTCCTTCAAGATGTGCCCCAACAGGCCAGGCATGGTGGCTCACGCCTGTAATCCCAGCACTTTGGGAGGCCAAGGCTGGCAGATCACTTGAGGTCAGGAGTTTGAGACCAGCCTGGCCAATGTGGTGAAACCCTGTCTCTACCAAAAACATAAAAATTAGCCAGGTGTGGTGGCGCGCGCCTGCAGTCCCAGCCCCTGGGGAGGCCGAGGAAAGAGAATCACCTGAACCTCGGAGGCCGAAGTTGCAGTGAGCCAAAATCGCACCACTGCACTCCAGCCTGGGTGACAGAGCGAGGCTCCATCTCAGGAAAAAAAAAAAAAAAAAAAAAAAAAACCATCATCCTCCAGTGCGGAGAATCTTATTCATTCGTTCTGTGCCACTCGCCAACCAAGAGCCCCTAGTCTGATGTGGGAGGCATCCTCTCAAAACAGGGTCCCGAGGCAAATGCTTGTTAAACATGCAGCTGTAACCCCACCGCAGACCCTGGAGTCTGCAGTGAAGGTCCCTGGTGTGGACATTTGGGGTCACAGGCCAGAATGGCAAACCCACCTTCCCAGGAGCTAGGTGCAAGCCAGACATTTATCGACCAGGTGGGAAGAGCCACCCAGGCAGAGAGCTCAGCCCCAGCAAAGGCTGGAGCCACGTGGTCTCTTCCTGAGTCCTGAGCTGCAAGAGGCTGGAGCCTGGGAACCGGGAAGTCCCCCCAGTCCCTCTCTGAGGCTGGGATCCCCCTGCAGCCTCCTACATACCCCTGTGACGGGCTCAGTCCCTGGACGTTCGGCCCTCGACCACCATGACTGTTTGTGGCTGGTCCTGAGCTGAGACGTCTGCCCTGCTTCTGGCCTGAGGTCTCACCTTTGCAGGGAAGGCAGTGGACAAGGCCCAAGAAGCCGAGGAGGTTGATCTTGTTCCCCGGGTGGGTGAGGTTGGACCAGGCGGTGTCAATGTTGCCGGAGGCACAGCACTCGGCCCGGGTGACATCAGTCTGGAGCACCAGGCTGCAGGTGGCCTCCTGGCCCTGCTGGAGCCAGCAAACACCACCTGCGGGCCGGGGAACGGGGTGCTCTCCTGGGCCACTCCTGACACCCAGCTTCTGGCCCGCCCACAGATGCATGCAGGTGGTGCTGAGTAGTTACGCACGGAATGATCTACCCCCACCCAGGAAGAAGGGGCAGAAAACCACATGGGTGTCCCCACCCTGGCTCCAGAACCCTGGAAATGTCTCCTCCCCTCTGAGCTCCACGTGCCCCCCCCCACAGCCTCACCACCAACCCCCACCCACCCCAGGAGGTCCCTTCCCGTACCCTCCAAGCCCCCAGGCCAGGGGCTGGCACCCTGCCCAACCCCTCAAACACCACCAAACACCAGGCACTGGGCATGTCAGGGTCAGCAGGCCCTGGAGCCGCTTCTCCCGCCTCTGCCCTCTGTCTAGACAGCACCCGAGGGCGAGGGCACGCGGAGCCCCGCGCCTGGCAGCCCCCCCACCGCCTGGCCCGCCTCTTACTCACTCCAACTTGGGAACATTCCCCTTGCATGAGCTCACTGTCTCCCCAGGGACGTGGCCTTCGGGGAGGGGGCTCTGCTCTCCCTTTGGCGCAGGGCTGGGGTGGGGTGGGGCTGCAGGGATGGGGGGTGGGGAGCCAGAGAGCCCCCCATTTCTTCCCCCGTCCCTGGGGGCAGGAACGGCCACAGCCCCCATCCCAGAGCGCTTGCTGGTTCACAGACACTGCCAGGGACCAGCTTGTGGAACGCAGCACCTTGGCACCCATCATAGGAGGGGAAACTGAGGCCAGGAGTGGGGCCGTCTCCTGCCTGGCACCTCCCGGCAAGTCCCAGGTGTGAGACTCCATGCCCCGTCTACCCAGGACCCGGGAAAGCTCTCAGCCCCAGCTGGAGGGCCTGGCTCCCGACACCCAGCACTACCTCTCGGCACCAGGACCGACCCGGACGGTCGCGGCTAGAACCCTGGCTTTGCCTGCTACAGGCTGTGTGACCCTGAGCCTCAGTTTCCCCATCTGGAAGACGGAGATGAAGAGAGCTCCGGCACTATCGGGATGGCACAGGTTCAGGGAGGGGAGAGGTAGACACTAAGCGCTCAATAAATGTCAGCGGTCATTGTGATTAGAAACCTCTGCTCTGCTGACCTCTTGGTGACCCTCCTTCAGACCTTCCCGGCTCCAGCTTGCGCCGGACACCGCCCTCGCCCCCGCCGCCGCCGCCGCGCCCCCCGACGTCCCCCCGGCCGCATTCCGCGCAGCCCCACGTGGGTGGCCCGCCCCGCCCGCCCCTCTGGCCGCCCCACTCACCGGGCGCGGGGTTCCCCGAGCCCATGGAGCTCACGAAGCCCACGGCCCAAGCCAGGGCCCCCCAGGGCAGAGGCCAGAGTGGCCCTGGCGCCCCGGGACGCATGGCGAACGCAGAGACGGCAGCGGCACCGACTTCCCAGCGCGCGGCCGGCGCTCCCTATAAAGGTCCCGCGGGCCGCGGGCGGGGCGGGGCGCGGGGCGGGGCGCGGCGCGGGAGTGGCGGGGGCGAGGCCGTGTCCCGCGCGGGGTGGGCAGGCGCCGGGCCCGGCCGCTGCGGGGGGCAGTTGGGGGCGAGCGCCCGGGTCCCCTTCCGGAGCCAGAGAATGCATTTGGGGAGATGTGGCTGGACCCAGGGCGGAACCGGGACAGGGGTGTGGGTTCGAGGTGGTGGCAGCCTTTTGGGTGGATCGAGGGGCCGTCTCCAGGAATTAAAGTGGGTTTGGGGGTCTTCAGTTTCAGGGGTGGCGGTGAGGTAACGGGGACCCAAGAGGAGCACGTCTGTGGATCCCTGCATCCCGTTTCTGTGATTTGCATGTGGTCACTTTCATGGTCCAAGTGTGGTCTGAGCCCCCCAACCCGGCCTCCTTGTTCCCGACCCGCCCCACACACCCAAAACCTCAGCTGGATATGGTTCCCTGCTCACAGCGCGGGCCGCGCACCCGTCCACCTGGCCGCTGGAGCCGGCCTGTGGGTGGGGAGTGGTTGGGTGTGGGACAGAACGGGGTGCGGCCGGGACAGACCCAGAGACACAGCTCCTTCCAGCATCTCGGACAACAGCAGGCCTCGCCCAGCCACGGCCCCCAGGGAGGCCACTGCGTGTGTGTGTGTGTGTGTGTGTGTGTGTGCGCGCGCACGCCTGGCCTTTGTCCTGGGCCCCTGGGCAGCTCTGCCCCATCAGCCCTCCAAGCCTTTGCAGACATTCCCCCAGATCACCTCAACAAGAATGTTTACTAGGTTTTTTCCTCTCCCTCCAAGATTCAGCAAACACTGTTTCCAGCAGAGGCGTTTCCAACAATGTATGACAGCGACATCTGCGTGGGCCTGGAGGCGCTGCGCCCGAGGGGGCTTTCGTGCAGCCAGACACATTTCCTACTCTGGAGCTGATTCTGTCATGGGGGCCTCCAGATTTGTCAGGCGCCCTTGGCGAGCGCAGGGGAGCCCCTCTGTTCCTGCTTCTAGGGCATCAGTGAACATCTCTTTTGGCCAGAGGGACCCTGCGGGGTGCTGGGGTGCCACGGTGACCAAGGCAGACCCCATCACACCCTCACCGAGCTCCTGGTTTGGACAACAAAATGCAGAGACAAATTAATCTATAACTTCAAGGAGTGGTAAATGCTTTCAGGAAAATACAGAAGGTTGAGGTGGTGGAGAGCGGTTGGGTGTCTGCTGGGCATGCCTGTGTCTGGCCACTCGCTGTGCCGGCATTGCCCACCCCGCAGGTGGAAACGGACGTGTCCAGCAGCCCCACGGCACAGCCCCTTCTCTGGCCTGAGTGAGATCTGTGCCCACAGAAGACACACCTGTACCCTTTCCTCCACCTTAGCTGCCCAGCCTGTGTCCCCCAGCAGCCAGTGGCCAGGGGCCAAGTTCTGCCTTAGTGGCACTGAGGGGGGACACCCCGCCGTCTTGACCTGGCCTTGGCCTCTGGCATTTCCCCCGGGAATCTCCCCGGCTTGGGGAGCAGGGCAGGGACGGGACCCTGTATTCTCACTGAGGGGGGACACCCCGCCGTCTCGACCTGGCCTTGGCCTCTGGCATTTCCCCCGGGAATCTCCCCGGCTTGGGGAGCAGGGCAGGGACGGGACCCTGTGTTCTCACTGAGGGGGGACACCCCGCCGTCTCGACCTGGCCTTGGCCTCTGGCATTTCCCCCGGGAATCTCCCCGGCTTGGGGAGTGGGGCAGGCACAGGACCCTGTGTTCTCACTGACGGGGGACACCCCGCCGTCTCGACCTGGCCTTGGCCTCTGGCATTCCCCCGGGACTCTCCCGGGATTGGGGAGTGGGGCAGGGATGGGACCCTGTGTTCTCACTGAGGATGTGCGGGGGCTGGACAGTGTGACCTTGGCCAAGACCTGACCCCGCCGTGGCTTGGCCACTCCGGCCTGGGCTGTGCGAATCAAAGGGTCATTGTCTGGCTGGCGTGGGTTCCGGCCCTCTCCGGGGAAACCGAGGCCAGCTGCCAGTGGCCTCCTGCTCCCGGCTCTGTCTTCCCTAACCCAGAGGCTCTGTGCAGGGTGACCTCTAACAGGTCACTGACCCTTTCCAGAGCGCCGCCTCCTCCTGAGACCCCAGTGATGACCTCCCCTCTCCCGGCTCTGCCCCTCTCCCCACCCTATCCAGGCCCGAGGCTCATCCTAGGACTTCCAGCCCGCAGCCTGGCCCCTGCGGCCCACTTCCTACCCCAGCTGCCATAACACTTCTCCCTGGCTCAGACACCCACCGTGGCTCCTCGTGGCCTCTGCTCACCCCCCAGGCTTCTGTCTCCCTCCAGGTACATCCTGACAGGTAAACAGACAGTGACAATCCAGTGTTGTTCTGTGGCGGAGGATGCCCAGATGGCAAAGGTGCCCCAGGCCTGACCCGGGCCTGGGGGAGACTGAGGAAGGCTTCCCAGAGGAAAGAGACGTTGAGGTTGAGACTCGAACGTCAGACGGAGCGGCAGGGGTGTGCGCTGGAAACAGACGCTTGTGCTGTGAGTGAGGGGGAGAGCAGTGGGGGGTGGTCAGCAGAACGGCGGTCCCAGAGACCATGGGGCCCTCATCCCTAGAACCCGTGGGTGTCCCACCCTCCCTGGCCAAAGGGGCTCTGCAGATGGGACTGAGTTGAGGGCTTTCACACAGGGGTTCATCCTGGGTTATACGGATGGCCCACTGTCCTGGAAGGGTCCGTAGAAGAGGAGATGCCTGGCCGGGCGCGGTGGTTCACACCTGTGAACCACCAACACATTAGGTTCACACCTGTGAACCTCCAACACATTAGGAGGCCGAGGCAGGCAGATCACTTGAGGTCAGGAGTTCGAGACTAGCCTGGCCAACATGGTAAAACCCTGTCTCTACTAAAAATACAAAAAAATTAGGTGGGCCTGGTGGTGTGCGCCTGTAATCCCAGCACTTTGGGAGGCCGAGGCAGGAGGATCACTTGAAGTCAGGAGTTCGAGACTAGCCTGGCCAACATGGTAAAACCCCGTCTCTACTAAAAATACAAAAAAATTAGGTGGGCCTGGTATTGTGCACCTGTAATCCCAGCTACTTGGGAGGCTGAGGCAGGAGAATCACTTGAACCTGGGAGGCAGAGGTTGAAGTGACCCGAGATCGTGCCACTGCACTGCAGCCTGGGTGACAGAGCGAGACTCTGTCTCAAAAAAAAAAAAAAAAAAAAGGAGACGCCTGCCCTCTATGGTTAGAGACAGGATAAGAGAAGGACTTGGCTGCCATTGCGGGATTTGGAGATGGAGGAAGGGGGCTCAAGCCAGGGAATGTGGGCGGCCTCTAGGAGCCTGGAAAGGCGCGGAACAGATTCTCTCCTGGAGCTGCCAGAAGGAATGCAGCTCTGCCAACACCTCGATCTTCTCCCAGCCAGACCCGTGTGGAACTTTTTTTTTTTTTTTTTTGAGACGTAGTCTCGTTCTGTTGCTTAGGCTGGAGTGCAATGGCGCGATCTCGGCTCACTGCAACCTCCGCCCCCGGGTTCAAGCAATCCTTCTGCGTCAGCCTCACGAGTAGCTGGGATTGTAGGCACCTGCCACCACAACTGGCTAATTTTTGTATTCTTAGTAGAGACGCGGTTTCGCCATGTTGGCCAGGCTGGTCTTGAACTCCTGACCTCAGTGATTCACCCGCCTTGGCCTCCCAAAGTGCTGGGGTTACAGGTGTGAGCCACCATGCCTGGCCATTTTTATTTTTTTGAGACAGGGCCTCACTCTGTTGTCCAGGCTGGAGTGCAGAGGTGCGATCTCGGCTCACTGCAACCTCAGCCTCCAGACTAAGTGGGATTACAGGCGCCTCCCACCACACCCGGCTACTTTTTTTTTTTTTTTTTGCAGTGACGGGATTTTGCCATGTTGGTCAGGCTGGTCTCAAACTCCTGACCTCAGGTGATCTGCCCATCTTGGCCTCACAAAGTGCTGGGATTACAGGCATGAGACACTGCGCCCAGCCCGTGTGTTGCTTTAAGCCAGGCAGTTTGTGCAAATTTGTTATAGCAGCCGTGGGTGCCCACTGTGTGCCAGGCCCTGGGACCCTTCTAGGCCTGTTTTCTTTTTCTTTCTTTTTTTTTTTTTTTGAGACAGAGTTTCGCTCTTGTTGCCAAGGCTGGAGTGCAGTGGCGCAATCTCGGCTCACTGCAACCTCTGCCTCCCGGGTTTAAGCAATTCTCTTGCCTCAGCCTCCTGAGTAGCTGGAATTACAGGCATGCACCAGCAGACCCAGCTAATTTTTTGTATTTTTAGTAGAGATGGGTTTCACCATGTTGGCCAGGCTGGTCTCGAACTCCTGACCTCTGGCGATCCAGCTGCCTTGGCCTCCCAAATTGCTGGGATTACAGGCGTGAACCACCGTGCCCAGCCTATGCCTGTTTTCTTATCTGTAACATGGGCACAGACCCCAGTGTTAGAGGTTCCAGGTGGGATGTGGACAGTGCCAGGCGCACAGTAGGGCCATGGCGTGCATAGATTCCTGTTAATTACCCAGTCAATGGGTGCTCGTGCAGAACGGGACCATGGTGAGTCCCCTTTGCTGCTTGCTGGGAGGCTGTGAGGCAGGCGCCCCATTTATAGGGATGAGGTTGGAGGGTGGGAAGTGATTTTCTTGGAGTCACACAGACCTGCAGAGTCAGGACTAGGGTCAGCACCAGGTTCAGAAGCTTCCAGGACCCCTGTGCCTCCCATGGACCACACGACGAGGGCCAGCCTGGGGCTGGTTCCCCCTTTCTGCTCCCACTACTGCACTCCAGCCCGGGTGACAGAGTGAGACTCTGTCTCAAAAAAAACACAAAACCACCAGGACGAGTCAGTCCTGGAATTTTTTTTTTTTTTTAAGATGGAGTCTTGCTCTGTTGCCCAGGCTGGAGTGCAGTGGCGTGATCTCAGCTCACTGCAACCTCTGCCTCCCAGGTTCAAGCGATTCTCCTGCCTCAGCCTCCCGAGCAGCTGGGACTATAGGCGCCCACCACCACGCCTGGCTAATTTTTGTATTTTTAGTAGAGACAGGGTTTCACCATATTGGCCAGGCTGGTCTCGAACTCCTGACCTCATGATCCGCCGGCCTCGGCCTCCCAAAGTGCGGGGATTACAGGTGTGAGCCACCACGCCTGGCCAACGGCCCTGGAATTTTGCTGGGAGAGGGACAGGGACACCTGCTTCCTGCTGGGGCTGGAGAGGTGTGAGCCTGAAATTGCAGGTGGCTCTTTCTGATGGCTAGGGAGAGGCCAGCCCCGTGGGCCACAGAGCCAAAGGGGACAGCAACAATTCCCAGTGACATTGGAGGTCCCTGGATCCAGCTGTGCCTGAACTCCTCCTCCGCAGGGAGATGAAGCCAGTTTAAACCGAGTTTCTGTACCTTGGAGCTGATAATAATAACCATCTTTGTAGTCAGCAGGTTTGCATTCATGCAAGGAGAGCCTTTAGGACCCAGAGCAGCGTGTTCTGTGGGGCTCTAGGGAGCTCACCCTGCGGTACCACCTTCGGCCTCCAGGATGGGAAGCGGGTTGTGGCTTGGTACAGAACAGTCAGGGACACCCGGTCCCACCTTCCTGAGCCCAAAGATACTTGGCATTGGCTTACTGTCTATTGTCTGCAGCCTCTGAGCTAGAACTTGCCAACCCCTGGGCTCCAGGAGGCAAAGACTTGCTGGACTCCGGAGCCTGTGATGCTGATAACATGGCTCAGGCCTGAAGGCCTGGCCTGGTGGGCGGTGTGGGAACACTGGGAAGTGAGCTGGGCCCTAAAACAACCCCATCAGCCGGGTGCGGTGTGAGCTGGGCCCTAAAGCAACCCCACTGGCCAAGTGCCACGGCTCACATCTGTAATCCCAGCACTTTGGGAGGCTGCGGCGGGCAGATCATTTGAGGTCAGGAGTTTGAGACCAGCCTGGCCAACATGGTGAAACCCCGTCTCTACTAAAAATACAAAAAAAATTAGCCGGGCGAGGTGGCACACTCCTGTAATCCCAGCTACTCGGGAAGCTGAAGCAGGAGAATCACTTGAACCCAGGAAGCGGAGGCTGCAGTGAGCCAAGATCGCGCCACTGCACTCCAGCCTGGGTGACAGTGAGACTTCATCTCAAAAAACAAAACAGCTGGGCGCAGTGGCTCACGCCTGTAATTCCTGCACTTTGGGAGGCTGAGGTAGGCAGATCACTTAAGGTCAGGAGTTTGAGACCAGTCTGGCCAACATGGTGAAACCCCATCTCTATTAAAAATACAAAAATTAGCTGGGTGTGGTGCCGGGTGCCTGTAGTCCCAGCCACTCAGGAGGCTCAGGCAGGAGAATTGCTCGAACCTGGAGGGCAGAGGTTTTGGTGAGCCGAGTTCGCACCACTGCACTCCAGCCTGGACAACAGAGCGAGACCCCCGTCTCAAAAAAAATAAATAAATAAGGCCAGGTGAGGTGGCTCACGCCTGTAATCCCAGCACTTCGGGAGGTGGAGGCGGGTGGATCACGAGGTCAGGAGATCGTGACCATCCTGGCTAACACGGTGAAACCCCGTCTCTACTAAAAATGCAAAAAATTAGCCGGGCATGGTGGCGGGCGCCTGTAGTCCCAGCTACTCGGGAGGCTGAGGCAGGAGAATGGCGTGAACCCGGGAGGCGGAGCTTGCAGTGAGCCGAGATGGCACCACTGCACTCCAGCCTGGGCGACAGAGTGAGACTCCATCTCAATAAATAAATAAATAAATAAATAAATAAATAAATAAAAGAAATCTGACATGTATCGGGGGGACCCATTCCCCCCATATTTCAATATAAATTCTTTCTATTTTCCATAAGTGTCGGCTGGCTGAGAAATAAAGAGGAAGAGTACAAAGAGAGGAATTTTACAGCTGGGCCGCCGGGGGGTGACGTCGCATGTCGGTAGGATCGTGCTGCCCCCTGAGCCTTAAACCAGCAAGTTTTTTATTAAGGGTTTCAAGAGGGGAGGGGGTGTGAGAACATGGAGTAGAGCTCATGCTTCAAAGGGCAAAAAACAGAACAAAGATCACTTGCTTCTGAGGGAACAGGAGAAAAGGCAACACAGAACTACTGATAAGGGTCCATGTTCAGCGGTGCACGTATTATCTTGATAAACATCTTGAACAAAAAATAGGGAAACGTCTGACCACAAATTCACCAGGGTGGAGTTTTTCCCCACCGTAGTAAGCCTGAGGGTACTGCAGGAGATCAGGGCGTATCTCAGTCCTTATCTCAACCACGTAAGACAGACATTCCCAGAGCAGCTGTTTATAGACCTCTCCCCAGGAATGCATTCCTTTCCCAGGGTATTAATATTAATATTGCTTGCTAGGAAAAGAATTTAGCGATATCCTCCCTACTTGCATGTCCTTTTATAGGCTCTCTGCAAGAAGAAAAATATGGCTTTTTTTGCCTGACCCTGCAGGCAGTCAGACCTTATGGTTGTCTTCCCTTGTTCCCTAAAATCGCTGTTATTCTGTTTTTTCTCAAGGTGCACTGATTTCATATTGTTCAAACACACGTTTTACAATCAATTTGTACAGTTAACACAATTATCACGGTGGTCCTGAGGTGACATACATCCTCAGCTTACGAAGATAACAGGATTAAGAGATGAGAGTAAGACAGGCGTAAGAAATTATAAAAGTATTAATTTGGGAACTGATAAATGTCCATATTAAAATGAAATCTTCACAATTTATGTTCCTCTGCCACAGCTCCAGGCGGTCCCTCCGTTCGGGGTCCCTGACTTCCCGCAACAGACATGAGTCTTGCTGGGCTAAAATCAAGTGTGTTTGGGGACTTTATTTATTTATTTTGAGGTGAAGTCTCTCACTCACTCTGTCTCTCAGGCTGGAGTGGAGTGGTGCAATCTCAGCTTACTGCAACCTCTGCTCCCGGGTTCAAGTGATTTTCATGCCTCAGCCTCCCGAGTACCTGGGATTACAGGCAGGCACCACCATGCCCGGCTAGTTTTTTTTTTTTAACAAGATGGAGTTTTGCTCTTGTTGCCTAGGCAGGAGTGAAATGGCAAGATCTTGGCTCACTGCAACTTCTGCCTCCCAGATTCAAGCGATTCCCCTGCCTCAGCCTCCCGAGTAGCTGGGATTACAGATGCCTGCTACCATGCCTGGTTAACTTTGTATTTTTAGTAGAGACAGGGTTTCTCCATGTTGGTCAGGCTGGTCTCGAAGTCCCAACTTCAGATGATCCACCCACCTCGGCCTTCCAAAGTGCTGGGATTACAGGCATGAGCCACTGCACCCGGCCATTTTTTTTTTTTTTTTTTTTTTTTTGTTAGTAGAGATGGGTTTCACCATTTTGGCCAGACTAGCCTCGAACTCCTGACCTCAAATGATCCACCCGCCTCAGCCTTCCAAAGTGCTGGGATTACGGGAATGAGCCACCGCCCCTGGCCCAGTTTGGGGCCTTTACTCTTCCGATCATGGTGCTCGATACTGTTGGGTGGATGGCTGGTTTCAGCAGACGTTTGTGGCACAGGCCCCGCTCCTGGCACAGAGCGGAGGCTCCACGACACTTGATGAAGCAACGGTGGCCCAACCCCTGCCAGGATGAGGGTGGAGGGAGGAACTGTTTCCTTCCTCAGGAGGCAGCCACAGTCCAGTCCCAAAGCTGCCGCCTCAGGCAATCGGCTTCCTCCCTGGGCCTCAGTTTCCTCATTGGTGCAATGGGGCCAGCTGCAGTTATTTCTTCCCAGGGGGGTTGGGAGAAGTGAATACACAACCACTAGGTCTACCTGGGACGTGGTCTGCCTGGGCTTGGTCTGCCTGGGACGTGGTCCACCTGGGCTTGGTCCGCCTGGGACGTGGTCTGCCTGGGACGTGGTCCGCCTGGGCTTGGTCTGCCTGGGACGTGGTCTGCCTGGGACATGGTCCGCCTGGGACGTGGTCCACCTGGGCTTGGTCCGCCTGGGACGTGGTCCGCCTGGGACGTGGTCCACCTGGGCTTGGTCCGCCTGGGACGTGGTCCGCCTGGGACGTGGTCCGCCTGGGCTTGGTCCGCCTGGGACGTGGTCCGCCTGGGACGTGGTCCGCCTGGGACGTGGTCCGCCTGGGCTTGGTCTGCCTGGGACGTGGTCCACCTGGGCTTGGTCTGCCTGGGACGTGGTCCACCTGGGCTTGGTCTGCCTGGGACGTGAGAATGAGCTGTCAACACACCTCTCTGCCCCGGAGGGAGTGGCGCGTGTCATTCCTTTAGGAGTCCTCTCGTCTCATGTTTGCCGAGGCCCCCAGGGTTCACGGGGACGGGATCCTGAATTGAAAAAGGGGCTAAGAGAGCTCACGGAACCAAGCCCACACCTGTCGAGGTCCCTGGTGAGAGGAAATGGGAGAAACGGTGCCGTCTGTGGAACCAGGGTGGCCGGTGGGGCCTGGGGCAGGGTGCAAGTGTGTGCATTTGTGTGCAGCAGTGTCAGTGCCCACTGGCCGATTTGATCAATGTGCTACTGCCTTCAGGGAAGAGCAGCCTGCTTTTTGGTGTGTTTGGGATAAAGGGGTGGCCGGGCACTCTGGCTCACACCTGTGATCCCCACACTTTGGGAGGCCAAGGTGGGAGGATCCCGTGAGCCCAGGAGTTGGAGATCACTCTGGGCAACATAGCCAGATCCTATCTCTACAAAATAAAAATTTAAAACGATTAGCCTCACGCCTGTGATCCCAGCACTTTGGGAGGCTGAGGTGGGCGGATCACCTGAGGTCAGGAGTTGGAGACCAGCCTACTTAACATGGAGAAACTCCGTCTCTACTAGAAGGACAAAAATTAGCCGGGCGTGGTGGCACATGCCTGTAATCCCAGCTACTTGGGAGGCTGAGCCAGGATAATCGCTTGATCCTAGGAGGCAGAATTTGCAGTGAGCCCAGATCATGCCACTGCACTCCAGCCTGGGCGGCAGAGGGAGACCCATCTCAAACAAAACAAAACAAAACAAAACAAAACAAAAAAGATGGGGTCTCCATCTGTGGCCCAGGCTGGAGTGCAGTGGTCCGATCTCAGCTCACTGCAACCTCTGCCTCCTGCTCAAGTGATCCTTCTGTCTCAGCCTCCTGAGTAGGTGGGATCACAGGTGCCCGCCACCACACCTGGCTAATTTTTGTATTTTTAGTAGAGACACGGTTTCACCATGTAGCCCAGGCTGGTCTTCAACTCCTGGACTCAAGTGATCCTCCTGCCTCAGCCTCTCAAGGTGCTGGGATTACAGGCATGAGCCACTGTCCCCGGCCTAATTCTATTTTTGTAGAGACAGGGTCTCACTATGTTGCTCAGGATGGTTTTGAACTCCTGGTCTCAGGCGTGAGCCACCTCGCCCTGCTTAGTTTGATACAAAATCCCTACGTTCCTTCTCATTCCCACTGTGTTTCCAGCACCTGCTTGAGCCCAGCACACAGTAGACACTCGGCAACTGTTGGTGCATTTGGGAATCTACTGAACACCTACTGGTGCGCTGGGTATTGGCCTCACATATGGGGAGACGCCATTAATAACCCACAGATGTGAGGATGGCTGTGGGGGATGGAAAGGGGGCTCTGAGAAGTGGGGTGCAGTGGTGGATGGGGCAGCCTCCTAAAAACCAGGGGAAAGGGCCGGGCGCGGTGGCTCACGCCTGTCATCCCAGCACTTTGGGACGCCGAGGTGGGCGGATCACCTGAGGTCAGGAGTTCGAGACCAGCCTGGCCAACATGGCGAAACCCCAGCTCTACTAAAAATACAAAAATTAGCCGGGCGTGGTGGCGCATGCCTGTGATCCCAGCTACTCGGGAGGCTGAGGCAGGAGAATCGCTTGACCCCTGGAGGCGGAGGTTGCAGTGAGCTGAGATCGCACCATTGCACTCCAGCCTGGGCAACAGAGTGAGACTCCATCTCAAAAAAAAAAAAAAAAAAAAAAAAAAGCAGGGGAAGGAGAGGGGACTTGGGGAAGGGCACAGCCTTGCAAGGCCCAGAGGTGGGAACCTGCTTAGCCCACCCAAGGGGGCCAGTGAGGCTGGGGAGGGGTCAGCGAGGGGCAGGTGACTCGGGGCAGGCAGCAGAGCACAGAGAGGGCTGAGGAGGTGCCAGCGGTCCTCATGTCTGCTCCGAGCCAACGGAAAACCGTCAGGTTCTGCCGCCTTCTCAGAGGTTAGGCCACTTGCCTAGGGACACACAGCCAGTTCGTGGTTTGGCGTCGTTTGAACCAGGCCTGCTGCTCCTCCTGCACTTGCGGAGCGTGAAGGCTGGTGCAGGGGCTGCGTCTGGCAAGCCTCGCCCCTCCCCAGCCTGGGGTTTTCCTGGATTCCCAGGGACGGGGCCCGTGCGCTCTCTGGTGGTCAGAGCAGGAA
This sequence comes from Homo sapiens, assembly GCF_000001405.40. Taxonomy (NCBI): domain Eukaryota; kingdom Metazoa; phylum Chordata; class Mammalia; order Primates; family Hominidae; genus Homo; species Homo sapiens. Next base: position 665,027 of record NC_000019.10, on the reverse strand, counting down.
TGACTGGATTCGCGCTGCTGCAAAGACGACTGGAAGGAGGCTGAAGCCCCTGTCCCCAACCTCTGGACATTCAAAACCCTAAATGCAGGCCGGGCGCGGTGGCTTACGCCTGTAATCCCAGCACTATGGCAGGCCGAGGCGGGCGGATCACCTGAGGTCAGGAGTTTGAGACCAGCCTGGCCAACATAGTGAAACCCCGTCTACTAAAAATACAAAAATTAGGCGGGCGTGGTGGTGCCCAGCCTGTAATCCCAGCAACTCGGGAGCCTGAGGCAGGAGAATCACTTGAACCCGGGAGGCGGAGGTTACAGTGAACCGAGATTGCGCCATTGCACTGCAGCCTGGGCAACAGAGCCAGACTCCATCTCTAAAAAACAAACAAACAAACAAAAAATCTAAATGCACAGGCTCCAACTCTTAATTCCTCAACAGTCTCGCTCCAATGCCTCATTTTGCAGGAAGTCCAACTCCAACCAAATCCTATTCATCCCTCAGCCCTGGTTCCAATGTCCTTACCCCTCGGAAGCCCTCTCTCTCTTTCCCCAGGCAGAGCCAGAGTCACCCTTGAGTTCCACGCTCCTGTCCAATCTCATGGGACTGGGGGTATCTGCGTGCATTCAGCATAGGGTCTGGTGTGCAGTAGTTGCTCAATGAGTGTTGAGTGAAGAAAGAAATACACGCATGAGGCCGGGCGCGGTGGCTCATGCCTGTAATCCCAGCACTTTGGGAGGCCGAGGCGGGCGGATCACGAGGTCAGGAGTTCAAGACCAGCCTGGCCAAATATAGTGAAACCCCGTTTCTACTAAAAATACAAAAATTAGCCGGTGTGGTGGCGGGTGCCTCTAGTCCTAGCTACTCGAGAGGCTGAGGCGGGAGAATCGCTTGAACCCTCGGCAGGCGGAGGTTGCAGTGAGCCGAGATCGGGCCATTGCACCCCAGCCTGGGTGACAGAGTGAGACTCCGTCTCAAAAAAAAAAAGAAAAAAGAAATGCATGCATGATTGGGCCAGAACTAACCTCAGAAATGATCCTGGCCTGTGCTGGGTGATGATACCGTTTCTACTGATTAAATTTGGAAGCAGGGGTTAGGTTTCCTGCCTTCTCCGCACCCGAGAGGCGCCTGGGCCGTCAGCCCGTGGAGCATCTTGGAAACAAGGCCACAACCCACAGACCTCAGCCTCTGTCTGACCCCACGGGTCCCAGTGAGGCCCAGACAGCGCCCTGAGCCCCGGGTCTGCCTGTATTCCGCAGCGCTGAGGGAATGCCTGCTGTGTGTCAGGCGCTGCTGCGGGTCCAAAAATCCCTTTGCTGCGCAGCTGACCTGACAGTGCATCGGGAGGGAATCAGTGCCACGGAGCAGGAGGGCAGCAGAGAAGACCTTGTAAGCTGACATTTGAGCAAAGACCTGGAAGAAAGCCACGCGGGCGTCGGGAGAGCGCTGCACCGGGCAGCGGGCGGGGGAGAGGGCGCCTGGCGAGCCCCAGGAACGGTGGGGACAGTGGGCTGAAGTACCGTGAGGGGAGACGGCGATGAGGTAGGGAAGCACTGAGGGACACGAAGGCCTGGGCAGCTTCGGGAGGGGAGGAGGGCCTCGGCCCCGCCCCGCGCACGCCCCGCTTCTCGTCTCTTCCGCCGCCTGCTTTGGCCCCGCCCCCGCCGGAAGCCCCGCCCCCGCTTGGAGCCCCGCCCAACGGCCGGGCCTAGTTTGTCTCTCAGCGGCCACCGTCGCCCGGGCCGCTGCCCGCCGAGTACGCAGCTTTCGCCGCTCCCGCGCCCCCGCTCCGCCCCGCGTGCCGTGCGTGCCGTGCGTGAGCGTGCGCGGGCGCGTCGGCCGGCGAGGGAGCAGCAAACGGCCGGCGGCGGGTGCCGCGCGGGGGGCGGGCGGCGCGGAGTAGGTGGCGGCGGCCATGGCCGAGGCGTCGCCGCATCCCGGACGGTACTTCTGCCACTGCTGCTCCGTGGAGATCGTCCCGCGCCTGCCGGTGAGGCCCGGGCCGGGGCGGCGGGCGGCAGGGTCTGCGCCGCAGGCCTGAGGCAAGGCCGGGGCCGGGGTGGGGGTCGCTTGCGCCCGCCTCTTGCGCGAGCTGACCACGACGGGAAAACTGAGGCTCGGGGCAGCGCCGGCCCAGGCTGAATCCGCGGGGAGCCCGGGCGGTGCGCGCGCGAACCCCGTCCTGTACATGCGGGAGACTGAGGCCCGGGCGGGAGGCAGGGCCTGGCCGGAGCGGCGCAGCGGGATCGCGGCCGGGTGACCCCACATCCGCGGCGTTCCCGACCCGAGAGGCCGCGAGGATCCCAGGTGGGATCCCTAAGCCCGGTGAGCCTGGTTTTGCAAACGGAGAAACTGAGGCCCGGCGAGCAGAGAGAGGGTATTGCCCGGTGGCGCGGCGCGGGGCAGGGGCTGGGCCTGGCGGGGCTCGGACCCCGAGAATAACGCCAGGGGACCCCCGCCGAGCGCGTGGTTGGGGGCGCCGGCGCCTCGCTGCAGGCTCGCCTCGTGGAGCCCTGGCCGCCGCCTTGGAGGCAGGCCCAGGCCCGGAACGCCCCAGGCACTGTCCCGGGGTCCGACCGCGGCCCGCCGGCGGGGCTTTGTGAGCAGAGCCTGCGTTCCTCCCCTCCCGGGGCTTGGCTGCGCAGCCCACCCTTCCTCCAGGTGTTTACAGCCGCCCCTCACCGAAGAGGACCCTGGGCCTGGGCGTGCCGAGTGCTACTTCCTGCTCGTTTAGGGCAGTGTTTCCCACGCGGACCTGATGTCACCTTGGGGGAGGTGGGAGCAGCGCTCGTTGAAGGTGCTATTTCCAGGCCCCTTTTCCAGGGTTTCGGAGTCAGTAGGTGTGGAATGCGCTCAGCAGTCTGCATTTCTAATATTATTTTTAGGAATGGGGTCTCCCTGTGTTGCCCAGGCTGGTCTTGAACTCCTGGGCTCAAGCGATTCTTCTGGCTCAGCCTCCCAAAACGCTGGGATTACAGGTGTGAGCCACCGTGCCCGGCGGTGGTCTGCATTTTTAACCCGTGTTGCCCTTCGCCAGGCTGACGTGCAAAGTGGTGATTTAGTCGAGCCACCCGTGCTTTATAGATGGGGAAACTGAGGCGCGTGGTGGCTCAGCGGGAAAGTGGCAGAGCCGGCTCAGTCGGGAGCCGCTTGGCCAGCTTGAGGGGAGCAGCCGCAGGAGGTGGAGGGGTCTGGACTCCCCACCCTGTGCCCAGGGGAAGAGGCTGCAGGCATTGAGGATTTACTGTGCTGTGTACGTAGCCGCCCGGCTGTTGCTACGCTTTGACCCGTAAGAGAAGTCCAAGCCCCCCAGAAGCAGTGCAGTTCCCCGGGAGTAGAGACCCAGGAAGGGGCTGGAGGGAGTCAGGAGAAGCCGCCTGTCTCTGGGTCACAGAGGAGGAGCGAGTGCTAGAGTTGGGGCATGGCGGGAGAGCGGGGCCAGGCCCAGGAGTGGAAAGAGAGAGGTGTGGTTTCCTCTCTACTGAAGCCACAGGGCTTCCCCTCCCCAGCAGGAGGAACAAATAAAGTGAAATCTCGGGTGTGGGGCGAAGGTTGGGGAGCTGAGACTGAGCCTTGCCTTACTCCTCTGTCTCCCAGGGGTCTCGCTCTTGCCTCTTCCAGCTTTCTGTCCCCACTGGCCGTGGCAGGAGAGGCTGGTTGCCTGACAGCCCGCCAGCCTGGGTGAGTTGCAGGGCAGCCCCTTGCAGCCCCTTGAGCCCTGGGACAGGCCTGGGAAGCCCCTGGGAAGCCTGGAGTGGTGGCTGTGGGGGGCCGACACTGCCTTGACTCGGCTGCACATTTAGCTGCTCCTAGAGCCCGCACAGGACTGGATCCTGGTGTGGTGGAGCCACTTCCTCGCCCCGTGGCCTTGGACACGGAGGACCTTGACCTCCTCCGACTGTCACTGGGCCTGGGGAGGGCCTTCCTGTAGTGAAAGGAACTCTGTGGTGACAGGCCGCTGTGGTCTTTGCCCTCACAGAATTTACAGGCTGGCCAGGGAGCCAGCATGGAACAGTGATTGACAAATATTTAATCATGGACGTTGGTAGATTCCTTAAGAGCAAATAACTGCAGAGAGGGCTGCGGGGGCCTGCCCGTGTCCACCCCGCGGGTGATCCCAAGGGCATCTGCTTGTGCCTTTGGAGCAGGACGCAACAAGGCGCCCGTAGACAGCATGGCAGTGTCAGAACTTCTCCGTACGTGGCAGGACCCTGTCTCTACAGAAGACTAAAACAATTAGTGGGGTGTGTTGTTGCACTCCTGGAGTCCCAGCTACTGGCGGGGGCTGAGGTGGTGGGAGGAGCGCTTGAGCCTGGGAGGTGGAGGCTGCGGTGAGCCGTGATGGTGCCAGTGCACTCCAGCCTGGGTGACAAGCAAGACGCTGTCTCAAAAACGAATTTTTTATGCTGGGAAATGGGCACACCTGGCGTTTGTTCTGGGGAGGGACGGCTGCTCCGTATCTGGCAATGGGGAAAGTCCCCAGCCACAACCAGTGCCCTCGAAACGGGGCGTCTCTGCCGCTGGGGAGCTTGCCCGGCGGCTGAGTCAGGGGCGGCACTGCTGCTGCTGAGACACCTGGGCTGGCTGTCGGGAAGCTCCTGCCTGCCTCTGACGCAGGGGGGACTGGCTGCCATGGGCTGTGTGCCTGCCCACGAGGGCTTCTCCCAGGCAGCTGGGCCGTTCCGGGCCTCCTTTGCTGTCCTGGGCTCTGGGATCAGGCTGAGGCCCCGCGCAGCTGGGTCATTCTCTGCTGGGCAGCCTTGGCCTCAGTCTCCTCACCTGCCAAGTGGGTTTAGTGATGCGATTCGCTCCCCGTGGCATCTGGTGGGCACGTGTGTGCAGAGTGGCCGGCACCTGGCCGCTCTCCTGGTGACTCGTGAGGGTGTCCTGAGCGGGGAGCCACACTTGCGGTCGGGGGCTCAGGCGACGACGGCACAGGGGCAGCAGTTGCCCCCATGAAAGGCTGTGATGAGGCCGAGCGCGGTGGCTCACGCCTGTGGTCCCATCGCTTTGGGAGGCTGAGGTGGACGGATCACCTGAGGTCAGGAGTTCGAGACCAGCCTGGCTAACATGGTAAAACCCCATCCCTACTAAAAATACAAAAGATTGGCCAGGCGTGGTGGCAGGCACCTGTAGTCCCAGTGACTTAGGAGGCTGAGGCGGGAGAATTGCTTGAACCTGGAAGGCGGAGGTTGCAGTGAGCCGAGATTGTGCCACTGCAGTCCAGCCTGGGTGACAGAGCAAGACTCCTTCCAAAAAAAAAAAAAAAAGGCGATGACGAGGGTGTCTGGGTGTCTGAGCAGCAAAGGGAGCGTCAGCCAGAGTGGGGCGTGTGGCGGCAGGAACCAGACAGGCCAGCTGGAGCTCAGGCCACAGGCGGCTGCGCAGACCCAGACTCGAGCCTGCTGAGGAGGCACTGACTGGAGCTGTGACTGTAGGGTGTGGGCGAGAGCTGCTGAGGGCACTGAGCCCCCAGGAACCAGGCGGGCGCAGGGAGGTGGCCCTGCGTGCCGTCCTTGCCCCTGACCTCCCCGTCTCTGGGTGGTTCCTAGGGTGGTTCCAGCTCTGCCTGCCGACCCCCCACCCCCGAACGCCTGCAACCTCCGCAGTGTCCCCAAGTGGCGGTGAGAGGACGGTGGGGGTGCTGGGCCCTGCCGCCCACGGTGGCGGGGAAGAGCCGGCGTGGGCGGGGAGCCACCAGGAAGTGAGGGCTGCTACGGCCAGTGTCACTGATGGGGCCAGGCGGGAAGTCTCCCCAGCTGCCCCCCGGCCCACCCTGTCTTCTCCTGGTCCCTGCGGCGGCCTGGCCCGAGTCTTCAGAAGACGGCCTGGGTCTGTCTCTGGCCGCTGCTTGCTCTGTGTGTCTGCGGTTGTGCCAGATACCGTGACAGTGACAGCCTGCCCCTGCCTCTCAAGCGTCCGGCCAGCACCCTGGAGCGGCTCTGCACAGCTGGGTTCTCCGGAACGGGCTCCCTGCAGCACCCTGTGAACATGGAGCCTGGCGTTGTGATCGGGCACCAGCAATACCCCGGGAACCTGTGGATGTCGGCTGCCCTCTCTGGCCGGCTGGCGCTGGGGTCTGCCTCGGGCAGATGCCGGTGCTGAATTTCCTCCCACTTAGAACTCTGCCACCATGAGGACCTTCCTCTGAGCCTCGGGCGAGCCGTAGCACCCCTGGCACTGGCACGGATGGGCACCTGTGGGGTTCCAGTCCCTAGTGGTGGTGCCTGAAGCCACCTGGGAAGAAGAAGGCAGAGTTCGGGGCCTGGGCCGAGGCACGCCCTGGGGTGTGAGGCGGGGCCCCAGCCTGGGCTGAGGCAGTGGCTTCGCTCACGCCTCGTCCATCCAGCTTGTCTTGGGAGTGTGTGGTGCGTGGGGCCCAGGGACAGACGGTGTGAATGTGGGATGTGGTGGCAGCTGCTGAGGGCGGGAAGAAAGGGGTGCAGGCGCCGCACGTGCCCGTGCCTCTGGGGCTGCGGGGCCCACACACTGTGGATCAGCCGGGAAGCTTTGGGCACCCTTTAGGAAAACAGTAGCCAGCACGGGGGCTCCTACCGAGGCCGAGCACTGCACCATGACTCTCCCTGGGGTCTCCTGATGTGCACAGCTTCCCGAGGGCCCTGCCACCCACAGGGGCCGAGTCACTGTCACCAGGGGCCTGCCTGCCCTGGTCACTGTCAGTCATCTGGGGCCTGTAGGTCGCCAGCCCACTCCCCTCCATGCGCCTGGCCCTGGGCCCTCAGGACATGCGCCCCGTGCAGGCCCCGTGGATGAAGGGGCCTCTGCTGCCCTGCCAGGTCCCACCCGGGGATGAGGCCATCACGCTGCAGGGGTGCATGGGTGGAGCCCGGCACTGGCAGGGTCCCCCCTACCCTGGCTGCCTGGCCAGCTGTTGCTATGGTGATGATGCCGGGTGATCGTACCTCCTGCATCTGTTCTCTGACGGAGAGGTGAATGGATTCACCGTCTTCTGCTAGGGCCAGAGGCTCCAATGGGGCCTCTGTGGGGGCCCCCAGTGCGTGCTGCCCCCGGAGAAGGTGGGGCAGCTCCTTCACCAGGCCCCCTTGCCCAGGCGTTTCTACCTGCAGCTGCCCCGATTTAATACGAGACCAAGCGGTCTCTTGGCTGTGCCCTTGGAGGAGGAGGGCGGCTGGAGACCCCCAGGTCCAGCCCCTCCCACCGTCGGCCAGCAGAGGCTCAACCTCCACCCTGGATATCCGGGATCCACCTGTCACTTGCCTTCGTGACCAGAGCCTCGGTTCCGGCCTTCGGTGGCCCTGGAGGGGCTGGCCGGGGGCCTGAGAGACAGCCCAGAGCCCTGACAATACGCAGGAGTTGGGTCGCAGCCCTTGGCGTCCTCGATGGCACCCGGATTTCAGATATGAGTGAGTGTCCAGGCTGTCCTCTGTGACAGGGCAGAGGCTTGGAGCAGAGAGGTGACCTTTGAAACCCCTAGGGTGGGCGTTCCAGCAGCAGGGCCGACGTGCACAGGCCCCGACGCTGGAGTGGGTGCTGCAGAGAGAGGGTTCTGGACAGTGCTGTGGCACCAGGCCCCACGGCCGCTGCGGGCAGGACAGCGGGGGCCAAGAGGAGGCCAGGGCTGGGGCAGATGAGTGTGTATGTGGCCAGGTCGGGCTGTCGTGAGCCGGCAGTGCGGGTGGCGGGAGCATGCGTTGTGCCCTGGACTGAGACGGGAACCCGGGAGCCCGACAGAAAGCCAGTGATGCACAGAGGGGCTGAGCTCGGCACATGGGGACCAGAGCGGCCGAGCGCTGTGCCAGGCCACGTGGGCGTGTGCAGGGCCTCGTGCTTGTCCAGGAGAGATTCGGGGCTGGGGCTGGCAAGCCAGGGTCCTCAGAGGGAGACAGCTTCTCCCTCAGGCCCTTCTGGGGCTGCCTGACCTTGTGGATGCACCCAGCAGGAGAGATGGTGGTCGGGGCAGCTGCACAGCTGACTTACGTCCTGCCCTCAGTGGGGGCCAGTGCAGCTGTTCCAGGTCCACTGGGTGGTGCTAGCCTGGGGAGTCACCATGCAGGGAGAGCCTGAGCCCTGAGCTACCCCTCCATTCCCAGAGACCCACCCAGGCGATGGAGCGGCCCTGGGCTCCCGGTCAGCTGGCGGGCGGACGGCGGCAACCCCTGAGCCCAGAGGAGCCCCGATAGACCCGACACCGGCAGAAACCAGGGGTTCAGATTTGACTGTGAAGTCTCAGCGTGTTTACGTGGGGCGTCCCAATCCCGACACCCCAAACACACCCCAAGAACCGACGCCTGGGGAGAGTTGTCACGGCCACTGTGGCAGAGCCACACTGCTCCCACACTAAGCTCAGGGCCACAGTGGTGGTCGTTGGCTGCTTCCCCTTCCCCTTTCCCTTTTTCTTTTTCTTTTTCTGACACGGTCTCACTCTGTGGCCCAGGCTGGAGTGCAGTGGTATGATCTCGGCTCACTGCAACCTCTGCCTGCCGGGTTTAAGCGATTCTCGTGCCTCAGCTCCTGAGTAGCTGGGATTACAGGCACCCACCACCGTGCCCAGCTAATTTTTGTATTTTTAGTAGAGACGGTATTTCCCTATGTTGGCTGGTCTCGAACTCCTAACCTCAAGTGATCTGCCCACTTTGGCCTCCCAAAGTGCTAGGATTACAGGTGTGAGCCACTGTGCCCAGCCCTTTTTTTCTTTGTTTCTTTCTTTTTTTTGTTTTTGTTTTTGAGATGCTGCCTCACTCTGTTGCTGCAATCTTGGCTCACTGCAGCCTCCACCTCCCAGGTTCAAGCGATCCTGGCACCTCAGCCTCCCTAGCAGCTGGGACCACAGGCGCCTGGCCCATTTATTTTAATAGCTTTATCTCAGTATTTTCACACACCATATAATTCACCTGGTGAAACGTTTGTAGTATATTCATAAAGTTGTGCAACCACCACCACAGTCTAATTCCACAGCATTCTCACAGCTGCAAAAAGAACCCACCTCAGCCCTGCCAGCCGTCACTCCCCGTCCCCTCCCCCAGGCCCTGGTGCTCACACATCCCCTCTCTGTCTCTGTGGCTCGGCCTGTCCTGGACATTTCATAGACGTGGGATCACACGCTGCGTGGTCTTCTGTGTCTGGCATCTCTCACTGGACGTGATGTCCTCAAGATGCAATCCCCCCTCCCCCCCGCCGTGGCCTGGTCTGGGCCTTGCCCCTTTCCATGGTTGAGTCGTGCTCTGAGGTGCGGGTGGACACTGGAGCTGTTTGCATCTGCCGACGACGATGATGAACTGTGCTGCCGTGAACTCTCACCTGCCAGTTCTGGCCATGTGAACATTTGGTGGGCAGGTGTCTTCGTTTCTCTGGGGTCTGCGCCTGGAGTGAAAGTTCTAGCTCGTGGGTCATGGGGTAGTTCCATCTGGGGGACTTCTGGGCTCCCAGCAGGCCTGACGGGGTCTTGCATCTCGTCCTGGCTGGCCCTGGGAAGTGGCATCTCGCTGGGGCTGGCCGGCTGCGTTTACCCAGCGTGTTTTTGGAGGCATGTCCTGTACACGTCCTTTCCCCCCCCACTTTTCTTTTTTTTTGAGATGGAGTGTCACTCTGTCGCCCGGGCTAGAGTGCAGTGGCGCGATCTCGGCTCACTGCAAGCTCTGCCTCCCAGGTTCAAGCCGTTCTCCTGCCTCAGCCTCCCGACTTTGCCCGTTTTTAGTTGCGTTGTCTGTTTCTCTTTTTCTTTTTTTTTTTGGCAGGGTCTGGTTCTGTCACCCAGGCTAGCGCAGTGGTGGGACCACAGCTCACTGCGGTCTCGATCTCCTGGACTCAAGCCATTCTGCCTCCTGCCTCCCGCTCCTGCCTGTCTCCTCCCCCTCCTTAGTAGCTGGAGCTACAGACCCACCCCAGCATACCCAGCTAATTTGTTTTTTGTAGAAATGGGGTTTGGCCATGTTGGCTAGGCTGGTCTCAAGCTCCTGACCTCAAATGGTCTGCCCACCTTGGCTTCCCAAAGTACTGGGATCACAGGTGTGAGCTGCTGCACCTGGCCTGGGCTTTTTTTTCTTTCTTTCTTTCTTTCTTTTGAGTTGTAAGCACTTTTTTTTTTCCCGATACGGAGTCTCACTCTGTCGCCCAGGCTGGAGTTACAATGTCATGATCTCGGCTCGTTGCAGCCTCCGCCTCCTAGGTTCAAGCGATTCTCCTGTCTCAGCCTCCTGAGTAGCTGGGATTACAGGTACGTGCCACCACGCCTGGCTAACATTTGTATTTTTAGTAGAGACGGGGTTTCTCCATGTTGTCCAGGCTGGTCTCGAACTCCTGGCCTCAGGTGATTCGCCTGCCTCGGCCTCCCAAAGTGCCAGGATTACAGGTATGAGACACCGCGCCCGGCCAGCACTTTTTTTTTTTTTTTTTTTTTTTTTTTTTTTTTTTTTGAGACGGAGTCTTGCTCCCTCGCCCAGGCTGCAGTGCAATGGCACAATCTCAGCTCACTGCAACCTCCGCCTCCCGGGCTCAAGCAATTCTCCTGCCTCAGCCTCCCAAGTAGCTGGGATTACAGGCGCCCGCCACCACACCCGGCTAATTTTTGTATTTTTAGTAGAGACAGAGTTTCACCATGTTGGCCAGGCTGGTCTCCAACTCCTGATCTCAGATGATCCGCCCGCCTCGGCCTCCCGAAGTGCCAGGATTACAGGCCTGAGCCACCGCGCCCCCGGTGATGGCGGAGCGTGCCGAGAATTCGTGGGGCGTGGGCTGAAACGCATGTGGTGCCTCCCGGCCTCACCAGGAGCCGGGCCGCACTTTTTCTATATTGTAGATGGTGCCTCTTCACTCTCCCCTCACGGTGGGTTCATGTGCATCTGGCATCGTTTGCTCACCCTGGCCTTAGTCCCTCCCCACCCAGCCTGTGCTTCAGTGGCAGGAGCAGGTGAGGCAGGCACGGCGTGGTGTGGGCGGGGGCCCAGCTGTCGGCCCTCCCCTTGGGCACTGCACGCCAGACCCCCGCTTCTCCCCAGAGTCAGTGGGTGAGGCCGGGATCTTGCTTGCTGGAGAGGTCCCAGCCCCTGCCCCTGCGAAGACTGAACAGCCCCGGTGCAACCTGCATCCCCAGAGCCTGGGGTCGACCTTGGCTCCCCTCACAGCACTCCCCCATGCACGGTGGGAGCCTTGTCTCCTGTTTTTGTCTGTGTTACCTGGGGGTGGTCTTGGGACCCCCATGTGAGCCCCTGGCGTGATGACACGTGCCGTGTGAGGCCATTTTCACGTTGCTGCGATGGAGCACTTGAGACTGGGTCGTTCATAGAGAGCAGTTGATTTAGCTTCCAGTTTCCAGTTCTGCAGGCTGTGCGGGAAGTGTGTGTCGGCATCTGCCCAGCCCCTGGTGAGGCCGGGAGGCACCATGCACGTTTCAGCCCAGGCCCCACGAATGCTCGGCACGCTCCGCCATCACCAGGGGCCCAGCCATCCATGAGGAGTCCGCCCTGTGAGCCAGTGTCTCCAGCAGGCCCTTCAGCCCTGGGGATCCCGTTGCAGTGTGAGATCCACAGGGGATGGCATCCGTCCTGCTCGGCACAGCTGTGGCTTGAGGCTGGTGCTGGGGAACTGTGAACGTGGTTTTGGGACTCACCCACGGCTGTCCCTGGGCAGGGTCCTCACGTCTCCTCTGGGACATCACCATGTTGGCCTTGTGTTGTCCTTGGCTCTAGGGGGACCTGGGGATGGGGTCTTGCAGGGGTGTGGCCAGCGTGGACGTGGCCTCCCCCGAGCCAGGGGAACGGGCTGTGTGCGGGGCTGCCAGAGCGTCCTGGAAATGCCACTGTGGGGTATTGGGGCACCCCTCCGAGTGGTGCCACCTGTGTGAGGAGGTGCCCAGGCACTGGTGACGCCCGTCACGGTGGGGCAGGTCGGAGGGGCTCAGCCAAGGCGCTGATGACGCTGGTGACGCCCGTCACGGTGGGGCCAGGTCGGAGGGGCTCAGATCGCCGGGAGCCACCAAAGGGTCAGCGGGTGGCTGGCAGAGGCCAGGTCCCCTCGGCCGCCCTCCAGGACCCACGGGTTGGGAGCCACCCTGGCCTGCGTGTGCCTGGCCAGCCAGAGACCGCTGGGTCCGGAGCCCCTCTGTCCTCACACTTGGGGGGGTTTGCAGGTGATGCCGGCGTCACCGTGACCCGGCCTCCTGTTCTCTCCTGCAGGATTATATCTGTCCAAGATGCGAGTCTGGTTTTATCGAGGAGCTTCCGGAAGAGACCAGGTAATGCAGCCCCCTGTTGAAGAGGCTGGAAGAGCCAGCCGGGCCTCAGCTGTTGTAGGGGTGTGGGCTGTGCTGGCGTCCGCCCCGCCGAGTGTGGGGCCGTCAGGCCCTGGTGTCTGTGGCTCCGGGAGCACTTTTCTCTGTGCAGACAGCAGCGTGCCGTTCTCTTCTGTGATGGCCGGGCCGGGGCCAGAGGGGAGTGCCGGCAACCTGTGCAGCCGCTCACCTCCCTCAGCCTCGGCGGCTAATCTGGTGACCCAGGCCCTCCGGGGAAGGGGCCACGGGGGCCCTACCCACATTCTCACGCTTAGGAGGCTGTTGGGGTCTGCACCGGTTTATCGAGAAACCCGTGGTTTACTGGCGAGGGAAGCAGCAGCGGGTTACGGCACCAAATGCTGGGGCGGTGGCGGGTGGGAAGCAGTGCCAAGGACAATTCCTGCTCTCCCAACATAGGCTTTTGAGGGGAGGGAGCGCCTGGCGCATGGGGGCACAGGGTAGCCGGCACTGCTGACCTGCACTCTCTCCCCAGGAGCACAGAAAATGGTTCTGCCCCCTCCACAGCTCCCACAGACCAGAGCCGGCCACCGTTGGAGGTGAGTCGCCCGCCCCTCGTGCTTCCCGATCGTGTCAGCCTTGCTCGGGGCCCCGAGCGCCAGCCTGTCCCCACCTCGCCTCCCCGGCTCTCCCTGCCCGCACGGCGGAGGAAATTTTTCCCTCCAGGGGCCCGGGCCAGGGATTGGGGCGGCCCACGCTGCTTGGTTGGTTTCTTGGATGAAAGCGAAACTTCCACCGAGGCATCTCACACCAGCGGGGCAGGCTCTGCCCAATTCCTGCCTCCCTGTCTGCGTCTCCCTCCCACCCGGCACCCAGCAGGGCCCGTCTTGCTTTCTCCTTTGTCTTTGTGCCCTAGCGCCCCCAGCAGACTGCACGGGCCTGAGCCCCCGAGGTCACGCCCCCCTCCTCTCCCCAGCACGTGGACCAGCACCTGTTCACGCTGCCGCAGGGCTACGGACAGTTTGCTTTCGGCATCTTCGATGACAGCTTCGAGATCCCCACGTTCCCTCCTGGGGCGCAGGCTGACGACGGCAGGGACCCTGAGAGCCGGCGGGAGAGAGACCATCCGTCCCGGCACCGGTACGGCGCCCGACAGCCCCGCGCCCGCCTCACCACGCGGCGGGCCACCGGCCGGCACGAAGGCGTCCCCACGCTGGAAGGGTGAGGGGGCCCCGGGGGTGGCCGCGAGGGCCCCACGCCTTGAGGTCGGAAGTTCTGGCGCTTAGAATCCAGCACGGGTTCCACGGAAACGTGGCATCATCCATAGGCTCTCTGGAGAGGCCGCCCGGCCAGGCCCTCCAGCCCCCTGTGACTCCCCACACGGCCCTTCGGAGACAGAAGTATGCCGGTTCAGGGTGTGTGGGTTGACCACAGAGTGGGGCACCGTGTGCCTGCCAGGCCCACGTGCTCTGGAGACTGCTGTCCACACGCGTGTCGTCAAACGCTGTCCAGGCCTTGGGCCCAGAACAGAGCCTGGGGGAGCCGTCGCAGGGCCCCACTCCTGGTGGAACGGAGCCTGGGGGAGCCGTCGCAGGGCCCCACTCCTGGTGGAACGGAGCCTGGGGGAGCCGTCGCAGGGCCCCATTCCTGGTGGAACAGAGCCTGGGGGAGCCGTCGCTGGGCCCTGCTCCTGGTGGAACAGAGCCTGGGGGAGCCGTCGCAGGGCCCTACTCCTGGCGGTTGATGCTTTTATGGTTGTGTGTCTCACCTGCTGGAAATGTCATCTTTAAAAGTGGCTAATTTTGCCAGGCACGGTGGCTCAGTGCTGTATTTGCAGTTCTCTGGGAGGTCAAAGAGGGAGGATCTCTTGAGGACAGGAGTTTAAGACCAGCCTGAGCAATGTAGGGAGGCCCCATCTCTAATTTTTAAAAAGTAGCTGAGGCTGGGTGAGGTGGCTCACACCTGTAATCCTAGCACTTTGGGAGGCCGAGGCGGGCAGATCACTGAGGTCAGGAGTTTGAGACCAGCCTGACCAATATGATGAAACTCCGTCTCTACTAAGAATACAAAAATTAGCCAGGCATGGCGGTGGGCGCCTGTAATCCCAGCTACTCAGGAGGCTGAGGCAGGAGAATCACTTGAACCCGGGAGGCAGAGGTTGCAGTCAGCCGAGGTCGTGCCATTGCACTCCAGCCTGGGCAACAAGAGTGAAACTCTGTCTCAAAAAAAAAAAAAAAAAAAAAAAAAGTAGCCGAGAGTGGTGGACCTCTTCTGTGGTCCCAGCTACTTGGGAGGCTGAGGCGGGAGGATCGCTTAAGCCCAGCAGGTTGGGGCTGCAGTGAACCAAGATCAAGCTGCTTCTCTCCTGCCTCGGCATTAGAGTGAGACCCTGGCTCATAGTAAAATAAATAAATAGAAGCTAATCTAGAAGCTGATGCTGGCCCTGCCCTTGGTGCTCACCACGGACCTGGCAGGCCTGGCGCCTCTCCTGTGCGTGGGGCGGCCTCACCCCGTGACTGGCGCTCTCTTTTCCAGGATCATCCAGCAGCTCGTCAACGGCATCATCACGCCCGCCACCATCCCCAGCCTGGGCCCCTGGTGAGTGGGTGGGGGTGCCTGTCCCCATCCCCAGCCTGGGTCCCTGGTGAGTGGGTGGGGGTGCCTGTCCCCATCCCCAGCCAGGGTCCCTGGTGAGTAGGAGGGGGTGCCTGTCCCCATCCCCAGCCTGGGCCCCTGGTGAGTAGGAGGGGGTGCCTGTCCCCATCCCCAGCCTGGGCCCCTGGTGAGTGGGTGGGGGTGCCTGTCCCCATCCCCAGCCTGGGCCCCTGGTGAGTGGGTGGGGGTGCCTGTCCCCATCCCCAGCCAGGGTCCCTGGTGAGTAGGAGGGGGTGCCTGTTCCCATCCCCAGCCTGGGCCCCTGGTGAGTGGGTGGGGGTGCCTGTCCCCATCCCCAGCCAGGGTCCCTGGTGAGTAGGAGGGGGTGCCTGTCCC
Organism: Homo sapiens; assembly: GCF_000001405.40. NCBI lineage: Eukaryota > Metazoa > Chordata > Mammalia > Primates > Hominidae > Homo > Homo sapiens. Next base: position 649,840 of record NC_000019.10, on the reverse strand, counting down.
CATCCCCAGCCTGGGCCCCTGGTGAGTGGGGTGGATAGACGCACCTGCCCCAGCTGCCCGTCAGCCACTTGAACCCCACCTTCCACCTCCAGGGGAGTCCTGCACTCAAACCCTATGGACTACGCCTGGGGGGCCAACGGCCTGGATGCCATCATCACACAGGTACAGCGTGGCCACGGCCCAGAGTGCCTGCTGGGGGAGGGCTGGGCTGCCCACCCCTGGGAGCTGCCCCACTGCCTGGACCCACGAAGCCCCACAAAGGTCAAAGGGGATGCGGGCACAGCCTCCACGCTCTGGCGGGCACAGGGGGCAGCTCCGGCCTTCCTCCTGCCATTTCTGAGTCTTGGCAACTTTGGGGGTTCTCCTGTGTTCACGCGGAACGTTGTAGCAAAACCGCGGGGAGGACTCGCCCACAGTCACATGGTCAGGAGGCCACGCGGTCCCTCTTCCCGAGAGGTCGCGCCCTGACCTGCTTCCAAGTGCCACCCGTCTCAGCCTTGCTGAGGAGCCCTTGGAGCATTTTGTCACTGGCAGGACCCGACCCTCACAGTAGCCCACCAGCCGGAGCACGGCCCCCCCATTCCGCCGTCAGGGCACTCAGGAGCGCGGCCCCCCCCCCCATTCCGCTGTCAGGGACCCAGGAGCGCGGGCCTCCGCCCATTCCCCCATTCCACCGTCAGGGGACCCAGGAGCGGGGGGGCCGCGTGGGCTCCACAGTGATCTCCGACCCCGGGCGGGCTCCAAGGGGCCCAGGGCCCAGGACAAACGCGGCCTCGGTGCTTTTGCAGGTCCTGCAGCCTCGCGTTTCAGAGCCCCGGGCCGGGCCCCCGAGGAGCTCCCGGCACTCTCGCCTCTTGTCTTTCAGCTCCTCAATCAGTTTGAAAACACAGGCCCCCCACCGGCAGATAAAGAGAAAATCCAGGCCCTCCCCACCGTCCCCGTCACTGAGGAGCACGTAGGTATGAGAGCTCAGCCTCCCGAGTAGTGGGAATTACAGGCACCCGCCGCCACGCCTGGCTCATACTTGTATTTTCAGTAGAGACAGGGTTTCACCATGTTGGTCAGGCAGGTCTCGAACTCCTGACCTCAGGTGATCCTCCTGCCTCGGCCTCCCAAAGTGCTGGGATGACAGGCGTGAGCCACCGCACCCGGCCTCGAGCATTTCCCTGAAGGTGGGCTGGGAGGAGAGGGTTCTGTCCAGGTCCCCTCTGGCAGCCCGGGGGACACACACACGGCTTTTCTCCCCTCGCTGGGCTCAGGGGCGGCCTCCGGCTGAGGCTGTGGAGTAGCCTGCCCTTGAAGGCTCGGCAGGCCCCCCACGCCCGCTGTGACCGCAGCTGCACACTCCCGCAGGCTCCGGGCTCGAGTGCCCTGTGTGCAAGGACGACTACGCGCTGGGTGAGCGTGTGCGGCAGCTGCCCTGCAACCACCTGTTCCACGACGGCTGCATCGTGCCCTGGCTGGAGCAGGTGAGTGCCCCGCCCACCCGCCCCCCCACCCCGACCGCGGCCCTCCCGCCTCTAACCTGCCCCTTCTCCCGTCCCTGCCTCTGTCCCCACAAAGCACGACAGCTGCCCCGTCTGCCGAAAAAGCCTCACGGGACAGAACACGGCCACGAACCCCCCTGGCCTCACTGGGGTGAGCTTCTCCTCCTCGTCGTCATCGTCCTCCTCCAGCTCGCCCAGCAACGAGAACGCCACAAGCAACTCGTGAGCCCACGTCGGCCGTCGGGAAAGCACGGGGCCTTTCCCACCCACCCTCAGCCAGCGCCACACGGCACCCACAGACTGGGTGCCCCGGCGGCGCCACGCTTGGCTGGTCAGCGCTGCAGGTCCCGCCTGTTCCAGGGCAGGACCCGGGCCCGGCCCACCGGCCCCCTGGCTTGGGAAGGCGTGGGCCACATGGTCCCCTCTGGGGCGTCCCCAGCCTCCCCGTCCTCTGTCTAACCTCACCCTCTAAACGTTCAGCGGTGGAAAGATTTTTATAATTTTAAATTATTACTGCTTTGAAATAAACGGACGTTTGAGCTCACGTGGCGGCCATGCATGGTTTGTGGCGGAAGACGGGGCCCAGCGGCTCCCCCAGCGCTGAAGCACGGGGTTCAGCGGCTCCCCCAGTGCTGCAGGTGCCGCCAGGACGGGCCACGTGGGCCCCCAGCCTCCCCCTCGGCCGCCTCCACGACCCGGAGTAGGGGGGCTCGGGACCATGAGGATGACCAGCAAAATTCAAGAACAAAACTGCTCCAACAGACTTTTTTAAAGGAAAAAATATGTGTATCTTGAAAGCTATTTAAAATACACTACTTACAAAGAGAAGCCGGTGCTGTGGCTTTCCTTCTGCGCCCGTGCGTCAGGAAAAGGCCAAGCTGGGAGGCTGGTCGGGCTCTGCAGAGTCCGGTCCTGTCTCCAGGGGTCTGCGCCTCCTGCAGGGCTTGGCACCCAGGGCCGGCTAGCAAAACTGCTCTCCCGAAGTTAAGCCCAGGAGGGCTGCTGGCGAGGTAGCAGGGTGGCAGTGTCACTGGGTCGTGAAATTTAAAACCAGAAACACCAGCGTTAAAGCGCCAGGGCCCAGCGCCTCTGCCCCACGCTTCGGTCACACCTCAGCCACGCGGGTTCCTGGCCCCTTCTGAAAAGCCGGACCCCACTGCTCAAGGTTGCTGGATGCCTGGCCCGGGGTGCAGCCAGCTCGGGCACAGCTGGCAAGGCGTGGGGACCTGCGGGCTCAGGGGGCCGGGGCAGTGGGTTCATCTCAGTTGCTGATGATCCCACCATCCTGGGATCCAAGAATCAGACGATGGAGACAGCTAACGGAGAGGAGCCTCCAGCAGGACCACCCGTGTCCCTCCACGGTAGACGGCTCCTGCGCGTGGGAGGCGCGTGCCCCACGCCCCTACCTGTTCTCCAAAGACTCCCGCCCTCCGCTCTGCACCACACTCTTCACTGTGTCCCGCGACGTGTCTGCGTCAGCCCCCTTGGCCAGGTAACTCGGATCCCACCTGTCCGGACCGTGCGCAGGGCACCTTCTGGGCTGCTGCCGCAACGCCGTGGCGGGCCCTCCTGGTGGCCGCCCTCTGGGGTCGCGCGTGGCGGGCCCTCCTGGTGGCCGCCCTCTGGGGTCGTGCGTGGCGGGCCCTCCTCGTGGCCGCCCTCTGGGGTTGCGGAGCCGAGAGAAGCGTTGGGACTTCCATGACTGTGGCCGCCAGGGCAGAGTGCCAGCCCTGAGGGCGTCCACATCTCAACCCCAGGACCCGCGGACTCGGCTCCTCACGAGGTAACGTACCCGGTGCCCTAAGACGAGGTTGCATGGAGGACACCGAGGTAGGGAGGTTACCTCGGATCGTCCTTGATCTCCGGACTGAGAGAACAAGTGTTTTAGGCCCCGAGTCTGCGCGACAGGCTGGGCCGCCTGCTCCGGGTCACAGTCCCCCGGCCGAGCCGTTTTCCTGTTGGAAGATGGAGTTTTGAGTCAGGAGGCGTTGAGGGAGACAAGGCTCGGGTTCTGTGTGTCCGTGGTGGTTCTTGGGAGTTGGAGTTGGAGCTGGAGAGGAGGGCTGGGCAGGTGAGGCTTGCAGCGGCGGGACCTGGAGACTCGGAACTGGAGGGCCTTTGTCAGAGATGCTGCCGGGGTGTGCGCCTGCCTGTGAGGCTGGGACTTCCCTCGCGTGGAGTGGCCAGAGGAGCAGGACCGATTGGTTCGCCCCACCCAGGCATGAGCCTCGGGGGCGCTGGGCCCAGAGGACACCGGCACCCTGGTGGGGGCTGTGAGGCCGCATTGCTCGAGGTCAGACAGCAGTAAGAAGTGGCCGCCCCTGGTGTCTTCCCTGCCCCAGGAGCCTGCTGCACGACAGGACAGGGCCCTGGTAAGGCCCGCACCCCTGCGTCCCCGGGCCCCTCGCGCCTGCAGCCGCCCTCTCCCCATCCGCCCTGCCGCTCAGGAGTGCTTCGTAAGCGGAAGCACAGTTTGCAACAGTTTGGGGTTGTCTTATTTTCACTGCTGGCGATTTCCTGGGGAGCCGCTGGTTCTGTGCCCCCAGGCCGCTCCTCTCTGTTGGGGGGCCCCCACCTCACTGCCTGAGGACAACGGGGGTCCCCAGGTTTGGGCTTGCGAATAAGCTGCTGAGGGCTCTGTGTGAACCGGGATTTCACTGCCCTGGGATGTGCGGAGCTGTACGCCCATTCCACGCTCTGTTTTAGAAACAAAGAAACAACTGCTGACCTGTTTCTTTTTTTTTTTTTTTTTTGAGACGGAGTCTCGCTCTGTCGCCCAGGCTGGAGTGCAGTGGCGCGATCTCAGCTCACTGCAACCTCCGCCTCCCGGATTCAAGCGATTCCCCGCCTCAGCCTCTCAAGTAGCTGGAATTACAGGCGCCCGCCACCACGCCCGGCTAATTTTTTGTATTTTTAGTAGACACGGGGTTTCACCATGTTGACCAAGATGGCCTTGATCTCCTGACCTCGTGATCCACCCGCCTCGGCCTCCCAAAGTGCTGGGATGACAGGCGTGAGCCCCCGCGCCCGGCCTGCTGACCCGTTTCTTCGAGGCACATGTTACGTTCCTGCGTGGGGTGCCAGCAAGTTTTATTTCAGCTGTGGTGACCTGTGCAGCTCCCAGTGACAACTCAAGTGGCGACGCCCTCCGACTGGCCAACGTGGGCCGATCTCCCCTCACACTGCCAACCTGGGGACATCCTGGGTGCAGCCCTGTCCTCCACCCACTCCATGCCAGCCAAAGATGTCCCCAGAGGCCGCCTGGTGTCCCCTGGGGTGGGGCTCGCTTCTGTCTGCAGGGTGAGCAGAAGCTCTCGGGCCGGGCACGACCCTCCCTTCCCAGAAGGGTTTTCCGTGTCAGGCTGCTCAGCACCTCCCAGCAAGTGCCTCGGCCCAGTCTTCCTGTATTTATGTGGAAGGCGGCGGCTGGGGATGGAGCCCTGGCCGTCCCCGGGGACTTCACCAGGGCGATGCTGCTGTCGCCCCACACACAGAAGGGGAGACAGGCCCAGGGTGTCACTGCCTGGCTCCAGGCTGTGGGGCTCTTGGCTCTGACCTTTTCTCTGAGAGGCTGGAGTTTGACTCCCAGGGCTGTAGGCAGAAGTCCCAGCGGAGTCAGGATGTCAGGAGGGCGCTGGGCACAGGTGGGGGCGCCCCCACACCGACGGCCAGCCCTCTCTGCGTCCCGCAGGACAGCGGCATGAAGCCCCCAGGCCTGCCCTGCACCCAGCACGGCTCCTGCCCTCAGCCTCTGCCCTTCCCGGGGGATCTGAGGAGCACCGAGGCGTCGGCCTCTGCCCTTCCCGGGGGATCCGAGGAACACCGAGGCGTCGGCCTCCGCCCTTCCCGGGGGATCGGAGGAACACCGAGGCGTTGGCCTCCGCCCTTCCCCGGGGGATCTGAGGCTTATTTTGTCATGAGAACAGTTTCAGACACCGTGTGCATATTTCCGACGTCTGCTGTAACAAAAGACCACAAAGTTGATGGCTTACTACGTTTATTTTCTGGCGGTTCTGGAGGCCAGAGTCCAAACTGGGTCCCACTGGGCTCATATCAAGGCAGGAGCAGGCCGGTCCCTCCCGGGGGCTCCAGTGCGGAACCGTTCCCGCCTTCCCCAGCATCTGGAGGCACCCACGTCCCTCAGCTTAGGGCCCTTCCTCCCCTTCACGGCCACAGCGCGGCCCATCCCCATCTCTCTCTGGCTCTCACTGTCCCGCCTCCTGTCGTGAGGACCCTGTGAGGACACTGGGGCCCTGGACCCCCCACCCTGGATGCTCCTCCATCTCCGTCCCACCTGCAGGTGCCTTTGTCCTCGCAAGGCGTTGTATTTGCAGATTCCCGGGACGGGACCGGCTTCGAGGCTGGTGTTCTGCGGCGTCTGTCACCGTCTCCCCGGCCCCCTCCCCTCCCCTCCGCTCCTGCCCCCACTCCCAACGTGCTCCCCACCCCGAGCCCCTGCCTCTGCCGGGCCCTGCCTGGGACGTCCCCCTCGACCTTTCGACGTCTGCGTCCTTCAGCCCGAGAGGCGCCCTGTTGGGTCCTCGAGGTCCCCAACTCAGGATTGAACCTGCTTGGTGGCCACCACCCCCTCAGGCTGGGACCCCCCTGGAGGGCTCCTGGGCTGTGTCCACAGCGCCCGCACACGGTGGGCACTCAGCGCTTACAGAGCCCGCAGGGGGAAGAACAAGCGTGGCCGGGCCCCTCGCCACCAGCCCAGGCACCTTGGGGAGCCGCCGGCCTCTCAGGGCCTCAGGAGACCAGGACGGGCAGGAAGTGGGCGGACAGGTGGTACCGCCGCGTCCGGCCGCCTGGCCGGGGCCCCCCCCTCCTGTCCAGCGCCAGGAACATGGGCTGGCCGCGGCGGCGCCAGCGCTGTGAGGCGTAGGTGTTGTGGCCGTTCTCTTCGATGCGCTCCCGGAACCTGCAGTCCACGGTGTAGAGTCGCTGCGGGCGGGGGTGAGGCCGGCCCACCCTCCCCACCCTGCCCGCGCCGCCCAGCCCTGCCCGGCACTCACCGACCCGTAGAGGCGGCCCCGGCGGTTCATGGCCACGTAGAAGCCTGAGGACACTGCTTTGATGACCACGACGCCCACGTGTACAGAGCGGATCTCCAGGATGCCTGGGGGAGGCGGGGGTCGGGGAGGGCCTTGCTGGCTCACCCCCAGCACCGCTGCTGTCCGCTGTGCTTCGTGCAGGGCCCTCAGGACCACGACAGATACCAGGAGACCCCCGGGACCACGAGTCCCCTCCCGACCACGACGGACACTCAGGATCCCCCAGAGCCGTGACTGACACCAGGAGCCCCCCCCAGCATGTGAGGGAGGAGCAAGGAGCAGGCAGAGGGAACGGGAAGCAGGACGGCCCCCACGAGCTGGGGGAGTGCAGAGATCGATGAGGACCCCGTGGGAGGGCCAGGTCAGCGCTGTCCCTGCAGCTCAGCCCAAGAGCAGCATCTGTGTGTGTGTATGGCGGGGGGGCTCCCACACACCCAGAGGGACGGACGTCAGGGGGGCAGCAACACCACGAGGAAGGTTGGGAAAGGGTTCCTGGGATGTGGGAGTCAGAAGGGGCAGGGCCCACCCAGACCACTGATAACTGTCAATGAGCCAGCGACCAGCAGCACCCCAGGGAGCCCCCAGCCCGGCCCTCAGAGCTCACACCACCCCATATGGAGCCCCCAGCCCGGCCCTCACAGCTCACACCACCCCAGAGACCCCCCAGCCCGGCCCTCAGAGCTCACACCACCCCAGGGAGCCCCCAGCCCGGCCCTCACAGCTCACACCACCCCAGGGACCCCCCAGCCCGGCCCTCACAGCTCACACCACCCCATATGGAGCCCCCAGCCCGGCCCTCACAGCTCACACCACCCCATATGGAGCCCCCAGCCCGGCCCTCACAGCTCACACCACCCCAGAGACCCCCCAGCCCGGCCCTCACAGCTCACACCACCCCAGGGACCCCCCAGCCCGGCCCTCACAGCTCACACCACCCCATATGGAGCCCCCAGCCCGGCCCTCACAGCTCACACCACCCCATATGGAGCCCCCAGCCCGGCCCTCACAGCTCACACCACCCCATATGGAGCCCCCAGCCCGGCCCTCACAGCTCACACCACCCCATATGGAGCCCCCAGCCCGGCCCTCACAGCTCAGCTGCCCGGCCCACGCACAGTCACTGGGACTCCGGACTGGGACTCTGGACTGGAGGCCGGGCTGGCAGTGGCCTAGAGTGGGACACCGGTGGTTTATGGGACACCACAGACATGCTTGAGCGCCGACTGTATGCCAGCTGTCCTACCAAGCCCGCTCAGCAGCCCACGTTGCAGAGGGGCCAGTTGAGGCCTGGGAGTGGCAGAGCCAGATTTGGACGCCATCGTCTGTGGGTAGCCCTGGGTGAGCCCTGCCCCACCCTGAGCTGAAGTGTCTTGTCCAGCAAGGACCCTGGGGCCAGCCGCCACTCCTCACCCACACTCGCTCACCCCGGCCTGGGTGTCTGCCGCTTTGTCAGCTGGGTGTACAGTTCCCTGCGTGCCCGGCCAGCTCCCTGTCAAAGTGAAAGCTCCTCGGGGCAGCCTCCCAGCCCGACCTTCCAGGACACACAGGAACGTCTTTGAGGTGGTTGTTCTGGGGCGTCTGTGTCACGATCTCCCCTGGCCCCTTCCTCGCCCTGCACCTCCCCTCCCCTGGCAAGGTGCCTCCCAACACCGCCGTTCACTGTTCTGCGCACCCACCTGCACCCTTGTTCACGTCATTCACTGTTCTTTTTTTTTTTTTTTTTTTGAGACGGAGTCTCGCTCTGTCGCCCAGGGTGGAGGGCAGTGGCGCGATCTCAGCTCACTGCAAGCTCCACCTCCCGGCTTCACGTCATTCTCCTGCCTCAGCCTCCCGAGTAGCTGGGACTACAGGCGCCCGCCACCACACCCGGCTAATTTTTGTATTTTTGGTAGAGACGGGGTTTCACCGTGTTAGCCGGGATGGTCTCGATCTCCTGACCTCGTGATCTGCCCGCCTCGGCCTCCCAAAGTGCTGGGATTACCGACGTGAGCCACTGCACCCGGCCAACCGTTCACTGTTCTGTGCACCCACCTGCGCCCTTGTTCACGTGTCTAACTGCTGCGCGCCTCTGCTCTGGGAGCCCCAGGAGGGTGGGCGTCTCTGTCACCACTGGGTCCCCCATGCGGAGCACAGCACCCACAAGGTGCCCGATTAGTGACCAGCGAATGCACGAAGGGCAGGAGAGCCCTCAGCTAGCCCTCACCCCCATCACCGTCCAGCTGGGGAAACCGAGGCTTGGAGAGAGGCAGAGACTGTTCCAGGTCAGGCAGCGGAGCCAGGCCTCTGCCCCGGCCCGAGGCCACCCCGCCTGGCCATGCCCGCCATGGATGGACCGGCCCAGCCAGTCCCCTGTCCGCCCTCGTCACGTGCGGCCTAATGAGGGCCTTGGCGCCCAGATGAAAGCGGTGGGAAGGACAGGGGGTGATTACCTGCCCTGATGGTGGTGATTCAGGCGGCAGCCAGCGGGCCCGGGCCCCCTTCCCAGTGCCCCCCGCCCGGCGGGGACACCGACTCCCCTGGCCTCCAGGTACCCACATCCCCTGCTGTGCCCAGCCTCTCCTCTTGCTCCTGACATTCCACAAACACTGAGGGCCTACCTCAGTGTGCTCGGCAGACCCTGGGGACAGAGACGCCCGCTCCGTGACGTCCTGGGCCCTGTGGGGACCCAGCTCCGCCACCCCTGTCAGTGTGACCCTGGGCAGGTCCCATCCCTTCTGTGTGCCTCCTTGTCCTCACCTGCCAGATGGGGTGTCTGGGAAGAAGCAGAGGGGGCCCCGACTCAGGCAGCCCTGACTGGATTCTGTGATGTCAGGAGTCCGGAGGTCAGCCCCCCGCCGCTTCCGCCATGCAGCTGGGCCTGCCCCAGCCCCTCTGGAGCCTCAGTTTCCCACCTGCAGATGGGTGGCCCCACCCACAGGGTTGTACCACACGGACGCTTCTCTGCCCCTGAGCCGGGTCCGCCGCTGCAGCCTTCGCTTTAACAGTGCAACCCTCCCACCAGGCAGGCTGCACCCATCTCACAGACCACGGAAACTGAGGCCGAGGCTGCACAGAGGAGCCTCCGGGACTCCCCCGCGGGCGCAGGTCACCGTGAAGACGGCGGCCGCGTTGCCGTCACCCGCCGCCTCCCCACCCCAGGCCCCCGCCGCCCCGCACTCACTGTCCTGGCCGTGGCGCCAGCGGGTGCCCTGCACGCGGCCGCCGGGATCCACGCGCAGGAAGAAGTGAGTGGAGGAGAAGAGGCGCCGCCAGCGCACGTCGCCCTCCAGGTGCGGGTAGCTGCGCGGTCCCCGCGACGCGCTCGGGGTTCCCGCGGCGTCCGGCGCCCGCGCCAGCAGCAGCCAGGCCAGGCCCAGCCACAGGCGGCGGCGCATGACCCGGCACCCGGTTCGCTGCGCGCTCGTCGCTCCCGGGCGTCCGCGGCTCTGCCTTCGCGCGGCGGGGCCAATGGGGCGCCTCGGGGGCGGGGCCGGGTTCGCTGGGGCGGGGACGCCGGCCAATGGGGTGCCTCGGGGCGGGGGCGGGGTCCACTTGGGCGGGACCAGGCTAGGGCGCCGGCCAATGGGACGTCTCGGGGGCGGGGGCCAGGTGCACAGGGGCGCGGCCGTGCGGGACTCCGCGCTCGGCCTCCGCGCGTTTGTTGTTTGTCTCGCGGGGCGTGTCCGTGAGTCAGCCGAGTCCCCGGGCGGGCTAGGACCTCGGGTTGCGGGGGCGGGAGTGTGAGACGCGGGCCGCAGAGACCTGGAGGGAGACAGAGACCCGGAGGGAGACAGAGACAGAAAGACGGCGGCAGTCAAGAGACACAAGGAAGATGACCGGGAGAGACGAGAGAGACACAGAGACAGAGAGGGGCAGAGGCGGAGATGCTTGGGGACAGAGATGGACACGGGAGGTCCTGCCGCGTGCGTCAGCCGTGGGACCAGCCAGGCTCCGGGGCATGCCCTCGTGGGACTTCTCTCCCCGCAAATTGTAGTTTCCCGAAAGCCAGGCCCACAAGGGTGTGGGAATGCGCGGGTGGGTGGGCAGGTGACGACTGGGGACGTGTGTTTGGGCAGGTAGGTGGGCAGGAGGGAGGATAGCCACGTAGACCTGTCGGTGGCCGGCTGGCGGGGCACGTCGGAGGCGGCAGGAATGGGGCGGCCCCATTCGCACCCACACTTGCTCCTCCCTTAGAGCCATACCCCAGGCCCCACGGGGAACCACCCAGCAAGGCGGCTGGCCCCCACCCTTCCTCTGCCTGCCCCATGCGCTGGGCCCCAAAAGGTGAGCACAGTGACCCTCACAGACTCACAGCCAAGTGGAGGCATTGACAACTGGGGAAACCGAGGCCTGAGAGGGGCGGCGACCTCCGCTGTGGGGACACAGCTCCCAGCAGCCCAGTCCTGGCCCTGCGGCCACAGCCCCAGGTGGCACCCACCTTTAAATAGCACCAGGCTGAAGACATGGCGACCAGCCTGTCCTGCCGGGGAGCCCTCTGGAGGGATAACCGGTCTGGCTGGACGCTGGGATGCCTTCTTGGTGGCTCAGGCATCTCCTGACCCTCTCTTCCTGGCTTAGGCGGGTCACACAGAGGGTGTGGCAGGTGCCACAGTCTCAGGGACAGGGGTCCCCATGGCTGAGGTCCAGCCTGGCCTGGCTTCCCACACTAGAGCCCTGTGGCCAACACCCCAAGCTTCGGTTCCGCCTCTGTAAAATGGGCCAGTAAAGAGACGTCTGGAGGAAGACAATGAGACCCTCCACGGAGCACGCTGGGCAGAGGGCGCGGCACCAGACACTGAAGAAATGTCCACCGCCTTCTCGCCAGCAGGAGCCCAGGTCTTCCCTTCTTAGAGTGTCCGCCCCCCACCGCGGAAGGGTGATCTGAGGGCCTTGTGAGAAATGATGGGGATGGGACCCACAGCGGTGAGACTGGCCCCACCCCAGGCGTCTGAGTTTCTTTAATGACACCTCGGAAACATCACTCATATACCACACAATTCACCCACTTACACTGTACAGTTCAGTGATTTTATTTTATTATTATTTCTTTGAGACGGAGTCTGGCTCTGTCACCCAGACTGGAGTGCAGTGGTGCGATCTCGGCTCACTGCAAACTCTGCCTCCCTGGTTCAAGCGATTCTCCTGCCTCAGCCTCCTGAGTAGCTGGGATTACAGGCACCTGCCACCACACCCAGCTAATTTTTGTATTTTTAGTAGAGACAGAGTTTTACCATGTTGGCCAGGCTGGTCTCAAACTCCTGACCTCGTGATCTACCTGCTTCTGCCTCCCAAAGTGCTGGGATTACAGGCATGAGCCACTGCACCCAGCCAGTTCAGTGATTTTAGTACCTCGTAGAGTTGTGCAACCACCACGACTGTCTAGTTCCAGAAGATTCCATCACCGCAAGAAGAAGCCCCATCAGCTGTCACTCATCCCCTCTGCCAGCCCCCGGCACCCACACATCCCCTTCCTGCCTCTGTGGATGGGCCTGTTGTGGACATTTCATATAAAGGGGATCACACACTGTGTGTCCTTCTGTGTCTGGCGTCTTTCACTGAGCATGACATCCTCAAGGTGCATCCGCGCTGTGGCTGGGGCAGAGCCTTGCTCCTTTTCACGCCTGTAATCCCAGCTACTCAGGAGGCTGAGGCAGGAGAATCTATACAACCCAGGAGGCGGAGGTTGCAATGAGCTGAGATCATGCCACTGCCCTCCAGCCTGGGCGACAGAGCGAGACTCTGTCTCAAACAAAAACAACAACAACAAACACCGATCAGGGCTGGGCTGGCGCACGCTTTGTATTGAGTGGTGTCTTCCTCTTTGTAGCCTCTGTGGTTGGCCCAAAGGTAAGTCCCCACCCTGATCCCTAGAATGTGACATTTGCCTTATTTGGAAAAAGAGTCTCAATATATTGACACCATGAAGATCTGAACGATATGGAGAAGATTGTCCTGGGGCATCCTAAACGCGGTCACAATACGGAGACAGGAGGAGATTTCACACAGGCAGACGAGGAGGCTGCAGTGCGACCACAGAGACCGAGACGGGAGTGATGTGGCCGCAGGCCAAGCACACCTGGAGCCTTCAAAAGCTGGGAGAGGCAGGAAGGAGCCCCAGGGCCTCTGGAGGGAGCGAGGCCTCCACACACCTTGACTTCAGCCCCGCAGTCCTGATTTTGGACTTTTCATTTCCAGAAATGTAAGAAAATGAACGTTGCTTTAAGGCACCGAGTTTGTGGTAATTTGTCACAGGGGCTCCAGGGACCTGGGCCATCCCCTTCCATCTAGCGATTCTCGACTCTGTGGGGTTTGCTTGGTTGGGTTTTGTTTTGTTTTGTTTTTAGACAGAGTCTCGCTCTGTCGCCCAGGCCGGAGGGCAGTGGTGTGATCTCGGCTCCCTGCAACCTCCGCCTCCCGGGTTCAAGTGATTCTTCTGCCTCAGCCTCCTGAATAGCTGGGATTACAGGCACCCACCATGCCCGGCTAATTTTTGTTATTTTTATTGGAGATGAGGGTTTCACCATGTTAGCCAGGCTGGTCTCCAGCTCCCGGCCTCAGGGGATCCGCCCGCCTCGGCCTCCCGTAGTGCTGGGATGACAGGCGGGAGCCACCACGCCCGGCCAGATATATGGTTTCCCACTTTTGATGGTGATATTAAGTCTCTTCGTAAAACTTAAGCAAGAAAAATAATTAATGTTGTATTTATTAATTTATTTTTGAGACGGAGTCTCGCTCTGTCGTTCAGGCTGGAGTGCAGCGGCGAGATCTCAGCTCACTGCAACCTCAGTCTCTTGGATTCAAGCATTTCTCTTACCTCAGCCTCCCAAGTAGCTGGGATTACAGGCACCACCCACTACCACGTCCGGCTAATTTTTGAATTTTTAGTGGAGACAGGGTTTCACCACGTTGGCCAGGCCAGTCTCGAACTCCTGACCTCAGGGGATCTGCCTGCCTCAGCCTCCCAAAGTGCTGGAATTACAGGCATGAGCCACCATGACCAGCCAATATTGCATTTACTTAATACAGGAGTGGTGGAGACAGATGTAGTTAAAATAAATGGTGGGGCTGGGGGGTGGTGGCGGCTACAGAGTTGCGAGGCTGGAATTTGGGCAATGAGCTGTTTCAGAAACTGCTGTCTTATTCCAAAACCCAGATTATGTTCTTTTTTTTTTGAGACAGGGTCTCGCTCTGTCGCCCAGGCTGGAGTGCAGTGGCTCAATCACAGCTCACTGCAGCCTCTGCCTCCTGGCTCAAGCAATTCTACATCTTCCCACCTCAGCCTCCCAAGTAGATGGGGCCACAGGCAGGCACCATCACAGCCAACAAAATTTTTTTGTATTATTTGTAGTGATGGGGTTTGGCTACATTGCCCAAGGCTGGAGTGCAGTGGTGCGATCTTGGCTCACTGTAACCTCCACCTCTCAGGTTCAAGTGATTTTCCTCCCTTGGCCTCCTGAGTAGCTGGGATTACAGGCACAGGCCACCATGCCCGGCTAATTTTCGTATTTTTAGTAGAGACGGGGTTTCACCATGTTGGCCAGGCTGGTCTCAAACTCCTGACCTCACGTGATCCGCCCGCCTCGGCCTCCCAAAGTGCTGGGATCTCATCAAATAAAAGAAAAGACTAACGCATAAGGAATGGTGAAATAGTTCAGAAGTCGGTTTCCACCCAAGTTTCTGGCTCTGCCAGCCTGCAGGGGTGCAGGGGGTGTCTGTAGGTCTTGGCACACCAGGCCTGGCTGATTCAGGGCCAGGCAGGTGACCCCAGTAGTGGGTGAGGTCTGAGGTCACAGCCCGCTGGGGCACCCTGAGGTGGACTGAGGCAGGTGAGGGAGGGTGCTGCCGTCTGTCGAAAACATTCCCAGCCGGTGGCATCAGTGCGCTCACGCAGGCGTCGGCAGCAGCGTCTGGAATGTGCTGTAAGGAGGCTGCCAGGCCCTTCCAGAGTGAGGTCGAGTCCTCGTTCTGGGCTGATGGGGAAACTGAAGTGCCAGGGTTTGGGGATGGAGGATAGCTTGAGCTGAGGCCCCCGAGCCCCCGTGTGGTCAGGCCCCCTAACTGAGCCCCAGCTACATCTTTGCTCCCTCTCCCCAGCCCCACTCTGCTCAAATTGCTCCTCTGTCCACGCTTGTTCCTGCCTCAGGGCCTTTGCACTTGTTTTGTTTTGAGACAGGGTCCTGTTCTGTCAACCCAGGCTGGAGTACAGTGGCGCCATCTCAGCTCACTGCAGTCTAAACCTCCTGGGCTCAAGCAGTCCTCCTGCCTCAGCCTCCCGAGTATCTGGGACCACAGGTGTGCACCACCATGCCTGGCTAATTTCTTTTTTTCCTTTGGTGGAGACTGGGTCTCAGTATCTCGGTTGCCCAAGGCTTGTCTGGAACTCCTGGGCTCAAGCGATCCTCCCGCCGCAGCCTCCCAAAGTGCTGGGATTACAGGCCTGAGGCACTGAACTGACCTCCCTTTGCACTTTTTTTTTTTTGAGACAGGTTCTCGCTCTGTCACCCAGGCTGGAGTGCAGTGGCGAGATCTTGGCTCACTGCAACCTCCGCCTCCCGGGTTCAAGCGATTCTCCTGCCTCAGCCTCCCGAGTAGCTGGGATTACAGGTGCCCGCCACCACCCCCGGATAATTTTTGTATTTTTACTAGAGACGGGGTTTTGCCATGTTGCCAGGCATGCTTGCGTATTTGCCAAGCTGGTCTCGAACTCTGACCTTAGGTGATCCGCCCGCCTCAGCCTCCCAAAGTGCTGGGATGACAGGCCTGAGCCACCAAACCAGCTCCCCTTTGCAACTGGGATATTAGCCTGGAACACAGTTACCCCCAGATATTCCTATTCTCACCCTTCCCAAGCCTACTGCCCCACAGCAGGCGCTCCCGCCTCTGGCCTGCTGCCCCGGCTGAACGACACAGGTGGGCACACCTTCCAGGTTCCATTCTAAAGCTCCCGCCCTGCTCCTCCTAGGCAGGATCACGCGGAGACCAGGGCAGGCTCTAGGCTCCGAGGTTTATTTCATTCCCTTGACCTCACCCCACTTAGCAGGTGAATCCAAGCCTGCCGCTCCATTCGGCTCCTGCCCCTGAGGGCTTGGGGATTGGAGGGTAAACTGAAGCTGGAGGCTGGGAGTCTCGCGGACTGGGGCTTTCTCTCCTTGCAGCCTCCCTGAGGTCGCACGTGCTGTGTCTTCCAGCAACTTGGTGGCCCTCTCTGAGCCTCAGCTTCCTCCATGATAGACGGCATCCTAATGACTCTTACCCAAAAGTTGTCGTTGGAGCAATGAAGGTTGCGGACAGGAATCTCTAAATTGCAGATGCTGTCCTCGTTATTAGATGAGTATGCCTTGAAAAAAAAAAAAAAAAAGCCGGGCACGGTGGCGGCGTCTGCAATCCCAGCGCTTTGGGAAGCCGAGGGGCGAGGATCTCTTTACCCCAGCAGTTCGAAGCTGCACTGAGCTATGATCACGCCACTGCACTCCAGCCTGGGCCACAACGCGTCCAAAACAAAACCAAAAAAGAAAGAAAAACAGAAAAAAAGTCCGGATTTGAGGTCCTCGGGAAAACAGCCTGAGAGTGCCTCCCAGTTGCCACGGCAACAGCTCTGTCCCGCCCCCTCCCTTTAAAAACAGCAGGAGGAACCAATCAGAGCGTCCACCGGCGCATGCCTTCGCGCCTCCGCTGCATCCTGGGAGTCTACTTCCGGCTGGGGTTTCCCTTCGCAGCCTCCGTCGACCATGAAACCACAACTCCCGGCAGGCGGCGCGGGCGCATGCGCAGGCGCGGGCCGGTGGGGTGGCCTGGAGCGGCGTGCGTAATGTCGGCACTTTGCTGGGGCCGCGGAGCGGCGGGGCTCAAACGAGCCCTACGGCCTTGCGGCCGCCCGGGACTCCCCGGCAAAGAAGGTAACACAAAGGGAGACGGCCAGGCAGCCCGGGGGCCACGGCGTGGGCTCCTCCCCGCGCGGCCGGGGCCTTTGGCGCTTTGACCTTTGCCTCTTTGCACCTGGGCGTGCGCAGCCCACCGACCCGGCCCCGCTTTCCACTCGCCCTTGCCCGCTTTTCGACTGAGGCTCCTCCGTGCAGTCTGACCTTTGACTCGTGGTTTCTTATGCAGCCTCCTGACCCCAGGTGTGGTGTTTAGGGCTCTTAACCTTTGACCTGCTGCACCTCGAGTGCGAGGAACCCTCTCTCGGCGGTTCCGCGCCCGTGTTCGCCGCGGCGGGGCCCTTCCACCTTCGCTGTCTTAGTTTCTTTCCAACTTAAGCCCGTGCTCCGAGAGTTTCCGCTGCGTTTAGGGCTCCTTTGCCCTTCGACCCTTCGGCTTCTGCCTTTATGGAGGCCCCCGCCCACACGCCCGGCCCCGCTCAGCCGCTCTCGTCTTTCCCGCAGGGACCGCCGGTGGCGTCTGCGGCCCCAGGAGGAGCTCGTCCGCCAGCCCCCAGGAGCAAGACCAAGACCGCAGGAAGGACTGGGGCCACGTGGAGCTGCTGGAGGGTGAGCGCGACCCCCACGGCGGCCCGGGAGAGGAGAGTCCGCTCCCTGCTGCCGGGAGAAAAGGCAAAGGCTCAGATTCTGAGACAGGCTGAGGGCGGTCTCCACCTCTCGGGTCCCAGGACACGCCCAGACGGCGTTGCTGAAACATCTCTTGCACCGCTCATGGGCCCTGTCCTTGCTGAGCAGGCTCCTTCCTGGAGCTCTCGTAATTCCCCCTCCCCAGAACCCCACCAGGTGCTCCCACTTTCCAGGGACATAGGTGAGGCCCAAGATTATGTCTGGAGAGACCCCCCCCCCGGCCCCGCCGCCAAGGCCACATGTGCAGAGCCAGGATGTGAACCCTGAACTGACTCAGCTGTCCTGGCTTGGCTCTGGGGGGTAGGCGCCTAATGGAGACTGGATGACTGCGAAACTTGGGAGGGACAGCCCAGGCTCCAGCGGTGGCAGGCCCTCGTCCTGGCCTGGCTGGTGGTGTGGGAGGGAGGTGGGAGCTTCCCTGTGCTTGCTTCCCGCCGGTGCTTCTGTCCCACATCCTGTCTGCGTCCATTAGGCAGCCGGGAAGGGAGAGGCGGGAGAACCTTTATAAAGGGAAAAAACCTGGCCAGGTGCGGTGGCTCACGCCTGTAATCCCAGCACTTTTGGGTGGCCGAGGTGGGCGGATCAAGAGGTCGGGGGTTCGAGGCCTGGTGCGGTGGCTCACGCCTGTACTCCCAGCACTTTTGGGTGGCCAAGGTGGGCGGATCAAGAGGTCAAGGGTCCGAGGCCTGGTGCGGTGGCTCACGCCTGTAATCCCAGCACTTTGGGAGGCCGAGGCGGGCGGATCAAGAGGTCATGAGTTCAAGACCAGCCTGGCCAACATGGTGAAACACTGTCTCTACTAAAAATACAAAAATTAGCTGGGCATGGTGGTGAACGCCTGCAGTGCCAGCTACTCAGGAGGCTGAGGCAGGAAAATCGCTTGAACCCGGGGAGACTGAGACAGGAGAATCGCTTGAACCCGGAAGGTGGAGGTTGCGGTGAGCCGAGATCATGCCATTGCACTCTAGCCTGGGCAACGAGGGAAATTCCATCTCAAAAACAAAACAAAACAAAACAAAGCTCTCAACTGTTAATCCTAAAAGTATCTCCTGAGTTTTGGAGCACTCTGAAGGCGGACATCACGCTTGTCTTTTTATTTCAGCAATTTTTTTTTTCTTGAGACGGATTCTCAATCTGTTGCTAGGCTGGAGTGCAATGGTGCGATCTTGGCTCACTGCAGCCTCCGCCTCCCGAGTTCAAGCAATTCTCCTGCCTCAACCTCCCGAGTAGCTGGAACTACAGGCGCGCACCACCACGCCCGGTTAATTTTTCGTATTTTTAGTAGGGACGGGGTTTCACCGTGTTAGCCAGGATGGTCTTGATCTCCTGACCTCGTGATCCGCCTGCCTCGGCCTCCTAAAGTGCTGGGATTACAGGCGTGAGCCACCACATCTGGACACCTGGGTCCCCCCCCCCCTTTTTTTTTTTGAGACAGGGTCCTGCTCTGTCTCTCAGGCTGCAGCACGGTGGCCTGATCACGGCTCACAGCAGCCAGGAACTCCTAGGCTTAGGTGATTCTTTCACCTCAGCCACCGGAGTAGCTGGGACCACAGGTGCGCGGCCCTGTACCCGGCTTATTTCAACAGTCTTTTTTTTTTAGATGGATTATTGTTCTGTTGCCCAGGCTGGAGTTCAATGGCGCTATCTTGAGTCACTGCAACCTCTGCCTCCCAGGCTCAAGCAATTCTCCTGCCTCAGCCTCCCAAGTAGCTGGTACTATAGACACATGCCACCACGCCCAGCTAATTTTTTGGATTTCTAATAGAGACGGGGTTTCACCATGTTGGCCAGGCTGGTCTCGAACTCCTGACCTTAGGTGATCTTCCTGCCTCGGCCTCCCAAAGTGCTGGGATGACCGACGTGAGCCGCCATGCCCGGCCAGCAATAGATTTCCAACAAGGCTTCTTTAAAGAGATACAGAACACTTAGGCATTGATTGGTTGGCAAAAATGCAACCTGAGGCGGCACGAGCAGGAGCCGCGTTTTCCCTGCGAGCTAGTGGCTCAGCGTCCACCGGTGTAGACACTGGGAGCCTAGGAGTGTGTGTGTGGCAGCTCCACCAGCTGGGGGGGTCTTGCTGAGGCGGGGTGCGAACTTGCAGGCCATGGTTGAGCCAGGGAGTGGGCGGTTCAGGGTCCTGGGAGTCTGTGCAGAGGCCCTGAGCTAGACAGTGAGAGGGGCAGGGGAGGCGGGGGCCACCTGGATAGATTCTGGAGGCAAGCCCAGAGGAGGTACTGAGAGGTGGACGGAGGGAGTTGTCACAGACCCCGGGTTCTGGGCCTGTGCACCTGGAGGGTCTGAGCGGCCAGTGACCGGGGAGACGTGGTGCTGCAGGTTTCGGTGGCAGCTTGTTAGGGCTGCTGAGTTCTGTGAGGCTCGGGTGGGGAGGTGCGGAGGTGGTGGGGTGCGTGTGTCTGGAAAGCAGCGGGCAGACCTTACAACGTTGTTGGCAAGTATGAGGAATTCACGCCTTGGGTCCCAGCGAGCTCAGCCACCTGCACCTCCTGGCCTGGCTCAGGGTCCAGAGAGACGGGTGCTCGAATGGGGAGGGGGTCCCTCTCATGTCCTCGCCTTCTGCCCCTCACAGTGCTCCAGGCGCGGGTGCGGCAGCTGCAGGCTGAGAGCGTGTCGGAGGTGGTGGTGAACAGGGTGGATGTGGCGCGGCTCCCAGAATGTGGCAGTGGAGATGGTAGCCTCCAGCCACCCAGGAAGGTCCAGATGGGGGCCAAGGATGCCACCCCGGTGCCCTGTGGCCGCTGGGCAAAGATACTGGAGAAGGATAAGCGGACCCAGCAGATGCGTATGCAGCGGTTGAAGGCGAAGCTGCAGATGCCATTCCAGAGCGGGGAGTTCAAGGCGCTGACCAGGCGCCTGCAGGTGGAGCCCCGGCTCCTGAGCAAGCAGATGGCCGGGTGCCTGGAGGACTGCACGCGCCAGGCCCCCGAGAGCCCCTGGGAGGAGCAGCTGGCCCGGCTGCTGCAGGAGGCCCCTGGGAAGCTGAGCCTCGATGTGGAGCAGGCCCCGTCGGGGCAGCACTCGCAGGCCCAGCTCTCAGGTCAGCAGCAGAGGCTCCTGGCCTTCTTCAAGTGCTGCCTGCTCACTGACCAGCTGCCCCTCGCCCACCACCTGCTGGTCGTCCACCACGGCCAGCGGCAGAAGCGGAAGCTGCTCACGCTGGACATGTACAACGCCGTGATGCTTGGCTGGGCGCGGCAGGTGAGTGCAGCCGGGAGCCGGGCCACCTGCCCTGGTCGTTGGAGACAGGAACTTGCCCTCATTTAGACTGGACTTTTCTCTCTTAGCCCCCAGGTTCAAGTCCTTTGTTTTTTATTTTAATAATTCTTTTAGGCTTTTCAAATACAAATCACGTGTGACTCTCAAATTTTGAAAATGACCAAAAAAGTAGGGAGAAATTCTGCTAATGCCTTGAGCATTTCCTTCCGTTCTTTCTCGGGGCTCGTGAATCTGTCTGGGCAGGGGTGCTTTTGGCCTCGTCGGGGGGCAGCCTGCAGAGCCCTCGTCAGGATGAGGCTTTGGTGTTGGGGTTGACTTTGCTCCTTTTTCTGGTTTCCTGAGGTGGAAGGTCGGGCTGCTGTGCTGAGATCCTTCTGTGTGAAATGTGGGTGTTCACTGGCGCCGCATTCCCTCTGAGCACAGCTTTAGATGTATCCCACCCATCTTCGTTGTGGTTCATCTGGAGTATTTTCCAATTTCCCTTGCCGTTTTCTTTTTGTTTGTTTATTTATTTGTTTTCTGGGACATACTCTCCCTGTTACTAGGTTGGAGTGCGGTGGTGCGATCTCGGCTCATGGCCACCTCCACCTCCCAGGTTCAAGTGATTATCCTGCCTCAGCCTCCTAAGTAGCTGGAGTTACAGGTGCCCGCCACCACCCCCGATTAATTTTTGTATTTTGAGTAGAGACGGGGGTTTCACCGTGTTGGCCAAGCTGGTCTCAAACTCCTGACCTCGTGATCTGCCCCCCTGAGCCTCCCGAGGAGCTGAGATTACAGGCGTGAGCCACCGTATCCGGCCAAAGTTTCTCCTCGGAACTCTTGGTTGTTTTGGAGGGTGTTGTTTACACACCCTTTCAAAGCAGCAAACGTTCCCAGCTTTCTCCCCCCCCATGATCCTTCAGCCCTAATTTGAGAAACAACAGTAAAAGCTTCTCTTAATATTTGGGTAAACATGGGATACTATTATATTAAAATACAGATATCGCAATATTAAGACCAATTCGTGGTAGAGAACTTGATGTGCTTCTTTATTAACGCATCAAACAGCGAAATTCAGGATCAGGTGGGGCCAGTCTTGCGGTGAAGTCCGCAGTGCTCTTACCGCGAGGTGGAGGCGGCGTGCTGCCTGGTTCCTCCTTGCTGCAGGGGGCGCCAGACTCCGGGAGGACTGAGGATGAGGGTCGTGTATTTTCCCCTCCAAGGTCACAAGCCCCCTGGATTCCCTGGGCAGAGAGCCCACACTGTAACAGGGCGCTTTTGGGATCGGCCCCTACGAAAGTGTCCCAAACCTGGCGGCTTGCACAGCAGAAACGCACTCTTAGCACGAGCCCAGAAGTCTGGAATCAAGATGTCTGCAGACCCGAAGTCTCTCCAGAGGCTCTAGCAGGGGCCCCTCCTGCCTCTCCCAGCGTTCCGGGGTGGCCAGCAGTCCTGGATGTCGCTGGACTGCGAGCTCAGCCTCCCGAGCAGCTGGGATTACAGGCGTGTGCCACCACCCCCGGATAATTGTTTTAATTTTTATTTTTAGTAGAGGTGGGGTTTCAGCATGTTAGCCAGGCTAAGGCATTGCTTCTATCTTTTTTTTTTTTTTTTTTTTGAGATAGACTCTCTGTCTGTTGCCCAGGCTAGGGTGCAGTGCCATGATCTCGGCTCACTACAGCCTCCGCCTCCTGGGTTCAATAATTCTCCCTGCCGCAGCCTCCTGAGTGGCTGGGATTACAGGGACTCACCACCACGCCCGGCCAATTTTTGTATTTTTAGTAGAGACGGGCTTTTGCCATGTTGGCCGGGCTGGTCTCAAACTCCTGACCTCAGGTAATCCGCCCGCCTCAGCCTCCCTAAGTGCTGGGATTACAGGCGTGAGCGACCGCGCCCGGCCACGTATTCTAACCAGCACCATCCAGTAGAACTTTCTATGATGTTGGGAATTTTCCGCATCTGCCAACAGCTGTGTGTGCTACTGAACACTTGAAGCTGGTGAAAGGGAAGAACTGAATATTTCAATTTAAGGACTATGTGTGGCCAGTGAGGTCTACCATACAGAGGTTGTTTAGAAACTGCCCCAAAACCGGCCGGGCACAGTGGCTCACGCCTGTAATCCCAGCACTTTGGGAGGCTGAGGCGGGCGGATCACGAGGTCAGGAGATGAGACCATCCTGGCTAACACAGTGAAACCCCGTCTCTACTAAAAATATACAAAAAATTAGCCGGGTGTGGTGGCGGGCGCCTGCAGTCCCAGCTACTTGGGAGGCTGAGGCAGGAGGATGGAGTGAACCTGGGAGGCAGAGCTTGCAGTGAGCCGAGATCGAGCCACTGCACTCCAGCCTGGGCGACAGAGCGAGACTCCGTCTCAAAAAAAAAAAAAAAAAAAAATGCCCCAAAACTCATGTCTCTGGTCTCTGGTGTGTGGCCACCTCATGTCACAGCATGTCTTCAGCTGCAGGACTATGGGGTGGGAGGATGTAAGGGAATTTTTTTCCCTTTGGAATAGTCTGTTACAGTTACAGGCCACTCTTAAGCAGCCACTGGGTCAAAGGAGAAATTGCTCAGAACAGGGATGTCAGGAAAAATGAATACAAGAAAAAAATTATATATATATGTTATTTTATATATATATATATATGTGTGTGTGTGTATATTTTAAGACAGAGTCTCCAAGTCTGTCGACAGCAAAGTTTCTGTCTCCCAGGCTGGAGTGCAGTGGTGAGATCCCGGCTTACCGCAATTTCCGCTTTCTGCGTTCAAGTGATTCTCCTGCCCCAGGCTCCCAGTAGCTGAGATTACAGGCATGTGCCACCACGCCCAGCTAATTTTTTTTTTTTTTTGTATTTTTAGTGGAGGGAGCACAGGCATGAGCCACCACGCCCAGCTAATTTTTTTTTTTTTTTTTTGTATTTTTAGTGGAGATGGGGTTTCACTATGTTGGCCAGGCTGGTCTTAAACTCCTGACCTTGTGATCCTCCTGTCTTGGCCTCCCAAAGTGCTGGGGTTACAGGCATGAGCCACTGTGCCTGGCCAAAAATTAAATGAAAAAAAAAAAAATTGCAGGGGATATTTAAGCTATACATGGCTGGGCGTGGTGGCTCACACCTGTAATCCCAGCACTTTGGGAGGCCGAGGCGGGTGGATCCCCTGAGGTCAGGAGTTGGAGACCAGCCTGGCCAACAGGGCGAAACCCCATCTCTACTAAAAATACAAAATAATTAGCTGGGTGTGGTGGCATGTGCCTGTAGTCCCAGCTACTCAGGAGGCTGAGGCAGGAGAATCGGTTGAACCCGGGAGGCGGAGGTTGACAGTGAGCTGAGATTGCGCCACTGCACTCCAGCCTGGGCGACAGAGCGAGACTCTATCTAAAAAAATAATTAAATAAAATTTCCAAAGAAGAAGTAAACTATGAAGTTCGAAAACACTTGGAGATAATGAAAATGAAAACACCACCTGTCAGAAGTCCTGGGATGCAGCTGACACAGTGCTCGCAGGGTAATTTATAGTCACAAAATGCCTATATTCGGAAAGGTGATGGCCGGGCGCGGTGGTGCACACCTGTCATCCCAGCACTTTGGGAGGCTGAGGCTGGCGGATCACGATGTCAGGAGTTCGAGACCAGCCTGGCCAGCATGGTGAAACCCCGTATCTGCTAAGAATACAAAAAATTAGCTGGTGTGGTGGCGTGTGCCTGTAATCCCAGCTACTCAGGAGGCTGAGGCAGGAGAAGTGCTGGAACCTGGGAGGCAGAGAACCCGGCCCAGCTGAGATTGTGCCACTGCACTCCAGCCTGGGCAACAGAGCAAGACTCCATCTTGGGGGGAAAAAAAGTGAAACATCTCAGACCAAATACGTCACCTTTCACCTTAGGAAACTAGAAGAAGAAGCTGTCACTAAACCTAAAGCAAGTAGATGAGAGGAAGTTACAAAGATTAAAACAAATCGATGAAATGGAAGGCAGAAACAGCAGAGAACAGTCAAGCCAAGTCAGTCCTTTGAAAAGATCCACACAATTGACAAATCTGGAGGTTTAACAAGCTGCCTCCCAGAGGAACGTGAACCTCCCACAGTCCCACCTGGCGGGCCATGCGGCTGCCTCTGCAGGTGGAGCTTGTGTGTCAGAACCTCAGGGGGATGCATCGGTCTGCCCAGCTGGCCACTCCTGCCTGGTGACCCTGTCCCCTGCTGAGCTGGTGGCTACAGAGAAGGGGTCTCCAGGGAGCAGGGAGGATGTGGAGGTTGGGCCATCCCCCCAGACCCTCACCCTGGCTTGGTCTCCCAGGGTGCCTTCAAGGAGCTGGTATATGTGTTATTCATGGTGAAGGATGCCGGCTTGACTCCGGACCTGCTGTCCTATGCGGCTGCCCTCCAGTGCATGGGGAGGCAGGACCAGGACGCCGGGACCATCGAAAGGTAGGTGGTGTCGGGAGGGCCCCCACCCCCCACCATGTCCCTCCCAGGGTTTTAAGATCTGGGACGGTGCCTGGGCTGGGGGCTGGGGACCCCCAGAGGGCCTGACAGCCACACCGAGACCTGCAGGCTAGCAGGAGGTGGTCACGAGGTTCCCCTGGGGTCTGTGGAAGCCCAGCGTGGGGCTGGCCCGTCCCTCGAGCAGGCCGCCTGCACCACAGGTGTCTGGAACAGATGAGCCAGGAGGGGCTGAAGCTGCAGGCACTCTTCACCGCCGTTCTGCTGTCTGAGGAGGATCGGGCCACTGTTCTGAAGGCCGTGCACAAGGTGAAGCCCACCTTCAGCCTCCCGCCGCAGCTGCCGCCCCCGGTCAACACCTCCAAGCTGCTCAGGGACGTGTATGCCAAGGTGAGCCCACGTGGGCCCCGGCAGACTTCAGTCCTTATAGCTGCCCTTTGGGGGTTCCTGGAGCCTCAGCTCAGACCAATGGGCCTCCCCGGTGCCCAGGGCTCACCTGGGCTGGGCCCTGAATTCCTCCCTTCCTCCTCTGAGAAGATGGGAGGACCCAGAGCTGGGAGGGTCTTGGCCCTGAGGGTGTGGGCTCAGGGGGACGAGGTGGTCGGGGGCCGCAGAGAGAGGGTGGGGTGACAGGAGAGCAGTGCGTTTGAGTGGGGCTGCCAGGTGCACGCAGTGGGCTCGTCTGTTACTGAGGTGTAATTCACCTGCCATAAAACCCTCTTAAAGGTGTAATTCAGCGATTTTAGTGTAGTCACGGTTGTCTAATTCTAGAATGTTCCATCACCCTAAAAGGAAGCCTCGTCCCCATCCCCGTCACTCCCCATCCCCTCCCCATCTGTGGATGAGTCTGCTCTGGACATTCCATAGAAATGGGACCACACACTGCGAGACCTTTTGTGTTTGGCATCTCCCACTGAGCGTGACGTCCTCATGGTGCCTCCGGGAGGCGACCTGGGTCAGGGCTGAGTCATGCTCCGGTGCGTGGATGGCCGCGCCGTGCCCGTCTGTTCGTCCGTTTATGGGACGTTGGGCTGTTTCTACTTATCGACTGCGAGTCATGCAGCTGTGAACGTTTGTGTACAAGCTTTTATGTGGACGTGCGTCTTTGATTCTCAAAGCGCTAGGCTTTAGTTGTTATTTTTAATTCATCTATTTCTGGATGGGTCACATTCATACAGTTCTGAGTTTGAGGAGAAAACAGCCAACATCTGGGGGTGCAGTGAACGGTCTCCCCAGGCTCTGCCAGCTCCCAGCATCACCGCCCCTGCCACCCCCTGCACGGTGCCCAGTGTCCCTTCTAGAGGGGTCGAGGCCAGGAGGGTCAAGGCCTTTGGTTTGCACTGCTGGCACTGACTTTACCCGCAGCCCGCCTTTCCCCGCGTCAGCGATAGCCACCAGCAACTTGCAGGAGACGCAGAAACGCGTGCACCCATGCTGTCTCGGGGTCCTGGGAGGGCAGGTCGCCCTCTGGCAAGCCCCCAACCTCACTACCCCCATCCCTGCAGGATGGGCGTGTGTCCTACCCGAAGCTGCACCTGCCCTTGAAGACCCTGCAGTGCCTCTTTGAGAAGCAGCTCCACATGGAGCTGGCCAGCAGGGTGTGCGTGGTGTCCGTGGAGAAGCCCACGTTGCCAAGCAAGGAGGTCAAGCACGCGGTAGGGGCTGAGCCGGGGTCCCGTGTCCGCCGCAGGGGCTGAGCCGGGGTCGCGTGTCCACCGCACGGGCTGAGCCGGGGTCCCGTGTCCGCCGCAGGGGCTGAGCCGGGGTCGCGTGTCCGCCGCAGGGGCTGAGCTCCGTGTATGCGGTTGAATTGCTCATGCCCTGGTCTGGTCATGCAGGGCCTAGGAACTCAGCCTGGCTGCCGCTCAGGGAAAACTTGTGGGGTCCCGAGGTTGGGTCTTGGCCTGTGCTTCTGCGCACACTGCAGCTGGGCTTTTGCTCTTGGCTGCGTCAGGCACGCTGAAGCCGGCAGAGGGCAGGCCGGGGTGAGGAGCTACCCGGAACACACAGCAGGGACCTTGAGGGCCATGAGGTCTCTGCAGGGAGCTGCGGTGACCCCCGTCCTGTGAGCCTGGGTCCCACCAGCTGCCACGGGGCTCACCGGGCCCGTTCATCCCCCGCAGCGGAAGACCCTGAAGACCCTGCGGGACCAATGGGAGAAAGCACTGTGCCGGGCGCTGCGGGAGACCAAGAACCGCCTAGAGCGCGAGGTGTACGAGGGCCGGTTCTCACTTTACCCCTTCCTGTGCCTGCTGGACGAGCGCGAGGTGGTGCGGATGCTCCTGCAGGTGCGTCTTCCTCCGCGCGGCCGGGTCCCCGGGCGGGGCGGGCAGGCACTCACGGCTGCCTTCCGCAGGTCCTGCAGGCGCTGCCCGCCCAAGGTGAGTCCTTCACCACCCTGGCCCGGGAGCTGAGTGCGCGCACTTTCAGCCGGCACGTGGTGCAGAGGCAGCGGGTCAGTGGCCAGGTGCAGGCGCTGCAGAACCACTACAGGAAGTACCTCTGCTTGCTGGCCTCCGACGCCGAGGTGAGGCTCGCACCCCCTCTCCTCCTGGCTGGGGCCAGTGGTGGGTGGGCGCTCTCCCTCCCTGGAGCAGCCGGGTTTGCACCCAAGCTTCAGTCTGTTCATCTGTATGCTTGGGCTGACAGATGCCCCACCGGGCGTCAGGCACGGGCGGTGGGGCATCTAGCTCAGGGGCCCCGGTGCCCAGCGCCCTGACCGCCCTGTCCTACAGGTGCCCGAGCCCTGCCTGCCGCGGCAGTACTGGGAGGAGCTGGGGGCGCCCGAGGCCCTGCGGGAGCAGCCCTGGCCCCTGCCAGTGCAGATGGAGCTGGGCAAGCTGCTGGCGGAGATGCTGGTGCAGGCTACGCAGATGCCATGCAGCCTGGACAAGCCGCATCGTTCCTCTCGGCTTGTCCCCGTGCTCTACCACGTGTATTCCTTCCGCAACGTCCAGCAGGTGCCAGGCAGTGCCCTCCTGAGCTGGGGGGCATCCCGCTGGGAGGACCAGGGACCCCATGGGGTTGGCGCCTTTGGGCGGAGCCTTGATCTCAGCGCAGCCGTCAGTACCTCCCAGGACTCGGGACACACCATGGGTGTCCATGCAGGTGTCCGGCCGTTTCTGGAGGTGGCTTCTGTTCGTGGGAGGCCACACTGGTTTCTTGTTGGCCGGGGAGCCGGCCCCTCTCACCCAAGTTTAAGGGGTGGGAACAGGAAAGCCCCAGCACCGGGGCCCTGACCCGTCTGCCTGTCGCACCCCAGATCGGCATCCTGAAGCCGCACCCGGCCTACGTGCAGCTGCTGGAGAAGGCCGCGGAGCCCACGCTGACCTTCGAGGCGGTGGATGTACCCATGCTTTGCCCCCCGCTGCCCTGGACATCGCCGCACTCTGGTGCTTTCCTGCTCAGCCCCACCAAGCTGATGCGCACGGTGGAAGGCGCCACGCAGCACCAGGAGCTGCTGGAAACCTGCCCGCCCACCGCGCTGCATGGCGCACTGGACGCCCTCACCCAACTGGGCAACTGCGCCTGGCGCGTCAACGGGCGCGTGCTGGACCTGGTGCTGCAGCTCTTCCAGGCCAAGGGCTGCCCCCAGCTAGGCGTGCCGGCCCCGCCCTCCGAGGCGCCCCAGCCGCCCGAGGCCCACCTGCCGCACAGCGCCGCGCCCGCCCGCAAGGCCGAGCTGCGCCGTGAGCTGGCGCACTGCCAGAAGGTGGCCCGGGAGATGCACAGCCTGCGGGCGGAGGCGCTGTACCGCCTCTCGCTGGCGCAGCACCTGCGGGACCGCGTCTTCTGGCTGCCGCACAACATGGACTTCCGCGGCCGCACCTACCCCTGCCCGCCGCACTTCAACCACCTGGGCAGCGACGTGGCGCGGGCCCTGCTGGAGTTCGCCCAGGGCCGCCCGCTCGGCCCGCACGGCCTGGATTGGCTCAAGATCCACCTGGTCAATCTCACGGGGTTGAAGAAGCGGGAGCCGCTGCGGAAGCGCCTGGCCTTTGCGGAGGAGGTGATGGATGACATCCTGGACTCCGCGGACCAACCCTTGACGGTAGGGGCGGGGCCCCCGCATTCCCCGCCCTCCCGGCACCCCCGCGCCCTCCCCCGGCGCCCCCGCGCCCTCCCCCGGCGCCCCCGCGCCCCCTGCCCGTCTTCCTCCTCCCCTCCCCCTCCCCTGGCGCCCCCTGCCCGTCTTCCTCCTCCCCTCCCCCTCCCCTGGCGCCCCCACGTCCCCCGCCCGCTCTCCTCCCCCGCGCCCCCTGCCCGTCCTGCTTCTCCCTTCTCCCCTGCCCCAGGGCCCCCGCGTTCCCCACGTTCCCCCCTCCCCTGCATCCGCCGAGCTGCTTCCTCCCCCGGCGCCCCCAGGTCCTCTGTCCACCCTCCTCCCCCGGCAGCTCCGGACACGCTTGTTTCAGCCCGGTCCACCCGCAGCTCCCATCCTCCATCCGTGGCTATGGAGAACTCATCCAGCCACCGCCCCGTCTCTCGCCCACATGCGTCCCGTGTTCACTATCACGGGTGTGCGTCTCCTCCCCATTTCCCACCTCCCCGCAACACAGCCTCCCAGCGGGCTCAGGGATCGGGCCCGGGCCTCACTGCCCCCCATCCGCTGTCCCCGCAGGGCCGAAAGTGGTGGATGGGCGCGGAGGAACCCTGGCAGACGCTGGCCTGCTGTATGGAGGTGGCGAACGCTGTGCGCGCCTCCGACCCTGCCGCCTATGTCTCCCACCTCCCCGTCCATCAGGTGAGCCAGCTGGGTCTGGCCCCCGAGGCCGTGCAGTGTGCACTGGGCCTGGGGCTCGACTTGAGGGTGTGAGATTTCACCTTCGCTCGTGGTATTCTCTGGAGGTGGTCCTAGAGTGTGCGGGAGCCATGGCTCCTGGTCTCTCCCGGGAGCGTGCGGGGGCTCCGGTGCACTTGGCTGGGGGGTGCACGGCCCTAGGAACGGCTCGACCTGGGGGGTGGTTTGGGGTCCCACACGTCTCTGCCTCTCTAGCTTCCATCTCCCGTTTGCCGCCCCTTCCTCAGGACGGCTCTTGCAACGGCCTGCAGCATTATGCTGCTCTGGGCCGCGACAGCGTGGGCGCCGCCTCCGTCAACCTGGAGCCCTCGGATGTGCCGCAGGACGTGTACAGCGGCGTGGCCGCGCAGGTAGGGTGTGCCCTGCTGCCCGGGGGCATCTCGGCGTGGGGGCAATGTGAGCCCTGAGTCTCGGCCCCAGGTGCCCTCACCTTGGCCTGTCCTGAGGATGTGGTGGGGCTGGGGCGGGGGCTTCATGGGTGCTTGGTGGCCCCTGGGCTGCTAGCGGGGCTGACCCGCGCCCCCGGCCCACCCGCCGTGCAGGTGGAGGTGTTCCGTAGGCAGGACGCCCAGCGGGGCATGCGGGTGGCACAGGTGCTGGAAGGTTTCATCACCCGCAAGGTGGTGAAGCAGACGGTGATGACGGTGGTGTACGGGGTCACGCGCTATGGCGGGCGCCTGCAGATTGAGAAGCGCCTCCGGGAGCTGAGCGACTTTCCCCAGGTGCGCCAGGCATGTCGCGCTGCGAACACGTTGGTTTCACTGCCATTTAAAACTCAGACGGGTGTGCCCCCGACCCAGCCTCCCAGCAGGAGCCCTGGCTGCTCCCCCAGACCACTGGCTGCCTGTTAGGGCTTGGGCGTTTCTTGCTGACTGCGTGGGCGCCAGGCCCCATTCCCCTGCCCCCCTGCTAGGCCCTAGGCCTTGGGCCTCAGTGGCTCTGAAATAGGGGGGAGTAGGGCGTGAACGGGCCAGCCCCTGAGGACCTGCACCTGCTGCCCGCCCTCTGCAGGAGTTCGTGTGGGAGGCCTCTCACTATCTCGTACGCCAGGTCTTCAAGAGTCTACAGGAGATGTTCTCGGGGACCCGGGCCATCCAGGTACGTCCTGTCCTGTCCCCGCTCGGCCAGGACTCCCTAAGCAAGTGGACGGGATCCCCGGCCTGAGCCCCCTGCCCTGAGACGGCCTGTGTCCCACAGCACTGGCTGACCGAGAGTGCCCGCCTCATCTCCCACATGGGCTCTGTGGTGGAGTGGGTCACACCCCTGGGCGTCCCCGTCATCCAGCCCTATCGCCTGGACTCCAAGGTCAAGGTCAGTGTACCACCCCATCCCTCCCCAGTGTGCCACCATCCCAGTGTAACAGCGTCCCAGTGTACCAGTGCCCCAGCGTACCACCACCCCAGTGTACCACCGCCCCAGTGTGCCACCCCATCCCGCGCCAGTGTGCCACCATCCTAGCGTGCCACTACCCCAGTGTACCACCACCTCAATGTACCACCACCGTGCTGGGCCTCGGGTGGGACTCACCGGCCCCTTCCCCTTTTTAGCAAATAGGAGGTGGAATTCAGAGCATCACCTACACCCACAACGGAGACATCAGCCGGTGAGTGGGGGGCCCGGGCTGGGGCCTGGCCGGGGGTCTGGAGAGCAGCCACGGTGGAGACAGCGGCCAGTTAGGGGTGTCCCTGGGCCGCCCCCACCGGCACCTGTTCCGTCCTCAGAAAGCCCAACACACGTAAGCAGAAGAACGGCTTCCCGCCCAACTTCATCCACTCGCTGGACTCCTCCCACATGATGCTCACCGCCCTGCACTGCTACAGGTGGGCGTCTCCGGACGGCGTGGGTGCCGCTCGCCTCCCAGGGGCGTCTTCTGGCTAGCAGGGCACAGCTGGCAAGGCTGGGTCTAGCTGGGGGCAGGGACTGGGCAGAGTGGATCTGCTGTGTCTGTGGGGCCTGTGTAGAGGCCCTGAGGCTGTGTGCCCCGAATGTAGGTGGTCCTGGCAGCTCCCCTCCTGTGGCCCGACAGGGAGAGCCGAGCATGGGCGCTGCCCCTTCCTGCTGGGCATTTCTTGGCACCGCGATGTGTGGTTAGATCTGGAGCACGTGGAGGTCGTTCCAGCAGAATCTACCGGCCACGGGAGCTGGGAATGCTCAGGATGCGGGGTGGTGGCCCTGGCAGGAGGGGACCTCGTAGCCGCCCTCGGAGCTGAGGCTCCCACAGCAGCGTGGGGGGCGGCAGGGGTGGGGCGAGGAGGCTTCTGGGAACATTTCCTCCCCCTGTACTGATACCTAACCCAGGATGTTTGGGGAGGGGCGGGGCGAGGGGTGGGGCGAGGCCTGCAGGAGGGTGGGCTTCCCTGGACCTCAAGTGGAGGGGGCTGAGCGCAGGGCCAGGATGCTGGTCACTGGGTGGCCCTGTGAGCTCCCCTCCCTTCAGGAGTCCTCCGCTCTGCCACAGGAAGGGCCTGACCTTCGTCTCTGTGCACGACTGTTACTGGACTCACGCAGCTGATGTCTCCGTCATGAACCAGGTGCCCCCGTAGTCTGAGCCTCAGTCCACCCATGGGTGGGGCCCCCACACTGGGGCGTTGGGTAGGGGTGGTGCCCAGAGCCTGCCTGATCACCCCTGGGGATCCTCTGACTCCTGCCCAGGTGTGCCGGGAGCAGTTTGTCCGCTTGCACAGCGAGCCCATCCTGCAGGACCTGTCCAGATTCCTGGTCAAGCGGTTCTGCTCTGAGTAAGGCGCTCCCTGACCCCAACTACCTGGATTCCCCCCCCACCCCAAAACCTGGCCTCAGCCTCACCCCACCCTGCTTCCAACCCCAGGCCCCAGAAGATCTTGGAGGCCAGCCAGCTGAAGGAGACACTGCAGGCGGTGCCCAAGCCAGGTAGGCGGGTGGGCAGCCTCGCAAGGGTGGCTCGAACTGCGGGCCAGGGCGGGGCTTTCCCGCCACCCACGCCGTCCGCTCTGCTTCCTCCGCAGGGGCCTTCGACCTGGAGCAGGTGAAGCGTTCCACCTACTTCTTCAGCTGACACCCCGTGAGCCTTGTCAGTGTGTAAATAAAGCTCTTTTGCCACCCCCAGGAGCCACTGTCTTCAGGAAGGGTGCACGCCCTGCGGGTCTCGGGCAATCACACGCGGCCAGGCTTGGCGCCAATGCTGTCGTTTATTGCGCGGAATGGGGGTGTGGGGGTTAATGGGGCGTGGGGGGCCACGGTGGGGGCACTGCTGCCTCGGCTCGTCAGTACATTCATCACGGCGGCGGGACCCCAGCCTCCCCCCCGCGCCCTGCGCAGCCAGGCCTGCCTCTCGGTGCCAGTGCTGGAGGGAGGCGGGGTGCTGCTCCCCGAGGTCACCGGGGGACGCGCGCGGACGGGGGCCGGGCCGGTTATTGCGTGAGCGCGATGGGGGCAGCGGGAAGCCGGCGGGCCAAGTATTGCACTTAGAAAACGATCCTCCTCGGACGGGGGCCACCTAGAGGGTGGGGGGCGGGCGGGGCTCCACAGCCGGCTCCTCTCAGCCACTGGGCCGCCCCGTCCCTGTCTTACAGCTGGGGGAACTGAGGCACCGAGGTGAAGGGAGCCCCCTCGCACGCGAGGCCGCCGCCGGGGGCAGGGGCGATGGGGGTGGGCGCGGGGCGATGAGGGGGGACGGCCGGGGGCGCGGAGGGGGCTGCCCCGCCGGCCCTGCCCGTCCGTCCAACTACGGCTACCTACGTCTCGTCTATGGCTTCTGGGCGGACTGGCGGCCGGGGCAGCGCAATGGCATGGCTTTGGTCTGGATGACGGCCCCGCCCCCGGCCCGCCTGGGCCCGCGGGGCGGTCGGCGAGGGTCACAAGTTGGACGAGAGGCGCGAGCGCGCGGAGTCCTGGGGGTCCAGGCCGCCGGCGGCGCCGGGTGAGGCCGAGTCCCTGCGGTCCGGGCTGGGCGCGGCGGCCCGGGCAGCGGGCGTGGGCCCCAAGCGCGGTGTGGAGCTGCTGGCCGGGCGTGTGGAGGCCGCGGGGCCGGGGGCGCCGTGAGGCAGCGAGGGCTGCGAGGCGGACAGTGGGCGCGACGCGCGGCTCAGGCGGCGCGCGGGCAGGGCGGGCCCAGCAAGGGGGGCGGCGGGCAGGCCGCCGTAGGGCGAGGTCCGCGGTGCCCGGGGGCTGGCGGGCGCGCCCGGGGGGCTGGCGGGGGGCGGGGGCCCGGGTGAGGCGGCGGCAGGTGCGGGCCCCGGGGGCGGGCGGCGCACGAGGCGCGGCGAGCCGAGCGCCAGCGGCCCCACGAGCGGCCGCGCCACCTGCGGGCAGAAGCTCATGGCCGCCGCCTGCTGCAGCGTGGCGATGGCCGAGGTGACCTGCGGCGGCGGCGGCGGCGGCGGGAAGAGGCCCACGCGCTGACCCAGCTCGGCCTGCTGCACCATCTCGCGGTCGTACTTGACGATCTCCTGGATGATGGCGTTCTCCTGGTTGTTGAATACGCCCGAGTTGAGGTCATGCTGCACCTTGTGCAGGAGGATGGAATTCTTCTTGCCTGCGGGAGAGGGGGCGTTAGCGTGTGCACAGGGAGCGCCTGCTGCGTACAGCGGGCACCGAGCACCTACTCTGCACCGCGGGTGCGCACACAGTGCTTGCCGTGTAGAGCAAGCATGCATTTACCACCTACTGTATACAATAAGCACATATGTAGCATCTCTGGCCTATAGTATGGATATTGAGTACCTGCCATATACAGGCTGAGCACCTGCTATGCACAGCCAGCATGCATGAAGCACCTGCATACAGAAAGCAGGGCTTTTGTTTTGCTTTGTTTCTGAGACGGAGTCTTGCTCTGTCGCCCGGGCTGGAGTGCAGTGGCGCGATCTCGGCCCACTGCAAGGTCCACCTCCCGGGTTCACACCATTCTCCTGCCTCATCCTCCCGAGTAGCTGGGACTACAGGCGCCCGCCACCACACCCGGCTAATTTTTTGTATTTTTTTTTTAGTAGAGACGGGGTTTCACCATGTTAGCCAGGATGGTCTCAATCTCCTGACCTCGTGATCCACCCACCTTGGCCTCCGAAAGTGCTGGGACTACAGGCGTGAGCCACCGCGCCTGGCAGTAAACAGGTATTTAATGCCTGCTGTGTACATGGAGCAGGTATCACTGTGCACCAAGTATGCATGTGTACCACCTGTATACGCTGATTATGTAATGACTGCCTCCAGTGTGCCACAGGCATACCGAAAACACCTGCCTGTACACAGCCTGTGCTGAGCACCTGCTGTATACAGAAGTTATAACCTAAGCACCTGATACTCAGGAACGGGTTGCATACTCACTGTATAGAGCAAGTTGTGGAGAGCTTCCTACTGTACACCAGGGAGCTCCCTGACACCACTCCGTCGCACCTGTCCTGCGTTTCAGCCATGGTCTTCATTCCCATTCCCACGAACAGCAGCATGAGCCGCCATCTCTCTGGCGCCTACATCCAGTCATCAGGGCTCTGCCCCTCCCTGCCCCAGAGACTGCCCCCCTGAGAGGCCAGGTCACCGTCTCCCTCCTGGACACGGCCCGCCTTGGCGGATACAATCTGACCAGGTCCTCCGCCCACCTAGAACCCTCCATGGCTCCCTGATGCTCCTGATTTAGTCTAAACTCTCCCTGCCGCCCACTGGGCCCTGTGTGTCTGGCCTCCCCTTCTTCCCCAACCTCCTCCAGGCCTCCCTGGCTCTCTGGACTCTAGGCCTCTTTTCCACCTCAGGGCCTTGGGATGTGCTGTGT
This sequence comes from Homo sapiens, assembly GCF_000001405.40. Taxonomy (NCBI): domain Eukaryota; kingdom Metazoa; phylum Chordata; class Mammalia; order Primates; family Hominidae; genus Homo; species Homo sapiens. Next base: position 614,564 of record NC_000019.10, on the reverse strand, counting down.
CCACTCCACGAACACATCTTCCTCCCCGTTTCCACATGGCATCCCTTACCCTGGTCTCCACTCTGCATTCCCAACTCAGGGAAGCCCACCGGCCCCACCTGCCCTGCTGGCACACAGCCCAGTCGTGTGTGATTTCATCACCAGTCCATAAGCCTCCCTGGGAGTCTGAGTGGGCCCCCGGGTCTGTCCCCTGCACCCCCAGCACACAGCAGGTGCTCACCGAGCATTCGGCACAACCGCAAACACCCTGTGCATTCCCTCCCTTGGGAAACAGGCTGCCTCTGGCTGAAGTAGGACAATAGGTCAGAAAATCAGCCTCTAGACCCAAAGGGGTCCTAGGAGCGGCCAGCCGCTGCCCCTGCCCCAGCCACGCCCCTGCTGCCATGGCCACACTCCTGATGCCTTGGCCACGTCTCTGCCCCAACCGTGCCCCTGATGCCACAGCCACGCCCTTCCCCCTGCCACTGTCCAAGCCACTCTCCTGATGCCTTGGCCACGCCCCTCCCCCGCCAGGGCACCCGCCCCGGCCACGCCCCCGGCCCGCTCACCGATGCGGTCCAGGCGGTCGATGGCCACCGTCTCGAAGGCGCGCCGCATCATGGGGTACTCCTCCAGCACCTCGTTGAAGTTGTCCACGCTCAGCGAATAGAGGCGGCAGTAGGTGTCAGCCCGCACGCTCGCCGTGCGGCGGCCCCGGGTGAGCAGGCAGATCTCTGCACGTGGCGCGCAGGGGGGGGTTGCTGGACGAGGCGGGCGCCGCGGCCCTCCCCGCCCAGGCACACGGCCCGGCCTCTGCACCTTGGCCAGCGTGGGCGCTTCCCACCCAGGCTCTCCCTGGTGCCGGCCCCGGCCCCATCCCCGGCCCCATCCCCGGCCCCATCCCCGGCCCCATCCCCATCCCCGGCCCCATCCCCATCCCCATCCCCGGCCCCATCCCCATCCCCATCCCCATCCCCGGCCCCATCCCCATCCCCATCCCCATCCCCGGCCCCGGCCCCGGCCCCGGCCCCCTGGCTCTGCACACCGCGGGGGTCGCGTGCCCCCTCCCCCTCCAGGCGCGCCCCCCTCAAGCTCACCCCCGAAGTAGGAGCCATCGGACAGCTTCATCTCCTTGTTGCCCTTAGTGAGCACGCTGACCACGCCGTGCTGGATGAAGTACATCTTCTTCCCGATGGTGCCTTCGCGGATGATGTAGTCACCCGGCTGGAAGACCTCGAACTTGAGCTTGGTCAGCATGGCCGTGACGAAGTTGGGGTCGGCGTTGGCGAACAGCGGCATGGAGGCCACCAGCTTCCGGCAGTTGAAGTTGACGATCTCCTGCAGGGGGGAGGCAGGGCTGGGTCCGCTGCGGACCCCACTCCCGCTTCCCCCTCGCCCTGCCTCTGGGACCGGCTCACCTCTCGGACCCCAGTTTCCTCGTCTGAGAGACGGGCTCAGCCCCGTAGCCGGAACCGAGCTGCTGCCGCCAAGGACGGGAGAAAGAAAAAACGCTCAGTGCCCCTTCGCCGTTTGACACCGTATTGGCGACATCTGCCAATACAATCGGACCAGGAGGGGCGGCTGTAGACAAGAGCGGTGGAAAGGAGGCCGGGTGCGGGGGCTCACGCGTGTGATCTCAGCATTTGCGGAGGCCGAGGCGGGAGGATCGCTTGAGCCCAGGAGTTCTAGACCAGCCTGGGCAACACGGTAAGACCCCCGTCTCTACCGGAAAAAAAAAAAACAGCCAGGCGTGGTGGTGCAGGAAGTCGAGGCTGCAGTGAGCCGTGATCCCCACACCACTGCCCTCCAGCCTGAGCGCAGAACAAGACCCTGACTCAAAAAAAAAAAAAAAGAAAATGGGGGAAAAATAAGGCCGGGCGTGGTGGCTCACACCTGTAATCCCAGCACTCTGGGAGGCCAAGGTGGGTGGATCGCCTGATGTCAGGAGTTCGAGACCAGCCTGGCCAACATGGTGAAACCCCATCTCTACTAAAAATACAAAAAATTAGCTGGGTGTGGTGGCGGGTGCCTGTAATCCCAGCTACTCGGGAGGCTGAGGCACGAGTCTCTTGAACCCGGGAGGAGGAGGTTACAGTGAACCAAGATCACACAACTGCACTGGAGCCCGGGTGACAGAGCGAGACTCCATCTCTCTCTCACACACACACACACACACACACACACACACACACCAGTGGAAAGCTACATTCGGTCAGACTATCAGGTGATTTTTGAAAAATCAACATGAAAACCAAGGGTCTGGAGATGAATCAATGGTGTGGGAAGTCAGGGCAATTCCCCTTAGCAAAGGCAGCTTCTAAGGACGGCAGGAACGTTCCAGCTTCGTTCTGTGTGGTGGTTACACCACGTTCCCTTTAGGGACCAGCTATCGAGCTGTGCCCTTATGACCTGGGGCACTTTTTGGTACTTTTTTTTTTTTTGAGACGGAGTCTCGCTCTGTTGTCCAGGCTGGAGTGCAGTGGCACAATCTCGGCTCACTGCAACCGCCGCCTCCTGGGTTCAAGCGATTCTCCTGTCTCAGCCTCCAGAGTAGCTGGGATTACAGGCGCCCACCACCACGCCCGGCTAATTTTGTATTTTTAGTGGAGACGGGGCTTCACCATGTTGGCCAGGCTGGTCTCGAACTCCTGACCTCAGGTGATCTGCCCGTCTCGGCCTCTGAAAGTGCTGGGATTACAGGCGTGAGCCACCACGCCTGGCCATATGTGGGTTTAAAGATTTGACTTTGCAACTCCTAAACACCTAAATAATGACTAAGTAGCGTGGGTTGCCAGGGGCTGGGGACGGGGAGTGAGCTGGTGACTAACACCCCAGGTCTCCTTTTGGGCCCATGAGAATGTTCTGGAGTGAGGCTGTGGTATCGGGTGCAGCACTCTGTTAATACTAAAAGCCACCGCATTTTATGCATTTTGTGGTCTGAGTGTTATATCTCTACAAATGAATGAATGGAAACCGTAGTCATCAAATGCAATTAAACATTCTTGGCGAAGCGAACCGCAGTGTGTGCCTCCTGGGAGCAACGGGTGTACACGCCCCCCCAGAGGCATTCCCGGGGCCCGAGGTCCCTAGTGTCAGGCCCGTCCTGCCCGCCTCCTCGCCCAGCTCCTCCAGCCCCTCCTCGGGGCCTCTGCCCGAGCCAGGTGCTACACCGGGGACACCCTGCCTGGCTCACACACGGCCTTGCTGATGTCGCCTCCCCGTCCTCGTCCCTCCCCGCTTCCCAGAGCTGCTCTCTGCTGCCTGCGTGATCACGGCCGCCATCCCTAGGCCCCGCTTCCTGAGGGTGGGACCTTCAAGCACACGGCAGGGCACGCAGTCGGCGCTCAATAACTGTTTGATGTGTGTTGTGGGTTGAACTACATCTCCCAGAAAGACAGGCTGACATCCTGACCCCCGGTTCCTGTGAATAGGACCTTATGTGGAAATAGGGTCTCTGCAGACATGGCCCAGTTAAGGCGAGGCCACGAGGAACCGGGTGGGCCCTGATCCAACGACGGATGAATTTACAAGAAGAGACAGAGACACACAGGGGAGAAGGCTGTGAGCAGATGGAGGCAGAGATCAGGGAGATCAATCTGCAAGCCAAGGGCGCCTGGAGCCCCAGACGCCGGAAGAGGCAGGAAGGATCCTCCCCAGGGGCTCCGGGGGGGTAGCACGGCCCGGCCCACGCCTTGATGTTGGGCTTCCGGCCTCCAGGACGGTGGGAGGCCGAATCTCCGCTGTTCAAGCCACTCAGCCTGTGGGTATTTGTTCCCGCAACCCTGGGAAACTTGCCCAGGGTCACTCAGGCTACCGGAACAGAGCTGGGAGTTAAACCCGCTCCAATCAGCCTCAGTGCCCCCAGGACCTGGTGCTCAGCGGGGCCTCTGCGGCTCCTCCCTCCCCACCCCCTGCCCTGCTTCTGCCCCGCCCTGTCAGGCACAGACCCAGGCAGTTCTGCTAAGGGGGCAGCGGGAAGCAAGGCGGGGGTGGCGGGGGTCCTGGGGGTGCAGAGGCTCACGGGGCGGGGAGGGGAGGGTGTGTACGCAGGTCTAGCTCGAGTCCCTCCTGCTGCAGCCTAGGCACCTCGCCTCCCTCAGGGACCGGCTCCTGGGCTCCAGGAGAGGGAGGCCGGCCCTGTACCGGAGGCTGCCTCCCGCCCGCCCGGCGCCCGCCTCACCTCCCGCAGGGGCCCGTTGAGCTCGCCCAGGATGCTGTCCTCGTCAAACATCTTGCCCTGGTAACGGTGCTCATAGTAGTCGTGGATCTTCTGGCGGAAGTCAGCTGGCAGCTTGTGGAAGGACATGTACTGCTCCACCTGCTTGTACTGTGGGGAGGAGGCGAGGCTGGGTCAGACACCGCCCCCGGCCTGCAGCGGGCACAGGGGCACCTGCTTGTACTGTGGGGAGGCGAGGCTGGGTCAGACACCGCCCCCAGCCTGCAGCGGGCACACGGGCACCTGCTTGTGGGTCAGACAGCCCCCCGGCCTGTGGCGGGGAGATAGGCCTTCACACCTGCTTGTACTGTGGGGGGTCAGGGCTGGGTCAGACAAAGCCCCCGCCCACAGCGGGGAGACAGGCCTCCGCCACACACAGGGGCGGCCAGATTCAACAAGAGCAAATAAACATGCTTCTATTTAAATCAAAGTTGAATTCGTTTCAATGATAAATTCCATTTTTTTTTTCTGAGACACTGTCTCGCTCTGTGGCCCACGCTGGAGTGCAGTGGTGCAATCACAGCTCACTGCAGCCTCCGCCTATGGGCTCAAGCAATCCTCCCACCTCAGCCTCCTGAGTAGCAGGGACTGCAGGTGTGCGCCACCACGCCTGGCTGATTCTTTTATTTTTTGTGGAGATGAGGTCTCGCCATATTGCACAGGCTGGTCTTGAACTCCTGGGCTCAAGGGATCCTCCCACCTCGGCCTCCTGAGTAGTGGGGATTACAGGTGTGCACCACCCTGCCCTGCTAATTTTTTAATTTTTTGTAGCGATGAGGTCTCGCCGTGTTGCTCAGGCTGGTCTTAAACTCCTGACCTCAGGCGATCGGCCTGTCTCGGCCTCCCAGAGTGCCGGGATTACAGGCAGGAGCCACTGCACCAGGCCGGGTGCCCTGAACTTTATCTAGCAACCCTATCCCTGAGGAATGGGTGGGCACCTGACTCTACGAGGAGAGGCCCCAGGTACCCTGACACACAGGACCCCCTTCCCGGGGGCTCTGGCCCTTCCCTGATGATCTTTCCAGAAACCATCGGGTCAGCCCCTCCTGAGCAGGGAAGGGAGCGTGGGTGCTGGGCGGGGGTGCCAGGCCCTGCTGTCCCCAGGACGGTGCCCCCCGGCAGCTCCAGCCTCACTTCCGCCCCAGCCCCGCCCGGCCGCAGCTGCCCTGAGCTCAGCGGAACCCGTGACGGCGGGCGGGTGGTGGCACCAGCTTATGTTTGGGTGTGAGGCCCGTGGCTTCCGGACAGCAGGGCGCCTGGCACGGGGCCCAGCTGACCCAGCCAGCCACTGCTCGGGGCGCGGGAGAGGGGGGCACTTGGCTCCCAGCCAGGACCAGCCAGCCGCCTAACATGGGGAAACTGAGGCACAGAGTGGTGCATGAGGCCCAACTCCAGGGGCTGCCAATGGGGCCAATCCTAATCTCCCTCCACCCCTCCCAGCTCCCCCGTGTCCCCTCCACTGCCAAGCCTAGGATTAACCCAATGGACGCTGCAGGCCAGAGGCCGCATCTGAGCAGTGGGGCAGCCTTGCTCTCCCTGAAGCCTGGCCCTGACTGCCGGCCACCGGCGTGTCCTGAAGCAACCCCAGGCCTCTCAGACCCCGCCAGGCCCTTCCCTAACCCAGCCCCATCCTGAGCCGGCCTAGAGACCCCCAGGTGGGCCCAGCCTCCTGGCAATGCCCCTTCAGCCCGGGGGCTTCCCGATGTCCAAAGACTGACCCTGTCCTGCCCTGATCCCAACTCACCCCTTCCTGCCCAGCCTGCATCCCCTCCCCAGCCCCCGCCCCACGTCCATCTCCAGGCTCTGGACCTCCCTCCCTGTCACAGGGTCAGAGAACCTCTCACCACCGGCCGTTTCTCCTCCTAATCACAGCCACAGACCCCCAGGGTCCCCTGCTCCCCATCACGCGGTCTCTGCCCTGAGCGCGCCACTTGAAGCTGAGTGAAGGGCTGAGACTGCCTCTCCCCTCAGACCCCGGGGCCGGGCCCGCCCCTCCCCTCAGACCCCGGGACAAGGACTACCTCCGCCCTCAGACCCCAGGGCAAGGCCTCCCTCCAGCCTCAGACCCCAGGACCGGGCCTGCCTCCCTCCATCAGACCCCAGGGCCTGGCCTGACTCTCTCTCAGACCCCAGATCCAGGCCCGCCTCCCCCATCAGAACCCAGGCCGGGGCCCGCCTCCCTCAGACCTTCTCCTGGTACTGGCGCCGCGAGGAGTCCAGCGACTGGATGAGGGCAGTGGCGTGGCCGATGAACATGGCGTAGCAGGTGGCACCCACAATCATGCTGAGCATGGTCAGCCAGATGTCCGTCATGCTCTCGGGCGCCTGCCGGCCGTACCCGATGCACAGCATGTGGCTCATGGCCTTGAAGAGTGCGAAGGAGTACAGTTCACTCCACGAGTGGTTCTGCAAGGCCAGCAGGAGGGGCGGTGGTGGGCAGGTGCTCACGCCCCAGGAGCCCTCGGTCCTCAAGGGCCCAGCGCCCACCCTCTGCCAAGCACTGGAGGTGGTGAGCTCCCCATGTTCAGAGGTAACCAAGAGAAATGGAGACCCAGGTAGATGACATGGTTTGCACACTTGTCACAGTGAGTTGGCAGGAGGGCCAGGGCTGATTCTACCTGCCCGCTTCACTCCTGGGGAAACTGAGACCCCAAGGGCGAGAGTCTGGGTCCCGCCTTTTGCAGCCTCTGAGATCAGAGCATCTGTGAGGTCAAGAGGGGGCAAAAGTTCCAGGGAGCATCTGGGCCAGAGCAGAGGGGCAGGGCGGGCAGAGACACCAGGCCGGCCCAGGAGGTCCTGCCGCACCAAGTCCTCAGCTGACCCGGCCGGGAAAGGGGAGCCGCGGGGCTCTGTTCAGGAAATGGGACCGCATGTGCGGGTGGCAGCCAGACAATGGGCTGCCTCAGCCTGGGCAGCTGTGCCAGGCTCTGGGGAGGGGCACTGGCGGGTCTTCCCTCTGTAGCTCCTGACCCCATCAATGCCCACCTGCTCTGTGTCCAAACCAAACACATCCCAAGTCCCATATGTGGCTGGACGCTGGGGCACAGCACTCCCCAGGCAGGGACAAAGGCTCACTGGCCACTAACCTGACTGTAGCGGCCGAGGGCTCCCATAACTAACCCTTCTTAACAGTCAGCACATCTCAGCTAGGAAGCAAGGAGTATCTGGGACCTAACTTCATTTATTATTCCTTCTTTTTTGACGGAGTTTCGCTCTTGTCGCCCAGGCTGGAGTGCAGTGGCACGATCTTGGCTCACGGCAGCCTCCGCTCCCGGGTTCAAGCGATTCTCCTGCCTTGGCCTCTCAAGTAGCTGGGATTACAGGCATGCGCCACCACGCCAAGCTAGTTTTGTATTTTTAGTAGAGACGGGGTTTCTCCATGTTGGTCAGGCTGGTCTCAAACTCCTGACCTCAGGTGATCAGCCCCACCTCGGCCTCCCAAAGTGCTGGGATTACAGGCGTGAGCCACCGCGCCCGGCCTCTTCCTTTTGCTTTTACTTATTTTTATTTATTTTTTTTGAGACAAAGTCTGGCTCTGTTGCCCAGGCTGGAGTGCAATGGTGTGATCTCAGCTCGCTGCAACCTCTGCTCCCGGGTTCAAGCGATTCTCCTGCCTCAGCCTCTACAGTAGCTGGAATTACAGGTGCGCGCCACCACGCCTGGCTAATTTTTTATTTTTAGTAGAGACGGGGTTTCAGCATGTTGGTCAGGCTGGTCTCAAACTCCTGACCTCAGGTGATCCGCCTGCCTCAGCCTCCCAAAGTGCTGGGATTACAGGCATGAGCAGCCATGCCTGGCCCATTTATTATTTCTTTGGCATGGTGATACCACTTTCCCAATTCAGGGCCATGTTGTAAATTTTTCTTTAGTTGTTAGAGATCAGGTCTTGCTCTGTGACCCAGGCTGGAGTGCAGTGGTGCAATCATGGCTCACTGCAGCCTCAACTTCTGGGCTCAAGGGATCCAACCAGGCCGGGCGCGGTGGCTCACGCCTGTAATCCCAACACTTTGGGAGGCCGAGGCAGGCGGATCACCTGAGGTCAGGAGTTCGAGACCAGCCTGACCAACATGGCGAGACCCCGTCTCTACTAAAAGTACGAAAATTATCCAGGTGTGGTGGCGGGCGCCTGTAGTCCCAGCTACTCGGGAGGCTGAGGCGAGAGAATCCCTTGAACCCTGGGAGGTGGGGTTTGTGGTAAGCCGAGATCGTGCCACTGCACTCCAGCCTGGGCGACAGAGTGAAACTCAGTCTCAAAAAAAAATAAGTAAATAAAATAATAATAATTAATGTGGGTTAATTAAAAGGGAAATCCATTGGAAAACGCGCTAAGCAGATGTCTGGGTGACAGGACTCATCATAACCACACTCAGCTTCTCTCCACGGATGATCCCAGGCCTGAAAGGTTCCAAGTGGCTGTTTCAGACCCCCAGGGACATTAAGGGGCCAGTGCCGGGGCTGCAGTCCTGGGTCCCCCTCTGTAAAGAGGCCTGAGTCCTCCCGTGTAAGGGGGTCTTGTCCCCACCCCTGAAGGGCCTGTGTCTCTCCCTCTGTAAGGCGGCCTGGGTCCCCGCCTCTGTAAGGGCCCGAGTCCTTCCCTCCATAAGGGGGCGCCTGGGTCCCCACCTCTGTAAGGGCCCGAGTCCTCCCCTCCATAAGGGGGCGCCTGGGTCCCCACCTCTGTAAGGGCCCGAGTCCTCCCCTCCATAAGGGGGCGCCTGGGTCCCCACCTCTGTAAGGGCCCGAGTCCTCCCCTCCATAAGGGGGCGCCTGGGTCCCCACCTCTGAAAGGGCCCGAGTCCTCCCCTCCATAAGGGGGCGCCTGGGTCCCCACCTCTGAAAGGGCCCGAGTCCTCCCCTCCATAAGGGGGCGCCTGGGTCCCCACCTCTGTAAGGGCCCGAGTCCTCCCCTCCATAAGGGGGCGCCTGGGTCCCCGCCTCTGAAAGGGCCCGAGTCCTCCCCTCCATAAGGGGGCGCCTGGGTCCCCACCTCTGTAAGGGCCCGAGTCCTCCCCTCCATAAGGGGGCGCCTGGGTCCCCACCTCTGAAAGGCTTGGGTTCAACCCTCTGTAAGCGGGATAAGGGGGCCTGGGTCCCCCCTCTGTATGGGAGCCTGCGTCTCCCCCTCCGTCAGGGCCCGCGGCGCTCACCACCATGCCATTGATGGACACCCAGCAGTTGCGCGGGAAGTCCTGCAGCATAGGCACCAGGAACTGCAGGCAGCCGTCCCAGTGGCAGAGCAGCAGCATCATGCTGATGAGATTGCAGATCCTCATCACCGCGCTGGCCAGGTCATAGGTCATGTGGAAGATCTGCAGGAAGGCGCCGTGAGCCCACCCTACCCGCTGACCCCCGGCCCCCACCTTCAGAGCCCCAGCCCCGTGCGCCCCCACTGCGGGAGCTCCTGGCCCCCTCCCCCAAATCCAAGGCCCCGCACAGGACCCCCGCCCCACCCTGCAGCCCTGCCCCGGGACCCCCGCCCTCCAAACCCACAGCCCCCACCCCAGGACCCCGCCCACCTCTACAGCCTTCACTGCAGGACCCCCCCAAATCCACAGCCCCCGCCCTAGGACACCCCCCAAATCCACAGCTCCCCACCCCTGATGTCTGACACCGCCCCAGCACAACCCTCATATCCCCACCCCTGATGTCTGGCCCTGCCCCAGCAAAACCCGCATTGCCCCGCCCCTGCTGCCTGACCCCGCCCAGCACAACCCTCATAGTCCCGCCCTTGCTGCCTGACCCCGCCCAGCACAACCCTCATATCTCCACTCGGATGTCTGACCCCGCTCAGCACAACCCTCATAGCCCCGCCCCTGATGCCTTGACCCCGCCCAGCACCCTCACAGCCCTGCCCCTGCTCCTTGACCCCACCCAGATATCACGGCCCCACCCCTGCTGCTTGACTCCACCCCAGCAGCATCATAGCCCTGCCCCTGCTGCCTCGACCCTGCTCAGCAACCTGATAGCCCCACCCCTGCTGTCTTGGCTCTACCACTGCACCATTGTAGCTCCACCCCTGCACCCTCATAGCCCCACCCCTGGGGCCTTGACCCCACCCAGATCTCTCATAGCCCCATCCCTGGGGCCTTGACCCCACCCAGATCTCCCATAGCCCCACCCCTGGGGCCTTGACCCCACCCAGATCTCTCATAGCCCCATCCCTGGGGCCTTGACCCCACTCAGATCTCTCATAGCCCCATCCCTGGGGCCTTGACCCCACCCAGATCTCCCATAGCCCCACCCCTGGGGCCTTGACCCCACCCAGATCTCTCATAGCCCCACCCCTGCTGCCTTGGCCCCACCCATGCACCATTATAGCCCCGCCCCTGCTGCCTTGGCCCCGCCCATGCACCATTATAGCCCCGCCCCTGCTGCCTTGGCCCCGCCCCCGCCCCACCTCACCTCCTCCCACTGATGGATGTAGCGGATCAGGCGTGAGAGGCGCAGCAGCCGCAGGAGGCTGAGGATCTTGGTGAAGCGCACGATGCGCAGGGCGCGTGCCGTCTTGTAGACCTCGGAGTCAATGCCCTTCTCCACGATAAGGAAGATGTAGTCCACGGGGATGGAGGACACGAAGTCCACCACGAACCACGTGCGCAGATACTTCTTCTTGATCTTCTCGGGGTCCAGGATGATCTCCGTGTTGTCCTCGATCACAATGCCGGTGCGGAAGTTCAACACCAGGTCCATGAGGAAGAAGGTGTCCGAGACCACGTTGAACACGATCCACGGGGCAGTGGTCTCATCCTTGAAGAAGGTGATGCCCACTGGGATGATGATGAGGTTTCCCACCATGAACAGCAGCATGGTGAAGTCCCAGTAGAACCTGGGGGCGAGGGTGCCCACACCTCAGGCCGGTGCCTCCCCGGGGCACCTGCGGGACCAGCCCCGGGCACTCTTCCTTGGGGGACGAGGGGCGCCCACACCTCGAGCCAGTGCCTCCTCCGAGGAGCCTGCGGGACCAGCCCCGGGCCCTCTTCCCTGTGGGACGAGGGGCACCCACACCTCAGGCTGGTGCCTTCCCCCAGGCACCTATGGGACCAGCCCCGGGCATTCCTCCCTGGGGGGCGAGGGTGCCCACACCTCAGGCTGGTGCCTTCCCCCCAGGCACCTATGGGACCAGCCCCGGGCATTCCTCCCTGGGGGGCGAGGGTGCCCACAGCTCAGGCTGGTGCATTCCCCCAGGCACCTATGGGACCAGCCCCGGGCCCTCTTCCCTGTGGGACGAGGGGCACCCACACCTCAAGCTGGTGCCTTCCCCCAGGCACCTATGGGACCAGCCCCGGGCATTCCTCCCTGGGGGGCGAGGGTGCCCACACCTCAGGCCGGTGCCTTCCCCCCAGGCGCCTGCAGGACCAGCCCCGGGCATTCCTCCCTGGGGGACGAGGGTGCCCACAGCTCAGGCCGGTGCCTTCCCCCCAGGCGCCTGCAGGACAAGCCCTGGGCACTCCTCCCTCGGGACCAGGCTCCCACCCCAGGAAGGCCACCCAGCCCCGAGGGAGCCCAACGCCCACTGCGCTGCCCTAGCCCAGGTCCCTTCCTCAGGCCCAACTTTGACCCCGTGTCCTTGAAGATGCAGGAGACCTCACAAGGCCCAAGAGGTGGCTCAAAATAGATTAAGTGCTTCACATGACCAGAGAGGGACAATGTGCCTGGCACAAGGTTGGCGTTAAAAAAATAGACAGGACAGGACAGCAGAGGAGCAGAGAGGAGCCGGGGTGCAGAGGGGCACTGGGAAGCAGCAGGGCGAGGCAGGGCGGCGCGCACAGGGAGAGCGAAGGCGGGAAGCCAGGGTGGGAAATGAACCGTGCTCAGCTCACGCCGGGAGGTGAGGGCCCCAGATGCCTTACTGAGAAGCGGGAGCCTCCACAGGGGCCACAGGAAGACTGAACCAGGGCAGCACCGGCTGCATTTCCAGAGGAAGTGGGGCGTCCACGCAGGAGGAGAGAGGAGGAAGTGGGGCGTCCACGCAGGAGGAGAGAGGAGGGAGTGGGGCGTCCACGCAGGAGAGGAGGAAGTGGGGCGTCCACGCAGGAGGAGAGAGGAGGGAGTGGGGCGTCCACGCAGGAGGAGAGAGGAGGGAGTGGGGCGTCCACGCAGGAGGAGAGAGGAGGGAGTGGGGCGTCCACGCAGGAGGAGAGAGGAGGGAGTGGGGCGTCCACGCAGGAGGAGAGAGGAGGGAGTGGGGCGTCCACGCAGGAGAGGAGGAAGTGGGGCGTCCACGCAGGAGGAGAGAGGAGGGAGTGGGGCGTCCACGCAGGAGGAGAGGGGAGGAAGTGGGGCGTCCACACAGGAGGGAGGGAAGCCAAGCAGAGACGGGGCTGGCGCCACAGGGGAGGCCGAGAGGGTGGGAGGAACGGCCGAGCCGGACTTGGCACCATTCGGACGTTCCGTATGATAAATACCCGTGGACAAGAGACCAGAGGGCGTTTCCACTCCCAGATACACCCGGCCAGAGTCCAAGTCCCCAAGGTGGATCCCAAAACTCTCCCTGGGAAGCTCTGGCAGAAAAGGTCCTGTCGGTTCAGGGCCTGCGTATGGCGGGCCAGACACGGTGCTGGGAGTGCCGCGTCCACACAGGAGGTCATAGAGGGTCAGCAAATGGCTACTGGACAGATGCCCAACCCTTTCGCTATCGAGAAAATGAAAATCAAAACGACTCGGAGCAAACACGGGTGGCTCCTTAAAAAGACATAAAATTACCAGCCTCTCCCTGCCCCGAGATTATACCCAAAGAAATGAAAACAAGGACGGACGAGCACCCCGCCGTGTTCACACCAGCTTGATTGCGGACGACAACCACCCCACCGTGTTCACACCAGCTCGACTGCGGACGACGACCACTCCGCTGTGTTCACACCAGCTCGATCCACAGTAGCAAAAAGGCAGAGGCAGCCCAGGTGCCCATCACCAAACGGAGGGACAAACACGGCGCGACCCGTCCACCATGGAACACGACTCAGCCACGAAAAGGAGTGAGGCTCTGACCCAGGCCACGGCGCAGATGCCCCTTGAGGACGTCACGTTCAGTGAGAGAAGCCATTTCTTTTTTTTTCCGAGACGGAGTCTCACCCTGTCGCCCAGGCTGGAGTGCAGTGGCACCATCTCGGCTCACTGCCACCTCCGCCTCCCAAGTTCAAGCGATTCTCCTGCCTCAGCCTCCTGAGTAGCTGGGATTACAGGCATGAGCCACCACTCCTGGCTCATTTTTGTATTTTTAGTAGAGACAGGGTTTCACCATGTTGGTCAGGCTGGTCTCGAAACCCTGACCTCATGATCCTTCTGCCTAGGCCTCGCAAAGTGTGGGGATTACCGGCCTGAGCCACTGCGCCCGGCCGTGTGAGCCCATTTCTACGAAATGTCCAGGACAGGCCAATCCAGAGACAGGAAGGGGATGCATGGGTGCCGGGGGCCGGGGGTTGGAGGGGTGAGAAGTGGCATGTGCGGGGTGCGGTTTCTGTCCGGGGGAATGAGAAAGGTATGGACTATGGATAGTGGTGACGGTTGTACAACAGCAAGAATGGGCTTAATGACACTGATTGATAGGTTTTACAATGGCTAATTGGAAAACTGATAAAAGAAAAAAGCCTGCTGGGTGCGGTGGCTCACGCCTGTGTTCCCAGCACTTTGGGAGGCCAAGGCAGGCGGATCACTTGAGGTCAGGGGTTTGAGACCAGCCTGGCCAATATGGTGAAACCCCGTCTCTACTAAAAATACAGAAATTAGGCCGGGTGTGGTGGCTCACGTCTGTAATCCCAGCACTCTGGGAGGCAAAGGTGGTCGCATCATGAGGTCAAGAGATCAGGACCAGCCTGGCCAACAGAGTGAAACCCCAGCTCTACAAAAAATACAAAAAAAAAAATTGGCTGGGCATGATGGCACGTGCCTGTAGTCCCAGCTACTCGGGAGGCTGAGGCAGGAGAATCGCTTGAACCAGTGAGGCGGAGGTTGCAGTGAGCTGAGATCACGCCATGGCACTCCAGCCTGGCAACAGAGTGAGACCCCATCTCAAAAAATAATAATACAAAAATTAGCCGGGCGTGGTGGCGGGCGCCTGTAGTACCAGCTACTCGGGACGCTGAAGCAGGTGAATTGTTTGAACCCGGGAGGTGGAGGTTGCAGTGAGCCGAGATCGTGCCACTGCATTCCAGCCGGGGCAACAGAGCGAGACTCTGTCTCAAAGAACAAAACACAACAAAACAAAAACCTCTGGGCTCTGGGGCCAAGGGCTCTTGCTGAAGGGGAGGTTCCAGACTGGGGTCTGAGCCCACATGGCCTGCGTGTGCCTGACTCAGACAAGGGAGGGTCTTGAATTTCCAGCACAAAGATTCATAGGATTTTGCCATTAACACTGGGGGCTAGGCCAAACACACTGGCTCATGCCTATAATTCCAACATTTTGGGAGGCTGAGGTAGGAGGATCGCTTGAGCCCAGGAGTTCAAGACCAGCCTGGGTAACATGAGACCCTCTGACACACACACACACACACACACACACACACACACACACACACACACACACGGGACCCCTTCCCATCCCTGTACCAACTCAGCCTTCTTAGTTCTTGAGGTTTTCTTTTTTGAGACAGAGTCTCACTCTGTCGCCCAGGCTGGAGTGCGATGGCACAATCTCGGCTCACTGCAAGCTCCGCCTCCAGGGTTCACACCATTCTCTTGCCTCACCCTCCCGAGTAGCTGGGACTATAGGCGCCCGCCACCACGCCCAGATAATTTTTTTTTTTTTTTGTATTTTTAGTAGAGACGGGGTTTCACCATGTTAGCCAGGATGGTCTCGAACTCCTGACCTCGTGATCCGCCCGCCTTGGCCTCCTAAAGTGCTGGGATTACAGGCGTGAGCCACCGCGCCCGGCCAATTCTTGAGGCCTTATCCCCACCCCAGGCCCAGCCCCTCCCTATCATGGCCGGGGTCCCCACATCCTTTCGGAGGAGATGCTGAGGGACTGGAGGGACTCCCCAAAGTTAACACCAATAAAGAAAAACCTGGGAGCTCATCGCTGGCGTGGCCGCCGGGACCTTTGTTTCAGGAGCCGCCGAAAGTCGGCTCCTTGCTTCTGGACGGCTCCTCGAGGGAAAAGCTGTTAACACCACGTCTGCGGGGTGACCCAGACGCTCCACTTCGGGGAAATGATCCCGAGGAAACGGTCCAAAAGGAAGAGAAAAAAATTAAAAAGCCATTTGTACCAAAATGTTCACAGCAGCTCGGTCTGCAAGAGCCAAACGCTGGAAGGGACCCAGCGACTCACATCGTGGTGGCATCAGCCAGACCTGGGCTGGCACCCGCCTGCTGGCACAGTGACCTTGGACAAGTTCCTGCAGCCCCTGAGAACCTCAGTCTCTTCTTCCAAGCATCCACCGCCTCGGGATGGGGAGGGGCTGAGCCTTCGGGACACCCCCCAAGAACCACCCAGGCTGGGGATAAAACCTAGAGAAGGGCTGACTCAGGCTGGGCACGGTGGCTCACGCCTGTAATTCCAGGGCTTAAGGAGGCTGAGGCGGGCAGATTACAAGGTCAAGAGATCGAGACCATCCTGGCCAACACGGTGAAACCCCGTCTCTACTAAAAATACAAAAATGTATTATTTTTTTGTGTGAGGTGGCGGGCGCCTGTAGGCCCAGCTACTCGGGAGGCTGAGGCAGGAGAACGGCATGAACCCGGGAGGCGGAGCTTGCAGTGAGCCGAGATCGCGCCATCGCACTCCAGCCTGGGCGACAGAGCGAGACTCCGTCTCAAAAAAGAAGGGAAGGGTGGGTGCAGGGGCTCATGCTTCTAATGCCAGCACCTTGGGAGGCCAAGACTAAAGGATCACAGAAGCTCAGGAGTTCAGGACCAGCCTGGGCAAGATAGTGAGATCCCGTCTCTACAAAAAATACAAAAATTAGCCAGCGTGGTGGTGCGCACCTGTGGACCCAGCTACTTGGGAGGCTGAGGTAGGAGGATTGCTCGAGCCCATGAAGTCGAGGCTGCAGTGAGCCAAAACTGCACCATTGCACTCCAGCCTGGGTGACAGAGTGAGACTCTGTCTCAAAAAAAAAAAAGGCTGACTTGATCTCGGGGTGGGGAGGGGTCCCCTCACAAGCTTGAAGGGTGAAATCAAATGACTAAAAGGACTAGAAATTTAAGGCCTTCCTTTCCCTGAGTCTAGACAGGACATGAGGGCTCAGGCCCCCAGTCCGACACATCTGCTCAGCAACGAGACCCCCAGGGCCCCAGCACCGAGTGGGCTGAGGGGATGCCACCCGCCTGCCGCTGGCCCCCTGCCCCTCAGCCCCGAGGGGGCTCACCGTGGAGCTCAGCCCCAGCCTCACCCTCTGGATTGAGACCTGCCTCCCACCTTCGAGCACCAGTCTTGGGACAAAACCAGCAGGAAAGAGCAGTTGAGAAGGCCACAGGGCCTAGAAACCTCCCCCACGAGGGGCGAGGAGAAACTCCCAGGGGGCTCCAGAGACCACCAAGGGGGACCTAGAAACTGCCAAGGAGACCTAGAAACCGCCAAGGAGACCTAGAAACCACCAGGAGGACCTAGAAACTGCCAAGGAGACCTAGAAACCACCAGGAGGGCCTAGAAACCACCAAGGGGGACCTAGAAACCACCAGGAGGACCTAGAAACCACCAGGAGGACCTAGAAACCACCAGGAAGACCTAGAAACCACCAAGGAGACCTAGAAACTGTCAAGGGGGACCTAGAAACCGCCAAGGAGACCTAGAAACCACGAGGAGGACCTAGAAACCACCAAGGGGGACCTAGAAACCACCAGGAGGACCTAGAAACCGCCAAGGAGATCTACAAACCACCAGGAAGACCTAGAAACCACCAAGGAGACCTAGAAACTGTCAAGGGGGACCTAGAAACCGCCAAGGAGACCTAGAAACCACCAGGAGGACCTAGAAACCGCCAAGGGGTACCTGGTTTTAAACGGCCATATAACATGAAGGCCTCCTTTCCAGGTGATGATTAACAGACATTCTCCCCCTTTATTCTTGGGGTGAGCTGGGGGCAGGTACCACACCTCCCCTCTGATGGAAGTGGGACTGCAGGATGAGACCCCAGGACTGTCCTCTTATCCACGGCCCACACTGTCTGGAAACCACCTCCCTTGAGCCTTCTGCTCCTGTGTCCCCAGAAAGGACTCCTCAGCCCATCTTGCCCAGCAGGGCAGTATTCCTGGGGATTACGGGGGTCAGAGCAGAGGGGCCTAGGAGAAGGGACAGGTGGGGTGGCCACCCTGAGGGTCCCTTGTGGGGCTGGGCCTGCCCGTTCCAACCACAATGCCTCCAAGCAGGGCTTGGGGCCGCAACCCTCGTCGTCACCAGCCAGAGGTCAGAAGGAAGAAGGGCGCCCACGCATGTCCCCTACCAAGGGGAAACCGAGGCCTGGGGCAGAGGGGACCCCAGAGCCCTGCAGGGCGTCACTGTCTCTGCCGGTGCACCCCAACCCTCTCCACCCCAACCCTCTCCTTGCCCAACACTAGACTGAGTGACCTTGGGAGACCCTCTCCTGCCTCTCGCCCTGGGGAGGGGGAGGCAGCTCCAGAAGACAGGACCCCAGAGAGGGGACCTGGGGTCAGGGGAAGGCCCAAAGCCCAACCCCACTCCCCCTCACACTCTGTGCAGCCGCGTCCGGCAGCCCTTTCCCCATCCGGCCACCATAGGGACCCAGGCGGGCCCCAGCACTCCCCGGGCACCCTGTGCCCTCCTTGTCCAACCCCAGTGCTGAGCAGGGACAGGCCCCCCTCAGCTGTCACAGAAACATCAGTGACCATCATTAAATCCTGTATTTAAAACCCATCCCCGACAGGTAACAGTGAGGCCTCTACGAGGGCCCCTTCCTCGGAAACGCGGGGGTCCTGCCACTTTGTCCAGCTTGGCCCTCGCAGGCAGGGAGGGAGACCAGCTCCGGAGGCCGGGATGAGGCTGGGTCCCTGGGGAAACCTTCCGGCCTCAGCTCTCACACCTGGGGGACCGGAAGAAGCCTCGGACCCCCTCTCACTCCAGAGTGGCTTCAGTGGGGCCCCCGGCACCTGACACCGATGTGAGCTCAGCCCTCCTCCAACAGCCGCCCAGCCTCTCTCTCGGCTCTGACACGGAAACTGAGGCTCCTCCAGCCATAAGTGAAACAGTGGGATGGGAACCCAGACAGACCATGTCATTCTCCTGCCCCGAGCTCAGGGTTCTTCCCCTGAAGTTCCCAAAGCCGACGCAGGTCCCCGTCTCTCCAGGGCTGGATGAAGCTTGGGGGAGGAGGCCGCCGACCCGGCTCCCAAACCCCACGAGGACACCAGGTCTCCTGGCAACAGAAGGCCCAGGACCCTCAGCCCCTTGGATCCCAGGGGAGGGCCTGCCCAGGGGGTCTTCAGCCCCTGCTGGAGCCTGAGTCCCGGGTTGGGGAACGGGCGAGGGCAGCCAGGCCCTCCCCGCAGGAGCCCAGCCTCAGGCCGGAGGCCGTCCAGGATTTACAGATGGGGACAATCCGGGAGAGGATTAGGGGCCGGAGGTCGGTGATTAAGGGAGAGCCTCGGGCCGGGGGATTAGGAGACGGCACTCTCAGCTGTGGAGTCATGGCCAGATCCGTGGCAGGTGCCCAGGATTAAGAAAGGGAGCTGCTACGGGTGGGGGAGATCTCGGGTTCCCGGGTGATCCCGACGGGGCAGATGTTCACCGAACTCTCGCCGGGCGCCGGGGCACACGATGACCACACAGGCCCAGCCCCAAGACAGACACATGGGATGGGCCTGTCAGCCCCAGGCAGGTGGGAGGGCTCCTTGGAGGAGGTGGCGTGTGGGTGGATGAGATGGTGAGGGGAGGGCAGTGGCTGAAGAGGGGCAGCAGGTGCGGAGGTTGATGCTCCGGGTTCCCTTCAAGGCCGGTGGGCGGCCTCGGGACCAGGGGACATGACTGGGGAGGGCTGGAGCCAGGGAGGAGGTAGAGGTGACAGGGAAAGAAGGACCGATGTCTGGAGAGGCCCATGCTGACAGCCGGGAGGCCAGAAAGGGGGACGGGGAGGCATCTGGCAGGAGAGAGGCGGCCAGCGCACAGGGTGCGAGGCTGAACCGTGGGGTGGGGGGTGAGGCAGGGCCCGGCCCAAGTGAGTGGGGGGCTGATGAAGGTGACTTGAATATGTGGGTTTTTAGGTTTTTTTTATTTTTTTGAGACAGGGTCTCACTCTGTTTCCCGGGCCGGAGTGCAGTGGCACGATCATAGCTCACTGCAGCCTCAACCTCCTGGGCTCAGGTGATCCTCCCGCCTCAGCCTCCAGAGTAGCTGGGACTACAGGTGCACGCCACCACGCCTGGCTAATTTTTTAACTTTTTGTAGAGATGGGGGTCTTGCTATGTTGCCCAGGCTGGTCTCGAACTCCTGGGCTCAAGCGATCCTCCCGCCTCCGCCTCCCAAAGTACTGGCATTACAGGCATGAGCCACAGTGCCTGGACAAAGATGTCCGTTTTCGAGCAGGGAACATAGGGAAGGCCCTGAAGAGAGCGGGGAGGCCTTGGCCACCCCGACCCCTGACCCCTCCACGCAGACCAGAGGGCAGGCCACCGCCACCTGGGATATGGGTCCATGCACACCCCACCATCCTGCACACGCTGGGCCTTCCTGCCGTGACCAGAGCCAGACAAACCCTCGCCTCGCCCTGCCCCCGGGGCCATCCCCCCAGGATAATGGGGGGTTTATTCCCACGCCCTAATGCTGGGATTCATCACTGCGGATTTGCAGAGCTGCACCCCCAGGCTGATCTCCCGCTGACCCACTCAGCCATCTGAGGCGGGGCCCAGGGGCCGCCTGTCCTGGTGGGGTCTTGGAGCAGCTCCTCCCCGACCAGTCCTCTCGGGGACCCCAGGGGACATAACAGATCCTGGCTTTGGGGAGCATCTCGTCTGTCTCCCCTCACACGGGGCCTCCCCAGCTGAAGACAATTCAGAAACACAGACCTGCAAGTCAGCAGCAGCAGGAGACGGCAGGGCGGCCACAGGGCACTTAGCCCTGGAACTGGACCGAGGGCAGTCAGGAAGCCGCCAGCCTCTCTCCACCCGACACCTGCCCTGTGCCCCCCAGAGCTCCCAGGGCACAAACCCCGGATCTGCCCAGGTCTCCACCCCGCCAGGTCTGCCCAGCCCCCTCGGTGACACCGGGGGCAGGGAGGGTGGATGACAGCAAGCTTCGGAGAACGCGACCTCCTCAGACCGCCCCTCCCTGGGCCTTCGTGTCCCCTCCAGCCCCAGCCCCTCTCCTGCGGAGACACCCTCCAGCCCCAGCCCTTCTCGTGCAGAGACCTCCAGCCCCTGCCCCTCTCCTGCGGAGACACCCTCCTTTGCACGACTCAGGCTTTCCCAAGTGGACCTGTGTGGCCTTTAGAATCAGCGGCGGCTGGGGTGAAGGGAGTAGGAATGAACTATACTTATTTTTGACCTAATTTTGCTCTGGGAGGCACAGAAGACCCTGCCGAAGCCCTGGGGGTTGCATAAGGCCAAACCCCTTCCTTCTTGGTTTTCACGCCTGTTCCAATTCAGGCACCAACCGTGATCACCTACAAGGAAGGGAACTTGAGCCTCTGGAACCCAAAACCTTGAACTTGGGTCCTTGAACTTGCTCTTCCACCAGCACCCCAGGGAAGCGCCCAGCATGCCTCTGGGGACTTTCAGACGTCAGGCCGGGGTGTAGAGCCACCCACAGCCCCAGAGACTTCAGCAATAGACCAACTGCACTTCTTCTTCCTTTTCTTTTTTTTTGAGACCAAGTCCCACTCTGTCAGCCAGGCTGGAGTGCAGCAGCGCGATCTCGGCTCACTGCAACCTCTGCCTCCTGGATTCAAGTGATTCTCCTGCCTCAGCCTCCCGAGTAGCTGGGATTACAGGCGCTCGTCACGATGCCCAGCTAATTTTTGCATTTTTAGTAGAGACGGGATCATCTCACCATGTTGGCCAGGCTGCTCTCGAACTCCTGACCTCAGGTGATCCGCCCGCCTCAGCCTCCCAAAGTGCTGGGATCTCAGGCGTGAGCCGCTGCACCCTGGCACCAACTGCACTTCCAAAGGGGCCAGCCGCCCAGGCCTGAGAGCCGAAATCTGGACCCACGTCAGCCCAGGACCCATGCTCTGCCCCTCAGAAAATTCAGCAAATATGTGGCACCTGCTGTATACTGGGACTGGGACGTGGGGCGTGAAAGAGGCCACTTCCGAGCACGGGAGCAGGGTGGACTTGGGCGTGGCGGAGACAGCTGGGCAGCGAGGAAGAACCGGGGTGAGGGCGTGCCTGGGGGGCACAGGCTGGGCAAGGAGCACAGCACTCTCTCAGCAGGAAGGGGAGGTGAAGAGAGTGTGAGACGTGAGGCTGAGACACTGGCAAGGCTGTGAAAGACCCCATCCTTCTCCCTCATACCATCCCCACCGTGCAATTGGGGAAACTGAGGCAGAGGGGCCCAGCGAGGACCCAAGACACCCAGCCAGGCACAGGAGGCCTTGGGCCCGAAGCCAGTTGGGGCCAGGCTCCTGAGTCAGCTGCAAACGTAGAGGCCCCTTCGCTTGCTGTGGGCTGCCCCAAAACACCCTCCACAGCAGGGTCCGGCCGCCTGCTTAGGGAGCTTTTGAGATATTCTTGGGGGTCTTTTTCCACACTGATTCCACACTGGCACAGGTCCCAAGCCTGGGGAGGGTCCTAGGGGCCCCGTGCACCCAGCTTGGCAACATCGAAATCCTTTTTTAAAATCTGACTGCCGTGACTCCCCTAGTCCCGAAGACAGGCCCCGCTAACCCCATTCCCTGCCTGCTCAGTTCCACTTCAACACTCATCTGCCGGGGTGGGGCTGCACTTGGTCCACACAGGGGCCTCTGAGCCCTCTATGCCTCAGAGCACAGAGCGGGGCCACAGCCTGCCCAGGCCTCCAGGCGACCACGCCCAAGGAGGGTGGAAGGATGAGAGGGCTTCACTCCTACCACCGGCCTTCCCCCCAAGCCCCGGGATCAGCCATCTGCCCACCTGCCCCCCAGGCCACCGACCGCCCCTCTGCAGCCAGGGGGTCGCTGGAGCTGCCCAGGGGAGGGAGTGGCTGGTGTGGGCCTCCACCTGCCAGCCCCCACGCTGCGGTGCACCCATCTCTGTCGAAGGTCATGCTGGAGGGGACGGAGGGGAGTGGGCACGTTCTACAGCTCCCTCTCCACCGCGTCCCTCTCCGGTCAGGGGGTGCCACTGCCCGACTGGAAGTGGGGCCAGGCCGACCAGCAGCCCTGGAAGTCCAGTCCTTCCCGCTCACTGTCCACATTTCGCAGGCCAGAGCCCAGATGCTGACCAAGCTCTCCCGGTGGGGCACAGAGGCAGGGTGGGAGGGGCCGGACACAGCCCCTCTGGGGATTTCGGGGCTCCTCCCACCCCTGGCCTGTCTCGAAATCCAGGCTTCTGGTCAAAGCTGTATTCACCTCTCAGGAAGGCCTGGGGTGGGAGGAGGATTCCAGGGCCTTCCTCCAGGCTCTGTCCAGGACGCATGTGCCCCAGGCCTCAGTTTCTCCAGTCAAGCACTAGGGGTGCAGAGAATCCAGGGGAAGAGAGAACCCCACAGCCTCCCTGCCCAGTTCCGGGGGTCCAGGGTCCGTGGGGGCTGTCCTGGGGCGCCCAGGCCTGGAGGAGGAGAGACAGGCGGGAAAACCGCAGGCTTCCCAGGTCCGGCGCGCTGTCCGTGGTGCTGAAACCGCGCCCGTCCCGCGCGCCCGGCCTCGCTAGCCCGGCGGGCCCCACCTACACCCTCCACCTGCACCCTCCACACCCCACCTCACACCCCACTCGTGGATACACAAACACACACGCATCCCTCCATGGTCGCGTGTGTGAGACCTGCCTGCGGCTCACACTACTGCCCACCGGTGCACACCGGCCCCGGGCGTACACGCGCACGCCCGCCACCTGGTCCCAACACACACAAACCACACGTCCCACCAAAATAAACCCACCGGAGGCGCACACGCCCGCGACCACCACGCAAACACACTCCTGGAGACACACCTCTCCGGCCACAGGCTCGCGCCCCGGGAACCCCGCCGCGGTCACGGGCCCCTGTTCACACACAGCCCACGGGGACACGCGCCGGTCTCGCTCTCCGGCCACAGCACGCACAGCCCAGGAACCACGACCGCAAACATCAGTGGCGGTGGCCCCGCGCCGGCCCTGCTCCGAGCCTTCCACGCATTAGCCGGCTGGATCCACAGCGGCGTCTACACACCCACCGCCGCATGCGCGCACCGCCCGCGGCTCGGGTGGAGCGGCTCCCGGGGACACAGCCTGGGGACCCGCACGCTTTCCAGGCCCGCGGCCCCGGGCGCGCCTCCTCGCAGGCGGGGCGCGGGTGGACGCCGTGGGAGCCGCTTAACCCCCTCTCCCCCGGCCTCCCTGGGGCGCGTCCTTCCCGGGCGCCCTTCGTTCCTCCTCCCTCCCGCTCCGCCGCCTCTCTGGGGCCCACGTTCCCCTCTATTCGTCCTCTCTGCCCCTCTGCGCTCAGACCCTGGCCCTGCGGCCCACCCCACCCGCCGCGCCGCAGGGCGGAGGATGTCGGGGTGCGTGGGAGGGGGGCGCTCCGCGGTCACCCGGGGAGCCCCCCCAGAGGCGGAGCCTCGCGCGCCGGGGTCACTCCGGGGCGGGTCCCGGACACGCCCGAGGTCACCGAGGAGCCCCGAGGTCACCGGCCCGGCGCGCCGCCCCGCCCTCCCCAGGCGCTCCAAGGACGGCTCCCCGCGCGCCCGGCTCCCCGGGCCCCCTCGCGCCGACCGGCCCTCCCGGAGGCGGTACCTGAAGTCGCTGTACGGGTGGATGATCCAGGCCCCCGCCGACTTGACGCGCTCCTGCTCGCGCTCCACGGCCTTCTGGCTGCCGAACATCCGCAGCGAGAACTTGTTGACGCCCGGCTGCAGGAGCGCGCCGAACTGGCGCTGCATGAAGCTGGCCTGGCTGCCGCGCGGCTCCCCCGCCGGGCCCGCCTCCTCGCTGCCCGCCTCCTCCGCCGGCCCCGGCCCCGGCGCGGGCCCCGAGGCCGCCCCGCGGCACGAGAACGACACCTTGGGCCCCCGCGCCGGGCCCTCGGGCCCCGCGGGGCTGCACTGCGGCTCGCCGCGCCCGCACTCGCCGTTCGGGCTGCCCTTGGCCGTGCTCGCCGCGCCCGGGGTGCCGGGGCGGCCGCACGAGCTGTCGCGGCTGCGGAGCCGGCCCCGCGGGCCGCCCTCATCCGCCGCCTCCGGGGGCAACGCCTCGGCCCGGGGCGGGTGCTGGGGGGGCGCGGGCCCGGGGCCCGGGGGGGGCGCGGGCGGCGGCGGCGGCGGCGGCTGCTGTTGGGGGGGCGCGGGCGGCGGCGGCGGCGGCGGCCCCGGCGCGGGGGTCGCGCCCGGGCTCTCCCCGGGCCGCCCGCCGCCCCCGCGCGCGTCCATGGCGAGGCGGCGCCGGGCAGTGCGGAGCGGAGCCGCCGCCGCCGCCGCCGGCCGGAGCCCGAGGGAGGGGGGAGGCGGGGGCGGGGCGGGGCGGAGCCGCGGGGGGCGGAGCCTCGCGGCGGGGGAGGGGCGGGGGAGGGGCGGGGGCGGGAGACCCGCCTCGGCTGCGCCCCCTCCCCGCGCGCCGCCTCCGCTCGGCGCCGGGAAACTCGGGCCGCGGGGTCGGGGGCGCCCCAAGGTCACGCGGCCCGAGGCCTCGGAGCCCCGCGCGGGCCTCTCCCCAGGAGGGGAAACTGAGGCCCGCGACGTGTAAGGACGCGCCCAAGGTCACCGGGCCCCGCTGCCCGGCCGGAGCCGCCTCTCCTGCGCCGCGGCTTCCACCTCTGTCCGGAGGGCACCGGCGCGGGGAGGGTGGACGCGGGCCTGGGAGACGGGAGAGGCCGCCACGGCCAGCGCCTCCTTGCTTTCTGTGAGGTTTGAAGACTTCCACGACGAAAGGGTGTTTCTAAAGGTCACAGGAGCCCTTGCTGGGTCGCCTGTGGGCCCTGGACAGAGACCCTTGAGTGCGTGGGGAGGGGCAGGCCGGCTTGGGCGCCGTTCTGGGAGACTCAGGCACTCCTCTCCCTGGTCTGCATTTGAGGAAACTGAGGCCAAGCCCAGCCAGACAAGGAAAACTGGAAAAGCCACCCGAGGGTGTGGGGTTCCCACCCACCCCTCAAACAGTGCCCTGGGGAGCCGTGCGGCGGGGGTCTCCTCTAGGTCTGGTGGGCTTTAGATTGGGGTCACAGGGAGACCCAAAGCCCACTAGCGCCTTCGCACGGGTACCAGAGCCCCCTGCCCCGGGGTTGCCTCCTTTCCCCGACCCCTCGGACTCCGGGTGCAGCTGTGCCCCCAGTGCCTCCAGTCCCCAGCTCTGAGACAGGTGCTTCCCAAGGCTCTGCTTCTGGGCCGAAGCCGGCTGGGCGTGGGTGCTGCTTGGTGCCAGGTGACATGAGGCCTCTGTCCCTAGCCACCCAGCCCACCAGACAGCCGGGAGGGGGCAGGTGAGGAAGCTGGCAAGTGAGAGAGAGGAGACAGACAGTCACACTCGAAGAAGTGGAGGCTGAACATCCCCACCTGGAGGCAGGAGGCCCTCCTGGGACCCTCCTGGCACCTGGCCTGACGTCCTCTCAGCCACGATGTCCCGTGTGCCGGGTGCCCCCCACCCATCTGCACCTCGAGGCCACCGGGGCAGAGATGGCCCTCTTCCTACACCCAGGAGGCACTCAGTGGTACTTGAGGGAGGGCCAGCATGTGCCCGGCTGACAGTGGATGGGCTGAGCCCGACCGTGTCTCTCGCCTCGGCCTGGCTGCCCCACACCCTGGGGATCCCTGCGCCCCCACGCCGGCCCCGCCGGCCACCTCCGCATAGGCGGGCAGGACAGCTGTTTGTCCCAAGGTGGTGCGGGAGAGGCCGGGCGGGCGGCACAGTTGGCAGTGCCAGGCTGTGGCCCGCCCCGAGGCAGATGCGTGCTCCAGCTGAAGGGGGTTCTTTTATGTTCACCCTGGGAAGATGTCAGGCCGGGCAGGTCGCCAGAGCCCCAGGGCTCGCGGCTGGGAGCAGGGAGGAGGCGGGACCCGCACGGCACGAGAACCGCCCATGCCTGGCAGTGGGAGAAGCAGAAAGACGCCTCCTGCAGGCGCCGGCAGAACCCGCAAGTCACAAGGGAGGCTGTGGCTCGGGGTCCTTGTCACCAGATCCTGGCGACGGCTCTGCAGCCCACAGGCTTACCCAGGCCAGCGCCTGTCAGTGTGCACGGGGACCCTCCCTGGCCTCGGCACACTCACTCTGACCCCTTGCCCAGGCCGGAGTACTCTGTATTTATCTGTTTATTTATGTATTTATTTATTTTTGAGTTGGAGTCTCGCTCTGTCGCCGCCCAGGCTGGAGTGCAGTGACGTGACCTCGGCTCACTGCAACCTCCGACTCCCGGGTTTAAGCGATTCTCCTGCCTCAGCCTCCGGAGTAGCTGGGATTACAGGCGCCTGCCACCACGCTCGGCTAATTATTGTATTTTTAGTAGAGACAGGGTTTCGCCATGTTGGGCCAGGCTGGTCTCCAACTGCTGACCTCAGGTGACCCACCCGCCTCGGCCTCCCAAAGTGCTGGAATTACAAGTGTGAGCCACCCCCCCAGCCATGCTCATTTATTTTAATTTAAAAAATATTTAAAGATTGAGACCAGCCTGGCCAACATGGTGAAACCCCATCTCTACTAAAAATACAAAAATTAGCCAGGCGTGGTGGTGGGCGCCTGTAATCCCAGCTACTTGGGAGGCTGAGGCAGGAGAGTCGCTTGAACTCAGGAGCCAGATGGTGCAGTGAGCTGAGATCACACCATTGCACTCCAGCGCTTGGTGATAGAGCAAGACTCCGTCTCAGAAAAAAAAAAAAAAAAAAGCCGGGCGCGGTGGCTCACGCCTGTAATCCCAGCACTTTGGGAGGCCGAGGCAGGCGGATCAGTTGAGGTCAGGAGTTCGAGACCATCGTGGCCAACATAGCAAAACCCTGTTTCTAATAAAAAATATAAAAATTAGCCGGATGTGGTGGCACATGCCTGTAATCTCAGCTACTCAGGAGGATGAGGCAGGAGAATCGCTTGAACCTGGGAGGTGCAGCGAGTCAGGATGGCACCACTGCTCTCCAGCCTGGGTGACACAGCGAGACTCTGTCTCAAAAAAAAAAAAAAAAAAAATCAACAAAAACTTATTAAGCACCTACTCCAGGCCGAGTATTGACTCAGAGGCCAGTACAGCTGACTCAGAGAGCCAGCCAGGGGAGAAAGCTGGGTATCACAGTCAACCTTATGAGTAGCAAGTAAGATACTGTCCAGCAGAAGGTGGTGAGCATTGTCCAAACACTCAGGGTGGGGAGGGGGCCAGGTGCTGGGAGAAGGCCTGAAGGAGGGGGTGCGGCCCGGGAAGCTGCAGGAAGCTCTGGGCAGGCGGCATAGCCTGTGCGAGGGTCCTGAGGTGGGACCGCACCTGGCTTGTGTAGGGAGCATGGAGCCCCAGGGCCTGGCCCCTCAGTCAGTCACATCGGTCTGTGGCCTAAAACCACTCACAGCTCCCAGTGCCTTTGGAAGAAAGCCCGGGTCCCTCCAGCAGCTTGTACTCCTCCGCCCGAGTCTGGCCTTTGTGTGCCTGGGTCACTGGACCCCGAACTCCCAGACCCCTCCTCGCTGAACCTCCCCAGGCCCTGCCATTCCCTCCCCAGGGTCTTCCCCATCTCCCCGCCCCCTGCAGCCTCTCTCGGCATTGTTTACCGGATTTACCAACCTCGGACCTACATTTCCCACTTAGTCAGGACAGGTCCAGGTCGCACGCCCTGAAAGCTTATACAATTTTGGGGCCTTTGGAGTGAAAAGCAGTTTAAGACCAGGAAGACAAAATCAGGCCAGGGCAGGCACTGAGCCCGCCTGGAAAATCTGCAGTTTGACTCAATAAATACTAAACGAGCCAGGGGGAGGGGTGCGTGTCATCTGTGGTCCCAGGTTCTTGGGAGGCTGAGGTGGGAGGATCACTTGAGCCCAGGAGGTCGAGGCTGCAGCGAGCCGAGATCAACACCACTGCACAAACAGCCTGGGTGACAGAATGAGACCCTTGTCTCAAAAAAAAAAAAGAAAATTAAAGAGATGAGCTGTGCATGGCAGGCCTGGGCCCACATTTACAGCGGAGGAAACAGAGGCTTAGGAAAGGGGGTGGCATCCCAGTCTCAGCCACACACGCAAGCTCCATCTCTGCAGGAGCACAGCCCTGAGGGCCCCTGCCCCAGGCCTCCGTGTCTGCAGCGTCTGCGATGAGAGCAGGGCCCCCAGTCCTGCTGGCCTGGGATTCACACAAGTTTCCTTCTCCCTGCTGGGCTCACCTTGCCCCAGGAGCCTGGTGAAAAATATGGGGAAGACCAAAGTCTTTCCGCACGGGCCAGTTCCATGTCAGCAGCTCCTTCTCACTCCTTCAGCTCTGCCCTCCACGGCGGGACCTTGGATGAGTCACTGTCCCTGCCCTGAGCCCCTAGAGTGGGACGTGCTGCTTAGAGCCACAGCCCAGAGTGGAGGGGATGGGGCAGGCCCTGTCCTTGTGGGCTCCCACTGGGGTGGGGGGTAAGAGGGAGGAGAGGCCAATTTGCCCAGGACAGGAATAGGCAGCCCAGCTTTGGGGCCGCGGTGGGGTCCAGCCCATGAACAAACACTTGTTCCTCTGGCCGCCCCAACCCTACCCCTGCCCACTGGGAGCTGGGACTCCTGAGACCCCAAGGTTCCCAGGGGAGCCCTGAGGCCTTTTCCTGATACTTGGCAAGGATGATCTAATCTCATCTCATGACCTGGCGGTGGTGACTTCCCCATCTCACCTCTGGGGAAACCGAGGCAGGCTTCAGCGAGTTGCCACCAAGAGCACCCAGGGACGGGGTGGACATCGGGCTGGGCACCCACCGACGGGGCGGACATCCACCTCCGCACCCCTCCGCGCCGGGCACCCACCGACGGGGCGGACATCCACCTCCGCACCCCTCCGCGCCGGGCACCCACCGACGGGGCGGACATCCACCTCCGCACCCCTCCGCGCCGGGCACCCACCGACGGGGTGGACATCCACCTCCGCACCCCACGCTGGACACCCAGTGACGGGGCGGACACCCACCACTGCGTACCCCAGTGCTTATTAGATGCTTGTTGGATGAACGAGGACACTAAATGCTGAGGGCAGGTGTACAAAGCTACATGCTGAGTGGTTATACTTTTGTGAATCAGGTTTACGTTTCTGTGTGCAAAGAAAAAAGATGAAGTTAGTGCCCAGGGGTGAGGGGCTGCTTTCTCGGGCGGACGACCCTGCACGGACCCAGGCGCCCCATCTGCCGGTAAGCACCCCAGGAAACCTGCCCGTCTCCCAAGGCTGCCCTGACCTGTAACTCCCACACCTCCCACCCGGTACAGAGCATGAGGCGTCCACAAGCACGGTGGGCCCACACCTGGGGCTGAGGGTGCGGCAGAAAGATGGACAGAGCCCAGGCAGGGAGGTGGGGGGAGACCTGAGCCAGGGGCCCACCTGGGCCGCGTGCCCGGCGATGTCCCCAACGCGCCCCTTCCCCATCGTCCTGTTGGCAGCCTCCATCCCACTGGACCTTTCTGCCTGTTGTCCACGCACACCCTCCAGCTCCAGGTATACCACAGGCGCCTAATCAATGTCTGCACGCAGACGTGGCATCCCTATTCACAGGTCACTGAGCACACTTTCAGTGGGTGATGCCTGGGACTCTGCGGTCTCAGCCGAGGAGGAGGGGCCGTCAGGCTGCCCGGGCAGAGGGGCTCCAGGGCCTGCCCCACTCAGCGTGGGCGTGCAGCGCCGCCTGGTGGCAGCCGGCAGGGAGGGCCCAGCTGTGGAACCCAGCAGCCCCCACCTAGCAGGGCAGTTGCTGCCAGGGACCCTGAGCCAGCCTCAGATCCTCCAAGGCTGTGCAGCACGAGGACCAGTGGGCAGCTCCGGATGTGGGCCCTGCAAGTCCACCGCTGGCCCAGCAGGATCAGTGCCGGGAGCAGCTGCCGCCCGGGGCCCGTCACCGTGTTTATTCAACTCCCCCTTTGCGTAGCCCTGTGAGGCCGGAGGCCGTGAGCCCTTTCTTGGCTTCCGTGGCATGAAAACGCTGGATTTGCCCAACACGGAAACACACTGCCTTCCCATCTTCCCATCTGATTCCTAGCTTCTCTGGGAACCCACCCAGGCTCCCTAAGCCCCCACTAAGCCTCTTTTGCTGACCTCCACCCTGAGACCCCCGCTCAGACCAGCAGAAGGCCCAGTGCCACACTCGGCCTGCAGGGCTGACACAGCCGCTGCAAACCTCCCTCCAGACCCAGTTACTGGTCCTGCAACTTGCAACCTCCACGCTCTAAGCTCCTGGTCCCCCAAGCTCTCCAGCCCTGCAACCACATCTGTTCCGTGTGCTGGGCGGGCAGGGGCTGGGCATCCCTCAGCCTCTGGGCACCAGCTTCACACACCCACTCTCCAGGAGCAGCCAGGACCACCCCTGAACCTTGCCCAAGCAGCCCGCCCAGGTGGGTGGGTGCAGGCAGCTGCAGGGCAGGCAGCAGAAAGCCTCAGCCTTTGTCAGGCCCAAAACATGCCGAGAGGAGTAACAGGCTCAGAGAAGGCTCAGGTCAGTGCCCACTCTCTTCTGTGTGGCTCTGAGGCACGGGGTCGGCCCCAGCCACCTTCCAAGTTCCCAGTCCGGCTGACAGCCTCAGGCCCTGTCCAGCCCATGCCCCGAGCCACCCAACACCCACTGCGGTCTCAGCAGACCCGTCCTCGCATGTGAAATCCCAGTACTGGACGCACCCCTGCTGTGACCACCAGAGCCCAGGGTGCACCTGCTCTCGGAAAACCCAACCCCGTCAGGCACAGACAGGAGCCAGGAGAGGGTGAGGGTGGAGGTGGGGGCGATCTTTATTGTGGCGGTGGGTGGGAGGGGGGTTCCCACGTGAGCCCTGGTGCTATAGAGAGCCGGCCGTCCTCCAGGGGTGAGCTGGGGAGGCTTCTGCGGTTCTGGAGTCCCGGCGATGGCGCCAGTTCCCCAGCAAACCCCCTCCAGAGCTGCCCCCGGATGCACAGACAAGGAGGGGGCTTGGGAGTGACTTGAGGCTGTGACGGGGTCGCCCTCGGTGTGGGCAAGTGAGTCCTCTGTGGCCAAGAGGTCAGAGTCGTCCCTGAGGCTGAGTCGAACACAGACCCGTGGCCCTCATAAAATTAAACATAAAAGCACAAAAATGGCGCAACCAGACAGCATTGGCTTCAGACAGGCAGGACACGGGGCCCCTCGTGTGACCTGTGACTTTCCACAAAGGGCAAGGACCTGGCACTGACTCCGGCCAGTGGAGAAGGCTGTGCCGCCCACCCGGCCATGACTCAGACCCAGAGGCTGAAAGCCACAGACGGGGCCGCAGGGCAGCAGCTCCCGGGCTCTCGTGAAACACTTCAGAAGGAAAAAAACCTAAGGAACAGAATCCTGAATGGAGAAAACCCAACTTTTTTAAAAAAGAAGGAAGTGTATGATGGGAATCTACGGGGTGGGTTTTCTTTAAGAGGTGAGAACTTGGAATCTTGCAAGCACTGGGAGTGGACTCCGGCGGCGGCGCAGACGTGGAGCAGGGAGCGTCCTCGGGCCACCTGTGGACAGGGAGGGGCGCTCAGACTGGACCCACCTCCCAGCGACCCACAGGCGGGACCCAGGAGCCCACACCTGGCTAGCAGATCCCGCCCACCACACCTGGCTCAGGAGTTCCCGCCCACCCACCCACCACACCTGGCTCAGGAGGAGCTCCCGCCCACCGCACCTGCCTCAGGAAGAGTTCCTCTGGCGGACGTTCTTGCCTTTGTCATTCTGGTGCTGCCCGCTGCTCTTCCTGGGGCACGAGGGGCCGGGTGAGAGGGTGTCCCCCGCAAGTCACTCTCTCCAAGTCACCCCTGCCCACCCCGGCCCCCAGGACCCCCGAATACTGAAGCCCAGGGGCTCTGCCTTTGTGTTTTAAAGGCCTGGGGCAGCAGGCCGCTCCTTGGGACCCCCGACCCCCACAGCTGGAACTTACAGGGGTGCAGAGCCGGCGTCGTCATCTGAAGAAGGACCGCCGCCATGAAAAAGAGGACGAGAGGACAGCCTGTCAGCACTGGCCCCACTCAGGCCCCGAGCAGGGGCATCTGTGCTGCCAGCCCTGCCCTCAGTGACCCCCAGGGGTGGCTCGGGGCAGCTCATCAGCCCCGGCCACGTGCATCTTCTGAGTGCTGTGGGGAAAGGCAGCCCTCCCCACCTGCAGGTGTGCTCCCCATGGTGAGCTGTCCCCATGGCCTCGTGGGCCTCACCCCTGCCCCACAGCGTTTTCCAGGAGCTGCCATCACAGGCCCCACACAGGCCTCGCCCCGGCACACGCAGCCCAAGGGGCAGAAGGGCTCCGCGAGGAGGCAGGCAGGGGCTGCCGGAGCACAGCATGGCTGACCTCAGGTTCCCGAGCCTGATCATGCAGAGCAGCAAGGGCCGGCTCACCACGGAGGACACTGGCTTGCAGCCAAGTGAGCGGGAGGGAAGGGCCGGGTGAGGCTGTGGGGCGGAGGTGCCGCCTCCTCCTCCCGGGGTCCCGCTGCCCACTGAGCCGCAGCTGCCCGGGGCTAGACCCTCCATCCCACACTTTCTTTCGGGGTCCCATCAACTCCCTGCCTGGGGCTCCTCAGTTCCAAGCTCTGGGTCAGCGGTGGGGC
Organism: Homo sapiens; assembly: GCF_000001405.40. Classification (NCBI taxonomy): domain Eukaryota; kingdom Metazoa; phylum Chordata; class Mammalia; order Primates; family Hominidae; genus Homo; species Homo sapiens. The sequence continues at coordinate 581,666 of NC_000019.10, read as the reverse complement.
TGGCAGGGACGGACCAGGAGTGGCCCTGGGCCACCCCGAGAGCAGGGCATGTGGGCAGGAGGGCAGACGGCTCACCATCCAGGACGTCCTCGGGCTTCCGGCGCTTCTCGTAGATGAAGATGATGGTGACCAGCACCAGCACCTCAGCCACGATGCCCAGGAAGGGCCAGAGGGCGGCCAGGTGGCTGCGCACGCGGAGCGTGATGATGGCCTGGTCGGAGCCCTTGGAGCTGGTGCCGTTGCACCGGTACTGGCCGGGGTCGGCCTCCATGTTCAGGTTCTCAATGTGTAGCTCTGACCGGCCCTGCGAGGAACTCACGAAGAACCTGCTCTCGGAGCCGTTCATGAGGGCCTAGGGGACCAAAGGCAAGGGCTGAGTCCAGGACCCCCAGTCTAGGCCCCTCACCCAGTCCTGAGGGCTGAGTCCGGGACCCCCAGTCTAGGCCCCTCACCCAGTCCGGAGGGCTGAGTCCGGGACCCCCAGTCTAGGCCCCTCACCCAGTCCGGAGGGCTGGGTCCGGGACCCCCAGTCTAGGCCCCTCACCCAGTCCTGAGGGCTGGGTCCGGGACCCCCAGTCTAGGCCCCTCACCCAGTCTGGAGGGCTGCAGTCCAGAGGGCTGGGTCCGGGACCCCCAGTCTAGGCCCCTCACCCAGTCCGGAGGGCTGGGTCCGGGACCCCCAGTCTAGGCCCCTCACCCAGTCCGGAGGGCTGGGTCCGGGACCCCCAGTCTAGGCCCCTCACCCAGTCCTGAGGGCTGGGTCCGGGACCCCCAGTCTAGGCCCCTCACCCAGTCCTGAGGGCTGGGTCCGGGACCCCCAGTCTAGGCCTCTCACCCAGTCCTGAGGGCTGGGTCCAGGACCCCCAGCCTCCTTGGCTTCTCACCTTGTCCTCAGAGTCAGTGATCTTGTACCAGGCCCAGTCAGTGACAGGTGGCACGGACTCTGACTTGCAGACCAGCATGGCCGTCTCCCCCTCGTTGATGTGTTCTGACGACTTCACAGCCTTCACTCTGGGAGGCCCTGACAGGAGGGTGAGAGAGAGGAGCCTGGAACCGCAGGCCCGCCCCCATCCCCGGCCTCCCGCAGGAGGGCTGTTCCCCTCCAGGGAGCAGGGGGCCAGGGCTCTGGGATGTGCCGGGTGCCTCAGGCCAACAACTTCTCCCGACAGTCGGTGGTGCCCGGTACCCCTGGCTGCAGGACTCACCGTGGAGCTGGATGTTGGCCGTGCCCATGGGCTCGGGGAGGAAGACGCAGGAGTACTCTCCCCACTGGTCGTCGGAGTCCACCCTGCAACCACAGCAGGCAGGTGAGCCGCGTACCAGCTCTGCAGGACGCCTCCAAGGACCCAGGGTTCTCCAGGGGCCCAACCACGGCACAGTGAAAAAGCAAAACTGTCCCAGTCAAGTCTGAACCTCAAAAGAACTCCTGGGGTCCCCGTGCGGCCCCAAGGACAGAGCCAGGCTGGCAAGACCCCACAGGTGAGAGAACCAACAGACCCCCTTCTCCCCGACTGATGAACCCCACACCTCTGGTCCCTGCTCTGCACCCCACACCCTGTGACCGTCTTCCCAGTCAGCCTGAAAACAAAAGGCTCTGTGCTCCCAGGGCCGTCCCAGCCCCAGTTATGACAAAGCTCCGGCCATGACAGCGTCTGGGGTCCGAGCAGGGCATGCCTCAGTGTGGTGCCCTCTTGTGCCAGGAGCACAGAGCCTGGGAGGCCCGCACACGTGCCCGGGACCTGGCAGTGTGGCGCCCTTTCGTGCCCGGGACCTAGTGAGGAGCAAGCAATGGGGACTCCTGCCAGGGCTGCTGGAGCCCCCTGCCTCACAAGGACGCCCCTCAGACCCCTCCCTGGGGTTTCCCTCTGGGGGTCTGCGCGGAGCTGGTCCCTAACTTCCGCCTGGATCAAGCCTGCCGACCGGTCTTTTGTTCTCACGGACCACAGGCCGCTGGCGGCAAGAGAGCCGTGAGAAGGGGCAGGTGGCGGCATGGCGTGGTCAGGCACTCACTTGAACTCCGTTTTCTGGCCGGGCAGCGCGTCCTCCTTCAGCACCACGCCCCCCTTCAGCCAGCGGTGCCCTGTGACCTCTGTGGCGCTGTCATTCAAGGAGCAGGTGAGGAGTATCTTGGAGCCAAGGTCTTCTACGGTAGTGAAGACTGTGCCGGCTGCAAGGCCCGGCGAGACGCGGTCAGCAGAGTGGAGGAGCACGGCCCGCGCTGCCTGCCTGACCCCCAGGAACCTGCGGCTCCTCCCCGGGAAGGACTGGTTTTCATCCCAAAAATACACCGTGGCCCTTACGCCCCGAGGACCGGAGGCCCAAGGGGAACTTCTGGCCACGCCTCCGGGAAGGGAAGAGCCCAGCGCCTGCTGAGGAGGCCCCTTCGGGAAGGCACCCCCTTCGGGAAGGCACCCTTCGCTGGCAGCTGGCGGGCCCTGGGCTAAGGCGCTGGGAACCCAGAGGCCCCGCCTGGCGATGTTCCTGCCCAGAGACACACGAGGCTGGGACCAGGGTGTGGGGACAGACAAGGCACCCACCCACGTCCCTGAGCAGGGACCAGGGCATCGAGCTCTTGTAGCAGCCCCAGCACAAACTGGAAATTCTTTTCTAAAAACGTAGCCAGCTGGGCGCGGTGGTGGCCGGGCGCGGAGGCTCACGCCTGTAATCCCAGCACTTTGGGAGGCCAAGGCGGGTGGATCTCGAGGTCGGGAGATCGAGACCATCCTGGCTAACACGGTGAAACCCCGTCTCTTCTAAAAATACAAAAAATTAGCTGGGCATGTTGGCTCATGCCTGTAATCCCAGCTACTCAGGAGGCTGAGGCAGAAGAATCGCTTGAACCCGGGAGGCGGAAGTTGCAGTGAGCCGAGATTGTGCCACCACACTCCACCTGGGAACAGCAAGACTCCATCTCCAGGAAAAAAAAAAAAAATAGCCACAGCACCCCCGGCCAAGGCTCCCGTGCCCTTCTCTAGGAGGCACTCAGGTGGCCCCACATCCCCCCAGCCCCAGGCTGACGGCACTCCAGCAGTGCTGGGAGCACCCCGGTTCTTCTGCCAATCCCCAACCAAGCAAATCTCTTGGTTCTTGGTTAGTTTACAATATTCCCGCTAGGAATTGAAATTTGAAAATCCCTTAGAACGAGATGCTGCGAAGGACACAGAAGGTTCTGAGACCTGCAAGCCTGGGCTGAGCTTGGAGGGCCCCTCAGGCTTGCAGTATGGACGCTCAGGGAGGGAGCCGGGCAGGCGCCCGGGGAAGCAGAAACGACGGAACGGATGGCACGAGGGTCGAGGGGAGGACGAGGACCCACCTGCTGGAGGGCAGAGCCCTGCCTGCCCCGAGCCAGGCCGCCCAGCGCTGGTGGTCAGGCGGCGAGCCCACCCCCTTCAGGTCCGGGCCCCTCCGTCCAGGCGGTGGGCCCAACGGGGCACAGCGGGACGGAGAGGGGAGGAGGCGTCTGGGTTCTACTGAGCAGGAGCCGGGAGGCGAGCGGCACAGGAGGGAAACTGAGGGAGGCGGGGAGGGAGGTGCCCGCCACTCACGTTCCAGGACTAGCACGACTGCCTGGGCGCGGACCCACTTGACCCTGGGCGCCCGGGTCAGGTGGTTGCGATCCGGGTCGTTGCTGGCCCGGCACTCGTAAGTGCCCGTGTCCTCCTCCACGAGCGTGTCGATGGAGATGGTGCTGGCCGCGTGCTGGTGGTAGGTGGCGTGGATGTGGACGCGGTCCAGCCGGGCGCCGTCCCAGAGCTGGGAGCAGGTGTCGTTGGGACCCTGCCCTTCAAACCACCACTGGATCTCGGGCACCGGGCTGCCCACGGCCTCGCAGTGCAGCTCCACACTGCCCCCCACCCACCTCTGCTGGGACAGCGGCGCCTGGACGAAGCCGGCTGTGGGGAGAGCACGCGTGGGGTCTTGTTAGTGCCTGGGGCACTTGGGAGGGCAGCTCCTGGGGAAGGCCTCGCCCACAGGACTCCCAGCCAGGGCTGGTGGAGAAGCCACTTCCTTTCAGCTTGTGGGAGAGTGATGGGGCCCGGCTGGAAACAGCATGGCATGGGAAAGACCGTGGGCGTCCCGTCCACTGCTACCTCACGGCAGCCACGGCGGCTTCTGAGGGCACAACTGTGGGACCACACGTGGTTTCAAAACACAAAACACATGAAACTGGGCAGAAGAGCCAGGAGTCCTGAGCCCCGAGGGCTGCCCAGAGCTCAGGTCCCAAGCGCACCGTCCTCTGACTTCTGCCCGATACCCTGACCCCAGAGACCCGGGTGAGCTGCTGAGAAAAACAAACCCCAAAGCCCAAAGGGGCAGGCGGCCTCTGTCCAGAAGCCCCTAGCCCGGCTCCGTTAGGACAGCCCGTGGGTGGAAAGCTCGTGTCCTCAGCAATCTCTGAGGGCGGCGACCCAGAGAGAGGCGGATTTGGGAAGCTGGGAGCCAGGCAGGGCCTCAGGGCCTCTCACCTCCAGCCACACGCCTCCCCTTCCTTCGAAATGCAAGGGAAGGCCCCCAGAGCTGCCAAGGAGCACAGCAGAATCCACACAGAACCTCACACTGTGCCTAGCACTCGCCTGCCAGGAACAGCCCAGCCCAAGGGGAAGCGTGGGGAGTGCCTCCTCCCGCCAGGACCTTGCAGCCCTCCCCACAGCACCTTCTGAGGTCAGACTCCCCAGGCACCGCTACAACACACACACACACACAAGGACACACGTCTGCAAACACACACAACACATACACACGTGCATATGCGTGCACACGGCTCCGAGGCTGCGTGGCAGTGCACAGGTCACGGCCCCCAAGGCCACGGGGACAGGAATGTTCACGTCTGAGCACCTCAGGTGAGCTCTGGGCAGGCGCAGTTGACAAGTTTTGGCAGCGCCATTTTCTTTCTCCTCTTCTTCTTTTTTTTTTTTTTGAGACAGAGTCTCACTCTGTTCAGCAGTGGTGTAATCTCAGCTCACCGCAACCTCTGCCTCCCGGGTTCAAGCAATTCTCCTGCCTCAGCCTCCCAAGTAGCTGGGATTACAGGTGCCTGCCACCACACTCAGCTAATATTTTGTATTTTTAGTAGAGACGGGGTTTCACCATTTTGGCCAGGCTGGTATTGAACCCCTGACCTCGTGATCCACCCTCTTGGGCCTCCCAAAGTGCTGGGATTACAGGCGTGAGCCACCGCGCCTGGCTGGCAGTGCCATTTTCACAAAGGGATCTCCTCCTGGTAACCTACATTTCTTGGGAGTTAAGATTTCCCAGACTGCAACACTGGCAGCTATGTGCAGAGCTGGGCGAGGTGAGTCAGGGCAGGAAGCACAGCCAGAGGCTGCCCAGCTGGCAAGCTCCTTCCTGCCCTGCAGCAGCCCCTCTCCTCATCCTCCAGACCTGCAGGGCTGGGCTCCACATCCTCCTCACCCAGGGGTGCTAGGAGAGGGCTGGCCCCTGACTCACCTCACCCCACCTCCAGGCAGGGCAGGGCACACAGGAAAGTGAGGAGGACCAGGTGGGGCCCGCAGCCGAGCTGCCCCCAGCCACCTTTCCAGGAGTCCCGGGCTCCCAGGCGCCATCTGCACCGGTCCCGGTGCTCCCGCTGGGTCCGCCAGCTTCTCAGCGGGCAGCATCGCTCCCAAAGGGACCAAAAGGCTTTGGATGGAACAACCCTGTGTCCCTCCGGATGCTGATGATGCTGGTGTCTGTGTATTGACGTGTCACTGGGGGTGGGGGGGCGTCCGGAAGAGAAAGCCTCCATAGAGGCTCCTCGGGGACAATGCAGAGCGCCCCCACCCCACGGACCACCCCATCTCGCCCGCCGCACCAGGAGCCTCCACCCATGAGCAGCAGGAGGAGGGACGGCGCCTGACCCTCGGCCACAGCCCCAGAAAGGTTAGAATTCGATTCTGGCCACATGAGACGTAACCCATGTTCTCAAGTAAAGTCACCTTCATCTAAAAACAGCCTCCGCCTCCTTGCCCAGGGCTCAGGGCCAGGCAGGCCGCGTGGTACTTGTACACAAGCAGCCCCGCAGGATAAGGCTGCCCGCCCCCACCCGCCCTCCTCCCCACCCACCCCAGTGCTCAGACAGCAGCCAGCGAGAACAGCTCTGGGAAGCAGCCTCGGGCACCTCCCCCACCCACCCCCACCGGCCGCAGCCAGGCACTCCCACTCCTCTCATCTGAGGCTCGGGGGTGAAGCCCTCCACCCTCGGGACCCAGCTAGCACACCCCGGCCCTCCGGTCCCCGACAAGCCCACAGGAGACGCGGACGGCCAACCTTGGGCACTCACCCCACCCGGCTGTGCCCCACCAACCCGCAGACGCCCCTGAAGCAAGTTTCAGGAGAGGCAAACACAGTCACGAATTCACAGAGCAAACAGCAGTGTCCACCCCACACGGGCCAAGGCTGTGTTGCCCAGACCTTGTGGTCTTCACGAGTCAGTCCCCAGCAAAAGTGGGGTTTCTCACCACACACACACACGCGCACACACGGCTACACCGCTGCACGGCGGCGCTGCCAGCACTGCAGACTCCACCTGCTTCCCAGGCTGCAGGCAGCTCTGGCCAGTAAGCCCCAGGCTAAGCTTTCTGCTCAGAAGAAACCCTTCTCAGTCTCCTGCACAAATGCACAAAAGGAACAAAACTGTGAACCACCCTACCCAGCAGGGAGAGACCAAAGGTCTTTCACCCACTTGGCTGTCCAAATTAGCTCAATGTGGGAACCTCGTGCTGTGCTTGAAACCCAGTCAGGCCTGGCTGGGTTTCCACAGGGCTGGCGGGGGCGGCTTATCTTCCGCGCTCACCTCACCCATGGGCTCCTATCTGTGTCTCCCCAGAGAGCTGGCCGCAGTGCTGGGGCCAGGCCCTTGCCCAGGAGACATTCGATAAAGGGCCACTTTGGTTACCAGGAAGACGAAATCTCAGACGTAGGTCAGGAGTTAGCTGGCAAAGCCTCTGGAAGAAGGAGCCCCCTCCCCAGCCTCTGCCCAAGGCCCCCTACGGCTCAATGCCCAGGACAGAGGCTCGAAGCCCTTGCTCTTGACCCTTCAGGAGGCCAGACCCTCCAGCTCTGCACCTTGTTCCCAACACATCGGTCACAATAAATTTTTTTTTTGTTTTTTTTTGAGACGGGGTCTCGCTCTGTCGCCCAGGCTGGAGTGCAATGGCGCGATCTCGGCTCACTGCAAGCTCCGCCTCCCTGGTTCACACCATTCTCCTGCCTCAGACTCCCTAGCAGCTGGGACTACAGGCGCCCGCCACCACGCCAGGCTAATTTTTTGTATTTTTAGTAGAGACGGGGTTTCACCGTGTTAGCCACGATGGTCTTGATCTCTTGACCTCGTGATCCGCCCGCCTCGGCCTCCCAAAGTGCTGGGATTACAGGCGTGAGCCACCATGCCCGACCTCTTTTTTTTTTTTTTTTAAAGACAGAGTCTCCCTGTTACCCAGGCTGGAGTGCAGTGGCATGATATCAGCTCACTGCAACCTTCACCTCCCAGGTTCAAGCGATTCTCTTGCCTCAGCTTCCTGAGTGGCTGGGATTACAGGCGTGCGCCAACACGCCCAGCTAATTTTTGTATTTTTAGTAGAGATGGGGTTTCACCATGTTGGCCAGGCTGGTCTTGAACTCCTGACCTCAGGTGATCCACCCGCCTCAGCCTCCCAAAGTGCTGGGATTACAGGTGTGAGCCACCACGCCCGGCCTCACTATAAATCTTTAACCCAGAACCAAATGGGGGTCTCAACAAAGGAAGAAATTTTCTATGAAGCAAGAAAGGATGTCATGCTTTTCTCCCGGAAAAACACACCTCAATCCATTTCCCAAATGCGCTCTCCAAACCACGTTTGCCCACCCTCAACACACGGCCCTCCTAAGACAGCACTGGAAACCGAATGCGGGTCAGAGTCGGCTAAAAACGACTTTCTCACTATTTCCTGCGCTGAATCGGGTGGCCAGGGCCCCCTCACTGTGACCTTGGAACCTCGACTTCCCACAGGGCTGTTTCCTCGCCTGTAAAGGAGGAGGGGCGTTCAGAGACCACCTCATTCTGGGTGCTGAATCCAGGCAGAATCAGAGGGAGATTCCGCCTTCCCTTCCACGCAGGGCCCCTCGAGGGAGCCTGCGAGGTCTTAAGAGTCTGGGAGAACACCCGGGGGCAGGTGCACGCCCTAGGCAAGACGCCAGGGCTAAATCCCGTGAAGAACGGTAATCCCTTCCCGATCCGGAGGGCTGACCCACTCAGAGCCTCCATGTGCTCTTGGAGGACAAAAGCCCCTTTTCCAGAAGGGAGCGCCAAGATGATCGCTCCAGGCCGCACGGGCCCTTGCGGGGGCCCCAGAGAGTCTCAGGGGAGGGTCTCTGACCCTAACACTCGCAGGCAGGGTGGACCCGTCTCCAGATTCCACGCCCAGGCCGCTTTCCCCAGGTCCTGCGGAGTCCAGCCCCAGCAGGACGGGTTGGGCAGGCACCAACCAGCCCCTGACCCCTGGCTCCAGGCCAAAGGGGACGCTCACCCAGGCTTTGGGTCTCCCTTCTCCTGGCCGATGGGACCGGCGGGCGGGCCACCTCCAACCGCCTTCGCAGACGCCCTCACCCAGGAAGCAGGTCACCCCCAACCCCAGGTGACCGAAAAGCAAGACGCCCACCTCCCCTGACCAAGACCGGCCTGGCCAGGACCCCCTGGCTCCCGCCTCCAAGCAGGGAGCTTCACGCCCACACACAGAGGCCGGGCTCGAGGCCGGAGCGCCCGGGGGAGCCCGGCAGGCCGCGCCGGGAGGAACCTCTAGTCCCCCCTCAAACCCTGGGACTTCACCCCCAAGCTCCATGCTGGCGCGGGAAGCCCCCGGGGCCGGCCTTTCGCACCCCAGGCCGCCCCGCGCCGAGGCCCCAGGCTCCCGTCGGCTTCGGGTCGGCACCGCGGCCTCCATTCCCGGCCCCTGCAGGACCGCACCCCCGCCCCCTACCCGCTCCTCACCAGCCCCGGAGGCTCCGTGGGTGCCCAGCAGCGCGAATCCCAGCAGCACGAACAGCGCAGCCGCCATGATTCCTATTCCTCGCCGGTCCTACAACCTCCAACCGCTGCCGCCGCCGCCCGCGGCCGCTATAAAAAGCGGCGGAGGCGCGGACCGGGCGCGCGCACGCACGGCGTCATCTCGGGGGCGGGGCGAGCGCCGGGGACGCCGGTCGCCCCGCCTGCGCACGCGCGCACACGCTCGCATGTACGCGCCGGCTCCGGCAGGCTCACGCTACGGAATCCGGGCGGCGGCGCACGTGACCCGGCGTTGCTAGGAAACGGGAGTGGGGCCTGCGGGGACGCGGCTGGAGCCTGCGCATTTCTTCCTTCCTGCTTTCAAAGTTGCAATGAGCGCAGAGCGGTGCGCCCGAGGGGGTTGAAGCGTTGAAAGTGTGTTACCCAGATTTTATCTGAGTTAAACACGGGCCGGCCGCTGTGGCTCACGTCTGTACTCCCAGAGCCTTGGGAGGTCGAGGCGGGAAGATCGCTTGAGCCCGGGAGCTCGAGACCAGACGCGGCAACATGGCGAGACGCACATCTCTGCCTTTAAAAATGTACATATATATATATATATATGAACGTATTAATAAATTAGGTGGGAGGAAGTGACCTCCTCCGCCCAAATAAAAATACTTAAAGGGCACTTGAATCTGGATCTCAGAAAATGAATAATTTCTTAGTATAAACGTCCTGTGCACCATTTGGTTGGGACAAGTAAGTTCCTCTTCAGAAACTCAACTTCCAGGTCTAAAGTTGTCAATCAACCTTACCCCCTTCTTCTTTCCTCGCAGGTGGCGCGTTTACCCTATTTTAAAAAAGTTTTAAGTTTTAGCCAACCGGGATCAGCTTAGATTGTGGGCGTCCAACCCCAGCCAACAGGGAAAGGACAGAGGAACAGAAGCTCCCTTCCTTTGTCCCGTGTGCTCTGGAGATTGCATCCCACGCAGGCAGCCCCCTTCCGTACAAGTAAAGTGGTCTCGCTGAGAAATTTTCTAAGTGCTGGTTTCTCTTTGCGGGACCGACTCGCCGCCCCCAAATATCCCATTTGGATCCCATTCTGTTTCAGGAGAGGCTGGCGGTTACCTTTCTTGGGGAGACGCGTCCGACTGCTTCATTGTGGGGGCCTCAGGAGCGGAGGATCGGGTCCCGCCCGAGGTGACGCGTAAACCCAGACTCTCAGCAACGCGGGTAGGAAGGACCCTTGAAGTTCCGCGGCGACCACGGTGAGAAAAGTCGCTATTGGGGCGACACAGGTGGGGGCGTCTCTTGGAGGTTGAAAGTGTGTGTTGGAAGTTAAACTCGGAGTCGCAATGCAAGAGGACCGCAGACTAAGCCGAACGCGAAGGGCTAACTGGAAAGGGGCAGGAATGTGGCTACACTGGCGGGAAGAGCCCGTGGCGACGGGAGGGGGATGTGCAGAGTGGGTGGCAGGTGCCATCTCTGCAGATCAGGACCGGCGGGAAACTTGTTTACTGAGACTCAGACGGGGAGGCCCAGAGGGTGAGGAAGTCAGGTTGGCCTTGGAAGTAGGAAACGAAGAACGAGGGCGCTGAACGAGCCAAACCTTTGAAGAGGAACTTGTGAATGAATGAGACGCGCCATATCTTTTGTGTGTGTGTGTGTTGGAGTCTCGCTGTGTCACCCAGGCTGGAGTGCAGCGGCGCGATCTCGACTCTCTGCAACCTCCGCCTCCCGGGTTCAAGCGATTCTCCTGCCTCAGCCTCCTGAGTAGCTGGGATTACAGGCGCGCACCACCACGCCCGGCTAATTTTTGTATTTTTAGCAGAGACGCCCCATATCTAAAGAAGGGTGGGATCCTCTAGACCACCTTCCCCCACTCACCCCTCCGCCCCTCCCAACCCACCCCCTCCGCCCCTCCCAACCCACCCCCTCCGCCCCTCCCAACCCACCCCCTCCGCCCCTCCCAACCCACCCCCTCCGCCCCTCCCAACCCACCCCTCCGCCCCCCCCACCCACCCACCCCACCCCTCCGCCCCTCCCCAACCCGCCCCTCCGCCCCTCCCACCCACCCCTCGCCCCTCCGCCCCTCCCCCACCCGCTCCTCCGCCCCTCCATCCCTCCCCTATAGAACCACCTGGACCTTGCCACCCACATCCCCGCTGGACAGCCACTAGAACATGCCCCTTCCTCAGGAAAGCTCCAACGGGAAACAGAACAATGCCAAAGGGATATTCGAAACTTTCGGCCGGGCGCGGTGGCTCACGCCTGTAATTCCAGCACTTTGGGAGGCAGAGGCGGGTGGATCACGAGGCCAGGAGTTCAGGACTGGCAGCCTGGCCACGATGATGAAACCTCGCCTCTACTAAAAATACGAAAATTAGCCGGACGTGGTGGCGGGCGCCTGTAATTCCAGCTACTCAGCTACTCGGGAGGCTGAGGCAGGGAATGTCTTGAACCCGGGAGGTGGAGCTTGCAGTGAGCCGAGATCGCGCCACCGCACTCCAGCCTCGGCAACAAGAGCGAGACTCCGTCTCAAAAAACAAACAAACAAACAAAAACCCACAGAACTTTCCTTTTGCCTCCTGCTCAAAAAGACCTGCCTCAGCCCTTTTCCCCTTTAGGGAAGGACCACCGGGAGGAAGGGATATTGACTTCGTAAATGCCCCCTTTAACCAGTTCAGAGGTTAGAAATCTAAAAGAACTCAAACCACTGTTAGATGACCCTTTTGGATTCGCGGATCAAATTGACCAATTTCTGGGGCCACAGCTGTACGCTTGGGCTGAATTAATGTCTACCCTCAGTACTCTCGTCTCAGGAGAGAGAGAACCATGATTCACAGGCCGCTGTGTTAGTCTGGGAGCGTGAACACCCCCCGGTCAGAACGTCCTTTCAGCGGAGCGTAAATTCCTGGCCCAAGATCCTGGGTGGGATGACAATGTGACCTAAAAAACATGAGCGATCTCGGAGATGGGATAATTACAAGGATTCGGGAATCAGATCTGCAAACCCAAAATACTTCCCGAGCATTTAACGTACAACAGAGGAAACATGAAGGGCCCATGGGGTTTTTTTTGGAGACAGAGTCTCGCTCTGTCGCCCAGGCTGGAGTTCAGTGGCGCGATCTCAGCTCACTCCAACCTCCGCCTCCCGGGTTCAAGCGATTCTCCTGCCTCAGCCTCCCAAGTAGCTGGGATTACAGGCGCCCGCCACCACGCCTGGCTAATTTTTTGTATTTTAGTGGAGACAGGGTTTCACCATGTTGGCCAAGATGGTCTCGATCTCCTGACCTTGTGATCTGCCCACGTCGGCCTCCCAAAGTGCTGGGATTACAGGCGTGAGCCACCGCGCCTGGCCAGGCCCGTGGAATTCTTAAACAGACTTAATAAACAGATAAGAAAATATGCAGCTGCCGGCTCACGCCTGTAATCCCAGCACTTTGGGAGGCTGAGGTGGGCGGATCATGAGGTCAGGAGATCCAGACCATCCTGGCTAACACGGTGAAACCCCATCTCTACTAAAATACAAAAAAATTAGCCGGGCGTGGTGGGGGCGCCTGTAGTCCCAGCTACTCGGGAGCCTGAGGCAGGAGAATGGCCTCAACCCAGGAGGCGGAGCTTGCAGTGAGCCGAGATCGCACCACTGCGCTCCAGCCTGGGCGACAGAGCGAGACTCCGTCTCAAAAAAAAAAGAAAGAAAGAAAAAAGAAAATTGGAAAGACCATCCCATAGAGGAACTTTTTTTTTCTTTTTTGAGATGGAGTCTCACTCTTTTGCCCAGGCTGGAGTGCAGTGGTGCGATCTCGGCTCACTGCAACCTCCACCTGCCAGGTTCAAGCGATTGTCCTGCCTCAGCCTCCTGAGTAGCTGGGACTACAGGCACGCGCCACCACGCCTGGCTAATTTTTGTACTTTTAGTAGAGACGGGGTTTCACCTTGTTGGCCAGGCTGGTCTTGAACTCCTGACCTCAAGTGATCCGCCTGCCTCCACCTCCCAAAGTGATGGGATTACAGGCATGAGCCACCACGCCCAGCCAAGAAAGAGAACTTTTAACTGCTGGGGGCAAAGAAATAAAATACAAAGAAGAAATTTTACAGCTCCTAGGCCGGGCGTGGTGGCTCAGGCCTGTAATCCCAGCACTTTGGGAGGCTAAGGCAGGCGGATCACCTGAGGTCAGGAGTTGGAGACCAGCCTGACCAACATGGAGAAACCCCATCTCTACTAAAAATACAGAATTAGCCGGGCGCGGTGGCAGGTGCCTATAATCCCAGCTACTAGGGAGGCTGAGGCAGGAGAATCGCTTGAACCTGGGAGGCGGAGGTTGCGGTGAGCCGAGATCGTGCCATTGCACTCCAGCCTGGGCAACAAGAGAGAAACTCCATATGAAAAAAAAAAAAAAAAAAAGAAATTTTACAGCTCCAGGATGCCGTGTGGGCCCCAAAGACGTAGCTGTTCTGCGTTGCAGGGTGCACAAAAGGCAGGAACACTGGAGGCCAAAGGAAACAAAGGCAGACGAGGAGGCAAAACGGGCAGTAATAAGGACACCACATTCTAAAGAGGAAGCCCTGGCTGTGCCTCTCCTCCCGGAGCCTCCCCTCCCAGAGGTCCCACGTTATTCTCCAAACAAAAAAGCTTAGTTTGCCCAAGAAACTGGAAAGTATATTGAAAGAAGATCGGCCGGGCGCAGTGACTCACGCCTGTAATCCCAGCACTTTGGGAGGCCGAGGCAGGCGGATCACCTGAGGTTGGGAGTTTGAGCAGCCTGACCAACATGAAGAAACCCTGTCTCTACTAAAAATACAAAATTAGCGGGGCGTGGTGGTGTGCCCCTGTCATCCCAGCTATTCAGGAGGCTGAGGCAGGAGAATCGCTTGAACTCGGGAGGCGGACGTTGCAGTGACCGGAGATCGCGCCACTGCACTCTAGCCTGGGGGACAAGAGTGATACTTCGTCTCAAAAAAAAAAAAAAAGAAATAGAATCCAACCACTTTGGGACCCAGATGGGATGGGCCTAGACTGCGATCCTGTCCACTCCCACTGCTGTTAATGTTTCAGGAACTGTGCCTTCGATCTCCACAGTCGGCTGAAACCAGCAGCCCAGGACAAGTGGACCAGCCAGCAAGACCCAGACCATCCAAACCGGCTGATCCTACGACAGGACCCAGATGCCAGTGAAAGTGACCACAGCCCTGCTCTAGTCACCCCGGAAGCTGACCAGTCTACGCACGGCCGAAGCTTCGTCAAGGAAGTAAATGTAGTTAGAAATCTTAAGCCCAGTAATTTTCCTTGTCATCTTAATTGTTTTACTATTAACCTGTCGCTTTGCTCAACCCCCTCCTCTGGGCAAACATCTCTTGTCCATCCTAGGTACAAACATGCTACTCTTCCCTTTGTTCTTGCTGCTCTCGCTAGATCTATGTCAGAAGGAGGGATATGCGGAGAGTTTAATTTAACTAATTGTTGCCTAAAAATCGATGACAATGAGGAGGACGTCATGAATTAATTGCGAGAATGCGAGACTTAGCTCATGTTCCAACACAAACCTGGAAACCGGAATGGTCTCCAGGTTCCCCCCGCCCCCCCGTGGTTGGTTTTCATCCCTCGGGGGATTTAAAACCTTACTAGGAGTAGTTCTGGCCATACTGGGAGTCCGCCTCGTACTCTTGTCTCTTCCCCTCCTTGTCAAGAATATCGACAAAGCCAGAGACGCTCGTGTGGACAGGCCGAGTACCACCGAGCTCATCCCATAACTACGTGTCCACCCCTGCCAGGAAAAGAGCTACTTCCCCCTGTAGAAGTAAATAAAAAATAGTGATGCTTTCTATTAAACCTTATTTATAAAAAGCATCAAGGAGGGAATAAAGCGGAAATTGAAGAAACGGAAAATACCTTTTTCGTATAAAGCTGACTCGCCCCAAAGCCAGCAACAGGCAAAGCCCCCAGGCAAGGCCTTGAAAACACCATTTAAAAAGCCAGAACCCCAAGGAATGCCGCCCAGACGCCTCCCAGCACTGCACTCCCCCCGTGCAAAGATAAGAACCAGACTCCTCCTTCCGTTTCCCGCTCCCCGTAAAATACTCTGCCAGTTTTGTAAGCTCCTGTTCTTTCTCAATGCGGCCGCAAGCTCACAAGCTCGGCTGAGGTTACGAAACCTGTCACTGTACGATTAACTGCCTCTGTCCTGCGTCTGTAAATTCACTTTCCCGCACTGCAAGTTTCACGCCGCTGCACGCTTCAAAGTCAAGCCCTTTGTTCCACGCTCAGTCTTTTTTTTTTTTTTTTTGAGACGGATTCTCACTCTGTCGCCCAGGCTGGAGTGCGGTGGCGCGATCTCGGCTCACTGCAAGCTCCGCCTCCCGGGTTCACGCCATTCTCCTGCCTCAGCCTCTCTGAGTAGCTGGGACTACAGGTGCCCACCACCACACCCGGCTAATTTTTTGTATTTTTAGTAGAGACAGGGTTTCACCGTGTTAGCCAGGACGGTCTCGATCTCCTGACCTCGTGATCCGCCCGCCTCGGCCTCCCAAAGTGCTGGGATTACAGGCGTGAGCCACTGCGCCCGGCCCCACGCTCAGTCTTTGGATGCGAATCCAGTGAGCCGGTGACCACCTTAATAAAAATCCTCCTGTTGCCGGGCGTGGTGGTTCACGCCTGTAATCCCAGCACTTTGGGAGGCCGAGGTGAGTGACCACGAGGTCAGGAGATTGAGACCATCCTGGCCAACACTGGTGAAACCCCGTCTCTACTAAAAGTACAAAAATCAGCTGGGTGTGGTGGCGGGTGCCTGTAGTCCCAGCTACTCGGGAGGCTGAGGCAGGAGAGTTGCTTGAACCCGGGAGGCGGAGGTTGCAGTGAGCCTTGATCGCGCCACTGCACTCCAGCCTGGGCGACAGAGCGAGACTCCATCAGGAAGGAAGGGAGGGTGGGAGGGATATAGGAGCTCAGGAGAACCCAGAGGGAAAGTAGGTACCACTTTCCCTCTGTAGGGATTTCCCTTCAAGTAGGATTGAAGGGAAATGCTGTCTAAACCCCTCATGAGGGAAATACTGTCAGAGCTTCATCAAGGAGCTCACTCGGGTCCCCAAGCTACGTGCAATGCAGCCTCGGAGTCTGTGGGTGTGTGGGGATAGAGACCCTCGGAGTCTGTGGGTGTGTGGGATATAGACCCTCGGAGTCTGTGGGTGTGTGGGATAGAGACCCTCGGAGTCTGTGGGTGTGTGGGATAGAGACCCTCGGAGTCTGTGGGTGTGTGGGGATAGAGACCCTCGGAGTCTGTGGGTGTGTGGGGATAGAGACCCTCGGAGTCTGTGGGTGTGTGGGATAGAGACCCTCGGAGTCTGTGGGTGTGTGGGATAGAGACCCTCGGAGTCTGTGGGTGTGTGGGGATAGAGACCCTCGGAGTCTGTGGGTGTGTGGGATAGAGACCCTCGAAGTCTGTGGGTGTGTGCGATAGAGACCCTCGGAGTCTGTGGGTGTGTGGGGATAGAGACCCTCGGAGTCTGTGGGTGTGTGGGATAGAGACCCTCGGAGTCTGTGGGTGTGTGGGATAGAGACCCTCGGAGTCTGTGGGTGTGTGGGATAGAGACCCTCGAAGTCTGTGGGTGTGTGCGATAGAGACCCTCGGAGTCTGTGGGTGTGTGGGGATAGAGACCCTCGGAGTCTGTGGGTGTGTGGGATAGAGACCCTCGGAGTCTGTGGGTGTGTGGGATAGAGACCCTCGGAGTCTGTGGGTGTGTGGGATAGAGACCCTCGGAGTCTGTGGGTGTGTGGGATAGAGACCCTCGGAGTCTGTGGGTGTGTGGGGATAGAGACCCTCGGAGTCTGTGGGTGTGTGCGATAGAGACCCTCGGAGTCTGTGGGTGTGTGGGATAGAGACCCTCGGAGTCTGTGGGTGTGTGGGATAGAGACCCTCGGAGTCTGTGGGTGTGTGGGATAGAGACCCTCGGAGTCTGTGGGTGTGTGGGATAGAGACCCTCGGAGTCTGTGGGTGTGTGGGATATATGCCCTCGGAGTCTGTGGGTGTGTGGGATAGAGGCCCTCGGAGTCTGTGGGTGTGTGGGATAGAGACCCTCGGAGTCTGTGGGTGTGTGGGGATAGAGACCCTCGGAGTCTGTGGGTGTGTGGGATATATGCCCTCAGAGTCTGTGGGTGTGTGGGATAGAGACCCTCGGAGTCTGTGGGTGTGTGGGATAGAGACCCTCGGAGTCTGTGGGTGTGTGGGGATAGAGACCCTCGGAGTCTGTGGGTGTGTGGGATATATGCCCTCGGAGTCTGTGGGTGTGTGGGATAGAGACCCTCGGAGTCTGTGGGTGTGTGGGATAGAGACCCTCGGAGTCTGTGGGTGTGTGGGATAGAGACCCTCGGAGTCTGTGGGTGTGTGGGATAGAGACCCTCGGAGTCTGTGGGTGTGTGGGATAGAGACCCTCGGAGTCTGTGGGTGTGTGGGGATAGAGACCCTCGGAGTCTGTGGGTGTGTGGGATAGAGACCCTCGGAGTCTGTGGGTGTGTGGGGATAGAGACCCTCGGAGTCTGTGGGTGTGTGGGATAGAGACCCTCGGAGTCTGTGGGTGTGTGGGGATAGAGACCCTCGGAGTCTGTGGGTGTGTGGGGATAGAGACCCTCGGAGTCTGTGGGTGTGTGGGATAGAGACCCTCGGAGTCTGTGGGTGTGTGGGATAGAGACCCTTGGAGTCTGTGGGTGTGTGGGATAGAGACCCTTGGAGTCTGTGGGTGTGTGGGATAGAGACCCTCGCTAGGCAAATGTGGATGGTTGCATCGTGTGCAGAAAAGCTAATAAGCAAACCCTAAAGAGGCAACCTCCCGGGGAAGAAACCCAGGGTTGAGGCCATTCCAGGCTGGGCGCGGTGGCTCACGCCTGTAATCCCAGCACTTTGGGAGGCCGAGGCGGGCGGATCACGAGGTCAGGAGATCGAGACCCTCCTGGCTAACACGGTGAAACCCCGTCTCTACTAAAAATACAAAAAAAATTAGCCAGGTGTGGTGGGCACCTGTAGTCCCAGCTACTCGGGCGGCTGAGGTAGGAGAATGGCATCAACCCAGGAGGCAGAGCTTGCAGTGAGCCGAGATGGTCCCACTGCACTCCAGCCTGGGTGACAGAACAAGACTCCATCTCAAAAAAAAGAGGCAACCTCCCAGGGAAGAAACCCAGGGTTGAGGCCGTTCCAAAGTGTTTGGGTTGACTACACTGAAATGCCCCCAATAGCCCACCTCAAACATTTACTGGGAACAGTCAACCATCTCACCCACTGGGTAGAGGCCACCCCCTTCCCGAGCGCAACAGCCAGCAATGTAGTCAGAGGCCTGTGGGAACACGTCACACCCAGGTTTGCACTAATAGAGAACGTGGATTCGGACAAGGGGACCCCCTTCACTGCACACATCATTACGGGGCTAACCCCAGCACTAGGAATGAAATGGGAATATTTCCCTGGCATCCACCCTCATCAGGGAGGGTAGAAAGAATGAATCAAACTCTAAAAAAACCACCTAACCGAATTAATCTTGGAAACCTGGTTACCACGCACAGAATGCCTTCCCTTTGCCTTACTAAGAATCTGAACAGGCCGGGCGTGGTGGTTCACGCCTGTAATCCCAGCACTTTGGGAGGCTGAGGCGGGTGGACCGCCTGAGCTCAGGAGTTTGAGACCAGCCCGGGCAGCATGGTGAAACCCCGTCTCTACTAAAAATACAAAAAAATTAGCCAGGCGTCGTGGCGCCCGCTTGTAATCCCGGCTACTTGGGAGGCTGAGGCAGGAGAATTGCTTGAACCTGGGAGGTGGAGGTTGCAGTGAGCCGAGATCACGCCCACCGCACTCCAGCCTGGGCGACAGAGCGAGACTCCGTTTCAAAAAAAAAAAAAGAATGCGAACTGCCCCTCGGAAAGATCTTGGCCTGTTCCCTTATGAGATGCTCTATGGGCTACCTTATCTGACTTCCACTACTGACCTTCCTACATTTGAAACAAAAGATCAGTTTCTCAAAAACTATATGTGTGGTTTGTCTTCCACCCTTTCCTCCCTCCGGACCCAAGGCCTCCACCCCTCGAATTCCCAGTTCACCGACACCAGCCTGGGGATCACCTCCTTGTCAGAAGTTGGAAAGAGGAAAAACTCAGCCAACCTGGGAAGGACTTTATCGGGTGCTCCTGACCACCAAGATGACGGTCGGAAAGGGCCCCATCCCTGGAGGGATCTTGGACCTTCACTCCAGGATCAACGCCTTCCAAATTAACATTCAAAAAGGTTTAATCTGTCTCTTCCTTCTCCCTGTAGCCGCCCAAGGACGTCTTATTATCAATATAAGGTGATCACCCTTTCCCCAGCTAGTTTCGTTTGATGCCTGTCTGGTTCATATACCCCGTAAAGATATCCACAGCCAAAGACAGCCTCTTCTGAAGAAAATCCTTGGCCCAGCCCTTGTAGTAACCGGTACCCTGGGGTGCCATTCCCTGTTGAAATTCGCTCAGGATGGTGGCAGAAATATTAAAGGGAAACATTAGGTAAAGTTAGAGAAAATAGTCACAAACCGGCCGGGCGTGGTGGCTCACGCCTGTCATCCTAGCACTTCGGGAGGCCGAGGCAGGAGGATCACGAGGTCAGGAGATCGAGACAATCCCGGCTAACATGGTGAAACCCCGTCTCTACTAAAAATACAAAAAATTAGCCGGGCGTGGTGGCGGGCGCCTGTAATCTCAGCTACTTGGGAGGCTGAGGCAGGAGAATTGCTTGAACCTGGGAGGCGGAGGTTGCAGTGAGCCAAGATCACGCCATTGCACTCCAGCCTGGGCTACAAGAGCGAAACTCCGTTTCAAAAAAATAAATAAATAAATAAAGCGCATCGTTACTTCGATCCCAGATAATACAGGCCCTGATGGGACCATCTCGAAAGCCTGACAGGGCCTTACCGACCTAACAAATGAATTAGCCATAAACTCTGGAATAGATGGCCCCTTGATGGGACTGATGGAAAGGTGGTTTGGAAAATGGAAGGGACTCATAACATCAATCTTTTTTTTGTTCTTTTCTTCATTTTTATTTTTATTTTTTGAGACACAGTCTCGTTCTGTCGCCCAGGCTGGAGTGCAATGGCATGATCTTGGCTCACTGCAACCTCCGCCTCCTGGGTTCAAGTGATTCTCCCGCCTCGGCCTCCCAAGTAGCTGGGATTACACGCACCTGCCACCACGCCCGGCTAATTTTTTTGTATTTTTAGTAGACGGGGTTTCACCATGTTGGCCAGGCTGGTCTCAAACTCCTGACCTTGTGATCCACCCGCCTTGGCCTCCCGAAGTGCTGGGATGACAGGCGTGAGCCACCGCGCCCGGGCTGACCTCAATCTTTACCTCCCTCGCAATTGCTACAGGAGGACTCATCCTGTGGGCTGCTGTGTCATACCTTTGTATTCGCGGGTTAACCCAAAGACTCACAGAAGCAGCTCTCACAAAAACCTCCCCTACCTCTCCTGCTCTGTATTCCGATAAGCTCTTGTTCCTAGACGATCAAGAAGAACAACAAAGCCAAATCCTGTTAAAGAAATTTGAAGGCCGGGCACGGTGGCTCATGCCTGTAATCCCAGCACTTTGGGAGGCCGAGGTGGGTGGATCACGAGGTCAGGAGTTCGAGACCATCCTGGCCAACGTGGTCAAACCCCATCTCTACCAAAATACAAAAATAAGCTGGGTTTGGTGGCACGTGCCTGTAATCCCAGCTACTCAGGAGGCTGAGACATGAGAATCGCTTGAACCCAGGAGGCGGAGGTTGCAGTGAGCCGAGATTGCGCCACTGCACTCCAGCCTGGGCAACAGAGCGAGACTCCGTCTCAAAAAAAAAAAAAAAAAAGAAAACTAGGCCGGGCGCCGTGGCTCACGCCTGTAATCCCAGCACTTTGGGAGGCCGAGGTGGGCAGATCACGAGGTCAGGAGATCGAGACCATCCTGGCCAACACGGTGAAACCCCCCCATCTCTACTAAAAATACACAAAATTAGGCGGGCGTAGCGGTGGGCGCCTGTAGTCCCAGCTACTCGGGAGGCTGAGGCAGGAGAATGGTGTGAACCCGGGAGGCCGAGCTTGCAGTGAGCCGAAATGGTGCCACCGCACTCCAGCCTGGGCGACAGAGCGAGACTCTGTCTCAAACAAAATAAATAAATAAATTTGAAGAGGAAGAAGTATAAAACAGAAAAGGAGTAAATTGTTGAGACAACCAAATTCCTCTTACAAAACTCAACTTCCAGGTCATAAGTTGTCAATCAACCCTACCCCCTTCTTCCCCCTAGCCCTCCTCTTCTCGCAAATCTTGCCTTTACCCGATTTGGAGACAGTTTTAAGTCTTAGCCAACCGGGATGAGCTTAGATGAGGGCGTCCAGCCCCAGCCAGCGGGGGAACAGAAGCTCCTTCCTTCCTTCGTCCCGTGAGCTCCGGGGCAGCCCCATTCTGTATAGTAAAGTTGTCTCGCTGGGAAATAGGTTTCTAAGGGCTGGTTTCTCTTTGCGGGACCCAGCACTTATTTCTAACAATTTGGACACAGTTATACAAATAAAATGGTTGCTTTTGGGAGGCCGAGGCGGGCGGATCACGAGATCAGGAGTTTTGAGACCAGCCTGGCCAACAGGGTGAAACCCCGTCTCTACTAAAAATACAAAAATTAGCCGGGGGTGGTGGTGGGCGCCTGTAATCCCAGGAGGCGGCGGTTGCAGTGAGCCCAGATCGCGCCACTGCACTCCAGCCTGGGCGACAGAGCGAGACTCCGTCTCAAAAACAAACAAACAAACAAAAACAGAGAATGAATGGACAGACACAGCATGGCCCATCCACGCAATGGGACACGACTCAGCCGTGAACAGGAGCGAGGCTCGGACGCAGCCCACGGCGCGGATGCACCTTGAGGAAGTCGCACTCAGTGAGAGACGCCAGACACAGAAGGACACACACTGTGTGATCCCATGTCTATGAAATGTCCAGGACAGGCCCATCCACAGAGACAGGGAGGGGACGTGTGGGTGCTGGGGGGCTGAGGAGGGGATGAGGCGCGGTGACTCACGCCTGTCATCCCAGCACTTTCGGAGGCCGAGGCGGGCGGATCACCTGAGGCTGGGAGTTCGAGACCAGCCTGACCAACATGGAGAAACCCCGTCTCTACTAAAAATACAAAATTAGCCGGGCCTGGTGGCGGGCTCCTGTAGTCCCAGCTACTTAAGAGGCTGAGGCAGGAGAATCCTTTGAACCTGGGAGACGGAGGTTGCAGTGAGCCAAGATCGCACCACTGCACTCCATCCTGAGGAACAAGAGCAAAACTCCGTCTCTAAATAAATAAATAGGGTGATGTGCGTAACCGAGGGGCCAGCACACGGTGGGCAGGGGCAGAAAACCCCATCCAGGGCGAAGGCTGGGCCCAGCCAGGGTGGGAAGATGCTGGGGGCCGAGGGCCTGGACGGGGCTGAGGGCTTCACTCTGGGAGACCCCCGCTTCCCACTCTGGGAGACCCCCTCTCGGGGATGGCTTCGGATCAGGGGACTTGGAGCCTCAGAACCACCGGTGCCAAAGAGCTCCCACCTGGGGGGCCACAGGCTTGGAAAGTCCTCATGGGGGCGGGGGGTGGAGGGGGAGGGTCTGAAGCTACGTGCAGAACGAGGACACAGACGCGGATGAGGCCCAGCAGGGCCAGCTGCCTTCAAAGCCCCTCCAGGGTTGTAAACAACCACAGGGCCTGGCCCAATTCCTGCCCCCTCCGCAGCCCTCCCCTGGCAAGGCCCCAATCTGGCCTGAGGTCAGTTCTCCTGGGAACTTGGTCTTTGTTTACAAAATAAAGCCTGTGGCCGCCTTCAACACCCTGTTTCCTGGTCCCTTCCCTGGAAAGCCTTCCCTGACCCTCAGGCAGAGCCAGGGACCCCCTTGCCCCCGACCCAAAACCCCCGAGCCTGCTCTGCTCAGTTCTGGCCCCAGAAGCAAGAAGATCCCAGTCCTCTTTTATCTGCCAAGGAGAGGGTCTTCAGGACCACCCCCTGTAGGGCCTCATTTAGCAAATAAAAATACCCAGTTAATTTAAATTTCAGAGTTTATTTTATTTTATTTTTTTTGAGGCAGAGTCTCGCTCTGTCACCCAGGCTGGATGATCTCGGCTCACTGCAAGCTCCGCCTCCTGGGTTCAAGCGATTCTCCTGCCTCAGCCTCCCGAGTAGCTGGGACTACAGGCGCCCGCCACCACGCCTGGCTAATTCTTTGTATTTTTAGTAGAGACAGGGTTAACCATGTTAGCCAGGATGGTTTCGATCTCCTGACCTCGTGATCCACCTGCCTCGGCCTCCCAAAGTGCTGGGATTACAGGCGTGAGCCACCGCGCCCGGCCTATTTTATTTTATTTTGAGACACAGTCTCATTCTGTCACCCAGGCTGGAGAGCAGTGGTGTGATCTCTGTTCACTGCAACCTCTGCCTCCCGGGTTCACGCCATTCTCCTGCCTCAGCCTCCCGAGTAGCTGGGACTACAGGCGCCCGCCACCACGCCCGGCTAATTTTTTGTATTTTTAGTAGAGACAGGGTTAACCGTGTTGGCCAGGATGGTCTTGATCTCCTGACCTCGAGATCCGCCCACCTCGGCCTCCCAAAGTGCTGGGATTACAGGCGTGAGCGACGGCGCCTGACCTTGGCATCGTGATTCTTCAAACCTAAATCCTCCAGCTTGTGACTTCTGAGATACGAAGGAGAAACCATCAAGTTCAATAAGGGGCCAGGCGTGGTGGCTCACGCCTGTAATCCCAGCACTTTGGGAGGCCGAGGTGGGGCGGATTACTTAAGGTGAGGAGTTCGAGACCAGCCTGGCCAGCATGGTGAAACGCCGTCTCTACTAAAAATACAAAAATTAGCCAGGTGCGGTGGTGCGTGCCTGTAATCCTAGATACTCGGAAGGCTGAGGCAGGAGAATCGCTTGAACCTGGGAGGCGGAGGTTGCAGTCAGCTGCACCACTGCACTCCAGCCTGGGCAACAGAGAGAGACTCCATCTCAAAAAAGAGAAAAAAAGGCCAGGCACAGTGGCTCATGCCTGTAATCCCAGAACTTTGGGAGGCCAAGGCGGGTGGATCACCTGAGACCAGCCTGGCCAACATGGTGAAACTCCGTCTCTACTAAAAATATAAAATTAGTGGGCGTGGTGGCGGGCGCCTGTAGTCCCAGCTACTCGGGAGGCTGAGGCAGGAGAATTGCTTGAACCCAGGAGGCAGAGGTTGCAGTGAGCTGAGATTGCGCCACTGCACTCCAGCCTGGGTGACAGAGCGAGACTGTCTCAAAAAAAAAAATTCGAGAAGGGCCGTATGGCTGAAAATGTCTCTTGAATCAAATTCCCCTGCCCCGACCTCAGCCTTTGTGGACCTTTCTGTTTGGGGTCCCGGGGCCCCCACTTTGTCAGCGACCATCGTGCCTCTGCGCTTTGTTCTGGGACCGAGCCTGGGCACCGGCCTCTCCACAGGCTCATCCAGCTGCCTGAGAATCCTGGGGCCCCACGCTCAGCAAGGATGAGGACAGCAGCTTCCCCACCTCAGGGCGTACGTGGGCATCAGATGAGGCCTTCTGGCATTTACCACGGGACGACAAGCGTCTGCGTCTTCCCAGGGAGAACGGTGCCCCCCAAAACTCACGCCCACCCAGAACCTCAGAATGTGGCCTTATTTGGCAGAGGTAGTTAGGATAAAGTTGTAAGGGTGGCCCTGAGGCAATGGCTGGCATCCTCATCAGAAGAGGGACATTTGGACTGAGACATGGGGAGACGTCCCTGCGGGGACAGAGGCAGAGACTGCAGCAATGTGGACACAAGCCAAGGACGCCTGGCGCCCCCGGAGCTGGAGAAGGCAGGAGGACTCCTCCGTGGGGCCTCTCAGAGAGCGGCGCCTGCCCACACCTTGACCTCAGACTCCGGGCCCCAGGACGGGGAGGGGCTGCCTTCTGTTGTTTAAGTCACCCAGCATGTGGTCCCACGTCACTGTCAAGCTCCCGGGTGACACCTGTCCAGTTTAAACCACCTGAGACCAGAGCTCTGCCCACCGGCCACCCGGAGATGCTCACTCGGCTGTTCCCTTTTACACCAGGAGGAACCAGCGAGGGCTGGCAGGGCGCAGTGGCTCACACCTGTCATCCCAGCGCTTTGGGAGGTCGAGGCGGGAGGATCACTTGAGCCTAGGACTTTGAGACTCCATTAAGCAACATACTGAGACCCCATCTCGGCAAAATTACAAACATTAGCCAGGCGTGGTGGTGCACACGTGTAGCCCCATCTCCTCAGGAGGCTGAGGGAAGGGGATTGCTTGAGCCCAGCAGTTTGAGGCTGCAGTGAGCTAGGATTGCACCACTGCGCTGCAGCCTGGGTGACCCTGTCTCAAAAAAAAAAAACCACGAAAACACAGACGGAGGGGTGGAGGCTTCCAGGGCACTGCGTGTCCCACACAGGGTGTCAGCCTCCTGCTGGTGGCTGGTTCTGTGTCTCTAAGTCCCCAGTCACTCACCGGGGCTGGGGTGGGGACATCTCAGCACAGCAGGAGGGAACCACTGATGAGGCACGTCCGGGCTCAGAGATTAGCTCTCTCCCCGGGGCGTGGCTCCAGCTCACCAAACACCAGCCTGGCCTGGCCTCCACTGATCTCTGTCCAGTTGGAGTCACCCCAGGACCCAGTGGGTGGGGTGGGTGGGGTGGGGCGGTGCCCTGTGACCTCTGGAGGAGGCTGGAGAGGAAGCTCAACCCTTGCCTCTGAGCATTTTTTTGTTTGTTTTTTTGAGATGGAGTTTTTTGCTCTTGTCGCCCAGGCTGGAGTGCAGTGGCGCAATCTTGGCTCACTGCAACCTCCGCCTCCCGGGTTCAAGCGATTCTCCTGCCTCAGCCTCCCCAGTAGCTGGGATTACAGGCATGCGCCACCACGCCCGGCTAACATTGTATTTTTAGTAGAGACGGGGTTTCTCTGTGTTGGCCAGGCTGATCTGGAACTCCCGACCTCAGGTGATCCGCCCGCCTCGGCCTCCCAAAATGCTGGGATGACAGGTGTGAGCCACCATGCACGGCCGCCTCTGAGCATTTCTGACGGGTCCACCCCACTGGGCTGGATGCTTCCTCCTTCCTAGCCTCCCTGCCTCTACATCAGGGTCTCCCTTGAGGATGTCAAGGAATAAGGAAAATCGCAGCTTCCGCTGGGTACGGTGGCTTACACCTGTCATCCCAGCACTTTGGGAGGCCGAAGCGGGTGGATCACCTGAGGTCAGGAGTTCGAGACCAGCCTGACCAACATGGTGAAACCCCATCTCTACTGAAAATACAAAAATTAGCCGGGCGTGGTGGTGGGTGCCTGTAATCTCACCTACTCGGGAGGCTGAGGCAGGAGAATCACTTGAACCCGGGAGGAGGAGGTTGCAGTGAGCCGAGATTGCGCCACTGCACTCCAGCCTGGAAACAGAGACTCCGTCTCAAAAAAAAAAGCAAACAACAACAACAAAAAAAAAAAAAACAAAAAAAAAAACACCACAGCTTCTTTTAAGCACGTGCAGGGGCCGTGTGACTGTGGGACGTGACAAGGAGCTTCTGTCCAAGTTTCCGTGCGGGAAAGAAACACAAACGTCTGCGAAGTTCACAGCAGCCCAGGTCACGGCAGCCAAAGGTGGAAACAGCTCACCCATCCCTCGAGGGCAGTGAGTGGACAGAGGCAACGTGGTCCAGCCGTACCACGGAAGGACACCCCACCCCAAAATAACAGCACCAGGACGTGCCACCCCAAAGTGTACTTGTCCTGCGTCGTTCGAGCTGGTGACTCCCAGAAACCGCAGGCTCAGGACTAGCTCTGGACAAGTGCTCTTTTGTAAAATAAGTTCACGTCCACGAAGGACATCCACGCTGGCAACACACCTGCACCAGGAAGAGGGAGAGGGCTGCCCCGGGCAGCTTTCATTGCCAAGAGGCCTGGCTTTCTTTTTATCTTTTCTTTATTTGTTTTTATTTTTAATTTTAATTTTTTTGTATTTTTAGTAGAGACGGGGTTTCACCATGTTGGCCAGGCTGGTCTCGAACTCCTGGGCTCAAGTGATCTACCAGCCTTGGCCTCCAAAAGTGCTGGGATTACAGGCGTGAGCCACCGTGCCTGGCCTTTTTATCCTTTTTTTTTTTTAAAAAAAAATGAACACATGCCGGGCGCGGTGGCTCACGCCTGTAATCCCAGCACCTTGGGAGGCTGAGGCGGGCGGATCACGACATCAGGAGCTTGAGACCAGCGTGGCCAACATGGCGAAACCCCGTCTCTACTAAAAATACAAACAGTAGCCGGGCGTGGTGGCGGGTGCCTGTAATCCCAGCTACTCGGGAGGCTGAGGCAGGGGAATCGCTTGAATCTGGGAGGCGGAGGTTGCGGTGAGCCGAGATCGTGCCACTGCACTCCAACCTGGGCAACAAGAGCAAAATACTCTGTCTCAAAAAAAAAAAGAACACATAATAATTGTACATATTCATGGGGTACATAGTGACGTTTCAATACATACAATGTGTGCTGATCAGACATTAACATAGCTAGAGTTGCAAACATTTATCATTTTTTAAAAAATTTTTTATTTATGGTTTTTTTGTTTTTTTTTTTCTGAGACGGAGTCTCGCTCTTGTCGCCCAGGCTAGAGTGCAGTGGTGTGATCTCAGCTCCCTGCAACCTCCCTTTCCCGGCTTGAAGTGATTCTCCTGCCTCAGCCTCCCAAGTAGCTGGGATTATAGGTGCCCACCACCATGCCCAGCTAATTTTTTTTGTAATTTTCGTAGAGACAGGGTTTCACCATGTTGGCCAGGCCGATCTTGAACTCCTGACCTCGTGATCCGCCCGCCTCAGCCTCCCGATGTGCTGGGATTACCGGCGCGAGCCACCATGCCTGGCCATGAATGAACAATTTAAAAACCCAAAGGGGCTGGGCGTGGTGCCTCACCCCTGTCATCCCAGTACTTTGGGAGACCAAGGCTGGCGGATCATGAGGTCAGGAGTTCAAGACCAGCCTGGCCAATCTGGTGAAACCCCGTCTCTACTAAAAATACAAAAATTAGCCGGGCGTGGTGGCGCGTGCCTATAGTCCCAGCTACTCGGGAGGTTGAGGCAGGAGGATTGCTTGAACCCAGGAGGCGGAGGTTGCAGTGAGCCGAGATTGCACCACTGCACTCCAGCCTGGGCGACAGAGCGAGACTCCGTGTCAAAACAAAAACAAAAACAAAAAACAAAAAAAGAACCCAAACAGGCAGGGCCCATCTCTGGGGTTAGAGACTGGACTTGGGGCGGGGCGCAGTGGCTCATGCCTGTAATCCCAGCACTTTGGGAGGCCGAGGTGGGTGGATCACGAGGTCAGGAGATCGAGACCATCCTGGCTAACACCGTGAAACCCCGTCTCTACTAAAAATATTTAAAAAATTAGCCAGGCGTGGTGGCGGGCGCCTGTAGTCCCAGCTACTGGGGAGGCTGAGGCAGGAGAATGGCGTGAACCCAGGAGGTGGAGCTTGCAGTGAGCCGAGATTGCACCACTGCACTCCAGCCTGGGGGACAGAGCGAGACTCGAATCTCAAAAAAAAAAAAAAGAGACTGGACTTGGGTACTTGGCTAAGGAGGGGCTTCGGGGCAGGGGGTTGTGTCTGGACCCAGGTGCCGGGAACAGGGGCGTGCCTGGTTTGTGAGTTATGAGGCTCTTCACTTGTGACCTGAGAACCTTCCACTGCCAATGATGCCATAAAAAGTTAAAGATTAGGCCGGGCGCGGTGGCTCACACCTGTAATCCTTTAGGAGGCTGAGGTGGGAGGATTGCTGGAGCCCAGGAGTCTCTAAAAAAATAACATAAAAAAATTAAAAAAGTTAAAGATTAAAAATGCACTTGCCTCTCCCAAAAACACTGTGACTCCAGTCCAATCGAGAGAAAAACATGAGATAGCTGGCGGGTGCAGTGGTCCACACCCGTAATCTACATAAATCCCGTCCAGCCGGCCTCCAGACACGGAGTTCTGAGAAACGGTCGGAGCCTGGGGGTGCCGAGGAGAGGCTGCGGCGAAACGGCAGGTTCGGTCCCGGGTGGGACCCTGTGCAGGAAGAGACATTAGGGGAAACTGAGGAAATCCGAGCCAAGAGTAGGTCCTTAGTAGTTAATCACGCATTCATGTGAGTTCGTCAGCCGTGACTCCTGCTGACTGGAGAGGGGAGCGGCCAGGAGCCTGGGGGCGGGGACGCGGGGGACCCTGTGGATACAGCCGCCACACATCTCCTGCAGACCAAAAATGGTTTTAAAAATTAAGTCTATTACAACACTAACCCGGCCGGGCACAGTGGCTCATACCTGTAATCCCAGCACTTTGGGAAGCCGAGGCGGGTGGATTATTTGAGGTCAGGAGTTCGAGACCAGCCTGACCAATATGGTGAAACCCCGTCTCTAGTAAAAATCCAAAAAAATTAGCTGGGCTTGGTGGTGGACCCCTATGATTCCAGCTACTTGGGAGGCTGAGGCTGCACTCCAGCCTGGGCAACAGAGTGGGAACTGTCTAAAAATAAAATAAAATAATAAAAAACCATTAACGTGGGCACAGTGGCTCATGCCTGTAATCCCAGCACTTTGGGAGGGCGAGGTGGGCGGGTCACCTGAGGTCAGGAGTTCAAGACCAGCCTGGTCAACGTGGTGAAACCTGTGTTTCTATTAGTCTCTACTAAAAATACAAAAAAAGTTAGCTGGGCGTGGTGGTGCACGTCTGTGATCCCTCAGCTACTCAGGTGGCTGAGACACAAGCATCGCTTGAACCTGAGATGGCTTGCAGTGAGCCGAGATCGTGCCACTGCACTCCAGCCCGGGTGACGCACTGAGACTCCATCAGAAGAAAAGAAAGGAAAATAAAAGAAAAAAAGAAAAGAAAAGAAAGAAAGAAAGAAAGAAAGAGAGGAGGGGAGGAGAGGGGAGGGGAGGAGAGGGGAGGGGAGGGGAAGGGGAGACGGGGAAGAAAGGAAAGAAAGGAAAGAAAGAAAGAGAGAGGAGGGGAGGGGAGGGGAGAGAAGGGGAAGGGAGGGAAAGAGAAGAAGGGGAAGGGAGGGAAAGAGAAGAAGGGGAAGAAAGGGAAGAAAGAAAAGAAAAGAAAGAAAGAGTTGGTAGTGAAATTAAAAGATTCTGCAGGAAAACAGCGCGGCGCTGAAACAGAGTCACTGAACAGCCCGAGATGCCACTCCCACGGGTCTAATCTGGAGGGAGGAAGGAGCAGGTAGGTCCACACGAAAACGCACACAGGCGGCTCCCAGCAAAGCTTCAGACGGACGGACGCAGACGAAGCCGCCCAGATGTGCACCCAGGGACGCACCCACAAACGCAGCGAGGCCCCCCTCGAGCTGGAGCTCGACCCCCCGGAGCAGGAGCACGGCTCGGACCCAGCCAGCGCGCGGGTGCAGCTTGAGGACGTCACGCTCAGCGGGAGACGCCAGACACAGAAGGCCACGCAGCGTGATCCCCTGTCCATGAAATGTCAGCACAGGCCCATCCAGAGACAGGGAGGGGATGTGAGGGCACCGGGGCTGGGGTGGGGACGGGGAGTGACGGCCGATGGGGACGAGCCTCCTTTTGGGGTGCTGGGGTGACAGTGGGGACAGAGTCTATTTTCGGGGTGCTGGAATGACAATGGGGGTGGGGCTTCCTTTTGGGGTGCTGGGGTGATAGAGATGGGGCCTGTTTTCGGGCTGCTGGGGTGACAGTGGGGACAGGCCTGTTTTCGGGCTGCTGGGATGACAGTGGGGACGGGCCTGTTTTCGGGGTGCTGGGGTGACAGTGGGGACAGGGCTGTTTTCGGGGTGCTGGGGTGACAGTGGGGACAGGCCTGTTTTCGGGGTGCTGGGGTGACAGGGGGACAGGCCTGTTTTCGGGGTGCTGGGGTGACAGGCCTGTTTTCGGGGTGCTGGGGTGACAGTGGGGACGGGCCTGTTTTCGGGGTGCTGGGGTGACAGTGGGGACAGGCCTGTTTTCGGGGTGCTGGGGTGACAGTGGGGACAGGGCTGTTTTCGGGGTGCTGGGGTGACAGGACTGTTTTCAGGGTGCTGGGGTGACAGGGGACAGGCCTGTTTTCGGGGTGCTGGGGTGACTGGGGACGGGCCTGTTTTCGGGGTGCTGGGGTGACTGGGGACGGGCCTGTTTTCGGGGTGCTGGGGTGACTGGGGACGGGCCTGTTTTCGGGGTGCTGGGGTGACTGGGGACGGGCCTGTTTTCGGGGTGCTGGGGTGACATGTCACGGTGGTGGTTGCCCAGCTCTGTGCAGGTACCAAAGGCCCCTGAATCGCAGTTTACAGGGAGACTCATCTGCTATGTGAGTTGTAACTTGATAAAAGCTGTTACTAAAAAAGAAGATCCTGGGATGCTGTTCAAGGCCCAGCCCCAGGAGCCACGCGGGGAGGACGGCCGCCCACCCCTGCCAGCCTGCAGACCCGGCCACCGCTCCAGTCCTGGCCAACGCCGCCCCCTCCTGGGAGAAGCCTTGGGATCCACAACCTCCCTTTTTAAAACAGGGAAGGGCCGGGCGCGGTGGCTCACGCCTGTAATCCCAGCACTTTGGGAGGCCGAGGTGGGCAGATCACAAGGTCAAGAGTTGGAGACCAGCCTGACAAACATGGAGAAACCCCTTCTCTACTAAAAATACCAAAAGTTAGCCTGGCGTGGTGGCGGGCGCCTGTAGACCCAGTTACTCGGGAGGCTGAGGGAAACAGGTTTGTCGGAAGCCCCACAGCCAGCATGGACAGAGGTGGGCTGGGACTCAGGCGGGCTCTGAGCGTTTCTTCATTATGATTTATTGGTCCCTCCCTGTCCCTCCCACCCGTCCTCACCCACCCCACTGCACCCCTGGAGGGGAAGGGTCCTGTGGAGACAGCGAGGGGGTCCCCATCACCCCAGGGCATCAGGCCGATCGGCCGGTGACCTTCCTGATCCAGGACACGTAAGGCGCCACAGCGGTGGCCACGGGAGGCTTGAAGATGTCAGTGCAGACCCTGGAGCTGAAGGACAGGACTCTGGCCAACACCCGGCCTTTGCCACACACCAGGGGCCCGCCCGAGTCACCCTGCAGGGACGACACACCGCAGCTCAGCCTCTGCACCTGCTGAGGGGACGAGGGGAGCAGGGCCCGCCGAGGGGAGCAGGGCCAGGCCTGTTATCCCCAGGCTCAAGGAGACACAGGGGCTGCTCCCGGCCCACGCGTGTCCCCTCCCCATCTCCCGCTGGCCCTGTGAACCCTGCTCCTTCTTCCCCCGCCGGACCGTCTTGGCTGGAGCAGAAGTCACAGCTCTGCCGCTTCCCGGCTGTGTGGTCTTGCGCAGGTTGCTAAACCTGTCTGAGCCTCAGTTTCTGCACCTGAGAAACGGGACCCCTGCCAGTGCTTCCCCGCCCCCCAGCCCCTGACAGGACTCCCCAGAGAACGGGAGAGCCAGGAACCTGCCCGGCGGCTGCCCTGGCCCCGGCCCTCCCGCCAGCCTCATTCCCCCAGCCCCACCCGGGCGCCCCTCACCTTGCAGGGAGCCTGGTCCTTGGAGTCGGCCGCCAGGCAGACCATGCTGGGGGAGAGGCTGCCGTTCCAGAAGCGGCTGTTGTTACACATGCGGGTGTCCAGCACTTGGAGGTCCAGCTCCCGCAGCACCCGGGACAGGCGCCCG
The DNA here is from genome assembly GCF_000001405.40 of Homo sapiens. Taxonomy (NCBI): domain Eukaryota; kingdom Metazoa; phylum Chordata; class Mammalia; order Primates; family Hominidae; genus Homo; species Homo sapiens. The sequence goes on along the minus strand of NC_000019.10, from coordinate 549,040 downwards.
CCCTGGTGGGTCAGCCCCCAGCCGGCCATGCTGCACCGAGTCCCTGCTGCCACCACCTGGCGCTTACTGGGCAGGGCCAACGGCCGGATGGTCCGGCTGGGCTTCACTTTCCCGTCCAGCTACGAGTGACAGGAAGGGGCAGGTGAGCAGGGGGAGGGGGTGAGAGTGCGGGGGCGGGGGGCGGCAGCGGGGGGAGGGGTGGCAGTGGGGGGAGGGTGGGCAATGGGGGAGGGGGCAGTAGTGCGGGGGGAGGGGCAGCAGTGCGGGGGGAGGGTCGGCAGCGGGGGGAGGGCGCAGTGGGGGTGAGGGGCACCCGTGGGGGACAGGAGGGTGCCCAGTTCTCCCTGTCCCGTCCCTGCACACCTGAAGCAGCGCGAGGTCGTTCTCCAGGGCAGGGACGGGCTTGTAGCGAGGGTGCTGGATGGCTGCCTTGATGTGGAAGGTGAGACCGGGGCTGTCCAGGGTGTGGAGCCCCAGCACCAGCCTCAGCTGGGCCATCCTGGGGACAGAGGGAATCAGGGTGCTGCGGCCTGGCCCGGCGTGGACGACCCGCCACATGCAGTCCCGGCCCCCACTGTGCCCGTTGTCCATGGCCATCACTCACAGCCGCTGCCCCTCACAGGCCTTGGCTTGGCCAGTCCTTCCCTGTGTCTTTGCAACCCACCTCCTCCAGGAAGCCCTCCCTGCTCTCACCCCTGCCCCAGACTTCTGCCCGGCCCTGGCCCCAGGCAAGGGCTGTGTGTCCAAAAATCCAACCCCAAGCCTACAGCTTCACGAAAACCAGCCCTGGGAATTCCCTTCACTTGGGGCCCCAGGCTCAACCACAGTGATTTGTACAGGGGTTGACACATGCCAATCCTCCTAAGTGTGCCCCAACTTTAGAGAGCCAAGCCCTCTTTCCATGGGACTGAGGAGGGTCAATCTTTCCACCTTGTGAGACAGGCTTCCTGGTAGTGCAGCAGAGCTGGGAGACAGATGGGCTCCACAGCGCCTCCTGTGAGCACCTGGATCAAGCCGCACCTGAAGCCAGGCCTCCTCCTAGACTTTGCAGTTACACAAGCCGGCAGATCCCTTTTTGTTACTTTGACCATCTTGATCTGGGCTCTGTATGACGGACCAGTCCTGAGGTAGGGCAACTCCATGATGGGTCATTTAGCGGCTTCCTGATCCCCGGGAACCAGGTCGATTCCCGAGCCACTCTCGAAGGCCGGCTTCGACCTCCTGGCCACAGGTGGCAAACACCCCCACCTGACCCTCCTTCCTTATAGCAGAAGCCCCCGCCTAAGTTGGGTCCATCAGCAGGTGAATGGACAGACACAATGCACTCTGTCCACACCAGGACTGTGGCTCAGCCGTGAAAGGAGCCAGGCTCTGACCCAGGCTGCGGTGTGGAAGGAGCTGGCCCTGCCAGTGCCTCTTGCAAGGAGTAAACCTTCTCCAGGAGTCCCACAGCCGCAGGTCACTTAAACCTGCCTAAGTCGTCACCGGGAGGGGACGGGGGTCCCACAATGGGCCTAAATCTCCCAGAGCCCACCCCCTGCAGAGAATGGGCGCCGTCGGATGGATTCCCCGGACCCCTGGGGTGGGCAGGGCAGGGTACTCACCGCTGGGCCAGGCAGTGGGCAGCCGTCAGCACCCACTTTGGGTGCACCAGGACACCCCCGCACAGGTGGGAGCCATTTCTCTGCAGTGAGGCCATGTACGGGCGCGAGTGGGGGATCACCTCCCGGCCCCCGATGATCTGGGTCCCAAAGGAGCTGCCTGCCAGGATGGGGGACAAAGAGCCAGGTTGGGGCTACATGCCCCTGCTGCCTGCTGCGACTGTCCTTGCCCAGCTCAGAGGCCCAGGACCCCAAGCAGATGTGCCATCCTAATGAAGTCCCCAGTGTTCCCCGAAACTTTTAGGCTGATACGTGTGGGCTGCCCTTCATCCCTCCCATCCCCCTCTCATCACCCCCATCATGTTCCCCCCAGGCCACCTCCCAATCCCCTCTCCAGGACCTCCCCAGGCCCCACTGGGCCCCACAGCCACAGGAGTCCTTCAAAACGCACATCAGGCCGGATGTGGGTGGCTCACCCCTGTGATCCCAGCACTTCGGGAGGCTGAGGAGGGAGGATCACTTGAGGCCAGGAGTTCGAGACCAGCCTGGGCGACACAGCAAGACCCAGTCTCTTAAAAAAAACTTTTTTTTTCTTTTTTTTTGAGACAGAGTCTCGCTCTGTCACCCAGGCTGGAGTGCAATGGCACGATCTCGGCTCACTGCAAGCTCCGCCTCCTGGGTTCATGCCATTCTCCTGACTCAGTCTCCCGAGTAGCTGGGACTACAGGCACCTGCCACCACGCCTGGATAATTTTTGTATTTTTAGTACAGATGGGGTTTCACCATGTTAGCCAGGCTGGTCTCGAACTCCTGACCTTGTGATCCACCCATCTCAGCCTCCCAAAGTGCTGGGATTACAGGTATGAGCCACTGCACCTGGCCATTTTTTTTTTTTTTTTGAGATGGAGTCTCACTCTGTTACCCAGCCTGGAATGCAGTGCCGTGATCTCAGCTCACTGCAACCTCTGCCTCCTGGGTTCAAGCGATTCTCCTGCCTCAGCCTCCCGAGTAGCTGGGATTACAGAAGCGCATCACCACGTCCGGCTAATTTTTTTGTATTTTTAGTAGCGACAGGGTTTCGCCGTGTTGGCCAGGCTGGCCTCAAACACCTAACCTCAGGTGATCCACCCTCCTTGGCCTCCCAAAGTGCTGGGATGACAGGCGTGAGCCACTGTGCCCAGCAAGAAATGTAGTCTTTAAATAAGTAAATTGTATAGTGCATAATTTCCTAATAAAGCTGTACAAAAATTATTTTAAATCAATCATAAATATAAAAGGATTGATTTCATAATGTAACGTAAATCAGCTCAAAATCTTCTCTGAATCCCCATCATGCTTTGAAAATCAAGTCCCCGCTTGCGGGCCGGTGCAGTGGCTCACGCCTATAATCCCAGCACTTTGGGAGGTCAAGGTGGGCAGACAGCCTGAGGTCAGGAGTTGGAGATCAGCCTGGCCAATGTGGTAAAACCCCGTCTGTACTAAAAATACAGAAATTAAGGCCGGGTGCGGTGGCTCACGCCTGTAATCCCAGCACTTTGGGAGGCCGAGGCAGGTGGATCACGAGGTCAGGAGATCGAGACCATCCTGGCTAACACGGTGAAACCCCGTCTCTACTAAAAATACAAAAAATTAGCCGGGCGAGGTGGCGGGCATCTGTAATCTCAGCTACTTGGGAGGCTGAGACAGGAGAATCGCTTGAACCCGGGAGGCAGAGGTTGTGGTGAGCCGAGATCGTGCCATTGCACTCCAGCCTGGGCAAGAATAGCAGAACTCCATCTTAAAAAAAAAAAATAGGCCGGGCGCGGTGGCTCACGCCTGTAATCCCAGCGCTTTGGGAGGCCGAGGCAGGCGGATCACCTGAGGTTGGGAGTTTGAGACCAGCCTGACCAACACGGGGAAACCCTGTCTCTACTAAAAATACAAAATTAGCCCGGCATGGTGGCAGGCGCCTGTAATCCCAGCTACTCGGGAGGCTGAGGCAGGAGAATCGCTTGAAACCAGGAGGCGGAGGCTGCAGTGAGCCGAGATGGCACCATCGCACTCCAGCCTGGGTGACAAGAGTGCAAGTCTAGCTGTGCCTGCAAGCTGCCTGCACCCTGGGCCTTTGTCTGTCTCACTTAGCTGCCTGCGTACCTTTCCCCCACCGGCTTCCTCCCTTGGTTTATGCTCGTCTCCTGCAACGGCCCCCCACCCGCCCTCTTGCCCTCCGTGTTTCCTCCGCTCTGCACAGTCTCATGCCTGGCCTGTCTCTTCCAGTCAGACAGGAGGGCAGGCCTAGAACAGCACGAGCCCTGCAAATACGGATGGATACACAGAAGCACGGGAGAAAGGAAGGAGGGATGGAAGGAGGAATGGATGATGGATGGATGGGAGGGAGGAGGGAAGGAGGGGGGAAAGGAAGAGAGAGGCATGATGGATGGATGGGTGGATACATGGAAGGAGGGAGGGAAGGATGACGGGTGGAGGGAAGGAGGGAGGTTGAAAGGAGGGATGGATGATGGATGGACGGGTGGGTGGAAGAATGGGAGGAAGGAGGAATGATGGGTGGATGGACTGGCGGAGGGAAGGAAGGGGGAACGAAAGGAGGGAGGGAGGGATGGATGATGGACCCATGGGTAGAGGGATGGATGATGGATGGGTGGGTGGAAGAATGGAAGGAGGAATGATGGGTGGACGGACGGGTAGAGGGAAGGAAGGGGAGATGAGGGAGGGAGGGAGGGAGGGAGGGAGGGATGATGGACCCATGGGTGGAAGGAAATAAAAATGGGAGGAAGGATGATGATGACTGACGGCTGGATTCCTACCTCTGTCCATCTTCTTGGGTCCCCAACTCATCAAGAGCCCCTGTCACTCAGTCCAGCTGGAATGCAGGGGAGCCGCCACCCACCTCCCTTCTCCCTCACTGCTGGGCACCTAGTCCCAGCCAAGCCCTTGGTGGTGGCAGGCAGCCAGCGGGGATCGAGTCCCAGCTCTGCCCTCCCAGCTGGGCAGTCCTAGGTCAGCATCTCCTTCGCCAAGTCTCAGTCTCCTACTCTGCACCTCGGGTGTGAGCGTGACCCCTGCCTTCTGGCTGCTGCCGGGAGGATGGGCGAGGTGAGCCGGTGGACACCACACTCTCCCACGGTCCCGGGATGTCCACTCGGGGTGAAGCGTGAGGAGCTCGGGATGCCCCAGGCCTCAGTCCCCCTCCAAACAAGGATGAATCTCCGCTCTTACACCCAGGATGTCGGCGCCCGCGCCCACCCCTCCCATCCAGGGACCCACCGAGAGCGCTGGGCCTCAGTGTCCCCCCTGCATCCCGGCTCCCACTCACCTACTGACAGGGCCCCCAGGGCCAGCACCAGCAGTGAAGACACGCAGGCCTCCATGCCGCTGTGGAGACCCAGTGTGGGTGCTGGCCCCGGCCCCGAGCCTCCCCACACGCGCTTCCTGTGGGGGAGGTGAGGTGACGGTCACAGCCCCGCCCACCGCTGCACACCCTCCACCCTCCATCCTTGAGCATTTTAGAAAGTGTTTCTCAAAGAGGACTCGAGATGAAGCCACACTACCATCATCACACCTGACAAAGTAACACTTTTTTTTTTTTTTTTTTTTCAGAGATGGAGTCTCGCTCTGTCGCCCAGGCTGGAGTGCGGTGGTGCGATCTCGGCTCACTGCAAGCTCCGCCTCCCGGGTTCACGCCATACTCCGGCCTCAGCCTCCCGAGTAGTGGGACTACAGGTGCCCACCACCACGCCCGGCTAATTTTCGTATTCTTAGTAGAGACGAGGTTTCACCATGTTGACCAGGCTGGTCTCAAACTCCCGACCTCAGGTGATCCACCCACCTCGGCCTCCCAGTGCTGGGATTACAGGCATGAGCCACCGCGCCCGGCCACTACTTCCTGCCTCTGAATTGGTCTCTAGGGACCTCCCAGGAGTGGAATCACACAGGACCTGTTGCGTTGGCGTCTCTCCCAGCATGACGTCCTCAAGGTGCATCCAGGCTGTGGCCTGTGTCAGAGCCTCGCTCCTTTTTGTGGCTGTGTCACATCCCATTGTGTGGCTGGACCACGCTGTGTTTATGCATTCACCAGCGGACGGATATTTGCGCTGTTCTAGTTTTTGGTCTTCATGAATAAAGACACTGGCCGAAGGCGGTGGCTCACACCTGTAATCCCAGCACTTTGAGAGACTGGGGCAGGAGGATCGCTTGAGCCCAGGTTGGGGCTGCAGTGAGCCGTAATTGCACCACTGCTCTTCAGCCTGGGTGACAGAGCAAGACCCTGTCTCAAAAATAAATAAATTTAGGCCGGGCGCGGCGGCTCACGCCTGTAATCCCAGCACTTTGGGAGGCCGAGGCGGGCGATCACCTGAGGTTGGGAGTTCGAGACCATCCTGGCCAACATGGTGAAACCCCATCTCTACTAAAAATACAAAAATCAGCTGGGCATGGTGGTGGGAGCCTGTAGTCCCAGCTACTCAGGAGGCTGAGGCAGGAGAATCACTTGAACCCAGGAGGCGAGATCGCACCACTGCACTCCAGCCTGGGCAACACAAGACTGTGTCTCAAAAACAAAACCAAACCAAACCAAGCAGCTATGGATGATCCTGAGACCTGGGTGTGGCTGTGCCAGTAACACTTCACTCACAATAGGGGCGGACGCCAGGTTTGGTCCCGAGGGCCATGGTTTGCTGAGACCCCAGGGCCCCATTTTCTGTCCCAACTTGGTGGGAAACCTCATCCTCACAGCTCCTCGACCCTGAATCAGCCACTGAGCGACTTTCCGGGTGCCCAGAAGCGGAACGCAGGCAGGTTCCTGGAAGGCGGTGCCCCGGGAGGGCATGGGAGCTCCGAGCTTTCCTCCATGACATGTAATAAAACGATGCTGGGGACTTCCTGACACCAGGACGTGAGGTGCCTGCCCTGTGTGCCCAGGGCCACGGCTCCCCACCCCGAGGGTGTGCCTGGACGGAGCTGGAGCCGCCGGAGTGCTGATCGGGGGCATCTGTGGTCCTGGGAGCCCTGAGACGCTGAGATCAACGCCCAGGCGGCTGTGGACCCGCGACGAAGCTTTGCTGGATGCCTGCAGAGGCAGCTCCCGTCCCACTAGATGCACCTGGTCACAGGGAGGAGGAACTCTGGGGGCTTTCTGGCCGCCCCTGTCCCGCAGGCTGGGGGATGCTGCCCAGGCCTGTCTGACCCAAGTCATGGGAACGTACAGGCCGCGGGACCCGGCTGCTCCCCGTGCCTCCCAGGACAGGCCTCCCAGATCCACACCTGGCGTAGCCAGGGTCCCAGTGGGACTGGCCGTGTGCAGTCACTCATGGACGTGGAGGCTGCCTCTCCCTCCCAAGCACAGCTTCTCTGGCCTCTCATAAAGTAGTTTTATTTAGATTTCAAACAAACCAAAGCAGGGAAAAGAGTCGGCCACGGTGAATCCGTCCACTCTGTGCTGGACGTGGCTCCAGGACCTGGAGCTGACAGGCAGGACCGGGCCCCTCGGACCGCTACACCTGGGCCTCCCAGGCTGGTAGTGTCAGGAAACGGCCCCCCGCCCACGTTCCCAGCAGCGCCCCCGTGGCTCCTCCGGGGTGCGGCCAGTCCGGAAGCTGGGGGACCCCGGTAGAAGTCGGGCTCAGCTCCCCTCCCGAGGGGACAGGTGGGCCGGCCGCTCCCACCCTGGGCCCGTCCACCGAGCCCCGAGTGACGTGAGTGGCGGTGGGGCAGCCCCTCTTCTCTGAAGCACGTGAAAACCCAGAACAGACATGGGGAGGGAGAAAAAGCCAAAACGAAACAACCAGAGGAGACGGGGACCAGCACAAAACCTCCGTGAGGTAGTCTGTCGTCTAAGGAGCCACGGGTCCGGCCCTAGTGAGGTAAACTCGGCAAGTTTATTCTGGTGGTGTCAGGACTCCTCCGTGCCAGAGTCATCCTCATCGTCCCCGAAGCAGCTGTCGGCCTCCTCCTCCACCTCGCCGTCCTCGTAGTAGTCGTCGTAGAAGAGGTCTGAGCCCTCGTCGGGCGCCGGCGCCTTGGTCTTCACGCAGTACTCGGCCAGCGTGGTGGGCACCTTCACGCCGTCACGCTCCGCGTCCACCTTGGTCCCCAGGACCTGCTTCCTGGGGGGACAGGGTGGGTGAGGGCGCCACCCACGTGCCTGGACTCGGCCCCTGCCCGGCCCCCCTCCCCCAGGTCCGACGCTCACCCCAACGCTCAGGTTTCTCTTAAAACGGCGTGTGGCGACCACTTAGGACAAAGCCCTGTGCGTGAGGAACTCCAGGGGGAGAAATGACAGAGGAGGGGGCTCGGGAAGGGCAGGAGGTGCGGGTGGGAGGCTGGACGGGCGCAGTGCAGTCACACCCGCCTGCCCCGCCCCGAAGCACAACCCAAGGGACCCATCAGGAGCTGGGAGAAAATAACGATGCCGGCAACAGGGAGGGCCCATGCTGCCCCACTGGGGGGCAAAAGCCTTCCTCAGCGCAGGAGCAAAGGAAGCAGCTGGGAGGGCCCAAGGACAGGAGGCAGGACCATCCCTGGAGACGGGAACCAGCACAGGTGAGATGGGAAACGCAAAAACGGCCTGAGCCTCTCCGTGGCCTCAGCAGGATTCTAAACCCGGGGGCCTGGCCACCCCGGCCTCCGGATTCTAAACCGGGGGGCCTGGCCATCCCAGCCTCTGGATTCTAAACCCGGGGGCCTGGCCATCCCAGCCTCCGGATTCTAAACCCGGGGGCCTGGCCACCCCGGCCTCCGGATTCTAAACGTGGGGGGCCTGGCCACCCCGGCCTCCGGATTCTAAACCCGGGGGGCCTGGCCACCCCGGCCTCCGGATTCTAAACCCGGGGGGCCTGGCCACCCCGGCCTCCGGATTCTAAACCCGGGGGGCCTGGCCACCCCGGCCTCCGGATTCTAAACCCGGGGGGCCTGGCCACCCCGGCCTCCGGATTCTAAACCCGGGGGGCCTGGCCACCCCGGCCTCCGGATTCTAAACCCGGGGGGCCTGGCCACCCCGGCCTCCGGATTCTAAACCCGGGGGGCCTGGCCACCCCGGCCTCCGGATTCTAAACCCGGGGGGCCTGGCCACCCCGGCCTCCGGATTCTAAACCCGGGGGGCCTGGCCACCCCGGCCTCCGGATTCTAAACCCGGGGGGCCTGGCCACCCCGGCCTCCGGATTCTAAACCGGGGGGCCTGGCCACCCCGGCCTCCGGATTCTAAACCCGGGGGGCCTGGCCACCCCGGCCTCCGGATTCTAAACCCGGGGGGCCTGGCCACCCCGGCCTCCGGATTCTAAACCCGGGGGGCCTGGCCACCCCGGCCTCCGGATTCTAAACGTGGGGGGCCTGGCCACCCCGGCCTCCGGATTCTAAACCTGGGGGGCCTGGCCACCCCGGCCTCCGGATTCTAAACGTGGGGGGCCTGGCCACCCCGGCCTCCGGATTCTAAACCTGGGGGCCTGGCCACCCCGGCCTCCGGATTCTAAACCTGGGGGGCCTGGCCATCCCAGCCTCTGGCAGGAAGGGAGGACAAGTTAGCTCAAACTTCCTGGAGGGCACCGTGTACACCCGGCCCTATGAGGGGCTGCACCGCGCACACCAGGACCTACGAGGAACCTGCCCCCGGCTCCACCTCCAGGACACGCGTCAAGAATGTCCCCCCAGGACTGGAAGCAAAGGGGCTTCCGGGGGTGGCACAGCAGGGCCAGGCGGCACGCTGACCCCATTTGACAGAAAACAGGAACGAGGCTGCAGCCGCAGGCAATGGGCTCGAGCCCCTATCACCGACCAGGCACGGCTCTGGGCTCTGGGGCTGGCTGCTACCAGGGTGTGCGGGTCCCACAGTGCCCGCATGGGAGGGCACCAGGGAGCAGACAGACAGCCCCAAGCCCAGCCCACAAGCCCAGTGCTTTTTATGGGGATGCATGACGCGTGGAGGGCAGGCGTCTGGCCTCAGGGACGTCCCTGGGTGGCGGGACCCAGCGGACGCCAAGCTTTGCTTTCCAAGCTCTCCGATGGGCTGGGGGGGTGACTGACAGTGCCCCGGGGACGGCACTGCACGGGTGGCAGCAGTGGGGAGACGCAGGGGAGGGCCAGGGTGGACGGGCTGGGGGGGTGACGGTGCCCCGGGGACGGCACCGCAGAGGTGGCGGCTGTGGGGAGACGCAGGGGAGGGCCAGGGTGGGAACTGACCTGCACCGTGGAGGTGCCGCCGGCACACCGCCAGCATGAGCTGGAGGACGGTCTGGAGGTCCTGTTCAGCAAGACCAACATCCCTGACCAAGCCGGGCTCCACGGCAGCCTGCCCGACACAGCTCAGCGGGACTTGGGCTGCCACGAGGCCAACACGCACACAGATGAAAAAACAGGCAGAAACGGCGACCACAGCAGAGTCCACATGGCACATGTGTGTTGGCCCACAGGGAGTTTTGAGGGATAAAAATAGTGTGGCTTTTATTTCTGTGCTGGGATCTCAAGGAGGTGGTGCCTCAGGGAGGTGGCCGGGAAGAACCGGGCCAAGGAGCCAGCCACCTGGGCCAGGTGACACGACCGGACCGGGGCCACCGAGGACATCTGCACCAGAGGGACGGCCAGGGCAGCTACCCTGTGACCTCCAGAGGCCAGCAGGTGCTTGCAGGCCACTTCCCAGGAGGCCGCACGGGGCCCGCCCACCATGGCTGCTCAGAGCCGAGACCGCCCAGCACCAGGATGCTGCCCCGAGATGACCCCACGACACCAGGTACCAGCGAGTGCAGGATGGAAGGTGCCCTGGATGCTCCTGGGTCCTGGGGCGAGGAAGACACATGCATTATGTGTGCAATATTTTAAAAGTTGTTTTTAAGATTCTGTTTATACAAAATACCAACAAAAATAGGTGAGGCCTCTGTGAGGAAATCTATGCAATATCACTCTGAGAAAAAAAAAAAATGGATAGGAAGGGCCTCTATGTAACAGGAAGAGCAGGAACCATTAAGGCCGTCAACCCGTAAAGAAAGCCTTGTCTTTGTACACAGACACGCACGTGTTTACACATTCATGTGAACACAGGCACCCAAGAGAAGGGGCTGTGGGGCTCAGCTCTGGGGCATGAGGGCGATGGGAGGAGAGGGAGAGCCGTGGGTCACCACACACAGCCACGCAAGCTAAGTGGACTGCAGGTACAGAAGGCGCCGGTAGGCGACTGCACAGCTGTACCCAGAGCTCACCAGGCCAAGAGCCTGCAGGGACGCACTCCAGACATGAGTAAGGCCAACACCCCTGACTAACAGTCAGTCACTGGGCACACACAGCACGACCCCATTTTTTCATTAAAGCACAGACACATGTTCCCTAACAGTCAGTCACTGGGCACACACAGCACGACCCCATTTCTTCATTAAGGCACAGACACATGTTCCCTAACAGTCAGTCACTGGGCACACACAGCACGACCCCATTTCTTCATTAAAGCACAGACATGCGTTAAACTGAAAAGCCTGGAAGAATCTATGAAAACACTAACCACCAGGCCAGGTGCAGTGGCTCACGCCTGTCATCCCAGCACTTTGGGAGGCCGAGGCGGGTGGATCACCTGAGGTCAGGAGTTTGAGACCAGCCTGGCTAAGATGGTGAAATCCCACCTCTACTAAAAATTACAAAAATTAGCTCGGCGTGGTAGTGGGCACCTGTAATCCCAGCTGCTTGGCAGGATGAAGGGGGAGAACTGCTCCAACCCGAGTAGTGGAGGCTGCAGTGAGCCGAGATCGCACCACTGCACTGCAGCCTAGGCAAGAGAGTATAACTCTGTCTCCAAAAAAAAAAAAAAAAAAAAAGGCCGGCCGCGGTGGCTCACGCCTGTAATCCCTGCACTTTGGGAGGCCGAGGCAGATGGATCACGAGGTCAGGAGATCGAGACCATCCTGGCTAACACGCTGAAACCCCGTCTCTACTAAAAATACAAAAAATTAGCCGGGCGTGGTGACGGGCGCCTGTAGTCCCAGCTACTTGGGAGGCTGAGGCAGGAGAATGGCGTGAACCCGGGAGGCGGAGCTTGCAGTGAGCCGAGATCGCGCCACTGCACTCCAGCCTGGGTGACAGAGAGAGACTCTGTCTCAAACAAAAAAAAAGAGGAAAAGGGGCAAGAAGCTGGGCTTGAACCTGGCTGGACCCTCCGCCACTCGGCCCGGCCTCCATCTGTGACTGGCACCCTGTAAATGGGCACCAGGAAGCTCCGCCACCCTCACCAGGAAGGTGGGGCTGGGCGGCCGTGGGACCAGGGGCCGGGGTGCAGGCCGGATCTGAGTCTCTCCTCCCGTGACGCCCCCGCCCGCCCTCACCGGATGATGTCTGTGTACTCCCGATCCTTCCCCTTGCTCTCTTTCCACTTCCTGTACATCACGGAGGCGTCCACGTTTGCGGGCGAGAAGGTGTTGGGCTCGTTCAGGAGGGAGATCACACTCAGGAGAATGGTCCTGTGGGGAGAGTGGGTCGGAGTGGGGCGGCCCGGGGCACCCCAGCCTTCCGGCTCTTCTCTGGCCCTGAGGGTCACGGGGACGCCTGGACCCACCCAGCAGGTGACCTTCACCTGGCCTCATGGCCTCTGCTTCTGTCTCAGGCCCCCAGAACAGCAGGGGCTGGACCTGCATCAGTCTCCTCCCTCCCACGCCAAGACCAGGGAGGGCAGCAAGGTGCAGACCCCTCCGTCAGACCCGGGGCTGCCCTCACACCCGCACGTCCTGCCTAGACTACACTCCAGGACACACGGGCAACACGGCCCAGTGCTTGTACCTGGGGACGAGGCCCAGGCGGCACACGTGGCACGAGGTGACCAACCCAGAGACGGCTGGGTAAGGAGAAGGCCCCAGGACTGAGGATGGCGGGACACCTCTAGGTGGTTCCAGACGGTGGGGCCGGCCTGGGGTCCTGGTGGGAGTCTGCACCGACACACGGTGCCGCAGGCCCCGTGAAAGCACCTACCGTGCAGGTACAGCGAGGCCCAGGACCGCCAGCTGGCAGGTCCCGAATCAGGCCTTGGCGCCACAGCCTGTGGGGGAGCCCGGCCTACCTGATGGTCTGGGTGGATACGGGACGGAGCCCGGCCTACCTGATGTTCTGGGTGGACACAGGGGGTTGGGCCGGCTTACCTGACGTTCTGCGTGGGGTTCCACCTCTCTGAGGGCAGCTCCCCGCTCTGGGGGTCGTCCACCGGCGGGTGGAGGATGGAGATACACACGTCCCCCGTCTGCACAAGAAGAAGACAGGTCAGAACAGGTCAGAGGTCAGCACGGGCTCCCAGTGCCCCAGGTCCCGGAGGATGAGGACGTGGAGGACGAGGACGTGAGGCTCCCAGCGCCCCGGGTCCCGGAAGGACGAGGACATGAGGCTCCCAGCGCCTCGGGTCCCGGAAGGACGAGGACGTGAGGCTCCCAGCGCCCCGGGTCCCGGAGGACGAGGACGTGAGGCTCCCAGCGCCCCGGGTCCCGGAAGGATGAGGACGTGAGGCTCCCAGCACCCTGGGTCCCGGAGGATGAGGACTTGAGGCCCGTGGGGGCCGCGCTCACCTCGTAGATGTTAGGGTGCCACATCTTGGTCAGGAACCGAAAGGCTGGTGGAGAGTATGGGTAGTCGATGGGGAACTTGAGGCGCGCCTGCAGGGGCAGAAGGCAGGTGGCTCAGTCCAGCCCAGCCCCAAGACCTGCCCCAGCTCACAAGGTGCCCAAGGCCATCCCACTCCCAGTGCTGGTGCCTGAGGGTGTGTGTGAGGGACACCGTATCCTGCCCAAGGCAGGGACTCTCACAGGCCTGGGGTCAAGTCCCCAGAAGGCTGCCTGAAGCCTTTTCTGAGTCACCCGAGCTGATCCCAGCTCCTACACAGTCCAGGTGGCCGGGACCCGGCCCAGCACAACTGCTGGGGAACGTGGGCACTGGCTGCCCGCGTGGCTCCAGGCCCGTGGCAGCCCAGGTCAGGCATATGGGACCCAGGCCAGGGGCACCCACCAGCAGACAGAATGGACTGGCAGGGGCTCCAGGCTCCCCTTGGATGGAGCTGAAGCCCAGGACCAGGGCTGCACCTCCAGGGCCTTGGCAGCCAGGGTGTGGGGAGGGTTAGCACAGATGATTGCTCAGTTAGCAAACACTTGTGACACCTGCCCTGGCCCAGGCCGTGGGAGGGGATGAGTCAGTATGGCCGTCTGCCCTCAGGTGTCCGGTCTTGGGGGGTCAGGCAGGCAGACCCATAGGTCACAGAAACCTGGCAGGACTCCTTCCCTGTCAGCATCGCCCCCTGTGGTCACCCAGGCCCTGGAGGTCCAGATCTGCTGGCAAGGACGGCCACAGAGGGAGGCCTGAAGCCACGTGCCAGGTGACAGAGCTGTCTGGCCTGCAGCCTGGGGCGTGATGCCACCCACGGCCCTCCTGGGCCACAGCAGGTAAACAAGGAAGCCTCACTGTTTTCCTGCTGGGCCCCAGTGCCAGACACAGAGGTTGTCTGGGTCAGGGGTCCTGGTGGCACTCAGCACTCCAAGGCACGAGAGCAGCACCCCCAGAGCGATCGTGGTGGAAGCCTGGACAGGGAGGGCACTCAGGGGGTCTTGGATCGTGGGCGAGGTCTGGACAGGGAGGGCACTCAGGGGGTCTTGGATCGTGGGCGAGGTCTGGACAGGGAGGGCACTCGGGGGTCTTGGATCATGGGCGAGGTCTGGACAGGGAGGGCACTCGGGGGTCTTGGATCGTGGGCGAGGTCTGGACAGGGAGGGCACTCGGGGGTCTTGGATCGTGGGCGAGGTCTGGACAGGGAGGGCACTCGGGGGTCTTGGATCGTGGGCGAGGTCTGGACAGGGAGGGCACTCGGGGGTCTTGGATCGTGGGCGAGGTCTGGACAGGGCGGGCACTCGGGGGTCTTGGATCGTGGGCGAGGCCTTGACAGGGAGGGTACTCGGGGGTCTTGGATTGTGGGCGAGGTCTGGACAGGGAGGGCACTCAGGGGGTCTTGGATCGTGGGTGAGGTCTGGACAGGGAGGGCACTCAGGGGGTCTTGGATCGTGGGCGAGGTCTGGACAGGGAGGGTACTCGGGGGTCTTGGATTGTGGGCGAGGCCCCTCCCGGACAGGCAGGGCACTTTGGGGGTCTTGGATCGTGGACGGGCCCCTCCTGGACAGGGAGGGCACGCGGGGTGTCTTGGGGGGTGTCCTCTGTTTGACAGGGAACTCACTGGTGCCCCGTAAGGCAAGTGACTTGGCCGCGGCCACAGAGCAAGGCTGGAACTTCAGTCTCAGAACTGTCCTGCGGTTCCCCAAGACTTCAGGCCCCCCAAGCCTGGTGCTGGGTTTCAGGCGGCAATCCTTGACAACAGCCAAGGCCTCATCTGTACCAAACCCCACCAAGTCCCAATGAGCCTCTTATTTTGGGCACCTCTAAGAATGTCTTTTCCCCGGAGCAAACCCAGGCTCAGAAAAGGAAAGCGCCCTGCCAAGGGCAGACAGCAAGTCGGCTGTGGAGGGCTCTCTCTGGCGGCCCCTGCCCCAGGGCTCACTTTGGCTCCTGAAGGAACAGCAGCTGCAGGCAGTGGCTGGGCAGCAGCGGCCCTGGGCACTCAGCAGGTTCTGTATTTCCACGCTCCCCCAACTCCCTCCCAGGCACAGCGGGAAGGGAGAGTCCTCGTGGGTGGCAGCACCCCCGTCTCAACACTGGCTTCTGAGGACTGACCCTGTGGCAGATGTCTAGAGGCCCCCTCCCTGGGAAATCCGGAAAACCGGATTATCCCCTAATGCTGGCCCAGGAAGCTCTGCCCACAATCCCTGGCAACCGGTCTGGTGGGCACAGCAGCCAGAAACCCCCATCCCCTCCTTCCAGAACAGCAGCCGCCTCACAGGCCTGGCTTCGAGGTGGGGCTGCGGCTCCTCAGCCAGCTGCTCCCCCAAGCAGACAGAAGGGGCTGGCGGAGGAGCTGCTAAAACCATTTGGCAACCTCGAGACCCAAACTCTGTTCCCTGTGTGGGGACGCAGGATTCCAGATGCAGAACCCACGGGCGTCCCACTCTCTGCTCAGGAATCGCCCCCAGCAGACCAGGCTGCTGCCCTCACAGCCGCTGAGCGGGTGCGGTTCAGACACTAATTAGCTCGGAGAGCAGACACATATCGTGCGGGAGGCATCGGTCCCTCGGCCCCACGCCCGCAGCTGGCCGGGGCAGAGCGGGCCGGGCCCTGCAGTGTCGTGTCGTGTCCAGGCTCTTGGCAGGAAGTGACGGTGGGAGGGGGAGATTCCTGGACAGGGTGCTCGTTCCCCACCGCTCACACAGGGCCCCTCGCTTTGTCCCTCTGGCCCCAAGAACGAGGTCCCTGAACGCTAAAAGAAGTCAAAGGTCACGTCTGGATCGTGAGATCAAGAAAACTGCCCTGGTTTTGGCCTGAGTCCTTTTCACATGAGACAGAAACAGCCTCCCCGCTCCCAACAACAACAAAAACATCCAGAAACTGCTTGGAATTAAACCGCCAGAGGGCAGAAGAAACGGCCCAGAACTCGGGGTTTGGGTCCCAAGAAGCCACCTGTTCAGTGGACTCTGAGAAAGGCCAAGACCAGCTGGGATGAGCGAGCCCGGAGCTTCTGAGGTCGGGGTCCGGGACGCGGGCCCGAGCCGGGAGGCCTGGAGAGAGCTGCAGGGAGCAGGTGGGAGGCACGCCCCTACTTCGGCCTTCCCGAGGGCGCAGGTTACATAAAGCAGGGGATGGAGCCCAGGGCGCCTGGCCGGCTGCTACTGGCAAGGGTGGCCGCTTTCCAGGCGGGTCCTGGCTGCCAAGGCTCATCCGGGCCTTTGTTGGAGACTGAGCGAGTGGCCGCGCCAGCCACCCCCAGGCTGGCCTCGCTCCCCCGCTCACGGGCCCAGCTCCCCAACAATAGCAGCTACGGGGTCTGGGGGGGCCTCTTTGTCTCCTCCGGGGAGGGCGGGGAGGGCAGCTGAAAGGCCGGCGCGGCCTGGGCTCCGCTCCCTCTTTCTCGCAGGGGCGGAGGGGGAGGCAGCCGGGGTCCAGCCCCCGCCAAGGAGGAGGTGGGCAAGAGCCCCACGCCCAGATGCTACAGGGAGGGCCCCCGGCCACCCCTCCGGGGGCCAAGAGCCTAACAGGGGACCGGACGATGCCTTGAAGGGAACTGGGGATTTTCGAGGACTGCAGCAGAGGCTGAAGGTCCCCGAGACGGTCCGAGGAGGGGGCCGGGCAGAGCTGGGTGGGGGAACGTGGCCATAGAAGGGAAACGAGCCCAAGCCAGGAGGCTTCGGGGCCCGCCCAGCAACAGCGCTAGGACCGCGGGGCAGGGAGCTGGTTCCCGGCGCCCGAGGTCGCTCGTGGGCTCCGGGACCCGGGCGGGGGTCGCCGCGCTCACCTTGAAGTAGCCGCCCTCGTAGTAGGTGTTGGGGGGCCCGAAGATGGCCACCTCCCAGTTGTATAGATCGCCCTCGTCCACCAGTGTCACGCGGAATCCCTCGACCGGCTCTTCCTGCAGCCCCTTGAGCTCCAGCAGCAGCGCCTTCTGCGAGCTGGGCACTAGCGGCCGAGCCATGGCGGCGGCGGAGGGGCCCGGGGTCGGAGCAGCGCGGGGCCGCGCGACCACCGCGAGTTCGCGAGACGGGCCGGGCCGCGCACCGTCCGGGGGGGAGCCACCGGGGCCGCCGCCTGCCTCCTCCTCTGCGCCGCCGCCGCCGCCCGGGGACCCCGAGCGCTCCAGCAGCTCTGGCGCCGCCGCCCCACCGGCGCTTGCCTTGGCCGGGCCCGCGCGCCCCGCCCCCCGCTGCGCCTGCGCGCACCGCCTGGCCCCGACTGCGCCTGCGCTCCGCGGCCAGGTCCGACTTGCGCCTGCGCGCCCGGCCGCAGGGGACGCCGGGAGGTGGAGTCCCGGCCCCGGTCCCGCCTACGGCGCCGAGCGCCTCCGCCGGGAGGGAGGGTTCGAGCGCGCAGCCCCGGGCTCTTCCGATCCCCGAGGCCGCCGCCGTCGCCCCCTGCTCGACCAGCACCGCGGACGCTGTGCGCAAGGAGGCGGGCAGGGCTGCTCTGCGCCGTCACCGGCCCGGTCCCCCGGCTTTGGGGTTGTTTTGTGACGTGCCGGCGCGGGGCGGGGCCGCGGGCGGTGAACGGGGCGCGGCGCGGGGTCCTGACCGGGACCGGAGGGGCAGGGCCGGTCCATCCGGCGCGACCCCGCGTCCCCGTCTCCGTTTCCCCGTCTGTGCAGGGGACGGGCGCGAAGTCTGTCCTAGGGTCGCGCTGGCCACGCGGAAGGGAGGAAGGGGCGGGAGCGAGGCGGGATCCGCAGACCTGGCTTCCAGGCGCGGCGCTGCCTCGGTTCCCCCGACAGCGGGAGCTCTGAGAAGTGGGCGAGGTCGGGGAGGGCTCTGAGGGGTGGGAGGGGCGAGGGCTTCCCTGGTCCCCGTTGAAGTCACCATGTGGTGTGAGGCGAGTGCAGGCGCTGGAGCCATCAGAGGTTGGCAAGGTGCTCCTGCCCCCCAGAGAAACTGGGAAAGAGGCCTACGCCGGCCAGCATCGGCTCAGCACCTGACCCGGGAGAGGCGCCAGCCCCACGGAGCCCCCACCCCAAGCTGAGCCCGAGCCTGGCTGTGCCCTCCTCCCAGCCTGACCTTTGTCCTACCCGAGTCTTTTTTTTTTTTTTTTTTTTAAATGAGACAGAGTCTCGTTCTGTGGCCCAGGCTGGAGTGCAGTGGCACAATCTCACTGCAACCTCCGCCTCCCGGGTTCAAGCTAGTGTCCGCCTCAGCCTCCCGAGTAGCTGAGATTACAGGTGCCCGCCACCACGTCCGGCTAATTTTGTATTTTAAGTAGAGATGGGGTTTCACCATGTTGGCCAGGCTGGTCTCGAACCCCTGACCTCAAGTGTGTTGTTAGGTTTTGAAAGGAAGGGGAGGATGCAGTTTGGACTAATAAAGGGATCCGTCTGCGTCGGCCTCCCAAATGCTGGGATTATAGGCATGAGCCACCGCGCCCAGCCCACCTGAGTCTTGACCCCAGCTGATTCCGGGCATCACTGTGACCCCACCTGACTTCTGACCTGGCTCAGTGGCTGCCCAGACACCCACATGCTCCTTGCTGTGAAGCTTGGTCGGGAGAACTGGCCGTGGTGAGGACGGGGCAGCCCAGCCTCCCCTGAGTCGTGCCCGTGACGGGTGGCCCTGCCCTCGGACTGTGCCAGTGGCATTGTTGCTATGCCCTGGGTACACACAGCTGCATCAACATACAGGCCGGGCACGGTGGCTCACGCCTGTGATCCCAACACTTTGGGGGGCCGAGGCGGGCGGATCACAATGTCAGGAGATCGAGACCATTGTGGCTAATATGGTGAAACCCCGTCTCTACTAAAAATACAAAAAATTATCTGGGCGTGGTGGCGGGCGCCCGTAGTCCCAGCTACTCGGGAGGCTGAGGCAGGAGAATGGCGTGAGCCCGGGAGGCGGAGCTTGCAGTGAGTCTAGATAGCGCCACTGCGCTCCAGCCTGGGCGACAGAGACTCCGTCTCAAAAAAAAAAAAAACCAAAAACAAAAACCAGTCTGGGACCAGGGCCACTCTGTCCCGCAGGTGCCCCAACACCTGGCCCCGGCTTCATGAGTCTGGTCCCCGGAAGAGGACCAGCAGGCAAACCTGTCTGGGGAAAGGAAAACAGCATCAGGAGTGGAGAGGGAGGGAGGGATCCAAGAAAGAGCTCTGGGCCGAGCGGTCACTTCCAGAGCTGTCCAGGGCCGAGGCCGAGGCGTCCTCACCCGTAAGGGCCTCTGGGCCTCCTCCCTCAGGCCCCTCTGCCCGGCACCCTGGGGGCCTGGAGTAAAAGGAGGGTCTCGGGACTAGTGGGGCCTTCTGGCTGTGGCCCCTTCACCAAGGTTCCCAGGGTTTTGTGAGCCTCAGTCTCTTCCGTGCCACAGGTCGTGGATATATTGCCAGCATCATGGAGCCGGCAGGCAGCAGCTCATGGGTAAATTAATGCTAATTAGAATTAACCACGATTCCTTCTCTAAGGGCTCCCAAGATCTCTCTTCTTCCGTACACCCACATCCCAGGAAGCACTGTGTGGGTGAGGGAGGTTTTCTTTCTCTCGCTTTTTTTTTTTTTTTTTTTTTTTGAGAAGGAGTCTTGCTCTGTCGCCCAGGCTGGAGTGCAGTGGCACGATCTTGGCTCCCTGCAACCTCCACCTCCCGGGTTCAAGTGATTCTCCTGCCTCAGCCTCCTGAGTAGCTGGGACTACAGACGCATGCCACCACGCCCTGCTAATTTTTTGTATTTTTAGTAGAGAAGCGGTTTCACCGTGTTAGCCAGGATGGTCTTGATCTCCTGACTTCGTGATCCGCCCGCCTCGGCCTCCCAAAGTGTTGGGATTACAGGCGTGAGCCACCGCGCCCGGCCTGGGTTGGGGAGATTTTCAAGCCCCTCCAGCTGGTCCCACAGGGCCCCGACCCCCAGGGAGGCTCAGGCTCACAGCACCCGGGAGCGGTGGACACCAGGGGCTTCCACCTGCCTGCTTGGGGGCTCCCTACTCTGTGGGAACGGGTTCGAATTGGACTGACGCAAGCCCTGGCTGCAGGGAGGGGCCATCCCATCAGTTCCCAGGGCCCCCACCCTGGGCTGCAATGATTGGTTCAGGAACAAGCATGTGACTCCTGACGTCCAATGAGATTCAGCTCTGGGACATTTCTCTGGGATCACAGTGCTGGGGTGGCTGAGCTGGAAGGACCTGGGGCTGGAGTTACGGGGTCATGGTGTCACCACGGGGCCTCCGAACAAAGGCGGCATCACAGGAAAGCCGAGCCGGCTGATGAGAGGGGAAACGTTGATAATCCTATTAGTGATCCTGCATCATGCTGTTACCTGACCTCCCCTGGATGTTCCAATGATGCAAGCTCATGAATTCTTGCCTCTTAGTTCGTTTGTGTTGAGATGGAGTCTCTCTGTGTCACCCAAGCTGGAGTCCAGTGGCGCAATCTCAGCTCATTGCAACCTCTGCCTCCCAGGCTTAAGCAATCCTCCCACCTGTCTCCGAAGTAGCTAGGATCACAAGCGTGCACTGTCACACCCAGCTAATTTTTGAATTTTTAGTAGAGATGGGGTTTTACCATGTTGGCCAGGCTGGTCTCGATCTCTCAGCCTCAAGTGATCCTCCTGCCTTGGCCTCTTAAAGTACTGGAATTACAGGCGTGAGCCACCACGCCCAGCCTTTTTAGTTTATTTTCCTTTCCTCCCTCCCTGCCCCCGTTCCTGTTGCTCAGGCTGGCCTTGAACTCCTGGGCTCAAACAGTCCTCCCACCTCAGCCTCCCAGGTAGCTGGGACCACACGTGCACACCACCACAACCAGGTTAAATTCCTTCTTCGTGCCGGGCGCCGTGGCTCACACCTGTAATCCCAGCACTTTGGGAGGCCGAGGAGGGTGGATCACCTGAGGTCAGGAGTTCCAGACCAGCCTGACCAACATGGAGAAACCCTGTCTCTACTAAAAATACAAAATTAGCCGGGCGTGGTGGCACATGCCTATAATTCCAGCTGCTCGGGAGGGTGAGGCCCAAGAATCGCTTGAACCTGGGAGGCGGAGGTTGTGGTGAGTCAAGATCACGCCATTGCACTCCAGCCTGGGCAACAAGAGTGAAACTCCATCTCAAAAATAAATAAATAAGTAAAAATAAATTCCTTCTTCGTTAATTAAGCCAGTTTGAGTTAGGTTTTCCATCACATGGCAGAGAAGAACCTTAAATTCAAATCTAGTTTCTGCCACGACCTTGGAAATATCGCTCAAACATTAAACCCAGTCTCAGGTTTATTTAATTAATTTATTTATTTAATTATTTTTTTTTTGAGATGGCGTCTTGCTCTGTCACCCAGGCTGGAGCGCAGTGGCTCCATCTCTTCTCACTGCATCCTTTGCTTCCCGGGTTCAAGTGATCCTCCTGCCTCAGCCTCCCAAGTGGGTGACTTGTGCCACCATGCCAGCTAATTTTTATATTTTTAGTAGAGATGGGGTTTCACCATGTTGGCCAGGCTGGTCTGGAACTCCTGACCTCATGTGATCCACCCTCCTTGGCCTCCCAAAGTGCTGGGATTACAGACATGAGCCACCGTGCCTGGCCTATGAGTTTCAGTTTTTTATTTTATTTTATTATTTTATTTTGAGACAGAGTCTCACTCTGTTGCCCAGGCTGGAGTGCAGTGACACGATCTTGGCTCATTGCAATCTCTGCCTCCTGGGTTCAAGCAATTCTCCTGCCTCAGCCTCCCGAGTAGCTGGGATTACAGGTGCGCCACCATACTCGGCTAATTTTTGTAGTTTTAGTAGTGACGGGGTTTCGCCATGTTGGCCAGGCTGGTCTCGAACTCCTGACCTCAGGTGATCCGCCTGCCTCGGCCTCTGAAACTGCTGGGATGACAGGCATGAGCCACCGCGCCCAGCCCGACTTTCAGTTTTTTAATTTGAAAGTGGGTTAGATAAGATAGTTGTACAAAGGTCTTCCTGTGGAGCCCAAGATGTCACTGAGACTCTTACACGATGGCATCTTGCTGCTCTCATGCCTTGTAGGGAAGAAAGACAGTTCTCAGAAGGCAGAGGGGTGCATGTGGGAGGATATGGTCCTCAGGGGAGAGGGACAGGGAGCCAGGACACAGCAGCTGTGGGGCGTTGGGCAACATGGCCAGACCTCGTCTCCACAAAAAAAAAAAAAAAAAAAAAAAAAAAAAAAAAAAAATGTTTCTTAAGCAGCCAGGTGTGATGGTACATACCTGTGGTCCCAGCTACTTGGGAGGCTGAGGCAGGAGGATCGCCTGAGCCCAGGAGTTTGAGGCTGCAGTGAGCTGTGATTTTACCACTGCACTCCAGCCTGAGCCACAGAGCGAGACCCTGTCTAAAAAAAAAAAAAGGGGAAAAACGCAAAAGGCTGTGGGGCCCGTGTGCTTCCAGATGCATCAGAACAGGCTTCCAGGTCAGCTTTCCTCTGTGCAGTCCCGGGCCAGTTCCTCACCGTGGAAGAGGGAATAAGGCCCCCAAGACATCCACATCCTGATCCCCAGAATCTGTGGCTGTACCACCTCAGGTGGCAAAAGGGACTCTACAGGTGTGATAAGAACCCTGAGACGGCAGAGCATCCGGGGTGATGGGGGCCCATGTCCTCACAGGGTCCGTTTAAGAGGGCGGTGGGGGGCGGGCGCCGAGAGTCAGAGACTGGAAGAGGTTGCGCTCTTGGAGGTGAAGGGGGAGGAAGGGCCTGGAGCTGAGGGATGCGGGCGCCTCTGGACTCTGGGAAAGGAGGAAACAGGTTCTCCCTGGAGCCCCCAGGAGGGACCAGCCCTGTTCATGCCTCGATTTTAGAAGTTCTGCCTTCCAGAGCTGTGAGATGGTACGTCCACGCTAAGTCACTAAATTTGTTACTACAGCTACAGGGATTAACACACCTCAATGACTTCCAGCTTCTTCCTAGGGGAAAATTGCTTCCTTCTTTCCCTCCCTTCCTCTCCCCCTCTCTTCCCTTCCCCTCCCTTCCCCTCCCCTCCTCCTCCCCTCCCCTCTGCTCCCTTCCCCTCCCCCTCCCCTCTCTTCCCATCCCCCTCCCCTCTCTTCCTATCCCCCTCCCCTCCTTTCCCCTCCTTTCCCCTCCTTTCCCCTCCCCTCCCCTCCACTCCCCTTCCCTTCCATTCCCTTCCCCTTCCCTTCCCTTGCCCTCCTTCCCTCTCTCCTTCTCTTCCTTCTCTTCTATGTGTAAATCTAGGTTCTGGGGATTGAGCAGTGAACAAAAGCAGTAAACTTCTTGCCCTTGGGTTCACAGGGAGAGAGGCCACAAACCAGCATATAAATACATAAATAAGCAGTTTCTAAAGAATGCCAGGGGTTAGAGAGCCACCGGGATGGTGTAGGAAGGCATCTTGGACTCAGGAGGTGACATATAAGCAGAGACCCAGGTGGCGTGGGGAAGCAGCAGGCAGGTCTGCGGGAACAGTGCTGCAGGGAGAGGGAACAGCACGTCCAGGGGCCCTGAGGTGGGGACAGCCCGACTGGCTAGAGGCCCAGGGTCTGGGTGGTGAGTGCGGGACAGAGGTGAGAAGACGCTGGGGAGCCTCCCGCTCAGCTGTCCTGAGTGCCGGCTTTATTCGCAGACATGGCGGAGGTGAGGGCTGCAAAGTCTAGCCCATGCACCCAACCCAGCCGCCCAGCACTGCGCTCCCGGAAACAGCTCCCGGCTGCATCTCACTGGCCAGCTGGGTTTCTCTGAACCCATCGCTGAGGCTGGGGGAGGGATGCTTTGACTGGCTGGTGGGGACTGGGAGTCCATTTGGGCGAGGGTGTTGGCTGGACCAGCCGGGGGCGGTGAAGGGCTGGGGGTCCAGGTGGGAGAGGGTGTTGGCTGGACCAGCCGGGGGCGCGGTGAAGGGCTGGGGGTCCAGGTGGGAGAGGGTGTTGGCTGGACCAGCCGGGGGCGGTGAAGGGCTGGGGGTCCAGGTGGGAGAGGGTGTTGGCTGGACCAGCCGGGGGCGGTGAAGGGCTGGGGGTCCAGGTGGGAGAGGGTGTTGGCTGGACCAGCCGGGGGCGGTGAAGGGCTGGGGGTCCAGGTGGGCGAGGGTGTTGGCTGGACCAGCCGGGGGCGGTGAAGGGCTGGGGGTCCAGGTGGGAGAGGGTGTTGGCTGGACCAGCCGGGGGCGTGGTGAAGGGCTGGGGGTCCAGGTGGGCGAGGGTGTTGGCTGGACCAGCCGGGGGCGGTGAAGGGCTGGGGGTCCAGGTGGGCGAGGGTGTTGGCTGGACCAGCCGGGGGCAGTGAAGGGAGGGCAGGCAGGGTGCCTCAGGATGAGGTGTGGTGAGGGCCGCTGTGGAGCCCGGGAAGGCGTCTGGCCGTGGTCTCAGTGCTCAGTGGATCGGGTGAGAGGCTTCCACAGAGACCAGAAACTCTGGAGGAGCCCGGGGTCCAGGGAGCCGGCCGGAAGCTCCGTCTTGGATGTGTCAGGCTTGGGATGTCCCCAGGGAGCCAGCAGAGGACTGTTGGGAGGAGGGGAGGCCCTGGATGAAGCCACCAGAGGAGCTGGGGAGAGAGAGGAAGCTTCCAAGGGGGACTGTGGGGTGGGGCAGGAGCCTGTGGGTGCTGCCAGAGGGGATTGCCGCGCTCTATGCTGCTGTGAGGCCAGGGAGGACGCGTCAGCTTCCGGGCTGCGCTGGTAAGGGTCATGCCGGGATTAGGACAGACGGGGTCCTCGGGACCTGAGGGCGGGCACAGTGGGCGGCACAGGGTCAGGGATCAGGGGAGGCCCCGGGGAGCTGGGCGGGGCAGGGGAGGTGGGCTTCGGTCGGCCTTGGCCTCAAGGGACCGGGGCGGAGTGTGAGGTGCACCCTGGGACCAGCTTTGGTGTCCTCTGATTGGTCACTCCTGGAAGCCTCCGTGCCCTGCGTCCCTGTCCGGGTGTCCAGGATTTAAGCCCACCTCAGCCTGCCTGGCTGTGGGCTTCGGGAGGACAGGGGCCTCTCCTATGTTTTTTTTTTTTTTTTTTTTTTGAGATGGAGTCTCGCTCTGTCGCCCAGGCTGGAGTGCAGTGGCGCGATCTCGGCTCACTGCAAGCTCTGCCTCCCGGGTTCACGCCATTCTCCTGCCTCAGCCTCCCGAGTAGCTGGGACTACAGGCGCCCGCCACCGCGCCCGGCTAAATTTTTGTATTTTTGGTAGAGACGGGGTTTCACCGTGTTAGCCAGGATGGTCTCGATCTCCTGACCTCATGATCTGCCCGCCTCGGCCTCCCAAAGTGCTGGGATGACAGGCGTGAGCCACCGCGCCCGGCTCTCCTGTGTTTTGTGTCCTGTTGCTCAGCCCCCAGCCCGTGCTCACCGGAAATGCCGCTGAGCCCCCGGCCCGTGCTCACCGGAAATGCCGCTGAGCCCCCGGCCCGTGCTCACCGGAAATGCCGCTGAGCCCCCGGCCCGTGCTCACCGGAAATGCTGCGGAGCCCCCGGCCCGTGCTCACTGGAAATGCTGAGCCCCCGGCCCGTGCTCACCGGAAATGCTGCTGAGCCCCCGGCCCGTGCTCACCGGAAATGCTGCTGAGCCCCCGGCCCGTGCTCACCGGAAATGCTGAGCCCCCGGCCCGTGCTCACCGGAAATGCTGCTGAGCCCCCGGCCCGTGCTCACCGGAAATGCTGCGGAGCACCCGGCCCGTGCTCACTGGAAATGCCGAGCCCCCGGCCCGTGCTCACTGAAATGCTGAGCCCCCGGCCCGTGCTCACCGGAATTGCTGCTGAGCCCTCGGCCCGTGCTCACCGGAAATGCTGAGCCCCCGGCCCGTGCTCACCGGAAATGCTGCTGAGCCCCCGGCCCGTGCTCACTGAAATGCTCTGGCGTATGACCTGTAAGGCTCACACCTGTAAGGGGCGTTTGTGGTAGCCTAACAGCACCTGTGGATGGAGTGGGCACCTTTCATTAATCTTTGTTACTCATTGCTGCGTAATGAATCACCCCAAATTTGGTAGCCTAGAACCACAACTGTCATTTATTCAGCTCCTGAGTCTGCACAGCAGGAGCTGCCGTCAGCGCAGGCATCGCAGCTGGTGCCCAGTCCAGAGGGTGAGCGTCCCGCAGGGGCCCTGCCTTGGAAGGAGCTCCAGTCCCGCAGGGGGATGCGGATTCTACCTCTCCATCTGCCTCTGCGGCGGGGAGTGGAACCATTATTGTGGCTTTTTTTGGGAAACAGGCGATTTGCCAGGATTCATTCCTGTATTGATTCATTGGTTCATTGATCACCTATCCTAAGCCCAGCTCAGTGCTGGGAAACTGGGAGACAGGAGTGGTCTCTGCCATCGTGGAACTTGTAAAAATTTAAAAATTCTGTTCCCGGCCAGACACGGTGGCTCATGCCTGTAATCTCAGCACTTTGGGAGGCTAAGGTGTGTGGATTACAAGGTCAGGAGTTCAAGACCAGCCTGACCAACATGGTGAAACCCCATCTCTACTAAAAATACAAAAATTAGCCAGGCACGGTGGCACGTGCCTGTGATCCCAGCTACTCAGGAGGCTGAGACAGGAGAATTATTTGAACCTGGGAGGCAGATGTTGCAGTGAGACGAGATTGAGCCACTGCACTCGAGCTTGGGTGACAGAGCGAGACTCCGTCTAAAAAAAAAAAGAAGGCCAGGCACGGTGGCTCACGCCTGTCATCCCACCACTTTGGGAGGCCGAGGCAGGCGGATCATGAGGTCAGGAGATCGTGACCATACTGGCTAACACGGTGAAACCCCGTCTCTACTAAAAATGCAAAAAATTAGCTGGGCGTGGTGGTGGGCACCTGTAGTCCCAGCTACTCGGGATGCTGAGGCAGGAGAATGGCGAATGGTGTGAACCCAGGAGGCGGAGCTTGCAGTAAGCCGAGATCACGCCACTGGACTCCAGCCTGGGTGATAGAGCGAGACTCTGTCTCAAAAAATTAAAATAAAATAAAATTCTGTTCCCGTGTGTGGTGTTAGAATAGAGAGTAGTTTTCTTCCTCAGTTCCCGGATCATAGCTCCTGAAGCCCTAGTTGCAGTCTTTTGCTGCACTGCTGAGCTCGTTAGGCCTCAGGAAATAATCTCCCGCCCTCCTCTGGGCTGCAGAGCTCTAATCTTACCTTTTCGATTACGGGTCTTGGGACCCTCCCCAAAGAGGGTCCTGCCCTATACCCCTGGGGAAGTAATGCTGACATCATGAAGCTTCCATAAAATCCCTAGGCCGCGTGTGGTGGCTCACGCCTGTAATCCCAGCACTTTGGGAGGCTGAGGTGGGTGGATCACCTGAGGTCAGGAGCTTGAGACCAGCCTGGCCAACGTGGTGAAACCCCGTCTCTACTAAAAATACAAAAGTTAGCCAGGTGTGGTGGTGGGCGCCTGTAATCCCAGGTACTCAGGAGGCTGAGCCAGAAGAATCGCTTGAACTCAGGAGGGGGAGGTTGCAGTGAGCCGAGATTGCGCCACTGCACTCCAGCCTGGGTGGCAGAGCAAGACTCCGTCTCAAAAATGAACAAACAAACAAAAAACCACGAAACCCTAGAGAACTGGGTTCTGGGGAGCTTCCAAGAGCTGAACATGTGGAGATGCCTGGAAGCTCTGAGATGGTGCCCTGTGCATCCTCATGGCACTCCAATCCCCACCCTACACGTACCTCACCTGTGGTCCCTTCTTCTGCTATCTTTGCCACATCCTTTATAGTAAACCAGGAAACACAAGTGTTTCCGAGTTCAGTGAGCTGCTCCAGCAAATTAATTGAACCCAAAGGGGTGCTGGGAACCCCAACTTGAACCCGGCCAGACCGAAGTCCTGGAAGCCCAGATTCGCAACTGGTGTCTGAAGAGGGAGAGGCTCGGGGACTGAGCCCTCGGCCTGTGGGATCTGACACTATCTCTGGGTAGAAGGCGTCAGAGCTGAATTAAGAGGACACCCGGCTGGCGTCTGCTGGTTGGTGTGTGGGAAAAAACGCTCCCACATGTGGTCACAGAAGTCTTTTCTGTGTGGATGACTGTGATGTGGCGGTGACAGCAGGGGAGAAACAAGGCTTGAGTGTTCTCTATGTCCGATTGGACCCCCTCCACCAGAACAGGCTGTGGGGACTCCCATTTAACAGGAGACACTGAGGCCAAGGGAGTGAAGTCACCTGCCAGCAACTGGAGCTGGAGTTCTGGATTCACTTTTTATTTTTTTATTTTTTTGAGACGGAGTCTCGCTCTGTCACCCAGGCTGGAGTGCAGTGGCGCGATCTCGGCTCACTGCAAGCTCCGCCTCCTCGGTGCACGCCATTCTCCTGCCTCAGCCTCCAGAGTAGCTGGGACTACAGGTGCCCGCCACCACGCCCGGCTCATTTTTTGTATTTTTAGTAGAGACAAGGTTTCACCATGTTAGCCAGGATGGTCTCCATCTCCTGACCTCGTTATCCACCTGCCTCTGCCTCCCAAAGTGCTGGGATGACAGGCGTGGGCCACTGCGTCTGGCCTGTTTTTTTTTTGTTGTTGTTGTTTTGTTTTTGAGACAGGGTCTCACTCTGTCGCACAGATTGGAGTGCAGTGGCTCAATCTCGGCTCACTGCCACTTCTGCCTCCTGGGTTCAAGTTATTCTCCTGCCTCAGCCTCCTGAGTAGCTGGGATTACAGGCGCCTGCCACCACAGCCCAGCTTTTTTTTTTTTTCGTATTTTTAGTAGAGACAGGGTTTCACCATGTTGGTCAGGCTGATCTTGAACTCCTGACCTCAAGTGATCCGCCGCCTTAGCCTCCCAAAGTGCTGGGGTTACAGGTGTGAGCCACCACGCCCGGCTGGATTCGCTCTTGCAGTCTGAGAAGTGATTCTGGTTGGTGGTGGTGGGCACTGGGGGATACCGGACGACCCTCCCCACCGGTGGCGAGTGGGCTGCGTTCTGGAGCAGGCCGGGCGCAGATCCCAGCTGAGCCCTTGCTGAGGGTGTAACCTCCGCTGCCTGGGCCTGGGAATCAATCACATGAGGCACTTCAGTTCCTGGGAAGTGTTAGGGCTGTTGTCTCACCAATGTCACTACCATCTGCCCAGCTGGCCTCTTCATTTGACATCTGGGGAGACTGAGGCTCAGGGAGGATACCTGGGCCGGGCGGGGCTGGAGGGCCCGGGCCCTGCGTTCCAGAAGAGCCGCCTGCTCTCCGGCTTCAGGCTCCGCAGGGCCCCGTGGGGCGTCCCCCTCCGCTGCTCCCACCAGGCCGGGTCCAGGGGTCCCGGCGTTTCCGGCCTCGAATCCAGCCTCCAGTCGCCGCGGTTCCGGGGCCGTGGGTGACCTGCTGGGGAAAAGCGTCTTCTGCGGGCACCGGGGCTGGGAGGCGGGCGCTCGCATACACACCAGCGTCAGCCTCGCAACACATTTTATTAGCGTGGGGCAGGGGCTCCCGCGGGGGTGGAGGGGCGGCCGCGGCGCTGTGTGGGGACCGGGCGTCCGCTTCCTGGGAGCCCCGGCCTCCTCCGCAGGGCTGGGCGCCTGGTTATGGCAGGGCCTCACCAGGGCGAAGGGAAGGCTCCGCGCGCCCCGCACGCGGGGACCCCCCAGCGCAGATCCCGGATCCGCGCGGCCCACGGGCCTCAGCCCACCGGCTTGACCTTCGCGATGAAGAGCGCGGCGGCCCTCTCCAGAAACTCCTCGCGGGTCATGGGCGCGCTGGGCCGCCGCCCCCCGACGGCGCGGTCCAGCGCCAGCGCCAGGCTGTCGGGCCCCAAGCGCGAGCCGGCCTCCAGGAAGCGCGCGGGCGCGGCGGCGTCGCTGGCCTGCAGCGCGCCCTCCAGGGTGTCCAGCACGGCCTGGCCCACGCGGCGGTCGGCCACGGCGGCGGCCGAGTCCTCCAGCAGCTGGAAGAGCGCGCCGGCGCGCGCCACGAACTCCAGCAGCACGAAGCAGGTGAGTGTGCCCGCGCGGAAGACGCTCAGCGGCACCGCCTCGTGGTCACGGCACTGCACCTTGCGCAGCAGCGGCGCCACCACCTCCTCGGGGGCTTGGCCGTCCCGGCAGATGCGCCTGAGCAGCTCGCTGTAGGTGCGCCCGTCCAGCCCCGGCCTCTTCCTGCGCCCGCCGGCGCTCAGGCACTCGTAGGCCACGCTCACGTTGTTGTTGAAGGCGGCCCTGCGGAGACGGGGACGTTGGGGGCCGGCAGAGACCGCGCGCCCACCCAGCCCCAGCCTCCCCTCCTCGCCAGGCCTATGCCCTAGCCTCCCCGACCCCCCAGCCAGCCCTGGCCTCCCCTCTCCTCCTACCCCCCATCCCCGGCCTCCCCTCCTCCTCACCCTCTATCCCTGAAGCTCCTCTCTTGAGCCCCCGCCTCCCTTCTCCCAGCTAGGGCCTCTCCTCCCCGCAGCATCCCCAGCCCGGGCCTCTCCTCCCCCAAGCATCCCCAGCCCGGGCCTCTCCTCCCCCCAGCATCCCCAGCCCAGGCCTCCCTCCTCCCAGTCCCCTCCCAGCCCAGGCCTCCCTCCCCCAAGCATCCCCAGCCTGGGCCTCTCCTCCCCCAGCATCTCCAGCCCAGGCCTCCTCCTCTCAGCCCCCTCCCAGCCCTGGCCTCTCCTCCCCCCAGTATCCCAAGCCCAGGCCTCCCTCCTCCCAGCCCCTACCCAGCCCGGGCCTCCCTCTTCCCAGCCCCTACTCAACCTGGGCCTCCCCTCCCCACCCCACCAGCACTCCCAGCCTGGGCCTCCCTCCTCCCAGCCCCTACCCAGCCTGGACCTCCCCTCCTCCCAGCTCCCACCCAGCCTGGCCTCCCTCCTCCCAGCCCCTACCCAGCCGGGGCCTCCCTCTTCCCAGCCCCTACTCAACCTGGGCCTCCCCTCCCCACCCCACCAGCACTCCCAGCCTGGGCCTCCCTCCTCCCAGCTCCCACCCAGCCTGGCCTCCTTCCTCCCAGCACCCCCCAGCCCGGGGCTCCCTCCTCCCAGCACCCACCCAGCCAGGCCTTCCTCCTCCCAGCACCCCCTCAGCCTGGGCCTCCCCTCCCCACCAGCACCCCCAGCCTCGGCCTCCTCCCAACCTGGATCTCCCTCCTCCCAGCCTCTACCCAGCCTGGGCCTCCTCCCAACCTGGATCTCCCTCCTCCCAGCCTCTACCCAGCCTGGGCCTCCTCCTCCCAGCCCCCACCCAGCCTGGCCTCCCTCCTCCCAGCACCGCCCAGCCCGGGCCTCCCCTCCCCACCAGCACCCCCAGCCTCGGCCTCCTCCTCCCAACCTGGGTCTCCCTCATCCCCGCCTCCACCCAGCCTGGCCTCCCCCGTCCCAGCCCCTACCCAGCCTCGGCCTCCTCCTCCCAGCACCCCCCAGCCTGGCCTCCCCCCTCCCAGCCCCCACCCAGCCTGGCCTCCGTCCTCCCAGCACCCCCCAGCCTGGGTCTCCCCCCTTCTAGCCCCCACCCAGCCTGGCCTCCCTCCTCCCAGCCCCCACCCATCCTGGCCTCCCCCCTCCCAGCCCCCACCCAGCCTGGCCTCCGTCCTCCCAGCACCCCCCAGCCTGGGCCTCCCCCCTTCCAGCCCCCACCCATCCTGGCCTCCATCCTCCCAGCCCCCACCCAGCCTGGCCAGCCCCCACCCAGCCTGGCCTCCCCCCTCCCAGCCCCCACCCAGCCTGGCCTCCCCCCTCCCAGCCTCCACCCAGCTCAGGCCTCTCCTCCCCGCAGCTCCCATCCAGCCCTGGCTTCCCAGCTCCAACTGGACCGGCCTCAGGGCCTCTGCAAGGGCCGTGACACTGCCTTCCCCCAGATCTCCCTCACCTCCTCCCTGGTCTCCTCCAGGTCTCTCCTCAAATGTCGCCTCCCCTGACCCCTAACTCCTTTCCTCCTGTTTTCTTCCTAGTGGTCATCCTGTCTCACTCGCTGTCCCACATCCCTGTGAGCTTCATGTCTCCCACCAGTGTGAGCACCTGCCCTCCAGGGCCGGAAGTTCGTCTTGGTTATAGCCCTGGTGCCCAGAACACTGCCCTGCCCACAGTAGGTGCTCAGTAAATGTCTTGAATCAACGGCAGGCATCTGTCTGGGGCATCTGGCCCCAGTGAAGAAGGAATTAGTGAAATCAGCTCTAACCTAATAGTAGTAGTCATAGAAATTTTAAAATCCTCTTAAAGTTGCTGCAAAGTGTGACCCCCACCCTTACACTCAAGTTAAAAGAGAATGTTAACAGCCTGTCTTCTCTCTGTAGTCAGTGGACCTTATCTATACTCTCCAACTCCACATTCCTCAGTTTATTACAGGCCCAGCGAGTTCCTGCTTACCTCCCTAGCACGGCTGCAGGGTCACAAAACCGATAAGTTTAGGTTGTAAGACATGTTTTTCTCAAGATGTGAGAAATGTTGGCCAGGCACGGTGGCTCACGCCTGTAATCCCAGCACTTTGGGAGGCCGAGGTGGGAGGATCACAAGGTCAAGAGATTGAGGCCATCCTGGCCAACATGGTGAAACCCCATCTCTACTAAAAATACAAAAATTAGCGGGACGTGGTGGTACACGTCTGTAGTCCCAGCTACTCGGGAGTCTGAGGCAGGAGAATCGCTTGAACCTGGGAGGTGGAGGTTGCGGTGAGCCAAGATGGCGCCACTGCACTCCAGCCTGGGCGACAGAGCGAGACTCCGTCTCAAAAAAAAAAAAAA
Source organism: Homo sapiens (assembly GCF_000001405.40). Taxonomy (NCBI): domain Eukaryota; kingdom Metazoa; phylum Chordata; class Mammalia; order Primates; family Hominidae; genus Homo; species Homo sapiens. The sequence goes on along the minus strand of NC_000019.10, from coordinate 516,388 downwards.
GAAAAAGAAAAAAGAAATGCTGTAATGCTTAACTGCCTTTGTTTCTCGCCTCTGTAACTTGCTTCCCGCCTCACGTAGTTCCCGCCTTACGATGTTTAAAAATAGGAAAAGCCCTTTGTTCGAGGCTCAGACTTTCTGGATGTATGTCCAGCTGAGCCGGTGATCACCTTGATAAACTCTCCTGAACCTTTTTCGGTCTCTCCACTCTTTGTCCCACAACACCAGGACCCTCTGGTCTCCCTCCCTGCAGCAGCAGCGCCTGTTTACATGTGGCCAAATACTGTGCCCAACATTTAACACAACTGACATTTGTTTTTTTCTTTTCTTTCTTTCTTTCTTCCTTTTTTTTTTTTTTTTGAGACGGAGTCTCGCTCTGTCGCCCGGGCTGGAGTGCAGTGGCGGGATCTCGGCTCACTGCAAGCTCCGCCTCCCGGGTTCACGCCATTCTCCTGCCTCAGCCTCCCAAGTAGCTGGGACTACAGGCGTCCGCCACTATGCCCGGCTAATTTTTTGTATTTTTAGTAGAGACGGGGTTTCACCGTTTTAGCCGGGATGGTCTCGATCTCCTGACCTCGTGATCCACCCGCCTCGGCCTCCCAAAGTGCTGGGATTACAGGCGTGAGCCACCGCGCCCGGCCCTCTTTCTTTTTTTGAGACAGTGTCTCACTCTGTTGTCAGGCTGGAGTGCAGTGGCACAATCTCAGCTCACAGCAACCTCCACCTCCCGGGTTCAAGCGATTCTCCTGCCTCAGCCTCCTGAGCTGCTGGGATTACAGGCGTGTGTTACCACACCCAGCTAATTTTTGTATTTTTAGTAGAGACGGGGTTTCACCATGTCGGCCAGGATGGTCTGGATCTCGAGTGACCTCGTGGTCCGCCCACCTCGGCCTCCCAAAGTGCTGGGATTACAGGTGTGAGCCACTGCGCCCAGTCTGTGCTGAACATTTAACACAGCTGACATTGCATTTTTTCTTTTTTTTTTTTTTTTGAGACAGGGTCTCACTGTGTTGTGCAGGCTGGAGAGCAGTGGTACAATCAGGGCTCACAGCAGCCTCCACCTCCTGGGCTCAAGCGATCCTCCTGCCTCAGCCTCCCAAACTGCTGGGATTACAGGTGACAGTTGCTGCTCGGGGCCAGTGGTGGTATTTCTCTCCCCACAATCCCACAGGCAAGGCCCCACAGTCAGCCTGAGGGTCAAATACGACCTGCTGCCTGCTTTTGTAAATAAAGCTTTATCGGAACATAACCACATCAGTCCGCTGACATGTGGCCTGTGGCAGCTTCCGACCAGAACCGTAGAGCTGAATGTCAGGATGGAGGCTGCCACGCAAAGCTGAAATGTTCACTATCTGGCCCCTTACAGAAGAAGGCTGTCAGCCCTGCTGCCGGCTCTGGGGTGGGTTCGATTCCCTGCCCCAGTGAGGAGCCTGAGGCCTTACTACGTGCCACTCGTGTGCTGGTAGTGTGACACACACTCCCGTGGAGGGCACCAGGGAGTGGCCAGGGAGCACCGTGGCCAGCGTGGGGGCCGCTGCAGGACCCTGGGTGGGCTGCTTAACCCCCTGGCCTCACTCCCCCCATCAGTTCCCGGCCAGGCCTCATGCTAGTGGCCTGTTACTTCCTCTGGGACATATAGGGAAACTGAGGCTCAGGGCAGCCCCATGGTCTGGCCAAGGGTCCCAGAGAGGAAGTGGCCAACCTCAGGGCTTACGCTTTTCCCTTCTGGGAGCTCAGCTTCATGGTGAGGAGGGCAGCCTTCCCTCCGGCATGACCTGGGCACACGACTTCACCTTTCTGTGGGCCACCTGTGGTAGGTGCCGGGGAAGTGCTAAGCCAGCATGCAGTAGGTGCTCAGTAAATGCAGGGTTGGTGTGCAGCAGGTGCTCAGTAATGCAGGGCTGGTACACAGTAGGTGCTCAGTGATGCTGGGCCAGAATGCAATAGGTGCTCAGTAAATGTGGGGCTGGTGTGCAATAGGTACTCAGTAATGCTGGGGCGGTGTGCAGTGGGTGCTCAGTAAATGCTGGGCCAGTAAGCAATAGGTGCTTAGTAAACGTGGGGTCGGTGTGCAGTGGGTGCTCAGTAATACAGGGCCGGTGTAGAGTAGGTGCTCAGTGAATGCAGGGCCAGTACACGGTAGGTACTCAGTAATGCTGGGGCGGTGTGCAGTGGGAGTGAAGTAAATGCTGGGCCAGCATGCAATAGGTGCTCAGTAAATGTAGGGTCAGTGTGCAGTGGGTGCTCAGTAATACAGGGCTGGTGTACAGTAGGTGCTTAGTGAATGCAGGGCTGGTACATAGTAGGTGCTCAGCAAATGTGGGGCCAGTGTGCAGTGGGTGCTCAGTAATGCTGGGTCTGTGTACAGTGGGTGCTCAGTAAATGCTGGGCCAGCATGCAATAGGTGCTCAGTAAATGTGGGGCCGGGGCAGGTTGGTGTGCAGCAGGTGCTCAGTAATGCAGGACTAGTGCACAGTAGGTGCTCAGTAATGCTGGGGTTGTGTGCAGTGGGTGCTCACTAAATGCTGGGCCAGGATGCAATAGGTGCTCAGTAAATGTGGGGCCAGTGTGCAGTAGGTGCTCAGTAAATGTGGGGCTGGTGTGCAGTAGGTACTCAGTAATGCTGGGCTGGTGTGCAGTAGGTACTCAGTAATGCTGGGCTGGTGTGCAGTAGGTACTCAGTAATGCTGGGCTGGTGTGCAGTAGGTACTCAGTAATGCAGGGCCAGTATGCAGTAGGTGCTCAGTAATGCTGGGCTGGTGTGCAGTAGGTGTTCAGTAATGCAGGGCCGGCATGCAGTAGGTGCTCAGTAAATGCTGGGCGGGTGCACAGTAGGTGCTCAGTAATGCTGGGCCGGTGCACGGTGGGTGCCTGGTGAACACGTGCCTCCCTGGTCATCACTGCTGCTCAGTTCAGGGCTTAGGGATGGACGTGCCATCTCAGCGAGCTCGAGGGTCAAAGCTCTGCTATGGAGGAGGAAACTGAGGCCCAGAGGCAGGAGGGCAGCGACCTGCAATTCAACTCTAGGCCCATCTGGCTGTACGCTCCTTTTCCCTCCCAAGTAGTAAAGGCCCCATTTGTTGGCCCTTATAATCCGCTGGGCGCTTTTACCATCCATGAGGTCATCCCCAAAATGCGCTGGGGGCAGTCGCAGTGTCAGCGCGGCGGCCCGAGCTCCCATCACGCCTGACCTCTCCGCATGACCCAGCAGGAGCCGCACCGGGGCCCCTCTCATCAGGATCTGCTGTGAGGCCGGGCAGGCTGCTGCCGCCTCACAGATCACACCCCAAACCTAGAGGCCCAAAACCAACAAGCATTTACTATTGACACAGCGTCTCGGCGGCGGCTTTGCTGCGAGGCTCTGGCTTGGGGTCTCTTAGGAGGTTGCCGTGGCCACACTCCCCCGGGGCTCGACGCGAGGCGGCCCAGTCCCCCGCAGGGGAACCCGCGCGGCTCTTGGCAGCGGCTGCAGGTGCTCCCTGGGAGCTGCGCGAGCGACCCCACCGCATGGCGGCTGCCCAGCCGAGCCAGCAACCCACCCAGGAGGGAGGGGGACACCACGATGTCCTTCGTGACCCGCCTCGGAGGCCACACTCTGTCCGTTGCTTCTGCAGTCCCGTTCCGGCTGTGCAGGGGGAAGGGACGGCACCAGGCCGTGAACCCCGGGAGCCGAGGCTTGCAGGGGCATCTCGAAGGCTGGCGACGGCAGCGCTGCTCCGCGGATCCCTCCGCCACTTCTCCACCCGCCACTTCTCCACCCCGCCGAGGGTGAGCCTCTGGGCCTTGCTTTGCCCCCTGAAACGTGCGAGGGGGCGTGGCCCACTTTCAGCGGGAATGTTAAGAGCCATCGTGCTACTTCTCAGTCCACTTCTCTGTGGTCATGATTGCAGGTGCGTGTCAAGATCAGACAAGCCCTTGGTGGGGGGTGGGTGGGGGTGCCGTGGCTCCTGCCTGTGAGCCCAGCACTTTGGGAGGCCGAGGCAGGAGGATTGCTTGAGTCCAGGAGTTCGAAACCAGCCTGGGCAACATAGTGAGATCCTGTCTCTACAAAAATTTAAAAATCAGCCAGGTGTGGTGACGTGCGTCTGTGGTCCCGGGTACTTGGGAGGCTGAGGTGGGAGGATCCCTTGAGCCCAGGCGGTCGAGGCTGCAGTGAGCTGGGATTGCACCACTGCACTGCAGGCTGCGTGACAGCAAGACCCTGGCTCAAAAAGAAAACTGGGCCAGGCACAGTGGCTTATGCCTGTAATCCCAGCACTTTGGGAGGCCGAGGCGGGTGGATCACTTGAGGTCAGGAGTTCAAGACCAGCCTGGCCAACATGGTGAAACCCCGTCTCTACTAAAAATACAAAAATTAGCCGGGTGTGGTGGGGGCGCCTGTAGTCCCAGCTACTCGGGAGGCTGAGGCAGGAGAATGGCGTCAACCCAGGAGGCGGAACTTGTAGTGAGCCGAGATCGCGCCACTGCACTCCAGCCTGGGTGACAGAACCAGACTCCATCTCAAAAAAAACAACAAAAAAACAACTGGACGTCCCCTGCAGAGTAAGCGAGAAGAGTTTTGCTTGTGTTGAAGCCACTGAGGTTTGGGGTTGTTGGTTCCTGTCGTGCTCGCAGCTTCTGACTGACAGGTCTGTGGGCCGGGATTACCCAGCGCCATCCACCACCACTTCTGCATAAATGCTCTCCTCTCTGGGGGCGGCAGCCCTGGTCCAGCTCCGCAAGCATCCACGCGGCCCCTCGGTGTGCAGGGCTCTGTGCCTGGCCCAGGCCTGCCTCGGGTGTTCGTCTGCCCCTCCCAGCTGTGTGCACTCTCCTTTTCTGCACCTGGCCTTGTGCATCTACGGAGTGGGGGTTCTTGTGAGGACGGGAGAACGGGGCTGGAGCCAGGTGCTCAGGACAGCAGCTGGCATACGTGTGGGAGGCCCCACCTGCTTATTTTGGGCTGTAATTAGGGCTGCAGCTCAGCCACAGCTGCCTTGAGGGGCAGGAAGACACACAAAGAGGTAATTACAGCCTGGTGAGATCACAGCCATGATGACGGCAGGAGACAGGAAGGTGACAGCCCACTTCAAGGCGGCCGCATACCCGCCCCTCCTGGGCTCCCGGGCGGCTCCCAGCAGAATCATCGGGTGAGGGAGGAGGAGGAAGAGGAAGGCAGCAAGCTCTGGGCTCGGAGGAGGAGGCCGGGGCTGGAACGTCAGCTCTGCCTGTGACGGTGGCCTCTGGGCCTTGGTTTCCCTGATTGCAAAATGGAAAGCGGGAGCCCAGCCAGGGCTCCGTCTGTGTCGGCTCCTACACAGAGCGGTTTGTAAGGCGTGTGAGCATTTGTTAATACAGGAAAGATTCTATTTATGGAACGTCTCCAGAAAGAGACAGGAGCCACCCTACACCTTAGACTTCTGCTTCCCACTCCTGCCCCCAGCAGACGCCGGGCGGTGTCTGGGACATCTGTGGTTGTCACGACTCGGGGAGCTCCTGGCAAGGAGTGGGTGGAGGCCAGGGACGCTGCTCAGGGCCCTGCAGTACCCAGGACGGCCCCCAGAGGACGAGTCGGGGGAACCCTGGCCCAGATCAGCTGGGGCTTCGTTTTCGTGCACGTTTTCCTGGCAGTGACCTGCAGGGGGCAGTGCAGCCCTTGCTGCCAGGATGAGCAACGTGGTGGCTGAGGAGGCCTCCGGGGCTGCACTCTGGGGCTCTCTGACCCCAGCTCTGCCCTCGGTGGCCGTGTGGCCTTCAGCAAGTCATGTAACGTCTGTGTGTGTGCTCCAGGGGGCCTTGGAGACGACCAGGAAGGTGGCAGGAGGGGGACACTGTGGCTGCCATCACCAGCCCTGGCGGCCGGAGCTTGCCATTTCTCAAAAGAAGGTGCCAGGGAGGATCTGGGGTGACTTCTCCCCCAGCCTACCACGGTGATGCTCTCAGGAGCAGCCCCAGTCAGCCCCTCAGCCTTTGGGGGTCAACACACTGGACTGAGTGGGGACAAATCTGCCAGGCTCTGAGCTTCTCTTTTTTTTTTTTTGAGACAGAGTCTCGCTCTGTCGCCCAGGCTGGAGTGCAGTGGCGCGATCTCGGCTCAATGCAAGCTCCGCCTCCTGGGTTCATGCCATTCTCCTGCCTCAGCCTCCCGAGTAGCTGGGACTACAGGCGCCCGCCACCACACCCGGCTAATTTTTTGTATTTTTAGTAGAGACGGGGTTTCACCGTGTTAGCCAGGATGGTCTCGATCTCCTGACCTTGTGATCCGCCCGCCTCGGCCTCCCAAAGTGCTGGGATGACAGGCGTGAGCCACCGCGCCCGGCTGCTCTGGGCTTCTCTTCCTGACTGGTCAGGTGACCTCAGGGGTTCCTGACGGTCCAAGGATGGAGGGGCGGCCGGAGCTGCCTGCTGGGAGGACGGGAGCAGGCCTGGCTCCATGAGCACAGAATCAGATGCCACGCAGGTCTGTGCACCTGTCTTCTGCATTCCCCACTGGCTGTGTCTCTGGGGAGCCCAGGCGAGCCCAGGGCCGGGATGCATCTGCCACCAGCACCACCCTTGCCCTGAGTCCCTGCTATGAGAACTCTTCCAGCCAATGGCTCCACTCCTGTCCTGGGGTGACTGGTGCCCACCAAACTCACGCCCATCCAGAACCTCAGACTGAGAGCTTATTTGAGACAGCAGCTTTGCAGATGTAGGCGGTTGAGGTCACACTGGAGTAGGGTGGGGCCTAGTGGTGTCCTTATGAGGGAACACAGAACAGAGACACACAGGAGGCCACGTGACGACGGAGGCAGAGACTGCAGCAATGTGGCCACAAGCCAAAGACTGCTGGCCGCCACTGGAGGCTGGGGAGGCAAGGAAGGCTCCTTCCCTGGAGCCTCCAGAGGGAGTGTGGTCCTCCTGACACTCCGATTTCAGACTTCTGCCCTCCAGAACTGTGAGAGAATAAATTTCTGTTGTTTTAAGCCACTAAGTTGGAGGTAATTTGTTCCAGCAGCCCTCGGAAATTAATATAAATATAAATATCCTCATCTGCAGTGTCTACGGGGTGAGTGGCTTGTGCAGTGCTCAACCTGAACAACCATACGTGGTGGGCCTGCTGTTGACCCCTTTTCCTCCTTGGGAGATTCTCTTCCGGATGTCCTGGGAGGCCATCTTCCTCCTGCTCCCCGTTCACCTCTGGTCTCACGTTCTCACCCTCTCTGGTGGGCTCTCTGGGCTAGGTGCCCTCAGAGTGGGGTCCTGAGCTCTTCTCATCTCTCCTGAAGACTTCAGGACCCCTCCAGTTCAGTCTTCTGTCCTGGCCCCACGTCAGTTGCAGACGCTTCTTTCTACCTTCCTGTCTCCAGGCTCCTCCCAGCCTCCAACTTAATCCGCAAGTGGCTCTGGCAGCTTCTTCAAACCAGGGGCCTTCCATCGCAGTAAACGGCTCCACTGACCCTCTGGGCCTGCCCTTGCCCGCTCCCCTCCCACCTGGCTCCAGCAAATCATCGGGCGGGGCCTTCAGAGCCACTGGGCCACCGGAGCAAGTCTGCTCCTTGTCCAGGTACCCAACACCCTGCCACCCTTATCTGAGTATGATCTTGGACACCTGTGCACCCTGAACGTGGTAGGGGGGACACTCCCCATCTCTCTTCTCCCCCCGAACTTCTCTGGGACTCTGGCGAGGGCTGCCATGGTGGGCGCTTATGCCCTGGTTATGAGGCTGAAAGGGCACCTTTGCTTGGCATCCTTCCCTGCCTGCTCTTCCCACCCCCTTCCTGGGTTCTCTTGGGCGCACCCCCTTGTAAAATCACCTGCACACACAATGCCTACCTCAGGCTCCGCTTCTGGGGACCCCCCCCCCAACAAAAGACATCAGCCCATCCATCCCCAACGCCAACAGATAGTCCCCAACCACCTTCCCTGGGCTCAGAACTGGCCCCAGCCAGGGGACACCGCGCGTAGGCACCTGCAGCCTCGCATGCTTCAGCCAAATTCCGTGGCTTTCCCGCCTCCCGTGTGCCCCACACTCGGGGTCTAAATTTGCACCTGCTGGGCCTCTTCCCTGCAACCCGCCCGCACATCGCCAGGCTCTTCCAGGAATCCCCACCTGCCCGCTGGGAGCCTGTCCCCTAAGATGGGGGCCCTGGGTGACTGCGCTGCTCTCTGTAAATATTCACGTTCTGGCTGAATGGACGGGGATAACATGAGGCTGCTAAGGAGGCGACTAGGAGGACCTGGCTCGGGGGCTGGCTCTGCGACCTCGGGCCAAGTCCTCTTGAGCTGCACGATTTTGAAAATCATGAACTGCAAGGGGAAACTCAGCACCTGCAAAAAGGCATCACAGAAGGCGAAGCCGGCCAGAAGGACTCGCGCCGCATGCAGCGCGCTGCCTAGCGCCGGACCGAAGCCCGGACCCTCCAGCCCACCTTGTCCGATCCATCCCACCCAAGAAGGCATCGCGCACTACAACTCCCAGCAAGCCCCGGGCCCCTGCGCCGGCGCTGCGGGTAGGGAGCCGCGCGCGGCATGCTGGGAGTTGAAGTCCATCGCTGCCCCACCCGCCCAAGCCGGCCCACTGCGCACCTCTGGGAGTGGTGGGCCAGGCGAAGGTGCCATAGCGCGCGGCCCAGGCGCTGCTGCTGCAGCAGGAGCTGGCCCGGGGGCTCCCCGGCGCCGCCGTTTACAGGCGAGCGCAGGCCCATGTTCTCGAAGTAGTGAGCCAGGAAGGCGATCGGCTCCTCGGGCCGCGCCTCCAGCACCTTCAGCAGGGCCGCACGTAGCATTTCCGTCACGCCGACCTGCCGCAGGAAGTCCTCCTCGCTCTCGGCCGCCCCCGCCGCCCGGGATACCGACTGGCGGCCGCTGTCCGTGAAACCGGCCGGCGGTGGTACCGCTTGCCGCCGCTTCTCCACTGCCGCCATCTTCGCTGAGGGCAGCGGGACCGGAAGCACCGCCATATTCCACTGTGCGCTAGAGCCCCCCCAAGGCGGCCATCTTGATTAAGGGCAGAGGGCACCGGTATCCCGCTGGGAGACTTTGGGAAGTGACAAGGGTACGCTACCACTTTCCTTGTGTCCTTATTGGCACTCTCTCTTCTCCTCCCTCTTTGTGTATATTGATTGGCTCTCCTGGCTTTGGCCTCGGTCCTGAATTTTGCCAGACTCCAAAATGGCTGCCTCGGAAGTGCTTCGTTTCTGGCACAAAGCCGGATTGCTTGCCATTTGGGTAGTGAGCGAGTCCTTCATTAGCATGGTCTCCTAGCAACCAGTCTCCCTGGTTAGCAGAGAAGCCTGACGGAGCATGCGCGGGGCTGGACCTGCCCAGGACTGCTGGACCCAGCCCCGCGCCCGGCCCCCAGACCCTTTTCTCATGTTCATCTCTGAGCCTTGGTGCTGGGGGTCGAGCTCAGCCTGGCCTTCCGCCTAACTCAGTCAACGTCTGAGTGCGTAGCTCACCTCGTGGGAGAAGCCCCCTCCCCAGCTCCGCTGCAGCTGCGCTGAGCCCCTATTGGCGGCCACACGGGCGAGCATCCCGCGCTGTTACCCCCTGACCGCCAGAGGGAGCTTTCTGACACCGCAGCCTCCAGAGCTGTAAACTCTGCCATGGCTCTCCAGGGCCCCCGGGCTGGCACCTCCAGGCCTTCATCGCCTGACCTCGCTTCCGGCCGCCCTCCCGGCCCTCCCAACCCTCCGCAGCCCGCAGCCACCTCAAAACACAAGCAGTCTCCTCCATAAGCCGCCTCTGGGTGTGTTTCCCCAGGCGACCTCTGTGGATCTTCCCTCACTGCTTTCGGGGACTCCTGGTTAAGCTTCTCACCGAGGAAACCACTAAGCCCTCGCGTTTCCCCGCCCCGGGCAGAGCTTGCTGGGTGCCGTCCCCGTCCCTCAGGGGCGTTGCCCCGGGCAGGGGGCAATGAGAGCTGTTTGCCGGGGGACCGTTCCACCATCCTCCCAGCACAGGAATCTCTGGCGGGCAGACCAAATGCCCTTTGTAAAACGTGAAGTAGAGGTTCCTCTTCAAATGAGACTTTCCTCCCCATCTAATTAGGAATAAATAGTAACTTCTCTTAGAAGCAAAATGTATTCAAAGGCCTGTGGTAGGCCGGGCGCGGTGGCTCACGCCTGTCATCCCAGCACTTTGGGAGGCCGAGGCGGGCGGATCACGAGGTCAGGAGATCGAGACCATCCCGGCTAACACGGTGAAACCCCGTCTCTACTAAAAATACAAAAAATTAGCCAGGCGTGGTGGCGGGCGCCTGTAGTCCCAGCTACTCGGGAGGCTGAGGCAGGAGAATGGCGTGAACCCGGGAGGCGGAGCTTGCAAGTGAGCCGAGATCGCGCCACTGCACTCCAGCCTGGGCGACAGAGCGAGACTCTGTCTCAAAAAACAAACAAACAAAAGACCTGTGCTAACATTCTTTGTTAATTAATTGTTAATGTTATATTGAATATATATAATGTAATAAGGAAATCAACATACTTTATGTTCTTAGTGCCCACAATGTAGGCTAAATATCTGCCCTGGCATGCTTATACTGGTCCAAGCAAGCATTAGGTCATAACCTGTTCCTCTTCCTTATTTGAAGGTGTTTTTACCTTTCTTAGCATTCCACAAGCTACTTCTTCCTTCCTTTGTTCTCCTCTGCCTTTGCCTCTTTTTAAAAGTTCCAAGCTGCTAGCCGATCGGGATAAATACAGAATGTGAGGTCCCGTTCCAGCCAATGGAAACCGTCCCGTTCCAGCCAATGGAAACCGGACAGAGCAGTAGGGTGGACGCGTCAGGTTATAAATGACCCTGTCTCCTTTGTTCTGGATACTCTCGTGGCAAAACTGCTGGCCAGTGTACCCTTTCTGCAGAAAGTAAAACAGTGGCCTTGCTGAGGAAATGACATTTATATTCAAGTGCTATTTCTTTACGGCACCGGGGAACAAGCATTTCTAACACTTTCTTCTCCAGCCCCGGACTGTGGGATGAGGGAGATGGAGCCATCAGGGCAGGACCCACAGTCAACCCTCTGCTGTCCGGAGCCCTCAGACCTCTCCTCTCCACGGAGTGGGTGTCAACTGAGAAAACTGACACGTTTGTATCATTTTAGGAGGTTTATTTGCCAAAGCCTCAGGAGGTCCTGACGACAGGGGCCCAGGGTGGTCAGGGCACAGCTTGGTCTTACGCATTTTTAGGGAGACGTGAGACATGAATCAATGTATGTAAAAAGTACGTGGTTCCGTCCAGAAAGGTGGGGACCACTCAGGGAGGGGCTTCAGGTCATGGGTAGGTGAGACAAACAGTGGCCTTCTTTTGAGTTTCTGATGAGCTTCTCCAAAGAGGCAATCAGAACATGCATCCATCTCTGTGAACAGAGGGATGACTTTGAGTAGAATGGGAGGCAGGTTTGCCCTGACCAGTTCTCAACTTGAAGGGGTCCAAGCTATTTTGCTTTCACAGGGGGAAAGGCTGGCCACTCAGGAGGGGCTGATCCCGACCTGGCCGGTCCCCCTTAACCCAGCCCAGGCCGACACCTGGGGCAGAAGCCTCAGAGAAGCTGGTGGGTGGGTGTCGTCCTCAGCCAGGTGCCGGCAGCGTTTCCAGAGGTGATAGGTGGGCAAGGCCAGGAGCAGCAGTCCCAGCACCGCACTGCTGGTCCACAGAGCCGCGGGCAGCTGGTCACCCGCAGGTTTGGACGCTGGGGAGAGAGTGCAGGAGACCCCGGTCAGAGCCCTCCAGGCCTCTGCAGGCTTGGGAAGGGAGGAGCCCCTCAGAGGCTACACGTGCTTCCAAAGTTACCACGTTCCCTGAAATTTCACAAAGGACTTTACCATGACCCTTTTGAAATGCGCATAGCACCTTAGAGTTTAGAAATGGGCAGTCCAGGCCAGGCGGGGTGGCTCACGCCTGAAATCCCAGCACTTCGGGAGGCCAAAGCGGGTGGATCACGAGGTCAGGAGTTCGAGACCAGCCTGACCATGGTGAAACCCTGTGCCTACTAAAAATACAAAGTTAGCTGGACATGGTGGCAGGCGCCTGTAATCCCAGCTACTTGGGAGGCTGAGGCAGGAGAATCACTTGAACCCGGGAGGTGGAGGTTGCAGTAAGCTGAGATCGCACCACTGCACTCCAGCCTGGGTGACAGAATGAGACTCTGTCTCTCAAAAAAAAAAAAAAAAAAAAAAAAGGGCAGACCGGAGAGAGGACGGCTCACCACCATGAAGGGTGCTGAGCCTACAATCTGCACTTTGAAGACTTAGTCTGGGGAAAAGGGAGGAATGTAATATATCTCCTTCATACTATTTTATATTGATTACCTGTTGAAATGATAATGCTTGGGATATATTGGGCTCTGCGAAATGTATGACCACACTTTTTTTTTTTTTTCGAAATGGAATCTTGCTCTGTCCCCCAGGCTGGAGTGCAATGGCGTGATCTTAGCTCACTGCCACTTCCGCCTCCCGGGTTCAAGTGATTCTCCTGCTTCAGCCTCCCGAGTAATCCTCAGCTGGGATTACAGGCACATGCCACCACACCTGGCTAATTTTTGTATTTTTAGTAGAGATGAGGTTTCACCATGTTGGCCAGGCTGGTCTCGAACTCCTGACCTCAGGTGATCCTCCTCCTTGGCCTCCCAAAGTGCTAGGATTATAGGCATGAGCCACCGTGTCTGGCCAACACTTTTTTTTTTGAGACTGAGTCTTGCTCTGTCACCCAGGTGTGATCTCAGCTCACTGCAGCCTCAACCTCCTGGGCTCAAGTGATCCTCCTGCCTCGGCCTCCCAAAGTGCTGGCATTACAGGCATGAGCTACCATGCTTGGCCCGACCACATTATTTTTACTTTTAATTTTTTTTTTTTTTTTGAGACGGAGTCTTGCTGTCTCCCAGGTTGGAGTGCAGTGGCGCGATCTCGGCTCACTGCAGGCTCCGCCTCCCAGGTTCACGCCATTCTCCTGCCTCAGCCTCCCGAGTAGCTGGGACTACAGGCGCCCGCTGCCACGCCCGGCTAATTTTTTGTATTTTTAGTGGAGACGGGGTTTCACCGTGTTAGCCAGGATGGTCTCGATCTCCTGACCTCGTGATCCGCCCGCCTTGGCCTCCCAAAGTGCAGGGATTACAGGCATAAGCCACCGTGCCCGGCCCATTTTTTTTTTTGAGATGGAGTCTCGCTCTGTGCCCCAGGCTGGAGTGCAGTGGCGCGATCTCGGCTCACTGCAAGCTCTACCTCCCGGGTTCATGCCTTGCCTTTACTTTTAAATTTGAAATTACCTGTAGGAAGTAGAAAAGTTCCTCTTCAAAGCTCGTCTTGATTTACAAATAAAATAATAGACATAGACACTAGAAATAATAGCTTCTTACTCTAAAGCCTCCTATCAGCTATTAGTTCTTACACTTTAGCCCAGTTAGTTGCTTGGGCTTACCCAGGCATATCTGGAGAGTCCCAGGGAAGTCTTAGCTCATAGCTTATGCCCCTTCCTTATTTGGAAATGTTACTGCTTCCTCAAATCTTTCGTAAGCAACTTCCTCTCCTTGTTTGTCCTCCTTTGCGCTTACCTACTTAGGAAAGTTTTAGGTTGTTAGCAAACTGGGTATCAGTTTAAGAGTGTGATATCCTGCTCCAGCCAGTGGATGCAGGACACAGCAGTAAGGGCGACCCAAATGTGTGAGGGATAAATATGTCTGCTTTTCCTTTGTTCAGCTGTGCTCTCGCCATTGTTCCGTCTACAATGAGCACCCTTTCTGCAGAAAGTAAAAGTGGCCTTGCTGAGAGAATTAAATTTGTTTGAGTGCTATTTCTTTGTGGCACTGGGGGACAAGCATTTCTAACATTACCTATGTGGGCCGGGTGCAGTGGCTCACACCTGTAATCCCAGCACTTTGGGAGGCCGAGGCGGGCAGATCACCTCAGGTCAGGAGTTGGAGACCAGCGTGGTCAACATGGTGAAACCGCATCTCTACTAAAAATACAAAAATTAGCCGGGAGTGGTGATGGGTGCCTGTAATCCCAGCAACTCAGGAGGCTGAGGCAGGAGAATCGCTTGAACCCAGGAGGCGGAGGTTGCAATGAGTCGAGGTTGCACCACTGCACTCCAGCCTGGGGGACAGAGCGAGACTCTGTCTCACAAAAAAAAAGGAAAGAAATTACCTATGTGGCCGCATTGTTTCTGCTTCTATTCCAAAGATTCTTCTAGTCTACAAGGCTTAGAATTTACCAAGTGCCTTGACATCTACACAGTCCCTGATGTTTACAAAAAGGACCCACAGTTAAGAGAAGCCCACTGGACAGACAAGGAAACTGAGGCTGGGCAGATGGGGAAACCGAGGCTGGAAAGACGGGGAAACCGAGGCTGGGCAGATGGGGAAACCGAGGCTGGGCAGACGGGGAAACTGAGGCTGGGCAGACGGGGAAACCAAGGCTGGGCAGGGCAATTTCTTGTCTAAAGTCTTCATCCAAGGAACCTCTCGCTCTCAGCCCTTCCCACCCTCCCTGCCCCCAGGGACCAGAACTCACAGCCTGTTGGGATCACTTCTCCCTGCGTGGGCCCAGCCTGGGAGATCTCAGGGCGGCGAGTCCTGGTGGAGCCTGGGCTCCTGGGGGTGTGTGTGGAGCCCTGCTGGGGGGCGGGCTCCGGGGAGGTCTTGTCGGGAGGCTCCGGGGAGGTGGTGTCGGGAGGCTCCTGGGAGGTGGTGTCGGGAGACTCCGGGGAGGTGGTGTCGGGAGACTCCGGGGAGGTGGTGTCGGGAGGCTCCGGGGAGGTCGGGCTGTGCAGGACTGGAAACAGAGTGAGGGTTTTTTTTTCCTCTCTGCTGCCCCAGGCTTGCCTCTCCTGCCTCAATCTCCGCATCTGGATGAAGGGCTTGGACCAGAACCCCTCCAAGCCCCTTCCCTGGACCACTCTGGTGAGTCACATTTCCATTTATTCTTTTTTTTTTTTTTTTTTTTTTTTTTTTTTTTGAGACAGAGTTTTGCTCTTGTTACCCAGGCTGGAGTGCAGTGGCGCAATCTTGGCTCACCACAACCTCCGCTCCTCAGGTTCAAGCGATTCCCCTGCCTCAGCCTCTGGAGTAGCTGGGATCACAGGCGCTTGCCACCACACCTGGCTAATTTTGTATTTTTAGTAGAGATGGGGTTTCTCCATGTTGGTCAGGCTGGCCTTGAACTCCCAACCTCAGGTGATCTACCCACCTCGGCCTCCCAAAGTGCTGGGATTACAGGCGTGAGCCACCACGCCCGGCCTGGTTTTTTTTTTTAGAGATGGGGTCTCACTCTGTCGTGCAGGCTGGAGTGCAGTGTTGTGATCATGGATCACTGCAGCCTCAACCTCCCAGGCTGAAGCCATCCTCCCCACTCAGCCTCCTGAGTAGCTGGGACCACAGGTGTGCAATACCACGCCCAGCTAATTTTTAAATTTTTTTGTAGAGATGGGAGGTCTCGTATGTTGCCCAAGCTGGTCTGGAACTCCTGTACTCAAGTGATCCTCCCGCCTCAGCCTCCCATGGCTGGCCTACATTTTTGTTTCTATTCGGCTTACTGTTCTAGTTGATAAAGCCTAGAATTTGTTGTTGTTGTTGAGATGGAGTCTCGTTCTGTTGCCCAGGCTGGAGTGCAATGGTGCGATCTCGGCTCACTGCAACCTCCGCCTCCCGGGTTCAAGCGATTCTCCCGCCTCAGCCTCCTGAGTAGCTGGAATTACAGGCGCTCACCACCACGCCAGGCTAATATTTGTATTTTTAGTAGGGGACGGGGTTTCACCATGTTGGTCAGGCTAGTCTCGATCTCCTAATCTCGTGATCCACCCACCTCAGCTTCCCAAAGTGCTGGGATTACAAGCATGAGCCACCGCACCTGGCCACATCTAATTTTTGTATTTTTAATAGAGATGGGGTTTCACTATGTTGGCCAGGCTGGTCTTGAACTCCTGACCTCAGGTAATCCACCCACCTCAGCCTCCCAAAGTGCTGGGATTACAGGCGTGAGCCCGGCCTAAAGCCTATAATTTATAAAGTGCTTTGAAATCCACATGGTCCCTGAAATTTACAAAGGACCCACAGTCAGGGAAGTCCACTGGACAGATGAGGAAGCTGAGGCACCACAGTGGGCAGGATGGGAGTCCGGGCATTCCAGGTCCCCCACTCACTGGCAACATCACCCCAGCAGCCTCCTTAATCTCCACGTGCCTCAGTTTCCTCAACTGTCAAAGGGGTGAGAGTCACCTCTTTGGGCTGCCCTGAGAGCGAGTGGGTCCCGCGTTTATTATGATGGGCTGTGGACGAGGAGAGTTGGGAGGAGGCTGGCGTGGAGAGAGAAGGTGCTTGGGGGCTTTCTGCCCTGGCCTTCTGCTCCATCCCCTGTGGGACTGATGGGGAGACTGAGGCCCGTGAGGGCCCGTGTTCTGTAAAATATCCCTCAAATCCAGCCTCCTCTCTGCCCACCCCAGCCCCACCCCCACCACAAAGACCTCCCGGGTCTCCCAGCTTCTGCTTTATCCCCGGGAGCCCTTTGCTTGAAACTCACGACCTCACGTCCATTAACATGGGTATCAGGGTGCCCCATGGGAGGACAAATCCCTTTTTCTTTAGTGGGAGAAGCCGGCAGGGGCTTCGGGATTGGACAGAGCGTGAAGGGAGCACCGCCAGGGCACCGGCCCACATTAAATGTCTTCATCCGAGCATTCAGCAAGGGTTTATTGAGCACCTGCTATGCCCCAGGCCCTGTTCTAGCTTCTGTGGACACAGCCGTGCGCGACACAAGATTCCCACCTGGGGAGCCACAGTGGGAGAAGGTCATGGAAAAGAGAATGTACGGGACTGGGGGATGTCAGATGTTATCCAAGGTGTCAAGAAACGAAACAGAAGGGAAAGGGGGCTCACACGCGTGTGCGTGTTTGTACACGCGTGTGCCTGTGTGCCTGTGTTTGTACACGCGTGTGGGTGTGTGCGTTTGTTCCCGTGTGTGCTTGTGTGCCTGTTTGTACACGCGTGTGCGTGTGTGCCTGTGTGCACGCGTGTGTGTGTCTGTGTTTGTACATGTGTGTGCTTGTGTGCCTATGTTTGTACACGTTGGGGATCAGGGGTTGACCCTTTAAACGGGAATCCAGGGAAGCCTCACGGAGGAGGCAACATTCTACAGAGACCTGAGGGGGAGGAGGAGAGAGCCGTGGAAAGATCCGGAAGAAGGGTATTCCCGGCAGAGGGCACAGCCGTGCAAAGGCCCCGGGGCAGGATCACGCCTGGTGTGTTGGAGGAACAGCGAGGAGGCGAGGAGGCCCGTGTGGCTGCAGCAGAATGAGGAGGGGGAGAAAGGGTGGAGGGAGGACAGGAAGGGGACAGGGTAGGTCGTGCAGGTTCCTGTGGGCCCCCGGGAGGACTTGGGCTTTGACCCCAAGGCAAGAGCCATGGAGCGCTGTGGGCAGGGGAGGGGTGGGACCTGTGCTGGGGGGCAGGTGCTCGGCAAATACATGTTGCGTCGATGAATGTCGCTGTCGCTGCGTGGGGGAATCCAGTCCTCCCAGCGCCCCACAGCACAGGTGCTGCCCCCCCACCCCCCCACCCCGTCCCGAAGTGCTTGTCAAGGCTGGCGAGCGGGTGGGTCTCCAGGGCACCCAGCGGACTCACCGGGGATGGCCTGGCGGTGGCTGAGCTCCAAGCCAGGCAGCCTCATCGTGGCCTGGCAGTAGAGGGCGGGCGGGACAGGGGTCCCCAGGGGCGGCAGCCGCCAGCGCTCTGTCACCCTGAACAGCACGTCCTCGTCCCCCTGGGGCTCCTCCTCCTCCTCCTGCACCTCCGGGCCCAGGGCTTGCGCCCCCTCCAGTTCCTGGCCCCCGACGAGCAGGGAGAAGGAGAGCGCGTTGGGGTCCACGGGCGTGACTTTGTGGGCCGTACAGGCCACCTCCGGGTCACCAGGCACCAGGGCTGCTGGGGAGACGGTCAGCTGGTCCGGGAAGGCTGTGATGGAGGGTCGGGGGTGAGGGCTGAGCCCAGAGTCAGGGCTGGACGTGATGGAGGGGCCGGAGCCCGGAGGGGCTTGGAGCTGGGGCCAAGGATGCGTGGGGGCTGCTGATGAACAGGCAGTAGGGACGGCCTGTGCGCAGGCCCCGTGGCCCCACCCTGGGAGGCTGGAATAGACAGGAGGATGGGCCAGGGCCGGCCCTGGGAGAGTTGGGGTGAGTTGGAGGGAAGCGAAGGCCGGGGACCTGGCTTCGGGGAGCTGTGCATGGAGCTGGGACCCTGCCTGCAATCTGGGAGGCTTCCAGGAAGAGGTGGCATAGGGAAGGAGCCGGGAGTCCAAGGGTCAGAGAGGCAGGGCGCGGGGGGACGCCTCACCGTACACAAGGAGCTGCACGGTGTGCTGGAAGGTGCGGCCCCCGCAGGAGCCCACGCACACGCGGGTCCCGGCCGCCGACAGCGAGGCGTTGCGCACGGTGAGGACGCTGCGGCCCGTGTCCGACTGCACCGCGCCCAGGCTGGTGTCCAGGCCCCGCCACTGCACCGAGGCCCCGCGGTCCGCGCAGGCCAGGCGGCAGGTGAGCTGGCGCGAGGCGCCCAAGGCCACGGCCACCACCGGCTCCGGGGGCTCCACCTGCAGGGGCTTCACCTGGAGGGACTGGCCTGCGGCGACCGCGGCTCTCGCTCAGCCCCGCGGAGTCCCGGACCCCGCCCCGCCACCGGCCCTGCGTCCCGCTCCACCCCCGGACCCCGCCCCGCCTCTGCCCGGTTCCCGGACCCTCCGCTGCACCCCCGGACCCCTGCCCCGCCGCTACCCGGACTCCCAGGCTCGGTCCCTGAACCCCGCCCCGACCGCCGCCTCTGCCCCAGTCCCCCGAACCCCAGCTGCCTGGAGCCAGTTTCGCTGCGGGTCAGGGGGCCGCGCGGAGCCCCGCAACTTCCCCTCTCAGCCCCTGCCTCCTCCGAGCCCCCTCCTCTGGCAGGATCACCAATCACCCCCTATCTCGGAGCCCCTTAACTCTGAGCACCCCTCGTCTCTCCCGCGCCCCCTCCGAGCCCCTCCTCTCTCCTGCGCCCCCTCTTAACTCCCTCCTCTCTCCCGCGTCCCCTCCCCGCTCACCGCGCCCCTTCCTCTCCCCCGGGCCCCCTCCCCTCTCCCGGGCCCCCCTTCTCTTCCGAACCCCCTCCCCTCTCCCGAGCCCCCTCCCCTCTCCCGAGCCCCCCTTCTCTTCCAAACCCCCTCCCCTCTCCCGCGCCCCCTCCTCTCTCCTGAGTCCTCTTCACTTTACTGCGCCCCCTGCTCTCTCCTGCGCCCCCTCCCCTCCGCGCCCCTCCTCTCTCCTGCGCCCCTTCTCTCTCCTGAGCCCCTTCTCTCTCCTGAGCCCCCTCCACTCTCCTGCGCCCCCTCCTCTCCCCTGCGCCCCTCCTCTCTCCTGCGTCCCTCCTCTCTCCTGAGCCCCCCCACTCTACTGAGCCCCCTCCCCTCTCCTGAGCCCCCTCCTAACTCCCTCCTCTCTCCCGCGTCCCCTCCCCGCTCACCGCGCCCCTTCCTCTCCCCCGAGCCCCCTCCCCTCTCCCGCGCCCCCTCCTCTCTCCCGCGCCCCCTCCACTCTCCTGCGCCCCCTCCTCTCTCCTGCGCCCCCTCCCCTCCGCGCCCCCTCCTCTCTCCCGCGCCCCCTCCTCTCTCCTGCGCCCCTCCTCTCTCCTGAGCCCCCTCCACTCTCCTGAGCCCCCTCCTCTCTCCTGCGCCCCTCCTCTCTCCTGCGTCCCTCCTCTCTCCTGAGCCCCCCCACTCTACTGAGCCCCCTCCCCTCTCCTGGGCCCCCTCCTCTCTCCCGGGCCCTCTCCTCTCTCCTGAGCCCCCTCCCCTCTCCTGAGCCCCCTCCTCTCTCCTGAGCCCCCTCCTAACTCACTCCTCTCTCCCGCGCCCCCTCCCCTTCTCACCGAGGAGGAGCCCCAGAAGCCCCGCCAGCAGGAGGGCCAGTCCGAAATCCATGCTCAGTCCCCTCTGTCCCGAGGCCGCGGGGAAGCCGCTTAAATAGAGGCGCCCACTCCTTCCCGCCGCCCGGCGACCCCGCTCCAGCTGCTCCCCGGGGGCTTCCCAAGGGGCTTTCCTGGCCTGACCCCCGACCCTGGAGGCGGCAGAGAGGCAGGGGCTGGGGGCCAAAGATGGGGCGGGGTCCCGGGGCCACTCAGGACGGGCAGGCAGGAAGGTCTGGGTCTGTTCCAAGCCTCATATTCAGGCACGGGAAGATCGCAGACGGAGGCCGGAGGGTCGAGGTCAAGTGCATGGAAGTGGGACAGAGGCTGGGCAGCGCCGCCCCCACCCCGACGGCGGGTCCCCTGCACTTTCTTTTCTTTTTTTTCTGAGTTTCGCTCTTGTTGCCCAGGCTGGAGTGCAATGGTGCGATCTCAGCTCACCGCAACCTCTGTCTCCCGGGCTCAAGCGATTCTCCTGCCTCAGCCACTCCAGTAGCTGGGATTACAGGCATGCGTCACCACGCCTGGCTAATTTTGTATCTTTAGTAGAGACAGGGTTTCTCCATGTTGGGCAGGCTGGCCTCGAACTCCCGACCTCAGGTGATCCGCCCACCTCGGCCTCCCAAAGTGCTGAGATCACAGGCGTGAGCCACCGCGCCCGGCCCGCCTGCACTTTCCCGGGCGGCCGCACAGGGGCGGTGGAGAGCAGCCCTCCCCCGTTCCGGAGCTGCAGGCCGGGTCTTGTTGGCTGGGGTCCCCTGGGGGTCAGGTGAAGGTCGCTGGGGATGGAGGCCCCCTGGACTGAAGTCTCCTGGCCGTGGTGGAGCTGTGAGACCCTCCAGGACGTGGGACAAGTCACCCCATCTCTGAGCCTGGCTTCCTTCCATCACACGGGCAGAGGCCGCCCACCTAGCAGGCCTGGCTGGAGCCTGGGAGCCCGAGTAGGGGCTGCCTCTGTTCCTTGGTCTACACTGAGACCTGGATCTCGGTCCACAAGAGGGATCTGGAAGGGATGCTGGCTGGACTCCCACTCACAGCTGCCATCAGCGAGTCCTGGGAACCTCATCTTCCAAACGCACTGGAATCCACCCACCTGTTCCTCCAAGCCCCGCACACTGGTTCTGTCTCCGCTGGTGGCTTGTTTACCCCCCTGCATCACCGGGACCCTCCCAGGGCCTCTGGGACTCTGCCCGGGCTGCTCCTCACCTTACCCAGGTTCTGCCCACCCCCTCACCCCCTCGCCCCCCACCCTCCTCCGCTGTGGTTCCCAGGGTGCTCTGCTCCTAGCTCAATGAGGGCCTGTGGTGGCAGTCGTGATGGCTGGCTCCCCTCCACCCAGGGGCCGGTCCTGTGACCCTGGACCCCATGCACCGCAGGCACGCGGGAATAAAATGATGGAGCATTCCTGCTGACCTCAGGGTCTGTCTGTGCCTCAGTTTCCCTGGCCATGGAATAAAAAGCAGCAGCCAGTCCATGGGGTTCCAAGCATTGCCAATCGGCTTACCTGTCAGAGGAGGGAAACTGAGGCCCAGGGGCAGGGCTGGGACCAGAGGAGGGAAACTGAGGCCCAGGGGCGGGGCTGGGACCAGAGGAGGAAAACTGAGGCCCAGAGGAGGGGCTGGGATCAGAGGAGGGAAACTGAGGCCCAGGGGCGGGGCTGGGACCAGAGGAGGGAAACTGAGGCCCAGAGGAGGGGCTGGGATCAGAGGAGGGAAACTGAGGCCCAGGGGTGGGGCTGGGACCAGAGGAGGGAAACTGAGATCCAGGGCAGGGCCTGGGTGCAAAGGAGGGAAACTGAGGCCTAGGGGAGGGGCTGGGTGCAGAGGAGGCAAAATGAGGCTCGGGGGAGGGGCTGGGTGCTGAGGAGGGAAACTGAGGCCTAGAGGAGGGGCTGGGTGCAAAGGAGAGAAACTGAGGCCTAGAGGAGGGAAACTGAGGCCCGGGGTGGGGAAACAGTCCCCTCAGAGGTGAGGGCCCAGGTGTGTGAGCTCACAGCCCTGTCTCCCTGGGTCCCATCCCCCTCCTGCCCAGGCTGGTGCCGGGAAAGGCCTCACCGGAAAGCAGACTCCGAGGAGGGGCCCTCCCCAGGCCGGAGGTGCAGGCCCTTCCCGGGAAGCTGGGCCCTTAACCCGGGCGGGGGGCAGCAGGCCTGGTGAATGGGCTGTTTCCCAGCCCCCGACCCTACTTCCTGCAGGTGGGGAGGGACCACTGGGCGCCAGGAGGGCTGAGGCCCCTTGCAGGGTGTGTCCCAGCTCTCCAGGGCCCTGTCCCCCGCCCGCCCGCTGGGTCACGCGTGGTGATCACGCTGCTCACAGTCCCCGTGTGCCGAGCCCTCACATCCACAGGCTTGTGGGGGCGGGGAGACAACAAAGCTGGGGTCCCCCTGAGGACAGGGCAGGTGGGATGGACACAGGAAGGAGGAGGGAGGGTTCCCAGAGGCAGAGGGACCCGCAGGTTTCAACGGCCAGAGGTGGGGAAGGCGGGGGTGAGGGAGACACAGAGACAGAGAGAGAGAGACAGAGACACAGAGAGACAGAGACAGAGTGAGGAAGAGAGACATAGGGAGACAGAGACACAGAGAGGGAGAGACAGATCAAGGAAGAGAGACAAGGCAGAGAGACACAGGGAGATAGAGACACAGAGAGACAGAGACAGAGCGAGGAAGAGAGAAGGCAGAGAGACACAGGGAGACAGAGACAGAGACACAGAGAGGCAGAGGCAGAGGGATGGAGAGACCGAGGTGGGCCAGCAGCCTGAGGGCCGGGGAGGACCCTGAGACCCCTGGGTCTGAGTCCTAGTCCCACAGGAAGGCCTACACCGTATCTTCCGCCGGCAACGGGGACCTCCTTTTTGTCCTTGGGAGACTCGACCCCGCCCCCAACATCAATCCCCTTCCCGGCATTGTCCTCGGCGGCCTCCGTCAGGAAGCCCCCTTCCCATGGAGGGTCCCAGCCAGGAAGCCCCCCTTCCCATGGAGGGTCCCAGCCATCCCACCAGCCCCAGACCCCACATCCTGGCCTCCCTGTCCACAGCTGCCGAGGGAGCGTTCCAGATGACTGTGTTGCCCTGAGGGGAAGGGGCTGTGAGGGCGCCGTTGTCCAGGAGCGGAGCACGCCCCAGGCCCTGACAGACCCTTCTTGACCCAGCTGGGCCAGCTCTCCTGTCTCCCACCCACTGGTCAGTTCTGGGGTCCTCATGGCTTTTTCTTTGGAGTGAGGACCCCCATCACGGCAGGGCCTCCTTGTTGGACAAGGCTTGAACCCAGTCCAAGGACCCCAGACCTGAGGGTCGCAAGGAGAGTGGGGGAGGAATGAGATTGATGGAGGCTGCAGGAGGGGGTTCAATAAGTAGCCATGTGCATGCATGTGTGTGTGTGCATGCGTCTGTGTGCGTGCATGCGTGTGTGCGTGTGTACGTGTGGAGTTGTAGCCATGAAGCCCACGATGGGGGTGGGCCTGGCTCCCGCATCAGGTTTAAGGAGGAAGGATCGACCGGGCGCGGTGGCTCACGCCTGTAATCCCAGCACTTTGGGAGGCCCAGGCGGGTGGATCACGAGGTCAGGAGATGGAGACCATCCTGGCTAACACGGTGAAACCCCGTCTCTACTAAAAATACAAAAAAGATTAGCCAGGCGTGGTGGCGGGCGCCTGTAATCCGAGCACTTTGGGAGGCCGAGGCGGGCGGATCACGAGGTCAGGAGATCGAGACCATCCTGGCTAACACGGTGAAACCCCGTCTCTACTAAAAATACGAAAAAAATTAGCCGGGCGTGGTGGCGGGCGCCTGTAGTTCCAGCTACTCAGGAGGCTGAGGCAGGAGAATGGCGTGAACCCGGAGAGGCGGAGCTTGCAGTGAGCCGAGATCGCACCATTGCACTCCAGCCTGGGCGACAGAGCAAGACTGTCTCAAAAAAAAAAAAAAAAAAAAAAAAAAAGGAGGAAGGAAGGATCTTCGTGGCCCACCTGGCACAGGTCCCTGAAGGAACCCTTGTCCGAGTCGAGTCCCTCCCCGCAGGCTGGCCGAGCTGACCACGTCGCTGAGCCTGGGCAGAGCTGACAGGCCTCCCTGGGGTCAGTGACCGCCTGGTGAGGGGCTGGGGCAGTGCTCAGTCTCCAGCAGCCCCGGGGAAATTGGACATGGAGCCTCAGGCGATGATGCTGGTGTGGTCTCCACGGCAGCCCCACCTGAGCTAATCAGGAGGGGTCTGGGGGGATGGGGGTCCATGGGGCAGGAGGCACACTATGGTGAGAGCCGGCTTGGGGCTGGCTCCGCCCAGGGGAGGGGGGGCTTGGGGCTGGCTCCGCCCAGGGAGAGGCGGGGCCTGGGGCTGGCTCCGCCCAGGGGAGGGGGGCTTGGGGCTGGCTCCGCCCAGAGGAGAGGCGGGGCTTGGGGCTGGCTCCGCCCAGGGGAGAGGCGGTGCCTGGGGCTGTCTCCTCCCAGGGGAGGGGGGGCTTGGGGCTGGCTCCGCCCAGGGGAGAGGCGGTGCCTGGGGCTGTCTCCGCCCAGGGGAGGGGGGGGCTTGGGGCTGGCTCCGCCCAGGAGAGAGGCGGTGCCTGGGGCTGTCTCCTCCCAGGGGAGGGGGGGCTTGGGGCTGGCTCCGCCCAGGGGAGAGGCGGTGCCTGGGGCTGTCTCCTCCCAGGGGAGGGGGGGCTTGGGGCTGGCTCCGCCCAGGGGAGAGGCGGTGCCTGGGGCTGTCTCCGCCCAGGGGAGGGGGGGGCTTGGGGCTGGCTCCGCCCAGGAGAGAGGCGGTGCCTGGGGCTGTCTCCTCCCAGGGGAGGGGGGGCTTGGGGCTGGCTCCGCCCAGGGGAGAGGCGGGGCCTGGGGCTGTCTCCGCCCAGGGGAGGGGGGCTTGGGGCTGGCTCCGCCCAGGGGAGAGGCGGGGCTTGGGGCCGGCTCTGCCTGGGGAAGCGGCGAGGCCTGGGGCCCTGGTCAGCTGCTCTGACGCCTTGGTGCTCCCGGGGGCATCTCCAGGCTCACCCCAGCTTCCACGGCCCTGTCTCACGGGTCAAAGGGCCACTCAAAAGCTGCTTTGAAGACGGGGGCCCAGCCAGGAGCCGCACAGGCCTCTCCCGAGGGTCTAGGTGGCTAGAAGGGCACAAGCCACACGGCGTCGCGTCGAGAGACTGAAATTGTCTATGAACCGCCCTCGCCGGGTTTGAGACTAGAGAGCTGGTGTTTACACGACGTCGCAAACACCATAAAGGGCACTAAACTGTTTCTTTAAAAGCCTTCTTTTTTTTTGAGACGGAGTCACTCTGTCGCCCAGGCTGGAGTGCAGTGGTGAGATCTTGGCTCACTGCAACCTCCGCCTCCTGGGTTCAAGCGATTCTCCCGCCTGAGCCTCCTGAGTAGCTGGGATTATAGGCACGTGCCACCATGCTCAGGTAAGTTTTGTATTTGTAGACTTTTTTTTTTTTTTTGAGACAAAGCCTCACTCTGTCACCCAGGCTGGAGTGCAGTGGCACGATCTCAGCTCACTGCAACCTCTGCCTCCCAGGTTTAAGCAATTCTGTCTCAGACTCCGGAGTAGCTGGGACTACAGGCGCCTGCCACCACGCCCAGCTAACTTTTGCATTTTTAGTAGAGACAGGGTTTCACCATATTGGTCAGGCTAGTCTCAAACGCCTGACCTCAGGTGATCCGCCCGCCTTGGCCTCCCAAGGTGCTGGGATTACAGGCGTGAGCCACCGCGCCTGGCCAATTTTTGTATTTTTAATAGAGACGGGGTTTCCCCATGTTGGTCAGGCTGGTCTTGAACTCCCCACCTCAAGTGATCTGCCCACCTTGGGCTCCCAAAGTGCTGGATTACAGGTGTCAGCCACCGCGCCTGGCCCTGAAGCCTCCTTTCTAACACGAATATCAACTTAGAAACGGACGCAGCTATTGGAAAACATGTGCAACAGCTAGGGTTTGTGAAGCCACTTTTCCAACTAGAACTTTAGTGGCCTGAAGTGCAGGTTGAATATTTCCTGTGAGAATTAGGAAGTGGACACAAATGTGCAAAATACACACTGGGCTCTGAACGCTCAGCGTGAACAAAGAGTGTACAGCATCTCAACATGTATTGCTTATGAATCGAAAGGATAGTATTTTGGACACAGTGGATTAAATAAGATAAAGATACATCTTTGTTTTACGTTTCTTTCTTTCTTTTTTTTTTAGCTGGAGTTTCACTCTTGTCGCCCAGGCTGGAGTACAGTGGTGCTATCTCGGCTCACTGCAACCTCCACCTCACGGGTTCAAGTGATTCTACTGTGACGGCCTTCCAAGTAGGTGGGACCACAGGCATGCGCCACCACGCCCGGCTAATTTTTGTATTTTTAGTAGAGACGAGGTTTTGCCATGTTGGCCAGGCTGGTCTCAAACTCCTGACCTCAGGTGATCCACCTGCCTCGGCCTCCCACAGTGCTGGGATTACAGGCGTGAGCCAACGCGCCCGGCCTTGTTTTATGTTTCATACGATTTATTTTACTTACTACCACCCATTTCTTTTCTTCTTTCTATCGTGGCCGCCGGACGTGGGGCTCCCGCTCCGCTTCTGGGGACGCCGCTCTGGCCTCTCTCAGCACCGGGCAGGGGCCAAATGTGGGTGTTCGCCCTGGGTCGGGGTTCAGGCAGAGCCGCAGCCTCCTGGCTGGGAGGGTTCTCGCCTGCAGGCCGGCGGCCTCTGAGGACGACTCGCTCTCCATTCGCCACCCAACCCGCGCTGAGTGCTGGACATCCCGAGCGCGCTCTCCGTCCCTGCAGTTCCTAACGGGTTGGGAGGGTGGTTCTCCCCCGGCCGCAATCCCGCCCCCAGGAGGCACTAACCCTAACGTGGCATCTGGGGCCATCTGTGGTTGTCACGACTGGGAAGGGGGAGATCCTGGCCTGCACGGTCACCCACAGGCCCGACGGCCCCCGGGAGCCTGTTTCGGGTGCAGCACACCCGGGCTGGATCGAGCACGGTCGGGGAGGATGCGGGGCTGGGCCAAGGCCCTCGGCTCTGCAGGGAGGACGGAGAGCGGGTCCGGGGGGTCCGGGGAGGGAACGGGGCCGAGGCTCTGCGTCCACTGCCGGGCCGATGGGCCATGGGCTGCGAGGGCGGGTCGGGCGTAGAGGGTCTGGCTGGGAGGGCGGGTCAGAGGTCGGGGCCGCGGGCTGCGAGGGCGGGTCAGAGGTCGGGGCCGCGGGCTGCGACGGCGGGTCGGGAGTCGGGGCTCGGCCTGCGAGGGTGGGTCAAGGGTAGGGGGTCCCGGTCGGGGCCGCGCTCAGCACTCAAAGCGCCGCCATCCCTGCTGATGACATTCTCGACCCGCAGGGCGCAGCTGACCAGCCGCTCCCCCTCCTTTTCCGCGGGTGCAGCTCACTGGCCCTGCCACTGCGCGCGCACCCACCCCGCCCACAGCTCCCGGCAGCTCCCGCGCGGCCCCCGCAGCTGAACCACAACTCCCGCCATGCCGCGGAGCGCGGGGCGCCGGGGCGTGTGGCCCACAAGGCTTTGCGCGCTGGCGGGGCCGCTCTAGCCCGCGGTCCTCCGAGTTCGTGGCGGGCTGATGCGGGCTTGGGGCGGGCGGCGCGGACGCCCTGGCGGCTGTCTCGCCCCGTGGTCGGTCTCCTCGCGTTCCCACTGCGGGGCGCCCCGGCTGCCCTTGCGTGGGGCCCGGCACGGGGCGGCCGAGGGGGCGTCCCCGCCGCGAGTCTTCCAGCGCGCTGGTCCCGGGAGGCCTGGCCGTTCGCCCAAGGAGCCTGGTGTCCCCGGGCGGAGACTGGGAAGCCGGGTCCTGTTCCCCGGCGCTGGGCTCGCTGCGGGGGTCGGGGCCGCAGGGCCCGGTCGGGGATCCAGGTTCCGGGACGCGGATTCTGGAGTAGGGGCTGCGGGGCTTCCGGCCCGCTTCGCGGGTCAGGGTCACCGGGAGGCCGTGGTTGCGTTGGGGGTACCCGGACGTCAGTCCCAGCAGCGCGAGGGACGAGGGCGCTCGTTAGTTCCACACTGATTTACTTGTTATTTTTTTGAGACGGAGTCTCGCTCTGTCGCCCAGGCTGGAGTGCAGTGGCGCCATCTCGGCTCACCGCAAGCTCCGCCTCCCGGGTTCACGCCATTCTCCTGCCTCAGCCTCCCGAGTAGCTGGGACTACAGGCGCCTGCCACCACGCCCGGCTAATTGTTTGTATTTTTAGTAGAGACGGGGTTTCACCGTGTTAGCCAGGATGGTCTCGATCTCCTGACCTCGTGATCTGCCCGCCTCAGCCTCCCGAGGAGCTGGGATTACAGGCTTCAGCCACCAAGCCCGGCCTTTTTTTTTTGTATTTTTAGTAGAGATAGTGTAGCAGGAAGAGCCGCAGACAAAACTCCTCAGACACCCAGTTAGAGAAGGAAGCGGTTTATTCGGCCGGGGCCATCGGCAAGACTCCTGTCCCAAGAGCCGAGCTCCCCGAGTGAGCAATTCCTGTCCCTCTTCAGGGCTCACAACTCTCAGGGGGTCCGCGTGAGAGGGTCGTGATCGATTGAACAAGCAGGGGGTACGTGACTGGGGGCTGCATGCACCGGCAATCAGATCGGAACAGAACAGGACAAGGGTTTTCACAGTGCTTTTCCATACAATGTCTGGAATCTATAGATAACGTAACCCAGTAGGTCAGGGGTCGCTCTTTAACTACCAGGCCCAGGGCACAGCGCCGGGCTGTCTGCCTGTGGATTTCATTTCTGCCTTTTAGTTTTTACTTCTTTCTTTGGAGGCAGAAATTGGGCATAAGACAATATGAGGGATGGTCTCCTCCCTTAATAGAGTTTCACCATGTTGGCCAGGCTGGTCTCGAACTCCTGACCTCAGCTGATCCCCCCTGCCTCATGCTTGTTATTATTTTGACACAGGGTCTCACTCTGTGGCCCAGGCTGGAGCGCAGTGGTGCGATCTCCACTCACTGCAACCTCCGCCTCCTGAGCTCAAGCAATCCTCCCGCCTCGGCCTTCCAAAGTGTTGGGACCACAGGCACACGTCATGCGCCCTGCCAGCACATCTTTATTGAGTGCCTGCTGTATGCCAAGCGTTGTTTTAAGTGCCAAGGAGACAGCAGAGTGCAAGGTGGGCTGACCTCGGCCCGAAGGAGCTTACATTCTAGTGAGCAGCAGGGAAGAGAGACCATGAGCCAGGCTAGTTATGCCATAAACCTCGGGCATAATACCGAAGTGGTGCTGTGCGGAGAAATGTTGAACAGCTGGCTCTCCAAGGGAAAAGGCCCTCACTTGCAGCGCACGCCGCCCCCTGTGTTGTAAATACTCCCATCGTGGCTGCCAACATGAGCCAACCAGCTCACAGATCGCCGCGAACTTCACAGTGGGCTCAGGAGCTGGCATGAGCAGCTCCAGCCGCCGCTGCAATAGGTGAGGCGTGGAGAGTGCTGCTGGGAAGAAGGAAAAGGCAGGGAAGGGGGCAGGCAGCATGATGATAGGCAGGTTGCAGGATCAAATCTGTGGTCCCGATAGGCCGGGCATGGCGGTTCACACCTGTAATCCCAGCACTTTGGGAGGCTGAGGTGGGCGGATCACTTGAGGTCAGGAGTTTGAGACCAGCCTGGCCAACATGGTGAAACCCCATCTCTATTTCTTTCCTTCTTTTTTTTGAGATGGAGTCTTGCTCTGTCGCCCAGGCTGGAGTGCACTGGCACAATCTCGGCTCACTACAAGCTCCGCCTCCCGGGTTCACGTCATTCTTCTGCCTCAGCCTCCTGTGTAGCTGGGACTACAGGCGCCTGCCACCACGCCTGGCTAATTTTTTGTATTTTTAGTAGAGACGGGGTTTCACTGTATTAGCCAGGATGGTCTCGATCTCCTGATCTCGTGATCTGCTCGCCTCAGCCTCCCAAAGTGCTGGGATTACAGGCGTGAGCCACCGCTCCCGGCCCCATCTCTATTAAAAAAGACAAAAATTAGCTGGGTGTGGTGACGGGCGCCTGTAATCCCAGCTACTTGGGAGGCTGAGGCAGGAGAATCGCCTGAACCCACCAGGCGGAGGTTGCAGTGAGCCGAGATTGCGCCACTACCCTCCAGCCTGGGTGATAGAGCAAGACTCCATCTCAGAAAAACAACAGAAACAAAAAATCAATCAATCAATCAGTGGTCCAAGGAAGATCCTGGAGGTGGAGAGATTTGAGCAAGGCCTTCCTGGAGGGGGAGGGAGTTGGACCGGGTGTATCAGGCAGAATGTACGGTGAGTGCAGAGGCTGAGTCCGGAGGGACCAACGCAGCCAGAGAGGGCAGGAAGGACCTGGGCTTGTAGGACCTTGCAGGCTACAGCAGAGCCCACTAGGACCCCTCTCCAGCCCCCCAAATCCTCGGAATACAAGCCCTTCCTTCCTCTGAGCTTCGGTGTCCTCGTCTGTAACATGAGGACTTGCCAGGCATGGGCTGGGTGCCCAGCAGAGCCTGAGAGCTGGTCCTGTCCTCACTGTCCCACGGGGACAGCAGGCTCTCTCTGGATGAGGATGGAGGGGAGCTGGCAGGTTCTCTGTGTCCTTGCGGGAAGAACAAGCCTTCCTTGTTAGAGTCTCCCGGGAACAAAGGGGCGGGCAGCAGCAGGGCGCGTGAGTCTGAGTCAGGGGGCTGGCCGCCGGACAAAGGACAGCAGTGAGCAGCCTCAGGGAAGTGGGGAGTGGCAGATCACGGAGGCTGGGAGCATGAGCTGACCCTGGACGGGCCGGTGGCAGCAGCCACAAACACCTGGCCTCCCCCTCTCCTGCTGTGCCGTGTGCCAGGGACACAGAAACAGCAGGTCATCGGAGGAACCCGGCCTCCTGGGAGCTGCCTCCCAGCTGTCGCACCCTCATCTGCAGCCGGAGGATGTGTTTTAGGAAAGAATGTCGGGAACTTGGGGCTGGCACCGTGGCTCACACCTGCCCTCCCGGTGCTTTAGGGGGCTGAGGTGGGAGGATCGCTAACCCCAGGAGGTCAGGGCCGCCTCATTCCCACCATTCTCTGATCACCCTTCTCCACCGTCAGTGAGCTGTGATCGCGCCAGCCTGGATGGTGGAGTGAGACCTTGTCTCTAGAGAAAAGAACGGTGGGACTTGGATCGGCAGCAGCCACAGCAGTCATGTCTGTCATCTGGACTATTGTAGAGCTTCATTCCACTCACTGGCTCAGCAGGCACTCACTGCGCACCTGTTCTGGGCAGGCGGTGTTTGGGATGCCCAGGGCGCCACGGGGCTCGGGCACGCCCGGCTCCTGCCTCTTCGTGTTCCTATGTGAGCACGCGTGTGTGTGCGCGCCTGCCTGTGTGTGCCTCATCGTGCGCACCCACGTGGTGTAAACGTGCACCTGTGTGTGTGTGTGTACGTGTGTTACGTGGTAGAGCACGGCAATGACCCTCCATAAACAACTAAGCAGGTCAGCAGGGTCCTCCGCTGGGTTGAGGTTGCACCCGCCCTTCCAGGACCCTCCCCTCCTCTCACTCCCCTTCACCCCACAGCGTCTCAGAAAATCTTGTGAGTTCTGCCTTCAAGACAGGCCCAGAACCCACCCACTCCTGACCATCCCACAGCAGCCCCCAGCCCAGGCCCCGTGGTGCCCACCTGGGCTGGTGTGCTCGCCTCCCCCGGGCTTCCCTACCCCCACCTTCCTACCCTCAGTCGATTCCTTCAAACCCAATTCAGGCCGTGCCCTCCTCTGCTCCAGCAGAGGCCTCCGTGGCTCCCACCCTGCTCAGGGTAAAACCCTGTGTCCTCTCCGTGTCCTCAGGGCCCTTCACGACCTGCTGGGTCAGCCCCGCCCTCCCTCCTCCTGCTCTCCCCTCCTCACCCTGCGGCAGCCACCCTGGCCTCCTCCTCGCTCCTCCGCCTCGCCAGGTGCGGTCCTGCCCCAGGGCCTTTGCACAGCGGTGCCCTCCCCAGACACCCCGTAGATGTCTGCACAGCTGGGCATCCCTTAGAGGTCCTGACTTCCTCCAGGCCTTTGCTAACGTTTCACCTCTTCAGGGGGCCTTCCTGGCCACCGTATGTGAAGACCCAACTCTGCTCTGAGGTTTCCTTTCTGTGATCACGTCACTGCACACTCCAGCCTGAGCACAGAATGAGACCCTGTGTCAAAAATAAAACAAGAGGCCAGGCGCGGTGGCTCATGCCTGTAATCCCAGCACTTTAGGAGGCCAAGGCGGGCGGATCACCTGAGGTCAGGAGTTCGAGACCAGCCTGACCAACATGGAGAAACCCCGTCTCTACTAAAAATACAAAAATTAGCCGGGCGTGGTGGCGCACACCTGTAATCCCAGCTACTCAGGAGGCTGAGGCAGCAGAATCGCTTGAGCCCGGGAGGCAGAGATTGTGGTGAGCCAAGATCGCGCCATTGCACTGCAGCCTGGTGACAAGAGTGAAACTCTGTCTCAAAAAAAAAAAAAAAAAAAGAAAAAGAAAAGAAAAGAAAAAAATAAATAAAACAAGAGAGACATGTGTTCACAGCATTATTTGCGGTTGTTCCGAGCTAGAAGCAGCCTAGAAGCTCTGAGTAAATCATGGCATCTTCATGGGATGGAACGTTGCCCAGCAACAGAAGTGAGTGATGGACAGCTGTCACCCACACCAGGACTGATCTCACAGGCAGGGTGGGAGGTCTCATGAGTGCACCGTCCCCTTCCCGTGCCGCACAGAAGAGGCAAAGCGGGGCCTGGCTTTACAGGCAGGATGGCGGCTGACAGGTAGAGGGAAGGAAGATGGCTGCAGGGGCTTCCGGGGAGCTGGGGACACAGTGTTGATCCCAGAGCCGGCCCCATGGGGATTGATTGATCCCAGAGCTTCCGGGGACCCATGAGAGGAAGAGCTGATGGCTCTCTGCTGCAGGGTCTTCCGCAGGCCCTGTGGACATCCCAGGTGGGGTGGTCCCGGCCACTGCAGGGTGCCTAGCGGCATCCCTGCCCCCACTCACCCCATGCCAGGAGCTCCCCCAGTCGTGACGACCACAGGTGTCCTTGGACACTGCCCAGCGTCCCCTGGGGGCAATCACCTGGGTTGGGAACCCCTGGTCTGTTGATTTCAGCCCACCATGATCTCATAGCTCCGTGTCACTGGAACGAGGGTGAGCCTGCATGCCTGGGGGAGTGGTGAGGGAACTCAGGCAGGTGGAGGTCTGTCGGGGAGGAGCCTGTGCTAGACGCAGTGGCAGCCAGGATGGGCGTCTGTAGGGCTTCCCATGGTCATGTCTGAAGAGCTGGCTCTGGCTGACATAGAGTGGCCTTTTGGGGCTGGGAGAGGCGTCCCAGGGATCCCTGAGGAGGTGGGGGTGGGTGTTGGGGGGGGATGGGGCCCTGGACTGGGCCGTGGCTGTGAGGTGGAGAGCAGCAGTCAGCTGCTGAGTGGGCTTTGGATCCAGGAAGCGGCCCCAGGGGTTTGGATCCAAGTCAGCATGGGTCTGGAGGTGCCATTTGCTGGAGTGAGGGAAGGCTGGAAGAGGATGTTTGAATGATAAGGGGCCAGATGCCCTTGTCTTCAGAGTGACCCTGTGGAGTCAGGCTGACATATGCCCGTTTTTCAGAGGAGGAAACACATGCACAGTGGTGCAGTGATTCATCAGGGACCACACAGTGTCTAATCCAGAAACCCTGGTTCATGGGCGCAGGAGGTCTGCCTGGGAAGTTCACTGCAGGAAATTGTAAAGGAGGTGAAGTGGGAATAGCCTCGGTGCCCGTCGAGGGGCGGGGCTGGGGTGCTCGTATGATGGCGGCCAGGGTGGGTGACATTCAGACTGGCAGGTGTAGGTGGGCAGGACAGTGCAGGGCCAAGAACATTCTGGACTTGAGTCCTAGGTCCACACTCCTGCTGGCTTTGTGACCTCCGCCTCTGTCCATGGTGATAGGCATGGAACAGCTCGTGGGGTGGCGCCTGTGAGCACAGAGCTGGCAGCAGAGCCGTTCTGCATGAGTAATCTGCTGTATGCCAAGGACGCCCTGCCGATCTCACCCTGTATGCAGTAGGCGATTAATAAGTGCCCATCCACTAAGGCAGCATTTCCCCATCTTGACACCATTGACATTTGAGGGTCTTCTCTTGGGAGGAACAGCGTTGTAGTTCTCCAGTCACTAGATGTCATCAGCACTCCTGGTCCTGGCAGCCAAGAATGTCTCCAGACATAGCCAAGTGTCCCCTGGGGGCAGCAACACCCATGGCTGAGCACCATTGGCCCAAGGGATCAGTCCTAGGCTCTACTCTCTAGACCTGTGCTGCCCGACACAGCGTCCACAGGTCACAGGTGACGCTGGAGCACTGGAACTGTGGACGCTCCACACTGAGGCAGAGAGTGCAAAACATGCCAGGCTGGGAGGACAGCATTAAAAGAAGAATGTGAAATATCTCACCTGTAATGTTCATATGCAGAAATGATATTATTTTGGATATGGGGGTTAATAAAATGTATTATTAAAATTAATTTCACGTGTTTCTCTTTTTTTGATACAACTACTAGAAAATTTAAAAATGGCCGAGCATGGTGGTTCATGCCTGTAAACCCAGTGCTTTGGGAGACTAAGGCAGGGGGATTGCTTGAGGCCAGGAGTTAAAGACCAGCCTGGGCAACATAGCAAGATCCCATCTCCACACACAAAAAAGAAATTAGCCAGGGATGGTGACACATGCCTATAGTCCTAGCTACTCCAGAGGCTGAAGTGGGAAGATCACTTCAGCCCAGAAGTTGGAGGCTCCAGTGAGCTATGATTGCACCACTGCACTCTCCAGCCTGGGTGATAGAGCAACATATTGTCTCAAAAAAAAAAAAAAAAAAAAAGTAGGAGGTTCTCAGTCTGTTTCTGGTGGGCAGTGCTGCTGTGGGTGATCAACTTTCTGGCTACACCATGAGCTTGGTGAAGATGAGTTGGTCTTGGTTGCCATCATCCTTCCCATTATCCTTTCCCATCATCCTCCAATCATCCTTCTCGGTCATCCTC
Organism: Homo sapiens; assembly: GCF_000001405.40. Classification (NCBI taxonomy): domain Eukaryota; kingdom Metazoa; phylum Chordata; class Mammalia; order Primates; family Hominidae; genus Homo; species Homo sapiens. The sequence goes on along the minus strand of NC_000019.10, from coordinate 481,610 downwards.
CCATTGTCCTTCCCATCATCCTTCTCCATCATCCTTCCCACCATCCTTCCCATCATCCTTCTCCATCATCCTCCATCATCCTTCCCCATCATCCTTCCCCATCATCCTTCCCATCATCCTTCCCATCATCCTTCCCCATCATCCTTCCCATCATCCTTCCCCATCATCCTTCCCCATCATCCTTCTCCATCATCCTTCCCATCATCCTTCCCCATCATCCTTCCCACATTCCTTCTCCATCATCGTTCTCCATCATCCTTCCCATCATCCTTCTCCATCATCCTTCTCCATCATCGTTCTCCATCATCCTTCCCATCATCCTTCCCATCATACTTTCCCATCATCTTTTCCCATCATCCTTCCCATCATCCTTCCCATCATCCTTCCCCATCATCCTTCTCATCATCCTTCCCCATCATCCTTCCCACATTCCTTCTCCATCATCCTTCCCATCATCCTTCCCATCATCCTTCCCCATCATCCTTCCCACATTCCTTCTCCATCATCGTTCTCCATCATCGTTCTCCATCATCCTTCCCATCATCCTTTCCATCATCCTTCCCCATCATCCTTCCCACATTCCTTCTCCATCATCATTCTCCGTCATCGTTTTCCATCATCGTTCTCCATCATCCTTCCCCATCATCCTTCCCACATTCCTTCTCCATCATCCTTCCCATCATCCTTCCCCATCATCCTTCCCACATTCCTTCTCCATCATCGTTCTCCATCATCGTTTTCCATCATCGTTCTCCATCATCCTTCCCATCATCCTTTCCATCATCCTTCCCCATCATCCTTCCTACATTCCTTCTGCATCATCATTCTCCATCATCGTTTTCCATCATCGTTCTCCATCATCGTTCTCCATCATCCTTCCCATCATCCTTCCCACATTCCTTCTCCATCATCGTTCTCCATCATCGTTCTCCATCATCCTTCTCCATCATCCTTCTCCATCATCCTTACCATCATCCTTCCCCATCATCCTTCCCATCATCCTTCCCCATCACCTTCCCACATTCCTTCTCCATCATCGTTCTCCATCATCGTTCTCCATCATCCTTCCCCATCATCCTTCCCCATCATCCTTCCCCATCATCCTTCTCCATCATCCTTACCATCATCCTTCCCCATCATCCTTCCCATCATCCTCCCCTATCATCCTTCCTGTCATCCATCCTCATCATCCTTCCCAGCATGTGACGCCCTCTCCCGGCACCGCCCACGTTTTGCTCTCCCAGATGTCACCAGAGGGCGCTTGTGAGCTCTGATTGGGACGCGTCCCTGCTCACACGTCACCCGTGTCCCCACAGTCCACAGGCCGTGCAGGACCCGCCGCATCGGCTTCCTCCCGGCTCCTCTTCTCCTTGCTCACGCTGCTCCAGCTGCACGGGCCTCGTCGCTGTTTCTCCTACACACCAGGCAGGTCCTGCCCCAGGGCCTCTGTGCGTGCAGTTCCTGTCAGCCTGGAATGCCTCGCCCGCCTCCCGAGTTCGGCTTCTCCTCTGGTCTCTGCTGGAGCGTGACCTTCTCCGCGAGGCTCCCGACCTCCCAGTTCACATCGCAGACGCTCACACCACCAACCACCCTGTGGCTGACCGCCACAGTTACTGCCTGAGACCGTCATTATAAGACTGAACGAAGGGACAAACGTAGAAAATGATAACAAGAAACAAAGGAAACTTTTAAATAGAAATAAAAACTTAAAAGTAACTATTTTAAAGGAAGGGCAACGTGGGGAAGAAGAAGAGAGAAGGAAAGAGAGAAGAAGGGGCCGGGCATGGTGGCTCACGCCTGTCATCCCAGCACTTTGGGAGGCCGAGGCAGGCGGATCACAAGGTCAGGAGATCGAGACCAGCCTGGCCAACATGGAGAAACCCCCGTCTCTACTAAAAATACAAAATTAGCCGGGCACGGTGGCTCACGCCTGTAATCCCAGCACTTTGGGAGGCCGAGGCAGGCGGATCACGAGGTCAGGAGATCGAGACCAGCCTGGCCAACATGGAGAAACCCCGTCTCTACTAAAAATACAAAAATTAGCCGGGCGTGGTTGCGCACGCCTGTAATCCCAGCTACGCGAGAGGCTGAGGCAGGAGGATCACTTGAACCTGGGAGACAGAGGTTGCAGTGAGCTGAGATGGCGCCACTGCACTCCAGCCTGGGCGACAAGGGTGAAACTCCATCCCCCCCCCCCCCAAAAAAAAAAAAAGAGAAAAAGAAGAAGAAAAGGGCTCCCTGCTCCTAGTGAGCAAAGGCAGCTTCCTGAGCTTCTACAGCCCTTAGTATTTATTGGGTAACAAGAGCAGAGAGGAGGAGGTAACGATTGAGCAGCTGCTTAATTGATCACAGGTTCATATTGTTACTGACGGGCTTCAATTATGCCTAATCGTAGGAAACATTTGTGCCTGGGTGGTGATGGCCCTCAGCAGCCCTTCTGCACGGCAGACGCAGTTTGTCAGTTTGCCAACATTCTGCATTTACGAGAACAGTTTGCTGTCTACTCATATAGCCCCCCAGTGGTATACTGAGTTGATCACGGCCCTCACTCTTTCGGCCTCCAACACCCCCTTCGCCCACGTTTCCTCCATAGCGCGACGTGCCCTCTGCACTCACGTAAGTTTCACTTATCTGCCTGCCTGTCTCCAAGGGAAAGGGAGGACGAGGAACTTGTGTGTTTTGTCCTCTCCCGTTTTCCCAGCACCTGAGCAGGGCCTGGCCCCAAATAAACACTGGCTGAGTTCCTAATTACGGTGAGAACAAGGGTCTCGGGAGCACCAACGGAGTCACCTCCCACCCAGGACACCCAGGCCGGGCAGTGACGTCCCTCGCCTGCAGCCGGCAGCTGGGCGGGTGGACGTAGGGCCGGCCTCCGGCCTCTCATCCGGTCCAGCCTCCCTTTTTTTCACTGTTGTGATTTAGTCTCTTCTGTCGAGCAGGCAGGATTAAAATCAGGGCTCATCTGCATGTGTGTTGAATTCATTTGCATCTCATTTGCAAGCTCTTTGCTTGGCAGTTGCGACAAGCTCTGAGCTGAAGACAGAGTTGATAGAATCTGGTGCGATCAGATCAGAAGGGGACTGGTGGCTGGAGGGGCCCCAGCTCGTTCTGGCGAGGCTGCCGGCCCTCAGCGTCCTCCCAGCAACATGCTGTCGGCTTGGCCGGCTTCCCATCCTGTCTTCCCTGTGTTAGCTTTTGGTTCCACCCCACGTAAAATGGGGAAACGGAGGCAGGTGGGGCCGAGTCCGGGCTGGAACCAAGTCTCTGGCTGTCTGCCTTTAGTGGCTGTCTGGTGTGGCCTGGACCTGGTGACCCGGATGTGAGGAGGGATGGGGTTGGGGGAACACCTTCCAGGCCCTTGTCCCCTCTGTCTCTTTAGCCGTGGGAGCCCCTGGGGTCCTGCACTTCGGCTGGTTTTGGTGAAGGAGCAGCTTTGGTCGAGGGAGGTTGGGGCCTTTCCTCCTCTCTCCCTCCTCGGCACCCATCCCTGCTGTGGCTCTGGAGTTGTGCTGCCTCTGGAAACGAGCAAATGGTGTGTCCAAGGTTGGGCAGTGACAGGGCCTGTGGGCTGGGGGCCCTCGTGACCGAGGAAGGGGCCAGCGAGGGTTGGTTTGCTGGCAGAGGCATCTCAGGTAGAGAGAGCTCAGGCAGAGGCCGAGGTGGAGACCGTCTTAGGGGCTCGAGGGAGGGAAAGCAGGTCCGGATGGTCAGAGTAGAGCGGCAAAGGGGAAGGAGCAGGACGAGAGGACAGGGGGAGGTGGAGACGAGGCCGTGCAGGGCCTGCGTGCCGTGGCGTGGCGCGTGTCTGCAGTCCCAGCTACCCGGGAGGCTGAGGCAGGAGAATGGCGTGAACCCGGGAGGCGGAGCTCGCAGTGAGCCGAGATCGTGCCACTGCACTCCAGCCTGGGCGACAGAGCGAGACTCCGTGTCAAAAATAAATAAATACACAAATAAAAATAAAAATAAAGACCAGCTTTTTTGGGATGGGGAGGAGGCGTTCTTTTTTTCTCTTTTTTTTGATTTTGACGTGGAGTCTCGCTCTGTCACTCAGGCTGGAGTGCAGCGGTGTGATCCTGGCTCAGTGGTGCAACCTCCACCTCCAGGGTTCAAGCGGGTTCAAGCGAGTCTCCTGCCTCAACCTCCTGTGTGGCTGGGATTACAGACGTGCACCACTGTGCCCAGCTAATTTTTTTATTTTTAATAGAGACGGGGTTTCACCATGGTGGCCAGGCTGGTCTCGAACTCCTGATCTCAAGTGATCCGCCCGCCTCGGCCTCCCAGAGTGCTGGGATTACAGGCATGAGCCACAGTGCCCGGCCAAGGGATTATTTCTACAGTTTTCAATTTCATGGATTTCTACTGTTATCTTTACAATCTTCCTTATACTTACTCTTGTTTTCCTAGCTTCTTAGGTGGAAACTTAGGCCTAGGCTGGAGTGCAGTGGCACAATCTTGGCTCACTGCAGCCTTGGCCTCCTTAGGCTCAAGCAATCCTCTCACCTCAGCCTCCTGAGTAGCTGGGATTACAGGCACACACCACCACTCCTGGCTGATTTTTGTATTTTTTGTAGAGATGGGGTTTCACCATGTTGCCTGGGCTGGTCTTGAACTCCTGAGCTGAAGCAATCTGCTTGCCTTGGCTTCCCAAAGTGCAGGGATTACAGGTGTGAGCCGCTGTGCCCAGCCTTCTTTTCTCATATAAAAATTTAAAGCAACCATTTTCCCTCTAAGTACTTCTTTAACTGCATCCTACACAGTTTAATATGTTGATTTTTTATAGTCATTTAGTTTGAAAATTTTCTAACTTCCTTTGTGATGACTTCTTTGATGCGTGGGTTATTCAGAAGTATGTTGTTTAACTTCTAAATATATTTGGGGGATCCTGGATATCGTATTGTTGGTGATTTCTATTTTAATTCCTTTTTCACCAGATAATATGCTCTGTAAGTTTCAAAAGTTTGATATGTACTAAGACTTGTTTTATGATCCTTTATGTAGACTATACCATTTTGATTAAAAAATTTTAAAACATGCAATACATTAAAATTACATTGCAGGGTGAAATGTATAATTGTATGGTATGTGAATTATATCAATAAAGCTGTTAAAGATGACACTGCAGGCCAGGCACGGTGGCTTACGCTTGTAATCCCAGCACTTTGGGAGGCCGAGGTGTGTGGATCACCTGAGGTCAGGAGTTTGAAACCAGCCTGGCCAACATGGAGAAACCCCATCTCTACTAAAAATACAAAAAAATTGGCTGGGCGCGGTGGCTCACACCTGTAATCCTGGCACTTTGGGAGGCTGAGGCGGTTGGATCACAAGGTCAAGAGATTGAGGCCATCCTGGCCAACGTGGTGAAACCCCGTCTCTACTAAAAATACAAAAAAATTAGCTGGACATGGTGGAGTGTGCCTGTAATTAGCTACTAAAAATACAAAAAAATTAGCTAGACGTGGTGGTGCATGCCTGTAATCCCAGCTACTCGAGAGGCTGAGGCAGGAGAATTTCTTGAACCCTGGAGGCGGAGGTTCCAGTGAGCCGAGATCGCGCCACTGCATTCCAGCCTGGGCGGGGGAGCAAGACTCTGTCTCAAAAAAAAAAAAAAAAAAAAAAAAAAAAAATTAGCCAGGCGTGGTGAAACCCCATCTCTACTAAAAAATATAAAAATTAGTCAGGCGTGGTGGCGGGTGCCTGTAATCTCAGCTACTCAGGAGGCTGAGGCAGGATAATCGCATAAACCCGGGAGGCAGAGGTTGCAGTGAGCCGAGATCGCACCAGCGCACTCCAGGCTGGGTGACAGAGTGAGACTCTGTCTCAAAAAAAAAAAAAAATTACACTGCAAAAGGCTCCAAAAAATACAGAAACAAACAAGGAAGAGACAGGAACGTGCATCTCATCTGGCAGTTTTCTGAGCCTCTTCTTGGAGCCTCACGCAGTGGTCGCCTTGAATGTATCAAAATCCATTGTGGTTTAAATCTCGGAGGCATCTGGGAGGCAGTGAGGACGGCTCTCACCTCCCCGCTGTCCTCGCCGCTGCCCCAGGGCCTCTGCACGGCTGCCTCCTCACCTGCTTTGGGACTGTTCAGTTTTACCTTCTCCGTGGGGCTCACCCACACCCACACTGCTACCCTGGGCCCCAAACCTGTCTGCGTTTTCCCTCACGTTCAGTGCCTCCTCATACACCAGACTGTGTTCACTTATCACATTTACTGACGACTTTCTCTCTCCCATCCTGAGAACATCTCCTTCTTTTCCGTCTGTTCGTGTCCAGTTCTCACCACCCCCAACAGAGGCTGGTACACAGTAGGTGCCCAGTACATGCTTTGGCAGGAATGAGTGACAGGATGAGGCAGTGAATGCTTCTTGGCTCAGAGCTGAAACTCCCAGAGTTGTGTACTTGCTGTATGACCTTGGGCTGTGCCTCAGTTTCCCCAGGTGTAGAAACGGGGCCACGCCACCCACGACCCCGCCAGGCCCTCCTGCTGCAAGGCTGTGGGTGTCATGTTTGCAGGTCTAGTTCCCTGGGGCCGGCCCTGGCCCCAGCTGCCCAGCTCTGCCGGCTCCCGGGAGACGCACTCTGCTGACACCGGACTCTTTCCTGGACCATCCAGCCGCCTGGCCGACACTCGATCCCGGCCCCACTTCCAGGCCAGTGTCCGGCCGACCAGCCTGCCTTGGGCCAGGGCCCCACGACTCCCTGCTGCGGGACAAGAGGCCGTCTGTGCGGCTGTGGTCGTGGGAGGGTGTGGTGAGGCCGTGAAGGTGGGGACGGTGCCTGGGCCTGTGGCCGCCAGAGCTGCTGCGGCTCAGAAGGTAGCACCAGGCCCCGTGGGTGCTGTGGGGGCCATCGCCTGCCCACCATGGGGACCCTCAGCTGCGACTCCACCCCACGGCTGGCCACAGCCCCCCTTGGCCGGCGAGTGACGGAGGGCCAGATTCCGGAGACCGGCCTGAGGAAGTCCTGTGGGACGGCCACCCTGGAGAACGGTGCGTGCCAGCCGTGGGGGATGGGTGGGACCTTTTCCTGCTCCACTCCCCATACTTCTGGGGCTTCTGGAATGTTCTGGGAGCCCAGCAGGAGGCAGGAGTTTCAGGCAAGTCCTTGCCCTTCCCCAGACCTCAGTTTTCCTTCCGGCAGGATGGGTGTGGACACGGGGTTGCCGTGAGCCCCGAGTATGTGTCTGTCCAACGGAAGCTGCGTGCTTTGCCAGCCGGGTCCCCTTCCAGGGGCTGTGGGTACAGCAGTGGGCAAAGCCACAGCGATCATGCGGGAGACGCGGGGAGGAGGGAATATTTCCAGCGTGGCCCTCAGGGACGGGCGCCCTAGACAACGTGGGGCAGGGCGAGGGGCGCGTGTGCGGAGGCGGCTCTGCTGGGAGCCACATCAGCTGCTGGCCTCGGTGAGGGCCCAGGACGGGCCGCAGTTTCCTCACCCACAATTAGCGGCTGGAGTCAGGCCCCAAGCCAGGTCCTCGGGCTGGTTCTGTGGTCTCTCCTGATCCCTGTGGCATCGAGATTCTGCAGAAGCCACAACACATGGCGTCTGTGACCGTGTATCTCTGGGAGGCTCAGGCCTCAGTCTCCCCATCTGTGATCGTGTATCTCTGCCTGGGCCTCAGTTTCCCCATCTGTGACCGTGTATCTCTGCCTGGGCCTCAGTTTCCCCATCTGTGACCGTGTATCTCTGCCTGGGCCTCAGTTTCCCCATCTGTGACCGTGTATCTCTGCCTGGGCCTCAGTCTCCCCATCTGTGACCGTGTATCTCTGCCTGGCCCTCAGTTTCCCCATCTGTGACCGTGTATCTCTGGGAGGCTCAGGCCTCAGTCTCCCCATCTGTGATCGTGTATCTCTGCCTGGGCCTCAGTCTCCCCATCTGTGATCGTGTATCTCTGCCTGGGCCTCAGTTTCCCCATCTGTGACCATGTATCTCTGCCTGGGCCTCAGTCTCCCCATCTGTGACCGTGTATCTCTGGGAGGCTCAGGCCTCAGTCTCCCCATCTGTGACTGTGTATCTCTGCCTGGGCCTCAGTTTCCCGATCTGTGACCGTGTATCTCTGCCTGGGCCTCAGTCTCCCCATCTGTGACCGTGTTTCTCTGCCTGGCCCTCAGTTTCCCCATCTGTGACCGTGTATCTCTGGGAGGCTCAGGCCTCAGTCTCCCCATCTGTGATCGTGTATCTCTGCCTGGGCCTCAGTTTCCCCACCTGTGACCGTGTATCTCTGCCTGGGCCTCAGTTTCCCCATCTGTGACCATGTATCTCTGCCTGGGCCTCAGTCTCCCCATCTGTGACCATGTATCTCTGCCTAGGCCTCAGTTTCCCCATCTGTGACCGTGTATCTCTGGGAGGCTCAGGCCTCAGTCTCCCCATCTGTGACCATGTATCTCTGCCTAGGCCTCAGTCTCCCCATCTGTGACCGTGTATCTCTGGGAGGCTCAGGCCTCAGTCTCCCCATCTGTGACCGTGTATCTCTGGGAGGCTCAGGCCTCAGTTTCCCGATCTGTGACCGTGTATCTCTGCCTGGGCCTCAGTCTCCCCATCTGTGACCGTGTATCTCTGCCTGGGCCTCAGTTTCCCCATCTGTGACCATGTATCTCTGCCTGGGCCTCAGTTTCCCCATCTGTGACCATGTATCTCTGCCTGGGCCTCAGTCTCCCCATCTGTGACCATGTATCTCTGCCTAGGCCTCAGTTTCCCCATCTGTGACCGTGTATCTCTGCCTGGGCCTCAGTTTCCCCATCTGTGACCGTGTATCTCTGCCTGGGCCTCAGTCTCCCCATCTGTGACCGTGTATCTCTGGGAGGCTCAGGCCTCAGTTTCCCCACCTGTGACCGTGTATCTCTGGGAGGCTCAGGCCCCAGTCTCCCTGTCTGTGCCCCAGGGTGAGGGGGGCTGCTGTCCCCAGCTTTTCCTCTGTGATTCATGTCTGACTCACAATGCAGGCATCACATTTTGTCCCCGACGGGCAGCAGCCTCTTGCTCCCCGGGGCCCCCAATCCTCACCATGGAGGGAGAGGGGAACCCAGGCTAAGGCTCAGGAGCTGGGTCCAGGGCTCCTTCTTCGGGGAATCTGGGCCCAGGAGGTGACCTGAGGGCTTTGGGCTGCAGGCTCGGGGCCAGGCTTGTATGTCCTGCCGTCCACCGTGGGCTTCATCAACCACGACTGCACCAGGGTGGCCAGTCCCGCCTACTCGCTCGTCCGGAGGCCCAGTGAGGGTAAGGCGGGCGAGTGGGCGGCTGGAGGCTTCCCTGATCCTCCAATCTCCCCCCAGGAGCACTGATGGGTCTCCTTACCCCTTAGATCCAGGCCCCCAGTTAGTGCGGCAGGAAGCAGGCAGGGCTGGGCTGTACAACCTGCTCCACCTCCTACTTACTGTGAGACCTCAGGCAAGCTGCTGTCCCTCTCTGTTTTTTCATTGATAATGAGAATGGAAGGAGAAAGAGCGCAGTAAGGAGGTGAGTACCTGTACCTGCCTTACCGTGTTTGCAATTCCTTGCTGCCTGGACTCAGGCAAATTGCTTAAGTGCTTTGCAACTCAGTTTCTGTTAAAAGTTAACAATAGCAGGCCGGTGCGGTGGCTCACGCCTGAAATCCCAGCACTTAAGGAGGCTGAGGCAGGCGGATCACGAGGTCAGGAGATTGGGACCATCCTGGCTAACGCAGTGAAACCCCATCTCTACTAAAAATACCAAAGAAAAATTAGCCGGGCGTGGTGGCGGGCGCCTGTAGTCCCAGCTACTCGGGAGGCTGAGGCAGGAGAATGGCGTGAAGCCGGGAGGCGGAGCTTGCGGTGAGCCGAGATGGCGCCACTGCACTCCAGCCTGGGCGACAGAGTGAGACTCTGTCTCTAAAAAGAAAAAAAAAAAAAGTTAACAATAGTAACAAAAACATTAACATTATATTAAAAATAATAACAGACTCCATACAGGCCTGTTGTAAGGATTAGATGCCTTTTTGAGATTCATTAAGTGAGGATTAAATGCTTTTAAAAGTAGCCGAAAAGCTGGGTGTGGTAGTGTGTGCCTGTGGTCCCAGCTGCTGGGGAGGCCCAGGCAGGAGGATCACTTGAACCCAGGAGGTCGGGGCTGCAGTGAGCTATGATTGCACCACTGCACTCCAGCCTGGGCGACAGAGTGAGACCTCGTCTTAAAACAAATTTAGGGCCGGGCGCAGTGGCTCACCCCTGTAATCCCAGCACTTTGGGAGGCCGAGGCGGGGGGATCCCGAGGTCAGGAGATCGAGACCATCCTGGCTAACATGGTGAAACCCCGTCTCTACTAAAAATACAAAAAATTAGCCGGGCGTGGTTGCAGGCGCCTGTAGTCCCAGCTATTCGGGAAGCTGAGGCAGGAGAATGGCGTGAACCCGGGAGGCAGATGCTGCAGTGAGCCGAGATCATGCCATTGCACTCCAGCCTGGGCGACAGAGCGAGACTCCGTCTCAAAAAAAGAAAAGAAAAGAAAACAAAAACAAAAACAAATTTAAGAAAAAGAAAAAATAGTAAGTGCTCAGTAAACGTGTGCTGTCGGGTGTGAGGCTGAGCCCTGAGCCCCAGTTTCTCCACCATGAAGGTGGGGGCTCCCCGGGCCTGGCCCGTCTCACAGGGCTGTGGTGTATCTCTGTGGACATTCCCGGCTGCCTGCGGGAGGGCAGGCATGGGGTGCACCGGCTCGCTGTGCCACAGGCTGGTGGCCTTGCCCCATGGTGCCTGCTCCTGTCTAGAACGGGCGCAGTGAAGCAGCTCCGGCGTGGACCCCGCCCGGCACCCAGGGAGCTGTTGGTGTTCATCAGTGGCGCTGCTACCACGGGCCAGCAGGTCTCAGGGCTCCCAAATTCCATCCCTCCATTTTCTACCGCTGCTCCAAGGTCCCAGCTGGGCTGGGAGCGCGGTCGGAAGGGTCTTGTGTGGGGATTTGGACAGAGGCCTGCTGGGAGGGGCGGCTGGAGGAGGGGCAGGACAGCAGCCTGTTCTCAGCCTTCAGAATGAGCAAAAATCCCAGCCCACACTGGGACTCAGGAAGCTGCAAGGGGTCCCAGAATGCCAGTGAAGGCGTCAGCACCCCCTGTCCCCAGGACTGGCTTAAGAACTTAGCCTATGGGCCGGGCGCGGTGGCTCACGCCTGTAATCCCAGCACTTCGGGAGGCCGAGGCGGGTGGACCACGAGGTCAGGAGATCGAGACCATCCTGGCTAACATGGTGAAACTCCGTCTCTACTAAAAATAAAAAAAAAAAAATTAGCCGGGCGTGGTGGCGGGCGCCTATAGTCCCAGCTACTAGGGAGGCTGAGGCAGGAGAATGGCATGAACCCGGGAGGCGGAGCTTGCAGTGAGCTGAGACTGTGCCACTGCACTCCAGCCTGGGTGAGAGAGCGAGACTCCGTCGCAAAAAAAAAAAAAAAAAGAACTTAGCCTATGACCCAGACCGATCTGAGTTCCCAGGTTCAAATCCAGTCTCAGGACACCTCCTGGGCCCGAGACAGCGTGGGGAGGCTGGTGGACTGGGGATCGTGCACACTTTGCTGAAGGCCCAGGGTAGGCTTCTTGGAAGTGGAACATGGGATCTGGGTTTTGTAGGATGAATAGGAGTTTGGTGGAGCCCCCAGAAGAACTGAACTCCAGGCAGAGCCTGTTTGTAGGCTGAGGCCTTGAGATGAGTGATGTCATGATGAGCTGGGGTGTGTTCATTTCTCACGGGGCACTGAGCCAGGGGTTGGGGAGGGCAGAAGAAAAGGCTGGAAGGTTCCAGGTGCAGGGTAGAGGCCAAGGTCAGTGCTTCAGCATGGGGAGTCCTGATGGCTAAGCCCTGCACAGTGAGCACTTTGAGGCGAGTCTGTGGTCACGTGAGTGAGGCCCAGGCATCTGTGGAGGGGCGATGGGATTATGACCAGGGATTTCTTTTTCTTTTTCTTTTTCTTTTTGAGACTGAGTCTCACACTATCGCCCAGGCTGGAGTGCAGTGGTGCGATCTCGGCTCACGGCAACCTCTGCCTCCCGGGGTTCAAGTGATTCTCCTGCCTCAGCCTCCTGAGTAGCTGGGACTACAGGCGCCCGCCACCACGCCCGGCTAATTTTTGTATTTTTAGTAGAGACAGGGTTTCACCATATTGGCCAGGCTGGTCTCGAACTCGTGACCTCAGGTGATCCACCCGCCTCAGCCTCCCAAAGTGCTGGGATGACAGGCGTGAGCCACCGCACCCAGCCATGATCAAGGGTTTCTAATAAAAAATTAGCAGGGCATGGTGGTGCATGCCTGTGGTCCCAGAGTTAGGAGGCTGAGGTGGGAGGATTGCTTGAGCCCAGGAGGTCGAGGCTGCAGTGAGCCATGAGCCACTGCACTCTCCAGCCTGGGCGATAGAGTGAGACACTCCCTCAAAAAAAAAAAAAAGAATCTCCCCAGCCTCTTCCAGTCCTGGGGGACTGTATTTGCCCAGGGCCTGGGGAAGGGGCTAAAAATAGACCCCCTCCCTCCTGCCAGTCTAACAAAGGATGAGGCTGTGGCTAAGGGTCAGTGATCACCCTTGGAGTCTGGCCAGTGAGCCTGCGTTGGGGACCACAGCGTATGTGCAAGTACTTGTGCCTGTGGCGGGGAGGTCTGGAGCCGTGTCTGGGCCACACTGCGTGCCACGGACTCCTCAGGGGAGGGCAAAGGTTTGGATGACGTTTCGGGGAGGTCTGGAGCCGTGTCTGGGCCACGCTGCGTGCCACGGACTCCTCAGGGGAGGGCAAAGGTTTGGATGATGTTTCGGGGAGGTCTGGAGCCGTGTCTGGGCCACACTGCGTGCCACGGACTCCTCAGGGGAGGGCGAAGGTGTGGATGACGTTTCCTCCCTCACCCGTGGCTCACTGCCACATGTACAGCATGTGTGCACAGACGGTCTGTGGGGCCGTGAACACCGGTCACGCTGCTACACACAGGTGCCTGCGCATCTGTCACTGGTTGTGCTTTGGCGTGGCAATAATGGTGAAAGCAGCAAACGGTCTCAATCGGGAAGTGCAAGGCCACAGGATCACTCCCTTCTGTGGATCCTCTCACTTTTTGATTTTCTCAACATGCTGATGAGGAAAATAGGCTTAGGATAAATAACTTGGCCAAGGTCACCAGCTCACAAGAGGCCCTGCTGGATTTGAACGTGGTCCAACGCCGAGCCCCCCTCTTAAGCATGCGACCTGCCAGCAAGCCGAAGCCCTGGTTCAGAGCCTAGTCGCTCTTGTCACTCTTTATGTGCAGTTTTTTTTTTCTTTTGAGACTCCATCTTGCTCCGTCGCCCAGGCTGGAGTGCAGTGGCGCGATCACAGCTCACTGCAGCCTCAACCTCCCAGGCTCAAGTGATCCTCCCCCTTCAGCATTCCGAGGAGCTGGGACCCCAGGTGCATGTCAACATGTCTGGCTAAGTTTTAAATTTTTAGTAGAGACGGGATCTTGCTGTGTTGCCCATGCTGGTCTCAAAGTCCTGAGCTCAAGTGACCCTCCTGCCTCGGCCTCTGAAAGTGCTGGGATTACAGGTGTGCACCACCACACCCAGCCTAATTATGTCCAGTTCCAACAAACCCACGAGCTGGTTCTCCAGCCCACACCTGCGCAGAGGTTAGAGGGGCAGAGGTGGCTACAAACAGCAGCAGAGCAGAATCACTTTGACTGTGAGGAGACAGAGTCAGAGCAGAGACCTGAGGCACCCAGTTCAGGCAGCCACAACTCAGGGCCCCTGGGGTGACCCCTCCGAGATGGGACTGGGGTGGCCTCTGACCTGGTGGGAGTGTCTCGGGGCCAAGAGGGGCACTGAGGCCGGGCGGTGGGGCAGGCACTGTCTTCAGAATCACTCTCAGCACTCTGGGCTCCTCTCCCCAGCACCACCTCAGGACACCAGCCCGGGCCCCATCTACTTCTTGGACCCCAAAGTCACACGCTTTGGCCGCAGCTGCACCCCTGCCTACTCCATGCAGGGCCGGGCCAAGTCTCGGGGTGAGTACTGGAGCCAAGCAGCCGCACAAGGACCTGCTTTCCAGGGTCTCAGCGACTCTCCTGCCCTGTCCTCCCTCCCCCTCTTATCCTTGGAGTTCTTAGAATGCAGAGTCTTTGGAGTGATCAAATCCAAGGGACACGGAGGAGGGGCCGCCACTGCAGTGCCCACTGGGGCTGGGAGAACTGAATGAGTGAAGTGGGTCAGGATGACAGAGGCCCTGGGCACACATGGCCACAGAGGCAGCTGGCCTAGGTGTCAGGAGGTGAGAGGTGAATGGGGACTGTGGCAAATCGGCAGTATCCTTCACAGGCACCCAACAGTTTGCCCGCACACCTGACACACCTGCCTGACTCCATTCTCCCATCCACCTGCCCACTCACCCACCATCTATCCATCCACCCTCCACCCAACCATCTACCCACCCGTCCATCCACCCTCCACCAACCATCTTTCCACCCGTCCATCCATTCATCCATCCACCCACCCACCCAACCACCCACCCATCCATCTATCCACCCGCCCATCCACCCTCCACCCAACTATCTATCCACCCGTCCATCCACTCATCCATCCACCCACCCACCCACCCATCCATCTATCCACCCATCCTTCCACCCTCCACCCAACCATCTATCCACCCGTCCATACACTCATCCATCTACCCACCCACCCAACCACCCACCCATCCATCTATCCACCCGCCCATCCACCCTCCACCCAACCATCTATCCACCCGTCCATCCACCCTCCACCCAGCCATCTATCCACCCGTCCATCCACTCATCCATCCACCCACCCACCCACCCACCCATCCATCTATCCACCCATCCTTCCACCATCCACCCAACCATCTACCCATCCATCAATCCACTCATCCATCCACCCACCCAACCATCCACCCATCCACTCATCCATCTATCCACCCATCCATCCACCCTCCACCCAACCATCTATCCACCCGTCCATCCACTCATCCATCCACCCACCTACCCACCCACCCCTCCATCTATCCACCCATGCTTCTACCATCCACCCAAACATCTATCCATCCTTCAATCCACTCATCTATCCACCCACCTAGCATCCACCCTCCCAACCATCCACCCACCAACTCATCCATCTATCCACCCATCCATCCACCATCTACCTAACCATGTATCCACCCATCCATTCACTCATCCATCCACCCACCCACCCATCCAGCCATCTATCCACCCATCCATCCACCATCTACCTAACCTTGTATCCACCCATCCATTCACTCATCCATCCACCCACCCACCCACCCACCCATCTATCCACTCATCCATCCACCCTCCACCCAACCATCTATCCACCCATCCATCCACTCATCCATCCACCCACCCACCCATCCATCCACCATCTACCTAACCATGTATCCACCCATCCATCCACTCATCCATCCACCCACCCGCCCACCCACCCATCCATCTATCCACCCATCCATCTACCATCTACCTAACCATGTATCCACCCATCCATTCACTCATCCATCCACCCACCCACCCATCTATTCACCCATACATCCACCCTGCACCCAACCATCTATCCACCCTTCCATCTACTCATCCATCCACCCACCCATCCACCCACCCATCCATCTATCCACCCGTCCTTCCAGCATCCACCCAACCATCTATCCATCCATCAATCCACTCATCCATCCACCCACCTAGCATCCACCCACCCAACCATCCACCCATCCACTCATCCATCTATCCACCCATCCATCCACCCGCCCATCCACCCACCCATCCACCCACCCATCCATCCATCTATCCACACATCCATCCACCATCCACCCACCCACTCATCCATCCACCCACCTACCCATCTGTCCAGCTATCCACCCACCCACCCATCTATCCACCTACCCATCCATCTGTCCATCCTTTCACCTACCCACTCATTCATCTATCCACCCACCCACCCACACAACCATCTATCTGCCCATCCATCTACCCACCCACTCATCCCTCCACCCACCCATCCATCCACACACCCATCCACACACCGACCTGCACCCATCCACCCACCCACCTGCCTGCCCATCTACCTATCCACTCATCCATCTATCCATCCACCCACCTACCCATCTATCCACTCACCCATCCAGCCAACCATTCACCCATCCACTCACCCATCCACCCACCCACCCATCTATCCACCCACCCACTCATCCATCCAACCATCTACTCACCTACCCATCAATCCACACACCCATCCACCCGCCCATCCAACCACATACCCATCCATCCACCCATCCACCTACCCATTCATCCATCCACTCACTCATCCATCCATCCATCTACACATCCATCCATCCCCCATCCACCCACTCATCATCCATCCATCCATCCATCCATCCACCCATCCACCCGCCCCTCCTTCCACCATCCACCCAACATTCTATCCACCCATCCATCCACTCATCCATTGACCCACCTAGCATCTACCCACCCAGCCATCCACCCACCCACCCATCCATCCATCCACTCATCAACCCATCCATCCATCCACCCACTCACCCATCCACCTATCCATCCTTCCACCCACCCATCCATCCATCCATCATCTATCCACCCATCCACTCACTCATCCATCCATCCATCCGCCCACCCTCCCACCCATTCAGCCACCCACCTACCCACTCATCTATGAATCCTTCCTTTTTTCCTTCTACCTATCAACCGTTCCATCCATCCATCCATCCATCCATCCATCCATCCATCCATCATCCACTCATCCATCCATTTACAAATCCCTTCATGAACCATTCACTCCCCGCTCAACCACTCACCTCCTACCTATCCTGTTCACCCATCAACTCAGACAGTCAACTGCTGGAGAGTTGGAGTAAATTTGACATGCCTTCCTTTTTATGGGATCCCAGTCTGGTGGGGCAGTTAGATGCAGGTGCAGACCATCCCACCTCAGTGTGCTCACGTCTGGAGAGAGGGGAAAACCCAGGCTGTGGGGCTCTGGAAGGGCTGTGAGGGCTCTACCCTGGATGGGCTGGGGAAGGCAGCAGGGAGGAGGGGTGGAAAATGAAGGCGTGCTTGGCCCTGGGTCCAGCTTGGGCAAAGTCCTGGAGGCTTGAAACACAGACCATGTGTATGGAGGATGGGGAAGGGAGAGAAAGGCACCCAGGCTGCTTGAGAAGCGTTGTAAGCTCCAGGGTGCATGTGGGCCATGGGGAGCCAGGCCGGGTCTCTGGGCAGGTGAGGACATCAGTGCCACCTTTCCTTCCCCACTCTCTCAGGTCCGGAGGTGACGCCAGGCCCTGGGGCCTACAGCCCAGAGAAGGTGCCCCCTGTGCGCCATCGGACACCGCCGGCTTTCACCCTGGGCTGCCGCCTCCCCCTGAAGCCCCTGGACACCTCAGCCCCTGCCCCTAATGCCTACACCATGCCCCCTCTGTGGGGCTCACAGATCTTCACCAAGCCCAGCAGCCCCAGCTACACGGTGGTGGGCCGCACCCCCCCCGCCCGCCCCCCGCAGGATCCTGCTGAGATACCAGGCCCGGGCCAGTACGACAGCCCGGACGCAAACACCTACCGCCAGCGCCTGCCTGCCTTCACCATGCTGGGGCGGCCCCGGGCCCCGCGACCCCTGGAGGAGACCCCCGGCCCTGGCGCCCACTGCCCAGAGCAGGTCACCGTGAACAAAGCCAGGGCTCCAGCGTTCTCTATGGGCATCCGCCACTCGAAACGGGCCAGCACCATGGCCGCCACCACGCCCTCCCGGCCTGCGGGGCACAGGCTGCCCGGCCGCTGCTGCTAGGCCAGGCCTGTTTCCCACACAGTGAACGGGGGGCTGGCGGGCCTCTCCTGGGGCCTGGCTTTGGCTGGAGGGGCTAGAAGGCGAGAGGGGCTGGGAAAGGAGTCTTCCCTCCCCTTTCCTGAACTGTCCAGGTCCTTCTAGGACACCTGATCCTTCCAGTCCCTGGGGGCTGTGACCCATGGCCCTGTGCAGGGTGCAGGGTGAGTCTCCTTCCAGTGCCCCAGTTTCTTCCAGGTCACGCCAGGCCAGGCCAGGCCAGGTGGGGAAAGGGACACCTTCCGGCCCTCCCCAGTAGCTGGCTGGAGATGGAGCTTCCTGTGTCCCAGAACTCGGCGTCCAGCTCCACTAGGGCCTGGATCCCCATCACAGCTTGGGTTAGCCCCGGTCCCAGCCCAAACTCAGGCTGGAGGCAGCCCCGAGGCCTGTGCCTTTCCCACTCCACCTTCTACAGTTGCTTAGCCAATAAACCTTTCCTGGGCTGGAGAGCTGTCAGCATCACATGTGCTTACTCATTTAATGTGTCTTTTTTTTTTTTTTTTTTTTGAGACGGAGTCTCGCACTCCCGCCCAGACTGAAGTGCAGTGGCGCGATCTCGGCTCACTGCAAGCTCCGCCTCCCGGGTTCACGCCATTCTCCTGCCTCAGCCTCCCGAGTAGCTGGGACTACAGGCGCCCGCCACCACGCCTGGCTAATTTTTTGTATTTTTAGTAGAGATGGGGTTTCACCATGTTAGCCAGGATGGTCTCGATCTTCTGACCTTGTGATCCTCCTGCCTTGGCCTCCCAAAGTGCTGGGATTACAGGCATGAGCCACCGAGCCCGGCCTTAACGTGTCTATTGATGTCACAGAAAAGAGACCCGAACGCCGCCCTCCAGAGCCAGACCCGTAGCCCTCCAGTGGCCAGGGGGTCTGAGAGACCAGAAGAGAGACCCAGGGCGAGGGGAGGCCGGAGGTGGAGCCAAGCTTTTGAGCAGGCAGCCAGGTAGGCTTCCTGGAAGAGGCAATATTGAAGCTGGGTTTTGAAGGATGTATAGGAGCTTGAGGTATTCTAATATCTGCCATCAGTAGCTGCTTGCTATGTTTTGGATATTAATAAAGATCATCTAGGCTTCATAGCAACTCAGGACCAGGGGCATCTACTGAGAGGAAATGGTGCTTTGGAGAGACTGGACATTTGTCCTGGGGCATGCTGTGAGCCCCCACCTCAGTCTGATGTCAGGATTTGAACTCTGGATGTTGGACTGAGTTCCTGCCACTGTCTCCAAGGGACAGGAAGGAAACACACCGGGGGTGCCGTGTGACTGAGCCCTCTGTGTGCCAGGGAGGGATGGCACCTGGACCACCTTACAAACCTCCCATCCAGAAAGACCCTAATCCCGGAGCTTGGGAGGGTGCGACACTGCCCCGGGACCTCCCTGAGGGATGCAGCCTGGGAGGCATGCAGGGCGCAGAGAGGGGGTGGTGGGGCTGCTCTCTCCTCAGCCCACAGCCCTCAGCCTAGGGCCGCCAAACCTGTCCCACCCTTTACCCATTAGGTGAACACACCCCAGGACCCAGCAGCCTGGATCCCCTGCATATGCCTGGACACGCACCCAGACACAGCGTACACCCTGCGCACAACACACACACCGCGCGCAGGTCCAGCCGCGGCTCCAGCCCGACCAATCGCGCCCACGATCTGCTCCTCCCGCGGACGCGCAGGGGCTGAGTCCGACACGCGCCGCGGCAGAGACGGCCGATCGCGACCGCGCGCCTCGCTCCCCTCCCCCACCTCCCCGGCCCCGCGGGCGGCGCCGGCTGTGATCTCATCCCCTGAATTATCGATCGGGCTCCGGGCAGCCTCGCCCCTCCCTCCCTCCCCACCTGCCAGCGCGTCCCGGCCCCTCCCTTTGTTCCCGGCAATCAGCCCTGCTTGGGGCGGGGCAGGTGCAGGGGAGCTCCAGCCAAGTCGGGCCAGGAGGCTGGGTCCCGGGGTGACAGTGACACCCCGTTTTCTGGTGCAGAAGGAACCGACCCTTGAGGCCAGGGAAGGTGCGGCCGGTCTCGGAGAGGTTGAGGCTGGGGATGGAGCGACCGGCCTGGGAGGCTGAGGCCCAGAGCTCAGATGAGCTGGTGCGGGACTGGGCTCCCCAGAAGTGAGGGAAGAAGGGCCGCGACCCTCCAGCCCGCTCCCCTGAGTTACAGCCGGAGAAACTGAGGCCGGGACAGGCCGCAGAGCAGGGGCCCGGCTCCGCTCCTAGCCCCGCCCCCCCCCCCCACCCCCGAGCCGGCACTCCTGGGTTTGAGCTTCGTCTGTGAGCCCTCGGCCGCGCCCCTTCCCCTCCCCGCGCCTCAGTTTCCCCACTAAGAAATAGGGGTGACCCTAAGGTACCTTCTAGCTGCAACAACGGAGAGGGAGGGGCTGACCTTAGGGTCTGGGGTTCTCTTTTCCCTGGCCGCGCCTCCCGGGGCCTCAGTTTCCCCACTAGGAAATAGGGGAAAGAAGGGATGTGGAATTTCTAAGCTTCTCCAGCTCGGTCCTTCTGCGAACTTGGGCGGCGGGCGGGGGTGGGGGGCGCAGCGGGGAGGGTCGCTGACGGGGTTCTGGGTTCAAAGCCCCGTCCCGCCTTGGCTGCGGGTTCCAGGCCAGCGCCCGGTGTCCTCGGAGGGCCTCAGTTTCCCCAGCCTCGCGGCCAGGCTCCGGGACGAGGAGGGCCGGGGTCCCAGGGGCGCAGCCCCCCGCGGCTGCGCGCTGGGCCGGGCGGATGACATCACCGGGCCGGGGGGCGGGAGGGAGCGGGCGGAGCGGGAGGGCTTCCTCCGCGCCAGGCGCAGCGCCCGGTCGGGCTCCGTCGGGCGGCCGCGGCCATGACGCAGGGTCCGGGCGGGCGCGCGCCCCCGGCGCCCCCCGCGCCCCCCGAGCCCGAGGCGCCCACCACCTTCTGCGCGTTGCTGCCCCGAATGCCGCAGTGGAAGTTCGCGGCCCCGGGCGGCTTCCTGGGCCGCGGCCCGGCGGCGGCGCGGGCGGCTGGGGCCTCGGGGGGCGCGGACCCCCAACCCGAGCCGGCGGGCCCGGGGGGCGTCCCGGCGCTGGCGGCCGCCGTCCTGGGCGCCTGCGAGCCCCGCTGCGCCGCGCCCTGTCCCCTGCCCGCGCTCAGCCGCTGTCGGGGCGCGGGGTCGCGGGGGTCGCGGGGCGGGCGGGGGGCGGCGGGGTCCGGGGACGCCGCCGCCGCCGCCGAGTGGATCCGGAAGGGCAGCTTCATCCACAAACCCGCGCACGGCTGGCTACACCCCGACGCCAGGGTCCTGGGGCCCGGGGTCTCCTACGTCGTGCGGGTGAGTCCCCCCCACCCCCCCCGGGAGCCCGTTCGCGGCGGCCTCCCCTCCCCCACCCTCTCCTCCGGGACCCCCGGACCCCGCGAGCCAGGTGTCCCCTCCCCATCCTTCCTGCTCTCCCGCCACCCCGGACCCCCATCCCCGGCCGGCGGCCGGCGGCTGCCCCCACCCGGAGGCGCTGGGGTCCGGGTTCCCACGGCGTCACGTGGGGAGGGGCGGGGAGAGGGCGGCGGGGGAGGGGCGCGCATGCGCAGGTGCACCGCCCCCCACTCGGACTGGGCGGGCGAGGCCGAGAGCGGCGAGCGGCCGGGGCGTCTCTGCCACCGGAGCCCCCCGGACAGCTGTTCACGAATGACAGACGGGGCCCGAGACGCTGGCCTGCGGTGGGGGTGCGGGAAGGGGTGTTTGGAAAGGGGCTGGCGCCCGGACAGACCCCAGGATTCCAGATGGGAGGCAGCAGGGACTTCCAGGGCGGCCAAGGAAGCGGCCTTTGTTTATTTACCTTGGGTCTTATGATAAATGAACCTTTTCAAACACACGGGGAAGTCGGGCGCCTGGACACAGCACGCCTCCACCTAGGAGGGTAACCTTCCCCTCTGCTGACGGGTCTGCCCCTCTCTGTGGTTTATAGTAAACCGTGTGAAGTCACCTGCAGGGGTGACAGCGCCGTGCATAGTCCCCCGTCTTCTGAGAGAGCAGCTGTCCTACAGCTGCAGTCATTACGGCGTCTGGGAAAATGATCAGCCACTCCCGCACGCCACTACCGGTGGGTGCTCCCAGCTCCTCCCGGCCTCTGCGGCCAGGAACATTAGCCTGTGTTCACATTGGGTTGTGTCTTTGCTTTTCTGGACACTGAGTTCAGTAGGGTCCTTCCCTCTACACTGAGTTGAGAAGGGTCCTTCCCCTTACACTGAGTTCAGTGGGGTCCTTCCCCCTACGCTGAGTTCAGTGGGGTCCTTCCCCCTACGCTGAGTTCAGTAGGGTCCTTCCCTCTACACTGAGTTGAGAAGGGTCCTTCCCCCTACGCTGGGTTCAGTGGGGTCCTTCCCCCTACGCTGAGTTGAGAGGGGTCCTTCCCCCTACGCTGGGTTCAGTGGGGTCCTTCCCCCTACGCTGGGTTCAGTGGGGTCCTTCCCCCTACGCTGGCTTCAGTGGGGTCCTTCCCCCTACGCTGGCTTCAGTGGGGTCCTTCCCCCTACGCTGGGTTCAGTGGGGTCCTTCCCCCTACGCTGGCTTCAGTGGGGTCCTTCCCCCTACACCGAGTTGAGAGGGGTCCTTCCCCCTACGCTGGGTTCAGTGGGGTCCTTCCCCCTACGCTGGGTTCAGTGGGGTCCTTCCCCCTACACCGAGTTGAGAAGGGTCCCCCTACAATTCCTGTGCCGTAGGAGTCTGACCTTATTACCTTATATTGGGAACAGGGTCCTTGCAGATGTAACCTAGTCAAGATGAGGCCTACCTGGATCAGGGGTCTCTGTAAGGAGAAGGAACTTTAGACTCAGATGCACAGAGGAGCGGGCCGTTAGGAGACAGGCAGAGGTGGGGGCCTCAAGCCCGGGCCCACCAAAGCCTGTGGGAGCCCCCAGAAGCTGGCTGTGAAACCTCACTCCCCCACGTGTGGTCCCCAGGCGCGCTCGGCCTGCGCAGTACAACCGGCTTCTGCCTCCCCAGGACCCGCTTCCGCCTCCCCGGAACCCTCTTCCGCCTCCCCAAGACCCGCTTCCGCCTCCCCAGGACCCGCTTCCGCCTCCCCGGAACCCGCCTCCGCCTCCCCGGGACCCGCTTCCGCCTCCCCGGAACCCACTTCCGCCTCCCCAAGACCCGCTTCCGCCTCCCCGGAACCCGCTTCCCCCTCCCCCGGAACCCACTTCCGCCTCCCCAAGACCGGCTTCCGCCTCCCCGGAACCCGCGTCCGCCTCCCTGGAACCCACTTCCCCGTCCCCCGGAACCCGCTTCCGCCTCCCCAGGACCCGCTTCCACCTCCCCGGAACCCGAATCCGCCTCCCCAGGACCCGCTTCCGCCTCCCCGGAACCTGCTTCCCCGTCCCCCGGAACATGCGTCTGCCTCCCCGGAACCCACTTCCGCCTCCCCAAGACCCGCTTCTGCCTCCCCAGGACCCGCTTCCGCCTCCCCGGAACCCGATTCCGCCTCCCCGGGACCCGCTTCCGCCTCCCCGGAACCCGCTTCTGTCTCCCCGGAACCCGCTTCCGCCTCCCCAAGACCCGCTTCCGCCTCCCCGGGACCCACTTCCGCCTCCCCAAGACCCGCTTCCGCCTCCCCGGAACCCACTTCCCCCTCCGCCGGAACCCGCGTCTGCCTCCCCGGAACCCACTTCCCCGTCCCCCGGAACATGCGTCTGCCTCCCCGGAACCCGCTTCCGTCTCCCCGGAACCCACTTCCGCCTCCCCAAGACCCGCTTCTGCCTCCCCGGGACCCACTTCCGCCTCCCCAAGACCCGCTTCCGCCTCCCCAAGACCCGCTTCCGCCTCCCCGGAACCTACTTCCGCCTCCCCAAGACCCTCTTCTGCCTCCCCGGGACCGGCTTCCGCCTCCCCAGGACCCGCTTCCGCCTCCCCGGGACCCACTTCCGCCTCCCCCGGGTCTGTGCGGATGCCAGGCCTGGTTGGGTCTGTTTTCCCTGGTGGCATCGGGCCGCCCTCGCCGTCTCCCGGCGGTTTGTCCTACAAGTTTAACGCCGACGGCCGGCGTGTTCCACGGAGGACGCGTGCGCTTCCTTCACACCACATCCATTGGGACCAGTCAGGTGTGGCCATTGGCCGTGGATGTGGGATTTAGAATGTTCAGAATTCAGACGCCAGGGTTGTTGGGGCTCCGGATGTTGGGGGATAACTGCTGCTTTCCGTCACTGCAGGAAATATTTAGCATACGCTTCCCCTGCCCGGCACAGATGATGAGTAGACAATGAGAGACCTCGTTCCTGCTCTCAAGGAGCTTGGATTCCAGTAGGAGAGACAGTCAATCAGAAGAGGACAAACAGATGAGGAAATAGGTTCTGGTAGCGGCTCTGCAGAGCTAAAATCGTGTGATATTAGAGCAGGAGGCTGGGCGGCTGCCCCTCCCAGGAGGCGACCTTGAAGCTGAGACCTGAGCCATGGAAACCCCGGCCGTGGGGTTTGCAGACATAGTTCTAGACGGGGCACAGCAGGTGCAGGTGCAAAGGCCTGATATGGTGGGTTTGCAGACAGAGATCTAGGGGGGGTACAGCAGGTGCAGGTGCAAAGGCCTGATGTGGTGGGGTTTGCAGACAGAGTTCTAGTCGGGGCACAGCAGGTGCAGGTGCAAAGGCCTGATGTGGTGGGGTTTGCAGACAGAGTTCTAGTCGGGGCACAGCAGGTGCTGGTGCAAAGGCCTGATGTGGTGGGGTTTGCAGACAGAGTTCTAGTCGGGGCACAGCAGGTGCAGGTGCAAAGGCCTGATGTGGTGGGGTTTGCAGACAGAGTTCTAGGCGGGGCACAGCAGGTGCAAAGGCCCCACGCGGTGGGTTTACAGACAGAGTTCTAGGCGGGGCACAGCAGCTGCAGGTGCAAAGGCCTGACTGTGGAGTTTACAGACAGAGTTCTAGGGGCGGGGCACAGCAGGTGCAAAGGCCCCACGCAGTGGGTTTACAGACAGAGTTCTAGGCAGGGGCACAGCAGGTGCAAAGGCCCCACGTGGTGGGGATTGCAGACAGAGTTCCAGGCAGGGGCACAGCAGGTGCAAAGGCCCCACGTGGTGGGGATTGCAGACAGAGTTCTAGACGGGGCACAGCAGGTGCAGGTGCAAAGGCCTGACGCGGTGGAGTTTGCAGACAGAGTTCTAGGGGGGGCACAGCAGGTGCAAAGGCCCCACGCAGGGAGCGGACCTGGTGCGTGTGCGTCACGGCAAGGAGAGCCATGAGACTGGAGCTGATGGAGAGGGAGCGGGACTCTCTCTGTGGGCTGTGGTGAGGAGTGGGGGTGGTTTTAAGTAGGGGGTGGCGCAGAGTGTGCAGTTTTGAAAGCCCTTCCAGGGGCCGTGTGGAAGTGTTGCTGAGGGAGGAGGAGGGTCTGGAAGGGCAGCAGAGACCCGGGAGGAGGCTGCGAGGGACGGCGGTGGCCCAGGCCAGGGGACCTAGGTGAGGGGAGAAGTGGACAATGAGCCTGTGTTGGAGCCCGGAGGAGTTGCTGATGGACCAGGGGCCCTGGCCCCCAGGGAGCCTGACCGGCCTCAGCCCCCAGCGCTGTCCCCCAGGAGCCCCGTCTCCCAGCACCTACATCACAGCAGGCACAGGGACAGCCGGTCCCTCCTGGTCACAGGGAAGCTTGAGTTAAGGAGGGGAATAGCCAAGCCCCATCACCCGGGGGCTGCGGCCGGCGGCTCAGGCCCGCAGGGCTCTTCCACACTGGAGGGACCCTGTGCACTGAGGGAAACTGAGGCACAGAGAGGCCGAGCTGTGTCTGAGGTTACGCAGTGAAAAGCAGGACCAGAACCCGGGGCTGAGGGTCCTCCTGCGGGAGCCGGAGAGAACATTCTGAGGGCACTCGTCACGCACGCACCTGTGTGGGGCACAGCAACGGCCCCGTGTCCACATCCACCCTCGGATTCTGTGAAGGTGCCCCTCACACGGCGACAGGGGACCTGCAGGTGGGACCGAGTGAGCAACCCTGAGATGGGATGATTTGGGGGCCCGGTGTCCTCGCAGCAGGGGGTGAGAGTCAGAGAGAGACCGGAAGAGGCTGCGCTGTGGCTGCTAACCGGGAGGAAGGGGCCCCCAGCCAAGGGATGTGGGCCCCTCAGGACGCTGGGAAAGGCGGAGCAGATTGGGAACCAACTCTGCCCACACCTTGATTTTAGACTTCTGAGCTCTAGACATAAGCGGATTAGCTCGCGTTGTTTGGAGCCACTCAATTTGTGGTGATTGGTGATAGCAGCAAGAGGGAGTGGATGGGCCGGGCGACTCAGCCGGCATCGCAGAACCCCCCAGAATCCTGCAGCGATCCCGGTGTGTGGGAGAGAAGTTGGACGCCGGATAATCAGCGGCGTGGGCCCCGCGTCCGAGCGCCGTGGGCAGCATCGGTGCAAATGCAGTACCTCCGGCGCCGAGGCTCACGCCGAGTCCTGCGCGGTGCTGAGTTCCGAGGAGCCCTGGGTTCCATTCTCCCCACAACCCTGCGGCTTCCACCCATTTTATAGATGAGGCAGCTGAGGCACAGCAGGTCAAAGAGCTGCCCGAGAGCCCTTCCCTGGGTCATGGCACTCGCGATGCCTTTAGGGCTGTCACCACAGACCTGACTCGGAGCTGCTGGGCGCCAAAGGGACCTTGATTGTCTCCTGCGAGAAGAACCCGGGGTCGGCGGCTCTGGGGTTGGTTAATTCAGCAGCTCAGTGACTTTGTCATGGGTCCAGGTCATTGTTATTTCACCGAAATTCATGCCAACCTGGAACCCCAAAATGAGGCCTTCTGTGGAACAGGCTCTCTGCAGGTGTCATTAAACAAGGTCACGTTGGATTCAGGTCACCCTGACCCGGTGACTGCCGTCTTTATGAGAAGCTGAGTGAGGGCACAGAGAGAAGGACGCGGGACAGGATGAGAGGGGCAGAGACGAGCGATGCGGCCACGGGCCAAGGATGTCAGGGAGCCCCGGCCACCACCAGCACTGGGAGAGGCAGGACGGGCCTTCCCCTGCTGCCTCCAGAGGGGACGGGCTTCCGGCCCTCAGGCCTGTGTGAGGAAGCATTTCTATGGTCTTTTTTTTTTTTTGAGACAGAGTTTCCCTCTTGTTGCTGAGGCTGGAGTGCCGTGGCGCGATCTCGGCTCACCGCAACCTCCGCCTCCCGGGTTCAAGCGATTCTCCTGCCTCAGCCTCCTGAGTAGCTGGGACTACAGGCGCCCGCCACCATGCTCAGCTAATTTTGTTTGTATTTTCAGTAGAGATGGGGTTTCACCCTGTTGGCCAGGCTGGTCTTGAACTCCTGACCTCAGGTGATCCGCCCGCCTGCGCCTCCCAAAGTGCTGGGATGACAGGTGTGCGCCGTCGCGTCCGGCCCATTTCTGTTGTCTTAAGCCCCGTTTGTGGGGATCTGTTAGGGCAGCCACGGGAGACCGACCGCCTTCCCGGGGCCTCTGCTGGGTCAGTTCCTCCCCTGGCTGAAAGGCAGTGGCTCTGGTTTGGCAGAACAGGGTCCCCTGTCTCTGTGGGGCTCCTTTTGTGAATGGGGACATTTTTCCTGAGAATCCCCCGCCGACTTTGCCGTGGGTCTCATGAGCCCAGCCCGGCACTGCCCAGCAGAACCGTCCGTGTCTGCACCGTCCAGTGTGGCTGCCGTGAGTCACATGGGCGGCTGGGCCTCGAGGTGTGGCCTGTGCTGTTGCAGTGCCAGCTTCATTTTACCTGACTTTTCTCAAGTGGTCACAGGCAGCAAGCAGCTGCCGTGCTGGACAGCTCGGTCTGGGTGAATCTTGACGCCTGATCTTTGGGCTTCACCCGAAGGCGTAGATCTGAGCAAGATGTCTCTGTTGAGAAAGACACAGAGCTTGTCTCCTGGAGAGGCCAGAGTTCGTGCCAAGGTCTGTGGACACCGACCCCGTGTTCTCCCACACGTACCATTTTGGCGCTGGGCTCGTCCATACACAGAAGTCCCGTGAGTCAGGCCGTCCTGCTCTCTGCGGTGCCCTCACGCACCTCACCTCGTGAGCACTTCAGGGAGAGTTTCCTGTGCGTGTCTGGCTCTGCTCCAGGTGCGTGGAGCCCAGGCCCGGTGGGGGATGGACGCAAACTGGGACACGGTCGGCAAAATGACACTTCATCCTTCCTGCATCGCGGGTCCCTTAAGCTGGGAGGTGCGGGGAGTTGTGAGAGGGTGCTGGAGATGGTTCAGCTCCAAATGCAGCTTTTCCTTGAAGGCGAGGGGTCAGGTGTGGCCAGTTGACACGGTGGATGAATCCCATGGCTCGACAGCATCCCTAAAGATCTGGGTTCTGGCCGGGCGTGGTGGCTCACGCCTGTAATCCAGCATTTTGGAAGACCAAGGCGGCAGGATCACTTGAGCCCAGGAGTTTGAGACCAGCCTGGGCAGCTTGGTGAAACCCTGTCTCTACCAAAAAAGAAAAAACATTAGCCAGGCAGGGTGGTGCACACCTGTGGTCCCGGCTATGTGGGAGACTGAGGCAGGAGGAGCACGTGAGCCTGAGAATTCGAGGCCGCAGTGAGCCAAGATCATGCCACTGCCCTCCAGCCTGGGTGACAGAGCAAGACCCTGCCTCAGAAACAAAACTCAGGTTTTGTTTCTGAGAACAAAGAACCCATATCTGGGTTCTTTCTGTCCTTCTCCCATCCAAGTACCAATCAGGCCCGACCCTGCTCAGCTTCCAAGGCCAGACAACATTGGGCTGTTTTCAGGACGGTGTGACCACAGTCTCTCCCATCTTTCTGTGCCGCCGTCCTCTGCACGCTGGCTTGGCGACCTTCAGGGTCACAAAATGGTGGCCACAGCACCCGACGTCGCTGGGACCCGGCCACGTCCACTGGGAGCAGAGGTCATCCCTTCCTGGAGCTCTTTGTGAGAGACTCCGGCCGTTCTCCCTCCTCCATTGGCTGGAAATGGCAAACCCTTCACTTGTGGAAGGGAACGGGGCCACCAAACTGGCTTAAAGACCAGCGGCATCTGGGAACCTGTTGCAAATGCTGATTCTCGAGCCCCACCCCAGACCTGCTGGGTCAGAGACTCTGGGGGGCTTGGAGAGCTGCGTTTTGTGAGTCCTCCAGGTGATTCTGAGTCACACTCAGGTCTGAGATCCACCAGCTGCAGCTGCGTGTGGCCGTCCTGCCGATCAACTACCACTATTTATAGCAAGCATTCTGTGATCCTTCACTCCTGAAATGAAACCCAAGTGTACCTGTAACACCCACCTACGCAGGAACTCCAAGTCAGTACGATGCCCCAACCGCAGTGAAACGGAGAAACGCACACCTACGCAGGAATTCCCCCCAAGTCAGTACGATGCCCCAACCTCAATGAAACGGAGAAACGCACACCTACGCAGGAACTCCCCCCAAGTCAGTACGATGCCCCAACCTCAATGAAATGGAGAAACGCACACCTATGCAGGAATTCCCCCCAAGTCAGTACGATGCCCCAACCTCAATGAAACGGAGAAACGCACACCTACGCAGGAATTCCCCCCAAGTCAGTACGATGCCCCAACCTCAATGAAACGGAGAAACGCACACCTACGCAGGAACTCCCCCCAAGTCAGTACGATGCCCCAACCTCAATGAAACGGAGAAACGCACACCTACGCAGGAACTCCCCCCAAGTCAGTACGATGCCCCAACCTCAATGAAATGGAGAAACGCACACCTACGCAGGAATTCCCCCCAAGTCAGTACGATGCCCCAACCGCAGTGAAACGGAGAAACGCAATGGTGGTGATTCCTAGTAACTCAAAATATGTTTCAGCCTGTAAATGTGCAGGGTCCACTCTCCGGGAAGCACAGAGGCCGCCACAAAGGCCACCATTCCTGTGACAGCCACAGACGGGGCAGATGCAGGCTGCCATTCTGCAGCTCCGACACCACGGCTGGAGTCACACGGACGATTTGGCTTCTAAAATAGTGAACAACTATTTTAGTCCAACTTGTATAAAAACGATGCTGCCAGGCACGGAGGCTCATTCCTATAATCCCAGCACTTTGGGAGGCAGAGGCGGGCTGATCACCTGAGGTCAGGAGTTCGACACCAGCCTGTCAACATGGTGAAACCCCGTCTCTACTAAAAATACAAAAATTGGCTGGGTGTGATGGCGGGCAACTGTAATCCCAGCTACTCGGGAGGCTGAGGCAGGAGAATCGCTTGAACCCAAGAGGTGGAGGTTGCAGTGAGCCGAGATCACGCCACTGCACTCCAGCCTGGGCGACAGAGTGAGACTATGTCTCAAAACAAACAAAAAATGCCAAAAAGTTAAAGAGAATTACCTTATGATCCACCAATTTCACTTCTTGGATATATACCTCCCAGAAATGGAGAGCAGGGACTTGAGGGGATGTTTGTACACTCACGGCCACAGCAGCATAACTCCCAGCAGCCCAAAGGTGGAAACAGTCCAGGTGTCTGTTGATGGATGAGTGGATCAACACAGCATGGCCATCCACATGCTGAAATACGACGTGGCCCACGGCGTGGCCATCCACACGCTGAAATACGGCACAGCCACGGCGTGGCCATCCACACGCTGAAATATGATGTGGCCACAGCGTGGCCATCCACATGCTGAAATACAGCACAGCCACGGCGTGGCCATCCACACACTGAAATATGACGTGGCCACGGCGTGGCCATCCACACGCTGAAATATGACGTGGCTATGGTATGGCCATCCACACGCTGAAATACAGCACAGCCATGGCGTGGCCATCCACACACTGAAATATGATGTGGCTATGGTATGGCCATCCACACGCTAAAATACGACGTGGCCACGGCGTGGCCATCCACACGCTGAAATATGATGTGGCCACGGCGTGGCCATCCACACGCTGAAATACGGCACAGCCATGGCGTGGCCATCCACACACTGAAATATGACGTGGCTATGGTATGGCCATCCACACGCTGAAATATGACATGGCCACGGCATGGCCATCCACACGCTGAAATATGATGTGGCCACGGCGTGGCCATCCACACGCTGAAATACGGCACAGCCATGGCGTGGCCATCCACACACTGAAATATGACGTGGCCACGGCGTGGCCATCCACATGCTGAAATATGACAATATGATGCGGCCAAGGAAAGAAACGAGGCTGTGACCCAGGCATGAGTGGATCAACACAGTGTGGCCATCCACACGCTGAAATACGACGCGGCCAAGAAAAGGAACGAGGCTCTGACCCAGGCCACGGCACGGACGGACCTTGAGGATGTCTCACTCGGTGAGAGACTCCAGACACAGAAGGACAAGCTTTGTGCAATTCCACCCATCAGAGGTCCCCAGAGCCATCAGATTCACAGAGACAGAAAGTAGGATGGGGCTGGGGAGGGGACGGGGAGTAAGTGTTTTGTGGGGTCAGTTTGAGTTTGGGAAGATGAGGACGTTCTGGAGAGACGGTGGTGGTGGCTGCACAGCCACGGGAATGCGCTGAGTGCCACTGAACCGTGCGATTAAAGACAGTCAAAACTCTAAATTTTATGTTATGTGTGTTTTACCACAATAAAAAAGCAAGCACACGAAAACGCGCCACTCTCTTGCGTCATGGGCCACGTGGAGTTAGGTTGGAGGCGTGTGGCAGTCATGGAAGGCTTTCCCCACAAGATGCCTGGAGGAAGCTCCGAGGCCCTGGGGACAGTTCGGTGTCATTGTGAGTCCCCCCCCTCCTGTAGCGCCGGCTGCCCAGCCTCGCGATGATGGCCAACAGGGCCCCACATTTCCGCGGCACCCCCAGGGCAGCACACACCCCTCGCCCCTGTGGAAAGCCATGGCCAGGGGCACTGACGGGGGCTGTGGCCAGTGGGAGGGGCGTCCTCCTGGCCAGGGGTGGAGGGCGGCACTGGTCAGCGTGGCGCAGGGTGTCAAAGAAATTTGCCTTTAAATAGTTTCAACCTTAGATCAAAGAAACAAGAACAGTAGACTACGTAGAGCTTTTGTAAGTTTGGAATTCTATTGAGACGAAAAGTTCCAAAGAAGACTAGTACAAAGAGTTCCCATGTGTCATTCACCTAGACTGGCCGATTATTAACATCTTGCCTCATTTATTCTGTCTGTATAAATTATTATTATTATCATTATTGAGACACGGTTTTGCTCTCGTTGCCCAGGCTGGAGTGCAATGGCGCAATCTCGGCTCATTGCAACCTCCGCCTCCCGGGTTCAAGCGATTCTCCTACCTTAGGCTCCCACTGTATAAATTATTATTATTACTGTCGTTATTATTGATGAACAATTGAGAAAGTCTGCAGCCGTGATACCCCTCTACCCTCAAACACGCTAGGGTATATAGTCTAAGGACAAGGATTTTCTCCAGCATAGCTATGGTATGATTAACAAAGTCAGGAAATGTACCGTTACAATCCTGCGATCACATTTTCAGTGCGTATTCAAATGTGACCAGTTTTCCCAACGGTGTCAGAGCAACCTTTATTTTCCCATCCCACATTGCATTTAGCCATCCTGCCTTTTTTTTTCTTTTTTTGAGACAGGATCTCGCTCTGGATCATCCAGGCTGGAGTGCAATGGTGCCATCTCAGCTCACTGCAACCTCCGCCTCCTGGGTTCAAGCGATCCTTGCACCTCAGCCTCTTGCTGAGACCTCCCAGGCTGCTGGGACCACAGCTGTGTGCCACCACGCCCAGCTAATTTTTATTTTATTTATTTTAATTTTTTAGAGACAGAGTCTGGCTCTGTCGCCCAGGCTGGAGTGCAGTGGCACCATCTCGGCTCACGGCAACCTCCACCTCCTGCGTTCAAGCGATTCTCCTGCCTCAGCCTCCCGAGTAGCTGGGACTACAGGTGTGCACCACCATGCCTGGCTACTTTTTGTATTTTTGTATTTTTTTTTTTTTGTAGAGACGGGGTTTCACCATGTTGCCCAGGCTGGTCTTGAACTCCTGAACTCAAGCCGTCTGTCTGCCTCGGCCTCCCACAGTGCTGGGATTAGAGGCGTGAGCCACTTGCCCCGTCCGTCCTGTCTCTTTTACCACCTTTAGCCTCACAGTTGTTCCGTCCTGGGATCCATGGAGCCAGTAGTGTTGAAGAGTGCACACCGGCTGCTGGGCTGCCGTCCCTCAGTTTGTGTCTGCCTGGTGTTTGCCTGCAGTTGAGTCGAGGTTGTGTTTTTGGCAGGACGCACAGAGGGGTGCTGTGTTTTCCCAGCCCTTCGTGTCAGGAGGCCCCCGGGTGCTGGTTTGTCCTGATACTGGTGCTGGAGACTTTGATCACCTAGTGTCCTGGGGCGAACGGTGTTCCCCAAAACTCACGTCCTTATTTGGAAAAGGTCCTTTGCAGACGTGGTTAGTTAAGATGAGGCCACACTGGAGTTACTGAAATAGGGTGGGGCCTAAATGCAATGGCTCGTGTCCTCTAAGAAGAGGGAAATCTGCACAGAAGGAGACAGCTGTGTGGAGGAGGCAGAGATGGAGTAACACGGCCACAAGCCCGGGACGCCGGGAGCCCCCAGAAGCTGGAAGAGGCAGGAAGGACCCTCCCCCGGGGCTTCAGAGGGAGCGAGGCCCTGCCCGCAGCTTGACCTCAGACTCCCGGCTCTGGGACGTGGAGAGGATCCGCTCCCGTGGCCCCCAGGTGTGGCCTTTGCTCACGGCAGCCCTGGGAAATGAATGTACTTGGTGAAGGTGACTTTTCTCCCCCGTAAAGCTCTGTTTATTTCCCTTATAATGAGGAAGATCTGCGGGGACTCGTGGAATTGGGACTCGGGTGCATGGGGACGTCGCAGTGCACGCCCCGGGAGCCACTCGCAGGCCAGGCCGTGCACGTTTCCAGCCCAAGCGCTGCCTGCGGCCTCCCCAGCCCTGGCCCCGGCATCCGGTCTTCCTTCCCTGGAACGTGATCTGGGGAGACAGATGTTGACACTGTGCAGACATCCTGGCTCCCAGCTCCCAGCAAACCTTCACGCACTGGTTTTAGCAAAACCTTAGGGTTCTTGTGTGAATGGACACTTTTCATTTTATTAATATATTTATTTTAATGGAAAACCAGGGAGTTATGGTTGCAGTGTGAAGTTTCCTCTTTTTCTCATATAATTTTTTAATTTTTTTTTTAGATGGAGTTTTGTTCTTGTCACCCAGGCTGGAGTGCAGTGGTGCGATCTCGGCTCACCGCAACCTCCGCTTCCCAGGTTCAAGTGATTCTCCTGCCTCAGCCTCCCGAGTAGCTGGGATTACAGGCATAAGCCAACATGCCCAGCTAATCTTGTATTTTTAGTAGAGACGGGGTTTCACCATGTTGGTCAGGCTAGTCCTGAGCTCCTGACCTCAGGTGAGCCGCCCGCCTCGGCCTCCCAAAGTGCTGGGATTGCAGGCCTGAGCCATTGTGCCCGGCTCTCATGCAAATTTTTGAAAAAGCAGATATAATTCGCATACCCTAATCCCAACTGTTTAAACTGTGCAGGGCGGTGTATTTAGTGCAGCCACACGGTTCTGCAACCCTCACCCGTGTCTAGTTCCAGGACGCTCCCGTCAGGCAAAATGGAAACTTATCGCCTGCCCTCAGCCGTCCCTCCCCTCCACCCCCTCCCCATCCCCGGCGCCCACGCGTCCCCTTCCTGCCTCTGTGGATCGGCCTGTCTTGGCCACTTCATAGAAATGGGATCACACGCTGTGTGGCCTTTCCTGTCCGGCGTCCTCACGGTGCGTCCGTGCCATGGCCCGTATCGGAGACTTGCTCCTTTTCACGTCTGGGTCACGTTCCAGAGTGCGGATGGACCCCACTGCATTTATCAGTTCATCCGTTGATAGATATTTTAGTTGTTTCCTGCAATTTCCTTTAAAAAGTAAACGCAATTATGTTTGTAAGTGGAGTTTATTTAGAAGGAAAATACCAAGTAAATGACATCGATACAGACCATGGCAAAGCCTATGAGGTGGGTCCCGGTGGCTGGCGTGGGCGGTGGCGGAGACTCGGACGGTCTCCCAGGCTGGGAGTGCAGACATGGGGACCTCGGCTTGTATCTGCCCTGGCCTGCTGCGTGCGTGAGGCCGGCCAGGTGCCATCCCCTCTCTGGGCTTCGGTTTACTGACTTGTACAGTGGCTCCTTCCCTTAACGTCCTGGGGTGGGTTCTGGGTCATGCCTTCTCTCTGGGCCTCAGTTTCTGAATTTGCAAAGGGGAAGGTTGAATGTGAAGCCGCCAGGGCTCCTCCCCATCTTCTGTGGGAGGGTCCCGGGGCTGCCACCACAAACCACCACAAACTGTGGGGCTTAAAACAACACAGACAGCCGGGCGCGGTGACTCACGCCTGTAGTCCCAGCACTTTGGGAGACCGAGGCGGATCACAAGGTCAAGAGATCGAGACCAGCGAGGCCAATATGATGAAACCCCGTCTCTACTAAAAATACAAAAATTAGCCGGGCGTGGTAGTGGGCGCCTGTAATCCCAGCTACTCAGGAGGCTGAGACAGGAGAATGGTGTGAACCCGGGAGGCGGAAGTTGCAGTGAGTCGTGATCGCACCACCGCACTCCAGCCTGGCGACAGAGCAAGACTCCGTCTCAAACAAACAAACAAAAACCCCAAAAACAAAACAAAACACACACACACACAAACATAGACTTGTTCTGTCACAGTTCTGGGGCCCAACGTCCGAGCCAAGGTGTGGGCAGGGCTGGTTTCTGCTGGAGGCTCTGAGGGAGGCTCTGTCCCAGGCCTCTCTCCCGTGTCTGGTGCCTGGGGGCCGGCCTTGGTGTCCTCGGCTGCACACGGCCCCTCCCTTCTGTGTCTCTGTCTCTCAAATCTCCCTCTGTGCTTGTCTTTTTTTTTTTTTATTTTGAGACAGACTCTCCCTCTGTCACCCAGGCTCGAGTGCAGTGGCGTGATCTTGGCTCTCTGCAGCCTCCGCCTCCTGGGTTCAAATGATTCTCCTGCCTCAGCCTCCCAAGTAGCTGGGATTACAGGCATGCAACCACCACGCCCAGCTAATTTTTTTATTTTTATTTTTATTTTTGTATTTTCAGTAGAGTTGGGGTTTCTCCATGTTGGCCAGGCTAGTCTCAAACTCCTGACCTCAAGTGATCCACTCACCTCGGCCTCCCAAAGTGCTGGGATTACAGGCGTGAGCCACCGCGCCCGGCAAAAATGTGTTTTTTAAGACATGGTTGTGCTCTGTTGCCCAGGCTGGAGTGCCGTGGTGCCATCACAGATCACTGCAGCCTCAACCTCCTGGGCTCAAGCCATCCTCCCACCTCAGCCTCCTGAGTAGCTGGGACCACAGGCCCACACTCACCATGCTCAGCTAATTAAAAATTTTTCTTTTGTAGAGATGAGGCCTCATTACATTGCCCAGGCTGGTCTTGAACTCCTGGCTTCGAGACAGCCTCCCACCTAGGTCTCCTGAAGTGCTGCGATTACAGGCATGAGCTGCTGTGCCAGGCCTAGAAATTTATTTCTCACGGTTCTGGAGGCTGGGAGGGCCACGATCGAGGCGCCGGAAGATTCAGTGTCTGGCGAGGGCCTCTTTACAGAGGGCCGTGTTCTCCTGTGTCCTCACGTGGTGGAGGGCTGGGCTCTGTCTGGGGTCTCTTTTATAAGGGCACTGATCCCAGTCCTGAGGGTGGAGCCCTCATAGCCTCCTCACCTCCCAAAGGCCCACCTTTAAATACCCTCACAGTGGGGCATAGGTTTCCACAGAGGGATTTTGAGGGGGGCACAGATATTCAGCCCTAGATCGATATTTACAAACTGGGAGAATTTCACAGAAAAGCCCTGAATTTCTGGTCTCTTTTTTAAAAAAGCACATGGCCGGCAGCACTGGGCGCCGTGGAGCGTGGGACATGCAGTGAGCTGAGGTCCCCGCCTCTTCCCGTCGTGCAGGGGGAGCAGTGCAGATCCTGGAGCCCAGGGGTGTGGGTTCAGGACCCAGCTCTGCGGGCCGTGTGGCCCAGGAGGTCAGTCACCCTCCCACCCGGGCCTGTTTCCCGAGGGGCCATTGCTGCCCATGGCATGTGGATTTGCGTGGAGTGGATTAACAGACCACGTGCACAGTGTGTCCACAGCAGAGCCTCACACGTGACAAGCGCCCTGAGTTAGCGAGGTGTTGGTATCATTACCGGATCTGCGTGCAGTGGATTAAAGGATGCTGTGCACAGCGTGTCCGCAGCAGAGACTTACACGTGACAAGCGCCCTGAGTTAGCGAGGTGTCGGTATCGTTACTGCATTGCATCCTACCTCGTGTGTTTACCTGGCTGATCCTGAAGGCTGTAGGCATCTGAGTTTGCAGTCCCTGTTCTCAACCGAATAGGATATTGCATTTCCTCTCGTGAGCTGCCGTGGGCCACAGAGGGTTTGCCCCCCACCTCCCCCGTGCACTAGGCTGGTGTCCCCACAACGGGACCCATGGACCACACAGTTCAGGGTTTCAGCCGCACAACCGGAGTGGGCTACGTGTTAATAAGGGGGCAGGTAAGGGAATGAGAATCCCTCACCCTATGGCCCTGTAGCGCCAGACACTGGCACAGACATCATCCCAGAGGCACATGCTCTGCCTGAGAGAAGACAGCCATTGAGCAGCCAGCATCCCACCAAAGCTGCCTCCTCAGTGGGAGAATCCAGTGCTAGGGACAGGGACCATGGCTAATTCCTTTAGGTATGACCTGTCTACTACATGCCTAGAGTCCATTCATCTGTTCATCCATTCATCCATCTACTCATCCACCCACCCATCCATCCATCCATTCATCCACCCACCAATCCACCCATCTGTCCACCCATCCAACCATCCACCTGTCCATCCATCCACCCTCCATCCATCCACCCATCCACCCACCCATCCATCCATCCGTCCATCCACCCATCCACCTACACATCCATCCACCCATCCATCCATCTGTCCATCCATCCAACCATCCGTCCATCCATCCACCCTCCATCCACCCACCCATCCATTCACCCGTCCATCCATCCATCCATCCACCCACCCATCCATCCATCCACCCACCCATCCACCTACACATCCATCCACCCATCCATCCGTCCATCCATCCACCCATGCACTCATCCACCCACCCATCCATCCACCTATTCATCCACCCACCCATCCATCCATCCATCCACCCATCTGTCCACCCATCCAACCATCCGTCCATCCATCCACCCACCCATCCACTCACCCGTCCATCCATCCATTCATCCACCCACCCATCCATCCATCCATTCATCCACCCATCTGTCCACCCATCCAACCATCCATCTGTCCATCCATCCACCCACCCATCCACTCACCCGTCCATCCATCCATTCATCCACCCACCCGTCCATCCACCCATCCACCTACACATCCATCCACCCATCCATCCATCTGTCCATCCATCCACCCATCCACTCATCCACCCACCCATCCATCCATCCATTCATCCACCCATCTGTCCACCCATCCAACCATCCATCTGTCCATCCATCCACCCACCCATCCACTCACCCGTCCATCCATCCATTCATCCACCCACCCATCCATCCATCCGTCCATCCACCCATCCACCTACACATCCATCCACCCATCCATCCATCCACCCATCCACTCATCCACCCACCCATCCATGCACCTATTCATCCACCCACCCATCCATCCATCTGTCCACCCATCCAACTATCCATCTGTCCATCCATTCACCCATCCACTCATCTACCCACCCATCCACCCATGCACTCATCTACCCACCCATCCATCCATCCATTCATCCACCCACCCATCTACCCATCTGTCCACCCATCCAACCACCCATCTGTCCATCCATCCACCCTCCATCCATCCACCCACCCATCCACTCATCCACCCACCCGTCCATCCATCCATTCATCCACCCACCCACCCATTCATCCATCCATCCACCCACCCATGCATCCATCCATCCACCCATCCACCCACCCGTCCATCCATCCATTCACCCACCCATCCATCCACCCATCCACCCACCCGTCCATCCATCCATTCATCCACCCACCCATCCACTCATCTATCCACCCACCCATCCATCCGTCCACCCGTCCACCCATCCACCCACCCATCCACCCATCCACTCATCCACCCACCCATCCATCCACCCATCCATCCATCCATCCACCCATCCACTCATCCACCCACCCACCCACCCGTCCATCCACCCACCCATCCATCCAGCCATCCGTCCACCCGTCCACCCACCCATCCACCCATCCACTCATCCACCCACCCATCCATCCACCCATCCATCCATCCACCCATTCACTCATCCACCCACCCACCCACCCGTCCATCCACCCACCCATCCATCCAGCCATCCGTCCACCCACCCACCCATCCACCCACCCACCCATCCATCCACCCACCCATCCATCCATCCATCCGTCCATCCATCCATCCACCCATCCACCCACCCATCCACCCACCCATTCATCCATCCATCCATCCACCCGCCCATCCATCCATCTGTCCATCCATCCATCCACCCATCCACTCATCTACTCATCTACCCACCCACCCATCCATCCATCCTTCCACCCTCCATCCATCCACCCACCCATCCATTCATTGTCCATCTGCCTGTCCATCCATCTACCCATCCATCCATCATCCACTCACCCATCATCCATCCGTTCACCCACTCACCCACCCATCTATTCATCTTCCATCCATTCTTTCATTCATCCATCCACCTGCCATCTTTCTGTCAGTCCATCCACCCATCATGCATCCATTCAACAGGAGGTGAGGCTGCTTAGTCCATGCCCTGCTTAAGTGCTCCCTGGCTCCCCAGCTGGCCCAGGATGAGCCCCTGCCCGTCATCACAGCCCAGGTCCTGTGGCCTCTGCTTCCTGCCTGCATTCTCACATCTGTCTCTGCTCCTTGCTCTCCCTGCTCCAGGTACATGGAGCCGTGGAGAGGGGCAGAGCCTGGGCCGGCCCACACAGTGACCTGTACACACCTCAGAAGCCCTCAGGCTGATGTATCTGTGGGGTAAAGTCCTAAAAATGGAGCTGCAGGGTCAAAGTGTTTGCGTGTTGATCATTTAAAGAAACTGAGGTGGACTTCACATAACGTTA
Source organism: Homo sapiens (assembly GCF_000001405.40). Lineage (NCBI taxonomy): Eukaryota > Metazoa > Chordata > Mammalia > Primates > Hominidae > Homo > Homo sapiens. The sequence continues at coordinate 441,808 of NC_000019.10, read as the reverse complement.
TTCATCATTTTGCATGTTGCATTTTTCACAGTTCAGTAGCATTTCGTACATTCATAATATCGTGCCACCACCCCTTCTGTCTAATTCCAGAATTTCTCATGACCCCAGTAGGAAACCTGTTCGTGTCAGCCTTCATTCCCCGGCTCCTGGCACCCACACATGCTCTTGCTGCCTCTGTAGGACATTTCATAGAGATGACGTGGGCTGTGCCCCTTACCCTCCCTCCAGCAAGGGCCAACGTTGGAAGGACGCTGTGGCCTTCGCCTCCTGGCCCTGTTCCCCCACCCTTTACGGCACTGAAGCAGGTCAGGGACTCGGTGGGACGCCTCTGCCCCTCTCGTCCCTCAGTATTATCAGTCATTGAGATGGTGAATTCCCTTTTCATGGAAACAGCTGTCTGGGCCAGAAGCCCGCAAACTTCCTGTGGAGGGCGAGGCCAGCAGTGTGTGCATCTGTGGCTGCCCTGGACGTCTGCCCCACTGTTTGCCAGACCCTGAACTGGGCGCTGGAGATAGGGAAGTGCTCAGGATCGCACCATCCCCACGCTCCTCGGCTTCGGTGCTGGTGGAACAGAAAGAGACCGACGAGGGCAAGACGGTTAAATGAACAAGCAGCATAGAGCGTCTGGGGGAACCACCAGGCTCCTGAGAAACAGCAACACAGAAAAACATGCCTGGAGTCAGAGGGGGCGGCTCGCAGGACAGTGTCAAGGCTGGGCCTTGAGGTGGGGGAGGCACGACGGCCCCAGAGCCACCAGGGACAGAGGAAAGGGCTCGACCCCAGGGGTGGTGGAGGCGGCGAAGGGCTGCTGGGAAAAGGGACGTGGCTCCACTGCGGGGGTTCCGATGGCATCTGACACCTGTTCTCTCCCCTCAGTACATGGGCTGCATCGAGGTTCTCCGCTCTATGCGCTCCCTGGACTTTAACACGCGCACGCAGGTGACCAGGTGAGCCTCCAACCCTGCCCTGGCCGCGTAGGGCTGAGTGACGCACTGGAGGGCGGCAGCACTGGAGGGCGGCAGCGATGGGCTCTCCGACAGCCGCGCTGGGGTCCCAGGACGCAGCCTCGGTGCCCCCCACCTCCCTCCCACTTCACGCCACGTCTCCGCCCTGTCCCCACGCCAGGTGTCGGTCACCGTGCCCTGCAGACCTCGATCCTCTAAGATGGAAAGAACACGCCGGTCGCTCACAGGGTGCTGGGCAAGTCCCCGCACGGCGTGGGGTGCAGGGCCTGGCGGGTTCCCTCTGGGACCGGGGCCCAGTGGCGTCTCCGTGTCCCTGCTCTGTTTTCCACACGGTGACCTCAGGATGCTATGCGGTGTCTGGAAAGCAATCACAGGGGCTGTGGATATGGCCAGGGCTTAAGCAGGGAAGAGAGCGACACCCTTTTTTTCTGTGAAAACTGGTTGATTCCATTCGTATAGACTTAAAAAAACCATGTGAGACAGTTTACACGTGCGTATGTGAGATATAATGTACAGTTTGAGACTTTAGGCTCTTCACAGAGTCACACGATCACCACTGTCTAGTTCCGAACATTCTCATTACCCCATCAAAACACCCCGTCCCCATCACAGCCACTCCCCGTCCCCTCCCCAGCCCCGGCACCCACGCATCCCCTCCCTGTCTCTGTGGATCGGCCTGTCCTGGACATTTCATAGCAATGGGATCACACGCTGCGTGGCCTCGTGTGTCTGGCGTCTCTCACTGAGCATGGCGTTCCCGAGGTGTGTCCGCGCTGTGGCCTGGGTCAGAGCCTTGCTCCTTTTTTTTTTTTTTTTTTGAGATGGAGTCTCACTCTGTTGCCCAGGCTGGAGTGCAGTGACACCGTGTCGGCTCACTGCAACCTCTGTCTCCTGGGTTCAAGCATTTCTCTTGCCTCAGCCTCCCCAGTAGCTGGGACTACAGGCGCCCACCACCACACCCAGCTAGTTTTTATGTTTTTAGTAGAGACGGGGTTTCTCCATGTTGGTCAGACCGGTCTCGAACCCCTGACCTCAGGTGATCCGCCCGTCTCAGCCTCCCCAAGTGTTGGGATGACAGGTGGGGGCCGCCGCGCCTGCATGCATTTGTTTGTGTCAGGCCCACAGTGCTAGGATGACAGGCAGGAGCCGCTGCATCTGGCCAATTTTTAACCTTTTGAGGAGCCCCCAGGCTGTTTTCCACAGTGGCCGTGCTGTGAAAATTCCCACATGCCCTGGGTGGGGGATCTGGTTTCTCCACGTGACGCCGACATTTCCGGGGCCCCTTCAGGACCCTGTAGACTTCTAACCTCTCCTGGGGACCAGTGGTCTGAGGCGCTCTTGTTTGGGGTCAGCTCCTGCCACCACTCAGGCTGCAGACAGGATCTCGACACGGACCCCGCGTCAGGCTCAGGGCCTCCTGCTCGCTGCTCCAACCCCCACATCTGATGCCGAGCCTTCCTTGTGGGCCGAGGCCAGGGACACACTGGTCCCTGGGAAAGAGGGTGGTAGAGGGGCCAGAGCTGGGGGCCGGGCCTCTGCCGGATGCAAGGACGCACGTGGAGTGGGCTGGTGCCCAAGCTGCACCTGTCCTGTGGGGCACTCCTCCCCCAGGTTCCCCAGCCCCCTCCCTGCCCACTTTAGGCCCCCTGATCCTCTCCCACCCCTCCCTCTCTGCCTTCCTCTCCCCTCTCTCTCGCCCTTCTCTGAGCTCCTGCCCCCTCCCCAGACCCCCGCCCTCTCTGACCCCTTCCTCCCCAGCTCCCTCCATGGCCACCCCCACCACACTCTCTAAGCCCCCTCCTCCCAACCCCAGGGAAGCCATCAACCGGCTCCATGAGGCCGTGCCTGGCGTCCGGGGATCCTGGAAGAAAAAGGTGAGTGAGGCTTGTGGTCTCTCGTGGGGCTGGTGGGGCAGTCGGGGGCTGTGGGGACGCTGCGGCCATCCTGGGAGCCCCTCGACAGCCCCCACCCACAGCCGCCCTCGCTGTGCTCCGCCCCCAACTCAGGCCCCCAACAAGGCCCTGGCGTCCGTCCTGGGCAAGAGCAACCTTCGCTTTGCCGGCATGAGCATCTCCATCCACATCTCCACTGATGGCCTCAGCCTCTCCGTGCCTGCCACGCGCCAGGTGGGTCTGCCCTCTTCGCCTGGCGTCCCCAGACCCCCAGAGGGGCCAGGAGTCCTAGGAGGCAAAGCCAGGTGGGGTGCTGGGGGCGGGCAGCAGGTGGCGTTTATCCAGAAAGACGAGCCGAGGCCCCGCTGAGCAGGAGCTGGGGGTGCAGCCACTGCCCTCACGGGGCTCAGCTCAGGGGCTCCCACCTGGGCGAGCCGTCCTGATACAGGGGCGCTCCTGGCATGGAGTGGGTGGGGGCAGGGACGCTGCTCAGCACCCTGCAGGGGCCAGGACGCCCCACCCCAGAGAGTGGTCCGTCCCAACATCCACAGTGCCTGGGGAGGGGCGGGGATAAACCCTGGCTATCAGTCCTCAAGTGGAAACAAACAACAAAAGTATAATTGCAGACCAGGCTCGGGCTTGGTTGCTCACGCCTGTAACCCCAGCACTGTGAGGCCGGGCTCAGTGGCTCACGCCTGTAACCCCAGCACTTTGGGAGGCTGAGGGGTGGGCAGATCACTTGAGGTCAGGAGTTCGAGACCAGCCTGGCCAACATGGCTGACTCTACAAAAAATACAAAGATTAGCCGGGTGTGGTGGTGGGCGCCTGTAATCCCAGCTACTTGGGAGGCTGAGGCAGGAGAATCGCTTGAACCTGGGAGTGGAGGTTGCAGTGAGCCAAGATTGCACTACTGCACTCCAGCCTGGGCAACAGAGTGAGACTCTGTCTCAAAAAACCAAAAAACAAAAAACTATAATTGCAGAAATAGAGGAAATAACAGATTTTAGGAAGCATTGTGAGGCCAGGTGAGGGGTGTCCTGAGCATGTGCTGGGCTCTGGGTGCTAGAAGAGACTTCCTGGAGGGCTCTGGGAGGTGGTGAGGAGGGGAATCTCAGGTGTGGCTGAAAGAGGAGGCATCGCCTTGTCGGAGAAGTTAGCATGGATCATCGTGAGGAGTTTGGGGTGAGACAGCATCTCTGAGCTGGTGTGGTGGCAGCAGGTGGCGGTGAGGGGCAGCTGGGGCTCCAGGGAGGAGGCTAGAGAAGGATGGAGCTGGCGGGGGGGTGACTGAGGGCCATTTCCACGCAATTTCCATCTCTGCCCCCACCCTGCGAGGCATGGACCCCTGACCACTATATGGACAGGATACTGAGGCTCCAAGCAGACCCTCCTGGCTGGGCCGGGGTTGGCAAGGGGAGAGCCTCGAGGGTCCCTATGGGGGCTGAGAAGTGGATGTTCTGTAGGGAGGACTCAGGACGTGGCTGGTATCGGGGGCTTACTGGGGCCTAGAGGGATTTGAGTGACGGGAAGCAAATGAAGCAGGACCATGCAAATGAGCATGCAAACAAGCACGCAGACGAGCACACAAACAAGCACACAGATGAGCATGCAAACAAGCACGCAGATGAGCATGCAGATGAGCACACAGACGAGCACGCAGATGAGCACACAGACGAGCACGCAGACGAGCACGCAAACGAGCACGCAGATGAGCTCGCAAACGAGCACGCAGATGACCACGCAAACGAGCAAGTAGATGAGCATGCAAACGAGCATGCAGATCAGTAGGCAAACAAGCATACAAATGAGCATGCAGATAAGCATGCAAATGCACTCACAGGTGCCCTTGCACGTGGACAAGGGAGTCAGGAGTGTGGGGCCGTCCCTCCCGTGGCTGCTTCGGGTGTGTGTGTGTGTGTGCATGTGTGTGGGGCTTGGGGTGTGTGTGTGTGAGCGTCTGGGCAGGTACATGTGTGAAGTGTTACAGTGGGGGAGGTTTGTCCTCTCACACACATTCCCGTGTGACCTCCTGCGGACCCCACACATCCCTTAGGGCCCTAGTCCCTTCCTTGCTGGGGACTCCACATCCCAGCCTCGGTCGTCCAGGCTGACCCAGGACCCGGCTGCAGTGGGTGCCTGTCCAGGAGACGTCTCCATCCCCACATCCCTGCCCCTGCCCCACTCTTCGCTGTGGTCCTGGTCCATCTGCCGGGCCCCCTGCCCTCGAAGCGGGGCCCCCATGACCGCGTGTGCCTCCTGCCGCCACAGGTCATCGCCAACCACCACATGCCGTCCATCTCCTTCGCGTCAGGCGGAGACACGGTGAGGCCAGGGATGGGGGTGGACCTGCAGCCCTGCCGCCCCCCTCCGGCCGCGAGACCCTCTCATCCTTCCCCAGAGCCCGCCTAACGTACCCTGTGCCCACATCCACTGCCCCATCTCTCTGCATTGCTGGGGTGGGCAGCTGGGAATCCCGGTGGGGGGCCCAGGCAGGTCCAGCTGGCCCCTCCCCGCCCCCAGGACATGACGGATTACGTGGCCTACGTCGCCAAGGACCCCATCAACCAGAGAGGTGAGGCCCCCGGGGAGGCCGGTGGGGGTCCTGTGGCTGGGGGGCACGGCCGTGTGGCTCGGAGGCTGCATGACCAACGTGCCCGCAGCCTGCCACATCCTGGAGTGCTGTGAGGGCCTGGCACAGAGCATCATCAGCACCGTGGGCCAAGCTTTCGAGCTGCGCTTCAAGCAGTACCTGCACAGCCCGCCCAAGGTGGCGCTGCCCCCAGAAAGGTAACCAGAGCTGCCTCCCCCGTGCCCTGGGGACACCCCCAGTGACCTGCCCAGGTGCAGAGCCTGCTCCACCTCCTGCAGGCCTCAGCCTCCGTCCTGCCCTTGTCCCTCCCTCCCTGTCCCGTGAGAATATGGCTCAGCCAGAGGATCCTGTTTCCTCGGCTGTTAACACCCGAGTAAACGCATCCCCGCCTGCCCCCCAGGATTGGGGAGGACTAAGCAAGCTGACTCCCCGGTGTGCCTGAGGCTGTCAGCCCTGCTGCTACAACCAATATCCCTCCTCCAGACGCGCGGCCGGCTCCCGCAATGGGCAGAAAACGGCCTCCGTCTCACCGCAGAACATGTGTAAAGGGGGGGACGTGTCTGTGTGCTGGTAACACGTTTTTTATAGACATTGAAGTGTGAATGCCACGTGTTGCAAAATATGATTCTCTAGATGTTTTCTCAAACACTTAACTTTGATAATTTAAAGATTGAAAGCCCATTCTTAGCTCGTGGGCCACACAGATCTAGGCGGTGAGCTGGATTTGGCCCTGGGCTGGGGTTTGCCAGCTGGCCTTGGAGAAGGAGCTATTTAAGTCTCTATTCATCATTAGAAAGTCAGCTTCCTCCAATGGTGGGAGGGCAGGTGCAGGTGCATGAGCTCCCAGCCTGCTGGTCACGAGGGAGGCGGCATCGCACGCCTGCTCACACTCACCCCTTTGTGCACGGGGACAGCGTGCTTGATGCACGTTGCTCAGCACGCTCCGAAGCTGAGACGGGCTCCTCGCCTGCCTCCAGAGCTGCCTCTGCCTTCCGTAGGCTGCTTCATAATTTATCCCAGCAGCGACTGTGGGCCAGGTGGGGTGCACCCCTCTGGCTCTCGGGGCCGTGCTTGCTGAGGAGCACCTGCAGGATCAATTCCTGCCAGTGCCATCGGGGCCAGAGGGCGGGGGCGCTTTGATCCCAGAGAGTTGCCACCCTGACCGGTGATGTCCTGGTTCTGGGTATAAACTTGGCTCATGCCCTCTGCTGCCGGGCGGGGCCGGAGGTGGGCAGAAAGGAGTGGAGACTGGGTTTGCCAACGACCTGCCTTTTGTGCTACAGCTCGGAAATGTGTGCAACATTCCATTTTATAGATGAGGAAGTAGTGGGCCTGGTCACTGGCTCTAGAAGCGTTTCCCGGTAGGAACCCTCAGTGACAGGTGGGGGGCTGGGATTCGAACTCAGATATTTCCTGCTCCCCCAGAAGCTCAAGCCGTAAGGCTTTAGCCCCCTTGGGCCCTGCCTGTGCCATGGCCGTTGTTGTCTGTCCCCCAGGCTGGCAGGGCCGGAGGAGTCGGCCTGGGGGGACGAGGAGGACTCTTTGGAGCACAATTACTACAACAGCATCCCGGGGAAGGAGCCGCCGCTGGGCGGGCTAGTGGACTCCAGGCTGGCCCTGACACAGCCCTGCGCCCTCACGGCCCTCGACCAGGTCAGCCTCTGCCCTCGGGGGGATGGGGACAGGGATGCCCCAGCTGCTGGTTCCCTGGACCTACCTCCAGCTCTTCTTTCTGCTCCTGTTCTCCTCGATCCTAGAGGAGGGTCTCTCACTCAGACTCACTCACTCACTCACTCATGATTTCACTTACTCACAGACTCACAATCTCACTCACAATCTCACAGGCTCACGATCTCACTCATGATTTCACTCACTCACAGACTCACGATCTCACTCACTTGCTCACTATCTCACAGACTCATGATCTCACTCAGTCTCACTCACTATCTCACTCACAGACTCACGATCTCACTCAGACTCATCATCTCACTCACGATCTCATGATCTCACTCACTCATGATCTCACTCACAGACTCATGATCTCAGTCACGATCTCACTCACTCATGATCTCACTCACTCATGATCTCACTCATGATCTCACTCACTCATGATCTCACTCAGGATCTCACTCACTCACTCAATCACAGGCTCACAATGGGGCGCCGTGTATCTGCCCGGCCTCCTCTATCTCTCACTCACTATCTCACTCACGATGAAGCGCCATCTGCCCGGCCTCCTCTAACTCTCACTCACGATCTCACTCACGATGAAGCGCCATCTATCTGCCCGGCCTCCTCTAACTCTCACTCACGATCTCACTCACGATGAAGCGCCATCTATCTGCCCGGCCTCCTCTATCTCTCACTCACGATCTCACTCACGATGAAGCGCCATCTATCTGCCCGGCCTCCTCTATCTCTCACTCACGATCTCACTCACGATGAAGCGCCATCTATCTGCCCCGCCTCCTCTATCTCTCACTCACGATCTCACTCACGATGAAGCGCCATCTATCTGCCCCGCCTCCTCTAACTCTCACTCACGATCTCACTCACGATGAAGCGCCATCTATCTGCCCGGCCTCCTCTAACTCTCACTCACGATCTCACTCACGATGAAGCGCCATCTATCTGCCCGGCCTCCTCTAACTCTCACTCACGATCTCACTCACGATGAAGCGCCATCTATCTGCCCGGCCTCCTCTATCTCTCACTCACTATCTCACTCACGATGAAGCGCCATCTATCTGCCCGGCCTCCTCTATCTCTCACTCACTATCTCACTCACGATGAAGCGCCATCTGCCCGGCCTCCTCTAACTCTCACTCACGATCTCACTCACGATGAAGCGCCATCTATCTGCCCGGCCTCCTCTATCTCTCACTCACGATCTCACTCACGATGAAGCGCCATCTGCCCGGCCTCCTCTAACTCTCACTCACGATCTCACTCACGATGAAGCGCCATCTATCTGCCCGGCCTCCTCTAACTCTCACTCACGATCTCACTCACGATGAAGCGCCATCTATCTGCCCCGCCTCCTCTATCTCTCACTCACGATCTCACTCACGATGAAGCGCCATCTATCTGCCCGGCCTCCTCTAACTCTCACTCACGATCTCACTCACGATGAAGCGCCATCTATCTGCCCTGCCTCCTCTATCTCTCACTCACGATCTCACTCACGATGAAGCGCCATCTATCTGCCCGGCCTCCTCTATCTCTCACTCACGATCTCACTCACGATGAAGCGCCATCTATCTGCCCCGCCTCCTCTATCTCTCACTCACGATCTCACTCACGATGAAGCGCCATCTATCTGCCTGGCCTCCTCTATCTCTCACTCACGATCTCACTCACGATGAAGCGCCATCTATCTGCCCGGCCTCCTCTATCTCTCACTCACGATCTCACTCACGATGAAGCGCCATCTGCCCGGCCTCCTCTAACTCTCACTCACGATCTCACTCACGATGAAGCGCCATCTATCTGCCCGGCCTCCTCTAACTCTCACTCACGATCTCACTCACGATGAAGCGCCATCTATCTGCCCGGCCTCCTCTATCTCTCACTCACGATCTCACTCACGATGAAGCGCCATCTATCTGCCCGGCCTCCTCTATCTCTCACTCACGATCTCACTCACGATGAAGCGCCATCTATCTGCCCGGCCTCCTCTATCTCTCACTCACGATCTCACTCACGATGAAGCGCCATCTATCTGCCCGGCCTCCTCTATCTCTCACTCACGATCTCACTCACGATGAAGCGCCATCTATCTGCCCGGCCTCCTCTATCTCTCACTCACGATCTCACTCACGATGAAGCGCCATCTATCTGCCCGGCCTCCTCTATCTCTCACTCACGATCTCACTCACGATGAAGCGCCATCTATCTGCCCGGCCTCCTCTATCTCTCACTCACGATCTCACTCACGATGAAGCGCCATCTATCTGCCCGGCCTCCTCTAACTCTCACTCACGATCTCACTCACGATGAAGCGCCATCTATCTGCCCCGCCTCCTCTATCTCTCACTCACGATCTCACTCACGATGAAGCGCCATCTATCTGCCCGGCCTCCTCTAACTCTCACTCACGATCTCACTCACGATGAAGCGCCATCTATCTGCCCGGCCTCCTCTAACTCTCACTCACGATCTCACTCACGATGAAGCGCCATGTATCTGCCCGGCCTCCTCTATCTCTCACTCACGATCTCACTCACGATGAAGCGCCATCTATCTGCCCGGCCTCCTCTATCTCTCACTCACGATCTCACTCACGATGAAGCGCCATCTATCTGCCCGGCCTCCTCTATCTCTCACTCACGATCTCACTCACGATGAAGCGCCATCTATCTGCCCCGCCTCCTCTATCTCTCACTCACGATCTCACTCACGATGAAGCGCCATCTATCTGCCTGGCCTCCTCTATCTCTCACTCACGATCTCACTCACGATGAAGCGCCATCTGCCCGGCCTCCTCTAACTCTCACTCACGATCTCACTCACGATGAAGCGCCATCTATCTGCCCGGCCTCCTCTAACTCTCACTCACGATCTCACTCACGATGAAGCGCCATCTATCTGCCCGGCCTCCTCTAACTCTCACTCACGATCTCACTCACGATGAAGCGCTATCTATCTGCCCGGCCTCCTCTATCTCTCACTCACGATCTCACTCACGATGAAGCGCCATCTATCTGCCCCGCCTCCTCTATCTCTCACTCACGATCTCACTCACGATGAAGCGCCATCTATCTGCCCGGCCTCCTCTATCTCTCACTCACGATCTCACTCACGATGAAGCGCCATCTGCCCGGCCTCCTCTATCTCTCACTCACGATCTCACTCACGATGAAGCGCCATCTGCCCGGCCTCCTCTATCTCTCACTCACGATCTCACTCACGATGAAGCGCCATCTGCCCGGCCTCCTCTAACTCTCACTCACGATCTCACTCACGATGAAGTGCCATCTATCTGCCTGGCCTCCTCTATCTCTCACTCACGATCTCACTCACGATGAAGCGCCATCTATCTGCCCGGCCTCCTCTAACTCTCACTCACGATCTCACTCACGATGAAGCGCCATCTATCTGCCCGGCCTCCTCTGGACACATTAGACGAGGTGGCATTTCAGACATGACTTCTACCCTCAGACACTAAATAAATACGGCAATGATTTAATCAGGGCCTTGGTAAGTCCACCAGAGAGGCAGTGAGGATGTCCATGGGGACATACACTCTGTAGGGCGGTCCGGAGGCCTTCCCTGAGGAAGCGGCATTTGGGTAGAGCCCTGACTGGTGAATAGGAGCTGCCTGGGAGAGCAGAGCGGGGAAGGTTATCCAGGCAGGGGGAACAGCCATTGCAAGGTGGCAGGATGTGCTGACCACCTTCCGAGGTGGAGAGAAGGCGGGGAAGGCCACGGCAGAGGTGGGCGGCAGACCCAGGGGGCCTAGTTACAGAGTGAGAGAGCAATGGGAGGGCCAGGGCTGTGCTCCCCACCCCTAAGTCTCCAGCCATCTAAGAGGGCCGGGCGGGGAGACTGGGGGTCCAGAGCCAGGAAGAGGGGCTTGCACACACCGGGGAACCTCTCACTGCTCTGTTTCCAGGGCCCATCTCCTTCTCTAAGAGATGCCTGCAGCCTGCCATGGGACGTGGGGTCCACCGGTACAGGTAGGATGGGCTGGGGCTGCAAGGGGTACCCACGAGGATTCTGGGGCTCCTCAGCCCTGTCCTGTGCTGGCTCCCCCTCAGTCTTTCTCCTCTCTGCTTATTTCACATTAATCTATGAGATCGTCTTGCTCCTAACACTCTGCTGAGATTTTCATCATCAGTGTCTGTTTTTCCTGCACACACTAGATTCCTTGCATGTTGGGTATAAGTACTACATTATCCACACGGTATTAGGTTTCCGTGCATGTTGGGTATAGGTACTGTGTCATCCACATGGTATTAGGTGTCCATGCATGTTGGATATAGGTACTGCGTCTTCCACACGGTATTAGGTCTCTGTGCATGTTGAGATATAGGTGCCGCGTCATCCACACGGTATTAGGTTTCTGTGCACGTTGGGGTATAGGTACTGCGTCATCCACACGGTATTAGGTTTCCGTGCACGTTGGATATACATACTGCGTCATCCACACGGTATTAGGTTTCTGTGCACGTTGGGGTATAGGTACTGCGTCATCCACACGGTATCAGGTTTCCGTGCATGTTGGGATATAGGTACTGCGTCATCCACACGGTATTAGGTTTCCGTGCACGTTGGGATATAGGTACTGCGTCATCCACACGGTATTAGGTTTCCGTGCACGTTGGGGTATAGGTACTGCGTCATCCACACGGTGTTAGGTTTCCGTGCATGTTGGGTATAGGTACTGCGTCATCCACATGGTATTAGGTTTCTGTGCACGTTGGGTGTAGATACTGTGTCATCCACACGGTATTAGGTTTCTCTGCACGTTGGATATAGGTACTGCGTCATCCACACGGTGTTAGGTTTCTGTGCGTGTTGGGTATAGGTACTGTGTCATCCACACGGTATGAGGTTTCCGTGCATGTTGGGTATAGGTACTGCGTCATCCACACGGTGTTAGGTTTCCGAGCATGTTGGGTATAGGTACTGCGTCATCCACACGGTGTTAGGTTTCCGTGCATGTTGGGTATAGGTACTGCGTCATCCACACGGTATGAGATTTCCGTGCATGTTGGGTATAGGTACTGTGTCATCCACACGGTATTAGGTTTCTCTGCATGTTGGGTATAGGTACTGCGTCATCCACACGGTGTTAGGTTTCTGTGCACGTTGGATATAGGTACTGCGTCATCCACACGGTGTTAGGTTTCCGTGCACGTTGGGTATAGGTACTGCGTCATCCACACGGTATTAGGTTTCTGTGCACGTTGGGTGTAGATACTGTGTCATCCACACGGTATTAGGTTTCTCTGCATGTTGGATATAGGTACTGCGTCATCCACACGGTGTTAGGTTTCCGTGCGTGTTGGGTATAGGTACTGCGTCATCCACACGGTGTTAGGTTTCCGTGCATGTTGGGTATAGGTACTGCGTCATCCACACGGTATGAGGTTTCCGTGCATGTTGGGTATAGGTACTGTGTCATCCACACGGTATTAGGTTTCTCTGCATGTTGGATATAGGTACTGCGTCATCCACACGGTGTTAGGTTTCTGTGCATGTTGGATATAGGTACTGCATCATCCACACAGTGTTAGGTTTCCGTGCACGTTGGGTATAGGTACCGCATCATCCACACGGTATGAGGTTTCTGTGCATGTTGGGATATAGGTACTGCGTCATCCACACGGTATTAGGTTTCTTTGCATGTTGGATATAGGTACTGCGTCATCCACACGGTGTTAGGTTTCCGTGCACGTTGGGTATAGGTACTGCGTCATCCACACGGTATGAGGTTTCCGTGCATGTTGGGATATAGGTACTGCGTCATCCACACGGTATGAGGTTTCTGTGCATGTTGGGTATAGGTACTGCGTCATCCACACAGTATTAGGTTTCTGTGCACGTTGGGTGTAGATACTGTGTCATCCACACAGTATTAGGTTTCTCTGCATGTTGGATATAGGTACTGCATTCGTCCACATGGTTCAAAACATCATGGAGTTTAAAAAGCCGTTCAATGAGCAATCTCTTTCATACCTGTCTGCATCTGTTTTCTTTGCCTCCCTGATCAGGCAGCCACTGTTAGCTGTCAGTGGCTCCTGAGTTATTTTCCTAGCTTTTCAACGGATATTCAAGCCAGTTCAAACGTGCGTCATAGCCCTTGTTTTTGCAGATAGGGTGTGCTACCCATCCATCTTCCACCTTGCTGTGTCCATGGGGCAAACATCAGGGGTTCTTCCCACACTGTGCACGCCAGACTTCCTCATGGTTACATCATTTATTCCACTCACGCCCTGGTCCTGGACATCTGCGTTGATTGCAGGCCTTTGCCATGACAGACAGCAGTGTGGTGACCTTAAACGGTCCGCCTGTGTGCCAGGACTCAACAAACGCGTCCCAGGGAGGGGCACTCGGGCCATTTCAGTAGGAATCAGTAATTGCCCGCTCAACCGACATTCCCACCGGGCACTTCGAGCTTTGGCTTTTTGTTTTTGAGACGTCTTGCTTTGTCGCCCAGGTTGGAGGGCAGTGGTGTGATCATGGCTCACGGAAGCCTCCACCTCTCAGGCTCAAGCAGTCCTCACTCCTAACACTCCAGAGTAGCTGGAACCACAGGCGTGCGTCACTGCACCCAGCACATTTTTAAATTGTGTGGAGGTGAGGTCTCACTGTTTCCCAGGCTGATCTCAAAGCCCTGGGCTCAAGAGATCCTCCCTTCCCTGTGCGGGGTGCAATTTCTCTTCCCTGTGCCGTCCCCTCCCCTGTGCCATGTGGCCTCCCTTTTCCTGTGCCGTGTGCAGTTCCCCCTTCCCTGCGCCGTGTGCAGTTCCCCCTTCTCTGTGCCGTGTGCAGTTCCCCCTTCCCTGTGCCGTGTGCAGTTCCCCCTTCCCTGTGCCGCCCCCTTCCGTGTGCTGTGCGCCGTCCCCTGTCCCCTTACCTGTGCCGTGCGCAATTCCCCTTCCCTGCGCCGTGTGCAGTTCCCCCTTCCCTGTGCCGTGCGCAATTCCCCTTCCCTGCGCCGTGTGCAGTTCCCCCTTCCCTGTGCCGCCCCCTTCCGTGTGCTGTGCGCCGTCCCCTGTCCCCTTACCTGTGCCGTGCGCAATTCCCCTTCCCTGCGCCGTGTGCAGTTCCCCCTTCCCTGTGCCGTGCGCAATTCCCCTTCCCTGTGCCGTGCGCAATTCCCCTTCCCTGTGCCGTGCGCAATTCCCCTTCCCTGTGCCGTGTGCAATTCCCCTTCCCTGTGCCGTGTGCAATTCCCCCTTACCCAAGCCATTCCTGATGGGCATTGAGGATCCTTCCCGCTCCCTCAGGTAGCTCCGCGGCAGGCGCCCCTCGTTCCCACGAGCCCTTCTCTCCAGTGCATGCTGAGCCGGGAACTGCCGGGTCACGGAGCGCCGGCCTTAATCACGTTACCGGCGGTGCCAGTCCACCCTGGAGGCGGCTGTGCAGTCGGCTCGCCCACCAGCCCCGCCTGCGGCTGCCTGTTTCCTAACAGCCTTGCTAACATCTGTGTTGAGCTTTTTTTAGATCTTCCCAAACAATCTGGCATTTCGCTGCCAAGCGTCAGAGCCCTCGAGCTGGTCAGAGAAACTCGAGCCATCGAGTGCCCACCCGGTGCCCAGCTGTGCTCTGGTCCTGGCGCACGTTCCTCTGGGATGCTGGCTGCTCACCCCGGACCGGGGGCTCGCCAGCGTTCCCTGCCCCTGTGCCCACACCCGGGCTGTTCTCACTTGCACTCATGCCCTTCCCGATTCTCTGGCCAAGAACTCCTACAAATGTGCCCATAGCGCGGGTCCAGGGTCCAGGGATTCCTCCACCCGCCTGCGTCTCGCACTGTCGTCCTCCCTCCCCGGACTCTGCCCCTCGCACTGTCGTCCTCCCTCCCCGGACTCTGCCCCTCTCGGTGTCGTCCTCCCTCCCCGGACTCTGCCCCTCTCGGTGTCGTCCTCCCTCCCCGGACTCTGCCCCTCTCGGTGTCGTCCTCCCTCCCCGGACTCTGCCCCTCTCGGTGTCGTCCTCCCTCCCCGGACTCTGCCCCTCTCGGTGTCGTCCTCCCTCCCCGGACTCTGCCCCTCTCGGTGTCGTCCTCCCTCCCCGGACTCTGCCCCTCTCGGTGTCGTCCTCCCTCCCCGGACTCTGCCCCTCTCGGTGTCGTCCTCCCTCCCCGGACTCTGCCTCTCTCGGTGTCGTCCTCCCTCCCCGGACTCTGCCTCTCGTGCTGTCGTCCTCCCTCCCCGGACTCTGCCTCTCTCGGTGTCGTCCTCCCTCCCCGGACTCTGCCCCTCTCGGTGTCGTCCTCCCTCCCCGGACTCTGCCCCTCTCGGTGTCGTCCTCCCTCCCCGGACTCTGCCTCTCGCACTGTCGTCCTCCCTCCCCGGACTCTTGGAACTGCGTTTCTTCCCTCTCACCCATCCTGACCCTAAGAAGCTGAGAGAATCTGTGCCCCTCTTGGTAGACTGGGAAGGCGGGGGAGAAGCCCCTCTGCCCTCGTCACCCAGCAAGGGCTAGTGCAGCCTCACGTTCATGTGGATTCACAGCCAGACCCTGTTCCAAGGCAGAGGCAGTCTGGTCAGGACCTGGCAGAATACACATGGGGTCCAGGCAGCTCCCGAGGGAGATGCCCCAAGGTTACCTGCGATGCTGTTCCGGTTTGAACCATGTGGATAGTTTTTTTTTTTTTTTTTTGGAGACTGAGTCTCATTCTGTTGCCCAGGCTGGACTGCAATGGCACAATCTCAGCTCACTGCAATCTGTGCGTCCTGAATTCAAGTGATTCTCATGCCTCAGCCTCCCAAATAGCTGGGATTGCAGGCGCCCACCACCACGCCTAGCTAATTTTTGCATTTTTAGTAGAGACGGGGTTTCACCATGTTGGCCAGGCTGGTCTCGAACTCCTGACCTCAAATGATTCACCCACCTCGGCCTCCCAAAGTGCTGGGATTACAGGCGTGAGCCACCACGCCCGGCCCCATGTAAACACTTTACACGTTCAAAATACAATTAAAAAAAGAAAGGAAGGAAAATCCTGAAATAGAACTGAGTCAGAATAAGTGACCCTCCGTGCGTCATGTTGATAGCATAATTACAGGGAAGCAGAGTTACTGTGATTATTTTTAAATGTGGAGACTGAACATACACGCACTGGGAAGCTCTGGACCCTGGGCCGGGGAGGGCCAGGGCGGGGTGGGGTGGAGCAGCGGCTGCCTTCTCCCTGGGCGTGGACGTCTGGTGCCCACAGCCCCAGCCGCACGCTGCCCCACTCTTGTCCCTGGTTGGAGCCCCGACGGGGCTTTGCTGCTGTAAGATGCTCCCTGTGGCACCTGCAGACGGGCGGGTTACCACAGGGAGACCAGAGCAGCATCCGCCCTGCAGCCAGCAGCACAGGTGGTGGCCGGGGGAGCTCCTCGTGGGACCCCGCCTTGCTCCCTGCGAGCCCCTCGCCTGGCTCCCAGCTGACCCCCTGCCCCTCTTTACACTCCCCAGCTCCACCGGGGGACGGCTACGTGCAGGCGGACGCCCGGGGCCCCCCGGACCACGAGGAGCACCTGTATGTCAACACCCAGGGTCTGGACGCCCCCGAGCCGGAGGACAGCCCCAAAAAGGATCTGTTTGACATGCGTATGTGGCAGCCTGGGGGGCGGCCGTCATCGCGTGTGGCCGTGTTGTCTGATGGGGGAGGCACAACCCCACCCCCACTCCCTACGGGATTCCCTGGTCTGATGGGGGAGGCTCCCTTCTCCCCGTGAGATCCTTCAAGTCGACGGGTGGGACGGGGAAGCCCAGTCTGTCTCCTGTCGGAGGCCTTGTCTGATGGGGGTGTCCTGGACTCTGCCTTAAAAGGGGCCAGTCTGACAGGGGAGGCCCATTCTCTCTAGCGAATGCGGCCGAGCAGTGTAATGGGTGAGGCCCAGCCCCTCCTACAGGACCCCATCTCCCGGGGCCTCCCTGCTGAACCCCCAGTCTGGTTGGGAATGCCGCTGGCCCCCGCTCTGTGAGAAGCTCCACTCTCTCGGGGGTAACCCACCTGCCTCTGTCGGAACCCCCGGTCTGAAGGGAGGAGGTTCGTCATTCCTTGAAAGAATGGTCAGTGTGGTGGGAGGCTGCGGCCCCGTCTGTGAGGCCCTCCAGTCAACAGGGGAAGCCAGACCCTCGCCCCATGGGACTCCTTAGTCTGAGAGGGGAGGCCTCGTCTTTTCTCTGTGGGAATCCCGGCCTGCTGGGACGACTGCCTGGCCCGCTGGTCTTGCACGCTGACTCTGGGTCTCCCTAGTCTGATGAGTTTTCTCTTCACGTGACTCCGGGGTCTGAGGATTCTTCCTACGGAAATCCCGGCCTGATGGGGGAGGCACAGCTTCCTGCTTGAAGGAACGCCCAGTCCAATGAGGGAGGCTTAGTCCACCTCTGGACAAAGTGGCTAGTCTGACGGTGAGCCCGTTCCTTCCTTCCCCGTGGATGACCCAGCCCGAGGGAGCCCCCAGCCGGGCGGAGGAGGCTTGTCCTTCCTTGGCTGAGGTGTCCAGAGTTCTCTCCTGATTTCCTGCAGCCTCGACTCTGCCCTTCTCCAGCACGGAGAGGTGTTGGCTCTGAGCTGCCGGGTAGGGTCCTTGCCTGAGCTCAGGATGCCTCCCAAGCTAACTGCAAATTTCTCCCTTTCCTCCACCACCTGACAAAGCAGCTTCTCCTCAGCTTCACAATAATGACACCATCTAGCACCTAGTGGGCGCCTGCTGTGTACCAAGCACTACGTGAAGAGCTTGCTCCTCTTGGCTCCTCACAGCAGCCCTCAGATGGGAAAGGAGGGGCTTGGGGCTCTGAGCTTCCCTCTGAGGCAGGCTGTCCCTCAGGGTGACCAGACTGCCAGGCAGCCCCGGTTGAGGAAGGGTGTCTTCTCGTCCGTCCTCCACGAAGAGTCCTGGGGCTGCCTCTGATTCGCCACGTGCTCGTCCCCAAACCAGTCGCTGGCTGGGAGGGGGAGGTGAACATGCTGACTGGCCAGGCTAGGAGTTGGAGCTGGCTCAGCCCCCAGGGTCAGGGCTGGAGGACCCCCCAGGACCAGGAGCTGGAGGGGCGGGAGACCAGGGAGCGAGGGTCAGGGCGGGAGGACCCCCCAGGACCAGGAGCTGGAGGGGCGGGAGACCAGGGAGTGAGGGTCAGGGGGGGAGGACCCCCCAGGACCAGGAGCTGGAGGGGCGGGAGACCAGGGAGCGAGGGTCAGGGCGGGAGGACCCCCCAGGACCAGGAGCTGGAGGGGCGGGAGACCAGGGAGTGAGGGTCAGGGCGGGAGGACCCCCCAGGACCAGGAGCTGGAGGGGCGGGAGACCAGGGAGTGAGGGTCAGGGCGGGAGGACCCCCCAGGACCAGGAGCTGGAGGGGCGGGAGACCAGGGAGTGAGGGTCAGGGCGGGAGGACCCCCCAGGACCAGGAGCTGGAGGGGCCGGAGACCAGGGAGTGAGGGTCAGGGCGGGAGGACCCCCCAGGACCAGGAGCTGGAGGGGCGGGAGACCAGGGAGTGAGGGTCAGGGCGGGAGGACCCCCCAGGACCAGGAGCTGGAGGGGCGGGAGACCAGGGAGTGAGGGTCAGGGCGGGAGGACCCCCCAGGACCAGGAGCTGGAGGAATTCAAGGCCGCCCCAGCCACGGGTAGATGCATCTCCGTCAGGGCTGGGGCTCCAGCACTGCAGGGTCTGAACCATGCTGCTTTCTGCCTGGGGACACGCCCACCCCTGTTTGACAATGAGGGGACTGACACTCAGAGGAGAGCCTTAGAGTGGCCTGTCGGATGTTGGCATTGTTGGAAGCCGTTAGAAAACCCAGGGCAGAACATTTTAACGCTAGGGGCAAGAGAGGGGTGCCGGCTGTCGTCTTGAGTATTTAGGGCACATTGGAGGCCCCGCGGCCAATGCAGTAAGACCAGACAAGGAAACGAGAGGCGTACGCTTTGGGAAGGAAGCCCACCTGACAAGGCAGGAAAAAGAAATAGGAGTTAACCTCTGAAAGAAAGAGCTGCTGTTACCCTTTGTACATGCTTAGTACGTGCCTAGAAAACCCAACCTGGGGAGTCCAGGTTGCTACACATGTGAGCCCACCGCACGCACGGGGCTGGGCAGAGTGCGAGTCTGATACGCTGTGGGCGCTCGGTCAGCGCAGGCCGACGGGTGCACGAGGGACTCCCCGGGGAACCCGTTTCTCCCAGCTCTGGTCCCGGCAGGAGTAGCTGCTTGCCCCCTGCCTGCCCAGCACTCCTGTCCCTGGCCTGCAGGACCCTTTGAGGATGCCCTGAAGTTGCATGAGTGCTCAGTGGCGGCAGGCGTGACAGCAGCCCCTCTTCCCTTGGAGGACCAGTGGCCCAGCCCCCCTACCCGCCGGGCCCCTGTGGCCCCCACGGAGGAACAGCTGCGTCAGGAGCCCTGGTACCACGGCCGGATGAGCCGCCGGGCGGCAGAGAGGATGCTTCGAGCTGACGGGGACTTCCTTGTGCGAGACAGCGTCACCAACCCCGGGCAGTATGTCCTCACCGGCATGCACGCCGGGCAGCCCAAGCACCTGCTGCTCGTGGACCCCGAGGGCGTGGTAAGCTGTGCACAGGTGGGAGGGTCTCGGGGCATCCAGGGGCTTCGCTGGGCACAGGTGGGAGGGTCTCGGGGCATCCAGGGGCTTCGCTGGGCACAGGTGGGAGGGTCTCAAGGGTCTCGAGGGTCTCGGGGCATGCAGGAGCTTTCCATGTTTATGAAGTTTTTCCAGATTGTTCCAGATGTTGCCTTTGACCAGCTACTGTAGAATTACAAAGTATTTTCCAGTTTATTTTTGAGACAGAGTCTGGCTCTGTCACCCGGGCTGGACTGCAGTGGCACAGTCGTAGCTCTCTGCAGCCTCGAACTCCTGGGCTCAAGTGGTCCTCCTGTCTCAGCCTCCTGAGTAGCTGGGACTACAGGTGTGAGCCACCGTCCCCAGCTAAGTTTTGTAGAGATGGGGCCTTGCCACGTTGCCCAGGCTGGTCCCCAGCTCCTGGCCTCAAGTGATCCTCCTGCCTTGGCCTCCCAGTTGTAATCTCAATCTTATGATTTCATCCATCATAAGATGCTCTCCCCCCCCATTTATCATGACTTATGCACCTTACAAATGGTGATGTATCTGAGGGATAAATATGGTATTTTCAGGTTCTAATTTATTTGAGGGTGTACAAAGTATGTCTCAATTTACAAGGAATTTTGGGATCAAGTTACTGAATTGCTTCAATTCCTTCTTCCTCCCTCTCTCCCTCCCTCCTTTCCTTTTTTTCTCTCTTTTTCTTTTCTTTTCTTTTTTTTTTTTTTTTTTTGATGGAGTCTCGCACTGTTGCCCCGGCTGGAATGCAATGGCGCAATCTCGGCTCACTGCAAGCTCCGCCTCCCGCGTTCAAGCGATTCTCCCGCCTCAGCTTCCCCAGTACCTAGGATTACAGGTTCCCACCACCACGCCCGGCTAATTTTTCATATTTTTTTAGTGGAGATGGGGTTTCACTATATTGGCCAGGCTGTTCTCAAACTTCTGACCTCGTGATCCACCCGCCTCGGCCTCCCAAAGTGCTGGGATTACAGGCGTGAGCCACTGCGCCCGGCCCTTCTTTCTTACTCTTTTCTCTCTCTCTCTTTTCTTTCTTCTTTTCTTCCTTTCCTTTCTTTCTTTCTTGATGGAGTCTCGCTCTGTCACCCAGGCTGGAGTGCAGTGGCGCAATCTCAGCTCACTGTAACCTCCACTTCCCGGGTTCAAGCGATTCTCCTGCCTCAGCCTCCCGAGTAGCTGAGACTACAGGCGCCCACCACCACGCCTGACTAATTTTTGTATTTTTAGTAGAGACGGGGTATCACCATGTTGGCCAGGTTGGTCTCGAACTCCTGACCTTGTGATCCACCCACCTCAGCCTCCCAAAGTGCTGGGATTACAGGCGTGAGCCACCGCGCCCGGCCTAACTGCTTCAGTTCTAAGATATACACTCTCCCCGCCTGAATTTTGATATCTCTAGAGTCTGGATTTTGTTTAAAAACCATCAATTGCATATTTGAAGTGCATCATTATTTTACAGGGAGGTTTTTCTCTTCTCTCTCCTCCTGGTACCTAAAATCATGGCGCATCTTACAGTTGCTCTGGGCCAATGAGATTTAGTAATCTCCAGCTTCTAAAGCATTTAAAGGTTTACAAAGCATTTTCCAATTTACAAGGAGTTCTAGGGTTTATGAAGCGTTTTGAGCGTCCGAGGGCTGCACAGGTTATTTCCCAGGTGAGGAGGTGCTAGAGGGTTCGGAGGCCTCTCAGAGCGTAGGAGGCGTTTTCAGCCATCCAGCTGAATCCTCAGGTGGCTCTTGGGCTGGTGTGAGCCTGGTCTCTGCGTGAAGCACACGGCGGCGGGCGGGCAGGTGGGGGCTCTTGTGCACCCCGGCCTGGGACAGAGCTGGAGGGGGCAGGGCTTGGGCGAGAGCTGCCTGTTCTCCCAGTTCCTGAGCCCCCTCAGACTGTTTCTGGTGTCCCCGCCACTGCCTAGCCTCTAGCCTGGTGTGTGATACCTCAGTTCTTTCCCAGGCCAGATTTTCTCTGTTAAATGGATCGCTGGGGTCAGACCGGCAGCCACTACACCTGGAGAAGCTTCAGAACGTCTACCAGTACCTTGTTAAAAGGCAGATTCCCAGCTCCCATTCCCAGTGCCACACAGAAGGACGTGATTGTGCCACAGGCCTAGGAATGTGTATTTGTCCCTGTTCCGCACGTGAAGTGTGCACAGGGCCCCCAGCCTCACCCGGGAACTGCTCGGCAGCCGTGGATTTACCCCTGCTTCCCACGTGAAATGTGCACAGGGCCCCCAGCCTCACTCAGGAGCTGCTCGGCAGCCGTGGGACACAGGGTCTCTTGGTTTTGCATCCAGTTCCAGCGCTCGGTAGCGCTAAGAGGGTCTCGTTCAAAAATGCAGCTGGATTTTGATTTGGCGATTCAGATTTTCAGGCCTGTGTCTCCAGGATTTCAGGGGTGTGTTTCCTGGAGCTGCAAACCAAATGACCACACACGAAGTGGCTTAAAGCAGCAGAGGTTCATTCTCACAGCTCTGGAGGCCAGAAGTCCGAACTCAAGGTGTGGCCGGGGCTGGTTCCTTCCGGAGGCTCTGAGGGAGCCTCGGTCCCAGGCCCCTCCCGGCGCCCGCTGGTGGCCGGGCTCCCGGGTGCTGCCAGCCTCGTGGACACACGGCTCCAATCTCTGCTCTCTCCTGCCCATCTGCATGTTTTCCTTTTCCTGTCAGGAAAGCAGCTAGTGGACTTAGGGCCCCCCTGGCTCATCCTGGATGCATTCGTCCCAGGACCCTTGACCTGTTTATCTACCAAGACCTTTTTCCAAATGAGGTCACGTTCACAGGCTCTGAGGGCTGGGACCTGGCCGCATCTTCCCGCGGTCACCTTTCAGCTCCCGACAGGAAGCGTGGCCCCAGAACCCTGGGGGTTTCAGAGCCCGTGCCCATGGGTGGTTCTGGAATTCTGAGGCCGATCCTTTGGCTGGTGTCCCGGAATTCCCTGGTCCGGCCCCTCGTCCATGCAGGCACCCTAGGGGCTCCCCGGCAGGACCCCAGAACGCCAATATCCTACTCCACGGGTCCAGGCGGGCTCCCGGGAGCTGATGCCGAGGTCTCTGTCCCGCAGGTACGGACGAAGGACGTGCTGTTTGAGAGCATCAGCCACCTGATCGACCACCACCTGCAGAACGGGCAGCCCATCGTGGCCGCCGAGAGTGAGCTGCACCTGCGTGGCGTGGTCTCACGGGAGCCCTGAGCCAGGTGTGTGGCTGCCGCCGTGGGTCGCTGGCCTTGCCTCCTTTGCCAGATTCTTTTCTGATTTGAAAATTGAGACCCGGTTCACGTGCCGTGCCTTTCCCTCTAGAGGGCACGACTCAGGGGTGTTCAGCATCCGAGCCGTGCAACCATCTCTGTCGAATTCCAGAACATTCTGTCAGCCCCGAAAGAAGCCCTGTCCCCACCAGCCGTCACTCCCTGTCCCCTCCCCAGCTCCAACCCCACACATCCGCCTCCTGTCTCTGTGGATGGGCCTGTCCTGGACATTTCATAGCAATGGGATTCCACGCTGTGTGTCCTTCTGTGTCTGGCGTCTCTCACTGAGCGTGACGTCCTCCAGGGGCATTGCGCCGTGGCCCGGGCCAGAGCCTGGCTCCTGTTCTCGGCTGGATAATGTCCCGCTGTGTGAGGGGACCACGTTTTGTGTGTTCATCCGCTGATGGACGCTGGGGCTGCTTCCGCCTTTTGGCCGCCGTGAGCCTTTGTGTGCAGGTTGTGTGTGGACACGCGTCACTGCCCGTGGGTGGATATGTGCCCGAGGGTGGCAGCGTGCAGCCATGACCGTGACACTGCGGTCGGCTGTGGTGGGCGTCACCTGGTCTTTGTGGACCCCTGCGGCGTGCTGGGTGTCCAGGCCTCCTTCCCAGAGGAGGGGTGGGCACTGCCGGAGAGGA
The DNA here is from genome assembly GCF_000001405.40 of Homo sapiens. Taxonomy (NCBI): domain Eukaryota; kingdom Metazoa; phylum Chordata; class Mammalia; order Primates; family Hominidae; genus Homo; species Homo sapiens. The sequence goes on along the minus strand of NC_000019.10, from coordinate 418,233 downwards.
CGGTGGGCTGGGACAGGCAGGGGCTGGCGTGTGAGCCCAGGCAGTGAGAAGACCATACCTCAGGCCGGGCCAAGGAGCCCCAGGCCTCCACTTTTGGTGCGGGGCCCGGGGGGACCCATGGTAGGGTGTGGACGGAGGAGGGACAGGCAGGTCTGGGTGATCTCATGGTCTCTCCTCTGGGGTGAGGTTGGGGCAGGAGAGGGTGCAGCTGTGGGGCTGGAGGGAGTGAAGGCTGAGAGAGCAGCCGGGGAGGAGGGAGGGCCGGCAGGGGGAGGGGGCTGTGGAATTTCCCAAGGGCTGCGCTTCTGGGCCAGGTCAGGCCGCTCTCCTGTCCCCATGACAACGGTCTCCTTCCAGCCTCCTCTCTCCTGGGCGGCCCCTCCCCTATGCGGCCGCGGCCTCCACCCAGCCCCCAGCCAGGCCTCGGGCTGCAGGCAGAGGGGGCTCCGGGTATGGCAGGGGCTCCTGTAAAGCACCTGAAACTGCCTGCGGCCTGTGGCACACGGGCTCCTGTGTTCCGTTCGCACCGGTCCCTGCCTGCGTCCCCTCGGAAAGGCGTTGGTGACCCCAGAAATAACCTGGAAGGCAGTAATGATTCCTGCTCAGGAGGCCGTTGCCCTGTCCCAGGAATGTGCTCAACCCTTCGGTTCTGAGACAGGCACTGGGATCGGCATTCTTGCTTGCACGCGAGGAGACAGCAGAGAGGTTAGGGCACTGCCCTAGGTCCACAGCAAGGACTCAGGACACCTGCACCGGAGCCCCAGCCATGCGACCTGAGGAGCTCTGGGCTGGACCTGAGGTGTGGCACTTGCAGAGATGATGCCAAGGCAGAAGAGCATGTGGCTCACACCGGAGCCCAGGTCTGCGGCCACCGTCTCAGCCCTGACCTCGCCTTCTCTTTCTGCCCGCAGGTGACCGTTCTCAGCCCTGGCTCCTGCCTGTTCTCAGCCCCGGCTCCTGCCTGTCATGGCCTTGGGGCTCTCAGCCCTCCTCCTGGATCCTGGTCAGGCCGAACCACCGCTGCCTCTCCTTCCTCCGCATGAGCCTCTGGCATGGTCCTTCCTCCAGCTGGCCCCGGGCTGGGCAGAGCCTCCTCCTGCCGGGGCCCCTGCCCACCCCCTCCTTTGCCTGGAGTGAGGGTGTTCATACCAAAGACGGAACCATTTCGCCTTTAAAGAAAATATATCCAGAAGCAGCCGCTGCCTCGGAGCCCTGGCCCTTGGGTCCCCCTCTCGCCTGGCTGGTTCGGTCTAACGCCCCGGAGAGTCAGGGCTCCCAGGACCCTGGGGAGGAGGCGGATTCCGGGCCTGGCTGGGCTTCCTCTTCCCACCTGAGGACTGGGTGCACAGTTGTCTTTGAGGGGGGACGCTTAAGGTGCTTTGGGGTTCTCAGGCCAGGATACATGCTGGCGCTGAAGTGCAGGCAGCCTTGAGGTCACCTGGGATCTCGGGGTAGCCAGGCTGCTCCAAGACAGTGGATATCGAGGCAGTCGTGAGGCCCCTACTCCACCTGGGAGCAGGGGAAGGACGTGGTTGCCTGGCCTGGGCTGCGCCCAGCAGCTTCCCCCCAGTCCTGCCCTCCCAGCTGTCGACCCAGATGGGATGTTCGGATCGGTTTGTAATTAAACCTGGGAATGGCCACAAGAGCACAAGCCCACCTGCATATCTGGGGGCCCTCGCGGGGCTGGGGCTGGGACGAGTCTCCCAGGTGGAGAGCTGATGAGGGGGCTCAGAGGGACCACATTTGGCCTCCCTAAGGGCCTGGACTTGGAGAGAAGGAAGGCGGGGCTGTGCGTGTGCCCGAACCTGGCAGATTGTGGGGTGACCCCTCTGCCCAGCAGCCCCCGCATCTCTCTGGTTACCTCTGTTTTATCCAGGATAAAACACAGTTCAACTTCTCCACTAAACACTTCTCTCACCTCCTTGGAGACACCCTAGTTTATCACCCGAATGCCAAACCTCTGCCTTTCAAGACAGCCCAGGACATCAGACAAGAGCTGGTTGTTTTCTTCTCCAAGATGCCCCCAGCATGGCCCTAGATGGGCCGGGCTTTCCTGTTGTCCTAGCTTCTCTCCAGGACATCCCCCTCGATGCCCCTGCTCTTCCCCGACGCCCAGCATCGTGCTCAAGCACCCCAGCTCCATTCCTTAGACCTGCCGTCATGTTACATCTGAGCTTCTGGCTCCAAGAGACCCCCCAGCTCCTCCCACAAACACAGCATCTTCCCAGGAGAGAGGTTCCCACAAACACAGCATCTTCCCAGGAGAGAGGTTCCCACAAACACAGCATCTTCCCAGGAGAGAGGTTCCCAGCCTCTCCACATCCCTGCAGGGCCATGTCTGTCAAGGGCCGAGGATCTCTGGCTGCTTTCTCTGCAGACAGCAGGCCCTACCCCCTGCCCTGGGGGACAGGTCTAGTAAGGGTGTGTGTGGGGAGAAAAAGCCACTCTGGTTTGTCCTTAACTAGGACTGGAGCCTTCCAAAGGCAAACCCAAAAGGGGCTTCAATGACACGTCTTTTATTTCCGAGATGTGGAGGCAGAGCCACCCATCCATCCTCCCGTCTACATGTCTGTCAGTAACCCATTCACCCATCATCCATCATCCATCTATAAACCTATCAGTAACCCATTCACCCACCCATCCATCATCCATTCACCCATCCATCCATCATCCATTCACCCATCCATCCATCATACATCATCCATCCATCCATCATCCATTCACCCATCCATCCATCATACATCATCCATCTATAAATCCATCAGTAACCCATTCATCCATCCCCCATCTACACATCCATCAGTAACCCACTCATCCATCCATCCACCCATCATACATCATCCATCTATAAATCTATCAGTAACCATCCATCCATCATCCATCCATCCATCATGCATCATCCATCTATAAATCCATCAGTAACCTACTCATCCATCCCCTATCTACACATCCATCAGTAATCCACCCATCCATCCATCTACACATCCAACCATACATCCATCCCATTTACACATCAAGTAATCCACCTACCCATCCCCCATCTACACATCCATCAGTAACCCACTCATCCATCCAACCATCCATCTGCATATCCAGCCATCCATCCATCTCCACATGTACACATCCTTCAGTCATCCATCCATCCAGTCACCCATTCATCGCCCCATCTACACCCATCAGTAACCCAGCCATCCATCTATCCATTCACCCACCTGGTCCCCCATCCATCGGCCTAAGCCTCCATCATTATTCCATCTATCCATTTTCCATCTGTCCATCCATTCATCATCCATGCATCCACCTGTCTATCGCTCATCCATCGCCTGTTCATTTTCATTCCCTTCACTGCTCCATCCATCCACCCACCCACCGTCTTTCAGCATGCTTGCATTGAGTATCTTTTACCTGCTTGAGTATCTTTTATCTGTCAGGAGCTCTGGTGGGCAAACAAGATGCAGTAATGACCAAAACAGATCTGCCCTTGTGGAGTTAATGGCCAAGTGACATTAATCCGCAAATCACCACTCAACATAAAATCACAACTGTGGAGTGGGCGCGGTGGCTCACGCCTGTAATCCCAGCACTTTGGGAGGCTGAGGCGGGCAGATCACCTGAGGTCAGGAGTTCAAGACCAGCCTGGCCAACATGTCAAAACCCCATGTCTGCTGGAAATACAAAAATTAGCTGGGCGTGGTGGTGCACGCCTATAGTCCCAGCTACTCGGGAGGCTGAGGCAGGAAAATCGCTTGAACCCGGGAGGCGGAGGTTACAGTGAGCTGAGATCGCACCACTGCACTCCAGCTTGGAGGACAGAGCGAGACTCCATCTCAAAACAAACAACTGTGGAAAAGAGTGCGTCATGGAGCTTAGAAATCCCAGGAAATCCAGGTGAAGAAAGTAGAGCTCTGGGCAGAGGAGATGGCGTGGGCAGAGGAGATGGCGTGTGCAAAGGCCCTGTGGTGTGTTCAGCCAGCACGTTCAGGGAGCAGAAGGGTGGCCAGTGTGGCCGAGGTGAGGTCAGAAGCGGGGTGAGGACACAGAGCTTGGGGGAGGCCTGGTGCCAGGAAGAGCTGCCAGGGGTCTTGAGCACAGGGGTGATAACATTCCCTGTGGGAAGTAAACTGTTGGGAATTGCGGGGAGGGCAAGGAGGAGGCGCTGGACCAGAGGAGTGCTGGGGAGTAGGGAGTGTCAGATTCCCAAGATGCATAGGATAGAGGGGTCTAAATGCACTTCATTCATTCATTCATAGCCCTGGGCCCTGGGCCCAAGTTGCCCATCCACACTCCACCTCTGTCTGTCCTCTTCCAAGTCCCTGTGTAAATAGAAACTGGCGCCTGCTGGGACATGAGCCAAGAGTATCATGAACTCGGGGGGCTGAAACTCTCCCTGCTTTACAGATGAGGAAACGGAGGCTCGGAGAGGCGAGGTGACCCCCGAGACCATCCCACTGGGAGGTGGTGAAGCTGGTTTTGGAGGGCCCCCATCTCCCAATCCCGTTCTCTGGGTTGGAAGAGCCTGGGTCCCCAGACGCCTGGCTCCAGCTCGGTCCCTACACCTGTCTCCTCCCCTTTCCTACCTTTGTACTTCCAATAATTGGAATAATTAAGTCAATAATCCACTCCTCGGGAGCCTGAGCCTGGAGTGGGAGGCAGGAGAACCCTGGGTCACATTCAACCTCTAAATGCTGCGCAGCCTGGAAGAGTCGTTTTCTTCCCTGAATCGCACTCGATCCCCTGCACGAGGAGACAGGAGGACTTGCTGTGGAGGGGCCAGGATGCCCCAGGAATCAGCTAGTGCCATGGAGGGGCCAGGATGCCCCGGGAATCAGCTGGTGCCGTGGAGGGGCCAGGATGCCCCGGGAATCAGCCGGTGCCATAGAGGGCCAGGATCCCCGGGAATCAGCTGGTGCCGTGGAGGGGCCAGGATGCCCCGGGAATCAGCCGGTGCCATAGAGGGCCAGGATCCCCGGGAATCAGCTGGTGCCGTGGAGGGGCCAGGATGCCCCGGGAATCAGCTGGTGCCATAGAGGGCCAGGATCCCCGGGAATCAGCTGGTGCCGTGGAGGGACCAGGACGCCCCGGGAATCGGCTGGTGCCGTGGAGGGGCCAGGACGCCCCGGGAATCAGCTGGTGCCATAGAGGGCCAGGATGCCCCAGGTATCAGCTGGTGGCATAGATGACCAGGATGCCCCGGGTATCAGCTGGTGGCATAGATGGCCAGGATGTCCTGGGTATCAGCTGGTGCCATGGAAGGGCCAGGACACCCCGGGTATCAGCTGGTGCCATAGATGGCCAGGATGACCTGGGTATCAGCTGGTGCCGTGGAGGGGCAGGATGCCCCGGGAATCAGCTAGTATCAACTGAGCACCCCGCCTGCGGCAGGCCTGGAGGTCAGCCGGTTCCATGTGCTCCCTGAGGAATCGGGCTACTCCCCGGTGCCTCAGTGTCCCTCTCTGGAAACTGGCGATGGTGGCCCTCCAGGGCCCTCCCACTGGGCTAACCCGTGATGCACGAATCAGTCAGGTCCCTCCTGGGAGCTCGCAGACAGTCCTGCTCCTGGGATTGTTTTATTGTTACGCCGTCCCCTCCCTTTCCTGAGGCTCCCAGGGTAAGTCTTCAAGCTGCACAGCTACCCAGTGGCCTCCTCAGCATTGGAGCTCGGATTGCAGCCCTCCCCTTTTTAAACCACCTCCCTGTAGGTCCTCCAAGCCTGTTATCCTGGAGGCCACTGTGGGGCAGCCTTGGATTCAGGCCTGGCTCTGGGAAGCCCCGGGTCCCTGGTGGGGCCCCCACCTGGGGGGATGGAGGGCCAAAGCCTCCCAGCATGAGGCGCCACGACTCAGGGCGGAGAGGGGCTGGTCGATACCACCTGGGCCCCTCCTCCAGCTTGAGCCCGAATCTGCAGCATCCTGGTCTCCCATCCTGGAGGGCTGCAGCGAGGCTGCTGCAGAGGGAAGCAGAAGGTTCTGTTGACCAGGAGAGGCTCCTGTTTACTTACCGATGGTGCAGAGCTAAGCAGCCAGAAGGCCCCGGGCTCCCTGCCCCTGCCCCACCCAGGGTGGGGTCTGCGTCCGTCCACAGGGCAGGTGTTAGGACCCATCCCAGGTACTTTTCAGGCCTATGTTTCCCCAGCCCCCAAATGTGATAGGATGTGGGGATGGGGTGGGGCTTCTGGCCAAGCCAGGCTGTGGTGGGGTCAGGGCTCTGGGGTGCACTTTGAGGTCTGGGCCAGCTCCCCCCTGGTTGAGACCCTTCCTGACCTGCAGAAGCGTCTGAGGGAGAGGGCGACTGACGCCTGCCTCGCACACATGGTGGGGTGCTGTAGGCACTTTGCACATAGTGATCTGTTGAGCCCTCCCTCGAGAGCCGTGGTGCCCTGGGCTGCTGAAGAGACAGAGGTCTGGATGCTTGTCCAGCGTCACACAGTGGGAAGGGTTGGCACCAGGATTCAAGCCCTGATTGACCAGCTCTGGATTTGTGTCCTAGCATGGAGACAGGCATAGTGTAAACTCAGTGCCTCATCCCCCAACCCAGCTGGCAGGAGAGGCTCTGCCCCCACCTGGGCTGGGCAGGGGTGCCGGAGAGCGAACCCCCAATACCTGGGGCTGGCCTGATGTCAGGAGACCCGTCACTGCCCCTTCCTAGGACCCAAGCTGTCCGCTTCCCTCCCCAGGCCCTGCTGTCCTTGTCTGCAATGGAGGAGGGTGGCTCTGTGGCCCCTGAGGCCCCCTCTCCTCGGGCCTGCTGAAAGAGCACTGTTTCGGGGCCATCGTGGCGATGCTATTCACCCATTTGTTTGGCAAATGTTTACTGGAGACATGGCTGGCCTGTGCCTTGGGGCCACTACAGGGACAGGACCTCCAGGACCCTCCTCCCGGCTCGGGCCCAGCAGAGACGGTGGACAGACCCCCAGGATCCGGGCCCAGCAGAGACGGTGGACAGACCCCCAGGATCCGGGCCCAGCAGGGGCGGTGGACAGACCCCCAGGATCCGGGCCCAGCAGAGACGGTGGACAGACCCCCAGGATCCGGGCCCAGCAGGGGCGGTGGACAGACCCCCAGGATCCGGGCCCAGCAGGGGCGGTGGACAGACCCCCAGGATCCGGGCCCAGCAGGGGCGGTGGACAGACCCCCAGGATCCGTGCCCAGCAGGGGCGGTGGACAGACCCCCAGGATCCGGGCCCAGCAGGGGCGGTGGACAGACCCCCAGGATCCGGGCCCAGCAGGGGCGGTGGACAGACCCCCAGGATCCGGGCCCAGCAGGGGCGGTGGACAGACCCCCAGGATCCGGGCCCAGCAGGGGCGGTGGACAGACCCCCAGGATCCGGGCCCAGCAGGGGCGGTGGACAGACCCCCAGGATCCGGGCCCAGCAGTGACGGTGGACAGACCCCCAGGATCCGTGCCCAGCAGGGGCGGTGGACAGATCCCCAGGATCCGGGCCCAGCAGGGGCAGTGGACAGACCCCCAGGACCCTCCTCCCGCCTCAGGCCCAGCAGGGGTGGTGGACAGCAGCCCAAGGGTATTCTGCATGGCAGCTGGAGCTGGGGTTCGGGGGCCCTGCTAGTCTGTGGTGGGGCCTGCCCAGGCTTCCTGGAGGCGGCGGCGGTGAAGGGGAGAATTCCTCGGTGTCTGCCTCCTTGTCAGACTTCGGGGCTGCGTCGCGGTTGCCCCAGCACAAAAATGAGGGCTCATCAACGTTTGCTGGGTGAGCAAAGCTTAGATGGGGTCACAGCTCCTCCGGGTTTCACTTTCCCCTCTGGACGGCAGGACTCTAACCCCTTATTGCAAGGGTACGTGGAGAGTGGGGAGGCCTCAGCCCAGCTCTCTCGCCCTCCTGGACCCCTCTTCTACCACTGTGGCAGCAGCCGCTCCTCCCAGCTTGGGCCACATCCAGACTTGGGGACATTCCCAGAATGCAGGAGGCTCCTGGACAATCAATAATTCAATAAAGCGCCAGGCGTCCGCCGGCTCCGGGTTGGTCCTGGGGATATGTTATCTTGCTGGCTCCAAGCACGAGGAGGCTGGGAACTGCTCAGCTCGGTTCCAGAAGAGGAAACTGAGGCGGGGAGGGCAGGGAGGGAGGGAGAGAAGGAAGCAGTGAAGGCCGGGGCTGGCAGATCACGAAGCAGCTGGCAGGAGGGGGGTCGGGGCCTCAGGAGGGGGGGACCCTGTGGTCTCAGGAACTGCCAGGAAGCCTGGGTTTGGACCTGGTCTTGCCCCCTATGGGTTTCTCCATCCGTGAATCACACGCATGTGCCTTCTCTCTTCGCCCCGACCCTCACGCTTTCCTGCTGTATTCCTGTTCCGGGCGTCACCACCCCTGCAGTTCTAAGCTGCACCTGTACGCTCTGTGGGCATCCTGCCCCTGCATCACCAGGGCTGGGGCCACCTCCCTCCGTCCCAGCTGTGTCCCCGGTGGCCAGGTCACTGTCCAGCATCAAGCGGGTGCTCAGGAAACGTTTGTCCATGAAATGAAGGAGCCCCCCCCTTCCAGGCTTCTTGTAGGGCTGCTGAGAGGTTGCCCATTTAGTAAGACCTGCTGTCCTAGCTGTTCGGTCCTTGTTTCTGGAAGGAAACCCCCCACCTTCCTCATCTACAGATTGAGAATTGCAGTAGGACCTGCGTACTGGGTTGTGTGAGAGTCAGAGACCCGCCAGGACGCTGGGAGGCTGGCAGGGAGGAAACGCTCCATCATAAACCCAGCTGCATTTATTACTGTTGCCGTCATTTAATTCGTCGTCGTTAGTCGGGAAAGCTCCTCGCCGGCAGCGAGTAGGGGGTCTGGGACCCTCTTCCGGTATACGGAGGCAGGGGCTTGGGAGTCCGACTTCCCGGAATCTGCGGGCGTGAGCGCCGGGGGTGGCCGTCAGCCAACCGTGACCACCTGCTTGTCTCCCACCGGCCCCCAGTCAGCCCCCGGGCCCTGGCGAGGCTCCTCCCTGCCACCAGCCTCCGGGGGCTGCGGGGAGACGGCCCCACCCCCTTCCCGCGGGGGCGGGGGCGCGGGCGCGGGCGCGGGCGGCCGTACTCGGAGGAATACGGCGGCGGCGGCGGCGGGGCTGGGCGGTTTCCCGCCGCGGGTGAATGAGTCCGACTGCGCTGCCGCCGCCGCCGCCGCCCGCATCGAAGCTCCGGCCGCGTCCCCCGCGCCAGCCCCGGGAGCCTGCGCGCCGAGACCCCTGCGTGTCTGCGAACAGACCTCCGGCCTCGGGCCATCACCCCGGGCAGGTAAGTCCGGGGACCCCGCCCGGTCTGCGGGGACCGCCGGGACCCCACCCCCCACCCCAAGCGGAGTCGGGGAGGGCTGGGGGCGGGGGGACACCGGGGAGTCGACTCGCTGCTCTCTCGGCCCCAGACCTACCGCCCCTCCCTTCCCCCACCCCGAACGCCTGGCCCTCCGGTCCAGGGAGGAGCCACAGGTGGGTGGGAGCCGGGGGGGCGGAGCTGGGACACCCCGGGGGTCCACCCACATCCGTGTCTTCCCCTGGGACTGAGCGCGGAACCCTTTGGAATGAGCGCTGAGATGCTCAAAACCAGAGTGGGGGCGGGCGAGGGGCCAGTCTCCTCTGGGAGCTCCCCGGAGAGTCAGAGCGCGGCCCCCACGCCCCTGGGCTTGGTGCTGGGAAGTTAAGCGGGATCTCTCCGGAAAAAGGTGGGGGGAACCCGCCTCACTCCTGTCCTGGGCCGCCGCGCCTGGGCGGGACGCCCCCAGGGGACCCCTCCACCCCCACCCCGCCGGCAGGGCCCTGCCGGGAGGCCCCACAGGGAGCAGGTGCCCAGGGCCCTCTGCCAGCCGCCCCCCACTGCTCCTGACCCCTGCTTCTCTTCCCAGACGCTGCAGCCCCTGTCCGGGCCTCTTGCCTGCCGCCCCCATGAGAAAAACCAACATGTGGTTCTTGGAGCGGCTTCGGGGGTCTGGGGAAAACGGTGCTGCCCGGGGCGTGGGGAGTGAGGCGGGGGACAAGGCCTCCAAGGGGCCCCTGTACAGCAATGTGTTGACGCCCGACAAGATCCCCGACTTTTTCATCCCCCCCAAGCTGCCCTCGGGCCCCGCGGAGGGCGAGGGACAGGCCGCGCTGGGCCCCTCCACGTCGGAACAGAACCTGGCCTCTGCGGCCCCCCGCCAGACCCCACGGAGCCCCCGGCTGCCTGCCAAGCTGGCAGCCGAGAGCAAGAGCCTGCTGAAGGCAGCCACCCGGCACGTGATCCAGATCGAGAGTGCCGAGGACTGGCTGTCCGAGGAGGCCACTGACGCCGACCCCCAGGCCCAGGGTGCCATGTCCCTGCCCTCGGTGCCCAAGGCCCAGACGTCCTACGGCTTCGCCATGCTGGCTGAGAGCCCCCACACGAGGCGCAAGGAGTCTCTGTTCCACAGTGAGCACGGGGCTCTGGCCCAGGTGGGCTCCCCAGGGGCCGGGCGCCGCCGGGCAGCTGCCAAGGCCAACGGGGGTGATGGGGGCCCCAGGGAGGCTGGCGGGGCCCTCATGAGCCCCGGCCGCTACTTCAGTGGCGGGGAGAGCGACACAGGGTCCTCGGCCGAGTCCTCCCCCTTCGGGTCCCCTCTGCTGTCCCGCTCCGTGTCTCTGCTCAAAGGTTTCGCCCAGGACAGCCAGGCCAAGGTGAGCCAGCTCCGGCACTCCGTGGGCCGCCACGGCTCCCTGTCTGCGGACGACAGCACCCCGGACGCCAGCCCCGGGAGCCGGCGCCGCCTGACCCGCCGGGCACCCCCGGAACCTGGCCCCGAGTCGGGCCAGGCGCGTGGGGAGCACACGGTCCACGTGGGCCCTCGGGGCAGCGTGCGGCTGCTGGCCGAGTACGAGGCCGGCCAGGCCCGCCTGCGGGTGCACCTGCTGGCCGCCGAGGGCCTCTACGACCGCCTGTGCGACGCCCGCAGCATCAACTGCTGCGTGGGCCTGTGCCTGGTGCCGGGCAAGCTGCAGAAGCAGCGCAGCACCATCGTGAAGAACAGCCGCCGCCCCGTCTTCAACGAGGATTTCTTCTTCGACGGCCTGGGGCCCGCCAGCGTCCGGAAACTGGCCCTCAGGATCAAGGTGGTGAACAAGGGCAGCAGCCTCAAGCGGGACACGCTGCTCGGGGAGAAGGAGCTGCCCCTGACCTCCCTGCTCCCCTTCCTGTAGAGCGGGGACCTGCTCGCTGTCCGCTCGGGTGCAGAGGGCAGACCCCGGTCTCTCCTCCACACCGGGTGCTGGCGGGCGGGTCCGCTGGCTTGGGCTGGGGCTGGCCGGGGAGGGGCTCACACTCAGGCTGGGCTGGGCGCTGATGCTGTAGCTGACGCAGGGTTTCCTGGGTCACCCGATGCTGACTGGAGTATTATTTTTCATGAATTAATTTCTCCTTTGGAGGAGGAGGAGGAGGAGGAGAGGGGCCTCGGGGGAAGAGAAGGGGCCACTTCGCGGGGCAGAGGGTCCCCCTTTGCCCCTCCACACTGCCTCGCGCCTTTCACGCAGAGTTCTAGAAGGAGGTTCTCAGGGGTTCAGGAATCCGTGCATGTGGCCAGGGCGGGGCCGTGGACAGGGAGGTGACAAGTCTTGGAGCCCACAGTCTCCTTCACTGCACGTGTGTCTTCCTCCCCCACAGCCTGCCGCCATCCAGTTCCCACCCCGCGGAGAGCAGGGCCTCGCGGCCACACCAGGCCCAGGCTCTGCCCGGGACGCCCCCTCCCAGGGGTCAGGCTTGGCTCTGGGAGACCCCAGCTTCCCAGGCTCCGGTGGGGAGTGGGGCCAGGCGAGGGTGCCCTGACGAGGGTGGGCGCGGAGGGAGCAGCCGCTGCCACAGTCGGAGCAGAGGAGGTCTTGGCAGAGGTCCGCGGGGAGGAGACGGCTCTCCTGGCCTGTTTTCCTCCAACACTGTCGCCGCTGGCTTTTTGGGTACAGGCCCGTCTGGCCATTTCTGCTGTGGCGCCGGAGGGTCTTGCTCAGAGATGCCCAGAGAGCAGCCCTATGGCCCATCCGTCCTCGCTGGGGGCTGCCACCCCGTCGCCCTTTTGTCCAGCGTCTGCAGCTGGGAGCGACACGCAGTGATTGACGGCCGTGGCTTTGACGCCACGTGTGTAAATAGGCTGTGGCTACGGTGGGTGGGTCGGAGCCCAGGAGGCAGCTGGGGGGACCTGGCTATGGCCTTTCCTGCTGTTAGGTGGCTGCAAGGCTTCCATTGTGTGGTTATGTGGGTCCTTGAATGATTTTGGGGAGGTTTCCAGCTCAGAATGATGCAGAAATGATAAGACTCAAAGCAGGGGCCAGGCCAGGCCAGTGCCTTCGCCTCTCCCGGCTGCTGGTGGGCACGGAGGAACCAGGGCACATCTGTGGTACCCAGGGACGTCCCTTGTCAGCCCGTTTGCCACACATTGTTCCTCTTGTCCAGGGGAGGGTGGAGGAGCTGCTTCCCAGGACTGGAGGAGCAGCTGGGCCCCTGCTGCACGTCCGGTGGGACACACCTGTGAGCCCTCCAGAGGGAGAGTGCAGGCCCCTTCTGAGCCTGGTGTTGCAGGGCTCCGCTCTCTCCCGGAAGCCAGGGCACCCAGGGCGGAGGCTCCTCAGGCCGGGGAGGCGGGGAGGGTGCCCTGCATGGAGAGAGACGCCGGCGCTCCCCGCCTTCTCTGATGCTCACCCCTCCCAGGCCCTGTTCTCCCTGGGGTCCCCCGTTTAGTAGCCCCCCTGCACTCTTTGATATCTTAGTGTCTGAGGTTGACTGTGGGTAAATCTTTAAGACACTCCCCAGCTGTGTTTGTTTATAAATGCTGTTTATAGTGCAATAAAGGTGTTTCGGGAATACGGGGGTGGAGGTTGGCTTCCCTGGCTGTTTAATAACGAGAGAGTTCTGCGGTGAACTCCAGGGAGGAAGGAGAAGAGGATTCCAGATTGGCAAGGTCCTTTCCACTGCCCTCCGCATTCTCCTGCCCCGGGTGGAGGCAGGCGGGGGCAGGAGCCCAGCCCCTGATAAACCACCTCCCTTGGAGCGGCAGGTCTGGGTTCTGCTTCACGGTTCCAGCTCTTGACTACATGGATGTCAGGAAACAGGACTCGGACCCCACACGGTCCCTACAGGGTGGGTCCCGCCTCCCCTCAGAACCTTCAGACAGGACCCTGTCTCCACAGACCCCCTCTAGACACAGCCCCGTATCCCCCTCACACCCCTCAGGGCAGGACCCCGTTCCCCCCACACCCCTCAGGGCAGGACCCCGTTCCCCTCACACCCCTCAGGGCAGGACCCCATCCCCCCTCCACACCCCTCAGGGCAGGACCCCGTTCCCCCCACACCCCTCAGGGCAGGACCCCGTTCCCCCCACACCCCTCAGGGCAGGACCCCGTCCCCCCCCCACACCCCTCGGGACAGGACCCCGTCCCCCCCTCACACCCCTCAGGGCAGGACCCCGTCCCCCCCTCACACCCCTCAGGGCAGGACCCCGTCCCCCCTCCACACCCCTCAGGGCAGGACCCCATCCCCCCTCCACACCCCTCAGGGCAGGACCCCGTTCCCCCCACACCCCTCAGGGCAGGACCCCGTTCCCCCCTCCACACCCCTCGGGGCAGGACCCGTCCCCCCCTCAGACCCCTCAGGGCAGGACCCCATCCCCCCTCCACACCCCTCAGGGCAGGACCCGTCTCCCCCTCAGACCCCTCAGGGCAGGACCCCGTCCCCCCCACACCCCTCAGGGCAGGACCCCGTCCCCCCCACACCCCTCAGGGCAGGACCCCGTCCCCCCCACACCCCTCAGGGCAGGACCCCGTGCCCCCCCCACACCCCTCAGGGCAGGACCCCGTCCCCCCCCCACACCCCTCAGGGCAGGACCCCGTCCCCCCCACACCCCTCAGGGCAGGACCCCGTCCCCCCCTCAGACCCCTCAGGGCAGGACCCCGTCCCCCCCCCACACCCCTCAGGGCAGGACCCCGTCCCCCCCACACCCCCTCAGGGCAGGACCCCGTCCCCCCCTCAGACCCCTCAGGACAGGACCCGTCCCCCCCACACCCCTCAGGGCAGGACCCCGTCCCCCCCACACCCCTCAGGGCAGGACCCCGTCCCCCCCCCACACCCCTCAGGGCAGGACCCCGTCCCCCCCACACCCCTCAGGGCAGGACCCCGTCCCCCCCACACCCCTCAGGGCAGGACCCCGTCCCCCCCTCAGACCCCTCGGGGCAGGACCCCGTCCCCCCCACACCCCTCAGGGCAGGACCCCGTCCCCCCCACACCCCTCAGGGCAGGACCCCGTCCCCCCCTCACACCCCTCGGGGCAGGACCCGTCCCTGTGCTCTCAGCCCAGGCTGGGCTGCTCTGTCTCTCCTGCTGCCCATGGGGTCCAGATGTCTCTGCCATCTCAAATCCACCAGGAGCTTTTGGGAATTGGGGTTCAGCGTAGCCCGGCCTCCTGACCGCGGCCTGGTGAGCCCCAGTCAGGGCCTGGGACGGGTTGACAGGGCTACGGGCGCCTTGTAGCCTCTTCAGCCCCAGCCACTCATCGCTAGGCTGCACGGGTGTGTGCGTGTGCGTGCCAGGTAGGTGCACACACGTCGCCATGTGCTTCCGCATGTGTGTGCAGTGTGACTGCGTGTGCCGTTACCGTGCTCATCTGTTGGGCGTATGTGACAGTGCCAGGTGAGCGCCTGCAGGCACTCGAGTATAGCTGCCTGTGTGCTGGCGTGTGCACGTGTAAGCACGTGAGCCGTGTATGCATGTGTGACCCTGTGTGCGCTTGTGTGTGCCTGTGTCGCTGCTGGTGTGCACTTGTGTGTGCGTTTGTGTGTGCTGGTGTCTGGGAGCTGCAGCTGCCCATGCCCTCCCCCCTCCACTTCCAAGTGGGCGTCATCCAGGGATTCTGCGCCTGCGTGGTGTCTCGCCCTGCCTCAGGTCTTGGCCCACTGCCCTTCAGGTCAGCCCCCACCCCGGGGGAGTCAGATGCCCTTGTTCCCTCCTGGCTGTGGCCGTTTGCTGCCTTGTGATGTTGATCCTGAGCAGAACGAATCTACTGTTTGCACCTCCAGCATCCCTGGCGCCACAGAGCGCTCGGCCCCAGTGGGTGCTGTGCGGTGAAGGAGGCAGGCACACCTGCCAGCAGTCTCTCCTTTCAGACTGGCGGCCATCCTGAGTCTCCCGACCCTCAGGAAGGCCATGGGCACCACAAGCGGGGGGCACCCCGTTTGGTGCAAATTACAAAAAGATGCCCCTTCTTCAGAGGGGAGCCATCATAGGGAACAACAGATGAAGAGTCAGAAGCCTGGAGACATTGCGGACACCTGGATCCAGCTATGCCTGAAGTCCATAACTGCGCACCATTTCAGCTCAGAGGGTGGGCCGGTAAAGTGCCTTGTTTGCTCAAGCCGGCTTGTTTCAGTTTTTTTGTTTTGTTTTGTTTGTTTGTTTTTTGGAGACGGAGTCTTGCTGTGTCGCCCAGGCTGGAGTACAGAGGTGCAGTCTCGGCTCACTGTAGCCTCTTCTTCCAGGGTTCAAGCGATTCTCCTGCCCCAGCCTCCCAAATAGCTGAGATTACAGGCGCCCGCCACCACACCCAGCTAGTTTTTTGTATTTTTAGTAGAGACGGGGTTTCACCAAGTTGGCCAGGCTCGTCTCAAATTCCTGACCTCAGGTGATACGCCTGCCTCGGCCTCCCAAAGTGCTGGGATTACAGGCGTCAGCCACCACGTCCGGCTGATTCATTTTTTAAGGTGACAGAACACTGATCCAGTGGGTCTCTCCCATCCGAGGAGGAGGAGTAACACCTTCCCAGGGCCCCTGCCTTGCGGCCTGTCCTCTCTGGGGCCTTGAACCTCTAACCCTGACGTGTGTGGGGAGCCGCAGGGTGAGTTTCAAGCCCCACCTTCCACGTGGGGTGTGGCCCGGGGCAGTGCGTGGCTTCTCTGGGTCTCAGGCTCCCGAGGCCGAAGGCTCTGTCTGTGATGAGCCCTGGCGGCTTGTGTGCAGTAGAGCTCAATCCACAGGCTCGCCGGGCGGAAGCCGGCACAAAATAGCGACGATAATTAATATAATCACATCAGGGCCATAATTACAGGCGGCCTCAGACCCACCCAGGCGGGGGCTCCCTCGGCCTCTCTCTGCGGCACCCACCGCCCCAGTGCCGGATTCGATTAAGCTTTTGTTTTCTTCTCAGCTCCTGGGGGTGGGAGGGAGGGGCTGCCCACGGCCAGTTCCGCTGACAGGAGGAGAAAAATGACTTCAATAAAAAGGAGGAGGCGGACGCCGACCCGCACACATGCTCCTCCCACGAGGGCGGGCCATTCCCGCGGGCCGGCGCCTGAGCCTCAGTTTACCCTACTGTACAGTGACGTGGTCCCAGAGCCTCTCTCCAGGGTCACACGCAGGGCAGGGCCTGTTGATTAAGCGCATCGTGGGTGGGTGGGCGGGAGGACCCGCTGAATCCTCAGCAAGACGCTGCCTACTGCCATCCACAGATGGAAACACCGAGGCACAGAAGGCAAAGGGGCCTGCGCACACCTCCCAGCTGACAGGACAGGAATTCGGACCAGGGCTGGACCCACGCTGCCCTTCCTGGGTGGGACTGGACACCTGCTTGCATGGCCGGCCCCTGCCATCTGGCAGAGAGGGCCCCAGGGAGCTGTGCTCTGCCAGCCATGGGTCAGAATCCTGACAAGTCCCTCCGTTCTCTGTGACTCGGTTTCCTCTGCAGCACCCTGTACCCTCCCTGCCTGCTGGTGGGGCTGGAGTGGGCACGGACCCAGCACCCGTGGCACCCAGTCCTGGTCACCGGCTGAGCCCTGCTGCGGTGCCACGGATGAGACCCGCACCTTCCCCCGTGGGGTGAGGAATCCTCTCGTGCGGGGTGAGGTCTGGGCTTTGCCTTGGCTTTGGGAGGTGATTTCTGCCCTGCCTGAGGGGAGCGTCTTGGTCTGGGGTAGGGAGGGTCACACCAGCAAGACCAACCGTGGGACTTGGGAGCGCCTTGGGTCTCACAGCGTCAGACACCCTTGGAGTTCGAGGGCAACCCCGTGGCAAGCAATCAGTCAATCAAGCCCCCACGAGGGATCCCTCGCAGAGCTCTGGGCGCCTAGGCTGCCGTGCCCTTTCCTGGTGGTCCGTGCGCCCTGTGAGTGAGCAGTTCCCGGCTTCCCCGGACAGGACCACGGGGCTTCTCCGGGACGCTGCCTCATGTGCTCTTCCCCAGCCCACGGCACCTGCACCCCGGCACTGTGACAAACCCTACCTGTGACGAGGACAGCTTGCTGGGAGTTCCGTGCGTCCTCGCAAATCATCAAGCGTGAGGGTGAGCCTGGGAACCCCTGGAAGAGTGAGGGTGAGCCTGGGAACCCCTGGAAGAGTGAGGGTGGGCCTGGGGACCCCTGGAAGAGTGAGGGTGGGCCTGGGAACCCTGGAAGAGTGAGGGTGGGCCTGGGAACCCTGGAAGAGTGAGGGTGGGCCTGGGAACCGCTGGAAGAGTGAGGGTGGGCCTGGGGACCCCTGGAAGAGTGAGGGTGGGCCTGGGGACCCCTGGAAGAGTGAGGGTGGGCCTGGGAACCCTGGAAGAGTGAGGGTGGGCCTGGGAACCCCTGCAAGAGTGAGGGTGGGCCTGGGAACCCCTGCAAGAGTGAGGGTGGGCCTGGGAACCCTGGAAGAGTGAGGGTGGGCCTGGGAACCCTGGAAGAGTGAGGGTGGGCCTGGGAACCCTGGAAGAGTGAGGGTGGGCCTGGGGACCCCTGGAAGAGTGAGGGTGGGCCTGGGGACCCCTGGAAGAGTGAGGGTGGGCCTGGGGACCCCTGGAAGAGTGAGGGTGGGCCTGGGAACCCCTGCAAGAGTGAGGGTGGGCCTGGGAACCCCTGGAAGAGTGAGGGTGGGCCTGGGGACCCCTGGAAGAGTGAGGGTGGGCCTGGGAACCCTGGAAGAGTGAGGGTGGGCCTGGGAACCCTGGAAGAGTGAGGGTGGGCCTGGGGACCCCTGGAAGAGTGAGGGTGGGCCTGGGGACCCCTGGAAGAGTGAGGGTGGGCCTGGGGACCCCTGGAAGAGTGAGGGTGGGCCTGGGAACCCCTGCAAGAGTGAGGGTGGGCCTGGGAACCCCTGGAAGAGTGAGGGTGGGCCTGGGGACCCCTGGAAGAGTGAGGGTGGGCCTGGGAACCCTGGAAGAGTGAGGGTGGGCCTGGGAACCCTGGAAGAGTGAGGGTGGGCCTGGGAACCCTGGAAGAGTGAGGGTGGGCCTGGGAACCCTGGAAGAGTGAGGGTGGGCCTGGGAACCCTGGAAGAGTGAGGGTGGGCCTGGGAACCCTGGAAGAGTGAGGGTGGGCCTGGGGACCCCTGGAAGAGTGAGGGTGGGCCTGGGGACCCCTGGAAGAGTGAGGGTGGGCCTGGGGACCCCTGGAAGAGTGAGGGTGGGCCTGGGAACCCCTGCAAGAGTGAGGGTGGGCCTGGGAACCCCTGGAAGAGTGAGGGTGGGCCTGGGGACCCCTGGAAGAGTGAGGGTGGGCCTGGGAACCCTGGAAGAGTGAGAGTGGGCCTGGGAACCCTGGAAGAGTGAGGGTGGGCCTGGGAACCCTGGAAGAGTGAGGGTGGGCCTGGGGACCCCTGCAAGAGTGAGGGTGGGCCTGGGAACCCCTGGGCTGCCGTTGGGGCTGGAACGGGGGCACTGTTGTTGGGACACTGCCCTCTGACCTTTCAGCGTGGTTCACTCCAATCCCCGGGCCACAGAGTCCTCGTGGCCTCCCTGGGAGTGTGCACCTGCCCGGCCGTGGAGACACATGACCCTTGCCCCCAAGCTCCCCTCTCACCTCCCTAACCCCTTTGCCTGTGGCCCAGGCGGCTCAGAGGCACCCCCCCGCCCACCAGCCACTGTGTCCCCACCCTCCCCTCCCACCTGGGCTCCCCCAGCCAAGCCACAGAATGCTCCTTCCTCATCTCCCAAAGTCACGGGGACAGCTCAGATCAAGGACTGCAGCTCCCACACTGCCAGCCCCTCCCCCTCTCTGAGCCTCAGTTTCCTCCTGTGTAAGTGAGGTGCCCAGTGCACACTGCCCTCTAGGCTTCAGGTGATGGCAACATTGAGCTTTCAAAGCACTCACGCATAAACCTCATTCAGACCACGGGCCACTGTAGGTCAAAGGTGCGTCCGAGTGTTTACTAAGGAACGGCAGGACTGGACTGAGTTTTATACGCAGCAGGAGGAAGGAGGCACCTGCCGCTCAGGGACAAAACTCATCCGCATTTGTCAATCCCAAGCAGCGTCCAACCCCAGAGCCAGGACACTGGCAAGAGTGGAGGGAAGCGTCCACAAAGTGACCCCCGGGTGGCCGGGCTGGTCGAGGCTCTGGAATACAACTGATCCTCTGGGTGATTCGGCCCCTCGGGGACACGGGGCAACGTCTGGGGCTTCTGTGGTTGTCACGACTAGGGGAGCTCCTGGTGTGGAGTGGGCGGAGGCCAGGGACACTGCTCAGCACCCAGCAGTGCCCAGGACGGCCCCACCCCAGGGAATGATCAGCTCTGAGGCCCACCGTGCCGAGGGTCCAGGATCCAAAGAGCAGGCAGTGATGTTTTTACCCCTTTCCAAGTTCTGGATAATTTTCCCAAACCTGAGGATGAAACGAGAGAAGGCACATAAGCTGCCTAGCAAGGTGACTGCACATGGTGAGGGGTCTCACGTGTCGTCTGCACGCGGTGAGGGTCTCACGTGTCGTCTGCACGCGGTGAGGGTCACACGTGTCGTCTGCACGCGGTGAGGGTCACACGTGTCGTCTGCACGCGGTGAGGGGTCACGCGTCGTCTGCACGCGGTGAGGGGTCATGCGTGTTGGCTGTTCCCCTTTCCTTTGGCAAATGTGGACTGAGTGCTGCTGTGCCTTATGCTCGTGTCGGGGATACCACAGCTCCAGGGTGTCCCTGACATGATGTTCCCGGCCCTGCGCTCTCCAGAGCTGAGACTCACCCCATGGAGCAGTGGCCACTGGGCCTGTCCCCTCCAGACTGCTCCGCGCAATACAAAGTGGCAGTGGGTAGCTTCCAAACCCAGGCCATGAAAAGGAGGTGGCCCAGGGAGGCAGGTGCAGCTGGCAGCCCAGGTGGGCCCCAGCCTCCTGGTCTTAGAGCAGACTCCCAGATGTCATGGAGCAGGGGCACCATCCCTGGTCTGCCCGAGTTCCTTCCTGACTGAGGCTTTCTCATCGACAAGCATTGGGGTGGGTGCCTAGTCTGAGTCCTGCAAGGCTTGCCCTTGGAGGACTTCCTGGAAGAGGAGGCCAGAGGACAAAAGGGTTGTGAAGCCCCAGAGCAGAAAGGACTCAGCCCCAAAATTCCAAGGAGGCCTGTGGGTCACAGGACTGTAAGAGGAGTGTGGACTTTATCCTGTGGGCAAAGGGCTTGGATGAACGTTTTAGGATGACCTGAACTGTCTGGAAGGAAGGGGCATGGCCGGGCAGCACAGAAGCCAAGGGGAGGGCAGGGCACTGGTGCTGGGTCTGGATGGGCAAAGGCGGATGCCTGGCACCAGGGTGAGCAGAGAGGAGTAAGACACATTTGGAAGAGACTGAGGCTGCAAATCTTCCAGGATGTGTGAGGACTAGGTGTTCAGGATGGTGGACGGGGGTGAGGGGGTGCGCCGGCCGAGTCCTCTCTGTCAGCGCGTTCACCTACCTGCAAGCCCAGGAGCCTCTGCCTTCCAAACGCACCGGGAACCTTCTCAGCAAGCAGGTGGAGCTGCTGAAGGCAGCAGCACGACACGTCTCTGCCACACTCAGTGGATCACGCGGGGCAGCCCAGGCAGGAGGAATTCAAGAGCAGCCGACATGAACCTACCCGCTGCCAGCAATGGAAGTCAGGATGGGGCCCCCGGGGCAGGGACCAGGAGGGACGAGGGGCCTCTGGGGGCCGTCACAGGTGGCGTTTTCATTGGAGTGGGGGCTGCTATGGTCAGTTTGTTTATAAATGTTCACTGAGCTCATCAGGATCAAGTATCCAGAACACATAAACTATGCATACAACTCAGCAACAAAATGACCAACAACCCCATTAAAAAATAGGCAAAAGACTTCAATGGGCATTTATTGAAGAAGACACACAGCTCGTTTACATCATTCGAAACGTAGAAACAGCCCAAATGTCCATCGGCAGAGAGAGATGAACCACCGTGCGGCATATTCGTAGGCTGGAATAGTAGTCAATCACAAAAAAAATGGAGCACGGCCTTGAAACATGACACTCAGTGAAAAAACTCAGGCCAAAAGGACGCATATTGTCTGCTTATATTTACATGAAATGTCAAATATAGCTAAATCCAGAGGATTTCTTTCTGAGATAAGAAGAATGGTTTGGGGAGCTACACATGGTGGCTTGTACCTACAATCCTAGCAACGTGAGAGGCTGAGGCAGGAGGATCCCTTGAGCCCAGGAATTGGAGGCTGCAGTGAGCTGTGAATATGCCACTGTACTCCAGCCTGGGCCAAAAAGCAAGACACTGACTATTTATTTATTTATTTATTTATTTATTGAGACGGAGTCTCGCTCTGTCCCCCAGGCTGGAGTGCAGTGGCACGATCTTGGCTCACTGCAAGCTCCGCTCCCGGGTTCACACCATTCTCCTGCCTCAGCCTCCCCAGTAGCTGGTACTGCAGGCGCCTGCCACCACGCCTGGCTAATTTTTTTTTGTATTTTTAGTAGAGACGGGGTTTCACTGTGTTAGCCAGGATGGTCTCGATCTCCTGACCTCGTGATCCGCCCGCCTCGGCCTCCCAAAGTGCTGGGATTACAGGCGTGAGCCACCATGCCCGGCCCGACAATTTATTTTAAAAAAATGTTTTGGAGCTTAATAGAAGTTATAGTTGCACAACATTGCGAAGGCACTAAAAGACCCTGAATTGGTCGTGTTAAAGCGGTTAATATTACTTAAGGTGCGGTGGCTCACGCCTGTAATCCCAGCACTGTGGGGGGCCGAGACAGGCAGATCACAAGATCAGGAGATCGAGACCATCCTGGCTAACACGGTGAAACCCCCTCTCTACTAAAATTACAAAAAATTTGCCAGGCGTGGTGGCGGGCGCCTGTAATCCCAGCTACGTGGGAAGCTGAGGCAGGAGAATGGCATGAACCTGGGAGGCAGAGCTTGCAGTGAGCCGAGATCACACCACTGCACTCCAGACTGGGCGACAGAGCGAGACTCCGTCTCAAAAAAAAAAAAAAAAGGGAGTCTCAAAAAAAAAAAAAAAGGTGTCACCGAATGCTCTCACTTGGTGCCCAATCACCCATTCCATTCATCCTTCCCGTCGTCCTTCCCATCAACCTTCTCCATTCATCCTTCCCATCGTCCTTCTCCATTCATCCTTCCCATCATACTTCTCCATTCATCCTTCCCATCATCCTTCCCATTGTCCTTCCCATCATCCTTCCCATCGTCCTTCTCCATTCATCCTTCCTGTCGTCCTTCTCCATTCATCCTTCACATCATCCTTCTCCATTCATCCTTCCCATCATCCTTCTCCATTCATCCTTCCCATCGTCCTTCTCTATTCATCCTTCCCATCGTCCTTCTCCATTCATCCTTCCCATCGTCCTTCTCCATCACCCTTCTCCATCATCCTCCATTATCCTTCCCATCATCCTTCCCATCATCCTTCCCATCAACCTTCCCATCAACCTTCCCCATCATCCTTCCCATCATCCTTCCCCATCATCCTTCCCATCATCCTTCCCATCGTCCTTCTCCATAATTCTTCCCATCATCCTTCCCCATCACCCTTCTCCATCATCCTCCATCATCCTTCCCCATCATCCTTCCCATCATCCTTCCCATCATCCTTCCCCATCATCCTTCCCCATCATCTTTCCCATTATCCTTCCCATCATCCTTCCCATCAACCTTCCCCATCATCCTTCTCCATCATCCTTCCCATCATCCTTCCCCATCATCCTTCCCCATCATCTTTCCCATTATCCTTCCCATCATCCTTCCCATCAACCTTCCCCATCATCCTTCTCCATCATCCTTCCCATCATCCTTCCCCATCATCCTTCCCCATCATCTTTCCCATTATCCTTCCCATCATCCTTCCCATCAACCTTCCCCATCATCCTTCTCCATCATCCTTCCCATCATCTTTCCCCATCATCCTTCCCATCATCTTTCCCCATCATCCTTCCCATCATCCTTCCCATCATCCTTCTCCATCATCCCTCCCATCATCCTTCTCCATCATCCTTCCCCATCATCCTTCCCATCATCTTTCCCCATCATCCTTCCCATTATCTTTCCCCATCATCCTTCTCCGTCATCCTTCTCCATCATCCTTCCCATCCTTCCCATCATCCTTCTCAATCATCCTTCCCCATCATCCTTCCCATCATCTTTCCCCATCATCCTTCCCATCATCTTTCCCCATCATCCTTCTCCATCATCCTTCCCATCCTTCTCCATCATCCTTCCCATCATCTTTCCCCATCATCCTTCCCATCATCTTTCCCCATCATCCTTCCCATCATCTTTCCCCATCATCCTTCTCCATCATCCTTCCCATCCTTCTCCATCATCCTTCCCATCATCTTTCCCCATCATCCTTCCCATCATCTTTCCCCATCATCCTTCCCATCATCTTTCCTCATCATCCTTCCCATCATCTTTCCCCATCATCCTTCTCCATCATCCTTCCCTTCATCCTTCTCCATCATCCTTCCCATCATCCTTCCCCATCATCCTTCTCCATCATCCTTCCCCATCATCCTTCCCATCTTCCTTCTCCATCCTCTCTTCTGTTAAATCCTCTCCAGTCATCCTCCCATCATCCTTCCCTGTCATTCTTCCCATCCTCCTTCCCCATCTCTCCCATTGTCTTTCCAGTCATCCTTCCCCATCATCTTTCCCCATTGTCCTTCTCATTATCCTTCTCATTATCATCCTTCCCATCACCCATCCTGTCATCTTTCACCATCACCTTTCCCATCATCCTTCTCCATCACCTTCCCATCATCCTTCCCCATCATCCTTCCCATCATCCTTCCCATCAACCTTCCCCATCATCCTTCCCATCACCCTTCTCCATCACCCTTCCCATCATCCTTCCCATCATCCTTCCCATCATCCTTCCCCATCATCCTTCCCCATCATCCTTCCCGTCATCCTTCCCATCATCCTTCCCATCATCCTTCCCATGAACCTTCCCATCATCCTTCCCCATCATCCTTCCCCATCATCCTTCCCCATCATCCTTCCCGTCATCCTTCCCATCATCCTTCCCATCATCCTTCCCATGAACCTTCCCATCATCCTTCTCCATCATCCTTCCCATCATCCTTCTCCATCATCCTTCCCCATCATCCTTCCCCATCACCACCTATCCCCACCATCCTTCTCCATCATCCTTCTCCATCATCCTTCCCATCATCCTTCTCCATCATCCTTCCCATCATCCTTCTCCATCATCCTTCCCATCATCCTTCTCCATCATCCTTCCCATCATCCTTCTCCATCATCCTTCCCCATCACCACCTATCCCCACCATCCTTCCCATCATCCTTCTCCATCATCCTTCCCATCATCCTTCCCATCATCCTTCCCATCATCCTTCCCATCAACCTTCCCATCATCCTTCCCCATCATCCTTCCCACCATCCTTCTCCATCATCCTTCCCATCATCCTTCTCCATCATCCTTCCCCATCACCACCTATCCCCACCATCCTTCTCCATCATCCTTTCCCACCATCCTTTCCTATCATCCTTCACCGTCATCCTTCCCCATCATCACACACCCCCACCATCCTTCCTTATCATCTGTTCCATTGTTTGTCCCTAGACCAGCTCTGTTGCCTCATCCCTGGTCTCTGGACTGTGAGCACCAGGCCTGCCACCTGCTGACTCTGTACACTGACCTCCGTCTCTCCCATCTCTGTCACGGTAAAAACCCAACTCCTTCCCATTCCCACCAGGCCCTGAATGACCTGCCTGGCCACCTCCTTGCTCTCACCTCCTCCCTTTCTCTCCCTTACTCAGTCTGCTGCAGCCACATGGGCCTGCTTTTGGTTCCATCTGCACAGCAGGCACGTTGGTCTCAGAGTCTTTGCTCATGCTGTGCTCTTCCTAGACACCCTCACGGCCTTCACCTCAGTGGCCTTCCCTGCCTCCATCCTCCCCCAACTCTCCTTTGCTTTCTTCTCAGCACTCTGTGGGGGCCAGGACCACCTCCCAGCCTCTTCCCAGGCCCAGAACCGTGCTTGACACACAGCAAGTGTTCAAGTTTTAGCGGAATAAATGTGTGTGATGGCCAAGGTGCTCAGATGTTTTTCTGAGAAATCAACAGGATGGGGGCCTGGGGCCTCTTCCCACCTTCACAGGCAGCTGCAGACACCACCTCCACGGCCCCCAGGCCCTCCTCACACCCACTCACACTCACGGGCTCTCTCTGGCTGAAAGGAAGGGCTATTTTTAACCTCGTCATCCTCTGCCTCAAGTGTTTAATTGCACAATAATGAGGGTGGGCGACGGGAGAGCAAACCTCAGATTACACCAGCACATGGGGCAGGGCTGCCGGCACTGCCTGCCCACGTGGTCCCTCACGTGGAGACCCTCACACACTCCACCCCTAAGGCCAGGGAAGACCTTCGAGGCATGCGTGTTCTGAGGAGCCTGCAGGCCCAGAGAGAGCTGCTGCAGAGAGGGAGGTGCCTGCCTGGCACAGGGCTGCATAGACGTCTATCCAAACTCAGGGACGGCTGTTCCTGTAGAGCCACGGGCCCCACGGAATGGGGACCACGCCGATGCCCTCCTCCCCAGCCCCACTCACCCCATTGTGTATTGGTATCTCCCCGCTGTCCCTGCAGGCTCTGGCCCCATCCCACCTCCAGGCTTTTCCTCCTGGTGCACTCTCCCCTGATCACCTCCCAGTCCCTTCCTCACCTCCTTCACTTCTGTCTTTGTCCAAAGTCCCCTTCCTGGGAAGGCCTCTCCGACCTCCCTACCTTCCTGCCTTCCCCACGACTCTACCATCTCCTCCCTGCCGCGTTCTCCCGGCAATTCACCAATCGTGTTTCTTGCCTGTCTTCCCCACTAAGACGCCACCTCCAGGAGGGCAGGGATTTTGCCGATTTTGTTCACAGCTGGGTCCCCAGGGCCTCTGCCGGGACGGGCGTGGCACACAGTCGGTGCCCAATGTATGCTTGACGTACTCGCGGGTGAATGAACAGCTGTGCAGGACCCTGCCCGCTCTTCCGGAAGCTTTTGGACGTGGCCAGTGCTGCCCCTCCTCGCGGACTGAGCAGCTGCCACCTGGGGCTGCCGTAGCAAAGGCACATGGCCTGGGTGTTCCCACAGCAGAGATGTGTCCTCCCGGTTCTGGAGGCCAGAGCTTTGCCATCCAGGTGTCGGCAGGGCTGGCTTCTTCCAGAGGCTCAGAGGGAGACTGCGTCTGTGTCCTTCTCCAGCTGGTGGTGGTGGCCGGTGGCCCTCGGCCTGTAGATGCCTCAGTCCAGTCTCTGCCTCTGTCCTTGCACGGCCGTTGCCCCTGAGAGTGTTGTGAGCCCACTCCTCATCTTAGAGAGACGCCGGTCATCAGATTGAGGGTCCTCCGGACTCCAGGGTGACCTCATCTGAACTCATCACATCTGCAAAGACCTTATTTCCAAATAAGGTCCTACTCATGGGTTCCAGGGATGGACCGTGTTTTGGGGGGAGACACAACTCAACCCATCATACTCTCCTTGATGCTGATTAAATCAAAGTCTGAGCTCATCTAGACCTGCAGAGTTGGGGTCTCTGTAGGAGGTAAGGTGGGGGGCTGGCCCAAGACTCTATGCTTTGAATATTGTTTTCACATCTTTTAGTTTTGATATCATTTTGACCTTACAGGAAAGTGGCAAGATTACTTGTCATACAGCAGGAACTCCCCCTGACTCTACCCAGAGTCACCAGCGGGCTGGATTTTCCCCATTTGCTGTGTCATCTTCGGTGTCTGTACCTCTATCTGTATCTACAGCCACCTGTTATCTACATATGGTACAATATTCATATTTATACACATTTTCAGAACCATTGAAGACTATGCTGGAGGTGCAATGCCCACTTCCTCCTAAACATATCAGCGTATCTTTTCTAAAAACCAGGATTCTCTTTTATAACCCTGGGGCTGTTGTCAACATCGGGAAATTCCACATCCACACAACGCTCAGATCTAATCCGCTGCCTGCATTTAAATCTCACCGGCTGCTGTGGTGATGTCCCACTGTGGGTGGGGGGGCCTTGCTACCCCAGCAGGTACCATGGCAACAGATGCTGCTGGCCGGGCCTGCAGTGGAGCAGCGTGGGCTGGGAGCCAGCCAGGGCGGGGGCCGGGGCGGGGGCCGGGGGGCCAGGCCTGGAGGTGCCGCTGGCCCTGGGGTCGGGTTAATGGCACCCTGAGGACCACAGAGTGAAGCTCCTGGGCCTCTCAGACCACTTGGCCTTGGCTAAGGGTTGAGAAGGGTTCTGAGGCCTTGCCAGGGCTCAGAGGGAAACAGTGTGGCCCTCAGCATTCGGCTGCTGATGTCTGCCTCAGGCTGGCCATGGCGTGGGCGCAGTGTGCTGTGTGTCTGTGTCCAGCCCTCGTGTGCACAGATGAGGAACGGCCTCCTTCTGAGGCTCTTGGCAAGCGCGGAGGAAGCAGAGCCCGGTTGCCCAGTCCGCGGGCTTGACCGCACCCCAATGCTGGGGAGAAGGGGCTGCCACATCAGAGCTGCTCACAGCCGGGCCCTGGGGAGCCACCGATGTCCCTGCACCTCCGCGTTCCCATCTGTGACAGGGAGCAATGGTGGCTGCACCTTCAGGGCTGCTCGAGGACTCGCCTCAGTGTTCCCATCTGTGACAGGGAGCAATGGTGGCTGTCTTGGTGTTCCCATCTGTGACAGGGAGCAATGGTGGCTGTGCCTTCAGGGCTGCTCGAGGACTGAGTGGGAGGATGTTGCTACACGGAGTTTTGTTGATGGCATCTGTAGTTGTACAGTGACCCTACTCTCAGGCTACATGGGCTGCATCTGTTACAGCCATGGGTCTGCATTGTTCAGAATCATGTCTTGGAGGCCACGCTCTACCCACCTCTGTCTCCCATTACCGTGGGGTCTTGGCCTGCGCTGCTCTAGAACCCCAACCCCAGCTCAGGCCCCAGGAGAGAAATGGATGGGTCCCCACAAGCCAGACCGCGGCCTCCCAGAACCAGCTCATGGGGGATACGGGAGCGAGCAGAGACGTGAGGGCAGGAGCCACGGGCAGGGCACGTGCAAGAGGCCAGTGGTGGACTCAGAGGACAGGCAGACACACGGAGGACAGAGAAAGAGGGAGGGGAGAGAGAGAGAGACAGAGAGACGGAGAGGGGCATTGCCCTGTGTCTGGAGGGGAGGGGCTTGTCAAGGGCTGGGTTGGGGGTTGGGGCTGCAGAGGGACTGGGGGACTCGTCCCAGCCTCTCCTCCAAGGGCATCTTGGGCTGTTCCCCAGAAGCCGACTCTTTGGGCTGAAAATAGACCTCACAGCTCAGACACTGTCTCTGCAGCCACCTGGTGGCCCCTCACGCGTCCCCAGCTTCCCCGGAATGCCGAGTGTGTTGGTGAATTTTTTGTGTGAACTCGACTGGGCCGCAGGATCCCCAGAAGTTTGGTCAAACATCATTCTGGGCAGGTCTGTGAGGATGTTTTTGGATGAGGTGAACATCTGCAAACCACCCGCTCTTAGGAACACACCCAAACTCTGCTGTCGTGTTGAGGGTTTCATTACCATGAGTAAATCTGGGATGAATATTCATGTGTGAACGTCACTGACTACGTGCTCTGTGACATGTTTGGACACATGTGTCCCTCCAAATCTCATGCGGAAATGTGACGCCCAGAGTTGGTGTGAGGCCTGGTGGGAGGTGCTGGCTCACGGGGTAGATCCCGCCTGCAGGGCTTAGCCCATGCCCTTGGTGACACGTGAGTTGAGTTCTTGCTCACCTGAGAGCTGTTTACGATTGCGGCACCTTCCCCCTTGCTAACTCTCGCTCACCTGAGAGCTGTTTAGGAGTGCGGCACCATCCCCCGTCCTGCCTGTTGCTCACCTGAGAGCCATTTAGGAGTGCGGCACCGTCCCCCGTCCTGCCTGTTGCTCACCTGAGAGCCATTTAGGAGTGCGGCACCTTCCCTCTTGCTCCCTCTCACCCGTGACACACCAGCTCCCTCTTCACCTTCCTTGATGGGTAAACCTCCCCGGCCTCCCCAGAAGCGGCCCAGAGGCCGGTGTCACATTTCCTGTACGGCCCGCAGAACCGTGAGCAAATGAACCCTCTTCGTTATGAACGACCCAGCCTCAGGGACCTCTTCATAGCGACACACTCCACAAGACAGATGACTGGGGGTGAAGATCCTGGGCCCAAGGACGGAGCATCTGTGATGCAGGTACCTGCCGCCCAGTTCCCTTCTGAGGGCTGCGCCCGTGCAGGGCTGAGGGTGTGGGGCCTGCCCCCACGCCAGCCCATCCTTGTCAACCCTGCACGTCTCTCTGTCTCTCTCAGCTCAATGCAACCTCCACCTCCCGGGTTCAAGTGATTCTTCTCCCTCAGCCTCTCGAGTAGCTGAGATTACAGGCATGCACCATCACGCCCGGCTGATTTTTGTATTTTTAGTAGAGACGGGGTTTCACCATGTTGGCCAGGCTGGTCTCGAACTCCTGACCTCAGGTGATCCGTCCGCCTCGGCCTCCCAAAGTGCTGGGATTACAGGCCTGAGTCACTGCGCCCCGCCCTTAACTTGAATTTCTTAAGGCTGGATATGTGTTCCTAAGATCTTGGCCACCGTATTTCTTCCATTTGTAACTTGCTCATCCAAGTTCTCACTCATCCTCCTGCCGGGGTTTTGACCTGTTACTAATTTATGTGAGCTTATTATATAACAAGGATAGATGATCAAGGCCGAGGCTGAGACCCTGATGTGTACTCGAGGACACACGGCCGAGGCTGAGACCCTGCCGTGTACTCACAGACACACGCGGCCGAGGCTGAGACCCTGCCGTGTACTCACAGACACACGCGGCCGAGGCTGAGACCCTGCAGTGTACTCACAGACACACGCGGCCGAGGCTGAGACCCTGCCGTGTACTCACAGACACACGCGGCCGAGGCTGAGACCCTGCAGTGTACTCACAGACACACGCGGCCGAGGCTGAGACCCTGCCGTGTACTCACAGACACACGCGGCCGAGGCTGAGACCCTGCCGTGTACTTACAGACACACGTGGCCGAGGCTGAGACCCTGCTGTGTACTCACAGACACACGTGGCCGAGGCTGAGACCCTGATGTGTACTCGAGGACACACGGCCGACGCTGAGACTCAGAGCCCCTGTGGTCCCAGCTACTCGGGAGTCTGCGTTGGGGGGATCGCTTGACCTCAGGAAGTTGAGGCAGCAGTGTGTGGAGATTCACTGTTGCACTCCAGCCTGGATGACAGAGCAAGGCACTGCCTCAAAAATAA
This sequence comes from Homo sapiens, assembly GCF_000001405.40. NCBI lineage: Eukaryota > Metazoa > Chordata > Mammalia > Primates > Hominidae > Homo > Homo sapiens. The sequence continues at coordinate 387,816 of NC_000019.10, read as the reverse complement.
AGAAATACATAAATACTGAAATTTTTAGGGGTGGAGGTGCATGACATCTACAACTTAGCTTCAAATGTTCAGGAAAAAACCGACAGGAGGATAACACAGGGCGGCAGGTCGTTCACAGCGGGTGACCAGGTGAAGGACACACAGAGTTCTTACTGGGACCTTAAAGCCAATTTGACCTGTGAAGGGGTGGGTTGCCCCTCCATACCTGTGGGTGTTTCTCGTTAGGTGGAACAAGAGACTTGGAAAAGAAAAAGACACAGAGACAAAGTATAGAGAAAGAAATAAGGGGACCCGGGGAACCAGCGTTCAGCATATGGAGGATCCCGCCAGCCTCTGAGTTCCCTTAGTATTTATTGATCATTCGTGCGTGTTTCTTGAAGAGGGGGATGTGTCAGGGTCACAAGACAATAGTGGGGAGAGGGTCAGCAGACAAACACGTGAACAAAGGTCTTTGCATCATAGACAAGGTAAAGGATTAAGTGCTGTGCTTTTAGATATGCATCCACATAAACATCTCAATGCTTTACAAAGCAGTATTGCTGCCCGCAGGTCCCACCTCCAGCCCTAAGGCGGTTTTTCCCTATCTCAGTAGATGGAACGTACAATCGGGTTTTATACCGAGACATTCCATTGCCCAGGGAGGGGCAGGAGACAGATGCCTTCCTCTTGTCTCAACTGCAAGAGGCATTCCTTCCTTTTACTAATCCTCCTCAGCACAGACCCTTTACGGGTGTCGGGCTGGGGGACGGTCAGGTCTTTCCGTTCCCACGAGGCCATATTTCAGACTGTCACATGGGGAGAAACCTTGGACAATACCTGGCTTTCCTAGGCAGAGGACCCTGCGGCCTTCCGCAGTGTTTGTGTCCCTGGGTACTTGAGGTTAGGGAGTGGTGATGACTCTTAACGAGCATGCTGCCTTCAAGCATCTGTTTAACAAAGCACGTCTCGCACCGCCCTTAATCCATTCAACCCTGAGTGGACACAGCACATGTTTCAGAGAGCACGGGGTTGGGGGTGGGGTCACCGAATCTCAAGGCAGAAGAATTTTTCTTAGTACAGAACAAAATGGAGTCTCCCATGTCTACTTCTTTCTACACAGACACAGTAACAATCTGATCTCTCTTGCTTTTCCCCACATTTCCCCCTTTTCTTTTCGACAAAACCGCCATCGTCATCATGGCCCGTTCTCGATGGTCGCTGTCTCTTCGGAGCTGTTGGGTACACCTGCAGACTAACAACAGACAAAACAGGCACACAAGGATTAATATGAGATTTATAATCATAGAACTTCCGATGGTCGTAACCCAAGCGACAGGGTTAAGATTTGCGAGGCCATCAGCCACTCCTGCGATTGCCTCCATTCCTGGCACCAAATTTAAATGGGCTTTTGATGCTTCGAAAATTTGTTCTTTCAATTTGGAAATGTCTAAAGTGAGATTATCTTCTCTTCCCTGTAGATGGCGTCTAACTATGTCCTAGTGATGCTCAGACTCATTATAAATTTGGGGTGTAATACAAAAGTCTGACGTATTCCAGTCACACTGTAACTGGAAATAATGTTCTAAGCTCATGAGCCTGTCTCCCATCCAAATGACAGGTTGTCTAAGATCATTATTTGATTTGCCAATTTTTGATCAATACTAGATTGTGAATTCCATAATCTTGTAGAATTTTTTTGCCAATCATTAAAAGTTTACCGACTGAACAGAAGAGTGCAATGCAACTCCTGCTACAGCAGCCGTAGCTGTGACTGCAATTAATCCCATAATCACTGCAATTAAAGTAAAAATGAATCTTTTGGATCTATTTAAAACGCCTTTTAATACTTCAGTCAAAATACGGACGGATGGCAAGGCCTCCTGCGGTCAGTCCGTGGACACGGGGACCCACACGCCCTCTCTTGCCCTCCCCAGCAGAATACGGTGTTGCCAATTAAAAGTCAAATCAATGCAAGTAAACAATCTGCAGTTTTCACAGGTTATAGTTTGAGAGTCTGGTTTAATAACTATATTTCCTACAACTAGCATATAAGGGGGGGCTTTACGCAACTTTGTAAAGGAACCGTTGGACTGGAATTTAGGTGGATAGTATAAAATGGCTTACAATCTCTTGTTTCTAAAGTTTGATTTCCAGACCAAATTCTAATGTGGTGTGAGGCCACAGTAAGCCTCCATAATTCTGGATGTTCAGGACCAGAAACAGGACTTATTATTTTTGGTCTTGGGGTAGAGATTCCTTTTTCTCCCCATACCCAAGGGTAGAAAGACTGTAATTTTTTATGCTTATGTTTGTCTAGAGTTTCTGTTAAGTCGCTATCAACAGCTGGACTCACTTGTGCACTTGGACACGACCGAGTTTGTCCTGAGCAACTGTGGTAGAATTGACTCGAGGTGCCCAATCTATAATAGTTCCGAATTCATTGTTTTGTAATATCACCGCACTATTGGCCACACATTCTTTCCAAACTAAAACTTCTGTATTTTTTGATCCTTTGGGAATTTCCTTGGGGCAAGGTTTCCCTATAGGTCTAAATTTTAATGATCTTTGATAAGAAAAGTCTTGTAAATAATTTACCCGTGGCCTGAGTGACATCCCGCTTACCATGTGATAAGTGAATCTACTGATGGGACTGACAGTAGGTACTTCCACCAACCAATTTTGGACTGTAGGCATTAAACATCCTGGTGCTTTCCCTAGGCAAATAGGAGGATAACGATAACTATGTTTGCCGACGTGACCTCAGTGACACAAAGAAACCTTCTGCCCCCACCTCCCTCCCAGTCACAGCTCACCAGGCGCCTTCTGCCCCCACCTCCCTCCCAGTCACAGCTCACCAGGCGCCTTCTGCCCCCACCTCCCTCCCGGTCACAGCTCACCAGGCGCCTTCTGCCCCCACCTCCCTCTCAGTCACAGCTCACCAGGCGCCTTCTGCCCCCACCTCCCTCCCACTTCATCAGTTCCAGGGAGCTTTCTTTCAAAATGATACTACTTTTCTTGAAAGTTCGCAATTATTTCAAAACAACAACACAAACAAAGCCAGAAAGGCATGCAAACAAACAGCAGTGAGAACAAAACAAGGTTACTAACCAGCTCCTATGCTCTGCCCCAGGCTTGGGCCTGCTCTCTCTCTGTAAAAACCATTGACAATGCTGGGGACAGTTGAACTTTCATTTGCACCAAGCTGCGACTTTCCCCTTGGGGTAGCCAGGACTGGCCCTGAAGGAAAAGGGAAGTAATTTCTCATCACAGTATTTGGTGTTCTGTAGTCTGGGCCTTGTGTTGCTGGCGGCACCTGGAGGGCACCGCTCCGAGCCCCTCCTCTGGGAAACAGGCTGTGAATTGTGGATGACACCGCGGGTCACTGTGCGAGGGAAGAGCACGGTTGTGCCTGTACCCAGGGGAAAGCCCGGCCCCACCCGTCACCCTCGTCCAGTGACATCTGTGGGATTTCTCCTCAGCCACGACCAAGGCTGTTCTGTTCCCACCCAACACTGCGAGAGCAGGCCCGGAGGGAGGTGGCAGCGAATGATCTAGGTTCTGCGGGAGCTGACGTGGGTTCGCGCCCGGTGCAATCCCGGGCCAATGCACTGCCTCTCTGAGCTCGTTTTCTCCTTGGTGAAACGAGGGTGGTAATGGGGAAAGCCGCCCTCGCAGGACAGGCTGTGGGGACGATTCGGTTCGGGAGCCCTCGGTCCAGGGTTAATCCTGGCGAGGGGAGACCAACTGCCCTTGACTGCGGCGGCAGCTGGTGGTCGCCTGTGGTATTGCTGCCTCCTCGCCGGGGGCCGCGGGCCGTCACTCACTCTCGAGGCTTCCTGGAATTCTCTTCTGCACTTTGGGAGGCCGAGGCGGGCGGATCACTTGAGGACGGGAGTTCGAGACCAGCCTGACCAACACGGAGAAACCCCAACTCTACTAAAAATACAATTAGCCAGGCGTGGTGGCGCGCGCCTGTAATCCCAGCTACTCCGGAGGCTGAAGTAGGAGAAATGCTTGAACCCAAGAGGCGGAGGTTGCGGCGAGCCGAGGTCGCACCACTGCACTCCAGCCTGGGCAACACGAGCGAAACTCCATCTCAAAAGAAAGAAAGAAAGAAAGAAGTTCTGTTCTGAATGCTGCTGGAAGTCCAGGCATGAACAAGATAAATCACAGTCTCCACCCTATTGGAGCACATATGCTAATGAGATAAAAAGACAATAAATATGTAAAAAGTCAACACAAAGCAAGATCATGATACATGCAACTAAGCAAACAAACTCCCCATAGATTTAGGTAGAAAAATGAGGGGGCCCTACTTTAGACGAGGTGATTGGGGAAGGCTTTTTGGAGGAGGTGATATTTAAGGAGAATCTGGAAGGAGTCATGCCCCTGAATTGGGAGGGGGTTACTGAGCCCCGAACTGAGCTGGCGTGTGCAGCAGAAAGGCCCGCGTGGCTATGAGAGCAGGCCTGAGAGAGGGACAGGGGAGGGGACTAGCCTGGCGGGCCTGGGGAGGGAGCCAGGCAGCAGGGGGTCTCCATCCTGAAGTAGAAGTGCTGGGGGCCCACACCCCCGACTTGGGTGGCTCTGACCACTGGGAACAGGAGAAGGGTGTGCTTCCGTTGTGCGTTGCTGCATGACACGCAGCCCGGCCAGCAGTTGACGGCGGGCATTCGTCACTCTTCGTGATTCTGCGTTCTGCGCTAGGACATGACCTCACTAGGCAACAGGAACTTTCCAGCTCCGTCACAATCTTACACAGCTGTTGTGGACCGAAACGAGGTATGCTGCTGAAGCTGTAATAGGTGCTCAGCAGAATCAGCCATGCCTTCCCTCTGTAGGCTTAATCTGGAGTTGTTTCAAAACGAATCTGCCATTTTAGAGACTGGCGAGAGTGAATTTGAATGCGACTTCTTCCCCTTTCTCCTCTCTCTCCTCCCTCCGTTTTCTTTTGCAAGGACCTTAGGGGCATAAAATTAGGTGAACCATAATTATTTCCATCCACCCATTCATTTACCCATTCACGATTCAACCATGAGCTCATTACCCAACTGGAGAATAGGAATGTGATCAACCACTTCCTGCCACAGCCCCAGCAACAGCAACACCTAATACATCTGCTTATGAATCACCACGGTTCTGCTCCACCTCCTACATCAGCTCATCACCACGGTTCTGCCCCACCTCCTACATCTGCTCATCACCACGGTTCTGCTCCACCTCCTACATCTGCTCATCACCACGGTTCTGCTCCACCTCCTACATCTGCTCATCAATCACCACGGTTCTGCTCCACCTCCTACATCTGCTCATCACCACGATTCTGCTCCACCTCCTACATCTGCTCATCACCACGGTTCTGCTCCACCTCCTACATCTGCTCATCACCACGGTTCTGCTCCACCTCCTACATCTGCTCATCACCACGGTTCTGCTCCACCTCCTACATCTGCTCATCAATCACCACGGTTCTGCTCCACCTCCTACATCTGCTCATCACCACGATTCTGCTCCACCTCCTACATCTGCTCATCACCACGGTTCTGCTCCACCTCCTACATCTGCTCATCACCACGGTTCTGCTCCACCCCCTACATCTGCTCATCACCACGGTTCTGCCCCACCCCCTACATCTGCTCATCACCACGGTTCTGCTCCACCTCCTACATCTGCTCATCAATCACCACAGTTCTGCCCCACGTCCTACATCTGCTCATCACCACGGTTCTGCCCCACCACCTACATCTGCTCATCAATCACCACGGTTCTGCTCCACCTCCTACATCAGCTCATCACCACGGTTCTGCCCCACCTCCTACATCTGCTCATCACCACGGTTCTGCTCCACCTCCTACATCTGCTCATCACCACGGTTCTGCCCCACCTCCTACATCTGCTCATCACCACGGTTCTGCTCCACCTCCTACATCTGCTTATCAATCACCACGATTCTGCTCCACCTCCTACATCTGCTCATCACCACGGTTCTGCTCCACCTCTTACATCTGCTTATCAATCACCACGATTCTGCTCCACCTCCTACATCTGCTCATCACCACGGTTCTGCCCCACCCCCTACATCTGCTCATCACCACGGTTCTGCTCCACCTCCTACATCTGCTTATCAATCACCACGGTTCTGCTCCACCTCCTACATCTGCTCATCAATCACCACGGTTCTGCTCCACCTCCTACATCTGCTCATCAATCACCACGGTTCTGCTCCACCTCCTACATCTGCTCATCACCACGGTTCTGCTCCACATCCTACATCAGCTCATCACCACGGTTCTGCCCCACCTCCTACATCTGCTCATCACCACGGTTCTGCTCCACCTCCTACATCTGCTCATCACCACGGTTCTGCTCCACCTCCTACATCTGCTCATCAATCACCATGGTTCTGCTCCACCTCCTACATCTGCTCATCAATCACCACGGTTCTGCTCCACCTCCTACATCTGCTCATCAATCACCACGGTTCTGCTCCACCTCCTACATCTGCTCATCACCACGGTTCTGCCCCACCTCCTACATCTGCTCATCAATCACCACGGTTCTGCTCCACCTCCTACATCTGCTCATCAATCACCACGGTTCTGCTCCACCTCCTACATCTGCTCATCAATCACCACGGTTCTGCTCCACCTCCTACATCTGCTCATCACCACGGTTCTGCTCCACCTCCTACATCTGCTTATCAATCACCACGGTTCTGCTCCACCTCCTACATCTGCTCATCACCACGGTTCTGCTCCACCTCCTACATCTGCTTATCAATCACCACGATTCTGCTCCACCTCCTACATCTGCTCATCACCACGGTTCTGCTCCACCTCCTACATCTGCTTATCAATCACCACGATTCTGCTCCACCTCCTACATCTGCTCATCACCACGGTTCTGCCCCACCCCCTACATCTGCTCATCACCACGGTTCTGCTCCACCTCCTACATCTGCTTATCAATCACCACGGTTCTGCTCCACCTCCTACATCTGCTCATCAATCACCACGGTTCTGCCCCACGTCCTACATCTGCTCATCACCAGGGTTCTGCTCTTTTTTTTTTTTTTTGAGAGGAGTCTCACTCTGTAACCCAGGCCGCAGTGCAGTGGCAGGATCTTGGCTCACTGCAAACTCCGCCTCCTGGGTTCAAGTCATTCTCCTGCCTCAGCCTCCTAAGTAGCTGAGATTACAGACGCCCGCCACCACGCCCAGCTAAGTTTTTGTATTTTTAGTAGAGACGGGGTTCACCATGCTGGCCAGGATGGTCTCTATCTCTTGGCGTTGTGATCCGCCTGCCTTGGCCTCCCAAAGTGCTGGGATTACAGGCGTGAGTCACCGCACCCAGCCAGCACTCATCTATTTTCTTATTCATTTATAGGAGCTATTTATTCATGGTGGGTACTAATCAATTATAGATGTGACAGATGCTGCATTCCCATTCGTGGCTTCTGTTTCCACTTTTTTGAGGAGTCCTGAACATGAGGCTTCAGTTTAATATGGCCGACTTATTGGTCGTGTATGATTAGCACTCTACATGTCTTGTTAAAAAAATTACTCCCTACATGGAGCGCAAAAGCATGGTCACATTCATTTTTTTCTGTAAGTTTTGAAGTTGTGTTTCAGCTTTCACGTATCCACTGAGGGCTGTTGTGTGTGGTATGAGGTAGGTGTCACAGAAGGAATAGTGATCCCCAACGGTGTCCACATCCTCGTCCCTGGAACCTGGTGTGAAACTGGTGATATGGATGGGAGTTACCCAACGCAACAGTCGAGAGACCAGGTAAAAAGCATTCAGATGCACGCGCCTGCCCAGGACGGCGTCACAGGCCAGCGCCCGAAACCGCCTGCCGTGACCCTAAAGCCAATTTGACCTGGGAGCTGTGGAGGTGACCTCAGCTAAATGAAGACGCCTTCTGCCGCCACCTCCCTCCCAGTCACAGCTCACCAGGTCCCTTCTGCCCCCACCTCCCTCCCAGTCACAGCTCACCAGCTCCCAAAGCTTCCAGTTCTTGCGAGCTTTCTTTCGAAATGATTCGCAACATTGTTCCTTCTAGTAAAAGCCCCAACCTGCTGCAGATATACCGAAGACCTCCCGGTCTGTGTACAGGCCCGAAATTGCAATTCTGTTTTTTTTGGTTTTTTTTTGTTTGTTTTTTGTTTTGAGACGGAGTCTCGCCCTGTCGCCCAGGCTGGGGTGCAGAGTGGCGTGATCTCGGCTCACTGCAACCTCCACCTCCCAGATTCACACCATTCTCCTGCCTCAGCCTCCCGAGTAGCTGGGACTACAGGCGCCCGCCACCACGCCCGGCTAATTTTTGTATTTTTAGTAGAGACGGGGTTTCACCGTGTTAGCCAGGATGGTCTCGATCTCCTGACGTCATGATCCGCTCGCCTCAGCCTCCCAAAGTGCTGGGATGACAGGCATGAGCCACCGCGCCAGGTCTCAATTCTGTTTTTATGTATTTTCCCAAACAAAATGTCTTACGTAAAAATGCCTCTCTATGTGCTCGTTTGAGTTTGACACTGGGAGCATGTTATTTTATGTGGCAAAATGGACTTCGCAGGTGGGACTGGGGTTGCAGACGTGGAGGGTCAGAGCACCTGGCTTATCCAGGCTGACCTTCAATCACCTGTTTCCGTAATAACCAAACGGGTTTCCCAGCCCTGCTCAGAGATGAGTGCCAGTGGAGCATCCATGTGAGGGGGCTTGACTGGCCGTTGCTGGCTTTGAAAATGGAGCGAGGGGCCAGGACTGAGAAGAGCGGTGGCCTCTGGGTGCTGGGGGGCCCCCAGCTGACACACACAGCAACGCTGGGAAGGGCCCCCGGCTGACACACACAGCAAGAACGCAGATCTCAGTCCTACGACCACAAGGCACTGAATTCTGTGGCCACCAAATGAGCAGGAGACGGGCCTTCCTCTGAAGGCTGCAGGAACCAGCCCTGCCCACACCGTGGCTTGAGTCCAGTGAGATCCATGTTGGGCTTCTGAGCCCAGGGCGGCCAGGTAATCGCTCAGTGTTGCTGGAGCCTCTGCTTGTGATATGTGTTAAGGCGGCCACAGCAGAGAGGAACACAGTAGGGACCTGGTTTATTTTCTGCCAGGCGGACGCCCCAGGTCCGGGCAGTCAGAACCCCACACATCCCACAGCCCGGTCCCCGTCCCCCTCTATTTTCTGCTCAAAGCAACATCACACAACATTCAGAAATCATGCACTTCCTTGGCTGTGAACGTCTTGCTTTTCCACAGGATGTTGGAGCAGACGTGGACCCTCCAACTCTCCCCCGAGTGCGGGCAGAGTTCTGCTGTCCCCGCGCGCTCCTGAGCTCCTCCGGCTCCTGCCGTAGAGACATCCAGCCCTGACTCCCCCGAGAAGGTGCCGGGTGCAGCTCCACCAGCCGCGTGGCCCTGGGAGCTTCCCCATGACCCTGGAGCGCTCATCTGCCTCTCCTCTCCACAACGGGCTGCCATGAGGGCTAAACGCGCTGCAGCCTGGGTGCTGCCTGGGTGCTGAGAGCCGGAGGCTGCCAGACCCCCAACCGCGCCTCCCTGGAGTAGGGTTAGGGAGCAGCCTCGGGGTGCGGCGCCCTGCTCTGAACGAGGTCTCCTGGAAACACTGCAGTGGCCACAGGCCCTCCAGCGGCAACAATGCCTAACTCATCTCTTTGTGAAAGGCACCCGCAGATCTTGATCCAGTTTAACTTAAGAGAGAAAAGTAAATCATTGAGTGCAAGGTAAGGGTTTACGAGACTTCCGGCCAAGAAAGGGGATTTTCCCATGGCCTCCTTGATGGGACCGGATCCTCCCCGGGGCCCTTCTGCCTGGAGTCCTCCGAGAGACCCCTTTCCTGACAGAGGTGGTGGTGAGGCTGCGTCTGGGAGCAGAGCATCAGGGAGATGGGATGGGAGCTGGAGAGGGCTTTGTGTGTGTCGATGAACTGGGTCTCTTGCGTGCCGAGTGGTCACCATGCCCGGAGGGCCGGCCCCACGCTGGTGGCAGGGGTGAGGGACAGAGCAGTCCTCGGGGTGGGCTAGCACTGGGTGGGGGTAGGGGTGGGGGTCCTAGGCCTGGGAGCCCAGAAAGGGGAGGGATGGTCAGGGACTCTCCCTGCGTGGGGGACCGACAGGCTTGAGTCTTCAATGATGAGTAGAAAACCACCAAGCACAGAAGGGTGAAAGGCTGGGTGGGGGCACACAGCACAGAGGGGGAGAGGCTGGGTGGGGCACAGAGGGGGAGAGGCTGGGTGGGGCACAGAGGGGGAGAGGCTGGGTGGGGCACAGAGGGGGAGAGGCTGGGTGGGGCACAGAGGGGGAGAGGCTGGGTGGGGGCACAGAGGGGGAGAGGCTGGGTGGGGGCACAGAGGGGGAGAGGCTGGGTGGGGCACAGAGGGGGAGAGGCTGGGTGGGGCACAGGGGGGAGAGGCTGGGTGGGGCACAGAGGGGGAGAGGCTGGGTGGGGCACAGAGGGGGAGAGGCTGGGTGGGGCACAGGGGGGAGAGGCTGGGTGGGGGCACAGAGGGGGAGAGGCTGGGTGGGGCACAGGGGGGGGAGAGGCTGGGTGGGGCACAGAGGGGGAGAGGCTGGGTGGGGCACAGAGGGGGAGAGGCTGGGTGGGGCACAGGGGGGAGAGGCTGGGTGGGGCACAGAGGGGGAGAGGCTGGGTGGGGCACAGAGGGGGAGAGGCTGGGTGGGGGCACAGAGGGGGAGAGGCTGGGTGGGGCACAGGGGGGAGAGGCTGGGTGGGGCACAGGGGGGAGAGGCTGGGTGGGGCACAGAGGGGGAGAGGCTGGGTGGGGCACAGAGGGGGAGAGGCTGGGTGGGGGCACAGAGGGGGAGAGGCTGGGTGGGGCACAGGGGGGAGAGGCTGGGTGGGGCACACGGGGGAGAGGCTGGGTGGGGCACAGAGGGGGAGAGGCTGGGTGGGGCACAGAGGGGGAGAGGCTGGGTGGGGGCACAGAGGGGGAGAGGCTGGGTGGAGGCACGGGGGGGGAGAGGCTGGGTGGGGCACGGAGGGGGAGAGGCTGGGTGGGGCACGGAGGGGGAGAGGCTGGGTGGGGGCACAGAGGGGGAGAGGCTGGGTGGGGCACAGAGGGGGAGAGGCTGGGTGGGGCACACAGGGGGAGAGGCTGGGTGGGGCACAGAGGGGGAGAGGCTGGAAATTCAGCTCCTTTGGCGACGTACGAGGAATTCCTGAAGGCAGCAGCCTGGGGAATACTCCAGTTATAACCATTATTTTGTTGTGAGGGTTGGAACAGCCTATTTTGAAGTTATTTCTCATGAGAGGTTGGGGCTGGAAGCGTCTGTATCACCTAGGGTGCAGTTTTAGCTGCTAGGAATTGGAAACCAAGCCAAAACGACTTAGTACTAAGGAAACTTACTGTTTCAAGTAACAAGAAGCCTGGACACAGAGTGGATTCCAAGGCTGCTAAGTTCAGAGGCTCGACAGCCACATCAAAGGCCCACCTTTCAGTTCATCTGCCCTCAGATGGCAGGCCTCATGGTCACAAGAAGGCTGCCTGGGCTCTGGACATTACCGACGGGCCCCACAGGGACAGGAACAGGAGACGCGGTCTCTTCCTTGTGTCTCCTTTTGAGAGAGGGAATCCATAGCTAGATGCCCCTGCAGGTTCCCGTCAGGTCTCCTTCCTAAACCAATCCTGGGAGGTCCTGAGTGAGCCGTGACCACCAGGACTGAGTCCTGATCCCAGCGCAAGCCCAGGTGACCAGCATTGGAGACGGCGCACGGGTTAGAATGTGGACCGTGGGGAATGTGACGGACGCTCTCCTGTTGCCGCGGCCACCACAGACACATTTGGGTGCCGGGAGAGTGAGGCCGCGGGGGCTGGGAAGGGACCGGTGTATGGGGGACAGCAGGCGAAGGTCACTCGGGAACCAGCCCAGCTCTGAGGCTGCGGGCAGGTCGGAAAGGGAGCAGGACGGCGACCCCCGTGGCCTCCAGAGCTCTGTGTACGAGAGCCGGCGGGTCACAGACCCCGAACGCCAGGACCTGGACAATGCAGAGCTGGGACCAGAAGACCCAGAAGAGGAGCTTCCCCCCGAGGAGGTGGCCGGGGAGGAGTTCCCGGAGACCCTGGATCCCAAAGAGGCACTTTCTGAGTTGGAGAGAGTCCTGGACAAGGACTTGGAAGAGGACATTCCTGAAATCAGGTGGGCACCGGGGAACGGGCCTGCCTGGGTGCGGTGGGGTAGGGCTCAGCCCCTGGCAGTGGGGGGAGGGCAGCAGCCCCCTGGGCGGGCGAAAGGGTCGTAACCGGCCACCGGCCTGGCTCGCTGCTCCCGAGGGGCCCGGCCCTGCCGAGTCAGCCTAGGTGTGGGCTTGGTCGGTTGGCGGCCAGCACCCCTCACTGGGCCCTGAGGCAGACACCAGCAGACGCTCCCCTATCTGGTGGCAGGAGGAGGAGTAAACAGCGCTGAGTTTGGAGTCAGGCAGACTGAGTTCAGGTGCCCAGAGTTCAGAGTTTAGCGAGTGATGGCCTCAAGTCAGACAGAGAGAATAAGAAATGGGAAAAAAAAAGCCTCCCAACTCAAAAGTTGAAACCATTCTAAGCACCACACGTGGCTAAAAGGTTTTAAATGGTCGGGAGGAACACGTTCTGGGTGAACTGACGCTTCGGCCAATCAGCACTGGGGGCGCTGATTTTGGGCAGTTGCTGGAGTGTCCCCAGCAAGGCGCGCACTCTACATACCTCTGGGACTCGGCTCCCGTCCTCCCTGCAGCGTGGTCCCTGCACGTGCCCGACCTGCCCCCTTCTCACCGTGGTTTCCGTGCCGCCCAGGGAGGTTTGCCGCCCAAGAACAAAGTGGCTGCCCTGCCCTCATGGGGCTCTGCCAACCTGCAGAGAAAACAGCAGGAGTGTGAGGGGATTCTGGGGAGAACGTGGGAGCCAGCAGCTGCATCAAGCAAGGACAGGGCAGATATCCTGGCATTTGGCATCTTCACCTGCTGCCTGTTTCCCTCCCACAGTCTGTGAGCTTTCTGGGAGGCAGGAGCCGCTCTCTTTAGAGGGTGGTTGCCCCTCTGGGGCCTGGCATACAGTAAGCACTTGACAGATGTCTGTGAGATGAGTAAACACTACCTTAGTACTCACCAAAACAGCCCCGCCAGGTGGGAGCTGGTCTCACCTCCAATTCACAGAGGAGGAAGCTGAGGACCAGGGGAGACAGGTGACCTGGACGGGTCTTCCATCCAGCGAGCAGTGGAGCTGCGGTTGGTCCAGGCCTTCGTGGTGCCAAAGTCCTCCCTCAGAGACCCCTCGAGGGAAAGGAGAGGCGGGTGGGCAGGGTGAGTGCAGACAAAAGGCGCTTGAGCAAGACCCACGCTTCTCTGGGCTCCCAAACGCATCGGGGCGGGAAAGCAGCTCCAACTTCAACGTGGAATTCTCCCAAAGCCGGCTGTCCATCAGCCAGAAGCTCCCCAGCACCACCATGACCAAAGCAAGGAAGAGGAGGAGGCGGAGGAGGCTCATGGAGCTGGCAGAGCCCAAGATAAACTGGCAAGTCCTGAAAGACAGGTGAGGACACGCCAGACCACGGCCTCGTAGGGGCAGCGTGGGCGGCTTTCTCTGCACCCTTCCCGGGCTCCTCCTGTCCCCACTGCTCGGCTCCCCTCCCCCAGCTGCCACCACATCCAGCAAACTTAGGGTAGGTGGGGTTGGCCAGTTAAGGAGGTGGCCAGACACTGGGAGTGGCTAGGGAACGGTGGCCCTCTGGGCGGTGGCCAAAGGAGAGTGAGGAGTTTGGGAGCAAACGGGAGACCCAGGGCAAGAGGCAGTGGGGCTCGGACCCTGTCTCCTCGCAGGAAGGGACGCTGTGGTAAGGGGTATGCCTGGATCTCCCCATGTAAGATGAGCTTGCACTTCTGTCTCTGCTGGTAAGTCCAGGGCTGTCTCCGCCGTGTGCCTATGCTGGGGGACACGTGTCAGGTTCCAGGGGACCCCTTCACTCCAGCCACCCTCCTCTCTCCAGGGAGGAGGATCAGGGAGGGCTCCTCAGATGTGGGGCTCTCCACCCTTGTGACCTGGGTCTGCTCCCAGGAGGTGGCCCTGGGCCCTCTTCTTAGCTATGCTTCTCCCCCAGCTACCTCCTTCTCTGGACATCAGCCTTGCTCACAATAATCCACGCGTCCCGCCGGCCCCCCCACTGTCCTTCTCTGGCCTACCCCCTCTCCCAGCAACTCCACACCCCACCTCGGCCACCCTCCTGGCAGAGACCCAGGCTTGTTTCCGGGCAGGGCCAGGGCTCTCTGCCTCCCTTGCCCTGAGCCGTCCGCTTATTCCAGGCCCTCTGTGTACTGGACCGAGCGGTTCCTTGAGGACACCACCCTCACCATCACAGTGCCCGGTAGGTGGAGCCCGTGCCTGCTGAGACCCCTGCCCCCGGCTGCCGGCCTCCAGGGAACCTGCCCCGCCCCATCTAGATACTTCTGGCCTCCCTTGCCCCATCTCCTCGGAGCCTCTGTCCTCCCCACTGGAGTCTGTCCCCTGAGGAGCTAGAGCTGAGACTGGTCCTGGGGGTGAGGGGCATGGGGAACACTCTCTAGGATAGGGCCAAATCGGGGCAAGAATTTACAAAAAGACCCTTTGCTTTCCCTTCCACAATGATTTCCATGCTTTTCTTGAGAGGAATTTGGTATTGAGGTATCATAGATACCTTCAAATGAGACACTTCGAGAGTTCCCCATAGAGGAGAATAACAGTCCAGTTCTCTCCTGTGCTGTTCTTGACTTTAGACCTACAGTCATCACTAGGCCCCTGGAAACCCCAGGCTTGTACTAACTTCAGAACAAAACCCATTTTCCCAGCCTGTGGGTCCCTGGATCTGTATTGAGCCCCGTTGAGGAGCCACGGTGCTGGGCTGCTGTTCCAGCCCTGCCACTCCCATCCGGTGTCCGAGAAAGGACCTTCAAGCCTCTGAGCCCATTGTCCCTAAATCAGGGACAGCAAATCTTCTCTCTGCAGGGTGTCTGGCCCCCAGTTGTCTCTGCCCACAGTTCTTCCAATTCAGCCTCCTGCCCAAGCTCATGAAAAGCTGAATTCCGCATGCAGAAGCCCCTGGGAACTGCAGGGTGTTGACACTGGGGTTCACTGACTCCGTTTCCCATTTTGCATAGCGGTGTCCCGCCGCGTGGAGGAACTGTCTCGGCCCAAGAGATTCTACCTGGAATATTACAACAACAACAGGTGGGGGAAGGAGGGCTGGGTGGCTACTCAGAAGGCAGAGTTTGGCAGAAATGCCTTATTCTCGCCTGACAGGATGCTGTGTGGGAAAGGGTCCAGGTCCTAGCCCTAGACAGCTGGTGTTCAGACGGGGCTGGCCTGCTTCCCAGCCCACATCCCCAGCAGGCTGCTTCCCAGTCCACATCCCCAGCAGGCTGCTTGGCCCCGTGCAACTGCATTGCCAGCTGTGGAATGGTGGTGGAGGGCACCCGTGAACGGGGATTTGCACAGCGCCTGACACAGTGCGTGCTCAGATGTTATCACCATTGTGACTGTATTTTGTTTACTCAAAAAAGGTGGAAATTCTAAGACACATTAGTATTTTATGTACAAAATTCTTTCTTACCACTTACAGCCCCTGTGCTTGTTAAAAGTGATCTTTAGTTATTTAGACACAACATATAATTACCCATCTTTTATGCAGCGTATGAAGGAAAGCACAGCTGAAGTAGACAGCGGAAGTGTGTCCAACTGTTTTGAACCACTTCTGACACAGACGTTGATGTGGGTGTCGCACACACTGTCCTCACGCCTCTGTGCACTTTTTAACGCCAAATCATACTGTGACCTGAAGACAATTTAAACTGTAATTAAACTTAACTCCTGTAGAAGCAGCAGTGCAGATCACGTGAACAGCACACACAGATGCAGCCAGATGTAGCCAGGACACTTCCGCCATCTGGCTGGCAGCACTCGTAAGCTGCATCCTAACCTCAGACCTGTTCAATGTGGAGACCTTGCCTTAGAATCAATGAAATGCGGCTTTATTTCCGAGCAGAGGCATAGCTGAGACCTGATTTCAGAAGGCACAGCCCCGGGAGCTCAGCTGTCCTTCGCTTTCCCCAGCTTTGCAACCTCAGGACAGACACTTTCATCCCTTGGGTCCAAGTGCTCACGCCAGGCTCTTGATGATGGGGGTGTGTAGAGAAGGCCTGGGAGGAGCTGCCGTCCCAGAAGGGAATGGAGAAGGCCTGGACCTGAGGGTGGACGTTGCACATTGAGCAGAGACAACCCTGGGAGATGGTAGCTCTGTACTTGAGAACTCTTAGAAATTCTTTACGAATCCCTGTTTGGAGACGCTTTCAAAACTCACCACTCTCCCAGGCTCTCTTAACCCCAGAAACAGAGGAGGAGCTGGGAAAGACAGACAGACACATATGGAGGAGCTGGGAAAGACAGACAGACACATACACACACACACACACACACACACACACACACACACCCCCACCCCCGGCCGAGCTGCTGGTCTAAAATGGGGACCTCCCCCAGGACGACTCCTGTCTGGCCCATTCCTCGGTCCTCCCTGGAATACAGAGCGTCGAGTCGCCTGAAGGAACTGGCCGCCCCGAAGATTCGTGATAACTTCTGGAGCATGCCCATGTCTGAGGTGGGTGCCCCGTGCCCCCCGCGACTCACCCCCGCCAGGCGGGCTGGGACCCGGCAGAGAGTGAAAGAGGCTTTGCGTTTGGGAGTCAGGGGAGGAGGAGAAGCTGCACAGGGCGGCTGCCTTTGTCTGGGAGCAGCTTTCTTTTGATCTCTCACTGTCTTCAGAGCCGCCCAGGGGTCATCCTTCCCTGCGCTTCAGTCCGGGTGGATCCCAAAGCTTCCAGCTCACACTCAGGAATTAGAACAGTCTTATCTCAGGTGTTCAGAAAGCGCTCATCTCTCGCCCCAGCTCAGGCCGGACTCCTGGCCACCGGCAACCACTGACCTCGCTCTACGCCCTGTACCTTTTGCTTTTCCGAAAGTCTGAACCCCGCAGCCTGCGGGCTTGACCCGGCTTCTGCCGCCCCCCGCCCTGCATCTGAGACTCTCGCGTGCGTCGGTAGTTTATTCCTTGTCGTCGCCGGTTCAATTCCAGAATTTGCCGATCCAGGCACCCACTGAAGGGTATTTGGGTGGCTTCCAGTTTAGGACTGTTACGATAAAACTGATGTGAATACGCCGGGCGCGGTGGCTCACGCCTGTCATCCCAGCACTTTGGAAGGCTGAGGCGGGTGGATCACGAGGTCAGCAGATCGAGACCATCCTGGCTAACATGGTGAAACCCTGTCTCTACTAAAAATACAAAAAAAAAAAAAAATTAGCCGGGGGTGGTGGCGGGCGCCTGTAGTCCCAACTACTCCGGAGGCTGAGGCAGGAGAATCGCTTGAACCCGGGAGGCGGAGCTTGCAGTGAGCCGAGATCGCGCCACTGCCCTCCAGCCTGGGCGACAGAGCGAGACTCCGCCTCAAAAAAAAAAAACAAAACTGTGAATATCTGTATACAGCTTTTTGTGGAGGCGTAAGTTTCCATATCTCCAGGGTAATACCCAGAATTGGAATTTCTCAGTTACTGGGTATATGTAACTTTTAAAAAACTGACCAATGGTTGTCCAAAGTGACGGCGCCGTCTTGCATTCTCTGGGCCGGGATTGAGCTCAGGCTCTCCCCATCCTGGCCGCCGTCTTGCATTCTCTGTGTGGGGATTGCGCTCAGGCGCTCCCCATCCTGGCCACCATCTTGCATTGTCTGGGCCGGGAGTGGGAGCCCAGGTGCGCCGTATCCTGGCCATCTTGCATTCTTTGGGTGGGAAGTGGGAGCTCAGGCTGTCCCTGTTGTCAGGCCTCTGAGCCCAAGCCAAGCCGTCGCATCCCCTGTGACTTGCACGTATACATCCAGATGGCCTGAAGTAACTGAAGATCCACAAAAGAAGTAAAAATAGCCTTAACTGATGATATTCCACTATTGTGATTTGTTTTTGCCCCACCCTAAGTGATCAAGGTACTTTGTAATGTCCCCCACCCTTAAGAAGGTTCTTTGCGAGATCCACCCCTGCCCGCAAAACATTGCTCTTAACTTCACCACCTATCCCAAAACCTATAAGAACAATTGATAATCCACCACCCTTTGCTGACTCTCTTTTCGGACTCAGCCCGCCTGCACCAGGCGATTAAAAGCTTTTATTGCTCACACAAAGCCTGTTTAGGCTTCTTCACACGGATGTGCCTGAAACCCATCCTGGCCACCATCTTGCATTCTCCGGGTGGGGAGAGGGAGCTCAGGCTCTTCCCCATCTTGGCCACCGTCTTGCATTCTCCAAGCAGGGAATGAACTGAGGCGATCCCCTTCCTGGTTGCCATCTTGCATTCTCTGGGAGGGGAGTGAGCTCTGGTGTGCCCCGTCGTGGCCTCCATCTTGCATTCTCCGGGCGGGGAGTGGAAGCTCAGGCCTGCCTCATCCTGGCCGCCGTCTTGCATTCTCCGGGCGGGGATTGAGCTCAGGCTCTCCCCATTGTGGTCAGCACTCGGTGGTAGTGCCTGCTTTCTTGCTTGTTGGTTTGTTCACCTGATTATTCCTAAACGTTTTGGCCGTTTCTCGCGTGGCATTAACTTCTATTCCCCTCACTGTGTGTGGTCGCGTCTTCTCCTATGGTGGTTTCTCAGACCCCACTTGTTTAAAGTGGGGTTTAAAGTTAAACGTGTTTAAAGTGACAGCATCTCTCCCATAAAACTTCAGTAGGAATTTCTAACAGACAAGGACATTTTAAAACACGAACCCAGTAACACTGATCACACTAAAAAGTGAACAGTGGTTCCGTGATACCAACATGCACGGTCCATGTTCCCTTTCCCACTTGTCTGAGCAACGGCTTTCTGCAGTTGGTTTGGATGAATCAGGGCCTGCCCCTCCAGGACTGGAGCTCCTTGAAAGCAGGACTGAAATGGAGTCTCTCTACCTCAGCAGCCCGGCCTGAGCTGTGTGCATGGAAGCCGCAGGGCTGGTGGGAAGAGAGGAGGCTGGAGGGAGCCAGGGAGGGAGAAGACGGATCACTGAGTGGGAGCTTCCATTGTAAACACCACAATATCTTTGCTGAGAGATGTGTCTGTGATTTTTATGGGGGAGCAATTTCAAGAAGAAAGGGACTGAAATTTCACAGTGACCTTTGGGGATGGTTTCATCCTCTGCCTCCACGCAGGCTCTAGAGTTAGGACCAGCCAACAATCACAGACTGTCAGGTAACGCTCCAAGAATGGATGGACAGGAGCATCCAGTTAGGCGTGGGTCGGCCACCTCCACTTCCCTTTTAAGGAAGAAAACATTTCAGCAGCTGCCCTCCTTCCCTCCCTCCCTCCCTCCCCAGAGGCATCAGGAATGGCCAGTTCCTCTTCCAGCAAAGCATAAGTGGGAGACGTGTGAAGCGGTCCTTTGCCTACTCCTTAGTTATTTTGCAGGCGGACTCCTACACACGTGTACGGGAGCAAGCCTGGTGAAGGGGAACAGAATGCGTATGAGGCGAGAGGAGGGAAGCCAGCTCCAGTTTAAGGGTGTCTGAGCGCCGCGCAGTACTCAGTCTCTGCGTAGGCTGGTGCAAAGCATCAAAGAACACACTTTCAGTGCACTATGGGTTTTCTGGAAAATGCCAAGAATGTGTGTGTAGATGGGGTCTTGCTATGTTGCCCAGGCTGGTCTCGAGCTCACATGATCCTGCCACCTCGACCCCCCAAAGGGCTGCCACTGTGCTGGCCACTGCTGAGAATTGATTTGGGGAGCAAGGGTGCCAAGTTTCTGGGTGAAACGTCCGCAAGGTCTCCCGCCTCGGCCAGCACTGCCCCACTGCCATCGTTTTCATATCCTGTCCCCTAGGTCGTGTTTCGTGGTGTTCGTGACCATAAATGACTTCTGTTTTGCTTTCCCTCATTACTGTTTTCTAGAGCAATTTGTGCCAATTTATGGAGAAAAAAAATGGTCTAATTGCTGGGTTGCCCTCTCTTGAGAATGCGCTGCAGTCAGCTTGTGCAGCCCCCAGCGGCCGGGCGCCCGGCTCCTTCCGGGGTGTGTGTGTGGTAACTAAGCTGCAGGGAACATCCCTGCACCCACTTCCTCGGGTCAAGCGCAGGAGTCCCCGTATGTGGCAGTCACCAAGCCTGCGCGTGTTCAGCTGAACCTAGTGGACGAATTGCTCCCTGAGCTGCCTGTACTAATTTACTCTCCTTCCAGTCATGCATGAGAGCCTCTCACCAGGGCTTGATCATGTCAGACTTTTTCATTGTTGCCAAATTTGTGAGCGTGGAGTGATATTTTGTTGTTTTAATTTACATTTGCCAACAATTGTTGATATTACATTGGTCAAAAGACAGGGTTATTGACCATTTAGGGTTTGTCTCCTGTACCCTTTGCTCAGCCCTTTTGGGGTTTTTTTGGTTATTGGTTTGGAGGAGCTCTTTATGCGTGATAGTTACTAATCCTTTCATGAATACATTACAAACCAACTTCTTCCCAGTCTGTCTTGTGTCTTTCAGTGTTGCTCCTGGGGTCCTTCAGCTCCAGGGCCCACGAGGCATCATGGACTGTTTCACGTAACCCTTCTCTCTATTTCTCTTTCCAGGTGTCCCAGGTATCCAGGGCAGCCCAAATGGCAGTCCCCAGCTCGCGGATCCTCCAGTTGTCAAAGCCGAAGGCCCCAGCCACCCTCTTGGAAGAGTGGGACCCCGTGCCAAAACCCAAGCCACATGTGTCAGACCATAACCGCCTCCTTCACTTGGCCAGTAAGTAGGTGCCTCAGGCTAGGCATTTCCTGATGTCCTGTTCAGATCCCAAGGGACACCTTATACCTCTGCCTAGAGCGGGCAGAGGGAAGCTCTCCCCCATGAAAGAGAAGCAGAAATCACAGGGACGTGTGGTCCGGAAGCAGAGGGTGTTGTCTGAGAGGGTTTTCTAGCAGGAAAAAAAGGTGTAGAAGAGAAAATCAGGGTGCAGAGCAGGAACCAGAGAACCACGCTAAGGAACAAATGCAGCTTTAAAATGGGTGTTGGCCTGACTCCATTCCTGTCTTTTAAAACAAGTTGAATAACCATTTTCCTCAACGACAAGGGTAATGTGTGCGAATTGCCAGAGAAGTTGCTTGGCCATTTAGGTTTACTCTTCTATATCGTTTTCCCAGTTTCCTGCTGCCTGGTGTTTTGGAGTTGTAGATTGGGAGCAGCTCTTTATGTAAGACGGTTATTAATCCCTTGTTGAACACATTGCACAATAACTTCTCCCAAGTCTCTGTCTTGTCTTTTAACTTCGCTTATGGGGCCTTTTCTTTGTTTATTCATTCTTTCATCCATTCCCTTGATATTTGTGAAATGATGAGTGAAATGAATGGAAACAGATGAGGGCTGATGCAGCACTGCCTTACACCGTCCTGCACACACTTGTGCTCGCCACACACACACGGCGAGTATAAACATCCATACACTGGTACACGCACGCACTCACGCTCACCACAAACACACACACGTTGAGTATGAACATCGATACACTGGTACACACATGCATGGATACATCCATCCATGTTTCAAATGTACATATAAATATATATCCGTGTGTGCACATGCATGTGTTTGTGCGTGTGCATGCGTGTGTGAGAGAATGACGGAGGGTTGAGGCTTCCACCCACTCATAGTTGGGACCACCTTTTTTTTTTTTGAGATGGAGTCTTGCTCTGTCGCCCAGGCTGGAGTGCAGTGGCGCGATCTCGGCTCACTGCAAGCTCCGCCTCCTGGGTTCACACATTCTCCTGCCTCGGCTTCCCGAGTAGCTGGGACTACGGGAGCCTGCCATCACTCCTGGCTAATTTTTGTATTTTTAGTAGAGACAGGTTTTCACCATGTTGGCCAGGCTGGTCTTGAACTCCTGACCTCATGATCCGCCCACCTCGGCCTCCCAAAGTGCTGGGATTACAGGCATGACACCGCTCCTGGCCAGGAAGCAGCATTTTTAAAACGTGAAGCAGACCAGCAAATGAAGTGCACTGACCTATGTGGGGTTAGAGCGAGAGTGTGGCTGTTTGTGCTCACACTTGCTGTGTGGGGGTAAGAGTGTGGCTGTATGTGCTCACACTTGCTGTGTGGTGGGGGTAAGAGTGAGTGTGTGGCTGTGTGTGCTCACACTTGCTGTGTGGTGGGGGTAAGAGCGAGTGTGTGGCTGTGTGTGCTCGCACTTGCTATGTGGGGGTAAGAGTGTGGCTGTATGTGCTCACACTTGCTGTGTGGTGGGGGTAAGAGCGAGTGTGTGGCTGTGTGTGTGTGCTCACACTTGCTGTGTGGTGGGGGTAAGAGCGAGTGTGTGGCTGTGCTGTTTCTCTGTGCGTGCTCACGCTTGCTATGTGGGCTCAGTTGCTGCTGCTCGGGAGTGCTGGAAACTCAACAGAGTTTCAAAGCCCAGATGCCTACTAAATTCTCACAGAGGAGTTCAAAGAAGGCTAGGCTCTGGGCACGGTTCTTCCAGCCCCCTTAGGGTCACCAGGGCCCCACTGCTTGGCCCCCTTACCCTGCACAAGGGCATCTGCCGGGCAGAGCTCGCATCCACCCGGAAGGTGCAGAAGAGACAATTAGCATGCAGAGCAGGGGCCAGAGAAGCACTCACACCTGTACCAGTATATGGATGTTTATATTCACGACGTGTGTGTGTGGTGAGCGCGGGTGCGTGCAGGATGGTCTAAGGCAGTGCTGTATCTGCAGTTTCCATTCAGATGGCCTTGCCCAGCCACGTGCCACGTGGGGTTCTGCCTGCCTAGTGGAAGAGACTCCACACTCTTTTCCCCAGGAGCCTCTTCACAGAGCCAGGGCTGGTCTGCCAAGAAGTGGGTAGCCCTTATTCATTTGCGCAGAAGTTCCACGCAAAGAGGGATCTGGAAAGAAGGTGGGAGCTTTCCCAGAAATCAAAGGCCCTGAAGCCTTCAGAGACAAGGTAGAGGACAGCCCCGGCTGCTATGCCAGACTCGGTGGCCACCTTTCTTCCTAGTCTCCAAGCAGTCTGCTGCAGCTCCCTGCTATAAAGGAAGGGGTGGGGGAGAGATGGTGAGAAGGGGGTACCAGGAGGAGGGGGCCACGAGTGCCTGAGGGACAGCCACCAGGGAGCAAGACATGACCCCAGCCAGGGGGAGGAGATGCCTCCTGCCCCGACCCACTTACCACCATGACATGAGCAGGTGGAGAGGGGGGTGAACCAGGGTCACCTGTGTTGGCAGCAGAGTGAGGAGACTTGAGCTCTCTTGGCTGTGGCCCCCTGAGTCCCCCTTTCAGGTACCTGTGGCCATTTTTTTTTTTTTAGAGATGGGGTCTCGCTGTGTTGCTCAGTCTGGCCTCAAAACTCTAGGGCTCAGGTGATCCTCCTGCCTCTGCCTCCAAAAGTGCTGGAATGACAGGCATGTGCCATTGAGCCTGGCTGCCAGTGGCCGTTTAAAATATTTTTTCTTTTTTTTTCTTTCTTTTTTTTTTTTTTTTTTTTGAGACAGAGCTTCGCTCTGTCACCCAGGCTGGAGCGCAGTGGCGCGATCTCAGCTCACTGCAAGCTCCGCCTCCCGGGTTCACGCCGTTCTCCTGCCTCAGCCTCCTGAGTAGCTGGGACTACAGGCAGCCGCCACCACGCCCGGCTAATTTTTTTTTTGTATTTTTAGTAGAGATGGGATTTCACCGTGTGAGCCAGGATGGTCTCGATCTCCTGACCTTGTGATCCGCCCGCCTCGGCCTCCCAGAGTGCTGGGATTACAGGCATGAGCCACCGCGCCCAACCGAAATATTTTTTATTTGTAATTCACCCTGTTTTAAGTGTAGGTTTCGTAGCTCGATGTGGCAGTGCATATGACTGTAGCCCCAGCTACTTGCGAGGCTGAGGTGGGAGGATGGCTGGAACCCAGCAGTTCAAGTCAGGTGGAGGCTGCAGTGAGCTAAAGATCGTGCTCCAGCCTGGGAGACACAGCAAGACCCTGCCTCAAAATAAAATAAAATGGGGCCGGGCACGGTGGCCCACACCTGTAATCCCAGTACTTTGGGAGGCCGAGGCGGGCAGGTTGCCTGAAGTCAGGAGTTCGAGACCAGCCTGGCCAACATGGTGAAACCCTGTCTCTACTAAAAATACAAAAAATTAGTCGGGCGTGGTGGCGGGCGCCTGTAGCCCCAGCTACTCGGGAGGCTGAGGCAGGAGAATCACTTGATCCTGGGGAGCGGAGGTTACAGCGAGTCAAGGTCATGCTACTGCACTCCAGCCTGGGCAACAGAGCAAGACTCTGTCTCAAAATGAAATAAAATAATAAAGTAAAATAAAATGATAAAATGAAATAAAATAAAAAATAGGCCAGGCACAGTGGCTCACGCCTGTAATGCCAGCCCTTTGGGAGGCTGAGGCGGGCGGATCGCCTGAGGTCAGGAGTTCAAGACCAGCCTGGCCAACATGGTGAAACCCCGTCTCTGCTGAAAATAGAAAGATTAGCTGGCTGTGGTGGTGCACGTCTGTAGTCCCAGCTACTCAGGAGGCTGAGGCAGGAGAATTGCTTGAACCTGGGAGGCGGAGGTTGCAGTGAGCCGAGATCACGCCACTGCACTCCAGCCTGGGCGACAGAGCAAGGCTCTGTATCAAACTAAATAAATAAACAAATAAAAATAAAAAATATGTTTCAGTGGCTTTTAGTACAGTCACAGGGTTATGCAACCACCACCACAGTCAATTTCAGAACCTTTTTATGCCTTCAGAAGGCAGCCCCGCCCCCATCAGCTGTCACTCCCCATTCCCGTCTCCCAGCCCCTGGCACCTACACGTTCACTTCCGGACTCTGGATTGGCCTGTCCTGGACATTTGTATAAATGGAATCACACACTGTGTGTCCTTTCGTGTCTCTGGTCTCTCGCAGCACATGCTGTCCTCAAGGCTCAGCCATGCTGTAGCTGGTGCTAGAGCCTCGTTCCTTTTCTTGGCTGAGTCATATTCCACTCTGAGTGGACTACATTTTCATCCTCCGTTTCTCTGCTGATGAGCAGGCCGTTTGAATGGGGGAGCTTTTTTTTTTTTTTTTTTTTTTTTTTAAGATGGAGTCTTGCTCTGTTGCCCAGGCTGGAGTGCAGTGACGCGATCTGCGCTCACTGCAACTTCTGCCTCCCAAGTTCAAGCCATCCTCATGCCTCAACCTCCCGAGTAGCTGGGACTAGAGACGCACCACCACGCTCAGCTAATTCTTGTATTTTTAGTAGAGACGAGGTTTCATCATGTTGGCCAGGCTGATCTCTAACTCCTGACCTCAGGTGATCCACCTGCCTCAGCCTTCCACAGTGCTGGGATTCCAGGTGTGAGCTCCCATGCCCAGCCTGAATGTGGAGCTTTGAGGTTTGAGCTTCAGTGCTGTCCTTCTCTTCTGCCCCCACTAGGGCCCAAAGCTCAGTCGGACAAGTGCGTTCCTGACCGAGATCCTCGCTGGGAGGTGCTGGATGTCACCAAGAAGGTGGTGGCCAGCCCCCGGATCATCTCCCTGGCCAAGCCCAAAGTGCGCAAGGGCCTCAACGAGGGATACGACAGGCGTCCCCTCGCCTCTATGAGCTTGCCACCCCCAAAAGCATCACCAGAAAAGTGTGATCAACCCAGGCCTGGCCTCTAAGACCTCCGCTCCCAGTAAACACCCTCAGGCACCCTAACCCTGTGTATGTGATTATTCTGAGCTTTTTGGCCTGGAGAAGGGAGGGCGGGCTAGAAGGCCAAAAGAAGGATGAGGAGGACAATAATATTTATTTTTGCATCCAACCTGCGACTTGTCCAGCTGTTTATTTTCCGAGTCACTTTCATTGACCATCTCGAGCGCCTTCTGAATCTCTTCAGTCCAGACTTATTCGTCCATTCCTGAGGGCCCACGGGACCGTCGGAGTCGGAACGACAGCCACAGTCAAACCAGCCGACGCTCCTGCTGAGGGGCCACGGGACCGTCGGAGTCGGAACGACAGCCACAGTCAAACCAGCCGACGCTCCTGCTGAGGGGCCACGGGACCGTCGGAGTCGGAACGACAGCCACAGTCAAAGCAGCCGACGCTCCTGCTGAGGGCCCACGGGACCGTCGGAGTCGGAACGACAGCCACAGTCAAAGCAGCTGACGCTCCTCCTGAGGGCCCACGGGACCGTCGGAGTCGGAACGACAGCCACAGTCAAACCAGCCGACGCTCCTGCTGAGGGGCCACGGGACCGTCGGAGTCGGAACGACAGCCACAGTCAAACCAGCCGACGCTCCTGCTGAGGGGCCACGGGACCGTCGGAGTCGGAACGACAGCCACAGTCAAACCAGCCGACGCTCCTGCTGAGGGGCCACGGGACCGTCGGAGTCGGAACGACAGCCACAGTCAAACCAGCCGACGCTCCTCCTGAGGGCCCACGGGACCGTCGGAGTAGGAACGACAGCCACAGTCAAACCAGCCGACGCTCCTGCTGAGGGGCCACGGGACCGTCGGAGTCGGAACGACAGCCACAGTCAAACCAGCCGACGCTCCTGCTGAGGGGCCACGGGACCGTCGGAGTCGGAACGACAGCCACAGTCAAACCAGCCGACGCTCCTGCTGAGGGGCCACGGGACCGTCGGAGTCGGAACGACAGCCACAGTCAAACCAGCCGACGCTCCTGCTGAGGGGCCACGGGACCGTCGGAGTCGGAACGACAGCCACAGTCAAACCAGCTGACGCTCCTGCTGAGGGGCCACGGGACCGTCGGAGTCGGAACGACAGCCACAGTCAAACCAGCCGACGCTCCTGCTGAGGGGCCACGGGACCGTCGGAGTCGGAACGACAGCCACAGTCAAACCAGCTGATGCTCCTCCTGAGGGCCCACGGGACTGTCAGAGTCGGAACGACAGCCACAGTCAAACCAGCCGACGCTCCTCCTGAGAGCCCACGGGACCGTCGGAGTCGGAACGACAGCCACAGTCAAACCAGCCGATGCTCCTGCTGAGGGGCCACGGGACCGTCGGAGTAGGAACGACAGCCACAGTCAAACCAGCCGACGCTCCTCCTGAGAGCCCACGGGACCGTCAGAGTCGGAACGACAGCCACAGTCAAACCAGCCGATGCTCTTGCTGAGGGGCCACGGGACCGTCGGAGTAGGAACGACAGCCACAGTCAAACCAGCCGACGCTCCTCCTGAGGGCCCACGGGACTGTCAGAGTCGGAACGACAGCCACAGTCAAACCAGCTGATGCTCCTCCTGAGGGCCCACGGGACCGTCGGAGTCGGAACGACAGCCACAGTCAAACCAGCTGATGCTCCTCCTGAGGGCCCACGGGACCGTCGGAGTCGGAACGACAGCCACAGTCAAACCAGCTGATGCTCCTCCTGAGGGCCCACGGGACCGTCAGAGTCGGAACGACAGCCACAGTCAAACCAGCCGACGCTCCTGCTGAGGGGCCACGGGACCATCAGAGTCAGAACGACAGCCACGGTCAAACCAGCCGACGCTCCTGCTGAGAGCCCACGGGACCGTCGGAGTCGGAACGACAGCCACGGTCAAAGCAGCCGACGCTCCTGCTGAGGGGCCACGGGACCGTCGGAGTAGGAACGACAGCCACAGTCAAAGCAGCCGACGCTCCTGCTGAGGGGCCACGGGACCATCAGAGTCAGAACGACAGCCACGGTCAAACCAGCCGACGCTCCTGCTGAGAGCCCACGGGACCGTCGGAGTCGGAACGACAGCCACAGTCAAAGCAGCCGACGCTCCTGCTGAGGGGCCACGGGACCGTCGGAGTCGGAACGACAGCCACAGTCAAAGCAGCTGACACCTGTTGCACAACTTATGGATCTTTAGAGTGACCTAATGATGGAGGGATTATCATTGTCCCCATTCCACAGACGTGGAGATTGAGGCTCAAATAGGTTAGGAAAAGACCCCCAGTCCCTGCTATGGCCTGAACGCCTGTGTCTCCCCCAGATTCATATGTTGTAATTCCCACCCTCAAGGTGATGGTATTAGGAAGTGAGGCTTTGGGGAGGCAATGAGGTTATGGAGCAGAGCTGTCATGCATGGGATTGGTGTCCTTATAAAAGAGGATCAAGAGACACCAGTGGCCCCTGCCTGCCATGTGAGGACACTGAGAAGCAGGTGGTGTGTGCAACCAGGAGGGCCCCCGTCACCAGCACCTGATCATGCTGGCACCCTGATCTCAGACTTGCAGCCTCCAGGACTGTGGGAAATAACCTTCTGTTGTTTCTAACCCACCGGTCTATGGTACTTTGTTACAGCGGGGCAAACGGACAAAGACAGTTCCCATGTTAGCATCTGGCCACTGCTGTAACAAACGCCCACAAATGGGGTGACTTAAAACACTGCACATTCGGGCCGGGTGCGGCGGCTCACGCCTGTAATCCCAGCACTTTGGGAGGCTGAGGCGGGCGGATCACTGGAGGTCAGGAGTTCGAGACCTGGCCAACATGGCAAAACCCCATCTCTACTGAAAATGCAAAAATTAATTGGGTGTGGTGGCGCATGCACGTAATCCCAGCTACTCAGGAGGCTGAGACAGGAGAAGCTCCTGAACCCGGGAGGTTGAGGCTGCAGTGAGCCGAGATCACGCCACTGCACTCTAGCCTGGGTGACAGAGAGAGACTGTAAGACTCTGTCTCAAAAACAACAACAACAAAAAGCACATTTATTCTCTTATCCTTCCGGAGGATGGAGTCCAAAGTAGATCTCACTTGGGCTAAAGTCCAAGTATCAGCAGGGCTGCCTCTTCCAGAGGCCCCAGGGGAGAGTCCCTTTCCCGCCTTTTCTGGCATCTGGAGGCGCTTGCCTCCCTGGTGTGGGGTTGCGGGCTGAGGTCTTTCATCTTCAAATCCACCAGCACAGCCTCTTCTCTCTGACTCTCACCCTCCTGCCTCCTCTCTTGAGGACACTGTAATGACCTTGGGCCACCTGGGTCATCAGGATAATCTCTCATCTCAGCATCCTTAATCCCATCTGCAAATCTCTTGTTATTTAAGGTGACCCATTCACAGGCCTGGGAACGTCCTTGATCATTTAAGGCGACCCATTCACAGGACTGGGGACTGGGCTGGGAACGTTCCTGAGGTGCTATTCTGCCAACCACAGACAGTGGCGGCTTCCTTGGCACTCTCAATTTCTCTGTAGCCTGGAAGTAGGTGACATGGCTGGATAGGAGAGATCTTCAGGAAGTACAGTGTCAGAACTGGGTGAAATAAAATGATCAGGGCCGGCCGCGGTGGCTCACGCCTGTAATCTCAGCATTTTGGGAGGCCAAGGTGGGGGGATCACCGGAGATCAGGAGTACCAGACCAGCCTGGCCAACATGGCGAAACCCCATCTCTACTAAAAATATAAAAATTAGCCAAGCGTGGTGGTGGACACCTGTAGTCCCAGCTACTTGGGAGGCTGAGGCAGGATAATCACTTGAACCCGGGAGGCGGAGGTTGCAGTGAGCCAAGATCACGCCACTGCACTCCAGCCTGGGTGACAGACCGAGACTTTGTCTCAAAATAAATAAATAAATAAATAGACTGTGGCGTTTCTGAAAGAAGCAGAGAGTACCCTGTTTCTCATGGGGTGGCATCACCATTTACCAAGATAGGGAACATGGGAAGAGGAGCTTTCTTTTAAACATGAGAGTGGGTAATGGATTCTGGGATTGAAACTGTAGAGTTTCAAGGTGCTTCGATTTTTTTTTTTTTTTGAGACAGGGTCTCACTTTGTTACCCAGGCTAGAGTGCAGTGGTGTGGTCTCAGCTCACTGCAGCCTCCGACTTCCAGGTTCCAGTGATTCTCCTGCTTCAGCCACCAGGGTAGCTGGGATTAGAGGCATGCACCACTATGTCTGGCTAATTTTTGTATTTTTAGTAGAGACGGGGTTTCACCATGTTGGCCAGGCTGGTCTTGAACTCCTGACCTCAGGTGATCTGGCCACCTCGGCCTCTCAAAGTGCTAGGATTACAGGCGTGAGCCACCATGTCTGGCCGGTGCTTTGCTATTTCCAAGAGAAAATATACACCTACATCTGTACCTGCAACTACATCTGTGCCTGCACCTACACCTCTGCCTATACTTACCCCGTGCTGACACCTGCACCTAATCCTACAATGCACCTACACCTTTGCCTACATCTAAACCTGTGCTATACCTACATCTCTGCCTACACCTACAACTGTGCTACACCTAAACCTGTGCCTGCACCTACACTGTGCTACCCCTACACCTGTGCTACAACTACATTGTGCTACACCTACACCTGTGCTACACCTACACCTGTGCCTGCACCTACACTGTGCTATGCCTACACCTGTGCCTACACCTACTCCTGTGCCTACACCTACACCTGTGCCTGCACCTACACTGTGCTATGCCTACACCTGTGCCTGCACCTAAACCTGCGCCTACACGATTTCTGTAACATCCTCTATTAGAGCCAAGGACAGGTGATGCCCACCAAAACCAGCACGGTGCGGTGACTCACGACTGTAATCCCAGCACGTTGGGAGGCCGAGGTGGGTGGATCATGAGGTCAGGAGTTCAAGACCAGCCTGGCCAACAAGGTGAAAACCTGTCTCTGCTAAAAATACAAAAAATTCACCAGGCATGGTGGCAGATGCCTGTAGTCCCAGCTACTCGGGAGGCTGAGGCAGGAGAATCACTTGAACCCGGGAGGCGGAGCTTGCGGCGAGCAGAGATTGCGCCACTGCACTCCAGCCTGGCGACAGAGCGAGACTCCGTCTCAAAAAAATAATAAAAAATAAAATAAAAACAAAATAACCTGTATATTCTTTAAAACTCATCATTGCTGGGCTGGGCGTGGTGGCCCATACCTGTAATCCCAGGACTTTGGGAGGCTGAGGTGGGCAGATTACTTGAGGTTAGGATTTCAAGAACAGCCTGGGCAACATGGTGAAACCCCATCTCTACTAAAAATACAAAACAAATTAGCTGAGCGTGGTGGCGGGCGCCTATAACCCCCAACTACTCGGGAGGCTGAGGCACGAGAATCGCTTGAGCCCGGGAGGCAGAGGTTGCAGTGAGCCGAGATAGCACCCCTGCACTCCAACCTGGGTGATGGAGTGAGATTCTGTCTCAAAAATAAATAAATAAAAATAAAAATTAAAAATAAATCAAATTAAATTAAAGGGCTAGGCGTAGTAGCTCACGCCTGTAATCCCAGCACTTTTGGGAGGCCGAGGCGGGCAGATCACGAGGTCAGGAGATCGAGACCATCCTGGCTAACACGGTGAAACCCTGTCTCTATTAAAAATACAAGAATTAGCCGGGCATGGTGGCGGGTGCCTGTAATCCCACCTACTCGGGAGGCTGAGGCAGGAGAATCGCTTGAGCCCAGGAGGCAGAGGTTGCAGTGAGCCGAGATTGAGCCATTGCACTCCAGCCTGGGTGACAGAGCCAGACTCCGTTTCAAAAAAAGAAAGAAAGAAAGAACTTTGTGTTGAATTTCATGGCTTTTTTTCAATAGACCAACTTGCTCCTGTTTTTTCACTATGGGCACTGCAGCTTCAAACGATGCTTCTATACTTTTGGCCTCTTCTTGACTTTTGGCAACAAAATTTGTACTGGAAAACATTGCTTTGCTCTTGTTTAGGAAAAAAAGCAAATAAATTAACCAAAGAATTAAATGTGTGCTCTCTCTCAATGGACAGATAGATAGATAGAGATATACAGAGACAGTGACAGCTGGTATGAAAAATGAGGCAGCCGGAATGTCCACCAATAGGGGAGCAAGTAAACAGCGATGTAGTCCTGCAGGGGCATCACGATCCAAAAGAAGTTACAGGAATGAGAAATGGAGATGCCCACACCTATCTTTGAAGAAACGTGATGACATCTGTGACCTTGAACTGATAAGAAAACAAATTAATGATAAAGGGAAGGTTACTAAGGGTGTCAGAAATGCTGGGAAAGGGTGTCTATGGGCTCAGATCTCAGACAAAGCTGGTAGGGCAGTTTTCCAAAATACATCCATCGTCTGGGGGCAACACTAATAATTCTTTCTCAGAATATTAGGAGCAGGTGGCCGGGTGCAGTGTCTCACGCGTGTAATCCCAGCACTTTGGGAAGCCGAGGCGGGCGGATCACCTGACGTCGGAGTTCGAGACCAGCCTGACCAACATGGAGAAACCCCATCTCTACTAAAAATACAAAATTAGCCGGGCGTGGTGGTGCATGCCTGTGATCCTAGCTACTCGGGAGGGTGAGGCAGGAGAATTGCTTGAACCTGGGAGGCAGAGGTTGTGGTGAGCCGAGATCTTATTGCCCAATAAGAGTGAAACTCCGTCTCAAAATAATAATAATAATATTAGGAATAGGCTGGCAGTAGGAGTTTCTATAGATTCGGTTTGGCGTGAAACTTCAGGAAGAAGGGAATGCAGGCTGAATGAGTAACTGCCATGTGAAATCATATTTGCAGGAGGAAGGAATCTTCCCGTAAACTGGGTGCTGGCATGGGGTTGCCTTCTGAACAACTCTGCTGTGCCAGCCTTGCTGAGTCAGAGAACAACAAAGGCTAAAATAACTCACTGTCACACAGACTGTGTCACAGAAGGATTCCTACTAACAGGAGCAGAGTCCTGGCTTGATCATCATATAACCTCCTAATAAAGGCTGGTTTAGGGAGATCACCCTTATTCAAAGATGAGAAAGTAAAGGATGGGATTAAGGCCAGGCACGGTGGCTCATGCTTGTAATCTGAGCACTTTGGAAGGCCGAGGCGGGCAGATCACCTGAGGTTGGGAGTTCGAGATCAGCCTGACCAACATGGAGAAACCCCTGTCTCTACAAAAATACAAAACATAGCCAGGCGTGGTGGCGCATGCCTGTAATCCCAGCTACTTGGGAGGCTAAGGCAGGAGAATTGCTTGAACCTGGGAGGCAGAGGCTGTGGTGAGCCGAGATCACATCATTGCACTCCAACCTGGGCAACAAGAGTGAAACTCCATCTCTCAAAAAAAGAAAAAAAAAAAAAGAAAAGGATAGGATTGAAATAAAGATGTCACAGAGAAAATAAGTATTGTTTAAAAATCACCAAATACAGGCCAGGCACAGTGGCTCATGCCTGTAATCCCAGCAATTTGGGAGGCCGAGGTGGGCAGATCACTTGAAGTTAGGAATTCAAGACCAGCCTGGCCAACATGGTGAAACCCCATCTCTACTAAAAATACAGAAATTAGCCTGGCGAGTTGGCGGGTGCCTGTAATCCCAGCTACTTGGGAGGCTGAGGCAGGAGAATCGCTTGAACCCGAGAGGTAGAGGTTGCAGTGAGCCAAGATTGCACCATTGCACTCCAGCCTGGGTGACAGTGAAACCCTCTCTCAAAAAAAAAAAAAAATCACCAAATATTTAAATAAATTATCACAAAGCAGGAATACAGTTCATAGAAGATACAGAAAGGAAACAGAAGGAGATTAACATGAGGTTGCAGAATTTAGGAAAGAAATGGAAGAAAAAATGAAAGTCTAAATTAGTTAAAATGAAGTCTAAATTGCCTTAAGGAGAACTGACATTGCAGAAGACATAATAGTAAAAGGACATGGAAAACAGGATTGACAAAGCTAACACAATGCATGAAAATAGCAGATCATCATGAAGGGTCAGAGAGAAGATAATAGATTTGGAAGCTAGAAAAAGGCCATACTACATATATAAAAATGATATTCACGAAGAAGAGATACAAAATAATGGAACGCAGCAAATATTTAAATTTATAATTTAAGAAAACTTCCCAGAATTACAAGAAGATTTTCATCTATATATTGGAATAACTCACCATGTCCCAAGAAAAATGATACTAAATGGCTTATACCTGAGTGCATCAAGATAATAAGACCAAGAGACTTAAAAGGGAAAAGCCTCTCTCCAGACTTTATTTCAGCAACATTCATTGCTAGAAGTCAATAGAAAAATGTCTACAAAGTTCTGGAGGACTTAATGTTGAAGTAAGATGGTCTGGAGAAATAATTTTATACCCAGCCAAACTGTCATTAAAAAATAAAGACATTGGCCAGGTGTGGCGGCTCATGCCTGTAATCCCAGCACTTTGGGAGGCCGAGGCGGGTGGATTACCTGAGGTCAGGAGTTTGAGACCAGCCTGGCCAACATGGTGAAACCCCGTTTCTACTAAAAATACAAAAATTAGCTGGGCGTGGTGGCAGGCGCCTGTAATCCCAGCTACTCGGGAGGCTGAGGCAGGAGAATTGCTTGAACCCAGGAAGCGGAGGTTGCAGTGAGCCAAGATTGCGCCACTGCACTCCAGCCTGGGTGACAGAGTGAGACTCCGTCTCAAAAAATAAATAAATAAAATAAAGACATCAGACAAATGTCTTAGAGCATGCAAGAATTGAAGGAACTTCCTGAAGAAACTATTTAAGAATGACTTTCAGCCAACTGAGAGAAAATGGAGAAGCCACAGCAAGAGAACTGATGCTGAGAGCTGAGTCCATTCACCTTGAGGACTGGCATTAAATCAAATCTAAGAAGAGTGGCTACAAATGTAGATGTTATAAATCTTGAAACTAGAAAGGGTATGGTTAACAAAAAGTGAGGGGAGCAGAGATAATAGGAAGTGGTACAGTTATACACATTCCCCATCAAAAAAATTATTTTAAATGGATTATTCCAATAATAGAAATGTAAGTATATTTAAGAGCATAATGTTAAACAGGAAGAAAATCAATGTAATTAACTAGGATTCTGTTATGTAGGAGAGGGGGAATAGGGCAAAGCAGAAGTATCCTAATGTCATTTTTTTTAAACACTAGAGTCAATAGATAGAAACAGTGTCAGCATCTAAAGCTGTGCTGTGCAGTCTTGTAGCCACATGTGGTTCGCGGGCAAGTAAAATGTGGCTAATTTGAATTGTGATGTCCTATAAGTGTGAAACACACACCAGAGATTGAAAGCAGTATGGAAAACAGAGTGTAAATATCTCAATAATTTTATATTGATTACACATGGGAAAGATAATACTTTACAGATATTTGTATTAAATAACATATTACAATTAATTTTACTTGTGTCTTTTTACCTTTTTAATGTGGTTACTAGAAAATGTTAAATTCTATCACATTCGTGTTAGACAGTGTTGGTCTGAAGGAATGGAATTAAGTAGATTATATGAAATTATAATTATAAAGGTGATCACTAGAAGAAAAATACAAGCCATTTAAATTCTCAGAACAAGATGTAGTGGAGCTGTGGCACACCAGCCAGAAGATCCCCCCCAGAACTCAGCACTCGTCCTCCAGCCTCTGGAAGACAATACCTCTGGGAAATGTCCTTGCCTGAAGACAACTGGACCCCGTGGTCACCTTCTCTCCCTCCCCAATGACTGGTCAATGCATGGGTACAAAGCCTTTGTCCCGTGCCCCCGTAGGATACAGCTCTGAGGGGCCAGCCCAGCTCCACAGCCGAAGCCTCCGCGGTAACTGTGCTGCAGATCCTTCTCTCTCTGCCCTGCTGCCTTCACTTCCCCACAGGTGCCGATCCCGTGGGCCCTCGCGTCAGAATTTCCTGCATACAAATCTCTACCTCAGCATTCACTTCCTGGAGAATCTGACCTGCAAAAGGAGTTTGAGAAAGTAGATTCTAAAGTTGGATTTGGGAGCTAGATCACCCACCAGCATGCTGGTGGTGAGGCACCCGTGCCTCGTGGACGGGAACGCCGTGTGACTCACTGTGTCTTAGGTTTACTCCTACGTTCGCTCATAAGGTTGAGATTTGTCCTCTGATCCTTTCTGAGTTTAGCCTATTTAAGTCTCTCGATAGGATAAATGCTTCATCTTTGTTTTTCATCATATTTGTTACACTTTCTATTTTGTTTTGCTTTCTTTTGTTTTATATTTCTTTTTCTTTTTTAGTATTATATATGTGTGTATATATGTGTGTGTATATACACGTTTGTGTGTGTATATATATTTGTGTGTATATATATTTGTGTGTATATATATTTGTGTGTGTGTATATGTGTGTATATATATTTGTGTGTATATATATTTGTGTATGTGTTTGTATGTCTATATTTGTGTATGTATATATATTTGTGTGTGTATATATGTGTGTGTATATATATTTGTGTGTATATATGTGTGTGTATTTGTATGTCTATATTTGTGTATGTATATATTTTTTGTGTGTATATATTTGTGTGTATGTGTTTATATATTTGTGTGTGTGTATATATATGTGTGTGTGTATATATATGTGTGTGTATATATGTGTGTGTATATATATTTGTGTGTATGTGTTTATATATTTGTGTGTGTGTATATATGTGTGTATATATATTTGTGTGTATGTGTTTATATATTTGTGTGTTTGTATACATATGTGTGTGTGTATATATGTGTGTGTATATATGTGTGTGTATATATATTTGTGTGTATGTGTTTATATATTTGTGTGTGTGTATATATGTGTGTATATATATTTGTGTGTATGTGTTTATATATTTGTGTGTTTGTATACATATGTGTGTGTTTATATATTTGTGTGTTTGTATACATATGTGTGTGTGTATATATATGTGTGTGTGTATATATATGTGTGTGTATATATGTGTGTGTATATATATTTGTGTGTATGTGTTTATATATTTGTGTGTGTGTATATATGTGTGTATATATATTTGTGTGTATGTGTTTATATATTTGTGTGTTTGTATACATATGTGTGTGTGTATATATATGTGTGTGTGTATATATATTTGTGTATGTGTATATATGTGTGTATATATATTTGTGTGTATATATATTTGTGTGTGTATGTATTTGTGTGTGTATGTCTATATTTGTGTATGTATATATGTGTGTGTATATATGTGTGTATATTTTGTGTGTATATATGTGTGTGTATATATGTGTGTGTATATATATTTGTGTGTATGTGTTTATATATTTGTGTGTGTGTATATATGTGTGTATATATTTGTGTGTATATATGTGTGTGTATATATGTGTGTATATATATTTGTGTGTATGTGTTTATATATTTGTGTGTGTGTATATATGTGTGTATATATATTTGTGTGTATGTGTTTATATATTTGTGTGTTTGTATACATATGTGTGTGTGTATATATGTGTGTGTATATATGTGTGTGTATATATATTTGTGTGTATGTGTTTATATATTTGTGTGTGTGTATATATGTGTGTATATATATTTGTGTGTATGTGTTTAATATATTTGTGTGTTTGTATACATATGTGTGTGTGTATATATATGTGTGTGTGTATATATATGTGTGTGTGTATATATGTGTGTGTGTATATATATGTGTGTGTGTATATATGTGTGTGTCTGTATATATATGTGTGTGTGTGTATATATATGTGTGTCTGTGTATATATATGTGTGTGTGTGTATATATGTGTGTGTGTATATATGTGTGTGTCTGTATATATATGTGTGTGTGTATATATATGTGTGTGTGTATATATATGTGTGTGTATATATATGTGTGTGTGTGTATATATATGTGTGTGTGTATATATATGTGTGTGTGTATATATATGTGTGTTTGTATATATGTGTGTGTGTGTATATATATGTGTGTGTGTGTATATATATGTGTGTGTGTATATATGTGTGTGTGTGTGTATATATATGTGTGTGTGTGTATATATGTGTGTATATATATTTGTGTGTGTATATATATGTGTGTGTGTGTATATATATGTGTGTCTGTATATATGTGTGTGTGTGTATATATATGTGTCTGTGTGTGTGTGTGTGTATATTTGTTATTCTTGTTGTTGTTGTTGTTTTTCGGTAGAGATGGGGTCTCATTATGTTGCCCACGCTGGTCTTGATCTCCTAGGCTCAAGCAATCCTCCCGCCTCAGTCTCCCAAAGTGCTGGGATTACATGTGTGAGCCACCACACCAGGGACTATTTTTTTTTCTATTCATTCTCTTTTATGGCCTCTTCTCTCTCATTATGTTATACTTTCAATTTGTATTGCTTCTTGCTATGGTTTGAATGACGGTGTCCTTCCAAAATTCATGTTGAAACTTAATCCCCAGTGCAATTGTATTAAAAGGCGGGACCTTTGGCAGGTGATTAAGACATCAGGGCTCTGCCCTCAGGAGTAGATTAGCACCCTTACAAAAGGGCTTAAGGTCGGCAGGGCGCGGTGGCTCACGCCTGTAATCCCAGCACTTTGGAAGGCTGAGGGAGGGGGGTGGATCACCTGAGGTCAGGAGTTCGAGATCAGCCTGGGTAACGTGGTGAAACCCCATCTCTACTAAAAATATAAAAACTAGCTTGGTGTCGTGGTGCATATCTGTAAACCCAGCTACTTGGGAGGCTTAGGCAGGAGAATTGCTTGAACCTGGGAGGTGGAGGTTGCAGTGAGCCGAGATGACGCCATTGCACAGCCTGGGTGACAAAGGCAAAACTCCGTCTCAAAAAAAAAAAAAAAAAAAGGGCTCGAGGTCAAAGGGAGCACTCTCTGCCCATCCCCTCTGCCATGTGAGGGTTCAGTGTTCCTCCCTTTGGAGGATGCTGTACCAAGGCACCATTTTGGGAGCAGAGACCAGGCTCTCACCAGACACCAAAACTGCCGGCGCCTTGATCAAGGCTTTCCAGCCTCCAGAACTGTGATAAATAAATGTGTTCTTAAAATATGTATATATAAACTACCTCATCCGTGGTGCTTTATTACAGCAGCACGAATAGACTAAGTTTTTTTTTTTTTTTTGAGACGGAGTCTCGCTCTGTCGCCCAGGCTGGAGTGCAGTGGCGCGATCTCGGCTCACTGCAAGCTCCGCCTCCCAGGTTCACGCCATTCTCCTGCCTCAGCCTCCCGAGTAGCTGGGATTACAGGCGCCCGCCACCACGCCCGGCTAATCTTTGTATTTTTAGTAGAGATGGGGTTTCACCGGGTTGGCCAGGCTGGTCTTGATCTCTTGACCTTGTGATCCGCCCGCCTCGGCCTCCCAAAGTGCTGGGATTACAGGCGTGAGCCACCACGCCGGGCCTTGTTTGTTTTTTTAAACCTTTCAAAATGTGACTCATGTTTTGTGGCACGGGTTAGGTCTCCAGGAAATAGACTGCGAGACAAAGATTATGTGCAGGAATATTGTCGGGGTTACCCTTGGGGTCAACACCTGTCAGAGAGTGAAGGAAGCAGGGCTGGAGGGAGGGAGGAGCGAGCTGAGATGACCAAGCCGCCTCCAATCCTACAGGAGCTCTGCAGCCTCACGGTTGACCCCAGTTGGTCACAGGTGCCTGGGTCTTTATGGATCTGTACCAGCCAGTCGCTGATGTGGGCCGCCCCTCAGAGGGATACTTGACCCTGAGCAGAGGGGGAAGTTAGTGCTTGTGTAGGGGAGGGTTTGATGATGCACCCAGCATCCACCACAGGCCACCCCATGCACTACTCACAGCTCCTCCAGTATCTTGTGAGGCCTCTTTTTTCTAGGGAAAATTTGCAAGAACGACACTGCTTGGGTGAACTACAGCGTCCCCTGCCTCCCCGCCTCGGGGCTGCAATGGATTCATCACCCCCAGCTCCACCACGCAGTCTCCATCTGCTCCAAGAGGTGTAGCGATGCGGTGACCTGGACCCTCATCCCGGGACACCATGCCTCTGTCAAACTTGGGAGCTGCCCGGTGACCATGAAAACCAGGCAGAGAAGAAACAGGGAGCCTGGAGTGGAGGCACATGCAGGCGTATCTCCTCCAACGTGAGGTGTCCACTCAAACCACTGTGCCACGGCCAGGGGCACCCTCTCCAGCCTCTCCCCTTAAGCTCCCTGCTCAAGATTCGCTGCTCTTTATTTTCTGAGTTTTACTTCATTTTATGCTCATGGAATAATTGCAAGAATGAGTATAGTAGAAACCCTCCGTACTGGCCGGGTGCTATGGCTCACGCCTGTAATCCCAGCACTTTGGGAGGGTGAGGTGGGTGGATCACGAGGTCAACAGATCGAGACCATCCTGGCCAACATGGTGAAACCCCATCTCTACTAAAAATACAAAAATTAGCCAGGTGCGGCACATGCCTGCAGTCCCAGCTACTCCAGAGGCTGAGCCAGGAGAATGGCGTGAACCCGGGAGGTGGGGCTTGCAGTGAGCCAAGATTGTGCCACTGCACTCCAGCCTGGGCAACAGAGCGAGAATCCATCTCAAAAAAAAAAAAAAAAAAAAAAAGATTTACACAGGTTTATCTTTTCTGGCATTAACTTTTTTTTGTTGTTGTCGCTGTGGTTTTTTTTTTTTTTTTGAGACGGAGTCTTGCTCTGTCGCCCAGGCTGGAATGCAATGGTGCCATCTCGGCTCACTGCAGCCTCCACCTCCCGGTTTCAAGCGATTCTCTTGCCTCAGCCTCCCGAGTAGTTGGGACTACAGGTGTGCACCACCACGCCCGGCTAATTTTTTGTATTATTTTAGTAGAGATCAGGTTTCACCATGCTAGCTAGGCTGGTCTTGAACTCCTGACCTCGTGATCTTCCTGCTTCAGCCTCCCAAAGTGCTGGGATTACAGGTGTGAGCCACAGCGCCTGGCCTGTTTTGTTTTGAGATGGAGTTTTGCTCTTGTCGCCCAGGCTGGAGTGTAGTGGCGCAATCTCAGCTCACTGCAACCTCCGCCTCTCGGGTTCAAGTGATTCTCCTGCCTCAGCCTCCTGAGCAGCTGGGATTACAGGCACCCGCCACCACGCCCCATTGTGGCATTAACATTTCTGAAGAATACAGTCCCTCTTTTGTTTAACAGAATATTCCTTATTTGGGTTTGTCTGAAATTTCCTCATATGTAGATATGGGTTGTGCATTGCTGGCTGGATTCAGTGATGCCGTGTCCTGCTTTGGACACCACATCCAGGTGCACATGGTGTGCACCTGCCCTTTACCAGGGATGCTGAGTTTTATCACCCACCCAACAAGTGGCTTCATTTCTCCACTGCGACTAACAGTCTACGGAGACAGACTTTCAGACCTTAAAATATCCTTCACTCTTTTTTTTTTTTTTTTTTGAGACAGGTCTCACTCTGTTGCCCAGGCTGGGGTGCAGTGGCACAATCACTGCTTACCGCAGCCTCGACCTCCTGGGCTCAAGAGATCCTCCCACTTCGGCCTCCAGAGTAGCTGGGACTACAGGCACATTATCGTCATGCCCTCTAATGTTTAAAGTTTTTTTTTTTTTTTTTTGAAACAGTGTCTCACTCTGTTTCCCAGGCTGGAGTGCAGTGATCTTAGCTCACTGCAACCTCTGCCTTCCCAGGTTCAAGTGATTCTCTTGCCTTAGCCTCCACAGAATAGCTGGGATTATGGGCACTCGCCACCACGCCCGGATAATTTTTGTATTTTTAGTAGAGACAGGGTTTCACCCTGTTGCCCAGGCTGGTCTCAAACTCCTGACCTCAAGTGATCCTCCTGCCTCTGCCTCCCCAAGTGTTAGGATTAGAGGTGTGAGTCACCGTTCCAAGCCACAATACCCTTCTCTTCACCCAAGTCCTCATTTGACATCTATGTGATGATTCTTGCCAAGCCCTCTCCTAAGAGTCTTCCCTCGTTTTGCCAGGTGGACTCAAGCCCTTGTCTTCGGGCCCCTCCACCTGTTACAGCACAGCACCTCACTCTCTTATCTGTTCATGCTTCTCCCTGCTTCACAGGACCTCTGGCTACCCAGCACCCAGTTGAGGACTGCATAAGATATGTGTTTAGTTCACTGAATGACTGAATGAATAATAACAAATGAATAATAAAGGAAGGAACCAACTCTTGCACAAATCAGTGAGGACTCTTCAACACGAGGGCCAGAACCCTCAATCTCAATGATGTAAACCAAAAAAGGAGTGAGGGTAGACCCCTCCAGAGTGGTTCTTCTATCTCTTGGTTGGTGAATTCTCAGAGGACTGAGTAATGATTTTGCATCAGGAATCAAGGCTGATGCATGTCAAGTTCTCACTATTCATTGGCTGATCACTGGGAAACAGGAATGAGACTCATTCTCTTCTTCCTGGTCCCCAATTCCCTTCCTCCTGGTCCCCAATTCCCTTCTTCCTGGTCTCCAGTTCTCTTCTTCCTGGTCTCAGTAGGAACCGCCCTCCACTCATTTGCGCAAGCCAGACATCTGGAGGCCATCCTTCACTCTCTCCAGCTTCCCTCCATCAGCGAGTCTTGTGGTGTCCACCTTCTCAAGTCTCTCTGCACTCTGGTCCAGGCCCCACAGCTCCCACCTGGCCCCTGCCTCTTCACGCCCCACCCCTGCTTCCTATCCTCTCTCTGCATCGTGCGCCCCGAAGATTCACGGCACTTATCCGTCTCAAATTTAAGGTGTGGCGAGTCCTTGCCTTCCCATCCTCCACTCTAAACGCCCTGAAGACAGGCGTTAGGGCTGTCTCCTTCAAACCCTCAGGATCAGAACGTGCACGTGTTCCAGAAATGTTCAATCTGCGAAACGACGGACTGCAGAACCAAATGGCCCTGGGGTCAAGCCCACCTCCCTGCCTCCCGCCTTGGGCTCTCCGGCGCGGGGCCACCGTTTCTAAAACCTCTCCGACTGGTGCGCGTTCGCAAGCTCCCCGATTGGTTCCTCCGCGCGCTAGTTTGCTCATCACGGGTGCGAAAGTGCAGAAAATTCCAGAACCACGCAGCCCGGACACCAATTCTGGCTCTATCACTGACACTCTGGGTGGCCCGTCGCCCTGGGCCTCAGTTTCCTAGTCTGCCACGCGGGGTATTAACAGCGAGCAGCCGAGGGAATGAAGAGGTCACACAGGACCACGTGGTCCCCACGCAGGTGTGATTATCAGGAATTCGTATTTTTATGGAATGCAGTCTCCTCCGCCAAGGCCAAGGCCAAGATCAGGGTCCAGCAGAGACGGCCGGAAAGACACCGCAAGCTCGCCAGAAGCCGCCGGCCACGCTCGGCTGCGCGCCCGCGCCCGCGCCCGCGC
The DNA here is from genome assembly GCF_000001405.40 of Homo sapiens. Lineage (NCBI taxonomy): Eukaryota > Metazoa > Chordata > Mammalia > Primates > Hominidae > Homo > Homo sapiens. Next base: position 344,922 of record NC_000019.10, on the reverse strand, counting down.
ACCTACTACGCGCCCGGCCCGCTCTCCGCCCCCTCCAGGCTCCGCCCCCTGCCCCGCCCTCCAGGCTCCACAGCCAATGAGTGCGCGGCCCCTCATCCGGGGATCCCGGCGCGGCCACCGCCTCCCGCGCACACACGGCCATGGCGGAGGTGAGTGAGCGGGCCGGGGGAGCCGGCCCCCCGCCCCCGCGCGTCCGCGCCCCCCGCCGCCGTGGCTCGGCCTCGTCGTGGGCCCCAGGGACGGAGAGCCCCGCTCTGGAGCTCTGAGGCCGGCCGGGGCGCCTGGCCCGTCCGGGGCCGGAGGGGCGCGGGGCTCCATCGGCGGCCGCCCCCGGCCGGCCCCCACCCCCCAACTCCCCCGGCTGCCACATCGCGGGCTGCAGTGCGCATGCGCGGCGGCGCGGGGCGGGCGGGGGCCGGGGTGGGGGAGGGGAGGGACGCGGGGCGGGGCTGGTGTCGGGGGTCCGGTGGGCGCGCGGCTCCGTTCCAGGGTCCGGCTCCGGTTCCCGGCCCCGGCCCGGGCCCCGCGGCGCGCAGGCCTCCCCTCCCGCGCCTTTGCCAACTTTGCCGAGTGCTGGGGCCGCCAGGCGCCCCGCGCTCCCCATCGGGATCCCGGTGGACCCACCGCGCCTCCGCCGCCCGCGAGCCCCCCGGCGGGGCTGGGTCAGACCCCGGGCGGGATTTGAACTCCCGACGCGGACCCGCCTGGCGCGAACTGGGCGCAGGGTGGGTGGGTCTGCCGGGGCCTAGAGAGCGTCGGGGCTGATCTCAGAAGAGTTGGACCAGCCTCTCCCGGGCACGAAGTTACTTCTGGAGCCTCCTCCCTCGTCCAGGAAACAAGCCCGGGACCCTTTATCTGAAATGTTTGGGACCAGCTATATTTTGGAATCCAGAATTTTTCCAATTTGAGGATCTGTGGGATTTTGGACTGTGATGTTTGATCAAACCCACCTAGGACTGTCTAGGATAAGACAACAGATAGCTTCGTGTCAGGTCAAACCAGGAAGGAAGAAACTTTCGCTTTTGAAGCTTTTTTTGATTTTGGAGTGGTGGATGAGCCTGTGTGGACTTGCTTTCACCTTGGAGGGCCCTGGTGAAGATGGAAAGAGATAATGTAGGTGAAGGTGCGGCGGCTGCGAGGTGCTCAGTCAGTGGGACTCAGTGCATGACTTCTGTGCGCAGAAGTTACGACAGGCGGGCAGACTCAAGAGCTGATCCTATCTCTGGGATAGAGCCCAAAGGAAAAGGTGCCCACCCAGCCAGGCACAGCCGCCTCGTGGGAAGCCGGGATTGGAACTGCGGCCTGGCCGTGGTGCCACGTTGCGTGTTTATGTCTTGGGCGTTGTGGGAGGCAGGACTGGCCATTCTCTCCCCCTGGTGACGACCTCAGGGGCAGTAACAGGCCCTGTGTTTATGCCAAAGACGGTGTAGGTGTCTCGATACTAGGCCAGACCACCGGCCAGTTCCTTCATCGAGAATTAGTTCTTCTTGAGACGCTTAGGGAGACTGAGTCCCCATGCAGATGGTGGCTGTCCTCCAGGGTCGGAGGCAGAAGCCGCGTCTCCCAGTGGCCCTGCAGCGACGTGGTGGTCGAATGAGTTGTGCTCCTGGAATCTGGGCAACACACGTGGCCTGACAGGTAGCTCTGTGTCTGGGATGGCACAAGTCAGACTCCCAAGCCAGCCTCCCCCAGAGCTGCCATGTGGCTGTTCTGCCCTGCTCTAGGCTGAGCTCCGTAAATGTGCACAGCAGCTTGTGGTCCGGCTGCTCCTGTTAACCCTGTTTTACACTTTGGGGTGGTGCCCTGTTGAGTGAATTTGATTTGATTTTCTAAGGAGGTCCCGCTCTGTCCTCGGCCTGAGGATCTGGGAGTGAATGGAGCAGACAGGGCCTCTCCTACAGGGATGCAGAGTCTGGTCAGAGAGAGACGTGGGTGGGTTAGGACCAACAAGTATGAGGTGCTGAGCGTGAGGAGCCATGGCAAGCTGTCTGACCACCGGACTTGTTCTGTGTGGTCTTGGGCAGGTTGCCCAGTGACTCAGAACTTCCTTTTCCTCATCTCTGAAATGGGAAGTTTAATGGTCACCCTTCAGAGCTAGGAGGTCTGATGAGGTCCTGCCACAACGGCTTGTACATGGAAGTTGAATCTTGTGAAGTTGACGATATTCCACTGTTTTTAACCCGTAAAAGTGGCAATTTGTAACTTTATAGCACGTGATCAGTACTAGCTACTTTATTCTGTATCAGTATCCCAGAATAATCATAAGCACCACAGTGGCAGACGGGAATGCTTCATACTTTTCTCAGGCATACTAGATTGATCTTTTAAAAACCTAAGAGCACCATCTTTTGCTCCTACCTAAAACCCTCCATGGCTTTTCATGGTCCCTGGGATAAAATGCTCCTCCTTGCTGAGTCCCACAGCCCTGTGAGGTGGTCCCCACGGATCTGCCCCCTACTCTAGGGCCCTGGGCTCCTGTTTGCTGGTGCACTCTACCCATTTGGGGGCTGCCAACGATGGTTCCACCTCGACTGAGGCCCCCCAGGCCTTCCCTGACCCGCAGTTGCAGAGCCCGTGCGCCCTGTTTTCTCTTCTCGGTACCATACATGTCCACTTGTTTGTTGTCTGTGTCCAAAACTAGCAACTCCATGTGGGTGGAGGCAGGTGGAACTTGTTTCTCAGGTTAACCACCACGCCACTGCCTTGCTGAGCCCAGAGTGGGCGCCCAGGGAACATTGGTCAGACGGAGGAGTGGGGTGCTGGGTAGTCCAACAAGCGCCTGGCACTTGAGTTGGTGTGGGTGGGAGGAGGGTCAAGCATGGCTCTTAGGAGGAGGTTGTTTCAGTCACACTGGGGAGAGGGCTTGGGGCATGGGAGAGGTAGGTGCAGCCATCTTGGCGAATGGAACCTGCCACCCTGTCATTTTGGGTTAAGCTTTGCAGGGTGGCCTCTTGTGTTTTTGGTGCACTCTATACCTGTGGGGGCTGCCCTGGGGGAAGGGCTGGTCTGTGCTCTGCACCCAGTCCTCTGGTGCAGTCTTTATGTTGAGTAGCTGGCTGCCGCTTCTACTGCCTGAAGACCCTGGTGGACGCCTGGGTCTGTGGCCTGTTGTCCTCTGGACCTTGTTTCTAGAATGCTGTTTACGCTTCCTTTGCTTTTTTTGTTGCCTGGAATACCGTTGGCCTGCTCCCCCTCTTTTTCCTGCTTCCACTTTGACAAAACAGAGGACTTTGTCTTTCCTGGGAGTGAACTCAGAGGGAAACATGCAGAGTGTTCTGAGTGAGTGAAGTAGAGTCCCTGGGAACCTGCTTTGAGAGTAGACTTGCACCTGGACACCAGGCAGGGGCAGCGGGAGGAAGAAGATCCATGAAGTCTGTATTCCGTGGTAAGTTCCAGGAACTCAGAGTCGCCTGGAAATGAACTTGGGGATCCCAGGCTGCTCAGGGCCTCCCTGTTAGCGGCCCTTTCTGCCGTTCCCAGCCGCTTCCCTCTTTGCCCCCCTCTGCCTTAGCTCTCCTGTTAAATGGCACGTCATATAAGGGCCAGATCCTCCTCAGACCCTGCAGACCACCTCTCCTGGGGCCATATGTTAACTCCCTGTTACTCGGTGTGGATCTCAAGCCTGCGGGACTGTTGTCAACTTGCCGTCCAGACTGGGGCCTCATTTGATGTGGTCGCCTGCCATCCCCTTGTTAGTCAGGCTCCTGGTTGCGGGAGTAGAAAGCCAGCCCCTGACTGAGGCAGGAACCGTTGCCCAGAGAACCTGTCCTCGACCCCTACCCAGAGGGTCCTAGAGGGGGCTGAGGGTGATTTCAGAGGTCACTTAGGATGCTTTCCCTGTGGCTTCACACCGCGTGTGGCTGTGTAGAGTGGTTGTGGGCTGGTGGCCACCTGCTGTGTCCTGGAAAGAGGTGAGGCCATCTCTGCCAGACCCAGGCCAACCCCAGGGCAGGAGGCGTGAGATGCCCCTGCAGCTGCCATGCACTCTGTGCTGCTTGCTTCCAGTCCCGTGGCCCCTTCCCCCTGGGGGCCCTGCTGGCTCTTCCTTCCCTCTGTCTTCTGTTTGCCCTCTGCCACCACGGAGCTAAACTTTCTAAAGCTGGATGGGTCCTGTCAGTCTCCACTTAGAGCTTGAGGTGCTCCTTGGTCCTTGGCAGCCTTGTTGCCAGAGTCACTCCAGGGCCAGTGGCTGCCCCAGCTCCCTTCCGTGGCTTTGCTGTACGTTGCTGTACAGTTGGCCCTTGAACCTCACGGGTTTGAACTGCATGGGTCACTTATACATGGATTTCCTTCCATCTCTGCCACCCCGAGACAGGAAGACCAACCCCTCCTCTTCCTCCTCAGCCTACTCAACGTGAAGATGATGAGGACGAAGACCTTTAGGATGATCCACTTCCACTTAATGAATAGTAAATACACTTTCTCTTTCTTACAATTTTCTTAATAACTTTTTCTGTAGTTTACTTTTTTTGTGAGAATACAGTACATAATACAATATATAAAATATGTGTTTATCAACTGTTGATGTTATCGGCAGTGCTCCCGACCAGCAGGAGGCTATTAATCAAGTGTCGGGGAGTCAGAAGTCATGCATGGGTTTTCACCTGTGTGGAGGGTTGGCACCCGTAACCCCTGCGTTGTTCAAGGGTCAACTGTACTAGCCGTTGTGTTCCCCAGTAGTGTGATGGGCTGGAAGGTGTTTGCAAGCCGCTGGCCTGAGCTCCACTTTGTAACTGCACCACTGAACCTGCTGTGTGAGCTTGGGTAACTGACTCTATCTCTTTGAGCTTGTTTCCTTGTTTTTTTGTGAGGGGAATGATTATACCACCTGTGAGGTTTTTTCTTGAGGACCCGTGAAGAAGTATTGAAATTCTTACTACACAAGTTTTTAAACTTCATTAAATATTTTAATCTACCCTTTTTGGCAGCAGCTTTCCCGAGGTATAATTCATTTACCATGCAGTTCACCGTTTTAATGTGTCCAGTTCAGTGGTTGTTAGTGTATTCACCCAGTTGTGCAGCCACCATCACAGTCAATTTTAAAACATTTTCATCACCCCAAAAGGAACCCCACACCCCTTAGTGGTCACTCCCCAAACCCCAGATCAACTCCCAGCCCCTTTCCACCAGGAATCCATTTTCTGTCTCTACGAATTTGCCTGCTCTAGACATTTGAGATTAAATGAGTCATACGACACGTGGCCTTTTGTGTCTGGCTGTTTCAGGAGCATGAGTCTTTCGAGGTGCGTCCATGTGGTAGTGTGTCAGTGCGTCCTTCTTTGCCCCGTTGCTAGTGCTTTGTTTTGTTTTTGTCAGCTGATGGATATTAGGACCCTGACCTGGGTCACATGGTTAAATACTATTTAACTTTTGGAGGAATTGCTGGACTATTTTCCAAAGTGGCTGCACTATTTTGACATTCCCACCGGCAGGGCACAGGAGAGTTCCACTTTGTCCACGTTCTTGTCAACACTTGTTACTGTCTTTTTGAGCACAGTTTTTATTCTCTGATTAGGAAGTGGTATCGTAGTGTGGACTTTGCTTGCTTTTGCCTGATATTACATTGAGTATCTTTTCCTGTGCTTATTGGCCATTTGTCTGTCCTCTTTGGAGAAATGTCTGTTCAGATCCTTTGCCTATTTTTCAATGGGATTCTCTCTTCCTTATTGAGTTTTAAACGTTCTTTATACTGAGAAGAAGTTCCTTATCAGATAGATTATTTTTCAGATATTTTCTCCTATTCTCTCAGTTGTCCTTTCACTTTCTTGGGGGCGTCCTTTGAAGCACAAAAGTTTTTAATTTTGGTGAAGTTGTTTATCCATTTGGTTTTTTTTTTTTTTTTTGGTCACTTGTGATTTTGGTGTCTTATCTAAGAAACCATTGCCAAATCCAAGGTCACAAACTTTTTTCCCACCACATTTTTAGATTCAATCAAAAGGTTACAAATATTTATCCATATATTTTCTCCGAAAAGTTGTGTGGTTTTGGCTCTTATATTTAAGGCCTTTGATCCATTTTGAGGTAATTTTTGCATATGGTATGAGATAGGGGTCCAACTTCATTCTTTTGCACATGGATATTCAACTGTCCCAGTACCATTTGTTAAAGACTGTTCATTCCTTCATGGAACTGTTTTGATACCTTTGTGGAAATCCAGTTGACTATGAATGTGTGACTGTATTTCTGGATTCTCAGTTCTAGTTCGTTGATCTTTGTGCTGTCCTTATGGCAGTACCACACTGTTTTGATTGCTGTGGCTCTGTGGTGAATTTTGAAATCAGGAAGTATTGTTTCAAGATTGTTTGGGCTGTTTGGGGTACCTTGAGCTTCCATATGCTTTTGAAATCGGCTCGTGGGTTTCTACAAAGAAGCCAACTGGGGTTCTGATAGACATGGTGTTGAATTTGTCAATCAGTGGGGGGTGTTGCCGTCTTAATGTTGTCTTCTCAGCCATGAACGTGGGATGCCTTTACATTCCCTTGGATCTTCCTTTCAACACTGCTTTGTTCACTCAGAGTACTGTACACATTTCACACTTCCCTTGATGCTATTGTAAATGGAATTGTTCTTTTTGTATTTGTTGCTTTTATATAGAAATAAAATTGATTTTTATGTATTGATTTTGTGTACTGCAACCTTGCTGAACTCACTGTAGTTTGAATAGTTTTTTAGATCATGTCACCAGCACCAGCACAGAGATAGTTTTACTTCTTCCTTACCAATCTTTTTTTTTTTTTTTTTTTTTTTTTTTTGAGATGGAGTCTTGCTGTATTGCCAGGCTGGAGTGCAGTGGCACGATCTCGGCTCACTGCAACCTCTGCCTCCTGGGTTCAAGCGATCCTCCTGCCTCAGCCTCCCGAGTAACTGGGACTACAGGTGCCCGCCACCACACCCAGCTAATTTTTACATTTTTAGTAGAGACAGGGTTTCACCTTGTTGGCCAGGATGATCTCCATCTGCTGACCTCGTGATCTGCCCACCTCGGCCTCCCAAAGTGCTGGGATTACAGGCGTGAGCCACTGCGCCCAGCCTTTTTTTTTTTTTTTTTTTTTGTGAGATGGAGTCTTGCTCTGTTGCCCAGGCTGGAGTGCAGTGGCACGATCTCGGCTCACTGCAGCCTCCGCCTCCCTGGTTCAAGCAATTCTCCTGCCTCAGCCTCCTGAGTAGCTGGGATTACAGGCACATGCCACAATGCCTGGCTAATTTTTTTGTATTTTTGGTAGAGACAGGGTTTCACCATGTTGGCCAGGCTAGTCTTGAACTCCTGACCTCAAGGGATCCGCCTGCCTGAGCCTCCCAAAGTGCTGGGATTACAGGCGTGAGCCACCGTGCCCGGCTTCCTTACCGATCTTGATTCTTTTTATTTGATGCTTTTACGCTGACTACACCATCCAGCCCTCCATTTAGCATGAGAGGTGAGAGTACACGTTGTGGTGCTCATGGTGTGAAGGAGAAAGCAGCCTTTCCCCATTGAGGGCAATGATAAGTATGGGTTTTTCCAAGAAGGAAGCTCCCTTCTGTTCTGAGTTTGTTGGGTATTTTTCCTTATGAAAGTATGTTGGATTTTGTTGGATTGGGTATGTTGAGATGATCCTGTGTTTTGTTTTTTTATTTTATTGATGTGATGTATTATATTAATTGACTTTTGGATATTAAATCGACCTTGCATCCCTGCGGTAAATCTTACTTGGTCGTGGCTTATAATCATCTTTATGTGTTGCTGGATTCAGTTTGCTAGTATTTTGTTGAGGGTTTTGTGTTTATGTACATGAGAGATATCGTGGCTTGCGGTAGCTCACACCCATAATGCCAGCACTTTGGGAGGCCGAGGCGGGCGGATCACTTGAGGTCAAGAGTTTGAGACCAGCCTGGGCAACATGGTGAAACCCTCATCTCTAGTAAAAATACAGAAATTAGCTGGGCGTGGTGGTGCGCACCTGTAGTCCTAGCTACTCGGGAGGCTAAGGCAGGAGAATCACTTGAACCTGGGTGGCAGAGGTTGCAGTGAGCCAAGATTGCGCCACTGCACTCCAGCCTGGGCGACAGAGCAAGGCTCTGTCTCAAAAAAAAAGAGAGATATTGAACATTGTGATAATGGTAACTTATAATGGTTTTGTTTGCCTTTTTATAAAAAAAAATTGTAATTGACAAACCATAAAATATGCCCATTTTAAAGTTTATAATTCATTGATTTTTAGTGTATTCACGACCATGCAACCATCACCTCTATCTGATTCTAAAACATTCTGTCATCCCCAAAAGAAGCCCTGTCCCCGTTAGCAGTCACTCTCCCACTGTCTCTCTCCCTGGCTCCTGGCCCCCACGAGCCCCCATTCTGTCTGTGGACTGGCCTGTTCTGGATGTTTGGTATCAGTGGACCCTACGCTGTGGCCGTTGGTGTCTGGCTTCCCTCCCAGTGCATGCTGTTGTTGAGCTTCATCCAGGTTGCAGCATGGGTCAGGACTGTAGGCCTGTGTGTGGGCAGTTTTCAGTGTCACATGATGCATGTCCTGCCCTGGGCGAGAACGCCTCCACCCTGTGAGCGGTCCTTGGTGGGAGGCGGGGCGAGTGGCGGCCACATGCGTGTGCTGCTCCTAGTGCCCCCCAGCCCTCAGAGGCGGAGACAAAGCCCCTTCCCTGGTCACTGGGGACTGGGCTCTGACCAGCGCTTGCTCTTGGCTGCCACACTGTGATGTCCAGCAGCAGGTTTTGGGCCGGCCGAGCTAACCCTGCCTCTCTTCCTTCGCAGGCCTCCTCGCTGGGGAGGCAGAGTCCTCGCGTGGTCTCCTGCCTCGAGCACAGCCTGTGCCCAGGGGAGCCGGGCTTGCAGACAACAGCAGGTACCTTCCTCCCTCCTTCCCCTGCTCAGGTCCGCCAAGGCCTTTGTGGCTGTGAGAGACAGAATGCCTGCTGGGCCTGGCTGAGCTGTGGACCGGCACACTGGCTTCCAGAGTCCAGGGTGTCCCAGCTCCCACCCGTTCAGATGGAGCTGTGGGGCAGAGTGGTCAGGACTCCCGTCTTCCTGTTCTTTAGCAGGGGCAGGGAGCCCAGGCGACCCAAGACCATCCTCAGAGCCCAGCACCCCCAGCAGAGGACCCGGGCACACGCCTGCACCGAGCTGAGGGCTGCCTCATCTTGCCAGGGTGTTGGGAAGGGGTGGCTTGCTGAGGGAGCCGGGGCTGAGAAGGTGGAGGGCGGCGAGACAGGCAGCACCCCGGGTTCCCTGCACCTCCCTGCGCTGCTGCTTGCCCAGTGGGCATCAAGGTCCCATGCCCGCCTGCCAGCCACCTGCGTTGGGCCTGCGGGGAGGAGCTGACGCTGTAGGGCAAGGGTCTCTATGACTGTTCTTCCCCTGGCTGGGCTCCTTCTGCCAGGTGTAGGGCTGCGTCTCTTTCCGTATCAAACTAGTCACCACCCGAGTCCCCAGAGAAGGCGGTGCCATCCCTGTTTTCCCTCACGTGGCTCCTCCAAGGGTGCGGTGGCCACTGAGGGTCCGGGCGCACCCATTCAGCTCCAGGTCATTCCCTCACTCTAACGAGGTGCCTGCCGCTGGGGGTCCTCTGTGCCCTGCAGCTGCATGTTCTGTGCATGGGCTGTGTGTGGTGCACACCTGTGTGCCCAGCCCTACAGGCTGTGTGGCTGCCCTAGAGGCCTCGTGCCCTGGACTCCCAGGCCCTCAGGCCCCCAGCCTTGGCCTACACTGCTCTCTGTCTGGATTGATTGAGCCCTAGCTATTTCCTTTGTTTGTTTAAAAATTTGACCAATTGGAGAGTAAACATGCAGAGGAATGGTGACACATCCCAGTTCTTTCGGGGAAACCCTGGATCTGATGACAGCCGTCAACTGTTGGGCCATGTACATCGCATGTCTTCTTCATGTGGCCCTGCAGACGGAGCTTAAGGGACTGGTGTTGTCGAGCCCCCATTGGTTTGTCCCTGCATGCTCCTTGATGCTGTACTGACCTGTGCAGGTGAGGGTTCAGCGTCACCCCCGTTTCAGGAGTCATGGAGTCCGGTGTGAACCCACCTCGACTGAGTCCTGCTGCTCCTTCTACCCTAACGAGATGGGTGTTGGTCTCTTTCTAGTCCACTTGCTCCCCAAATCCTCGCAGGCTTCTCTGTGTTCAGGAAGACAAGCAGTCTCTCAGAAAGAGACACACCCACCCCCCAAAAAAATCCTTGGAATTTGTATGTGCAGCTCACCAGCCGTGCTCCTGTGTGCATTAGTCGTGGGGTGTCCTGTTGGGTTCCCTCATGAGGCTGATCCTGGCAGCATGCAGAGGGCCTCATCCTTAGGGCTTCACCAGGCGTCAGTAGTCTCGGCAGGATGGTTGGGACAGGCGAGGCACGGTGCTCACCTGGGCTGCTCTCTTCTCCCCAGTGGTGTCCATGGGCTCTGGAGACCATCAGTTCAACCTCGCAGAGATCCTGTCACAGAACTACAGTGTTAGGGGGGAGTGCGAGGAGGCCTCGAGGTGCCCAGACAAGCCCAAGGAGGAGCTGGAGAAGGACTTCATCTCCCAGGTACTTGGCCAAGGTGATCCTGCCCCTGTGTTGGGTGGAGCCCTCCGGGGTAAGCCTCATGAGTTTTGTGCAGCTCAGATTCCACATTGGTAAGTGCTAAATTGTACATCTTTTTGCAAAGTGCCAGATGCTGTCCTAGTAGCTGAAATTCAGTGGAGACCAGGTCTTTCATGGGGCTCTCTGAGCAGCACGGTGGTCAAGGATTAAGCCAGCTGCTCTCAAATCTTCTGGTCTCAGAACCTGCTTTGTACTCTTAAAAATTATTGAGAGTTTCAGGCTGGGTGCAGTGGCTCACGCTTGTAATCCCAGCACTTTGGGAGGCTGAGGCGGGTGGATCACTTGAGATCAGGAGTTCGAGACCAGCTTGGCCAACATGGTGAAACCCCATCTCTACTAAGAATACAAAATTGTCGGGCGCGGTGGCTCACACCTGTAATCCCAGCACTTTGGGAGGCCGAGGTGCGCGGATCACAAGGTCAGGAGATCGAGACCGTCCTGGCTAACACGGTGAAACCCTGTCTCTACTAAAAATACAAAAACAAAATTAGCCGGGCATAGTGGCGGGTGACTGTAGTCCCAGCTACTCGGGAGGCTGAGGCGGGAGAATGACGTGAACCCGGGAGACGGAGCTTGCAGTGAGCTGAGATCGTGCCACTGCACTCCAGCCTGGGTGACACAGCGAGACTCCGTCTCCAAAAAAGAAAAAAAAGAATACAAAATTAGCCAGGCGTGGTGGTGCACGTCTATAGTCCCAGCTACTCGGGAGGCTGAGGCAGGAGAATCCCTTGAACCTGGGAGGCGGAGGTTGCGGTGAGCCGAGATCACGCCATTGCACTCCAGCCTGGGCGACAGAGTGAGACCCTGTCTCAAAAAAAAAAATTAAAAAAAATTAGAGTTTCAAGGAGCTTTGTTAATGTGCTTTATCTATTGCTTTTTTATTACATGAAAAGTTAAAACTGACATGTAAATTGGCCGGATGCAGTGGCTCATGCCTGTAATCCCAGCACTTTGGGAGGCCGAGGTAGGCGGATCATGAGGTCAGGAGTTTGAGCCTAGCCTGGCCAACGTAGTGAAACCCTGTCTGTACTAAAAATACAAAAATTGTTGGGCGCGGTGGCTCATGCTTGTAATCCCAGCACTTTGGGAGGCTGAGGCAGGTGGATCACCTGAGGTCAGGAGTTCTAGATCAGGCTGGCCAACATGGTGAAACCCCGTCTCTACTAAAAATACAAAAACAAAATTAGCCGGGCATAGTGGCGGGTGACTGTAGTCCCAGCTACTCGGGAGGCTGAGGCGGGAGAATGACGTGAACCCGGGAGACGGAGCTTGCAGTGAGCTGAGATCGTGCCACTGCACTCCAGCCTGGGTGACACAGCGAGACTCCGTCTCCAAAAAAGAAAAAAAAGAATACAAAATTAGCCAGGCGTGGTGGTGCACGTCTATAGTCCCAGCTACTCGGGAGGCTGAGGCAGGAGAATCCCTTGAACCTGGGAGGCGGAGGTTGCGGTGAGCCGAGATCACGCCATTGCACTCCAGCCTGGGCGACAGAGTGAGACCCTGTCTCAAAAAAAAAAATTAAAAAAAATTAGAGTTTCAAGGAGCTTTGTTAATGTGCTTTATCTATTGCTTTTTTATTACATGAAAAGTTAAAACTGACATGTAAATTGGCCGGATGCAGTGGCTCATGCCTGTAATCCCAGCACTTTGGGAGGCCGAGGTAGGCGGATCATGAGGTCAGGAGTTTGAGCCTAGCCTGGCCAACGTAGTGAAACCCTGTCTGTACTAAAAATACAAAAATTGTTGGGCGCGGTGGCTCATGCTTGTAATCCCAGCACTTTGGGAGGCTGAGGCAGGTGGATCACCTGAGGTCAGGAGTTCTAGATCAGGCTGGCCAACATGGTGAAACCCCGTCTCTACTAAAAATACAAAAATTAGCCGGGCGTGGTAGCAGGCGCCTGTAATCCCAGCACTCAAAGGGCTGAGGCAGGAGAATCGCTTGAACCCAGGAGGCGGAGGTTGCAGTGAGCCGAGATCAGGCCATTGCACTCTAGCCTGGGGGACAGAGCAAGACTGTGTCTCAAAAAAACAAAAAAAATTGACATGTAAAAATACTTATTCGCTAACTCATTTTAAAATGAGCTGAGATGTGCCACTGCAGTCCAGCCTGAGTGACACAGTGAAACTCCATCTCAAGAAAAAAAAAGAATACGAAAATTGCCAGGCGTGGTGGTGCACGTCTGTAGTCCTAGCTACTCAGGAGGCTGAATAAATCAGTGACATGTTAATATAAATATTTTTATGAAAATAAAAAGAACTGTCCCAAAAGAAAAAAAATTAGAAGACTGAATTTTTAGTTTTCCATATCTCTTTGAATGTAGAAGCAAATATGAAAATCCAGCTTCTGTCTTTTTATTTTTTTGAGATGGAGTCTTGCTCTGTTTCCCAGGCTGGAGTGCAGTGGTGTGATCTTGGCTCACTGCATCCTCCGCCTCCTGGGCTCAAGTGATTCTCCTACCTCAGCCTCCCGAGTAGCTGGGACCACAGGTGCATGCCACCACGCCCGGCAAATTTTTGTATTTTTAGCAGAGACGGGGTTTCATCATGTTGGACAGGCTGGTCTCAAACTCTTGACCTTGTGATCTGCCCACCTCGGCCTCCCAAAGTGCTGGATTACAGGCATGAGCCACCACGCCTGGCCAAGCTTCTGTCTTTAAAACATTTATTTATTTTTTTGAGACTGGATCTCACTTTTGCCTAGGCTGGAGTGCAGTGGTGCAATCATAGTTTACTGCAGCCTCGAACTCCTGGGCTCAAGGGATGCTCCTGCCTCAGCCTCCTGAATAACTGGGACTATAGTCGCACGCCACCACACCTCACCAACGTTTTTATTTTATTTCTTTGTGGAGTTCTTGCTATGTTGCTAGGGTTGGTCTCAAACTGTTGGCCTCAAGCAATTTTTCTACCTAGGTCTCCCAAAGTGTTGGGAGTATAGGTGTGAGCCACTGTACCTGACCCAGTTTCTGTCTTTTTTTTTTTTTTCTGGGGACAGAGTCTCACTCTGTTGCCCAGACTGGAGTTCAGTGGTGCAATCTGGGCTCACTGGAACCTCTACCTCTTGGGTTCAAGTGATTCTCGTGCCTTAGCCTCCTGAGTAGCTGGGACTACAGGTGCCCACCACCATGCCTGGCTAACTTGTATTTTTAGTAGAGACGAGGTTTTACCATGTTGGCCAGGCTGGTCTCGAACTCCTGACCTCAAGTTGATCCTGCCATCTCAGCCTCCCAAAATGCTTGGATTACAGGCATGAGCCACGCCTGGTCAGTTTCTGTCTTTTAAGGGAGACATTGATCTGTTGTGATAGGCTCTTATGGCTGAAGTTAAAATACAGCCTCAGCCAGATCTGTGGTTGAAAAAGGTAGGAGTATTTCACAGCTTTTCGGATAATTGTGGGTATTCTTCTTTGATGCTACAGCAAAACCCATCAAGTGATAGTTTTGTAGAGAGTAGTTGTGGAGTGGAATCTGAGACCGTATCAGTGAACCTCACAGGTCAAGAGGCAGAAAGGTCCATGATCAAGGTCCAGCAGAGTGGGTTCTGGTGCCGGCTCTCTTCTTGGCTTGCTGTGTCCTCACATGGTGGATAGAGAACAAGAGGGAGCCTTCTGGTGTTTTTCTTGAAAGGACACTAATCCTGTTGGATCAGGGCCCCACCCTCACGGCCTCCTTGAACCTTAATTACCTCTGTAAATGCCCCGTCTCCAAATATAGTCATGTTGGGGCTTAGGGTTGACTGTAACAGTTGATATCACCACCAGCCTTATCATAAGTTTTTTTTTTTTTTTTTTCTTTTTTTTGAGACAGGGTCTCGCTGTCGCCCAGGCTGGAGTGCAGTGGCGCGATCTTGGCTCACTGCAAGCTCCGCCTCCCAGGTTCATGCCATTCTCCTCCCTCAGCCTCCCGAGTAACTGGGACTACAGGCACCTGCCACCTTGCCTGGCTAATTTTTTGTATTTTTTTTAGTAGAGACGGGGTTTCATCATGTTCGCCAGGATGGTCTCAATCTCCTGACCTCGTGATCCGCCCGCCTCGGCCTTCCAAAGTGCTGGGATTACAGGCGTGAGCCACCGTGCCTGGCCTGTAAGTTTTTTAAATATTAGAAATTCGGCAAGTTCATGTTGTCAAACCCAAGTTTTTCAAAATCTTGAGTTTTACCATTGCAGCAGTTATGGTCAGCTGTTTCCTTTGCAGTAACAGCCCCCCTGGCTTGCATACAAGGCAGCGCCTGCCAGGTGCCTTTCTGAGTGGCTATAGTTGGCCAGCATTCTTTCAGGTGAAACGACCAGGAACAGCCTCTTCGTCTCACCACTCGTTCCATGCATGTGGTTCCTTGAAGGAACCACCTCACTTTGGTATGCAGCAGGTGCATTCTGCATGCTTCCCACGCCCTCACAGCACATGGAAACATCTGCTCAGGGTGAGACTTAACAAAATGCTCACTTTGTCCAGCATCTTCTTTTTTTTTTTTTTTTTTTTTGAGACGGAGTATTGCTCTCGTCACCTAGGCTGGAGTGCAGTAGCACAATGTCGGCTCACTGCAACCTCTGCCTCCTAGGTTCAAGCGATTCTCCCTGGGATTACAGGAACCCACCACCATCCCCAGCTAATTTTTGTATTTTAGTAGAGACAGGGTTTCTCCATGTTAGTTAGGCTGGTCTCAAACTCCTGATCTCGTGATCCGCCTGCCTCAGCCTCCCAAAGTGCTGGGATTACAGGCATGAGCCATCCTGCCCGGCTGTCCAGCATCTTCTGAAGTGAAGCTGGGGTGTTTGCTTTTGGTCTGTGAGGAATGTGACAGCAGTGACTTGTGGGCAGGGATGCACTGGCTGCAGCTTCCACGGGCACTGGGCTCTTGCCGGCTGCCAATGCTGCACTATCAGTGCAAGCCTCAATGAAGCCAAAAATGGAAGTCACGGCTGAGTGCTCTTAGGAAAGGGTCTTCACCTTGGGCTACTATGGAGAGGTTCAGGCAACCCAAGGGCCTCTGGACCACTGTGTCAACCTTCCCACCTTCATAATCCTGAAGGTAATGGACATACAGAATCTGTTCTTTCCACGGGGTCCTGTGAGAGAACAAAAGGGGGACTCAGTGTAGATATTCCACCTGGAGAAGGGCTGGGACTAGGCTGGGAGGTTTCTATGTGGACTTGAAGCCCCCAGGTTGAGTCTGGGCAGGAGCTGGGGTGGAGGGGAGGCCAGTGCTAACATCTTGAGAGAATGAGAGGGAGTGTTCCGGAAGTTGGAAGCTGAAAGTGACCCACAGGGATCAGCGTGGAGTCTGAGCAGACAGGACTAGCCTCTGTGGAATAGAGGCTCACACAAGGGAGGACAGAAGGATTTGAAAGCAGCACTGGAGAGCATGATGTTGATAGTTCGCATCTCTTCCTTCCCAGGAATTACGTGCCTTATTTATACTTCTTGTCATATTACATTGGCTCAGAGCATCAAAACAGTGTTCGTTAATCACAGTGCTCTTGTTCCAGATCGTGATGGGGGCTGCTCTGGTTACCCATTTTTGACTGAGTGTGAATTGACAGCTTCTCCATTATATTGATGAAGCATCCGTTTACATAGTTTTCTTCTTTTTTTTTATTTTGAGACAGATTCTCACTCTGCCACCCAGGCTGGAGTGCAGTGGTGTGATCTTGGCTCACTGCAACCTCCATCTCCCGAGTACAAGTGATTCTCGTGCTTCAGCCTCTTGAGTAGCTGAGACTACAGGTGGATGCCACCAAGCACAGCTAATTTTTGTATTTTTAGTGGAGACGGGATTTCGCCATGTTGCCCAGGCTGGTCTCGAACTCCTGGCCTCAAGTGATCTGCCTGCTGTAGCCTTCCAAAATGCTGGGATTACAGGTGTGAACTACTGTGTCTGGCCTGTTTATGTAGTTTTCTGAGAGTTCCTTTTTTTTTTTTTTCAAATCAGGAATAGATGTCGGATTTTACCAAATGCCTTTTTCAGATAACTTTTTTCCCCTTTAATATATTGATGTTGAGTTACAATAGTAAATTGCCAGGTGTCGCACCATCCTTGTATTCCTGTAATTCACCCTGTGTCACACCATCCTTGTATTCCTGTAATTCACCCTGTGCAAGGAGGCATTGTGGGCAGGGTGGTGCCCTCTTCCCTGGCCGGTGACCCCTAGGCTCTGGTGCCTCTGAGGGATTGTAAAGGAGCTCTTGGATGAAGGACTGGGCCTGAGGTCTGGCTGGGGAGTGCTGCCATGTGGGGAGTTGCTATGGGTGTGACAGAGTGGCCCTGGTTGTGGCCAGTGAGGCTCAGGCAAGAGGACAGGGACAGGAACCCCCAGAGCCGTCCCTCCTGATGGGGCCTTGTTCCCTTCCCCAACTCAGAGCAACGACATGCCCTTTGATGAGCTGCTTGCGCTCTATGGCTACGAGGCGTCAGACCCCATTTCAGACCGGGAGAGTGAGGGTGGTGACGTGGCCCCGAACCTCCCAGACATGACCCTGGACAAAGTAAGTGAGGGCCCTTCCTGGAACTGGCTCACAGCTGAAGGTGGGGGGGCCTGGCGCTGCCTCTCTGCAGAGGGGAGTGTTCAGTGAGAGGAGGCACAAAGGCCCCCAGAATAAGTAGAATGTACCTGTGACCACTACCCTGGGGTTGGAATGGCCATGGGCATGGGGCTGGACCCTAGCCTTAACCCCAGGCCACATGTCATTCTGGCTTTGGTGGGTGGAGGGGCACATCGGGGCCTCCCCAGGACTGGTCTCTCTGCCATTCCGTACCCAGAGGTCACAGGTCAAGGCTTGGGTGTTGGGAGCAGGGGCGGGCTGCATTGTAGAAGGTTAAAACCAAATGCACAGTCAGAGAAAGAGCCATGCACTCCGGGCGTGTGCCCAGTGGCAGCTCTAACTGTCTCCAGCTCTGGTGGCTGGGTGTGGGCTCCCACGTGTCTCCTTCCCATCCCCGCTCCCCCCACGCTGTGCACCCTTTGCAGAATGGGAATAGCAGCCCCATGTGAGCCTCAGGGCACTCCCAGTGTCTTTACTGTTGTTATCATTAGTGGTATTGCGAGATTGTTAAACTGTAAAATGTTCTTTACTTTTTTTTTTTTTTTTAAAGGAACAAATAGCGAAGGATTTGCTTTCAGGGGAAGAAGAGGAAGAGACGCAATCATCTGCTGACGACCTCACCCCGTCCGTGACCTCCCACGAGGCCTCCGACCTCTTCCCTAACCGGAGTGGATGTAGGTGACTCTGTCCCCATACTCCACCGCAGCCAGGCCCCCTGCCAGGCAGTCGTGATGCTTGATGAAGGGTCCTTGGGCTGATGCAGGCCAAGAACTCATCACAGATGAGGGCGTCTGCCTGGCGGGAAGCGTCAGTAGCCCTGGGGGTGCTTTGTTCTCCTCCACGCTGGCCAGTGAGCCTGGACTCTCAGAGCGATTTGGTTTAAACAAGTAGGGAACATGTTGGTTCCCCTAGCAGATCCAGGGACAGCATTCCCAGAACCGGCCTCCTTCACAAGCCTCTGTGCTGGCTTTCCTGGGAACTGAGGGCTCGGGGCCCAGAGGTGCAGCAGCTGCATAGAAGGGAAGGCCTCTTTCTTCAAAGGTGCATCCCTGGTCCTGGGTCCTGTGCCCATCTGTTTACCCAATGTCTGGCCAGAGAGAGGGTTATGGCCTGGGGATCAGGTGGATGGAGAATGGGAGTGGAGAGAAGGGGTTGTATAGGCTGCAGGCAGTGGAGACCCTGGGGGACCTGCCTCTGTTTTCCCAAAGCTCGTTTCCTGGCTGATGAAGACAGAGAGCCTGGCTCTTCTGCCTCCTCCGACACCGAGGAGGACTCTCTTCCTGCCAACAAATGTAAGAAGGTACGTGGTTCTGCCATCTCCCCAACCTGGCATCCCGGCCGTGGTTCTGCCGTCTCCCCAACCTGGCATCCCGACCGTGGCTCTGCCGTCTCCCCAGCCTGGCATCCCGGCCGTGGCTCTGCCGTGTCCCCAACCTGGCATCCCGGCCGTGGCTCTGCCGTGTCCCCAACCTGGCATCCCGGCCGTGGCTCTGCCGTGTCCCCAACCTGGCATCCGGACTGTGGTTCTGCCGTCTCCCCAAACTGGCATCCCAACCGTGGCTCTGCTGTGTCCCCAACCTGGCATCCCGACCGTGGCTCTGCTGTGTCTCCAACCTGGCATCCCAGCCGTGGTTCTGCCGTGTCCCCAACCTGGCATCCCTCCCATGGCTCTGCCCTCTCCCCAACCTGGTATCTCGGCCTCAGTAACCGCAGCCGGGTCCTGCTGAGCCCTCTCCCTGGGTTTGTGCCCCTTCTCAGAGGAGGGACGTGCTGCTCGACCCCAGGGTGGGCTGGGACCGGCCACAGGTGCTTTGGACCGGAGCCTGGGCCCCTGCTGCTGACCCAGAGTGTTTGTCCTCCGACATCCTGTCTGGGCCTCTGCCAGGCCAGGCGTCAGGACACAGCCTCACCCCTCACACACCCAGGCCTCTGCCTCCCACCTTCAGACCCCAGAACTGGGCATCAGCAGGTAGACGGCACAGATGGGTCTGGGGTCTGGACAGTGGCCCCTCCCCGTAAGCCTGCCACAGCACGCTGCAGCCAGCCTCCCGCCCGGCCTAGATGCTCCTCAGTGTCCTGATTCCCAGGTGCTTGCTTTGCAGGAGATCATGGTGGGACCTCAGTTCCAAGCTGACCTCAGCAACCTGCACTTGAACCGGCACTGTGAGAAGAGTAAGTAGGGCCTGGGGAGAGGAGGCGAAACCCACTTCTGCAAGGGGAGTGGCCTGGCTGGACGTCAGATCCTTGGACAGTCTGGTCAGGTCCCCGCCCCGCATCGCTCACTGGGGCAGCTGAGCCTGTGGCTGGAGGAGGTGGGAGGCTCTCGTGGCTGCAGTGGGCCTATTGCTGCCTGCCCCTGCCCAGCTCTGTCCCTCCCTTGGGGTCTGCTCTGGTCAGCCTGTGCAGCCAGACCCTCAGCAGCCCGTCCTGCCTCTGACCCAGCCCTGCCCTGCCCTTGACTCCAGCCGCCTCCCCACAGCCTGGGCCGCTGCATTCGATGGCTCTGTGCCGGGTTAGATGGTTCTCCAGAGACCCGCCGGATGCTGCGCTGCACCCCCGGCCTTGCTCCGCTCCTCTTCAGGGTGCTCCCTTTCCTGGGCTTGACCTTCGTCTCTTTCCCACTAGAGTTCAAAATCGACCCTCTCTTGCCCCTTTGAGGCGTGGAGTCACGTGCCCATTGACTTGGGTCTCATTTGTGTTGCCCTGGAGCCCTTGCAGGCCCTGGGCCAGTGCTCCTAGCTCAGGAGCCTTCTCCAAGGTGATTCAGTGGCTGAGATGCGTGGTGGGAAGGGACAGGTGCAGCAGAAGTACTGAGTCCAGGGAGACAGGGACCCTCCGTGAAGAGAAGTCGTCCTCCTGGGGCTGGTCGGGGGTGCCCCGTGTGAGAAGAGGACGGAGCCAGGAAGGTGCAGCCAAGCTGCTGGGACATCCAGAAGGCAGGGTCGGAGGGGACACTTGGGACCCTCACCCAGAAACCCTGGCTTTGGAGTCTGTCATCAGGGCCCTTTCCCCACCCTGACTCACCCCCCATGAGGGTGCCCTGTCTGGAGCAGCCAGGACTTCTTCGTCCCATGGGATGCCAGCTGGCCCCTCCCACTCGGTATGACACCTGTGTCATTCGAGTCGTCTGCGTGGTTGTGTGTGTCCTGTGTATTGCATTGTGATGACGTCTGTGTCATTCGAGTCGTCTGCGTGGTTGTGTGTGTCTTGTGTATTGCATTGTGATGACGTCTGTGTCATTCGAGTCGTCTGTGTGGTTGTGTGTGTCTTTATTGCATTGTGATGACGTCTGTGTCCTTCGAGTCATCTGCGTGGTTGTGTGTGTCTTGTGTATTGCATTGTGATGACGTCTGTGTCATTCGAGTCGTCTGCGTGGTTGTGTGTGTCTTTATTGCATTGTGATGACGCCTGTGTCATTCGAGTCGTCTGTGTGGTTGTGTGTGTCCTGTGTATTGCATTGTGATGACGTCTGTGTCATTCGAGTTGTCTGCGTGGTTGTGTGTGTCTTGTGTATTGCATTGTGATGACACCTGTGTCATTCGAGTTGTCTGCGTGGTTGTGTGTGTCTTGTGTATTGCATTGTGATGACGTCTGTGTCATTCGAGTCGTCTGCGTGGTTGTGTGTGTCCTGTGTATTGCATTGTGATGACGCCTGTGTCATTCGAGTCGTCTGTGTGGTTGTGTCTTTATTGCATTGTGATGACGCCTATGTCCTTTGAGTCGTCTGCGTGGTTGTGTGTGTCTTGTGTATTGCATTGTGATGACGCCTGTGTCCTTCGAGTCGTCTGCGTGGTTGTGTGTGTCCTGTGTGTTGCATGGTGATGACGTCTGTGTCATTCGAGTCGTCTGTGTGGTTGTGTGTGTCTTTATTGCATTGTGATGACGCCTATGTCCTTCGAGTCGTCTGTGTGGTTGTGTGTGTCTTGTGTATTGCATTGTGATGACGCCTGTGTCATTCGAGTTGTCTGTGTGGTTTTGTGTGTCTTGTGTATTGCATTGTGATGACGTCTGTGTCATTCGAGTTGTCTGTGGTTGTGTGTGTCCTGTGTATTGCATTGTGATGACGTCTGTGTCGTTTGAGTTGTCTGTGTGGTTGCGTGTGTCTTGTGTATTGCATTGTGGTCCTTGGTTTGGATGCTGTGGTTTTTGAGTCTTGTGTGTTCCATTGTGGTCCTTGGTTTGGATGCCATGGTTGTGTGTGTCTTGTGTATTGCATGGTGATGATGTCTGTCATTTGAGTCATCTGCATGGTTGTGTGTGTATTGCATTGTGATGACGTCTGTGTCATTTGAGTCGTCTGTGTGGTTGTATCCTGTGTATTGCATTGTGATGATGCCTGTGTCATTCGAGTCGTCTGCATGGTTGTGTGTGTGTGTCCTGTGTATTGCATTGTGATGATGTCTGTTCTTTGAGTCATCTGTGTGGTTGTGTGTGTCTTTACTGCATTGTGATGATGTCTGTGTCATTCGAGTCGTCTGCGTGGTTGTATGTGTCTTGTGTATTGCGTTGTGGTCCTTGGTTTGGATGCCGTGGTTGTGTGTGTCTTGTGTATTGCATTATGATGACGACTGTATCATTCGAGTTGTCTGCGTGGTTGTGTGTGTCTTGTATATTGCATTGTGATGACGTCTGTGTCATTTGAGTCATCTGTGTGGTTGTGTCCTGTGTATTGCATTGTGATGACGCCTGTGTCATTCGAGTCGTCTGCGTGGTTGTGTGTGTCGTGTGTATTGCATTGTGATGACGTCTGTCATTTGAGTTGTCTGTGTGGTTGTGTGTGTCTTGTGTATTGCGTTGTGGTCCTTGGTTTGGATGCCATGGTTTTTGAGTCTCTTGTGTGTTCCATTGTGGTCCTTGGTTTGGATGCCGTGGTTGTGTGTGTCTTGTGTGTTGCATCGTGGTCCTTGGTTTGGATGCCACATTTACCCACCCTTTCTGCCATGGGCTGCGGTCATGGTTGGTTCAGCTGTGGGCTGTGAATGCCCTCGTGTGCGTCGTTAGTGGACATAGGCACTCGGCACTTGATGGACAGCGGGGAGTCGTGTGGGAGGTGTGTGCTTAGGGTGACGCATACTGCTTGAGTTTCTCACTAATGATTTGTGGGAGTTGCTCCACATTCTCGGTGTTTGCCACTGAGGGTGAATTTGCCTGAATTTTAGCCCGTCTGGTGGATATGGACTCCTGTCCCATTGTGGTTTTAATTGGCATTTCCCTGGTGAGCACCTTTCGCAGGTGTACTGGCCATTTGGATATTCTCTCTTTGCGTGCTCCAAGCTTTCTCCCATTTTGTTGTCTTTCCCTTTCTGATTTGTAGTCATTCACATTTTGTGGAAACAAGTCTTTCTGGGCTTTGTGCACTGCTGCTGTTTTCTCCAGTTTGTGGTTTGCCCATTGACTCTCTTAGTGATGTCTTTAATTTTAATAAAGTCCAACTTATCAATCATTATTTGAATAATAATGTGTGTGTGTGTTCTACTTAAGGAGTGTTTGCTTACCTCAGGCTCTTGGAGATATTCTTCCACGTTTCTTTCTAGAAGATTTATTGTTTTTCCTTTCACATTTAAGGCTGTGATCCAACTTAGTTTACATTTTGGTGTATGGTGGCTGGGCGTGGTGGCTCACACCTGTAATCCCAGCACTTTGGGAGGCCGAGGTGGGAGGATAACTTGAGGTCGGGAGATTGAGACCATCCTGGCTAACACGGTGAAACCCCGTCTCTACTAAAAATACAAAAATGAGCCAGGTGTGGTGGCGGGCACCTGTAGTCCCAGCTACTTGGGAGGCTGAGGCAGGAGAATGGCGTGAACCCGGGAGGCGGAGCTTGCAGTGAGCCGAGATCGCGCCACTGCACTCCAGCCTGGGTGACAGAGCGAGACTCTGTCTCAAAAATAAAAAATAAAAATAAAAATAAAAATAAAAACAACAAAAGTCCATTGTCTCCCCCACTGAGCTGCAGTGACGCCTTTGTGGTAAATCAGGTGCCTGTAAGGTGTGTCTTGTCTCACCCGGAGTCATCGCCACTGTCTCAGTTATTACAGGTTACAAGGAAGTCTGAGGTGGTGCAAGTCTTCTAACTTTGTAAGTTTTCATTGCATATCTATGTAAGTTTTAAGATTAAAACTTATTTTTTTCAGCAACTGACAAGTTTTAATCTTTTTTTTTTGAGATGGAGTCTTGCTCTGTTGCCCAGGCTGGAGTGCAGTGGCATAATCTCAGCTCACCACAACCTCCGCCTCCTGGATTCAAGCAGTTCTCCCACTCAGCCTCCCAAGTAACTGGGAGTACAGGCACCCGCCACCACGCCTGGCTCATTTTTGTATTTTTAGCGGAGATGGGGTTTCACCATGTTGGCCAAGCTGATCTCGAACTCCCAACCTCAGGTGATCCGCCTGCCTTGGCCTCCCAAAGTGCCGGGATTACAGGTGTGAGCCCCTGCGCCCGGCCCATAAATTGATTTTCAAACGTTAAGTTAACGGTGCACGGTGGAATAAACGTGCTTCCTGGCCATGAAGTGTTCTCTCTTGTGTGTATGTATCTCATGCACTCAGTCCTCATTATTTGTGGGTTCTGTGCTGGTGAATTGCCTACTTGGTAAAATTTATTTGAAACCGCAAATCAAAACTCGCAACACCTTTACGGTCAGGCGCCAGCAGATGTGTGTAGAGTGTCAGTGAAGGCGAGTTACCTGACGTACAGTTCCAGCTGAGGTGGGACAAGCTGCTGCTCTGTCTTGGCTCTCAGATCTTTTACTGTGAGCACGTGCCTTTCCTGCCGTGTACTGAATGCCGTTTTTCACATCCTTGTGCCTTGTGTCGGCTACTTGACGGATTAAAGTGGCCCCTAAATGTAGTGCCGACGTTCTGTCTGGTGTTCTTAGGTGGAAGAAGGCTATGATGTCCCTTTCAGAGAAAATTCGAGAAGCTCCACTCAGGCGCAAGCTCTGGGGCTGCTGGCCGTGAGTTCAGTGTTAGTGAATCCACAAGGCAGATCCAGTGAGACAGTGGCTCCCAACCTTTTTTGGCACCAGGGACTGGTTTCGTGGAAGACAATTTTTCCACGGATGTTGGAGTAGGGGGCGTGGTTTCAGGAGGAAACCGTTCCACCTCAGATCATCAGGCATTAGATTCTCATAAGGAGTGTGCTGCCTGCCTCCCTGGTGTGTGCAGTTCACAGTGGGATTTGCGCTCCTATGAGAATCTAATGCCACCACTGATCTGACAGGAGGCGGAGTCAGGCAGTGATGCTGGCTCTCCTGCCGCTCACCTCCTGCTGTGCGGCCAGCTGTGGCCTGGGGGTTGGGAACCCCTGCAATGACACATTTTTTAAAATTTAAATTTTATTTATTTATTTTTAATTTAAATTTTATTTACGTATCTATTTTTTAAATTTAAATTTTATTTATTTATCTATCTATCTATTTAGTTTTTTGGACAAAGTCTTGCTCTGTCGCTCAGGCTGGAGTGCCGTGGCGCAATCTTGGCTCACTGCAACCTCTGCTCCCGGGCTCAAGTGATTCTCGTGCTGCAGTCTCCCGAGTAGCTGGGACTACAGATGTGCGCCACTGCACGCCGGCTAATTTTTTTTTTGTTTATTTTGTAGAGACCAGGCTTCATCTTGTTGCCCAGGCTGGTCTCAAACTCCTGGCCTCAAGTGATCTGTCCGCCTCAGCCCCCCAGAGTGCCGGGATTACACTCATGAGCCACTGCACCCGGCCTGCAGTAAGGCGTCTTTAAGTGGACACCTGAAACAAGTTTATGTATTGATTGCTTGATGAAAATGCTGTGTATCCCCTGGTGCAGTGATTACATGCTCGCTGTGAGCACCTGGATTAATGAAAATCAACATATACGTATTTAATCCCTTCCCTCCTCAGTTTGATGTGCTCACATTTATGATTTTTGCATGTATGTTCATGGAGGTACTGGCCTGTCCTTTTATTTTTATTTGTCCGTGTCTGGTTTTGGTACCAGAGTTATGCTGCTTTCGTGAATGTGTTTGGAAGTGTGCCTTTTTCCTAACCTCTGGAGGAATTATTCTTTAAGATGTGAGAGGCCAGGAGTGGGGGCTCATGCCTTTAATCCCAGCACTTTGGGAGGCTGGGGTGGGCGGATCACGAGGCCAGGAGTTTGAGAACAGCCTGACCAACATGGTGAAACCCTGTCGCTACTAAAAATACAAAAATTAGCTGAGCGTGGTGGCACGCAACTGTAGTCCCAGCTACTGGAGAGGCTGAGGCAGGAGAATCACTTGAACCCGGGAGGCAGCGGTTGCAGTGAGCCAAGATTTCGCCATTGCACTCCAGCCTGGGTGACAGAGCGAGACTCCGTCTCAAAAACAAAAACAAAAAGTTTTATCAATTGTATTACTCTTTACAAAGGACTAACTTTAGCCTTGTTCATGTCTCCCTGTTGCTGGATTTCTGTTTTTTACTTTTTGTGTGTGTGTGTGACAGGGTCTCGCTCTATTGCCCAGGCTGGAGTTCAGTGGTGCAATATTGACTCACTGGAAACTTCGCCTCCAAGGTTCAAACGATTCTCCTGCCGCAGCCTCCTGAGTAGCTGGGACTACAGGCGCCCGCCACCACGCCTAGCTAATTTTTGTATTGTTAGTAGAGATGGGGTTTCACCATGTTGGCCAGGCTGGTCTCAAACTCCTGACCTCAGGTGATCCACCCACCTTGGCCTCCCAAAGAGCTGGGATTACAGGCATGAACCAGCACCCAGCCTTTTTACTGATTTTTTTTTTTTTTTTGAGACAGAGTCTCACCTGTGGCCCAGGCTGGAGTGCAGTGGCGTGAACTCTGTTCACTGCAAGCTCCGCCTCCTGGGTTCACGCCATTCTCCTGTCTCAGCCTCCCAAGTAGCTGGGACTATAGGCGCCCACCACCACGCCCGGCTAGTTTTTTGTATTTTTTAGTAGAGACGGGGTTTCACTGTGTTAGCCAGGATGGTCTGGATCTCCTGACCTCATGATCTGCCCGCCTCGGCCTCCCAAAGTGTTGGGATTACAGGTGTGAGCCACCGCGCCCAGCCTCCTTTTACTGATTTTTAATTGAATTACACTGTGGTCAGAAAACATACTCCGTGATTTCAGTTCTTTGTAATTAGTTGCACCTCGCTTTATGTCCATTATTTGATCTGTTTTGGTAAATGTTGTACGTGTTTGAAGAGAGTGTGCTGTGCTGTTGTTGGGTGGAATTTTCCGTGTATTCCCTTGGATCCGCTGGATAATTGTTGTTCACATCATCTGTATTCTCACTTAATTTTTTTGGCTGCTTGTTCTATTTACTGAAAGATTGTTAATGACCTCCTCTGATTGTGGATTGTCTATTTCCCCTTTTTAATGCTGTCCATTTTTACTTCACATTGTGTTAAGTGCATACACGTTAAGATTGCTTTGTCTTTGTGTTGAATTGTTTCTTTTACCATTGTGACGTGTCTCTCTGTAGTAACACTTCTTACCGTAAATAAGTACTTAATCTGCCATCAGTGTGACCACAGCAGCTTTTTGTTGATTTGTTTAGTGTTTGCATGGTTTTTTCCCATTCTTTTTTCCATTCTAGATTCCTATATTTGAAGTGTATTTTCTGTAAATGGCACATGTTTAGATCTTGTTTTTTGAGACGGAGTCTCTGGAGTGCATTGGCATAATATCCACTCACTGCAGCCTCCGCCTCCCGGGTTCAAGCAATTCTTCCCCCTCTGCCTCCCAAGTAGCTGCAATTACAGGCGTCCGCCACCATGCCCAGCTAAGTTTTGTATTTTTAGTAGAGATGGGGTTTCACCATGTTGGCCAGGCTGGTCTCAATCTCTAGACCTCAAGTGACCTGCCCACTTCGGCCTCCCAATGTGCTGGGATTATAGGTGTGAGCCACTGTGTCCGACCTAGATCTTATTTTTAATTGTCTGAGAAAACCATTGTCTTTTAATAGACTTTTTAGTCCATGTACATTTTTTAAATCACTTGTATGTCATGTAATTATAAAACAATTGTGTAATGCCACCATCTTGCTCTTTGCTTTCTGTGTGTTCCATCTGTTCTTTGTTTTTTGTTTGTTTGTTTTTTTTTTTTTTTTTGAGACAGAGTCTCACTCTCATTGCCCAGGCTGGAGTGCAGTGATGCGATCTTACTTCACGGCAACCTCCACCTCCCGGGTTCAAGTGATTCTCCTACCTTAGCCTCCCAAGTAGCTGGGATTACACGCATCCGCCACCATGCCTGGCTAATTTTGTATTTTTATTTTATTTATTTATTTATTTATTTATTTATTTATTTTTTCTGAGACAGAGTCTCGCTTTGTCACCCAGGTTGGAGTGCAGTGGCGCGATCTCAGCTCACTGCAAGCTCCGCCTCCCGGGTTCACGCCATTCTCCTGCTTCAGCCTCCTGAGTAGCTGGGACTACAGGCACCCGCCATGACTCCCGGCTAATGTTTTGTATTTTTAGTAGAGACGAGGTTTCACCGTGTTAGCCCGGGTGGTCTCGATCTCCTGACCTCGTGATCCGCCCGCCTCAGCCTCCCAAAGTGCTGGGATTACAGGTGCCCGCCACCGCGCCCGGCCTAATTTTGTATTTTTAGTAGAGATGGGTTGTCTCCATGTTGGCCAGGATGGTCTCGATCTCCTGACCTCGTGATCCGCCCACGTCGGCCTCCCAAAGTGCTGGGATTACAGGCGTGAGCCACTGGACCTGGCCTGTTGTTTGTTTTTTAATTTTTTTATATCTTCTTTTGGATTAATAGGTTTATTTTGTCCTTCTGTTTCAGCTTATAAGTTTTAGTTTTAGCGCTTTAGAGGTTACAACATGAATTATTGACTTATCACAGTCTACATTTTTTTTGAGATAGAGTCTTGTTCTGTCGCCCAGGCTGGAGTACAGTGGTGTGATCTCGGCTCATTGCAACCTCCGCCTCCTGGGCTCAAGCGATTCTCCTGCCTCAGCCTCCCAAGTAGGTGGGACTACAGGCACACGCCACCATCCCCAGCTAATTTTTGTATTTTTAGTAGGGATGAGGTGTCACTGTGTTGGCTATGCTGGTCTTGAACTCCTGACCTCCAGTGACCTCAGCCTCCCAAAGTGCTGACATTACAGGAGTGAGCCACCACACCGGGCCTCACAGCTTGAAATAAGTACATTCTAGTTCCCCTACAATGCAAGAAACAGTTTAACTCAATTTACCTGCCCCCTGCCTTTTGTGCTATCGTTAATTTTACATATGAGCCGGCTGTGGTGGCTCATGCCTATAATCCGAGCACTTTGGGAGGCCGAGGCAGGCAGATTGCCTGAGGTCAGGAATTTGAGACCAGCCTGGCCAACATGGTGAAACCCTGTGTCTACTAAAAATACAAAAATTAGCCAGGCGTGGTGGGCACCTGTAGTCCCAGCTACTCGGGAGGCTGAGGCAGGAGAATCGCTTGAACCCCGGAGATGGAGGTTGCAGTGAGCCAAGATCGCACCACTGCACTCCAGCCTGGGGGACAGAGCAAGACTCCATCTCCAAAAAAAAAAAATCTACATATCACAAGATGATAACATTGTTGTTTTAAACAGTGAACATTCTTTGTATTTATCCTATCCACATATTTCCTCCAGCTTCCATTTGGAATCATTTCCTTCAGCCGGAAGAACTTCCTTTGTAATAGGCCTTGTGCTTTCTTTCAGCATTTTTTTGTCTGAAAAGCCTGGATTTTTGCTTTCATTCTTTAAAGCATATTTTCATGGCATGTTTTTCCAGGTTTGCAGGGTGTTTTCTTTCAACACTTGAAAAATTTCACTCCATTGCGTTTTGGCTGTCATCGTTTCTGTTGAGAAGTCAGAGGACGGTCTTACTCTTTCTTCTGAAGTCATTGTGCCCTTTTCTCTCCTAAGAGTTGTTTCCTTTCCTTTATTTGTTTGTTTTTCACCAGTTTGGCTCTCCTGTGCCTGTGCACACGTCTTCGTGTGTCCTTGTATTCGTCCTGAGTTTCCTGGCTCTGTGGGTTGGTATCAGTCGTCAGTTTTGAAGAATTCTTGGCTGTTACCTCTTCAGATTTTGTGCTGCCTCCTTCTTTGCTTTCTCTGTCACTCATTTACACGTATCTTAGAGGTTGCCTCACTGTCTTGTACTACCCTAAACGGTGTTCTTTCCTTTTACACTTTGGTTTTGGTCTTGTAAACATTGGTTTCCTTTTGATTCCACTAATTGTGTTTTGTGCTGTGTTCAGGCTGCTGGTAAAAAAGCTGTTCAGTGGGTCCATTCGGGTATTGTATTATCCAGTCCTGGAAGGTCCTTGAGATTCTTTTCTATAAATTTCAAGTCTCTGCTGAGACTCTCCGGCGTTTTGTCCATTTCCTTAACGTATTAATCCTCGTTAGATTGAAGTCTTCGTGTGCTGACTCTTAACATCGGCTGTGTGTAGACCTGCTTTGTTGTCTGATGTGTTCTTGTTTTGTTTGTTTGTTTGAGACGGAGTCTCGCTCTTCTCGCCCAGGCTGGAGTGCAGTGGCGCGATCTTGGCTCACTGCAACCTCTGCCTCCCGGGTTCAAGTGATTCTCCTCCCTCAGCCTCCCGAGTAGCGGAGATTACAGGCGCCCATGACCACGCCCGGCTAATTTTTGTATTTTTAGTAGAGCTGGGGTTTCGCCATGTTTGCCAGGCTGGTCTCGAACTCCTGACCTCAGGTGACCCGCCCGCCTCAGCCTCCCAAAGTGCTGGGATGACAGGCGTGAGCCACCACGCCTGGCCTTGTTTTCTTGTTTTATTCTGAGACAGGGTCTTGCTCTGTTTCCCAGGCTGGAGTGCAGTGGTGCAATCATGGCTCATTGCAACCTCGACCTCCTGGGCTCAGTCCCACCTTAGCCTCAATCCCACCGTAGCTGGGACTACAGACGTGCCTGTACTACATTTGAAATTTTTTGTAGAGATGGAGTGTGCGAGTCTCAAACTCTGGCCTCAACCGATCCTCCCACCTCAGCCTCCCAGAGTGCTGGGATTACAGACATGAGCCCTCACATCCGGTTAATGTTTTTCCCTCGTGTTTTCCCACCCTTCACATGCTAGGCTGTATGTGGTGTTCTTTTTCTCCAGAGATGGTCTGCTGTTTTCTTGGAGACCACCTCTGTCCAAGCAGGGCTCAGGTGTCGCCTGTGGAGATGGAGAAAGGTGGCTGTGGTGTCTGCCTGTTTTCCTCATGGCCATGAGGACCGGGAGAGGCCCCTGCTTGGTGGGGCACAGCACCAACCTGGGAGCTAGTTACCGCGTCAGCCCCCGGCAGTGGAGACTCCCGTGTGGAGCTGTTTTCCCCAGTGCGTTTTTCACATTTCTTCCCGTGCACTGATTTTGTTTTTTATTTGTTGGTTTGCTTTGTTTGGGATCCTGTGCCTCTTTCCTGGATAATTGAGAGGTGCTGGCACTTGAGCCTTGCCAGACCTGGCCCTGAGCTCTCCCCTGCCTTGTCCCCAGTCACGTCCCTCACCACAGCTGGAGGCTGCGTCCCTCCCTTTGCCGAAAGCCAATTGCATCTGAGGTCGTGGACTTTTCCTCCCCTCTGTGAGCACATCTGCCATCCACACCAGCTACCGGGGGCAGGATGTCTCCCCAGAGGTGATGCACCTTCTGGCCGTGGCTCTTCAGCTCCCAGGGTTAGAGCGCGACAGTGCCTAACTGTGGGGGCTCCCGCTTGTCCACGGGCCCAAGTCTCAGCTGCCTTTATGCAGAGTCGGGGGCGTCCTTGCTGCTCCCTCAGGCCTCTGCATTTCAGGTGCCCTTGTAGCTGTGCAGCCTGAAGCCAGCCTCACCTCACTGGTCTCACTACTTAGAACCCCCTCTGCAGAGTCCTTGCTTAGAATTCCCCTGCCCCAGATCTAGGCTGTCCACAGCTTCCTCTGACCCCTTGGCTGGATCAGGCGCCCCTGCTGACTGCTCATGGCTCCCTGCACTTGGTCGTTGGGATACAGGCCTGTGTGTGGTGCCCAGAGCCTGCTCTGGACCCACTCGGTAGTTGAATTGAGCACAGCAGCACCAAGCCCAGGAGGAGCACAGGGATGGCGGCCCAGGGCTTGGGAAAGGGAGGACGGACAGTGCCTCCTCCCTGTCAGGGGCTGAGTTGGCTGCTTTGCTTGTCCTGGCGTGTGTGGGTGCAGATTGGGTTCCTGCAAGCTGACCTTTGCCCTCTGCTTGTGCAGTCTACGAGAACGAAGACCAGCTGCTCTGGGACCCCAGCGTCCTCCCTGAGAGGGAGGTGGAGGAGTTCCTGTACAGGGCGGTGAAGCGGCGTTGGCACGAGATGGCCGGGCCTCAGCTCCCAGAGGGAGAAGCCGTGAAAGACAGTGAGCAGGTGGGGGCTGCCATGCCGGGGACAGAGGGGCTGAGGGCTGCCGTGGCGTGGGCCAGAGCTCACACCCCAGTGCCTCCAGGGGCCAGGGAGGGCAGAGGGGAGGGCAGGGGTCAGGTGTGTGGGGGCCAGGGCACTGGAACAGCTACTCAGGTCAGAAGGGGGGCCAATTAAAACCACGTATCAGGGAGGAGGTGTAGACGCCTCCGGGTATCCTGCAAGGGGATGTAGACACCCCTGATGTCACTCCCTGGATAGAGGTGTAGGTGGCCCTGACATCGCCCAGGAGGATGGTGTGGACGGCCCCTGATGCCAGTCCCTGGATAGAGGTGTAGGTGGCTCTGACATCGCCCAGGAGGGTGGTGTGGACGGCCCCTGATGCCAGTCCCTGGATAGAGGTGTAGGTGGCCCTGACATCGCCCAGGAGGGTGGTGTGGACGGCCCCTGATGTCACTCCCTGGATAGAGGTGTAGGTGGCCCTGACATCGCCCAGGAGGGTGGTGTGGACGGCCCCTGATGTCACTCCCTGGATAGAGGTGTAGGTGGCCCTGACATCGCCCAGGAGGGTGGTGTGGACGGCCCCTGATGTCACTCCCTGGATAGAGGTGTAGGTGGCCCTGACATTGCCCAGGAGGGTGGTGTGGACGGCCCCTGATGTCACTCCCTGGATAGAGGTGTAGGTGGCCCTGACATCGCCCAGGAGGGTGGTGTGGACGGCCCCTGATGTCACTCCCTGGATAGAGGTGTAGGTGGCCCTGACATCGCCCAGGAGGGTGGTGTGGACGGCCCCTGATGTCACTCCCTGGATAGAGGTGTAGGTGGCCCTGACATCGCCCAGGAGGGTGGTGTGGACGGCCCCTGATGCCAGTCCCTGGATAGAGGTGTAGGTGGCTCTGACATCGCCCAGGAGGGTGGTGTGGACGGCCCCTGATGTCACTCCCTGGATAGAGGTGTAGGTGGCCCTGACATCGCCCAGGAGGGTGGTGTGGACGGCCCCTGATGTCACTCCCTGGATAGAGGTGTAGGTGGCCCTGACATCGCCCAGGAGGGTGGTGTGGACGGCCCCTGATGTCACTCCCTGGATAGAGGTGTAGGTGGCTCTGACATCGCCCAGGAGGGTGGTGTGGACGGCCCCTGATGCCACTCGCTGGATGGTATAGACAGTTCTTGCTGTCGGCTCCTGCGCTGAGCCCATGGAAGAGCCAACATGTCCTCTCCCCAGGCGCTGTACGAGTTGGTGAAATGCAACTTCAATGTGGAGGAGGCCCTGCGAAGGCTGCGGTTCAACGTGAAGGTGATCCGAGGTGAGCAGCGGTCTGGGCCTTCCTTCCGCTGCGGCCCCGCCCTGGGCACTGCTGACCGTTCTCCCCGGCCTGGGCCTTCCTTCCGCTGCGGCCCCGCCCTGGGCGCCGCTGACCGTTCTCCCCGGCCTGGGCCTTCCTTCCGCTGCGGCCCCGCCCTGGGCGCCGCTGACTGTTCTCCCCGGCCTGGGCCTTCCTTCCGCTGCGGCCCCGCCCTGGGCACCACTGACCGTTCTCCCCGGCCGTGTTTGCAGATGGGCTCTGTGCTTGGAGTGAAGAGGAGTGCAGGAACTTTGAGCACGGCTTCCGTGTGCATGGAAAGAACTTTCACCTGATCCAGGCCAACAAGGTGCGGACTCCACTGCCAGGCTCCACCGGGGGCTTCTCGATCTGGGGAGGGGCTCAGGGTCCGCAGGCACACAGCACACGGCCGACTGGAGGCCTGGAGCCCCGTGTCCTGTGTCCGCCTCCTCACCGTGTGCCCATTGCTGTCTTCTGCATTTTTTGCTACTGACTGCTGTGGGCCCCTTTCCTGTCCCCACAAGAACAAGGCTCTGGCTTTGGGAAAGAATGTGGCAAAAGCTGAATTCTAGTAGTTGTTTCTGCCTCACATTCCACCCCAGGGCCCTGGGCACCTCATCTTCAAGTCTGTGTCCTCTGAGCAGAGCCTGCTGGCTCAGTGTCCAGCATTGGCCCCACAGCAGAACCCCTGACACCTGGAGACCAGGGGTCTCCTGGTTCCCTCCTCCAGGGACCCAGGTCCTGCCACCCGGGACAAACCCTCATGACAGGCAGGTGCTGCCAAGTGCCGGGGCCTTCTGCCCTTCCTTAGACCTTCCCCACGTCCTCTGTGGGTCTCTGCATGTCTGCAGCAGTGCCCTCTGCCCTGTGGCTTCTTGAGTGGTAACTTCCAAGCCAGCCTCTTGGCAGTCAGACATCTCTGGCTGAAAACCTTCCCATGGCTCTGACCAGTGGCTTCTCCGCCTCTGTCCACGCCCCGGTTGGGCACTGAGTCCCTTCAGGACCAGTGGGCTGTGGCCTTGTTGCCGAGCCTTGCTTCTGCCTCGTGTCCTGGGACCGTGCTCCATTTGGGGCCCGATGTCGTCCACTGAAGGGCTTGGGTGAGGAGGCACCTGCCCGGGGCTGGTTGTACGGCTCAGGACATTGCTCAGGTGACTGTGCGGTGCCGTGCGCAGCAGCGATGGACTGTCCTTGTCAGACTCCAGCACCACGTGGTGTTTTGATTGGAGACAGCGGGGCGAGGTGTGGCTGGAGTGTGGTGCTCCCAGGCTACACTTGGAGCCCCTGTCAAGTTTCTGTAGCTCCGGGCCGTGTTTCTGGAGTTGTGGGCCGTGTTTCTGGACTCCTGGCCGTGTTTCTACAGCTCCAGGCTGTGTTTCTGGACTCTGGGCCGTGTTTCTATGGACTCCGTGTTTCTGTAGCTCCGGGCTGTGTTTCTACAGCTCCGGGCCATGTTCCTATAGCTCCGGGCCGTGTTTCTATAGCTCTGGGCTGTGTTTCTGGAGCTTCGGGCTGTGTTTCTGGACTCTGGGCTGTTTCTATAGCTCCGGGCTGTGTTTCTATAGCTCCCGGCTGTGTTTCTGCAGCTCCCGGCCGTGTTTCTATAGCTCCGGGCCGTGTTTCTGCAGCTCCGGGCCGTGTTTCTATAGCTCAGGGCCGCGTTTTTGTAACTCCCGGCCGTGTTTCTGGAGCTCCGGGCAGGTCCTGGCCCAGCCGCGAGGGGCCGTGTGTAGCCAGCACACGTTGGTCAGCCTGAGCCAGTGCGTATTTCACCCTGGCCCTTCACAGAAGAGCTCCCTCGTGGCGTGCGTTTGAGGTTTGCCCTGCAGGGAGGTTGTCTCGGTCTCGCCCCCAGGCAGGACCCCACGTTGTTCTCGCAGCGGTGAGCATGGGGCATCCTCGTTCTGGGTGGCGGTGGGTTAGTTGGCCCAGAGCATGTCCAGGTGAGGGGGTCTTTTCCGCCATCACCAGCAGTGGCCACAGCCTCAAGCTCTCTGTGGGATGAGCCTCCCGGGTGGAGATGTTGGAGGTGTTGCCAGGTGTGCGCCCAGCTCTGTGCCAGGTGCCACATGGAACACACTTGCTGTGTGTCCCTTCTCGTGTCCCTGAAGCCTTGTGTGCGTGTGTGTGTGTGTCCCTTCTCGTCTCCCTGAAGCCTTGTGTGCGTGTGTGTGTGTGTCCCTTCTCGTCTCCCTGAAGCCTTGTGTGCGTGTGTGTGTCTCTTCTCGTCTCCCTGAAGCCTTGTGTGCGTGTGTGTGTGTGTCCCTTCTCGTGTCCCTGAAGCCTTGTGTGCGTGTGTGTCCCTTCTCGTCTCCCTGAAGCCTTGTGTGCGTGTGTGTGTGTGTCCCTTCTCGTCTCCCTGAAGCCTTGTGTGTGTGTGTGTGTGTCCCTTCTCGTCTCCCTGAAGCCTTGTGTGCGTGTGTGTGTGTCCCTTCTCGTGTCCCTGAAGCCTTGTGTGCGTGTGTGTGTCCCTTCTCGTCTCCCTGAAGCCTTGTGTGTGTGTGTGTGTGTGTGTCCCTTCTCGTCTCCCTGAAGCCTTGTGTGCGTGTGTGTGTCCCTTCTCGTCTCCCTGAAGCCTTGTGTGTGTGTGTGTGTGTGTCCCTTCTCGTCTCCCTGAAGCCTGTGTGCATGTGTGTTTGGCCCTTTATGTGCTACGTTGGGAATTTTGTCGGGTTCACAGAACCCATGTGTCCTTCTGCGGTGTCTTCTGTGCACTTGGGAAGCATTCGCTGGGCCCTGGAGGGATGTGTTCGGTGGGAAAGCAGGCGCCGCGGGCTTGTGCCTCTTCCTCCCGGGGAAGGGGCTCAGTCCAGGAGTCTGTGGACCCGGGGGTTGTCACTCCCACTCCCACCCCGGGCCTGTGAGAAGCAGGCAGATGAGGTGGACGCAACTGGCCCGTGGCTCATGGTCTGGGATGGGGTGGGTGAGCAGTAGACAGAGGCCTGGAGGGTACGTTTGTCTGGCTGATGCTACAGAAGGGAAAGGGGTCTCAAGCCAGGAGCTGGAGGGCTCTGAGGGGGCTTGAAACAGGAGGCAGTGCCACAGTGCTCCGAGCCCCTGTTCCCTGTGGTGGGCATAGCCTGTGGCCTGTTAGGGTCATGGGTCGGGGGGTCTTGCGTTATCTGAGAGTGGTGGGTGCTGTGCTCCTTCTGTGCTGTCCCGGGGTCCCAGGACGTCCTGGGATCGTGGTGCAGGTGCTGGGGCTGGGCAGCCGGGGACAGAGATGGCTCCTGACCCCTCCCCGCAGGTGCGCACACGGTCAGTGGGCGAGTGTGTCGAGTACTACTACCTGTGGAAGAAGTCGGAGCGCTACGACTACTTCGCCCAGCAGACGCGGCTGGGCCGGAGGAAGTACGTCCCGTCCGGAACCACGTGCGTGCAGCCCTCCCCAGCAGTAACGACAGGCGGCCACCCCGCCGGGGGTGGGCACGTGGGCGCCTGGGCGGCACCTCTTGGGTGGGGGCGTCTGTCCTGTCTGCCGCCCCTCATGGCGCCCTCTCCCCACAGGGACGCAGACCAGGACCTGGATGGCAGCGACCCCGATGGCCCCGGCCGTCCGCGCCCGGAGCAAGACACCCTGACTGGGATGCGCACAGGTGAGGCTTGGGGAGTATCTCCTGCCCTGGGGGCGGCCACGGGTCTGGAGCCGTGAGTGAGGCCCGGTGGAGCCTCTCCTGCCTGGCGCCCTGTGCTGGGCCAGCCTCGCCAGGAGGAGTGGGCGTCTGGGTGGCGGAGGGCAGCCACGTGATGTGGATGCCGCTCTGTACACCTGGCTGGGAGAGGGGAGGGCAGGGATTACGCTTACCCTCTGGGCTTGCTGGAGGGGTGCATGTGGCCCCACTGCTGGGGAGCCCCGTATGGTGAGGTTGGGGTATTTACCAGGCCTCAGTCTCCGGGGAGGGCCTTCCTGCCCCAGGGTGGGGACTTAGCCCGTCACCAGGACACTCAGGAAGGACAGGGTGTCCGGAGCCGTCGCCAGGATCTTGCACCTGAGGCCATGACGGAGCACAGCAGGGCCTCGGGTAGGGACCATGTCCGATGGTGGTGTCTGATGTGGCGTCCGAAGGTGGAGACCCACACGGGGAGGGTGCAAACGAGGATCCTTTGCTTTCTGGCTCTGTGTTTAGATGGTTGAGTCTGGGAGGGTCCCCCATTTCCAGAGTCTGGTTGTTTCCATGGTTTGTTTGCCAAAGGGTGTCCACCTCGGCTACTTCCTAGAATTGTGGTGAGGCCCCTTGCGCTGCCTGTGGGAACAAAACTTCCAAAGACCCTGTATTAGCCCTCGCAGCGCCCCCGGCATTGTTTACACCTAAGTCTGTGTATTCCACAGACCCTGTATTTACCCTCTGCAGTGCCCCCGGCATTGTTTACACCTATGTCTATTGTATTCTGCTCTTTTTAAAGATGTGGGTTGTGACCCACTGTTGGTCTGATGAACTAAAATCTACTTCTAAAGCTGAGACCCTTAACCTGGGGCTCGCGGATTTCAGTGTAACTGGTGTCTTTTGTATTTGTGTGGAGGCTTTTCTGGGGAGGGATCCACAGGCTTTGCTGGACCCAGCAAAGTTAGGCAGGAGCCTGCACAGGATCCGCGGCTGTGGGCAGGCCCCACCCTCTGTTGCGTTCTCTTTCACAGATCCACTGAGCGTGGATGGCACGGCCGGTGGTCTCGATGAGCCCGGAGTGGCCTCTGATGGACTCCCGTCCTCGGAGCCAGGGCCGTGTTCCTTCCAGCAGCTGGATGAGTCCCCCGCTGTACCCCTGTCCCATCGGCCCCCAGCCCTGGCCGACCCAGCCTCATACCAGCCAGCTGTCACTGCTCCGGAGCCAGACGCCAGCCCAAGGCTGGCCGTGGACTTCGCCCTGCCCAAGGAGCTGCCCCTCATCTCCAGCCATGTGGACCTCAGCGGGGATCCGGAGGAGACTGTGGCCCCAGCACAGGTGGCTTTGTCGGTCACCGAGTTTGGACTCATCGGCATTGGGGACGTGAACCCCTTCCTGGCCGCCCACCCCACGTGCCCGGCCCCCGGGCTACACTCGGAGCCCCTGTCACAGTGAGTGCCACCCCATGCCCGGAGCCTCCGCAACACTCCAACCAGGTCCCCCCAGCCCTCAGGCTGAGCAGAGGAGGGTGGGAGGCATTTGCCCCAAGGACCCGAGGACAGTGTGGCTCCACGAGCAGGCTCTCAGTGTGTCTTTAGGTTTATTCTTTACTTGTATGTATTTTTTGACTGGAGAATACATTCATGTGGTCCACATTCTCCACAAATGGGAGCAGGTGCCAGGCTGTCCCACCCCTGCTCCAGCCACCAGCTCCCCTCAGGGCACCCCGGGCCCGGCTGCCATAGGCTGTGGGGGAGGCAAGGCTGGGAGTCTCGAGTCCAGCGCTCAGCACTGGGCTGTGCAGGCACGTGGGGCCGCACTGACACTCTCTGCGTCTCTCTTGGTCTCTCCCCTGCAGCTGTAACGTGATGACCTGCTGACTCCTGGCCGCGGGCGGCGTATGCGGCCCAGACTGGACTTAGCGCTGCCGCTGGGCCCGCCTCTGTCAGTCTTCCTGACCCCTTCCCCACCCCCCGGGCCTTGGGGTAGCACCTCCTTCTGCTTCAGAACACGTCAGGACTGGGGTGAGGTGGCTGGGCCGTGAGCCCTTGCCCCTGTCCACACAGAATGGACCCACGGCCCCACCCAGCGCCGTCAGCGCCCGGCACTGCCACCCGGGTCCGGGCCGCTGCCTGCACGTGGGATCCGTCGGGCAGCCGGGGACAGAAGAGACCCCGCCGTTGGGACGCAGGGCAGAGCCGGCCACCTAGTCCCTTCCAGCCAGCAGAGGCGAGGGAAGGCGTCACTGCCCCGGCGGGGAGACGGGCAGGACGCCCTGCCCCGCACCAGCAGCCTCCGCCGGGGCGCCCTCAGCTCCCTGCTTGGCTCTGTCTCTCCACACCCGGCAGGGCCGCGGGCTGCCCCAGCCCTGGGGGTCGTGGGCAGCTGCTACTCAGTGCCAACCCCGTGGGGCACAGAGCCATATACCTCGCTGTCCGGCCCCCACCCCAGCCTCGCCTTCCCACCCCATCGTCTCCACTTCAGGAAAAGCCGCACTTTACACCCCCACCTGCCTCTTCCCCCTCCATCCCTGCTCCCCGATCCTGAGCGGTTGGGGTGGGGTCCCTCAGCAACCCCAGGCGTGGGTTTGAGGAGACAGGTGATTTACATCCCCTTTGCTGTCCTCCCCCGGTACCAAGGCAGGGAGCCTCCGGAGGAGCCGGCCCTGCTGGCCACGCAGGGGCCAGACTCCAGCCTGTTTCCCCAGCCCTGCAGGTCTTCCTTCTGTGGGAAGCTTCCTAGCAAGATGGCTTGGAGTCCTGGTCCCCCTCCTCCCTGGCCCTCTCGTTCGTTTCTGTTTCTGTTTACACGTTGGAGTGGGGTCCTCCGTGGGCGGCGGCGCGCCCTGCCCCGGGTGTCGTCCGGCCTCTTGTGCTCGAGCCCCTTTCCGAGTTGGACTCGACCATCCCTCACCCCACCAAGGACCACACTGTGAAGTGATAACTGCCTTGAACCCCCCTTTGCTGTTTTATTTATTAAACTTGATTTGAAGCCCGGGGTGCCTTGTGGTGGATCGGGTGGGGGCTGGGGCGGCAGGTGTCCTCGTCATCTCACTTGGGGGCCTGCATGTCTCTTGGAGGGTCCAGGATAAGTCGTGAGCAACACGGGCGAGGGGGTGCACCGGGGGCATGACGTGGTGGGCTACGTATTGTTCACGTCAGTAAGGGAATTGTGGCCACGATGACGGGATGTGAGGAGGGCCCACGTCTGGGTAGAGGTGGTCGGGGCAGCCTCCTAGAAGTGATATTTAAGCTGAAACATGAAGGAGAATGGGCCTCCTTTGCTGAAAGTTTGCCGAGAGGCCTGGCAGGCGTGACAGCAGATGCAGAGGACAGAGGCCTGGGTCTCCAGGAGAAGCTGAGGGCACAGAGGGCAGAGGTTGGGCGGGGTGGGGACAGTAGGTCATGAGGCCAAGTTTTGTTCTTGGTGTGGAAGCCACTTTAGGTCTGCATTGTTTTTTTGTTTTGTTTTGCTTTTTTTTTTTAGACAGGGTCTCACACTGTCGCCAGGCTGGAGTGCAGTGGTGCGATCTCGGCTCACTGCAACCTCCGCCTCCTGAGTTCACGCGATTCTCCTGCCTCAGCCTCCCGAGTAGCTGGGATTACAGGCGCCCGCCACCTGGGATTACGGGCGCCCGCCACCATGCCCAGCTACTTTTTATATTTTTTGTAGAGATGGGGTTTCTCCTTATTGCCCAGGATGGTCTCTATCTCTTGACCTTGTGTTCTCCCGCCTCGGCCTCCCAAAGTGCTGGGATTACAGGCGTGAGACATCGCGCCCGGCTGAGGTCTGCATTGTTAATAGCGCCCTGCAGGGACGGTGCAGGCTGGTTGGGTTGCATATTGTCCACATCAGTGAGGGAAATGTGGGCATGCATGGTGATGGGATATGGGGAGGGCCGGCC
Organism: Homo sapiens; assembly: GCF_000001405.40. NCBI lineage: Eukaryota > Metazoa > Chordata > Mammalia > Primates > Hominidae > Homo > Homo sapiens. The sequence goes on along the minus strand of NC_000019.10, from coordinate 304,665 downwards.
CCCAGCTGGGAGGTGACTGTGGCTTGGCCTCAGGGACTATTGGTGAAGGACCAGGACCACTTGCATGATGGGTGTGGGAGAGTCAGGGGTCTTGCTGGTGAGCCTGTGCCAGGAGCTGTGAGAACCAGGGCCAGCCACTCGGCAACCTGGGTGTTTGGGGATGGGCATAGAGGAGTTTTCATTGGAGCGCCGCAGCCTGCTGACGTTTTCTTCAGATGTGCAAGGTCTTCTGTCTTCCAGCTTGCCCTGCCTCCAGCAGGAAATCTTCAGTCCTCTCTTGGTTTTTTTCCTCCAACTGCTTTGAAGATTTTTCAGTACCACTGGTTTTGAGCAGTCTGATGAGGATGTGCTTTGGTGTATTGAGGTGTCTGATGAGGGTGTGCTTTGGTGTATTGAGGAGTCTGATGAGAATGTGCTTTGGTGTATTGAGGTGTCTGATGAGGATGTGCTTTGGTGTATTGAGTCTGATGAGGATGTGCTTTGGTGTATTGAGTCTGATGAGGATGTGCTTTGGTGTATTGAGGTGTCTGATGAGAATGTGCTTTGGTGTATTGAGTCTGATGAGGATGTGCTTTGGTGTATTGAGGTGACTGATGAGAATGTGCTTTGGTGTATTGAGGTGTCTGATGAGGGTGTGCTTTGGTGTATTGAGGTGTCTGATGAGGATGTGCTTTGGTGTATTGAGGAGTCTGATGAGGATGTGCTTTGGTGTATTGAGTCCGATGAGGATGTGCTTTGGTGTATTGAGGTGTCTGATGAGAATGTGCTTTGGTGTATTGAGTCTGATGAGAATGTGCTTTGGTGTATTGAGTCTGATGAGGATGTGCTTTGGTGTATTGAGGTGTCTGATGAGAATGTGCTTTGGTGTATTGAGTCTGATGAGGATGTGCTTTGGTGTATTGAGGAGTCTGATGAGGATGTGCTTTGGTGTATTGAGTCTGATGAGGATGTGCTTTGGTGTATTGAGGTGTCTGATGAGAATGTGCTTTGGTGTATTGAGTCTGATGAGAATGTGCTTTGGTGTATTGAGTCTGATGAGGATGTGCTTTGGTGTATTGAGGTGTCTGATGAGAATGTGCTTTGGTGTATTGAGGAGTCTGATGAGGATGTGCTTTGGTGTATTGATGAGGATGTGCTTTGGTGTATTGAGGTGTCTGATGAGGATGTGCTTTGGTGTATTGAGTCTGATGAGAATGTGCTTTGGTGTATTGAGTCTGATGAGAATGTGCTTTGGTGTATTGAGTCTGATGAGGATGTGCTTTGGTGTATTGAGGTGTCTGATGAGAATGTGCTTTGGTGTATTGAGGTGTCTGATGAGGGTGTGCTTTGGTGTATTGAGGAGTCTGATGAGGATGTGCTTTGGTGTATTGAGTCTGATGAGGATGTGCTTTGGTGTATTGAGGTGTCTGATGAGGATGTGCTTTGGTGTATTGAGTCTGATGAGGATGTGCTTTGGTGTATTGAGTCTGAAGAGGATGTGCTGTGGTGTATTGAGGTGTCTGATGAGGATGTACTTTGGTGTATTGAGGTGTCTGATGAGGATGTGCTTTGGTGTATTGAGGAGTCTGATGAGGATGTGCTTTGGTGTATTGAGTCTGATGAGGATGTGCTTTGGTGTATTGAGGTGTCTGATGAGAATGTGCTTTGGTGTATTGAGGAGTCTGATGAGGATGTGCTTTGGTGTATTGAGGAGTCTGATGAGGATGTGCTTTGGTGTATTGAGGAGTCTGATGAGGATGTGCTTTGGTGTATTGAGTCTGATGAGGATGTGCTTTGGTGTATTGAGGAGTCTGATGAGGATGTGCTTTGGTGTATTGAGTCTGATGAGGATGTGCTTTGGTGTATTGAGGTGTCTGATGAGAATGTGCTTTGGTGTATTGAGGTGTCTGATGAGGGTGTGCTTTGGTGTATTGAGTCTGATGAGGATGTGCTGTGGTGTATTGAGGTGTCTGATGAGGATGTGCTTTGGTGTACTGAGGTGTCTGATGAGGATGTACTTTGGTGTATTGAGGTGTCTGATGAGGATGTGCTTTGGTGTATTGAGGAGTCTGATGAGGATGTGCTTTGGTGTATTGAGGAGTCTGATGAGGATGTGCTTTGGTGTATTGAGTCTGATGAGGATGTGCTTTGGTGTATTGAGTCTGATGAGGATGTGCTTTGGTGTATTGACGAGGATGTGCTTTGGTGTATTGAGGTGTCTGATGAGGATGTGCTTTGGTGTACACGTACAGTATGTAGCCTTTGAGATTGGCTTCTTTCATATTCACTGAAGGCTTCGCCATGTCTTTTCGTGGCTTGATGGCTCATTTCTTTTTCGCGCTGGATGATACTCCATCCTGGGCGTGTGCTGCAGCTTGTTTATCTACGTACCTATTGAAGGACATCTTAGCTTCCAAGCTTCGGCAGTTACGCGTAAAGACATCTTAGCAGCTTCCAAGCTTTGGCAGTTACACATAAAGACATCTTAGCAGCTTCCAAGCTTCAGCAGTTACTCATAAAGCTGCTGTAAACGCCCATGTGCAGGTTTTTGTTTTGACACAACTTTTCAGCCCATTTGGATGAATAAAGAAACCTGATTGCCGGACCGTGTGATGAGACCGTGTTTAATGAGAAGCTGCCATTTCACTCCCACCAGCAATGAGTAAGCGCTCCTGAGGCCCATGTCCTCCCCAGTGTTTGGTGGTGTCAGTATTTTGTGTTTGGCCATTCGAATAGGTGTGTAGTGGGATCTTGTTTTCCATAGCCTTTGAAGATGTGTACATTTTCGTACCTTTCTGGCGCTCTTAAGTTCTTCATTCAGACTCCGTGTTGCCAAGAGGGATAATTTTCTTTGAGTCTGAAGTGCCGTATTTAATATATATTGCCTTGTAGTTCCTCTGCAGTGACATTCTGCCTAGGCTTAGCTCTTACGTGGATCAAAAGGCCCTAATTCCTCCTCCTCTTTTGAAGTGCATTTTTACAGGATATACGGTTCTAAGTGGACTGTGTTTTTCTCTGCGCATGTTAAGGTGGTTCTATTCATGCTGTTTTCTACTGTTCTGATGAGGAATTTTCTCATTCTGTTTTCCTTACTGTGAAATCTCTTACTTCTGACTATATACATGATTTTCTTTTATTTTTGGACTTTGGCCGTTTGTGATGCACCTGGGTCTAGCTTTCTAAACTGAGCTACTTCGACCTGAGGGTGGGTGCATTTTAACAGATTTTGAAGTCTTGACTGTTATTTCTGCAGATATTTCTGTTTTCTTTTGCTTTCTTAGAGTTCCATTTCTGAAGGAGTATTTCTCAAATTTTTCTGATGTCCCACTCTGTCTTTTGGGTCTTTGGTACATGTGCCCTGTCCTGGGTGCTGTCCCACAGTCTCTCCAGTCACTGGTGTCACGGCCCTGGGTGTCCCACAGTCCCTCCAGTCACTGGTGTCACGGCCCTGGGTGTTGTCCCACAGTCTCTGCAGTCACTGGTGTCACGGCCCTGGGTGTCCCACAGTCTCCAGTCACTGGTGTCACGGCCATGGGTGTCCCACAGTCTCTCCAGTCACTGGTGTCACGGCCATGGGTGTCCCACAGTCTCTCCAGTCACTGGTGTCACGGCCATGGGTGTCCCACAGTCTCTCCAGTCACTGGTGTCACGGCCCTGGGTGTCCCACAGTCTCCAGTCACTGGTGTCACGGCCCTGGGTGACCCACAGTCTCTCCAGTCACTGGTGTCACGGCCATGGGTGTCCCACAGTCTCCAGTCACTGGTGTCACGGCCATGGGTGTCCCACAGTCTCTGCAGTCACTGGTGTCACGGCCCTGGGTGACCCACAGTCTCTCCAGTCACTGGTGTCACGGCCCTGGGTGACCCACAGTCTCTCCAGTCACTGGTGTCACGGCCATGGGTGTCCCACAGTCTCTCCAGTCACTGGTGTCACGGCCATGGGTGTCCCACAGTCACTGTCACTGGTGTCACGGCCATGGGTGACCCACAGTCTCTCCAGTCACTGGTGTCACGGCCATGGGTGACCCACAGTCTCTCCAGTCACTGGTGTCACGGCCCTGGGTGTCCCACAGTCCCTCCAGTCACTGGTGTCACGGCCATGGGTGACCCACAGTCCCTCCAGTCACTGGTGTCACGGCCATGGGTGTCCCACAGTCTCTCCAGTCACTGGTGTCACGGCCCTGGGTGACCCACAGTCCCTCCAGTCACTGGTGTCACGGCCATGGGTGTCCCACAGTCCCTCCAGTCACTGGTGTCACGGCCCTGGGTGTCCCACAGTCTCTCCAGTCACTGGTGTCACGGCCCTGGGTGACCCACAGTCCCTCCAGTCACTGGTGTCACGGCCATGGGTGTCCCACAGTCTCTCCAGTCACTGGTGTCACGGCCATGGGTGTCCCACAGTCCCTCCAGTCACTGGTGTCACGGCCATGGGTGACCCACAGTCCCTCCAGTCACTGGTGTCACGGCCATGGGTGTCCCACAGTCCCTCCAGTCACTGGTGTCACGGCCCTGGGTGTTGTCCCACAGTCTCCAGTCACTGGTGTCACGGCCCTGGGTGTTGTCCCACAGTCTCTGCAGTCACTGGTGTCACGGCCCTGGGTGTCCCACAGCCTCCAGTCACTGGTGTCACGGCCATGGGTGTCCCACAGTCTCTCCAGTCACTGGTGTCCCGGCCATGGGTGTCCCACAGTCTCTCCAGTCACTGGTGTCACGGCCATGGGTGTCCCACAGTCTCTCCAGTCACTGGTGTCACGGCCATGGGTGTCCCACAGTCACTGTCACTGGTGTCACGGCCATGGGTGACCCACAGTCTCTCCAGTCACTGATGTCACGGCCATGGGTGACCCACAGTCTCTCCAGTCACTGGTGTCACGGCCCTGGGTGTCCCACAGTCACTGTCACTGGTGTCACGGCCATGGGTGACCCACAGTCTCTCCAGTCACTGATGTCACGGCCATGGGTGACCCACAGTCTCTCCAGTCACTGGTGTCACGGCCATGGGTGTCCCACAGTCTCTCCAGTCACTGGTGTCACGGCCCTGGGTGTCCCACAGTCTCCAGTCACTGGTGTCACGGCCATGGGTGTCCCACAGTCACTGTCACTGGTGTCACGGCCATGGGTGACCCACAGTCTCTCCAGTCACTGGTGTCACGGCCATGGGTGACCCACAGTCTCTCCAGTCACTGGTGTCACGGCCATGGGTGTCCCACAGTCCCTCCAGTCACTGGTGTCACGGCCATGGGTGACCCACAGTCCCTCCAGTCACTGGTGTCACGGCCATGGGTGTCCCACAGTCTCTCCAGTCACTGGTGTCACGGCCCTGGGTGACCCACAGTCCCTCCAGTCACTGGTGTCACGGCCATGGGTGTCCCACAGTCTCTCCAGTCACTGGTGTCACGGCCCTGGGTGACCCACAGTCCCTCCAGTCACTGGTGTCACGGCCATGGGTGTCCCACAGTCCCTCCAGTCACTGGTGTCACGGCCATGGGTGTCCCACAGTCCCTCCAGTCACTGGTGTCACGGCCCTGGGTGACCCACAGTCCCTCCAGTCACTGGTGTCACGGCCCTGGGTGTCCCACAGTCCCTCCAGTCACTGGTGTCACGGCCCTGGGTGACCCACAGTCCCTCCAGTCACTGGTGTCACGGCCATGGGTGTCCCACAGTCCCTCCAGTCACTGGTGTCACGGCCATGGGTGTCCCACAGTCACTGTCACTGGTGTCACGGCCATGGGTGACCCACAGTCTCTCCAGTCACTGGTGTCACGGCCCTGGGTGTCCCACAGTCCCTCCAGTCACTGGTGTCACGGCCCTGGGTGACCCACAGTCACTGTCACTGGTGTCACGGCCATGGGTGTCCCACAGTCCCTCCAGTCACTGGTGTCACGGCCATGGGTGTCCCACAGTCACTGTCACTGGTGTCACGGCCATGGGTGACCCACAGTCTCTCCAGTCACTGGTGTCACGGCCATGGGTGACCCACAGTCCCTCCAGTCACTGGTGTCACTGCCATGGGTGTCCCACAGTCCCTCCAGTCACTGGTGTCACGGCCCTGGGTGACCCACAGTCTCTCCAGTCACTGGTGTCACGGCCCTGGGTGTCCCACAGTCTCGCCAGTCACTGGTGTCACGGCCATGGGTGTCCCACAGTCCCTCCAGTCACTGGTGTCACGGCCATGGGTGTCCCACAGTCCCTCCAGTCACTGGTGTCACGGCCCTGGGTGTCCCACAGTCTCGCCAGTCACTGGTGTCACGACCATGGGTGACCCACAGTCCCTCCAGTCACTGGTGTCACGGCCATGGGTGTCCCACAGTCTCTCCAGTCACTGGTGTCATGGCCATGGGTGACCCACAGTCTCTCCAGTCACTAATGTTACAACCCTCGGTGTTGCCTCACAGCTCTCTCTTTTATTTTTCTCTCTCTCTGTGCTTCTGTTTGAATAATTTCTTTTTTTTTTTTTTTTTTTTGGGAGACGGAGTCTTGCTCTGTCACCCAGGCTGGAGTGCAGTGGCATGATGTCGATGATGTCGGCTCACTGCAACCTCCATCTCCTGGGTTCAAGCGATTCTCCTGCCTCAGCCTTCCCAGTAGCTGGGATTATAGGTGTGCGCCACCACACCCGGCTAATTTTTGTTTTATTTTTAGTAGACACGGGGTTTCACCATATTGGCCAGGCTGGTCTTGAATTCCTGACCTCGTGAGCCACCTGCCTCGGCCTCCCAAAGTACTGGGATTACAGGCGTGAGCCAGTGTGCCCGGCCTCTGAATAATTTCTATCGACATGTCTTTGATGCTACCAATCCTCTTTTCTGATATTCCAGATTTCTATTTAGTCTGTTTCACAAAATTTTTATTTCCCATATTGTATATTTTAATAGGTGCTCTTATGTGTTTTTAATTTTTCTGCTGAAATTCTCCATTTTCTCACCTTGCCCCTATCTTTTCTTCTGTAATCTTTAACCTTTTAATAATAGTTACTTTAAATCATTGTCATCCTATTGCTTTGCTTTTTTTTTTTTTTTTTTTTTTTTGAGACGAGGTCTCGCTCTATCGCCCAGGCTGGAGTGCAGCGGCGTGAACTCGGCGCACAGCAACTGCCACTTCCCAGGTTCAAGTGATATTGTCCTGCCTCAGCCTCCCGAGTAGCTGGGACTACAGGCACCCACCACCATGCCCGGCTAGTTTTTGTATTTTTAGTAGAGACGAGGTTTCACCATGTTTGCCAGGATGGTCTTGAACTCCTGACCTCAGGTGATCCACCCGCCTCGGCCTCCCAAAGTGCTGGGATTACAGGCGTGAGCCACTGAGCCCAGCCCTTTTTTTCCTTTTCTTTTTCTTTTTTTTTTTGAGACGGCGTCTCGCTTTGTTGCCCAGGCTGGAGTGCAGTGGTGTGATCTCAGTTCACTGCAACCCCTGCCTCCCAGGTTTAAGTGATTCTCCTGCCTCAGCCTCCGGAGTAGCTGGGATTACAGGCGCACACCACCACACCGCACACGCTGCCACGCCCGGCTAATTTTTGTATTCTTAGTAGAGACGGGCTTTCACCATGTTGGCCAGGCTGGTCTCAAACTCTTGACCTTGTGATCTGCCCTCCTCGGCCTCCCAAAGTGCTGGGATGACAGGCGTGAGCCGCTGTGCCCAGCCCGAAAGTTATACTCTTAAGACCCAGTCCGGGGATGCCAGGGCCTCCAGAAACAGGAATCAGGAGTCACCATCCACATTATGATGTTTCGGTGCTTCTATTTCTCTGCTGCCCGAACTGACCTTCTTCTCAGGGGCAGCGCCCTTTGTGGCGACTGAGATGGCACCAGAAGCTCCAGGCACACAACCTTACATCTGTGATTTCTGTGGGAAGCCTGTATCTTGCCCAACTGTTCTAACAAAACTCCTGGGTAAAATTTGTTCTTGGGTCTCGTGCCCATAACTGAATCAGGAACTGCCGAGCAGAAGGGGTTTCCTGGTTGGCCAGGCCAGGGTCCCTTGTTCCCCTTCGGTAGCAGGGCAGGCCCCATGGAGAAGGAATAGTAAGAGGGAGGAGCACATGGGCAGGCCGGGCGCAGCCACCCAGAGGCATGAGCGTCCCATTTGTGTGGGGTGAGCACAGAGGTCAGGAGGGCAGTGCAGGAACAACTTCCCTCTTAGGCCAAGAAATCTGAAACTGGGAAGGCAGTGGGGAGCCTTAGTGTGTTTTTTAGCTGAAGTAGAGTCACGCTTTAGGGAGATTGGATTTGACTGGAATATCTAAGATAGGTTGGAGCTGGGAGAGACCCTGGGATGCCATTGTTGACTAATATTCTGTTCTTGTCCATGGTGTCTTGTGTTTCTGAGGGTGCACTAGATGTGGGTAAGACAGTTAAGGAGCAGAGGGGATACTGTTTTGCCTCAGGAAGGGCTTGCCCCTCTCCTGTCAGCAGCTGGGTTGATGTGCTGGTCTCGAGGAGCTGGGCTGGCCTGCTCACCGCTTGTGTAGCGTAGCTTTGCCTCTGGGTTAGCTGTGGGGTGGTGGAATCCTGCCCTTCCTGCAGCCCAGACCCAGGCAGGAGGACCTGGAGGGCCCGCTGTGCCTTGGGGCTCTTCCGGATTTGTCTGACACCAGGCTCCTAGGACTAATGAGGCCTCCACCAGACTTGGTCTTGACTAACCTCAGGGGAGCTCATACCTCTCTAGAACAAACTTACTGTCCTCAGCTTTTCGGCAGCCATAAATAAAAGTCATTTGTGTTCGTTTATTTAATGCTTTCCTTTTACAGTGAAGTGAAGGTCTTTGATGACCTCCTTCCTACCTGCTAACCAAATATGGAAATCTGTTCTGGACAGAGTCCATGGCCGTGCCAGGAAGCAGGCGTTAGCCAGGGGCCTGCCTGGAGATCAGCCCTCCTGAGACAATTTCTGTGGGGGTGGAAGTGGGGGAGGGAGAAAGTCGCTCAGAACTGATGGTCCTGGACCGGCCACGGTCCCCAGAGCCTCAGCCTCCCAGGCCCAGGCTTTGTTGAAGATGTCCGGGCCCTGGACTGGCGCTGTCTGGGCCCCCACTGACCTGACCCAGCTGTTTCTCTCTCCCTGATGGTCCTTGTTTTCTCGGTTTGTAGTTCCTGGGTAGGATGGCCAGATAAAATACAGGATGCCCAGTTGGGCTCGGATTACAGATAAACGAATGTGTAAGTATGTCCCATGCAGTATTCGGGACACATACTGAAAACCGGTTTGTTGCTCTTCTGGGATTCAAATGTAACGGGGTGTCCTGTTTGTTTCACAGGTATCAGGACTCAGCTAGGGGGTCCTTGATGTTTATTTGCCCCATTGCTGGGCTGTTCTCAGGAGGATGTTGAGACCCTGGCGTGGAGCGCCTCCTCGGCGTGTCCAGCAGAGGGCGGCCGTGCCTCCCGGAGGCATCGCGGGGCCCAGAGCGCAGCCCAGCCCCGTCCCCTGGTCCTGTGGCTCGAGGTCGGGGAGGGAGGGGCGGTGGTCGCTGCGGGGCAAATGTTTCCACTCACCCGGAGCCACGACCCACGGCCTGTGCAGGGAGAGTCGAAAGCGCGGCCCCCGGTGAGCACTTGGGAGGTGAACCGGTTCCCCGCCCTGGTGGGCTGTCACCAGTCACATCAAGAGATGCAGGACGGCGGTGGCCTCACCAGAGGCATTACGAGTTCTCTGGAGCCCCTCCGCCACCACCGTCCTTGTTCTTCCTTGAGTCGGAACCAGGTCCTTGGGGTCTGTGGGTGCTCAGTGGCTTTGCAGACCTGCAAAGATTTGAGGTCTTCCAGGTGCCTCTCCTTGCCTTCACCAGATGCTGGTTTCGGGGGCAGGGATAGGGCTGCCAGGCATCAGGAAGGTTTGTGAACGGGGATTTAATCGAGTGTTTCGCGGGGTGGCCCCTGCCATCTCTGCCCCTCGTTTTGTACGAGAAGCAGGCGGAAACCAGCTCTCCCTTTGAGAACGCACTGTTGCCCTCCGCTGTTGCTTGTGTGTCTTGCCTTGCTGTGACCCAGGGAGAGCTCCCTGCAGCTGTCAGCTCCCTGGTGACCTCAGGCTCTGGGCATCCCAGTAAGCACGGCTTGCGCACCCACTGTGTGCCAGCTCCCACTTTCCTGGAGCTCGTGGGAGGAGACGGGGACAGTGAACGAACGCACAGACTGAGATGGTGGGAGGGGCTGTGCGTTCCGGGTTGTCTGCACGAGGGGCTCTGGCAGGGGGGCCGCGTCCCGGCTTGTCTGCGCGAGGGGCTCTGGCGACCACGTCCAGCACTACTGCTGTGTGTTTTTCTTTGCTGTGACCCAGTGAAGACCTCCTCACAGACAGAGCACAGCAGACTCGCGGTGCTGAAACCCGGAGGGTTACCCTGTCCCTGACTGACTGTAAGGTTACACTAAATTAAGAGGCACTCCAAGGATTGCAAAGTCCGAGGGGAATTTTGAATTCGTGGGTCCTGGATTGTGAATTTGAAGGCAGCGGTTTCCAACCCTTTTAAATCTTGACCCCAGGAAGAAGTACCTTCTACATCTTGACCCAGCAAACACGTGATACCTACCCACACTGTATTTTGTTCAATTAACCCTCAAATGATGTTTCCTAATGTTTGGCCCTGGGTCAAGCATTTCACAAACTATTTAATCTTCTCTACAATCCCAGGTGGTAGCTACTGTCTTGCCGCCTTTATGCAGACAGAGACTGAGGGATACCTTAGATGTCTTTCCAAACCATCCACCCCCTCAGCCTTCCCTGCCCACTGCCTGCACGTCAAACCCACTGACGGGCACTCGTTCGACTCCAAGAGCCCCGTGCCAGGAACCTGGGAGACAACTCCCGTTTTGACTCTGGGCAAGGTACTTCACCTCTCAAGTCCCAGAGAAGCAGAGAAAGCAACGGCAGGTATAGTGGCTGGCTGCACTTAGGTGGCACCTACTGTGTGCCAGGCCCCCTTCTGCCCACTTCACAGGTGTCTTAGTCTCCATAGAGTCCATTTGGAAACAGGCCCGGAGCCATCCAGGTTGCGATGAGGCACCAAGGTGGCAGAGCCAGTGCTGGGCAAGAGGCGGGAGCTGCAGTTGCTGAACCCGTGAGCTTGCTTGCCTGGGAGTGGCGACCTGGCCCTCAGGGGTTGCTTGTCTCTAGGGGACCCAGCCTGGGTACATGTACCACCACCCGCTTCCAGCTCTGCTATTTGCAGGTGAAGGAGAAAGCCACTGAGGCCTGGCCTCCAGGCCAGGCTCTGTCCCTGCTGGGAGCTGCCCTGGCCTCAGGTTCTTCCTGGAAGGGAGGACCAGGCAGCTGGGGGCAGCAGCAGATCCAGCTATGAAAGCCGTGACAAGAAGTTCCTTGAAGTGTGGTGGGCTGCAGTCAGCATATGTAGGAGACGACCCCAATCCTGACCCTAATCCTAATTCTTGCTTTCCCCACCAGATTTTAATCCTTATCCTGCCCAGGGATTTTAAGGGCTAACCCAAATCCTGACCCAAGGGGAAGGATGGAAGGGGGAACAGCCTGCAGCCTCACCTCCACCCTCTATCCTCCCAGGTCTACCTCCACCCCTCTCCTGGGTCTCTCCCTCTTGGCTTGGCCCCATCCCACAGCCCCCACTGTCTTCCCCCCGCTCCCACTTTGGCAGGCCCCTCCAAGTGACCTCTCCCTTGCTCCCCAGCACACAGTAGGTGCTCAATGAAGAACACCGCCTTTCCTTGACTCCAGTAGATGTTGCACCCTCTCCATCTTAGGAGAAAATGTGCGTTGGCTGTCAAGACTACACTGACAGCAGTGGTCACTCATTTGCAGACAGGGTGAAGTGTGGGGGAAAGCGCAGTAGTGACGCTGAACCCTACATTTATGTAGCATTGATGCTAGGCACCAGAACCCTCACAATCCTAATTCCGACGGGAGCTAGAGCCCCCCCACCCCACCGTGAGTGCAGCAAGGGAGCACCTCAACCCTGCCCTTGGAGGGCCACAGGTCAGCTTGCACCGTCTTCCCACCCAGCACCACTCTGGGTGCCTTTGCTGTCTCCCAAGAGCCCCTTGCCCTTGGAGTTCCCTCATGATGCCCCCCTGCCCCACGTGCAGGTGTCTGACCATCCGGGAAGCAGGGTCGAGGAGCTCCCAGTTGAAGTCCAGTTGCTGAGACGCACCCTGTTTTGGTGTTGCTGGGGCAGGGGGCTGATGGTGGTGCTGAACGGGTTTTAGAGGAGGGTCAGGGTGGCAGCGGATCTGGGGCCCAGCAGCCTTGTTTCTGACCCCAGGCCTGCCACTTCCCATTTAAGTGACCGTGAGTGGCAGAGGTCAAGGCTGGACTCCGGAAACGTGGGTCTGACACTCCTGAGGCCTCCCGGATGGTCCCAGCCGAAAGGACCCAGTGTGGGTCCCTTGGGCCTGGGTTTCCCTGGCTCAGGTGCCCTCAATCCCCAGGCACCCTCAGCTCAGGGCTCCCCACGACCTGGTGGGGGCACAGACCCCGGCGCCATTTCATGGGGTTCCCAGCTCCTGGCGCCCCCGTGCTCTTCTGTGAAATGGGACAGCAAGTGCGCTGATAGGAACGGTGCCTGGGCACAGGGCTGCGCCTGGACACCCTACGCCGTCGCAAGGTGGGTGCCGAGGAACTCGAGCTTCTAACGTGCCAGGGGTCCAAGGACGCGCCAGGATTTTGAGTATTAGGAGAAAAGAAACTCCTGAAATGAAGCCACGTCGCCCCTTCCACTTTAAGGTGCCTCCTGCTGTCGGAGTTTCCAGGCGCACACGGCGCGGCTGCCACTCCCTGAGGAGGAAAGTCGGGAACCGTCCCGCGGGGCCGGTCCCGCCGCTGCTCGTCCTCCTTCTCCACGTCCCCGCCCGGGGCTCCGCCGGCCCGACCCGCGGGGAACCTCCAGCCTCTGAGGACCTCACGCCGCTCGGAGACCCGCACAGCCCGGGTCAGGGCCGGGACTCCGGGCGGACGAGGTCCCCGTGGCGCCCGCACGCTCGCCCCACCCGCTCTTTTGGGCGCCGCGGCCAGGCGGGGGCAGAGTCCGCGCGGTCCCGGGTCCGCCGCGCCCCGCCCCCCCCGCTGCTCCCCTGCCCGCCGCTGCCGTCCCCCCTCCCTCCTCCCCTCCCCCCCTTCTTCCCTTCCCTCCCCCTCCCCCCTCCCCTCCCCGCCCCTAGCCCTCCCCTCCTCCCCTCCCCCTCCCTCCTCCCCTCCCCGCCCCTAACCCTCCCTCCTCCCCTCCCCTCCCCTCCTCACCTCTCCCCTCGTGCCCTCCCCGCCCCTCCCCTCCTCCCCTTCCCGCCCCTCCCCTCCTCTCCGCGCGGGGCGGGCTCCGCGCCACGTGACTCCGCGGCCGGGCCGGGACGCGACGGGACGCGCTGGGACCGGCGTCGGGGGTCGCGGGGACCATGCAGCGGAGGTGGGTCTTCGTGCTGCTCGACGTGCTGTGCTTACTGGTCGGTAAGAGCCTTGGGGACCCGGGTGTTGGGGGGACCCTCCCGGGACGGACACGCCCCCGGCTGCGCGCAAGTTTGCAGGGGAACGCGGAGGCTGCGCGCCCTCGTCCCTCCGAGGACCCTGGAGGCGGGGACCTCGCGTGAGGACCAGACCTCCCTCCGCGCCCCGCACTGCGCGCGCCCTCCCAGGCTCGGGGGTCCCCGCGTCCCAGGCCCAGGGGGATGGGGGTCGCGAGAGGCCCGGGGAGCCGGGGCCAGCATCCCCCGCCCCGGCAGCAGGAAGTCTGTGCGGAGGGGCCGCGCGCGCGCCTCCATCCCGCCCCGCCTGGCCTGGGAGGTGAGTCACGCGGGCCCGGGAGGTGGGGGCGGCCGCGGGTTACCCCGGCAGGACGTCCGCGCCTCCGCCCCTGGGGTGGGCGCTCCCGCTGCGCGCGGAGAGGGCTGACCCTCGGTCCTGGCACCCGGTGCGTCGGCGGGATTCGAACCCGTGCACGTGCGGGGAGGCCCAGCCGCCCTGCTGGCTCGGGCGGGGGAGACACTGGGGATGAAGGCTGGGTCCCAGGCTTCGGGTGAACGGGGTGGCGGGGGGCCGGGAGGCCAGGAGAACCAAACCTGTCCGGCGGGTTTGCGGGCCACACTGGCGGAATGGGCATCCCGAGGCCCCCCTCCCGCAGGGTCCCGGGAACAAAGGCCGAGTGTTTGCTCTGTGGCTGCACAGACAATGGCCCTGGAATTCTATCTCTGGGGGGTGCCCTCCTCCCCAACGTGTTTCCTGCTTCTCTGCCATCTCACAGCAGAGGCCAAGTCCTCTTACCTCCGGAAGGAGACCCTTTTTTAGGGTGGGCCAGGTGACAGCAAGAAGTCCCTGTGGGTGTCTGCCAGCCCGTGGTACCATTTCCTGAGCACCTATGGTGTTATTTATGTAAACATTTAGGTGGCACTTTCTGTATGCCAGGAACTAAGCAACATGCAAATAACAAACATTTCCCTTACAACAGCCTGTGAGGGAGGTGCTGAGTCACCTGCCGGAGGTCACACAGCAGCGGGAGGTACAGCCGAGATGGGGTTGGCTGTTGCTGCTGTGTGCCAGGGGTGGTGGCCAGGCCGAGTGCACCTCTATGCTGGAAGCTTGAGCACACCACAGTTCAGTCAACACTGAGGTTCCAGATGCTGGCATGAGGGCAGTGTGAGGGCGGGAGGGCTCCCGGGGGCTAAATGAAGAGAAGGTGTCTGTTTTGGGGACCCCAGGGAGAGCTTTCCAGGCCGAGGGAAGCCCGGCGCCTGTCGTTATGGGGGTGCCTGCGTCTCTAGTTGGAGTTGCTGGGGCAGGGAGGTCGGAAACGGAGGCTAACCTGTGTGAGCCTCCGCCCGATAAGAGCTGTGGTCGGGCTGCACTCCCTTCTGGGCATCTCGTAACCCTGACTTTCCACCCGGCCGGCAACTGCAGGAGCCTCCTCCAAGGCCTCTCCCTTCACAGCAGCTCCAGCCCCTCCTGTGTGGGAGCAGAAGGCAGGTTCTTACATCCCGCCCTCTCCGCCGTCCTGCCCTGCCTCCAGGCCCTGGCGCTGCCCTTTTTTTTTCTTTCTTGAGACAGAGTCTCGCCCTGTCGCCAGGCTGGTGTGCAGTGGTGCAATCTCGGCTCACTGCAACCTCTGCCTCCTGAGTTCAAACGATTCTCCTGCCTCAGCCTCCCGAGGAGCTGGGACACCGCCACACCCAGATAATTTTTGTATTTTTAGTAGAGTTGGGGTTTCACCGTGTTAGCCAGGATGGTCTCGATCTCCTGACCTCGTGATCTGCCCGCCTCGGCCTCCCAAAGTGCTGAGCCACCACGCCGGGCCTGCCCATTCTGTTCTGCATTCCCTCACCTTTCTTGCTCGGTGAGGCAGGCCTCTGTTTTCTTCACCAGATTATTTCCCCAGACTTAGCCAGCATGGAAGGTGTACGGTGTCCTAGGGCCCTTGGAGTTAGCATGTCGGGAGGAGTGTGGGGCTCCCTGCCCCTCCGCTGACATTCAGAACTTAGAAAAGCCACACCCTTTTGTACTTGCCCTGCTGGGCCAAAGGATGCCCTGCCTTGGTTTGTCTCTGGGCTAGCCGACCCGGGCTTTTGTTGTGCGCCTGCCCTCTGCCCCGTTCTCCGTAGATGACTCCTGCTTCCCTGGCCACCCTCAGCTCAGCAGGGCCCCAGGAGCCCCAGTGCCATGGCAGCACCTTCCATAAGTGGCTCCTGAATGTGTCTTTGATCCCTGAGGCCAGGGCTGGGTCTGTCCTGGTCACCACGTGGCTGGTCGATGAAGGGGCAAGTGCGTGAGCGAAGGTGTCTCAGCTGTGCCCTTCCTTGGCTTCTTCCTGACTTCTCTGGCCTGCTCTTAGGTTAAAAGAAGTCCTGCCTTATTTTAACCGATGTTTATTAAACATCTGCCCTGGCCAGGCCCTGAGCAGGCTCCAGGGACTCTGCCCTGAATACGGTAGGCCCCTCCTGGTGCCGGTGGGTGGATGGGGGGAAATCAATTCCAGTGTCCCACACGTGACTGCCAAATTCCACATGAGGTTTGCATAAGGAAGAGGGAAAAAGAGCAGACCTTTCCTTCTGTGAGAGGGATGCTGGCATGGACAGTCAGCAGGGGAGATGAGAGTGGAGGTTACTCAGAGCTACTTTGGGGCCCCGCACATAAATTAGAGATACTTTGGGGCCTGGCACGTTGGCTCACACCTGTAATCTCAGCACTTTGGGAGGCTGATGCTGGAGGATCGCTCCAGCCCAGGAGTTTGTGACCAGCCTGGTCAACATGAGACCCCTGTCTCTACTTTTAAAAATTTAAAAAAAAAAGATATTTTGGGCAGAGAGAAGTGGCTGTGCAAAGGTGGGTGTTTGCTGAGTTAGTTCAAGGAGCAGAAAGGAGGCTGCCAGGATGTGAGGGGCAGAGCGCCTGAGGAGTTTGTGTTTGTCTGAGGGGATGCGAAAGGGAGTGTTATTTGGGCTGTGAAAAAAGCTCTTCCTTGCTGTCTGGTGAGAGTAGAGGTGGGAGGCCTCCAGGCCAAGGCAGGTGTGTGGGGCCCCAAGGCCCAGCTGGTGAGAGAACCTCACAGCTCCCAGGCTTTTCTTCCCCACCAGCCTCCCTGCCCTTCGCTATCCTGACGCTGGTGAACGCCCCGTACAAGCGAGGATTTTACTGCGGGGATGACTCCATCCGGTACCCCTACCGTCCAGATACCATCACCCACGGGCTCATGGCTGGGGTCACCATCACGGCCACCGTCATCCTTGTAAGGCAGGAGGGGCTCAGAGGGACTGGGTAGGGGGATGGGGTGGGGCCAGCTTTACCCTGGGGGCCTGATGGGGGGGTGGCACAGCCCTGCCCTGGAGGTCTGTGTGGGGCCGGGGGACACAGCCTTGCCCTGAGTGGTACCTGTGGGTAATAGGGCCCCCTTCAGAGTCCCCAGCTCTCCAGCAGCCTTGGGGAGGCCCGTGCGGAGGAGTGAGGGCCCCTGGGCCGACCGAGACCCCCACTGGTTCCTGCGGCTGCTCTTGCAGGTCTCGGCCGGGGAAGCCTACCTGGTGTACACAGACCGGCTCTATTCTCGCTCGGACTTCAACAACTACGTGGCTGCTGTATACAAGGTGCTGGGGACCTTCCTGTTTGGGGCTGCCGTGAGCCAGTCTCTGACAGACCTGGCCAAGTACATGATTGGGCGTCTGAGGCCCAACTTCCTAGCCGTCTGCGACCCCGACTGGAGCCGGGTCAACTGCTCGGTCTATGTGCAGCTGGAGAAGGTGTGCAGGGGAAACCCTGCTGATGTCACCGAGGCCAGGTGGGTGTGGACCAGCAGCCTTCACTCTTGTGGGGAATGGGAGCTGAAGAAGGCCCTGGAGCCAAATCATGAAGAGCCAGCAGGCAGCTGAGACTACAGGCGTGCGCCACCACGCCCGGCTAATTTTTGTATAAGTTAGTGCATTCTTGTATGTTTTTGAAGTTCATCCATGTTGTAACATTCTGTCAGTTTTTGCTTTAAGTATTTTGGGGTTCTGTTGTTTAGTACATTTACCTTTGTAATTGTTATATATTTTTGAAAGATTGACCATTTCATCATCATAGAATGAGATATATGAGTTTTGTCTCAACAATTTTTGTCTTGATGTCTGTTTTGTCTGATATTAACATAGCTATTCTGGTTCTCTTTTTGTTATTGTTTGCATGGAATATTTTTTTTTTCCATTCTTGGACTTTCAACCTGTTTATGTCTCTGACTGTAAAGTAAGTGTCTTATACCTAGCATGAAATTGGGCCATGTTTCTTAATGTATTGTCCAATCTCTGATTTTTTTTGAGACAGAGGCTCACTCTGTCACCCAGGCTGGAGTGCAATGATCTGAGCTCACTGCAGCCTCGGACTCCCAGGCTCAAGCCATCTTCCCACCTGAGCCTCCCGAGTAGCTAGGACTACAGGAACGTGCCACCACATCCAGCTACTGTTTATTTTTTTTTTGGTAGAAACGGGGTTTTGCCATATTGCCCAGGCTGGTCTTGAACTCCTGAGCTCAAGCGATCCGCCCACTTTGGCCTCCTAAAGTGCTGGGATTACAGGTGTATGCCACCACATCCAGCCAGATCTCTGACTTTTTTTTTAATGTTTTTTAAATTATATATTAATCTTTTTATTGAATTAAGGCATTTAATGAAACTTTGACTTTTAATTGGAGTGTTTATTTATATTCAATGTAATTACTGATAAGGAAGGACCTCTGTCATTTCGTTGAGGTTTGCTTAGGTTATATCTTCTTTTTTCAATTCCTCATTACTGTCTTTTTTTGTTTGTTTGTTTTGCTTTTAATTTTTTTTTTCTTTTAGAGATGGGGGTCTTGCTATCTTGCCCAGGACTTGAACTCCTGGGCTCAAACCATCCTCCCACCTCTGCCTTCCAAGTAGCTGGTACTACGGGCATACACCACCAAATCCAGCTGGTTTTTAAATTTTTTTGTAGAAATAGGGTCTCACCATGTTGCCCAGGCTGGTCTCGAATGCCTGGGCTCAAGCAATCCTCTCGCCTCAGCCTCCCAAAGTGCTGGGATTAGAGGTGTGAGCCACTGAGCCCGTTCAGGGTAAATAATCTTTTTTTTTTTTCTTTTTTTTTTTTGAGACAGAGTCTGGGCCCAGGCTGGAGTGCGGTGGTGCAATCTTGGCTCACTGCAACCTCCATCTCCTGGGTTCAAGTGCTTCTCCTGCCTCAGCCTCCCCAGTAGCTGGGATTACAGGTGTGCGCCACCACGCCCGGCTAATTTTTGTATTTTCATTTACTTTTATTAATTTTATTTTTTGAGACAGAATGTTGTTCTGTCACCCAGGCTGGAGTGCAGTGTGCAGTGGTGTGATCTTGGCTCACTGCAACCTCTGCCTCCTGGGTTCAAGCGATTCTCCTACCTCAGATTCCTGAGTAGCTAGGACTACAGGCGTGCACCACCACGCCCGACTAACTTTTTGTATTTTTAGTAGAGATGGGGTTTCATCATGTTGGCCAGGCTGGTCTCGAACTCCTGATCTCAGGTGATCCACCCACCCTGGCCTCCCAAAGTGCTGGGATTACAGGCGTGAGCCACCATGCCTGGCCAGGCTGAATAATCTTTTTTTTTTTTCTTTTTTTCGGCCAGGCTGAATAATGTTTTTTTTCTCCTTTTCTTTTTTTTTTTTTTGAGAAAGAGTCTCACTGTGTCGCCCAGGCTGGAGTGCGGTGACGTGATCTTGTCTCACTACAGCCTCTGCCTCCTCGGTTTAAGCAATTCTCCTGCCTCAGCCTCCTGAGTAGCAGGCGTGAGCCACCACACCTGGCCCCAGCCGAATAATCTTTTTTTTTTTCTTTGAAACGAAGTCTCTCTCTTGTCCCCCAGGCTGGAGAGCAGTGGCACGATCTCGGCTCACTGTAACCTCTGCCTCCCGGGTTCAAGAGATTCTCTGCCTCAGCCTGCCGAGTAACTGGGATTACAAGTGTGTACCACTATGCCCAGCTAATTTTTTGTATTAAGTAGAGACGGGGTTTCACCATGTTGGCTAGGCTGGTCTCGAACTCCTGACCTCAGGTGATCCACCCGCCTCGGCCTCCCAAAGTGCTGGGATTACAGGCTGAGCCACCGTGCCAGGCCAAATAATCTTAATTGACCTATTTTCTTTGTTTTTTTGAGTTGGAGTCTTGCTCTGTCTCCCAGGCTGGAGTGCAGTGGCATAATCTCAGCTCACTGCAACCTCTGCCTCCTGGGTTCAAGCGATTCTCCTGCCTCAGCCTCACGAGTAGCTGGGATTACAGGCGTGTGCCTCTGCGCCCAGCTAATTTTTGTATTTTTAGTAGAGACGGGGTTTCGCCATGTTGGCCAGGCTGGTCTCGAACTCCCGACCTTTGTGATCTGCCCGTCTCTGCCTCCCAAAGTGCTGGGATGACAGGTGTGAGCCGCTGTGCCCGGCCAATTGACCTATTTTCAAGTTCATTGTCTTTTTTCTTCTGCTTCCTCAGACCTGCTATTGAGCCTCCCTCAAGTGATTTTTCATTTCAGATAACCAAATCTTTATTTGGTTCCTTTTTATAACTTCTTTCTCTTTATTGATATTCTCTGTTTGGTGAGACATTGTTCTCATATTCCTTTGGCTCTTTGAACATAGTATTTATTTATTTTTACTTTTTTCTTTGAACATATTTTAAATGGCTAACTAAAAGTGTTTGTCTAGAACCCAGGCTTGGTGGCACACAACTGTTGTCACAGCTATTTGGGAGGGTGAGGCAGGAGGATCGCTGGAGCCCAGAAGTTCAAGTCAGGCCCTCTCTTAGAAAGTGTCTAGTAAGTCCAACATCTGGGTGTCCTGAGGGACAATTTCTATTATTACATTTTTTTCCCTGTGTATTGGCCACACCTGTGTTTTTCTACATGCCTTGTAATTTTTTTTTTTTTTTTGAGACAGAGTCTCACCCTATTGCCAGGTTGGAGTGCAGTGGCGATCTCGGCTCACTGCAACCTCCACCTCCCAAGTTCAAGCAAATCTCCTGCCTCAGCCTCCCAAGTAGCTGGGACTACAGGCATGTGCTACCACACCCAGCTAATTTTTGTATTTTTGGTACAGACGGCGTTTCACCGTGTGGGCCAGGATGGTCTCGGTCTCTTGACCTCGTGATCCGCCTGCCTCGGCCTCCCAAAGTCCTGGGATTACAGGAGTGAGCCACCGCACCCCCGGCCTGTTTTGCTTTGTTTTAAACTGGGTGTTTAGAATATTATAATGTAGCAACTCTGGAAATATGATCCTACGCCCTCTCCCGGGTTTGTTCTTGCTGTTTGTTGCAGTAGTTATTTGTTTAATGACTTTTCTGGTTGTAAAGTCTGTATTTTTTGTCACGTATGGCCGTTTCTTCCTATTCTTTTAGCCCAGTGGTCAGTGATAGGACAGAGATTTCCTTAAACATCTGGAATCAAAAAAACCCATAAAACCCTCCCAGAGTTTGTAGAAGGGTCTGTGTGCATGTGGGGTCAGCCCTTCCGCGGTTAAACACATTTTCAACTCTGCCTTAGCTTTTGCTTCCTGTGTGTGCGGAGCCTGAAGGCGGCCAGACGTGAGAGCTTAGCTTCGGCCCTCGCAGGCCTCTCCTGAGCTCCTGCACAGCTCTGTCTGCGTTCCAGGCCCCCATCGCCCAGAGCATTTTATTCCCTGGCCTGTTTGGTTAGTCTGTTGTTTGCCTCATCTGCTGTCTGTGGCCCCAGGCAGCAGAGAATAATAAATTTGTTGTGAATGTTTCCTACAAATATCCCCCAGGTAGCACCTCAGCACTGGGAGAATGTCCAGTCAGGTGAGATCAAGGCCAGCCCTTGAGCCATACTCCCGTCCACAGTTGCAAATAAAGTCTGTTCTTGGAATCCTCAGGCCACCACCAGTCTAGGCAGTGGGAGAGGGACCAGGATGAGTTAAAATGCGACAAGGCCGTTTGTTCTGAGATTCAGCTGGTTTATCTTGATAAGTCTTCTGGTGGCTGCAAGCTTTTGAGTAGTTCCAAAAAAGTTGATTGTGACTTTTTTGCCATTTTTAAAAATTGCTTTTGAAGTTTCTTGCTCTGCTATTTTCTTGATGTCCTTCACCGAATCTTGAATTTATATAAAAATAAGTCTTCCCTCAGTTCCGCAGATGGGAGAAAATCCTGAAAAGAAACATGGTGAAAATGAAACTGTGGTGTTGCCTGCTTGCCAGACATGATTGTCTGCCCTGGGTTTTGGGTTCAGGCCTCAGAGTCTTCACGGATGAGGCATCTCATGCCACAGCCCCAGTCAGAGACTCTTATTCCATTATCAGATGACTGGAACAGAAAAGGGGAACAGTTTCTGCTACTGGGATTTGAGTGCATCTAACAGCAGCAGCCTCCGTGTCGAGCCCTCCCTTCTGTGGGCGGGGCGGGGACAAGGGGGAGGTTGGAAGGCGCTGAGTGAGCCACCTGCCCCTTCTCCTTCCTCAGGTTGTCTTTCTACTCGGGACACTCTTCCTTTGGGATGTACTGCATGGTGTTCTTGGCGGTGAGTCTGTTTCTCCCGGGCTTGCTTTTCGGGGGAACCATGGCTAAATCACTCCCTTCCCTGGACCTCAGTTTTTCCAGCTGTAAAATGGGTGGGTAGTGGTGGTGAGGGGGGCTAACTGATTTGTTTATAAAAACGGGAGGCCCTGGGCTGACCAGTGTTTGCCTCCGGCCTCAGTGCTGCCATCTGTGCAGGGGGAGGGGGAGCGCCTGGCAGGTGCACAGGCTAACACGTCTGTGCAGGGGGAGGGGGAGCGCCTGGCAGGCGCAAGGCTAACACGTCTGTGCAGGGGGAGGGGGAGCGCCTGGCAGGTGCACAGGCTAACACGTCTGTGCAGGGGGAGGGGGAGCGCCTGGCAGGTGCACAGGCTAACACGTCTGTGCAGGGGGAGGGGGAGCGCCTGGCAGGTGCACAGGCTAACACGTCCTCTCCCCACTCCAGCTGTATGTGCAGGCACGACTCTGTTGGAAGTGGGCACGGCTGCTGCGACCCACAGTCCAGTTCTTCCTGGTGGCCTTTGCCCTCTACGTGGGCTACACCCGCGTGTCTGATTACAAACACCACTGGAGCGATGTCCTTGTTGGCCTCCTGCAGGGGGCACTGGTGGCTGCCCTCACTGTGAGCTTCTAACCCTAACTCTATCCCCTGTGTTGTCCAGAGACCACTCCCCAGCCAACCCTAGTGCTGCCCTGGGTACCCTTGCCCCACTGAGTCCTTCCTTGGGCCTCCTCCCTGTCAGTCCTCCCTGGGACCCCTTCCCCCAACCCCAGTCCTTCCCTTTACCCCATCCTTCCCCCCAGTCCTCCCCTGGACCCCTTCTCCCCAGTCCCAGTCCTTACCTGGACCCTCTTCATTACCCCCAAAGTCCTCCCCTGGGACCCCTTCCCCCCAATCCCAGTCCTTCCCTGGACCCCCCTCCATGCCCCCATTCCTCCCCTGCACCCCAGTGCACAGGACTCCTTTCCGTGCACCCCAGTCCTTCTCTGGACCCCTGGCCCTACTGCAGTTCTTCCCGGGGCCTGTCAGCTCCTCAGTGCTCCCCACTGGTCCTCCACTAAGAGCGCTCTCTTCCCACCCCAGGCACTACTCCTCTCATTTCCCACCTAGGCCCCTCGCTCCCACCTGGGACCCTGTTCCTCCCCCTCCTGCTCATGCCCATGTCCCTGGTACCTGGACAGCCCCCTGCCCATTCTCACCACCCTCTGCTCTACCAGGTCTGCTACATCTCAGACTTCTTCAAAGCCCGACCCCCACAGCACTGTCTGAAGGAGGAGGAGCTGGAACGGAAGCCCAGCCTGTCACTGACGTTGACCCTGGGCGAGGCTGACCACAACCACTATGGATACCCGCACTCCTCCTCCTGAGGCCGGACCCCGCCCAGGCAGGGAGCTGCTGTGAGTCCAGCTGAGGCCCACCCAGGTGGTCCCTCCAGCCCTGGTTAGGCACTGAGGGCTCTGGACGGGCTCCAGGAACCCTGGGCTGATGGGAGCAGTGAGCGGGCTCCGCTGCCCCCTGCCCTGCACTGGACCAGGAGTCTGGAGATGCCTGGGTAGCCCTCAGCATTTGGAGGGGAACCTGTTCCCGTCGGTCCCCAAATATCCCCTTCTTTTTATGGGGTTAAGGAAGGGACCGAGAGATCAGATAGTTGCTGTTTTGTAAAATGTAATGTATATGTGGTTTTTAGTAAAATAGGGCACCTGTTTCACAAACGGTCTCAGTGCTTCTGTTCCTTATGGCCGTTCTGGGACTGTGTTTCTCACATCCGAGGGCTCCCCTGCTGGGCTCAGCGCAGCTCAGCTATCAAGCAAACTCACCTGCTGTGATGGTAGAAGCCAGAAGCCAACCCGCCCCTTGCGTTTCTCCCAGCACAGTGCTGGGGTCAAGGGTCAGGTGGATCAGCACACACGAGGGTCATTTCACTGCTGAGAGGGGCCTAAACAAAAGGCTGCTGCAGGTTGAAGGACCCAGCCTCCCTCGGGGAGGCCCCTGCCCCACGTTCCTAGTAGAGGCTTCTGAATAGAGGCACTTGAGCTGAGAGCGTGGTGTGAGTGAGCAGGTGGCTGGACGCCCCCAGGGCCTGAGTCTGGGTGGGGAGGGCAGTATCCCTGGGAGGTCCGCCGGTAGAGCCTGTTGTCAGGCCTGAAGGACCACACACAGGATTTTAGCCTGGAGCTGACGCCTCAGCCCCCTTCTGAACCCCTTCCACAGGTTCGTCCAGTCCCTGTGTCCTTTAGGCCCAAAGCTGGTCTCTCTGGCCCGAACCCCTCCCCTCTGTTCATGTCAACCCCTGTGCACCTGGGGGCCACACTTCTGAAACAGGGAATTCAGGGGCTGGTTGCCCTGAAATGAATACGGAACATACAGAGCTTACTTTTTCAATGGAGAGTAAAAAGGGTAAATTTGTCTTTTTAAAGTGGGTAACTTAAGTATCTTATTCCCCGGCCCTTGCAGGATGTTCCTATCAGGCCTGAGCCTACGGTGAGGGTAATGTAGCACTGGGCGGGGAGGGCGGGGGGCAAAGATGCAGCCTGGGATCCCCACCCTAGGGGCCAAGATGGAGGAGACCTGCCCTTGGCGGATGGGAAGGAAGGTGACCCAGACACTGCAGAACTCTCGCTCAACGTCAGGGACTTGGCTCCACGCAGGTGTCAGACAGGTTCCTGGCCAAGAAAGTCACACTGAAGCTTCCCAGGGCCAAGGAGCTCAGGTATCCCAGGACGCAGACTACCAGGATGTATCTGGGCTCAGAATGTGAGCCTCTGGCAGTGGATGGGGGAGAGGTTCCCAGCCAGACCCCGCAGACAGAGTCACTTGGATCAGGAGCAAATGGGAAAGATGCAGAGGCCCTGACACCAGCCAACACCTCAGTCTCCTCCCAGGTGCAATGGCCTTGAAAGCCAGGACCACAGTGAGGGATGAGGGCAAGTCTGTGGACGCAGCTACAGTGCACACGACTCATGTGGTTTGCTGGGGGGCAGGTGGCCGTGTTGGGACGGCCAGTGAAGAGTAAGGAGCAGAGGAAGCTCGGGGTGAGGGAGATGACGCAGCTGAGTCCAGCCGTTGGCCTTGACTGGGGGAGTCTCCGTGCTTCACAAAGACCACCGGCACCACAGCTGTGAGAGCAGAGAAGGAAAGAGCTGTGCTGACCACAGCCATCCCCAGAGGGTCCTCCAAAGCCAGAAGGGCCCAGCTTTGGTTTGGGAGCCAGTGGCCTCTCGCTGTTTCTGTGCTGCCCAGCTGGACTATGCATGCACTGGTCTGCATCTGATGAGAAAAGCCGAGACGCTGTGTGTCGGGCTCAGGAATTCTCACAGATTCCCAGCACCAAGAGAGCAGACACGCTGGAGTGTTTCTCTACCCACACAGAGCGATGGGGAAGCTCTCGTGCATAATTTTAGGTTTACACTGCCCACACCCTTATGGTTTTATGGAAAAAAATAGTATTTTCTCTCATTGTACAAGGAGGGTATTTTTTCCGTTGTTTCTCACAGGAAACTCAGATTCTTAGCCATGTAAATATCATTTCCCATGGCGATGTCCTCCTGGCCCGGCATTTCTCCTACCTTCTGAGGCTAATTGGTTTTTGAAAAACTCCTGAGTATTTGATGAGAGGCAGAAATTTTTTTGAGCTTGTTAGCTACAATATGTTATTGTGGTTTTGTAGGAAATCATACGTACTTTTTTTTTTTTTGAGACGGAGTCTCACTCTGTCGCCCAGGCTGGAGTGCAATGGTGCGATCTTGGCTCACCGCAAGCTCCGCCTCCCGGGTTCACGCCATTCTCCTGCTCAGCCTCCCAAGTAGCTGGGACTGCAGGCGCCCGCCACCACGCCTGGCTGATTTTTTTTGTATTTTTAGTAGAGATGGGGTTTCACCGTGTTAGCCAGGATGGTCTCGATCCCCTGACCTCGTGATCCGCCCGCCTCGGCCTCCCAAAGTGCTGGGATTACAGGCATGAGCCACTGCGCCCGGCCATGTACTTTGTTTTTTAGAGACAGGGTCTCATTCTGTTGCCCAGGCTGGAGGGCAGTGGTGCAGTTACTGCTCACTGCAGGCTTGACCTCCCAGGCTCAAGTGATCCTCCCGCCTCAGCCTCCTGAGCAGCTGGGACTACAGGCGCCACCACCGCACCCACTGTTGTGGTTACTTTTCTTATAGGTGCATACTGAAGTATTTAGGAGTGAAATTTTGTGATGTCTGCAACTTACAATATTTCATAACACAAAAACATGAATCAAACATGGCAAAATATTAGTGGCTGTTAAGTCTATGTGCTGTGTATGTGGGGATCACTAAGCTACTCTTTGAAAAATTTTATCTTAAGTCAAAAAAGTAAAACTCTGCCTGAGAAAATTGTCCTAAGTTCAAAATGTCATTACCTTTACTTTTAGTGGGACAATATTTATTTATTTATTTATTTTTGAGAAGGACTCTCGCTCTATTGCCCAGGCTGGAGTGCAGTGGCATGATCTTGGCTAACTGCAACCTCCGCCTCCCGGGTTCATGCCGTTCTCCTGCCTCAGCCTCCTGAGTAGCTGGGATTACAGGCACCTGCCACTATGCCCGACTAATTTTTGTATTTTTAGTAGAGACGGAGTTTCACCGTGTTGGCCAGGCTGGTCCCGAACTCCTGACCTCAGGTGATCCACCCGCCTCGGCCTCCCAAGGTGCTGGGACTGTAGACGTGAGCCACTGTGCCCGGCCACATTATTTAAACTTTTAACGTTAGTTATTAGGACCTGATGCAAGAAGGCAGTGTTTCCTTGACTTCACACGGCAGTGGTGTGGCCTGTGGCCTTCTGGACCGCGTTGGTGATGGGGATTTGGGGGTCTGTGAGCCCCCAGGGTTGGTCTGGGTGTTTTCCCAGAGGCTTGTTGAGCCCCAAGCCTGAATGTCTGCCCCCCGTGCTCTCAGCTGCTGACCACCTCCTACGACGGGAAGAGGCACGTTGTCTGCAATGTAGGGAATCTTTGTTCTTCAGTCTCCCGCTGCGTATTTTCAGGAGCTGGACAGCTCCCAGGTCTCACCCTTCGCCTCTTGACTTCCCATTTCTGAGACGTAACGAGCTGCGGCATTTTGTTAGCCTTGTTTTGAACAGTTGTGATTTGTTGGATCTAAGCCTAGTTTTGTTTGTTGTTTTTACTTTGAGTTGCTGTTTTATAAGCAAGCAGCCTAGTTTAGACATTTTAATGGCATTACAAGGACAGGGAATCTCCAGGAAGAATGAACAGACCAGGCAAGGCATGTGGTGAGGGCAATGCACAGCAGAGGGAAGCTTAGGTTATTTGGAATTATGAGGTTCCAGCAATGGAATTTATGAATGAATTAGCCCAGTGAATGAATAGATGATGACCGAGTAAACAAGACTTACCTGTGATTCCATGGCCCTCGCCTGGGGTCAGGGCAGGGTGGGTGTGGACGGGAGGGTGTCGCTGCAGGTGCTCACCTGTCTGGCTGGAAACCTCCCCCCGCCCACACGTGGACAAGCAACACAGCTTCCCTGCAGGGGTTTCCTGAGTCCAGGGCCACACCGCAGGCTGCACCTCAGGGAATCCACAACACAACATGAGAGATTTTTGTCATAACTTTGAGCAATATGTACAGCAGTTGAGATATCTAATAGAAAAGGTAATAGTATGCTTTTGGAGGGGTGTGGGTGTTCTTCTTTTTTGAGACAGGGTCTGGCTCTGTCGCCCAGGCATGACTGCAGTGGTGCAATCACTGCTCACTGCAGCCTTGACCTCCCAGGCTCAAGCGATCCCCCCGCCTCAGACTCCCGAGTAGCGGGAAGTATAGATGTACGCCACCATGCCCGGCTAATTTTTATATTTTTTTTGATAGAGACTGGGGTTCTGCCATGTTGCCCAGGCTGGTCTCGAATTCCTGGTCTCAAGCAATCCTCCTGCCAGCCTCCCAGAGTGCTGGAATTACAAGCGTGAGCCACTGTACCTGGCCAGTAGTACGGTTTTTCTAAAGACAAAATGATTTTCAAATTATGAATGGATGGAACAGTAGCTAAATGAAATTAAACCCCATGTTAGGAAAGAAACGTCACATGCCAATGCTTACTGAGAGGCAGATGGCACAACTGATCTTTGAAGGCTCATGTGGAATTGATAATACTTTGCTAAATTCTCCAGCCCTATTTCAGATTAAAAGACTTACATTTTGTAATCAATCAATTAATTAATTGATAAAACATCCTAGTCCACATCCTGACCTGATCTATTATAAACATTTGAAAGCACCTTCCTCTAGACGTTGGACGATGAGTTGAAACTCCTAGACAGTTATGCAGGTGGTTTATGGTATTTGTGGACATTGAAACGCAGGGAGGGCGTGACTTCTTATGTCGGAGCTTAAACGTTAAAGCCACCCCGTGAATCCAGTGGCTCCCTGTTGCCTTCTGCTCTGTGGTCAATTCTGGACCCCATGGAGACTGAGACACAAACTGCCACCTTCAGAAACTTTGGTCCCCCCGAAAAGTCCTCACAGTTCAGAATGTCACGTCCTGCCAGGTGTTTTCTTCCCTTGGAGGAGACGTGCCCCCGGCGTATAGTTAGCCCGGCTGCCGCTCAGGAGGAGACGTGCCCCCGGCGTATTGTTAGCCTGGCTGCTGCTCAGGTGGGAGAGCAGCAGAGAGAGATGCATTGCCACGTAATGGAACATGAATTCCAACAATGAAACAACCATGGTGAAAAACACATTTGGAATATTTTAGCTGCTGGCTCTATGGAAAATCAACTCTAAAAAGACAAGTATTTATATCGAGGAAGACAGAATTCTGTGACTACGATAAAAGATAATATGTGAGACACTTGGCAAAATTTTACACATCAAAATGCTCACACATATGTGTGTCAATGTTAATGGAAATGCCAGCCACACTTTGGATCTTGAGATCAGGAGGCCCTCATGGCACCCTGTGAATGTGAGAACTTAGCTTCAATCCCAGCTACTGCAGACGGGGCTGGGTCACCTGCGTGGTCACAGCCTCTGCGCCTCATATTCTTTGTCTGAATTACAGAGGCAGAGGTAATCTTCCCAAGGCGGTCCAGGCTTCGCTGAGATGAGTTATGCAGATCTATCAGCAGAATGACTTGGACAGGGAGAGGTTCCATAACTGTCTTCTTTCCAGAGTCACTCAGAGCCATTGTGAGTGAGACTGGAAAGTAGCCCACTGGGAAAGGAGGCTGGGCTAGCCCCGAGTGCCCATGTGCAGGGAGGAGGTGACCTGGAGCCCTGTCCTCCATTGGAGCAAACGTCTCACATCTACTAGTTGAAATGGAGGCCTTGATCCACAAGGAGACACATGCAGATGCACCTTTAACCCCAGAGAAGGACACCAGTGCCTGTCACCCGGGCTCTTGTGGGCCTTGTAAGGATGATATAGTTGCAATCAGTAAGGCCAATAAATTACAGATTCTGAGGACAAGAGACAGCATTGGAGCTGGGGTCATACAGAAGAGTTACCTGTGGGAAGAGATGCGGCCGCCAGATCCCAGATCTATTCTCATGAGAAGCGTTTCATGGAAGGGGTTGGCCGTGGCATGCCTGGGATAGTCACAGGGTTTACTGACTAGAAACTGTTGGAACAAGAAATTCCACATCTCTGAAGTGAAAAAGCAAATGTCCCATGGAGAGTGTCCAGAAAGAGATCTTGGCCAGGCGCGGTGGCTTACACCAGTAATCAGAACATTTTGGGAGGCCGAGGCGGGTGGATCACCTGAGGTCAGGAGTTCAAGACCAGCCTGGCCAACATAGTGAAAGTCTGTCTCTACTAAAAATGCAAAAATTAGCAGGGCATGGTGGTGGGTGCCCGTAATTCCAGCTACTCAGGAAGCTGAGGCAGGAGAATCGCTAGAACCCGGGAGACAGAGGTTGCAGTGAGCCGAGATCACGCCACTGCACTCCAGCCTGGAGCGAGGCTCCATCTCAAAAAAAAAAAAAAAAAAAAAAAAAAAAGCAAGAAGTCTTCCTAGGTTTGGTGGCTCATGCCTGTAAACCCAGCGCTTTGGGAGGCTGAGGCAGGAGGATCGCTTGAGCCCAGGAGTTTGGGGCTGCAATGAGCTACAGTGGGTACCGCTGCACTCCAGCCTGGGTGACACAGTGAGACTCTGTCTCAAAAAAAATAAACAAAAAAAAAGAAGTCTTTCCAATGGATGTGAAATCAGCAGTGTCCCCTCTGGAGTTTGAAGTTTGCCATATCGATTGACTCTTACTTCCAGAAAATATTTCTCTATAGCATGAAATACTGTTTGACAGCATTTTACGCACAATAGAACTTCTTTCAAAATTGGAGTCTATCCTGTCAAATCCTGCTGCTGCTTATCAGCTAAGTTTATGTAATATTCTTTTTTTTTTTTTTTTTTTTTTTGAGACAGGGTCTTGCTCTGCTGCCCTTGCTGGAGTGCAGTGGCGTGATCATAGCTCACTGCAGCCTTGACCTCCCTGGCTCAAGCTATCCTCCTGCCTCAGGCTCTCAAGTAGCTGGGGCTACCTGTGCAAACCACCACACCCAGCTAATCTGTAAAAAAATTTTCTGTAGAGACAGGTCTTCCTATGTTGCCCAGGTTGGTTTTGAACTCCTGGGCTCAAGCGATCCTCCTGCCTTGGCATCCCAAAGTGCCAAGATTACAGGTGTGAGCCACTGCGCCCGGCTAGGTTATGTAATAATCTAAATCCTTTGTTGTTATTTCAACAATGTTCACAGCTTCTTCACCAGGAGAATATTTCGTCTCAAGAAACTACTTTGCTAATCCATAGGAAGCACATCCTCATCCGTTCAGTTTTATCATGAGATTGTAGCAATGTACTCACATCTTCAGCTTCCACTTCTAATTCTCTTGCTATTTTCACTACAACTGTGGCTCCTTCCTTCTCTGAAGTCTTGAATCCCCCAAAGTCATTCGTGAGGGTTGGAGTCCAGTCCTTTTAAACTCCTGTTAATGTTGAGATTCTTGACCTCCTCACATGAATTAATCATAAATGTTCTTAGTGGCATCTAGAAGGTGCATCCCTTTCAGAAGGTTTTCAATTTGCTTTGCCCAGATCCATCAGGGGAATCATTATCTGTAGCAGCTGTAGCCTTACAATATGTATTTCTTGGCCAGGTGTGGTGGCTTATGCCTGGAATCTCAACACTTTGGGAGGCCGAAGCGGGTGGATCACCTGAGGTCAGGAGTTTGCGACCAGTCTGGCCATGGTCTCACCATGGTCTGGACATGGTGAAATCCTGTCTCTACTAAAAATACAAAAACTAGCCAGGCGTGGTGGTGGGTGCCTGTAGTCTCAGCTACTCGTGAGGCTGAAACAGGAGAGAATCACTTGAACCTAGGAGGCGGAGGTTGCAGTGAGCCAAGATCATGCCACTGCACTCCAGCCTGGGCAACAACAGACTGAGCAATAGGTCTCAACAGTCAGATTAAAATATTCCATAAACTAGACATTAAACAGATGTGCTGTCACCTAGGCTTGTTGTTCTATTTATAGAGCACAGACACAGTAGATTTTGCATCATTCTTAAGGGCCCTGGGTCAGAATGGTAAATGACCATTGGCTGTAAGTCACATTAGCCCCTAAGAACAGAGTCAACCTGTTCTCTAAAGCTTCGAAGCCAGGCATTGACTTCTCTTCCCCGGCTATGAAAGTCCTAGTAAGAAGGCTATTTTGTCTATGTTGAAAATATGTTGTTTAGGCCAGGCGCGGTGGCTCATGCCTGTACTCTCAGCACTTTGGGAGGGCGAGGTGGGTGGATCACAAGGTCAGGAGTTGGAGACCAGCCTGACCAATATGGTGAAACCCCGTCTCTACTAAAAATACAAAAATTAGCTGGGCGTGGTGGCGCGTGCCTGTAATCCCAGCTACTCAGGAGGCTGAGGCAGGAGAATTGCTTGAACTAGGGAGGCGGAGGTTGCAGTGAGCCGAGACTGCGCCACTGCACTCCAGCCTGGGCAACAGAGAGACACTCCATCTCAAAGAAAAAAAAAAAGAAAAGAAAATATGTTGTTTAGTGTAGCCATTTTCATCAACCGTCTTAGCTGGATCTGGATAACTTGCCTGCAATTTCTACATCAGCGCTTGCTGCTTCTCTTTTTTTTTTTTTTTTTTTTTTTTGAGACGGAGTCTCACTCTGTCGCCCAGGCTGGAGTGCAGTGGCGCCATCTCGGCTCACTGCACACCCGGCACAGGGTCATGCTTGAGCAGGGAGTTAACGCCACTTCCTTAATGGCTGAGTGTCCACTACAATTATTTGGGATTTTTCTGCATAGGAGATTTCTCTCACCCACTTTTGTTTACGTGTGTAATCATTGACCTATGCCAGTGTGGACACCTGGAGAGTTATTTCAAGTTTTGGTTACAATTCAGTACTACAGGATTTTGTTGCTTTATTCATTCCCATTTGTGTCATTGGGAGCTCTTGTTGGCTCTGGTTTTTCTTTGTCATAATCTGTGTGTGTGTGTGCTTGTGTGTATGTGTGTGTGTGTGGGGTGAGAGTGTGTGTGTCTGTGTTCTGAGCAGTTCCTTACTTTTTGATACTTCAGGATCATCCAGGCTCATGTTTTTACTGCCTTAGTTTTAGTGAAGCCATTTCTTCAAAGAGCCCTGGTTCCTTTCACTGTAGAATCGCATGAAAAACTATATTTAGGAGCTGAATGCACTCATTGCCCCTGCGGCCTCAATGCCTTTAGGTCTTACAGCTGACGTGCCAGGAAACACCTGTGTGTTTCCAACCTATGTGGACCGCCTGATTATCGAGATTTCTATGTGGAGCTGTCGGTGTCTGGATTAGGCTAAGTATGAGTTGATGCTGATGTTGCCCCTCTGGTTTATTATCACATGGATCATTGTAGCCTCCCTTTGCTAATCTGTAACCTCCCACCTCAGCAGTGAGAGACCTGCTTCCCATCATCTGCCACTTACATAAGTCACTGCTCCATTCCAGGTGGAGATACAATGGTTCAATAATTGTTTTTGTTTTGTTTTTGTTTTGAGACGGAGTCTCACTCTGTCACCAGGCTTGAGTGCAGTGGCGCGATCTCGGCTCACTGCAACCTCCGCCTCCCGGGTTCAAGTGATTCTCCTGCCTCAGCCTCCCAAGTAGCTGGGATTACAGGAACGCGTCACCACGCTCAGCTAATTTTTGTATTTTTAGTAGAGACAGGGTTTCACCATGTTGGTCAGGATTGTCTCGATCTCTTGACCTCGTGATCCACCCGCCTCGGCCTCCCAAAGTGCTGGGATTATAGGCGTGAGCCACCGCGCCTGGCCTCCAGATTCCACTAAATTCTAAAGAGACCTTTCAGGTCAGTACGTTTTGCCCTGCAGGGATTTTGTTTTAATCTTTTGTGATACAGTTAGATTCTTGGTCACATTCTGTGTTCCATCCAGGGATATTCCCACATATTAAATAATGTAATTCCACTTGCATACATTATGATTTACTCTGGGCTTTAAAATTCTATCACTTTTCACAAGTGGACAGGGACAGGTATCCACAGTTAAAGTATCACATGGAGTACTTCAAATCCCCACCGCCATGAATCCCGTGTCACCACTGATCAGTTTGCTATCTCTGTTGTTTTGCCTTTCCAGCATGTCATATAAGTGGGGACGTACAGCCTCTGCATCCTGGCTCTCTCATGAAGCAGTGTGCCTGTGAGGTCCATCCGGGTAGCGTGGATGGATAGGTCATGCCTTTCTTTCTCTCTCATGAAGCAGTGTGCCTGTGAGGTCCATCCGGGTGGCGTGGGTGGATAGGTCATGCCTTTCTTTCTCTCTCATGAAGCAGTGTGCCTGTGAGGTCCATCCGGGTGACGTGGGTGGATAGGTCATGCCTTTCTCTCTCATGAAGCAGTGTGCCTGTGAGGTCCATCCAGGTGACGTGGGTGGATAGGTCATGCCTTTCTTTCTCTCTCATGAAGCAGTGTGCCTGTGAGGTCCATCCGGGTAGCGTGGGTGGATAGGTCATGCCTTTCTTTCTCTCTCATGAAGCAGTGTGCCTGTGAGGTCCATCCGGGTGGCGTGGGTGGATAGGTCATGCCTTTCTTTCTCTCTCATGAAGCAGTGTGCCTGTGAGGTCCATCCAGGTAGCATGGGTGGATAGGTCATGACTTTCTTTCTCTCTCATGAAGCAGTGTGCCTGTGAGGTCCATCCAGGTGGCGTGGGTGGATAGGTCATGACTTTCTCTCTCATGAAGCAGTGTGCCTGTGAGGTCCATCCGGGTGACGTGGGTGGATAGGTCATGCCTTTCTTTCTCTCTCATGAAGCAGTGTGCCTGTGAGGTCCATCCAGGTGGCGTGGGTGGATAGGTCATGACTTTCTCTCTCATGAAGCAGTGTGCCTGTGAGGTCCATCCAGGTGGCATGGGTGGATAGGTCATGACTTTCTCTCTCATGAAGCAGTGTGCCTGTGAGGTCCATCCAGGGAGCGTGGGTGGATAGGTCATGACTTTCTCTCTCATGAAGCAGTGTGCCTGTGAGGTCCATCCAGGTGACGTGGGTGGATAGGTCATGCCTTTCTTTCTCTCTCATGAAGCAGTGTGCCTGTGAGGTCCATCCGGGTGACGTGGGTGGATAGGTCATGCCTTTCTTTCTCTCTCATGAAGCAGTGTGCCTGTGAGGTCCATCCAGGTGGCGTGGGTGGATAGGTCATGACTTTCTCTCTCATGAAGCAGTGTGCCTGTGAGGTCCATCCAGGTGGCATGGGTGGATAGGTCATGACTTTCTCTCTCATGAAGCAGTGTGCCTGTGAGGTCCATCCAGGGAGCGTGGGTGGATAGGTCATGACTTTCTCTCTCATGAAGCAGTGTGCCTGTGAGGTCCATCCGGGTAGCGTGGGTGGATAGGTCATGCCTTTCTTTCTCTCTCATGAAGCAGTGTGCCTGTGAGGTCCATCCAGGTGGCGTGGGTGGATAGGTCATGACTTTCTCTCTCATGAAGCAGTGTGCCTGTGAGGTCCATCCGGGTAGCGTGGGTGGATAGGTCATGCCTTTCTTTTGCTGAATAGCATTCCATTGCACCGCATACTTCAGTTTGGTTATGCATTCAGCTACTGAAGAATGTCATGATTCCTTTAATTTTTGGCTATTATGAATAGTGCTTCTATACATGTGTGTGCTGGTTTTTACTTGGACATAATTTTTCAAGGCAGTTGTCTAAATACCTAAGAAGGAGATTGTTGGATCAGATGGTGAGACTTGTTTAGTTTTTGGAAAAACTGCTGAAGTGACTGTACCCTTATGCCTTCCCCCAGCAATGAATGAGACCTCCTATTGCAATTGCTACTGTTCTTTAGATTTTAGCCATTTTAATAGATGTACAGTACTATCTCATTTAATCTGCTTTTCCCTCAGGACAAGTTTGTTGAGAATTAAT
Source organism: Homo sapiens (assembly GCF_000001405.40). Taxonomy (NCBI): domain Eukaryota; kingdom Metazoa; phylum Chordata; class Mammalia; order Primates; family Hominidae; genus Homo; species Homo sapiens. The sequence continues at coordinate 269,373 of NC_000019.10, read as the reverse complement.
TAATTTGGATGCTTATTTGGCATCTGTGCATCTTCTTTGCTGAGGTGTCTTTTCAGATCTTCACATATTTTCAATTGGGTTGTTCATCTAATTCTTTTTGAGTTTTAGAGGTTTTTTTTAAAAAAAAATATTTTGCAGACAAGTCCTTTTTCGGATGTGTTTCCCAAATATTTTCTTTTTTTTTCTTGAGACAGGGTCTTACTCCATCACCCAGGCTGGAGTGCAGTGGTGCGATCTCAGCTCACTGCAACCTCTGCCTCCTGGGTTCAAGCAATTCTCCTGCCTCAGCCTCCCGAGTAACTGAGATTACAGGCGTGTGCCACCACATCCAGCTAATTTTTTTTGTTTTGTTTTGTATTTTTAGTAGAGACGGGGTTTCACCATGTTGGCCAGGCTAGTCTCGAACTCCTGACCTCAAATGATCCACCCACTTTGGCCTCCCAGAGTGCTGCGATTATGGGTATGAGCCACCTTGCCCGGCTGTTTCCCAAATATTTTCTATCAATCAGTCTGTGAATTGCTTTTTTGTTCTCTTAACCAGAGCAGCCATTTTAAATTTTAATAAAGTCCCCGTTATTGTTTTGTTTTCTTTTGTGGGTTGGCTTTTGGTGTATTGCATCTAGAAACTCATCACCCAAACCAAGGCCATGCAGATATTTTTCTCGGCTTTCTTCTATAACTTTCACAACTTTGCACTTGAAAATTTAAGTCTATGGACTATTTTGAGTGAATTTTTGGATAAAATACAAGGTTTTTGTCTCCATTCATTTCTTTCCCCTATGGTTTGCAATTGTTCTGTTGTCTTTTGTGGAACAGACTTCTCTTTCTCCACTGAGTTGCCTTTGTCCGTTTGACAAAGTCAGTTGGCTTGAGTCTGTTTGGGGGCTCTCTGTTCTGTCCCACTTATCTATGTGTCTAACCGCTTCACCACTGCCACGCTCTCTTCATTACTGTGGCTTTAGGGTGAGTGTTCAGATCCAGATGTGTGAGGTCTTTAACTTTGTTCTCCTTCAGTCTTATTTCATCCATTCTGGGTTTAGGAACAGTTTGTCGATATCTTTGCCTGGAATTTAACTGGGATTTGGCTGAATCTATAGATCGATTTGGAAAGAATTGTCACCTTCACAATAATGAGTGTACTTCTCCTAAATAAGGAACATCTCTGCATTTACTTATACCTCTTTTGGTTTCTCTCAACTGTGATTCATGGTTTTCCGAATGCATGTTTGCACACCTTTTGTTACGCTGATACTTAATGGATTCAGCTTCAGGGGTGCTATTGTAAATGGTATTTTAATATTTCTAGTTCCAATTATTTCCATCCATTATTGGTGATATGAAGAAACTCAACTGACTTTTGCCTACTGGACATCTTTTTTAGTTTTTATTTTATTTATTTTATTTTTTTGAGACGGAGTTTCACTCTTGTTGCCCAGGCCGGAGTGCAATGGTGCAGCTCACCGAAACCTCCGCCTCCTGGGTTCAAGCGATTCTCCTGCCTCAGACTCCCGAGTAGCTGGGATTACAGGCATGCGCCACCACGCCCAGCTAATTTTGTATTTTTAGTAGAGACAGGGTTTCTCCACGTTGGTCAGGCTGGTCTCAAACTCTCGACCTCGGGTGATCCGCCCGCCTCGGCCTCCCAAAGTGCTGGGTTTACACGCGTGAGCTACCGCGCCCGGGCCATCTTTTTTAGTTTTTAAAATCTCCATCCGTTCCGATCAAGGCACGGGATGGTGGCCTCGATTTCAGTTGACATTTCCGAAATCACGGCCTGCAGTCATCCGAACGCTGATTTTCAGAGACTCCCCAGGACTGCCGCGAGGGGGCGCCCGGCTCCCGCCCAACCTGGAGCACGCGCGGGAACCGCGGCGGATCCGCACTCGTCGCCCCGGGGCGTCGACCGGGAAGACGGAGCCACGGTCTCTTCAGGACCCGCCCGGGAGCGGCCGCGGTTCGGGACACCCGGTCACCAGGTGAGAGGAGGAGGAAAAGGCGTCCTGTCCGCGGCCGCGAGTGCTGAGGAGGGAGCGCTGCCGTGGGCCTTACTTCCCTGTCACGGTCTACGCGGCGTGTTGTAAAACGGTGTCCCTTCAGCGGGGCGGGAACTGCGCGTCCTGACAGCGCAGCGCAGCGCAGCGCAGCGCAGCGTGGCCTCCGGATCTGCGCTGGTTCCTGGGGAGAGATCCTGGCGCCGAGAAAGGAGCAACGCGAGCGGCGCCATCGGGACGGCGCGGGTGATGGCTGGGGACCGGCCGGCGCTGCGGAGTCGCCAGCGCTTTCATTCGTGTTGTAATAGCTCATTTGTCTCACAGCACTGAAGTAGTTGAATCAGTATGGAAATATTTAGCAATAGGCATATTCTAACTAGAAACGTAAAGTTTAAATGCATTGTTTATACCTCCCCACACGAAATAACATGTACCAAATCCTAATACAGACGTATGTGCAGATTTAGTTTGAGCATTTGGGGAGGGGATATGATGGCTGCGACCCTTTCCTACACCTGCCAGAGCTGTTCACTGTTACATCCCTGTCCAGGACGTTCTTATGCCAGCATTGTATGTTTCCAACCTAATAATTCCCTAAGCTGGACTGTCTCCATTATTCTTTCAACAAAGGCAAAACAGCTTTTTCCATTGTTCTGACAGTATATTTAACGTGAGCATACTTTATGAGATGATACATTTGTTCATGATGGGCTACTCCTGTTATACAATCAAATATATTTTGATTCTGACACTCTCAATTGTAGTTCAAGTCCAGCGTATTTTCCGAGGAGCATTAATCATTCATTGTATATTTTATTACATAAATAAGGCATGGGTCGTCTTTTATCATTAACTTCATGACTAGCTATATTGACATTATAATTACTTACAAGTTCAACTAAATTTGGAAACATTTCAGAGTTTGGGCTTCCAATAATTATTTGTGATTCTCTAACAGGTAAATTATTTTTTCCCATAAATCCTAGCAACATCTAAAATCACTCAGAATATCCTGCCATTTTTGTTTCTCTAGTTTCATCACATTCTGCAAAGTATCATTGAGGAAATTGACTTTGAATATTCTTAAACTCTTCTGTTTTAGAAAATATCACAATGAAACATTAAATTATCATGGTTACAAATTCTATTCACTTTCTATCTTTGAATACTTTTCCCCCAGTGGCCAATATTGCATTCTGTTGTATTATTGCTAAAAAGCATGCATGGAAAACAAAGACAGGGATATTTTAGAGAAAGTGATCCAGTCACGATGAATCGATTTGCCATTGAAACATTTTTTTTTTTAAATCTTGGATACTAAGGAACTTTTTTAAACATTCTTTTGACAATGTTCAACCATGAATTGAAATAGAGTCTCTAAAATGAATTTTTTTCCTGGTTGTCTAAAAGGCGACCGACCACCTTTTTAGAGAGTGAACCCAAGACACAGCCACAGTACCAGAAAAAATTATGTGAAGTAAGTTTATACATCTATGTTATTACTTTAACATAAAACATGTAGAGGCATTTATTTGGAATTAGATATTAATCTGTATGCTTTAATTTTTATGTCATAAATGCTCTGATTAAAAGACAGGAATAGTTAACAGGGTAAATTACTAGTAATTACTAGTACAAATAATTAAGCAGGTGTTTGAAAAAATACAACACTTTTAAATTAAGTTTTATTTTAGAGTTGTTTTAGATTTATACAGAAATAACAAAGAAAACACAGATTTCCCATGTAGCTTCAACCCAGTTTCCTCTCTTATTAACATCTTCTATCAGTATGTCTCACGTCATTTGTCACAGTGAATGAACAAATGTTGATATGCTATTATTAACTGAAGCCCATATTTTATTTGGAGTTCCTCATGTTAGAAATGCTTGTTCCCCGGTGCTGTAAAGAAATAGCACTTGAACATAAATTTAATTTCCTCAGCAAGGCCGTTTTTTTACTTTCTGCATAAAGGGTACACTCGCCAGCAGTTTTACCACGAGAGTATCCAGAACAAAGGAGACAAGGTCATTTATAACCTGACGCATCCACCCTACTGCTGTGTCCGGTTTCCATTGGCTGAAACGGGACCCCACATTCTGTATTTGTTCTGATCTTCTAGCAACTTATAAATTTTTAAAAGAGGCAAAGGCAGAGGATAACAAAGGAAGGAAGAAGTAACTTGTGGAATGCTGTGAAAGGTAAAAACACCTTCAAATAAGGAAGAGGAAGAGGCTATAACCTAATGCTTGCTTGGACCAGTATAAGCATGTCAGGCAAATATTTAGGCTAAATTGTGGGCGCTAAGAACATACAGTACCTTGATTTCTTTATTACGGCCAGCAGATATTTAAGAATGTTAGCACAGATCTTTGAATAATTTTTACATCTAAGAGAAGTTACTATTTATTCCTAATTAGATGGGGAGGAAAGTCTTTGAAGAGGAACCTCAACTTTACTGTTTACACTTAGTTCTATCTTTCCCTACTCCAGGGTCGCACCCGGGATCCCACGTAACATTCGTTGTCACGACTCCTTAGGCTCTTCTTGGCTGTCACGGTTTCTCAGACTTTCCTTCTTCCAATGACCTTGACGGTGTTAAGGAGGACTGGTTAGGCGTTTTGTAGAATGTCTCCCATTGTTATTTACCTGGTGCTTTTCTGAGAAGTTGACTGGGGTTATGGGTTTGGGGGAAGCAGATCACAGAGGTGAAGTGCTATTCTTGTCACTTCATGGTGTCAAGGTGAATTATCACCATTGGTATTAACTGTGATCACCTGGCTGAACTAGTGTTTGTCCAGTTTCTCTACTGTGAAGTTACTTGTCCATATTGTATGTATTCTTCTGGAGGAAGTCACTATGCACAGCCCCCATTTAAGGAGTGGGATGTTAGCTCCACCTCTTTGATGGCTGAGTGTCTATATCAATTATTTGGAATTCTTTTGTAAAGGAGAATTCTATTCAACTTTATTTGCTTATGCACTTATTTGTATAAATGTGGACACATAGACAGTTACTTTAAGCTTTGGTTATTCAATACTGCAGTATTTTGTTGCTCAATTTGTTTCTGCTTTGGCCTTTGGGAGCTCTTTCCATTGGTTCTTTTTTCCTTTTGACATAATTTCATATTTTTTGAGTACTTTCTTTTGTTCTGGTATGTTAATTATCCTGGCTCATATATTTACTGTCCCAGTCCCTGTATTGGCCATTTCTTCAGAGAGCCCTCATTGCTTTCATTAGAAAACGCTATTAAAAATTTATGTTGGCCGGGCATGGCGGCTCCCACCTGTAATCCCAGCACTTTGGGAGGCCAAGGCAGGTGCATTACCTGAGGTCAGGAGTTCAACACAAGCCTGGCCAACATGGTCAAACCCTGTCTCTAGTAAAAATAGAAAAACTAGCTATGTGTGGTGGCGGGCGCCTTATAATCCCAGTTACTTGGGAGGCTGAGTCAAGAGAATCACTTGAACCTGGGAGGCATAGGTTGCAGTGTGCCAAGATCACACCATTGCACTCCAGCTTGGGCAACAAGACCGAAACTCTGTCTCAAAAAAAAAAAAAAAATGTTATGTCTGGCTGGGTATGGTAGCTCACACCTGTGCTCTTGGCACTTTGCGAGGCTAAGATGGGAGAATCCCTTGAGTCTAGGAGTTTGAGACCAACCTGGGCACCACAGGGAGACCCCATGTCTACAAACAATTTAAAAAATTAGCCAGGCATGGTGGTGCATGCCTATGGTCCCAACCTTGAGAGGCTGAAGTGGGAGGATTGCTTGAGCCCAGGAGGTCGAGGCTGCGGTGAGCCATGATTGCACCACTGCACTCCAGCCTGGGTGACAGAGCAAGACCCTGTCAAAAAATAATAATAATAATAATAAAAGAAAAGAAAAAAAAGTTCATTCCATTTGGCTTATGATTCTGGTGGCAGGAACATCCAAGATTGGGCAGCTGCATCTGGTGGGGCTTTATGGTGCCTCAACACATGGTGGAAAGCAGAAGGGGAGCCAGTGTGCACCTGAGATCACATGGCGAGGGAGAAAGCAAGAGAGAAACCAAGGAAGCCAGACTGTTTTTAACAGCCTGCTCTTGGCTGGGCGTGGTGGCTCACGCCTGTAATCCCAGCACCTGAGATCACATGGCGAGGGAGAAAGCAAGAGAGAAACCAAGGAAGCCAGACTCTTTTTAACAGCCTGCTCTTGGCTGGGCGTGGTGGCTCACGCCTGTAATCCCAGCACCTGAGATCACATGGCGAGAGAGAAAGCAAGAGAGAAACCAAGGAAGCCAGACTCTTTTTAACAGCCTGCTCTTGGCTGGGCGTGGTGGCTCACGCCTGTAATTCCAGCACTTTGGAAGGCCTAGGTGGGCAGATTACCTGAGGTCAGAAGTTTGAGACCAGCCTGGCCAACATAGCGGAACCCCATTTCTACTAAACATACAAAAATTAACTGGGCACTATGGCACATGCCTGTAATCACAGCTACTCAGGAGGTTGAGGCAGCCGAATTGCTTGAACCTGGGAGGCAGAGGTTGCAGTGAGCTGAGATTACGCCACTGCACTCCAGCTTGGGCGACAGAGCGAGACTCCGTCTCAAAAAAAATAATGATACTAACAAGGTCAGGAGTTCGAGACCAGCCTGGCCAAAATGGTGAAACACCATCATTACTAAAAATACAAAAAGCTGGGTGTGGTGGCGTGTGCCTGTAGTCCCAGCTACCCAGGAGGCTGAGGCAGGAGAATCACTTGAACCTGGGAGGTGGAGGTTGCAGTGAGCTGAGATCGTGCCACTGTCCTCCAGCCTGGGTGACAGAGTGAGACTCTGTCTCAAAAAAAAATAATAATAATAATAAGAAAAATGTAAAAATAAAATGTTAGCCACAAATTAGGCATAAATACTGGGATGGTTAATTTTAGCTGTCCCCTTGACAGGATTAAGGGATACTCACATAGCTGGTAAAGCACTATTTCTGGGTGTGTTTTTATGGGTGCATTTGTGAAGGTGTTTCTGGAAGTCCCTTCAGAAGAACCTCTGTTGATTTAGTCATCATTCTGTTCCTGGTACTGAGAGGGAGACTCTGTTAAAATGGGGATTTCCTTGGTAGATGTAAATTTCCCTTATAAAAGGTTAACTTCTACTCTGTTTCTGTGTCTGCATTTTCTGAAAATGAGTTGAAAATAATCCTTATGCCAAAGAGCCATTTTTTATAGTCTCTAGAGTCATATTTTAGGGTGGCATATTCTGGTCTTCTACACCATCTTTCGTAATGGCTGTACCATTAAGCATTCCACTAGCGGTGAACGAGACTTCCTGGTTTTCCTCCAGCAATTCATTTGTCCTTTGAAGGGGGCCTGCCCCTCCACACCTGTGGGTATTTCTCGTCAGGTGGGACAAGAGACTGAGAAAAGAAATAAGACACACAGACAAAGTATAGAGAAAGAACAGTGGGCCCAGGGGACTGGCACACTCAGCATGTGAGGACCTGCACCGGCCCTAAATCCACTAAACCTGGATTCAATACAGCACATGTTTCTGTGAGCACAGGGTTGGGACTAAAGTTACAGGTTAACAGCATCTCAAAGCAGAAACAATTTTTCTTAGTACAGATCAAAATGGAGTTTCTTATGTCTTCCTTTTCTACATAGACACAGAAACAATGTGATCTCTCTTTTCCCCACAGTCCTTTTTTTTTTTTCTTTTTTGATACAGAGTCTCGCTCTGTCTCAGGGCTGGAGTGCAGTGGCACAGTCTCGGCTCACTGCAACCTCCGCCTCCTGGGTTCAAGTGATTCCCCTGCCTCAGCCTCCCAGTAGCTGGGACTATAGGCGTTCACCACCACACCTGGCTAATTTTTTTTTTTTGTATTTTAGTAGAGACGGGGTTTCACCATGTTTGCCAGGATGGTCTCAATCTCCTGACCTCATGATGCATGTGCCTCGGCCTCCCAAAGTCCTGGGATTACAGGTGTGAGCCACCGCGCCGGGCCATTTGTCAGTTTTTTTTAGAGCTTAGCAGTTGTGTTACTGGTGGAGGGTGTCCTGGTTCTTGGCATCTTGAACAAAGAATTGGACAAAACACACAAAGCAAGGAAAGAATGAAGCAACAAAAGCAGAGATTTATTGAAAATGAAAGTACAGTCCACAGTGTGGGAGCGGGCTGAGCATAGGGCCTAAGGGCCCCGTTGCAAAACCTCTGGGGGTTTAAATACCCTCTAAAGGATTTCAATGGTTACTTGGTGTCCACCCCGTGTAAATGAAGAGGATGAAGTAAAGTTACAAAGTCATTTACTTGGAGTAGCCCTGTGGAGAGGACATTTCCTGTCATAGTTGAAGTGTGAATCCGCCTTATGTTCCTGATTCCAGACTTGATTTTCCTGCCTCAGTTCTAGCGGGTACAGATGGGCCGCGCCATCTCATCACTGTTGGAATTTTCACACGCTGTCTCATCACCATTGGGTTTTCACACCGTCTCACACCGCTGGGTCTCATTATTGTTGGAATTTTTAGTCCCCCAATCATATACGAAATTGAGCTTCTTTCGGTATGTTTATTTGCCATCTCTACATGTTTTTTGGTGATGTTTCTGTTCAGATCTTGACCCATTTTTAATTAGGTTATCTTACTATTGAGTTTTAAGAATTCTTTGTATATTTTGAATACAAATTGTTGCTCAGATCTCTATTTTGCAAATGTTACGTTTCATTCTGTGTCTTGTCTTTTTTTAAATTTTGAGACGGAGTTTTGTTTTTGTTTCCCAGGCTGGAGTGCAATGGGGTGATCTAGACTCACTGCAGCCTCTGCCTCTGGATTCAAGTGATTCTCTTGCCTCAGCCTCCCGAGTAGTTGGGATTACAGGCACCCGCCACCACATCCGACTAATTTTTTTATTTTTTTATTTTAGTAGAGATAGGGGTTTCGCCATGTTGTCCTGGCTGGTCTGGAGCTCCTGGCCTTAGGTGATCCTCCCACCTCGGCCTCCCAAAGTGCTGAGATTACAGGCGCGAACCACCGTGCCTGGCTGTCCAGCATGTAGGTAGAGGGCAAGGTGAACCTCTTGGATGGTTACACTAATATATTATTAGTGTATAGTGAGCAGTGAGGACAGCTAGAGGTCACTTTCATCTCCATCTTGGTTTTGGACTTTTTTTTTTTCCCATATCCTGTTTTATCAGCAGGGTCTTTGTGACCTACATCATGTGCTGACCTCCTATCTCATCCTGTGATTAAGAACACTTAACCTCCTCGGAACGCAGCCCAGCAGGTCTCATCCTTATTTTACCCAGCCCTTAATCAAGATGGATTCACTGTGGTTCAAATGCCTCTGAGAGTGTCATGTGTTAAAACTCATGACCAAATCCAATGTCACATAGCTTTCTTTCTATGTTTTCTTCTAGAATTTGAATAATTTTGTCACCAGAAAAGGAGTCTTGTCCCAGACCCCGAGAGTGGGTTTTTGGATCTCACATGGGAAAGAATTTATGGCAAGTCACAGAGTATAGTGAAGGTAAGAGAGTTTATTAGCGACTATTCAGTTACAGAGCAGGGCGTCCTCAGAAAGCAGGAGAAGGAACGCACCTGTTTTAAATTAAAAAAATTTTTTTTGAGAGAGTTTCACTCTCGTCTCAATGGCATGATCTTGGCTCACTGCAACCTGTGCTTCCTGGGTTCAAGGGTTCTCCTACGTCAGTTTCCCAAGTAGCTGGAATTACAGGTGTGTGTCACCATGCCCGGCTAATTTTTTGTATTTTTAGCAGAGACTGGGTTTTACCATGTTGGCCAGGCTGGTTTCAAACTGCTGGCCTCAAGTGATCCGCCCGCCTTGGCCTCCCAAAGTGCTGGGATTACAGGCCTGAGCCACTGCATCTGGGCTTAGTGTTTGTTTATATAGGTTATTAAGAATAGTGTTGTCTCTCTTTTTTTTTTTTTGAGACGGCGTCTTGCTCTGTAACCTGTTACATAATAACCTGTAACCTGTAACCTGTTACAGGTTAGGAATAACCTGTAAATCATAGAGAGTTAAAGGTGCTTCCCCAAAACACTGATGACAGAATGAAAGGTGAGGAGTGTTAGCCACAGGTCAAAAGTGCAGGAAAGTCTCTCAGTGTGGGTTGCTGAAGAAATGCAGGTCTTTTTTCTTTTGGAAATCTCCCTAGAATGGGGTCAAGGACTCTGCCCATTCTAGGATGAAAAACTGGGATATTAGACACCTTCAGATATTTATCCCCAGCTTTCATTTTGGGCTCTTAATTAGTTTGTTCATCCATCACAATCTCAAATGCTAAGCAGGGCATTTGAATCTCTCCACAGTGCAAATCAGCGCCGTCTTTTAAAGTTGAGTTTCTTGTTATTCTCACCTGATGTACCTTATTTATCCCACACCCACCCCAATAACATATCGTGCTCAGTGTTATCTTTGAGGCAACCCTTGAATTTTACTCAGCCTGGAGCGCTCTTCACATGTCTTGTCCAGAGCCAGTTCGGACTCATTCTTCAGCCGTGCATCAGTCAGTGGGGGCTAGCTTAAACTGTGGTGACAAACAACCTCCAAATTTCAGTGGCTCAAAAATCTTCTTCCTCATTTATTTACATCTCATCACGGGTCAGGTGAGAGGTAGCTCTGTGCTGTGTCATCCTAACACAGGAATCCAGAAGGAAGGAGGGACCATCAATAAGATCCCCATTGCTATAGAAAAGAGAAAAAAGCATGCGGAATAGAACGCTGTTTCTTGGAGATTTCTCCTGAAAAAGTCACATGTTATTTCTTCTCACCTCCATCGGCAAAAAAAAAAAAAAAAAAAAAAAAAAAAAAAAAGTCATGTAGCCATGGGAAAATTTAAGTGGGTGGGATGGAACAGTCAGAATGCGTTCATAAAAAATGAACTGAAAATATTTGGAGAACAGCACCAATGACTATCATGAATGCCAACATGCATCCCTAACAACCCAGTGCTGTTACCCTCCAAACTTTTTATGTCTTGCAAAGTATTACAACTTCATATCTGAAGCCATACTACTCAGAGGGAATGCAAAATACATAATGACGTCTCCTTTAGGATGTCCATAGAGAATTCAAGAAAAGAAGTTAAATAATTTAAAAGTGCTTTTGGGTACAGCTATTTAGCACTAGAGGGTAAGATTAGAGTTAGATTGTAAAGATAATAATAGGGTTAGGCATAGGATTAGGATCTGGGTCAGAGTCAGGGCCGGAAGTATGGTTAGAGGTGGGGTCATGGCCAGGGTCAAGATCAAAGTCAGGGTCAAAGTAAGGGTCAGAATTAGGGACCAGGGTAGGGATCAGGATTTCGGTTCAGGGTCAAAGTCTTGGGACAGGGTTAGGGTTAGGATTAGAACCAGAGCTTTGTTGTGCTCAGGACCCACCCGAGGGTGAGTCACCATGGCTTTGGAGCACCTGGTAGTGTGGCGTGTCCACAGTGAAGACCAGAGTTTCGTTGTCCTTAAGACTGACCTGGGAGACGTGGCTGCAGGCCATTGAGGAAGGTGAGGCAAAAGCTTCCTGTCTGCTCCGCGTGTGCTGAGGAGGGAGCTCTGCCATGTGCTTTACTTTCACACGTTATATTCTACAAGTCTTGTTTTACAAAAGCATCCCTTCCTTGAGGCTTCGGCTGCTCATCACTGCTCATCATCATAACGTGCCATAATATATAGTAAGATTTGGGTTTGTTTCTGGGAGAGATCTTGGCATAGAGAAAGGAGAAATGCTTAGAGCCACCATCAAGACAGTTGGGATGAAAGCTGGGGATAGGCAGAGACTGGAGGAAACATGTGCACCCCTTGTAAACCCTTTTATTCATGTTTTAATTATTCACTTTTCTTACAGTGTTAAATTAGTAAAAATAGTATTGAAAAATGTTAATTTTATTAACATTTTAATAAATGTTAATAAATAGTGTTGCATATTAAAACTTGCAACACTATTTAAGCTTAGTATATTATTTGTACCTCATCAACATTTTTTATTTTGTTGAGAAAGTCTAAGGTTAATTGGTAGCATATTTCTAATAGTAGATAGAATAATGTCTGTTTTATAAACATTGACATCCTACATTACATGTGTGAACCCTGAAAATCTGAGACAGCTCTCAGATTTATTAGAAAGTTTATTTTGCCAAGCTTGAGGATGTGCACCCATGATGCATCCTCAGGAGGTCCTGACAACATGGGCCCAACGTGGTCGGGGCACAGCTTGGTTTTATAGACTTTAGGGAGACATGAGACATCAATCAATATGTGAAAGATGTACATTGGTTCAGTCCAGAAAGGTGAGAAGGACAGACAGGGGGCTTCCAGGTCATAGGTAGGTAAGAGACAAATGGTTTCATTCTTTTGCTTTGCTGATTACCCTCTCCACATGAGGCAATCAGATATGCATTTATCTCAGTGAGCAGATGGGTGACTTTGGATAGAATGGGAGGCGGGTTTGCTCTAAGCAGTTCCCAGCTTGACTTTTCCTTTTAGCTTAGTGATTTTGATTCCCCAAGATTTATTTTCCCTTCATAAGGTTTTCCTAGGAACATTAATTATTCATTGTGTATTTTATTACACAAATAAGGCACAGATTTTTAAAAATCATCAACTTTGTGGCTACCTATATAGACATAATTACATAGAAGCTCAACTAAATTTGCAAACATTCCAGAGTTTGGGTTTCCAACAATTCTTTGTGATTCTTTAAAAGGTAAAGTATTTTTTCCCATAAAACATAGCAACATTTAAAATCACCCGTAGAATGTCCCGCCATTTTTGTTTCTCTAGTTTCCTCATTTTCTGCAAAGCCTCAGTGAGGAAATTGACTTTGAATATCCTTTTACACTCTTCTGTTTTAGAAAGCATTGTGGTAAAACATTGAATCATCATGGTCATAAGTTCTGTTCACATTCTTTCTTTCTTTGAATATTTTTTCCCAGTGGCCAATATTTGATTCTGTTGTATCATGGCTAAAAGGTAGGCATGGCAACAAAATAAAGACAGGAAGTCTTTGGAATAAGTGATCCCATCACAATGAATCAATTTGCCATTGGAACATATTTTTACAAAGTCACTCTTTTGAAAATATTTAGCTATGAATTGAAACAGAGTCTGTAAGGTTAATATTTTTCCTGGTCTAAGATGAACAGCATTTTAGAGAATGAACCCAGGACACAACCACAGCACAAGAAAAACATGTGATAATTAAGTTTACACATGTGTGTTACTACTGCAACAGAAAACATGTAAAGAACATTTGATTTATGTATCAGTCTGCACTGTTTAATTTTTTGTGTCATAAATACTCTTATTTAAAAAAACAGGACTAGTTAACAGTGTCAATTACTAGTAATTCATGGTATAAATAATTAAACAAGGAAGTGTTCAAAAAAAACAGTGTTTTAAATAAAGTTTTATTTTACATCATTTTTTTTACTTACACAGAAATTGTCAAAAAAAAGCAGAGATTTCCCATGTAGCCGCAACCTAGTTTCCTCTCTTATTAACATCTTCTATCAGTGTGTCTCACATGGCTTATTAATATCTTACATAATTTGTCACAGTTAATGAACCAATACTGAGACTATTATTAACTAAAGTTCATATTTCATTTGGACTCCCTTAGTTCTGTCTTACTCTGACCCAGGATCCCATCCAGGATCCCGCATGACATGTAGTCATCACGTGGGCTCTTCCTGGCTGTGACAGTGTGTCAGGCTTTCCATCTCAGGTGACCTTGATAGTACTGAGGAGGATGGGTCAGGCATTTTGTAGAATGCCCCCCATTGTCACTTCATGTTCTCAAGGTGAACTGTCAGCTTTGATGTTAACTTGGATCGTTTGGCAGAGCTACTGTTTGTCAGATTTCTCCACTGTGAGGTTATTTCTCCTCCTTGTCCATACTGCATGTGTTCTTTTGGAGCAAGTCACTATGCAGAGCCCACACTTACAGAGTGAGGAGTTGGCTCCACTTTCTTGATGGCTGAGTGTCTACATCAATTATTTGGAATTCTTTTGCAAAGGAGATTTCTATGCAACTCCATTTGCTTATTCACCTATGTATACAAATACAGACACCTAGATAATTACTTTAAGCTTTAGTTATTATTCAACACTACAGTATTATGTTGCACAATTCATTCCTGTGTTGGCCATCAGTAGCTGTTTTTATTGGCTCTTATTTTTCTTTGATATATTTTAATTTTTTTAGTACTTACTTACTTTCTGATCCTTCCAGATTATCCTGGCTCCTATATTTACTGTCCCAGTTCTAGTATCAGACATTTCTTCAAAGAGTCAGATTCCTTTCAGAATGGTAGGAAAACTTACATCTGGCTGCTGAATGAGCACATTGTATCTTCTCCCTTATTGGCAATGCTAGGAAGTATATGTGTGTGTCTAACCTACCTTTACACACCTAATTACAAAGTTTTCTATGTAGAACTGTGCATCTATATTAAACTAAACATAAGTTTACATTGATGTCTCCACCTCTGATCTACTATTACATGAATCATTCTAGTCTTCTCACCTTGCTAATTTGTAACCTCCCACTTCAACAGTGAGAAAGCTGGTTCCCACCATCTGCGACTTATGTAAGTCATTGTTTTATTCCAGATACAGACACTGTGGTTTTACAATTGTTCACAATTGCTTCTGTTGGAAAGAACTTTATAAAATGGAATCCAATGATGAAGTATAGTTCACTTGCCTTCAGCCTACAGATTCTATTCATTTTCAAAGTGACTTAGGTCAACACCATTTTCTCTACACCTTCAGTGAGTTTTTACCTACATTTGTGTCTTAGTCCATTTTGTGCTTCTGTAACAGAATACCTGAGGCTGCGTATTCTGAATATTATGCGTAGGCATAAATATTCTGATGTTTAAGTAAAAAAGGTTCATTTGGCTCACAATACTGGTGGCTGGAATGTCTCAGATTGGGCAGTTGCATCTGATGGGGCCTCAGTCTTTTTCACCTCATGGTGGAAAGTGGAAGGGGAGCAAGGGGTGCACCAGAGATCACATAGCAAAAGTGAAAGCAAGAGGGAAGCCAAGGAAGCCAGACTCTTTTTAATTACCTACTCCTGCAGGAATTATCTATTCCTGTGAGAATGGAATTCACTTACCCCATGGAGGACATTAATCTATTCATGAGGGATCCGTCCCCACGACCCAAACACCATCCACTAGGCCCCACCGCCCCACACTGCCACAGTGGGGGTCAAATTTCAACATGAGTTTTTGCGGGGACAAACCACATCCAAACCATAGTAATTTGTAGCATAAATTCTTTTTCACATGATGTATTCTGTCGTGGGATACTCCACATCCTGAGTAATTTTATGTAATTTGAATAGAGTTTGCTTTAACCATTTGGCCGTAAAATTCTGCGTATTTCGACAAATGCATTGTGGCAGGTATCCCACTATTAAAGTATCATATGGAATGCCTCAAACCTCCACCCTATGGAGCCAATGGCTTCCCATCTGTGTAGTTTGCCTTCTCCAGTGTCTCATTAAATGAGGTCACACTGTGTGTATCCTCCTCAGACTGTCTTCTGCCACCTAGCAATGTGCATGCAAGATTCACTCATGTCTTTGTGTGTGTTGATATCTTGTTCCTTTCTATGGCTAAATAGCATTCCATTGCATGAATGTACCACAATTTGGTTATGCATTTTGGGGATCAAAACCTTCCTCTTCTAACTTTGTTCCAGGGTTGAAGACCTTCAAATTAAATGACAATAGATACATTACTAGGAGAGAAAATACTTGGCTTCTTGTTGCCCAAGTATCATTGTGGGACAAAATTCATCAGATGGCAGGATCCAGTTTACAAAGAGGTAAAAATAGCCCAGAAACAAGAAACAAGACTAGAATCTGATAACCCACAATGGCTACCCCAAAAATATTATATTAATCTTATTTAACTAAGTTTTATCCAAATCGTGTTAACTTAAAAAACATTTGATCAGTTCCTATATTTCTAGGAGTTTGGTGAATATTTATTTATAAATGCTTATTTTTTTCCAAGCCAAGTTAGAATAGAGCACTTTTAGAGGATTTTATAAATGAATTTTGCAATGCTCTCCGGAGTTAAGAAAATATCACATATACATAACATACATTAATAGATGTACAAACAGAAATAGAGATTTCATAGCTTTCATCCTGAAATTTCAGCCATGAATCAGGCATAAATATTCTGATGGTTAATTTTAGACATCCACTTGATCGGATTAAGAGACACACATAGCTGGTCAAACACGATTTCAGCCATGAATCAGGCATAAATATTCTGATGGTTAATTTTAGACATCTACTTGACTGGATTGAGAGACACACACAGCTGGTCAAACACGATTTCAGCCATGAATCAGGCATAAATATTCTGATGGTTAATTTTAGACATCTACTTGATCGGATTAAGGACACACACAGCTGGTCAAACACGATTTCAGCCATGAATCAGGCATAAATATTCTGATGGTTAATTTTAGACATCTACTTGACTGGATTAAGAGACACACATAGCTGGTCAAACACAATTTCAGCCATGAATCTAGCATAAATATTCTGATGGTTAATTGTAGACATCTACTTGGCTGGATTGAGAGACACACACAGCTGGTCAAACACAATTGCTGGGCATATCTGTGAGGGTGTTTCTGGAAGACACTGAGATAAGCATGATCCAGTGTGGATGGGCACTGATAGGGTTTGGCTGTGTCCCCACCCAGATCTCATCTTGAATTGTAGTTCCTATAATCCCTACATGTCGTGGGAGGGACCCAGTGGGAGGTGACTGAATCATGGTGGTGGTTACTGCCATGCTGTTCCCATGACAGTGAGTGAGTTCTCACGATCTCATGGTTTTATAAGGGGCTTTTCCCCTTTGGCTCAGCACTTCTCCTTGTTGCTGCCTTGTGAAGAAGGACAGCTTTGCTTCCCCTTCTGCCATGATTGTGAGGGCCCTGCAGCCATGTGGAACTGTCAGCCCATTCAACCTCTTTGTTCTTTATAAATTGCTCAGACTCAGGTATTTCTTCATAGCTGTATAAAAATGGATGAATACAGGCACCATCCAATTGGTTGAGAGCCCAGATAAAACAACAAGGAAGAGGAAAGGTGAATTATCTCCTTCTGAAATGGAAACATCCTTCTTCTCCTGCCCTTGACATCAGAACTTCAGGGTCTCAGACCTTTGGCCTCAGAATCAGAGTTACACTATTGGCTTCCCTGATTCTGAGTCCTTTGTATCTGGAGTGAGCCACGCTACCAGCTTTCCTGGTTCTCCAACTTGGAGACAGGCTATTGTGGAACTTCTCAGCCTCCATAATTATGTGAACCAATTCCCCTAATGAATCTTCTCTCATCTATCTACATATATCCTATTGATTCTGCCTTCTGGAGAACCCTGACTAATGTGATTGCAATACTACAAAATTCACTAGTTTATATAGAAGACTTGGTTTTTGTCTTTGCCTCATTTTATATTTGTATTATAACTGTGTAACTGGAAAATGGAACAAGTTTTTTCTTCTTCATATGAGGGCTAAGGCTTTTTTCTCACCAATATTTTTGGAGATTTTTAAGGTTTTCTTTTGTTTTCACATACAATCTTATGGAGGATGAGAAATATTTTTTTTTTCTATTTTATTTTTCAGCCCCAGGTGTTTGCTTTTGCAGATTCTTGAGCACATTGAGAGCCTCCAAGGCATGGAGTGGGGTGCCTAAAGTTTCAGTGATTACAGGGAGTTGAGAGACTCAACTGGGAAAGGAAAAGTCTAAAAGGAGGCAATTTGGAAGATAAAAATTTTCTCAAAGGAGCAATTAAATTTCTAAATAATTCTTAGTAAAATCATGTAAACAGGAAAGGAAGTAGAATTAGTTCCATATTGGTGGAACACATAGCAGAGGTTTGAGAAGGGAGAATTTAGTCAACTGAGAAGTTCTCATGAAAGGAGCAAGTTCAAGATCACAGAGACACCTTGAAACAAAAAGCCAGGAATAACTTCCAACCCAAGAGGAGAACAGAGAGGCCTCAAAACCAAAGCTAGGATAAGAAACTTGTAGCCCAAGAGTTATCTTCCAGACAAAGAAGCCTGAGATTCCAACGCAGCTTCAGAGAGTACTCACTCAAAATGTTACTGAAACTGTAGGCTTTTTAATGACTTAGCCATGCATGCAAAAGGCATTCCCTAAGGTGGCACAGAAGACGGAGCCCCCATATCCAAAGATAGCCAAGGAGAAAGAAAGACCCCTGTTGCCAGAGCCAGTGGGCAAAGGCAACAGAAAAGGAGACAAGGGTCCTAATGGGATGAGATCCTTTCGGATTTAGGCTTTTACAAACTCCTGAGAACTGGCAGGTTGACAGCCATAAATGGGGTACCAAACTTTCTACTCATTGGATTACAAGTTCTCAGGCATCCAGAATGATGAACAAAATGACAATTTCTAGGGCTTCTGTGGGAGAGTATGGAAAGGTCTTTTTGAACCTTTTAATGCTGTCAACGGAAGAATGATGAGGTTCATAAATTTGGAAAGGAGACATTTCTTCATTTTTATGTTTATTTTTATTTTTTTTGAGACAGAGTTTCACTCTTGTTGCCCAGGCTGGAGTGCAATGGCGTGATCTTGGCTCACTGCAACCTCCGCCTCCTGGGTTCAAGCGATTCTCCTGCCTCAGCCTCCTGATTAGCTGGGATTACAGATGCCCACCACCACACCTGGCTAATTTTTTGCAGTTTTAGTAGAGACAGGGTTTCATCATGTTGGCCAGGCTGGTCTGAAACTCGTGACCTCAGGTGATCCACTCGCCTTAGCCTCCCAAAGTGCTGGGATTGCAGGCATGAGCCACCCAACCAGTGAGAGATTTATTTCCTATAAAGGGTTGTAGCCTGCAGGGTTGTCCTTCTGACAGGCTGGGAAGCATAGCCTCCAGCCAGAAGCCAGAAACAGACTCTTCAAGGAGGAGGTAAAGGAAATAGCAATTTATGCTGACTGGAATGGCCAAATACATTTATTTAATAAGCTCCAGGAGGAGTCATGAATATTTATGGAAGGAGAAATGCATGCATGCACAATTGAGTTTCTGGCTTCTTCATGGGTCCCATGTACAAAAAATGGCAGTGTTAGCATGATCCCAGGGTGGAGTTTTCAGCCCTCTGACATTAAAAGGTGAAGCAGAGGACATGAAAACTCGCTCTGTGCATCCTCTGTACGCTGGCCAGAACCTCTCTGTTGTGGGTGGTCTCTTATCAGGCAAGAAAGGAGAGGTTGATATCAGTAGTGGAGGCTTTGAAAGGGCTGGTTTCTGTTAAATCCTTAGGGAAGAAAGCCTCATCATGGTTAGCAAAGGAGTGGGTTTAACGATGTGTATGTTAACCCCATCATCCCATCCTAGCAAAGCTGAGAACTCAGTTTTGAAAGTTACTCTGTGGTCCCCTCAGCCAAGAGTGGTTCTGTTCAGTCAGTTGGGAGCTTATAATTTAATTTTTGTTTATCAATGCTAATGCGAAAGAGTACGCTGTCTTCATGGCAGCTGAATTTGCAAGAAACTCCTTGGATGGGGTTAATGGCAGCTGTATTTTTCTGGGAGCTCTGCTTTAATTGGACAAAGTAAGTTGTGGTAAGATTTCTTCTTTTATCTTCAGTATCTCAAATGTTTTCATTTAAATAATCTTTATAACAACTTTTGATGTCTGAGTGGATTCCCACACAGTCATCTATTGTAAGACTTTCTGATTCCGTTTTTTTCCTTTGGTCATTATGAATAGGGCTTATGTAAATAATTGCATGGTAGCTTTTGATTGGAAATAACATCAAAGTAGTTGTCAAAATACTTAGGAATGTTATTTTTGGATTGTAAGGTGAGACTTGTTTAGCTTTGGAAAAAAATGCCCAACTTGTAATAGGGGAGGAAAAATAATTTTCTGTTTTCAGAATTCTTAGATGGGATGCTCTGTAAAAACTGACAGATTAAAATGAGAAAAACAGAAAAGTAGAAAAACACGTATACCTTATGGTTACATGGGAGATACTCAGGGAAAAATGAGTAAATCTCCAACAGGTGGCTTTCAATTCAAGCATAAGTACTGTCTTCAACTTAAAGAAAGAAGATTTGAGGTGCAGTATTGGGGAGTTAACCAGCAAAAGCACATTAGACAAGGGTAAGGTTCGTTATACAGACTTAAGTCCATGCATTCTCCATTGATAAGACTCTTTAGTGATTTAGTTATCCTTCTCTTCTTGGTGTCGAGAGAGGTAGCTTTTAAATGGTGATTTCCTTTATAGATGTAAATTTTCCTTACACAAGTGTAACTTCTACTCTGTTTTCACAACTTCCTTTGTTAGCGTTTTTTTTTTTCAAAATAATTAGCTTGGAATAATTCTTAAGCCAAAGGGACATATTTTGGGGTTGCATATTCTGGTTTCCTACCATTATATTTTGGGGTGGCATATTTTGGTCTTATACACTGTGTTCCACCGGCAATGAAAAGAGTTCTTGTTTTTCCTCCAGCAATTTGTCATTTGTTAAAGAGTTTAGCAGTTCTAAGAGATATAGACCAGCTGTGCTATCTTTTTGTGGTTTTTAGTTCTCTAGTATGTTGAGCATCTTTTTGTAAGTGTACTTGCCATCTGTAGATCTTCTTTGGTGAGGCGTCTGTTCAGATCTGTGTGCATTTTTAATTGGGCTGTTTAACTTATTGTTTAGTTTTAACAATTTTTTATGTATTTTGAATACAAATTCTCAGATCTGTATTTTGCAAATATTTTCTTCAATATGTGGCTTGTCTTTTGGTTCTCTTAACAAGGTCTCTTCCAGAGTATAAACTGTAAATATTAAGAAATCCACATTGTCATTTCTTCTGTGTATATCAACCTTCTGTGTCATTTGTTAAAATTCATTACCAAACGCAAAGGCACATAGCTTTTCTTCTATAGTTTCTTCTAGAAATTGTATAGTTTTGCTTTTTTAGTGTAAGGATGATTTTGAGTGATTATTTGTGTAAGTTGTAAAGTTTTCATCTACATGCATATGATTTCTTATGGTTTCCAATTAATAATTCCCTCACTATTTTTGGGAAAGACACAGGATAGTGGGCTCTGTTAGAGTAGATAGCTAGCTAGACATGAACAGGAGGGGGAGCTCCTGGAAAAGGGAAAGTCTGTGAAGGCTCACCTGGAGGGACCACCAAAAATGCACATATTAGTAGCATCTCCAGTGCTGGAGAGGATGGGCACTTGTCAATTGTGGTTAGGAGGGAGAAGAGGTACCTACGCAGAAACACCCTAGAACTTCTCTTAAGATGCCCCAATCATCATTCACTCTGCAATAAAAATGTCAGAATATTGCTAGCTACATGCTGATAAGAAGGACAAAGGGGACATTCCTAAGAGAAACCTGGCACCATAAGTACAGATTAGGGCAGAGAAAGACATTCAAAAGAGGCAGGTGCAGTAGATACAAACGTGACTGCTGTCAGCCTGCCTGGGATGGCAGGAAGGAGGTTGGTGCCAGAGTGGATTCAGATTCATCACCCCACGTGTACCTCAATCAACAGGAGGTCCCACAAGCCTAAGTGGGGCAAGTCAGGGACCTAAGGCAGTAGCAGGAAAACCAAGGAAAACAAGCATAGACTTGAGACAGAGGCAGGAATGTGAAGAAGTCCAAAATAAAATTCCCTGCACAGGACTCTTAGGCTGTTTTCATGCACTATGAACCCACTCCTCCCTATTTTCCTACAATAAGCTCTTTACACTGTATTTCTTTTCAATGAAGTTATCTTCCATCTTTGTACTGCCTCTTGGTGAAAATCTTTCTTCCAAGTTAATAACTGGGACATCAGCTCTCCCCAGTAATAGCTCCTTTTCAGTTTTAATTTACAGAACTGATGGGGATTAATAACTGGCGCTCTGACTTTAAGTGGTGCAGGAGGCGGCCAGTAGGGGACGCCAGCCGTCACACCGGGAGCAAGAGGGCCCTGCCTAGTCCCCATCTGCCTGCAGGTGGCGTGCAGCCACGACAGTGTCAGCAAGAGGGCCCGGCAGTGTCCCTAGCTGCCAGCAGGGGGCGAACGACGACTACACTGTGAGCAAGAGGGCCCTGCAGTGTCCTTAGCTGCCAGGAGGTGGCGTAGGGGCACCACACCATGAGCAAGAGGACCGTGAAGTGCCCTGGTTGCCAGCAGGGGGCGTGCTGCCACTACACTGTGAGCAAGAGGATCCTGTAGTGCCCCCAGCGGACAGAAGAGGGCATGCCCCGACTACACTGCAAGCAAGAGGGCCCAGCAGTGTCCCCAGCTGCCAGCAGGCGGGTGTGCTGCCACTACAATGTGAGCAAGAGGGCCCTGCAATGTCCCTAGCTGCCAGCAGGCGGCGTGCCGCCAGTATACTGCGAGCAAGAGAGCCCTGCCGTGCCCCGGCACCGGCAGGGGGCGCTGGACACCACTGTAAGGAAGAGGGCCCTGCAGTTGCCCTAGTCGCCAGCAGGGGGCGCAATGGCACAGCACCGTGGGCAAGCGGGTCCTGTAGTGCCCGGGTACAAGCAGGGGGCACCCGAACCGGGCTTTTCAGATTACTCAGGTTCCACCCGTCTGTGCGCCGCGCCGCCGGGGACGTGTGTCTGCGCCTGCACCTCGCCATTCCCGCGCTCCCCGCCCAGCGGCGTGCGACTGTACACCTGCAACACGCCCCGCCACCCTGAGCCCAGCGACGTGCGTCTCTGCGCCTGCACCTGCGCCGCGCCTCACTCCCGCCCGCCCAGAGACCCCTCCCCTCCGGGGACGCGGAGGCGTGCGTCTATGCCCTGCGCCGCGTCTCCCGAACAGCGCCTGCGCGGGCGCGCCGCGCCTGCCTGCGCCGGCGCCGGCGCGCCGTGCCTTTGCGAGAGCGGAGTTGGGTTCTCCTCAGCACAGACGCGGAGAGCATCGCGAGGGCGGAGCTGCGTTCTCATCTGCACAGATTTCAGTGGTACTGCGAAGGCGGAGCAGAGTTCTCCTCAGGTCAGACCCGGGCGGGCGGGCTGAGGGCACCGCGAGGGCGGAGCTGCGTTCTGCTTAGCACAGACCTGGGGGACACCGTAAAGGTGGAGCAGCATTCTCCTAAGCACAGACGTTGGGGGCACTGCCTGGCTTTGGGACAACTCGGGGCCGCATCGACGGTGAATTAAATCTTTCCCGGTTGCAGCCGTGAATAATCAAGGGCAGAGACCAGTTAGAACGGTTCAGTGTGGAAAACGGGAAACCAAAAGCCCCTCTGAATCCTGCGCACCGAGATTCTCCCAAGGCAAGGCGAGGGGCTGCATTGCAGGGTCCAGTTGCAGCGTTGGAATACAAATGCAGCATTCCTAAGGCACACATGACACCCAAAATATAACACCCACATTGCTCATGTGGTTTAGGGTTAGGGTGAGGGTTAGGGGTTAGGGGTTAGGGTTAGGGGATTAGGGGTTAGGGGTTAGGGTTGGGGTTGGGGTTGGAGTAGGGTTAGGGTTAGGGGTTAGGGTTAGGGGTTAGGGTTAGGGTTCGGGTTCGGGCTAGGGGTAGGGTTAGGGTTAGGGGTTAGGGTTTAGGGTTAGGGGTCGGGGTCAGGGTCAGGGTCAGGGTCAGGGGTTGGGGTTGGGGTTGGGTTTAGGGTTGGGGTTATGGGGTTAGGGGTTAGGGTTAGGGATAGGGGTTAGGGGTTAAGGTTAGGGTTAGGGTTAGGGGTTAGGGTTAGGAGTTAGGGGTTAGGGTTAGGTTTAGGGGCTAGGGTCAGGTTTGGGTTAGGGTTGGGTTAGGGTTAGGGTTGGGTTAGGGTTAGGGTTTGGGTTAGGATTAGGGTTAGGGGTTAGGGTTAGGATTAGGGGTTAGAGTTAGGGTTACGGTACTGTAAATAATTTTATATTATTACTAATAATAAATTATTATTTGTATTACACTGTTACATAATGTAAACCCTATTAAGACATGTTTTTCTTCAAAGAATGGCCTTGGTTTCTGTGGGCTGTGCCTCCTCATGGAAGGGTAATGCATTCCTGCTAAATCATGGACAAAACGGGCTTCCAGGAGCTACAGACTGCAGCAGCAGCTTCTCCTCTACGTCCTTCACTGCCTCAAACTGTTGTTGACTTTGAAAGCTTCTTTCAGTCTAGTTTTATCAACAGAGCTAGTATTTCATGAGGTTCTACTACATACCAGGTTCCAGAAAGCTAAATGCCTTTTGTTTGTTATTATTCACTAAATACAAATCACAACTCTCTCCTCATTACTCACACAACAAAATTTAGCTGAGGGAGATTGAGTGACTTTCCCAGGGTCACATAGCTACTAAGAGCAGAGTCGTGTTCAGATTCATGTGGGAATATTGAACACAGAAATGAACCAGTGGAAACATCCTATGTTCCAAAAGCCTACTCAAGGCCTTTCTTCTTATTTTAAGGAAAATCTTTATGCTAATTTTAAACTCCAAATACTTATGAATGGCAGAGATCTACAGATTTGATTCTGATGTAAGAAATGATGGTCACCAGCCAGTTACTGCTACCACCCCACAACCCCGAGCATACTGGACGAATGTCTAAGCCTTGTGGTTAGTGGGGACAATGCTGGTGGAGTCTGAAGTTGTCATGCAGTGACTCATGCAAGCTTAGGCAGATTTGGTGATATATGACACAGAGATGCAAAGAAATGTTGTAGCTGACACACACAGGCTGGCTCTGGGAGATGCAGAAGGAGCACGTCACCCAAAATAGAGCCAGACAAGACATCCTTAAGGAAGGAGCAAAAGGGCTGCATCTTAAAGAATGTAGAAAGGATTTGTCATGAGAGATGGGGCAGGAAGTTCTTGAGAGGCAGAGGGAGAGCATGAGAATGTTAGGAAGGGAGGAGAGATTCTCACACATCTGGGAAGCTGACAATCCATCAGCATGGCCAGAAGGAAAATGAGGAGGAGCAGAAATAGATGAGGCTGGATATAGAAGCAGGGCTGAAGCGGTGTTGATTGTGGTAAAGAGTTGTGATTCTATCCAGAACTCAATAGGTAGCATTCTAAACAGAGATCTTTTAAACAAGAGTCAGCAAGTATTTTCTGCAAGGGGCTAAATGTTAAATATTTTAAGTTTTCCAAGCCATATGGTCTCTCTCTCAATGACTCAGCTCTTCCATTATACCATGAAAATAGCCAGAGACATTATGTAACACATGTATTGGCTGTGTCCCATTACAACTTTACTTACAAACGCAGACTGTGTCAGACATGGTCCATGCATGGTAGTTTGCCACACCCTGTTTTAGAAAGCTCAGGTTTATGATGTGATGGAGAATGCCTACAAGAGCTCTTGTTTTAAATGGTAGAGTGAACATACACTGGAATTCTATCCTGCTTGACCCAAGCTCTTGATAGCGAAAGGTAGAAAAGATAGATGGTAAATAGATAGATAGATGATAGATAAAGAAAATACATAGCTGTTCCAGAAAACAGAAATGGATAACTTCATGAACCAAAAGCAGAGTAATATACTTTAGAAAGGAAGCGGGCCGGAAAACCCACAGTTGCAAAACAAATAGAATTTCCAACTGCCTCTTGTAGCCCCTTCCTGGAAGTAGTCACAGCCCAGGGTGTTCGACTTCTTCCTCTGTTTTTTGTTTGTTTGTTGTTTGCTTTTCTGTGGGGTTTTTGTTGTTGTTGTTTGCTTTTAAAAAAAAATTCCCTTTCCCTGCTTTTTTGTCACAGCAGCCTTTGTCACTTCAAACACCGCAAGTGTTCTTTAAAAAAAATTATATCAACCTTTCAATTAAAATGCAACATGTCTGAAACTTGGTATCTGGAGAGGTGAGTTGGACAAAGGAGCCCTTGTTACTGCACGTTTTCATTCTTCAAATTTCACCTTGCACACAGTAACAGACAGTGCACAAAGCTACTTCCTTATGGACGGAAATTCTGAAATCCTTTTATGCCTGGCCTTTCCATCCTTCAACTTCCCCTCTCCCACGCTGTGAATGATTGTATTGGACATTTTTGTTTTAATGTCAGTGACAGGGGAACACAGGTAGCTCTAATATAGCTGTGACCCAGATGCTTCTGTTTCTAGCATGTATTTATTTTGCAGCAAACATTTACATCCATGATGTTTCACTGTCTTTTGAAAATAATTAGGCAATATCTCATCTGAGGTAGGTTGTTTCTAGGGATTGTGTTCTGAGGGAGGAAAACTAATCTGTTCTCTTTCCACTGCATTCTAGGAACAGTAAGAGGACCTTGTGCATGAATAATTTGTTTCCACACTACAGAGTGGGTAATAAGCAGATTAGTAAAAACAATTCTGCTTGACTTCAATAACAGCTTCCTCCAACTCATTTTTTCTCAACAAACTTATTTTTCCAGCAGAAGAATCCCAGACTTCTTAGAGAACCCAGTGACTTTTTGTACCTTAAATCTGTGAAATCCTCATGTTTTCTTCTGCCGTATCCATAGTTCAAACAAAGATGAGGCAAAGCTAGATGCATTCCTGAAGGAACCCAAGAAATTCCTCTCTTTCTTTCTCTGGAATGAAATGAATTCTCTAGACCACCAGTTCTAACCTTCAAAAACCAAACCTGTTTGTGAGATCTCCTTCAAATACTACTGTAGACCCCAGTGTTTATTCATTAAATTTTTTAAATATTTGTTTTATTTGGAATCCATGCATTTGTAATTTTAGTGTTTGTATTAATATCAGGGAGAAATGTTTAAATCTGTCTATGCCATATGTGCCTCTGGCTTATTGCCCAATTAATTGTAGTCTCAGGCTAAACTTTGGTTTCTATCTTTAATTTTTGTCAGAAGAAATATAACTGATCTCAAAACATCTGCTTTTATTGTAGGGGCTCGTGCTGCCATCTCCATTCCTCTCTCTTTTCTTGCAATCTGGGTGGAAGTTCTTTAATATGAACATTTCAACCACCTTCATTCTACCATGTCCACTATCAGCACATTCAAACTGATCCAGCCAAGGCTGTCATCTTAGGCCAGGGATTTTTTAGGAATCTGTTTTGCTGTGATGCGGCTGGCACCCCTTTGACTCACTGTATCACCCCAGGGTTCTTTTCATTTCAGAAGCCCAAGAGGGCAGAAAAAGAAGTAGGTGAGCAATTAAACACTCTGAGTCAGGAGCGTCTCCCCTTGCGTTAAGCAATGTTGTAGAACATCGATGTTCTACATCGATGTTGGCGACCTTGGTACCATTTTGTCCACTTGATTGGAAAAGCCAGTCAATAATTTCAGGTCACTGTTGGCCTTAGAAGAAGAGCCCAAAGGCAACAAGCAAAGGCGCTGGTGTCCAGTCGCCTTCTAGAAGCATTTTCACTTTCCCTTAAGATTTCCCTTGATGAACATAGAAGTACTGTATGTAGAATTGACCCAGTGCTGCCCTGGCAACTTTGTATATTAGGCCAGATTTACATTTCTTACCTTCATGAGAGGCACCCTGGTAGGCTAGTGGAGTTACACACAAAGTCTGATCTCAGCTGCACTGTCCAGAAATGCAACACGGTCCAATCAAATAACATTCTCTGAGCCTGTTTCTTTAGCTGTGAAAGAAGAATAACATACCCATCTAAAAAGGCAGCTTATTGTATTTGATTGGTCTTTTATTTTCTATGAAGCTGTGTTTAACACAGTAATTATTTTCATTTGTGTACTACATTTGTGTTGTGTTTTTGGTTTTAGTTTTGTTTTTGAAATGGAGTCTTTTTTTTAGTGGTTTTTTGTTTTGTTTTGTTTTGTTTTGTTTTTGAGATGGAGTCTTTCTATTGTCACCCAGGCTAGAGTGCAGTGGCGTGATCTCCGTTCACTGCAACCTCCACCTCCCAGGTTCAAGTGGTTCTCCTGCCTCAGCCTCCTGAGAAGCTGGGATTACAGGTGCCCACCACCATGCCCAGCTAATTTTTAAAATATATTTTTAGTAGAGATGGGGTTACAACATGTTGCCCAGGCTGGTCTCAAACTACTGACATCAAGTGATCCACCCGCCTTGGCTTCCCAAAGTGCTGGGATTATAGGCATGAGCCACCGCGCCTGGCTTGTTTTAAAATAAGGGTTTCTTGGCTAGGCATGGTGGCTCACACCTGTAATCCCAGCACTTTGGGAGGCCAAGGTCAGTGGATCACCTGAGGTCAGGAGTTCGAGACCAGCCTGACCAATATGGAGAAACCCTGTCTCAACTGAAAATACAAAATTAGCCAGGCGTGGTGGTGCATGCCTGTAATCCCAGCTACTCAGGAGGCTGAGGAAGGAGAATTGCTTGAACCCAGGGGGCAGAGATTGCAGTGAGCTGAGATCGCACCATTGCACTCCAGCCTGGGCAACGAGCAAAACTCTGTCTCAAAATAAAAAAAAGATTTCTTAAAATGATATTTTCAGTATTTTATAGATGATGTGTAAGCAGCAATCTTAATAGGATATTACCCGACACTTTGCGAGACTGGCAGCTGATTTGATCCAGATGTCTCTAATTCTTTTTTCTTTTTCTTTTTCTTTTTCTGTTTTTTTTTTTTTTTTTTTGACAGAGCCTTTCTCCGTCCCCCATGCTGGAGTGCAGTGGCACGATCTCGGCTCACTGCAACCTCCACCTCCCGGGTTCAAGCGATTCTCCTGCCTCAGGCTCCCGAGTAGCTGGGATTACAGGCGTGCGCCACCATACCCAGCTAATTTTTTGTATTTTTGGTAGAGACAGCATTTCACCATGTTGGCTAGGCTGGTCTCGAACTCCTGAACTTAGGTGATCTGCCTGCCTCGGCTTCCCAAAGTGTTAGGATTACAGGCGTCAGCCACTGTGCCTGGCCCAGATGTCTCTAATTCTAACATGAGATGTATTGCAGGATCATAGCAGAGTGAGTTGCTGATGTACCCAGAAGGAAATGAGCATGGAACTCTCACGACAGCTGTCCTGAGAAGTGTGTGTGTGCTGTGCTTGAATATCTCACTGCTCATTTATACACAGGCTTTCTGGTGACTGAGTTAACAGTATCTGTTTCATAAATAATGTAGCCCTCTTTCTTTCTCTCTCTCTTTTTTTTTTTTTTTTTTTTTTTGAGACAGGGTCTTGCTCTGCTACCCAGGCTGGCGTGCAATGGTGCGGTCTCAGCTCACCGCAACTTCAGCCTCCTGGGTTCAAGCGATTCTCCTGCCTCAGCCTCCCAAGTAGCTGGGATTACAGGCATGCGCCACCACTCCTGGCTAATTTTTTCTTTTTTTTTTTTTTTTGAGACGGAGTTTCGCTGTTTTTGCCCAGGCTGGAGTGCAATGGCACAATCTCGGCTCACCACAATCTTTGCCTTTTGGGTTCAAGGGATTCTCCTGCCTCAGCCTTCTGAGTAGCTGGGATTACAGGCATGTGCCACCACACCCGGCTAATGTTGTAGTTTTAGTAGAGACGGGGTTTCCCTATGTTGGTTAGGCTGGTCTCAAACTCCTGACCTCAGGTGATCTACCCGCCTCGGCCTTTCAAAGTGCTGGGATCACAGGCATGAGCCATCACTCCTGGCCTAATTTTTGTATTTTTAGTAGAGAGAGGGTTTCACTCTGTTGGCCAGGCTGGTCTCGAATTCCTGACCTCAAGTTATCTGCCTGCCTCGGCCTCCCAAACTGTTGGAATTACAGGCGTGAACCACCATGCCTGGCCAGCTCTATTTCTTTAAGCCTACATGTTTTGCACTTGTTAAAAGTATTTGAACATACAATTACTCAGCTTCCCTTGTTTACGCGTGAATTTTGTAGAATCTTAAATATTTTTTCCAATCTAAGCTTTATTTTATCCCGTTTCTTCTATATTTGTATAACTTTAGGCGGCTATCTTCATTGAAAGTTTTTTCTCAAAAGCCTTAAGATAGAACATAGTTCTTGGCAGCAATTTGAAAGTTATTTGAGGAGAAGGGGAGACTTACAATGATGATTCAAATGAAGGAAACTAAAAAGTAATGAAGCAAGGCAGAGGAAAAAGCAGTACTCACTTGAGCACATCCCAAAAGAATAACATTTCAAATGTAACTAGAAAAAAGTATGCTGAAGTTCGCAATACAGAAATAATTATTAATAAGATAGCTTTAAAGCCCTGCTCAGCTTTTGAATGTTGGGAATTGACCCAGAGGTGGCTGTAACCTAAGATGGTTCCTTCAGTAATGACCATTTTTTCTTTTTCAAGATGATGATTATTCCCCACCTTCTAAGAGACAAAGACCAACGAGCCGCCACAGCCACCAGTCCCAGAACCCGCCAATGCTGGGGAACGGAAAATGAGGGAGTTCAACTCTGGTAAGTTCTCAGCAAAATCCATGACCTTTTCCTTTATCTTCTGGACTCTCAATGTGACTGATGAAAGTTACCACATGCTCTGCAGGGGGAAATGGTTTAGCATGTGTTACTACATCTTAATCACATCTTTGTAAAGCCAGGAGCATTTTACAAGTCACGTTACAGACATTGTTTAAACATAGTCTGTATTTACCAAAGTATAGGACATTGTATCATCTCATATTAATTAGTTAGTTGGCTCAAAATTAGTGCTAATGACTTAGTAATTCAGTGATTTCTGTTAGCTTTAAAACCTTTATTTCAGAACTATTTCACCTCTTGGTTTTCATTTTTGCGGTGTGTCACTGCCTGCCAGCTGCTAATTTATTAACTCCCAGTGAATCATGTCCTGTGAAGGGACTGAATATTAGTGGCAATTTATGTTGATGATTTGTATTTTGAATAAATAGTTTGAATACATAGAACATTAAGCTTGTATACATTTTGAAAATAGTATTTTAATATTCTACCGTGTCATAGTTACAATGATTGGATATATATTGAATTTATATGTACTTTAAGTTGTTATATGTTTATGGTCTTTAGCATTTTAACGTGCAATTGTATATCTGTTAAGTCTTTTTTTTTTCGAGATTAGACTGATTTATTGAGGCGTCTGTTTGATGCCACATGAAGTGGCCCAGGCTTTGTGTAGGGGTTGAGGTTAAGCAGGAAGAAGGGCGGTGAGAGGCGGGGCACCAGGGTTAGGTTGGAATACCTGGGGGTGCTCTGAGGCTCCCCAAGTTTCCCTGGTCTTGGCCGGCTGTGCTGCTGGCCTGAGCATCTGATGGGCCTGCAAGGGTGGTCCAGGGGCTAGGGCAGGGACTTTGGAGTGACGCCGTTGGCTTTGAATCCAGACTCCTACACTTGGTAGCTGTGAACTCTCCATGCCTCAGGGACCTGCAGAACTGAGCTCTGTCTGAGCCAGGTTCCATCCAGGCACTGCACATCCATCCAGAGGGGCACTGCCTCAGGCTGCTCGCTGTTCACTGCCTTCTCAAGCAGACCCTTGTCTCCTTCTAGGCCCTCACAATCCAGTGGAGGAGACGCAACTCATCTGCCTCTGTCCCTCTGGGCACGCCTCGTGCCAGGTGCATCTGTGGACAGGGGCCATGCTCCTGGGCTTCCAAAGTTGGAGAAAGCTGCCAGGCTCAGGTGGGTACATCACAGCAGCTGCTGCCCTCTGAACACAGTGACAAAAGAACACTCTGGGCCTGGAGCCCTGGTCTGGGGCATTGGGCAAGGCTGTTGCACTTCTCTGATCCCATTTCCCCATCTGGAAAGTGTGCTGATTGTATCTCCCTGTGGGCACTGAGGGCTCAGTGTTAGTTTGAGAGCCAGCATCTGGGGTTTGGGCTGTAATTCCCCATCAGCCCCATAGCTGCGGGGAACCAGGGACTTTGTTGGGATTACCCTAGGCATCAGTTTAGCTTCCTGCCCCTGGCTTGGGCTCAGCACCTGAAGTAGTCTAGGGGGTAGGTGGTGCTGGTGGGGGCTGGGGCTTTTACCCAGACTGAGGTCACACCCAGAGCAAGAAGTCTTGGTGCCTGCTCTGGGCAAAGGTGCCAGCCTGTGTGACAAGAGCGAAACTCCGTCTCCAAAACAAAAACAAAAAACCTTGCATCATTTCAAGGGGCTCACACCTCCCTAAGGGCCTGGTAATTGGCTGGCTCTGGCCTGCATCTGGCCCCGAGGGTGTAGGTAACACCCCACCTTACCTGGTTTCTTCCTGCCAGGGCCAATCTTCAGACCTCAGGACTTTACAGCCTATCCCACCTCCCCTCTGGCCAGCCTAGAGCCCTTGTGGGTCCAGCACTTTTTCCAGGCTGTCTCCTGGTTGTCCTTCTGCCTTGAGGCCTGGCTCATGCTGCTCCCCCTCCCACTCTCCAAGACCCACAAGGACCACTCCACACCCAGCTCAGCCCCATCCCCTCAGATAGTCCTTTCTCTTTCCTCAGGTGGCCAGGTGCATATCTTGGTGTGAGGACCTTCGCTGTATCTGGGAATGCCTACTGGTTACCTTGGTAACAGAGAACAAGGCATTTACCTGATATGAGTGTCTTGGTTCACTGTCTACATGGCTAGGGAGGGAATCAATAATAGGCTTCTCACTTGCTGCAAGGGCCGGTTCTCCTGGCCCCATGGCTGTAGGGATGGAGGACGCTGCAGGAGATGCAGCGCTCACTTCCCAGCTGAGGACTGTGGGTCATCTCAGGGCGATTTCACAGTCCCCACATGCCCCACCCCCTCAGCTCTGCAAATACCAAGCAGTGCAGCCTGCCTAGGGGATGATGGGCTCGAGAGTGCCCAGGTAGTGCCCAGAGTGCCCTTGGCAGGCCCCTCACCTGGCTGCTTCCACAGCTCTGTAGCAAGAGTTCTAACCTTTTTTCACCGTGAAGCCTGCTGAGAATAAGAGCTGTGGACTGTTTTCCCAGAAAGGCATGTACATGCTCTCCACACAAAACCTTTCATCGTGGCCAAGCACAGTGGCTGATGTGATCCCAGAACTTTGGGAGGCGGAGCCAGTCGGATCACCTGAGGTCAGGAGTTCAAGACCAGCCTGCCCAACATGGCGAAACCCTGTCTCTACTAAAAATACAAAAAATTAGCCAGGCGTGGTGGCAGCCACCTGTAATCCCAGCTACTCCAGAGGCTGAGGCAGGAGAATCACTTGAACCTGGGAGGCGCAGGTTGTAGTGTGGTGAGATCACGCCATTGCACTCCAGCCTGGGCGACAGGAGCGAAACTCTGTCTCAAAAAACAAAACAAAACCAAACCTTGCATCCTTTCAGGGGGCTCACACCTCCCTAAGGGCCCAGTAATTAAACCCTTTGGGCCTGAGGGTGAGAAACTTTGTCTCAGTTCTTCCCCAAGTGATCAGCCCAGGGGTAAGGAAGGAGAAGCCAGAAAGCAGGACCCATGAGAAGGGCCCCCTCCTGGAGTTTGAGGCCCACTCCCTCCTGCCCCTTCCTCTCCTCTGTCCAGGACTCCTCCCTGCTCTGCCCCACTCCTGGGGCCATAACCATGGGGAGCTGTGGTTTTCTACAGGCCCCTGGGCACAAAGTGGGCAGGCTCACCTGGAGGCGATCAGAGTAACATGGCAGGAAGTGAGGGGGAAAGCCGCCCTGGAACTGCGCCTCTCTGCCCCCTGACGTCACTGGCGTGCACTCCTCCCTCCCCTCAGGCAGTGGCATGAGTTCCATGTGAGCGCTGTCCTGCTCCCTCTGCTGCCTCTTTTTTTTCTTGGGGCTGCCATAACACTTTCCCTTCCCCAGCCCTGCCAACCTGGTGGGACATTGGGCTTCCCTCTCACAGGGTCCTGGGGACAGGCCCATCCTTTATCATACCCACAGAGAGACCGTTTTTTTCTTCAGGACCTGGGGAGCAGCCAGGTTCCATGACTTAAATGCAGATCTGAACCAAGCTGGGATTGGGGTACACACTCTCCTCTACTGAAAAGTAGCTAGGGATTCCAACTAGGTGAGAAGGAGAGTGGGGCAGAGCCAGACCAGACAAGGACTGATCACCTGGAAAAAGCCTGCCATCAAAGGTCTTGGCAAATGCTGGGTGCAGTGGCTCACTCCTGTAATACCAGCACTTTGCGGGGCTGAGACAGGTGGACTGCTTGAGGCAAGGAGTTCGAGTCCAGCCTGGGCAACATGGCAAAACCGCATCTCTACTAGAAATACAAAAATTAGCTAGGCATGCTACACTCCTGTCATCCCAGCTACTCAGGAGACTGAGGCAGGAGAATCACTTGAACTGGGGAGGCAGAGGTCGAAGTGAGCCGAGATTGTGCCCCTGCACTCCAGTCTGGGAGACAGAGTGAAACTGGCCTCAAAAAAAAAAAAAAAAAGAATATGGCCTTGGCAGAGAGGGCCAGCCCAGCAGTGCCTTCCCTTGGGTTTCTCCTGGGTAGGCCTCTGCCATGAGGAGGTGCTTCCTTCTGCCTGTCCATGGCCCACAGCAATGGAATGTCTGTTTCTGGGGGTTGGGTGGGAGAGTGCTGGCAGAACTGGAAACCTTCAGGTGGGGTTTTTTTGTTTTGTTTTGTTTTCGAGATGGAGCGTCGCTCTGTCACCCAGGCTGGAGTGCAGTGGTGGAATCTCAGTTCACTGCAACCTCTGCCCCCCTGGGTTCAAACAATTCTCCTGTCTCAGCCTCCTGAGTAGCTGAGATTACAGGCATGTGCCACCATGCCCGGCTAGTTTTTGTATTTTTTGTATAGATGGCATTTCACCATGTTGGCTGGGCTGGTCTCGAACTCCTGACCTCAAGTGATCCACCCATCTCGGCCTCCCAAAGTGCTGGGATTACAGGCATGAGCCACTGAGCCCAGCCCCTTCAGGGGGTTTTGAGGCTTCACTACAATACTAGTTTCCTGTGGCTGCTGCAACAAATTACCACACACTTAGTGACTTAAAACAACCAAAATGTATTCCCTTACAGGTCTGAAGGCCAGAATTCTACAGTAAGTCCTACTGAGTCAAGGTGGGAGCAGGGTCGGTAGCTTCCGAGGCTCTGCGGGAGAATCTGTTTCCTGGCCGTAGAGGTGGCCTGCACTCCTCAGCCTGTGCTGCCCGTCTCGAATGACTGGAGTTTCCTGCTTCTGTCACTACACCTCCCACCCTCTCCATCACCTGCTCTGCTCTTACAAGGATCCGAGTGAGTACATCAACCCCAAAAGCCAAAGACCCTTAACTTCATTATATCTGCAAAGCTCCTTTTGCCATATAAGGTCATGTTCACCAGTTCCCGGGATTAGGATATGGGCATCTTGGGGGCATCAGCCTGCTACAGCTAGGCTGCAAAACTGTTACACCCTCCTGGTGTTTCAATGATTGGGAGAAAAAGGGTTGGCATTTTTTGCTTAGGGGTCCCTCTTAAACTTGTATCTGTAAGGTCGGGGGTCCCTCTTAACCTTGTGTTTTTGTTTTTGTTTTTTTTGAGGTGGAGTCTTGCTCTGTCATCCAGGCTGGCAGTGGCGTGATCTTGGCTCACTGCAATGTCTGCCTCCTGGGTTCAGGTGATTCTCCTGCCTCAGCCTCCTGAGTAGCTGGGACTACAGGCGCCCGCCACCATGCCCTGCTGTTTTGTATTTTTGGTAGGGACGGGGTGGGGGTGGGGCTAGGGAGGGGGGTTTTGGCTATGTTGCCCTGAGCTCAAAGTGATCCGCCTGCCTCTGCTGCCAAAGTGCTGGGATTACAGGCCTGCACCACTGCACCCGGCTGCTGTAAAGTCTTATTTCACACAGCTGAGACATGTTTTAGGAAGTTTGCTAAAAGACCCCTGGAGACCGCCTCATTGTGACCTCCCTGTTATTGTGTTTAATTTGATTGAACTTTTCTGCCCTCCTGCTTTTCAGCTTCTCTAATAGTCTCCCATTAAACCAATTCTAAGAACCACCAAGAAGGGGAAATTTTTTCTTGAAAGCAGTAAAATGATATGGACTGTTAGAATGTAAAATATATGACATCAGTCATTATACGTTAGTGCTGCTCTGACATAGGGACGTGTTATTGAGAAGCAACTTTTGCTTGGTTTTCAGAGAAATGGAATCATCGTATCGCTGATCTACGTAAACAAACTGAAGAATTGTCTGAAAGAAAATATGGTATGTCTAAACTGGAAAAGTCTTGTAATCTTATGTTCATGGGCGTTTACACAGTGGAGTTACTGTTCATCATGGGGGTACCGTGGACAAGCCCAGGGCTGCCGGCGAGTCATGCCATCCTTACATGTTTCTCCTTGTAAGGTGCTTTGTAGTGTCTACACACTTTGTTTCTAGATTGCTGCAAAGCTGAGGAAAAGTTGTATTTCTTTAGTTATTAGTTAGCATTTCTTTTAAACTTTCAGTATGGAGATTGGAAATTTATTTACATATTTATTGCAAAGCCCTGGATCTTAGGAATTTCATTGAATTATTTATTTATTTTTTTTGAGACGGAGCCTCACTCTGTCGCCCAGGCTGGAGTGCAGTGGCACGATCTCGGCTCACTGCAACCTCCGCCTCCCGGGTTCAAGCAGTTCTCTGCCTCAGCCTCCCGAGCAGCTAGGATTACAGGCACCAGCCACCACGCCTGGCTGATTTTTGTATTTTTAGTAGAGACGGGGTTTCATGATCTTGGCTAGGCTGGTCTTGAACTGCTGACCTCCTGATCCACTCACCTCAGCCTCCCAAAGTGCTGGGATTATAGGTGTGAGCCACCATGCCTGGCCAAATATTATTTTTTTAAATGAATTGTTTCTCTTAGTCTGCTTTGTTAAATTTGGAATTCATCTGGGCGCGGTGGCTCACACCTGTAATCCCAGCACTTTGGGAGGCCAAGGCAGGCAGATATCTAGGTCGGGAGTTCGAGACCAGCCTGACCAACATGGAGAAACCCCGTCTCTACTAAAAATACAAAATTAGACGGGTGTGGTGGCGCATGTCTGTAATCCCAGCTATTCGGGAGGCCAAGGCAGGAGAATCGCTTGAACCCAGGAGGCAGAGGTTGCAGTGAGGCGAGGTTGGCACCATTGCACTCTAGCCTGGGCAAAAAGAGCAAAACTCCATCTCAAAATAAATAAGTAAATAAATAAAATGTTCAGTACTCAGCAAGGTGCCCCTGTTGTCTCTGCTTTTATCTTGATGCATCACTGAATTGATGTTAGATTTCAAATTCATCATTGCCCTGATACTATTCTATCCTGAAGCCACCTTTATATAGTGATGAAAGAAATTAGCGATTTGTTATTATCCTCTCTCTGTTGGTATACATCAAATACTCACCTAAAAAAGAGCAACAACCAGTGGAAAACATGATGTTTTTATTTGGGTGACTATTTACTTGTAACCTACTAGCAAACTATAAAATTGTATGATATGCAGAATTTTAACTGAATTGCTTTAAGTGAACATTTAAACATGATAAACAATATTGATGGCATTTATGTTAATATACTTAAAAGGAACATTTTTCTTCATCATGAGTAATATAACCTACTCCTCAATGAAAACCTAGCACTAAATTTGCTAATGAATTCAATAACATTTCCATAATATTTTTAGTTACATGCTTAAGGTTCTCTTAGTGTTTCTCCCACTTTTTAATAGCTTATGCCTTTTTCACCTTTGGTTTTTTTTTGGTTCATTTTAAGGCAAAAATCTCACAACATGTGGTATCTGGAAACACTGTAACCTAGTGGTAAGACCATAGGCCCTGGGGACACAGGCTGGCCACGTCTCTTCTCCTGTCTGAGCTTTAGTATCCTCTTTTGTGGTCATGAGAACTGAAGATCTGTCCCGAAGATTTGATAAGATAGTAAAGTGCTTCACATAATACCAGACATATAAATACACAGTAAATGCTTCCTCCTTATATTTTTATTGATTGATTGATGGAGACAGAATCTTGCTCTCTTGCCCAGGCTGGAATGCAGTGGCGTGATAATGGTTTCTGCAACCTCCACCTCCTGGGTTCAGGCAATTCTCCTGCCTCAGCCTCCCGAGTAGCTGGGATTACAGGTGCCTGCCACCATGCCCAGCTAATTATTGTACTTTTAGTACAGACGGGGTTTTACCATGTTGGCCAGGCTGGTCTCGAACTCCTGACCTCATGATCTGCCTGCCTCGGCCTCCCAAACTGCTGGGATTACAGGTGTGAGCCACTGTGCCCAGCCTGTCTTTTCTCTTCACACCCGCAGTTCATGATGAAATATTAAATGTGTACTAGTGGATATTACTTTGCTGAATATTGCCTAGTGAATATTAAGTATTTATTCTCACCTTTCAGACATGAACTTATGAATTCAATAGGTGAAGATTTACAACTTGATAAATCAACTTTGTCAGGTACGTCTTCAGTCAAGTCAGATTAGAAGATTATGTGAGGTAATTAACACTTAACATTGATTTAATGGTAGCTTCCACATGAAATAGTATGCCTCTAAGTATTAATTATGTCCTAGGACAGGAGAATTCATGTTGTCAAAATTCTCATACTCTCTAGAACAATAAACTCATTTTCTTTTTATTAGTAAATATTGCATTTATGGGTAGACAAAACTGAAAGAACAATATTTGTTCTACTTTTGAGATGCAAGATTCATCTGGCATAATGCATTGAACAGGTTATTATTGAAGTCTACACCAGTCAACTGAATAAGCATTCATCAAATGTCCATGATATGCAGGACATAAGTTTTCTTTTAGAGTATGGAACCATGCATATTATCTTTTAATTAGATGATTTAGTTAGATATGTTTTTAAAGAACTAGAAATATAATTGATTTTCTTGTTTTGGCTCTGGAGTGGAGTGGGGACGAAACAGAATGGATTCACACTTGTTTAGATTTACTAAAATGGAAGGATTGCAGCAAGATCATATCCCTAGTCTCCCTATAGCAAATGTCACCTGCTAGCTGTTTTTTTTTTTTTTTTTTTTTTTGGAGGTTGAAGTTTTGTTCTGTCACCCACGCTGGAGTGCAGTGGTATGATCTCAGCTCATGGCAAGCTCACCTCCTGGGTTCAAGCAATTCTCCCTGCCTCAGCCTCCTAAGTAGCTGGGATTACAGGCCTCTGCCACCACGCCTGCCTAATTTTTGTATTTGTAGTAGAGTTGGGGTTTCACCATGTTGGCCAGGCTGGCCTTGAACTCCTGACTTCAGGAGATTCACCCGCCTCAGCCTCCCAAAGTGCTTGGGATTATGGATGTGTCACTGCACTTGGATTTAATGGGATATTTCACTACAGACTTCGGTAAACAGAATATTAGCATTTTTGGTGTTCTTTTTATTTTACTCATACTGTTTTTCTTTGGACTCAATCACAATAACAGAATTAAAGATCAAAGTGTAAAAGTTAAAGACCAATACAGATTCAATAATTATTCTTTTCTACATACTGTGTTTAAATGATATCCCTTTTTCTTTTTGTTCTTATAGCTCGAGCTGTAAAAGCCAAAGGTCCGGTGATGATCCCATACCCTTTTTTCCAGTCTCATGTTGAAGATTTTTATGTAGAAGGCCTTCCCAAAGGAATTTTTTTTTTTTTTTTTTTTTTGAGATGGAGTTTTCACTCTTATCGCCCAGGCTGGGGTGCAATGGCACAACCTTGCTGGTCACTGCAACCTCTGCCTCCTGGGTTCAAGAAATTCTCCTGCCTTAGCCTCCCAAGTCACTGGGATTACAGGTGCCCACCACCACACCAGGCTAATTTTTGTATTTTTAGTGGAGATGCGGTTTCACCATGTTGGCCGGGCCAGTCTCGAACTCCTGACGTCAAGTGATCTTCCCGCCTCGACTCCTGATATCAAGTGATCTTCCCGCCTCGGCCTCCCAGAGTGCTGAGATTACAGACGTGAACCCATGCCTGGCCAGGAATTTTGTTTTTTAGGAAGGCTTTCTACTAATGGAATTCCTGGCCTTGAGAGGATGTTACTTTAGAAGGAAAGGATTTTTTTGTTATTAAAAGGTAAGATTCCTGGATTCTTATTGGACCGTTATCTCTGTTATGAGTAATCCATTTTTAGTCATTCACCACTAGGGTTGTATTTAATTAAGTCTGAGTTATTTTATGGTGGTTTTGTTTTGTTTTGTTTTGTTTTTACCGAATTTTGTTCTCATTGCTGTGGCTTGAGGGCAATGACGTGATCTCAGGTCACCACATTCTCTGCCTTCCAGGTTCAAGCAATTCTCCTGCCTCAGCCTCCTTAGTAGCTGGATTTACAGGCATGCGCCACCATGCCTGGCTAATTTTTTGTATTTTTAGTAGAGATGGTGTTTCACCATGTTGACCAGGCTGGTCTAGAACTCCTGACCTTGGGTGATCCACCCGCCTCGGCCTCCCAAAGTGCTGGGATTACAGGCATGAGCCACTGCGCCCAGCCTGGGCCTGCTTCTTTCTCTTTTTCTTTTTTTTTCATTAGCAGCTTAAAATTGGTGCCTTATTCAGACACAAGCAAAAGGACATTAGCCCAGCTTTGGAAATAGGTGAGAGCCCATATATGATTTTCCTAGTTTCTCCTCCCCCTTTGCTTTTTGCTCTCTTGTTAGTATATTAATTGTTTTCACTCTCTGAATCTTTTTTCCCCATTTCTTTGGCAGTCATTTTTACTTGTCTTGGAAGAGTAGGTGAAGAGCTGTTTTTAGGACTCTTTGAAAGGGTACAGTATGGGTGACAGTCTTGGCTAATGGTAACATCCAGGGAGCTGGGGTCAGCGTGAGCTGGAATCAGTTCAAATTAGCAAAGCACTGGCACTCAGTGGCAGGAATACAAGTGACTGCAAAGTGTTAAACACATCTGGAAAGGGATACTGACATCATCCTCAGAATCTGTGGGGAGTTCACATAGCCAGTTAGGACCCATTCTTCTTTGACCCTGTAAAGATTCTTTAAAGAATAAATACCCTTAGTGGTTTTCTAGCCAGCTTGCGTGCTCATTTATCTTTGAGGACGACATGCCTTGTGGAGCTCCACAGGCCCCAGAGGGATATGGATTCTGCATTTAAAAGTGCTGAAGCTGAGAGACTGGGTCTTGGTGGACCCCGAGTGGTCTGTTTCTCCTCTACTCATTGTTCCTTTTTTCCCCAACAGCTGGCATTGCTGTTTAAATGGGTTGTTCTTTGCTGTTTTAAGTTGTTTCATAGTGGTGTGTCAGGATTTGGGTTTTCTTAATACTTTCCAAGCTGGTGACTTGAGTGGTGGTTAGGGAGGAAATGTTTTAGGGCTGTTCTGGAGCTATTGAGGTCGGGTGTCTAGATACTCCCAGCTTGTCTGTTGAGGAGAATGCTGTTCTCATTGTGCTGCCTTTGGTGGTGCTGTGTGTGGCTCTTTAGATGTGCGTGGAGGTGAGCTGGGGGAGTTAATGAGATCTTTTTTAGGTGCTTTTGATAAAGTAGCCTGCACTACAGGATTCACTGTGACTTTTTTCCTTAACCTATGCATTTCTCTCTGCTAGCTTTTGCTGTCTTTCTCATGCCTTTGATTTTCCCAGCTCCTCTTAGTTGAATTAACCTAAGTGCTCTGCTATGGTTTAAATGTGTCCCCCAAAGTTTATGTGCTGGAAACTCAATCCTCAATGCAACAGTTGGGATGTGGGGCCTAATAAAATAGCCTTCATGAATGAGTTAATGTTGTTATTGTGGTAATAGATTAGTAATCACAGAGTGGGCTTATTATAAAACAGAGTTCAGCCCCTTTTGCCCTCTTGCTTTCTTGCACTCTCTTTTCCTTCTGCCTTCTGTAGTGGGATGATGCAGCAAGAAGACCCTTACCAGATGCAGGCCCCTCAACCTTGGACTTCCTAACATCCAGAACTGTTAAGAAATAAAATTTATTCCTTTCCTTTCCTTTTCTTCCTCCTTTCCCTTCTCTTCCCTTTTCTTCCCTTCCCCTCCCTCCCTCTCTCTCTCCCTCCCTCCCTCCTTCCCTCCCTTCCTCCTTCCCTCTTTCTCTCTTTCCCTTCCTTCCTTTCCTTCTTTCCCTTCCTTCCTTTCCTTCCCTCCTTCCCTTTTTCCCTCCTTCCCTCCTCCCTTCCTTTTTTCTTTCCTTCCTTTTTTCCTTTTTATAAATTATGCAGTCTGTGGTATTCTTTTATAGAAGCATGAAATGGACAAAGACTCCATTTTCAAGAGCAAGCACTTTTGTAGTTTCTGAGCGAACTATGACTGCAAAGGAAGTTCTATAGGTAGCCTCAGATCCACTACTTAGGAAGCATGCCACCAAGCAGACCTAGGATCTAGGATTTGATCAAGTGCTGGGCAACATGATACCTCTGCAATTTAGCACTTCCCTATATACCTCCAGTTGGCTCAGCCCATTAGGGCTAAAACTACCCCTCATATCCTAGTGTCTCTTGTAGGCAGAAGCCTTGCCTAAACCCTAAGCTGCTTGGCTCACATTCTGTCTTGTGCTTTTTTTGTAGGGGGTTCAAATATACACAAAAGAAATATGTTGAACCTCCATGCACCCAACCCGCAGATTAAGCAGTTACCTCCATTTTTCCAGATTTGTTTCATCTGCTTCAATCTCCCTAAAAATTTATGTTTGTACAGGAAAGACTGAATAAATAGCTAATTCTCCACCCTACCTCTCATCTTAAGTCACTTTTCAGAGTAGTAAGTTAGTGACCTAGTAACCTTCCCTCTAATGACCAGTAGTTTTTTTTTCTGAATACCATTATGAACTCATAGATTATTGTTTGCATTTGATGTATTTCAGGCCATTGCAGTCTTTATTGTTTTGGATGCTTACATTGTCTCATCTAGGTTAATAATTATCTCTTCAAGTTGACTTTCATGTCTTTTTGACGTGATCCTGTTGGACTTTGATGGCTTTCTTGCTTTCTGGCAAAACAGATGTTCCAGGATCAATATACTGCACCATACATGGAGTCAGCCGTTTCTCTAGGGAACCTTGATTCCTTTTAGTAGAGAACGCAGTTTGAGGTCTTGGACTGAATGACTTTTGTGAACCTCCTCTCCTGAGACTACAGCCTGCATCCCTGCATATAGCCCGTTTGGAGCTCTTGCTGGGCACCAACAGATCTCCTAAAACTGCTATATAGTTCTGCCTCACTCTTACAAAGATTCATCTCTTGAGAGTTTTGTGCTCTACCCCCAGATGTGGTCTTTCTGGTTATGAAGCTTTTGCTTCAGTCACCCTGAATTTTGCCAGCCCTATGCATGCTATACCTTGGATTGCCAACTTGCCCTCACTGAAGCCAGTTTCTCTGGTTAGAATAGTTGCCCAAACCCATGCCTAATACTCTAGTAAACAAGGTTCTACCTGGGCTTAGGTTAACTTTTGCTCCTTTGGGCCCTGTGTTCTACCAGCATTCCATTTATCTGAAACTCTCCCTCACCTTAAGAACTTATCTGTTCTTTAATGATTTACTGCTGCTTCCTGGGCTCGAAAGAACCCAGTTCAGGAGTTTCTGTTTTAGTTTGAGATCTTATAGGCCTGTCTCATCAGGTTGGTGTCAGCCCAGCTAGGATTAGGCAGAATTGGGTGGGGGCTGTAGTGCATTTTTGGCACAGCATGTACCTGTCTGACTAATTCTCTGTCTTTTCTTTCCTGTTGCAATTCATGGGTCTTAGCATCTTCTGAATGGTGTTTAGTAGGTCATCCTGTTGATTTCCTGCTAGGGAGTAGCATACTCTGGCCCTGTACCATTGGCCAAGGGACTTAAGGATAGATGAAGGGCTGCAGTTTTGTTAAATGGAACAATATGAAGAGATGGCATTGTTAAAAAAAAAAAAAAAGGCTTGGCAGCAGGGCCCATTTGAATGGTTGGTCCTTGGCTCCTTTGTTGATATAGGCAGATCCTTGATGGGAATTTGGAATGATCCCAAATATTGTAGATCACTGGTACATCAAGTCATCCTCAAGGTTGTCTGTGTAACAGTCTTGAATGATATTTTGTCAGTCTTTGGAGAGTCTCTGTATAGGGTTTAATCATTTAGTTATTTCAGTTGAGCCTGTTTAGTTTCTTTGCAAGGAGATAAGAAATGTGAAAGAGATGCAGACATTAGGGAAAAAAAGTCAGGAGCCTTGTTTCCCCATCCTCTACTTGGGTTCTGGAACTAGACTTATAGGTGAGTAGTGAGGAGCTGGGCCCAAGCACATTAATCCTAGATCTAG
Source organism: Homo sapiens (assembly GCF_000001405.40). Classification (NCBI taxonomy): domain Eukaryota; kingdom Metazoa; phylum Chordata; class Mammalia; order Primates; family Hominidae; genus Homo; species Homo sapiens. The sequence goes on along the minus strand of NC_000019.10, from coordinate 225,466 downwards.
CTCTGCTTTGCCCTCGCTCCAGTTCTTGTATCAAATTCACTTCAAGCCACCCAGAGTAGTATGTAGAGGAGTCATTCAGGACCATGCTCATACTTCATTGTATCAAATGGGAGATCCAGTAATTTATAGCCTATTGTTTCTGGAGCCTGGAGATGGCTCTGCATAAGATTTGCTGAAGCAAATTTTATTACATTAGAAGAGAACCTAGCTGGCTGCATCCTACACTGGAAGCTTTTAGATGCTAATAAGGAGGTCATGTAAAGGTCACAGAATGACTCTGGAATCCATTCCCCACCAAGAAAGAATAATGACATTCTATGTTGGCCTCTTTTCATTTCCCTTTGGTTTTGAGTAATAAATTCTCTCCTCACTTCCCAGTCGAACTGTTTGGGAGTCTCTATTCCCTAGAAAGACTCTGGTCACATACCCATCAGATTAAATTAGGTGAAAACTCTTTGGCCTTCATGAATGTTGAAGGATTTCAAAGGGCTAATGGAAATTCTTCTAGAAGTAACTGCAACCTCCGCCTTCCAGGTTCAAGCGATTTTCCTGCCTCAGCCTCCCAAGTAGCTGGGATTACAGGTGTCCACCACCATGCCCAACTAATTTTTGTATTTTTAGTAGAGACGGGGTTTCACCATGTTGGCCAGGCTGATCTAGAACTTTTGACCTCAGGTGATCCGCCCGCCTCAGCCTCCCAAAGTGCTGGGATTACAGGCGTGATCCACCGCGCCCAGTTAAACTTCAGTTTTTCATGTTCCATGCATTGGTCAGGGTCTTAGGGAGTGATTCATTCTAGCAGAACTCCCTGGATTTTAAGGCAGATGTTCCATTTATTAATTGACAAAGGAGGCATATTTCTCCCCTGGTAACCCAAAGATTTAGGTCATTTTCCCAGAGACTCCATTTCCACTGTGAGGGTTCTTGGAAAACTAAGCAGAGGATGAGGAAAAGTCTGTGAACAAGCTTGCTGGTCTCTCCCTGTCCTACAAAAGAGCATACCTCTTCTGTAACCAGAAGGCCCTTTTGATTAGTCAAGGCTGGACAGAGTGAGATTGGGTGTGTGTGTGTGTGTGTGTGTGTGTTTGTGTGTGTCTTAAGACAGGGTCTCACTCTGTCACCAAGGCTAGAGTGCAGTGGTGAGATCAGAGCTCACTGCAGCTTCCACTTCCTGGGCTCAAGCGATCCTCCTATTTCAGCCTCCAGAGTAGCTGGGACTATACGAATGTTTTACCGCACCCAGTTCATTTTCTAATTTTTTGTAGAGATGAGGTTTCACTGTGTTGCTCAGGCTGGTCTTGAACTCCTGGCCTCACGGAATCCTCCTGCCTTAGTCTCCCAGTGGGCTGGGATTATAGGTATGAGCCACCTCACCTGACCTGCGACGATTTTTCAATGATGTAATTTCTCTTTTACAGAGCCACCTAAGCTGAAGATTCCCTTGAGAACAAGTACTGTCCCTAGTTTCCCAGTGCTGGAATATAGAAAATGGATGGACAAGTAAATCCCACTCAGCACCCATAGTCCCGGCATGGGGACCTCAACACACCTGAGCCCCAGACATCACCTTTCATTGCGAGTAGCTGTGAGATGACACTTCTGCTGTTCCCAATTCCAGCATTAATTGGATTAGATAGTTATTTTATGAAGAATTTTCATATGCCACAATCCTGACCATATCTTCAAGTGAACAGAAAAATTCTATTAAAAAGTCAACCTTCTGTCTCACTCTGTTGCCCAGACTGGAGTGCAGTGGTGCAATTATGGCTCACTGCAGCCTCAACCTCCTGGGCTCAAGCAATCCTCCTGCCTCAGCCTCACAAGTAGCTGGGACTACAGGTGCTTGTCACCACACCTCACTAATTTTCCCATTTGTGTTATATGTGGATTCCACAGGACTGACTTCGAAAACTTGAGTATGCGTGGATTTTGGTATACACAGAAATGGGAGAGCTGGAACTAATCCCCCCATATACCAAGGGACAAATTGTATCTGTTTCTACAATTATACAGTAGGAGACATTATGTTCCATGACAATGGTAATTTTTAACGACAGTTTTTAATTGAGTGAAATTACCATAAAAATAATAATAGTAGCAGCTAATATTTACTGAGCTGTTACTAGGTGCCTATAAATAGCATAGATTTTTAAATTCTCCATAATTCTTCCTTATTTCACTTAACCACCCTATCTTAAATTACTCATGCTTGCCTCAGTAGCACACATACTTAAGTTGGAACAATAGAGAGATTGGCACGGCCTCTGTGAAAGAATGACATGCAAATTTGTGAAGCATTCCATATTTTTTTAAAAAAAGAGAAAAAAATTACTCCCAGATTTTCACTGTGTTTGTGCATATGACCTTTTGTTTAGGTTGAATTATATCCAAAGGTGAAATTTCCAGAAGTGAGATTACTGTGAGTCACAGGGCATGAGCATTCTTATTACCCTCGATGTAAATTGCAAAGCTTTCAGGCATGGTGGCTGTCAGCCTGTAATTCCAGCACTTTGGGAGGCTGAGGTGGGAGGATTGCTTGAGGCCAGGAGTTGGAGGAGGCAGTATAATGAGTCACTGTCTGTATGATTTAAAAAAAATTTCCAAGCTTTATGCTGGAAGGCTTATATACATTTTAAACACCACTAATACTACAAGAAAATGGCCATTTCACTGCACCTTCGCCCACACAGGTATTATAATTTAACAAGTTATTTTCTGTGTGATAAATGAAAGACCTCCTATTAGCTGGGATTACAGGCATATGCCACCATGCCTGGTTAATTTTTGTATTTTTAGTAGAAACGTGGTTTCACCATGTTGATCAGGCTGGTCTCGAACTCCTGATCTCATGATCTACCCGCCTTGGCCTCCCAAAGTGCTTGATTACAGCTGTGAGCCATGTGCCCAGCCTATTTGTCACATATTTTATCTTTCCTTATGTTAGCTTATTAGCTTTATTTCTTTATTGTCCTTTTTTTTTTTTTTGAGATGAAGTCTCGCTCTGTCTCCTAGGCTTCAGTGTAGTGGCACAGTCTCAACTCACTGCAGCCTTGACCTCCTAGGCTCAGGTGATCCTTCCACCTCAGTAGTTGGGACTGTAGGCACATGCCACTATGCCTGGCCAATTATTTTTATTTTTTTATTTTTACTAGAGAGGAGGTCTTGCTTTGTTTCTTAGGCTGGTCTGGAACTCCTGGCCTCAAGCAATCCCCCCACCACCCCCTCCCAAAGTACTGGTATTATAAGCATGAGCCACCATGCCTGGGGTATCTGTGTCTTTTCCATTTATTTATAGAGTTACTTTGTCTTTTACTAATTCAATGATCTGTTTAATCTTTTATTAAATTATAAAAATGATAAATACTTTTAAATAAGTGAAAAATGTCCTTCACTCTTTAGACCCATAATCTTATCTCAGGAAATAATTGCAGTTGAGAAAATGGGCCATATCCTTCAAGATACGTACATGGTGATTGAACATCACTTCATATTTTCATATTTCGTGGACATTTGTGCCAATACCTATTGATCTATCTTAATCCTTTTCATGGTTGCATAATATTTTATTATATGGATGTATCACAATTTACCAGTACCAGTCAACTGCTGGAGGCATTTAGGCTCCTTCTAATATTTGCTTTGAGCTCTTTATATAATTAAAAATTAACCCCCTCAGCCAGGTGTGGCAGCTCACACCTGTAATCCCAGCATTTTGGAAGGCTGAGGTGAGAGAACTGCCTGAGTGTAGGAGATCACCACCAACCTGGTCAACATAGTGACACTTTGTCTCTACTAAAAATTAAAAAAAAAAAATGAGCTACACGTTGCAGTGCACACCTGTAGTCCGAGCTACTGGGGAGGCTAAGACTGGAGGATCACTTGAGTCTAGAAGGTTGAGGCTGCAGTAAGCTATGATCACACCATTGCACTTTAGCTTTGCTAAGAGCAAGACTGCATTTCTTAAACAAAATAAAAATTAGATGGGAATATTGCTCAAGCCCTGGAGGTTGAGGCTGCAGTTAACTGTGATTGCACCACTGCAGTCCAGCCTAGGTGATAGAGCAAGACCCTTTCTCTAAAAATAAAATAAAATAAAAATTAACCTTCTATCATATTTCCCAGTAACACCTTCCCTCCTACATTTCTCCTAGAAGCCCTTAAATTTTGTTTTTCACATATCGTTTAAAACTTCTAAGTGCTGATGTCTGTCTGTGTCATCCCTCTTTTTTTTTTTTTTTAAATGTCTTTTTGTCACTTCTAGCTGGACCTACCATGAAAGACTTCTGAATCCAGGAAGAGAAACTGACTGGGCAACATGTTATTCAGGTACAAAAAGACTTGGACTGTAACTCAAAAATGATCAAATAATAGTGCATGCATCAAGTGCAATCGGAAGCTCTTCTGGAGAGGGAGAGAAGCTTCCAGTTAAGGTGACATTGAAGCCAAGTCCTGTAAGATAAGGAAGAGTTGTATGAGAGTGGGGAGGGAAGGGGGAGGTGGAGGGATGGGGATTGGGCTGGGATGGGATGGAGTGAGCTGCCCAGGCAGGGAAACCAGCACTATACAGACCTGAACAATGAAGATGGCACATTTTGTTCAGGGAATGGTGAATTAAGTGTGGCAGAAATGCTTTGTAGAGACAGTAATTTGCTTGTATGGAATTTTGCCCAAGAGACCTCATTACAGTTTCTAATTTTTTGATGTTATCATGCATCACTGCCCTTGTCAGATAGTATCATGATCACAATAACATCAAGCATAATATTTCATTGATTCTCACAAAAACAGGTGGGTGCCACAGTTATCCCCATTATATGCACAAAATGATGAAGACTTGGGGTTAATGAGTGATTTGCCCAAGCTCACCTGAATATTAGGACTGAGTCAAATGTTAGTCTGGTCTGACTTTAATGCTTGCCTTGTTCATGAGCACCATGCATTGCCTCTCCTATTAAGTTAAGCAGGTAGACAGGTGAGAGAAGAGCCAGTGTGATATCGGGGGAAATTCACCCCTGATATTTCATGTAGGTTCTTTTCTATTTTCCCTGAGTGTCAGCCAGTCTGAGAAATAAAGGGAAAGAGTACAAAAGAGAGAAATTTTAAAGCTGGATGTCCAGGGGAGACATCACACGTCGGCAGGTTCCGTGATGCCCCCCAAGCCGCAAAACCAACAAGTTTTTATTAGTGATTTTCAAAAGGTGAGGGAGTGTACGAATAGGGTGTGGGTCACAGAGATCACATGCTTCACAAGGTAATAAAATATCACAAGGCAAATGGAGGCAGGGCAAGATCACAGGACCACAGGACCGGGGCGAAATTAAAATTGCTAATGAAGTTTCGGGCGCGCATTGTCATTGATAACATCTTATCAGGAGAAAGGGTTTGAGAGCAGACAACCCATCTGACCAACATTTATTAGGCGGGAATTTCCTTGTCCTGATAAGCCTGGGAGCGCCACGTGAACCCAGGGCTTATTTCATCCCTTATCTACGACTGTAAAAGACAGCCGTCCCCAAAGCGGCCATTTCAGAGGCCTCCCCTTAGGGATGCATTCTCTTTCTCAGGGATGTTCTTTGCTGAGAAAAAGAATTCAGCAATACTTCTCCTATTTGCTTTTGAAAGAAGAGAAATATGGCTCTGTTCAACCCGGCCCACAGGCAGCCAGAGTTTAAGGTTATCTCCCTTGTTCCCTGAAATTGCTGTTATCCTGTTCTTTTTTCAAGGTGCCCAGGTTTCATATTGTTTAAACAACTTGTGCAGTTAACGCAATTATCACAGGGTCCTGCGGGGACATTCATCCTCAGCTTACGAAGATGACCGGATTAAGAGATTAAAGACAGGCATAGAAAATCACAAGGGTATTGATTGGGGAAGTGATAAGTGTCCATGAAATCTTCACAATTTATGTTCAGAGATTGCAGTAATGACAGGCCTAAGAAATTATAGAAGTATTAATTTGGGGAACTAATAAATGTCCATGAAATCTTCACAATTTATGTTCTTCTGCTGTGGCTTCAGCCAGTCCCTCCGTTTGGGGTCCCTGACTTCCTGCAACACGTTTCTCTCTACTCACAGACTTCTGACCAAATGTGTGTGCAGAGTTTCTACACCAGTTCTCCAACTCTCTGGATACCAACCGCGTATCCCACAATTCCATTCTGACACTACCTAGAGTTAGCACAGAACCCACAGGTTAGGGGCTCAGTCCCACAAGACCACCCTCACTTCAGATGCCAGTTGCAAGTCCTAGGTTGTCACCTGTATTTTGACCAACCAGTTAGAAATCAGGGTTTCCCATGACCCTCTTGTTGAGTTTAATTATTTACTAGAACAACTCACAGAACTTAGAAAAACAAGTTTTTTTTCTTTTCTTTTTAAGAGACAGGGCCTCGCTCTGTTGTCCAAGCTGGTGTGCAGTGGTGCAATCATAGCTTATTGAAGCCTCAACGTCCAGGGCTCAAGTGATTCTCCTGCTTCAGCCTCTCAAGTAGCTGGAATTACAGGGTTCCCACCACCACATTTGGCTAATTTCTTTTATTTTTTGTATAGATGGGGTCTTCTTATGTTGCCCAGGTTGGTCTCAAATTCCTAGGCTCAAGTGATTCTGCCCACCTCTGCCTCCCAAAGTGCTGGGATTACGGGCATGAGCCAGTGCATCTGGCCACCTTATTTTCTATTACTGGCTCAATGTAATGGCTCCATCTCAGGAACAGCCAATGAAAGAGATGCACAGGACAAGGTAAGTGGGGAGGGGCACAGAGCTTCCATGCCCTCTGTTGGGCACACTACCCTCCCAGGACCTCCTTGTGTTTAGCAACACAGAAGCTCTCCAAACCCTGCTGTTTGGGTGTTTATGGAGGCATGATTGATAAAATCACTGGCCATTGGTAGTTAAGTCAATCTCCAGTTCCTTTTGCCTCCTGGAGTTCAGCAGGTGAGGCTGAAAGTTCCAAGCCTCAAAAAATGTGGTTGGGGCCAGGTGCGGTGGCTCACTCCTGTAATCCTAGCAGTTTGGAAGGCTGAGGCACATGGACCACTTGAGGTCAAGAGTTTGAGACTAGCCTGACCAACATGGTGAAACCCCATTTCTACTAAAAATAACAACAGTTAGCTAGGCGTTGTGGCACATCCCTATAATTCCAGCTACTCGGGAGGCCGAGGCAGGAGAATTGCTTGAACCCGGGAGGTGGAGGTTGTAGTGAGCTGAGATTGTGCCATTGCACTCCAGCCTGGGCTACAAGAGCCAAACTCCGTTTAAAAAAAAAAAAGTGGTTGCTTTCTCTGGCAGCTAGCCCTCCTCCTGAAGCAGTCTCGGAGCTTGCAGCCACCCTGTTAGCTCAACAGCATCCCACATGCATTCTTACCATGCTGCAGATCTGAAAGACCTTAGAGGCCCTTGTGTCAGGAACCTGGGACTAAGACTAAATATCAAAACAGAAAATGCTCCTATTACCTCTGTCACGAAGGGCTTTATAAGAGCTTTGGAAGCTCTATGCCAGGAACCACGGGCAGAGACCAAATGTATATTTCTTTTCTTATATCGGAGACAGAGTCTCACTCTGCCACTGAGGCTGGAGTGCAGTGATGTGATCATAGCTCACTGCAGCCTTGACCTCCTAGGCTAAAGCAATCCTCCCACCTTAGCCTCTCCAGTAGCTGGAACTACAGGCATGCATCACCATGTCCAGCTGATTTTAATTTTGTAAAGGCAGGATCTTCCTATTTTCCCCAGGCTGATCTCTAACTCTTGGCCTCAAGCAATCCTTCCTCTTTGGCCTCCCAAAATGTTGGGATTACAGATGGGAGCCCCCATACCCACCAATCACAAGGATCTTTATAAGAGAATGAGGTAGGAGAGTCAGAATTAGAGAAAGTGATGTGGTAATGGAAGAAGAGGTCAGAGAGGGAGATTTGAAGATGCTGCACTTCTGGCCTTGAATATGGAGTCACGAGGTAAGTCAAGGAATGGAGGTGGCTTCTAGAAGCTGGAAAAGGCAAAGGAGCACATTCTGTCTAGAGCCTCCCCCAGAAGGAATGCAGCCTCTCTGACACCTTGACTTTAGCCTTGATAGACCTAGTTGGGCTTCTGGCCCCCAGAACTGTAAGATGGTAGATTTGTGGTGTTTGATGCCACTAAATGTAGGGTACTTTGTTGTAGCAACAACAAAAAATGAACATGAAGCTGGGACCTCATGTTACAGTTGCTCACGCCTGTAATCCCAGAACTTTAGGAGGCTGAGGTGGGAGGATCGCTTAAGCCCAGGAGCTTAAGACCAGCCTGGGCAACATAATGAGACCTCATGTCTAAAAAAAAAATGTTTTTAAAGGCCAGGCGCAGTGGCTCACGCCTGTAATCCCAGCACTTTGGGAGGCCGAGGAGGGTGGATCACGAGGTCAGAAGTTCAAGACCAGCCTAGCCAAGATGGTGAAACCCCATCTCTACTAAAAATACAAACATTAGCCAGGTGTGGTGGTGGGTGCCTGTAATCCCAGCTACTTGGGAGGCAGAGAATCACTTGAACCCAAAAGGCAGACATTGCAGTGAGCCAAGATCGCACCCTTACACTTCAGCCTGGGCGACCGAGACTCCGTCTCAAAAAAAAAAAAAAAAGCCATGTGTTGTGGCATGCAGCTGTAGTCTCAGTTCCTAGGGTGGCTGAGGCGGGAGGATTGTTTAAGCCTGGGAGGTTGAAGTTGCTGTGAGCTGTGATTGCACCAGTGTACTCCAGCCTGGGCAATAAAGCAAGACCTTGTTTCAAAAAGAAAGAAATGAGCATGGTGGGAATGGGGACAGATGGCAGTGTTAAGTAGAGTGGTCAGGGTTGGCCTCATAAGTGAATATTGAGCAAAAGTTTGAAGCAGGTGATGGAGCTGGCCAAGGTGCTGAGGGAAGAGCATTGTAGGCTGAGTCAACAGGATAAAGGCATTAGGAGGAAACTCTCTGGTGTGTCTGAGGCTCTGGAAGGAGGCCAGTGGAGCAAAGAGATAGAGGGAGCGAAGTCAGCGAGGAGGCCAGGGAGTTGCTGGGCTGGGATCGGTACAGATCGTGTAAGCCCTGGGACGCTATTGCTGGGGCTTTGGCTTTTACTCTGACTAAAATGGGAACCACCGAGGGCTTCTGAGCAGAGAGGCGACATGATCCGTCTCCTGATTTAAAAGCACGACCTGGCTGCCGAGTTGAGAAAGACTATGGGAAGATTTGGGTAGAAGCATGGGGGCCAAGCTGTGGCAACATCCCGGTGGGAGATGATAGTGATCCTGACGGGGTTCATGGTGGTGGTGAGAGATGGTTAGAGCCTGGATACATATTGAAGTCAGTCAGTAGGATTTCCTGACAGACTGGTTGTGAGCTGTGAGAGAAGGCAGTGGTCAAGGTTGAGTTTGATTCTGATTGAATTATTAAGTAATTTTAAAAAACACTACTGCTTTTCCCAATCCTACCAAGTAAAGGATGCTAGATAAAAGAAATCCCAAGTCAGGCCAGGTACAGTGGCTCACACCTATAGTTCCAACAGTTTGAGAGGCAGAGATGGGAGTATGTTTTAAGGCCATGAGTTTGAGAGCAGCCTGGGCAACACAGCAAGACCTCCTCTCTACAAAAATAAAAAAAATAAATTTAATAAAATAAAATAAATATAGCCAGGCATGATGGTATGTACCTATGGCCCCAGTTACTCATGTGGCTGAGATGGGCAGATCTCTTGATTCTAGGAGTTTGAGGCCAGCTTGGGCAACATAGCAAGTCTTCTCTCTCTACAAAAATGAAAAAAATGCCTGACATGGTGGTACTTGCCTGTATTCCCAGGTATGGGGGCAGCTGAGGCTGGAGCATCTCTTGAGCCCAGTTGGTCAAGGTTGCAGTGAGCTATGATTATACCACTGCACTCCATCCTGGGTGACAGAGTGGGACCCTGTCTCAAAATACAAATACAAATGAAATCTCAAGTCAGACCAGTCCCTTCTAGGCTATGTAGGCCTTGTAACCACATAGCTGCATGATCGGGTTTGTGTGGCTGTGGATGAGGAGACCCCTGTCCAATTGTTGGCTATGTAATCAGTTTATTTTTCAATATAGTAATCAAATATATTTCATCATACTTGATGGTCTCAGATATGTGTGGATTTTGGAATTCCCCTTGGAACAGGTTGTAACATCTTATTGGCTCCATAATTCCATAATTTTTTTAATCTGATCAGTTTTTAATAAGATCGCAATTTATATTAGACTACTTAATCGGTTTTGTTAATGACAAAATGAAATTGTGTTGTTTGCATTTTATCCAAGATGGGTGTCATATTGGGTAAATCTCATCAATACTTGAACAAATGCAAAATTAGAGCTTCTTTATCATGAAACACGATGTAATTCTTGAAGAAGATGCCATTTCTTTTTTTTCTTTTTTTTTTTAAGATAAGAGTCTTTCTCTTGTCACCCAGGCTGGAGTGCAATGGTGCGATTTTGGCTCACTGCAACCTTCACCTTCTGGGTCCAAGCAATTCTCCTGCCTCAGCCTCCCGAGTAGCTGGGATTACAGGTGCCCGCCACCATACCCAGCTAATTTTTGTATTTTTAGTAGAGATGGGATTTCACCATATTGGCCAGGCTCCTCTGGAGCTCCTGACCTCAGGCAATCTGCCTGCCTCAGCCTCCCAAAATTCAAGGAGTACAGATGTGAACAACCACGCCCGGCCTCCATTTCTTTTTTGTAGTCTTTAATAAACAGCTGCTATCATTGCAGACTTGCTGTTTAGGCACTTAGGAATTTTTCACTAGAAGGCATGTAAATAAAGACCATGGGCAATTGTAATGAATTTCGCCTTCATTCTTTGACTACATGACTGTCCCCAGAGCTGTAACTTTATTGAATTTTTTAGAAGCCATTTAGCTAGCAACTGAGCCTAACCAGCCACTCACCGTCATTATTCAGTGCTCTTTTATTATTGTCTATTTCTCCTCCAACTTGGCTACACTCACAAAGTGATAAAAACTTGCATTTGTTTTCTTTCCTTTTCAGAGACAGCGTCTTGCTCTGTTGCTTAGGCTACAGTACAGTGACATGATCATGGTTCACTGTAGCCTCAAACTCCTGGGCTCAAGTGGTTCTCTCACTTCAGTCTCCCAAGTAGCTGGGACTACAGACATGTGCCACCATGTCCAGCTAATTTTTTATCATAGAGACGGGATCTTGCCATGTTGCTCCGACTGGGCTCAAAACTCCTGACCTCAAGTGATCCTCCTGCCTCAGCCTCCCAAAGTGCTGGGATTACAGGCAGGCATGACCACCTGTGCCCAGCCCCCTATTATTATTATTTTAAATAATAGCTTTATTAAAATATTCAAATGCCATTCACTTTATTTATTGAAATCTGCAATTCAGTAGGTTTTAGAATATTCACAGAGCTGTGCATCGATCACCACAGTCACTTTTAGAACCTTTCATTACCCTATAGAGAAATCCATACCCCTTAGCTACTACCTCCTACTCTCCCCACCTACCTTTGCCCCCAGCCTTAGGCAACCATTGATTAATTTTTTGTCACTATAGATTTGCCTAATCTGGACAAATAGAATTGTACAATATGTGATCTTTTGTGGCTTTTTTTCCCTCTTAGCACAGTGTTTTCAAAGTTCCTTTATGTCATAGTGTGTATCAATATTTCATTCCTTCTATGGCAGTATTCCATGGTAGAGACACACTGCATTTTGTTTATCTGTTCATCAGTTGGTGGATATTTGGGTTGTTTCCATGTATTCCACGTATTGGTCATTATGAATAATGCTGCTATGAAGATTGTTGTACAAGTTTTTGTGTGGACATATATTTTTATTTTTCTGGGATATATGCCTAGGAGTGAAATTGTTGCATTATAGGATGACTGTACATTTAGCCTTTTGAGAAACTGCCAGACTGTTTTCTAACGTGGCTATACCAGTTGGGTGCAATGGCTCACACCTGTAATCCCGGCTACTCAGGAGGCTCAGCTAGGAGGATGGCTTGAGCCCGTGAATTCAAGACCAGCCTGGGCAAGATAGTGAAACCCCGTCTTGATTTTTTAAAAATCCAATTAAAATGACAAGAAAAGAAATACCCAAACAAAATGGTTACACAATTTTATGTTCCCACCAGTAATGTATGTGGGTTCCAATTCCTCCACATCTTCACTGACATTTTTTTTTTCTAGATAGGGGCTTGCTCTGTCTCTCAGGCCGCAGTGCAATGATGCCATCACAGTTCACTGCAGCCGTGACCTCCCAGGCACAAGTGATTCTCTCATCTCAGCCTCCTGGGTAGCTGAAAATTACAGGTGTACGCCACCATGCCTGGCTAATTTTTAGATTTTTCTGTAGTGGTGGGATTTTACCATGTTGCCCAGGCTGGTCTCATACTCCTGGCCTCAAGTGATCTGCCCACCTCAGCCTCCCTAAGTTCTGGAATTACAGGCTGCCACCATGCCCGGCCTTCACCAACATTTGTCATTATCTGTTTTTTTTTTCTTCCTTTATACCTTAAAGCAGTATAAGAACAAGTGTCTTCAATTATAGGAAACAGTATAATCCCAGGGCTTTGGGAGGCTAAGACAGGAAGATGTCTTGATGCCAGGAGTTTTTTTTGTTGTTGTTGTTTTTGTTTTTGTTATTGTTGTTGTTGTTTTTGACAGTCTCGCTCTGTCACCCAGGGGTGGAGTGCAGTGATGGGGTCCACTGCAACCTCCACCTCCCAGGTTCAAGTGATTCTCCTGCCTCAGCCTCCCGAGTAGGTGAGACTACAGGTACACGCCACTACTGCCCAGCTGATTTTTGTATTTTTGATAGAGTCAGAGTTTCACCGTGTTGGCCAGGCTGGTCTCGAACTCCAGACTTCAGGTGATTTGCCTGCCTTAGCTTCCCAAAGTGCTGCGATTACAAGCATGAGCCACCATGCCCAGCCTGATGCCAGGAGTTTTAGACTAGCCTGGGCAACCTAGCAAGACCTTGTCTCTACAGAATATTTAAAAATTAGCCAAATGTGGTGGTGCCTGTGTATAGTCTCTCTCCCTCTCTTTTTTTTTTTTCTAACTTTTTGTGACATGGTCTGGCTCTGTCACCCAGGCTGAAGTGCAGTGGTGTGATCATGGCTCACTGCAGCCTGAAACTCCTGGGATCAAGTGATCAATCCTCCCACCTCATCCTACCAAGTAGTAGGGACCACAGGTGTATGCCACCCAGGTCTTGCTATGTTGTCCAGGCTGGTCTTGAGCTCCTGGCCTCAAGCAATCCTCTCACCTTGGCCCCCCACAGTGCAAGGATTACAGGTATGAGCCACCATGCCTGGCCCCTACCCTGCCTACTGAGAACCAAAGGAAGGATCCAAATTCTCCTTAGCTCAACTCGAGCCATTTCCTGATTGCTTCATCAGTGAGGAGCTGGTTATTGGGCTGTCCAGGCCTCCCAAGCAGCACAGAAATGAGGTGAAGGAGTTTTCCTGTTGCTCCACTCTGTAAGGAGTTGGAGGGTGATGTTTACTCATTTGCAGAGAGAGATGCCTTGTAGGCACCTCAGCATGGAGAGGGCCCTGATTCCAATGTCCTTTTTTTCTTCAGAAACAGGACCTTGCCCTGTCACTCAGGATGGAGTTCAGTGGTCCTATCATGGCTCATTATAGCCTCAAACTCCCAGGCTCAAGCAATCCTACCATGTCAGCCTTCCCAGTAGCTGGAACTACAGGTAAGCATCGTGACACTCAGTGAATTTTGTTTTTATTTTGTTGTAGAGATGGGACCTCAGTATGTTGCCATGGCTGACCTTGAACTCCTGCACTCAAGGGATTTTCCTACCCTGGCCTCCCAAAGTATTGGTATTACAGGCATGAGCCATTGTGCCCACCGTCTCTGGTTCTTAACCTTCTGCCTCCCTCTTCCAGTTTTAAAGAATGCTTGTAATTACATGGGCTCTCCTAGATACTCCAGGATAATCTTGTTTTAAGGTCAGCTGATGAGCAACATTAATTTTATCTGCACTCTTAATTCCCCCTTCCTATGTAATTGTGCTGTGTAACATAGGACATGAGCAATTGGTGGCGGTGGGGGTTATTACTTTGGCCACCACAGTAACTATTTTATGCCAGGTACTCAGCTAAGCACTGGTGAATTAAGCATGAATAACACACACTCCTTAATCTCCATCCATTCATGGGAGGAGCACTTCACCTGCCATGCTCCTGAGAATCTCGGGAGTCATAGAAGTCTTCTATGAGGAGGTGATGCCAAAGCGGACAAGTGACAGAGGAGTCAAAGCTAGCTAGGAAGAGAGTAGAGGTTTAAGGGGAAGCATATTATAAGCAGAGGATATTACCCACTTCAGAGACTCCCAGAGGAGAAAGAGTGTGCGTTCAAGGGGCAGATGAGGCTCAGTTGGACTCCATAGCAGATGTAATGGAGAGGGGCAAGCAGTGAGGCTGCCTTGCAAGGCAGGGCAGAGCAGGGGCTGTTAAGGAGTTTGGACTTAATCCCTGAGGCAAGGAGAAGTGATGTAAATGGGGGAGTAACATGATGAGATTCATAGATTAGAGACATGGCTCAGGCTGCTGTAGAGAAGGCACCAGGAAGAGCAGATGGCTCAATGTGTGTGCAGAAGACCTCTCCCTGAGTTTAGGGAGAGGTTTTTAAAACAGAAGAAGTTTGAGTAATTTAAATGATGATGGGAAGGAGCTAAAAGTGGGGGATAGGTTAAAGATACAGGAAAGTGGGAGGAAGAACTGACAAGTGAGGTTCCAGAGAGGGCAGGAGAAGAGGAGATTCCCATAGGGGGATTAACACTTTCTTTTCTTTTTTCTTTCTAAGACAGGGTCTCACTCTGTCACCCAGGCTGGAGTGCAGTGGCACAATCTTGGCTCACTGTAGTGTAGACTTCCCAGGCTCAAGGGATTTCTCCCACCCCAGACTCCCAAGTAGCTGGAACTACGGGTGTGCACCACCACCACACCTGGCTAATGTCTCTTTTTTTTGGTAGACACAGAGTCTCACTATTTAGCACTGATTGGTCTCCAACTCCTGGCCTCAAGCGATCCTCCTGCCTAGGCTTCCCAAATTGCTGGGATTACAGGCATGAGCCACAATGCCTGGCCTCTGCTAGTTCCGTATTCTCTAGAGTTGTCTTTACTTTGTGCTAGTGTGTCCCTCATTGTGCTGATCCTCTGTAAAAATTAATACCTTTTTTTTTTTTTTTGAGATGGAGTTTCACTCTTGTTGCCCAGGCTGGAGTGCAATGGTGCTATCTCGGCTCAGCGCAACCTCCACCTTCTGGGTTCAAGCAATTCTCCTGCCTCAGCCTCCCGAGTAGTTGGGATTACAGGCATGTGCCACCATGCCCAGCTAATTTTGTATTTTTAGTAGAGATGGGGTTTCTCTGTGCTGGTCAGGCTGGTCTCGAACTCCTGACCTCAGGTGATCTGTCTGCCTTGGCCTCCCAAAGTGCTGGGATTACAGGCATGAGCCATTTTGCCTGGCCAAAATTAATACTTTTTATATTAAATTTACATATATATATATATATATATATATATATATATATATATATATATGTTTTTTCTTTTTGATACCGGGTCTCACACTGTCACCCAGGCTGGAGTACAGTGGCACAACCTCTGCTCACTGCAGCCTCCACCTGCCAGGCTCAAGCAATTCTCCTGCCTCAGCCTCCCGAGTAGCTGGGATTACAGGTAAGTGCCACCACACCCAGCTGATTTTTGTGTTTTTTGTAGAGACGAGGTTTCGCCATGTTTCCCAGACTGTTCTCAAACTCCTGAGCTCAAAGCAGTCCACCCACCTTGGCCTCCCAGAGTTCTGGGATTACAGGTGTGAGCCATCTTGCTCATTCTAGTTTAAACTTTTGAGTGGTTTGTGTCTCCTGATTGGACTCCTACAAATACAGAATTGATGCTAGGAAGGGTACCAGGAGATAGACGCACACAGATGGGATTTGGGAATAGGTTTGGTTATCCAAGGAGCAGTGCTGAGCTCCTTGCAATGGGATATGGGATGCTGGTGATTTCCAGGAAGTGCGCTCACAATGACTCAAGCTGCCACATACTGTTGATTGTGAAATGCCAGTTGAAGCATATGTCCTGCAAGCTTAGGGGTGCTACAAGTTGACCACTGCAGCAGTAAAGATGACTCTGAAGAACGGCGTGGGATGGTTCCTTTCAAATGCACTTGAGCAGCGGTCTCCAACCACAGGGCCACAGAGCTGGAGGTGAGCAGCAGGCGAGTGAAGGGAAACTTCATCTGTATTTCTAGCCCCTCCCATCGCTTGCATGACCACCTGAGCTCCATGTCCTGTCAGATCAGCAGCAGCATTAGATTGTCATAGGAGCACAAACTCTGTTGTGAAGTGTGCATGCGAGGGATCTAGGTTGTGTACTCCTTATGAGAATCTAATGCCTGATATTCTGTTACTGTCTCCCATCACCCCAGGTGGACAGTCTAGTTGCAGGAAAACAAGCTCAGAGATCCCACTGAGTCTACATTATAGTGAGTTGTAGAATCATTTCATTATATATTACTATGTAGTAATAATAGAAATAAAGTGCACAATATATGTAATGCACTTGAATCATCCTGAAATTATTCCCTCATTCCCAGTCTGTGGAAAAATTGTCTTCCACACGTTCACTCTGTTTTTTGGTAGAGGCAGGGTCTTAATATATTGCCCAGTCTGATCTCAAACTCCTGGCCTCAAGTAATATACCTCTCTCAGCCTCCCAAAGTGCTGAGATTACAGGCATAAGCCACCACCCTCAACCAAGAGTTTCTTAAACCAAATAAAAATTAAGTGAGATTACTTGAGCCCAGGTGGTCAAGGCTGCAGTGAGCCTGATTGCACCACTGCACTCCAGCCTAGGTGACAGAATGAGACTGTCTCAAAAAATAAAATAAAATACAAATTAACCCTTTATGACATTCCCAGTAACTTCCTAAGTGCTCCCCACAAGTCTTTGAATTCTGTTTAATTTTCACATAACATTTAAGACATTTAAGAACTTATGTCTGTCTGTGTCATCCCTTTATGTCAAAAGATGTCTTTTTGTCACTTCCAGCTGGATCTACCATGAAAGACTTGTGAATCCAGGAAGAGAGACTGACTGGGCAACATGTTATTCAGGTACAAAAAGATTTGGACTGTAACTTAAAAATGATCAAATTATGTTTCCCATGCATCAGGTGCAATGGGAAGCTCTTCTGGAGAGTGAGAGAAGCTTCCAGTTAAGGTGACATTGAAGCCAAGTCCTGAAAGATGAGGAAGAGTTGTATGAGAGTGGGGAGGGAAGGGGGAGGTGGAGGGATGGGGAATGGGCCGGGATGGGATAGCGCAAACTGCCCGGGAAGGGACACCAGCACTGTACAGACCTGAACAATGAAGATGGCATATTTTGTTCAGGGAATGGTGAATTAAGTGTGGCAGGAATGCTTTGTAGACACAGTAATTTGCTTGTATGGAATTTTGCCTGAGAGACCTCATTGCAGTTTCTGATTTTTTGATGTCTTCATCCATCACTGTCCTTGTCAAATAGTTTGGAACAGGTATAATGATCACAATAACCCCAAGCATAATATTTTGTTAATTCTCACAGAATCACATGTAGGTGCCACAGTTATCCCCATTTTATGAATGGAGTGATGAAAACCTTAGGAATAATGAATGATTTGCGCAGGCTCACCTGGATATTAAGACTGAGTCAAATGTTGGGTCTGGTCTGACTTTAATGTTTGCTTTGTTCATGAGCACCACATATTGCCTCTCCTATGCAGTTAAGCAGGTAGGTGACAGAAAAGCCCATGTTTGTCTCTACTCACACACTTCCGACTGAATGTATGTATGGAGTTTCTACACCAGATTCTTCAGTGCTCTGGATATTAACTGGGTATCCCATGACTTTATTCTGACACTACCTGGAGTTAGCACAGACCCCACAAGTTAGGGGCTCAGTCCCACGAGGCCATCCTCACTTCAGATGACAATGGCAAGTCCTAAGTTGTCACCATACTTTTGACCAACCTGTTACCAATCGGGGGTTCCCGTAACTGTCTTCTTGGGTTTAATAATTTGCTAGAACAGTTTACGGAACTCAGAAAAACAGTTTATTTTCTTTTTTTCTGAGAGAGAGGGTCTTATTTTGTTGCCCAGGCTGGTGTGCAATGGTGCAGTCATAGCTCATTGCAGCCTTGATTGTCTGGGTTCCAGTGGTTCTCCCACCTCAGCCTCCCTAGTAGCTGAGACTACATGCCTGCACCACCACATCTGGCTAGTTTCTTTTATTTTTTGTATAGATGGGGTCTTGTTGTGTTGGCCAGGCTGGCCACAAATTCCTGGTCTCAAGTGATCCTCCCACCTCAGCCTCTGAAAGTGCTGGGATTACAGATGTGAGCCACCACATCTGGCCAGTTCATTTCCTATTACTGGTTCATTGTGAAGGATACATCTCAGAAACAGTCAATGAAAGAGACGTGCATGCTGGATGCAGTGGCTCATGCCTGTAATCTCAGCACTTTGGGAGGCCAAGGTGGGAGGATCGCTTAAACTCAGGAGTTTGAGACCAGCCTGGGCAACATGGTGAAAACCTGTCTCTATAAAAAATTAAAAAATAATAATAATAACTGGTGTGGTGTTGTGCACCTAGAGTTCCAACTACTAGGGAAGCTGAGATGAGAGGATACCTTGAGCTGGGGACTGGGGAGGCTTAGGTTACAGTAAGCTGAGATTGTGCCACTGCACTCCAGCTTGGACAAAAGAGCCTGATCCTGTCTCAAAAAAAAGAAAGATACCCAGGGAAAGTTAAGTTCGGAGGGGCACAGAGCTCCCATGCCCTCTGTTGAACATGCGACCCTCCCAGCATCTCCTGTGTCCAGCAACCCTGAAAGCTCTGCACACCCCTTTCAGGGTGTTTATGGAGGCTTTATTATGCAAGCATGATTGATAAAACCTTTGGCTGTTGGTGATTAAGTCAGTCTCCAGCCCCTCTTCCCCCTGGAGTTCAGTGCATGAGGCTGAAAGTTCCAAGCCTCTTACCATGTGGTTTCATGGTAATCAGCCCTCCTCTTGAAGAAATTTAGGAGCTTGCAGTCACCCAGTCATCTCAACAACATCCCCAAATGCATTCTTACCATGCTGGAGATCCCAAAGTTCTTAGAGGCTCTTGTGTTAGAAACCTGGGACCAAGACCAAATATTAAAACAAAAGATGCTCCTGTCACATCTATCACTGAGGTCTTTGTAAGAGCTTTAGAAGCTCTGTGCCAGGAACCAGGGACAGAGATTAAATATATATTTCTTTTCTTTTTTTTGAGACAGAATCTCCCTGTGCCATCCAGGCTGGAGTGCAGTGATGTGATCATAGCTCACTATAGCTTTGGCCTTCTGAGATCAAGCAATCCTCCCATCTCAACCTCCCAAGTAGCTAGGACTACACACGCATGCCACCCATGCCCAGATCATTTTTGTAGAGTCAGAGTTTCACCGTGGTGGCCAGGTTGGCCATGTTGGCCAGATGGGGTCTTCTTTTGTTGCCCAGGCTGGCCACAAATTCCTGGGCTCAAGTGATCCTCCCACCTCGTCCTTGTAGAGATGAGATTTAGTTATGTCGTCCAGGCTGATCTCAAACTCCTGGGCTAAATCGATTGTCTCACCTCAGCCTCTCAAGTATGTTATGAAGGTTATATGTTAGGAAGGGTCCCAGGAGGTAAACCCACACAGATGGGATTTGGGCATAGGTTTGGTTTCCCAGGGGGCAGTGCTGAGCTCTTTGCCAGTGGGAAATGGGATGCTGGTGATTTCCAGTAGGTGACCTCACAGTGACTCAAGCTACCACTTACTGTTGATTGTGACGAAATGCCAGCTGAGGCACATGCCTTGGGAGCTAAGTGGTTGCTGCCCTTGACCACTGTGAAGACTGGTGTGGGAAGGGTCGTTTTGGATGCACTTGAGCAGGGGTCCCCAACCCCTGAGCCATGGAGCCGCAAGGAGCCACACAGCAGGAGGTGAGCGGTGTCGAGTGAGGGAGTGAGGGAAGCTTCGTCTGTATTTACAGCCACTCCCCTTTGCTCACATTCCCGCCTGAGCTCCACCTTCTCAGATGAGCAGCAGCATTAGATGCTCATAGGAGAACGCACCCTGTTGTGAACTGTGCATGTGAGGGATCTGGGTTGCGCTGTCCTTATGAGAGTCTAATACCTATTGATCTGTCACTTTCTCCCATCACGCTCAGGTGGGAACATCCAGTTGCAGGAAAACAAGCTTAACACGCCCACTGATTCTACATTATGGTGAGTTCTATAATTATTTTATTATATATTACAGTGTAATAATGGAAATAAAGTGCCTAATAAATGCAAATGTGCTTACATCTTTTGGCCCAGCTCCTACCTCCCGGCAGCCTCTCCAGGCCCAGAACTTTCTCCAGTCAGCCTCTACAGACCAAGCTCATGACTCTCAATGGCCTATTTAGGCCCATACCCTACGTCACGGCAGCCTCCGCAGATGAGGCTACTGCCTCACAACAGCCTCCACAGGCACAGCTCCATCGTTACAATGGCCTCTTTAGACCCAGCTCCTGCCTCCCAGCCTTCTCTCCAGGCCCTGAACTTTCTCAGTAAGTTCAGGTAGCTGGGACTGTAGGTATACATGACGATACTTGGCTAATTTTTAAATTGTTTTGTAGACACAGGGTCTCACTTTTTTGGCCAGGCTGGTGTCAAACTAATGGCCTCAAGTGACCCTTCCACCCCTGCCTCCCATCCTCGAGGTATGTGCCACCACAAGGAGCACTTGTTCAATTTTCTAAAAAAGAAATTTCTAAAGTAAGGCTGTGGGATGATGGCAGGAAGATAAAAGAAAAACAGAAGAATAAGTTAAAATGACTTATTCACGCATATTCTTTTGACAGCAAGAAGAACTTTTAGTATATACATTCCTTACAAACAAACAAAAGGCAGATAAACAATGTTGTATAGGAACTTCAACACACACTGTACAATATTCCCACTTTGCTGACATAAGTTATGGAAATTTCATGGTTTACTTGAGTGTCGCTACCAGTATTTTGCTTCTCTGATGATTTTTATCAACTTCCTCATCTGTTAACTTCTCTCCAAGGTATGTCATGTCACGACATACTGCCGCTGCACGAACATGGCCAGTGTCTTCCTATTCAACATGTAGAATGCTTTCCTAATTTCTCTTTTTACTCTCTGTCTTTGTGTTCTGCATTTTCCTTACTTTTATTGTCAGAAACTCCAGAAAGTCAATCGTACTAATTTATCACGATTTGCTTTATTAATTTATACTTTGCTTATATGGAATTTTGCCCAGCAGACCTCATCACAGTTTCTAACCTGCTTTATTTATTTATTTATTTTTTTCTGAGACAGGGTCTCCCTCTGTTGTCCAAGGCTGGAGTGTAGTAGTGCTATCGCAGCTGACTGCAGCCTCAACCTTCCAGGCTGAAGCGATCCTCCCACCTCAACCTCCCACGTGGCTGAGACTACAGGTGCTTGCCACTATGCCCAACTAACATTTGGAATTTTCGTATACGTGGATTCTAGAGGGGTGACAGCGAAACGTGAGTAAGCATGGATTTTGGTATATGCAGAGATGGGGGGCTGGAACTAATTCTGTATACTGAGGGATGACGACTGTGTATGTTTTTACAATTACGCTGTAGGATACATACTGTTGCATAGCCTTGAAAATAATAATTTTTAATTGAGTGGAATAAGAATAATATTGATAAAAGTAGCAGCTGGCCAGGTGTGGTGGCTCACACTGGTAATCGCAACACTTTGGGAGGCTGAGGCAGGAGGATGGCTTGAGGCCAAGAGTTTGCGATAGGCCTTGGAAACAAAGGGGGAGTCACCATCCCTACAGAAAAATACATGAATTAGCCTAGTGTGGTGGCATGTTCCTGTAGTCCCAGCTACTTGGGAGGCTGAGGTGGGAGGATCACTTGAGCCCAGGGAGGCTGAGACCGCAGTGAGTCATGATCAGGCCTCTGCACTCCAGCCTGGGTGACAGAGTGAGACCCTGTCTCAAAACAACAAAAAAGTAGCAGCTAACATCAACTGACCTTTTACCAGGTGCCTATTGATACCATAGTTTAATTTCTTATAACTGTTTCTTATTTCACTTACCAACTCTGTCTTCAGTTACTCCCAGATTTTTACTGTGTGTGTACAGATGACCTTTTGCTTAGATTGAATTGTCTCCCCAGAAGTAAGATTACTGTGAGTCATGGTGAATGGACATTCTCCTTACCCTTGATGTAAATTGACAGGGTTTTGGGTGCCTCCCAGCTATAATCTTAGCACTTTGGGAGGCTAAGAGAGGAGGATTGCTTGAGGCCAAGAGTTGGAGGAGGCAGTATGGCAGTATGGTGAGACCCTGTCTCCATTATTTTAAAAAATTGACAGGCTTTACCCTGGAAGGCTTATACACAATTTAACCACCCCTCATAGTATAAGAAAGTGCCCATTTCACTGCACCTTTGCCAGCACAGGGTATTATAATTTAGTAAGCCATTTTTTGTTTGATTATTTTAAATAGACAAAAGACCTCATATTACTTTACTTGTCACATTTCAACATCTTTCCTCAGCTTATTAGCTCTATTTCTTTTCTGTCTGTAAATGGTTGTTGTGGTTTTGTTCTTTGAGACAGGGTCTTGCTCTGTCATCCGGCTGGACTGTAGTGGCATAATCATGCCTCACTGCAGCCTTGACCTCCCAGGCTCAAACTTCAGCATTCCGAGTAGCTGGGACTACAAGTGTGCACCACCACCCCCAGCTAACTTTTTTCTTCTTTTGGATAGAGACAGGGTCTCACTGTGTCGTCCAGAGCGGTCTCTAGCTCCTGGCCTTAAGCAATCCTCCTGCATTAGCTTCTGTAATGGCTGGAATTTCAGGCATGAGCCACCATGCCTGGCCTGGGCTAGTCCCATATTCTCTAGAGTTATCTTTACTCTGTGCTAGCCAATCTCTCATTATGCTGTTCACCTGTTATAATGAATAATTCTCTGTATTAAATTTTACCACTTTAAACTTTTGAGTGGTTTATGCTTCCTGATTGGACTCTGACTAATATGTTAGGAAGGGTCCCAGGAGGTAAACCCACACAGATGGGATTTGGGCATAGGTTTGGTTTCCCAGGGGGCAGTGCTGAGCTCTTTGCCAGTGGGAAATGGGATGCTGGTGATTTCCAGTAGGTGACCTCACAGTGACTCAAGCTACCACTTACTGTTGATTGTGACGAAATGCCAGCTGAGGCACATGCCTTGGGAGCTAAGTGGTTGCTGCCCTTGACCACTGTGAAGACTGGTGTGGGAAGGGTCGCTTTGGATGCACTTGAGCAGGGGTCCCCAACCCCTGAGCCATGGAGCCGCAAGGAGCCACACAGCAGGAGGTGAGCGGTGTCGAGTGAGGGAGTGAGGGAAGCTTTGTCTGTATTTACAGCCACTCCCCTTTGCTCACATTCCCGCCTGAGCTCCACCTTCTCAGATGAGCAGCAGCATTAGATGCTCATAGGAGAACGCACCCTGTTGTGAACCGTGCATGTGAGGGATCGAGGTTGCGCTGTCCTTATGAGAGTCTAATACCTATTGATCTGTCACTTTCTCCCATCACGCTCAGGTGGGACCATCCAGTTGCAGGAAAACAAGCTTGACACGCCCACTAATTCTACATTATGGTGAGTTCTATAATTATTTTATTATATATTACAGTGTAATAATGGAAATAAAGTGCCTAATAAATGCAAATGTGCTTACATCTTTTGGCCCAGCTCCTACCTCCCGGCAGCCTCTCCAGGCCCAGAACTTTCTCCAGTCAGCCTCTACAGACCAAGCTCATGACTCACAATGGCCTATTTAGGCCCATACCCTACGTCACGGCAGCCTCCGCAGATGAGGCTACTGCCTCACAACAGCCTCCACAGGCACAGCTCCATCGTTACAATGGCCTCTTTAGACCCAGCTCCTGCCTCCCAGCCTTCTCTCCAGGCCCTGAACTTTCTCAAGTCGACCTCACCAGGCCCAGCTCATGCTTCTTTGCAGCCTCTCCAGGCCCAGCTCCTGCATCTTGGTGGCCCCTCCAGGCCCAGCCTCTGCCTCCCGTCAGCCTCTACAGTCCCAACGTCTGCCTCACAGCAGATTCTTCACGCCCAGCATCTACCTCACTGTGGACCCCCCAAGCCAAGCTCCCAACCTTTCAGCAGCTTCTACACACCCAGCTCCCGCCTGCCAGTGGCCTCTTCAGGCCCATGGGGCTCATTCCTGACAACGGCCTTTCCAGGCCCAGTTTTTCCCTTCCGGCGGCCTCTCCGGGCCCAGAACCTCCTCAAGTCAGCCTCTCCAGACCCACTTGCACCCTCCGGGCGTTCTCTCCGGGCCCAGCTCTTCTTCCTGGTTGGGTCTCCAGGCCCGATTCCTGCCTCTCAACAACCTCTTTGGACTCAGTGCCTACCCATCTCCTGGCGGCCTTGGTCGGCCCACAGCTTCCTCAAGCCAAGCTCCCCAGGCCCAGGTCAGGCCTCACGGTGGCCTCTCCAGGATGAGCTCCTGCCCTCCGATGGCATCTCCAGGCCCCAAATGGTCTCCGGTCGGTGGGCTCCTCCACGCCAAGGTTGGGCCTCCCGGCGACTGCCGCAGGCCCAAGTTGTCCTGAAGTCGGGCTCTCCCGGCCCTGCCTCCCAGCAAGTAAGCAAGCTCTTTTGGCTCAACTCCTGCCCAGCTCCCAACCGCCTTTGTAGGCCCCGAACTTTCTCCAGCCAAGCTCTGAGGGCCCACCTCCTGCCTCCTGGTGGCCTGTACAGTTCTAGCACTGGTTGGAGAACAGCCTCTGCAGGCCCCGCCCTTGCCTCCCAGGGGCCTCTCCAGGCCCAGCTCTTGCCCCCACGGCGGCCTCCCGGGGCCAAGTCCCTGCCTGCCTCCCAGCAGCCCGCGTGCGGCCCAGCTCCTCCCTCACGGTGGCCTGTTGATGCCCAACTCATGCCTCTGGCACCCTGCCCAGAGGCGTGAGCCCCTGCCTCACACTGGCTCCTCCCACGCTGAGAGAGGTCAGTGTGAGCCCCTTGCCTCACACCGGCCCCTCCCACGCTGAGAGAGGTCAGAGTGAGCCCCTTGTCTCACACCGGCCCCTCCCACGTGGACAGAGGTCAGCGTGAGCCCCTTGCCTCACACCGGCCCCTCCCACGCTGAGAGAGGTCAGTGTGAGCCCTTGCCTCACACCGGCCCCTCCCACGCGGACAGAGGTCAGCGTGAGCCCCTTGCCTCACACCGGCCCCTCCCACGCTGAGAGAGGTCAGTGTGAGCCCTTGCCTCACCCCGGCCCCTCCCACGTGGACAGAGGTCAGCGTGAGCCCCTTGTCTCACACCAGCCCCTCCCACGCTGAGAGAGGTCAGTGTGAGCCCTTGCCTCACACCGGCCCCTCCCACGCGGACAGAGGTCAGCGTGAGCCCCTTGCCTCACACCGGCCCCTCCCACGCTGAGAGAGGTCAGTGTGAGCCCTTGCCTCACCCCGGCCCCTCCCACGTGGACAGAGGTCAGCGTGAGCCCCTTGTCTCACACCGGCCCCTCCCACGCTGAGAGAGGTCAGTGTGAGCCCTTGCCTCACACCGGCCCCTCCCACGCGGACAGAGGTCAGCGTGAGCCCCTTGCCTCACACCGGCCCCTCCCACGCGGACAGAGGTCAGCCCGAGCCCCTTGTCTCACACCGGCCCCTCCCATGCTGAGAGAGGTCAGTGTGAGCCCCTTGTCTCACACCGGCCCCTCCCATGCTGAGAGAGGTCAGCGTGAGCCCCTTGCCTCACCCCGGCCCCTCCCACGCTGAGAGAGGTCAGTGTGAGCCCTTGCCTCACACCGGCCCCTCCCACGCGGACAGAGGTCAGCGTGAGCCCCTTGCCTCACACCGGCCCCTCCCACGCTGAGAGAGGTCAGTGTGAGCCCTTGCCTCACACCGGCCCCTCCCACGCGGACAGAGGTCAGCGTGAGCCCCTTGCCTCACCCCGGCCCCTCCCACGCTGAGAGAGGTCAGTGTGAGCCCTTGCCTCACACCGGCCCCTCCCACGCGGACAGAGGTCAGCGTGAGCCCCTTGCCTCACCCCGGCCCCTCCCACGCTGAGAGAGGTCAGTGTGAGCCCTTGCCTCACACCGGCCCCTCCCACGCTGAGAGAGGTCAGCGTGAGCCCCTTGTCTCACACCGGCCCCTCCCACGCTGAGAGAGGTCAGCCCGAGCCCCTTGCCTCACACCGGCCCCTCCCACGCTGAGAGAGGTGTGAGCCCCTTGTCTCACACCGGCCCCTCCCACGCGGACAGAGGTCAGCGTGAGCCCCTTGCCTCACACCGGCCCCTCCCACGCTGAGAGAGGTCAGTGTGAGCCCTTGCCTCACACCGGCCCCTCCCACGCGGACAGAGGTCAGCGTGAGCCCCTTGCCTCACACCGGCCCCTCCCACGCTGAGAGAGGTCAGTGTGAGCCCTTGCCTCACACCGGCCCCTCCCACGCGGACAGAGGTCAGCGTGAGCCCCTTGCCTCACCCCGGCCCCTCCCACGCTGAGAGAGGTCAGTGTGAGCCCTTGCCTCACACCGGCCCCTCCCACGCGGACAGAGGTCAGCGTGAGCCCCTTGCCTCACCCCGGCCCCTCCCACGCTGAGAGAGGTCAGTGTGAGCCCTTGCCTCACACCGGCCCCTCCCACGCGGACAGAGGTCAGCGTGAGCCCCTTGCCTCACACCGGCCCCTCCCACGCTGAGAGAGGTCAGTGTGAGCCCTTGCCTCACACCGGCCCCTCCCACGCGGACAGAGGTCAGCGTGAGCCCCTTGCCTCACCCCGGCCCCTCCCACGCTGAGAGAGGTCAGTGTGAGCCCTTGCCTCACACCGGCCCCTCCCACGCGGACAGAGGTCAGCGTGAGCCCCTTGCCTCACCCCGGCCCCTCCCACGCTGAGAGAGGTCAGTGTGAGCCCTTGCCTCACACCGGCCCCTCCCACGCGGACAGAGGTCAGCGTGAGCCCCTTGCCTCACACCGGCCCCTCCCACGCTGAGAGAGGTCAGTGTGAGCCCTTGCCTCACACCGGCCCCTCCCACGCGGACAGAGGTCAGCGTGACCCCCTGCCTCAACAGGCCACCGTGAGGGAGGAACAGGATCGCACTCGGGCTGCTGGGAGGTAGGCAGGGACTTGGGCCTGGGAGGTCGCGGTGGGGCGAGAGCTGGGCCTGGAGACTCCCCTGGGAGGCAACAGCGGGGTCTGCAGACGCCCTTCTCCAGCCGGAGCTGGGACTGTTCAGTCACTGGGAGAAGGGATGTGGGTCTGAAGAGCTTGGTTGCAGAAACTTCGGGGTCTACAAACGCAGGCGGGAGCTGAGCCAAAAGAGCTTGTTTGCTGGGAGGTGGGAGATGCAGCCAGGAGGAACAGCTGGGCAATGCGGGAGGCAGAGGCCAGGCCTCCTCAAGTTGGCCTCTCAGACCCACTTGCAGCCTCCCGGCGCCCCCTCCGGGCCCAGCTCTTCCTCCCGGCTGCATCTCCAGGCCGGACTCTGGCCCGACTCCAGGTCCCAACAACGTCTTTGGACTCAGCTCCTGCCCAGCTCCCAGCGGCCCTGGTAGGCCCACAACTTCCCTAAGCCAAGCTCCCCAGGCCCAGCTCAGGCCTCGCGGTGGCCTCTCCAGGCTCAGCTCCTGGCCCTCCGATGACATCTGCAGGCCCCAAATGGCCTCCGGTCGGTGGGCTCCTCTAGGCCCAGCTTGGGCCTCCCGGCGGCCTCCGCAGGCCCAAATCGTCCCGAAGTCAGTCTCTCCAGGCTTAGCTCCAGCCTCCCGGCGGCCTCTGCAGGCCCAAGTCGTCCTCAAGTCGGCCTGGAAGTGGGCCTGGAAGAGCAGCAAGTCGGCCTCCCTGGGCCCAGCTCCGTCCTCTCGACGGCCTCTCCAGGTGCAAAACTTCCTCGAGTCAGCCTCTCCAGGCCCAGCTCCTCCTGCCTCCCAGTGGCCTCTTTCAGCCCAGCCCAGCTCATGGCTCTCGGCGGCCTTCGCAGGCCCTGCTTTTGACTTTTGGCAGCCTCTTCAGGCGCAGAACTTGATCTCCAGTCGGCCTTTGCAGGCCCGGCCTCCTGCCTCTCGAAGGCCTGCACGGGCCCGGCCTCGGCCTCGGCCTCACAGCGGACTCTCCACGCCCAGCTAGCTCTCGCCTCACTGCGGCCTCCCCAGTCCAAAGCTCCTGCCTTTCGGCCACTTCGGCAGGTCCAGCTCCTGCCTGCCAGTGGCCTCTTTAGGCCCAGCTCATTCCTCACGTCGGCCATTCCAGGCCCCGTTTTTCCCTTCCGGCAGCCTCTTGGCCTCTAATTTGTTTATCTTTTGTGTATAAATCCCAAAATATTGAATTTTGGAATATTTCCACCATTATGTAAATGTTTTGGTAGGTAATTTATTTGGAGTGAGTTTCTGCGTCAAGCCCGAGTTTTTTATTTTATTTTCCTTATTATTTGGTGTTAAACAGGTTTAATGACGGTCATGGCAACTTTTTGGCACAATGAAAAATGTCGCCCACGATCAACGTGTTCTGTTCTGGGGAAGGGGGCAAAGGCAGGGTGAATCACTTTCTTAAAAAGTATAGCTCAAGTTGGGAGTGCAGAGGGAATGGGGAGAAAACCCTCCCACTGCCTGTGTCGAAGTGCAGGAGCCCCCACCCCCATACTCACCTGAGTCCAGCCCCTCTGGGGAAAGAAGGGGTGCATGAACTCCCCCTAGTCCACAGGCGCCTCCCTGTGGCCCAAGGCCCTCTTCACACTCCATCTTGTAGCCCCAGCAGGAGCTATTTTCCGAAAAGTGAAAAGCTCTGAAGGTCCCACAATTCATGGTATGTACAGGGGCTCGGAGGAGGGAAACTGCCCAGCTTTCCCCCGGCACAGCTGCAGGGGTAGGGGGTATAGATAAGAGGAGCAGGCCTTGGCCAGGCGTGGTGGCTCACGCCTGTAATCCCAGCACTTTGGGAGGGGGAGGCAGGCAGATCACAATGTCAGGAGATCGAAATCAGCCTGGCCAAGATGATGAAGCCCCGTCTGTACTAAAAATACAAAAATTAGCCGGACGTGGTAGCGTCTACCTGTAATCCTAGCTACCCGGAAGGCTGAGGCAGGAGAATGGCGTGAACCCGGCGGGAAGAGGTTGCAGTGAGCCAAGATCGCACCACTGCACTCCAGCCTGGGCGACAGAGCAAGACTCGGTCTCAAAAAAAAAAAAAAAAAAAAAAAAAAAAAGAGGAAGGCCTTACTCCGTCCCAAACTGAAAGGATTAAATGGCTTCACCTGGGAGAAGATAACCATCCTGCCCTCCATTGCTACCCCCACATACTGTCCATGTTCTCAGGGGGTACTGTGAGTCCTGGGATCTTTGGGGTTGCCCACCTGCCTGTGCTAGTTATGGAGACCCCCAGGTGTTGAGGCAGGGCTGGGGTGTCCCCTTCCAACCAGGCTGTCAAGGCCCCAACTCTGGGGCAGAGGCAGTGGCAGGGCAGCCAGGGTTGTGCCAGAGCCTGAGCAGGTTGAGGTGGGGTCAGGCAGGGCTGGGAGTCAGGGCAGGGGCAGCAGCAGTGGACCTGCTATGCACACATCTTCTTCTCCAAGGTTTGTGTGCAGAACATCCTGCCCATGCTGCCCCAGCAGCTTCAGTTGGCACCTGCCTCAGTCCAGCCTCTGGGAACCATGCAGCAGCTCCCAGCGGCCCTGCACCCACCACCAGCATCCGTTTCACCTGCAGTTGAAGATCCGTGAGGTGCCCAGAAGATCATGCAGTCATCAGTCCCACGGAGCAGCCTGCGAGGCTGAGGCTCCTCCCACTGGACCGCCCCCCAACTGGCACCACTGCTGCCCCTGCCCCTACTCTCAGCCTCACGTGACTCTCGGGCAGAAGCAGTGGTGGGGCAGCCAGGGCAGCGTCAAGAGTCTGAGCCAGGTGAGGTGCGGTCAGGACCCCCACAGGGCTGGGAGTCAGGGCAGGGGCAGAACAAACCTTGGAGGGGAAGATGTGTGCATAGTGGGCCTGGAGGGCGGCTGTGGCCTAGTGGACAGGAAGAAGCAGTGGGCCTGGAAGAGCTGCATGATCAGGGCCGGCACTGGTCCAGGGTACGTGCAGTGAAGAGGACAGCGCCTTCTCGGTCTCCGGTTCCCTGAGCCTGTCCTCGGCTTCTCCACCTGTACAGGCAAAGGGGAAGCTGTCCCCATCACACGTGGCACACTTGGGGGTGTTGGGCTTTGGACTGCAGCTGGAGCATCTTCTCATCTTGCATTTGGGCGCGGTGGGGTCCTCCAGTGTGGGATCCATGTCCGTGGGGTTCCCTCTGCCCCGACCCCGAAAGCCCAGTCAGTTTCTCTTCAGGCTCTGCCCCCCGGGTGGCTCAGCCCAGCTCCTGCCTAGGAAAGCCTTAGTATTGGGAGGGACCCTGATGACTGAGGAGCCTGGTAGCTCCAGGTCGCCCACACTTTCAGGTCTCTTGCACCAGAAGGTGGCAGGATCCATTGGGAGGAAACAGGCCACCTTGGAAGGCGTCCCTGGGCCCCCATCCCCAGGGGTTGGGGCCGTAGGGGGCCCGCTCTGCTGCGTTGACCAGACTCCTGGGCTTTGAAGGCTCCTGGGCCCAGTAAGAAGGAGGTGGGTGCCAAGGTTGAGGAGGAAGCATCCGAGTATGTGTAGGAGGAGGACAGGGTGTGACCATAGACTGCCAAAAGCTGCAGGTGGATCGGGGGACCCTGGGGGCTCAGGATCCAGCAAGGGGCGGCAGGAGTAAAGGAGGAAGGAATGACAGGTGCAAATACCTTCCCACCAAAGCCCTTGTTGCCCTCTGGCTCCTCCCCAGAGTTGTCCCCACTCTCAGTCGGTCACCCACTCCTTGAACTTGAGATCGGTGTCGGTGGTGCTAAAGCCATCATCAGCAATGACATCATCACCCCCTCCTCCTCATGGATGACCGTGTGCTCTTCGTCACTCGCTATGACCTCGCTGGCCATGTGCTGGGAATGAGCAGCTCACGTGGGCGGCAGCAGGGCTGCCCACGGGTCACCTCCCTCACCAGGGGCTGCAAAGTGGCCTGGAGCTCCATGCTGAGTAGAAGGCTTTGGGCCAGAGTATGATGCAGTGCCAGACACCACCTGTGTCAGTTCCCGTAGTGCCTGACGGTCTATTTCCCTGCCGTCCAGGCTGTGTACCCCGCTGTGGGAGAAGGCTTGGGCCAGGCTGAGCCAGGTTCCCTGACTGTGTGCAGCCGTTCTGCCCCACAGAAGCTGCTCCTTGGTATCCGAGCTCTGGAGTGTTTGGGCTGCAACTGACAGGAGTTCAGAGGACACCCCAGGGGCAGTGGCAGTGCCCGTCTCTGATATGCTCCGCTCCCACGAGCCCTTGTTACACTCCTGCTAGCCCCTGGCTTGTGGGCTTGGCCTCTGAGCTGGACTTCTTTCGGTCCTTGTTGCAAGTGGGCCACCTTCACCTGGAAGGCCAGGTTGTATTTCTGCATCTCATTGGGCCCCAGGGTGTACCACCGCTCGCTCAGCATCTGGCTGACGGTCCGGTTATCCTGGTTGGGATGACCCTGGTGCGCCCCGCCAGGGCCTGGTGCCGCCTGCTGAAGATCATGAGCGCCACTCATGGGCCACCGGATGTGGTCCTTGTCTGATTTGTTGGGGCTGCGTCCATCCTTCTCAGAAGATGAGTCCTGTTCCTTGCGCAGGGCACTGAGGGACTGGGCCTGACATCATCTGAGTGGTAGAGGCAACTGGGTGTCAGGAGACATGATGGAGAGGAAAGCATCATCATGGTCATTCTCTGTCTCACTGTCCAGCAGGGACTCCCCTGAGGGGCCCAGGGCTCCTCCTCCATGGTGGGAGGTGAGCTTTTACCAGGTTCCACCACCCCCAAAGTGTGTGGGGTTGCGGGCCCTGGGCTTTCAGGGCAGGTGGCTCCAGGGGGCTGCCCAGGGTCAACACTCCCTGTCCCACCTGGTGGACGCTCATGAGCAACGGCTGCCAACTTGGCAGGTTGTTTTCTCTGGTTGGAGGCCACTGAGTGACTGGCAGGTTGCTGGGCCTCGTGTGGCTGCAGGGAGGGGTCAGGAAGGGGATGGAGTACCAGGAGAACACGGCCGCAGAGTGACCTTCCACATTCCTCCACACGAACATGCTGACGCCACGGGAGGCCTCACTGAACGCAGGCCTGGGGGCCGAGCACTTGGTCCGGGCAGGGGGTTCCTGGCAGGGGCTCACACCTCCTCGCCCCCTCCTCAGCCAAGGTGGCTTGGGCCCAGAGAAGGGGAGGTTGGAGAGGAGCAGAAGGCCAGGCCTCAAGTTTTGTTTTTTTTGTTTGTTTTGTTTTTTGTTTTTGAAATGTAGTTTGACTCTTGTCACCCAGGCTGGAGTGCAGTGGCACGATCTCAGTGGCCTTCATACCTGGCTAATTTTTTGTATTTTTACTGGAGGTGGGGTTTTGCCATGTTGGCCAGGCTGGTCTTGACCTCCCGACCTCAGGTGATCCACCCACCTCAGCCTCCCAAAATGGGATTACAGGCATGAGCCACCGCTCCCAACTTCATTCATTTTTACTTGAAAAACTCCGTTAAGCATTTTTTTAAGGTAGACCTAGTGGTCCTGAATGCCCTCAGCTTTGTTTGTCGAGGAAACACATTATTTCTTTTTCCTTTCTGAAGGACAGCTTTGTCAGACATAGTATTAGTTGCTGGCAGTTTTTTTCTTTCAGCACTTTGAATGTATTATTCGATTCTGTCCTGACCTGCAAAGTTTCTTTAACTTTTGACTATTTGATTATATTGTGACTTGGTGAGTATCTATTTGGTTTGAACCTCTTTAGGAATCTTTAAGCTTCATGGATTTAGATGTCTAAATCTTTCCCATGATTTAGGCAGTTGTCAGCCATTCTTTAAATAAGCTTTATTCTCCTTTCTCTACTTTCCTTCTCAAACTCCCATAACCTGACAATGGTTTGCTTAATGGTGTCTTGTTGGCTTTCTTTTCTCTGTCTCTTTTTTTTTTCTTTTTGAGACAGAGTCATGCTCTGTCACCCAGGCTGGAGTGTAATGTGTGGTCTCGGCTCACATTGCACTCCAACCTCCGCCTCCTGGGTTCAAGTGATTCTCCTGCCTCAGCCTCCCAAGTAGCTGGGACTACAGGTGTGTGCCACCACACCCGGCTAATTTTTGTATTTTTAGTAGAGATGGGGCTTTGTCATGTTGGACAGGCTGGTCTTGAACTCCTGACCTCTTAATCTGCCTGCCTCGGCCTCCCAAAGTGTTGGGATTACAGGCTTGAGCCACCACACCCAGCCTTCTTTTCTCTCTTTTATTCTTTTTTTCTCTGTCCTCTGACTGGATAATTTCGGAAGATCTATATTCAAGTTTACAGATTCTCTCTCCTGTTGAAGTTGACTATTGTGTTATATCACCCAGTCTGGTCTTGAACTCCTGGGCTCAAGCGATCCTCCCACCTTGGCCTCCCAAAGTGCTGAGTTTACAAGCATGAGCCACTGCATCCAGTCAGTCCCAGCACTTTGGGAAGCTGAGGTGGGAGGATCACTTGAGCTCAGGAGTTTGAGACCATCCTGGGCAACGTACTGAGAACTTGTCTCTATATTAAAAAAAAAAAAAAGTCTTTGGGAGGCCAAAGCGGGAGGATCACCTGAGGTCAGGAGTTCGAGACCAGCCTGGCCATCATGGCAAAACCCCATCTCTACTAAAAATACAAAAATTAGCCAGGTGTGGTGGCACACGCCTGTAGTGGTGATGCATGCCTATAGTCCCAGCTACTCAAGAGGCTGAGGCAGGAGAATCACTTGAACTGGGAGATGGAGGTTGCAGTGAGCTGAGATCGCACCAGTGCACTCCAGCCTGGGCAACAGAGTGAGACTCCATCTTATAAAAGGAAAAAAGAAAGAAAAGAAAAATTCCATATCTGAGTGTTTACTCCTGAGTTTTTGAGATTGTTATTAAGATCGTGCTCTACTGTGATGATTTGGGTTTGTTTGATAATCAGAAAAAAAGCGTATTCTTTTAGGTGTTCAGCCACACTGCTTTGGTGTCACAACTGCACATTGGTTTCACAGCTGCAGGACAAGTTCGAGCATCTTAAAATGATTCAACAGGAGGAGATAAGGAAGCTCGAGGAAGAGAAAAAACAACTGGAAGGAGAAATCATAGATTTTTATAAAATGAAAGCTGCCTCTGAAGCACTGCAGACTCAGCTGAGCACCGATACAAAGAAAGACAAACATCGTAAGAAGCAATAGTTTCTCTTACTATTCTGAGAGCCTTATCATTCTACATCCCATCTTCCTGTGAGTTTGTCTTTGTAGCATTTAACTCTAATTGCAGTTCTCATTTTAAAAACTGGCTTGCTTATTGTATATTTTCCCCAACTAAAGCGTGAACTCCTAGCAGGGCGTGGTGGCTCATGCCTGTAATCTCAGCACTGTGGGAGGCCGAGGTGGGTCGACTACCTGAGGTTAGGAGTTCGAGACCAGCCTGACCAACATGATGAAACGCTGTCTCTACTAAAAATACAAAAATTAGCTAGGCGTGGTGGCTGGGACCTGTAATCCCAGCTACTTGGGAGGCTGAGGCAGGAGAATCACTTGAACCCTGGAGGTGGAGGTTGCAGTGAGCAGAGATCTCACCATTACACTCCAGCCTGGGTGACAAGAGCAAAACTGCATCTCAAAAAAAAAAAAAAAAGGGGGTGAACTTGAAGGCAGGTCCTGTGTCCATCTTTTCAGATTCTGTATCCCAGCACTTAGGACATAGACAAACACGAAGATGACAATCAATATTTGCCAAAATGAAAAAACAAAAGAAACATGTAACATCATGTAAAAGAAGCTGGTTAGGTGGAGAAATTTATTTACCATAGTCTTGCTTGTGGATCCAGTAGTGACTTTTACAGTTTATATCTAAATAGAAGCTGGAGGCTTTGTTGGGGACTCATAGGCATAAAATATTATTTATTATAGAGTTAAATGCTACAAAGACAAATCTAATTAATAGGCCTATTTTCCTTTTTAAATTCTACTCATAATTTCTTCATAGTTTTTATGATAAAAGGTTGGATTTTGATTAGAACTCCCATGCTTTTGTGTCAGAATTAAAACTGGTATTAGAATAAATAATTCAAAAGCTAGAGAAAGAGTACAATGAGAAGCCATGAGTTGCATTTGAATTATAATATTATGTCTTACAGATTTGGGGTATATGCTAAAGTTACCAAAGTTGTAGAAAATAAGGCCGGGCATTGTGGCTCACATCTGTAATTCCAGCACTTTGGGAGGCCGAGGTAGATGGATCATTTGAGGTCAGGAGTTCGAGACCAGCCTGGCCAACATGGTGAAACTCCGTCTGTACTAATAGTACAAAAATTAGCCAGGCGTGATGGTGTGCACCTGTAGTCCTTGCTACTCAGAAAGCTGAGGCAGGAGAATCGCTTGTACCCAGGAGGCAGAGGTTGCAGTGAGCAGAGATTGTGCCACTGCACTCCAGCCTGGGTGACAGAGTGCTATGAGTCACCACACCTGGTATGAGCCACCGTGCCTGGCCCACAATGACTTTTACACATGTTGTTAAACCATCTTACAGATTTTATAATTTGGGGGAAGAAAAGTTTTACTAAATTGTCTTTTAATGGAAACTCTACAAGAACCAGAATCTTTGCTTTGTTCACTTATGTATCCATTCCTAGGCCTAGAAAAATGTCTGACACATAGCGGCAATTATTCATTGAATAAATGGACCCAGCGATAGTACATTAGCTATGCTATATGCATACATTAAAGATGTAGATTATCGACTTTCAAAAGATAATTAATGTAACTTCTTACTGCTTCTGAACATGTTTGTGAGTTATATTGCTGAGGGACCTTTATCTTCTCATTCTTTCATCTTAACCCAGTGTTATAAAATTGAAATCACCAATATTATTCCATATCTAAAATTAATATCTACCTTGTAAAAAATATCACTCTGCTGCATTTGAGAATAGACTTTTTAGGTAATAATGATGCAATCCATAGGGTTTTTTGGGGGCACAGAGGGATTCATGCTAACAGAACATTTTATTTTCTATTTTCCCAGAGCTGTAAAACATGAAATTACGGTAGTATAAGGCATATTTTTACTCTTTTTATAATTTTTTCTAAAAAAAAATTAGTGTTTGTTCCCTATATAACTTTTAACTTTATAGGTAAATATTTGTTTCTTTCAGCTCCAGTTTTATGTGAAATAGAGTTTTCAGATTTATGTAGCATGGAAAGTTTTAATACGTCAGAGTTACTGATTTTTGCCAATCATTTTCTCAATTATTTCTTTTTTATCTTTAGTTGATTTTTTTGTAGTGACACATTTTGTTTCTAGTCTCATTTCCTTTTGTTTATATTCTATATATATTTCATTTTTGGTTACTATGAGAATTACATATAACATCCTAGAGTTATAACATTTTAATTTGAATTTATTTCAACTTAAGTTCAATCACATACCAAAATTCTACTGCTATATATATAGCTCTACTCTTTTTATGTTATTGATGTGACAAATTATATCTTTATTCATTGTATACCAGCTAACAGATTTACAATTACATTTTATGCATTTGCCTTTTAAATTATGTAGAAAATAAAAAGCAGAGTTACAAACCAAAATTACAATAGGACTGTTTTTATGTTTGTTTATGTATTTACCTTTACCAGAGAGCTTTGTATATTCATACAGCTTGCTTATTTACTTACATAGTTATTGCCTAGAGTTCATTTATTTCAACCTGAAGGACTTAACACTTCCTGAATGTCAAATTCAGGGATAAATGGATTTTTTTCAGTTTTAAAAAAAAATCCGGAAATGTCTTAATTTCTCCTTCATTTTTGAAGGATAAGTTTTCCAGCTATATATTTCTCAATTGACAGGTTTCTTCATTATTTTAAATATATAATCCACTGCCTACTGGCCTTCAAGGTTTCTGCCGAGAAATCAGCTGCTAATGTTATCTGGATCCCTATCTGTGAGAGTTGCTCTTCTCTCTGAGTTTTCAACATTCTCCCATTATCTTTTTTTTGTTTGTTTTTGAGACAAATAATTGTACATATTCATGGGATACAGAGTGATATTTTGATACATGTATACAATGCCCAATGATCAAATAAGGATAATTAGCATATCCATCACCTCAAATATTTGTCATTTATTTGTATTGTGAACAGTCAACATTCTTTCTTCTAGTTTTTTAAATTTATAAACATTTAAATTTTATTACAGAAATTTAAATTTTTTGATTCTGAAAAAGTCATATATGTATGCAACATTTTTTATCATTTATTTATATATTTATGCATCTTTCCTTTTAGTTTTGACAGAGATTTTCTATTTTATCATTATTTCAAAAGAACTCTTACCTGTATTTATTTATCAAGTATATTTCCCTTGTTTTTTCCTAGTATATTAATTTATTTACTTATCTTCTAAAAATCCTCCATATAATCTGTTTATTTTGTTTCCTTTCTATAATTTCTTCAATAATTAGTTCTGTTCTATTTTCCATTAAAATATTTAAATCTTGTATGAATTTTTGTCAGATTAGAAATTTAGGGCGTTTCTTAATTTCTCTATACTCTAGCTTTTGACTTTTTTTTTCTGACCTAAGAGGTATTTAGAGCACATTTTAGATTTTTTATTTTGACTAATCATTTAAAATGTATACTAATCTTCAATTTAAATAAAAAACTGGTCTATAGTGACAAAAATTACAAATGAGCCTAACTAATAAATTATCAGCTGTGTTTATATGTATAAGCATGCACAGATTTTGGTAAATATGTACATAGTATATTGGTGAGCTTATTTTTATCATTCTTAACTCATTGTGTAGTCTAAACGTTGGGGAAAAAATAAAATACAATAATCAGATGGTGTGAATAAGAAAATTGTTCTAATGTTTGTAAACCAAGCAACTGTTTTAACTGCTCCCCTCTTCCTGATTGACTTCTAAAAGGGATTGATCCATATTGGGTCCTATCATATACGTCACGGTATAACATCTCCAGCTATAAAATGGAAATTTGAGAATAACTTTGCTGCTACTCAGATACATTTTATTTCAAAAACATACACTAAGGTGTTGCTGTTGGATCTTTCCAAAAACATATTCACACAGAACTTTCAATCACACTGAGCCATATTTGAACAATCTTTCAAGGTCAGCTCTGGCATAAGCTAACATTATACCATTTAACTCAGAAATTTCTTTAGTATTTGATTAATGGGTTTATGTTTGATATGTAATGTAATTTTCTAATGCTAAATCAAGTGGTAATTTTGTTAGTCAAGTTGATTTAGTGGCTTGGGAAGAAAGCTTTTAATGTTCCCCTAATTTTTCTTACCTTTGACATGATCCTTCACATGTCTTATTTTGCTTAGTGATTTTTCTTTTTTTTTTTTTTTTTTGAGACAGGGTCTTACTCTACCACCCAGGCTTGAGTGCAGTGGTGCAATCACAGCTCATTGCAGCCTTGACCTCCCAGACTCAAGCTATTCTTCCACCTCAGCCTCCCAAGTAGCTGGTACTACAGGCACATGCCACCAAACTTGGCTAATTTTTGTAATTTTTGTAGAGACAGAGTTTTGCCAAATTCTCAGGCTGGTCTGGAATTTCTGGGCTCAAGTAATCCTGCCTTGGCCTCCCAACATGCTGATATTACAGACATAAGCCACAGTACCTGGCCAGTTTTCTTTTTAAAAAAATCTATTGGTTATTAATTTGAAGCCTTCCTTTTCATAGCTGTGCTCCTTAATTGGGAGCAAACATGAATGGACCACAACTTAGCCAATTTTCTATATATGATCTTTGCCATCCTAATTTAAAGGAATATTAATTCTTTCTTTTCCTCTTTCATTCCACAAACCTCTATTGACTACATCTAAGTTCTAAATGGTGCACTGGATGTTGAAAAAGTTGATGATGAGCAAGAACAAAATTCCTGCTTTCAGGAGACTTACAGTTCAATATGGGAAATATAATTTGTTAAAATATAAAAGTGCAATTGTGTTACATGCTGTACGAAGTACATGTTGACATGTGAGCATATAATAAATGGGCTGGAGGCCAGAGGATTGCCAAAGAGAATGGGCCTCCTGCTGAGATGAAAAGTTGAGCAGGGATTAGTTGGCGAAAGTGGAGGGACGATCCTTTCTAGGCAGGAGGAAGAACATGTACAGAATCTCTGAGGTGTGATGCGACAAAGTCTATATAAAAAACTGAAGAAAGGTCTAATGTGGCTTAAATACAGAAGCTAGTAGGAGAGGAGTCGAAAAGAGGCTGGAGAAGTAGAAAGTGTCTGCATTCTGCAGGAACTTATATTGTATAAAAAGAATTTCTCTTTATTCTAAGTGCAATGTGAAGCCAATGAAGTGCTTTAAACAGGTGGTGTGATTTGATTGAATTTATTACTTCACTTAACAAATATTCATTACATGCCCACTGTTTGTCAGATATTGCTGTAGCCCCTGGTGATACAGTAGGGAATAAAACAGGCAAAAATCCCTGTCCTCTTGCAGCTTATAATGGACTGCAATGTTTAATATGTCAGAGGAGGTCCACGGAGGAGTGACTTCTAAGCAAGAATCTGAAAAAAATGAGGATATCTAAGGAGGGAACAAATGGTTCAAAAGCCCTATAATTGCAAGCAGGCATGATGAAGCAATTGCAGTTGTCCTGACTCTCAACACCGTGGAACTCAAAGGAGATGGAAAGATTCCTTCTCTCCCTCATATATTTTCTCTCTTTCTGTCTATATATATAGAATATGAGACATTTCCCTAATCATTATGTGTAATTACAATTACATATATATATGTAATTGTAATTACACATAATGATTAGGGAAATGTCTCATATTCTTCTACTCAGAAATAAGCAATATAGCACTTACTGTTTTTTACATTTTACAGTTACAGTTTCAGAGAAAGTTTGATATTTATCTAAAATTTTTCAATGTATGAACTTTTTCATTTGACAAACCATAATTGTACATATTCTTGGGATACAGAGTGATATTTTCTTTACATGTATAGAATGTGTAGTGATCAAATCAGGGTAATTTCCACTAATTTAAAATGCCACCTTTATGTTATTGTAATTTATATATATACTATATATACACACACACACATATATATATACATGTCCACATACAGTGTGTGTGTGCACATGTACACACATGCATATGTGTATATAATGCCCAGTATAAGCAATGTGCACAAATAAAATTAGCTAACAGAGATAGTATAGAGTGAGAGGAGAGGCAGATTAATCTTTGAGGAAAAGCACAATTTTATAGCTGAATGGAGAAAGCTGAGGTGGTTTCTAAGATGGAGAATAAGACAAAAAATGTAAGTACGTTGTTTGACTGAATTCAAGAAAGAAGGGTAAAAGAGAAGAAAGTAGTGGTCTTATCATTAAATGCCACAGAGAGGTAAAGATAAAGACAACATATTGTTTTGGGTTTAGTAATTTAAGGGTGACCAAATTCCGTTTTGGAGGAGGAACAGATTCCATGTCCACTAGAATGGAATGAACAAGAAATGGAGGAGGAAAATAGGTAGTTTTTCAAAAGTTTTCAAAAATATGAAAAGAAGAAATGAAGTGGTACTTGGAAGAGATTGTTGAAATGGGAGAGACTATGGTGGCTTGTTTAGAAGCAGTTGAGATAGATCCAATTGAGATAGAGATATTGACTATATAAACAAAAGAATGACAAATTAATAGTGTAATGGATAACTTGACTTTGGCAAATATTGTGAATTTTTGTGAAAGTACAACTAAAAGGCAATGTCACTCCAATAATCACCAGAGTAATCAATTTGCTTATTGCTGTCCCTTTAAATATAGTTCTCTGGTATCAACTAACATGTTTTTAACTAATGATGCTTCTTAAAGAAAAGGGAAAAGACCTTTTTCTTTCTTTCAGTCTTCAATGATTCACTGCTTCATCTCGCTCCACCAAAGATAAATGAAATCTACATCTCTTATACATTAACAATGCATGACAATTTACAAATAGCTAAATTTTTGGAGCTAACTTTAAGTACCTGAATGGAATTTAATCAACCCACTAATCTCCTTCTCACTTCTCAGTTATTTATCAAGTTTATGTCAAGGGACAAGGAAAAATTATCCAAACATTGTTTAAAACAATCATCATTAATTAGTAACACTTATCCAGGGGGGTTTTTAACCTTTCCCCCACTCAAGGATTATTCTAATGTCAGAGTAGAATAAAAAATAAGTGCAGCGATGCTGACTCTTCCAAGCTTAACATTTCTCACAAGTCAATTAGCTTTGTACTGGGAGGAGGGCGTGAAGGGCTGCTTGCGGTAGTTGTGTAGCAGCAGCACAATGGCCGCAGACAAGGAAAACAGTTTCTAGGAATTCCTCGTATATAATTTTATATTTTTGACAAGATTAATGACCCATGCTCCCTTCCTCTCCATTTCTTTTTTTGGAATTCTGTTGGTATGTAGTTACTATATTTTATTAAAGGAAATTAGCCTTATCTCTTATTATATTTTATTAAAGAAAATTATTATATTATTCCTTTATATTTTTATTAAAGGATTTTATTATTATTAAAGGAAATTAGCCTTATCTCTTATTATATTTTTTATGACCTTCAAAGTAGTGTCTCTGCTTAAAAGTGTACCCTGGCTGGGCGTGGTGACTCACACCTGTAATTCCAGCACTTTGGGAGGCCGAGGCGGGTGGATCACGAGGTCAGGAGATGGAGACCATCCTGGCTAACACGGTGAAACCCCGTCTGTACTAAAAATACAAAAAATTAGCAGGGCATAGTGGCGGGCGCCTGTAGTCCCAGCTACTCAGGAGGCTCAGGCAGGAGAATGGCGTGAACCCGGGAGACGGAGCTTGCGGTGAGCTGAGATCGCACCGCTGCACTCCAGCCTGGGCGACAGAGCAAGACTCCGTCTCAAAAAAAAAAAAAAAGTGTACCCTGAAGCACACATCAAGCGACATGTAGAGTTCATAAATTCTGGCCAAATGGTCATACCTCAAACCTCATCAGCAGTAAGGCTCTTTACTTGCACTGACAAATATGAACGCTGGGGAATTTGGAAATGATATATAATATATAATATTATATATAATAGATATATAATATATAATATTATATATAATAGATATATAATATATAATATTATATATAATAGATATATAATATATAATATTATATATAATAGATATATAATATATAATATTATATATAATAGATATATAATATATAATATTATATATAATAGATATATAATATATAATATTATATATAATAGATATATAATATATAATATTATATATAATAGATATATAATATATAATATTATATATAATAGATATATAATATATAATATTTATAATAGATATATAATATATAATATTATATATAATAGATATATAATATATAATATATATAATAGATATATAATATATAATATATATAATACATATATAATATTATATATGTAATAGATATACAATATATAATATATAATAGATATATAATATTATATATAATAGATATATAATATATAACTTTCCATGTGATTTTCCTCTTAATTTTTTTCTAGCTGATCCATATGAATTCCTCTTATTAAGAAAAATAAAACATCCAGGATTCAATGAAGAACTGACTATCACCTTGTTAATCATTCAGAAACATGTTGCAGGCTTAAGCCATTTTTGATATAGATACTGAAACAATTACTTGCTAAGAGCAAACTTCAAGGTATGGATAAGGCCCTGAGTCATCTTCCTGAGCTGAATGATAGTTAAGCTGAATGTACGTATAAAATATGATTTTCTAACCACTTGCTCGCCAACAAGGAAAACTTTTAAGTAGAGCAGAACCTGAATAGACAAGACATTTCTTTCTTTTGGTAGAAAATGATTTACCATCACTGTGTAGTTAATTGTAGACTAGGTAATTTTAACTTTGTGATTTATTGCCGGAGACATTTTCTTCTGTACTGTAAAGTGTGTGTCAAAAAAAAAATAGCGATTTTGGAGGATTAGGGGACTTTGATAAATTGCCTGCAATTCTGGCAGTATGAACTGCATATTAATTTCTCTCTTTCAAGAACATTTTTATTTATTAATTCCTTACAAAAACTCCCTAAACTTTGGAACAGCTCTCAATTGCCTGTATTCTTTTTTTTCTTATTATGGTACTCTTCTAGAGATTTGGCTTGCATCTGTGAATAAGCCAGGACATCTTCAGAAATTGTCTGATTAAAAACACCACCAATGGAGTTTCATTAAATTTGTATTGCTCTGACTAGTGAAACACACACATCTATGTTGCTGAGGATATTTTACTGCAGTTCGAGTTGTAATAATAGCTCTGTTTAAGATCCGTCAGTCACTTGAATCTTCTCTAAGGCTTTGTATGTTAGAAGTTAATTTGCTTTCTTACAAGGCCACATTCTATCTTGTAACTAAACAACTGAATTTTATGTCTTAGCGTAGATGGTTTATTACTTTCTGGTTTTTCTTTAGTAAGAATCCTATAAAAACACTAGTATTTTTCTCTGAGTTTAAAATTCAATACATGCCTACTGATATGGTTAGGCTTTGTATCCCCACCTGAATCTCGTCTTGAATTGTAATCCCCATAGCCCCCATAATCCCCACAGGTCAAGGGAGAGACCAGGTGGAGGTAATTGAATCATGGGGGCAGTTTCCCCTGTGCTGTTCTTGCGATAGTGAGTTCTCACGAGATTTGATGGTTTTATAAGGGATTCTTTCCCCTTTGCTCGGCACTTCTTCATGCTGCCTTGCGAAGAAGCTGGCTTGCTTCCTCTTTGTCTTCCGCCATGATTGTAGATTTCCTGAGGCCTCCCAAGCTGTGCTGAACTGTGAGCCAATTAAACTTCTTTCCTTTATAAATTACCCAGTCTTGGGCAGTTCTTTATAGCAGTATGAAAACAGAAAAATACACCTACTATGTAAAACTTAAAATACAAAAAAACAAAACATTATCTCACTAACATAGGAGCTAATATTTTGGTGTACTTTGTTTAGTATTTTATATTAAAAATATGTACATATATATTTATATATAATTAAGAACATGTATGTACAATCGTGCATACATCATGTACATACATCTACTTAAGAAAATAGCTATGTAATATACCATTACTCAACTAGATTATAATTTTTTCTCCATTTCTTTATTGTAATTTATCATTTTCTACTTTTTTGTTTTCTCATTTTTATTGCATAATATTTAATTATGCAAAAAATACATTAAATACATTGAAAATATATAGTGTAGCTATAAGAATAAAGAACGATGGTAAAACAAATGCTAATACCCACTACCTGACTTAAAGAATATGATATTATTTTTTTCCAATTGAAATTCCCTCAACTACTCAGAATTACTGCTATCCCTCTTATCCTTTCATTAATTTTCTTCTAGTTTTCTCACATGTGAATCTATTTCTAAATACATTTCTTTATTTTGCAAGTTTTTGGACTTCATATAAATGTAACCATATTGTATATATTCTTCTTCAGCTTCTTAGTTTTTCACTAAACAATATGTTTTGCTGATACTTACATTCATATGTACAGTAATAGTTGATTTATTTTAATGGCTATATATTATTCCATTGTTAGAATACACCAGGATTTATTTTTACTTATTTTTTTTGCTGGAAAATTGGGTGTCTTTTTTATTTTTTGATATAACAAACAATGTTGTAATCATTTTGTATTTACTTCCTAGTCCACTCCTGTAAGTTTCTCTTGAGTACATACTAGCAATGAATATGCTGAGTCACTGCATATACATACTCACAACTTTATTCTATAATGTAATATTCTATAAAGTAGCTGTATCAGTTTATACTTTAACCAGTAATGGACAAGAT
Source organism: Homo sapiens (assembly GCF_000001405.40). Lineage (NCBI taxonomy): Eukaryota > Metazoa > Chordata > Mammalia > Primates > Hominidae > Homo > Homo sapiens. The sequence continues at coordinate 180,475 of NC_000019.10, read as the reverse complement.
TTTCTGTTACTTCCCATCTTTGTTAATTATTACTTTTAGACTCTAACTTTTATCAGGCTCATGGATGTAAAAAGCATCTCAGGGTGGTTTTAATTTGCATTTATCTGCTCATCTATGAAGATGAGCTTCTTTTCATATAATTATGAGTCATTATTTTTGTTTTGCCTTCTTTTGTTTATGCATTTTGCTTGTTCTATGTCTTATTTTTCCTGTTGATTTTTGGGAGTTCATATATATTCTAAATGTATATTTATTCACTTATATATATGTTGTAAATATTACAGTTTATGATTTGTCACCTTATGATATCATCCAAATAGAGAAGCTTTATATTTTGATGTAGTCATATGTTCATTTTTCCTCCTTAATGTTTGTTTTTCTTGGTTCTATGACCTACAAAAAGTAACAAAAATTCTCATTTATTTTTAATCTAAATGTTTTAAGTATTTTCCTGGAATTCACCTTGAATTGATTTCTATTGGAGATAGGTATCCAATCTAATTTGCCTCATATGGATAACCACTTGTTCTATTACTGCTGTAACAAATTTCTACAAACTAAGTGACCTAAAATAACACAAACTTGTCATCTTACAGTGTACACAAGTCAGAAATCAGGCATGAATTTTAGTGAACTAAAATCAAGTTGTCGACAGGCATGTTTCTTTATGGCGGCTAGGGTAGAATCCATATCCTGGCCTTTTCTATCTTCTAGAGAACATCAGCATTCCTTTTCTCATTGCCTCTCCTCTCTCTTTTTAAAGCTGGCAATGTCACATTTCTCTGACCATTCTTTCATTGTCACATCTCTCTCTGGACTCAGCTAAGAAAGGTTCTCCATTTTTAAGAACTCATGTGATTAGACTGGGCCCATCTGGGTAACCCAGGAAGATCTCTCCATCTCGGTTTGCATCCTTAATCACATCTGATAAGCCTTTATTGCATTCAGTGTAACATATTCACAGGTTCCAGGGTTAGGCATGGGCATCTTTGAGGGCCATTATTCTCCCTACCACATTATTTGCCTAGCATCTTTCATTACATTGTCCATCTATTTACTTACTGATTTCTAATGACATCCAAATCAGTTACAACATTTTATGTAAGCATTGTTTTTATTTTTATGTTATTCCACTAGTCTATTTTTCTACTCATCAATTATGGTACATGAGTTTATTTTTGCAACTTTAAGCTCAATAACATGTTTTAAGATTTCCTCAACTTTCTTTTTGCGCTTCTTCAGAAGTTGACTCTTTTGGCCCTTTGGTCTTCTATACACATTTTAGAAATGCTTTGTTGAGGACTAAGAGGAATGCTAAAATTTTGATAGGAATTTCATTGAATTTTGAGTATATTGGCATGCTACAATGGTTAGTGCTTTATACATGAAAATAATATATCCCTTCCTCTTTTCCTAGTATCATGAGATGTTTGTTAGGCAGACATGAATATTGAGTTGTATCAAATGTGGTTTTCTGCATTATTGTGGTGGTGATGTGATTTAGCTCCTTTAATTAGTTAATGTAATGAATTACATTTGTAGATTGCTCTAACTATTGAAACAAGCTTGAATTTCTGGAATAAGCCCAATGTGATATTTATTCAACAAATATTCATTGAGTATACCTAGTATGTAACATGCTTTAAGAATACACCAGTGAACCAAACAGAAATATCTGACATTACAGAACTTAACATTCCAGTATTTGGAGACAGACGATAAAAAAGTGAACATGTATATTTACAGTTTGTCAAGGAATGATAAATGAAGACTCTTAAAGTAGATGGGGAATTGGGAGTGAAGTCTGTAATTTAAATAGGGTGGGCAGGAAAGCTTCACAGAGAATGGGACATTTAAGAATAGACTTGAAGGACAGGCAAGAGCAATCTCTATGTTTATATGGGAGAAAAGGTTCCAGGCAGATGCAGTAACAATGGCAAATATCCTGAAGTAGGATCATGCTGGAGTTTTTGTGGAGCAGCAAGGAGGCTAGTGTGACTGCCACAGAATCACCCAAGGGAAGATGAGAAGATCAGACCAGACCAGCACTTGGGCATCTAATGGGAAAAGTTTCTCAAGCCATCATAAAAATTTCACTTTTACTATAAATACTATGAGAAACCATGGGATGTTTTACGGTAAGAAAGGTGGCATAATATGTTACATGTTTTAAACTCTATAGCTTCTGAGTTGATTGTAGGGGCTCCTGGCAGAAGCAGAGGGAACATTTAGGAGACTACTGTAAAGAATATCATGAAAAGAACAAACAACGCTATGTAACATGCTTAAATGGACTGAAGAAGATGTATAAAATCAAAATGATGTTACCTTCACACCTTGAATCAGTACGATAAACCCCCCTCCCCAATCACAAAAGAAAAACTAAACACAAAAACCAGGCTTTGGTTGCTCAGACAATTTTACAGGTGAGTTCTAGCAAACATGCAAAGAACGTTTAATTGCACTGTTACAGAAATTCTTCTGGAGACAAGAAAATAAGACACATCACCCAACCAATTTCATAATAACAATGTCAATGTATAATAACAGAAAAAGTGGATCTCCAAAGAAATAAATTTATTTGGAAATAAACAAGGATTATAATCTGAGATATTTGTGCTATGATCAATCATAGGTGCATCCCAAGAGGTTGAGGTAAGGAAAATATATAAAGACAAAAAGAAGTCCATGCAAGCTGTTTTGAAACAAACATCATTGGTCACAGGGTCTGATGCAGGAGCTGGTGTTAACTTACTGGCAGAAACAGCCATTGCTAGGCAAGTGTTCTTGTGAGGGTGGCTTATCTGAAATGCTGCAGTCTTGAGGAATTTTTTATGATAGGTCCTATTATAGAGACACCTACAGGATGAGCTGGACAAACAGAGTGTGCTGGGTGGGCAGAAATTTCTTGTGAGTTTATAGAAAGTCCTTGTGATAGTGCTTATCGTGGACACACACACAAGATCCCCTTTTTCATGACCCGGCTCCACTTTGCTTTGGGTCTGATGTAAGTGACTTTGCCTTGTCATTGGCAACTTTCACTGTAGTATAATCTGCACATTAAAGTTACCTAACAATAGTACAAAGAAAGAAAATTAAAGGTATATCTCTTTCAAAAATATAAACCCCAAAATTGTTAGGAAATTGTAGTGAGTATAAAAGATAATTCATTATAATAAACATCTCAAGCTTCACAGAATTCTGACCTTTGCTACACTCTCATCCACAATCTTTTCTCCTAGTAAATGGCAGCTCCTTCTGTTAAGTTGCTGAGGCTTCTTATTGCTTTTTTCTTCAAATAACAGTCAGAACTGAACAACTGTAATCATCCTAGTCCATACAATTGTTATATTTTCATTTAAAGAAGATCAATGTGTGATTCTTTTTTTATATATTTCTGGACAATTCTTTATATTTTAATAGTAGTCAGAATTTGATCAGGAAAACAGAAGACATCCTATGTATTATAATGATAAAAGTTTAATATTAATTAGGGCCTTATGCTATTATTGGAAGAGCTTGGTGAATAGATATTAGAAAAGCAGCTAGACAAAATCAGAAGAGGTCTGTTTTATATCAGAGATCTTAGCCTGACAGTCTAGAGAGTGGGCACAGAACCCAAGCTTATAGGAATTTCTGAAAGGTCTGTAAATCTTATCCAGATGGACAGTGGGAGCTCATAAAGGATTCTGCAAGCCATCACATCTGTCAAACCTGCTATGTCTAATCCTTAAGCCTGCTTTATGTGAAGACCTCCTCTTCACTCCTCACTTCCAGCTCTCATGAGTTTCTTTCATAGGCAAACCCAAACCTGGAACAATGTGCCTGAAGACTTCGGGTGACACAGTACCCAGACTTAAATAGGAGGGGAGCCATGGTGGAAGTGGCCATCCAGCACAATTTTCTTGGTCTTTACTCATAGTTTTGATTCCTTAAAAAAATTAACCACATTAAAATATGTGTTTCATAATCTACATCTAATAATACAAATATTTAAAGTCTTTTCAAGTTTGAATACGCTACCCATGTTGCTGCTACCCCCATTTTGTGTGTGTGATTTTTGTGTGTGTGTTAGAAGCTCATGACCTTTGAAACCTGCTCTTATGAGCTTGCTTTGATGATTTATTTGTCCAGAGAGGATTTTTTTTCCTACCTAGCATTTTGGACTGCTATCAACCTGAGACCACTTTGAATTAAATTCTCAGCTTGCAAATTTGGAAGCCACACAGATTGTGTGAGTTCAGGCTGAAACCTGTTTGAGAGCTGGATTCTGGCTATAAACTCCACAGGGAACATTTTCTCTCTCCACTCAGAGCTGAGACCATAGGGAAATTTATTTGCTAGCTCACTTTGAAGGTTTATTTTATTTATTTTTTAAATTTCTAGTACACGTGCTCACTGAAGGTGTAATACTTATGTGAGAATCTCAAAATCAGTTGTGTTCTTTGTATGACCCTGGTTTTGTTTCCTCCTGCTCTCTTACTTTCAGTGTGTCTCAGTATGTCTGCTCAATATGTCATCTTAAATTTCAACTGAGGGTGGATCTTCTTCCCAGCTCACTCACATGGTTCTTAGCTAGATTCAGTTTCTCTCCATTTGTAGGACTGAGGACCTCAGTTCTTCACTTAGGGTTGGCTACAGGTAATCATCAATTTCTTGTAACAGGACTTACACTGGGCCACTGACAGCATGCCGGTTGGCTTCATTCAAATGAGAGGGCAAGAGAAAGAGAGAGAGGGAGAGGGCACAAGATGAAATTCACAGTATCTTATAATCTAATCTCAGAAGTGGCATCTCATTTCTTTTGTTCTATTCTATTCAATAGAAACAAGTACCTGGGACCAGCTTACACTATAGGAAAGAGATTATATAAGGGTATAAATACCAAGAGGTAGAGATCATCAAGAGCCATTCTGGTAGCAGCCACAATATCTTATCCAGAATATTTCTTATTCAGGCCTTCAAATGTGCTGTCTTTTCTGGTCTAATGGAAATGAACCTTCCTTCCATACAATTTCTTCTCCTAAATTGTACTCTGGCTCTCTTATCATATACAAACTTCTATGTTAGGTATTTGTGTCTGTCTTGATTCTTGGTAGGCTTTTAAACTCTGTGAATGTTGGACTGTGATGTAGACATCATTTCACCGCACACTCTGTAACCACCAAACCTTAGCAGCTTATTCAGTAAGCACATACTTGGCTCTTAATGAGTATTGCTTAAATTGATGAATTGAATTAGTATTTTACCTTCTCTGTTGCTTAGCTAAGCAGAAGAATTTGTCATTTTTTTAATTTAGTGACTGGTTCTATTAAAAGTTACCTTTGTCTATATCATTTTGTTATACTAAAGCACAAATGTATAAGGTCAAAAAACATTCTCAAGATTTTGTTTAAACCACAGTCCTCAGTTGTGTATATTTATCTCTTGTTTTCATATGCAAGATTTCTCCTGAAATGGGCAACAATTACAAGAGTTTTTTTCCTCTTCTGAACTAAGAAAATAAATATTTAATTCACAAGTTTAGAAAAGTGAACCTGAAAAATCACAGGGCTAGGTGGGTTATGAGGCCCACTGGTACATGATAGTGTTGAATGTGGATTAGAATGAACTCCGTGGATTAGAATCTCAGACCATAGGCAAACATTTACTTGTTTTAGAATAAGCACATTTGAGTCTGCAATAAGTATTACTGTTTTTAAGTTGAAAATGTAATTGGTTTCTAATAATAACCATATTGGCTAGCATTATTTCAATCGTGTTTAATGTTTTCCAATGTCATTTCATGTCAGATATCTCTCTTGATTCTTAGTAACAATTTGGACAAGACAGCAAATGCTATTGTCCAAGTTTTCTAAAGAAGAATCTGAAGTGAAATGACATCAAGAGACCTATCAAGACCTGTATCCAGGAAAAGGTAAATCTGAGCTGAAATTGTAGCCCTTGTAAATTACCTACGTGACATACCAGATAGTGTTCATGATCCCTTCAGTACTCTGTTCTAAAAATGAGACAATATCCATTTATTCACTTGTTCATTTATTTAGTGTTTGTTCAGCCCTTACTGCATATTCCAGGCACTATTCTGACTGTGGCAGGAGTGAACAAACAGGCATGGTTCTTACTTGCATGTAATTACAGTCTTATAGTGAAAACAAGTGTTAAACAACAAAATCTCCCAATTATTTTAAAATTATAAACTTGATTCGATACTATGTGGCCATATAATTGTTCCTAATTTGGTTGGAGAAGGGAGGCAGTTAGGGAAGCCTTCCCTGAGTTAGTGCCATTTAACCTGAATTATGATAGATGATAAGTAATTTGTCAGGGGAAAAATACTCCAGGAATAAAGAACAGGTACAAAGGTCAGGTTCTGGGAAGAGCTTGTCTTGGTCCAGGAGCTAAAAAATGTTAGAGTGGCTGGATCTGGGAAAGAGACAAAGAGTTATTAAATGAGGCAGCAGGCTTCAGCAGGTGCCACATTGCTCAGGGCCTTGTAGGCCATGCTAAGGATTTGGGATGTTAATGTCAGTACAAACAATTGAGTCATAAGCAGAAAGTAAAAGCATGATTCCATCAAATGTTATTCTCTAAACAGTAATTTTATAAATACAGGTTAAATGTGTGTGGTCCCAGCTACTCAGGAGGTCCCAGCTACTCAGTATTCCTTTTCAACAAATATTAGGTGCCTACTATTGGCCAGGTACAGCCCTTAGCTACTTTGAATGAAGCATATATTACAAACTGGCAGAATTTCTTAAACAAAGAATCTAAAGTTGTTTATACACCATAATCTCGGTATTTTATAAATTTCTTGAAATTATTTTTATGTACACTGCTTTGCAGAATTTTAACTGGCTTTGAAATAAACAATGACAATAGTCCTCCATGTTACTAGTTTCAAATTTTCCCAATACCTACTAAGACATTACTTAATCCACAGATTTACTGTCAATAGTTTGTATCAAATTGTGATAACATATTTGAAATTAATATTTCAAATTAAAGCAAAATCACAAATTTATACTTTATATTATGAATGAGATTCACAAAAGGAGCATGATAATATATTCTGTTGTCATCACATACAAAATAATAACATAGAGTATGAATCAATAATTTTTCAAATACAAAGCTATTACAATTAGGAATACAAAGAAATCATAATTAGGAATACTTCTACAATATTAACACACAATAGTGGTAACACTTGCAAAATGATGGTGGTGGTTTTTTTTTTTTTTTTTTTCCCCGACAGAGTCTTGCTCTTGTTGCCCAGGCTGGAGTGCAATGGCGTGATTTTGGCTCACTGTAAACTCCACCTCCTGGGTTCAAGCGATTCTCCTGCCTCAGCCTCCCTAGTAGCTGGTATTACAGGTGCCTGCCACCACACCCAGCTAATTTTTGTATTTTTAGTAGAGATGGGGGTTTCACCATGTTGGCCAGCCTGGTCCCGAACTCCTGACCTTAGGTGTTCCACCAGCATCGGCCTCCCAAAGTGCTGGGATTACAGGTGTGAGCCACTGCGTCCAGCCAGTCGTGGGTCTCATATCTCAATGTGGACTTTTACTAACTCCCGATGCCTCATTTTCCTCATCAGTTGAAAGGAATGAATGAAAGATTTGTGTTTTTCATATTACCAGGTAGATGATAAGGAGATTTTAATTTTCTTTTTTTTTAACTTTTATTTTAAGTTTAGGGGCATTTGTTACATAGGTAAACTGGTGTCACAGGGGGTTATTGTACAGATTATTTCATCACCCAGGTATTAAACCTAGTACCCAATAGTTATCTTTTCTGCTTCTCTTCCTTTTCTCACCCTCCACCCTCAAGTAGACCCCAGGGTCTGTTTTATTCTTTGTGTTCATTAGTTCTCATCATTTAGCTCCCACTTATAACTGAGAGTATGCTGTATTTGGTTTTCTGTTCCTGCATTAGTTTGCTAAGTATAATAGAAGGTCCATCCACATTCCAGCAAAAGACATGATATCATTTTTTAATGGCGGCATAGTATTCCATGGTGTATATGTACAGCCTGCATATAAACTGTGGGCTAAAGACCTTCACCAGAGCAGTCTGACAGAACCTCTCTGAAAGACTTCTCCTAGGCTGTAATCCTCAGTCTCTTGTTCTCAGACCCCTAAATAAATCTAACTTTAATTTCTTAAAAGCTTAATTTTTTTCTTTAGTTGACACCAAAAATCTCCCCAGCCAGATCCACAAACTTTTTCGGTATTTTTCCTATATTTTATATCATTCCAGGCAAGCGTTTTCTAACTCTCCCATCAGAATACGACTTTGGTGCGTTTTCCTCAGCCTCCACTGATGATTTTTTCTCATTATCCTTAAAGCCCTTTCCAGTAGACTTCTTAAGCTCTTTCAAGTTTTCAGTCTCCTTAAGGACCATTCAGTGTTTACTGTCAGTTCCCAGAATGCTTTTACAGGTTTTGCTATCATTTTCCTTGAAGTCTGTTCACTTTTCACTAACAGTCTTTGTGAAATCCTTCTGGCTTCTATCCATTGTCTGATTCCAAAGCCAATGCCACATAGTTTAAGTTTATATTATATTAGAGTGACATCTTATTCCACGTACCACAAACCACCTCAAAACTTCGCAGCTTAAAACAACAAACTTAAAAAAAATTGTGGACTTGTATTAGTGCAAGCAGGGCTTAGCTACATGATTCTGCTCCATGTGGTATTAACTGTAGCCATCTGTGGTATTCAGCTGGCAGCTGGGTAGTCTGGAGAGTTGAAGGTGGTTTCAGTGATGTGCCTGTTTTATTAGTGGATTGGATGAAATGTTGTGGTAAGGTGGGCCTCTCTTGCTCTCCGTGTAGTTTGAGAGCCTGTCTACATGATCTATTCAGCAGCAATATGGTTTGGCTGTGTCCCCACCCAAATCTCATCTTGAATTGTAGCTCCCATAATTTCCGTGTCTTGTGGGAGGGATCCAACGGGAGATAACTGAATCACAGGAGTATTTCCCCCATACTGTTCTCGTGGTCTTGAATAAGTCTCACAAGAGCTGATGATTTTGTAAGGGGGTTCCCCTTTCACTCAGCTCTCATTCTGTCTTGTCTGCCATCATGTAGAGATGTGCCTTTTGCCTTCCACCATGATTGTGAGGCCTCCCCATCCACCTGGAAATGTGAGTCCATTAAGTGTCTTTTTCTTCATAAATCACTCAGTCTCAGGTATGTCTTTATCAGCAGCATGAAAACAGACTAATACAGTACATTGGTACTGGTAGAGTGGGGTGCTGTTGTAAAGATAACCCAAAAATGTGGAAGCGACTTTGGAACTGGGTAACAGGCAGGGGTTGAAACAGTTTGGAGGGCTCAGAAAACGACAGGAAAATGTGGGAAAGTTTGGAACTTCCTAGAGACTTGTTGAATGGCTTTGACTAAAATGTCAAATAATGATATAGACAATGAAATCCAGGCTGAGATGGTCTCAGATGGAGATGAGGAACTCACTGGGAACTGCAGTAAAGGTGTCTCTTGCTATCGAGAGAGACTGGCAGCATTTTGTCCCTGCCCTAGAGATTTGTGGAACTTTGAACTTGAGGGAGATGAGTTAGGGTATCTGGCAGAAGAAATTTCTAAGCAGCAAAGCATTCAAGAGTGACTTGGGTGTGTTAAAAGCACTCAGTTTTAACAGGAAAACAGAGCATAAACGTTCAGAAAATTTGTAGCATGACACTGTGATAGAAAAGAAAAATCCATTTTCTGAGGAGAAATTCAAGCTGGCTGCAGAAATTTGCATAAGTAACAAGGAGCCAAATGTTAATCGCTAAGTCTTCAGGCCATGTCAGAGATCTTTGTGGCAGCCCCTTCCATCACACACCCAGAGGCCTAGGAGGAAAAAATGGTTTCATAGGCTGGGCCCAGGGCCCCTCTGCTGTTTGCCTGTGTACAGCCTAGGGACTTGGTGCTCTGTGTCCCAGCTGCTCCAGCCACAGCTAAAAGGGGTCAAGGTACAGCTCAGGCCATGGCTTCAGAGGGTGCAAGCCTCAAGCTTTGGCAGCTTCCATGTGGTGTTGAGCCTGTGGATTCACGGAAGTCCAGAATCGAGGTATGGGAACCTCCACCTAGATTTCAGAGAATGTATGGAAATGCCTGGATCTCCAGACAGAAGTTTGCTGCAGGGGTGAGGTCTTCATGGAGAACCTCTGCTAAGGCAGTGGGGAATGGAAATGTGGGGTTGAAGCCCCCAACACAGAGTCCCCACTAGGGTACTGCCTAGTGGAGCTATGAGAAGAGGGCTGCTGTCCTCCAGACCCCGGAATGGTAGATCCACTGACAGCTTGCACTGTGTGCCTGGAAAAGCTGCATACAATGCCAGCCTGTGAAAGCAACCGGGAGGAAGGCTCTCCCCTGCAAAACCACAGGGGTGGAGCTGCCTGAGACCATGGGAACCCACCACTTGCATGAGTATGACCTGGATGTGAGACATAGAGTCAAAGGAGATCATTTTGGAGCTTTAAGATTTGACTGTCCCACTGGATTTCGGACTTGCTTGGAGCCTTTAGTCCCTTTGTTTTGGGTAAATTTTACCATTTGGAACGGCTGCATTTACCCAATGCCTGTACTCCTATCTTATCTAGAAAATAACTAAATTGCTTTTGATTTTACAGGTTTATATGTGGAAGAGACTTGCCCTGTCTCAGGTGAGACTTTGGACTGCCAACTTTTGAGTTAATGCTGAAGTGAGTTAAGACTTTTGGGGACTATTGGGAAGGCATGATTGGTTTTGAAATGTGAGGACATGAGATTTGGGAGGTGCCAGAGGCAGAATGAGGTGGTTTGGCTGTGTCCTTTCCCAAATCTCATCTTGAATTGTAGCTCCCATAATTCCCATGTGTTGTGGAGGGACCTGGTGAGAGATAATTGAATGATGGGGTGGCTCCCCCATACTGTTCTTATGGTCGTGAATAAGTCTCATGAGAGCTGATGACTTTACAAGGGGCTTCCCCTTTCACTCAGCTCTCATTGTCTCTTGTCTGCTCCCATGTAATGCATACTTTTCACCTTCTGCCATGATTGTGAGGCCTCCCCATCCACATGGAACTGTGATTCCATGAAACTCTTTTTATTCATAAATTACCCGGTCTTGGATATGTCTTTATCAGCAGCATGAAAATGGACTAATGCAAGCAGAATAAGCAGAATTCTTCGATACCGACTCAGCACCCCACACACGTTGGTTCCAAGATGTAGAAATGGAAGCTTCAAGGCTTTTAACATCTGGACATCAAAACTGGAAGTTTTACTTTCACTGTATTTTATTGGTCAAAGCAGTCAAAGAGCCCACCCAGGTTCAAGGAGAAAGAATATGTCCCCACGTTTTCAACAGGATGGTGCCACAAAATTTCTAGTCATCTTAATTCACCACAGATAGAAATATGAAGAGCTCATTTGTTATGTTATTTGTGAATGCAGACTAAAGATATTTGTTGGTTTATATAGTAGTGGGAAAATGAGAACTTTTAAAATATTCAACTTTTAGCCCTTGACATGCAAAATGAGTTCATTACATGGTAAGGATGAGGGAGAAAGAAAAGATCTGAAAAAGTAGAAGAGTGATGGATTCAGAAAGCATAGGATGATTGTCAGTGTGATTGTTTTATCTAGCCACATATAGCTGTGTGGTATCAAGATGTAGAAGGCAGAGAGTAGGATTTATCAGGATTGTTGTTTGGAAGAGTGAGTACAATCATTACGAGGGAGCAAGGTATTGATCATGGAATATAAAGTGGGAAAAGAGGTAAGGTAAGAAGGATATCAGTAAAGTGAATGACAGCATAAATATGGTAGAACCATTGGATTGGTGGCTCTGGAGGAATTGAATAATTATTAGACTTGAAGCATTAGATGGTGCACTAGTGAGGGCATCTCCAACTAAGTCTACCATCAAGTCATGGTGATTTATTATCTCAAATATATGACAAATTTATCTACTTATTTCCAAAACTCCCATATCTAGTTTAAGTAATCAAATTTCTTGCCTTGGCAAGCATGTTGCTTTGTAATTGACTCACCTGTATCCAATTTGAATTCCTTAAAATCCATTCTATACATTGTAACCATAGTGATATTTACAAATGTGAAATCTGGTCAAATCATTCTTCTGCTTAGTAGTCTTGGATTTCTCATTCTCTTAGGAAGCATCTTCCACTACTTATTTCAGCATTATCTGCACAATGCTTCCCCTCACTTCCTCACAATGTGGTTTCAGGCACAACTCCCAAGGCCCCACTCTGGCCTCGGGGAGCAGATTGTTCCCCCTGCAGGAAAACCTTTGTTCTCCACTCAGTTAACTGCTGTTTACCCTTTAGATCTCAGCTTCAGTGTTGCTTTCTTAGGGGAAACTTCTCTGACTCACATCAAATCCCTCTCTTATAGTAATTTTCATTGTATTTCAGAGTAATTTTTATGGTTGCAATTTTACATTTGTGTGATTGTTTGATTAATCTCTGTCTCCTCCACGAAAACTCCAAGATGCAGGAACTATATCTTACTGGCATTCAGCACAATACCTGGCACATAGGTGTTCAAAAAATACTAATAGGGTAAATAAATGAATTAATTTTATGCTTTTATTTTAATATTTTCATGGTATTAATATCTCTCTATGTGATATTTTGTATGTACCTATTTTCTTTTAATTTGAAGATTTATAGTTTAGTTATGTGCTGTATAAATTATATTTAGTTCTTTAATTTTTGTGTTATTTCCAAGGGTGCTCTCCATTGACTCTTTTAATATAGTTCCACTTTACCCCTTAAACCCACTTTCCTCTCCCACCTTCGTCATTCAACTTTATTTGATTTTGTTATTTTTAATTTTTCTAATAATGACCTTTATCTTTTAAAATAATATTTAATCACCCATAACATAATTTGTTGATTCTCTCCCACTGTGAAAGTTGAATGGACCAGAATATATTTCTACTATCTTTCTCTTCTTATTTTTGTTATGAATATAATTAGTCTTTATACAGTTATGGTTTGTAACATTTGCATTCTGTTCTTTAACCGCAAACCCCAGAACATTTTGATATTAGGCTTCAGAATGCTCACTTGTATCATGTTATCTCTATTCATTTTTAGTGGATAGTTTTCTTTTTTAAGTTTTTCTGATAGAGATGGGGTCTTGCTATGTTGCCCAGGCTGGTCTTATCTTGAACTCCTGGGCTCAAGTGATTCTCCTGCCTTGGCCTTTCAAAGTGTTGGGACTGTAGGTGTTAGCCCCTGCGCCTGGCCTCTAATAGTTGTCTTCATTAAAGCCTCATGGGGACTCTATTTTTTTTTTTTTTTTTTGTGGGTTGTTTATTTTGTGTTTGTGAAGTCCGGTAAATTCAGTTGCATCTGCCTTGATGTGGTCATACTATAACACATTTTTTCTGGATAAAGATAAGCCCTTTAACCATTAGATTCAATGTTTTCTTCATTTCAGAAAAGTTTTCTTTTATCTTTGAATTTTTTAACCAGATATTGTGAGCTCTTTCACACTAATTTCTCATTTGTTGGACCTGACTTTAATGTTACATTTCACCTTCTTGTGTTTTCTATTTCGTTTTGCTCAGGATATATTTAAGCCTGTCATTTATATTCTTATCTGTGTTTTTAGCAGCATTATTCTCTCCACTTCCCACTTTTTTTCCTGCTTTTATTGATCTTCATTTCTTTCATGGTTGTCTTTACTCATTACATCCTGAATTTTGCCAGATTATTTTTTATCACTTTATTTTGTATTTATTTTCAATTATGTCTTCTAAATATCATTTCAGAGAGAAAACATTTTAGAGAAGGCATATTTTTAAAAAACATAGAAAATTTGATCCTGTTTTTTACTGCTTCATGGTATAATTTGTATGTTCTGTACCTTATGTAATTTTCCCTTTTTCTTCTAGTATTTTTATAAAGGTCATCAAGTTTTATTTTTGTAATACAATTATTATAAATAATTATATAATATTATTAGTCTTTGAATATTCTAGATACTTGTGAAAGGATATTGTGGAGGAGGAGCTGGGGGTAGTAAGTATGATGGAAGGCAGACGAGTTTTGGAATCTTGTCTCCAAAACACTCTCATCTGTTAGAATGACTCCTAGGCTATAGGATTGACTATGGCTTAGAGTGGATTCATAGTTGTTAATTTCGTCATGTGACTTGTGACTTATCCTTTTCTTTTCATAATAGAATGAAAATTGCCATCTGTCTGGCTTCTTCCCCATCTTTTTGCCTTCTTTCATTACACCACACACGTGTCCTAATTATTCCAAAGGTGATACATTTGCATGTTTCCCTTTAAACTCCTTTCCCTCTGTCACTCTGTGGAGGGTTCACATGCTGCAATATTTCTGTTCCAAGTAAAGATCACAGGTTTTGATCCTCAGTCCTCAGTATACACACCTCTTTTAGGGATTTCTGGGCTTCTTGACTAGCTCAAGCTCTTCAGAGGCATGCACTTTATCTTGGTGTTCAGTCTTGACTGGTTTAAACTTTTGATGTCCAGAAGGTTTTCTTCATGTGTTGTTGTGTGGAATTGTAAATATTTTCTAGCTTTTGTAAGGTTGTGGCTCATATTTATATTTCTCCTGGTTTGAAAGAAGAGAGAGAAAGAAGTATGTCAAATTGAGACTCTTAGATTGGAAATCTGAATTTATTTACACGATTGAGATTGATCTAGAGTTTTATTTTTTCTGCTGTAACTGAAATTTGGATTCAAGATTATATGTGTTTTGTGAATATGTTTGGTAACATTGTGACTTTTCTATAATTTAGGGAAGTTTGATGTAGGAGAAAGAGAAAAAATTTTTGAGAGAATCCTAAATTCATATATGGCCTAACCTTTTAATATCTATGTAATTTTAGATAATAAATAATTTGTTTGAGATTATGTGGCTCTAACAACACCTGCTTCACAGTGTAATTATGAGGATTTCATAGAATTTGTATAGTGAGCGTTAGTTTTGATGTTACTTTAAACCTCTTTGCCTTATACATTCTATTTTTTCCATGGAACATTATATGATTTCATGTCCACATATTAATCTCATACTTTCAATTACATTTTATGTTTAAATTGAATATTATGGTAATCGTTATGCAAATGATTAAAAATTTAAAGGGACAACATTTAATGTTGCTCTGGAATTCACCTTTAGTCATAAAATAAAGATTTAAAGTATCATCTGTAGACAATGGCAAAAGCCCTTTTTTGTCATAAGAAAATCAAATATGCTTTATTTCACCCAATTAACATGGCTATCCCGGGAAAACCAAAATGACCATAGGCGGTAATTCCCCAGGCCGTGTGATCTCAGTCTGGCATTCTCGGATCTCCAAGGCATCACTTTGGCCACTACCCTCTGGGGCTGTGATTAGCAGCTCTCTTCCTGTTTTATGCAGCTCTGTGTGTATGTCTGCAGTGATGCCGTACTGGATCTGGTTCATCTTGTGAGAACTATACCTATCTGAATTTTTGATGATGCTCTTTTCTTAGTTCCCTTGGCAAAACAGGTAGGTGAGGGATAGAAATAAAATCTATACTTAGTAAATCGGTGAGCCAAGGTCTGTGACTGGCAATGAGTGAATTACATTCTCCTCAGTTGGGTGCAATGTCTGCCTTCTGTGTGGCCATTTGCTGTTGCCACTAGAGAAGGAGGATGCAGCAGGGATCAGGCACCGTGGAGAAAAGTCGCCGTGTGTAGGCAGCTAAGAATGTAGGAAAATGAACATCTCGGCTCCCAAAGGACGAGAATAAAGCTGTAGAAGAATGTCAGGGAGGAATCTGAGTTGATCGTATGACTATTCATCCTTCTTCCCACATTTTCCCGACTGTTTAGCCCTACTTTTCTTCGCGTTGGGTCTCATTTTCCTTCCTGTGTGGCCTGTGCCTTATGGTCAGCGCGGACGTCCATCAGTCTATCAAATGCCTAGAAACCTTTCGCCCTTTGTCACCTTCTGTGTCACCCAGCATTCCCCTTCTCAGCCCTTTTCATTCTCATGGTGGAATCCTTTTGGTTTGATTTCAAGGGTCCAGCACTGTTGATGTCACAACAGAGTGGCATGGAAAGTTTCTGAAAATTTTGTCATCTAACCTCTCGTGGGGACTTTTAATTAATTCAGCTTTTGACAACTCCATCACATTCATTATATTATCCATTCATTCATTCATTAATACATTTGACATTTATAATGTGTGCCAACAATGTGCCAGGTCAAAACTGCCCACTTACAATGTAGAACATTTCTGTAAATTTTATTTCAATTTTCTTGTATTTCTTCTCCTTTATTCTACCATCCCACTTGATCTTCTGCCACAGAAGTTCTCTTCTCTCTCTCTTTGTTCTCTCTTCTCCTCCTTTATTCTTGATACCTGCTTCTGTGTTGGCTCCTTGAGGCCAGCACTTGTCCTCCTACCTCTGTGATGTTCTGTCTAGTTTATTGATTCCTTTTCCTACTTTACATAATCAATGTGGATAGTTTCTATAGTTGGGTCTTTGCTTTTTAATCTTTTTTTCCTGTGTATTATTTCCTTCAGGGACCTTATGCACTCTTACACATCCGTCTATTATTTTTATATGGATTACTATACAATTACATGTTGAATTTGTACTTTTCCCCCATATATCCTGTCATATGTTTTCACCTGAGCATCTCAATATCTAATACTCTTATTTGCTTAAAATACACGTGATTATTTTCTCCACCCTGACATATTTTATGTTCAACTTTCTAATTTCTAAAAATGGACCTACCATTGTCCTATTTATTCTTGCTTAAATCTTGATATTTTCTTTGAGTTCATGCTCCTTCGTATTCACTCCAGCTGTGATAAGTCACCAATCCTTTGGGTTTTTACTTACCAGTATTTCTATTTCTGTTTCTATAGCCTTAAAGCTGGAACTGTGGGCCGGGCGCGGTGGCTCACGCCTGTAATCCCAGCACTTTGGGAGGCCGAGGCAGGTGGATCATGAGGTCAGGAGATCGAGACCATCCTGGCTAACAAGGTGAAACCCC
Source organism: Homo sapiens (assembly GCF_000001405.40). NCBI lineage: Eukaryota > Metazoa > Chordata > Mammalia > Primates > Hominidae > Homo > Homo sapiens. The sequence continues at coordinate 163,442 of NC_000019.10, read as the reverse complement.
GTCTCTACTAAAAATACAAAAAATTAGCCGGGCGCAGTGGCGGGCGCCTGTAGTCCCAGCTACTCGGGAGGCTGAGGCAGGAGAATGGCGTGAACCCGGGAGGCAGAGCTTGCAGTGAGCTGAGATTGCGCCACTGCACTCCAGCCTGGGCGACAGAGCGAGACTCCGTCTCAAAAAAAAAAAAAAAAAAAAAAAAAAAAGCTGGAACTGTGTAGTCCCAGTTCCTCTGTGTAGCCCCCCAAGTCTGCTCTATTTCAATCTTCTCTTAAGGGAACTCCTTCCCTCCGTTTTTCTTTTCCTCCATTTGATACATCACACTTATAGATAGGGCATCTTCCCTAATTACTGGCTTCATCCTCAATTCCCGGGACCCATACCTTCACTGGCTTCCTAAATTTATTTAATAATTCTCATATACCTTTGAGAAGTTTCTAATGATAGGCAACAAATGAATATTGACTACCTTTCTTATTTTCCTTTATTCACCAAAATGATTTTTAGGATGTAGACAATCTGTATGCTTCAACATACACCAAACTTACCATTTTTGAAATATTTTACAATCTACTTGAAAAGACTTCTTTAGACCCTATATTCATGTATTGTAATATTTATCCTCTTTTATGGCTATACTCAAATGCCACATCACTATAGTGCCTTCCCTCATCACTGTAGCTATCTCTTTTCACTCTACTTATATTGTAGAGGATTTGTTACACTTCTTGAACTGCTGATCTCAAGCGATTTGCTTGCTTTGGCCTCCCAAAGTGCTGGGCTGACAGGCGTGAGCCACTGCACCTGGCCTGATTTGTTCCACTTCTACTATATGCATCACACATGCCTGATGCATATTTTAATGCACGTTGGATAAGGATCGGCTTTGTACGACTTCAGTCTTTCTTGATGTGTGACACCCACTTCTATTTTGGCTCCACTTTAACAAAATGAATAAGTGAGAAGGTAATACTGGAAACAGAACATAACTGTGACTAGGAATTTGGTCTTGACTCGCCATTTAATTTTCTGATGTGCATGACTGTTTTCTTCACATGTGAAATTTAACATGAGGTTGAAACTGGAGAATTTTATATTTTTCATGAAAAAGGCAATTTGGGAGAAAAGTCCATTTTCCTGAGGATAAGGTATTGTATGGTTTGACTGCTTTGCCTTGGCTGGTCAACACATTTGTACACCTGGATAGGCACAGTTTTCAGAAATCCTTTCAAGCATCTACCAATTCTCCTGTCTACAAGTTTACCTTCCTCCCATTTCTCATTCCTAATGACAAGGGAAATATCCAGTGTTATCTGAAGTGGTCATAAAAGACATTTTTTTTCTTTTTATGTGAGGAATTGAAACTTATGGCTTTAGATTATGGGGCTTACCATCAAGGAAAGGGTGTAGCGTGGTCAGAGGACAAAACTTCTTCCTGCATTTCTCAGGAAGTCTTTGATTAGTGTGTCCACCTAGGAGCAATTTTTTTTGGGGGGGGCACTGGGAAATATACTTAAGTGATTAAATCCAAGTGTAGACATGAGAGCTTTACCTAAAGCCAGGTCTAATTACCATACCTGAGAATCAGGGAGTATTTAAAATTTGAGAAATAATTTTCTATACTTGAAAGTCACTTATGTAGGTAGGCCTCAGATTATAATAAATAACGTTTATTGTGCTATACTGTGTGGTAGGTATGAGGTTAAGTATTTTTACCTATATTATATCACTTATTTCTTACAAATGGAGCAAGGGAGCAAGCAAGCAAGGGAGGTATTATTATCCCTATTTTATGTATTTATGTATTTATTTTTGATTTCTATTCTTTTGGTTTTTTTGTTGTTTTTTATTGATGTATCATAGTTGTACATGTTTTGGGGTACATGTGATATTTTTGATACATGTATACAATGTGTAATGATCAAATCAGAGTAATTTGGATATTCATCACCTCGAATATTTATCTTTTCTTTGTGTTGGGAACATTATAATTTTTCTCTGCTAGCTATTTTAGAATATATAATAAATTATTGTTCCCTATGATTTCTCCATTGTATAATTGAATACTAAAATTTATTATGTCTATCTACATATCCCCAGTTCAATAACTATAATTTCTCTGCTGTGCAATCAAATACTAGAACTTCTTCCTTTGAACGCTATATCCCTAATTCAATAACAAGTAAACTGAAGCTCAGCATGGTCTAGGAACTTTGTTACGTTAACACAGCAAGTGAGTGTTGCAGCCTGGATCCAAAAATCAGGCCTGGTCGACCTCAAAGTCCAGATTATTGACCTTTCTACCATAATGTATGGAGGTAAGTTTGTGAATTTATTCAAAAATCAGGCCTGGTCAAACTCAAAGTCCAAATTATTAACCTTTCTACCATAATGTATGGAGCTAAGTTTGTGAATTTTCATAGTTTTAGGATTTGAAGATAAAAGAGGTGAAAATTTGGAAATGGTTTCTGGACTTTTGAATTTTGGCAAACAGCTATGTGATAAGTCCACCCTGCAGACCCACAACTTTTGGAAATAACTCTACTGTGATCTTCAGTAGCAGAAGCTGCTCCTGGGGTGGTAGAACACAAGGAAAACACACACTAGTAAAAATTTCATGTGGCTTCTTTGTTCTGTACATGTGTTTCTCTTGATTAGTATATGGTAGTATCCTCAAATCATAGTAACAAGTATACTTTTTCCAGTGAATTGCATGTGTATATTATTGTATAGTATAAAAGGCAATATTTCCATTTATTATCATCTGTGCTTTTCAAAGAAACTCTGTGAGTCCAAAAGGGCAGATAATAGAAGCAACTGCCCTTTCTCTCCCCCGTTAAATGCAACCCAATGTCACAGTCCGTAGCATCCCCAGATGAGTGTATTAAAGGTGAGAAATTCCCAAAGTCAAACTCAGTAGCATCCTTGAATGAGTGTATTAAAGGTGATAAATTTATTTTATTTATGTTCTTTTTAACCTGTGTTCTCAGAAACAGAGACTACTGTATTTCATCCTACCTTAGTCTTGCTTAGCAGTTTCTCTTCTCCTTTGAGGCTCTTTTATTTTTAAATCATTGTTCATATCTTCTAATCTCCCCTTTCTCCCATTCTTCCCATATTTTTAATCTTTTTTTAACTTTATCTCTGTTCTACTTTTTCTGTATTTCAAATTGATCCATAGACTTTAGAAAAATGAGTTGAATGCTGGCTGTAGGCTGTCTTATCCCCAGCAAGAAACATGTTGTAAAGTCTTAGTACCTTCCCACTGGAAGATCATTAGTCATGGCTACTATGTTTTTAAATGAGAATTGTTTTAATTATGCATTTTAAAATTATTGGAAAACATGAGGGAGAGGAATGAACCATAAGTAATAAAGATTATTGACTTGAAGTTAAGACCTTACTATGATCTGGGATTATTAGTCTTACTTGTCAATCAAGAACTATCCACTTTCTATTCGTTTGTGGGTATCTAATATGGTTATATACACAGAAGTAATGATAATTGATATGAAAAGGTCTCCTCCTGTTATATCAATTTAGGTATTTTTCACACATTGTATACCTCATTCTTCTCCTATTCAATTTTCACTAATTCCTAAAGGGTCAGGTCAATGTCCTTGGCATAACCTCCTCCACCTGTTCTTAATGGCAATCGTCTCTTCTGCCCTCCAATATCTATAACACTTTTTTCTTTAAAACTCTTTGAATGTTTATCTTAATACTCATTTGATATATATTGTATACCACATATGATTGTTTGTTATATGTACAATACATGTTTTTTCAACTTTTTTTGGTTCTTTCTATTTACAGGAATTAGAGAAAGAACAAATCAGTGTGAAGGAGAATTGTCAGTAAAATTACAAGAAAAGATTGAGATCATAATTGACCTTTGAGAATAATAAAATTTAAAGACCAAAAGGATGGACTTCACAGAAACATGACCTTAGGTTGTTTTTGCAGTTGTAGTAACTGGTTATATGACCAACAAAATATGAAGAATGGGTACAAATTCTGATAGTAATGATCAGTCACTTTGCAAATATAAAGTTACTATTTACTACTGTATTGTACAGGTTCAATAATCTTTGTGTACACATTTTATGTATTTATTGTCAGGCTGCTATATAATTCAGTATTTATAATAGATACTATGTATAGCAATCTATGGTTAGTTTGGTCTTAACCAGGAAAAATCACTCTTTTGAGTTTTGCTGTTTTTACTAGATTATTTTTACTGGATGATTGCTCATATTATTTGATTATTATTGCAATTTGTCTTTCTGGAATAGGAAGCAAGAGGCCTGAATTCTGGTTCCTATTCTATCAATTGTGTGAATTCTGGAAACTCAGTTTACTTTTCTGGGCCTCATGGTTTTCATCTGAATGATGACCAACTTGGATAAAATGGTCTTTATATAATTTCGTAGGCATTTCCCTTCCCAAGGGCTTGAGTCTTTTTCAACAGTTATAGAGTTTTCCGGTCCCTCTTCCCAGTGCCTCGGCACCTTGCTATTCATGTTCATCTGATCAGTTGTTTGCACGCTGACTTACATTACCCTGATGGGCAGTACCTGTGGCTGTTTCTGCTCCCTCACCCAGTCCATAGGCTTCTGGTTGTAAAAGTGTGCATCTTGAGACTGTGGACAGTTAGCTCCAGAGGTGACAGTATAATCACTTCACGTAGAAGAGGATAGAGAGAGACTCATGCCAGTGGTGGTGAGCAAGTATTAGAGATATGATGTGTGCCTCTGTGAGTTTTGGGGTCTAAGATAAATTATGGCACTAGGAAGATGGTCCTTTGTGTCAGAAGAACTGGAGTTGTTGGTGCAAAAAAGTATGTCAGCATAGCAGTTTTATTTGTACCTCAGCAACTTCTAAAATAATCTCTATTAAGTGTTTTCAGGAACTACTTTCTACTATAGGAAAATGATTGAGGTGAGTATCCATCTGGACACAGAGAAATATAACACTGTTTTCTGCTCACCCTCCACTTCACATATAAATACAACATGTGTTAAAGGACTAAATTTCTAGTGTCACAGTTTGTACTTTATAGTTTGAAGTCAATAAGAAAGCTCATATACCTTCCTAAAAGTCACTTGTTAATGTTTGATATTAATCTAATTTTATCATAAATTAAAAGTATAAAACTACAAATTTCTTAAAGATAAAATATCCAAATGGATTCAGTCAAATTAAGCATGATAATATCAAATATCAGAATAGGTTACCATGCAGGAGGTACTGAGTACTTAAAAGGGTGGGGAATGCAATGAACATAAAAGCTGGTACCAAGGGGAGGAGGAGACAGTGATGAATTAAAACATTATCTTAACTAATCCAAGTGCTGGTCTTCAATACTTTCATGTGTATAGACAAAGAGAAACTGCAGAGATTTCTCACAACCTCTGTGGCCATTTTATGCATCTTAGCAAAAACTCTGGTGAAATCCCTCCAAAACATATTTATTAGGCATGGAAAAAGCCTTACATGACAGGTGGCATAGGCTCCTTATGAAATCACTGCAGGATGGGAAGCCATTTAGGGCTTCGTAATTGTGAAAGATTGTATAGAAACTGAGGCACTTAAATAGCAGTGAGCAGGAGAAAATGTGGTAGATAATGGTGGTGATTCTATTTCTTGTGAAAGTCCACTTACTCTGTTCTGCTACAGTTGTGGGCTTTCCGATTTCACATACCCCAGTCTCTATATTCTGTCTCAATCCACAGCCTACCTCAACTAAGTCCGTCCCAGGCACCTCTTACTGCAGGTGATAATCCATCTGTTAATCATGTTTTCCTCTTATGTCTACTTTCTGTCAGAGAATTGTGGCTGCAAACTGGGAAGGGAAGGAAATTATAAGAATATGTATAAGTACAAATGGAATATGTTGGAAATGAGGAATAGTTAATATCGCAGGTCATTTAAACACCTGATGAATTTCATGGATAGTCAGGAATCTTGTTCTTACCTAATCTGTTAATTTTAGATCAGACATTACACTGAAAGTATTGATGATGGGTTTAAATCAGGTTGCAGCTCACATGTTGTGATAATATTATGTTGATTTTTTGTTTTTAATATGTGAGGAACAGAATAACTGTATACTATTTATTCATAGTGACATTGCAATATTGATTTTAGTACATATTATCTTCATAATCACAATTTCCTCCCCATTTTCTTAGTTCTCATAATTTTAGCCACAGCCCAGTTGGCTGGACCAATGGATGGAGAGAATCACTCAGTGGTATCTGAGTTTTTGTTTCTGGGACTCACTCATTCATGGGAGATCCAGCTCCTCCTCCTAGTGTTTTCCTCTGTGCTCTATGTGGCAAGCATTACTGGAAACATCCTCATTGTGTTTTCTGTGACCACTGACCCTCACTTACACTCCCCCATGTACTTTCTACTGGTCAGTCTCTCCTTCATTGACTTAGGAGCCTGCTCTGTCACTTCTCCCAAGATGATTTATGACCTGTTCAGAAAGCGCAAAGTCATCTCCTTTGGAGGCTGCATCGCTCAAATCTTCTTCATCCACGTCATTGGTGGTGTGGAGATGGTGCTGCTCATAGCCATGGCCTTTGACAGTTATGTGGCCCTATTAAGCCCCTCCACTATCTGACCATTATGAGCCCAAGAATGTGCCTTTCATTTCTGGCTGTTGCCTGGACCCTTGTTGTCAGTCACTCCCTGTTCCAACTGGCATTTCTTGTTAATTTACCCTTCTGTGGCCCTAATGTGTTGGACAGCTTCTACTGTGACCTTCCTCAGCTTCTCAGACTAGCCTGTACCGACACCTACAGATTGCAGTTCATGGTCACTGTTAACAGTGGGTTTATCTGTGTGGGTACTTTCTTCATACTTCTAATCTCCTACGTCTTCATCCTGTTTACTGTTTGGAAACATTCCTCAGGTGGTTCATCCAAGGCCCTTTCCACTCTTTCAGCTCACAGCACAGCGGTCCTTTTGTTCTTTGGTCCACCCATGTTTGTGTATACATGGCCACACCCTAATTCACAGATGGACAAGTTTCTGGCTATTTTTGATGCAGTTCTCACTCCTTTTCTGAATCCAGTTGTCTATACATTCAGGAATAAGGAGATGAAGGCAGCAATAAAGAGAGTATGCAAACAGCTAGTGATTTACAAGAAGATCTCATAAATGATACAATAAGCCCTTCTCGTTAAACATGATATGGCTTTATGTTTCTTTCTTTGATATTTTAGATTCAGGAACTATGAGACATTATGTATTGATTTGAATGTTATTAGACCTGTAACATAATTCTTATCTGATGAATATATGATGAATATATTCCTTGTTCAAAATGAGTCATAAATTCAACACATCTCTACATCTATATTATGCCCATTTAATTTCTTTCAGCAATGTTTTGTAGTTTTTGGTGAACAGGTACTTTATGCATATGTACTTTATATTTATCTCTAAGTTTTATATTTCTGATGCCCTTTTAAGTGACATTTTTATTTCAATTTACAATTGTTTATTCTTAGCTTATGGGCACATAATAGATCTTTGTTTGACATTATATCCTGTAAACTTGCAAAACTTATTAGTTCCATCAGTTTTTTATAGGTTATGTAGGATTTTCTTTATAGATGATTATGTTGTCAGTGAATAAAGACATTTGCTTTTAAAATTCTAGTATGAATTCACTATATTCATTTTGTTGAATGCTGAGTAGAATTAGTTAGAGCAGACATCTTTGACTTGTTCCTGTTATGAAATATATTAAATATTTCATCATTAAGTATAATGTTAGCTATAATTTTTTTCATAGGTACTCTTTAACAGGCTGAGAAAGTTTTCTGTATTCACAGTTTGCTGAAAATTTCTTTTATCTTTAGTCAGGAATGGATCTTGGATTTTGTAAAGCTTTTTCATTTCAGAATCAGGGTAATGCTGGCCCTTTAGAATGAGTTGGGAAGCATCTGCTCTTCTTAAATTTTCTGCCATAATTTTGTAGAATTCATATAATTTTTTTCTTTAAAAAGGGAAGTACTTAAGTATTTTTTCCCATAAGTTACCCATAAGTAAATCTAAAGGAAAGTGGGAAACTTTGATACGCATTGGTTGCCCCCTGGTGGAGATTTCTGGGTTCTTGATTATTTTAACACTGGAGATAGAATCTGGTGGAATGATGTCAATGCTACCGTGATTAAGAGGTGTGTAGGAAATGCTTCATGTAAGAGAGAAAATAGTCTTTATGAGAATCTGCCTGGTGGAAAGGAGTTGGTGCAACAATAACAATATAAATTAGTGAAAAATTTTAAATTGACAAATAATAATTGTATCTATGGGGTACAATGTAATGTTTTGATACATGTTTAAATTGTGGAAAGATTAGGTCTATCTTATTGACATACATATCTTTTTTGTGGTGAAAACATTTAAAATCTACTCTGTTAGTCATTTTGAAACATACAATACCTTGTTATTTATTACAGTCACCATTCTGTGCAATAGTTCACTGAAACTTTGTCTAACTGAAACTTTGAACCCTTTTATCAACATCTACCTTTTCCATGTCTACCCCCAACTCCTAGCCTCTGATAATCACCATTCCATTCTCTACTTCTATGAATTCAACTTTTTCAGATTCCACATATCAGTGAGATCATGTGATATTTGTCTTTTCGTGCCTGGCTTATTTCACTTAGCGTGATATCTTCTGGGTTAATTCATGTTGTCACATATATCAGGTTTTCCTTCCTATTAAGGCTGAGTAGTATTCCATTGTATATATACACTACATTTTCTTCATCCATTTGTCAGTTGATAGACACCTGTGTTGATTTCATATTTGGGTATTGTGAATAATGCTGCAATGAACATGAGCCTGGAGATATCTCTTCAGCATATTGACTTAAATTCCTTTGGATATATACAAGGAAGTGGGATTGCTGGATCATATAGTAATTCTAGTTTTAGTTTTTTGAGTAACTTTTATCTATTTTTCATAATAGTATTAATTTACATTTCCACCAACAGTGTACGAGGGTTCCCTTTTCTCTGTATCCTCTTCAACACTTGTTATCTTTTATCATTTTGATAGTAGCCATTCTAACAGGTATGAAGTGGCATCTCACTGTCATTTTAATTTGCATTTCCCTGATAATTAGGATGACAAACTTTTTTTATGTTAGTCATTTGTATTTTTTTTGAGAAATGTCTATTTAGGACCTTGCCCATTTTTTGACTTGGTTATTTGTTTTCTTGATATTGAGTTGAGTCCCTTATATATTTGGAGATTAGCCTTTCATCAGATGTATGCTCTGCAAATATTTTCTCACAACTTGTAGGTTGTCTCTTCACCATATTGTTTCCTTTGCTGTGCAGAAGCTTTTTAGTTTGATGCAATCCCATATATTTTTGCTTTTGTTGCCTGTGCTTTGGGGGTTATATCCAAGAAATCTTTGACCAAACCAACATTGTGGAACTTTTCCCCTATGTTTTCATCTAGTAGTTTTACAGTTTTATGTTTAAACCTTTAATCCATTTTGAATTGATTTTTGTGTATGGTGTGAGATAAGGATACACACCATACACATTCGTGTTCTTCTGCATGTGGATATCTAGTTTTCTTAACACCATTTATTGAAACAAATGTCTATTCTTCATTACGTTTTCTGGGCACCTTTGTCAAAAATTTATTGGTCATAAATGCATGAGTTTATTTCTGGGCTCCTTATTCTGTTCCCCTGGTCAATGTGTCTGTTTTTGTGCAAGTGTCATGTTGTTTTGATTACTATGGTTTTGTGATACGTATTTGTTTTGGGGGGGGATCGATTTTTATTTGGGTTTCTCACAGTGGTTAGAGAACAACCACAGCACAGGAAATGCATCGCCAAGATTGCCCAGAAAACTGACCAGCTGCATCTTATTGCTTAAAAATACACATATTCACAATAACTGACAAATGTTGATGTGCCTCACACAGGAATGTGTTCACATTTGCAATGCTGTGTACAGACTTCACTTCGTTCAACATAGATTTTGGTTTAATGGAATTCAAATGCGGATGCTTGTTCACAGCCTTGGATTTGTCTGTTTTTGGAGAGATACAACCTCCATGAGTATATCTGCATGAAAACCACAGACAATGAAGGTATTTCTTCATTGATTTATTTATTCTTTTGACTGTAGCAACAAACCCTGGATGACACCCTTCCTTTTAATTCACCTGGAAACCAGACTCAATCAAATCTCCCTGGTCCCCTCACTATTCCTTCAAATTCCCTATTTCTATCTCTTCCTGAGGAGGGTAACCTCCTGTAGCAGGGGTCAGACTGTGACTTGGGAATCAAGCCTAGGTCTGCAGGTTGCCTTTTCATCTTCTTGTAAAATATTGTAGGACACTGCAGTGAATCCAACAGTTAACACTCAGAGCAGTTCCCTGCTCTAACTCAGGAAAGAGACTTCAGAGGGTCAGGATTCATCCATTTGATCAGTTAACTGAGAAGGATTCATTTTGGTAAAACTTGTTCAGCTTTGAGACACTTCAGTGAGTTGTTTGAGATTTTTTTTTAAATTATATTTTAAGTTCTGGGGTACATGTGCAGAACATGCAGGATTGTTACATAGGTATACACGTGCCATGGTGGTTTGCTGCACCCATCAACCCATCATCTACATTAGGTATTTAACCCAATGCTAACCTTCCCCTAGCCCCTACCCCCAGACAGGCCCCGGTGTGTTGTGTTCCCCTCCCTCTGTCCATGTGTTCTCATTGTTCAACTCCCATTTATGAGTGAGAACATCGGGTGTTTGGTTTTCTGTTCTTGGATTAGTTTGCTGAGAATGATGGTTTCCAGCTTCATCCATGTCCCTGAAAAGGATATGAACTCATCCTTCTTTATGGCTGCATAGTATTCCATGGTGTATATGTGCCACATTTTCTTTATGCAGTCTATCATTGAATGGGCATTTTGGTTGGTTCCAAGTCTTTGCTATTGTGAACAGTGCCACAATAAACATATGTATGCATGTGTCTTTATGGTAGAATGATTTATAATCCTTTGGATATATACCCAGTAATGCGATTGCTGGGTCAAATCATATTTCTAGTTCTAGAACCTTGAGGAATCACCACACTGTCTTCCACAATGGTTGAACTAATTTACACTCCCACCAACAGTGTAAAAGCATTCTTATTTCTCCACATCCTTTCCAGCATCTGTTGTTTCCTGACTTTTTAATGATCGCCATTCTATCTGGCGTGAGATGGTATCTCATTGTGGTATTGATATGCATTTCTCTGATGACCAGTGATGATGAGCTTTTTTTCATATGTTTGTTGGCTGCATAAATGTCTTCTTTAGAGAAATGTCAGTTCATATCCTTCACCCACTGATGGGTTTGTTTGTTATTTTCTTGTAAATTGTTTAAGTTCTTTGTAGATTCTGGATATTAGCCCTTTGTCAGATGGATAGATTGCAAAAATTTTCACCCATTCTGTAGGTTGCCTGTTCACTCTGATGACAGTTTCTTTTGCTGTGCAGAAGCTCTTTAGTTTAATTAGATCCCATTTGTCTATTTTGGTTTTTGTTGCAATTGCTTTTGGTGTTTTAGTCATGAAGTTTTTGTCCATGCCTATGTACTGAATGGTATTGCCTAGGTTTTCTTCTAGGGTTTTTTATGGTTTTAGATCTTATGTTTAAGTCTTTAATACATCGTGAGCTAATTTTTGTGTAAGGTGTAAGGAAGGGATCCAGTTTCAGTTTTCTGCATATGGCTAGCCAGTTTTCCCAACACCATTTATTAAAAAGGGAATCGTTTCCCCATTGCTTGTTTTTGTCAGGTTTGTCAAAGATCAGATAGTTGTAGATGTGTGGCGTTATTTCTGAGGCCTCTGTTCTGTTCCATTGGTCTACATATCTGTTTTGGTACCAGTACCATGCTGTTTTGGTTACTGAAGGCTTGTAGTATAGTTTGAAGTCAGACAGCGTGATGCCTCCAGATTTGTTCTACTTGCTTAGGACTGTCCTAGCTCTGCGGGCTCATTTTTGGTTCCATATGAAATTTAAAGTAGTTTTTTCCAATTCTGTGAACAAAGTCAGTGGTAGCTTGATGGGGATAGCATTGAGTCTATAAAAACTTTGGGCAGTATGTCCATTTTCATGATATTGATTCTTCCTATCCATGAGCATGGAATGTTTTTCCATTTGTTTGTGTCCTCTCTTATTTCCTTGAGCAGTGGTTTGTAGTTCTCCTTGAAGAGGTCCTTCACATCCCTTGTAAGTTGGATTCCTAGGTATTTTATTCTCATAGTAGCAATTGTGAATGGGAGAGTTCACTCATGATTTGGCTCTCTGTTTGTCTGTTTTTTGCATATAGGAATGCTTGATTTTTGCACATTGATTTTGTATCCTGAGACTTTTCTGAAGTTGCTTATTAGCTTAAGAAGATTTTGGGCTGAGACCATGGGGTTTTCTAAATACACAATCATGTCATCTGCAAACAGAGACAATTTCTTTCTCTTGCCTGATTGCCCTGGCCAGAACTTCCAATACTACGTTGAATAGGAGTGGTGAGATAGGGCATCCTTGTCTTGTGCTGGTTTTCAAAGGGAATGCTTCCAGTTTTTCACCATTCAGTATTGGCTGTGGGTTTTTCATAAATAGGTATTATTATTTTGAGATATGTTCCATCAGTACCTAGTTTATTGAGAGTTTTTAGCATGAAGGGCTGCTGAATTTTGTCGAAGGCCTTTTCTGCATCTATTGAGAGAAGCATGTGGTTTTTGCCATTGGTTCTATTTATATGATGAATTATGTTTATTGATTTGCGTATGTTGAACTAGCCTTGTATCCCAGGGATGAAGCCGACTTGATTGTGGTGGACAAGCTTTTGATGTGCTGCTGGATTTGGTTTGCCAGTATTTTATTGAGGATTTTTGCATCGATGTTCATCAGGGATATTGGCTTGAAATTTTCTTTTTTTTGTGTGTGTCTCTGCCAAATTTTGGTACCAGAATTATTCTGGCCTCATAAAATGAGTTAGGGAGGATTCTCTCTTTTTCTGTTGTTTGGAATAGTTTCAGAAGGAATGGTACCAACTCCTCTTTGTACCTCTGGTAGAATTCGGCTGTGAATCCATCTGGTCCTGGACTGTTTTTTGGTTGGTAGGCTATTAATTACTGCCACAATTTCAGACCTTGTTATTGGTCTATTCAGGGATTCAACTTCTTCCTGGTTTAGTCTTGGGAGGGCGTATGTGTCCAGGAATTTGTCCATTTCTTCTAGATTTTCTAGTTTGTGTAGAGGTGTTTATAGTATTCTCTGATAGTAGTTTGTATTTCTGTGGGATCAGTGGTGGTATCTCCTTTATCATTTTTTATTGCATCTGTTTGATTCTTCTCTGTTTTCTTCTTTATGAGTCTGGCTAGTGGTCTATCTATTTTATTGATATTTTCAAAAAACCAGCTCCTGGATTCATTGATTTTTTTTTGAAGGTTTTTTTGTGTCTCTATCTCCTTCAGTTCTGCTCTGATCTTAGTTATTTATTGTCCTCTGCTAGCTTTTTGTATGCTCCTGCCTCTTGAGTTCTTTTAATTGAGATGTTAGGGTGTCAATTTTAGATCTTTCCTGCTTTCTCTTGTGGGCATTTAGTGCTATAAATTTCCCTCTACACACTGCTATAATTGTGTACCAGAGATTCTGGTATGTTATGTCTTTGTTCTCATTGGTTTCAAATAACTTATTTATTTCTGCCTTAATATCTTTATTTACCCAGTAGTTGTTCAGGAGCAGGTTGTTCAGTTTACATGTAGTTGTGTGGGTTTGAGTCAGTTTCTTAATCCTGAGTTCTAATTTAATTGCACTGCGATCTGAGAGACTGTTATGATTCCCATTTTTTTTTGCATTTGCTGAGGAGTGTTTTACTTCCAAATATGTGGTCAATTTTAGAATAAGTGCAATGTGGTGCTGAGAAGAATGTATATTCCGTTGATTTGGGGTGGAGAGTTCTGTAGCTGCCTATTGGATCCACTTGGTCCAGAGCTGAGTTCAAGTCCTGGATATCCTTGTTAACTTTCTGTTTCGTTGATCTGTCTAGTATTGACAGTGGGGTGTTAAAGTCTCCCACTATTATTGTGTGAGGGTCTAAGTCTCTTTTTAAGTCTCTAAGAGCTTACTTTATGCATCTGGGTGCTCCTGTGTTGGGTGCATATATATTTAGGATAATTAGCTCTTCTTGTTGCATTGATCCTTTTACCATTATGCAATGCCCTTATTTGTCTCTTTTGATCTTTGTTGGTTTAAAGTCTGTTTTATCAGAGACTAGGATTGCAACCCCTGCTTTTTTTTGCCTTCCATTTGCTTGGTAAGTATTCCTCCATCCCTTTATTTTGAGCCTATTTGTGTCTTTGCACGTGAGATGGGTCTCCTGAATACAGAACACTGATGGGTCTTGACTCTTTAGCCAATTTGCCAGTCTGTGTTTTTTAATTGGAGCATTTAGCCCATTTACATTTAAGGTTGATATTGTTATGTGTGAATTTGATCCTGTCATTACGATGCTAGCTGGTTATTTTGCTGTTAGTTAATGCAGTTTCTTCATAGTGTCAACGGTCTTTACAATTTGGTATGTTTTTGCAGTGGCTGATACCAGTTGTTCCTTTCCATGTTTAGTGCTTCCTTCAGGAGCTCCTTTAAGGCAGGCCTGGTGGTGACAAAATCTCTCAGCATTTGCTTGTCTGTAAAGGATTTTATTTCTCCTTCACTTATGAAGCTTAGTTTGGCTGGATATGAAATCCTGGGTGGAAAATTCTTTTCTTTAAGAATGTTGAATATTGGCCCCCATTCTCTTCTGGCTTGTAGAGTTTCTGCTGATAGATCTGCTGTTAGTCTGATGGGCTTCCCTTTGTGGGTAACCTGACCTTTCTCTCTGGCTGCCCTTAACATTTTTTCCTTCATTTCAACCTTGCTCAATCTGATGACTATGTGTCTTGGGGTTGCTTTTCTTGAGGAGTGTCTTTGTGATGTTCTCCATATTTCTGAATTTGAATATTGGCCTGCCTTGCTAGGTTAGGGAAGTTCTCCTGGATAATATCCCGAAGAGTGTTTTCTAACTTGGTTCCATTCTCCCCATCACTTTCAGGTACAGCAATCAAACGTAGATTTGGTCGTTTCACATAGTCCCATATTTCTTGGAGGCTTTGTTCATTTCTTTTCATTCTTTTTTCTCTAATCTTGTCTTCTTGATTTATTTCATTAAGTTGATATTCAGTCTCTGATATCTTTCTTCCGCTTGACCGAATCAGTGCTTGATCCTTGTGCATGCTGCATGAAGTTCTCATGGCGTGTTTTTCAGCTCCATCAGGTCATTTATGTTCTTCTCTAAACTGGTTATTCTAGTTAGCAAGTGGTCTAGCCTTTTTTCCAGGTCCTTAGCTTCCTTACATTGGGTTAGGACATGCTCCTTTAGCTTGGAGGAGTTTGTTATTACCTACCTTCTGAAACCTACTTCTCTCAATTCGTCAAACTCATTCTCTGTCCAGTTTTCTTTTGTTCCCTTGCTGGTGAGGAGTTGTGATCCTTTGGAGGAGAAGAGGCGTTCTGGTTTTTGGAATTTTCAGCCTTTTTGCTCTGGTTTCTCTCCATCTTCATGGATTTATCTACCTGTGGTTTCTGATGTTGGTGACCTTCTGATGGGGTCACTGAGTGGCTGTCCTTTTTGTTGATGTTGATGCTATTCCTTTTTGTTTGTTAGTTTTCCTTCTAACAGTCAGGCCCCTCTGCTGCAGGTCTGTTGGGGTTTGCCCTAGGTCTACTCTAGACCCTGTTTGCCTGGGTATCACCAGCAGAGGCTGGAGAACAGCCAAGATTGCTGCCTGTTTCTTCCTCTGGAAGTTTTGTCCCAGAGGGGCACCCACCAGATGCCAGCCAGAGCTCTCCTGTATGAGGTGCCTGTTGGCACCTACTGGGAGGTGTCTCCCAGTCAGGATACACGGGGG
Organism: Homo sapiens; assembly: GCF_000001405.40. Classification (NCBI taxonomy): domain Eukaryota; kingdom Metazoa; phylum Chordata; class Mammalia; order Primates; family Hominidae; genus Homo; species Homo sapiens. The sequence continues at coordinate 147,463 of NC_000019.10, read as the reverse complement.
TCAGGGACCCACTTGAGGAGGCAGTCTGACCCTTATCAGAGCTCGAATACTGTGCAGGGAGATCTGCTGCTCTCTTCAGAGCCATCAGGCTTTTCAAAGATGCTTTAAGTCTGCTGAAGCTGTGCCCACAGCCGCCCTTTCCCCTAGGTGCTCTGTTCCAGGGAGATGGGGGTTTTATCTATAGGTCTCTGACTGGGGCTGCTGCCCTTTTTTCAGAGATGCCTTGCCCAGAGAGGAGAAATCTAGAGAGGCAGTCTGGCTGCTGTGGCCTTGCTGAGTTGTGGTGGGCTCCACCCAGTTCAAACTTTCTGGTGGCTTTGTTTACACAGTGGGGGTAAAACTGCCTACTCAAGCCTTGGCAATGTGGAAGCCCCTCCCCCCACCAAGCTCTAGTGTCCTAGGTCAACCTCAGACTGCTGTGCAAGAATTTCAAGCCAGTGGATCTTAGCTTGCTGGGCTCTGTAGGGGTGGGACCTGCCGAGCCAGACCACTTGGCTCCCTGGCTTCAGCCCCCTTTCCAGGAGAGAGAATGGTTCTGTCTTGTTGGCATTCCAGTTGCCACTGTGGCATGAAAAAAAAAAAACCTCCTGCAGCTAGCTCGGTGTCTGCCCAAACAGCTGCCTAGTTTTGTGCTTGAAACCTAGGGCCTTGGTGGCAGAGGCACTGGAGGGAATCTCCTGGTCTGTGGATTGTGAAGACCATGAGAAAAGCATAGTTTCTGGGTGGAGTGCACCGTTCCTCATGGTACAGTCCCTCGGGGCTTCCCTTGGCTAGGGGAGGGAATTCCCCCAACCCCTTGCACTTCCTGGGTGAGGCAATGCCCCATTCTGCTTTGGCTCACCCTCCGTGGGCTGCACCCACTGTCCAACCAGTCCCAGTGAGATGAACCAGGTACCTCAGTTGGAAATGCAGAAATCACCTGCATTCTGCATTGATCTCACTGGGAGCTGCAGACTGGAGCTGTTCCTATTTGGCCATGTTGCCAGCAAATTCTGAGATTTTTTTCAAAAGTGCAAAGAAAGACATCTGAGGGGTGCTGACATATTCGGGTCACCTCAAGCCACATGCCAGCTTGCTTGCCCCTGTTGGATTCAGCAGAGGGAGATAGGCCTTGCCATACCTGTGGTGTCTGCCAAAGCTTCCTCCTGGCAATTCTTGGGAGTGCTGATACCTGGGCCACAGTTAGTCCAAGTTTATCACTGAAGATCCTATCAAAGTTTTGTCTGAAATTCCACTTTTGCCTTTTGTCCTAAGTGGTTGTGGACATCTCCAGGGGCTGATACCAAGGACTAGGAACAGCTGAGGGAGGCAGAAAGGTTCAGAGTACATCTCTATTTACAGGGAACAGAACACCGGCCTCCGAGAGTCCATGGAGCAATGGGAAAATTGCAGTGATTACTCATCACTGTGAAACTTCTACTTTGAATACAGTATCTTCTGGCAAGCATAGGGGACTGCAGTCGACAATGCTGCTGAATATACCTGAGTACATAGTAAGACATTTGTTTGGTAAACAGTCAATGCATACAATAAATTACCTTGAGAGGGCCATCTGTGCTCCAGATGTGAGAGTTCATGTGAATAGAATGGCTGCAATTCAAAGAATCTTCACAGGAAAACAGGGCTCAGAGCTCATCCACAATGGACAGACAGGGAGGGAAACAGGTGGAGGTTAGTTCACCACTTCCTCATAAGAAGGTAATAAATAGTTTGGTGAAATAAAATGGTAGCACTGAGTAATTGCGGGCTTCTGGATAGGCAGTCAGGTTGATTTCATGTTGCTACTGCTGGACTTGAGGGCTGGCTTGGCTGTGGTGGCAGACACAGCAGCAGCTCAGGATGATGGTGATGGTCCACGCCAGCCAGAACCACCAATGTTCATAGTAGTAGTTACAACACTGAGACTGCCCATAGCAGTGTCCTGTTGTGTCACAGATGTAGCTTTGATTGTTGGTACACACACAGGCTTCCTTATCCTGTGGGGGTTCAGCCCTGGCTGACACAGGGCTGGGCAGTGCCTAGAGGTGCAAGAGCTCCATGCCACCCAGGAGTCTTCCCTCCATACTCCTCCTGCTCCTCCGACCCAGCGTGGGCACCTCCCTCCACCCTTGCTGCACTTCTCCTCTACCCTCTTCTTCCTTCTTTTGTTCTTTTCCTGTAATATGTTTTGAAGTCAGATTGTGAGGCCTTCAGCTTTGTTCTTATTGCTCAAGAGTCCTTTAGTTATTCAGGATCCTTTGTGGTTCCATATAAATTTTCAAATTGTTTTTTCTATTTCTGTGAAGAATGACATTGAAATTTTGATAAATATTGCATTAAACCTATAAATCGCTTTGGGCAGTAAGGACATTTTAAGAATATTAATTCTTCCTACCCATGAACATAAAATATCTTTCCATGTATTTGTGTCATCTACAATTTTTCATCAATGTTTTATAGTGTTCAGAATACAGATCTTTCACCTCCTTGGTTAAATGTACTCCTAAGTACAATCCTAAATGTGCTCCTAAACAAAAAAAATACGTTTTTTTTGATGCTACTGTGAATGAGATTGATTTCTTTATTTTTGTCATATAGTTTGTTGTGAGTGTAAAGAAACTACTGAGTTTTGTACATTGATTTTGAATTCTGAAATTTTATTGAATTCATTTATCATTTCTAATAGCTTTTTGGTGGAGTTTTTAGGGTTTCCTATATATAATATGTCATCAAACAGAGACAATTTTACTTCTTCCTTTTCAATTTGAATCTTTTATTTCTTTATTTGGCTTAATTGCTCTGGCTAGGACTTCCAGAAATAAGTTGAATAGAAGTAGTGAGAATAAATATCCTTGTCTTGTTTTTGATCTTAGCAGAAAAGATTTCACTTTTTCATTGTTGGGTATGATGTGAGCTGTGAGCTTGTTATATATGTCCTGTTTTGTGTTAAGGTACATGCCTTCTATGCCCAATTTGTTGAGAGGTTTAGTCATGAGAGGATTTTGAATTTAGTCAAATGCTTTTTCTGCATATATAGAGATAGCTATTTTTTTATCCTTCATTCTGTTAATGTGGTTTATCACATTTGATTTGTGTTTGCTGAAACATCTGGAGGATAAATCCACTTTATCATGGTAAATGTTCTCCTAATATGTTGTTAAATTCTGCTTGCTAGTACTTTTTTTTGAGGACTTTTGTATCTGTGTTCATCAGGGATATTGGTTGGCCCATACTTTTCTTATAGTGTCCTTGTTTGCCTTTTTATTTTTATTTTTATTTATTTATTTTTTAAATTATACTTTAAGTTTTAGGATACATGTGCACAACGTACAGGTTAGTTACATATGTATACATGTGCCATACTGGTGTGCTGCACCCATTAACTCATCATTTAACATTAGGTATATCTCCTAATGCTATCCCTCCCCCCTCCCCCCACCCCACAACAGGCCCCAGTGCTAATATCCGGAATCTACAATGAACCCAAACAAATTTACAAGAAAAAAACAAACAACCCCATCAAAAAGTGGGCAAAGGATATGAACAGACACTTCTCAAAAGAAGACATTTATGCAGCCAAAAAACACATGAAAAAATGCTCACTATCACTGGCCATCAGAGAAATGCAAATCAAAACCACAATGAGATACCATCTTACACCAGTTAGAATGGCCATCATTAAAAAGTCAGGAAACAACAGGTGCTGGAGAGGATGTGGAGAAATAGGAACATTTTTACACTGTTGGTGGGACTGTAAACTAGTTCAACCATTGTGGAAGACAGTGTGGCGATTCCGCAGGGATCTAGAACTAGAAATACCATTTGACCCAGCCATCCCATTACTGGGTATATACCCAAAGGACTATAAATCATGCTGCTATAAAGACACATGCACACGTATGTTTACTGTGGCACTATTCACAATAGCAAAGACTTGGAACCAATCCAAATGTCCAACAATGATAGACTGGATTAAGAAAATGTGGCACATATACACCATGGAATACTATGCAGCCATAAAAAATGATGAGTTCATGTCCTTTGTAGGGACATGGGTGAAGCTGGAAACCATCATTCTCAGCAAACAATCACAAGGACAAAAAACCAAACACCGCATGTTCTCACTCATAGGTGGGAATTGGACAATGAGAACACATGGACACAGGAAGGGGAACATCACTTTAAAAAAAAACAATAATGCTGATCTTTTAAAATGAGTTTGGAAATACTCTTTCTCCTTCAAGTTTTTGGAAGAATTTCAGAAGGATTGTATTATTATTTTTTAAAATGTTAGAATTCAGCAATGAAGTTTTCTGGTCCTGGGATGTTCTTTGATGGGAGATGTTTTATTATTGATATACTCTCCATACTCAGTATTGTTCTGTTCAGATTTTATCTTTCTTCTTGACTTTCTCTAGGTAAGTTGCATTTTTCTAGAAATTTATCTGCTTTTTCTAGGTTATCCAATTTGTTGGCTTGTAATTGTTTATAGTGGCCTCTTATGATCCTCTGTATTTCTGTGGTATTAGTTGCAATATTTCCTCTTTCATTTCTGATTTTATTGCTTTGAGTATTCTCTCATTTTTCTAGTCTAGCTAATGGTTTGTCAGTTTTATCTTTTCAAAGAACAAATTCTTAGTCTCATTGATCTGTTCTATTTTCTTTCACAGTCTTTTTTGTATTTGAAGGACTTGTATTTGTTAACTGGCTCAAGCCTGGACATTTGTTGAGGTGCTATGAGTCTCTATTGCTCTCATTTCTCTTCACTAGACATAGAAATTTTCTGATTACACGAATCAAATAAGACTAATAAGCTTCCCAGGGATGAATCCCACTTAAGCTGGTGAATTTTTTTGCTGTTTTTTTTTAAAAATAATATTTGCTAATATTTGGCTGAAGGTTTTTCCATCCAAGTTCATCAGGAGTATTGGTCTGCAATTTATTTTTATTATAGTGTCCTTCTCTGGTTTTGGTATCAGGGTAATGCTGGTTTTGAAAAATGAATTTGAAAGTATTCCTCTTCTTCATTTTTTTTGGAAGAGTTTGGGAAGGATTGGTGTTAGTCATCTAAGTGTTTGTTGGAATTCAGCCACCAAGCCATTCAATCCTTGGTCTTTCTTTTATGAGAGACCTTTCATTGGTGATTTAATTTCCTTATTCATGATTTCTTCTAAATTTTGAATTCTTCATGATTCAGTTTTGGTACGAGTTTATCAATTTCTTCTAGGTTATCTAATTTGCTGGTGAATAATTGTTTATAGTAGTATGTTATGATTTTTTAACTTCTGTGGTATCAGTTGTAATGTCTCTTCTTTCACTTCTGAGTTTGTTTTCTTTTTTCTTAGTCTATGTAAGAATTTGTTAATTTTGTTTATCTTTTCAAAAAACAATTCTTATTTTTATTGAAATTTTCAGTTTCTATTATATTATTTCTGCTCTGATCTTTGTTATTTGTTTCCTTCTGCTATCTTTGGGCTTGTATTGTTCTCTAATTTTCTCGCTCCTTTAGGCATAATATTAGGTTGCTTATTTGAGATCTTTTTTTTCTTTTTTGATGTAGGCATTTATTGCTATAAATGTCCCTCTTATAACTGCTTTTGTTGCATCCCATATGTTTTAGTATGTTATGTTTCCATTTTCATGCTACCTGATTTTAGAATATATTTCAAAGCATGGTGTATAGTGCTTTTAAAAAGAGGCTATATATAGGTATATATAAAAACAATACACACATTATATATAAACTATGACATGCTTGTAAAGAAAAGAGAACATAAAGTTTCTGAGGAAATAATTAGAAGAACAAGAGGATGCAAAGGGGTCTGTCAAAGATTCAGTGAAATGAGGGTTTTTGGATATTCACAGCTAATAGATTAATGCATTAGGAATGAGCAAAAAAATTGATGGTAGTCAAACAGAGGGAGGGAGGTAGATTTTGAATGATTCAAAGCAGGAGTGTTTTGAAGATAAACAGAATAACTAAAAAGAAAGACTCAGATGAAAAGCCTAGATTTAAAGCATTTGAATCAAGAGGTGGTAATCTAGGAATTAGGTTGATTTCTTTTTTTTTAAATTTGTGTAGCTTTTTATTTTATTTTTTATTATACTTTAAGTTTTAGGGTACATGTGCACAAAGTGCAGGTTTGTTACATATGTATACATGTGCCATGTTGGTGTGCTGCACCCAGAAGACTGGTTAATTTCAATAACCTAAAAATCCACAAGGTGGGAGTGTTTCACTGAAGCCAGTTGTTAGAGAAACGTTAGAACCAACTTCCTTTTTTTCTCTGTCCCTTCTTCTCTGCTTTCTTCTTTTCTCCTCCTCCGCCTCCTCCCTTTACTCTCCTTCTTCTCTCTCTGTTTTTCTAATCATGAAAACAAATGAAAAAAACTATGAGCAAGAGCACAGAAAAAAGACTAGCAAAGACTGCAGTTATTGAAAGTATCAGATACAGAAAATAAAATAAAATAACTATATTTAGTATGTTTAAAGTAAAACAAAAAATTAAAAATATCATAATGGAACAGGAAACTCTAGAGAATGGCCAAGAAGATTAAAAGAAAACAAATAGAATGTCCATAGAGAATAACATAATTGAAATTTAAACCCAAATGAATGGTTTTAACAGAATATTAGTATGTTAGAAGCAGTTGAAGAGTGAACTAGTAAACTGTAATATAGGTCAGAAGGGGCTATCCAAAATGAACACAGGAATAAAGACATGGAAAATAAGAAACATGTAGTTAGGAGACATGGAAGACAGAGGGGGAAATGCTAAAAAGTTTTAAAGAGTGTTTCAGAAGGAGAGAAAGGAGATCATGAATCAGTGTATATATTTTTTAAATTTTATTTTATGTTCTGGGATACACGTGCAGAAAGTATAGGTTTGATACATAGGTAAATGTGTGCCATGGTGGTTTGCTGCACCCATCAACCCATCACCTAGGTATGAGGCCCTGCATGCATTAGCTATTTGTCCTGATGGTCTCCTACCCCTGTCCCCCTGAGAGGCCCTGGTGTGTGTTGTTCCCCTCCATGTACCCACGTGTTTGTCCTGATGGTCTCCTACCCCCTGTCCCCCTGAGAGGCCCTGGTGTGTGTTGTTCCCCTCCATGTACCCACGTGTTTGTCCTGATGGTCTCCTACCCCCTGTCCCGCTGAGAGGCCCTGGTGTGTGTTGTTCCCCTCCATGTACCCACGTGTTTGTCCTGATGGTCTCCTACCCCCTGTCCCCCTGAGAGGCCCTGGTGTGTGTTGTTCCCCTCCATGTATCCACGTGTTTGTCCTGATGGTCTCCTACCCCTGTCCCGCTGAGAGGCCCTGGTGTGTGTTGTTCCCCTCCATGTATCCATGTGTTTGCTCTCATTGTTCAACTCCCTCTTACGACTGAGAACATGTGGTGTTTGGTTTTCTTTTCCTGTGTTAGTTTGCTGAGGGTGATGGCTTCCAGCTTCATCCATGTCCCTGCAAAGAACATGATCTCATTTATTTTAACGGCTGCATAGTATTCCATGGTGAATATATATCACATTTTCTTTATCCAATATATCATTGATGGGCATTTGGGAGGATTCCATGTATTTTCTATCGTAAATAGTGCTGCAATAAACATATGTGTGCATGTATATGTATGTGTGTGTGTATATATATGTAGTTATAATATGTATATATATGTGTATATATATACACATATATATACATTTACATATATAATATCTGTATATATGTATATATATGTGTATATATATGTATGTATATGTATATATATATATTTTTTTAAGATGGAGTTTTGCTCTTGTTGCCCAGGCTGGAGTGCAATGGTATGATCTTGGCTCACTTTGACCTCTGCCTCCTGGGTTCCAGCGATTCTCCTGCCTCAGCCTCCAAAGTAGCTGGTATTACAGGTGTGCACCACTATACCTGGCTAATTTTTGTATTTTTAGTAGAGATGGAGTTTCCCCATGTTGGCTAGGCTGGTCTCAAACTCCTGTCCTCAGGTGATCCACCCGCCTTGGCCTCCCAAAGTGCTGGGATTACAGGTGTGAGCCACTGCACCCAGCCCTGTGCATGTATCTTTATAATAGAATGATTTATATTCCTTTGGGCATATATCCAGTAAAGGGATTGCTGGGGCAAATGGCATTTCTGGTTCTAGATCTTTGAGGAATTTTCACACTGCCTTCCACAGTGAATGAACTAATTTACATTCCCACAAACAGTGTAAAAACATTCCTATTTCTCCACAGCCTTACCAGCAACTGTTGTTTCTGGAGTTTTTGATAATCACCATTAAGACTGGTTTGAGATAGTATCTCATTGTGGTTTTGAGTTGCATTTCTCTAATGATCAGTGATTTGAGCTTTTTTTCATATGTTTGTTGGCCACATCCATGTCTTCTTTTGAGAATTGTCTGTTCATGTCCTTTGGCCAATTTTTGATGGTTTTTTTTTTTTCTTGTAAATTTAAGTTCTCCATAGGAGCAGGTGCTCTAATTGCTTGGAGGTCTGCCTATGTGTGGAGATGAGAGGGCCTCACTGCACTATAATCTCAGCACAGGAAGGTTGGGGAAGCTCAGGCTGCTGATCCAGTCAAGTGGGTACTCCACATACCTGGAAATCTGCCTGGCCATAGACTGGAGAGGGCCCCACTGCACCACAACCTATGTTTATAAACGGTGGGGTAGCTCAGGATGCTGGTCCAGGTAGACAGGTGCTCCAATGCCTGAATTTCTGCCTGGGGGTGAAGCAGAGAAAGCCCTGCTGTATCACATTCTCAGGGGAACAGGCTGGGGCACCCAGCAATGACACCTGCAGACTGGTTGTAGGTCTCCAAGCTGGCCCTGGCTGCAAGTTTCATCACCTGGGAGAAATTACAGCTGTAGCAGCTTTTCTGTTGCCCCGAGGCTGCGATGGGGGAAAGCACAATTCCAGCACATACTGCTGAGGTGTTTTCCACAATATGGCTGTGAAGGTCCCTACCAAGCCCCAAAGCAGTTGTTCCAATCTTTGGCCTGAGACTAAAATGCCTGTGCAGGCATTCTGCTGGGTCACAAAAAGAAAAAAAAAAGCTGACTTTGCATGCATCCAGATTGAAAATGGCATCTTGCTCTTACTTCCTGGTCTGGGAAAATGTCTGCAGCTGTTCCCAGTGTCTTTGCTTCACAGCATCTCCAAGCCTCTCCCCATGTTGACTCCAGGCCTTGGGAGAAACAAAATGCAACAACTTGGCTGGGGTTGCTCAGATTCACAGTGAAAATGTCAGTTACAGAGGGAGGCTCTCTGCCTCTCTCACATACTAGGACTTCGCTCACTTTTATAAGCTGGTTGCTGTCATGTTGACTGTTTGCTCACATTCTCCTTCTTGGGATCTATGATGTCCTTCATGATTCTGGTGGATTCCCATTTTCCTTCTTGACTTAGAGCTCACAGAGTTGACCTTTGTGCACTCTCTTGCTATTTCTAAGTGGCCGAGGCACACTAAAAGCCTCTAATTTATCATCTTGGGAAAAAAACAAAACAGGGAAGTTTGCTTTTGCAAATTGTTGTTTGTGGGGGTCTGTCCTGCAGACCCCAGCTGCACGAGGGATGAATAATGTACTCAGACACCAATTATTCAGTGAAAGAGCCGCTAGGGGGCTGGGCCATGCACAGAAAGAGTTCTGGCAGCCACGAGCCCTGACTAGCTAGCCCTGCCAGCATTTATTGAAAAAACATTAAATGACAGGGGCTTTTAGTCAACACAAATAGAGGGTAATTAACCTGGTCACCCTCCCCCGAGAGAGAGCCATCCTGCCTGTGAATGATCAAAGGTTGGCTTCAGGACCACATGAGTAAACAAGTTATTTAGATAAACTCCCTTACATTCCTTTGCACCTACTTTAAGCTATTTACTCAAGGAAGGATTAGGCCGCCTTCATTCAGATCTATTACTGAAGCTATACAACACCCCCAGCCTTCCATGAAGGTTTGTGTCGATTTCTTATAACTATCTTTAAAATTTTTCCCACCAGCCTGACTGAACTCCCACAGTTGTTGCTACTTTTTGAAATTGAAATACTTCTAGGAAGACTGATTAAGAACAATATAGAGAAAAGACATATTTTTCAAACTCCTGATGAAGAAGAAACATCCGTATTAATATATAGCTAATAAAAAGATAAGAGATGTTGTGGAAAACTTCATACAAGGGTGCCCACTCTCAGAACTTCTATTCAACATAGTACTGGATGTCCTAGCCAGAGCAATTAGGCAAAAGAAAGAAATAAAAGGCATGAAAATTGGAAAGGAAGAAGTTAAATTGTTTCTGTTTGCAGTTGACATGATCTTATATACAGAAAACACCAATAACTCTGCCAAAAAATTTAGAATTCATAAATGAATTTAGTAAAGTTGCAGGATACAATGTGAACATACAAAATTCGGTAGCATTTCTACACATCAACAACAAACTATACAAAAAAAGAAATCAAGAAAACAATCCTATTTATAATAGCAACAAAAAATACTTAGATGTAAATTTAAACAAAGAGGTGAATGATCTTTACACTGAAAACTACAAAACATTGATGAAAACAATTGAAGAAGCCACAAATAAATGGAAAGATATCTCATGTTCATGGATTGGAAAAAGTAATATGTTTGAAATGTCCATACTATCCAAAGTGATGTACATATTGAATGCAATCTCTATCAAAATTCCTATGACATTTTCCCACAGAAATAGAAAAACAACTCTCAAATCTGTATGGAATCACAAAAAACTCTGAAAAGCCAAAATAATCTTGATCGAAAAAAGCAAGGCAGGAGATATCACATTACCTGACTTCAAATTATACTACATAGCTATAGCAATCGAAACACCATGGTACTGGCATAAACGCAGACACATAGACCAATTACACAGAATAAAGAGCCCATAAATAAATCTACATATTATAGTCAATTGACTTTCAACAAAGGTGCCAGGAACACACATGGGGAAAGAACAGTCTCTTCAAAAAATGGTGTTGAGAAAACTGAATGTCCACAAGATTGATCTTAGGCCCTTATTTCATACCATATAAAAATATAAATTCAAAATAAGTTAGACTTAAATGTAAGACCTAGCACTATAGAACTCCTAGAAGAAAACAGGGGAATAACTCCAAGACATTGGTCTGGGCAATAATATTTTATGATATGACTCTAAAGCACAGGCAAGAAAAGCAACAAAACACAAATGGAATAGCATCAACCTAAAAAGCTTCTGCACAGCAAAAGAAAGTCAACAGAGTGAAGTGATAACCTACAAAATGGGAGAAATTATCTGCAAACTATACATTTGATAAGAGGCTAATGTCCAAAATATCTTAGGAACTCAAACAACACAATAATAAGAAAACAAGGAACCCTAATGAAAAATTGACAAAGGATCTAAATAGACATTTCTCAAAAGAAGACATACAAATGGCCAACAGATATATAAAAATGCTAATTATCACTGATCATCAGAGAAATGCATATTAAAACTACAATAAAATGCCATTTCACATCCGTTAGAATGGCTGTTACAGAAAAGGCAGAAGATACCAAGTGTTGGAGAGGATGTGGAGAAAAGGAAAACCTTGTAATTGTTGAGAATGTAAACTATTTCAGCCATTGTAAAAGACAGTATAAATGATTCTGTAAAAATAGAATTACCATATGATTCAGTAATGCTATTTCTGGGCATATATTAAAAAGATATCAAATCAGTGTGTCAATGAGTTATCTGTACTCCCATATTTATTGTAGCATTATTCACAACAGCCAAGATGTGGAATTAACTTAAGTATCCATCGACACATGAGTGGATGAAGAAAATGTGGCACACATACACAATAGAATAGTATACAACCTTAAAAAATAAAAAAAGTATCATTTGTGACAACATGAATGAACCGGGAGGACATTATACTGAGTAAAATAATCCAGGCACAGAAAGCCAGATACTGCATAATCTCACTTGTATGTGGAGGTCTAAGAAGGCTGAACACATAGAAGTACAGAGTAGAATGATGGTTACCAGGAGGATTGGGTAGATGTTGGTCAAAGGGTACAAAATTGCATTGTACAGGAGGAATGAATTCAACAGATCTATTGTGCAATATGGTGACTATAGTGGATAACAATGTATTGTTTTTAAATTTAATTTTTGTGGGTACATAGCAGGTGTACACATTTATGGGGTACATGAAATATTTTGGTACAGGCATGCAATGTACAATAAGTACATAATGGAAAATTGGATATTCATCCCCTCAAGCATTTATTATTTGTGTTATAAACAATCCAATTATACTCTTTCAGTTATTTTTAAATGTATAATTGAATTTTAGACTGCAATCCCCCTGTTGTGCTATCAAATACTAGGTCTTATTAAATCTTTCTTTTTTTGTACCCATTAACCATCCCCCACCTCTCCCAACCCCCACTACCCTTCACAGCCTCTGGTATACTTCCTTCTACTCTCTATCTCCATGAGTTCAGTTGTTTGCTTTTTGGATTCCACATATAAGTGATAACACATAGTATTTGTCTTTTTGTGCCTGGCTTATTTCACTTAACATAATGACCTCCAGTTTCATCTATGTTGTTGCAAATGACAGGGTCTCATTCCTTTTTATGGCTGAATAATACTTCATTGTATATAAGTACCACATTTTCTTTATTCATTCATCTGTTGATGGACACTTAGGTTGACTCCATAACTTCGCTATTGAAAATAGTGCTGCAACAAATACGGGAGTGCAGATATCTCTTCGATATACTGATTTCTTTTTTGGGGGGTATATATGCAGCAGTGGGATTGCTGGACCACATGGTAGCTCTATTTTTACTTTTTTGAGGAGCCTTCAAACTGTTCTCCATAGGGGATGTACTTGTATTCTTCAAAATTGCTAAGAGTAGATTTTTAAGTGTTCTCATAAAAAAAGATAAGCATGTAAGGTAATGCATATGTTAGCTTAACATGGCTATTTTACAATGAATATATATTTCAAAACATATAATTTTATTTATCTGATAAAATAAATATAAAATATGAAACTTTATATTAATAAATTTGACAATCATAAGGAATGGTCAAGTTCCTATGAAAAATACCTACTTTTATGAAATGATCAGAAAAAAACTAGAAAAACTGAGTAGTTTTTTTTTCATTGTAGAAATTTTATTTAGAAAATTTTTTTTTCCTGTAGAAAGAACTCCAGGGCTAGGTGGATGCAATATTTAATAAAGAAATATTACCAAATATTTAATAAAGAAATAATGCCAATGTTACATGAATATTTTTAGAGAATTGGGAAGACATAACACTTTCCAACTTGTTTTATATGGTGGTACCTCCATGATAGTAAAACCATACAAGGATATTAAAAGAAATGAAATTACAGACTAATATACTACATAATAATTCTAAACAAAAATGTTTGCAAATATAATCCAACAATATACTCCAAAGAAAAATACATCGTGACTAAGTGCAGTAATTTCAAGAATGTATGGTTTAAAATTAGAAAACCAAACAATGAAATTAACCACATTAACTGAATAAAAGAAAAAAATATGGTTATTTCAATAGCTGTGGGAAAAGCACTTGTTCACATTTGAAACTATTTGTAATAATAACAAACTAGGAATAGAAGAGAACTGATGTAAATATCTTAATATATACACAAAAACTACTCTCAACATTATAAATAATCATGACATATTAAACAGTTTCATTCTAACACGAGGAACAAGGTACACATGTCCAGCTCAACACTTTATTCATCATTAAAATAATACTGTGCAGTAAAATTAACAAGGAAAATTTTAAAAAGAACACAAAAGAAAACTACAAATCCTTATCCCTGATCAACACAGATGTAAAAATACTCAACAAAATTCTAGCAAACTGAAGCTAACAACACATCAAAAAGATAATTCATCATGATCAAGCGGGCTTTATTCCAGGGGTGCTTGAATGGTTCAAAATAGACAAATCAATAAACATGATTCACCACATAAATGGAACTGAGAACAAAAACCCTATGATCATCTCATTAGATGCAGAATAAGCATTTGATAAAATCCAACATCTGTTTATGATAAAAACCCTCAACAATATAGGTATAGATGGAGTATACCTCAAAAAATGAGTCATCTATGACAAAGCCACAGCCAACATCATCCTGGATGGGCAAAAGTTAGAAGTGTTGCTTCTAGAAACTGGAAAAAAGCAAGGATGTTCACCTTCTTCATTCCTATTCAATACAGTACTGGAAGTGCTAGCCAGAACTATCAGAAAGGAGAAAGAAATAAAAGGTATACAAATTAGAAAAGAAGTCAAATGATCTCTGCTCACTGATGACATGACTGTAGGCCTAGAAAACCCTAAAGTCTTCAGAAGACTCCTAGACTTGATACACGACTTCAGTAAAGTCTTGGGATAAACAAGCCACAAAAATCAGTTGTATTTCTATACACCAAATACATTCAAGCTGTTTGAATGTTTGTTGAGATTAATTTGTTGAGAACCAAATTAAGAACTCAACTGAATTTACAATAGCCATGAAAAATACCTAGGAATGCATAACTATATAAATGAAAGATCTCTACAAAGAGAACTACAAAATACTAATGAAAGAAATTATAGATGACATAAACAAATGGAAAAACATCCCATGCTCATGGATTAGAAAAATCAATAGCTAAAGTGACCATATCACCCATACAATCTATAGAGTTAATGCAATTCCCATCAAATTACCAACGTTATTTCTCACAAAATTAAAAAAAAATCCTAAAGTTCACATGGAGCCAAAAAAAGATCCCTAATAGCCAAAGCACTTCTAAGCAAAAAACAAAGCAAAACAAAACAAAGCCCCCAGAGCAAAAGACAAATATGGTTCCTACAAATGAAGACCAACGGTAATGCTTATCTGTTCGTGGTAGAAGTGTAAATTGGTAGGATTGTTAAAAAAAATAGTGTAGCATCTCATGGTAATGTTGAATAACTCAATAATTTTACTTTTAAATATATACCCCAGAGGATATCTTGCACATATGAACCAGGTGATTTACAAAAGAATGTTCATAGCAGCATTGTTTGTAATGGTTAAAAACTGGAAAAATTTCAAGTGTTCATCAACAATAGATCTGAGGAATGAAGTCCGACATATTCATGTAGTGGAATATCATATAGCAATACGAATGGATGAATTACACCAACATTCAACAAGGTTGTAATATGCAAACTTATTATTGAATCAAGGTGAAAGTACCTTCTGATAAAGGTGAAAGAACTTCTACAAAATAATTTCATTTATATAAGTTTCAAAGAACCAAACTAAATAATGCATCACTTGAGAACCATTAAAGTCTATTAAAAAACACATACAATGCAATGGAAGGACAGTGGTCATATCCAGCAGGAAATAAAGGAGAACACAATTGGCAAGGAGCACCCAATGGGCGTCTAAGGCACTAGTAAAGTTCTATTTTGTTTCCAATCCTCCAAGACATCTAGTTTTTTTTATTTTTCTGAGACATGGTGGCCCAGGCTGGAGTACGATAGTGTGATCTTGGCTCACTGCAACCTGTGTCCTGGGCTTAAGTGATCCTCCCACCTCGGCCTCCCAAAGTACTGGGATTACAGGTGTGAGCCACCATGGCCGGCAAATGTTCTATTTCATATCCTGTATGGTGGACACATAGATGTTCTCTTTTTTATTATTCCTTGAACACTAAGTATATGTTTATTTATATTCTCTGTGGAATACCTCCTTATTTCTCAGTCAATTCAGGATACCTCCTTACCCCCATCCCCTTTTTACTTTTCGTCATGTCATATAGTTTCTGAAATATAGAAAAGCTTACATATTATCCTGTCATCAAAGCGGCATGGAGGCATTTGGTAGAATAAATATTATTTGTTGATTATTCATCCTTTCCTTTCACTTTACAGAGTCAATCAAACACTAGGTCATGTTAATTTTACTGTCACGCACATATCTTGAATTTGCCTCCTTATCTCTATTTCCACTATTCAGTTCAGACCTTGATAATCACTCATCTGCATTGTAGTTGCATTTTTCTAATTATTCTGTTTCTAGTCTTGTTTTAAAATCTTTTTTTCCTCCCACAATGCAGCTAGAGTGGTCAATTTAAAGCATCATCTATCTCAAGAACAAAAAACCAAACACCGCATGTTTTCACTCATAGGTGGGACTTGAACAATGAGAACACTTGGACACAGGAAGGGGAATATCACACACCGCGGCCTGTTGTGGGGTGGGGGGAGGGGGGAGGGATAGCATTAGGAGACATACCTAATGTAAATGATGAGTTAATGGGTGCAGCACACCAACACGGCACATGTATACATATGTAACCTGCACGTTGTGCACATGTACCCTAGAACTTAAAGTATAATAAAAATAAATATTAAAAAAAGAAGCATCATCTTTATTAAAACATTTAATGGTCCTACTATTCCTTATGCTATAAATTTCTTATAATTTAATAAATATTTTTCCATAATTGTGACTCTCTTCTATAGCTCTTGTTACTCCCGATATTCTTCTAATTATCAGGCAGTAGCACAAAGCTGCTTACACCTCTTTACACATCTCTTTATTTTAGGCCTCCTTGCATTTGCTCATGCTGTTCCTTTTTGTTTGAAAAACTTACACATTTCTTCATTTGGTTAATCCTTGCACACTTTCAAGATTCATTTGAGGCCTCATTGACTTTGGAAACCTTCCCTGTAATCTTGTATTATTAATTTATCTTAGTTTTCACTTATTAGCTCTTATTAGATTACTGTCCTTACGTGTGTAACTCTCCCACTAGACAGTAAGCTTTTGGACGGCAGAGATGATGTCTCATTCATCTTTGCATCTTTAGCGCCCAGCCTGGTTTCTGGTTTCCTATAGTCACTCAGTGTTGAGCTAAACCATATTTTTGGAGCAATGACTTGACAATGCAGTATCATGATGGAACTATCACAGATGGACAGAATGAGTCTCTTGATTCCTACATTTATTTTTCTATTGATATAGCTGATTTAAAAAGAAACCTGTTAATTATATAATCATGTAATTACCCTGACATAACATCAAACTCCATAAATTACTTTCCATCTCTGCCTCTCTCTCTTTCTATATATATAACATATACATGTTACAAAAATGCACAGGGAATAAATATGAGCAAAATGGTAAGAAGTGCAGGTCCTAGGTCAGATTTCTTGCATTTAGTTGCAGGCTACACCAACTTTAGAGAAAAGATTTAGTGAAAAATAAAAATGAATCATTAATACACCACTTGGCACAGATAAGTTATTCAGTAAACATTAACATATTTGCATTTATGTTTAACCATGGGCTTAAGTGATTATCCAGAAATCTCCCTCTCTTTGACTATGTTTGAATATTAGATACTTCTTAATTTATCTTTGCTCTGAATTTGTTTTTTTTCACTCGTTGTATACTCATGGACCATTTTATGTGTTTCAGGAATTGATATTTTATTTAAAAACTGTTACTATAGAAAATTAACTTTTGGATAGTCCTGTTCAGACTAAAACTATCATTTGTAAGATCTGTATTACTGCAATCATTGGTGTTAATACTTTGCATTAATTAAAATTTTTTATGGACATATAATAAGTATTTCTCCCACCTTGATTTTTGTGGCTATCATTTTATTCATTCCATTGCTTTTTTCTCCCAGTTTGCTATGAGGAAGTTGATAAGTACGTAGGCAAAACGATAGATTGTTTTGGCAGCTTCAGTGTATTTAAGTGCCTGTGATGAGGCTATGGTTTATTTTTCTAATGTAGAATTCATAATGTAGAATAAATTTTAAAAACATAAATTTTATTCCTGCACATTGTGCACATGTACCCTAGAACTTAAAGTATGATAAAAATATACATATATAACAAATTAAAAACATAAATTTCTTTGCACAGCTTTTTCTTTCTGCTATTTTTATTCAATGATTATTTGCTTCCCTTGTTATTTAAGAGCTGACTTTTGGCTTCATGGCCAAAAATAAAATTCTTAGTAGGAGAAAGTAAATGTGATTTACTGATGAAGATGCCACCCCCAAGTGACCCATTAACCACTTTCCCTGCGTTACCCTGGGACAACCAAAGTGATTCCAGGAGACAATTCCCATGACAAGTGATTTCTGGCTGGCAATGCCAGGTCTCTGAAGTTCCACTTGGCCACTGCCCAAGAACAATTAGTGCCGTTAGTTAACTACCTTTACTATGACAGCATTTTGTGTAACTCTTTGCACAGGGGAGTTTTATGCAACAGACAGAAACTTTCTGAGTTGTTCTGATTGCCTGAAGATGCCCTGTTTTAGAGGAGCAAAATTTTCCCTGTTTACTGTGTTTCAGTGTTAAAAATATGAATGCATTGTCAGGATTAGCTCTGGCAATGGTAGTTAAATGCAGATATCCAGACAAAGGAGGTTATAGATTGGAGACTTTGTGCTACTTGATAATGAAGCCTTGGTTTTGATTTTATGTATTTTTAAGTTGAAAAACAAAACACACACACACAATACAAAACATGGCACAAAACAAACTTATAGTTTGATTTTTGTAAACATCCCTGTAATCATCACATAAGTCAAGATATAGGACTTTGCCAGCCCTGAAGTCCTGCATGTGACTCTCCTCAGTTGCAGCCACCTTTCTCCTGAAAAGTGACGATAAACGTGACTGTTCCAGTAGAGGCGTCCTTGCATTTTCACGGCTGTGTCCTTCATGCATGCATTCCAAGACACTATGATTTAGTCTTGCGCATTTGTTTTCATTTGTCGTGTTTTTAAAATCCCTTCTAACATACAGGTTTCTTTTCAAAGTTTTCTTTCCCATACAATATATTTGTTGAAAAATGTGGGATTTTTGTCACTTGATGTCCACACTGTGAAATTTGCTGGTGAGACTCTCAGTGAAGATCGACATTTTCACTATCCTTTGCGTTTTATCCAAATGACAGTTGAATCCAGAGGTTTGACTAGGACACGTGCTTGGTTCTATTTTTGGTAAGATTGTAGGTGATGGTGTGTTCATTCACCAGGAGGTTTAATTATGGCTTTTATCTTAGCACCTACTACTACTTTCTACTAACACCTGTTAATACAAAGAAAGTTAATATTTTCTACTAGCACCTGTTAATCCTCAATATGTATAGATAGGATATGTATAGACACACGTGTGTCTATGCATATAATATATAATATGTACATATTATATTTTTTTAAGAGAAGGAAAGAGCATGTGAGAGAGCACATTGCATATTTATGTTGATAATACTGATTCTAATGTAACTCAGTGGGCTGCTTCTTTCCTTGTCTTATTCCATATCTGTATCTCTGTCCTTTCACAGTGAGAATCTGGGGTTCTAGCAATACAAATATATTAATATTTACTCATTGGCTTAATCTTACAATGCACATACATTTGTTTCAGAATTGTTATATTTATACTAATATAAAAAGAAAAAATCCTATCATGAAGATTTAATAATTTTTTGCAGATATTTTATTTTTTCAAGCAATAGTATGTAGTCAAAGTATGTTCAAAAGTCAATTTGAAATAAGAGAACAGTCAAAAATTAATCAGATTAATTATTATTTTCCCCTTAAGTTTGATTATGTCATTCATTCATTTGAAATATATTTGGATTCACTTGTTTCTCATTGCATTCGGTTTTAGAGTCTTGTAATAACTTATCTTTGCTTGCTTAATATCACACTTTGAGAGTGTAAAAGATTAACTTAATTAAAAATGTACAATTATGCACAAAAGCATTCACAGAGCAATATCCCATTCTCCCATATTTCTTTCACCAAATTCCCCTCTAATTCTTTATAGATAATACATGTTTTCAGATTCTGGTACATTTTGGCTACATTTGTTTGTTTCATGCTTGTATTTTTGGTGTATTATCTAAGAATGCATTGCCAATCCACAGCAATGTTTTATTTCCATGTTTTCTTCTAAGCATGTATGGTTTTCACTCGTATATTTACATTATTGATCCAATCTAGATTTTGTATATAATGTGAGGTAGGGGTCCAGCTTCATTTTTTTTTCATATGAATATTCAGTATTCCCAGCACTTTTTGTTGAAAAAGCTATTATTCCCCACTGAATAATGTTGGCTCCCTTGTAAAAAAAAGTCAGCTGAATAGAGATGTTTTGCTTAGTCTATGTAAAAGTATATTAATTTTATTGATATTTTAAAAGAACCAACTTTTAGTTTTGTTGATCTCTGTATAATTTTTTAATTCTCAATTTCATTTATCTCTGCTCTAATCTTTATTTCCTTCCTTCTGCTAGCTCTGGATTTTGTTTGCTCTTCCTTTTATGGTTTATTGAGTAAAGTTTGGTTATTGATTTGACATGTTTCTTTTTTAAAATGTAGGTGTTACAACTCTGAGCACTGCTTTTGATATATCACACCCATCTTGTTATATCTTTGTTTTCAATCGTCTCTAAACATTTTCTAATTTCCCTCATGATTTGTTCTTTGATTCATTGGTTGGTAAATACTGTGTTGTTTAATTTCCAAATATTTGTAAATTTTCTAGTTTTTCTTTTGTTATTGATATCTTATTTCATTCCATTGTGGTCAGTGAAGATACTTTGCATGATTTCAATCTTTTTAAGTTTATTGAGCTTATCTTATGGCCTAACATATCATCTGTGCTGGAGAATGTTCCATGTTCACTTGAGAAGAATGTGTATTCTGCAGTTTTTGAGAGAAGTGTTATCTATAGTTATTGCTTATAGTTTTATTCAAATCCTCTAATTCCTCCCTTGATATTTGCTCTGGATGTTTTGTCCTTTATTAAAGTTGGGTTTTAAAATGCCCAACAATTTTCGTGGAATTGTCTGTCTCTCCCTTTAATTCTCTCAATGGTTACATTATATATTTTGGAGCCCTGTTAGTTGGTGTACATATATTTATAATTGTTATATCTTCTTGTTTAATTTTGAAATCAATATATACTGTTCTTTGTATTTTGTAACAGTTTTTGACTTAAAGTCTATTTTGTCTGATATAAGTATATTTGCCTCAGATCTCCTTTGGTTATTACTTACATGGAATATTTTCTCCCATCCTTTCATTTCAACGCATTGTGTATTTTGATCTAAAGTGAGTATCTTGTGGACAATATAGTTGGATCATTTTTTAAAAATCCATTCTGTCAATCTCTTTCTTTGGATTGGAGAGTTTAATTCATTTGTATTTAATGTAATTACTGATAAAGAGGGGCTTACTCCTACCATTTTGCTTTTGTTTTCTGTATGTCTTATACCTCCTTTGTTCCTAATTTCCTCAATTATCGCCTTCTTTTGTGTTTAGTTGCTATTTTGTAGCATATCACTGTGTTTACCCTCTGCTTTCCTTTTCTGTATTTTCAAAAGATATTAACTTAGTGGTTACCATGGGGATTTACAATTAACATTCTTAATTTGGAACAATTTAGAGTAAATTGAAACAACTTCAATAGTATACAAAATCTCTATTATTATTTAGTTTCCTATGAATTTCTTTATGTTGGTAATTTCACAAACCACATCTTTATACATCATGCTTCATTAACATAGATTTATAGTCATTATTTTACACATTTGTTTTAAAACATATAGAATATTTAAAAAGACTTACAAAAAATATGATAATTCCTTTTATATTTACCTATGTAGTTATCCTTACTGGAGTTATTTCTTTATGTGGTTTTGAGTTACTTTCTAGTGTTTTTTAGTTTGTATCTGAAGGAGTCTTTTTTTTTTTAAAGTGTATCTTGAAGTACAGCCTACCAAACATGAACTTTTAAAGCTTGCTTGCTTTTCTTTCTTTCTTTTCTTTCTTTCTCTTTCTTTCTTTCTTTCTTTCTTTCTTTCTTTCTTTCTTTCTTTCTTTCTTTCTTTTTCTTTCTTTCTTTCTTTCTTTCTTTTTCTTTCTCTCCCTTTCTTTCTCTCTCTTCTTTCTTTCTTTCTTTTTCTTTCTCTCCCTTTCTTTCTCTCTCTTCTTTCTTTCTTTCTCTTTCTCTCTCTCTTTTTTTTTTTAATCTGGGAATGTGTAATTTATCCTTAATACTTGAAGGGGCATCTTCCAAGTTACAGAATTTTTGGTTGACAGTGTTTTTTTCTTTCAGAACTTTAAAATGTCATTCTAAGCTCTTCTGGCACCCATGGTTTATCATGAGCTCTCTGCTGTCAAACTTACTGAGGATCCTTTGTAAATGATGCATTGCCTTTTTCCTAAGCTCTTCTGGCATCCATGGATTATAATGCACTATCTGCTGTCAAACTTATTGAGGATCCTTTGTAAATGACGCGTTGCCTTTCTCTTGCTGCTTTCAAACATTCGCTTTGCCTTTTGACAATTTGAAACATAGTGTGTCTTGGTGTGAATATCTTTGTATATTTCCTTGATGAAGTTCACTGAGCTTTTTGAATGTATATATTTGTTTTTAGTGAAATTTGGGAAGCTTTCAAACACATTTCTTCAAATAGTCTTCCTGCCCCTCACTCCCCACCAGGATTCTGTATGTAGGCATTCTTGATGTTGTTACACAGGTCTTTAGGCTCTATTCTTTTTTGTTGTCATTCTTTCATTTTCCTGCTCTTCAGACTGAATCATTTCACTTGATCTATCAAGTTCACTGATTCTTTTTTCCAGCTGCTCAAATCTTCTATTGGAACCCTAAGTAAAAAGTAACTTTTTAATTAGTTATTGTACTTTTCAGCCTCAGAATTTTTTTGTACCTTTTAAAAAATTCATATTTCTTATTTATTTATATGTCATTCTCTTGGGTTTCTTTAGCTCTTTAAGTTTATTTAAGACAGTTATATAAAGTTTTTGTCTAATATTTCCAATATCTGCTTACTCAGGGAGAGTCTCATTTATTTCTTCTGTAAATGGGCCATAGTTTTGTGTTTATTTGCATGCTTCTTAATTTTTGTTGAAAACTGGACATTTTGGATATTATAATGTGTTTATTCTGGAAACCAAATTTTTCCCTTCTTCAAGGTTATTTTTGTTACCCACTGTGGGATGTAGTTTTTATTTGTTTAGTAACTTTTGTAAACTGGTTTTGTAATATCTGCATTCTTTTTTATGTTTGATGTTTGAAGGCGGCTCGGTTCCTTTAGCTTGTGTTCATTTAGCATTTAGTGATTTAAAAATGATTTCCTTGACTGCAAGTAGCCAAAAAAGAAAAAAATATGAAAAACATCTCCCAGACTTTGCTTACTGACTCTGTATTGGGGCTCCCTCAACACTTAGCGGAGCCATGTATAATTCTGCCTTAGCCTTCATTTTTTCTTGCTGTGAGCCTAGGAATTACTAAAGGTGAGTTATTAGTGTCTTCTCAGGCCTTTTCTGAGCATGTGTCCCACCTTGGCCATGCTTATGGATTTCCAAATTTTTCATTGTATGTAAGCACTTTTGAGTATTCGAATTTCCCAAAGGAACTTTCTCTCCTGCTTTTTCCTCAAGTTTTCAGTACAGTATATCTTGCCTCAATTGTAATATTTTGCCGCAAATGGCTGAGGGTTGTTAATTTGCCTTTGGACGATCTGATTTCTAAAGGTTTGGTGGAATTCTCCGTGAAAACATCTAAACCTAGTGTTTGTGTGTGTGTTATAATTCCATGACAACTGTATTTCTCTATGGAAATTGCTCACATAAGTGCTGTACTTCTTTTTTTTTTTTTTGAAGTCAGTTGTGGTGAATTGTATTTTTCTAGAAAATTACCCATTCCCTCTAGCTTTCAATGTTTTTCATAGATGTGAACAACATTGTTTTTAATGATTTTTTATTTGCTGATTATCAATAGTTATTTCTCTCACCATTCCTTATTCATTTTTGTGCTTTCTCTTTTTTTTTATTCATGATTAAAAGATCTAATTTTTTTGTCAACTTTGTTGATTTGTTTAAAGAACAAGATTTTTGGTTTACTGATTTGATCTGTTTTTTGGCTTCTTATTTTATTAATTTTCACTTTTTTCTACTTTGGGTTCTTTCTTGTACTTTCTGCTTACTCTTTTAGATACTTTTTACATTTTTCAGCTGATAATTTAATTCCTACACTTTTATTAATAAATGTGTTAAGGCTATAGATTTTCCTCTGATCACTGCTTTAACTGTATCCCATATACAGATGCTCCTTGATGTATGATGAAGTTATGTCTCAACAAACCCCCGTAAACTGAAAATATCATAAGTTAAAAATGCATTTAGCACACCGAAAATTATAGGTTGGCCTAGCTTACTTTGAACATGCTCAGAACATTTAGATTAGACTTCAGTTGGTCAAAATAATCTAACAAAATGTCTAAATAAAGTATTGAATAACTGATATTTATTAAATATGGTACTGAAAATAAGAAACAGAATGGTTGTATGGGTACTTATCATTAATGTACGTAGCTGAAATTACACAGGGCCTGAAGAATTTTTGAAGCATTGAGCTAAGGTTAATTGCTGAATGATGGGACTAATACTTTGACACAGTCAGTCTCTGTCTCTTCCGATCATGAGGGTTGAGAATAGCTGGTAGAAAGTATTGATGCCTGTTGATGGTAGGCAGGCATTATGTTCTTCAGGAAGATATCAAGATGGATTATCTACCTTTATTATCATTTGGCTGACTGGAAGCTGCAGCTCACCGCTGTTGCACAACATTGTGAGAGAGCATTGTGCCACATATTGGTAGTCCAGGAAAATATCAAAATTCAAAATTCGGAGTCGGGTTTCTTTCTTTTTTTTGAGATGGAGTCTCACTCTGTTGCCAGGCTGGAGGCAGTGGCACGATCTCGGCTCACTGCAACACCTCCGACTCCCTGGTTCAAGTGATTCTCCTGCCTCAGCCTCCCGAATAGCTGGGATTACAGGCACGCACCACAATGCCCAGCTAATTTTTGTATTTTTAGGAGAGACGGGGTTTCACCATGTTGGCCAGGATGGTCTTGATCTCTTGACCTTGTGATCCGCCCTCCTCGGCCTCCCAAAGTGCTAGGATTACAGGCGTGACCCACTGCGCCCATCCTGGAGCATGGTTTCTAATGAATGGATATCACTTTCACACCACCATAAAGCTGAAAAATGGTTGAACCATTGTAACTTGGAAACAGTTTGTATTCTGGTATGCACTGTTTTATTATCACTATTCAGAATATTTATGTCTTGTTTTTGTATTTCCACTGTCATCCTTGTGTTTGGTTTTTTTTCTTGCTGATTTGTTCCAATTCTTTGTAGATTCTGGATATTAGTCCTCTGTTGGATGCATAGTTTGTGAAGATTTTCTCCCACTCTGTGGGTTGTCTGTTTACTCTGCTGATTATTTATTTTGATGTGCAGAAGGCTTTCAGTTTAATTAAGTCCCATCTATTTATCTTTGTTGTGTTTGCTTTTGGGTTCTTGATTGTGAAGTCTTTGCCTAAGCCAATGTCTAGAAGGGTTTTTCCAATCTTATCTTCTAGAATTTTTATGGTTTCAGGTCTTAGATTTAAGTCTGTGAACCATCTTGAGTTGATTTGTTTATAAGGTGAGAGATGAGGATCCAGTTGCATTCTTCTACATGTGGCTTGCCAATTATACCAGCACCATTTGTTGAATAGGGTGTCCTTTCCCCACTTTATGTTTTTGCTTGCTTTGTCAAAGATCAGTTGGCTGAAAGTATTTGGCTTTATTTCTGGGTTCTCTATTCTATTCCATTGGTCTATATGCCTATTTTTATACCAGTACCATGCTGTTTTGGTGACTATGGCCTTATAGTATAGTTTGAAGTCGAGTAATGTGATGCCTCTAGATTTATTCTTTTTGCTTAGTCTTGCTTTGGCTATGTGGGCTCTTTTTTGGTTCCATGTGAATTTTAGCCTTGTTTTTTCTAGTTCTGTGAAGAATGATGGTGGTATTTTGATGGGAATTGCATTGAATTTGTAGGTTGCTTTTGGCAGTATGGTCGTTTTCACACTGTTGACTCTATCATTCATGGTGAACAGCAGGGGGTGTGGGTAGGACCCATGGGAGACAGACTTGTTTCTTCTTTGTGGTCGACTGCAGCTTGTTGGAGGTGTGGATAAAGCACTGGGGTCTTTGCTCCTTTGTTAGTTCAAGGGTAGCAGGGGTAGTACCACTGTAGAGGCAGTGGCAGAGGGGCTTTTGGTTGACCCTGGGGGCTCCATCTCCAGGTGGAGCTGCTATTACTGGGAATGTTCAGCCTGGGGGATGGAGCAGCTGTACTGCTGGTGTGAGGTTAGGGCTCTGCTTGTTGGGGATCAGGGGGTTTAGGGCTCACTGGGAGAAGAGACTGGTCTCCTCTCCGTATGGGAACTGTGGCATGCTGTAAGTTCAGGTGCAGCCTTCAGGCGCTTTGTTTCTTTCCAAGCCTGAGGACAGCATGGATAGAACTGCTGCTGTGACAGGGGCAGAGAGGCTGCCGTTTGCCTCTGGGAGCCTCTCCCTAGGGAAAGTCTGGGCCACTGCCAGTAGGTAAGCTCAGCTGTGGGTGGGGCAACTGATCTGCAGTTATGAGCTGGGTGCTGTGCCTGGTGGAGTGGGTGGTGGGGGTTCCCAGGGGAGGGGGCTGGATTCCTCTCTGTATGGTGGCTGTGGTGTGCTGAAGGTGCCACTGTAGTGATTAGACTCTTAGTTCCTTCTGCAGCCCAAGGGCTGTTATGGTGGTACCACTACAATTGCAGTGGTTGTGAATTGACTCTGGTATTTCCTCCTTGGAGAAATGCTGGGCTACTTCTTATTGAAGTGGTCAGGTGGGGGGCAGGGTAGTTGTACAGGAGTCCCAGGCCAGGCGGCCCTGCTTGGTAAGGAGAAGTGAGGACTGAAAACTGCAGGAAGAAAAATGCAGCCACTCTTCTGTGAGGCAGGTGCTCTGTGCTGGGGGTTCAGACCAACCCCTGGTCCCTGTGGACTCTCCAGGGTGAGGGCTGCGAGATTGGTTTTCTTATTAGATGATCTGTTTAATGCTGAAAGTGGGGTGTTGAAGTCCTTCACTATTATTATATTTGAGTCTACCTCTCTGTTTTGATCTAGTAGTATTTGCTTTATGAATCTGGCTGCTCCAGTGTTGGCTGCATATATATTTAAAATTGTTATATCCTCTTTCTGGATTGATTCCTTTATCGTTGTATAATAAGCATTTTTGTCTTTTTTCTAAAGCTAGTTTTGACTTAAAGTCTGTTTTGTCTGACAGAAGTATAGCTACTCCTACTCATTTTGGTTTCTGTTCATGGAATACCTTTTTCCATCTCTTTTCTTTTAGTTAATATGTGTTTTACAGGTAAAGTGCATTTGTTCAGGGAAGCACATAGTCAGATCATAGTTAAAATTCATTCAGTCAGTCTATATCTTTCAGGTGGAGAATTTAGAAGAAATATATATTTTTTAAAATTAGTTAATTTTTTATTTTTGTTTGTTTTTTGTAGAGATAGGGTTTCACTGTGTTGACCAGGCTGCACTTGAACCTCTGACCTCAAGCAATCCTTCTGCCTTGGCCTCCCAAAGTGCTGGAATTATAGTCATGAGCCACCACACCCAGCCCCTAAGTGGACATTTAATCCATGTACATTCAAGGTTATTATTGTCTATATTTGATATAATCAAATACTTAGTCATTTTTAAATTATTTTAATAGTTTCAAATATATTTGTTAAATTTGCTCTATTTGAATCAGGATCTAAAGAAGTTTCAAAGTTGCATCAGCTAATATATCTTTTTAGTTTTTAAAAATATATATGAATTCCTTTCTCCTGCTTTTTAGCTCTGTGTATTTGCTGAATAATCCAGGATATTCATCCTGTTGAATATTCCATACCTTGTGATTATCTTATTAAACCCTACGGTGTTCTTGCATGTTTCTCTCTTCGACATATTTCCTGTATATTGTCATAAAATAGAGAATATTTACCAATTAGGCTCATTTCTAGTTGGTTCTATGTGCTCCATATTATACTTTATGTGTATTCACTTCATGTGACATATAAAAATTGATCAGTAGGTTCAGGTATTTTCAGCTGATTCATTCCATATATGTTTTCTTCTGAAACAGTTATTCGTCATTTTAGCTTCTATTGGTTGTTATCTTAGGCCCATTAATTCATTGGGTTCCAAATGAATTTGTCTGTATGTTAGTGTCCCATGAAACAATTCTTTTCTCCGATGTTTTATAACTTAATTAAAAAGCCAGATCTTGATTTTTAGCAGTTGTAATTTTTTTCTGTTAATTTAATTACATTTTTATATTACATAAAACAGCTACATGATTTCAAAGTCAAAAATATAAAATAAGATGTATTCAGAATAACTTTTATCCCTGTGCCTTGCCCTGTTTCCTCCTCCTGCCATAAGAAAATTATATATGTATTATGTTTTTGCCATTTTAAGTATGCTTATTTAAACATTTATAAAATATATACTTATATATGCATGTAAATCCAATGTATTTATCCCTGTTTTAACATAAAAATAGCATTCTGGTGTCACTTTTTTGTTTCTTTTCAGTTAAGGTATACCTTGTAGATTACTTTAGAGTAGTATTTGGAGATATTTCTCTCTCATTTTATAGTTGCTTCATACTCTATTGCGTACAAGTTTTGCAAGTAGTACTCACTAATTGTCATTTGGTTATTTTCCTTTTTTTTTTTTTTTTTTTTTTGAGATGGAGTCTTGCTCTGTCATCCTGGCTGGAGTGCAGAGGCACGTTCTGGGCTCACTGAAACCTCTGCCTCCCAGGTTCAAGCGATCCTCCCACCTCAGCCTCTCAAGTAGCTGGAATTACAAGTGTGCACCACCACGCCCAGCTAATTTTTGTATTTTTGGTAGAGATGGGGTTTCGCCATGTTAGCCACGCTGGTCTTGAATTCCTGGCCTCAAGTGATCTGCCCGCCTCAGCCTCCCAAAATGCTGGGATCACAGGCATGAGCCACCACGCCCGGCCTACTTTCCGTTTACTATGAAAAACAATGCTTCAATGAATAGACTTGTGTGCATCAATTATTTTGTATTTTTGCCAATATATCTTTAGGATAGAAGTAGGATTGCTAGACCAAAAGTCAGTACCATGTAAATTTTTTAAGATATTGCCAAGAGTTGTACCATTTTGTATTCTCACCAACAATGCATAAGAGTGCCTCTCTCGGTGTTTTAGACATGAAGTCCTTGCCCATGCCTATGTCCTGAATGGTAAAGCCTAGGTTTTCTTCTAGGGTTTTTATGGTTTGAGGTCTAACGTTTAAGTCTTTAATCCATCTTGAATTGATTTTTGTATAAGGTATAAGGAAGGGATCCAGTTTCAGCTTTCTACATATGGCTAGCCAGTTTTCCCAGCACCATTTATTAAATAGGGAATCCTTTCCCCATTGCTTGTTTTTCTCAGGTTTGTCAAAGATCAGATAGTTGTAGATATGCGGCATTATTTCTGAGGGCTCTGTTCTGTTCCATTGATCTATATCTCTGTTTTGGTACCAGTACCATGCTGTTTTGGTTACTGTAGCCTTGTCGTATAGTTTGAAGTCAGGTAGCGTGATGCCTCCAGCTTTGTTCTTTTGGCTTAGGATTGACTTGGCAATGCGGGCTCTTTTTTGGTTCCATATGAACTTTAAAGTAGTTTTTTCCAATTCTGTGAAGAAAGTCATTGGTAGCTTGATGGGGATGGCATTGAATCTGTAAATTACCTTGGGCAGTATGGCCATTTTCACGATATTGATTCTTCCTACCCATGAGCATGGCATGTTCTTCCATTTCTTTGTATCCTCTTTTATTTCCTTGAGCAGTGATTTGTAGTTCTCCTTGAAGAGGTCCTTCACGTCCCTTGTAAGTTGGATTCCTAGGTATTTTATTCTCTTTGAAGCAATTGTGAATGGGAGTTCACTCATGGTTTGGCTCTCTGTTTGTCTGTTGTTGGTGTATAAGAATGCTTGTGATTTTTGTACATTGATTTTGTATCCTGAGACTTTGCTGAAGTTGCTTATCAGCTTAGGAAGATTTTGGGCTGAGACAATGGGGTTTTCTAGATATACAATCATGTCGTCTGCAAACAGGGACAATTTGACTTCCTCTTTTCCTAATTGAATACCCTTTATTTCCTTCTCCTGCCTAATTGCCCTGGCCAGAACTTCCAACACTATGTTGAATAGGAGTGGTGAGAGAGGGCATCCCTGTCTTGTGCCAGTTTTCAAAGGGAATGCTTCCAGTTTTTGCCCATTCAGTATGATATTGGCTGTGGGTTTGTCATAGATAGCTCTTATTATTTTGAAATACGTCCCATCAATACCTAATTTATTGAGAGTTTTTAGCATGAAGGGTTGTTGAATTTTGTCAAAGGCCTTTTCTGCATCTATTGAGATAATCATGTGGTTTTTGTCTTTGGCTCTGTTTATATGCTGGATTACATTTATTGATTTGCGTATATTGAACCAGCCTTGCATCCCAGGGATGAAGCCCACTTGATCTTGGTGGATAAGCTTTTTGATGTGCTGCTGGATTCGTTTTGCCAGTATTTTATTGAGGATTTTTGCATCAATGTTCATCAAGGATATTGGTCTAAAATTCTCTTTTTTTGTTGTGTCTCTGCCTGGCTTTGGTATCAGAATGATGCTGGCCTCATAAAATGAGTTAGGGAGGACTCCCTCTTTTTCTATTGATTGGAATAGTTTCAGAAGGAATGGTACCAGTTCCTCCTTGTACCTCTGGTAGAATTCGGCTGTGAATCCATCTGGTCCTGGACTCTTTTTGGTTGGTAAGCTATTGATTATTGCCACAATTTCAGCTTCTGTTATTGGTCTATTCAGAGATTCAACTTCTTCCTGGTTTAGTCTTGGGAGAGTGTATGTGTCCAGGAATTTATCCATTTCTTCTAGATTTTCTAGTTTATTTGCGTAGAGGTGTTTGTAGTATTCTCTGATGGTAGTTTGTATTTCTGTGGGATCAGTGGGACAAAAGCAATGGCAACAAAAGACAAAATTGACAAATGGGATCTAATTAAACTAAAGAGCTTCTGCACAGCAAAAGAAACTACCATCAGAGTGAACAGGCAACCTACAAAATGGGAGAAAATTTTCGCAACCTACCATCTGACAAAGGGCTAATATCCAGAATCTACAATGAACTCAAACAAATTTACAAGAAAAAAACAATCAACCCCATCAAAAAGTGGGTGAAGGACATGAACAGACACTTCTCAAAAGAAGACATCTATGCAGCCAAAAAACACATGAAAAAATGCTCATCATCACTGGCCATCAGAGAAATGCAAATCAAAACCACAATGAGATATCATCTCACACCAGTTAGAATGGCAATCATTAAAAAGTCAGGAAACAACAGGTGCTGGAGAGGATGTGGAGAAATAGGAACACTTTTACACTGTTGGTGGGACTGTAAACTAGTTCAACCATTGTGGAAGTCAGTGTGGCGATTCCTCAGGGATCTCGAACTGGAAATACCATTTGACCCAGCCATCCCATTACTGGGTATATACCCAAAGGACTATAAATCATGCTGCTATAAAGACACATGCACACGTATGTTTATTGCGGCATTATTCACAATAGCAAAGACTTGGAACCAACCCAGATGTCCAACAATGATAGACTGGATTAAGAAAATGTGGCACATATACACCATGGAATACTATGCAGCCATAAAAAATGATGAGTTCATGTCCTTTATAGGGACATGGATGAAACTGGAAATCATCATTCTCAGTAAACTATCGCAAGAACAAAAAACCAAACACCGCATATTCTCACTCATAGGTGGGAAGTGAACAATAAGATCACATGGACACAGGAAGGGGAATATCACACTCTGGGGACTGTTGTGGGGTGGGGGGAGGGGGGAGGGATAGCATTGGGAGATATACCTAATGCTAGATGACGAGTTAGTGGGTTCAGCGCACCAGCATGGCACATGTATACATATGTAACTAACCTGCACAAGGTGCACATGTACCCTAAAACTTAAAGTATAATTAAAAAAAAAAAAAAAGAGTGCCTCTCTCTACAGCTTCATCAACAGGTTGGATTATCAAATATTGAGGTCAGATATTTGATATTTTATAGGTTAGAACTGATATTTAAGTATCATTTTACTTTGCATGCATCTTAATCTGAGAGACTTGAACATTTTTTTCATATATTTAAAGATAGTTTAACATGTGCTGGTGAGGCTACAGAGAATGGGGAACACTTCTACACTGCTGGTGGGAATGCAACTTAGTCCAGCCACTGTGGAGAACAGTCTGGGGATTTCTCAAAGAACTAAGAGTTAAACTACCACTCGATCCAGCAATTCCATCACCGCATATATGCCCAAAGGAAAATACATTGTTTTACCAAAAAGACACATGAACTTGTATGGGTTGTCCCAGTGCTATTCACAATAGCAAAGACATGGAATCCACCTGGGTGCCCAACAACTTTGGACTAGATAAAGTAAATGTGGTACAAATCCACCACAAAATATATGCAGCTAATAAGAAGAAAGTCACATCCTTTGCAGCAGCATGAATGCAGTTGGAGGCCATTATCCTAAGTGAATTAACACTGAAACAGAAAACCAAATACCACATGTTCTCACCTACAAGGGGGAGCTAAACATCGAGTACACATGGACATAAAGATGAGAAAAACAGACACCACAGAGTAGCAGAGGGAGGATGGAGGAAGAGGGGAAAGAGTTGAAAAACTACATATTGGGTATTATTCTTGCTACCTGGGAGGTGGGATCATTTGTACTCCAAACCTTAGTATCATGCAATATACCTTTGTCTCAAACCTGCACATGTACCCTCTGAACCTATAATGAAATTAGAAAGAAAACCCCAAATATGGTCATTGTAGTCCAGAAGCTAAGATGTGGTATAACTGAATGGTTTATCAATTAGGAATGGATGTAAAAGTAACAATCTCTGTTCTTGATTTTAAGACCAGGTCTATGTGCCACATTTTATCTAGTCTAACATTGACGGGCATTTGGGTTGGTTCCAAGTCTTCCCTATTGTGAATAGTGCTGCAATAAACATACCTGTGCATGTGTCTTTATAGTAGAATGACTTACAATCGTTTGGGTATATACCCAGTAATGGGATTGCTGGGTCAAATGGTATTTCTAGTTTTAGATCCATGAGGAAACACCACACTGTCTTCCACAATGGTTGAACTAATGTACGCTCCCACCAACAGTGTAAAAGCATTCCTATTTCTCCACATCCTCTCCAGCATCTATTGTTTCCTGACTTTTTAATGATTGCCATTCTAACTGGTGTGAGATGGCATCTCATTGTGGTTTTGATTTGCATTTCTTGCAGCCATAAAAAAGAATGAGTTCATGTCCTTTGCAGGGACATGGATGAAGCTGGAAACCATCATTCTCCGCAAACTAACACAAGAACAGAAAACCAAACACCGCATGTTCTCACTCATAAATGGGAGTTGACCAATGAGAACATATGGGCACAGGGAAGGGAATATCACACACCAGGGCCTGTCGGGAGGTGGGAGGCAAGGAGAGGGATAACGTTAGGAGAAATACCTAATGTAGATGGTGAGTTGATGGGTGCAGCAAACAACCATGGCACGTGTATACCTGTGTAACAAACCTGTACATTCTGCACATGTATCCCAGAACTTAAAGTATTAAAAAAGACCAGGCCTAATTCAGATAATATGTATGTATGTATGTATGTATGTATGTATATATGTGTGTATATATATATACACATATACACACATATATGTATATATATAAAAGAGTAACATATTTTACTACATAGATTCCAAACTTTTCTGCCTGCCTCCTTCCCAGGGGAGGGATGTCCATAACTTCTGGTCAAATTTCAGGAGAAATTCTGAATATACTGGTTTCTCCCATGGCGTTGTACACATTAATGCCCTTAGCAGTTAAATGAATTATGAATAAATTAGGGGTAAATTTTACAAATAAATGAAAAATAAAAGTTTTCTGCCTACAACTGTAAAAAAAAAAAAAAGACTGATTCTCCTTATGTATGAACTGTAAGTTTAACTGTTTTGCCCATTTTCCTATTAATATTTTGGGTTTTGTTTTAGAAGTTCCCTATGTGTTAGAAGTACTAGTCTATTATGTGAGTTACAAGTAGTTTCTTCTCACTTTTAAATTTTCTCATAGTTTTATTACGCATTAAAAATTAATTTGATAGTCAATGTTATCCATCTTTACCATATTCATAGATTATAAAAACATTAACTTGTTTTCTTTTAATATTTGCATAGTTTTTTTGAAAAAAGAGTTATGTCTTGAATTCACTTAGAGATTGTCCTGGCATTTGGTGTAGCAAATAAATTAAATATATCTTTTCCCATATTGCTATCCAATTATCCCACCATCACATTAGTAGGCCTTTCCCCCCTGCACTGATTTGAGATACTGTCATTATTATTTACTACTTTTATTATGTGTTTTTAATCTGCTTATAAATTTTCTATTCTACTTTTCCTAAGATAAACATAATTTTGACCCTCTTATCATCTGACTCTCCTTATCTATTAATTCAAGTCACATTTTGACAAACTAGATTCCTTTTTTCTTAGAATATTTAGTGTTCAATTTTATTCTGGCTCAGTGATTCTCCCTGGAAAGAGAAGATATTTGTCAGAATCATTTGTTAAGGTTTTTTTTTTTCAATTTATATTTTCCTTCTATCTTAAATTTTCATCATGCCTTTCTAGGGTGGTAAGGTGGAAGTATATGAGTACACACTTGCACACAAATATACACACTTCCACTCACAAGTACAGTATCCCAAATGAGCATCTGTTAAGATTGGGATGTGTCATATTTCACAAGAATGTTGGGAAAAAGTAAAGTTTGAAACTTTTGGCTTTGTTAATATATAGGATTTTAATAGTATCTAATGTTTATTCATGCTTAATATGTCTCGAAGTGGGCTATTTGATTTATATCTATTTTGTCATTTTCCTTCATAATAACCGTGCATAATAGGTATAATCTCCTGTTTATAAATGTAGAAACTAAAGCTCATGAAAGCTACGTAATGTGCCCAAAATCATGATTAATAAGAGTCAGTAGAGTTGAATCCAGCTCTTTGTTTTTTACTTTAAAGCCTGTGGTTTTAAACATTAACCATGGAAAATGACATAGATGGATCCAAGTAATATACTTTGTGCCAACGTGATGAGAGCCTGGATCCCTCTAAATTCTTTCTACTGCTTATGAGCAGTTATACCACAGATGTCTAGGACCTAGAAGGCACATTTCACATTGGCAAACTTACTCTTCCACTCACTCCTGATAATGCCCTCATGGATTCTGGGTTGTTATAGTGGTGGGAGGTGAAGTATAAACTTATAATGGGAGGCGTTTGTTTTTCAACCTCTTAAAAGTTGACATATATCTCCTTACCACTAAGCATATATTTTTTAAATTAAGATGTGACAGTTCTTTTTTTATGTTTTTCACAAAATGGACCAAATAAATTTTTTTTTAAATTTATAAGCTAGGCTATATTTTCTCTCCTTTCTTCTACTAAACTTAGGGTCACACAGGAAGGAACAGATGTACACAAATACTAATATATTTATGCCTTTCTTTGTTCTAAGAATTAGCAAAAGAATATTTTGAAAGCATAATAACTTTGTATCTGTATTCCAAAATATAACACACAAGTTGTTGAAAGATAAATTGAGGCAATGTATGTGGAAGTTCCTAGACAATTAATAAATTATATGGGAATGGAGGGCACAATTTTCATGAGCTTTACTAAATAACTTACCAACTTCACTATATTTTGTGTCATTATCTGAGATTAATCTCACAGTTATATAAGATCTAAAACTTTACACTAGAATGTGCATCCCATTTTCTCAGCTGTCTTATTGCCGTCTTCATGTCTTTGTTCCTCAGTGTGTATATAATTGGGTTCAAGAGAGGGGTGATCACAGAATAAAATACAGCAAGGAATTTATCTAATGACTTGATGGGGAATGGCCAGGCATAAATAAAGACACATGGTCCAAAGAACAAAAGAACTACTGTAATGTGAGCAGTCAAAGTGGACAGAGCTTTGGACGACTTATCTAAAGGGCGATGCTGGATGGTCATTAGGATGATAGTGTATGAGATGATTAGAAGAACAAAAGAACACACAGTGAGCACACCACTGTTAGCAATGACCATAATATCTAGCCTGTAGGTATCTGTACAGGCAAGTTTGATTACCCTAGGAAGGTCACAATAAAAACTATCGACCTCATTGGGACCACAGAAGGGTAAGTGCACGGCAAAGGCCAACTGGCTCACCGAATGGAGAAAGCCAATTCCCCATGCGACAGCCATAATGCCGACACATGCGTTGCCACACATAATTGTAGTGTAGTGTAGGGGTTTGCATATTGCTATATATCTGTCAAAGCCCATGGCTATGAGGATCACCATCTCACTCCCACCAAAGAAGTGAAGGAGAAATATCTGAACAAGGCAGCCCTTGAAAGAGATGACTTTGCGCTGGCTGAAAAAGTCAGTAATCATCTTGGGGGCTGTGACTGAAGACAGAGACAGATCAATGAGTGAGAGGTTGGCTAGCAGGAAGTACATGGGAGAGTGAAGGTGGGAGTCAGATACCACTGTTATGACAATAAGAAGGTTTCCAAACACGATTCCTCCATAGAATACAAAAAACAACATAAATAGGAAGGTCTGGAGTCCCTGAGAATCAGAGAGACCCAGAAAAATGAATTCAGTCACCATAGAGTTATTCGTTTCACTCGTTGATTCATTCCAGGAAATAGCCTCTGCAGTTACCTTGAAGAAGAGAAGGAGAAGGAAGTCAGAATTATTATATTCAAATTCAAAGCCTCATTTTATATCATTCTGCTCACTCTTACAGTGACTTTCTATAATCTATTACTTAAAGACATTCAGAATTCAACAAGATCATAATTTTATCTCGCACTACTTCCCTGGCTATGCCTTATAATTCAGTTATCTCGGCTTCTCAGTGTCTCCATTAATGTTAGGTTTATTCCTAATATAAAATACCATTATTTATGCTTGTCTCTCTGCCAGATTAAGTCTATGCCATAACTCTATGTTTATCTCCTTTTTCTTTGAACTACAAAACAGTTTGTAGCACACATGTTATTTGGTGATATTAAAGTTCTTAAGAGAAAAAAATAGGCCAAAATGAAATGAAAGATAAAAAATAGAAAAAAAGAAAAAATAATATCACAAATATAATACTTAAAAATTAACAGAGGATAAAAGAATAGGGAATTCAAAAGTGAAGTGAGAAAAAGTGAGGAAAATGCAATAAAGTTTAAATGAGAGAAAGTGTGAAGGACTTTCATAGGAGATAAAACTGGTAAGAGATTTTGGAATGCTTTCTAAAGCATTTCTGTTTTATTATAGAGACAAGAACTACTGAAAAATTTTGAATGATTGTTTAATTTAGCTCTGGACTCAATGTGAATTGGAAGGGAGGGAGCTTGGAAATGAAGCCAAGTAATTATTTTAAGCCTAACAGTAGGTAATAACTGCAGGTTGTGGTTGTGTGAGCAGGAAAGGGGTGAATGAAGACCTGTAAGATCCCATCGAGCAACGTATTAAAGTAGTTAAGATATGAGCTTGTGTGCTAGGAGGCCTGTGTTCAAATCCTGGGTTATCTACTATGTATCTGAATGACCTTAGACAAGTCACCTAAGTGATTTCAGTCTTACGGCCACATCTGGAAAATATAGGTGATAATAGCACAACTTTATAGAAGTTCTGTGAGGATTGGATACGACCAGGTATATAAATTTTCTAGCAAATAGTAATGGTCAATATATAATAGCCATTATTAAGGTACTGATAACAAAATATTTTTTGGCAAGATGTGGAAAATAAAAAAAATGTTATTCCAATGTCTTTAAGTAATTGGGAACATTGTGATGGCTTTAACTCTGATAATAATTATAACAAGCACTAGTATAACAATACTTTACATAGAGATCCCTTTTAGGAGCAGAAATAAATACAGAAAAAGGTAAAGGATAATGATGACTGTCTAGACACAAGGAGGTATTGTTGGGGCATCTTTGTAAGTTGCTATCTGCCAGGTGAGAGACTGAACACTGACTTCTGGGCATGAGTTGAGAGCCATTTCAATTGTGTATGGAGGAGAGAAAATAAGTACTGTTTCAAGAAGTTTTGCAGTGAAGAGAAGTAACAAATAAAAGGTGTCCTGAAAGTGAGGCATAGCCATATTAACAATCTTTGGATTAGGTATAAGAGTTAATGGGCAAGTAAGATGTAAAAGAGAGAAGTGGAAATTGATCACTAACATTCCACGGGAGACATGAAGGTATAGAGTTTACACTTGCCATCTTTTTTGGAGGAATACTGTTATTTGATTTTTGCTGTTTTTTAAAGAACAGTAATTCATAGTGCTTGGAAATTCCACTTTTCTCTTTACTACTCTGAATCCCATTTCTTAGTCCTACACACTCAAAGCAGCACATTACTGTTTTTAAAGTCCTATAAAAATTTAGTGATCTTAAATATTTTTAAGAATAAAGAGAAGTCTAATAGTGGAATAAATCATGAACATTCACTTCAGTTCTCTTCTGCTTAGCACTGTAATAAATATAATCATACTAATCATTGACAGTACAAATGATAGGATTTTTATTGTGAGATAATTTCTGTCCTGACTGGTTGGTTGGACTGTTTCTTTTGAATCAAAGTGTGCAATTTAGAATAGACCTTAAATATGCATTGACATAAAATTAATTCATTTCATTGATAGGCAAGGACAATCTTGAAGTTATATCTTCACATGAAATATGCCAAGGATGAGGTTGACCCGAGGGTTCTCATCTGTAGCAAAAGACTTTCTATCATGGCTGTTAGTAAGAATTCAGGAATGCTATTCTTTAGCAAAAGGAATTTCTTGCTAACGTAGTTAAGACATCTCTCTCCTGAATTTGTGCTGCTGAGGGGATCCTTCACCACCATAATTCTTTCAAAGCTCATTTCTGACTTTTTAAAAATTATTCAAAAAAATTTAGAAGAATTGTATTTATTCTAAGTTGAACATTAAGTTTAGGCTTATTAAAGGAGTTCTTCAGAATCTTACACACTCATTGTAGCAACCATGAAGAGCCAGCCACTGTTGACAGGTAAAATCTTTCATGCCATAGATTATTCTTGGAATTCAACCATTAGAATTATATATAATATATATATTTATATAATATATAAATATATTTATATAATATATATTATACATATTTTATATAATAATATATGTTATATATAAATATAATATATATTATATTCTATAATATATATTATATAATAAAATATATATTATATTCTATAATATATATTTTATAATAAAATATATATTATATTCTATAATATATAATATATATTATATAATAAAATATATATTATATTCTATAATATATAATATATATTATATAATAAAATATATATTATATTATATAATAATATATATATTATATTTATATAATTTATATTATATTATATTATATAATATATATTATATTATATAATAAAATATATATTATATTTATATAATTTATATTATATTTATATTATATATTATATAATATATATTATATATATATAATATGTAATATATATAAATATATAGTATATATAATATATATATATATAAATGCCTTATGTCCTTATAGTAAGTCTCACTGAGATGGGAGTAGGCATTTGGGTTCTGGCACAAATTCACAGTGTGATCATGGGAATATCATTTAAAAATCTCTGGGCCTTAGCTTTCCTGTTTTTAAAATGAGTTTATTCTTTCAAAAGCTCTAAAAATCCTCACAACTCTAGCAGTATGATTTGTACCTTTATGTGAAAGAAATGCTCCAAACCAAGTTTCACTGGTATTATAAAAAGGAGGGAAGGAGGTGGGTAAGAAAACACCGGACCTGGGGAAAGATGGGGAAAAGGACTATTAAATGGGGAGAAAAGAACAAATTAGCCCAGAAGAGTGAGGAGGAGGACTCGACAATTGTTGCCAGCATAATACTTATAACAAGGGTTATTCTTGCTAACATTATTCATATTAATTTCTCTAAGTATTTAAGTTAACCATACAGAATCCTTTCATTTTTCCAGAAGGTAAACACAAAATGGAATTATGCAGAATAGATTCCTACTAATAGAACCATCTCATTGTCAATAAAATGCTACAATTTCATTCATTCTTCTAATATATGTGTTTTGTCTTTGTTTCCACCTACCTTCTTCATAACTGGAAGAGACTACAGCAATTTTCACAGAATGAGGCATAAAAACTGTAAGAGAATAATATGTAGTGAATTGTCCTTTTTAGTAAACCACTTGGTTAATTAAAAGCCCTTTATGAATGGACTAGATGTACCTGAAGAGATCTGGGAATAGCCAGTCTGAGCTTTGTGTACTGAGACTAACTTTTATAGTCTCACAAGTTTTCCCTTGGCCATTAGAGAAAACACACAGAATTTTCCTGAGTGAGAGGACATTGCCACAATTTTTTGGCCTATTTGGATATTTTTGCTATCTCACTGAGTCTAAAGGTGCTTTTTAAAGAATCACAGCAAAACAAATATAATAAAGTTACAAAATTAAAATCCAGATAGGTTAACAAGAGAGTAAGTAATAATGCTTCGATTTTATAAAAAGAGGAATGCTTAGAACTTTTATGACCAACTTGCGGAGAAAATATAGAAAAATTGCTTTAACCAATAAAAAACCTCACTTCTTGTAACTTATTTTATTTTGCATCTTTAATTACCATGCAGTAGTTAAAAGTGAGCTGAGTGAGTCACCACAATTTATGTTTCTTAAAATAGTCATAGAAATACATCCAAGTGATGTCTCAGTTGTGTTCCTTGACCACCAAACTTACCAGGTTTTACCTGAAAGATGTCAATCGCCTTCTTTGTCCTAAGCACCTTAAGTTAAGCACAGGCACATTATATGTGCTTTTAAGATCTCAATGGGGTCTCTTCTCCAGGAAATAAATCTCTTCCTATACTTTTAGGTTGTAGATGCTTTTTAAGAGTGACTCGAGAAATGCTTTGAAGAAGATTTCAAGGGCAATAGGATTGTGTTGTTAAAAAAGTGTAACATAGACAAATTTTGCATAATACAGAGTACTAGAGTCTATTTTTTTTATTATACTTTAAGTTCTAGGGTACATGTGCACAATGTGCAGGTTAGTTACATATGTATACATGTGCCATGTGGGTGTGCTGCACCCATTAACTCGTCATTTAACACTAGTTATATCTCCTAATGCTATCCCTCCCCCTTCCCCCCACCCCACAACAGGCCCCGGTGTGTGATGTTCCCCTTCCTGTGTCCATGTGTTCTCATTGTTCAATTCCCACCTATAAGTGAGAACATTGTACAAAACATATTGACAATCAGCCTGAAAATAATACTTAAGGGTTGTAACAAGCTGTTGACCTTACCATTTATCTAACTTAAAGTACAATTAAAATAAAAATTGTTTCTTCCTTGATTTTGGCATTTACTAATTTATATAAACTCATATTTTATCCATTGGATCCACATAATTTCCATAAGAAAATTAAT
Source organism: Homo sapiens (assembly GCF_000001405.40). NCBI lineage: Eukaryota > Metazoa > Chordata > Mammalia > Primates > Hominidae > Homo > Homo sapiens. Next base: position 105,818 of record NC_000019.10, on the reverse strand, counting down.
TTCCAGTGATGCTTATTATCAGCATAAAAATACTGATAAATAAACCTAGGTCATATATATGTGTATGTGCTTATATACAGATATAAAATAACTACATCAAAATTAAAGATAGTCATTGCTGTTAATTAGATACACACATTAGATAGAAATATATACTTTTTATGATTAACAAAAAATGTTGCAACTTTATCTGAAATACAATTCTTAGATTTAATGCATCCTTTTTGCAGATTTTTCAGTTTTTTCAGGCAATACTAAAAATGTGCGCGTTCCATAGTGATCATGGTGATCACAGGAGTCTTGATGGTCCATGGCATTTATCCTGTGCTCTCATCAACCAAATGTGTTATGTCGTCTCCATAGAATTTAAAATATGTTGATTCAGCCTTCTCATTGCAAACTTCATATCTTTGTTCCTTAAAGTATAGATGGCAGGATTTAAGACAGGGGTGACAACAAAGTTCATGATGGCAAAAAATTTATCCAATGACTTAGTAGGGAAAGGCCACACGTAGAGAAACATGCATGGAGCAAAAAACAAAACCACTACGGTGATGTGAGCCTACGAAGTGAAGAATGCTTTGGATAAATCATTTGAGGAATGTCGTTGGACAGTGACCAGAATAAAAATGTATGATACAATTAAGAAAAAGAAGGTGCCCATCGATATGAATCCACTGTTGGCAGTGACCACAAATTCTAGCCCGTAAGTGTCCATGCATGCAAGTTTAATAACCCGAGGAAAATCACAATAAAAGCTCCCCACATTATTAGGGCCACAGAAGGTTAATTTATGACAAAAACAAACTGAGACATAGCATGAATCACCCCAATGACCCAAGCTGCTGCTACCAAAAACATGCACATTTTGGGATTCATAATAGTTGGATAGTGGAGAGGCTTGCAGATCGCAGTGTACCTATCATATTCCATGACTATCAGCAGCACCATTTCAACTCCTCCCGTAACATGGATAAAGAACTTTTGTATCATACAATTATGGAAGGAAATAACTTTACAATCAGTAAAAAGATCGTAGATCAACCTAGGAACTGTGGTAGATGAAAGGCTCAAGTCAATGAGCGATAGGTTGGCCAGCAGAATATACATGGGGGAGTGTAAGTGAGGATCAAAGATCACTGTGAACACAATGAAGAGGTTTCCCAGGATAATTCCCACATAGAATAAAGAGAAGAAGAGAAAAAGGAAAAACTGCATTTCCAAGGATTGTGCAAGTCCAAGTAATACAAATTCTGTTACCAGAGAGTCATTTACTTGGTCCACTGAATCAGATAGAAGGGAAGACTGTGAAGCAACCTGAAAGAAACGAAGGAATCAACTTAGTGTGACTGAAAATAATGCGTTAAGTGTTAATGATTTAAAATTTATTATTAACAAATCTTTTATTTGATAGTAGATTATTTAAAAACTAGTGGGAACCCAGGGTATAAAAGGTTAATGTAATATGGACAAAGCTGTGCTCAGAGGCAGTCTATTGCTTTAAATGTTCTCAATTGCTCAAATAGATGAACTTATTAGCATCTTAAGAAACTGGAAAAGAATGCATAAAAACTCAAAAAATTCAAGCCAAAAAAGGTAAAAAACAAAAATAAGGAAATATGAAATCCCAGAAAATGGCAAGATTGTATACCAATATATACAAATAAATGGTTTAAAAAATACAGAATCTTTAAAAATGCAATCAATAATAACATTAAATAAAAATTAGAATACAAATGCATAATTACGGTTAAGGCATCTCTGAAAGCTGTTTCCTACATGTGCCTATAATGATCTACCCCAAACTAACACGTGAATCATACTTGAATTTGAAATGCTGTAGAGACAAAAGGTTGATATCTTCATAGTATAAAAAAGAATTTAAACAGTTTCACAAAATCTCCAAGACCTAATAAATGAACAAATGAAATGAAGGAAGAATTAAAATGTAAGCTATACGTGTATTTGTATATACAGATATGTGTGTGTGTGTGTGTGTGTATGTGTGTCTTAGAAATCAAAGAAATATGATAAAATGTAATACTATTATGTTTCTGTTACATTAGGAAAAAGTTTTACAGGCCGGGCATGGTTGTTCACACCTGTTATCCCAGCACTTTGGGAGGCCGAGGAGGGTGGATCACGAGGTCAAGAGATCGAGACCATCCTGTCCAACATGGGGAAACTCCATCTCTACTAAAAATAACAAAAATTAGCTGGGCATGGTGGTGGCGGGTGCCTGTAGTCCCAGCTACTTGGGAGGCTGAGGCAGGAGAATAGCTTGACCCCGGGAGGCGGAGGTTGCAGTGAGCCGAGATTGCGCCACTGCACTTCAGCCTGGCGACAGAGGGAGACTCTGTCTCAAAAAAAAAGAAAAAAAAGTTTTACAATTTTTATTACCCAAACTGGCTAAGGATCAGAGAAATTGGCACTTTTATACGCTGCTGGAGGGAATATAGACTGATTCAAACCTTAAAGAAAATATTTTGAAATCATGTATCAAGAATGTTAAGTCCATGCCTTTTGGTGCAATAATACTCTTGGAATTCTATTTTTACAGAAGTTTTCAGCATAAAAATATTCATCATACTTTGTTGACAGTGATAAAATCTTGAAACGATTTAAATACCAAACATTAGGTTTAAGTATAGTGTATGTACATGACGGACTGTAATAACAGTTATTAAAATAAATATCAATAGAAGCATTTATAATAACAATGGAAAGACTTTTCTTAAAAATACTAAGAGTAATAATGGTAAAGAAATTGCATAGTACAACATGTTAATTAACAGTAGTTGCTTTTGATTTTTAAAAGAGCTTTACAAAGCTCTAAAGCTCTCTTTCTAGATTTTGAAATATCTTTTTGTATACATATTATATTTTTTTTTACAAAACATCAAATGGCATAGAAAGTTGAAGGAATAAATGGTTTATTAAGAATTTTGAAAACTAGGATTGACTCATAGGAGACTAAACCAACTAAAGAAATGAAGAACTCTACTACTTCCCTCATTTAATCAATCATTTTTATAATGACTAGAATTTTTTCATAGATGGGATTCTCAAGGAGGTATAGTTAAGTAAGTGAAGGGTCTTGATTAAACGTCTTGAACTTTGCATAATGCTACCATGAAATGGAAACCTTTTGAGACATTCCATCCAGGCAGTTGACAAAGCATCTTGCCTGCCTCACTTTGACCAGAGCTGGCCATACTGAACGAATTCTGGTAATCATTAAATAATTATAAGAAAAATTAATGCTCAGGTGCTCTCATCAAGTTCAGAGTGAGTGAGGTTAGTAATGATGAAGTGGGAAATATTAAGAGATACACAATAAATGGTCAAAGAAATGCAATATAGTACAATGGGATAAGAAGAGATAATATTTTGGGAAGAATACAGCAGATGGAAACAAATAGATTTGATTTCTATCTCCACAATATGCATGCATTTTTTTAAACTCTCAGTGAATTTGTGCATGGCTTTCTACCTTCTCTCATCTAGATATTCTCCTAAATGCTTTTTCCAGCATTTTCTGAATGAAATACATATGGATGGTCCCTGGCTTGTGATAGTTTGACTTATAATTGTTTGACTTTACAATGGTGAGAAAGTGACATGCATTCAGAAGAAACTGTACTTGAGTATAGTAGTCAGTATATTACGTGAGCTATTCAATATTTTATTATAAAATAGGCTTTGTATTAGGTGATCTTATATAAGCTAATGAAAGTGTTCTGAGCACATTTAAGGTAGGCTAGGCCAAACTATGATGTGAGGTACATTAGGAATATTAAATGCATTTTTGACTTATGATGGATTTATCAGGACATAACCCTATTATAAGTCAGAGAGCATCTGTACATTTTTAACTATGTTTTACTATTTTCACTTCATTCATAGTGCTATCCCTGGACTTCTTACCCATATTTAGATCACCCAGATCATAGGGGCTTAAGAACAAAGGATTTTGGGAGAGGAATTGAACCCGGGAAACATTATAGAGTAAATAAGATTATCCCTGGGAGGTTTCATGGAAATGTCCTTTATGCTGCTGAGCAGAAGGTGTTTGGTGACTTGCTAAGCTCAACACCAATTCATAAATAGTTATTTATAAAGAAATGAAGTTGAAGCTGAAGAATCATGTTTACTGCTTAGGATCAAGTGTTTTATCCTGTTAAAACTAAGATACAATATATAAACCAAGCACTCTAGGACTCTCATCATGAAAGTGATATTTCATCTTATAAGAGCAATTCCAAAACAAAAGCAATTAATGTCTGAATTACTTTGTCATATTTGGAGATTCCTATTACTACTGAAATTCATATTGCTACTGAAATGGTGTTTGTCTTGGAGTGTGAGTGATAATTAATTTTCTTAAAGAGGAAAATCCCAAACTACATGAACCTATTAGTCTAAAGACTGAAAAATTCTCTTTATAACATGAACATTTGCCATTTTAAAATAAAACAATCGCAATCCAAAATATGAAACTATGGGCGTTCAATATCAGTGTGAAGGAGGCAGAGTCCATAGAATGTTTAAAGAGAGTAAAAAGGAAAGGGAAGAACAAAGATGAATTGGAAAGAAATTTGGAGAATAAAAGAAGGGTCAGGGGAAGGAATAAGAAAGAATCCTAAAGAAAAAACAGGATAAAATGATGATCAAAAGAAGCATTGGTGGAACATGGTACATCTTTACTTAGGTTACCTTCAGGCTTAAAGCAATATACATTGATGCATTATGAACACCTGAGAGAGTAGATTTTACTTGAGTTTTCATACACTGTTTATGTATATTGTCACTGCAAACATGGAAAGTAAAAGAAAAGCTGTAGGAAATAGTCACTGATATGTGGAGAAAAGTTAAGAGTTTAAGCTTGTGAGTGAATAAGTGTGATAATGAGGTATGGTGGGATTGAATGTATAGTTGGATATCACTGGCAGTGGTTCAGCTAACCAACAGGTGAGTTCTCTTCTAAAAGAATTAGGGAATAAGTGATCAAAATATGCTTTAGCCTCCAGGCAGTATTTTACTTATTCTAATATTTGTAGCTTTTCATAAATGTAAAATTAAAGTCCATGAGTGCAGGGAAACTTTTTGCATTGTTCAGTGCATAATTACTTGCCTAAAACAGTGCCTGTCTCATAGAAAAAGCTCAAGAAATACTTGATGAATGAACTTTCTAAAAACAGCATAATAAATTGTCAATATGAGAAATAAAATATTAGCCCCCACAAAAATAGAGAGAAATTGCATTTTAAAGTACTCCTTCACAAGCTTGTACTTGTTGATGAAAACTCAGTTGCATAAAAAAGGGAGTATTTAAATAAGTGAAGAAAGTCCTACCCATTCTGTTACAAACATTTGGAATTATTACATTTTATTGTTGAAGAAATCCTGATGACCCAAAGGAGCTTGTCTAGAGGAAAAGACCATGTGTTTGATTTCTCTGCCTTCTTAGGAAACACTGATGACTTTGGAAAGCTTCTAGGAGTTCTTCAGAAGCCAAGTTTCCATAGAGTTTGTCATCTTTCCTATTGGAGATTTAAAATTTGTCAGTCATTTAGGGTCTGGGACACATATCTTCAAACAGGAAATGCAGACTTATATTAAACAAAAAGGATGTTCAGAATTATAGTTTTGTATAGAAGTGGGAAAGAACTTTGAGATTCTACAGGTAGAATGAGAAACAACACAGTGTGGTTAAATGGCTAACAATACATTCAAGAAGTCAGAATCAGAAGGCAGACCTCCTAAATTCCAGTTTAATGATCTTTCTCAATAGTGGTCTATGCTTTCTTGGTAGAAACAGTCTTTAAAAAAATCTAGAAGCATATATGTTTGACAGGATCACTCTAACCTATTGGAAGAACCCTCTTATTCCTTGAGTTCTTATTTTGTTTAAAATAAAATTAGCATTCACTTCCTAAAATATTATTTCTTCTTTTTCACTGGGCATTGCTCTTCCCAATTCCCTTTCTTATTTCTTCAACCTGGAACAGTTCCATTTCAGAATTCATAGCCATCAGCTCCTCTGTACCCTCCCCTGGGATGAGGCCAAATCTTTCTGAATCTGAGATAGCCTCTCAGCCTATGCATTGGCTGGAGTGTTCCAATGTGGAGGAAGGTAATACCAAAAGAGAGAGAATCACACCAGACTGTGGGAGGTAAAGACTTGAGATTCCCTTCCTCTGGTTTAAAACTAAATCTGGTTTTCAAATAGGATGGAAATAGACGAGATCACACATCTCCTTTTCAGAGTGGAAAATGAAGTTTATAATGAATTGGAGAGCATGAAAGTTAGAAAACTACACATCTTTAAAGAACTTCATACTAGGGACAAACTGAAATTATCATAGGGGTTTATATGTGGGATTAGTTTTATAAGACATAATATAATTTAATGATTAAAATTTGAAAATAAGAGATAGTGTGGAAGAAAAAGATAAAATATTTCAGAAAGCAGAAGATTTTGGGCACAAATATGTTACAGAAGAGAAGAAATTGAAAGGGAGTTTAGAAGGATAGAGAGAAGCAACCACGACAGGGAAGGTTTTGTAATTAAAAGCATCTCTTTTACCTGTCTTTTCAGTCATAGGATGTGCATTTTTAGGAGAAGGAGAAATTCAGATAGCTTAATCTTCATTTATGTAATACCCCAAAGACAAAGCTATATATAAGATTCTTCATATTGGAAAGGAAGCTAATTAGCTGCACAGGAGAGGGACCCACTGATGCTGCTGAGACAGACAATACCCAGCCCATTATTAGTTTCTCTTGGGGACTAGATCTCTGAGTCACACAATTTCCCCTTGACAAAAGTATCAAAAGAATTGCCTGCTGATGAAATAGGGGGAAGGAAGGAAGGATTTGAGGTACTACATTGGCTAGTAAAAAAGAATCCCCATTTAGCATGGGTAATCTTAGTGTGTGAATTGTTCGGAATGACTGAGATGAGGGAGTGAAAATATATTCAGGGTGGACAGACATACCTTCACTTATGGCACCATGAATGAAATTTGAAGAAATAAATATAAAACATCTGATCTTTAAATACAATGCCTGTAATTGATAACAGGTGAATAAATGGATCCTTCTCCTGTTATCAGTTATAGCAAATGTTTACCTCTGGATGCCAACCTGTGCTCCCAAAGTTTAGTGTGTTGGGGTTGAAGGTTTCTTTGAAAGTTTTTGACCTTTGTCCTTCCTGAATTGACTGGCTACAATTAAAATTTGTATTTTTTTTTGGATCAGTTTTTTCAGAGGTATTGGAAAAACATATACAAATATAAAAGAAAAAATAGAATCATTCTGAGTTTCTGTAACAAGAGTGTGTTTCCATGAGGGTGAGGTAATCATTCACAAAAGGACCTGTATTGAGCCATTGAGACAAGCCTAGTGGATACCCCTGGAGAAGCTTGGCTTTATTATTGATGTAAAGACACAGAAAAATCTAATCTCCAGGTTATCATGGTGGCCTGAAAGTGCAAAGGCTCCACCTTGGTTTACAGTGGCATTTGTTTAGAGCTGTATTTCATTTTCTCTTGTTCAGAAATGAGGAAAATGATTTTCTCTAGAACAGCAGCAGAATAAGAAATGTTGGTTGATCCCAAATTAATTTTTGAAAAATAGTAACATTCCAAAAATACGTAAGCAAGATAAAAACTGCAGAATAATGTGGGCAGAAATATTTTTTAAAATTAGGATACACAGTCAGTTACATGGATTATTGTCTACCTAAGATGAGGTAAAACAGTGTAGGTGCTTAGGGAAACCACAACTACAGTGACGTGAGAGGAAAATCTGTTCTATTGCCCCCACAGAGGTCTCTTCTGCAACACAATGAGCAGTACATAAGTCATTCTGATGTGCCAATGTGCTCCTGTCCTGTGTGCCATTGTTCTAAGTGGGAAACTGGGGTAGCAGGCCGAACAGCGTATTGAAATGAATGAGGGAGCATCTAGGCAGAAATAAGTTGCAGGGAGTTGGCCAGCCAGATACAGAACATGTTGTGATTTGAAGGCTGTTTCCTGAGGCATGAATCATGGGTTTTCTAGGCAGCAAAAGGCTTTTGGGCTAACAGAGAAGCTGGAGTTGTTAATGAAGAGTTCATGAGACCTAGTAGTACAAGAGAGGACTGAGAGTGATAATTTACAGGCTTCTTCACCTGAGATTGGCTCAAGATTGGAATTGGCTTAAGCTGCAAAAGGAATTCATTAGTGGATTTCACCCCAGAGACTTGAGGTGATGCAGGCAGAGGAAATTAATTGAGAATAGAAAAGGAGATTAAAAAGGAAGTTCTTTAGTCGTATGACCTGTGATTGAACGTAAGAAGAAAGCTGAAGCATCGTTCAATACATTAGTCATGTTGCAATAGTTTTACTCTTTGCTATATTTATGATGTGATAGAGGTGAACATGACAAAGTCCTGCTCATGTTGAACTTAAAATGCAATGAGGAAGACATCACTGAATGAAAAATTTTGAGGGCTGTTAGTCTTACAAAAGAGGTAATAGGTAGTGCTAGAGGAATATACAATGGAAGGAACTCTTCTGGACTCAGGTTCTGGGAGGCCTCCCTGGTAAAATGATGAAACTGAAAGCTGAGATGTTAAGAGGCAAAACATGAAGGACAAATATTGTATACAAAATGATTAGCTAGTGGAAAGCCCCAGAGTTGATAGAATTTGAAGTTTCCAGGCAAGTAAAAGAAAACCAAATTGGATCTGGAGTTGCAGGGAAAGAGTATGTTATTCTCTGAGACTGAAAAAAAGGAAGGAAGCCAGGTCTTGGATGGCCTACTATACCATGATAACATACCAGTTTAAGGGCACAGAAGCATGTGAATTGTCTTTAGCAAAAGAATTACATACTTAGATTAAAAATTTTTTTTCTTTTACTGAAGCGTAGATAATAGGATTTTAAGTGGGAAGATCGCATAGGTGACTATATTCTCTTCCAAAAATGACATAGGTAGGCTTAGACAGGAATAGTGGTGTTACAGATGAAAATAAAGGAACATATGTAAGGCTCTTTGGAAGGTAGAATAAGACTTGATGATTTATTGATTTTGGGGTACTATGGAGAAAGAAATCTATTATTTTCCCCAGATTTTGGGTTGTGCAACTAGGTAACTAGTTGGTACAAATTATTGTGACTGAGAACACTGAAAGAAGAGTAGGTTTGAAAAGAGGAAGGCTAGTTTAGTTGCAGACTTGTTGAGTGGAAGATCTTGTGTGGCATCCAGGAAAGTAGGAGGTTAGATCTGTGGATCAGGAACTCAAGAAATAGTACCAGGGTCAGGTGCAATGGCTTGTCCCTGTATTCTCAGCTACTTGGGAGGCTGAAGCAGACAGATTGCTTGAGGTCAGGAGTTTGAGACCAGCCTCAGCAACATAGTGAGACCCTGCCCCTTAAAAAAGAAAGAAAGAATGAAAGAAAGAAAAGGAAAGAAAAGGAGGAAGGAAGAAAGAAAGAAAGAAAGAAAAAATAGAAGGTTTGAGAGCCCCTAGTGTTTAGATGGTAATTAAAGCTGTGGGAATGGGTGATACGTAGGGATAGAATCTAAGTGAAAACAGGCCAAAGATCAAATTAGGGGCAATAGGTTGATTGGTGGTTAAGCAGATGAGGAACACTCAACAAAAGACACAGGGAAGGACTTGCCCAGGAGGTAGGAGAAAAAGCCAGGAAGCTGTGGTGTTCCAGAAGCCCGGTAGAGTATATGAAGATGGGGGAGATTAGCAGCAATTAAGAGAAGAAATTCCCATTCATATGAGTGATAAAGCAATTAAGTAGAATAACTTAGAAAGGTTCTTGGAGAGTCACAGGACAAAATAGCATAGGTACGGTTTCTCTTAATTGAGCTGTTATAATTTACAAAGCAGTAGAAACAAATACATGAAAAAAGTATGTGTAACTTCAATAGAGTTTTTATTTTGAATGCAGAAATCTTCAATGAAATTGAATATGCCTCACCATTTCTAGCTTTATTCTTATCCCAAAATATCAACCACAGATGCATAGGCTCCAGGGAATCTTTTGCCTGACTAGAAAACCTTATTTAAGAAACCAGTACCTCTAAACACATATCCTTGGGCGATTAGTCTCCTGTGAAACAACTGTTATTTCTACACATCTATTTAGAATAAACTTGGATGATTGACTTTTGGAATGTTCTCATTTTTAGAATAATAGAGATGTAGGAAAAAGTGAAAATGCTCTGTCTGTATCTATTTAAAGTCTCGACAGCATTAAAGAAATTTATTCTCTTCCTGCAATCACTCAAATCTGAGCACAAAACTGAAATAGCATCGTAAACTGACAAAGCTCAAGGTAAAGTCAAATCTCAGTTCAGGGCTTTGCACACGTATTACATAGTTGTTTCTGTTTCTTATTCTAATTTAAACAGAAAGTAAAATGGAAATTTTAAAAATATACTTTATTAATTTATAATTTACCTAAGTTCACATTTTATTTATTCCATCTATATGCTTACTATGAGATAAATTTATTATGTTTTGAAGCTGAAAGTAATTACAATTAGCATGTCTCAGAAAATGTCATTCAGGAAATAGTATTTGAATATCAAGTTTACTCCTGCAAATCAGCTTGGTTTTGTATTCTTATCTCTCTTCTCAATGGAAGTATATGAAATTAATCTCTTCTCTGTGGTGGCAAGTTAAAGATACCTCTGACTTAATCAATTTCTACATGGCACCTTTGCTAAACTATCTCCCAAAATAGTAGTTCTTATCACAATAATGCTGGTAGCCATGTGACTTTCAGTGTTCTTGGTGAGACTGAATCATCTTGCACTCTGGATATGCACCATTTATTATGACATCCTGCTAGAACCTGCAATCCATTTTCCCAGTCTTTCCATGGAGACGTTCATGTCTTTGTTTCTTAATGTGTAGATCCTAGACAGGGGTGATAGCAAAAGGAACAATGAACAAATATTAATCATGTGTTGTTTTAGGCAAAGGCTACACATAGAGAAATATACATGGCATAAAAAACAAAATCCCTACTGTGATGTGATCTAACATGACACAAATGCTTTAGATAAGTCTCCTGAAGAAGGATTCTAGACGGTTACCGAAATGAAAATATAGGATATTATTAATAAGAAACAGGTAGCTATGGATATAAGCCCACTGTTAGCAGTGACTACAACCTCTAGTTTGTAAGTATCTACACAAGCAAGTTTCATGACATAAGGAAAATCACAGTGAAAACTACCTACTCTATTAGGGCCACAAAAAGGCAAGTTTATGGCAAAAACAAACTGAGATACAGCATGGATTATCCTGACTATCCAGGATGCCTCCAACAAAGGAAACACACATTTTGGGGTTCATTGTGGTCAGGTAATGGGGAGGCTTACAGATTGGCAGTGTACCTGCTCTATGCCATGGTTATGAGCAGCACCATCTCAATTTTTACGCATGACACAAATGAAAAATATCTGTATCATGCATCTTGGAAAAGAAATGATGCTGCAGTTAGTGAAAAAGTCAGAACTGTAGGAGAAGACCCAGATCAAGAAGATAAATGTTGGCCAGTAGGCAGTACCTGGGGAATTTAAATGAGAGTCAATAATTACTGTGAACACAATGAAGAGATTTTCCAGGATAATTCCCATGTAGAACACAGAGAAGAACCAAAAAAGAAAAAGATGCATCTCCCAAGAGCTTGAAAGTCCAATCAATACAAATTTAGATACCGCAGAATTATTTACTCTATCCATTGGCCATTGACTCAGTCAGTAGAGAAGAAGCTTTAGTATTCTGAAGGAAGAAAGTGAGGAAGAATTGAGAAATACAAATGCTACACGTTGAAGTGTTGTTTGACCATAAATGATTTTGTGGGAAATATGTGGCAAGTGCTGAAATATGAAGACAGAAAACACACAAAGAGAGAAAATGAAAGAAAGATAAATGAATTGGGGAAATGCGGTGATCATAAGTTATTTATTAATTTATTAATAAATCATGTGATGATAAGTTATTAATTATTAATAACAATTAGATCATAAGTTATTTATTAATTATTAATAACAATTAGACAAGAACAGCAAAGAAAAAAATCATGTGGGAAAATGGCAGGTGGAGTGAAGGATTAGAGGGGCAAAGAATATAATTTCCGTAACGGAGTGCTTCTTTACCATGCGCATCGTGCAGTAATTACGGCTGCTTCAGTCTTACTCACCCATGTTCAACACAACGTCGTCCACGTAAGAAACAGTCACCGTGTTTGAAATGTTAATCGCCTTAATTGTATTTATCTGCATGTACCCTTAGGGGATGTACTCTCTGATCAATCTTCTTTTTTTTTTTTTGAGGCGGAGTCTCGCTGGGTCGCCCAGGCTGGAGTGCGGTGGCGCCATCTCGGCTCACCGCAAGCTCCGCCTCCCGGTTCCCGCCATGCTCCCGCCTCGGCCTCCCCAGCAGCTGGGACCGCAGGCGCCCGCCACCGCGCCCGGCTAACTTTTTGTATTTTTAGTGGAGACGGGGTTTCCCCGTGTTAGCCGGGATGGTCTCGATCTCCTGACCTCGTGATCCGCCCGCCTCGGCCTCCCAAAGTGCTGGGATGACAGGCGCGAGCCCCCGCGCCCGGCCTCTGATCCATCTCTTACTTCACACAGTCTCAGGCATTAATCACACACTAAGAGTGACTGGCCAATGAGGGAAAGAGCAATTAATCCCAGAGGTACAGTAGCATAAAATGCAAAGACTTACTCTTCTGCTGGTTTTCCAATACGTGTGATTCCAGCCAATCACTTGTTGACTTGTTGGAGGATTAAGACTCACTTTAAATAAAGTGAAACTCAACCCCCACAAAAAAGAGTATCTGAAACTCAGAGAGAGGGCTTTTCCATGCTTTGTTAGGAATCAGAGTTGGTGCTTTTGAGAGTTCTGCTCTAGGATTAATACCTTTGACAATTTGAATATGAAGTTGGGAAATAATGGTGTCTTTACTAAAACAAAATATTTAATCATGATACACTAAAAGCACGTAAAAACTACAGGCCCACAGAGCCACAGAGATAAAGGTCACGATAGCTGGTCATCAAATATTTGAACTTTGTCCCATTAAGATATTTTTAAAGGTCAGTAAAATTGATACCAACTACACTTTAGAGAGAACATCTGTTATTATCACTACTTGTAAGTAGAAAGTTTGAAGATATCTATCCATAACATATTTGGATCCATTCATTATGTGATGTAAAGTGAAAAATTAGAAGTACATTTAAGAGTGACATATGAGAAAATCATTAAATAATGCAGAAAGGGGTAATTAAGATTCATACCAAAATGAACGTAGCCATTATAGACGATACAGATTTAGGTTTGTTGACAAGTCCAGTAAATTGTTAATGACAAAAGTTGGTTACAAAAGGATATGTCTTATGTAATATACTCTTTATTTGAATACACTGTAAAATATGTAAGTATATACATCAGCATCTCTAGAGAACCACTTTGGATAATGGCATTTTAGGTAACCTTAATATTAAAAAGGTTGACCATCTATATTTTGTTATTTTCTATATTGTTATTTTTCTTTTATGAGAAGGAAATGAAAGGAAAGCAATAGGAGAGAAAGAAGAGCAAGGAAAGGAAAGGAAAAAGAAAAGAATACTGTGAGATTTATGGAGGGAGTGAAATTTTCTCTCTCTCCCTCTTACACACACACACACACACACACACACCAGTTAGAGACAGATGTTTTGTGGCATTGGTTTCATAACTTTATTATCCTTTGTTAAATCACCATTCTCAATTAGTGAATGACAGTTATTGGGTGCATTATGAAAAAATACCCGGGTGTTCTATGCCAAATTTTAACCAGAATTCTACATGCTAATTTGTTTAGAAAAAAATGAATACATGTGAATGAATTTTGAGTTAGGGAATATAAATGATAACTGGATGGCATTTTACAGAATCCTTGGGTGTCCCAGTTATTTAGAACAGTGAGTCCTACACTGAAAACAATAGGAAAACACTCTTATAAGCCATACCTTCATTTTGCCAATTAAATTTTATTATTAAATAATTTTTTCCTATGTTTTCTAAAAGAGATAAGACTGAATGAAACAATCATCCTAAAGAGAAAAGCTAGAATTGTGTAGTGGCATCAGGCTTACTAGTAACTCTAAATACTACTATGTCGTGGCGATTAACCTGTTTATAGAGGATCCTATCTTTTGTTCAAGACTTATCAGGAGTTGGTTCTAACATTCAGTTAGTTTGCCCTGAAATATTGAATTCATGCTCAGAGCAGTGAGAAAAGAGTGTATTCAAATAAGTTGAAAGAGAAAACATTTAGTGTTTTGTTTTGTTTGTTTGTTTGTTTTGCTTTTTTAGAAAACATTAAAGAATCAGGAATCCTCCTAAGGGAGAGTACCTTAAGAGTTGGTTGCTATCCTTGCTGGATATCTTGGCTTTAACACTAATAAGTGGGTAACCTTTTCAAACAGATAATGTAGAAAATCAGATAGAATGTGTGTCTCCTGACTTCAGTGATTGAAGATTCTCTCTGCCCTAAGGAACTAAGGGAAATCGTAACTTTTCTGAGACCAAAAACACAAAGAGACAATAATACTTAAAATTAATTTCACCAGTGCCTTGTTAACTGATGTATCATATGCATGGATTTTTCTTTTTTTCTTTTTTTTTTTTGACTTTTATTTTAGTTTCGGGGGTACATGTGAAGGTTTGTTACATAGGTAAACTCATGTCCTGGGGGTTCGTTGTACAGATTATTTCATCCCCCAGGTAGCGCCCAGTAGTCAGTAGTTATCTTTTCTGCTCCTCTCCCTCTTCCCATCGTCCTCAAGTAGACCCCAATGCCTGTTGTTTCCTTCTTTGTGTTTGTAAGTTCTCATCATTTATCTCACACTCATAAGTGAGAACATGTGGTATTTGGATTTCTGTTCCTGCCTTAGTTTGCTAAGGATAGTAGCCTCCAGCTCCATCCATGTTCCTGTCAAAGACATGATCTTGTTCTTTTTTATGGCTGCATAGTAATCCACGGTGTATCTGTACCACACTTTCTTTATCCAGTCTGTTACTGATGGGCATTTAAGTTGATTCCATGTCTCTGCTATTGTGAGTAGTGCTGCAATGAACATTCTCATGCATGCGTCTTTATGGTAGAACGATTTATATTCTTCTGGGTATATACCCAGTAATGGAATTGCTGGGTTGAATGATAGTTCTGTTTTTGGCTTTTTGAGGAATCGCCATCCCATACTGCTTTCCACAATGGTTGAAATAATTTACAGTCCCACCAACAGTGTATAAGTGTTCCCTTTTCTCTGTAACCTCACCGATATCTGTTATTTTTGACTTTTTAATAATAGCCATTCTGCCTGGTATGAGATGATATCTCAATATGGTTTTGATTTGCATTTCTCTAATGCTCAGTATATTGAGCTTTTTTTTCATATGCTTGTTAACCATATGTATATCTTCTTTTGAGAGTGTCTATTCATGTTCTTTGCCCACTTTTTAATGGGGTTGTTTTTGTCTTGTAAATTTAAGTTCCTTATAGCTGCCAGATATTAGATTTTTGTCAGACTTACAGTTGGCAAATATTTTCTCCCATTCTGTAGGTTGTCTGTTTACTTTGTTGGTAGCTTCTTTTGCTGTGCAGAAGCTATTGTTTTATTAGATTCCACTTCTCAATTTTTGCTTTTGTTGTGATTGGTTTCCGTGTCTTTGTCATGAAATCTTTGCCCGTTCCTATGTCCAGGATGGTGTTGCCTAAGTTTTAGCTCTATTCATAACTACCTTAGTTCATTGTGATAGAGGCCCTTTTCAGAACTGATAGACACAGTTTCATTAAACCATTTTCATTCTGATAATTACCCCTTTAATTCTTGGCCCAGGCATTGACTAAGATTATCAAATGCTTTATCAAATATGGCATACAGAGGGAATGGCCCCAGCATTCTCTATATGAGGACAGAAAATCACTTCCCCCCACTTTCCATTAGGAAAATGGAACGCACACGACGTGAACATGTTTGGTCTCCGCAGTGGGAAATGTGACATATCATATGACATAAGGAAGGTGACAAGAGATAACAGATCCTTATAATACTAATTCTCCAAAGAGAGACAGTACAAATGTCAATGCATTTAGAAATCTCTCCTTTAACGGGTGTAATATAATTTAGTGATTAAGATTGTAAGAATAATGCTCTGAGGATTGAAATAATTGGAGATAGGAGGAAAACAGAAAAGTGGAGGAGATGGAAGGTTGAAGGGAAATGTAAGAAGAGAGAGATTGCCTTGACATTGCTAAACTTTGGGAGCGTTTTTCTGACCTACCTGTTCTGTTCCAGGGTGTGCAGTAGTGACACTGGGAAACTGATCATTTTGATTTCTGCTTTCTAGTAGAATCAGCTCCAAGACAAAAGTATGTATACATTTTCTTCCCAATGATTAACAGAGTTAATTAGTACCACTAGATGTTAGAGACCCACTGGTGCTTCTTAGATCCTTGTAACCAGGCCTCCATTGGTTTCTCTTGGGAACCAGATCTATGAGTCATATTAATTTTCTCAAGAGAAAAAATATCAGAAGAGTTACTTGGTGATGGAAAGTAAGGAAAAAAAGAAAAATGCAGGAAATATGTTCCCTCTAGGACAGGAAAGTGATACCATGAGCTTACTTAGATTAACTGAGTTGAGGGAAACTAAGACGTCATCCACCATTGTTGAAGATGCCCTCATTCATGGTGTGGGGGTCAGTGAGCTTAATGTGTGTCAAGATATTCTTTTAGAAACAAGGAAGAGAGCTTTAATGCAATGGTGATATTCGTATAACTATTCTTGATTTCTTCCCATTCAACACTTTTTTTTTTACTTCATTGGATAGGGATGACTGAAACCAACACTTTTATCATCTGTTAACTATTCCAAAATTTATCATTCAACACTGAAAATGTGTTGTATAAATGAATGAATGTATGTCTTCGTGTAACCATTCTTTCCTTAAAACATACCGAGTTCTGACTAAATATAAGGGACATGGAGCCATGCTTAACTGTTGAGCAAAATAAAAGGGCTCAAAAGTGTTTCTCTAGATCTGGAGGTGGTAAATTTGACTCATGGGACAAATCTTTTGTAAATAAAGTTTCACTGGAACCCAGTCACACTCATTTGTTTCTGTATTGTCTGTTGACAGTTTTTATGCTACAATAAGAGTTGAGTAGTTATGACAGACACTCTAGGGCCTGTAGAGCCTATAATATTTACTTTTGGCCTTTTACGGAAGAAGTTTACTGACCTTATCCTAGATCAAGGAAGTTTGGCAGAGGAAGAGGGTATGGTAGAAGCACCATCCATATCTATCTTCATCATCTTCATATATAGTTGGGAGTAAAGATGCAGATGAAAGTTGAGAAGGTAAGGTTCTTGAAGTCCTGTAAACCCTGCCTCCAGACACATTGTCTGGAATCAGGATGTCTACATGATTGCAGGGCTAATGTAAACTGAATTTGTGAGGACTTCGGTTAAAAAAATTGTTAAGAATTTCAAGGCAGAAACAGCAGAGCATTAAAAAAAGTGTAGGATCCTTTTAAGTGTGGGATCTTGTTCAACTGCACAGGACACACACTTGTGAAGCTGATGTTGTCTGCAATAATGCTAAGAATCTTAAAGTGTTGAATTAGAAGTTAATACAACTGGGCAAACCGCTCGGGTCCCCTTCCACACTGTGGAAGCTTTGTTCTTTCACTCTTCACAATAAATCTTGCTGCTGCTCAAAAAAAAAAAAAAGTTAATACAACTCTGAGCACTCAGTACATAAAGTTTCCTTTCCAGTTGCTGAAGGAATTTATAGTGGCCCGTACCCTGTACATTAACACATGAATGAGAGAAATGAGTGCATGAATATTTTGAACAGTGTGACTTAAGTGAGGTACGAACCTCAAAAAGACGTTTTTTAAAAATTTTAAATTTTAACTGCTATATTTCTTTTTGATAACAAGTTATATATCTTTATGGTGTGTAATGTGATGTTTTGATACATATGTATATTTATCGTGAAACAGTGACCACCATCAAGCTAATTAACGTAATTCATGATCTGACATAATTATCTTAGTCATTGCTTTGCAGAGTATGAGTGTCTGTTTCCTCACAGGCTCATCCATGATATATTATTATTTATGAAAACACAATAGCAATGCTATATTTTAAAATTTACATTTCTTTGATAAAAAGTGAGTTTGAATATTCTTCATATGTTTATTTTTTATTTGGATTTCTTGTTTTGTCCATAGTCTTTATATGCTTATTTTAAATTTGGTTTAAATTATATTTAAAAACCATTTTCCCACATTTGTTTTTACTTTAATGAATTAATTCTTCTGTATAATTTTTTTAATCTGAAAATGTCAGCTTTTTTGTTTCTCATTTTTAAAAATTATTTTTTAATTGACAAAAATTATATATATTTGTGGAATACAGTGTGATGTTTTAATATATGTGTATGTTGTTGAATGAATAAATCAAGTTAATTAACACATATATTACCTCATATTAACATTTACAATATACTGTATTAGCAATTTTCAAGCATACAATACATTATTAATTACAGTCAACATGTCGTATATTGGGTCCCCTGAATGTAATCCTACTAATTGAATTTTTTTCCTTTTATTAACAATGTCCCATTTCCTCATCCTCTCCCTGCCAGATAACCCTAGTAACCATCATACTATTCTCTGCTTCTATGAGTTCAGATTTTTTAGATTCTAAGTGAGATCATGCAATATTTGTCTTTCTGTGTCTAGCTTATTTCACTTAGCTTAATGTCCTCTAGGTTCATCCACGTTGTCTCAAATGACAGAATTTCCTACTGTTTTTAAGGCTGAATAATTTTCCATATCACATTTCATTTATCCATTCATCTGTCTATGAACAGTTAGGTTGATTCTATATCTTGGCCATTGTGAACATGCTGCAATAACATAGGAGTGCAGATATCCCTTTGACATATTGATTTCAATTCCTTTGGCTATATACCCAGAAGTAGGATTCTTGGATCATGTGATAGTTCTATTTTTAATTTGTACATGATGCAAGGGTTCCCTTTTCTATCATCCTCTCTGATAGTTGCTATCTTTCATCTTTTTGATAATAGCCATTCTAACAGGTTTGAGGGGACATCTCATTTTGGTTTTAATTAGTACTTCCCTGACAAATAGTGATGTTGAGCATTTTTTGATGTATCTGTGGCCCTTTGTATGTTGTCTCCTGAGAAATGTCTATTCCTGTCCTCTGCCGATTTTTAAATAATTTATTTAATTTATTTATTTATTTATTTATTTATTTATTTTACTTTTGACATATTTGTGTTACTTGTATATTCTGGATATCAATCCCCGGTTGGATGAGTAGTTTGCAAATATTTCTCCCATTCAAGAGGTTATCTTTTTCACTCTATTGATCGTTTCTTTTGTTGTTAGAAATTTTTTAATTTGGCATAGTCTCATTTGTCTATTTTTTCTTTTTTTGCCTGTGCTTTTAGAGTCATATCAGAAAAATGATGGCCCAAACCAATGTCAGGAAGAATATTTTCTATGTTTTGTTCTAATAGTTATACCATTTCATGTTTTAAATTTGTATTTAATCCATTTCCAGTTGAATTTTGCATATGGTATGAAATCAGGATTCAACTGCATTCTTCTGCATGTGGATATATAGTTTTTCCAGCATCATTTATTGAAGAGATTGTCTTTTCCCCATTGTCTTCTTGACATTGTTGTTGAAAATCAATTGAATGTAAATGTGTGGACTTATTTCTGTGCTCTTTATTCCATTCCATAGGTTTATCTGTGTGTTTTTATGACAGTATCATGTTGCTTTGATCACTATAGCTTTGTAGTAGATTTTGAAATAAGGTAGTGTGATGCTTCCAGTGTTGTTCATCTTGCTCAAGATTGCTTTAGCTATTCACAGTCTTTTGTGGTTTCATGCATATTTTAGAATTTTTTTTTTATTTCTGTCAAAAATACCTTTGGGATTTTGAAGAGATTGCAATAAATGCATTAGATCTATAAATTGCTTTAAGTAGTGAGGACATCTTAACAATATTACTTTTTCTAATCTATTAACATGAGATAGCTTTCTATTTATATGTGTCTTATTCAACTTCTTTTTTCAATGTTTTATAGTTTTTAGTGTACAGATGTTTGGTAAAATTTATTCCTAAGTATTTTATTTTTTGGATTCTATTGTTAGTGGTATTGTTTTCTTAACTTCTTTCTCTGTTAAGTCCTTATTAGTGTATAGAGACACTACTGATTTTTGTATGTTGATTTTGTATTCTGCAACTTCACTGAATTTACTAGCTCTGTAGTTTTTTTTTTTTTTTTGCTGAAGTTTTAAGGGGTTTCTACATATAAGATTATGTTATCTGTAAACAGAAAAGTTTGCTTCTATCTTTCCAATTTGGGTGTTTTTATTTTTATTTTGTCTAATTGTCCTGGCTAGGACTTTTAGTACGATATGGAATAGAAATAGCAAGAGTGGGAACCTTTATATTATTTCTGACCTTAGAGGAAAAGCTTTCATTTTTTTTACCAGTGTGATGATTTTACTATTATGATGTTAGCTGTGGGCTTGTTATATATGGCCTTTATTGTGTTGCGGTACATTCCTTCTATTCCTAATTTGTTTTATCTGATGTCTTATTATGAAAGAATGTTTACTTTTGTTAATGCTTTTTCTGCATCTATTGAGATGATAATATGATTTTTATTTTTTATTCTGTTAGTGTGGCATATCACATTTATTGGTTTCCATATTTTGAACCATTCTTGCATCTCAGAGATAAATTCTACTCGATTATGTTGTATGACCCCTTTAACGTGCTGTCGAAGCTGGTTTGCTGTTATCTTGTTGAGTATGTAGTTTTGTCATTTACATTGTCTATTCAAACTGACAGCTTGAATGTTGTGGTTATTGATATGATTTATAATATTCTTCATATTTAATAGGTATCAGTGGCTTGTCACACATGAAGCATACATATTTTTCCCACTTTGTCTTTATTTTTGTTTTTGAAAATTTAAATTCAATATGGTAAAATTTAGACTTTTTTCATGGTTTCTGCTTTTGCTTCCTTGCCTAAAGTTGCATACCTCATGCCATAATTATATACATTTTGCCTACATTTTTACAAGTTATTTTATGGTATAATTTTGAAATAGTTCAATCCAAAAATATTTATAAATGTACATATTCAATTTCTATGTGTCTAAAAATCCAACTTGTTGTTTGTTTTTCAAAAAGTATTTTATTCCCTCCACAGTATGTGGATCTATTTACCTCTCTTTTGAAAATATACCTTTATTACCAGACAAAACTTAGATTAGTTTCTGGGCTTTTTTTTTAAAAAAACTATTCTAATCTTTTTTTTTATTGTGAATAATTTAAGGAATCATTGATTAGTGTACATTCAACAGCACAGACTTCCTACCACAACTCCTTCCTGATTGCTAATTGATTAGTTTCTAGATCTGATATGTCATTGATTTCCTCCATTGCATTCCATATGGGTTAACTTTTGTATTTTGTGTGTTTAAGAAAAGCGTAAATAGAGATCAACCCAGCACTTTGCTGAGAATTGTCAAATGAATTTAGTATAATATTGGTTCTCACAATTAGTTTTTCTGTGTGGGTCAGTTTTCTAATTTCTGCACAACTATGGATTGCTGCTTAAAACGGATATTGATTAATTACACAGGGGTCAGCTTAAGATGGGATGTAATTGATCCAATAGCCAGAAGAAAACAGGAAGAAACAAATGTACACTTCTTATTTATGTTTCTTATCTTACTGTATACTCCAAGCATAGTATTAATGAGCAGAGTTGAGAACCTGACTCAGCCACTTATGCTTGCACAATAGGCTCTTGAATAAAGTAGTGATAAGTGTCAAGTATTAAGGTTTTGCATGGGTAATTCAGCATGATCTCTTATCATTAAGGCAGTTCTAGCTACAGCCTCTGTTGAATGTTTGACCTTTCAGAAACAGTCATAGATGTTCAGCCCTTGACATGATTGAGGCATTCAATTGGCAACGTAATGGCACATTGTTTACCCTCTCTACAGTGGAAGAATAGCAATTTGTTCTTACTGGGATAAATGTGTTTTCCACCTGTGGCTTTGACTCTCCTGCCATCAATGCCTTGGCCATTAAACTATCCAAAGATGCATAGAATGCCTAATGTTCTTTGTAACACACCTTAGGACAAAGGAATATATTTTGTAGCAGAGAAGGTACAATAATATGCATACAACCAAATGATCCACTGGTGCTATAATATACTATATTAAACAGAATCTATCAGTCTGATAGAACATTAAAAGATATTTCTTTTAAAGGTGGATATAAAGGTGCAACTAAATGCCAATTTAGGGATGGTACTTTTCAGAGTTGGGGCTCTGTGCTTTAACATGTTATACTTTGAACCAATGGACATTGTAAGATATTGGGTCCTAGAATATACAGGTTTGTAAACCAAGGGCAGAGGGTGAGAGTGGCTCCTCTCACTAAAACTCCCTTGGAGAATTTGAGCTTCCTGGACCTACAGCATTAAGCTCTGCTGGAGTAGGGAGAATGCTTCTTCTGGGTACATAGTAAGCATTCCAATAAGAATAAAGTTTTAGTAGCTCCCTGTCATTTTGGCTTCCTTGTGTATGTAGGTTGGCAGACAAAGAAATAAGTTATTATACTGGCAGTTGTAATTGACCTTCATTATCATGAGGAAATAGAAATATTGCTATACCTTTATCAACCATAGATGATGACAATTGTAAATTGGAAATTGCAGCAATTACAGCCTGACAGGGCCATGGTAATCATGGGTCTTTGGAAGTGAACTAGACTAGCAGAAGCACTGGATAAACATGAGGGGAATATAGAACAGGTTGTAGAAGAGGAAGATGAAGAATGTCATCCTGGGAACAAGTGTAATGACAGGACCCATTAACTCTTGTTCCTTTAACACTCTTGTGTTTGAAGAATTAATGATGGAGTGAACTCACATAGAGCATAAACTCCTCCACGCATGGAAAGATGTGGACTGTTTCTAGTGCTGTTGGTGTCTTGCACGTACCCC
This sequence comes from Homo sapiens, assembly GCF_000001405.40. Lineage (NCBI taxonomy): Eukaryota > Metazoa > Chordata > Mammalia > Primates > Hominidae > Homo > Homo sapiens. The sequence goes on along the minus strand of NC_000019.10, from coordinate 82,657 downwards.
TCTCCACTTAATATTCCCAAGAGTTTGGATTGTTCTATAAGCTCCTGAGAATCTCTGGCTGAGGACTTTTCTTTGAATATAGAAAAAGCTAAACTCACAAGGTGGGGAAACCTAGAATTGCTGTAGAGAAAATGCCCTAGAGCAGCTCTAGACCAGTAAAGAAATGCACAGCTTCTTTGTTTCTTAAGTGGGACAACTACAAGTCATAGAATTTATACAGTCTCTTGATGGCCACAGCAAGAATGTGCCCTTGATGTCCACTGTAGTAAATACAAATCAATGCATCCTTTATTGGCATCCTCCCCTTTTCTTGCCTGGGGAGGCAGAGGTTGCAGTGAGCCGAGATCATGTCACTGCACTCCAGGCTGGGTGACAGAGAACCTGTGTCAAAAAAAAAAAAAAAAAAAAAGGAAGAAGGAAGAAGAAGAAAGGAAATATGGCATGTTGGGGATGGGGATGGAAGTGGGTTGCAATTTTTAAAAGGGTAGCCAGGGAAATGCTTACTGAGATTTTTAAGTACAAGTCTGAAGGAGGCAAGGGAGTGAGTCAAACATATACATGCAGGAAGGGCTCTCTAGGAGGAGAAAGCAGTGAGAGCAAAGGCTGGGAGCCAATGCAGCCCTGGTGGCTTCGAAGAACAGCAGAGGGCCAGCGTGGCTGCGGCAGAGGGAGTCAGGGCAGTGTGCTAGGAAGTGAAGGCAGGGAGATGCAGGAGGTGTGGATTGTTGGGGCGTCACAGGCTGTGTGACTCCCAATTGCTGTGTGACAAATTCCCACAAATCCAGCAGCTGCAAATACGACCCAATGTTCCCCAGCTTCTGCAGGTCAGGAGTTGGCACAGCCTAACTGGTCCTCTGTAAGGTGCCATCAGGGTGTCAGCCAGCACTGGGTTCTCATCTAGGGCTCAGCTGTGTGGATGGCTCTGCTTCCAAGCTCACATGGCAGCATTCAGTTCCATGCAGGGTGCTGGACACAAGACCTCAGCTTCCTGGTGAGCATCGACTGGAGGGGGCTCTTAGCTCCTCGCAGCTGATCCCCTCCATGAGGCAGCTTGCAACATGGCAGCCTGCTTCTTCAAAGGCGTCAAGAGAGAGTCCCCAGAAAGACAGGTTATGATCTTAACATTTTATTTATTTATTTTTTGAGACAGAGTCTCGCTCTGTCACTGAGGCTGGAGTGCAGTGGCACGATCTTGGCTCACTGCCACCTCCACCTCCTGAGTTCAAGCAATTCTCCTGCTTCAGCCTCTTGAGTAGCTGTGATTACAGGCGTGCACCACTATGCCTGGCTAATTTTTGTATTTTTAGTAGAGGCGGGGTTTTGCCATGTTGGCCAGCCTGGTCTCGAACTCCTGACCTCAGGTGATCCACCCGCCTCAGCCTCCCAAAGTGTTGGGATTACAGGCACGAGCCACTGCATCCAGCCAGTGATCTTATACAATATGATCAGTACATGAATCACATATATACCGCCTCCTTCATAAGCAAGCCACAGGTTCTGCTTACAACCAGAGAAGGGGATTATTCAAGGGTGTGAATGGCAGAGGTGGGGGTTGTGGGGGTCACCTTAGTATCTGCCACCACAGCCTGTCCTCTGTCCCCAAGACTCCTGTCCCTTGTGCATGCAAAACACATTCACCCCTCTTGAGATCCCTTCATGCTCACAGTCCCGAATCTCATCTAAATCGGGTTTAGGTGTAGAACAGATTTCTTTGGATGTTCCTCTGATCTGGAAAACTAAAGATACAAGCTATCTGCCCCCTACATATGCAACACACAATGGTGGGTAAAGCTTGAGACATTGCTGTTCAGAAAGAGGCAGCAGGGGAGGGATGAAGGAATGGTGGTTCTGAAATCCAGCTGGACAGACGCTGGTGTTCCCTAAACAGGTTTTAAGATGTGGGAAGATTCCATGTCTCTTGGCTCTGCCTTCTGGGCTTCTGCCTCTGGGTCATCCTTCTTTTCTCACGAAAGATCCACGTGTTTGCAGCCAAGTAGTTTTATCAGCCTTCTTCTTGACAGCAGAGTTTGGGGTCTCTGACAGTCTTCTTTCATTTTGCACTCTGTCCCCTACAGACCAATCTGCCAGCACTGTGGGTGAAACAGCTTTCCCAAACCCTTTGCCTGTCCTCTGTGGGTTTCAGTGGGGCTCATAGTCGATTTGTCAAGAGCCATACCCATGAATCTTTTAGAGATAAACTCTACCTTTCTACCTTCAGCTCCTGCCAAGATGGCCCCCAGGGTAACTCACTGAAGCTTCCCAAGGGCCCTAAGGTTTGGTGGAGAGGTTCTGCATGGTACACCCTTGTAATCTCTTGCAACAGACCTCTGTGTGACTCATTGCTACTCCCATCCTTTGATCTTTATGCATAATCACAAAAGACTGTACAGTTACACCCTATGCCACATGCTCAGAAGCCATTTGTTAATTTCAGCATCTTTTTCCATGTGGGGAGACTGACAATTTTCAAAATCATCAAGTCCTGATTCAATTTTAACAGTTTAAAAACCAGTCTCTTTCTCAATTTATCTCTCTTCTCTCACACTATATTATAAGCAGTAAGAAGAAACCAGGCAGCATCCTCAACATTTTACTTGGAAATCTCCTCAACTGCATACCCAATTTATCACTTACATGATGTGTTTGCCACGTAACTGCAGGAGACCACTTTTCTAAGCTTTCTGCTCCTACCTAACAAGGATCCCTGTCCTCCAGCTTCTAGTGCGAAAATCCTCACTGCCTTTGAGCAGTGGCGAGTCCTCCGAGCCCAGATATCTAGCAACAGTCTGCTCACCTTAGAGTCTGTCTGTCACCACCTGGGCCATTTCTAAGGGACCAGAGCTTTCCTCTGAGATGAGGCTTTGAGCTGAGGAGCCACATGATCTGACATGGTTAAGGATGCCTCTGGCTTCCCTGTTGAGAATAGACTGAAGGGGCAAAAATGGAAGCAGAAGAGCAGTTAGGAGGCTCCTGTCAAACCCACGTGGAAGGCAGGCTCTGGGCTGTGTTACTGGACTAACACTAACACCGTCCCCTTGCACTTCTGAGGGGTCCCTGGAACTTCCCCAGGGGATGAGACTCCTGGCTAGCAGGACTCAGCCCCTCCCCTTCAACTTTACTCAGGACCTGGTCTCCCCTCCTTAAGGTCTCTGGAGCCCAACGCACACTTCAGCCCACTCTCACAGGCATTCTCTCTGTCCACAAAATATCAACGAAGAGTCTTCTGTGAGTGCAGCATGGTGTGAACACTGGGAGTACAAGGAGAAATAAGACACAGTTGCTGTGCTGGAGAAGCTTGTGCCCAGTGGTGGTGATACTGCCGGAGGTGAGACCACTATGCCAGCACAGGAACAAAGACGGCAGGGGCACAGGGCAATTCAGGGGTGCAGATCTGGGGGCATCCAAGAGGCTCCTAAGCCTCAGTATATAAACTGACAGGTCACAGCCTGCTCTAGGAAACACCTTCTTAAGGGTTGGAGTTATCTCTGTGCATCCCATCCCCACCCCACCAAGCCGCCCTTGGCCCTGCCCTCAGGAGCCTCTGCTTGGCCTTGCTAATTCCTCTCTTCTCCCTGAAGCTAGAGTGAGGTCCCTCTTGGCAGCCTTTGTATCTAGAGAGAGCCGTCCAATAGAAACATAAGGTGAGCAACATGCTTAATTTTAAAATTTCTAGTAGCTACATTAAACATTTTTAAGTGAAATTAACTTTAATAATAAATTTATTTAACCCAATATATCCAAAAGATTATCATTTCAACATGCAATCCTATTTTAAAAATAACTAGTGAGGTACCTGACAAAAAAAAAATCCCTTTTCATACTAAGTCCAGAAGATCTTTGTGTATTTTATACTCATAGGACATCTGAGTTTGGATGTTACCTTTTTATTGGAAATATGGGATCTGCACTTAGATTTCACTGAATTTACATTGAAAAGGTAGGTTCACATACCCAAGTTGTCTCACACATACCTAAATGTTTTCTGGTAACTGGGTGGAGTATCAGTTTTTATATTTATCTTTGCCTTAGCTAAAAAACAAATTAATAGTGCAGGTCCTCAGCCGCACGCAGGCAGTTTTCTCCACGGTCCAAATGGTTGCCCGAATTCACCCAGACCCCGCTGTCGTCCGCTTTTTCATGCAGACATTCAAACAACTAGCCTCCCTTCCTCCTGGCACCCCCACCCCATCGCCAGCACCCTCCAAACCAGTTTCCCTCCTGTCCTCATCTCAGCCACCCATGACTCACACACACATCTGGCTCCCCTGGCCCACTTTTCACCTGGTCCTCATAATCTATGCATAAACATTAACATACCACAGAATCAATCTGCATACTGATTACTTCTGCTCTGGTCAAATTCTTGCTTTCAGGATCAGGAGGCTTTCTCCCCACACCAAACTGGGCCTGAGGAAATAGTGTCTTGTCTTCCTGTCACCCCTCCCGTAGTTGCATGTCTAATGAGACAAGGGGTGTCTCAGGTGAAGCAGGACAGGGAGGATGCCAGCACTTGGGTGGGAGAGGCTTGAGGAGTGCCTGTTGGGGGATGTGTTGGGGAAGGATGACTTTTCACATATGGCTCATTGTGTCGGGATGATTTCGTTGTTAAATAAGCACCTACAGGATGATTTCACATTCCATACTTCTAAGTTTTTATAATTTAAATTCTTTCCGCCAGGCTGGGTTTTTTTTTTTTTCCAAACTTTAAATCTGTGGCTAGAATTGGTTTGATTTACATAATCCTGCCCCTGAGATTTAGCCCCACCCCTGAGAGCCCCCTCAGAGCCACCCACAGCCAGGACACCTCTGCTGGCCTCCCCTTCCCCAGCCTTCCAACTTGTGGCAGGCCCCTGGCTCTGGCCTCCCCCTATATGGGAATGAGCCAGCTGCACCGCTGCTGACAGTGGCTGGGATAATCCTCCCTGAGCTGTTCCAAGGATTAGTCCTGCTGCCCTGTGCCCAGCTCCCACACAACGGGGTTTCGGGGCTGTGGACCCTGTGCCAGGAAAGGAAGGGCGCAGCTCCTGCAATGCGGAGCAGCCAGGGCAGTGGGCACCAGGCTTTAGCCTCCCTTTCTCACCCTACAGAGGGCAGGCCCTTCAGCTCCATTCTCCTCCAAGGCTGCAGAGGGGGCAGGAATTGGGGGTGACAGGAGAGCTGTAAGGTCTCCAGTGGGTCATTCTGGGCCCAGAGATGGGTGCTGAAGCTCCCACGCCTGCCTGTGAAAATGGAGTCCTCTCTCACCTGGGAGAGCCAGGTGCTGCCCCGAGAAGGATGCATTTATGGCTTCGTGAAGTCTTTCCTGACCCCCGATGCTGCTGACTATAGGTAAGTCTGAGCAAATCTGGGGGAGCCTCATCTTGGCATGAGAAAGAGATGGCTTCTTCTAAGCCCACTGGCCGTGATCCCAGGATTATAACACATTCTGGCTCAAGTCCAGACTATTTGTAGAACACAGGAGATCCTCCATGAGAGGTAGTATAATATAGAGGATATGTGTGCTTACTAAGAGGCTGCCTGTCTGACCTTGGACAAGTTGTTTTTATTTATTTATTTATTTTTTATAGAGACAAAGTCTCACTATGTTGCTCAGGCTGGTCTTGAACTCCTGGCCTCAAGCGATCCTCCCACCTCAGCCTCCCAAAGTGTTGGGATTATAGACATGAGCCACTGCACCTGGCCGACCTTGGGCAAGTTCTTAAACCCTTCAAAGCCTCATTTTTCTCCAATCACAAAAGGGAAAGATGGTAATATTTTCCCCACCAAATTCTTGTAAGTATTAAACATTGTATATGTATTTTGAACACGATTAAGCTCTAAACACTTGTTAGGAAGCAGGACTGGCATTTGAAACAAACAGCTCTTTTCCCACAGGTCGGATGCCCTCACAGAATTGAGATTATGTACGTAAAACACCAGGTGCCTAACCCGGCACAGAGCAGGAGGGCTAAGCGTGACATCCAGCACGTGGTCAGTGGAATCCAGTATTCCTACCCACCTCTCTAGTCTCCCCTCCACCCCTCTCCCTTTCAGAGGCACCAAGCTGCTTGTGGTCTTGTCTATTCCCACTCCCTGCCTGACTGAACATTTTCTCCACCTCCTGATCATCAGCAGCAGAAACTGGCTGCTCTTCCTCCTGGGTAGACAGCCAGACTGTATTTCCCAGCTGCCCCTGCAGTGAGATGTGGCCATCGGAGCCAGCATTGGCCAATGGACTCTGCATGGGAGTGACGCATGCTGCCTCCAGGCTTGTCCCTAAAACCTCCCACGTGTCCTCCGCCTGCTCTTCCCACCTCCAAGGAGCACGGCAATTGTGGAAGACCCAGATTAGTGATGGCAGAACCATAGATGGGAGGAACCTGGGTCCCTGACTTAAAGTATCATGGATTTGGATGTTCCCTTAGTGAGAAATAAACTTCCATTGTGTTTAAGCCTTTATTTGTTTATAGTTGGTTACAGCAACTGCCTTCTTTTAATTAAAACACTCCTGCTGCTTCATGTTGCTGGAATGCTTGTAACCCTGCCCTGCTTCACCAGGGTAACTCCTACTTGGCCTTTAAGTTTATCTCTGCTGTCACACCGTCCAGAAAGCCTTCTCCCAGCACCACAACCCCTCCACCAAGGGTTAGGTGTCTCCAGCAGATGCTGCACAGCTGGCTGCCCTTTGCCCACCCTCCCCTTCTTTCTCATAGAATCCTAGGACTCCTCTGTATCTAGAAGGAGTTGTGTGGTCCAGTGCTGGCCAAGAAGATGTGAGAGCAAGTCGCTGGGTGGAGATTCTTAGGAAAACTTCTTAAAAAGAACGAGACTGGGCTCCTTTCTGCCTTTTACCATTTTTGTGTATGCTTGCCTTCTTCCCACCTGGGACTCTGATGCAGCACCTGTGAATGGGCACACATATTACAACTCTTAGGCTGAAACCCACGTTCTCAGGCAGAGGTCTCTTGTGGGCATTTAGTGCTATAAATGTCTCTTTACACACTGCTTTAAATGCGTCCCAGGTCTTAGGGTATATACCCAAAGGATTATAAATCGTGCTACTATAAAGACACATGCACATGTATGTTTATTGTGGCAGTATTCACAATAGCAAAGACTTTGAACCAACCCAAATGTCCATCAATGACAGACTGGATTAAGAGAATGTGGCACATATATACCATGGGATACTATGCAGCCATTAAAAAGGATGAGTTCATGTCCTTTGCAGGGACATGGATGAAGCTGGAAACCATCATTCTGAGCAAACTATCACAAAGACAGAAAACCAAACACTGCATGTTCTCACTCACAGGTGGGAATTGAACAATGAGAACGCTTGGACATGGGGCAGAGAACATCATACACTGGGGCCTGTCAGTGGGTGGGGGGCTGGGGGAGGGATAGCATTAGAAGAAATACCTAATGTAAATGACAAGTTGATGGGTGCAGCAAACCAACATGGCACACGCATATCTATGTATCCAACCTGCACATTATGCACATGTACCCTAGAACTTAAGTATATAAAAAAAAAAAGAAAAAAAAACTTTCACCTTTTTCCAAAGTGTTGGGATTATGGGTGTGAGCAACCACATCTGGTCCTTTTTTTTTTTTTTTAATGGAGGTGAAATTCATATAAGTTTGACCATTTTAAAGTGAACAATCAGTGGCATTCAGTACATTCACCATGTTGTGCCAACACTATCTCTATGTAGTTCCAAAACATTTTCATCAGCTCAAAATGAAACCTTGTACCCATGAAGCAGCCACTTCCCATTCTCCCCTCCCCTTAGCCCCTGGAAATCGGCTTTCTTTCTCCACGGATTTACATATTCTGTATATTTCCTATAAATGGAATTACACAATAGGTGACCTGTGTCTGGCTTCTTCCACTTAACCTAATGCTTTTGAGGTTCTGTCACATGGTGCCATGGATCAGCTCTGCCTTCCTTTTTATGACTAATACTCCACTGTATGTCCATATCACCATTTGTGTATTCACTCATTAATCTATGGACACAAGCCTCATTTTTAAGCACTTCAAATATGTTAACTCACTGAATCCTCACCACAAAGACAGATTCAGTTATTACATATTGACAGAGTGAAAACTGAGGCACAGGTAACATGCCTAGGATCACGTGGCTATGAAGCAGAAAGAGGACTCCAGCCGAGGCAGTCTAGTCCCAAAGTCCTTCCCTTCCTAGTAACCACTATGCTCTCCTGCCTCTCAGAGAACAACCCACATGGCACAACACGAGGGCTAAGCTGTCTGGTCTGTCTGGTGAAGCTTCAAATGCTGTTCATTTCCGATAAGGGGAGGTTCCTGGGCTGCAGAGGCTTCCTAGAGGAGGAAGACCATGTAAGGTCTAACTCAGGGCAGGTCAGGATGGTGTGAACTCACTCTGAACACAGTCACCGATGGGTGTTTATGAAAACTGGCTCTGGAACTCCCACAGGGAAGGTTCTTATCTTTGCGTGCACAACACAGAGCCCTCTGGGTAGACTTCTAGACCCAGGCCTCTTTCAAATACATTAGAAACCTCAGCAAGATAAACTATTTTCTGTCTGGCTGCATCTGTCTATCTGTTTAGAGAGCAGGACATTTCCATCCTCCTCTCTCCAGGCATCCTTGGAAGTCTTTCCCACAAGCAAGACATCTTGGTGAAATCTAATGCTGCGGAGGGAAGTGGTTTTCAGGAGAGAGGAGTCTGTTCCCAGAACTGTAGCACAAAAGCTAGAGGCTGAGTAGGAACATCTTAAACTAAGTCCTCAGTCTTATTTCCAGTTTTCTTCCTGTAGATCGGGGCTTAGGACACCCTGTCACATTTTCTTCACTCCTCCACCAGGAATTCCTAAAGTCCATGCTCTTGGATCCTGGCAAATCCAGGAGGCTGGGGGATGTGGCAAGCTTCAGCAAGACTGCCTGGGACCAACCCTGCAGCCTTAATTCCCAGGCCCGCTCAGCCCAGCTGGCCAGCAAAGGCAGGCAGAGCTTCTGTGTCCACACATGAGAATGACCTGCAGCTGTTCTTTGTCCAGGCTGAGGTCCAGGATTCCCACTGCAGCTCCTAGGAAATCTTTAAAATTAGGTCGGGGATGAGCCTGTCAGTAGATTAGGTAGGGAACTTTTATGAAGTTGAGGGTGAACCATCTGGAGGGTGAACTGGCTGGTGTGATTCTAGAACTGGGGGTGGTGCCTAGCAGTGCATTTGTGAGAAGACACAGCCAGGCTTGGTATATGATGTGGTGTGTGTGTATATTCACAGGCATCGTGGAGCATATACACTTTTTTTGTGTGTGTTGAAATAAACCTTACAGATTACAAAGTACTTTTTTTTTTTTTTCTGAGACAGGGTCTCTCTCTGTCGCCCAGCCTGGAGTGCAGTGGTACAATCATAGCTCACTGCAGCCTCGATCTCCCAAGCTCAAGTGATCCTCCCGCCTCAGCCTCCCATGTAGCTGGGACTACAGGTGTGTGACACCATGACTGGCTATTTTATTTTATTTTTGTAGAGATGGAATCTCACAATATTGCCCAGGCTGATCTCAAACTCTTGGGCTCAAGCAGTCCTCTCGCGTCAGCCTACCAAAGTGCTAGGATTACAGGCATGAGCCACCACGCCCAGCCAGATTACAAAATACTTTGACATCTTTTCTCTACAGCCCTCAAAAGGAGGCAGGGCAAGCACAATTAAATCCCATTACAAATGGGGTGACTGAAGCTCCATTCATGGCTTGCCCAGGGTCACACAAAGAATGAATAGCAGAGCCCTGAGCCTGTGTGCTTCCCTCTGTGCCAGGCTGCTTTACCCAGGCATGGGTGCACCTTGTGCATGGGACATTTCTCCTTTGTTGTGTCCTGAGTACCTTAAGCCACTCAGATATTGCTCAGGTGGAGTGAGGGAAAAATGTTTTCAGGTTGTATTAGTCAAAACAAAATACCACACACTGGGCGACTTTAAAATCATACATTTATCCCTCACAGTTCTGGAGGCTTGGAAGTCCAAGTTCAAGGTGGCAGCTGGACGGGTTCCCGGTGAGGGCTCTCTTCCTGGTTTGCAGACAGCCACCTTCTCTTCGCATCCTCACTTGGTGGGAAAAGACAGAGGAGAGAAAGAGAGAGAGAGAAAAATGAGATAGAGAGAGAGAGAGAAATGAGATAGAGAGAAATGAGAGAGAGAGAGAGAGAGAGAGAGAGGGAGACACAGAGACAATGCTCTCTTTTCTTACCAGATCTATAATGAGGGCCCCACCCCATGACCTCATCTAACCGTAATTACCTACCAAAGGCCCATCTCCACATACCATCACATTAGGGGTTAGGGTTTCAACATAAGCATTTGGAGAGGACATAAACATTCTGTCTACAACATGAGTGGAGATCCATCTCTTCTTTACCTCTGGTAAGGGGACCACACGCTGCAGCCAGCGAGACAGTGGCATGTTCTTGTTACAACTCGATCTAACTCCCCCAGAAGAGGAGGCAGGGAAGGCGGACAAAACTGGGAGAGGGAGAGAGTGTTAGGAAGAGAGTAGGGTGGCCAGAGGCAGCAAATAAAATATAAAATGCTTAATTCTGAATCTCAGATAAACAACCAATAATGTTTTTTAGCATAAGTATGTCCCAAACTAAGCTTGGGACATATTTATGCTACGAAATTATTCGTTGTTTATCTAAAATTCAAACTAGCTGGGCATCCTGTCTTTTAATCTGGCAACCCTAAAAGGCAAGGGCCAAAAATGCCGGAGGCAAGCCAACGGATTCCAGGAGGGACAACTGCTGGACTTTGGACTGATGATGCTCTTTTTATATATTTAACTTTTTAAAAAAGCCTCTTTTCTTTCTTTTTACCAGCTTTTCACTAGCTTTTTAAAAATTGTGGTAAAACATACATAACCTAAAATTCACCGTCTAAACCATTTTTCAGCATACAGTTCAGTGGGATTAAGTAGATTCACACTGTTGTGCCGCCATCACTACCACTCATTTCCAGCACCCTTCCATCACCCCAGCCTGAAACTCTACCCATTGAACACGAGCTGCCCAACTCCGCCTTGCTTCCCCATTCCTGGCGACCACTGCTTCTGTCTCTGTGAATTTTGACTATTCTAGGCACTTCACAAAACTGGACTCATACGATATCTGTAGTTTTGCGTCTGGCTTCTCTATTGAATTCTTAAAGGGGGGTGGGAACTAAGCAGATCACAAGGGAGCTGCCCACAGAGGTAAAGACAAGGTCAGGTAGGCTGAGAGACGCAGGAAAGCGGGTCAAGGCGTAGGGCTGGAGGGCAGGGGCGGGCCCTGGGCGTGGGCTGGGGGTCCTGCCCCGGGGCGCACCCCGGGCGAGGGCTGCCCGGAGGAGCCGAGGTTGGCGGACAGCTTGGCCCTGAGCTTGAGGGGAAGGCAGCGATGGGACAAAGGACGGAGGTCTAGGAAGAGGGTCTGCAGAGCAGAAAGCACGGGTAGGGGCGGCCTGACGCTCGGAAGACAACGCATGGGAGCCGTGTGCACGTCGGGAGCTCGGAGTGAGCGTGAGTTCCGTGCCCAGGCCCGCGACTCGGCCCGACAGGACAGCGCTCCGGGTCGACGGGGTCCTGGAGCCGCGCTCGGGGAGGGCGCAGCGGAGGGCGAGCGGCGGCGTTAGGACCCGGAGGCGCGGGCGGACTGGGGGCGGCGGGGCTAGGACCCAGCGGCTCCGGCAGAGCGGAAGCGGCGGCGGGAGCTTCCGGGAGGGCGGCTCGCAGGTAGGAGGCGTCCGGGGCCGCGGGAAGTAGGGTCGTGGGGGCCTGGCGGGGCGAAGTAGGGGACCCGGAGGGGCTGGAGGGAGGCGGGCGGGAGGCCCGGGACCGTTCCTGACCGAGAAGCCTGCGCCAAGCTGGTGTTCCGCGGCCGCTGCCCGGTGCCCGGCTCCACTGCGAACGCCGCCGCTGGGCCCCGACCGCCCGGGAGGCGTCTTGGGCTCGCCCCGGAGCTTCCTCCCTGGAGCCGCGCCCTGCACCCGGCCTTGCCCGGCCCTAGCAGGGAAGCCAAGGCTTGTGGGGCGCAGGGACCCGGGCTCTGCGGGGTCCCGGTTCCGCCTCCCCACTCCTGCGTCTTCCCGCCCCTGCCGGGTTCTGGGAAGCCTCGCGCGGCTCTTCCGCAGCTGCTGCCCGCCCGGAGCTCCTGGTCCCTCGTAGGGGACCCCACTTCTCTGACACCGCGTTGGGTTCCCGGGGCCTACAGCGAGGCTTGTAACTCCGGGAGAGACCCTGGAGCGGGGTGTGGGAGAACGGTCTGGAGGAAGGGCTCCGAGCACTTCGAAAGTATAAACCGCGGTCCCAAAGAGGCGTGCTGTGTCTGCATTTTCCTGGGAGTGCACGGTTTACATTCTCGAAAGCAGTGCTGTCGACTAGAAATATTGAGCGATACACATGTACAAGTTTTGTCACTTAAAAAGAATTTGAAAAAACTTCATAGATGCAAAAAAAAAAAAAACCCACCATTATTAAAGAATACTTAGGTATTTGTGGAATGCATTGAAGAGTTAACAAAATGGATAGGCAGGAAATATCGCAGACCTAGAATGAATTACAGTTACCCACTGTGGAACTGAGGAGCTAGGGTTTCTCATAAAACTCCCTGATAGAAGACGACTTTTGATAAATTTTTTTTTCCGCCAACAAAATCCCCTGTCTTCTCAACTAGTTACTGTCTGTCCACTAAATAAGAGGTGGTCCGTCACTTCTTCAGATGAGCAACTACAGGCTTTTCAAAAGATAATTGCTAATCAACCCCTTTGTGCCTGGGTTTTCTTATTTGTAAAAATAGATACTACTACCTAACTCCAAAGTGTGTGGTGAAGACAAACAATTGGGGTGATGTATACTAAAGTAACGAAAGTGTTGACCACACACTACGGGCTGGTTAGTGTTAGATTCCCTTGTTTTTCCCTCAGTATCAAAAACAGATCTAATTTAGGTTTACATAAAGACAAAGTATGAAGATAAGGTGACTTACAGTTGGTACTACTAACAAAATGTTTGGGCTAAGATTTGCATTATTGCATGAAAACAACAAAACATATCAATAAATAACAAAAAGCTTGGAATTCAGACGACAGATCCAAGTCTGGGCTTGATCTCAAGCTAGTGTTTTGATGTTGAAAAAATGTTATTTGGTCTTTCTAACCCCATTTCCTTATGTAAAATAGGGGATGATGATAAATTCACTGATAATAAGAGTTAAATGAGATTCTTGAGGAGTCAGAATGGTTCTAACATGTGTAGGTATTATTAGCAGTCATACTGTAGCATAAGAAAATACCGTCTGCTGAAAGAGGGACAATAAAGATTATCTACATGGTCATCATTTAAAAGCTACCAGATATAGGAAGAAGGGGCCATAAAATGATAACGTTATGATGATTAATTTTGATGCTTAGGTCAGAGTCCATTCTAGGATATCTGCTGCCCAAAAACAGCAGAGACTCATTTCTTTGGAATCACAGGACGCTGAGTGAGAGGAAAGAAAAAGAAAAGAAATATTTAAGTCACATATGTGATTTCTAAAAGTAAAAAGAAACAGATGAAATTAGTGATATATTTTTAAAATCCAGTATATCCCAAATATGGTTATTTTAGCACGTAATCAATATAAAATAATAAGATATTTTACATTCTTTTTTTCTAGCCTTTGAAATTTGGTGCATATTTTACACTTATGGCACATCTCAATTCAGACTATCCACATTTCAAGTGCTCAGTGGCTGCATGTGCCTGGTGGCTACCATATTGGACAGCACAGGTCTAAGGATTTCATTCCTGCCACAAGTCCAAACTCCTAGCTTTAATTTTGAGTGTTTTTAACAAACTGGCCTCTGTTTATCATTCTTTCTTCTAGTACTTCCCCAAGGATGATTGTACCCTCAGCACTCAAGACCGCTTGCGGTTCCCCTACACACTTTTTGTTCAAGCTGTTTCTTTTACCTGGAATGCTGTCTTTGCACCTTCTTCCTGGACCTGGTTCACCCTCGTTGCCTAGGCTGGAGTGCCATGGCGCGATCTTGGCACACTGCAACCTCCACCTTCCCGGTTCAAGTGATTCTCCTTCCTCAGCCTCCCGAGTAGCGGGGATTACAGGCATGCACCACCACGCCTGGCTAATTTTGTATTTTTAGTAGAGATGGAGTTTCACCATGTTGGTCAGACTGGTCTCGAACTCCCGACCTCAGGTGATCTGCCTGCCTTCGCCTCCCAAAGTGCTGGGATTACAGGCGTGAGCCGCTGCGCCCGGCCGAGAGGCACACATTCTGCTAAGAGCTTTTTCCTGACTCCCCTAACTCCAAGAGGGATTTGTCACTCCTTAGCTTTGTACCCATGACTGGAGTAGAATGAATTTAATTTGAGTTTAGTTGTTTTTGAGACTCTCCCTGGCTAGTGTAGTGTCTTATTCGTCTTTGTTGTGATCATGGCCTGCACCTAACAGATGATCAGTAGATGTTTGCAGACAGAAAGTAAACCACTCATCAGGTGTATTCAGTCCCATTCTTGAACGGGCTTGCTGCCTCCTTTTTGAGGAGATCTGTGTATGTACTCTTCTTTCACGCATATGTGTGAGCAAACACACACACACTAACAAGAAATTCATCTGAAGATGTGCACAGGAAATATCTTGCATCTTTACCCCCTTTGTGATCTTACATATGGGAGAACTGAGGCACAGAAATAAGTTAGGACAGCCAGCAAACTTGCATCAGTATAAATACAAAGAAGGGGAGGGAGGAACATGCTTGAAAGGGGTGTGCTGGTCTCAGAGGGTTGGGTTTCTCAGTTGGCTGGGCATCAGCTGGCCATGCTTTAGTTATTTGATGGGAGGAAAAATAAGTGGGAGGTGAGGAGTAACTCCTGGGCTCTGATGAGTATTCAAGGCAAGTACAGATCTGGAAAGCCTGTATGCAAAGGAGGAACTCACTGAAAAGTGCTGGCCTGAGGAGGGCAGAAGGGAGGGCTGGGGAAGCCAGCAGCGGGAGCAAAGGAGTAGGCTCCAACTGGGTGAAGATGTTGGTGTGGTGCGTTATGTAAAATATACAAATTATTATTGGAAATAACCACGTCTCAGCAGTGCTAGTTCTCAGTTTGGAGAATGGGAAATCGAAAGGATCAGATTCAGAGACGGCAACTTACTCAAGGTCACAGCATTTTAAACCCAAGTGAAATCTCCTAGGCCCTTCATGCCACACTCATCCATCCCTACCTACTTGTGTTGCAACCAAGGGCCCCACTGTAGTGCCTAGGGGAGCAGGTCTAGGGCACAGTGCCAGGCCTGATTAATGTCTTCCTTACCATTTTCCAGTGAGGGGCTGTGATTAGGCCTATTTATAGGGGCCTGGTCCCTTAATATTCTGCCTGGTGCATCTCTTGCCAATCAAATCAGTGCTGTCTGCAGTGTGATTGCTGCTTTAGTGGCACCAGGGAGAGGAGTTAATTAAACCCAATATAAATAGACTCTGCCCTCACTTTGCAATTCCAGGAGTGTTTTTCCTTCCTGTCCTCCACCCCCACAGGCACCTCTTTCCTCTTGTCCCCCTAAGCTCTAGCCTGGGTGAGCAGGGCTGGATACTCCTATACCTAGAGTCACTAGCCACTGCCCAGTCTGTTTCAGGAGCAGGCCTCAGATTCCTCAGGGGTTAAAGTGGGAAGAACCCGTGTGTGCACATTTTTTGTGCTTTTCCAGAACTGTGTACCATTTGGCAGTTGATCAGGCAATCTCCCCTGCTACCCCATTTCTACCCCTTTGTTTCCAGCCTCTTTTTTCCTCTGCAACCAAGGTTTCTTGTTTATCCAAGGTGGGGAGCTGAACTGAGACAAGGTATGGAAAGGGTGCCTGGCAGGTAGCAAGCACCTTGTAGGGGGTCAGAAATGTTGCACCTTCTCTGAACTCCTCCATTGACCCTACAGATTCCCCAGTCCCGGGCCCTGCCCTTTCCCTCATTCACTCAGCAGGCATCAGCAGAGTCCCATCTATGCGCTCCTGGCCTCTCAGCAAATGCTCTGTCCCCTACTCCCCTATCTGTGCAGGCTGAAGCTATGTGCATAGTTGGGATGAGGGCTGTGTTGTCTCAACACCACGCTGCCCTGTGGTGGGGGCGTGCCGGTGGTCGTGGGTGGCTCTGACGCTCCGGCTCCGACCCACAGGCACCATGACTCCTGTGAGGATGCAGCACTCCCTGGCAGGTCAGACCTATGCCGTGCCCTTCATCCAGCCAGACCTGCGGCGAGAGGAGGCCGTCCAGCAGATGGCGGATGCCCTGCAGTACCTGCAGAAGGTCTCTGGAGACATCTTCAGCAGGTGGGTGCTGCCACTCACCCCCACCTGATGAGAGGGCCATCCCTGTCCTGGGCAATCCCAGCAACACACCCTCTGGGAGCAGCCCCCTTGGGGAATCCCGGTCCTGGGGAACCCATCTGGCTTCCCTGTGTGGGAGGGGCTGAAGTGAGAGCCCAACTTGGAAGCTTTTACTCCTGGGAGTCCAAGAGCTCACTCCCTTCCACCCCACTTAGCCTCCTGGTTTCCTGTGGTGGCTCTGCTCTCACAACTCATGCTTTTCCTCCCATTGGAGGGCCTATTCCTTCACGTTTTCCTGCAGCCAACAAATATTTACCCAGCAGTGCTCGTGTGCAAGGCAGTGTGGGAATCTCTATATATCCAGCCACGGATAAGGCAACATACCTCTCCACCTGGAGCGCACATTCTGGCAGGAGAGAAAGACCTAAATAAGCAATAGATGATTAGTTCTTCAATAACAGTTGTGACAAGGTCTATTGATAATATTTTGTAATCACTAATATTCATATAAACCGTGCACAACCATTGATTTGAGTGCATTAACTCACACTTCATGAGCAGGCACTGCCGTCATCTCATTTTATAGATGAGGAAACTGAGGCACAGAAGGGCTGAGAGACCTGGCCTAGTGACAGAGCCAGGATTCAAAGCCATAGATCATGGCCCCGGGTTATGTAGGTTATTACTGCATCTGTTCAGGGGAGATGGGGTACTGTGAGGCTCGTCATGGGAAGCCTGGCTTGGTCTCAGGTCAGGGAAGGCAGACGTGAGGAAATGACATTTATGGTAAAGTCTGAGGGTTGAGTGGGTAGGTTGGGAAGAACATTCCAGAAAGAAGCACATGAACTACAGCCTGGAGGTGGAGGACCTAAAAGGAAGCCAGCATGGCTGGAGCACGGAGTGGCCATTGAGGGAGGCGAGCTGGAGGGCTGCAGCTTCTTGTATTGGCAGTGCTGACCTCGCACAGTCCTTGGGCTCCAGTGACTTCACTCAGTGTTTATCTAACATGAGTGAGTGAATGGTGTTTGCTCTTTTTTTGGTAAAGGTCCCAGGGGTTGTCGGGTACACAGGTCCTGTCTTTGGCCATAAGCAAACTGAAATGAGGCTTGGTCTCCTTCCCAGGATCCCACACCATGCCTCACATGGTAGACCCCAGTGGGAAGTATGTGACTGCCTGACTCAGGTGCCTCTCGTGGTCCAAGCCATCCCTGCCCTGTCCCTTCCCTGGTTGTCGCCAGACCTGGAGCCCCTGCTCCTTCACTTTGCAGCCTCCTCTTCTGTCACCAACTGGGAACCCACCTCTTCCTGAAAGTCCTCCCCCACTGACTCACCGGCTTGCCCCGAGTTTGTCAAGAATGTCCCAGTAACCAGGGGACACACAGTGAAGTGACTGAGGGGTTACCTTGGAGTTGATGCCTTGGCTCAGATCCAGCTCCCCTGTTTTCTTCCTCTGTAACCTTGGGCAACCCAACCCCTCTAAGCCTCGGTGTTCTCATTTGTGAAGTTGTGGTAATAATGGTAGCTTCCTGGTAGAATTATTTTAAATATTAAATTAATCAAAACATGCAAAGGAATGGAACAGTGCCTGGCACTTAGGAAGCCTTCAGGAAATGCTATCTCTTCCCTGTTGATAATCTTGACCCGTACACTGCCTTTGGTTGCCATTCATAAACCTGCCACCAATAGTAACAAAGTGCTGGATGCACCTTTTGTGCTTATCTTTGTGCTAAATGTGCCCGAGGGACACCTAGGGAAGAGGATGCAGGTCTTTAAGAGCCATCAGCTCCAGATTATGGCCACCCCATGTCCAGCACTTAGAATGGAGGCCAAAACCATTCCCTCGGAAATTGTGTTTCCTTGCCAAGATGGGGACTGCGTGGTTGCCCTTCTCTGAGGGCAGCGCTGGATTTTTGGCGTCTTTCCTTTCCTGTCCTGGTACTTGGCACCTTGTAGACAGTTGCATGTCCCCTGCCCAGGGATGGGATGAGGAGAGGGCAGGAAGGCATTTCCTGGGTAGTGGAGTGCTGCGTTCATTGAGTGTGGGTTCTCCAAGCTGCTGGCACAGCGCAGGGAGGGCCAGATGCCTCTCAGGAGCCTTGGGCCTGAGTCCTGGCTCCCTCACTCCTGGGTTCCAGGTCACTGCATCTGTCTCTCCACCATGTGCTCCACCTCGTGCTGGACCTTAAGAGATACCAATTATGTGGCTGCCACTGTGTCCTAGAGGCTGGAATGGGAACACATAGGGCGAGATTGATTGTTAATTGCTAGCATGAACCGCGTGGGCTTCTCAGGGTCTAGAGTGGAGAGAAATCGGTAAGAATTGGTGGCACGCCTGTCAGAACTCCCCAGACCAAGCTAAGCAAAAATTAACCAATCAGTAGAGCAGCCTTCGGAGTAAGGGCTAAAATGATGTCCTCAGGGCCTGGTTTTGCTTTCCTTCCATGTCAGTTTGCTTCTTTGGGTCTGGCTGCATTCCCAGACAGGCCATGCTCTCGTGGTAGCAAGGTGACATGACACAGGGTCAGGTCCAGCAGGAAAGAATGCTGTCCTGTGTCCCCACTTCCTCCAGAAGCCACACTCACTCATCCCACCTGGCTTGGTCCTCATGTCTATCCCAGAATCCATTAATGGGGCCAGGGGACTATGACACACCACTTGGCTTAGACTGAGGAGCTCTGTGGGCAGCCCCACCTGAAGCTCTGGGACTAAGCCTGCGAGAGAGATGGATTCCCCAAGGGAAATGGGGCCATTGCTTGAGTAAAAAGGAAATAGTTGCTGAAGAGGAAAACCACGTGCTTACTCCACATAGGGCAGACTCCTGGAAGAGGGGGGCAGGGTAGGGAGGTGGATATGCAGGTTGCCCTGGCAGGGTCTGGAAATGGGGGCTGCAGGCTTGGAGGGAGGCCTCAGTGTGGCTTGGAACGTGGTGTATGGTGGTCTGCCGCGAAGGCCGGCCTGCACAGGGGTGGGAGGGGGGTGCTTCTGCATGGGAAGCACAGACAGCGCTGCCTCTCCCTTGCACTCAGCTCTCGGGGCATGAGAGGCTAACTTTCCGTGAGCCTGTGGGCCAGGCCTCTTTGAATGGGGCTGAGGGAGCTTTGCCCTGGTTCCTTTGTGTCCCCACGGTGCCACGGGAGGCTCCCTGGCAGGGTGTGGGGCAGGGCAGTGAGTGAAGAGTTGGGATGAGTGAGTTAGGGCCCACGGATTACTCAAGACAGGACTTCAAGTTGATTCAGGCGTGTTAGGGAGCTGTGATTGGATTTTGAGCAGGGCAGGGATGGGACAGAAGAGTTTGGGGAAGGTTCCTCAGGCATCCGTCACAGAAGGGACAAGAAGGGAGAGAGAGTGGATGCCAGGGACACCCAGAAGCTGTTATTGTAGTCAGGATACGACAGGGGTGAGGCTACAGACAGGGGACTTGCAAGCAGGGAGGGCAGGGTGAGACATTCAGAGGAAACGACGACAGGAAATGGTGACAGATAGGGAACGAGGATGAAGGGAAGGGAGAGCCAGTGACGACTGGCAGTGGAGTGGGGAGCACCGCCACCTCTCCTCCTCCACTTGCCCCTCCTGTGGCACTGGACAAGCTAGTGGGCTTTTCGTTGTCCATGGGCTTTTTCGGTGGGGATGTGACCAGCTTTGAACCCGTCCCCTTAAACATGCTCCTCCTGCACGGAAGAGACAGGGGCAGGGGAGAGACTCTCTCCCCACCACCCGGCTCAGGCCCCAGCACAGCCCGGCCTCTGGCCTCACTGGCGTCTGTGCCCAGTGACGCAGGCAGGTGAGCTCCTGGCAAATTAGCATTGCAGGCTGTGCTCTCTCCTCCTGCTCTGCTGCAGCTGGGAGTGTGCAGAGACTGGAGGGGATGACAGTCACCCTCTGTTTTCTGTGGTGGCTCTGTTTTCTGTGGTGCTGGATGCACCTCTGTTTTCTGTGGTGGCTCCAAGAGAGTGCACGGTCCCTGCTGATTGAAAGAAGGATGAAGGGCAGAAGAGGGGCGGGGAGCTGTGTGCCCTAAGATCTCATTGCCTTTTTATGCCGATTAACATGCTTTTAGCCCCTACTGAGCTTATAGTTAACAGAAGTTTCCAGGTCTTTCTTCACCTGAACTGTGTCTAAAGCAAGTTCCCTCCACCTTCTGTATTTATACGCTTGATTTTTAAAACCTAAATGTTGGGCTTCACATTTGTTCCTTGTAAATTTCATCTTGGTGATTGCAGTCTACCCTCTGGCCTTTAAAAATTGTCTGAGCCTTGATTCGATCATGAAACCAGCTTACCCTTCCCCTGTGTGCTGGCCCCAGTTTTCTAACCAGGTGTTGAATGAACTGGATGGACTCTGCCAGATCCCTCCGTGCAAGGCTGGAATCAGTCCATTGTTCAACTGTGCCCTTTGGGGCTGTGGTTCATTTGGCTCTGATTTTTCCTATATGTTCTCTCCTCCAACCCCCATAGCTCCATCTTGTCTACAAGATTTTGTTAGAAGCCGTCAAAATCCTGCTGACTCGAGATGCGCTGTGGTGCATGTTTTCCCCGGGCACAGCAGGCTAATAATCCTGTTACAAAGAGAAATGCTGTACATTTCGAGCAGTGCTGGCCCCTGGGACTCACCGTGGCCTTTTCTAAGTGCTTACAGACTCTCTGTTTAATAATCCATTCCAGAAATTTTCCAGGGCTCATTGTTGAGCTTGGTGTTCGCAACTTTGAGTGATCAGCCCTTCTCCTTTGTGGGAGCACCAGGACAGAGCAGCCTTTGTCCCTCCCCAGTCTCAGTTCCCTCCCACTGCCCCTGTGGACCTCGAATGCAGAGCTTATGCACCTACCGAAGGTCGTGTCAGCACCCAAGGCAGAACGAGGCTGCCCTGGGAACTAGGGTCAATTAAGACAGCTTGTGCTGGAGGACCCTTTACAGCAGATGAAGGCCTCTCCCCAGCCAGAAAAGATGGAGCACACGCTGGGTGGTGGCCCCGCTTCCTCACTGGAAGGAGATGGTGCTCTTCTTTTTTCTTTCTGAATTGTGGCCACCTTCATACCAGTCTGTCATGGAACACTTAAGTCGCTTGAGTGCCTGCTGGTACTCCCAGCCCTGCCATGCCTGAGCCCCCTGCACACAAGGAGCCAGGAGTAATCAGGGCAGACCCTTTAGGGCACGGGGACTTCTGGATTGTGAAATTGGCTCTCTGGGGGCCAAGGCCTTCTAACGTTGGTGGAAGTGGCTTTGGCTTATTGGGTCGGATTCTAGGCCATTCATTCCAACCTTTAGAGACATCCCAGCTTTCCCTAGCCCAGAGTCTGCAGCCCCTCCACCATCCCACATCCTCCCCCTCCCTTTCCTCATGAACCCCAGTCGCGCCTCTGCCTTCTCAAACCCCTCCACCATCCCACACCCTCCTCCTGCCCTTCCTCATGAACCCCAGTCGCGCCTCTGCCTTCTCATCCCTGCGCACCACACAGGCTCGCTCGTGCCCGGTGAGTGCTGAGGCTGCTCTGCACGTGGAGTATGGCCCTGTGGGCAAGGGCTGGGCTCTTGGAGGTAGGGGAGCTACAGGGGCGACTGGGAGGAGGATGTCGTGTTACACACGCATCAGAGTTAACTTTGCAGTGAGAGCGGCCTTGCTGCGGCCAAAGAACATGGAAAAGCATGAGTGGGGTGATGTGCCTTAAAGCATCAGACACTTGGGCCTCGGGCATCAGGAGCCAGCCACAGGGATGTCTGGGGAAATGGCGTTCCATGAGATGCAAGCACACAAGAATGCACTTGGCACATCTGGGGAACAGCAGGCAGCTGATATCACTGGGCCCACCCCGCACCAGGGAGGATGGAAGCAGGTGAGGAGCTAGACCACACTGAGGCGGTGGTCGGGACTCGGGGTTTGCTCAGTGAGCCGTTCACTATGTGCAGGGGCAGTTCCCCGTCTGAATTTAGGTGACGACACTCAGGTCCAGCCTTGCCAGTCTCAGCCTCCGGTCTCCGTTCCCCCTCTGCAGAGGCCACATTGTCTGCTGCACGTGATCATGAGGGGTTGTGAAGTGCTTGCCCCATCAGTAGCCATGTGTGCATGTGTAAATACCATCCTCTGTGTGCCCTGGAGGCTGTCCTTCAGATAGCATGTACAGGTGGCAGCATAGGGCCTGTCCCTACTGAGAGTGCAGGGAACTCAGCACCGTCAACTCCTCGACCCTGCAGGTCAGATTATCCTTGTAGAGGCCCCCTGGATGGCACCAAGATCGGCCCTGGCAAGTAGGTGACCCTGACTTCAGAGCCCTTGCCTGAGGGCCTGGCCTGGCAGCTCTGCTGTTAGAAGCAGGAGGTGTGCAGAGGGTGGGGAGCAGCCCAGCCTCTGTGATC